>NC_000020.11:10066335-20066335 GCF_000001405.40 Homo sapiens | reverse complement strand
GGTATATACCCAGTAATGGGATTGCTGGGTCAAGTGGTATTTCTAGTTCTAGATCCTTGAGGAATCACCACACTGTCTTCCACAATGGTTGAACTAATTTACAGTCCCACCAACAGTGTAAAAGCATTCCTATTTCTCCACATCCTCTCCAGCATCTGTTGTTTCCTGACTTTTTAATGATCGCCATTCTGACTGACATGAGATGGTATCTCATTGTGGTTTTGATTTGCATTTCTCTAATGACCAGTGATGATGAGCATTTTTTCATATGTCTGTTGGCTGCATAAATGTCTTCTTTTGAGAAGTGTCTGTTTGCCCACTTTTTGATGGGGTTGTTTTTTTTCTTGTAAATTTGTTTAAGTTCTTTGTACAAAAGATTTTCTAAGATTTCCATCATAGAGAAACAGCACTCGCTTTTTCTGCTTGATTTAACAACACCATCACCCAGAAACCTCAGAGTTTCCTCACATCCATTGCTCACAAACTGCAGCCTGGGCACAGTTCTGTCCCCCCGATCGCCACTGTGCTATTTGCACTGGACGCAGGTGATTCTTTCAGCCCTTTCCCCACTCATCGGCCATGCCCAATCTGCTAAAATTTAGCTGGATTTTTAGGTGAGATCAGTTTTATTCATTCCTCTATTTCTGTAACTGAACAGGCAGTCAATAAAATAAAACCAAACACACAGACCACAAAAGAACCACCTTTTTTTTTTTTTTCAAAATGTCTATAAAATAAGTCATTAAGCCTTGCAGTTGACTTGGCCAGGGGACAGGAGTTGCCTAATATAAAAAATGAAACACTGTGTGGGCTTAGTAGCAGCTGTTTTGGAAGCTTCAGGACATCAATGAAAATTTAAATTTGCTTTTACTTCTGAAAATACGCTGGCTTCTAAGATAGGTTGCAACCTTTTCAGTTATAAAGATTCCATTTTAACTTTTTTTTTTTTAAATGTTTGGGGTCTGAGCAAGGGGAAGGCTGGAATTACTGAGATAGGAAAAGTGTGGGAAGAGTGGATTGAATGCAGGTGAAGATCATGCTAGGTTCCAAGTGCCTACTAGGTATCCAAGGGTTGGCATTCACCAGGAAGCTGGATAAATGAATTTGGAATCCAGAAGGTTCTGTCATCGATGTCAGATGTTTTTCACATTTATACCATAAATTCACCCAGAATTAATTTTTACAAGTTTTCTACTACATGAGGTTGGTTATTATTTTCTTTCCCATGTGAATAACGAACACTCCCAGCACCATTTATTGAGTGGCACATCCTTTCCTCACAAAGCCGTCATCAAATTTTCATATAGTATGCGTCTGTTTCTGGGATCTCTATCCTGGTCCATCTGTCTTTTGTCAAAATTCCCTGCAAATTACCACACTGCCCTGATTATTATACCTACAATGAACCTTTAGTTGGCAAGCCTCTCCACCTTATTTTTCTTCCTTCAGATTACCCTGAACCTTTGCTTTCCCACACAAATTTAGACTCATTAAGCTTGACAAATAATCTTGTTAGGATTTTGACGGGGGTGGAGAGAAACTAACTTTATGATTTGAATCTTCCTGTCCAAAATGTGGTCTACCTCTTGGGAAATACCGTAGTCCCCCCACTTCTCCGTGGTTTCATGGCCCACAGTTTCATAGTTAATTGCAGTCAACAGCAGTTAGAAAATACTAAATGGAAAATTCCAGAAATAAACAATCTATAAATTTATAATTGCATGCCATTCTGAGTAGCAAGATGAAATTACGTGCCATCCCAGCCCGTCCTGCCCAGGAACTGTCCAGCAGATCCACACTGTAGATGCTGCTGCCCATGAGTCACTTAGTATTAGATCTGGTAACTGCCTTCTGTTACCAGATCGACTGTCACTGCATCACAGTGCTTTGGTTCAAAGTGCAAGAGTAGTGACGCTGGTAATTCAGACATGCTGAAAAGAAGCCGTAAAAGGCTTCCTTTACACAAAAAGGTGAAAATTCTCAACTTAATGAGGAAAAAATAAATTGTATGCTGAGCTTGCTAAGATCTAGGGTAAGAAGAAATCTTTAATCCGTGAAATTGTGAAAATGGAAAAAGAAATTCCTGTTAGTTCTCCTGTCGCACTTCAAACTACAAAAGTTATGGTCACAGTGCATAGCAAATGCTTAGTTACGATGGAAAAGCCGTTACATTTGTGGGTGGAAGGCATGAACAAAAATGTGTTCTGACTGATAACAATCGGATGTGGTACCATCCTCAGTTTCAGACATCCACTGGGGGTCTTGGAATATATTCCCCTCAGATAAGGCGGGGTGGGGGGCGGTTACTCTATTTAGGCTTTCCTTAATGTCTTTCAATAGTTGACAATTTACCCCATAATGAGCTTAGAGTTATTTTGTCAGTTTTATACTAGGTACTTTATATTCTTTGGCATGGGTGTAAATAGAAAAATGTTTTCTGTTCATTGTTAGTATATAAAAATGCAATGGGTTTTTATTCAATGACTTCATAGCCAGCAATTTTGAACTTCTATATTCATTCTAATTCACATTCCTTTCCATTTGCTAAGTAGAGAATATATTACCTGCAAAAAATGACAATTTCGTTTCTTCCTTTCAAATCCTAGTACATTTTATTGCTTTTTCTTTCCCTTACTGCAATAGCTAGGATCTCATGACAACAGGCATCCTCATTTACTATACAGGGATTCTTTTAATATTTTATCATTACATATGGTGTTTGTTAAAGGTTTGTATACATATGAGAGTCATCTTATATTCTTATTAGGTTAAGAATTATTACTAAGAATATTGCATTTTATCGAATGATTTTGTCTCTGTTTATTGAGATTATTAGATTTTCTCCTTTGTTAATTTGATGAATTAGACTAATCAATTTTCTAGTATTAAGCCAATCATGAATACCATGATCAGTTAATCATAATCATATCTTTTTAGTTCATCATTAGATTCCTTTCCAATTTTTTTTTGAATTTTTACATCCATGTTCATGAGCAAGGCATGAACATTAATTTCATTTCTCTTTCTATGTGAGATTGGCCGTTAACTTTCCTTTCTTGTACTGTCTTTGTCTTATTTTGATATCAACATTATGCTAGCCTCATAAAGTGAGCTAAAAAGTATTCTCCATCTTTCTGCTTCCAAGAACTTGTATTTATTTGGGACATACCCAATCCCTGAATCTTTGGTAGGACTGCTTATAAAGGCACTTGTGCCGACCATTTTATTGGCGGGAGGATTTAAAACTAACGATTCAATTTAATGGGTTTCTATCATTTCTTAAGTTGATTTTAAGAAACTTTTCTGGGACCCCATATTTTCAAATTTATTGGCATGCAGTTTTTTTATACAGGTCCCCAATCCCTTTAAATCCATAAAGCCCTAAAAACTGGAAGCAGCAAAATTGGACTTGAAGTGACAGGAGGTTACTCTACAGTCTTGATCCCATATATAAAATATTCTTACATTTTTACCACAGATATCCTAACGTGTGTAATTATGGAAAATCTCTCCAGCCCTTGTGGGTGGAATTCAATAATATTTCATCAATGGAAGAAACTAATTTTTTAAATTCTGCTTTCTGAAACACAACTAGTCACGAGGGATTTAGTTAAAGGATTGTGGATCTATAATGCCCTTTTATTACCTGCTTAACCTCAGCAACATTTGTGATTATGTCCTTTTCACATTACTTTGAAAGTTTTTCTTTTTTTCCTGATTAATCTTGTCAGATTTTTTTTTTCTTTAGGCTTTTTAAAGAACAAACTTTTGGCTTTGTTTATCCTCTACCAGATGCTTGTTTCCTGTTTCATTAATATGCGCTCTTGTCCTTTATTTTCTGTTTTCCTTGAGTTGATTCGACTGTTCTTGCTCTTAGAGGTAAACTCTGAACTTTATTTCAGGCCTTTCTTCTCTTCTGTTATAAGCATTTAAGGTTATAAGTTCCCTCTAAGACCTGCTATTTTGTTCAACTATTTCTGCATAACAGATTATCCCAAATTTAGTGGCTACTCTGTTTTATTTGCTCATGATTCTATGGGTGAGAGATTCAGACAGGGTACAGTAGGGGTATCTGTTGGGGCAAGAACCTCCAAGACGGTTTTTTTCCCTCATGTGTCTTGTGCCTCAGTGAGGGTGGCCCAAAGGGGCTGGGGTGTGCCTGGAAGAGTGACATGGGGCCTTCCTTCTTGCTGGAGGCTGGGCTCCTCAATTCTCCTCCATGTAGGCACACACTTCTCTCTTACGATATGGCCTCTCTGGGTGGTATGTCCAGTAGAGTAGCCAGACTTTTTACATGGTAGTGCAAGGCTCCCAAGATCACAAAACTGAAAGCTCCCAGCAAAGGCTCGAACTAGGGTGAGGCCAGAGGGACCCAGGGTTCAAAAATGGAAGGAGGTGTTCACTCTCAGGTTCATGCAGGGGCCCTAGCTGGGAGTGAGTACCCAGGATACCCTGCGTGCCTCTCCTGGGCCAGCCCTGCTGCCAGGCCATCTTAACGCTTGGGCCTGGGACCAGGACAGCCCCACTTCCATTACATTCTGTCAGGGGAATCACAGGCTCAACAAAGATAGAAAACATGGGGACTACAGCAGGGAGAATGGCACAAAAAGGCATGGGGAACACAGGGAGGCGGGAGAGTCTCCAGTGCTCTACCTGTGATTTTCACTTTTATCTATTTTAGAACTGTGTTGTTAGAAGCATATAAGTTTAAAGCTGTCATAGCTCTCCCAACAACAGTTTTATCATTATATAGTGACCCTCTTTATCTGTAGGGAGCTTTTTGTCCTGAACTATACACTGTCTGCTGTTGATATAGCAATACTAGCCCTTATTTTGGGTGAGATTTTGGGTGGCATATCTTTTTTCCTGATACTTTGACTTTAAATATTTCTGTGACTTTATATATGAGGTATGTCTCACAAATAGAATATGACTGTTTTGTTTTGAGCCAATCTGCCATTCTTAATCTTTTAATGGAAGATTTTTGTCCAGATGCATTTATTATGATTGCTGATATAGTAAAATTTATTTTCTTATTCTGTAATTTTAATACATTCTATGCTTTTTGTTTCTTTTTTCCTCCTCCTGTCTTGTCCTCTTTTAGATTCAGGGTTCATTTTAAATTTCTCATTCCATTTTTCCCTCTATAGATCAGAAGTTATCATCTCTACACCTGTTCTTTTAATGATGATCTTAACCATGTTAATATATATTCCTAACAGTCTTTATTATCTGTTCCAGTTATCAACTGATGTGTAATAAACCACCCCAAACCTCAGTGGCTTTAAGTAGCAATTATTATCTCTCATGGTTCTGTGGGCTGCCTGGGTTGAACTAAGCAGTTTTTGCACGGTATCTCAGGCTATCAAATGGCAGCAGTGGCTAAAGCCATCTGAAGACTCAGTGTCTAAGACGGCTTACTTGCATGGTTGGCAGCTGGTGGCAGTTGCTAGCGGGGAGCTCAGCAGAGGCTGTCAAATGAAGCACCCACAGGGAAACATGTGACTGGAGCTTTCATCAGTGTGGCACTGGGTTCTGAGAAGGAGCACTTCCGGAGACCCAGTGGAAGTTGCAAGACTTCTTATGACTTAGACTTGAAGTCAAATAGAGTCTCACTTCTGCTGCTTTCCATTGGCTGCATAAGGCGAGCCATGATTCTTTGTGAGAACAGACTACACAAAGGCGTAAGTGACAGGATGTGTGGCTCATTGGAGCCAGGGGAGCCTGTTTGCACACCACTTACCACACCCTCCATCTTAAATAAAACCTGAAGGATTCTTTCATTCTAATCATGCTCCTCCCAATTTATATAATGTTTTTGTCCTGAATCTTAGTTTTAACATATGGTTTATACCTCACAAATCAGTCATTATCAATATTATTGTTTTATGCAAGTCATACTTTTTCTTAGATTTACCTATATATTTTCCATATTTTTGTTGACATTCCTTCTTGTGTTTTGAGCTTTCCAGCTGAGGTATTCTCTGTTCCTCCAAAAACATATTCTGAGGAATTTCCTCCATTCAGAGTTTATTGGCAAATGACTTAGGTTTTTGTTTGTCAGAAAATGCATTTATTTTCTCCCAGGTCCCCTAGGAATTGTTTCACTGGGTGAAACAATGTCACAATTCTAAATTGATGTTATTTTTCTCTCCACTATTGAAGATATTCTACTATCTTCTGACTACTATTGTGGCTCCTAAGAAATCTATTAGTCTAATCTTTAGTTCTTTGCAGGTAACTTGGTTTTTTTTTTTTCCCCCTCTGTTATTTTTCAGATCTTTTTAACTGGAGTGTTTTGCTGTTTCATTATGATGGGTACAGTTGGGATTTCTCTGTGTATTTATCCCCTTTGGGATCCACTGAGTTTTCCAGATGTAAGAAGTAGTGCTTTCCAACAATTCTGAAAAACTCTCAGCCATTCTCTCTTCAAATATTACCCTTTGGCTTCCTATTATCTTCTTCTAAAAGTCTAACTAGACTAGGTCTCATGCTTCATTCATATTTTTTCTCTTTGTGTTGAGCTCTGGGTAATTTACTGGTATTGATCCTCCAGCTCATTACTTCTGTCTTCAACTGTGTCTATGAAGGATGTTTAATTCATCTACAGAGCTTTTAATTTCAATTACATTTTAAGTTCTAGATGGTCTATTTCACTTTTGTTTAAACATGATTATTCATTTTTATAATTTTTTATTTTTTATTTTATTTTATTTTTTAGATGGAGTCTCACTGTGTCACCCAGGCTGGAGCGCAGTGGTGCGATCTCGGCTCACTGCAACCTCCACCTCCCAGGTTCAAGCGATTCTCCTGCCTCAGCCTCCTGAGTAGCTGGGACTACATGTGTGTGCCACCACTCCTGGCTAATTTTTTGTATTTTTGGTAGAGATGGGGTTTTGCCATATAGGCCAGGTTGGTCTCAAACTCCTGACCTCGGATGATCTGCCCACCTCAGCATCCCAGATTTTTTTAGTCTTTAATCCTTTTTTTTTTTTTTTTTTTTTTTTTTGAGACAGAGTCTCTCTGTCACCAGGCTGGAGTGTGCAGTAGTGCAATCTTGGCTCATTGCAACCTCCGCCTCCTGGGTTCAAGCGATTCTCCTGCCTCAGCCTCCCGAGTAGTGGGACTACAGAGTGCGCGCTACCACATTCAGTCAATTTTTGTATTTTTAGTAGAGATGGGGTTTCACCTGTTGGCCAGGATGGTCTTAATCTCTTGACCTCGTGATCCTCCTGCCTCGGCCTCCCAAAGTGCTGGGATTACAGGCATGAGCCACTGTGTCCGGCCTTCTTTAATCATCTTTTTAAACCTACCTTTTTTATTTTAGACATAGTAAACATAGTTATTTTATATTCATTGTTTAATTTTATATCTGAAGTCTTTGGGAGTTGATTATCCTATATAATTTCTCTTGTTGATTCTAATGATACATGTTTCCTTGTGTGTTTACGATTTTTGACTGTGAGCTCATATACCTTGCAACTTTATCTGGGGTTATTATTTGGAGTCTGAGCTGAAGCTGCATCCCTTCACACTTGATTTGCATTTATGTCAGCCAGTTTCCTGGACACACTACTGGCCTGTGACTATTTTTAATTAAATTCTTTACTTCAACATTTTTTGGACCACATAAATAATTAACATGGATCTCAAATCAGTGTGTGCTTATGAATTCTCAGAAGAGACTTTATCCCCCTCTATTCCATGCTAAGGCTGAGTGAGCCCTCACTGTCCATTTTTATTTAGTGGGTTTATATCTTGTTCATCCCTACAATGAACATCCCAATTTTATACAAAGGGGTCACATGCTTTCCTCCTTAGGTGGAGGGAGTAGTTATCTTCCATTCTTTGCAAAGCTGTCAAAACAGAAATATGAAGTTGCTATTAATAGAATGTGGCAAAAATCCTCAAGGATGAAGCTAGCATTGGTTCCTGTTTATCTAATGAAGTTTCTGATTTCAATTTGATAATGTTCCCTACACAGTCCTTAGCTTTTGTGTGTATCAGTATTTTAGTTGTTTCCATCCAATGGACATCTTTAAGGTACTGAGTCCACCATAATGCCAAAAAATAAAATCATTTCATTGGTATATCTATTTTTTAGGCATTTTATAACTATTGCCCTACTGCCCTCTAGTAAAATTGTGCCAATTTATATTACATTCATCAGGGGGGTAATTAGAAACTACAAACTTTAATGTCTTAGGCTGGCCTTAGCTTAAACATTTCAATTGTATTTGATATGAAGCTTTATGAAATCCAAAATACTAGGATATTTAATATTTTCAATAAAAATAATGCGGAACAGGGTCGAGCACAGTAGCTTATGCCTGTAATCCAAAGACTTTGGGAGGCCAAGGCAGGCAGATCACTTGAGGCCAGGAGTTCGAGACCAGCCTGGCCAACATGATGAAACCTAGTCTCTACTAAAAAACAAACAAACAAACAAAAACAGCTAGGCATGGTGGCATGCACCTGTAGTCCCAGCTACTCTGGAGGCTGAGGCAGGAGAATCTCTTGAACCCAGGAGGCGGAGATTGCAGTGAGCCGAGATCGCACCACTGCACCCCAGATCTGGGCAATAGAGCAAACCTCTGTCTCAAAAATAAATAAATTAATTAAATAATGAAGAACAGATTCAAGGATATTTATATTTTGGCACCCACAGAAGGTCTATAAACAAACAAAACAGAGAGAAAAAAGATCTTTTAAGAAACAAATCTATGCATACTTTAAAGTTCAGAAGAACACTTTAACAGCAGCGGCTGTGAACAAATCCAGGTTTCCAACGTACTGTTTGACCCTGCGCCAGCCTCCCATTCTCATCTGTGAGATGGACATGATAGTGGCCACCTCAGAGAAGTATCAGAACAATAACATAATGTTGGCATAGCACAGAGCCTGACATAAACTAATTTCTCAAAATCTGGCAGCTAATATTATTAACTTGTTTTAAGTGACTCCACTAGTGAGTGAGGCAGCTGAGATTTGAACCAAGTTTGTTTGAATCCAAAGCCCATGAGAAACCTTTTTGATTTGCATATTATTATAGGAAATAGGAATTTGTTGTTCCCAGAGATTTCTTGCTACAATTTTTTCACTGTGCAGTAAGCTACCCATTTGCTCACAATAAGCCCCATAAAGACAAAAAGGTAGGATCCTTTTCTGGCATGTCATAAAATTGAGGAACCTTCTTTTTTTTTTTTTTTTTTTTTAATTGAGACAGGGGTCCGCTCTGTCATCCAGGCTGGAGTGCAGTGGCGTGTCTTGGCTCACTGCAGCCTCTGCCTCTTGTGTTCAAGCGATTCTCATGCCTCAGCCTCCCGAGCAGCTGGGATTACAGGCATGCGCCACCACGCCCAGCTGATTATTGTATTTTTAGTAGAGATGAGGTTTTGCCATGTCGGCCAGGCTGGTCTTGAACTCCTGGCCTCAGGTGATCTGCCTGCCTTGGCCTCTCAAAGTGCTGAGATTACAGGTGTGAGCTACTGCACCCAACCAAAATTGATGAACATTCTTGAACTTAGTTATCTACTTACAGAAGATAGATGATATTTAGCTTCCCAAACAGCTTGCAGGTAAATTTTCTAATAAGGCTTTTGATACAATAAACATCCTGTGATTCTGTTCTTCGGCAATGAACAACTTCTACCTTTCCTCTTGGAGAAGTGAGTACTGACATTTTTTATCCTGTCCCCAAAAGAGAGAAAAAAGTCCACTATTAATCTGATATGATAAGCCAGTTTGGTTATAATACACACAAAACTGAACACTAATTCAATTTCCATGTGGTCAGAGTGAACATGGTGTGAGAATACTGGTGTGACACGTTTTCCCCTGGGTGTAGTCTGTGACAACTGTCACTGCAAACCAGCTGACGTTCCTCCATAGGAGAATGAAGTTTCTGAGAACTGGCCTGTTTAGAAGTTTCTGCAACTATATTCTTTGTTTCCAACAAAGCTGCTTTAAAAAATTCTAACAATAGAATTGGAAAAACATTGAAAGGAATTATTTACGGATTCAGGGTCCTCTTATATTTAATCGGCCACGATGGCATGTGGTGAAGAGTTACTGGGGAAATACTGACAGCTGCTGCCTATGTTCTTAATAGAGTTCTCCAAACTGGAGCCCTGAAGGTCAGCAGTCTTGAGACATATTTTGAGACCAAAAAAGTTCTGTGGTTAAGTGTAGGAAATGCTCGCAATAGGCTTCCTGAAGGGCCACCAGGCCCATTAACATCTTTGAGAGGTTCCATAATAAAGCAACTTGTTTTCTTTGTATAACCCAGCCTTTCCGACACTCTTTGGGAAGAGAATCTCTAATGACGGCAACAGTGGAGAACCTAACGTTCCAGAAGGACACTTTGGGAAATGCTGTTGACAAAAACAGTAGGTCACAAAATGATTTCAATTTCTCTCTCATTGTCTCAATTTCTGTAAGTCTCTCTTCTCTCTTTCCCTCCCTTCTTTCCTTCATAGGGAAAGCCATTTTATTATATACTAGCCAGTGAGCTCAAAACAGGGAAAACAATGAAGGAGAAATTAATAATGTCTAGACTCCTATCGAAGCTAACCATAAATATTGTCATTCCTTGTTCTGGTTTTAAATTGAAAGCAAAATTGGAATGAGACATCTTGTTTGTGAAACATATCATAAACTAATGCTACAAGTATATAAAAATTCTGAATAAAATAAGGAAGTATAATTAATTAGATAACTGACTTTGGTAAAAAGAAAACAAGAAAAGAAGAAAGAAAGCGAGCGAGGGAAATTCTCCAACCAGGTGGCAATGATGTGAGCCGATCTGACACAGGTTTTGGGGATAGAATGGACCTCACTCCAAACAGAGAATTAAAAATTAAACCATGCATCTACCTGGGACTTTGGATGGGCCCCTCGGTAAGTGAGGGGGCTAGAAAAATTAAACTCACCAGCCCAAGAAAGTGACAAGCTTTCTCTACACAAAGCTCTAGGTAGAAAATAAAGCAAAAATACTGCTGAGAAGTCCAAATTCTAGACTAAAGTGGGTATGGCATTCTAGTCCACACAATCTGTGTATTATGGGAGTCACCAAGAACTTTAGATGATAGACTCTGAAACAGACTACAAACTAAGTATGTTTATAATAAAGAAATATAGAAAGAGAAACAAAAGTCATGAGAAGAGAACAGGTCATTATTTAAAAAAGAACAGAAACTTAAAAAATGAAATACGTGGTTATTAAAATTTAAACTAAGAGGATGGGTTAAAAACAGAAGAATAAAGAAAATAAACTGGAAGATACTTATGAACAAATTATCTAGAAAGAAGCACATAGAAACAGAAAATACAGAATTCAGTAAAGACACATGTAAGACAGAATGAAAAACATCTGTCTTATGGGAATTCCAAAAGGAATAAATGAAACATTTGAAAATAATGGCTAATTACTTTTAGCATGGATGAAAGACATGAACCTTCAGTTCAGAGCAAAAAATACAAATAAACTCCAAATATATAGTAAAACTACAAAACCCTAAAGACAAACAGAAAACTTTAAAGGAACCTGACAAAAGACAGACTGTCTATAAAAAATAATTAGACTGACAGAATATTTCTCATGAGCAACATTAGAAGCCAGTAGCACGGGGGTTAGCAAACTTCTGTAAAAGGCCAGAGAATAAATACATTAAGCTTTATGAGCCACATGTTGTCTACACAACTAGTCAACTCTGCCATTGTAGCACAGTAACAACCAGAGACAATATCGGCACAAATGAGCATGAATGTATTCCCACAAAATTTTACTTACATACACTGAAAGTTGACTTATGTATAATTTTCATGTGCCATGTAATTTTTAAAAAATGTTTAAAATGTAAACTACATATAAAGTTTAATGTAAAATGTGTGTGTGTATATGTGTATGTATGTGTGTGTGTATATATATATATATATATCCCTAGCTCATTCACAGTCCATACAAAATAGTCAATGGGCTGAATTTAGTCTACGGCCCATAGTTTTCTAACTACTAGAATAGTGTTTTAAAAATATAAAAGGAAAAAATAACCATTAACCTAGACTGATAAACCTAAACAATCACTTTAAAATGAAGATAAAATAAAGACAATTTCATACAAAGACTGAAAGAATTCAAAGAATCTTGTAGAAAGAACTAGGAGATGGTATATTCTGAGAAGAATAAAATCAGAAAGAAGTGGAATACAAGATTAAATGCTGGGAAATAAGAAGGTAAACATGAAGGTATATCTACAAAAGCATTGATGGCAAAAAGTAAGAAGGATAATACATTTTTCCTAAAAAAAAAAAAAAAAAAAAACAAACAAAAAAAACACACACAGAGATGAACTGAATTGCCAGACAACAGAAATGTAAGAGAGAAGGATGGTGATCAGAAGCAAAGTATTCTAGCATGTTTGTACTTTTGAGCAAAGGCAACAGATGATTAAACCAATGATTCATTTGGTAAATCAATTGTTTACAGTAACACATTTAAGGAAAATCACTTCAAAGAAACATCTTTTTAATATTTATTTATTTTGTTAGGTGGCTTTATGAAAGTGATATAAAATCTTCTCTATTTAAATTTTGAAAAGTGAGATAAAATATCTAAATAATATGGTTAATAAAGAGTTATGGCAAATACATTGATGTTGGTTATAACTGACTGCAGTTCTAGAAATCTGCATAAATCTTTTGTTGAAAGTAATATCTGCATTGGTAGACGTGATATTACTACATACATAAATATATATTTTCCCCAAACACCAAAAGAGCTTTGCAACTGTGGAAATTATCCTAACAAATGAGCTGCCAAGTCATGTCATTATACATTTGTCCAACCTCATAGAATGTACACCAAGAGTGAACCCTAATATAAACTATGAACTTTGGGTGATAATGATGTGTCAATGTAGGTTCAAGATTGTAACAAATGTACTGCTCTGGTGGAGGATATTTTTAAGAGTTGGAGGCTGTTAGAGGAGGGAAGAGGTACAATAATTGATAGCAGGAAGCTGTGGAGGGAGGAAATCTCTGTGTCTTCCACTTAATTTTGTTGTGAACCTAAAACTTCTCTAAAAATGTCTATTAAAAAAAATTCTCTTAACCTTTGCTTTTCAGTTTTTGAGGGCAGGTTAAGTATTATAACAGCTAACATCTACTGAGCATTTGTCTTTAATCCTAGTGAAACAGATGTTATTAGCCTTGTTTTATAGTTGAGGACATTGAGGCTAAGAAAATTTAACTAGAGTAATTAAGGCACACACAGAATTTAAACATGTTTCTTATCACAAGACTGAGTTGTTTTCCAGTTACTCTATTTATATTTTTTCCTAATATCTGGCTTCAAAGTACCTTCTGTTATTTTTAATTCCAAGCCTTAGAGTTAATTATTTGGGCACCTTAGAATTATTTGGGCACAACTGTCCCGAAACCAGAAACGAGGGGGCGTGGACCCAGAGACTACTAGAATGCAATGCTCGAGGCATTGCAGCCTAAAAGGGCGGCAGCTCGCCCCGTCGCATGCTGGGAATGGTAGTTTCCTCGCTCTCCCTTCTTCCCCCGCCCTCGAGCATCCAGATTGGAGCTCCGTTCTTACTCCCTTGCAGGGCGCCACGGCTCGACAGAGCCACTCGTCCTCGCCTGGTCATCCCAGTTCCGGAGGCTGACCTGGGGATGCGCCCTGGACGCCCTGCACCGCAGTCCTTGCGTCGCTGCTAGTCAGCACGGCGTTACCCACCTCATCCGCAGCTCCAGGACGCCGCACTCCACGCGCTGCCGCAAGGAGGACGCGCAGCCTGGTCACCATGGAAACGGTGCCGCCTCCGTCACGGCTCAAGCGAGAGGTCAAAGGTCAGTCCTGCAAGTTCCGCTTCCGGTTCCGAGATCCTGTTTGTTTTCTGAAAGCTTTGTGGTTTCGGTGAGCTCTCAGAGCCGATTTCTAGCGTCCGTGCCGGGGACAGGTGTCCAGAGGTCGACTGCTGCAGACATGGCGGCCTCCACCGCGGCCGGGAAGCAGCGGATTCCCAAAGTGGCCAAGGTAGGCGATCGCGAGGGGCCTTGTAGGAGGTGGCCTAGGAAAGGGGCATCCCTCAGCCCTGAGGGTGCCCGGGTTGGGAGAGAGTGTTCCCGCCGGGGAGAAGGCTCACCCTGAGAGATGGAGAGGAAGGGCAGCTGGTGGTGGGGCGCGGGCTCTTGTCATCGCGGAGCACGACCCGCGTTGGCGTGGCCTTCGTTCTGGGGTGGTTTTGCTGGGGAGTGGAGTGGGGTGGTTCGGTGAAGATTTACTGAGCCAGGCACTGCACTGGGCGCTGGGAAGCTACGCTCGTACGCTGGCCACAAGCAGTACTCAAAACACGAGTTTCTGTATAAAGACGACCTTGCTAGATGTTACCGAGAGGCAAAGTAGAATATGCCATGGGCGTGAATAAGGGGGTCGTATGAAGGGGTCCTGAAAGTAAATTTTGCTGAGGAAATGACCTTTAAGCTGAGACTTGAAGGCTGAATAGGAGTTAGCCCAGCTGACAGCGGAGGGCGAGAGTAGACGGTAGGAGTAGTATAGTATCATAAGTTAATTAAACAGTAGACTTACTATCTGGTATTTCCTTTGATAGCTAATACTTACCAAGTGCTTAATATGTGGCAGACTTTGAAGCCTTTACAGATACCCTCCCTCCAGTCTTTCTTGAGCCCGGATGACTCTCTTGAACTGGACCTTTACATAACTATTTGTCTGACTCGCAGGAGTAATGCATATAGAGCAAGTAACACTGTGTCTGGCACTTAGTGCTTATTAAATATGAGCTATCACCATTATCATCATTACTCCACATGTGGCATTAAGTAACATTTTTTATAATTCAGCTACATAAACTTTTATTGGGCATCACTGGTCCAATGGAAATATAATGCACACCACATATGAAATTTTAAATTTTCTCATATCTACATTAAAAAGTAAAAACAAAGCAAAAAAGTGAAATTAATTTTGATAATATATATTTTATTTGAGCTAATGTATCCAAAATATTATCATTTCAACATGTAATCGGTATAAAAAATGTAATGAGGTAGTTTATTCTTTTTTATACTTCATCTTCAAAACCAATGTGTATTTTACACTTACAGTCCACCTCAATTTGTACTCACCACATGTGACTCATAGCTACTGTGTTGGACAGCACAGCTCTAAGCTACGTTAGACTGTAAGCTTCTAAGACCTCAAGAAGCTTACAGTCTAATGATGAGAACTTACTGAAATTGCCTTTGACTTGAAGTGCCATGTAAAACCAAACCCAGTTATACACCGGGGCATTAAATAAGTTGAAGAATTCTGTAAATGCAGGTTGTAATGCTGTTAATAAGATGTGCTACACATTTTGATAAAACAAAACCTCTGGTCAGAATTTTACCTAGACGGCCTCAAAGTTTATTATTATACTCATCTAAAAGGGAAAACTTGCTATTATTTTTGCCACCTTTTTCTCTTGAGACTTTTACCTATGGCTTTGCAGTAGATACTATGAATAAGAGAGAAAACGGTATTTTTTTTTTCTTTTCAGTCTCATGGAGGAATGGGAACATGTCATACAAAAAGGGCATCTTGTGATAATACTAACAAAGTTCATATCCTAAAAAATGTATGTTTGTTTCTTAAGCCTTGTGTGAAGAGCAACTACTAAAAATAGAAATGTCTTCTTTCTTAAAAGGTGAAAAACAAAGCCCCGGCTGAGGTACAGATAACTGCTGAACAACTCTTAAGAGAGGCTAAAGAAAGAGAACTTGAGCTTCTTCCACCTCCACCTCAACAGAAGATCACAGATGAAGAAGAATTAAATGATTATAAACTAAGGAAAAGGAAGGTCAGTCAGTGTGGTATCTTTCAGTCCACTAATTGTTAAGACTGTATCGGTCAGTTTGAAAAGCTCCTCATTGGTTGGATTCTGTAGGGCAAGATGAGGTTAAGTGTTTCCAGACGCATGAATAATGTACTTCTGGTTACCAGATAACAGCATTTTTCTGAACTATATAAAATATGCCATGAGTTGTCTGGTTAAAGTGTAAAGAAATTGAATCTGCATAATTTTTGATGCTGAATCAAAGTGAGCGGAAGTTTAGCAGATGGAACAACTGACAACAAGAAGGAGGGTATGCTTAGTAAGGCTGCACTGTGTACTTCTGTCTATACCACCTTCTGTGTTAAGAATTGAGATCTGGCTGGGCACAGTGGCTCGCGCCTGTAATCCCAACACTTTGGGAGGCCGAGGCGGGCAGATCACCTGAGGTCAGGAGTTTGAGACCAGCCTAGCCAACATGGTGAAACCCCATCTCTACTAAAATACAAAAATTAGCCAGGCGTGGTGGCAGGTGCCTGTAATCCCAGCTATTCGGGAGGCTGAGACATGAGAATCACAGCAACTCGGGAGGCAGAGGCTGCAGTGAGCCGAGATCGTGCCACTGCACTCCAGCCTGGGCGACAGAGCAAGACTTTGTCTCAAAAAAAAAAAAAGAAAGAAAGAAAGAAAGGAAAAGGAATTGAGGTCTGCAAAAGGACCATGAGAAGACTTTGGGATCTGATTTGACCTCTTCACTCTAGAATGTGGGACTGTTTTAAAGCACTAATGCTGTTATATATGAAATTCTGAGAATTACCAGAGGACTTAAAGGTAATAGTCAAAAACATTTTTTATTAGGGACAAGCATAGACCATTTTAAAGTATCAGTTAGTTGACTGTAACCTTCTGTAGTGGGTTTCTTATTCCTCAAGGATTCCAGGATGTAATTTCTCTTAAATATGAACAAAATGAATAACCATTTTAGTACAAGACTTAAAATAGACCAAGGGTGCTGTCATTTTTAGTCATTTGTCTTTTGACTTGACCCTTTTTGCCTTCTTCCAGACTTTTGAAGATAATATAAGAAAAAACAGGACTGTGATTAGTAACTGGATAAAATACGCACAATGGGAAGAAAGCCTAAAGGAGATTCAAAGGTAAAATTACTGAGAGTGTAGTTTTGTATATAATGATTCATAGATTAACAGATACCAAAAAGAAAAGAAGAAAAAGTTAAAGCACAGGTAAAAGATTGTGCCTCGGGTAGAAATTTTCAACTTTGGTTCCATGGAACCCTAGGGTTCCCTTGAGGGCCTCAGGAGTACTGGGGTAGAATAGTCCTGGGGAGGGTGGCAGAAGAGGCTTTAGAGATAGATCTTGTCAGTTGTAGCTAAAGAAGCACAATTTCATTTGCTTTGTATATATTGAGATTTTTACAAATTTCAGCTAAACAATGGCCAAAAAAAATAAAACCAATGGCCAAAAAAAATAAAAATTGCAATCTGGCCCTTCCTGTGGTCTAGCTTTCTGCATTCTCCCCGCATACCTCCTTCCCCCACTGTGCCTGTGTATGTGCCACTCCCTGAATATATCATGTCTCCTTATCGTGAGGCTTGACTGTTCTCCTTGCCTGGAATGAGCACCCCCTCCTCACCAAACTTAGTTTCCTGGTAAATCGGAACGTTCCTCAAGTTCTCATTTCTACAATTACCTACTACTTAGCCTTTTCCACCAAACATTTTCATTTCTTCCTCTCTGTTTCCCGTGCAGATCTTGACTATAACATAAATCACATTGCATTATAATTGCATGCATGTCTTTTTATAAGACTTTGTAAGGTACTTGAGAGCATTATATCTTTTCATTTTTTTATGCCCAGAACTTGGCTCATGGTAGACACCTAATAAAACATCAGTGCATTCCAGATAGTTTGAAATAACTGCTACATGTGTTGAATGCTCTATTTTTGATGCCCTGCAAATCTTGCTTCTTAAGGGCTCGATCCATATACGAGCGTGCTTTAGATGTAGACTACCGAAATATTACACTCTGGCTGAAATACGCAGAAATGGAAATGAAGAATCGCCAAGTCAACCATGCTCGAAATATCTGGGACCGGGCCATAACAACGCTGCCTCGAGTTAATCAGTTCTGGTAAGTTTCTGATCTAACAAAACAGCCTTTTATAGACTAGCAAAGTTCCACATCTTCTGTATTTATTTTATTTACATGATGATAGTTTAATTTGATATCCTACTTTTTCTTCAGACATAAATGCTGTTATGTCCCATAGTCTATTAAGTCATAATCGTAATGTTCTATAGCTATGTAATCAAAACTAAAATTTTGATTGCAATCTTTTATTCATAAGCTTCTTGTTGAACTAGGCAACTTTTAAGAAAAAAAAATCTTTTTTTCCAATGGTTCATCCTTTTTCAGATTTACATACAAATGACAAAACATGTTTGATTTAACCTTTAAGAAAGGTAAAATCTTCAATCTTCTTCCCATTCAACAATGGAAGAACTAAACCACAGCAGATATTTTCGGGTGATTTTGTTACAGGTACAAGTACACGTACATGGAGGAAATGTTGGGAAACGTTGCCGGTGCCCGGCAGGTGTTTGAGCGCTGGATGGAGTGGCAGCCTGAGGAGCAAGCCTGGCACTCCTACATCAACTTTGAGCTGAGATACAAAGAGGTGGATCGGGCCCGCACCATTTATGAGCGATATATCCTTTGGACGAGATCTGTATGGTGCCATGATTGTCCTGGATGCTGCTGCTGCTCCTGTAGAGATGTCTCATGATCAGGACACACAGTCATTAATGTCAGGCTCAAAGTCAAGAATGCCAGTTTATCAGCTTCCCTATGTTTTGTAGGGAAAGAGATTGGTCAGAATGAAAATTTGTATTCTGGGTAACTAGTCTTTTCTAGTGAGAGTTTGGGTTTATTTTATTGTAATGCTAAAAGCTAATGTTTCCTTGTGGAAAATGATATTCCTGGGGGATTGTTTCCAGGAACTCAAGGGGATACCAAAATCGGTGATGCTTAAGTCCCTCATATAAAATGATGTAGTATTTGCATGTAACCTATGCATAGCCTCCCATATAATTCAAATAATCTCTAGATTACTTATACCTAATGCAATGTAAATGTTATATAAATAATTGTTATTCTGTATATTTTAAGGAATAATAAGCAAAAAAACGACATGTTCAATACAGAAGCACTTTTTTCTCACGAATACTTTATCTCAGGTTGGTTGAATCCACAGATATGGAACCCATGGCTGGAGGACTAACTGTACTAAGGTCCTGGCTGCCATTGCCAGTCCTGTTTTTCTAAGGTTTGTGTTGGTCATTACTACCTTACTGGAGTTCATCCAAGGTTTACTGTTTACTAGCTGTGTGGCTCCAGAGAGTCATTTAACTCCTTTGAGAGTTGGTGTCCTCTTCTTAAAAACAAGAATAAAAACACCTTTGTTGGGCTGTTGCGAAGATTAAATGATACACATGAAAGCACTTTTAGAAACTGAAGTACAGTCATTCCTCACTATTTGCAGATTCCATGTTTGCAAAATCACGTATTTGCTAAAATTTATTTGTAACCCCCAAAATCAGTAATTGTGGCACTTTCACAGTCATTTGTGGACATGCACAGAGCATGAAGTCCAACAAGGTGAGGCTTGCCTTCTGGTCTTAACCTCATATAACCATGCCTAGAGCTTGGAGACAGGAAGGGCCAGTGCCATGTAGTGCAAGGAGCTGTGGCTCTGGGGCCAGTCGGGGAGTTTGAATCCCTGTCAGTGGGGCAGCCTCAGTCCAGTCACTTAACATTTCTGAACCACTTTTCTTACAAAATAATGAAGATAGAATCTGCCAGGATGAGTTCTTTTTAGGATTTAAGATGATGATGAATGTGAGATTGTATATATACACGTTTCTCCTAGGAGCAGTGGTTCAGTACTCAATAATTAAGTGTTCGCATTGACTAAATAGAACATAACTACCAGAAATAATGAGAGTCAACTTTATTATGCAGTATTAAGATCTTTTTATTTTTTTACTCTTCTCTGTTGAGGTGACAATGTTAAGATCTTAATTATGTCTACTAATTTTAATATTATTAGTTTGACGAAAGCTTTTATAGCACTTGCTACGTGCCAGGCAGTATTCTAAGTACTTTACAGATATTGTTGTTTAATCCTCATAACATCCTTGCAGTGTAGGAACTTCTCTGTCCTACAGATGAGGGAGCTGAGGCATGAGAGATTAAGTAGCTTGACTGGGTTCTCACAGGTGCTGATGGAAATAGAATGTGAACCTAGTAGAGCAGCTTCAGAACTGATGCTCTTCTTTGCCATATTGGAATATATTACTACTTTGGAAATTAATGATTTATTCAAGGAAGATAGATTAAAATGACAATTCAAAACTTTCTGCTTTGACTCTAGTTAACAGTTTTCTTTTTATAGCATGTTTTTTTCTTAATTATTAGTTCAAGTATTCATATTTTAATATAATTGGTGCTATTTAATGACCAGACCATTATTGACCGCTTACGGTGCCATGTTCTTTTGGCTAGAAACTGTGCTAAGGGCTTTACATACATTTTCTCATTTAAAGCTGGCAGTAATCCAGTGAGGCTGGCATTATTTTTCCCTGTTTACAAATGAAACAGCTGAGACTTAGACGTCTAAGTTCAGTGACTTATCCAAGATCACATGGTTGGTAACCTGGGTTGAGATTTTTCTTTGCTTCCAACTCGAGTTTATACCCACCACTAAAATCTTAACTAAGCACTGGAGGAAAATAGAGATGAACAGGCGTGGCCCTGCTCTCACAGAAGCCACTGTTTAATTCTACACTTTTGTATGTGTTTTGTTCCCCTAGAGTTGTAGTTTGAATTTTTGGAGTTTCCAGGCTTTGGTATGGTTTTGGTGTTTACTTACTTACTATTTTTTTAAGCCATGCTGTTTTGCCTGGGATTTCCTTAATTCCCTTGCACTTGTCCTCGTGCACCCTGATGTTAAGAACTGGATCAAGTATGCCCGCTTTGAAGAAAAACATGCTTATTTTGCCCATGCACGGAAAGTGTATGAGAGAGCTGTGGAATTCTTTGGAGATGAACATATGGATGAGCACCTTTATGTTGCCTTTGCCAAGTTTGAAGAAAATCAGAAAGAGGTAAGTATACCTAACTTCATTATACTGTAAAACAGCTTAGCAAAGATTACATTTTGTGCATGGTGAGTTCATTTCCATTTTTTCTTACTGACATATCCCTGGAAAGATGTTTTCAAAATACAAAAACACAGCTTCTCACAGAGAACAGCATATATATGTGACTAAGCTACAGATGGGAGCTGATTATAGATTGTATTATAACTGTCTTAATTTTATTGTGCTTTGTTTGAAAATTAAGCCTTTTAGTCTGAATGCCCGTAAACTGAGAACTAGTCTTTTGGCATCCTAAGTAAAGGACTTAACCGATAATAAATATGGGAAACAAAAAGCTTAAAGCCCTAGAACAGAAAACATTTAGAATGGAAACAGAGATTGCCCTACAAATAAGAGAGTTCTTTTTTTCCCTTGTACCTATGAAAATAGCTCAAATATTGAGAAGATGAGGCAGAAGGATCACTTGAGGCCAGGAGTTTGAGACCAGCCTGGGCAACATAGTGAGACCCTGTCTCTAAAAAAAAAAATTGAGTGGGCATAGTGGTGCACACCTACAGTCCCAGCTACTTGGGAAGCTGAGGCAGGAGTATCACTTGAGCCTAGGAGTTTGAGACTACAATGAGCTATGTTCGTGCCATTGCACTCTAGCCTGGGTGACAGAGCAGGACCCCATTTCTTAAAAAAAAAGGGAGTTCAAATAATACAGAATTGAGATCCATCCAAATACAGGTTTGAGCATTCCCAGTCTGAAAATCCAAAACTCAAAATGTGAAACTTGTTGAGTGCTGACATGACACTCGAAGGAAATGTTCATTGGAACATTTCAGACTTCGGGTTTTTGGATTAGGGATGCTGAACCAGTAAGTATAATGCAAATATTCCCAAACTGGGGAAACATCCCAAATCCAAAACACTTCTGATACCAAATGCTTCAGACAAGAGATACTCAACCTATATAAGGTCTTGCACGGACCATGCTAGGGAGTTCAGATTCTGTTCGGGCCAGTGGGAAGCATTGAAAGGTTTTAAGCGGGACAGTGATTGGATATGATTTATATTTTAAGGAGAGCCTCTGGCTAATTCATGGAGAATGTATGAGGGTAGATGGCAAAAGTGGAACCAGGGGAGACCAGTGGGGAGACTTTTGAAGTGGGCCAGGTGAACAGTGGAGTTTGATGGCTGGGGGCTGGGGAGAAGCAAATGGCTGTGTGGAAGAGATTGAAATGGTAGGGCATGTTGCAAGAGTGAATATGGAGTATGAGGAAAAAAGAGGAATTGAGGATCACCTGAAGGTTTTGGCTTGAGCAAGTGACTGTAGGTTAGGCCTTGCCTACTAAAATTGGGAAGATGGGGAGAGTCCCAGTTTGAGTGGGGAGGAAACAGAAGCTCAGTTTTGGACCTGTTTGAGATGTGCAGTAGACATCCAGTTGGCAGTGTTAGGTAGACAGTATTAAATATGGAGCTCAAAGCAGAGTACCGGTCCATCCTGACAGAGATAACCTTCAACAAGAGGGAGAAAAGCATCTTACTCTGGATATTATGAGGCCTCAAAATCTAACTTATAAGTAATATTTTGTTATATTTACTCTCCTAGTTGTGACTGGCATGAGAATATTGTGTTATAGAAGGTAATCATCCTGTCTGCATTTAGTTTGAAAGGGTACGAGTGATTTACAAGTATGCCCTGGACAGAATTTCAAAACAAGATGCCCAAGAACTCTTTAAAAATTATACCATCTTTGAGAAGAAGTTTGGTGATAGGCGGGGTATTGAAGATATCATTGTGAGCAAACGGAGATTCCAGTACGAAGAAGAAGTGAAGGTGAGCACTGGTGTGGATGGTCAACTCTGCAGATAACCCAAGATGTGCTCATCAATACTAGCAACACTAAAATGAATAATAGCAAGTAGCACTACTAGTGATTACTCTCGTGATGATGTGCCCGTGATCCAATTGGCAGCTATTTCAGACAAGTAGGAATAAACAAGGCTGATAGAAAAGGCAAGCAAACAACACTTGGATTTGCTCTGCCACTTACATGTTGTAAGTCGTTTTGTTGATTGTTGACTGTATGTAGAACTGGAGCAAAAGAAATGTGGAATCCATTCGAGCTCATTGTTGGAAGAAGGTGGAAGAGTCAGAGATTGGTCCAAAAACCTGTTTTGCACATCACCTTTGAGCTTAACTGCCTGAACAAAAGATGTATGCTAGACAGGGTTCCATCGGCATCTCTTTTTCTGTAATGTACTATTTTGATTTCAATTCAAAGAGAGTGTCATTTTCCTTCAGTATTCTGTTGTGTATTTAAAAATACTCTTCCTTAGTCAAGTTAATTAAGATACCTCCAAGCAAAGGACTAAGTCTGTTATTAAATGTGGTGGTAGGTTAGCAAGATATGTTAAAGATGAATTGCTATTAATTGGAAAGGCAAGTTTAACAATTGTGAGCATGATACGATTCTGTTGTTACAGACATAATGATACATAGTCACATATTTAAGCAAATGCATTGGCAAGAATAGGCATCTAATTATTGACTGTCGTGAGAGTGATGGCTATAGATGAAGGAGTCCTTGCTGTGGGACACCTGGCCAGTAATCTATCCTCTGTATTCCTGTTTCTTTTCTATTTATGCAGTCTCAGGGATGGTGTTTTTAAAATGAAAGAACATGTAACATTTAGAAGAAAAGGTGCTAAAATATAGAAAGTCAGCCTGATGCCTTTTTTCAGCTTGCTTAACCTGGCAAGTGCAGCTCTTGGTTTTGTTTTTTATTTATTAAACTGGTTGTCTTTCTAGGCGAATCCACACAATTATGATGCATGGTTTGATTACTTGCGCTTGGTAGAAAGTGACGCAGAAGCTGAAGCCGTGAGAGAAGTCTATGAAAGGGCCATTGCCAATGTCCCACCCATTCAGGAGAAGAGGCACTGGAAGCGCTACATTTATCTTTGGATCAACTATGCACTCTATGAAGAATTGGAGGCAAAGGTGAAAAAACAGAATTATGTGTCAGCTGATAATGGTTTCCTGTCTTCTGTATTCACAGCTCACCTATTGTGGATGTTTGTAATTCTTGAAAGAAGGAAATTTAGTTTTAAATTTTTATAGGCTTCTGTTCATCCATACAGTTATATATTCGCTCTGCAACATTTTAAACCCTCTGTGCTTGTTGTGGCCACACGTGAGGGGCTTTTTTAACTTTGGTTTGATTTTTACTTGAGGCACAACAAGATATCACTTGGAGCTTGAAAGAGAACAGTGAACCAGCCCTTAATTTAGTGAAATATAGTTTCCTGGATTTGCTCATTAATAGGAGTAATTCTGGCTAGATTATGCATTTTTGCTTTTAGCAAAAATCAAGTGGCATTTTCAGAAATCATTTGTATTAACCTTCTGGGTTTGATCTGAGACTATGAAACATCTTTGTTTCTTTCTGCCATCAGGCAAAACGGCTTTCTACAAAGAAGGGCTTAGAAGTTTGGTGGCTATCTTGTTGGTGATTCTTAAACTGAAGTTTCATGGCCGTTCATACTTTAGATCATAAATCAGGGTTTGCAAGTAACAACTTGTGAAACATGCTGTTTTGGGGGTGTACATTTTTACCAATATCAGTAAAATTAGTAACTAGTAAAATGAGTGTTAGCAGCAGACTTCAATATTTTGTGAAAATTTCTTATCCTAATACAGGATCCTGAGAGGACAAGACAGGTGTATCAAGCCTCTTTGGAACTAATTCCTCACAAAAAGGTATGTTTGCTCTAAAGTGTTCCATTTCAAACAGGTCAGAATCCTCTTCTGTTACTTGTGAAGTAATTCAGTGAAATAATATTGATTGATAAAATGCTTCCCTGTCCCACCATGGACAACATAAATAAGACTGAGATATGCTCCTTGCCTCTGAAAACAGCTCACAGACTAGGTTGGAGGACAACCTGCATTGACAAACAAATAATATAAATTCAGAGAAGGCTAGGTAATGTGAATAGTCTGAGTGGAAGGAGAAAGACATCCATGCAGAGAGCACACAACGTGTGCGGGGGACACACAGGCGGGTTTGTTGGTAACAGTGAGTGTGTGCATGCACAGATGAATGTGCCCCTTGTGTAGATGGTTGAGATGTTACCTCCGCCTTGTTTCCCAGCACGAGAAACAAAACGTGTTTCCTTCTGTAGAAGTGTTGACTGAGTTACTTTTCAGAATAGAGGTAGGACATTCTGCCCATATACAAGCATGCCTACAAAACAAAGTCTGTTCTGAGCAGAGGCTACCGTGCCATACAGTACAGTACAGTATCTGGATCATGGTTCTCAGGAGAGGTTACCATGCCATGCAGTACAATATAGTATCTGGATCATGGTATGTGGGTTTCTAACTTTTGTGAAATGAATGTGGTCTTTGCTTGTAAATAAGCAGAGTACATTCCTCTTACTCTGAAGTTTTAGAGAAATCGAATTACCAATGGCTTTGGTTAATTTAAATTAATTTTAATTCAATTTAATTTGGATGAGGCTTTTAAGCTAGATATTTTTGTGCTTTTGTTTTCTAGTTCACATTTGCCAAAATGTGGATACTGTATGCACAGTTTGAAATACGACAGAAGAATCTGTCATTAGCCAGAAGAGCATTGGTAAGTAAAGAAAGGATCAAGATGTCTCATCAAGTTCTATGAGAAAGAAATTAAAATCTTGGTGCTTGGAAGTTGTACAGTTCCTACTTTAAAGAGTGACAGAAGTATTATACCTTTATAGCCTGGGACATGTTAGAAAACATGCGTCCTCTGTAAAAACACTGACTAATAATGCGTAAATTATTCTTATTACCTGGGGCAAATTAACATTCTGTTTCAATATTGGAAACTTCTATAGCTACCAGTTACTAAATCTTTCCACAGACTGGAATTAGTAATCTGATCCTGTGCAAACTTTTTGGTGTGTTAAATGCACTTTTAATTGTTCCACTTTTTTTTTCTTTTTTTTTTTTTTGTTTGTTTGGTTTTTTTTTGAGACAGGGTCTCGCTCTGTTCCCCAAGCTGGAATGCAGTAGCGCGATCTTGGCTCACTGCAACCTCTGCCTCCTGGGCGGAAATGATCCTCCCATGTTGGCCTCTCAGAATGCTGGGATTACAGGCATGAGCCACCATGCCTTGTCCTTTTTATTTATAGGAGGTTTTATGCATTTGACATCCCTATTCCCTAGGAGATCCTGAGAAACTTTCAAATCTTATTTTATTTAGTTGCCCAAACAATTCTGGAACACTGCCTCTTGCTGAGTGAATTAGAGGAGTTTCCTTCAGCCTTTTGTCAAGAACCAGTAAACATTGTGATACCACAGAGGGAAAGAATGGTAGGCCATGTTGACTTTGCAAGATTCTTCCTCAGCAGAGAACAGCCTCTAGGGCAGTGCAATAACTGCACAGATTAAATCCACTACAGTATCACAGTGGTCTGGTTATTTTATTTTCCAGGGAACTTCCATAGGCAAATGTCCAAAGAACAAATTATTTAAAGTTTACATAGAATTGGAGCTACAGCTTCGAGAATTTGACAGATGCCGGAAGCTTTATGAAAAGTTCCTGGAATTTGGACCTGAAAATTGTACCTCATGGATTAAATTCGCTGAATTAGAGACAATCCTTGGTGATATTGACAGAGCACGGGCAATCTATGAATTAGCCATCAGTCAGCCACGTTTAGACATGCCAGAGGTGAGCATCTCAAGTCAAATATAATTTTGTTTGAGATACGTGTTTAGTCTTACTTTAGATGACCATCTAAATGTGGGTGTATTTTAGAGTATAACGATGATCTAACTAACTTAGTCTCTTCTACTCAGATTAGGCTTGTACGTGGAAAGGTGGCTGTGGGGGACAGGGGAAGTAGCCCTCTCATTAGATACCAGAGCAGTAGACATCCAGGATGATGCCCAGGATGAACTGGGATATCATGGGGGTGGGTGACGCCCCTTCTGCAGCAGGAAAGCCTAAAGGGGCTGGGGAAGAGGCCAGGCAAGGAAGAAGCCAGCAGGCTGGCCCACCCGGAGAACGAGGGGGATGGAGGTAGGAACTGCACATCCCTGTATTCTCTAAACCAGGATGTCCTTGCAACTTCTGTTGTCACTGTCCTGAAAGTCCTCGCCTGCCTTCAGTAGTTAAGCTTGACCCACAAGGTAGCACCAAACCACAGCTAGGAAAGATTTGAATCTCACATGAGTCGTAGAACTCACCCAGCCGTTTTGTTAATCTCATGCACTAACATGACCCTGCATTTAATGGTTTGGCCCCCTGATTGCATTAATTAAGGCAGGGCTTTGGGTATCACTGAGTTCATCAGTTGTCCTCGGCTCCTCCACCAGACTGCCAGCTTTCAGGTGTCCATGCCACGGTTTATTCATCCTTATTCCCTGCCAGGCTGCACCGAGCCAGTGCGCACCTGTTCAGTGAATGCTTGTTGCACTGAACTCTCATAATAACAAGGAATGTACAGTAGAGGTAAGAACATGCATACTGGCTAACCTGGGCCTGTTTTCTCTCTGGACGCTCAATTGCGTGTGGCTAGAATATGGAGTACCTGGGAGATGCTTGGCAAGTTTCTCAGCTCTTGATAAGTCAAGCATTTGAAAAACTTCCAAAGAGAATCTCTAAGACTGAATCCAAGGCCCTTTTTCTGTAATCTGGAATTCTAGCCAAGTTTTGGCCAGCTTATAGATACCAATGTTATTTATCTTATCCACATGTGTTCTTTAGTTGTTCAGTAAAAATCCTATGTTCCTAGATGTAGGTTAGAGTGATACTTCAGCTGTGCTTTGGATGGGGGCATGCTGCTTTGTAAATGTCAAGACTGACCCATTTACTTTTCTTCCTTAGGTGCTTTGGAAATCATATATTGATTTTGAAATTGAGCAGGAAGAAACAGAAAGAACACGAAACCTTTACCGGCGGTTGCTTCAACGGACGCAGCATGTCAAGGTATCCTTGCTTTGTAGATGATCTTTCATTTTGCTTGAATCAGCAGTCCAGAAGAAAATGATATATTTCTGTATTTTAAGTGTTTGGGTTTTTGTTTTTTTTTTTTTTTTAATGACTTCCTTGCTTTTCAAGAGAAACGTGAGTCTCAGAGGACTTTGGAATGTTTGGAATGTTAAGTTTATACCAGGTCATTGTTTATGCTGCATGTGAGTAGCTTGGGTATCACAAGATTGAAAAAAAGTTAAACTATTTTTTTTTTTTTTGAGACGGAGTCTTGCTGTGTCTCTAGGCTGGAGTGCAGTGGCGTTATCTCGGCTCACTGCAACCTCCGCCTCCCAGGTTCAAGCAATTCTCCTGCCTCAGCCTCCAGAGTAGCTGGGACTAGAGACGCGCACCATAATGCCCAGGCTAATTTTTCTATTTTTAATAGAGACAGGGTTTCACCTGTTGGCCAGGATGGTCTCGATCTCTTGACCTCGTGATCTGCCCACCTCAGCCTCCCGAAGTGCTGGGATTACAGGCGTGAGCCACTGCACCCAGCCAAGTTAAACTCTTTTCAAGAGTTTAAGACTATGTCAGACATTTAATTGTAGAATGTAGAATCAAATATTTTCAGTGTTTATATTGAAGCATATATTCATTGTTTTCATCTGTGAAACATTAGTGATGCACACATTACTTTCCGATGTCATTAACTGGGAATTCGCTTTATTATTACTACATTATTATCTTCTGAGTGATATGGTTAATTTGGTTCAATAATAACTTTTTTTAAAGGTATGGATCAGCTTTGCTCAGTTTGAGTTGTCTTCAGGAAAAGAAGGAAGTTTGACTAAATGCAGACAAATTTATGAAGAAGCTAACAAAACCATGCGAAACTGTGAAGAAAAGGAAGAGAGACTTATGCTGCTGGAATCTTGGCGAAGTTTTGAAGAAGAATTTGGAACAGCTTCAGATAAGGAGAGAGTAGACAAACTCATGCCAGAGAAAGTCAAGAAGAGAAGAAAGGTCCAGACTGATGATGGGGTAAGAACTCTGCCCTGGGACTGTTCATCTCACGTCACATGAGTAGAAACACTTCTGACGTCGAAATGTGGACTTTTAAGTGGCATATGTACAATCTTAGAATGGAAGCAGACCACCTGGAGTAGGAGATGGTTGCAATCTGGCTGTTATGGAAACACGGGGTAGAACATATGGTCCAGTCAGAGGTGGAGAACGGGAAGGGGTTGGCAAAGGTGTTTTGGTGATGGTTGAGTCTGGGAACTTCATGAAGTGTGATATTTTTAGAGCATTTAATAGGAAGTAAGTGTGGAGGAAGATGGAACTGAACTTTCAGATAGGAGCCTATCCAGAGAAGGCTTGTAGGCGGTAAGAAGGAGTTTGGTGGGAGTCAGTGAAGGCTGTTTTGCATAAAATGACGTGACCAGATTGCTAGCCTCTCATCCTGGCAGACTCAAGGGGCTTAGATTGGAGAAAGAAGACCCATCAGGAAGCAGTTTTTATAAGCTGAGCAAGACATGGAAGCTGGAACTAGAACAGGGCCACAGGGCCTGTTAGAACAATATTTGGGAAGTGAAATCAGTGACTGATAGGAGGTGAGGATGGGAAGGTAGGGAGTTGGAATAATAATGCACAGATGTATGGCTTTTGCTACTGGGTGAATATTATGTAAAGATCGTTAAACGTTTTCTTAAGTGTAAGACTGCACAATGTAGTTGGAGACACTGAACATCTTGGTTGGCTATAGAGGAGCTGTGCTTAGATTTTTAGAATGTTTTTCTACCAGTTTAGTTCTCACTGAGCTACAGTTGCTGCTTACTCACTCCCAGTCTTTCAGACCCAGCCCTTGTTCTTTCTGTAGTAGACTTTGATGTTATTTTGTAAAATGGAGGTAATCATCCGGATTTCCAGTAAAAATTCTTCACTCTGATATGTGAGTATATCACCCACGTTTGCTTATCTTTTCATTTTTTATTTCTGTAGTCTGATGCAGGCTGGGAAGAATACTTTGATTACATCTTTCCAGAAGATGCTGCCAACCAACCTAACCTCAAACTCCTGGCCATGGCCAAACTGTGGAAGAAACAGCAGCAGGAAAAGGAGGATGCTGAGCACCATCCAGATGAGGACGTCGATGAGAGTGAATCCTGATCTTTTTTTCATAGACAAATGTTTTGTTATTTTTATAAATTAATTGTTTGGAACTCTTGTGACTCCTGGAAGTTCTTATATATTTCACCAGTAAGAAATTGATTGGTATCTTTGATGGCTACTTTTTAAGTTATTTTTTAAATGCTCTTGGGTTAGCTAGGGGTAGGGATTGCAAGTAAAGGACTTTTTTAACTGCTGGATTTGTTTTTCCAACTGAGTCCAAACTTTTCTAATGTCTGTCCACATCATGCATTAGGAAATGTAATTAAGGTAACATTCTACAGTTACTTTTCATGTCATACCCATAAAGATAGTTTATGCATTCATCTGAAATGTGTAACTTTTTCATGTCTTCAGAGTCACAGACTTGAGTTCATTTCCCAGCTCTGCCACTCATGATTATATAACTTAATTTTCATTTTCCTCATTCACAAAATGGGCCAATAGTTTGACAGCTCATTTTGAAGATTACATTATAAAAGGAATATACCTGGTGGGTGCATAGTAAGTGCTCAGTAAATTGTTTGTTCTAAGCCACTTTTAAAAATGGTTTCATTCCTTGTAGAATTGAATGCGAGTGGATTAATAATTTACCTTACTTTCTTACTAGTGTCCAGTTATATTGTTTTTTAGAACAACACTTGGAAAATAATTTGCAGTGATTATATTTCTGAACAAGGTTCAGAAAACATTGTTTACTAAGAATTTAGTCTAATAATTTCAGTTAGGCGCTCATCAGTTCTCCAGAGTGGTTGAGTTTGTAATACCTTGTTTAAAGAATAATGGCTTGTTCACGTGTGTGCTATGAAAAATGATGTCCCATGTTCACATAAATTTGGGAAATTCTGGACTAAGACTTAAGTCTCGTTAATCAAATCTCTTTATAGTTAGGCTTCTGTACATTATGTATCTCCAGTAGCAATGTTGCCATATTATTTATTTCCCAAACTTAGTGGACAATGGAGTCATTTCTACCTAGAGTACCAGTAAACATCTCCCAGTGTGCTATAGTAGAAAATGTCTACTCCTCACTGCTGACATGTTAAACTTACTCTTGGTTTAGAGCATGTGTAGAAACACCTAAGGTAGCTCTATGCTAAATAATGAAGAGTAGCACAAGAATGAATGTATTTGCTGATACGTTGCTCACATTCTCAAGCAAAAATTCAACTGCATTAACCGATCTGAGAGTTTTCCTTTAACCTGGACTGTGTTTCTCAAGCACATTTTTTCTTTGTTCACTGCCCAAGGACTAGAACTGTATTTTTAAGGTTGTTTTCCCCTAAAAGGACCTTTAGTAAGCAAATTTATTATTAAATGTGCACATCTTATTCACCCAAGGGAATAAAAGCTACTTCGTAATGTTGTTACTAAATTTTATCTTGAAAATAAATAACAGTGTTTGAGGACAGAAGAAACTAGGACTGTTGTTGAGATAAAATCTGTTTTCAGCCTGACTGCTTTAGTCACTGGACGAGCATCAGCTACTGCGGTGTCAGATCACTTCTCGAGTAGAGGTCTGCCTAGTGAGTGAGCAGGAGAACATCATCTTAATAGCCTTTGGCTCACCCAGAGTCAGGGAGAGATGAAAATAATAGGTCAGAATGCAAGTGACTTAATCACAGTCTTCCTAGAATTATCTGTTTATGTTGCATGAATGCATAAGAAAAAAATTCTGTCATGTTCCCAAGGTAGAATTGTAATAAGCATGTGCCAGTGTGAAAGCTGGAAGGAAAAAAGCTATTCTCTAACAGGAGAACATAAAGATTCATTTCTCTCCCACCCTCAACTCCACCAAAGTAAATCCTTTCGATAGTAAAAGTTTAATAATTTCTTGTGGGTTTTTCTTTCGTTAAGTCTTTCACTAACTAACTAACTGGATATTTTCACATATTACAGAGGAAGACACTACACATAAAATACATGGTTGGCCTATGATATAGTTATATGGCCTTTCTTTAGGAATTATGTTCTTTTCCCTCTCCAAAAAAAAAAAAAACCTCAAGTTTTTTTTTTTTTTTTTTGGCTTTTTAGAAGGGCAGGATTTAAGCAAAGCATTGTGAAGAGGAGAAAAGATCTAGGACTAACAAACAAACAGTATAATGGTATGAACGCAGGTGACTGGGAAGAATTTACTACACGATAAGAAGGGAGCTTCTTAAGTATGCTGGACAGTGATTGCTTCAAGTGTGCATTTTTAAAATACTACGTATGGAAGTCACAATTTAATTAAACGTATCTTAAATGATGATGACCTTTCACAATCCTGATTTTTTTTTTTTTTTTTTTTCTTGAGGCAGGGTCTTACTCTGTTGCCCGGGCTGGAGTGCAGTGGGACGATCTCAGCTCACTGCAACCTCCACCTCCAGGGTTCAAGCAATTCTTGTGCTTCAGCTTCTGCATAGCTGGGATGCCCAGCTAATTTTTGTATTTTTTTTAGTATAGATTTTGGCCAGGCTGGTCTCAAACTCCTGACCTCAAGCAATCAGCCTGCCTTGGCCTCCCAAAGTACTGGGATTACAATCTGATTTAGTTTTACAAATGACTAACAAACTTCAGAAAACATTCATAGAGTCAATAATGTATTATACATCTTAGATTTATACATTTCATATATGCTTTTAAAGCTTCAATTAACAGTTCAATACAAAATTTAAAAACAAATATATGCAGCAGTGGTTCTCAGGCACAGAACTGAGGAGGAGACTGGAGCAAGTCTTTTCCCTAGCATACATACAGTGAATACTATGAACCATGAGAGTGGTATGTTTCCTTCTGACCTAGCTGCCTTTTTGATTGAATTTTGTTACAATGAACAGCTTTAATAGGTATGATATTGCTAACTGGAAACAATGAGATTTAAAATAAATTGATAACCTGTATTTTCTTGAAGTCTTTAAGACCTAAAATGATTACTTTTCTCCTAATAGAGCTCCAGAATCATCCAATGAAAATAATATTGTCCATAAAGCATCTAGAGTATCTGCCTAAGAACCACTGCCCAGGGTTATTCAATGTCTTCAGGCCTCACAGGATGAGGTAATGGTATGATGGATTTCTTCTCAGTATCCCTGGAAAGTGCTTTCCTCATATCTGTAAAGAAGCAAAGTTTAATATAAACACCCAAAAAATGTATTATATCAAATGTAAAGTGTATAGGTAAAGTTCCCATAAGAGGTTTTATCCCTACCCCCACTTCACCATATTCTAAGCAAAATGTATTTATAAATGTCTCCCAATTGCCAAGTGTACCAGATGCTAACCAGACCTCACCCAGTATTCAGCTCACAATACACGTTTTCTTGTTAGCAAAATAATATGTATGTAACAGAGTGAAACAGTAAGGTACAGAAATTAACCATTGGTTAGTTAATAGGTAAGTTAATTACTACTACTAATAGGTTGATAAAGGTAGGTTGAGGGAAATTTAAATTTTAAAGTCAAATATTCTACATTTATTAAAATAATCAAATACTACAATCTGTAGAAAGAATGTAACTGTTTCGACTTCTTGGGGATACTGCCATGGAAGGGAGCTTACCATAAGCGTCCTCATCAGGCTCCCCGTTGCTGGCCGAATAGTACTCTATGACCGTCCTATATACACTGTAGCCCAACTGCTTGTACATGTTAACTGCAACTTGGTTAGATACTCTTACAAAGAGATCCACAAAAAATCCACCCTTTCTTTAAAAGAAAAACAAAAAAGGAAAATGTTAGAATGTGAGAAACCCTAGAAAGTAATAGATACATATTTTTTTTAAAACGTGTTTTTACCTTGCTTTGACTACTACTCAGAATGGTAGTAATAGGACCTTGTAGCTGATTACATGGTAATAGAAATTTGTATTACTTAGGATTTATGACAATTACTTTGCAGTGTAAGAACATGACTTTATGTTTGCATGCTAGTATTTCAAAAGCAACACGTTTTCTTAAAAGATAAACTCAAGGCATTTGTTCTACAAATTCACCACCTATTACAGTTTCTCCTGTTTATGAAGTTTATATACATGGAATCATATATTCTTTTGTCTTTTGCTTCTCTCAGTCGACTAACATTGTAAGAGTCAGCTTCAAGAGTGGCTGGGCTTGTGCACAAGTCATTCACGGTCCTGTTGATACGTTTCTGGCTTTTACTATACAAACGATGCTCCTGTGAATACTTCTGTTGAGTGTCTCACGTAAGGTCTATAGCTAGGAGTCTCACTGTTGTGTCACAGGGCACATCTTCATTAGTTAATACCAAACTGTTTTTCCAACTGGCTTGTACCAACTTACTCTTGCACAGAAGTGAGTAAGCCTCCATTCCACAGCAACAAGGCTTGGTGCATCACATGTTTTTATTTTTGCCAATCTTACAGTGTAACTATATCTCAGATTTTAATTTGTATTTCCAATTACTAACAATGCTGAATATATTTCTGTTGGTTGGCCATTTAGATTTCTCCTTCTGTATAGTACTTAAATCTTTCATACAATTTTTCCCCCGCTACAGTTCTCTATGTATTGTGAATATTCAATACTGTGTAATGTCTGCAAGTATCTTTTTCCAATTTGTGGTTTGTCTTGTCATTATCCTTATGTTATCTTTTGATAAAAAGTTACTTCACTTCAGTGAAGCTGAATATATGAATCCTTTCCTTAGCCTTTTTATGGCCTTTTTAAAAAGTTCTACACTGAGGCCACAGAGACACTCTGCCATATTATATTCAAAAGACTTCTTAGTTTTGGTTTCACATCTAGGTTTTTAATAAATCTGGAGTTGATTTGTGTATGGAATAATGGTAATCTGGGAAATTTTTTTTTCCCATAGGGACATCCAATTGTCCAACCACCTTTACTGAAAAGTCTATCTTCATACTATTGATGTGCAATGCCTCTTCTGTGGTATGTTAAAGTCCATATATTCTTGGGTCTGTTTCTCAAATTCTGTAACACTGGTCTAGATAACTACAGCACTAAGATATAGTCTCACTCTTTACAGTCTGATACCTGGAGGGGCACATCACCCATTTTTGTTGTTGTTCAAGAATATCTTGTCTCTTTTTTGCTCTTTCTGTTCCTCTGTATGTTTCAGAGTCAGCTTAACAAGTACTATAAAAAATGCTTGGGATTTTGACTGCAATTACATTGGAACTGCGGTCGATTACCTGTTTACTGTATCCTCTAATCCAGTGATAGTTTATCGCTCCACTTATCAGGGCTACTTTAATATCTCTCAAAAAAGTTTTTTAAATGTCAGAGAGGTCTTGCATAGCACTTGCTAGATTCTTAAGTACTTAATGTTTTTTCATGCTATGGCATCTTTTTCTAAATTTTACTGTTTATATATATATAAATACAATTGATTTTTATACTGACTTTCTATCCAACAACCTTGCCTACCTTTTATTAATTCTAAACATTTATTTCTAGATTCTTGTGGATTTTATATTTGTATAATCATATCTGTGCAAAATAAGTAAGTTTTGTTTCCTCTCATATGTAAATACAATTGATTTTTATACTGACTTTATATCCAACAACTTTGCCTTTTATTAATTCTAAATATTTATATTCTTATGGATTTTATATTTATATAATCATATCTGTGCAAAATAAGTTTTGTTTCCTCTCAATCCTCCTATCGTTTATTTTTTCCTGCTTTCCTGTGCTATAATTTCTAGTAAATTACTGAAGCGGGACTAACTTGTCCCTAATTTCAAAAGGAAAGCATTCAGTGTATCACTACTAAATATATTTACTACAAATTTCTTGTAGATATTTTTCAGGTTAAGGAAGTTCCCCCTTTCTATTTCCCAGTTTGCTAACAGTTTTTATCAGGAAGGAATATTGGATTTTATCAAGTTTGCTGCACTTTCTAAAATAACCAGTGTTCTCCTTTAGTGTAAAGTTGAAACCACCTTGTTCCTGATGTGTCATCCTATTTATGTAGTGCCAAATCCACTTTGCTAATTATTTTTCCGAGATTTTGCATCTGAGTGAGATGTTCCTCGAATTTTCCTTTCCCATATTTTGCCAAGTATTGTTATCAAGGTTATCCTGGCCTTAAAAAATAAGTTGAGGAATGTTCCCTTTTTTGGCTTGTGCAAAATAGTTTGTGTAAAAGTGACCTTTCAGTCATTATTTCTTAAATGTTTAGTAAAATTGGCCAGAGAAGCCACAGCTTTCTTCGTGAAAAGATTTTGGGCTACTGATTGAAATTCTTTAGGGCAGGGGTTGGCTTATAACCTATTTTGCTACTGCCTTCAAGCTAAGAATGGTTTTTGCAATGGTTGTTAAAAACAAAACAAAACAAAACAAAACAAAAAACTATGTAACCAAGACTTTAGGTGGCCTGTAATGCCTGAATATTTACTATCTGACCCAGAAGAAAATTGCTGATTCTTGTTCTATAGGCTTGACAAATTTCTATCTCATTGTTCTATCAATTAGAAAAAAGCATGTCTAAATCTCCCATTATAATAATAATTTGTCTATTTCTCCTTGTAGTTTTGTCAATTTGTGCATTTTTACTTTGAAATGATGTCACTTGGTATATACCATTTTAAATCGCTATTTTTTTTTTTTTTTTTGAGATGGAGTCTCGCTCTGTTGCACAGGCTGGAGTGCAATGGCGTGATCTTGGCTCACTGTAATCTTCGCCTCCCAGGTTCAAGCAATTCTCCTGCCTCAGCCTCCCGAGTAGCTGGGATTACAGTCACGTGCTACCACACCCGGCTAATTTTTGTATTTTTAGTCGAGACGGGATTTCACCATGTTGGCCAGACTGGTCTGGAACTCCTGACCTCAAGTGATCCACCTGTCTCGGCCTCCCAAGGTGCTGGGATTACAGTCATGAGCCACCACTCCCAGACTTGTTACTTCCTTGATTAAATATTTTATCAATATGCAGTGACCCTTTTTTATGCTGGTAATAATTATTCAACTATAACTATTATTAATAAGTATTCTAACTTTCTTTTGGTTAGAATTTGCAAGGTAATTTAAAAATTTACTTTCAATCTTTCTGTATTAAAAATATTTTAATATATTTTACACATATTTCCTGTAAACAATACAGACAGCCTTTGTCTTTTAAATAGAGTCATCATAGCTGGCCGTGCATGGTGGTGGGCGCCTGTAATCCCAGCTACTCAGAGGGTGAGAGAGGAAAATCATTTGAGCCTGGGAGGCAGACGTTGCAGTGAGCTGAGATCACGCCACTGCACTCCAGCCTGAGCAACAGAGCAAGACCCCATCTCCAAAACTAATAATAAATAAATAAAGTCCTAAGTCCATTAACGTTTACTGTTGTAATTACTGACAATATTTGGATTCTGGGCTACCATTTTATTTCATGCATTTTGTTTTGCTGGTTTAATTTCCTTTTTCTCTTCTTTGGAGTTGACTTCTATCATTCAATTTTTCTTCTCCTCTACTTGTTTGGTTTCTATTTTTAATGTATACATTGTATGCACTATGTATACATGTATATAGTGTATATAAGCATATGTATATGTATCATGTATGTGTATATGTATATATATGCCTACAAATGAAGATTACTTAAATCTTAGCAACTAGTCTAAAATAATGAAGGCTTAGAAACTGGAAGGGAAGAGAGCTTAGTGGTCTTCTACTCAGAGGGAGAATCTATCATACAAATACCCTAAATTATATGTGCAAGGTCATAGCTAGTTACGACCTGCTTTTTTTTATTATTATTATACTTTAAGTTCTGGGATACATGTGCAGAACGTGCAGGTTTGTTACATAGGTATACGCGTGCCATGGTGGTTTGCTGCACCCATCAACTCGTCATCTACATTAGGTATTTATCCTAATTCTATCCCTCCCTTAGACCCCCACCCCCGACAGGCCCTGGTGTGTGATGTTCCCCTCCCTGTGTCCATGTGTTCTCATTGAACAACCCACTTTCTAACTCCCTGTTCACTATACAATAATGCCAAATACTTTTTTTCAACATAATGCCATTAATAAATGTGTGTAAACTATAATCATGCTAAAATTTTCTTCCCTTCTTTGTTTGGTCTAGAGAGAACTTTAAAAAATCTTAAAGATTAGCACCGACTTCTTTTTCAGCTAACACAATTTCTTCTCTGAATGAGTTTGAGCTCCTTTGCCTCTAATTTGGCTTGAAGTCTTTGTCAGGCCACAGATACTTCTTTAAAACTTGCCTTTATTAAATCTAATAATTAAGTAGAAATTAAGCTCAAGAACCCTTCTCAGCAACTATTCTCTTTCCTACCACACTTTTAGGAAATTACAGTGGAGAAAGAAATGGCAGCTTGACAACAGGTGAAGCTACTACAAACATCTCTCTTCTAGAATGAAGATACGAGGAGGGGCCTTCTCTTCTATTTATTGTATTTCTTTTATCTCCAGTAATGAAGAGGTTTGATATATACAACACGTCCCTTAAAAAAAAAAAAAAAAATGCCATGCTGGCAGTTCGCAAACTGTGCACTCAGGTGCCCTAAGGTGTCCCAAACTCATACAGCCACCAAAGGATATTTCGAATGTTCAGGGAAAACAGCAAAACCTTACATGTCAGATATTGGCAAACTAGTTTGAAGTAGTTCACAAATTCAACGTAAGATCATGCTACATTCCTCTTAATGACATAATATTTCTATGAAGCTGAGTTTCTGGCAGTTGCTGTGATTAAAAAAAAATACTAGATGAAAATCAATATGAAACAGGAATGCAAGTGGTTCTGCCAAGTCATTTAATGTCCAACAGGTGCACACCTCTCATTGGTAGCTAGCCACAGTTATTTAAGAATGAAATGAAAATATTTCTTCTTTCAATTTATTTTTTTTCTAAATGGCTATTAGCTGTTAGGCTATAAATACTTATTAAACAGTTAGAATATAACTGCTTAAGACTGAACTATTTTCTTTTGGCCGAGGAGCACTGCTAAAAATTTATTCAGATGCCAAAGCAATGGTAACAGATTTTAGGAATGTGTGCCACTGTGGCAGGAACACTAAGAGAAACCTCGAGAGCTAGCCTTTGGAACTGAATTGCACCAATTCCTCAGCTTATAGGCCTATAGCGGGTCACTACAACACTTTGCCTTAATTTCCTCAATGGCAAAATAGAAACAATATCACTTTGACTATGTGATAGAATTGTTCTAAGGACTACTGGAGATGGAAGATGAAATTCCTGTGAACTGTAAAGCATGACAGTTATTCAGCCTGAAGGGGAAGAAAATGGTTAGGGGTCCACAAATCACTAAGTGTATTTGAAAAACTGAATCTCACCTTTCTGAAATCTCCTCTAGTAACTCCATAAGTTTAGCAGCCAAACCAAGGCGTCGAAATTCTGGGGCAACAGACAGAGCTGTGACGTGCCCGTGCCATTCTTCCCTAGCTACTGAGCCTTCTGCTTTACCCATAACTGCCAACAACAACAAAAATCACATTCAGTAACTAGACATTGATTTACACATAAATATAGAATTACTGTTCAGTATGTTTTTATTACAAAGGAAACTAATAAAGAAGTTTTTAAGTACCACCTGAGGTCATCCAGCTAACAGTTAGTGCTTTTATTTGAAATTCACTTGTAAATGTAACACTATCTGTTACATTTAGAATAGTTCTAAAATCAGAATTAGAACAAAAAAGAACGATATACTTAAAACACAACTAATTTTGAAAAAAAAAAAACCAGAGTATGTATTTTTTCAAATATCTGCATTTCATATGGGTGTGGGTATATGTGGGTACATGTGGATGTACACATATAGTTCAGAGCTAAAGGTTCTGTTAGTAATGCTAATTCAATGAGGATGCTATGATGCCTGCATTATGTACTAAATAAACCATGTAGAAATTTAACAAAAGTATAGAATGAAAGATTTTTTTTTTTTTTTTGAGACAGAGTCTCACTGTGTCACCCAGGCTGGAGTGCAGTGGCATGATCTCAGCCCACTGCAAGTTCTGCCTCCGGGGTTCAAGTGATTCTCCCGCCTCAGCTTCCTGAGTAGCTGGGATTATAGGCACGCGATACCACGCCCAGCTAATTTTTTGTATTTTTAGTAGAGGCAGGCTTTCACCATTTGGCCAGGCCGATCTTGAACTCCTGACCTCAAAGGATCTGCCTGCCTTGGCCTTCCAAAGTGTTGGGATTACAGGCGTGAGCCACTGTACCTGGCCTTAGAATGAAAGATTTTTTTTTTTTTTAGAATGAAAGATTTAAGAAGACTAAGACCATGTCTGTCTGGTTCACTGCCGTTATCGCCTGGGCCTAGCACAGTGCCCAAAACAGAGATCAGTAAGTTCTTGAATTGTTGAAGAGGAAATAAAATTACAAGCATCATTATATTCCAATTCTGCAGTCTAAAGCAATCAGTTGAAATCTATATTAAAATCTTTACCTACTCCACAAAATACTAGTGGTATTATACTTACTATAACCCATTAATTCTCCACCAGGTGCCTCTGCAACAATGAAATACTCTGGCCAGTGGGCGAGGTATTGTAGGTAGAAAGGAATCCCATACTAGAGTCCTGTTAAGGAGTGTGAAAAGTAATGGACAGTAAAAAGTTCTTCATTAAGGGATATTGTAAAAAAAGTTTCCTTTAAAAAGTATACTGTTACTTTATCCCCAGCTCTGTATGAGTCCTATAATCATACATACCATTACATGAAATATTTAGGTTATCACTGATTTTTAACAAAATTGCCTGGACATATAGCCTCAAGTGTGGAATGGTGATAGCACTGTCTAATAGAAAGCAGAGAATCAGGACCCCAAAGTTCTACAGTCTACTTCCCTACTGACCATACCATATCTAAGTCTCTCCATTTATCACCTGATATTGTTTGTTTGCGGTCTGCCTCCTCTTAGTCTATGAATATCATGTTCCCTCTGTCCCTGGTGCCTGGTACACAGTAGATGCTTAATACACTGATGCTTACATAATTGCACTGAAAAATTAATGGGTAGTTCCTACTTTGACTTCAGCTATGAGACTGTGAAAATAACTTTACAACCTAAGTCCTTCCAGAGCCAACTTAATTACCCAGTTTTTCCTCTCCACTGATTCAAATCCTGCATTTCTAGTAATGCAGATAAAAGCTGACTTAAGGAATCAACTATGTTAACAGTAAATGCCTGAATAATTTGCTCATGACTTCACTCTTCAACCTTGGGATATCCTTACTGACATGTAATCATTCCTACATTTCTCTTCTTCTTTTTACTCTGTACTTTAATGGATGAAAATATATTTCTTGTTAGTATAAACTTTCTGATGCAATTTATCAGAGGACACCATCAATCACACATAAATATATTTTTTAAGTTCCTGGAAAACCTGTTCCGTGCGAAATTCTTCAAAATCTCCTCTGAAGGACCATCATTATTTTGAATACCCCTCAAATACAACCCTTAACATGGCAGGACAGCCAGTCTTCCTGCCAGCCAGCCACTGACATATACCACAACCATCTCTTCTGTGGCTAACAGAGGAGTCCCAGACACCCCTCCCTCCCATCGACCTCTAGGACCTAACAGGTTACTTTCAAATATAGGCTCACCTGGATTATGGGACTTTCACTGCAAATTTTAAATGTCACTGGAAGCACACCATATAAACGGATTTGCATCCTAAAATCCTTCCTTCCTATATAGTGAAACTTTTGTCATTCAAAATTCTTCAAAAATCTTAAAAGTGGTGATATCATTAGTCGTAATTTAAAAAATCCAGATGAACCTGCAGAGATTTTTTGCTTTTCCCATTCAGTTTTGTTTCTGATATGTAGTCCTGTTGCTGCCTGCACCTGTAAGTTAATTTTTACTGCTGTATAGTATTTCTTTATGTGAAGAGACACCTTAAATAGCCTGTATCCTGACAATGGACACCTGGGTCATTTCCTGTTTCTCAAAAAAATGTTTGAAATCCTTCTTCAGTACAGCTTAATTTACTTAACCATCTCCTGATTGTTGTGTGTGAATCTTATTCCAAATGCTTAGTAACTCTCCTGCAATAAATAATGTTTGTAATGGTATAACTCAGGGGTTAGCAAACTTTTTCTGTAAAAGGCCAAATAGTTAACATCCTAGGCTTTGTGGGCCATACAGTCCCTGCTGAACTACTCAAACTGCAAAAGCCACAGAAAAAAATATAAATTAATCAGCGTGGTGTCCCAATAACATTTTATTTACAAAAACAGGCAGTGGGCCAGATTTGGCCTATGGGCCTTATTTTGTCAACCACTGACAAACTGCCTCTATTTCTTCTTATTTTCAGCTTTCAGGAAATGGAATTACTATTTCCAAAGTGCCTTCTGGAAAGATAATAGCAATTTATATTGTCACTAGCAATTTATGAGAATGTTCCTCTCACCTCACCATCATCAGCACTGAGGTTTATCATTTTTTAAAATCTTGGCTGATACATAAAATATGGCATCTCATTTTGGTTTTAGTTTACATGTCTTTTGACTGATGAGACTGAACTCTTAACACGTTCATTAAGCTCCTATATGCCCTCTTTTGATAAATTACCGGTTAGCAGAACCCTCCTACCCACCTACAGTAGATACAGAGCATAACACAGAATCCGAACTTTGTGTTGTAAGCCACTAGAGATGTGGGGTTATCTGTTACAGCAGCATAACCACAGTATCCTATCTTCACATCTTTGCCCCATTTTTCCATTAGGACAATAATAGACACTGTTCATTGTTACCTCAAAGCCTTCACTTTAGTAACAAGTCCCAATTTATAAAGCAGGGCACATTTCTGGACTCTAGATAGGATTCAGTAGACAGGTGAAGCATGAAACAGGTGCTGGTCAATGAGACAGAGCGGGCCTGTGTGGCATTTCCCAAAGGTACTCTCCTTTTTTTTTTTTTTTTGAGACGGAGTCTCGCTCTACATGTAGCCCAGGCTGGAGTGCAGTGGCGCGATCTCGGCTCACTGCAACCTCGGCTCACTGCAACCTCTGCCTCCCGGGTCCTGGTTCAAGCGATTCTCCTGCCTCAGCCTCCTAAGTAGCTGGGATTACGGAGTGAGCCACCACGGCTGGCTAGTTCTTGTATTTTTACTAGAGACGGACGGGGTTTCACCATGTTGGCCAGGCTGGTCTTGAACGCCTGACCTCGTGATCTGCCTGCCTTGGCCCCCCAAAGTGCTGGGAGTACAGGCCCAAAGGTACTCTTAAAAGGGAAGAACACCCTCACCTCCCCCTCTGCTGTTTCTGCTGCCGGAAACATGGCTGTGATGCTGTTTGCTGTGGCAACATCTGGAACAAGGTTACGGCCACCCTGGGAGGGGTAGAGTGCTTAAACTGCAAAGAGCCTGGCTGTTGGTGTCTTCATGGAAGCATCACCTGCCTGGGACTGCTTATCTCCAGACTTTGTTCACACTGGAGACTATGCAGCCACCTTGCTGAAGTCACTGTGCTTTCTGGTGAATACAGCCATGCTGACTCCTGAGGGGCAAGGTTGGCAGGGGAGCTATGATGTTACAGATTTCTACCAAGTCATGATATTAACAGTTTGTCAGCAGATCTAAGACAACTCTTGTTCTCAGTTTCACTTTTTAAAATTGCTTTCAGTGTTGCTTATGATGTTTCCTGACCTACAAGTTTTTAAACTTTTCAGTACTCCTCTGTTTTCCTTTCATTTCTGTTTTCTTTATTCTCAGTAAATCTTCATTCAACTTTTTTTTTTTTGTAAAAAAGGATACAGTTTCTGTAAGTGGATCCAAGTTACTGAAAGAAACAAGAGAAATGTCTCTAGTAAGCAGCGTTTACAATAACCAGTTGAAATAAGCCTGCTAAAGCTAACAGTAATATGCCACAAGGAAAACAAAACATGTTTCATCAACAACTTTAAGGCCAACTTTAGGGCTGAGGCAGATGATTTAATCTACCTAATAGCCATAATAAGCTGTCACAGCCACTATTAAGGTGTTTACATATTTTTTCACTTAACTGCTACTTGCTTCTTTAAAATTCAAGTTAATAAATCTACATCTTGTGTTTTCTAAGTGGCAATAAATTGCTAATGGAACTGGAGACCAACTAGGGATGTATCTCGCAGAGACAGAAGGTCAAACTCGCCCGCTGCAGCATCCAACCCCATGGATCCTCCCCGCCTGTGTCTGGGTCTTCCCTGACAATTGCTCCTTTATTCCACCCTCTAAATGTGGTCACTCCCACCACTCGGTTTTTGCTCCCCACTCCTATTCTACACTCCCACCTCCCTGTCCCCACCATCCCCATTCCTATGTGTTCAATCACGTGTTCTTAGTGGATGCCTCCCAACCTGGCTCCGATGCTGTGGGCAGCTCACCAGCACATCCCAGCACACCATTCCCAAATCTGCATTCTGAAAACCCATCTCCATCCCCTCACTTCCCTAGTCAATTAATGGAGCCACTATTTTGTCAGGTTCAAAACCAGCTACTTTTCAACTGTTCTCTTCTGATTTCTAGTCAAATTCTCCTTTGAGACCCATAACAATGCTAGTCATATCATATTTCTGTAGTCCAGCAGTTCTTAAACTGTTTGGTTTCAGAACTCCTTTACGCTAAAAAGTTACTGAAGACTCCAAAGAACTTTTGTTTATACGCGTAATATCTACTGAGATTTAAAAATTTTAAATATTCACTCAAAAATAATAAATCAATTACACGTTAACACAAATACCTTTACCAAAAAAATCACTATACTTCCGAAAACAAAACAAAACAAAATCCAGTGACAACAATGGCATTGTTTTAACAATTCTGCAACGTCCTGCTTAAAAGACAACGGGATTCTCAAGCATTTGTTATGCTTGCTGCTGAAAGATCACACCTTGGGAAGCTCCACTGTCTACTTGTGAGGGAATGACAGTGGAAAAGATGAAAAACCTTCTTAATACATCATGAAGATAGCTCTAACCTCACACAACACCTGAAACAATCTTGGGGACCCCAAACCCTGGCCCACTCCTTGAGAATCACTGCTCTAATACAGTGCAGGGAGTCACTCCACCACACCTTTCGACGACTGAACTGCTTTATCTCCTCTTGTCTGCCCACCCGCACCCTCACCTCCAGCCCCGCCATCTCAGGGGCTTCCTATTTCATCACTAAGAAGAGAAAACAGGAAGAAGTCTTTGCCAAAGTCCCCCCCCCCCCCCGCCCACCGAACCCACGCACACAGGCATCTGCACCCATATGCTACTTGCTCTCCTGTCAATAGGCACGGAGTGCGGGCGAGAGACCCCCTCAGTACTCGGGACCCTCCTCCTGCAATTCTCTTTCCCTCCTGCATCTGCATCTTCAATTTCTCTTTCCTGGAAGAAATGTACAAATATGATGTGCACTGAGCCATCAGCTCCTCTTGAACAGCTTCCCACTCCTGGGACAGCCTGAAATGCTGTCTTCACTCAGCTTCTGAGACCATGGGGTTCTCCTCTCACCTCACTGAGCCACACGGTCTCCTTTACTTGAACACTTGATGCCCTAAGGCGCCATCTTACAAACTCTTAGCCTTTTTTTCTACACTTGTGCTGACCCCCAAATTTCCATCTTTAGCTCAGACCTAATCTTGAGACGCCCATGCCCAGATGCCTTCCTGGCCCCTCCACCTGGGTTTCTTGGTGCACTTGGCAGAGAAGTTCAGGTCTTATGATGGCCTCTCCAGGCCCTGCCCTTCTAACTCTCTGCTGTTATCCCCTTACCCTCCCATGCTCACTCTGTACCAGCCATGCGGCCTGCCTCCTATTTGAAACAGGGGTGTCTTCACTTACTGTTCCCTCTATCTGGAAGCTCCCCTGGCCCCCAGTGTTCATGTAACTCATTCCTAACTTCCCCAGGTCTTTCTTCAAGGGCAGTCTCCCTGAACCCCCAAACTAAAGCTGAATCCCCACTCACTTCCAGCTTTCCTTCCCTGCTTCTATTTTCCTTTGTAACTGAACACTAAGTTCCACATGACTCCCCGCACTGTGATTCCCAAGGTGTGGGCCAGGATTTGAGGGGGTCCCCAAAATTGTTTCAGGTGTTCTATGAAGTCACAGCTACTTTATGATACATTAAGGTGTTTAGAGGGGAAAATCTACATTCTATAAAGACACCTTTTTGTTTATGTCTTGTTCACTGCTGTGTCTCTAGAACTGGCACACAGTAGGCACTCAAATATTTTTCCAAGAATAAAATATGTGTTAAATTAATTGCAGTGTTCTACATCCATGGATTATTTCAATTCCAACTGCATCATCTAATCTGAGTCATTCTCAGAGTTTTCTACCAAAATGCCCTAATCAAAGAGGCAAGTAAATACAAAAAAATGGGAACCAGGTGTGGTGGCTCACACTTGTAATTCCAGCACTTTGGAAGGATTAGGTGGGAGAATCACTTGAGCCTGGGAGTTCCAGACCAGCCCGGGTAACAAAACAAGACCCTGTCTCCACAAAAAAATTTAAAAATTAGTGGGGTGTGGCAGCACGTGCCTGTAGTCCCAACTACTCGGGAGGCTGAGGCAGGAGGATTGCCTGGGCCTGGGAGCTTGAGACTAAAGCGACCTAGGATTGTGCCACTGCACTCCTGTCTGGGCAACAGAGCGAGACCCTGTCTCAAAAAATAAAAGAAAATGGGGAATAAGTGGAGTTCCCCTACTGGCACCTTCTGAAGAGGCCACATGATTCTCTGAAATCTAATATTTTCTTGCAAGTGTTCCTGTGTATTTTCTTTCTATTCATTTCCATGTAAAACTGTTGTCCTTTCCTAGATCTTCAGTTAAAACTGATTCTCCATGAGGCTCTGCCTTTTCTTGAAGCTTCAAGGCACCCTGTCACCTCCCATGCTGCACCTCCCAAACTGAAGCCTCTGTCAAGTCATCGTCTCTGGGCCACTGCCAAGGCCTCCTGAATGGCTTACCTGCCCAGTTTACCTGCTGTCATCACATGACAGCCCACAGAGCTCAGTGGTTAAGAATTTGAATCCATCACCTGGATTCTACAGTGAACACTTTGCTACACTGGCTTCATCATTTCTCTCTGCCCACCTATCAATCCTAGATCCACTTTTAAAAACAACAGGGCAGTAAGTGAAAACGAAAAACCAAGTGGTTCCGATTCAAGGGTCAGGAGGATAGAAAGGACTATGGGATGAGATGGCTGGGAACACTTTAAAGAGAGGGTGAGCCTCTCCAGAGGCTCCAGGTGGGTTAAGACCCACTCCAGAGCAGTGGATCGCAAACGGAATGTGCGTTTCTAACATGGTCCCCTGACCACAGGCACCAAGTCTTTCAGAACCACTGCTCCAGAGCCAATATCCTTGGATGAAGTTCCTCGCTTTACTCATTCTCACCTGGGCCAATTCACTTGTGCTTGCCATGCCTTGGTTTACTCATACACAAAATGGGGGTGACAGCACCTCAAAGAATCGTGAGGATTAACTGGATTATTACGTGGGCACTCAGAACAATGCAGGGAACAGTGAGTTCAACACAAGTCACCGTAGCTACCAGACTGGCCCAACAGAAAATTCTTTCCACAGGATCAAGTCTAAACCCCTCCTGTTTCACCCATTTCTTCCTGACTGCTCAGTGGCAGAAACCAGCCACTAGATTCGCACTGATCCCAGTTGTCTGACCGCACTTCAAGTTTCCCCATTTTCATGCCCCGCTCCTTCTCCGGAACTTCCGTCTTCCTCACTTACCAATGTGTTATCCATCTTCAAGGCTCACCCCCTCTTTGAAATGTTCCCAGCCATCTTATCCCATAGTTCTTTCCATCTTCCTGACACTTGAATCGGAACCACTTTGTCCTTAGTTTTCACATACCGCCCTGTTGTTTTTTTAAAGTGGATCCAGGACTGATAGATGGGAAGGAAGGAGAGATACCAGCGTAGCAAAATGTTAACTGCAGAATCCAGGAAAAGTGTCTATAAAAGCACATGGTGAAATTCCTCCAACTTTTCTAAATGTGTGGGAATCTTCATAATAAAATGTTTTCTTAAAAAAAAAAAATTGGTACCTGCAAATCAGAGGTCTGGCCTTAACTCGAATCCAAAGAAACTGCATCCAGGGCTCTGGGCACAGCGAGCCTCCCCTAAGATCTGCCGTGACTCCTCACAGAGGAAAGGTGTGTACACCGGGGTGCGCAGCTACAGTAACTAAACTTGCAAACACTAACCATGACTGAGACAGCATCTGCTGCAGGGGACGCAGTGATCAGTGTCATTTCATTTGGATACAATTTAACCACGGCCACCAGGTGGGCTTCACGATGTACACATCCCAACAGCTGCTGACCAGCTTCCGATCCTCGCAAGCCCCCTCTGCGGCCTGGCCGTCGGCGGTGCCCTCTGCCCAGAAGAGGCGCGGCCCGGCCACGAACCAGCAAGCAGTAGGGCAGGGCGAGAAGCCCAGGTCGTGGGCTCCAGGCCGCGTCTCCAGCTCGCCCCATCACCCCAGCGCCTCCTGACAGCGACCACGAGCGGAGGCCCGAGCGCTGCCCCAGAACCTGCCAGCTCGCAGGGTCCAGAGACAAAGTTTGAGCACCTCGGCCAAGGTCGCCAAGGCCGGCGTGCGTCGACTCCAGGCCCACCTCTCCCTGGACCCTGTGGCCCCAGGGAGGCGCCCACGTTGGCCGGCGGGGGGTGGTTCTCGCGGGTCCCCGTCCGGGCTTGGGGTCCGGCCGGGAAGGCGCGGCTGGGGCCGGAGCTGGCGGGGCCGGGAAGCGAGGCCCGGCCAAGAGCGGCTGGCCCTAGGCGCGTGTCACTCACATGTTGTTGAAGCGGAACAGGTCGTCGCAGGTAAAGGCCCGTAGCGTGGTCATCGCGCCGCCGCCGCTTCCGAAGACCGTTCGCCAAGACCCCGCGCCCGCCCTGCCGGAAGTCTCCCGGAGCGTGGCCGCCGCGGAACCGAGCGAGACGGGGTACTGCTTCCGGGCTACGAGTTGCTGGGCAACGACAGCAGCAAAGCAGCTTCCTCTGGCGGCCGGCGGCGGGAATTGCCAGGTCGCTCCTGTAAGGCCTCCGGGGCTGTGGCTGCCCAGAACCTCGGAACCCCTCCCAGGCAGCGGCTGCAGAAAGCAGGCGGCGACACCTGGGAAGGAAAGAAGCTGCTGGTGATGCGGAAACCCAAGCAGAAGAGCGGAGTTCGCAGCCACCCGGTGCTGCAGAGTAAATGAGGAATGGGAGAATTTATGACCCAGAATCCCTTGTCCCAGTGTTGCGAGTTGCAGATGTCATCTTAAAATGTCAATACCACGTTTAAAAACAAAAAGAAGGCCGGGCGCGGTGGCTCACGCCTGTAATCCCAACACTGGGAGGCCAAGGCGGGCAGATCACTTGAGTTCAGCAGTTCGAGACCAACCTGGCCAACATGGCGAAACCCCCTCTCTACTAAAAAAAAAAAAAAAAGGAAAGAAATAAAAATTAGCTGGGCGTGGTGGCACGCGCCTCTAATCCCAGCTACTTGGAGGCTGAGGCAGGAGAATCGCTTGAACCCAGGAGGCGGAGGTTGCAGTGAGCCGAGATCTCGCCACTGCACTCCAGCCTGGGCGACAGAGCTAGACTTGGTCTCAAAAATAAATAATAAATAAATAAAAGCAAAACGAAATGTAAAATTGATTTTGATAGTACGCTTTATTTTACCCATTTATTTTTCCTATTTGGGAAAAATATTTTTCCCTGACCCCACTTTATTATACCCGAAATATCATTTCAACATGTAACCAATCAATACTCAACATGTAATCAATCAATAAAAAAAGGAATGTGATATGTTACATTCTTTTTTGCAAAGACTTTGAAATCCGGTGTGTATTTTACATTTGCAGTGCATTTCAATCTGAGAGAGCAGCTGTCATCGGAAATGCTTGTTCTCTATTTAGATTTCATCAATGTATGGTTAAAAAGCAGATTCTCATATCCAAGCGGTTCCAAATATACTGTTTTCAAATCGCTGAACCAAACATCAGTTTTTAAATTTAAAGTAGTTAAAATTAAAAGTTAAAAATTCCTTTATTCAGACCAGACACAGTGGCTCACACCTGTAATCCCAGCTACTTGGGAGGCTGAGGTGGGAGGATCATTTGAGCCCGGGAGGTAGAGGTTGCTCTGAGACATGATTGCACCACTGCACTCCAGCCTGGGTGACACACCAAGACCCTGTCTCAAAAAGATAAGATAAAGAGAGATAAAATACATAAAGCAAGCAGGAATGCTGAAATGTATTTACACATGAGTGTTAAACTGGTCAATATCCACAGAGCTGTAATCACTGTCTCTCCTGGGCACTGTATAACACTATGCATTTGTATTTTATGGACAAGAAAAATTTTCATTACTATCAATTTTCCTCAGCTTACAAATTTGTAAAATTTTGTATTGTCAAAGACAATAAAAAGCAGAGAAAACCTGGAAACGTGTACTAAACAGTAATCTTTTTCTGGCCATTTCAAAGTGTTTCATAATTTTTTGTGTGTGACATGAACTAATGTTGATTTGAATTTTGTTCCTTATGAAGTAGTGAAGGTTTTTATAATATTTTTGGCTCTGATTCATTGGTATTATAAACATTAGAAGTTTATAGCTACTTTATGTTTGTATCTAGGTAATGGTGGAATAAACATGATTTTGATTTTTAGAAAAAAACACTGTGGGTTTAACACAAAGGTAGCATTGGAACCCTGCAGAAACTGGATGCTGTAGGCCAGCAGTTTGCAAGCACCGATACGAATTATTATTCCGATTTTGAGGCACAGATCAGAAATATCCTATAGCTACGTGGCCATTCCAACACATGGGGTCAGGGGAACGTGCAGGGCAGTACAGAGAATATCCTGGATATTCACCAGCTGGTTCTCCCTTCTCTCCTGTTTGTCTACTTATTTTTAAACTGTTATCAGTTTCCATTGCTGATTGCCTCCTATGAATTAGCATCTCGAAGGGTGGCCAGTAAGTGCCTAGCAAATATTGATTAAATAGCTGAGTGAAAAAGTGGCACACAGGTTACCCAGAAGATAATGTCATCCTTGGTAGTTTACAAAGAGGGTATTCACATTCTCAACAAAGGTATTTCACCTCTCTTTGCCTCAGTTTCTGTAAAAGGTGCATAATCATAGCACCTACTTCATTGGATTATTATGAAGATTACATGAGTTAATATTTGTAAAGCAGTTATAACAGTGCTTGCCACATTTTAAGTGCCATATAAGTGTTTGTTAAGAAAAATAATGAAATTAAGTATCTTGCATTTTGAAGGATCAGAATCTGGAGATGTAGAGTTAGGAGAGGCACAGCCCTCAATCATAGACCTTAGCACAAATGGCTCTGGAGGGGTGATGTTTGCTCATAGTCCCCGATGAGCAGCTTAGAGGAGATGGGTGGGGCTTTGGAAGCCGCCTCCCTTTCCTCTTATTGTCTTGCTTCAACCAGAAAAGTCTACATGTTGACACACTTGTTTTATGGGTTTTAAAAATACCTTTTAGGGCTATTTACATTCTTAAAGACTTTTTAATAAAAAGGATATATGCACATTATTAAGAAATCAAAGACTTGTGGAAATGTACAAAGAATAAAGCAACAAATCATTGAAAATTTTGCCACCTGGGAATAAACCATGTTAACTCTCAGATAATTTCAGTCATCTCTCTATGTAGATTAAGGGGAGTGAGAAAGAGACTTTTACTTAAAAGGGATTCTAATTATATATGTTAATAGATTATGAAGTATAAGGTATTACTGTACTTGACTTTTTTCTTGAATTTAACAGAAGAAAAACAAATCAAATGAAAATGAAAGAGTGCCAGGCGCGGTGAGTCACGCCTGTAATCCCAGCACTTTGGGAGGCCGAGGCAGGTGGTTCACCTGAGTTCAGGAGTTTGAGACCAGCCTGGCCAACACGGTGAAACCCCATCTCTACTAAAAATACAAAAATTAGCCGGGCGTGGTGGTGGGCACCTGTAATCTCAGCTACTCGGAAGGCTGAGGCAGAAGAATCGCTTGAACCCAGGAGGCAGAGGTTGCAGTTTGCTGAGATTGCACCACTGCACTCCAGCCTGGGCGACAGAGGGAGACTCCATGTCAATAAATAAATAAATAAATAAATAGGCTGGGCGCGGTGGCTCACACCTGTAATCCCAATGCTTTGGGAGGCCGAGGCGGGTGGATCATAAGGTCAGGAGTTTGAGACCAGCCTGGCCAACATGGTGAAATCCCATCTCTACTAAAAATACAAAAAAAATTTAGCCAGGCATGGTGGCGGGCGCCTGTAATCCCAGCTACTTGTCAGGCTGAGGCAGGAGAATCGCTTGAACCCGGGAGGCAGAGGTTGCAGTGAGCCGAGACTGTACCACTGCACTCTAGCCTGGGTGACAGAGCAAGACTCTGTCTCAAAAAATTAAAAAATAATACAAAGAATAAATAAATAAATAAATATGAAAATAAAGAGATTGCTGAGCAGCACAAAATAAAAGCTCCTAAAAGTTTCCTGTAAAGTTTAAGATATGTATAGTATTATCTTATATATGTATTAAATGTAATTTCAATCTCCTAATGAGGATAATTAATGGTCAAAATCAGATTTTTTAATAGAAATTTCAATTTAGGGCACTATTTACTCTTTTTTTGTGTTGTTTTGTTTTTTGTTTTTTTGCTTTTTTGAGACAGGGTCTCGCTCTGTCTCCCAGGCTGGAGCGCTGGCAAGATCTCAGCTCAGTGGAACCTCTGCCTCCTGGGTTCAAGGGATTCTCCTGCCTCCGCCTCCTGAGTAGCTGGAACTATAGGTGTGCACCACCACACGAGGCCTTTTTTTTTTTTTGAGACAGAGTCTTGCTCTGTCGCCCAGGCTGGAGTGCAGTGGTGTGATCCCAGCTCACTGCAACCTCCGCCTCCTGAGTTCAAGCGATTCTCTGCCTCAGCCTCCTTAGTAGCTGGGATTACAGGTGCCCGCCACTATGCCTGGCTACTTTTTTTGCATTTTTAGTAGAGACGGGGTTTCACCATCTTGGCCAAGCTGGTCTTGAACTCCTGACCTTGTGATCCACCAGCCTTGGCCTCCCGGAGTGCTGGGATTACAGGCGTGAGCCACCGTGACTGGTCTTTTTCTTTCTTTCTTTTTCTTTCTTTCTTTTTTTTTTTTTTTTTGAGAGAGGGTCTCTCTCTGTTGCCCAGGCTGTAGTGAAGTGGCACCATCTCAGCTCACTGCAACCTCCACCTCCCAAGTTCAAGCGATTCTCGTGCCTCAGCTCCTGAGTAGCTGGGACTATAGGCGTGTGCCACCATTCTCTATAAAGCCACATCAGTTTTTCAACTATATATCACCTAGTTGTTTGGTTTTAAGTCTATGATTGAGTGGATGTAATTGTCATTCCTGTTTCTTCTTACAGCTTTTCCCTTTCCATTCTTCATTCTGATGCATGTATGGGTTGGCTGGGTTTCTCTGCTGAGCTTTTGTTTGTTTGACTTTGCTGTGCTTTGTTTTTCCTCGGGCTCATGGTGCTGGTGCTCTATTCACAGAGCGCCCTTGTCTCTTAGGATGCTCAAGTGGAATATTGGCTGGATATTCCTGGATCCCATGTTCTCTCCTCCAAGATTTTGTAAACATCATTACTCCATTGTTTTCTGGTGTTTAAAGTTTCTGGGGGAGAAGAATAAGGCCAGCATGAGTTTTTTTCCCCCTTGTATCAGCGACTTAATTTATGCTGGAGTCTAATTATAACATTTCTAGAAATATAATTATAACACTTTCAGAAATAAAACATTTTTAACAGTGCATGTGTTTTAAACCTAGTGAATCTGACAATTTCAGCAGTTTAACACTGAAATGTACTAAAAACTTCAAAACAGAATCACTCATACATAGCTGATGGGAATATAAAATGGTGCAGCCCCTCTGGAAAACAGTTTGGTAGTTTCTTTACAAATTGAACATGCAAACATGCAACTATCACTTAACCCAGCAATTGCATTCCTGGGCATTTACCCCAGGGAAACGAAAAGTTACGTTTTTATCAAAACATCTGTATGAATATTTAAGCCGGAATCAAAAGTCTGTGTACCCTGTGATTCCATTTACATGGACATTCTTTTTTTTTTTTTTTTTTTTTTTTTGAGACAGGGTCTCACTCTGTTGCCCAGGCTGGAGTGAAGTGGCACCATCTCGGCTCACTGCAACCTCCACCTCCCAGGTTCAAGCGATTCTCCTGCCTCAGCCTCCCGAGTAGCTGGGGCTATAGGTGTGTACCACCACACCTGGCTAATTTTTATATTTTTAGTAGAGATGGGGTTTTGACATATTGCCTAGGCTGGTCTCAAACTCCTGGCCTCAGGTGATCCATCCACCTCAGTCTTCCAAAATGCTGGGATTACAGGCATGAGTGAATGTGCCCAGCCATTTATATGACATTCTGAAAGGGCAGAATTATAGGAACAGAAGAAAACAGACCAATGTTTGCCCAGGCTGGGACTGATCATGGTGGTGGCTACATGACCAAATGAGTCTGTCAAAATACATCAAATGTGTACTAATATGAGTCAATTTTACTTTATCAAACTTATACCTTAATAAATCTGACTTTAAACAGAAGAATCACCAGCACTTTGGGAGGCTATGGTGGGAGGACTGCTTGAGGAGTTGGAGACCAGCCTGGGCAACAAAGCGAGACCCCATCTTTACAAAAAAACAAAAACAAAAAAAAAAAAAAAAAAAAGGAAGAAGAAGAAGAAGGAGAAGGAGAAGGAAAAGAAGAAGAAATAGCCAGGCATGGTGGTATGTGTCTGTAGTCCCAGCTACTTAGGAGGGTAAGGCCAGGGGGATCCCTTGAACCCAGGAGTTTGAGGCTCCAGTGAGCCATGATTGCACCACTGCACTCCAGCATGGTGTTTTTAAAAAAGAAAGGAAGGGAAGGGAAGAGAGGGGAGGGGAGAAAGGGAGAAGGAAAGCTGAGATTGTGCCACTGCACTCTAGCCTGGGCAACACAGTGAGACACCGTCTCAAAAAAAGAAAAAAGAAAAGAAAAAGGAAAAGAAACCAATAAGCAGCAGTATCAGCATATTTTTAGAAGTATGGAGATAAATAATGGTGGGAGGGGAGGGGAGGGGACAGAAGGAAGGAAGGAAGGAAAGAAGGAAGGATCAGCATAGTCTTTCCATTTTTGTCACCATCATTTTAAGAAGTATATTTGAAAAGCATGAACTACGTTAAACCCCACAGTTACTTGGGCTTCTAGGACATGCTGTTATTGACTTCTGTTTCAGTGCATTTGATTTTATTTTTAGCCGGCAGTAAAACACTGTTTCTATCCCGGCTGCACATTTTCCCCTACATTAAAGATGACTCATAGAACTCTTTATTTATCATTCTACACAGAGTAATTTCTTTTACTGCTTAGTTGGAAAAAACTACAAGCTTTTACCACATTTAATGGCAAACATTTTCCTGCTCATTGAAACAAAACACCATGTGCTCTCTGTAAACAGTGCTGACCCAGATTCACATCCATCATTGCAAAATTCCACATTGAAAACAAGCAAACAGCTTGATGGTTCATCTGTTGTTGCTCTGTTTCTTTTCTTTCAGATTATATGGAAAGGACAAAGTGCACAGTAAATATATATTTTGATATATCCTAGGCAGCATACTTTACAATTAAACAGCTTGGATGTTTGGATGACTTCATATAAGAAATTTTTTATATAAAATAATAACTGGATAAGATAGATGCATTGACTCTGGCCTATCATTGTAATAATCTATTTTCAGTTTTGCTAACTAGGATGTATAAGTTCATTCACCATTCAAATGTAAAACTACAGGTTTCTTTCTTTATTATTTTATTATTTATTTTTTTTCTTATTAAAACTACAGGTTTCAATTAAACAAGGCAGGCTGCATTACCTATCTTTCCCCTACCAATACCTCACTAAAATGAGAATTAAAGAAAATTTAAAAAGGAATTTTTAAAAGGGCATACATCCATAGGAACAAAAAGAATGGAAGAGGAGACAGCAGCCAATGGGAACTGGTAACAAAATTTTGCGGGCTTGAAAACTCAGCAGACAGGAGAAAGCTAGATGTTAACCAATGTCAGGCGGAAAAGCCAGCAGGAAGCAAGGCAATCGATTCCCTATGCAGCGTCTGAGCGGGCTCAGGAATGAGCTCTGGCAGGTGTGAGTGAAGGGAGAAGATGAGCGCCTCACTCCTGGAGAGACCCAGAAGCCATGTCCCTGAGCCGTCAGAGCACAGGCAGCGAAAAGTGACGTTGAGACACTGCATTGGAAATGGGAGGAGGTGAAAGCTGGCAGACGGAAAGCTGAAAACCCACAGGCTCCTTGCCTGCTTAGCTCCTAGAACGCTGGCAACAAAATTTAACCCCACTTTGCACCCGGCGCCCGTAGGATACTGGAGAATTTTCTTGTGGGGAAACCACCTGACCCAGGAGAAAAGCCCCACAGGCATTGACATATGACCAGGCTGCTACATGGTCACCCTAAGGAGAGGACCACCATACAAGAAGGTTCAATCCTCACCTTCCATGATATGGAATCAATTATTAATGTCTAATATTGAAAAAGAGGCCGGGCATGGTAGCTCACGCCTGTAATCCCAGCACTTTGGGAGGCAGAGGTGGGTGAATTACTTCAGGTCAGGAGTTCAAGACTAGCCTGGCCAACATGGTGAAACCCCTTCTCTACTAAAAATATAAAAATTAGCCGGGTGTGGTGGCACATGCCTGTAATCCCAGCTACTCAGGAGGCTGAGGCAGGAGAATTGCTTGAACCTGGGAGGTGGTTTGCAGTTAGCTGAGATCGTGCCGCTGCACTCCAGCCTGGGGGACAGAGTGAGACTCTGTCTCCAAAAAAAAAAAAAAGAAAGAAAGAAAAGAAAAAGAAACCAATAAGCAGCAGTATCAGCATCTTTTTAGAAGTATGGAGATAAATAATGAATACACAGCTGGAGACGTAGTTTAGGGGAGGAGATAACAGAAATGGGATTGGGAGGAGGCTCAGGGGCTGCTGCCTTCCATTGCAAGTCTTCCAATATTTGATTTTGAAAACCATGTATTGTGTTTATTCTTTTAAAATCCTCCTTCCCCTTGAAAAACATAAGGCAAAATCATGTGAGTAAACCAGTGTCATCTGGAAAAACAAATGAGGGCTCAGGATTGTCCACAATGGTTACCTGGAGAAATGAAAGAGTTCTGCGAAATTCACCATACTTTCCCTTTGAAATTGTCTGCTGGGGATTCCACAGGAGCTTTTTCCAGCGATGTTTTAAATCATCCACTCCTTGCTCACCGAAGAGGTTTTATTAAACACATCTTTGTTTTTCGAAGTTGGTGAGTAAAAGGGTCTTATGATTAGTAGATTCTCAGGGAATGAAATGCCTTTAAAAGGAAGTTGGCTGTTCTTCTTCTTCTTTTTTTTGAGACAGAGTTTCACTCTTGTTGCCCAGGCTGGAGTGCAACGACACAGTCTCGGCTCATCACAACCTTCCCTTCCTGGGTTCAAGCCATTCTCCTGCCTCAGCCTCCTGAGTAGCTGGGATTACAGGCGTGCGCCACCACACCTGGCTAATTTTGTATTTCTAGTAGAGATGGGGTTTCTCCATGTTGGTCAGGCTGGTCTCAAACTCCCGACCTCAGGTGATCTGCCCACCTCGGCCTCCCAAAGTGCTGGGATTACAGGCGTGAGCCACTGTGGCCGGACCAGCTGTTCTTTAAGAAAATAAAAAAGCTTATAAACTTCCCATGTCACATGCAGACAATGTGACTAATTGTGCAGACTACATGACGACATCCGTGCGTGCACACACATGCATGTGCAAGCAGCTGGCCCGGACAGAGAGATCCCCCTCCGCTGCTCCTGTTTGCCCTCATACAGATGTTGGAGGTGAGAGAAGCCACTCTCCAGCAAACTCAGCAAAATCATTAAGTTTGACTTCAGCAATCCCACCTAATTTTCAGAATCTTTTCCCCACGCCCTTCAAGCCCCTTTTCCCTGTCAAAGCAAGAAGAACATAATTGAATATATATAATGAGGTAAAAACTTGGTTCCTGACATTTGTTTGTTAAGCCTTTTGTCCATAATGTAGGTGATTTTAAATGAAGTTATGCCTTACTCTTAGCAAAACAATTATGAGCTATTTTCTTCTCCTTTCCTGCAGGGTTCTAAGAGCAGCACACCTCCTACATTTGTGTATTTGTATCAGCTGCACAAATGCCAAGGCCCCAAATATACCTTGAACTAATGCTTCTCAAGCCAACTCTAATGTGCTCGTGAATCTTGTTAAAATGCAGATTCTGATCCAGCAGGTCTGCCAGGGGTCTGAGATTCTCACAAACTCCCAAAAGATGTGATGCTTGATCCGTGGACTATGGTTTTCAAGGCAAAACCCTAAACTATCTGTTCAATGAGAGTTTGCAATTTGTCAGGTCTCATATTTTCATGTGCTAGCGAAAAATAGAAGCTTTGTGATGTCGTAGCTGCTTCACTTACGTATTTTTTTCTGATTGGTTAAAGAGTCTCTAGCATTTTATTGTTTTCTGTAGTTTTTCTTTCAGTAGATAATAGATGCATAAGTCTTTTCTGCATATGATCGTACATCAATAGGCTGCAGAGAAAAATGGGAGTGAGAAAGATAAAATGGACGGAAACTGCAATCTGGTAAATAAATGCATTCTCTCATAATTTGTAGAAGTGGTGAGAAATCGGAAGCACGCACATCAGAAATAAAAAGAATTAATCACGTCAACCTCTGTATTCTTCTTGGTAAAGCACCAAGTTTTAAACAATAGTCCTGTTAAATGATATAAATGGACATATAAATTCGTGAATATAATAAAGTAAAAGGGGAAAAAGGTGGAGGAAAGTGGTTAAAATAATCACTGACTATAATTATGCTTTTACTTAAATAATAATTCCTTTTTGGGAAATACTATTTTAGACTCTTGTGCAGGCAGAGATGGTTCCTCTTAGGATTTCGATCTGCCCGTGACTGGGAAGCTAGCAAGACGTCTTTGCAACCTCCCTTGCTCCCTTCTCCCTTCTTGGCGAAAGTCACCCCTGGCTATGGGCCCTGATGATGCTCTTGACCAGCATTGAATACTGGGGAAAATGAGCTACTCCCAACTCACACGCACACACCACCATCACCGCCATCACCACCGTCAGCAGTAACAACAATAAAGTTAGGCCAGGTGCGGTGGCTCACGCCTGTAATCCCAGCACTTTGGGAGGCCAAGGCGGGTGGATCACGAGGTCAGGAGATCGAGACCATCCTGGCTAACACGGTGAAACACCATCTCTACTAAAAATATAAAAAATTAGCCGGGCATGGTGGCGGGCACCTGCAGTCCCAGCTACTCAGGAGGCTGAGGCAGGAGAATGGCATGAACCTGGGAGGCGGAGCTTGCAGTGAGCCGAGATCGTGCCACTGCACTCCAGCCTGGGCGACAGAGTGAGACTCCGTCTCAAAAATAAATAAATAAATAAAATAAAATTAATGACTAGTATTCACTTTATGTTTGATCTTCCTACATTGAGCAACCCGCCCCAGTACATTTTTCTTAAACCTTTGATACCCATTACTGCCTTTCTTCTGTTTCACAAGAAACTTGCCAGCAGATAATAGCATGAATGGGTAAGCAGAAATAAGCAGTAGGGGTGAAATGCCAAAGCAGTCGATTATCTAATAATCATAATAAGTAACATTTAACAGTGCTTGTGGTGTGGTGCCTGGATGTTCTAAGCACTTTGCATGGATCAATTTATGTTTGCCTTACAGCAGTGCCTGAAGAGGCAAGATGCTATTTTCATCCTTGGCTAGTAATAGGTACATACGTTTGACAGGATGCATGTGTCTGTTCCTTTGTAGATGTAACCTGTGAATGTGTTTTATTTTATATACACATACCGTTTTTTTTTTTTTAACTTTTAAGATCATCCCTAGTTGATATGCTAGAACTGCACTCTCCAATATGGTAGCCACCAGCCACATGTGGCTATTGGTTATTTAAGACATGGCCAGTGTGAAATGAGATGTGCTGTAGGTGCAAAATGCACACAAGACTTTGAAGACAATATAAAAAATAAAAAAATGTAAAATGCCTCTTTAATATTTTTAATTGATTGGTTGTTGAAATATATTTGAGATATCATGAGCTAAATAAAATTACTAAAATTGATTCTACATATTTCTTCTTGATTTTTAAAAATGTGGCCACTAGTAAATGTAAAATTACCTATTATGTGGCTTGCTTCGTATTTCTACGGGATAGCACCAGGCTAGAAGTACATGTTCCATGGTCCTCTGCCAGCCAAATCAGGTTGAGAATGCATGCTTGGTTAGGTGTCAGTGGTCTTGGTTAGGCAAAGGTGTTACTTCTCGCAGGTGTGTTTTTATATTAAAATCCAGATTTTGATCTAAACTAGTAGTTTTCACAGCAGAAGCACCTTGGAAGTTTAAAATAAATATGGCTGGCTGGGTCGCCTCTGCAGAGATTCTGATGGTCTGGGCAGCTGGGGCATTGGGAGTTTTAAAAGGCTCCGGGTGACTTCAAGCTGACAGCCAAAGCTGAGAGCCACCTATTCAAATGGAACAACGGACACTGGGTCTTGGTGACAGATAGTGTGGGCGGGTAATGTTTGCAGTGGGGCCGGGTTCACACTTTTTGAGTCTCTGGTTGGAACTGAAGAAACAAACTGTGAAAAGGATCAGAGCCTGCTTTTTGGCAAGGAGGCTTGGAATAGAGTTAAGAGCACCCTCAAACCTACTACGTGAGGGAAAACCCAGCCCACAGAATCATGGTGGGGAAATGGGAAGAAAGGGAAGCAATGGAGCTAATTATGTGTAGTGATATTTCCCCCAGGAAACCGAAGGCTGGTTACAGAGGTGAAGGCCGTCTAGGAGCTCCTCCCTGGCCACCCGTGGTCCTCAGGTTCTGAGCCCCTCTCCACAGGTGGCAGGATCTGACCACCCCCGTTCCCCAGCAGTGAGAAATGAGGGCTGGCTGTAGTAGTTCTAATGTGTGCACTCAAAGGAAATACTCAGATTCATTAATGTAATGATAGTCTAAGTGTCTTACATGCAGCCTCAGAGTTCAGGCAAATTTTACTTTTAAATGGGAGAATTTATAGCAGACTCGAGATAAGAAACTCTGCCCCCATCTCCACCCCCAACCACCTCACTCCAACTGAAGCTTCTCCAGGGAGACTTCTGAGGGGAGGCCTTGGTTACACTTTCTCAGAAATTTGGGAAGCTGAGGGGGGTAGATCCCTTGAGTTCAGGAGTTTGAGACTAGCCTGGGCAACATAGTGAGACCTCACCTCTACAAAAAATAAACACAAATTAGCTGGGCATGGTGGTGCACACCTGTAGTCCTAGCTAGTCAGGAGGCCGAGGTAGGAGGATTGTGCTTGAGCCCAGGAGGTTGAGGCTGCAGTGAGCCGAGATAGCACCACTGCATTTCATTTCAGCCTGAGTGACAGTCACACCTTGTCTCAAAAAAAAAAAAAAAAAAAAAAAGGTTACATGCCCAGACCTTTCAGAATAATTATATATATTTTTAACTTCCCATACCTACATTTCTTCCAAAGCTAGTATTCATGGGGGAAAGGTTTGTGCCAACTGCCACCATTTTTGATGTTGGAGTAAAATCGATCTTTTTCTAATCAGAACCTGTTTCTTGAGACAAATGCCAGATGTTTTCCTCCTCCCTCCCTCTCTGCCTTCTTTTTTTTTCTTTTTTTTCTTTTTGAGACTGAGTCTTGCTCTATTGCCCAGGCTAGAGTGCAGTGTCCTCATCTCAGCTCTCTGCAACCTCCGCCTCCTGGCTTCAAGGGATTCTCCTGCCTCAGCTTCCCGAGTAGCTGGGATTACAGGTGCCTGCCACCATGCCCGGCTAATTTTTGTATTTTTAGTAGAGATGGGGTTTCACATGTTGGCCAGGCTAGTCTTGAACTCCTGACCTCAAGTGATTCACCCACCTTGGCCTCCCAAAGTACTGGGATTACAGGCATGAGCCACCGCGCCTGGCCCCTCTCTGCCTTCTTTCCTTCCTTTCCTTATCACGTATTTAGGATTTTGCAATGTTAGGCGATTTCTTTCCCATATTTCCAACTGAATTAGAGTTAACCAAATGACAAAAAGTACTTTTGGTCTCAAATTCACCATCATGAAAATGGGCCGAAAAAATGAGGACACTTAGAATTTTACTATCAGATACTGCCAGATGATTAAAATGCCTGTGTTCCACACACACTGTGCCCTTCGGAGTCCTTCTTGTGCTGTTTCTGTTTCTCTGAGACTGCTGGTAGGAGACCAGGAGTGACTAGGTGTGACCAGGCATGACGGCATGAGCAGGCGTTAAAGATTGGAGCGCTGCCTCATTTCAAGTCTCTTAAAGAAGATGAAGGTAACAGCTGCCCAATGAGGACGGAACCGCATTTGTGAATGGAAGCATTCATAGCTGGGTTTCCTGTCCTTTGTATTTTCTTATAGATCTGAAGTTGTAACCTCCACATAATATGAACTACTTCAACAGTTTCTATTTCTATTCTGTGTCCCGGGGGTGTGGGGGTGGTACTAGAGTGAAAGTATTTGGCAGCGCATGCAACATAAAAAAAAAAAAAAATCCCTTCCTTTGGCCGGCGTTCAACTTTTATAACATGTTTTTATTTTTACTTTTTTGTAGGGGGAAGACAGGGTTGCTCTGTCGTCCAGGCTGCAACGCAGTGGCGGGATCATAGCTCCCCGCACCCTCAAACTCCTGGGATCAAGCGATCCTCCCACCTCAGCTATAATGTATTTTTAAATTTGGAAATGCGTTCTCCTCTTCCTCCACCCAGCATGTATATTTTTACTCTCCTCTTATTCCCTCCAACCTTCACCCAAGTCTGTTTCCTGGCAATTTGAGAAGTGAGAAATGCCTGCGTGGGGGAAAAAGTGGAGGCACATGTTGTGTTGTAATTTTAACGGGGAAACATTGCCCAATGACAAAACCAGGGACCGTCTTGTGATGTTGCTTTCTGCCCACGCTACCTTTTCCTCTTCTGAGCCCGCTCTCGTCCCACCGAAGGCTGCAAGGCTGCCTCGCATCCAGAGGCTGTGACCTGCTTTAAATCAACAAAGCATGATGATCTTAGTTTGAAGAGTTGGGAGGACAACCATATGGATTGAGCTGTCATCTTTTGGTCCGTTGTAAATATCAAAAGCAGGCAGCCCATTCAATTCTCATTCTGATCTTTACGGATCTCTCCCACTGATGAGTTAGAAACCCTTCTAAACTCATGTTTTCCTTCCTTCAGCCAGCAAGGATTTATTGAGCACTTACTATTAATATATGCCAGGCACCCTTCCAAGCATGGGGAGTATGGCAGCGAGGAGTCCAAGCCTCTGCGCTATCAATTTTGCAACAGCACTGAACTGTCACCCAGGGCATTGCAGAGGTTACGTGAGGACAGGGTGGGGCTGTCTGCAGGACCCCAGCTAACTCCGGGTTCAAATTACCTGTGATTTGCTCTAAGTCCCACTGAGCCAAGTACAGCACTAGATAACAATGAAAACACTTTCAGGTGGGAGGATGATCTTTTCCTTCTGCTCCTTAACTTTTGCCCCATATCAGGAGGAGCTTCTGAGAAATGTGAGCTTTTCTGCTCACCCCCACGATACATTGTCTAACCACAAACCCTGGTTCGGATTTCATCTGTCCATGACACTGCGTGGTGCATGAATATATTCTTACTCTAAAGAAAAAAAAAAACAGCCAAAGGATATTTCAAAAATTATTTTCACACATGATTATCATACAGTATTACAATGTATTATGTGCAAAATTCCATTTAAAAAATCATTTACAAAAGTACAACACAGTATGTGCTGAGGGTTCTAGTTCAACAAAAGCCAAGGCTAAAAAAGGTACAAGGTACAAAGCCAACCAAATGAGATGACTATGCATCTTTACACAGTACAATAACATGTTTTTGTAACTACCTGTGTTACGTGGATACAAGACCCTCATAGTTTGTGCACCTGCAAACTGGTTTTATTTAACATAAGTTTAATTTCACTGCAGGTTCTGATAATGTAGATTGATTTTTTTGTGCATTTTCAAATTCTTCTCCATTATATAGCATCTTATTTAACTCAACAAAAGCCACATTATACATTACTTGGTTTCTGGTCCCAATAATTTGATGCTGTTAAGTTTTAATTTGTATGGAAAAGGGAGAAAAGTGTTCTTCTTGATTTTTATTTTCCTCAAGGGGCTTTCAAAATTGTTTCTACAAGCAAATCACACATGGAATAGATTTTGCCAAACCTCACTGCATATTTACAGTATTTTAAGCATAGGTGGTTCCTTCTATCTCTTTTTCTACATCTTTTGAAGAGCCTGAACCAGCAGACTGCACTCCTCAGTCCTTTGTTAGAGTTCATATTTCTCTCTCTACCTCTCTCTACATTCATTTCTCTCCTTATTCTCAGCATCATTTGTTTAAAAAACAAAACAGCAAAACACCACTAAACGTGAACAAGAGAACAGTACATCCGATTTCCAAAGGCATTCTGTGGCCAGTGTCAGGAATACGTTGCTTTAAGAAATCCAGCAGTCTCTCCCCACAAAGTTGCCAAAACATCCAGTTACAGAAGAGAGACTTTAAAAATGCAATACTCTCAAATCCAGCAAGAGATTTATTTTTGAATATTAAATGTTAAAATCACATGCATAATTATAGAATATTTTAAAGTTACAAAAATATTTTAAAACCAATCCTGACAGTTTACCTGCAACTGCTATAAAAATTTCTATGAAATATATAAAAACATGAAGGCTCTTTGTAAAAAAAAAAAAAAAAAAAAAAAAAAGGAAAAAGAAAGGAAGGAAGGCAGGGATGAAGCCATCCACAGGAGTGAGAATCACCTGACGCACTGCATCGCAAGCATCTGCTGTTGAATTCAAAAGAACTTGTATCTTAAGTGTTTCTTCTGCACATATACATACCTGTAAGCCAACCTAGAACCTGACTGGGGGTAGGTAGCAAACAATCTCAGGACACTTGAACCATCAGATGCAATTCTCCATTGCCAAAAGAGAATCCTACTGTTTCACAAACCTCAGCTACCTTGCGTGGCTAAAGTTGCCCTTGGCCGAGTTGGCCTGTGGATGGCTTAGTCACTACACTGAGGGGTCCCCGAGGAGGTGACTGCTTTTCAAGCTCAAGCATGTAGAAGCGGGAAGGCAAGGCTTCCAGCTCCCCTTTGGATGCACCACTGGGAAGTCCCGCCTGTCTTCTAGGAGGTGGTGAGGTCTTCTTCCCCGTTCTGGAAAATGATGCCATAAGGATCGTTCTTGATGCGTTTGTAGACAAAGTGGAAGATGTGGGGCTGTGGTCGGCTGTGCAGCTCCGCCTTGATTTTTTGAGGGTAAGTGTCCTCTGCCAGCTGCTGCCATGTCTCGTCAACGAAGAGAAAGAGGCTGTACTCCTCAGGGTCCCCCACCTTGAACTTCTCAGCGCAGATCTGACACACATCCTCAGTGGTGATGTAAGGTCTCACAAGGAGGGTCTTTCCTGTGCAACCACTGTTGACCTCCTGAAATGCAACTCGGAGGTAATTCTGCAGGTGGAAGAGGAATGTTGAGACAGTCAGAAGAGAAAACTAGATAGTGAGCATGATGGGGGACCAGGGGAGGGGGTAACTGTAAGCCATTTCCAGGCCCTTTCCTGTCATAATGTCCGATGTCAGGCCACGAGGCTTCGAATGGCAAGGAAAGAGGCTGATCTGACTTTGGACAGTGGCGAAGATGACTACATGATTCATTGCAACTGTAAGAAGCAGGAAGTCCATGCAGCCCTGGTTCTGATCTTTCCATTTCCCTCATAAGGTCTGGTTAAGAAACCCCTGCTTAAGAGTGTGAACCACATCCAATGCTGGGTTTATTCCCAGCTTGAAAACTAAACCAAATAGCACAAGAGTATGAAGGAAGTCAGCAGAAAGAGATTTAAAATATCTAGACACAAAAGCACGTACTGTGCTCACTTTTTGTTTTCTTCTTTTCATTTTAAGAGATGAGATCTCACTATATTCTCCAGGCTGGACTCATACCGCTGGGCTCAAGTGATCCTTCTGCCTCAGCCTCCTGAGTAGCTAGGTGTACAGGTGCATGCCACTGTACCTGGCTTGTGTTCACTTTTGACAAACTTTTTAAATAAATCCTAAGCAAGGGCAATCATTTAGGTTGAATCACACACACACAAAATGCGCTGACTTTTGACTATTTTTTATCTCCCCCAAATGGTGATTTCATGTAGTTCAATCTAATACAAGGCTCCTAGTGGCTCTGGGCACAATGTGGAAAAAGTCAGAAGGAGAAGAATGTTGATTTTGCCAAATACTTTGCAGATGGAGCTGATTACATGCAAGGTGGTGCTGCAGGGAATTAAACAAAGACGTTTGCAGGCTCAGGTGCTGCAATCATGCCAGGTACATGCTATCATGAAACATGTAAACCTGTGGCCTTACAAGATACAAAGCCCAGACCAGGCATAAAGAATCTTAAACTCACATCAGGCTCTCCTAGATTTTGTGACCCCAGATAACTTTGCTTCTGTTTCCTTAACAGTGGAGTTATCAGATGAAATCTAGAACAGCCAGTTAAATTTGAGTTTCAGCTAGAAAACAAATAGATTTTTTTCTGCTAAATCTGGCAACCCTGCTCAGCAGTGAAGGGAAGGAGGGCTCTCTGCCCAGGTGCCTGCAAGGTCACCACGAGGGTTTCCTGGGATAACAGAAGGGAAAGCTCTTGGGAAGGACAGTGAGCTCTGCACATGTAAGATATGTTTCATATCTGCTTCCAGTGGGGACTTTTGCTAGCCCAGTGACTTTGCAGGAGAGGTGAGCTAGTGGGAGGTGCCCAGATTGACAGTGACACTCTTTGAACCTTTTTTTTTAAGAGACAGGGTCTACATAATCCCTGTTTGACTAGTGCAGAAACTGAGGCACAGAGAGGCTACGTAACTTGCCCAAAGCCACACAGCTAGGACGTGGCAGATGCAGCCCCACCGCCTTTACCACCAAGACGTACTACCTCTTCCCATGTGAGAAGACCTCTGTGTCTGTGGCCTCTGATTTAGGGGTTCCAGATGGAGCTTTGGGTCTGAGGTTTTGCTTTGACCCCTGAGCCGAGTGCTGAACATTTCCTTCTTCGGTTACACTCTGAGAAGGCATGCACCTCCAAGGTGAGCAGGGTCAATGAGGGCAGGAGGGGACGGCTGCAGAAGAAGGCAGCTCTATGGTGTCTGAGGGTCTCCAGGTGAAGAGGTGGAGGAGGGTGTGTTGGCAGGTGGGGAAAGGAACAATGAACTTTTTTCACTTCCTCTGTTCTGCCCTAGGCAGCCCCTCCCTGGATGGCTATATGATGGCACCCCAGGGGTCTGCAGGCACTGAGTGGCACAGGGACCTTCTTAGTGCAACAGGGTGGGGAGAGTGCAGTGCGTGTATTCTCACTCTTTAGGTTTATGCGCTCCAGAAGGAATTTCTGAGCATACTGCAATCATGGAGAAGAATGAGCTGATCTTGGCTTTCAAAGATGGGCTTGCCTTTTTGTTTGTTTGTTTTTGATACAGGGTCTCATTCTGCTGCCCAGGCTGGAGTGCAGTGGTGTGATCATGGCTCACTGTAGCCTCAAACTCCTGGGCTCAACGGATCCTCCCACTTTAGCCTCCTGAGTAGCTGGGACTACAGGTGTGCACCACTACGCCTACCTAACTTGAAAATTTTTTGTTGTGGTTGTTTTGTCGAGATGGAGTCTCACTTTGTTGCCAAGGCTGGTCTCCAACTCCTGGCCTCAAGCGATCTTCCTGCCTTAGCCTCTAAGGTGCTGGGATTACAGGCATGAGCCACCTCATCTGACCCTCTATTTTCAGAGCTCTTATAAAAAAAAAAAATGGCCAGGCGCAGTGGCTCACGCCTGTAATCCCAGCACTTTGGGAAGCTGAGGCGGGTGGATCAGTTGAGGCCAGGAGTTTGAGTCCAGCCTGGCCACCACGGTGAAATCCCATCTCTACTAAAAATACAAAATAAATTAGCCAGGTGTGGTGGTGAGCACCTGTAGTCCCAGCTACTCCGGAGGCTGAGGCAGGAGAATCGTTTGAACCTGGGAGGTGGAGGTTGCAGTGAGCAGAGATCGTGCCACCACTGCACTCCAGCCTGGGTGACAGAGCGAGACTCTGTCTTAAGAAAAAAAAAAAAGCAGGTGAATCTGGATGTGTAGACAAATCTGTCTTGCTTTCCACATCCCTGCTTGGAAACTCATCATGGGGAACATAGAAACAAACCACAGGAAGGTTTTATCATTTAATTTAAAACCTTCAAAATATTATTTGCAGACATTTGCCAACTCACTCATTATTTCATAGACAATGAGCAAATCAGGAATTGTGTTGGGTAAGGATTTCTTTGTTTCTTTTTTGAGACTAAGTCTCACTCTGTTGTCCAGGCTGGAGTGCAGTGGCGTGATCTCGGCTCACTGCAACCTCCATCTCCTGGGTTCAAGCGATTCTCCTGCCTCAGCCTCCCAAGTAGCTGGGATTACAGGTGCCTGCCACTACACCCAGCTAATTTTTGTATTTTTAGTAGAGACAGGGTTTCACCGTGTTGGCCAGGCTGGTCTCGAATTCCTGACCTCAGGTGATCTGCCCACCTTGGCCTCCCAAAGTGCTGGGATTACAGGCGTGAGCCCTGATGCCTGGCCTTGGGTAAAGATTTCTATAGCCCTAACCCACCTGTCCATTCTAAGAAACAAGCTCACTGGGAGTCCCACATTCCCAAGCAGCAGCTCACGGTCAGGAAAAGCCCTGGCCAGGGAACCTGAGCAGGACTCGCTCAGATGCTCGCCTGGTCACTCTGCGCCGTGGACGGCTGCCATAGCTGTTGCTGCTGCTGCTGAGATTCTGGGGTCTTCTGTTTTGGAGAGTGGGCGAGAGAAAAGGGAAGGAGACATCGCTGTTCCTCTCCCTCTTCCCAAAGAGAAACTAGGCCAATTGCATCGCGTAACACAGCGGCTGTTTCCTGATGAAACAAAATCTCCAACGTCTGTGCCAAGTGCTTCCTCCTCCTTTTTGACTTATCGTCTGCTTGATTGGGCAGAGATTCTGCCTTAATTCAACTTGGTTTTCTTAAAGACAGCAAAACTTGGGCCAAGTATCCCATGCGTATATAAATGTAAAGAAAACAGATCAGTGTAACAAGGCCAGAGGGTGGTTTGAGATATCCCTTTCCTGCCAAATAATTCAACACAGTGGGGACCTCTGAGCTGGGATGTGCTGGGTGAGCCAGCTCCGCATTCCTGGAGGACGAAGGAAGCAAAGGGGTGGCCAGCTGCACACCTGGAAGTCGTCCACAGAGGGGATGGTCCGGTTGGTGGTTCTCCGTTTGTGCCACTGCCTCAGGGTGTCTCTGGTTTCTGAGCTGAGCAGTCGCGCTGCTTGTTCTTCTTGGAAATTCTTTATCAGAGAAAGTGCTCCATATGCGCTTGTCAAGTAATAGCCTCCTGAAAAGAGCAGAAAGAGTGGGTCCTCCCAGTGCCAACCTCCGCTCACGGGTGATAACAGGGGATGCCAGCGTTAGAAGGCATGTTTTGTATTTTTAGTATTTCTTCAACATGCATTTCCTTGTGGGATCACAGAAGCACACACCCAAGAGCATGGCACTCACTCCTCCATCCATCCCTTCACACAGCCATCCCACAGAGATTTCTGGAGCGACCCAGGCCTGGGAGGGGCCAAGGGGGCACAGACAAGCCAGGCTGACAAGGTTCCTGTTTTTCAATGATGGGATTTCCATTCTAGTGCGTGAGACTGACCAAGCCACTAAAGTGTTTTTTTTGTTTGTTTGTTTTTTTGTTTGTTTGTTTTTGAGACGGCGTCTTGCTTTGTCACCCAGGCTGGAGTGCAGTGGCACAATCTCAGCTCACTGCAACCTCCGCCTCCCAGGTTCAAGCGACGCTCCCACCTCAGCCTCCCGAGTGGCTCGGATTAAAGGCATGCACCACCACGCCTGGCTAATTTTTGTATTTTTAGTAGAGATGGGGTTTCACCATATTGGCCAGGCTGGTCTTGAACCTTGGCCTCAACTGATCCACCTGTCTCGGCCTCTCAAAGTGCTGGGATTACAGGCATGACCACCATGCCCAGCCGAAATTATTAAAGTGCAATTATGAAAAATGTTTGCCAGGAGTAGTTGGGGTATTAAGGCCTGACGGGGAGGTGGGGGGAAAGTCAGGCGTGTGAGGTGATCCAAGGCCAGTATCCCCTCCATCAGTCCAGACTCGTGGCAACACTTGCTCTTGGCTTTTTCTTTTAGAAATTGATATTTTCTATCTCTGATAAACAAGAATTTGGTTTAAAAAAAAGTAAAAAGGAAAAAACGCAATGAGTATTTTCTAAATCTTAAGTAAACTATACACTTTGAAAGAACTGTTCGCAAAAATGTGGACACTTCAAAAATAATTTCTCTCCCTTGATTCCCTTTCTTACCCCCCCCTTCCTTTGGGACTAACATAACATCTGGCATTTAGGATAAAATAATTTACAGGAAAGTGATGTTCCTGTGATGGTGTATTTAGGAATGATCTCTTATGTTCTTGAGGAGTGTAAAAAGGGCTGACGACACTGTAAGATGTGTATGTATTCCTTCATAGTTTTTGTCCTAACATATAATTAGGTGCCTGGGGAGGAACTTATGGTCTCTGCGCTGAAGAGCCACTAGGGGTCGCCCTGAATGTTTATTAAAAATTCCCTAATTGGGCACAGCATATTTTAGATTTAGAGACATTCTTTGTCAAAATACTCATTGAATCTCTACTGTGAGCCACAGCTACAGAGAAGAAAGTAGGTTTGTAAGAAATAGAATCTGAGTCCCCACTCTCCAGAAGTTTATGAATGTGTTTTGTTTTTTTTTTTTTTTTTAAAAAAAAAACAGACACTGGCAATTTATTCCTGCAGGGACCAGAAGTTAGTTTGGCGAAATGAGTTTTGTGCAGAAGTGTCACCTTTAGGGCCAAAGTATTTAGCTTTATTCATGTGAGACCCTGCAGAAGCCTCTCTCTGGTCAATAAGTGGCAATATGCAAGATGGCAACTGTCCCCTCCATGTGGATCAGGAGCCACACGCCCTGCAAACTCGTGCTGGACATGAACACGAGAAAGAAAAATACCCTTCTTGTTTTCAGGTTGCAGATGAAGACTTGAGGTTATTTTTTCCCGCGGCATAATCTGGGTCACCCTGAGCCATGCACTTTCCATTGATCACATGTCAAGCTTTTTGTGTATAGAGTGATCTGAAGGGTTTTCCAGACCTTGCCACCTACAGTATAATCACCCTAGTTAAGAGTTTTGAATTGTTGATCTTTACCAAATATTCGCCCCACAAACAAATCAGCATGTGACTGTGTGTGAAACTCAGTAATCCAGAATACAGATGCTACATGGAGAATTTCAGGAGAAATCAATATGAACATAAGTATTCAGGAAAGGCCGTATGGAGGGTCAGGATTTGAGCAAGGACTCGGAGAACTGTTACAATCTTTGTGGGGGTGGAGGGGGGCTCCTTTGGACTTCAAATTTTAGACTCCCTAGCTCTCATCTGTTCAGGACGCTAAGGAGAAAACTCAAATGCTGGAAGCACAAAATTGACCACACTTTGAAACATGTGGATGCAATTAGAGAAGGTTTTAAATTTCAGCAAGACTATAACCCTACCACAAGAGCTGTGCACTTCTAAGGGATTCTATGACGCCTTTTTGGTAAATGAGAATACCTGCTTAAACAGCGGAAAACAGACGTGGCTGCTACCCCGCAAACCAAAGAGGACTTTGGGCAGGCACGGAAAAGTCCAATCTGTATTTTTGCCACTGCTCAGTAGCCTCTTCCTCCCAGGCTGCATAGCTTCAGTTCGATGCTGTGCAGGCCTGGTCTGTGATCACAGCCAACCCAACTGGGCCGCCTACTTCCCAAGGAAGGCAGCCAAGAAGCCCCAGACACGGTTAAGTGGAAGCAGGCTCTATTTAAGTGCGAGCTCACCAGCAGCTTTTGTATCCTCACTAGCTGTGCCCTTGTCTTTCTTGTGGGATTCGTGGAGGAGAAGACAGCCACCTGTCCATTAGTCATCAACACAGGGCCTTGCCCTGGGCCAATCTGGGAAAGGGGCAGGAAGTAGCTGTTTCTATCCTTGAGCCACAAGATACAAGCAATGTTTGTCCTGAGTGCACATTGTCAGCAACAGAATCGACTTTCTAAGTGAAACCGGCGTGTCTTTTTCCCCAAAGCCCTAAGAGCTCTACATACTTATATTACTAGAATTAAACATGATCGAAGCTCGAAAAAGAATAACCAAACCCCAAACTGTATTAATAACAAACATTACAGTGGAAGGAAGGAAAGCATGCTATGTAGACTAACATGCTTCTCTTGGTCCCTGGGCAAAACCACATGTTTGGCCTTGTCCTGTCTAATCCCAGGGCAGAGCAGGCAAGAAAAGCTCCAGGGAGGGCCTTGGAGGCTCATCGGGGAGTGTCTGGTTCCATGGTTAGTAATATTAATAAGGGGACAGAAGAGGCTAAAGGGTGAAAGCATGAAAGAGGCCCATTCATACCTGCCTGGGATCGGGTACGGGAGGAGAGATATTCATCCCCCATCCTGAGTCAGCACTACCCATGGTCACGTGGGAAGGGCATAATCGGGCTCCAAGGAGGGCGGTCCCTCCGACAGGAAAAGTTAAGGCCTGGTGAATTCACATTACAGGACTGAGGAGACTAAGGGGGCACATTCTGGGGGTGGTAAAAATGCATTTCATTCCCTCCAGGGAAAATGCTGGGATGACTCATTCCTTAGGGAATCCTGTCAGAGATGGACCTTTCTACTCAAGCCCAGACTGAAACTCACGGGAAAAAAAAAAACGAAACCGTGACAATCCCCCCCAGGGCTTGTCTGGGCTTTTATCTGGATATATAAAAATGGATTAAGAGGATTCACAGTGCACAGGCCCTGATTTGTTCTCCTTTGAAAAGATAAGCTCACATAGAGTCCCAGTTATTTCTGCGTTTCAAGGCTGTGCACTACTGTGCCAAACATCCTAATCATTTCCATGTAAAATACCTAAGCTATGTGTAAGGAGAAGGAATTTCTGCTAAGACATGTTGGGGTTAGGCAGACACAAGGAGAAGGAACCCGAATGCCAACGTAAATTGAGAGCAAACTGCACAGATTCCACACCCCTGTATTTTTACTATAAAAATGAAAAGATACTTAAAAAAAACTGGAAAAAAATTAATACTGTTTTCACCTTGAAAACGAAATTTTAAAAAATAAAAACAAAGCCAAGCTTTTATCCATTTCACTAATATAAGAGCAGGTTATTTTCCTGGCAATGGAAATATCCTCAACAAAAGTTTATAATTTCCTCTTGGAGCCAAAGAAACCATTTCTTCCAAAAAAAATGGCATTTATTCTACTGAATGTATTTTTTTTATTGCCATTAAGCAATCTTAGTGAAGTATAGTTAAGATGGGGTTATATTTTTTCTTTGTGTTTTTCCTGACTTTTCCAAATTTTCTACCACGAGTGTGTATTACTTTTGCAATCAGAAAAAGGTTAGTACACTCTTTTAAATTAATAAAAAATTCAGTTAACACTTAAGATGTCAAAAAAGCACCCAAGTAACTGCTTCATGGGTGCAGAATTTTATTTTAGGGTGAGGAAAATAGTTTGACACTAAATAAAGGTGGAGAATGCATGACATTGTGAATATACTAAATGCCACTGAATTATTCACTGTAAAATGATTAATGTTATGTGACATGAATTTCGTCTCAATTATAAAAAAATGAAAAAAATAGCACCCAGTTCCTTCAACTTTTCTCAAAAGCAGTTACCTTCTCCATGTAACAGCGATGGGTCTAGGAGCTCCATCATGTACTCGATTTCAGTGTCCAATTCAAGCATGTCACACTGGGCTATGACATAGGTCAGGACTGGCAAGAAGTCATCAGCGCCATACATCCTCCCTGAGAGCAGGAAGAGAAGGAGATGGAATATTTTTACCAACTTTTCTTTCTTTCACATCCTTCTTGCTGCTTTTATTAGACAGCAAGGAGTCACTCTGGGGGGAACTGTGCTATTTATAAACAGAGGTGAGTGTTTCTGGAATCCTATGTAGCCTCTGACCCTCCCAGCTGCTAATGTTAGAGACCAGCCCTTACAGTTTCAGAATGAATGTCTATGAACCAATGAACACATTACAGATTTTCTCCCTACTTTTATAATTTGTATAAAATTATGTGATAGAACAGAATACTCGTTAAAATATTTTAACTTTCAGCAAACAAGATTATAAAATGCTTACAAAATATTTACTTATGCTAATTCTTTGTGTCTTACTTCCTCTTTCTTGCTGTGCACATTATTTACAAACATAATGACAAGGTCAAACTCAAACCAGGAATAAGCTAACTTTGCTCTGTATTTAATGTGAGCACACAGTTAATTTCTTTAAACGTGCCAATTCAGTACATGTTGAATATACACATTGATTAATGGAAATATATGGCAAAAAATGTTAGTGTTTACTTCTAGTTTTCTTTACATCAGTGGTTCTCAACTGGAGATAATTTTGTCCCCCAGGGGACATTTGGCACTGTCTGAAGACATTTTTCATTGACATAACTGGAGGGTGGGGATGCAGATGACATCTGGAATGCTGCTAAACTTCCTACAGGAAGCAGGGCAGCCCCCAAAAGAAGAATTATCCTGTCTACATTAATGTCTTTAGTGTGTGTGTTGAGGAACTGTGCTTCAGAAGAGCATAATCCTTCTGAATTATTTGGGGAATTCAGATATTCAGATATTATTTGGGGAATTTTTATAAATAACTGTGAACTATAGAAAATATGTTTCCTATATGTGAAATATGCTTGCAAACTTGTGAGGTGATGTTCACTTGCTATCATTACCACGCCCAGGAGCTCATATTTTAACTTCTTCACTCAACAATTCCCAAAGTGCACACACATTCCTGTCTACTCAAGCAGTGGTTAATACAGCCTGTGTTTTCTCTCTGCTGCTTCTCCATTAAGCAATTTCACTCAGAAGAAAAGTTCGTAATCGTCTTCAGAATTACAATAAGCTTACTGAAGACCTGGGACAATGCAGGGCTCCATTACTATCCAGGATTCATGGTTACCCCTGCATCTACAGGAAACAACAAGGCTAAATCTGAGGGCTGGCTTTCCAAGATTGTAACTCTTCGGTGAATTTCAATTATATTGCTTCAGCTTGTAGCAAAGAAGGGCTAGCCAATGAAGCGGCTCTAATGAGGCCTCATTATAACTGAATGTTCAGAGTTTCTTTCACATACTATAGGTCATTGACACAAACCCTCATTGGCCAAAATGTTGTAATGATAATCGCTGACATTTCCATTGCACTTGGGGCTATGTGTGGGCTGTCTCAGCTAATCCCCACCTCATGAAAGAAAGGGTGACATCCGGCTAAAGACGCAGAAAACTACAGCGTGCAAGGTTGATTAAGGGGGCCAAAGTCCCTCAGTTAATTTTCTTCTTCTCGGAGGGAAGATTTGAACTCAGACTCCAGAGACTGAATTTGTAACCATACTCTGAACTAAATCTTTAATTAAATCGGCCTGGTACAAAAATCTTGTTGCCCTCATCTGCTTACATTTTAATCTGTTGCATGTGACTAATGTGCCGGATATCAGAGAATCACTTGTAGTTCTGTAAGCCACTTGGTGAAATCAAGAGACCAAAGGGAGGAGAAATTGGGAATCAGAAAGCCTGACAGGAGAGAGGCCTGTCCCCGGCCCGGAAGGGAAGCGGCACGAAGCCTGGGCTTCCAGCGGCCTCACCTGAGTTGTTCTCCATGACCGTGTAAATGAGCTTGCAGACCCGCAGCAGCAGCATGACCTTCTTTTCCGGCGAATACATCTTCTGCATGGTCATGAACTTGACTTTGATTTTCTCCACATCCACAAAATCAGGGGTCGGGGCGAAGACCCCCAGCTCCTGCGGATTCCTCTGCCGCACAAGCTGCAGGTTCTCCTTGAGTTGCTTCCATGAGCCATCGGCCATGTGAAAGTCCTTCAGCATGGCCTCCACGTGCCCCTTGAGGGGCTTCAAGATGCACTTGTGCATGGCTTTTTCCAGCACCACATCTGCCAAAGAAAGTGTAGCTACTATGACTATTGTCTGAAGAAAGAAGAAATGCAACATCTGCTTTCTTACAATGGACATCTGCAACTCTATGCATTGGTTGCAGGCACACAAATTGTACACCTTAACATCCAACCAACAGACAACACCAAGCAGCGCCATAACTCACATGTTAACATTTTTCTCTGAAAAGCCAGGAAGACCGAATCTTCCCCAATGATGTCTAACTTGCATATAATCAATACAATGAAATATATTTGTTTTAATTACTTTCATGCCCTATCCCTGTAAGTACAGGCAAATATGCTAGAAGACATTCTTTTGACCTAGTCCTTCAACTGGTCATCCAATTAACAGGAGAGCAAAGATGTTATCTTAAAGGAAGGATTTTCTAATAATGAGCATTCAACATCTCTTAGAATATTTTCTGAGGGCCAGGCGTGGTAGCTCACATCTGTAATCCCAGCACTTTGGGAGGCTGAGGCAGGCAGATCATTTGAGGTCAAGAGTTGGAGACCAGCCTGATCAACATAGTGAAACCCCATCTCTACTAAAAATACAAAAAAATTAGCTGGGCATGGTGGTGCACGCTTGTAGTCCCAGCTACTGGGGAGGCTGAGGCAGGAGAATTGTTTGAACCCAAGAGGCAGAGGTTGCAGTGAGCCAAGATTGTGCCACTGCACTCCAACCTGGGTGACAGAGTGATACTCCATCTCAAAAAAAAAAAAAAAAAAAGAATGTTTTCTGAGGAAATAGATCCACCTAAATATAGTATGTGATCTTGGATCAGATTCTGGACTAAAAAATTCTTCATTTGCTATAAAGGACATTAGTGGGGCATCGAATACAGCCTGCAGATAAGGTAATAGTGCTAACAAGGCATCAGTGTTAATTTTCTAGGTCTGATAATTATACTGTAGTTATTAAACAGAATAGCCTTGTTTTTAGGAAATATGCATTGAAGTATTTAGGGGTAAAGGGATATAATGTCTGCAACTTAAATGGTTCAGAAAAAATGAGAGACAGTGTGTGTGCACGTATTTGTGTGCATGTATGTGTACGTGCATGTATCTGTGTGTGTGCACGCGTGTGTGTGTGTGTGTGTGAAGAGAGAGAAAGAAGAATGAGGCAGATGTGGCGAAGTGCTAACATTTGGGAATCTGAGTGAAGGGTAGATATTTCTTTATGATATTTTTGCAACTTTCCTGGAAATCTGAAATGATTTCAAAATTAAAAGTTAAAAATGTGTGAAATGTGTTTCTGTTCCGAGTTAGGAAACACCTTTGGGTGTGGGAGGCGTTATTCTTCCCTCCTTCATTGAATGGTTTCCCAGTGGAGTAGCTTTCTTGGCTAATACTAAAATGACCAGTACCATAAATCCAGAGATGCGGGCTGAAGGCTATTTATATAATAATAACTCCTCTGCTTTGTCAATAGCAGCTTTTTGACCTCACACGTTTGCACATTCTCATCTGAGCCCCTTGGGTTCTGCTGCAGCATCTACGCATAAAATGATGACACCTTAATTTTATTCCATTTGGGAAGCCAATGGGTCCACTTACATATAAGATCAGAAATAGTTAAGTTAGGCCAGGCATGGCGGCTCATGACTGTAATCCCAGCACTTTGGGAGGCTGGGGTGGGCAGATCACTTGAGGCCAGGGGTTCAAGACCAGCCTGGCCAACACAGCGAAATCCCATCACTACCAAAAATACAAAAAATTAGCTTGGCGTTGTGGCGCACACCTGTAATACCAACTACTCTGGAGGCTGGGGCATGAGAATCTCTTGAACCCTGGAGGCAAAGCTTGCAGTGAGCCGAGATCCTGCCACTGCACTCCAGCCTGAGTGACAGAATGAGACTCTGTCTCAAAAGAAAAAGCAAAAGAAATAGTTGAGTTGTCTCTCTGGCCTTTGGAATTCCTGACGCTGGATCAGATCTTATTGAATTCAAATGATTACCTATTATTAGAAGGCCAGGGACAAAGATAAATCTAACGCAGAGGTACAAACAATGAAAACAGTCCCCCAAGGTTAAAACTGAGGCCAAAAGTTAACGCTGACCCCACAATCATCAGATTCCCCAGCCCAAGTTGTTTTTTTCTTTCTCCTCTTCCAACTTATCCAGGAGATCTCTTTGTTTAAATACAAAGGTTTATATAACTATAGAAATCAAGGTTGATGCGAAGGAGGTTATAAAGTAGGAAAAAAAGCAGAACAACTTATTCACATCTGGCATTAAAACAAATTACTTGGTTTACATTGGTTGCTTTGTGTTAATAAGCTCGTGCAACTTCATAGCATCTTTGACTTTACCTTATATCATCATTATGATAAAAAATTAATAACAGAAATTAATATTGAGTGCTCAGATGGGCCAGCCTCCATCTAAGTGCTTTACTTCACTATCATCTAATCCTTGCAATAATTCTATTATTTTTGCACAATACTAATATTATGTCCGTTTAACAGATGGGGAAACTGAGGCTCAGAGATGACTAATGGCTTGATAGAAGCCACACAACTATTTTAAATAACCATTTATACAGCTTTTCAAAGTAAATAATCTTTTAATTGTAAAGTTCAAGTCACTTTATAAATACTCGCCAGTTTATTCCTCTCATCCAAACATTCTGAAAGCTACATTCATGGTTGTAAGTGACCACTACTTGGTTAAAATAGGGTCACCACGGGAGGACAAAGGCCATGTCAGTCATTAATTAGAAACGTAAATGAATGTCCATAGTAATGTTATTTATAATAGCCCCAAGCTGGAAATAACCCAAAGGCCCATTTGGACAGAAATGAATACATTGGATATATTCATTCAATGGAATACTACAATGAAATTCAGACAATGGAATGTATTTATTCAATGAAAAAGCTCACATTACTGCTCCAGAACAACATGGATGCATCTCATGAACGCAAGGCTGTGTGAAAGAACCCAGACACAAGAGTATCTCCTACAGCATTTCGTTTATATGAAGTTCAAAAGCAGGCAAAACTAACCTGTGGGACAGAAGTCATGATGGCAGTCCCCCTTGGGGAGGATCTGGGCCAGGACAGGACACCAGGGATTAGAGATGTTCTGGATCTGGATCTGGACTGTGTCTACATGGGTGTGCATGTGTGTAAAATTCTGTTGAGCCGAGTACTTAAGATTTACACACTTTATGGATGTAAGTTAAACCTCAATAAATGTATATGAATCAGAAAAACAGAAAACAACTAAAGACCTGGATGAGATTTTCACCTTGAACCCCACGGGCAACTGTTATCATCAGAGTGAGCCCGGTCACCTCTGGGCCAGAGTGTTAATACAAATCATCCCCAAAAGGCTCGCAGCTGCTTCTGGGGAATGATGACATCAGAAAAGTCGTTACTAGCAAGTTGGACAGGCTCCCTTGAGCAACTCATCCTTGCTGCCAGGGAGGGGTGCTGGCCTTCGAGGGGAATTCCACCCTTGGGTATAAAAGGGGCTGTGGAAATCTCTTAGGAGGGTTGAAACCTAGGACCAATTGCCAAGGGAGTAGCCCGTTTTCTGAAAATAAAATGAAAAAGTAATTGCTAGTGGTAGATTTTAGGACATTTTTCTTTAAAGACCATAATTTAAAAATAAGGAAACTGGTCCCTGCATTTTTTTTTCAGAGGTTTATCCCACTCCTCCTCCCCACCCTCCCCAAATCCTTAATAAACATAAAGAGTAGGGGACAAGAGCCTAAATGAAAAGAGGGACCCACGATCCAGCTGGCTCTCTCCAATAGGAAAAGCAAGCTTCTGCTCATAAAGCGAGAAGGAAAAAGGATTTGAGGAGCCCAAGGAACAGACGATCTTTCATAACATGAACCACCTCAGACAAAAGAGGAAAGAACAAATTGGTCACATTTCTCATAAATTACTACTCTCCATTTTTTTCTATGATCTCTTTTTGCATTAATCGTTAATTCCTGGACAAAAAAACAAAACCTTTTAAACTCTCAGAACAATGACACTATTCTAGCCACTTTACCTGCACTGGATCTTCAAATCCTCAGACAAACTCCATCCAGGGAGGCCTACTATGTTTTCATTTCACAGATGAGGAAACTGAAACCCAAGGACATCTTTGTCATGCAGCTATCAAGAGGGAGAGCCAGGACTGGAACTCATAAAATGTTTCCTGAGTTCTTGGAGTAATGTCAACTGTATTCATCCACAAGCACGCGTGCAAAACAAACACCTGAAACCTTTACAGATGAGTAAGATGAGTATATGCTTTTAAAGCTCATTAAGGTCTTTTTGTTGTTGCTGTTGTTGAGATGCTGGGGGTCTCACTATGTTGCCCAGGTTGGCCTCGAACTCCTGGTCTCAAGGGATCCTCCCACCTCAGCCTCCCAAAACACTGGGATTATAGGCATAAGACACCATGCCCAGCCTCACTCATTTCTTTTCTATTTTTCTAGTAACAAGCAAATAGTAAAAAATCGTTTGAACCACAACATATTGAACTTTAGAAACTAAATGTTTCTAAATGATCAAAACTGGAAACAAGTTTTCTGAAAATATTTATCAAGATTATATCAACTGGCCCCAAAATAATCCATAAGAGGAAAGTGGTAGAGGCCATAGCAATTGCTGGCTTTTCCTTGACTAAATGTCACTTACTGTAATAATTTATAGGAAGTATTCAATGTGTTGGCTTCTAGACAAGAAGTGATTCACTCTTATTACTTCTCCAAGAATTGATTCACTCCTCCATTAAGGAAGAGAGACAGAAACCTTGACCCTTTCCTTCATGCTGACCACCTACTGCATGGATTCCAGAGGCTGGAGATAGACAAGGAAACATCACAAGACCAGCAATTCAGTGGCTTTGTTTGTACACTTTCTGCATTTCCACTGCTGGCCAGAAGGCAGTGAGACTTTGAGAGGCAAAGCTGAAGACTGGAGAAATTGCTTGTGTTAGAAAGAGCCCTGGGAGCCGTGGGGAGGCCAAGTCCCTTCCCCTCTCACTGCCACTGTCTGGACAGCCATCAGAATCATTGTCCACAGAAGGCAAGACAGAGCCAGCAGTCTGAACCTAACTGAGTTGGTGATTGTTCAAACAACACAAAGTAAAAATCAATACTCTCCAGGGAATCTAACCACACCCAGAGTCTAAACCATGTAATATAATCACATGCTTCATAATGGCGTGTTTTGGTCAAAGATGAACCACATATGCCAGGGTGGTCCCATAAGATTCTTATTTATTTTTTTGAGACAGAGTCTCACTCTGTCACCCAGGCTGGAGTGCAGTGGCACAATTTTGGCTCACTGCAACCTCCATCTCCCAGGTTTAAGTGATTCTCCTGCCTCAGCATCCTGAGTAGCTGGGATTACATGCATGCACCACCACACCCAGCTAACTTTTGTATTTTTAGTAGAGATGGGGTTTCACCATGTTGGCCAGGCTGGTCTTGAACTCCTGACCTCAGGTGATCCACCCACCTCAGCCTCGCAAAGTGCTGGGATTACAGGTATGAGCCACCACGCCTGGCCCCATGAGATTCTGTTACCGTATTTTTACTGTTCCTTTCCTGTGTTTAGACGTGTTTAGATATATAGATACTGAGCATTGTGTTACAGTTGCCTACACTGTTCAGTATGTCACATGCTGTCCAGGTTTGTAGCCTAGAAGCAGCAGGATATACCATATAGCCTAGGTATGTAGTAGGCTATGCCATCTAGCTTTGTGTAAGTACTCTATGATGCTCCCACAACAACAAAATTCTCTAACAGTGCACTTCTCAGATGTATCCCTGTAGTTAAACAACACATGATTGTATTAAAAATGTACAGGTGTGTGATGTCCCCCACCCTGTGTCCAAGTGTTCTCATTGTTCAATTCCCACCTATGAGTGAGAACATGCAGTGTTTGGTTTTCTGGTCCTTGCGATAGTTTGCTCAGAATGATGGTTTCCAGCTTCATGGGGGCCTGTTGTTGGGTGGGAGGAGGGGGGAGGGATAGCATTAGGAGAAATACCTAATGTAAATGATGAGTTAATGGGTGCAGCAAACCAACACGGCACATGTATACATATGTAAAAAACCTGCACGTTGCACACATGTACCCTAGAAGTATAATAATAATAAACAAAAAATGTACAGGTTACAACCTAAAGTTACTTGACAAAGATACAACATGAGGTTAGGGTGGGAGGGAGGTGAGGGTGGAAAAATTACCTATTGGGTTACAATGTTCATTATTCAGGTGATGGGTATACCAGAAGCCCAGACTTCATCACTACGCAACATATGCATGTTAGAATTCTGCATGCGTACTTCCTAAATACATAAACATATTTAAAATTTAAAAATCCATGAGTTTAGATCATGTGACCTCTTAGCTTATTTTAGTTCTAGCATTCTGATTTTTTTTTAAAAAGGTAAAGTAGTAGAAATAGAAGCTAATGTTTGATAACAAGATATGGGCCTTTTTTTTGTAGGGAAGTCAAATTGTGAAAATGTAAACATTTATAATTGCTAACATTTATTGGGCATTTATTTGAGCACTTCCTATTCTAATATTATATGTATTACCTCATTAACCCTCACTTCAGCCCTACGACGCTGGGACTACTGTCATTCTGTCATTCATTTTACAGATGGCCATGAAGCTTGGAAGTCAGGTGACTTTCCCAGATGGTGGAGAAGAAATGCAAACCAGGTAACTTCTATTTCCGACAAGTCAGGAGATGGCACATAGACCTCTCTTGGTACAAAAAGGGCAAAACAACTTGATGCTTTCTTTTTTTATGTGCTAACATATTCTCCTTTGGCTGTATTATTGGATTAAGGATCAGAACTAACATTGAGTGAAAGCTCAGTATGTCTACTAAGCACTTTACAGGTATTTAAACAATTCTTTGACTAAAATGGGTGCATAATCCCCATTTGTCTTAGTTTGGATTCTCTCAGAAGCCAATCCTGAGACAAGGATTTGAGTGTGAGTGGTTAAATTTGAGAAGTGATCCCAGGAAGCACTGACTGGGGAGAGAAGGCAGCCAATATAGTTTGCTTTATTAAGCCAGTTATCACCACTGGCAGGTGGATCTCAGCCCTGCTGGGGAGCTCCAAGAGGTGGCGTTGAACATGCCTTACAGTTGCTCCCCCTGGAGAAGAGGCAGCTGGGTTATGGATACACATGCTCCCTTCAGTCCCTGGTTGAGGCTGCTCCTGGAGGTGGACGGGCATCAATTCCCCAGGCTTTCTAGCCCACCCTGGGCCAGAGCTCTGGTGAAAGCCTCATGCAAAATGTCACAGGTGCTGGAAGCTGGACGTCAGACTGGTAAGCAAGTGTCAGTGGGCACAGCACAATGGCATCCACAACACCGTGTTACATTTGAGGCAACTGAGGCACAGAGATATTAAGAAATATGACCAAGCACCCACAAGTCGGGAACAGCAGAGTCAGGGCTTCAAACCTGCCTGAGCCCTTCCTCTGAGCCACCACTCGCCCCTGACTTTCAGCCAAGAAACTTCTCTATCTTATGTGAGCAGAGCTGGTGGCTGAGGAGGGTGGAAGGCAGGATCTTGAAAATATGACACCAGGGCCGCCATGACAGCATTTTGCTAATCCTCTATTACAAACTACGCAAAAAAACAGCAGGCCACCTGGGGTTGCAGAGGCACTCAGGTCAGATGCCAAGTCTGAATGGGTAGCTTTCTGGTTTCTGACCGTCAAAGAAGATGACCTTTCCCAGCCTCAGCTTCCTCATCTGTAAAATAGGGCCACGCACAGCTTCCCGGGGTGGTTGCTGGGAGGACTGGGTGGCGTCTCCACCAGGAGCAATTGTATGCATCTGACACCTCGTAAGCACGCTGCTTTCTTTGTTGTCTCCGCCCTGACATAGAGTCAATTAGTCTTCTCTCTTTGAGGGGAAGCCCTCTGAAAACCACACTGGGGTTCCTGCAGTCTAGTGTCACCTGAAGTCCCCAGCATGAGGCCCTCATGCAGCACACACTCCAAAAGTGTGAAGTTTAACAGAGAATTCTTCCTTTGGGAGAAGACATGGAATTATGTTTCTTCTCTTTACCCTGCAGAATACAGGTGTGTAACTCTAGCGATGAAATCACCGCCCAGGCATGGGGCAGGCAGGTGTGGGGCACCCTGTCACTCTGCAGGGATGTCCTGTAACCTGGGTTGGTTTTAAGTATTGTTGGCCATGCACACTTTGGCTCATAAATAATAAATACTGAAGGACACGGTATGATTTTAAGGAAGATCCCATTAGCCCAGCAAGGAAAGGGGCCGAAATAAGGATAACAAGCACTGGGGCTTTGATCCACTTCAGTTTCTGCTCATTTTGGTGGGCTTCAAGGAAAGCTAGTCTGCAAAAGTATGGGCTACATCTGTGTGATATTTGATGTAGGGAATCCATCAGCCTGATTTCAGTGTCTTTTAGTAAAAGGCCAGGAAAAATGAAAGCAGGGAAGAAGAGACCAATCTCCCTTATGGAAGAATTCCAAATAATTTATGTAGATCCTCCCGCTTCTGGGAGGTGGAGCTTAATTCTACTCCATCCCTTGAGTGTGGGCAGTGCTAAGTGACTTGCTTCCAAAGAACAGAGTATGGAAAGAAGGGAATCTTTAATTTTACAGGGCAGAAACCTGGCATACATGGCCTGGGTCAGGGGGTTGGGAGAACAATTTCAGTGATGAGTCATGCAGACAGCAGTACCCTCTGGTGTGATGTGCCTTCACCTCTGAGGTCACCTTCCCGCCACATAAAACCAACTGGAAGGCAGCGGTAATTCCCTGCCACCAGAAGTATAGACAAGGCCTGCCAAGGGACCGTGTCAGTCGCGCTTGCATCTTGGCTTGACCTTGCTACGCCTTTGGTTTCTTCATCTATAGAAGTGAGGGCAATAAATGGAGCCTCCCAAGGCATTCGGAGGATTAAAAGGGATTCTTATACATTAAAGTGCTTTGTAAACCACACAGGGCCGCCCACGAGGAGTGATTACCAGTGCTCTCACTTGGCTCTTTTAAAAACAGGGATGCATTTAATTCATACGCTTTGACTCTACAGAGGAGGTGGCTGTGACTTCACCTGGGCCTGGACAATAACTGAGAAGCTCCAAAGTGGATACTGTGTCTGCGAGAAGAGAGTGGGGGCTGTGTCTACACCATTTGTTCCCTGTTGAGAGACTGAGCTAGTGAGACAAGGCTGTGGGTAGGACCTGAGGACCAGGGAGGGCTGCGTCTATGCGGTGCTGGCCTCACAGAGGCAGCCAGTGGGAACCCTCCTTTTGGCTGGAGTGGAGGGGTGGAAAAACATAGGTGTGCCCTAAAGAGCCTGATGCTGCCACACAATTCGTGCAGCATTTTAGGTGTCTTTTGGGTGACATTCCTCAATTCCTACATGAATTCCTCTTTTACCTGGTGAGGTTTCCTGCCTGGGAGGTAGAAAGACTCTAGGAATATGGTCAAAAAATACTCTGGAGCAGACATCTTCGTGTGACTTATTTTGTGATGCCATCCGCCACCCACCTTGTGAGCAAGGTCTTTCCGAATTACTGAGCTAACAGCCCCCTTGTGCAGGCTGTCATGGAGTCAGGGGCTCAGGGTCAGAGAGTCACAACTCCAGGGGTGTCAACCTTGTTTTGGTTGATGTAACATAATTGACCCCATTTTGATGCCCTAAAGTAAAAATTAATCAACAAAAGATGTCCCACAGGGGAAAACCAAGTGCTTCTTGTCGTGGTCTTCTATTTAAATTAATTTTTGGAAATAATATAGGTATCCTTTTGCATACCACAATCTTTCTTCTTTTTCTCTGCCTCTTGTTAACTCTACAAGGACATTTGTTCCTTCAGGCGATAGGGTCACATGTACTAGATCAGAAGTCAGAAGATTCAAGGTTTTAATCTCTGTTTGGCACTAACATGCCTCCCTGGCTACACCTCTCAGAAGAGTTTTTTTTTTTTTTTTTTTTTTGAGATGGAGTTTCACTCTTGTTGCCCAGGCTGGAGTGCAATGGCATGATCTCGGCTTATTGCAACCTCCGCCTCCCGGGTTCAAGTGATTCTCCTGCCTCAGCCTCTGAGTAGCTGGGATTACAGGCATCCACCATCATGCCTGGCTAATTTTTTTGTATTTTTAGTAGAGACTGGGTTTCACCATGTTGGCCAGGCTGGTCTCAAACTCCTGACCTCAGGTGATCCACCCACCTCGGCCTCCTTAAGTGCTGAGATTACAGGTGTGAGCCACTGCACCTGGCCCCAGAATAGCTCTTTATCTTAAAAAATAACCCAGATAACTCAGGGGCTTGAACCAAACTGTGACCTGAAAAATTAAAAACAAGTCACACTAGATATTGAAGCTAGAGCCAGCTTAAATACTCATTTGAAAACAAAAACAAAAACAAAAAAAACCCAGATCTGAACCAGAGTAGTTGTGATTGTTTAACTCCCCGGGAATCATTTCAATCACCTTTTCTATATGCGCTATACTCTCCGGTGTCTAACCACATTTTCCGTATCATTTCTCTATTAACAAACAAAAAACACTCAGATACGTAAATCGAAGTGACCTTTGAAATATGTGGAAATTGACTTTAAGGGTACTTTTTCTTCAAATTGTTAAATTGCTCTTTGGAGAAAACATACATTTTGGTTTGTAGCACTTAAATAAGCACAGTACTGTCTCTTTTCTGCTACTGACTTCTAGGAATATGAATAGTTGGCTCTTTTGTATCACTGCTGATAGTCTGTGGAGAGTATCTGAATGAAATAGAAAATTTAAGATTACTAACATGTTTGGATTTGGACAAATTTTGTTTTTCTTGAAACAAGCCTTGAAAACAGAGGGATTTCCCAAGACTGACATCAAGTCAGAAATAAACATCATTTTACTAAAATGAAAACACTAACCACACCATTGCAACAAGTTCTGCAAAATGAAGATTTCTCTACCAGAAACTTTGGTTGGATATCCCCCATGGGTTGAAAAAGACTAAAGCAAGAGTGGTGGGATGTGAACACCCACCAGTGAGGAACGTGTGTTGAAGCAGGAAGTGATTTCACCCCATCTACATCCTATAGCATGGGTCATCAGTAATGAGCGCAGCACACTGTCCGTGAAGAGGTTGATCCCAATACTTTAAGTAGGGCCCCCAAACTGCACACTTCTTATTAAAGCATTTGTCTGTTCTTCCATGTACCACTCTGGAAGGGTGAGAGTAGGTGATGGCTCTCTGGGAGGGAAGCCCAGTATGTGGCCTGGAATGAATAGAGAGCTGGCACACACAGGAACGAGCCCGTGTCTCTCCAACCAGGAGAGCCAAGCTGGTGCCAGGCAATGAACATGTATTCAGGAACCTCTGCATAGCAGGGCTTTTGGTTGGAAGTGCTCCAAAGGGTAGTCTAAATAGAATGCAAATTCTCCATGAGAGAACATAATCATTTACAGGGGCAGTTTTTCGGTTTTGAGATTGATTCACTGTTTATCATTTGCACTTGTCTAGAAAGTGCTAGAAAGGATAGTGACACCAGCACATGGGCAAAAGGAAAGTGACTGAGAACTATTTGTTTTTCTCATTAGCTTTTCTCTATGTAACTGAAGAACCACCCTCTGAAGAAGACAGATGAGTAGTATCTCCATATACTAAAGGGATACATGTGCATGCATTCACAGGGTCATTTTCACCTAAGAATGACTGCTCTAACATACATGGATTAAACCAGTGTATTATCTCCTCCTACCTTCTTGACTTCAAGTTGTTCCATAAATCTAGGCTTTAAATTAGAATTCTGTCTTCTAGTTCAGAGCTATCTTCTTCAGAAGCTATAGGAAATGAGGATAGAACTAGATTTTTTTTTTTAAAGCAGACATAGACCAGTTTTTAAGCCCACATAGACAAGTGGGCTGGCTAAGTCCATGTTCTGGTCAGAGGCCTAATCTAATAAAGTGCACCTCTATGGGGACTGGCTTTCTAATAGTTAGGGTCGCATCTTTCCTTCCACCTGGACTTGTGATGAGTTTCTCAGGTTGACCTCTGCTCCCACTCACCTTCTTTATTTCAAAAGCCTAGCACTGTCACTATACTTTCAAAACAGAATGCTGTTTCACTGGTGAAGAAACAGGAGGAACTGACTGCTTTTAGTGCAAAAGTTTAAAAAAACCAAACCAAACAAACCCACAGAAAAAGCATGGCAATGCTTGTGGAGGCCATATCCATAACTCAACAGAGAGCTTTAGTCTGAGCTGCCTCAACACAGGGTTGTCCCTGCAGTTACAATTCCCCTGAACTACTGATGAGAAAATAGAAACACAAGCAGCAGCAGCAGAACAGTGAGCTCAGCAAACGTGGGCTTCTGATCCAATGGAAGTTCAAATACCGCACCTGCTAGTTTACTAGAGAGTGTGGCTGTCAGACAAATGGCATGGCCTGGCAGAGCCCTCCTTGCCTTCCTCCAATCCTTAAGGGATGACGATGCCTGTTCACAGGGGTGAGGTGAGGACCCACTGGAATAGCTTGGACAGGCTGCCGGGCTTATACTCGAAGCTCCATAAATCATTTTAAATTAAAGGCTGCATCCTTCTAGAGTAGTGAAATACATAATTTTAGCATGTTTTTTGGAGAAAATGAGTGAGTCCTTGAGTTCTAAGAGCAAGTACCACATCCGAATTTAACTACAAAAGGAGCTGGCTGAAGAGCTTCCCGGGACTAACTTGGGTTGGTTCTTACAGCATCAGCAGGGAGGGAAGGCCAGGCACTGTGGGCTGGTTGGCGCCGCTGGCCACATAGCTCAGGCCTGACATCAGCCCCTGCCTGGCTGCACCCCCCTCTGACCCCAGCCCCTAAGAGGAAGCTTCTCCTGCAGGTTGGGTTTCTGTTAATACTGAGTCAGATATGGTCTCCCTTGAGAGCGGGTCTCTGGTGGGATGGGGAAAAAGGCAGCCTGTGTGGATATTCTGCTGTCTCCTTGATGTCTTTTTCAATTAGAAGGCACCTCACAAGGGCACATTCCTTTAGCCACTCACTCCAGCAACACCCCAGCTTTAACCACGCCCTGATCAACCAGGCCTGGCCTCAGTCAAACCACAAGAAAACAAACAAGGCTTTGATTCCTTTGTGAGAAAATCAAAGAGCTGCTGAAAATCACTTAAACGAGAAAAAAGAGAGGAGAGAGAGAGAGAGACAGAGAAAGAGAAAGAGCCCTCTATCACACACTGTTTACTACTTTCAACAAATGGACCCAATCAGAAAGAAAAAATTGGGGTGTAGCTTCTGAACCGCCTGGAAATGTTTGGTAGCTCCAAAGGCTCCTGCTGCCTGGTGAATAAAGTCTCTGAAATTAACCTTCAAGAGTCAACCTTCTAAAATTAAAAACAACAAACAAACAAACAAAGAACCTTCAACATTCTCACCCTGGAAGAAAAGACTGCTTGCCAAATTCAAATTTGCCTTGGCCAAAGTAACCATTAGCAACTCATCCTTTAAATGAGATTATAAAGAAAGAATTTCCCCTTGAAGTTGGAGAAAACACCTTTCATGTGACCTCCAAACTATGTTACTTATTTTAAAGTTACACAAAACAAACTTGTCTTTTTCAGTTTTTGCTTACTCCCAAGCCGTGCTGCTTACAGAAGTGTATGGGATGAGGAGCCAGCAGGATGGTAACCTTGAGGGAGAACAGGGGGCCCGGGGTCCCTAGATGCTGGTCAGGTTCTGCTTATCCAGGGGTTGGTAGTTGTCCCACAGGTAAGCTTGCGGTGGAAACTCATTCCAATGCATACGTGAGTTTTGTGCTCTCTGAACATATGCTACACCTCAATAAAAAGTTTACTTGCAACCAAGACAGAACAAAATACCCACTGCCTCTCAGAAGATAACAAAACTACCTTTGTATGTATGCACAGCCTGCAGAGAAGCACGCGTCCAGAAACACCCGGCACATGTAACACACACACGTTACCACAGCAGGCGGCAGCTGGACCCACAGAGGACCAAACTCCATCCCTGAACAGAATCACTGTGCAGCTCCAATCTGTCACTCCCGAAGACATTTTTGAGTCTGGCAGTCAGCAGCTACTTTGAGAAACTGATTTTTCCATTCAAACCGGGAGAGAAGGTGGAGCTGGGTGTTGTTTTGAACTTCGGAGTAAACTTCATAAAAAATAACAAACATAGGTTGCACTGCCCGGACAGAGTTACAATAGATTTTATATTTTAAAAAAGAGGGTACTTACCTATTTGGTCTTCAGGGATCAGCGACTCGATGGGGGGGTCCAGCTCCGAGCTCTGAGACAAATAGTTCTTGACCTGGGTCATGAACTGCCGGATGGTCTGCAGCATGTCGGTGCTGGACACGTGGCACTCCTTGTTCTCCTGCAGGAAGCTCACGTAGTCCTGCACTAAGCACCCGAAGTAGGTGCATTTGTCCCGGGAAAGCTCGGCGATCCTGCGGACCATCCGCTTCTCCGGGGTCATGAAGGAGCTGAACACCCCGCTCACCTTCTGCAGCTGGGACTTGACGAGCTTGGGCAGCACGAAGGAGCTGCTCCTTTTCTTTTTGGACTTGATGGGGGGCGCCATGGTCTCTTGGTCACTTTCCCCCTCGTAGTCCTCCAGGCTGCTGTTGGTGTCCGCCTCGTAGCCAAACAGAGGCATGCTCCGGTCGAACTCCAGCGAGTCGGAGGAGGAAGTAGAAATGCTCATGTCGCTCAGCCGCTGCCGGCCTCCATGGCACGGGGGCCGTGATTCAGAGCTGGGCGGCGGGGCCCTTGTGCAATCCCCCGGGGCGGCCTCAGGCGGGGCCCCACCTGGGCTGCCAGCTGTGCCCAGCTCCAGCTCCGGGCCTGCGCCCGGCCGGCCGCCGCTCAAGGTCTTTGCACCGCCCTCTGCTTCCAGAAAAGAAGCCTGCTTCTTCAGCCGGGGTGGAGGGATGGGAGTTGGTTTCGTTCCAGGCAGAGCTACGTTCCCATGTTTGTTATGGTTGACTGTTTCTGGCATGCTCGTCTGGGTTTCAGTCCTGGCCAGCCGAGGGCTTGTGTGGAGACTATTAATAGCGGGTGGCGGGGGCCTGGGTGGGGGGGACCGAGTCCGCTCCGTGCCATTCGCGTTGGGAGTCCTTGTGCTCGGCCGTTTCAGGCCTCCACTGAGGTCCTGGCTGTGCACTTTCAAGAAAAGGGGATTAATAAAGCACAGGGCCCCGTTGGTCTGGCTGCACTCCAGCTCTGAAGGCGTCCTGGTTTTGATAGAATGCACTCCATTTATAAGGCAGAGCTGACGCAGGGAGGCAGGACAGACACCGTCGGAGGAAAGAGGCCTATGGGGAGGTGGAAGGTTCGGGGGTTTGCTGTCAGCTGGGGAGCTCCAGAAATCTGAAAGTCATTATCAGTGAACACAAGAATGTAAATACGGTACACTCAGACCATTCCTTCACAAATTAAAAAAAGCACACTGCATGACAACGCGAGTCTTGCGGGGTGGGGTAGGGGGTGCGTTGTACTCAGGTTTACTGCATTCCTTTACTGGAAAGGGCAGAAAGGCTGCCAGGCCCAGCTGTGGGCTCACAGGAAGGCTCCAGGGGTCTGTCACCTTCAAAGCCCTGGAGAAATGGCTTGGCCAACATAGGATTCCAGCCCTGCCTTTTCACAGGTAAGTTGGAAGAAAAAAAGGAACTGGAATTGCTCCAGTATAAGCTCAAAAAAGGTCACTGGGGCTTCCTGACTTGCTTTACAAAAACTGAACCGACTTACAAAGCAACACCACCCTTTCCCAACAACTTCTCCTGGGATGCCCTCCACAGTGCAGCTGCCAGCCAAGGAATCGGGCCTTGAAGTTCCCCTTTAATGGGCAGGACCAGCAGCTGGGCCTGGGGGATGTTACACAATCTGCCTAGGGTTTTACACATTCAGCATTAAAACCACCAAAGGAGGAAAACTACATTCATGGGTCCCATCAGCAGAAAAACCACAGCAAGCTTAATGTGCAGTGCAGGCCCAACCATTTACCTTTGTGGTTTGGAGTCCCTCCTTCCCAAATCCTATATAACCTCCTCACCATGCTCATAAATATGCAATGCTCTGCGAAGTAGTGCAGATTGCTTATTGATCTGTACTGCCTGTGTCTCCTCTTGCAGATGAGTCTCAGTGTTCCATGTAAGTTGAGGGAGGTAGTGCTGTGATCAGTGGTGCCTGTTATAATTTCCATTTGGGATAGGTTATTCTTTTTTTTTTTTCCCTTGAGACGGAGTCTTGCTCTGTCGCCCAGGCTGGAGTGCAGTGGCACGATCTTGGCTCACTGCAACCACCACCTCCCAGGTTCAAGTGATTCTCCTTCCTCAGCCTCCCGAGTAGCTGGGACTACAGGCGCACACCACCACGCCTGGCTAATTTTGGTATTTTTAGGAGAGACGGGGTTTCACCATGTTTACCAGGCTGGTCTCCAACTCCTGAACTCAGGTGATCCACCTGCCTTGGCCTCCCAAAGTGCTGGGATTACAGGAGTGAGCCACTGTGCCTGGCCTGGAATGGGTTATTCTCTATCTCTAGCTATGCTTTGCAGTGTCTTTCTTTCCCATGGGCCCAGAATGGCTGGCCATGGGAGGACTGAGATGAAGCCCTTTGGGAGTCCTGGCTCTCCCTTGTCTGTGTGGTGACAGCCGTGTCACCTGCCTTATGTAATCTATCCTGTATCCCTCCTTCTCTCTCCCGACTCCCGCACTGTCCAACAAGAAAGCCAACAGCCACAGGTGGCTATTGAGCACTTGAAGTTGGCTAGTACAACCGAGGAAGTCAATATCAAATCTCATTCAGTGTCAATCAATTTAAATTTTAGAACTCATGTTCAGTTCAGTTACTGGAAAACGTTTAAGTATCTTTGGAACTTGGTTATGAGAATCTACCTTTTTAACTGTGAATTTAATGAAATCTAAATACAAACCATGTATTTCTGACAAACATTCAGGGCCTGAGTTTGAGATATGCTGTAAGTATAAAATAACTCATTGGGTTTCGAATACATGATATGAAAAAAAGAATGTAAAACATTTCATACCTTAAAATTTTTTATATTGGCTGCATGTAGAAATTATAATGTTTTGGATATATTAAATACAACAAAATAAATTATTAAAATCAATTTAACCTGTGTGGCTACTAGACAGTTTCAAATTACACACAGATTAGCCTTATGTTTCTATTACCCAGGACAGCAGGTCTTGGAGAAATTACTTCCACCTCCTTTGAGTCCTCCTTAGACTTATACTGTCACAGCTGTAAATCTTTTGTAAGGCTTTGTATATTTAGTTCACGTGTATATCTATCTCCCATATAAACTACAAATCTCATTGGCAGTAGGTACAGGCACAGGGAGTGAGAGGGGATCTTATTAACCCTTGAGTCCTTGGTCTGGGGCACAGTGTCTGCCACAAAGCAGACCCTCGAGGAATATTAGTTTGATGAACAGTACTTTTACTGAGGCACAGAATTTTAAAATATTCTATCTCTACGCAAAATGGATAATATGCACATCGAGAATCACAAGTCGAATATATGTTAATTAGCCCTCAGTCGCTTCTGGTTAGTAGCCACTGGAGCAAACTCTTTTCACCTCTCTCGGCATGGCACAAGCATTGTCCTTGACACTTTAGTCCTTCAGACTCAGCACTATGCACTCACTAAGCCTGTGGACCATCAGACTGGAGCTATGTGGACAGAGGTCGGGAGAGAGAACTGAGACCCGGTGCACATCTTCAAGAGGCCTAGAATCTAGTTGACAATATTGACTTAACTTCAGCAAGTATTTTAATCTCTCTCCAAAGGTATGCAGAACTTAGTTGCAAGAGAAGGTGCAACTTTTAAATAGGGACGTTTCTATGGCCCGAGAGTTTTACCAGTATTCTCTTTCCAAATCCCATTACCCAGTCTTGCCATCAGACAGGCCTCAAACACAGAAGGCAATCCTTCTACAGATACAATCTAAGTTTCATGGCCGAGCACAGTGGCGCACGCCTGTAATCCCAGCACTTTGGGATACCAAAGCGGGTGGATCACCAAAAGTCAGGATTTCGAGACCAGCTTGGCCAACGTGGTGAAACGCCGTCGCTACTGAAAATACAAACATTATCTGGGCGTGGTGGCAAGTGCCTGTGACCCCAGCTACTCGGGAGGCTAAGGTGGGAGGATCGCTTGAACCTGGGAGGCAGAAGCTGCAGAGAGCTGAGATCTCAACACTGCACTCCAGCCTGGGTGACAGAGCGAGACTCCCTCTCAAAAAAAAAAAAAAAAAAAAAAAATTGCAGTTTCAGCAGAAGGGAATTCAAAGCTATGCCCAGGCTCCTCGCTGAAGCTTCCTTGGAAATGGCGCTTGCTTCAAAACAAGTTCTTTAAATTAAGAGAAAAATATGCCAGAGGAGGAATACATACATCTTTTATTTGCTGGGTCAAGTATCACAGTGAGTGAAGTCCTAAAATCTTAAGAGAATTTCCTCTTTTGATCTAGGAGGAACATTTTTTGCAAAAGCTAAACCCACACAGATTCCCCCAAGGCAATGGGGAAAAGACGTTAAAGTGGGTGAGTTGTATGTCTTGATCCATTGTCAACCATTGTCCGGCAGAATTGTGGGGACTTAGGGGACATCGGCAAAGGGACAGGACGGGGAAGCAAGTACCCAGCTGCCAGACCAAGGATCCCCGGCAGGGTTAGGACATGGACCAGAACAGCAGGACAACAATTGAACGACAAGAGAGGAAGTGGAACAGACGTTACTCTAGATGTCTGTGCTGTCAAATTCCTCAAAGCACAGAAGTGCCGTCAATGCCCGTGTGCCCCTCAAAAAAAAAAAATCATGCACGCGAGATGCACTACACTGGATTTCTCTTTCTGTCAAGTGCTGCCTCTCCCCAGGAAGATGCCTCAGAAAGGGAAGACATCAACACGTTACAGATGTTTACAAGAGGACGTCAACATTTTGGATAGCCCAAACTCACTGATGGAGAAGCTGGAGAGATTGACGGAGCAATGTAGCCTCAGTGAGCCCACCATTGACTCTGCTCCATGGATTCATTTTTAGATAGACTCAGGCAGGGGGCACACACTTACTTAGTCCCATCTGGGCCAGTTCTTCAAGCTGAGCCTCCGACTTGGCTGTTGAAATGGCATAAGGCAACTTCAAGGTAAATGGTAGAACATCCCTGATTGTTCAGAAAAAGAGAGAATGTTTGTAATTACATGTCTGCTTTCTATCTTGTGTTTATTTTCATCATAGAGATGTTTTAGCTTAAACTGTTTAAAATGTCCTAAGTAGACACCATACCATATCGACAAAGTTATCTTTCCTGGTGGTAAAACTTAACACTTAAAATTCCTGTCTGTATTATCACACACTCAGGACAGGCTGAGAGAAAAACCAGCATAGTTTCAGTATCAAAGTAGGGACCCAATTGCCCTGCTGAGTAGCTAAAACGTATGTAGAGTTTACATCAGAATTGCTGACTTGTTGGTAGATCTAGCATGCATATAAAACATTATGTACTAATTCACTGCATGCCTATGTGAATGTTGGGCCGAAACTGCCTGGGCAGGAATGTGGAATCCTAAACCGAGATGAATTAGCCCATTGCCTTGCACACTGCAGGCTCTCAATGAATATCTGTTGGCTTTACTTATGAAATCTTCCCATTACAGCCCACACATTGGCCTTGGTGTGCTGGAGACAAAACGTTCTCCTGTGTTTGAAGGCAGAGCTTCTCTAATGTACAGATAGATACCCAGGGTCTTGTTATACTGCACACTCTGATTCCAGAGGTCTGGGAGGGACTGGAGATTCGGCATTTCTGCCAAGCTCTTAGAGGATGCTGATGCTGCTGGACCCTGGACCAGGCTTTGAATAGGAAAGCAAGTCTAAGACCCCTCATGCCAATAACCCCAGCACCCAAGCAGCATGGTGCCACGTGCAGATGGACAAACACACATGGCAGAGAGAGCAACAGACCCAACAGGAGAGAGCCCAGCCAGCATCAGGGACCTGCCACAGCCATGGGCCATGACTTGCTTTCTTGGAAATGGCAAAGGCAGACTTAAACATTTGCTCATGTTCATTCACAAAGGTTAGGACCATGCTCTAAGCACTGGTGAATTCCCCACAGGGCAAAGCACAACACTGTCCTGACACAGACAGGCAGGAAGTACTTGAATGAATGAATGAATATTCAATAAATATGGTGACTTAATCAAAAAGGAGGGTTTGTTTGTTTGTTTGTTTTTTTCCAGTGGTGGTAATAGTCTTACAAAGAAATAATTATTCATTCATTTGTTCCACAGATGTTTATGATCATCTGCAATGTGCCAGACATTGCATCAGGGGCTGGGAACGAAACAGACGGAAGTTCCTGCCTGCATGGAGCTCCATGTCAGGGGATACCGATAGACAATAAACAAATACACAATTTACAGAATCTATGAGAAGGAGATCCATGACATGGATAAAAGTGAAGCAGGAAAGGAGAATAAAGAGTGTTTGAGTGTGAAGGTGGGCAGACAAGTCTTCGTGAGCAGGCAGCATTTGACTGAAGATCTAATGGTGGCCAGGGGTTAAATCATGAGGGGAAGGACCTTCCAGGCAGAGTGAGCAGCAGGTGCAAAGGCCCTGGGGTGGGGAGGGTCTGGCATGGATGAAGAACAGCAAGGAGACCACTGCGGCTGGAAGGTGCTAGTAAGGAACAAAACTTGGAGTCCTGCCTGGACTTTGTCATCATGAGACGTGCTGAGAATTTCCACTGACGAGAATAATGATACCAAACAACCTATTGTTTACGGTAAAATTAGGCAACATTCTTGGATAAACCAGATTAAATCTGGATGACTGGAGAATTTTGGAGCCATGGAAGCTGTTAACAATGAATAACAAATTAGTAAGTCAATGAAAAGAAGAAAAAAGCAAGAATGTTTTGACACCGTAGTACTCTGCTAATGTAAAGCCAGGAGGCTGCTGTTCTTGGGGGTCAGGCCCATATCACCTCTTCCTTCCATGAGACCTTTCACTTGTCCTCAAATGTTGTGAGCACCCCCTTTGCTTGGCCACTTGTGTCTGTTTGAGATGAAGCAGGCAGCACTGCAGGGGATGGCTGTGTCTGTAATAGCTGCTGCCTGACCTGGCAGGGCGGCAACCCTGATGCTAATCTCAAGTGAAGATTAATGGGAACCACAACCTTGTAACACCAAACTAGACTGTAAATATATGTTTGTGTGGCCGGACCAACTTAATTAAAATCTACTTTCCTCAGACAATTTTGGGGGAAAGCTGCATACCACAAAACCAACCTGTGTTTATATTAAGCTTTTACCTTGCTCAATGCAGTACCTGGAGCTTAAACGTCACATGACTGGTTTGGGGTTTTCTTAATGATATATGACAGGAAGCCACACCTGTCCTTGGTTAATGGATGGTTTCAGGCTTTGATCTACTAGAAAATTAGATGTTGTATATGCATCGTCTCCCACTGTGCCAGCCAGGGTGCATCCCAGCATCTTCACACACACATGCACACACACATGCACATGCATGCACACGCACACACACTCACACAGGGACGCCTTCTCACTTACATCCTATTAAAGAAAGGGGCCTCAATTCTAAAGCTTGCATAACAGAAAAACAAAAGCCATCATCTTAGATATAAATGTTTCACCCAAGAGTTAAAACATGTACAGTCTAGATTTATTTTGTTTAACTTTGCTCTATACGTAGATTTCTAAAGGGGAGGGGACAAAGATCATCGGGCAACTACTATTAAATTACAGCAGGCACCGTAACTCGTGTGGGGCCTGGAACAGCCCTGGGAGGAAGCCGTGATGCCCCCATTCTGTGGATCAGGAGCAGATGACGACACAGACAAGTGAGGTCCCTAGCACACCTTCGCAGAGCTAATGGAGGTGAAGTGAGGGTCAAAACCTGGATGTGTTGGACCCTAAGGTCTCAGCAGCTGAATAGTATGGTGGGAAAATACGGGCTTTGGCATTAAGGCAGGCCTGAGTTCAACTCCCGTAACTGTCATTTACTGATTGAATGATTGTGGGCACATGCTTCACTTTTTCTGTCTCAGTGTTTTCATCATCCTAATTTATAGGGTTGCCATAAGGATTAGAAATATGTATGTATGGTGCTTAGTACAGATATAGAAGACCCCTAAAATTATTATTTCCTCTATTCCTCTATTCCGGTCTGAGGACAAGCAGCATTAGCCTTAACCCATGGGAGCTTGCTGAAAATGCAAAACCTCAGGTACCACCCCAGACCCACTGTACCGGATTCTGCATTTAGCAAGACTCCAAATGACTCTAGTACTCTCACTACTACACTGATAACACCAAATCAACAGAGCGTTGCCAGGCATTGGGGGTGAAGGTGTGCAGTCACTATTTGTATTCTCAATGACACTTTTCAGCGAGCCTTCCCACTATGGCAAATCCTATGTTTATTGATTCGTGAATTCTCTTGTGCAATGCATATTTGCATATGCATGCTGTGTGAAACACCAGAACCAATAATCCAATCACTTTCTTTACTTGAATATATTTATATACTAACAACCAACTAAAAAATGTCACAAATATTCTTGTAAGACTGAGTAAATCAACTACCAATTGCCAAGAACATAGATGAGTAGCATAGAAAGAGAAACAAAAACATCAAATATCTTTGCATTTTGGAACAGACAGGGAAATTAATCTTGGCCTTCCTACCTGCAAAACATCAATTTTGGAGTTTTCCTGTAAGTACCTTATATATTGGTATCATGTGTTATAGTTTATAAGGCTTTCATATACTTTATCTCCTTGCATCTTCAAACAGTCCTGGACAGCAGGTACTCCAGTCTACCATGAACACTGATGGTAACTTTTCTATGCTACTGCCAAATATTGCTTTGTAGGTGTAATGATTTTTCCCAGCAACTCCACAATTACCAAAAAGCAAACTGTGAAAAGTAAATATCAGCTGGCTTCACCCCTGGCCAACGTGTTAGCATTGAGACTTACTCCTCCAACCTGGTTGGCTTTAGGCCATACCAGGTGTGGTTCCCTGGGGATGAGTGTGTATATATGTGTGTGTGTGTGTGTGTGTGTCTGTTGGGGGCTGTGCTTCTGCACCAGCCTCCTCTCTTTGGGCAGCACATTTCATTTCCTTACACAGGCTTAAGAGATCCTGCCCAAATCATGGCAGGCAGGTTGCATCCTCTTGGGAGGTGCCCCCAGGTACTAGTCCCATTCTCAGTGAAGCCCTCATTTTCTTCCTGCTGGTGAGCAGCGCTGAATTCCTCCTCTGGAAGTGCCTCCCCTTCCTGAGGCCATTTATTGTGTGGCTTCAGCTGACCTGGAGACTTCAGAGGGTGAACGGCTTAGTGGCTCCTGGCCGGGCATGGTGCTCACACCTGTAATCCCAGCACTTTGGGAGGCGGAGGCGGGCGGATTGCCTGAGGTCAGGAGTTTGAGACCAGCCTGGCCAACGTGGTAAAACCCCATCTCTACTAAAAATACAAAAATTAGCTGGGCATGGTGGTGCATGCCTGTAATCCCAGCTACTCAGGAGGCTGAGGCAGGAGAATTGCTTGAACCCAAGGAGGTGGAGGTTGCAGTGAGCCGAGATCACGCCATTGCACCCCAGCTTGGGCAACAAAAGTGAAACTCCATCTCAAAAAAAAAAAAAAGTGCGTAGTGCCTCCTGCCCTCTGGCAGAGTCTAGTCAACAGGCATTTAGTCTTTGAGAAACAACCTAATCCTTAAATTAAAATAAACCGAGCCAAACTCAAATAAACTCCCCAGCCTATACGTGTGTTAGCTGTGAGAAGTGATGTCTGAAAACATCCTAGTAACACATTTTCCTGTCTCTGCCATATCAGCTGCCATGGACAGAGAAGAAAAGGAAGCCAAATTGAGCTCAGCCCCATAAGAGGAGGCAATGCCAATCCCTGCAGATAACAAGAATTTTGATTCTTAATTACTGAAAAAACACTTGATGTGAAAAAACTGTTATTGCTAGTAAGAAAAAAATGGAAAAAAAGAAAGAAAGAAAGCCTTTCACAATGCACACCCTGTTGACTCTGGTTAATATTCTGATTCTGGGCGGGGCGTGGTGGCTCACACCTGTGATCCCAGCACTTTGGGAGGCCGAGGTGGGTGAATCATCTGAGGTTAGGAGTTCAAGACCAGCCTGGTCAACATGGTGAAAACCCGTCTCTACTAAAAATACAAAAATTAGCCAGGCATAGTGGTAGGCGCCTGTAATCTCAGCTACTCAGGAGGCTGAGTCGGGAGAATTGCTTGATCCCAGGAGGCAGAGGTTGTAGTGAGCCAAGATCACGCCACTGCTCTCCAGCCTGGGTGACAGAGTGAGACTTCATCTCAAAAAGAAAACAAAAAACAAAAAACTGATTTTGGACTTAACATTGTATAGAACAAAATAGTTGCTTTGGTTATGAAAAGGACATGAGCACCCAGTTGGCCTGAAGGACAAGACTGATGGGCTGGTTTAAGGAACCCACATTTGTAGAATGAACTCCATCCCTTACAGAGTTTTCAGAGGCATTATCATGAAGCTTTCAAAGTCACAGGTTTGCATGCACATTCCCTTTCTGTGTGTAGGTGTGTGTGCGCATGTATGTGTGTGCATGTGTGTCTGTGTGTGCATGTGTGCACATATGTGCGTGTGTGTGTGTTTCCTGCTTGATGGGCCTGGCTGAAAGGAGCCTTGGGAGCAGCTTGAAGAAATAATCATATGAAGGATAATTTATGTTTGGAGGGGTTGGGATAGTCGTTTTGACCTTAAGCCTGGCATGGTGTGAACTTGGTGAACCTGTTCACTTGGTGAACATTTTACTTAAGTAACCAGTCTTAATCTGCCAACATCAAATAGGTGGCCAGCCTCCTAGATCCTTCAAGAAACCTCAGGTTAATTATATCCCACACACCAAACAGGGCCTTGAAACCATATGAGAGGAAGAGGCCTTACCTGCTGATGCAGTAGAAAGCAATGAGCCGGAATAAATCTGCGAAACTGATTCCTGAGCCTTCCAGGGAAAAGGCTGGAAAAGAGATTTCAGAAACCAGCTGATTCTCCCTGAGCACGTTCTGGGACAGGAAGAGCCCCTAACACCATGTGTGTGGGACCATCTGAGTACTCTCAAACAAACTACCGTGTGGCTTATCAGAACCAGCTGTGCAGAGGAGGCATGTCAGCCAGCAGCCACCGGTAAACAGTCGATGATCTGGAAGTTCATCGCTTGACTCATGCCGAGCACATGCTCCAGTGCTTGGTAAACAGACCAGGACAGACTCGAGTTGCACAACTGTCTTTTTTTTTAACTTCAGAACACAAAGGGCAGGGGACAAGGGGCCAGTCTGTCTGGATTGTATCAGCACAGGACAGGGCTTGGGGAACACCAAGACCCCTACTCCCCTCGATCCCTTGACCCTCCTAGGACACACACTTCCCTGGCCACTCCTTTTTGCCATAACAGAGCACCTGTGATAAAAGCACACGGGAGAAGGAATGTAGAGCTGGGAGGATATAACAAGTTCCCTGAAATCAGCTTTTGGTTAAATTCAACATGAAAGATTCCAAAACTGGCCGGGCATGGTGCCTCATGCATGTAATCCCAGCACTTTGGGAGGCCGAGGAGGGAGATCTCTTGAGCCCAGGAGTTTGAGACCAGTCTGGGCATTATAGCGAGACTACATCTCTCTTTTTTTTTTTCTCTCTCTCTCACTTTTTTTTAAAACAAAGATTCTAAAACCCATTTACTTGGAGTGTTGTTCCCCCCTCCACCCCTGCTCCAGTGTTCACATTTTCTAACACAGAAGACATGTTCTGAGCCGGCCATGGTGGCTCACGCCCGTAATCCCAGCACTTTGTGAGGCCAAGGTGGGTGGATTACCTGAGGTCAGGAGTTTGACACCAGCCTGGCCAACATGGCAAAACCCTGTCTCTACTGAAAATACAAAAATTAGCTGGATGTGGTGACATGCACCTGTAATCCCAGCTATTTGGGAGGCTGAGGGAGGAGAATCATTTGAACCTGGGAGGTGGACGTTGCAGTGAGCCAAGATAGAGCCACTGCACTCTAGCCTGGGTGACAGAGAAAGACTCTGTCTCAAAAAAAAAAAAAAAAAAAAAAAAAAGACACATACTGGCAAGATGGTGTGGCATTCTGCACATCTTCCAAATGCTGGAGCAGCAAGTAGTCTGACTTCAAATACTCATGAATTTGCCAGCCAGCCCTCACACCACCTCAGCTGAGCAACTCACACTGATATTCCTCTAAACATTTGAAATATCCTGTTTTATGAAGATTTCCTCAATCCGATGTGTTTCTTCTCACTCATACCCTCATTTATTTTGCTTATTTGCCTTTTTTTTTTTTTTTGGAGACAGAGTTTCGCTGTTGTTGCCCAGGTTGGAGTGCAATGGTGCAATCTCAGCTCACTGCAACCTCCATCTCCCGGGTTCAAGCGATTCTCCTGTCTAAGCCTCCCAAGTAGCTGGGATTACAGGCATGTACCACCAAGCCTGGCTAATTTTGTATTTTTAGTAGAGACGGGGTTTCTCCATGTCAGGCTGGTCTCGAACTGCTGACCTCAGGCGATCCGCCCACCTCAGCCTCCCAAAGTGCTGGGATTACAGGTGTGAGCCACTGCGCCGGCTGCTTCTTCGCTTTTTTGTATTATTTTATTATTTCTGTAGCACCCCCAAAAAACATCCATACCGCTACACATATACCATCACAGACACACACAGACACACAGAAACAACAAACACACGTGTGCCACAATTTGTAGAGTTAAGGAGGAGGGAACTGATTTGGAGCAGGTTAGCTTCTCTAAGCCTCGGTTTTCTCATCTGGAAAATGGACCCTAACAGTACTTTCCTTATCTCCCAGAAGGGTGGTGGGGGGAGATGAAATTTTTTAAAAATGAAATAATTTATGTGAAAGCATTGTTTCCAAATATGAGGTGTTGTTTATTATTAAGCTGCACTGTCTGTAAGTTATGACAAAATATCTGAATATTTATTTATTTGAGATAAAGTCTCACTCTGTCGCCCAGGCTGGAGAGTGCAACGGCACTATCTCGGATCACTGCAACCTCCACCTCCCGGGTTCAAGCGATTCTCCTGCCTCAACCTCCTGAGCAGATGGGATTACAGGCTTGCGCCACCACACCTGGCTAATTTTTGTGTTTTCAGTAGAGACGGGGTTTCACCATGTTGCCCAGGCTGGTCTCGAACCCCTAGCCTCAAGTGATCCGCCCACCTCAGCCTCCCTGAATGTTTTTATAGCAAGTCCTTCCTTCACCTCAATTCACAGAGAAGATAAACAGGCCCTGGCTGAGAAGGGGCCATTGCAGTGGGACCCAGGCCTGTGGTAACTAGTTATGACCAGGCTAATGCTTTATTTAAACAAGCTCTTTTAACCACTTGAAGTCACCTGGAGAAGATTAGGGAAGTGATTAGAGGCCTTGTCAAATTATGGGGGAAAAACCTTCGGCCACAAGGACCTCAATGAACAACGAGGAAGCTTCCACACACATTGCCCACACTTCTGGAAGAGGAGAGGAAGTGGCTTCCGACCAACACATCCATCGTGCTCCACTTTGGACATTAGGGAGGAATTTGAAAACCAGTTAGATCTGTGGCTTCTTGCCTTGTGGACTTTTTTTTTTTTTAATATTTTTGGGTTGTTTTTTCATTTTTAAGACACGGTCTGGCTCTGTCGCCCAGGCTGGAGTGCAGTGGCACGATCACGGCTCACTGCACTTAAGTGATCCCACCTCAGCCTCCTTAGTAGCTGGGACTACAGGCGTGTGTCATCATGCCTGGCTAATTTTTTTTTTTTTTTTTGGTGGAGATGGAGTTTTGCCATGTTGCCCAGGCTGGTCTCAAATTCCTGAGCTCAAGCAACCCTCTGGCCTTGGCCTCCCAAAGTGCTAGGATTACAGGTGTGAGCCATGGTGCCCAGCCTCTCGCAGACTTTCAAAAGCCAATTCAGAATTACTTAATTGATTCACTTAATATAAATTCATTATCAATTCACCTAACACATTATTAGCTCAATATGAATTTATTACCTTTCAAGCAGTGGGTTTGCAATGTACCTTCTGGTTGCATCCTAATGTATTTACATTATTGGCTGGGTTCCGCCTGCTTGTGCGCCTTTCAGGGGGAAGTTTTTCCCTGGCATCCATGACCTTGTGGACTTGTAAGATCCAGGTTGACAATTGAGCTGGAGGCGGTTCACAGTCAGCCTGGCAGGTTTTACCCTCCCCTAACTCAGTTAATGGTCATTTGGCTCAGCAAGATTGTGCCCTCCCGGCTGAGTAGAATCTCATCTCGGCCCTGAAATTGACCTTCATCTACACCTTCAGCTTCTCCAAATGCAGGAGGTGAGGTGCTGGGAAATCGGGAAGCAAGTGGGAATCCCAGGCTCTGTCTTGCTTCTGAGCTCTCTCCTCCTGGCCTGCTCCTCCCACTCCTCCCCCTTTGATGTGCAGATCCATCTTCCGATCCTTTCTTGGAGGCTGGCAGTACATCAGAACTGGGTGTTCCCTTTTTTATTTAAAATTTGGCCTCCCGACACTTCACATTTCCAATGACCAATCGTGGAACAGCAGAAAGAAAACCAACACTTCTGAACACCACTCTCCCTTCAAAATGTTCATCAAAAGGTTGGATTCTGCCTCTGATTAGCTGCATTTCATAGAAGACTGAACACTGATTGCCTGGAGGGAACAGGTCTGCTCAGGGATTATTTATTCACGAAGAAGTGCAGACACATGCTTTAGGATTTAGGATTAGCGTGAAAGGGCTCTCTCGCTACAGTCTCCTTGCAACTTAGTCACTGGCAAACCTGGGAACTGAATTCATGTTCCACTTAACTGGGTAGGGGGAGAGGAAGTCAACCTCTATTAGTTCCCTACCATATGCCATGCAGTAGGCTGCACACTTTATATTCAGGTTGTTTGACTCATTAACATCTCAGAGGTTACCATCATCCCATTACACAGATGAGAAAACTGAGGCTCCTGGAGTAGGTTATCTGCCTAGTCATTCAGTGCCAAGACTCAGGCCCATATCTGCCCATCTCATAACCAGAGCTCCTTCCATTTCCACTCCCTGCAGAGCCCCGTGGCCCTGTCAGTCAGGACCTGAGCATCCAATGACCACTTACTGTATGTGCTTTCCTTTATGGCAAATTCCTTGAGTGGGGCCCCAAATTCACAGGGCAGGCGGAGGGAGAGGACTTTCTTCTGCATCTTGGTAGATTTATGAACCAGGAAGATCTAGTGGAGGGAAAAGAAATACAAGCTTTAGGAAATATCTAGAATGTTGGAACCCAAGCATCTGGTTTCCCTCACACTCAATGAATAGAATCCCTTCATATCCACACTGCATGGCTCCCTGCAGGAAACTCTCCTGCCATAGAAAGGGGTGCTCAGAGCACAGGCTGCAGACACCTTTGTTCATTACTGCCTCCAAAAGAATCCTGCTTTCCCTCTGACAGAAGCTTCTCCATGGGGCTAAGAACTCCCCTAGTCTGCATAAGCATTTTCAGTTCAGTGACTGTTTTACTGCTGGAGTTACGGTCTCCAGCCCCTGTCTTATATGAGTTATATTCTGTAGCCCCTGTCTTATATATCTTGGTTGGTGAAACCTAAATTCTAAACACAGGTAACATGACTAAACCATAGGAATTGGCATTTCATTGGTTAACTTGGCTTATGAGGATATTTACAATAGAAATTTAAGTTTGTGGCCAACAGTGAAAAAGCAGAAGTTGCTTTGTTTTTTGTTTTCAAATTGAAATCTGAATTTCTAGCTCCTCTTGGAAAATGAGATGATATAGCAAGACCAGGCAACAATCTACTGGAGCTGAAAAATGGCTGTTCCATTTGGGTGGTGGGTGGATGCACTCTGAAGTTCACCCCGGTGGACATGGAGGCTGTCCATTTATTCCTGACTCACTTCACATTCTACCAGTTCCCTCAAGATCCTAATATTGTCTTTAGACACATGCTTTAAAACAGTTCAATTCCTAGTGCTGATCTCAGGACACCATTCTGTCCCTCATCACTGCAGAGTTAAGTATGCTGTGTACTGTTGTGTAGGCCGTGCACTGCACAACTCCAGGAGGCACCATTCACCTAGCCTACAAATGAAGTGACTCTCCCTGGAGTATGGCGTGTGGCAGCCCAGCTGAGTCCTGGTTCCCTTCTGTGGAGCATGGCCCTTCTCCTATTCTGTCTGTCATGCTTCTTTAGCTACTTCTCTTTCCTCTGCATTTAAACACCTTACTCTCTACCTATTCTCTCCCCTACCTTTCTATAGCCTTTCATTTTTTCCCTGCCTAATCTTTGCTCCTCTCTTTATCTCCAGTTGATATCTCATAAGATACTTTATTTGGGGGGTGGGAAGATGGGTATGGGACTTGGGTATCTGGTGAAGAATGAAGCTGGAAGACCGTGAGTTCTCTTTTCTCCTGGCACCATGGGGATGCATCCATAGGACTCATCCAGTAGCAGGTTCTGGGAGTCAGTGCCTCTGGGACACCCTAAAACTGAAGCAGATGCTTCCTAAATAGCATCCAGGGGGGTAAGAGGCCAAAGCACTGTGGAGAGGCAGCTGTTGGTTGTTAGGAGAGGAAGTAACACTCCCTTTTCCAAGTGGAGATCTCCCTGAGCCTTGGGGTTGGGGAGTGCAACCTCTAGGCCTTATTTTTTGGAGGACTGCAGCCTTACGTTATATCAGGGGTTGGCAAAGTCTGGCCTGCAGACGAAATCCATCCTGCCATCTGTTTCTGAGTAAAGTTGTAGTGAAATACAGCCACGCTCGATCATTTACATATTGTCTATGGCTGCTTTTGCATGACAATAGTGTAGTTGAGTAGTTGTGACAGAGACTCTATGGCCTGCAAAGCCAAAAATAGTTTACTTTGCCCTTTACAGAAACAGTCTGTGGACCTCTATCTTAGATTGTAGAATAATTAAGGATGGGCACCCCAAGAGCCCACTTCACTCATGCCACCATGGCCAGTCTCTCAAATCCTCCTTTTTCACACACTTTTAGCCACCTGCTTTTCTCTCTCTTCTTTATTTTATTTAATTATTTTATTTTTAGATGGAGTCTTGGTCTGTCATTCAGGCTGGAGTGCAGTGGTGCAATCTCAGCTCACTGCAACCTCCACCTCCTGGGTTCAAGCAATTCTCCTGCCTCAGCCTCTGGAGTAGCTGGGGTTATGGGTGCGTGCCACCATGGCTGGCTAACTTGTGTATTTTTAGTAGAGACGGGGTTTCGCCATGTTGGCCAGGCTGGTCTCGAACTCCTGATCTCAAGTGATCTGCTCGCCTTGGCCTCCCAAAGTGCTGGGATTACAGGCCTGAGCCACCATGCCTGGCCTCTCCCTTCGTTATTCTTGACTGTCCTGGTCCACGTTACTCCTGTCCTGGCCCTGCCCTCAACCTGCCCAATCTCATCAGGCAGGCCCTGTGCAGGGATCAGGCAGGTGGATGGAGAGAACATGCCTGGCTTGTTTCCCATGCAGGTTTCAGCAAGAGTGGACGTGCCCTACCTTGGGAGGGGGAGCTGGGCAGGCTGTTGCCTAGCTCTGCAGCAACTTCTGTCTTTGGAATGTTTTGCAGAAATGCAAGAGCAGACAATTCAACTGGCTGAAAGTTAGGCTTCACAGAAGGTGAGGAAATCCTGATCCTATAGAACAAAACTAGAGGCAGCAGCTCTGTGTTATGGCCAAGGGATTCTCTGCAAAGATGAGAAAGCACCGTGCCTTGTTCCCCTGAGCATGTTCTAGCAGACGTCTTAGTTCTACCTGTTTCTGCCTGATGAGGAATAAAGAAAGATTCATATGTTTTTTAAAAAGTGAGAACAGACAGACTCTGACTGCTAGGAAACTCAAAAAGGTATTTAGTGCCCAATTCTTATGACATTCCTCAGCTAGCTACTAATGGGATTTTCTCCTTGCTTCTCCATCTAGTTCTTAGTTTCTATCTTGTGTTGCGTGTTAAGTATTATTTTATCTGTGACTTATTGTATTTATCCTTTGGAAGTAGACACTGTACACAAATGCCGTCCACTATAACTTTGTACTACAATGACAATGTTCCAAATTTTGCACCATCTAATATGGCAGCCAGCCGAGGCCAGAGAGCACTTAAAATGTGGCTACGGTAACTGAGGAGCTGAATTTCTAATTTTATTTGCTTTAATTCATGTAAATTTAAACAGCCACATGGGGCAAGAAGCTACCATATTGGATAGCACTAGAGATACCAATCACTTTTTTTTTTTGGGGGGGACAGATTCTTGCTCTGTCGCCCAGACTGGAGTGCAGTGGCACAATCTCTGCTCATGGCAACCTCCACTTCCTGTGTTCAAGTGATTCTCCTGCCTCAGCCTCCTGAGTAGCTGGGATTACAGGCGTGTGCCACCACACCGGGCTAATTTTTGTAATTTTAGTAGAGATAGGGTGCCACTGTGTTGCCCAGGCTGGTCTAGAAATCCTGGCCTCAAGTGATCTGTCCGTCTTGGCCTCCCAAAGTGCTGGGATTACAGGCGTGAGCCACCGTGCCCGGCTCCAGTCACTTTTTTGAGGACCTTCCACAAGTCGTGGAGTGGTCTGGATGGGACGGACAGTGGTCTTGGATAGACAGTAGCTGAGGAAACCATATTAGACTTTAGTCTGTGTGGAAAGCCCAGGGAAAAGAGGACTACAGAGCAGGCAAGTCTGTGGACACAGAACTTTTGAAGGCTGGGTCCCAAGTTGGATGGCTGGACCTTGGCAGGGCTCCCAGGCTCAGAAGGAGAGGAAGGTAGCAGAGGCCACCAAGGATCTCAGACCCAGGCTCATCCTCAGTGTCCAGGCTCAAGAGGTCAGACCCAGGCTTCTGGCCAGTGGCCCCTACTCGCTACCCAGATGCTCAGTTCTCTGCTGGATCCTTGTACCTCCCATGGTAACTGAGCAGATAAAGACAGAAAGACACATCGTGAAGGGCTCTGTTCCTGGGTTTACAGAATATTTCTGCATTGAAAACCAGTTACACATCAAGAGACATGCTCCTTACAAGCTAGGAAGAAATTTCTGGAACTAACTCCAAGTGTTTTTCTTTAAGCCGGCAGCAGTCCTGCCTGCTTCAACCTGCTTCCCGAGGTTCTGAGTCTTACCCCCGGAGGCTGGGCCTGCAGGACCTCTGCTGCCTCCTCCTCACTCAGACTCAGCTGCAGCCATATGGGGTGGGTGTGGAGGAGCCGGTCCAAGATGCTGAGCCTGTTGGAGAGGCTGTCATAGCCTGAGTCCCGGGCACAGGTCTTCACGTCCTCTTCCTCGGAATAGCCACCATCCTTGTGTCTTACCATGCTAGGAGAAAGAGAAGCGGCACGGTCAGCTGGCTGCAGTACCATTTCCCTAACAAGGAGACCGTCCCTACAAGTTCATAGGCCAGGCTTGCCACCGCACATACCCCATCTTGTGATCGCCCCCTTAATCATCTTCTCTTCCAGACTGAAAGCTTTCTGAGGGCAGACACAATGTTTTATTTTACCCTCTATCTCTAATATTAAAAAGAACACTTTGCACTGGGCAGACCTGACCTTCTATTCCTAACCCCATTTTCAAAAGTTCTAAGCATCCTAAATGCCATTTATTCAGGCTTTGTCTTCCGACATAAAACATTTCTTTTTTTCTTTTTCTTTTCTTTTTTTTTTTTTTTTTTTTGAGATGGAGTCTTATTCTGTTGCCCAGGCTGGAGTGCAGTGGCGCGATCTGGGCTCACTGCAACCTCCGTCTCCTGGGTTCAAGTGATTCTCCTGCCTCAGTCTCCTGAGTAGCTGGGATTATAGGCGCACACCACAATGCCCGGCTAAATTTTTGTATTTTTAATAGAGATAGGGTGTCGCCATGTTGGCCAGGCTGGTCTTGAACTCTTGACCTCAGGTGATCCGCCTACCTCGGCATTCCAAAGTGCTGGGATTACAGGCATAAGCCACCCTGCCTGGCCAATATAAAACATTTCTAACTTTGAGGACAGAACCCTAAATGCGAAATAGCATGGATGGTAACCGTGAGTTCCTAATGCTCAGTAGCATTTCTCATAAGCACAACCATGCCCCAGTCTAAAGGCAAATGCACTCACACAGATTTATTTTGTACCTGAATGATTGGATTTTATTTCTTCTCACAAATCTAAGCATTTTTATTACTGACATTATTTATAATAAAACCTCACAGAGGAGTGATGCTGTGCTATTCGTAAAATCATGTCGACATTACTCATAATAGCTAACAAGCGGAAACAACCCAAATGTCTGTCAGCTGATGAGTGGATGAACAAAATGTGGCCAAGTGTGGTGGCTCACGCCTATAATCCCAGCACTTTGGGAGGTTGAGGCAGGCAGATCACTTGAACCCAGGAGTTTGAAGCCAGCCCGTGGAACCTGACGAAATTCCATTTCTACTAAAAATGCAAAAATTAGCCAGGTGTGGTCATGCGCACCTGTAGTCCCAGCTACTCAGGAGGCTGAGGTGGGAGGATGGCTCTAGCCTGGGAGTTTAAGGCTGCAGTAAGCCATGATCCCACCACTGCACTCCAGCCTGGACAACAGGAGTGAGGCCCTGTCTCAAAAAAAGAAAAAAAAAAGAGTAATCTATTCTTACAATGGAATATTATTCAGCCATAAAAAGGAATGGGGCACTGACGCATGCTGCAACATGGATATACTTGGAAAGCATCTTGTTCAGTGACAGAAGCCAGACATAAGGCCACATACTGAATGACTCGATTTACATGAAATATCCAGAACAAGCAAATCTACAGAGACACAAAGTAGATCAGTGGGCTCCAGAGAATGGGGGAGAGAAAAGAGAATGGGGAGCGATTGCAAACAGGTACCAGGTTTCTTTCCAGGGTGATGGAAATGTTCTGGTATTAGAGAGTGGTGATAATTGCACAATGTGTGAAGGTACTAAAACCCGCGAATCATGCACATTAAAAGGGTGAATTTTATGGTATGTGAATTACGTCTTAATGACCAAACCATATTGACATCCTTTTGGTGCCAATACTGGTTCTGTCAGTGAGTGTTTAATTCCCATTTTACCAATGAGAAGACCGAGGCCTAAGAAGTTACTGAGCTGTCCTGAGTGATAACAGCCTTGAAACAGCAGAACTAGAAATTACACATGCTCTGGTATTTATCCAATGTTGTGGGTACCAAGTCAGGTCAGGGACACAGGGGTGAGGGGCACAGGGGTGAGGGACACAGGGGTGAGGGGCACAGGGCAGTTTGTATCCATGTAGCGGCTGTTGTGTGCCAAGCCCTTTACCTACATTCTCTCATTTACTCCTCTTGGCAGCCCTGGACCACAGGCACCATGATCCCGGTTTTACAGAGAGGACCAGGAGTCTTAGCTCAGGTCAGGATCTTGCTCAAGGTCAAGCCCCTGGTCAGAGAGAGGGGGCTGACATTTCCATCCAAGGCAGCTTCGCTCTGGGTTCTCTCACCCTTTACCAAACTCAGAACTGACACTTAACCTGGCTCTCAAGGAGCAGGTCATCAAGCCCTATCCTGGGGCAGCCAAGGGACACCAGACCTGACCATTCATGTCCAAACAAGCAGGTTTAGATTCGGGTACATATGGTCTTCAATCCTCTAAACCCAAAGGAACTCAACTGTGTGAACTAGATAATGTATTTAGCACTGAGAAGGATGGATAATGAAACTGAATGTATGATGAGTTATAAAAAGGAAATTAAAGGAAGGAAGTGTGATATTTCCACATGGACAACTCTACTCCTAAGAGGTGGGACTGAATTTAGAAGAAGCCAACCTATGCCGATCATTTTTGGGTGTGCAGACTCAATAATAATACCCAGTGTTGGCATGTGGACTGGCCAGAGACCCCCGTCCTAACTTCTCTCCATCACCTTCGTGACTTTCTGCAGGCCTAAGGAATCTCACTCATTCATTCAAGATTTATCTTTTTATTTCTTCTCAAATATGTGAAAGCTTTGCTCAACTTCTGCTACAAATTTCCAGGTAGGAGACTCTGTGCCAAAAAGAATAGTTTCTCCTTCTGCAAATGCCATTCCAGGGCCTGCAGGTATTGGGAAGTGAATATTTGCAGTTAAAAAAACATACTCTTCAAAGTGAAGCTGGTGTTAAAATTCCTTTCATAGAAGGTAAAAGAGCCAGCTTTAGACAAGTGATTCTCAACCCTGGCTGCTGATAAAAATCACCTAAAAAAGCCAGGCATGGTGGCTAAAGCCTGTAATCCCAGCACTTTGGGAGGCAGATCATCTGAGACCAGGAGTTCAAGATCAGCCTGGCCAACATGGTGAATCCCTGTCTCTACTAAAATACAAAAAGTAGCTAGGAGTGGTGGTGGGTGCCTGTAGTCCCAGCTACTCAGGAGGCTAGGGCGGGAGAATTGCTTGAACTTGGGGAGGCGGAGGTTGCAGTGAGTGGAGATCGTGCCACTGCACTCCAGGCTGGGCAACAGAGCAAGACCCTGTCTCAAAAAGAAAAGAAAAGAAAAGAAAAGCCAGGTGCAGTGGCTCACGCCTGTAATCCCAGCACACTTTGGGATGCTGAGGCGGTTGGATCACTGGAAGTCAGGAGTTCAAGACCAGCCTGGTCAACATGGTGAAACCCTGTCTCTGCTAAAAATACCATAATTAGCTGGGCATGGTGGCACACACCTGTAGTCCCAGCTACTCAGGAGGCTGAGGCAGCCTTGAACATGGGAGGTGGAGGTTGCAGTGAGCCGAGATCCTTCCACTGTACTGTAGCCTGGGCAACAGAGCAAGACTCCGTCTCCAAAAAAAGAAAAAAAAATTCCCCAGGGGATCCCAACGTGCAACCAAGTTTACAACCACTACTTTGGATCAGTATTTGTCAAACTTGAGAGCCTGCGTGAAAGTCACCTGGGGTTTGTTAAGCCACAGATTCCTGGTTTCAGACTCACAGCTTCTGCAGGTGTGGGGTGAGCCAGAGACATTGCATTTCTAACAAGCTCTCAGTGACCAATCTGAGGACAACACTGTAAGGAACATTTGCCTGAGATCCAAGTGTAAAACATGCATATTAACTCAGATCAATTAGGGGTTTGGTTTTGTTTTGCTAGGGGCTGCGGGCGCGGGATGGGTACCATGCCACTAAAAGAATTCTTGGCGACTAAATAAATATTTTATCACTGCCATCTCAGGTTGGCCATATTTTGCCAAGACCAAATTGGACAGTGTCTAACATGACAATCGTGATGCTCATGTGTGCTGAAAGTAAACACGTTGACATATCTTCCTTCCCTAGAAGGGCGCATCCTGTGACTCCTCTGTGGTTTCAAGGAGCTGAAAAGCCTTTGTTCTGACAAGTGACCTCAGCCTAAAAAGCAGGGCCCAGACAGGAAGATGGTGAATAAGATTCATGGGGCCTTATAAAACAGCAACCATAATTATCCCTTGCCTTTGCAAATGACTAAGCTGACACCTTGATTCAGCCAGCCACTTGAGGTTTATAGCATATTATTACAGGACAAATTGGCTTTTATCAGGAACAACCTTCAGGAAAAAACTAATGTGAGAACATTGAACATGTAGGGGATGCTACTGGTGCTCCACCTAGAGCCCCTCCTCTAGGGCAGGCACCCATGCCCCATCTGCTGCGAGTGTTGGCTGTGGAAAGCTCACAGCTGCCCCTCTTCTCCTGGAAATGCCCAGGAAGCTACATCCTCTCCCTGAGAGCAGACTCACTGCCAGTGACATACTGATATGTACTTTCTACATATGTGAGATGGAGAAGAGTGGCCTTCTAGCCTTGAGTTGAGACAACTCTGGGGGGCTATTCACGCTGCTGAGCTCCCTGTGGGACCAGGCAGAGCCCACGTCTTTGCCTTGCCTCCTCCCTTTCCCATCCTGGATCCCTCACTCCTTGGCAGGCTGCTTCTGAATCACTTGCACAAGAAGCCCCAAATCAGGCTCTCCTTCCAGGGAACTCAACCTATGACAGAACTTGATGAGATTCATAGAAACTAGCGATTTCTAAGAAAGGTGTCTGCATGCAAACAGGAGGGAAGGCAGTGAACAGAGGTTCATAAAAGGTAAAACACTGTGATACAATCCAGGAGATTCCAATAAAAACATGGTCATAGTGGAATGGCCACAGAGCCAAGCTCAGGGCAGGAAGCATGAGGTTCCTCTCCTAGCTCAGCTGGGCATGTGAGACCTTGCTCAGGTCCCTTTCTGAGCCTCGCCCTTTTGATCTGAAAATAGTAAATAACAATACCTTCACCACCAGGTAGTAATCAATGCAAGCAAAAATTGAGTGGATGCTAAAATCAGAAGGCAAAAGACTTAGGAAATAGGATAGTCATAGTCTTAAAATATCACCTCACAGATCACTTAATGACTTGTGAAAATGAAAAGGTACCCTGGCAATGGAGGAAACTGGTAGATGTCACCTTAACCAAGTGATCTGTGTTAACTCCTCCAAAAATGAGCTGCCCTGACATCAAGTGCCCCCAGTGTGAGGCTCTGAGAAGGTACCATGTCACCTAGGTGTCTTTCCTGCTCCCAAATATGACTCACCTGAATGTATACAGGAGAAAACAATCAGAAAAATCCAAATTTCAGTGACAGCAAAACCAATGGCCAAAACTTCAAAAATGTCAATGTTATGAATTTTAACAGGCTGTAGGATTAATACAGGTTCGAGGTGAATAAAGAGATGTGGTAACTACATGGAGTGCATAGCCTGGAACTCATATATGGCATCAGTATAAAAAGATCTATAAAGGACAATTTCACCTGTAATCCCAGCACTTTGGGAGGGCAAGGTGTATGGATCGCTTGACCTCAGGAGTTTGAGGCCAGCCCGGGCAACATGGCAAAACCCAGTCTCTACAAAATATACAGAAAAGAATTAGCCAGGCATGATGGAGCGTTCCTCTGGTCCCAGCTACTCAAGAGTCTGAGGCGGGAGGATTGCTTGAGCTTGGGAGGTGGAGGTTGCAGTGAGCTGAGATGGCACCACTGCACTTCAGCGGGGGTGACAGAGTTAGACTCTGTCCCAAAAAAAGAAAAAAAAAAAAAAAGGTTAGCCAGGCACAGTGGGGTGTGCCTACAGTTCTAGCCACAGCTGCTCAGGAGGCTAAGGCAGGAGAACTGTTTGAACCCGAGAAGTGGAGGTTGCAGTGAGCCAGACTGCACCATTGCACTCCAGCCTGGGTGACAGAGCAAGACCCTGTCTCAAAAATAAAATAAAATAAAATGGAGAATTTCCTTAAGTGTGATAATTTTATTATGCTTACAAAGGAAAAATGCTTTTATTCTTAGGACATGCATACTGAAAAATTTAAGGGCAAAGTATAAACATGTTTGAAAGTGTCAAAAGAAAGAAAGAAAGAAAGTGTCAAATGATGAGCTCCCCCTAAAAAGAAAAAAAATAGGGAGATAAAGAAAATGTAGCAAAATTTCAGCACTTAGTGAATTAACTGAACAGTGCTATCTTTGCAACTTTTCCATAATGTTTGAAATTTCTCAAAATAATAGGTTGGAGGAGAAGTAATAATATCTACCATCTCACTGAGTTTTTATAACTATAAAACTCATTTATTTGTGCAGCCATTCCCACTATGTCTAGGTGTCTAGGGCTGCTATCATGGGGAGATAAAACTTAGGTACAGATACAGTGAGACCCACATGTGAATACAATGGGCAAACCATAGAATGGCCCGCAAAGTATAAGGTGCCTCTAGGGGCAGAGAACAAACACTCACCCAAAAGTCACAGCCTCCACCCATTCCAATTACAACCAAACCTGGGCCTCATGGCTTTGAAGCAGATGGGTGGATATTCCATCCACTTTGGAAGGGCAGGGCTCTCCAGCACCTGTCCTGCTCTCGTGACAACCAGGTTAAGGTTCTTTGGAGTATGGGATGAGAGAAGCCTTTCCACTGGGCTGGATTTCCTTCCTTCCCATGGCCCAACATTAGTCGCCTGAGCAGGTGGGAGAGTAAGTGATTGCAGAAAGCTCTTTCTGAGTAGGACAACCAGGCAGACAAGGGTTAGTTTTACTAACATTGCCAGAATCAGATTCACCTCAGAGAAACCATCGACACAGAGCAGAACTTCCAAACGATGCATGCCTTTTCTTGTCCTAATTCAGAATTCCAGAAGACATTACAGTCTACCAGCGCAGCCCCTAATGACCAGTCCTAGTGACCAGGGTCTAGACAAAGCATGCTATGAAGCCTCCCTTGCACCTCCCCCTACATCACCCGCTCCCGCGAGCTGCATCCCCAACCATACATCTGAAATGTACACTTTGACCTTGCAAATGAGAGACAATAAGGCAAAAATACACAGAAATGTGATGCGAGGCCATTTCTGTGACAAAACTTACTGACTGAGTAAATAAAGTGAACAACTTTCTAGATATAAGAAACCTAGTTTGGCTGTTAAATAGCAAAAATAAAGTTCAAGGCAAAATGACAAATTCTTACTCTGTCAACCAAGGATGGTGCACATCCATTAGGCTGTGGGTGGCAGCAGGTGTGCTGTGCCCTGTGTGGCTCTGCCCTCAGTGGCAGGACATGAGGATAAACAAGTAAAACAAAAAGCCCCCTAAACCTCCTCTATGTGTGTAAAACCACACCTTCACTAAGCCGAGCAATTAGATTTTTATTTATTTATTTTGAGACGGAGTCTGGCTCTGTCACCCAGGCTGAAGTGCAATGGTGCAGTCTTGGCTCACTGCAACCTCTGCCTCCCAGGCTCAAGCGATTCTCCTGCCTCAGCTTCCTAAGTAGCTGGGATTACAGGCACACACCACCATGCCCAGCTAATGTTTGTATTTTTTTTAGTAGAGACGAGGTTTCACCACGTTGTCCAGGCTGGTCTGGAACTCCTGAACTCAGGCAATCCCCCGCCTTGGCCTCCCAAAGTGCTGGGATTACAGGCGTGAGCCACGGTGTACAGCCTAGATTTTTTTTTTTTTAAAGTAAAATTACGGCCTGGTGCAGTGGCCTGTACCTATAATCCCAGCATTTTCGGAGGCAGAAGGAGGTGGATTGCTTGAGCCTAGGAGGTTGAGGCTGCAGTGAGCTGTGATCATGCCACTACATTCGAGCCTGGGCAACAGAGTGAGACCTTGTCTCAATAAATAAATAAATAAAATTAAAATTAAAATCATTCAAGACAATCACTTTTGTCTGGGGCATACTTCCAAGTTGCCTTGGGGAGTGTTCCCGAGAAACTGGAGTTTTTAAATGGACAATTTAATATCATCTATGGTAAGATGTGCCTGATTTTTTTTAAGAACAAAAGTGATTTCAAACAAATATTTAAAATGTACTATGATTTTTCCACCAGCCTGGCCAACATGGTGAAACCCTGTCTTTACTAAAAGTACAAAAATTAACTGGGTGTGGTGGCGCGCTCCTGTAGTCCCAGCTACTCGGGAGGCTGAGGCATGAGAATGGCTTGAACCTGGGAGGCGGAGGTTGCAGTAAGCCGAGATCACGCCACTGCACTCCAGCCTGGGAGACAGATGGATACTGCGTCTCCAAAAAAATATGTATATGTATATATTTTTTTCCAGTCTATAGCAGACTGTTAGATCATAATTCAGCTAGGATGGGATTGGTTTAGTTAATTAACAATATCTGAAAACCCCTCATAGAATGAATGGCAAGTCCCCTATGGAGATAAATAAGGTGGTTGTGGCCCGTAAGTCAAATGATGCTTTCCTAGGGGAAGTTCCATAGTTCTCTGGCTCCCTTCCGTGTGTCTGTGCGAGCAGCTGTGTCTCAGCACTGTCAGTATCACATCTGCCTTGGAGCTGGAACCATCTGTGGTCTACCCTTGTGTTTTATCAAGGTACCCTGTTTGCTTCTACTTACATGAGTCATCTGGAGACACTGGGATGACTGGGTCAGCAGTTAGTTGGAGGAAGGATTATCACAGTTTCTCAAAAGCAGCTTGGCTTTCGGCTTGTATCTCAGTTCCCCAAACCCTGGCCCTAGACAGGACTTTCTCTCCCATGTCAGGCTCCACAAGGTATGGAGAACTCTCCTCTTGGAAGAGCAACACCTGCTTGCTTTGCCGGCTTTCCCAGGCCAATCCTGGTGGAATCTACAAGGACTGCCCCAGACCTGGGATTTGAAGGAGTGAGCGGCAGGCTCCGCCCATGTCTCTCCTTGCAAGTCTCACCTTTCTGGCCAGGCACTCCCTGAAAACAGTCTTTACGAAAAATCCTGGCTTTTCTTGAAGCCTGAGGGCTCGTTCCCTGAAGGTTTCCGGGAATCTCCTAGACTTTTATGAAAACAAAGTTTCTCATTGTTTACATGGTAAGTGTTTAATAAGTGGTTACAGAATGAAGACAATGGGCTAATTATCATGTGATAAGTTCTTATCAATAAACAAAAACAACAACAAAAGCAGAACTCAGGTTCCATATTACTTTTGACTCTGACTAAATTATGGTTTAAGATTCATTACCTTGTTTGTCTCCCAAACATAAAGAACTGTAGTTTTGCTACTAAGTGGAAAACTCAAAAACAAAATAAAGCTCTAATGGTGGAAAAGTGTAGGTTAATTTTGATATTTAAATTTTTAATTTTAAAAAATACTTTTTTAGAGATGGGGTCTTGCTGTGTTTCCCAGGCTGGTCTCAAACTCCTGGCCTTAAGTGATCCTCCTGCCTCAGCCTCAGCTTCCTGAGTAGCTGGGGCTACAGGCACAAGCCACCATGCCTAGCCCAATTTTGATATTTTGTAATATCTCAATGTTGTTAGAAACTGACAATGTTTCCCAAAAAGTGATGGATACATCAAGGTAATCCATGGAGGCATGGTTTTAATTTTAATGGCCATTACTTATTTTAATGGTTATATGTATTCAGTGTGTTTCCTAATTATGGTAAAGATACTGAATTTGCTTTTTTTTTTTTTTTTTAAGACAGTCTGACACCCAGGCTGGAGTGCAGTGGTACGATCTCGGCTCACTGCAACCTCCACCTCCTGGGTTCGAGCAATTCTCCCGCCTCAGCCTCCTGAGTAGCTGGGACTTTAGGCGTGCGCCACCACGTCCAGCTAATTTTTGTATTTTTAGTAGAGACAGAGTTTTGCTATGTTGGCCAGGCTGGTCTCGAACTCCTGACATCAGGTGATCCACCCACCTCGGCCTCCCAAAGTGCTGGGATTATAGGTGTGAGCCACCGCACCCAGCTGAATTTGCTTTTCCCTTTTTTTTTTTTTTTTTTTTGAGATAGAATCTTGCTCTGTCACCCAGGGCTGGAGTGCAGTGGTGACACAATCTCGGCTTACTGCAACCTCTGTCTCCCAGGTTCAGACAATTCTTGTGCCTCAACCTCCCGAGCAGCTAGGCAAGCGCCACCATGCCAGACTAATATGTGCATTTTTAGTAGAGACGGGGTTTCGCCATGTTGGCCATGCTGGTCTCGAACTCCTGGTCTCAATCAATCCTCCCACCTTGGCCTCTCAAAGTGGTGCTGGGATTCCAGGTGTGAACCCCGGCGCCGGCCTGGGAAGATCATCCTGTAGATACATCTACATGCTGTTGCTCAGCTTCCTCATTACTGAGTTCAAGCTACTTGGAATGTCTCCTGCCATATCTGGCTCCTACCTACCTACCTGTCAAACTGGGTTCAAATCCTCATCCCTTATCTCTTTCAGCTGCAAGTAATCTGTGGCCCATCACATTCCTTCCCTACTGTCCCCACACCTCCAGGGCCCCTACCCCATTCCACTCTGGTCAGACTTCTCTCCCTTACTAGCCTGGCCTCATCCCCAGCCCATATTCAGGCCTAGCCCTGTGCAGGAATTAATAAAAGGTCTGCTTTAGGCATGACCAGGGGCCTGAGGAGGAGGTGATCTGCAGACAGCAAGGTTTACGGAAGAGGAGGAGCTTAGCGGGCAGGGAGAAATATTCTTAGGGGCACTGGGCAGTTTCTTTCTGAGGCCCCCTAACAAATAGAATCCGCTGCTCAGCTCCAGCCTCAGGAGACAAAGCGTTCTTGTTTCTGTGCTTATCAGGAAATGGGCGGCAAAAATCACCACAGCTACCAAGAGCCACCTGGCCTTTGGCCATCTCTGGGGCAAGAAAAGGAGGCAGCTCCAATCCTTCCAGAAAAACAAATCCTTCCTTATTGCTCATTAATTTCTCCCATGGACACCCCTTCTAAGCTCAAGTCAACTAGCAAGGAGTGGGCTTTGAGTGGCTTTGGTTGTAAAAGTCAATGATGTTCCTGCAGTCTACATAGTGAAAAAAAAAATGATAAGAAAGATAAAAAGAAAAGTCAGTGATGAGCTTTAGTGTAGAATTACAATAATTCTATGCCCACCAATACCAGACATTGGAGACCAGTGCTCCATCCAAGGTCTCCAAATACAGAATGCTTTATTCCAGCACGGAGAATGAGATTTAGGATTCCAACAAAAGTGGCCTGCTGAGTGCAGGAGAAAGTAGAGGGTAGACAGTCCTGGCAGGAAAGTGCTCTTGGATAAAGGCAGGTGCAGTGCATGAGGTCTGAAGAAACCCCAGTGGGAACCCCACACACAGCTTCAGGGGCTTTCACATTCAGTCATCAATTTATCCGGAATCAAAGCCACCCACCTCCTGCCCATGTGAGTGCACTGAAATCACAATGCTATTTTTGGTAAGGCATGTCATAGTTTCAATGGAATCAACCCTGATTCTAGTCTCCCTCAGCCTCCTAATCTTCAGCGGTTAGGTGGAAAGAGGACTCCAAGTCAGACTTGAATCAGAGCCTCAGCACTGCCCCTTCATCACTGTGAGGCCTGCACCCATTACCATGCACTGTTTAATCTCAGTTTCCCTGTGTCTAAAAATGGATTCTTGCTGAAAAAAGGAATCTGTTAGCAAAACAAATAAACAGAACCTGAAAAGAACTTCTGATTCTAAGTGCCTGGACTGTCTTTGAAACTATGAGTAATGGTTCCGCTCCATGGGAGTTTTCAGGATGACTTCTTACCGTCTTCTAATTTTTGGATAGTCACAAAAAGAAAGCAAGGCAATGTGTTTCCATTCTAGGACTGACAAATCCTGTGGTATTAACACAACTCTGGAGCTTGTTTTGGCAGCATTTCATGTGACCTGGGAGAAAGCAAAACCCCAAAGCTTCTACAGGCCAGCTTCCAGCAGGTCCTGGAAGCAGGAGAGTTCTCCATCTACCATTAGTGTCTAGGCTCAACCTGGACTCTGGTATTGCCATCCTCAACTTTCAGATGGAAAAAGAAAAAAAAAAGCCACTTCTCTTGATATTTTTGTGTTAAAATTTCCATGTATATCATGCTTCTCCAGGAGCTTCCCTTCAGCTGCATGCCAGACTAAAATCTTTTTCCAGGCTGTTGTCTTAACCAGCTGCAATGGCAAGAAAGATACACCCTGGGATGTGGCATTGCCGGAGGGCCCAGGCTTCTAGCTACAAGAGGCCAATGCAGGGGTCATCTTATGAATCAAGGATGAGACAGAAGTCAAGAGTCTTGTGCCCACCATGGTCCTGATCTTGGGGCAGTAGATCCTTGACCATGTATCAAAAGGAACACAAATATACACCTCAAATGCCAAGCTGCAGCCAAGATGCCTGGATAGGTGGGAGATGAAGCCAGGACTTAGCGGGGTTGGGAGAAGAGAGGTGGTGGGTCTGGGATCAACAACTTGTGGAAGAATATTAGTACCAGAGGCCCCTTATGTAGAGAGACAGAAAATAATGGCCCATACTGAAGATATCTATCAACTAAAAATCTTTGGCACAGGACAAATTCCAATTTGTGTTAAAGACATACACACACACAGAGCAAACAAAAAATTCCCAGAAAAACTTCAACTTCAAAAATACATAGAAGTTGATATCCAATGATTTCTTAACACCTTCAGACATAAAAATATTTCTTTAGAATTTTGAAGTTCAGAACTTGAGTCTAGTTATAGGTAAAAAAAAAAAAAAAAAAAAAAAAAAAGGATATTGAAATGGAATTAAACATGTCTCTGTAATATTCTATTAGTCTGGAGAAGAAGGGAAACCCCAATCCATTATTCTGGACACGGCAGGACCCTGGCCTGGCTAACACAGTTGACAGCATGGAAATTGCCAGGTGAGCAGAAGAAACCTTTTACCCACCACCCAGCATGGGAAGAGTGGTGGGCAGAGAGGCATGGGGAAATGGATTGTCTTAGAAGGACCCCTGCATATTTAGCCAAGTTTTAAGGGCTATCAGAGGCCATCCAGTTTATCTCCTTATTTGAGATCAAAATGCTAGAAATTGATAAAACTGGTCCTAGGTCCAGTTTTCCGACTTAGGGAGTTTCCCTAGAGCAAGCAAGTTCATACTTAATTCCTCAAGGCCTTTTTTTGTCCCATTAAACTCTAAAAGGAAAAAGAATCACTAGCATATTTGGGGTTACAGATTTTATTCCTCCATGGCGAAGGGCTGCTGCTTTTTGAGGGTGGAGCCCCAACTTCCTCAAAAAAGATTTGTAAGAGCATGTCACAGTAGGACTATTCTGAAAAACCTTTAGGGCCTTTGGTAATTTTTAAGTTCTATCAACTGAGGCCCAGCAGAAGAGGACACAGAAATGGGAACAAAAGCTCATGTCTGCCTCCAGGGAGACGCTGCCATTTCGGGAGGTAAGAAAAAGTGGTAGCTGTTTTGCCCAGGAACTTCCTCTGGTTGACTCTCCAGCTAGAGATGAGAAGGCCAGATACAGAGCGAATGCTGGCAGAGGCTTTCATTTGTTCCTGTAAAAATAAGAAAGAGGAACAAAGAACCTGTTGTCCTGGTTGCCCTTGGAGCTGAAAACAGGCAGAAGAAGGAGCCAGGCGGGCTCCAGTCTTGGTCCCGATGCCCTTCAAGCCCGGGGCATGCACCCTGCTTCACGGAAAGGCAAGTGTTCCATGGATTGGCAGTTTCTAGTATTTAATTGCTCTGGGTTACACTGGTGTTATTTCCTAGCAGATGAATTCTAACTAAGCAGATATTTTATGGCAGAACCAATTGCCAATATAGCAGCAATGCAAAGCCTACAGAGCACAAAATAGCTCCAATTCTGGAGTATGCTGCTGGTGACATTGTGTGGCCAAGGTCAAAATAGCTCCAACTCTGGAGTATGCTGCTGGTGACATTGTGTGGCCAAGGTTTACTGTAAACAGATAAGCTAGCCACTACATTGGAAGGTGCTACCCGTCAACAAAAACAGAATCAATTTCTAGGAAACTGCATTTCTAGGATGATCAAAAACACCTTGTAGGTCAGTGAAAAATCATGCATGATCTACCATTTAAATGGATTGTCATGCAAAAACATCAGAAGGATACACATCAAAGCAAAGAATTAAATCAGCCAACCCAACAAACAATCAAAAATGATTCTATCTTGGAGTGGGGGTGGGGTCGGGGTCAGGGTGTTGTTTATTTTTATTTTCTGCATTGTGCTTTTTCCACCATGTACACGTTTTACTTTTGGCTATCAAAAAAAGAAATCTTAAATGTTTCTTTTAAAAAACTTCCCAAAGATAACAGATATCACCAGTCAAGATAGACTGAACAGCTCTTTAGGGCATTTTTTATCTTACACTTCTTATTCGTTAATGAAATTGATGTACCTCTGACCTAGAATTACCTGCTTCCCACCTGAGGTTCTTGGGACATCTGCTGTCCTCCTCTGTTCATCTGACGTATTCTATTATGTCCCATTTCGTTACATGATACTCACTTGTTTACAATTTTTTCCCTCCTTAGGTTGTGTAAATCTTCAGGCTCCACTCTCATGGTATTTTGGTAAATATGATCCACTGAATAAATACTTTCTCTTTCTTTTTTTTTTTTTGAGATAGAGTCTCACTCTGTCACCCATGCTGGAGTGCAGTGGCTTGATCTCGGCTCATGACAACCTCCATCTTTCAGGTTCAAGCAATTCTCTTGCCTCATCCTGAGTAGCTGGGATTACAGGCATGAGCCACTGCGCCTGGCTAATTTTTGTGTTTTTACTAGAGAGGGGGTTTCACCATGTTGGCCAAGCTGGTCTCAAACTCCTGACCTCGTGATCCACCCACCTCAGCCTCCCAAAGTGCTGGGATTACAGGTGTGAGTCACCCTGCCCGGCTTAAATATTTTCTTTAATTTGAGTTTAGTTGTTGCTACATTGGTGATAGTGTAGCGAAGAGTTGGTCAACCCTCATAGAATTCATTGAAATCATGTTCAGGACACTCCTGGTTGAGTTGAAATATGGAAATATTCTAGGGGATTGGGGGTAAATTGATCAAAGTAATCATAGTAGAGAATCCTCAGTGACATAGCCGGAAAATGTCTCACCATAAACCTGTTGCTGCTACACGGCCTGCCCTGTAGCAGTAACAGGTTTGTGAGCAAAGCCATCGATGTGTGATGTGTTTACTCTGTGGATTTTCATCTAGCTGGATACTTATTTGTGCAATTTTGCTGAGTTATGTTTTACTTCAGTGGAAAATTATTTAAAAAGCAGCACCAAGTGAAGGTGGATCTGGTTCAAAAAGCCACAGAGTCGCTAATGTGGTCACAACTGTCCCTCTTGAGACTTAAGGAAGTGGAACTCTGGGCATCTTTCCCCAGGCTGCGGCCACCATTCTTCCCTTCTCATCTTCAGTTCTCACCTCTGGGCAAGTGAAGAAGTGAACAATTGTACAAGGGAGGAGCCTTCTGGGTTTCCTGTGGTTATAATGTCAATGCTGTCACATAGCCACTGGGAAGCTCAGAGCTTCCCAGAAGAGGCCAAAGGTGATGACCAGCTGCTACATTGTAACATTGAGAAGAGCTGGCCAAGGAATTTTTGAATTTCCTGTGTCATGTCTGGTTCTGTGGTGGGGCAGGAGGAGTGAAGACATGGGACCGCAGGCATCTCACAGCAATCCACTTGGGCTAGAGGACACCAGCGAAGTGGCAGCAGGAGTGACAGCTACAGGAGAGTGGAGGAAGGGATGAGCTGCAGTTCTCACTGACCTGCTCTAGCCAGGATGCCAGGGATCCTGCAGAGGCAGCCTGGGCCCAGACAATAGCTGGGGAGGTTGTTCTGTGGATCCCTCTGTTCCGCCTGAGGATAAAGTGATCTTTAGAGACTTGTCTCAGCCTAGAGGGGATGGGTTCAAGTGATGATGAGGGTGGAACCTACCTCAGGCCTGGTGAGCCTACCCAAAAGAGGCCTGCTTCCGCCAAATGAAAATGGACTGTGGAATCATGTGGGAGGGAGAGGGGAGTGAAATGCCTTCATGTTCCCATACTCTCCAGTCTTTGCAGGGATGCAGTGGGAAGAGAGGAAGCAGGAAACCACACTGGGAGAGAGCAGAAAACCAGGAGCAAGAAGCCCTCAGTCTCGCCCCTGGCTTACGGGCTTCCATTTGGTAGATCAGCAGAGGCATGGAGGGAGATTTAATCAGCTCCTACTCTATTGGCCAAAGATTAAAATAGCTCATGGTAGAACTGGTCAGGGAGGCACAACTGGAGACTGGGGGAAGGGCCTCTGCCCTATTTCTTTGCTAGGGAGGAAGCCTTAGGCCTGTCACACATTTTCAACTTTTTATTTTTTTATGCACCGGTTGGTGGCCACCTGCAAGAGGTCTCTGAGGCAAGAATACTTTAAAATCACTAAGGGGCTTGGCACCTTTCCTTTATCCATTCAACAAATACTTGCGAGTGCGTGCTCTATGCCAGATACTGTCCCTGGCACTGCAATCCCAGGGTGAAGGACAGACCCAGTCCCTGGTCTCACAGAGCTTACCTTCTAGTGGTGGGAGGCAGGAAATGCACAGATAGGCCAGGTGTGGTGGCACACGCTTGTGATCCTAACTCTTTGGGAGGTCAAGGCGGGCGGATTGCCTGAACTCAGGAGTTAAAGACCAGCCTGGGCAACATGATGAAATGTCTCCACTAAAATACAAAAACTTAGCCGGTGGTGGTGGCGCGTGCCTGTAATCCCAGCTACTCAGGAGGCTGGAGGCATAAGAATTGCTTGAACCTATGAGGTGGAGGTTGCAGTGAGCCAATATCACACCACTATTGCACTCCAGCCTAGGCGATAGAGTGGAAGTCTGTTTCCAAGAAAAAAAAAAAAAAGAAAGAATGGACAGGAAGCAAGTGAATATATGTCCTGTGTGTACAAGTTCTATGAAGAAACATAAAGCCAGGTAATGAGGTAGAAGAAAAGGAGGGCTCAAGGGTGAAGGCTTCCTGGGGGAAGGATGTGCCAGACAGAAGGAACCGCAAGTACAAAGGCCAGGAGGCAGGGGCCACATTGGCAAGGAAGTCAGTGGGACTGGAGCTGAGTGATGGGGAGAGAATGCTAGAGAAGAGATGGCAGAGGAGAGGGGTGCTGGGGTGTCACATCTTATAGAGTCTTGAAGGCCATGGTAATAATTTTGGTTTTAGATGCAAAATTATCAAAAGGCTTTGAACAAAGGAGAGATGTGTCTTGGACTTAGGTGAACTAAAAGGTTCACCATGCTGCTTGGCTAATAGCCTGGAGAAAGTGGAACTGGTAGAAGCAGAGGCACCAGGCAGGGGCTACTGCAGTGGTGCTGGTGAGAAGTGGTTCCATCCTGGATCTATTTAAAGGTAGAGGCCAAGCACGGTGGCTCATGCCTGTAATCCCAGCACTTTGGGAGGCTGAGACAGGTGGACCACTTGAGGCCAGGAATTCGAGATCAGACTGGCCAACATGGTGAAACCCCATCTCTACTAAAATTACAAAAATTAGCCAGGCATTTTGGCACATGCCTGTAATCCCAGCTATGTTGGGAGGCTGAGGCACGAGAATTGCTTGAACCTGGGAGGCAGAGGTTGCAGGAGGCTGAGATCGTGTCACCACTGCACTCCAGCTCTAGGCAACAGAGCGAGATTCTGTCTCAAAGAAAAATAAAAGGTAGAGCTGCCTGGATTTGGAGATGGATGGGAGGAGGGCAGTTATGACAGGAATAGAGGCACCATTGATGAGTACAAGGCCCAAGAAGCTGGAGGCATGGTGACTGGGACGGGGAAGACCCAGGAAGGAATGAACCTATGAAGGAACACTTCCTGAGTGGGCAGTTGGTTACCAACCTCTGGACTCAAAGAGAGGATTGGCCAAGGGAGTATAAGTTGGGAATAACCAATGTATAGATGGTATCAGAGCCACAAGACTGGGTGGGATAACCTAGGAAATTACTCCACAGACCACCTTTTAAAACTACATATAGTGTGGCTATTACCACGTGTCAGGCACTGTGCTGAGTCCTTGACAGCTATTAACTCACTTAATCTTCCCAACAACACTGTGAGGTAACTCTGTTATTATTCCCATTTTAATGAGGAGAACACTGAGGCACAGATATTTTTTAAAGTACCTTGTACAAAGTTAGTGGGAGAGAGAAAAGGAAAGGTGTGAAGAGTGAAAAGGAGTGGCTCAGCCAGGCGCAGTGGCTCACACTTGTAATCCCAGCAATTTGGGAGGCTGAGGTGGGAGGATCCCTTGAGCCTAGGGGTCTGAGACACACCTGGGCAACACAGAGAGACCCCAATCTCTACCAAAAATTAAAAAAAAAAATTAGCTGGGTGTGGTGGTGGGCACCCGTGCTTCCAACTACTTGGGAGGCTGAGGCGGGAAGATCACTTGAGCCCAGGAGGTCAAGGCTGCAGTGAGCTGTGATTGTGCCACTGCACTCCAGCCTGGGTAACAGAGTGAGACTCTGTCTCAAAACAAACAAACAAAAACCAAACAAACAAAAAAAGAAAAGGAGGGGATCAAAGTGTGATCTCTGGGTTCTCCAGGGCTGGAGTTCAGGGAGATAAAGAAGAACCAGCCAGGGCACTGGGGGCAGCAGCAGGACAGCTAAGAGGATCCCAGGGAGGTGTGGGGTCCCAGAAGCCAAGCCAAGCAAATGTCCCAAAAAGGAGGGCAGATGGACCATGGCAGACGACGCTGACAGGAGACAGGACGGGAGGTGGGCACTGGCCATCGGGCCAAAAACTGACATCTTCACTTTCCATAGCCTCATTCTGAATGAACTTCCTTCCATTTTGATTGTAGGCAACAAACCACAGTAGTAGTATCACGACCTGTGATTTTGTCACCAACAGAAACCACAGAGGTTTCACCGTTGTCACAGCTGTTACAGAGATTGTGTCATTTATGCCTATCTGTCACATGTAAAACAGAAGCACCTATGCCATGGAAGCACATGCTGAAACACACACTGAAACATTCTGATCACTGGACTTCACTGTAATTGTTTTTCCCATGACATCCTATATATGTTATTTTATGCATTCAAAAGATTATTCAGAGAAGGAGTCCATGGCACAAGACAAAGTTAAAGATCAAGGTTATCTCAATATTAAGCACGAAAGAGCAACCAAACACTAACACAGCTAGAGTAATAGTGATTCCTAACCTAGGGACTAGCTTGGTGCTTAATCTGGTATTCCATCAACTAAGGAACCATAGACATTTCGTGGTGGCTGTGGTGGGATAGGCGACTCCCTATCCCAGCTCACACTCACAGAGTACGAAGCTGCAGAGGAAGCTGACGGCGGTGCATTTCCTGCAGCCGTCAGACGTGCAGAGCCAGGGGCCCGGGCGGTGCTCGCCACTTCTTTCTCCAGGGGTTTTGCTGAAAGCAACTCTGCTACCTACTGGTCTGCTTTCCTCTTCCCTCCTCTCCCCTTTGGCTGCTGCTCTGTGCCAGGCTGAATTGTGGCCACAGCTATGCTTTTCCTTGATCTTAGAAATAACTGAACTGGCCCTCCTGACAGCTCCATTGGACAAAATGGAGAAATTAAAACCAAACTCACTACTTCTAAAAAATCAGCAAGACACTCCAGCACAGAAGCCAAAACTGTGTAGCTTTTTCCCCACAGCACACAGTTTCCACATCAGTCAAATGCAGGCCCTAAAGAGCTTTCCCTCCTGGAAGTGCTAGGAAGATTCCGTAAGTTAGTCGCTATAAGCGACTTAGAACAGTAGTTTAATATGAACAGTGTTGCCACATGGCCAACATGATCTATATTGTTAAATAAAGACAACTCATCTTGCTTTTTCCTCTTTCTTTTCTGTTAAAAAAAAGCCAAATAAAATGCCTTTGCAAATGTATAAATTCATGAATTAAGCAACATAGCATTCAAAGTGACATTCATCTGGGAAAAAAGGCTGTTGTGGACTGCTTACAGTTATTCTTACCTCTGAAAAGGAAAAGATGGAAGGAAATGTTAAAGATTAAGCAACCACCCAGCTCTCACTCTAATACCCACCGGAGTCAGAAAACAAGATCTTGAGGGCCCCTCACATGTTCAGAACGTCCTTCTCACACCCCCAAAATCCCCTGTGCTTATATGCAGGGGAAAGGTTTCCGCCGCTCTGTGTCTGGGTGTCTGTCATCTGTGGAGCTTGGGGTTGATCTCACAGAGCCGCCTTTCCTGGCTATGAAAGAAATCAGTGCTACCAAAGCTCTCTTTTCTGTTGTTATCAGCCTAGACTCCCAATTAAATTTTAGCTCAACAAGGCACAGGATAGAGAAATTCCCTGGCTAAAGTTCCACGATGTTTGAAACTACTCTGGAGGTGAGGCAGAGAGTCACTACCTGAAAATCATTGTGCATTTGTCTAGTTTATGGGGAAAAAATAAGACTTTCACACTGAGGTCAAGAACAATCATAGAATGCTGGGTGTGCTGCAAGGAGCAGGGGGACCATCTGGTTCACCCCCATCGTTTTGTAGAGAAGGAAAGGAAAGGAAGGCACAGAGAATTAAGGGTGAGTGCTGTTCCCCCAGAGACATCGGGTATCAAAGTACCACCTTCCAGCTGCAAGTGCCTCCCTGGGATGTTGCTCTCTCCCGTCAGCGTATGGCGGAACTAGTCGGGCTGGTTTGAAACTTGCCTGGACAACCAGAACCATCTGGCTGGCCTGCCTGTTGCATGACTTGCAGGCAAAACCTACTCCATAAATCTCAGCCTCACACTGCTCCAGGCAGGCTCAGCCCCACTTTCTGGGAGAAAGGGGAAGCTGTTAACAAATCTGGCCTCTAAGGCACGAAGTGTCTGTGTCTTTTTATAGCCATTATATTGTTATCTTGTTAGCATCAAAGTTGGAAGAAGTCACCTTCAACTTCCCACCACCCCCCGACCTTTGCACCCCCTTTCTCCAGGTACAGACCAGTCCCTTGCCTCCTATTCAGACGGTGTGCAGTATGTGCACAGGTATCGCCTTCAACAGCACAGCACGCCGCCTTCCCTTTGTATCGAATTTACAACCACATCCAGTTTCCAATCACTGCACGGCTTTTCAGGTTAATGGTTTTTTGGAGACTGCTGGGGTTTTTCTCTGACCTGAGAATGCAAAATGAGTCCATCCTCTTTAGCTGCTCCCCTGTAAGCCTTCTGGAGACTCACACGGCTACACTGAATTCTACTTTGCACACGCTGGATCTTGCTGCATTACTGTTTCCATCATTGGGAGTAGGTGGATATGGCACAGACAATTTTAGGTTTCCGGGTTCTGGTGCCAGGAGGAATTGAGAGAGTATAAAGTTCAAGTGCCTTCAAAGTGATTAAAATAAACAAGCAGACAACTAGTTCCTAGGCCACTCCCACCTCCTACAGAGGATTTCATCTAGAGCTGCTACCACACTCCCAGCTCCCAGACTTCTGAGGAGTGACTGCAAGTCAGCCCTTGGCAGTGCCAGGGTTCACTCGATCCCTTTCTCGCACCCATCACCTAACCGTGTCTCTGGTCACCTGTGGGTTTCAGCGGGTTCCAGGCCATTTTCCAGGTTGACATCTGTCCGCACCATCTCCTGTTTCAGTTCTCCGATCTCCGAGGCAATTGTGTCAATGAGCTATTCAAAGACAAAAATAGTATGACGTCAGGAAGTGGAGAGGCGTGGCATGCCCACAGCGCCCGGGGAACTCAGGCTTTTCAATAGGAACAGAGATGACCATCTTTTTCTATTTCTTTTTTTTTTTTTTTAATCTTGGCTCTGTGAATTTCCTCTAGCCAGAGGAAAAAATAAAGGGGGAGGAGGCAGCTTCTCCTTAGAAAGGGGAAGAACTTAGGTTTCGGTATTGTAATAAGGAAAAGAATATGACACCCAGTTTGTTAGGTTTCAGTATTGTAATAAGGAAGATAATATAACACCCAGTTAGCTTTCTCAACATGAATATAGACGGGAATAAATACATCCTGGCAAAACCGGGCCTCAATATTCATTTGGCAAGGGAAACCCTCCAAAGGAACCCCCTTTGAAGGACTGAAATTCATACAATGATTATTTTGTTATAGAAATGAGTTTATTTAAAAGATATATCCAGCTTACATATTGATTTCTGACGACATCAAAATGATTTCTTGTTCTATTCTTTGCACTGCTGTGGAGAGAAGATTGTTGGGGAAAGGGAAGAGAAAGGACTGAGTGAGGCTGGGGTGGATGAGTGGGGAGGAGGGGAGTGGGCCCCAGGGCCATCTAGGGGAAAAGGCGGCCCCATCTCAGATCCCCACCTATCCATGCACCTGCATCTGACCCTTCAGGCTGGTCTAAAATCTTTCACCCTCCTATTCACTCATTCAACAGAGTCTTTCCTGGCGCGTACTAGGCACTGTAAGTGTACAGTGGCTGTTCTCAAGGGTGCCACTCTGCTCACTATTTTTTGAAAACATAGTAATTTTCCATACAAACGTTATTTACATTAACAGGTAACAGGTCCATTATTGTTTTAAAATAAGCGTTATTAAATTCCTTCATTTTAATTTCTAAGATGGCAACTATTTATAGATATGATCCATACAAACATAAGTTCTTTGGGATCCTCAATAATTTTTAAGAGCATTGGCCAGGCATAGCGGCTCTTGCCTGTAATCCCAGCACTTTGGGAGGCCGAGGCAGGCAGATCACTTGAGGTCAGGAGTTCAAGACCAGCCTGGCCAACATGGTAAAACCCCATCTGTACATAAATACAAAAAAATTAGCCAGGCGTGGTGGTGCGTGCCTGTAGTCCCAGCTACTCCAGAGGCTGAGGTAGGAGAATCACTTGAACCCAGGAGATGGAGGTTGCAGTGAGCCAAGATCATGCCACTGCACTCCAGCCTGGGCGACAGAGTGAGGCTCCATCTCAAAAAAATAACAACAACAATAATAATTTTAAAGAGCATCAAGGGGTCCTGAGGCTAAGAAATTTGAGCACTGTTCTCACTAAAGAGAAATGTTGTCTTGTCTCAGGTAGCTTTTATCCCACCCAGACTCTGGGAGGGAAACTTCACTTGCGCTTAAAGCTTGTTCTAAAATGTGACCCCATCTATTCACTCACTATTTCGACAAACTTTTATGGGCTCCCGCTTCATGCCAGGTACTGCAAATGGGGAGTGGAGCTGAGAAGATCTCAGTTCTCATGGAGATGAGATTCTGGTGGGGCAGAAAGACACCAGAACCAAGCACTGAGCAGTTCCAGAATGAAGACAGGTGAAGGTAATGCTGTGGGAGCAACAAAGGGGCCAAACAGATCAGGGCGGGTTGGTCAGGGCAAGTCTTTTTTAAGCGATAGAGCCTTGAATGACAAGAATGCCATGAAAAGATCAAAGGAAGAGCCCTCCACATGGAGAGAAAGTTCTGGAGGCCAGGAAGGTGTGCAGGAGGAGAGGCAGGCAGGGATCAGATCTTGCCAACTTTGTAGATCATGGTATTCACCACCTTGAGTCTTCCATGATAAGAACCATTGGAAGGCCTTAAGTAGGAGAAAGCCATTTTACATCTGTTTTATGGTCTAAACCGATCACCTTGGCACTGAGGTGGTTGGAAAGGGCAAGATGAGAAACAGGAAGACCAGTTAGGAGCAACTACAGTGGTCTAGGCAAGAGATGATGCAGCTTGGACCGAGGTGGTAGTGGTGGAACTAGAAAGAACGGGGGAATTTAGGAACAATTTGACATAGAAATTGATATAATTTGATGGATTGAATGTGGGGGTGGTAGAAAGAGAATAATCAAGGATGGCTCCGAAGTGTTTGGTTTGAGCAATTAATAAATGGCATTGCCCTTGACTGAGATGGGAGCAATGGGGAAGAATTAGACTTGAGGGGGAAACTGCATTGAACTTCGGGCAGATTAAATTTATTTCAGTTGTTTATCAGCCATCAAATAAATCTGTGAAGTAGCTTCTGACACTCTGGATGGAGATTTTTCTGTTTGGAAGTCACTGGCATGTGTGGCTGGCATTCTAAAGCACTGTGGCAGGGAGAGATTATCTAAGGAGAGAGGTCGATGGAGAAGGGGGCCCAGCAGATAGCTCTGGACACTCCCAGGACTTAGAGGTCAGAAGAAGGGAAGCCAGCCAAGCCCTTCATGCTTGATCCATCCCCTCGGTGCCTGTGACTGCAGTAAGGACCAGAGGGGGAGCTTCCAGAAGCACTGGGGCCTCGAGAGAGGAAATGATTAGGAGATCCTATTTTATACATATCTCTGTGGCAAAGTTTTTTTAAAAAGTCTGACAATGCCAAATACTCTAGGATGTGGGAAAACAGGATCCCCCTTGTCTTTCTCTGTTTCCTGTTGCTATAACAGAATACTACAGACTGGCTAATTTATTAAGAACAGAAGTTTATTTGGCTCATGGTTCTGGAAGCTGGAAAGTCCGAGAGCATGACTCTGGCATCTGGTAAGAGTCATCCCGTGGCGGAAGGCAGAAGTGAGTGGAGACAGGGAGAGGAAATCGGCCAAGCTCATTCTTTTTGTCAGGAAACCACGTCTTTGAAAACTAACCCGCTACCAAGATAACGGCATTAATTCATTTGTGAGGGCAGAGCCCTCATGACCTAATGATCTGTTAAAGGTCTCACCTTTTAAGACCGTTACAATGGCAATTAAATTTCAACATGAGTTTTAGAGGTGACATTCAAACCATGGCACCTCTTACACTGCTGGAGGAATATTACCCCCAGAGCTACTTTGGAAAGCAATTTGGCAACATCTTGTAGGGTTAAAGATACACAAACCTATATGTGTACTTTAGAGACTAAACTTGCACGTGGGCCCAAAGATACCTTTGCAAGAATATTTGTTGCACCATTATTTGTGAGAACACCTAAGGGTTCATTAAGAGGAGAATGGATACATTAATTGAGTATAAAATGCTACATAGCAGTTAAAAATTAATGAACCAGAACTGTATGTATGAACACATGTATAAACATAAAAGCCCAAAAGGCTTTTTTTGAAAGCAGAAAAAAAAAAAAAAAAGGCAAATCGAGAAGCATTATATACAGCATGTGAAGTTTAAAACCATGCAAACGTTCCCAACACAAGGAAAAAGATACATGGATGGATATCCCAGTTACCCTGATTTGCTCATTACATATTGCATATTAAAATATCACCTGTACACCCCAAAATATGTACAACTATGACATAACAAATTAACAAATAAAATGTATCCATATAATGTTTATATTGATAACATGTTGAAAGAATACTATTTCGTCTATGTTAGGTTTTAAAATATATTATTAGGCCAGATGTGGTAGCTCATGCCTGTAATCTCAGCATTTTGGGAGGCCAAGGTGGGAGAACTGCTTGAGGCCAGGAGTTGGAGACCAGCCTGGACAACATAGTGAGATCGTCTCTATAAAAAGTTTTTTTAAAAATAAAATACTGTTACATGTTATATTATTAAAATTATAAATGCATGCAAAACTGTACTGTATGTTTATAGATACACACATAGACACAAAGGCTATCCTAATATGTATGGGGTTATAATCCTAATCCAGGATAGTGGTTACCTCTAGACAGGAGAAATGGATGAAAGTGTTCACAGGTCAATGGGCTCGGTCACGTGTGAGATTTTATTTATGTATTTATTTTGTAGAGACACTTTCTCACCATGTTGTGCAGGCTGGTCTTGAACTCCTGGCCTCAAGCAATCCTCCCACCTTGGTCTCCCAAAGCTCTGGGATTGCAGATAGGCACCACCGTGCCTGGAAAGATTTTATTTCTTAAAATGAAATGGCGAAATGATGACATTTGACAGTGCTGAGTGATGGGTATTTTAATATGGTGTGTGGTTTTCTGTATGCTTAAAGTACTTTGTAAACAAAATTTTAGGAAAACAAGAAAAAGAAAGGGTGGTGTGTATGAAAATGGAAGGAGTGAAGGGACTAAAAAGGTAGAAGCAAGGAAGGGGTTGAGGGGAGTTTGGGTACGTCTGCTGAAGCCCCACCACCCTGGGACTAGGCCCTGCTTCATTCTGGACCGTGGCTGTGGCCCCAAACAGGAGAGCCACACACCTATCAGAAGCAGAAGGCCTTGTGAGGGAGGGCCGGCCACAGCCTCTGGCAAACCTCAAAGAGAGGACTCCCACCCCAGCAGGAAGCCCCGTCACTGGGTACATTTCCCTCTCCACACTTTGGTTACCTTCACAACCATCATACTGATTTGAACATAAAAACCCCAAATGGCCTTGATTCTCATCAGAATGGGCATCAGTTGATTCCCTTCAGCCAGGCTGTTTTTGTCTGGGTACCGCTCTTGCCGATGCTGTTGGCTGGATCTCCAGACCTCCAAGTTTCCTCCTCAATTCCTTCTCTACATCTGGCCACACACAAGAAGCTGACGGTGTCTGTGGCTGTCACTTAGCGGCACTCCCATGCCAAGTCACCAATCATGCCATGCCACCTATCTCTAGTGCAGAGGAAGGCACCATTGCCATGCCACCTATCTCTAGTGCAGAGGAAGGCACCATGACCCCAAGGCACGAGGGTGGACAAGCACAGAGGTTGCACTTGGCTGGATCGCTGTGGACCCTTCCCTGCTGGATGTGGGGACTTTTTTTTGGTCCCTCGCATCCCCCCCAGCCCCAGCCCCCAGCAACTTTTCCCTCCCCTTCCATTCAGTCCTGACTCACTTGTCCCAGAGTGCAGAGGGATTTAATCTCACAAATGGACCAGAGTTTAGTGTTCCAGGGCCAGTCCTGCCTCTCAGAATCATGTGTATATACCCACTGGGCCCTCCGCCAGCAGCAGTTAGCATCACAAAACACTTCCTCCCCTCTGACGGTTGGATTTTGTCCCACTGAAGGGATTTTGGGTGTTTTTTTGAAGTTGTTTTTGGACAAGTTTGTGTTGATTTATTTGTTTGTTTCTAATTCTCACAGACTTTCAATCTCATCCCTTACACTTGCTTCTTCAAAATTTCCTTCTTTGAGGGCAGAAATAACTTGTCACCCAACAAAGGAGGCCAGTTTTAATGTCAGCTTTCCCATGACAAAGCCAATAGCAGTTGGTGCTACAGGCCCAGTGTGGTGGCTCATGCCTGTAATCCCAGCACTTCCGGAGGCTGAGGTGGGCGGTTCACTTGAGGTCAGGAGTTTGAAACCAGCCTCGCCAACATGATAAAATCCCATCTCTACTAAAAATGCAAAAATTCGCTGGGTATGGTGGCATGTGCCTATAATTCCAGCTACTTGGGAGGCTGAGGGAGGAGAATCGCTTGAACCCGGGAGGCAGAGGTTGCAGTGAGCCCAGATTGAGCCACTGCACTCCAGCCTGGGTGACAGAGCGAGACTCTGTCTCAAACCAGACCAAAACAAACAAACAAACAAACAAACAAAACCCAAAAACAAAAACACAAAAAACTGGTGCTACTAACTGAAGTTTCTCCAGACCCACTTACACAATCCCAGCCTCTAACACATCCCTGTACCTGTGCAGAATTCCTGCAAGCATGGGGAGGGGCTGTCTAAACATCTGCAAAGCTGGTGAGTGAGTGCTGCTCACTACACCCCTGCTCGTCTGTGGACACCTGGGAAAGTGGTGGCAGAGCCACCTGTGATTCAGTGCAGCCAGAGGGTCAGATAGGACAAGGCTGACAAGGCACAAAGTTGGTGAGACCATGGTTCTTACATCAAACACCCAGCACAGCTGCATCATTCCCAGAAAATCCCACAAGCAGTGACAAAGACCCCAACCCAAGGGATAGCCACCTATCCTTATACAGCACAGCAGACCTCAACGGAGGTCTTGCCGGGGCATTGCCTGTGTTTGTTTTTCCCTGCAGGCATGTACAGCAGGACAGAGGGGTGATGTGTTGCCTTTAGAAGCTGGGAGAGAGTGGGCTGCTGGCCTGGCTGGGGACTTCCAGGGAAGAAGAGGGGGTGCTGGTGACCACAAGAGGGAGAGGAAGGCAGGTCAGGGGTTGGGTCCACTCCCTCGTCCTGCATTCGTGCATAACACACCTTGAGAAGCCTGAGGTGTTCACCTGAGTGCTCCTGCATAAGAGCTGGCATCCTGGCCAAGGGCAAGAGAATAACTGGAGAAGGCCCAAGTTCTTTCCCAGCCCTTTGAGGTCACACCCAGGGCTGGGCCTGGGCAAGGCTGGGCCTGCTGAGTTCCAGTCTGGTGCAGGAGTCTACAGTAATTTGTACCATTTTGTAATCATTCTGCATAATTTCTCAGTAGGCGGGGACCTCATCCAAGGGGCCATTCTTCAGGCAGCAACTTGTGCAATTTCGAGGCGGTGTGGCCTGAAGCTCTGACTGGTGACCTGACAGCTGGGAGTAGGGGTAGGCATACCAGCTTTTGGCTCAGAAAAATCTGTCTTCAAATCCTGTCTCGGGCCCCGGTTGGCTGGGTCGCCTTGGGCGACCCATTTGGGTGCCCTCATCCTTAAATCCCCAAAGCTAGGGCTGATGATGTCAAGGGAAGGTCATTGGAGGAATAAAAAGGACAATGAGATTAAAACACTGCAACAGGTCGGGCACAGTGGCTCACGCCTGTAATCCCAACATTTTGGGAGGCTGAGGTGGGCAGATGACCTGAAGTCAGGAGTTCGAAACCAGCCTGGCCAACATGGTGAAACCCTGTCTCTACTAAAAATACAAAAATTAGCCGGGCATGGTGGTGTGCACCTATAGTCCCAGCTACTCCGAAGGCGGAGGCAGGAGAATCACTTGAACCCAGGTGGTGGAGGTTGCAGTGAGCCGAGGTCATACCACTGCACTCCAGCCTGGGCTACAGAGTGAGACTCCATCTCAAAAACAAAACAAAACACTTCAATAGGCACCTAAATACTCTCTAATCCTCTTCCTATTTAAATGATCTCTTGGCCGGGAGCAGTAGCCTACCCCTATAATCCCAGTGCTGTGGGAGTCTGAGGCAGGAGGATCACTTGAGCCCAGGAGTTTGAGACCAGCCTAAGCAACATAGAGAGACCTTGGCTCTACAAAAAAGTAAAAAATTGGCTGGGCGTGGTGGCTCACGCTTGTAATCTTAGCACTTTTGGAGGCCAAGGTGGGCAGATTGCCTGAACTCAGGAGTTTCAGACCAGCCTGGGCAACACAGTGGAACCCCGTCTCTACTAAAATACAAAAAATTAGTTGGGCATGGCGGCATGCACCTGTAGTCCCAGCTACTCAGGAGGCTGAGGCAAGAGAATTACTTGAACCTGGGAGACAGAGGTTGCAGTGAGCCAAGATCACGCCACTGCACTCTAGCCTGGGCAACAGAGTGAGACTCCATCTCCAAAAAGAAAAAAAAAATTACCCAGGCATGGTGGCATGTGCCTTGTAGTCCCAGCTACTCAGGAGGCTGAGGAAGGTGGCTCACTTGAGCCCAGGAGTTCAAGGCTGCAGTGAGCCATGACGGTGCCACTGCACTCCAGCCTAGGTAACAGAGTGAGACCCCATCTCTTAAAATAAATAAGTAACAAATTATCTCTTTATATTAATGGCAATTGTTATTAACCAGAGAGCTGATACTAAAAGACACTTAAAATGGATTCATGTACCTCCCCTCCTGGAAAGAGGCCATTTAATCACCAGCAGCAGAGACCTGGGACTACAAAGAAACAATGTCCGCGGAGTCCAATCTCCTCCTGCCTGTCTGCTCAGAAGCCTCTAACCTAGAGATTTGCCCACTAGGCGCTGAATTTCCCCTAATAGAGAGAAAAGTTGTTGTATGCTTCTTTGCATGCATAGGAAGCTGCAGGGAGGAGGGAAAAGGGAGGAACCCCAAGTCTTGTTTTCTTTCTTTTAGGGTTAGATAAAAGGAGAAAAATTCTCTTGAAGGTCAAGTAAAAGTCAAATAAGAAAGTGCTTATAGCACAAGTCCTGATACAGCGCTCTTCAAATTCCAAGTCTCATTCAGGAATGTTATCAGTGGTTTGAAAAGGGATGTGTTGCTGATATGTTGAAGACTTGAAACTTAGGGTGTGGGAAAAGTCAAGTCCTTGGCTCCCAGCTATGGAATTTCCATTCCCCAAGTGCATCAACTTGGCCTTGAGGTGTGGTAAGCATTTATAATCCGGGAATCAGCTCTGCGGTATCAGATCTACCTCCAGATCCTAAAAAAACCGCATTACCCAAACAGTTCCCTCGACCATGTGCTTCTGCTTGGCTGAGGAGCCTCCTGGTGTGGTGGGTACCTCTCATGTTGGGGTTTTTCTAAACTAGTCTGGAAAATAATGAGCTTCCTCCAAACTTTCAAATGACCTTTGCCCCCAGGAACTGTCACCTGGAAAACAAAAACGTAATGGAGGCTTTTCCCCTTCACTTGCAGAGGGGCACCTGGACAATGATGCAAGCACACCTTTGGAGAACATTGCTTCTTTTCTTTTAACTTTGTGTATTACTCCTCCCAAGGGTGTTTGCATTTATATTTTTGATATTTAATTGTAATTACAAATGTCACAAATGAATATATTTTAATTAAAGAAAATAAATGATTGTACTTAAAAGTAATCTCCCTTGACCATCACCCATAATCTCCTTCACCTACTCAGATGTAACCACTGTTATCAGTTTTGTGTGTATCATCCTTGAATGGTATCATCTGTGTTTTCTCCAACCAAAGGAATTGTACTGGCTTACTAATTTCACTCGACAAATTGTAATGAGGTTTATCCACACTGATACACGAAGCCCTGGTTCATTTGTTGTAAGTGGGAACGGTTTTCCACCATAGGGATATACCACAATCCACATATCCATTCTATTTTGATAGAGGCTTAGTTGTTTCCAGAGTTTTGCTATCACAGGCAGGGCTGTGATGGTCACCTGTGTGTGTGTTCCCTTGTGCACTGTGTGAAACCTCAGAGAAAATGCTGGAGCCTATGCATGTAGCAGGTTCTGAGCTGGTGCCACATTGCTCCCCGGGTGGCTGTGCCCTTCTGCACTGCCCCTGCCATCTGTGAAAGTGTCCACGCTGCTTGTCAATGATTGATATTATCAAACATTTAAGCAGACCAATCTGATGAGCAGAAATAATTTTTGTTTTCATTTGCTTTGCCCTGATTATATTTTTATCGTTTATTTCTATTTCCTCTTGCAAGGAATTGCCTTTTCATTCATCTGTTGCCTATTTTGTGGTTTCTTGATTTTTTAAAATTAAGTTGCATAAGTTGGTTGTGTATATGAATCCATTGTCTGATATGTTTCACATATGATCTCTTTCATTGTTTTTCTGCCTTTTAAATTTTCTTAAGCTTTTAATGATGATAGAATCAAATTTATCCAAGTTTTCAATATGGCCATTGCTTATTGGCCCTTGCCTAGAAAGAAGTTCCTCATCTTGAAGTAATAAAGTCTCCTTTATTTTCTGCTAAGACTTATACAGTATATACAGCTTTGCCTGTTTATATATGATGTATTTATTTATTTGTAGTCCTTTCATTCATCTGGAATTTAGTTTTGTGCATGGTGCAAAGTCAGGACTAGAGAGCAAGGAACAACTACAACATGGCCAGAGCTGGGTTCCCCCAGCCTGTTAAGCACTATACCCTGGGTTGGCTCTGTCTGCCTGAGGCACCTTCTGCAGGCTAAGGAATGTGCCCAGAGGACAGCTTTTTTTTTTTTTTTTTCCACAAATTTACCCAAAGGCTGAGGAGTGGTGAGAGGAGGAGCACAAAGAGGTGGGGGAGGCCGGGCGCAGTGGCTCACGCCTGTAATCCCAGCACTTTGGGAGGCCGAGGCGGGTGGATCACCTGAGGTCGGGAGTTTGAGACCAGCCTGACCAACTTGGAGAAACCCTATCTCTACTAAAAATACAAAATTAGCTGGGCATGGTGGCATATGCCTGTAATCCCAGCTACTTGGAAGGCTGAGGCAGGAGCATCTCTTTAACCCAGGAGGCAGAGGTTGCTGTGAGCCGAGATTGCACCACTGCACTACAGCCTGGGCAACAAGAGCAAAACTCCGTCTCAAAAAAAAAAAAAAAAAAAAAAAAAAAAAAAAAAAAAAAAGAGGTGGGGATATGAAACGAAGAGGTGGGGGTATGAAAGTGGGGGTAAGGAAGGTGGGGTATGGAAGGTGGGGGTACGAAGGTGGGGGGTATGAAGAGGTGGATTATGAAGGGGTGGGGTATGAAGGGGTGGGGAATGAAGGTGGGGGTATGAAGGTGGGGTATGAAGAGGGGGTATGAAGAGGTCGGGAACGAAGGTGGGAGTGTGAAGGTGGGGGTATGAAGGTGGGGTATGAAGGTGGGGGTATGAAGGTGAGGGTATGAAGGTGAGGGTATGAAGGTGGGGGTATGAAAGTAGGGTTATGAAGAGGTGGGGTATGAAGAGGTGGGGTACGAAGGTGAGGGTATGAAGGTGGGGGTATGAAGAGGTGGGGTATGAAGAGGTGCGGTATGAAGGTGGGGGTATGAAGGTGGAGTATGGAGGTGGGGTATGAAAGGTGGGGATATGAAGGTGGGGGTACAAAAGTGGGGGTTTGAAGGTGGGGTATGGAAGGTGGGGGTATGAAAGTTGGGGGTATGAAGGTGGGGTATGAAGGTGTGGGTATGAAGGTGGGGGTATAAAGAGGTAGGGTATGAAGGTGGGGGTATGAAAAGGTGGGGAATGAAGGTAGGGGTATGGAAAGTGGGGGTATGAAGGTGGGGGTATGAAAGTGGGGTATGGAAGGTGGGGGTAAGGAAGGTGGGGGTATGGAAGGTGGGGATACGAAGGTGGGGGTATAAAGGTGGGGGTATGAAGAGGTGGAGGTTTGAAACAGAACTCTGCCCTTCATTTTTCATTGCAAATGGACAGCAAATGAGCTCAACAGCATTTATTCAATTGTCTATCCTAGCCCTGTTGGTTCAAGACACCACCTTAGTCAAAATCGGGATGTTCTATTTACCAAAAAGCAACGTTCACTATCTTTTAATTCCCTTTTTCTCCTTATACCTCAAATAACAGTATGTAGAAAAAAAGGTAATAAGCCATCCACCCCCATCCTCTGAGTTAAGTGAAATGAGTATTTTGTTGTGAATAACTTTATAATTTTAGTTCTAATTAGTAAATGGTAGTATCTAAAGGAAATAAACACAATGGATAATTTAATATTTGTCTATTTTTAAAAATAGAGATGGAGTCTTGCTGTGTTGCCCAAGCTGGTCTCAAACTCCTGGGCTCAAGTAATCCTCCCACCTTGGCCTCCCAAAGTGCTGGGATTACAGGTGTGAACCACACCTCTCAGCCAATATTTATTTTATTTTATTTTATTTATTTTATTTTATTTTATTTTATTTTATTTTATTTTATTTTATTTATTTTATTTTGAGACACAGTCTCGCTCCATCTCCCAGGCTGGAGTACAGTGGCACAATCTCGGCTCACTGCAACCTCTGCCTCCTGGGTTCAAGGGATTCTCCTGCCTCAGTCTCCCAAGTAGCTGAGACTACAGGCGCCCGCCACCACACCTGGCTAATTTTTGTATTTTTAGTAGAGATGGGGTTTCAACATACTGGCCAGGCTGGTCTCGAACTCCTGACCTTGTGATCCACCCGCCTCAGCCTCCCAAAGTGCTGCGATTACAGGCGTGAGCTACCGCGCTGGCCTCTTGGCCAACTTAGTATTTAAAAGCAGAATTTTGACTGAAATGCCTACTTGGAATGTTATCATCTCTGCTGCTCTAAGCAGTGTGTCCTTGAGTAAATAATCTGACCCCTTAAATTTCCTCAAGCTTAAAAGGAGGACAGGATGAAGGCTGCGTCCAAGGTTGCCGAGAGTTCACGGAAGTTATGCTGGCAGAGCCCCCAGCAGGCGAGCATCTGTAGTGTGCTGGTGGGGGGAGGGCTGAGTGACTTACACCCTCTTCCAAAGACAGGCGAGTGAAAGGTATGGTTTAAACGAATGCTGCAGTATGGGGTGGGGTCCAGGTGGCAGAATGCATTGGCTAATTGTATCTGCTGGGGACACTGGTCTTTGGGCGCTTCCTGGGAGCAGGAGGGAAGCTCCCCACCTTATGGTCCCCATGGGCACTTTCATTCCACAGGGACATGGGGTCTGAGAAGCATGGATGGACTTACAGTGGACAGAATATTTGAAATTAGGAGAGCCTCAGAAAATGGAGCACGTGGTACTCCTACTGAGTGGTGCTACCTCCTCGGGGGACCTCAAGGCATTGATGACGAGGTTTCCATAGCTTTGGAAAGCTATGGACCTTTTTTATCTTGGACCTTTTTCAGATCTTGGACCTTTTTATCTTGGGCTTTTTTCAGATCTGAAAATCCCTAGAAACATCAGGCTGCACAGTGGCCTCAATTGAGACCAGCACTTCTGCCAGAGGGGGCCTCTCACACCTCCAGAGAAAGAGTGGTCAGGACAAGAGAAGCGCATCCCCCAAAGCTGGTGGTTCAGGCTGGCACAGCTGGCTTTGTTTGGTGCAGAGACCATGAAGGGTCTCCAGGGTCAGTCCTTGACCAGTGAAGCTGGGTGTTGGGGTGTAAATATCCTAGCTCCCCACTCCTGATTGGGATAATTGAGGTGAGACCTACATTGTCCTCAAGCTCCCTTTAAGACGGACCCAGGCGGGGAGCAGTGGCTCACGCCTGTAATCCTAGCAGTTTGGGAGGCCGAGGCGAATAGATCACTTGAGGTCAGGAGTTCAAGACTAGCCTGGCCAATATGGTGAAACACCATCTCTACTAAAAATACAAAGATTAGCTGGGCATGGTGGCATGCGCCTGTAATCTCAGCTGTTCTGGAGGCTGAGGCAGCAGAATCGCTTGAACCCAGGAGGCAGAGGTTGCAGTGAGCTGAGATTGTGCCGCTGCACTCCAGCCTGGGTGACAGAGAGAGACCCTGTCACAAACAAACAAACAAACAAACAAACAAACAAACAACCGACAGATCCAAATTTACCCTTAGGGGACTTCACCTGATATTGGACCTCTGATCTCTGATCTCTTTCCCCTCCAGGCTCCAACCCCCACTTCACCATGCGTTTCTCTTGGGAGCACTTCCTGATAGCCACTTTCACACAGTTCTTCGGCTCTGGGCCTGTTTCTGGGGAACCCGACCTAGGACACCCCCAGCCTTCCTGCTTGGCGCCGCTCGGTGGGTTCTTCCTGGAGCCAGAGATGCTCCCAAACGCCCCCACCTGGATGCGAATTCCACGGAGCAGGAATGCTGTCCTTTGGTTCACTGCAGTCTCCTCAGCTCAGAGCAGTCCCTGGCACACATTAGTTGTTGAGTGAATCAAGTGCTCTTCCCTCTCCGCCTTCCTCTTGGTGACTTCTCTGTTCATTTTTGTGCCAGGCAGGGGGTAAATCAGGACAGAGAGGAGGCGGAGCTCGGATCCAATCCATTATAACCTCAGCTGGATGGGATGGGAAAGTTGCTGACGTGTGGCATCCACTAAAAAGAGACTGCTCGAGTTTTCAATTATCCACCACCCAAAAACACCAATGTGCTTGCACATCCAGGAGGCAGCGGTTCTCTTCTGATTCTGGGGGAAGTTCTCATTGAGTGTAAAACGTTTGCTTTCAAACAATTAATAACTAAATTGTAAACTGCTCCTCTCAACATACAAAAGAGATCAAAGTGGGCTCCACCTTGCCAGGCACTCCTCACCACACATGGGAGAGGCTGTGAAGGGCCGGGAGGACATCCCTGTTTAGGCGGCACCCCTGATCAGTGGCACTCCCAGAGGCTTAGCCCAGAGTTGTTTTTATTAAAAAACAAACAAACAAACAAACAAACAACCCAAAAAACTGTTTCGGCTGGGCATGGCGGCTCACGCCTCTAATCCCAGCAGTTTGGGAGGCAGAGGCAGGTGGATCACTTGAGGTCAGGAGTTCAAGACCAGCCTGGCCAACATGGTGAAACCCCGTCTCCACTAAAAATACAAAAATTAGCTGGACATGGTGCACACCTGTAGTCCCAGCTACTCAGGGGCTGAGACAGGAGAATCGCTTGAACTTGGGGGGTGGAGGTTGCCAGTGAGCCATGATCACGCCACTGTGCTCCAGCCTGGGCAACACAGCGAGACTCTGTCTCAAAGAAAACAAAAACGAAAACAAAAGAACTATGTTTGAAATTACACTGCAGAGCAAACACTCTGATATAACCTTCAATTTGGCGCATGCTCACAGAGAAAGAAAAATAAGTTGTAAAAGGTGCGTGTAGTATCTGCAGTTCAATGTGTGAACTACGGAAGCAGCGTGTGTGGCTGTATCTTGAAACAGTCCTCCTGCTGAGGCCTTGATCTATTGCATCAGTTGTCTGAGTCCAGTGTTGCCTTAGATTACTCCATGACCTCTGGATTATTCAATGACCTTGGCAGTCACAGATGGCACCATACTCCTGCCTGTGGCTTTGCATTTTTAGGTTCAGTAATAAGTGAAATGATTGAAGTACCACAAGGGATGAAGTTTTTCCTTTTTTTTTTTTTTTTTGAGACAGAGTCTCGCTCTGTCGCCCAGACTGGAGTGCAGTGGCGCGATCTCAGCTCACTGCAAGCTCCCCCTCCCGGGTTCACGCCATTCTCCTGCCTCAGCCTCCCAAGTAGCTGGGACTATAGGCGCCCGCCACCATGCCTGGCTAATTTTTTTTGTATTTTTAGTAGAGACGGGGTTTCACCGTGTTAGCCAGGATGGTCTTGATCTTCTGACCTTGTGATCTGCCCGCCTCGGCCTCCCAAAGTGCTGGGATTACAGGCGTGAGCCACTGCGCCCGGCCTGGGATGACGTTCTTTCTAAGAGTGGTCACTAAGGCTTTCGGCAGCCCCAGTTAGTTTTAGCATTGGTGTTTTCAGTTAGATCTTGCATCTTTTGCTTAATATTTTTAAGATGTGTTTATAGAGTACTTATTAAGCATCAGGCTTTGGGTCTACAATAGGGAAGAAAAATACATAATGTGCACTTTCACATTTTTATTTATTTTATTTTTTATTTTCTGAGCTCTGTTGTCCAGGCTGGAGTGCAGTGGCATGATCTCGGCTCACTGCAGCCTCCACCTTCTGGGTTCAAGCAATCCTTCTGCCTCAACCTCCCAAGTAGCTAGGATTACAGGTGTATGCCACCACGCCTGGCTAATTTTTGTATTTATAGTAGAGACGGGGTTTCACCATGTTGGCCAGGCTGGTCTTGAACTCCTGAGCTCAAGTGATCTGCCCGCCTTGATCTCCCAAGGTACGGGGATTATGGTGTGAGCCACTGCACCTGGCCACAAATTTAAGATACTATTAATGATAACACACACTCTTATTTTATATAGTATCAAGAAAAAGAGCCCTGCCACTTTTATACACCATTGACTACAGGATATAAATGATTTCAGGGATAACATTTTGAAAATCTTATAACTGAAATGTGCTGACTTATGTCTTCATAGAGCTCAGGTTGAAGGGGCCTGCAGGTGTATAGGTCAAATATTAGTGACTTGTTTGGTTGCATTGTTAGTGACAAACATGCTGTGTGGGGACCAGCATCCTGGAATTTACAAAATAGAAACTGGCAGATGACCGGCAGGCCTTCCAGCATCCTGAGCTCTCCCTAAAACCCTCTCTGGATATAACCGGGACTCTCGCACGGCATCTGTCATCCCCCAGCTGGAAGGCTGACAAGAGCAGATTCCCACATGGCAAACAGTTGCTCCACCTCAGCTTCCTGGGGAAACACAAAGCCTGGAGCCCACTCCATGAGAAGTGAGAGCAACAATTCACTGCGGGGCCTTCCAGCCTCCCAGCCTTCAGAGAAACTCCATTGGAGAGTAGCTTGAGTAGATTTGCCGTGAATATCAACCTTGTTCTCCCACACATAGTTCAGCCACCAAAGGCTGTTCTTACAGCAAATATAACTATGCCAACTTCAATAAAGCACAAAATATTCCCTTGCAAAGGCATACTTGGGCTCTGCGTAACACATCTACCTAAGTGTCATCCCAGATGTCATTTTGTATTTTGTCTGATTTTTTTTTTTTTTTTAATTAAGGCCCAGACTCCGTAAAGTCAGATGCTAACTTCTGGAAGGTCTGTAAATTGCAAATGATGTTTGTCCAGTAGAAAAGAGAACCCCAGAGGTTTTAATTGTATTGCCTTTTATGTCTTTAGCCAGGTTTGTATTGGGTTGTACCTTTTGAAGTTGAGTTGTTTGAAGGTCAAAAAGTGGTTGAATGCTGACAATAGCAAGCTTATCTCTAACCTTCAAAGGTAGATATGCAAAAGTGGCTCATAGTAGATGACAAAGTTCGTTTAAGGTGTTATTCTTTTGCCCACTGAGTCTTTCCCAATCTTTGCCCCATTTGGAGCCAGCTTTAATGTCCTGTTGATCTCATTAATGAGTTAAATCAATCTTTGACACACACACACACACACACACACACACACACACACACACAATGTATTTGTATGAGAGTCACGTTTTTTCGTTTTTTGAAAATTATCCCTGAAGTTTACAGCTATCCATCTAAGCTATGGGACCTTGGCCTTGGGTGGGAGGTTGCTTAACCTTTCTGGCCTTTGGTTTCCTTAAGCTTAAAATAGACGAGCAGGTTTCCAGTGCCTCTTCTGGCTCTAACTTGGTGTCCCCCCAGCTGTCCCACTTTGCCTTTCCGGAATGCACTGGCGTGGGTGTCACAGTCACATTCACTTCCCTTTTACCATTTCTGGCTTCTTACCACTTGTCTTCACTGGGTTTTCTACAAGCACTAGAGAAAAAAGATGACTTGCTCTTTCTAGAAGACAATCTGAATGTGTATATCAACATTAAAGTATGAAAACTGTTGGATTCAGCATTTCTACTTCTAGGAATTGACCCAAAGAAATAATCAGATACATGTAAAAGAATGCTTTGGGCAATATCATTTATGATAGTGAACAGGGGAAAAAGTGCTAAATGTCAAACAGCTGTGGACTGGGTAAATAAAGTGTGTACCCCAATATGATGGAATGCTATTCCGCCTTTAAAAGGCGATTCCGCCTTTAAAACATATTTCTTGAGATGTACAGTATATATCGATATATTGTATGTCAATATATCAATATAGTGATATGTTATTAAGTGGAAATAAACAAGTTGTGAAAAGTATGTGTTCTCTGAGCTCACTTAAGTAATAGTTGTGGCTGCACTTATGTATGGATTTACATAATATAGTCGAATCACAGACAGAACAAAAATCTGAATGCATTAGTGTCAAGATGCTCACTGGCTTCATTCCCGAGTGGAGTGATTAGAGGTGGTACAATTTAGGTCTCTTTTCTTCTTTACACTTTTTAAATTTCACAGTAAAAATAACTATTATCATTTTAGGAAAAATAGAAGAAAAAGAATAATTTGATGGATGGAATTAACAGAGAGCCTGGAATTGGCAGCAGAGCAATCAGACAAGTTTCCTCTGGAGCTCCTGGGCTCAGCCATTTAGTACTCTGGACAGGTGCTTACATTTGCCATATGGAAGGCTGGCAACAGATCACTTGGTTGGTGCAATTCTTGGTAAAACAAAGGAAATAAGGCATTCGGTGGATGACCGTGGCACAGCTATTTAATTATGTTCCTCACTCCTGGGCCCTCTCCCTCCCTGAAGCTGGGGCTTTGCCATTTGGAGTCGTACCTTACCCACTCCGCCTGCCTTTTTTTTTTTTAAATTTTTTAAATATCTGCTTAATTACACAGCAGGGGCTGACTTCAATTGGAATGGAAGTCACTTTTCATTCTAAAACATTAGCTATGTGTCAGGTGGTTTTCACTTTTTCTCGTTGTAAACTCTGAGTTGTACTTTTCCTGCGCCCACTGCTTCTATGCCACTGTCTCCAGATGCCTATGAATTTCAAATGCACAGATGGAGCCAGGATCTGTATATCAAGCAGCATCTCCCCAAGTGGTTTCCACCCAACACAAGCAGTGTAGGATGTGAACAGGCACGATTTCAATACAAACACTACTGCTCGAACAACAGTGGAAGCACATTAAACATTCGATAAAATGAGGTCACTGAAGACTCCTCAGAACTTTTCAGATGCTGATGTCCAGGGTTGGTCTCCAGGGAGTGAATAAAGTATGCGGGGTTCCCCAAACCTACTGGCTTTAGGGCTTTCTGTTGATGATCATTTCTGGGGAGCAGTGGTCTGCAAAACTCTTTATTTTTTATTTTTTGGACAGGATCTCACTCTGTCGCCCAGGCTGGAGCTGGAGTGCAGCCTTGAGCTCCCAGGCTAAAGCGATCCTCTCAACTCAGCCTCCTGAGTAGCTGGAACCAGAGGTGTGTGCCACCACGCCCAGCTAATATTTTTATTTCTTGTACAGATGGAATCTCGCTAGTTTGTCCAGGATGGACTCAAACTCCTGGCCTCAGGCAATCCTCCCGCTTTGGTTTCCCAAAGTACTAGGATTATGGGCGTGAGCCACTACACCCAGCCCCCAAACTCTTAAAGAAATGCAAACTTAAAGCAGTGTTCCTGGGGACAGTAACTGCTGTATTTGGAATTTCAGTTTTGTTTGTTTGTTTGTTTTTTCTGAGATGGAGTCTCACTCTGTCACCAGGCTGGAGTGCAATGGCACTATCTCAGCTCACTGCAATCTCCGCCTCTCAGGTTCAAGCGATTCTCCTGCCTCAGCCTCCCGAGTAGCTGGGACTACAGGCGCGTGCCACCATACTCAGCTAATTTTTGTATTTTTAGTAGATTCAGGGCTTCACCATGTTGGCCAGGATGGTCTCGGTCTCTTGACCTCGTGATCCACTCGCCTCGGCCTCCCAAAGTGCTGGGATTACAGGCGTGAGCCACAGCGCTCGGCCAGAATTTCAGTTTTAATTAAAAAACAAAACAGGAAAGAATGGAGTAAGGGTTCACAGTGAAAGGAATTGGATAGGGGAGATGAATCTGTAGCATGCAATATCAGAAGGGAAATTTTGAAACAGAAAATGACAAAAAATTTTCTGTAAATTGAGCTTGTCAGTGTCCTCTGAGCACATAGAGTTGGTTTAGGGAAGGAAGAGAGCAGAGTGGGTATGAAAAGGGAATTTGGATTATAAGCAAATATGAAGCTCAGCCATTTTCGGTCTTGTGAAGATGATTAGTTACTCTGAGGGGATGAGTCACTAAGATTTGAAATTTACTGAAATGCAAAGGTTTGTTCCTCATTTGGAACCTGCGCTCTGATGCGGACATCTGCTGAGACACCCTTGACTTCTTAATCCAGATGGGACACATGGAGCAGAGACTGTGAGTGCTCTGCCCACAACCCTTGGAAGTCACCGTTTTCTTCTGTTGTGATGGCTCTACTGCAGGCACCTGGAAGTCTCTGCCCACAGCTGAGGAAGCTCTGTGGCTGGGAGTGAGTGCTGAGCAGATCAGACCACAGTGCTGGGGAGTTAATACCCCAGGGCAGCCCTCAGCCAAGGAGGGATGGCAGTGGGTGCACAAACACCCCAGCTGCCTCGCTCTTATGTGGAACAACTTGGATGCCCCCACACAGTCTCTCAGAGGTCCCCAGTGGGATTGCACCATGTATTGGCTGCCTCCCCTTCCTGTCTCACTCCCCTACTCTCCCACATGAACTTTCTGTGATCACTCAACACAGAATAGACTACTTGCATTCGTATTCTGTCTCTGCTACTGGAGGAACCCAAACAATGTTTTTCTTTTTACTATAAATTCAGAGCAGGAAATCCCTGCTGGGATTCGCTCCATCTTAGGCAGTCAGATACCTTCACTACCCGTAGGGCCTTTTCTCCCAGCTGCACTGCTGTCATCCCGAAGGTCTTAGGGAATGGCCACAGAGGGGTCTCTTGTGCTGTTCTGCTCTCATTGAGGTTGTAGTGACCAGAACTGGGCACAGTTTCCCAGTGCCACCTTAGTCTCATCTCTCCCTGACACACACAAAACACCCTTTGTTATCATTTAGGATATAGCTAACAGGATAACATTCACAAGACTGGTGTTTCTCAAACTGGAATGTGCACACGCATGACCTAGGGACCTGGTGAAGGTGCAGGTTCTGATTCAGAGGCATTCCGTAGGGCCTGAGAGTCTGCATTTTTAGCAAACTCCATGGCTGACGGGCAGACCACACTGTGAACAAGGTTCCACTGGAGTGTGAGAGCCCCAACCACAAGACCAATTCTTTCCCAGGTCGGTATATCCAGTGTCTCGTCCAGCTGGCTACATAGTGGGTGCTGAGTTTATATTTGTTAAATTTGGCTCTTGCAATTGATTAACACATCGATTCACTAATTTAATTCAGCTGCCCAGCTTCAAACACGAGAGCAGCAACTGTTTAATGCAAATTTTTTTGATGCAATGTCCTTCTGATGGTGGGAAAGTACATACTGGGAAAGTCATACAGGAACACCACAGAACAATGCAGAGCGTGTGCAGACAGGCAAATTTGGTGTGAGTCATTGTCAACTCACACCATTGTCAACATTATTGAAGACCTGCTACCTTTAGGGTAATAGCCTAACTAGACACCAAAAGAAGCATAAGATATTATTTCTATCCCCCAAAAGGCTTGCAATGTGACTGAAAAAATGAGACAGACAATAAGAAACAAGCATCAGGTGAGTGGTTAAAGACAGTAGTAACCCTGACAACTAGTTTGCTTGATCTAACTCACTTGACATCTCAGTAAGCCCGTCTGATCACTGAACTGATAATACTGTTATTAAAGCCACCTGGCTCTCCTAGACCGCAAACTCTGGTAGTTGCATTTCACAAAATTCAGATTCAACTTCACACGCACCCCATCACAACGCACGTGTGCATATGCCTATGGGCAGATGGGCCCCCTTAATCACATAGGTTTTAATATTTTTATTCGGGGCAAGAGAAAAAAATAATCTTCCTTAAAAACAGGTTCTAATCCACATTCATAGCAGCATTATTTCCCACAGTCAAAAGGTAGAAGCACCCAGTGTCCGCTGATGGATGAATGAATAAGCAAAATGTGGTCTTCTCATACAATGGAATATTATTCAGCCTTAAAAAGGAAGAAAATTATAACATATGCTACAAAAAGGATAAACTTTGAGGACATTAAGCTAAGTGAAATAAGCCAGTTACAGAAGGACAAACACTGTATGATTCCACTTGTAGGAAGTACCGAGAGGAGTCAAACTCATAGAAACAGGAAGCAGAAGGGTAGTTACCAGGGGTTGAGGAAAAGGAGGAATGGGGAATTATTTAATAGATAGAGTTTCAATTCTGCAAGATGAAAGGAGTTCTGGAAATGGATGGTGGTGATGGTTGCACAACAATATGAATGTACTTAATGCCACAGAATTGTACATTTAAAAATGTTTAAAATGTGACTGGGCATGGTGGCTCATGTCTGTAATCTCAGCACTTTCAGAAGTCAAGGCAGGAAGATGGCTTGAGCCTAGGAGTTTGAGAACAGCCTGGGCAACACAGTGAGACACCATCACTAAAGTGCTTAAAATGGTGAGCTTAAAAAACATGGTTAAAAATGCTTAAAATGGTAAATTTTATGTTATGTATGCTTTATCACAATTAAAAAAAAAACAGTAAGATCTGAGAGCTACAGTGTGAACAACGACAACAAAACAGAATCCCTAGAAAATAACTTCATAGAAAACAAGGTAGAAGAGTTTCTTTTTGTTTATGAATATATGTCATGGAGACCTTCTCTTGAGAAAATGATCTATACGAACCCATCTCCAGCTTCTAAATTCTGGGCTCCTCCAAGAAAATGACAGTAATCAGAGGCAAAGCCCAGGAGGGCCCTAACTGTGAAGAGGACCTCGCAGCACTTTCTCTGGACCCATGCGCATGGACTGAGGCTCAGCCTGTGCACCGCACGCTCATGGCACCTCTTGATGCTGTGGACAACATGCAGCTTCCTCAGCTGTGCCTTTCCCACACCCCGGGGTTTTCCATTTCCTAGTGACATCAAACATTCAGGATGGAGAAGAAAAACCTGCTGTTCACCCAAAAAGGTGGTTAGAAATGACCATCCCGGCGTGGTCGTGGTAGCTCACGCCTGTAATCCCAGCACTTTGGGAGGCTGAGGCGAGTGGATCACTTGAGCTCAGGAGTTTGAGACTGGCCTGGCCAACATGGTGAAACCCCGTCTCTACTAAAAATACAAAAATTAGCTGGGCATGGTGGCAGGCGCCTGTAATCCCAGCTATTTGGGAGGCTGAGACAGTGGAATCGTTTGAACTCCGGAGGCGGAAGTTGCAGTGAGCCGAAATCGCAGCATGGCACTCCAGCCTGGGCGATGGGAGTGAGACTTCATCTCAAAAAAAAAAAAAAAAAAAAGAAAAAGAAAAAGAAAAAAGAAATGACCATCCCAGCAATGGATGCAGGGGCTTTTCCTGATGGGAACAGGCCTCCTGGAGCCAGGTGAACTGGCTGAGATGCCCCTGGAGAGGGGTCTGGCCTGGTAAAAAGCATGGACCTGCAGCAGGAGACCAAATCAGGTTCTGGGGTGGTGAGAGCACAGTTGAACCCCAGGCTTCCTTCCTTTGTGTCTTTAAGCAATGCTCATATGAAATGTGTCTATGTGAAAGCCCTTTCCCTGTTCTGGGTCACAGCATTTTGACTCAGATGAGAAACTTGTCTGGGTCCAGTTGACGTGTACTTGAGGAGTCCTGGAGTTAAGGCTGAGTTTTAGAATCTGCTTTTCATGTTTAGCTTAATTCAATTATGAAAACACATCAAATGGCTACTCTGAAATGGGTAGAAGAGGCCACAGGAGTCCACAGGGCCAGGAAGTAAAACCTGAACTAAAAGGGAGCCCTGTAGATCCTTCCATCAAAACCACAGACAGCCCCTGTCTTGTGGACCCATAGCCATGGCTGGCTGCACATCTGTACGCTGGGCTCACCCACGCGATTCACCTATTCTGATAACAAAGAGATTCATTTTGTAAAAAATGTCACATACAAATGCCATTCAAAGCCAGTAACAGGTATGTTGACTTTGTGGAAATTCACTAAGCTGGATATTGACGTGAGCACTTTCTGCATGTATGTGACACTGAAGCAAAAATTCACGGAATGAAATGAGTGAGACAGGACCATTTGGAGGCCAAAGAATCATGACAACTAAATGCAGTGAGGCAAAGAAATAGGAAAAGAAATAGTATAAGGACATGACCAGAGCAATGAACAAGCTCTGAAAATGAGCTGTGGGTTAGAGAGGAGTGTTATATTAGTGTTATCAGTGTGTGTATAATAGCTTTTTGGCTTGTGTCTTTTACTTACTGTTTGTGCAAGAGAATGTCCTTGTTCCTCAGAAATACACAAGGAGGATTTAGAGATAAGGTGGTGTGGTCGCAGGTGTGTCTCCAATGTATTTTCAGATGGTTCAGAAAACAGACTACATATGTAGCTATATAGAGACAAAATTATCTATTTATGTAAAATATTGACATATTTGGGCCAGGCGCGGTGGCTCAACGCCTGTAATCCCAGCACTTTGGGAGGCCAAGGCGCACAGATCATCTGAGGTCAGGAGTTCGAGACCAGCCTGGCCAACATGGTGAAATCCTGTCTCTACTAAAAAAATTAAAAAATTAGCTGGGCAAGGTGGTGCATGCCTGTAATCCCAGCTACTCAGGAGGCTGAGGCAGGAGAATTGCTTGAAACTGGGACGCAGAGGTTGCAGTGAGTCGAGTTTGCACCACTGCACTCCAGGCTGGGCAACAAGAGTGAAACTTTGTCTCAAAAAAAAAAATTTACATATTTATATAATTCTGCATATGTGTGTGTATGTGTGTGTAGAAAGAGAATGACAGAGCAAGGGCAGTGAAATGTTAACCACTGGTGCATATGGAACCAAGGTAATGGATATATAAGCGTTCTTTGAACTCTTCTTGCAACTATTCTGGAAGTTTGGAATTATATCAATAAACTCACTTCCTGGCTGGGTGCGGTGTGGCTCACGCCTGTAATCCCAGCACTTTGGGAGGCCGAGGCAGGCGGATCACTTGAGGTCAAGAGTTTGTGACCAGCCTGGCCAACATGGAGAAACTCTGTCTCTATTAAAAATACAAAATTAGCCGGGCGTGGTAGTGGGCGCCTGTAATCCCAGCTCTGTGGGAGGCTATGGCAGGAGAATTACTTGAACCCAGGAGACAGAGGCTGCAGTGAGCCGAGACTGCGCCACTGCACTCCATTCTGGGTGACAGAGTGAGACTCCATCTCAAAAAAAAAAAAAAAAGTTCACTTCCTCTCACAGAGAAAAAAAAATTCAAACAATATACACAAGAATGATTAAAAAAAAGAAGAAGAAAAGAAAAAGAAAAAAGAGAGTATGAAGGCCAAGCATGGTGGCTTATGCCTGTAATCCCAGCACTTTGGGAGGCCAAGGTGAACAGACGACTTGAGGTGAGGAGTTCGAGACCAGCCTGGCCAACATGGTGAAACCCTGACTCCACTAAAAATACAAAAATTAGCTGGGCATGGTGGCGCATGCCTGTAGTCCCAGCTACTCAGGATTCAAGGGGAAATCACTTGAACCCGGGAGGCAGAGGTTGCAGTGAGCCAAGATCGTGCCTCTGCACTCCAGTCTGGGTGACAGAGTGAGACCTTGTCTCAAAAAAAAGAGAGAAAGTATGAAAAAAATTAAAATAAATAAAAAATTAATGTACACAAGATTAAAAACCAGGTTGCAAGGAAACACTTCCTTAATTTCTCCTAGCACATCTTCAGAGCTCACTTTGCACATTCTTCCTGTTGGGAAATCTCTTCTTTGAAAAGTTCAGCCAGCTCTGTGCCTTGTCCTCAAAATCTGCGTTGATGGACACTTGGGATGCAAGCTGGAGGAAGCGTGTGCAGCTACCACAGGGGCCCCACCTTTTCCTGCTCAAGACTGGCTGGGCTCCCAGGCATGGCCGCATCATGGTCCCCATTTACTAGTAGCCGCACCACACCCAGGCTGCCTGCTGAGTGCCTCTGGGGAAGCCAATGTCTTGTGGCCACCAAGGAGACCAGTTTAGCTTACTGATGAGCCCTGGAAACCACACAGACCTGGCCTGAAACTAGCTCTGCTGGCTCCTACTACCTATGGGACCTGTGCGGCGAGACTGTAACCTACCAGGATCTCAGTTTCCTCATCTGTAAAAGATGAGATAACTTGGTGGGATGGTGAAAGGGGACCAGCATGATGATGCCCACAATAGTGGGCACAACTGCTCCAACCCAAATCATCCCATGCCAGCGGGGAGTAGGGTGCAGAGTGTGTGCCGGGGCTCAACACAGAGACGTGCACACAAGCACACAAATGCTCATCTCGGATGAACTTGCCCAGCACTTGGCTGTTGAAAGTTCCAGAAAGGAATGATTTCAATTTCAGTATATAGGTAACTTCTGTGTCACTTGGGAAAAATTGAAATTATTTTTAGTTATGTATAAGTGGTGGCGGATCAAAACTCCTCAGTATTTGGGAACCTCTGAAGGCATTTAATCTTGCCTTGGGGGTAGGGCAGGGAAGGATGTGTGGGGTGAATGATGGGACGGAGGAGACAACGAGGGGGATTGGAGGAGGAGATTATAAAGCTGGCTGCTCTGATGACAGGTGTGTTTGTTTTATGGGCCTCAGTGGGTTACTAACAAAAACTGAAGAGCAGACTGGGCGCGGTGGCTCACACCTGTAATCACAGCACTTTGGGAGGCCCAGGTGGGTGGATCACCTGACGTCAGGAGTTTGAGACCAGCCTGGCCAACATGGCAAAACCCAGTCTCTACTAAAAATACAAAGTTAGCTGGGAGTGGCGGTGGGCGTCTGTAATCTCAGCTACTTGGGAGGCTGAGGCAGGAGAATCACTTGAACCTGGGAGGCAGAGGTTGCAGTGAGCTGAGATCAGGCCATTGCACTCCAGCCTGGGCAACAGGAGCAAAACTCCATCTCAAAGATAAACAAACAAACTGAACAACAGGCGTGGTGTTCCACGTGTATTTTTTCCATTGCCCACCCCTAAGCCCAGCTCTTTCCAAATAGTGGATATTCCACAAGTGACCACAAATCTCTGAACAGAATGGAAGGAGGGCCGCCAACTTCTGCTGCCTGTGAGTAATTTCTGACTCTTCAATTTGATTCTGAAAAGCTTTGAACTTTGAAACTCGAAGTCTTAGTAAATAAATGATGATGTTTTGGGGTTACTTGAATTTTTCTCAATCTTCATTAACCTGCATGCTGGGAATGAGAGATTGTTTCCACAGAATTATTTTACTTACCAGAGGATTATCTCCCCACCCCCTTGATGTCCAAACTCTTTCTTTCTTTCTTTTTTTTTTTTTTTGAGACGGAGTCTCGCTCTGTGGCCCAGGCCGGAGTGCAGTGGTGCGATCTCAGCTCAATGCACGCTCCGCCTCCCGGGTTCACGCCATTCTCCTGCCTCAGCCTCCCGAGTAGCTGGGACTGCAGGCGCCCGCCACCACGTCCGGCTAATTTTTTGTATTTTTAGTAGAGACGGGGTTTCACCATGTTAGCCAGGATGGTCTCGATCTCCTGACCTCATGATCTGCCCACCTCGGCCTCCCAAAGTGCTGGGATTGTAGGTGTGAGCCACCGCGCCTGGCCGATGTCCAAACTCTGAAGTTCCTATGTCCATAACACAACATAATGCCTCTTGGATGAGTCTTTTTTGGTTTGGAAGTGATCGCCCTGCAGACAGATGGAGCATGGACCTAAGCTCTCCCGACTGTGGTGAAGGCTCAGAGGTCAATGTTACAGGCATGAGGAAGGTGAAGAAATAACACTTCATTAACCAGCTTCAGCCAACAGCAGCTGCCCCTTAAGGAGGGGCCTTCTTGATGGCTGGCATTGTCCATTGTCTCACTTAATCCTCCATCGTCTTAGCACCATAGGACAGGGATTTATTAATCCCACCTTACAGATGAGGAAACTGAGGCTCTGAGAGTTTGCTTAATGTCATGCAGCTGGTAATGGTGCAACAGGGATTGGCAGCCCTTACAAACCCATGGCCTTTCCACCAGTATTTACCCAGGTGAGGTACACATATCTTTGATGCATTAAAGGGAATATTGGCTTTTACTACGTTTGAAAAGGTGAGTGTGTGGACTCTGGGCAAGGCCCTGTGGCTATACCCAGGACAAACTCACCAGCTTTATCTCAGACCCTGGGGCTTTCCCAGACCCACCTCCACCCTCTTCCTTCCTGAGCTCAGTGTTCCTGCATCTCTGTATCTTCTTTGGTTCCTTGGAATTTCCTTCCTTGAAGTAATAAGTGGAGAGCTTCTGGTGATGGGTGGAACTTCCTTCCTTCCTCGCTCTGGTGATAAGTGAAGGATGAGAATGCACCCAGTGTCCAGCTGAGGGTTTGGCTGGGAGCCAGGGCTCTGTCTGGTACACAGGCCAGGGCAACCCCCAGCTGCCTCCCCTAGAGCTGCCTCTCCCCTCCACAAGACCCAACCCTCTCCAGGGCTATGATTGGGCTGTGTCCTCAAAGTTCATATGTTGGAAACTTAATCTTCAATGCAACAGTGTTGAGAGGTGGGGCTTTTAGGAGGTAAATAGGTCAAAGGGGTCTGCCATCTTGAATGGATTAACGCCATTATTTTGGGAGTGGGCTGGTTATCACAGGAGTGGGTTCCTGATAAAAGGATGAGTTCAGCCCCTTTTCCTTCTCTCTCCTGCCCTTCCTCTCTCTCTCCCTCCTACCCTTGCATGCACATGTACTCTCTGCTGCCCTTCCACCTTCCACCATGGAATGACGCAGCAAGAAGGCCCCCGCAAAATGCAGTCCCCTCAACCTTGGGACTTCCCAGCCTCCAGAGTTGTAGCATATAAATCTCTGTTCTTTATAAATTAGCCAGGCTCAGGTATTCTGTTTTAGCGGCAGAAAACAGTCTAAGACATTGAGGAAGGCTGTGGCAGTCACTCCAATGTGTATGTCACATATCAGAGGTCATACTCCAGTGGCCTATAGGACACTCATCCATGCTCTGCCCAGTTTGCTTCACATGGGCTTGTCTTGTCTTTTAGAGTTAAACTAGTTTCAACATTTAAATATAATAATATTTCATGCAAAAGTCAGGAGACTTAAACAAAAAAATTCAGGTTTCCAGCTTCTTGAAAATTAGAAACCCTGGACCACGATGGTGATGCTGCCTTGTTAGATGGGATATCTATTCTCCAGATGGCCGCAGACCCCACCACTCCCTATGGTTCTTGTTCTCTAATACTGAGGCCAAATGTCAGTTGCCATTTATCAACTTTGGCCTGGGTTGGCTTCACTCGCCTACATTATCTTCCTGGCCCCTGTAAGCATCCAAGGTTAACACCTCTGATGAATTCATTCCTGCTATTTTTTTCTTTTTGAGACAGAGTCTCACTCTGTCACCCAGGCTCTGGAGTGCAGTGGCATGATTATAGCTCACTACAGCCTCAACCTCCTGGGCTCAAGCAATCCTCCCATCTCAGCCTCCGGGGTAGCTAGGGCTACAGGTGCATGCCACCATGCCTGGCTAATTTTTTATTTTTAGTATAGACAAGGTCTTGCTGTATTGCCCAGGCTGGTCTCAAACTCCCAAACTCGTGCAATCCTCCCACTTCAGCCTCCCAAAGTGCTGGGATTACAAGTGTAATTCACCATGCCTAGCCACTATTCCAGCTGTTTCTGACAACCTGTATGTATGAGGCAAGTAGTGCAGTTCAGGATAGAGAATGGAACCTGCCCTGGGAGATCAGGCTGTGAATCTTGGCTCTGCCACTTACTCTCTGGGGGTGTTTATATAGATTCATGGCCCTGGCATGTGTTTGTTTGTTTGTTTGTGAAATAGAGATACTGCTACCTACACTCAAGACTACCTTTGAGAATTCAGTGACAGGATGCAGTTAGTTCCTAAGTCAGTGGTCAGCAAACTTTCTCTACAGAGGGCCAGAGAATGAATATTTTAGGAATTATTATATAGGGGCAATACAGTCCCTGTAGCAACCAAACTCTGCAGTTAATGGTACAGAAGCAGTTACAGACAATACGTGAGTGAATGGCTGGGTTCCAATAGAACTTGTTGTTTGTTTATTTGTTTTTTGTTAGAGATGGAGTTTTGCTCTGTTGTCCAGGCTGGAGTGCAGTGGCTGCAGCCTTGAACTCCTGGGCTCAAGTGATCCTCTTGCCTCAGCCTCCAGGAGCACCTGGGACTACAGGCACACGCTACCATGCCCAGCTCCAATAGAACTTGACTTTCTTAGTTTATTTATCTTTATAAATAGAGATGGGGTCTCACTGTGTTGACCAGGCTGGTCTCGAACTCCTGGCCTCAAGCCATCCTCCCATCTCAGCCTCCCACAGAGTTAGGATTACAGGTATGAGCCACTTCGCCCAGCCAGAACTTGACTTTCAAGCACAGATGCCAGCTGGATGTGGCCTGAGTGTCATCGTTTGCTTTGTCCTCAGAGGTTCTCTCACTCCCTCTCCTGCCCCTCTCTTGTCCACTCCACATATGTCAGGTAGACGAGTTATTTCAAAGAGTATGAGACAATCCTGAAAAATGCACATGACAGGAGTCTGCAATCCTCCTCCCTGTCTTACCTTCCAAGTGGGGAAGGTGTGAGTTTTGAGTCTGTTCTGGCTCAGCTTTTGCTGAGCAGATTCTGAATCGGGGCAGAGAAGAAAACCATGATACTAAAGACCCCAGCCAGGTCAAGGGGACCTGTACAATAAAGACCAGAAAGTGGGAACGGGACAGAGTAAACCAGAGAGGACCACCAGGCTGGAAGAGCTTGGGAGAGATAGAGGAAGCAAATCAGAACTGGAGAAGCTTGAACTTGAAGGATGGGGAGGAAGGGCAGGGCTACCTCAATTTGAGAGAGCTGCTTGGCACCTGAAGAAGCAAGTGTAGAGAAAGAACAGCAACTCAATGTCAAGATTTCAAGTTGTGCTGATGGGGAGGCTGGCTCTGGCCTCCTTTGAGTGACTCCAGGGAAGATTTTAATTGCACTTTGGTTTTCTTGGTTGATGGATGGAGACACAGTGCTAATGCCGGGTGAGCTTTATGAGGGTGGCACATAGGTGGCACTCCCCTCCTCATACCCATCACCGCTTCCGATAGCACTAAGAATGGAATCCCAGTGTTCACCTGGCTGGCATGACTGGCATCCTGCCCCTCCTGCCCTTCCGGCCTGCCATTCATTATACTTGCCACCCTTTTTCTCCCTCAGAGCCTCAGATGTCACTCCAGGCCTTTAAACATGTGGCTTCCTTATCCGGGAATGCTCTTCCTTTCGTCTCTTTCTCTCCTGCACAGTTCAGCTTAAAGTCACCTTTTCAGGAAGACTTTCCCTACCCCAATGTGAGTAGCCCTGCCCCTCATCCCCATCCTTCAAGTTCAAGTTTCTCCAATTCTGATTTGCTTCCCCCAGCACCGCATACCCGGTGCCCAGGGCTGGCCTCACCATTGTAGGTGTGGAATCAATACTGGCTGAATAAATGAACCATATATAGGCAGCGCATACAGATGTGTGCTACACATTTTTTTATTCATCCAGCAAATATATATATATATTTTATATATATATATATATATATTTTTTTTTTGAGACGAAGTCTCATTCTGTCACCCAGGCTGGAGTGCAATGGCATGATCTCAGCTCACTGCAACCTCTACCTGCTGGGTTCAAGCAATTCTCCTGCCTCAGCCTCCCGAGTGGCTGGGATTACAGACGTGCGCCACCACACCTGGCTAATTTTTGTGTTTTTAGTAGAGACCAGGCTGGTCTTGAACTCCTGACCTCAAGTGATCTACCCGCCTCGGCCTCCCAAAGTGCTGGGATTACAGGCATGAGCCATGGCGCCCGGCCCATCCAGCATATTTATTGAACACCTGCAATTACCGGCCAGGTACTGAGCTCAGCCCAGGTAATACAAATTCAGTAAGACACTCTCTCTGTCCTCAAGGAGCATGCAGGACACTGGGTGCTAAATACATGATCACAGTCTTCTTGCTTTCATTTCCTTTACTTCTGGAAAGCCTGATTCAGAGATAGTTGGAGAAACCTCAAGAAACACAAATTTTATTTCCTAATTTACAGTGCAGACCAGGATTTCTCAACATCAGCATTGTTAGAATTTGGGGCTAGATAATTCTTTGTCGTGGGGGCTGTCCTGGTCATTGGAGGAAGTTTGGCAGCATCTCTGGCGTCTGCCTACTAGAGACCAGTAGCATCCCCATCCCAGTGGTGGCAACCAAAAATATTTCCAGAGAACCAGTGGTCAAGGTGGAACCAGCTGTCCCGGAACAGAACCCCAAGTGACCTGTGTCTTTGAGACCCTGAAACAAGCCTAGAATCTGGAAGTAGAATGAGAAAGGAAGAAACACCCCTGGCACGCTCCCAACAGAACATAAACAACACAGACACAATGTAAACACCAACTATTCAAGGCCACTAGGGAACAGGTCTGAAATGACAGAACAGAAACCAGGATGCTGAAACCACAAAAACGACGAAATGGCCCCCTCTTTCGACACACACGAGCGCTGGCTGCTCCTCCACCGATGATCCCTCAAGCTCCCTTTATTTCCTCCCCTTCCAGATAAAGACCATCAAGCTACCCCTAGCAACAAATTACCCTCACTTCCTGACAACATCTTAGCCCTCCTGTAGAGTTACTCAAGAAAATACAGGATGCTAAGTTAAATTTAAATTTTATTTTATTTTTATTTATTTTATTTTTTTGAGACAGAGTCTCGCTCTGTTGCCCAGGCTGGAGTACAGTGGCACAATCTCGGCTCACGGCACGCTCCGCCTCCTGAGTTCATGCCATTCTCCTGCCTCAGCCTCCCGAGTAGCTGGGACTACAGGGGCCCGCCACCATGCCCGGCTAATTTGTTGTGTTGTTAGTAGAGACGGGGTTTCACCGCGTTAGCCAGGATGGTCTCAATCTCCTGACATTGTGATCCACCCACCTAGGCCTCCCAAAGTGCTGGGATTACAGGCGTGAGCCACCGTGCCCGGCCAAATTTAAATTTTTGATAAATAATGAATAATGTTTTTTAGTATAAGTATGTGCTAAATATTGCATAGGATATACTTATGCCATATCTGGAATTCAAGTTTCACTGGTGTCCTGTATATTTTATTTGCTAGATCTGCAACCCCACCTTCCTTAGAATTACCCAGCGCAAGCAGAAACCCTGTAATGAGCTCCCCCAGCTCCCTCGGACTGAGAACCTCCTATGCCTCTGTCAGTGGGCATTCTCTCTGTCTGCACAAGCTCATAAACCTAACTTTGAGGAAGGATGTCCTCCTGGTGGCCTTTGAGAAGAATCATCCCCACCTTTTGCTATAGGAAACTCAGAGATGGCCATCGGAAAGAGGTAGTGGTGGGTGGCCAGCAAAGGACAGCGGTGAGGGACAGGTGCAGTGGGAAAGTTCAGAGAGGCTCAGCTCACTAGCATCCAGCCCAGGGAGCACTCCATGGAAGGTGGTGGGAGGAGAGACTGCCTGAGTCTCATTTCTGAGCTGGCTGAGGCACAGAGTCAGCATCTCAAGGACTCAAGGAGAGTCGGAGGAGTCCAATGAGTGCTGGGTCCTGTCTCTATGAAATTCCTCCCAAGTTTATATACAGTGTCCACGGAGCCACCACATACTTCACAAACTGTGTGGCAAGTTCTTCATGCCTCAGTTTTCTTAACTGCAAAAGGGGGATAATAATATTGTGAGGATTAAATAAGTTAATGGTTTTAAAGTGCTTAGAACAATGCCTGGAACAGTGTGTTTGCTCAATTTTTTTTTTTTTTTTTTTTTTTTTTTGAGACAGAGTCTCGTTCTGTCGCCCAGGCTGAAGTGCAGTGGTGCCATCTTGGCTCATCACAACCTCCGCCTCCCGGGTTCGAGTGATTCTCCTGCCTCAGCTTCCTGAGTAGCTGAGATTACAGGCGCCTGCACCACACCCGGCTAATTTTTGTGTCTGTAGTAGAGACGGGGTTTCACCATGTTGGCCAGGCTGGTCTCAAACACCTAACCTCAAGTGATCTGCTGGCCTTGGCCTCCCAAAGAGCTGGGATTACAGGTGTGGGCCACCGCACTCGACCTGTTTATTAGATTAAACATAAATATTACAAAGTAATTGAATAAGGAAGAAGGCTGGGCTGTGCCTAGGGAGTGGCACCAAAATAGTTGATTTTACCTAAATGTCAAACAACAAAATGTCTGTTTTTTCCATTTGATCATTTGTTCCTTTGGCTAATGGCAGTGTATACCAACAACGGAGTTTGAGTGTTCATTTTCCCCAGGGTTTAGTTGGCAGGGGGAAGAGCCGCCCCTCAATCGTAGCACACTGATTGTGCTAGCACCCGTGGGTAAATGACAAGGTCGGGTGTTCGACGCTGGGTGGGGCACTTTTGCCAGTGCATGTTGCAGGGTTCTGTTCGGCTGAGTCACCCTGCCTCTGAGGATGTCCACCCATGTATCTGTGTGCAGATGCTTTTGAGAAAGCAAATAAAATGTGGGGACGGGGGTGGGGGAAAGCAGACAGAAAAAGACACCAGTAGTAACACCAAGGCTTGCAGAGTTATTGACTGAAATCATCAAAATACTGTATCTGACCAACAGACAGTTACAATCCAGCTGGTAAGGTGGTATCATTCCATTTTCCAGAGAAGGACATGAAGCTAGGTTGAGAATGAAGACGTTTCTATGCTTTTTGTATAGTGCCGTTCACTCATTGAAATACAGGGTCTGGAGCAGTGGTTCTCCCACCTGGGTGAACATCAGAATCACCAGGAGAGAGCTGGGCCTTATCCTGCAGTTTCTGATTCTCTGGGTCTGGAGTGGAATCCAAGAAGTACATTTCTTTTTTTTTTTTTTTTTTTTTTTTTTTTGAGACAGAGCTCTTGTTGCCCAGGCCAGAGTGCAATGGTGTGATCTCGGCTCACTGCAACCTCCGCCTCCCGGGTTCAAGCGATTCTCCTGCCTCAGCCTCCCAAGTAGCTGGGATTACAGGCATGCGCCACCACGCCTGGCTCATTTTGCATTTTTAGTAGAGACGAGGTTTATCCATGTTGATCAGGCTGGTCTGGGACTCCCGACCTCAGGACATCTGCCCACCTTGGACTCCCAAAGTGCTGGGATTACAGGCGTGAGCCACCACACCCAGCCTAATTTTTGTTGTTGTTTTTGTTTTTTCTTTTTTTTTAATGTAGTAGAGACAGGGTCTCCCTGTGTTGCCCAGGGTGGTCTCTAATTCCTGGGCTCAAGTGATCCTCCCACCTCGACCTCCCAAAGTGCTGGGATTACAGGTATGGGCCACTGTACCTGACTTTAGGACGGTTTTTATTTTTTTATTTTTTATTTTGAGACTCTGTTGCCCAGGCTGGAGTGCAGTGGCACAATCTCAGCTCACTGCAACCTCTGCCTCCTGGGTTCAAGCAATTCTCCTGCCTCGCCTCCTGAGTAACTGGGACTATAGGCATGCACCACCACGCCTGACTAATTTTTGTATTTTTTGTAGAGTCAGGGTTTCACCATGTTGGCCAGGCTGGTCTTGAACTCCTGACCTCAAGTGATCTGCCAGCCTCAGCCTCCCAAAGTGCTGGGATTACAGGCATGAGCCATGATGCCCAGCCAGAATAGTTTTTAAATTGGGATTATTTTACATGAAAATCTAGATTTCTGGCCTCCCTCACTTGGAAAAAACCAAAAAACCCACATTCATTCTTGCATGACAAGAATTGGTTGGAACTGAGAGAGCAGTTTCTCCTTCTAGAAGGGACTTGTATGCTCCAGTTTTGTTACAGTCTCCACCAATCCCACCTGTCTGATGCCAGGCCCACTCACTCATTTTATTTCTGTTTGGCCCTGCAGGTTGTTGAGTTTGTGACTGAGCTGTTTTTCTATGTTGCGCTCCCTAAGATGTTCCCAGTGTAAGCCACAGCCTGATATTCACACCTTTGAGTAATTGCTCCTGAGGCTAGACTTATTGACTGGCTTCTAACGAATAGAATATAGCAGAAGTGATGGGGTACCATTCAAGAGTAGGTTATAAAAAGACTGTGACTTCCATCTCTCTTGCTCTCTCCTGTTTAATTTGCCATGTGAGGAAGCCATCTGCCATGTCCTAAGGCCACCCCTGTGAAGAGAACCATTTGACAATGGACCGAGACCTGCCAAGTTAGTTTGTAAGTGGATTCCTCACCAGTCAAGCCTTCAGATGAGACTATGACCCTGGCCACCAACTCCTCCCAAATCTCATAGTGACCTTGAGCTTGAGGCTCTCAGCTAAACTGCGTTTAGATCTCTGACCCACAGAAAATGTGAGGTATGAATGTTTGCGGTTTGAAGTCACTAAGATTTTGGGTAATTAGTTACACAGCAATAGATAGTACAGCTTCAGATTATGTTGTGGAAATGGTTTTCTACATGCCACCATAAAGACATTTGAAAGATTTTATGCTGGGAAATTATTCTCCATCCAATTCACCTCGGACCACTGGACATATATATGTACATATCTGAGTTTAGGGATTAGAGCAACACCAAGAGCGTCACTGTGAGGATTTTACACCATGAAAAAGAGCCCAGGAATCCTCTACCAGTATTTAAGTCAATAAACATAGAGCTAGCTGTCACATAGTTCTTCAACCTCATTGAAGACATTTGATTTTTTAAGGCAAAAATCCTTGGTTGGGGATATTTGGGAACAAGGAAAGGAGAGGCATAATAGAAGTGGCTGGGAATAAGCCATTTCAGCAGTAATTATTAAGAAACACTCAGACTTGGAAATAGATTAAAAAGGTGGGGCGTGTTTTTTCTGATAAAAAGTGTTTAGTGCTATGAATTTTCCTCTGATTGCTGCTTTAAATGTATAACATTGATTCTGATAGGTAGTGTTTTGATTATCATTTTGTATCATTTTTTTCTGTAATTCCAGTTTGTATTTCTGCTTTCACCCCAGAGTTGTTTATTAGAGGGTTTTAAAACTTCTAGATGAAAGGGCCTTTTTGTTTATTTGAGTTTGTCCTTTCATTGCCATGCTGGCACGTGATTTAACAAGTTTATCTATGGATTAGTTAATTGTCTAGAGGAATGTATCTGTGTTTGACTTATGTGGTATTAATGAAGAGATCAGACACAGTGAGGTTATATACCAGCCTGCAGATTTCTGTTCTGTAAAAAGGGAGAACACCAAAGGTTACAGTTTTATTGCCTTGTAGGATGTTACCAGTTTGGATTTTAACTCAGCAAACTTATCACAGACTGCCTTTCTAAGTTGACTACAAATACATCATTTGTCAAAGCATTTTTTGAACCAGTTTTACTATTTACTGGTTTCCTCATAAATGGGTGAGATAAAGCTTTGGCAGGTGTTCATTCTATATTGTACAAGAGTCATATTTTAACTTTTTGAAAATTTTACATTGACACAATAGTCCTTCAAAACTACATCTTCCTTCTTGGTATCCTTCTAATATGAAACTTAGAGCTACAAGGAAGCCTGGAGAAATACATCATTGAGGGGAACCTGGGCAATCTGCTTCACTCCTGATTTTTAAACAAAGAAGTCCCCTGGCGAAGATGAGCATGTGTTGGAACGACACATGCTGTTAGCATCAGAAATGAATGGCCACAATGTACTGGAAAAACCATTTATAAAACCATGAGATCCATTGCTTTTTGAAAATATGAAAAGGAATTTCTGTTCGATAGGCTCATAGCATTCCTAGAAAGTCATGCCTTGGGGGCGCTGACTTGAGTCCTGGAAATGTTTGGAACAAATGGTGAGAGGCATGTGTGTGCATCCAAAAATAGCCAACAGGCTGGGCACCAAAGCTCATGCCAATAATCCCAGCACTTTGGGAGGCTGAAGCAGGAGGGTCACTTGAGCCCAAGAGTTCAAGACCAGACGGGGCAACGAAGTGAGACCCTGTCTCTACAAAAACTAAAATAAAAGTTGCCAGGCATGGTGGCATGCATCTGTAGTCCTAGCTACTTGGGAGGCTGATGGGGGAAGATAGCTTGAGCCCAGGAGTTCCAGGCTGCAGTAAGCTATGTTCACACCACAGCCCTCCAGCCTGGGCAACAGAGTCAGATTCCAACTCAAAAAAAAAAAAAGAAGCCAACAGTTCCTGCAGAGAGAGACCACCATTCTTATGACCTCTTCAGATGGAGTTTTCTGGGAGAGGGAGCTGGAAAAGGGGGAAGACAGTCACAGAAGAACCAGAGCAGGAGGTTACGTGGGGTCAGGAAGCCACAGAGCAATGTCAGATCAGGTCTGACTCCCATCCCTGCTGTAGCCTAAACTGGGCCTCAGTTTCCCCATCTGTAGAAGGAAGGGATTTAGACCAGCTAAACCTTTGCTGTCCAGTCTGGCAGCTGCCAGCCACGTGTGGATACTGAGCACTTAAAAATGTAGCTGGTCTGGCTGGGTGCGGTGACACTCACCTGTAATCCCAGAACTTTAGGAGGCTGAGGCAGGAAGATCACTTGAGGTCAGGAATTAAAGAGCAGCCTGGCCAACATGGTGAAACTCTGTCTCTACTAAAAATCCAAAAAAGTTAGCTGGGCATGGTGGCGGTTCATCTGTAATCCCAGCTACTCAGGAGGCTGAGGCAGGAGAATCACTTGAACTCAGAAGGCGGAGGTTGCAGTGAGCAGAGATTGTTCCACTACACTCCAGTCTGGGCGACAGAGAGAGACTCTGTCTCAAAAACAACAACAACAACAAAATGTAGCTGGTCTGAATTGAGACATGCTGAGTGTAAAATACACACAGGGTTTCAAAGACATGGAATAATACATGTTTTCAAATAACATGTACACAATAAATATATACCATTTTTGTCAATAAAAAAAGTGGTACAAAAAAGAATGTAAAATATCTGATTAATACTTTTTTATATCTATCATGTGTTGACATGATGATATTTTGATATATTAGGCCAAATACAATATATTATTAACATTAATTCCACTTGTTTTCCTTTTAAAGTTTTAAATGTGGCTACTAGAATGCTTAAAATTACATCTGTGGCTTACATTGTTTTCTATGGTGCTATTGTTTCTATGCTCTGAGGCCTCTCCAGGTGTCAGTGTCTATGAAGAATTTATTTATGGAAAACAAAAGACACATCCAGATACAGGTGTGAGGCATGCTTTGCAATACTATTATGAGTAAATTGTCACTGTGACTAAATCTCTACTTGCTCTGCTGTTTCCACTGCAAGGTGCTGAGAGGCCTGTGGGCTGATACATTGTGGGGATGTGGACTCACTGGACAGTGGGCAGGTGATGTTCCGTCTACTCACAGTCCAGGGGATCTGCTGGGAGGCCAAGGGGGCAACATTCATCTCTATGGCTTTTGAGCATCCAGAGAACCATGTAAGGATTTGCTCAATGAAATTACTGACTAGCAGGAGTTGGAGGCCAGCCTGGCCAACGTGGAGAAACCCCGCCTCTACTAAAAATACAAAAAATTAGCTGGGTGTGGTGGCGCATGCCTGTAATCCCAGCTACTTGGGAGGCTGAGGCAGGAAAATTGATTGAACCTGGGAGCCGGAGGCTGCCGCGAGCCAAGATCATGTCACTGCACTCCAGCCTAGGCAACAGAGCAAGACTTTGTCTCAAAAAAACATAAAAATAAAAATAAAAAAAATAAAAAAAGAAATTACTGACTAAAATGTGGTTTTTGATTCTATCCATTATTTTTCATGCCCCTGCAATCTCTGTCCACAGTACATTGTTACTGTGCATGCAGATGAATGAATTTCCACTTATCTGGAAACAAAAAAATCTGAAAACTCCATTACTGGGAATCCCTGAGGCCTGAGATGTGCAGTTGGACCAGTTCTGAATGATTGAAAAATTTTGCTTGGCAGACAGAATTTTTGAAAATTGAATACTTTTTCAAATGCCAAGAAGAGACCAATAGTTGAGGGAACTCAGCTGAGGTCAAGTGAATCATCACCCACTGGTTCATCTATTCGGTATAGCCAGATTTCAGCAATGTAGTTTCTTCAAAGCTAGTCGCAGGTCTAGTCTTTGTGGTGTCAGAGAGCTCTTCTGTTATTCTCTGAAATATAATGACAGGTTTTCTGTTTCTGAAACACAATCGTGATGCACCTTCTTATCCAACCTGTGAGACATGACCAAAGAGGGCCTCTCAAGTTGGGCCTCTGCTGCTGGGCTGGGCCTTTGAATGACCCCGGTTGGTTCGTGAACCTAGGTTCAGGGATCCTTCTGCAGCATGAGTGGTTTTGAGGCCCGGGAGGGTAGGATCCCTGTAAGCTAAAACATGTTTTCTTCTTGGTCTAGTAAGAGCAACTCTCAACTCTCACCCTGTCCCAGAGGCCAAGGAAGGTTAGAAGGCAGCCACTTAGAAAGGGGGTACTCTACACACTTGAGGCTGGGGAGGGCAGGCTTGCTCAGGAAGCCCAAAGGTATGCCGGTAAGAAATTAGAACTGTCGACCGGACAATTCACCCTGGTTCTCTTCTGGCACCATTCTTTGCTATAAGAGGATCCCTCTCAGGATCATAGCCGTGATGACAAATGGAAAGAACAAATCCCTTATGGCAGAGTTATGAATTGAAGTTTATTTCCTGGCACTGCATTGAGACTACAGCTAGGCCTTCATACATAACATTTCTCCCACAGTTTGATCTTCAGACAAAACTAAAGGAAGATACCAGCCCAGCCCATGTGAGCTCTGTTGTCAGTGGATGAAGTGGGTCTAAAGCCTGGAAGGGTGGTTGGGAGGCTGATGGTGGGGAGGGGTAAGGGATAGGGTGGTGGGCAAGGCTGGAGGCAGGGATTGGTGGGTTTGGACCCCAGGAGAGACTCACGATGCTGCAGAGGCAGGACCGGTGGAGGAAGAGTTCCGGGAAAGTGGAAGCACAGCCTGAAAATCTTTGAATGTCAAGGTACAGACTTGGTCCTGTGCCCAGCAAGGAGCCAGGGTCTTCAAGCAGGTGACATGGATCAGTAGAAACATGTACAGTGTTGGTGTGGGTGGATTATAGGCATCATTTATAATGCCCACAATGGAAGAAGGAGAACCAAATGAAAGAATGAGAACCTAAACTGGATGGGGAGGATAATGACGAAAAAGAGGTCCAATGATTGCCTTCCAATTATCTCTGCTTTACACAAAGTCACATGAGCACTAATAGCCAAGTGGATATAGGATAGGAAAGAAGGGCAAGGACAGGATATAGGACAGGAAAGGTGGTTATAGGACAGGAAAGAAAGGCAAGGACTTTGGAGACATGAAGAGGATTTAGGCCAGGGGTGCTGGCTCATGCCTGAAATCCCAGGGATTTGGGAAGCCAAAGCAGGAGGATTGCTTCAAGCTAGGAGTTTGAGGCCAGCCTGGACAACACAGAGAATCCATCTCTATTTTTTTAAAAAGAGAAGTTATTTAAAAATTTAAAAAAATTTTTTTAAAGAGGAGGATTTGCCAGCATTGGGAGCCTGGATGGTAGGGAGAGTGGGGGTGGCTTGGGGGTAACTATGGGATTCAGGGAAAGCGGGGATCAAAGATAACTTTGAGCATCTCTGCCCCTAATTCAAGACTACCAATAGCTTTCCCAGCCTAGATGACATCTTTCTTATACAAACTCTTTCGTTCAATGTACCTTTGAAATGTGATAGCAGTAGGTGTTCACATTTATTACTTAAAAGCAGGTAACTTTGGCTACCATGTGTAGGGTGTTACCCCTTCTCCCCACCACGTGTTTTGTTGTTGTTTTTGTTGTTTTTTGAGACACAGTCTTGCTCTGTTGCCCAGGCTGGAGTGTGGTGGCACCATCTTGGCTCAGTGCAACCTCCATCTCCTGGGTTCAAGCCATTCTCCTGCCTCAGCCTCCTGAGTAGCTGGGAATACAGGCGCCCATCATCACACCTGGCTAATTTTTGTATTTTCAGTGGAGACAGGTTTCACCATGTTGGCCAGGCTGGTTTCAAACTCCTGACCTCAAGTGATCTGCCCACCTTGCCCTCCCAAAATGCTACAATTTACAGGTGTGAGCCATGGCGCCCGGCTCTGCCATATGTTTTGTGGAGCAGGAAGATACCACTTTTCCCAGATGGTTGTGGAAAATTAACAATGGTGCTGTGAGTGCCTGGAAAATGGGTTTATCTGCATGGATGGATGTGGTCGGAGCTTCTGGGATGCGATTCCACAGTAACCACAGGGCATCTCAGTGATCCCAGAATGCTCAGATAATCTGTGTGTTATCCACGCACCTCATGTCCTCCAGCCTATCTGAGTCATGTCCATGAGCCAGGACAGATGGGAAACCACAAATCACTAGTAGTGCTAACTACTAGTGGTTAGCAACTCTGGCTTAGAAACACAAACTGGATGGGGAGGATAATGATGAAAAAGAGGTCCAATGATTGCCTTCCAATTATCTGTGCTTTACACAAAGTCACGTGAGCACTAATAGCCAAGAGAGGGATAATACTCATGTGGAATTCAGCTGTGAGCCAAGAATGTGACCAGGAAACCTCACGCTTTATGAAAGCATCCTCTCCAATTGTATGGCATCACTGGTATCTGCTGAGAAGTGCGTTGCGGTAGCATCAAGAGTCACTCCAAAACTTAGCTCCAACCATCTTCCTAAATGGTATAATGTCGACCTCAGCTCTCAAATCGAAGTCCGCTTCCTTGGGAAAGATTTCTCTGGAACCCCAGATTAGGTTATATATTCTCAGGGCTCCTTTTACATCTCCCATGAAGCATTTTTAAAACATGATTTATAATTATGTGTCTGGTGCTGTGATTATTTGATTAATATCTTTATTTGCTACCAGACTGAAAGCTCCATGAGGTTAGGGGTGGCTTCTGCTTTTTCTCTCCCTGGCCACGTACAGAGCTTGGCTGCTCATGGGCGCTTAATAGGTGAGAACTGAAATAAAGCATGGTGAGTCAGAGCAGGGCCAGTGGGTCCCAGAAGGTGGCCACTGGGTGACAATCCATCTCAGCACCGAACTCCCCTCCAGCTTGTTACAAATGAACCTGCAAAGAATCAGTACTGAATGTCCAAAGGGCAGTTCACTTCTCCTCACAGAGAACTACATGTGAATATTGGTGACTAATTACGGAATAATTGTTACAGCAAAGAATAACCATGTCTAGAAGGAAGAGGAAGGAGGCTGGGTGCGGTGGCTCACGCCTGTAATCCCAGCAGTTTGGGAGGCCAGGGTGGGAGGATTGCTTGAGCCTGGGAGCTCCAAGAAAGAAAGAAAGAGGAAAGAAAGAAGTATAAAGTAACTATATCATTTACATGGAGCATCTGACTTAAATAAATTAAACAAGGCTGGGCGTGGTGGCTCATGCCTGTAATCCCAGCATTTTGGGGGCTGAGGCGGGTGGATCACGAGGTCAGGAGTTCGAGACCAGCACGGCCAAGATGGTGAAACCCCGTCTCTACTAAAAATACAAAAATTAGCTGGGTGTGGTGGCAGGCACCTGTAATCCCAGCTGCTCGGGAGGCTGAGGCAGAGAATCGCTTGAACCCGGGAGGCAGAGGTTGCAGTGAGCCGAGATCGCACCACTGCACACCAGCCTGGGTGAAAGAATGAGGCTCCGTCTCAAAATAAATTAATTAATTAATTAATGAATTAAACAATTTAAACTCTGCCAAAAACACAAAATTACAGACAAGTTAAATAGTGCAGGTGCCTTTGCCAATATTTTCATGGGTATTTGACCCAGGAGAGGTTACATGGCAGATCTCACCCTTGGCGGGGTCAGGCAGACCTCTCACCTCTCACCTGATTGGTTCTTTCCTATAGCATAGCCCAGAAATACAAGTCAATGACTTAACTGCTGTCCCACTGAAAACTCAAATAAAAACAAATATGATTTTCTTAGAACTGCAGGAAAAACTGGCTACAATGGACTTGATGATAGGTAGTACATTGGGCCCCTCAGGGCACCTTCCTAAGAAATGTTCAAAGGCAACTTTATACTCCATTTTCTTCTTCTTCTTCTTTTTTTAGATGGAGTCTTGCTCTGTTGCCCAGGCTGGAGTGCAGTGGTGCGATGTTGGCTCACTGCAACCTCCTGCAACCTCCACCTCCCAGGTTCAAACGATTCTCCTGCTTCAGCCTCCTAAGTAGCTGGGATTACAGGTGCAGGCCACCACACCCAGCTAAGTTTTGTATTTTTAGTAGAGATGGGGTTTCGCCATGTTGGCCAGGCTCGTCTCGAACTCCTGACCTCAAGTGATCCGCCCACCTAGGCCTCCCAAAGTGCTGGAATTACAGGCATGAAGCACCATGGCTGGCCTCCATTTTCTTCTTTTGCCTTGACTTTAAAATCTAACTACTATGTAAGATACGGCTCCACTGTGCTTCCTGACCATCATAAGGTGGTAATTATGGACTAGCCAATATTTAGGCTGATCTAGACAGTGCTTTGGGTTAAGGAGAGGTTTTGGATCATCCCTCTTAACAGGGGGAAATAAATATCTCAGCATCAGATGCAACTCAGGAACCTGGAGGATGACAATTGGGCAACCTGGTGGGCTTAGCTCTTGATCTACAGAGGACTTGAGGAGCTCCTTACTCTCATTTGCCTCCAATGGGTGGAGGTTATACAGGTTTGATCAAAACTGAGTAAATCATTTGAGAACTGAGACTACTTTGTCCACAAAGCTTAACTATTAGGATTGATAATTGAGACCATCTGTGTCAACATAACGTAACTCATTCTTCCAGGATCTTCTTGCCCAGAAAATTAAGACTGTAAACCAATAAATAACTTCACTGTTTGTTGCAGGAAATGTCTACACACTAATTTGTCCTGGCAAGCAATTTGCTCACCTGGGAAAACAGCTCACTTATCAAACAAGGGTTTACTTGTCAAGAGCCACTTCAATATACTAGTCTTGCTGTATCCACCAGTCCCAAGCTATTGTGGCATAGACGTCACTGAAATCAAATTAGTTCTCCACCTTGAAAAATGCAGCTTGAAGGACTTAGGCCTAGATCCCCGAATCCTATAAATCTGCCTCTTAATCTCCCCTGGCTTAGACATGAATAAGACTGTGTCCTGGTGATGTTCTTCCTTATTTCAGTAAATCTCATGAACTTTGCTTTATCAGCAGGTTCTTCTGATGGTTTTTTTTTTTTTTTTTTTTTTTTGTAGAGTCAACAGTTGACACAATATATCAGTTTTGGTCTCTTGGAAACAGGAAACATGTAAATAAGTGTTAATAGATACTTCCAACCCATAAAGGTTGGTTAATTGTTAAACATAGTCACTTGTCCTCGGTAATAAAATCTCCTCCGTCTTCCTCCTCTGAGGACAAGACCTGGTGTTGGAACACTGCCTATGACAGATTTCAAGTGCATATTTTACCTCCATTTTTCTACCTTTTTAAACATAATTCTGTATTTTCAAAATTTTCTATACTGAGGATGCCTTAATTCGAGGGTGAATGAAAGGAAACAAAGCAAAAAGCCACAAGAGGGGAATTGATTCCCAAGTGTAAATCAGAAGCGACCACCAAGTCTTCATTAAATACACACACACAGAGTACATAAAACACCCATTTAAAATCTTATCTCATTAAGCTAGCAAGGTAATTTAGTCCCATTAACATCAATATGAACACAGAAGAGTTAGACAGTTATAATCATGCTTCCTCATTATCATAAGAAGCCTTTGGGGATGTTTGATAAAATATACCAGAAAATAATATTTCATCATTCTAAGGTGCGGTCCAGGAAGCTGTTTTTTGTTTGTTTGTTTGTTTGTTTGTTTGTTTTGGAGCCCTTCAGTGATTCATACAAACAAGCCAAGGAGAGAACACATGGACGACAGCATTGATTCACTGGAAAGCAAAGTACAGCTTCCACCATAAAACCCTGCAGCTGAAAAAGGACAAACTGAGCAGCTCTCAAATAAAGACAGCCTCAGCCGTCTTGCACAGCACGGCCCCTCTCCGTGCCCGAGTCCTGTGCCTGTATGAAAGCACTAAATCACAGACCCCGCAACCTGTTATAAGCCCTGGTAACAATCAGCAGCTGGGCTCGGGCAAGCTCCCTTAGCCGGTGCTGGCTCAGAGAGCAGACTTCCCTCAGCAGCTCCATGGAGCACCGCAGCTCCCAGGCTCAGGCAGCAAGCCGACGAGTTGAGATCCCAATCAAGGCTTCCTTTTACCTTAAAGAAACTTCCTCGCTTGTCCAGACCGCGGGCGCCCATGGTCCAAGCTGTCATTTCCCCCAGCGAGGCTCCACTGCACGCCGGGGACTCCTGAAGGTAGAGACATTTTTAATGGTTAGTCCAGCCTGTAGGAAATTCCTTTCTAAGCCACAGAACACTCACAACAACAGTCCTGCCAAGATCTTTTTCCGTCAACAACACAGTGCCATTTATTTCCCACCAAGGCCTTACATCTCCCTTCAGCCCAATTTCCTGTCCCCACCAGCGCAGTTCCTAGACTGCCCCACCTCGCCAGCCCACCTCCCACCTCTGCCACTGACGTAGAAGGTCCTTGGGACTTCAGGAAGCCTAATGATTACTTTGTGTGTTTCACCTCCTGCTGAAATGTGAACAGACCCAATATTAGATGTCCCCATCATCTGCACTGGAAGTTTATAGATTGAATGTGGCTGATCACAGAGGGACAGCTGAAGAAGGAGGTTCTGTACATCCCAGGAAATCCTGCTGGAAGGGGGTGAGGTCATCCTTAGCTCTGCTGGCCTCTCCCCCAGGCAAGGTCAACAGAAGGGCACTGGGAAGAAATTGCTCTATTTTTCCCTTAGAAATCAGAAATATTTGGATAAAATCCTGTCACTGTTTACAGGGATCAGTTCACGGAAGAGGACAACATGTAAACAGCTTCACGATCATCCACAAAAGGGGAGCTGAACGTAGAGGAAAACTCAGAGGCAGGGTAACAACACAGTTCTGAATTCTAACTGTAGCTTTTTGGGCTTGGAATTTCCCCTGCTAGGGCATCAGATCCCAATAATTCTTCCCTTTGGGTCACAAAGCCTTCAACATTCAGTTCTAAGTTAAACATACACACACCTCTGCCAGCTGACCTGGCTCAGGCCTTCACGCATTGAGGGGGGCCTGGGGGAGCAACCCCAAACCCTTCCTTACCCAGTGACTGTCCCAGGATCAAGTATAAAACCACCCTGTCTTTCCTCATTCATCCCTTCTCGCCATAACATGCACAGGAGGTAGCTCATGCCAACCGTGACGGACACAGAGGAAGGCCAGTGAAGGGAATAGTGAGACTGTCTCTTGCACCATCAAGGAATATTCAAAGTGGTTCAGCTGCAGGGGTGGGTAGGCACTGAAGCTAAGGCAGCTGCTGCTGCAGGTTCACTGAGGCTGTTTCATTATTAGCTGAGTGGCAGAGAGCCAGCGACACAAACAGGACATTGAGGGCGATATTTAGGGACGTTTCAACAAGTGGAAAAGCATGAATCTATAGCTGAGAAGTGCATATCAGTGAGTGAGCAAGGATCTTTGCACAAAGGTTTTTTTCGGCCCCACGATTTACACCCCTGCTTGCACTCACAGTGAGTTGTGATGATCTGTGCACGGAATCCCATCTAGAAAACAATAGTGACACAGAGCATCCCACCCCTCCTTCCAGAACCATCGTCTCTTTGTGTCAGTGCTCCGTGCTGTGGCCACTTTAAAGATTTGACGGGGTCTTCCCTGTGTTTCTTTCCACTTGTGATCCTGCTGGGATGAAGGCCAATGTTCCAGAAACCTCCTGAGAAGGCAGTGTGCAATTTTGCTGACTCTAGAAGTTCAGGTTCTGGGGTTCATCACTCATTAGCAAAAGGCCACAGGTTGGAGCAACTCCAGAAAGAAATCACAGTGCCATGCTCAGAACTAGGGACGGAATGGGAGCCACACTGTCACCTTGGGGAGCAAACCATGACCTGTTTAGACCCAGAAGCACACAAATAAAAAAGCATACCCTGTTTTAAACCAGGCCTAATGTCTGGAATTCTTTTTATTTCAGACATTTCTTCGGCAGGGGATTTGATGTCACCTGGCAGTTCAGGAATTGCTAAACGAGAGCCAAGACTTCATTCCTCATCCAGACTTAAGTTCCTTTGTTCTGTTCTGAAGTTTTCCATATACAAACTCTTTCTGATGAGCCAGGGCAGACAGGGAATTTTGCCTACAGCATTGGAGCAGTTTAGGTTCCAGAAATGTACTAGTTTATTTTAATTAGCTGCCTGAAAACTTCATGTGTACCCTTTAACCTCCAGCAGTCCTCAATTCACCATCCAGTTTGAATTCTGCTCAGGGCAGGCAGATCCATCACATTTCAAAAGATGCAGGTGGCATCTCTCCTTCATAAGCTGCTCCAAGAGGGAAATGAGAGCAGGTGACAGGAACACACTGCCAGGTGCAGCAGCAGGTACATCCCATGGGATTAAATGCTGGTGGCCATCCAATAGTTCAAGCAGACAGTACATAGCTTATTATTATTTTAAAAAATAAAGTCCTTGGCCAGAAAAACAAAGTTCTTGGTCTGTGCAGTGGCTCATGACCAGCATTTTGGGAAGCCAAGGCAGGAGAATCACTTGAATCCAGCAGTTTGAGACTAGTCTGGGCAACATAGCGAGACCCTGTCTCTAAAAAAAATTAAAAAAAAAAAAAATAGATGGGCATGGTGGCATGCTCCTGTAGTCCCAGCTACTCAGGAGGGAGGATCACTTGAGCCCAGGAGATTGAGGCTGCAGTGAGCCATGATCGCACCACTGCACTTTGGCCTGAGCGACAGAGTAACACTCTGTCTCGAAAGAAAAAAAAAAAAGTTCTTCAGGGCCCCAAAAGAGTTCTGGTTTAAGATCTTTCTGTAGTAGCTATAGTTAGCTATAGTTTTCTTCCCCAAACCATAACCTTAGACACCTTGACTCAATATTGACAGCAATTTAATACCATTTAAAACGATAACTTCTCTTCACCTGCGCTTCCCCATGCCTCCCCACAGATGTCACCCCAGCAGCTTCATCCTAAAACCATCCCAGTAACAGGCTAGACTAAGAAACAAAAAGGGTACCGTAGTTTGAGAGGCTGTGAAATTCCTCCAGACTTGTACCGGTTGGAAGCTTGTTCTTTTCCTGGCTTCCCTGAAGGGTAAAGTGGATTCTTGAGAAAATGAGTCCAACATGTCCAGTAGATGTTTCCAGATACTAGCTAAAAGCTAGCAAAAAAAAAAAAAAAAAAAGAAGAAGAAGAAGAAGAAGGCAGCCCTCATAGGACTAAGGACACTGCAAACATTTGGGAGCTGCCAAGCCCTTTCAACAACACCACTGAAAGAATGTAAACGGAGCTGGTCGCGTTGGTCGGCGCTAATGGACAAAGGCAGGAAGTGACTATTCCTCATTCTCCTAGAGACACCAGCCTCTGTCACTTTATAGTAAACTCAGTGGTGGCTTTCCGTGTGGCCCCAAGAGCGACTGCTGTGGTAAAGCAAAGTCTGTCCTTAAAAAGCAGAAAGGATTCCTGCGTCCCCTGGCTGGGCTCCAGGCTGCACTGCCTGCCTGCTATGTGAGACCGCTGGAGGCTGGCTCCCCAACCCATTCTACTGACAGCCACTGAGGCCAGGAGCTGAGGCTGCCACCTGGACCCTGGCTGTGGGCTGGCTGACTGGGGTTGAAACACAGAGTCCCCGATTTCCATTTCACTGATCAATGGAACTGGGTTGAGTCACTGGCATTTTCCCAGCTTTTGCTGCGCCGGGCCACAGGCCAGATCTTGGCAAGATACAGAGCTTGAGAAGGATTAAGGACAGGCCTGTTCCCTCCTCTGCCCTCCCCCGTCGCCTATTCCCCGCCCACCTCTACTGTCCCTTCCCCACCCTTCCCATCCCCTCCGCTCCTCTCCTCTTCTCTTAATTTCTTTAGTCCAACGTAACCTTCCTATTTTGGGGGAAGGATTTTATTTTATTAATTGACCAGTAAAAATTGTATATATTTATGGTATACAACATGACATCTTGATATATATAGGTATACATATTGCAGAATGGCTAAGTGAAGCTAATTAACATATGCATTACCTCATATGCTTTTTTTTGTTCTGAGTGCACTTGTGCACTTACAATCTCCTGTCTTCGAAAATTTTCTTTTCTTTTCGTTTTTTTTTTTGTTTGTTTGCTTGTATTTCTTTTTCGAGACAGGGTCTTACTTTGTCACCCAGGCTGCAGTGCAGTGGCACCATCTCAGCTCACTTTAGCTTCCGCCTCCAGGGTTCAAGTGATTCTCCTGCCTCAGCCTGCAAGTAGCCAGGATTACAGGCGTGCACCATCATGCCTGGCTAATTTTTGTATTTTTTGGTAGATGTGGGGTTTTACCATGTTGGCCAGGCTGGTCTTGAACTCCTGACCTCAAGTGATCCACCTGCCTCGGCCTCCCAAAGTGCTGGGATTACAGGCATGAGCCACCGCTCCCGGCCGCAATTTTCAAATACGCAATACATTGGTATTAACTACAGTCACCGTGTTGCACAATACGGCTCTTGGACTTTTTCCTCCTTCTGAACTGAAAGTTTGTATCCTTTGACCAACATCGGCCCAATCTCTTCTCCTCTTGCCCCCACCCCAGCTTCCTATTTTATGCTATTTTATTTACTTTAGGTCACAAGTGCAAACCCACAAAAGAAGCAGCAAAAGCAATTATATTGGATTCCACTACTCACAGTTCTGACTTAATAGACACTTAGTGTACTCAAGTCCTGGATTCTCATCTCCGTGCTGCATGAGGTTGGCTACAGAAGCTTTCTAATCACAACCTTCAGTTTTTCTTTCTAGCCGTTAAATGAGGCCGGGCAGCACGGACTTCAGTCTCAGTAAACAAGACCTCGTTATTGTAATTATTTTACAGCCAAATTGACTGAAATAGGAAAAAGTGACTCACCCTAGAGGACCTGTCAGGTCAAGTCCGAATCTAAGAAATGCATCTCACTTTTTTTGCCTGGTCGCTTAACCAGCTCCCAGGGAGACAGGTCATCTCTCCTTTTAATGCTTTTTGTTTTTTTCTAAGAGAGGTAGGAGGAAATGGAGGTGGCTCTGTGTCTGGGTCCAGGGAAGTTCTCTGAATATTTCCATAATTATCTTTGTATTACTCAATATTTTACACGTTGGACAGACAAATGTTATTCCAGGATCAGACTTGACAATTCGAACTATGTGAATTGAAAGAAATTTTTAAAGTGTCTTGGATCACTGTTTGACACAGGTTTTCCCTCACCCAACAGTCATTTTAAAAAAAAATTTTAAGTTTGAAGGTCATGAAAACTTTCCATTGAAAAGACAAGCTAATTTACGAGAAAGAAAGAAGTCATATGGAAAGAACTGTATTCCCAGCCCCCTTACTCAACAACAGTGTTTTAATTTTAATTTTAATTATTGTTTTTGAGACAGGGTCTCGCTCTGTTGCCCAGGCTGGAGTGCATTGCTGCAGTCACGGCTCACTGCCCCTCAACCTCCTGGGCTCAAGTGATTCTCCCACCTCAGCCTCCCGAATAGCTGAGACTACCAGTGTGTGCTACCACATTCAACTCATCTTTTTATTTTTATTTTGTAGAGACCAGGTCTCCCTCCCTATGTTGCCCAGGCTGGTCTCAAACTCCTGGCCTCAAGCAATCCTCCCGCCTTGGCTTCCCAAAGTGCTGGGATTACAGGCGTAAACCACCACGCCTGGTCCTAATCCTATTTAAAAACTCTTGTTGGCCAGGTGCTGTGGCTCATGCCCGTATGCCTATAATCCCAAGCACTTTAGGAGGCCAAGGCAGAAGGAATGCTTGAGGCCAGGAGTTTGAGACCAGCCTGGACAATATAGTGAAACCCTATCTTTCACATAAAAAAATTAAAAAGTATTTTAAAAATGTAATTAGGAACAATGTCCAGTGCCTCAATTTTTCTAAGAGTAACCTTTTTTTTTTTTTTTTAACAAGGTGGTGTGAGGTGCGGTGGTTAAAACTCCTTTCTACCACTTACAGGACTGGCCTGTAAATGGGGTTAATTCTGGTGGAAGTCCATCCCTTCTTTCCTTGGAAAACTGGTTCACAGACTCATAGAAACTCTCACCTTGTCCACACCACAGAAGCCCTGCTGGTGCCCATGTAGTTACTGGCCATGTGACCACCCGAGGGCAACAGGTGGGCTCCTCTGCTGGTTAGAAAGTCCTCCTTTTCTGACTGGACATGGTGGCTCATGCCTGTAATCCCAGCACTTTGGGACGCTGAGGTGGGAGGATCACTTGAGGTCAGGAGTTCAAGATCAGCCCAGGCAACATAGGGAGACCCTGTCTCTACAAATAATAACAAAAACATGAGCCAGGCATGGTGGTGAGTGCCTAGGGTCCCAGCTACTTGGGAAGATGAGGCAGGAGGATTGCCTGAGCCCAGGAGGTCAAAGGTGCTGGGAGCCATTATCGCTCCGCTGCACTCCAGCCTGGGTAACAGAGAGAGACCAGGTCTAAAAAAAAAAAAAAAAAAAAAGTCCTCTCTTTCTGGAGTAGGAAGCTTCTCTCACCTCCTATCCAATGCCCTCATTTTCCCCCTTGGGCCATTTAAGAATTAGCCTCCTGAGGCATCCCTCTTCGCCACCCCTGCAGGCATCCCTTATTCCTCTCTTGACTGATGGCTTCTCCTGCACCGGTGGCCCAGGCCTCAGGGCTGATGGACTCAACTCACTTGGAATATGATTGAGCAGGGAAAGAGGGGTGGCTTCCCCTTGGCTACCCGCAAGGTCATTGAAAAGTCTGCATACAGTTGACCCTTGAACAATGGATGGGGTAAGGGTTCTGAGCCGTCAAAAATCTGAGTACAACTTTTAACTCCCCCAAAACTTAGCTACAAATAGCCTACTATTGATCAGAAGCCTTACTGATAACATAAGCAGCCAATTAACCCGTATGTTATGCATTCATAAGATACCTAGCATTGTCTTAATTTTTTTCAGTATTTCTAGGCTACACAACTTGTGCGTTTTTTTCAAATTGTTGCAAATCTCCCCCAGAATTTTCCAATATGTTTATTGAAAAAAACCCGTGTATACATGGACTAGTGCAGTTTGAAAACCTGTTTTGTTCAAGGGTCAACAATATTTCCAAACCTCCTCACTCGAAAAGCTCCATGTGATCAGTGGTCACACAACATATGTGTGCAGTAACTTCATGCAATACAGTGCAGAGGTGTCATAAGCCACCTCAGCCCGTAATCCACAGAATCCCATGGACAAAGAAGCCACACACACTGGGACTTCCTCAGGGTCTACTCATCAACCTGTTAGCAGTTGAGTTTAGAGCTTTCTTTTCCAAGGCTCTCTGTCCATGATGGTAAAAGAGTCTATGTAGGTGATTATTTTTCATTAGAGGTTGTAATCTGGCAGCTTTGGATTTTGTGTGTGGTATGACAGTTTTTTCATATAGCTATTCATTTAATTTTAATTTTATAGAAAATAGTTTTAGGGATGAATACTTTCCTTGTAAACTTTGTAAAAGAGACATGATTGATCAAAAAGATTTTTGTCTTCGTGAAACTTTACTGTTTAAGATTCCTGCTCTGTGAGGTGTTGGCTGTTTTCATTATTTCTATGAAGTTCCAAATTCCCTGGGTTACATTTGGAATGTCCGAATTTTGTAAGACTGATGCTTCCGTCACTTGTTCCATCATAACAAGTGTGACTGGGTGTAGTTAGTGACAGCTGTCATCAGGTTTTCTTCTACCAGTATCATTTTTCTCAGACCAAGTTTTTTTCACTTTCCAAAATTACAAGCAAGATAAAATTCATCAATTTATGTTTGGATCTATCACAAATTCTGTTGAGTGCATCTTCACCCATTTCATTCTGAAATGGCTACAATACCAGTGATTTTGTAATTCTTAGACAGTCAATAATGAAAGTAGAAGCAATTCCACAGAAACTCTAGGAATATTCTTTGGCCCAGCAATGGAGTATTGAAATTCTAAACACAATACTCTTTATTCTTACAATGTTTTTTGTTTTGTTTACTAACAGCCTATGTCATTAGTGGAGTAAAGAACATAAACAAAGTCCACAGGGTTACATGAAAATGTCCTGAGTCTATTAGCCAGGTGTGGTGGTGCATGCCTGTAATTCCAGCTGCTACTCAGGAGGCTAAAGAGGGAGGATCTCTTGAGTCCAGGAGATTGAGGCTGTGGTGAGCTCTGATTGCAGCACTGCACTCCAGACTGGGTGACTCTGTGAGGGGCTCTGTCTCTTTTAAAAAATAAATAAATAAAATACAATGTTTTGGGTCGAAATGTCATGACAACCAGTGCTATGAAGGAAAAAGAGAGGAACATCATCCCTATATAATAAATTAGCCTCTAGGATACATCTTGCCTGGAATCTCATGTACTAATTTGCTTCTTTTCCTTCATTTTGACCATGTATATGCTGATGTCTTTCCAAACTTTCCCCTTCACCATCAGGGTGTTTACCCTTCCCTTTAGTTAGTGATGCGCAGGGAAATGTTTAACAACTGGCTTTCTGGGAAATAAAAGCCCCGGGTTTTAGCATTTGCCTATTTTGTGGTGTAAATACTCCCATCATGGCTGGTTTCAAGCTACCAGTGTGACATCAACAGACTTGGAAAGTTCATGAAATTTTAACAATCAGCTCTAGTGAGCAGGGAGAACCAATTCCAGGTCACCACTATATTTAATTCACTAATTCTAAACCACAAGGTCTCTGAAGAGGTGGCTTTTATTTGATTCTTCATACACTTAAGTAATAAAAGATAGCAAAAGTAAGAAACTAGATCTCTAGACTGAAACCAGTGCTTTATCCATGAAACCACATTATTTGTCACTAGTAGGACACGAAATATTTCTGGCTCTCATCTTAACCAAGTAAAATGCTGCCATCGGGAATAGTTAAAGGAAGCCATATGTTCGGTCTGTTATTTTAGACTTAGTGGGTTCCATTTCTATGGAGGTTGAAGAGAGAAGAAGAAAAGATCTTCCTTTATGGAACCAGACATTAGAGATCTCATCTGCTTGTTCACAGTGGTGTCTTTAATACCTTACGTGCTGCCTGGTACGTATGTGCTCAGTAAATGTTTGCCGAATGAGTAAGTGCATAGGATTTTACAAGGAAGTCATCTAGGCTAAAGAGAAGGGTTTTTAAAGAATGACTTTCTCGGCTAGGTGCAGCAGCTCACATCTATAATCTCAGCATTTTGGGAGGCCAAGGCAGAAGGATCTCTTGAGCCCAGCAGCACAGCAAAACCTCATCTCTACAGAAAATTAGCTGGGCATGGTGGCATGTATCTGTGGTCCCAGCCACTCAGGAGGATGATGTGGAAGAATCGCTTGAGCCTGGAAGGTCAAGGCTGCATTAATCATGCAACTGCACTCCTGCTTGGGTAACAGAGTGAGACGCTGTCTCAGAAAAAAAAAAAAAAAAAAAAAAAAAAGAATGACTTCCTCTAAAGCATAAGATGATAGGAAGAGCCATGCTTATCTTTAAGAATTCCTAGGACAGATAAACGCCAGCAACACACATACCATGCTGTTGACCCACAAAACATGCTGGAAATTTTTTTTTTTTTTTTTTTTAAGACAGAGTCTCACTCTGTTGCCCAGGATGGAGTACAGTGGCATGATCTCGGCTCACTGCAATCTCCACCTTCCTGGTTCATCAATTGTCTTGCTGCCTCAGTTACCTGAGTAGCTGAGATCACAGGTGTGCACCACCATGCCCAGCTAATTTTTGTAATTTTGTTAGAGACAGAGTTTCACCATGTTGGCCAGGCTGGTCTTGAACTCCTGGCCTCAAGTGATCCGACCGCCTTGGCCTCCCAAAGTGCTGGGATGGCATGAGCCACTGCAACCGGTCTGGAAAAAAATACATATTTTTTGATACCACTTTGAAATACCAAAGAAATGAAAGAGTTTAGGGAGTCCATGTGTTCTCTCTGTGGTTGGATTTTTCTTACAGAGTTCTATGATCTGAAGATCTTTCCTCTCTCTATAGCATACAAACCTACTTTATTCTCTACAAGTCCACTAGCCAATCATGTTTCTCAGCCCTTTCATTTTTGCACAAATTGGAATTCTAGAGAAGTCTCCGGGTGTTTGTCCAAGTCAACACATCAGCATTGAAGATCACACAATGAAAAAAGTCCACGGAAACACGTGCTAAACTCCCAGTGAAATATATCGACCAGTGAAGCAAATTGACCACGCTGTGTGTTTGTGCATGTCTTTGCATCCATGTGTTGTAGGATTAGAGCCTTAAAATTTCCATGCTTTCTCTTAGGAAGTGGGCCGGAGAACAGATAGCCTCCTCTGAAGAATGTCTTCCTTGTAAGCCCACGGATTCCATGTGGACAGTCAGCGGAAGCACAGTGTCTAATATCAAAATAACAACATACCATGACACCTTCTAAACATAGTAAATGTGCCGATAACAGGTATTAATATTTAATACCATCACACAACCAGACTCCAGAAATTAGCAAGGGAAAAGCATAAAGAAAGTAACAGTTCTCCAAAATAACTTAGTATTTTGTGTGTCTATGAAAGAGTCATAAAAATCCATGTAATGCTCTCAGAGATATCTGTTGCCATCACCAGAAAGGTGGTTTTGGTGGCAGCAATTGTGCCTCAGAAGTTCAGGCATGTTTAAAAGTCTGTCTTGGCTGACCAATGGCATTCATGTCTTTTGTTAGGAGTGACAAGGACATAGGATATTTCACAAATCCAGTTTCCTATTATTCAGTTTTGCACTATTTGCAACTACCAAATAATTTCTGCTAGGCTCTGCAGGTTCTCTGAAGCTTAGGGTTTTCCTCTCAATGTTCTACCTCACCCCATCCTCTTGTTCAGACGTCTGACTCCTTCCTCTGGCAGTGGGGCCAGACAGGGCAGGTGTGGTTAGCATGGAGCCCAAGGTACAGGGGAGGAAGCAGGATTACCTCTTATCCATTGAGACTATTTGAGGGTGGGTACAAACTCATGTCCAAGAGAGACTGCTTTGAGTCATAATGATAGCAAAAGAATTAGATTATGGAAAACAGTAAAGCACGGAGGGTCGAGTGGGCCCATGGATGGATGGTCTGAGTTGACAGTAGAGACAGCATCATTGCCTGTGTCTGGGTTTTCGTGCCACCCATGAGGATGCTGGGTGGACACTGGCATTTTCAGGGACTGAGGCAAGAGGACAGATGGAAGTTCACTTATACTTTATGTCTGAATATTAAAAAAATTATACATCAAGAGAACAAACTGTTAACTAAAGTATGTTCTATTCTCCTACCACGACAAATGTGCCTTTACGAGGACTTGGGAAACCTGGTTTAAATTTAAAATTCTCAGACTCGTCTGTGTTTTGTCCCTGAACATGGGGACATGGGGTGACCCTGGTTTGTTACACCTCTTCTCCCTCCAATAGCTCTGTGGATACCCCATCCTTCATGTCCAAGTGCTGTGCATCCTTTATTCCCTCCCACACTTTTCAGCCTATGGATGCTACTCCAGGAGCAGAGTCAGCCCATGGGCCCAGGGGCTTGGGAGACATCCTGCCAAGCAGTGGAAGCAGGCTTGGGCCACGCGGGAAGAGATTCCAGAGCTTTGGGCATTGGGAGCATGGGTGAGGCAGGGAGGGGATGTGGGCCCAAGACTGGCACAACTTGTTTGCTCCAAAAACTTCTCCTTCCACGAGGAGGGGTGAGGCTAGGATAGGACAAAGTGCATATCTCAGGTGTTAGGGGACTATTGGGTGGCAGGTAGGATCATCTTAGGGCTCACAACAGAATGGACACAGCTTCCGCTACTATTTTTCTTTTTTGAGACACTCTTACTCTGTCGCCCAGACTAGAATGCACTGGCATAATCATGGCTTACTGCAGCCTCAACCTCCCAGGCTCAAGTGATACTCCCACCACAGCCTCTCCAGTAGCTGGGACTACAGGTGTGCACCACCACACTTGGATAATTTTTTGACTTTTTTGTAGAGACAGGGGTCTCTACAGTTGTCCAGTCTAGTCTTGAACTCCTGGGCTCAAGCGATCCTCCCACCTCAGCCTCCCAAAGTGCTGAGATTATAGGCATGAACCACTGTGCCCAGCCCCACCACTGCTTTTAGTCCTCTCCCACCCTCCATCCAATCCTGGTTTGCAAAAGTATAAGGTTCGGTCCTGTGTGGGCCTAGTTACATCCTTGTGGCACTTGCAGAAAGCAGGTGGGCTTAGGTTCAACAGCCCTATTGCAACCTAATTTCTCTCTAGCTCTGAATTCCAGCAAAGAGGTCAGACTCTCTCCTGAGAAGCATCCTGGCTCTTGTGCTCCTTCCTCTGCCTTATGGCTCTTTCACGGGGTGAGTCTACAACACTATAACCCTGCACTATGGACCCACTGTCTTAGACTTCTGAAACCTCGCTCTCAGTTCCAAACCAGATGCCTTTCCCCTCCAAACATTCTTCTCTTGGGAGTCAAAACACATCCAGTAAGCACTGAAAAATACCTCTGCCTTGTGTCTGAGATATGCACACTTTCTCTGGGGCTGGGGTAATGTTATGAACCCTCTGCAATCAGCATCCATTGACCTCGAGTTACTGCAGATAATAGGAAAACAGATAACATGCCTGAGAATCACCCAGAAGCTGAGTTTCTTGGTAAAACAAGGCATCCCTCTCTTTGGGTGGTTGTAACAGCATCTCCAGCAAGGGGGAAGGTTAGAAGTTAATGCTTTTATCTTCCTGAAGACCTTATCTTCTTACTCTCCTCCAGAAGGCTGTAAGTGCTTTTGCTGAAATCAGTAAAGCAAACTGGGCCAAACTGACCTCTTCGCAGTCCTGACTGGCCTAATCCAAATGGGTGGGTCTGGCTGTAAAAGAATGAATGCCCCAGTACACTTGGTATGTGGTTGTTTTTTTTGTTTGTTTGTTTTTTGTTTTTTTTTTTTGAGATGGAGTCTCTATTGCCCAGGCTGGAGTGCAGTGGTGAGATCTCAGCTCACTGCAACCTCCGCCCCGCTGGGTTCAAGCGATTCTCCTGCCTCAGCCTCCTGAGTAGCTGGAATTACACGCACCCGCCACCACACCCAGATAATTTTTGTATTTTTAGTAGAGACAGGATTTCACCATGTTTGCCAGGCTGGTCTTGAACTCCTGATCTCAAGTGATCTGCCTGCCTCAGCCTCCCAAAGTGCTGGGATTCCAGGCGTGAGCCACAGCACCCAGCCGGTATGTGGTATTTTGATTTATAAAGGGCTTTTACTCACATATCCCCATTTCGCCTGTCTGTTATGCCATCATAGTCTGTGTGGCACCTCTCTCTACATGAGCCCTCCCTACATCTGGAAGCTTCCATTTTAACCAAGGCTTTCTCCATAGGCCCTATTTTCCAGTTAAGCCCTATTCTCTTAGTTAGGAGTCTTTCCTTTTCTCTCCTCTTCCCTTTTTTTGAATTATAGTCTACCCCTTTATTATCTCATTGGGGTATACACAGAGAGTAGACAGAAATCAAATCTTTCAGTCGAAGGCAAAAGATTTATACGACCTGAAGATAAACCAGAGGATAGAAGTCAGATCTTTCAGTTGGCAGAGCTGTGCATTATTTCTGGATTGCAACTACTTACTTTGCCTGGATCAAATAAAAATAAAACAAAAACAAAAGCCAAGGGTTTGTGGAGTCTGCTTCCTCTTTTCCTATACTCAGAAATATCTGTCTAGAAAAAAGTACGAGAAGCAGTCATTTTTGGTTTCTCTCTCTGAAATTTAGCTTCCAGTGCAGACTTTCCACTTCACATTCCGTTCCCCTGAAGTCCTCGCTCCCTCTTCTGTTAATGACAACCCCAGGCTCAAAGCCTCAGAGGGAGGGACCCCGGCTGTGCCCTTACTTTCCTCCTCACATCAGTCACTCTGCAGTTCTGCTGAATCTTCTGGCTGAAACGTCACTCATCTTCCTTCCCATCCTCTGCACTCACTCAGGCCTTGGACTGCGCCGACCCTAATGGCTTCAGCAGCTCTTTAAATGTCTGTGCATCCCCACTGTCTGTCTCTGCTTCATTCCATCCTGCAGGCCCACACCAAAGGACACATTCTGCTGGGAACGTGTTGAGTGATTTAAATGTCTGCATCACCACTGTCTGTGTCTGTTTCATTCCATCCTGCAGGCCTGCACCAGCATTCTGCTTCCCTGTTTGCAACCCATTTTTTATTTATTAAAAAAAGTTTAATTTTTAATCTGTTGCTTAGGCTGGACTGCAATGGCACAATCATAGCTCACTATAGCCTCAAACTCTTGGACTCAAGCCATCCTCCCGCCTCAGACTCCTTTGGGACTACAGGTGTGCAATACCACATCCAGTTAACTCATCTTTTTAGAATTTAAAAATTTAGGCTGGGCGCAGTGGCTCACGCCTGTAATCCTAGCACTTTGGGAGGCTGAGGTGGGCAGATCACAAGGTCAGGAGTTTGAGACCAGCCTCGCCAACATGGTGAAACCCCATCTCTACTAAAAAAAAGAAAATACAAAAATTAGCCGGGCATGGTAGCGTGCGCCTGTAATCCCAGCTACTTGGGAGGCTGAGGCAGGAAAATTGCTTCAACCCGGGAGGTGGAGGTTGCAGTGAGCCAAGATCATACCACTGCACTCCAGCCTGAGCAACAGAGTAAGCCTCCGTTTAAAAAAAAAAAATTATCTGCTGGGTGCGGTGGCTCATGCCTGTAATCCCAGCTCTTTGGGGGACCGAGGTGGGTGGATCACTTGAAGTCAGGAGTTGGAGACCAGCCTGGACAACATAGCAAAACCCCAGCTCTACTAAAAATACAAAACTTAGCTGGGTATGGTGGCACCCACCTGTAATCCTAGCTCCTCAGGAGGCTGAGGCATGAGAATCGCTTGAACCCAAGAGGAGGAGGCTTCAGTGAGCCAAGATCATGCCACTGCACTCCAGTCTGGGTGATGGAGTGAGACCCTGTCTCAAAAAATAAAAAATAAAATAAAATAAAATAAAATAATTTTAAAAATAAAAGTGTATCTATATTCCCTCTTTAGGGCCCCTTCTGCTCTGCAACCAACTCAACTATTCAATCTCAGTTGCTAATTATGTCTCTACACCCTCAACTCTCATTACACTCCTCTGCTCAGTGTAACCTGTCTTAGTCTCCATTCCCCTGGAAGCCAACTCTGAGAGAAGCATTGCTGTGCAAATTGTTTCCTTCAGAGGTAGTCACAGGAAACACTGTAGGGAAGGAGACAGGTACTGTGAGGGAGTCAGGGAAGAGAAGGCAGCCAAAGAAAGGTGCATTACTGACACCAGGAAGCATTATGAGATAATGACGGGGTGTGCTGTCTTGAGCACCCTTCTGGGTTAGCTCCACCTTTCACTGTCTTTCTTTGAGCCACAATCAATTGTTGTACTTCATGGTATTAAGTTCTGTAAAGTCATCACCAACCGTGAATTAGCCAACACTGAACCATTGTTCCTAGGGGAAATACCAGTTTAGGTTCCTGCTAGCCCCTGGTCACAGCATTTTCATTAACAGATCAATGCATAACCTTGCTTTATGTGTGTTTCTAGTTAAAACCACCTTATTTAATATGTAATGTTGAGTCATTGACACTGAAGTCATAGTCAACAGCACTATAACTCAAGCCTGAACAGAGTTTATCTAACATTCACATTTTCTCCATCACAGCCTTCTTGCCCTTAAACAGTTGTTTGGCATTTACTTTAGGGGCCTCTTAAAGCAGTGAAATAACCAACACACACAAACACACACACACACACACACACACCAAAATGTGAAAAAGGCAGCACTAAATAGACATCAAAAAGGACACTTGTTTACAGTATGAGAGCTGAAACAAGAAGGTAGAGCTTCATTCATCCTCAGCTGGGAATGTGCCAGGTGATTTAAATTTTTGCTCCTCTGTGTATGTGCACGAATGACCACAAAAGCACCATGATTATTGATTTGGGAGTCACAAATAAATTTTAGCAAGAAGGCAAATTTGCAAATACAGAATTCACAAATAATGAGGATCAACTGTATTTTCAATTCTGTAAATTGTAGAAAACTCATAATAATGCAGATGAATGTTGCCCACAGAGATGCAAATTCGGTTCTATGGAGATGCACTTGATTAGTGCCCTGTGGATATTGACCAGTTTTGCATCCACTTGTAAAGCAATTTCAGGGTTCTTAATTGCCTGTATCAGGGGTCTGCAAAGAAGGTCTCTAGGCCAAATGCACCTACCATGTGCTTTTGAGAATAAAGTTTCATTGAAACACCAGCAACCACTCCTTTATTAACATATAGTCTATAGCTGTTTCAGGCTACAGTGGTAGAACTGAGTAGTTGCAACAGAGACTACGTGGCCTGCAAACCCTAAAATGTTATCTGGTCCTTTCCAGAAAAAGTGTGTTACATGGTTGGACATGGTGGTGCACACCTGTAATTCCAGCACATTGGCAGGCTGAAGCAGGAGGATCCCTTGACCCCGGAGTTCAAGAGCAGCCTTGGCAACATAGTGAGACCCCAACTCTACAAAAAACTTTAAAAAATTAGCCAAGAGTGGTGGCACATGCCTGTAGTCCCAGCTACTTGGGAGGCTGAGGCATGAGGATTACCTGAGCCCAGGAGATCAAGGCTGCAGTGAGCCGAGATTGCACCACTGCACTCCAGCCTGGGTGATAGAGCAAGACTCTGTCTCAAAAATAAAATAAAATAAAAATAAAAATAATAAAATAAAACATTAAAAAAAGAAAAAGTGTGTTATATATTTGTATGTAAGTGCTATTTGAGTCTATGTTTAAATCAGTTGTGACATTTTACCATTTCCCTCATTCACTAATGAGTTTAAAAAATTTTAAGCAGTTTTTAAAACATTTAATTAATTTATTTATTAAATATATGTAGAGAGTACAAGTGCAGGTACCTTACATGCATATTTTGTGTAGTGGTGAAGTTTGGGCTTCTGCTATATCCATCACCTGAATAGTGAGCATCATAATCAATGGGTAATTTTTCAACCCTCACTCCCTACCCAGCGTCCCACATTTTGTAGTTTCCAATGTCCAGTATTTCACTCTGATGTAGTTTTTAAAAAGTTTTCTATTAATGTCATGATTTTACCTTTAGAATATTTATCCTTTAAGACTGAACATGTATAGCTGGGGGCCACCAGAGCATGATGCTGCAGGGGAGTGCAGATGATGTGGGGTGAGTGTGCTTCAGGGGTGTCCCACTTGAGGTCAAGGAAGCTGGGTTGTGTAGGTCACTGTTGGAGAATTGCTCCTGGGCGTATTAACTTGATGGCACCCTCAGACGGCCAGGCAGAAAGTTGCAGTAAGACGTGCATAGGAGTGTATGGTAGGAGGAAGTGAGCGAGGTACAATCGCACATGCATCTTATCCATATTTTATCCCCACTCCCACCTTTGCATTTGGACCAGTGCCCCCACACCTTCCCTACTTCGTATATCCAAATTCTGCCTATTCTTCAAAGACTAGCTCAAGCCCATGGTATTAGTCCATTCTCACACTATTATACAGAACTTCCTGAAACTGGGTCATTTATAAAGGAAAGAGGTTTAATTGACTTACAGTTCCTCATGGCTGAGGAGGTTTCAGGCAACTTACAATCATAGTGGAAGGGGAAGCAAGCACCTTCTTCACAAGGCAGCAGGAGAGAGACGAGTGAAAAAGGAGGAACTTCTGAACTCTTATAAAACCATCAGATCTCGTGAGCACTCAGTTACTATCACTAGGCATGGGGGAAACTGCCCCCATGATCCAATAACCTCCCACCAGCTCCCTCCTTCAACACCTGGGGATTACAATTCAAGATGAGATTTGAGTGGGGACACGAAGCCTAACCATATCACCCACCCTGTTCATGGGCTTTTCCCTGAGCACTGCCCCCATAATGATCTAACTCCATTATTGAACCAGTGAAATAACTTAAGAGTCCACAATTCCTAAATCTTAGCGTCCTCCTCATAAACATCATTGAAATAAACTGGGGATCCATTTCAGCATTTTTAACTGGAAATATAGTCCCTGTTAGGCAGAGTTCCTGCCTATGATTCCTTAGAGAAGCCGCGATGCGTACATTGGTTCTACCTCCTTCAGAGTAGAGACCCCACAGAAGTGGAGATAGGAAACAATCCTCACTAGCACTGATCTATCTTTGTTGAGTATTTTGACACGTGGCAATGCATGCCCTAACTCCCAGCCAAACCTAGAACAAGCCAACCTAGAACAGCTAGAATGTGTGACCTAAGTTGGCAGTCTGAGGAAGAGGAAATTCTGAAACCACATAGTGCATGATGCACTGCTATTTACTAGCAACAGTGATTTTTCTCACCTCAACCCTGCTCCCTCATTTTAGTAGGACATCTCTGAGGTGCACGATATATACTGTCTCCCAAAGATACCTCATGAGATGAAGCTTCAGCTGGGTGTCAATTTGTTGCTCAGGGTGGTCTCAAACTCCTGGCTTCAAAGTGAAGCCCCGTCTTGGCCTCCCAAAGTAAGATTACAGATGTGAGCCACCTACCTGGCGAGAGTATCATTTTTGTTGTTGTTCAGCTCTTGCAAAATAAATTCAAAGAAAAAGAAGTGTCACCAAATGAATTAGTCCTCTTAGGATCCCCATGTGCCTTGGTCCAGATCTGCTCCCATCAGACCACAATGAAAGCTTTTAAGATATCCCTCCTGTCTTTCTCTTCATAATCCCTTGCCTGCTTCTCCATGGTAATCAGCAATCAATCCTGCAATACAAATGAGCCCTTGAATCAGCTAGGAATTTTTATGTTGGAAGTAACAGAAAACCCCATTCAAATTGGCTTGAAGATAAATAATAACATCTCCTTAAACAGTATTTGTTAGTTGCAAGGGGACCGATAGTAACTACACAGTGGAGAAATTAGGCAACACCTTGTCCAGGTGATCCAAGTCAGCATCCCAAACGAAGGCAGCCAGATGCTGTGTTCCTCCAGACGTGATGCCCTAGAAGAACACAGCATCAGTTAGAGGATATTACAACAGAGAGTGTGTATGTGGAATCTCATCAAGAAGAAACATCATACCCACTCCAACTGAGGGACATCCCATCATAGAACTGGCCTAGATTCTACATCAATATCAATGTCGTGAAAAACAAAGAAAGGCTGAGGAACCATTTTTTCTTTCTTTCTTTCTTTTTTTTGAAAGAGTCTAATGCTATAGCCCAGGCTGGAGTGCAGTGGTGCGATCTTGGCTCACTGCAACCTCTGCCTCCTGGGTTCAAGTGATTCTCGTGCCTCAACCTCCTGGGTAGCTAGGATTACAGACGTGCACCATCGTGCCTGGCTAATTTTTGTATTTTTAGTAGAGATGGGGTTTCACCATGTTGGCCAGGCTGGTTTTGAACTCCTGGCCTTATATGATCCACCCACCTTGGCCTCCCAAAGTGTTGGGATTACAGGCTTGAGCCACTACACCTAGCCTGAGGAATCACTCTTAAAAAAGATTAAAGAGGCCTGACACCTTCCTGCAAAAGACATGATCTGGACTAGTTCCTGGACTAGAGAAAGAAACATGCTATACAGGACATTATTGGGAAAAATGATAACAATTGGCATCTCGGGTTTAGATCAAAGTATCATATGATGATTAGGCTCCATTCTTGGGTCATCGAACTGTGGGAATGTAGGAGAACCTCCATGTTCTTCAGAAGTATATACTGGTGCAGTAAGTGGTGAAGGGGCCTGATGGCTACAATCTACTCTAACCTGGTTCAGAGGCTGATACAGGAAATGGGGCAAAATGGCACAGGTCAGTGAACCTGTGCAAATAGTACAGAGGAGTCCTCAGAACTATTCTTGCCACGGTTCTGGAAGTTTGACATTATTTCAAAATAACTTGGCCCCGTGAGGTGGCTCACGCCTGTAATCCCAATGCTTTGGGACGCCCAGGCGGGAGAATTGCTTGGGTCCAGCACTGTCATCTGGGCAACATAGCGAACCCCCTTCTCTACAATAAATAAATAAATAAATAAATAAATAAATAAATAAATAAAATTAGCCAGGCATGGTGGTGCACACCTGTATTCCCAGCTACTTGGGAGGCTGAGGTGGGAGCATCACTTGAGTCTAGGAGTTCGAGGCTGCAGTAGCTGTGATTGCACCACTGCACTCCAGCTTGGGCCCCAGAGCGAGACCCTGTCTCTCAAAAAAAAAAAAACCCAAGAACAAAATAAAAGCTTAAAAATCTCTAAGCAGTAAAAGTGATTAAGGGATGGCCTAAAGTCCAGGGTGAGGGTGGAGGCTTCATGGAGTGGCATGGGCCAATCCAGCAGCTCCACAATTCAACCAGGCCCCATTTCCCCAGCTTTTTCTATCTCTTGGTTTGGCCCTTCCCTGGGGTCAGTGCTAACCCATCTTCAGTGTGGCCAGTGATGACGTGGCTTCGTCTCCCCACCTCACCATGTCACAAAAGTCAGTAACCTCTGAAGGAATAGTGAGGGTCTTGTTCCCCAGAAACCCTTCCTCTCAAGTTTGGGAAATCCTGCCTAAAACACAAAATCTAATCAAGGTGGCCCTGACATCAGTCCAAACTCTGCCACAGCGTATATGGTCTTCATCAATTTCATTCAAACCTTTATTTGCATTTCTAATCCCTCTCTCCAGCGCAGACTCATCCACCCTGCGTGTTTCTGTATACATCACTCAGTCTCTGTTTAAAATGCCTCACCACCTGGTGAACACTTTTTTTTTTTTTTTTTTTTTTTGAGACGGAGTCTTGCTCTGTCACCCAGGCTGGAGTGCAGTGGCGTGATCTCGGCTCAACTGCAACCTCCACCTCCCGGTTCAAGCAATTCTCCTGTCTCTGCCTCCCGAGTAGCTGGAATTAGAGGCACATGCCACCACACCCAGCTAACTTTTTGTATTTTTAGTAGAGACAAGGTTTCACGATGTTGGCCAGGTTGGTCTTGAACTCCTGACCTTAGGTGATCCACCCCCCTTGGCCTCTCAAAGTGCTGGGATTACAGGTGTGAGCCAGCATGCCCAGCTAGTGAACACCTTTTTATCCCTCAAGACTTAGGTCAGAGATCATCTCTGTGCTAGCTTCCCTTCATTACCTATTCCCATTATCAGCCCTTCCCCTTTCTGGGTCCCCAAGGTCCCTCTGACAGCCTCCACAACATCATGATTATAGCTGTCTGTTTATCTCACATAGGCTGTGTGCCCCTACAGGATGGAGCACGGCCTGTTGTCGAATGTTCACGGTCTGCCCAGCATATCATAAAACCCGGATGAAACCCTAAGACCTGCCCTGCTCATTTCACGTGTTTCCTGGCCCAGTGAAAGTGTGTGGTATGAATTCAGGAGCGAATCTGTAAGAGTACTTCAAACAGTGCTGGACACTAAATAATTTACTAAAATAAAACGTTGTCCAATAAAATACATCTTCATTCCTTTGGGTATTTTACTGCATTAAGGAAAATTACCCTGTTACTCAAGCCACATGGAACCACTAAGAAACTCATAACGTAGCCAGGCGGTGGAAAGCGCGTATGTCCCAATTTCCTGTTTTTCTCCGAGACGCTGCTGCCCCAGCCTGGGTCAGGCGATGCGTGGTTTGTGGCCTGCCACTTGGGCAGCCCTGGCTCAGAAGAAAGGCCATCTTCATTTTATATGGGAAAGTTGGAGAAACCTCAGAAGAGCCGTGGTGCATAAATATCACGTCACCAAAGCAGGGAACTGGCCACACTCACAGGCCTCCTTGGGGCCTGGCTTGGTGTCAGTTCCTGCTGTGGAGCTTGGTTCGGCTCTTTGTGCACCAGCATGCCCCACGCCAGACATGACGACACTGATGGCTTTTGCAGCCCCAGCCACAGAACAGGCTGCTGATGCTGCCCTTTCTTGTCCCACGAAAACGCCTTGCAGTTCAGAGAGCAGGCCGGCTCACCCAGCTGCACAGCATTTTCAGAGCAGCTTTGGGGCCATCATCCAGCAAAGTCTAAATACCCTCCCAGTTTGATTCATCTCTCAGTTTTAGACAAACCACAACTCTTAAAATTCTCCCACTGCAGAGAAACTTGGTGGACACCACCATCTTAACTAAACTATTGGAGCTGGTGTCACCAGGAATAAAACAAACCTGCCACATGTGCCTCCTGATATCTGGGACTGAGGAGGCCACCGCATCACTCTGGGGCATTCCTGCCACGGGTGCAAAACATGAATCTACTGTGAGGAGCATCAGACAAACCTAAACTGAGGGTCACTCTACAAAAATGATTGGCCTGCATGCTCTAAAAACGTAAAGGTCTTAAAAGGCAACAAAAGCTAAGGATACATTTCAGAGTGAAGGAGTCTCTAAACAGAAGTGACAACTCAATTCAATAAATGATCCTCAGTTGGATGCTTAACTGAAAAAAAATGCTGTAAATGACATTATTGGGATAATTGGAAAAACTGAAATATGGGCAACAGATTAAAGTATTGCATCAATGTTAAATTTCCTGAATTTGGTAACTGGATTGTGATGATGTAAAAATATGTCCTTGTTCTTAAGAAGTAAACACTAAAGTATTGAGTGGTAAAGAGGCGTGACTCATGCAACTTACTGTCCAATGGTTTAGAAAAAAGTGTGTGTGTGTGCACATGAGCATGTGTGCACGTGTTGTGTGTGGAGTGAGAGGTAAAAAAGAGAAATAAAACAAATATGGTAAAATGTTAAAATGTGTTAATCTGGATAACTGACATCTTATGAGTCTCTGTACTATACTTGCAAACTTTGTGTAAATTTGAAATTATTTAAAAATGTAAAAATGCATTCCATTAAACAAAAAAAAAAATAAAAATAAACAAGATTCTTAGTGATGGTTTAACGTTTTCGCACAGCAAAACACTAACATGTGTGTTGAAAAATAAATTAATCTGGCCAGGTATGGTGGCTCACTCCTGTAATCCCAGCACTTTGGGAGGCCAAGGCGGGAGAATCGCTTGAGGTCAGGAGATCGAGATCAGCCTGGTCAACATAGTGAAACCCCATCTCTACTAAAAATACAATAATTATGCTGGTGTGGTGGTGCCTGCCTGTAATCCCAGCTACTCAGGAGGCTGAGGCATGAGAATCATTTGAACCTGGGAGGTGGAACTTGCAGTGAGCTGAGATCATGCCACTGCACTCCCGCCTGGGTGACACAGGAAGACTCTGTCTCAAAATAAATAAAATAAAATAAAATATCCAAAATTAATCTAGAAACACAATTTCACGTTAATGTTTTTTAAAAGCTTGAAATTTGATATAAAAAGCATATATGGCTATGTGTTTTGTGAATTTTGTATGCAATGTTAAAGATATACAAAAAGGTTTAAAGATGTAACATGTCTCTCTGCACTCCCCAGCCCTGTGGAGTCCTGTCTATCATATATCCTTTTTCTTTTCAGAGGTTACAAGAATTCTGAACTTGGAGTTCATCAGTCCTATATATCAGGGGTCCCCCACCCCCCAAGACTGCACAGCAGGAGGTGAGCAGTGAGTGAGGCAGTGAAGCTTCATCTGTATTTACAGCCACTCCCCATTGCTCATATTATCACCTGAGCTCTGCCTCCTGTCAGATCAGCAGTGGCATTAGATTCTCATAGTAGCACAAACCCTATTGTGAACTGCACATGCAAGGGATCTACACTCTGTGCTCCTTATGAGAATCTAATGCCTGATGATCTGTCTCCCATCACCCCCAGATGGGACCATCTAGTTGCAGGAAACCAAGCTCAGGGCACCCACTGATTCTACATTAAGGTGACTTGTATAATTATTTAATTATATATTACAATGTAATAATAATAGAAATAAAGTACACAATAAATGTAATGTGCTTGAATCATCCCAAAACCATCCCTCACACAACCCCGGTCTATGGAAAAATTGTCTTCCGTGAAACTGGTCCCTGGTGCCAAAAAGGTTGGGGACCACTTCTATTATATGTATGCAAATGCACCTTTATACATTTGCTACATATGTATGTATGTGTATATTTTTATTATATTTTTGTAAAGTATAACTTTTGGTCAGGCATGGTGGCTCATGCTTGTAATCCCAGCACTTTGGGAGGCCAAAGCAGGATTGCTTAAGGTCAGGAGTTTGAGACCAGGCTGGGGAACAAAGTGAGACCCTCCATCTGTACAAAAAATAAAAAATAAAAATTAGCTGGGCCTGGTGGTGTGTGCCTATAGTTTTAGCTTTTTGAGAGGCTGAGGAGGGAAGATCACTTGAACCCAGGAGTTTGAGGCTGCAGTGAGCCATGATTGCAGCACTGCACTTTAGCCTGGGTTAACAGAGCAAGACACTGTTGCCAAAAAAAAAAAAAAAGAAAGAAAGTATAACTTTTAAAATGAAATTTGAATTTAAAATTGTGTAATCCCTGAAGGACCCCTCAGGGTATGTATTAAGGTTCCAGGGAATACAGTTTTATTGGGCAGTTTTATTTAGCTGAGCTGATCTTTCTGGCTCTTCAGAGGCATTTACCCAGTGGCCTGAGTGTACCTCCTCAGAAAGGAACCTGAATGTTGTGACTATACTGTATAGAAAATATGTCATAGCACACACCTGATGACATGCTGGGACCAAAATATGCCATCTCACAATGGTGACGGTGAGCATCTCTCCTTAACTCTGCCTAAGGACATTCTGTTAGTAATTTGAAGATGATTATGGTTGGAGTATTTATTTACACCATGGAAATTGGCAAGTACTAAATCTGGGGGAGTCGTAAACATTTACAGCAAACCATTGTCTGCACCTTGCTCCCCAGCATCTTTGATGTAAAAGGGATAAGCTAATTCAGGTTTTTCAGGTAGTCTTTCAGATACTTAAAAGAGAAAATGAAGAAATAAAACTTGTTAAGATTTCATATCCTAGCTTGAATGCTATAGAAAGTGTTAAGGTGAATTTAGGTGATCTTAAAAAAATGGTCCAAAATGCCCAAATAGAATCATCCAAATATAATTTACAAATAAAATTTGTCTGGTAGAGAACAACTCCAAAGATGATGGTTTGACGGCCCTTTGAGGATGGTAACCAGTTTTGTATCACAGGCAGCGAGTATATGTAGCCTATTTCAGCAGGATTTCTTTAGACTGATTACATATACACCAATCTCTTGTACCCATCCTGCTTTGAACTAGCTTTACCCACCTGCTGATGCCTTCCTAATAAGTCTTTAACCCCACGCTCCTTATATGTCAATAGGAGGGCTCTATTTTTAAACTTTTAAATGATCATATTTTGACAAAGGAGAAGTGTATTGGAACCAAATAATTTGGTCCTTTTTTCTTCTTGTCAAATTCCATGCTGTCTGCTTTGGAGGAGGGACTTTGGTGAAGTCAGGAAGGAAGGATTCAAAGGATGCTGTGTTTCACGACCTGGTAATTTTGTTTATAGAGCCAAGCGTCATGATCTTCTAAATGTAACCAGGTCTGGTGTTAATAAGAACCAGGAAAATCCTAACCACAAACAGTTGAATGTTTTGCCAAAAAGCTTGTGCCCTGTGGGGCAAACTTAACCAAACAACTTTATGAAAGTTCAGCTGTTAACTCCTCACTCCAGAAGAGGACATGACCCTGCAAACTAAACAGTGCCACCCAGGATGGTCAAAAACCAGGGTACTGTCAATAGTAACTTCTCCCGCCTCTTGCAAACTATTGTTTCCCAGCCTTTTCAGACCCTTTTTTCTAATTGATCCCTCCATTAAATCTTAATACCATGGATATCCATCGTATAACTGTTTATGTATCATATGCATATCTGTGTCTTATACATTAAAAAAAAAGTTTTTTTTTTACCACCCACCCCCGAGAACCAATTCTTGCCTTCTTGGGGGCAATCTAGCCCCTGTTGAGAATGCGTGTTGTAAACTGACCATTATTCACTGTGCTCTCACAGCCTGGCAATGCCCATATGGGGTTTCCCAGAGCAGTGTGAAGATGAACACAGGATGGGAATGACCTCTCCCATCTATGGTCATCTTTGCTTTCTACCGATGAACCGCAGTTTTATAACAGCAGAAACAACCATTCTGGGACTTCCTAGATGCAAGGAATGAGCTAAGCACTTTACATACTGTCAAAGTTTGCCTTCTCCCAGAAGCAAACCCCAAGGCAAGGATTCTAGGGCTGGTAATTTCTGGGAAAGTGGTCCTGAGAAATACTGATAGGTGAATGGGAAAGTGAGGCAGGAAAGAGGAGGATGATTTTCAAGCCATTGACAGCTGTGGACAAATGGAGTTTAATCTCACAGAGTAATGCTGGTAAGCAGTGTCAAACACAAGCTTCAGAGTTATCCCTTCTGAAGGGGGTGAGGGAGCTGGGGTACTGATACAGCTGACTTCCATCAGTCATTGGTTGAAGGCTGCTTGTGGGGACATTAACTCCCCAGTACTCTCTAGACAGACAGATGCAAATGCAAGCAGCCAGCAGTCAAGTTGGTGTGAGCTGCAATGATAAGGCCCAGGGCAGAAGGGTGAGGCACATACATGGTTTCATGTAACGCACAACATCTATGACAGGTGAGCCCTTAATCACTGCAAATGTTATAGAAATGAGACAAAACGTGTTAAATAATGTTCCTAAAGTCAACAGGGAGTAAGTGGAAGTGACAAGTGCTGACTCCAGAGGCCACATGCATAAATGACAGGCTGCACATGTATACTGCCTTTCTTCTTGCACACACATGCTGTTCCTCTTGATTTTTCCTATTCAGATTGATTTGACAAAGCAATAAGATGTATATGAGAAAACGCTCACCTTAGGTAAACACATAAGTTGAGAGGACAAGGGTAGGCACAGAGCAGAGGGTGAAAGAAGAGAGAAAAGTAGATGATGCCAAGAGGGAGGAACATGGTACAAGTCTGCTGGCTCCACGCTGGAGGGCAGATGTTGCTACATTAAGTCATGTTACAAACCAATCCAAAGACAAGATCTTGCAGTGAAAGGGGATTCAACTCAGAAAACGTGCATTTGGCAAGGATTCAGTTCTAGGGACTGTGCTCCCAAGCACTGGGAACACCAAGATGACTAAGACCAGCCCTGGTTCTAACTTTGAAGAACTCATAGTCTACAAAGAGCATTAAAGAAAAAATTATTCAATGATACTTGTTAATGCCTGGTAAGACAGACTTTATTCAGTCCGTGGCAATGGGTGGTTGAGGAGAGAGATTGAGTTCAACTCTGTTTTTGCTTGTTTGTTTGTTTGTTTGTTTGTTTGTTTTGAGACGGAGTCTCACTCTGTCACCCAGGCTGGAGTGCAGTGGCACGATATTGGCTCACCGCAACCTCTGCCTCCCGAGTTTAAGCGATTCTCCTGCCTCAGCCTCCCAAGTAGCTGGGACTACAGGTGCCTGCCACCACGCCCGACTAATTTTTTGTATTTTTAGTAGAGATAGGGTTTCACCATGTTGGCCAGGCTGGTCTCGAACTCTCGAGCTCAGGCAATCCACCCGCCTCGGCCTCCCAAAGTGGTGGGATTACTGGTGTGAGCCAACACGCCCGGCCAAGTTCAACTCTGAATGCAGTATGGACAAGTGGGAATTTATAGCCAAGGAGAAGAGTGGAGGGACAGTGGATGGGGCCTCCATTAAATTTTAATACCATGGATATCTATTGTATAACTGTTTATGTATCATATGCATATTACCAAGAGGAAACATCAGGGTCAGGAGACTCTGGCTAAACCAACCTAGCAGGTTGCTGAAGACAGGCCAGGATGGCCGGACTCCACTTGGGGGATAGTGGCAGTGAAGAAATCTGATCAGGTATGGAGGGTGATCAGATATGGAGGGTGATCATCAGATATGGAGGGTGATCATCAGATATGGAGGGTGATCATCAGATATGGAGGGTGAGCATCAAATATGGAAGATGATCAGATATGGATGGTGATCATCAGATATGGAGGGTGATCACATATGGAGGGTGATCATCAGGTATGGAGGTTGATCAGATATGGAGGGTGATCATTGAATATGGAGAATGATCAGATATGGATGGTCATCATTAGATATGGAGGGTGATCATCAGATATGGAGGGTGATCATCAGATATGGAGGGTGATCATCGGATATGGAGGGTGAGCATCAGATATGGAGGATGATCATCAGATATGGAGGTTGATCAGATACGGAGGGTCATCATCAGATATGGAGAGTGATCAGATATGGAGGGTGATCATTAGATATGGAGGGTGATCATCAGATATGGAGGGTGATCACCAGATATGGAGGGTGATCATCAGATATGGAGGGTGATCAGATAAGGAGGGTGATCAGATATGGAGGGTGATCAGATATGGAGGGTGATCAGATATCGAGGGCAGGGCGTTCTTGCTCAACCTACTTAGCAGGGTTCTTTGTTAAAACTAGATTTTATAAGGAAGTGCTCAGAAGCACCTAGGAGGAGGTTCAGGAGCCTGACTAAAGTTTCGTCAAGCCAAGAATCTTTGTCAAGGGGAAGGGCTGTGGTGGAACATATCATAGCAAAGGCTGACAATGACAGTAGAGTGCAGCTGGGCAGAAATCAATTTTCTCTAGAGGTTGGAGGGTCATGGAAACCTATAAGGAGGTGGGACTTTTGAGACAGGCTTTAAAGGAAGAATAGGAGTTTAGGAGGTGGACAGGATCAAGAAGGGTAGAAGGAATAGTGTGACATCTGCCCGGAGACTGATCAAAGCAGGACATTTGACACATTCTTGATTGACTCTGCTGAATATTTTCTACCTCATAAAGTCATAAGGGGAACTGTTAACCCTAAACTTAACAAGGAAAGACTGGCTGTGGGTTTAGACCTGACCGAATGTTATCATAGGATTTGTAATAGTGAAAGAAGGGTGTTCTTTGCCCTGGCTTTAATTTGCTACTTTCCTGGGTTATCTGCAAAAACTTGCAGTTGGTTATGTGCTGTGCCACCTCTTTTATGGCTTTTTTCTTCGTTCACTTAGTCATTCATTAACTCAACTATGGGGATGTAAAGGTGAATCAGAGTTTGGTTTCTGTTCTGAATATGCTCATAGTCCAGTGAGGGACATAATTAAATAAGAAACCATTAAAAGACAAGCTTATCAGTGCTAAAACAGAGAGAGAGGGGCACACCATCCAGACTCCATGGGGAGTGAGTGTGAGAGAAACACAAGGGTCCCAAGAGGAGAAGACAACTAGGCAATCTGAAAATTAGCTTAGAATTAACCGGCCAGGTGCAGTGGCTCATGCCTGTAATCCCAGTACTTTGGGAGGCCAAGGTGGGTGGATTGCCTGAGGTCAGGAGTTCGAGACGAGTATGGCCAACATGGTGAAACCCCGTCTCTACTAAAAATACAAAAAAAATTAGCTGGGTGTGGTGGTGTGTGCCTGTAATCCCAGCTACTTGGGAGGCTGAAGCAGGGGAGTTGCTTGAGGAGGTGGAGGTTGCAGTGAGCCGAGATCATCGAGCCACTGCACTCCAGCCTGAGCAACAGAGTGAGACTCCGTCTCAGAAAAAAAACAAAAAACAAAACAAAAAAACAAACAAACAAGAATCACCCATGTAAAGGGGCAGACCCGATACAGGATGTCTCTTGGCACCAGTCAGGAGTTCCATTTCTGACTTCCAACCATCAGCATCTGTGCCACTTCATCTGAGGGTTTTCTCTGGTGGTGGGACCTAATGCTATCACACCTATGGAAGGCCAGAAGTGCAAGGGGCAGCCAGTGACAGAGATAAGCCAATGCCTGGCAGGAGTTGGCAAATAAACACCCAGCTCCTTTGCACCTTGGGATGAGTGACTCTGAAGCTTGTGCTCTCTACAGCATCTCCAAGTTTTTCAGTGGGATTCAGTTCCAGTTGTCCACAGGGGTGCCAGGCTTGATAAAACACTCTATACTGGCTTCCTTCCCTTCCTTGTTTCACTTCCAAGATCCCCCAGTGATGCTTCTGGGGATCATCTCCCAAATAAACCACTTGCACTTGAATCCATGACTCCCAAGTTTTGGGCTTGATGACTGGATTCTCCATATAGAGAACGCAGGTGAGGAAGGGAAAGATTTATGGAAAAGATAATGAGCTGAATTTGGAATTGTTGAGTTTGAGCTGTCAGTAGGACATCCATGTGGAAAGTTCAGGAAGCAGGTATATCAATGGATCTGGCTCTTAGGAAGGAGTTATGTGCGGAGATAGTCACGTGGGAGTTGTCAGCATGCACATGGTAGCTACTGTCATGGAATAGATGGGATCTTCATGGAAGTCAAGGGAAAGTTATATTTCAAGACCTTGTGACTATTTAATGGTGCCAGTGCTTCAAAGTGGGCAAGAAAGATAAGAATTGAAAGCTGTCTGTTGGGTAGAGCAACCAGAAGGAAGAGCCAAAGAAATGGGAGGAAAATGGGGAAATTGGCATTTTATGCACAGTATCCTATTTGACCCTCTAGTCAATCTTCGGATGGAAGCACTATTCTTGCCTAATGTTACACAATTAATAAGTGGTAGAGTCAGGATTAGAACCAGGAATGTGTGAATCCCAGCAGTCCTCTCTTTCTATTACACCATACTCCCTTTCCCTGTGCCTGAGGGTGGACGCCCAGGGGCGTCTCTGCAGCCACATCCTGCCTGCCCTCATCCAGCTCATCCCTGGAAGTTGGATGGCTCCTCCCCATCTTGTTCCTGCCAATTAGTGCCTCTAAGGAGACTCTGATTCATCAATGTAGTCCCAACATTCTAAGTATGACCCCCTGGAAGGGCCTGGCATGGAAGTATTTTCTCCCTGTAGAGCTGTTTATCTTCCCAAGAAAGCCCTATGGACTCCAGAGTCCATCTTCTGAGCCCAGGGATCTCAACTCAGTTGCTGCTACCTAATCTGAAGCTACTTTAAGAAATGTATTCTGTCCTCCACCGTGTTTGCAGCAGTCCCGCCTTCTCCCTGCATGTCCCGAGCCCCCTGCCAACTCCTGCTTTGTTCTGGTCTCCACTACATGGTCAGCTCAGTTCAGGCCCTGCCAGGGTCTCTTTATGAAAAGCAGACCCAAACATTTACCCTTGATTGTAGGAAGACAGATGAGATCATGGAATTATTGACATCTTTAGTAAGTAAGGAAAACTTATGGAGAATGGGGAAGGAGTCAGAGGATTAGGAATAAGTAAATATTATTCCAAATGGAGGTTTCATTTCCTGGATATGGTCAAGAAGGGATTATCAAGATGGTTTTTGAGCACTTAGAAGGAAAATGATGGTCTCTAGACATTAGCACGATGTCCTTAAAACACGAACTTCATTAACTTTTTCATGTTTCTAGGCAATAGATCAGGGCTGTGAGCACGGAAGAGGTTGATTTCATAAAATTTGACAAGCTTCTCCAAACACTCTAAGAGACGCAATGCAGATATTTGGGCTGGACAGCACTGAAGTCAGTTATCAGGTTACCCAGACTCAAAGGCTTTCAGGTCCCTTAGACCAAAAATCAGACAGTGTTGGGCCTCTTCCTGCTTCAATCTATTCCCCTAATTTGTTGGCCTCGCTTTCCTAATTTAACTCTGTCACCCTTCCTTCCTCACTCAGATGTAGCCTGACCTGATTCCTATTCTCCCCACTCAAGAAAAGGGCAGGCAATTAAACTGGCAAAAGAAACAGGGGTTGTAAGACAGAAAAACAAGGAGTAGGCAAAAATGTCTTAAACAGGACATAAAAAACTCAAGCCATCTTAATATTTTTTTTTAAAAAAAGACAGACCATAAAAAGGGATGAGTTGGACCTCATTAAAGTTAAATGCTTTTGTTCAACAAAACACATCATTAAAAAGTGAATGAATAAGACATAGAGCAGGAGAAGATATTTGAAATGCACATGTAAGACAAATAACTTCTGGCTAGAATATATAAGGAAGACAAAACACATTTTCAAAAGAACAAAAGGCTTAAATGGAGCCTTCACTACAGAGAATATTCAAACCTAAAACATTCAAAAGACTGTTCAACATTATTACTCATCAGGAAAATCCAAATTATTATTATTATTATTATTAGAGACAGGGTCTCACTTTGTTGCCCAGACTGGCTTCAAATTCCTGGGCTCAAGCAATCTTCCCACCTCAGTCTCCCAAGTAGCTGGGATTCCAGGTGTGTACCACCATATCCAGTGAGGAAAATCCAGATTAAAGCCACATTGAGACACTCCCATGCACCCTCTGGAATAAGTAAAATTTAAAAGACTGATCATACCAAGTGTTAGCAACTGGAACTCTCATATGGTGTTGGTGGGAATAAAAATTGGTCCAACTACCTTAGAAAGCTGGAATAATCTACTAATATCTATGCTTGCTCTATAATCCAGTAATTCCACTCTTAGTTATACATCCAAAATAAATGGATGTATGTGTCTACAAAAAGATACACGTACAGAAATGTTCATTGCAGCTTTATTCATTATAGTCCAGACTAGAAACAATTTAAATATCCATCAATATGAAAATAATACAATGAATCCATTGTATTATTCATACAATGGATAAGTACCCAGGAACAAAAAGGAACAAATTACTGATATATGAAGCAACGTGGATGCATTTGCTCAAAACATTATGTTGAGCAAAAGAGGCCAGTCACAAAGGTGTATACATTTTGATTCCATATATATGGAGATCAATAACAGGCAAAACTAATCTACATTGCTATTAATAGAAAACAGAATAATGGGTATTCTTGTTTAGGGAGGCATTGACTAGGAAAGGGACAGGAAACCATCCGGGATAATGAAAATGTTCTAGACCTTGATCTGGATGGTGGCTACCGGGGTCTCTGCCTAAAGTTCACTGGGCTGTACACTTAAGACTTTGCACTTTGCTGTATACAAATTATATCTCAATAAAATTAAGGTTTTAAAAAATGAGGGGGGATACTGGCTAAGATATTCCAGTATGTATATATAAAGGCTTTAAAAAGCCATATAAAAAGTGGCCTCTCATCTTGTTTCTTTACTACTGGCCACGTTGCAAGATTTGGAATCAGTTCACAGCCAAAGCTACCTCGCTCATGGTGCTAGTTCCATTTCTGATGACCAGTCGCTGGAATGCTCCAGTGGAGAAATACAAAATTTAATAGCATTTGAGCCTCCATCAATAGTAAAGGACATCATTATTTTATGTATCATCTAATGAAACAGACATTGCCAATTAAACCATGGCAATATCTCTCTCCCTCCCTCCCTTCCTTCCTTCCTTCTTTCCTTCCTTCCTTCCTTTCTTCCATCCTCCCTCCCTCCCTTCCTTTCCTTCCTTCCTCCCTTTCTCTCCCTCTCTCTTTTTTTTTTTTCTGAGACAAAGTCTCACTCTCTCTCCCAGCCTGGAGTACAGTGACATGATCGTGACTCATTGTAGTCTTGAACTCCTGGGCTCAAGCGATCCTCCCACCTCAGCCTCTGGAGTAGCTGGGACTACAGGCAAATGTCACCATGCCCAACTACTGCTAATTAAAATTATTTTTTAAATTTATTTTGTAGAGATGGGTTGTCACTATGTTGACCAGGCTGAATTTATTTTCTTATCTCTTAGAATTTACTTTAATCTTATTGAAATAACTCTTAAAACCCTAAAATCATATTTAGACACAGAATGTCGTCATGCACAGTTTTTCCCATGCGCATTACAAGGAAAATAAAAGCAAAATTAATTAATTAAGATATCCCTAAAGTTCTTTCATATACAGGGTATGATCTTTCAAGGACATTCATGATGTAGCGTCTCTTAAAAGATTTTTCTTCTTTTTTTTTGTTCTAGAAGGAGTCTTGCTGTGTCACGCAGGCTGGAGCGCAATGGTGCGATCTCTGCTCACTGCAACCTCCGCCTCTCAGGTTCAAGCAATTCTCCTGCCTCAGCCTCCCGAGTAGCTGGGATCACAGGTGCCTGCCACCATACCCTGCTAATTTTTGTATTTTTAGTAGAGATAGGGTTTCACCATGTTGGCCAGGCTGGTCTCGAACTCCTGACCTTGTGATCCACCCGCCTTGGCCTCCCAAAGTGCTAGGATTACAAGCGTGAGCCACCATGCCTGGCCAAGATGTTTCATTTTTGTCTCTGGGATTTTTTTCCCCCAAGCCTCCGGTGTCAGTTTTGCCAGTCTCTTGTTGGTGTTTTCTTGATTTTACAGAAGAGGTCAGTGAAAGACTCATATTCCTTCCTTAAATGCTCCTTAAATGGTTGGTTGATGGAAACTTCAGGATGTCCAGTTGCAAACTTGTACACATTCAGGAAATGACAACCACTTGATGACTACATGGTCAGAAGGGGTTGTAAGTTGCCATCAAAGGATGGCAAATGTACCAACCAGAAAAAGTCCAGGACCAGACGGATTCACAACTGAATTCTACCAGAGGTATGAGGAGGAGCTGGCACCATTCCTTCTGAAACTATTCCAATCAATAGAAAAAGAGGGAATCCTCCCTAATTCATTTTATGAGGCCAGCATCATCCTGATACCAAAGCCTGACAGAGACACAACAAAAAAAGTGAATTTTAGACAAATATCCCTGATGAACATTGATGCAAAAGTCCTCAATAACATACTGGCAAACCGAATCCAGCAGCACATCAAAAAGCTTATCCACCAAGATCAAGTGGGCTTCATCCCTGGGATGCAAGGCTGGTTCAACATACGCAAATCAATAAATGTAATTCAGCATATAAACAGAACCAAAGACAAAAACCACATGATTATCTCAATAGATGCAGAAAAGGCCTTTGACGAAATTCAACAGCCCTTCATGCCAAAAACTCTCAATAAATTAGGTATTGATGGGACGTATCTCAAAATAATAAGAGCTATTTATGACAAACCCACAGCCAATATCATACTGAATGGGCAAAAACTGGAAGCATTCCCTTTGAAAACTGGCACAAGACAGGGATGCCCTCTCTCACCACTCCTATTCAACATAGCCTTGGAAGTTCTGGCCAGGGCAATCAGGCAGGAGAAAGAAATAAAGGGTATTCAATTAGGAAAAGAGGAAGTCAAATTGTCCCTGTTTGCAGATGACATGATTATATATTTAGAAAACCCCATCGTCTCAGCCCAAAATCTCCTTAAGCTGATCAGCAACTTCAGCAAAGTCTCAGGATACAAAATCAATGTGCAAAAATCACAAGCATTCTTATACACCAATAACAGACAAACAGAGAGCCAAATCATGAGTGAACTACCATTCACTATTGCTTCAAAGAGAACAAAATACCTAGGAATCCAATTTATAAGGGATGTGAAGGACCTCTTCAAGGAGAACTACAAACCACTGCTCAACGAAACAAAAGAGGACACAAACAAATGGAAGAACATTCCATGCTCATAGATAGGAAGAATCAATATCATGAAAATGGCCATACTGCCCAAGGAAATTTATAGATTCAATGCCATCCCCATCAAGCTACCAATGACTTTCTTCACAGAATTGGGAAAAACTACTTTAAAGTTCATATGGAACCAAAAAAGGGCCCGCATTGCCAAGGCAATCCTAAGCCAAAAGAACAAAGCTGGAGGCATCACACTACCTGACTTCAAACTATACTACAAGGCTACAGTAACCAAAACAGCATGGTACTGGTACCAAAACAGAGATATAGACCAATGGAACAGAACAGAGCCCTCAGAAGTAATACCACACATCTACAACCATCTGATCTTTGACAAACCTGACAAAAACAAGAAATGGGGAAAGGATTCCCTATTTAATAAATGGTGCTGGGAAAACTGGCTAGCCATATGTAGAAAGCTGAAACTGGATCCCTTCCTTACACCTTATACAAAAATTAATTCAAGATGGATTAAAGACTTAAAGGTTAGACCTAAAACCATCAAAACCCTAGAAGAAAACCTAGGCAATACCATTCAGGACATAGGCATGGGCAACGACTTCATGACTAAAACACCAAAAGCAATGGCAACAAAAGCCAAAATTGACAAATGGGATCTAATTAAACTAAAGAGCTTCTGCACAGCAAAAGAAACTATCATCAGAGTGAACAGGCAACCTACAGAATGGGAGAAAATTTTTGCAATCTACTCATCTGACAAAGGGCTAATATCCAGAATCTACGAAGAACTCAAAGAAATTTACAAGAAAAAAACAACCCCATCACAAAGTGGGCAAAGGATATGAACAGACACTTCTCAAAAGAAGACATTTATGCAGCCAACAGACACATGAAAAAATGCTCATCGTCACTGGCCATCAGAGAAATGCAAATCAAAACCACAATGAGATACCATCTCATGCCAGTTAGAATGGTGATCATTAAAAAGTCAGGAGACAACAGGTGCTGGAGAGGATGTGGAGAAACAGGAACACTTTTACACTGTTGGTGGGACTGTAAACTAGTTCAACCATTGTGGAAGACAGTGTGGTGATTCCTCAAGGATCTAGAACTAGAAATACCATTTGACCCAGCCATCCCATTACTGGGTATATACCCAAAGGAGTATAAATCATGCTGCTATAAAGACACATGCACACGTATGTTTATTGCAGCATTATTCACAATAGCAAAGACTTGGAACCAACCCAAATGTCCATCAATGATAGACTGGATTAAGAAAATGTGACACATACACACCATGGAATACTATGCAGCCATAAAAAAGGATGAGTTCATGTCCTTTGTAGGGACATGGATGAAGCTGGAAACCGTCATTCTCAGCAAACTATCGCAAGGACAAAAAACCAAACACCGCATATTCTCACTCATAGGTGGGAATTGAACAATGAGAACACATGGACACAGGAAGGGGAACATCACACACTGGGGCCTGTCATGGGGTGGGGGGAGGGGGAGGCATAGCATTAGGAGATATACCTAATGTAAATGACGAGTTAATGGGTGCAGCACACCAACATGGCACATGTATACATATGTAACAAACCTGCACGTTGTGCACATGTACCCTAGAACTTAAAGTATAATAATTAAAAAAAAAAGGATGGCAAATGATATCCATTGCTATTTAAGAGATATTGATGAATATGTAAAGCACCTTATCCTAAGCGACAGTCTTAAGTGACTAGGTGACTGTGGCATCTTAGAGACCTTAATTCCCAATATGGCTTGTAGTCACAGAATAATAATTTCATTATTACCTTGTATGTAAAGGACTAATGTAGATTAAGAATGATCAGAGAGGAGGCTAGAAAAGAGCATACAAAGAGTAATTTGGCAAGGTCTCTACCTAAACAAGGGAGCAGCCTGCCCACTATCCCTTTGGCAGGTGTTTTCCTGTAGTGGAAAGGGAGGCCTCAGGCAACGAGACCTGGATAATTCAAGCCTTTAGGATCGCCCAACCAATGCTTCTTGCTTGCTCTCCATGTTCATAAGCAAAGCTGGAATTATGACTTGATGTTCTACATTAATTTCCTACTGAAAAGAATACACTGAGCGGATGACAGGAGCTTTCTAGTCTGCAATATACTAAGATTTCTAGCTGCAGATCAATAAGGTGACTTTCTGGTTTAAGTATCAGTTGCATGAGCTTAATTAGTGGGAGTCCATCTGGAGCCTTCATCACCACCTGGAGATGCTGGTAGAATCACCTTGGTCATGTTACCCACCTTCAATTCTTTACCCTTCTATTTATCCACACCCTTTGCCATGTGGCTTTGCAGTTCCCCACGTAGAGGCAGAGCATATTTCCCTGCCCTTTGATGTGGGGTTTCACGGCATGACCTGCATTGCCCAATAGAATAAATGCCATGAGCACTGGCTCTAAAAAGTGTTTCTGTGGTCGGGCTTGTGCTCTGGTGCTTCTGCCACGGCCCTGAGAACATGTGTCAGAGATGCCAGGGAAGACGAAAGACATATGGAGTAGCCCTGAACCAATCCACGACTTGCAGCCAAGCCTAGTTGAGCCCAGATGAGCCCAGCCTGCCCAGCCTAGATCAGCTGGACTTCAGCCAGCCTGCATACGTAAGTGTGAGAAAGAAGTGCTTGTTGTTGTATACCTCTGAGTTTGGGGGTGCCTTGTTAGGTAGTTCTACTGGGACTATAGCTAACTAATACCTCTTTTCAGCCGGTCTCATGGCAGCTGTCACAGTGCTCAGCAACCATGTGTGGTCACTCCCCGCTAGAGCTCTTGGGAGCCCAAGAGAAGAGAGTTCTATTCTATTGCCCAGGTTGGAGTGTAGTAGCACAATCATAACTCACTGCATTCTCGACCTCCTAGGCTTAAGCGATCTTCCCACCTTAGCCTCTGAGTAGCTGGGACCACCGGCACACACCACCAAGCCCAGCTGATTTTTTGTTTTTGTAGAGATGAAGTCTCGTTATGTTGCACAGGCTGATCTCAAGAACTTCTGGCCTCAAGCAATCTTCCTGCCTCAGCCTCCTTAAGTGCTGGGATTACAGGCTTGAGCCATCATGCCCAGCCCCAAGACCAAGGTTCTTTGTCCCTGGCACCTGGGTTGGCCTACCCAGTGGCTGGAAACTTTTCCCAATCTCCTTCATCTGTACCTGGCTTCAAGATTCACCTGTGTCTGGAACCCCTGACACTGCAAATCCTTCCTTTCTTATTGATTGAGTCCTCTATGGCCTAGTGTCACATCCACACCACTGGGGTCCCTTCCCCAGCATCATCTCACCTGCCCCAAGGTTTTCTCTTTGCCACTGACCCCCTCCATCACCCCAGTTCCCAGCACCCAGCATGCCTAGAGATCAGTGTCAGACTGCAGGTTAGGCAAATTCGCCCTTTTTCTTTCTCTTCTCTTCTCTTTCCTTCCTTCCTACCTTCCTTCCTTCCTTCCTTCCTTCCTTTCTTTCTCCTTCCTTCCTTCCTTCCTTCCTTCCTTCCTTCCTTCCTTCCTTCCTTCCTTCCTTCCTTTTCTCCCTTTCTTTTTTTGACAGAGTCTTGCTTTTGTTGCCCAGGCTGGAGTGCAGTGGCACGATCTTGGCTTACTGCAATTTCTGCATCCCAGGTTCAAGCAATTCTCCTGCCTCAGCCTCCTGAGTAGCTGAGATTACAGGCATGTGCCAACATGCCAGGCTAATTTTTGGTTTTTGTTTGTATTTTTAGGAGACAGGTTTTCACCATGTTGGTCAGGCTGGTCTTGAACTCCTGACCCCAAATGATCCACCAGCCTCGGCCTTCCAAAGTGCTGGGATTACAGGCATGAGCCACTGCACCCAGCCTGGTCTGCCATTTCTAACCACAATGTGCATCCGTTTAAAACTGGTTTTAAAACCAAATACACTGCACCAGGGGCATGTGTTGGATAATACAAGTGTAGGTGGCATTCCAGTTGAATTCAGGCATCCCCAAACCTCCTCTGCTGTCCCCTGGCCCAACCTATTGCAGTGACTGCTACAAACAGAAGGTAAGAAGACAATAGTGGCCAAGTGGTTTGTGAGGACCATGGCTGATGGTTCTGTGCATTGTCTAGAGTCCAGCCAGAGTCCACACTGATGATGGGATACGTAACATTTCTCCTGACAGATGATTACTGTCAGGGAAAACAACAGCCTGCACGGAGGAGCTGCAGACTGTGCTAGGACAACAGCTGAACCCACCCCTCCCCCGTGTCCTCCAGGGGCTCTCATGTGATTCTGTGTTGGGCAAAAGGGTGGAAATGTAAGGGAGGTTAAAAACGGCAAGACAGCACTCAGAAAAAGTATGGAGGGAGGTCTGTTAATAGTAATTTATGGGAAAAGTAATTTATGATGTTAGATTAACCAAATGTTAATGGCCTTTGTCCTCAGGACACATTTTTGCAGAGTGTCCAGGCCAAAAGCTCCTCAGGCGTGAGGCCGGCAGCCCAGCATGGACATTTTCAGAGCACTTTGAGATTTACTTTAATGAGAACAGTCACTTGTATAAAACCAAAAATAGACATAGGAGGAGGTTCAGGAGAAAGGAACTTGTTCCTTTCGGGTAAATCACAAGGAACAAAGAGGGAAAATTTCGATCTTTAAAACTGCTTTCTCTAGCCTCATCTATTAAACTTCCCATTTTCTGGAGGCTGCTGTTTTGAGGCATTAAGAGACTTGTATTTTAATATACAAACCACAAAACCCTGGCTTTTCTCTGTGCTATGCCATTATCTGGCTCTTGGCAGACTTAAAATTCTTCCTTTTAAAACTATTTCCTTTTGGGAGTCAGCTGAAAGTCCGGTTCAAGCACCACATTGATAAAACTGAACACAGGACACCTCTTAAAAGGCAGCAATTATGGGTCCCAGTAGAAAAACAGTCCGTGGTGCCAGGCTTCCGAGACATCATGCCTCAAATGTGGCTTTGTGTCAACGCAGCTGTATCCACAGGCAAAAAGTTAAAAGACTTATTTAAAAATCTTTCCACTTCTGGAAGCTCTCTCTCTCTGCAACTTTGCTGCTGAGCAGGAGCAGAGTCGGGGTAGAACGATGCTCTCGCAGCTACCAGGACCCTGCTGGGTCTGGCACTTCCATGCCCTGACCTTGGGAGCCTGTGTCCATGGCTGTCCTGTTCTCTAACCTCGGCCCCGGTTTCCACGCTTTCTCATTTCTGTCTGAGCAGGCCTGAGCAAGTGTCTTGATAGTTGGTCAGTATCGAGGTCTAGAAGGAAAAGTCATACTTTTCTGTCTGTCTATATTCAGATGGCAAAATAGTAAAACCTGCATATTCATTCTGCACAGGATGAGCTCACAGGGAACCAGAATTTTTTTTTTTTAATTTGCAAAATCTGGTGGTTTAAGTCTACACAACTTTAATACAGTTTAGGCTTTTGATATCCAGTGAATTCTATCCCCTTACTACTCCCCAAATGGCCAATAGCTTGAATTTTGTCCCAGTGCAATTCTCACAAAGGTAGTGACCATTGTACGGAATGGATGTACAGAGACCTGAGGAAAGCCAGATGAGTTTGGACAACTAAATGGCCGACTGATGGTAGAGAATTAGAAAAATGATTTTAGTTTAAATAAAGAGTCATCCTTACTACTGTTGAATTTCCTCCCAAGTGGAAATCATTCTATAATGGCTGTGTCTATTATAGTATATTACAGTAACTGCAGGTGTCAAAAGTGTTCTATGTCAGGCTAGAATAACCTAGAGGCAGTAGTTTTTTAAATGATAAAATAAATCGAATGGATATAAACTCACGATAAACCTATTTTTTCCATCATCAACCTTTTCAAGTATTTAAATAAATAACTGCTATGTACTGTGAAAAAAAAACTGTTTCATTCTTAAACCGGGAAGAGGATTGTTACTGATTAATAAGAGCAGATGTACATCTCCGGCTTTTTTTCTTTTAGTCAGATCTTCCAGAAGAGACCCCACTCTTTTTTTTTTTTTTTTTTTTTTGAGATGGAGTCTTGCTCTGTCACCAGGCTGAAGTGCTGTGGTGTGATCTCAGCTCACTGCAACCTCCGACTCCCTGGTTCAAGTGATTCTCCTGCCTCAGCCTCCCAAGTAGCTGGGATTACAGGCACACACCACCACGCCCAGCTAATTTTTTGTGTGTTTTTAGTAAAGACGGGGTTTCACCATGTTGGCCAGGATGGTCTCGATCTCCTGACCTCATGATCCACCCACCTCAGCCTCCCAAAGTGCTGGGATTACAGGCATGAGCCACCTTGTCTGGCCGAGACCCTGCTCTTTTTAAGTCAACTTTTTATTGAAGTATAATGTGTACATGAAAAGTACACATATCATATAACTGTAGCTCGATGGATTTTCAAAAAGTACACCACTTAACTAGCATTAAGATCAAGAAACAGAATGCCACCAACACCTCAATGTCCCCTCCCTCCCCCTTGCTTTTATTTTCTCATCAAGCAGGAGTCAGCAAATCTGGCCCCTGCCTATTTTAGCAAATAAAGTTTTATTGGAACACAGCCCTGCTCATTCATTTACATCTCATCCATGGTTGCTTTTGTACTGGAATGGTGGAGTGAATGTTTGCAACAAGGACCATATGGCCTGTGGAGCTTAAAAAAGTTACTCTGTGGATCTCTACAGAAAAAAGTTTATGGGCCCCTCCCTGTTCTAGAGCAGAACTGATCAGTAGAATATAATGCGACTCACAGTCATAATGTTAAATTTTCTAGTAACCAGATTAAAAAGTAAGATTAGACAGGTAAAATTAATTTTAATACTATTTAATTTCCCAATATATCTAAAATGCCACTTAAATATGTAACCAATTTCAAAAATGAGATATTTTATCTCTTTTTCATTATGTTTCTAAATCTGGTATGTATTTTACACTGATTGCACATCTCAGTTCACACAAGCCACACGTCAAGTGCTGGACAGTGCCATGTATTCTGGGACTACTGTGCTGGGTGCCACACTTCTAGAACCCCCTCTGGGTCTCCGGAAGCTGAAGTGGCAGCACCTCTACCCTCTTGTTGAGCCCACTGCCAGTCTAGGCACCTCCCTTTTAACTGCATGCACGTTTATGCATAAGCTTTCCTGATTCTTTAAAATGTGAATTTTCAAAACCACCCTGAGAAATCCTACAACACTTAGTAGTAACATATCTCAGGGATGAAGAGTAAGGAACTGTGGCCTAAACTGACAGTTTTATGAGCAAGGGTAGAGTGAGCTGATGAGCATCAAAACCCTTTGGACTTTCACTAAGGGAAAAATTACATGAAAACTGCAAACAAATGCTAAATGCTTCAGATGAAGGATAAAAAGCAAAAAAGGAATCAATGAGCATCCCTCAAGAGGATCTTCAGCAACTCAGCTGTGCCATTATCCTATTCAGTGACAAAACAATGTTGACTGCAGGGCAAAACAGTAATTTAATTTTGGTCTGCCCAATATTACAAAAAGAGATAAACAAAAGAAAAATGGAATAGTTGCTAATGTTCAAAAATTAAGAGATACTACTTACAAATCTGGATTTCTGTTGTCTTTTGAAAAATCAAAAGGTCTGTGAGCACAGGTCCTGTATTCTCAGGTAATTATGGTAGGCTGGATGGAGTAACTGGTGCCCCTGCCCATAGAAGAAGGTGCTATCTCTATTCATGACAAACCCACAGCCAATATCATACTGAATGGGCAAAAACTGGAAGCATTCCCTTTGAAAACCGGCACAAGACAAGGATGTCCTCTCTCACCACTCCTGTTCAACATAGTATTGGAAGTTCTGGCTGGGCCAATCAGGCAAGAGAAAGAAATAAAGCATATTCAAATAGGAAGAGAGGAAATCAAATAGTCTGTGTTTGCAGATGACATGATTGTATATTTAGAAAACCCCACCGTCTCAGCCCAAAATCTCCTTAAGCTGATCAGCAACTTCAGCAAAGTCTCAAGATACAAAACCAATGTGCAAAAATCACACACATTCCTATACACCAATAATAGAGAGCCAAATCATGAGTGAACTCCCATTCACAATTGCTATAAAGAGAATAAAATACCTAGGAATCCAACTTACAAGGGATGTGAAGGACTTCTTCAAGAACTACAAACCACTACTCAAGGAAATAAGAGGGGGACACAAACAAATGGAAAAACATTCCATGCTCATGGATAGGAAGAATCAATATCGTGAAAATGGCCATACTACCCAAAGTAATTTATAGATTTAATGTTATCCCCATCAAGCTACCATTGACTTTCTTCACACAATTAGAAAGAACTACTTTAAATTTCATATGGAACCAAAAAAGAGCCCGTATAGCCAAGACAATCCTAAGCAAAAAGAACAAAGCTGGAGGCATCACACTACCTGACTTCAAACTATACTACAAGGCTACAGTAACCAAAACAGCACAGTAATGGTACCAAAACAGGTAGATAGACCAATGGAACAGAACAGAGCCCTCAGAAGTAACGCCACACATCTACAACCATCTGATCTTTGACAAACCTGACAAAAACAAGCAATGGGGAAAGGATTCCCTATTTAATAAATGATGTTGGGAAAACTGGCTAGCCATATGCAGAAAACTGAAACTGGACCCCTTTCATAAACCTTATACAGAAATTAACTCAAGATGAATTAAAGACTTAAACATAAGACCTAAAACCATGAAAACATTAGAATAAAACCTAGGCAATACAATTCAGGACATAGGCATGGGCAAAGACTTCATGACTAAAACACCAAAAGCAATGGCAACAAAAGCCAAAATAGACAAATGGGATCTAATTAAACTAAAGAGCTTCTGCACAGCAAAAGAAACTATCATCAGAGTGAACAGGCAACCTATAGAATGGGAGAAAATTTTTGCAATCTATCCATCTGACAAAGGGCTAATATCCAGAATCTACAAGGAACTTAAACAAATTTACAAAAAAAAAAAAAATCAAAAAGTAGGTGAAGGGTATGAACAGACACTTCTCAAAAGAAGACATTTATGTGGCCAACAAACATATGAAAAAAAAGCTCATCATCACTGGTCATAAGAGAGATGCAAATCAAAACCACAATGAGATACCATCTCACACCAGTTAGAATGGTGATCATTAAAAAGTCAGGAAACAACAGATGCTGGAGAGGATGTGGAGAAATAGGAAAGCTTTTACACTGTTGGTGGGAGTGTAAATTAGTTCAACCATCGTGGAAGACAATGTGGCAATTCCTCAAGGATCTAGAACTAGAAATACTATTTGACCCAGCAATCCCATTACTGGGTATATACCCAAAGGATTATAACTCATTCTACTATAAAGACACATGCACATGTATGTTTATTGCAGCACTATTCACAATAGCAAAGACTTGGAACCAGCCCAAATGCCCATCAATGATAGACTGGATAAAGAAAATGTGGCACATATATGCCATGGAATACTATGCAGCCATAAAAAAGGATGAGGTCATGTCCTTTGCAGGGACATGGATGAAGCTGGAAACCATCATTCTCAGCAAACTAACACAGGAACAGAAAACCAAGCACCAGATGTTCTCACTCATAAGTGGGAGTTGAACAACAAGAACACATGGACACAGGGAGGGGAACATCACACACTGGGGCCTGTTGGGGGGTGGGGGACTGTGGAGGAATAGCATTAGCAGAAATACCTAATGTAGATGACAGGTTGATTGGTGCAGCAAACCATCATGGCACGTGTATACCTATGTAACAAACCTGCATGTCCTGTACATGTATCCCAGAACTTAAAGTATAATTAAAAGAAGAAGAAGAAGAAGAAGAAGAAGAAGAAGAAGAAGAAGAAGAGGAAGAGGAAGAGGAAGAAGAAGAAGAAGGAAGAAGAAGAAGAAGAAGAAGAAGAAGAAGAAGAAGAAGAAGAAGAAGAAGAAGAAGAAGAAGAAGAGGAAGAAGCAGCAGCAGCAGCAGCAGCTCTCTAGTTGGCCATGTTCTCCACCATTCCCACCTGTCACACACCAGCCATGCACCCATTTGCTTGACTACCTAGTTTTTGAGCTTGTGTCCCCTGCAGTAGTCATTCCTTTGGGACAATAAGACTTTTCTGAGTTACAATAGGCTAATGTTGAAAGCAATATGGTTGCATGCTATTGGCAATAGGAAAAATTGTAGCAAAATTAAACACCATTATTTATCATGTTTATATTCGAGTGGTTTCAGTTTAACCTTAAGGGGCTTTGAGCCTTTAGCTTATATCTTAGTAGAATAGTTGGTCCCAGATTCAAAGGCAAGTGATGTTTTTTTATCCCTCACATATCTGAGGTAATGAAGTGTTTAATGAGGGAACTCCCAACAGCACAGGCTTGAAATTACAAACTGTTTCCAATCTTGCCAGCCAAACTGGAAAAACACTCCACCAACATCATTTCTAGAGCTACTCTCCCTTATTTTGGCATTGGAATTTGACATACTGGAGGATTTCAATATGATTTACCATCATATTGAAATTAAAGATTTATTCTTCCCCACTGAAGGTATTTGTACTCTAAAGATTGTTAATTTGCCCAAATCATGTTGTTTTTAAAAGTTATGAATAGTTAATGAGTCAAAGAATTGCATGTTTTATAGAAGGATAAAATGTATTCTTTATAAAGTCAGTAGTTTCTATTTGAAATCATTTTGAGGACTAAAGGTTATTTTTTTTCAGAATAACTTTTTACTTCTAATATGATTAGTTCTTTTCAAAAGAAATTAAAGAAAAGTGACTATATTTTTCAATATTGCTTGTCAGTTGATATTCGCGCATGCTGGTGGATTGTGGTAGTCCAGGCACCTCTTGGAGTTACTGTTGGTTTGGTTCCAGACCACCACAATAAAGCAGATATCACAATAAAGTGAATATTGCAATAAAGGGAGTCATGCAAAGTTTTTGGTTTTCCAGTGCATGTAGAAGTTATGTTTAGACTCTACTATAGTCTATTAAGTACCTAATAACAATTTGTGTATGTAAAAATACTTTATCTCCGAAAAATACTAACGATCATCTGGGCCTTCAGCAAGTTGTCATTTTTTGCTGGTGGAGAGTTTTGCCTTGATGTTGATGGCTGCTGGCTGATCAGAGTGGTGGTTGCTGAAAGTTGGTGTTGCTGTGGCAATTTATTGAAATAAGACAACAATGATGTTTGTCACATTGATTGACTTTTTTTCATCAAAGATTTCTCTGTAGCATGTGATGTTGTTTGATAGCATTTTACCCACAGTAGAACTTGTTTCAAAATTGGAGTAATCTTCTCAAATCCTGCCACTACTTTATCAACTAAGTTTATAAAATATTCTAAATCTTTAGTTGTCATTTTAACACTGTTCACAGTATCTTCACCAGGAGCAATTCCATCTCAATAAACGATTTTCTTTGCTCATTTGCACGAAGCAACTCCTCATTCATTTGAATTTTATCATGGGATTGCAGTAATTCAACGACATCTTCAGGTTCCATTTCTAATTCTATTCTCTTGCTGCTTCTACCACATCTGCAGCAGATTCCTCCACAGAAGTCTTGAGTCCCTCAAAATCATTCATGAGAGTTGGCATCAACTTCTTCCAAACTCCAATTTATACTGATATTTTGACCTCCTCCTGTGAATCATGAATGTTCTTTGTGACATCTAGAATGCTGAATTCTTTTCAGAAGATTTTTCAATGTATTTTGCTCAGATCCATCAGAGGAATCACTACCTATGGCAGCTATAGCCTTACAAAATGTAGTTCTTAAATAATAAGACTTGAAAGTTGAAATTACTTCTTGATCCATGGGCTGCAGAATGGATGCTGTGTTAGCAGGCCTGAAAACAACACGAATCTCTTCTTACATCTCAGTTAGAACTCTTGGGTGGCCAGATGCATTGTCAATAAACAGTAATATTTTTAAAGAAATGTATTTTTTTCTAAGCAGTAGGTCTCAACAGTGGGATTAAAATATTCAGTAAACCATCCTGTAAACAGATGTGTGGCTGGGTGCAGTGGCTTACGCCTGTAATCCCAGCACTTTGGGAGGCCGAGGCAGGTGGATCACCTGAGGTCCAGAGTTCGAGACCAGCCTGGCCAACATGGCGAAACCCCATCTCTACTAAAAATACAAAAAAAAAAAAAAAAAAAAAAAAAAGCCAGGGATGGTGGTGAGTGCCTGTAATCCCAGCTACTAGGGGGTGCTGAGGCAGGAGAATTGCTTTAACTCAGGAGGCAGAGGTTGCAGTGAGCCAAGATCGCACCACTACACTCCAGCCTGGGCAACAGAACAAGACTCTGTCTCAAACAAACAAACAAACAAACAAACAAAAAAAACAAAGAAACAAAAAAGCAGATGTGCTGTCATACAGGCTTTACAGTTCCAATTGTAGAGCACAGGCAGAGTAGATTTAGCCTAATTATGAAGGGCTCTAGGATTTGGGGAATGATAAATGAATATTGGCTTCAACTTAAGGTTGCCAACTGCATTAGCCCCTAACAAGAGTCAGCCTGTTCTTTGATGTTTTGAAGCCAAGCATTGACTTCTCTCTAGCTATAAGAGCTGTAGATGACATCTTCTTCCAACAAAAGGCTGTTTCATCTACAATGAAAATCTGTTGTTTAGTGTAGTGAGTTGCAATTATCAATTATCTTGGCTAGATCTTCTGGACAGCTTGCTGCAGATTCTCCACTGGCACCTGCAGATGGCCTCTTTTCTTAAATCTCATGAACTAACTTTGTTAGCTTCAAACTTTTCTTCTGCAGCTTCCTCATGTGACTTAGCCTTCATATTGACAAAGCTCCCCAGCAGGACCTGCACAGAGTAGGTACAAGGGCAGTTCTGCCTGCAAGCCAGCCTAGCCCTGTGCATCCTTAAATGCTTTTTCTCATTGGTCCCAGTTCCCTTCCCTGATTTTCAGCTGTGGGATGCTCTCACAGGTTTCAGTGTTTGAAAAGGTCACTTTTGTCACATGATAAGCCCCTTTACAGTGTGGATGCCTGGATCATCCCCCAAATAAACATGAACACTTTATAGCAGGGAAAGAGGAGACTCTGCCTTTATGGTTCAGATCGTCATTTCAATGGTGGCCTTTTTAATTCCATAAGCTGGCAAAATCTATGGGGCTGCGTTTGTTACTCCCAACTCCAGGTGAGGTTATAGATTTAATTCACTTCAATAGAACTGAAAGAACAAAAGCCAATTCATGTTCAAGCCAGCACTGCCAAAAAAATCACAGTAAAGTCCTTTTGAAAAAACCCTTCACCGAGTGTGGTGGCTCACGCCTGTAGCCACCTCACTCGGCTAAGGATTTTTTCAAAAGGATTTTACTGTCCTTGGGAGGCTGGGGTGGAAGGAACACTTGAGGCCAAGAGTTTGAGGCTGCAATGTGCTATGTTCACATCTGTGAATAGCCACTCTCACTCTCACTCTTGGCAACATAGTGAGACCCTATCTCTAAAAGAAAATAAAGTCCTTGCCGGGTAGTTAACGAGGGATTGAAAATGACCCATAGGATCAAATGTTCCCTAAAGAACAGATAACTTTTGGAGAATAAGAGAGGCCGAAGAAAAAAGAGAAAAGTGAGACAAAAGTCCACACTGGAGATGATGGAAACGTTCTTACATGTGGGTTATGTCTCATCTCTCAACAACAAACTCTCTTAACCAGTTTTCAAGATTTGAAATCTGTGAGTTCCTAGAAAGAAAAGACATTTGTTCATCAATTGCTCTGGATAACTCTGAGCATAATGAGGTGCCCATGAAAGGAGCTTGTGGAACATGCATGAAAAATGCTCTACGGGTCCCCAGGAAATGGAACTGTGTGGATTCAAGGCTTTGTCTCTCACTGCCCATCCTGGATGAAGATGTTCTCCCAGCACTTCAAGGCGTGACTGAACGTAAGGGCATGTAAAGACAATTCCTCAATTAACAGAAGTGGTTTCTGGTTGGCTAAGGGGCATGGGGACTTACCCTTGACAGAAGCCCATGAACAGGCTATGTCAACAATGATAAGGCATTCCTATAAACTGTGGGGAAGGGCTCTCTATGGAAAGGAAATGACAATGTGTGTTTGCGCTTTAAAAAAGAACATAAGAACAACTCTTTCTTTTAACTTGTGTTTCCCCAAGTTGCCTGCTCACGGTCACGCTGGTGAAAATCAGGCACCTTGTAAGGATAGACAACCAACCAACCGCAAACTGCTGCCCAAGTATGCAGTGCTGAGCGTGGCCACTGTCTTACCAAGGTGTGGCACCAGGGAAAAGGAGTGGGGAAGGAAACCCTGAGACCCAGACTCACCCACTTCCACTGGCAAACCTTTGTGTGACCAGGAATGTTCTCTCCAAGTTTCTGTTTCTCTGTTTGTGAAATTTGAGGTTGGAGTTGGCTAAAACTAAAAGTGTTCAGCTTTTTCCTTGATTATAGAAATAATAACTACTCATTGTAGGGAATACAATAAAGCTGGAAGAAGAATATCAAAAACATTGATAATCTTGCCACCTCGAAGTAACCACTGTTATCATTTGGTATATTAATTTTAGGCAATTGTCCTCAAATACATGTATTAACATATTTTTTATAAATAGCTACTCTTTCAAATTCTTTGCAGTTCTAAGGCTTTACTGCTGCAGGAAAGGCGGGTTTCAATTTTGCATTTACAGAAGCACTTTTGATTTAAAGATACTGCTTACTCTCACTTTAAACATGTCAGTACTGTACATTTCAAATGTCCCATTGGATTTGAAGCCAAGTGTTTTAGATAGGATTCATTCAGAGGGTGAGTGGGAAAGGGGAGGACCTTGCTAGCCATATTGCACAAAGAAAAGTGGAGAGGGAAGGGGTACAGGGTTGCAAAGGTGCAAGAAGAAAGGCCCAGGAGAGAAACCAGAGGTAAGGGTGGAACTAGATCCTCCAGGGGGAGGTGGTAGAGAGAAGGAAGGAAAGGATCTTCTCTAGCCAAGCAATTCTCTTAAGACAGAACAGACTCTGAGTGGGTAAATAGCCCCTGGTAGAGAAAAGCATTAAGCCAGGGACCCAGAGACATGGTGAACTCCATCACTTAGGTGGTTTTGTGACTTTGGCTGGGTTATGGAACCTCATCGAGTTTCCATGTCTTCATCTGCAAAATGTGGGCAGCAGGTCCTGCTCAGTCGCCACACTGTGGCTGGTATGATACGGCGGATCTAGCCCATGAAAGCTGTAGGCAGGTTCCAGGGCATGCCCAAGGGCAAGTTATTCTCACTGCCATGAGGAGGGAGGTCCCATCCTGGCCTTTATTCATTTTCCTTCTCAAGTATTTATGCAATTGCGTACCAACAAAAGGGACTTTGTGCACAGTAGCTTTTCTCACCGGTTTTGTTCCTCCCTTAGAAACCACATGGTTGTCAGGCAAAGGTTAAAGCTGACAGGGGGATCGTAACAGATGCCAGGGAACATCCATGAGGCGCTGAGCACTGGGGCTGCGCAGACTCTGATTTGTGCTCCTCCCACTGCAGAAACAATCTCACCCAACAGTCCTGCTGGAATCCTGTTCCCAATCATCAGGTTGGTCCACTCATGGATGGATTTAAAATGATCCTAGAGGCCTCCCGGGCCATCCAGGCTGACAAGCTGGTGTTGTCAGGCCACTGGGTGGAGGTTTGGGGGCTGGAGAGGAGGCTCGGGTGAAGTCTCGGGGACCCCAGTGTGTGGGGAGGCGGTGGTACCCTCAGCACCAGCCCTGCACCCAGAGTTACTTCCCACACTAGAGAAATAGACGCCGGAGTGCAGGTGTGCAGAGACTTGCCAAGCTATCCAAACAGTGCCAAACCTGTCTGCAAAAGACTCATCCAGGCCATTGGTTTAGATTTCACCACAGTTGGGAGTATGATTTCCTGTAGCCATGCGGGAAAGAGACCTGACTGGAAGCAGCCAGCTCCAGCCCCCAGCATGAATCCCAGTGATAAAGGGAGTGGCTACAGCCACACACGATCCTCCCAGGGTCACACAGCATTATTCATAATAGCCAAAAAGTGGACCCAATCCAAATGTCTATAAATTAATGAATGGACAAACAGAATAGGGTATGTCCATACAATGAAATATATATGTAGTTATAAAAAGGACTGAATTACTGATATGGGTTACAACATGGATGAACCTTGAATATGTATGAACCTTATAGTACGTAGATCATACTTTAATTTTTAGAAAGTACAAAAAGTAACAGTCTTATTAAAATTAACATCACTCTTAAACTTGATTGGGTAAATTAATTAATTAACCAGGCCATATCTCTCTTCCTCAAGACACAAAACAAATGCAAGCTTAGTTCACAATATCCTATGCAATGTAGTATGACTGATCTTAGACTTACTTATTGCAGAATCTGTTTAAAAAGAAGTCAGAATGTAACTAGCAAAAGTTACTTCATGTTAAAAGAAGATGGAAATAGCCTTCCAATGAGAGAAGATATGTTTTTGTTTTTTAACTAAAATCTGAGGATAATTTTTTAATTAAAAAACCCTCTGATTTTTGTGAAGTGACTGTTTTAGCCAGCTGAATAAATTACTTTCTTTTTCTTGTCCCCTCCACTCAAAATATGTTTCAGATATATTATAGTTAAGTCAATAAATAGTGAAACCAGATGAAAATATAGGCGTATGTCTGTCTTATCTCTGGATTGAGAAGATAATTCTCAACATTCACTCCCACAAGAAAGGAAAGGAAAGGAGACAGGGGAGGGGAAGAAAGAAAGGAAAGAAGGATGGAGAAAGAAAAAGAGAGGGAAAGGAAGAAAGGAAAGAAAAAAGAAAGAGAAAAAAGAAAGAATCAAGGAGAAAAAGGTTGACAAATTTAATTATATTAAAAATAGTTATCTGTATATCAGCATATATAATAAACAATTAAAAAGCAAAGCAAAAGCTTGGCTTATCATTTGCTAAGAATTTATAAAAGATAATATACTTAACTTATAATGAATTTAAATACAGCAATAAAAACTCTAGTATCCCAATGGTGAAATTAGAAATTTTGAATAGAAAAAACACAGGATAGAAAAGACATGTGATTAATTTGAAAATGTTGAAACTTCCTAGTAACAAAAACGCAAATTAAACTGACAACAAGAGACTATTTCTCATTTGTGAAATTAGTGAAGATTAAGAAAGAGATAATGCTTCCCTGTGGATTTCTCAGAGCCTTTATTTTCCCTGGAGGTATTTTAATTTTCTTTGAATAGTTCATGTGTATTGAGTTAATTCTCAAGTATATTATTTCCTTTTTGCTGCTATTACATGAACAGATTCTGGGCTCACACTGAGCTGGGTTAAAACCCAAGCTGTGTAATTCACTCTGTGTGTGTGTGTGTGTGTGTGTGTGTGTGTGTGTGTGTGTGTTGGGGGGGGCGGTGTGTGATGTTCAGTGTTACTTAATCTCTCTGAGGCTTAGTTTCCACACATATCTGCAAAATGGGGATCATTACAGTACCCATCTTACAGCAGTGTTGTATGGAAATTATATAGATAAAGCTTTAGGGGAGGTGTCTGCACATGATATACAATAAATGGTAGTTAATACAATGGCGCAGTGGCCAGGATGAGGCTCTTTCAATATCTTCCCATTCCTCTAAAATTAATACTTGTCACTAAGACTCTGATGCATTTTTGTTGCTTTTTATAATAATGTGATTATATACCTTGAATTTGGCAAAAATCAACAAAAATTTATTTAAGAAAATAGTTAAGTTCAGCAAGATTATAGGATGTTACCTATAAACGTAAAAATCAACAGCATTATTTAATGTTAGTAATGGAACAGAAACTCATTATCTTCCTCTATCATAACAGCTACAAAAATTAAATAGATGAGAATTACATAATTCAATAAACATAAGAGCCGTTCAAAATTATATAACCCTAATAGGAGAAATGAAGAAAGATTTAGATAAATGGAGAGAGAGAGAGAGAGAGCTCATGGTCTCCTAATTGGTAGATTAGAAATTCTATCCATGAAAATATTCTTTAATTTACTATCAATATTTAATGTAATTCCAATTAAAGTAGGGACATAACTGTGAGGAATTAAGTTAGATCTAATTAGTCCAATTTTTCTGAAGAAGGAGCCAGTGATCTGTAATGAGAATTACAAATCTTTTCATGCTCTAATATTTAAGTTACTAATGTGGAAATTGAGGATTAATCCTTTAATTTAGTTTTGGTGCGATGGCGTCATGAGGAACTAGTCACTTATGAATTCACTCAAATTTTAGTTAATTGAAACAAGAATTTACCTGGAAGAAATGGGGATCTCTTATGTTCAGTGTTATAATCGCTGGAGCACTCAGTGCATTAATTCTGTAACCCATTTTGCCTAGTGGTCTGCAGTCGACATGGATTGTGCAGCATCTGATGTCACCAGATGATACCAGTCGTGGGAACAAAAGTGGCTGAGCTCAGACCACTGCTCTGTCCCTAAGTGCTTGGTGCAGAGCTCAACTCTCCCTCTGGGATGCAGAACAGGGCGACTTATCTGGTAGCCCGGAATACCAGATGGCCTGGCCATGCCCCAAAGGAACAAAGGCAGCCAGTCCCGGTCCTAGCACAGTGCCCAGAGCTCAGAGGAATGTGTGACAGGCAAGGACCCTGGATTCCCTCATCGACTGTCATCCTTAGAGGAGCAAGATGCACTCTCTCCTTCTGGCCAGGAACCTTTCCTTCTGTAGCTTTTCTGCAATTAAACAAGTTCATGGAGAGGAGAGATTTTCCTACTCAGCCTGGTTCACTAAACGGAGTGCTTGAAAAAAGCTTGAAAAAATTTAAATAATTCTGAGCATCCACTCAACTTCCCATTCATATTTGCTGTTACTTAAGCAAAGCAATGCAGGCCCGAATTTCAGGGAAGACGGCTTTTGAGATAAACTGACTTCTTTCTGTTAACTAAATATTTCCTTACCATTTGCCTTCAGGTACTGATTTATTTACCTTAGAGTATAGCTTTTTAAATGCTGATCTTTTAATTGCCTCATGTAAATGATGTGAAATTCGGTTTACTCCTTTTATAACTCAGTAGACTTTATTTATGTCCTTTTTTATCTGATCTCGTTTAAAGTAATATAATGATTGTTATTGAAGACTTTAAAATATTCTGCCCTCAAAAAATTTTAATGAAGTTGAAGGCAAAAACATTTACACATGAGCACTTCAAACAATAAAGAAGATTTATATACATTCCACACACATACCTATAGATACACACATTCACCACCACCACACACCCACATATGTATATGTATATAAACAAAACAATGTGCTATAATTTACACAATTACTAGTGCAGACATGAAGAAAATGATAGATGCAATGTGGGAGTTAGTCTAGGAAATCCCTCCCTTCCTTCTTCCCTTCATTCCTTCCTTCCTTCCTCCCTCCCTTCCTTCCTTTCTTCCTTCCTCCCTCTTTCTTTCTTTCTTCTTTCTTTTTCTCTTTCTTTCTCTTTCTCTTTTTCTCTTTCTTTCTGTCTTTTTCTTTCTCTTTCTCTTTTTTCTCTCTCTCTTTTTCTTTCTCTCTCTCTCTTTCTCTCTTTCCTTCCTTTCTTTCTTTCTCTCTCTCTCTCTCTCTCTTTTCTTCACAGGGTCCTGCTCTGTTGCCCTGGCTGGAGCGCAGTGGCTTGCTCTTGGCTTATTGCAGCCTTGACCTCCTGGATTCTCTTGCCTCAGTCTCTCAAAGTGCTGGGATTGCAGGTGTGAGCCACTGTGCCTGGCCTAGAGTCAAGTTTTAAAGAGAATGATGAACATTATTTATTATACAACTTAAAAGACAGAAGATTGGGATGTCAGGTCTACATGTTACCACAAAAGATAAGAATAATACAAAAACAAAAGAAAAAACTAAAAAGACCGAAGATCATTCTATTTTCCTAGTTTGCATATTTATGAAATCTGAAGACTAAATACAGCCAACAGGGCCAGCCATGAGGTGCCTCCCTTCACACCAGTATTCTTGATTTGCTCCTCCACTTTTAAGGGGGTGGGAGGGCAGGAGGAGGAGCCTGTCAGGGAACCAGAGCGTCGCACTGGGTGGGAGGTTGCAGCTGTGGGGCTGAATGCTGCTGCTTACTAGCTGTGCGATTTGGGTTAGGCCATTTGTCCTTCCTGTGCTTAGCAGGGTACCTGGCACCAAGCAAGTGCCCCATAAACATGGGCTATCCCTTCTCCCTGCTATTGTCACCCATAGGCAGCTTCCACTTTGGCAAAAATGGGTCCCAGTTGCATCTTCCCACTTAAGCAAAAAGCTGAATGAGGGGATGTGAATTTGCTCGTAGGTAATCTGCTGCTCATGCCAGTGGTTTATTTCATGTTCTTTATAGGTGGAATATTTAGGGAGCTGCCTATGGGCTGATCCATTAACTAGGCTCTGACAGTCTGTACTAAGGAGATTAGCAGGAGTCACTAAATGATCCATAACCATTACACACACTAGGGGAAAACCTTGCACCCAGCACAAGGTCCCTCCACATTTCATGTGATGCTTAGTTGTGGGTTACCAGGCCACTGGGGGTCTCACTCACAGGGGATCCTTGTGCAGGCGATGTGGTGGAGGAAAGCTCTCAGGAGAAGGGGACGGGGACAAGCAGGAGGGGGCAGGGGAATGGGACCTCAGCAGGATGCCAACCTCAGCCTAAGCCTGCAGGGAGCTCTGGGGTTTGAACACAGATTTGGTCCTGCACTGGGGCGAGGGGACTGCACTTTTGCACCCCTGTGCTAGTCAGCCACGGGCTGTGGGCTGCCTTGCATCTCATAGGGGAGAATCTCCTGGGGAGGGAGGCCAGTTAGCAGCCACCACTCCTAACACGGTGGGGCACCAGCCCAGGCTTGAAGATCTGGTGGGGCCCCAAGCGCACTGCTACACTCACTACTCATATAGAGATACCTTCTGTTCTCTTCCTTGTGCATGTAAGACCATAAAACCAAGTAATTGAGAGCAAAATATTCTTGGCATTCTTGCTATTTTAAGAGCTCAACACGTTGTAAACAGTAACTCAGAAAAGCTGAACACCAAGGGACATTTGTACTTAACTGGCTTTTAAAAAATATAGGTTTTATGTGGACACGGGAAGGGGAACAACACATACCGGGTCCTGTTGGGGAGTCGGGAGTGAGGGGAGGAAACATAAAGGATGAGTCAATACGTTCAGCAAACCACCATGGCACACGTATACCTACGTAACAAACCTGCATGTTCTGCACGTGCATCCTGGAACTTAAAGTTAAAATATATATATATAACCTATATCTATCTATCTATATATAGATATAGGTTTTATTATGATTTTGTTTTGGCAAGACCAGCATATCAGGAGATGACTATCATTGAAAAGACGGTTTGTTACTCACAGATCCCAAGAGGAGGGCTTGCCACGTTGTCAGGGGCCACACAGGGAAGCACCAAGGTCTGTTAGAGGCAGAAGGTGAGGGGAAAACTGTGGGCGGGAGCTTTCACTGTGGTTTCCGTGGGGAGGAACATGTAGGGCAGGGTAATCCGGCTTAGGAGTGGGTGGTTTGAATAATTTCATTAGGCTCTGGAGCATAGGGGCTGCTGTGGTTTGAATGTCTGTGCCTCCTTCAAAATTCATGTTAAAACTTAATCCTCAGTGCAACAGTGTTAAGAGGTGGGGCCCTTAGGAGGGGAGAAGGCCATGAGGGACCTGCCCTTATGAATAGATTAGGGTCTTACCAAAGGGCTTGAGGAGGTGAGTTGGCCCTTTCTGTCCCTTCTGCTGCATGAGGACAGAGCATTCGTCCCCTCCAGAAGATGCAGCAACACCTGGAAGCAGAGAGCAGCCCTCACCAGACACTGAACCTGCTGGTGTCTTCTTCTTGGACTTCCTAGACTCCAGAACTGTTAAGAATAAATGCCTATTGTTTCTAAGTTACCCAGTCTGGGGCACTGAGGGACTAAGGAAGGGGCTGTCCCTGGTTGTCTGGTACCTGGCCCCGGGGTGATCAGGGCTGGTGGGTCATGGCCCGGAGGGTGGGAGCACATGAAAGAGGTGGCTGGGATGTGGGCTACAGAGTGGTTGGTTTGCCTTTGAAAGGCGTGCTTGAGGGTGAGTCTTTTTTACTATTTCCAAAAATTAGCCCTGGGAGGGACAGTGGGGAGCAAGAGGGAGGCAGTCTAGGGAGGTGGGGAGAGCCATCGGGATGCCACACAGGTCTTGTCTCTGTAAAGGAGAGTGGGGAGGAAGGAAGGTTGGGGACAGCATCCTAGATCACCATGCTGGCTTAGAAAGGTTGGCAAGGCCATCTGGGAGTCACAGAGCCAGCGATGACTATCAGAGGCCGCCTGCGTCCTTGGGAATGTGCTTGCCTTAGTATCCCCACTGGGCTCAGCCACTGGCTTAGAAATTTAGTGATGGATTAGAGAGCACAGCAGGTGGTGCCCTCGGCCAGTCACGTCCCCTTTAGTTGCAAATCTGCAGATACATTCTCACCACCACACAGTGTACGGATGAAATGCATTGAAATAGGTGAAGCCCTTGGAACACTGCCAGGTACATGGCGAACACTGTGTAAGATCTGCTATCATTATTATTATAATTGTTATTATTCATTGCTAGAAACATTATCTGTATGGTAGAACCAATACATGCATTTGTTTTTGTTTGTGTTTTGCTTTGTAGCTATCTCCTATAAGAAGGAGAATCCATGTATTTTAAAAGTCTATGTCTAGGGTGATATGAACTATTACTATTTAACTTTCCATATGTATTTATTGTATCTACTACAATAAACTTGCAGAATATAGCTCTTATATTTCTTTGTCCTCCCTGGAACACTTACTGTATATCCAAGCTCATTGTACCTGCTCAACGAATGTTTGCTAAATAAACGATGGGTTCAAATGTATCAGGGAAATTACACTGATATAATCTCAAGTACTTGACGGGCTTAACTTTATCTTTGAAATCAGTTCATAAAACAATCTCGGTCTACTCTTCCTATTCAGTCACACCTATTTATTTTCCCAATACTTTAAAATAAAAAGTTTCAAACAGAGTGAAATTGAAATAATTTTTCAGTGAACACTCACATACACACCACCAAGATTTTACCACTGACATTTTACAATATTTGTTTTATCCATATTTTTCCATCTCTACCTCCCTCTACGCATCCCTCAATCCATCTTACTTTTGGTGCATTTAAAAGAAAAACTTGGATGTCTGTACTTCCCACTAAATACTTCTAACATACATATCACTAACTAGAATTCAATTTTTTCAGGTTAAAAAATGTTAATGTAAAAATTTATGTTACGTTTTTAGACGAACGAAACTACTTCCAAGCACCAAGTACCAGACATCTCCTTGCTGAGAGCAGTTGGCAGCTTCACATTTCTAAGGTGAATTGGGTGCCCTGGGAGGGTGGAGTATCTACCCGGAGTGTGGCATGCTGGGGCATCTGTGTACTTCTAGAAGAGGCTGATGGTCATGGGTTGGGGTCTCCCAGAAGCAGACTTGGAGACAGAGTTTAGGGTACAAGAGACTTATTAAGGAGCGCCCGTGGGATCAGTGCCTGTGGAATGGGAAGGAAGCAGGAGTGGACACGGGGACATGGAGATGAGGTTCAGGATTCAGGATGAGTCAACCTTATAGGGGTGTCCCGAGGTGGGGTGAGATGGCTATGCCATTGTACCCCCACCAGCATCAGTCATCGCTGGATGTGGGTATCCCTGGGCATGGCATGACCCTTGCCTAGGCAGCCCCCTTCAGCCAAGGTACCCCTGCAGGGGCTGGTGGCAGCTATAGACTCCCCATGGTCAGCACTCCCAGCAGCCGGGCAACAAGTCCCTCCTTAAGGGGCATCTGGTGGTGCATCACAGTGTCCACCATGCTAATGATACTGCATTCATTTTAGCAACACATCATGTGGCAGTTGTTCATGCTTTATTCCACAGCAACAGGAAATTCCGGCCCAACCTCATTGAGAGTCCTGGAAACTGAATGACTGGCCTTGAGTAGGTTGTGATAAACATTTGCTGGTATGTTATGCACTGTGGGACATGACATTGGAAAGGGCTGAGGCTTGTGGCTGATGGTCATATTATTAAGGTATCCCTCATGTGGCAGGAAGATGCTACACCTGAGAGTGCAGGGGGTCTTCACCAAACTGCACAAGAATGAAGCATGAAAGAGAGGCCAAGAAAGGATTCTAAGGTCATGCCATGTAAGTAAAAGAAGATTTGAGGCCTGGCATAAAAGTTAATGAAAAGCTAGCTTGGCTTTAGAGAACTTGGTAAAAAAAAATGTGAAGCTAGTTAGAGAAACCAGCAGTCTCATGACCTCACACAGTCATCAGGATTGGCCTTGGCTAAAAAACAAATGGTTTCATAAAAATGATATTTTAAAATGCAAATTTCATCCTACTCTCCCTTCCTTTGGAAAATATGTCTTCCTGAGGTGGACTGCTATCATTTGGGTATCCCCCAAATCTTTTGATCACAATCCGTATTTTGATAGTGTCGTTCAGGATAATTTCTGTCTTTCCAACATACGATGCAAAAATAAGACAACAGAAACCTCATTTTCTGGCCTCCTTGCTGCTGGGATATGGCTACGTGATTTAGATTCTACCACGCAGATGGGCTCCCACAAGGCTTTGTTGGGAACTGAGTGATGCAGGGAATGAGACAGAGTCAGGGGCATCATTTTGTGGTCAGGGGCCATGGCAGAGCTGGAGTTGCTCTGAGCAGCAGCCCTGAGGGGGTCTCCCAATTCAGCAGCTTCCTGACCCCTTCCGTAGTGGCCAACCCCTTGGTGGGCTGATTCTGGTGGGCCATTCTGGGAGTCACTTGGGAAGCCCAGCCTAAACCCCACTGCTTGATCCATCCCTTGACTTTGGGAACTCTGTTCCTCAGTACCCCTCCCTGCCTAAACCAGCTAGAGGCGATTCTCTAGTATGCATCTAAAAACCCTGACCAATACATTTCCTATAGTCACAACAGTGGATTTTTGAACTTTTTAAGCCGGCACACTTTCATCAAACACAACAGCCTATAGAAGCCCAGTATACAACGTAGATGATATACAAAATTGTTCTTCCCACCCTCCTCACTCTAGAGCTCTCTGTTGCTCCTGTGAACTCACCCCTGGGAGAAAGCATAGTTATTACAGAGGGTCCTTCATATACTGGATTCAATCCATTTTTTTTTCTTTTTTTGGCTTCATCTCCTATCATGCCCCCAAAGTCCTACAAATTAATAAGTTAATCCAATTTGCAAGCACGCCATACAACTTTGGGTTTCCATAACTGCTCATCTTCTCTTCTGTCTTCCTGGGATGTCTGTCATGAGTAGATCTGCCAGGAAAATGCTCATGTACTCTTCAAGAACCCAATCAATCAGAACCTCCATGAACCTCTCACCCAAAGCGTCCCATCATATAGGTGGCAATTTCAGTAGCCTCTTAGCATTCATGAGCCTACTATTTCCAGAGGTAGCTATTATTCTCTGCTGAGGATCCCAGGTAATCTGCATGTTTGCTGAGGCACAAATTTGAATCATTAGTATATTAAACGTGGTGAAATGCCCTGGCTTTTCCTTTCCTTCCACCCACCCTATCAACCAGGGCTTCACATGAGCCAAACCAAGCCTAGCAGGAAGCCAGTTAGCAAAGGGAGCCTCAGACGACGTAGCCGGTTGGACCATCCCAATGATCATACAGAGCAGAACAAGCAAAAATGGACCTAGGATGGTGGAGGAAATGATCAGCTCTGCAGAACTTCCTAGGAGTCAGCAAGATCACAGGGAATGGGACACTCGGTTAGAATGCAACCAAGAGATGGCATATTTTATCATGTTCCATTCATAAGAAACATATTTTTTCTTTTCTTTTGGAGAGTACTAAGCTGTCTCTGTTAAGTCAAGGACAAATAAATCTATGCACCTACATAATGGTTTTCATATTAGAAGATAATGGAGATGAATGGAGGAATAGAATAAAAGGGCTACTGTGATGACAGGATGCCACAGCCACCATCAACGCAGGAAGTGAGTGATTCATTCCTGCTGCAGAAATCAGGCAGAAAGACAGGTGGCAGACTCAGCTGTCCGCACATATTCTCATAGTGTCTCTGTGATAAAAACCATTTCTGACACACACTTGACCTAACTTGTGGGCAGATTCAGCCCTCAGAAGGATCAGAAAGCTGTGGGTGGAGCTGCTATTCTCAACTTACTTCCGATTCACGGGGAGGAACTGATTGGGGAAGTGGAAGTGAGAGGCATTGTAAGAGGAAATTCTTATGTCATCCTTATGTTCACAAAAGCTAGGAATGGGAAACTCAGTTGTGCTGATAAATTTTGTGGTTTACAAACAGAGATTTCACAAAGTTTAAAGGTGAGTTGGAGTCTATAAAAAGTGCCCTCGTTCCCATCAAACAGAATGGGAAGTTCTTGAAAATGGGGTTCTGACACCACAAATAAGTCAGTAGCTAAGAGGGAGAGGTATCACAAGCAGGTGAGTCTGCACCTTTGCAATGAACTCACAGCTGGGCAGCATGCAAATATGGGTAAGGGCTCTAGAGGCTTAAGTGTACCCCAAACAGTGTGCTGGATCTGTGTGAATAATGCCTAGAAGCCTACAGCCCAGGAGAAGGGTATTTTACAAATAAAACAAAGCTAAATAAAACCATAAAATACCTTTTTAAAGGTACTTTTGGAACACAATGTGGTTGACTAGCAGCAAAAAAAAAAAAAAAGAAAAAAAGAAAAGCAAACCTACTAAAGTCCTTGACAATGGGAGCAATTAATTTACATCAGCTGAACACCTAAAGGCTGTAAGACAGGAAGAGGAGACCAGCATTAAAAAGCGGGACTGGATCCTGAAGTCAATTTGGCGGTCATAAGGGCGTACCTGGATCTTCTATAGGCATTTTCTTTTCCAATCTGGAGGACTCACTGCCACACTATGGTTATAAGTTAAATGCATGTGAGATTATTTGTGATCACCTTCAAGCACTCAGGAGAATTAAAGAGGGCTGGACAAAGCTGGTAGATAATGTTGGTCCTTGGCTTCAAAAACAGAGAAGGCAGTAGACTTCTCCAGCTATGAAGCTGTGGGCTCCAGGGCCATTTGAGAGATGATTGCTCTTGGAATTCTTTGCAAGATGGTGTATCTTAGCCAAAACGTGGTCAAGCCCAGGGTCCAGTTTGGGTTTCCCAAGACAAGCTATGTCAGTTTAGCCATATTCCTTATGTACTTCGCAGGGCTATTAGACTAGAAAATTAGAAAAAGGCGGGGTGTGGTGGCTCACGCCTGTAATCCCAGCACTTTGGGAGGCCGAGGCAGGCAGATCACCTGAGGTCAGGAGTTGGAGACCAGTCTGGCCAACATGGCGAGACCCCATCTCTACTAAAAATACAAAAATTAGCTAGGTATGGTAGCACATGCCTGTAATCCCAGCTACTCGGGAGTCTGAGGCAGGAGAATCACTTGAACCCAGGAGGCGGAGGTTGCAGTAAGCTTAGATTGCACCACTGTACTCCAGCCTGGGCAACAAGAGCGAAACTCTGTCTCAAAAAAAAAAAAAAAAACCCAAAACCAAACGAATAGAAAAACCACCACCACCACCACCAACAATAACAAAAATAAAATTAGAAAAAAACTGTTGCATGGATCTGAATTTCAAATAGGGAGTTGACAAATAATGACACCTTTTTAGCAAGAAAAAAATTTGTGCCTAAGAGGATGACAAGAAAATAGTTAAATGCCTGCACACAGGAGCCACAGTTGATGGATTGCCACCAAACAGGAGTAGGCCCCAAGATTCCCTCCGTGCCTGTCCTGCGCAGGATGTTTGCTAAGAAGTTAAACCAGGATAAGGATTGAACAGAGGTTAAGCTAATAGATGACTTAAAGCAGAGAGAATGACAAATCTTATAAATCAGTGTTTCCTAAACACCAGTCATTCATGTACTGCCTTCCCAATGCTTGCTGCCAACTATCAGACAGGATTGTGAATTTTCCTTAAATTTACTCTCTTTTCAACTTGAATCTATAGCAGAAGAAGCTAATGGATATGATGTGCTAATTACATCCTTGCTATGGCTCCATGACTATGAAAACAGGGAAGGGCCACCCCAGGGAATCACTAAGAGTGTGACTTTGAGCAGTTACTTAGTTACCCGTGCCTTAGTTTCCTCATCTGTAAAATGGGTATTGAATGAAATAGTTCATGAAAAAGCACTTCTTAGCACAATGTGTGTAATATAATAAATGATTAATAAATGCTAGCTATTCTCATAATTATTTATTATTAGAATTTTTTTAAAATCCTGGTTTACTAAGGTCAAGATAAAATGTATTCATGCAAATAGTCACTCACCTCCTTTTACAGAGTACATTGTTTAGAAATTAACAGCATACTAAATAAATGCATGCAAAGCACTTTGCAAGTTATTGTTAAAAATATTAACCATAATAATGCATATATTAGCATGAGCAACAAAGATTGACTATAAATCATACTTTTATGCTATAAACTGAATTCATAAGAATTGAAAAATGAAATAAAATTATCACAAAATGCTAATCTGAGTTCCAGCTAAAAATCTTCAGGGCTATACCTACAATCATTGTTGTAACATGCTTTGGAAAGATAGGACCAGATGAAATAATTAGGATACAAAATACAACTCAACTGGCTGAGACAACAGGCTCACAAATGAGAGTAGCAGAAATAAATGCAAAATCCTGTGAGTGGGGTTACAGAAAACATCGCTTGAGGGTGCACTGAGGCAAGGTGCAGCCTACTAGAAACACACGTGAGAGCATCTTTTGTTTGAAGCTCAGTGACAGAGTTGCCCAAATCCCTGATGAGCATTTGGGCTTATCCAAGGCAGTATCCGTATTGGTGGAAGTCCTATTCTGAGTGTCCTCAACCTTCAGTGAGAATGAAGGGCTCAGCTTAAGTGAGCACCTATGGTGGGATTTTGCAACACTGGATTGAGGTAAGGAAAGAACCCAGGAAGTGAGAGAACAGGAACCTGGCCACAAAAGGCCTAGCTGAAGGGCCTAGAAAAGTTTAGTTTAAGAGAGGACTGGGAAGGGGAGAGGAGTAGGGCAGGAGAGCTGTCTTCTGAAAGCGAGGCTCCATCTGCCTGGCTCAAGCTAAGAAAGACCTATCTAATGATCAGAGCTGCCCACACATGGCATGGACTGCTCTGGAGGCAGAGGGCCTCAGACCGCTGGGTGACCCTAGGACATCAACCAGGTAGCAGGGCTGTCAAGAAAGGTTTAGTCCTAGATCAGATTTCCTAGAGGCAGAGCCTGAAGTAGAGATTAACTACACAAGGCATATTGGGATGCACAAGGCATATAGGGAGGGTCTTGTATGGAAGTGAGGAAGGCAGGTAGGAAAGGAGAAAGAGCAGATCAAGCCAGTGGTTGCAGGGAAAGTCTAGCCTGGTCTCATCCCCAGGGATCTTGAGAGCATGACTCATACCCCACAGTTATCCCACTGGTGACAAGGCGGGCCATGCTGACTGTTATGCTTTGGTGCCAGTCAGTATGTCTGAGTGTGTCCTGGGTGAAGAGGTTCTCGTGGCCTCGAGCAGGCCTTGGAGAAGAGGGCCACTGAGAGCCATCACATTCAACTCCCACCATGGCTAGAGGAGGAGATCTGGGTGGATCAGCATCCCAACAGTGATATAAGAGGGTGGCCTTCGAATGCTCCTCTCCACATGGAAATGATCATCGGCGGGACCTAACCGAGTTTCTGTAACTAATGTCTTCAGTTCATTTTTCAAAAACTCTTCTAGACCATTTTCCTTCTCCTTAGCTCCTGTTGTGTCCCTGCCAGCCAGAACTCAGGAAAATCTCTCTTTTAGAGATTCTAAGAAGTTCCTGCAATGGTTACACAGTCCATGTCACACAGGGAGGATCCAGGTCTCAGGGGGCCTTAGATTCATTCTATTCTGGAAGCCCCCTTTAGGAGAAAGGATATGAAATTACTAATGCAAACTGCCCACAGGACTGGGAGGGATCTGGGCAAAAGAAGGGCCTTGAAGGACATGAGTGTCACTAGATACACCATAAATCTACACCTGCCTGCGTTAATTTTTGCCTTACCCACAGAATACTATACTATTATTTAAAAACAAATATACCTAACACCTTAAATAATAATAAGGATGATGAAATCACAATTTGATGTACTAGGTACATGTATTTTGAATAATCTTAAAATAAACCCCTAAGCCCAAAAAAGATGTTCCATCTAAAATTATCTCATGTTCACTCAAGGGCACAGGGGCCTCCCGCTGATAAGGCGTGGTAGCAAACTGCGTGGGAAGCTTCCTTCTCTGCCGTAGGCTTGTTCTTACAGGAAGGAAAGGGAAAGGCCATTGGGAGGGAGCCTAGATGAAGCTCCTGAAATAGGATCTCACTCAGGTCCAGCATGCAAATAACTTTTATACAATTAACTCAGCACATGTGCATACCAGTCCCTGGGGGGCCATAGAAGCAGGCAGAGCAGCTCTCTCGGCTTTCGGCTCGGAGGAGGCCAAGGTGCAACTTTCTTCGGTCGTCCTGAATCCGGGTTCATCCGACACCAGCTGCCTCCACCATGCTGCCGAAGTTCGACCCGAACGAGATCAAAGTCGTATACCTGAGGTGCACCGGAGGTGAAGTCGGTGCCACTTCTGCCCTGGCCCCCAAGATCGGCCCCCTGGGTCTGTCTCCAAAAAAGGTTGGTGATGACATTGCCAAGGCAATGGGTGACTGGAAGGGCCTGAGGATTACAGTGAAACTAACCATTCAGAACAGACAGGCCCAGATTGAGGTGGTGCCTTCTGCCTCTGCCATGATCATCAAAGCCCTCAAGGAACCACCAAGAGACAGAAAGAAACAGAAAAACATTAAACACAGTGGGAATATCACTTTTGATGAGATCGTCAACATTGCTCGACAGATGCGGCACCAATCCTTAGCCAGAGAACTCTCTGGAACCACTAAAGAGATCCTGGGGACTGCCCAGTCTGTGGGCTGTAATGTTGATGGCCGCCACCCTCATGACATCATAGATGACATCAACAGTGGTGCTGTAGAATGCCCAGCTAGTTAAGCACAAAGGAAAATATTTCAATAAAGGATCATTTGACAAAAAAAGAAAAAAAAAAAAGCAGGCAGAGCAGATGTTACCACCATTCACTCACTTGCTCAGAGAATGACAAACAGCCACGAAAGAGTAAGATGAGAACTTCATTCAGTCCCCAGATTCCAGGGCATGAACACTTTCACTACCTTCTGCTTCTTCAGCACGTTCACTGCCAGTTAGCTTTGACATTAAGGTGAGAAACTTCAGCAAGCAGCAATGTCTCCTTGCTATGGCTCTACGACTATTAAACCAGGGAAGGGCCATCCCAGGGAATCACTAAAGGCGTGACTTTGAGCAGTTACTTAGTTACTCTGTGCTTTAGTTTCCTCATCTGTAAAATGGGCATTGAATAAAAACAGTCCATGAAAAAGCACTTCTTAGCACAATGTGTGTAATATGACAAATGATTAATAAATGCTAGCTATTCTAGTGATTATTTATTATTAGAAATTATTAGAAATATATATTTTTAAAATCCTCATTTACTAAGTTGCTAGGCCAAAAAATATGTATTCATGCAAATAGTCACCTCTTTTTGCAGAGTACATTGTTCAGAAATTATAGCATACTAAATAAATGCATCCAAAGCACTTTGCAAGTTAAATTATTGTTAAAAATATTAACCATAATAATGCATATATTAGCATGAGCAACAAAAAGTGACCATAAATAATTAAAACTTTACTATGTTCATCCAAATAGATGTATTTGGTGCTTTAACATCTGAATTTGTAATTGTGTGTGGGTGTGTGTGTGTGTGTATTTTGCTCTCATTAGTGTAAATCAGTAAGAACCTATCCTGCCTAGAAGAATAGGTGTCATTAGCAGAGGTCTTACCAGTGCTGTAAGTAATTCTAATACCGGATGGAATGAAGACATTTGGAGGGGATCAGGGAAAGATGAGCAAGAGAGCATTTAAGATGAAATCAGGATATCTGTTTAGAATCTATTCGTGGCTTTTGGAGCTCCTTACTTCCTGAGTCTCTTCATACAGATAATGGGCTCTTCCATCTATTCTGTCGATCCACCCTCTGAAAATTCTTGCCGTTCTTTGGATTCATCTATACTAACTTCATTTATAAGCTCTGAGAAAACACAGGAAGGAAGCCCAATCAAAAGAAAGAGTGCTGCCACTCTCATTGTTCAGATGTAGGCATTTCTCACCCCACTGTCTCAGTCTTGAAGAGCTGGTCAACCTGTCCCAGACCAGTCCTGCACCATTTCTAGTCTGCAGGTCTCCCAGGAAGCTCAGACCTGTGAGCCACCTAGAAACAAATACATTTGGGTCCATCTTAAAGGCTGGAACACAGATCAGAATGGACTTCATGGGTCTGAAGATTCTGGAGACAAAAATATCTTCCAAAAAGTGGGAGGAGAATGAGCCACGTTTAACTCTGGTTTCACCTTTTCAGTTCTACCTTCTGCAGCCTAAGCACTGAAGATGGGTAAAACTTGGCCCACAATTCACTCAGCCATTCTTCTACTTAACAAACATGACTGAACATCTATAATGTCCCAGGCAGTCAATGTGAGATAACAGACATGTGAAAATGCAGCCCTTTGCACCCAGACACTACCAACAAGATCACTGCTAAAACAGATCTGTGACCAGTGCAATAGGAACAGAAAACGGAAAGTGCAAGTTCTTCTGAGGGAGGCCAGAAGGGTGTTGCAGAAAAAGTAGCCTCTGAGTTGAGCCTGAAAGGATGAGTAGGCAGACGAAGGGATTCCAGGCAGAGAGAGAGAGAGAGAGCAGCGTGAGGAATGGTCCCTAGAAGTGAGAAAGGAGCAAGTGCTTTGGAGAGCAACAAATCCAATACTGCCCACTATTGCTGGAGGCTCAAGTGTCCTGTGGAAGGGGAAGTGGGGCTGGACAGGGAAGATCAGATCATCCTTAGGCCATAGAGACAAATTGAGGTTTGATCCTATGGGGAATGATGGGGCCCCACTGAATACTTCTGAGTAGGAGAGTGACATTGTGGATGGCCAAGCAGGTAGGGGAATGATTGTACACATGTGAGATGAATGGAAAAGGGTGGGGCACATATGGGTGATCTATTTATGGGATACAGGATTTGAGTTTCTCTTAGGAAACTTGAGTGGATAGTGGTATAATTCACCAAAATAAGACATCTAGAAAGATAAAAGCTATGGTGGGAGAAAAATAAAATAGTTGAACTTTGGACCAGCTAAATTTGAGGAGCCTGTAGGTCTCCCAAGTGGAAATGACCAAAGGATAGTTGGATAGATGAGTATGGAGCTGAGACACACAGTCAGGGGTGGAGAAACAGAGTTAAAGCGGGCAGGATCACCAATGGATGAAACTCTTGGTAGAAAGCCAGACAGCTCGTTTAGATCAGCAGTATCAGTCTCACCTGCAGCAATGTTCTGCAGCCAGTTCACACCAGCTCACACCAGCTCACAAGAGCCAGTTACTAAATATGCAGCATATTCAGTAATTTCACATATTTACTAAATATGTGAAACCCTTGGTAGCTTGGTGGGAGTATTTATACCGCATGGAAGTCAGCAAATGCTGTAAATTAGGTCTGCTTGCTCCACAACCCATCCCAGAGCTGGCTACCAGCATATGGTGCAGAAGGAATTATAAATGCAAATTATCAGGCTCCAGTCCAGACCTATCGCATCAGAAACCCTGAGGGAGTTTTCACCAGCTCCCCAGGGGACTCAGATGGGAAAGTTAGAGAACCCCAGCTAACCACAGGAAGTACATGGTCCACACTGGCCCAGGAAGACTGGCCTGGCCTGGAACCTGGTGGAAACACACCTGAGGCTGGGCTGGCTCAGGGAGACCCCTGGCTTGCTCTTGGGGGACTCTAGACCACAGGACCCAGAAACAGACTGTTGACAATTGGCCAACATCTCTCCAAATCTGTGATAGAAGTAACATGCCCAGACCCCTCGCCCACACTTCTCGTATTTCCTAAATTATTATTTTTTGTCTGTGTTTTGAGGGGGTTTAAGGGAAATAGTGACAATTTAAGAGTCTGTAGTGCATTACTTTACTTTTTGGTGATACGTTACAATGTTAAAATCTCACTCACTGAGAAAGGCTACGATGGAGTCTCTTAAAACTGGCATCTGTTCATTTGCCATTTAAAATGACCTTATTTAGAATCAGGCTTTGTTTTCTGGTTTCACCTTTCAAATAAATAATCATAACATTGGCCACTTGATCTTACCAGTCTTTATAACTGTCACAAAACAAGGTTAAAATCAACAGGATTAGCAGTAAAAACCAATGTTGATGTGAAAATGGCAACAAATCGCCTAGAATATTAGAGACACATTTTGAGTTGTCTGTTTGAGCCTTTTAAATTTAATGAGAACCATATAATGCCATTGTTTTATTTTAATACTTTATTGATTACAGTAATTTGATACTCATCAGACCAGAAATCTTGAGTTTTTATTTGCATTTGCATTTGTGTGACTTTGAGAAATTTATTAAATCTCTTTGATTACCTATACAAATTGAAAGTTTGGATTAGATGTCGTCTCTGATCACTTATCACTCATAGCTATATGCTTTTGCCTTTTAAATAAAAGTATATTTTCAGCTGGGTGTGGTGGCTCATGCCTGTAATCCCAGCATTTTGGGAGGCTGAGGCAGGAGGATCATTTGAGCTCAGGGGTTTCAGACCAGTCCAGGCAACATAGTGAGACCCCATCTCTACAAAAATAAAAGAATTAGCTAGGCATGGTGGCATGCACCTGTGGTCCCAGCTACCAGGAGGGTGAGGTGGGAAGATGGCATGAACTTGGGAGGTCGAGGTTACAGTGAGCCGTGATTGTGCCACTGCACTCTAGCCTCGGTGAGACCTTGTCTCATACATATACGATTTCAATTGTTAAATATTTTGTAAATATTAAAACAACACAAAAGTGTATCAATAAAAGGGAAAGTCCCCTCTTGTTATGAACTGAATGTTTGTGAATACCTGTGTTAAAGCCCTAATCTCCACTGTGAAGTTATTTAGAGGTGGAATCTTTGGGAGGTAATTAGGTTTAGATGAGGTCATGAGGGTGGGGTGCTTGTGATGGGATTAGTGCCCTCAAAGAAGAGACACCAGAGAGCTTGCTGGTTCTTCTTCTCTCTGCTGTGTGAGAAGGTGACTATCTGCAAGCCAGGAAGTGGGCCCTCATCAGAGCCTGACCATGCTGGCACCTGGACCTTGGACTTCTCAGCCTTCAGAACGACAGGACATACATTTCTGTTGTTTAAGCCACCCAGCCTATGGTATTTTGTTACGGCAGCCTGAGCTAAGACACCTTCTAATCCTTTCCCACCTAGAAATAAATGTCATCAACCATTAAAGATCTGTCCTTCCGGACCCTATATGTATGCCCACGTGCACATGCACACACATTTTTACATGAAGGGATCATATTGCACATACTGTCCTGAGATGTACATTTTACATTTGATAATATAACATGGACATCTTTTCATGTTAACACAAATATATCCACCTCATCCCTTTCACACCTGTGAAATGCATATAGTAATACATTTAACCAACTGATGAATGTTTCGGTTACTTTTAATTTTTGCTGTTTTTGATATTTTAAACAATGTTGCAGCCTTTTTTTCAAATATCTTTTAATCCATGCCCAGTTACTTTCTTTTTTTTTTTCTCTTTCTTTCTTTTTTTTTTTTGATACGGAGTCTCGCTCTGTCGCCCAGGCTGGAGTGCTATGGAGCCATCTCGGCTTACTGCAACTTCTGCCTTCCGGGTTCAAGCAATTCTCCCGCCTCAGCCTCCCAAGTAGCTGGTATTACAGGCATGCACCACCATGCCCGACTAATTTTTGTATTTTTAGTAAAGACAGGGTTTCACCATGTTGGTCAGACTGGTCTCAAACTCCTGACCTTGTGATCCGCCCACCTTGGCTTCCCAAAGTGCTGGGCATGCCCATCTATTTTCTTAAATTAAGTTCTATAAAGTGAATTACTAGGGCAAGGCATGTGCAGTTTTTAAGAACTTGTGATGCAAGGATCCCCATGACTTCACACTCTTGCCAACCATGAACATTAACAATTGTTTACATTTTTGCTCATCTGAAAAGTACAATATAATACAGTTGTGCCTTGTACAATGACATTTCAGTTAATGATGGACTGTATATACAATGGTGGTGCCATAAGATTATAATGGAGCTGCACTATACAGGTGTACTATTTAAAAAAAAATCTTTTATACCATATTTTTACTGTACATTTTCTATGTTAAATATGTTTAGTACTTATTTTTATGTTACAATTGCCTGATGGTATTCAGTACAGTACATGCTGCACAGGTTTGTAACTCAGAAGCAAGAGACTATACCATATAGCCTACCTGTGTAGTGGGCTCTACCATTTTTGTGTAAGTGCACTCTACAACATTTGCACAATGGCAAAATTGCCAAATGATGCATTTCTCAGAATGTACCCCATCGTTAAGGGATGCATGACTATACTTCACCGTTATTTTAATTCACATTTTTTGATATTGAATGATGAATGATGATGAGTATATTTAATGTTTTTTGGAGAGGCGATATTCAATAGTGATGGAGTGCTCAGGCTCTAGAGCTGAACTGAGAGCTTTTGAATCTTGGCTTTGCCCCATTGTCAGTGGTGAACCCTAGACAAGTTATTGAACCTCAGTGGGCATCAGTGTCTTTCTTTTTGATTCATTGATTTTATTTAAAAAAATTCTTATGACTTTTTCAGTCTTTAGTTTCATCAAAATTATACAAAAAGTCAAATAGATCCATAAATATTATTCACATAAAAAGCATTTCTCCCCACTTCCCTCTCCTTAGAGTCAACCACTTTCAATCTTTTTAGCTAATTGTGTTGGTGCTATAATCTAAATGTTTGTGCCCCCCGCCCCCAAATTTATACATTGAAACCGAATCCCCATTGCAATAGTATTAAGAGGTAGGGCCTTTAGGAGGTGATTAGGTCTTGAGTGAAGCTCTCATGAATGGGATTACTGCCCTTATAAAAGAGGCCTGAGTGAGCTTGTTTGCCCCGTCTGCCAAGTGAGGACACAGCTAGAAACCTTCATCTTTGAAGGAAAGGGTGAGCCTTCCCCAGGGACTGAGTCAGCTAGCACCTTGAACTCAGGATTTCCGGGCTCCGGAACTGTGAGCAGTACATTTCTATTGTTTATAAATTACTCAGTTTAAGGTATTTTGTTAGAGCAGCCGGAATGGACCAACCCAGTTGGTATTTACTTCCAAGTAATAACACACGTGTTGCAACTTCTGGAATTTTCAGTTTTAGACTGTTGATTCCCCATTATGGAAGGCAAGGATTGAACTCTACCACCTCCACCCCCATCCCAGCTCTAGCAAATGTACACACTTCTTGTCTCCACATTCTCTATATGACTATGTCTCCATTTTCTCTACATGATTATATTGCAATCATGCCAATATTGTATTCATCACTGAAATACACAGTATATTATGATAAATGTTCCTCTCTTGAACAACTTAATATTGTCTTGTTTTTAGTTTTTATTTACTTTTCTCTTATTCATCCTGAAATTTGCAAATTTTCTAAATCTTCTTTCAGTTATTCAGATGCATCAGGAATTGTATCAATGTCCTCTTGTCTCAACAGAATATGGCTGGCAATCCTCTTTTATGCAGAGGTTAAGGAATTATACTTCCTATATGTTCAGGAAATATTTGATCAGGCTTTTTGTTTGTGTGACCCAGTTCTAACTGCAAGGCAACCACATGCAACTTCTACCCGGGTGCACTGTTTTCTGTTTGCATTTCCACCTCAAGCTCTCCATGCTAACAGACACGTAAAAAGCCCGAGGCCTAGCAAGGCAAAAATTCTTTCCCAAGGCTACCCAAGGATCAAACCAGAATTTGATCTTCTGACACCTTGTTTGGCTTATTTAACTGGTTAACCATTTGTCCCTGCTCTTAAACTGCTCCAATTCCTTAAACTTATAGAGCCTTTACTCTGAACAGGAAAATTCGAGTTCTCATTATCACAGACATAGCCGCCAAAGCCCCTTCAGGTTAGGTGATATCAAATGGAGGTAGGGTCGCCTCTCCACCCTTAGAATAGGTGATCACAAACTGTTAATCAGCAATGCTAACTGCAAGTGGAAACTTATGGAGAATAATTGATTACTGTTAAGGCATGACTTTAGGAATTCTTTGTAAGTCTAGCTTATAAAGAAAAATCCCTTGGCTTGAAAATTTCTAAAATTAGACTCAAGGAAGTTAGATAAAAGTATGTTTGAGATAAATGAATCTGTTCCAAGTTTTTCAAAGCTGCACCAATATAGTAAGGTTCAAGCTATCCACAAATACTATTTATATGCCACTGGCAAGGGGCTGTGATCAATGTCTGTTTCTTGAAGGCAGAAGTGTGACCCAAAATCTTCTTAACCAAAGAAGACGTTTATCTTTTTCAACATCAAATTTTCCCGTATGTTATCAAGATGAATCCATGGATTGCTACAAACTATATGAACCCCTAAAGGGAAGCTTTCTTACTTTCCCAAAGGAAGATGCTACAACAACTTTCATCGTTGCCCAAAGACAGTTGTTTGAGCCGATGCTGACCATGGCTTGCAAGGTACCTTGCTCAGCAGTGACTAATCAGTTTCCCACAGGACTCTGTGGTGTAGCGGGCTCCAGAGGAAGTCAACGGCAATGAATCACAGTGCTCAGGAATGAAAAATACAGCTGTGATTCACATTAACTCAAAGAAAAGGTTGAGGGGAAACAAACCTAAAAATTAAAACCACACACATGCACGCATCAGCAAATACCACACCGAGCATGTCAGGGAAACTTCTGCTTTTGAAAAGTCCAAAGAAGAAAAAGAAAAGCAACTTTTCAAAACAAAGCCTAAGAAATCTATTGATGGCAAGATTGAACTCATATAATGCACAATGTAGTTCCATAAAAAGAAATAAATTACTTTCAGTGAACTTGGTTTTTGTTATAAGAAAAAGGGAGCCAATGTATTGCTTTAGACATAATTTCAAAGATTCCTATGTATAACTTCTTTAATTTTTATTGACTACTATCGAACTTTTAAATTTTAGCTTTTGCTTAAATTACTTTACCTTTGTAAGCAGAATTCTTGCCTCATTATAGGCCTTCTCTTAACTAGCATAAATTGCTTTCTCAATAATGAATTACCTAGGAACACAAAATAAGAAAGTGCAAGTTGGATTCATTGTTGTTAGACTCAACAAGCAATTTAAAAAATAAATAAACAAAATGCAAACCTCAGAGTTATTAGGACTGATCACTTTGAAACCTGCTGGAAATACTGCAGAAAGCCATAGAGCTCAGAGCCAGTTAATAATCCACACAGATACAAATTTGAGTTTCTTTGTTGGTGCTTAAATGGATAAATATTACATGATCAAGCTTATAAAACATAAAATTAAATTAATATTTGGATAGGATTTGGTTTATTCTAACACCAGAAATGGCCAAGTGGATTTTAAAATCAGTGTAGACCAGGGCCAGGCATGATGGCTCACACCTGTAATCCTGATACTTTTTGGGAGGCTGAGGTGGGCGGATCACTTGAGGCCAGGAGTTCAAAGCCAGACTGGGCAACATATGAAGACCATGTCTCTACAAAAAAAAAAAATTAGCTGGGTATGATGGCATGCACCTGTAATCCCAGCTACTTGTGAGCCTAAGGTGGGAGGATGCTTGAGTTCCAGGAGTTCCAGTGCGGTCTGATTGTGCCACTGCACTCCAGCCTGGATGAAAGGGCAAAACCCTGTCTCCAAAATATAAAATATAAAATTACTATAGACCAGAGATTGAATGACTTTAATCACATGAGAGGTGGAGGATTTAGGTGGACATCTGGGGTGAGATGTTGTGTGACCACACCAGTTGTTGTGAGTGATTGTTGTCGTAATCAGTGATGATGTTAGACAATAAACATGTCATCTCATTTTGGAAGGCAAAGTCAATCAGTGACAAGGCAGAGTCAGACTTGTGGAAGCACTGGGGAGGGGGTGGGAGGAGGGGAAAGGGCAAGTGTGCACCGCGACCTCACGTCCACCTACCAAACATGGGTCCAAACACCCCAGGGAGCTGAGCCCCAGGCAAGCGGCTGGATTGGACCTTACTTAACATGATTTATTTTTGTCTGATTTTTCCAAGCCTGATAGTCTCCTTGGGCCAAGCTAACCAAATGACTGAAATTTTCACTTTATATTTTATTGTGTGACCTCGTAAACACACATTTGCCCTTCATTTGCCAGTAAGAACATAACAAAACAAAGCAGCATTAGAAATAGCATTTTGGGCTCCAATGCTTTGTTCTCTGTTTCTTGCACGTGATACGACTATTTTTCTATTCTGACCTATTTAGCACATTTTGCTGTTTACCAAGACCGGAAGAGATTATTCATCATTTCAAATTACCCATCTGGAAGGCATTTTATAAACATGTCTAGTTTTCTATAATTTATTTATATTTCCAGATATCAAGATTCCTAAAATATGTTGAAACCACACCCCAGATAATAAAGACTATGTATTATTTTCCAGTTGAACTTTTTTCAGTATTTTTGGTAATAAAATTATGATACAACAGGTGACACAATTAATCATGTGGGACATTCAAACCCAGTGCTTTTTATATATTTAAAATAACTTTTCATTTTTTTAAAAAATACATGTTTGTTACAGAACATTTAGAAGACATAAATTTTAAAAGCTACAGGTCTATTTATTAATCATTTGGAGTACATCCTTCCAGAATTTTTATGCACCTGTCTCTACTTTTTTATTGTGTTTTACTTCATTTTGTAATTCCTATTATAACCTGACATGTATTACGTATTCATTTGCCCAATTGTTATAATCTATTTCTCCCACTCGAATGGAAGCCTCTTAGGAGAAAGTACTCTGCCTCTTTTGTTCACTACTAAGCCCCACTAGCCTCACATAGTATCTGGTACGTATTCGGTGTCCATGAAAGAATGAATGAATAGTTGATGCTCACTAAATATTTGAAGAATTGAAAGAAGCCATGAAGTACAAGCCAACTGACCTAAAGTCATGATATGGCAAATGGATGGGAACTTCTTTCTTTTCCACCTCATATTTCTTGATTTCCTCTGCTATTGGCCGATTAGCCCATTAATTTGAACTCAGTCAATTAGCTGCAGGCACGCAGTTGATTCATTATATGAGAACTAGAGAGAAGTAGTGATCTGGGGGCAAGGGAAAGAATGGTGACCCCACAAATGGGGCTGACTGTCCGAGAGGCCACTGTGGAGTGGATTAGAGTGGGGAAGTCTATTGCTGAGCTTACTAGTGCCTGTGTTCTTCCTGCAGGGGTGGTGAATGAATAGCTCCCCTCAATTCCTCCATTCTCAGAATCTGACCCTGCACTGTTAGGTGGATACAAAGCAAGTGACTCTTGATCAGACCCAAAGGGACAATGCTGAGGAAGCTGAGTAACTTCTGCAGTAACCAAAGAAAGGAAGATAATCATGAGTACTCTCATGTCTTTCTTTACCCAACATCTGGACATTTTAACCACCAACTTCCTATTCACAGACAAAAAGTAATCCAGGGAGTATTATTACCAGACAATGACTATTTTTAACAAAAGATTGAAAGTCTGATCTTGCTCTTCCTTTTGATTCTTTCAGTGAGGATGCCCACGCTATGAAACAATTCCCAAGTATGCCATTCTGAATGGGGGGGTGCTGCAGTGTGATGGGAGCTAGAATTGCTTTTTTAACTTTTTATTTGGAAATAATTTTGAACTTACAGAAAATAATTGCAATTATCCAAACCCTTACTACTCAGGAAGGAGAAAAACAACCCAACACAAAATAAGCAAAAGATTTGAACAGACATTTTATCAAAGAAGCTATGCAAATGGCAAATGAGCACATGAAAAGATGCTTAACATCATTAGTCTGTAGGGAAAGGCTAAAACCACAATAAGATGCCACAACACATCTATCAGAATGGCTGAAATAGAAAAGAGTGATATTACCAACTGTCAATGAGGACTCAGAGAACTGGAAGCACCATACATAGTTGATGGGAACATAAAATGGTACAGTCTCTTCGGAAAACAGTTGGGTAGTTTCTTAAAGAAATAAACATAAACTTAACACATCACCCAGAAATTCCACTCATAGGTATTTACTCAAGAGAAGTGAAAATATGTGTCTACATAAAGACTTGTATGTGGGTGTTCACAATAGCATGATTTATAACAATAAAATTAAAAACAGTCCAAATGTAGAATGGATAAACAAAGTGTGATAAATCCATGCAATGAAATACTATTCAGTGGTAAAAAAAAAGAACAAGCTATTGATACCTGCTACAACGTGGATGACTTTAATAACACTATGTTGAGTGGGAGTAGTCAGGCACAAAAGACCATATATGGTATAGTTCCACTTATGTAAAGTTTCTGGAAAGCTGTATAAATTTACTAAAACACTACACTGGTACACTTAAAATAGGTAAATTTTGTGGTATTTAAATTATACCCAAACAAAGCTTTTTTTTTTTAAAATGGGAGCATATTCTAAATATTGTTTGTACTGTGCTTTTTTCTACTCAAAACTATAACTCAAAGAGAGTTTCATATTAGCACAGGAGATGGCCCTCATTTTTTAGTGGTTATAATGGTTCGCTGTATGATTGTGTCCAAATTTAAGTAACTCAAATAGCCATGAACGAAAAGATCTCATTTCTCCATTCAGACCAAAGACCTTGTAGGCATACAGTTTCTGCGTTCAGTTTTAAAAGCTACAAATTAGTTCCTTGCCTCAAAATCTCTTAAGCACCCTGTGATGGATGCTCATGGTGCCTCCCTTGTCCCCTCCACACCCACTGTTCCCATCCATGCCAAGGGTTTCCCACTGCAGGTACCCGTGAGTCTCTTCCTGAAGTCTCTCTGGTGACAGGAGCATACTTGAATCACGCATGGGTGGCCAGAAGTGCCAGGAAGTTACTGCCTTTTGGAGCAGTCCTCACCAATGATGGAAGGAAGTTGTGGATAAACACCCCAGCTCCCTTACTCTGTGGGTAAAACCACTCGCAGGTGAGGTCTCCAGCACCTCGCAGAGCTCCTAGCGCCACTGAGCCCCCGTTGCCAATGGTGGCATCTGATCTTTAACACTCGTTCTTTCCCTTCTCTCTCCCATTTCCCTACCCCTCCTCCATCCTTCTGGAATCACTCACCAAATAAATTACTGCATCTAAATCCTTGTCTCAGGGGGACCAAAATAAACCACCACCAAGAAGCGACAGTTACTAATTGGTTTATACATCTGGTACTTTCCGCTTTATCCTTGTGCATTTTTTTTTTATATTAAACAATCGTTATTTGAAAAACAGTACCTTGGCCGGGCACGGTGGTTCACGCCTGTAATCCCAGCACTTTGGGAGGCCGAGGCGGGCGGATCACGAGGTCAGGAGATCGAGACAATCCTGGCTAACACGGTGAAACCCTGTCTCTACTAAAAAAAAAAAAAACACACACACACACAAAATTTAGCCGGGCATGGTGGTGGGTGCCTGTAGTCCCAGCTACTTGGGAGGCTGAGGCGGGAGAATGGCGTGAACCCGGGAGGCAGAGCTTGCAGTGAGCCGAGATCACGCCACTGCACTCTAGCCTGGGCGAGACAGAACAAGACTCCGTCTCAAAAAAAAAAAAAAAAAAAAAAAAAAGTACCTTATAATCTTAACATGATCAAACTTCAATAAGAGCAATTTCAGCATCAATAAGCTGTAGCTAAACTAACGAGAGAGCAATCAAAAGTGCTTTAAAGGGAGCAGCACCGGCTGATGTTCTGCCGAGGCTCTGGGCATTCAGAACTTGGCTAAAGGGAAAACAGAATCAAATCGGTAGGTGCTCTGGACCCAAGCGCTCACATTGTGACCCACCTCCCTCCTGGGGGCCCTGGCAGCCCATGGTACTCTTGGCACTTCTTTTTTCATTTCTTTGAGACAGAGTCTCACTCTGTCACCCAGGGTGGAGTGCAGTGGCACAATCTCAGCTCACTGCAACCTCTGCCTCCCAGGTTCAAGTGATTCTCATGCCTCAGCCTCCCAAGTAGCTGGGACTACAGGCATGCACCACCACACCTGGCTTTTTTTTTTTTTTTTTGTATTATTAATAGAGACGGGGTTTTGCCATGTTGGCCAGGCTGGTCTCGAACTCCTGACCTCAAGAAATCCACCTGCCTTGGCCTCCCAAAGTGCTGGCATTACAGGTGTGAGCCACCACGCCTGGCCCCTCTTGGCACTTCTGGGCTCCTGTGGGCTGTGGATGGTGGAGCCCTAGGAGCCAAAGGGCCACTCAGGAAAGGCTGCAACTTGGCCTTGCAGTCAGCCGGCTTCTGCCTGCTGTAGTCATTTTCTTTCTGCAGCACCTGGAGTTCTATCTCAGTGGTCGCAGCGGCCATCTAGCTTTCCTGGGCTGTTCTCTTGTGGCAGAGGATCTCCCTCTGAAAACTGGAAGTGTCTTTCTTCAATTTCTGGGCCAGGTCTTGGGCCATCTTCTTGTAGTGGTTGTGGGTTGTGACATGTGGTTCATGTATGTGTGCACCTTGTGAAGTCTCTGCTCAAGGTCCAGGCAGTAGGCGTCCTCCTCTGTGGACTCCCATGAGGCCCCATCATGTGTTCTCGGTGGAGATCAGGCAGAACAGGAAGCGTCGGCTGTAGCTTCGGGAGCTCCCTCTCCAGCTGTGCCCTTGCACCCTGCAGAGAGGCCTGCTCGCTGATCAGACTTTGGACTTGTGCTGTGAGTTCTTTATGCCTTTGATTTCTTCCCACAATTGCGTGTCTGCTTCTCCAGTCTCCCCCTCAGGACATTCGAAGGATGCACCTAAGTCACCATCGTCATCCACACTCTTCAGAGGACTTGTGGCTGGGACGCTAGGGGACTGCCATATCCTGCTTCCATGTTCTCCTCCACTGCCAAGTCCCCATCCTCCACATGGTCTCCACCATCCTCCAGCAGATGCAGGACGCTGGGCCGGGGTGTGGACCGGGGAGGTCAGTCGCTTCACTCCAACATTTATGACTGTTTCATTCCTGCCTTGGCCTGCTTCAGCCTTCTTTGCCTGCAAGCGTTGCTTCCATCTGACAATTTCCTGGTTGGGCAGCTCTGTAGGTTGCTGGTGGTCACTGCTATCATTCAGATCATCCGCAATTTTCCCCTGATCTTCTGCCCCAGCTGTGAAGTATATGGACGTGGTTTGCATCAGTCACTTGGGGAAGTTCAGGAGGCTTCCTTTTTGATGCTTTTTTCAGAAGCTCACCTAGGTCCTGATGGGAAAGACCTGCTTATTTCATTCAGAACCCTAGGCAGAGGGTTTGGAGCAATCCAGGACTGGCCTGTGGCATGGGTGACATGAGGCCCCCCACCAGCCTGGGGTGCTGACTGCATCCTGGCTCTGGCCTTTCCTTGGACCACGCCCTGGACCGCATCCCTTTAGGCCGGCTCTGCCCTTCTTTTCACTGCATGTCGTCTCCTGACCATAAAGGCCACCATAACAGTGCATGTCCAGATCACCCAGGGTATCCCTAGGGTCGCTGGCACTAGTCCCAGGATTCTATACATCACTAGCAATGCCACCCCCAGGGGGCCAGCAGCAGCTGAGTAGATATTGCGTGGCGAGCAGCAGGCCTTCCGTGGCTCCAGAGGGCTCTGCTGCTCTGTTTCCACTTGCCAGTGACCTGTGGACAGCTAACCGGAACCCTGCGGAGTGTTCTGTCTCTGACACAAACAGGGGCCCACCAACCAGGGTAGACCATCCATTGGACTGGGGGAGGGGAGGCACCTCGTGCTTTAGAAAACTGTGTCCCTGATTTTGCTGTGCAAATAGAAAATGACATTACTTATACAGGGCCTTCGGGGAGTGGAAAGAGCTCATGGCAGACCCGAGCTGAGGCCACTCCAGGCCCCAACAGGCCCTACAGCCCAGCTAGATGGTCAAAGCAGGGCCATGCCACAGCCTGTGTCTACACAAGATCCTATTCTCAGCTTTCCTTCACCCGACTCCCCTTCCCCTGACTCCTACTGGGCCATGGCGGCCTCTCTGGCCCTGCTGGGGACCAGGCTCAGGGAGGAGAGGGGCGGCCTGTGACTGCCAGGTGTGGCCTGTGAATTTATACAAACAGAAGCAAGCCACTAAGCATGCAGGCATCTTAACGGCACGCATAAGGCATATGATTTCATTCATAGTTTAATTAGAATGCACTGTAAGACACTAGCATCAACGTCTGGGTTCATTTGCTTGCTTGCTTAGCCAATGCAAGGACACAGTATAAATAACTTATGAGTGTTTGGAAAGACATTTAATCATTTAAGGCTTAGGTTTCTTCCGCAGACCTTCTTTAGATGGCCAAGAACACAACAGTGATGCCACCCCTAGCATATGCTTTATGACTTATAACTCACAAAAAGCATAAAACTGCAAGTCTTTTCCATGCTAAGTTGGAAAAAGTCCTGTAAATTTAAGGCTGCAAATTCCAACCAACATAAAAGCTTTGCCTCTTCTCCTTCCAGCTAAACTGCATCCATGCCAGATGAGAGAGCCAAGGTATTGAGAGAAGCACAGAAAAGGCATTTTTGCAGAATCCAAAACCTTCTCCTAAAATTTAGGAAAACACACACATCAATATGACTGACAATTTATTCATTCTACTTGCTGCTTTTATTTCATTCTGACAAGTTTGGGCAACTGGTGTGTGCTGAATCCAAGTCTGATCATTTGAGGCAGCTGCTGAAGTGCTAACAGGTTGTCACTGTGGAGGAACAAGCTCACCATCTCCAAACACTTCATAATTCTAAGGTGAACAAAGCCATCATACAAGATAAAGTAACAATTCCCAGCTCAGGTCTGAGATAAAGAGATTCCTGGAGCCTTAGGGTGTGCAGCTTTTAGTATCATCTCATCTCCCATTAATAACAACTTAGAATATCATTAAGGTTTTGGGATTTTGCCAAAAGTGATAACTAAAACTAGCACTGGCAAAGACTTAAATTTCACATCATGTTTGCCCAATTTGGCATAAGATAGAGGAAGCATGGTAGATTGCCTTATTGGTCTTAAGCCAAGGTCAACAGTGGAAACTCCTCCAGCAAAGGCAGAACACATTTCTCTGCCTCTTGACTTAGGTTTGGCCATGTGACTTGCTTTGGCTAATAGAATAATACAAAAATGTCAGTGTGCCGATTCCAAGCACAAGCTTTACAAGGTTTCTTGGGCTTCCACTTATACTCATGCACTTTTGCCATTGTCACAGGAGAGCTTTCCTCAGGTAGCCATGCCCACCAACCTGGACTTAGCGTGTGCTAAGTGTTGCTGGCCTGAACCCAGACATCAGTGGGAAGCCAAGCCTAGCTGAACCTGTGCAGGAAGCAGCGTCACCTAGCTGAGCCCAACCTAGATCTGCCAGATCCCAGCTAACCTCTGTTTGCATGAGCTAAACAGATATTTATTATCAATTTCTTGTCTTTTTCTTTTTGAGACAGGATCTTACTCTGTTGCCCAGGCTGGCTCACTGTAGCCTCGAGCTCCTGGACTCAAGCAATCCTCCCACCTTAGCTTGCCTATTAGCTAGGACTACAGATGCACACCACCATGCCTGGCTAATTTTTGTTATCTTTTGTAGAAATGAGGTTTCACCATGTTACCCAGGCTGATCTCAAACTTCTGTGCTCAGGCAATCATCCCACCTCAGCCTCCCAAAGTGCTAGGTTTACAGGTGTGAGCCATCACACCCAGCTCAGTTTTCCTACTGAGTTTGGAGATGTTTTGTTGCACACGTAAAAGCTGATGCCAGAGCAAAGGGGAAGTACAGGAAGCCAGGGGGAATAGTTTATAGTAGGTTTCTCCTCTTTCCTTCCCTGGAAAAATGGGTGGCAACGTACAGGATATAATCATGATGTTCATCGTTGCTTTTTAAAAAGTCCATCTCACGCCAGTTAGAATGGCGATCATTAAAAAGTCAGGAAACAACAGATGCTGGAGAGGATGTGGAGAAATAGGAACGCTTTTACACTGTTGGTGGGAGTGTAAACTAGTTCAACCATTGTGGAAAACACTGGGGCGATTCCTCAAGGAACTAGAACTAGAAATACCATTTGACCCAGCAATCCCATTACTGGGTATATACCCAAAGGATTAGAAATCATTCTACCATAAAGACACATGCACACTCACATTTATTGCAGCACTGTTCACAATAGCAAAGACTTGGAACCAACCCAAATGCCTATCAATGATAGACTGGATAAAGAAAATGTGGTGCACATATACACCATAGAATACTATGCAGCCATAAAGAAGGATGAGTTCATGTCCTTTGCAGGGACATGGATGAAGATGGAAACCATCATTCTCAGCAAACTATCACAAGGACAGAAAACCAAACACTGCATGTTCTCACTCATAAGTGGGAGCTGAACAATGAGAACACATAGACACAGGATAGGGGAGCATCACACACTGTGGCCTGTTGGAGGTTGGGGGCTGGGGGAGGGATAGCATTAGGAGAAATTCCTAATGTAGATGACGGGTTGATGGGTGCAGCAAACCACCATGGCACATGTATACCTATGTAACAAACCTTCATGTTCTGCACATGTACCCCAGAACTTAAAGTATAATAATTAAAAAAAAAAAAGTCCTTGTAACTTGGGCCAGGCGCAGTGGCTCATGCCTGTAATCCCAGCACTTTGGGAGGCTAAGGCGGGCAGATCATCTGAGATCAAGAGTTTGAGACCAGCCTGGCCAACGTGGCGAAACCCTGTCTCTACTAAAAATACAAAAATTAGCTGGGTGTGGTGGTGCGTGCCTGTAATCCCAGCTACCTGGGAGGCTGAGGTAGGAGAACTGCTTGAACCCAGGAGGTGGAGGTTGCAGTGAGCCGAGATCGCACCACTGCACTCCAGCCTGGGTGACAGAGTGAGACTTCATCTCAGAAAAAAAATAAGGTCCCTATAACTTCTTTCAGGAATATCCTAACTTCTGAGTCCCATAGTTGGACTATTCGAAGATGAATCCTACACAGTCTGTCGCAGTGATGGTGGGATTGAGCCCTGGTGCCCACAGTGGTAACCTGCTCATGTCACAGACTGTATGGCCTCTTTGCCCTCCGTATGCCACTCCCTACTCCCTCATTGTGCTTCAGGGCATCCCTGCCCATATAAATACCCGCATCCCAATTTTTGACCAAAGCTAAGTCTCATTGTAATAAATAGTAACTAACACTCACTGAACACTTGAATGTGCCAGACGCCATGACACACAGGTAACTTGACTTCTCAGTGCTTCAGTTTTCTCATCTGTAAAATAAGGATAAGAATAGTGCCTACCTAAATAAACTAGAAAATCTAGCAGAAATGGATAAATTACTGGACACAAAGACCCTCCCAAGACTGAACCAGGAAGAAGTTGAATCCCTGAATAGACCAATAACAAGTTCTGAAATTTTGAGGGAGTCATAAATAGCCTACCAACCAAAAACAAAACAAAACAAACAACAACAACAACAGCAAAACAAAACAAAAAAAACCCACATGGATTTACCGCTGAGTTCTACCAGAGGTACAAAGTGGAGCTGGTACCATTTCTTCTGAAACTATTCCAAACAATTGAAAAGGAGGGACTTCTCCCTAACCCATTTTATGAGGCCAGCATAATCCTGATACCAAAACCTGGCAGAGATACAACAAAAAAATAAAACTTCAGGCCAATATCCCTGATGAATATTGATACAAAAATCCTCAATAAAATACTGGCAAACCAAATCCAGCAGCACATCAAAAAGCTTATTCACCACGATCAAGTCAGCTTCAACCCTGGGATGCAAGGCTGGTTTGATATATGCAAATCAATAAAGGTAATTCATCATATAAACAGAACTAAAGATAAAAACCACATGATTATCTCAATAGATGTAGAAAAGGCATCCAATAGAACTCCACATCCCTTTATGTTAAAAACTCTCAATAAACTAGGTATTGATGGAACATACTTCAAAATAATAAGAGCCATTTATGACAAACCTACAGTTAATATCACACTGAATGGACAAAAGCTGGATGCATTCCCCTTGAAAACTAGCACAAGATAAGGATGCCCTCTTTCACCACTCCTATTCAACATAGTATTGGAAGTTCTGGCCAGGGCAGTCAGGCAAGAGAAAGATAAAAAGGGAATTCAAATAGGAAGAGAGGAAGTCAAATTGCCTTTGTTTGCAGATGACATGATCCTATATCTAGAAAACCACATTGTCTCAGCCCAAAAGCCTCTTAAGCTGATAAGCAACTTCAGCAAAGTCTCAGGATGCAAAATCAATGTGGGAAAATCGCAAGCATTGCTATACACCAACAATAGACAAGCAGAGAGCCAAATCATGAATGAACTCCCATTCACAATTGCTATAAAGAGAATAAAATACCTAGGAATACAGCTAACAAGAGAAGTGAAGGGCCTCTTCAAGGAGAACTACAAACCACTGCTCAAGGAAATCAGAGATGACTCAAACAAATGGAAAAACATCCCATGCTCAAGGATAGGAAGAATCAATATTGTGAAAATGGCCATACTGCCCAAAGCAATTTATAGATTCAATGCTATTCCCATTAAACTACCATTGACATTCTTCACAGAATTAAAAAATAACTACTTTAAAATTCACATGGAACCAAAAAAGAGTCTGTACAGGTAAGACAATCTGGAGCAAAAAGAACAAAGATCTGATTTTTAGTTTTGAGTTTTACATTTAAGTCTTTAATCCATCTTGAGTTGATTTTTGTGTAAGGTATAAGGAAGGGGTCCAGTTTCAATTTTCTGCATATGCCTAGCCAGTTTTCCTAGTACCGTTTATTAAATAAGGAATCCTTTCCCCATTGCTTGTTTTTGTCAGGTTTGTCAAAAATCAGATGTTTGTAGATGTGTGGTCTTATTTCTGAGATCTCTATTCTGTTCTTTTGGTCTATGTGTCTGTTTTTGTACCAGTATCATGCTGTTTTGGTTACTGTAGCCTTGTAGTATAGTTTTAACTCAGGTAGTGGATGCCTCCAGCTTTGTTCTTTTTGCACACAACAAGCTTTCAATAAATGCTAGTTATTTTCCAGCAAGACTTGCTTATCCTTATTATTATCAGGCTTCTAAGCTGCATCTGCTAGGGTTGAAAGAACAGGGTAGAATCGAGGAAAATAGACAGGTAAAAGAGAATGAAGAGAAAGGAATACATTTCATCTTCATTAAGTCACTTTACAATTCTCAGCCCACAGATGGCAGTGCTGGCCTTTTTCACTAATCAGTGAGCAGGTAGAACAACAGGAACAATAAAGCATTCTCGGTTAATTGTATTTAGTTAATGAAGTTCTATTGCACTGAGGGCAGGAGAAGCCCGAGAACAAGAGAAGATAAAAGAGGGGTCTAGTGGGAGAGGCTGGTCAGGTTGTGCTCCTTGGAGTATAGGTCTAAGGCATGGACTGTGTCCAAGAGAGGATACATTGTTTCCAACAGGGTCCAGCAGGGGCTGGAAGACTTCGCTCAGGTATGCAGATGACTAGGGCTTGCTCTAGATGGTGCCAGAGCACTCCTTGGTGTACCATGAAATAGGGCACTAAAACCTAGCTTTTGAGGGGGCCTTCAGGACTCAGTCAAGGTGGAGAAGGGGATGGGTCACTCAGTTGGTATTAAAAATTAACCAACCCTAGCGACCCAGGTGAAAGTAGGGACTACCCAAAGGTGGCTGACTGACTGCTTGCCAAGGAATTCTTCAGTGATGTCATCCCTCCAGCCTGCCTTTCTATAACACAGCCTCACTCCAGACCTTTAGTCACACTGTGGCAAGGGGAAGGGAGGGAGGCCAAGCCCCAGGAACTCTAGGTATACTTTTTTTTTTTTTTTTTAAAGAAACTTTTTGTAGAGATAGTGCCCAAGCTGATCTTGAACTCCTGTCCTCAAGCAATCCTCCTGCCTTGGCCTCCCAAAGGGCTGAGATTACAGACATGAGCCACCACACCTGGCCTGGCCATACCTGGTAGGGGCAGCTCTTTCTGCCAAGCATGTAGGTCACCTAAGCACGGGGTGCTCGGGACAGGGCCCAGTGAAGTCACCCGGCCTGCTCCAAATTCCGCCTTGATACTGCCTAACTGGGTGATGTAGGGCAAGTGACCTAACCTCATGAGACTCAGTTTTCCCATCTGTAAAATGAGAATAATAACAATCCCACCTGTATAGGGCTGTCGTGATGATTAAATGTGACAACGGATGATGTGGTCATCAGTTCTCCAATGTTATATATTGGCTTTTCCCCTCTTGAAAATATTTTTTGCTCGGATAACCTAATGAAATATCGTATCTCAGAGTCCTGTGGCAGTTCCTATTATTGTTTATTTTACAACTGCATTTTATTGAAGTTATTTATTTATGAAAGTCAAACACAGGGATGTTTTATCTAACAGGAAGGACAGAGGAAGTGAGAAATCTTTGGCCTCAAAAGACAAACCTACAACATCATGATAAGACTTCAGTATTTATACCTGGAACTATGCACTTCCTTACTCTGTCATCATTATTATCAAGAAAATTCACATCTAATGCTCTTTGGTGTTTATTTAACATGCATTTATTAGGTATCTGCTCAGGTAAGGGTCTTTGCTAGAAGAAAAGAGGTGAAGAATAGGAAAGACAGACCAATCCCGGGCCTTCCCGAAATAAAACTAGGGATAGAGACATTGATCACAGAATCGCATAATGATGCCGGGCGCGGTGGCTCACGCCTGTAATCCCAGCACTTTGGGAGGCCGAGGCGGGCGGATCACGAGGTCAGGAGATTGAGACCATGCTGGCTAACATAGTGAAACCCCATCTCTACTAAAAATACAAAAAAATTAGCCGGGCGTGGTGGTGGGGGCCTGTAGTCCCAGCTACTCGGGAGGCTGAGGCAGGAGAATGGCGTGAACCCGAAAGGCAGAGATTGCAGTGAGCCGACATTGCGCCACTGCACTCCAGCCTGGGTGACAGAGCAAGACTCTGTCTCAAACAAACAAACAAGAACTCCATTTCAAAAAATAATAATAATAAAATAAAATAAAATAAAGAATTACTTGATGATTATTTTACATGATAAGGAAAAGAATATTGTGTAATATGAGCAGATACCACAGGATCTAAATTCATGGAGGGAAGGTAGACAGCTTCCTGAGAGAACTCTACACTTAAGTCAGAAAGGGAGGCACCCAACCAGGGTCCAAATTAAGAAATAGAGCAACAACATATTGTGCAGAAATAGTTCTCTAACATTTTTCTCTCTTATTGCTCTTACTCTGCAAGGGTTTGCTTTCTCTGAGAGCAGTTGTGTCTACAGGGCAGCGAAGGCCCAGCTCCCAGCCCAGAAAGAATGTGTAGTTAGAGCAGTGGTGAACCTCACAAGCTTGAAATCAGGCAGCTCTGGGTTGAAACTCCAGCAACACATTCAATAGTTGTGTGGCCTTAGGTAAGTCAGTTCATCTCATTCAACTTCTGTTTTCTTACTTGTAAACAAGCAAAATGATATTTTACACTTCAAACAGTGTTGCTGTGGGTTTAAATGAAATAGCTGAAAACAACAATGTTTATTTTGCTCATGAATCTGCTATAGGAGCAGGGATCAGCAGGGATGGTTTAGCAGGGACAGCTTATCTCTGCTCGATTTAGCATCAGTGGGGACAGCTCAAAGGCTGGGGGCTGGAGCCAGCCTTCTAAGTCCCATGTCAGTGGGGCTGTCAACTGGAGCACCTACATGTGGCCTCTCTGCAGGGCCTGGCTTCCCAGAAACATGGTGGCTGGGTCTCAAGGACATGTATCCTAAGGGATTTAGAGAGCTACGTGGAAGCCCCGTCACCTTTGCTAATCAAGACTTTGATGTCACTCGACATCACTTTGCCACATTCTTTATGTCAAGGCAGTCACTGTGTCCTGCTCAGATTCAAGGAGAGGGAAAATAGACCTCTCCACTTGATGGAGGAGTAGCAAGGTTTTGGAGGAGCCATGACTGTGACCCATGTTGAAAAATATGATCTGCCATAGTGGCCTATACTGAAATCCCATCAATGCAATTTCCTTTCAATGTGAAGATTTATAATTCTATTATAAAAAAAACTACAAAAAGTGGAGAACAGGAAGCAAGGTGGTGGGAACTGAAGAAAGAGAAGTAGAATCATTACTGCCATGTCCTCTTTCAGTTATTGCCAGGTTCTTTGTACTCGGCAGTGGTGTCATCCCTCAGACGGGGCAACAGCAGTGCCCACCTCGTGGTGGTGTTGTGATAATTGAATGAACTAACCCATTAAAGTGCTTAAAGCTGTGCTTGGCCCATGATGAGTGCTCTGAAAATGTGAATGGTTTCCCTTTATGCTCGTGGGCTCCTAACTTGTCCTGATCTTGATGTGGCCCTGCTGCCAGTGTATCATGGACAGAATCCCTCAGGCAGCTGGAAAACATCCTCCCTGTTGCTCTGTCGGAGCAAAGTCCCTTCCACGACCACATATCACAACTATAGCACATGATATTCCCAATCACACTGATGAGCTTGGAAATGAAGAAAACGCTGGGGTGGCGCACACTGGGTTTATGGTCTCGCTGCTACGTACCCCTTCACGCCAGCATCTCTTCTCCTCTCCCACTGCAGTTCAGCCCAACCTCCCCAGCGTTCTGAAGGGCTTGCACATTTTATCTTTTCCGGTAGATGTTCAGAAGTCCAGATCTCTCGTCTCCATCTACAACACAAAAATTGACCATTCAGGGTTTTGTATGTATATTAAAAACACAATGAACAACCACACAGAGGACTTGCTTCCTAGTCTGGCTCTGGGAGGAGACATTGCGAAATGAGAACACAGTGATGGCCTTTCCTTCCCATTCCTGGTCCTCCACCTCTGGACCAGGAAACCGAGGAGGGAGATTTCTTTACCAGAATGCCCTCTAAATCCCTGTGCCAATGCTCAGATTTTAAAAACTCTAAATGGTCTTTCATGAATGGAACTAATTAACAAGCATCCTGTCTTCCCCACCAGTTAAGTGACAATTCATTTCCTTCCCTTATCCCTTGCATCACATCGCTTCCTACAAAAAGGATCCCGAAATCTTCTAGTCTAGGATTCTGGAGATGGGACTAATCAGAATAAGAAATTCCTATATCTCCAGGCACAGTGACTGGCCTCTATAATCCCAGCACTTTGGAAGGCAGAGGTGGGTGGATCGCTTGGGCTCAGGAGTTTGAGACCAGCCTGGGCAACATGGTGAAATCCCGTCTCTACCAAAAATACAAAAAATTAGCCAGGCATAGCGACACACGCCTATGGTCCCACCTACTGGGGAGGCTGAGGTGGGAGGATTGCTTGAGCCTAGGAGGCCGAAGTTGCAGTTAGCAGAGATTATGCTGCTGCACTTCAGCCTGGGTGACAGAGTGAGACTCCATTTCAAAAAAAAAAAAATTACTATATTATCCTATATTTCATTTTTAACTGTTTGAATCAGTATCCTAGCCTTTTCAAAATTACCTAAGTACATGCATGAATGCAGTCACCTTGCTTGAAAACGCAAATATTAGATCAAAGCTCAAGTTCCCTTTGACCATCACCATTAACTCCTATATTCTTGGCAGAAGTGGGCATTTTTATAATTTAAATTATATCTTTCCAGATTGCTTCTGTGCATTCCAATATCCTATTACACGCACACACACAAACACACATGCACACACGTGCACACACACACGTATATGTGTTTCTTTTCTAAATATGTTTCTCATGTGCTCCACTCTCCTGCTTGTTCTATCCTCAGGATGTCCTATCAAACTCCCAACATCGGTATAAGAAGGTTATCTCATTCTTTTTTTCCCACTGCTTTCCTAATACTTCATAGTCTTGGCTCCTCTGTCAGGCTCTATAACTGGACTCTGACTTTCCCTCCATCTCCTCCCCTGGAAATCTCGCACACAGATGCACACACATCCCTTCCTTCATGCCTGGGTCCATGTTAGCTTTCTGGTGTAGAATATCCTCCCTGTCCCTCTCCTCTTCCTTGAGAAGATTCAGCTCTTGGGCTGGGATGCAACATACTTGGGCTTCAGTCCCAGATGAGTTGCTCAGGTAAATTACTTAACCTGGGTTCTTATATAAAAAAATAGGGTAATTGTAATAGCATTTATTATATTTCAAAGCATTGCTCTAAAGATTAAGTAGAATAGGCCGGGCGTGGTGGCTCACACCTGTAATCCCAGCACTTCGGGAGGCCAAGGCAGGCAGATCACGAGGTCAGGAGATCAAGGCCATCCTGGCTAACACAGTGAAACCCCATCTCTACTGAAAATACAAAAAATTAGCCGGGCGTGGTGGCAGGTGCCTGTAGTCCCAGCTACTCAGGAGGCTGAGGCAGGAGAATGGTGTGAACCTGGCAGGCGGAGGTTGCAGTGAGCTGAGACACCGCCAACCTGGGCAACAGAGCAAGGCTCCATCTCAAAAAAAAAAAAAAAAAAAAGATTAAGTAGAATAATCCATAGAAAGCATTGGTCCATTGCAGATTATTTAGTAAATGCTCAAACAATGTGAACTGCCACCACCGTCAATGTTAGTGATCATCATCATTTTTCAGGAATCATTTAAATCCCACTTTCCTTCTTAATCCAGATTTTCCTCCTGAATCCAGATTTTCCTCTGAACCCCTGCTTCACACACAGATAGGACTACTCAAAATCATCCCAATAAACATTAAGCTACGTTGACATCACTTCACAATGTCTTCTAATCTTTACTAATAGGTAGGTCTTGGATTCAATGTACTGCCCCACTGTATTCAGGGTGAGCTTCATAAATCACACAGAGTAAAGGGAGCCTGTTGCATGGTTTATATTATGGTATTAAATAAGTATGTGCAAATAAAATAACTAGGTGTAAATGGCCTATGTTCTTGCTTTTACATAGTTATAAAACCAAGCACAATTGTAAATTATATAAGAACAAGAATGTAAATGAATATAATTAAAAGTAACTCAATTAATGCAAGGGATAATGTTTTCCTGAAACTAAGTCACTCTTGCATCATAAATACGGTGGGCCTGCATATTCTAAGAGAGGAAGGGCTTACATGAGAGAACAAGTCAAAAATTACCCTGACAGCTAATTTGCTGTGTGCAGAGGCTCACACTAGTGATAAGCACCTATAAACTGAGACCACCTGGGGGAACAGCAGACTCCAGTGCCCTGCGTTATGCTGATGCTGGGACACTCACTTACTGAGTGGAATGGCAGCTGGAATTGCTCACACAATTCAAATTATTCCAATCTCTTTCACTCTTTCTTTGAATTCTCCCACTACATTTCTCTATCTGAACTACTGGGCAGCTTTCATTCATCCTCCCCCATTACACTGCATTTGGCCTTCACTTTGGGGAAAACAAAAAACAAAAAACATTGACTCTGTGTGAAGTCTCCCCTGACCATCTTCATACCTTGCAACAATCTCAGTTTATGGGATGATTTGGCCCCAAGGCAAATTAAATAAACTCAAACTCAGAGGCAGACACTGAAATTACTTGGCAGAACTTGGTCCCAAGGCTCAATTCTTTGGGATTCTCCAACCTGGCTGCACACCTGTGAAGCTTTAAGCAAGCTCCAAGCCCAGAGTACATCCCAAATCAATTTGGGGATGGGAACCCTATTTTTGAAGCTCCCTGCGTGATTCCAATGTGCACTGAAGGTCGAGAACAGGAATCTATTGACTCATAGCTTTCAAACACGTTTGACCATCCATCCATGGTAATAAATATATTTCACATCATGATCCATACCCAGGCATATGCATACAAAACAGAAACAAACATTTTGTAGAACAATACTTAACTGTTACTACCAACCGTACACTCTAATATTTTCCATTTTCTTCACTTTTATTTAAAACAACGCTGGATATACCCAACTTCACCCCTTAATGAACCACAGTTCACTGGGGGATCATGACCTACAGCTTGAAAAACATTGCTGTAGTTAGTCCAGAATGTAATTTGATTAATTAGTAAATGTTATCCTTGATATAAAAACATACTGGATTTCAGACATTCCAAAAGGAGGATATGTGAATTCCTGAGAATAAGTCCATATAGAGGCCCATTTTGAAAATCTTTACTATGGACCAAATCCTTCATTTTACAAAACAGAAAAGGTCAAACTCCTATATACATTCCTCCTGGATGTGTACGTGCCTGTGTGTGTTACACTTTGCCCTAACCTACTTTTCTTTTCTTTTCTTTTTTTTCTTTGCTCTTTTCTTCCTTCTCTTCTCTTTCTTTCTCTTCTCTTCTTTCTTTTTTTTTAGACAGCTTCATTCTGTCGCCCAGGCTGGAATGCAATGGTGCAACCTCGGCTCACTGCAAGATTATAGGCTGAGCCACTGCGCCCAGCCCTTTATTTCATATTTTCATGTGCCATTTTGTCTATTTGAAAAATCCTTAAATGATGACACTGTGGACCCTTAAACATAGAGCTTCTGGAGCTTAGTGATGTTACTTCAGTGTGTGTTGTTTGGGGGTGCTGGTCTTTTTTTCCTTTGCCCATGATGCATGGGGTAGGTGTGTGCATTTTAACATTTGTTGACTGAGTTTTAGCATTCTAGGACATATTTCCAATTTGGATTTGACACAATGGCACTCTAAGGAGGCGGAAAAAAATGTTTGTTTGGTCTTATAGAGAAGGGGATTTGCTGTCACGTGCAGGATCTCAATAGTTAGGCTGTTTTCCAGCCTAGAACCCCTTCTAACATCAGACTGTATTGTTTTAGATCTCTGACACCCTTATCTCACGGGCAAAATAGAGGGCAATAAAAAATCCAATTTTCATTAATATTGCTTCAGTAGCATCCACAAGTATTTAAAACTAAATTTTCTGAGGACCTGAGGGGAAAAAAAACTCACCAGGCAAAATGCTACTGGTCAACTTCCAAAGGGGTTTTTACTTGAAAACTACAATAAACAGCCAAACCCAAACAATCTAAAAAATAGACACAAAACTGAATTTGCACTGAATATGTATGACATATGCTACGACATCTTACAGAAACTAAGATATTACTACAGAAACAAAAACACTATAGCCACTTACAAATGGTGCTTTTCCGTAAGAAGAAATATAATGACATATTAAAAACAGAAACAGACTGACTGAGACTTCCCTGCGAGTCCGGGTTAAGCAGCTGGAACAACTTGGGATGCTGTCCTGACCTTCCTGGGCCAGTGTCACCGCATGTGTACACAAGAGCATTTCCTCAGCAAAGTGCCTGTGTTTTAAATGGGTTATTGAACTTTAACAGGGTTGTGTTCCTAAGAGAAATGCAAATTCTTTTAAAACTTACATTGGTTTCTCAACAAACTAGAGTTTCTCTAAAGACAACTGAAGTGTTTCTACCTTTAAGGATTCTAAATTGTCTTAAATTTTAATTTAATTTTTCTATGGAGGAAAGCCAAATTTATGAAGGGGATTGTCTTGATCAGAATTATTCATGAATTAACCAAATGCGGAGTAAGCATCTAGTAGGTGCGAGGCGTTGTGAGAAATCCTGAGTCGCTGTTCTCATAGAAACCCTGAAGTCCTTATAAAGAAATTTATAAATTAAAACCTACAAGGTAATAACAGGTTGAAGAAAATGAAATACAACTAGATTTAATTTTTCTTAATCCAGTAGTCACAACTCTAGAAACTGAAGTAGTTGCTTATTTTTCCACATATTTTGATAGCATCATCTAGAAGGTTCATATGAACGTTATTCATCATTACCTAGTATCACTGTATCTTTTTTTTTTTTTTTTTTTTTTTTGGATACAGGGTCTCACCCTGTTGCTTAGGCTGGAGTGCAGTGGTGCAATTTTGGCTCAAGGCAACCTCCACCTCCTGGGTTCAAGTGATTCTCCTGCCTCCGCCTCCCGCCACCTCACCTGGCTAATTTTTGTATTTTTAGTAGAGATGGGGTTTCGCCATGTTGGCCAGGCTGGGCTCGAACTCTTGACCTCAGGTGATCTGCCCGCCGTGGCCTCCCAAAGTGCTGGGATTACAGACGTGAGCTACTGCACCCAGCCCACTGAATCTTTTTTTGAAGATTTGCACATGCAGGCCACTTGCTGGGTGCCATTTTGAAATCTGCTACTGGTGGAGTTCATCTCTCACTAAAGCCTTTCTTTTCTTTTCTATTCTGTACATGTTGACTATAGATGCATTATTCTTTGGATCCTTGTGATCTTGGGTATATTATTTTCCCTGATCTTCTCTTAAAGGAAGTAAAATTGGTTCAGTTCATCCTGCCTTAGTGTATCTAAGCTTCACAGATGAAAAGATTCAGTGACCAATTTGATTGATTTTTGTTAGGTACTGAATCCTGCCTGTGTTATCTTCATGACTGGACCACATCTCTGGTGTTGGCTCAGGCTAAGAATTTACTCACCCAGCTATGAGCTTTCTCATTCCAATTCCCTGTACTTCCCTATCTAGCAACCCCAGCAATGCGTCAGTAGCTACCATGGGGAACCCAAATCTAGGCTTCTCCAGTCTTTCCCCACAGCTTTTCCTACAAAACGATGAATTGTCAACCTTAGAAAGTGTTAAAAACATTGTTCTGTAATCCTAATAACCTGGAAAATTTGGAGTTACTCAAAGTAAAATAAGTTTCTTTGTGCAAGATTTCTAGAGCATCTCTGCTAGTATAATCTAAAAGGGTCAAAGTATGTTCCAGCATCTCCCAAAACCCTTTGAGTTTTCATTTGTGAAAACCTCAGGATTAGGCCAGCTGTGAAGATAGTGCCCTGGAGTACTTCTTTTCTCCCTCCCTTTTTCCTTTCCTTTTTTTTCTTTAAATTAATTGTACTAGAGAAAGGCATTGCCATCTCCCTCTCTGGGGTACGAGAGAGAGAAAGACTAACATTCAAGGAAAACCATGCTATTATCACAGGAAAGCCCCTCTGTGGCTGAGCCATCCAATATAGCAGCCACGGGCCCTGTGTGGCAATCGAGCACCTGAAATGTGGCAAGTCTGAATAGGAATGCTTTGTAAGTAGAAAATATGCTCCAGGTTTTGAAGACTTAATACAAAAAAATTTTAAATGCTTCAGTAATAAATTTTCATATTGATCATATGTTGAAATATTGAATTAAATACGATATCTTATTAAAATTAATTTTACCTATTGCTTTTGACTTTCTAAAATGTGACTACAAAAAATTTTAAATTACATATGCAACTCATGTTATATTTCTATTGGACAGTGCTGCCTGATGGAATAATTCCCAAAGCCTTACAGGTCATCAATACCCCTTGGCTGGGCTGCTGTATTTGCTGTATTCTGAACACATACACACAAACACAATGCTATATTCTGAACACACCAGACACACACACACACACACACACACACACACAGTGGCTGCTTAGCCTAAAATACCTTGCCCTCCGCAGCCATCTCCTGTTACCATCCTGCCAAACTTTTAAGATCCACCTCAAAACATAATAGGCAATTGCTAGCAGGTTTTCAGAAGTGATTCCATGCCAGGCACTATGCTGAGCCCCCTCCTCCCTCAAATCACCCCGACAGCCAATGAAGGGGTAATAGAATATGCTCATTTTGTAGCTGGAAGAGGTGAGGTAACCTGCTTAACGCTATGTGCTGGTCAGTGGCAAACCTGAGTCTTCTTTGGCTTGTCAATCACCAAATCATCTTTGGTTTGTCATCACTGTCCCCCCTTTAGCCCCTCTGGTGGCTCTTGCCTCACCTCCCCATGTGTGCGCTAAGTCCTCAATGGCAGGCACCCCTTGCTCCTGTGAGCTTTGCTTCCCTCACTTTCCAGATCTTAGTTCAAGTGTCTTTCTCACAACACACATCACTCATTACATCCTATTACCACTGCTTTGACATTTTGTTTCAGGCACATGATACCCTCTGATGACCCGGGTGGATTCTGCTCTTGTTTAAATGTTCACGAGAAATGACACTATGAGGCCTCAGTCAATATTTGGTTAAGGTAAAGCATGTTATATACTTGAATATCTTCCTTTCGCCATCTTTTAGAAATGTATATTTTTGCTGTTAAAAATGGGAATTAAGTGCATTGATGAGGGTGACCATTACAGACAGGTAGACCCTAAAAAGCCAAGGCAAACCACGCCAGCTGGAAGTGGAATTTCCGCTGTGGTAGAATTTGCCTCTGAAGACCTTCACAGGCAGTTCCTCTGTCCACAAAGAAGAATTTCTTTCTTTCAGCTCATACTGTCCACTTGGCCTTGTCAACTGCTCTGGCCATGTCCCTGGAAGGAGTCCCACTTGTCCTTCCTCTTCCCCCAACCATGGAAACAACCTGAGAAAAAGCTGGATGGGGGAGGGAAGGAAAAAATACACATTTCCTTTTCAACATTATTAAAGGAATGAAGATAATAATTATGGGTAATTCTAAAACATGAACATTTTAGGTAAGTTTAGATGACTTTATTCCTTACCTGTTGCCTGAAGTGGACACGATACAGGCAAAGAAAGCCTTGCTAGTTGCACTAAGACAACCCCAGTGCTGAGTTTGCATGAGAATATGAGCATTTCCTCAAAATGCCTCCTGTTAACAGTTCTAGGAATACTTATTTCAAAGAATAATTTATCTTTGGAAAAAGAAATTAAAGTTCCTATGAAAAATAAGGATTTATATTTGTTATATTTTTCATTCCCTTTCCAAAGACATTTGTGTAATGAAGAAAATTTAGATTACTTTAAAATGAACTTCTTAGTTAACTTTCCTCAACTGATGATCTCTGTTTTCCCTAGAGAAGTCATGTTACTGTAATTTTATGAAGCTTTCCTCACTTCCACATAATAATATCTGAGGCAGGGGGCACATCTCCTCTTTGGTGGATCAGGTATTCTTTCAAAGATCAAGCTAAGAATTTTGTTGACCTTAAATTATCTAAGCCTTAGCACTGTAACTCCCAAATTATATTCTTTGGTGTCTTCTTAAATATGTAAGAGGAAATTAAATAACATCCACAGAATTGTATTTTAGTCATTTTCTCAAATAAATTCATTCACTTTTTTGGAAAACTTATCTTTAGAAATGACCAGTAGTTTTAGAAATACATATATATCTGTGATAATTTTCCAATCATTTCTAATTCTATTTTTCCAATTAAAGAAATGGGACAAGTAATTCATTTGTTTATTCAATTTCAAAGCCACTGGCTGATTTTGTTCAAGGTCTAAGCTATACATTACAGGAACACACATGAAGTCCTGTTTTTCTTTGTGGGCCATCTGAAAGAGATGCAGAAGATGAGTGTAGTTTTGGCTGGGGAGTATGGGGAAAGGCATTTTAGTTTAGACAGAACCACTTGGTTTAAAGCAGCTGTGCCAAGCTACAACCATTAGAACACTGCTTAGCCCTTGGGGCATATTGAGGATTCACATGGAAAGGCAGGCCAGGTCATGGTCTGGACAAAGGGAAGGGTTTCCATTTTACAATGCAAACCTATGGGAGCTAGTGACCATCTCAGAGTTGGGGTGAAGTGCTGGAGGCTGGAAGGACCATTTAGGGCAAGTAAGAGAGACCTGAACTAAGGAATATGGGCTTGAACTAAGAAAGAAGGTGACAGACATGAAGAAGGGCCAGATAAGGCCACCCAAAGGATAAGGAAGTTGGGAGGGGGAATTGGTTGGGGTAAGTGGATGATTATTCTATTTTTATTAATTTTTTTACTGCTGGGGTAACCCTATGTTGCCCAGGCTGGCCTTGAACTCCTCCTGGACTCATGTCATCCTCCTACCTCAGCCTCCAGAGTAGATAGGACTACAAGTGCAAGCCACAGAGCCCAGCTTATCCTAGATTTAGATAAGTTAAGCCCAACTTGAAAAATCCAACATTAGTTGAAAAATTAACAGGAATAAATGGATATTCTGTATCAGGATAAAAAGTCCCCTTCCCTAAACCCACATACACAAATAGAGAATGAAAGCCAAGTGGAGTAATAGCTGCCCCCTAATTAATAAGGCTAGAGATCAAGTTATCTGAGTGGGAAGCAGGCAACCTGACTTGCTAGCCTTGTAAGACTGGGGCAGTTGCTGGTGTCGGTGGGTGTATGATTATTTCATTTTTGAATAAATTGAGGTTTCTAGGGAGATCCAGATTGAGAAATCCAAAAGGCAGTTGAAGAATTACTAGAGACAAATGAATAAGTCTATATTCAGAAAACAACTCATCTGCAACGAGGGAAATGATGGTCTATAGAGGCCAGATCACCTTCAAGCCTTCTGTTCAATTCTGGGTGCCACATTTTGATAAAAACGTGATAAAATTAGGGCCCGTCAAGAAGTAGCTAGAAATGAAATATGTGACCATGTTTAGGAAAAGATGTTTGAAGGAGTCTTGGATGATTGACTTGGAGAAAAGAAAAAGCAGGGAAGCCTCTGTCATGTGAGTGGAATTAGACTTGCTCAGTGACAGATAAGAGGAGAACCAAAGGAGAGAAATTAGAGGAAGACAAATTGCAACTCGAGGTGAGGAATCTCTGGCTAGCACTTTGGGACTGGGTGATTTTCTCCTCATCAAAAATATTAAAGCACAGACTGAACAACAACCCATGGGGATGCATAGAGGGGACTGAAGCACATGGCAGGGAACCAGGCAATAGTTGGATGTCCCTGAGAGTCCTACGACCCCATGGGAGGAGGCAGATTGGAACAACAGTTATAAGATTAGGAGCCACCTACAGGGAGCAGGCAGCTAAAGCTACAAATAGGTAAAATGCCCAAGATACCAACTGCAGCAAGAGAAAGTAAGTAAACCACAGAAAGAATCTTGTACAAAATAAAAGAAACTAGGCAAGATAGAGAAATCATAAAGGACTAGGAAGAAAATTAAGAGTGTCACATAACAAAAGACAAGGGAGAGGAAATTCTATTGAAGTATAATTAACATACAGTAAAGTGCACACATCTTAAGTTAAAAGTATTATTTTAAAAAATCTTCGCATATCCCAAGTTCACGAAGATATTTCTCTTGTATTTTTTCTAGAAGGTTAATTGTTTTAGTTTTAACATTTAAGCCTATGATCCATCATAAAATCATTTTTGTGTATGGCATAGGAATCAAGTTTTATTTTTTTCCTCAGGAATATCAACTGACTAGCGCCATCTGTGGAAAAGACTCTTCTCCCGCCTCCACACCCGCTTAATTGCAGTGTAGCCTTTGTTGTAAGCCAAGATACTGCATTATCTTGTAGCTCTGTCTCTGAACTCTCACTTCTGTTCCATTTACCTATTTGTCTATCCTTGTTCTGATGCCACAGTCTTCATTATGTAGCTTTATAGCATGTCTTAATAATTGGTAATGTAAGAGCTACAGATTTGCTGTTGTTCTTAAATATGGCTTTGAATTTTATAATTATTTTTCAGTTTCACCTACAGTTTGGAATTAACTTGCCAATTTAAACAGAAAATAATTCTGCTAGGACTTATTTGAAATTTTAATGAGTCCGTAGATCACTTTGGGGATAAATGACATCTTTAAAATATCTCAATCCATGAACATGGTATGTCCTTCTATCTATTTAGGTCTTCTTTAATTTCTCTCAATGTTTTGTAGTTTTAGTGTGGTGTTCTTGCATATCTATTGTTAAGGTTTTTTTTGTATGGTACTGTAGATCACATTTTCTATTTAATTTTCTACTTGTTACTAGTATATTAACTCCTGAGTAATGGCAATTTTAATTTTTTTTTTTTTTTTCGAGACAAAGTCTTGCTTTGTTGCCCAGGCTGGAGTGCAGTGGTGCCATCCCAGCCCACTGCAACCTCTGTCTACTGGGATCAGGTGATTCTCCTGCCTCAGCCTTCCAAGTAACTGGGATTACAGGTGCCTGCCACCATGCCTAGCTAGTTGTTTTTTTTTTTTTTTTTGGCAGAGACAGGATTTCGCCATGTTGGCCAGGCTAGTCTTGAACTCCTGACTTTAAGTGATCTGCCTGCCTCAGCCCCCCAAAGTGCTGGGATTACAGGCATGAGGCAATGCACCTGGCCAATTCTTATTTTCTAATTTTAATAACATTTCTTTCTTTTTCTTGCCTTAGTGTCCTGGTAAGACTACCAGTATATTGTTGAATACAGATGACAGAGTGATAGATGCTATAAGGTGACAGTGAATAAGAGTGATAGGGCACGCTTGTGTTATTCCATACATCAGAGTGAAAGCATTAAGTATTTCACCATTCAACATGGCTTGCACATACCCTTTGTCAGATTCAAGTGGTTACCTTTCCATGGTAGTTTGCTGAGATCGCACTAAGTATTTTTAATCTAAATGTTAAATTCTACAATAAAAACACAATAACTTATTTGGAAATACAAGTTAGGGAGGGGTGTAGTACTTTACATTACTGATAGAGGAAGTCTTCCTCTATTTGGAAAAGACCATCACCTGGGATAGATGGAGTAGATCTGAGATTGTCTTGTGTAATGCATAGGGTAGTAACATGGTTGCCAGTAAGCACATGCTTGAGTCAAGCAGTTTAATACCTGAACTGTCTATCCTCCCCTTACTAGATCTATGTCTCTGGACCTGGAGCTTAAAATACAAAATCCAGAAAGCATAACATAATGATAGCACTAGCTACCACTTATTGAGCACTCAGTATATGCTTGACATTGTATTAAGCCATTTATGTCTATTATTTCATCCAATCCTTGCCATAACCTTCATAACAACAGATGAGGCAACAAAGGCATGAGAGATAAATTTACTTGCCTGTGGTCACACAGCCAGTAAGTGAGGGAGCCAGGATTCAAACCATCTGACTCCATGACATTAATCACTACACTTTTGCCATCAGGAATAAAATCTTCTCCCTCTAGCCCCGCATTTGAGGTCATTTCTCTCTCTCTCTCTCTTTTTTTTTTTTTTTTTTTTTTTTAAGATGGAGTCTTGCTCTGTCGCCCAGGCAGGAGTGCACTGGTGCGATCTCAGCTCACTGCAACCTCTGCCTCCTGGGTTCAAGCAATTCTCCTGCCTCAGCTTCCCAAGTAGCTAGGATTACAGCTGCACGCCACCATGCCCAGCTAATTTTTGTATTTTTTTAGTAGAGATGGAGTGTCACCATGTTGGCCAGGCTGGTCTCGAACTCCTGACCTTGTGATCTGCCTGCCTCGGCCTCCCAAAGTGCTGGGATTACAGGTATGAGCCACTGTGCCCAGACAGTCATTTGTCTTTATTATGGCCTAGAATGTTAAATATGTTTGCTCACCATAGAATTAACTTGAGAGCTACCCAATGTTGGGTTTCATTAGAAATCCTTGAGACCAGCAGCCACATTTTTAGTCCCTATGTCCTTTTAGCTTTATCCCATCCAGAAACAAAATAAATAGCTCTCCAGTAACCTATCCTATCATTTACTTTCACCAAAAGCAATAGATACATAAAGCTTTGCAAGTACAAAAACAGAAAATCACTGGAAAATAACTCAATTCTTTTCCACTGGAAAGGTTAGCATGTAAGCTAAATCTAGAGAGGAATATAATTCTTCCCCAAAGAGACATGTTCTGTCCTATCAACTTCCGCTATAAAAATTATCCAAAACAGCACTACCGCAAAAGGTATTAGGCATAGTCACTACACTTTCCCTAGAAATGATGGCTTCATGCATCTTCACGCTTCATGCATCCTCATTATCTATTGCTATATAACTAGTCACCGCAAGACTCAGTGGCTTAAAACAATAATCATTTTATTATTGCCATGGTTTCTGAGTGTCTGGAATTCAGGAAGGGCTTGGCTGGGTTGTTCTGGCTCAGAGTCTCAAATGTGGTTGCAGCCAGATGGTAACTGGAACTGGAACAAAAGGCAGAGTGTGTGGGGGTGGGGAACGGGAAGGTATGGCTGGAACAGCTGGAGACTGCTACGGTATCTCTCTCTTTCTTCATGTAGCTTCAGGGCTTTGTCATGTGATCTGTTTGCCCGGGGCTAGTTTGGGTTTCCTCATAGCATGGTAGCCTCAGAACAGTCTAACTGCTTGCATGGCAGCTCAGCACTCCAGCAAGAATGTACCAGACAGCAAGGTGGAAATTGCACTATCTTTTTCTTTCCAAATTATCCTCAGAAGTAATGCAGTATTATTTCTGCTGCATTCTATTGGGTACAAGTGAGACACAAACCCACTCAGACTCAAGAGACAGGCATTCAACTTTACCTCTTGATAAGGAGGTGCCTAGGAGAAGGTGTGGGATGGGTGATGACATTGTGGCTATGTTTAGAAAAATACAATCTGTCCCACAGACTGAAGTTAGCAATGCACTGGAAATCTCACAGAGGGGGAAGCCATTCCCATTCTCATTTTTCACATGTATAAACCAAGGCGAAGCATTTCTAAGCTGCTTGTGGTCACACAGAGGCAGGGAAGAAACTATCACATGTGTTACTTTGACATATATACAACTTTAATGATGAATATAATGTATGAAAATTACTTTTTAAAGTATAAAATACGGCATCATTTATGGTAGTCATTCATTACAATTTGAAAACATCTCTGAAAAGTTTATCTCTGAAAGTTTGACATATTACCAAGGAGAATGAAGCTCTCCTTGGAAAGTTTAATCCACTCAACTTGATCTTCCCTGGGAAAGTATTTGGGTATTTCCTAGTCTCATATAATAGAGAACTTGGCAAGTAAAAATGATAGCCAACATTGGCCTTGCACAATGTTCCCCACTGAAATAGCCAGTACGCTTATGGATAAGAAATGCTTGCCTTGGGCTGGGGTTTAGAAAACATAGGCCTGTGGATGGGAAAAGGCAACAGTTCTTGTCCATCTACTGTCCACTGAAAGGATGTCCTGCCTGGCAGCACAAAAGCATCTGCAAACTGAATTTCCCCATTTCCTCTCCGGAGTTCAGTCAACTCTCATTTCACTTCATCCTGGGTTTTGCCCATTTTAGTTCTGATTTTTTTATTAAAGGTTGGGTTTTTTAGCATATGAAAGTTCTTATGTTAGGACATTTAATTAGTGGTGGAATGTCATTAGTTTTCTTTTGCTCTGGTGTGTGTGTGTGTGTGTGTGTGTGTATGTAGAGGGGTGAGAACATTGACTAGCTGAAATGCTTAGATTCACAAACTCGTTTCTTCTGATTGCAGCTTTGCTTGCACGTTGTCTGCCACTTTCTGCTCCTTTTGTCATCTATTTTCTTTACTGGATCGTGAGTGAGAGTTGATGTAGGCAGGGGACAGCGTGTGGGTGGTTAGCCAGGTTTCTTGATTCAGATGCGCCCTCTACCGTTGATAGAGTGAAGTGTAATTTCTTTATTGTGCTTACTCTGGAAGAGGGGAAGCATGTCTGATTTTGCGGTTTTCTTTGATCTCTGAAGGACCCTTTATTTTATTCTTTTTGCCTTCTTTCTGGATATCACCAAGTCTCCAAGGGGCAGTGCCCTTCCTAGTTTCCCTCCTCTCTCCCAGTAACCTCGCCTTTCCTACGGCTGTAGCCTCCAGTCTCACACTGTCTGGTATTCCCACTCAGGATGGGGCCTGTCCTTCCAGGGGTAATGTGATCTGGGCTGCATCACCCCGGGCTATGCACACTCCTGCCCTTCTCCACTTGTCCTCTGTGGTCCCCGCCCAATGCTCTAGACAGGGGCGGGCTCCGGAGCCTGCCTGGCTGGACCTGGATACTTCTCTCACTACTTACAGGAAATTTGAAGTCTGTAGAATTTTGTCTCTTAGTAATCCTGAGGGCTTGTGTAAACAATGGTTTTATTTGCTCTATTTGTTGATTTGGGTAAATTTTTTTAAGTTATGGTAAGAGATTTGGATGCAGGCAACCACCATTATTCTACTGAAATTCAGAGTTCCCTATGTGTTTAAATAATAATGCCATTTACTGTGCTAAAACATCCATTTACCCAAATCTATTTGCTCTTCACAATACAAGCATTTCTTAGTGCAACAGTATATATAGCTTTTTAAACAAGGAACCCTTTGTAATAACTAAATGCATACACACACACATACACACACACACACATAATTGTTTAAATTCCTTTCTGACCACTATAGCATACTTGAAGCTACAATTCTTAGATATCATCAGCCATCACCAAAACAAGCAAACTTCCTACATCAACTGCATCAGCAAAGGGCACAGCACCCTTGATAGCATCTGCTGTCCTGAATAAAACTACAGGTTGCAGGAGTTGCTGGCAAAGCCGCATGTGATTTTCCAGTTGCCTTGGGGTAGCAGGCAATTGGCCAATTTCAAGCAGCGCCATCCGGTGCCACGTGCCAGCCCTGCTCTGACACACTGTGTCCGTCAGTGTCTCACTGTGCTAACCTGGCCTCGGCCCTGGAGTAGACACTGCAGGTGCTGCTCGTGTCCCCTCTTCCACGACAGCCTGCTGGACTCCACACAGCCAGCATCCCCGTCTCCTTGCCTGAGGGTTCCTCTGGCTCTTGGAATGAGCTTTTCCCAGGGAGAGGCCTGAAATGCTGGGAATCAGTTCCCAGACCCCAGTAGCCCTCAATCTACAACTGATGAGAGCGAGTGTGAACACCTGCCCTGCACCTCCCACACCTCCACCCCTCGTGGGATAGTCAGCTTCCCGGCAGGGGTAAGCTCTAGCTGTCCATGGGGTAAATTATTGATAATACACTCCATATTGTTGCCTCCCTCCCTTGCCTCACCTCCCCACTTTCCTAGGGGTTTCCTGGGACCGCCTTCCCCATCAACTACTTGCATTCTAATCAAATCCTTGTTCAGAGCCGGCTTCGGGAGGAATTCAGATCCAGACAGCTCCCCAGCTCAGGGCCTCACCTCCAGCCACCCAGAGCCTTTGCCTGGACAGGAATCACCCAGGTCAGAGACAGCCCCAGCTGGGTCCCCATCCAAACAGGGCAGGAATGAGAGGGGACGCCCAAAAACCTGGGGGTCTAGGGAAGCTCAGGAGAAGGCCCTGATGAGAGTTTGCAGAGAACCCTGGTGTGGCATGGCTGAGACTCAAAGGGGCAGTGATGGGGAAGGCCATCTACAGTCCATGACAAAGGCCTGTGCACACAGTAACTTCTCTGCTGATGTTTGTGGGATTAATAAATGAGCAGGAATTTAGTTTGAGAAAACCGTATGAATATAAACCCTGTTAAACACAGAAAGTTTTTCCAGTTACAACTCTAATATAACAAATATTTGTTGTGTTATGATCTGATACAGCAACACACTACCACCAGGATGAGCGAGAGCTGGGATTTATAGACTCCCACCCACCACCAACGTGGGGCACTCAAGAGAACCCACCACTGACCATAGGCGGCCGCTGCTTTGAATTCCTGGGTGGGGTCACATATTAAGAGAGATGGAAATGGTTTAAGCTTGTCTTCAGACACTCACTGTCCAAAGCTGCTAGGCATTCTAGGCTCCTCCTGTTGCAGGCCTGAGCTGGACAGCCAGCATACAGGTAGGCAGGGGATGCAGTCAAACCGTCAAACACCTGTTGAATGGCCATGAAGTCAATACATCTCTGTACCAGGTAGGAAATACCTTAATAATTAAGACAAGGGACAGATCAACTTGAGTGATGCTTTAGAAGAGGCCAGACTAGCACATGAAGCTGATGAGTTTGGTTCATGCCAAGTAGGAGGAAGGGAGGCATTTAGAACACAAGAGAAGATGCACATTTACAGGTAGAATCAGGCTTTTTCCAATTCTTGGGGACATCAGTTAATTAAATCAGCCGTTATTTTTAAACTTTGTTATTCAATAATAACATTTTAATAGTTATCTTTTTTTTTTTTTTTTTAAGACAGAGTCTCGCTCTGTCGCCCAGGCTGGAGTCCATCTCAACTCACTGCAAGCTCCACCTCCCAGGTTCAAGTGATTCTTGTGCCTCAGCCACCCAAGTAGCTGGGACTACAGGCGTGCATCACCACGCCTGGATAATTTTTGTAATTTTAGTAGAAGCGGGGTTTCACCATGTTGGCCAGGCTAATCTCAAACTCCTGGCCTCATGTGATCCACCCACCTCAGCCTCCCAAAGTGCCGGGATTACAGGCGTGAGCCACCACGGCTGGCTAACATTTTAAAATACGTATCTCATGCCTGACATTGGCTTAGGTGCTACGCATATGGCAAGGAACATATAGGCTTGATCTGGACCTTTCCTTCAAGAGTTTTAGTGGGAAAGACAGACCAATCTAGTGTGGTCAATCCATTGGATATTTCATGAATAATTCTCCATTCATCTTTGTCTGATACGGGCCTGTGGACCCTGGTCATGTGCAAGCCCAGATAAGGAAGGGTTAACTGTCTTGTCATTAACACCTCAAACAATAAAACAGATTTTTCAATTAGCGCTTAACTTAAAATGTAAAGCCAAATTACACTACCTTAGTAACCTACCATGGGAAATGGAACCATTCTTTGACGATGCATGGTCATCAATAACCTTCAGTACATATGTTTTAGGTTTCGTATTCCTAGCTGTAGGGGGCACAGTAATTGCAAGCACTGGGTTAATGAAGATTGGCCACAGATGGATACCTGGAAATACTTTTCTTGAAAAAAAAAAAAAAAGTGTATAATCTTCCTTCATAGCTCTTTGCCTCACTCATAAAAAGCTTGCTAAATAGGCCTTGCGCTGTGGCTCAGGCCTTCAATCTCACCACTTTGGGAAGCCAAGGCAGGTGGATCACTTGAGGTCCAGAGTTTGAGACCAGCCTGGCCAACATGGTGAAACCCCGTCTCTACTAAAAATATAAAAATTAGCCAGCTGTGGTGGTGGGTGCCTGTAATCCCAGCTATTTCAGAGGCTGAGGCAGGAGAATCACTTGAACCCAGAAGACGGGGGTTGCAGTGAGCAGAGAAATCGTGTCACTTGGTAAAGGGTACGCAGATGTCAGATTTCCTGAATGATGCAACACTCATGCTTTTCTAAACAGATCCCCAAAGCCAGGATACAAGGAGATTTCCTAACCTCCAGAAAGTCACCTATTGCAAAGTCATTATCGATGTTCTCTTTCTTGGCAATAATAAGCGAATTCTACACACTCCTTACAACATGTAGTCACTGCCCACTGAGCATCCATCCACGTGTCTTCTATGTCCCAGATGTTCTTGCATTGGGGAGGGTCTATGTGACTGAGTTTGGGCCAGTAAAATATGGATGGAAGTGACATATGCCACCCTCACTCATGGCATTTAAAGTGAGGTCACGTGTCTCCAGCCTTCTCTCCCTTTCTGCAATAGCCTTGTAAACTATATGTTCCAGATGACATGATACAAGATTAAAACAGCCTGGATCCCTGCATTATCACCTGGAGAAGAGCCACCCAACCAAGATCATGTGGTGGTTGTGGGTTTAGTGGCTCGCTGCAACCACTCTTTCATCTCTCTATTACTAGGAGAACTAAAATAAAATGAACTTCCTTCCTATTCTTCAAGACCTCTATTATTTACCTTGTTACATGTAAAGCCACAGCACAAATGCTGAGTGCACACCCCATGCCAGTTAAATTCAAGTATTATGTGGCATAGCTCCTTTAATCTTCTCCTTTGAAGCAGGTGCTATTCTTATTTTCATTTTACATATGAAGAAACTGAAGCCCAGAGAGGTTAATTAGTTTGCCCAGAAATCCCCAGCTTGTAAGTAGATTCACGAGGGTTGCAACAGAGGCCACCTAGCTCCAGAACATGTGTTTTTATTCACCACACTGTCCCACCTCTCCATCTGGCCTTTCGTTTCAGCACCAGTCATATTCTTGAGCACTAGGCATTTCCACTAACACAGTGTTGGCTGCTGGGTGGACTCATGGTGAGACCCTTGAGTCCCACTTGGCTTGCTCTACTTTAAGAGAAGCTCATTACATCCAGATCTCAGTGGGTAGCAGGGCGTGTGACATCTGAGCAGAGAATGGGACACCCTGGTCTCTTATCTCAGTGGGTAGCAGGGCATGTGACATCTGAGCAGAGAATGGGACACGCTGGTCCTTTGTGATTGTATTTTTAAAGAGGCACTGCTTCTTCAAAACATATCAATTCGGGACCACTATCGGAAGCTGTCTTCACAAACAACCCTAGGTCATGATTATTCCCTTGCTATTTTAATGCTTTCCTTTTAACTGAATTCTAGGCAAATGCAGCCTTAAAATTATATAGCTGCCTTCATGATAAGTGAAATTTCTCAAGGAATATCTCCCACATTAACAATTCATGCTCTGAATCACATTACACTCTGGACCAAGAGCTGAGTCAATGAGGCATTGGTGTTTTGTATTTTTGTTTCTGTATTTTTCTGAACGGTTCAAATCATATACAATGAGTAGATATTGTCTTTATAATCAGAAATAAAAGCTATTATCTGTTAATGAGGTGCTAGCAGAAAGGAAATGATTGAACTATTACAGAAGCCATAATATCGCTTCTTTAGGGCAAACACGCTGACCTCCAGAAATAGGCTGATTTTGCTATGCTTAGGCAAACCACAGGTTTCATGTATTCTTTCCCCGGAGGCACAAAACATGCTGGTAACAATAAAAACCACATCCATCGCACTAACTCGAGCTCTGTAAGCAATACATGGTATACTTTTGAAAGCCATGGCATGACTAGATTGTCTAACCACTGAAAGTCTTATTTTAGAAAATCTCAAAGTGTTCAAGCAAGAAAAATATTAATACTTGTTTTTCCTGTGCTTGGGTCTGGGGACACTTATCTGAGGCTCTCTGCTTGGCTACAATTTGACAAGCACGGCCAGAATGAATCAATTTTTCATCCTAGGGGTCAACATAGATCCTGGAATTTGAACACATTTCTTATTCAAATCCCAGCTTCCACGTTCTCTCATCTTGGGATCCTAAGCAAGTTAGCTATACCCCGCTGAGGTACAGTTCTAGTGACCCGTGCCCTGAGGACTGTGCTGTAAGAATGAGTTGAGATGATCTCTCTGGGATGCCCAGCCCAGGGCCTGGCCCAGAGAAGAGCACTTAGCTCAGCACCTGGGCATGGTAGCACTCAGTAAGTATTAATGACACTATTAATAATTAGGAGGATTTTTTTTTTAATCTGTGCTTTGAATGCCTGGTATCACTTTGACACACAGGACACAGCATTTGCTATATAAAACTGGCTGGATTTAGGTGAGAACTGAGCCAGAAATCAAACACCCTCCAATCCTCTCACTGAGACATCTTTCTGAGCTGGACCTGGAATTGCAAGGAATATGGCTCAGTCTCCTTTTTACAGATTTGTGATGATCCAAGAAGATAAATCCTCCCGTCACTACCATTATTGCTCTCGTGGGATCACCCACATGGCCTTATTTTCTCTTTTAAGTTACTTATAATTTCCTTGTGGACATTTCTACCTTTTGACTTAGTGATGTTCTAAGTCCAAACTCTACTCTGAGTCAGGACCCAGATGCTCCGACGCTGGTTTTTGGCTGTAAGGAAATGGAGAAGGGGAATCCCAGGAGTTGTAGTGGTTGGGGGGCCAGGAATACAGTCCCAGGCACTAGCAAGGCAACTCAGGTGGTGTCTCTGGGCCTCGCTTTCCTTCTTTGTACCCCACAGGGCCCTCCGAGGTCCCAGAAGTTCCCTAACTTCAGAACAGGTGTCCTTCCTCCAAATGTCCCCAGCCCACTGCCCCATTACTTGGTGTGGCCCAGTTCCTGGCCCCAAAGAAGCTCAGGGTTTTCCCTACCCAGCGTCTGCTCCAAGCTAAGAATCAGCCCGTGTTTGGGATGTGTCATGGAAAGTCTATGCTGGGCTTTGCAGTCAGCACTTCTGGTTCCAAATCCTGGCTCTGGCAGTACTTATTGGATTTGTGACTTGGGACCAGTTCACTTAACTTCTCAGAGCATTTGTTTGCCCATCTGTAAAGTGGGGATCAAGGCATTCACCCCACAAAACTGTGAGTACCCCAAATAAAGTAGATAAAGTTCCCACCACAGTGCCTCACACACAACTAACAGTGCCAAAATAATAAATGCTCTAATTACAAGGACTTGGGCACATACTTTGACATTTCTAGGATTTAGTGTCTCCTTCTGTAAAATTGGGTGACATGATTCAGTGATTTTTAGGGTCTTTTGTTATCTCAAATTCTGAGTCTATGTAAATGTTCATGCAACTGGAATTTGCCATCTTGTCTGAACCCTAAACACTCTGTTTCTTCTGTGGCACCTGGCAGGGAGCCCTATGCATGTAGGCAATTTATAAACACCCGGGGCAACGCCCTCTGCATTTCTAAAGTTACCTCTTCTGTATCAGGGGACTTAGTTTTTCCTTCCCAAGCAAATGAAAATATATTCAGGTGGACTCCAAACAAAGGCATGCTTTTTTCCTCCTTTGAAAATACAGCTTCTGTAGCATCGTTAGCCTTTTTAGGAATTTCCTTGGATTTGGAACACACCAGTAAGACTGTGGATTGTAGCATGTGTTGATTGTAATCACACACCCAAAGCCTCCCAAAATTCAATTACATTTTGGTGGCTCCTAAAAAAGTGACATTTGACTTTTAAAAATGGCAAAATTAAAAAACCAGGAAGGCCACAACACAAGCCTTTGCTCCACGCCAGTGTTTTGAGTGTTTATTCACAGCATTTCACAATTCGTCTGGAATGAAAACTAAACCAGAGAAATTAAAAATTCCATGTGAATAGAAAATCCCATTTATTATAAGGAAGATCTCGTCTCAGCCAGAAATGAATACAAACTAGTATAAGAAAAATCATGGCGAACATCTCTGCTCTGCAGAAAGAGAGCCCCCGTTTACTTGAAGAATTCGTTTTAAATGGTCATTTCCTGGAACCATGAGGCGACAGGGAGGTCAGGTCTATCAACAATTTATAAAAGCCTATTAAATCCCATGGGTCAGTTTTATAGTAACTGGAGTGTGGAATTTTAATCTCCTGGCATGGAGGGGAAATGTGGAAGAATGCAGAGCTGAAGTTCTGAAACAGCATGTTTCTTTGTAAGAGACATTGGGGCTACCCCACCCCAGGCTTCTCGATAGGTGGGACCCTGCTCCAAAGGCCCCAGTGGGGCAGATGAGCATGAAGCAGAAGGGGCCTAGTGGGGTGAAGAGGGAAAGAGATTCAGGGACTTGGAGTCTCTTCCCCTGAGATTTCCAGGGGTTCCACCTGTGCCCTTCCCTGTGTTCTTTGGCCCTGAGCACACAGTTCTTCTAAACCTCCTACATTTAAAAAGACCAACACTCTACCATGAAGGATGGAGGGAGAAGCCAGGATAAAACAATTCCCTCCCGGATGGACCCGCCCCTGAACACCTCCTCCTTCCTCCCTCACTCCTTTTCCTATTTTATCTGTCAACAAAAAGAGTCCAACTCTGTAAAATATATGAAGAGATTTATTCTGAGCCAAATATGAGTGATCAGTGGCCTGAGTTAGAGCCCAAGGAGATCCTGAGAACATGTGACCAAGGTGTCAGGCTACAGCTTGGTTTTATACATTCTAGGGGGACATAAGACATCAATACATCTAAGACATAATCAATACATGTAAGATGTACACTGGTTTCGTCTGGAAAGGCAGGAAAATCGGAAGGGAAGGGGTTTCCAGGCTGTGGGCAGATTTGAAGATTTTTTCTTTCTTTCTTTTTTTTTTTTTTGAGACAGGGTCTCACTCTGTCACCCAGGCTGGAGCGCAGTGGCGTGATCTCGGCTCACTGCAGCCTCCACCTCCTGGGTTCAAGCAATTCTTCCACCTCAGCCTCCCGAGTAGCTGGGACTACAGGCAGCCGCCACCATGCCCAGCTAACTTTTGCATTTTTAGTAGAGATGGGGTTTCACCATGTTGGCCAGGCTTGTCTCGAACTCCTGACCTCAGGTGAACCATCTGCCTCAGCCTCCCAAAGGGCTAGGATTACAGGCGTGAACTACAGTGCCTGGCCACATTCAAAGATTTTCTGATTGGCAATTGGTTGCAAGAGTTATTATCTAAAGACCTGGAATCAATAAGGGGTTGTGGAGAGTAAAGTTTTGTCATGCAAATAAAGCCTCCAGGTAGCAAGCTTCAGAGAGAAGAGATGGTAAATGTTTCTCATCAGACTTCAAGAATCTGTTCTATCAGTCTTAAGGTTTCTGTGTTGATGTTAATGTTGGTCAGCTGTGCCTGAATTCCCAAAGGGAGGAGGGTATAATGAGGCATGTCCGACTCCCACTTCCCATCATGGCCTGAGCTAGTTTTTCTGGTTAACTTTGGAATGCCTTTGGCCAAGGGGAGGGGTCCATCAGTTAGTTGGGGGACTTAGAGTTTTATTTTTGGTTTACATACCAAGGAAATGAAAAGAAGTTAATGGTTGACTTTAGGGCACATAAAAGATTGAGGCCAGAGAACGCCTGGGTAAGTCTTTAATAAGCTATACACATCACAAAAATATTTGTTAGTATTAGTATTTCTATTTGAGAAGGAAACTGTAAAACCAGATTGCCTGGGTGGAGCGAAGCCGGAGGCTCTGACAGCCTGTGGAGGGTGAGGCTCCTAACTGCAGCTGAGTCCCATACTCAGCTAAGCAATGGAGGGCCCTGGGGCGGACATACTCCTTAGGCTGTTTGCTTTGGGAGAAGCAGTACAGCTTGGCACTTAGGAGTTTGGACTCTGTCAGTGGACAGAGCTGGTCCAAGACCTGTTCTACCACTGATTAACATGAACTTCAGCAAATGCTTGTGTTCTCTAAGCCTCTGTTTTTCCAGTGTAAATTGGGTAAAAATACTCATCTTCAAGACTGGTGTAAGTATACAATAAATAGCACATGGACTGTGGCAAGTATATGAGTGACACACATGTGCTTAATAAATTAGTGATGTCACCTCTCAGCAGTCTATCTACAGTCTCTTTTTGAAATCAGGTGGTGTCCTCAGCCCCAAATTGGAAGGGTAGGCATACCTCCACCAGTCAGAAATCCTCTGCAGTTGAGGGAGCCAGATGCTAACATCCAAAATACCGACTTCAATGGGGGCCCCATTTGCAGGGAAGATACGCAATTTAGTGAAATGAACCAGCAGTCAACCTTTGCACTGCCACGTTTTCACAGACTTTGGAGACCATAGTTGGCAACATAAAATTTTGCACTTATTGCCATCCTATTACACGAGTTAACCCTAGGATAACATCTCCATATCCTTTTCTTAGACAATTTTATCCTCTTTAGGCTTTCTATATTCTGAAAACTGCTACCAATGCATTTGTAGCCCAAAGCTCTCTTTCAAGCTCCAGACTCCCAGATATTTAACACCTCCTTGGGTTTTCACAGGCTCATCAAACTTAACACATACGAAGTGGAACTCTGTATTGCTCTGGCTTCTTTTCCTACCAGATTGATCATCTCCTTAAATAATGCCTCCATGAATGTGGGTGGTCAGTAATGGGCCATCCTTGACTCTTCTGCTCTCCTCACATCTAATTCACCACAGCTTTGCTGGGTCATTCTCCAAATTTTGCCTCCAATTCTTTCCTCTAGCCAGGGACCAGTTTCTGAATGATCACAGTCTTCTCCTATCTGGTCTCACTGAGGCCACTCTTGCTCCACTGAAATGCTGTCTGTGATCAGCAGTCAGGGTGAACTTTGTAACACCAAATCCTATTACATCATCCTATTCACAAGAGAGAACAATGGCTTGGAATGGGACAATGGCCATGGAGATTCAGGGAAGTACAAAGCGGGTACCCTGCCTGTTCAGTGCCTGACAACACAATTGGTACCCAATAGTGATTTGATGAGCAAATGCATGGATCCCACTCCCTTGTGTCCTTTTTCTAGAATACGAATAATTTTCTCAAGGCATTTTCAATTCCTTTACATGCCACAGTGGCAGAGGACAAGAGAGACTCATGGCTTTTTCTGACTAAAGATTCCTCTTGGAATTCCTCTCTGCAATCTCTGACTCTTGATCTTTTTCCCGCTTCTTCTCTAGTTGCAAAAATATTGCTTTTATTATATGCTCCTGTAAGAAAAATACTATGTGCCCAGTTCACATTCCTATCTGACTTCCTTTGGAGACATAAATCAGAGTTGGGTTGTGTTGAGTTCTTTATGCAACTCCATCATCCTGCCCTCTTCAGCAATCCCAGGGCTCTCTCCTGATTCAGTGAACTGGTACTTGGCTGCTCGGGGGTGATAGGTGAGATACATTCATATTTATGTCATTTTAGATGCATTATGTAAGTTGAGTTCAGAAACCTGAGCTCTGTCTTGAAAAATTCCCTGTGAGATAAAAGAGAGGAGCCTATAAAGGCCTCCATCCCCTGCCTATGGTAGCTGGTTGACAGCCCATAAACACAGTTGCTCCATGGGACAGAAGCTCAGGGTCAGAATGCAGGAAGCTCCAAGGTCATGGGAACTGGGTGCTGGTCAGGGGCAAATCAAGGGCATGATGGTGATTTTTATATGAAGCTAAACATATTTCCTTTATCTTTATTATATATATATAATATTTTATAATATTTATCATCTAGTATATATTATTTTATTTTTATTATCACAATCCATGATGTGATTTTAATAGTGATTGTAACCAGATCACTGTATTATCAGGCATTTTGAAATTGTACCGCACATCTCCCAAATACAGTCATTTGGCCTCTCATGCACCTCAGCCAGCAGGAAGGAGAAGCTGCCGTTCATTAAGCATCAATACCTCCAAAGAGATGTACCTGGCACTCAGCAGTACCATGGAGAGATCACAGAAACCAGTCAGGGTGGTCTAATAGACAGCACGCCACCAAATCAAAGCTCAGGAACCACCCACCTCGCTTGGCCCTTTCTTTAAGCCTTCAGCTCCCATTCTCTGCTTTCACCCACCTCAGAAGGTGCTAAGGCCTCCCCAACAACAGCAGAACAAGACAAGATGGAGGCAACTCACACCCAGCCCTTTGACCTGGAATAGCTATTTACTGCTGAGAATGCCTGACTCTATTTTCTGATTGTGTGCACTGGTCACACTTCCTGGATATCTCATCAGTTTCTAATTTTACACCTAGTTATGGGTTGAATTGTGTCCCCACAAAGAGATATGTTGGAGTTCTCACCCCTACTAGCATTGGATATTACCTTATTTGGAAATGGGGTCTATGCAGATTTAACTAATTTAGATGAGGTCATCAGATGAGCCCCAATCCAACAGGAAAGGGGAAACCTGGAGGACGATGTGAGGACACTCAGGGAGAATGTGTGAGCATGGAGGACTGGAGGGATGCATCTACAAGGCATGCTTGAGGCTTCCAGAAGCCGGGAGGCCTGGAACAGCTCCTTCCCTACCACCGTCAGAGGGAGCACAGCCCTGCCAACACCTTGATTTCAGACTTCTGGACTCCAGAACTGTGAGACAATAAATTTCTGTTGTTTCGAGCCACCTTGTTTGTGGTATTTTGTTACAGCAACCCTAGAAAATTAATGCATGCCTGTATTTCTACACAGGGACACCCTGAGGTTATTACAGAGTCATTGCTACAAGTGTAGGTCCTGGTGTTTGACAGACCAGGAGTGAATTGTGGCTTCCCCACTTTCAAGCTTTGTGACTACAGACAAATCACTCCATCTCTCTGTGCCTCAGTTTCTATAATTTGGGGAAAAAAGCATAAAACGACTTCATGCATACCAGGGGGATGAGGCACGAAGTGATCATCTCACAGGCTGGTCAGGGTTCTGAGATGAGGCAGCCATGTGAAGTCCTGAACAGAGGTCTGGCTCAGGCAGTGCCGGGACCCTTTTAGCTGCTGGGATTATTCCTTGGGATCTTGGAGTGCTTGTCAGTGGAAGCTTGTGTCTCTTGTGACATGAAACCCAAGATCAGCATGGTTCCAGGGCTGGCTTCGTGGCACCCAAACTGTTCAGTCACACAGGGCCCTGCATTCAGAAGGGCCCCATCCTTGGTTTAATGTCAGATGCTGCTAGAAAATCACATCATATGGGGATCAAAGACTGACCACTGGATTTGAAAACAGGGGGGTCATCGGTGACCTTGACAAAATCAGTTCAGGGGGCAGTATCCTGGCTAGAGTGGTACAACGGAAGAAGTGGAGGAAGAGACTTGGGGACAGTGAGCACCGATGCACTCGTAAAGAGTTCTTTGTAAAATGAAAGCTGAGAAAAGATGTGGGAGCTGGAAGTAAAAGTGGAGTCAAGAGAAGGTTCTCTAAAGTTGGGCCATACTACAGTATGAATCCAGCTGGATGGAAATGACCCAGGAAACAGGGTGAGAAACTGGTGACCCAGCAAAGAGCGGGACAATTGCTGCAGTAATGCCCTTGAGTATCTGAGAGAAGCCTGGGTGGACTGCATAACTGAGAGCGCGCATCTGTTCTATCCACGGAAGCAGGAGGGAGCTGGAGCCTACAGTCGGCATGCAGGTGGCTTGGTAGTGTTTGGGAGTCATGGAAGTTCTGCAGATTAGTTCTAGTTTCTGTGCAACAGAGCAAGATCCTGTCTCAAAATAACGAGAGAGTGAGGAGGGCAAGAGGAGGCAGGAGGAGGCAGGAGGCTTGAGAAGGGAGAGTCGGAGTGGAACAATCATTCAGGGCATGTTTTTTTCAAAGCCCATTAGTGGGTTGTGAAAGCAATTTAGAAAAGCTGCTGTCAGAGCGTTTTAATGAAATGAAAGAGGATAGGATCAGAGAGGAGAAGAAAGGAAATACCAAAGCAGTGTTAGTTCCCCAAACTCTCCTTCACTCCTATGCATATAAAAATGTAATTTGAAAAACAAGTATGTCGAAGATGGATCCGAAGAGGTGTGTGGATGGACTACGGAAAGGGAGCTGGACCCCTCGAGACCGACAGCCGTGAATCCCTTAAGGATGCCGTGGTCTTCCTGGCCATGTCCGTCTGCCTGGTGCAGGGACAGCCCAGGGGAAGTGTGCTTCAGCAGGGGTTGGGGTTGAGTTCGGGGAGTGCCCTGAGAGAGACCAGGCAAGAGAAATGAGGAATACGCAAAGGAGGTGTTATGTGATATATTATGAAACATATACCTGGTCTTTAACCCTGTTTCCTGCCATACAACTCCAAAAATCCTTAGAATCTCCAAAGTGATGTTTCTGCATGCTAATGAGCTGATTGACAGCTGGCAGTCCCTGGTTACAGGAAAGACCAAGGCAGGATTAGAGGACTGGGACTTTGACCACTGTCTCACCTCCAGGGACAGGAGAGGGGCTGAAGGTTAAGTTGATCACCAATAGCCAATGGTTTGACCAGGCAGACCTAGGTAATGAAGCTTCCACAAACACGCCAAAGGCCTGCATTCAGAAAGCTTCTTGGAAGCTGGCCTCCCCCTGTGCTTCTCTTCATCTGTATCCTTTGCAATATCCTTTACAATAATCCAATAAATATTTGTGTTTCCCTGAGCTCTGTGAGCTACTCTAGCAAATTAGTTGAACTCGAAGAAGGGGCTGTGGGAACCCCCACTTGATGCCGGGTCTGTCAGCAGATCCGGAGGCCGGGACTTGCGGCCCTAGTGGGAAGGTGGGGGGGGGGGGTGGGGGCAGTCTTGTGAGACTCAGCCCTCACCCTGTGGGAATTGAGCTGGAGGATGCCCAGCTGGTGTCCACTACTTGGTGTGTGGGGAAAAACCCCACACATTTGGTCACAGAAGGCTTCTGTGTTGGTGATTGTTGTGAGAGCAGAGGAAAAACACGTTTTTGTTTTTTTCACGTACAGGTTATACGTGAAAACATGGAATTCTTGCTGGGAAGGAGGCAGCAGGAGGTGGAAGAGGGACAGAGGCTGGGGGCAGAGCCATGAGTTGCAGAGCTTGGTGGTGACTGAGCGGAAGCAGCTCCGCAGGGAAAACAAGATTTCACATTTCCTCCTCCAGATGGAGGGCAGGGGAATTGTGTCCCCTTAGAAATGCTCATTTGCAGAGAGGTTCTGTTAAAATGGCTCATTGGGAAATGCTTTAAGGGTCAGAGGGCTTTCTCCTTGCCTCTGCGCTGGGCTTTTCACATGGCATGTAAACAATTTTGAAGTCAAATGGTATCATAGCTGGGTCAATTTCTCCAGCACTCACCCAACATTGTTTTCCTCAAAGGCAGTCCTGTTAAATTAAATAATCCTTAATTGCATAGTTCCTTCAGCTCAGTCAACCTTCAACAGTTATTTTGCTAAATTTATTACTTTTTATCTTTGCTTCTAGAATGATATTTATTTTGTAAAAGCATCATAATCCTTGTGAAATATGAAGTCTTAGTTCTTATGCCAGGCTCTTTTTGTCTCTCTAAAAAACTTGAGCATAGCTTTTCCTGGAGCCTTTCATACCTTCATTACACCATCTTCCATGAGAAATAGAAACAATTCCTCAGAATGTTAAAGACCAACTACAACCAAGAGGTTTAAATGCGCTTATAGGAAACTATAGCTAAAATATTCGCTTTTCCTTTTCTGCTGTTCATTTTCTTTTGCTCTTGGGGTTGATTACTTTTTCTCTTACAATAATTATTTTTATTGTTTATTGATTCTTAAGCTAAGTGAAATATACCTTAGTAAAAAACTTTCAAAAGAGGTTGATTTCCACCTTATATCAGCAGTTCAAATTAGAGCTTATCATGATCCACCTCCTGAGGTCTTGAAACACAGTATTTAAAATATCTGATTTCATATGGCCCTGTCATGTTATTCTGCTTTCTCAGCCATTACTCCAGCTGCTGCATGCTCAGAATAGCAAACACATGGAATTCTTACTAGTGGTTTGTCACTGGTAGGAGCTTCATGTCAAATTGCAGCCGCCTGGTAACAACAACGTGCTTCATCTCTGAAATCTCTTGTGATCTGCTAGTTTGAAGTAATTTACATATCCAACCCTGTTACACTTCACTGGCAGGGCTTGTGCAACCTACCAGAGATGGAGGGTCGATGATGATGACTACGGCACAGAACGGATGGAGGTGGGAAGGTGCCTATGCATTCAGATACTCATGTGTATTTGAGTAAGGATTTGACAAACTACTAGCCTGGGTGGTGAGGGTGTGTGCTGTGCCCTGACCTAGTTAGAAGATTCTTCTTCAGATCTTCATATTCTCTGGTCTCCTAGACCCACAGCTTTCAATGTCCTCTATCCTATTCATTACTTACCCTTCAAGGAACTCAGAGCCAATAATAATAGAAACAGAAAGCTGGCCGGGCACGGCACGGTGGCTCATGCCTGTAATCCCAGCACTTTGGGAGGCCAAGGCGCGTGGCCAAGGCGCGTGGATCACCTGAGGTCAGGAGTTCAAGACCAGCCTGGCCAACATGGTGAAAGCCCATCTCTACTAAAAACACAAAAATTAGCTGGGCGTGGCGGTGGGCACCTGTAATTCCAGCTACTCAGGAGGCTGAGGCAGGCGAATCACTTGAACCCAAGAGGCAGAGGTTGCAGTGAGCCGAGAGTGCGACTTTGTACTCCAGCCTGGGTGACAGAGCGAGACTCGGTCTCAAAAAAAAAAAAAAAAAGAAACAGAAAGCAAAGTATTTCCAAGAAGAATATTTATATATCTATAGGTATCTTGTAATTATATTGAATATTTCCAATAAGGTCTAAAGGCATAAAAATCAGCACCAGAAGTGTGGGAAATAAGCACATAGAGGAGAGACGGTTTCTGGTGGGCCAGCATAACCTCTGAGGGGCCAGTAAGCCACACATGGCATCATGCTGTGTAATGTCAGTAAGAAACTCCTGCTCCTCATACGATCAGGAGGTCACAAGAAATGACAATGAATTATTCATAACAATCCACTCTGTCTGCCTGTGTGAGGATGAGAACAGGTATCCCACTCTGGCAAATGCTGCCACGCCCTGTCCCTGTGCCTTCAGAGTCCTAAATCATTTTCATGCACATTTGCAAGCCACAGCCAGCACCTGGGTCCCTGTCAGAGGATGCTCTCTATGGGACTCGCTTTGCCCGCATGCAGAGAGAGCTGGAAGCACTTGGGGCAACCCTTAGTCTGACTGATGCAGGGGTAGAGCGTCTCCAGAAAGCTGGCCTCCGATCTGGCTACTCTTGTGGGGCTCCCACTGTTTCCAGAGCATTCCAGTTTGCACCACTGCTCAGCTTCCTTGCCTCTGGCCCCCTTTCCCCACTCTCCTGTTTTCCTGTGAATATTTCTTCATCCATTTTCCATGAATCCTCACCTCGGGGTCTGCTTCTAGGGAACCTGGTCTGAGACCTTCCCTCATCTCCTGTTATAGACAAGGAGCCTGAGATGCTATTTAGATCAAAACATAGGGAGAGACCAGGCAGAACCTGGTTTGTTTCCCTCACAGACTTTCTCCATCGTGACACACAGTCTGGATCATTGGGACATGACGCTCTCCTAAGTTGTCCTCCACTTGTCCTGCAGGTACAGTTCTTGCCTCCCTCCCTGGACTGAAGCCCTCAGAGGGTCTGGGTCACATCCTCCGTCTCTCTCCATGTTTCGCAGGAGACTTGCATTGATTTTTTTTTTTTTTTTTGAGACAGTTTTGCTCTGTTGCCCAGGCTGGAGTGCAGTGGCGTGATCTCGGCTCCCTGCAACCTCTGCCTCTCAGGTTCAAGTGATTCTCCTACCTCAGCCTCCTGAGTAGCTGGGATTATGGGCACCTGCCACCACGCCCAGCTAATTTTTGTATTTTTAGTAGAGACAGGGTTTCGCCATGTTGGCCAGGCTGGTCTCGAACTCCTGACCTCAGGTGATCCACCCGCCTTAGCCCCCACAAAGTCCTGGGATTACAGGAGTGAGCCACCACGCCTGGCCAGGAGCCTCGCATTCTAAGTGGTGCCATAATGAACTCGCAGGAGCTCAGAAAACAGTACCCCAAAATGAGGGCCTCAGAAGCAAAAGTCATTCTCTGACCTCCTGCCCTCTGGTCTCTCAGTCCCATCCTCCCTGAGGCTAGCCAGAGAAACTAGAATTCTCCTTCAAAGTGGGTCATAGGACCCATAACCTCTTTTCCCCAGAGCCAGCCACAAAACCTAAACTTACTGCTGTAACTTTCCCTCCACCATTCTGTGTAAAAACTGGCCATAAAGAAACTGTCTGACCTACTGTGACTAACTATAGGTCATAAGAGCATTCCGGAGAGGGTCAGCTCCATACCTGGAAGAAAGGAATGCTGCTCAGAGAGACCAGGAGGAATCTAGACAGACAGGCCTTGCTGGATCTCCCCAAGCAGTCTGTTCGCACTCAATCAGACTGTTTGTCCAGTCACATTTCTACACGGCTGTCCATATTTGTTGAACCTAAACATAAACACAATTTCCCCTGTATTTTGGGTCTTCATTCTGAAGGCTCCTCTGTAGACACGTTAAGTAAATCTGTATGCCTTTTCCCCAATTAACCTGCCTTTTCTGAGTTGATTTTACAGCAAACCTTCAGCAGGTGAAGGAGAACTTTTCCCTTGGCCCCTACAAACTCCACGTTCCTTCCCTAGGTGCTCCAAGCCTCTCTTGTTTCTCACTCTTTTTTTTCTTTTTTTTTTTTTTCTGAGATGGAGTCTCACGCTATTGCCCAGGCTGGAGTGCAGTGGCGCGATCTCAGCTCACTGCAACCTCCGCCTCCCGGGTTCAAGCAATTCTCTTGCCTCAATCTCCCGAGTAGCAGGTGCGTGCCACAACGCCCAGCTAATTTTTGCATTTGTAGTAGAGATGGGGTTTCACCATATTGGCCAGGGTGGTCTTGAACTCCTGACTTCAAGTGATCTGCCTGCCTCAGCCTCTCAAAGTGCTGGGATTACAGGTGTGAGCCATCACACCCAGCTTATTTCTCACTCTTTGTACTTGCCGCTCCTGCCTGGAACCCACGTGTTATTAGTTAACACTGATGATTCCATCCACCGTAGCTTAGACATCTCTTCCATTGTGAATCCTTTTCTGATGCCCAGGAAAGGATGAAGTACCCCTTCTGTATGCAACCACATTGCCCTTGAATAGAAAGTGGTCTGGGAACCAACCTTGAATCTGCCCTTTCCTAGCCCTGTTCTTTGAAATGACTCTACCTCTGATCCCAACGTCCCATGGAAGCACAGTTTAAAAGAGGGAGAGTGCCTAAGCTGATACTAAAGTGTAGTAGGTTATTTGTATTATTTAGATCATATATGTGGTCTAAGGTCATCCTGTAAACTGTTTAGGGAAAGACATTAGCTGCAAATATTGGGGAAAACTAGGGTATGAGGTGTGCCCAGAGACAGTGTTTGTCATACGAAACACACACCATCTGTTAAGGCAGGAATCCCGGAATACAGAGAGGATGGGTGGGTGCCCCATCCATGACAGATGGCCAGGAGCAGCCTCCCACCATGAGGGAAGGACAGGGAGCTGTCTGACTGTCACTTCAGACATCAGACCTCACAGGACTGAGGGGATAAGAAGCTTTGAAGAAGCCACCCTAATAAAGCGCCTCCGTCAACCTAGGAGGACCATTCTCCCCATCTGTGCCTGGTCCATCCCACTGGCTGTCCCTCCTTCCCTCCCTCCCTCTGTAGCCTCCTTTTCTCACAAGCCATGAAACCTTCCAAAGGGTCTTGCCATCCATGAGGATGAAGTCACCTTCCTTCAACAACATTAGTCTAGCAGAGAGCCAGAGGAATCTCCTAAACCCACCCCATCCCACCCCCAAGATCCCTGTGCTTACTTCATAAAAGGAAGAGGGATAAATGCCTTTTCTAAAAAGACAAGAGCCTCTGACTTTGTGGGATCCCTAAATTATCAAGGAGAAAAACCATTGCAAAGGAAAGCAACAAAGAACTTGAATTAGGGGTCTTCCAGTTCAAACTCAACACAAGTATGTCTGTCTCTCAAGTCAAGCACTGACCACACTGTCCTGCCCTTCCCAGTCTGTGTAAGTATCCCCTGCTAGGCTGCTAGGTCCTTGAAGCCTGGAATCCTAAAGGAGCGCCTACACACATGAGTGCAAATGAACCTTTGAGCCAGCCAAGGTCCCACACCTCCCAGCAGAGCTGAAACCAGAAGCCAGTCTCCTCCAGTCTGGGTTTGTGCCTTCCTCACCAGCCACCCCAGGGATCAGTGTGCATGTGTGGCCTGAACACATACAATCAATGCCCACTGGCTCTAATTCAATGTCATGGTTTCCCAGAAAAAGAGGATCCCAAACTATCTTTCGGGTCTTCCCAAATTAGGCTTAATATAATTCCAAACAAATCCCCTGGAATAAAATTTCACTGGAAGAATTAATAAGTGAATTTGCCAAGAAGATTTGGGGGTGGGGGAGAAGATAAAAGGGCAGAAAGTGGCCTGGCACGGTGGCTCACGCCTGTAATCCCAGCACTTTGGGAGGCTGAGGCAGGTGGATCACTTTAGGTCAGGAGTTCGAGACCAGCCTGGCCAACATGGTGAAACCCCGTCTCTACTAAAAGTACAACCTGGTAGGCAGAGGTTGCAGTGAGCTGAGATCATGCCACTGCACTCCTGCCTGGGAGACAGAGCAAGACTCTGTCAAAAAAAAAAAAAAAAAAAAAAAAACGCAGAAAGTGAAGTGGGACTTGCCCTTCCTAGTAGAATTTGTATGTGTTATGGAGCTGGGGAAAGGCAGGTTTATTCACCAAATGATGCCAGACCTAGGGGAAAACTATGGGGAAAAAGGAATAAACTTTTGTTCCTACTCTATAAACCACCTGCCAAATGATCTCAAATGAATTTAAATAGTAATCTGAAAAACTGAAAGCATAAACATTAGAAGAAAATATAAAAGGCTAGGTAATTGATTGAGGAAGTGGAAAGGTTTTCTATGCAGAAGAGCCACTAAGGAAATTTTAAGAAAAAGCACAAACATTTGATGATGCAAAAGGTTAAAGATTTTGTATAACAAAATGTGTATCGCTGAAGCGATAAACATTTAGCACTTAAGCAAGGAAAGTCTGGATAGCAAGATGATGAGCGTTTAGGTTCCACGTCCCTTATCTGGACATGGGTGTGCTGAAGTCAGACACACCCAGGACTGCTAGGTCCTGCATAGACGAGGTGACTGGTCTCAGCACTCAACTTCCCCTGGTGTGGGATCCTGGCTGACTTTCCGAGACTCAAAGGTTTCCATGCACAGCTGCCCTCAGTTACCACACAGGACAGATGTCTGCTTCCATTCATGTTTTAAAAGTATTCTTGTAATCGAGCCATAGTTAAAATGCAATGGGGGAGTTCAGTATTTGGGAAAAATCGGTAACAATTTCTTTAATAACTAAAGTTCATCTAGCTAACTATTTAATCTAGCTTTTTTTAAATTTTGAATTCCTGATCTACCAAATAAAATCAGGTACATAAAAAACAAAAAGTCTCTTTATCCAATTTATTGGATTAACTTACTTAAAAAAAGACTTCACTCATTAAAAATACAAATGTTTCCAAATCTGATTTTTGAAATGACTCAAATTTTGAGAATTTTAAGCAAGTGGGGGGTTATGTATTAATACTCCATGTACTATCACTTGGCCAGATGGTATCATCAAATAAAAATGAGATATACACTCATAGTAGGAATTAGAACACCTCCCGAATCCGTTTCTCATTTGGATACTATAAAGTCCAGCAACGTCTTTTAAATCACTCTTAGGATGGTTTTTAAAACAAACCAGCATACCTTTATAACCATTCCTACATCAAACTGAATCAGGGGCTCTCAATCATGGAGCATCATTCAACGTTAGTAATGGAGGTTCTTACAACCAAAGCTTTTTGACCAGAATAAGACATCTCACACAGGCTGGAATACCCACAGCGTTAAAAAATTCAATTTTATTTTCTTAGACTCTTTCACAAAATGACTGTGTTTAAACTTTCACCTAACTATTAGTGAGTTTAAAAACAGTTTCTGCTACAAAAAACAGTGTCATTTAATCATTCATTCATTCATTCACTCATTCATTATGTGATTATGCTATTGAGTGGTTTTGCTAGCGGCTGTATTCACTTGTGTGGTTCTATTCACACTTTCAGCTGACATTCCACACTTCTCTGTGCTGATATACATATATATCTTATTTATTTATTTATTTATTTAGAGACAGAGTCTTGCTCTGTCACCCAGGCTGGAGTGCAATGGAGTGATCCTGGCTCACTGCAACCTCTGCCTCCCGGGTTCAGGGGATTCTCCTGCCTTAGCCTCTGAAGTAGCGAGGACTACAGGGGCCTGCCACCAGGCCCAGCTAATTTTTTTGGTATTTTTAGTAGAGACAGGGTTTCACCATGTTGGTCAGGCTGGCCTTGAACTCCTAACCTCAAGTGATCTGCCCACCTCAGCCTCCCATAGTGCTAGGATTACAGGCATGAGCCACTGCACCTGGCCAGGACTTTTAAACTCAACAGGTTAAAAATCACATTTAGGCCTGTGCATGGTGGCACACGCCTGTAATTGCTGCATTTTGGGAGGCCAAGGTGGGTGGATTACCCGAGGTCAGGAGTTCGAGACCAGCCTGGCCAACATCATGAAACCCCATCTCTACTAAAAATACAAAAAATTAGCCAGGTGTGGTGGCGGGCACCTGTAATCCCAGCTATTCAGGAGGCTGAGGCAGGAGAATCGCTTGACTCCGGGAGGTGGAGGTTGTAGTGAGCCGAGATCGCACCACTGCACTCCAGCCTGGGCAACAAGAGCGAAACTCTATCTCTAAATAAATAAATAAATAAATAAAATAAATCACATTCAGTGTTTCTTCCCTACCTTCTCCCTTGTTCGCACAGCACGATGACATGTGCATGCTCACACACACACTTGAACTCCACGGCTTGGCTAATGACCCATCAGCCTTCTAGTCATCTTCTTCAACTCCCCTTGTCACTCCCCATCCCGCCCCATCTGATAGGTCCATTTTTCTCAAAACACTCCTTCCCTTGACTTCTGTGACACCACCCTGTTTAATACATATCTCTAAATGAGAATTGTTACTTTTTGTGCTTTCGAAAAATCTACGAAACAAATCTTGAGATATATTTGCTCAGCATTGGAGACCTAGAAATGTCTGCAGATGAATGTTAAATTTGCACAGCTGTGCCTCTTTGATCACTTTCCGAAGGCTCCTCCACTAGCCCACAATTCTCCTTTGAGTCCCTGAAATTCTAACTCCAACTTCCTCACTTTGTCTCCTTAATTGCAATAAAGCCTCAATAGCTGAGGTTACTGGTCTGTGGAAGGTGCTCTAACAGTAGATTGAAGGCAAACTCTGATTTAAAAATACCTGATTTCAAACAATGGTTGCTTGTGAACGGGGGCTGCAGCTCCTATGAGGAGGGATTGCTGTTAGCAGGCTTCTGTTCCAGGTCTGAGACACCCAGAGAGTGACATTTACTTACTTTTCATAAGCAAATGTCCACACACACTTAGACACCCTAGAGAATTCACTTGGCCAGCACCCAAGGAGAGAGGAATGAGAGAACAGAAAATTCACTGAGCAGGTGTACTTTCTCACTCAATGGATGTAACTAGCCAAGATGAAATAGTGATCTCAGGACAAGAACCCTGAAGTTGCCACCCCATCTACAGAGCTGCGTTTGAGGGGATTCTCAGAGTTGGAAAGGCTGGTTGAAATCTGAAGGCTTCTGGGCAGCAAAAAGGCAGTGCTCTCCAGAGGCTGGGGTTCCCTCAGATCATATCTGATCAAACCCAAAGAACCTATTCATATTAATCGGATGCATGGAAGCTACTTGAGTTAATTGGATACACAGATCAACAATCCACTCTAAATTGACAAGGGTGGATTATTATGCTTTTCTAGTGTCCAGAATATACATTTTTACTATCCAAAATACCACATATTAGATGGAATCAACATTCCTTGGAAGTTGGCCTAGACATTATAAGATTTTGGGAGAACTAAACAATTCCCTAGGTGAATTCCTTGGAACACTGGATCCAGAAGATACTTCATGAGAAAGAGTGTTCTGTGGCCAAATAAAGTTGGCAAGCATCCCATACTATGGTGTCATTCTAAAGAGTCCCAATGTATGGTATAACAATAAAGACTCCTTAAAGTCCTGCCATAAAAAAACAGACAACATTAGCATTTCCCTAACATATTTTATCACTGTAACTCATTAGTGATTGTTTAGCAAAACTGCATCCTAAAACACAACTCGGTGAATCCTGCTCTGTACATACACTGCATGGAGTGTGCCTCTGGGCAGGTTCGCCTTTAGCAAGTCCACTGTGCTGCGGCAGAATGACAGACTAATTTTAGGCTTTCATTTCCTCACCTACAAAATGCAATGAATACTACTGTTGTGAGAAACGACTGAGATACTATTTGTAAATCCATTTTATAATGTGCTACAAAAATGTTACCTGCTTTCTTCAGAGGCATTACAGTCCTGAGGGTATACTTCTTGCTGTGCAACTTCTCAAAATGCCTTGACAAAGGGACACTTTTGTTCATTCATTCATTCAACACCCCCTCCTTGAGTGGTAGGTCTTAAGGGCTATGGCCTGGTTTTGGACCCTGGGAAGCTTACAGACAGTGGGCAAGTGAGGTCCACTGTATTGCTTTAAGAGATACATACACATACACACACACAAGGAATTCTGGTGGCAGTGAGGGGGTGTCTTACTGGGGAAAGGAGGACAGGGTCGGGGAAATCTTTCTTGCTGAAACTATTAGGATTCTTGAAGGTTCATTAGGTAGGTTGGATATACAAGGGGAATTGGGCACAAGGTCAAAGCACTATAATACAGAGAGTATGTGAAGAATGGGCCTCCCATTAATGGGTCACACGAGCATGGACCTCTCAGGGTAGCATACCCTGTGTTTCATCTGTGATACCTGATTCATCTGTGTCCTCCAAGCAGAGGAAGAGGGTTTAGCTAAGCAAGGAGGTTCTTTCTGGAAAGTGGAAGTCCTGAAGTGGGTAGTGACCCTTGACTTTGGATAAGGTGTATGGCAGGACACCTTGGGTGGGGATAAGAGTGCTGCTGCGAAGTTATCTTTAAATAAGCACACGCCATAGCCATCCTGGGAGTCAAGCTCCCTCCCACCTGCCCTACACTAGAGGTCAAGTGTGGGCTATTTCAGTTTCCTCCTCTGCTCTGATGAACTGTCTGCAGGAGAATGTTTCCAGACAAAGGTCTTGATAGCAGGTTGGTTTTCCCCGTGTCTCCAGCCTCCAACTACTGAGAGCAAGTCTCCAAACCCAAAAGCTCCTGTCAACAGCCTTCTTCCCAAGTTCCAAAAGCAAGGGCCCTTCACTGTCCCGGGACCCTACCCATCCCTAGCCTGTGATGCTCTCTCTGGAGGTGCCAAAGCACGGGAGTGCATGAGTATTCCAGAGGCAATATTGGAACCTGAGGCAAAAAGGAAAATTAGCACCTCTATATCCACTTATGACAATATCCTCCTACATTTGAATTAGGTAAAAAGTTAATAAAAGCTCTGCATTCAGTGAACGTGACTACATCTGAAGCCAGAGTTGCTCAATCTGTTGCATGCCACTGTCAACTCTCAAACCACCAGGCAAGGGAACAAACAAATGGGGAGGTGGGGGAGGGAGACTGGATATGACTGTTCCCATTGAACAATGAAGCAGGGTTCTTTTTTTTTAGACAGAGTTTCACTCTGTCACCCAGGCTGAGTGGAGTGGCACAATGTCGGCTTACTGCAACCTCTGCCCCCAGGTTCAAGTGATTCTCCCACCTCAGCCTCCCGAGTAGCTGGGACCACAGGCACATGCCTTCAGGCCCAGCTAATTTTTGTATTTTTAGTAGAGATGGGGTTTCACCCTGTTGGCCAGGCTGGTCTTGAACTCCTGACCTCAAGTGATCTGCCTGCCTTGGCCTCCCTAAGTGCTGGGATTACAGGCATAAGCCACTGCACCCGGCCTATGAAGCAGGGTTCTAACAACACCCACCTGTATTTAAAATGTTGATTTTTGCTTATCATGAATTTTTTACATTCAATTTGGTTTTGTTAAAAAGATTGTATTAAAATACTATTTATCTTAATGATGGAGTGCTGCCCTGTGTGTTTCTTTTTTCCCAGTAAGCCCTTTGCACTCCCAGCAAGTGTTTCTTTTTGCTTCAGTATTTACAGTCCTTTTGGTCGAAGAGTACTCTGATGTTTCCTTACCGATGACAGCGTGTTCCTAAGAAACCCCAATGTGCCCAAAACCGCGCAAGGAAGTGCCGCTACACTGCGGAATTAGGAAAGCCCCAGGGATTTAAGAGCTCTGAGAAGACAGGCGCCTCTCAGGGCCCAGGGGACCGATCTTGCCCTGTATTTCTTGGCAACATATCATAGGCTTTCAAGCTGAACTTCTGCAAATCCTGCTGTCCCCGCGCGGTCGAGGGGCGCGCCACCGCCGGTGGGTGGACGCCGAGCTGGTGGGAGCCCAGGCCAAGGGTGGAGGCCAAGCCCAGAAGGGGGCGGGGAGGCCTCAAAGTGGGAAAGTGGCCCCGTCCCTTCCCGGCAGGAATCCGGGGCTCCTCCTCCGCCCGCTGCGCAGCCATCAATCACCGCGACAGCCCAAGTGCCCCCTGCCCGGACACAACAACCCTCCTGCTTTTCCACCCGGGGGAGGAAATCTCCGGTCGGAGCATCTGCCCTGCACACTGGCTGGACTCACCAGTGGGGTCCGCGCTGGGGATCAAAGCTGTGCGACACCGGGTCTGACCCGCGCGCTCAGGCGCAGGGAGCACTTGACACCCCACAGGCAGCCCTGCAGGTAGAACTCCTCAAAGGTCCCTACCAAACTCCGTCCGGTGCACACGCACGCACACCCGCACCTCCGCACCTCGAGCCATAGTGCCTGCACCCTCCAGCTGTCCCTCACCCCAGCCCCGCACAGGTCAGCTGAGGACACCCGGTGACCCTGCCGGGACCAGCGGCCACCTCGCGCTCCGGAATGTCACTCTGCCCCTTGTCCCCACTCCCTGATCCCCCTTCCCCCTTCCGTTCCCCACGATCCCCGAGGACGCGCTCTGGCTGTCTTCCTCAAGTCCCCTCCGGAGTAGGGAGAGAGTGCGCACAGCAGCACCCACGTCTGGAACCCCAGAGAGCCCCGCCCGTGCCCGGAGCCTCTCCGGGCTCTCTAGGTGCGGGCACAGGGGGTGGGGTCTCCGCTGCCACCGCCCCTTACCTCTCGCGGGCCCTCCCCGCAGGTCCCGGAGGCGGGGGCGACCGGTGGCCCCAAAGACGAGCGCGGGGCTGGGTTTCCCCGCCCGGGAGGAGCAAGAGGAGGAGGAGGAAGAGGAGGAAGGGGGAGAAAGGAGGGGAGGGGAGGGGAGAGGAGAGGAAAGAGGAGGAGGGGAGGGAAGGGCTTTGTGTTTGCCTCGGGCCGTCCCTCGGCAGTAGGGAGCCATCCCCCTCCCCCAGCCACCTTCCTGAGCTCGCAGAGGAGATGGGGCGGGGGTGATCGGATCGGAGGCAGCGACCAAGGCGCCTGCGCGACCCCAGGTCCGGCCCATCCCTCCATTCCCTGTAACCGCCAGCCTCCGCCCCTCTTGACAACCACCCGCTACGCTTACCCTGTTACAAGGAACCCAGGCTGCAACCAGGAAAAACTGCCATCAGAAAGTTTATCTAAGCCGGAGCAAACTTGGCTGGACCGGCCCCTGACCCGCCTTGGCGCTGCCGCCCCTGTCTTCTGCGGTCCCCGGCCAGGCGAGGACCAGAGTTTTGTTCTCGGAGATTCTTGCCTTTCTTGTTTTAGCACAAACGCGCACGCACCCCTTTCCCATAACGAGCCCCTCCGCCCAACTACAGATCCCGGGATCTGTTGCAGGGGCTGGAAAGGCCCCACTCGAGAGGCCTGAGCTGGCTGCGGCTCTTGGTTCCGGGGCAGGTTCTCCAGGGTTGGATACGCTCTGGACGCCTGGGCGGGTTGTTTTGCTTCGGCCTCGCTGGCCAGGGGCCCGCCCACCCCGCCTGGAACGCGGTTTGGATCGGCGCTGGGAGCCCTCCGTAACCCCAGCTGAAGGCCGCGCAGGCAGGCGGGGACGCCGGAGCTGCGGGGCCGGTTCCCAGCCAGCATCCAGCCTTTTCGGAATCAGGCGGGTCCCTGGTGATTCGCTGGGTTTTCCCACTTCCCACGGGGACCTCACCTTTGGGAATTAATTGCTGACAGTGTTAGAGTTACAAAGTAGCCAGTGTCACGGAGGGAACCTCAAAGAGACAAAGGGACACCTCGAAGGTGTCAGAGAGACGGTTGTTTTGGACAGAAACAGAACAGCGAAGCGGAAAGAAAACAGACCTTATTTCTGTTCTGTTCCACTTCAGATAGTAGCAGAGGAGACTTGGATTTCATTGGTGTTGGTTTTCGTGATTCCTGCCTTCTAAAATCCCAAGACTTATTTATCATTTATCATCAGCTCAGATCCCAGGAAAACAGTCCACTGCACTTCGGTTTCTGCTCCAAGTCACCCATTAAATAAATAATTGAACACCTGCTGGTGCCAGGCGCAGTTCTAATGCTTGGGATATGTCGGTGAACAAAGCAAAGGTCTCCCTCACCTGGGGGAGCTGAAGGCCTGCGGGGAAGAAGTGGGAGACAGAGGGTAAACCATGGCCATCCCTAAGTAAATTATTTGGGGTGTTGGAAGAGGTCGGTGATAGGGAAAACAAGAAAAAGAATATGGGGGCCCAGAGTGCTTGTGTCTGGAGCAGGTCACAGAATTAAATAGATGGTGTGTGTCAGGCCTCTGAGCCCAAGCCAAGCCATCGCATCCCCTGTGACTTGCACGTATACATCCAGATGGTCTGAAGTAACTGAAGATCCACAAAAGAAGTAAACATAGCCTTAACTGATGACATTCCACCATTGTGATTTGTTCCCGCCCCACCCTAACTAATCAATGTACTTTGTAATCTCCCCCACCCTTAAGAAGGTTCTTTGTAATTCTCCCCACCCTTGAGAATGTACTTTGTGAGATCCACCCCTGCCCACAAAACATTGCTCTTAACTTCACCGCCTATCTCAAAACCTATAAGAACTAATAATAATCCACCACTCTTTGCTGACTCTCTGTTTGGACTCAGCCCACCTGCACCCAGGTGAAATAAACAGCCATGTTGCTCACACAAAGCCTGTTTGGTGGTCTCTTCACACGGACGCGCATGAAATTTGGTGTCGTGACTCAGATTGGGGGACCTCCCTTGGGAGATCAATCCCCTGTCCTCCTGCTCTTTGCTCTGTGAGAAAGATCCACCTACGACCTCAGGACCGACCAGCCCAAGAAACATCTCACCAATTTCAAATCCAGTAAGCGGCCTCTTTTTACTCTCTTCTCCAACTTGCCTCACTATCCCTCAACCTCTTTCTCCTTTCAATCTTGGCGCTACACTTCAATCTCTCCCTTCTCTTAATTTCAATTCCTTTCATTTTCTGGTAGAGACAAAAGAGACACGTTTTATCCGTGGACCCAAAACTCCGGCGCCGGTCACGGACTGGGAAGGCAGCCTTCCCTTGGTGTTTAATCATTGCAGGGATGCCTCTGTGATTATACACCCACGTTTCAAGGGTGTCAGACCACGCAGGGACGCCTGCCTTGGTCCTTCACCCTTAGCGGCAAGTCCTGCTTTTCTGGGGAAGGGGCAAGTACCCCAACCCCTTCTCTCCTTGTCTCTACCCCTTCTCTGCCTTTCCTGGGGCAGGGGCAAGTACCCCTCAACCCCTTCTCCTTCACCCTTAGCGGCAAGTCCCGCTTTCCTAGGGGCAAGAACCTCCCAATCGCTTATTTCCGCACCCCAACCTCTTATCTCTGTGCCCCAATCCCTTATTTCCGTGCCCCAACCCTTTCTCTGCTTTTCTGGAGGGCAAGAACTCCCCACCCCTTCTCCATGTCTCTACTCTTTTCTCTGGGCTTGCCTCCTTCACTATGGGTAGGCTTCCACCTTCCATTCCTCCTTGTTCTCCCTTAGCCTGTGTTCTCAAAAACTTAAAACCTCTTCAACTCACACCTGACCTAAAACCTAAATGCCTTATTTTCTTCTGCAATGCCGCTTGACCCCAATACAAACTCGACAGTAGTTCCAAATAGCTGGAAAACGGCGCTTTCAATTTTTCCATCCTACAAGATCTAAATAATTCTTGTCGTAAAATGGGCAAATGGTCTGAGGTGCCTGACGTCCAGGCATTCTTTTACACATCAGTCCCTTCCTAGTCTCTGTGCCCCGTGCAACTCGTCCCAAATCTTCCTTCTTTCCCTCCCTCCTGTCCCCTCAGTCCCAACCCCAAGCGGCGCTGAGTCTTTCTAATCTTCCTCTTCTACAGACCCATCTGACCTCTCCCCTCCGCGCCAGCCCAAGCTAGGTCCCAATTCTTCCTCAGCCTCCGCGCCTCCCCTCCCTTCATCCCACACCTGGTCCGACTTATAGTTTCATTCTGTGACTAGCCCTCCCCCACCTGCCCAGCAGTTTACTCTTAAAAAGGTGGCTGGAGCCAAAGGCATAGTCAGGGTTAATGCTCCTTTTTCATTATCCCAAATCACATAGCGTTTAGGCTCTTTTTCATCAAATATAAAAACCCAGCCCAGTTCATGGCTCGTTCGGCAGCAACCCTGAGACGCTTTACAGCCCTAGACCCTAAAAGGTCAAAAGGCCATCTTATTCTCAATATACATTTTATTACCCGATCTGCTCCCGACATTAAATAAAACTCCAAAAATTAAATTCCGGCCCTCAAACCCCACAACAGGATTTAATTAACCTCGCCTTCAAGGTGTACAATAATAGAAAAAAGTTGCAATTCCTTGGCTCCACTGTGAGACAAACCCCAGCCACATCTCCAGCATACAAGAACTTCCAAATGCCTGAACCGCAGCGGCCAGGCGTTCTTCTAGAACCTCCTCCCCCAGGAGCTTGCTACAAGTGCCAGAAATCTGACCACCAGGGCAAGGAATGCCTGCAGCCCAGGATTCCTCCTAAGCCGTGTCCCATCTGTGCGGGACCCCACTGGAAATTAGACTGTTCAACTCACCTGGCAGCCACTCCCCGAGCCCCTGGAACTCTGGCCCGAGGCTCTCTGACTGACTCCTTCTCGGCTTAGCGGCTGAAGACTGATGCTGCCCGATCGCCTCGGAAGCCCCGTAGGCCATCACGGACGCCGAGCTTTGGGTAACTCTCAGAGTGGAAGGTAAGTCCGTCCCCTTCTTAATCAATATGGAGGCTACCCACTCCACATTACCTTCTTTTCAAGGGCCTGTTTCCCTTGCCTCCATAACTGTTGTGGGTATTGACAGCCAGGCTTCTAAACCTCTTAAAACTCCCCAACTCTGGTGCCAACTTAGACAACACTCTTTTAAGCACTCTTTTTTAGTTATCTCCACCTGCCCACTTCCCTTATTAGGCCGAGATATTTTAACCAAATTATCTGCTTCCCTGACTATTCCTGGACTACAGCCGCATCTCATTGCTGCCCTTCTTCCCAATCCAAAGCCTCCTTTGCGTCCTCCTCTTGTATTCCCCCACCTTAACCCACAAGTATAAGAGACCTCTACTCCCTCCTTGGTGACTGATCACGCACCCCTTACCATCTCATTAAAACTGAATCACCCTTACCCCGCTCAACGCCAATATCCTATCCCACAGCATGCTTTAAAAGGATTAAAGCCTGTTATCACTCGCCTGCTACAGCATGGGCACCTATAAACTCTCCTTACCATTCCCCCATTTCACCTGTCCTAAAACCAGGCAAGGCTTACAAGTTAGTTCAGAATCTGCACCTTATCAACCAAATTGTTTTGCCTATCCACCCTGTGGTGCCAAACCCATATACTCTCCTATCCTCAATACCTCCCTCTACTACCCATTATTCTGTTCTGGATCTCAAACATGCTTTCTTTACTATTCCTTTGCACCCTTCATCCCAGCCTCTCTTTGCCTTCACTTAGACTGACCCTGACACCCATTAGGCTCAGTAAATTACCTGGGCTGTACTGCCGCAAGGCTTCGCGGACAGCCCCCATTACTTCAGTCAAGCCCAAATTTCATCCTCATCTGTTACCTATCTCGGCATAATTCTCATAGAAACACATGTGCTCTTCCTGCTGATCATGTCCGATTAATCTCCCAAACCTCAATCCCTTACAAAAGAACAACTCCTTTCCTTCCTAGGCATGGTTAGTGCGGTCAGAATTCTTACACAAGAGCCAGGACCACACCGTGTAGCCTTTCTGTCCAAACAACTTGACCTTACTGTTTTAGCCTAGCCCTCATGTCTGCGTGCAGCGGCTGCCGCTGCTTTAATACCGTTAGAGGCCCTAAAAATCACAAACTATGCTCAACTCACTCTCTACATTTCTCATAACTTCCAAAATCTATTTTCTTCCTCATACCTGACACATATACTTTCTGCTCCCCGGCTCCTTCAGCTGTACTCACTCTTTAAGTCCCACAATTACCATTGTTCCTGGCCCGGACTTCAATCTGGCCTCCCACATTATTCCTGATACCACACCTGACCCCCATGACTGTATCTCTCTGATCCACCTGATATTCACCCCATTTCCCCATATTTCCTTCTTTGCTGTTCCTCACCCTGATCACGCTTGCCTCGTGCTATCCCCAAACTGCCATTCTTAACTCTTGAAGTAAATAATCTTTGCTGGCAGGGCTATGCTGAATCTCCTTAGGCACTCTCTAATCAGATGTCCTGAGTCGTCCCAATTCTTAGACCTTTTATACCTGTTTTTCTCCTTCTCTTATTCCATTTAGTTTTTCAATTCATACAAAACCATATCCAGGCCATCACCAATAATTCTACACAACAAATGTTTCTTCTAACAACCCCACAATATCACCCCTTACCACAAAATCTTCCTTCAGCTTAATCTCTCCCACTCTAGGTTCCCACGCCACCCCTAATCCCGCTCGAAGCAGCCCTGAGAAACATCGCCCATTCTCTCTCCACACCAACCCCCACAAATTTTCACCGCCCCAAGACTTCAACACTATTTTGTTTTATTTTTCTTATTAATATAAGAAGGCAGGAATGTCAGGCCTCTGAGCCCAAGCCAAGCCATCGCATCCCCTGTGACTTGCACGTATACATCCACGTGGCCTGAAGTAACTGAAGATCCACAAAAGAAGTAAACATAGCCTTAACTGATGACATTCCACCATTGTGATTTGTTCCCGCCCCACCCTAACTAATCAATGTACTTTGTAATCTCCCCCACCCTTAAGAAGGTTCTTTGTAATTCTCCCCACCCTTGAGAATGTACTTTGTGAGATCCACCCCGCCCACAAAACATTGCTCTTAACTTCACTGCCTAACCCAAAACCTATAAGAACTAATAATAATCCACCACTCTTTGCTGACTCTCTTTTTGGACTCAGCCCACCTGCACCCAGGTGAAATAAACAGCCATGTTGCTCACACAAAGCCTGTTTGGTGGTCTCTTCACACAGACGCGCATGAAAGTGTGGTCAGAGTAGTCCTCAGGGAAGGTGGGATTTGAGCCGTAAGGGTTTGAGCAGAGGATAACCTGATCTGTTATTGCTGAGAGCTCAGTCTAATGCTGTTTGGAGAGCCCACTGTCCGGGCAGAGGTGGAAATAAGCGAGGAGGCGATTGAAATAGTTCAGGCTAGAGATGGTGGCTGGTAGCAGGCTCAGAGCAGGGGTGGTGGAGAGAGGTAGTTGGATTCTTAATTATTTTGAAGGTTGAGCTGACAGCAATTCCTAAGAGGTTGGATACATGGGCAAAAGGGAGAAGTGGACAGACAGGTAGACCTGGCCCCATGTCCCTCTCTCTTCTCTTCCTTTTTCAGCTGCAGAGGGACCCGGTTTTATAGATAAAGGGTGCCAGGTAAGTGCTGAAGACACCCGGCCTCTGCTCCTTTCTTCCTGTCAAGTTTTCCTTTCTCCCCTTCCACCCACTCTCTTGAAAACATGCTTCCTCTGCCCACATTGCTCCATGCATGGATGGTCCTAGAATCTCAGTCTTTTCCAGAACTTGGGGGCCATTTTGCTCTGCCCTTCCCCAGGAAAACATCTTTTACCATAGAAATGAATTCGGGGGTTATTTATTCAAAAGTGTTTATTGAGTACCTACTATGCGCCAAGCACTGTCATAGGCACTGGAGCTACAGCAGTGAGCTAAACAGAAAAATCCCCTTGTTCTCTCTGAACTCACAATCTAATCGGGAGGGAGAGGCAATAAACCAGACAAACAAGGTGAATGTGTGGTAGTCAAGCCACAGTATTCAAGCTAAACCAGGAAGAGGAAGAGAGAGTGCTGGGGAGGCTGCACTTATAACAGAGATACTCATCAAAGAAAACCCGTGAGGACACATGGACTTATCTCATTTTTGGCAGATTTGACCTCCCATCTGAGGGTCCCAAGAGACTCAAGTGGCCGCTTCAGTCAGCTGCAGAGAGCACAAGTGCTCATGGGGCACTTTTGCAGGCTTGGGGACCAGCTAGCCAAGAAAATGTCATTTCTAATGAAGTTATTTCCCCTTTAAAGTAAACCAAGCACTGTTGGTTCTGGAAGCATTGCCCAGAGCTGGCAACTCAGCAATTTGTTTCTCTCCTCTCCTCTCCTCTCTGCTGAGCAGAACAGGTAGAAGTGAGTGTCATGTGTAAATGATTTGAAAAGTGCAATTTTTTACTCTGGACCCTGCGCTATAAAATCATCATCATAATCATTATGGCAATTCTTTTTTGTTGGTGGCTGCTGATACTGGGTAACATTACCCTGCTCAAGCACCATAGCATAGCTACCCCAGAAGACAGTAGAGAATATCAGAAGATACTTAACTATTTCCATGTATTAGAAATTACCTAAACAGTGCTTATATAACTGCATCTCCCTCTCCAAAGATATGGTTCACAAGAGAGAGGAGTTTCTAAGAAGGAAGGGACATTGAAAAAGATACATTCTTTCTACTTTTTAACTTATATCTTTGTTTCAGAATCTCAAAGAAAGGAGTCAGTGATTATCCCTGGAGTGTGGGATTACTGGGCCCTTAACATTTTTTTTTTCTTTTGGAGACAGTCTTTCTCAGTCACCCAGGCTGGAGTGCAGTGGTACAATTTTGGCTCATTGCAACATCCACCACCCAGGCTTAAGTGATCCTCTTACCTCAGCCTCCCAAGTAGCTGGGACTACAGGCGAGCACCAACATGCCTGGCTAATTTTTGTATTTTTTGTAGAGACGGGGTTTCACCATATTGCCCAGGCTGGTCTCAAAATCCTGGGCTCGAGTAATCCGCCTCCCTTGACCTCCCACAGTGTTGGGATTACAGGCATGAGCCACTGTGCCTGGCATGGGCCCTTAACTTTTCAAGTTGCATGTTTATGAATTATTTAAATATTTAAAATATTATATGAATCCTTAGTTAATCTGAAGAAAAAGCATTACCGGAAAGGGATCCCGATCCAGGTCCCAAGAGAGGGCTCTTGGCTGTCATGCAAGAAAAAATTGGAGGCAAATCCATAGAGTAAAGTAAAAGCAAAGTTTCTTAGTAGCCGCTTAGGCTACTCAGCTGCTTATGCTTATTGTTACTTCCTGATTATATGCTAAACAAGGAATGGATTATTCATGAGTTTTCCTGGAAAGCAATAGGCAATTCCTGGAGCTGAGGTTTCCTCCCCTTTTTAGTTCATATAGGGTAGCTTCCAGATGTTACCATGACATCTGTAAACTTTAATGGAGCTTGTGGGAGTGTCTTTTAGCATGCTAATGTATTATAATTAGCATATAAAAAGCGATGAGGACAACCAGAGGTCACTTTCATCCCCATCTCAGTTTTGGTGGGATCTGGCGTGCTTCCTTACCACATGCTGTTTTATCAGCAAGGTCTTTGTGACCTGTATCTTCTGCTGACCTCCTGTCTCATCCTGTGACTAAGAATGCCTTAAACTCCTGGGCATGTCACCCAGTAGGTCTCAGCCTTATTTTACCCATCCCGTTTTCAAGATGGAGTCGCTCTGGTGAGAGAATTGAAAACACAAGTGTGAAGGCAATCTTGTATATAATTACTTAAGATTTTGATATCCTCTTTGACTTTAGTATTTAAATCACTTAAAAATTTCCAAGGGTTGAGATTTCCTTGTTGTTGCTCTTTAAATTTTTGTTATTAGTTTCCAGGTTTATTGCATTGTGGTGAAGAAATGTAGCTTGTTCAATTTCTGCTTTTTTTTTTTTTTTTTGGAAATTAATTGGGGCTTTCTTTGTGATCTAGTGTATGACCAATTTTGAAAAAAAATCTCCATAGTTATCTGAACAAAAGGCATATTAAGCAAGCCCCATAATCTAGTTCTAGGCTGAGCATGTAGTAGCTGTTAAAAAATTGTTTATTTTTTAACAATTTTAACATGTGAACATGAGCAATAATTAAACGTTCATTCATCTTGCATATTTATTCTAAGTCTTTATGTCATTTACTTTATTATTTCATCTTCCAAACAGTCTTCTAGACTATATTCTGCCTTCTCCCCTACCCATCTTTGTGAAGAAAATGGATTTAGGATGGGTGTATTAACATCTTCCATTTCAATCAAAATTCTGACATTTTTCTTTGACTTTCAACTGCTCTTATTCCAGCATTTTCATGCTGTGTTACACAGTACATAAATATGTATGTGTACTGTCACGTTGCCATGGACTACATAGTTATTGGTGTAATAAAACTCCTTTGCCCCATTCAATGTGTTTCCCTTGATCTATTCTTTGACTGAAATTCATATCACGATCCCTGCTTTCTTTGTCTTTGTGTCCATGTAGTAAATTTTTGTCCACCCTTTGTTTTAAGTCTCTCTGCATCATTTTATTTTGAAAGAGTACATTTAAAGCGACATATACCACGATTGGATTTTGTTTTAAACCCAACTAATGAATTTGGTTTAATTTCTGCCATCTTGTTTTATGCTTTCTGGGTTTTATGAAACCCTGCCAATTCCTAAGTTCTGTGTTTTTGGTAAAACTGACTGTGCTCTATTTCCTTATATATTCTCCAGTCATTTGGAAAGTATATTTGTTGTTTTAAACATAGTGCTTCTTTTTTTTTTTTTTTCTTTTTGACAGAGTCTCACTCTGTCACCAGACTGGAGTGGAGTGGAGTGGAGTGGTGCGATCTTGGTTCACTGCAACCTCCGCCTCCTGGGTTCAAGTGATTTTCCTGCCTCAGCCTCTCGAATAGCTGGGAGTACAGGTTCGCACCACCATGCCCAGCTAATTTTTGTATTTTTAATAGAGTCGGGGTTTCACCATGTTGGCCAGGCTAGTCTCAATCTCTTGACCTCATGATCCACCCATCTCGGCCTCCCAAAGTGCTGAGATTACAGGTGTGAGCCACTGAGCCTGGAGTCATTTCTTTTTTAAATATAGAACTTTTGATTACCTAAGGGGTGGCAAGGCACTGTCCTTGGTACTGTGGATATGTGATGAAACAGATCAAATCTTTCCTTCAATGTACTTATCATCCAACGGGGGGCAGACAATAAACACGTGAACAATTAAATATGAAGATAGGCAGGGCATGATGCATACCATGAATAAAACAAACAGAATAGTGTGAGGAAGAGTGGCTGGGGGCTGACTTAATTTGGGCTATCAGAGAAGACCTCCCTGAGAAGGTTATGCTTAAGCTGAGATAGATGACAACAAGGATGCAGACAGATGAGTACCTGAGAAATATTCCAGTCTAGGCAGAAGGAACAGCCAAAGACAAGGCCTTCAGGTGGGTGTCAAGGAATATGAAGAAGCCCACTGGGGCTGCAGCTAGAGGCTTAGGGAGAGTCCTCAGGGAGGGTTCCAGCAAGGAACAGCTCAATCAGCTTTGTATGTTTAAAAGTAGCCACAAAGAAGGCTGTAGGGAGAAAGGATAGCAGGGAGGAGATGGGCAATGAATGGTAGAAGGAGAAGTCTACCAAAGAGGTAGACTTGCAGTCCCCAGGCAAGGGATGGTAGATTGATTAGGTAGAGGGTTAGAGATGGAATGGAGTGGGTGAATTCAAGGTAAGCTTTGAAGGTAGGACCCACTGGGCAAGCTATTTTACATATCCCTCCTGTAGTACATTTGAATACAATTTGGATTATACTTTAGTTGAATTTAGCTATCAATAAATTTATTAAACTTGTAGGGTGACTTAAAGTACCAAATATTTGCTTACATTAGCTGAAAATATATTGCCTCCTTTGAGAATGTTTAAAATAAGAAGTTATAATGAGATAGTGGTGTTAAAAAAAATGTGTCCGTGCATGTATATATGCATGTGGGTATGTGTTTACACTTTGTTATGGTTTGAATGTTTGTCCTCTCCAAAACTCATGTTGACATTTGATTGCTACTGCAACAGTATTAAAGGTGGGACCTTTAAGAGATAATTAGGCCATGAGGGCTCAAGGCGGGATAGAGGCCTTTATAAAAGGGTGAGTTTGCCCCATCTTGTTCTCTTTTGCCCTTCCACCTTCTGCCATGTGATGATGCAGCAAGAAGGCCCTTGCCAGATCCCAGCCCCTTGACCTTGGACTTCTCAGCCTCCAGAGCTGTAAGAAATAAATTTCTGTTCATTATAAATTACCCAATCTCAGGTATTCTGTTATAGCAACACAAAACAGACTAAGACATACACTAAACCTTTCCTGCAAATGTTTCAGAGGATAAGGCTTCAGGGCACGTTGCAGAAGTCCCATAAAGGGGAGGAAAAGAGAGATCACACATGGATTTAGGCTTTCTGCTGAGTGCCTGGCTGAAATGTGGGTCCCTTTATTGAGATGGGAGCAGTTTTAGGGGGTGGAAAATAGAGTACCGGTTATCTTTAATTTACCTAAAAACTGCCTACCTTAACTACCAGGATAAAAAATACATGGCTCTGCCTGTGTCAACATGGAATTTATCATGCTTCCCAGTTCCCTACTCACAGCCTATGCCCAGCCTCCCTCTTCTTTCTCTAGTATTTGTTTATACACTCTAAACTTTAAAACAGATATTTGGATTAGTGAATCATTATTTTTAGACTATATGAGTTGTCTTTCAAGAATTATTTTGTATCTACAAATTTCAATTCTATTTATAACAATTACTTAGATTTAATTATTTATTTAAACTTGTTTAAATATCTACTCCCCCGTCTTTCATATCTTGTCTTTGCCATTCTTAATGATATACCTTTTCATCAGAATAGAAAGAACATAACAAAATACTTTTTTCAAGAAGAACATAAAGATCATAAGTTTTCTAAGCATACGTGTTTCTGAAAAAGTTTTTCTTATCTCTTTATACACAGATGTGTATGGAATTTTGTTTTCTGTGGTAGATTATCTACAAAAATGGCCCCTGACAGTTTTTCCCATCCTGGTATATGGACATCTATCACTTTTCTCATGAAGAGGTTGGTTTATTTCCCCTCTATTTGAATCTAGTCTCATTTTCTGAATTGCTTTGGCTGAGAGAATATGGCAAAAATGATGCTGTGAGACTTTTTTGCCTTGGGACTTTAAAGCTTTGGATACCCCAATTTTTCTCATCATAGGATCCAAAACGATGTAAATAATCTTGGGAAAGGCTGCTGCATGATAAGATACCAAGTAGGGAGAGAGAATCCTAGACAGCTTTCTGCCATCTGATTACCCTAGTTGAGGCTCTAGCCATCTTGGATGATCCAACCCTAGCTGAGTTTCTAGCTGAATGCAGCCATGTCAGTGACTCCAACAGATAACACAGGATGCAGAAGAACCACCAGCTGAGCCCAGCCAACCTATATAATGATGAAAAAGAAGTAATTGTTGTTTTAAGCCACTAAGTTTAGGGGTAGTTTGTTACACAGCAATAGATAACTGATACCATTTCCCTTCAAAACTCAATAAACACTGCTTTATTACTTTCTAATGTTTAATCTCAGTGACAAGTTTGGGTTCAGCCTGATTGTCTTTTCTCATTATTATAGACACTAATTTTGCATACTTTAAGAATTTGCTTCATTTTCCTACTTTAAGCTATTTCCCTGTATGTGTTGGAGTATGAATACTTCTTCATTGATTTGGTGTACAACAGAGTTAAATTTTTGATTTATCTAAGGGTTTCTTTTTCAGCTCTAAAACATTTTCTTTAGGGAAGCCTTTGATTACTGCACGGGTTCTAATTGTAATGATTCCTTCATCTACACACGGGTCAGCAACTGCAGCCTGCATGAAAAACCTGGCCTGCCACCTGTTTTTGTCAATAAAATTTTACTGGGGCCCAGCCATAGCCATTCATTTATATATTGTCTATGGCTGCTTTCATACTTCAACAGCAGAGTTAAGTAGCTGCAACAGAGAACATCTGTATTAAGCATGTTTTTCTTTTTTTTATTCTGAGGCTTTGACATATGGGGCTCTGCGGACACTGGAAGGGACTGCCCCCTCAGAGTTAGCTAATTCCTAGAGATAGCAAACAACTCTGTCCAGGAATGCTGCTTTCTAATGCAAATCAACCCATCTGAAACCCATACCCAACCACCTCCTTTGTTGGGCTCTCAGACTTGGACCACTATCCACCTGCCCTAATCACCCCAGGGCCAGGCACCAGACAACTAGGGATAGTCACTGTGCCCCAGAGCCCACTGAAATTACTCAAACCAGCTTGTCCTAAGCCTGTTTACCTTAACTTGCCCATTCCTATGAAACCACACACACACACACAGAGGCTCCTGCCCACGTTTTCCCTTCACTTCTTCGGCCTCCTGACCAACCCTGATACTTCACAGTGTGACCTCCCTCAATTGCATGATGTGCCCCTCCTCTTGGGAACTGTAACAAACTATCTTTTCAATGGCAATCATCTCATTCAATGGCTTGTTGGCTTCACCATACATTAATAATAATTAAACCTACATTTAAAAAATCATCTGGGGCCGGGAGCGGTGGCTCATGCCTGTAATCCCAGCACTTTGGGAGGCTGAGGCAGGCAGATCACTTGAGTCCAGGAGTTCAAGACCAGCCTGGCCAACATGGCGAAACCTATCTCTACTAAAAATACAAAAAACTAGCCAGGTGTGGTGGTGTGCACTTGTAGTCCCAGCTACTCAGGAGGCTGAGGCAGGAGAACCGCTTGAACCTGGGAGGTGGAGGTTGCAGTGAGCCAAAATTGTGCCACTGCACTCCAGCCTGGGTGACAGAGTGAGACTCCATTTCAGTAAAATAAAATAAAATCATCTGGCTCACAAAGGCTAAAATATACTATTCGGCAGTTTACAAAAATGTTCACTGCTGGTCTAGATCACCTATAATTCTTAGATTGTGTTACTCTTGTCTATGTTATTTGTCTTGGCTTCCTCATCTACCATTTGCTCTTCAGCCTGCTCCAGTCTGTCCCCGATACTAGACTGAAATGGCTTTTGTCGAAGTTACTACTGTCCAAGATGCTGCTAATTCTGACTCCCAGGCAGAGGAGTTGGAAAACCTTATCCAGGAAGAAAGGGAAGGCTTCAGGTGTGCCTTGATAGAGGCTGTTGTGATGAGGAATCTGTAGGTGGGCTAAGGGAAGAAGGTTGTCCCATGTGGTTGGTTGAAAGTGCATATTTAGTTCTCTCTGGTTTGTCCTTAATTGGAAATTAGCAATAAAATGAGGGAAGCTGTCTGTTATATCAAGTCCTGGCAGTGTGAGACTGATTGTAACAGGAGTTATTGTTTGGCTCCTTGGGCCAGTTGTTAGATTTGGTGGTCTGACTTCCTGTATGAGATTGACTTGTAAATAGCAGACTGGCTTCCTGGGCTGGCTCCTGCAGATAATCGGTGGGTTTCCTGGGCTAGCTGCTGCAGGTTGCTGGTTAGAGTTCTATTTTTACAGATGATCTGGCCATTGTCCCTTTATATATTCAGACTTGCAGCTCCCTAGGAGACCTGTAGTCCCCTACCCTGTAGCTATCTCCATGGGCACTTCTTCAGGGTCAGCAGAAGAGCATCTCTCACTCTTAGGCATTCTGGGAAGATGGTATTTTATGACATGCCATTGCATAATCACAGGAGTGACATTTCATCACTGTTGCCACATTCTGTTAGCTAGAAGCAAGTCACAAGTCCTGCCCGCACTGAAGAGGGAGGATTCTTTGGAGTATAACTCTGGGACAGGAGATCATCGGACATTTTGCCTACTACTTAGCATAGCGCCTAACAGGAGAGAAGAGAGAATGAACCTCACAAGGAGAACCCAGGTCCTGGAGAACAACTGTTGGTCACTGCCATTCATTGATTTTCCACCAGATGACATCCACACTTGGGGTTTCACCTTTAAACTTGTAGAAGGAGCACTGGGAAGAAGCCAGTTCCACCAGTGCTGTGCCGGCCCTTGTTTCAATGGTACTTCAACACAGACGGTTGTGTGCTGCCCTGAAAGCCTCTCTCTTAACACCTGCGGCTCGGTGGCTGTGGCTGATTTCTGTGCGAAAGAGACCAGGAGCAGAAATTAGAAGGTTCCTTTCAAACTCTTCTCTCAGTGCCCTACCTGGACGCCTCTACCCAGTTAGCAAGAATTAATCTCCTAATACACTCCCTGGTTCTCTAGCTCTCTAATACTCTAGGTGAAAAACTTAACGTTCCCAAAAATGTCATTGTTTGCCTCCATGGCTTTCCATGTCTCTTCTACTATCTCCTTAAGTGTGGGGTCCTTCAACTCCTGGTACACAGCCCGTCCGCTTTAGTGCTCTGTTCTGTTGTGGGGCAGTGGGCTCAACGCTGGCTATATATTACAGTCACCTGGGGAGTCTTAAAATCCTGATGCCGAGGTCACACCCTAGCTAGAGCCTCTAAAATGGGACCCAGGCATAAGAAATTTTGTAGCTTCCAGGTGGTTCTAATATGTATCTAAGGTTCTGGAAGTGTCACTATTTGAGAAGCTGTAGCCTTTAAAGCAATTCTCGATCACTGGAATCACCCCAGAAACTCTAAAAGACACTGGTGCCTGGGCCTCCCGCATAGAGATTTTGATGCAATTGGTCTGGCGTGTGGCCTGGGTGTCAGGATATTTAAAAGCTCTCTAGGTGATGCTAGCACACCCTGGCTTGACATCTATGTAGCAAAATGCTCACAGGGACTAATCTCATTTTTCTGCTCTGCTCACTAAGGAAAGAGGCGGGTGTTCAGGTTTAAATGTTATTAGTAAAATGGTGGTCAGAAAATAAGGCTCCGGGTTGCTTTTGCTCTGAAAGTTGAAATCATCGAGAATATTAATTCAAGGATAGATCAGATTCCCCACTTTCAGGAAAGTTTTCCAAACAAGCAGTTGAAATTTCCCTTTGATACTAAATTTTGCATGTGTTTTGATTTTCATAAGCAGTATTAAGAGCACATTATTCAGATTCTCCATCTGGCATGTCAGTTTGAGTTTGTGAAGCAGTCCCGAAGCATCCTTTTGGTTTCAGCAGTGAGATCACTGTAGACTGGGTTGCCAAAGGAGAGAGCACAGAGAAGCTGGCCCTCAGCTGGAGCCTGAGGGTAGGCTTAGCTAGGCTGGAGAAAGAGGCTGAAGTTCAAGGTCAAATGTGTGGAGGTGGGATTGTGCATGGCTGTTGAACAACAAACAATATAACTTAAAAGATACAGGAGAAGAGAAAATTTATGGAGGACAAATGTTTTCTAACTACCTTAATTGATAGAACTCTTTCTTCCTATCCTATCAGCTACGGATTTACTGTAACAGGCACATTCTGCCCTATAATCCCAATTCTGTTTTCTAGACCTTCTTTTCTAGCATCAAGGTCAAATAAATTCTCTTTTCTTGCCTTCCCTCAATTCCTCAAAATCACAACCATGCTATATTTCAGCTTGCTTCATGTTTTAACCATCATTTTCTTAGATAGCACCTCTGCTAAAGTCCCTCCCACCCTCCCTCCCTTCTTTCCTTCCTTCCTTCCTTCTCTCCTTATATTTATATTGTCAACAGAGGACATTTATCATTACACATCTTCAGAAATATCCAGCTATTTAATCACACCAACTAAGGGATTTACTTTCTCTCTGAAGACATGTTTCCAGAGAATCCTGCATTTCTGCTCCAATCTAAATTGGCTGTTGTCTATACCTGCTGGGAGCTATAACCCCAAGGCATTTTTTTCCCTCCATACTTCTGGGGGTAAATCTGTTGTTTTCTAGAATCTCAAGTCTTCCTCTTTTATTTTGTTTTCTCTCTCATTTTGTTGCAGAAAAGGCTTTCAGAGGTTGTGTATATCTGAGAATATATATTATTCATGTTCAGTGGATATTTTGGCTAACAATGACATTTTAGTTCAAAATATTTTTCCCTCTTAATTTGAAGGCATTTCTCCACTGTGCTTTACTGACTGGTGTGGATGAAGTCTAATCAATGTTAGTCTGAATCTCCTTCTCCTTATAGCTGATCTGATTTTCTTTTCCTCTGGAGACTTTTTCTTTTAAATCCCCCCAAGTTGTAAAATTCACAAGAATCTGTCTGGACTTGATCTTTCATTCATTGCTTTGTTTTATCCATCAGTATCCTCATATCTGCTTGTGTTTTCATTTAATTTACCATAGTTTCACATTTCTTGATGAGCCTCACACAGATCCCATTATTATGGATTTAATTCCTCTTGCACCTCTTTACTTTCATTCTAAGGGATTTGGGGAGGGTAGGGAGGCAAATGCATGTGATTAGTCTACCATTTTGAGCTCTACTTCTTCAGATATTTTATTTGGATATTAAAGGAAAGGATGATCCCAGAAGACTGAAGGACTCGGAGATCCTTGAATGACCTCCTGGGGAAACTTTGGCTGTCAGTGGTGACCTGAAGAAGTGACATCAGGGGGACTTCCATGCGCTTTGCCCTTAAGCAAACTATGACATCACTTTTTAATTGAATAGAAAAGAATATTCCAATATCTTCTGGGCAATTTTGATTAGTCCTGTGCTTATGTTTATGCAGAGTAGAAACTCTACAGGCAGCTTACTACCTAAACTCTACATGTCCAGTACTTCCGGAAGGCACCTGATGCTGGTCCAGGCATGCATTTGAGTTCTTCCATTTCAGTGCAATTTGTAGTTGGCACTTGAGTTGCAACCTAAACTTAAAGATGATGTTACTTATTCAAGTGTGAAGTAATAAAAAATCAATATAGGATGGTTTTGACCAGACATTGTGTTAAGTTTAAGCCCTCTGGAGGAAAGGCTCGAGTGCCATTTACCCTAGTAAGTCCTGATTGTGATCAGGAGGAATTATAGATTCCCTACAGAGAATGAGGAGCTAAGACTAGCAGGGCATCTGTGTCTCCTTTCCAGGCTGGGGCCCAGCGATGTGGGAAGACTGTGGAGCTCTCTTTCACTTAGCATGGTTTGGGGTCAGAAGAACTATGGATGAGGGGTATTGAGGCACACAGGCCTAAGACAGCACCATAGGATTGCCACACCCTCTGGGTGGCCAAAGAAACCTACATGGACCAATGAGGAAAGGCCAGAGGAAAAAAGGGCATCTCTGCAGAGTGAATAAATAATGATAACCACCAGTAGGATGCCTCCTAGGGTGTGGACTGGGGCCGCGATGGGAGAAATGGAATTGACTGATACTTAGTATTCTCCATGGGTCTCCTATGTGGGTAGGTCCAACACACTTGTGTTTTGGAGAATCATACTCTGGTCTCCAAAACCATGGCTCACTGGGCAAATGAATGCTGAGAACAATGGCTTGCTCAAGCTAGAAACTCCCTTGGGGGAACATTTGATGCCCACACAGCAGAGTGGGAAATGGGCCACTGTCTGCCCCAGTTCCCACATGCTTTGTGTCCCTACTCACCTTCCAGATGTCCAAAGGCTGGAACCATGATCGTCCCATCCATCCGGAGGGTGTCTGCCCCTGTCTCACCCCAGCTCCAGCTCCTTCCAAAGGATCCCGGTCCTCCTTGGAGCTGATGTTTCCTAGAGAGAGCCCGCTCCCCTATCTGCCTCTGGCCTGTGCCCTTGGCTATCCTATGTAAGAGCGCATGGCAGCAGAAGCTGCAGAAGCTTTCATCTCTCTTGTGCTTCCCATCCCCACTAGACGGCATCCCTGCCGCCTGGTCTCAGCCCCATCCCCCAAACCCGTGGCCAGCCTCAGCCTTTGGCAGAATCACAGAGGGATCTGATCCCATCCTGGGGGTTGGAGGGCGTATGTGTGTGTAACGCTGGGCAGTGGTTTTGTGGTCCTGGCATCTCCAGGTGCTACCTAATATGGATCTCCCACGGAAATGCTTTTTCAGTGGTAGCAAAAGCAGAGAGTTCTGTTTGTCCTGTTTATAGCATGGCCCCACCCTGGAAATAGACACAGAGGGCTTAAACAGGATTGTAAAATATTCTCACCTTTATCGATAGTCATAACTCTTTCTTGTAAGTAGTTCAGCTCAAATTACAAAGACTTGGTGCATCCATCAACTTGGGATGGTTTCAGGTTAGGATCTGAATCACCACTGTGCTCATTTCCCAGGGCTGCTGTCACAAATTACCACAAATCTGATGGCTTAAAACAACAGAGCCATTTTCACTTACAGCTCTGGAGGCCAGAAGTCCGTAATCAGTCCGGGTTGTTTTCTTCTTGGGGCTCACGGGGAGGACCTGTTCCATTCTCTCCTAGCTTCCGGCGATGGCTGGCAGTCCTTGGCATTCCTCGGCTTGTGGCAGCATCACTCCACTCTCGGCCTCCGAGGTCACCTGGCGTTCTCTCTCTGTGTCTGTGGCCACATTTCCCTCTTCTTTTTATTATTTACTTCTATTTATTTATTTATTTATTTTGAGACGGAGTTTTGCTCTTGTTGCCCAGGCTGGAGTGCAATGGTGCGATCTTAACTCAGTGCAACCTCTGCCTCCCAGGTTCAAGCACTCCTCCTGCCTCAGCCCCTCGAGTAGCTGGGATTACAGGCATACGCCACCAGGCCTGGCTAATTTTTGCATTTTTAGTAGAGACGGGGTTTCACCATGTTGGCCAGGCTGGTCTTGAACTTCTGACCTCAGCTGATCCACCCGCCCCAGCCTCTCAAAATGCTGGGATTACAGGCGTGAGCCACCGTGCCCGGCCCATGTTTCCCTCTTCTTGAAGGGGCACCAGTCATTGGATTAGCGCTTACCCCAATCCCCTATGACCTCATCTTAACTTGATCATATTTGCAAAGTCCCTATTTCCAAAGAAGGTCACATTCACAGGTTCTGAGGGATGGGACTTTAACATAAATTTTTTTTGGAGGGGGGACAATTCAACCCAGAATAGTTATCAAAGTAAATTAAAAGATAATTAAACACTAAAATGTGATACATATTATTATTCTTTCAGCAACAGTGTTGTGAAATTTTCTTAGGCTCACAAATAGCCACTTTTTAAAATACACAAACACTGGTTTAAAAATACTCAGATTACTGAAAAATGGAAAAGTAAGTGCTTTCACCTCTCTTAAACTACTAATTAGTGCATGCAAGAAGAAAAAGAGTCATAAAGGCAAATACTCCTCTATAATAAGTGGCAAAACAAATATAGAGAAATCAGGTTCATATAAGCATGAAACAAATCAGTTTATATCTCTTTAAAAAGAATAACCAAAGTTTGTCTTTGCTGCATCTGCTTTAAAGGTAAAAAATTTCATTAAGAAGAGAGATAATATTTGAAGATAACTTTTATTTTCAAAATTCTTTAATTTCTTTCTTTTTTAAACTGTAGAGTCCCAAAGAACAGAAATGGACAATACAGCATGTGGGTTTTTTTTTTTCAATTTTACACTGTTTTGTATATGTATGACACTTAGAGAAACATCAGAGAACTTTTAATTCTACTGATAAATGAAACAGAAAACTTTTAATTCAGCACAGGAAAACATTCCTGCTTCAGCCTGACCTATTTGCAGAACACACTCAGCTCATTTTTCCTGTATACTTTCCTGCAGCTTTGAGTGAAATGTAGCACCAAGGAGAAAGAAGAAAGGCATGTTTAGATGAAAGGAATTTAGCTGCCTGCATTGTTTCTTTGAATTAATATCTTACCCTGTACATAAGTATACAGTATAAGGCTGATACTTTGAAGTATAGGATTTCAAAAGGGGACATTTTAGGAAGGACAAAGGCTTTTAACGAAATTTCCAGGAAACTAAAGGCATTTCAGGCCTGCTTAGCTGAAGCACTTGTGAACATGCATGTATGACGAATGATTTCAATTGAAACCAGCACGAGTTTCACACAATTACCCAACACTTGGAAATAAAGACAAGAGAGGGTTAAGGTTAGGGTTAAGGTTAGTTTCTCCTTTCAGTGGCATACTGAAACATTGCTCAACAGACGCACCCAAGGATTGTTGTGTGAACTAAGGGAGTGCACCTCTGACTCACTCTTTACTGTTGATGGAGGACTCACACTTTATGAAGTTACACTTCAACATGTGTATCTTGTCTGGGAAAGGCAAATCATTTGAATCAGGTAATGAAGACTGCGAGAGGTTATGAGTGTGGTTGCATTGGAGCTCATTCATTAGTCTCAAATCTAGCACTCTTCACAGTCTTTGTATATACCTATACATCCTGATGTCCTCAACATGCTTTTTGAGCTACATTTACCATCTTACTGATTAATGTGTTAATAAGCTAATAAATCTAAACCTACACTCATTTTAGTTTTCCATGAGAGTAGTCTTGGAAAGATTTTTGAGCATTGTGCTTTCACACAATTTTGGACTTTTTATCTGTATCCTTGTTTTGGTGGTGGACTATAAGAGGTTATGCTATTTTTTATTTCTTGCTAGTTTCTTTTTTTAGAGATAGGGTCTCACACTGTCACCCAGGCTGGAATGCAGTGGTACGATCATAGCTCACTGCAACCTCGAACTCCTGAGCATAAGTGATCCTTCTGCCTGAGCCTCCCAAGTAGCCAGAACTACACTACAGGTGCATGCCACCATGGCTGGCTAATTTTTAAATTTTCTGTAGAGATAGGGTCTTGCTATGTTGCCCAGGCTGGTCTCCAAAGCCTGGCCTCAAATAATCCTCTGGCTTTGACCTTCCAAAGCACTGGGATTACAAAGGTGAAAAACCGTACCCAACATATAAAAGGTTATTAAGGCCGAGCACGGTGGCTCACTCCTATAATTCCAGAACTTTGGGAGGCTGAGGTGGGCAGATCACTAGAGGTCAAGAGTTCGAGACCATCCTGGCCAACATGGTGAAACCCTGTCTCTACTAAAAATACAAAAATTAGCCGAGCATGGTGGCGCGTGCCTGTAGTCCCAGTTACTCAGGAGGCTGAGGCAGGAGAATCGCTTGAACCCAGGAGGCAGAGCTTGCAGTGAGCCGAGATCGAGCCACTGCACTCCAGCCTGGCGACAGAGCAAGACTCCATCTCAAAAAAAAAAAAAAAAGTTATTAATAAAAGCACCAAGGGTGTGTTTTCTTGTGTCAGGCTCTTGTTAGTCCTGGGAAGAGGCCACAGACCAAAACTCCTCACTGCCCTGTCGTTATCTGTATGTAGAATAAAATGAAATGCCAGAATAAAATGCCTCATTTGGTTTCATCTGGATTTTTTTTTGCAAATGAAATTCTGTAATGATGGCCTGAGCAGATGTGAAAGGGGCATTTAGAACCAATTCCCAGTTGTTTTGTTTTATATTTGGATTGGGGTGCAAAATGGGCAAGAGAGAGTTGGGCTGTAGTAAAGGCAACACGAGGTCCCAAGGAAAGGAAAATTTAACCTGAAGGAAAATTCAGGGACTGTGTGAACTAAAATCCAAAATTTGTCATGCAGAGAGCTGTGATTAATTTCTTTCACAAGCTGCAGAAGAACAGATTTCCATTCTCGCTCACACAATTGAACTTGGTAATGCCTACACAACAGATGACTACTGCTACTCCCCTGGGCAAAGAAATTATCCCCGCCTCTGGTGCCCTGTGGGCTGAGTCATCTGCTCCTCCACTTCCTGGCTGTGTTTGCTCCTGGCGTCAAATCTTGCTGCTATCCAGCTGGGTTCCAATGATTATTTCAAAATTAACAGCCTAATGTCGTCCCGATGGGACCCGTCCCCACACTTATTACAAAAAATTGCTGTTACATAAACCACTTTTTTCCTTGTCCTATTTTCTGCCCCCTTTTTTAAATGTGTTGAGTTTCTTGGTTGAGGTTTTTTTTTGTTTTTTGTCCCCCATTCCCTTAGCCCCTTATCTTGCAAGTAAAGCACAGTGTCGCAGGGCTACAGGCCTGTTTTGTTTGTCAGTACAGCTTAGGAACTTTCTATACTAGCAAGATATCTGATGTGAGTCCCCTTCTAAAGAAACAACTGGAATGAATTTGAAAATCAAGTAGGAAACACCTTGAGTTAAATCTTTATCTTTTAATTGAGCTCTCTAGTTTCTCCTCTGCCCCATCAAAACAAAGGCTTATTGGAACTAAAAGATGACCCTTTTGCCCTTTAAACTGTACCAATCTATCCCCAGTTTCAAATGTGTTGCTCTCCATAACTCTTGTCTGTCCACATTTGGCAAGTCTTGTAATACACACGGATACCCTTGACTTAATATAGAGTGACCTCCTGGACAAGGCTTCTGTGCAACCTGCTTCTTGTCTTCTGAAGAGCAGAGCAGAGAGCTACTGGCAGCTCATCTCACACTTGACTATTCACAGAAATCACCTGGGGATCTTGTTAAAATGCAGGCTCTAGTTCAGGAGGTCTGGATGGGGCCTGAGAGTCTGCATTTCTAACAAGTTCCCCAGTGATGCTGTTGCTCATGCTGCTGGCTCTGGGACTATCCTTTGAGAACCGTTGCTCTGAAGCATCCCGTCTGTTTCAGGGCAGACGGCCTCATGACCTTTGCCAAAGGCAGAAGCAATGTTCTCTCTACACCATGGAAGAAACTCTAGGGCCTTTGTTGGCCAAGTCGGCCCCTCAGTACGCTCTGTCTGCTCTGCTCAATATTGGAGCCCCTAATCACATATGGTTCTTTAAATGCAGATTTAAATTAAAGATAAACAAGGTTAAACATTTTGTTCCTCAGTTGCATGAGCCACACTGCAAGTGCTCAACGGCAACAGGCCTCTGGTGGCTACTGTACTGAGCAGCAGAGGTAAAGAACATTTCCATCATCATGGGAAGTCCTGCTGGACAGTGCTGTCCTCCAGGAACTCCAAAAATCATTTCTCTCTCTCTCTCTCTCTCATCAAAGCTGCCGGGTTAAGGCCCACTCACACTGGGTAGCAAAGGCCTGCAGGACACAGGGCTTTCCTTTAGGAATCTGCACAATGAAAGATCGCAAATGGTATGATTATGCTTCCTTAAACCAGTGGTTCTGAACCATGGATACATGTCAGAAATACCTGGGAGTCCCAAACAAAATCTGAGGTCCTGGGGTGTGTCAGACACCAGAGAACCCAAATCGGGATGGGGTGGGGGTTGGCGGCTGGGCCTTGGGATTCTTAAATGCATCCTAGGTGGTTCTAATGTGGACCCAAGGTGAGGAATCACTGCTTCCACCTGAATTTAGTGCCGTGCCCTGCACTGACGCACGGTGTGAGAAGGGCTAGGAAACATTTTCTGGGCTTCTCAAAATACTCTGCTTGTTTTCAGCTCCTCATGGCTTTTTCAGTGCCTCCATTTTCAGGTGAAGTCTCTGAGAAATTGGACTGAAGCCTTTAAAAATAATAATAATTTTAAATTTCTAATAGAGACTAAGAAACTGAGACATCTTCACTGTGACATTCTCACACAAGAAGAGATGTTTGGCCGCCGTTGAAGGAACACTGAGATTCATTTTGATCTTTCTTTGCTTCAAGTGTCCCCGTATTGAAACCTGCCTTATTTATGAAAGTCAAGAAGGGAAAATAAAACATTTTTATGTTAACACATTTCTTACACCCATCAGTGTTCCCATTAATGTTCCAGTCACTGGGAAAAGAATAGTGCCTGGGCCAGGCAGGCCCGTGAAAATCATGCAAATAGTTACAGGTGAGGAATTTCATCTTTGGTTGGATTTGACTCTCCATGTGAAGAGTACCTGTGGATATAAGGGACACATTAAGGGTTGCTCCTGAGATTTTGAACTCTCTATGCTAGATGCATACATTAAGAAAATACATTTTTGTTGGGCGTGGTGGCTCACGCCTGTAATCCCAGCACTTTGGGAGGTGGAGGTGGGTGGATCATGAGGTCAGGAGTGTCGCTTGAACCTGGGAGGCAGAGGTTGCAGTGAGCCGAGACTGTGCCACTGCACTCCAGCCTGAGCAAGAAAGTGAGAGACTCCGTCTGAAAAAAAAAAAAAAAAGGAAAAAAGTACATTTTATAAAGATTTAAAAGCAGAGTTTCCTGGTTTCTGCCTTATGCTCATGTAACTGCATTCAGAAAAATGGACAGGGAGGATAGAAAGACCTGTTTAGAAGCAACATCAATTACAGCAAAGATAGTGTAGGCCTTTCAGCTGAACTGGCATTTGGTCTGCAATAATGACATGGTCCAGATGTTGGATCCATGTCACTGTGAGTATCTGAGCTGTCATAGGTCCATGTACACCTGCATGCTTCCGAAGTGTCTTCTATTTTGTTAGTAATCACTCATAGTCTTTTCTTGGCAGTTGGCCACAGAGATTCCTTTTGCTGGGTTGAAAAATATACTGAGGACCAGGCCTATTTGACATTGTGCCTGTGTATAACCCACACTTATCAATTTAAAAATCAGGCCTATAAACAGGCATATGAAAAACTGCTCAACATCGCTGACCATCAGGGAATGCAAATCAAAACAACGAGATGTCATCTCAACTCCATTTAAAATGGCTTTTATGCAAAAGACAGGCGATAACAAATGCTGGTGATGATGTGGAGAAAAGAGAACCTTCATACACTGTTGATGGGAATGTAAATTAGTGTTAATACAACCGCTATGGAGAACAGTTTGGAGGTTCCTCAAAAACTAAAAATAAAGCTACCAGCTATCCTACTGCTAGGTCAATACCAAAAAAAAAAAAAGGAAATCAGGATATGGACATTATCTGCACTCCCATGTTTGTTGCAGTTCTGTTCACAACAGCCAGGATTCGGAAGCAACCTAAGTGTCCAACATCCGATGAATGGAAAAAGAAAATGTGGTACATAGGCCGGGTGCGGTGGCTCATGCCTATAATCCCAGCACTTTGGGAAGCCAAGGTGGTGGATCACGAGGTCAGGAATTCAAGACCAGCCTGGCCAAAATGGTGAAACCCTGCCTCTACTAAAAATACAAAAATTAGCCAGGAGTGGTGGTGGGTGCCTGTAATCCCAGCTACTTGGGAGGCTGAGGCAGAGAATTGCTTGAACCTGGAAGGCAGAGGTTGCAGTGAGCCGAGATCGCGCCACTGCACTCCAGCCTGGGTGACAGAGTGGGACTCCATCTCAAAAAAAGAAAGAAAAGAAAAGAAAATGTGGTACATATACATCATGGAGTACTGTTCAGCCGCAAAAAAGAATGAGATCTTGTCATTTGCAACAACATGGATGAAGCTGGAGGTCATTATGTTAAGTGAAATATACCAGGCACACAAAGACTAACTTTACATATTCTCACTTAATTGTGCCAAAAATTAAAACGATTGAACTCATGGAGATGGAGAGTAGAAGGACTGTTTGTTACCAGAGGCTGGGAAGGGTAGTGTGGAGGTTGGGAAGGGAAGTGGGGATGATTATTGGGCACAAAAAAATAGAAAGAATGAAAAAGACCTAGTAATTGCTAGTATAACAGGGTGACTATAATCAATAATAATTTAATTGTACATTTTAAGTAACTAAGAGTATAACTGAATTATTTGTAACACAAAGTGTAAATGCATGAGGTGGTAGATACTCCATTTACCCTCATGAGATTATCACACATTGTAGGCCTGTATCAGATATCTCAGGTACCTTATAAATATATACCTCTACTATGTGCCCATAAAAATAAAAAAAATAAAAAAATAGAAATAAAGTAAAAACAAAACCTAAGACATGTCAAAGGACCCCTGGTCAAGGGTGACTTCCATGCCTGATATGTGTGGCCAGGTTTTCCAGTTGCAGACATCACTGCTGTTTATCCCTGGTCAGGCCAGGCCGTCTCAGGCATGGTTCATAGTTTACATTGAAAAAAATGCACTGAGGTCTTCTGCGAGGCTGCTAGCATGATACTTTACTAATGTATTGTGCAGATTTTACCATTTGTGACTCTGATTTTCACTGGGGGAAAATTCCTCACATTTAGTAAGCATTCAAGAAAACACTGTTGCTTTTTTCTCCCCCATGGCTGACATTGTCTAAATAGAAAGCATGGTGGATAGGTAGCTATTTTCCAAATCTCAAGCCCTGCAACTGTTATTAACAAATATTTATAACATTAAGCATATTTTGCCTTGTTATTGTCCCTCATTTTGTCATTGTACTACATGAAATAGTAAATTTTAAGTGTAAGCAAAGAAAAAAATAACTCAGCTTCTGGTGAGCATAAGACACACAGAGCGCTGTAGGAAAACAGGTGACCTGTGACCAACAGGGACAGCAGCATTTTCTCTGCTCTATGTATTATACACATTCGAAATACTTTTTGTCTGTCCCTAAAGTGACTTACATGTGCAAAGGAAGTGAACCGAGAGGTTCTTGACCTTGCACGTGTGTCAGCATGGCTTGTGGCGCTCATTGAGGATGCCTGGCTTCCTGTCCACACCACCAGTTCTGCTGGAACGTTCTGATGCCCAGTGCCAGCCCAACTCCAGCCATTTCTGCCTCTTGGAAAGCTTCCTGTCCCCAAGATGACCAGTTCTTGGAGATTTTTTTTTTTCCAGAGGGCCAGAACTCACACCCTGTATGATGTTGGAAAGGATACACGTAGCCATTGCCAGGCAACAAGCACCCACCCTACATCTCCTTTAAAATAAATGCATGTCGGGTCTCTGGAACCCAACAATGCCTCCTGAGAAGGACAAGGGGATGGGACTTTACAAACATGTTTACATCATCTTACAGATGATGTCCAAAATTATAGACATTACAAAACCCCAACTACAATAAAAAATACAAAAAAAAATACAAAAATTAGCCAGGCAAAAAAAAATACAAAAATTAGCCGGGCCTGGTGGCTTGCACCTGTAGTCAGACAGAATTTCAGTTACAGAGCAAATGACCAGAATAACTTGTGAAGTATTTTATATCAAAACTCATGCCAGTCTTGCTGTATTTACATAACATATATAATTATTATTTTTGATTTCTGGAGGGAAATCATCTTCTCTCTTCTAAGTTAATACATTGTCCGAGCTGGTAGGGACCTCGGTGACCATGTGCCCCAATGAATTCTTCCAGGAGGACGAGAGGATGGGCCAGAACTCCTGCCCTTGAACCCAGAGCCTGCTGGCCCCCTGATTACGGCTTTCACGAGAAGCAGGATCATATCATGGCCACCGCGTCTTTATCCAGAGTTTGAAAGTTGGGTTAGAAATATTCCCTGTTTTCATTTCATGCATCACAGAACCTGGGTAAGCCATGACCCCAGCTCTCCCCATTTTGGGGTCTCTTGATGGTGGGAGTCGGCTTCACAGCTCAGCTGATGATGAGAACCCTTGAGGATCCTACATCTGGCCACTGCCAGGCCAGCAAAAGTGAGAGAAGTCACATCAGACTGCCTGAGACCTGTGAAAAGGGGCCACGTGGGAACTCTCAGGATGGTGACGGAGGTGAAGCAAGTGAGAAATGAGCAAGCAAGCAGGATTTGGGACCTCCTGGCTTCCCACACCACTGAGTCACAGAGGAAACTCTCAGAAGATACAGCGAAGCCAGCATGGTTCCCCTGATGAGGGCCAGGGAAGAGCTTGCCACTGACATTCAAAGGCTGTCTGGTCCCAGAATTCATACATATAAATTGTGAAACTTTCGGCCAGGCACAGTGGCTCACGCCTGTAATCCCAGCACTTTGGGAGGCTGAGGCGGGCGGATGACCTGAGGTCCCGAGTTAAAGACCAGCCTGACCAACATGGAGAAACCCTGTCACTACTAGAAATACAAAATTAGCCGGGTGTGGTGGTGCATGCCTGTAGTCCCAGCTACTCAGGAGGCTAAGGCAGGAGAATCGCTTGAACCCGGGAGGCAGAGGTTGCCATCAGCCGAGATCGAACCATTGCACCCCAGCCTGAGCAACAAGAGCAAAACTCCATCTCAAAAAAAAAAAAATTGTGAAACTTTCTGTGCAGCCAGTCAACCCATGTTAAAATGTTAAAAGGACTGTATTAGTCCATTTTTACACTGCTGATAAAGACATACCTGAGACTGGGTAATTTATAAAGGAAAAGAGGTATAATGGACTCACAGTTCCACATGGCTGGGGAGGCCTCACAATCATGGCAGAAGGTGAAACGCATGTCTTAACACGGCGGCAAGTAAAGAGAGAATCAGAGTCAAGCGAAAGGGGTTTCCCCTTATAAAACCATCAGATCTCGTGAGACTTAATAATTCCATGAGAACAGTATGGGGGAAACCACCCCCATGATTCAATTATCTCCCACCGGGTTCCTCCCACAACACTTGGGATTTACTGGAGCTACAAGTCAAGATGAGATTTGGGTGGGGACACAGCCAAAACATATCAGGGACATAATTCCTAATGAAACAAATAATAAAGTTGAAAATTTGGAATTGTATTAGATTCCCTTTGAGAGCAACATGAGTGACTCTGTTAGCATGCGCATCCAAGGCACAGTAAGTACCAACACCTCCGAATAATTGATCTGCCTTATGTATGACAGACTTGCCTCATTTATAACAGATGAGTGAATTTCTTGGCATGGATCTCTTCTGTTTTTTCAAACTTCTTGGTTTCCTCCTAAGAAGTGCCAACAGTTAACATTTAGGTGACAGATTAGATTCTGCCTAGAAGTGTAAGGAGGCTGCCTCCATCACAGAGGGTTTTATTTATTTATTTATTTTTTGAGACAAGGTCTCCCTTTTGTCACCCAGACTGGAGTGCAGTAGTGTGATCTCGGCTCACTGCAATTTCTGCCTCCTGGGCTCGAGTGATCCTCCCACCTCAGCCTCCCAAGTAGCTGGGACTACAGGTGCAAGCCACCATGCCTGGCTAATTTTTTATCTTTTTTTTGAAGAGACGGGGCTCTCGCCATGTTGCCCAGGCTGATCTGGAATTCCTGAACTCAAGTGATCAGCCTGCCGTGGCCTCCCAAAATGCTGGGATTACAGGCTTGAGCCACTGCACTTGGCCCACAGAGGGGCTTAGAAATAGGAAGAAATATCTTGCATTCCATCATACAGTGGCAAAGCGGTCTCACACTAACAATGCTACCACAGAAGAGTGATGTGGGTAGGCGCTGGTATAAGAAAAATGTGGGTTTATGGGCAAAGGACATTATTTTGAACAGCGGTTCTCAAAGTCTTTCTTCTTTTTTTTTGTTTTGGAGACAGGGTCTTGCTCTGTTGCTCAGGTTGGAGTGCAGTGGTGCCATCATAGCTCACTGTAGCCCTGAGCTCCTTGGCTCAAGTGATCCTTCTGTGTCAGCCTCCAGAGTAGCTGAGACTACAGGTGCATACCACCACACCTTGCTAATTTTTAAAATTTTGTAGAGATGGGGTCTTGCTATGTTGCCCAGGCTGGTCTTAAATTCCTGGGCTCAAGCAATCCTCCCACCTTGGCTTCCCAAAGTGCTGAGATTACAGGCAGGATCTCCTACTGCTGGCCCATGTTTCTTGATTGGTGATACCACCACTGGGAAGAGAGCCACACTGGTTTTTCGGAGCATCCAGAAATTTGAGGGTGAATTCGCACACCTCTTTGCCTTTGGGCTGATTACCCCTTTGCTGGCTCAGGCCAAGCGTGAAATGTTCTATTTCTAGAGAGGAACACTTCACCCTTCCTCATTGCCTAGCCCACCCTGGATTCCGCTTGCCAATATTTATACCCACTTCCTGACTCAGAGCAAAACTTTTAGTGAACTCTATAAAAATGTGGCTTTTACCAGGTCATTTTGAGCCCAGTGTGTCCTCTGAGTTCTTGCAGACAATGCAAGAGCCCATGCCCGAGTTAAGGTCTGGCCATAGACACAAGTCTTGCCTGCCTCTGTCTCTCACCTGGGAGTCTCAATCATTTTCCACTTGGGAGCTGACCCTTGGTCACAGCCTGTCCATGGAGGTTTCTGAGTCCCGGGCAAGAGACGCGTGGCGGGGTGTGTGCCGCTCTCATTTCATGTGATGATCTGAAGCACTTGGTGGCTCACTCTTGTGCAGGCCTATTATTTATTTTCTAAGCCATGACATATTTGCTGGATTGATTTGCATCAAAATAACACATTTAGATGAGAAGGTTAGCTACACATGGTTGTAATATGCAAATATGAATTCATGTGCAGAAAATTTCTCCTATATGCAACATTACTTTTTCTTGTAGTTTATAATGAAATCCTTTTTACCTTAAATGAAATTGGTAGTCACCTGCTTCCATCTCTGCAGAGTGAATATCCCACACAGAATTTTGGCTTTCCTGCATCTTTATCTTAAATCATTTACTTTCATCTGATTTAGTTTTAATTTAAAAGTTCTTTTGGGATGGGAACAGACAGACTGCAGAATGGTAGAAAATGGAGATTATGAAGAATTAGACATACTCTTTTCCCACTTTCAGCTATTCATAGCTCTCAGGAAGTAGAAGGAAAAAATAATTCTGAAAAATGGAAGAAATAGTATCTGTGTGCATGTATGCATGTATGCTTTTCATAAGTTGTAAACCTATGATACTGGTGGGGCTGGTGTAAGAAAAATGTGGTTTATGGGCAAAGGACATTATTTGGACCAGTGGTTCTCAAAGTCAGTTCTAGACCCAACAGTGGTAATGTGTGGGCATTGGTGAGAAATGAAAATTCTTGGACTTATCCTTGGGTCTACTGAGTTAGAAACTCTGGGGTGAGGCCCAGAAGTCTCTAGATAATTCTGACGTATGCATCAGTTTGGGAAACACTGATTAAATAATATGATGAATAAATGCAGGTAAACATGTTTTTCACATGTGAAGTTGGATTGAATATTTAAGCAATTGTAAAAAACTGTTCTACATGTTATGACAATACATTTTTAGAAAAGCTGGAACTGGTATATCAGAAATCTGTAACCAGCAGACAAAATCCATTCTCCTAAGAAAACAGCACTGGGCATTTGGGTTCAGACTCATTGGTGGTTAGAGCCATGATGACCAAACACAGTACAGATTTAGTATGTAGTATTTTAAAAAATGAATCATCCTTCATTAATCATGGGAGGAAGTGAAATGTCTGACTTGGCACATCAAAAATAAAGATGTAAAACTGAGTGGAGTACACTTTATTTTGCAAGAATTAAAAAACATTAGTTTTGTACTGGAAGCACCTTCACACACAAGCATATCTCTTTTAAGCAATGATTTATAAGCATGGCTCAGAAGCACTGAAAAAAGCAATTGCAGGGATTCTGAAATTCCTCATCACATTTCATTCCAAGTTTTGTGTGTAGTTTTCTGGAATCAGTTACTGGATTGATTGTCCCAACAAACCAGAAGATGTGACATCACCAAATTCAGCTTTTGATAAATAGGGTAAGTGGGAAGTTATATGAAGAAGAAACATAATTTATGTATACATGCATATGTTTATGTAAATTCATTCAAGTAGAAAAATCCTCATGTGGCATCTGTGAAAGCCAAAATTGTAGTTTTAAATCTTACCTCCCCTCCTTCTTATTGCAAAAACGAAGACCAAGACCAACATGAGTATTAACTGTGGCTACTCACTATGTTTAAATCTCTGTAACGTGGCAAGAATGTTTGCTACATTAAGGTTTAGTAAGAATTTCTTAAATTAATGGGACTACTGGGTACATGTTATTAAAGAAATAAATGGCCTGAGTGTAACAGTAAGCCATCTGAACAACTTTGGTGGAGTTTTGTTACTCTGCCCTGTGTTGTAAGCATAAAGTTCAATGTGAGATCAATTCTGGGGCCTGGCATTATCTATCTCATGTACATTGCTAATCTTCTCTGCTCTCCACAGCCCCAGCTCCTCACTTTTCAGCATCTCAGCAGGGCCCACATCTCTGGATGACGAGACAATGAACATATAGCTTTTTATTTATCAGAGAAAAGTTTGCGGAATCCGCCTCTGTTATTCTTGCATAATAATAGAGAGTTGGAAGAACTTTTTTGAAAAAATTTCAATAATCCACTGGCTTGTCTTCATACAGAGTTTTGGTATCACATAGATGGTGTGTGTGTGTGTATGTGTGTGCACACACGTGTGTGAGTATGGGCAGCCATTGCAGAAAATAACAAAATAAATGAGACTCATTAATTAGTATGAGACTTTACAAAATCCAATATGAAAATATCTCATCTATTTCAAAATAGTTGATGGAAATGGGTCAGCGTAACTGGATAATTATTCTGTTAATGGGATAATTATTCTACTTTAAAAAAGTGAAAATAAATAAATCTCGGAAAAAGCATCATCGTCATCACCAACTTCTCACTTCTAATTTTTCCCAACGATCTGAATTTTTTTTTTGAGATGGAGTCTCGCTCTGTCGCCCAGGCTGGAGTGCAGTGGTGCGATCTCGGCTCACTGCAAGCTCCGCCTCCCAGGTTCACGCCCTTCTCCTGCCTCAGCCTCCCGAGTAGCTGGGACTACAGGCGCCCGCCACTGCGCCCGGCTAGTTTCTTGTATTTTTAGTGAAGACGGGGTTTCACCGTGGTCTCGACAATCTGAATATTTTTAAGAACAATTAGGTAAAATTCTAGGACACTATTTGGTTACATTTATTTTTATACACCACAACGTAAAACGGTCTGGATTTTACAATGTTATCACTCCTTACCTTTTTCTAAACATTCAGGCTTTTCTTTGAAGCTGGAATGCTTAAAATGAGCTCAAATTTGCTGCTTGAGTTATACAGAGTCTCGGATCCCTAGTATGCAAATCTAGGACTGTAAACTATAAGTGTCTGTAGCAAAAGACCTAGGAAAATAAAATGGCTTCTATCCACTTACCCTCTATGCCAGGTATCTTTTGGAGGTGAATACAAAACATATGCCTACAAAAGTGAACTATTACTAAAAAGGTAGAGCCAGCAGTTTTCTGTAGAAGGGGCAGACGCTATCTTTCCATTGTGCCTGGAAATATCCCCTCATAGTGACCTCTCAGTGTATCTGAGGCCACTTGAGGGCCTCAATGACTCCTCCTGGCAGTGACTCTCAGCAAGGTAGAAACAGAATCTCTGGGAACAGAGGGTCTTCTCCAGGTGCCAGCTGTTGGGGGCCACTAGGACACACTCAGGAGCAAGTGTGAGCCCCAGTGCCCATCTTCCCTTGGCCAAGGCCAGAAAGACGTCCCACTTGTGCACGAGGCTGCGGCCTGGGGAGTTCAGCCTGCTCAGAAAACTGCCGTGAGGGTTTCTCTAGGAGACATCGTCAGGTTTGGGGATATTGACAAAGGTTCTTTCCTCAAACTTATCCCAGCCCCATCTTAAGTCCCAGCTCAGCAGAAGTCGTGAAAAGAGCAATATCAGCAATCCGGCATCACTGAACAGCCGGCTCATTTCAAACCCCATTCTCAACTCACGACCCAAGACAGTTGTGCATGCCTGAGTTCTAGGCAGAAATAGGCTAAATTCTCATTTCAGAAAGGAAACCCCCACAGTTCCTGGGTTGGCAATCATTATGCATGGAAGCATGAAAACTCTACGCTGTCCCATAATTCTCACTTTGAGAAATTCAGCCATGAACTATAGTTTCTAAAGATTTCATAGAAAATGTATTTTTTTAAATCAAGCTTCTGACTAAATGTCTTTGCTTAATATTAAAAGTAAAACTAATTAAGACTAGTTTAACAAGATACTTAACATGAAAGTATCTAATGCTTTGTAGGCACTGATCAGCACAATGAAAATACCCTGCCCTGTGTCCAGGGTATATTTGTAAAATATACAAATATAGTAATAAAACATTTGAAGATGGAAACACTCAAAACATGCTAAGTATCTAGTATTCCTCCCACCTTGGGAATATATATTTTTCAACAGTTAAATAAAGTTGGTGCTGTGGATTAGTGGCTATTTTTCTTCTGCCTCTTATAAATGAATTATGCTGCATTTCTGGTGGAAGCCTAGCTCTCTGTGTTTACTAATTTAGATGTGGGTAGTTATTTCTTGAGCATCACCTAGAATCAGATCATGGCTTATTACAACTATGTTATTGTCACTTTTAAGGAATCAGCTTTGGGGAAATCTTAATTTTCACGATTAAGAACTACTAAAATCAGACAGAATGGAGAACTTGGCCACTCCAGAATGTCATCATCAGTACTGTGATGCTCCTTCTCTCATGTTCAATGGAAAGAATGAATTCTTAACTAATGTATTCTAGGACGGGTAGAGTTCTGGAATTCTGTGACAGGATGATAGGCCTAAAGTCCCTTCAAGATTTAGAGGGGACCCACAGCTGGCCACTTCATTCTCGTAATCTGCCACACGTACGCCAGCTTTCCAGGTGAGGCAACGCAGAAACAGCAGGTGGCAAATGCCTGGCCACATAGTGACTACAATCATTTTACCTCCCATACATTCTCCTCAATGAAAAATGCACAGCTTTCCAGGGGAGAAAGTAATGCACTCTGCTCTGGGAAGGATAGAGAACAGAGAAGTTTATTTTACACTATCCGTCCAAGAAAACAATCGCCATAAACCAGTGCAAAATGTGCAACAGAATCAATAAGTGTGTCTTAGCTCTGAGAGCCCAAATTGGTGATTTCTTCTCCTGTTCCTCAGTTGGGCACGTGCCCCATCCGTTAATGCTGGTTCGCACCACAGACAGAAACATTCAACCAATTTGTAGCAGGTTATTTTTACAAATTCATACCAGAATGTGTACAAGGGACAGGGAAAACCATACCGAATGAATGATAAGTGATCAGTGCTTAAAGTAAATACAAGGGACAGCACGGGCAAGAATCCACAGTTTCAATAAATACAAGTGAACAAGCATGGTGTGTCTCAACTGGGTGGAATTAGTCTGCATAATAATTCAGCATCATACAAAATCTAGCAGGGCTGTTGAGCAGTGATTGGCAAAAACGTTCACAATAACTTATGCCCTTGAGCGAGTCTGCATGTAACACATTCTGTGGTTTCAAAGGTGTCAGTTCTCTGTTTTCTCCTTCCCTGGCCATCCCTCCAGGAAGGGAGGGGTGCAGCTGGGCCGGCTTGGCGGAGGCGCCCCGTGAGGAAGGACGTTTGCCCAAGAGCCAGTGGTCAGGGTCCAGTGTACTCAATACCAAGTGGCAAATTGGGACTTAATTGACGACGTCTGTGCAAAGTGCGCTTCTCTCCATTTTCCAAGAAACCAGTGTCTGTAACTCCTGCATGAAAAGCAGTGGTGGCCTCTGGGTCACTCCCTGTCACCCCAAATGCCAAACAACAAGAGCACATCTCAGGGACTCACAAGTCGGGGAAGCTTCTGTTTTTGACTGCCTGGCAGCTCATGGATGGGTAGTTTGTTTAACTGGGGCCCCCTTGTCCAAGGCAGGCTAGAACTATTGCTTGAAAACTAGAAAGAACCTAGTGAGAAAGAGATGGTGATGATGGAATGAGGGAAGTTGTCTTCTTCCTCCAAAACCTTGTGCCCCCCCAACCCCAGGGGACGCCCATAAGACTTTAGCGAGGCGTCCTTGGCTATAAAATGTCATGCATTTGTTCTTGGTGGCCTTGCCCAGTGGCTCCTCTAAAAAGCACTACATCCATGCATACTCCAACACATCTGGGATGCAAGCCCAGACAACACGGCAGGTGCAGCCTTTGGGTAATTGATTAATCCAGAGCCCAGTGGAAGAAGATGCAAGAGAAGCTCTTGATCTCTGGAAGAAAAGGAGTAAAAGGGGAAGGCCCCCAAAAGAAAACAATCCCCCCAAACCCAGTAACCTAGGCATCATCTCCAAACCAAACAAAATCCCAAATGCTCTCTGTAATCAACGGGCCCCCTCCTCTCTATTTCTTCAACAGTCTCAGGTCACAAATTAGGTGAGTCTTCCATCAAATAACTTAAAAAAGGAGGAGGGATTGGAATCAGTGTTGCCTGGCTCAGGCCAGTTAGCAGCCAGTTTTTCTAGAATCTCAGTCACTGTTCAAAAATGGAGCTGGAAAAGTCACGTGGATGTTGGATGTCTTCACACGGAGGAGGCAGGAAAGGGTGGGTGGGCATGACCCAAGGAGGTGGGGGAGCGAGGATGGGTCAGGGGAGAGCCTGGGCCACCAAAACAGGAGCGGAGGCCTGAGGACAGCACAGGAGAGACGAACGCCGTGGCCCCGGGGGCCTGTGTGACTCGGGGTGCGGCCGGGTCTCGTATTGCACAGAAAAGAAGGAGCTGAGCCTCTGTGGGCACCCGGCGGCTCAGTGGTCCCCGCACATGGGCAGGTTCACAAAGGTGAACACGTTGAACTCAGTCATGATGGAGAAGCACAGGAACACACCATACAGGAGGAGGCACCCACAGCCCAGCTTCTTGTCCAGCTGCCACTTGTTCAGGTGGACGCCGAACACCTGCAGGGCACAGAACAGGTTCAGAGGGCACCAGGAGGAGGCAGCAGCCTTTGGGGGGTTGGTAGGGGAACCCAGGGGACCCGGGGAAGGGCTGCTGACTATGGGCCTCGGGCAGGGTGCTGATCCTCTCTGAGCCTGCAAAATCCACCTCTCGTCTCAGATTGTGGGAGGTGAGAACATCAACATCAGGAAGAAAGGAAGCCAGAAGCTGCTGGTTGTAGAAAAATAACTAAAACAAATGGCAGGACTCACAAGCACATCCCAGCAGCCAACCCTCTTTCACGAAGCTCCAACTCCACACCCCTGTGGGCCCTTCATCTGTTCTGGGCCTTCCCCATCTTGCTTTAAGCAGGCCCCCACTCCCCTGGGGACACTGACCCCTCAGTCCTCAGGCGGTGGCGGCTGCATCTCTTCCTACGGCTGCGTCTGGAGGTGAGAAGTTCCTCCCTCCCCACAGCAAATCATGGCTGCTTCCAGACCATTTTCCTTCTCTCCTCCCTAAAAACACTGAGCCTGGAATCTCGGTTCTTCCCACAGTTCCTCTTGGTTCTGCCTGTTGCAGCCAACGATGTAACCCCGGCCACTGCCTATCCTTGAAGCTTTCCGCCCGGCTCTTGCCACTCTCCACTGCACTCCTGCTGACTTTCTCTGTGATTTCAATGCCTCCAGAGGGGAGAGGGTCTTTCCAACACCCTGCCCCATCAAGTCCTCATCCTTCATCTGGCCTCAGCCACTCACACCCACCAGCCTATGTGCTACCCAAATTTAAATGAAATAAAATTAAAACACAGCTCCACATTTCAAGTGCTACAGCCAACCATAGCCAGTGGTACTGTCCAGCCCAGGTGTAGGCCATTTCACTGCAGAAAGGTCTGCTGGGTGGCACTGGGGCCTAGATGTTGCTATTGGCAGTGACAGAAGCATCTGTCTTATCTTAGTGTCACTCATCCCACTTTCTGACTCAAATCTCTTCCTTTCTAGCTTACTCCGCCTGATTCCCCAGCTCCCACAACTCTGCAAATGCCCATAGCCCACACCTCATTGATACCATCACCACTTCTCTAGGCTTCACCCACTTTGCCCGTTTCCTTCTCTCCTTCCTCTGATTCAATTCCACCCACACTCGCTGGAGTCACTCCGGGGCATCCACCCTGATTCCCTGGCCTCTCTCTTGCTTGGTTGTCCTTGCTTGGCTAAGCCATAGCCCTTCAGTTCAAGCCAAGTCCCAATCTGGTTCATGCTGCATCCACGCAGCTGTCCATCAGGGTTGGAGGAAATCGGTCAGCCATGCGGATGGGTCTTATTTTAAATTAGAGACCACTGACATTAAGTGGGTCATTCATGCTTTTCAGCAGGCATCTCATCCTTCCCTAGTCCCTTGTCTCTCCCTTCCCCAGACGGCTACTTCACACCTCTCCCCTTTCTTCCAATCTCCGACACTCACTTCCCCGTCCTCACTTATCCCCACGGCACAGAGCTCCCAACCCCACCTCCCTGCCTTCTCTCCTGGCAGTGAGGTCAACTCCACCCTGCATGCCCCAGATCCCATCTCCCACCCTTCTTAAGGACCTGGTTCCAGCAACTCCCTCTCCTCTAGCACATGCCCCAACTCCATCCCTGGATTATTCTAATTGGCATACAAAGATTCTGTTATCTTATTCATCTTAAAATAACACTTTTTTTCCTGAATTTCCGTTTTTCTCCTTTCTTTACAGTCAGATAACATGAAAGAGTTGTGAATGTCTGCCCACGGTCTCCAATCTCTCTCCTTTCATTCTCTATTAACTTATTCCACTTGACTCCACAGCACTACCCTCTCATTAGCACCAATGGTTTTGCATTGCTAACTCCCATGGCCAATGCTCAGGGCTCCTCTCCCTGACTCAGCCAATAGCTCCCTCCACCTGGAAAACCCTCCAGCAGGTGGCTTCCAGGACCCTGCACTCTCGTGGTTTTATTCCCGCATCTCCAAACTGTTCCTTCTCTGTTTCTTTTGGTGTTTCTTCCTTATCATCCTGACCTGTAAGCATCAGACTGCCTCAACACTGAGATCTTGGGGCTCTTCTCTCTTTTGTGTACACTCATTCCCTTGGAGATCTCTCCCAACTGCAGGGCTTTAAATACCATCTACACTATGGTGTCTCTAGACTGAACATTTCTCGTGAACTCAGACTTATATTTCCAATGGCTTTCTTGACCTCTTCCTTTGGATGTCAAACAGGCATTGCAAACTTAAGATGTTTAAAATTGCTTTTCCTCCCCCAAACCTGCCTCTCTTCAGCATTTTGGTAACCTCATTTTGACAGCCCAGTTAGTGGTTAGCCAGGTCTCCTGTAGATGGTATAACTATAGCATAGCCTAAAAAGATGCACCGTAGCTATGATTGTGCACCCTGGTGTCAGATGCTTGTTCCTCCATTCACTTGGTGTCAATAAAAAGGAGTCAATTAGCTCCTCTAGGCCTCAGTCGCTCATTTGTATAATAGGTTGATCTTAGTGAACCTCATGGGGGGCATGATGAGCTCCAAATGGGAAGATATGTATACAAAACATTAAGTACGGCGTGTGGCTATTACAAATATCACCACTCCAAGTCATAGCAGAACTGCAGGACCTCCTAAACCATAAGAGCATGAATGATGTCGATTTGCACTTTTGTATAAGGCAGTATTAGCTTTGGTGAAATCTTGACATTCAATTCACACCCTGATCCTGTAAACTACTTATTTTGCTTCCTGCCTGTCCTTCTGAATTCCCATTCTCTGGCATATTTATGCTAACAACATGCCAGGTGTAACTCAATGACTATTTCCTTGAATAATTAAGGAAAAAACATATTGTGTCTCAATGCTGCTTAATGCCAACAGCATATTTGTATGTTAATGGATGCTTCATGTGGATGAGTCCATGCGTTGGTGTGAACTTGTTCCAAACACAACAGTTGAGTTGGGAATATTAAAGTACGCAAGTGGGCGTAATGGCTGAGAGAGTGGAATGGCCTCAAAATGTACTGTCAATAAAATATATTTTTAGTTTCCAAGTATTAGTCAAATTCATGGATTCGTATGGGAACCTGGAACAATCAATGAATTGGAATCTACCTTTCCATGACTCATATTGCAGACAAAGTGGGATCTTCTCTTTGTGTTTGGGAAAATGGTTTGCTTTCTATGTAAGATAGGGCCATGCCTTTGAGAGGAAGGCTGGCTTCTTTCAGAAAGGGAGAAGGTGTTCTAGTGGGTTGCTAGGACTCACTTCTAGAAGAAAGAGCCAGGAGATGGGACAAGGAGGTTGCTTGTACCCAGTCACCAGGAGACCAAGCTCATCTGGTCTCCAAAGAAACCAAGGGGAGGAAAGAACAGGCAAACACAAGTACGAGGAGAGAGCTGCCAACCTACCGTGACAAAAACAGAGGCCAGGAGCAAGCCTACGGAGTAGATCAGCCCCCTGCTATTCAGCCGGATCTGTAAGAGAGGGTTAGAGTTAGGCTTCTGACAAGCTAGGCTTCCAAAGCAGAGTTAGGCTTTGGAAAAGGCATCTGCCTACGCAACTCTGAGTAGCAGTGATTCCACATCTCCCCTCTAGAATGAAAAAGCAACAGCTTCAGCAGCCAGCTCCACAGCTTATACTTGAGACGTGTGCTGTTCTGGAAACCCAAGGCTTGTCTTTGTCTTGTCCACTCTCAGTCCCATCCTGGCCTTACCCTCAATAGCAGGCCCCTGGCTGGAGTGCCCCACGGCCACCTGAACCCTCTATCTGGGACTGTGAGATTCTTGTGGCCCACAACACATCCCTGTCCACGTGTTCCTTTACCTCTGGGGAACTTTTACTTTCTCAAACCCGTACTGCTTTTAGGATGAATTTCATGACATGGGCAATGGAAAAATATGAATAAACTTTTCATCTCTTTTGCACCAAAATGTCTCTGTCCTTCCCCTAACTTGATGGGAAGAAGTGGAGGAGGGTTGCTGTTGTGAGCAAACAAAACAGAAGAAAAAGTTAAAATTCCATTTCTGATGTTAGTAAAGGGATTTTTGGAGGTTTGTTTTTTGCAGAATGGGGATAACAGCCAATGAAGAGAAAAAGAGAAGCATATTTGGAGTTCCTTCTTTTTTTTTGAGACAGGGTTTCACTCTGTTACCCAGGCTGGGGTGCAGTGGTGTGATCTTGGCTCACTATAGCCTCAACCTCCCAGCCACAAGTGATCCTCCCACCTCAGCCTCCTGAGGACTACAGGCACACACCATCACACCTGGCTGATTTTTGATTTTTTGTAGAGACTAGGTCTCACTACGTTGCCCGGGCTGGTCTTGAACTCCTGGAAGCAAGTGATCCTCCCAGCTCGGCCACCCAAAGTGCTCATTACAAGCAGCCCAACATGCTCTCAAAGTGGCTCATTACAAGCATGAGACACTGCACCCAGCCTTGGAGTTTCTATAGAATAGCACTGATGAGCAGAACTTTCTGTGGTGATGGAAAAGTTCTATATCTGTGCTCTCCAACATGGTAGCCATTAGGTACAGGTGGCTGTTGGGCATTTGAAATGTGTCTCATGCAACTGAAAAAAAAAGAAACAGTTTTAATCTCATCTTTAACCAAATTTACATTTAAAGAGCCACATGTGGTTGTGGCTATAATATCAAGCAGAGCAGGTAGAGAGTACTGGGGTGCTGACTTGGCTGACAAAGGCCAAATAGTTTCTTTCATGATGTAGAGAAGACACTGCTTCTGCCTTTGACCAAAGTCATGAGGCCGGCTGCCCCAAAATAGAAGAGATTCCTTAGAGCAGTGGTTCTCAGAGGGTGGTTTTGGGGCCAGCAGCGGCAGCAGCTCTCGGGAACTTGTTAGAAATGCAGGATCTCAGGCCCCACCCAGAACTCCTGAATCAGAAACCCTGGGGCAGGGCCCAAGAATCTGTGCTTTAACTCCAGGTGATTCTGATGCACAGGAAAGTTTAAGAACCACTGATTTAGAGAAAGCATAAAGCTCAGATCCACTTCTGTTCTCCAAGGGTTCTGTGGAAGGGATCTTGACATTCATTTTTCACATGTTTTCTTGGAAATGCTTGTGTGCATTCAGGTTTGAGGACTACAGACCCCAACCAATGTACACTCTCCTGCAGGGAGTGAAAAGCTTCTCTACGTTCTTGGGAAGGGAAAGTGAGGCTGGTTGATTTGTGCATTGTTTCTGTTAGACAACTAAGTGGTAATTATCGAGTAGGAGTGGTTCTGGGCCCTTCTGACAGGGTTTAAGGTACCTCTTGGCATGACTGCACCAGTTCACTACTGGAGTGTGCATATGGGAAGGAGTCTCCATAGGTGGGTGTGTCAGGTTTATTTTCTGACAGGACAGAAAATAGGGACACCATACGCCCTAAACAGCCAACCCTTTCTGTGAAGATGTGACTTAATGATGTCCTGTCACAGAGGGATTGAGCTGGACTCTTTCTCTCGTGACTTGCAATCCCTGTGAGTCAACCATTTGCTGGCCCCCAGCTGGAACATGCTTCCCTGCCACCAAATGCCTTCCCGAGAATAAAGGAAGACTCAAGTCATATCTCTGTGACACTAGAGCAATGGCTTAACCTGGTTAATTCAGTGTGGAAAAATGGCAGATCGGCCCCGTCGCAGTCCAGCTGGTGGCTTAACTTCATGCACACACTCAACCTGACTGCGGATAGACTTTCCTACTTTCATCAGCTGGGTTGGTATAAAGAGGCCAGCATACAAGACTGCATCGCAAATGGGTTGTACTGAAGATTTTCTTCCTCCAAATATTCTGTCCACACTGACTATGATAATCCCCTGTGTTCTGGTCAATGTTGAATGGGAGAGATGGGCTCCTCAGAGCAAGATGGCAACCCCTAGGAGAGAGGAAGAGGCTCTTGGAGCTATCCTCAGTCACCCTTGGGTAGATGTGAAACTGTAGATAAACACTCAGGAATCCTTTTGAGCTCTTAACTTTCAGCACTGCGCATACAGATATCTTCTAAGAGGGGCAATGCATTTCCAGCACAGCTTGCCCTCTGAGCTCCAGGGTCAAACCCTTGTCAGCAACAAGAACTTAGTAAAGTGATTTCATGCCCTTAAGAAACCAAGAGCCAGTGACAGCAAAGCTCCTAGCAGGAAAATTCCCTTTGGCCAAACATTTTCAAAAGGAATCCTGTTAAACCAAAGCTTTTGAACTTTACTCTTCCTATGTTCACATGAAATCTCGAAGAACAGTGTGGCTGAAATTCTAAATCTGGTTCCAGAGGCCAAAGGCAACTCACTCTTTTGTGGAGTTGCTGTGTTTTTAACTTCTCACCTTTTTCTCTATGGCCTTCCTTTGGTCATGAACTACTACACACACCCAGGGGTGTATTTTTGTGTTTTCATTGTTAGAGACCTGGGCTCTCAAAGCCTGTATTTACTCCTTGCTGTCTGACCCTTGTACTTCCACCAGGATGTGACAGGCAGGAATGAGGGCTCCTTCAGCTGCCTTCTGGCCCAGCTCAAACATCTCCCAGCTGCTGCAGCTATGGATGGTTTGGGGCAGGAGTCATTGCCATTGCCTCTTTTTGTTGTTTTTTTTTTTTTTTTTTTTTAGAGACTGGGTCTCATTGTGTTGTCCAGGCTGGAGTGCAGAGGTGAAATCATAGCTCACTGTAGCTTTGAACTCCTGTGCCCAAGTGATCCTCCTGCCTTAGCCTCCCAAGTAGCTGGGACTATAGGCACACACCACTATGCCTAGCTAATTTGTTGTTGTTGTTTGTAAAGATAGGATCTTGCTATGTTGCTCAGGCTGGTCTCAAACTCCTGGCCTCAAGCAATCCTCCAGCATTGGCCTCCCAAAGTGCTGGAATTACAAGCATGAGCCACGGCATCTGGCTCCAGCCTGTCTTTGTAAATAAAATTTTATTGGAACTCAGTTCATTCATTTATGTATCATCAATGGCTATTTTCACACGACAGCAGCTGAGCTGAGTGGTTTTGATGGAGACAGCATGATCCACAGGGCTTAAAATATTTCCTCTCTGGCCCCTTGTAGAAAATGTTTGCAACCCTCTGGTTTAAGGCATGGACTCCAGAGCTAACTTCCTGGGTTTTGAATCTCTTCTTGGTCATTCACTTGCTGTATCATCATGGATGGGTAACTGAACTTCTCTAAGCCTCAGTTTTTCAAAGTGTAAAATGGGGATAATACAGTTCCTGCTTTGTTGGTGCTTATGAGGTTGAACTGAATTAATCCACGTTAAAACTGTTGAACAGGGCCTGGTGTGTAATACCTTCTGAATAATTGGGGGCTGGGTCCACTTCCTTGCACCCGAGGCTGCTTCTTTTCTAAACCTATCACTGAACAATAGCTTACTAGATTACAGACACCGCAAGGGTAGGAACCACGTCTGACTTTACCCTCCACCTGGCAGAGGGCTGGGCACAGACCACGTGCTTAAAACGTAACTGATGAATGAATAAGGCATGTCCATGAAGTCTCATTTGGAATATGCATTATAAGGAGGCCAGTGTTCTGTGGGGCAGCAGGGACTGGTCAGAGTGAGGTTGGAAGCAGAGAGACCCCGGATGCCACTCCCTGGATAATGTTCCAGAAGCAATGTGGTCTCTGCCCAATGTACTCTCTCTCCCTTCCCCACTTTACTTAAATTATTTTGAGTCTATGTAGTGTTTTTAAACCCAGCATGCTGCTATGGAAGTTTTCAAGCATTCAGGAAAGTTGGAAGAATTATACCATCTTATTTTTTTAAGAGCAGGGCATGTCCACGTGTGCTTGTGGGAACTTCAAAGTAAACTGCAGAGACCAGGCCATTTCACCCCTCAGCACTCCTGCCTGCATCTCATTAAGTAGAGTTCATTCACAATTCATGGGTCTTTTATTCTTAGATGCCATTTTACATGGTAAAATTCCCACCACAAAATTGTACCATTCAACAGGTTCTGAGAAATGCATACACCCATGTAACTCAAACTCTACCATGGCTCAGAACACTTCTGTCATTCCAGAAAGTTCTCAGGTGCCCTTCTGTAAGCCTTGCCTGAGGCAGGCACTGCCCTGTTTCTCTACCACAAGGCAGTTCAGCCTGTCCTAGAGCTTCATAGCAATGGAATCCTGCAGCGTGTACTCTTTTATATCCGCATCATTTTTAAAGACTCCTTCAATGTTTTCATTGCATCAACAGCTCATTTATTTTTACAGCAGTGTAAATATGCCACGGTGTGTTTAATTATGCTCCTGTTGATGGACATCTGGGCCACTTCCAGTTTTGGGCTATTAATGTGTATTACTTTTATAATTCAAAAGCAAAATGAAAAGAGGCCTGTAGGGCTCCTCCTTCCTGACAGGCTAGCCATTAATGAAGATCGAGGAGGGCCAGGAGCTCTGCTAAGGACCTCATGTCACTGTCTCATATCCTAGCACCCCTTCTCTGTAGTCAGCACCTTAAGCACACTCCTGTGCCCTCTTTGAGACTTTCGGTCTAGCTAGGTGGGGGTCTCACCTCCTTCCCACCTCTACTCTGCCCATCCTGCCATAAGTCCTTTTGCCTCTTCCAAGTTCACTATTGTCCCTATGGTGCTGATGTCGTCCTGCTTGTGCTTGGGTTGGGGCATGTTCTTACCAGAACAGCAGGTCCAAATGCTCAGAGGGCAGATGCCTGGCTCGTGAGTTTTTCCTCACTCTAGCACCTAATTCCCTCACCCCTCCAGTCCCTGGCTCCACATACTGTATGTTTAAATGAGCATCTGGGCCAGGCGTGGTGACTTATGCCTGCAATTCTAGCACTTTGGGAAGGTGATGTAGGTGGGTTGCCTGAATCTAGGAGTTAAAGACCAGCCTGGGCAACATAGTGAGACCTCAACTCTACAAAAAATAAAAATAAAAATTAGCCAGTTCTGTTGGAGTGTCTCTATAGTCCCAGCTACTTGAAAGGGTGAGGTGGGAGGATCACTTGAGCTGGGAAGGTCGAGGCTACAGTGAGCTGTGATCCCACCACTGCACTCCAGCCTGGGTGGCAGAGCAAAACCCTACCCCAAACAAACAAACAAAATGAGCATCTGCGGCCAGGCGCGGTAGCTCACACCTGTAACCCTAGCACTTTGGGAGGCCAAAGCGGGCAGATCACGAGGTCAAGAGATCAAGACCATCCTGGCCAACATGGTGAAAACCTGTCTCTACTCAAAACACAAAAATTAGCTGGGCATGGCGATGCGTACCTGTAGTTCCAGCTACTTGGGAGGCTGAAGCAGGAGAATTGCTTGAACCTTGGAAGCGGAGGTTGCAGTGAGCTGAGATCAAGCCACTGCACTCCAGCCTGGCGACAGAGTGAAACTCTTGTCGAAAAAAAAAAAAGAAAAAAGCATCTGCTGGTGATTCTGAGCATGGGTGTGTGTGTTTGTGTGCATGTGTTTGCATGTGAGCATGCACGTGTGTGCGTTTGCCTGCATGTTTGCATGTTTGCATGCATGTGTGTGTTTGCCTGCATGTTTGCATGCACGTGTGTGCATTTGCCTGCATGTGTTTGCATTTGTGCATGTGTGTGTGTGCACGCGTTTGCCTGCATGTGTTTGCATGTGTGTGTGCATTTGCCTGTGTGTTTGCATGTGTGGATATGTGTGCGTTTGCTTGCATGTGTGCATGCATGTGTGTGGTATGTTTGCACGTGTGCATGCATGTGTGTGCGTTTGTATGTGTGCATGTGTGTGCGTGTTTGCATGCATATGTTTGCATGTGTGCATGTGTGTGTGCACATTTGCCTGCGTGTGTCTGCATGTGTGTGTGCGTTTGCCTGCATGTTTGCATGTGTGGATGCGTGTGTGTGTACGTTTGCCTGCATGTTTGCATGTGTGGATGTGTGTGTGTGTGTTTGCCTGCATGTGTCTGCCTGTGTGCATGTGTTTATGTGCCTTTGTCTGTGTGTGTCTGCATGTGTGCATGCATGTGCATACTGGGAGGCAGTGAGACTGCATGTGCATACTGGGAGGCAGTGAGACTGCATAGCAAAGGGCAAGAGTGGAGAGTTGATTGGGAGACAGGCCATGGTGAGGGTTGGCTTTAAGCCGATCTCCGCAAGTAACAAAGCAAGAGGGAACCAAATTGCTTTTTAATTGAGGCATAATTTGCATAGAGTAAAATGCACAGATCTTAAGTGTTCTTACTACTGGATGAGTTTTGACAAATACCTATACTCATGTAATCCACACTTCAACAAAAATAAAAAACATTTTCATCATCCCAGTAACTTTCCCTGAAGGCAGTAAAACACTTTCTTGAGGCATGCTAAGCCAAATGATATCACCAAACCCTTCTCATCCGTGAATGACCTTTGGACAGGCCTGCACAGTGTTGAACTAGATCATCTCCCTCCTCCCTGCCTCAAAGACGCAAGGAACATTAAGTGCCAATGCAGAAAATCTTCAAGGCAATGCTGATCTGAGAGCATGTGAGGCACATCTCAGATTGTTCAGTCCTGACATTTAATGCTGTTTTCATTTCTTGCCTTAAGAAGCATGCATTTTCATTCTCTAATTCCCTCTTGGCAGTTGTTGTGGAGGAAACAGGAGGGTGGCTAGTTCCAAAGTCAACAGGGATTTAGCCCACAGTGCATGTATATTTTTTAGTACGGATGCAGACACAGATACTCATTCATACCAAGTTTCATGCATACTTGCTGCTCATAAAACAGTTCTTTGAACCCTATTACCTTTGGAGAGCCAACACCCCCACCCTAAAAGATTCTGATTTCCCTAATACTACAGTTTAAAATCTCTCTCTAGTTTGTGGTCAGCTTGACCCAACCAACAAATTCCTTTAGGAAAAATAAGAAGCCCCTGGATTTTTGCTAATTTATTTCTAACTTGGAACATATGTGGCATGTCATTTCACATTTTCTTATTTGGGTAGTTTTACACTTGTTTGGGTGTAGTTTCCAAATGGATGTTCCCAGCTGTGGCTTTACATTGTAAAATATCACTGGGTGGCAATCTCTTTGTTTGAACAATTAAATGAGGTAAGACAGTGACCCAGCCCACAGAAAAGAAGCAATTTAATGACAGTTGCATCCCTAAGTCCTTTAGTCATTTAGTACAATAGTGCATTTAGTTCTGGTGGCCACTCATGAAATATGCAAAGTGGGTTTTGTTCTCCCCATTTGAAAGATGAGACAACTGAGGCTCAGAGAGGTTAAACCACTTAGTCAAGTTTACGAAGCTGGTGAGGGGTCAGGTCTGCATTTAGAGTTGGACTTTGGACCCTAAATTCTCACTTTTTGTTGTACTCTGCCAGGCACAGCAGAAAGCCAGGGTAAAGCCTCCCTTTACCCTCTAAGAACCCTCAGAAGTGCATCTGGACCTTTCCTGCCTAGCACTTTTTTTTTCTGAGATGGAGTCTTGCTGTGTCACCCAGGCTGGAGTGCAGTGGCATGATCTCAGTTCACTGCGACTTCCACCTCCTGGGTTCAAGTGATTCTCCTGCCTCAGCCTCCCGAGTAGCTGGGACTATAGGTGTGTGCCACCACGCTCGGCTAATTTTTGTGTTTTTAGTAGGGACAGGGTTTCACCATGTCTGCCTACCATGTTTGTAAGAGTCCTGAATGAACTTTAAGAATCACAGATGCCCCTGCAGCAGCTGCCAGCAGTACTCACCCACATCCCCCCATCTCCCTGAGGTGCTATTTTGGTGGGTGCCAGCTGCCTCCCAACAGCCATTCCTGCCTCGTTGCCTTAGGACTTTCTCCTAAACCAAAGAAGTGCCAAGAAATGAACAATTCTAGAAGCTGTTCTCCACCAGTGACTCTGAGGAGTGGGTGAATAAACCCCCCAGCTCCCTTGCCCCTCGGATGGAGTCATTCTGAGACAGAGGCTGTCCTCTGTTTCCCAGAGCTCCCACTATGGGAGTCAGCCCTGATTGCCCACTGTGGTAATAGTCTTGCTAGCACAGCCGCTGTGGGCTGCCTTCCCTCCTTCTTCCTCTCCACTCTCATACTGCTCCCCCTCAATAAACTCTTCACCCTGGATCCTCCTCTTAGAAATGAATAGTTTCTGAGGGACCTAAACTGTGATGAACAGAGAGACTGATTCAGCTTTCCAGGTAAGCCCTTCCACAGTAGGATCTGGAAGAACCCTTCCTTCCCTCAGGCATCACCTAATTTTCCTAACATAGAGCCTGAAACACAATGGTCAAGATCAAGGGGATTGGGTGGTGATACTTTTGCTCCCAGGAGCTCTGTTTGAATAACCTTGAGAAGCCTCGTTCATTAAGACATCACCACATTATCCCCAAGTTACCTATCTAGGTCCTGTGGGGATAGTTTGTAGGAGACCCTAGCAGTGGTCTTCTGACACGGTCCTGTTTCCGTGGTGTAAATACTGCCATCATGGCTGATTTCAAGCTACCAACGTGGCATCGCCAGAGGAAGCTATGAAGAGCTGCACATGATAGCTTCTCTGGAGGCTATATGAGTTGGCTCCAGCACCCTACTGTCCCTGGGGGCGTGGGAAGGAATTTGCAGAAAAGGGAAGACTGGTTCTAGCAGAGGGAGCAGTGTCCTGGTGCTGGGAGCCTGAATTCGGAATGGTTGCCATACAAGGTGAGAATGAAAGACGTGGGAGACATCAAGAACTGATGGGTTCATTGATTCATTCCACAGAAAGCCCTCTGCTAGGTGTTAAGGAGCACAAGTTGAGTAAGATACAGTTTCTGCCCTCAGGGAGTTAAGGGGGAGGCATACACATCATAGAATATACCCCCATGCTGTCATACAGGTACTAAATTTGGCTGAGGGTAGGCTTCTTGGAGGAGGTGATGGTTGGTTGAAAGCGCTGGCCTTAGAAGAAGGACCTTGGACAAGGTCTGATATACTTGGCTGCTCCAACATCCTTGTAACTTTCTTCTGGCTGTGTGGCCCCCTTTCTTCTGATTCTCCCTGTCCCTGGCTGGCCCTTCCTCAGTCTCCTTCAGTGAATGTTTGTTTCTTCCCCCATCCAACATCACGACATGTTCTAGGCCCTCTCCTCTATCTACACTTACCTTCTTACGTTGTTACTTGCAGTTAATGCTCTTGACTCCCGAATTCATATCTGCAACCAAGACCTTGCCTCTGAACTTCAGACCTATCATTTCCACTACCTACTTAATATCTCCATTCAGGTGACCCGCAAACATATCAAACTTTATTTGTCCTAAATGGAACATTTGGTATGTCATCTTAAATGTGTTCCTCATCTCCCAGCTTGTCTCCCCATCTCCATGAATGGCATCACAATACACTTAGTTGCCCAAGCAAAGAATCACATGTTACTTATGATTATTCTCCTTCTCATTCTCTCCATACAACTGTCAGAAAATCTTATTAATTCTTCCTTAAAAAGAATCTCTTTTTGTCATCAGCTCCTTGACCTGTCTCCCCTCATCCACTCTTGCCTCCTATGCATTTAGAAAGAGCATCCAGTGTAATCTTAAAATGTAAAGTGAATCATGCCATTGCCTTGCTAAAATCCTCAATCGTAGTTATAATAACACCTGAAAAGTTTGCAATAGCTTACAAAATCCTTGCCTTTCCCGACTTACTTCCGCATGAACAGCTGTTTAGGGGCTAAAGTTAAACTAATTGCCAGGTCCTGTTATTTTTTTCTGTAGTCTCTTGCTTAGCTTTCCACTGATCTCCAGTTTTACCGCTACTGTGGAGGCAGAGTGAACTGCTGGTCTCACCTCCTCTCCCTGTAATAGGTTTTATGTCCACACACTTTCCATAGCCTCATGGTGGGTGGATGCATTTTTCTGCTTCCTGATTTGGGGCTTGGCTGTGTGATACTCTTTGGCCAATGGTGTTAGCTGACCTGATATGAGCCTGAATCCATAATGTGTTTCCGAAGCTGGGTGCGTCTTCTTGTGCTCTTGCTTTGAGAAGAGCAAAACATGATGTGTCTTCTTTGAGACACATCATGAGAAGACTGTGTCTTGAGAAGCCAGTGGTCCAAAGAGAATGAGAGGCACATGGAGCAGACTCATATGAAGCCTGCAGCCAAGCCCAGAGCAGCCACACACTTGTCAGCCACAAAGGTATGACTGAGATATATACGCTAATGGATGCATGCCTTTTGTTACTTAGCATTAGGGTAACCATAGCTAACAGATACAACCATCCTAATCCAATCACCCTATTCTCTCTCTCCTGCAAATGCCCCGTAGCTGAACTTGTTGCCATCAGTCTTGTCAGGCTCCAGTGCTTTCTCTACGGAATTGTCAGAACGTCCTTTCTAAAAGGCACACATGACCGTACCTCTCCTTCTCATGTACCCTTTATTCTTTCCATTACCATGGCCTTTACCATGCAGCTTCTCTGTCTCTAGTTTCATTTCTGCCACTTTGTTTCAGTTCCCCAACTCCTCACCCCTCCCATACTCCCCCCAGCCACAGAAGCAGCCCTTGGGTGCTTCAGTGCAACAAGTTTTCCCATATCTTGGTATTCTACAAGCTCTTATTTCTGTTTGGAAATAAATTTTCTCACCTCTCTCCACCTGCTTGTCCTGATAATCTTGGATTCTCAGAATAACTGTCATTTCCTCCCCAGCATTCCAGATCCCCCAATCACTGCCACACACTACCTAAACTTCTGTATAGGCAGCCCTTAGGAGAGCAGGCATCACGTCTTGTTTTGGAATTGCTTGTGCAAATCTCTCCTTCCATAGCTGTAGGTCCAGGAGCATAGGCCTCTGACTGTCTTGCTTACTGCACCATCTCCAGTGGTTACCAGCATAGCACATAGTAGGCACTCAATTAACACTTTGTCAAAGAAAGAATAAACCAGGCAGACAGTGTGGGGTGAGAATATTTCTGGACAGCTCTTCTTTTTGTCTCTGTTGTTTCTGGACTCTGGTGGTCTCTTGCTTGGAGAGAGAGAGACAGACACCCTCCCTCCATTGCATCTCAGATTTATTTTACATTTCTAAGCCCTAGCTAGAAATATGAGTTTTGCCCTGGCTTCCTGGAGCCTGCATGGTGACTTTCTCAGCTCTCTTAAAGCTTGTGGAACAGACGTTCATCACCATAATGGAACAAGAAGTGCTCATTTTCCAAACTTTGACTTTTAGAAAGATTTCTTATTTTGGGCACTTAGGTAACTAGCTGCCTTCTGAGCAAGCCACAGAGTATTAAGAAATGTCAAAATCTGTAAAACTGCATTCATCCTTCCCTGCCAAATGCTTAAACCTAATGCCATGCACAAAACAGCCATCCGGATGGTAATTATCAGATAATTATGACTTGGAAATCCCATCTAGATGAGATGAAAAAATTGCTCAAAATTGTTGGCAGGTCCCTTGTGAGGTTAGGAGGGCCATTAAACCCACAGTAGCTGCTCGGTTCTGATGTCAGAGATGCAGAAAGATGTCATGCGGTCACTACCATGCTACATGAAAGAGGCTTTTGAGTGTCGTTTTGGAAATAAAGCCTCTCATAGGAAAAGCTTGTGGTGGAGAAGAGGGCAGATCAAAATGCTCTCAAGCAAATAAGCCCTAGATTTGCTTTTTCATGAACCTGGGATTATTTTTCCAAATAACGTCTGCATTTCGGCATGAGCTCCATGGTGATGTCCCCCACCCTGCCCAGTGTGGCTGAGCATGAGGAATCGACCACTTGAAGACACCCAAAGAGAGCCAGGGAGGGACCAGGGACTGAACAAAGGATCCAGAGAGGTTCCTCCAACCATCAGACAGAAAATCCCTGTAGAAATATCAGTTACCATGGCCCAGGACAGCAAGGAGTGCAGCCCCCATTATGCCTGTTGGTACTTTTAGGATAGAAAACTGGGGATCAGAATTTCCTCCCCTTCTAGCTCTTCACTTCTTTATATAAAGTTGAAGAAGCCACCTAAGCATTAATAAGCAGACCCTGCCCTGTCTTTTAGCAAAGATTCAAACTCAGGGATGGATCTGGTCTGAAATTTCTCCTCTGAGCCCAGAGTTATGCATGGGTGACTGCTGTGGCATGATTTGCTTTGGCAATAGTTGTCAGTGCTTTGAGGAAAGCACTCCTCTCTGCCTCTTTCTGGCTGTGTGATTTAACCGCTGTGCCTTGGTTTCCTAATCTGCAGAACTGAGCTAAGAACTATATTGGATTTAGCATGAAACCTGAGCCCTGTGACCAGTCTTGGTGGCCCAGTGTGACCCCTGCCCACCTTACTCTGCACTACCTCTGCCCAGCATGTCTCCTGTTCTAGGACACATCCTGCCTCGACGCCTTTGCAAGTACTGTTCCTTCTCAGAATGCTCCCCTGCTCGCCACACACCCCTCTCTTCCCATGGCTGGCTCTTGTCACTCATGACTCCACACAGAACTTAATCTCCTGTTCAGTAAATACAGAGTGACATCTGCACCTCTCTCTCTAAAACATCACTTCAACTCATCATCTGCATAAGGCAGATGTCCTCTGAAGTTAGTGCAATCAGGCATTTGTTCACGTATGTACTGTCTATCCTTCCCCACTCAATGTATACTCTAAGAGGAAAGGTCTTGTCTACCTTGTTCACTTCTGAATCCCTATTGCCTTGACAAGTTCCTGGCATATAGTGGGTGCATAATAAGCCCTGGTTGAAAGAATAATCATTCCCTTACATAGGCGTTGGAAGGATTAGATGAGACCATGCGAATACAGTGTTCCTACAGTGCCTGGTGCAGAGTAGATGCTCAGTGAATTCTAGCTATTCTTTTTGCTGTTGTGCTTGCCCCCCTACTCTCTTCTCAAGTCACCCTACTGCTCTGTTCTTCTTTGCTCACACATGTTCCTCCATCCATCTATCCATCCATCCATCTCTCCATCCATCCATCCATCTCTCCATCCATCCATCCATCCATCCAACAAATATTTGTGGAATATGTTCCAAGTGCCAAGCACTGCGCTAGGCACAAACAAAATAATAAATGCATAGAGGAGCACAGTTCCTGTCTTCAGGGAGGTCACTTCTCCAGGGGGAGACTCAGACCAAGGGGTAAAGGTAAGCACTTTGATGAGAACTGCTGAACACAGGCATGACATCTGGTCCAGGCTTGGGAAATCCCAGTTCAACATCTATATTGATACCTGAAGGATGAGCTAGAGAAAGAAAGAAGCCCTTGGTTGGGGCCCCTGTAACCCCCTCTGTGAGGTAGTCTGGGTTCAGAGTGCCATTTTCTGGGAACCCCAGCTTCCAAGCAAACCAAAAGGCATTGTTTGGTTGGGCCAAATACTGTTACTATTTTGATCTAACATTATTAGTCAAAGAAGCATAGTCTGTACAAGCAAAAGCTTCTGGAAAATTAAAGTCTACCTTTCTATAGGCTAGTTCCTTAACTATTTTTGATGAAATATTTCACTTTGAAATAGATCATACACTTGATGCTTATCCTAGAGGATATGAGATCTAACTTAACTTTTTCTTGAATGACTCAGGATCACCACCATTAATATAAATTATTTAACTGGGCTGACACATGGCAAAGATCTCAGGAGTTATTGATGTACAAAGGGATTGCTTGCTGCTGCAGTTGAAAAAATAAAATTTATTCTCTATTTAAACAAATAAAATGTCCTTCTATGTGTCAGATGGATACTGGTGCAGTGTGAGTGGCAGACATTAAGTGGATGAGGTCTTAAACTCAGATTCTAACAGCAGAGAGAGATGTGGTTAATAACTGTGAAACAAGGAAGAACGTGGATGGGCCAGCAGGGATGTGGAAAGAGATTATGTGCAGTGTGAGGATGTATTTGGGCAGAGCTTAGAAGGATTAGAAGATTTAGGATGTGGGGAGCATTTGGGGTTCTTCTCTTCATAGGGATTCTTCCCTTATTAAATGCCCTCTCAAGGAAGGAGAGCAACTACTTGAGTAGAATAAGGAGAATGCAGAATATTAAAGCATGCCACTAGGATCTGGGGCTGATTTTATGACCCTCACTCCCCGATTCAGTTCACCAGGTTGATCCTTCCCTGTTTCTTGTTCATTTACATTTTAGTCTTGACTCAAGATAAACTTTTCCAAATAGTGGAAGTTAGCATTACTTATGAAATGCAACATTCACAGCTTTAACCAAATCATGGCTTCCTAGTAGTTCCTAGGTTGTGATTATTACTGAAAAATAAGCTAACCAGAAATTTTTCCATTGAATTTTTAAAGCTCAAAATGAAATCTCCTTTTCAACAGACGGTGCTGAAACAACTATATATCTATGTGCCAAATAATAAAATTGAATCCCTACCTCACACCATATATCAAATGGAATCTCCTTGACTTCCCTGGAGTTCATAAACTGTTTATTGATTATATTACTGATTTTCTACTTTCAAAAGAGTGGTCTGCATTGGATGTTTGTATCCCCAGCATAAAATGATTTTTTTTTTTTTTGCACTTATTACAGAAACAGCAGCATTTGGATGGAAACACAACATGACACACCTTTCTCCAAAGTCTTCCTAACCAAGTCTCCCCCAAGAGGACTCTTGTGCATGTCATGGCTATTGATCATAATAAGCCAGAGTGGTTTCTTCTCCTGCATTTCCCCCTTGACTTCAAGGATAAAGTAGATCTTCAATTTCAAGACTTAATGTGGCCCTTGTATAATTCCAGCAGAATGACCAGAGTGATCCAATTATGTCATCTTCAGGTGAAAAACATGAATTTGGACCAAACATCCACTAAAGCCTGAATTTTTGTTTTCATGATGTCACCGTGTCAGTAGACATTGAGATCTGGAAAGAGTATACTTTCATAGCTCTGGGAATTACTGATAGAAGAATAATGTTTAATTTTTTTTGTTCTCTAAAGAGTATTGGGAAAATGTCAGAAGGGGAGGAAAGGAGGAGAGATCATTAGGAGAATGATTTATGGTGTGCTGAATCGAGTTGGAATTTCAGGCCTGATATCCATGTCTAGTCAGGAAGATTTCAAAGTTAGTAAGATAAACTGGTTTGCTTCTGGGGTGAGTTTTAGTTTTGTTTTGAAAGTTTTTGATTTCACCTTCTATGATTGTCCCCTTTAATCAAAGTAAAATAAGAAATAACATCATGGATCTGAAGGACATTGAAAGTTTCTCATTCTCTGCTCCTGCCTGTCCCTCCCTCACTGGAGAGTCATCCTGGTGAAAATATATTATTCAGGGATGAATTCTTCAGGTTGTTTAGAGCCCAGGTTTTTTTTTCTTCTTCTTTTTGATGTCTGTTTTTTAGCCATTGTCTTCTAGTCCTCAACAGAGGGACAAAAAGCAGTTAAAATTCAGATAGTTCTGATTTTTAATTCCTCATAACTTTGATAAGAGGTCAATGGGGAAGTGAAACAAGCTGAGGAGTAAACCAGATGGACTGCCAACGGGTTCATCAGACCCCTGCATGCAGCACTCTGAGTTGGGCTGAGGAGTATCTTCATTGGCATCCTTGTCACGTATGACTGAGTAGAGACAGAAAGCCACTAAATATTTTTTAAGGAAGTTAGGTTGTGTTAACTGCGAAGCTTTTGTTCAGACCATGATATGCAAGTTTGAGTTCAGAGCTGAACTTCTTGATAACAAGAGAAGACTGCATTACTGAAGGAACCAGTAATCTCCCATCTCCACCCTTTGCTCATGAAGCATTTATCTCATCTTGAAAATAAATGCTGAATTAATGTTTTTTTTTAATAAAAATATGTTTCGGGGGGCACCAAATTACGAGGTTATTCATGCCCTCGTGTCTCAGCCTGGACCTGAAGTGTCCCTCTAATTCATGAAAGGTAACTTTCACTGCTGGTGAAAGTGAATGCAAAGGCCATGGAAGAGCTAAACATGGATTCCCATTTATTCAACATGCTTTTCATGGCTTGAGTATGTGCCTGCCCCATACTGTGTGCCATGAAGAAGACAGACATGTGAAAGGCTCAATGTCAGCCCTCATGGGGCTTCCTGTGGTCAGGATATGAGGGTGTCATAAAGCTGTCCCAAAACTTCAGGAATGAATCTGGACAAATAACCATGTAAAAAATATTGTCATTCTGGAAAACAATCTTTTATATAACTTTTCTAACACTGAGAAAAATCATCTAAAGAAGAACTTGAAATGTTAACTTGAAAAGTATAGATTTAGGTAAAACTCTAAAACCTATAGGTTAATGTACAAAGATGTCTGTGGTGTCACTACTTACAACAGTGAAAGGTTTGAATCAACATAAGTGTCCAAGAGCAGCAGCATGATTAAGTACACTTTGGAATATACTGTAATAATAGGTCACCTTGAAGATGATGTTTCCAATGAGATTTTGAGGAAAAAACGTTTGATATAACAGGAAGTATAAAAAGCAATGTATAAAATTGCCTACATAGGATGATCTTTGCTATACAAAGTAACCTAGAGAAAGAAAAATATGCTGAAATGTTAACAATAGTTATCTATGGATTAGACTCTGGGTGATTGTCATTTAATCCTCTAGAGCTACAGGGTCCAACAGTCAGCCACAAGCCACATGTGGCTATATGAATTTCAGGCACAACACTAACCTAATTACCTGGATCCTTCTTGCATCCAAGTGGGTACATGTAACTTATGTGGACAGTGGGATGGGAACAGTTGGGACAGACACCACTTCCAGGCCTCATCAGAAAGTGATCTACACAATATTCCATGCCCTTGCCTTCTCTGCTTTCTGTGTAGCTATGGGAGAAGGACTTCAAGATGGTAGAACCACTGGATGGACTGTGCCACAAACCCTGAGTTTCTGCTTGGAAGAGACATGAGAGCTGCCAGGATGGGAACATCTGCAGTGGAATTTGAGTAAAAAACCAATCCCGTGTTGGGCTACTCCAGTGGAATTTTGGGGTTTTTGGTAATACAGTAGCTAGCAACACTTATTCTGAAAAATAAAACCATAATTTGACCTTCTCTGCGAAAGTTGTTGACACAGCAGGCCTGGTTATTTAATCCTTGCATACCTCCAGGAGAGTCCTGAACCATGGTTGACCTTTGGCCAACCCCTGTGAATGTGACCCTTGGGATGCTACAATTGATGACATTGGTTTGTACCCCAGAAGCGATAGGCCATGCTGTACCAATTTGTCACGATCATTTCCCAAACTTTATAATGTCTACCTGGTATCTATGCTGGGGTTCTGAGATTCAGGCATCATGGCTGTTCATGCAGCAGGAATGTGCCTACTTGACCAGCCCTCCCCAAAAGCCTCAGCCTCCAGTGGACTTCCCTGGATAGAGACATCTCATGCATGTTTCCTGCAAGGGAGAAAGCACTTCCTGTGTGACTCATTAGGGAAGGAATTAGAGGCCTGCAGCTGACCACGCTGGGCTTCTCCTGATGCATTTCATTTTCCAGCTCCTTTTATCCCATATCCTGTGCTATAATAAACCTTAGCCATGAATGTAATCTGTGAGTACTCCTGAAACCCTGAATTAGAGGATGGTCATAGGATGCCCAAAATAATTCCCACATAAGATATTTCTCCAGGAATATAGAGAACATATCATCCAAAATAAGCACATGCTTTCTGCACAGCCCTTATATATCTTACCATCTGTTACTACCATCTGTTGACATTCTATCCTAGACATCAAATTCTTGTGAATTTGGCTGATGTGAGTCAATTCATAAGAGCCTGACTGCAAAAGTCTCACCCTGTGGGCTGCAGAACTTAGAAGAGTTATTTGGAATTCTGTGACCCTCTCCCCCTCTCCCCGCCAGGGCGTTGCCCTTTCAGTGGCCAGCCTGGATGGCATCTCTCCAGTGTTTCTCTGACATGAATCACTTAGCCTGTAATAAGGTGAAGCAAGTCTAAGTACACTAAAGTAGGGGTTGGCAAGTTATGACCCATGGGCCAAATTTGGCCCACCAATTGTTTCTGCATAGTCCATGAGTGAAGAATGGTTTTTACATATTTAAATGGTTGGAACAAAAATCAAAAGAAGTGTTATATATCATGACATATAAAAATGATATAAAATTCAAACTTCGGTTTCTGTTAGGAAAGTTGTATTGAAACAGACATGCCCGTTTGGTTATTTATTGTCTATGGCCGTTTTTCTGCTACAGCAGCAAAGCTGAATAGCTGTATAAACATCCTCTGGCCCACAAAGCCTAAAATATTTAGTATTTGCCCCTCGACAGAAAAAGTTTGCTGGCCCCTGCTCTAAAGTCCTGAATGTCCCTGCAAGCCTGACTAGTAAGGCCTTTGACAAGGAGAATTTGTTTCCCCCTCAATATTACGATTTCTACACCCCTTTTTCCCCGAGACAAAGACCCTGTGGCCAAGGCTGTTAAAACACAGTCACGTAGCCCTGGATTTCAGGAGAAGTCCTGGAGAAAACCACTTACGTAGGATCCGTAATCCACAGCCAGGGTCTGCAGAGCCCAGGGGAGACCGAGGCCAATCAGGATGTCAAACACGTTGCTCCCAATGGAGTTGGACACAGCCATGTCCCCCATCCCTGCAGGGACAAGAGGTCACTTAAGAGAGGGAAGGGAACCCAGGGGCCCCACACAGGACTCTCCCAAGCCTTTAGTCTCACAGCCAGAGAGTGGTTCTGCAAGCTCACATATGTGCTTCTCTTTCAAGGCCATCACCCATGTGAAAGGATGACATGAATTATAAAACAGAGAAACACACGTTCTATTGAATGGTTGACCTTTACTTCAAATATCATCACTGATTGAATATAAGTGATTCAAAAAACCAAATACAGTGATAGGCTTTGTGTCTGTGTCCCCACAAAATCTCATGTGGATTGTAGTCCCCAGTGTTGGAGGTGAGGCTTGGCGGGAAGTGATTGGATTATGGGGGTGGTTTCTTATGAATGGTTTAACACCATCCCCCATTGGTACCGGCTTTGTGATAGTGAGTGAGATCTCGTGAGATCTGGTTATTTAAACATGTGTAGCACCTCCCCCCACCCTCTTGCTCCTGCTGTGTAAGACATGCCTGCTCCCCGTTCACCTTCCACCATGACTGGAAGTTTCCTGAGGCCTCCCCAGAAGCCGAGCAGATGCTGGCATGCTTCTTGTACAGCCTGCAGAACCATCAGCCAGTTAGAGCTCTTTTTTGATAAATTACTCAGCCTCAGGTATTTCTTTACAGCAATGTGAGACGCACTAATACAGATGGTTTCAAGGATTCTGGAGATTCTGAGACACCCTTATGGAAAGGAATAAACTCAACCATTCTAGAAAGTGACTCCCGAGCTCACACCTGCATACTGGGTCATCTTCCAACTGCCCTGTACTGTCTCCAGTCCTTCTTCGGAATAACTGAACAATAGTGTAGACAACAGTAGAGCTTCATGAGGATGTCTATGGGACACTGAGCTAAGTTTTGTAGCTCAACACACATTTGTTTGAAACAAATGCCCTCCAGCATAAATCAGGCAGATGCGTCAGAATGAGTGCTACAGAAGGGTGTGGCCATCTGGGGAATCTGTTTGGGAAGGTAAGCTGTGAGCCTGTGAGCTTGGCTTTGAAGGAGGGAAGGATCTGTCACACTCTGAAAACTGACCTCTGGGACCTGTCACTTAGAGGGCACTGCAGGTGGGTCAGCCTTAGGGATGAGGTTTGTCCTCTCTAAGCCTCAATTTTCTTGTCCATAAAATGGGGGTATGATTGTGCTTATTTCACAGAGCTGTTGTTTAAATCAAATAAGATAGTGCATCTATCATGTTTTACTCAGTAAAGGTTAGCTGTCAGTACATTTCCTACTACTTTGAATAATAGGAGGATGGTGATACAGCCTCCAGAAGGGGCTATGGGTGCTACCTAGGAAATGTCTTTGCTTTCCTCAAGGGTAGGACCTTCTGGATTATTTCTCTGTTCTTCTGAGCCCAGGAAACCTTTCAACCAACACGGCATCACCCTCCCTCCTTCCAAACCCTGTTAATTACCAGGTGGGTCCCCCAGGTAGAGAGGCCCGCCTGCCCGCCTGACTTCCTCCCTTCCTTCCTTCTTTCCTTCACTCCCTCCCTCCCTCTTTCCTTCTCTTCTCCCTCCCTTTCTCTTCTCCCTCCTGCCTTCCTTCCCTCCCTCCCTCCCTCCCTTCTTCCCTCCCTCTCCTCCTCCCTCCCTCCCTCCTTCCCCATTGCCACTGGAAGTCCCACCTTGTCTGGCCACAATGAGGCTGGCCATGCAGTCAGGCACGCTGGTCCCAGCAGCCAGGAAGGTGATCCCCATGATGACGTCAGGAATCCCCAGGGTGTAACCAATGATTGTGACCTAGAAGGAGCAGGAAGAGGTGGTCAGCTGAGGGTCACCTCAAGCCCCACCTGCCCATGATTCTTCTGATGGAGACTCACAACAGGCTATGGTCTGGGCTATCTCTGTGGGGTGCAATGTCTGCTCTCTGTATCAATACAGAGGGTGACAAACACTATGTGGATGCCGACCGGGGCTGCAGGTCAGGGGACGGTGCTGTAATAGGACCCAAACTTTCCAACAAAACATTGGCCTTTTCACTTGTTCTCTTCCGGTGAGGCGGGTGGTTTGAGAAGAGAAAATAGAATTTCTGGGAAAAAGGCAATATTGGGACAGAATATTTGAACTACGGGTGGCCCTGAGGCATCCAGAATGGATGGATGCTTTGCTTGGAATTTGAGCGTCCATGTCAGGGAGGATGCACAATGGGAATTTAGAAGAACTGCAAAGGGGCTGGATTTGACAGTATCCATACTTGTTAGAAAAGGCATAACTCTAAGGTTGGGCACGGTGGCTCAGGCCTGTAATCCTATCACTCTGGGAGGCCAAGTTGAGAGGATTGCTTAAGTTCAAAAGTTCTAGACCAGCGTGAGCAACATAGTGAGACCTTGTCTCCACAAAAAATTTTAAAAATTAGCTGGGCATGGTGGTGTATGTCTGTGGTCCCAGCTCCTTGAGAGGCTGAGGCAGGAGGATGGCTTGAGCCCAGGAGGTTCAGGCTGCGATGAGCTGTGATAGTGCCATTGTACTCCAGCCTCGGCAACACAGTGAGACCCTGTCTCACAAAAAAAAAAAAAAAAAAGAAAAGGAAAAAAAGGGGAAAGCCATAACTAGCATTTCCTTTTCTCTATTCCTTGAAGCTTGGTAGCAATTTGCTGTCCTTGTCAACATCTTCTTCACTATAATAGCTTCTGGGGACCATCATCTTAAGTGAAACAGCTCAGACACAGAAAGTCAAACTCCACATGTTCTCACTCATAAGTGGGTGCTACGTAATGTGTACACTTGGACATGGGGTGTGGAATGATAGGCAATGGAGTCTTGGAAGGATTGGGGGCAGAAATGTTGTGTTTCTACATCTCAATTTCCTCCCTGGAGACTGAAAAACAGGAAGGCCAGAGGCCACCTCAGTTTAAATTCAGCACGGAATGAAGTGGGGTGGGTGACGAGAAATTACTTAATGGGTACGATGAACATTATTTCAGTCATGGATACACTAAAGTCAGGACTTCGTCACTTCCATCACACAATATATCCATGTAACAAATTTACTTGTACCGCTTAAATTTATGCAAATATAGAAAAAGCAAATGCAAGCATGCTTAAAAAAACAAAAGCAGTTGATGAGGCAGATGATGAGGGAGCTGGTGGCAAAAAAAGAGGTAAGTGGAAAAAGAGACACATTCCCTGCATGTGGGCCCAAGGAGAAGATAACTCACAAGAGTTGAAACTGTCAGGTCATTTTAGGATGCCACTGGATCTCCCTCACTTGCCATAAAATTACAGGAAATGCAAAGCACATGTTGTAAGGAGCACATTCTTCTCACAGTTCCTCCTGGGCCAGCCCTTGAGAGACACCTACACCCGGAACCCTGACTTCACTCCAAAGGCCACAATCGCTCCTTCCCTGTTCAAAGATTGGGGGGATGTGAGTGAAATCCATAGAGATGCTTGCCTTGCCTCCTTTCAGACAGAGAATGCAGCTCATTTCTGTTCAGTACTGAGCAGAACTGAACAGAATTTAACCTGGGGTGGCCACAGGGCTTTCTGACTTCCGGTCTCCAGGGAGGAAAGTGAGCTGCAGAAACACACGCTGTTTCTATTTTGTCGCTCTGGATCAAATGGAGCTACCAGCGTCCTGGCCAAACCTTGTTTTTCCTTTTTAACCCTCAGCTCAGTCCCTGTAGGAACCTGGTTTGGCTCAGCCAGTCTTGGCCTCTGGTTCATCATTTTCATGATCATGTTTGTGGCTGGGTCTGGAGTTCAGGGGAGCAGACTGCTCAGGTGGCTGGGACCAGGTCTCCGGCTTCTCCTAGTTTTCTCCCTACTCCTGGGCATTGATTGGGACTTATTAGAACCTCCACTGGAGGAAAAGGAAGCAAACAGAAGGAAGTTGAACCTCAGATGAGTCAGGTCAGTTAGCCCGCTGGTTAGGGGGCTGCACAGAAAATCATGTAGCACCTTAAGGTCAGGGACAGCCAACACTGTCCCCCAAATCCAGATAGGAGGTGGCTCTTGGTGCATATGTCAGATGAAAACATTAGTGAATGCAGGATGAGGGAGAAACCCCTGGCTATAAAACTTGGGTTTTAAAAAAATGTTTGTGATATTGAGGAAAGAGATGATTATGAATTAGTTGTGTCAGGTTTACAAATTTGCAACCCATGTAGCAAAATTTTTCTGGGTATTTTTGTTCTTACCAAAATATCTTTTTCATAACCTTCTTTTTAGCTCTTGAGTTTAATTCTCCAGAATTTATATTACATTTCTATCCAACACTCAAGGCAAGATTAATTTGGATTTGCATCATTTTGCCATGCTTTTTAATTTCTGTCCAATCCTAATGATTTGGAATTTCTCCCCAGTTAAAAAGTATAGCCATAAATGGGTAATGCATTCTGGAAGGCTGGGTTTCCTAAAATGGCTTTGTTAAGGTCAAAGCCACTGAATCGATGTCAATCAACTAATATCAGTCAATGTCAATCAACCAATGTGAATCACTGAGTCATTATTTTAGCCTCAGAAGGGACCCTTGAGTGATCACCTCATACAATGCCTCATTGTCTGGCTGAAGAAACTAAGATGCCGATAGGGATTGATCATCATTTCCCAATTCTTTGTGCCTTTCCTCCATGTCCTTTGCCCTGTGACATGGCTGTTCTTCCCACTGGAGCAGGTGGAGTACACTTCCCCCATGCCATTGATGTGGGGCTTGGCCAGTAAAATGTGTGTGGACGTGATGGTAAGTCAGGGCCAGGCGAAGATCCTGGAGGCATTTCGTGTTTCCACGTACTCTCTTGCATTCTAATGATGCACTGTGAGAAGAGCATACCCCAGGTAGCTAGCCTCTGGTACAAAGAAAATGAGCAGACACGTGGAGTAGACATGGACCCCACCTGCTGCCTGAATCAAACATGACCACCCTGAAGCCTGAAGCAGAGCTGCATAGCAGGTCCCAGCTAAGATTAATGAATCCACAGTCAACATGAAGACGTGTGAGCAGGAGAATCGATGCCTGCAATTCTAAACTACTAAGTTTAGGAGTGGTTCGTTGTGCAGCTTATTGTAGCAATAGCTGACTAGTACAGTTATCGGCTGAAACCCTGACTCTTATTCCCTTCTTTATTCTCTAAAGAGATTTAACAGTGCCATGGGGTCCCGATTGCACTCACCATCCACACCATCATGTAGGAGAAGGCTGCGATCCACAGCGTGGAGGAAGCAAACGTCACCATGAACCATTTCTCCCAGCGCGGCTTGTTGCAGTTGGGTACAGTGAAGTATAAGACGAAACTCAGCGGCCAGGTGAACGCCCATTTCACTGTTTCCAGTTTACCCGCTGGAAAAATGAAAAAGGCCAAAAAGAAATAAAAAAAAAATAACAAAGAACCCCAGTTAGCTTTATTTCTTTGCTCTGCCAAGTGTCTGTACTGCTTTCCCCAGAATTAAACCTTATTATATTGCTCTTTTTCTAAAACATTCAAATGACTTTCCATCACCAACGAAACCTGACATGCAACACCAAACAGAATTAAAAAAAAAATTACCCACTGCCCACCTGCTGATTAGGTCTCCGAAATGAGAGGGTGAATCACTTCTTAGTAATACCAGGCTAGGGGGATGGTTTGGCAGATGGCCAGGTGGGAAAAGAGAGGAGGATACTCAGGTCAAAAAAGAGGTGGAATGTGTGTAGGTGCAGGGGGTCGAAATGGGGGTGGGGAGCTAGGAAGACCTCCAGTGGGCTTCTGTTTTCCACGTTTTCGCCCGATAATAAAGCGTCAGCGGACGCAGCGCCACCTGGTGGAATTTCTCAGCATCGTCGGTCAGCGCGCCGGAATCTTCAAAGAGGATTTGAAGGCTCTCCCTAGACCTGTATTACTAACCTGATTAACTGCTAATTCACCTCTAGAAATAAATATGCATACATATTTCCATGTATTCCTCAATGCAATCCAGATACACAGTGCCTCTACCTTCCAGAAAGTTTGCTGTGCCTCTTTCTAGTCAAACCCTCACCCTCTACCACCATAGATATTGTTTTTACTGTTCTCCAACTTCAAATAAAACCATATAGGATGTTTTCGTGCCTTCCTTCTTCTTTTCAACATAATGTGATTGAGATTCATTCATGTTGCGTGATCCATTCCTTTTAATTGCTGTGTAGTATTCCCTCCTATGAATGTGCTACGATTTGTTATCCATATGGCGGTGGGTGAGCATTTGTTTGTTGCCAGTTTGAGGGTATTACAAGCCAGGTGACTATGAACATTGTTGTACAAGTCTTTTTGTGGTCATGTTTCATCTCTCTTGGACGAAGACCCAGGAAAATTGCTGAGTCATAAGGTGGGTATTTATTTAACTTTATAAGAAACTGCCAGTTTTCCAAAATGATTGAACCATTTTATATTCCCACCAGAGTTAAGGAGGAATTTTTATATTATAACATTTGAACAGTAATTAAATGTTTAATAAAATGTATTTTATAATTTTAGACCAGTATCCAGTATTTGTTTCATATATCCTACCAATCTCCAAATAGTTTCTTAAAACTGCATAGATAGAAAAAGTATCTAACATTATTTCTGGCACCCTCTGGCCTCTCTTAAAGGGCCGAGGCACAGTGTCTATGGGAGGCAGAGGGGTTTCTCATTAGATGGTGCTGGGCTCCGGTCCCTGCTCTGTGGCTTATGAGTTGAAAGACTCAGTTAATTAAACTCTCTACACCTCAGTTTCTTCATCTGTGAAAATGTGTATACAGCAGCACCGAGCTCACAGAGTTGCTGGGAGAATTAAATGAGATGATATTAGGATGAGGGCTGGGACAACATGAGCTCACAAGTCGTTCCTGTCAAAATCCTGGGAGTCATTCTTGATCTTTCCCTTTCTTTTATCCCCCACAGCCAACCCTGGCAACCTGACAGGACATTCCCACCATCTCATCATCCCCACAGCCTCCGCTGGGGCCAGGTTCACCAAGGCCTGGCTGACAACCTGGCTTCCTACGGGGACTACTGCTCCAATGCCTATCCTACCTCCATCTGTTTGCTACCAGTAGCCAGAGGAAAGAGTCTCAAAAACCAAATTGTTCTAGAACCTTCCACTGGCCTCCACTGCCCTTAGAGTAAAATCAGGTCTCCCCACCATGGTCTGTAAGGCACTGCCTGATTTTGCCGCACCTGCCACTCTCCCTGCTCACATACTCCCTGGTCTTGGCTAACTTTCTGTCCTCAGACACTCCAAGCCTTTTCCTGCCTCAAGGACTTTGCCCTCGCAGGTCTTCTGCCTGGATCTTCTCATGGCAGAATCTGCCCTGTCACGCAGGCCACTTCACTGCTCGAATGTCACTGAGCCCTCAGATAAATCTAAATATAACTCTCATCATCTCACTCCAGCTTTTCTATTTGTTTCATAGCAAATATTTTTATTTGTTTCATGCGAATATTTCCTGTCTTAAACCATCAGGGTTGTTTCTTAATTTATTTTCAGTCTCCCTCAAATTAGAATAAAGTCTATGAGAACAGGGGTCTTCTCACTTGTTTAGCACCTGATTGAAAGGCAGGGATAGTGCAGGGCTTATATTGCATTTTCAGTAAATATCAGTAACAGTAGTAGTAATAATGTTATTATGAACAATCTAATCAGACAGACCAAAGAAAATTACTTGGTTTTGAGAATCTAAGGCTATCCAATTTACAAGTACAGAGTAAAGCAAACAAACAAAAAAAATAGTAAGAAAAGAGAAGTGTTTTCCTATTAGCTGCTATGAGTCTTGTTAGATTTAAGCTTTGGAGATGGTCAAGTGAATGATGAGAACATAGAGACTGTGCTTGCTTTGTAAATCAAGAAGCCTGGCTGAGAGTTGTTTGGAGAGGGGCTTCCAGATGCTGCAGAATCCAGGATATGGCCAGCTCTTTGGATCCCAAATGCATCCTGGAATTTGGCACATTCCTAAATCCCGCAATGTGCTGATAAGGCATTTACCCATGTGGAACCTCCTAGAATCCCCTCAACGGCCTTCCATATGGCTGATGCCCTCAAACGGACAGAGTAACTCGGTTTAGTTTAAAATACACACCCAATCAAAGATTACGAAGAAACACAGGAAGAGGAAGAGAAATGATCCCAACTTGGCTCTTTCACATTCTTCAGAAAATAAAAAAAAAGAGGGAAGAAAAAAATGAAGTCAGAATTTACGAGTGCAAGAGCTTGGAAAATGATATTGATTAGACAAAGTTGTAAGAAGTGTAAGTTAGTGCCAGTGAATTTTGAGTTTTTATCAACTGCTTTAAAAATTTCTGACTGGACACTGGGAGGGCATTATATCTGGAAAACATCATTTTCAATGACATATATGCTTTCTTTAAGTTATTGCCCCTTTGTAACAACAGAACCTTAAAAGCAGAAATTCAATGAGCATTATCTGAATCATATATTTAAATGTAATGCAGCAAATATAACAAATATAAAGGTGTTTTTTAAAAATGATTTTGAGGAACAAAGGCAGTCAAATAAAGATCACCCACATTTTAGCTGGTCTTAATTTTCCTTTTTTTTTTTTTTTTTTTTTGAGACAGAGTCTCACTCTTTTGTCCAGGCTGGAGTGCAGTGGTGCAATCTCAGCTCACTGCAACCTTTGCCTCCCAGGTTCAAGTGATTCTCCTGCCTCAGCCTCCTGAGTAGCTAGGATTACAGGCGTGTGCCACCATGCCTGGCTAACTTTTGTATTTTTAGTAGAGATGGGGTTTTGCCATGTTGGCCAGGCTGGTCTCCAACTCCTGAACTCAGGTGATCCGCATCCTCCCTTTGCATCCCAAAGTTCTGGGATTACAGGCATGAGCCACCACGCCCAGCCCTTAATTTCCATTTCTGAATAAAGGGTTTAAAAAGGTTTCCTTTCCTCTTTGAGTCAACAACATTTCTGGACATTTTTCCATCTTCTGCTCTATTACCATTGGGTCAAAATAGAGCAACAAGGGGGATAGGTTTATTCTTCATTCATTCATTTAATAAATATCTGTGAATGTCCTCTATGCCATTTTGTGCCAGGCACTGCTGCAGGTCCTGGGGGTACAGCAATGAATTAAGAGAAAAAACTTCCCTGACCATGGACCTGATGTGTTGGTGATTACCTGATTTCACAAAAGTCAGCCAGCAACTGAGAGCTGAAGCCAGGGGCCGGAGCTGGCCCGTAAGCATGATAGTATCCCTTTGAGTTGGACTTGGCTTTAACAAGCAAAAGGATTTGTTTCTAAATTATGTTCCTCAGTCAGCTTTGAAGAAAGCTGAATTCTATCAAAGAGAGAAAAAGTTATTGCACAGTATTTTAGACCTAGACCTAAACATATACATTTGTTCCGATAATATCGGCAATAAAAATGTACACTGTTTTAAAGTAAAAAATACAGAAAAAACATAATTTTGCTTTGGAAAAACCTACTTATATTTTGGTGTATTTCCTTCTAGTTTTTCTTTCCCATGGAAATGTGTTTACCTACATACACATGAAAAGGTTTCTTTTGCTGTCTGTCAACAATAAGGCTTTCTTCACCCAAGAGATAACAATAGCTGCACGTTTATATGTATGTATGTGCATATACCAAGTGTAGATGTATATGTGTATATTGTGTGTATATAACCTATAATATAGTATATACATATATAAACATAAATATGTTAATATCTGCACATATATTATACATGCATACAATATATTAAGTGTACACAGTATACATGTGCATGTTAACACTATGTTATATCAATCTTAAATTGCACACTGTACATATATGTACATATATGAACTCACAACAGTATTCACATACTCCTAAATAATTACTTTCTTGGTAATCATCATACCCATTATAGTCAAGTCCTGAGAGAAGAAAGCACTGTGGCTGGGTGCCAGAAACAGGGTACTCATGCCTTGCAGAATGACTATGAGAGAGAAAAATGTCCTCATCATGTGGACGGATCTTTTTCAGTCCACAGGAACTTGACTTGATAGGAACCCATCTGGGGCTCCCAGAACTGACTCCCTGGCTTCTCAATGCCCTCTGCTGGCCGGAAGCACCCGACAGGCTTCTCACCCATAAGCAGAGGCCTGCCTGCCCCAGGAAGCGGGCCTGGCTGGACATTCAGTCCCCTTGCCTTAAAATGGAGTTCCTAATTCTGGGCCTGGGATTCCTTAGCAGCTGGTGGAGGGGAAGAGACAGTTGTAACTGGGGGAGCCCACTCTTTTCAAAGGCAGACCCGGGCTCTGAATCAGGCTTTCCCGCATCTTAGAAGAACTGGGAAGATTGCTGAGTGCCTCTAGGTCTCTAGCCTCTCCGTGCTCCAAGTGTGGCACACAGACCAGCAGCGTCAGTGTCACAGGATGGGGGGCAGCCGGTTCTTGATTAGCAATGCAGACTCGGGCCTCACCCTAGACCTCCTGAATCAGAACGTGCATTTCATTAAGGAAGCCCTGGTGAGAAGGGCTGCTAGAGAAGAACTTGGAATTCTGCTTTCTATCTTGGCAGCTGGGAGCCCTTGAATGACATGGAGACCCCACGGGATGGTACGACCACACAGAGTATCGTCTCTTCTCTCCTGTCTGTGCTTCAGGAAGGACACAGGAGGGGATGTGGGGTTCCTGAGCCTCAGGTGAAGCATCTGTTGGGGGTGAGATGCCTGCAGCCATGTCTCCTCATACACAGGAGCCCAGAAGGTGTGGCTGGAAGGTCTGAGGCCTCCATCATCTGCAACCTAATCACAGTGAGACAGAGGGTGGCGAGCACGAGTTTCAAAGACCTTGAAACCCCACAGTTAGCTCTCATCCAGGAGAGAAATACGGAACCAGGGATCTGAAAGGGGTGCTTGGTCCCAATCAGTAACGAGGCCCAGGCACTGGGCCAGACTTGGTCTCATCTCACACACACATCTTTCATTGTCCCCTGGAGGGGTGCACTTGGGGATTCTGGGCTCCCAAGATGCTAACATAGAACTTGGTCACTTACAGAACTTCCACTGGCTCGACTGTTTAATTAGTGAAAGATTTTAGCGAAATAAGCATTACTGGAGCTTGGTTATGGCCAGCTAATGGCGGACTCTGAAAACAGGGGTTGAGTAAGTGGAATTCTAGACACAGGTCCCTAAGATTCTCAGGGTCTGTGAGTGGGATGAGCTATCAGCCTCGTGATTCTGCTGTGTTGTATGGCACAGTTGACCTTTAGGTAGAGAGATTGTGCAGGTGCCTGATCTAGCTGCAAAGAGTCCTCAAAAGCAAAAGGGGAGCCAGAGAGATTAGGAATGATGGCGGGAAGAGCTCCACACATCCAGGTGAAGGTGGAGGGGCTCTGTGGCTTTTAGGAACAGTGGGACATCCCCAGCTGACAGCCATCAAGGACCTGCACAGCCGCAATGAACCGGTGCCTGGTAATGATTTCTCCCAGAGCCTCTGCAAAGGAATGTAGCCCTGGCTACACCTTCATTACGGCCTGTGAGACAGAATCCAGCAGGACTTCTGACCTACAGAACTGTAAGCTAATCAGAGGGTCTTGTTTTGAGCTGCAAAATATGTGGCATTTTGTTATGCAGCAACAGAAAATGAATGGAAGGGTTTACAAGGGAGGAAAGGAGTGTTTTGCCATTTAATCCTTAAGATGTTTTTGTCTTGGTTGATAGGAAAGGTTGCCAAGAAATATATCTGATGGTGGCAAAATGGATAAAGAACGAGTGTACATTTTTTCTATGAAGATAATGTACTAACAAGTAATGATTTAGCTTTGGGTGGGAGGTAAGGGACCTGGGGGAATAGGAATCTGGATGAATATTTTCTGATAAGTTCTTGAAGAGGCTGAGATCTTGGGTGCCCTGAGTGGGCACAGGGGCATCTCTGGTTCAAGTTTTACTTGCTGTCCTCTGGACAGAAAGGAGCTCCCCTGGAGCACAGCAAGACCCTGCGCATCCAAAATTAACACAGGACTCTGACACTCGGCACCATGTCCTATCATTAAATGGGCTTTCAAGTCAATCAAACGTTTCTTCAGATAATCCTGCACATTCAAACATCCCGAAGAGGTTGCTGCACATGTATACTGAGCCTCACACACTTGACAGTCCATGTGAATCAAACTAGTGTACTCTTCCCTGAAACAGCCAGAAGCTTCTGGAAGGTCCAGCAAATAGGCTGAATTCTTTGGGCTTGGACCACCTGCTCTGATAATGGGTGGGGTGGGGTGAAACAGTTTCTGGAACAACCAAGTCCTTGTTGGAGGCAGCAGTTGGGAGAGGAGGACACCACCCTGGTGGCTGAGGTCCTGAAAGCTTCTTCAGGCCTTGGCATCCACCAGGCTGGCCTTGGCAGGACAGCTCTCCCGGCTAGGTGCAATGGGATGGGTGGAGGTGAGTGACGTGCCTCTCCTTTTGTGCACCAAGCTGCCTTGCCCACACGGGTCATGGGCATTTCTTCCTTCATACCAAAAGTTCCTGCAGAACAGCTAAGTAAGATAAGACCGTCCCCTGAAACCAGCCCAACTGTCCCATAGAACTGATGCTTATAGTTTCTTTTGAATTAATATAAAAACTGACTCTCTCTCAGCTTTAAAACTTGCGAAACTTACATTTGTCTTCCCTGAGCTCTTTTCTCAGGAAATGGACCCTTAGGCCTCCCAGATGGCATCAAGGAACTGAAACTCACCAGATCATTGTGTCTGGACAATGAGGAGTCAGATCTCTCCTTCATCGTGATGCCTGATGGACTGCCTATTTCCTGCGGAGCAATTCCTCTTCCTTACTTCTCCCTAATTCCTGCTTGCTGGAAGGTAGCTACATTCCTTCCCTGCTATATAAATCCCCAATTGCAGTTGGTCAGCGAGATGGATTTGAGACTGATCTCCTATCTCCTCAGCTGCAGCACCTGATTAAAGCCTTCTTCCCTGGCAATATTCGTTGTCTCAGTGACTGGCTTTCTGTGTACTGATGAGCAGGACCTAGAACAAATCCCTGACATTTCAGTAACACTTCCACAAAACAGAGTTGGTTAAAGAGCTCACATTTCAAGCAATGATCATGGACCCCCATCTTGGCCATCTTTGAACTTCTACAACAAAGTCCTGCCCAAAGGAGACTTGATATACATAGTCTCATGTTCATACAGAGATTTTAAAAAATTGAATGGTAAAAAGATAATCTAAGTCAAGGGCATCTACTCAGTGGCTCAAAATAGCTCCCAACCCCAGCCCAGACATAGAACCTCTTACAGGGGGTGTCGAATGGTGTGTACGGTCCTTCATCATCATCCTCGTCCTCCTCTTCCTCCTCATCATTCTCATTGTCCTCATTTTCATTCTCTGTTTCGTTGCCAGCCTCAGCCACAACATCGTCCCTCCGTGTCCCATTCACGCCCCTGTCTGGGGCACTGCTGGGCCCTGTCCCATTCTCCACGGTGTGCTTAATTGGGATTTTGATGGCCACCTCAGATTCCCCGTTGGTATAAGCCCTGCTGTTTATCAATCTTTGTCTCTGGAAAGAGAAAGGCGCACTCTTACCACGGTCAGAGGGATTGCAAATACCTTACACTCAGAACATGAGCTGTTGGGATCTTTCCCTGGCAGCTGACGATATGCTTCCAGAAGACCCTGGAGTCAAGTTTTAAGGGGCCTCTCAATGTGATAACCAACTCCAGACAACTTCCATCTGGGAGGAAAGATTAGTCTTTTATGACCCATCAGAACTTGCAAATCCCTTTAGAGGAAAGTTCTTAGGGGATGTGCAGTTCCTTGACACTCTGTGCACTGTGATGTCATCTTTCTTCCCCAGACTGCAGGAGTTCCTGGGTCCCTATGTGAGAAAGCTGCACAACTGTGTTTGGTCTAGTGTATCAATAAGGCTATATTCCAGAAAAGGAATGCACAGCAAAATTCAAGTCAGGGACTCTGGATTACTTTAAACTAAGGTAACCCTTAGTTAGAAACAATTTCTGTGCAAGTTCATATCAGGGGGCTTTATTCAAATGGAAGAATAGAAGAAAAATGTGGGTGAAAGGGAGAAGGAACAGGGGAGTTTTCTATATAAATGGAAATTAGTCCATGTCTCAACACGTGGAGGGAAGAGCAAGGGCCAGATATACAGCTGGCCCAGGGAACTAAGATTAGGAAATGGCTGAGGGATGCTGCGGTGTTAAACTTTGAGTTAGGTGCTTCTTCTTTCAAACAAGAAACCTTCTCTCCTTCCCAGAGTTTCCCACCCCTGTCCAGTGGGCAGTGGACAGTGCTTTCCCAGGTACCTCATTGATCAACATGCGACTGGCCATGGAGAGCCGGGTCTTGGGGGGAAAGTGGCTGGTTATCATGATTCGAAGGCCAGCCTCAGAGAAGGAAAGCTGGTGTGGGTAGGCTGACAGCAGCTCGTCTACCATGATCACTGATGCTTTGCGGTGGAAATTTGCTAGGGAAACGAAAAACATAAGGTAAAATAACATGGAGGCCAGGAGCAGGAAAGAGGCATTCATTTATTCTTCCTTCCCTTCTTTTCTCTTCCTCCCTTCTTTCCTCCCATCCATTCACCCATCCATCTATCCACTCATCCACTCTTCTTTCCTTATTTCTTCCTTCCTTCCACCCATCCATGCATTCATTCTTCTTTCCATCCATCCAACTCACCTATCCATCCATCCATCCACTCTTCTTTCCTTATTCCTTCTTTCCTTCCTTCTTTCCATTCATCCAGCCAGCCAGGAAGGGTTGCAGTGAGCAAATTTTGAACAAGAGTCAAAATCTCCTTTCCATGGGTGTTCATGTTAAATCTTTTGAAAGGACTTGAAACAATTTAAGCCTCATTCACTGACATGGTAAGAATTAATGATACCATAAGAGAATTCCTCCTTGTCCTTAAAGGATTCTTTTCCCACCATTCAGATCTGGGGCACAGAGAAGACTCCAAGAACTTTGTACCCTATATGCCCTTCAAATGTCAGCAATATTCATACTGAGCTGTTAAATGCTACTGAATTGACGTTAGTGCAGTTCTGCACTGGAGGACATGGTGGTGAAATGTACACATTCCCTCAGCCCAGTCTATGAGCAGAGCTGACAAGTGTTGGGTGAGTTGTTCATGTTACAGAGAACCGAGGTCAGAAGAGTGCTTGGGACAAATCTTGTGTGATAGTTCACCAGAAGGCCTAAAAAATAATGTTGCACGAAGGGTCCAGCTCCCTCTCTATGAATGAGCTGTATATGCACACAGTTCAAGGGTACTTGGCTGCAGCCTCTTGTAATACTAGCTCCTGTTTTCCAAGCCACTAAAGCATGAAGTGATCTCTGGAAACACTGGCTAATACTAGGTAGCTCTCTTTAGCATATTCCTTTTACGGTTATAAACTACCCAGAAGAGAAGAAACTAAATAAAATCCTCATGTGAAATGGTACTAAATCACCTAAGTCATTTGTTAAACATATGTATAATCATTCAGAAAAATATATCAAATATTTAATTTTGAAAATCTAATGATGCAGTGATGTCAGAGATATATTTGAAAATAACCCATAGATGTATTTGAAAATAATCTTTCTAATTTCTTTTTTTTTCTTCCTGCAAAGCAACCATATGGGACCAAGAAAAAATAAACTCCCATATTTCAAGAGAAAAGTTTAAAAAATTAAGTAAAAAACACATTCCAGGTAAAATTAAATGATTATTTTCTGAGTTCCTCTTAGAAAAAATATTATATATTTGAGAGCACCATCTAATTTCCCTTAGTGTCTCAGCTGTTTTGTAAGACTCGACTGAATACAAGAATTACTTTGAAGAGGAAGGCACTTTTCTATTTCTGTTTGCAGCTTGGAAACTGAGTTAATGTAGCCTTAAAGTGAATTTGGATCTAGTAATATACTAATAACACCTGTCATTTATAGAGCATTGCACTAAACTCTGACACATATTTATCTACTTTGCTTATTACAAAAATGATTCTCGTATTTCAGAAGAGAAAACTGAGGCTCAAGAGGTTACATAACCTGCTTCATGGTCACACAACCAAAACCCTATCTCAGAACCTAGGGTCTCCTTTCCTTTGCCATCCTGTTCTCTGCAGCACTCGAGCAAATGTGTTGCCTGGGAATTTCCAGGGGGCTTTCTGAGCTCTAAGGGGCTTACCAGGTATGAGATGGCTCCATGACATTGTAGTGAAAGGGAGGGTTGGAGGACTGGAAACTTCTGCTCTCTCGGGGCAGGGAGTGCCCTCTCAAGGCCAGCTGGGACATGCCATGTGTGGCTATGAGAGTGGGCAGATGGGCTCATATTCTAGCACTTTCTTCTCACACACAATATCTCCTTGGTTACCTTTTCTTTCTTTCTTTTATTTTTTTTTGAAATAGGGTCTGGCTCTGTTGTCCTGACTGGAGTGCAGTAGAGCAATCTCGGCTCACTGCAACGTCTGCCTCCTGCGTTCAAGCGATTCTCATGCCTCGGCCTCCCATGCAGCTGGGATTACAGGCTTGGGCCACCACTCCTGGTTAATTTTGTTGTATTTTTAGTAAAGATGGGGATTTGCCATGTTGGCCAGGCTGGTCTTGAACTCCTGGCCTCAATTGATCCTCCTGCCTTGGACCCCAAAGTGCTCTCCTTGGTTACCTTTCTTAAGTAGCACCACAGTTGCGTCGCAGTTGCTGCTGTCATCAATTTCAGCATTGTTGGCCAATCCGTTGACCATGTTCCCGGCACCTTTTGTCCTCCTCTCAAAGCACTGATGTATGCAAGCGTTATATCTGAGCAAAGCGACAAGTGGGCAGAGTCCATCAGTGTTTTCCATTCTCCCATTTCTCAACTCCCACCAAGTGCTTCTGAGAGCTCTCCCAGTCTGCATGCACAGTCACCAGGCCTCAAGTTATTAGTGTTCTAATTTTCTCAACCCATTCCCCCTCAGAATATACAAGCCTGTCCCATTTCCCAATTTATGAACAAATGGTAAGTGAAAAGAAAACCACCATTATAGAAATAAACCAGAGCACATGGGCACATTGCTTACTTTGCCACCTCTTTCATGCCAGTGGGGGCCTCTCTGGGATTGAGCTCCCCTTCTCAGTCTGCACATGGAAGGACTGTGCTAAGACTCAGTAGGATGGTCAAGGTCTACCTTCTCTGGGCCACATCTCCAGGGCCTTTGTAATCAGGGACCAGCTTTTTGGGAGAAGGAGAAGCTGCTTCATCCACACCACTCCCCAGGAACAGTGGCTGTGTGTCACAGTCTATGTGCTACAGTCCGGTTGGCCGTCTAGGTCTCTGTATGGCTTTGGTTTCCTGAGGTCATGGGTTGGGATTCTCCAAATTTCTATGACTATCGTGCCTAAGTTTCAGATCCAATGGGCCCTTAGCTTTATGAAAAAATTCTAGGCTATTATCCTCCAGAATGATCAAGTGAATACATTGTGCAGTGTTCCTTAGATGCCCCAGCAGGCTGAGGTGGGAAGGGAAGAAGCTTGTACAAGTTCCGAGGATGGTTTTTTACAGTCTCCCTAGCTTTAGTATGAGAAGATTCCCACAGAGGAATCCTAGAAAACTCATAAAAACTCACGGGCAAAGACAGCCAGGCACAGTTTCCATGTCACAAAAGGCTGCTACTGCTTTTCCCCCCTCCATCGTTTACTGGCCATGGGACAGCCCACTGGGGACCTCCAGTTTGACCTCCGGCCTCCCATAGGCATGGCAGTTAGGCATGGTGACCGTAAGTTGCCAGCTGGAAGGCCACTCAACCTATGTTTCTCTTCCCTTTCCTCATCTCTTTGCTGCTACAGACATGAAGCTCTCTGGATTCCCTCCCAGCTATCTCCTTTGTGCCTGATTCTTCAGTGGGTACAGCTCTGAGGTGGCTGGCCTATGGCAACAAGACCTCAGAGAGACGAAGAGGTCCTCTGTGGCTGGACCGTCTCATCCATGAGTTCTTTCCTGTACTCTCTAGGAACGTGCAGTTACTACATTGCATGAGAGAGAACAGAAAACTAGTCAAAGTGACGGGTGTCATTTGTAGTTCATAAGACACGAAGCGTAGAATTAGAACACCACTATTTTGCAACCCAAACGAAATAATGGATGCAGACACTGAGCACTGATGGCTGCCAACACTACAGACAGAGAAAGGCAGACATCACCATGCCTCCTGGTGATGGAACCTGAATGCTGACGGCTGCCAACACTACAGACAGAGAAAGGCAGACCTCACCGTGCCTCCTGGTGATGGAACTTTACCACCACTTGGGACATAGTCTAGCCTGAATCAGATCAATTACAGACATATAGGAAACACATAGGCCAAGGGAACAGATTGCACCACAGCATGGGATATAATCAACAGTTTCCAACCATGGGCAACTCTGCAGAGCAAACAGCCAAACTTCATCAAAGAACAAAGTGCAAGGAAAATGCACACACACACACATGCACATACAGACACACAGAGACACACAGACACACACAGACACACACAGAGACACACACAGACACACACACAGACACAGACACACACTCGCACACACAGACACATACAGACACACACACAGACACACAGCACACAGACACACACAGATGCCCAGTCATGCACACACATACACACACAGACAACACACAGACACAGAGGCCAAGGGAACAGACTGTGCCACATCATGGGATATAATCAACGCTTTCCAACCGTGGGCAACTCTGCAGAGCAAACAGCCAAACTTCATTAAAGAACAAAGTGCAAGGAAAATGCACACACACACATGCACACACATACAGACACAGCAGCAAGTCATGGGCCACCAATTCTAATGAGTGGAATTTATTTGAATTCTCATTTTTAAAATATTTATGATATTTATGAAACTAAAAGAAAACAATGAAAAAGACATTTGTGAGGCCACTGAAAATTTGAACATTAGGTATTTTATGATATTAAGGAATTAGTATTAATTTTACGTATGACGATAATGTGGTTATGTTAAAGAAAATAGTCCTTTTAGAATCCTAAAAGAGTGAGTCTCCCTCTCCCTCTCCCTCTCCCCACGGTCTCCGTCTCCGTCTCCCTCTCCCTCTCCCTCTCCCTCTCCCCCTCCCCACGGTCTCCCTCTCCCCACGGTCTCCCTCTCCGTCTCTTTCCACGGTCTCCCTCTGATGCCGAGCCGAAGCTGGACTGTACTGCTGCCATCTCGGCTCACTGCAACCTCCCTGCCTGATTCTCCTGCCTCAGCCTGCGGAGTGCCTGCGATTGCAGGTGCGTGCCGCCACGCCTGACTGGTTTTCGTATTTTTTTGGTGGAGACGGGGTTTCGCTGTGTTGGCCGGGCTGGTCTCCAGCTCCTAACCGCGAGTGATCCGCCAGCCTCGGCCTCCGGAGGTGCTGGGATTGCAGACGGTGTCTGGTTCACTCAGTGCTCAATGGTGCCCAGGCTGGAGTGCAGTGGCGTGATCTCGGCTTGCTACAACCTCCACCTCCCAGCCGCCTGCCTTGGCCTCCCAAAGTGCCCAGAGTGCAGCCTCTGCCCGGCCGCCACCCTGTCTAGGAAGTGAGGAGCGTCTCTGCCTGGCCGCCCATCGTCTGGGATGTGAGGAGCCCCTCTGCCTGGCTGCCCAGTCTGGAAAGTGAGGAGCGTCTCTGCCCGGCCGCCATCCCATCTAGGAAGTGAGGAGCGTCTCTGCCCGGCCTCCCATCGTCTGAGATGTGGGGAGCGCCTTTGCCCCGCCGCTCCGTTTCGGATGTGAGGAGAGCCTCTGCCCGGCCGCGACCCCGTCTGGGAGGTGAGGAGCGTCTCTGCCCAGCCGCCCCATCTGAGAAGGGAGGAGACCCTCCGCCCGGCAACCGCCCCGTCTGAGAAGTGAGGAGCCCCTCCGCCCGGCAGCCGCCCCGTCTGAGAAATGAGGAGCCCCTCCGCCCGGCAGCCACCCCGTCTGGGAAGTGAGGAGCGTCTCCGCCCGGCAGCCGCCGTGTCCGGGAGGGAGGTGGAGGGTCAGCCCCCCGCCCGGGGCCAGCCGCCCCGTCCGGGAGGTGAGGGGCGCCTCTGCCCAGCCGCCCCTACTGGGAAGTGAGGAGCCCCTCTGCCCGGCCAGCCGCCCCGTCCGGGAGGGAGGTTGGGGGGTCAGCCCCCCGCCCGGCCAGCCGCCCCGTCCGGGAGGGAGGTGGGGGGTCAGCCCCCCGCCCGGCCAGCCGCCCCGTCCGGGAGGTGAGGGGCGCCTCTGCCTGGCCGTCCCTACTGGGAAGTGAGGAGCCCCTCTGCCCGGCCAGCCGCCCCGTCCGGGAGGGAGGTGGGGGGGGTCAGCCCCCCGCCCGGCCAGCCGCCCCGTCTGGGAGGTGAGGGGTGCCTCTGCCCGGCCGCCCCTACTGGGAAGTGAGGAGCCCCTCTGCCCGGCCACCACCCCGTCTGGGAGGTGTGCCCAACAGCTCATTGAGAACGGGCCAGGATGACAATGGCGGTTTTGTGGAATAGAAAGGGGGGAAAGGTGGGGAAAAGATTGAGAAATCGAATGGTTGCCGTGTCTGTGTAGAAAGAAGTAGACATGGGAGACTTTTCATTTTGTTCTGTACTAAGAAAAATTCTTCTGCCTTGGGATCCTGTTGATCTGTGACCTTACCCCCCAACCCTGTGCTCTCTGAAACATGTGCTGTGTCCACTCAGGGTTAAATGGATTAAGGGCGGTGCAAGATGTGCTTTGTTAAACAGATGCTTGAAGGCAGCATGCTCGTTAAGAGTCATCACCACTCCCTAATCTCAAGTACCCAGGGAGGCAAACACTGCGGAAGGCCTCAGGGTCCTCTCCCTAGGAAAACCAGAGACCTTTGTTCACTTGTTTATCTGCTGACCTTCCCTCCACTATTGTCCTACGACCCTGCCAAATCCCCCTCTGTGAGAAACACCCAAGAATGATCAATAAAAATAAAAATGAAAATTAAAAAAAAAAAAAAAAAAAAGAAAAAAAAAAGAATCCTAAAAGAGTATCCAGCTGTGTCTAGAGATGTCCAGATGTATACTGGAATTTTTGTGGATGAACTAGTATGATGTCCGGGACTTCAAAATTATAGGAGAAAAGGGAAGTGAATAGGGTGTGGATGGGGCAACTGTGGGTTGATGGTTGCTGGGGGTGGTGACGAATGCATGGGGTTCATCGTACTATTCTGCAGACTCCTGTATATATTCAAAATTCCTGTTAGTGAAAAGGCCTCCACACTTTCTAGATTCGACAAGGATGCCTTGCCCTGTAGAGCGACAGGGAAAGAGGCAGTGTTTCTGTCATCTTGACTTAGACTCCATTTCCCTGAAAGAAATACTGACTTGCATAAAGGTTTGCTTTTTTTTTTTTTTTTGGAACGGGGTCTTGCTATGTTGCTGAGGTTAGTCTCAAACTCCTGGCTTCAAGCAATCCTCTCGCTCCAGCTTTCTGAATAGCTGGGATCACAGGCATGCACTACAGTGCCCAGTGATTAGGTTTTGCTTTTAAAGTACAAAAGCAAACTCATGTATTATACATTTATCAGGGTTTAGAGAACAGGATAATAATACTATACAGTGAGGGCTTTCTCAAAACTGGATACCAGGTTAAACTAAGCTTAACTTAGCTTGACAGCTTAACTAAGCTGTCACATTCCGTTCTCATGGAATATATATAATAATAGTAGAAATTATTATTAATCTTGTTTTGCAGAAGAGGAAACTGAGATTCAAGATGGCTGAAGAACTTGGCTGAGGTCCCATGACTGTCAGTGGCAGGGGGCTCTGCTGTCAGGGCTGAATGTGAGGCACTGGTTCTTAACCACCAGCACACATACCCCATCTGGGGAACAAATCCTAGAGCAGTGACCTGGGATGTACAGAAAGCAATCCTTGCCAAGGCCAGGCATGCTTTATGCTCCTTGAAGGTTTCTACCTAACTGGACAATCTGAAATTGCTTTTTGACCTTCAGATAGAATGTTTAAAGTCATTTAAAAACTCTCCACCTAGGAGGCAGCTGACGATTCTAATATATGCTGTTTTTTTTCTTAACTACTGTTGCTGTTTTATATTTTTAATTGAATGTTTTAAATTTTGTGCTTGCACCCTGAAGCTATTTTATTGTGAAGCATGCAATTTTATAAATCAGATTTGATAAAACCCAATGATTAAAGCCTCTGATTGCAGAGGGGGATGGCTAAAGAGCAGAGATTTCAATTTAGAACTTAGGACCAGAATTTATGCAGAAAATTTCATGAGCACAGTAGCTTCCATTCCCAGTTTTATTTGTATCCTGCTGGTTTGAACAGCTGGAATGTTGGTAAAAGTGAGGCATCAGCAGAAACACACCTCATTAGCTTCCACATTTGGTACGGTTTGGGGAAGAGGAGAGGATGTGTTCGCTGTACTATCTTACTGTACACGTGTCCTGCCAGCGACTCATGGGCTTCAAGGTGGCTTGGAAAAGGGGAGCAGTGGCTATAAGATGCATGCCAGCAAAATTCCTCAAGTCTTCTTCTCTCTGGCCACATCTGTTTTTGAAGAATACTTAACTCTCTGAAGCCCTTAGTGAATTCATTTTGAAACATACTTTCATGAAAATTAAGATTCAAGACCCAAGATTAATGTTGGGCATAGAGCAGACACTGTGTGGCGATTCTTCCAGAATAATCAACTAATCCACTTTTGGGAGCTCAATTAGAGCCTCAAAATGTTAAAAAATTGAAACGATGCACTAGAAAACAGCAAAGGAAGATGTGTGAGTACACACACAGACAGTAGTTTGAGGCTTCCCCACTTTGGCACTGATTTGCTATATAGTTTTGCTCTTTGAGACAAAGAGGCATAAGATGGGTACTCTGATCTTTAAAGGCTTTTCCTTTGGGGGCTGGAAAGTTTGGAAAGGCTTTGGATCAACTCTGGTTTTCATGACAGCTCATCTATTGGTATTTTTAAATGATTAGTTCTACGGTGTGTAACTTCTGGTTTCTTCATTAGTTACCTTATGGTACCAGGATATGTATGACTAAGGTCCTACTCTAGGAATGCCCTTCTCCACTAAGCTCCAGATGTGGGGTCTACAGTAACCATTGGATGGCTCCCCTCACAAATGTTGGCCCCCATATTGAGTAGACTGGCAGCAGATTGCCTACAGCCCACCCTGGGCACTGGCCAAGCCAGCTTCTACCTTCATTGCTCCTGTGATATTTGCCAATGTCCGTGTTGATTTCTCTCAACAAGTGTCTCAGTCACTGGTCACCAGAATTAACTTTTGTCAGGCCTCAACAATAAGAAACCTTAATGTGTCAGTTCCAGACTGCCACCTGATATGTCCAAACTGGCCATTGTTGATGGATTTCTACTTTCTTGCCCCTAGAGAAGGCAGTCACTCCTACGGCTACATATGTTGGGGAAACATGGGCTAATTTAGAGGAAAAGCAGCAGCTCCCACGGGGTTGGGCAGTTGCAGCACAGAACATCTCTGCATTCTTTATAACCTCCTCATCCCAGTGGTGCCTGGCAAAAAGATGAACCAGCAGGCTTACCACCATGGTGCTTACATTTAACTTACAGCATGGGAAACATTGGTCATACAATTCTTATTTATTTTTATTTTTTAATGAGATGGAGTCTCGCTCTGTCACCCAGGCTGGAGTGGTGGCGCGATCTCAGCTCATTGCAACCTCTGCCTCCCGGGTTCCAGCGATTCTCCTGCCTCCTCCCAAGTAGCTGGGATTACAGGCGCACGCCACCACGCCTGGCTAATTTTTGTATTTTTAGTAGAGATGGGGTTTCACCATGTTGGCCAGGCTGGTCACGAACTCCTGATTTCAAGTGATCCACTCACCTTGGCCTCCCAAAGTGCTGAGATTACAGGCATGAGCCACTGCGCCTGGCAAATTCTTGATATAAATAAGCTACCCCAACTCCAGGAGGGAAAAGAACATATGTCATAACATGGTGGTTTTAAAATACCTCAACAGTTCTTTGACATTTTTCCCTTCACTAAGTGATGCCAGCCCCTTGAGTGTGGACTGGACTTAGTGACTCGCTTCTAATAAACAGAATATGGTAGAAGTAATGGCGTGTGACTTCTGGGATATTATAAAAGGTGCTGCAGGGCCCTTCTTGCTCTCTGTCTTGAACCACTTGCTCTGGAGGAAGCCACTCAAGCAGCTCTAGGGAGGAGCCCATGTGGTGAGAAACAGCCCGCCAGTCAAGAGCCAGCATCGCTTGAAGGCAGGTTCTCCCACACCAGTCCAGTACATGATGGCAGCTCTGGCTGCAAACTCATGAGAGACTCTGAGCCAGAACCTTGCAGTTAAGCTGCTCCTGGGTTCCTAACTCTCAGACAATGTGTGAGATAATACATGTTTGTGCTTTTAAGCCACTAAGTTTTGGGATGGTTTGTTATGCAGCAGTGGATGACTAATACCATATAAATAATGGAAGTCCACAGATATTTGATCCATGATTTCAGCTGTCTCTTAACTAACTCTTCATCAGTTACCTCATGATAACTCCATGCCAGGATATGTTTGATGAAGGTCCTACCCTAGGAATTCCCTTCACAAGCAAGCCCTAGAGACTGGGTCTACACAGACCACCGGATGGCTGGCTCATGTTGGCTGCCATATTGAGTAGACTACCTTGCATCTTCTCTCACCCTCTATAGCAGTGTAACATATTGAGTTTTATCTCCTTTGTGTTAAGAAAGAGAGTGAAGAAACCTCCCAGAGCTGCCAGATCCTGAAGAGAGATTAGGGGTTCTAGAGAGTTCTCAAGTGAAACACTGAAGCTTTGAGTCTATCATCAAATATGGGCTGGAAGGGTCACTACAATTGATACTAATCAAAATTACAGTGACTCACAACAGTCTGGCAGGGAGCCAAGTGACTGTGATGATACACACTGAAAAACCAGTCAGATACCCACCCCAATCCTCTTCCCACATCATCACATAATGTGGAATGCAAGAAACAGTTTTGGATAAGAAATGAAAAATTTTACTTACTTCATGATGACAATGTAGATAAGATACATCAGCACAAGGACTAAAGACTCCCACCTGTGTGTAAACCAAGAACAGTTAAAGACAGTCATGGACATCTGTGAAACTCACCTGCCTCATTTTTAAAGACATATTTGATGCAAACGGCCAGGATAGTAAGGAGAAGGCAGACGGTGCTAGGTGACGGATATTTCCTGGTCTAGAGACATTCTCTATGCTGCATAAGGCTGTCAACCATCTTTCTCTTCTCTCCTCACCTAAAGGGAAAATGCCCCTTCCTCTCTGTTATTTGTCACCTAAAAGAGCTCTTTGAAAGCAGCAAGCCTTTCATACACGTTGCTGAATATAGGTCAATATGTATACATCTGGTCTCAGCTTAATCATTCACTGAAACTATTCAGACATATTTACAAGGGGAAACTAAAATTAGAGGAATTGCCGGGGATGCCTGAGGGATTGCTGTATATATAGGAGCCAGGCATAAAGGGTAGAAGTGGGGAGAGAGGCAGGCAGACAGACAGACGGAACCTGGGCAGGGAAGGTACCAGTCGAAGAGTAAGAAGGAATAAGTGGGAAAACATTCCACAGGAAGGAAGAAAAGAAAAACCTGCTAGAATGTGCCTTGAGCTTCTAATAGTCTGAATACTTCTGTTTTCTTTATCTTAGTGGCTTCCAACTAAAAACCAGGAGCTTGTTTTCCAGGTTTCGCTTTAGCTACAGAATCAAATCAGCTCATTGAGGGAGTAATTTTGGCTTCAGTGGTAGGTTACTGGAGAATGGTCAGATGAGGAAACTCCAGGTTATACCCATCCTTCCTTTTCTCTTTTCAAATTCCATGTCTAGAAGCTGATCCTAGAGAAATATTTGGTCAAATGTGAAAAGGATACATACACAAGGGTTTTTCCTGCGGCAGTGTTTATAAAAAAGTGAAAAGCTGGAAGGAAGCCAGGTGGTTATAAAATAGGGCACTGGGTACATAAATGATACGTAGGTTCATGTATCCATTAAGAATGATTATGCAGGCTGGGCACAGTGACCCGCTCCTGTAATCCCAGCATTTTGGGAGGCCGAGAGGAAAGGATCACTTATGTCCCCAAGTTCCAGAACAGCCTGAGCAACATAACAGGACCCCGTCTCCAGAAAAAAATTAAAAAATTAGCCAGGTATGGTGGTGTGCCCCTGGAGTCTCGGCTACATGGGGAGGCTGAGGCGGGAGGATTGCTTGAGCTCAGGAGATGGAGGCTACAGTGAGCTATGATTACACCACTGCACGACAGCCTGGGCGACACAGTAAAACCCTTTCTTCCATCTCCCTTCCAAAACAAATTATGCAAAGATGTAGGTATTTATTCTAGAAAGTGCTCAGATGCACTATTGAGAGAGGAAATCAGGGTATCCAAGCCCTTTCAATTTCTGCCACATTTCTCAGCTTCTGTCATGGCAAAACTTCTTAAAGGGCTGTGCACACTGCGTTTCAGTGCCTCTCATTCAGTTGGCAAATTTCTCTAGCCTAACTTCCACACCCCCCGATCTCCTGAATCACCTGTCAAGGGCACCAGTGATTTCTATCCACACCAGTCCAAGCATGAGTGGGTGGTTGTCCATCATCCTGTTCGATTTCCTGGTAGCATCTGAAAGGAGATCATCTGCCCCGCTTCATAAAACCCTCTCTTCTGACTGCCGAGAGGCCACACCCCTGGCTTCCTTCCTGCCCCCAGCTTCTCCTTCTCCATCTCCTTTGCCTCCTCCACTCCTTCAGTTCATCCTCTCATTATTGGGCCATCTTTATTGCCTATGTTTTCTCCCTAGGTGACCTCATCCTGACCTATTGCTATAAATACCAAATACATGATAATGACCCCCAATTTACACATCCACACCACACCTCTCTCCAGCTCCAGATTCATATATTTGGCCTCTGCACCTGGAAGTCTAAATGTCTATCAGAACAGAATTCTTCATTCTTATTTCCTAGCCTCCTTAAAACAAAAAAACAAAAAAACAAAAAAACAAAAAAAAAACCAACCCTGGGCTTTGTCCTTTCAGTCAACTGTACCACTCCCTGCCCAGTCAAGCCCAGAATCTGGAAATCAATATGGAGCACTCCCTTTTCCTCACTCCCATATCCATCGGACTCTGTGTCTCAAGTATTTCATCAATCACTGACTTCTTTCTTCTCTACTGTGCCCTCCCTAGGTCATTTTTCACTTCAACCTCTGAACTGGTTTCCTTGATACTATGGGAGCATGTCAATGCACTTCTTAAAATCTTTACTTCCCAAAATGCCTAAGAAAAAAAATGAAAGTTTCCTTTTTCCTTGCAAATCCTGGCCTTTTCTTCTGTCTCCATGTTGTCTTGTGTCCTATCTGTGCCCCACCTCAATGGCCTTTCATTTGCACACAGCCGTCTCTTTCCCTCTCCCAGAGCCTTTGCACTGAATGTTCTTTTGGCCAGGAATGGCTTTGCCTTCACTCCTTGGCTGGCCACTTTTATCCTGCAGATACCAGCTTTTAAATATCACCTCCTCCAAGCAATCTTCCCTGCCTGCCCCTGCCCGACTTTCTCTCACATGACCCTGTTTATGTTCTTCAAACCTCTAAGCAGTCTGTGATTATCTTGTTTATATATTTATTACTCATTTATTATGTAACTAACACCTGTTTCTAGCAGTCACTTGACACCACTCCTCACACCTGACACCTTCCCTGGTATCTGGTGTCTCATTATCCAGAGATTTAAAATGCCGACAACTGATTTCTCCCCACGCAGACACCCCCAGGTCTTGCCCACTTGCCTCTTCTCCCCAGCAGAAAGCAGCCATCAGCTCATCTGTGCAGGTGACACTCCCTCCAAACATCAATTTTCAGTTGCAAAATGCCTCCAGTGGCCTGAACATAGTTCTTATCTCATCGACACCAATGTATACGTAGCATACACTTCATGGTGAAAAGTGAGATTTATTCACAGCCCATTCATTTGGAAGGAACAGGCTCCCAGGTTCTGAAGGGATGTCACGTTATTGCTTAGATGCATTTTAATAGATTCAGTGAGAAGTCACCAGAAAATGAATCAACTTTAATGAAATATTGTAGTCAGATTGAATTAAGTCCAGCACTTTATAAACAGGCGTATGTATGCTCTTTCTAATTCTTTTAGATCTTTTCAATTTTTTACTCATCAAAAGCCCTTCTGTTGCAATATTCAAACCAGGTTCTCTCTGGCCATTTTGCAGAGATGCCTGTAGGATGAGATTCCTTGCTTTTGTTGACATTTCAAGTTTGCTCTGTTGGCTTTCAGACACAGGGCTCACCAGGCTTCCTCCCCATTGAACCCAGTGGGCTCTAGGAGGCCTCTGTGCCGCCCCACCTGCTGTTCCTCATGCATTTTTGACCTGGTTGAATTTGGATCATCAAGCCTTGGCCTAATGCTCTTCAGGGCCCTTCCCCCCACCCCCTCTCCTCAGTGTGGTGAGCCTCTCCATGTGGTCCCACAGTTACATGTGAAGGGTCTGCATCCCTCCAGCCTGAGAGAGCTCCAGGTCGGGCCAGCTCTGGTTTTGTACGACATGTTTCCCTGGCGTAGAGGAGGTGCTTAGGAAGCATCCAGACCTTGGAAGTCACCCGGCCCTCCTTGGTCCCCTTTCTCGCCCTTTCACCTAGGACGCTGGGCACCTTCTCCCCTTTCCTCCTGAGCACACCTCACCCGCTGTCCTCTGAGGATCCCATTCTGTAGCTGATCTGGGTTTGTTTCTTCCCTCCCCAGGCTTCCATTTTGAATCATTTTCAACGGGTCCCTGATTCTCACCAAAGACGGTTCCTTCTCAGATGTGAGGACTGCTCCTCTCCTCACCTGGGTACACTGTTGGCTCTGGTTTCCTGAACACATCCCAGAACAGCAAAAGCTGTTTTCCAGCCCCACCAAGAAGAGTTTCCAGGTTGCAATCCCAGGGTCTCTTTTCTCTCCCAAAGTCACAACTTCGGACTCAAAAGAAGAAACCAAACCATCGCCCTGCGTTCTTTAGTTTTCTTGTTGGGCCTTCAGACTCCCTGAAGACACATTCCGAATTCCTTCTGGCAACAACACGGGAATGCTCTGTGGGTCGAGCATACATCCTAATATGTGGGCCTCTGACACTTTTTTTTCTTTTTTTTTTTTTGAGACAGAGTCTTGCTCGGTCACCCAGGCTGGAGTGCAGTGGCACAATCTTGGCTCACAGCAACCTCCGCTGCCAGGGTTCAAGCTATTCTCCAGCCTCAGCCTCCCGAGCAGCCGGGACTACAGGTGTGCATCACCATGCCTGGCTAATTTTTGTATTTTCAGTAGAGATGGGTTTTCACCATGTTGGCCAGGCTGGTCTCGAACTCCTAACCTCAAGTGATCCACCTGCCTCAGCCTCCCAAAGAGCTGGGATTATGGGCGTGAGCCACCATGACCTGCCGATGCTTCCTATGTCAAGTGTCTTTTAGCACATAGGCACCTAACCGAAGAGCACTCACCACTATTCCCCTGCCTCTTCCCTGCTAAGAGAACCCCACCCACTAGGTTGAGGCAGCAAATGGAGCCCTTCTGATCTCAAAGAGGGTGCGCCTGACCCCAGGCCCTGAGCATGAATCATGATTGGTCTAAAGTGGTCATTCTAATCTCCCTGGCTGCTCAGTGGTCAAGGCAGACCCTTCTGCGACCAAAGAGATGCAAGGTGGAAGTGTGCCAAAAAGAACAACAGTGCCCCTTCTTCCTCCTTCCTTTCTTCAATATGAACTTGGTGGCTGGGGCTGCAGCAGCCATCTTGGGACCATTAGGCAAAGGCCAGGGGAAATGCAGAGCCACAGCACCACCTACATCCGGGGCACTGATAGTAAGAAAAATACACCAGTATGTATTCAATACGCTGTAGCTGGTTCTTCTAGTACCTGCTACTAAAATCAATCCTGACTAACTGTCAACCACCATTTTTTTGACTGAATGTGACTTCCTGCAGAATGCTGCTTCAGGAATGGTGAAAGAATCTGAACTGCATGACAGGGGTACTTTGTCCTGGTGTATTTGTATTTGACAAAGCTCACTTCCTCTTAAAGAGTACTGTAGTTTCGAAATAAACACAATTGAAATTTGTTTCCTTTTGAAGATTTTTTGGGGTGAACTGGTTACCTGCCTTGAAATCTCTAGGCCATGCTGGAATGTTCTATAATGAGGAATGGAACTCTCTGTTAAAGGTATTTTCAAAATGTTACTGTGCTTTAATTGCACAGACTGAAGACTCTGATTTTAAAGAGAGAAATCAGCACCTAGACGCACCATTTCAGCAAAATAAATGGTCATGATTGGCTTGGTAAGAAGATAGAAGAAGTGAACAGTAAAAAATTCTTAAACTTCCATTATTTTTCATCCATTAAATGAGAAGTTGAAATCCCCGGGAGTCCCAAAGTAGATAAGGGCCAGTGGCACAGACTTTAATTTCTCAGCCTCACTCACGTGCAAAATGCTCTTCATCAGCCCATGCGTGTAATAACAAGTTACACGACAGGCCAGTGCTCTGGGAAGAATGTAGTTCTGGTGCCACCAAGGCCCCCCCAGGCCAATTCTTCCCTGGAAGCCACAACTGTGCATGACTTATGATTCCAATGCCCCCCAGATAGATCAAGACACACGAGGGGATTTGCAACTCATGTATCCATGGCCCTCCAAGCCTCTTACTCATAATTGGATGAGAGGGAGCCTCGGTGCTCAGGGCGAGGGCTCTGATGACTTGTACCTTCCAGAATCTAGACCCTTCTGCTGCAGCCTCGGGCACCTACCCTAGGATGGGGTTACCTAACATCATGGGAAAAACTTAGGAATGAAGATGAAATAGACACTCCTTTTCTTGCTCCAAACCATCTGAACTATCCCGAGATGTTTTGAGGATACGGAGTGAAATGGGCTGATGGTGAAGCCTGCTTTCTTCACTTGCCATGGCTTTCATACAGCAATGCCATGGAGGTGGTAGAAAAGACGGCTCCCTCTAAGGCTGACAGCAAACCATCCTGGGTAGCCTTTCCTAACATGTTTCTGCACAACAGCTGCACACACATTTCTGAGATCAACTGTGATCACAACTTGTTTGTCTTTTGGGGAGTGTCATTAGCAAAGACTAGCACCACTGAGCAACGTTGAAGCACCTACTGTTTGCTAAGGCGGAGCAGTGGTTGTGCTAACTACGCCATCAGCTTCTGGAAGTTTTCTTGTGCTGCACTTTATCCCCAAGGACAGGGGGGAAAAATGCCCCTCACTCCATTTGGCAGCCACCTCCAGGATGATATAACAAGGAGGTTCTCTGATCTGGGGTGCTCCTGGGCATGTCAATTCCTTTCAGCCTATTGGTCACTATGATTCAAAGAAGACCTCCTTCTCATTTTCTCCTAGCTGTCTCCTCCTCTTTCTTCTTGCAAAGAGGAGAGTTAGCAAAAGTATCTTAATACCTTGACATAGCAAGTAACATTTATCATCAATGTGATGGGTTCTCCACTGCCCCCTAATTCTGAAAGTCAGAGATGTCCTCAGATACAGAGAGGCCCACACCAACAAAGAGTTAGCAGTCATTTTGCTGAAAGTGAAGCCTGGTGGACTCTACTTTTTCTGGCTCATTCACAGCTTTCAATAATACCAGGGAGATTTTCTACCTACGCCTATTCCTAATATGTTATTTCACATTGCTTACCTCTGTAGATCAAATATTCGGAAAATATGTAACGAGAATGCACAATACACTCGATTTCCATTTCCATTTCAAACATGCTTGATTTGCTCAGAACCCATCTCGAAAACGAGGATTTGAACAGTTGGACCAAATGCAAATGTCTTGCCATATATTTAATTTGGGCAACAGTTTCTGTTCTCGAACTCCTGACCTCAGGTGATCCGCCCACCTCGGCCTCCCAAAGTGCTAGGATTACAGGCATGAGCCACCATGCCGGGCCAATTTGGGCAACAGTTTCTATCAAAATAAAACATCCCCAACAACACCAATTTTCAGAGCTCTAAGATCTTTTGAAAGTCAGGGGGAACTTTAATGGATTAATGGTCACAGAAGTGCCTGGGTCCTAATTCCTAAGATAAACGTGGGATTGGGAACATGGAGCTTGGTTTGGACACAATTTTTTTTTTGGGGGGTGGGGGATGGAGTCTCACTGTGTCGCCCAGGCTGGAGTGCAGTGGTGTGATCTTGGCTCACTGCAAGCTCCACCTCCTAGGTTCATGCCATTCTCCTGCCTCAGCCTCTTGAGTAGCTGGGACTACAGGTGCCTACCACCATGCCCGGCTAATTTTTTGTATTTTTAGTAGAGACGAGGTTTCACCGTATTAGCCAGGATGGTCTCGATCTCCTGACCTCGTGATCCACCCGCCTCGGCCTCTCAAAGTGCTGGGATTACAGGCATGAGCCACTGTGCCCGGCCCAAAAATCAGTCAAATCTTAACTCTACCCTAGCACATGGCTGACTGTAGAAAGACACAGCTAAGCCATGATGTCCAGACATAGGATAATAAAGACATTTAGATATTAGGATCTCAAATAGAACCCCACCACTCTAGCCCAAGAGGAAAGGTCTTGACTCTGTGAAAATGAATTTAATTTCTCCCCTGAGGTGTGCAGAGGGTTCCTAGGAAATTCTCCTCATTCTAAGCTGTCATGACACTTCCCTTTCTTTCTTGAATCCCAACACTGGTCTTCAATATATTTGGCTCTGCAACATAACATTCAGAAATGAGAAGGGGAAAGAGAGGTACTTACCAGGAAACTTTTTCATCATAAATAAACTGTGAAAAAATAAAAAGAATAGAAGATTAGACACACACACACACACACACACACACACACACACACACACGCTTTAAGGCTGCACGCAGTATCCACCTTGTTCCTGGGATGGTGTAATCAGGACTGGGTTGTCCTGGGACCTGGAGTCCCTGTGGGTAAACTTCCCTCTGTACTGGTTTGGCCTTTGGCCAGTGTTAGTGGAAGGAGGTGTTGGTAGATCAGGGTGGGCATGTGTGGAAAAGAACAGCCTCAGGTAATTCCCTTCTTCCTGCAATTTCTGTACAACATCAGAGTGACAGGGAAGTGTGACTAACCTGCTTTGTAAAGCAAGGCCCATTGTAGAATCTTAGATCTGCAAGGGGATGTAGGAGCTCAGCAGGTTCTTCCAAATATTAGTCTCTGTAAGATTTCTGCATGTCTGTGCATCTTCAGTTTTTATGCAAGTGCTTGGACTTCTATGGGCTCAATTTTTTCTTTTAATTGATTTTTTTTTGTTTCCTTAAAATAATTTATTTTCAAAGGAAACTTCACATCACAACCAGAAGTAGGGGATCAACACTCCTTGCCATCACCCCGAAAAATAAGTGCATTAACAACAAATGGTGTTTGCAAATCCCATCTGGACACTGTTGGCGCCCAAGCCCTGGGCATGGTCCTGCCCTTTCACTAAGGAAGATTATTAGGGGTCAGAAGCAGTCAAAGGCACACTAGCACCCCACTGAGGTTTACTCATCAGTTAGGACTTGAAAGAGAATACAGAGAGAATACACGGCAGGATTTAATCTACTGAAGTCCTGGTCTATATACCATCTAAAATCATTTCCCACCTTGTGGGGGCATGGGGGGAAGCCTAGTGTAATCCTTTGATTATACAGGGAAACTGAGTCACAGAGAACATAAGTAATTTTCCTAGGCTTGCTCCATTTGCTGCAGAATTGGCTCGAGAACTCAGCCCCAGCTCCGAATTTGGTGTCCTTTTCATGACACACATGGCTGATGACATGTTGCCGAAACCAAATGAGTACACCTATATTTCATAGAAGTAGGAAGCCGAGGACATGGTTCATAGCTCTTTCTTCTCAAACTCCTGAAGGACAACTGCTTTGAGTATGGTCGTCTCAGAGCGGCCTTTCCTTTAGAGGCAGCAGCCCTCTGCAGACTGAAGCAGACACTTGCAGGACACTCTGGGTGTCAACTGCCATCACAACTTGGAGATGGGAAACTCAGTTAACAAAGCGGGCATGGCATCAGCCTCCAGCCAGGGCAGTAACCATGAGCTGGGTAGAGACGTAGAGAACACCTCAGGGCACCAGTCACAAAGCGCATAAAGCAACTCTTTCCAATTATCTTGAAGGTCAAAATGAGGATGAGGAGGAAGGAGCTGTGCTCATTTGTAACTCATTCTTCCCAACAAGCCATTGGAAATGTGGGCTTCATCATTTTTGTTACTTTCATCTTTATTATCAGATTCAACAAGTTGACATTGGGATGACAATGTCAAACTAGAATGGGCAGAGAATTAAAGAAATAAAGGCAACAATCTCATAATCCAGGTTGAATGGCATGGTACCCAACCCCTAGAAGGCATTGACAGCTCTTTTGTATAACCCCCCCAACTTTCTTTTTTGAAAAAAGATTGTTGCCAAAAAATCATGGAGCAGATCAAATTATTTAAGATAGAAAACATTTTCTATTAATTGAAGTTAATTCAATATTAGTCCTTGCAGCAGGCTGGAACAATCAATTTGTAGCCACTTAAGAGAACAGAAGATATTGAGAAAGAGTTTATTAGACCAGGCCAATTTAATTTTCTTCTATCAGGGAAGGCAGGCAATAACATAGAATATGAAAGCAGCTTTTAGAAAGCCCTTATTCTGAGTGATCCTCCCCATAGGTGGGGCACAGATTCTGCAAAGGAAAAGCTTGGAGATCGCTCACCCTGGAAGAAAGTACTCTTCCTGTCTGCTAGCAGTCAGCCCTGAGATTCATAGGACTTTAGCTACTGATCATTTCAATGATCATAGCAAAGAAAAAATGAGATTGGGCTTAATTTTAGGAGGGACCCCAAACAGGAGCACAATAATCAGAGAAACAGTGGGCAAATCCGGGTGAGATTGGACAAAATATGCAATTAGGTCCAGAGCTTCATGACCCTGGAGTCAAGAGGATGGTTGTGGCTTGGGGAGCTGTGGTTGGGGATATGGTTCAGGGAGGCAGACAGGGAAAGAGAAATGCAGGTGATCTCACTACAAGTACTAACTAATGGAGGAGATCCGGAAACATGCAAATAACTGATATAGTTTCCCCTTTGATCTCTGCCTTGTGTGAAGATGCCCCATCACTCAGAATGCATAAGGGTAGATGAAGAGGAGGAGGATGAGAAGGCGGAGGAGGAGGAGGAGGAGGAAGTGGAGGAGGATGAGAAGGCGGAGGAGGAGGAGGAGGAGGAGGAGGTGGAGGAGGAGGCCTCCACAAAGTCAGGGCTTCTCTACCCTGTGGCTGATGGCAAATATCATTCGGGTTTATCCTTCTCCTTTGAGAGGACTGTGTGGAGGAATGAGAGGACTCAGAAAAGAACAATGAAATGAACAAAAGGGACTAGAAATCAGGACTCTGAGAAAATCTAAATTGGCTTGGCACAGTGGCTCATGCCTGCAATCCTAGCACCTTGGGAGATCAAGGTGGGAGAATCACTTGAGCCATGAGTTTGAGGCTGCAGTGAGCTATGATCTGGCCACTGCATTCCAGCCTTGGGGAGACAGCAAGACCCTGTCTCTAAAAAAACTCTAAACAGAAGCAGGGCTTCCTCATCATGAGAAAGAAGGTGGAGATGAGCTATCAACTGCCTGTGAACATTCAGTGCTGTTATTTGGAGAACAAGCAGCTGGTCATCGCCTCTTCCGAAGACTGGAAATTAGGACTGGCGCTGTTTGCAGAACGTTCCATCGGGAGGGTACCTTGCTGGACCATCTTGATGGAGCATTTGAATCGCTCCCTCAGAAAACTCTACAAACGGCAAGGATGAGGTTCCTTTCACTTGAGTTTGCTGAAGGTTAGGAAATGAATTTGTTATTCCTTAAAGATTTCATGTTATTCAATACATTTAAGACACGTGTTGCGTATCCCTCTGTAGTTTATGCTCTACTAGCTGAGAGTAAAAGAAATCAAAGCAACATCCCCCATCCCTTAGATAAGTATTACTAGTGTAGAAGAAAACTTGAAATCATTTCTTTCTAGACTAGAACAAGTTGCACCCGCAGTTCCTGCAAATGACCACTAAGTGGTGCTCACGTTCCAGTCCTCCCTCCATGTCCAGCCTGCCAAGGTAGTGAAGTTGAAATGAAGTCAGTTCAAGTCCATTTTCGCAGTTCTATTAAATCTCCTGGAAGGAAGGGAATCACCTCAAGGCAGGCAGCCTACTGAAGGCGGCTTTAGCCGCTGCTGTCTTGAGGCAAGGTGGTGTTCCAGGGGCAGGTCCTGCCTGGTGCTCTGTCCTGGGGTCAACACTCTGTCCTCAACGATGAGTTGCACTTGACGGACCTCCTGTTGTGGGCTTTGGAACTGACTCAGCTTCTTCCCCATCAGATTTGTGAAAGCAACCCTTGGGTAAGCGTTCTTCTCTCTGTGCCCTGTTGGTTCTGTTTGGGGGCCAGGCTCTGCGATAGCCCAGAGACCACCAAGGGTGATACTGATAGCTGGATCTCAGATCTGCTGAGCACCAGCTGGTCAGGGGGCCTCTGCCCTCTGACCCACATGTGGTTCATCCAAAGATACCCTTGGCTTCGCCCTGAGGTTTCCACGTGTTCTGCTGCTGAGCTAAATGTTCAACAGGAATGAATTTGAAAAAAGCACTCATTTCCTCCAGGCTTCAGAGAAACGGCTGGGTACCATGGAAACCGGCTTTTCATTCCTGGTGTCTGCTCCAGAATTCTTCCAAGCAAGACGGGCTTACATCAGGCCGGCGAATCCCTGGATATCAGAACAACCCAGAGAGCTGCCAAGGGAATGGAGTGCTCAACATGGAGGAGCAGGGGAGGAAGAGCCAGGAGCCCCTAGTATACGCGGGAGAGAAGAGGCTGGCTGAGCTGGGAGGCAGGTGGCTGTCTCAACATCGCCATGTCAGCCCCTGGGTTTGCTTACTGTAAATTGTCACCATGAAGCAGGAGAGGCTGCATTGCTGAAGCTAAGACTTCATAGCATGTATTGTAATCACTGGCACCATGAGAATTTTAAGCAGTGAAAATAATGGGAGAAAATCAACATCATCGTTTTCTTTCAAGAGACTGAAACCTGAAACTCTTTCCTTCCTTGCTGCAAAGAAAACAGCCCCCCGTAGACTTTTCCCACTCAATATCACGGGAACTCCCTTGAGTGGGTGTAGTTCTCACTTCTTCAGCTCTTGGGTGGGGGTGCAGACGGCTTAGCTAAGGCCATGGTGATTTCATCTGAGGAGAGGGATCCAGTGGAATACACTGGGAAGCTGGCTGTTAGGCACCAGTATCACTTATATTTCAAAGTTAAGCAGAAATTCCTACTTCAGGATGTCTTATAGGCTTGATTGATGAAGGTTGTGGTTGCAGAAGGGCAGGGAAAAAATGACCTACGGGCAGGGCTTTAGCCGAGCTGATCATGTTGTATAAATATATGAAGGCAGGCTACAGGAAAGAAAAAAGGGCAAGTACTGAGGATATAGGAGATGGGGGTTGTTAAACTGAAAGGACTATGTTTGCTGGGCAGGGAAAACCAAAATCAAGCACATAGCTACAGTTTCCACGTTGTTTTCCTTGTTAGAGATGAAAGGCTCCTCTCTGGGGTCTCCAGGCCAGCGGATGCACTTCCCTGTCCAAGCAGCAAATGAGAGTGTAACCGGCCTCCTAGTTTACCCAGTGTCATTAAAGCAGGACTTTCCTTCCTCCTGTTGACAGCAGGGATTACAAAACAGGCGACCTTTGTAAGACCATAGTCGATTTGTTTAAGGATCTTAAAATTCTGTCAAAGTCATTCTCGGTGAGGATCTTCTTGCTACCATAGTTATTCCGACTTTGCCAGAAAGAGAGCTGAAATGTAATGAGGGCAAAATGAGCTGAAAGACCTGAGGGCTGAAATGTAATGAGGGCACAACGAGCTGAAGGACCTCAAGTTTTCCAGTATGAGAATGTCTTAAAGAACTGAAAGTAGATCTACCCTTCAATCCAGCAATCCCACTACTGGGTATCTACCCCGAAGAAAAGAAATCATTCTATCAAAAAGACACCTGCGTGAGTATGTTTATCACAGCACAATTCACAGTTGCAAAGATATGAAACTAACCTGAGTATTCATCAGCTAACGAGTGGATAAGGAAAATATGGTTTATATACACCATGGAATACTACTGAGCCACGAAAAGAAACGAAACAATATCTTTTGCAGCAACTTGGATGGACCTGGAGGCCATTATTCTAAGTGAAGTAACCCAGGAATGGAAAATCAAATACCGTATGTTCTCACTTATAAGTGGGAGCTAAGCTATGTGTATGCAAAGGCATACAGCGTGGTGGCATGGACTTTGGAGACTTAGAAGGTGGGGGGGTGGGAGGAGGGGCAAGGGATACAAAAACTACATATTGGGTATAATGTACACTACTCCGGTGAAGGGAATGCTAAAATTTCAGACTTCACCACTATATAATTCATCCATGTAACCAAAAACCACACGTACCTCAAAAGCCATTGAAATAAAAAAATAAGAACCCCAAGTTTCTAAATTGGAGAGAGAAGAGGTTAATTCCCATGAAAAATGGGTGCAGGAGGGGAGGGTGATGGGTCAGAGGGGCAGGGCCTTGGAGGTCAGCCAGCTGCCGGTGATGGACAGACTTCCACATGACCTCTGAGATTTCTTCTCTATCACAGAAAGGGCAAGATACAATCATTTCCAGATTATTTCAGATTAGTTATTTTAATGAAAAAATTCTAGCAGGGGGTGGCTGGAGCTGTTCCCTTCTGCCTAAAAACTAGACCACAAAGTAAGTGAAGGTAACCCTCGTCTCTAACAGGGGGAGTGGGCGGTGGGGTAGGATGATTTTAAAGACTGTAAGAGGAGGATTTTATTGGAGGGAAAGTCCAAATTCTATATTGGGGCAGTAGAGCTGCACCATGTCAGACACCTGCTCTGGCAAACTCGAGGTATTACCGGTCCCTGACCTTGGGTGAATCATTTAACCACCAGAGCCCTGGTGATGCCATCTCTAACGTGGGACTCACAAAATAGCTTGCTTGCATAGTCACGAGTATTAAACTAAAAAGTAATTATCAGTAGACCCAACACAGTCCCCTGCTGAGGATCAAGTCCATGCTTGTTAAAAATTAAAATTAATAAGATAAGAAGTGTAGTTCCTTGGTCCCACTAGTTGCCTGTCAGTAGCCACGTGTGACTAGTGGCTACCACATTGGACAGCACAAGATTGTAGGCCATTTCTATCACCATGTAAATTCTGCTAGAAGTGCTGGGCACCTGTGGCAGGTGAATCAGCTGAACTCTCTCATATCCCCCTGGGTTCCATTCACTCGGTGCCATGACAATGAATGTCCCAGGGAAGGAAGGAGACGTGTTGGTGTAAAGGAACCTCGCTGCTGTGCCAGTGTTCAGGTTGCCCTGAAGACCCCCAAACTGCTGCCAAGGGCTCACCTGACCCATCAGCAGACAGACAGCACTTGTGAATTTGGAGTTTCAAGCTGGCCCACGTTACCTGGGACCTGTCCCATAGGCCTATCTGCTTCCCCTGAGGGCTGCCCTCCTCTCCATGTTCACAGTCCCCGTCCTCCAGCAGAGACGAAAGGTAAAAATAAAGTATTTCTTTTAGAGCAGCTGCTAGACTGCCTATGTAATGAATCATTTGCATTTATGTAAATTACCTCATTATGTAAATTACAGTAACATTTCAATACAAAAAACTGTCCGTCTGCTGGAATTTGGAGAAAAGACAGGACTGGGAGGCCGGAGATACCCAGAGTTGAAGTGCTCACTGGGGGCAGAGGAGAAGCAGCGAAGAATCTGCAATAATTTGCACCTGGCTGTTGGGTGAATGGGCACAAGGAAGGGCTCTAAAGAACCTAGAACTCTTTCAGGATTTAAAAGGTGATGTCTGTCTTGCAAAAAGAGACTGAAGGCATTGGGGGAGCCTTCTCAACGCTTTCAGAGCCCCTGTCCAGCCTCTCCACCGCTGGCCAGATGTTTCAAAGTACGGAATGTCACCAGGGCTAAGAGAAAGTTGACTGGGGCTGGGGAAGGGCCCCGAGAAGCACACACTTTATGTTTTTGAAATTATAATTGCTTTAGACAATGACTGAATTCATTTCTTTTGCTTCTCCTTCAAACAAGCAAACTAGAAAATAGCACAGAGGAAAGTTTAGGTGAAATACCCGAATAGGGAAGTGGATCGCCCCACGTCTCCGTCCGAGTGAACTGTTCTGAGCTCTGTTGGTTTCGGAATGCACGTGCGCTTCCTGCTCCTGTGGTTTTGGTTGTCCACCTCGGCATGCCCCGCCCGCATCAGCTGACATTTCAGCCATTTTGAATCCAGGTCTTAAGGACTCTATTGGCGCTTTCCTGACCCTCCTCTGAACCCTCGGCCCCTCAGCAGCCATCAGCGTCTCTGGAGAAGTCGCCATGCCTCTCTGTGGGTCTCCAGGCCCCATGGTTTGTCTCCAGGGCCCCTCTGCTGAGGTCTGAAGAACCCCTTGGTGGGCGTGTACACAGAACAGCATCTGGTCCTGCTTAATCCTGACTTGCCCTCTGGGTGAAGGAGCTCTTTATTACACAACCTCAGGACACCGACAGTTACACGCCTTCTGAACATTTCATTGCTGTATAATAGGGAGAGTGGTTTGAAAAAACCCGAAGAGTTGAATGCATTGTTTGGGAAGGTTGGTAATTATTTGGTGGGTACGAGGAAGGGCTTTTAAATAAAGGAATTTCAAGTGCTCATTGCAGAGTCCTATAGAGAAACTTAGTATTACCTAAGGGAAATCAGAAGAAAAATGATTTTGTTACCATGATATTAGGGGAAACAGAAAGAGGAGAAGAAGAAAAAAGACAGTGCGTGCGACCTGTAGCCTCTGGCTGGGGGCATGGAATAGATATGGAGACATTGTGAGAGGTACTTTGTGAACTGCAGCACTTTTGAGTGTGAAACTCTGTTTTACTCCTCATGGACAGTTTCAAATTTCATGGAAAAATGACCCTGGGAGTTTGGCCACCATTTAACAAGAGTTAAGAGTCTACTCAGACTAGCAATAGTCAGAAATCCAGGCAACTAAAGTTACTTAGGCTGCTATGATTCCTTTCCTTTGGGAATCTGAAAACTGACTCCAGAAATTATCATTTCTATGCAACAGATGAATACCCCAAGGAAATGGTTTCCAGCCATATTTAAAGTTGTGTTTCTCAAGGTGCAGTTTCTCTGATGCTAGTGGCATCAGAATCACCTGTGGGTGAGGGAAGATGTTGGTTAAAATGCAATTTCCCAGGCCCTACCCAAGAGCCTGTTGAACTAAATAGGCATCCTGGGTGTTTCCAGTGTAGACTAAAGTTGGAGGAACACCAGTTAAAGTAAAAAGAACCAAGACCTAACCTTGAGGACTCAAACTTTATCTTTTCTATTTCTTCTTAACAGTGGAGAGATGTAATTTTTCTCAAATCACAAAACTCTAGCCTTGACAACTGGTCTGTAAATACACAGTCCACATCTTCAGGTAACAGCAAAGAATCATTTGCTTATGTGGTTTGTTGCTGTCTGAATGAAATATGGAGTTGCCCTGGCAGCCTGCGTGTTCAGCTAGCTCAGCTCTGGGGTTTATATGCTGCACCCTGAGGGCAGATGATTGCTTTGCCCAAAGACCAGGCTCGGGTGAGGGAGTTACTCAAAGCCCAAAGAAGCAAAACCTCTTTACTTATTCACACGTCATTAACAACAATTACATTCATTTTATCTTTGATATATCCAGATACACTGAACAGAAGACAAGTGATTTCACACATAGTCCAGTTAGTGTCTATGCGGAAAACAGGGAAAGAAGCCAACACCAGCAGAACTGCTGTTGGGAGTGTGTGGTTAAGTCTGTGCTCCCAGGAGATCCAAATCTGCTCCATTCTGTTCCACCACCTTGTCTTCATGAGCACAGTCGTCTCCTTCTGGAATTCAGCAAAGTAGAGGGCTGTGTTCATTGACACTGTTCCCTAACCATGTCTTTTGAAAAAAAATTTTTTTCAAAAATCATCCCAACATCCTGTAATGGCAGAAGAGCAGAGTGCACACAGTCAGTGTGGGTTTGTGCATAGAAGGATGAAGCTTGCTGGAAGGGGTATTAGAGAAGCCTGGGAAGAGTCCTTGGGTTCCAGGTGATCATACCCTTTTCACAGGTAATAACAGAATAAGAACATAGTTCATGTATGTCCTTAAATCTCCTAACAGAAGCATGTCTTCAGTTCCAGCATGAACCTCTCTGCTCTGTGGGGTGGGTTCTAACCCTCCCAATGATAAAGGGACCCTGGAATTAGGGGAGCATGGTAGGTCCAGTTCCCTTCCTGTTTTAATCTGGGGACACTGGAGGACAAAATTGAAAGCACATTTTAAAGGAATATTGACTTGCTGGCAAACCTTGTGATGGTTTGTAAACTCAAGATTTTCAGTGTCAGAAACTGCTGGTCACTGAAGTACCTGTCTGGTTCCGCAGGGAAAATCTCACGTCAACCCTCATGTTCATTTTATTTGTATAAAGACTTACAATAAAATAATCTACTGGTAGGAGCTTTGTCAAACAGGTGAGTAGACCCTTTAGTTGATCTATTCCTATTGTGTAGGTAAGAAAACTGAAACCTAGAGAGATTGATTTCTCCCAGGTCATGAGAGCCAGTGAGGGCTGTATTAGTTAGGGCTCTTAAGAGACACTGAACCAACAAAAGATATATATATATAAAATGAAGATTTGCTGTGAGGGATTGGCTCACAGTACAATGGAGGCTGAGATGTCTCACGACCTTCCATCTACAAAGCCTGTGGTGTGGTGCAAGTTTAAGCCCGAAGGCCTGAGAACCAGGGAAGCCAATGCTGTAGGTCCCAATTTGAATCCAAAGGCCCAAGAACCTGGAGCACTGATGTCTGAGGACAGGAGAAGATTCATAGCCCAGCTCAAACAGAAAGGGCAAATTCACCCTTCTGCCTTTTTGTTCTATTCGGGCCTTCAGTGAATTGAATCATGCTCATTCACCGTGGGGAGGGTGATCTTCTAGGATTCAAACGCTGATCTCCTCTGAAAAGCACTCTCACAGACAGCCAGAAATACTTTCACCAGCCCTCTGGGCACACCTTAGCCCAGTCGAGTTGACACATAAAATTAACCATGATGGTAAAGGGGCAAGCAGAACTAGGAGTCAGATCTCCCGACTCCTATTTCAATGTTCTTCCCAATTTTTCACCCTTTTTTTTTGGACAGCCCAGCTTGCCACACTAAAGAGTATGAGTTTTTCCCCACAAATGACACAGAGCCACTGAGCAGTTGAACAAGGGATAGAAGCATTTGCAGGTGTTCTTTATGGAGACACCACTTGGATGGCCGTGAGGACTGGCTGGGGTGGAGAGAAGCGGGGAGTAAGTGGTGGAGATGCACTGCATGGAAACACTGACCCGCAATGAACTGCAGCAGCTGCTGCGTCAGGCCGGCAATGCAGAGAGCCTCAGCTGAAGTGGGCTCTGGAGGAATGCAGTGGACAGATTGTGGTAACCTGAAATTCACGGTACAATTAAGCCAAATGGGTATGCTGGGAGTTGAGGGAAAGGTCAGTTTAATCTCATTCCCAGTCTGTGGCTACGATAGGAACGAGGACTGAAATATATAGAAAGGCAAGTCCTGGGGAAAACATCAAAAGTCTATTTAGGGACTGGGTGCTGTGGCTCATGCCTGTAAACCCAGCAGTTTGGGAGGCTGAGACGGGCAGATCACTTGAGGTCAGGAGTTTGAGACCAACCTGGCCAACATGGTGAAACCCCATCTCTACTAAAATACAAAAATTAGCCAGCCGTGGTGGTGCACGCCTGTAGTCCCAGATACTTGGCAGGCTGAGGCAGGAGAATCATTGGGACCCGGGAGGCGGAGCTTGCAGTGAGCCAAGATCACTCCACTGCACTCCTGCCTGGGCAACAGAGTGAGACTCTATCTCAAAAAAAAAAAAAAAAAAAAAAAAGGATTCTATTTAGGGACATGTTGAGTTGGGGCATGGAGATGTCTAGTAGAGAGTTCTTTATCCACCACTGGACCTCAGGGAGGTGTCACTGCTAAGTGACATGTGTGGGTGTTGGCACAAAGGTGGCCACGGTAATGGGCTCTGTGGGAGGGCAGGGAGTCCTGGCAGAGCATACAGAGTGAGAAGGGGGAGAAGTGATGTCCAAAGCTAGGGACGCCAATGAAGCGACAGAAGAGCCATGCTCACGAGGGTCTCAGGAGAACAGCCATGGACTCTCATAGACCCAGATAACCCAAGTCTAAATGCCGGCTCTGACCAGCAATTGGTCAGGCTGGAGTTCTGGGTGATCAAAGTAGCTGAAAGAAATAAATCTGCCTCCAAGCAAAGACATGCATCTCGCACTCGCCACCGGTGACCTCGAGTGAACTCCATGTGGAGGAGCCTCACACCACCCCTGGTGCTTAAAAGAGCACTGATGGGAGCTGAAATGGCCAGAGTGACTCACCACGATGAGCGCGATCACAGACAGCGTGTAGTAAATAGAATCCCTCAGCAGGCACCAGGAGGAAAGAGCCACAACCTGCAGGACAAGGGAAACAAAGTCAAACAGGATATAGACTGTACAAATGAGATGGCGGGACTCTTGCAGGTTTAGCCAGCTTCCTGTCTAGGCCTCCTGTCCTGCACCCAATCTGCCAATCAATCGGAATTTATTCAAGTATTTAGGCATATTAGTCTGGATCTTCTGAGAGGCAGACATGAAGATACAATTAAACCTGCAACAATTTTGTTAGCGGGAAACAACTGGTGATAGAAAATGGGGCATCGGGGGAGCTGGGCATGCAGCCTGTCCAACTGTGATGCGGGTCTGACCCCCGTGGAGACAGGGATGGTTGGGTGCACTGTCCTAGCTGGCACGCAGTCTGAGGAAGGTGCAGTGAGGCCCAGGGAACCCTCAATGCAAAGTTGCCTATCAGAGGAGTCTCACATCCCCCCAGGAACGGGCCTGCCTTGACATCCCTAATATCAAGGGGATAGGAGGAGCAATCCTAACCTGTGCCTTTGCCATGAGTCTAGCGTCTGCTACAGCCTGTCTTGCCCCGTGGAGTGAGCAACATGTGCTGGGCTGCTGCCGCCCTTCAGAAGGGGTGTGGACAAGCCTGTCTCTGCCAGACCTTCTTCCCTCATCTCTATTATATGCCTGGCCTTGCTGGCATTTGACCTCGGTTTAATCAGAATCTTTGAAAGATTGATTTGCATACTGATCCAGGGGAAAATGTTCTTGGCATTTGGAGATAGCCCTTTTTAAAGAGATGCTGGCTCTGCTGACACGAAGCTGATAGGCACATTGCTGGAGGCTAAAGCAGCCTTTCCCTGCAAGAGGAGGGGGCTGCTAGGTGCAAAGAAGGGCAGAGGAGCCAGGGCTGGAGGTGGTCGGGAGAGTTTGAGGAGAGGGGAAAGAGCTGTGGGTGTCAGGTTGAGGCTTCTGTTCTGGAGAAAGAATCATTTCTCCCAGGAAAGTTCTTCTAAGTCTCTTATTAAGGGATATTTAGTATTTTTATCTGTTTACAGTGTAGGTCCACTTTGGCAGACCTTACAAATAAGTCTGGGAGAGTCCACACACCTTGTTCCAAGGGTTGTCACTGGCAAGTCCCTTTCCCTTCCCTAGAGGAGTATCGACTACCCCATGGCCACAGGATGTTTGCCTGGCTACCTTTGCCCTTGGCGTAGTAAGTGAAAAAAGACACAGCACAAGTCAACACTCTCAGCCGTGGCAATGACAGGCACATGCTACACCAAACACAGTGGGAAAAAGGGACCCCAGGGACATGCAATCCCTGAGCCTCTACCCTCCCCGACTGCTGTGCAAGTCTATAAAGATCAGACCAAGTCAAACTAGAGGTTTTCTGGATGCAAATAACATGAAAGGCATGACTTAAATAGGACCATAAATGAATAACAAGGCCAGTCTCTTTCCATTAACGCATTCCCCACTTCCTATATGAACACTTAGTTATTTCCTGTTGCTAATTTTGCCTTATTAGGTGAAGCATTTGCATTTCTAAGTCACACATGACAGGGTTGTCAAGAAGAGAATTCACATCAGAAAAATCATGTTAGAATAAATATAAAGTATTCTTTACCCTTTTTTCATTCTCTCTCAGTACTGTAAACTCTTAGAATCTGTGGTCATCACTCACCATTTATGCAATAGATTAAATTGGACTAAATTGTTCATTTTCCAGCAGGTCATAAAAGGTTGTATTTATTCACTTTATTATAATCAGACAAATGGGCTTAAAACGTGGCAAATATCAATTTTGAATTTCTTTAACACATTACTTGGACTTTTAGTTAACGACGACAGATTGAGTACATACCATTACCGTTCTTGTTATACCGTAACAAGATAATACTAAAGGGTTTTTTCGATCAGGACATAAACCCACAATGCAAAAGGAATAGAAGAGCTGATAAGAACAACAAAATTTTTGAAGCTGGAAAGCAGAAGAATAATTGGGAATGTTCTAAAAGTTAGAATAAAGATAGGCCTGAAAACAGAACAATCAAAAGACTGTTTAAGAATTTAATCTCAAGCCTCCTTCCTTACTTCATACAGCCCAGTTAATGCTCATTCTTTACCTTAATAGAAAATAAGAGATCCAGCATTTGAAGAATTGAAGTTCCAGAAAACAGAGAACACAGAGGGAGGAAATGATGAAATAAATAATTCAGAAACCATTCCAGAAGTTAAGGACATGGATTTTTTTTTTTTTTTTTGAGATGGAGTCTCTCTCTGTCACCCAGGCTGGAGTGCAGTGGCGTGATCTTGGCTCACTGCAAGCTCTGCCTCACAGGTTCACACCATTCTCCTGCCTCAGCCTCCCAAGTAGTTGGGACTACAGGCGCCCACCACCACGCCTGGCAAATTTTTTTGTATTTTTTAGTAGAGACAGGGTTTCACCGTGTTAGCCAGGATGGTCTCGATCTCCTGACCTTGTGATCCACCTGCCTCGGCCTCCCAAAGTGCTGGGATTACAGGCGTGAGCCACGGCGCCTGGCCGGACATGCATTTTCATAGCAAAAGGGTCCTCTGAGTTTATTTCATTGAGTGCACAATAAACAAAACAAGACATACATCAAAGCAGATAATCATAAATCTTCAGAACACTGGAACAAAGAACAGACCCTAGAAATTACCAGACAGAGGAGAGGAAAGCAGATATATATATATATATATGTGTGTATATATATATATATATATATATAATAAAAACCAGAATGACATTTTGTAATCAACAAAGACATGGAAAGCTAGCAAAAAATGGAGTCATGCCTTCAAAATTAGAAAGGAAAACAATTGAAATTCTATGCCCAATCAAATTATTAATTAAAAATGAGAAAAGAATAAAAATAAAATTTTAGTTGTCTCAAAAAATTTGCCTCCTATGTGTCCTTTCTGAAAAAGCTACTGGAGAATGTACTCCACCAAAATAAGGGAGTAAAGCACTTGTTACATATAATTATGTTACAATAAAACATAATACCAAGCAACCAGAATCTATGATGATAATTAAAGGGGATTTCTAGAATGACAGTGAAGGGAGAATTTAGAAGGATGATAAAAGGAAATTCCAAAATGAAACTTTTACAGCAGGCTTAGAGAACAACCTAGCCAGACTGGAGTGACTCAGAAGACTACAGAAAAAATGTTGCCAGAAGGACAAAATTGATGAAACAGTTGATAATTTTGAACGTACAGAAAGAAGATTGGAGAGCTCTAAGAATAGAACATAGAAAACTAAGCAAGCAAACAATAAAAAAGACAATTATAAGCCACAAGGTAAACACAGAACTGTGCTCCAAAGAAGATGAACCATTGTGTATTAATGGCTCAACTATGAAGAGTGGTTGTATAGTAATAATAAACTAAGCAGAATATTGTCTAACCAAACTTATAATTCTTTAGGGGAAGATGGGGGCTGGGTAGTGAGAAGGGGGGGCTAAAAGAGACGTAAACCCTCCTCTTCTATACTGTGAATTCAATGGAGAATGCCGGTAACTGAAAAAATCAAGTAGCTGTCATCTAAGCAGGTTATTTAGAGATGTTGAGCAAATATCAGGAACAGGCAAACTAATGGAAAGCAGTTGCCTTAGAAGAGTGGGGAAATGGTGATGGTGGGACTGGAAGATGGCTATTTTCCATAATAAGCTTTCTAGAGTGGGTTGCGTCTTTAAGCTCTGTGCCCATATAACTTTAATAAAAATAGGAAAATATATCACAAATTATCCACTTAGTTTTACTTCTGCAAGAAATGCATCTTGCACTAGGTCTAGATGTCAAATGTGGGTGGATAGTGATATCCTTTCTCTTCTTTATAAATAGAATAGTTTTCAATGTCTGGATTGTAATCAAATTTCAGCCGCATATTCAGAGCCTACCCTTAGCAAAATCATTTTTTTTTTGCATAGAGGTGACAAACTGGAGCACAGGTAAGAAGGCATCAAACCAAAGAATTCTTTCCACACTCTAGAAGGAATTTAGAAAGGCATACACCCAAATAATTCACAATTCTATGGTACTTACAGTGAGATCTGTGATCGTGAACTCATGCCCACCTCTGATTTACCTTTCTGACACCACCATTCACCACAAAAGCAATATTTATCTGACCCTTCCTGCAAAGAAGAGGGTTTAGAAGGGTTCTGTATCCTTGCAGAGGCCCAATACCATTTGGCTTACCCTCATTTCCCAGAAACCTGATCTTGATGAAGTTGAGTACTAAGCCAGGTTGGTAATACCAGCAGTGGGAAAGAGTTTGGGATTTGAATCCAGGAAGCCTGGGCCTTGGGTCCCTGTTCCCAGACACTATACTACAATGCTTCACTACAGGCAAAGGTGAAAAACAGGCACCCACTTGCGACTGCCTCCCATGGGGATTTTCCTTTCTCCCTCACTACTGTAGCCATTAGAACAGGTATAATAGAAATTGTAGCCAAAAAAGAGAATAGTTGAAGGCTGAGAGACAAAAACAAACAAACAAAAAAAACAAAAAACAGTGACCACAGCTACATTTTAAAATTAACTGCTTTCAAGAGAATCGAGGTAAGTGATCAAAGCAAAAAAAGAGTTACTATAAAAACTATAGATAGGAATGTAGATATGGAAGGGATATATTCTAGATATGGATATATTCTAGGAGGGAGAGAATCAGTTAAATAAACACTGAAACTACCTGTCCATTTGGCCAGTTCAATTTACAAAAATAAAACACCACTACAGCTCATTGGTGGTTGAATGTTTCACTGTTTCACAAACATGAATACCCTCGTCTTCTGGGCTCCATGTGGTTCCCTTTGCCTCTCAGTGAAGGATCACTTATCTCTAGATGAAGACCGGAAACCATGTGACTCAGCCCTGAACACATTTCCTGGCAGAGGGGGCGTGTTAGCATCTCTGCATCAAATGGGAGGCTCTTTGCATCTGTTGGCAGGTGTCCCCCAAGCCACAGTAGGTTGATGAGAAGACAGGTCACCTTCTGTAGCCCTTTGCAAAATGATTGCAGGGAAGAAAGTCAAATCACTCTGGCTAAGAGACCAGATTAGAGATCCCAGTAGAAAACCAACAGTGAGTAATTCTGTCCTTGACCTCACTGGTCAATAACATAGATGGTGCAGATTACAGAAGCCCATCCACTCCTCCACAGATTCAGCCAGAGACTCTATTTTCCCCCTATAGCTTTAGGAATCCCACCCAGCTGGAATTTCATCTTGATATTTCTTTTTCTATTTATGGAATGCATTCACACATTCTCTATTGAATATGCAGCTTCAGTTTCCTTCTTATAATTTCATTTAGTTTCAGAGTGGCATAATGCAAAAAATAATTCACACTTTTAAAACAACACATTCTCTTCTGGAATTCTGGCTCCCTCTAGGAGGTAAAAGTAATTGTTTATGATAAAACCATATATTTTCTGTGTACAGATATGCATTGTGAATCTATATACAGCTATTTTTATATATGATAATATACATATAGTATATATGAAGATAGATTGCGTATCTGTAATATTATATAATATTTATGATAACTTTTCTTGATGAACAATATAACCTGACATTACCGGCACATTTAAAAAGGCACAAATATTCTCGATTTGTGAGTATTTGCTTTAAAAAAAAAAACTGTTGAAGCAAACAAAACAACATAATAGTTACACAACATAAAACATAAAACTGTTAGTGTCTGTGAGAAATGTTGTTATTTCACACAAATTTCATGGAAAAGGGATTTGAGAAATCATGAGTTTTGTTCCAAGCTTTTGAGCTGACACAATTTCTACAGCCAATTCTCATCTCAGGAAACACAGCCACCTGATCTGCAGTGAGGATGGGGCTCTGGGGTGTCTCTGAAACCATCTGAGGACACCAAGTGGTGCTGAAGTTCAGACAGGCCTGATGTGGGTTTTTCCTCCCACAGGGCAGTCTCAGTACTACTGTCTGCTCATGAAGTACACTTTTAAAAAACTTCTATGCCGGGAAAAATCACTGAAATACAAATGGCTCCTGTTTTCTAGAAGTTCACTATCGAAAATGGACAGTAATAATTGGGCTATGTAAAAAGACAATTACACGCTTTTGCAAAATACAGTGAACTGCTGCTTATTAATCTTCCCAACCAGGAACACAAAATAAATTCACATTTTAAATCTAATTTTTTAAAGAAAACTCATTTTGAGTTCTAGTTTTGTGTGAGAAAAACAAATGACAAATAAACAAGCTTCTAGTGGAGACAGATTTAAATAAAAACAAGGCCATATCAGGACAGTGCAGACATAGAATAATCTCTTGAGTGCTCTTCATTGATCTTGCTGAACAATAACCACGGATGCTCATAATGACCTGGAGATGCCTCAGGACTCAGACATGCCTTCTCAATCATCCACAAAATTATGTGCAGTTTTCATGTTAAGTGTAAGTTATTGCCTGCTAGGCCTTCAAAATTTGGTAGTTCAGAGTGTTCCCCCACACATCAGAATTCACAGGGAGTCAGCTCTGCTGTAGGGAAGAAAATGCTGGACTTGAGGCCACAGGGCTGTTCCCTGCAGTGCCCCTGGCTCCCTTCGCCCACTCTGGGTACCAGGTGTAAGGATATCTGCATTCACTGCCAGGCATTGATGTGCCAGCACCCGGCACAGCATTTGGCAGTACTAGGTACTTGATACAAATTTGTTGAATAAATGTAGGACATTTAGGGTAATTTAATTTAACCAAATATATTAGCTTGGATTCACCCAGAAACAGACCCAGATTTGAGTGCAAATAGTTTATCTTGGGAGGTGATTCTAGGATAATTGTTAGGAGAGTGGGGAAGTGAGGCAGGCGGTGGAAGGAAGATAATAACCAAGTCATGGCAGTGGGCAACTGGGACTCCATCCTAGTGGGGATCTCTGGGGGACCATGTGGATGGAACATGCCTCTGAGAGGAGAGGGAGCTGGGGTATTAATCCACCCACTTCCATCGGTCATTGGTTGAGAGCTGCACCTAGGAGTGTAAATTCTCTGGCACCTCCTACCCCAAGGGCAGAAAATGTGGGCTTTTGTGACCAAGAGGAGCTCCCAGACAAAGAAATGCAGGTTTTGGCTGTTGGCAGTCAGGCCAGTGGGAACTGAACTGGTAAGGGTGAAAAGCCACGGGTGGGGCATGAGGACTGTCTAACCAAAAATGTGGATTTACACAGTAATCCAATATTCAGAGAAAGCATAAACACACACACACACACACGCACACACACAGAGTTTTGTAATTTTTAAAGTACAACCCGATCACATTTGTATAAGACTCAAAAGCAGGCACCACTAATTCATGCCATTTTAAATCAGGAGTAGTGTTCCCCTGGAGGTAAGGCTAGTGTCTGAAAGAGGCCATGAGGGGCTCTCAGAGGCCATGACTGTTCTCCCTCTTGATCAGGGTGCTGGCTACCACGTGTGCCCACTTTGTGAAATGCCATGGAGCTGGATTAGGACAGGTGCACTTTCCTAAGTGTATGTGGTGCTTCAATAAAAACGCTATTCAAACAAAGCACAAATGCAATTACAATGTTAACTGTTATCGTTGTTAACATTACACATTAATTTTAATAGTAATTACTCCATCACAATGTGGGGTTGGCTTATTATAAAAGTTGCCAGATAAGATACAGGAAGCCCAGTGAAATCAGAATTTCAAGAAAACACCAAGTCATTTTTTAATACAAATAAAAATTATCTTGGATATTTGAGATAAGCATATCTCAAATATCACATGGGACATACAGTATACTAAAAATAGTATAGTTGCTTATCTAAAATTAAAATTTAATGTGATATACTGTATTTTTGTTTGATAAACCTAGTAACCATACTTATTAGATTTTGGGTGTTCATTAAAATAACTATTTTGACTTTCTTTGGATAAGCACAAGATTGGAAGTTTAGTGATTTTGGACTAAATATTTTTAGGACAAAGGGCAAGTTGAACCTGTTCTATGTTGCCTATTTATCTTATGCTGGATATTAACCACTATATATTTCTTGTTTTTTGAGACAGGGCCTTACTCTCGTTGCCCAGGCTGGAGTGCAGTGGTGCAATCTTGGCTCACTGCAGCCTCGACTTCCCAAGCTCAGGTGATCCTCCCATCTCAGTCTCCCAGGTAGCTGAGATTATAGGCACATGCCACCACGCTGGGCTGATTTTTTGTATTTTTAGTAGAGATGGAGTTTTTGCATGTTGCCCAGGCTGATCTGGAACTCCTGGGCTCAAGCAATCCATCTGCTTTGGCCTCTCACAGTGCTGGGATTACGGGGGTGAGCCACTGTGCTCGGCCTGAGCCCCTGTTTTATTTTGGTTGTTTGGCCTGATTAGAATTTTTTCTTTGTTTCTTGTTAGTTGAAATAGTTGCTAAAGTGTACATTGCATTTTTTTTTAGGGGGGATGTCCACAACATCAAGACTTTTGGTTTCTCTTGGAAAAATCTGAAGACCAGGCAACTTGTGTCACTGTGGAGCCGCTCAGCGGTGCCCTGTATAGATGGGATGTGCATTCATCTGCTTGCATGGATCGCCCACCTCTTCATTGCCCCCAACTCCTAAGGCCAAGAGTCAGATGCCATATACTACTCTCTTTCTGCTAGGATTGTCCTTAGACCCAACCACTCCACTTATTTATTCTATATAGCTGAGCCTTGCAGGAATATGCATCTGTGATCCCTGATCTAAAATAATTATATTAATTAGCATCAACAATGCTGAACACAATCAGTTGCCATCTCTTCAACATTTGACATGATGCTCTGGGGTTCTTAAACATTTTCTGTGCTATGCGCCCCTGACACTCTGTGGATCCCTTTGCAGAATAGTGTGTTAAAAGGCATACAATAAATAATAGAATCACTAGGAAACTGATTTATTGAAATCTAGTCATCAAAACATTGAAAAATAGAGATTCATTAATATATGTGTTTCCTTATTAACAAGAGCCAGTAAATTTCTTTATTATAAGAAGAGTTAGCCATTCACTCTGAAGTAGTGATGAATGAGAAGAGCTCTGAGATAACTGCGGTGACTGTAATCCAGCACGCAATTGCTCACATTTCTATCGGAGACGACATCACAGATACAGCTCATGTGGCTATGGTTGTTGCTTCATGTATAATAAGACCAAATGCTAGATAAAAGTGCTTAGTGAAAATAAAGATGTATTTTTTTTTCTCATTTATGCTCACCCACTCCCTAATCTAGTTTTCAGAGTTGGAAGCCCTGAGGTTCTACTCCTTTTCAGTTCTTGGCATTTGGTCATCTAATTTTCCCCTGGAGAAGGGGGCAGGAGGAAATGGGCTCTCAGCCCATTCTGGCTATATTGATAAGAATTCAGGTGGAGGAGGTTAAACTAATGGCAAAAACACTGTTTGGGGTTATCTGTAGATTTTGATTAAGAGTGCTATTTGTTTAATTCATTATCATAGAGAGAAATTTGGCTATATTTACAGTTTTGCAGGAAGAATTAAAGTGGCTCACAATATTCATTCTGTCATCTCAGACTGATGAGTGCAGAACTGGAGTCATTTCTGTGAGGACTGAACAGACAATCTCCCCACAGCTAAGTGTGTGCCTCCTGCTGTTTATCCCCAAAGACACGGGGACAGTGGTATCAGCATCGCCGGGGAGCTGGTTAGAAAAGCAACTCTCAGACCTCCCTCCAGACCTGCTGCATCAGAACCTGTATGCTGCCGAGGTGCCCAGGTGACTCAAGGGTTTATTGTAGTGTGAGTCCTGCTGGCTTAGAGGACAGAGAATTCAGGGTCTGAGTCACACCCATGAAACTGGAAATGCAAAGAGTGAGAGGCTGGGGAGGAGGTCCACGGCCCTCCCCGTGAGAAGTGGGATCTGGACGCGATGCAGCAGGCACAGAGAGTCATCTGGGACCTTTGGGACACCTAGTGACTCTGTGCGTGGGCTGAAGCTGCAAGTTAGAAGCACCACTTGTTTGGGGCTTCATACTTCATCTATTTTGAGCAGCAACCCTGTTTAAGATGCTGGGGGAAATCACCCTTTTGTATAATGGATAGAACCATGTTAGAAAATTCCTGCTCCCCCCAAGCTCTCCTATTCCTTCCACGGTATAAAGAAGTCCAAACCAGAGTGGAGCTGAATTTATTTTAAAATGTATACCTGTCACATTAGTAGCTAGAGCTATGTAGGGAGCAAATATTTCCTTGTTTTATGAATTACAAAACCTAAGAGCAATCTCTAACTTGAGGAACACTTTTGGTGTCCTGACCTGAATATACCATCATAGTACTTGGTCTCCAAAATAGTGTGGAGTTCACTCAACATTACATTTGAAGTGCTGACAAAAATGGAAGTGAATACCTACCAGGTGAGTTCAGAAATCAGACAGTTAAGACTATGCATCTGAGTTTAAGCTTTGGAAGTAAGACCCTGCCTAAAATTACATACATTATTACACTGGCATTTGATGTCTATAATATTATCAGAATGCAGAAGCTGATATTTTTCATGGTGTTAGGAGAGCCAGTAATAGAATCACAGGGGACAGATGCTCCATTTCTCTCATCTCTCTAAAAATTAAAATGCTAAAACAAAGAGGATAGAAAGACAGAAGAGCCAGCTGTTTTTCAATTCGCAGGCTTGGACATGGATTTGGAAATTTCTGGTTCATATCGGGAAGGATCCAAGGTTTTCTGGTTTCATCAATTAACAACGAAGAAGAATAGTTGATTGTGCTTTTAAAATTAAGATTTCTACCTGGTGTTTGGCAATGAAGGGGACTTTCACAGTATCAGGAGCTAATCTGGCTTAAAATGGAGCATGCGTTTAAAAATGTGGGTGACTCCTCCCAACCCCCCAAATAAAACCCTTCTGCATATTTGGTGTGCACTCTAGGTTGGAAGAGAAGCACCTGTCCCCCTCAGGTGCAGATGCCGGCCACCGTCTTCTCTTAGGAGTGAACAGTGATATTTTTATACTCAAGGATACTGATTGCTATGACTGTGTGGCTGATCTGGCCCCAACTGATCTTCAGACGATCTATTTTAAGTAATTTCTGTGACTCAGGGTAGGGAAAGCAGGTGACACTCATGAATCAATTCTGCAGCCAGGGCAAATCGAACACAAGGACATTTCTTTAATGTGTGCTTGGAAGATATTTCCCCCCTGCATTAAAGAAATTGAGAATTAAAACAAAGTACCACATCAATAACACATCTAGGTTTGATCTGTGTTGGACAATAAAGAAGAGAGCTGAGAGAATTGGGTGACTAAGGCAGCCAATAAGTCAACCAGCCAACAAAGAACCCTTCCTTAAGGAGCTGAATATTTTTTAGTCAAAAACATAGGGGGAGGTTATGTTATCAAAGTATTTATGTGGATTTTCAGCTTGCAAATGAAGACCATCTCAGCAGAGTGTAGTTAGCACCTTAGCTGTTCACAGGATCAGAAAGGTAATCAATTTGCAGCCTAGGAAGTACAGTGATAAAAATATGTGCTTATATTGTGCAGAGAAGGCTGAGACAAGGGAGAATGGGTTCCATGTGCAGCCTCACCTCCTTCATTTTCCTCCACATTTTAGGGTGTGTGTGGGGCCTGGAAGCCTGAGCTACTCTTCACCTTCACCCTTCAGGTACTGTGTGATCAAGAGTGCTGCCTATGCACTTCCTCATTTCAGTTTTCCACCTGGAATGATAATATTTATCCATAACAGATGCTCAGCAATGTGTAAGAATCCGTGCAAAAACGTATGAGAAGATCCTAAGATTTCGGAATGAAAAGATTACTGTGTGCATATATACATAAGGAACAGTGAACATTTGCAAATAGCTATAGAATCTTATCTCATTCCTAGGGAAGAACAGACCCCTCTGAATGATATGGGGCTGTCAGGAACCTCTTGTTTTCCAGGAGGTCATGGCCTGTGCTGAAGCCTCTCCCTGCAAGAGCCAACATTTAACAATTGGTTCTTAAGTGTCAAACACTGTGCTCAGCACTTTACATGCCTTTTTTTTCTTACAAACTTTTAATATTCCCATTTCACAGATGAGAAAACTAAGGCTTAGTGAGGATCATAGTTTGAAAGTGATAGGACTACGTTTTGAGCCAGGTCTGACTTACTGCAGAGTGCACATGGTTAGTCCCTTGTTGAGGTAAGACCCTAACTTACATCATTGTAAGAATGACCTGGGTGTCTTTGTTAAGTACAGATTCCCGGGCCCACCTACCCCAGACCTTCTGAATCAAACTCTTTCAGGGAGGCCCTGGTTTTCAACTTTGGCTGTACATTGGAATCACCTAGAAGCTTTATGAAATACTCATGCCTGGGTCCCACCCCTAGAGATTCTGATTTAGCTGAGCTGTGCTGTGGCCCAGCCACTGGGGTTTTAAAAATACCCCCCAGTAATTCTAACATGAGATAGGGACTGAGACCACTGCTCCCTCCTGCTGCACCCCATGAGGCTAATAGATGTGAGACAATAAAAAATGAGAAATACCCTAGCACTCCCCAGTCCCACACAACAGTGAAGAAAGCCCCATCCGTGTGGATGAGATTTCGAGAAGTCACAGCGCATTTTGTACATGCTTCAGGATTATCTCAGAGTCCACACACCAGCAGCGCTGCTATCCATCTCTGCTTATACAGCAGATCTGTTTTAATATCCCTTTTATATTTATAATAAAAATTTACTTTGAGAGTCCCATCAGCATAAAACAAGATGTGTGGAATTGCTGGGTTTAATTTTATAGCTGGGAAGACTCAGAGGCTTGGGGCTGAAATCATCTGAAGGTTTTTTTTGCCAGAATGATGGGTGGCTGACACTGACTGTGGACAGAGATCTCAGATGGGTATATGGGCTGAACTTGAGGCCAGGGCTTCCTTAGTAGGGCAGCCTCAGGGTAATCAGACAACTTAAATGGGGGCTCAGGCTCCAAATGCAAGTGTCCCAAGAGAACAGGCAGAAGCCATATAGTCTTTTATGGTGTGGCACTAAAAGTCAGATAGTCTCACTTTGTATCTTATGCACAAGACTGGTAAAATCTAATTACTGCACTTTAAAAACTGAATAGAAGTACTGGCAAGAAAATTTAAATATGTTTTCCTTCAAATGAAGCAAACACCTGACATAATAAAATATTTAAGTCAAATTTCCTAAGGGTGCATTTGGTTGCAAAAGTCATGCAAACATACAAATTGTATCTCCAATCTTAGGAGACAAAAGGGTCATAAATTAAGTTTTTATCAATTTCTTCCTATTTCTATCTGATTTTAACTTAAAAGTTCAGTGATAATTGTAGGTTTTGTATGACATAAAAATAAAAATACATATATAATTTCTGAAACAGATTCTCGCTGTGTCACTTAGGCTGGAGTGTAGTGGCATGATCTCGGCTCACTGCAACCTTCGCCTCCCGGGTTGAAGTGATTCTCCTGCCTCACACTTCGGAGTAGCTGGGATTACAGGCATCCGCCACCACATCTGGCTAATTTTTGTATTTTCAGTAGAAAAGGGGTTCCACCATGTTGGGCAGGCTGGTCTTGAACTCCTGACCTCAACTGATCTGCCCTCCTTGGCCTCCCAAAGTGCTAGGATTACAGGTGTGACAAAAAATATTTTTGCTTAAAAAATGATATTGACAATTACAGTTAAAAAAAATCAAGCAGGACAACTGAGTATAAAATAAAAGTAAAAAAATCTCTGGCCCCTCCTTGCCTCACCCCAGCCTTCCTCACCAGGGGTCAGCATTCTTAAAATTTCTCCTTTTCCTTATTTCAGGTGTCAGTAAACTAACCCTTAATAATTTGCTTCCACTTCTGTATCTTGTTTTGTATTGATGTCTTGTTAGGAAAGATAAAAAAATGACACACTTGTGCCTGCATTACCGCTACTGAGAGGTGACAGCGTGCTGGCAGTCCTCACAGCCCTCGCTCGCTCTCCGCGCCTCCTCTGCCTGGGCTCCCACTTTGGAGGCACTTGAGGAGCCCTTCAGCCCACCTCTGCACTGTGGGAGCCCCTTTCTGGGCTGATCAAGGCCCCAGCAGGCTCCCTCAGCTTGCAGGGAGGTGTGGAGGGAGAGGCGCCAGCGGGAATCAGGGCTGCGCTCCGCGCTTGCGGGCCAGCTGGAGTTCCGGGTGGGCGTGGTCTTGGCAGCCCCCGCACTCGGAGCAGCCGGCCAGCCGGCCCTGCCGGCCCAGGTAATGAGGGGCTTAGCACCTGGGCCAGCGGCTGCGGAGGGTGTAATGGGTCCCCCAGCAGTGCCAGCCCACCGGCGCTGCTGTCTATTTCTCACCTGGCCTTAGCTGCCTTCCCGCGGGGCAGGGCTTGGGACCTGCAGCCCGCCATGCCTGAGCCTCCCACCCACTCCATGGGCTCCTGTGCGGCCGGAGCCTCCCCATTGAGCGCCGCCCCCTGCTCCTCGGCACCCAGTCCCATCGACCACCCAAGGGCTGAGGAGTGCGGCTGCACAGCGCGCCGGACTGGCAGGCACCTCCACCTGCAGCCCCAGTGCGGGATCCACTGGGTGAAGCCAGCTGGGCTCCTGAGTCTGGTGGGGACGTGGAGAACCTTTATGTCTAGCCCAGGGATTGTAAATACACCAATGGGCACTCTGTATCTAGCTCAAGGTTTGTAAATACACCAATCAGCACCCTGTGTCTAGCTCAGGGTTTGTGAATGCACCAATCGACACTCTGTATCTAGCTACTCTTGTGGGGCCTTGGAGAACCTTTATGTCTAGCTCAGGGATTGTAAATACACCAATCAGCACTCTGTATCTAGCTCAAGGTTTGTAAATACACCAATCAGCACCCTGTGTCTAGCTCAGGGTTTGTGAATGCACCAATTGACACTCTGTATCTAGCTACTCTGGTGGGGCCTTGGAGAACCTTTGTGTGGACACTCTGTATCTAGGTAATCTAGTGGGGAGGTGGAGAACCTTTGTGTCTAGCTCAGGGATTGTAAATGCACCAATCAGCGCCCTGTCAAAACAGATCACTGGGCTCTACCAATCAGCAGGATGTGGGTGGGGCCAGATAAGAGAATAAAAGCAGGCTGCCGGAGCCAGCAGTGGCAACCCACTGGGGTCCCCTTCCACAGTGTGGAAGGTTTGTTCTTTCACTCTTTGCAATGAGTCTTGCTACTGCTCACTCTTTGGGTCCACACTGCTTTTATGAGCTGTAATACTCACTGCGAAGGTCTGCAGCTTCACTCCTGAAACCAGCAAGCCCACGAGCCCACTGGGAGGAACGAACAACTCCAGACGTGCCAACTTAAGAGCTGTAACACTCACCGCGAGGGTCTGTGGCTTCATTCTTGAAGTCATTGAGAGCAAGAACCCACCAATTCTGGACACACTACTACTTGTCTGGCCTTGAGCAAGCTATTAATTATGTCTCTGTGCCTCAGTTTCCTCATCTTCAAAAATAGGGATAATAATAGCACCCTCTCAAGGTCTTTATGAGGATCAAATGCATTGACATATGTAACAGGTTTAGAACACTGCCTGGCATGTAATAAAGTCTGTATGATAAGTGACAGCTACTCTCATTGCTTCTCCTCTCCCTCACTCCACTCCTCCTTTCTTGGGTATTTGAAAATGAGTTCCTCAAGTGGGTATCTTAAGGACTTTATTCCCATATTCAATAAAATTAAATTGCACATATTATGAAATTAAATAATACTTAAGGGTTGATAATGAAAAACAACTCTTCCCTGTCTCATCCCTCCTATGTCCCAGCGGTATACACTTTTATTTATTTTCATTTTGGAGTCTTTTAGTTCTTATTTATATAATGCCAAATAAAAGAATCATAATAGGCCTTTCTAGATTTATCTACTTTTGGTATCATCTATTGAATCCCACTATGAAAAATGAGCCATCATCCTCAGCTAACTAACACAGGAACAGAAAACCAAACACTGCATGTTCTCAGTCCTAAGTGGGAGTTGAACAGTGAGAACACATGGACACAGGGAGGGGAACATCATATACTGGGGTCTGTAGAGGGGTGGGGGATGAGGGGGAAGGAACTTAGAGGATGGGTCTATAGATGCAGGAAACCACCACAGCACACTTTACCTATGTAACAAACCTGCACGTTCTGCACATGTAAATAAAATTTAAAAAAAAGAAAAATGAAGGTTTAGCTAATTTATATTATGTCCTGCATTCTCTTATACTCCTAATCTATTTGATAGTTATAATTATTAGGACTACTATCTTTGAAGCTTTCCCCTCTGTGTCACATACCATTAGCTTTCGGGAGTATCTCTCGATTCCATATTAGGTAGAACAAAAATGTTCACATTCTTATCTTCCAGCCACCTCCTCACTCCATCTTCCACTTTTAATCTTTTCTTAGATATAACTTGATTCTTATATTGTCAACACTGAAAACATTTACATTCTAATCCGTCATCCTCTTTCAGTTGTCTATGCCTTATCTAAGGATTCCTTTAAATGTGGATTAAACGATAAATAGCAGTTATATTATTACTACCAGTACGCGAATATTGCTCACTGTGGAGCCAAATAGTGTGCTAGGAACATAATATTTTTGTATGGATTCAATGTGCTGGCCTACTCCCTATTCAAAAGATTATGTTCTTATGTTAAGATAAAACAGAACCTGTTATCTGAAACATCATCTTTAAAAAAATATTCCGTATGTCTCTCAAGTCTCTATTTTGGTCATCACCATATCAATTCCACTATTTTGGTCCTTTTCATTATATTTTACATTTTGGAAGCCACACTTAAAAATTTTAAGAACAATTTTTTGTGTTTTGAGACAGAGTCTTGCTCTGTTGCCCAGGCTGGAGTGCAGTGGCACGATCTTGGCTCACTGCAACCTTCACCTCCTGGGTTCAAGCGATTCACCTGCCTCAGCCTCCCAAAAAGCTGGGATTACAGGCATGCACCGCCATGTCTGGCTAATTTTTGTATTTTTTTAGTAGAGACGGGGTTTTGCCATGTTGGCCAGGCGGATCTTGAATTCCTGACCTCAGGTGATCCACCACCTTGGCTTCCCAAAGTGCTGGGATTTTACAGGTGTGAGCCACGGTGCCAGGCCAACAATTTCTTTTTTACTGCTTACTCCTACTGCCGTCTTCTTCTTCTTCTTTTTTAAATAGCGGCTTGTTCTTGTTTTATGGCTTCAATATCCCTGTGAAGCTCTCTGAGAATACTAATTAAAACTTTTAAGAAGTTGATTTCTATTACTGGAATTATCTTCGGTTACTTGGTAGACAGCTGCTCTGTTTACCCATTTTGGTCCTTCCTTTGGGAAGGATCCTTAGATGCCTGGTAGCCTGAGGAAGCAGCCTTATACATATGGATTAGTGGCCAGGATGAGTGATGTGGCAGCTAGTGTGAGTGTTCTTTGCAGGTGTATAGGTCTATTTGCCCAAATTCCTCCAAACAGGAAGGCTGATTGCTGGCTCTGTGGAGGTAAATAGGATGTGTAGACTGGCAAGCTTCACTGTAGGGTGTGTGGTCAGTGTGGTAGGCTCAAAAGCCAAAATAAAAGAGAGAATGTAATACTTAAGTGTGCTTGGCTCCTGGTTAGACCTCTGCAATATTGAACCTTGTGAAAGTTGAAAGACATCCCTTTTTTCTCTCTCAGTTACAAACCTCCCTAGACATACCTTCTTTTGCCTTAAAGAGCATCTTTCTGGTACTGTCTTGGGAAAGCCATTAGTCTATTAATAGTGATGAGCAAGGACCAACTGATCCATTTATTCGATGGATGGATGTTTTCAAATATGGCACACATTCTTTGACACTCCTCTCGTCAAGAGTTGGGGACCTATATATCCTCCTCTTGAATAAAGGTGGACTTGTGACTTTTTGACCAGTAGAGCATGACAGAAATGGTGTTACATCACTCTTGAGGTGAGACCATAAAAGGCCTTGGGAGATCTTTCTTTCTTTCTTTCTTTCTTTTTTTGAGATGGAGTCTCGCTCTGTCGCCCAGGCTGAAGTGCAGTGGCACGATCTTGGCTCATTGCAAGCTCTGCCTCCCGGGTTCATGCCATTCTCCTGCCTCAGCCTCCCAAGTAGCTGGGACCACAGGCGCCCGCCACCACGCCTGGCTAATTTTTTGTATTTTTAGCAGAGACGGGGTTTCACCGTGTTAGCCAGGATGGTCTCGATCTCCTGACCTTGTGATCCACCCATCTCGGCCTCCCAAAGTGCTGGGATTACAGGTGTAAGCCACCGCGCCTGGCCTGATCTTTCTTATTTTCTGGAACATTTACTCTCAGAGCCCTAAGCTGCCATGAAAGTAATCTGATAACCTGAGGCTGCCATGATGTAAGGAGGCCCAAGCCACATAGAGTGAACATACAAAGGTGCTCCAGGTGATAGTCCTAGATGAGCCCAGTCTTCGAGTCACCCCAATCCAGGTGCCAAACATGTGAGTGAAGAATCTTCCAGATGATTCCAGCCCCAGTCATTCACGTCACCTCCAGCTATTCCAGTATTTCCAGTGGAACAGACACAAGCCATCCCTGCTGTGATTTGTCCAAATTCTTGGCCCACAGAATCACTGAGAAGAATTATGTGGTGGTTGTTTTACATAACTAAGTTTGGGGTTGCTAGTTACACAGCAATAGATACCTGATGCACAAAGATTTGTTTAATTAATTACCCTGATTACTCCTTCTTCATCAACCTACTCACACACCAAATTTTCTGATTCTGTGCTTTAAGCTCAGAGAGACCCTCTAGGATTCATGTCCCTCATCCCCACTTCAGCTTTTTCCTGTGTGTGTTTTAGTTTAAGGATTTCCATACTCTGGATCAATACAACCACATCTTATTTCTGTTCTCTAGAAATTCATTAAAAACTCTAGACTACTCTCGCTATGCATTATTGGTATCTGGGCAATGATGGACTCATCCCTCCCCTTTGTGTATCAGGCTGTTATTTCAACGAGCTTGTAGTCAGGGGAGGTAAGTGTCTGTTCTGAGAACCAGCAGTGAGATTCTTCACAGAAAGAGATAGATCCTCTACTCAAGTTGGGTACATTTTACAGCCATCAGTGAGTTAGAAATAGGCTGTGTCTATGACATAGCATGCACAAATATGAAAAATGTAGTCAAATATCTTTTTCCTAAACATACGCACTGTGAAGATAATTAAATTTCTTCTATCTTGGTTGGATGGTGTTTTATTTGTTGATTGGTTTTTAAATAAAATTTTTGCGGTATCATTTATAAGCAGTGAAATTTATTCATATAAGATGTTGTATACCCCTGCAACCATCACCTCAGTCAAGACATAGAGCATTTCTACCACACAGAAAAGTGTCCCCCCCGGCTTCCAGTCAATCACCTCATCTATCCCCACCCAGCTAACCACAGATTGGATTTCTCTCACTGTAGATTAGTTTTCACTGTTCTAGAACTTCATATAAGTGGAATCATACTGTATACTTTTGTGCTTGCTTCTTTCACTCAGCATATTTTTGAGCTTCATTTAAGTTATGTGTATCAATAATTTTCTCTTTTTTATTGTTGAGCACTATTAGATTTGTTCATTGATTTCCCTATTGATAGATATTTGGAATGTTACTGGTTTTGAGGTATTATTATTATTAAAACTGATATGAACATTTTGGGACAAGCCTTTTGATGAACACTGTAGGAGTGCTTTGGATCTATATATTTTAAAGCCCTTTGTTTCCTCCTTAAATGAACTAGAGTCTCCCCAGCAGAATTTCTGGTGGCCGCTGGGCAACTAGCATCTGTAAATGAGAAGATGCTGGCTCCCAGGAGTGGGAGAGAACGAGCTAATCATATCAAAAGTGGTCTGTGAAAATCAAAGCCAGCATTACTGCACTGGAAAAGTTGACTCAGGCATGCTTTGATAATAAGCATTTCAAAGAGATAGGCAGCTTCCCTTTAAATAGCACATAAACACCACTACCATGGAGCACAAGCTGAAAATGCTTCCCCTTTGACTGGCGATGTCTCAGTATTTAGGAATGGCCATGCCTATAAAAATAAATGCTGAGTAGGGAACTTGAAAAGAAATGGAAGGCACAAGAATTTTTTTTCTTATAAACATGTGAACTATTTTATGGCAGATATAGAAAGAGGTGGGAGGGAGTGTTGGACAACTTCCTTTACAAACAGTAACAGCAGCAGCATTTTATTGAATATTTATGATTGCCAGGCATCATTCTAGGGACTTTCCTCTGCATGCTTTAATTAATGTAATTCTCACACAACTCCTTAAGAAGGGTGCTTGTTATGGGGGGAATTGTGCCTTTCCCCCAGCCCAATTCATAAGTTGTGGTCCTAAACCTCAGTACCTCAGAATGTGACTGTATTTGGAGATAGAGTCTTTAAAGAGGGAACTAACTTAAAGTGAGGTCATTAGGTGGACCCTAATCCAATACTACTGGCATTCTTTTTTTTTTTTTTTTTTTTTTGAGACGGAGTCTCGCTCTGTCGCCCAGGCTGGAGTGCAGTGGCGGGATCTCGGCTCACTGCAAGCTCCGCCTCCCGGGTTCACGCCATTCTCCTGCCTCAGCCTCCCAAGTAGCTGGGACTACAGGCGCCCGCCACTACGCCCGGCTAATTTTTTGTATTTTTAGTAGAGACGGGGTTTCACCGGTTTAGCCGGGATGGTCTCGATCTCCTGACCTCGTGATCCGCCCGCCTCGGCCTCCCAAAGTGCTGGGATTACAGGCGTGAGCCACCGCGCCCGGCCACGACTGGCATTCTTATAAGAATGAATTTGGACACAGATATGTACAAGGTGAAGATCATGTGAAGACACAGGGAGAAGACAGCCATCTACAATGCAAGGAGGAAGGCTTCGGAAGAAGTAAACTCTGCCAATACATTGAGCTTGAACTTCTAGCTTTTAGAAATGTGAAAAAATAAATTTTCATTATTTAAACCACCCAGTTTGTGGTATTTTATTATGTCAGCCCTGGCTGACTAAGAATATGCTACATAAAGTTGTCTCCATTTTACAGATGTGGAAAGCCAAAGATCATGGTAAACTGATAAATCTGCACATGCCCAGCAATGGAGCCAGCTGAATGACTCAAAAGTCCATGCTTACATGCATTTTATTAAAAAAACTATTTTTCTCAAGTAGTAAAAATAAAATGGAAAGTTGTCCGTATCTTGTAGGAGCTTACAACTCGCTGTGAAGGCAAATTTCTGCATAGGAGGCAAAGTCTACATGGTCCAGTTCTTGAATTCAAACAGCCCTAAGAGTTGGAGGACCAGGCCTGGCATTGTTTAATAGACTTTCTAGGACGGGGTGCCTAGAGCCTTTCAGCATGCCAGAGCTGTTGTCAGGGACACCTATTCTGCAGCAGAGTTGTTCTTTTTCCCTTGTGCTGAGCTCAGTGGTGGTGTATACAATCTGTTTGATGGTCTCCTATAAAAACACAGTGCCTGGTATGACTAGTTGAATATCCTAATCCCTGGAATCTGATGATATGTTAGCTTACATTGTAAGTGAGACTTTGCAGAAGTAAGTAAGGATGTTGGGATAGAGAGGTTAGCCTGGATTATCTGGGTGAACTTTATGTAATCACAAGGGTCCTTTACAAGAGGGAAGAAGGAGGATCAGAGGGATGAGTGAGAGAGGTGATGATGGAAACAAGAGGGTGGAGTGATACAAGGAAGAGGCCACGAGTCAAGGAAGGTAGGTGGCCGCTAGAAGCTGAGAAAAGCAAAGAAATGGATTCTCTCCAAAAGCTTCCAGAAGGAATACATTCCTACCGACACCTCGATTTTAGACTTCTAACATCCAGAACTGTAAGAGAGTCAATTTGGGTTGTTTTAAGCCACTAAGTTCATGGTAATTTGTGATAGAGGTGATAGGAAGCTAATACACCTACCCTGCTATGGAACTTCGCATGCCAGGCACCAGGTGCTGCCGACTCCAGCTACTCCATGCACAGTTAGTGTTCTAAAGGAGGGGTTCCAATTCTTTTCCTGAGAGAAGAAAGGTTTGCTTTCCTTAGGCCAGCTGGTGCGCCAAAACCCTGCACTTGAGGCTGTGCATGGGGAGTGAGTGTCTTTAATGAGCCTGACAAATCTAACTCTTCCAACAATCCTGTGTAGGTGTGTGTGGTTACTGCCATTCTCTAGAGAAGGAAACAGAGGCTTAGGACAACAGAAAGACTTACCCAAGGTCCCACAGTTGAGAACAGCGGAGTCAGAGCCAGACTCACATTTCCCAGAGTCTGAAGTCCACATTTTAGAAAAACTTTTAAAAAATTGTGGTTACATACACACACACACACACACACACACACACACACTCTCACTCATACACACAGATACAGAGATAGTCCCCAACTTATGATGGTTTAAGATTTTTTTACCTTACTAGGGAGAGAAAGTGATAAGCATTCAGTAGGAAGCACACTTCAAAATTTGAATTTCGATCTTTTCCTGGGCTAGCAACGTGCAGTACAATGCCCTCGTGATGCTGGGCGGTGGCAGTGAGCCACAACTCCCAGTCAGCCACGTGACCATGAGTGTAAACAACTGATAGGGTAGATGTAGAAAATGCATTTTTAACTTATAATATCTTCAACTTACAATAGGTTTATTGGAATGTAATCTCATGATAAGTCAAGGAGCACCTATACTTAAAAAAAAATAAAAGTTGATGTATTTTGGCTTTATTTTAGACATTCTTTGATGGATATGTCCTTACAACACTTCGCAAAATATTCACAATATCTTTTTATTTTCATTTTTGAGACAGGGTCTGACTCTGTCACCCAGGCTGGAGCACAGCGGTGTGATCTCAGCTTACTGCAACCTCCATCTCCAAGGCTTAACCTCAGTCTCCCAAGTAGCTGGGTCTACATGTGGTACTACCAGCCTACGCTAATTTGTGTATTTCTTTTTTTCTTTTTCTTTTTTGTAGACAGTGTTTCACCATGTTGCCCAGGCTGGTCTCGAACTCCTGGGCTCAAGTGATCTGTCCACCTCAGCCTCCCAAAGTGCTACAATTACAGGCATGAGCCACTGTGCCCAACACACAATACTTTCATAATAAAATACTTAAAATCCATATTCCACACACATATTGACATGGTCATGGTGATTATGTCCTGCATAATGAGGGTGGTTGTTAATATAATTGGTTTTTATTCTGAAGCAGCTAACGTGCTCCACCCATACAATTAGTTCAAGGGCCAGCATCTAAATTTCAAGAGGCTGTTTTCAGAGCACCATCCATTGAAACCCATCCCTCCTTGCTGTTCTGGTCCTAGGGTATGTTTTCATCCTGGCCTGCTCTAGGTACAAAGTCAGTCCTTTTCCATTGTAGTCTTTTCCAGTATAGACACTTTAAAAATCCTTTTGGATTAAATGGAGTTTAGCTTATGTCAGAGCTATGAAAATAAAGTTAAATAATAAAATGAGGTTATATATTGCTGAGTCAATTGGAAAAGAATGACTGCAATCCTGTTGTAGAAAAGGATACCTTTTAGCTAAAGAATAATTGGGGTCAGTTATATGTTATGTCTGGGATTCCATTCTAGAACTAGAATTTAGATCCTTTTCTCTCTCAAATGGTCTCCTTGATCCTAACTTGTTATTTAATTTCACCATCAGACCTTCTTTCAAAACAAAGCTAGAGTTACCTGGTCAGTGTAAGTAGCAGATGACCTGAAGATTACAGAAATAGACTTGGCAAATTAATTTCATATATCTCAAGTCATTTTGATCATTTAAGTCAAACATAGATGGATCTCATGAGAATTTGGGTGGCTTGTTGTCTCCAAACTTACTGTTATTAATGTGATTATTAAACAGATATCTTCAAAGTTACTAGCTGTCTTAATCTTATTTTCCAACGTTGTATAATGTTTTAAACTTTGACAATCTCCCTCATCTCCATCTGGGCAACTTTGCTCAAAATGGAATCTCTTATGAGAATAGCCATAGTGGCTTTTCATAGGATCTCTTGTGCCCTAAGCCTCTAAGATGATTTCTCTTTACTCACCAATAATTTATAGTTATTGCTTATACCTATGTCTTTTAAATTCTATACCAGAATTAAGTGATTTTGCACTAACATCACAATACCATGGGACTCTATACTTGTGTATGTATTTACCTTTACCAGAGAGCTTCATATTTTTGTATACTTTTGTTTGGCTTTCTAGAATCCTTTTGTTTCAACTTGAAGGTCTCTCTTCAGTATTTCTTGTAGGGCAGGCCTAGTGGTGATAACTCTCTCAGCTTTTATTTATCTGAGAAAATCTTAATTTCCCCATGATTAATGAATGGCAGTTTTTCTGCACAGTATTCTTGGCCGTCAGTTTTTTCTTTTAGCACTTTGAATATATCATCCCAATCCATTCTGGCCCGCAAGGCTTCTTCTGAGAAATCCATTGATAATCTTATGGATTTTCTCTTGTATGAGGCAAATCACTTTTCTCTTGCTGCTTTCAAGATTCATGTCTTTACTTTTGACAGTTTGATGATAGTGTGTTTGATGGCAAGGTCTCTTTGGATTAATTGTATTTGGAGTTATATGAGGTCCTTGAATTTGTATGCCCATTTCCTTCCTCAAATTTGCGGAGATATTGGCTATTATTTCTTCAAATAGGCTCTCTGTCCTTTCTTTCTTCTCCTTCTGAACTCCCATGATGTGTACATTGGTCCACTTGATCGTATCCTATATGTCTCTTAATAGCTCTTTGCTTTTCTTCATCCTTTTTGTTTTTTACCCCTATGACTTGATAATTTCAAATAACCTGTCTTGAAGTTTGCTGATTCTTTCTTTTGCTTGATACAGTATACTGTTGATCCCTTCTGGTGAATTTTTCAATTCAGTTATTGTTCTTTAGCCCTAGATTTTCTGTTTAGTTCTTTTTTATAGTTTCTTTTTGCTGATGCTCTCATTTTGTTTGTATATTGTTTTCCTGATTTCATTTAGTTGTCTGTGTGTGTGTGTGTGTTTTATAGCTCATTGGGCATTTTTATGATGGTTATTCTTAATTCTTTTTCAGGTAATTCATAAATCTTTATTTCTTTTGGGTCAGTTACTGGAGATTTATTAATTTATTTTTTCCTTTTATTGGGCCATGTTTTCCTGTTTCTTGTTTGTTTGTTTGTTGTTGTTGTTTTGTATGTCTTACGATATTTTGTTGATATGTGGACATTTGAAAAAACAAACACCTCTCCCAGTCTCTATGGACTGTCTTCAGACAGGGAACATCTTCTCCAATTAGCCCCACTAGAGATTCTGCAGGCCTCTCAAATCTTCCCAGCGGTTGCATCATCTCTGGGCCTACAGGTATAATTTCCCAGCTGAAGTGGTGTGCCTGTTTCTACTCAGTAGCTCCCCCTGGTGTCTGTCTGTGATGCTTTAATTTCTCTGGTAGTGGTGTAGCAAGCAGAACTGTTGCCTTGGTTCTCAGTGGCCCCCAGGTATCAAAAGTGTGCTGTTTCCCCACCAGCATTCTAGGTCAGGCAAGAAAGCAACCAGTCCCCTGAGAAGCACCCCCAAAATCCAGGCATTGGGTGCATGTTCTGCCTTTTTCTTTTCCTCCTGAAGGAGAAGCCATGAGTTTGGAGGATGGGATATAGTAGGTAAGTCCAACAAATGTTCTTCCCTCCTCCAATGTGTCTCTTCTTGGTGTTGTACTCACCTGGGGTCCTGTAACCTGTCAACTGGTTTCTGATGTTCTCACAAAGGCAATGTGGTTTATACATTGTTGTTAAGTTAATGTCTCCATGGGGGAAGGACCTGGGGCTTCCTGTTCCACCATCTTGCTGAAATCACTGATGCTCTCTCTACTCATCAGTGATATGAGTGCTCTCACTTCTGCAGGCTGAGATTATTTTCTTTTCTTTTTTCTTTTTCTTTTTTTTTTTTTTTTTTTTGAGATGGAGTCTCGCTGTGTCGCCAGGCTGGAGTGCAGTGGCGCAATCTCAGCTCACTGCAACCTCCGCCTCCTGGGTTCAAGCGATTCTCCTGCCTCAGTCTCCCGAGTAGCTGGGACTATAGGCGTGCCCCACCATGCCTGGCTAATTTTTTTTAAAAATTATTTTTAGCAGAGACAGGGTTTCACCATGTTGGCCAAGAGGGTCTCAATCTCTTGTCCTCGTGGTCTGCCCGCCTCAGCCTCCCAAAGTTCTGGGATTACAGGAGTGAGCCACAACTCCCAGCTGAGGGTATTTTCTTCTCAGTGACTGATTTACATTTTCCTCGAAATTACTTCAAATTTGCTCCTACCTGTGCTAATATACATCTCCTTATAGAATCCTTGTCACTTATTACTACTCTGTGTTTATACTTGTTCAATGAATGTGATAGTTAAATGTTTCACAAATCACTCAACAGAACATTCTTCTCAAGGGTGGGCACCATGGTGTTCCTCCTTCCATTAATTAATGTAGTGGAACAATTAAAATAATGTTGATCAGGCATGACTTATTCTTTTCTTTTCTTCTTACAGCTTGTTGTTCCTTTATTTATTTTATCATAATCTCCCTGAACCCCAGAATATTTACTTGTTTTCATTCTGTGCCTTTTTTTCCCCCCATCCTCAGTCCATCTGCCAAGTAAATATAAGAATCAAGGTTCCTTTGTGTCCATGGAAAGTGTAAGTAGACTTCCATGTAGAATGGTCAAGAATCACGTTAGGTTAATGAGTGCTGAAACAAATTAAAGGAATTCTCTTTTTCTCACAAAAGCCTACATCTTACATGTGGAAATACTATGGAGATAGTAGGAGAGTCAAGAAAATGAAGAATTTAGACATAATGGAATAACAATATTTTTACATGTTAAAATGAAGAAGATAGTGGTTGGGAAGAATGGCTTATGTGCGGTTGTACCACTTCTAAGAAACAACACAGACAGATACATGCATCTTGAGGGTAGGCACATATTTGAATAGAATGGGTCCCAAATGGATACTTTCACTTCGTCAGATCTTTCCTAAGTGCCTGTTGCATGCCAACAGCTCAATGAAATGACTCACTCCTGCTTTGCAGATAACAAGAGAATCTGATACGCTCTAAGTGGCTTCGCTCCTGATCAATCTGCAGATCTCCAGTAGGTCAGCCATTTCCTACCAGTTTGTATAACCTTGTAGGATGTTTTCAGTTAGAAGCAGGAATCCAGGTTCTTGTCCAAGGTCGCCCTTAAGACTTTCCACTGTGATCTTTTCACAGTATTCAACTGGCTCTACGTGACAGCCCATATTCATTTTGCAAGGGATGAGGAATGATCAAATAGGTATATTGTCAGTAATCAAAATACCCAAGGCCTTTTCAGTAGAACTGGGGGACTAAGATCATGAAAACAAATGTTTTTCCTCCACATCTACACTGCTCATTCTTACTCCTGGTACTTGGTGATAAGGATGCTTATGAGATGGAGCAAAGCCACTAGAGTTATTTTATATTTTTCAGGCTGTGGTAGAAACAGAGCACCAGCATTAAGGACTATACATTTACAAGGAAGCACTAACTACTTAAACGTAATCTCTCTTATGTTTTCCTGGGAAGAACTACTTAGAACCCAGGAGAATAGGACCAAGAAATATTCACCTACTCTTGAAATAAGTTGCATAGTTACTCTAAAGGTGGATTTTATTCTGTTCAACTCAACACCCTTTTCTGTCACCTTCAATAACAATGTACAAAAATAAGTGTCTTTTAGAAAAATATTGGAATTTCTTTCTCTATATGTAACTTACATCACAGTTTCATCATCAGGAAAAATGATAAGAATATTCTTGGTCTGCTTCATGCCTATCCTGGAACATAGAAAAGGTACTTCCCTGATCTGAGCCTCAGATTTCTCAGCTGAAACATGGAAGTAATAATGCATTTCTTTCTGGACTGACATAAAGATGAGCAGGATCATGTCAAGTCTTACTATAGAGCTTGGAATGTGGTTTCCTTTCTATCTGAATTCTGATGGATTTTGATTGGACTTAGTGACTACTGTAAGTTGAAAATTAATGTTTTATGAATCCAAGTAATATTAAAATATAATAATTATTACTAAAACCAATTCACAAACAGGCTATAAAGCCATAGTCAGGTGGGCTAAACTCAGGAAAAATGAATAAACTATGCCCCTAGATAAATAGGAAGAAAAATAGAATTCAATAAAGGTGGAGAAAGGAACAATCCAAAAGAAACGTGAATCAGATGAATAGATTTACAATGCCTGAAGTAAGAGAAAGTGTTGCATTAACACTCTTGATGGGATGAAATGGGAAACTGGGACTTCAGGGAAAGATATATATATATTTAGGGAGTTATTACTTGCATTCACTTGTGCCCAACTGTTTCTGAATAAACATACCTCAGTAGGAATAAATGACAAAATATATGTTTGCAGTCATTTTGGCTCCCAGAAAGAATGAAACTATAGAAACTTGGATTTAGGGTTATGATTGCAGCTGTTATTGACAGCTGTTATTAGCAGCTGCAACTCCATCCCTTAGAAAAGAACTGACAGGTGGTAATACTGACGATGGACATACATGGGGATTTTCTTAGTAAATTCAGACCCAGTGAATTTTCCCAGTGAATTGCTGGTATGATATTGAGTTGGCAATAACTGGCTGCCATCATAGTATATTATATAACTTCAACATACTTTTGACATTGTCTCATCAAGACAGGGCAAGCAAAGATGTCCCACTGTATAGGGAGTAACTGAGGAAGGAAATACATCTTCCAAACTCTATCTGCACTTAATATGTGTCACTCAAGTTGCCTCTATATGGTAAATTTTGGATGGGGACCAAGCCTTATAATGTTATTTCCAGTAATGGAATATATATCCTTGATTCATCTAGTAGATTGCAAAACAAGAATCTGAGATTCTTTGATCATCATTCCATCAAGAGGTGGAGTCTATTCCCCAATTCCTCTTTTGAATCTGTTATCTTGCTTTAATTCATAGGATGCAATAGAAGTAATGGGGCTTCAGTTCCAAGCCTAGGTTTTAAAAGGGCTTGAGCATCCACTCTTATGACAAGAACTTCTCCACTACACTGTGTGAACAAGCCTGGGATAGCCTGCTGGAGAATGTGAGGTGCAGCCTTCCCAGCCTGAAACATTTAAACAAACCCAGCCAGGATCAGCCCAGATCATAAGAACCATTCCATTGGGTTGAGCTCAAATTGCTGACCCGAAAAATTATGAGCTATATAAAATTTGTTGTTTTAAGTCAATAAATCTTGGAATAGTTTGTGACATAGCAATAGATAAATGATAATATGTAGACTCATCCACAAAATCAGAACTCAATGAGTGGGAGCTGTATGACTGACTGCCTGCTCACTTCCTCTTCCCAAGATCTAAATAAGTGGTCATGCACAGTGTGAACTCACACCCTATTTCAGTAACTATATAATTTTTCCTGTAAAGTATAGAATGTGATTCCCAGCCCCTTGATTTTGAGCATGCTGATGTGACTTACTTTGGACACTGAAGGAGAGTGGAAGTGATGGTTTGCCAGCTCTGAGCCTAAAATTAGGAGGCCTGGCATAGTTCACTTTTCCTTTTGTATTTTTGCCATCACCATGAGAAGACTTCCCCCTGAGTAGCCGCTGCTATTTTGTCCTGGGCCCCAGAATGAAAGACATGTGAGAAATAAATGTTCGTTCTTGTGTGCAACTGAGATTCAGGTGCTTTTTGTTACACAGCAATAGCTGTCTCATACATACAACTTTATTTTGATACTGCCACTATGTGTGCATTTCCTTCCCAGATAAGTGGGCATCTCAGGAACTATTCTAGGCCTGAGTTCTAGAATGCTGGGTTCCAGGATACTTGCCTACAGAGCTGTCACTGAGTGACTTTGGAAAAATGACCTTTAGAGGCCAAGGCAAGATCAAACCAAGCAGGGAGTCCAATCAAAACATCAGAGAGAAGGGACTGAGAAGAAACGCAGGTGACAGGTAAAATACTTGAAAACAATAGCTTAGAAGTACCCAGACAAAGCAAGTAAGTTCTTGAAGCAAAGTATAGTAATAGGAGGTGAGATCTGAAAAGATTTCTGGAGGCCTTGGCTCTTTTGAGAAAGGGGTGTGCCTTGGCTTGTGATAAGAGAAGGAGTTGTCAGGCCAGTTCAGGAAAAGGAGGCTTTTGTGGAGAAGAAAGCATGCTCTTCAATTCCCCCTCTTCTTCCTGAGTCTCAGGGATGTGGCTGGCCACCAAGTGTTTGTGCTGTTGGTATGTAGCTTAGTCCACCTGGTATCATACTGGTGTGGTCTTTCTTCCTAGGGACACATATTTGCTCTTCATCCACAGATGTTTCGCTCATACCCTGGCAGGCCCATTCTCCACCCACCACTGGATATTAAGACAATGTATGTGATTAGTTTCTAGAGCAGCTGCTCAATAGAACTTTCTGTGATGTGAAAATAGTCTATAACTTGTGCTGTCCAATATGGTAGCCACTAAACACATATGGTTATTGAGCACTTGAAATATAACTGGTGTGACTGAGGAAATTAATTTTTAATTAAAAAATAATTAATTTAAGTTTGGGTGGCCATATGTGGCTAGTGGTTACCATTCTGGACAGCAGAATTCTAGATGGCATTGTGCTGGCCAACCCCAATACATTCTGAACCTCTAATAGACATTACTAATATAAAAATCTAAAGCTACTGGAAAGGTAAGCCTTTGCAAACTAGCCACAGCCTTGATGGTCCTTTGCAGCTCCTGTTTCAGAGCTGAGCATGCTTGCTGCTGGTGGTGAGCACACAAAATTCTCAACTGCCAAGAGCCATTCATTTTGAGAAAGCATTTATGGCATTAGACTTGCCGCCATCTTGATAAATAGGCAATAGACACATGGGCCTGCAGTGCTGGCTTTTTCAATGTCCAGAGCCCATGGGAGCCACTTGTTCAATTAAAGACTCTGAATTCAAGTCACTGTATTTGATAGCTTTTTTTGTTTAAAAAATAAAACCAAGCAAAAAACAAAAAACAGTTAGAACTTGTTATGGTTTGGATATTTGTCTCCTCTAAATCTCATGTTGAAATTTGATCTCCAGTGTTGGAGGTGGGACCAAGTGGGAGGTGTTTGGGTCATAGGGGCAGATGGCTTGGTGCCACCCCCAATAATGAGTGAGTCTCACTTTATTAGTTCACACGAGAGCTGACTGTTTAAAGAGCCTGGCATCTTCCTTCCTTCTCTCTTGCTCCCTCTCTTGACATGGGATATGCCTGCTCCTCCTTCTCCTTCCTCCATGAGTGGAAGTTCCTTGAAGCCCTCACCACAAGCAGATGCTGGTGCCATGCTTCTTGTATAGCCTGCAGAACTGACAGCCAAATAAACTTACTTTCTTTGTAAATTACCCAGCCTCAGGTATTTCTTTTATAGCAACACAAATGGGCTAATACACAACTGAACTCATCTGAACTCACCTGTATGCTCCAGGGTTGGAAAATAATTTAGCATGGTTGGAATGTTAAGTTTATTTTCAGATACTCTATTCCCCAGTTTAGCCCAAAGCATGGTGTGTTGTGAATGACCTTCTCAAAAGTCGACACAGACTCCAAGAATGAGAGTGAAAATGTGTTGAACCATGCTCCCTGAAATATATTTTTCCTTTTTCAGCTCTTTCTGATCAGAAACTCAACCTCAAAGGGTGTGAATTATAGCACTAGTTTGATGACAAGCAGAGAACTATCACTAAACACTTTTACCAGCTCACTAAAGGATACTCTAGAAATGACCCAGCCATAATATCTTGGTTTTCTCCTTCTCCATAGACTTTGAGCTCTCCACAGGTTAGCCCTTAACAGCCCCATGCTCATTCCTCCAGTGAGCCTGAGTTCACTCTGGTCTCCACATTGCTTCCTTCTCCATACATCTTAGAACCCAGCTCCAGTTTCTTTTTCTGCACCAAGCCTCTGATTGTTCCATCCCCAGTCTCCTTTCAAGTTCCTGAAGGTTCGTGGCACTGGTTTAGTGCAATCATGCACTGAAGTCCTTTACTTCTTGCTCTCTCATCTGGTTTTCTTTCTGGGTCCCTGACTCTGCAAGTGCACAAAAACTCCCTAAGGAGAGCTCCTCAGAACCCATCACCTCCCTGCATCTTGCCTGATGTTGGCACAGGGGAGGAGCTCAATCCATATTTAAAGTGGGGTGGGCAGGGGCTGATGAGCATGACAGATCTGCATTGGCAACCAGGAGATTTGGCATTTCTGGGCTTTAATGCCTCCTAGTAATGATCTTTCACAAACATAACAGCTAAGAGGAGCATTTCTAAGGAGAAATGGTGGAGCCAGGGGTTCCAGGGAAGACGGAAAGAGCAGAAGACTGGATACGTCCAACAGGTTGTTCTTTCATGTGGTTCTGGGTACAGCAGCAGCAGCAGAACCCAGGAGCTGCCATACCTGGAACCATGCAGAATCTCAGGCCCCATCCCAGTCCTTTCAAATTAGAATCTGCATTTTAACCCGATCCCCAGTGATCCATGTGCATGATAAAATGGGAGAGACATTGGTCTAGAAGTAAAAAGATACCAGGGACATACCTAAGGGACATGAATTCTACAAAAAAGGAACATCTACTGAATGCATTTGGAAATTCCCGAGGGGATGAGAACCAACACACTCTAACCAAGAGGGTCAAGAGGGTTCCTAGGGGAACAGTATTAAGTATCTTTAGTTAAAAACAACTAAACAAACCAACCAACAACCCTTCTACAAATCTACTTCTGAGGAAGTTAGGTCTAAGGGCTAAGGGGTTACTGTTGAGGGGATGAGTCAGGGTAACCATCAAGGAGCTAAGAGACATAGGGAGAAATGAGCCTGCTTTGAGTCATTGGTTTGATAATGTCAGTCTCTGGAGATCCACTCAAGCATCCTGCATGACTGCTGCACAAAGAGGAAGGCACAGATGGGGAGATGTTAATCAGGAAGAATTCTTAAGAACAGGAAGTTCAGTGTTTTACTTTTGTGTTTGCTGGAAATTATGCTATTTGCCTCCTTTTGTTACCTGCAAATGGTGTGGGCGCAGAGTCTAGAAAATGAACTCTCCATGGCCACTAAAGAGAAAATAGATGATCTTAAGGCACCTTTCACATCAAACTCATTCCAAAAAGAATCTGGCAGCTTGGAGAGTTTTACTTTTCTAGTAAGAAGCCTTTTCAGAGTTAGTAATATTTTCATTCTGCAGAAAACTCAGGTCCCTTGAAAAATGTCTGGGCTTTGCAAACATTTTTTTCTGGTAAATGCAATGAGAGCTGGTGAACCCCATCATTCTCTCCCTCTCTGTCTTTGCAAGGCAGACTGCAAATGAGGCCAGAGTTATTGCCTCATCCAGCCCCACAGATATTCTCTCCTTTCTCATCTCTCTCCCAGGACAGAAGCTCAAATTCCATTTCTCAGGTAAGCAACACATGCGTTAATCATCCAGCTGCTCTGTAAACACAAGACAGAAGACCTGCTAATGTCCCAGCAGGTGGGGCCTTATCTGGATTTCCCCAAGAATGTGCTAGTGTCCCAGTGACAGCTAGGACAACTGGTGTGAATATTCCAGCTGTTTGCTCCCTGGTGAACTTCTGCTTTGTTGCCAAGCTTTAATGTCAAACTGCTGAGGGTCTGGCAAGGTCATTTCTTCCTCTTTCAGCTTCTTTCTCTTAATAACGCCTAATCTCTCACCCTCTGTAATGTTTCTCCTTGCAGAGCACTGCAGAATATACTGGTTTTGAAAGAGCCTTGAATTTGAGATGCTTGAATACAATCGTTATCTCTTCAAGCTTTCCCCCCCAAAAAAGATTGACAACACACAGACACTTAAGACTCCCCAATCATCATTTCTTTTATTCCAAAGGAAAAAGAGTAATCGTTTAATCTTATTTCTAACATGCTGGAAGCTGCCCTGATAAAAAGATCTGCCTAACTAGTAAAGGTGTCATGGGTGGATTTGCAGGATGATAGCCTCTTTGTGCTGGGAGACCCTCAGGCTAGATAGACTGATGGGATGTCTAAATTAACACTGGAGACTGTGGAGTGAGTCAGCCAAGGAAAAAAGTGGTCCAGTTCCTCTGAAAATGCAAAAGAGGGTTGGTGGGCCAAGGTGGGTGGTCTTGTGACCCTTTTGGTGAGTCATAGGAGATTTTTTCCCTGCAGAATAAAGTATCTTAAAACCATAGGTATCCCCCAAACCTGTTTCTTGATAAACTTTCCCCTCAGCCAAGATTTTCCCTTGCCATAGTTTAATCTGTACACATCACTTTTTACCCGCACGGCCATCTCATAATCAGACTTGGTCTTCTTTTAAGACCCTATCAGCTGTCATTCACCAACAAACAGAAGTTCCTTCTGGCAGTTTTTAATAACATACATACAACGTATACTAATAAAAAAGGATGTAGAGCTCATAATCATAGATCTACAACCCAATGCACCAAAGGGAGGAGCTGGAGGCACTTCCTTGTTTAGGGGCCTTGAGAAGCACCCACATTGCCTTGTCTGAGAGTGGCTGGATTTTATCTATGTATCTATGCTCCAGTAATGTCAGTTGCTTAAAAAGTTACTCCAACATGTGGTAGCATAAAACAACCATTCTCATGATCACAGATCCTATGGATCCACGGGAAAGCTCATCTCTGCTCTAGTTGGCATCGATTGGGGTGGCTTGAGGATTGCAGGCTGAAATCATATGCATAGTACATATTCTGAGTCTGGCTTCCCAGCTGGAAACATTCAAACAGTTGGGGAGAGAACATCTGAGGCTCCCTGAGCATCTCTCTCCATGTATGGTCTCTTCAGCACGGTGCCTTCAGGTAGCTGGGCTTGCTTCATGGTGGCTACCAGCTCCAAAGATCAATGTCCCAAGAAAAAGAGAGAGAGCAAACCAAGGAGAAAGCCATAATGCTTTTTCTGACCTAGCCTGGGAGCCATGCAAGGTCACTTATGTCTCATATTTGCTGTAAGGGAATTGCTGAGCTGGCTCCTTATCAAGAGAAGGGTAATTAGATGCCACTTTTTGATGGGAGGGAGGAGAATAAAATAATTTGCTGTCACATTTTAAGCCTCTGTAATCAGGCAGGGTGGGATGTGGGGCACTCGGGGAGCAAAGTGGGGTAGCTGGCTGGAGCTCTGGGCTGCCCTGGTGGTTCACCCTGCCGTGGTTTTACAGTTTGGTTTGTGGGAATCTGAACAACGCAGCACTTTCCAACAGTAAAAATAACTGGCCACACAAGCTTTCTGGATCTGAGGACAAAGTTGGGCATGCCTCGATCCCATGGATCATAAGCATGAAAGGGCTATGCCTTGAGAATTTGCTCAGCTTTCATCTGAAGTAACAGTTCCCAACACTGTTTTAGATCATACCTAACTCACGAGGTATTAACTCATTTAATCTTTACAACAATCCCACTAGGAAGCACTATCACTGTGCCCATTTTTCGTATGTGGTAACAGAGGCACAAGAGGCTTAAAAAGCACTTGGTTAAGGTCACCTAGTTGGTACATGGTTGTCACGGGCTGAATTCTCTCTCCCCCAACATTCATATGTTGAAGTCTTACCCCCTAGTATCACAGAAGGCAGCTGTATTTGGAGCTAGGGCCTTTAAAGAAGTAATTAAAGTTAAAATGAGGTCATAGGGGTGGGTCCTAATCCCATATGACTGGTGTCCTTATAAGAACAGGAAATTAGGATACATGCACAGAGGGAAGAGCCTGTGAAGACATGGGGAGGGGGAAGACGGCACCTGCAAGGTGAGGAGGCAAAGCCAGAAGACAGCAACCCTCCTGACACCTTGATCTCAGACTTCCAGCCTCCAGAAGTGTGAGAAAATAAATTTCTGTTGTGTAAGCCACCCACTCTGCTGTGCTTTGCTATGGCAGCCCAAGTAGACTAACAAAGCAATGAAGTTGGAACCTGGATGTAGACAGCCTGACTCTTACCCATCCCACTGCTGGGGCTGGAAAGTGGGCTCCCCACTAGTGACCTTCTTCCCCATCTTTCCCCACCACTAGTACCAAACATGTTTTAGGACAGGCTGACACTCCTTTCCTGCGAATTTCCAGGTAGATGCTCCGTGGAAATGCTAGGAGGAGAAGTCAATTTAAAGTGAAGAAGGAAAAAAAAAACAAAAAACAAAAACACAACAAAACCTGAAATGAGATCATTTAAAATAAGATGAGAGGAGTTTTTAAGCTCCCCAGGATCTGGCTTGGAAGTTGGAGATCAAAAAGAAAGTCCCAGGGCCCTTTAGTCTTTTCATTATGTAACATGCCGCCTCGTCTGAACCGTGGACTGGAAATTCCTGCTGGGACACCACTATTCTTTTTATTAAATCCCTCTTTTTATAATTGCTGCTGTGACAGGCAGAAACTTATGGGCTAGGGATGGGATCTGGGAATATGAGGTTTAGGATAGAGATTGTGGGCAGCAAACTTCCCCACTGGGAACAGTCCCTGGCTCCAGACCTCAGAAAGAAAGCCCAAGCCGCCCTCCTGCAGGCAGTCTTGGTTTGCAACAGCAGAGGTTTCATGACCATTTGCCTCTCCAGATCTTCCCTGAAACAAAAGTCATGGACAATGTCTCCTGAGCCTACGTGAGAAGAAAATACTGTGATACCAAGGCCAGCTCCAATGGACACCTCAAAGCCCTGCCGCTTTGAGTCCCAGGGTGTTGCTCCCTTCCTCACTGCTAGAGGCAGCGGGAGAAGGGCTTGAATGCATGTCTGTGGCTGCCACAGTCATGGGAGCTTCTTGCCCAACACCTCCAGGTGACACTCAGAGGTGCTTTAGGGGCATGCTGTCCTTGTCCTTCTAACTACCAGCAGAGGTGGGTGGCACAGCACAGATGCGCTGGCTTGCAGGCCACCAGGCAGGCTCCACGGCCTCGTCTAGATTCTCATACTTCATCAGACTCGAGAGTCCAGGGAAAATGAATTGAAAGGATCTGCTCGAGAGGAGCCCTATGAAGTCAGATTCATTTTGAGCTTTGACTCATAAGATTGTTTGCTTTCTAGGCTGGGGTCATTCCATTTGACTTCACGTGCAATCTCCAGCATTGTGTCTGATGCACCATATATTCCAGGGAATGTAAAGCTCATGAGGGGAGGGGCTTCATCTGCTTGGTTCACTACAAACAGGCACTCAACAAACATTGAATGGATGAAAGAAAGAGTAGGCGTTTGGCCCATGGTTCTTCTGCCCAACGGAGAACTCGGGGCATCTGCAGGAAATGGTTTGCTTCTTTCCTTCCTCCTATGTATCAAAAAGGCCCTAAAGGGGGTTCTCAGCTGCCTAAGTAGCACCTTGGACAGAAGCAGGTTTGGGCTCTTGGCTGAAGAGCCCAGAAGGGGAATGAGAGGTGGGAGGCCTACTGACATCCCTAAGGGAGTGGCTCATCATTGCTGGTCGAAACTCCTAAATGGCCCCTAGATCTTCCCATGTCCTCCAGATGATTAGACACTTCCTGGAACCCATTTTCTTGGGGGTGATTTTGACCATGGAAACTTTTCATTCATAGTCCAAGTGCCTACTGTTTGGGTGGCCCCAGCATTGGTGGGCAGATCTAGGTTAGCCGTCTCAGATGGACAGTTGGCCTGAGAACTGGGAGGTCACAGCATTTGTTAAAAAATTGTCAAGCACTCACCCCACCTCCCCTAACATGTTGTCCCCTGCCTAAGTGTTTGTGAGTGTTCAGAGGTCCTGAATGACTCTGTCTAGAGGGCTGTAAAGCACACGTGGCAGGCATGGAGAGGTGACACACAAACTCCCTGCAAGGAAGGATCTGCTGTCCAGCTGCAGAGGGATGTGGCCATCAGGTGGCTTCAAGCTGTTGGCTCCACTGGGCTGGGTCAGCCTCAGCTGCAGAGAGCTACCTCGCCCACATCACACCCTTCCTGGAAGGCCCACATCCACTGACACAGAGGCAGTGGTATACATTCCTGGCAGTTTGGTTCCAGGATGAACCATATTTGTTCCAGAACTCTTTGTCAGCTTGGCTGGGACTCTGGTGAGCCTGCATCATGGCTTGACTTCATCTTCCTCTCCTTTCCTTTCACAGGCATTGTATTAGTTAGGGGTCTCAGAGGGACAGCACCAATAGGATCTATGTACCTATAGAAGGAGTTTATTAGGGAGAATTGGCTCAGATAATTACAAGGTGAAGTCCCACCATAGGCTGTCTGCAAGCTGGGGAAGAGAGAAGCCAGTAGTGGCTCAGTCTGAGTCCAAAAGCCTCAAAAGCAGGGAAGCCAACAGTGTAGCCTTCAGTCTGTGGGCAAAGGTCTGAGAGTCCCCAGGAAGCCACTGGTGCAAGTCTCAGAGTCCAAAGGCCAAAGAACCTGGAGTCTGATGTCCAAGGGCAGGAGGAACAGAAGCAAGGGTCCAGTGTGGGAAGAATAAAAGAGCCAGAAGACTCAGCAAGCAAAGCTATCCCCTCTTGTTCTGCCTGTTTTGTTCTGGTGCTGGTAGCTGATTGGAACATGGGAGTGGATTTCTCATGAATGGTTTAGCATCATCCGTTTGGTGCTGTTCTCGTGATAGTGAGTGAATTTTTTAGAGATCTGGTTGTTTGAAAGTGTGTAGCACCTCCTGCCTTGCTCTCTCTTGCTCCTGCTCTGGCCGTGTGATATGCCTGCTTTCCCTTCACCTTCCGTCACCATTGTAAGCTTCCTGAGGCCTCTCCAGAAACAGAACAGATGCCAGCATTATGTTTCCTGTACAGTCTGCAGAATGCGAGCCAATTAAAACTATTTTCTTTATAAATTACCCAGTCTCAGCTATTTAGTTATAGCAATTTGAGAATGGACTAACATAGGTATTGATTAAAAAATATCTTGCACTCAAAACTCTGTCTTCGTGTCTGCTTCCAGAGAACCCAACTGGTGACAGCATTTAATTAATTCATTTACAACTTCCGGACTCTGATTTGATCCCTCCATGATATATATATTTTTAAATGACTCTCCTCTTCCCCCACCAAAAACATAAGAAAATCTGAACCAAATAACAACAAAACCAATGGGAGAAGGAATCAAACCACTTGGTGGTTAAGATGCTTTACCCTTACAGATCTGTTTAAGGATGAAGCTAAAGACCACATAGTCTGTAAAATTAAAGCTTAAAAGATTACGGCTTTAACAAAAAGATTATGGTTTGGATGATGAGCAAACAGAAGAGATTCACTAATCACAGTGCACACATACCCACACACACACGTCCCACCAGCAAATTTCAATTTGGGTTGTTAAACGCTAACCCAGTGGATCATTCATCTTCCTTCTAATCCAGCCTCATTATTGATTACCAGTCTTAGTGTTCTTAGCAGAGTGATCCAGGTCAAGGATCCACTTAGGAAAAGAGGCAAAGTCACAGCAGCTGTAGAGTCAGTGGCATTTTAACTTGAATCCACATGGCAACAACAGAGGCCTCAGTGTCACCGAGTGCACTCTCCCAACGCTACAATTTGGGCTGCGTCTTTGGTTAATAAGAACCTGCTGTGCAATGGCACTTGCTCTTCCAGTGCCCACAGTCCATCTTTGTGGCCCAGAATAACATGTGCTAAGTGGGCAAGAACGGTGGAATGGGATCCAAAGCGATCTTTGCCAGGTTCTGTGGTAAAAACTAATATCTGGAGGAAGGAGAATCAATGGGCCTGTGGCACTAAGGGACAGCTTCCAGGAGAGGATGGGCTGGGGCCCAGCCCTGCATGAAGCACATTCTAGGAGAAAGATATTGCATGTCCAAGAGCATAATAACAGGTCATTTTTACTGAGTACTTTCTATATAGCTGGTGCCATTCTAAGTACTCTGAGTGTATTAACTCATTTAGTTAATGCAATTACTCCATGAGGTAAAGCTATTATTATTAATCCATTTTACAGTTGAGGAAACTGAGGCACAGAGAATTTAATTAATTTGCTCAACTTCATACAGATAGCAAATGGTAAAGATAGATTTTAGTCCCAACAGTCTGGCTGTAAATCTCAAGCTCTTAATCACACTCTCAATTGCAATCTCTTAAAGATTCCAGATGCAAACTGTCCCACCCTCATCACACTGTTGAAACTGCTCATCAGATCTGTGGATATACACAACTGGGAGGCAGAGCCAGCCCCCGCATAAGAGAATCAAGATTTAAAAGGATGTCAACAGTCTGCGCCAGGACAAACAAGGGTGGTGTAAGCGGGTTGAACGCAAAGAATTTCACATCTTAATATAGAACAGGGTGGTGCATGGGAAAAATACATGGAGACTGGAGCTGTTCAAACATTCCCATGAGTCAAGGGTGAGCATCAACAGCTACGCAAACCAAGGAAGCCTTCATCTGGGTGAAAAGGTTTTTCATGTGATGGGGAAGAGGTGGGCATCTCTCCATGCTCAGCATTGTTCATTACACTTCTAGAGAATAATATCCTCCAGGTCTGGGTCCCACTCTGTAATGGAGACATTGGCCATGCGTGAACATCCCAAGGAGGAACAGGTGTCTTGAGGCCAAGAGGCAGAGAACGGTTTCCATCATAGGTGGAAGTGACGCCCAGGAATTGATCTGAGATTATTTGATTAAAACGGGGAATAGATGTATTTTGTTTTGGCAGAGAATGCAGAAACTGAACCAACTGCCACACATTCCAGGGAGAATTCAGCAAGATACTCTAAAAAAGAACTCTTTAGAAAAGAACTCTTTAAAAAAATAATAGAAGTGCCTTGTAAAATGGTAGGCTCTTTATCCCTGAACTATAAGCCATTGGGGATAGGCACTTGATTATGGTGTTTGTTCAGCCATCATTCAGCCACCAAATGGATTTTGGGCACTGTTCAGATACTGAGGATAGAGCAAGAAACAAAATTGATAAAGCTGTCTGCCCCATAATGCTCACATCCCATTGGAGGAAGTTTTATAATACACAAATAGATTTTAAATTATACAGCATGTTCATGATGATACATAGGATGGAGAATTAAAACTTAAAAGACAGAGAAGGGGAACTGGGGGTTCTGGGTGGGGACGTGTGTGAACATGTGAGTAGGGTGACCACAAAAGACCTTACCAAGATGGTGACATTTGGAAAGTCATGAGGAAGAGAACATTGGAAGTCTGGGGCACAGATGTCCATGAACAAAGTCAGAGCAGGTGCCAAGGCAGGACCGTGTGGGAAACAGCAAGGTGGCCAGGGAGACTGGAGGGACCTGAGGAAGGGTTGGACTGTAGGTGAGGAAGTCTGAGTTTGCCTTTTACTCTAAGCACAATGGGACCCTGGTGGAGGGTGTAAGTGGAGTGGCTCTACTCAGACCTTCTGACACGATTCTGAGTGCTTGGTGGGGCACAGAGCACCCACCAGGAGATGAGGAAAGAAACAGGGAGAGCCCTGAGGGGCCTCCTGCAGTCATCCCAAGGAGGGATTGTGGCAGCTGAGCCAGATGGCAGCAGAGGGGGGGTGATCACAGTGGTCAGATTCTGGATGTATTTTTAAAAACATTTATTTTACACACACACACACACACACACACACACACACACTTTTCTTAAGGGTTCTTGAGTTTTATTTTTTTCCTTTTACTTTTCATTGACATGTGATATTAAATAACTGTGCATATTTGTAGGATACAGAGTGATATTTGATACATGTATACAATGCTTAACGATCACATCAGGGTACACAGCAGATCCATCACCTTGAACATTGATCATTTCTTTGTGTTGTGCACATTAAAAATCCTCTCTTCTAGCTTCTTGAAAGTATACACTAAATCACTGTCAACCATATTCGCCCTGTGGTGCTACAGAATGCCAGAGCTTCTTCCTCCCGTCTAGCAGTAACTTTGCATCTGGATGTATTTTGAAGGTAAATCCACAGGATTTCCTGTTAGCTTTGACATGGGATATGGGGCATAGGGTCAACCAAGGATGGCCCCAAGGTTTGTTAGAGCTGCTGGAAAGATGGAGACACCATTTACTTAGAAGATTTGATGTTGCGGGGAGGGCCAGGAGAGCAGGTCTGGACATATTTGAGACTGTCAAGTAGACAACTAGGGACGGGTGGCTAGCCTCATCAGCGCACAGAAGGTATGGAAAGCCGCAAGCCTGAAAGCGAGTGTGGAGAGAGAAGGAACATTGTCAGAAGACATAACACCTCAGTGGGGAGGAGAGAAAAAGCAACCAAGGTGGGCAGGCAGGGGAGGTAAGAGGATGGCCAGGGCAACGGGGAGCCTGGAGGCTGCGGGAAGCAACGATTCCAGGAGTGAACAAGTGCGCCAAAGGCTGCTTTATGTAAAGGAGGAAGAGGCCAAGGGTCAGTGTTAGACTCAGCCATGCAGGAACCTCTTGCTAAGGGCAGTGATTGTGAAGCAAAGGGACACAGCCCGATAGGTGTGGGACCAACAGACCCTTCAAGGAGTACTGTATTGGGAGAAAATTTGGATTGAATAGTCCCTAATGTCCTCTTGGAACCCTGAGATTATTCTGCACTCTTACTATGATTTCCATTCTGGAAGATGGTCTGGTTAGTGGAAGGGCAGATGAAGGAACAAACCATCCCAATTCCTGAAAGTCAAAAAAGCCTTTGGAAAGGTTCTGGACTTGGCCAAAGGCTCTGCTGCAGCCAGGTATATTTTCCCATTTCCATCCATTTGTCCAGTGGCTTTATGGATGAAAATGAAGACAATCATGTATGGGCTACTCTGCTTAGAGAGTCCTAAGTGGGGATCAAGAATCCTGGTTGAGCTATCAGACTGACTCCTGTATTCAAAAAATCTCTCAACGGGTTACAGCCACTTCTTTTCTTCTCTGTTCCAAGAACCACTCCAGTGATAGATTTGACCTTCACTCTAATGACTGAGAAAAAGGCAGAGAAGTGAGGAATCTTGCAGTGGAGATGGGCTGAATGATATCCATCTTCTGCTCTAAGCTGAGTCTGCCCGCCTGTTGAATCTGCATTGTTGAGTGCATTGATGAGACCTTCCCCATGGGGTTCCTTCTGTGAGGCAGTCACTTGGATCTAGGTCTGTCCTGGCCTTCTAGGACCCCTTCCTGCCATCCTTGTTGAAAAGGGAATTTAGCATCCGTGAAGCCAGCATCTTCCTACCTGAGTGTAGAAGAGTGGACGCTGTGCCCTCTGCAGTGTGTTTCTGTGATGTGGTGTGTGGCAGATACAGCTGGTTCCTGCCTGTATATCTTACCAGCCCTTTCCATGCATGGGGGCTGGACTTCCAGCTTCCAGTGCCCGCAACTCTGTCCAAGTGCCCTGGTGGCCCGAGCCCACTCTGCCCTCACATGGCCAGGCTGGATGTGCTCAGGAGTGATACCCTCAAGGGGCAGCACTGACTAATGGGAGCTGGTGTACAAATATTCCAGCTCTCTGACCCCCCAGGTGGCCACTCTGAAGTATGTGTACCCCATCATCTTCCAGGATTCCACCATGGGGTCAAACCTTGGTGTCCAGAGCAGTGACCTGCTTGATAACACACCTTTGGTTGCCTTTATTCTCTCCTTTGTCTTTCTCTCCCACTCCCCACTCAGTGTTTCCTAGGATCCTATCCCAAATAAATTAACTGCTCTAGAATCTTTGTCTGAGGTCCTACTTCTGGGGAATACAAAACTTGATGCAGAAAAAAGGCTCCAAGATTTGATATCCCTAGATTCTTGTCAATCCCCTCTGTGGCTATCCCTCAAGAGGCATGGCAGGCAGCTGCCTAAGGATGTGGCTTGGGGCTGTGCATCTGTGGGGTCCCAGCCCAGCCCCACTGTTCCGTCTCTAGGCCAGAGTGGGGTAGACCACCTCATCTCTCGGGTTTATTTTAAGATTAATGTTGTACACCTTGGAGAAGCAAAATTGTACCTAGGAGATCCCAATGTTTTCCTTTGTAACTGAAACAACAATTTGGTACAAAACAGAATGAAAACCAAAAAGAAAAATAAAAGAAGGGGAGAATGAAGAGAATGATAAGAAGGAAGTGGAAGGAAAAGGAGAAGAAGAAAGCCGAGGAAGACAAAAGAAACAGGAAAGAAAAATAAGAAAAAAGTACCAACTGTCACAAAAAGCTTTATTTCACTGGAATTGGGGTGATGGACTGTAGTTAGCTCATAAAGAAAACAAATGAGCAGTTTTCCACCTGAGTTTCCTGGTCTGCGATTCAAGATGTATTGACTCAGTGAGTAGAAACAGAGGATTTGTGGTTAAACCTAAGATGAATGAAAGTCTGTTCCATTTGTTGGCAAACACTGCAAAGTTCCAGTTACTGCTATCACTTCCACCTGACTCACAGGCACACAGCTCCAAACCAAACTCTTTGTGGTCTCAAAGTCCTTTTTCAGAGAAAGACACTTCTCCCATTATTTAAACTTAATAAATATGAGGATAGCTGGTAAAGAAAAGACATGGTCAGGTAAACTACCTGAAATGGGAATAAGTTGCATAAGTAAAGAATGGTTGCATTGAGATTTTAGCTTCAAAAGCAAAACATGTGAACCTAATGTTTTCTTAAAAATTTAGGTTCTAATGAAAACACATGGACACAGGGAGGGGAACAACACACACCGGGGCCTGTTGGAGGTGGGGGGCAAGGGGAGGGAGAGCATTAGGACAAATACCTAATGCATGCGGGGCTTAAAACCTAGATGACAGGTTGATAGCAGCAAACCACCATGGTACATGTATACCTATATAACAAAAGCCTGCACAGTCTGCACATGTATCCTGGAACTTAAAGTAAAATTAAAAAATAAATAAATACATACATAAAAATAAATACTAAAAAATTAAGATTTCTCTATTGTGGTAGGACAGAAATAAAAGTCTTTATAACTGAAAAAAAAAAATCAGGTTATAAGAGCAACCATGTCCTGCCACCAAGTTAATTGTTCCTTGGTGTAATTTCCCCATAAAATGGTAGAAGAACATAAGATAATAACCCCCTCCTTCGTATTTCATTTTCCTGCATGGTCATAAAGAGAGTTTGGGGAAAAACATTCAAGAGTTTCATCAAGTTTTCCAAGTCTCCATCCTGATCCTTTAATATTAGTATCATTTTCTTTGGGGGGATAGAGAACCTGGGTTGTCATCCTTGACTTTTTTTCTTCCTCAATTGCAGGAGCCTCCTTCATTAATGCCTTTGTACGTGGGATGGAGACATCATTCAACACGTCTGCCTCATGAAACCCTCTATCTCTGCCAGATTTTCAGTTTCAGTTTGCAGTCAGTTTGTATTTTTATGGGAATGTTACAATTTCCAACAAATGGCCAAAAATTGGCTTATGTAATGAATGGGGAGAGATGCTATTGTTAAGCAGGAAAAAAAGTAGGAGGGGGCCTAGGTTTTTAAAGCGGTCAGATCATTAGTGAATATTGTGTGTTTTGACAAGTTTGCTTTCCTATGCAACCTGCCAACAGCAGTGATTCAGATAATGAATGCTGAACTTAGATCAACGAAGAACCTCTGCCTCCATTATACATTACACCCTCCTTTTTGACAACTTAAAAAACATATTATTATTCTTTTTAAAAGCCTTATTGTGACACGGTCATTCTATAGAAACAACCAAAGCATACATGAAAAATGGAGCAAGTATTGCTAATCTGCAAAGAAAAGTTATTTACCTAGTTATGCTTCTCATAGAACTGTGTGTCCTAAATGAGAAGACACCAGCAAATGGTACAGATATTAAAGGACTGACTTTAACTCATGTTGTAGAATGATGCATTGGGATCTTGAAGTCTGTACAATCCATTTGGTAATCATTTACCAACCAGTAACTTCACATTTCTTGTGGTCTTTAATATGTATTTAAATCTTATGTTGCTAATTAACAGTCATCTGTGTATGTATTTTTCTATACACTCTTACTCCATATCATCATCACCAAAGAAAGCAAATACCAGAACAATCAATTCAGACGAACAAGTTTAGGAGTCTATTAAAGACTATCATCGGCCCACACCAATATCAAGATAAAACCGAAAGATTGCTATGGCAGTTCAAAGAAGAGAAGATTGTGTCCACCTGGGGAAACCAGGGAAGGCTTCTTGCAGGAGGTGACACAGACTACAGATTTGAAGGACAAAAATGACTTGCACTTTTAAAATTGGGAGATGGGTTGAAGTGAACAGAGATGAAAAAGGGCATTCTGGTTAGGAAGAACAACATAAGCACAAGCACACAGGTAAGACAACAAAGGTAAGACACAACGAGCAGTTCAGTTCTGCTGTAGATATGGACAGGGGAAAGACAGCTAGACATGAGAAAGGGCTACTGGGATGTGACCAGCAAAGGGGGCCTTTCAGGCAAGAGGCAACGTCAGAGTGGAGGCTCAGGAAGCCTTATCAGTATGAAAATGAATTTGATGGAGCAGAGGATAAAGAACAGAGAGACAGGGGTGAGGGGACTTTGGCAGTCCAGTTGACCAAGAGTGGAGGTCTGGAGTGTATGGTGCAGTGGACTTGGAAAGCAAGGGGCAGGATGAGAAATGCTACAGTGGAAGAATTGATTAGATTTGACAGCAGTCTGGATGTGGACAGTCGGCCATGAAGCTGAGGCTTAAAGGCTGAGTGACAGAAACCACAAAGGTGCACCCAATGTACCAGAAGAACTCAGGTGAAATGGTACATTAATGAGCAAGTAATTTAGTTCATAGCTTAGACCCCCAATTGGAGCCTGCCTCAGAAGGCCCGGGCTGGAAAGATCTGGCACCCATTTGTAAACTAAGTCATGAGGATGGGAGAAAAATCAAGACCAAGGATGAGGAGTGGGGTGCCAGAGGAGGGGACTGATGTCATGAGATCAGATGAGACCATCCCTTTTGAAGGAGGTGTGGCCAAGAGCATCTCTGTGGGAGAAGGAATGCTACCATTTGGGGTGAGAAAAGAGGGGTTTCAGGAGGAAGAAAGCATTCCATAGAGTACAGCAGGTGGAGAGGATGCACAGTGAGATTGTTCACTGGATTGGTGTCCAGGAAAAAGAACTATGGGGAGTCTAAAGAATCAGTTTCAATTGGGGATCAGGGCAGGAGAAGGAGGCAAGTCCCATGTTATGGGTTCTCAAAGGACGTCTGTGAACTGACTCATATTTCTGGTGGCTTCCTTGAAGATAAACATCTAAACTCATTCACACGTCCAACCCTCTTCTATGCCTACATTCTCTTCCTTAATTCACAGAGGGGCCTGAGGGGCTGCAGAGGGACAAGGGTTGACAGGTGTACCAAGTGTGAGGCATGGCTTGGCCGCACACTGTCCACATATACACTGGAATGACCAAAGCAGAACAGTGGGGTTCAAGTCCTAGTTTGATAGTTCTTCACTGTGTGGACTTGCACAGGCCACACCCTGTTCTGACCACCAGTTCATTCACCTGCAAAATGAGGGATTGGACCTCCTGCTTTCTGACATCCTTCTATGCCATGGGCATTCTCCTCTGGTTCATGACCTTCCCTGGCCTTCTTCCCTCTGCATTCTCAGTCCTATAAGTCCCTGCTTTTCTCATCTCCCTCCTACATATGAGGGATTCACAAATGCTTCCTATTTATATTTATGCACAAAGAAGCGGTTACTTCCCTGAGTTTAAAAATTCACTCATCAAAGTCAGATGAATATCATTTGCAAAGCAGTCATCCAGATTCAAATTTAGTGAGAGGTTTTAGAGCTTTACTGGAGCTTAAAATCCCCTGCAAAAATTTTGTGTTTTTGCATTTCAGCACCAAACATTTTTAAACACCCTGAGCTACAAAATAAAAAATAAAATCAATACCAACTGCTATTATCTCTATGGGCACTGCCTGAGCCAATGTCAACCAGAATCATTCCTGCCATAAAAGGAGCTAATTTAAATGATATGTCATCCTTCCCCATATTGGAAGCCTCTAGCACTCAGGCAGCAGTAACTAGAACATGACAAGGCTATGCACACTGGCGAGTGGTATGTTCACATGGAACAGGCAGGCAGGCAGGTCTGCCTCACCTGCACCCCTGGGTAATTTTCAGGGAGAGGAATCTATTGAGCACAGTTTTGGGTGTGCTGCCACAGGCCCTGATGGAGAGGAAGGCTGGGAAACTGGCAGTTTGGCCAACTTTCTTTTGCTTTGCTGCTCATGCTGGCCAAATAGGAAGTCCAGCTGGGGGATATCATGAGACCAAAGCTGAGGATGTTTCTAGGCTTTTAGAATATCTGTTCCCAGACTAGGAATTCAGGGCTGGGTGTCAGAATTGGCTTCAGAAGTGGGCACAGTCATTCAGAGCAGAGAGGACAAGAGGTGTAGCCTCTTCCCTTCCAGTCTCCCCAAACCTCTTGAGTGGAGGAGTTAGGGAAAAAAAGCAGTCTGATAGGTATAATTTGTTTTTCTTTTCAATGCTATTAAATTTTATTAGTTTTCTTTTGGTTTGGCACGTTCGATGGGTTGATTCAAGGGGAAAACTGAAGCTTAAAAATGCAGTGGTTGTGACTTTCTGGGGAAGACGTCGAAAAATCAGGTCACTAAACAGAGACTCAATGGGTAGATGTAAGAAGGCCTATGCTGAATTAAAAAGCAGACAGCACGTGTTACAGCTCTGAATGAACAAACATAGGGATAATTGATATGGCAGGCTTGTGGGGTTGACATTAATCTCTTAGTGGCAGCCAATATATATTCTAAGAATCTTTAAGAATCAGTTGACTTCAGCTTCAGAAACTCATATGTTGCTATTACGTTCTAATACCAAGGATGCATTTTATAAAGAAAAGAAAAGAAAAACCTCTTTCGTAGAGAAAGCTTAGTAGAAGTCTTAATTGGAAACAGACTAGCCAGTAGATGTAAGTGATTAAAAAAAAAATCACAGGAGAAAGGACTGGAAATAAACACAGTGTAAAAGTCTTTAGACATCAGACAGCTGTGGTTAAACTGTGTGATGATGGAGCCTTAAGTAAATCTGATCAATCATACACTTTGTACAAACGGTGAAAATAATCTCTTTGCTTGATCTTTGACCATCCCACACTCTCTGGGAGTTTCCCAAATCTAGGACCATTCCAGGATTGAGATGAGGCCAACGTGTTTTTTTTCCTAATTTAACTCTTATACTTTAAAATAGCATAAGCCGTGGTCAGACTGAGTGTTCTAATATCAAAATGGGATGGAAGGGAAATGGTACCCAGAGAGAGGGTGGCAAATGCTAAAGCCTGGGATCCGTTAATCAAAATGGTCACCTGTAAGAGGGGAATGCTGACAGCCTGTGGAAAAAGGATGAGATTTAGACAATGAGGAGAAGGCGGTTAAGCCTGACCACCTGCACAATCTGTCAGGAATGGAACAAAGACTGAGGGAAGGTGGGGTGCTTTGAAGTGGGGATGCAGAGCTCCTGAGAGAGGAGGGTAGGCAGAGGGTAATGGAGGAAATTCCTCAGAGCCTGCAGTAGGGGGATTTGAGCGAACACTCAAAGGCATCCAGGGCTCTGGCGGAGGCTCACACTTGAGGTCGTGTTAGCAATGCTTGGTCCATGACAATAAGCTAGTTTAGAACCACTGAGCACCTTCAGAGATCTAGGTTAACACTGGGGGTTCTGACTCCTTTCTACTCTCTGTGATTTATCACTGCTCCCAAGGACTGCAAGTTCCTAGATCATTGTCCTAATTGCAACTAAACTGCTCACCAAGGCCCCAGGACCCCCCACCCAGCCCTGCCTAGCCCTTGGCTTCACCCAGGACCCTGCTCTCCAGCATCAGCGGTCTTCTTTCTGTTCCCCTAACCGAGTCACTCTGTTCCTGCCTCACGGCTTTGGAGTGGGAGTTCACTCTTCCTGGAATGTTCTAGGTCTTCACATGGCTCCTCCTTCATACCACTAGGGTCTCAGCCCCAAGATTCCCTCTTCATAGAGGCCTTTGTTCCCTTCCCATCTGTGGTGGCTCATGCCAGCCCCTCACTCCCACTAGGCCCTGACGTCCCCCTATTTTACTCTCTTCAGACCACTCCTACTGGAGATTACCTTGCTGGTTTATTTTTTCTTATTGATCATCTACCTTCCCTCTGGCAGCACAGAAGCACCTTGAGAGCATGGGCCTTTCCTGTCTTGGTCACCATCATATCCCCGAGCCCTAGAATTGTCACTCAGAAGATACTCACCGATGGAGTAAGTGACTGGACCACACTGTGCTGCCCGGGGATTGCAGACATCTCTGCTGCCTTTCATGATGTAGTAGCATGGGAGCCTTGAGCTTCCTTTCGAAGCCCTTACAGAGACACGTGAATGATGGGGCTCAGCACAGACCCAGGGGTAACAGAGGCTACCATTGCTCAGTTGCTCTCATACGCACCAGCTCGGTGTGCACCAGGATGCCAGGACAGCTGCAGGTGTCACCCCTGGAACTCACAGCCTTGTTTTTTTTTCTTTGAATATGTGCATAATGTGGCTCCAAGGCCAGCAACAGACAGCACACTTAGTTCCAAAATGAACAATGAATTTAAGGAATAATAAAAAAAGAACTGAAGGGAAATATGTACCCGAAGTCTGATAGTTATGGGAAACCTCTTCTTTCTTCTGATGGAGAAAAGACTTCCTGCTTTCAAACAACTGCCAAGTGGTTTGACAACAGCCAGCCTGCTGGGCGAACAGGTGTTCAGACTCAGGAGGGATTTGGTCACAAATAGGAAGTCATTCCGGACTATTTATGGAGTCCATTGATTCTCTGATTGTCCCACTTGATACGTGAGCACCAAGAGCCGGCAAACAACCTCAGAAACATCCATCACCAGCCCCCATTCCACACGGAACTCTTTTCTTTGGAAAAGGAGAGAAATTAGGGTACACAAAGTTGAAGATGCCAAAATTCAGCATATGCCATCACCCCCTGCTGAGCTGTCTGACCCCACAGCTGCATCTGTTCAGCGGGCAGATGCTGTGGTGTGGCCAGGACTGCCCAGACCAAAACCCCCACAAAAGTTAAGCCAGGACCAGGGAATTCCTGAGTCAGGTCCAACTCTGGTCAAATCAGGGCCAGAGACTCAATTACATGTAAGGATTCATTTACTTCTAAATCCCACTTGGGACTTTGGTAGATGAACTTTGGTTCCATGACTAGTGCCACGCTGTGTGATTTCAGGACTTTAAACAGGGTGACAATTCCAGAGAGACTGAAACCCTGACTTGTTTTACTAGGACTTAACTCCACATGCACCGTGAACATGCCAGGCTCTTCCTAAGCAATCTTGCTCAGCTGAACCACGGTGCGGGTGTGATGAGCCCCCCTCAGCTGGCTGATGCCTCCAGTGGTAGCAGAGAGTGGTCTGCTTGCCGGACATGTGGCTGGCTTTCAACTCCCCACACACCTGCCTGCTGACTCATTAGCGCAGAGAGAGAGTCAGGGACTCCCGTGCCTTTGCCATCTGGTTTGGACAGGCCTCCTCTGGACAGAGCCATAAGCAGGGATTTCATGTACGTGATGAGAGACTCCTTTAGATGTTGATGCTTGTGAAGAAGGAGTTCTCAAGCCAAGCCATGCTTAGCATGGGGACTCTCTTGGTAGATGTGTATGTCTTTTGGTAAATATATAATAGTATACAGTGTGTTATGGCTTGGATTCTAGAGTTGGCCAGACCTGGGTTGGAAGTTTGGATTGGACATTTCCTACCTGGGTGAAACTGAAAACCAGCTGTGGTTTCGAAGCTTTAAAGAAGAGGTCCAGGCATCTGTCTGGGTAAAGGAGAAGGTAGAGGGTTTTTTCTGAAGTCATATCTTTATAGCAAGGACACTGTGGGGGCTTGTGTGTGGAGTAGGTGGGCAAAAGCTCTCCCAAGCCACCCATTGACACCAACACTGATGAGCTACATCTCTGATTTTTCATCTGTAAAATGGGGACAATGATAGTACTTTTTTCAGGGGACTCTAGAAAAGATTAAATAAAATAATGTATATAAACAACAAAGTGCGGTGCCCAGGAGCCATCAATACATGTTAGGAATAACAATAACAATAATAACTTATTTATTTATTTGAGACACAGTTTTGCTCTTGTCGCCCAGGCTGGAGTGCAGTGGCACAATCTCGGCTCACTGCAACTTCCACCTCCCAGGTTCAAGCGATTCTCCTGCCTCAGCCTCCCAAGTTGCTGGGGTTACAGGCACCCGCCAGCCACACCCAGCTAATTTTTGTATTTTTAGTAGAGACAGGGTTTCACCATGTTGCCCAGGCTGGTCTCGAACTCCTGACCTCAGGTGATCCGTCCGCCTCAGCCTCCTAAAATGCTGGGATTACAGGCGTGAGCCACCGTGCTTGGCCAATAATAATAACTTTAAATTAATGCTACTACTACTCCTATTACTGTTTCAATTATTATTAGTAATAGGAGTCTTAAACATTAACTTACACCCCTCTTTTATGGAAAACACCAGCACTGCAGACCAGAGCCAGCTGAGAGGCTGTGCATGGAGGGACTGGAGAGATGAGACTTGTAGGACTCTCAGATTCACATTCCCGGCTTGTAGCATGGCCGTGAACATTCTGACGTCTCAGGAGCCCTTGCATGAATCATGTGTCAACACCGTTCTGAGAAAGGGCTACATCTAACCTCAGCTCTCTGTGGAACAACTAGGATGGTGTTGGTGACTTCCCTGGTTTTGTCAACAGGGCAGGAGTCAGAAGGGGGAGCATGGGTTCACCCTGGGTCTGTGATCTCCATGAGTGGAGGAGGGATGACGCAGATACATAGGTTGTGGGTGCGTTGCTTTTTTATTCTTTTTGAAGTGTGGATCCCCACATAAAGGGAATTCCAACTCCTTGAGCTCTTGCTGGCCGGAACAGACCAGGGAACTGGGGCACCAAAGAAACAGGAGATTTCTGAGAGGGCAGCTGCAGAGGCTGAAAATAGACCTGGAGCTTCTGGGCAAGAGGGCCCCATGAAAAAGTGGATTGGGACCACCGCCCAGACAAGCTTCTGTGCTGGGCAGAAAGCCCAAGCCAAACTCTTGCTGGCAACACAGGTAGAGGAGAAGGCGAATGGGTCTTCTGGGTGTTTTACATATATAAACATATATCAACACCACAACAACCCTATTAGGTAGATATTATTATTACTCCCATTTAGTAGATGAGAAAACTTAGGTACAGCAAGGTTAAGTAACTTCTGAAGTTCATGTATTCAAGATGTGGGGAGGCCAAGATTTGAATGTGGGCAGTTAGCCTCCAGAACCATATGAAAAACTTAGCGTTGGCCAGGTGCAGGGGCTCACACCTGCAATCTCAGTGCCTTGGGAGGCAGAAGTGGGGGGATCACTTGAGGCCAGGAGTTTGAGACTAGCCTAAGCAACATAGGGAGACCCTGTCACTACAAAAACATTTTAAAAATTAGCCAGGTGTGGTGGCACCTGCCTGTAGTCCTAGCTACTCAGGAGGCTGAGGTGGGAGGATCACTGGAGCCCAGGAGTTTGAAGCTGCAGTGAGCTATGATTATGCCACTGCACTCCAGCCTGGGTGACAGGACAAGAACTCATTTCTAAAATATTTTTAAGAAAGCACACATACACAAAACCCACTTAGCTTAGTGCTTGTGCATAATAATACAATATGACTAATATTTACAATTACTCTCTCTGCCCAAGGCCAGAATTGGAGCTGCACACTTTATATTAAACATTTTGCTTCAGTTCAAACTTGTAGAGTAGCACTTCATTAAAATCCATTTTTATTTATGTGAGATGACAGATGTGCACAATTCTTTTATTTTATTGTCATAAAAATTAAGGAGATATATTTGATCATGATATTCTTGTTTCTTTACATGAAATTGCAGAGCTGACTTTTTTGATGGCATTTAAAAGGGCTCTCAGAGGCCCTCCTGAAGCCTTCATATGAATATGATGACTCTTAGTAGGTGTTCTGGACTTAACCGCTGGGCAGAATTTAAGAGTCCAGCGAGAAATGGCGCCTCCTAATGGGTTTGTCTAGGCCAAGCTGGCAGGGTCTGGAGCTGGAGCTGGGGCCGAGGGGAGGCTGGGAGCGCTGGGAGATCAACCCCTGTTTGGGTGAAAGCCACGTGTTTTCCACCCTGACCTGATTCTCAACTCTGTACCAAGAGCACTGAGGCCTTCCCTCAGAATGACCCCCACGGGCCTTCAACCTGGCTCCTGGACCTTCACAGGTAGCATAAGCCAAGCCAAGCCCTGCAAGGACTTCGACGCCAACATGTTTCCAAAACAGGAAAGCACACGTTTACCAAGGACATGGCTGAGCTTTGACTCCGCGGGTCATAGAAGAATCTCCTGGCTGTTCCCCTCTCAAGCTTTCCTCCTTATCCCTTAAACAGAGTCAATTCTTCCCAAAGAGAGTAGATGCCAGGAACAGGATGGGCTGAACAAACTCATCAGGATGAGGGAAGGTGCGTCTTCCCACGCTTCATTCTGCAGAACATCCCAGCACCACAGCGTATTGGCATCAGGAAATGGTATCAGAAAGGCCTCAAATTCCATTTAGTCCCACACCACATTTCAATCCCTGCTAAATTCCATAATGAGGGCATGCATAAACGTAGCTCGGAATAGAGTCTCAGTGTCTAACAGGAGGCAGCATCTTGTGTTCCACTCAGAGATGAGCACCTGGGTAGCCAGGCTCAGCACTATCAGGTGTTCTAAACCAAAAAGGCCCAGGGACACATCATACATATACAGATGCGCGGGAGGGTCTGCATCATACACGCAGTCCTCCAGATGCACGGGAGGGACCGCATCACACATGCAGGCCACCAGGTGCGCGGGAGGGACCGCATCACACACGCCGTCCGCCAGGTGCGCGGGAGGGACCACATCATACACGCAGTCCGCCAGGTGCGCGGGAGGGACCGCAAGACAGTCTAGGGCGCCCTCCTCCTCCATTTGTGAGACATGTTCTACAGCCTCCAGGACGGGAGCCCCTCTGTCCTGTTTTGCTCCACTGACTCATGTGTGCCCCACAGAGATCAAGAACACAAATTCTGGAAGCAAATTGCCTTGTTCTGCATCCTAACTCTGCTATTCCTGGATGTGTGGCCTGGGGTATGTTTCTCAACCTCCCTCTCTGGGCTCTATTTTCTCATATGTACAATGAAGAAAGAAGAACCGACACCATGGGGTTGATACAAAGATTAAACGAGTTCATGCATGTAATTTCACATCGACTCAACTGAGTTCCCAGTAAAGATTAGCTATTCATATGAAAACTATTTTTAATTTAAAATAAAAATAGCAACTGGGAGTAAAAGAAAGGTGTGTGTGTGCGTGTGTGTGTGTGTGTATATACATATATATATATTTAAATTTTTATTTAAGAAAAAGGTCAAGCACAAAGATGCTATGGGGAGGCTGGGACACATGTGTTTAGAAGCTGCATGTTGCAGTAATCAAAGACAGAGCAAGAGAGTGGAAAAAGTAAAGTTTACTGTATAATGACCAATATCTTAAAATGACGAAGGGCAGGGGTTTAATGTTGTCTAACAGCTGTACCCACGCCTTGAGTCCCCCAGCTGCTGGTACCTCACCAAGTGCCCTAATTCTAATTTTCCATGCCCCAACTGCAGTCACAATTTCACTGTGGGAGAAAGTCACAAGTAAATAAAGCACACTGAGGCCAGTGTGCTTTATTCTTTCTCCTCTCCCAGGCAATGGCACTCAGGTATATGCACTATAGGGAAGGGAAGAAGAAACTCATCCTCCCTTCCACACACAAGATATGTCACCCCCTTGGTTGGGTCAGGGGAGGGAGAGCCCCCAGCCAACTGCAACACAATCTTACTTTGCCAGTGAAAGCCGGACACGTGGTACATGAGCCCTCCCATTGCCCTAGATGGTCTGCACACCATCTGGAAAGGTTAATGGCATTAGTTTCTTTCTCACTTGGAGATTCAGGCTCAGGTCCAGGCTCCAGGTTTCCATTCAAATGCAGAGTGAGATTTCCCCTGCAGGAAAGAGCAGCTGCAGCAGGAGGCCACAAATGTCTTACTTCACAAAAAATAAAAGGAGATTGGCCTAGAATAAAAAGGATTTGACTAGAAAAGTATTCTGTCATATTAAAAAAATCCCAAAAACACCCCTCAAACTTTCCTTTGATTGTGTCCTTCACTTCTCCATTTTAAGATTGCAAACTCAGTATTGAAGGGATACGCTGCACTGTCGTTTGTTGCAGCTCTGTTCACAATAGCAAAGGTATAGAATCAACCTAAGTCTCCACGAATGGATGAGTGGGTGAAATGTGGCATATACATTCAAGGGAATACTATTTGGCCATAACAAAGAATGAAATGCTGTCATCTGCAGCAACGCGGATGGAATTGGACGTCATCATGTTCAGTGAAAATAAGCCAGGCACAGAAAGACAAATATCTCATGTTCTCATTCATATGTAGGAGCTAAAATAGTTAATCTCATGGAGGCAGAAAGTAGAATGATGGATACCAGCAACTGGGCAGGGTGTGGGGTGAGGGGAGATGAAGAGAGGTTGGTTAATGGGTACAAACATACAATTAGGTAAAAAGAATAAGTTATAATATTTGATGGCAGAGTAGGGTGACCACAATGAACAACAATGTAGTGTATATTTCAAAGTAGCTAGAAGAGAGGACTTGAAACGTTCCCAACATGTAGAAATGATAAATACTGGAGGTGACAGACACTCTAAATACCCAGATTTGATTATTATATATTCTATGCATGTAATAAAATATCACATGTACCTAATAAATATGCAAAAATATGTATCCCATACGTGTTTTCTAAAATTATATATATTTTATTTTATTTTTGGGGTTATTTTTATTTTTGGGTTATTTCACTCTGTTGCCCAGGCTGGAGTGCAGTGGTGTGATCAAAGCTCACTGCAGCCTCAACTACCCAGGCTCAAGTGATCCTCCCACCTTAGCCTCCCAAGTAGTGGGGAATATAGGTGTGAACTACCACACCTGGCTAATTCTTAAACTTTTTTTAGAAATGGGGTCTCACTATGTTGCCCAGGCCGTTCGTTGTGGAACTCCTAGGCTCAAGCAATCCACCCACCTTGGCCTTCCAAAGTGCTGGGGCCACAGGTGTGAGCCACAGTGCCTAGCAAAAAATTGTATTTATTAAAAAATAAAATAAAATTGCAAACTGAGTCCTTCTTGTCTGATGGATTAACAAGTAGAGATAAGGCTTGTCAGGAGCTCAGGGAACACAGAATAAAGACATGCTAATGATATTGCAGCCTAGCAGAGTCTGATAAAATATCCAAACTCTAGCTGGACCTAAGATGGGCGGGGAAAGGGGGTGTGAGAAAGCAGAGGACAGAGAATAAGATGGGTCAATCCACACCGTAGCAAATGCTGTGTATTTCACCTGTTCACGTCCTGCTCCACCATATGCAAAAGCATGGCCACCAGGGGTCTATGGAGCTCCTAGGTGCCAATTTCAAATTCATAAAGACTGAGGTTGACCTGGAGATGGGCAGTGCTATCCAGGACATAGGTGTCACCGTATCTGAAGTCCTAGAAGGAGCCAATCAGGGCTTTCACTACAAGTGCCACCAAGGGAAGCTGTGACTGTAAGAGGGTTGGGCGGCTCAGGAGGTTGGGCAGGGCCAGTGAATAACATCAACAACTTTTAATTAAAATCTCACCATTTACTCAGAGACCCTACCAACTTTCTGGATCTGACTCATAACGGTCAACCTCAGAATGTGTTGGATAACAGGATGCCTACTTTCTGAACACAAGCTCCTAATTGCTCATGGCGATTTGTACTCATTTGTACAGTTAACAAATATTGCTTAATCAATTTATACTGCTCAGGGCAAATATCCAGGAGTGTTCCATGATTTTTCCCATGTCATCACTCCTATTTCCAACTGACCTGCAAACCCTCTTGGCATCACCTCCAAAAAATATTCTAAAGACAGCAACCACTTCTTATCTTTACTGCTGACAACGCCACTCAAGTCTTACCACAGGCTTCCTACCTGGTCTCCCGGCCACCATCATGCCCCTGTAGTATCCTTTCTCTGCCAAGCAGTTGGGGTGATATTCCCAGAATATAAATTGCATAACGGTAGTCAACAGCTTAAAACTCTCCCGTAGCTTCCCAATGCACCCATATCCTCAGCATGACCCAAGGCTGGACATGATCGGCCCCTGGCTACCACCTCTCTGAGCACTCCCAGCCATACTCCCCTTCTTCACCAGGCTCCAAACTGGCCTATTCCATGATCCTCGAACATGTCAAGCTTGCTTCTGTATGAACATTTACTCTTCTTCCCACCTGGAAGTTTCTTCTCCTAGATCTTGATTGGAGTTGCTGTCATGATTTGGGGTTTCTTTGAGACACTTCCCCGATCACCCTCGCTAAAGCTGTTCCTCCACCTTCTCCACTGTTCACCACCCATCCCATTGCCCAATGCATTTCCATCAATAACTTTTGTCTTCTATTATCTGATCATTGATTGGTTCAGATGCTCCTTGCCTGTGTTCTCCCATGGGTCTGTGAGCTCTAGAAGGGAAGAAACCTTTCCTGTTTTGTTCACCTCAGTATGCTTTGTGCCTGCCGCTAAAAAGCAGTGAATGGAAGTCCACATGAAATCAATAATTCGGTTTCATGACTGTGTCTCAAATGCTACCCAGAGTTTGTGCTGTTTCAACTCACCTTGTCTTTGGTGTATCTGGTGGCAACTTGTGATACTCATTCATCCATGCATCCATCTGACTACCCAGGCACCCCTAGAATAGTCCCTGAGCACGTTTGTGCCAGCTGAAGGGCCCTGTGAACTCTGATCATATACTCATCCTCCCCTGCCCTGCATCAAGGGCAGGATATCAGCTAGCCAGGCCCTTATCGAAGATGCTTCAGCCCTTACCATATGTGACACTACTGTTGGTGCTGCAGATGCAGTAAGGAACAGGCAGAGACGGGCTGCATTCTTGGGGAGCTCACAGCCTAGCACAGTGATTCCCTCAGCAGAAAAAATGCGTGATGTGTCTGCTTAGACACATCATGCATTTCACTGTTGCCAGGGTTGGGGATGGTCGATGAATATGCCTCTTCCTGTTGCCCTTGGCCTTGCTGTTTTCTTACTCTAGCTTGTGAACCTAGAAGACCAGCATTTTACACTGTTCCTGGGGGCAATGGCTGGCAGTTTACTGGGATGGCACATTCCTTCTGCTCAGAGAGTGACTCATGTTCAAAACTGCACCAAATCAGAGTCTACATTTTAAATGGTGCCATTTTCTTCACAGAGTGCAATGTCTTAATATTTTTTCACGGCACTATGCTATCAGTGCTTGCAGGGGTGTCTTCCCTGAAAACTCTTTATAACACAGTAACTTCTCTCTCATGTACTTTCTTTAACGCTTACCATGCTGTATTGCTTTTTCATAGCATTGGCCACCACTTGACTCCATATATCTTCTCCCTATCTCACTATCCCACTATCCCACTATATTAATATCTTACTCTCTCTCCATCTATCCATCCATCCATCCACTCAGCCACCCACCCACTCACCTACCTACCAATCTATCACCTCTGTTGAGTATTTAACATCTCGAAGCCTGCTACTAGAATGTAATTTTTTCTCTAGTGCCTCTTCAGTGCCTGAAACTGTGCCTGGCACATAGTAGGCTCTCAGTAAACATTTGTTAAATCAGTGAATGAGCTTACTGCCCAAAGAAGACTATAATAAACATTTCTCCCTAGAACACAATCAGTGGACTATGACCCTGGCTTTAAATTCACAAATAACTACGAGACAAACCACCTTTAATTCACATTATTGTGTACAGACAGGCCTGCATTTTTAGATTCTAGGAGGTCTCAGGCCTCAGGTCCTGGTGTGGTTCAGGCCATAGCCACCTGGACTGTAGCTGCTTGGACCTAGGGCATGAAATCTGGTCTGCTCTGTCACTCCCTACATGGTGACCTGTGTAGGGGGTTGATAGGAGGGAAGACCAGGGAGTCTTCAGTGGACACCAGTCGAAGGAACAGAGGTGGAAGCCTTCCCTGCCTGCTGCACATACACTTTTGTGACTTGCTAATGTCCTGTGTGCCCTTTTACCAGGGGAAGCTTTCCAGTGCTTTTTTGCCCAAGGGTGGAGTTCGAAGGCCATGACGGGAATCCTTCGCCTCCCCTCACTTGGTGTGCAGGCTGGCTCTGCCTGTGCAGAAAGGGCAGGTGTGGAGATGAGGGGTCTCTGTGCTAAGGCTAGGGGTGCCTGGGCCCACCCGGCAGCTGTTGTGGGGTTCAGGAGTGAATGGCCGGGGTCCAGCAGGAGAACGAGCTCAGCAGATGTCACATGTTGCAGCAGTGCGGAAGAAGGCATTTTCTGGGCTGCCAGTCCCTTTGCACCCAAGTGTGCCCCTCTGATTACTCACTGAAGTGGGTTGCATGGTGATAAGAGGGCACTGAGCTGTGAAGGAATGTTGAGGACAGCCACACTGTGGAGGGAGCTTTAGGGTATGAGGCCCTTGGTCTAAGCTGACTCTGGGAGCCAGCCTTGAGGAAGCAGTTACCCTGCTTTGCCTGTGTTGTTTAGCTGTATCCCTGCAGCCCTCAACGTCTCCCAACTCATTGGTTCTGTGACTGACACAGTACTCAGCCTCTCTGAGCCTTGGTTTCCTCTTTTCTCAACAATGTCTTTCTCCAGGAGTTATTGAAAGGATCAAAATGAGTTCACATATGTAACGCTGCGAGACAGTGCCTGCCACAAGGTAAGTACTGTAGGTGTGCTTGTTAAAGGGAAGCATAAATAAAACAAGCATCTGCCAGCCTGACTGGCTTTTGTCCTCACTATACTTAACCTTCAACTCAGGTTCAGCTACTTGCGGGGCAGAGGGGCCTGGATGCCCAGTCTCTACCTCCTTCTGTGATTTTGCTAAGGGGTGACCTGGCTTTGGTTCAATTAGCCCTGGGCTCATTTGGCAGATTCTTGCTAAGAGCCCCACTTGCCTGTGATAGGAGGCAGTGTGGGGAATGTGGTGTCATGGAAAGAAATGACATTTGTGCCCCAAAAATGGACTCTCATCTTGGGACAGTGCTCAGCTGCCATGATGGTAAGACTCTGGGCAACTTGTACATTGAAAGTCTTTGCCAGCCATGTGCGGTGGCTCACGCCTATAAGTCCAGCACTTGGGGAGGCTGAGGCAGGCGGATCATCTGAGGTCAGGAGTTGGAGACCAGCCTGACTAACATGGCGAAACCCTGTCCCTACTAAAAATACAAAAATTAGCCAGGCATGGTGGCAGGCACCTGTAATCTCAGCTACTCGGGAGGCTGAGGCAGGAGAATCGCTTAAACTTGGGAGGTGGAGGTTGTAGTGAGCCAAGATCGTGCCACTGCACTCCAGCATGGGCAACGCAGTGAGACTCTATCTCAAAAAAAAAAAAAAAAGAAAGAAAGAAAGAAAATTTTTGCCGAAGATGTAGGCAGTGAGTTTCAGAAGGTGAATATTCCTTCCAGTAATTTTCATGGTGCTCCTTGGAAGTGAGTTTCAAGAGAAACATGAAAATTACTCACTTTGAAGGAGCATGTGAAAACTACATGGAAGGAGTCCTCACCCCTGGCCACGAGAGGTTCCTGCTTTTCTCTTCACATTTCTGGAATGATGCATCTCAGATACATCCAGGTGTGCCATACTAAAGGGAAATGATTGCTTCATTTTCTTTCCCCCATTGCACCGTGCTGATTATGAGTACCTCTCTTGCAAACCTAAATCCAAGAAACAGAACTAATAAAACATTGCCATGATCAGTTTAAATCATTTCTAATGGCTCTACCCACTATTGATTTGGCTATGGAAATAAATTGGACAGAAGGACTCAGAGGAGTGCTTAGTCGAGTGTGATGATTTAGAGACTGCCTGGACAATATAATAAGAAGAGGACAAAACCCCTGACTAACAAATGGGCAATGATTTAAACAGATTTTTCACCAAAGAAGATGGCAAAGAAGCCTGTTAAAAAATGCCCAACATTATGGCTCGTCAGGGAAATGCAAATTAAAACCACAGTGACGTGCCACTCGTGCTCAATAGAATGGCTAAAATGAAAACAAAACAAAATAGTACTGATAATACTAAGTGCTGGTGATGATGTGGGGCACCTGGAATCCCACATGTAGGTGGTGGAAATACAAATGGTTTAGCCACTTTGCAAAGCTGTTGGTGGTTTCTTACAAACATACTTAGCACACAACCCAGTAATCCCACTCCTAGGTTATTTACCTGAAAGAAATGAGAGCATATGTCCACAGCAAGACCTAGAGTGCATCTGTGTGCAGTTTTTCCCTTGTGTTCCACCAGCCCAGGGAAAGCAGACATTGAGGCAGCACACGATAGTGCACAGGCTTTGTCCTGTAATCATTTATCTCTGCTTTTTATAATAAACTGAAAACTGTGTATTCGAGGTGGAAGTGATTAGATTCTTAGCTCTGGAGGGAAGGGAGAAATGGGTATGTGGTTCTTGATTAACCTAAACCAATTGAGTAACTAGTTCCTTTGCCACAATGATTGGTTCAGGGATGGTCAGGTAACCTGAGTTGGCTCAATCAGATTTTTGTTTGATGATGCTATGGGGGGATGGGGAATGAGATGTGGTGGCCAAGGAGACATCCTCTTTCTCTTTCCTGGCCAAAGTGGTATGTGTACCTGAGGCCTGAAAATGCTACAGCTATTTTCTGCCATTAAAAAAAAAAAACTAGTATGAGGAAGGAAACAGAGGAGATTAGAGATAAAAGAATCACAACAATGGGGCTGGAAGTCCTGATCAAGTCATACCTGATGTCCACTTTCCTTTGCATTTTTCAGAGACATCTATAAATTTCCTTCATTTAAGAAGCCAGTTAGAGTTGGGATTTTTTTTTTGTTGTTACCTGAAACTGAAAGCTTCTAATTAGTCTAGATGTGGATCTGAGAATGAATCTGACTTCAGGAGATCGTATCAAAGAAGTGGAACAAGCAAGACACACGTTTTGTGAGCCCAGATCAAAGCTAACACAGAGATCTGGGGTGAAGTTGTAGAGGCAATGAAAACAGAGCAGCACAGAGCCAGGTGGGTGGCCTTAGCAGAACTCTGGGCCTGGGACCAACAGCATCTGTCAGGGGGAGATCAGGTGTGGGGCCCTGTCAGGACCTGGCCTTGAGGGGGTTGGGGTGGGGATGGCCAGAGAAAAGAAACTATGAGGGGACAGTGCAAGAGACAGCCTCAGGCAGATGGTCAGTCATAAGACTGGGGCCTCAGCAGGACTGTCTACCTTTCCTGGACCAACTGCTGGAGGCTGCCTCTCATCCAGGGCCACGCTTGGTCTAGAACGTGATGAGAGCTGAGCCTGCAGATGGAGCTGAAGCAGGTGAGCTGCTCTTCTGATTCAGTTGGCCTTGGGCTAGGGCTGGGGCTCTGCTTCTAACAGGAATCTGCCTCCTGATGCCACAGCCTGCAGAAGATGCCGGGAGAAACCCAGTTTTACTGGGTGTGATGGAATTCACTGGCTGCCTCAGCTGGACCTGACCTTGGCCTTGGTCTACTCCTGCACTTCACATTCTGCTCTCTGCTACTCACAGGATCATGTACGGAAGCACGCTGGCTCCTGGATGAGGCCTTCTGCCACACCTGCCCTCTTGGTTTCTCAACAGATCACTTGCTCTCTTCCTTGCAATTTCATCTCCCTCCCTGGAATGGATGTTAGGCCTCCAGCCCCTATTTTTAGGTTTGGCAGCACTATGGGTGTGTGGTTTTTGGCCTCCCCTGTCCTCTGTCCCCAGCTTCTTGGAAAATCTGGATGCATCTCAGGATTGGAACAGGGGAGCTGTGTGTTGGGTTTTGTCTGGGGAACAATAAGATAGAAATCAAGGTGTACGGGGTAAGCTGGGGCAGCCTGTGGGTGTCCCGCTGTGTTTATCAGCCTGAGTCCTCCATCTGTGGTGGAAGCAAAAGCCCAGCTGTGGGAGATGCCATCTGAGTATAAGAGAAACTTCTAGCTGCACATTGTTTGTGCTAAGTAAAATATTAGGTTGGTGCAAAAGTAATTGCGGTTTTTGCCATTACTTTCAATGGCAAAAACCGCAATTACTTTTGCACCTATCTAATACTTCCATTGTAGCAGGGGCTACCACCATTTTGCTGATGTGTCTGTTTTCTTGGCATTGACCCCAGATCCTACACTCAAAACTTCCAAAGAACACATAAAATCCAAGGCTAATCATAAGAATGCAATGATAACATCTGGAGGTTTTTAAATCGTAGATTCCCCCTTTTGGAAGGAGAATGGAATTTATAACCAACTGATGTGAGCTCAAATTCAGTCTTAACTACCAGACAATAGACTCTTTGCCATCTGGGGAATACTGAATCCCCCAGTATCCATTTCCTTGCCTGTAAAGAAGGATGATAACTATCTTAAAACTCAGTGGGTGTATTTCCGCAAATATTTTTACAGAATCTAGTGTGGTGCCTGAACGTTAGAGAAGCTTAATAAACAGTAGCTGGTATTTTTAACATTAGAGAAAATTCTTTAAATGCAAGATGTCCTGGCCCTAGACACTTTATAGTCTGCCTAGTACTAAAGCTTGTGTTTCATCCAAGGGAGCTGAAGATGAGACCCAGGAAGTGTATTGTTTTAAAGTCTTTGTCTTGAGTTCATAGCAAATGTTTTACTATGAGCTCACTCATATTTCCCCACCTTTACCATTTCAGGCCCTTTCCACTGCTGTCCCCTAGATCTCTTTGCCTGGGGGTTTTCCCTGGGCCCCAAGGTCCACTCCGCCTGAGCCCAGCAAGCTGGAATGCTGGGGAATTAATATCCCTTAAGTGCAGTCTTTAACCAATGAATGATGGAAGCTGGTGGAGAAATACTCTAGCTCCCCCGCCTCCTTACATGAGATAACTTAGTGGCTCTCCAGTTAAACTGTCTCCCAGTTCCCACAGAAGAATTAGATCTCTGTTACCCACAGTGATAACTGGCTTGCTAACACACTTTCCTCCACTGCTTTCTCTTCCTTGCCTTCCTTCCACACTGTCCCACAAGCACTTCCTGGGATCACCTTTCAAATCAACTGTTTGCACTTGAGTCCTTGCTTAGAGTCTCTTGGGGAAGCCCAAATGCAGGTGGATTTCAATTCAGAGGTGCAATCTTTGGGTGCTGCTAGGGTTTGTTTAAACGAGCCAGTATTATTTGAAGAAAGGCAAACCCAGCCAAGATGAGATGGGCCTTGCCAAAGAACATCAGGCACATTTTAAGCATGCCAGTAGGGCTGATGTTGGAGCTCTTTATTATAAACTAGAGCCATCTGCCGGCCTGTAATAACCTGAATATGAAAGTCCTAACCTGGGATGCAGTTAAACTGCATAATTTCTGTTTGTGGTTAGGCATTTAAATCTTAACATGCTCTGAACGGCAGATCGAAATTCACAAGTACATTGTTTTACAAAACTGGCATGAAGTCCCTTCAATACAACGTACAAGATACATTAGTATGTTGCATCAAGAGCTCGGTGTTTTCTCTTTGTTGTTATTATTCTTCGTTTTTAAATAAAGGAAACTTGTAGGACCACAGCCTTGTAAATGTCTTGAAGTGATGCCAAGAACCTCTCTATAAGCCACTTTCTAAAAAGCAATTTCCTTTTTGTCCCATAAAACTCCCCAAAGCACCTTAGGTGAACACCAAAGCGAGGGTTATGTTTGCAAACTGCAAATACAGCAGACATTTAATTACACTGAATTCATCAAAACCCTAATTGAGACAGGAACTCAAACCTTATAGCTTAATTACTTTAATTTCAGATGGATAACAGACTTGGTCATGTGCAACCCTCCATGCTGAAATTCATAGAGGGAGGCCCACGGGCACTCGCTGGTAATTCTCCCAGCCAAATGAAAGTGCAGATCAACATAAATAAAATGCTAAGTGAAATCCATGATTGGATTTATTAATCGCTTCAATTCCCAATATCCAGCCTTTGCCGTAACATTCCACTGCACCAACTCCACCGCCTGGGAGAGCTTCTCCCTGTTTGAGGCTGGGAAGCTGTCATTTCTTTTTTTTCACCTCCCACTGGTAGACAGCACAGAAGTAAGTACTAGTCCTTTGAGACTGTTTTTCTACGAACATCTCCTTACTTTGATTTACATTTAGAAGACCTTCTCCCTGACTATCCCTTTCCTTCCCACTGAGTATCCTGTGTCTGTTAATTAAGCTGTGGACACCCTTGACTGTTAGATAAGTTCCATCAATGAGTTGGTCAAATTATCACAGTGACCTAGGTGGAATTTGGAGGTGAGAACCCCAGGGATGCGTATTCTGAGCATAGCTAATGGTGTCTAACTGAGACTGACTTACCATGTAGAGCAGGTCTATTAATGCTGAACATGCTACAATTCATCTTGATGGCAACACTAGGAAGTAGGTGTGCTTGTACCCACTCTATAGATGAGAAAAATGAGGCTTTGAGAACATAAGTAACTTCTCCAGGGTTCCACAGCCAGAAAATGGCAGAATCAGGATTTAAACCCAGACCCGTCTGATTCCCCAGCCCATGTTCTTCCCAAAACATAATTTTGCTTCCTCTGCAAAGACTTGAAGGATCCTACAAAACCCTGAGCTGGATGGCCTTGAAAATCTCCAGTTTGGCACATGACAGGAAAGTCAGAAGGAAAGGTTGGCATCCAGAGTCATCGCGTGGACTGTGGACTGCTTCTCCCAACAGTCATGGTTGTTACTTCTGTCCATGGCTACAGGGTTGTGAGGTGAGCCAGCAAAGACCTTCTGGGGTGAGTCAAGGGACAGACACCAGCATTTTTTGGAGTTCAGGGAGCCCTTTGCCTTTGATGCAGGTGTTCCAACCAAGCTGGGATGAACCGCGTTACTAATGAGTGATGAGCCACACATGCATCCAAGCCATTTCATAAGTAATTAGTTGTGTGGCACTGACTAGATGCTCCCCAGTCATTTGTTTCATTTCTCTACATTATCTCTCTTCCTTTGGGCTTGCTTGTGAATCAAGCTTCAGGTACAAATGATGAATGAACTAATGACAACACTAATAACAGCCAGACTAATAACCATACTGCTGATGGTGACAATGCCAATTAGGAGAGTGCTAACAGCGACAGACTCTTCTGCTGGGTGCAACTGTTCATCTGTGGAAGGCCACAAGCAGGTGTCCAAGGCAAAGGAGAGCCAGGGAAGTGCAAATAGCACCAAAGGCAAAGGCAGAGACTCATTTTTTAAAAAAATACTAACTACATTTATGGGAGATTTAAAAAGCACATATTGTGGGTACACAAAATCTAAGACATGAGCTCATTGACTGAGAGGATGAGAAGAGGGAAATCATTCAGTCTAAGGAGCTGAGCAGAGCTCAGTCACCATGTACTGGGAGCCCCTTTTCCAGATAGAAGGGACCCATCCACCTGTGGGCCCTGGAGCTGAATCCCGATGAGATCCAGGTGTCCCTCTGCGTGTCACCTGAAGGCAACTGACACACCAGGCAATCCAGACAAATCAATAGGCACGAAGATGACGGAAGTAAAAATGGGCAGTGGAGAATGCAATGGTGGACCCGGGGTATCCTGCATGGAGACCCTCGAGTCTACATCAGTGGAACGGGCAGCATGGGGTGCCCCTTGCCGCTGCTGTGGGGTGAGGGCCCTGGCAAAGGGTAGGGGGAAGGCTGCCCCGGGGCTTTCCTTAGCCCCCTGACCCAATCAGCCACTTCTAGGAGAACAGTGCACTGTTCATATCAAGGCTGCTGATCAAGTGGTTAGGATCAGCAGGTTCCTTGATATTGTAAGTGGAGTAGCCTCCATGAGCTTTTAGAAGTGCCTTTTACTAGAAGATACACAAAGTTGTGGGTATTTGGGCAGAGATCTCAGGGTTGTGTTGTTTCTGAATAAAATCCCTATGAAGAAATTTAGGATATCAGAGTTGGCAAAACAGTTGCAAACCCTGCAAACAAACCTCCAGGTGCTGCTGCAGTGTAGGCTTGTCGCCCAGAGCCTCCCACGCAGTGGCTTCTGAGCACCTTCCCCAGACTTTCCAAAACAGACGCCAGTATTCATAAAGAACTCAGATAGCAGGACACCACCTGGAAGTGGCATCAACTCCATAGGTAAACTGCAGGCTTGCTAAGCCCTTCATAACCCCAAAGGCACGTTATAATAGAGAAATGAAATGCTCTACCACAGTCAAAAAAGGTTAGGCTGTGTCCTAAACCGTGATGACTGCATGTTTTGTTTAGCAGATTCTCATGTATTCTCATTGTGTTTAGCAGATTCTCATGTATTCTATTTCCAATGAGCAAAAATCATACCTAAAATTGTTTTAGGCCATTCTAGTTCAGATCAGTAACATACCAAAATGAATGTGGAACCCTTCAGATTGTAACCCACATCTTTCAGTCTGGTTAATTATTTATGTGGACCTGAGCATTCTATATTCCATCAACATGGAGACCAAGTAATGGTGGATTACCAGTTTCCACTTCTAGCTGGGCCAGCCTCCTGGGATGTGAGGTCCCAAATCACTGCTGCCCAAACCACTGGGCCCTAATGCAAGTTGTGTTCCAGCAAGACAGTCTCCTGCCTAAACTCCATGCCTCCCCTTTCCCCAATGTCACATTTTGCCATCACAAAGAAGCCGCCAGTCTTACCTGCCCAGCAAAGAGCCCACAGACACCAATGATGCACAGGATGTTGAATACCGCTGAGCCCACGATGGTGCCAACTCCCACATCGCCTTTGGTGATGAAGACCCCTGAAACACAGATCCCACATCAGCCTGGCTGTTGTGGCCCTGTTGCATTCCAAGGTGGGCATGGGGAACCTTTCATAAGCATTAGATTGTTCTCAGAATCTACAGGAAACAGCTGAGGGGTGGAGAGAGCTTTCTAATCTACAGAGGGATGATAGCTGCACAGGAGTGTGATGGGCTTGGGGTCTGGGACAAGTTCATGCACAGTAAAAGCATCACTTAAATAAAACAACAACGGCAGATGGGAGGCTGATGTTCTACTCATTGGGGTCCCTGGATTATCATTTTCTATGAGTGGCAGACAATCTCGGTCTGGGGGCCATCCATTCCCAGAGCCCTTTTCCTTCAGACAGTGAAGGTCTGAGATGTCCCTCAGTCTGTCACCTACCTATGACCGATGTGAACAGCTCTGGGGCCGAACTTCCCGCTGCCATGAATGTGGCCCCAGCCACATCTTCACTGAGGTGCAGGCGCTACAGAGGAGCAAAGACAAAGCACAGGTGAGTTGGGATTCCATCTCGGAAGAGAGGTGACTGTGACACCCGAGAGTCCAAGCCCTGAGAAGCAAAGACTGGGGCTTCAGCGAGAGTAGGACCGATGGGACCTGGGGCTGGTACTTAGTCCCTCTCAGCCTCCTTCTCCTTCTCACAGAGCGCAGCCACTGCTGCCGATCCCCTGCTGAGTCAGAGCTCCTCTCAATGTCCTCCTTAAGGGACAGGTTTGGGGAGGGAACTACATGTCCTTATGAGCTAAAGGCTCTTGGGAAGATCTAGGGGTCTTCAACCCAATTCCCGCAGGGGCTGTGCAGATGACAGTCAGGAGTGGAGTGGGCCCATGGGAGGCCACAGCAGGCGGTAGGTCTGAGGCTATGGTGGGGGCATTCACCTCTTTCTATGGGCAGCATTGCCCAGTTCCCTCAGTGTGGCCAGATATTCTGATTTTTAAGAGATGCCAATAATCCAACCTTTTATGCAAAACTTCCTGATTTTTGTGATACTATGCTGATCTCAGGCTAAATGACGCTCATGGTAACCAGTTTGTGAGTCTTTAGGAGGTTATGGAGGCATGTTGGGGTGTGGATGTGGGGATCACCCTCCTGAAACCCACTCCCCTTCCTTGAGGCATTCTGGAAACCCCGGGATCAGAGAGTGGGAGTGGGGGCTTAAGGCTGAAAAGAAGGTAATGAGGCATCAGCCCTGCCAAGACGGGGTTTATACAATGAGCTCTCCAGGTTACTCTGTTTGTTAAACCAAAAGGTGATTTACAAGAAGACAAGGCAATTATACATTAGAGGCTGGTAACCAGATTTTGCATTTCTGCATTCAGTCATGACCCAGAAAGTATGCTGCTGGCTGCCAGTGAATAGCCAGTTCCCTCCTGGCAGTCAAGCTTGAGTGACATCCTTCTCTTCCCAGTGGCACCTACAGCTGCACTTCCTTGCTCAGCCAGAGAGGGGCGGTGTGGCCCTGATGTAGGTCACTGGCCTCCATTGAGTGACCCACAATAGTCTGCAGGAGAAGCCCTAACTGAGGATTTTGATCTAGGATCCTGGGTCGCTTCGCTGTCGGCTGGACAGCGAAGCTTCACATGGGATGCCGAGCAGATCCTAAGATGGAGGCGCAGATAGCGCAAAGTTGCAAGGTGTGGCTGTGAGGGGTGCCCAAGCACTCCTGTCCCATGGAGCTAAGAGTCTGTGAGTGAGGTAGCCTGACACAGCTCGCAGCTCCCTGTATGGTTTGCCGAGACCTGCCAGGAGGCGGGAGCCATGTGTTGCTGTGGTTCTGTCCTGCTGGGGTATTAGTTGTGGCATCCAAACCTTGGGTTCATGTCCGTTTCCCCTCTCTCCTTCATCCAGCCAGTTTGTTTCTTCCTCTGTATCTTCTTATACCCCTCCATCATCCCCAGTTCACTTCAGCCCTGGCAATATCTCACAGGACTCTAGTCTTCTTGACTCTGGACTCCTATCTACCATGACAGAGCCCTGAAAAGCCCTCCCCAGCTCCCTCCAGAGCTTGGAATAATTCCTAACGCCCAGCCTGGCTTGCAGGGCTCCCTGTATGCTGGTGCAAAACCCCATCTTGGTTTTGCGGCTCACACATTCTCTCACCAAATACCCTTCCTCAAAATACTTGGCCACTGACACCTTCCCTCTAAGGGCTGTTCTAATCCTGCCCCTTGCACAAGCCCTTTCCTGATCTCCTCCCAACTCTGTCCCTCGCAGCGTCAATCTCTCCTTCCCCCACTCTCTCTCTGCACTTCTGCACTTGCCAATTCCCCGCCACTTCCTCCAGCCCCCTGTGGATATTACCCTGGAGCTGCTCTGCAGCTAGGAGCCCTGGGATGGGATGGGACATGCTGTGTGTGATCTAGTTTCCTCCCAGCCCCTGGCATAGAGCTTGGTCCAGGCAGAGCCCAGCTTAGTGCTGACGTCAGAGGGGTGAGTAGTGTTCCAGACCTATTGTCACATCCTCCGCTGCTCAAATGTCCCACTGCTGTCCTGGAAGCCTCCACATGGGTCCCAAAGCCTCCCACCCTCCCCATCCGACTTCACCTTTCCTAGACAAGCCTCTGCTCGGCCAGGCCTGCCACCTCATGGTCCTTGGGGATGCCAGGCCCTTCCACTCGCTGCGCTTTGGTTCATGTTCACTCTTCTTCCTGAAATGCCTCTCTCCCTTCCCGCCTCAGTGCAGCTGAGGCTGTCTACTGTGGCTTATAGGATTTCTCTAAACTCTGGAGACCCTCTCTGCACGTTCTGCAATGGTATCTCTGGACTGTTCAAAATCTAGGGGCTGTCATTTCACACAAGGAGAAAGTAAGGTCCAGACAGGGGAAGGGGCTGGCATGGAGCAGGTGCTTTGTAAGCACCAGGGCCTGCCTGACCCCAGTTTCGGATCCTGGATCATTGCCTTTATCTCCTTCTCTTTCTCCCATTTTCTTTTCTTTGCCTTTTCCTGAACCCCACATTTTTCTGCTTTTAACTTTAAAGTATTTGAGACTGAGCGAGAATCTGCCCTGACCTCCAAGCAATGATTCGTTGCACAGTGTGGATTTCTCTCCCCACTCATCTTTCACAAAAGCTGGAAACGACAACCTTCTGTGTTTTTCTGCCCCACTCCCAGTTTTAGTCTACGAGTAACCATGAAACACAGAGTATCGAATCATTAAAAGGTGATTAAGGAAAGCACAGGCAGTAAACAGAATCCAGGGCCGAGAGGCCCTCCAGGCCACTGCTGGTGGACCCACGTCATGATCCTCTCATCTTGTGAGAAAGTGTAACTCCAGGGAGAACTGATTCCACGTCTCTTAGAAGATGTAAACATGTCAGGATCTCTAAATATATGTGAGCTCTGACCTCAGCCCACCCATCATTCACAGACATAATGTTTCCCCAGCAATTAAGGTTGTTTAAGGTCCATGGAGCCAACATTGTCTTTCCAGGAGACAGGCACGGGGCACCCACTCTTGTTATATGAATCTTGCTTATAAGACCAGATTTGGGGTGGGAGCAGGGAGAGCCCAGGAAAATGTGGTTGCTCTTCTGTGCCCACTCCTCCAGTATCGCTGTGGGTCTGGGCAGTGCAGCCAGTTCTAACACCACCATGACCTGGTCCAGGCTCGTCTCTGGATGGAGTAGAGAAAAGCCTGAAGACTTGGAAATCAGGCTGACTTGGGCTCAAATAGTGACTCTATCCCTTGACCCAGGGCAAGTTGCTCAGCTTCTCTAAGCTCTGGTTTCCTTGTTTGTAAAGAGGGGATAATATCAGTCACCTGGCAGAATTCTTGAGATGATTAAAGACAGGTAGACATAGTCACACCACACTGTTTAGCGACTGAACCATATCAGGGACCTAGTAAAATAACACCTCACCCTCCTTAAACATTTTCTTTCCTTTTCCTCTCCTTATAACTTTTTTGTTAAAAGACTCACACCTGCCCTCTTTTCCTGCCATTTTCTGGCTCTTTGATTGCCTCTCCCTACAAGGGCATGGGTATTCACAGGTTCTGTGTCCTCAACTGAGTAGAACACATGCTGACAACTGTACTGACATTTCCAGAATATAATTTTGATATTCACACCAAAAAAATTGCATGGGAAAGAGAGAGAGTTGTTTTGCTCTGCATGAATAATAAAACACCCAATAGTGGTATTTCAGAGATCACAGAGGACTCCAGTTACAGGTGAGGAACACCTCCTCCCCTTCGACATAAGGTGACCCCACTCTCAGGTGGAATTCCTCAGACAAAGGGCTTCCACACCTGCCCACTGTGCATTTCAGATGCCACCTCAATTACTCTGTGCTACTGTGGAAGAGAACACCTCCTGTGGCTCTCTAAATATTGTTATTGTGGGACACTTTTTATTTATTTAAGTATCCAACACTAACTTCCAGGATGTAGAAGACACTGCTTAGGGTATGTGGTTCTCTAAGTCTGTGGTTCCTGGACTAGGCAGCAGCCTCAGCATCACCTGAAAAACGTATTAGAAATGCAAATTCTACCCCCTCCCACTCTCCCAAGACCTACTGGATCAGGTACTCAGGGGAGAGAGAAGGAAAGGGAAGACACAACCAGTTTTGAGAACTACTGGCATAAAGAAACCGAGTTCTCGACAGATGTGTCTGGGGGAGATGCCTTCTGGAAACAGGGATTCTGAATTAAAATATAAACCGATAAATATAAATAAATAAATAAAATGGAAAGCTTTCAGATAAAGGAAGCTACATTTCCAAACAGACAGAGATGAAAGAGGCAAGAGAATGAAAGAGTTCTAGATCTGCTGAATATTTTTTGATGAAAGGGGTTTAACTTGCTGTTCAGCCTGGCATGCACTATGATGATTTCTAACAGGGACACTTTCCTGATCTCCGTGGCCAATTCTTTCATCTCAGTGCTTCCGCTTGGAGCATTTCTGTACATATACAGAGAGAGGAAGCATGGCAGAGGTATGCGGTTGGAGGTTTTTAATCCTGCGAGGATGCCATGGATATCAAAGGAGAGTTATGGAGGCAGAAGGAAACACAGGAGAGAGAGGTGGAGGAAGTAACAGAAAGGAAGAGTGAGTTTAAAAGGAAAAGAAAATGGGGAAGGAAAACACAAATAGTACCATTAGTTAGGTCTAAATGGAGTTGGGGAGGTTGGTCCTGTGGGTTTTCGTCTGATTATTGATCAGAGTCATGAAATGCTCAGTAGACCGATGACACTTTTGTGCTAATATTGCCCATTGCTCTCAAACATGGTGATGCCTGGTGTTCCCGCTGCAGCTGCCCTGCGAGGGCTCCCCAGGACTTTGGTGAGGAGGCTGGAACAGTACAGGGCACAGGTCCAGTCCCCAGTCTGGCTCACACATACCAAGAATGTGAGGCACGTACCTCACAGATCTTTTCCAAGGAAGGGACGAAGAAGTCATCACACACAATGGCCAGCGCATAGAACATGTATATGGCCTGGAAGAGAGGAGATAAAAGGGGTTAAAGTTAGAGTGAGGCAGAGCCAGGAAGATGAACGTCCAGCCACCTTCTGCTTTGATAATGTCTTCTGTCATCATGAATTCAACACCTTAAATACCAAGTCTTTCCAATGCCCACAACACTCTCCTGTGACCTGGTCCCAGCTTTCTCTCTGATGTTATCACCTGTCACTCTCCTTTTGCCCACTTCCCTTTCCATGAAACATGTCATGGATTCCTGTCTCAGGGCCTTTGCACTTGTTCTTCCCTCTGCCCTGAACACTCTGCCCCAAGATATCCCACTGGCTCACGCCATCACACCCTTCAGGTCCCTGCTCAAATGGCAACCTCTTTCCCCCGCTCCCATTTCTCTCTATGTCATTTATCTCTTTGGTTTTTCCTGATACATTATATGTTAAATTAATTCATCTATTGTCTGTCTCCTCCACCAGAAGTTCATGAGGATATGATGTCATATAATTAATTTCATATAATGATTGCCATATCCGCAGCAGTCAGCACAGGGCCTGGTATATAGTAGGTACTCCATAAAGGTATGTGGAATGAGGGAATAAATAAATGAACACTTCCAACTGAACCTGTTTACTCACTGGATCCCTGCAGGAAAGCTTTGCAAACTTGCTTCTGCATCTTGGTCAGCTATGACCAGGGTATTCCCTGGAATTCTACCTTCTGGCCAGAAATTGCCTCTCCACTGTATCCAACCGCATGTTTCCTCTCCAACTAATGAAATCTTACTAGGATTTCAGTGTTGACTGACCACTCAACATCCTTCTCCCACTCTTTCCTAAGGAGACCCCAGTTTTGTCCAAATATCCACCATGCCCCATGTGGAAGGTGACCCTATCCTTTTCTCCAGGAGTGGATGCTGATTGGTCAATCAGTATGTAGTATTCCTTAGCTGTGGCCATTGTTTCAGAGGTGAGCACATGACCTAGGTTGGCCCAATTAGAGAGCAGGAAAGGCTTTTACTTTTTGCCAAAGGGAGCCATTTCTCACCCTCTGTTGCTTGCTGTGGACCAGGAAGCTGGGAGCCCTCATTGCCACTGACAGTCATATTGAAGGAATCTGACTTGAGAGGAAGTTGACCCTGAATCAGAAAAAACCTAAGCCCCCGGATAACATCACTGAGCCCTTGATCAGGTGTCCACCCTGCCTCTTGACTTCATAACATACCATGAGCATTGTTGAGGCCAGTTTGATTTAGAATGTCTCTGTTACTTGCTTCTCAAAGCATCTAATAGGTGTGGTTCAAGTTCTAGCACCCTCAGCAGTGACATTGCATTCATTTATTGACCTCCCAGTATCTTTTCCTTTTGAGAAGTGCTCCTCAGGATGGGAGTCGTACATCCCCTCCTCCTCACACAGGGCGCACACACATGACCCAGTATAGCCATAGAACATCCATGCCCTGTCACACAGTGGAGAGTCAGGGACAGGTCTGTAAGGGGCCAAGCAGAGATAAGTGGAGAAGCTGAGGCAGAGACACCCTCTTTTTATGGATATAAACACCCCACATCTGGAGCTGCTAGAGGCAGCTGTCATATAGAGAAAACTTGCCTGAGAAGAATGCTGCTCCCACAGTGAGAAGCCGACCCAAGAGATGGGACAGGCACACGCACACACACACATGCACACACACACGCATGCATACACGAAAAGTACACCCACAGGCACACACACGCAAGCATGTATGCACACACACACACACACGTCCCAAATGACACCATGTGACCCCTGGCCCCGGCTCCAGTCTAAAATCAAAATCACTTTCTAATTTCATGAGCCAATAATAGGCCTTTTACACTTAAGCAGTTTTAAGTTTCTGTCACTTGCAACTGTCCTTCATGAAGCCTCTGTGGCAACCCAAGCATGAAATGATCTCTGTTGCCTTTGACCCTTAGCAGTTGCACTAACGTAGCCCCAGGGTCCCTGCTTTGTATGAGCTTGTTTGCTTTTCACATATATGTTTGGTCTCTTCCATAAGATCGTAAGATTCTAAAGTATACTTTAACACTAGATCCTGTGGAAATATCAGACAAATGCATAAAGACATATGCACTAGTATTTTCATTCCAAAATTGCTGACTACAATAAGTTATCAAACCTAGCAAAATATACCTTGGGGAATGGGTTATATAAACTGTGGTTCATCATTCAATAAGACGCCCTTAAAAGGGATTGTGTAAATCCAATATGAAGTGATAAGGAAAGGCATTCATAATACATTGCTAAATGAAAAACAGCATTACAATGTCTTTTTTTATTAAATAATCTATGTATATGTGTATATACACATATTATATATTTGCATATAAGAGTTTGTAAGGCCATTAATCAAAATAGTGGCTACATTTCTCTCTCAGTTGGTGTGACTCTATCTGTATTTTATAATCCATAACTATATTTTGTAATATTTTCACTCTGAAATAGTATTTCTTGTGTAACTTTTGTAGGTGATGGGAGATTTTAGAGGTAAGAATTCTGTCTTATACTTCACTAATTTCTGAGGAGCCTGGGATGCTTGGCATGGAAAAAAATCTCAAAAATAACTCATTGATAGATCTATTCATAATCTGTACAAAATTATTTGCCAATGGGCTTTTTATTAAAAATGTCGATTAACGGGCACGGTGGCTCATGCCTGTAATCCCAGCACTTTGGGAGGCCGAGGCGGGCAGATCACAAGGTCATGAGATTGAGACCATCCTGGCTAACATGGTGAAACCCCATCTCTACTAAAAATACAAAAAAATTAGCTGCGCGTGGTGGTGGGCTCCTGTACTCCCGGCTACTCAGGAGGCTGAGGCAGGAGAATGGCATGAACCTGGGAGGGGGAGCTTGCCATGAGCCGAGATCGCGCCACTGCACTCCAGCCTCGGCGACAGAGTGAGACTCTGTCTCAAAAAAATAAAAAGAAAATGTCAATTAAGAATAATTCTTGCTGTACTTTGTAGCCTGGGAATAAATCAGAAAATACATTCCCAAATTGCAATGGACTCAAACCCTCTTTTGCTGTATGACTTGGCTGATCCAATGATATGCAGGTTTTAGGATTAGCTTTGAAAGGACACTCACATTAGGTAATTGGGATACAGAATTGCACATTTGTAGATTAATCAAGATCTAAATAAGCTGTTCCATAGCTGACATATTCAACTCACTGAAACAGCCAACACTGCCTAGAAGTCCATAAACCATCTCACCAAGAATATGTTCCAGTATTACATATTGATCTGGTTTTGTGGCAAGAAGCTCCATCTAACACACTGTTGTATCCACGCTTCGAGGGGGATGAGAAATGAGATCTGCCAAGCACTCAGGACTTTTGAGGGTAATGACTATCAAAAGCTGTGTTAGTTCTCGTGAGCTGGGCAGCATGAGGCGGGGATGCTCACTGTTAACCAGATACCCTTTGACATAGCACCTCTGGGCACCCAGAGAGGCCTGCGAGGTGATGAGCCCTTCTCCAGCTGCAGAGCCCTTCCTGGCACCTGACGGTGGGCCTGCCACTCTGGCTACAAAACACTCTGCTCTAAGTCTCTCTCATGTTACTCACTGGAAAACAGGTTCCTGCAGCACAAGCAAAGAGAACAAAGGAAGAAAACAAAGGTTCAAAGTCAAATTTTAGGATGCAGAAAACCTACTGGGAGTGTGACATTGATGGTACTATTAATACAACTAGCACAAATAGTTTTAATAGAGTAAGGCATCTTTAGGTTACTTTGACCATTCTTATGTTTTCAAAGGATATATTAATATCATTGACAATAATAATAATAATCACATTTGCCACTGTTTGTTGAGACAGGAATTCCAGGCATGCTCCAGGTATATTACCTGGACTTCCTCAGTTCTTCTAAATATTATATGAGGCAGGGAGTTACTGGTCCCATTTCCCAGACAATGCAGAGGGTGTGGGAACTTACCCAAGTACACATGGCTAGCAAATGGCAGGGCTTAAATTTGACCCCAGGACTCCCTCCAAGCCTTCCCACAGAGCCCAGCTATCTCCCTGTATAAAGATCATTTCTGGTTCACCACCCCATCTCCACTTTTTCTGATGTTCAGCTCATCTACTAGTGAGCTGTCTTCTCCAACTGCAGACAGTGAGGGATATTTTTAGAATTCCAGCCATCCACTTTTTGGGGCTGCCTGTCAGAGCCGTTGAAGTTCTTTATCAATATTATTATTTTTACCAGATGCACTACAAAATATGAGACAGGTTTGAACTCCTGAAAATGCTTGGGCTGGCCCAACACCCTGAGGCAGCCCAGATATGCTGTAACTCACCCTGGAATCCAAGCCCATGGCTTGGCTACAGCAGCCGGTACAAGTGAATGTGGAGTGCCTTCTGGAAACGATGAATGATAGGCATTTAGAGAAGATGGGTGGTCTTTTGGAATTTCAGCTTTAGTCTCATGATCACAAGGCTTCTCTTCCCAGGGAACTTTTTAGAACCCTCTGAGTGGGAATCTGCTTTGGCCTTGATCATGTGTAGCCTGGACCATGAGCCGTGTTTTATGTTCATGTCTCTGGCCTCCCTTTTGCTTTATGTTCATGTATCTGGCCTCCCTTCTATTGAGGGCAGCAGCTGTGTCCTCACATATTAATATCCACCCCTCCCAAGCATGGGCTCTCTATATATGAAGTGATGGATCCCAAGGAGGGTGGTGTTCGTGGAGTAGCTGGTGTTGCCTTTTTTTTTTTTTTTTTTTTTTTGAGAGTGTCTCACTCTGTCACCCAGGCTGGAGTATAGTGATGCAGTGCACTCATAGTTCACTGCAGCTTTGTTCCACCAGACTCAAGAAATCCTCCTACCTTAGCTGCCTGAGTAGCTGGGACTACAGATGTGTGCCACCACGCCCTTCATTTTTTTTTGTATTTTTTTTAGAGTCAGAGTTTCACCATGTTGCCCAGGCTGGTCTCAAACTCCTGAGCTCAAGTGATCTACCCACTTGGGCCTCCCAAAGTGCTGGGATTGCAGCTGTGAGCCACCGCAGCTGGCCTGGTGTAATCTAGCAAGGGAAATGCCCAAGTAGCAGGGACAGGGCACAAGCAGCTGCTAAAAGCAACAAAGCCTGGAGCCTTGGAGGAAGCCCAGGGCATGGTATGGGATCTCCCATCAGGTCCTAGACTTGACACTTCCAAGCTGTGTGACTTTGTGTGACTCTTCTTACTTTGCTTACCCTTCAACATGGGCCTCGTCACAGCATGCTCCCTAGTGCTTACAAGGCTGTTGTGAGAAGTAAATGAAAAGCAATGAGCAAAGGAGCTTAGACATAGCGCAGCCCCTCATGCACTGCCATTGTTGTGGCAACAATAATGATGCCATGAGAACATGCCCAAGCTAGCCTGCTGGAGGAAAAGAGACATGCAGGGTACAGACAGGTCACCTCAGTTGTCCTGGCTAAGGCTGTCAGAGATTAGCTGGCAAGCAGCTAACCCCTAGATGTGGGTGAGCCCAACTGAGACAGGCCCAGCCCAGTTCAAGTTCAACAGTTCAGCTGAACCAGAAAAACCCATGAACCAATGAATTGTTTATTGTATGTCACTGAAGTTGTGAGGCCATTTGTTATGCAGCATTATTGTGGCAGTCAGTATGTTGATAGTGTCCTTTGATGTACAGGTAACAGATACAGCCCAGATAATAAAAAGAGCCACAGTGAAAAAACAATAACGAGTAACTTCCAAGAAGCAGACTTGAAACATTCCTAACAAACTAAATGACAAAGTAAACTTCCAGGGATAGCTCCACTCAGCTGAAATCACATTTATATGTTTAAAGCATGCACTATTCAGAGGCCACCAAGGAAAATGATGATTCTATTCTGAGACACGCCTGCCTTAGGATTTGAAGAGTTATTTATTTATTAATTCAACAATAATGTGTGCAGCACCAACTCAAAGCCAGATGCGCTGCTTGGTGGGAAGGGTCTAAGACTTAATAAGTTACTGTCCTTCAACAAAGAAGAATGGCCTGAGGTCCAGTTGGAAGTACCCAACGTAAGAGGTTCACCTTAACTCAGTGTGGAGATCTTAGGACAGAGTTCTGTAATGTGGCAGATGCTGTTGGTGGCCTATTCATTAGTCATTAAACCTTTTATTTTGCAAACACAACTTCAATCTTGTTCTAAGTAATAATATGCTCAACTCTTCTGGCCTTCTTGGATCTAGTCATGGCCATGTGACACAGTTTTGGCCAATGAGAAGAAAGCACAAATCCAGCTAAAGTCACCCTATCTTCCGGCGTGCAACTTGGATGTGATGTCTGGAATGGCAGCAGCCATTTATGACTATGAGATAATAAGCCTGAGGATACACACCAACATGCTGAGGGCAGCAGGGCCCTGAGGACACCATGCACCATCTGGACTAATTCCTGAAATCAGCTCCTTCTGTATTTCTAACTATGTGAGGAAAGGACTTCCTTACTTGCTTCACTCACCATTAGCTGGGGGCTCTGTACTTGAAGCCATGTGCTTCCCTAACTGATGTGAGCCACAGAAGATACTGTGCTGGGTAGAGGTAGTGCAAGGAGAAGATTGAGGAAGTGGCTATTGACCCAGGATTCTGAGAAATAATTACTATCTCATCAGGTAATTTCAAAGGTTGATTGAGACTAATAAAACTAAAGAACTTTGTCTACAGTGGTTAAATGGAAAAACACCTAAGATAACAGGAAATCATCATGGCCCATGACATATTAGAGGTGAGCAGGCTCTAGCTGGAATGTTGATCCACATAAGGGCTTCTGAATACTGAGGGCAAATGTATTTGAATGGCAGGACGTTAACCCTGCTGTTTTATGTTGCATCGACAGTCAGCGGTTTTCACAGACAATTTCTTTTTACTACATCATCTGCACTCCTGTCTCTCTGTCTTTAATTTCAGTGAAGGTGTTGTGGAGAAGCAATTCTTAGGGAAGTGCTACAGAACTGTGGCCTTGGTGGAAATTGTTCTAAATCTTAAACCTCCCAGGGAACACGGCTGGAATAATAATAATAAAATCTTCCTTTTCCTCCTCTTTTTCATAGTTTCAAGTGATCACATATAATTAAGCTTGGAATATAAAAGTTTTTTTTTAAATTTATTTTCCCTGATCACAGGCTCTGTATCTAATAGCCCCATGAGGACAAGGTGGAACTGACCATGGGTCTGCTGTAGGGTGCTGCTACCAGTGTGAATATCATTGTTCTGGAACCATTCATTGATTCTAGTCACTAGAGAGAAATGATCAGTCTCACAGTCCAGGTTCTGAACAAGAGGATTTGGGGTGGGGGTTTGCAGGGAAGAGGAATGTAGCAGAAGGCTGCTGGTGCCCCTTCCCTTCACTATATTCTTCAGGCCTTATTAATTTAGAGAGCTCCGTTGACTTTCAAATACCAGCGAATGCCTCAATTTCTTTGAAGGCTTTTGATTTTACCACACAAAGAAGTCAAGAAATGCTTGAAAATTAACACCCATGGGAGCCCTCAAATGTTGAGAGTTGGCATATCAGTACCCCTGAGTGGGCTAACTCTAGGCTGTCTCCAGAGTTTCCCAGCTGAATTAAGCTTCAGGTGCCCAGAATATTATGTTGCATTGCTGGCTTGGTTATGGACCTGTTTTTTTCTTTTTTTCTTCTTTTAGAGATGGGGTCATGCTCTGTTGCCCAGACTGGAGTTCAGTGGCATGATCATAACTCACTGTAGCCTCAAACTTCTCAGCTCAAGGGATCCTCCCACTTCAGCCACCTGAGTAGCTAGGGCTACAGGCATGCCCACTGTGCCTTGCTAGTTTTTTTACGTAACATTTTTAGAGGGGGAGGGGGCTCCTCCCTATGTTGCCAAGGCTGGTGTTGAATTCCTGGACTCAAGCGATCCTCCCCTCTCAGCCTTCTGAGTTGCTGGGATTACAGGTGTGAGCCACTGCACCTGGCTCAGGTCATGTACCTTTTATTAGTAGCTTTGACTTTCCTGTCTCACTTTCTATTCCCCTACTGATGTTTTCTTCCTCTTCTCCAATATCACTTACATTTAAATCCTTGTCTCAAGGTCTGCTTCTGAGAGAGCCCACATTAAAACAAGAGGGGAGTGAGTTAAGGAAGATTGTGAAGGGAATGAAATACAATTTTAAATCAAAATGGGCCACTCTCAGAAACAACTGCCTTCCTAAGGTACATGGGAGCCTCTCCTGAGTCCCACCCTATGGTTATTTAGTCATTTGGCATTGGGAAAGTCTTTGGGAGCCATTACCAGCTGAAATAGTTTTCTTGCAGGGGCTCAGATTCCAAGGGAAACGAGCATATGTGAATGTACCTGCACCATTAACATAAATCCTTGAATGATTTTACTTTAAAGGAGTTTAAAGGTGCCCAGATGTGTCCTTGACCATTTAGTGTTCTTGAAGGTCACCATACTGGGGTCCCTGTTTTGGAGCCTTGGGAATGAGAGATTTGCCATCTCTGGAGAAATTTTTCAGCAGGAAAAGATTATTCTACTTTCCCCCCTTTGTTCTCCTTCTTTTTCTCCTCTCTCTCCCTCTTCCTCCTTGAAGATGCCTTTTTCACAATATCCACTTGCTGAGATATTGACTCCTGTGTTACTGAGGAAGTCATTTATTTCTTTTGGTTGTCAGTTTCTCAGGTGATCATTGCTGATTCCCCTTGAAACCCTCTGAATGAAGGCTCTGGGAACAAGGTTTGTGCAGCTGGGCTGATGCTGATGTGCTCCCTACAGGGCTATACTGAGATTCCAGTACACACCTTCTCCATTTACCTCCCCACCTGCAGTAGGGGACAATGGACCTCATCCAGCCTCACAGGTGGGAACCTGGGGCACAGAGAAGTCCAGCAGCTCAGGCCACATGACTTGTAAGTGATAGAGGCAGGATTTGAACCCAGGTGACCCACTGGGTTCAAATCCTGACCACCACACCACACCACACCACACAGCATTCCAGGAAGAGGACAAGCCTGCTTTCTACTTGAGGAACGTCTACAGCTCTAACCTCTACCAGGCCTCAAATCCCCTTCTATGGAGACCTCTCTTAAGACTGAGGCTCTTATCCTGGGGTCCATAAGCCCCTCTATCCTCCAAAGAGCACTCAAAAAGAATTCGTGAGTTTGCTAAGGATGCAAACAAATTACATCCTTGTTCTCACTAACCTCTAATTGGAATTCAGCACTTCCTTCCACTATGAATACAGGCAATATGCCACAGTAATACTGGCAAAACCTGGGAATATGTCCCCAGCAGAAGTCACAGATCTTTCATATCATATTACTCATGTTTCACAGACCTCAAACTATCATTTGTGTTCATCATTACTTCAAAAATAAGTAGCTATGAGACCTAACGCTAGACCTTCTATCCAATGTATTAACAAAGTATCCTATGTTACTATATCACTTTATGTATCCCAGAGTCACCAGAAAATGCAGATAAAATGGGGGTCCCTAGCATCACTCCAGAAGATCTATTTAGCAATCTGGGTTGGGGCCCAGGGATCTCCATTTCTAACCAGTACCAGGTGCTGCATGGGAACACACAGGGGGGTATTCTTGTACATTTCCTGGTCTGCTTCCATAAAACTCCTTGAGAAGGGGTCAGTGATATGGTTTGGCTCTGTGTCCCCACCCAGATCTCATGTTGAAGTGTGATCCTGAGTGTTGGAGGAGGGGCCTGGTGGGAGGTGATTTAATCATAGGGGCAGACATCTCCGATGCTATTCTTCTGATAGAGTTCTCCCAAGATCTGCTTGTTAAAAAGTGTGTAGCACTTCCCCCTGCTCTCTCTCCTCCTGGCCATGTGAAGATGTGCCTGCTTCCCCTTCACCTTCTGCCATGATTGTAAGTTTCCTGAGGTCTCCCCAGAAGCAGAAGCTTGTACAACTCACAGAACTGTGAGCCAATTAAACCCCCTTTCTTAATAAATTTCCCAGTGACAGGTAGGTCTTTACAGCAGTGTGAGAACAGATAAATACATCCAGAATAGTGGGGAGGTCTAATGTACCTGTCAGGGTCTGGGCAGAAAGCAGAAGCCAACTCAAAAGGGTTTGACCAAAGAGAACTCTTTTCTAACTGAAGAGAATTTAATGAAGGACTTATTTGCAGCAGTGCAGTCAGGGTTAGGGGAACCAGCAAAGATGGTGGAGACCCCCAGAGCCTAATAACAACGGGAACCTTTGGCCTGAAGGTGCAAGAGGACACGGAGTTGCTGCAGCCTGGTAAGTGTGGGGAAGGGGGTTAAGAGCATGTAGATGATCACAGGAGTGGAGGGAAGCAGCTGCCGCCAGACCCTGGAGAGCCAGGAGGGAGCAAAAAAGAAGTGTCTGGGCCTCTCACTCCTCCTGCCCTCCCCTCTCCTGTCACAGCTTCCCATCAGTTGAGGTGAAAGCTAGAGGTGTGGGAGCCCTGGGGCTAAGGTCGTTAGAGGCTGATCTCCCTGTCCAGAGCAGGGCAGAGAAGAATGGAGAATGGGAGAGGGGTTGGAGCAGAGAATAACCTCCCAGGAAGCTTGGGAAAGGATGGAAAGGAAATGGGAGGCACAAGTGGGACAGGAGGGCCACAGGAGTGGAAGGATGAGGAAAGGGACATGAACAAGTCCTTAAGTCTAACTCAACATGAAGACACCAGGCCTTTATCACTTCCTTGCCCTCACTGCCGATGTACTAAGGCCCTCAATAAGTACATACATGATAAAATCATTGTACAAAACAAGTACGTGCAAAGCATCAGGACACAGGAAACATAAAAATACAAGTAGTGGGTTAAGAGGAGGAAGCAGAAGAACACTGATATGGCATCTTACATCCCCTGTGGATTTGTGCCTCCCAGAAGTGCTGGGGGCTGGCCAGGGAAGGGCAGGCCCATTACGCTGGACAGGTCTGACCTCCCACAAGGGTTCCCTGACCCACTCTTTCTTGGGTTCCTGAGCTGGACTGCTTCCTGGGGTTTGTGAACCATTTCCATTTCTAAGTCAGCTTATGTATTCGTTTTCTTAAGTAAGATAGAGGAAAGCAAACCTAGTTGGGGAACTGGAAGGGCCAATAACTCCGAGAGGGGCTGCATCATTAAAAAAGTCTCTCTGTATCTATCTCTCCCTCTATTTTAGTCACTGTTCATATATACACAGTATATATTGGATGTATCAACATATACAAATATTGTATATATTCCCACATATCTATTAGTTTGGATTAAATGTTTTAAACTATTTTTATTGTGGTAAAATAGGCATAACATAATTTACCATTTTAATAATTTTAAAATCTACAGTTCAGTGGTGCATTCATGCCATGAAACCATCATCGCCATCCATCTTCAGAGCTTTTCTCATTTTCCCAGATTGAAACTCTGTCCTTATTAAACAATAACTCCCCATTTTCCCTTCTCCTTAGTCTCTGGTAACCATCATTCTCCTTTCTATGAATTTGACTGTGCTAGGTACTTCATACAAGTAAAATCATATGATATTTCCTCTTTTGGGACAGGCTTATTTCACTTAGCATAATATATTCAAGGTTCATCCCTGTTGCAGCATGTGTTAGAATTTCCCTCCTTTATAAGGCTGAATAATATTCTATTATATGTCTATACCAAATGTGCTTATCCATTTATCTGTCTACGGACAGTCTGTTTCCACCTTTTAGCTGTTGTGAATGATGCAATATTCTTTGAGTCCCCGATTTCAATTCTTATGGGTATAAACCCAGAAGTGGAATTGATGGTTCACATGTAATTCTGTTTTAAATCATTTGAGAAACTGCCATACTATTTTCCACAGCAGCTGCACCATTTTGCATTCCTAACTATAGTGTAAATGGGTTCCAATTTCTCCACATCCTTGCCAACACCAGCTATTTTCTGATATTTTGATAGTAGTCATCCTAATAGGTGTGAAGTGGTATCTTACTGTGGTTTTAATTTGCATTTTCCTAATGATTACTGATTTTGAGCATCTTTGTATATGTTTATTGGCTATTTATATATCATTTTTTTGCAGAAAAGTCTATTCAAGTCCTTCGCCCATTTTGAAATCAAGCTGTTTGTTTTTTGGTTGTTGGCTTGTAAGGGCTCTTTATATATTCTGGATATTAACCCCTTATCAGATATACGATTTGCAAATATTTTCTCCCATTCTGTGAGTTGCCTTTTCACTCTATTGATTGTGTCCTTTGATGGACAAAAGTTTTAATTTTTGATGTATTCCAATTTATTTTTTCAGCCACTCTAATGTGTGTGTGATGGTCAATATATCTATTTTTCTGCTGCCAAGAGATGGTGACTGAGACATGGTTTTGGATTTGGTTAGAAAGTTTATTTTTTCTTTTGAACTTTTAGGTTTCAGGGATAGATGTGCAGGCTTGTTACATGGGTAAACTGAATGTTGTGGGAGTTTGGTGTACAGACCATTTAGTCACCAAGATAATAAGCATAGTACCTGATAGGTAGTTTTTCAATCCTCACCTTCCTCCCACCCCTACCCTCAAGTAGGTCCCAGTGTCTGTTGTTCCCAGCTTTGTGTCCATGTGTACTCAGTGTTTAACTCCCACTTGTAAGTGAGAATATGCAGTATTTGACTTTCTGTTTATTAATTTGCTCCAGCTCCATCTATGTTGCTACAAAGGACATGACCTCATTCTTTTTTATGGCTGTGTAGAATTCCATCGTGTATATGTACCACATTTTAAAAAATCCAGTCTACTGTTGATGGACATTTAAGTTGATTCCATGTCTTTGCTTTTGTGAATAGTGCTGCCTGCAATGTCTTTATGGTAGAACGATTTATATTCTTTTGGACCACTTGTGAACTATTCTATATATTGGGTATATACCCAGTAATAGGATTGCTAGGTCGAATGATAAGTTCTATTTTAAGTTCTTGACAAACCTCCAAATGGCTTTCCACAGTGGCTGAACTAATTTACATTCCCAGCAGCAATGTATAAGCATTCTCTTTTCTCCTCAACCTTGTCAGCAACTATTATTTTTTGACTTTTTAATAATAGCCATTCTATCTGGTGTGAGATGGCATCTACTTGTGGTTTGAATTTGCATTTCTCTAATGAGTAGTGATGTTGAGCATTTTTCATGCGCTTGTTGGCTGTGTTATTATGTCTTTAAAAAAGTTCATTTTTGAAAAAGTGAAATCCCCTCTCACTGCCATCCTCCTGAAGCCCTGCTGCCAAGCATGATGGAGAAGCAGAAATGTTTCCTGGTTTTCCTGGCAACTTTCCCCTGGCAAGCACACACACACTCTGTGAAGCATGATTCTAGAGGAAGATACCTTCCTGGTTTGAGTCCATTAATTATTTTCCAAGGAAGGGCCTCTCTTGTAGAATAAGGAATGTTAATTCCTCCTACATCTATATGAGTTTCCTTCCTTTTCAAAGTATTACCCAGTAGAAGTCTTCATTTGGTTCGTACAAGAACAGGCATAGATGATTGAGGTTCTTTATCCCCATTCTGTGGTTGAGGGAAAGAATGACAGGCACAGGGTGGAGGCAGTGAGCAATGAGAAGTGTGGGAGTCCCTGGTGTTGTCAGAGGCTGCTGCCTGGGCCATGACCTCAACTGCCCACAGGAAACAGCAGGGTGTGGGAATGTAGAAATGAATGAGGTAGGGCCCACTGCTCACTGGACAGTGGAGGACCATCTTTGACTCAGCCAGTTGTTGCAGGAGAATACGTGCTTAGTGTGGTCAAAGCTTCTGATTCTTTAAGAAAAGCTGCAAAGCTGGGCTTCTAGATACAATCTCTTGATTTTGAGTAATGGACACTAAGTAGCCACTCTGTTCTCAGATCCTTCTCCCTTGCTGCTGCCTCTGTGCCAGGCACACTGGCTTCCCGGTTGTTGCTTGAATGATCTTGGGACAGTTTAGTTTACTTTTGTATCCTTAGTTCCAGAGCAGTACCTGGTACTCCTTCTGGAATTTGAATGAATAAACGAATGAATGAATGAATGAGCTTTCAGTGGGCCAAGCCCTGGGCTCAGTGCTTGATATGCATTAGCTCATTTCACTTTCCCAATAACCAACATACAGAAGTTGGGCCTGCTGAATCTCTGATTCACAGATGAGTAAACTTATGTTTGGAGGAAATAAGAAAGATGCCCGATTTACAGAGTCAGCATTCATCCAAATTTAGTGCCACATGACTTCAAAGCCCCTGATCTGAATCATACAGCCTCCACTCTCAGTAGACTCCAGGCACTGAAGATGCAGAATTCCCTACCTGTCTGGTCACCATCCCATTCATTCATTCATTTAAAGGTGCCATTTAGTGTGAGAGGGAAATTGGCTCTCAGGTGATAGGAATCAATACAAGGAAAAAGGCTCCGAGGTCTTGGTTGGGTTGCTCAGAAGTAGACCCTCAGATAAGAGTCCATATGCAATGGGGGACCAATAAGGTAGTGGCAAAGGCAAGACAAGGAAGAAGCAGCAGCCAATGAGGGGTGTGATGCCAGGTGACACCTCAGCCTTAGCCTCACCTGCACAGAATGTGGATTGCACCACAGAACTTGAGGCAAAGCAGCTGGACTTTCCTACTACTATACCAATCAATCATTGGTTATTTGACCCCCCACCCCCCGAGAACACAAATTCCCAGGTCGTTCTCACTCTCAGTGCCTCCTGGTGAAGTGGCTCTAGTAGCCTAAGGTAGTTCATTGAAGGTTGTAGGGGTGAAACATTCGTAGCAAAGCACACAGAGCTGCTGGATAGACACACAAACAAGGAAAGAGAATTCATGTGGATCTAATGGAGCCCCAATATATCTTCTACATATGTAAGCGGAGCCTTTGAAATTAAAGCTAAACCTAGACTTACTGGATTCCACAAACCCACAGAGGAGGGACACCTAACCTAGGTCTTAGAGAATGAGAGGATGGAAGCCGGGTGTGTTGGCACACGATGTAATCCCAGCACTTTGGAAGACTAAGGTGGGTGGATCACCTGAGGTCAGGAGTTCAAGACTAGCCTGGCCAACATGGTGAAACCCCATCTCTACTGAACACAAAAATTAGCCAGCAGGGTGGCGCATGCCTGTAATACCAGCTACTTGGGAGGCTAAGGCAGGAGAATTGCTTGAACCCAGGAGGCAAAGGTTGCAGTGAGCTGAGAGTGAGAAGATAATATGGTAGGATTATCTGGAAGAATTGATACCTACATAACATCTGAGAAGATGAACAGGCATTAGCCATTAGGAAGGAAGTGGCAAGGGAACAGAATGAGTAAAAGCATGGTGTCAAAAATTAATGTGGTTTATCTTGAAAACTACAAATTATTCACTGTTGCTAGTATGTAGATTGTGTATGAGGGAGCACAAACAGATGAGACTGGAGGAACAGGTAAAGTTCATTCTAGGAAGGACCATGCTACTTGGATGTATAAGTTCAGGTTATCTGTCTTGAACAGGAATCACTGCTGACTCCACTAGATGAACCTTATCTGATGGTGATAATGAATGAGGTTTTGACAGTAGTGGTGATGATGATGGTGACGATAGTGATTGTGATATGATGATGGTGGAGACAAGGATGATGAAGTTGATCACGGTAATGGTGATGAGGAGGAGATGGTGATCACGATGACAAAGATGTTGGTGATGATGATAGTGATGATGGTGGCATTGATGATGGGACTTCAATCCTGTTTGTGTGACTCCAATCCAAGCCAGAACCCATGAATCTAACCCTGATTGCTTTCAGCAACATGAGAGGAAGCTCAGAATGCCCGTGACCTCTACTGGTTCATCAGATTCTTTCTTCCCTTTTACCCTCTCCCACTTTTCAATGATATTCCCTCCCTACTACTCCTCTAAACCCCAGTGCCATACCCTGTGGGAGTTCTTCTGATCCCAGGTAAACACTGGCTGGCTAGAGGTCCTGTTTGCCAATACTGGGATCTTCCTCTTCAGGCTTACTTGAGAAGTGAGGACAATGACTTCTGTCTAGGTATCTACTGTAAATATTAGATCATTTAAATTTTCTAGAGGCCTTTGAAATTTCAAAACTCATTCAACTGTCTACAAGATGATAGAGCTCTTCACTTCAAGGTTGGTAAGAAACCTACTTCTTGCCTAAAGGTTCTTATTAGTAACCTGAGCCTTTCCGAGGGTTATCACAATAAGGTAGGAATTTTCGTGCCAGTTACAGCAATGTTTATTGCCCAACATTGTGCTTTTAAAAGATACAAGACTGGTTAAAATTATCAAGATTTTTGCATTCTTGCCTTTCTGTCACTTTCTTGTTCTCTCTGCAAACTCAGACTCAGGAGCTGATGGACATTGCTGCTACCAGATAACATCAAACAGTGGAACTGCTGGCCAATCAAGGGCAAGCAACCAGGACTTCCAAAAACAGAATAGGCCTGAGACACAGGACGCCAGCAGGCTCGTAATCTGGCGCCTCTTCAAGCCTATATTCTTTAAATATTTATTCAACATTTATTCTGTGGAGGAGGGAGGAGAAAACTAATCTTCTATTAATAAAAAAGTGTGTATAGAAATAAGCCTCTTACTAATTCATTTCCCCTGGCACAAGCATAGTCAATATTCTGCAAACAATTCTGCAAAATATCTCCCATTTTCCTTTCATTGTTATTTTCTTTCAAGTTTCTTTTGTATGTTTCTCAAGCAGGCAACTTCTTGTGGGTGTATTTGAAGTTTTAATATTTAATATTTAGACAGTGAACACATTTTATTTAACTTGGGTAGCTACCACACACTGTTGAATTTTAAAATCTCAGCTGGCGGGGACAATGTGAGCACCTATGAGATATATGTTATATGCATATTTAGGCTAGCAATAGCAGAAGAAAAAAAGATCCTTCAGGTAGAGGGGATGGCTTTTTGTCTTCAGTTGTGCGGATTAATTTGTCTTCAGTTGTATAATAACTTCTGTCACGTGGAGATCCAAGTTAAGCAACACCATATTTCCAGTTTATTATAATGATGTTTGAGTGCCCATTGTAGATTGGCACCCTGAGAAGGTGCTCAGGGGGTCACCCTACAATCTAGCTTTGTGCACCCAGCTGCTGAAAGCCATAGTAAGATTCCCAGGTTGGGACCATTTCTTTAACTGCCTCTCTATACTGTATCCTATTGCCAGAACTGACCTAATCCCATAGGATGTGTTCCTGGAGTGGAATATGATTTCTCATTAGCGGTGATGGGCCAACTAGGTCATCCTAGGGTGTCTAGCCAGATCGTTCTCATGATAGGTACAAAGAGCTAACAAGCTGGATGGCAGTGGGTTAGGGGCCCAATCTGAGGCTGTGTGTGTAAATGAACAAAGCCAACACACTTGTGTGGGGTTTAAACTCTGACCTTCGGTTTTATTGCTTAAGATTTAGTACAGCTAACGAAGCCATACTGAAGCTTCTTATTACAGCACTTTCAACTTCACGCTTCAATGACAACCCATTAAAATAATTACCATATGATTACTATGGACTTCTAACTAGGAAGTTCAAAACCTCTCTTGTTAGACAATTAGCTCAGTTGGGCACATGGGCTCCTTTGTCTCTGACTGATGTAGGCTAGCTTGAAATTCAGGGGTATTCCAGGGAAACCTTGGTACCTGGACATCAGCACAGATGACTCCTGGTCTCAGTATGTCCTTCTTGCAATCTGTTCACCCAGTGTGCCCTTAGAGAGCAATCAGAACTCAAGAGAAAGATGTTCTCAGACAACATTTTGGTTCTACGGCTGTTAGAGGAACAATGTGAGATATTCTCATTGTTAATGAGAAGGACCTACACTTGCAGTTTGCAGATGCTGCCACCAATGTTTAGGAGCCATGACTACAAAGCAGAGAGCTAAAATTTAATCATGCTTCCAGTTACCTTCCCCAGGGCTCAGAAGAAGCAAGAAGCAGAGTCACAAATGGGAATCCAGGAGATCATATAAAGGCACACTGGGGTAAGGCATGCTGAAGCATGAGAGAAATAAATTTCCTTGAGGTTATAAAAAGACTGGACTACAGTGGTAGCTTTGAGTTTTGGCAGTTCTCTTCTGCACCTTACAAAACAGGAATGGAAGAAATTTGCTAGCTGGTTACCCTTGCTCTGCCCAGATGTAAATAAGTCAGTGAAGGTAGTAACGATACTGTGGTTACAAACCAGGAATCAGACAGCCTGGGTCCATATTTCAGCTGTATGACTCGAGCTATTTTGACCTCACTAAGGCTTCAGTTTCCTTTGTGTGTAAAATGGGAAAAATAATAGTGCCAACCTCATATGGTTGTTTTAAAAGTGGATAATATGTGCAAAATTCTTAGCGCAATAGCTGGAATGTTTCAAGCATTCAGTAAGTGCTAGATAGTTTTATTGTTGCTGGGGGTCATTATTATTTTAATCCACTTGTTCAAAAACTGGGACCAACTGAGTAGAAGTGGATTTAGGGAAGCTTGCATATGTTCTTCTTTACAAAATCACCAGGAAAGGTCAGCAGGCTTATTCTTCGACTGCATCTGTGGGGGCTACTTCCATAGAAACAGACACATAGGAGTGGTGTGCTGAAGAGGTTGGTTTATTTTTCTTCCTTTGACTCCTAAGAGCTTTTGCCCATCCAAAGAAACCCAAACCAGATTTCACATTCTAACAAACACATGATTTAGGATTCCCCAGCGGTCATCAGGGATGACCAACGCAGTGGTAAAATCCAATCTGCCCCTGGATCCGATGTTAATTACAACTGAAAAGCGGATGGTGTCTAAATCTAGGCCCATCTGTTCCACATCTGTGGGACATTTCCCCAGTGGAGAAGACAGAGCCATAGCCAATTTCTTTTTGCCCCAAGAAAGACTGGGATTTTGCATTTAAGAAAATATCTTATTATTTGTCATGATAAGATTCTCTCTGATCTACATAACCACAGAAACATTAGGTCAGAGGTCCAAACAAGGAAAGGTCAGCGGAAATACTCCCGGAATGTAGACGGCTTACAGGAGCTCAAGATGCTACCACAGTGAGATAGTCTGGAGACAAAAAAATATTTGAATCTGACTTGCCTATCAGTTTGTGAGACAACCCTCCTCCTCATCCACACGTACATATGATTCTAATTATTAAGTGGCTTGGATGGAGAAATTATTTGTTTGGATTCTATTAATTATACTTACATATATTTTAAGGACTGACAAAGAATTACCCTTTCTTCGAAGAATACAAAATGTACTAATGGAACAGAAGGATGAAAGTCATGCTCCTGTAGGGAATGCCAGTGCCACTAGAGTCTGGTCAGTGGGGGCTTTGAATCCACTGACATCAGCCAATAAAGAAAGCATTATTTAATGGACACCGAAGGTCCCTATTCTTGGTTATATTTTATCATCAACTTTGCACCAGACAGGGAATTATACCTCTGACTGTGGATCTAATGGGAGGTGTTGTGGAATAGCAGTGATCCAGTGTTTAAAACGTGTCTGGTACAGGGAGCAGATGTACCCTTCTGCCCACTTCTGACAATGGACAACTTAAGATACACTGGCAGTTTCCTACCCATGACAGCTTCCTACCCACACCTCACCCTGTGACTTTCTACTTTTCTGCCTGCAGCTCCTACCAGTGCTAGAGAACTTTTCTCAGCCCATGTGCGGAGCACCCTGAAAGTGCCCGGGTTTTAAAAGCCCAAGAACAATTAACAACAACAGAGAGACAGGAGTAGGAATTGATGCCTCAGTGACCTGGTCTTCTCCACCCTCCTTGGGACGATTTTGAGTTGTGGTCTACATAGTTCCTCTGAGACTCTTCCGCAGGATCGAGCCCCAGTTGTCCTCAGTGTTATCAGCTCTTTAATTCCCCCCTTTGTTGGCTTCCTCTTTTTCCGTCTCATTTCTCTCACTCCCTCACTTTTGACTCCTGGGGATCACTCCTGGGGATCAAATAAACTACCTGCACCTGGGGCTGTGCTGGAGTGGGCTTGTATCTCATGAACTGTCATGAGAGACAATTATTAAAAATTCAGGACTGTTGTAAATCAGTTAATGTAACACTAGTAGTTGAAAACTTGCCATGTGAGTATTTACACCACGGAAATTTGCAAATGCTACATGTCAGGGTTTTTATTATTTATTTATTTTAGGAGAGCCAGTTGTTAAATATTTATGAGCACACTGTTGTCTTCACCCAAGTCCTCATCTAGGGTTTGCTTTTGGGAGCACTGAAACTATGAGTGTGAGTAGCAAGTGCTCACAGAAGCCAACGTATGAATATTTATGATAAAAAAGCATCAAAATTTCTCATAATTATTACAAATAATTATGTAATTAATGATTCTCAGGGCACTTAACTGGTGGAAGATAATCTGTTACTAGATTTAGAGTTAAGGGAATAGGTAGAGAAACTAAAAGGAAAGTATACCAGGAGCTGTTGCCACTTGAAAGTCCTCTAGAAGAAAATATAGGAGAAAATCTTTGTGACCTTGGGTTACACAATGATTTATTACATAGAACACACAAAAGGAAAATGAAAAACTAGGAAAGAAAAAAGATTGATAAAATGAGCCACATCAAACGAAACCAAACAAAACTTAACAATAAAAGTACTTTGCTCTCCAACAGATGCTGCTAAGAAAATGAAAATGCAGGCCATAGACTGGGAGAAAATAAGCACAAGCTATGTATCTTATGAAGTACATGTATTCAATATGTATAAAGAATACGTACAACACAAAAACAAAAGAAATAATCCAATTAAAAATGAACAAAAAATTTGAGCAAACACTTCACCCAAAAAGATAATGAACAAGAAGGTGATGAAAAGATGTTCATATTATTTGTCATTAAGGAAACAAATAGAAGCCACAATGAGGTACCTCTACACACTCACTAGAATGACTAAAGTAAAGAAAGCTGACAATATCAAGTGCTTGTGAGAGCATAGAGCAGCTGGAACCTCAGATATTGCTGGTGGGAGTGTGAAAGGTAAAGCCATGTTGTAAAACAGTTTGGTAGTTTCTTACAAAATTCAACCTATACTTACATGGCACTCCCAGGTATTTACCCAAGATAAATGAAAAATCTGTAGACACTAACTATTGTACATAAATGTTCATAACAGCTTTATTCATAATACCCCCAAACCAGGAGCAATCCAGATGTTTATCAATTAGTGAATGGATGAACGAACTTTAGTACTTCCATACAATGGAGTTCTTCTTGTTAATAAAAAGGAATAAACTGCCTCTTTACACACAGCACATACATATAACTATATGGATGGATCTCAAAAGCATTATATATCAGTAATAAGGCATATCAACACCATGTACTGATATGATATGCTGACAGCTGTACAACGTCACTGTGGTATTCCTGCTGAAAATCTATAAACTCAACAAAATCATGAGGAAAGAGATGACAAACTTAAACTGGCCCAAGCTGTTCAAAATTTTGAAGGTCCTAAAAATAAGAAAAGACCAAGGATCTGACATGGAGAGGAGGCTACTAAAGAGACAACAACCAAATGCACTGTGGGATCTTGGGTTGGACCAGACAAACAGCTTGGTGGGAAAACTGGTGAAGTTTAAAAATGTCTGTAGACGTCAAATTTGTGATCTTGATAATTGCACTGTGATTATGTAAGATGTTAACATTAGGGGAAGCTGGGTGAATGGTATAAGAGAATTCTCTGTGCTATTTTGCAGCTTTTCTGTATATCTAAAATTATTTCAAAATAAAAAGTTTCTTACACCACTGCACCCCAGCCTGGGTGACAGAGCGAGACTCTGTCTCAAAAATAAAAAAATAAAAAATAAAAAGTTTATAAAAATGATATTTTCTTTGTGTAAAATTATATGTCAGTAAAGGTGATTTAAAAACTTAGTAAGCCCATGTTTCTTACACTGTGACTCAGAGAACCTGATGTTTCTTCAAGGGCCCTGAAATGAGGACACAGTAAAGAGGGGAAGCTCCATCCTCATTTCCCTCCCCCATCTTCTATTGCAGGTTATGCTTCAACGCATTTAGTTCTATTTTAACATCATCCATCCACCCATCCATCCACCTACCCATGCATGTACACACATACACACATAAATATATTTATTCTGTTATGACTCCATTAAAAAGGGGGGATATTATTGCTAACAACTATGGAAAATTTCAATACCTTTATATTTCAAAACATTCCATTTAGGTCTAACTTTCAGAAACTTGCCTTTGAGAAAAATGAAAGTGGACAAGTTCAGCTTGGTGGCTCAAACAATACAGATTTAAGTCACTGTTAGAACAGATTTGTCACACCCAATTGGGACATATTTGCCCAAGATTCTCAAGTGATTAGTTTTGTGTAATTCTTCCACTAAGTGGTATTTTCTGTCTTAATGCACAGACAGAACTGTGCTGCATTCTTACTGACCTCAAAACCCAAAGTAATAGAGAAAAGAAGTCTAACTAGAAAACAACACCAGGCAATCATGAGGTCTGCAGACGGCTTATGGGAGCTGAATATTCCCCACACTTAGGGTGGTTTTGGAGACAGCTACTGAGTTTGAGGAAGTGATTTGTCAATAGATGGACATAGGGGTTAGCTTGCAAATGTTTAGTAACTGACACTGGGGGATGAAACCTTGATTTGTAGCATTTTCTGATGTTCATGGTGTAAATACTACCACCATGATTGATTGGAGGCTACCCCTGTGATGTCAAAGTTGGGAAGAGTTGTGCATAATTGACTCTTGCAGGCCAGCCCAGGCCATCTCCAGCACACCACTGCACAGACATGCTGGGGCAGGATTCAGTATACTGATAATTGGGAGAGGATTTCACAAGTGTTTGTAGGTGGAAAAGACCTCTTTATCTAGCGGATAAAAGCCATAGAAAAGTCAAGATATCACTAGGACAAAAGAACCAAGATGACAGGAGGAGTAAACAACCACAGTTTGCCCTGCTGAGTGCATGAGCTGCAGACTTCTAAATCCTGCAGGAACCTGAGCCTCACTGGGAAGGATCTCCAAAGGGCTGGGGCTGTGGACAAGCCCAGAGAACCTTGGGCATCTCATTGGCAGCACATAGCAGAGGCCCAGGGAGCAGTCAGACCATGGAGAAGACTTTACATTTTAGGCCACTGGAAATGAATACTTTTTTAAAAAAATGGGTTTTGTTTTGAGAAGTGTAAGGAATATTCAGCTTCCACAAGCCGTCTGCAGACCTCATGATTGCCTGGTGTTGTTTTCTAGTTAGACTTCTTTTCTCTCTTACTTTGGGTTTGAGGTCAGTAAGGATGTGGCACAGTCCTGTCTGTGCATTAAGAGAGAAAATACCACTTAGTGGAAGAATTTCACAAAACTAATCACTTGAGAAACTTGGGCAACAGTGTCCCAACCAGTTGTGACAAGCCGTTTGTAGCAGTGACTTAAATCTGAGTTGTTTGAGCCACCAAGCTAAAATTGCCTTTTCTTTTTTTTTTTTTTTTTTCACACACTGGCCACTACAGTGACAATTTTACACTCTAGCTAAAAACAACATCTTTTTCTCAATTCAGCATAATTATTTAGGGTTTGCTGGAAGAAAACCCACACGTATTAAATGACTTAATGGTGAAATTATTCAGCTGACTCTAAATTCTCTACTAATTTGGACGATGGGGTGGGAGAGAGGACAATTTAATAAGACAAACTGATTATTAACACCATGACTGATTTTCCCACTAGAATACTTTGCTAGCAAGAAAAGAATTTTATTTTTGGATTTTCCTTATGCCTAAGGCACATAGAGAAGGAGATGAGAAACAGGCAACTCTGGATGCCGGTGGTGCTAATGGTCTGAATGTGTATGTCCCCCCCAAATTTATATGTTGAAACCTAATCAACAATATGAAGGTATTGGGAGGTGGGGCCTTTGGGAGGTGATTAGGTCATGAGGGAAGACCCCTCATGAATGGGATCAATATCCTTATAAAAGAGGCCCCAGAGAGCTGCCTTGCCCCTTCCACCATGTGAGGACACAGCAAAAAGGTGGCATCTCTGAACCAGAAAGGCCTTACCAGACACCAAATCTCCTGGCTCCTTGATCTTGGAATTTCCAGCTTTCACAACTGTGAGAAATAAATTTCTGTGGTTTATAAGGCACTAGTCTAAGCTATTTTGTTAATTATTTCAGCCTGAATTGACTGAGACACATTCCATGTCTTTTTGTACATCTTTGTGACTACCAGCATTTACTTGACTTGGGTTTTTGAAACCCTTGGTGTGGTGTATTTGTCATAGGGAGGAGAGGGGTCCTTCAAAACTCAGAGTAATTTACAATATTCTTCAGTCATGTACAAAGATGGGGTTTCTTTTGAATGCATAAAATAAGGGAACTGGTTTTACGATGCTCTGTTCTGTTAATCGTCTTCAAATCAAGAAACTGAGGTCCATAGAAGACAGACTCAATTTTCTCAGTGGGGAAGGAACAAGTCACTGGTGCCATTACAGCAGAAGCAGATCTCTTTAAGTCTCTGTAGACCAGTGGTTTTTGTAATACTTCCTGGAGTAATCCAGGGATTGTCTACCATTCTAGGATAGCCATGCATCTATTTTTCTTTCCCATTGTCGAGACTAATGGAAGAAGAAATATGGCCATTCTTGAAGTATAAATCCAGTAGATTGGAACTGGATGAATTTCTCATTCATCAGAATTCCTTGGCCTCAGTTTTGTTTCTTTAAGAAGTGTCAAATCACGACCAGGGGCCTCTGACATAATCTGCTTTTGCTGCCACCACTGAGCCTCTTCAGGATCCTGGGACATTCACTGTTATCTGGTGTCCCTTGGTGGGTGGCTTATTTATGAGTAGCAAGTACATAAGTTCTTCTCTTTGTGAGTCTCTTAGCTCAACACTAAGCATGAGTTTTGGCATCTTTCTCAGGGTTGCTAAATTCTATTTGAAGATTCATTATTGCTGCAAGTTGCTGAGGCTACGGCTAACTCAGAGTTGGCTTTACGAAACCACAAAGAATTAGAAAATAATACTTCTTTACCTAATAGGAAACCTATCTGCTTAATCCAATTGTATCTGACAGCAGCTGTTAGCAAAACTGGACAGGGAACTTCTAAGTCCTGCCTGCTAACCATCAGGACTTGTTCTCTGTTGCCATTCTACGCTCCCTTTAAATTGGTGGGTGGCTTTGTCATTGCAGACTGGCTGCAGTCCTTGCTAAACTCTGACTTCTCCACTGAGCTTTCTGCTCCTCTTTCACTTGCCCCATCTCCTGCAATCCAATGCATTTAGAAAGCTGGCACATTCAGAACTCACTGAGGTTATTTCAGCTCTGCCTGCTGCCTCTGGAGCCCCTGATGTATTACTCTGGGTGGGGGAAAGGAAGGGAAGAAAGGAACTACTCTTTGAGGACCTTCTGCTACATGCAAGGTATCCCATTAGAGGCTTTGCATGGTTTCCTATTTAGGCTTAACAACAACTCCGTCAAACAGACATTATTAGCAAGCACCATATTTTACAGATGAGGAAACTGAGGTTTTCTGAAATTATGTAATGCTCAATAACCTATACCCAGGAAGTGAACTCTGAGCCCAGTGTAATTTCTACCATCACAATATTATCTCTCTTCCACCTTTTCTCTTCTCTCCACAAACTCTGTTAGAAGCACTTCCGGAGTAAGGCCATCAAAGAGAACTATCACGTGAGCTACATATGCAATGAAAAAAATTTCTACTTCTGAAGTAAAATTTTTAGTTCAAAGAGGTTAAAAAAAGATGAAATTAATGTTAATAATATTTTATTTAACTGAATGTATCCAAATATTATCATTCACTATGGAATCCATATAAAAATACTAATGTGACATTTTACTTTCTTTCTCCTCCTGTTTGCCATCTCATGTGTTCTACATTTACAGCAATTCTCAGTTTAAACTTGGCACTTTCACATGTGCCTGAGCCATCCATGCCTGCTGGCCACCATACTGGATAGAGGATACCCAATTTCCAGTCTCTGGGTTATTTCTTCTTAGACTGCATTGTTATCATTGGATTCATTCCTCTTGGTTTGCATTCAGTGCCTTAGAGTCAATTTCTGCCTTTTCTGAATCGTTTTCCTCCTTTTGACAAACTCTGCCTACTGCCCTCCTGCTGTTCTCAGATTGTCTACTCTGCCAATGTAAGTTATCTACAACTTCACCCAAAAAATGCACAGGCTGGCCTGTGTCTTTATACGCTCCGTCTTTTTTTGCACTCAAATATTTTATGTTTCCCCTGGGGTACATTTTGGAAACAGTCTCAGCCACACCTGTACACTCCAATGCATGCCCTCTTGCTCCTCAGTCTTTGGAGTCATCTTCAACTTCATAATGTCATTTACAAGGCTTGCAGTTGCCATATCAGCCAGCTGACATGGACAGCATCGGTGCTACCAAGTGCTTTTGTCAGCATTAGTTTTACACACCTCACCAGTCATTCTGTTATTATTTACTGAGTACCATGCTGGGTCTTTCATCATATGAAAGACATGTTCTGAGGGAGAAGGAAGGATTATTCCAATTTGAACTATGACCTCTTGAAGTGTACACAGTTGTGTTACAGAGAGGTCATTCTACCCTTCCATACATGAGATTTCTCATTTTCTGAATTGAGTGTATCCCACTCACCATGAAAGTCACCTTACTTCCTTGTGATGCAGCAAGTCACATACAGAAACTGGTCTATTTCCCCATGGTTTTTAAGTGTCCTGTGAATACTGGGCATCACCTACATTGATCACACACACAGAAGTGCACACACAAAGGTGCACACACATACAGAGGTGTACACACAGGTGCACACACACCTAGAGATGTGCACACAGAGGTGTGCACACGGACATACACGTGCACACAAAGGTGCGGAGGCTGCCCTGTGTTCTGTAAGCTGCTTGTGATTTGCCAGAATAATTTTAGAAAGACAGGAAGGAAGGAAGGAAGGAAGGAGGGAGGGAGGGAGGGAGGGAGGGAAGGAAGGAGGGAAGGAAAGAAGGAGGGAGGGAAGGAGGAAGGGAGGAGGGAGGGATGGAGGGAACGAGGGAAAGGCGAGGTCCCTAGTCTGGGGACCTTGCAAACCTTGACAATCACAGGCCCGCACTGCACAGGACAAATTCCTGCTGGTTGTGGTTTACAGATCGTGGCCCCCTCCCCTTTCCTCTGATGAAGCAAGATGACACAGATGTAGGCTGTCACCTAATCCTGTCCATACTTGTCACAGAAACTGACACTGGAGGAGTCACCGGAGGGAGACTTTTTGTCTGTGAGATTACAGGCCAGGGAGAGTGCAGGCAGCTGAGAAACGCCAAACAGGGAGTTTAAAGAGGGGTCAGAAAGAAGGAAAAAAAGAATCTTTTGAATTGTTTAACCTCAAAGTGAAAGTGAATGGGATCAGCTGAAATCAGGTGCTGTTTCATAATGAAATTGTATTCAGCCTCCTTGCTGGAGCCCAGAGACCCAGCTGGCAAACAGTAAAGGAATGATTTATGCTGTCAATCAAATAATGGCAAGAAGTGTCTTAACTTGGGGGAAATAGGAAGATTCATTTACTTTTCTGAACTTCTATGTAGATGGCCACACAGGAGCAGCTATATTCTAAAGACCTGGAAAATTCAAAGCTGGGGTAAAGTCAGAGTCAGCAGAATGCATTTGCTGGTCTCTCCCCTAGTTGCTGGGCGGCTGTGTAGACAGCAATGTGAGAGGGAGGAGCTTTGCTTGCGCAGACAGGAGGGAGGCTGGGCTGTCCTTGGTGATTTGGGAATGTGGGAGGGGAGTTGTTCAGAGCCCTTTTGCCTCTGCTGGAGAGAGAGTCTTAGAAGAACCAGCTCACCTGCCCATTTCTGGCTGATGCCTGAGACCCAGAGGGCCCCATGCAATTTTCACATTTTTTAAGGGGACAGAAATACTTCTAGGAACGTACTAACAATGAAAGATTCAAAGACGGGGAAAAAGTTTCCCTAAAGGTAGATCTTGGAAACTAAACTCTTTTAGGTGGGAGGTAACTAAACTGAGAAAATAGCTTCCAGGCAAATAAAAGAGCAAGCAGTGGCGACGTGAGTAGCCCCACATACAGTCAGTGAAAGACAAGTTTTGGGTTTTTGGTTTTCTTTCTTTTTTTAAAAAATGTTTTGGCTTTTAAGAGAGTTTGATGTATTTTGAGCCCCAATGATAGATCAGGCAGCTGAGAGCAGCCTGCCTGGTCCTCCGGGCAGTGGAGGGAAGGAGGATGAAAGTAATGAAGCAGATTCTTGTAGCTGATTGCTAGGACTTGGGAGGAGAGCTGAGAGCATGTCCTATGGGAAGAAAGGAGGGAAGAGCCTTCTGCCAGAGTGTCTCAGTCAGCAGGAGCCGAGGAGCATGGCAGCCCAGGCTAAAGGGTGGCACTCTCTCCAACACAGGGCAATATGAGGTCTGTAGAAGAGGCTAGGAGGAAACCGCACATGAGGAAAAACAAGCGACTCATGGCATGTTATAGCAACTCCACCAAGGCATTTATTTCTCTACACTCACCATGAAGACAATGGAAGGTTATAGAATGTGGGATGGGGAGGCGGGAGTCATAATTCATTTAAAATACCACTTCTGTTTTAATATTTGGAGGTTTCAATGTACCTGTAGATGATCTTTTTAATACCTGCTTCTCCATTTCTTGATTTCTTCTCCAAGGGTCTTGTCCATCCAACCTCACTCACCTCCATAATCATACCATAGTAGACCTTATCATTATGAATACCTACTGTACCTTCCTCAACTTCAAATTCATGCATTCCATTCTCATCTTCACCTCCTGCCTTCCTGGTTTATTCCATGTGAGGTCCTGACTCCCACAGTCCTTTCACTTCCGTCTTGAAACTATGAGGACCAAAGAGAAGCTCTGTTAAGTGGAAAGATGGAACGGGCTTGATGCATTAATGAAACTGCAGAAGCACTGCACTAGCTTTTGAAGTGGCTCCTCTGAATCCATTCCCTTGAGAGAAACAGGCATCTAGGAGTTAGGCCACTATTTGTTGGGTTTCTATTCCCTGTGGCCAAACAGCACGCTAAAGATGCAGAGTCCATGTGGCCCGTGCCTTACGTTCTCATCCTCTTTCCTCACCACTCTCATTTGCTCTCAGATTTCACTGCCCACTTGGGTCTAATTTACTTACCGTGCTCACCTCTGGCCTCATTTGCTCTTCATTACTGCCTGGCTTTACATTTCTTCAATATGGTTCCTTAATGGGTCATGCTCTTCATTACTGCCTGGCTTTACATTTCTTCAATATGGTTCCTTAATGGGTCACGGCCTTCAAGGCACTTTGCCTCTCAACTAGACTTAGAGGCTTCCTTTCTACACAGGTACAATATAAGGGTCCAGTAGGCCACAGATATGCAAAGGCAAAAGGAAAATATCTTGGCCGAAAACCTAGTTTCATTATGACACTAGGTAGAAATGCATTTTCCATTTTCCTTGTACACATGCACACCTTCACACACACAAGTATACACACACACACTCACACATGTATCTTTCTCTAATTGTGATTTAGTTGCTACACATAAGTCAAGAAGGTAGAACTATTCTTTTTAATTTCTGAGTGTTCATTGGCCTCACCCCATGTCTGCCTCTCTCATTGGGTCTCCCCTTCTCTCTTTGAGAGAAGTGCTAAGTTCTATAGGCTACAACACATTTTAGCTCAATGATACTATGTATTGTCTGGGATTCTCAAGTGACACATTAGTAGAACAAATGTTTTTCCTCTAATTTTTTTTAATCTGTTGCCTTTTAAAGAGCCAAAAAGAAATACATAAAGTAGAAAAATTAAGAGTGTAGAAAAAAGGAAATTTCTGTAATTCTTGAGCTGCCTCTAAAACAGCATACAGAAAGTAAGTTTCAGAACATTTTTTATGACCAAATTTAGTAAATGCTATCTTGGCAACTCAAAGCTTTTCTTTGTATTTCTCCCAAACACACTTTTCCCTGACAGGAAGGACTGATAATGATGAAGTGTGACTCAAACAACATAAGATCCTTTAAATAAAATATCTGGAAGTTTTATTTTCAAATAAATGTCACAATTCAAAGTAATGGTTTTGGAAGGTTATGTAGTTTTTCTCATGTTTTCTATTGTTCAAAACATATTTGGAACTCAGATTTTGATGACCTGCATCATATTCTTTGGGATAATTTCAATCATTTAACCCCTCATCAGTTGGAAGTGGATATAATTTTTTCAAGAGTCAAAGGTTTTTTGTTTGTATTGTTTTGTTTTGTTTTTGAGACAAAGTCTTGCACTGTTGCCCCAGCTGGAGTGCAATGGCATGATCTCGGCTCACTGCAACCTCTATCTCCCAGGTTCAAGCAATTCTCGTGCCTCAGCCTCCTGAGTAGCTGGGATTACAGACGCCCGCCAACACACCTTGCTAATTTTTGTATTTTTAGTAGGCATGGGGTTTCAGCATGTTGGCCAAGCTGGTTTTGAACTCCTGACCTCAAGTGATCCGCCCGCCTTGGCCTCCCAAAGTGCTGGGATTGCAGGCATGAGCCACCACACCTGGCCAAGTCAAAGGTTTTTGAGGCTGAATCTAGTAAATACATTGAGCAATTAAATTATGAATAATACATATGTTGACATTTAAAAAATGATCTGTCTTTAGGTCAGACCTGAGATATTGATTCTACAATATCAACTTTTAATCTTGGAGGACAATATACCTCATTTACATGTATTCCTTCTGGATTGTTTCCCTAAAATTCAGTCATGGTAGAGGTATGTCTAGCTATCTACCAAAAACTGATGCTCTTTTAATCATGGTGTAAAGCCTTCACAGAGAAGTGGCTACCCAGCTAAAGACAGCATGTCCCAGCATCCCTTGCAGTTAGGTGCCATCATGTGACTGAGTTCTATTTAATCCAATGTGAGCAGGCAAAGTGACAGGTACCACTCTCAGGCTTGGTCCATAAAGACCTTTTGTCTCATGTGCCTCTGTGTTTTATTCCTGCTGGCTGGCCGTTAAGGCTCAGAAAGATCTTGAAAGCCACTTGTTGAAAATAGCAGGGCCTCCACCAGTCTATGCCCTTGGTTGGCTCTATGGAAAGAGCTAACCCTACTGCCCTGACCTGCAACTACCTTGGAATATTTGTGTGAGGAAGAAATAATCCCTTATTATGTTCATTCCATGATGCATTTAGGCATTTGTGGTAGGCAGAACTCTTAAGATAACCTCTGATGTGTGCACACCTTGGTGTTATTCAAATGCAAATATGGGTGCTGCTGAAAACAGATATTGCAAGTGTAATCAAGGCCTCTCATCAGTTGACCTTAAAAGAGGAAGATTATTCTTGGTGGGTCCAACCTAGTCAGGGGAGTCCTCAAAAGAGGCTGGACTCTTTCTGTTGAAAGAGATTCCAAGGGTAAGAGGCATTTGCCTTGACGGATATTCTCCTTTGATGGCTGACACCTTGGCGTTAGCCTTGTGAGACCCTGAGCAGAGAACCCAATCATGCTGTGTCTGACATCTGAGATGATAAATGGTTGCTGTTTTAAGCTTCTAAGTTTGTGGTAATTTGTTCCACAGCAATAGAAAACTAACATAGGGTTTATTTGTTACTACAATTAGCCTACCATACTAGTGCACAGACCTATTTAGAGTCAAATGTCACATAACATCTCATTGTTAAATTAAAAAAACTGCTATAGTGAAAATTTCTAATTAATGACAGATTTTCCAGGGCCATTATTTACAGTGTTAGCATATGGGAAAACGAAAAACTTACATTGGAGGCCAAGTCTTCTAATTTGAGACAAGTGTGCTACTTGTAAGCAGAGGGGTCATCCAAATACATAATACCAGGTAAGGCATGAGCACCAGCAACTCAGGACAGATGCTGGCCCAGTAAGAGCCGAGAAGCGCGGAACATCAGCCTTGCTTGTAAATCAGCCCCTTTTGATACCAGGCCCACATTCTTCATGTACTGGGACTGAACTATTCTGCATGATGACTGAGAAGACCATGTTAATTCAGAGGAGAAAATAATGTAGTCAGAAGAAGAACTCTAAAAATAACAAAACTTGTCTGGGCATTTTTGATCTGGGGGAAAAAATCCTGGACTGTACCACAGTTCCCAATACTTGGTTATTTTGCTAAACTCTGCAGTGATAGCTGCAAAGATGTCCTGACTTCTGGGCTGCGCCCAAAGGAGATCTCTTTAATTAGAGAGAGGACAGAGCTGCAACCAGAGATGAGGGTTATTAGACATCATGAATTTTTCTCTTGCCCTGGCTCTGGCATACCATCAAAGGAACTGCAGTTTCAGCATCTGCATCTGAGCTGGGCTCAGGGCAAGGGGAGGGTGGGAGAGGCAGTTTTTTTTGGCCTGGCCATTCACTCAGCTTCTGCTGATAGTGCACATCTCTTTGCTGGACAAAGGAGAGAGGGAAATATGACAGCAGCCGAGTGAACGCAGTCACCTGTGAGATCCGGCTTCATTTCATTTCATTTTCTGAACAGCTTTATTGAGGTATAATTTACATATCACAAAATCCACCCATTGTAGGTGTACACTTGTCATTTTGAGGAAATTTATGAAATCATGCAACTATCACCACAGCCCAGTTTTAGAACACTTCCATCACCCCAGAATATTTCCCCATGTCCATTTGCAGCCAGTCCTTACTCCTATCCTCATCTTCAGGTCACCAATGATTAGCATTTTGCCTCATTAGTTTGCCTTTTCTAGAAATTTCATATCACTAAAATCATACAGCATCTAGAACTTTAGACCTAGCCTCTTTCACTTAGCTGAATGCTTATAGGACATTCATGGTGTGTTACACACTAAATTAGGCCCTATGGTTGGAATGATGAATGAAATTGACATGGTCCCTATCCTCATGTAGATTAAGACTAAGAGGAAGAAAGATGCTAATCAAATAATGCCACAATGTATAATTACATGTTGTGATAATAGCTACCACAGGAATAGTGCAGAGGGAGACTAGCTCATGCAGGCAGGACACAGAATCTGACCTGGGTGGTCATAAACACCTTCAGAGAGCGGGACCTCTCAGCTGAGACCTCAGGGAGGAGCAGTAGTTAATTTTCCAAAGAGATTAGTTGTCTGAAGAAATGGAAGCAGGTCAGAGTTGTTGGAGCACCCTGTGGGCATGCAGTGGCTGGGTGGAAAGGGAAGGCGTGGGGGATGCTTCCTCAGCCTGACCCCAGGGTGGACTCTGGAGTGTGAATGCACCAGAGCTGCCCCTCCTGGAGGCAGGGTGACTGCAGTGGTCTAGGCAGAAACCAGGTTGGGAAGGCAAGTTCTGGATTTACTCCCATGAGCAGATGGCTTGAGGGTATTATGTGACTATGCCCCAGGGAATCAGAGAAACTCCAAATTGGAAAGGACCTTAAAAATTGCGAGTCTGCCCCCCACCCCCTTTCCCCTCAAAAAAAGGAGGCAGCATTTTCAAGCTATGCTGTCCAGTTGTCAACATTCTATGCAGCTGCCTTGCAGGGAGGAGGTGAAGAGTGGGACAGACATGAGGGTGATGGGGTTCAGGGAGCAGGGCTCCGGTCCTTCCAGCCCACTTCTGTCAAGCAGCTCTGTTTTAGGCATTGATGAGATTTGGTTTGTAATCTATTACTTTAAAAGATGGGAGAAGGAAGGAAAGGATTTCGGTGTCACAGGAATGTGGCCTAGTTTCTGGCAGTCACTGCAAAGCCTTGTCTCATCTTCTAGGTCTGGGTTCCCACACAGGCTCAGGGGTGTAGGGAGAGAGGATGAAGACTCATTATAGCATCAAGATACTCCTTTCAGCCACATCCTGCGTCCTGGAGAAGGGAGCACTAAGAAGGCTCAGGTCGATTACCTGGTTTTTTTTTTTTTTTTTTTTTTTTTTTTTTGAGACGGAGTCTCGCTCTGTCGCCCAGGCTGAAGTGCAGTGGCACAATCTCGGCTCACTGCAAGCTCTGCCTCCCGGGTTCACGCCATTTTCCTACTTCTGCCTCCCGAGTAGCTGGGACTACAGGTGCCCGCCACCATGCCCGGCTAATTTTTTGTATTTTTAGTAGAAATGGGGTTTCAACGTGTTAGTCAAGATGGTCTCGATCTCCTGACCTCGTGATCCACCCGCCTCGGCCTCCCAAAGTGCTGGGATTACAAGTGTGAGCCACCATGCCTGGCCGGTCGATGACCTGTTTTATGGGTTATTATAAGGAATGGTGTTTACGTCCAAAGAAATGAAAGCACTATTCGAATCAATCCATTTACATCAGGAAAAGCAAAAACAAAACTTACACTGTTCTTTGACTCCTCTGGGAACCTGAAAAGGTACATGCCTCCAAACCAGTCATTGCATTTTGTCCCAGTCCTGGGAAAATACTGCAGGATATGCTCCAGTGGGGGGCAGGTGGTCTTGTGATTAGACCAGAAGATGGGGATGAGGGGTGGCAACGCAGCAAGGCCCAGACCCATGTCCCCATGCCTATCTCAGAGGGACCTGCTAACATCACTCTCTTCCCAGGGCCAGAGGGTGTGGCTGACTTAGTTGTCTGATTCCTTTCAACTCCACATGGGAGCAAGAGTCCGAAAAAAAGCAGCCATTTAATCTGGTCTTCATTAAACCCAATCTGCATACACGGAGCAGCTCTGTCCAAGTGCGGATGCCAGGCCAGCTGACTCCAGGGGGAGCACCTCTGAAGAGGAGTCTTGCAGAAGCTGAGCATTGGGAGATCCATATGGAAATAGGGAATTCCTCTCCTCCCGACCTGCGTTTGTCCACACTTGCTGTCTGGACTGCTCACGAACTCATATCTGCTCCTGCAGAGCTGGATAATTGCATGTACTTATGTGCTGCCTTCTCACCCACACTGTGAGTATATTGAGTTAAGAGCCGCTTCATGCATTTCCCATGTTTATGTCCCACTTCTCCTTCTCACCACTTGGAGCCTAGTAAACACTGGAAGCAAAACAATAGAGCTGCATTGTTTTTAAACCCCGTGTGATCTATCTTCTACTAAATCTTTAAAAAAATTATGAATATGCCCATATAGCCTTATTCTTCCTTAATCCTTGGATCTGGTGCTAGGAGGAGGCCGCATTTCCTTTCCACGCTTCTATTTCCCTGCTCGTTTCCCTTATTGGCTCCGATAAGAAAGCTAATCTGAGGTCAGAGTTCAAGTTCATGGTGGCCATGCTTTACTATTGCTTGGAGTTGCTTCATTCAAACTGCCTTGGGTTCCTGTCCGCTCCCTTTCTTTCTGTCCCATCTGGGTTGTCAGGTCCATTTTGCCAACTGCCATCTTGGATCCAATGTGGAGAGAGAAAGAGGAATCACTTGAATCTCAGGCTTGAGTGTATAAATCCAGTTTTTATCGGAATTTTGCACTGGTGGTTATCAGATGCATAACAGATTTTTAATTTTCTTATTGTGCTTTGCTAAAAAAAAATGCCCCAGAGGAAGAGTGGGTGTTATGATGAGCAATCTTCCCTCCTACAATCTTTAACCCTGTGAATTTTAGTCTGGTGCAAAAATGGTACCACTCAGTCAGGCTTCCCCTCCCACATCTGTACACAAGCGCTAGAATTTCACGTTACTTTTATGCTTATTTTGTTTTTTCTTTCGAGCTCTCTGTTGATTCTCTTGCTGTGTAACATCTGGATAGCTGGAATGTCTCAGAACTAAGGCAGAGAATGAAAAGGGTGTATCTTTCATGCTGGTCTATTTCTCACTTTTCAAGGGCTTCTACAGGGCCACGTGCACACTGGGCACCTCTCAGGGGTCCTTGAGGAAGGATTTCTGTAGTGTTGCTCCTGTTCTTTGGAATTGCTTTTAGAGCCTGTGGCTTATCCTTTCTAACAACTTCAAATGTGGCAAACTAGGTCCTTAGAGGGTGTTTTGAATTTGGAAAATGGTCTAAAAACCCTTCGGAGGTAAAATACATGAATCAAGTGGACAGTCAGGCTGGGAAATGATATTTTTGGTTAGAAATGAAGTATGACTGCAGTAACAAATTGAGTTTGACTTTCTGGTGGGACCTGTAAACATCAAAACTCTTCACCTGACAAAGAAGAGTTCCAAAACTGTTTGGGATAAAGGCAAAATCACAGGAATAAATGTGGAGTCACTCAGGATTCTGTTCCAAAGGAGGCAGCACTCATTTCAGGGTGTACATTATGGAATGTCTGTTAAGATAAACCTCATTCTTTACAGCCATAAATTGTACCCGAGGCAGGACTGGATTCTTGTGTTCAGAGTTTTGCTATCCTTTTTGCAAATAAGGGTACCACCACCTTTAAGAAACCTAGTTTATTTAGCAATTCAACCAGTATATACTGGGGGTTGGCTACGCACAAAGCATGGTGACTGTTTTCATCCTAGAGCCCAAGATGCCAGACTTCCTCTGTGGCCTATGTGAAGACTTCCCTCCCACCCGGTGGGAGTGGACCTCTCCCTCCCTCTGCTGCTGTGGGGAGACCTCTCATGCAGCACCGCAGGTTGGCCTCCCTCCCCGGCCTGGCAGCTGCACTCTGCTTCAGTGTTTCACTCACTTTTGCATCATCAACACTAGCACCACCTTGGCACATTATAGGATATCAGTAAGTACTCACTGAATAAATGCTACATAGTTCGGGCCCTCCAGAGGCTCAAATTTATGGCCTAGCATCCTTGGCTTTGCCAACATTGTCTGTGACACGCCGTTTCAAAACAAAGCTCACTTTCTCTGCAAAAAACCACTGGTATCCGGTTTTTTCTTTCCTTGCCATAGGCTCATCTCCAGGGGTAGTAACACCCACGTGAGGATTAGACATGCATGTGGCTACTTCCTGGTACTGTCACTCACTGAATGTATAACCTTGAAGAAGCGATTTCATCTAATGGAATTTTTGATCTTTATAAAGCTCTTTTTTACTCTCCTGTATAATGGGGACAGTGAGATGAACCTCCCTGGCTCATTTGAGGAATAGACAAGGCCATGATCATTATAATAAAAATCCCATGTGTACTGAGCACTTACTGTGTCTCAGGCCTCCTCCTAAGTGCTTTAAACACATACCTTAATGTAACCCTTTCTTTAAGGCTGCATGGTTGGTGTCATTATCCCCATTGTACAGATGCTAAAACTGAATCTGTGGGACAGTAGTAACCCTCCCTAGGTCACTCTGTTAAGGAGAATTAGGTCAGCCTGAACTCCATAGACCATCCTGGAGATTCTGGATAAATGTCCAAACAAGTCTGGTGTATGGTTGTCTTCTGAAAGAGGCTCCTCCTTCTCTCTCATGGGTTTATGATCTCAGAGGGGCTCTCCGATCCCTTCCTCTCCATAGCCCCCCACCAATACTCAATCTCTTGGGTACATTCCTTTCATTTTTCCTTAGGCACAGCCTCAATCTGGGCTGAACACTTATGGAATTACAGTAGCAAAGACGTGTCAGCTGGCATCTATATGCTGAAACATTTCTCTTTCATTTTGGGAGGCAGCTCTCATTCTGGGGTGACTATCAGCCCCCAGACGCAGATTCTACTGATACTCTAATGTTCATCTTGCAGTCATAAGCAACAACAACAACACAGCAGGAAGAAAATAAACCTTGGCAACTTCAAAAACAAAACACAGGTGATTTCACCTGGAAGTCCTAGGCGTGGTTTCCAGTCAATTTACCACCCTGATGCAGCAGCCCTGCCCTGAGGTTTGCATTCTAATGAAGAGGAAGTCCAGAGACAGATTTCAAAATGACGACCAGCAGCTTATTTCAATCTCAAACACATTAATTACTCATCTATACAATTTCAATACCTAGTAAACATATGCATGCACAAGCTCCCAACTTCACATTCTCTAGGTGAAGATTGGACTGCATAAATTGAACTGCAATTTTCACCTTGACCTCAACATTTCACATCAACTTAAGTGTGTTTCCTCCTCTGGGCATTGCCTCTGAACACTGCTCCACCTGCTATCTCTCCCCTTTCAATGCCACCTTCCAGCCTGGCTGCAGGTCCCCCCTTCATTTGATTTGATAATACTCTGTGGAGTGAGATATCTTGGATTCTCATTTGGTATTGCGTTGGTTTGGAAAACCTGGAAGGGCAGGAGCTGAGGCTTTTTCCTCTCCCTGTTCCTTGCTCCCCTTACTCACAGGCTGGCTGGTAGTGCACACAGTAGGAGCACCACAGTGTGTGCTGACTAATTAATTACAGGTAAGGATGTGCAAACCTCGAGAATGTGTGAGAGGAGAGATGGACCCATAGCCGCACACACCGCCCAACCCCGAAAGGGTGGCCAACTAAAATGCCAACTGGGAAGCACATTTCCCTGACTTTTTTCAAAATAGTGCAAAAGTTTTTACAATCTCAGGTGGGATTTTTATAGTTTAATAGGAGCATTCCGGAAATGGCAACTAAGTTCTCTAGCAATGGCTTTGATAGGAGTGAGACTATGAATCCTGAGACCCTTCCCAATCCTGAGATGCTAGGGATTTGGGATTCCAAGTGGATGGGGGCGGAGGGCGCGGGGGTGCCCCACATCCTTAGACTACACCAATCCCCTTCCTTCAGCACCTGTTCTAACTGAGGGACAGCACTTAATGGTGCGTGTAAATAGACACACACGTGCTAATACAGAGGGCTTGCAGGAGGCAACAAAAGGGAGGCTGCTCCTGGACATGGGCTTTCCTAAAAGTGGGAAAAAAGAGAAGAGAAGGAAGCCAGGCTTCCGGGACAGGCAGATAACAGTGAATGGGGATGGAGGAGTGTTAGGATAGCTCCAACATCTTCCAGAGACGTCTCCCCGCTGCAGCCGCTGCCATTATCCTTGTTATTACCATTACTATTAAGACTTCCATACAAGCCATTCTTTTCTGCCTGAAAGGTTTCCACATGGGTTTTATCCTGAAAGGTACATCTTGCTGTAAGGTTTAAGCTAAATATGTCCACTACAAATGTAGACTAAAGTAAAAAGCTGCTTTTAAATCAGAAGAACACATGAGCTGTGTGTATGGGGTTTTCTTAAAGCAGTTGCCTTTCAAGTCGTCATCTGACATTCCCACCAAGGATTGTTGTGCGGGGTTATCCACAAAAAGTAGGGTTGGGACACGGGGAGGATTATTAGTATCAAAATTGCACCAACATTTAGACATTTCAAATACATCTAAAGTGACATTGTTATCAAAACAGATTTTCTTTTCACTGACATTTGCAATAGATCTTTGGTGATGTAATGAGTGGGCTAAGGCTGCCCTATATAAAGGGACGGAAGATGGGAAATGTTTTGGTTTTTTCCTCTCGACTTCCCTTTCCATTGCTGGAAATAATTTTGGAAATAAAGCAAATCAAATGCAAACTTACCCATGAATGCAGCACTGACTAAAACATAGAAGCAGAATGCCAGGAAATGGGCCTCCCCTGGGCTTCATGCAGTACTAACCACCCACGTGTGGCGTGTGTGATGTTTACTCCTCACCGTGGCGCTGGCTCTGTCCCTCACACACTGTTTGGAACTTATGATGCAGGGGAGTGGGTGTTACTGGCCTCTGCGAGCCTGCTGGTTTCATCTTTGTGTAAAAGAACAGCTTTTGCGTTTCCAAGGCAGACTGAAGAATTAGTTTGCATTTAAAAAATGGGTGTTCAGGCAGAGCCCTTGTGTGGAGGGCTTCAGGGGCTTCTGGCTGTTCCAGCGATGGCAGAGAGAGCAGGTCTCTCTCGAGGAGCACCACTCCCTGCGTTCCTTGTTCTCCCCTTCCTGATGAAAGGGCTGAATGCTTCAGAACACAAGTTCTGGAGTCAAGGAGATGCTGGTCCCAGTTGCAGCTCTGCACTGAACGTGTTTTACTGCATGGCTTGGGATGGGTCATGCTGGGACTCAGAACATCATATCCCGAAGTGTGGCACCTTGGTATGCTGAGTACTTTGAACCGAAGGACACTGGAAGGGGCTCAGAAGCAAGTTCTCTCTGACTTTCTGCCCTCCTGTCTCCCATCCCTCTTCTCCCGCCAAGTGAACCACAGAAACCAGAATTCCTATTGCCCAAAACAGGTCTCTCCCAAAAGCAAGCCATACAATTCCGAAAGGTCACTTTCTCCCTCTCCATCTCCCTTGAAGACTCTCATTCCAGAAGAGTTCTGCCTCCTATTTAGGTGGAAAAAATCCAAGTCAGAGAGGCTAAGAAGAAGCTGAACACACAGGCATGCTAGGTTTCCCCCTTAATCTCTTGCCATTAGATTACACCCTTTTTGTCCAATCACATTTTTATATGGCTGCCCATTTTTCATCAAACGTAAGTGTCAAAACAGATAATTTTCCCTGGGTCTTTGGGTCTTCATTTCTGAAGGTCCCTGTGTCACATGAAACTTGATTAAATACATTTGTTATGCTTTTCTCTTGTTAACCTGACATTTGTTATAGGAGTGTCAGTTGAGACCCTTATGATGGGGAGGAAAGGTGTCTCCCCCTTCTTCCTCTAAAATCATCTGTCCACTCTGAATCTTAGTTTTTTAAATCTGTAAAATGGAGCAGAAAATAACGGCAAAAATAAATATAGTGCTTACTGTGTCTCAGTGTTATGAGGGCAGATGTTTATTAGTCAGCAGAATTGCAGGCAGGCTGGCTCCAGAGACTAAGCTCACGACCCCACACAAGGCCACGAGGCTCAAAGCTGTGTCTCTGCCAACTTGGAAGGTGTGAAGGAACCCTGCCCCCAGCTGAAATCCAGCATAGGATTTCACCTTCAGCTGCTGCCCAGAGGTGGGGAGGGCAGGAGGAAGACTGTGCTCCAGTGTGGCCAGAGCTGCCATGTCACCAGCAACACAAGGATTCTGATGTTATGTTTCCTTCTAATTGGAATGGACGTATTAGAAGTGAATACCTTGAATGAATTTTTACACAGTGAATATAACTATGTAATCTGTAATCAGCCCAAGAAACAACAGAATGTAACTATCACCCCAGAAGCTCTTGCACATCCCCACAGTCTCTAACCATCATCCTGACTTCTATCACCACTGACTAGTTTTGCCTGCTTTTGTACCTTAATATAAGTGGGATCATACAGCCCATACTTTTTTTGTGTCTGGTTCAATATTGTGTTCATGGATTCAACCGTGTTGTTGTATGCAGTTGTGGATCATGGTAGATTATCACCATTGTTGCATAGCATTCTGTTGTTTGAACACAGCACAGTTTATCCTTTCTGTTATTGAGAGACAGCTTGGTAGTTTCCAGTGCTTGGCATGAACAGTGCTGCCGTGGATATTCTAGTACCTTCATTGCATGTATATATGAATTTCTGTTGATTCGGGGAGTAGTGGTGTTGGATCAGGGAGCATGCATATGTTCAGCTCTACTACTTAGTGCCAAGCAGTTTTACAGAGTGAGTGCATCAATTTATGTTCCTCCAGAAGCAGATGAGAATTCCAGTTGCTTTATTTAGATACTTGTCAACACTTGGTTTTGCTCGTCTTTCTTTAGCCATGTTGGTGGGTGTATAGTGGTACTACATTGTGATTTTAATTTGAATTTCCCTAATGAATAAGGAAGTCAAACAACTTTTCATGTTTATTGGCCATTTGAACATTCTCATCTATGAAGTTCAAGTCTTTTTGCTTTTTTCATTAAAAAGCAAAGTTGTCTGTTATTTTCTTATTGATTTTTAACAGTTTTTAAAAATATATACTCTGGATACACATCCTTTATTGGATGTCTCTATCTCTATCTATAGTTAAGTCTCTTGCTGACCAGCTTCCATCCTGGTCTGTGATGAAACAATAATCTACCCACTGACGATCAAATCACACTATTTCCAAGAGAATTTTGATGTTTCTACACAAGCCAGTGGATCCTGAGAAACATGTCTAGCAGGACATAGACAAGGCTGAACCTCAACCCTAAAATGGCCAACATCTTGCTTTTGAGTGACCGTTGCCACCTTCTTACCAATGGAAACCACACCGTGGCTTAACATGTACTGTATCTTGGACAGATACTATGGAGATATCCAATTACCAAACTACCCCCATTTTTTTTTAAATTTTATTATTATTATACTTTAAGTTTTAGGGTACATGTGCACAATGCGCAGGTTTGTTACATATGTATACATGTGCCATGTTGGTGTGCTGCACCCATTAACTCGTCATTTAGCATTAGGTATATCTCCTAATGCTATCCCTCCCCCTCCCCCCACCCCACAACGGTCCCCGGTGTGTGATGTTCCCCTTCCTGTGTCCATGTGTTCTCATTGTTCAATTCCCACCTATGAGTGAGAACATGCAGTGTTTGGTTTTTTGTCCTTGCAATAGTTTGCTCAGAATGATGGTTTCCAGCTTCATCCATGTCCCTACAAAGGACATGAACTCATCATTTTTTTATGGCTGCATAGTATTCCATGGTGTATATGTGCCACATTTTCTTAATCCAGTCAATCATTGTTGGACATTTGGGTTGGTTCCAAGTCTTTGCTATTGTGAATAGTGCTGCAATAAACATACGTGTGCATGTGTCTTTATAGCAGCATGATTTATAATCCTTTGGGTATATGCCCAGTAATGGGATGGCTGGGTCAAATGGTATTTCTAGTTCTAGATCCCTGAGGAATCGCCACACTGACTTCCACAATGGTTGAACTAGTTTCCAGTCCCACCAACAGTGTAAAAGTGTTCCTGTTTCTCCACATCCTCTCCAGCACCTGTTGTTTCCTGACTTTTGAATGATCGCCATTCTAATTGGAGTGAGATGGTATCTCGCTGTGGTTTTGATTTGCATTTCTCTGATGGCCGGTGATGATGAGCATTTTTTCATGTGTTTTTTGGCTGCATAAATATCTTCTTTTGAGAAGTGTCTGTTCATATCCTTCGCCCACTTTTTGATGGGGTTGTTTGTTTTTTTCTTGTAAATTTGTTTGAGTTCATTGTAGATTCTGGATATTAGCCCTTTGTCAGGTGAGTAGGTTGCAAAAATTTTCTCCCATTCTGTAGGTTGCCTGTTCACTCTGATGGCAGTTTCTTTTGCTGTGCAGAAGCTCTTTAGTTTAATTAGATCCCATTTGTCAATTTTGGCTTTTGTTGCCATTGCTTTTGGTGTTTTATACATGAAGTCATTGCCCATGCCTGTGTCCTGAATGGTATTGCCTAGGTTTTCTTCTAGGGTTTTTATGGTTTTAGGTGTAACATGTAAGTCTTTAATCCATCTTGAATTAATTTTTGTATAAGGTGTAAGGAAGGGATCCAGTTTCAGCTTTCTACATATGGCTAGCCAGTTTTCCCAGCACCATTTATTAAATAGGGAATCCTTTCCCCATTGCCTGTTTTTGTCAGGTTTGTCAAAGATCAGATAGTTGTAGATATGCGGCATTATTTCTGAGGGCTCTGTTCTGTTCCATTGGTCTATATCTCTGTTTTGGTACCAGTCCCATGCTGTTTTGGTTACTGCAGCCTTGTAGTATAGTTTGAAGTCAGGTAGCGTGATGCCTCCAGCTTTGTTCTTTTGGCTTAGGATTGACTTGGCAATGCGGACTCTTTTTTGGTTCCATATGAACTTTAAAGTAGTTTTTCCCAATTCTGTGAAGAAAGTCATTGGTAGCTTGATGGGGATGGCATTGAATCTATAAATTACCTTGGGCAGTATGGCCTACCCCCACTTTTTAGCAGCATCCAACCCAGACCTGCCCCACTCCATCATCTGTCCTCAGAGTCATGCATCCCAAAGCCAATCTTCCCCTTACAGAAACACTCCCAAAGTTCCTCTGGGCAGGTCTAACCTTGCTTGCACTTGCTAAAAAAATCAAACATTGTACTGTGTATGACTACAAATATGTTCCTAGTCATCTTCAGTTGGTGGGCTTTTGGTATATTATTTATTGAGAGAGAGAAATTTAGACTCACTTCCAATGAGAGTACTGAGGAGTGGATTGAGGGGTGGTTTTAGCCCCACATAATCTCCATCAGCGGCATCTCTCCCTGAGGTGATTTGAGTGCTTCCCCCAAAGTTCATGCGTTGGAAACTTGATCCTCAATGTGGCAAATTAAGAGGTGGGACCTTTAAGAGGGGATTAATGCCATTATTGTGAGGGTGGGCTCCTTAAAACAAATAAACAAGTTCAGCCTCCCTATCTTCTCTCTCCCTTTTCCTCTCTTTGCCCTTCTGCCATGGGATGACACAGCAAGAAGGACCCTGCCAGATGCCAGCCTCTTGATCTTGGACTTCCCAGACTCCAGAACCATGATTAACAAATTTCTATTGTTTATAAATTTCCTAGTCTGTGATGTTATGTTATAGCATCACAAAATGGACTAAGACACCCTCCCAGTACCCTAAATAAATATGCAATCTAGGTCCAAGATTCTTTTTGTTTGTTATGCAGACACAACTTCAAAAATAACCCCAGTTCTTCTCTCTCAAGCAAATCACCTCCCCTAAGACTCTCTTATAAAAAATGTGGAAGCCCCTATTTCTCAAGCTAATTTCTCTTTGGCTTGAAAATCACAGCAGCTGGCCTTTTGAATTGCTTTGACCAATAGAATGTACTGGAGGGGAAGTTGTGTCAGTTTTAAGCCTAGGCCTCAGTATGACCTGCAGCTTCTAATTGATCTCTGGGAACCCTGTTTGTCTGCCATGTGAATAAACTTGGCTAGCCTGGTGAAGGATGACAGAGCATGTGACTCAGTTACTCTCATTGCCCAAGCTGACAGCCAACTAACTGTCCAAAACCAAGCTGGTCTAACTGCTGACAGCTGACTACAGAAACATGAGAAAGGCAGCCAAGACAAGAAGAACCACGCAGTTGAGTCCAGCCCAAATTACTGACCAAGGGAATCATGAGTTAAAAAAATAGCCATTGGTTTAAGCTACCAAAATGTAGCATCATTTGTTACACAGCAAAAGCTAACTGATACAATATCACTCCTTTGAGAGCTGAGCTGAGATCAATTAATGAGCCTTGAGGATGGTTAGTCATCATTACTCAAAGTAGAATTCTTTCCAAACTCCTGTAAAATACTCTGTTAAAAAGAGTTCTGTGGTCAATTTTGAAAACCCAGCTATTACACTTCCTTTGTGCAGAATCATGGCCCAAATTAGCATATTTAAAGTTTGTGAGAAACCCTGCATTTAGAAAATACATAGTAAGTTAGCATTTCTTAAACACTTGATTAAGAGATCCTCATTTTCTATACAATACCTATACAATACCTATCATTCTTTCACTAGTGTCCTGAGAAAACAGTTTGGAAAATGCTGGTCTAGATCTACAAATAAGCCTTGGTTTCCAATCTGTACCTTATACACTTGCTAAGGAGCCTCAACTTACTAAAGCAGTCAGGGGTCTCTACACATAGATGTAGGAATAGCTAAAAATACTTTTTGGGGCCAGGCATGGTGGCTCAGGCCTGTAATTCCAGTACTTTGGGAGGCAGGTGGATCACGAGGTCAGGAGCTTGAGACCAGCCTGACCAACATGGGGAAACCTTGTCTCTACTAAAAATACGAACAAATTAGCCAGGCGTGGTGATACATGCCTGTAATCCCAGCTACTCAGGAGGCTGAGGCAGGAAGATCACGTGAATCTGGGAGATAGAGGTTGCAGTGAGCCAAGATCGTGCCACTGCACTCCAGCCTGGGTGACAGAGCGAGACTCCGTCACAAAACAAAACAAAACAAAAAAACAACAACAGAAAAGCCTTTTTGGATGTCAAACAGGACTCTCCACACTTAAAAGAGATTGAGGATTGCCTCTCTTGGTCTCAGATTGCCTGTTGCTTTTTGCAGTTGTACCTGTGAGGCCAGTGGACTGGCCACAGGTAGGCAGGATATAAAACCCTCCCTGGAAAGGGCTGTAATAAAACCAGTGCTGGCTCCAGAGAGTAGACAAACCACACGGCAGTAACTGCCAACATTCTATATTTACAGAAAACTGGCACTTCACAAATACCAAGCTTTGCTATTTATGTAGCTGTTTTTCATCAATATATGTGGGGATTCTGTAATTATCACAAGTGCTATTCAAAGGCTTCCGGAATCTCAGACAAATGAGCATAACAGATAGAGTCAACTGAACCCTGCAAACACCACTGCCCCAGGGCTTCTGTTCTTTTATGCAGCCTTGTTGCTCAGATGAGAATGAAGAACCAGGACAGGGCTAAGGCCAAAGCTACAACAAGGCTTTATCCCGGTAGCTCTTCTTTTGAGATGTGGGACAGCTGGGGGAAGGCAGCTGGTCTACCTGTCTTCATCTACTCCATCTTACAGCCAGCAAAATCTTTCCAAGATATAGATATGGTTGGGTCAACTCCTTGCTTGATCAAATCCCCTTAATGGCTTTCAATGCTGCTGGGATAAAATCTAAACTCCTTAGGCACTGGAGACCCTCAAAGATCTAAGTCTCTCTCCTGCCCAAGCTCTTGCCATCTCCCATCTTGACCCAACCATGCCAGCCACAGTGAGTGCCCTATATTTATAAGCACAGGTGCTTGGTGTTCTCTCTCCCCTCTGCCTCTGCATAGTGTCTCGCTGCCTGGGATACCCTTCCTTGACCCCTTCACCTGGCTCCACATAGGTATTGCCTCTTCTTCTAAGGTTGCTGTGGCAGATGGTTTTCAAAGACGGCCATGGAATTATCACTGCATCCCACCTGCTCTTCTGCAGTGTGACCTTGCAACTCCTCTTACATCTGGGCATGCGGGAGTGATGGTGGGCCAGTTTCAGGGGTAGCCACGAAATACCCAGCAGCCCCTGCTTTCTGCCTCTTGGAGATTCAAGCTTCTGCGTAAACCATTCAGCCTCCTCTGTTAGAGAGAGAAGCCACCTGGAGAAGCATAGAGACACTAGCTGTGTGAATGGGGCCATCATGGATGTTCAGCCCCATAGAGCATTCACATGACTTTAGCTCCAGCTGTTGTCTGACTGCAAGTGCATGAGAGACCTGAAGCAGGAGCCACCCAGCTGAGTGCAGTCAACCGATAGACCCAGGACTGATAACAAATTGTTTTAATCCATTAAATACTGGGTGTTTTGTAATGCAGCAGTAGATATCCAGAAAGGTAGCTCATGCTGTGCCCAAGAAGAATCAGGCAGTTCTGAAATTCAGCTAATATGTGTTGGTTTGGCTGAACTGGATGTTGACAGCTGATATCTGTCTGCTTGATCAGCGTCTCTGTTGCCTCCAGTTATTAAATATCTTGAATGACATCCCAATCAGGGGGCTGCCAATGTGCTCTCTCAATAGCCTGTGCTGACCTCTTTATACCAATTAATATCCTATCTTTCAGCTGTGGCAAGTTACCCTACTTCTGTGACTTTCAGGTCTCTATGGTACCTAGCTCTGAGGGTTGCCAGGGTGGAATAAGACGGTGTGTGGAACACCGAGCACAGTGTCTGGTGCAAGTGCTCCATGGGCAGAGTCTTTCAGCTCTGAACGTGTCACCTACCACTGAGCTCCCCATTCTGCAGACACTCAGGAGTGCTTGCCAAAGGTAGCAAAACGGATGCTTGGTTTTGATCCTCTGTTGTCTGCCCTTTTCCAGAAGATGAACTCAGGTGAATGGCTTGATGGGAGGCTCTGCCATAGCTACCCCAGGAATTCTCCTCCAGGAGAGACAGCCGGGCTCATTTCCAAGATGGGGCCCCACTGTGGTGGTGACTCCATGAACCACAGTGGACTTGGGCACCAGAGGCTGAGACAGTCCTGGGGATGCAATGCCCCTTGTGGATGAGGGAGCAGTGAGGGCAGACCCAAGCACTCAGGGGTCTGGACATGGAGGGCTGCGGGGCCTTCCGCAAGTATCCAGCCCTGCTTTGTGCTTGACTTGAGGCTGGCTGATTGGGCCCTGAGGGCAGAGCCATAGTCCTTGTCTCTATCCATGGTCCCCTGGCTGCATACAGGAATCAAGGAACGTTGTTCTTAGATCCGTCGTCTAGATCAAAAGCTGAGAAAACTGATCAAACAACATGTCCACTGCTCAAGGCTGGACTTCCTTCTAAGCCATTGCCATGGGAAGAGGGCTGCCCTCCCCACCACTGGAACACTGGAGCCCCATAGCCTGGAGTCAACCCCCAGTTCCACCATTCGTGAGCTGCATGCCTTGGGCAAGTTGCTTAATTTCTCTGTGCCTCAGTTTCCTCACCTCTAACATGGAGGAGATAATACTTCTGTCATGGGGGGGCAACTCATTTAACCTCTCTGAGCCTTAATTATCCATCTGCAAAATGGACATCAGAACAGCCACGTGTTGGGACACTCTGATCTCCACGCGGGGGCTTGGAAAGCTGCTTTCACTTTTCGCTGTGGTCTAACGTTTCCCAGTTCATACCTTGGGAGACACCAGGCTCCTCAGAGGCAGTGGCCATGTATTATTTATCCCTCCCTGTCTCCATTCTGCATCACTGGTTTCCAAAGCTCTTCGTAATACTTCTTTGTTTGATTGAACCTGAGGTATTTACACATACACTGGCTAACCACAATACAAACAGTTTGTTTCCTTGGACTAATTCTTCCTCCAAGCCTTACTTTACTCATTTATAAAATAGGGAGGATTGTACATTCTTGGATGGATGTTAATCCACACTCTAGAGAGTATGGGGAAGGCCCCAGACACCTCTTGCCAAACAGTGGGCTCCAGTCAATGCCAGTTCTCCTCCTCTTAATGGCCCAGGAGCAAAACAACTGAATGCTGTATTTGTACTTGACATATTTCCACATGCCATGTTTCTTTTATTCCACTCTTCCTTGTAAGCATCTTAGTAGGACAGAAGAATTCCTAATTACTTGACTGACTGCTTTTTTGCTTTGTTTTATTTGTTGGAACTTCTAGAAAAACTTCTGATGCACTCAATACCCACTTCTGGGTCCATTTGTGACTGAAAAATAAAATGGGTGACCAGTGGCCTGTTAACCTGGTGGCTGGGCTTACAGCAGAGCAGCAATAAACATCAGGGGGCCTTTCTGCTCAACTCCCATCCTGATGCATGTGGACAGGTTCAGAATTGGTGTGACTACAGCACACGGATAGGCTGAACCACAGGCAACCTAAGGCAGGCACTGGCTAGCGTCTTGCCCTTACCTTTAATATTATTATTTTGGGGACAATGGCTCTTATTTATGATAGAGTCCTATTCCTTCTATGGAGCAGCTGTGGGCCTTTTTTCTGCCTGCACTGGTCAGGTGACTCTGTCTAACCCCAGGGCATGGAGCCATACCTGTTTACTCTGGACAGGTGGGTATGGAGCCTTTCCCCCTGGAGTGTCTGATTAGACCCCAGTGCTCAAGCTCGCAGCTACTGTCTAGGGACTTATCATCAGGCAATATCAAGCCTTCTGTTGTGCTCCCTGGAACTTCAGGCTCATCAGAAGTGGTTGCATTCTGGGGAATCTGACAATGTCCCTGCTGTCTAGGGATGGATGCTTCAGGTCACCCAGGAGCTCCTTCCTCTTTTACTATATAAATCACAGATCTCGGACCTTGAGAATCTTTAGGCTGGACCTTAAGAAGCTTTTCCTCATTCTAAAGATGAAGAAGCCAAAACCCTGAAGGGCAAGTGACATATTGAAGGTCGTAGAGCTGGTCAGTGGTGGCTCTGGGACAGAATGACCCACCACCATTGAGCTGTCATGGAAATCAACAAGTTGTTGCTACTGACATCCTCACCCACCCAGATTCTCCCTCCTTTAACCACTGAACCAGTTCCATCACCACCTTACCCCAAAAGACAAAGAGAGAGAGGCCCTCGGCACTCAGTTGATTTCAAGACACTCAGAGTAGCACGGTGATTCTGTTGCTGCCCAGTGAGTACGGTTTATCTATGTCATGTTATTAGAAGGATCACAATAGAAAACAAAAGTCTCTGCCCATGTCTTACAGTGCAGGAGACCCCTTCCGTTCCCCTTTCATGCTGTGTCTCCATGCCAACGCCATCACTGAATCAAGTATATATGAATACATTCACAGAGGAGCTTTTTACTTCCTTTCCAACACTCTTTTTAAAAAAATAAAAAATAAAGGCCAGCTGGTTTTATAGGGAATGACATAGTCAGTCATCTCTTTAGTCATACTGAGCCCTTTCTAGTTTGAACAAATTCCTCTCTGAGCTGACTCAGTCTATCTACTATATAGTCTATTTACTATAGGAAGGGAGACAAGAAGATTCACTTCTTGCCATTTTTGGTATAGAAAGGTCAGATTCATTTATCAGCAGAGCAAAGAGTGGAATCAAATTTTCAGGTGGCAGGCTGTTGGTGAGGGTTCACACGCAAGCAAGAACTGGGACATGTATAACAAACTGCACAGGCAGCAGGGTGTAAGGTCAGAGTGGTATCAAAGAAAGGGGCTGTACCCAGCCAGGTACCTAGGATGGGATGAGCCTGGATTATCTGTCAAACAGGAGGAAGGTCTGAGGCCCAAGTGCCATGATGGTGCGGGGAGGAGGGGATGAACTTGGGAGAGGTAGTCAGGGCCAGATCGTGCAGTCTTGATCCTCATGTATGTTTCTAAAGCATCACATGGAATATGGATGTGAAGGTGAGATCCATCAGTGAGCTCTTGCCATGGGCAGCGGCCTGATCAAGGGCCATGCTTGTGGAGATGGAGAGGAGATGGGATGGAGACCCAGGTTGAAAGTGGCCAGACCTTGCTGATGGGTGGGGCTACAGAGAGAAATCAAGGTTGATTTCTAGGATTCCAGCCTGTGCAGCTCAGTGCATGGTGGTGACAAGTATTGACATGGCAAAGCTAAGAGACGAACAGGTTTGCAAGGAGAATGAAATAATTTTGTCTTCTAAAACCTCATAGCTCCATTTCAAACTACGTTCAGACTCTATGTAAACCCAAAAAGTGTTGTATGGGTTGCCACGGAGACACATATTTATGTGTGTGTATATACATATACACACACACATATATACACACATACATGTATTTCTCACATGCATACAAATGTACATTTATTCAGAATCATACTTTAAATAGCTGTGCCTAATATGTTAAAAATTAGTGCCTATTGTATTTTACAAAAGAGTTGGAGTACCATAAATATACATTGTGTGTGTGTAATGTGTACACTGAGATCTAAGCATGGGGATACAACTATCCTCCAGGTTTGATCCTCTAAAAAGGAGAGTAATGGGTCTCACCCCAAACTAATTCTGAAAAACCAAAGGCATGAAATCCAATGAATTTGGGCTTGGGTCCAGGAGAGAATGAGAGGCCCACAATCAGTCAAACCGCTGGTCCCATGAAAGCTTCTGATGCTAAAAAGCATTAAGCTAACTGCCAAAAATACCCCCTCTGCCTAATTCCTGTGGTCCACAGTACAGAGGAAAAGACAGCTGGAACAAGTTCAATAAGGGGAAAAAATAAATCCTCAGGCTTCTACCTTGGTGCACAAAACAGCAGCAATCAGAGTGCTAATGACACAGCTGAGAAGGTAGGTTTCATGACCACCTTTGGAATCCACTCATGGGCAAGCAGCAGGGTATCTTTCAGTATTCTCAGGATTCATCATGATAATCAGTAAAAAGCATCCAAACCAAAGTCGCAATAGTGAGGGCCACGTGTAGACCTGATTTTCCTATGTGCTTGGCGATTTCCAAGTAAAAGGACATGTCATCAAAAAATCTATTTGCAAATAGCTTCTGGGATTATTGGGAGAAATGGTGAAGCATCTTAGGAAATAAGGATGGGTTAAGGGCACCAAAGGTAAAGAGATGGGAAGGTAAAGAGATGGGAAAATGGGCACCAACCTGTGTCCCTAGCTTATGGTGAGTGGGAGCGCTGATGGCTGACAGTTTATTACAAATGTCCCCTGAACCAGCACTTTGGGATCCGGTTCCAAATTCCTAAATAAGTTGTTCAAACTGAAAGGACAAGTTATCTTTGGGGCCCTTGAGTTTCTTTAAACTGTGAAAACAAAGAAGCACCAGAAATGGGAAGAGCTTGGGAAAATTTTCAGGAGCCTTTAAAGAGGACAAAAAAGGATTTAGAATATCAGGGAAACAAAGGGGTCTTAAAGAGCTTGGACTCCTGGGCCCTTACTAGGTGGAATCTTGGAGCCTGGGACAAACAGGACTGCTTACTTTCTAGTAGTTGCCTCTCAGGCTGAATGGGGTTAGAAAACCAAAGCCACATTTACAAACCTCACTCCACCCGCCCTTAGTTGGTGATATGTTTGGGTACCTTTCATGTGTGGGACACTGAATTTGGCTGCTGAAATAAAATCTCAGTAGATAGAAGCCAATCCTTCAGGGAAATAATTTAATTTAATAAAAGTTGGAGAACATCGTGATCCTCAGTAATGATGACGTTTGTTTAGATGCTATGTCTTTGTGCAAATGTTCAGAAAGGGCTCTGAGTCACTCTTAAACTGTGAAATGCACATGTCTTTGCAGGGCAGGGTCTCTGCTGTCCCTGGATCTTTGCAATGCCCAAGCTATCTGGACCTCTTAGAGAGACAGGGCATGCCACTGGCATAAGAGACTTGTGTGTTCTTACTTCATCTTGCTCTCTCCTGCCTCATGAGCAGGGGTTTCCTGAGTATTTAACTTAGTCCATGTCTCTTAAGGAAGGTCTGGCCCCCCAAAGTTCATCTTGTTATGCTTAGGACTGATGAAACCCCCAGAGCCTTATGAAACCACAGCTAAATCACTCACTTACCAGCTTAGTGGATAGACCCTATACTCAGACACCAAGATCTTAAGCACACTTCATTCATTCACCGTCACACTACACATTCAATGAGCACTTCTTCCATGCAAGGTGCCGTGCTGGGCATGATGGGGACATAAAGATGAGTGAGGCATGGTCCCAGGTCTCCAACATCATTCTGGGAAGAGGGGAAGGACATGTTACAGGACAGCAACAAAGAAAAGTGGGAATTTAGAGTAGAGGGAGATCTGTGCTAGTGTAAAGTCCCACTCTTCCTTATAGGAAGTCAAAGAAAGCTTCCAGGAGGCAAATGACTTCTAGCTGGAGTTTGTAGTTGGATTTCAGGGAGACCAAAGGTTTTGGGGCCTAGGCAGGAACTGGGATTTCTTGGTGGGTGGTGAATAATTAATTTTTGCTAGGCCGTGATACATGGGGTTTATGAGAAGAGAAAAGCAAGACTGCAAACATAGTCATCACATGGATTATGGGGATACTGAAATAAAAATAACGACAATGGCCAACAATTACTAAGTCCTTACTAAATGCCCTGCTGTGCTCAAAGCATCTGGCATGGATTGATCAATTCTCACGCAGACAGCCCTATGAAGTAGATACTATCATTATCCACATTTTTTAGAAAAATCAAGATAGACAGAAGGAAAATAACTTATACTCTTACTTTAGGTAGTATGTACCTAAAAAACAGCAAGGCTGGGGTTTGAACCCAGGAAGTCTAACTCTGAAAACCCACTCTCCCCACCATGCCATGTGGACCCTCTGATAGTGGGGGAGATGGAGGAAGGATAGTTCCGAGCAAAGCGTGACCTGGACGTTGCTCTCAAGGGCTGATCTGGTGTTGGTAGAGCTAAATTTTGATCGGAAGAGAATAGACTGAATCCAGGAAGGTCAATTAGATGGCCACTTTCTGGACAAGAAGTGACCATAGCCTGATCCAACATAGAAGAGATGAAAATAATATGAGAGCTAACATTTCCTTGTGCCTATTGTGAGTGGGGCACTGGATTAAACATGTTACACACTTTATCTTCTTCATCTTCATGAGGTAGGTGCTACCTCAATGGAGACACTGAGGCCCAGAATATTAGGGGTCACATAGGCAGTACGTGGCATAGCCAGGGCTTGCACTCGTGACCTCCACACTAATCCTGGGAAGTGGTGGGAGGGCCAATAGGACTTGTCAAGTCCAAAATCAGAGCCAGCACTGGAGGAAATGCACTGAAGAGAACAAGGGTGCTTTGGGACCAGTCAAAACGCTTGCTCTTCATGGCTCAGTGGGTAGGAAGGGAAACATGTGAGCTGAATAGAAAGAAGAGCTATCGGGGAGACTGGCAGTGGGGTGACACAGCACACCCGCGGAGGGTGTGACCATTCCAGGTGGAGTGTCAAAGCTGGGTAGCTGGATGAGAGGCAGGGCATCCTCTCCCACTCCCCTACCTCCGAGTTCGTTCAGAACTGGAGAAACTCCAGGAGAATCTGCCAGAGCCACCTACCTCAGGAGACTCCCAGAGGACCCTCGTGAGGCATGTGAATCCTCACCGCACAGCCGCGCCTGTGGAATGAGGGGCTGGGAAGAAGACTCACGGGGAGTCTGCAGGCTGGGAGCTTCAGCTGAAGCCTAGGGGTGGGCACAGGTGCAAGTCTACCCCTCTTTGAGCGGCCCAGCTGGGTGGGATCTGGTGTGTGTTGTCACAGGCACCGTTGGTGCCCGTCCTCGTCCTCGGCCACTCTCCTGAGTATGCAAACCCCATGACGTCCATTTGTGTGAGGGCTTTGGTGGGGCCGACTGGAAATGCTATGAGTTTGGGACCCCCAAGCAGCCCTCGACAGACAATAGATAGGAGCTGGTGGATAGATGCCCCTCCTCCCCTGCCCTGCTTGAGGTCATCAGTTGTGGATGTTCTCCATGACCTGCCAGTTCCCCAGTGGGATGAAGCTCCAGCCTCCTTCTCCCCAGCCGTCACTGGCTCTCCCACAGACCCTCAGGGCTGCCTTCCTTCTCTACCTCACTCCCCATAGTGGACTTCCTGGGACCATCATCCAAAGTCTCTGCCCTGGCCTCCTTGTCTGAGGGTCTGCTTCTGGGGGAGTCAGCCTGAGACAGCTGTCTTGGCTCCTGTAGCTCTTCTGGTGTGGGTCCTCAGGAGGAAGTGACTCCTCAAGACACTGGCTGCAGAACACTCTGCATATCCAGGTTCCTGGGATAGGGAAGCTTCTCTGCTGTAAGATCAGATTCTTCTTAAGCTTGAAACTCCTATCTGGAGTCTCTACTATATAAGGGGGGCTGGCTTGGGAGAGAAAGGGGAAGGATGGCATAAAAACAAAACTCCTGCTGGATAGTGTTTATTCTGAAGTCTCAAGTCATGATAAGCAGCAGGTCTTGTTCTGCAGTTTTCCCAGGTACAAAATTGTCAGAAAACTATTGGCAAAGAGACAAAACCATTGAGCGCCAACATGGAGTGTGCCCTGATAAATTAGAGCATTTGGTTGGCTATTTTATCCAGATTGATTTGCTGAATATTTGCTAAGACTAGTTCTTTAAGCCATGACATATGATCATTCCAAATAGTAGTACCTCATTATTTACTTAGCTTTTGTTCTTATGCTTTTCAGAGGAAAAAAATACTCTTGTAAATTGTAGATATAGTCAACATGTAACTATGTTATGCAGATCTGTGACTGCTGCAATGTCAGCCCAGAAGAACAAATAAATAAAGCTTATTTACTATAAAAATAAAATAAATAAAAAGGAAATACATGAAGTGGGGAACAGGTGGACTGAGTAATAAACAAGTAAGATGAAGAGGAGCATACAGCAGGCTGCATGTATCTAATCTCCACATGTAAACGTTTGGTATCTAAGCAATGTGCATAAGCTCTCTACTGAAGGGCAGGGATGAGCTAAAACACAAAATTATGTCTCCTCTACCACCATTTGGCGCCATGATAAAATCAAATTGGAAACTGTCTACTTCAAAGCTCATTCCCCAAACATCCTTCTATCTTGCCCAGCCTCAAGACATTAACCAAACTGGTTGCAGGTCAACTCCGGCCAGAGTTTTGCTGTGGATGTCGAGGAGGGACTGGAGTCTCAGGATTCTGTACGTCCTGAAGTCTTTGTGGGTTTTGCATAATAATAATGGTAGGTGACATCTATGGAGGCTGTGCCTCAGAAGCAGGTGGTTTTCAGTGCGTGTCATTTAATTGGGATCCCAGGAGGTTCCAGGAGAGGAGCAGGGAAGTGAGTCAGGGCAGGAAGAGCATCTAATAAAGGTGTGTTACCAAGTGGGGCACTGGGGCAGACAGCGAGGGCTTATTCCTTTGGGGGTACTTTCGGGGGCAGGCTAGAACATGTGTTTCTGTTAGCCCAGCTGAAGCGAGAGGGAACAGGCATTTATCCACCACCAATCCCCTGTCTGTCTAAGGCCTTCTTCTGGGGGATGCTGATTTCCTGGCACTTCTTGCCTGTCCAGTATTCAGGTAGAATAGGATGTGAGGGTCCAGAAAATGCCCAGAGTTGCAGGGGCTGGAACTTTAAAGTTGGGTGGGCATGCACAGGTAGCAAGAACTAAGCAGAGGGACAAGTAAGGTATCGTCTATTCAGTGCCAGACACTCTGCCAAGAGCTTCATCCACCTGCTTTCATGTGTTCTTCAAGGCAGCCTGATGAGGTGGGTGCTGTGACAGATGAGGAAACTGAGGCTCAAGAAGGCAAAACAGCTTTCCCATGGCTACAAGCTAAAGTGGAAAATTCAGGACTACGACTCAGATGGGTTTCACTGCAAGGGCATGCTCTAAGCCGTCATGCTTTATATCCAGCTCAGGTCCTAGGATATCAACCCACCAGCAAGCCATGGGGCCTGTGGGGCTGAATGATTAGACCTGGACCTTCTGAATTAAGTCTCATGATCAAGGGGGTGAGGCAGTGATTTAAATCACTGATGTATGGAAACATAATTTACTCTCTTTGTGCTAATCCTCTCTGGACACCAGTTTTAGCTTTGTGTTGACACTGACAAATTAAGGACATGCTCAGCACTTTTCCAAGAGTAAACAGCAAATTCCACAAGCTATTCTAATCATTTTTCTCTTCCAGAGTAAAATCCCTTAACTAAACACGTCTGCCCTGCAAGTGAGTTGTTGCTGGGACCTTTCTGACCAGATCATGCAGGTCCCCTCAAATTTCAAACCCCCCTGGTTTAAATGCACTCCTATCTTATTTTTAATGCCACAGTAAATGAGTTTGTTTTCTTAATTTCTTTTGAAGATAGTTTGTTTTTAGTGTATAGAAATGCTACTGATTTTTGTGTGTTGATTTTGTACCTTGCAACTTTATACTGAATTTGTTCGTCAGTTTTAACGGTCTTTTGGCAGGATTTTTTGGGTTTTCCACATACAAGACCACGTCATTAGTAGACAATTTCACTTCTCCCTTTCCTTTTTTATAGTTAATAATAATATGTATTTCAAAATTGGTAAAAGAGATTTTAAATGTTTTCATCACAAATAAGTAAGAATGTGAGGTGATAAATATATTAATTAGCCTGATTTGCTTATTCTACAATGTAATTACAACATCACATTATACCCCATAAATATAGATGATTATTGTTATTCAGTTAAAAAAAAAAAAAACCCTGCAGGAGCAGCCTCTCCTGGAGCCCTGGGCATGGCAGCAACACCAGTTGCAGAGAGGCCTCCTGCGCCACCCCGTTCTGTTGCTCACAAGGAGGGCAGCTCCGTCTGAATGGATTGGGCTCTGGCCCTGTGACAGGAGGTACTTTGTGATGGGGTTGGCAAGCACAGCTGAGCTGCCTTTGGTGGCGTTTGCGGGGGAAGAGACGGTGAAGATCAAAAACCTTAACACTGACGGAGCACCTACCATGCGTTCCCACTTTATTGATGTGGATATTGAGGTCAGGAGAAGTTCTGGGACTTGTTCCAAAGCAGGAAGCTTGTTGGTCATATACATGTTTTTCTAGCTTTTAACTTGGGTGTCCTTCCTCCTTACCAGAACATCTCATCCTTCCCTTGTTTTGGTAAGCCTGGTGGCCTGGCAGTGCCTTCTATACATCCTGCTTGTTTGGATGGCTAAAGCCAGGCCAGCCCTTGAGAGGACTGAGTAAAGCAGCAGTGTCTCTTTGCTGACAACCTTTTCTCCAGCCACTTCTGCTTCTTGATTTCAAGTTGATGACATAAACGAGGAAGGGAAGATACTGAATTAGAATTCATTGCTAGGCCTTCTAGGGTGATTCCTAGCTACATGTGGCTATCTACATTTATGTTAATTTAAAAAAAAGTTAGCTCCTCATTCACACTAGCCACATTTCAAGTGCTCAATAGCTCCCATGGCCAGTGGCTACCACGTTAGACAGCACAGATTTAGACTACTGGACAGCTGGGGAAGGTCTGCTAGACACTGATGGCCTACAAATGGAGAGTTGAGTCTTAGGGCCAAAAAAGTGAAAAGACATCCTTGAAAGACCATGAAAAAAAAATACCCCTGGGAGTGAGGTGGAAAGTGAGCTTAAATATACAAAATACTGGAGGAGATGGGGGCTGGGGAAGGGGCCTTCTGCACCTCCTGCCAGGACCCTGGTCTTCTGCCCCCTAAGAACTGGCTACTGCATCATTAGTTTATTCTTTGGCTCTGAACAACAGCAATCTGGGCCTGGGGGAGTGCACCCAGGGAAATAATTCTTTCAGATATTAAAATTAAATAGCAGAAATAACTGGAAGAACCTCAGGCCCCAGGAAATGACATCCATTTGGTGAGGCTCCTTCCAGAAAGAAGAGCTTCCTCCTCCTCTCCTCCCCCAGACCTGAAAGAGGAGCAGTCAGCTGGGAGGAAGGGACCCCTTTCCACTTGGAACCTGGGCTCTCCCAGGAGGTGTCCCAGCCTCATGCTCCTTCAAGAACACATCCACATAAGTCTCCACTTTTGCTGAGGATGGGAAGGTGGGGTTGTGGAGCTGAGACTCCTCTCCCTCCAGGCCTCCTATGGAAACCTGTGTGATTTGGTCACACTGACTGGTTAAGACCTGACCCAGGGGGAGTCAACCTATAGGGGATGGTCACCCCATGGCCAGGCAGGAAAAGTATGAGCTGGCCCAATAATTAGAGACTTCTGGGGACTATAAATTAGGAAACTGACCAGTGCCGGGAGGTACTGAAGAAGCAGGGCAAGTGCACAAAAGATGACAACAGCTAGAGCCAGGGCCAGAGTGGAGGCAGAGACACACTTCTTCTGAGAGAATAAGGATTGTGTGGGGAGGGAGGGAGGCAAAGAGGGAAGGAGGGAAGGAAAGCATGGTTCAGGTCACCTAGGTACTCTGCTAGGCTAGGAATAACACAAAATCCAGAAATAGACAGTGGACCTGAAAACCACAAAGCCAGAGGGAGGATAAGATGTGACTAGCCTCCCTCCTTCCCCAGTACTCCAATCACTTTCATCACTTCTATATCAAAGGCTGCCCTCCAATGCTAATCAGCTTCCTCTGCAGTTTTGGGGAGCAAAGAGGTCACAATGGGATCATGAGACAGAAAGCACATTCTGAAGTTTAAAAGCTGATCTAGGAATAAGAGAGAATTTGGATGTAAGCTCATAAGTGAGATTCCCCAATTCCCAGACCAGATAAAATTCCCTGGGTCCAGGGGAGGAAGAAAGAAGTGCGGACAGGTGTTGACGCGGGGAACAGGGGAGACCACCAACCTTGAGATCATGCCCTGGGCACCCTCACCATGCAGACACCAAAAGGAGTGATGTTAATGGTCCTCTTCCTCATTGTTGGAGAACCTCCACTTGTAGGGAGCCCCGGCTTGACGGCTCAGCTCAGCACAAGAATCCTGCTTGGACTTCCGGAATGACCTGCGCCGTAGAGAGCCTATTTCCTTTAATAACATGAGCCCCTAATGGGCACTGGACACAGGAGTGTGAAGATGGAGATGTGCACAAGGGAGTCCCTACCACTAAACAGAAGGGGCCTAAGGCAGATGGCCAGGGACCTCCCACGTGGCCAGAACATCCCTTTTGCTGCTCTGATCAACCTGAGGAGGTGCAGATGGCAGCAACTCCAACAGCTCAGTGGAGGGAAAAGTCCCCTCTGCCTGAATTCCCAAGTTTCCTATGGGACATCTCAGGGCGTGCCTAGGGTTTAGAAAATGAAGACGCACATTGAAAATATTCTCCTTGATATGTCTTTTCCCAGCACATCTATTGACAGGTCTGGGTTGCTGGACTAATTAGCAGCCCTCCTACCAAACAGACTCACTTAACAAGAGCTTGCCTTGGTATGGGATAGAGAATCATTTTCAAATGTGTGACACCTTCTACTCTCATACACACAAGCATATAGAAATATCTGCCTTCCAGAAGACAGGAATTACATTAAAAATCGGAAAGCAAGGCTCAAAGCTTAGGAAGAATACTTTTGAAAGCTGAAAAGGTGTGCAGAGAGTATTTATTCCTGCTGTGGAGTTTGATCTCTTAAAGATAGGCAGCCACCCACACCAACTTCGAGAAAGAATTCCAAATATTGATGATTTAAAGACTCTTACTGGAAGAGAAATGCGTAGCTTGGCTTATAATCTCCCAGATTCAGCTATTTGTGTCATGGGGATAATGAGCAAAATTTCACAAGATCTTGATAAATCACAAACAAACTACAATTCTAGAAAATCATTCATAGCCTTCTTCCTTTACTTGGCACAGGCTCAATGAATCTATAGGGTGCAAATTTCCTCACAGACAGGAAATCCTGCTTTTAGTGTTTCAATGTTATAATAGATTAGATATAAAGCAAGTTCTAAGACAAGTGTTTTCTTGGGGCTATCTTTTGTTGAAAAAGTTGTCAAGATCATGGATTTCCCCACTAGTAAGGAAACCATACATGACAAACAGCCAGAAGGAACAGAAACCTTTTTTAAAAAGCACACTCTCAGGCTTGGGATTTCTGAAATACATAAAACACGAAAGATCCAAGGGAACATTCAAGCTGCGATGTTCAGAAAGTTGAACCAGCAATGGCTGTTCAAAGCCACACACAAAACACACACAAAGCACACACAAAACAGGGAAGTATCTACAAGAAAAAACAAAAAGAATGCAAGCTTTGTCATTTAAGGTTTAAAAGAGTGTATCAAGGGGTCAGAACCATCTGTGTCTCCAGACTTCTACCCAGACTGAGGCTGAAGGCTGCAAGCCTTAGAAGCAAAGCAAACTCGTGGGGCCCAAATGGAAAGGGGCAGGTTGAGTGTAGGTGCCAATGCTAAGTGTGATCAGGTTTCAGATCAAACTGGAGCAGCAAGGACTAGGCCCTCTGGTCCAGATCCATGACTACGAGCAGTGAACCCCAGGAAAAGACAGCCCCATGGCCCTCTCTTGGGGGAAGCCTGAGGTGGCAGGACACCCCTCTGGGACCCTCCAGCAGAAGACCATCACTCCCCTGCCTGGATAAGGCAGTCCCAGATCTTCAGGAGCCTAGAGACAGCCTCCTGGGGTCGTTCTGTCCTCCACATTCCCTTCTGGATATTCCCTAGGGCCCTTGGGACTCTGGGATCACCTGCCCAAATGGCCCTGAGCCTTTTTCTATGTCCTGCCTGGGCTCTTCTCAACTGACTGTAGGGCAGATGACTCTGGGTCACTTCGGGCGAAGCCTGAGCTAATGCAGCACAAACCCTAGGCAAGGAGGGACGGTGAGGTCAGGAATCTCTCACCACTCCAACGCAGCAGCTAAATCACCTGTGGTGCCTCCCATGTGAGGTCCTGTCAGTCTCTCCACGCTCATATTCTCTCACTCTCCAACACCAACACCTTTGGTTTCTGCTCTCTCTAGACTCCCTGACTCTCACCTCTCTGTGTCTCTGATCATGAGGCTTCCCATTCCTGTGTGGAGTCCCTTTTCTCCATGCTTCTTTGGAATCTGCCTGCACTCTTCAAGAACAGCACCACCTGGCCTTCCTGACACTGAGTTGCCTCCTCTAAGCTCCCACAGCACAGCACGCTGTATAGACCCTCGTCAGCATTTGGTGCATGGCAGGTGCTGACCATAAGTGGTTCTCTTCACAAGACAGCAGGTTCCTTCAGAGTGAAGCCATGTCCTGAGCATCTAGAAGGACTCAGCCCAGCACTACTCTGCAGGGGCTCAAAAAGTGCTTTCTAGATGTCCAAGTGCAGGAAGTCTGTATTTTGCTTCTTGCAGCTTTGACCCATGCATTCATCTGTTTCCTGCTGGCCAGTCAAATGCCAGATGTTACCCTTCCAGCAGTTCTTACATCCAATGATGTTTGTTTAAAAATTTCTGAGCATCCTAAATGTGCTGTACAACATGGAAGGTGAAGGGGATAGAAAGAATAATTTACTCCTGCCCTGAACAAAAAGTGACTGTCCAACTCCAGGCATTCAATGGCTGGACACAGTACGAAGGGGCTTCTTTATTGGGGCTTACATTCTGGTGGTAGGGGCTTATATTCTAGTGGGTAGGATAACAAGATTTGATCTTGGGCCTTGGGGATGGCACCAGCAGGTCCACCCGAACATTTGTCTCTGCCCTGCTGCTCTGCCCACCTGGCCTCACGTTGGACACAGGCATGTATGTTGTGTGTTGAAGCTTGCCCCACTTGGGTCTCTTCCCTACAAGAAGAGGAGCCAGGGAGAAAACCTGCAAGGGCCTTGGCAGCAGGCTCATGGCTATTTGGGTGGAGAATTCTGGGCTTCTGTGTGCTTGGAACATAATCTTGAAGGGGTGGGCACTGGCCTTGGTCCATGAACTCCTTGCCCTATGGATTCTAAAGTGTAGGGCCCAGGGCAGGGGCTAACAGTGGCATCGGATTCCAGTGATTACGAAGTGCTAACATGTAGACTCATGCCCATTCTTAGGGAAGTGTTTAAGGAGGATAGTATGCATTTGTGTCCATGTTGCCTTTATGCCAGCCTGGAAATGCACTACCACAGACACCAGAAACCTTCCTGGGTATCCTGGGCTCATGAAGAGCAAGAAAAATGAACCCCCTCCACCTCCAGCTGATGACTCAGTGAGTCCAGAGGGGAGATGGAGGTGGGGAGAAAGGACCATGCAGCTGCAGGCGACAACATCTCTTCAGGAGGATGAAAGCACGCAGTGTTTGGGTCCAGAGTGGAAATCTCATATCTCAGATGTCAAAGCATCAGGATGCTAACGGCTGCCAGGGAATTCCGGATCCAACTCAGTGCCTGGAGCTCCTCAGCCTTGCGACAGGGTAGCCTCCTTGGTGCCGAAGGTGCCATCCATATTAATGGCTCAGTGCACACAACTTCCCTGAAAGGCAGGGAGGGCTGGGGGGTTGCAAAGGCTCTCCTTACTCATTTGGTATTTTTAGAGAATGTCCTTGTAGAAAAGAGACTTTTCATGCTCCCTTTTTTGGGAGTGGGAGACCAGTTGAAGAGTTGATTGATTTTACCCAGAGTCAAGATCAAGGTGGCCTGTGGGTCGTAAGAGGTCAAGTGTCCTCCCAGAAGTGACACATAAAGCAAGGCCAGCAGAAGTGGGCTTCAAGCCCATGTCTTCTCTGACTCCACAGCCCAGGCTGTGCCTGCTGACCTGCTCCAGCTGTGGGTTGAAAGCAAGGTCTCTGACCCCTCCGTTGAATCACAGTGGGCTGTGACTGTAATGGTGGAAATGACACCGTGGGACTTCAAGGCTAAGTCACCCTCCCTTTCTGAGCTCTCTGGGCTGCCACGTGGAAGTCTGACTGCCTGAGGCTGCCATGCTGTAGAGGTCACTGTAGGTGCTCTTCTCAGTAGCCATAGCTGAGCCAGCCCTTCAGCCATCCCACCCCACATACCAGGCATGGGAGAGAGAAACCCTTTAGGACCACTGGTCTAGCCACAGCCATCGGAGTCGGTCCATCTGAGGCCCTGGATTCCGTGGAGCAGCATTCCCACTGTGCTCCTTCTGAGCACTCAACACAAACAACCCAAGAACAAAACAACATGGTGACCAGGCATGCCACTGAATGTGGGGAGCTCGCTTCACAGCGATAAATAACTAGAATGGAATTAAGGGGGAGGGAATGCCACAGAGATGGGGAAGCAGTAATGTACCTAGTCGAGAATTTGGCTCAGAGATTTCTTGTTGGACAGCTGTCCACTCCTTAGACATCGTCACATGTATGCCCTCCCCCAAACCCTCCAAATGGGGACAAGAGGACCACAGACTTTAGAGCCACTGGCTCTGTGGCAGAAGATGCTGGGCAGTGGTGGAAAGTAAGAGGCCAGATGGGAACAGAACAAGCTTTTCTTGTTCATCTTCTATGTGTCAGACATGGTGCTAGTTGCCATTACATATAATCCACTCAGTGAGCAAATGTTCTGTCCCTACCACATGCCAAGAAAGGGTCTGGGAATGAAGCCGTGTACAAAACCAAGTCCCTGTTCTCATGGGGCTTACGTGTGAGTGAGGGTGAAAAGTTGAAAAGCAAATAACTATGCAATGGCAGATAGCATGGAGGAAAACAAAGCAGGGTAAGAGGAAATATGGCGGCATTTCAGAAAGGCCAGTTAGGAAAGGGCTCCCCAAGAGGGTGGTGTTTGAGCAGAGAGTAGGGTTAAGTCATGGAGAGTGGGGCTGTTTGACTTTAGAGTCCACACTCTGGGCACTAACATGAAGGGAAAGTGCATAACAGATGGCTCCACCTTCGAAAGCTGTGGTCTTTCATCTCCATTTGGTGATGGCCCCCTACAGAGCTCGAAGGACCCCCACCAGGCAGCGTGGGAACAGGAGGGCAGAGAGAATCTACTGGGGGCACCTCAGGTGCCACACCCCACACCCCTAGGCCTAGCCTATGGACCCTCCAGGCAGAGGCACAGAGGGGTACTTACACAGAGCACATGGAGGACCACCGCACCTTGTCTTCTATCCTCGTTTGTGAAGATGTCATTGGGGAATTCATGCAGGGCTAAAGAACAGAGAAAGAAAACCGTCTCAGCACAGGTGACCACATTTTCAGTGCTGTAGGTCTGGGAGTCTTGGTTTTAACATGGGGTCCATGAACTTGGATGAAAAAAAGATCCTGAATCTTTAAGTTCACAAAACTAACCAGAATTTAGTGTTTCCTTCAGATAAGAACGTGGGCAACCAACCACAGTAGCGTTAGCAGAACCTGGGGCTCGGCCCCACAGATATTTTCATAACACGTCATACCATCATACTTGTGCAGCTCTCACCCACTGCTTCAATCTTATGGTGGTTGTTAGGTCACCACCTGTGACTTAAAGTGTTAATGAGGAAGCACGTGAACTACTATATTGCAAATTTGTTTTCTAATACTTTGACAGCTTCATTTCCACACAGTCAGTTTCCATGTGTAACCTTATGTACTTTGCTGCATGCATGCATTGAAAACTGCTTTTCTGAGCGGGGGCTGTAGGCTTCACTGGATCACCAAAAGGGTCTGTGGCTCAGACAGATTTGAAGCCCCTGCTCTAAGTGGGTCTTCATTTTGCTCCTTTTCCACTTTGCCTGACCTGGCTTAGGGTGTGGGCCTCGTGTGCTATTAGAACAACCCCCTCCCTGCTCCCTCCCTCTGCTCCCCTTTCTAAGTTGACCTCCATTTGTGGCTGGACCAGAATGCCAACCACAGGGATGTTCATGCCTTCTCAATGTTCCAAAACCTTTCTGCCTTGAGATGAAAGCTGGAGTCTGTGAACTGACGGTCCCAAGAAGGTCCTCCACCACTAACCAGGCCTCCTGTCCCTTCCTCTCATAAAATCCAATCAACCTTCTGGGCCAGGTTCTCACATCTCCTCTCCTTTATGAAGCCTCCTGTGGTCCCTCCGATAGGAATCCACGGCTCCTTTGCTGGAGGATGTGCCCACCAGGCGCGGCAGGAAGCAGCACACACCACCCCCACCCACAGCCCCACATGGGCAGACATCACCAGCTGCTGAAAGAAGTCTTTCCCTCTGAGCTTGATGATGTCTCCAAGTCTTTCTCTAGCAAGTTCTTAGAGAAACCACCACCATTTGATGGGGAGGATATGCTAGATGATACCTGCTTGCCACCTGTCTTATTTTGGATTCCTCTAAAAGCAGACCCTCCGACAAGGATGTGGAGCTATGTGGTTTACTTGGGAGATGACTCCAGGATGCACTGTGCATGAGGGAGGCAGTGCAGCCAGGAAGGGGAGAAGAGACAAAGACAGTGCTGCTAAGGAGTGAGTGGATGACCTCTGAGACATCCAGGCCCAGTTCTGCTGGGGACCCCTGGCTTGCCCGGAGGATTTGTGCAAGACACAAGCCATCGGTCACTGCTTGAAAAGGCTCTGCTCTCTGCATCCAAGGCAGCATTGGCTTAAGGCATTGTGCAGGTATTGGGTTGGAGCCACACGAAGTGTTTGGGCCAAAGGGTACGTCTAGTACATAAAGCAAGGCTCACCTTCCAAAGTACAGCAAGTGGGGGACAGTTAAAAATACTACATTATATACTTGAAACTTGCGAAGAGGATGGATCTAAATCTTCTCACTACACACACACACAAACACACACACATAAATGATAACTATGTAGAGGTAATGGATACGTTAATGAACTGAAATGTGGTTAACATTTCACAATGTATCTGTATATCAAAAGATCAAGTTGTATACCTTAAGCATATACAATTTTTATACGTCAATAATATCTCAAAAAGGCTTTTTTTTTTTTTCTAAAAAAAAAGCAAGACCCACCTGTGTGTCTAGCCAATCACAATCTCTAGTTTTGTATGGTCCTTTAAACATAAAAAAGGAGACAAGAAAAGACAGGAACATCATGATTATGGGAGGATTTTTCTAAGCTGAAGCTGCTCTAAACAGGCTGCACAGAGCCCCTCTGAACAATGAATAAACTGGGAGAAGCCTGGAGGAGTTTCCCTTGGGGACCAAAATGAAGCCACGATCTGGAAATTAATGTGAGGGGCAGAGGGATGACAACAGTGAGCATTTATTGAGCACCTGCTCCTGGCAAGCACTGTACCTTGCACTTTGCCCCTGTGATCCCATCTTATCCTCACAAACAGATTATTATTCCAGTTCTGTAGATGAGGAACCCAAGGGGAAGACAGATGGGGCAACATGCTTGGGCTCCATGGCTGGAAAGTGGGAGAAGGGCTGCACACCCAGCAAACCCAGGGCTGGGGACGCCCCTCACACATGCCACCCCCCTACTGCATGGATCTGCAATTCCATTCTGCCCTCTGACTTCTTCCTTCTGTGACCTCCTCCAAAAGAGGATTTGACCTGATTTACATTCAGCTGCCACTCTCCTGGAGGAGAAGCAATAGGCTTTTTTTTTTCTTTGCATTTTTCAGTGTAGCTGCCACAGGGTGTTTTGGCACTGGCCAGTCCTAGGGTTGAAAGGTCACCTCTCCTATTGTTCTCCTAGTCTCAGAGCTGGAAGCTAGAGATGGGATGCTGAGTTAATGTATCAATCACAACAGCCATCACCCATGGGAAACAAGCCAGTCATATGCCCTGGGGCAGTGCCAAGCAAAGGAATCGTGTGGAAACCTCTTATTTGAGGTCCCCAATCATCAACGAGGGGTACAGTGGGTACAGGTATGTGGCATCCAGTTAGCTCTTTACTTTCCGCCCCACAAGCTTCCTCCGTGATCAATAACAAGGGACCGAGGGAGCACAGGAAAGGAGTGAAAGTCACCCCATGAGCATCATCCACGTCTGCACTGGGTTCTCCCCAGCCCAGCTCTATTCTCTTGCCTCACTGCTGCCCCGTGCATGAGGCCACTGAGGGCCAGGGAGCACATCTGTTCCACCAAGGACACCATGTCAGTAAGTGACAGGCTTGGGTTCTGAATCCAGGCATTCTGAGTTTCAATTCTCCACAACATGAACAGCAACTGGCTGAATGAAGCAACTGCAGATATGTGTATCCCACTGGGCCTGGTTCTCTGGTGGAGGAGGTTTCTTGTCAGGGGTCTCCATGCCAGCCCACATGGTGGCCCCAGCTGGGACCCCTGGGGAAGACACACTGGAGGCTGAGCCCTGGATGGAGCAGGACCCAAAGGGCCCCATGCTGGCTCGGGACAGTCCACCCAGAAGCTGCCCAAAGTCCTGGCCGGGCAGGGGTGAGCCAAAGAGAAACCACAGGAGCTTCGTCAGGGTCCTCCTTCCTTGGAGGCTCAGCAACCCTCCCTTTCCTCCCTTCAGGGAGTGGGCAGCTTACCAGTGACCTGATCTTGGTCTGCTCTCCAGGGCCTGCTCTCTGATCCATGCCCAGCTGGGAGCTCCTCTATCAAAACTGTCTCCTCTTGTCAGCAGTCACAGCTGGCCATGAGGAAGTGTGTGAAAATTCTCCATGGGGCAATGAGAGCCTCCAATCTGGCACAGTCAGCAGCACAGCTTGTGAATGGAGCGGCCAGCACTGTGGGCCTCCTCACCGAGTTGAATGTGGGTAGAATGTGGGAGCTCCAGGGTCAGGGTGGGCAAGGCAGAGGACAGTCTAACGGTTTTGAACCACTGTTCTTCAAGAAAAACAAAGAGTCTTATTTGATGGCCAATAGCAATGTGGAAAGAATGACCAGGTTAAATACTCACCTAGCAAACTTCACCTGATATCCACCCACTCTGACCACTTTTTCATTACAGCTCCTCTCAGAAAACACGTATCAGGAAAATAACAAAATTGGAAAAATGGTTTCAAAGGACTCATGCACAGCTTGCAAAGAATACTACATATATTTTATTTTCCCTTTTAGATATGCATTATCATTTGAAAAAAAAGTCACAGGGAGAGATTTCATCTAAAAATTGAGCTAAGCCCAGGCCGGGCGCGGTGGCTCACGCCTGTAATCCCAGCACTTTGGGAGGCCGATGTGGGCGGATCACAAGGTCAGGAGATTGAGACCATCCTGGCTAACACGGTGAAACCCTGTCTCTACTAAAAATACAAAAAATTAGCCGGGCGTGGTGGCGGGCGCCTGTAGTCCCAGCTACCTGGGAGGCTGAGGCAGGAGAATGGCGTGAACCTGAGAGGCGGAGCTTGCAGTGAGCGGAGATCACGCCACTGTACTCCAGCCTGGGTGACAGAGCGAGACTCCATCTCAAAAAAAAAAAAAAAAATTGAGCTAAGCCCTCTTCTCCTACCCTGTGAGAGGTGAGTCTTCCCTCATAGGTTCCAAATGCCCATGCCTTAGGCTGGGGCCCTCAAGAGCAGACCCTGAGAGAAAGATTTGAATGACAGCTGTTTGTTTGGGAGGTGATCCCAGGAAGCATCGGGAGCAGGGTGGAGAGATGAGGCAGGGAGGGGAAGGGGCTGGCACAGTGTCTCAAGCTTGCTGGGAGACAGAGGAAAGCAGGTCTCAGAGTTGTCTACTGCAGGGTCAGCAGCAGGGTGGGGGGCTCCGTCCACTGACGCCTGCCTGTCACTGTTTAGGGCTGTCCCAAAGGCACTGACCCTTCAACACTTCTGCTCAGCCCTGCACTGGCCAAGCCAAGCATGCTTCTGGGGCCAGAGAAGGCCCTAGAAAGAGTCACAGGTGATATATCAAGAAACCATCCGCATGTCTGGGTGTAGGAATGCCCCATGTCTGCCCTAGCCTGATACAACAGAATACCGTAGACTTGGGAGCTTAACCAACAGACATTTATCTCTCATAGCTCTGGAGGCTGGAAGTCTGAGATAAAGGTGCCAGCATGGTTGGGTTCTGATGAGGGCTGTCTTCTGGCTGGCTGAGGCCACCTTCTTACAGTATCTACATATCAGAGTATGAGTAAACTCTGGTCTCTTCCTCCTCTTATTTGGACATTAATCTCATGATTGGGGTCCCACTCTTACACCTTTATGTGACCCTAATTACCTCCCAAAGGTCCCATCTCCAAATACCATCATTTTGGGGGTTAGGGCTTCAACATATGAATCTGGGAAGTGGGAACAAACATTCAGTTCACAGCATCTCCGAAGCCTCCTTTGCATAAGAACTGAAGAGGAGACGCAAGGTATCTTATTGCAGGAAAGGAGAGACCATAACTTATACACACATAATTAGCTTCAGCACACAGCAGTGGGGCATGGGGTGGAGGTGGCAGAAGGGAGTCCCTCTGCACAAGCATAACATCAGGATAAACTGTTATTAAGACTTGCATTCTGAATCTAGCATGGTAGGACCCCAATGTTAAGACTTAGGGTTGTAACATGTTCTTATATTACATATCCTGTTCCACCATGTTAGAAGCTTCTTTGATTCATTTGCAAAGGGCATTTGTTGCCAGATGACCCTGCAGCACAGAATGTAAATCAGGAAGAATCCTATCTTAGAGACCCACTGGGGCAGCAGCTTCGTTTAGGGAGGCCATAAGGATTGTCATTGATCTTTGTCAGCTCCTACGTGCGTGCTATATACACAGCCTACTAATAACATTGTTATTTCACTCGTTGCCTTGCTGTGGTTCTAAAGCAATTTGGTATCACAGTGTTTAATCTTCCTAAGGAAGGGGTCAGCCTGGAGTCAAGAAAAGTGTCCTCAATTGGGAATCTGGAAATGTGGGGCTCAATGCCAACATTTCCAAAGTGTGGCTTTGGCCACCTGTCATTTCATCTCTCTGGGACTCAATTTGCCTTTTGGCCATTTGAAAAGTGGCCTCTGAGGATCCTCCTTCCCATTGCCTCTGGTCCAAACACAGTACACTGCAGTGCACACAGCAGATGCCTGATAAGTCTCAGTGGGATGAAGAACTCTGAGAACAGACCTTAGGCATGGATGGGGTAAATCCACTCTGCCCAGTTGACCCAGTGGTTCAAGAAAAGAGCTGCAACAGCAGCTGTGCTTTCCTCCTGGAGACTGCAACAGCTCTTCAACTGGCGACACACTCTGGTGCCTTGCAGGTGTGTGTGGGGCATGCGATTTTCTGAATAGCTGCAGCTGTCCAAGAAAAGAGTGTATGCGGACAGTGTGGTGCACTGGACTGGAAGGCTCTGCCAAGTGCTTCTTGGCCTCAGTTGGTTCACTTCTAGAACAAGAGGTAAGACAATGTGGGGCCTCTAGCGCCTCCCAGAGCTGATGGCTGGTGCTGATGTCACCCTCTCCAGGTGTGCATCCTAGCGCCAAATCCAAAAGTACTCAGCGCATTTTTTAAGGCTTGAGCTAGGATGCTTGCTGTATTTGGGAACTAACATTTTCCTTGGGTGATCAGTTAGATTTTGAATAAGATCCCACAGTGGAGAATCAGGCTCGGGTCCAGATCTCCTTCTGTGCCACACCGGGCCTCATTTCCTTCATCTGTAGATGGGTGTGTTGATGTCATCCCTGCAGGGTTGTTATGAAGAGTGTAGATAGTGAATGTGAAATACCTACCGCCATGCTTCCTGGGGTCACATATCATTATTCTAAATTATAACAACAATGACATGCTGGCCTGGTGTGGGCAGAGGACACATTCATCTCTGGTCTTGATGTTGAAATCCACATATTGCCAGTTCCTTCCTGTCTTGCATTGGCATCTGTTTACCTGGATGGTGATTAGTCCATGAGAGCTGCATAAATGCATGTGCCTCTAGGCAGGTGCTTCTGGTACTCAGCCTGTTGGGGCCACATGGCCCACATGGCCTGTTAACAGCAGCTACCTATGCAGGGAGAACGGAGCAGCCTCATCCAGCTGAGAGTCATTCCCCAAATACCTTCAAGGTCCTCAAAGTCTCTTTCTGCTCCTCTCTTTCATCCCCCAATTTTCCTTTCAGTGCATCCCGCCAGCCCTGGGGGCCTGCAGAAGCAAGCGGTGCTGTTCCCATGGAAACCACAGGGACCTGAGTGGAGTGGATTCCCCTTACCAAGGCAACAGCAATCAGCTTCCTTGCTTCTCCCTCCTGGCTGCTTTCATGAGACCCGAGTTTGATGAGTCTAAACGGAGGTTCACAGAGGTAGAGTCTTTTCTCCTTTGCTTGAAAAAAAATGCAGCAGGAACATTCATGCCATCTTTAGACATACTCATCACATATTGATCAAATGGAGCAGGCCAAAATGAAGATCAACACATCCTAAAAAGCCTGGCTCCCTTAACATGTCTGAGCAAAAGGAACATGGGCTGCTGCAGCCATCAGAATACCAGTCTGCCATCCCAGTGACCTTCTCATGACAAAATACCCATGCAACTTGAGGGATTGGTCTCTCAGGAATTGCACCGAAGGATGGCAGTCTGGATGCTACCCAGCTTCCCCCTGCAGTGATGAGTGGCTTCAAGCTTCTGTTTCACGTGCTTTCATCTGTCTTAGTAAAGCCTGTTGCTCCCACTTTTCCTGGGGCACTGTAAAAACTTTGTCTTCCGGGTGCGGTACCTCCTCCGCTTCTCACAAAGCCTTCCCTGCCTCTCTTTCTGTGGCCCAGTTGCATTGTCCCAGTGCTCATCAAATTATTTTCCAACCACACTGTAGGCATTTTCTTGTCCATGTGTACCGTGGACTCAGTGGCACCATGAGCTCAGCTCCCTGAGGACAGGAGCCCTGTCATTTCTCTCTTTGTCATCAGCACCCACCAGGCTGGGATACATGAAAGAGGACAACAAATATCAAGTGTGACTGAATGCAGAGGGCCTTTCTCTCAGGAAGTGGTTTTGTATAAACACAAGACAGAATTATTGGCTGAGAAATGGTGTTGGGAGGGACAGCTCAGTCAAACTCCCAACTACTAGATCCCAACTCTGGTGGCAATGAGGGCTGTTCACAAATACCCCATTTCTCATTGTTCCAGAGACCTAGGAGGAGTATTTCTACATCCCTTTCAAAGTTAGGTAAGGCCATGCAGCTTGCTTTGATTAGTGAAATGTGAGCAAAATGATGTGGATTGCATGTGGCTTTCAAACCAGTGCCTGGCTCACCATTTTGCATTTTCTTGTCTCAGCATTTCTTGAAAGGTACATCAGGATGCAATGTGCATCTCCCATCAGCCTGGATCCCTGAGTGACTGATACCAGAATCCCCAACCCCAATACATGCATTTTGTACGTGTAGCATGAGTAAAAATAACATTATTGTATTTTGTAGCCACTGATCTTCGGGGGCTGTTTGCTACCCAGCATATCCTAGCTCCTTGTGAGAAATGCATATGGTCCTTGCTCCTTGGCATCCCTACAGCCTTTTGCACGTTGTTTGCCTTGCAGCAATTTTTGGTTGTTTTCTCTCTTCTCCAGTAGACTGGGGGAGGGAGGTTAAGGTTGTAGGATATTGATTCTTCTCTGTAGCCCTGGTGTCTAGCAAAATACCTGGCACACAAATCACTTAATAGTGTTGGTTGAGGCAATTAACACATTTGTCATAAATAAAGGCCCCTGAACAAAATTATCCACAAAAGAATCTGTGTGAAAGTACATAAATGCATAACTTAATTTTCTAAATATTTAGTCTTTGGAAATGTTTTAGAGACATTTCAATGCATGCTTACATTCAACGAGGTCAAGTAAACCTCAGGCAGGCATGGGAGAAGGCATCTGGCAACAGGAGGTGCTGGGTGTTCCAGGGAACCAGTCTGTTCTTAGATCATCTTTTGAATTTTTGTCTCGTTCTAAAGATCATATCTTAATAACATTGGAAAATTTATTAAATCAATACTGTGTCAAAACACCACTGCTTACTTTCAGCACTTACCATCTGCTGGATACCATACTCAATACTAGTTAAAGGTACACAGCCCTTATCACTGAGGAGTTAACAGTTGAGGTTAGCTTGGGAGCAAGGGGACTCTCTTTGAAATCATCCCAATACCTTAAGTATTCTGAATTTAAGAATGGAAATAACCTTTATCAAGTATTGAAAATATATTTATCACTTTTTCATTGCTTCTATATGATAGGAAGCATTATCCCAATTTACAGATGGGTAAGCTGAGGCCCAAAGAGGGCAAGTAACCAGTCCAAGTTCACATAGACGTTAGTGGAAGAGCTGAGATCAAACTAGGGTCCAACTTTCTAATATGTTGATTCCACTGTCCTAGAAAGAACAAATTACCCCCTTTTTTCTTGTTTTTTTAAGGGCATAAGTCCTTCCCTTCAAAAACCAGAAACAAAGTTCAGATTCAAATGGATTGATGTGTGAATGAAAACAAGGTCATGAGAAGCATCTCTGTGAAGGAAGATGCAACCACAAGTCATGGGAACAGATGGCCTAGAGGGATCATTAAACTATCAATCAAAATGGTATTGCCAATCAAATTTGCTAAGAAAACTTGGATCAGCCAAATGCTTATGTGGTGACATTTGCTTACCACAGGCAACCAGCATTTTACAAGAGCCTGAGGGCCTGGATTTGAATCCGTCCTTTACCACTCATAAGTTCTGTGGCTTTGGGAAAATTCTTTAACATCTTTGAGTCTTAATTGTTAATGTGCAAAATGGGAGAATGAAAACAATACCCATTTATGTGGTTATTATGAGGATTGATGATGATGCTTATGAAATATGCAATACCTAAAATTGGGCAAGGACCTATCAAATGATAGCTCTGTTTGTCTCTAATTTATTAAATAATGGAGAGGGAGAAATATGGATAGGGGAGTTTCCCAAGACATCAATACCAGGCCCACAGTCCTGGGGCCCTATGTCTTTTGTACTAAGCACCTTCATCTCTTTCCCTGAAGGCTTTCTCCAGAGCTGAGAAAGGTTCCCCTGCCCAGGCACTGCAGGCTGGATATGCTGGAGAATTAATACCACTCTTTCTCTCAAGAGAAACTGTCAACCAAAGTCTGATGAAAGGTGGGTGTATAAGTACCCCAGCTCCCTCATTACCTGGATGAGATAACGCTGAGGTGTGTTCTACACTGTTAAGGGTTCCCAGCACAACTAAGCTCTGGTTGCTCACGGTGGTAACATGCCTATGATTGGTTGCCTATCTGTCATTGTCTCGTTGTCTCACTTCCCAGCTCCCATATTTGGGATCATCTCAGAAACAAACAACTTGTACTTGAGTTTGTTTCTGGGACTACTTCTGGAAAACCCATATTTAGAAAAGGAGAGTTAGGAATTTTGCACTTTTCCCTCTCTCTATTTCAACAAAGATTTGTTTTTCCAGAAAAGAACTTAAACACATTTGGATGAATTTTCCCCTAAATCATGGCAATAGTCTGTATGGACAATTTGCGGTGGATTTGCAATCTAGATAGCATTATGGAACTACCTCACTCCTGAATGCAGATTGAGAAACTGCCTTTGCTCCTTGTTCATGATGCTGAAGTTGATCCAACATCATGAGAAGCCCCTTGGTTCCCACTTAAGAGCTCTTTTTCTCATGTCTGTATTGGCAGAAGATTTTAAACAATCAGCCCACAAACTTTTCTCCTGGAAGAGAACAGACATTCTTTGGAACTAAAGAACCCCAATCATTAGTTACATAGACTATTGGCCTAGCAGAGCACTGAAATGTAATTTGACAAACTAGAAACATATTTCTTTATCAATAATAAAAACCATGGCATCAGTGCTGCTCATGTCTTTGAGCCAGCAGCTACTGTAGAAAATACAGCAATCTCATGAATAATGTAGTTTTCCCAGGCCACAAACATGGCAGCAGATAGGAGGTCTGTTTGCAAGGGCAAGAGCCTACGGCATGCATTTGTTGCTCACATGTGATTATCAAGGCTGTGTCACTAATGAATTCTCATTAAAGAAAGTGACATATTTATGGTAAATTCCCTGTGGTGTGCAGAACTTGATACTCTTCTTGGACTCCTTTGTTTCTCAAAGTGTCCCTTGGTGCCAACATCAGAGACAGAATGTTTGAATGGATGACCTAGGGTCTGACCCAAGTGCTGCATCTCTCATGTTCTTATGTCTGCTATTGATCCAGACCAATAGGCTGATGTACACAGGAACCCACTAAATAGTTCCTCAAGGGAACCCATGGTGATTACAAGGAATGCCCATTCCTGTTCAATGCCCTCAGAAAGGATGAGATTGCATGAAAAACTTTTCTAGAAAAAAAATGCACTTGAAATAGTGCTTTTGGAATGTAGTAATTCCCTACAGGAATCTACATGGAAAGTTTTTAAACTTTAAATATTTATTTTATAGAAGGTGAAGTGTGCATGCTAAATGGCTGGAGGTTTCAAAATCAATGACATTTTTTAATGTTAACTCATTAAATTCCAGAGGTGGAAGTAACCTTTATGGTTCTATTGGTCTATAGATGGGAGGATAATAACAGAATTTCATGAAAAGCACAAAAGTTTCCCTCTGCTTCCCCTCTTAAAAACTGCCCTTTTTCTTTCCTCCTGATGTTGTTATTCCACGACTGCCAATTTTAAGGATAGAAAATTAGTCTCATTCATGTTCATTGCTTGACTGCTAATGATTGACTGATAGGCTGAGTCTTGGATGGGGCTCAGTGTGGTAGAGCATCTCCATCTATTAGCAATGTCTACCATGGTTAGGGGAATAGGAACAGGGACATGTGCGCTCCTTATTTCCCTATACTGAAGCTTTGCTAACCAAGTCCTAAAATGAAAGAATAACTGGCACTCCTTGGTCCTGGTAATAGTGATTCCTGATATCATTTTGTTTGATCTGCACCTATTTTAGAATATAATCCATTTAAAAGGGGGAGAGTTATTACTAATCCATCTGCTTGAAGGTATTTGGTATCTTCAGGGAATTTATTGAGACGTCTTTAATCTTTAGCTTGATTTCTAGTTTATGATAATGAAATAAATATCTAAGAATATGCGTAGCTGTTGTAGGAAGACATAAATAAGCAGACAAAAAATATTGATTAGCTCAGTTGGAAAAAATAAGAGCTGTGCTTACTTCTCAGTTTTGGTCCTGGCCACCTCTGGCCCCCTCCTTAAGGGGAAAATGCAGATGTTGACTGCAGGAAATCATTTTTCCTTTTATGTTACCATACATTCAATATTTTTTGACCATTTACCTATAATTTTAGGTCAAAGCACTAAAGAATCTGCAAATTACTCCTGAAACTCTTTTAAGGGTAGATTAGAACTTGATTATTTTTTGTTAGATCACTAAGTTTGTGCATCCAAAGTTTAGATTCCAAATATCAAGTCTCCATCTCTTGGACAACATTTGCCTCTGAATATGAACAGAAATTAAGAAAAGAGCATAATTAATTCAAACCAAAAATGTAATTCATTTGTTCACTTTTCTCCATTTCCTTGAACTGTCACAGGGCTCTGGTGATGGCACACTATAGCTCTGAATGAAACATACTAAGTGCCTTTTGCTTCAACAATGTGCTTTGGTGTCCAGCTAGGATTTTGGGTTACAGATTAAGAACAGAAACTGATGACATGAGAGGTATCTTAGGAAGGGCACTGTGCTGCCTTGTAGATGGCAGAAGACCTGTCAGAGTTTGGAGCAAGCAAGATCAAAGCAAGAGAATTTAGAATCTACTTGATGTGTATCTAGTATTTTTTTTTTTTTTTTTTCTGAGACAAGGTCTCACTCTGTTGCCAGGGCTGGAGCGCAGTAACACTATCATGGCTCACTGCAGCCTCCAACTCCTGGGCTTAAGCAATCCTCCCACCTTAGCCTCCCAACAGGTGTGCATCAACATGCCCAGCTATTTTTTTTTTTTTTTTTTTTTTTGGTAGAGACAGGGTCTTGCTATGTCACCTAAGCTGGTCTCAAACTCCTGGCCTCAAGCTATCCTCCCACCTTGGCCTCCCAAAGTGCTGAGATTACAAGCATAAGCCACTGCACCCGGTCTTCTATTAATTTTTTTTATTATATATTTGACTTCATGGATGGTGGCTCAGGAGATTCTGGATTCTGTCATCTTCCTCTGAACAGTGTTGAGTTTTGTTCTAATAGGAAGTTGAATTATCAGAGGATTGTAATTACAAGCCACAAAGCCAGAGGTGGTTTTAGGTTTTCAGCTTTGATTGAATTACTGGAGGGTCATCATTTGTGGTAATTTTAGGCCTGTTTTAAGTGTGCCCTTAGTCCTGAGATGTGGTCCCTATAGGCTTTCAGTGGAGCATCTGAACTGTTTATCAAGCCCCTTTAACTTTAGAGGCTTGCACTTCTCAGTTTGTCTCCCCAGTGCCAGGCAGCAGCTGACATATCCGCTTTCAGCCTTTCAGCTGTTGTTTTCCCTGGGCCGCGTGGAGTCATCCCCAAGCATGTGAGGTTCAGCAGTCAGTCACGGACCTGAGGGAAATTTATATGTCTATTATAGGGCTCTCCCTCTTTGACTCCTTTCTTTCTGAGATTTCCCCCAATTTTCAGCTGCTCTGGGACCCAAGCTCCAATCTCTGATGCCTCAACCGAGTAAGACTGCTGCTTTCTGCCTGAGCTCTATCCCCCATATGCTACACACCTTGGGGAGGTTTCAGAGGAGAAAAGCTAACTGCTATGGCTCTCTGCCAGTCTAGTTTTCTTTTGAGGTTCATATCCCCTCCAGTCTCTGCTTGTTTTCTTCACTTTCCTCTGGAATATATTCTACTTCATAAGCGACTGCAAACCAAATTCACATTAAAGATTCCCCAAACTTGCCCTTAGCCACATTAAGTCCTCCATGGAACTTATGCTGCCTGGAGTCACGGTGTGGCCTGGTGGTAAATAACAGCCTAGGGAAAGTAAAGGTTGTTGGGATGGGCTGACAAGCTAGGATGGAAAGCCTGGGAGGTGAGCTAATTGCATGTCAACTTACGTGGATAAACCAAAAATCAGACAGAAAGAGCAATCAGAACAGTGGGAGATTACAGGAAGAGACACTGCAGCCTTCCAAAGCTCTCAACTATAAATATTTCAAGGTCAAGTCATCCCAAACAAGCATCTGTGGCAGTTCTAATGTCTCTGACAGGTGATGCCCCAAGGCTCAGAGGCAAGAACATGTGTTCAGAGGCAAAATGATATTGGAAACCAGTTACAGCCAAGAAGGTAAAATTGTGTTCTACTTTCCTTTAGAATCTGTGGGATCTCTTAGATGTTTCCTGCAAGTGTCAGATTTTGATGTCCCATGTGAAGTCGCCAAATTGAAATTCATGGTAACAGCAAGGTAGGTGTTTAATAAATGCTTTTCGAGTCTAGAGAAACTTGTGAAGCTTTATGAAGAGGAAAGAAAAGTGGGCAGAAAAATAAAACTTTTGACCAAGTCCGGCCATTACATAAAGTACCTCAGTATTAACATTTACTTTTTTTATGGAAGAAAGTGAAAATTTGGCTTAGTTGTTGAGTTAGTTAAGATGAAAATGATAAATACCATAATTTATGTTCCAAGTAAGGAGGGAAAGTGGACAGGAAGTAGGAGGAAAAAGTTTCACTTCATTCTTATGTTAGAATGCCATCATATCACCCATTATAAGTCAATTACTTCTTGCTCCTCCTCAGAACCTATGAGTTTGTGTCATTGGCACAAAGATTGTCATCTTTGTCTTTCCATGTACTTATGTATCATTGCAGGGTTGGCTGGAGTTGAAAACAGATTAAAAGAGATCCATAAAGTAATACAATTATTACAAGACAAAATAATGCAAGAGGTAGTGGTAGCAACATCCACTCTGATGTAATAACCTTGGTCATGATGTCACAGAGGCCTCATGCAAATGTATACATTTACAGTCATGAGCTAGGACAAATTTCAGGCCCACTTGAGTCAAAGGCTGATCAAAGATACTAATACCTCCTCTCCAGCCTTCCCAGACGAGGAGTGGTTTACCATGTACTTGAAGAAGCTGTGTTGCACCTCACTGGGCTGTTTGAGTTCTTGTAACGATGTTTGAGTTCATGCAGTGGGTGGGGTAAAATAACTTAGCAGAATTTTCAAGGATGGAAAGGAATTTAATATCATTGCTTCCTTTGATGTTTTCTCATATATTATATAACTTTGAATTTCAGGGCATTTCATATAGATTTATGGAGGAAAATTTATTAAAATAAATTCTTTTAGAAAATGACCCTTTCAATGTTTGAGACAATTTTTTATCCAAATAATATTGTATTCAATGAGAGACTCCAATATTTAACTTTTCTTGCCTAGCTCACATAAATATGATCAGACTGTCAATCCTAACTCATAAAAATCTCTGATCTCCTAGGTAACACTAAGATGAGGAGAGAAGCAAAAGAGCTGCTTTTGAATCTGAAGATAGAAGCAGCAAATCCCATGGGGATCCTGAACAAGGAAAGGAGACCCTGCCTAATAGCTTCCGAGGTGGCGGCCGAGTATCCACAGTTGGGGGACTGGAGAGAGTGGCATTTCCTTCCACTGAGTCTACGACACAGAAGCAAATCGAGTGGCTTTTTCTCAACAATTTCAGGTAAATGGTTCTTTCCAAGGATACAGGTTCCTTGAGAAAGATTCAAAGACCAAAGTGACTCTGATCCCACTTGCATCATGTAATGAGCTTTTCAGGGACACAGGTGTGCACCACACATTTCCTCATCAATATAACTCAAGGGTTCAGGGCAGAGTCGCTACATCCACCATGTCGTTCTTCAGCTGGCGGAGGATAACAGGGAGTATTCAGCACAGTCTTGATGTCAGGAGTTTACAGCCCAGCTGGGAAGCTAACTTCCAGCACACACACACACACAAATGCACAAACTGGAGGATGATTGAAGAAATCAGGCTACATCCCTAAACATGTATGTATGTATAATCCATGTGTGTACATGTATGTATGTATGTAGCATCCATGTGTGTACATGTATGTAAATATAGGTATGCATGTATGTGTGTGTGCATATGTACAAACATATGCATACGCAAGTATCTAGGTGTATGTGTGTAATGGACTGAATACCCTACTCCCCAAATTCATATGTTGAAATCCTAATCCCCAGTGCGATGGGGTCTTTGGGAGGTAATTAGGTCATGAGGGTGGAGCCCTCACAAATAAGATTAGTATCCTTATAAAAGTCATGAAAAATTAGCTTGGCATAGTGGTATGCAACTGTATTCTCAGCTACTCAGCAGGCTAAGGTGGGAGGATAGAACCACTGCACTCCAGCCTGGGTGATGGAGAGAGACCTTGTCTCTAGAAGAGTCATGAGAGAGTTTGTTTCCCCTCTCTGCTCTCTGTCACGTGAGAATACAAGGAGAAGTCAGAGGTCCGTCACCCAGAAGAAGGCTCTTGCCAGAACTTAACCATGCTGGCACCCAGTTCTCAGACTTCTAGCTTCCAGAACTGTGTGAAATAAATTCCTGTGTTTATAAACCCACCCAGTATGGTATTTTCTTAAAGCTGCCAGAACTAAGATAGTACATATGTATATGTATCTGCATAATAACCATCCCAAACATAGTGGCTTAAGACAACTGTAACATTTTATTGTTATGTCTCACATTTTTAGGCGTTGACCGGCCTCAGGTAGGTGGTCTTTACTTGGCTGCTCACACAATTGCAATCATATGGTGGCTGGACCTGGAAATGTGAAGGCTCCAACACTCACTGCCTGTCTGGCCTCTGGGCTAGGGGAACTGAAACACCTGGGAGCTGGAACAGCTGGGGCTCCCTGGCCTCTCCAAGTCTGTGGTCTTGCCATGTGGTCTTCTCAGCTTGGAGACTTCTCAAATAGTGGCTCAGAGCTGCACGTGCACACGCCAAGAGAGTGCCAGGAGGAAATCATACAGCCTTTTATGATCTGGCATAGGAAGTCACGCAAAACATTTCCGCTGCTTCTGCTGGTCATGGCAGTTACAAAGATTTAACCAGTCTTAAAGGGAGGTGAAGTGGACCCTATCTCTTCATTTTTGGTGGGGGAGGACAAGATTCTGGAAGAGTATGTTGTCCTGGAGTTCTTGCTGTGGTCTTTTGGGAAGATGCAATCTGCCACTATTTATCTCACCTGAACTGATAACCATAGCTATAACCATATTGATAACAATTGATATCTATTAATATGGATCAGACAGTGAGTGGGAAGTGAGGTCAGGAAGGAAGGTGTCAGCATGAGCCAGCACAGTGAGTGAGGCTGCATAGGGCAAATCAGGCTTGAGTGGAGCCCTAGAGAAGGACTGCAGGAGGCAGTCCAGGTGGACAGGGAAGTAGAGACAAGGTGTGGGGGTGGGGGAGGGGCACAGCCATCCAGAGTTTGAATGAGGTTGTGGCTCTTTAATGCTGCAGTCCCCAACCTTTTTGGCATAGGGACCAGTTTTGTGGAAGACAATTTTTCCATGGACTGGTGGGGAAGGGTGGTTTGGGGATGATTCAAGTATTTACATTTATTGTGTACTTTATTTCTATTATTATTACTTTGTAATATATAATGAAATAATTATACAACTCACCTCCATGTAGAATCAGTGGGAGCCCTGAGCTGGTTTTCCTGCAACTAGACCAGTCCCATCTGGGGGTGATGAGAGACAGTGACAGATCATCAGGCATTAGAATTTCATGAGGAGTGTGCAACCTAGATCCCTCGCATGTGCAGTTCACAACAAGGTTCATGCTCCTACGAGAATCTAATGCCACCACTGATCTGACAGGAGGTGGAGCTCAGGTATTAACGTGAGCCGTGGGGAGTGGCTGTAAATACGGATGAAGCTTTACTTGCTCATCCACCACTCCCCTCCTGCTATGTGGCCCAGTTCCTAACAGGCCAGGGATTGGTACTGGTCCATGGTCTGGGGAATGGGGACCTCTGCTTTAAAGCATTTCTCCTTGAACAAACAGCCAAGTTCTCCAGCAGAAACAGTAGCAACTCTTAATATGTTAATATCATTGTTCCCATTGCATGCTCTTTCCTGATCCTCATGAGAACTCGAGAGCTCTGTGCTTCACAGAGTGGGAAACTGAGGCTCAGTTCACAAAGTAAGAAGATCCACTTGATCTTCTGAGGCAAGTGTCCTTCCTTCTACACCACAGCAGCCTCTTCAGGATCAACATTAGACGTGGTTTAGTTCACGTTTCTCCCCAGGCTCAAAGGGGAAAAAATGTGCAAACCCTAACCTTGTTTTTTCCCAAAGAAATGACTGCACCAAGCATCTGCAAAACATGTGGAATTGCATTACATTTCACAGTACATTAGAGCCCAAAATGGGACCCGAGACTAAAATTGGCCAACTTCCTAATTAGCCTTTTACTAAGCCTTGGGCTGGAGAAACATGACCCCGGAGGACATAGCGTCTGGGATTCTGCTCCTCACTGCAGGCCTTGCGGTAAGTATCTTTCTCCAACTAGAGCTTCCTATTCAGATGAAACGGTCCTAGCCCCTTCTACCCAAAAAGGGACTGGTTTGGAGTTCTTGCCTTATTTGAGTGCCGGAAATGTCTACTTGTGTCTCAACATTTGTCATGGGCTAAGAATGAGCTGGGAGCTGACTCAGATTCTCCTGTTGCCTGAGATACATCCTGATGGAAAGCATGTTGGCACCTTTTGTAGGGACTCTTTCTATGCCCCAGGGCCCTTTTTTATCATGTGCACATTTTACGGCCATGGGGCAAATCGCTGGTACCCCATGGGGTAAATGGCTGGTACCCTAATGTCTACTTAGTGTGTTGGAACTCACAAGGAGAAGGCAGAAGGAGTTGATACTGGGGCTTGCAAAAGAGCTCAGCTTACAACAGAAAGAAGTTTAGACACTGGGGAAGAACAGGCCTGGTGCTGTTATTGCTCCCACAAACTCCTCTGAAAGTTGCTATAATGGAACTGAAGCTGGCAGTCAGGGTTCTGTCCTCCTCCCTGGAAAGCCCTTTACCATTTTGCTAACTCCAGCTCCCAGAGTGCTTCTACACTCAGGAGCCAGCACCCAGGGCTCGGTTGTGCTGAAGTTCCTCTCTGTGGGACTCTGCTTGACACCGTGCCCTTCTTGACCTCCTACCTTTTCCTGATCACACTATGTGCTCTCTGACCAGTTTTTCCAAGAAGCATGTCCAACATGGCTTTCACGGGAATGCTCATGCCAGGCTCAGGTTCTGGCAACCCAGGCTAACTCAGGAGCCACACAAATGCTGCTTCTTCCACAAACATTCTCTTGATCATTCCAAAGGAATCCTGCAATAAATTGCTACAGAGATTGGGAATCCAACCACAGGAGTGCAGGCTGGAGGGTGGGCGATGGACAGCAACTTGTTCCCCACATCCCTGAGCTATGTGGGGATATGGCTTCATATGCTCCTTTAATGTGACAGGGTCCTGAGTGAACCATGCACATCACTCCACAGCCCATCAGCTCCTGAGTGTCTGTTTTTGCTCAGTGGAAAAGCACATTTCCTGTTGAGACTCCAGCATGCCTATCGGGCCTTGCTGCATGGAGACCGGCTGGCTGGTGTTGAGGATGGACTGATGCTAGACTAGGCTTACTCTGCGAAATCATCAGTGAGAAGCGGGTGAGGCCAGAAGTGCAGAAGCCACAGAAACAACCACCCGTGGCCAAAGTTTCCATTCCCTGTGCCAGCCAAAGGGAGCCGGGGTGTCCCAGAGGCATGTCTGACTCGTCTGCACTGAGAGGCGGCAGGGAGAGTGTCTTCTCAGTGTTTTCACTGGCTTGAACACGTTCCAGACATTTCTATGTTCTTCTGTCACATTGTTTTTAAAAAAAATCTTGTTTTTGCCGGAAACTCAGATCCAAAGAGCCAAACAGAATCCACTGTGTGGCTATGTATTGGTGTGTTGGAAGCAGGCGCAGACTCAGGTGACAACAGGATGCCCAGCCTGAAATCTGGGGTGCTGTGGAGGATGTGGATATTAGAACCACATGGTATGGAAGAAAATGGCAAGTTGGGTTTCAGAATGGAAAAGATTGTACTTTTCTGTGACCATTTCCAAATAACAGAAAGGGAAGTTCTAGAGAAAAGGCAAGAAGTGAAGTGAATGGTCAGGGCAAGATTGGGCACAGCCGAGGGAGTCAAGTCTTGCAAATATCATCCACCCAAAAGGTATGGACCACACACATTTTGGCCAGCCTTGCCTTTCCTGAGGGAAGCTGTACTGCCATACAACGAATGAAATCAGCCTTTTTATGCTCTAATATTTTAACAAGCCTGGATGAATAGCTGAGCGGCTACATCCACAGCTGGCGATGCTCTACAGAGCGAGGCGTTCATGTCTGACCAGCTACATTCACTTATGTATCCACCCCTTCCCCTACTTTTACAAAACATGTCTAAAAGCTGAGAAGGAAAGGGCTGGAAAGGAAAGGGAGTTCTCATAGACAGATGAATGATGTCTCCTTGTAAAGGTGACAAGAACTTGTACATCCAGTCCAATGCAAAGTACAGGCAGGACAACCACATGACTATGTCTTGTAGATGCTGTTGGTGCCCGCTCAGAAACCCTTTCTGGGGCTGATGCATCCAGCTCCTGATAAAGGCTAAGAGTAAGTTCTCCAGAGTTGCACTTGGCCAGTGCATGCAACCTCACCCAGAAATGCCTAGAAGATTAAGTCCTCACTCCAAGAGGGGTGGTAGACACTAGGGTACAAAGGCCAGCTCCTGCCTCAAGGCAGGACAGCTCTGTGGTGCCATTCACACTCCATGGTCTCCTGGGATCCACCTGAGGCTGGTCTGCAGCCAACACCACTCCTTTGTTGCCTCCTTTCCTGCCTGATCCTGTTTCTCTCACTCCTTTTCTCTGGAGATCTCTCCAACAATGAATGACTTGCACAAGAATCTCTGTCTTGGGGACCCAACCCGAGACAACCTCTTCAGTTGGCTTTTGTTCTAAGTCTCCAAAGGAATGGGGCATCCCTTTGAATTGTAAAATGCATCAGAGGTGAGTCCTCTAGCCTTTTCGGGATGGCCAGAGCAAGATTTGCCTCTTAATCCCTCTAAGTCACTGCAGCCCAAAGCTGGATGAGTGGGTCTAGCTCCTTCTGTCCCAAATTCCAGGCTCAGGAAGACCCTAGTCCAGGCTGTGCACCCTGGAAACTGACCTACAGCACATAACCAAATTTGAATTAGACACCAAAAACAATGTGCACCCCCAAACTCCCACCCCAAACATCTTTGCAATCATTAAAATGGGGTAGTATTTCCTTCCCCCAAATCTCCCTTTGAAGCTTGAAGAAGGATTCTAGAAGGGTTTTATATTTTAATAAGTTTGTTTCCCAGATGATTTCATTACTTGGAAGGCAATGAGTCTGGACAGAACCAAGCATCCTCATTGAGATGCCCTAAAGATTCGTGTTTGCAAAGCTTCCCTCCACTAATTTTGTAGATCTGCTAGATGGAGCCAGTTTACTGCAAGAGTACTTCTCTGCTGAAGCATTTTCAATTCTGGAGAGAGATTTTGCTCTCCTTCATCACAAGGACTAAAACTGTCTAAAAAGTTTTCCACAGGCATGACTTATTTGGGTGGGTATGGACTATAGATGGGCAAACCCAGGGTCTAAGTACTCAGATAACACAGGCAGCATCTCTGCTGGGCACATGGGGCCTGGTGGCCGAGGCTGAGCCTCACAGAGAGATACCCATCAAAAGAAGGATCTCCAGTCACAGACCCTCTCCCCCTCCATGCAGATCTATGCACCCCAGGCCCTGGGGAGCCGCCCGGAAGGAGCATGAGCTATTTTGACTTGGAATGCGGCAAGCTAGGCCAAGGAAGTTGGAGCCAAGAGATACAGTGTCCAGCAAGACACCCGAGAGAGAGCATTTCCCTCCAAACCAGGCCTGTGAGGAACCAAAGAGGCAAGCAGCATAGTGGACCATCTGCAGCACGACCCTAGAAAGTCTGCCTCATTGCAGTGTTTCTGGAGTGTGGAGGGCTAAGCCATTCTCTCAGGGAAGGGGATGAACTGGCCATTGGCTTGAGAAGTGTTTCCCTGACTTGCCCTTAGCCTAACTGATCCCCCCAACTAAGATTCTTACCCTCCAGCTCCAGTGATCCCATTTTATGATCCATTCTCTTTCCCTAAGAAAGCACCCAGATTCTCTCCTCTTACCCACCCCCTGACATCTGATGACTGCTTCACATTTTCAGGCTATTCTACCCTTTTATCCTCAGCCTGGTCCTAAGAATGCAGAAAATAGTCAATAAATGCTGGTTGAAGAAGCATACATATGATTATTATATAGTACAGTGTTAGTACTTGGTTTATTCATTCACTCATTTAATTAAAATTTTGGAGTACCAACTCTATAACAGGTGTTGCATTCATCAGTAAATAAATAGACAGTGTTCACCCGGTTTGCTTATCTTTCTTACTCTTTTTAAAAATACATCACTGAATTGTGTGTGTCTTCCAAGGTATGCATCCTAGACCAACTTCCAAGGTCTTCAGGCCCTCCCACCGGCTATGTCAGAGATAAGATCTGAGATGGTGACTGCTCATGTGACCAACTCAAGGGGATGGAAATGACAGTCATTGAGATAACTGACAAAGAAATGGCCCACATCTGTGATGCTTCCCCATCCAGCTGGTCACCTGGTCGGCTTGCACTGATTCCTGTCACCATGGCAACGAGGCCAGGCCAACCATTTAATTCAGAGAGCTACACAGCAGCCTCACAAGCAACCTCAGGATCCAGAAATAATTCCATTCCCAGAGTCAGATATCGGCAGTGAGACATATAAAACATTATTGGAAAGATTAGAAATACCATACTCTGAACTGCTTCTAAATCCCTAGGGCTGTTGAAATCCCATCGCTATGGCTGGATAGCTCTTAAGGTATGAGAAGTACACACAGGATGCCTGGAAGGTGCTTGGTGTGCTTCCAGGGATGTGTAGATGAGGACAGGCCATACGAGAACAAACTTTGTAAATGTTAATAGTTATATAATGATCATTTTAATATTATTATAAAAATATCCACACTTATTTATGAAACAGATATAATAAAATTAGCTTCAAAAAATACAGTTTTTGAAAGTGAGTTTAAGGAAAATATACAGGAAATAATAATTCTCCAGGGAGTATGTGGATATGGTGAACATGTAAATATGAGATGCAGGAAACTAAAGCACTGGATCCCTGGCCTCAGGAGTAAAAGGCTAAAGGTCCATAGTGAGTGGGATTCTACCACAGTATTAACTTCCTGGAATCCTCTGCTTCTTGAATGGGAAAAATGAATGACTGTAAGAACTCCCATGGACTGAGCAGGTGTGGTGGGCTGAACGCTGGTGCCAGGCTACAGATGCGTTGTCTCAAATGGTCCTTCGAACACACTGGCAGATAAGTGGAGTTGTCACCATTGCACAGATGTGGAGATTTGATTCAGAAAGGAAAATAATCTGCCCAAGGCCACATGACTCATAAGTGGCAGAGACAAATCTAAAACCCTGTTTTCTTGGACTCCAGAGCCCAGGCTTTTAACTACAATGTTGTCCTGAGTACTCTAAAGCAAGCATCTGGCCTTGCTTTAGAGTATAGTAAAGAAGAATATCCATGGCCTTGTCAAGGCCAGAAAGCTCTGTTTGAAATACTTGCAAAGTTTCCTATCAAAAGGTAGATAACTTTCGGATCTAGTGCACAGTGAACAACCTGGGTATCTGCCCACACCACTGGTTTTCATCTGCACCCCGCTTCGGTGTGCCTCCAGTTTGTAACAGCCAGCACATGCACCTTCTCTTTGAAGAGGGGTGAAGGGGGGGCCCTTGAGCACTTCTGGAAGAGCATGGGCAATAATGACACTGCTGCCCTGCCCAGGTCCCTTAACTAATCACTGATGGAGGAAGGTGTTTGCAAGCCCAGCGCCCTTGCCCAGGGCTGGGACATCCTGGAGGGAGAATTCACACTGAGTACCTGTGGGATTAAGATGAAGCCTTCCCGGGCAGTGTTTTGACTGGGGAGACACCCTCAATTTGGTTCCTTCCCTTCCTCTTTCCTCTCCCACTCCTTTCCCAGCATGTCCTTAGTGATTTGCAAACAAGTCCTCCTCTTGAAAGCACTTCTGGGGAGCCCATCCTCATTGGGAACAGAGGAGGGGCAGGGGTGTCTGACACATGAGCAGGAGGGTAGAGGAGGTATGGGGGGTGCCAGAATGTGATGGCAGCGCCACTCAGTGCCTGGGGTGACAGAGCCTGGAAAGGCCTAAGCCAGGGTGACTGGAAGCTCAGGCAACCTTTGTCCATCGAGGACAAGGGTTGGTCATTTCTGCCCTGAGGTCATTGTGCTAAGGGGCATGGAAGACAGATGACACTTCTGTTCAACCAACTCAGGAACACAGCAGACAACACAGATTGGTGCTAGGGAACCAAGCATGTCGAAAGAACCATCTTTGAAGAGGTTAGTTACAGACTAGACAGGTAACAAGGAAGGAGGATTCAATGTGCAGGAAACACAGTGACCAGGAGGAACCGGAATGAGAAGCATATTCAGAGGACAGGGAGGGGTGCACAGCCCTTCCCCTCTCTGGACAACTACGAGCTCAGGTGAGGGACCTGGGGAAAGAAGGTTGGTGCTGCTATCCCTGGCATCTAAATGCAAGGATGGCAGTGAGGACCCCTCCCCTCCAAGGAATGAAAGGGCAAGTTCACATGCTTCAAATGGTTGTTGCCATAACTGGGTGATTAGTGCATGGGAAAAGAGGAAAAGGCAAAGTTGAGTTTTGTGAATGTTCCGTATTTTAAAATATGAATAAATTACTTTCTGCTCGCTGAGAAGAAACAGAGAAGCAATGAGAGATTAGAAAGTGGCAGTGGCACAGATTGCCATGAGGGAGGAGCAGGGAGAAAGAATTGTTTCCTGCAAGCCAGCCATTCATTCCATGCAAGGGCTACAGATGCATATTTTTAAAACCTTCAAGGGATGGCAAAGAGCAAGGATGGGAGATATAAGTCCCCATTTGCCCCCTAGGCAGTTCTCCAGGATTTTGTATGTGTGTACCAAGAGCACATGAAATCCCACATCCCTCAGGAAGGTGGGTCTGAGGTGTGGAACTACCAAATTGAGGAATGGTGTTTATTTTTTAACACTAGAGTGTCTTTGGCAAAATCTTCACCCTAACATCCCAATCTTAATAATAGCTCTAACTGTATCAATTACTGAGTCATAATTACTATATTTAGCAGACATCCAGGTCAGGATTTTTCAGTAGTTCAAATACCACTGCACCTAAAGCCGCTATTTTAGGTGGTTAATGATGCACATGGTAACTTGGGAAACTCCTGGGCATCCCTCTCTCCAGAAAGTCAGGGGATTCGGTAACAAAGGAGGCCAGTGGGACTCTTGGGTGCTGACTGCCTCTCTCTTGGCTTTGTGGATGAAGTATATGGCAGGAGACATTTTTCAACTGCCAGATTTCTCACGAGCCTGAGAGAGTTTCTGTTTTGGGAAAATAAACCAGGAGCCATTTTTTCAATTCCCTAGGGGCCATGGGCTGTGTATTGGAGAGATGCTACCCCTGGGCACAAGATTGGTTTCCATCTCATTACCATCTAGAGTGAAAGATGGGAGGACATGTGGCCTTGGATCAAAAGGACAATTTGAATGAACTGGCAACAGTTCTGATGGCCAATCTGGCCATCAATGAGTAAGGAGGAAGATCTGTGGGATCCAGGGGAGTATTTGGAAGTTTACAAACACAGAAACAGGTGAGCAATTCAGGATCCCCCCAACCAGATACACCAAGGACACAAACTTTCCACACTCCCAAAGACAGTTTCTACTTCCTCCTACCCAGAGCCTCTAAATCTAGTGCTGGATTCAGAAAGAAAATGGGGCAACATTCAACTCCATTATTCAGAACAGTGAAGAACGGCACATTCCAGAGGGAGAGGCACCCACCATAGGTTAATATATGGGCCATCAACTAAAAAGGCCACGTGGTATACTGTACACTCAGTGCTCTGAACTGTTTTCTGAACATATATAATTTGTCTTTGATGTTCCAAAGACAATTCGGGACCCACAGATCCTCAGGGCCACTAGGAAGCTCTCAACAACAGTTAAAATTCCCCTGATCAGCCCCTCTGTGCCCCCAAATTGTAGTTCCTGGCTGGTCATATACTGGAATGTCCCAAAGGCCCTTGGGCTCATTTGAAAAAGTAAATTGGGAAACAAATCCATAAAAGAGAGAAATATGAAAATGTTTAGAATAGTACTTATCAAATTGCAGGCATTTAGTAAATGTAAATTGTGAACCAAGAACAAATGATTCATCAACTATAAACAAAGCCTACTTCAAATATATTACTATGATGTTTATACTTTTGAGTCATGTGCTGCTTTAACCTGCAATGTTAATTAAAATAAAATAACACACAATAAAATGAGATGCTTGCCATTAAAACCTGTGATCTTAACTCAGGATTCTAAGACATGAAAACCCACATACACTGAGAATATAAAAACCTCATATAGCCAATGAGTCAATCATACCTACAAGGGGATTGAGATAATCCCTGTGATAGGGATTGAGAGTCTAGCAATTCTCCATATTATTATGGGACAAAACCCTTTTCTCTTGAGAAATTATAGGCTGTAGGAGTTCTGAATGTATAGATTGAATTAGGCTAGGTGACTTCCCCAGAAATTCCAAGGGTGGCTTTCCTTTCCTGAGTGCATTAAAGGAAAAAAGCAAAGAAGACGTATGCGGGTTTCTGCTCTGTGACTGATCTCAGTAAATACAACTTAAATAATCTACAGGTTGAACATCCCTAATCCGAAAATCCCAAATCCCAACTGCTCCAAAATCTGACTTTGGATCAGTGACATAATGCCACATTGGTGGGCTGAGACAGTGACACTTTTGCTTGCTGATTGTTCAGTGTACACTAACTTTGTTTCATGTGCAAAATTATTAAGAAATTGTATAAAATTACCCTCAGGGCCTGTGTAGAAGGTGTATATAAAACATAATTAAATTTTGTATTTAGATTGGGTACCACCCACAAGATATCTCATTACGTATATGCAAATATTTCAAAATAAAAAAAAATCTGAAACACTTCTGGTCCTGCGTATTTCAGATAAGGGATGCCCAACCTGTACTTGTGCCCACTGTTAACTAGGTTGAAATGTAGTTTGGCCAATTTTCCAACTGAAGCATTTCCTGGTGGTGACAGTAATGGAGAGTCGAGAGTCCCAGCATGTTTTATCCCTCCAGAAGGTTGTTAGGCTGGATGGAGCTGGGCTCTCATTCTCATTTCTTTCTAGAAGGCAATTCCTAGATCTTGGTCTGAGGGAGAACAGAACCTCACACATGAGGCTCTATAATGAAGCACTGCCCTGTTTGTTTTGTTTTCCAGTATAAAGGATTCCCATCCTAACGTGTCAGTCCAGGTTATGAAGTATTAAGTCAGGCAAGAGGAGGTGCAATCCTGATGTGCGCAGAGGCAAGCAGAGCTGGGATGAGAGGGCCAAGTCCCTGCTCCAAGGCACCTGCCCTCTGGCCTCTGCCTAGTACTGCTGAGGGGACTGAGCACTGCCTGAGGTCCCATGATTATAGCTGCAATGGGGGGAAAATGCCAGAGTCAGTAACAATAAAATGCGCTACCCAGCGCATGCCAATTCTCTTCTTGTTTGGTACGAGAAAGTCTCTCTTGACCAGCCCCATCAATCTTCTGGGGAAGGAGGTCCATAAGGGCCTATTTGGGATGTGGTAACATCAACATGCAGAGATGGTCATTGACACATCTTTCAATTTGGCCACAAATTGAAGAAGAAAACAACCCACATATATTGGTTCATCAGGACAAACCAAACAAAACAAAACTCTGTAGGAATTTTGACAATAAAATGGAAGCAGCAGCTAATCATAAAGAAGCCTCATTTTAAGAAGGCTTGGAATAAAGCTTCATGACCTCAAAGTGGCATCAGTATCTTGGGGATCAGCAAATATTTCTAGAATGGAGTAGCTATGGCTTGCTCTGTAAATTCACTGGGATATTAGCGTGGCATACAGACCTTTTTCTTCACCTCAGCTCACAGTGACTGACTAGGTGTAGTGGCTGTGATTGAGTCAAGATGGAATTTCTTGATATCATCTAGTACTGATATTATTGTGCAATAAGCTGGGATTCAGTTCTTCAGAGAGCTTTGGGTCCACCAAATATGTATTAGCTTGGGGACCACAGATGTGTCATTTGTCTCCTCTGAGCCCTGGTTTCCTACCAAATCAGGCAAAAGGCATTTTGCTATGGAAATCTGTATAGTGCTATTGTTGTTATTATTATTATTCAGAAGCACTGATCTGGTACAGGAAAAGGCAATCAGATTTAGTTAAGGTACAGGGAGGAAAATGGAATGGTAAATATGAAAACAATGAAATATGAAGGGAAAAAGAAAGAGAATGAAGGTGGTAAGAAAACAGAGAGGTCTCTTTGTGCTCTTGGAAGGAAACAAAGATTCCTAACGCATGGGGTCTCCAGCCTCTGAGTCCTTCCTTATCATATTACAGGGCATTTAATTCAATTCAAGAGGCATCAATTTGGCATCTCCTGTGTTCTGAGCACTCAGCTCTATGGGAGACGCTAAAGAAGAGTCATAAGGGTACAGCTGACACTCCACATTCACCTAACAGATCTTCCAAACTCTTATAAAGTAATTATCCCCACTTTATAAACAAACAGGCTGAGGTTTAAGGCATTTAAATAACTGTGTTCAAGGACCTGGAACCAGAATCCAATCCCAGGTTTGACGGGCCCCAATGTCTGTACCTCTAACTGCCCTCCAGAGAAGCAGGGCTCCATGGCAAAGACAGAACTTGACCAAAGTTGTGTCCAAGCCCATGGGAGCAGTATCTGATGTATTTAATTCCCAGGCTTCCTATGCAGTAGCACGTCTTTATTGATTCTGCAGGGTCTGGGTGCCTGGCAGAAGATAAGTGGAATCCACATCCTTCCACTTCAGCCACAACATGAGACATACCTCATCACCTCTTTTCTTAGATACTTATAGTCCCTAAAATTAAGCCATTGGGTTGACGAGACATACAAGGATAAAACAGGAGACAAAAATAACCCTCATGAAGTGGAGGTCAGTGCTGTTGATGGAGCTGTGTATGGAGACAGGAGATAAATGAGAACCACATACTTTTGTCCCTGAAGTTGAGCTTGTGGGTTGGGTGTGGGGCCATGGCCCCCAAACCTGAGCTGACACTAGTCACATGATAACAGTTATTTTCCTCATTTATCTCACCAGCAGGCAGATACTTTCTTTCGGAAATTTTCATTTACTTTTTTAAAACATACATTCAATAAAATTCACCACTTTTGGTGTACTGTTCTAGGAGTTTTGGCAAAGGCTTTCATTTCTTCATTCAACCACTGTTACCATCAAGACACACCACAGTTCCATCACCCCCTAATTCTCTGGTAGTTAACTCCTAATCCTTGGCAAACAGTGATCAGTTTTTCTGTTCTTACAATTTAGGAACAGAATTTACTATGGTAATACTTATTTCTAGTCTTTATAAATTCTGTTTCCCTACTTAGTACCATGGACTAGAAGGGAGACTCTCCTTCCCTGGGTCAGCAAGGACTTGCTAAGCCTAGGGATGTGGTGGGGGCATGCATGCTGGTGAGTGAACCTGAGCCAGGGCCATGAGATGGAGCTGAAATTCCCTCCACCTACCCTCCAGCCCACTTACCTCCCACACCCCCACACTGCAGCTGACCCTGCACCCACCTATACCAGACCCCTTGCAGGTAACAGTGCCCACTGATGGCCTCCTCCAAGGCCCTCAATGGACCACCTGGGCTAACCCCAGAAATGGAAGGCAGTCAGGTTTTCAGGACAACAGAATGATAGACAATGGGTAATTGTTCCCGTTGTCTAGAGGGGGATCTCTTTCTCCCATGGGGGGCACTTTGTTTCTGTTGAGATTCTAGCAATGTGAGTAAGATCCTTGGAGCAGGTGTGTTTTGGGAGCGTGTGAATCTTGGTTGTTTGGTCCTTAGGAGCTGTGGATCAGAGGCCCTTCAAGGAGCTGTGAGGCCAGTATGACTGGGACCTTCATCATCAAGGCCAACTCTAAAAAAGTGTATGTATGTTTGAATAGATATATTACATATGCATGTATTTGTTACAAATAAATAACACATGCTTTCAAAAAGTAGCCTTCAAAAGGATAAGAAGGAATGAAGTCCCCAGTCGCCCAACTCCTGGCCCAGATACAACCAGGATACTCAGTCTCTCGAGGCCCTAGCAGGTGTTTTCCTATGAGAATGGTGCACTTAGGCATAAATACAGCCTCCTTTGTTTTTACACAAATAGTAGCTAATTACATACAGTGGTATGTATACTGCAATTTTCACTTAACATATCTTGGAAATCTTTCCACATGGACTCATCAGTCCAGCTGCCTCATTCACTTACTGGGTGTCAAGGAATGACTCCCTTACCCAGGGCCCCATGACAGACAACGAGGCTGCTGCCAGTGTTGGCAAACTGGGCTACAGCATCATCCTATGCACACTTCTTTGTGTATCTGGACAAGAATATTTAGAAGATAAATTCCTAGAAGGGAAATTGATGGGTAAAAGTGCTGCACATTTAAAAAAAATTGACAGAAATAAAATACTATCCAAAGGGCTTATACCAATTTCACACCCACCAGCCATGCATGAGAGTGAGTGCCTGAGTCCCATGCTATTGCCAACACATTTAATTATGTAGCTTTTTGATCCTCTGCCACTATGGTCCAAGAAAAATGCTGTCCAGGGTAGCACTAATTTGCACGTTTGCTTATAACCGAGGAGACTGAGTATCTTTCAGTCTCCTGAAAAAATACACACCTATTTTTAAAGTTAGTTTTAATTTTTTCGTTTTAATTGTGGTAAAAATGTACACAGCACAAAATTTTTCATCATAACCCTTTTTAAATGAACAGCTCAGTAGTCTAAAGTATATTCATGTTGTTTGCGCAGCCACTAGGCAGAACATTTTCATCTTGGAAGACTGAAACTCTTAACCCATTGAATAACTCCCCATTCCTGCCTCCCCCCGGACCCTGACAATCCTACTCTACTTTCTGTCTCTATGCATTTGACTACTCTAGAGACTTCACCCAAGTGGACTCATATAGCATTTGCCTTTTTGTGACCGGTTTATTTCACTTAGCATAATGTCTTCAAGGCTCATCCGTTGTGTAACATACATCAGAATTTCCTTCCTTTTTAAGACTGAGTAATATTCCTTGTACAGATATACAAGTTGAGCATCCTTAATCCAAAAATCTGAAATCTGAAATGCTTCCAAATCTAAAATTTTTTGTGTCAACATGATGCCACAAGTAGAAAATCTCACACCTGACCTCATGTGACAGGTCGCAGTCAAAATGCAATCAAAACTTTGTTTCAGGCTCAAAATTATTAAAAATTTACAAAAAATAACCTTTAGGCTACGTGTATAAGGTGCATATAAAACATAAATGAATTTTATGTTTAGAATTGGGCCCCATCTCCAAGATACCTCATTATGCATACGCAAATATTCCCAAATTTGAAAAAATCCAAAATTCAAAATACTTCTGGTCCTAAGTATTTGGGAAAAGGGATACTCAACCCTTACCACATTTTATTTATCCATTTATCTTTTGGTGGACATTTGAGTCCACCTCTCAGCTACCGTGACTAATGCTCCCATTAACATAGGTGTGCAAATATCTCTTCAAGACCCTGCTTTTGGATATATACATTCTTTTGGATACGTATCTCAAAGTGGAATTGCTGGGTGATTCTATTTGGATTTTTTTATTTCCAGCTAACCGTTAAACACCAGCCAGACCTCAGTTCCTGGAAGTCTCTTTCATGGATACTCAAGCTCATCACAGAATTTGTTCTTAGGTCCCTCAGTTCTCTTTGGTACTCTGGGATTTTGACTTCCAGTGTGACCCAAGAAGAAAGCCAGAAACCAGCAGCACGGACCCAACCTGGCCCCACAGTTGCAAGAAGCTGGGCTATTATCACAGCAACTCCACACAGGCTTAGACCTCAGGACCCTTAGCTGAGCCTCCTGGCCATGTAGATCCAGTAGCTTTTTTCCTGTTCACAGTTGCCCTGACTCTGGTATCCACAGCAAAGGAGGCAACTCCATTTGGAATGTCAGTAAACCTCAGGGCAAGAAAAACAGCAGACACAGCTGGTGAAAATGCCACCTACCCTTAAGAACTTGCCAAATATTCTAAACCCTAAATTTAGGTTTAGTTACCACATACACACACAATTACTCCACAGCCCCACAATCCACTGAAATGTGATAGCCAAATTCTGTGTCAAGTGTCCTAGGCTGGCTGCTGTCAAAATTTATTTTCCATTTATTTCCATTGCAAATAACTTTCTTTGGTCCCTTTTCTCAAAAGGGACCCCAGTTGTTTTGGAAAGCCAAGCTCAGTAAAAAATCTGCTAAGAAGCTATTGTTAGTTAGTATCAACTTCCCCAGGGATAGGGTGGGTAGGAGGAAAACTATTGGTGACCAAGTGCAGCTGCCTTCTGGAGTCCATGGTCAGTGGGACAGTTTGATCAATGAATCAGGACTGATCATTGCCCCTGATGTGCCTGGCCTTAGCAGCCATTAATTACAAGCAAACAAGCTAATCATTAGTAGGTTACTTATTGCTGTCAAGCCTATATCCCTGCAGTGGAGATAGAAAGTGTGTTGTCACGTGAGCAAAGCCAGCAAGACTACATCATGTGCTGAAAGGGAAAGACCACAGCAACACCATGGGCCATTTTTGTGATTCACCACCTTCCCATCTGCTAAGCTGGTCTTCACACTGAATCATAAACCTTGCAATTGAATTCAGCACACACAGGTGCAGAGCCTCCTATTGACTGAACCGTGTGCTTGTGGTGTCCTCAAACTGTCTCCAAGAGTTCTTCTCTGAGATCCCACCAAGTGAGGAGCTAAAGGACAATCTCAGCAGAAGGGTTCTCACTGTCCAGAATATTTCAGCAAGGTATAGGTTCTGTCCTCACAGAAGAAAGAACAATCCTCCAATGGGAAAGGAAATGAGGCTATCTCAGGCTTGCTCCATTCATTGAATCATTCACTCATTTATTCAAATAAAATTTCCTGAGCACATGTTATGTGCCTGCCAATGGCTGGACACTGGGGACACAAGAGAGATTACCATGCAGTGTGAAAGCAAGTGGTGATTTAATTTTACTAATGAATGCAAAGTTTCAACTTGATAAGCACCAGGAAGATGTCCCCAGAGAGTCTAAGACCTGTGCAAGGATGGCTGTGATTCCCTTGGCCTACATGGCAGAGGGGCAAGCAGATTTGGAGTAAAGTAGGGAGATGTGGAGGACCACTGTTCCAGGAAGAGGAAAAGCCCAGAGAAGCCTGGGGGAGGGAGGACAACATGGTGTTGACAGCTGAAGAAGGAGAATGAGGCTTGAGGAAAGAGAATAAGGAATGACGGTGAGGTGAGGTGCAGAGGGTGCCAGACAATGCAGGCCAGGTGGGCCAGGTGGGCTGGGAGGATCAGGTTGAAGTGTTGGTCTTCACCCTTAGAGCAATGGGAAGCCATTTGCATTTCTAAAAAGGGGGTGCACAACCAGGCTGAATTTCTTGAAGGATCATTCTGGCTGTCATGTGTACAGAGTATTGGAGGCCAATGAAGCAACATGGGCTATGGTGGAGTCCAGGTGAGAGGAAGAAGTGCTTGGCTCTGCAGTGGAGATGTGTGCACAGGGTGGGAACCCGGGAGGAAGACTGGGTCTGGGAGATGGGTCTAGAGGTCAGTTTGGACATGTAGCATTTGAAAAGCCTATGGCTTTTCCAGAAGGAGGTGTCCACTAGGTCTAGAGCCCAAGATTATAAGGCTAGAGCTCAAAGAAGAACCCTAAGGGGAGGGGCCAAAGAGGGGAAATCCTTGCACTCACTCCATAGAAAAGGGCCCTCTGTAGGAAGATCACTCGGGGAGCACTCCCCGGGCTCTCTGTAGGTGGAATGAAATGCTGATCTGGCTTTCATGACTTCTCCAGGGAATCCCCCTGGACACTTTCCCCAGCTGTCCTGCCAACATCAAACTCTGCTCATCCCAAATCAGACTCACTCTGCTCTCCCCCAGCTTGGAGACCCACTAGTCCTTTCGTAGACTTGTGGGACCACCGTTTCTCCAGGCACCCAGCTGAAGTCAGAGTCATTGTGAATTTTCCTGAATCTCTGCCAGATTCTTCTCCTATTCATGGGATGGAATTTCTGTTGAGTCTAAAGCCAGCCTCCTGAATTTCCACTGTGACTCCACCATTTACCAACTGGACAACCTTAGACCAGATATGCCTCAATTTCCTTTTCTAAGATGGTGGCTGTGGCCTCATACACTTCACAGGGCTGTATAAACTAAGCACTAGTACGTGTGAAGTGCTAAAACGGGTGTCCAGCACATAGTCACTGCTCAATAGTTATTATTATCACAACTTTAATATCTTCTTCAACATACTTTGGGCACACTGACAAGCCAGGACGTAGCAATGTAGCACCTTCTCTTGAGAGTGTTGCCTATACTATCTATTTCTTCCTCTGGACTGGAAACTCATCGTGGGCAGAGGCTGTTTCTCATTACTATTTGGTTCCCAAGTTCCTGTCGCAATGCCCTGAATGTGCTCCAAAATGACCACTACTTCTATGATTGTGCAGTCACAGCAAATTTTATAAGTCCAGGCATGCAGTGGGCAGTGAGAGAAATGAGCATTAATAATGTTCCTGTCAAGAACCCAAAGTATTTTTAGAGGTTTTGTATTAAATAGGGTAGTCAATATGTATTTGTTAAATTCTATTGGATTTTTCTGGGCTTACTAAACTCAGTTCTGCTGTTTCAGCCTTTCAGGAGGACAATAAAACCAGTAAGGATCAGTGTCCCAGGACCCAAATATTCATGAACAAGAAACCCAGCTCTTAGATTGAGTTCACTGGCCAAGGGGACTCAGATAAGCCAACTGGTCTTTGGGGAACTTCCCCCTTTCTGCAAGATCAGCACACAGAGTTGCCCTCCCAACCATGAGAATAAGGTACATGGAGTCTACAGAATGTTCTGGTCTCCTCTGTGAGCAGGGTTCCAGGAGCTGAATGGGCTAGTTGTCAGACAAGGGCATGGAACCAAGTCTAGGGCAGAGGATGCCACCACATGTCAGGTAGGCAACATGGTAGGCAAGACCCCAACTAGTTTCTGCAATAGTGCACCTCAAACTGGACACAACTTTTTAACCCCGAATTCAGGCAGCTGTGTGTGTAATGATGTAATATAGTCCCAAAGGCAGGATGGCTCAGCTGGGTAAGAGTGGGTTTGGGAAGCCAAGAGAACAATGTAGAATATGATATTTATATGTATGAGTGACCATTTCACAGAATCATCAATGATTAGAACCTCTCCTCTAGTCCAAAGGAGAAAACAGCCCCAGAGAGGTGAAATGACTTCTCTTAGCTCACTCATCTTAAGGCCAGGCACCCAAGTGCTCTGTCTCCTAGGAACTGCAACTTTCTGCTGCATGCAGCAGACACCTCATCACACCATACTGAACACATTTCAGTCCAAAAGAGGTAGCAAAAAACGAGTATGATTATAACATTGTTAATGAATCTAATGTATTTGTGCTTTCTTAGCCAGGCCAGCACTAAGCACCTCATATGCATTTCCTGGATTTTGCAACCACTATATGAAATATGCATCACAACAGTCCCTTTTGATAGAGGGAAGGACTGAGTCTCACTGAGTTTCAGCAGCTTGTTCAAGTCCCTGGAATGAGCGGGTATTGAGGCCAAGGCCCTTTAAAATTTTCTTTCAAGGTTCTCAAAACCTGAGTGTAGCTGGGGCTGTCAGTGTCCCAACCATGTGCCTTAAGCATTCATGGTCCTCATGCAAGTGTCGAGGTCCTTTCCTCATCCAACATGTGGGACAATGGGACAGACCAGAGCTAGGGGTTAATGCCCCTGATGCAGCTCCAGCCAATGACTGATGGGAGCTGGAGGGTAAAACCCACAGCCTTCCCCTCCCCTACTGTCTCCCAGAGCTCTCCAGCTGGAGAAAGCTTTGGTTGCCCACAAAAGCAATCTGCTCACTCACTCACACAGCTAATCTTATTCCTTTCCCTCTCTTGTCTCTCTTCCCCACTCACACACCAAACTTCCTGGGATCACCTCCCAAATAAACCACTGACACTTGAATCTTCACTCAGGGGTTTGCTCCTTGGGGAAGCCATTCCAAGCCAGCATGAGAAAAGAGGATGGTTTTCATTCTGTAACTGCGAGAAGGGAGAACAGAAGATCTGTATGAAACACTTCAAGGAGATGTCAGGAAAGCCAGTCTAGAGGTGCAAGTTTCACTCGTAAATACAGATATGGAGCAATTACAAAGCCAAGAAGAGCTGTGTGCAAAATGGGTAAAGTGGAAGATGGGCAATGAGTAATTAACCTGTGGCTCGCCCACAGTCAGATATTCCTGGTGAAGGTGGTGAAACTAAGTGGACATTGGCAGGAAGGAAGCATGTGGAGGTGTGTTAGCCATGAAAGGCTAAGACAACTGGTACTCTATGACTCTCTGAATGCACTGATCTTTCAACTTAGGGGTAGTCAGTCACTGAGCATGGCATGGGCCTGTTAGAAGCCTGGGAGAATGCCACACCATCCTCAGAGACCTGCTACATGCTAAGGGACAGCAGAGCAGCTTTCTGTGGAGGAGGAAAGAGAAAGTTCCACAGCCCGTGTGAGAACAAGAACAATGCTTCGCTTTTGAAGGAGACCTGCCACTGACAAGCAAGACCATCTACTGGTTTGTTCAGTCAACAGGAGTTGATTGACACTGGGGTGACTGCCAGACACTGGGCTTTATTTTGGGGATGCAGATGAACTTGAGACAACTCCTGTCCTCAAAGTGCACTTGGTTTGCAGTTCCTCATCATGTAACATGAATGAGATGGGCAGAGTTTGAATGGCCTGGTGAGCCTCGACTTATCTATCGGACACAGAAGGCATGCAGGGTTCTTTTACAGCATAAAAGCTCTCGAGTGTGGTCATGGGCCCAGACTCCTCTTGTTGGTGGAAATGCTCACCCTTCCCCCAAAAGGGGCTGAGAAACACTGCTGGTTGCTGGGGACACAGCCACACATGGGCACACTGTAGCTTTGTAAGCTGGATTAGTCAAACCACAATGGATGGGGGGCTGTGGTTCTTTCAGTCCCCTTTTAAAAACTGTCTTTGAGGTTACACTTCAGAAAAGCTCCCCTCAAAAGAAGAGGATGTACCTAAACCCCAAGGATATACTCTATGTCAAATATAAGAAAAAAACCATAGCACGAAAGATCATGCCGAGAACAAGAGCAGCAAACATTTTATCAGCTCATTTACAGACCTGATCAGGTCAGATGGCCACTTCTGAAATAAAAATAGAGCCCTAAAGATCCATCAGTTGTTATGGGAAATCAATAAGGCTCTGAGCCTGCACTTCATTTCTCCCAGGGAGTAGAGGGAGGGGAATGCCAGTTATCAATTTCAGGAAGGCTGAGACAGGACCAGAACCAGGGACACAAGGTCATCTCCTGGCTCCTGACTTTGATGGACAATCTCTGGATTCAGATCACTAAATGAAATCCCTGCAAATAACCAAGGTGACAGATGGCAATAAATGAGAATGACTGAGGACTTCTTGCTAGCAGCGAGGATGGGATTCCTGATGGCTTTCGAAAGGGGGAATTGATGTCCAGGGACCTGGGCATTCTATTTCTGGATAGTTTCCTATCCTCCAGTATAGACTGTCCTTTGTGAAGATGAGAACCCATTCTTTCATTCACTTCTAATACCTGCAAAACCCAATAGTAGCCATTTTGTTCCTTTTTGGATCAAGTCTTAATGGTTTTGTATCACACAGGGTAGAGTCAGTAGGTACAGTGTATACTATATTCACGTGTAAGACTGGCAAATGGGAGAAATTGTCAGAGGAGCAAGACCATAATCAAGCCATTTGCCTTAATTGGGATGTCATCGACACTTTAGGTACATGGCACATGGCACCCTCATGCCAGGATAGCACTGCCAGGAGGAGCCAGAGTTGAACCAAAAGCCAAAAACTCTCTGCCTATCCAAGGACTGTGGTGTCTGTGATGCTGAACTCTGGATGAAGCACTGATCTCTCTCTGTTGAGTTCCTTCCACACACTTACACTGTGGAAGAGAAATTTTGTAGCTCAAAAATACTTCTGGGTAATGACTTTATCTGCTATTAAAATCTCACCTTTTTTGGACTTAGCTTGCCTCCAAATAAATTGGCGATCTACTCCCTGCAGGTTCTACCAGTTGCAAACACCTGCCTCTTTCTCCTGGATTTGTTATTCCTGTAAACGTTAGTGGCATCCACACAAGCTCAGAACAGAGGATCTGGAATCTTTTGGCCTCCTCAGGCTTGACCCAGCCCAGGGTCCAGCCAGTTTCCAAATTTGGAGGCCCATCTCCTGCTTGCTTCAGCAGTGCCTCCACTCTTCCTCACCTCGTTGCCATCTGGCAGGTCCTAGGAGTTCCACCTGCTGGATCCATTATAAAGAAGGAGTACTTCCTTTCCCAGTCTCTTCTGCTTGCGTCTGCCTGGTTAATAGCCCTGTGTCAGCTCAGCTGTCAGCAGAGTGAGGACCACAGTCCTTACTATGGCTAGGCACCAGTCCTCGTCTTGCATTTATCCCACCCCAGCTCAGCTGACACCCGTAGGGTTTACCCACAGCAAGAAAAACGAGCCCTTACCTTCCTTGCATTATTATTTGTTTCTAAGTCTCGAAAATGCCCTTATAGTGCCCAGAAGAGAGAGGAGGGCAAAAGAATCAGAGGGAGAGAAGATTAATGAGCAAGCAGGCATTGCTGTGCTATCGTTCCTCCTCTGGTGGATGCCTCTGGAATTTTTTGTGCTTTGGGAGAGGAGCCCTGCCTGGGTTCCCATAATTATGGACACTGACATCCTTGCTACGGAAGGCCCCATACTTTCAACTGGATTTCCCTCCTTTCTGAAGCAACCATCTTCAAGCATTCACCTAACTCTCTCCGACAATATGTTGTATAGTTTTACATATTTTGAATGCTAGTCCTTTATCAGACATGTACTTTGCCAAGATTTTTCTCCTAGTCTGTGGCTTGTCTTTTTATTCTCTTCATGGTGTCTTACACAGAGCAGAGGTTTTGAATTTCAATGAAAGCCAGCTTAGCAAATTTTCCTTTCATGGATCATGTTTTTGGTATTGATCTAAAAGATCATCACCAAACCTAAAGTCACCTAATTTTCTCCTATGTTACCTTCCAGGAATTTTATGGTTTTGCATTTTACATTGAGGCCTACATTTAATATTGCACAGCAGGAAGAAAAGTCATTCGCTAACCAGTAAGAACATCAGGGATGGCCTTACTTCTGTTTTTCATCAAGTCCAGGATTTACACCTGAGGCAAGCTCGGACATATTATTTTTAACTACCAACATCTCAGATTAATATCAATTGCTCACCAGAATGAATCTCTGAAGGCATTTATATAACCAGCTGCAACACCAGCAAGGAAGACATTGGGCAGGCAGAGGACTCTAGCTCTCCGGCCTGGGAGTGGATCGCGTGGGTCTGACAGAAGAATGGGAGATCAAGGAGGATGTTACATCCACAGTGAGTTTTCCCAAGTCATTTGCCTATTTTCCCACATGCTTTGCTAAACTGTCCTTCTGTCTGATTTGGCCAAGGCTATTCCCATTGTTATAGATTAGGCTCAAGTCCTAATGTCAGTTCTGGGCTATCTCCTTCACACTACTCATTGGTTTGGTTTGATGCTGTAGTTTTAATAAAACCCAAAACACATTTCCAAGTATAGAGTAGGAAGAAAATGTTTCTTTGTTGCTCTCCATCAGAATATTTTCAGGTCTTTAGGTAAATCTAAAAATAAATTTTTGGAATTTTTAAATTAAACTGAAAAAATGATTTAAAAATAAGTTTCCATCCTTCACCCAAGAACACATACTAATTAAAATAGTTTTCTTTATATAGGTTGTGCAAGATTAAAGTCAATTCCTATTTATTTTATTATTTCTTTTTTTGTCATTATAATGCAAATAAAAGATTGAGTGTATCTTCTAACTGGTCATGTCCAGTAACTGGAAGAACTATTAGTTTCTGCATATTTATCTTATGTTCAATCATTAACACTTTCTTATTAATTTTAAGAGATTATCACTAGATTCTCATGATTTTCTAGGTCTATCATATTATCTGCAAATAATAGCAGTTATCTTTGTATTTACAATAGCCATCCATTGGGCCCTTTAAAACGGTAAATGGAAATGGGAATGGTGGCCATTCTCTGCCTTGGATGTGATTTTTTTTTTTTTCTTGAGACAGAGTCTCACTCTGTTGCCCAGGCTGGAGTGTAGTGGCGCGATCTCAGCTCACTGCAAGCTCCACCTCCCTGGTTCATGCCATTCTCCTGCCTCAGCCTCCCGAGTAGCTGTGACTACAGGCAACCGCCACCACGCCCGGCTAATTTTTTTGTATTTTTAGTAAAGATGGGGTTTCACCATGTTAGCCAGGATGGTTTCGATCTCCTGACCTTGTGATCCTCCCACCTCGGCCTCCGAAAGTGCTGGGATTACAGGCGTGAGCCACCGCGCCCAGCCTGGATGTGATTTTTATGGGGCGTGTGTATTTCCTGGTCACCTCTATTGTGAACTGTTAGTGTCAGAGAGCCTTTTTCATATCAGAAGATACCCTTTCCTTCCACATCAAACAGTTTTTCAAAAGTTGAATTCACAGAAGCAGAGAATAGAACGGTGGTTACCAGGGGCTGGGGGAGTGAGAAATGGATAGGGCAATGTTGGTCAAAGGGTTTAAAGTTTCAGTTAAGAGGAATATGTTCTAAAGATCTGTTGTAGAGCATGGTAGTAATGAGATGCTGTACAATTGAAAATTGTTAAGAGAGTAGATCTTAAATGTTCTTACCACACACACAAAAAAATTCCAACATGAGGTGATGAATATGTTAATTAGCTTGATTTAATCATCCCCTAATATACACATATATCAAAACATCTTGTTGCACCCCCTAAATACATACAATACAGAAAAAATAAAAATGTTCCTAAAATATTTTTCTTTCACATAGTGTTTTTCTCCACGGAGACCCAGCTCTATGATGGATGGCACTGGTAGATATTCTACCATTAATCAGTCTTGGTATCACCAGGATAAACCCCTAACTGCCCATGAGAGGTGATTCTTTTAATGTATTGCCAAATGTAGTTAGTATTTTCCTTAACAGTTCTGAATTTTTAATAATTTTCTTTTCAGGTGCTCGCTATCAGATTTTAAAATCCGGGTTGTGCAGTCTTCTTGCATTGGGAATTAAAAGCCTCCCTCCACCATTCTCTGGATACCAGGCACAGGGAAGTGGGGGAGCCCCGGGGGACACAGGGCCTTCTTGATCACCTGAAGTCATATAATGTGCACACCGTCCTGCTGTGCCTTGCTTCAGGCTGGTGCTGCTGGAGACCAGACAGGGAATTTTAGAAGTAGCTGACACCAAATCCATCCTGACTTCAAAAGAAAAGCTAGACTGGAATTGCCACTGCGGCTGACAGGCTTTATGAAGCGAGCTCCCTCAGGGACCCGTGTTGAGTAAGACAAGTAGAACATCTCCTCCGACAGTTTAATTAAGTTGAGTGACTTTCACTGTTCTGGAAAATAAACCAAACCATTTTCTCTATTAGCAAAAATGACAATTCAGCATCCAGACAGATTGCTGAATTAATAAAAGTTCATTAGAAAACCCATCTTTTAATTAGAAGTCTCTGCAGACCAAACCACAGAATTAAGGACTGATCTGATTGCAAAGGACAGTGAGAGGTCACTGGGGCAAAGGCCTGGGCCAGCCCGATCTCACCTACACTGCCTTGGAGGGGCGCTTACTGGAGCCCATCAGCCTCTGCATAGCAGTGGCCAGACCCTCTGTGGACAGCATTGTCCCTGAGAGAGTCTGGTATGAACTACACAGACCACACAAGGAGGTGGTTCATGAAGCCAGAGAGAGCTCAGAGGCTGGAATTCAGCTTCCGGGGTTCAGATCCTGGCTCCCCAATTCCCCAGCTACATGACCTCAGAAATGGGAATAAAGTACTTAATGTATGTCACAGATTGTTGTAGGATGAAAAAAAGAAAGCTACAGAAAGGGCTTAACGTAGTTCCAGTAAGTGCTCAAGGCGGGTTACCCGCCATTGCTGTTGTTATTACCACCGCCACCACCACTACTGCTATTTCATCATTGTTATTATCTCTCCTGGGCAGGCAGTGTGGTGCATTGTGAGTTAGGAATCTAGAGTTCTGAACTTAGCCAATTCCATAAACCCCAAGCCTCTGTTTTCTTACCTTTATAATGTAAATAAATAATCTCTATCTTGTTTTACAGAGTTCTAAAGAACATGTGCTTTAAAATCCTGAAGAGCCACACAGATACAAGCTTCGTGTTCTGCTGAATGGATAACAATAGCAAACATAAAAGAACCCTAAACCTCCGAGTCTCAGGAGCAAGATCTTTGGCTTTGAAAGTGGCAAAGCTAGGGTTCTGGGGGTTCAGGAAGGAGGGGAGAGGCCAGAAATACTAACTCTGGTATCAGATGCATAGCGGCCTCTGTATGTCTGATCCAGCCTTGATCAGTGGCCCCCGAACCCCAGCTAGCAACCCCAGTGCCCAGTGGCCAGCAAGTGTGCTGTTCAATGGGCTAAACACCCCTTGTTCCCTTCCCAGCCTCGTTCTTACAAGCAGCTCCCACCACTGCTGATGCCGGCCCTGTATGCAGCCGCAGGGGAACCCTGCTAGGGGCCCAGGAAGTCCGCATGCCCAAGGGTGTGAACGTGGATGATTGAAAATGGGGTGGTTTCTCTTCCTACCCCACTCACTACAGCACACCCCTGTATTTCAGGCAACGGTAGTGGGGACGTCCACAATCCCGTTCATCCAACAGAAAATCCTGCAGTTCCCAGGAAAGCCAGTGTAGGAGGTCTTGGCTCCCCTAGTTAACCAGGAGATTGACATAAACTATTCCAGAGTTCCCACGAAGGTCTGGTGAAGGAAACGGGTATGACCCTGGAGATTCACAGATGAAAATGAGGTAGAGCGTCCTCATGGCTGGAGGAGGGAAGTAACACACTTGACTTCTGGCTTGGTTTCCTTCCCCACATGTGTGAAGCTGAAGTGTCCTCATCACTGGCATTGTCATTATCAAAAATCTGTGGCAGAGGCTTGCTAGCAAAGCCTACATCCTACCTGCCATCCCAGGGCAAGCCCAGTTTCTCTGGAAGGTAAAGAAGGCCATTACATAGACTAAATCTGCACCAACTTTAAATGTGCCTTCAGTTTTAAAACGCCTCACTGGACCCCTAGAGTTGACCACCCATGCATTTTTTATGTGCATAACGCAGGGCCCCCAGGCAGGTGACATAGGTCATTACCTTTCAAGTGAAGGATCTATTTAAAAATATGTTGAAAGCTACCCACCATTTCCATAGGGAAAGCACAAGTGCACCACTTCACAGCGTTCACCAAGTTCCTAAACTCCCACCCCAGTGGATCCTTCCAGGGATCCGTGGACCCCAAATTAAGAACTTCTGCTCTACACAACAGGAATTTTAAAAGAAACAGTACATTAAATATTTGCAAAAATTGAATAATTTTAAAACCCCAGGAGAACTTGGGATTTAAAGAACTACATGGCAAATTCCTTTGTAAAGCAATAATCTCTCTGTCATGCAGAGATTTGCAGACTATTACTTTCATATTTTCGATTTTCAAATGTTGCTCTTTTTTAAAGGAACCGTTTGAAATTTGGATATAGGGAGACAAATTGGCTGCCTCCATTCAGTTAAAACTTTTTCTTTTTAATTAAAAAAGCAACTAATTATAGACAGTGCTGCAGGGGACATCAGGGTATGGAGGGAAGGAAACTTTGCCACCTCTATCTACTACACACTTTCTTTTCTTCATTCCCACTCTTCCCCGACAGAGTGATGGGCTAAGCCATCCTGAACCAGCTTCTGAGGGCCAAGTAGAAACATGCAGGGATGTTATGGGCTAGTTGTTAAATGTCCTTGTCTTGACATTGGCCATTATGGGGGTATTTATACCACAGAAATAGGGACTTCTCCCACCCAGCCATTTTATCTGGACACCCCTGCCCCCACTCCCTTGAACACACATGCATTCAACATCTAGAAACATTCACAGAGACGGCATCTGGCTTTCCAGCTTCCAGTGCAAAAAGAGAAATGCATTAGCAATGAACCCTAAGGAAGAAATTGGAGCCACATTGATTTTGATAGTATATTCGTTAAGGCTGAAATCTGAGGCAGTTTCTGTGAATCTGTCAGGACCATATTCATGGACTGACCAAAACAGCAGTTTAGAGCGAAGACTGGGCAAATCTGGGGATCTCTCATGGACGAGAGGTGCACAGCAACGCCAAACACTGAAGGGGCCTTTCCACTAGATCATCACTCACAGCTCCAGCACGGGGGCTCCCCTCTTACTCTGCTTCTTCTTCAAGCCCTCAAGACATCTCTACCCCAAAACGTCAAAATACCACATAGCAACCTGAGAACCCCAGACATGTTCTCCAAGCCCCTGACACACCCTCTGCTGGGGACTTGTCCTTTCTCAGTCTGCTGGCTTGAATCTTAGATGCTCAACCTTGTGCCGTCTCCCTCTGAGGCCCTCCTGATGCCTTCTTTTAGGAGAAATCTATCCTGCTTCGAACCCCCACAGTGTTTTGCTGATATCTCCCTTATGTTACTTACCACACTGGTGTTACAGCTATTGTGTGTGTTTTGCACCTCAGCTAGCCTGCACCTCCCTAAATGTCTGGGTCTACGTGAGTTTCACATCACTAACATGTGAGTGGGGAATAAAGGAATGAACTAACATGCATACGTGTGTGATCTACTTGGTGCCAAGTCCTGTGTTATGCACAGAAACACAGAAATGAGTGGGTCAAAGTCTTCTTCTGCGTCTAATTTCTGGCATTTTGCATGGTTAATGTCAGCGCATCAGCCAATAGTAGTCATGTCTATGTGTGTGTGTGCGTGTATGTACATGTGTGCACATGTACCCGAGTGTATGTGCAAAGGAGGGGGAGAAGTTCAGCGTACAGACTTAATGCTGTGCATCTGAGTGACCATTCCCCAGACTCTGATGTCATCCATATTTTAAGGTCTGAGCAAACCATACTTGGGAGAGAGAAGAACACTCTGTTGATTCTTGGGCAGTGCAGCCTGGCCTCCCAGTTTCAGCCCTCCCCCTTTTCAGAGAAAAAAAGTTGGCCCTAAAATCCTATACCTGGAGTTGCTGAGATAACAGCCCTGCTCAGGGATCTGTGTAGCCTCCTATCTCTAATTTGGGTATTGTCATCTCTGAGCCACATTTGAGGCTGCTTCACTTTTGGGAAACAGACACATTGAGTGGTTGTACAGCAGATGGAAAAGAAAGGATATTTGCACGAACATTTGGGGGTAGGACTTTGGTCTCCAGTGTAAATCTCTAACCGGCTGACAAGACAGGCAGAGCTGAATGGGCCAAGGAATTGATCAGGAACACAGGTGGCAGGGCATCTTCACACACTTGTGCACAGTCCTAAAACTGTGGGAACGACCTGAGCTTGCCGGCGGTTCTCAAGCAAGGGTCCCTGGCTGAACCTAGAGCACCTCTAAGTTTGCAGGGAGGAGGTCTATGTGGGCAGACTCCCTACCTTAGTATGAACATGGGTGTCACCCTTGCATGGGAATAATTTTAGGTTTGAAGAGTCGAGGTTGGCAAGATGACATGCTTGAATGGGCATGTGACCACAGCCGTTTCCTTTGCCAATATTCATAAAGTGATGGTGTGCTTGCTAGTTTTTCCCAAAGCTTAATGGATAGAGACCTCAGGCCACTCTTCCCCGACCCAGACATGTAACATCATGGAAGACTAGCACGAGAATGGATTTAGGAAGCCAAGAAGTACATTGACTCTCATTTTGCAAATCAGTGAGCTGAGGTGGAGTCACAGGTCCAAAGTCACACAGGAATGTACTGGCAGAGCTGGACTGGTCCTCAGGTCACTGATGTCTACTGGATGTCCTCAGATGAAGGCATCATGCAACATTGACTCTGGGCTACCCAACAGTGGATGCAGCTACGTGGAGTGCTCCCTGCTTAGCACTGTGGGCAGGCTGGAATTTCTCCAGTATGGCAGGTTGACCAGGGGCGGCTTGGGAACATGTTGTTCTCCAAGAAGCTTCTATAGTACTAACTAAAACAGTGTCTCCAAGCCTAAAAGGTGAGAAAACTCAAGCAATGCATATAATTTTAATTTCCATCAAAGCTCCCCACTGCTGCCACCAAACCATTTCTCCATCTCCTTGTTCGAGTCCCAGACCCTTTGAAGTTCCTGTCATCCAGTTCCTACGCCACCCTTCCCAGTCCTCCTCATCTCCTGCCTGCCCCATGCACATCCTTCATCCCCAGGCTTGGTCTCTGCTCATCCGTCCGCTTCTGTCACAATCATGGTGATGCCAGGATCCATGGAGATGACCATCCAGAGCCGTGACCTCATTTTTCCTAATGATCATGCTCTCTGCCCCTCCTAAGCATTGCCCTTTGTTATCATAAACGACGTCATGACATCAGACATGCTGGTGTTAAGTATCCATCTCTCTGAACTCCTGCATCTGTCCAGGCCATTCACTCTAGAACCCTCAGGGCTCCAATCCCTCTTTTCATTACCCACCGTTCCCTTCCTACTTTTACTGCACTGGCTGCCCACAAGATCCCATTGTCTATCCTTCCAGTTTCTTCTTTTCAAATACACTCACCTCCTTGCCCCTCTCATCTCAGGTAGTACTTAGCTGGCTAAACTTCAGGCCATGGTTAAACCCAACATACACTTAATCTGGGCCATATCCGAGCAATTTATGTGGCCAGAGAAGACAACAAGCCTGAGCTAGCTGACCTCAGCCTAAACAGGCCATGGAAGCTCCAACGGGCACCAGCAGAGCTGGGCAATCAGACCACATTTTCTTAGTATGTTTGCTCCCTGCTCTTAGAGGTGACTGCTTCATGCTTTCTTCTCTCTCCTTGAATGTGCCATCTCTATTGACTCAGAATTTTGCCTTATATTTGGAAGAAAATAGGAGTGACGAGATTTTCACCTTCTCCACCAAATCTCCCAGCCTCCTGGTCTCTATACCCATACTCTCTCCTGCTTGCTGTTAAAATGGAAATGTCCCTGCTGCTTTAGTAAGTGTATTGGTGAACTCGGATTCTGAGGCCTGTACCCCCTTGGCTTTTTGAGAGCTTTCCTCTGACAGCTCCCCCATCCTTGCCACATTAACATCTCCCTTTCTACTCCATCATTTCCATCAGCAAACAAATATGCTACGGAATCTCTATTCAGAAATATCTCTTATCTTACAAACAGATCCCTATCTTGTTCAGTATCCACTGTCAGCTACCATCTTATATCTGTGCTCTAGTTTTCAAAGACAAAATTGAAAAAGCTTAACTCCACTTTCTCATTACAGTCACTCTTGACCCATCCAATCCATTTTCCACTCTAAAACTTCCCTCTAAGACTGCTCTTGTCTGCTCCATGGTGCTGAACATCTCAATGATGCTTCTCCAACCTCATGTTCCCTGGTGACCACTCTTTCCTATGGAAGCTCTCTCTCTTCCTGGTTTCTAGGACATACCTCACTGGCTGCTCCATCTTGGTTACCTCTGCTCCTGGATGCTGCAGGGTGAAGAATCAGGTGGCTTTTTTTTTTTTTTTTGAGACAGGGTCCCACTCTGTCACCCAGGCTGGAGTGCAGTGGTGTGATCTCAGCTCACTGCAACCTCCACCTCCCAGGTTCAAGCTATTCTCGTTCCTCAGCTTCACAAGTAGCTGGGATTACAGGCGTGCACCACTACGCCCAGCTAATTTTTGTATTTTTAGTGGAGATGGGGTTTCACCATGTTGGCCAGGCTGGTCTCGACTTCCTGACCTCAGGTGATCCACACTCCTCGGGCTCTCAAAGTGCTAGGATTACAGGCATGAGCCACCATGCCTAGCCTCAAAGGGCTCATTTTCTAACTGAGTTGTCTTTCCAGGTCAGCTCTAGCTTTCAGTACCACTTACAAGCTTATGTCTCCAAAGTGAGTATCTCCAGGCTTGACCTCTAGCCAGACTCTAGGCATATCTACCCTTAGATAATAGCCATACTTGGATAATTTAGATGACTGTACACTTGAAATTTCCCCCAAATCTATTCTTTATATGTACAACCCAGTCTTCTCTGTCTCAGGAAATGCTGTCACAATCCACCAAGTGGTTAAGCCACCCGTTTGGAGTTTTTCTTGCTTCTTTTCTTTCTGCGATTCTGTCCCAATCACCAGCACATTCTCTTTCATTCTCAAATATATGTTGCACATCTGCTCTCTTCTATCTCTATCACCACTACCATCTCTTCCCTGGACCACTCAATGGCCTCTTAATTGATTTCCCGGCTTTTGCTTTTATCCCCCTACAATCCATTTTTCCCATCCAACAGCTAGAGTGATCTTTCAAAATGCAAATAAGCTCATGTCACTGCTGTGCTTAAATGATATCCGATTGCCCGGCTTATTCTTTTCATAGCAATTACCCTGTACTGTCATTACCTCGATTATTTGTTTTCTTACCTAGTGCCTGTATCCCCTAACTAGAATGCAAGCTCAGAGGTCAGGGACCCTGTCTTATTCCTCAGTGTGCCCAGAATAAGCCCTGACATGTAGTGGATGATCCAGATCATATTTTTAAATAAATTAATAAACACTTTCTGAGTGGGAGGTCTTTTCATCTAATTTCAGGCCCAAGAAAGTTTCTTGTTGTCAGCAGAATCTCTGTACATTCGAAAGACGAGAGGTGCTTTAAATAGACACCGGTCTTGGCAGAAGCCAGTGTGCTAGGAGAATAGCATCTCTGTGGACCTTTTACCACCCTCAGAAACTGAAAGCCCCTAAATATAGGCCAGCCATTAAAGATTCATGAGATCCTGTGGCGACTTATCAGAGCCATGGAAATCGGACACTTCCATCATGGTGGACGCTTTGACATTTGTTCCTAATCAGCGAATGCACATATTTTATTACCTTTTCAGGGAAGTATGGGGCACTATTCCAGAAGCATAAGAGGCTTCCCTTAGCGCTGGGATTATGCTTTGCTCTCCAATCCAAATATGGAACACCCACGAGCCACTTCCACTGCACACTGGCTGCAAAAAGAGGTGGCTCAGACCTGACTCCCTTTCCAGTGTTGCTTCAGGCATCTTAGTTGCTCACTGTCCTCATTTCTTTGGTGCATTTCACTTAATCACCACTCAGGAGAGGTCTGCAGCATCCTTTCCTGTGGCAATCAGACGGTGTGGCTAAAAGAACTATTGCAGGGAATAGGTATGGGAGGAATCAACCTGAAATAATGACATTATTTGACACTTCACAGAAATTCTATTCAGATTTATTATTTAGACTCCTACATTCAAGAAAAGCCAAACTTCTCTACATAGTGAAAATACATTTGTACTTTGTCTAACAAACACACTATAGAATTTTATTTAAGGTTTATCCCAGTGTACTTCTAAATGGACCTTGGGCAGTTCACAAGGAAATCAAATACAAAATAAGACAGCTGGGGAGACAAGGAGAATGACTACCTAAAGAGGACTGGCTCACCCTGGATACACAGAAGAAGCTCCTAGAGGGCTTTAAAAGATGTCATTTCTCAGGCTGCATGCAGAGATTCTGGTTTAATTATCCTGGGATGAGGCCTGGGTTTCACTGTGTTATTTGGAAAGCTCTCCAGTGATTCTAATGTGCTTCCAGTGGTAGAAGCACAAGCCCAGAGAAAGTAGCGTGAGATTCTATTACATCACAGAGAGGAACTGCTGAGTGCAATTGGGCAGCTACTTTGCCTGTACATTTTCTGACATCTATGACAAAGGGGAACCTGCTGAGCCACATCAATTTTGTCTGCTAAGAGGAGGCCACAGTTGGTCTGCAGAGATAACATAACTTGTTTTCCCGGAAGCCCCCAGACTCATGCATGAGTTGATCACATGGATCCTGTTCTATAGAATCACTAATATAATGGCACATCATCAACTCTGGTTTTTGCAGGAAGCATCTTAAATAAATTTCATTGTTCATTGGCTGGATTGTAGCAAACAAATGTGCATTCTAGCAAACCACGTGAAAGAACATTAGTAAAAAGTCTCTTGAGTTTTTGTGTTTTGATAAAAAAAAAAAAAAAAAAATTCTCCAGCCCTGCTGGGGTAACTCTTCCAAATGGGAAGTTTCTCTGAGAGGACTGGGCACTGTGTCCACTTCCTTGGCTATCAATGATGTCCTCAGACCCCTGGGCCTCTCAGGAGTTCCCAGTTCTCCACCCTCCCAACTTGCTGCCCTGATGGCATCTCCAATGTAAATGAGCCGAGGAGAGCTGGCTATCGCTCCGTGAAATCTGCCCTGGTAAGGACTTTTTCCTTCTCATGCTCTCTGCCTGTGGTCTGTCCAGTGTGGTAGCCACTGGCCACATGTGGCTATCTAAATTTAAATGAGTTAAATTTAAGTAAAATTTAAACATAAAGCCTTCAGTTGCACCAGCCACATTTTGAGTGCTCCACAGCCACACATGTGGCAAGTGCTATCATACTGGATGGTACAGGCACAGAGTGCTTTTATCACTCCAGAAAGATCCACTGGACAGCGCTGCTGTCAGCCTGCAGTATCCTGCCAACTGATGCTAGACAATATTGACTAGGGCTGGAGACATAAAGGAAAATCAAATGCCAAAGTATACCCATGATCGTACTCTGGGGTAAGGGGGAATCATGGTGCATTTATAGACCTCAGTTTCTTAACCTGTAAAATGGGCATACTCACTCCTTTTTTTCTCTTGACCTCAATATACTTAAAGGCTTGCTAAAAAGGGAGCTTTAAATTGCTGAGACAAATGTACTCTGTATGTAGACTGTGCTATGATTGTTGCTAATTTCAACATTAAGTACTAACAAACAGGCCCCAGACACCAGGCCCAGGAAGAAAAAAAATCACTGACAGCAAATGAGTGAGAATACGAAGAGTTCACCGTTTGGTGATCTAAAGCAGAGAGAGTTTTATGTGATCATTCCTTACCCAATTGACTCTAGCTCTCTCTTCGGTCCTGGCTTTGTGAGCATGCACGTGAATGGGCTCAAATCCACAACCTCTCTTACTGGCTTTGTGTGTGTGCATGTGTGTGTGTGTACACACGTGTGCGCACGTATGTGTGTGGTATGAATGCATTAATATGCACGCATGTGCTCTTGAACTGAGAGCCTCAGGAGTCCTGAGGGGCAGTCACAGAGGAAGGCAAGGAAGTCATGAGCCAGAGCCCAGAAGTCGAAGAGCCAGAGCTGTGTGGCAGGAGTGGCTGAGCCAGACACTGGTCCAGCTCTAAGAAGACATAGGAAAGCCCATTTCTGGCAGCCAGTGTTGGCGAGAAGGCTGGGCAAGGCCTGACAGCTGCTGTGATGAAGAGCCTTTCATGACACCTTTCTCCAGGTTCTACTGATCTTTTCACTGGTGAATAAAAACTACTAACTTCCAATGGCCTAGGTGGCAGTGCACTGCGATTTCATTCTTGGTATTTCACAAGTGTTCAGGGCTGGGCTGCTCTGTATGAAAGGCCTTTTATTTTCAACAGGGCTTTAAGAGTAGGCAGAAAAAGCACCAGGGCCACCTCCCACCCACTACCAGGGCTGCCCCCCAGCAATCTTGGGAAAGCCCTGTAGGTGACAAGGAGAGTGCAACCTGCGCTGAACCCTTCCCAAGAGGCCTCAGCCTAGCCAGGGGGAGCCCTTTACATCCTGTCCCTGCTTTCTCAGCCCTGATTCCATTTTCTGGCCACCTCCGCAAGTCAGGTTTTCCCCTGAATTTCTCAATCCGCACATGTGGCCCAGAAGAGGGCTCCTGTGTGCACATCCTGTGCTCTTCAGTCAGGGCTGTTAAGGACTTTCTGCCCTTGAGTCCGGGCTAGCCCACCACAGTTCCCACTGTAACTGACTGATGGCCCATGACCCAACTCTATCCACATCCTAGGACAACCTCAAATTCATGCTCTGCATTCACTCGGGGACCTGTCTTGAAACAAGTCATGGAAAAGACATCAAAAGCTCACCTGTGCCTTGATACTTGCGAATAGAAAAACACAGTGGTGAGGAATAAGTGTTTCAGTGGAGGGATTCTGGGAGCCTGTGACATTATTTCACCAAGACTGAAATGTTAACGGATCGAGAGACTGGTGGGCACCTGCGCCCTTGAGTACCTCACTAGGGAAATACTGTCATTACTGGACCCAGTGAATACGCTCCCAGGAATTTGTTATAAGGCAAGATGAATGTACAAGGATGCAGTGTGTTTACGATAGAGAGAAAACAGGAGTCACGTGAGTGCCTCATAAGAGAAGTCTAAGTAAATAAAGACAAAGGGTCCACACAGGTAAATGTCACACCGTTATTGAAAGCTATGGAATATTTCTCTTTATTTACAGGAAAAGAGGTTAATAATATGTTGCTAACTGAACAAAGAAACTTACATAGAAGTCCTTGGGAAACTGGAAAGAGTGGGCAGGACCAGACCCCGGGCAGTGAAGAGATAGGAGGTGGATAAGACACATTTTCTTAAGGCAGGGTGGGACAGGCACTTAGAAACAGAATCTCAAACTATGACCTGTGAAAATTTGATACATTTGAATTCAAATTCCAAACTGCCAGGGATAGATAGTCCAGCCCCACCTTTTCTAAGTGGAAAAGCATTGCTAGGGATGTGGAAGGCAGGGCTGGGGTCTATGGTGCCCCCTCCAGGCTAATGCATTTCCATCTGCACTCACCACCTCCCAGCTCTGGTCTCATTGACTTCATGGTGATGGCAATGAGAAGCCTCGGCTGTGTCCTGGGCCTCTCTCTGGCTGGACAGAAGCCCAAAAGCTCCACTCCACATGGACTCTCAGATGATCATCAAGCCAGGAGCGCACAAGCACGTGACCAGAGGCAAAGGGACGCCTCTCCCAGGCTCATCCCAGCGGGGACTCAGGTCTCACCATGTCGGTTAAGTTGCTCACTGAGTTTTGGGGCTTTCTCCCAAGTTTGGGTTGTGTCCAGGGCAGTGGTTCTCAAGTGTGTGCCCTGCCCCAACCCCAGGCAACAGCAGCCCCTGGGAGCCTGTTAGAAAGCTTAGCCGGGCGTGGTGTCAGGCGCCCGTAGTCCCTACTAGGGAGGCTGAGGCAGGAGAATGGCGTGAACCCAGGAGGTGGAGCTTGCAGTGAGCCGAGATCGTGCCACTGCACTCCAGCCTGGGCAACAGAGAGAGCAAAAAAAAGAAAGAAAGCCACCCGCCATCTGCCTCCCCACACCCACGGAATCAGAAGCTCTGAGGACAGCAGTCCAGTCATCTGGGTTTCCTAGTCCCTCCAGGGGGCTCTGAGGGGAACTACAGTTTGAGAACTACTGCTTTAATGGTTAAGATTTAAGACACGAGATAATGTGTACACCAAACCTCTGCAACATGCACTTACCCATGTACAGGATGGGAGGTGGATAAGATACCTGTACACGGACTCCCTGAACCTAAAATAAAAGTTGGAAAGAAAAAAATGATTTAAGACCCTGGAGTCAGAACGCCTGAATTCAAATCCTTGACCAACCACTGAATATTTGTTTAACCTGAGAGACTTTACTTAACCTCTCATAAATGGGGAAAATGCTTATACTTTCCCTTAAGATTGCTTGTAGGCATAAACAAAATAGGTAGATGAAGTACTTGGGGGCCAGGCACGATGGCTCACTCCTGTAACTTCAGCACTTAGGGAGGCAGAGGCGGGCAGATGGCTTGAGGTCAGGAGTTCGAGACCAGCCTGGCCAACATGGTGAAACCTCGTCTCTACTAAAAATACAAAAATTAGCCAGGTGTGGTGGTGCGCACTTGTTATCCCAGCTACCTGGGAGGCTGAGGTGGAAGAATCACTTGAGCCCAGGGGGTGGAGGTTGCAGTGAGCCAAGATTGTGCCACTGCACTCTAGCCTGGGCGACAGAGCAAGACTCCACCTCAAAAAAAAAAAAAAAAAAAAAGAAAAAAAAGAAAAGAAAAGGACGTAGACAAGTATCTGGCGAATAATAAGTGCCCAGTGCATGCATATTATATACAGACTATACATAATATGTGTGAACATATATGTATATGTGCGTACATGTATGTGTATATGTATATATGTGCATATATGTATATGTATATTTGTGTGTATATATATATTTTTCTTTTTCTTTTCCCATTTTTCTTCTGGTAAAGGAAATAAGAATCAAATCTTTCTTGGGACAAAATCCAAACTTAAGGTGGAGGACAGGGACTTATCCAAGACCATCTAGAGAACATGGAGTGAACTCAGGCTTGGCATCTTAAGCTCCTCCCTGAAGGCTTGTTTGGCTTTTTTAAAGCCAACAAACACAGGGTGAGCTGAGAAGCAGCCTCTGAAAAGGCAGATGATCAGGGGCTTTCTCCAGATATGGAAGTCCGTCAGCCTCACCTTGATCTCTTCCAGAAACTGGAGACCTCAATGTGCTATGGGAAGATGCCCCCAATCCCTCCGCTGGCTAATAAAACTGCTTAGCTTTAAAACAACCAAAGCCTGGTCTTCTCTAGGACATGACTCTACCAGGAAAATTAAAACCCTTCCCCTCACTCATGGGGACCCTCCCAGAAAGTCCACAACTGGAGGAGGCCTGGTCAACTGTTGGCTAACAGCTCTTTTCTATTTTCTTTTTTTCCTGTAACTTAATTTTACTAAATGCCAATAGACTTACAAAGAGGAGAGGGAAAGTAGGTAAAAGAACAAGGGAGGGCCTGCAGTATGAGGCTTTGCAGTCTCTCCTTCCATACGGCTAACATGCTGAAGAGAACATGATTATCCACCATAAACACCCCGGAGGGAAACACGTCCAAATAAAACAGTTGAGTAGAGTGGTTAAGACACAGTGAGTCAGGGGACTGCCTGGGTTTGAGTCATGGCCCCACTGCTAATTCACTCTGCATCCTCTCTGCTTGCTGCCACAGGACATCATGCACATTGCACCACAAAGCACGCAGAAGAAATCATGCTAAAAGTCTTCTTTTTAAAACATTGCACTATCTGGGCAGCTACAGGGACTCAGCTGTGAGAGAATCCTGCCCACATCTGGTTAGGCTGTGGGGGTCGTTTACATGAGCCCGGGTCTCTGTCTACAGATGGCTCAGGGAGCAGGAAAGACGGGGCATAGTTGGTCAAACAGGCAGAGGTATCTACTGCACTGGCCTATAGGGTAACTCAGGGCAAACAGCACAACAGACTTCAAATCCCTGGACCCATATCTTTCTTTCAGAGCCAGGACTAGTGAGAGGTGCCTGAAGTACCTGGTGCGCAAAATTTAAGAAGTCGCCCACGCTTAGGTGCCTGTCCACACCTGCACCAACCAAGAGGGCAAACCTCCCTAAGAGCAGCTGGATGACTCTGAGAGCAGGTGCCTCCCTAAATTTTGTGGCCTGGATGCATCCCTCGCCTCACCCTCACCCTGGCCCACTTCTTTTCTATCTTGCTTTCCACGGGCCAGCAGTATCAGCATCCCCTAGGAGCTTGTTAGAAATGCAGGGCCTTGGGTTTAGCTCCAGACCTACTGTGTCATAATCTGCAAAGTGACAAGACCTCCAGGAGATTTATAGCGGCACAATTGATATTTGAGAGGTAGCAGAGGCAAGGAAGGGCAGAACCCCAGGCTCGTCTGCCATTTGCCATCTCAGCCTTGGTCCAAATGGGGGTGGGAGGTGATTGAGTGATACCAGCAGAAGGAAGATTCCCCAAGGGTTTCCCTGAGTCTCTCTCAGGCCACCTGGAGATCACAAACCTATATTCAGCTTCCAGAGAGACATCACACTGATTATATTAAAAGAAGTATTTATTGACCATTTATGAAATATTTAGCAAAGCTCACACACTGTATTTGGATGGAGGAACAACCACTCCCTAAGGTTCCATAGTATGAAGGTTCTATTGAATATTGCAGTATGTCAATACAGTCTATGCAATGAAAATCAATAAACATTTACGTGATGTCTCAAAGGCATACAGAACTTGAAAGCAAAATGTGTCAGGCACATGTCCAAGTTCCTGTTCCTTCCACAACCAGAAGATGTGAAGAATAGTAGTGAGCCAGTTACTAACAAGGGAGGTCAAGAGACCACGGGCCATCCACATATACTGGACGGTTTTATCTGATGGAGGCTTAGATTGCAAGGGGGGTAGAGGCACATGGTGGCAGGTGAAATGTTAGGGAAGCACTAAATGGAGACCAGAAGATACTTGTGACTATAACAAGACCGGCCAACATGTTTAGGGTTATGCTAAATATCTCTTTAAAATATATCTGTATGTATATATTTTCCATTGAAAGCAGCTCAGTAAACCAGGTATCTCAACCAATTCAAGTCAACCAAGAAGGATGTATCACACATATCAATCTTGCAGTCCCCACAGGTAGGTGCTGAGACTCAAGTCCTCCAAAATCTCAGAATATTTCAATGATCCCAGGGCTCATGTTGGAGGGGGGAAGTGAGTTCTAAGCAAATCTGACTATAACACTACTATCTTAACCACTCCAATGGGCTAAAACAAGTGGGTTAACCAGTCCTAAGTTCTCAAGTTTTACAAGTTATAATTCTTAAGTCCGTCAAAGTAAGGGACTTGAGAATGCTCACACAGTAAAAAATCACTTTTTCTGCTGCTTCCACAGAATTAAATACAATTCTTATTTAAAAAATGGATGGCCATAGGGTATGTATTAACAACAAAAAAGAGACTGCTCAGTCAACTGTGAAAAATACAGTCTGGGATAAAGAAAATGTGGGATGTATATAAAATGGAATATTCTTCTTTAGAAAGAAAGGACTTGCTGAGACATGCTACAATACGGATAAAACTGAAAGCCAGTCACAAAAAGACTAATACTGTATGATTCCACTTATATGAGGTACCTAGAGTAGTCAAATTCATACACACAGAAAATGGAATGGTGGTTGCCAGGGGCTAGGGAGGAGGGAGAAATGGAAAGTGATTACTTAATGTTGTTTGATGAGTTTCAGTTTTGCAAGATGAAAAGGATTCTGGAGACAGCTGATGGTGACAGTTGCACAGACAATGTGAATGTACTCAATGCAGCTGAACTGTGCACTTAAAATTGGTTAAGACGGCAAATTTTGTATTTACGACAATTTTAAAAACCAAGTCTGCTGAAACTTTTAAAAACACAGTCTGCTAAAAAATAATTTTTATATACCTACCCTTAAGGGCTTGGGTGCAAAGCCTGCCTCTGACATTATTCAAGTGAAACTAACAATAAAAAGAATACGGAAACACACACATGAACATAGACGTACGTGTGTGTGTGTGTGCATGTGAGGGGGGAGCTTGAAGCCATCTTTTTTGCAGGATGTAGAATAAGTCCAGAACACATTCTCAAGCAGAACTTCCAACTTACAAAGCACTGTAGCTCCCACCCTGCCCTGCCAACCTAGGCTTGCAGAAGTCATGGATGAAACAGTCATTATGAAACTGTAGAGTAAGTTTAACCTGAAATTTCTGGAGGAAAAAGGTGGGGAAGGAATTCATCAACGGTCCTCCAGATGCTCTGTGATTCACCTGGGGCCACCTAATCCCAAGGCTTTGCCACCTCTGAACCTCATAGCTGGAGCTGCCACTCTCGATTACCACAGGCTGAAGGTAATTCCTGCAGAAGCCACGTGTAGTTCTTTCTCTGGGGACTGCTCAGCTCTCACAGCTGACTCCCTCAACCTCTTCCAGATGGGATTCACAGCAGGCTAGAACCACAGATCCAGGGAATGTGAGTCCTCAAATGGAATTTGAGGTTGGGGCCTTGGTCCCATGAGTGATTTGTGGCTGTCAGGATGTACAGGATTTGCTTGGCTTCATAAGACAGCCCAGAGATCCAGTTTTAAGGCAGAACATTAGAAAGCTTCCACTACTGTACCACTTCTCAAATATTCCCAGCTAGTGAATGCTTCAGAGGCTAAAAAGCAGTGTTGACTTTGTCATTGGCATTTTTCTATTCAGTAGAATAAACCATCTAAATTGTAAAAATACTATTTTCTTTTATGGAATTCAATAAAGCATTTTCATCTTGAGTGAAAAGTAAGTAGACTATAAATAATTTTTGTTTTAGTCTGAATTTGTATCATGCAAAAAGAAAATGTTCCTTGAAAATGACCCAACCTAATTCCTTCATTTTAAAGTTACAGCTCAGGGTGGTAACATGATTTGCCCCAGGTTATGCAGCAAATGAGATGCAGAGCTGAAAGCAAGACTCTGCCCTCCTCCACATTTCCCCCCTCACCACAACTAGAAAGACTGGTCATAAAATATGAGACTCCACAGTTGATGGATCTGGGATTACGCCATTAGGGTTTCCCTTTACATCCCAGGCCACAGGTCAGTAAGTACTACATTATTCATTTTTTTCTTGGGTCCAGACATTTTTCTGGATGCCCTTTGCAGTTTTTCTTTTTATAGCATCAGATAGCTCACGGAGGAGCCATGTCTGGCACATGCCTCCTCTTATATTAATCCCAAGAGAAAGCTCAGGCTCTAATATTTAAGCTTCCAAGTCATTAACAGAGATTCTGGACAAAGTCACAGTATCATCTTTTATCTCTGTGAACACACTGTACACTGTACCTGCCAGACTGAGTACTGGGGAGTGTAATAAGCCCAGGGTGGTGACTGGTGTGTTGCACTGACTCCCAGGTCAAAGCTGTCCCAAGGCAGGAAGTCACCACCCACAATCACTTCCTTGCCCTGTTAGCCTGTCTTGCCCAATGACTAGGGTTTGGGATTCATGAGTTGACAGTGGATGTCTGAGCCATTGCTAGCTGTAGAGGGGCAGTGAAGTGACAGCCTGGTTACTGACATCCTGGCCATCTCACAGCAATGTGGAAAGATTTAAAGAATGGGTTGTGTATTAGTCCATTTTCACGCTGCCAATAAAGACTGGGCAATTTACAAAATGAAGAGGTTTAATTGGACTTACAGTTCCACATGGCTGGGGAAGCTTCACAATCCTGGTGGAAGGCAAGGAGGAGCAAGTCCCGTCTTACATGGATGGCAGCAGGCAAAGAGAAAATGAGGAACACGCAAAAGCAGAAACCCCTGATAAAACCATCAGATCTCATGAGACTTATTCACTACCACGAGAACAGTATGGGGGAAACTGCCCCCACGATTCAATTATCTCTCCCCAGGTCCCTCCCACAACACATGGGAATTATGGGAATACAATTCAAGATGAGATTTTGGTGGAGACATAGCCAAACCATATCTGGTTGTATGTCTCCTCCTGGAAGGAATAAAAGGTCTTTCTCTTGCCATAAGTGTTCCTCCAAAGGCTACCCTAACTGTGGGGCCCAAATCTCTTTTTCTAAAGGGTCTTTCCTTCAACTTTAAGAAACGTGTTACAGATACAGATGGAAAAAAAAAGGGCAAACATAGGACTTGTGGAGATTTCACTGCCTGGCAGCACAGAGGACTTCCTGGGTGGGATGTACTTACCTTACCTTCCCCAGTACATTATAAACTCATAGCTCATTCATCTATGTCAAAATATCCAACACAGGGTGCAGTTCCTTGTACACAATAGTCGCCTAATAAACGTTACTTAAGGAACCAATTATATATTATACTGACACTTATAATTTTAGCCTCTCAACCAAGTAGTTCTAATTATTTAGCCTCCATCTTCATTTGACTTCCCCCAGAAGGCGACTGTGAAATTAGGGGGGTGATCCGAGGAAGCACCAGTAAGGGAGTGAGGAAGTGAGACAGAGCCCCGAAGGTGGCCCAAACATTCATGAGCATATTACCTCCATCAGCTAGGGCTTGATCCTCCTGGGGATGCTCTGAGAGAGGATGCTGAATTACCTTTTATTGCTCCATGAAGAGGTGAAGAGGCTGGGGTTTATCTACTATACTCTTATCTCTCGCTGATTAAAGATTGCTCCTGGTGTATTGGTTTCCAGACATTCTCGGCTCTCTCTATGTTTATGCTGAGCATACTTCCATGGTTAAAGGATACCATGAGGGAGACAGATGCAAGAATCTGTTTACATACATTTATGAAAAGTATCTACAGGTGACCTCTGGGGTAGGCTGAGGCAACATGGGAAGGGCACTGATAGCATCTGCCACAACTTCACATCTCATCCATCTAACCATTAGGTTTATCTGGTTACCTAATAGTGATGATAAGAAATAAACGTCATAAGATCAATCAACCCACCAATGACTCAACACTATATCAGGGTCTATGGAAAAAGAAAACAAAAATTGTTCACTTTCTGTAGAAGATCCATCTGTCCCCTTCCTCCTCTCTAACAGGGTCCCGCTTTTGCTCACAGGATCTGTTCTCCTCCTCCGAGCATGGTGCTCATCAACCAATAATGGTGACTCCATTCTACTTGCAAATGCTTAGCTTGGGAATGGGCATGAAATATGAGGGTTAGGTATTGGGGGACACTAAAAGTCTGCCTTGCTGATAAAAAAAGACATAGAACAAGAGACAGGGAGGGAAGGGAGCGGGAAGGAGTTCTGAGAGTGACACTATCACCTAGACTCTGTCTATAATTCTCAGTGGCTGAGAATGTGTATTCTCAGCCATATCTGATCATACTAACACTGATGAAAACTAGAAAATACAAGCAATTTCTAGAGGAACTGCTCTTTAGACAGAGTTCACCCTTCCTGCACTTACATTGTTGGTTCTGGGAACTTACATGAGGGACTTTGCATTTAACCTGATTACATTTCATCTCATTCATCTGCAGGTTGTGCAGATAGCCTAAAATCCCGGTTCTTCATTATACTTTGTGGTTACCCCTACAACCCTTGGGTCTTTTGCAAATGTGATAATTACACCTTTTATGTCTTCAGTGAAGTTCTTTATGGCTTAACTTTTCTAAGTCTCTATCATTTGTAAAAATGTCAAACTTGTTAGGATCAAGTTCAGACATGGCATTATAGAGAGTCCCCCCAAGCCTGGGCCATGAATCACATTTTTGAAGTGGTTTCCAACCAATTGCTAACATAGCAGCTGTATACCATCCATAGCACAGTCTGGCCTAAAATGATAGCATAACAGATTCTGCAAATCCTACAATGAAATCAAGACCAAATATCTATTTCATTGTCCTGAACTATTAGCCTGAAAAACCTATCAAAAATCAGGAAATAAATTATCAGTGCAAAAGATGCCCTCAATGAACCTTAAATCTATTATGGATCAGAGGTTTAGAGGTTGGGGAACACAACATTGATGGGTCTTCCCCGGCTACTCTGATGACAGTTTGACTCCTTAGATGGGCAGGAAGCAGGCAAGCCCAGCTGCCCAGCCTCTCCCCACACCATGGGCCATAAATATTCAATTACATCAGACCCGCCTCTAAATCACTGGCTCTGAGCACTGCTTCTTAACCCCCAGCATGTCTGCCTCCTGAACTCTGAGATGGGAGTATCTCTAGGCTGGTCAGGCTTCAAGGAATAATTCATTAGCATCTGAAGATAGCAGCTTGTAAAGTGGAAAAACCGCTCTGTCAGCAGTGTTGGCGCTGTTTAGCTCATACGCTTGCAGTAAATGAAGACTTTGCGTGTATTTTCAGTCTTTTTTGAGGCAGCCTGGGCAGCCTGGGAACACCCTAAGCCCCCAAAGCCCTCTCCTGTGCCTCTGTGTGTTTTGATGTCCTCGTTGTTCTCACAGTGGGCAGGCCCTGCAAGTGATCTGGGGAGAGGGAGCCAGCTCCAATGGGGGTGACACCATGCTAGAGTGCTGCAGAAAGGAAAGGTGGGGTGGGCGCACAGGTCTGAGCAGAGCCTATGGCAATGGAAGGACATTGGGAGTATCTAAAGCAAATCTTGTGAATATGCCTCAAGTAGAACTTCAACACTGACCATCTGTCTCCAGGCTCCATCGGCCACTCCCGCCCCACTTCTCATGTGTCTTTGGAAAGTTGGCAAATTTCCTCCTGAGGCCAGAAGTCAAGGACCTCCAGAGCTTGGTCAGGCTCCCAAGAGACTCTGGTGGTTAACAGTATGTTCCTTGTCTCCACCAATACATTCTCCTCATCAAAGAGCCAGATCAGGGTGTTGTTGGGGTCAAGTGCAGACATGCCATTATAGAGAATCCTCCCACCAAAGCCATAAATCACACTTTTTTTGAGGGGCAGGGTCTGACTCTGCCACCCAGGCTGGAGGCAGTGGCATGATCATGATCATAGTTTACTGTAGCCTCAAACTCCTGGGCTCAAACAATCCTCCTGCCTCAGTCACCTGAGTAGCTGGAGTACAGGCCTGTACCATCACAACTGGCTAATTTGTTGTTGTTGTTGTTGTTCGAGGCAGAGTCTCGCTCTGTCACCCAGGCTGGAGTGCAGTGGTGCGATCTCGGGTCACTGCAACCTCTGCCTCCTAGGTTCAAGGAATTCTTTGCCTCAGTCTCCTGAGTAGCTGGGATTACAGGCGCCCGCCACCACGCAGGCAAATTTTTGTATTGTTAGTAGAGATGGGGTTTCACCATCTTGGCCACGCTGGTCTTGAACTCCTGACCTTGTGATCCACCCACCTCGGCCTCCCAAAGTGCTGGGATTATAGGCGTGAGCCACCGCGCCTGGTACAGGTGGCTAATATTTTTATTTTTATTTATTATTAGTATTATTATTTTTTGTAGAGATGGGGTCTTGTTATGTTGCCCAGGCTGGGCTTAAACTCCTGGCCTCAACTGATCCTCCTGCCTTTGTCTCCCAAAGTGCTGAGATTACAGCACTTTGAGCCACTGGGCCCAACCATAAATCACCTTGCTGAAGCTGTTTTCAATCAGTTGCTAATATACCAGCTGTATCCCATCTATAGCACAATTACCTCTCTGGCCTAGAATGATTCACCCAGGACCCCTGTATGATGCTCTATGAAGGGTGGAACATAATGTCCCCACAGGCCTCTTATAGAAGGGTCAGCTTCTTCCCTCTGACTATTTCCAACTCCACCAAGTGCCTCAGTCTTTCCCAGTTAAGGGTCCCAGTGTACCCCATCACTCTCACATTCTCCCTTCCTTTCTCTAAGGACTCTCCTCCCCACCACCTTACTTCCCCAACACACACACACACACACACACACACACACACACACACACACACACACATCCCCCACAGGATCCCACATTGACCACCTACTGTTCATTTTTCTAAATTTGCCATTAACAAGTTGTAATAATTAGGACAGAAATACTGCTCGGAGCCTGACGGCTAGATAGTAGATTTTGATGTGAACCTAACCTCTCCCCCTTGGTAAATTCTAGCCCTGTTCTTTAAAAAGTATACCACGTCTTCCTCTTGGCTTCTCAAATGTTGGTCTGTGGTTGAAAAAGCACTACTGCACTTGTGGGATAAGCCTTAAGCGCCTCATCTATCACACGCAACGTTTCCCAGGAGCAGAGCTGGGCTTCTTTTGAATTATGTTCTCGCGCTGTAATGAGATGTGGTCTGAGCTTCTGAAAATAGCCACAGAGAGAATCCTGTTTTATAACATGTGGACAGACTGAAGCAAGTCAAGGAAAGCAAACGGGATGGGGAGGGAGGCTCTTGGTAAACATTTCCTTCTTTCACTTTATTGGGGCTGAAAGCTCATTTCTAGCACTGCTAGGGGAAAAAAACAGAGACCAAGTTGATTCCCTTTGGATGGCCTGGGATCTGAGGTGCCAGCGCATGACATGACTGTGTGGTGCACTCCCAAGGCAGGCATGCAGAGAAGAGGCAAGAGGAACACAACACCAGGAAGAGACAGAGTCTGTAAGAAACCACTTGAAAGTTATTTATTGGCAGCTGAAAATGTGACCTTTCTGATGACCTTGAGAATCTTCCAGTCCTACCTGCCTTTGCAGCCAACATTCAAAACATCTTCATGACAGGGAGCTGCCAGTCAACCTTTCATTCATTCACTCTTGCAAAAACAGAGGACTAGTTCAAGTAACAAAACTCATGAGTTGGCACAAGTCATCTCTGCACTGTGCCACATAGCAGACTTATCGTCAGCAATGAAGGAGATAAAGATTGGCTCCGCTCAAAGGGCTACAGAGGCTCAACATGATGACGAATGGACCAAGTGGATAGCGACTGATAAGAAAGCCCACCGGGGCCAAGGACTGTTACAGAAACCCCCAACCCCAGAGACGTAAGATGTTGATTCAGGCGAGAATAGTCATACACAGTTGTGTAGGATGTGCAATGCCCAAGGACCTTTGACTGAAGAGGCAACTGGGTGCTGATATCCTGCCACTAGCTCCTCTTGCCAAGCCAAGCTGGAGGAAGGAATATTTTAAAATATGTGTTTTCTTTTACCTTTGATCTTTCTGTAAATTTCACTGAAGTATTACATACATACAAGAAAAATACATAAATCATAAGTTCCATAAATCTTCACAAACTGAACACAACCATGTACTCAGCACCTGGGTCACATAATGGAGCATTAACAAAACCCCAGAAGTAGTCTTAAAAATGTGTTTTCTTCCTTTTTTTTTGAAACAGAGTCTCGCTCTGTCACCCAGGCTGGAGTGCAGTGGTGCAATCTCAGCTCACTGCAAACTTCCACTTCCCAGGTTCAAGTGATTCTTCTGCCTCAGTCTCCTTAGTAGCTGGGGCTACAGGTGTGAGCCAACGTGCCCGGCTAATTTTTCTATTTTTAGTAGAGATGGGGTTTCACCATGTTGGCCAGGCTACTCTCAAACTCCTGACCTCAAGTGATCCACCCATCTCGACCTCCCAAAGTGCTGGGATTACAGGTGTGAGCCATCGAACCCAGCCCACTGTTTTATAAATTTGAATCAAGGTATCATCTATTCACTAAGCCAGTGCCCACAAGGCTGTGATCATCATAAGGGGGCACCTTTTAAGTGTGCACAAAAACACTCTATGAGCTGGTGATGTCTCAGGAAAGGTGGCCACTATCCTCAAGAAATTAGCATATTGTGAGGGGGACTGGGCAGGTGCAAAGGTAACAACTGTGTGATGAGAACATGACACGTGACGTTGCACAGAGGGAAGACTTCCTCTGCCCACACCCCTCCAACCTCCCTCCCCTCTGCCACCTCCTCCTCCCCACAGTAAATATCACAGTGTCTCATGATCAGGGCTGGGGAGATGAAACGAGAATGAGAATCTCATTGGAAGTGAGAACAGAAAGAAAGTGTAACAAGTGCCAGGGATGCAACCCCATCCTACATGAGAGCTGTCTGGAGTTTGAAAGTTGCTGGTTCACCACTGTCTGACTGTTGGAAGCAAGTCCAGTTTACTGTCTGTGGAGAGGACTGCCATCATGTTGTCTGAAGCTTTCTCACCTAACTTCTTATGAGCCAAAGAAAAGGAGTATGCTATGACCACATTAACTTGTAGAGACCCAACTCCTCTGAATCACCGTGCTCTCACTTGGCACCTATGGTTGATGTTTTGTGTTGACCCATTCCAAAGTGATGCACATCTTCTGCTTCTCTCTCCCCAGACTGTCAATGCCTTGAGGTCTGGACACCATAGCTCTGTTTCTTGAAAAAAATGAGAATACTGAATGAATGCATGCATAAATGAGTGCAAAGTTCATTAAAAAAGAAAGGTATTTATTTCCCCTTATTTTCTACTTAATGCTCCTTTCTAAAAAGTTTGAAGATAAAGCGTATCTGGAATGAACACTCTATTGGGAGCCCTTCAAGGGCTGGGGTTTGGACCCCTAGATACAGAACAGGGGGGAAGATGAGGTTCCTATCAGAGAACTTACTGTAGCAAGTTATTCCTCCTCTTCCCCTAAAGCTCCAAGGCATGTGGTTTAAGTCCAAGACTTGCAAACATGACTGCCCAGGAAGAAGTTCTCATTCATCTCATCTGCCAGCCCCTTTTGAATTAGTGGGATGTTCAAGCTCAAAGAGAGGAAAAGATGGAGGACCCTAGCTCAAGAGCCATAGGCCTGGACATCCCACTGGGCTGAGCACTGTGGCTGGCAAGACTTGAGAACTTTTATTTTCCTGCCAGAGGTCAAGGCATTTTCTAAATTCCTGATTCAAGCCCCAGCCTAGGACTCTGTCAGGTTGATCTTCCTGGAAATGTGTGTCTTCGGCCCCAGAGCTTGGGCGCCACGTGGGGCAGGAAGACCCTTTATTTCACTGTGGCTGTGAGGCACATCCCACATCTGGGGCAGAATCCCACTGTCAGTGCCAGCAGCAGCTCTCAGCTTTCCTGCCTCGGAGCTCTCTCCAAAGCCTCGCAAAGCTGCTCAGTCCCTGGGAATGCAGGGGAGCTGGCCCTCAGCCACCAAGGATCGGGGGTGGTAGAGAACTCTGCCTGCAGCCACCACTGCAGAGACGTAACTCTGAGAGGCATTTCATCCAGTTCTACCGCCATGGAGTCCCTGGATGTTGCCCCTTGATGGGCCCTTCCCATTTCCTGCCTCCCTCTCCCTGCCCACTCACTTCTTTTTCTTGCCCACTTCATTAATAAATGACTCCTGAACAAAACAGGCAGGTCCCTACATGTGTCCATCCCAGGGTGCACATCCAGGAGGGGCTGAATGGCTGCTGTTCAGTTGCACTTTCCCTGCCCACAAAGTGTGGTTTTCTCTCCTTTATTAGTAGGAGAGGAGAAAATGGCTTTACAGCCTTCTGCTTTCTCTCAAATCCTAATAATTTATGGAGGGTTGAGTAGGGGCCAGGACTGTGCTAAGTGGCTTTGCATGGTTTGTCTCATTGACTCTTTGACCATTTTCTGGGAAGACTGGCACAAGTGTCATCCACACCATACAAAGGGGAAAACAGGGATGTCAGAATAATATACTGCTGAATGGTGCGGCCCAGGTTTGACCAAAAGGTAGCTTGAACCCAGTCTCATACCTCCAGCCATGACTGTGGGAGCCTCATCCTATTCACCATGGACACACACACTGGGATACAATGTTGACTAGGGAAACCACTCAAGACTACTTCTGGGGAGAAAAGGACAAATGGTAACTGTTGGACGCTGTGATTCGAGGGTTCAGAGAAATCGTGTGACACCTGGGAAAACACGGTGTTGAAGTCAGGCGGACGAGGCTTGCATTTGGAATCAGCCATTGACCTTCTCTGAAACTCAAGGTTGTGTTTGCACATTGAAAAATGTGAATTATAAAGACTATCTTACAGTTGGTTACCGGAATTAAAAGACAGAGTATGCAAAGTAACCACTTGTGACTTGTGTATATAAGTACCCGATACATAGTAGCTATTAACAATATCAACAATGTTCTTAGTAATGCGAAAATAATCGCAGATCATGGGGTCCAGCACTGTGTCTGGCTCTGAACTACCGTTGAGGGTTTGGAGACCAGGTCTAGCCATCCTGGCATGTGCAAGAGGGGCAGTGAAAACCTTGGATCCGGCATTTTGGGAGGAAGGGATGACTGGAACTGTGGGGTTCCCCCAGAACCTAGAACCAGCTAAGGCCGGAAAAGCTAAATCCACAGGTCAGTTCTGGGAAGAGCGAGCTCATTTTGTTCATGAAACGATGAAAGTCTGGGGTCAGAGGGACCTAAGAAGTCATATGTCCCTGCCTTCCAACCCTACATTCATTCACGCATGTATGCATTCATTCATTAATTACAGCCTTCACGAAGTACCCACTCTGTGATAACCACTGGAGATCTGAAGGTGGATTAAGTCTACCCCAGAAATTAAGTTCACTAAGGAGTCCCAAGTGCAGAAACAGGTCTCTTCCAAAAGCATAGTGGGGCTCAAAGGAGCAAGCAGACCATCTATCTATGGGGCATCCTGGTATAGCTTCACAGAGGAACAACCATCATCGCACCCCATCAAGATGTGCTTGAATTCTCTCAACACCACTGCCAGAAAATTGTGCCCAGCATAACCTAAATACTTCCAATGATGGTAAACCTGCCATCTTCCTGTTTCTATTTATTTGTTTTGTTTTATTTTATTTTGTGTGTGTGTATATGTGTCGCCATTTTTTAAGGCAAAAAAACCACTTTATTCTATTGAACAACACTTTGCCTCCCATAACTGCACCTGTTCAGGCCCTAGTCGTACTGCTTGGGGCTCTGCAAACCTGTCCATTCAGTATTCCCTTCCTTCCAGTAGACGGACTAGCCACCTAAAATGCTCATTCTCCAGAGCAAACAACACTAGGCACCCTTCTTTCCCTCCAGAACAGGAATTTGACACCACGCCCGTCCCTCACCACTGAGCCTGCTCCCTTCCCCGTTTGCCAGAGGAGGGCATTGAGAACTGACTACATTGGCCATTTTCTTGCATTTGGATTCATTATCTCATTTCATTTTTACACCCACCCTCCTAGGTAAGTATTCCCAGATTTCACAGATAAAGAATCTGAGGCTCAAGGAGATCAAATGAATTTGGTCAAGGTCACAGGGCTGGTGTGGGGCAGATGATACTCAAATCTATCTTGGGTTTGTCCAGGTTCCATTTCTTTCTAAACAAGGTACTTTCTGCTCATTGCTCCAGCTTTGTGGGATCCATAAAGTGGATGTGTATGCTTTTAGTGCCCTCATCCAAGTCATATGAGAGATGCTGGGGACCACAGTGAAGTGTTAGGCCTAATGCCAAGGGGAAATCCATTTAATGACACAAAGTGGGATAATCTGGTGGCAGACATGGGCTGCAGCTGACGACGAGCACTGCAGGTGCACGCGAAAGCCTTTTGGCAGAGGCTCCATTGCTCACAGGTTCACTTACAGCCATGTACAATTAACAGAGCTGAACAGGACCTCACCAAAAGTCACTCTAAATTTGGAGAAGTCTACAGACTTGTCCAAAGTCCCACAGCTGGCTAGTGGCAAAGCTGAGGTCTCTGTTTTTAGCCTAGGTGTTTTCCCTGTAGGCAGACATTCTGGAAGAATGAGTCAAGGTCACATAAAGAGCACTTTCCCTTTCTGACATTCACTGCCCAAACTTCTCATCCAAGTCACCTGAATACAGAGAATAAGAGTAACGCCATCCTTTACAGAACAATTTCCCCGAACGCTTGCTTCCATTAAAAAGTCCAAAGATAAATCCCTTGACAACAGGCTTCAGCCAGAGGCTATATCCAAGACCTGCTTAAATGCAATCCATGGATGGAGAATTAACATCTTTTTCCTTACTGTTAGGAAATGGAAATTCAGTAATTATATCACACCTAATGAGAGACCTGGATTTTCAGACTTTTACATGGTTTTTAAATCTGTAAATATTAGCTTTCCCATTTAAGCAGCTTGCTTTCAACCTCTCGTGCTTTTCCATGTTTAATTAAAAGGCTCCCAGAACTCATTATACATTGCCCTCTAAAAGTTGACTCAAAATAAGCTTTCTTTGCCATTACAGCCTTTCCCTTCCTGAATGTTCTTAAGGGTTACTGAAGCCACACTCTATGAGCAGCAACTTGGGGTCCTGGGCAGATGAGTCAGAGTTCTGGTGCTGGCACTGGCCACTGGTAAGGAGTGAACCCCTACGGGCCTCATTTGGACAATGAAGATAAAGGTAACAACAGTTTCCTAAAGGGTTACTGTGAGGATAGAATGAGATGCCGGTACCTGGTACACAGCATGTAGTCAGTAAGGATAGTGCTCTTACTTTTTATTCTTTTAATATACCTACTAAATAAGCTAAATCTCAGAAAAGGAATTTTTAATAAGAGGTTTGGGCAGATGTCGTTGGTGGACTGCCCACATCTCCTCACCTTGACCATGTCAGCACCCATCTGTCTGATTTCTGCATGTGAGGACCTATACCTCCCCTCTCAAGGGCACTTCCTGGCTGTCAGAGCTGACTTTGTCTATGTCCATAAATACCAGGGGTTCAATGCACCTGTTGTCTGCTCTTAACTAATGGCTGATGGGTGTTGCGGATGAATATCCCACTTCCCCATGTGTGCTCTACGCTGCCTCCCAGAGTTTCAAGACGGATTAAGCTCCAGTTGTCCAAAGTGATAACTTTCTTGATAATGTACTTTTTCTCAGAGTTCTTCCCTTCCTCGTCTTACATTCCAATTCCCTGTTCTGCACTGCCAAATAAACTATTTGCCTTAAATAACTGACCCTGAGTCTGCTTCTAAGAAACTTCAAACTAAGACAGATGCATTGTGCATAAATACAAATCCATGCATTCTGGCCCAGATATCTATGAATTCTGCTGCTACTATCTTTTATTATACTGCTATCCTTTCCAGCTTCCTGAGGTCCACATTGTTGATGTAGGAGTAATTAAGGTTGTAACCCAAATCAGTAGAAGTAATTGGGTTGAAAAGAACACACTAACTTCAAGCCAGTGGTTATATTTAGAAATAAGGGGTGAGGAATGATGCAGACTAATGATGGTGGAAGCCAAGATCCATATTATGTGTAACGCTGTACTGGATTTTACTATAAAGAGATGAAGCAGATATAAGGTCATGAAAAAGGTCAGTTCTGGTTGGTGGTTATACAGAGTGTGTTATCTTTGTATTTTTAAAACTTTCTCAAATAAAATAAAAATAAAAGTTAAATGTATCAAAACGTGTGAGACACAGAAAATAGTGCTTACAGTGAATGCACGTATCAGAAAAAAAGAGATCCAAAATCAATAACCTAAGCATCTACTTTAGGAAAGTAAAAACAACAACAACAACAACAACAACAACAAAAAGCCGATTAGATCCAAAGTAAGCAGAAGAAAAAAAATAAAAATTAGAGCAGAAATCAATGAAACTAAAAAGGTTAAAAAAATAGATAAAATCAGCAAAACAAAAAGATAGTTCTTTTAAAAGGACAATAAAATTGATCAAGCCAGGTAAAAAGAAAAATAAAAGAAGACACAAATTACTAACATCAGAAATGAAAGTGGGACCATCACTACTTATTGCATTGACATTGAAAGGTTAATAAAGGACTATTATGACAACCTATACCCAGAAATTTGATAACCTAGATGATATGGGCCAATTCTTTGAAAGACAAAGTCTACCAAATTCAAATAAGGAGAAATATATAACCTGAATAAGCCTACATCATTAAATAAATTTAATTAGCAATTAATAATTTACTAAAAGAAAACCAGGCCCAGATGAGTTCACTAGTAAATTATACCAAGCCTTTAAGGAAGAAATTACATCAATTCTGTACAATGTCTTCCAGAAGATGAAGCAGCGGGAATACTTCCTAACCCATTCTCTAAGGCCAACATTACTCCAGTACCAAACCAGATAAATTACATGAAAGGAAAACTACAGACTAATATGTCTCATGAACATAGATGCAAAAAAATCCTCAACAAAATATCAGCAAATCAAATCCAATGAGGTATATAAAAATTATACGCCATGACCAGGTGATATTTGTTCTAGTTATGCAAGGTGGGATTGATATTTGAAATCAATTAATGTAATTAATCACATCCATAGGGTAAAGAAGAAAAATCATATAAACTTATCAATAGATGCAGAAAAAGCATTTAACAAAATCTAACACTAATTTATGATTTTAAAAAACTCTCAGGAAACTAAGGATAGAGGGGAACCTGGCAGAAAACACCTATCAAAAGCCTACGGTAACATTAATGGTAAGAAACAAGATACTTTATTAACTCTCAAGCACTCCTGTCTTTCTCCACATTATGGGCTGGGCCTTATCCATGGCTAGAGAAAAGCCTTAAACAAGGAAGAGTGGATGCCAAGGCAATTATGGGTAGAGCACTCCCCAGTTATGGGGAGGGTTTAACAGTAAAAGTAAAGGTGAGAAACCAGGTATTATTCCCCTAAGATCAGCAGGAGTAAGGCAATGATGTTTCCTCTCACTACTCCTATTCAACATCATAATAAAAGTCCTATCCAATGTAATAGGACAAGAAAAATAAATGAAAGGCATGGAGATTGGAGAAGAAGAAATGAAACTGTCCTCTTACAGGTTTCAGAATTGTCTATGTAGAAAATTCCAAAGAATCAACAACAACAACAACAAACTCCTGAAAGTAATTACAGCAAGGTTGTAGGATACAAGGTTAATTTACAAAAGTCAATTGCTTTCCTACTACCAGCAATGAGTGATTGAAATATGAAAGTAAAATCATAATACCATTTATATTAGCACCAAATAACAAAAAATTAAGTATAAATCTAATAAACTATGTATAAGATCTGTATAAAAATATAAAACTCTGATAAAAGAAATAAAAAAGAACTAAAAAAAGGAGAGACATTCCATGTTAATGGATAGCAAGACTCAATATTGTTAGGATATCAGTTTTTCCTGACTTGCTCTATGGGTTCAATGCAATCTAAAATCAATATCATAGCAAGTAATTTTGTGGATATGAACAAGCTGATTCCAGAGTTTATACAGTAAGGCAAAAGACCCAGAAGAGCCAACACACTATTGGAGAAAAATAAGTCAGAGGACTAAAACTACCTGACTTCATCTCTTACAAGGCTATGGTAATCAAGATAATGTGATATTTCTGAAAGCAAAGACAGACTAATGGAACACAATAGAAAGCTTAGAAATAGACCCATGCAAACATAGTCAATTGATCTCTGACAAGGTATCAAAGGCAATGCAATAGAGAAAAGACAGTATTTAATAAATGGTGCTGGGAAAGTTAGATCCATATGCAAAAGAAAATGAACATAGATGCTGACATTACACCTTTCCCAAAAATTAACTCAAAATGGATCATAGACCAAAAGTAAAATGCAAAACTGTAAAACCTCTGGAAGATAACATAAGAGAAAATATAGGTGACCTTGGGTTTGGTGATGATTTTTCAGATGCAACATACAAAATAAAAGAAATAAAAAATAGATAAATTGAACTTCATTAAATTAACTGTTTTGTGAAAGACACTGCTCAGAGAGTGAAAAGACAAGCCACAGACTGGGTGAATATATTTGCAAAACAGATATTTGATAAAGAACTAGTAAGCAATCTACACAAATAATTCTTTAAATTCAACAATACGCAAACAACCCAATTAAAAAGTGAGCAAAAGATCTGAACAGACACTCTGACAAAGAAGATGTACAGATGACAAATGAGCATACGAAAAGATTCCAAATCATATGTCATTAGGAAAATACAAATTAGAAGAACAATGAGATACAACTATGCACCTATTAGAGTGGCCAAAATCCAAAAGACTGACACCACCAAATGCTGGTGAAGATGTGGGGTAACAGAAACTTTTATTCATTACTGGTGGGAATGAAAAATGGTACAGCCATATTGGAAGATAGCTTAGCAGATTATTACAAAACTAGGCATACTTTTACCATATGATTGATCAGGCAATTGTGTTCCTTGATATTTACCTAAATGAGCTGAAAACTTATATCCACACAACAGCCTACACATAAATATTCATAGCAGCCTTATTCTTAATTGCCAAAACTTGGAAGAAACCAAGATGTTCTTCAGTAGGTGAATGAATAAACAAATTGTGGTACATTCAGACAATGGAATATTATTCAGCAATGAAAAGAAATGCGCTATCAAGCCTCAAAATGATATAGAGGAGCTTTAAACACATATTACTAAGTCAAAGAAGCCAATCTGAAAAGCTGCATACTGTATAATGTCAACTATGTGACATTCTGGAAGAAATGTCACATAAAAAAAATCAGTGGTTTTATGATTTTTATCAGAGACAGAAAAAAAATCAGTGGTTTCCAGGGGTCAGTGAGAGGGAGGGATGGATTAGCAGAGCACTGAGGATTTTTAGGGCAATTAAACAATTTTGTAGGATACAGTAATGATGGATACAGGACATTATGCATTTGGCAAACCCCACAGAACTATACACCAAGAATAAACCCTAATATGAACTATAAAGTTGAGTTAATAATAATGCATCATTATTTGTTCATCAATCGTAATAAATGTACCACACTAATATAAGATGTTAACAGGGAAAACGGGGGTAGATGGGTAAGTGATGGGGATATGGGGACTTTTCATACTTTCCACTCACTTTTCTGTAACTCTAAAACTACTCTTAAAAATAAAGTCTATTAACTTAAAGTATCTCAAATAAACATTAAATATATTTCTGTTCCCTGGAGGTCTAAGAAGTGATGATCTGATTAGCAGAGTGGGGACTGTGCATTGAGTCCATGCTAACTGCAGTCCTAACCACACTTCCTTCCTTTGCTTTCAGATGCACAGGGCCCTCACCTAGCAAGTCTGGAGCAGTCTGTGCTAGCCCTGTGTGTGGCTATGAGGTGTCAACCGTCATTACTTCCGGCCCCTAGGTGGGATGCCGGGGTCCAAGAAGATGAGATAACGTAACCAAGGTCACCGAGTTTGTCAGTGTCAGAATGTGAATTAGAAATGGGCTTCCACGGTGCAAGGAAGGGAAGGTCCCATACAGAGGTCAGCCCATCCTTAGCTTGGTGAGACAGCAGGAAGGCTAAAGGCTTCCAGCTTGGTTTCAAAAGCTGCCTCACCCAGGAGTGGGTGCACAATCTTGTCTGAAACATGGCTGCAGGTATGCGATGTGAAATCTCAATGATTACGAACTCTCAGGATCCGGCCTGCTTCCCACTCAGAGAATACATGGCTTTGCTTTTAACCCATCCATCTAAACTCCCCTGTCACTCATATGTGATGAAAAAACAGTCCGTCGGTATCCAAATGCACCCTGAGGCTGCTGTCGGCCCAGTGCTGAGCCCTCACCCAGGGCCCTCCACCCGAGCCCTTAAGTTCATCTTCCATCCATCCCTCCAGATGCCTGGCAGAACCCTGGACACTCTCATCGTTCTTCTTCCTCTGCTGACACACTTCCTTGGAGCTGGACTTACCTCTAGTAGCTGAAATTCTACTAAATTCATTCATTCTACTAAATAAATTCATTCTTAAAAAAAAAAAAAAAAAAAAAACAGTGAGGCCTCTCCTCCAGGAACTGTTTCTAGATTTTTCCAAGTAATGAAATCTCTTCTGGTTTAGAAAAGTAAGGAAATGTTCGTTGTCGGCACCCTCTCTCTCTTACCTCATGGTTTGGAAGCCAGGTATATAGGTCAAAGGTAGTTTGTCCCTTGCTAGGAAACACCGTAGGGGCTGGGGTATTACTTTTCTGCATATCTCTGCAGCATTCAACTTTTAAGGCACTTACTACAGTCAGAGACAAAAGAGATCTCTGGACACTTGTCCCATTCTCTCTCCCCAGCTGTCTTGCCAGCTCCTTCTGAGATTACAGATAGAACCTTCCTACCTGAACACCACAGAGCGCCTAACTTGACAACTAGGTGTTTGACAGATAAGGTGAGTGGATGCACGGTCAGATAGGACTAGCATGATCAAAGTGAAGTACAGGCTGTGGTGCTGCTCTTAAATTTACATTGGATATCTCTGAGCTTCGAAATAAGTTAAATTCACCCAGATAAGAAAATGCAAATTCTAGAACGATGTCTGTTTTCAGTGCTTGAGGATTCTCACATCACTGTGTTTCAGCAAAGACAAATTGTTAAGGTTAACTTTGATTTTGTTTCCCATATTTGAAAAAGTGAAATATAATAAATCCATAGGAATATGTATTTCTTGTATTGAACTAAAACCCCAACATCCCGTCAGAAACCCAGCCACTAACATCCCCCTCCCACCCAAAGCTGGCCACATGCAAAGCCAACAGCTTCCTCAGTTTAAGACCGAATTCAACCTCTCTCTCCCCTTCTTACCCTCAGCAAGAGTTAACAACGTCTACACGGAGAGACCGTGTTATTGCCAAATCAATCACTCGGATCAGCGAGGCATTCCATTATTTTCCATTCAGAGACCTCTGAACTTGCCCACTACACAGATCCAAACCATCAGTTGTTCTGACTTTATACAGACATAATTGATGGATAAATGTAAAGGAAGAAAGCAAGAGATCTGGAAGACTCTTGCTTGGAAGGAAATAAGTTTTGGTTTGTTTTTGGTGAATCAGGCTATTATTAGTAATCATTTTGGTGGGGTGCTAAGAAGTTACTCACATGTGCTAACAAAATTTGTATGGAGTTACATGGGATATAAATCATTCACAAGTGTTTCACAAATATACTTCTGAGACAGGAACAGCCAAATCTATCTGTGGTTTTGTTTTGTTTTTTGGCGAGGAAGGGCAGGCTTATGTCCCAATATATAATTTTTGTTTACATGTGTGTTCATTTTCCACAGAAGAAAAAAATTTTTTAAACCAAGCAAAAATACAAAGACGAAAATTTGGTGCCATGTTCCTACAAAGTTTTGAAAGTAAAGGAACGTTTCTCAAGATGAGGGAGGCCTGATCCCCAGACCTGGGATGGCTGCCCAGCAGCATCCCATGCTCCACTGAATGTGGGTCTGGGGTCACCAACAGGACAGCTGTCACAGAGTGCTAAGGGGGCAGCAGGCTGGTGGAGGGGCAAGGAAGATGTGGCAGTGGAGACAAGCACAGCAGTGGAATGGGAACATCTGTATGGGATGTGGGGTGCCAACCTGGAGGCAATCAGCCTTATTTCCTGGGAGGCCACTCTGCATCCCAGAAAGCCACAGCCAAAGGCTTCTTCCCCCGGGTATGCACTTGTCTCACCATGCGCTTGACTCTGGGCATGATTTACAGTGCCTCAGGCAGTCACAAGTTGAGGACTGGAGAGGGAGGATGCAGAGGTCAAAAGCAGCTTGCTGTCTATATTGCCTACCCTGTGGGGATGCCAGGTGCAGAGGCCAACGAGCAGCTTACTATCTACACTACCTACCCTGTGAGGGTGCCAGGGGCAGAGACCAATGAGTGGCTTAGTGTCTATACTACCTGCCATGTCAGGGTGCCAGGTGCAGAGGCCAATGAGCAGATTGCTGTCCACACTACCTACCCTGTGGGGATGCTGGGTGCAGAGGCCAATGAGTGGCTTGGTGTCTACACTACCTACCATGTGGGAATGCCAGGTGGGGAGGCCAATGAGCAGCTTGTTGTTCACACTGCCTACCATGTAGGGGTGCTAGGTGCAGAGACCAATGAGTTGCTTGGTGTCTACACTACCTACTGTATGGGGGTGTCGGGTGCAGAGGCCAATGAGCAGCTTGCTGTCCACACTACCTACCATGTAGGGATGTCCTGTATAGAGGCCAGCAAGCAGTTTGCTGTCTACACTACCTACCACCCCCTAAGCAGGTGATGGGCCAGGAGCCGGACATTGAAGATCTCTAAGACCATCTTTATATCACTCAGAAATAACGGCTGTACAAATCAGTCCTCCCAGAAGGAAAGGTGCCCTTTTCAAAGTTCAATTTACTGCCCTGAAGTGGTGAAAAGCCCCTTCTTTCTAACTCTGTCAGATGACTTTTGTGTGCTCAAAGACCAGCATTTTCCTTTCACAGCTGAGCGCCTGATGCCCAGACACCAAGGACCCACAAAACTTGATTCACTTCATTTTCTCACTTATCATTTCACATTTTCAAAAACACAGGGGCCCTGGGTTCAAAAACACAGGGGACCTTGAGGAAGTGAGAGTGTTTGGGCACTAATGCCAGAGCCTTTCAGGGAAAGCCATGGTGTTCTCCATCAGCTCACTTGGCAGTTAGACTCATGTGCAGAGTTCTGTTCCGAAAATGCAGCAGGCCCTATAACGACCTCATTAATGTCCCTTCACCAGCTTGTGGCAAAATGGTGGTGGGGAATTTTCTGGAATTATGCTGGGAGAGGGAAGCATGACCAACCACCATGCCCCAAAGAGCAGGGGGAACAGGGTGGAGGAGGATGGAGACAGGATCAGAACGCACTTGAGGAGCACAGGAGCTCCCTGGCACCCCTAGCAGCTGTCTTGAAAACCATCTCCCCTCAGGCACGTGGGTTTGCTATAGAGAACTGCAGGGCAGGGCCAGGCTGTGGAAACCCAGATGCTCACTAGCATTATCCTGTCCTGGCCGTTTGGGTCAATTGGCCTGGATAAGCCTCAGCCTTCTTCCCACCTCCTCATGGGATTCTTGAGGGCATGATGTTGGCCCCAGCACTTCTTGCTCTGTCTTCTCACTTCTACTAATTCTGACTGTATTAGTCCATTTTCACATTGCTATAAGGAAATACGCAGGACTGGGTAATTTATAAAAGAGGTTTCATTGACTCACAGTTCCGCATGGCTGGGGAGGCCTGAGAAAACTACAATCATGGTGGAAGACACCACTTCACAGGGAATCGGGAGAGAGAATGAGTGACAGCAGGGCAAATGCCAGGTGCTTATAAAACCATCAGATCTTGTGAGACTCACTCATTATCATGAGAACAGCATGGGGAAAACTGCCCCCATGATTCAATTACCTCCACCTGGTCCTGCCCTTGACACTTGGGGATTATGGGAATTACAATTCAAAGTGAGACTTGGGTGGGGATACAGAGCCAAACCATATCACCGACTCTCATGTCTTTCCTCTTATGTATCCTCTCTCCCCCCTACATTGACACAGTCCATTTGCTTTTGATGTCCCCACAAGGCCATTTCACTGCTCCTCCAACATTTACTCACCAACATTTACATGTCTCACCATGTTATTCTGTTCACTCATTTATCCGTTCTGTCTTTTGGAACTTGATCTCTCTTTTCGTGGGTACACCTAGCCCCCACTGCCCTTCTAGCTTTCTCATCAATGGGGGCTGCTATCCTCTGATGTGACCCCAATCCCCTGGCTGCAGAAATTGATCAAAAGTGGAGACATGGCCTGTGCTGAACCAAAAATGGTCCCTCAGTTTCTTAGCCATTGTGATTGGTCCAGGGAAGGGCACAGGTGCCAGCTGTAACCAATCAGAGCCCTTCTTTGGGGTTTTCCCAAGTAGAGATGGGGAGAGAGTCCCATTATCCCTAGAAGCTGAGATGTAAAGATTGGGTCCAGGTGTAGTGGTGACCCTGGACCCGGCTGCCTGTGAAAGCAGATACATGAATACACACCAAGAAAAGAGTAAAAGAGAGTAAGACTGATATGATGAGAGAGGCAGCCAGAAGACCTCCTGGGCTCCTTTGCTCTAGTGCTGTCTATCAGCCACAAAGCTCCTGGGAGCATCCAGCCAGAAACTAGGGTTGAGGTGGGGAAGATATCCCCTGGAGAAGCCCCTGAAAGTACTGGGGTCAGTAAATCTACATGAGCATACTGAACCTTTTCAGCAGGTAGAGCAGGAGTTCTTTCTCACATCCATCTGTGAAGTCCAAGAGACATAAATCTGAGCGTCATGCTAAATAAGGCCAAGATCATGAGCTGAAATTCTACTTGGGTCCTTTTACATGGCTTTTTTAAAGGAAGTCAGAGGAGAGTATTCCCAACCGTTGAAAAAGGACGGGTCAATTAGAAGTTCCATTAGTGGCTCAGTGCAACTAGGAAAACATAAGTACTATTATATTAGTATAGGATATGAAAACAGTGATCCTTACCTCAGGGTGTAAGGACTGAATCAACTGACATGTGCCAAGTTCTGGAAACTATCTGACACATGGTAAATACTCAACAACTGTTAGCTATTATTATCTCCACTATTTGCATTTGAACTGAGGAAGATCTTAAACCAGTCTCCTTGCCAAGCACAAGTCAGCACTTGTAGGAAGGACATGCCAGCAGGTCACTTGGTACAGAGAATTTCAGGTGATTAAGCTGCAGACCCAAGAGACAAGAAAATGAATGTCTGCATCATTATATCATTCATTCTTGGAACCAGTTTGGGCATCTACTACAATGTGAGGTGTAGGCAAGTCAGCAGGGCAGACTTTTCTCTGTTCTATGTTTCTCCTATAACCATGAGCTGTTATAGGACTGTTCCAACTGGAAGAGACTTTAAAGATAAGGAAAGCTATCACAGACTCTCACTAGACAGACGAGAAAACTACAGTCACCTTTGGATTCTGAGTCTACAGGTCAGTGCTTGTCAGGGGTGGGCACTCCAGCTGGGTCACTCTTTGCCTGGGGAAAAAGCTCCAAAGGTGACCGTGAGTACTTTAAGCACATACTAATTGCCCTGGGATACCCCTAACTGTCCAGTACTGAACTGTGAGCACATCATCTAGCCAAGTAGATCATTCTGGATTCCTAACATTTTAGTGGGCAGATGAATCTCCTTCCAAAACATTTCTCCTTGAAATTGTACTTAATGCTATGGTATAGACTATAAGTGGTGACAACGAATGTCTTTTTTACTAAAATCCTTTTCTATGTTGTTTGGTGTAGAAATGTAAAACATATACTGAAGATAAGTCTGTAAGATGGCAGGTTCTTGCATGGGCAGTACCACTTAATCATGTCAGTGAAGTGATGGAGTAGGTGCTGTTATGCTCATTTTACAGAGGAGAAAATTCAAGTTCTGGGGAGTTAAGTTTCCCAACTTTCTGCAGCTGGTAATTGGCTCTGCCAGGATTTAAACCTGGCCTTGCCTTACTTGGAAGCCTGTTCTCTCTCCATTGTGCATTGTCTCAAAATAGAGAGGGCAGCATTTGTAAATAATTTTGGCAAAATCCAAAGCTGGAGTAATTGGATCAGTTGATCAACAAGTATCTGTCCAAAGATATGCAGAGCACCTCAAGCTACGGGGAAGACTAAGGAAAGATAGCCTTTTTTGAATTTTTTGAATTTTTTGAAATTTTGAATATCTTGGCTGTTGCCAAGATAACTGTCAATTGTTAAGTGGCTTACAAAAGTAAGAGACAGAATCCCTGTATGATGCCAGCAAGAAGGAAAGAGTTCCTTCCCTTCAGGTTAGCAGTCACCATTCCCCTTACCCTGCACATGTGACTCTCCCTAATTAGGCATTAAATGAGCTCCATTTCTTTCCAGAAAAAAAAAAAAAGCATCCTATCTCTAAGTTCCCATCTGTAAGACTGTAAAATCCCTTTACTTTGTAATTAGCCAAGAACAAATAACCATCCAGAGGCAGCTGTGCTGCCTATTAGAGGGATGTAGAGAAAAAAAGAGAATGGTAGATAGCATGCCTCACTGTAGGTATTATTTGTTTCTTTCTGAGCAAAAATGACAAATTCTCCAAAAGAAAAAAAAATCATTTGTCACCAATGCACCAATGCTAACAGTGCAGACCAGGGTTCTATAAAGTTTTCTGTTTTTTCCAGAATTGAAATGTTCTTCCTGCAGTGTCCACTTTCTTGAGCTGAGGTCACCTGAAGAACGTTTTCTCATTTGTTCCCACCATGTGCTCAGACTCAAGGTGATGCTCCTTTTCTCTCGCACCTTGTTCAGCTGCCTGCTTCTCTCTAGAGAGCTTTCCCAAGCCCTCGCTGCGGAGTGATCAAAAGGGGCTGATGGATGCCAGGTTTAGGAAATTCCATGGGAGAATACAGTTCAGCGGTTCCTTGGTTTTACTGCCCATGAAAATTTCCCATATATGGGGGTTTCTGTGAGCACAAATGTAGTCCTAAATCTTTACTTATCTTGTTCGGTAAACCACTGACATTTCAGCTCAGTGATGTGTATTAATCACGTCTTTCATTTCCTGTATTTCAATGCTCTGATACTGCATCTTGCTGACCCTGAGGGACTGCCCCTCCCAGGGTTAACCAGCTCCTAGAGATAGGGAGCAACATACCCAAGACTGTGCTTTTCAAATACAAACCAATCAATCCAGAGCTCACACCCAACCATCTCCTTTATTAGACTCTCACTCCCCACTTTGGGACCACTATCCACTGTTCAGGTCACCCCAGGGCCAGGTGTCAAAAACCTAGTGAGAAAAGAAAAGAACCTTTATGTGAAGAATGTGAGTCCTTTTAAACCATGGGGCCTAGAGAGACATTAAGATGAGACGGTAATCAGTCCTACTTCCCCTTGGCGCTATGGACTCACCTTTTGAAATTGCTTGCTATTGCTACGCACTATTTTTTCAGTGGCAGTTGTCTCCTAATTTGTTGGTCTTACCATACTTTACATTTTCTATTAATACTTTATATTTTTTCAAAGTGAGAGTCTCTACTGAGTCACTCTTACCAAATTCCAGGGCCTACCACAAGGCAGCAGAAGAATTTTGGTGTCCTCATCCTTATCTTGCTTTTCAAAGAGAAAAACCAACCACTGTGATTTAAAAAGGAAGCAAAACAATCAAAGAGATGCAGATGCAAGTTTAATACTCTGCATCTTGGAGAAAACTTACCTAAGGTGACCTGAGTTTAGTCACTGCCTCATTCAAACAACAAATCTTGGTGCGTTTTCCCTGCGGAACATTCATTAAAACCACTGCATGATTTCTGAGGATCTGGATTTTGTAAGCTCATTAGTTTGTGTAAGAGCTCTCTGTGATTTGACCCAGTTTCAATCCCCAAACTCCAGAAATAAAATATAAATGTTTTATGTACGAGGATTTGGTCATCTATCATTAGTCTATTAATAAGTAACAGGGTGATACTGCCCCACATATAACCTGAAATGCCTTGGATGATACATTGCGGAGAAAGGGCATGTTCCATTAAATCCTGAGTGAGGAGAACTTCCTAGAGAGAGAGCTATTTGCACAAGATAAAATATCTATATCTTAACTGGAACTACCTGAATAATGAAATATAGTCCTTCTAATGTTATTGAACCCATTTATGCCCGAGGTTGCAATTTTTTGAACTTTTGCAATCAGACCTTGGCGATGACCTTGAGCAATAGGATATAAATAACTGTCACATGCTTATGTTCCAATAATGGAACACTAGGCAAAAATAAAAAGCAGACAGTTACAACCACCATCATCCACTGAAAGTTCATCAAAAAAACTTGAAGCATTCACATGAATTTCTACTTTTCACAGTTTACAGCACTAAGTCAGTGTTTTAAGATGCTTCTGTAAACCTGTGCTTAATAATACATCTGGCTATAAAGAGCAAGCAAAGCATTCCCCTTATTAGCTGAGGCAACACAGCTGAGCCAGTCTCCGCAGTGCAATATTACCTGACTCTCACCCAGGTGACAAGAGAGACCCCAAGCTTCTGACTGAAGACTTTCTTTAGCTGCTGACTTTTGTTGCTTTTTTTGTTTTTTCCACTTATGAATGTCTTGGGGCTTTAGATAGGCAGAGAGTGGTAGACGTCAGCTTGGAATTCTCCATGGGGTCATCTGCCTTTAGGTGAATTATTGTGAACAATGAGAGAAAGTTCAATAGGTGAACTGAAAGATGGTCACAGAAAAAGCAATCTAATACTTTCAAATTAATCAGGCATTTTTTCTTGTCTTCTTTGATTGATTCAACTTTTTAAATTTTGACTCTGAAAATTGTTTATTAGGATGATTATTAAGATTATATATATATAATCTTATATATATATATATATATAAAACAGATATATATAAATCTGTTTGATTCTGTAAAAATGATAGTAGCCAACTATCTGCTCCTCTAGGATACCCGCATTGGGGGTTGGCTTTTGCTAAGCACTATGTTTGCATTGACATGCTGCATATTTTGTCAGCCTCAAAGCAAAGACCTCTCCCTGCTGTCACCTCAGTGGTGCCTTTGATGACCTCAACCAGATGCTGAGAGAATTCAGGTAGTTTGCAAAGCTAGGACTTCAAAGCATCTTCCCCCTGAGTCACTCAACTTACCTTAAAACGGTAAGATTTAAACCTGATTTTTAAGAATTCTAAAACAAAATAATTCTATAACCCTTTGCAATGTTTAAAGCTCCCCTCACCATCCAGAAAGTCTTTCTTATTTTCAAGCTAAATGTTCTCTGTGGCAGCTTAAAACCCTGACATTTCTCGGTGCTGATAACAGCCATGCCTCTGTGTTGCCCAGTTGGATATGGAGAGAGAACTCCTCAAATTCAGACAGAGAAAACACCTTGTTAACAAGTTATTATTTGAATGAATTTACCTTTTTTTTTTTGAAGTGAATCTATTTCTTGAGTGAATTGTTGATTTTCTGTTTCAACTCAGTATGAAGTTGACTGGGGCTACTGCTTCTGACTCCAGGCTGAGTTTTCAATCTACCTCCTCCAATTGCTCAGTAGTAGTTTGGAAGGCAGCTGGGAGGGGAGGCTCTGGGTGCTTATCTGGCTGGCGACAGGCACCTCACCACTGACCAAAGGGTGACTGAGACCCACGGCCCCATGGAGCGGCTGCTCCCAGCCTGTGACTGAGCACAGCAGGAACACCAAGGACTCAGTGATGCTCTGCTGGTCTTGCTGAACCTTGTCTGTACTGCACAGCCATCCACACGTGGATGCTTTCACACAACCTTGCTTCCCTCTCTCCCTCCTTCACTTGGGTCAGAAGGTGCAGGGGTCCACTGCCCCTCCCAACCCTCCCCCAGCTCCCTTGCCCTCTTTATAGGCATTTCTCTTATAAAACCCTTGCATCCTTCATTCTGTCTTGGCATCTGTTTCTCGGAGGACCCAGGCTTCCCCTAGGGATGACCTTGGGATGTCACATGGGGCTGGGTTGAGGGCAGAACCAGAGTCCTCACTGTAGTGCTCATCAACACTCCCTTCCCATTGGCCAACCAGCCAGTTAGCATCTTCCCAGGGTGCATAAAAGCTGCTCTACTGCCCTGACCCCAAAGCCTAGGTGCTCCTTTTGCCCCCAGCAGAGATACCTGTCTGTGCTGGGGTCCTGAGGGCAGGCAGAGGATGGAGGACATGACCTTGTGCAGACTCCACCGCTGATCAAAGTCATCAACAACTTCAAAGGCCAAAATTCAAAACAGGCAGGATGGAGTAGGGTGTGACCGTGTCTGCGTATGTGTGTGCATGTGTCCCTAGGTGAGTGTGTACCTGCATGTGTGTGCACGTGCATGTGTGTCCATGAGTGCAAGTGCCTGTGTGTGTGTGTGTGCATGCATGCAAGTGTGTGAGTCTACCTAGCTGTGCTTGTGCATGGGCCTGTATGCATGTGTGAATTTGACTGAGTGTGCACATATACAAATGTGTATGTGTGTGTGAGTATGTGGTCACAGGCTGCAGCAGGAGCATCTCAAGGGAGAAGGGCTGCTAGTGTGGATCAGCTGCATTTCTATGCACTATTTTCCCCATTAGCACTCTCCCTGAAGACTACAGAAATCCTATAGTCCACGTTCTGTTTTTAAATTCCACATAAATAAACTGGGAGAATGGCCTTTCCTTCCCCCTTGCTCTCCTTCCCTCCCTGGTCCTTTCCCTCCTTTTCCTCCCTCCCTATTTTTTCTCTTCCTCACCCAACTTCCCTCCTTCCTTTATTTTCTTTCTTTTGGCATCAAGACCCTTGGTCGGGCTGGAGATTGCACCTGCCTGAGCGGTGAGCCAAGGGAAAACTCTGTTTTGATTATTGATCTTCTCTGCTTTAAGCCTTGTCTGTCTTCAGTGAGCCCAGAAAACAGAAGAACAATGATGTCTTTGGCCATGTCTGTAAGATCAGTGCCAGCAGAGATGATGGCTCCAAGGAGTCAAACCCTAAAGGTGGCCTTTACCCCAGCAAGAGCCAAATCTTAGCTCAAAGAAAGACATAGTATTAGGGTGGGGTCGGGGGCTGGGGAAGAAAGATCAAACCAAATCCCTTCCTCCTTCCTTCCCTCTCCCCCTTGGGACTCAGTTCCCAGCGGCTTCCCCAGAGATGCCTTTGTGCAGCCCCTAGGGTGGCTACCTCCCCACCCTTCACCCTATTAAATCACAGCCCAGGCCCTCCTCTTTTTTTCTCAGCTGTGCAGACAGGCTTTCCCACTGTAGCTCGAGATTAAAAATGAGAGATTTATTGTGAGGAAATTCTCCCTGCTTTAGGGTGACATAACTCCAAATCAAATGAGGAGAGCATAATCAGCAACACTGAAGATGCCTTTTATGGGTCAGTTAGAAATAAAAATGGGACAACTGAACTCCTGCTACCCTAGGAGCACAGATTTATGGCCCTCTCGGATGACCATATATAGAGTCGGCCGGCCCAGAACATTATTTATTTAGCAGATCATCAGGGCTTCGAAGATAATCCTGGAAGAACCTCATTGTCAAGTAGATGAAGCAGTCTATTAAAATGACACAGTAAATTCAAGTCTAACTCTCATCGTCTTCCACATAAATATGTGTCCTTCCCGGGCTAAGCTTAACTCAAGAAAGAACAGTGTCTCCTGAATGAGGGGTAGATACAAAGTATTAGAGATAGTGCGTGTATTACCTCTGCATTTACTCACACGCTTTCCATAGGCTTCTTTCAAGGCTTTGCACCATAAAAATGAGAGTTTCAGCATTATGCTGCAATGCTGCCTGGATAATCCTGAACCAAAGGTGTAATTCTCTTTTCTCAGAAATAATTAGGTTGAGCATACAAAAATGACATGCCAGAAGTGATCAAATATCAGCAGCCTCCTCTGGGTCAACCCAATACATCAATTCTTTTCTCAATGATAACAGAGGTAAAGGTGAGAATAGTGGAGGATGGTTGAGTGAACAGTGAGGATAGTTGAGTTGCTTGCTTTTGTTTTGTTAAACACAGTTCATACCTCTTTTGCATTTAGTAACCTTCAGAGAAATGAAAGTTTCTGGCTGCTAATAGTGTACAGAGGGGAAATTATTTCTGATTTCTAAAAAATAGCATTATATTTCTGTTTTAAATTCCTGGGCAGAAACACTGGAGGGGGAGGGAAGAACCTAAAGATGGAAAGAAGGCATCCCATGCTTGCTGTAGCTGACAAAACCACAATTCACAACTTGTCTATTACACATTTGCCATATCCCCAACTTGCAAGTAAGGATATCGATACTGATAAAGACAGTTTATGTTTGTAGACTGCATTACTTGCATAAAGCCTCTTCACACCCACCTCCTGGGCAGGGCAGGTTAAATAGCTACAATTTTAGAGAAAAGGAAGGTGTAGATAAGGAAGCTGCAACGTACCCAACACCACGTGGCCAAGAAGTGATGGAATCTGGAGTGGGTAAGAACTCGGAACTACAATCTAGGGCTGCTTCTCTTCTGCCTCCCCGATGAGGATTAAGGATGGTCCATGCCATATCCTGCCCACTCAAAGGAGAGAACTCACATGAGCAATTACACTGTAGCTTACTTTGCTCAGTGGCTCTGGCAGTTTTATCATTTTGGGGAAAATAATGTCTGTTGCAAGTACCAGTGGTTAGACACCAACATGCAAATGTGGAACTTCCTCCACATCCTTGTTCCCATTTTAGAATTTCGCAGCCCTTGCTGACAGTGCCCTGAACTCCAGTCAGACATTTATTTTTGAGAAGTCCCTCAGAGTCTAATGACTCCTACTTAACACACAGTATTAACACGGTGTCGATTGAGTGCTGTGTCCAAGCTCAGTGAATGTTTAAGCTAGCAAACAATAAGCACACTGATTGAATTGTACTGGTGTGAAATGAGCTGGTTGAGGCAAACCAGAAGGTAACAGAAGTAGAAGCTGACGGCCACCCGTGAAGGGAACAAACAGCAACTGCAATACCCACAACCAGACCGGGCTCATGCTGCTGCTACTGCATGGAGAGACGGCTGAGGAATGTGCACGAGACACAGTGCAAGGTGGCAAGAACATATTTTCAAAAGACTGCACTGAAATAAGTCCAAACCAAACGTTGGACTTCCAATTATCTGAGTAATTCAAATATGAGGAGCACAGCAACGCAAGATCCCTGATGTGTTACTGCAAATGTGCTGTTTTGTTATATGTGTGTGGACAGCAGAATTATTGATAAGCTTCTAAAACTGTGGATTAATCCACTGATATTAAAGTTGTGCATGAATACACAGAGCGAAACATAAACTATCCTCTGGAAATGAAGAGCCTGTTCCCTGACGGGAGATAAAAGCCCCTTTCCAGACAACCTCTACAGGTCCCACTGGTTCCCACTGCCTGGAGTCCCTCCTCCCAGCCTCCAGCAAATACTTTTTTCCAGGAGAGATCTTTATCCTCTCTGGGTCAGCCCAGGACAGGCCTGGGAGGAGGACAAGTCGGAGGGCGGGGCCTGTAATAGGCAGAGGCACGGCAGTGGGAATGGACTCCGGGTTCCCGATAGCAGCTTGTTTCACAGGGAGCGTCTTCACACCTCATTTTTGGGGCCAAGGCTGCATCCACCTACCTTTTCCCCCAGCCCCCAGTGGAACACTAAAGCGCAAATGGTATTTGAAAAGTCAAGAAACATAAAATCGATTTCTTTCTAAACAGTATTTACATTTTTACATAATATGCTCAATATATTTTTTTCAGCCTCCAGATGCCTCTTCAGATGAAATACCTTGAAATTTAAAGCAATGAGTTCACTTGTTCACCCGACAAAAGTAAAGCAGATGCACCATTTTCCCTGTGTGTCCGAGTCTGGGGACACTATGATGTGTGTACTGATCTCATCCACGATCATGGCTTTTGCTGCTTTTTTCATGCCGGTGTCTCACTGCTGCCAGCCCCACCTCACCTGGTGTTCCAGGCTTCCTGGGCATCTGCTTCCCAAACTCCACGTGTTCAGATGGCATTCATTCCTGCGCGTGCATGCACACACACCTACACGTGTGCACACATATGCATACACATGCACACAGAGACACACGCACACACACACATGCACACACACACGCACACACAGGCATACACACATACATGCATATCTTCTTCACCCTTGTATTTCCTGTCCTAGTGTGGACACCAAACTGCCTGCTTCCCCTTCACGCATTCACCTGGGAATCTTTTTATTCCTTTGTTCTCTGTTCTTTTTATGCCCTTGCTGCTCATGTCCAATCAAGGGCCAAGCCTCTAGCCTGGCCCCTCCTCTCACTCCCCAGTCCCACTGTTGTGGTTCAGGTATTCCTCATCACCCACCTGGATGGCCGCAGTAGCCTCCTGACCCATGCTCCTAGGTCCAACCTCATTTCCTCTCAAATCCATTCCCCAAGAGAACCAATACAAACTCAAATGGTACAGCCGGTAGTGAGTGGAATGTGGCAACATCTCACAAAATGACACACATGTGCCCTTCAATGCAGCAATCTCATTTTCAGGAGTTTACCTCGAAAATACATCCATGCATCAAAATAACTGACCACAGCATTATTTGTGATAGCAAAGTATTGGAAACAATCCAAGTGCCTATCCCTAGGACACTGGCTAGATAAACAATTTTATATAGTGTTGACTTTTTGAAATGTAAGCATTTTGCATTTCCAAAAAATAAATTCAAAGATAAACAAGCCTAAAGTTGTATATAAACAATTGAATCTAACCACAAATAATATATTTAAGTAATTTTAAACACAGTCCTCTGAGTGTACGCCCATAGTGGGACATGTTCTAAGAAAGAAAATAGCTCCAAGAAATCTTACATTTTACCTGGTAAGTTTGCTGTTGGTGGTGGTGTTACCTATACAGTAATCTGGAAACAACCTTGTGTATATTGTAATACAGAGCACAAATAAGTAAATATATTCATATATTTGAGAACCAATGTAGGGATATGGAATGGGAGGAAGTGAGGAAGAATCTCATGTTGAATTGGTGTTATTGGCATAAACTAGTAAGTTTGGGAAAATACACATTTCTAAGCACTTTCCACTTGAAGGGCCTAGAAGCAGCGATATTTCGGTAGCAATAAAGCACAGTTAGCACATGGACCTGGGTTTCTAGTGATTATTCCTCACTAAAAGGAACTAGGGCTCTCTGGAAAAGTGTAATTCCAAGTTCAGGGCAAGAAAGCACAAAGTTAGGCAGGAAGCCTGGAAGTGCGCAAAACTGAGTAAGGACCATCCAAGGCACACGAGCTGGCTTGAAGGAGCAACCACTGGCCCAATTTGGGACAATTTGAGCACCAACATGCATAAGGAATGACACTAATGAATTATAATGCATTGAATAAAAAAATGAATCCCAGGAGTCTACAGTGATAATTTAAAGAAGTGTGTGGTGGGAGTTTCTCTTCAGAGAAGCATGTCAAGCTACAAATGGAGAATGGAAGATAGAACTGTAAAATCTCCCTTAATTATGAAGAGTAAGATATATCTTTAAAATGGAAAAACTGTAGAGACATCAAGCGGACAACTTAGGACAGCAATACTGGGACAAGCTGGCACCATGAACCTCTGGAACCGATGCAACGGGAAGGCCACCACCTCTCCCATGTGGTACTTTTGCCAAAAATGTTTGACCTTAATCTAATAATGAGTGAACAATTGCACAAACCTCACACTGAGGGACATTCTACAAAGTGACTGGCCTGTACTCTTAACGGATGATAATGTCAAGAAAAACAAAGCAACAGTAACAACAAAAAGGCCGGGGGCTGGTCATTAAAAGAGATAAAAGAGCCAATGTCCCCAGTAATTAATTTTTTTTTTTTTGAGACGGAGTCTCACTCTGTCACCTAGGCTGGAGTGCAGTGGCACAATCTTGGCTCACTGCAACCTCCGCCTCCCAGGTTCAAGTGATTCTCCTGCCTCAGCCTCCTGAGTAGCTGGGATTACAGGTGCACACCACCATGCCCAGCTAATTTTTGTATTTTTAGTAGAGACGGGGTTTTACCATGTTGGTCAGGCTGGTTTTGAACTCCTGAACTCGTGATCTGCCCACCTCGGCCTCCCAAAGTGCTGGGATTACAGGTGTAAGTCACTGTGCCCAGCCCAAAAATTTTTATTAGCGGGTATGTTTTGCGGGTATTGGCCATTAGTGTTCTTATGTCTTCCTTGATCAGACTCTCCATAAAGAACAGGAGACCTATAAAGTTCCTTTGTGGGATAATTCAGAAAATTTAACTATAGAATGAGTGTCAAATAATACGTTCAATATATTTTCAGTGTTCAATTCCATAGAATAGCAGTGACATTGTGGTTATGTAAGATAATGTCTTTTTCTCCTAGAGACCTATGCTCAAGTTTTTTTTTTTTTTTTTTTTTTTTTTGTTGTTGTTTTTTTTTTGAGAAAGGGTCTCACTCTGTTGCCCAGGCTGGAGTGCTGTGGCACAATCTTGGCTCCCAGGCTCAAGCCTTTTGGCTCCACAACCTAGGCTCTTGGCTCCACAACCTCTGCCTCCCAGGCTCAAGCGATTCTGCCTCAGCCTCCCAAGTAGCTGGGATTACAGGCACACACCACTACCACTCGGCTAATTTTTGTATTTTTAGTAGAGCTGGGGTTTCACCATGTTGGCCAGGCTGGTCTTGAACTCCTGACCTTAAATGATTCACCCGCCTCAGCCTCCCAAAATGCTGGGATTACTGGCATGAGCCACTGCACCCGGCCCCATGCTCAATTATTTAGTCATCATGTCTATAACCTATTTTCAAAGTTTTGGCAAAAATATACAGAGAGGAAGAGAAGACCAATGTGGCACCTGTTAACAAGTTGGGAATCCATGTGTAGAATGTGCAGTTATTTATGGTACTATTCTTGAAACTTTTCTGTAGATTTGTACGTTTCAAAATGAAAAGCTGGAAGGAGTTGGAGTCAAGTCTATGCTCCCGGACCCAGGAAATTGTCTTGGGTATTTGGTTTCTGCTTAATCTCTCAGCTTTATATCTTGTCACCCCTGGCCTCCCTTGCACCAGCCACCCCCACTTGTCTACTGTTTCTAGATCACACCATGCCTTTCCTCTTCGCTCTGCTATGGCTCATGTGGTTCCTCCCACCATTAAGGGATTCCTTCCTTTTCATGCTTCATAACTTCACTTCCTTTAAACGTATCTCAGACAAGACTCTTTGTGAGACAAACTCCTTTCCTGCACACCCCTCCCCTACCCCTCCAGGCTTGGGTGCCTACCTCCATCGTATCATGCACTCTGTTGTGGGACATGAACTGCTGACTACCGACAAACCTGGCATCCTGCACTAAACAGTAAGCTCCCCAGGAAGACCTGGCTTCAAATCCTGAGTGCACTGTCAGGACCTGGCACCCTCAATGTCCAGAGAACCAACCTACTGTGGGGGCTGGGCAGGGATGTCTCTAAACATGCAGCCCTCTCTAAATATCAGGATTCCTGCTTCCTTGCTGCCTGCCTTTGCTCAAGCTCTGGATGATGCTGTGTTATTAATAACAACAAATGGAGCTCTGGAAAACCAATAAGTTCGGTGCCTATACCAAAACAGAAACAGAACCCCTGGGAGCAGAGAAAACAATTCTGCAAACCCTCCTGCTGCTTAGCCCCATTAAAAACACCTCCCGGGGGCTCCTGCTTAGCTCATTCTTTGGGAAGGAAAGCATCCTGCAAAGTTTTTAAATGGCCTAGCTACATTTTCTTTTGTCCTAATTACCACAGCCATCTTTTTCAGACCGAGCAAAGGCCCCTTATCACTTTGCACTCACCCTGCTGCTAGGATTCAGTTTCTGCAGTTGGGGCTGAGCGGGAAAGCAGGAAAAGCTAGAGGAAGGGAGATGGCCCCTTCTGAGCTCAGCCCCTCAAATGTCTCCCTCCCACAACATCTGGATGACCAGTAGGGCTGAGAAAATCGAACATTCCCTGTTCTGCTAAAGCACCTTAGTTGTGGCCCAGAACACTGAACCACTCTTGGCCAGACCGGCTGGATGCGGGGCAAGAGCTGCCAGTGTGTCTGCCCTGAGCATGCCAGGTGCCCAGCCATAGGAGTTTGCTCAGGCCACATGAATATGTTCATTTATAAATGTGAAAACTGAAGCTTGGGAATTAAAGTAGCATCACTGATCAGCAGAGTTTTATGGCCAGGAGGTGACACTGATAAGCGACTTCCTAACTTTATCAATTACTAATCAATTACACTTATGTGTAACTCTCTTATTCCATCAGAGGCCTGCAGGCAAAAGGGCTCACTCACACATCCTTCTATGGGGGCTCGTTCTTCCCCCAACTCACTGGGTGGGGTTTTGTAAAGAGGTGAGAAATTCCTTCCTGATTGCTAAAATAATACTTTCTTGCAATAGAAGCTTCCTGCTTAAGCTTTTAGAACTTTCTTATAAGCTGTGGCTGCTCATTGGAAACACCTGGGGAGATTTTTAAAGCTCCCCCTGCCAGGACTCACTGCAGACCAATTACTTACCTCACTCTGCGGAAGGAACAGAGGCATCAGTATTTTTTAAAGTTCTCCAGGTGACCTTAATGTGCAGCCAGGGTTGAGAATGACCGTCAGCATTTTCAACAAAACTACAGAAGATGTTGAGAGCAGGATAGCCCAGGTCAGAAGCCAGGTTCCTGACAGCCCCACTGATCACAAGCATCCTCAGTTCTTTCTGGGATACATCAGGCCAGAACCATGGAGGTGCAGCCCTACTCCCGTAACTGCTTGCTCTCCCAACACACAATACCTGTGTCACTACCTGCTTGACAAAGGCACGTCTAGCCAGTAGCAGCCTGCCCTCTCTCCCCAAGTTCCAGATCTGAGCTTTATTTAAAAAACCCAACACCTGTTTAGTGCGGAGGCTACAAGCACAGCACTGTGGCCAAGATGGTCTGGTTCTGCTCTGAGCTCTGCCATTTACTGGCCATGTGGGGGAGACTTAGATTCCCTCAGAGATTACCTGCAGACAGCTCTACCCAGTCTGCATGTGTTCTCTGGCCAGAGAACACACTCAGTAGGATCGACCAGAACTGCCAGAGAGTCAGCACCCCAGGAGTGACCCTCAAGCACTGGGGGAAAGAGACTCCCACTTCTTTGTCCCGGATGGGACAACTCTGAGGCTGAGGCGTGTTCCTCACAATCTCCCGGAGGTTCCCGGTGTCCACAGTGGTAACTCGCTCCCTGACACATCTTGTATTGAGACAGCCAGGTGCGAAGAGTTCCCTGGCAAAACTCTAACCAGCCTGTGCCACTGGGGTGGAGGCTCCGGAAGTTCGTGCATTTTGCAGAAGGGAGAAGCCTGGCCCCTCTTCTTCCTGTGTTGAACCTGGAATTTAAGCTGTGAGGCGCGAAGCCCATGGCCAAAAAGCACACTCTCTTGCTTTGCTAAGAGTCTCTGTCCCCCCACTTTTTTTTCCTTTTTGCCCAGTAAATCCCGTTTTTCTCACTCTTCAAATCGTCTGCAAGCCTAAATTTTCATGGGCGTGTGATAAGGATCCACATCTTTAGCTGAACTAAGGAAGAAGTCCTGCAACAATATTAGCTCTCCTGTCTCATTTGCTTACCTTGCTTCCTGTCTCCTCCTCCTAAACTGAAGCCCTTGTTCAGGCTCAGCTGTTGAAGAAACTCAAAACTCAAAACTTGGCTGTCATTTCTCTGATGGCCAGTGATGATGAGCATTTCTTCATGTGTTTTTTGGCTGCATAAATGTCTTCTTTTGAGAAGTGTCTGTTCATGTCCTTCGCCCACTTTTTGATGGGGTTGTTTGTTTTTTTCTTGTAAATTTGTTTGTGTTCATTGTAGATTCTGGATATTAGCCCTTTGTCAGATGAGTAGGTTGCGAAAATTTTCTCCCATGTTGTAGGTTGCCTGTTCACTCTGATGGTAGTTTCTTTTGCTGTGCAGAAGCTCTTTAGTTTAATTAGATCCCATTTGTCAATTTTGGCTTTTGTTGCCATTGCTTTTGGTGTTTTGGACATGAAGTCCTTGCCCACGCCTATGTCCTGAATGGTAATGCCTAGGTTTTCTTCTAGGGTTTTTATGGTTTTAGGTCTAACGTTTAAATCTTTAATCCATCTTGAATTGATTTTTGTATAAGGTGTAAGGAAGGGATCCAGTTTCAGCTTTCTACATATGGCTAGCCAGTTTTCCCAGCACCATTTATTAAATAGGGAATCCTTTCCCCATTGCTTGTTTTTCTCAGGTTTGTCAAAGATCAGATAGTTGTAGATATGCGGCATTATTTCTGAGGGCTCTGTTCTGTTCCATTGATCTATATCTCTGTTTTGGTACCAGTACCATGCTGTTTTGGTTACTGTAGCCTTGTAGTATAGTTTGAAGTCAGGTAGTGTGATGCCTCCAGCTTTGTTCTTTTGGCTTAGGATTGACTTGGCGATGCGGGCTCTTTTTTGGTTCCATATGAACTTTAAAGTAGTTTTTTCCAATTCTGTGAAGAAAGTCATTGGTAGCTTGATGGGGATGGCATTGAATCTGTAAATTATGAAATTATGAAATTATGAAATTATGAAAATGGCAGTATGGCCATTTTCACGATATTGATTCTTCCTACCCATGAGCATGGAATATCATCTCACACCAGTTAGAATGGCAATCATTAAAAAGTCAGGAAACAACAGGTGCTGGAGAGGATGTGGAGAAATAGGAACACTTTTACACTGTTGGTGGGACTGGAAACTAGTTCAACCATTGTGGAAGTCAGTGTGGCGATTCCTCAGGGATCTAGAACTAGAAATACCATTTGACCCAGCCATCCCATTACTGGGTATATACCCAAAGGACTATAAATCATGCTGCTATAAAGACACATGCACACGTATGTTTATTGCGGCACTATTCACAATAGCAAAGACTTGGAACCAACCCAAATGTCCAACAATGATAGACTGGATTAAGAAAATGTGGCACATATACACCATGGAATACTATGCAGCCATAAAAAATGATGAGTTCATGTCCTTTGTAGGGACATGGATGAAATTGGAAACCATCATTCTCAGTAAACTATCGCAAGAACAAAAAACCAAACACCGCATATTCTCACTCATAGGTGGGAATTGAACAATGAGATCACATGGACACAGGAAGGGGAATATCACACTCTGGGGACTGTGGTGGGGTCGGGGGAGGGGGGAGGGATAGCATTGGGAGATATACCTAATGCTAGATGACACGTTAGTGGGTGCAGCGCACCAGCATGGCACATGTATACATATGTAACTAACCTGCACAATGTGCACATGTACCCTAAAACTTAGAGTATAATAAAAAAAAAAAAAAAAAACTTGGCTGTCGAGGACATGGCGAGACCTGGAATTAATGTCCCTGAGCCCGTGTGGCCTCCATCTCTGAAAGCCCTCAGAAGTGAAAGGAGATGCTGTGCAGCTTCCAGCACTGCCTCCCACGGGAAGGCAGGAAAGGGCAGCTGCTGCAAAGATCCTACCCAGGAGGCTGCACACCCTTTTCCCAGCCCCTTCACATCCCTCCCCTCAGGATCTGCCTGAGGGACTGCAGAGACGGTCCACATGACAGATGGACAGCTGGGTTAAACCTCCAACATTTCTTCTGGGCAGAGATTCAGGAAATTTTGCTTAGAGGCTCTGTATCAGTCATTAAGTATTAAATCCATCACTTGCAAAAACCTTTATACCAGATCCCCGGTCCTTGCATTCAGTGTAAACTGAGCCTCTGCAAAACATATTCTCTTCTGGCTTAAATGCCCAGGAAAAAAAAAAAAAAGAAGCTAGCTTTTTACTGCCTGATTTGTGCCAGCAGGAGAGGGGGTTTGGCAATAGGGCCTCACAGGTGGTGGTGTGTACTTCCACCAGGAAGCACAAATGTCTGCTTGTCACTCCTTTTGGTGTTAGCAATAATCAGTGATCTTGGCCCAGATCCTTTATGTCACCAGGAGATGCAGTGTGGTGAAGTTCACATTTGTTTTCCTTCCTTCTTTGTTTATGAGTTGAAATACTTGTATAAAGAGAAACCTTCTCTCATCAACTGTTTGGTTACTTGAACTACAGTTTTACATGAAAGACAAAATAAATGCTTGATTCTTTCTTGTTATTTATCAGCTTTCAAAATAATGAGTTGATTTCCTAGCATCTTCCAAAGGTGGCCAATGACTTCTTTTTTTAGGCATCATAATAGACTCGTGGTTTGAAACATGTCTGATTCATTACAGTCATTATTCTAAGTGATGCTCAAATCATTACACCTCTGGCCAGTGGGAATCTCTCCAAATTGGCTCCTGAGTCCCACTGACATGACCCAAACAGACTTACTTCCATGACTGTTTTGCTATTTGGTTTGATATAATGTTCCATCTTGTGCATTTCCTGCCCCAGACTTAGAATTATCCACTTCTCTAAGAATCTCATTCTTTTAAAGAGGAGTGATGTTTATTATATTATTATATTATATATTATATTATTAGGGTCTTTTACAATTCATGGTGATGGGCACTCAATGAGCCCTTTCAAAGTAGTCAACTCATATTTATGAGCTGGATATTTTCTTGTATTTTTCTTTGATAATTTCATCTCCTCTTCCATTTACTGTTTTTTGTTTTGTTTTGCTTCTATAACTTTTATTTATCTGGGTTTTAGATTGCACAGACCAGTCCTCTAATTTTCTTATTTTTTTCCCCCTACTTTATTCCATCCATTGTAGTTTTATTCTATTTTCCGGGAGATTTCCTCAACTTTATGTTGGCACTATTTTTTTGGATTTTTTGTTTTTGCTATTACATATTTTTATTTCCAAGAGCTCTATTGTGTTCTCTGAATGTTCTTTTTATACAGCATGCTGTTCTTGTTCCATGGGTGCAACAACTTCTCCTAGACCTGAAGCTATCACTTATCCTTTTCTTGATGTTTCATATGTGCTCCACGCTGTCTCTGTTTGTTTAAAATTCCTTTTTGTCCTGCTTTTCCACTTTGGTTTCTGCCATTCCCTTTCAAGTGCCTAATGATCCCTTGTTGTTTTTTCATATTTGAGTGAGGAGCTAAAATGTTGACTGAAAGCTCTGTTTCTGTGAAGGATGAGACTATTTCCTTCAGGGTTTCACTGCAGAGTGGGCAGGCAGGGATCTAGCAATCTCTCAGGGGACCTCCAATGTCAACATTATGTAGGCCTTTTGTTTTGAGCAGATTGGTTTCTCCCAAAAGGACTCCTCCACTCCTCCAACTTCCTACCTAGAGAGTACAGGTCTGGCTTTCATTTCTGGGTGCTAGGCAGGGGTCTCACCATTCAGTATGTAGAGTTTCACTTACTCCCACTATTGTAATGTGATGCCTCATCCAGCATCCTCACCTCGGCTGATGCCTGAGTCAGAATGTTTCTAGTTCAACTCAGAAAATGTGCCTTCAGAGTTCTGCTAGGTTTGGGGTGCAGGCTGGTTTCCTGACTGTGTGGTATGGGAAGAGAGCATATCTAGAAGTTTACGTAATTGTTCCTAATAAACAACTTATTCTTCTGTTTTCAGCCTTTCCCAAGTCTGTACATTTATGGATATCTGGCACCCTGATTTCTGAAGCTTTCAAGGTTTCTCAATGTGAATCAGCTTGCTTCTAGTTGGTGTCTCATCTTTCCCATCCTGCAGAAGCAGGGATCCCACTGTCTCTAGTTCACTGATGAGGTATCACGCTTCCATCCACTTGACATCTTGTACAACTGAGTTGACACCTCTCATCTGCCCGCTATTGTTCCATTCTGTCTGTACTTGCAGATTAATGACTTTTTTTATGTTATTATCATTTCCGTGGATTTTTGGAGAGAACAAAGATAAACACATATATAATGCACTATGTTTAACCAATAGTTGTCTCCAATCTATTTTCTACACTACTGCAAATCTGATCATGTTACTTCCTGTTGACCATTCCTTACTGTCTTCAGGATAAAATTAAATTTTTTAATGCTAAAGGTTGTTCACGGGTCTATTTTTTTCCTCACTGGTCTAATACACCCCAAATTACTTGCAGTTCCTCAAACACCTAACATTTCCCCTGCCATCGGCCTTTGTGTATGTGGCCTCTCCAGTCTATCTTGTCTTTCCTGTCACCCTTCATTTGTCTAATTCCTGTTTATTCTTAAAAAATTAAACTGAAGTGCCACCTGCTTCAAGAAGTTCTCCAAGATTGCTCCTTTTGGTTTTAGGTTAACTGCTCCCCTTCTGTGCTCCCACAGTACCTTCTGCGAGTTTTGCTATACGACTGGTGGCATTTTATTGTATCTGCATGTCTCCCCCATAGACAGGAAGCTCCTTAAAAGACTCCTTACATTCACATCTCAAGTACTTAGCACAGAGCCCAGGAAGTGGTAAACACTCAGTCTTAATGAAATGACCAAGCAAGGGAATGAGTGAAGGTTCTTGGTTCCAAACCTAAAATTCCTACTCAACTCTCCTATTTAAGTTACAGGCTCTCTGTAGTGAACTGCTAAAATTCCATCTTTTCCTTGAATCTCTCTTGTACTATATCAATTTACTCCAAACAAGGAAGTGCACTGATTGGGAACCAGCAGGACAAGGCACCGGCTTGCAGGTGTCCTTGGGCAGAGCCACTCTCCTCACTGGTGTCCTTGTCTGTGAGGGAGAAGGACCCTTATCAATCAAAGGTCTTCATTATAAGAGAAAGAAGCCCCTCTGCCTGAGCTCAGCAGAAGGACAATTTATTGAAAGGATTTTAGTTAGCTGGCGAGCCATAAAATAAAAATCTACTACAAGGCTGGAGTTGTCTTCCCATACCACCTTCCCAGGGTGGTTACGAATGCAGGCTCAAGGGCCACGTTTCCTGAATCGGAATCTGGGCTCTGCCACTTACAAGCTCACACAGAACTTTAGCAAATGATTGTGTTGTTTTTGTTTTTGTGTTGTGTTTTGTGCCTTGGTTTCCCCATTTGCCATGGTAGTCCATGGATCACCCACCTTGGTGAGGTGGTGGGGGATGGGATGAGTCGATATGTGTGAAGCACTCAGCCCAGTGCTTGGCACACAGTAAACATGTAACACATTAACTATCATTACTGGGTTTATTTACAAATGAGAAAACTGAGGCTCAGTGGAGTTAAATATCACTGCCAAACTTACAGAGCTAATAAGCAGGAGAGATATAATTCAAAGCCAGGCCTGTCTGAACCCCTGACCTTTGCTTAGCTACCATGATATGCCTACCACCTTGCACAATCTAGAGAAAAAGGTCTTTCAAGGACAAGAGAGTCTTGGTGAGTTTTCCTTTTAATTTAAGACATTTAATTTAAGACATTAAGAAGTCTAAAATCATGACTTTAGGTTTACTGTATATCTTAGCTTTCCCCTCCTGGAATTGGAATATAATAGGATGAGATAATTCACTTGACAGAACAAATTCTCTGAAATGCATGCTAATTTTGAACAATACCTCACCCTAAGAGAAAGCCGAAATCCCTGACCAGGGACCTAGATTCAGTTTTTTTTTTTTTAAGCTTTATTGAGGTATAACTGATACACAAAATCTTGTACACATTTAAGGTATACATTCTGGTGAGCCCAGAGTTAGTTTTGAAAGGTTGTTTTATCTCACTTTTTTTAAACAGTGGAACTTAGAATACTTACTTAGGGTTTCTTTAGGAAAAATGAATGGTATGGCTGGAAGCAGTTGTTTCCACCTCAACTTTTCTATAGACATGCGGGAGAGTGGACTTGAGGGTTTGTAATAAAGTTCTGCCTCACTTTGGTGAGGTGGCTTCTGTCATTCAGGTCACACCGTGCACTGCACAATCAAGGCACAGGAGCCTACACAGTTCTGGAATAACATGCAGGCATGAAAAGGTGCAGCCCTGAGGCTTATATTCTACAATGAACATGCAGGATGAGCAGGTGTGAGTGTGTCAGTGGTGTGCACATACCTGTGTATCCACAAGCGTGTCCACTCTCAACACCACCAGGATCCTTATATCACTTCCCAAAGACCCCTGCTGCTGGACAACACATCAAAACTAAATATGGTCAATGCTTTTTACTGACTCTAAAGCTCGATATACACATTTATAGGTATTATAATGAGAGAGCCAACTACTTTTAAAATAAAAAGAATTTGAAGTGGTTTCTAACTAAAGATACATACTATAAGGCTGTAAAAATAAATATAAAATTCATGAAGTGATATAAAAAGAAGTGGGAGAAAACTCAATACAAAGTCAAGATAATTATTTATTTTGGTTGAACATTATAATTGGCCTTAGGTTTTTGACAGCCAAGGCAGAAAGGGAAACGTGATATGATGCATTATGTAATTTACAGGTTATTTGTCCACAGATTGAGTTCATGCTCTAAGATAACACTAAACCATGAGGTCATTGATCTTGACTGAGGGCCTCTCTGAGAGAATGCTATTCTCTCTTCTATTTTAAGAGGAAAAGATACCCTTTCTGAAAACCTGGAGAAAAAAATGTTTAAAAAGAAAATAATAGTTCCTTGTAATTGCATTGTCCTGAGATAACTGATGTAAGAATTTAGAGTATTTTCTTCCAGTCTCTTTACGGTTTTGAAAATATATAAAATGATATGTAGTGATATTTTCCTATTTTGTTCTACTAATGTTATATCTTAAAAGTTTTTTCATGCCACACAAACTCTTTACACACATACCATGTTTAACAGCTCTATATTCCGTGGAATGGATAAGCCATATTCATTGAGCCATTCTCATGATTTGGTGCACTTTGACTCTTTGATAATTAATGTTTAAATAAAGCAAATGTCTGTTATTAATATCTTTGTATATAAGTGAGTTCCCATATTTCTGATGACCTCCTCATGATACATTTCTAGAAGCTGAATTCCTAGGTCAAAACGTATCCACCTGTTTTAAGGCTCTTGATTTATAATGGGCTAGTTATTTTCCAGAAAATCTGTGCCTCTCCTGAGTAGCACATGACATTCTACTTCACTGCCCCCTTTCTTCGACCATCATTTTAGAATCTTTGTTAATTTGATAGGGCAAATGATGTCCTTCTGCTATTTCAATTTGCATTTTGTTCAAAACCAAGGAGGGCTGGACATTGTATCATATGCTGATTTGCCATTTGCATTCCCTCTTCAGAGATTTGTTTGTCCTTTACCTGGGTATCTATTTTGGGTCTTAATGTTTTTCTTATTGATTTGTATGCATTCTTTATATATTAGGAATATTAATATTTTTTCTCCAACATATTGGTTTCAAACATTTCCCAGCTTGATGCTTGTCTGTTGATTTTGCTCATGAGATAACATTATAAAGAGAAATTTTAAAATGTTATTACGTCAAACCTATTGATTGATTCCATGATGATTTCTTTCAATGCATTTACTTTAAGCCATTCTAACAAAGAGCTTGACTAAAATATTCCTGTCCTGGGGAACTATGGTAGAATGTCATAGAGACATGTTTTTCCTTCTGCTTACCTGTTTTAGAACAAGAAGTTGCAAATCAAAATGTAATCATCAGTCTGCTGCAAAGGTGAGGTTGGGGGGAAAGTGAAAGGTGATTACTGGGTGTTCTTGATAGAAACCAAACAAGCAACCAGGGGGGCAATCAGTGCAGCTAGAACATTCAGCGTGGAGCATCTTCCCAGACAGTCTCCTTTAAAGAACGGGGCAGCTCAAAGGGCCCACCTGAAACAGTAATCCTTGCTTGAAGAGAAGTTAGAAAATTTTTCTAACTCTTCAGCATTTCCTCCAATTCCTCTGCTCTTTTCCACTGTCCTAGAGACCAGGGACCCCAATGTCTGGTACCATTGATTTATTTATACAACAAATATTCATTGCATCTTGGTTTTGCTCAAGATACTCCATGAAGCATCATAAACCATGTAATGATGCAAGTTCTCATTTCTCCATTTTCTTTCTGTTTTCAGAAAATGGTCTGACTTATGAAAATGTAACTAGCTATAGGTCCAGTCCAATTCTGGAAGACTTCTAGTCCTGGCCCTATACTTCTGGGTTTGGTCTTTCTCAACGACTAAGTAGGTAGCCCAAAGGCAAAAGGGCTGAAAATTACTTCAGGAGCTAACAGATCCTAGAAGTGTCCCAGTTGAGCATCAGAAATCTCCAATTAGAGCATTCATGCCAAGATGACGCATTATGATAGCAACCACCAGTTGGGATATTCCTCCCCATTTAAGCCACTCTTCCCACTTTGAACTATCTTTTATATTTATCCCAAAAACATTGTGATGTGTTCAACAGAGATACATCAAAGAGAAGGAGGCCTCCAAAGTAATATCAATTGGCTGGTTACTGGGAGTTTAGGGGCTGAATGCAAGCTATTCAGCTGTTACTGCACAAATGAAGTCCAAGTGATTCAGGCCATGAGAAAACAGCCCATTTTCTCTTTCTTTAAAAGATATCAAGTCAAAGTGACATCCAAAATATGCACCCTATACTATTCTGTGGGAGATCTTAAAAGAATTTCATCAGGGCATGCTGCTGCCTTCAGGTGCTCCTCCTCCCCCCCTCCTCCTCCTCCTCCTCTTGCTCCTCCTTCTCTTTCTCTTCCTGCCCTCCTTTCTCCTCGTCCTGTCCCTCCTCCTTCTCCGTCTTCCTCTTTTCCTCCTTCTCCTCCTGCTTCCTCATCTCCCTCTTCTGTTTCTTCTCTTCTTATTCTCCCTCCTTCTCCTTATTTACTCTTCCTCTTCTTCCTCCCTGTCTCTTCTTCCTCCTTCTCCACCTCCTTCTTTTTCTTTTCTTCTTCAATTTGGCATTTCGCTCACAGGGGAACCTGAATGGTCACAATCTTCTTCATGACTTTCCCATCTTTATCCTATCAAAAGGTTTTTTCCATGAATTTACAGTTCTGTCTTGCCACCCCAACCAAGCCCATCTTTCTTTGTCTGGGTCACTCCTGCCTGAATAATTTTATTAAGGCTTAATTTTATTAGGCTTAAAACAAAGATGCACTGGATGGATTTGAAGAAAAATAGTGAGAGATAAATTTGCAGGCCAAATGCACTGAATTCCTAGAATTACTGGAGTTCAGAATTTGCCTAGTGGTATACTCAATAATACTGTAATTTCATATTTTCAAGAGGTTTTCCTAGCTTGTTGCAGAAGAAGAGGCCGTGACCCTGACCCCGTGTACTCACAGTTAAAAATACAGTGAAGAACAAGTAAGGGCTGGGGTTGGGGACTATCATGGAGCTTTTCTTTAGCTCACATTGTGAATTTCTGACATGCCGACAGTCCTGAGATGAACACAAAGGAAGTTCACCAAATATGTACAAAAAAATTGTCAACTATTTTGACAGTGTCAAGGGAAATTCAGTGTCCTCATGCCCAAAGTTATAATGTACTACTGGAGATCAACGCGTCAGAGGTTGCTCAAGTGAAACATTTGCGTTTCTGCTCTTCAAAAGCATAACCTACAATTATTCAAACTGACTGAAAGGTGGCCAAAGCTTTGAGGGGAAGCCAATGAGACCCTCCTCCAAGTGATACCCTGTTGCTCCATATTTGTTTCCCTTAAATCACTCAAGCTTATTTGACTCACTCATGCATCACAGCAAGATTGTTCCAACAGCCAGGGTTTTCAGTTGCCTGGGAAATTCAACTTCCTTCTTGCTGCTGGATGCACTTAAAAGATCCAGGTCCTAGACTTGGGAGGAAGAAACATCAATCTGCTCGGCGATGTCCAAGGCAAAGTCCAAACATATCTTGACATTTCCCAAATATTGACTTTACTGTCCTGCCAACTAACAGGATACCACAGAGTTCTGAAGACTTGTGTTAGAAAAAATAAAGTCCACGTCATTGTCCCCCTAAAGAAAAACCCAACACTTTCTTTTTGAAGCAAGAATTCAAAGAAAGACCAATTCAGGCCCAAGGTGGGTAACACCTATTTGGGAACATGGGGAGATTCAGCACCTAAGGAAGGGGTAATGGGAGCCCTGATGCAAAAGTGTGCTCAGGGTGTCACAGATCACACCATTCAGATTGTGATCACCCTGGGTTCAAGCAGGCATCCTCCACAGCAGCCAGCCCATGGGCCATCGGTGCCCAAAATGGCAGAGGGGAACATCACCTGGAAAGCAGGGACTAAGAAACCAAATCGTAAATGTGTGGCCATTCTTAGGCACCAAGGAAAGCAGAACAGCATTATGTGGCTTCTCCCTAGACTTCAACTCAAAAGGCTGGGATGTTTCCAGAAACAACTCCCACCACAGCTCCCTGTCACAACTGAATGTGAGCCCACTGAGCTCATCAAATTGTTGTGAACCAGTTTTTATTTTAAAGATGGTGCCTTTCACAGGAAAATGTTCAATACATGTTTGTAGAGAAAACGAATGAATTGGTGAATGAAGATGTTGCTAGTGTCACCACTTGAGATACCTTCAAATCATGGTTCATTGGATTCTTTCATTCACTTATTTTCAGGGTTTACTGAGCACCTATTATGTGCCAGGCAATGTTCTTGGTGCTGGGGCTATGACCAAAACCAAAATTAGATGTGGTTTCGGCTTTTTGGAATCCAGAGACCTCCCCGAGAGAACCACGCTTATTTTTCAACCCAACCAGGGATGAAGAGGCGTATTTCCTCCAGTTCTGCCATTTTGTCATCTCATGATCTGATACATACTTATTGTCCCTGAGTGTTCTCTTTCTCTGACCACCTTCCTTGTGGTGAGATAGCCTGAGAGAGCCTAGCAACCCAGGCCAGAGCACAGCACCTTCTGTTTCTCCTCTAAATGTGTCCTGAGATGCATGACAATGAGGCTGCTTCCTTTTTTCTTTTCTTTCTCTTCTATCTTTTGGAGGCCATGACCGCACGCTGGGTTCGCTTCCTCAAGGACACTGTCTAATGCCTTTCTGTTAAGATGATAATTTATTTTTCTCCCTCTGGGTGCCACATTTCTTGCTTCTTTGTAGGTATTTTTTCTAGGCCTCTAATGAGGAGTTTGATAAAGTCTCCTGATTCTTGGGAGGAACTTGCTTTGTTACATGGTTCCTTCCAACGTTTTTCTAGCTAATGCCTCTATTCTTTCTGCAGTTTCTTGTTCTGTAATTGAATAACTGTGCGATGAATTTCGTCTGAATTCTGGCATTCAAAAAACTGTCGACATACTTTATTTTTTAGATTTTAGATGTGATGCATGTATCATTAAAAATTTGAAAGATGCAAAAAAGGATAAACATAAAAATTAAAGATAACCACAATTCTACCACCCAAAGACTTCCACTAATAACATTTTGGACCACTCTATGCCAGGACATTTTTTGAATACATATATATATATATATATACACACACACACACATATTATATATATTCAAACTATACATAATAGCACAGTTATATAACTGTGTATAGTTTTTTATGTATAATTTTAGATCTTTTAAAATTCAACATAGTAGTGTTAGTATTTTCCTATGTTATTAAAATTCTTCACAAGCATGATTGTAAATAGTCACATAATATTTTATACTTCAAGTCTATCATAATTTATTGCATCATTTTCCTAGCTTGACACTTGGGTTATTTTTCCTTGCTTGTTACAATCATATAAGAAATGTATCTCCCCTACTCCTTCTCCAATGAGACATTTGAGCATAATTGTGCTGCAGTCTTTCTGACTCAGTGGCTCATCCACAAAGGTGCTCAGAACCTTTTCTAGTTCACTTGTCTGATCCGGCACAGAACATTCTCCTCCTTCTCAGGTCATGCATACTCTCCAAAAGCTGCACACCCTGGTCTTCACCTGATGGGAAACATCCTGCCTCTAGACCCTTCAGTGTCAACATCTGCACTCATGTTTTGCTTCCTGAACCCACTATCCCTGCAGCTGTTTCCACCTCCCCTCGCCCATGCACAGAGGTCCCCTGCAGGGCCTCTGCTCCTGCTGCGCCTCTTCCTGGGAAGGGCTCCTCCTTCTCCCTGGTCTTCATAGGGTGTCTCCTTGTAATTCAGTCCCAGCCTATGAGTCACCTTCTCAGAGAGGCCTCCTGGATCTACAATCTAAAGAAGCTCTAAGTCTCCCTCCTCACCAATCAACTCAGTAACATGACCCAAGAACACTGAGCTCTTCACGGAACTCTCCCTGATAATATCTGGTGCTTTGATGTGTTTCTGGATCGTCTTCTCCCTTTAGCCAAACTATTTCTCATGTGCATCCCTGTGTCTCTTGCGCCCAGAACAGTGAAAGCATACAGCAGGAGCTCAATAAATGTTTCCCGAATGAACAAATGAATGAATGAAAACATGAAGGCAAATCTCATTTCCCTGGTGAAATGCTTTATAAATTATTTGCCACATTATATGGATGTCCTTTATTTCCAGAGGAGTGTTAAATTGTCCATAACCCTTTGACCAGTATTTTGCTTCTAGGAATCTCTCCTAATGACATAGACAAAAATGGAGACACCAATTTTGGCACAAGGATGGTCATCAGAACAGTATTTTTAGGCCGGGTGTGGTGGCTGACACCTGTAATCCCAGCACTTTGGGAGGCTGAGGTGGGTGGATCACTTTAGGCCAGAAGTTCGAGACCAGCTTGGCCAACATGGTGAAACCCTGTCTCTACCAAAAATACAAAAATTAGCCGGGAGTAGTGGTGTGCACCAGTAGTCCCAGCTATTTGGGAGGCTGAGGCAGGAGAATCGCTTGAACCTGGGAGGTGGAGGCTGCAGTAAGCTGAGATTATGCCACTGCACTCCAGGCTGGGTGGCAGAGCGAGACTCTGTCTCAAAAAAAAAAAAAAAAAGTATTTTTAATGTCAAAAATAAACCCTCACTAGAAAAAGGGGAAAATTATTATACGGGTTAATCTCTTAGGAATGGCAAAGCATTATGTAGATTTAAAAAAAATGTTTATAGAATTTTTAATGACAACAAATATACTAAATGTTAATGGTATATCTGAATGATATAATTAGTATTTTTTACTTGGTACTTTAGTGTTTTACAACTTTTCTCCAATGAACAGGCATGTGTTTCACAATCAGACAAAAGTAAAATATTACAAATTCTCCAGTTTCTGAGTTCAAAGGCATTTGTACTCAACATTTTATTCCCACATTTTATTGAGGTAAGGGAGGACTTCTTTTCTATTCTTAGAAGCGTTTTGCAAACTGTTGGTATTTTTTTAAGTGTTACAGAAAGAATGTTCAGAGAAGGAACCAGTTTTACAGGTTTACTCCCATAAAGCCACAAGGTTTCCTTAGAACTGTAGCAGCCTTCATCCTTGGTGTGTCCCAACCACCACGAATGCAGAAAGAAGTAGAAGGACTTACTCCTATTTCAGTGACACCTTCTGCCAAATTCTTCTGTGGCGGTTTCATGGTTAGCATGCAGACGCCATGATAGAGACTGACCATTGCCAATATGTCCTTGCTAAAATATAAAAGATTCAGACATCAATATGGTGGAGAATGGGAACCTATATAACATGGAAAAGAAGGGCATAGTTTAAATGACAACTATCATTACTATTGTTGTTCTTGGCTACTTGTTTTCCTTTCTTTTCTTTCTATGTCTGAGATTAATCAAGAGTAAAGATTCCTAAAATAGACACTTCCGTGATTCATTTATTCTCCACGAAGAGCTCTCTCTGCTGCATCTTTCCTGCAGTTCTCTTCTAAAGCAGGAAAACTTTGTTGTTATTTTCCCTCCTCTGTGTCCGACATGAAAGGCAGCTCTGCTCTGCCAGGTGCCCCTTCACACTGGAAGCAGCAGGAGCTGCAGCATCAGAGCACGACCTGCCCCGTTCTCAACTCACAGGAGGAAGACAGGAATGAGGACACAGCACCGGGACACAGAAAAACTAAAGATGGCGAATGCTTTCCATCTGAAGGGCATTTCCAACTATCCAAAGGTCTCCTACCGCCATCCTCTTAGTGCTGCTGCTGCCAAATACACTCCCAGAATGCTCAACCACTCTGCTTGTGGACTCTGTGACAAGGAGGCGCTCCAGTCCTTGGATGCCTCCATCGTCTCTGGATTAATGCATCCAACAAGATCCCATCTTCTTACTCAGTTTCCAGAAACAGATCCTCTGGTAATTGTCAATTGATATCCTCTGGATCCCAACCTCACAGATTGGTAGAAACTACCTGGTTCACCGTGTTGTCAGAGATCAACAGAAAAGAGTGCCATGATTGGTGAGTGATATGTGTCTGTGCTAGTCACAGACACCTGGCAGCACCACATGTCAACTGCCTTCTCTTACTGGACCCCTCCCTTCACATCACCAGGGATTACACTTGTGTCTTGGAAACTTAGTACCTCATAAATGGGGTGCAATATTTCTCTAACTTACAATAGAAAAAGCAAACAAATAACCTCACTGTGCTTTGGGATGGCAAGGTCATGGCACTGTCTCATTCTAGTTGGGGTGCTGAACCAGCCACCGAGGGCATAGAGCACGCTGTGATGTCTACTGCACCCCCAGGTCCCCAAATGTAATGATTTCCCCCTCTGTGCTACCTTTCAGTCTGTCTGCCAGTCTCCTGTAGCTCACCCCACTTTTCTCACTGCATTCATCACTCTGTATTGCAATAAATGTGTCAACATGTGTCTTGAGCCCCAGCTAGACTGTAAATTCCTTTAAGGTAGAAATCACATCCTGTTTGTTCAGAGTGGACTGGCAATAAACATTTTTGAATTGAATTGGATTGACTCTCTGGATAAAGATCTAAAAGTCAATTATGTTAGTCTCTGCATGGACATTAAAGAAAAGAGAGTCAGAAAATCTGTAAAACTGCACTCCAAACCCCTCAAATTCTAAATAAACTTTGCTAATTCTCTATAATTTCACAATTGCCTTCATATATACATACAAAAATTCTTAGGTGGAATTTCAGAAAATTGAATCTTTCCAATGGGGTATGATTTGGTACCAACATTTAGATATGCTTTCTCTCTCTCTCACACACACACACACGCACGCACACACACACACACACACACACACACCATCTTTAAAAGCACTAAATGTTCTAATGTAATAAGCACTTCGGGATGGGCTGCTACAATATTCTTGAAGGCAGTTAAGCCTCTTAGACTGCATTCTAAGAACTTTCTAAAGCAATTAAATAAGAAGGAGGGGCAGGCCCAAGACTCCAGCAAGTTCCATGAAGCAATTCAAAATCATATTTTCAGAAGTTCCTTTTAGAAAATATATTTGCTGGCAGAATATTTATTAACACAGTCCTTCAGCAGAGAAAATCATTCACGGAATAAACATGAATACATTTCCAAATCCGTGTGTTAAAACTGTTTCATTATTTTACCCAAAGTTCCTTCTACACCTGCCAAAAATAAGACACCTTCACTTTATACTGTCCAGTGTGTGACCATAAGCCCAGGAAGCTATACCTTTCAATAATTATCCTTTGTAGAAATAAAATTTAAATTCTTCAAATTCTTCAAGGCTTGTGATTTTGTTTTAAACTGGTTGGAAACAGCACTGAAACCAAATGCACTATTGGGAATCAGGTTATTTAAGTCAGGATGGTTTTCAACGAAAATGTAGAGGAGCAGTGATTGTGAAGATAGATGTGGCTGAAATTACGCTTCTCCCTTGTGATCTAACCCAAGTCGCTATTCTGCCTTTGGCTTCCATACATGTGGCCAGGGTACTAAGTACATTTTGGTCGTTTATTCCCTGACTCAAAATGAAAAGAAATTTGAGGCAGCTAGAATGCCACTGACAGAAGGCGCACCAACATTTTGTTTTCTCAAACACTAATCTTTTTTCCTAACAGTAACTTTTACTTTCCAGAAAAAACGGGAAGACAGACTTGAGAGTGATGTGCTAGTGGTTCCTGGTTTTCTCAAAGAGCTGCTGGAAGAAGCACCAACATGAGAATCCCAAGTCCTGGTTTCAGTCACGCCAACTAACCTCTCACTCAAGCCACTGCACAGAGGGGATGCTAGGAGTGGGCCCGGGCCCTCTGGAGACCTGGGGACTAGGGACTATGGAAAAATGCACTGCACCTTGGAATTAAGATTCCAGAGAAGCTGGGGATTGGGGCGGGGGCAGCTGAAAAGATGTGATTTCTGTCTTTCAGAGAAAGTCATGTTTAGCAAGAACCCACCCTGTGGATGTAGGACCTCCTGGGGCACTGGCTAGTGGTCACTAGGGAAGGATGACTTTGGGATGTGTCATACTGTCTGCTCTCTCTGTCCTAAGTACCCCGAGAGACAGTGGAAAAAAACTGACTGGCCTTTTAAAAATAGAGCCATTTCAACCCTAATAGGCTTGAAAGAAACCAGGAATGCAAGACCATCTTGCTTGGGCACCAGGTGAAAGAACTGCCACTTAATTAGGGAAAGAGCCAGCCTCCTGGGGAAGAGCCCCTTCAGTCCTTCAGCCATGGCCAAGCTCTTGTGAGGAGCTGCATGCATCATGCAGTTGCAAGGGGACATGCTTGCACTCTGAACAGACCACACATGACTTCCCCACAGGAGTGTCCAGCCCGACCTCTGGGCCCCATCAGCAACCATGCTGTATCACATTGAAGAATGCACTGAACTGGATTAAAACTCATGCCCAAATCATCAGCTAGGTGCGTCTGAACAAATACAGAAGGAGAAAGGCTGATGGAAGGCCAGGCAAAAAACTGGGGTAAAACTAGACCCGTTAGGCTCCAGGGGATTTCTTGTTTCCTGGTAATTCCTTTGCAAGCCCTACTTACAAAGTACTGACTGCGGATCTCACTGCCCATTTGCTTTTCCACTTTTACCTACACCCCCATGACAAGTGGGTAAGGGAGTTTTTATTTGTCCACAGTGCTGTCATAAGAACCTAAGGATTTCTGCAACTAGAAAGGCTATTGGCTTACCCAGCCCATATTTCATTGTCTAAATACGAGCTCACAAAAATTTAGCTCCACCAGGTGCCATGGTCTGTTTTGTTAACCGAGATATTCCCAGCTCCCAGGAGAGTACCTGACACACATAGTAGGCACTCAAAAATATTTGCTGAGTAAAACTGAATTTTAAAGGGGTGCCAAGAAATCCCTGACAGCAGGTTCAGAATTATTGCTTTGCAGTAAAGCAGAAATATCCTTTGGCAGTGGGGCCAGATGACCACAATGCTGATTTCCCCTTGCTCTTATCAAGATACGTGACCTTCATCAAGTCCCAAAGCTTAGCGAAGGCACTTCCGTGCAGAAGCACACAGGAGACCTGAGCACAGCTGCTTTTACCTGTTTTATCATGAGGGTTACCCATTTTATTTTGTTTGACTAAAGGATTCCCCTGCTAATCATAAATGGTCGAGAAAACCACTGGGCTTTGTTGCCCCAAAAGGCTCTACCACCTGATGATATTTCAAATTGCATTCTAGCTACACTGCATTCTTATGATTCCTGAAATATGTCAAAGTCCTCCCTTCCCCAGGGCCAGTCCGCATGCTGTTCCCTCTACCTGGAATGCCCTTTCCCACCTACCTGCTGCTACATCTCTGCGTGACTAACTCCTACTTAAATGCTATTTCCCCAGAAGAGCCATCCCTGCTGCCTTCTGCTATGTCTGAGGCCCCGTTATTTGTTCCCACAGTACTATGTCCTCTTTATTGACAGTACCTTTTATAGTTATACTATAATTAAATACATCAATGTGATTATTGGTCAGAGGTCTGTTCTTTTTGCCAGAGGAACATTTCCAGGAGATGAAGGCAGAGATGGGGTCTGTTTGTTCACCACATGGCTCCCAGAGTTGACCTCATATGTATTACTCAATAACTATTTCTTTAAAAGAAAATTCATTGACTTTTATTTGTGATCCTAGAATCAGGCAAAACTTCATTCTCTATAATAGAATAAGCATTCTCTGATTTCTTGAAGGAATAATGAATAACAAGTTTAACAAGCATGAAGATGATGCATAACAGTTCATTACTATGAGGGTACAATCCCATGTACCTTCAGATGTTGGACAAACCTGTAGTTTCCAGTGGTCACATTTCTCTTAGAAAAGTACAATTGTGACACTGGCCCTTCCCCAGTTTTTGGGCTTATTATCTGTTCTATGTGATGTCTCAAAATAGGAGGCCAGTGGCTCCTTCACGACATCTCACATTACCTGGGGGAATATATTCCAGGCCTGGGATGTCTAATATGGAAGCCCTCAGCTACACATGGTTAATTATAATTACAGTGATTAAAAGTTAATAAAATTCAAAAATTCAGTTCTTTGGGTACAGTAGTCACATTTCCAGTGCTCAAGAGCCATGTGTGGCCAGTGGCCACTGTCCTGGACACCACTGGGGCAGACCATGCCCACCCATGCAGAAAGTCCTTTTGGATAGCACTGTGTGGGCCCTGCTAAGCTCAATGCATCCCATATTTCTGGGTCATCTTGAACTACATCACCCCCTGTCTAGAGTTTGCCTTCTTTCCTAATGTATAACTAGAACTTGCTGCAACCAAATGTTCACTGCTGATCTTTTCTGAAAAGTCAGAAGTGAGAAAGATTTTTACAGCTTTCATCTGTCAAAAAAACAACTTCTCTGATCCTTTCCTTCTGCCCAATAGATTTTAAATGTTCTGTTTGTTGTTATTATTTTTATGCCCTTTGCTGGCAACAACTTCTTTCAATGTTGGCCCGCTTAATATTGCTGGGCTGTCTAATTCTACTTCTTGTTGAGGACATGGCCTCATTTCCAATGTGCCCTAACTACACAGAGTCTGCAGTGAGGCCTTGGTTGGTTTCTCATCATTTCTGTCCTTCTGAGACCCTGGTTTGTTTGTTTCTGAAGCAAACTTTAGGCTGCTAAATAATAGTTCTAATATCTCCATTCATCCTTCACTCACATTCCTGTAATCGTTAGGGGAAAAAGGCTGGAGAGAAAATCTAAGCAAATCTGCTTTCGTAAACTGAACTCTCTTCATTTTCTGGCTTATTCCTATTGAGATCATCAAGGATTTGATTATTTTGTGATCATTTCCTCCCAGGCTTCTGTCTAATCTTTAGATTAGAGCTTCAGAGCAGTAATTCTTTCTTTCCTCTTTCATAACATTACATTAAAAAGGGATTTCTGCCTTTGTTGTTTCTTCCTTTCCTGAAACTTGTAAATTGTCCCCATGTAGCCCCTGCCTTATTTTGGGTTCTCCCCAGAAGCAGACAACAAGACAAGGATTTAAGGGCAAGCAATGATTTTGGGGATGTGAGCCCAAGAAACACCAGTAGGAGGTAGAGAAATGAGACAGTGAAGTGAAGGTGATCAATAAAACGTGTGTTATCAAACCAGCTACCACTGTAGACAACTGGAGCTCAATCCCACGAGTGAATTCCAGGAAGCAGTGTAAAGCATGTGCTCCTGAGGAAGGAAGCTGGGGTACTTACACACCAATTCCCGCAGTCATCATTTGAGAGGGATTCTTGGACAAGGGCATTATTTCTCTACACTTTCATGCTTCTACTCGACAGGCAAAACATGCTTTGTGAGTCAAAGAAAGCCCTTGGACAAAGAAGTGAAGTCAGAACTTGATGTGGTAAGGGTGAGGACCTCCAGGCAGGGTCCTGACAGCAGCTGCTCCACTCTCCAATCAGGTTCCTAATCAGTCCCTATTGGGAAATCCTTTGGAACAAGTCAATTAACCTTTCCTTGTTCAGTATTCTCATCAGCCCAATAATGGGGCCAAAGTAGATGATCCCCAAAGTTCTGGAAACATTTGTTGATTATTTGAGGCTCTGAACTACTTTCCAATACATATCTGAGTGGATGCCTCTTATCCCCAAGACTGACAGTAGACTATCAGATGCAACAATCGTTTCCATCTAGAAATCTTTCATCGGTTCCTCTGTCACTCATGGCAGTTTGCTGCATGAGCTGTTCTTACTCTCCAAGACTACCCGTGAGAGATGAGAGAGGCTGGTGTCATCATTGGCAGCACCATCCCACTTCTGTGGACTCGTGCTTCAGCCACTGTCTGACCTCAGAGGTTTGCCTAGCATTCATTCTAGGAACTGTCTCATGATTCTTTTGACAATCTCAGGAAGAGCAATTGGGACCATTGTCTCTTTTGGACCTCAGTCATTTTCCCTCCTGAAATGGAGGGGAGCTTACCAAATGCCAGGCATGCTCTAAGCACTTTACGTTGAGCAACTCACACACTCGATAACAGCCTTATGAAACATGGGTGAAAATTGAGAAAATAGAGGAACTGGGATTTAAATATTTGCCCCAGATCAAGCTTCTGATCAAGATGGAGTAATGGAATGGATTTACCCTCCTACATTAAACAACCAAAAATAAATAAATAAGCAAAATATATAAAACAGTTTTCAAGACAATAGATATCAGGCACAAAAGGGCAGTGATCCCCAAAAGATGAGAAATGAATGGCATGAGCCCTAGAAATCCCTCTGCTTACTGCTTTGAGAGAGATTCCAAGATGCTGCAGCATGGGGAGGGAAACACAGAAGCAGACTGGCAGGATTCTTGAACTGGGGAGATGCAGTTGAGAGTCTAAGGAGACCAAGACAGCTAGAGTCCTCAGGGAAGGGCACTAGGGAGAAGACAGCTGATCAGACACAGAATTCTAGAGGGTTGCAGAGGGTCCCGCAGGAGCATTCAGCTGAGCACTGATCAGCACATACAGATGAAGAGCCTACCTGGGAAAGAACCACTCGAAGAGGTTAGAGGTCACAGCGCCCGGCACTCACACAGGGCTAGGAATAGTGCCTGTTCTCAACAGCAAGACTGGAAAATGGAAAGATTCCTGGGGCAGTGGGTAGAGTACATGGGAAGGTCTTGCCTCAGAAGTGGGTAATAATTAGCCCCAGTGAGCATTGCTGTGATTCTGCCCAACAAGTCAAAAAAGTAAGATCCAAAAGAATCAAACTGTGTCCAAGTAACCTAACTGAATCTCAGAACAAAACTCAGGAATATTTATAAGAATACAAACATATCCAGCACCTAATAAGGTAAAATCCACAATGTCTGTATATCCAATCAAAAATGACCAACTGTACAAAGGAGTAGAAAAACAGGACCCATAATGAGGAGATAAATCAATCAATCAAAGCTAACCAAGAATGGACACAGATGATAGAATTAGAGCCACGACATTAGAAAAGTTGTTATAACTATCTGTTCTATGTTCCAAAAGTTACGTAGAGACATGGAAGATATAAAAAAATTTAATTGAGCATCTCTAAGTGAAAACCACACTATCTGAGAAAAATATGCTGGACAAGATTAACAGCAGATTAGATGTTTCGTCTAATAAAAGATTAGTGACATCGAAGATATACCAATAGAAACTATCCAAAATAAGAGAGAACAAAAAGATACTTCAACACTTCCTCTCAATCCCTAATATAACAAGTAGACAGAAAGCTAGTAAGTAGATAGTAGATTTCAACAGCTCTACCAACCAACTTGACCAAATTGACAGTTACAAAACACTCCATCCAACAACAGCAGAAAGCATGTTCTCTTCAGGTGCACACAGAACAGCTGTCAAAACAAACCATATTCTGGGCCATAAAATTAGCCTCGATTATAATAACTTAAAAGGATTCAGGTCATACAAAGTTTGTTCCCTGTCCATAGTGGAATTATACTAGAAATCAGTCACAAAGGGATAATTGAAAAATCTCCAAAATATTTGGAAACAAATAATATATTTCTAAATAATCAATTTGTCAAAGAAGAATTCTAAGAGAAATTAGAAATATTTTTGAAATGGATGAAAATAAAAACATACCATATCAAACATTGCCAGATGTCATCAAGTAAGGGGAAATATATAGAACTTATCTATATTGAAAAAGAAGAAAGGTTTCAAATCAGTGATCTCAGCTTCCAACCTAAGAAACTAAGAAAAGAAGAGCAAATAAAACTCAAAGGAAGTAGAAGATAGAAAATAATAAAGATCAGAGTGGGATCAACGAAATACAAAATAAACAAACAAAGAAAACAATTAAGAAAATCAATGAAACCAAAAGCTGATTCTTGAGATGGTCATAAAAAAATGATAACTATTCAGACAGATCAGGAATGAGGGAGGTGACATCAACACAGATTCTATATATATGTAATGGACACTAAGTAGATATTTCAACAACCTTATGTCAATAAATTTGACAACATGGATGAAATGAACACATTTCTGAACAAACTACCAAAGAAATAGATAATTTGAATAGCCCTCATCTACTAAAGAAATCGAATTTATATCTAAAAACGTTAATGCAAATAGAACTAAAACTCTAGGCCCAGATGGCTTCACTGGTAAGTTCTACCAACTAAAAAATAAATAATACCAATTGCACACAAAACTTGTCTAGCTCCCATGTAACTTATTTTATGAAGACAGAATTATTCTGAAGACTAAAACAGAATAATTAATCTAATAGTGAAAGATTAAATGCATTTCCCAGATATGGGGCAAAACAAGGATAGCTACTCTCCTCACTTCTGTTCAAAATTACAGAAGTTCTAGCCAGTGCAATAAGACAAGAAAAATAAATAAAATGTCTTTCTTTACATTGGAAAGACAAAAGAAAACTGTCTTCATTTGCAGATGTTATAACCCTCTATGTGGAAAATTTAATGTTGTAGACTAAAAGGTATTAGAACATATATGTGAGTTTCACAAGGTTGCAAGATACAAAATCAAAATGCAAAAATCTATCACATTTTTAAATGCTAACAATGAATAATTAAAAGTTGAAATGAAAACAAAATATCAAAAATTTAAAAAGCAACACACTTTTTAACGTCAAAAATGGGATAAATCTGACAAAAGATGTGTCAGATCTGTAAAATGAAAATTACAAAACATTGCTGAGAGAAATTGAACACTGAAGTAAATGGAGCAATATACCATATTCATGTGTTGGAAGACTCATTATTACTAAGATATCAATTCTCCCCAGTTTGATCTATAGATTCAACACAATCCCAATCAAAATCCCAACAGTCTTTTTTAAAGAAGAAGAAAAAAGTTACAGAGCCTTTAAGTTAAGTAATAAAGGTATATCAATGGGAAGTCACACAAGTAAAATCATAAGTCAAAAGGAAATGATTACCAATAGAAGAGAGAAGGCTTTAATTCCTGAGATAAGTAAAAAGTAATAATTTAAGAGAAAGAAGCCAAGATAGAAAAAAGAAGTAGAAAACATCCATAATCTAATAAGGTAGGTTATTATTCCTCTTGAGCATGTTTTAAGAAAATGGTGTTGATTTTCTCCACAGGGCCTCTTCCTTGCTCAAGTGGCAGACGAATAGTCAGCTTTCTCATTCTCTGTGAGCCTCTCACTTCCTACTTGAATCTCATTTCCTGTTGCCCTAGAGCTCCTCCTCCTTCAGACTCTCACACAACAGCCCTTTCAACATCATAACAATAGTTCCAAATTATGTTATTTCTTGGAAGCTTCCAACTTATTTAATAGATGCAGAGTCTGGCTATTTTAACAGCCTCAAACTTTAGAATCTTTACCTTGTTTTCTTTATCTGTTTAATTACCACTCAAAAAAAAAAAAAAAAAAAAGAAAAGAAAAAAAAAGCACAACCTTTTCCTTTATAACCACATTTTGAAAAAAGCTAACATTTTTAAGGCAAAATGAAATAAGAGATATGGAAAAACCATTTCTGCTTTTGAAGACAACAAATGTCTGTTATCCATAATAAGTTGTTTTTAGGATTTTGTTTTCCTTCAAAGTTTGAAAACACTGCTCAACTCCTGGGCTCAAGTCTTGTTTTCTTTCCAACTGTTGGGGTTTCCAACTAGTTTCTTATCTTGATTGGAGGGCTTGGCGTCAAGATAACGCCATCTCAAAAAAATTATTTCATACCTTTGGCAAGAACCTAACTGGTTATGATGTACAACAAATTGCGTGTATCTTGAGAGGAGAAAAAATATGGATTGTGGAAGAAATTTTGCTAATGAGAAAAAGATAATGTATGATTTAAGAGTTTCAAATCTGTATCTTAAAAACATGTAAGACATGGAATGAGGGAAAATTTGAAAAGTGGGTATGATATGTTTACATTGAGACTGAAAGAATGAATTCTATTGAGTGGGGTTGAAATGCAAACGCATATACAAACACATTTATCAAAGTGTCTAGTGTATGCTTATGTGTTTGCTACCTCCAATATTTAGCAGTGTTAAAGATCACTTTCTCATTTACCCTTCAGGCCAAGTTCTGTTCTAAATTCAATTCCACCTATACTAACACAGGCCGTGGGTACATATCCTGAAGCAGAATTCAGTTCTGTTGACTGAGATGAAAATGCAAAAGAACATTCACACATGAGGTTGGCAAGTGGAGATGTTAGAGTCTGCATGCATGCTTTGACACATTTTTTTTTCTGGCACTAATTACCGTGATTTGACATGACTGCATATTTTTTAGACACTATATGATCCTGGCAAATGAAAGTGTCAGTGAAAATTATACTCCATCAGCTTAAACCTTCCTAAATGCCAGAGAAGTAATTTGATCTGCACTATGAGCAAAGTCTTAAAACAGTGCTGATACTGATCATGTTTCATTCCAACCAAAGGCTGTGAACAATGTGTGGCTATTATTTATTGGGTTTAAACCACTGCATGTTCTAGACCTGCTGTATTCAATAGGATAGCCACTGACAACGTGGCTATTGAGCATTCAAAATGTGAACAGTCTGAATTGATATGTGCTATAAGTGTAAAATATACATCAGATTTTGAAGAATTACTATAAAAAGAGAATTTAAATAGCTCATTACTAATTTGTATATTGACTTCATGTTGATGATACTATCTCAATACTAAAATGGGTAAAATAAATTATTCAAGTCAAGTTTACCTGTTCATTTTTACTTTATTTAATGTAGCTATTAGAAAATTTAAAAGTTTATTATGTCTTGCTTTATTGTTATTGTAAACAGTAAAGATTAATAAACCTTGTATACTCATTGCTTGGTCTATTTCAAAGTGCACCAATTGGAAAGGCAACAGCAAGAGCACATCAACCTTTGCGAGCTAACTTGTATACCCATTAGAAATTTAAACATCTGGTAACGAGGATATTGGTAACTTCCTTTTGCAGAGCCATAAATGGTCATCTTTTCAAGGGTTATCATACAAATTCTACAATGACAAGTAATTCCTAGTAATCATTGTTGTGTCATGTTGCAGCCAAAATATCATTCTTGTTATTAAAATCAATCAAACCAACCATCTCAGGGTTTGGAGGGTGTGGGTCCTGTTGGCTCACAGCTAGAAGACCAAAGCCCCAAATGGCCCCAAACCATCTCCTCTAGGCTCGTGACCTGCCACTACCTACCCCACTCCAATTCTCGAAACACAGGCATGAACTCTTCATTATTCCCCAAGTACACACAACCTTTTACAACCCCATGCCTTTTCACATGCTATTCTCCTTCCTGGAATGCTATGATCCCCTCTTTCTGCTATAAAATTCCTACTCATACTTTAAAACTCAACTTGGATGCCTCCTTCTTTGCAGGTCATCCCCCTCTGGCTCCCGCAGTGTTCTGACATTTTCAGCGTTTAGTTACTAGAGCACAGCTAGATTTCATTGTCATTATTTGAGTATCTCTCTGCTCATGTGAGCAGGAACTATCTTGTCTAATTTGTAGTTCTCTACATGCCTACAGAACTGTCAGACGAACAGAGCAAATTTTGTGTTGGTATGTGTGTATGCACACACACATTTGCAAACACATACACCTAGGAAAGAAAAATCTACAAACTAGACAGAGTTATATACCAAAATGTTAACATTGGTCAGTTCTGATGTTGAGATCATGTGGATCATAAGTGACTTTTTAAAATTGTGATAAAATGCATATGACATAAAATTTACCATTTTAACCAATTCTAAGTGTACAGTCTGTAGTGTTAAGTATACGCACATTTTTGTGCAACCTGTCCCCAGAACTTTTTCATCTTGCAAACCTGAAACTCTATGACCATTACACGGTAGCTCCCCTTATTTCTCCCCCCAGTACCTGGCAACCACCATCCAACTTCCTGTTTCTGTGAGTCGGCCTGTACCTGATGCCACACATAAGTTACACCATATAGTATTTGTCTTTTTATAACTGACTTATTTCATCCATATTGTAACTTGTGCCAGAATTGTCTTCCTTTTTAAGGTTAAATAATGCTGTATGTATACGCCACATTTTGTTTATCTATTCATCAATCATTAGACATTTGGGTTGCTCCCACATTTTGACTGCTGTAAATAATGCTGCTGTGAACATGTGGGTACAGATATCTGTTTGAGTGTCTGCTTTCAATCCTTCAGGCATATACCTAGAAGTGGAATTGCTGGATCATATGGCAATTCTACTTTTAATTTTTTGAGGAATTACCATACTGTTTTCCACTGTGGCTGCACCATTTTACATTCCCTCCAAGAGTACACAAAGGTTCCAATTTCTCCACAGACTTATCAACAGTTGTTATTTTCTGTTTTGTTTGTTTTTTATGACAGCCATCCTACTAGGTAGGAGGTGATATCTCATTGCAGTTTTGATCTGCATTTCCCTAGTGACTGGTGACATGGAGCATTTTTTCATACACTTGTCGGCCACTTGTACATCTTTTTTGAAGGAATGTCTATTCAAGTCCTTTATTGAGTTTTTTGGGTTATTTGGGTTTTCTCATTTGCTTTTAGATGTAGGACTTCCTTATATATCCTGGATATTAACTTATGATCAGATATATAATTTGCAAGTATTTTCTCCCACTCTGTAGGTTGCCTTTTCATTGTGTTGATAGTGTTTTTTAATTGGTGAAAGTTTTTCATTTGGATGCAGTCCAATTTAGATATTTCTACTTTTGTTGCCTATGGTTTTGGTGTCATATCTGAGAAATCCCTGCAAAATCCAACAGCAGGAAGCTTTACTCCTATGTTTTCTTCTAAGAATTTTATATTTTTAGATATTATATTTAGGTCTTTGATTCATTTTGACTTAATTTTTGTCTATGGTGTAAGGTAAGAGCTCAACTTCATCCTTTTGCATGTAGATATCAAGTTTACCCAGAAACATTTGTTGAAGAGACTGTCCTTTCCCCATTGAATAGTCTTGGAACTCTTGTTGAAAATAATTTGACCACATATGTGAGGGTTAATATATGGGCTACCTATTCTATTCCATTGATCTATGTCTGTCTTTACACAAGTACTACACTGTTTTGATCACTGTAGCTTTGTAATATATTTTGTAATCAGTAAGTGTGAGACTTCCAACTTCATTCTTTTTCAAGATTGTTTTGGCTATTTGGGGTCCCTTAAGATTCTATATGAATTTTAGGGTGGATTTTTCTAATTCTTCAAAAAACACTATTACAATTTTGATGGGTATTATATTAAATACGTAGATCATTTTGTGTAATCTTGACATCTTAACAATATTAACTATTCCAATTACATAAATATGTGATGTCTTTTCATCTATTTACATTTTTAAAAAATTTCTTTCATCAACATTTTGTAGTTTTGAATGGACAAATCTCTTGCCTTCCTCCTTGGTTAAGTTTATTCCTAAGTATTTTATTCTTTTTGATAATGTTATAAATAAAATTGTTTTCTTGGTTTCATTTTCAGCTTATTCATTGTTATTTTATAGAAATGCAACTGATTTTTGTATGTTGATCCTGTATGCAGCAACTGGGCTAAATTTCTTTATTAGTAACAACAGTTTGTTTTCTACATATAAGATCATGTTGCCTATGACAGATATAATTTTACTACTTCCTTTCCAATACCTTTTATTTATTTTTCTTGCCTAATTGCTCTGATTAGGATTTCCAGTGGTATGTTGAGCAAACCAGCAAAAGCAGGCATCCTCATTTCTAGTGGTTGGTGTGAGTGTGCTTTGTTTCTTCCACAGTCTCTATCATACCCTCGAGTACCCTGAATGGCCATCCTGATCTTAGGAAAAACGCTTTCAGTCTTTCATCATAAAGAATGATGTCAGGCTATGGGTATCAGTGATTTTTATGTTTTCTGTGTATATTTCTATATTTCATAAGTTTTCTGTAAGAGATTATGCATATTTTTAATAATCAGATTAAAAGTTATTTAACAAACAATAATTTGTTGGCCAGATCATGATTGAACTACTTCACTGAAAAATGTACTCTCTGCTTGAGGATAACCAGGTGTGATCAGAGATAAGAGATAGACAGGAAGTGAGGTATATTTTTGTTCTGGCCATAAAGATGGACAAGATAAGAGAGGATCTTTCCCCTTTTGACTGCAAGTTCTCCTTTCCTTGCAAGAAGGGAAAGGCTCACTCAATTACTGTCAGCAAACTAAACATATGATCACCTGCCTTTGTGGTGGTCTATTCTCTGGTAAAGATTTACCCACATGTCATACTCACATTTGTCATCTGAAATGAAGATGCATGACAGATCTGTATGTTACAGGTCAATGGTTGATACACTTTCACTCTGGCTTAATGCTGTCATCCAGCTAGGGTAACAGGAGGACCATTGCCTGGCAAACAGGAGATCATCAATCTCAACGGCACATAAAATAATCTTACAATATCATTACCATGGGAGCCAGGGCACATCCTCAGTTTTGTATTTGGTTCTAGTTCTTATTGAGAGAAATCTTGCTTGGTCAGCACTCTCCCACAAACAGCTGAAGAAGCCACAGCAAAGCTCACAGCCAAGCTAGAAGTATCCAGGCCCAGCCCTGGGAGCTATGCTGGAACATTTCTCATCACTCCATAAGTCTTCTCTAAAACTTTAAACACTGAGAAGGTTCCTATATCCTCCACTCTCAAGAAACGCTAATAGAACATGCTGGAATCCATGTGCTTTGAGGCATTTGAGGCAGACTAAGGCATTTGAATGAATTATGTCCCTCCGTGACCACCCTTCTGCCCACCTGTACCCACAGGTGATCAGAGGGCCCAATACAAGGGACCTTCAGATGTAACTGTTGTTTGTTTACCCCTTAGAATTACAACTCAGGCTCAGGAAACTGTTAAGATATAAATCTTAATTCCTCACCTGACCTCTAAACATCTATGCTCCAAGGACCTTTCTTTTTTTAAATCAACAAACATTAATTGTATACCTACTGTGTGCCCCCGACACCTAGGCAAACAGCAGGACTCTATCACTGGTCTCATGAAGTTAGATTTCTGAAAGGAAGATGGACAATAAGCGAAGGGTCATCTGTACCCAGAACATTTGTTCCCTTCTCCAGGCACAAGATTCGGAGACACTGCTTGCTACCTGCCTGCTGACAAAAAGTCAATGTAGCAGGGACAGAAGCCAAGTCTCCAGAATGTCTCTTTATAGACACAAGCCTCAAGAGGCCAGAGGAGTCAGTCTTCTTAGCTAAGGAAAAACCTCTGCATTTTTCTGTGAGACTTTTCCAGACATAGAGGCTGTGTAAACTCTCTTGGGGTCAGCCAAGGCCCGTCCCAAAGACTGAAGACTCCCAAAGACTATGCTCCCTCTGGCAGCATAGCTAAAAATGCAGTGTTCTGGGCCAGTGGTTCTTGCACTTGAGAGTGCCTCCAAATTCCCTGGAGGCTAGTTATAGCATACACTGCATGGCCTCACCCCAGAGGTTCTGATTCAGGAAGTCTAGATGGGCCCTGAGAATTTGCATTCCCAAGTTCCTAAGTGATGTGGCCTGCTGGATATGGGACACCAGTCTGAGATCCACTGGTTTAGATTTTGTATTTGTGCCCTCAAGAAAAACTGAGCTACAGGATGCTTCACCTTGGAGATCTGAAAAGCCTACCCTCAGACCAGAAACTCCTCTACATTCCTCAGTAACACACATCTAGACTCACACTCAGGGACTATGAGATACATTCATTCACCCATAGTTACTCAGTCATCAAGAAGTCATCAAGACACTACTGGTGGTTCACTATGGCCCAGAGCTTGGCTAGTAGCCTTGGGAAATAAAAAAAGAGAATTCTCATGAGGCCTAACCTAAGGAGCCAAGGGTGTTAGTGGGGTTAGGGATAAAAAGGCTTCCTTGAATCTGTTAAACACCAGAACAAGACAGCTTGGGTTAAATGCCACGTGAGCAGTGATGACAAGATGTTCTGGTCCCAGGATGGTCCCAAAGCCGCTGATCTCAGACCTGCCCTAGCACCAGGGTGGCTTTGCAACCCTGGGCTTTAAGCCCACACTGGTGCCAGGCCAGCCTCCAGAGCCCAAGGCTATAGTCTGGCTCCCAAAGTCTCAGCCCTCAGACCTGCTACACTTCCAGGCAAGCCCCTGCAGCCTCAGAATTCAGGACCACCTAGTGCAAGGCTGGCCTCTGCAGCCCCGAGCTACAAATCTGCACCTGCAGACCCAGTCTCCAGGCCTCCCCAGGCTCAGTGTCAGTCCCTTTGGCCTCAGGCACCAGGCCAATACCTGTAGATGCAGCCTCCCTGCCAGGCCTATGCTGGAAATTCCCATGTTGGAAATTCAGCAATTATAGCTGATACAGGAAATTCAGCAAATGTAGGCTCCAGGTCCAGCCAGTCCCTGTGACTCCAAGCAACAGGTCACTCCCCACAGCTCCATGGTCCAGCAAACTCAGCATTTAATTCTGCCCTGTAGATCATCACACTGGGTAGACCTCTGTGGACCCAGCCTCCAGGCCTGCCCCAGTGCCAGGCCATTCTTCATGGTCCTATACTACAGGCCAGACACATGGACCTAGCCTCCAAGCCAGCCCCTGTGGACCCAGGCACCAGGCCTGGTGAACTGATGAATGAGGCACCAGGCAAGCCTACCAAGGACTTTAGTGGCAAGCCCACCCATGGACCACACCAGATGGTCCATTGAGCATCTCTGGATCAGCTGACTGGTGAAGGGCTTTTCCAAATGGGCAGATACCAACACATGGCCACAAGGATCACAAATAATCAGGGAAACATGACACCAACAAAGAAACGAAATGAAAAACATTAGCTGACCTCAAAATATAGAAATTTATAAACTGCCTGGCCAAAGAATTCAAAATAATAATCTTAAAGAAACTCAGTGAGCTGCAAGAGATAACAGACAACTAAATAAAAATCAGGAAACAAAAAACCAAAATGGTAAGTTCAACAAAGAGCTAGAAACCATAAAAAGGAAACAACAAAAATTCTGGAGCTAAAGAACACAATGACTGAACTGAAAGTTTTTTCACAACAAACTCAATCAAACAGAAGAAAGAATCATCGAGCTTAAAGAAAGGTCATTTGAGATTACCCAGTCAGAACAACAACAACACCACCAAAAATTTAAAGAGTGAAGAAAGGATATGGGATTTATGGAACACAATCAAGCATACCAATAAGAAAGTTCTGGAAGGAACACAGAAAGAGCAAGAGGCTAAAAGCATATTAAACAAATAATGACAGGAAATCTTCCAAATCTGGAAAGGGAAGTTAATATTCAGATATATAAATTCCAAAGAGCCCCAAATATATTAAAGATAAAGAGATCTTCATTGAGACACAATTATAATACAATTCTCAAAAGTCAAAGACAAAAAGTAATAATTTTGAAAGCAGTAAGAGAAAAGCAAATTGCCACTCACAAGGGAATGTCTGTTAGACTATCAGAAGATTTCTCACCAGAAACTTTGGAGGTCAGGAAAGAGTACAGTGATATATTCAAAGTATTGAAGAAGAAAAAAAAAACAAAACCCTGCTAACCAAGAATATTATAACCTGCAAGACTGTCCTTCAGAAATTAAGGAGAGATAAGGACTTTCCCTGACAGACAAAAGGTATGAGAGTTAATCATCACTAGATTTGTATTATAAGAAATACTAAAGGGAGTTCTTCAAGTAGAAACAAAAGAATACTAACATGAAAGCATGTAAAAGTATAAAACTCAATTTAAAGGTAAGAATATAGTCAAATTGAGAGTATTCTAATATTGTACTAGTGGTGTATAAATCACTTTTAGTTCCAGTGTAACAGTTAAAAGACAAAAGTATTAAAAATAACTATATATACAATAATTTAATAAGGATATATAAAAGATATAAATTATGACATTAATAACACAAAGTTTGGGGGGAAGAGAAGTTAAAATGGAGAGTTTTTGTATGTAATGAATGGTAAGCTGTTATCAGATTAAAATATACTGCAATAACTATAAGATGTTTTATGTAAGCTTCATGGTAACAATAAAGATAAATCACAAAAGATAAAGAGAAAAGAATCAAAGCGCATCACTACAAAAATAATCAAATCACAAAGGAAGACAGCAAGATTGGAAGAATTGAATAAAGGAACGGCAAAAGAGCCACAAAACAATTTTAAAATGATAGTACTTTAGATATAAATGGCTGAAATTATCCAATTAAAAGACTGAATGGATTAAAAAAACAAGAGCTGACCATATGCTAACTACAAAAGATTCACTTTAGTTTTAAGAACACGCATAGGCTGAAAGTGAAAAGATGGAAAAAGAAATTCCATGCAAATAGGAACTAAAAACAAGCAAGAGAGGATAGCTATATTTATTTACAGTGGCCCAATCTCGGCTCACTGCAAGCTCCATCTCCCGGGTTCACACCATTCTCCTGCCCTCAGCTTCCCGAGTAGCTGGGACTACAGGCACCCACCACCACGCCCGGCTAATTTTTTGTATTTCTAGTAGAGATGGGGTTTCACCGTGTTAGCCAGGATGGTCTTCATCTCCTGACCCGGTGATCCACCTGCCTTGGCCTCCCAAAGTGCTGGGATTACAGGCGTGAGCCACCGCACCAGGCTGAGGATAGCTATACTTATATCAGACAAAATAGAATTTAAGTTAAAAACTGTCACAAGAGACAAAAAAGGTCATTATATAATGATAAAGGGGGTAAATTCATGAAGACATGAAGAAGATACAGCAATTTTAAATACATTTACATCCAACACCAGAACACCTAAATATATGAAGCAAATATTAACAGAAGTAAATGGAGAAATAGAAAGCAATACAATAGTAGGGATAGTTAGAAAAAATAAAGAAGACCTACTATTTTATAGTACAACAGGGTGACTACAGTCAATAATAACTTAATTGTACATTTTAAAATAACTAACAGCGTAATTAGATTAAGAGTAATACAAAGGATAAAAGCTTGAGGGGATGGATACCCCATTCTCCATGATGAGATTATTATGCATTGCATACCTGTATCAAAACATCTCTTGTACCCCATAGATATATATACCACTATGAACACACAAAAATTAAAAATTAAAAAAATTAAAAACAATAATAGTAGAGGACTTCAATACTCTACTTTCAACAAAGGATAGATTATCCAGACTGAAAATCAATAATGAAACAGCAGACTTAAATAATACTATAAACCAAATGGCCCTACCAGACATATACAGAACATTCCATCCAACAGCAGCAGAATACACATTCTTTTCAAGCACACAAGAAATGTTTCCCGGGATAGATCATGTTAGGCCACAAAACAAGTCTTAACAAATTCAAGAAGACTGAAATCATATCAAGTGTCTTTTCCAACCACAATGGTATGAAACCAGAAATTCAAAAACAGGAAAAAATGGAAAATTCACAAATATGTGGAATTAAACAGCACACTTCTGAACAACCAATTGCTCAAAGAAGAAATCAAAAAGAAAATTAAAAAATATCTTGAGACAAATGAAGTTGGAAACACAACATACCAAAAATTATGTGATGCAGTAAAAGCAGTTTTAAGAGGGATGTTTATAGTGATAAATGCCTACATAAGCAGAAAGAAAGATCTCAAATAGACTAACTTTACACATCAGGGAATTAGAAAAAAAGAATGAAGCCCAAAGTCAGCAGAAGAAAGGAAAAGTAAAATCAGAGCAGAAATAAATGAAATAGAGAAAAAAGCAATAAAAAGATACATAAAACAAAAAGCTGGTTTTTCAAAAAGATAAATAAAATTGACAAATCATAACTAAAGAAAAAAGAAAGAAGATTCAAATAAACAAAATTATAAATAAAAGAGGAAACATTACAATAGATTCTACAGAAATACTAAGGATCATAAGAGACTACAGTGAACAATTATGTAACAACAAATTGGATAACCTAGAATAAATGGATAAATTCCTAGAAACATACAATCTAACAACACTAAATTATGAAGAAATAGAAAATCTCAACAGACCAATAACGAGTAAGGAGATTGAATCAGTAATCAAAAAATTCCCAATAAAGAAAAGCCCAGATCCAGGTAGCTTCATGGGTGAACTTTAACAAACATTTAAAGAAGAATGAATACCAATCCTCCTTAAATTCCTCCAAAGGCAAAGACATCACAAGAAAGAATACTACAGGCCAATATATCTGATGAGCATAGATGCAAAAATCCTCAATAAAATACTATCAAGCTAAATCCAACAACACATCAAAAAGATTATGTAATATGACCAAGTGGGATTTATCTCTGCTATACAAGTTTGGTTAACCAAATGCAAATCAATTAACATGACAAATCACGTTAATAGAATGAAAAATAAAAACCACATGATCATCTCAATAGATGCCAAAAAGCATTTGACAAAGTCTGGCATCCTTTCATAATAAAAACTCCCAGAAAATTAGGTATAGAGCAAAATTTCCTCAACATAACAAAGATCACTTATGAGAAACCCACAGCTAACCTCACAATCAATGGGAAAAATGGAAAGCTTATACTCTAAGAGCTATTACAAGGCAAGGATGCCCACTCTCACCACTTCTACTCAATATAGTACTGGGAGTTCTAGCTAGAGCAACCAGATAAGAAATAAAAAGGCATACAAATTGAAAAAGAAGAAGTTAAATTGTCTCTGTTTGCAGATGCCATGATTTTAGATACAGAAAACTCTAAACACTACACCAAAAAACCCTGTTAGAACTGATAAATAAATTCAGTAAAGTTTCAGAATACAAAATCAACATACAAAAAATCAGCAGTTTCTGTCCATTAACAACAAACTATCTGAGAAAGAAACCAAGAAAACAATCTTATAATATTTACAGTAGCACCAAACCAAAATACTTCGAATAAATTTAACCTAAGAGAGAAAAAGTCCACACACTAGAAAGTATGAAGCACTGCTGAAAAAAATGAAAAATACACACATAAATGGAAAGATATCCTGTGTTCATGCATTGGAAGAATGAATACTGTTAAAATGTCCATGCTAGCCAAAGTGATCTACAGATTCAATGTAATCCCTATCAAAATTCCAATGGTATTTTTCACAGAAATAGAAAAATAGGCCAGGTGGTGGCTCATGCCTGTAATCCCAACAGTTTGGAAGGCTGAAGTAGGAGGACTGCTTGAGCTCAGGAGTTTGAGACCAGCCTGGGCAACACAGTTTGAGACTTTGTCTCTACAAAAATAAGATCCTGGCATGGTGGTGTGTGCCTCTAGTCCCAGCTACTTGCAAGGCTGAGGTAAGAGGATCATTTGAGCCCAGGAGGTTGAGGCTGCAATGAGCTATGACTGCAACACTGCAATCCAACCTGGGTGACATAGTGAGACCCTGTCTCAGAAAAAAAAAAAAAAGCCAATTTTAAAATTCATATGAAACCACAAGGACTTTGAATAGCCAAAGCAATCTTGAGCAAAAAGAACAAAGCTGGAGGCATCACGCCACCTGACTTCAAAGCTCCAATAAGCAAAAGAGCAAGGCACTGGCATAAAAACAGACACACAGGTCAATGGAACAGAACAAAAAGCCCAGAAATTAATTCATGCATTTACAGTTGATTGATCTTCAACAAAGTACCAAGAACACACAACGGGGAAAGAACAGTCTCTTCAATAAATGGCATTAGGGAAACATGCTTAATAATGAAATTGGACCATTATCTCACACCATATACAAAAATCAATTCTAAATTAATTAAAAACTTACCATAAGGGCTGAAACTGTTTTAAAACTACTAGAAGAAAATATAGAGTGAAAGCTTCTTGACATAGGTCTGGACAATGATTTTGGTTTTTTGGGTATGACCCCAAAATTATAGGCAACAATAGTAAATACAGACAAATGGGATTGCATCATAACTAAAACCCTTCTGCCCAGTAAAGGAAACAATCAACAGAGTGAAGAGGCAACCTAAGAAATGAGAAAAAATATTTGCAAGCCATACATCTGATAAGGCATTAATATCTAGAATGGATAAGGAACTCAAACAATTTCACAGCAAGAAAACAAATAACCTGATTAAAAAATGATCAAGGGTCCTGATAAAAATGGCCAGCAGGTATACAAGAAAAATGTCTAATCATCAGAGAAACGCAAACTAAGAGATAGTACCTCACACCTATTAGGATGATTATTCACAAAAAGACAAAAGAAAACAAGTGTTGGCAAGGATGTGGAGAAAAAGAAACTCTTCTACACTTTTGGTGGCGATATAATTAGTACCACCATTATGGAAAAGAGTATGATGATTCTTCAGAGAATTAAAATGAGAACTGCTTTATGATTCTCACATCCCATTTTGGGGTATGTATCCAAAGGAAATGAAATCAGTATGTTGAAGAGATATCTGCACTCCCATGTTCATTGCAGCAGTATTCACAATAGCCAAGATTCTGAATCAACCTAAGTGTCCATCTACCTACAGATGAATAGGTAAAGAAAAGGTGGTATATATACACAATGGAATACTATTCAGCCTTAAAAAAGAAGGAAATTCTTTGTTTGCTAAAACATGGGTGAACCTACTGGGCATTATGCTAAGTGAAATAAGCCAAGCTCAGAAAGACAAACCCAAATGATATGACTTATATGTGGAATCTAAAAAAGTCAAGCTCCTGGAAGCAGCAAGTAGAATGGTGGTTACCAGGAGCTAGGAGGCAAAGGAGATGTTGAGATGTTGTTCAGAGAGCACAAAGTTTCAGTTACGCAGGATGAATAAGTTCTGGAGATTTAACGTATAGCATGATGACTATAGTTAATAATACTGTATTGTATAATTGAAATTTGATAAGAGAGTAGCTGTTAAATATTATTAACATGAAACAAAAATGCTAACTATGTGAGGCAGTGAATATCTTAAATTATCTTAACTGTGGTAATTATTTCACAATGTTTATGAAAGTGAATACATCATATTGTACACCTTAAACATATATAATTTTGTTTGCCAATTATGCCTTGATAAAGCTAGAGAAATAAAGTTATTCCAAAATAAAAAGAATAGCAAAAGATAAAAATAAAAGCTGCTATGGACTGAATGTTTGTGTCCTCCCCAAATTCACAATTGAATCGCTAATCCCCAAGGTGATGGTGTTAGGAGATGGGCGTTTGGGAGGTAATTAGGTTAAGAGGGTGGCATGCTCATGATGGAATCAGTGCCTTTATAAGCGGAGACAGAAGACAGTCTCCCTTGCCTCTCCCATCTGGGGACTCAGTCAGAAGAAGCCTGTCTGCAAGCCTCATGGGGAACTGAATCTCCAGCACCTTGATCTCAGACTCCAGAACTGTGAGAAAGAAATTTCTGTTGTTTATAAGCCACCCAGTCTATGGCATTTTGTTATAGCAGCCCCAACTGACCAAGACAAAAGTGGAACAGATAAATCACACACCATGGCAATTAAGAGGCTGAGCCCCCAACCCCACATTCCTCAGTCCTCTCAGGGTCAAGCACGACAGGCAGAAGGACAACTCAAGGCTTGATGGGTCTGATGGATGAACACAGAACATAGGCAGGAGTACACAGATGATTACTATGTGTATACTACATGTAGCTTCAGGACATTTCACAGGATAAATGGTCATTCGGTTTTTGCCTGGGGGTAGTGGGAAAAAAAAAACTTAACTTCCATAGAAGACTGTTAAAGGAAACAGTTTGTCTCCCCTATCTTTTCTGGCAATTCTTCTGCATTCAAAAAGCCAACAGATTTCTCTTTTTGAAGTACGGGATTAAATAAAAAATCCAAGACCAGTGATAGAATAGCAGCTGTCTTAAGTGATAATATCTATGGAAAATGGACTGGATGAGCCAAGCAGCATCCAAAGAAATATGTATATCATCATGATTACCTCCCATATGTAGTCCAGTCTCTTGAGAGGGTACTGATCAGGGCTGCCAAAGAGGATAAATCAATTCATTCCAATTAGGCTTGGTGACTTTACCACTTGCACTTCGAGAATCAGACTGGAATCACTTTTAAAAGAGATCATCTCTCCTCTTCTCTCTACTTAAACAGAAGCCTCTGTCAAAAATGGATGGAAAATACGTTTTGGCAGCTGAGTCAGGGGTAATTGTACAGAGTTGAATGCTCACAATTTTGCAGGCTTTGCCGTAGAGACATGGGGCGGCCAGACTTGAGTGAATATATCGGAGCACACTGCAGCCCCATCATCTATCCTGGCTACAACCAAACAACCTCCTGCTTGAATCCTCTTCAAACCCCAATATGCCATGTTTGTTTACAAATTAATTTTGGGGTGGGAGAAGACAGGCAATGAAGGGAAGCTGTAATTAAACCTTGTTCTCTTCTCTCACATTTGTGCAGTTTGGTTATCCAGTCTTAATGCCCTCTGGGGGTTTTGGTGTTGCCTGGCACAGCCAGAGAGACAGGAGCCAAGCAGAGAGACAGATGCTCGTTACACCCAGGGCTTGAGCAGCTCCCAAATCAGGAAGGACAAGTAAATTCACATTGCATGTCTGCCAGCCGCAAGGCCCCTGGAACAAAGATAACAGCGTCTCTAGGTTGTCTTTTAAAAAGATGAGGAAATTGCTTAATTTCAATCACTATGATTCTCATGAGTATAAAAATAAATATTTTTTTTTCTTCCTCCCACTGCAGTAAATTAGACTAATTCTGATACAGCTTCAATTACTCAGATCATCATCATCAACAGTAATCGAGTCTCTAAAACTTTTCACACACTCAGATCATGCATTGTGCACTATCACGCTGGTTTTTGCATTTCCGCCCACAGATAAGAAGTGCGATTTTCCTCCACATTTGTAGGCCCTGGCATATGAATTGATCAGCCAAATTCCTAGCATTTATTCATGTGTAGTGAATCATACAAATTGGTGACATGTTTATCAAGACGCTGACACCCTGAAGAATGCTTCCTAGTCCCCAGCTGAGAACTGACACGTGGCAAACGTCTGCATTAAATATCGGAAAGGATGCCGGTGGCAGAGAACATCATCTGTCGAATTCAGAGCAGACATTTCAAATGCCATTTGAGTGGCTCCATTTTATCCAAAGCTGTATTTCCTTCAGTTGCTACTTCAGCACATCAGCTCCCACTGCTTATTTCTGTTCCATGCTGAACAGAATGCCTGCCTGCCCCTCCAGTCACCATGTTGCTAGACAAACGCAGATTTTTGTCAACCTGGAAAATTGTCAGAAGAGACATACGATAATACTACACCTTGCTTAAAATCTCAAGACATTTATTCTGGGAACCTTCACCTAGTACATAAATAGCTGCTCACCTAACTTGTGCTGAAACCGTAGTTGGGAGGTTGGAATAAGAGCCTTAAGAAATAAAGAAAGAAAATTGAAAGCGGATGCTACTCTATCAGAGCTGCTCATCTCCTTCTCCTGGAAGAGGGGTCACTCCTGTTACTAAGGTTAGTAGTTATAGAATAACAGAAGCTCTGGGCACACAGTGGAGGGCACCCCTTCTCAAATCCTGCAAGCGTCTTCTGCTGTGGGGCCTTTGCACCTGCTGTTCCATCTTTCCAGTCATCTGCATAGTTCAATCCCTCTATTCAGAGCTTGGCTCACAGTGCCTCTTCAAAGAGGGCCTCCCAGATCATCTTATCCATCATTCTCCATCTCTTTATCCTGCTTTGTGTTTCTCTTCTCAGCTCTTATTACCGTCTGCCAGACAATGCATTCCTTTATTTAATTTTATTTGTTTATTCTCCTCTCCCAACCAGAATGTAAGCTCCATGGTGGCTGGAACTTAGTTTTTGACACTGTTGAGTCCCCACCTCCCATAACAATGCATAGTATTGTGGGTGTTCAATAAACATTCACTGAAACAATGAATTGAATGAATAAATGAATAAATATTTTAAAAGATGAGAGAGCAATATAGGACACTTCTGTTGGTAATAGTGGTGTGTATATTAGTGATAGTCATTATGCTAATAGCTACCATCTATGCAGGACACTGAGTTAAGCACTCTTATATTGTCCTACCACCCTTTGCCCCCTGACCCTTAGGCTGTTGGTCACCAGGTGTCTTACCTATGTGTCCTGGCCTGGCTAATTATTATAAAGGGTCAGAAGTCATTCCCCAAGGCTCCATCATTTAAGATTTGCTGCCAAGGAAAACTTCTTACACATTATTCTGGATGTCAAAGGATAAACTAGGTTTATATTTCCATTTATGAAATAGGAACTTCACTCTCATGTCCAAGGTTGGTGGATGGAATCATTTTGGACATCAGTTTACCTCTTAGCACCATTTTGCCCATTGCTGCTGGCATATGGTACCCCCTCTCACTCCAGATTTCAAAGAATATCCCTCCAAAATAATCCATCATGCTTCCTTTAATAAATACCCCAGGACCAGTGCTTTTCCTCAGAGGCTAGTAGAGACTAAATCAGCCAAGAGCCCCCAAACCCAGAAGAAAAGTGAAAGAAGGAAAACAAATCAGCAGAAAGCCATCATCGGAGGTTGAATCTTCCCCCTTCCAGTCCACAGCAGCTCAGCAGCCAGAGAGACCTTTCCAAAATGTAAATCCAAATGTGCATCTTCCAAATGTAAATCCACCCTTATTAAAGCACTGCAGCAGCCTCCTGCTGTTCTTGAAATCAGGCCCGGCCTCCTTAGCACAACCCACAAGGACTAGTATTGCCGGGTCTCTGCCAGTGTCTCCAGCCCTGTCTCACACCGCACTCTCCTTTTCTGATTCTCTGCAGTCTTCTTTCAATTCCTCTAATGTGCCCTGCTTCTTTGCACCAACAGGCCTTCCCGCAACCTTCACCTGGTCAATACGCTTCCTGTAGATTCCAGACCCAGTGTCACTTTCTTCTCTGCAAAACCTCTCCTGACCCCTAGACCTGTTGTGCCATCTCATCATATTGCATCACTTACAAACCTTTTCTAAACTTGCAAGCATAAATTTGAATATTATTTGATTATTACCTGCCTCCATTATTGTAAGTTCCCTGTAGGCAGGAACTGGGTTCACTTTTGTTCACTGTTTATTCCCAAGCACCAAGTAGGGTATTTGCCATACAGCAATGTGCTTCATATATATGAGTTACTAAATGAATGAATGCATAGACAATGCTAGCCAGCCTATGTCTGGGTCATAGGTTTATTTTAGCAATTCTATAAGAATACGTATAGAACAAATACTTTACATTTGATGAAAATATGGACAATCATATTCTCCTTCAATCCCAAATCCATAGATGAAACAAGCTAGAAGGGGGAAAATCAGATAATGGTGTGGTGTTTGTCATTGTTGTTGTTGTAAGATACAGTGGCCTGGAGGGAGGAGGGGAGGCTTGTATAGAGATTTAATCATTTTTTATACTATTATGCAGTGGAAGCAGCCACTGGCTTAATTCTGCCAACCCCTGACTAATTTCTGGTTACAAAGGTAACTGGGGGTGTGCACCTGTGAGCACAGGTCACCATGGCCCATGGACAGTCCTTCCCCAGGATCACTGGCAGCACAAATAACAACATGATCCAGCTCAGATTCACTACAAATCTGGTGAGACTCGGGCTTATCAAACCCCCTCATTCCTAAAACAGTAAAAAAAATGGCACCCCACTGACCACAGGCTTAAATAAAAAACTCAGCAAAACCCTGATCCCACGTGGCTGGCATCTTGGCCTTCCAGCCTTATCTCCAATTATTCTCCACCTCTACCACCCCACTCCAGAGTGAAGATCCCTGAAGGCAGAAACACATGGGTGGTTCTCAAAAGGGTGCCCCCAGCTCCTAGTACAGTGCCAGACTTAGGGGAGGCTCTGAACATATGTGACGGAGTAAATGAGTGAATTCTCACCCAAGATGCCCAGGACATATGATGAAATCAGCAATAATCACATTCCGTAGAGCACATTTTTACCGCTCATGGTTCATCTGCTTGTTTTGGAAATCCTCTTGGTTAAATGGTAATTTTCCATTTCTAACAATTATTCCTCATCTGCTCACAGCCACTGTAACCTGGAGTCATTAAGGAACAGTCCAATATAATACAAGACATTCCCTTGACTTTTTAAAACTCCCCAGTTAGGTGGACTCTTGGGGTCTATAATTACCCCCACTGCATCCTTTTTTTTTTTTTTGAGCTTTTTTTAAAGAAAGTAGAGATCTACTTCTCAAGCCTTAGGTGATACCAATTGCATTTGTCCCCTTTCATTAAAAAAGCTATTGATTGCTTTTCCCCAAGATCTAACTCTTTAATTCCAGTAACTGTGGAATGAGAAAACAGACAGATGAAGGAAATACATACTTGCAAAATGAAGAAAGACTGAGCTTTGGGGACCTGTGTGTCTCGTTAGCAAATCCTCCAGAGACTTCCTGCTTGATCACGTGCATTCATCTTGGGTGGAAGGTAAAGGAAAGAAGGGAGGCTTAAATCTTACTGAAGAAAACAGCAGCACAGGGTGTCTTCAACAGAATGGCTCATTTAGCCCCAAATTCAAAACTGAATTGTTACATCAGTTCAATTTGTTCCTTCATTGACTTAACAAACATTGCCAACCATGTGGACCCAATTCAACCAGATCACATTTACTTTTATCAAAATCAGTTAGCTTAGTTTTATTTTCCATGCAGGACTAATTTATAGCCAGTAGCTTGGAGTTTAAAACAGGAGTCTAGCTTTGTCCACTGATGGCTTCCAGGCCTTATTTATTCCTCTTCTCTTTACAGTGGCCTGGATAACTTTATTTTTTTTTTTTAAAAAAACCTCTACGTAGGCCAAGCTCTGTGCACTGTTGTAGATCTGTGACAGCACGCATGCCCAGTGAACTCCATGGGATGAAGGATAGCTTATCCAAATTGTGACCATGCTCAACCTAAGTACCTGGCTCTACAGGGTTCTCGTTCCTGGAGAGCACTCTCCATCCAAAACCTCCACCCACACAGATCTGAAGGGAGAAGTTCCAAAAAGAAATGAATGTTTAGACCAAGGGCCAGGAAACCTTTTCTGTAAAGGGATAGAGAGTAAACACTTTAGGTGGTGGATCAGTCTCTGTAAAAGCTCCTCGGCTGTCACTGTGGCATGAAAGCAGCCACAGAAGACACATAAATGACTGGCCATGTGGCTGTGTCCCAATACAACTTTACTTACAAAAATGTGATTGAGCAGATTTGGCCCAAAGGCTGTAGTGGGCCACCCTGTTTTCCATTCTGCTTCCTTGGAATGAAAGCCTTTTCTGAACAGGTCTGTGAACAGGAAAAGGCTGGGTGGTCAGGAAGGACCACAAACAGATTAATCCTTATCACCTTTTGAAATGAACTGACTGACCAGGGTTCAAAATCCATGGAAGGACAAAACATGGGAAGATCTTTTCACATTCCTTTCATTGAGGGATAATTTCCATGCAAGAATATGCACAGATTTTAAGCGTGCATTCAACAGATTTTGAAAAATGTTTACATTCATGTGCCCTTCAGCCCAAGAAAGTTACCCCATTACCCCAAAAGTTCCCTGATGCAGCCACAGACCTGACATCCACCTCCATAGCTTAGTTTAACCTGTTCTAGAACGTCACCAAAATAAATTCATGCAGAATGGGTCTTGAGGTCTGGCTTCTTTCATTCATTCAACTGTGCTTGTAACACAGTCATGCTGCTATTATGCTACTGGGGTCCCCTCCTTTTGATTACTGTGCTCTATTCCATTGTCTGAACACGCCACCATTTATCCTTCCATCTTCATGACAGGGACACACTACCTCTGACCCCTAAAATCAAATTCATTTCAAATCAGAAAGAGAAGAAATACTCCTAAGTGCCTAAATTGGAAGTGACACACTCCAACGTTCAAATTTTCATGTGGATCAAAGTTAATCCCCCACACACCAAGTACCCACCAAATGCCCAACTTGGCTGAGTGGAAAATGGGGGAAATGTACACACTCCAACTAATAAATAATCTCTGCTTCACCAGAATCCCAAGTAGGCAGCCCTGGCAAATTCTCTAGAAACCATGAATGTGTCTTTCCCAAGCTTTTCAACTGCCACGTGATGGACAGGCCGGTGGCATTTCCTCTGCTAACACTGAACTGCATAATTAACACCCAGGGTTATTTTTCAATGCCTGCACCTGGCACTTTTAATTTAATTATCTCTCCATTTCTACAATCCACTGCTCGCTGGTGACGGCTCCACCTGGCCGTCTTTGCCCCGAATCTCCACTCGCCTGCAGGACTTTTCATCCAGAAATAATTAGGAACACAGGGTCCTCTGTCTCGTGGCCAACTCAGCCGTGAACGCTACTGGATCAAGAGGGAAGTTTTATCTCAGACAAATGGAGTCAGCTCACAGCAGTGTTAAAGGGACAGGGTTGACTTCCAAGTGTTTCTGCTTTGCTGGGAGCTACCAAAAAAAAAAAAAAGTGGCAATGACCTTTCAGAAAACTTGGAACACTCTGGTTCTGGGAATATCCTTTTCCCTTGGCTGGCTCATGCTGGGGAATGAAATAATGAATTGGAATCTGTCTCGCAGCAGGGCTAGAACGATAGCCTGCCACGATTATCCACGCTACGGTACAGATACAGCAGCGCACAAGGCAATCTGGAGATGACTCGGAAGCCTCACTTTGTTCAATAGTTTCCATTAATCCTTCTCTTACCCTTTATGTTACTGTTCTTCACCAGGACAACCAGCAGGAAGCCATCTTGAACACTGATAGCCCTCCATTTGTCCTTTCACTCTTTGGGTTCTTATTGAATGTGGCGCCTAGCACCTAAAACGTTATTCCCAAGTTGGCAGTTTCATTAATAATAAATAAAATTACAAACAAAATAATAAAAGTATAGGAAGCATTAATTGGGGTACACAATGTATTCCATGAAACAGTTCTGTTTTCCTCTTTCCTTCATCCTTATTTATTTTCTTTCAGTGTGTACCCCCACACACAAACACACACTCACACAGTTGCACATATACTTCTCATATTGGGTTAGGATGATCTTACTTTGATAAGTAGTTTCAAAGAACAAAGCCAGGCTGTCCTCGACTTCCCTTTATTTCAGTCTCTCTCAAGACACGCAAGAGAACTTTCTGAGCAGCTGTGGGAATTGTGGAGCTCTTGCCTCATTAAAAAATGTCCTCCTCACTCACATGGCAAATTCTAGTTCACCTTTACCAAGTGCAGGAGAGAAATTTCTCAGGAAATTTTGACATGGTTTCCTCAGCTTCTCTGATTTTCAAGGCTGTTCAATAAAGTAGAAACATACTCCACTATGGATGCCTGGGAGGTCACCTCAGCCATTGGCCAGAGGCACAGCCCAGGTGAGTGAGGGCTGGGCGCCTGGCCCCTGGTTTGACAGATGGCTTCATTTGCAAGCCACAGTGCAGAGATGGCCGCAGCACACTTCCCAAGATTTACAACATCTGTCATGGAGTTTGATATGGCACTTCCTCCTCTCACATAACATAAGGCAATGTGCAGAAGAAATGCAGTCACTCCATGAACGCTTTAACCTATCTGGGACAAATCTGTCTTCCCAGGCCAGCAGCTCTGACACTGGGGTTTCCTCCTGGGTCTCTGCCTGCCCCGCCTCCATTTCAGCCAAGTTCTCTTTATGATAAGAAACACAGTGCTGATCCGTGCGGTTCATGATGGAGTGTATAAGGGAGGGCCAGTGAGTTTTCTTTCTCCCAGAGTAAAAGAAAGAAATAAAAACCATCAACTTTAACTACACTCTATGCACCACAGCATTGAGACAGGGTGTTCTGAGCATCGGGACATAGCCTGCCTTCTCCCTAAGGAGCCTGGCGAACTTTTACGCCCAGAGAGAAGATGAGAAAAGCCAGGATTTGGTGCCCAGGAATCTGGGGTATAGTGTAGGTTCTCCCAGAAGCAAACCCTGAGGCAAGGATTTCAGTACAGGTGATTGATCTGTGAGGTGAAGCAGGGCCAGCTGGGGAGTGAGGAGGTGATACTGGGAAGAGACACCAGCCAATGAGGCATGAGTGGTTGCATCAGTTATCCCTGGGTGTACCTGGGGCTTCCTACTAGCAGAAACTCTGGGAAAAATAAAAACACAGACTCAGTGTTACCTTGCCCAAGGGGTAAGGGAGCTGGGGTATTTATACACCAACTCCCATCATCGGCTATGGGTGGCTCCAGAAAGCATTCATTCCTCTGACTTCTGGTCTACCATAAAGGCTGGCAAGCTACACTTAGGAGGCCAGAGAGAGGCCTTTGACAAAAGAATGCAGATGCCCTGATAAGAATGGGTGAAGAATATGATCAGGGCCATGAGAGCCTATGAATCCATGTTCTGCTGCTGATCAGAGCTGTGATTCAGACATATCCTTTAACTTCTCTGACCCATACCTGAGCTTCACATTGAGAAAAGAGTGCCTTCATGCCTACCCCACAGGCTTGGGGTGAGAATCAAGTCAGGTAATGCTGTGAAAGGACAGTGCATATTACAAAGGGCTGTTAAACCATAAACTCACAGGGAAGGGTGGGAGCCCACCAGTGCCCAGAACTCCAGGAGAGATAGAAAAGGTGTGCAGGCTTAGTCTCCCCATGTCTTATAATTGAGCAGCAAAGGGGAGGCTCATTCAACAGTCAGTATTCTGCTCATCTGAGCACTTAGCGGGCAGGCTGCCTAATTTTCAGGGGCACAAATCCAGCCTGCTTCACCGGTGTCCCAGCTCAGGGAAAACATTTGTCATTTTAACAGGGTTATGGTTACTCATGCAAGACCAGAAAGAAATGGCAACTTGAGCATGTGGAGGAGTGACGGCCCACCCTGTCACTGAGATGGTGGTGATATTTGAGTTATATCTAAGGGTCAGGTAAGCAGAGGAACTGGGAAACTTTCCCATTTTTGAAACATGATGGAAATTCCTTGCTTTGCCCTTAGACCACAGGATAAACCATTCCTCTATGCTTCCCCGATCTGAGGCTCTTTCTTTACCGGATCTCAAGCAAAGGCATTTGGCATTCAAGTACCTATGCTACGTTACAAAATGATGCTGTGAAAAATGGACATTAGTGGCCAAGTGACAACTACTTGGATAAGGAATCCTTCATCCAGTTATTCAACCCATTCAAGGAAAACCTGAAAGAAGCTGTGATTAACCTACCAGGGATCTAGGGTTCGTAGATAGACACACACTCCTCCCTGCCCACCCTGCTCCCACCGCTGATCTCAGCTTCATTTCGTTTTGGCTTAAAAACATGTCATGCTCTTAGTAGATGCCTCCAAATTCAGAAGCCCACCCACTCCAGGAAAATGATGGATAGCAGCAGCTGAAGCTCCTCCTCCACTAAATTTCTCCCCTCACCTACATCAGTCTGGACAAAATCTCCGTAACTTAGGATCCAGGAACTAAGAATCTATAGGGTGGGCTAGACTGTCCTCAAAATATGTGCAAAATCTAAGTCAGAATATATAAATCTATATATATAGTGGCAAAATCTATAGCCACTATAATTAGATCCTCCATGGGCTCAGTGTCCCTCAAGAGTTAGGAATCATCCCAGACAAAAACATCCTTGAAAAAGGCATGGAGATGGCAAGGATCTGCCTGCTGAGTGCTCAGGCAGCATGTGGGCAGCTCTGACCTCCAAAAGGTAGAGAAAAGGGTTCTCGAATGTTCCACCAGGTCTCCCTGACCATAAGAACTTCCCACCCTGACGTCAGACCATTCCAAGGCTCTGCCTTTGCAGAGGAGGTGACCATGGGGCTGGACCTGGGCAGGACAAGGAAGGGCCTCCGAGAGAGGCCTTGATTTCCCCTGGGGTCTGCTGAAGGAAAATTTAGGTTGCAGAAATCGGATCATCTCTCAGGAACTAAACACCAGCAACAAACAAAAACCAGACCTAAAAGCTTCGGTGTGAATAGACAAAGTGAGACAGGCACAGGATCCCACCTGCAAGCCCCTGGACAGAGGACATTGCCAGGATCTCTCCTTAATAAAAATGGGCCAAAAAAAAAAATCGCAAAACTAAAGAATTTCTTTCTTTCTTTATTTCTCTTTTGGTAACTAAGTTAGGCATGAGTCTTTCTGTGCAATTCATTTCACTTTTGGTCCCATCCAGCCCTGGGGCCACCACAGGAAACTGTGGATCAGAAGAACTTTCCATTAGACAGGTCCATATATTTGCCTTCTGATGCCACCTGATTAAATCTGTAATTCTGGCCGCCACAGAGAAGGATGAAATGTGCTGGTTGTACCGGTGTCCTTTGCTCAGTGGTGCTGAGCTCGGGGAGGGAAAGCCGGGCATTTTCCTGTGTTTTCTGTTTTTCCCTGGGGACCCTTTCCTCCCGCTCCATCACTCTTCATAACTAAGGTGACCAGCAGGGCTTGGCCAAAGGAATCCCAGTTTTCTCACTCCAGCAGGATTTGATTCTTAGTAAACACATAGGAAGCTTCTCCAAGGTTTGGTTAGTCTGTTTGTTGATTTGTTCCTTTTTCTGTTTCACCATTTTCATAGGAAGCAATTGAACGACACACTGAGCCTGCTCCCAGATAGTGCTAATAAGGTCAAGGTCACAGCCTTTATTCCCGCATGAACCATTTTCTCCTGTTTTTCAATTTGCTCTTTGTCCTGCAAGAGCATCCCTTACCCTCAGAAAGTGGGTGTGGCTGAGCCAGATGCTAAGTGAGAGCATCAGTGAGCTGTGGATGTTCCTGTCTTTCTTGTGTACCTCATGAGGCTTCACTTGTCTTGAAATGATTCCTTTATGGTCTCTTTATATTCATTCCTGCCTTCCCTCAACTTCTGCTTCTTTCCCTGAGTTAGAAGATTCCAAACAAATACAGATATAGCACATGAGGAATTCTGGACCAAAGGTATGGAAGCTAAAGCAACTCCATCTTGGATGAAAATCCACCATGTTGACTTCTAAGCAACCACAGTTCTAAGGTTTCCAGTTTATTTACTGTTCCTTGTGTAAGAGCATGTCCTTACCATAAATCCTGCCCTTAAGCAATTGTCCTACACATCCCTTCCAAGGCATGTATACTTTTTCTCTATGATATAGAAGCCCTGGGTCTGGTCTGGGGATGATGGCATAGGGATTTACCATCTTGCCTCACTGCTGCCTGAGACACAGACATGACTTCCACAGAGAAGTCTGAGGAAGCTGATGGGCTGAAGAAAAGGCTGGCATACCCACCTGAGATATGGATCCATATCCGTATGCCAGCCTTTTTACATAGCTTATCAGCTTCCTCAGACTCTGGGGTAGGTTTGAATAGACCTGTACGCTGCAGAATACAGGGAGTCTAAGGACTTTCCTCAGCTTCACATGGCCAGGTGGTCCAGATATGAGATTAGAACTGGGTCTGGGGTCCCACCCCAAAAAAGGTAGGGAAATATACCACTAAAAAACATGGACAGCCAAAAGCTTTCCGCCATATGGAGAGTGTGGGGATTTTGTCCCTGTATGTAGGGGGTGGTGGGGTTTATTACCAATGGTAGGAACCTGGGGGACCCAAATCCCTTTTTCAGGAACTAGCTAGAAAACTAACTGCGTATTCCCAGCCACTGGTTCCCAGGCAGTGTGATCCTAGTCCAAGGCCAGGCTTGGGGTCTTGTCCATAATGCTTTGCTCATTTCCTTCTCAGTGCTCCCAGCTGTTCCACACCACAGGGCCTACACCTAAACAGTGGCAGAGCAGACTGCTCGGTGATCCCCAGACCTCCTGGGCCTTTACCCTCCCAGGGCCTGCCCTCTCCACTCTCACACACAGACATTAGTATCTCTTTGCTGAAATGAGTGATGGACAGAAGTGCCTGGAATTAGCATCCTCCCCTACCTCCCAGTTGGCCTATATGTACCCTGCTCCCTCCCCTATTGGGGAGGAAATGCTGAGGTGCCTGTTCTACACTGCTTTCCAGAATCCCATGGAGGACAAACTTCAGCCCAGTTGCCCCCAGAGCTCCTGTCCTCATTCACCTCCCAGAGGGATGCACTGCACCCAAATCCTTGCTCAGGAGCTGCTTCTGGGAAGACCCACACCAAGACAGGCAAGAGCCCTGGAAAAGAGAAAAGAAAGCTCAGGTTCTAGTGAGTTAAAATCTCTGATCCTCCATTTCATCATCTTCCAATGAGGATCAAAATATTACACTAAAGGATGAGAACCACCACCGGGACCCACCAGGCTGCTGACAGCCCAGAGCCGGTCTAACCAGAGAGTTGTGTTTCTTTCCTTGAGCAACCAGAGCCACAATACTGTGAGAACTCCCATGATGAAGTCTTCAACCTGTTTCCTTGGCCTGAACTCTAGTCCTCAGTTGAAAGACCTGACAATGTGCTCAAACCTCCTATTTCTCCTGCTGGGATAGGTTGGCAGGAAATTTTTACTCTACCTGATTTGGAGGCAGAGGGATTACAGTGTTTAGAAGCTTCCTGGCACAGGAGCATGATTTAAAAAGCAAGAAATACATTCTCCAACCTTTTCAAAACAAGGCAGGGAGCCAGCTGGTGTCCATTAAATGGATACTCCAATCCACGGACTGTCTGGCTTCAAGCCATAGGACCATGAGGCTTGCCACTTTCATGCATTAGATGGCAGGAACATTTCTTAGGGTGGGAAATGTTCCCATAGAGGCTGTGGGTGCCTGAAAGTTCTGACCTGGGTCATCTGCTTCTCCCTGAAAACACGAATGTCATTCCAGTCTGTCAGGTCTCAAATAAGATGAAATGTATTATACAGTCAATGACATCACTTATCAAACAACAGACAAACATTTATGTTCCACATGATGCGAAATGCTATGAAGGAAATGATGTGTGAGCAGAAAGTAGTGAATCATCAAAAAAACAATTAATATGCTTAGATCAGGGATACTCTGGAATTTCAAAGTAGCCACTGTGGACAGATTTACAACCACTTCCATGGCTTTGCACCCAGCGATTTTGGAATTATCTTTTTTTTTAAGAATTTAATTTGCTTTAATTTAACTTTTCATTGAGGCACAATTTATACATGGGAAAAAGCTTAGATTTCCAGCACAGTTTAATGAGTTTTAACAAATGTGAATCCCCTTGTAACCCACATCCCAGTCAAGATACAGAACATTTCAGTCGGGTGCAGTGGCTCACGCTTGTAACCTCAGCACTTTGAGAGGCCGAAGTGGGAGGACTGCTTGAGCCCAGAAGTTAGAGACCAGTTTTTGTAACATAGTGAAACTCTCAACTCTACAAAAAAAAATTTTAAAAAGACACAGAGCATTTCCATCATTCTGGACAGTTCCTTTGAGGCCCCAATACAGGTATTGTGCCCCTGTATACCTAAGTATTTTAGCGTATTTCCTAAGAACAAGGACATTCTATTTCATAATCACTGTGAAATTATCAAAAAATGGAAATTCACAAGGATACCTAAGTATTTTAGTGTATTTTCTCAGAACAGGACATTCTATTTCATAATCACTGTGAAATTATAAAAAAATGGAAATTCACAAGGATAACACTACTATTATCTAATCTATGTTAGACTTTATTCATATTATTCATTATCATTAATGTCTTTACAAGAAAAGTAAAAAAAATTGTGGTCCAGGATTCAACAAAAGTCCCCCATTGCACTTAACCATCCTATCTCCTTTGTCTCCCCTAATCTGGGACAGTTCCTCCATCTTGCTTTGTCTTTCATGCCCTTGACATTTTGGAAGACTACAGACCAGTTATTTTGTAGAATGCCCCTCAGTTTGGGTTTGCCTGATGATTTCTCAAAATTATAGTCAGGCTCTGCATTTTTGACAGGACACTGTGCTGCCCTTCATCAGGAGGCAGAATGCAGGTGCCTTCACTGGTGACGCTAACTGCAAGCACTTGGTTAGGGGAGGCGGCCAGGTTCCTCCACTGCAAAGTTACTACTTTTTCCTTTACAATTTATAAGTATCTTAAGGGGATATAGTTTGAAACTATGTAAACATCCTATTTATCAAGCATTTATCCACTAGTTTTAGTGTTAGTTTAGAATTTTTGCTTGAAACAATTATGATGATGATGATTGTCAAATGGTAATTTTTCTAATTCCATCATGTCTTCTGCTCAAAGGAAGACATTTTCTCATCTTGTTCATTCATTCATTCACATGTGGACCCACAGATTCTTATTTTACTCTATGGATTATAACCTGTTATTGTCATTATTTATTTTGATGTTCAAATTGTCCCAGCTTTGGTCAGTGGGATCTTCTTCAAGCTGGCTCCTGTGTCCTTTTGATATGTCAGAACTGGAAAATTCTCCCGGATGCTGAGATACCACGGACCCCATTTTTGTTTCAGAATAGATGTAATGTTTGTTAAATGCTTGTCTAAATAATGCGTCATTTGGCTACACTGCTGGGTATTGGGGCCAATGGTTGTCATGGCTGCCTGCCCCAGGGAGAGAGGTGAAGCAGATGTACCAGAGACTGCAGATGGAATGGGGGTGGTGCCCCCTGAGCATGCAGGAAGGAGAAGCAAGGCCCAGACCTCAGTTGAATGCAGTGGCCTGCTGCTGGAGGTGCCAGCCAACAGTATGAATAGAGGGCACACACCAGACTCTGAAGCCAAGCCAAGCTGGTCAGTGCTGCTGGTGGAGATGCAGGGCCGACAGCATGTGCTGAGGAGGACCATGAAGTGACACCACCATCAAGGGGAGTAAAATGGAACTGACCAGGCCAGTAGGGGCACGAGGGTCCCAGGGCAGTCTTGGGATCTTGGTTTGCTGCTTTTAACTCTGTCTGCCCCATGTTCTCTCTGGCTGTACTTTGCCCGTCTTAAAGTGCCAGTGTTACTCATTTCCAATTACTGTCCTGTCTTCAGTAGCGACACCAGCCATCCAGCCATGATGTTTCTAAGGTTAAAAGAAGCCCAACATCCCTCTAGGTTCTGTCCCACCAACTGCCCCCAACATGTTAACTAAATGTGCATGCACGTGGACACACACACACACACACTCACATTCATACACACCCTCACAGCCCTATTCTTTACTTCAATAACTACCTGAAATTAACACTTGAATATCTACCTTTACTACCATCTATTCCAAGAGAGTATATTTTATCTTTCCAACTCTATAGATTATGCTCTCTGCTAATACATCATGTTTCTTTTGAATCTCATAGCAGAAAACATGGAGTCTGTTACTCAGCAGACATCCAGTGATGGCTGCTGGTTGATCATCACTAAGGATCATTCCAAAACAGAACTAGCTTTCTCAGACAAACACGGCCAATGCACCAATGCCAAGTGGAACTGGGCCCAGGGCTATCTGAGATCCTCCAGACCTTGTCTGGGATGTTTCATGAGCCTCCCCACCAGACCCTCTCATGAACCTGGCCAACAAGGAAGAAATTAACTAATGCTCATTCCCACCTTATTCTACCTTCCCAAGTAAGGTGTGGCTTAGTAGACGGTAAACAGAAGGCAGGGAGACCACAGCTAGTCTGAGAACCTGGGCATCTAATTAGACAACTGTGACGCCACCTCTTTTCTAGGCAAGGAGAGCCCTTGAACACTCACAGTTTTCTGGGATTCATACCTAAGCAGGGTTTAAAAAAAAAAAGGCAGGGCTTCTTTTTTTGTTTGTTTGTTTTACGTCTCTGCTTTGTTTTTTCCCAAGCCTGTTTGTTAATAAGGAAGGCTCTGTTTCACCTCAGTGAAAATTTCAAGCCTCGGTTATCTTTGTTTCTTTGCCAAACAATTGTCTTTTCCTCCCTCAGCTTCCAGATTTAAAACTGGTAAGGAACTCCTCTTTGGGGAGCCAATCGGCTCCTGTGACCACTATCCAGAGGAATTTTCTGGTAGCTGAGGAAGAGTGGACATTGCTCAGGCAACTCCACTTCCTTCTGTCCACTTCTGTGCTGTCCAACTTGGGAGCTACTAGCTACATGTGGCCATTTAAATGTAAATGTGAATTAAAGTTAAATTAACTACAATTCAAAATTCAGTTCTTCTGTCACACTAGCCACATGCCAAGTGCTCAGTACACACATTGGCAAGTGGCTGTTGTACCAATAGGACAGAGAATATTTCCGCCATCACAATAGGTTCTTTTGGATATCAGGGCTGGCCAATTGGTGCATCTGTTTCAAAGTAGAGAGCACTTGGGGTTGAGCCACTCGAGGACTTCCCAGAATGCTGTCTCCATGTGTACCCATGAATGGTGGTCAGGTGCAGGGTATGCAGATCTGGGGGTGGGAGGTGGGAATGGAAGATCATTTGACCCTTATCCTTCTTTTACTGATATTTTACCTTCCAAATATTTTGCACGCTTCATTTCTCAGCAAGTTGACACACTCCCCTCAATATGGGGCCCAATTGTCAGCCCCTATTTTTTTTTCTTAATTTTTAATAAAGCAAACTTGATTTTACCAAAGATCCCTCTGTGATCAAAGATTCCCACTCATCTTTACTAAGGGTCCCATGAAGGGAGATGCATGGTTGTAGGAGGCCCCTTCAGGGGATGAAGAGTTTGATTACTGCAGTGGTTTTCGGGGACAGAAAAACATGTCAGGGTAAGGGCTGGTCATTAGGGATAGATGGGAAGCAGTGGGAGATGAGAGATTAGAACTAACAAATGTGCTCAAAAGCCCATTACATGGAGAACTACAAAAAAAGAAAACTCTTCAGAGGCCTCCTTTCAGTATGGAAGTAATTCACACTGGAGATAATTATCAATGACATTTAAAGGTCGTTTTTTAAAATAGTCATAGTTGCTTTCACTTCTAGAAGGCTGGGATAACTTTTAGGAACAATTAGATAAAGATGAACTCATTCAAGGTGTGAATATTCATGAGGGGCCATAATGCCTGTTTTGCCTTTACAGAAGTGAATCTTCACCATTAAAAATCAGGATCCTTGGCAATGGAAGGAAAAGCAGGACTCCACCCCCACCCTCCCCTACCACCACCACCAAAAACCTTGTCAAATTGTAGCATAATAGCTTGAAAAAGTAAGAAAAGATCATGGGGCAAGTTAATCATGAGGGTTGGGCAGGTAGAAAGAGATGGATTTCCTGTTCCAGGGAAGCCCCTGCCAAACCTGGAAGGGGTTAGCAAAGGGAGAGTTATTTTTAAGACTTGCGAAGTTTGAATTGGCTTAAATATAGTCCTTGCCTGGAGGCAGAGAAAAGAAAAAACAGATAATAAAGGACCCACATGTCAGGGAAAAATCAGAAATCAAATAAAAGGATTTTAGTGGGGAGGCTTTATTTTCAGAGGGCAGTGTCCTGAACCAGAAAGTAGGAAACTTTTGCAATTGGATATGTTAATGATGGAGCCTCAGAGATGGGCTGGGGGCAGTGAGGCTGGAGGTAGCTCTACCCTCCACAGACAACAGTCATAGCCATTGAAATGAACCATAGACATTTACTCACTCTTACGTAAAGTGTGAACAAAGGCATCATTTACAACATTTTATCATTTTTTATTGATCTACAACATATCATTTAAGTAATAACCATGTGCTTTTCTGTATAGCAACTTCAAAAAAAAATCCCCTAGTGCCCCTTATCAGCCAGATCACTGCCTCACATGTTCCTAATGCATTCCCATATAGAAACTCTGCTAAAGAGTGTAGAATGTGAAAGAGATTAAAGAAACGCCCCACAGTGGAATCCCCACCCAATCTGTTTTCTGCAGGAGCTATCGTGGTTCCTCTACAGCTGTGTATCTAGAACCAGGCTCACCTGGAGGGCTTGGGAAACTCAGATCCTGGGGCCCACCTCCAGAGTTCCTGATTCACTGGGTATGGGGTGGGGCCTGAGAATGTGCATTTTTCACAAGCTTCTCCCAGGGGAAGCTGACACTGTTGGTCCTGGAAACTCTCTTTGAGAAACTCTGCTTTAAGGATTCCTATCACCCCAGAAGTTGGCTTGAGGGAAAGTCAAGCTGAAGGGGCCAGTAGGTGAGCATCCTTCTCCTTGTATAACGGTACAAAGTGCAAGGCCTCATGGGAGAGCATCCTGGCACAGCTGCATGGCTCTATGGAGTAGCCATGGGGAGGGTCTCATTCTCAACAGATGATGTGCACAAGGTTCTTGGATCCCCTCTCTGTGGTCCACATGGAGGCTGCCTGATGCATCCCTGGGTGAACTTACTTAGTTCTTAGAACTTACTTTTCTGGCTTTCTTCCTTTCATTTCTCCTGCTGCTCCTCCGTGCCTACTTTTCTGGTAGGGCCTAGTTTCTTGACCCTGCAGATAATGGCACTGCCCAGAGAAAACCTGAGGTCTGGGTGGGTTTCCCAACCCAGCCCTGGGGATGCTGAGGCAAGGTGAACTTTGAAAGTTAACCACTCTTGGCCAGGTACGGTGGCTCATGCCTGTAATCCCAGCATGTTGGGAGACCAAGGCAGGAGGATAGCTTGAGTCCAGGAGTTTGAGACCAGCCTGGGCAACATGGCAAAACCCCACGTCTACAAAAAATACAGAAATTAACCAGGCATGATGGTGCACACCTGTAGTCCTAGCTACTCGGGAGGCTGAAGTAGAGAATCAACTGAGCCCGGGAGTTTGATGCTGCAGTGAAACATGACTGCACCACTGCCCTCCAGCCTGGGTGACAGAGTGACACCCTATCTCAAGAAAGAAAAAAAAGTTAACTGTTCTTGAGGAACCTAGAGCCGTGTGTGGACACCTTATTCCTGAACTGGAATCTGTTGGTCTCAGGGCAAAAATAAGGTTGCCCTGAGATCAACGGAGATCCCAGTTCAGTCCATCTTTGTACCCCTCATTCCCCTCATTCTGTTTTCATGACTGTCCCATCAGACTCAGGGGAGGGGGGCGGCTGGCTGAAGTGGAAGCAGCAGGGGATACAAAAACGTGGGTTCAAGTCCTCCATCTACTTTGGGAGACCCACACGGTTGGTGATCTGCAGGTAACTGAACTTCTCCAAACACCAGATATCTCCTCTTGGAAACGATAAAACCCACCACCCCAGGCTGTGGGACAGCACAGCTCTGTTTCCCATTAGGTTCTGGAAACCAGTTTTTCAGGAGCCCATGTTCCTGCTGGCCAGGGGCAAGGTCATTACTGTATCTGCAGTTCCCACCGAAGATCTGACTGGGCCCTCCCTAAAGACAGCCAATCATCTGACATCAAGCCCACCTGCCTGACCAAGTCTGTCTCCCCACAGACACTCAGCCTCATTGCTTCAGAGAAAATGGCATCTTTGCAATTGGACCCAATGGCCCCTCTCAAGTTGCAAACTGGCCCTCATGTTGTTTTCATTCTGCAGGAACTATTTTTCCTGGCATACGTGTAACATACAAAGAAAAAAATCCTTTGCTTTTTTAAAACATCCAATACAAAATAAGCGATTGTTAAGGCTCCAAACAGTCTGTTGTAGTTCTCTAGCATGCTCTAAAAACAATAAGCCACACGAGGGTGTGTGTTCTTTGGCCACAGCGTCTCTCCCAGGGTTGGTGTGAGTGTATTTTGTTCCTCTCATGGTCTCTCTCTTGCCATAGAGCACCATGAATGGGCATCCCCAGCAGACACATGCTGGGCTCCAGGGCTCTCCCTTTCAGCATTGATAGAGCACTCAAACAGCTGACATGATTTTCCAATGGATATGTGTTTTCTTCTTTTATTCTAAAATAAGGCTGGTGGCCAATTCTGGATAATGAACTTAAGAAGACGGGAAAGTCTTCATTAGAACTTAGATATCTGCATAAAGCTGTCCAATGACCAGGTCTGAGGCAGATTTGATGTCCTGGGAGAATGGTCTGGCAAGTAATACAGCTATTCTTCCTTGTGGTGTGTGGGAACTCCACAGCTTTGGCCAAAAAAGGGGAACAAAAGGGCCCACGGCCCTTCGAAAGGCCATTGTTGCCCTACTGATCCATGCTTGTGCACTCAACCCATGCCCCAATCTTCCTCACCAGTGCTTGCTGTCAGGTGGGAAGTGAGGGGCCTCGGGGGATGGAGTGACGAGCAGCAGGACGTGCAAACATGGAGCATCTCCACCTGGGGAGCTCACAGGCCAGGAAAACACCTGTCAGTTCCTATCCTGTGATTTCAACGTTTTGGCAGTTGTAGCCCTAAGTCAAGCTTTCCCAGCGACACATGGGAAGCCCAAATACTTAACCGTGTTTGAAAACGGCACAGCAAGTTTGCTGAGTGATTTCAGCTACATTTTCATTGTTCAATCATGGATATTAATAATTTTCAACAAAACTTTCTGTGACACCCAAAAGCATAAGGCAACCTTATTTTTGCCCCGAGACCCATGGAGATTCCAGCTCAGTTCATCTTTGTACCCCTTATTCTGTTTGTGTGACTGTCCCATCAGACTCGGGGGTGTAGGGAGCATGGCTGAAGTAGAAACAGCAGGGGACACAGGAGACGTCGGTTCAAGTCCTCCTTCTACTTTGGGAGACCCACATGGTTGGTGGTCTGCAGGTAACTGAAATTCTCCAAACATCGGCTATCTCGTCTGGGAAACGATAAACCAATATTCATTCTCCTCCTTCACAGAAACGTCATGGTGACTGCATCAAAGTAACTGAAGCCGAGAACACCATCTCATTAAGTACCTATGGCCGATCAGGCCCTTTAATCTGCTTTGCCTGAATTATTTATTTCCTATAAGAAGCCTGTGTTTTAGATATTACCATTTCCACTTGTCACGAAAAAGCGCTGAGCTCAAACAAATCAAGAAGTGACTTCACGGTCACACACCCAGCAGGTGGTCACACTAGAGTTCAAACTCAGGCAGCTCTAGCTCAAAAACCCTTTCTCTAAAACTCTGAGGTGATACATGTAAAAATGCCCTGGAAATGATAAAGCCAGGATAAAGGTAAGCTGATGGGATCACCCACTAACTAGAAATGCTAATTAAAATAACATCTCCTGCGTCTATGTTGCCAGAGAATGCGAGATTTCACTTAAGTGGGATTTTCCAAGTATCTAAGGCTTACCCCTAATTAAGAATCCACTTTTTTCTAATGCAGTTATTTTTAATGGAAAATTTCCAGAAGCAATTACATGCATTTTTGCTGTCTTTACTACACATGAACCAGAACTTAAGATTTCTAAAAATAACCCAGCCCATTAATGAGTATCAGGCATGAAAACGAGATACGACTGAGAGGCATTCTCAGAGTCTGTGATGTGGGTAGAGCAACCCCCAAAGGCTGAACTTGTTAGTTTTCCCAGCCTAGATTTTCTTTTGGAATATTTTATTAGGAAAATTTTAAGATATGTATAAAAGTTGAAAAAATGTTACCCAGCACCTAGATTCTATGACAACATTGTAAAATACTTGTTTTTTCACAAATATATTTAACTACCCACCCATCAATCTTTTAAAAAATACATTTCAAAATATATTGCCAACATCAACACACTTTTCCCTGAATACTTCAGCAAGCATATCATATCAATATTTGTTTACAGTATTTTTCTGCTGAGATACAATTCAAAAACATACAATAAAATGTACAAATCTGAAGTGATCTGAATCTAGTTTTGACAAGGAATGCACCTGTGTAACCCAAAGCTCTATCAAAATAAAGAGTATTGCTGTGTCCCAGGAAGTTCCTTGGGGCTTGTCCTAGTCAATCCCACTGTCACTTCCTTAGGATCCTACTTTCTACAGCTTTTCCTTTTCTTCCCTCTGCAGTCAACTGTCTCTTTACAAGTGTCAGAGGTTCTGTTTCTAATCTGTAGCCTCATTTTATCTGCAACTATCTGGATGGGATTGTGAGAGGGATTCTAAAGCCACTATCAGGAAACTGGATGGGTCTCAGGGTGGTCTTTTCCCAACAAAGATCTGGAAGCATCTGAGATATCCAGCAGCCTCATTTCCATATAAATGTAGTGCAGTGCTGATGGATTGTTGCAAAGCTTTAGCAGATATCTTTCCACATGTGAGAGCCAGTGCTGATCTGCAAAAGAACAGAATGTCTACAAGAGTTAAAATTTCTGGCCGGGTGCAGTGGTTCACGCCTGTAATCCCAGCACTTTGGGAGGCCAAGGCAGGTGGATCACGAGGTCAGGAGATCGAGACCATCCTGGCTAACACGGTGAAATCCCGTCTCTACTAAAAATACAAAAAAATTAGCCAGGCATGGTGGCGGGCACCTGTAGTCCCAGCTACTCGGGAGGCTGAGGCAGGAGAACGGCGTGAACCCTGGAGGCAGAGCTTGCAGTGAGCCGAGATTGTGCCACTGCACTCCAGCCTGGCCGACAGAGCGAGACTCCGTCTCAAAAAAAAAAAAAAAATTTCTGCATGCTAGTACTTCAATAGGGTTTTGAGGAATTGGATTGAGAAGAAAGATAATGGCTCACTCAACCTTTTGGAGTTGTGGTGTTGTCACATGTGCTGTGATGTCTAGACATTGCTGAGATGTTGACAATCACATGTTGAGACATCAAAACATTTGCATGTTGTTATGTGTAGACATTCACAGGTTCAGATGTTGTAATATCCACATGTTAAGATACCAAGACATTTACATATTGAAGCTTTGAGGTATCCATAGATTCAGATGCCATAAAATTTCCATGCTGAGACATTTTCATGTTGAGAAGTTGGCATATTATTCACAGGTGGCATCCCCATGTTGAAATGTTGAAGTATTCACATGCTGAAATGTTGACATTCACAGATTCAGCTGTTGATGTGACATCCACATGTTAAGATGTAGGGACATTCTCATGTTGAGATATTGGGTCATTTGCATGTTAAAGTTTTGAGATATTCACAGGCCCAGATGTGGAGGCATTTGAAGATGTGGCTGTTGAGATTTTTGCATGTTGACTTGTACAGACATCGACAGGATCAGTTGACTCACTGACATGTTGAGATGTTAAGACCTTCTCATTCGTGTCTGACTGCAAACATAAGATGGTATCAGCAAAACCCAAGATATAGATACTGATCATTTCTGGGCAATATCTGTCAAATTCTTCTTACACACCTCTTTGCTATTAGCACGGTGTTAGCACTGTTGGAGGTCTCCCCAGTTTCCATTCATGCCTATGGCTTCCTGCATCTTTCTGCCTGAGGATGTTCTCTGGCCCTAGGAGTGTGCTAAGACTTTACATGTGTAGACTGGACTGACAGACCTCAGGAGTGATCCTCAACCAAGGTAGGATGAGATTTGGGGGATAAATACCCCACCTTCCTCACCTATTAGTGCCTCAACACTGAGGGTTCTACACTGTCTCCCAGAGGGTAGTCATCGAAACTGAGCCCAAGCTGTCCTCAGTGGTAACACTCCCTATGGGTGTTTCCTGGGATTACCTCCCAAACAATTTTGGACCCTAACTAAGCCATCCCCAAAGGACCAGTCCTGTCTCCAAACAGTCAGAAAGCAGAGCCAGAACACCCACCCCTGCTAAAAGAGACATATTTTTCTCTGTAGACTGTCGGGTAACCACCTACAATCTGTAAGGGTGGCTGAGGCACCTGGGGCTGGGGACTTGCCCCTTGAGAAGCAGGGGTCACTGGGAGGATAGAAATCTATGGAGGTGCCTCAATCTCTATCAACATCCTTCCCAGATTGAGGACATGCTCATTTTCCCTGACTTTACCCACCTCCCATCACACAGGGACCTGGAAGGGCTGCTTCTCACCCTCTGCACCCAGATGACATGGGTGACGGGTTGGCAGCTCTCTTTTGGGGCAGCCCCCAGTATGGCTCCTCAGTGGGGAGAGAAGGTACTGAAAAGCTACACAGGCCATTCATAGGAAATATTTCCTGGAATCTCTGGGTGGGAATAAATTAAGGATTCTTTTAGGAACAGAGGAATCATAAACATGGGAAATTTGAAAGAACAAGAACTTTTTTTTTAATTGGGGACACAGTTCATCAAGAAAAACACAAATGGCGCAGCTGTCATGGAAAACAGTTTGGCAGTCCCTCAACAAATCAATCATAAAATTACTACATTGCCCCACAGTTCCACTCCTGGGAATATACCTAAAAGAAGTAAATTCAGGTGTTCAAACCAAAACCTGTACACAAATGTTCACAGTAGCACTATTTACTATAGGCATAAGGTGGAAACACCCAAATGTCCACCAATGAATGAATGGATTAACAAAATGTGATATATGCACACAGTGGACTATCATTCAGTTATAAAAGTGAATGAAGTGCTGACACATGCTACAAAATGGATGAACCCTGAAAACATGATACTAAGTGAAATAAGCCAGACACAAAAAGCCATAAATTGTATGATTCCATTTATATGAAATATCCAATCTAGACTAATCCATACAGAAGGAACACAGATTGGTGACTGCCGGGGGCCTGGGAACTGGGGAAGTGGGGAGCGACTGCTAACGGATACAGAATATCCCTTGGGGTGGTAAAAGTTCTGTGATGGTTGTACAGCAACGTGAATGTACTAAATACTACTAAATCGTACACCTTAAAATGAGTAACATAGTACATTTTACATTATGCATACTTTACACCATGTTTTCTTAAAAGGAAGATATAAGTCTGTGAAACTGGACACCTTTGGATTTCTTAAGTATCACTGGACACTTTTTAGGTGCTGGAAGGGGCCTTAAAAATACACTCATCTGTAATCCCATTTGAAAGCTCAAGAAAGATGCAGGGCAGTTAATGACTTGGTCAGGGTTGCAAAAAGTATCAAGAGGGGTCATTTCCTCTGCTAGAGGCTCTAGTCTCCTTTTTCCCAAAATGAGACCAAAGTTTCCATAGTGGAGGTCTATAACAGGCCATCCAGCAAGGAGCCCAGGGCCCAGATGTGGCGCGGGTGGATGTTGAGTCCAATCTTAGACCTCGGGGGCCTGCCCTCCGCAGCTGTCCCTAAGGTCACTCACTCACCTCCTTGCTCATGTATCACCTGCCTCAGCCCAAAGGCACCCCAGGTCATGGCCTGCAATCTGGATTTTTGACAGGAAAATACTAAACAAAACTGTCATGACTGGAATTTTAGGCACTGCAAATAATTAACTATGTGAAAATGAAGACAACCTTGGAGCAGGAGGGAAAACAACCCTGACAACATATAGCTGAGCTGGAGGGCACATCTGCCTTCATTGGACCTACGGTGGTGGTAACTGAACTGAAAAGTGGTAAATGGTAAGTGATGATTAAAAAGCACAGGTTAGCAACAGAGAAGTCGATATCTACAAAAACTCAATATCAAAATCATTAGCATGGCCATTTGGCAAAATTAAGGTTTGAAAGAGCCAACACCCCCTCCCAGTCCAGTGTGCTCTAGCAGGTTCCCTGGGATATCTGCATGGCTTTGCCCATTATCTGAAGGGCAAGGCAGCCCCTTCCCAGCTGGGGTCTCTCACCCAAGAGGCAAGGGCTGGCCATGCCCCAACACAGCAGGAGATACTTAGCGGACAATAACAGGATATGTATGTATCTCCAATTTCAGGACAGTAAGGACTTTTCAATCAAGACCTGACACAAATCAATAAGAAGAAGAAATGGCACACTGACTACATTAAAGTTTAAAACTTCTGTATATAAAAAAACCACCACCAAAAACAGAAAAGACAAGCCATGGACAAAACATAGTAACAAGAAAGAATTAATATCCATAATGCAGCAAGTTCTCTTACAGTTAATAAGAAAAAATAGGCAATGTTGATGAATAATCAATCCACAGAAGAGGCCATCCCTATGCCCAATAGACTTGTGAACAGAAGCTGAATTTGATCCATGAATTTGCTTCCTAGGCTTCCGGAACAAATTACCCCAAACTGTGTCCCTTAAAACAACAGAAATGTAGCCTCTCACAGTTCTGGAGGCCAGAAGTCCAAACCGAAGGTGTCAGCAGAGCCATGCCCCCTCCAGAAGCTCTAAGAAGGAATCTGTTCCTTGCCTGTCTCAGCTTCTGGGGGCTGCCAGCATCCCTTGGCTTGTGACTGCATCACCCCAATCTCTGCCTCCACCTTCATATCTTCTTGTGTGTCTAATCTCCCACTGCCTCTCTCTTACAAGGATGCTTGTGATCACATTTAGGGCCCACCCAGATAATCCAAGATAATCTCTTCATTTCAAGATCCTTAACTGAACCACACCTGCAAAATAATTTACCAAAGCAATATTCACAGGTTCCAGGGATTAGGACCTTCTCTCTTTGGGGGCACAATTTATATTATTATAACCAGTAACCAGGGAAGTCAAATTAAAACCACATTGAAATACCATTTCACATCATCAGACTGCAGGAATTATTATTATTATTATTATTATTAATGCAAAGTCTGAGAATATGAAGTACTGATGACCATGTAGAGCAGTAGGAACTTGCATCCCCTGCTAGTCAAAGTGTAAATCTATCGGAAGAAACATGCTGGAGAACAGTTTGGTAGAACCTGTAGATACCAAGGATGCACATACCTTATTCCCCAGCCATTCCACTGATAGACAAATTCATCCCACCAGGAGACACCCACAAGAATGTTCTGTGGAGTACTGTCATGTGAAGAACTGGAAACAATCCAAATGTCAATCAACAACAAAATAGCTAGCTTACCTGTGGTAGAGCCACACTATAGGACACCATGCAAATTGAGAATAAGTGAACTGGGGTCCCATACAGCGACACAGATAAACCTCACAAAAATAATGTCAAGAGGAAAAAGCACATTGCAGGAGAATACACATAGCACAATCTCATTCACTCAAAGTTTAAAAACATGCAGCTGATACTTGGCATTGTTCATGGGTACATACATTTGTGGAAAAGGCATAAGGATACATACAGGAATCCAAAAGACAATTCTAGTTAGTAGTTGCCCTTGGGAGAAAGGAACAGATTGAAACTGTGTGCAGTGACAAGTCTGCAGGGGATTTCAAAATACATTTGCAAACAGTTTATGTCTTAGGTGAATGATGAGTATATGGATATTCATTATGTTACTCCCTATATGTTTTTGTATCTGAAATGTTTTATCACTTTTTAAAAATAATTTAGGAGGTGGCATATGCTGTTGGCAGGAGTGGTGACAGGTCACTCATCTCAGTGAGAATACCTGGCAGGTGGCAGAGTTTGGTCCTAATTCCAAGGGTTCTTAATTTGGGGTCTATAGACCCCCTAGGTGACTATGGGTAGAATTTAGGGGGTCTCTAAAGTGAATTGAGCAAAATACATATGTTTTTAAATAACTTCTAACCCAAATGTAGCAGTTCCTTCTAATATGAATGTAGGCAGCACACCACACAGTGTTAGCAATTTCCATGACTTTATCATCAACGGCAGTCAGGTATTTTACAGCCCATTACAATGTAGCAGGCATCTCAAAATAGCATTTATGCTCATCAACAATTCAAACTGACAGGAGTTATTAGGCTCACTACCAGATCTTGCCACTAATGTGCGGATAAAGAAGCATATACATTCCTTCACCACCAGGTTGTTTATTCACTATAGGTTGGAAATACCTGCTGTTGTTCTATTTTATGCTATGTTTTTGAAAATAAAATTCTTCACCAAAATGTCATGGAGTTAGAAATCCCTGCACATTCCAGAAGGGCTGGGGATTCTCCAAGGGTCCAGTGGTCAGGTCAGTGGCTAACACCCTGGGGGTCCTACAGCTCCAGGTAGAGGCCAGAGAGAAGAATCAAATCACAATGTAAGGAGGCAAAGGAAGTTGCACTTGTTTATCTTAGCAGATGGAGAATGTTGAGCCCAGGAATTAAGATCACTTATTTTCGAATGTGTCATCCTTCTTATCCTGTCTTCTTTCTGTCTCATTTTTTGGATTTTAATCAGTGGTTATCATGTGAAGTGTTCTGAACCCAGACATAAATTTAACATAAGAACCGAGCTAGTGGATAAAGTCTGCGAGGGGGCCTCCAAACCAAACACAATGAAGGGCATAAAGGCTGAGTCTGTAATGCAGTGATTGGAACCACATGTAGCTTCCTCCCTTCTGATGCCATGTGGAGGACAGGCATGGAGAGCCGGCTGGGTTCCTGACTCAGCCCAGTCTGAGGAGTGGCACACAGTCCTGATAAGTCTGAAAGGGGTCATAAGGAAGCCAAGATGAAACAGAGAACACAATTGCTTTTGTCAGGAAGTAGCCTTCTCTGATGCTAAGAGGCCACCAAGAAGGTGAGTTGGAGTTGGCATTTTTGCCTTACAGGGAAGAGCTTGAAGTTTCTGTACCTTGCTGCTGCCCAAAGGAGGAGAAGTGACTTATCTGAGGGGAGAGGCTGGCAAGAACCTAGCATGCATTGGGAGAATTCCAAACTGTTTTCCAAGGTAGCTGTACCATCGTACATTTCTATCAACCATATATTAGAGCCTGGTTGCTACACATCCTTGAGAAGACTTGGTATTGTCAACTTTTAAACTTAAGCCACTCTAGTGCAGTACTACTGCACTAGTACTACATGATCTCATGTAGTTTTAATCTTCATTTCCTAATGACTAATGATGTTGAACATCATTCTATGAGCTTACTGGGTCATACACACATACACACACACACACACACACACACACACACACACATACACAAATTTTTTATGAAGTCCACCATTTATTGACCATTTGCTATGTGTTGGGCATGCTTCTAGGTGCTTTTTGAAAAATGAATTTTATTGAGGTATAATTTACATAAAATAAACTGCAGCCACTTAAAGTGTACAATTCTGCCATCCCTGGAAGTTTCTTGTCCTCCTCTGTAGGCCAACCCCCTGCACCTGACCCCCATAACATTACTGAGCTGCTTTCTGCTCCTATTGCCTCGTTTGCATTTCCTAGACTCTCATACAACTAGAATCACAAAGCATGTATTCTTTTGTGTCTGGTTCCTTTCATTTGGCATGTTTTTAAATTATTTTTTTCTGTTTTCAAATTACTTATTTCTAATTATTTTTAAACTTAATTTTATTTTTACACTGCAGCTTCAGCTCAAGAATAGTATGATGTCTGTGAGGTCCGTTCATGCGGTTGTGGGTTTCAGGGGTGCATTCTTTGAAACTATTGAGTAGCTTTCCATTGCATGGATGTGCCTCTAACTGTTCATTTACCAGTTGGAGGACATCTGGATTTTTCTAGTTTGGAGCTATTAGAATAAAATTGCTATAAACATTCATGTGAACATCTTTTTGGTAACCATATATTTTCATTTATCTTGGGTAAATACCTAAGGGTGGAATGGCTGGTTCATATGTCTTATAAGAAACTCCAAACTGTTTTCCAAGATAGCTGCACCATCTTACATGTCCATCAACCATATATTAGAGTCCAGAGTCTTCACATCCTTGACAAGACTTGGTATTGTCAGCTTTTAAACTTGAGCAACTCTAGTGCAGTACTATCTCATGGCAATTTTAATTTTCATTTCCCAGTGACTAATGATGTTGAACATCCTTTTATGAGTGTATCAGGTCATGCATTTTTATTAGTCTGGCTAATGTGATAAAGAACTCTGCTCAGGAGAGGTGCTTGCTCTGTCTTCCTCTGCAGCCTCCTTGTGTTCAAGCTTTTAAGATGCAAGCTCTTTATGCACAAGGATCATGTCTTAATAGTTCTTGCATCTCTAGCACAGTTTCTGACACACTGAAGGTACTCAATAAGTCTATTGAAAAAAGATGAGCAAACAGATTCCAGTTAATTCTAGGATGTAATCTGATGACATATTTGTCACCTACTAAAGAGTGTAAAGCAGCAGCTTTCTCTAACTGAATGGCCCAAGACTATTTTTTTTTAAATAGCTATGATTAAACTGTCTCTCCTTTCATATCAAATCTTCAGCTTCCCCCTGCCTGTAGATGACCTACCTTCCAAACTGGTGATTTGAATCTACTGTGGGCTTGTTTGGGGAGCTGACATAGAAGTTTGTTTTGACTTCTAAATTTACAACTGTATAAATACAGTCATGCATCACTTAATGATGAAGACGTGTTCTGAAAAATGCATCTTTTGATGATTTCATGGTTGTCGAACATCATAGAGCATACTTACACAAACCTAGCTAGTATAGCCTACTATACACCTAGGCTATGAGGTATAGCCTATTGCTCCTAGGCTACAAACCTGTATAGCACGACAGTGCACTGAATACTCCAGGCAACTGGAACACCATGGCAAGTATTTTGTGTATCTAAGTGTATCTCAACATAGAAAAGATAATGCATTATGCTATGACATTACAACAGCTGTGATGTCACTCGGTGATAAGGTTTTCTCAGCTCCATTATAATCTTATGGGACCACCATTGCATAAGTGGTCCATCATTGACAAAATGTTGGTACAAGACACATGACAATAAAAGCAAATAGCCCTGAGTGATGACCTTAAAGACTTTAAAAGATGATTGTACAGGAAATTCCTACACAATGTCTCTTCCCCACCAACAGCTGAGACTTCACATGTTGAAACAAGTGTCTCTGGTCCAGGCAGCAATTTAACCTTAAGGTTCAATGCGGACTTGGGCTTTGGGGTGAGAAACCAAGAAAGAGGGATCTGAGTTCAAATTCCAACTCTTCTGCTTACAGTTTAGACCTTAGGAAGTTCCTGAATCCCTGAGGCTCAGAGTCTTCATTTGAAAATCAGGAAAAATAATAACGTGTTTAAGGGCTGTTTCAATAATCAAATGAGGAGATGGGTGTAGAAGCTCTCCACACTGCACCTACTCACAGCAGCCGTTAATAATGTTAGTTTCCTTTGTCGTGAGCCAAGAAGGCTTGGGTAGTTGCTGCCGTTGGTGCTGGCCCAGGTCTCTCTTAGTGGTTGGTACCGCAGTGCCAGCTACTGTGAGTGCAGGGCTAAAGCTGAGACTCTCTGCAGAACTGCCCTTCATCAATAGGGCCCCCTGGATAGGGCCTCATCGAAGGCTGTACCCCCACTCTGCCCTGGGGGCTTTCAATGACCGACCACTTTAAGTACAAATGCTAAGGCCCTTGACTCAAGAAAGGCAACTTTGGGTGTAATTTAAGCCACAGAACTACCCCCTCCCCGCCCCTCCCACCGACAATGGTTCAGGCCAAGGCTGAGCTGCCCTGCTACCCCCTCATCCTCCCTGTGCAGCCCCTCCCCTGCCCTGTCCTGCTTCTCTCCCTCCTTCATCGGTATCCCCTGAGAGCTCTCCCTCAATAAAACACAGGCTCCGGAGTCCTCACCTCAGGCTCTGCTTGTAGGAGCCCCACCTATGACACCCAGGAACTTGAGGGGCACCATTTCCTTCACAATGCATTAATGGCACAAAGGCTAACTTTTTGTTTTGAAGCTGTGCTCTCTAACCACTGGAGTGTGAAAGCATCCCAGATGAAGGCATTTTCTACACATTCTGTGTTTGATCAAACCCATGGAGTCTCTGGATATTACTGTGTTCAGCCTGCTTCAAACTAACCACCTGGTGGAAACTGAGGTGAAGTGCATGAAGCCTTGGGGAGTGTTCAGAAGAGAGCTGACAAAGCCAAACCTCCAGTCCAACTATCGATAAAAGATGCTGACAGATACCCCAGGAAAGGAGTCCTAGGGGAGGCTGGGAGAGGAAAACGTTACTAACCCTGTTGTTGGACACACAAGGGCCCATGGGAAGCTTAATCACTTAACTTAGGTTCCACAGCAAAAATTGGAAAAGCTCTCCAAGTTGACTCGCAGGCCAGGACATAAGGCCAAGAGGGAAGGAGAAGCTGGGGAGGGAGATGGTCACAAAGTCAGAGGGAAGAGCTCTTGTTTCATCACACATTCAGACCTAGAGAAAAGCAGCTAAGCCCACAGGCAGGCGATGATACTGTCTGCTGATGATGTGAAGGTGAAATAGAGAGGAAATAGCAACAACAAGCTTCAGCTTTGCAAAAGTATTTAGGAGTGGGAGATGATCCCCACGTTTGGGTGTATGAGGAAATCCAACAACCTGAAGGGAAAATGAGAACTTCAGACTGCAGCAGTGACAAGGCCAAGGTTCTGGGGAGGACTGAGATAAGGTGTTGACATAGGGAACTGTCTCCTCTCTATCACCCTCCCAAGAGACCCTATGGAGGCCAGCCCTGGGCCTGGACCATTGGCCACCATCAAAAAGACAGCCAAACATCAAAGCATCTAAGGACAGGTAATGTCAATAATGGAGGCTGGGCCATGGGGAAAGCCAGGGCATTAATATGTATAAAGTCTACAGGAGGAGAGAAAAGGTAAGCATCCTATCTGTCCATATTGAGAATTAAACTGCCACTGGGGCCTGGACAGAGGTGAGTGGAACATCCAGCTTGTGGTTCTACTCTTTCTTGGAGTTCTCCAAGATGGATGAGAAACAGCACGGTCTGTACCCAAGACAGACTCACAACCCATGGAACTCAAGAATTTGTCCAAGAACCTCCCTTCTTCTGAAGTAATCATTCAGTCTCCTTCTCCTAACAAAGGACAAATGAAAGGAAAAGAATATCAAGTATCTGCCTACATTGGTCTACCTAATCTAATCATTTCCATTAGATCATAACAGTTTCCTCTCCTATGCTGATACCCATCAATTACCATGGTGCCCTGGAGCTCAAGATTGAGAATGATGCTACAATTGACTATTGATGTCTGGCAGGCGTAGTGGCAAAGAGACAGCAACACATATCTTTTTGTTTAGAATCTTCCAATAGATTCAAAAGCTAAACTGGTAAATGATACCATGTGTATGTGCATTTCAAAAAGAAAATACCTTAATGTTTCCTAAATGCAATAGCACAAAAAGTCATCATAAAAAGAGAGGCAGAAAGAAAAGGAAGGAGAAGAATGAAAAGAAAGAATAGGAGAGTCAGAATTAAGAAAAGTAGGAGCAAACTCAGACAGAAATAAATTTGTAAAAGTAATTTTTCAAGGTAACTTTGATCTCATCTACCAAATTCTATTTTAATAAAGTGCTCTTTTTACCAACTACAGAACAAAATGAAATATCACATAAAAAAGTTATTTCCCATTATTCATATATAAACTCCCTAGCTATGAATTCAGTCCTTATAAATAGCAGAGTGGGTAACTCTCAGTAATCCCTGGCTTAAGGTAGAGCTACTGCAGCCAAGAGCTTCTCTGCACTGTCTTCTCCAGGACTCCTGGAGGCCTCCAACGGTGCCCGTGCTCTCGAGGTTTGCGTCTCACCCTGCTGGGTCCCTGGTTGGACACGCCATTTACAAGGATTAGTCTTGTGACATGAGTGAAACAATAATTTCATCTGAAGCTTAGAAACATATGCCACACAGTGGTAACCTGTGTAGGCAAAACACCAACCAGAGCAAATCAAAGGATGATAAAAACCAAAGCAGCCAGAGAGTTGGAAAGGAAGATTACTTGGGAGTCATTCAATCTGAATTTGGGTTCCTCAGAAGTAGAGCTTAAGACAAAGATACATGTGAGGAGAAAGGGATAGGGAATAAAGGAGCCAACAAAGGAGTCAACAAAGTAATTTATCAAGCCAGTTACTGCTGTGGGCAACTGAAGCTCCATCCTGCTGGGGGCCTCCAGAAAACCACACAGAGCATGCACCTCAGAGCCATCCCATCGAATAGGCAAGGGAACTGGGATATTTACACACTGACTCATCAGTTCTTGGTCAAGGACTTTTCTCAGGGGTCTTCATTCTCCTGGAACTTCTGGTCTGCTTTGAGGGGCAGGTGGTGTGGTCCTCTTAGGGATTGGAGAAGTCTCCCAGAACCCTCAGGCAAAGAGATTCAGGTTCAGGCAATGGGAGGCTCTGATAATACATACTAAGTAGTAACGCCTAAGAGATACGAACTAGGCATGGACAGTGTCTAATACACAACCCAATCCTCCTAGTCTGCAGAAGGGGACACTCAGCTAGTGTGGCTGAATGTTAGTCTAGAGGCACAGAGACAGGAGACTGATGCAAGGAGAGAGGATTGCTTGAGGGAGCGATTCTGTAGTCTCCCAATGTGGAGTCAATGCAAGTATGCTGGCTTGTTCCTATGGAAGTTTAGGAAAGAACTTCTTAGAGAAGAAATTTAGAAATTGTATCTTGGAAAAAGCATCTTACAATTTACCAAGTATGTATTGCTTGGTAATTATGTATTGCTGGGCTAGCCTACACAGAAGAAGGCCTAGAGCACCTGTTCCTAAAGGAACAAGCACTCCAGGAAGAAGCAAGGCTGGGGGATGCAGACAGACAAATTGCATATGAAGCAGGATATGCTGGGTGTCACGTGGAAGGGAAACCTGAAGTATTCAGGTGTTTACCTGAGGGAGAAATTGTCTCTGGTGATATATAAGAAGCAGATACACAATGGAGAAGAGTTTGACCAGGGCAGATGGAGAGTGGATTGTGAAACAGACCTAGCACAGACTGACAAAGCTTACTCAATAAACAGCAAGCAGTCTGTGTGTGCACTCCATGCACTCCTCGGCATATCCTGGAGGATGGAGACTGTAAGGTGACACAGGCGGTCAGGGCCCTGATGAGGCCTTAAGCACCAAGCAGAGGAGTAGCTCTGCCATTTGAGAGGCCAGAGATACAACATGATGTTAGACCTGCTAAAACACAACTCTATTGATCTATCAGGATGTTATTAGGCATTGGGGGCTGGAACTGGGGTGGCAGCAGCACAAATACCAAGGAGGAATGCAAGCAAGAGATAAACAGGGTGGCTAGGGGGAGAGGCCGAATATGCTTTAGATGCTCTGACCAACAGAACTTTCTGTGATGATGGAAATGCCCTATACGTGGACTGTCTGATTCAGCAACAGTTCACTGCCTGTTAACAACCGACAATGGACCTCCAGCTATGACTGTGTTTGCCACATGTGGGAGAATCTATCGGAGGTGCTAAAATGAGAGTACAGAACCTTCCAATCATCTGAGAATTCTCAGTTCTCCTTGAAGAAAGCAAATCATCCTCCTGGGGCCTATCTGAAGTGTGAAACGCCTTTTGCCAGCCCATAAAGAATTGTTCAGAGTGCCACAGTGTGAAACCGAAACCCCACATCAGGGAGCCCTTGGCTTCTAGCAGAACCCGAACAGACATCCTCGGGGAGCAAGGTCAATTGCCACCTTGTTGTGACCTGCTTGGGGAACTGCCTGTCATCGGCTGGCAGCCCAGCCACAGATCACTAGCCAAAAATGGCACAACTGTTGACCGAATCAGAGAGAAACATTCAGGTCAGCACCAGGAAAGGTTTCGAAGCAGGGCGAGGCACAGAGCTCCACATGCCGGGTGTTGTTTAATTGCTTTGACAGACTTCCTCTCTCTTCACCTTCACAACAACCCCATCAAGTAGGTCTCCCTATCCTCACTTTGCAGATGTGAAGTCCGAAGCTTAGTTGTAACTAATTTGAAGTCCCAGTACTTCTCAGAAACGGGCTGGAGGGGACTCAAACACAGAGTGACCAGCCCCTGAACTGTGGCCTTCCACTACACCATGCACAACCTCAAACACAGTATTTTCCATTTCTATAATGTCGCCCTTTTGTCTTTCAAACAGAACTCATTTTTTAACAAGCAAACCATGAATTCTGTTCCAATTTATTTTGTAAGTTAATAATCACAAATACTAATTTTTAAAACTCCAATTTACATAATTTTTTTCTTGTCATTTGTCAATAGACCTTAAAATAAGGTCTTAACAAATTTAGAGTGGTTTTGGGAAAAGCTGAACAGAATGTACAGAGTTCCCAAATGCTCCCCCGATAACCAGTTTCCCCTATTACTAACATCTTGCATTGGTGAGGTACATTTGTAACAACTGATTAACCAATATTGATACATTATTATTAACTGAGGTGCATGGCTAACATTAGGGTCAGCCTTTGATGTTCTACATTTTATGAGTTTTGAAAATATGTAATGTCATGTATCCATCATTACAGTATCATAAGAGAATAGTTTTGCCACCTTAAAAACCCTCTACACTCCACCTAGTTATCCCTCCTTCCTCCCTACCCCTGGAGCCCCAAGCAACTACTTATCTTTCTACTGTCTGTACAGTTTTATCTTTTCCAAAATGTCACATAGTTGGAATCATACAATATATAACCCTTTCAAATTGGCTTCTTTTGCTGAGCAATATGCATTAAAAGTTCCTAAATGTCTTTTTGTGGCTTGATGGCTCATTTCTTCATATCACTGAATAACATTCCATTGTATGTCTGTACCATAGTTTATTTATGTATCTGTTGAAGCACATCTTGGTTGCTTCCAAATTTGGGGCTGTCTATCCTGTTCTATTAGCCTATTTGTTTATTCTTTTACTGTTTGTGTGTTTAAACAGTGATCTTTATATAATTACTCTTCTTTTCTTTTTTTATTACTTTTTATTTCAATAGGTTTTGGGGATCAGGTGGTGTTTGGTTACATGAATAATTTCTTCAGTGGTGATTTCTGAGATTTCTGTGCACCCATCACCCGAGCAGTGTACACCGTATCCAATGTGTAGTCTTTTATCCCTCGACAACTCCCACCCTTTCCCCTGAGTTCCCAAAGTCCAATGTATCATTCTTATGCCTTTGCATCCTCATAGCTTAGCTCCCACATATGAGTGAGAACATATGATGTTTGCTTTTCCATTCCTGAGTTACTTCACTTTGAATAATAGTCTCTAATTCCACACAGGTTGCAGCTAATACCATTATGCCATTATTCATTCCTTTTCATTATGCCATTATTTCATTCCTTTTTATGGCTGAGTAGTATTCCATGGTATATGGTGTGTGTATATATACACCATATATACACACACCATATATATACCATATATATACACCATATATATACCATATATATACACCACATATATATACACCATATATATACCATATATATATACACCATATATATATACCATATATATATATACACCATATATATATACCATATATATATACACCATATATATATACCATATATATATACACCATATATATATACCATATATACATATACACCATATATATATACCATATATATATATACACCATATATATATACCATATATATACACCATATATATATACACACACCATATATATATATACACACACACACACACCATATATATATATATATATATATATATATATATATATATATATATAGTTTTCTTTATTCATTGATTGATGGGCATTTGGGCTGGGTGCATATTTTTGCAATTGCAAATTGTGCTGCTATAAACATGCATGTACAACTATCTTTTTTGTATAATGACTTCCTCTGGGTAGATACCTAGTAGTGGGATTGCTGGATCAAACGATAAATCTACTTTTAGTCCTTTAAGGAATCTCCACACTGTTTTCCATAGTGGTGGTACTATTTTACCTTCCCACCAACCGTGTAAAAGTGTTCCCTTTTCACTACATCCACGCCAACGTCTACTCTTTTTTTATTCTTGATTATGGTCATTCCTGCAGGAGTGAGGTGGTATTGCATTGTGGTTTTGATTTGCATTTCCCTGATAATTAGTGATGTTGAGCATTTTTCCAAATGCTTGTTGGCCATTTGTATATCTTCTTTTGAGAAATGTCTATTTATGTCCTTAGCCCACTTTTTGATGGGATTGTTTGTTTTTTTCTTGCTCATTTGTTGGAGTTCTTTGTAGATTCTGGATATTAGTCCTTCTTTTACCAATACCACATTGTCTTGATTACCGTAGCTTTACAGTGAGTGTTGAAGTCTCATAGTGTCAGTCCTCTGATTTTGTTCTTCTTCAGTATTGTTTTGGTTATTCTGGGCCTTTTGCCTTTCAATATAAACTTTAGAAATCACTTTGTGGATATCCACAAAATAAATTACTGAGATTTTTACTACAATTACATTGAAAGTATAGAACACGTTGGGAAGAACTTGACTCTGACTCTTCCTATTCATGAACATGGAATATCCATTTAGTTCTTTTTTTGATTTCTTTCATCAGAGTTTGGCAGTTTTTTCATATCAGTCTTGTATATATTTTGTTAGAATTATACTCTTCTAATTCTCCATTCCTGGCATATAGGAAAGCAATCAACTCCTGTGTCTTTGTATCCTGCAACCTTGTTATAATTACTTATTAGTTCCTGGAGATTTTTATCAATTCTTTGAGACGTTCTACAGGCAATCGTGTCAGCTGTGAACAAAACCAGTTTATTTCTTTCTTCCAAATCAGTGTGTCTTTTCTTTGCTTTTCTGGTCTCACTACATTGTCTAGGGCTTCCAGTATGATGTCAAATAAGAATGATGAGAACGGACATTTTTGCCTTATTTCTGATCTTAGGGGTAAAGTATCTAGTTTCTCACCATTACTTTCACTGTTAAGCCCTCCATGTGACGTGGAGTAGTAGGTGCTCTACACATTTTCCCTTGGCATTCAATCTTCCTTGTCTGGGAGCTTTCTCTGGCCACAGACCAGGCTCCATCCATTATGTGGAGAAGCCAGGAGTGCTGGGGAGTTAATTTCTCCAGAAGCAAACGTCAACCAATAGCAGACAGGAGTTGGTAAATAAATGCTCCACAGTATTCTCACCTATTTTGGGAGACAAGCCTGTGGTATACTGTCTGCAGTGTCCCAGTCCTCCCCGCCTCCCAAGCCACTGAGTGGGTTGAATCCCCATTGTCCACAGAAGTGACTTACTTATTATCACATCTTTTTTGGCTTCCTGCCCTTGCCTGTCTCACTTCCCACTCTGCTACCAGTGCCTCTTGCAACTACCTCCTAAATAAACTACTGAATTTAAATGCTAGTCTCAGAGTCTTTTCTTTGGGAACCCCAACCCAAGACCAAGCCATGTACATATGTAGTTATGGTTTCACTCTATCTAAAGGTGTAAAAGGCTAGGATTCAGAATGCTCGCAAGTACTGCTCAGAGACAGAGTATCATATCCACTAGAAACCCAGCTAGTCATATATCTCAACCATATTATTAAACTTCAAAAATAATGTGGTAGTAAAAAATCAAGGAAAGTAAGAAGACAAACACATTTTAAAAAATGAATTAGCAATACACTTTATTGTGGCTGCAACATGTTCACTGCTCTTTCCATCATCCACCATTGTTCTCTTTATTCACTGAAGGAGGAGGTGTTCACAGATACTCATCTGCTTTCCCCAAGTCAGAAACCAATGTTCAGAAGAAAAGTCCACCATGGTTCTTTCTAGGTGCAGAAACCAGGGTCTATTACTAAGGTCTGAAATATTTCCAGATCATTACTGGCTACAGGTGAGGTCCACAGGAAATATCACCCGATGGCTTTAGAAAACAAGTCCGAGTCCAGGCCCTTTATGCTGTAACATTTCCACCAGGCGTATATCACCTGTAAAAATCATGTCCTAGTCCCCTTTTCCTTTTTATGAGTGAGACGCCTACCAACTGGTCCATAAGGCCCTCTATAATCTGGCTTCATTGAATGCATCCAACATTATTTCCTAACACTTTCCAGTCCCTCTTTCTGCTCCAACTAGAACTGGCTTTAAATCTTGAGCTCAGAAGAATTGCTCTCACTTGGTGCCACCCTCTCATGGCAATGCCCTCCTGTCTTCCCTCTGTCTGCACAATTCCAAACAGCCCCACAGAGACCCTGTACTCCATGAAGTATTACTTCCAACTCACCATTTTTTTTTTCTCCTTCAACTCTCAGAGAAGTAAGGCTGTACATTTCTACTGGGTGCAAAACAATATCTGCCGTAATGATGAGATACGATAGACTAAATTATGAAGCACTCACTATGCTCCAGGTGAGGGGTCTAATTGCTTCACGTGTGTTAATTCATTTAACCTTCCCCCATACCTTGGTCCTTTTATTATCCACATATTACACATGAAAACACATAGAGTAGGTGATGTAAACTGACTTGCCCAAGGTCACACAATTGAAATGGTAAAGCCAAGACTCAAACTCAGGTTGTGTGGGTCAAACAAACTGCTCTCAGTCTCAGTGGTACATTGCCTTGATAACCAGTCAGCCATCTGAATGTGGTCCAGCTGGAACAGCCAGCCAGTTCCAGAACAAACTATGGGATTTCACTACTCCATGCCTCCACAAATGCTACTCTCATTCCTCTGGATGATTTTTCTGCCTTTTCTTTTTCTTTTTCTTTTTTCTTTTTTTTTTTTTTTGAGATGGAGTCTCGTTCTGTCACCCAGGCTGGAGTGCAGTGGCATGATCTCGGCTCACTGCAAGCTCCGCCTCCTGGGTTCACACCATTCTCCTGCCTCAGCCTCCCGAGTAGCTGGGACTACAGGCACCTGCCACCACGCCCAGCTAACTATTTTGTATTTTAGTAGAGACGGGGTTTCACCATGTTAGCCAGGATGGTCTCAATCTCCTCACCTCGTGATCCTCCTGCCTCAGCCTCCCAAAGTGCTAGGATTACAGGCGTGGGCCACCGTGCCCGGCGCTTCTGCCTTTTCAAACTCTTATACATCTATCAAAGACCCACCTTCGACGTTATCTCTTCCGTCAAGCCACCTTCATCTGGAAGAATTGGCATTTCTTTAAAAAATGCCAAGAGATACAAAGATGAAAATAAAAAGACACTCCTTCTTCCACTAGAAACTCCTTCTTAACATTTGGTACATACATTTCCATGTTGCAGCTTGCTTTTTGCACCTAAAACAGTTGTCATAAATAAATTCCCATGTCTTTCAATATTCAACAACCTAATTTATAATGAGTTTCCCATATTCCAATGTATGATTGCTGTATAATTGAATATGATCTTAAACATCTGATCTGTCCAAAGATTAACATGGCCAACTCAGCAGAAATTTGCCATGATGAATGCCTAGGACCTGATTTTTGGAACACTGGCAGAGTATAGGTCCCATGGTTCTGTTCCAGTTTCCCACAGTGCTTGGGCAAGACATAAAAATGGATTTATCAATGGATCCACTCTGGCCAATGGCCCAGTCATCTTTGCCACTGCCAGTATTTTCTGTCTTGGCTTTAAGCTCCAGGAGAACAGATAGATAATTAGCTTAACTCACTGAATAGGGCATTGCATTAGGAAATTTTTTAAAGACTGGCAAAAGGGAACCAGATCCACAAACAATATTGTTACATGACTATTCTTACAGGTACAAATCAAAGTTGGTGCCCCACCTTAAGTTTCCATATCAATCTAATGCAAACTGACATTTCAACAATAACAACAACTAGTATTTTATAAACTATTAAAGTGCTTTTAATGCTATCTCATTTACTCTTCAAAAATACTTCAAAAATAGGTATTGTATCTACAAATGTGGCCACTGAATTGCAGCCAGATGAGTCCAGGGTCAGAAACACACAGAGACAATGACAAGGACACAGCAGCTGGCACTAGGAGCTGCCCATTGCAGAGGGCATCCAAGATCTGCCTGTCACAGAGATTAGATGGTCATACCTTCATTGGCTTCAACTTCTTCATTTGCAGAATGAAGAACTGAGACAGAGGATATCAAAAAGGCTGTATTCTGTGGGTCTACAGGATGGGAAACTGCTGCTATTTGGGGGACTTCTGCAAGTCTCTGTTTAATGCCAAATTAGCGTTCCTGGGTGGCTGGGAGCTGTGCCCAGTTGCTGAGTGAAGAAGTGTTTACTCTGTCTTGAGTCCTGAGTCCTTCCTAGTGTGACACTATATTTACCCCTGGAATCTGTGAAGTAAGCAGATGACCTTGTTTCTGGTAAGGTGTTACAGCGCAGGCTTTAAGTGAAAACAACAGAGTGCTTTACTGCCTAGAATCCCTCCAGAACACACCCCACAGGCACAGTGGATGGACTAGGTCCAGTTCCCAAACCTACGTGATCCTCAGATGACCTCTGGGCCTTTTGTAAAATACAGATTCCTGGACTCCACTCCTGGAAATTCTGATCTGTTATGTCTGGGCAGGTCCCAGGAATCTGTATTTTAGGAATGGCTTTCCCGGGGATTGTCACAAGCCCCTGAGAACTTCTGAATAAGCTAACCTCTCCAGGCTGCTGTCAACCTAAAATGCTTTGCTGGTTTGCCTACTGTGGTGGGTATCCACCTGGAAGACTCAAAAACTCCCGCTACCCAGACCACATCCCAGACCAATTAGTTCAGCCCCTCTGGGGATGGTTCAGGCATCTGTATTTTCAGAACTCTCTGGGCCATCCCAGCCAGACCTTGGTGCACTCATCCTACAGGTAGGAGGGAAGAGCTTACATGCAAGCAAATCAAGAGTCCTGAACTTGAACTGTGGTTCTATCATTCACTGTGTACAAGTCACTGCCTCCTGTACAAGTCAGCTGCTTCACAAAAGGGGCCCAATGAGACCTCCTTCATTCCATCGTGGTGGGGATAACATGTGATCTGCACACAAATTACCCTGTGCAACTGTGTCGCTCCCTCAACAAATCACATCATACAACTGTACTTTTCATATTACCATTTTTGTTATAAACAGAAAAACTAGATGACAAGATAAGAGGCAGAAATCTGAGCTCATCATGTTATTTCTGGATGTTTATTTGAAACACAGGAATCTAAGTTGCCAAGCGGTTCCCAACCTCATGTTGGAGGACCTGGGAATGCCTGATCCCCAAATTTTGTCAATGGCCTCTCTTCACCCCACTCTTCCTCCCTGCCCAGGCTGTGGGGATGGTGGAAACAGGAAAGTGGGGTGATGCAGTGAGAAGATCCACGCCTTTTATCACGACACCATCTGTATTCGTTTGCTAGGGATGCTGTCAAAAACTACCACAGACTGATTGGCTTAAACCATGGAAACGTATTCTCTGACAGTTCTGGAGGCTAGAAGTCCTAGATCAAGGTGTCAGCAAAGCTGGTTCCTTCTGAGGTTGTTAGGGAGAATTTGTTTCATGCCTCTCTCCAGCTTCTGATGGTTTGCTGCTAAGCTTTGGTTTTCCTCATCTTGCAGGCACAGCCTCCCAGCAACTGCCTTTATCTTCACATGGAGTGCTCCCTGTGTGCATGTCTGTGTTCATATGTCCCCTTTTTATCAGGACACCTGGCATGCTGAATTAGTACGATACTAATAAACTCATTTTAACTTAATTACCTCTGTAAAAACCTTATCTCTAAATAAGGTCACATTGTGAGTTACTGGGGGTTAGGACTAAGACGCCAACATATCTTCTTTTAAGGGACACAATTCAATCCACAACACCATCCCAAACCTGAACACCTGAGCCCACCCCTTGGATCCCCCACATGCCCCAAGTCCCAGAGACAGAAGACAGGCTGCCAAGGTGCAGGGTCCTGGTTAGAATGTTACTTTCATCAAACATCTCGTTTCATAAACTGCCAGAAGGAATTCTTTTGCAGATTATATGGAACTCACTCATTTTCCTTCTAGAATTCCTCTGCCTTCCTCCCTTCTTCTCTCTACCCAATGTGCTGTTGGTTAAGCCTAATTTATCAAACATGCTTAGTAAAATGTTACTGGCTTGGAGAGGTGTCCACATGCATCTGATGAGGGTTGTCTCCAGGTTACCCTGGTACCCTATCTCCTGGTTGGTTTCTGGCCCTCAGCCCCCAAGTCTTGGCAAACTTGGAAGCTTTGGGTTAAGGACACACTTTTCCCCAGCAGGTAGATCGGGGTGGTATCTCTCTAAAACACCATGTGGGAGGCAATGTGAAATGCAACTCCAGCATTTACTTAACAATTTCTGTTTCTTCTAGCACTGTCATACTTTGGGTTTAGTCTTCCTAACCTGTTTCTTCTACTTTTCCTTATAAAATGAGAAATATTAGAATTCTTGAACAGCTAAATAAGTGAAATGACATTTTTCTCTTTTACAAATGGTTATATAGACTGAGTGATAGCTTAGGAATTAATATTCTTACTGATTCTTCATCAAGTGCATTTATTTACATGCTTCCTTCTGCGGTACAAACACCCACAGATGCTGCACAAGGGGAAAAAAAAAACTAGATACCTAAAAAATAACTGCCCTCCACTCAAATGAAGCCCAGATGGTAAGAATGAGCACTGAACGCAATGATCTGAACTGCAGCTTCGGCCCGATGAACTCCCCATGGAATTACAACAGGGAGGGTATAAAAGGAAGCTCTGGAAGCATTCAAATTAATTACAAACAGAGTCAGGCTATGTGTCCAAGAATGCTTCTCCACGACTCAGCAAGTTCACAGCTCTTCCGAATCTTGGCAGTGTCCCTTTGCTGAGGACCAGCTATCCCATTCAAAATGTGGAACATCCCTGTGTGAATCAAAAATGACATCTCTGTGACAACCCATGGATGTGCTAAAACTAAGCCTTCCCAGCCTTAAAAAAAGGTAATAGAGACTCCTTTGAAGAGGTGAAACTCGTCATATATGGTGGGGTCAGAGTCATAAAAATAATCGTGCTAATAACCTCTATCATTGAGTGAGGGCTTATTCCACACACACAGGTAAGGTGCTTCTCAAGCCCATGCAATTTTCGCAGCCCCATATCATAAGCACTGTTATTACTCCTATTCTATTGATGTAAAACCTGAAGTCCCTTGAGGTCAGCATCTTGCCCAAGGTCACATCTGCATGTAAAGGAGCCAGATTTCCACATTGCATTTGACTCCAGAGCCAAGCTCTTAAATGCCTCATACATCTCAACAGTTCATCCAAACAACTGGCTGAAATAGAACAGGCATTGTGATCATATGGGCAGGTTGGACAGGAGGCCTTGATCCCAGAGGCCAAGACAATGCACTGAGCAGACACGATTCTCACTTCTCAAGTGGTCTCAGTGGCAATCTGCAGACACAGCCTCAGGGAGTTCCACACGTCTGAGAAGTGGAGGACATGAGGGCTCCTTCATAAACCAATCCAAGGGCTGTGGAACTTGTGAGAATGTCAGAGGAAGAAATCCGATATGCAACCAGCCAACAGGCCCCAAGGTTTGCTGACCCTGTCACACAAGAGACAAACCCTGGGAGGCAGGACCCAAATTAACCTCCTGCCATGTCAGAGGCTCTGCTGACCAAAGCCAGAGCAAGAGTGACAGGGCAGGGGAGAGCTTGACTTTGCCATGCGAAACTTCCTAATGAAAAGCTTTATTTAATAGCTTCTTTCTATTAAAGGAAAACAGTATATTTTTTACCATCTTGGTGAAGGGGCCAATGTGATAGATAATTACAACATTTTTTTCTTCCCAGTTCTCCATTCATCCCTGTATCCACGCCCTTTGCAATTGGATTTTTCTCCTCCCATCCTGTGGTGCCTCTATCCCCTGAAGATGGGCCATCTTTGTGACTTGATATGGGCAAGATAATTGAAGGAAGTGATGCTGTGCCACCCCTGCCACCACCCTATGAACAAGTCTCAACTGGCTACTGAGTGATGAGAGGCAAGTGCCAGCCAAAAGCCAGCCAACCACAAGACATGAGAGGCCATCCTAATCGAGCCAGCCCCAAGCTGACCACCAGATGATCACAGAGGCATGAACAAGCTCAGCAACCACCAGCTGATCCTGGCCCAGAGCAACATAACTGCCCAGCTGACCTATGGACTCATAAGCCATAGTAAATGCTTAGCGTTAGAAACGACCATGTTTTAGCGTAGTTTGTTATACAGCTGTAGCTAACTGATAACAATAGGGTTCCCAAGGCATAAATGGAGAATCTTTCCCCAAGACACATGGCAAATATGAGCTTGTTCTGAGCTCATAACAAGTCCATCATCTTATTTACTAAAACATGCTGCTTCAAGAAGAACTACCATGTGTGGACTTTTATTTAATTAATTAATTAATTTATTTATTTATTTATTTACTTATTTTGAGATGGAGTTTCGCTCTTGTTGCCCAGGCTGGAGTGCAATGGTGTGATTTCAGCTCACCGCAACCTCCACCTCCCAGGTTCAAGTGATTCTCCTGTCTCAGCCTCCTGAGTAGCTGGGATTACAGACATGTGCCACCACACCTGGCTAATTTTGTATTTTTAGTAAAGACGAGGTTTCTCCATTTTGGTCAGGCTGGTCTCGAACTCCTGACCTCAAGTGATCCGCTCGCCTCAGCCTCCCAAAGTGCTGGGATTACAGGCGTGAGCCACTGCGCTCGGCCGATGTGTGGACTGTTAATATGTATGAGGTACTAGGAAAAGCACTTTTAGTCCCTTTGTAATTTAATCTTCACAGCAACATTATCTCAGCAGCCACACACAAGAATTGGGATTTAATATTCTCATATGAAAGATGAAGAAACAGACTCAGAGAGGCTAACATGAACCCAAGGGCAACTTATCCCAAGCTCACATGCTTACAGAGTATGCTTGAGAAGTTCTGTCTCTGTAATGAATTAACATGATGTGCTGGGATTTAAAATTTCCATCATGGCCACATAGCATGTTCGTGTACATTTTATAAAGAGGAAGTTTTGTAAGTAGTAAGGCCTACCGGTTTTACCCAGTCTAGGAGAGGACAAGCATAGGCGAATCTAACGTGGCTCTCTGTGCCAACAGGAAGGAGTGGTTTTCTCCCTGTATAAAAGTCAAAATAAGAGTCCAGGGCAGGAGGGGGTGGGGGGTGGGGGGTGGGGGGTGGCGGGCGGGCACAGTGGCTCACGCCTCTAATCCCAGCACTTTGGGAAGCCAAGTGGGGGCAGATTGAGGCCAGGAGTTCAAGACCAGTCTGGCCAACATGGTGAAACCTGGTCTCTACTAAAAATACAAAAATTATCCAGGTGTGGTGGCAGGCGCCTGTAATTCCAGCTACTCAGGAAGCTGAGGGATGAGAATCGCTTGAACCCGGGAGGCGGAGGTTGCAGTGAGCCACGGCATGCCAGCCTGGGTGACAGAGTGAGACTCCGTCTCAAAAAAATAAATAAATAAATAAAAAATGCCCAGGGCAGGAGTCAGAAAACTTTTTCTATAAAGGGCAAGGTAGTAAATCTTTTAGGCTTGGCAGGTCAAACAGTCTTGAATGCACTGTTCTACCACAAAAGCAGCCACAGATAACACATAAACCAACAGGTGTGTCTATGGGCTATGTCCAGTAAACCTTTATTCACAAAAACGGGGGTAGTTTCCCGAGCCCTGGCCTAAAGGACAGAGAGAGAAGAGGGGAAATACACAGTAATGCTGGTGCCCTCACTCCCTGGAGTTAAGAAACAACAAGTAGTCTATTAAAGTCTTACTTCTAAGTGATATCTGAATCACCCATTGTTATGTTATGACAGAAATGACTAATTATTTCTTACTGAACATATTCATCTTGATGGACTTGCAATTATGTACCAGAGATGTTGTGTTAAGAAAGACCCAGGGGCTATATGGTGGGTCCACATGAAAGGGCACTGTGATTGATTAGCAATGTCTGTCTTGGGCAAAATAAGGGAGAAAGATGGCATGAAATGAGTCAAATATCCCACACACTGGTCATGTATGTTCTACATCATCATTACCCATTTTCAATACAAGTTAATTGATGCTAACTCAATTTAAAATGAATTGTTGATCATGCAGGATGCTTTTCAGAAACAGGTGTGAATAATCTTCTGAATACCCTTGACCCAGTGATCTGATTGCCAGCTTCAATTATTTCACCTTAAAAGTCAAGAGCTGGTCAATACACTGAATCTGGAAAGGACTAGGCAAAATTGCCTAACCATTACTATCTTCAAATATGGGCATTGAGCTGGAGGCATAATTCCAGTAACCCCCTTGCAACAATATTTACCTGAGCAGCCTTTATCTGGGCTAAGTCAAGCACTTGGGCAGTCCTACAGGAATGAATTCCTTATCACTGAAGGCTCCAGCAATTACTGTTCTCTGTGTGCAGAGCTAGGATGCAGGGCCACAGCAATTTCCTACAGTGGTCCTCGAAAAAACTGTTGAATTTCATTAATTAGCAATTATCTTCAGCTGAGCACACAAAGTCCTATCTGTGGGCTAAGAGAAGCTGGAAACCCATCCAGCTAAAGTAGAAAAGACAAGATTTAAGGGGCAGTGGATATATATCCGTGGACACCACTCATTTCATTCTAGCCCTCTTAATTCCTAACTTTGAGACTATGAGACTTTGAGGGATTCATTTTCTAATATTCTATTTAGACTTTCACTATCCATGATGGTAGCCAATAACCGTATGTAGCTATTTAAAATTAAACTAAAATTAAATAATATTAAAAATTTAGTTCTTCAGTCATATTCCAGTCCTATTTCAAGCTATATTACTGCACAGTGCAGAGGGAGAATATGTCCATCATCAAAGAAAGTTCTGATTCAGACTAAAGTACCAGGTGCTGCAGTGCTCTGTGCCTATCTCCTGCATATGGCACAGCAGAGGCTGTTCACCACTGACATGCTAACCCTGTGTCTGTATGCTTAGTTTCTGGCTGGGAGGGGACATTCAGCCCACATGCAGGATGGGTCAAGCCAGCAGTGCCAACAAACACCCCTAGAAGCAGGGCTCAGCGAATGGCAGGTGGGAATCAGCAGATGAGCCCCCCAGCGTCCATGTTTCCTGGCTTACAGAGCTCTGAGGCGTGTCCTACAGAGGCTCCCAGAGGTGCCAAATTGCAATGAGTCCCAGCTGCCCACAGCAATCACCTGCTTGCTGAAATTCCCTTAATTGGCTTGACTTGGGTTGCCTTCTTTAGGAACCCACCTAAGACAATGAACTTCACTGGTAGTTCACAAATTGTAAGACAGTCACATTGATGTTGGCACTGAATCTTGGTGTTTGAAAACTAGCCAACTTTACCAGTGAAAAAGATGATCACTTATGGAATCAATATATGAGAGCTCAGAAAAAAATTAAGTCTGTTGCCTTACATTACAGAATTCTTTTTTTTTACTGTGTTGATATACTTCATATACTTTTGTATGCTTCATAGCACTCTTTATTTTTTTTACTGTGTTGATATTTCTCAGTTTGATCATTTTATTTAATTACCAAACCCACTTTTGAATTATTTTAGCTATCTCCAAAAATCAAGCCACTCTCCAAGGACAACATTTGACTGCACTGAGAATACTGAAGGGAATACATCCCAGGCTCTGAAAGCTATTCCCACAGTCTGGCTCTCAGGACCTTTGGCCAATAACAAGTCATTAGGATAAACGGACCATACTCACGGAGACAACGACCACCCATTTACATGTTTTGTTTCCTGTGTGACTTTTACAATTTGATTTCTTCATAGTCACACTTGTCTATTTCTCTTTGCTGTCTTTTTTTTTTTTTAACAGCTTTTCTTCTGATATAATGCACCTGTCATACATTTTAACCATTGAAAATGTACAATTCCACCCTTTTTTAGTATACTCACAGGATGCACAACCATGTCTTTTCTTGTCTTCTTTCACCATAAATGGAAACAGGCAGTTTGACCTCACACATTATTCCAGCTTAAGAACCTTATGGCTACATTCAAAAATCAAAGACCAAGTCATGTGTGGTGGAGGACAATTTACTGGCACTGAGGCTAGGCAACAGAATATGCAATCGTTATACTAATGTCGCTCCTTCCCCTCCATTTTTCAGAATTACCGTGTTCAGTCATCAACTCACCTAATCCCCAGGGCAGTAAAATAATCAGTTATACTGCACACACACACACACACTCTCACACACACACACACTCACACACACACACACACACTAGCAAGACTGGACTCACCAGTAACATATTGTTTGCTCAACGAAATACAAATTCCCACACAAAAATGTATTCTTTTAAAAAATTTCGTTTCTCCCTAGTTCTCTGATTATTACTGATACCACAAACCGCTTTGGTGAAACAATTCCCTTCTCTTCCCACACCGCTCTTTGCAACAGGCCAAATCTGTCACTTCCCCCTAAGACTCCTGCATCTGCTGGGGCCACTGAAGCTCCCACCAGAATCTGTTTCTCAGCCCCTAGTTTGAGCACCCTGGTTGTAATGAACAGATGCATTAGGGCAGATAAATATTAAGTCCAGGGGGGAAGATAAAAGGGTACCACTCTTCATAACCAACTGAATGTCTGACCACAACTACTGATGTCAGGGATAAATTTCTTTCCAGGGACACCCACTGTCCCACTACACATCCCCTCACTCCTCAGACAGATGACAGATAAACAGACAGACAGCCACATGGCTTGAAGTGTGAAGGGTTTACAACCACTGCCCCTCTTTAAAGAATCACTCACAGCTTTGAAGGACACTTCCCTGGCCCTCCCAGTTTCTGGCAGGATGATCCCACAACAAAACAGCCCTCTATTAGCCACAAGAACCCAGACACAGCCCCTTTAGCCTGCTAAAGAAAAACCTCAGTTCATCTGACCCTGGGAGGAGACAAAACCAGAAAGCTATTTAGAGCATCCTCCCTAAATTGTCCTGGCTCCCTAGACTTAAGAATTCCAAATTCTCAATGAGGGTGGCTGGTAGCACAGGATAGAGGCAGAGAAGAGAACCCACCAACAGGCAAGAAAAGCCACAGCCTCTGTGTCCTCAGAGTATCCCATGTAGTGCTGGAGTGTTCATGGGACCAAGGTCCTCTTGCCACCTCTCCTATTTTAGGGAGCGCTGGGAACCCCCAAATACCCTTCTGAAACCTCAAGGTGGTTTTCTCCCTGTGGAACTGGGTCTCCTCAGTCCCATTCTGGGTTTCTATTTATTCTTCCCCAGTGCTCAAGACTGAAGGCAGCTCAACAGCAGAAAGAAGTCAGTTGAAGAGAGATGCATTTTTGTCATTCTTGGCATGTGTCAAAGTAATGTTGGAAAAAGAAACCTGGTAAATTTTTAGAGTTGCTGAAAGGCATTGAGTGACTTCACTAAAGACATGTGTTGATATAAAAGAAATAAAAAAAGATGGTGTGCCGGAATCATGCTATACTCCTAAAGACATCAACCCCATGAGGGTGAGGGCTGGCGAGGGGAAACAAGGCAAGGGGGCTCAGGGAGCTGCCTTGCTCCCTGTTGAGGGGGTGGCTGTGTCCCCAGAGAGGCCACAGCGGTGGCCCACTGGCTTCTGTTCCTGCTCAGTGTCCCACTACAATTCAAGCTCCACACAATAATCAGAGTGATATATGGAGACATGAATTCATTAATGTCACTTCATTCTTCCAACCTTCCATGGACTCCCTCTGCTACTTAGAATAAAATCTAAACTCCTTACCATGGCAGACAAGACCTTAGATGGTCCAGCCCTGCAAGACGCTCCAATTCTTCTCCTTCTCTCCCTAATCCCCAGCTGCAATGTCCTTCTGTGTTCCTCAAGCACCTCCGTCTCCCTCCGGCTTGGGTGCCTTTGCAGCGGCTGGTCCCTCTGCCTGGAATGTTCTTCCTTGGCTGGTTATAGGAATGACTCCTTCCCTCAATCAAATTCCTTTTCCCATGGCTCCTGATCCAAAGGACGCCTCCCATCGACCCCCATCACGACCTATTCCTCATTCCCTTTTTCCGTAACACTGATCAAAATCAGATGCTTTCTAATTGTTCTTTGTTTATTCCTTAATTCTGACACCTCCCCCTAGAATGGAAGCTTCATGAGAATCAGGAGCTTGTCTGTGTGGCTCACAGCATGAAAGATGGGGCCTGAGATGGACCAATGCCCAATCAATCCTGAAAGAAGGCATCAATCAGTCAATAAAAAGGGGGCCTGATTTATTTATTCTATTTTTTGCAGGGAAGTAATTTCAAACTTGTAGAAAAATTACAACAATCGTACAAGGAACTCCCATAAACACTTTACCCTGATTCACCTATTGTCAATATTGTACTCATTTTTGTTAGCATTCTGTTTATCTATCTATATCATTTCTATCTCTATCTATTATCTCTCTCTATCATCTATCTATGCATTCATCCAACTATCCTATCTATCCATCTATCAATCATATCTACTCTATCTACCTACCTACCTACCTATCTGTCCACCACTCATCCATCCATCTATCTATACCATTTTTCCTGAACTGTTCTAGAGTAGGTAGCAAGCATCATTGCCCCTCACCCTTAAATACTTCAATGCTTATTTCCCAGGAATAAAGGAATTCCCTAACATGACCACAGCACACTCATCAATTCCAGTAAGTTTATCACTGATACAACTCTTTTATCTAAACTTCTGTCCATTTTCAAACTGTCAATTGACCCGATAATATGCACTAAAGCACTTCTCCCTCCAGTACAGGATCTGATTCAGGTGTGGTTAATTAGCTGTCCCACCTCCCTGGTCTCCTCTAATGTGGAGCTATTCCTCAGCCTTCCTGTCTTTCACAACTTCAGCATTTTGGAAGAACACAGTCCCTTGCTTCAATAGAATGTTCCTCATTGGGGGTTTTTCTGGTGCTTCCTCATAACTAGATTCAAGTCATGCCTTCCTTGCCAGAATACTGCAGAAAGGAAGGTGTATCACATGTGGAGGGCACCATGACCATCGGTCTCCTTGGTGATGTTAACTTTAACAAGGAAGTTTCAGTCAAGGTGCTGTCATATTTACCCACTGTACACTTATGAGAGGCATTTGAAGACCATGCAAATATCCTCATCAAAACTTTCCCATGGATTTTGCATCTACTGATGACTTTTATCAGACCAATCTTTACTGTGATAGTTACAAAATTATGAGTTTCCAACTCAGCACCTTCTCCACATTTAGCAGTTAATAGTCAGTGTTCTACTGAAAGCAAGAGCCCTCCTCCTTCCACATTTGCTTCTCCACTGCTTTATCTATTTATTATAAGTATGAAATCATGGATTCTTATTTCCCAAGATTTATATTTTATCTCCTCTCCTGAAATATACCATATTTGGCCAGTGAGAGCCCTTTCAAGATGGCTTCTGTATAAAAGAGGATAATTTTTAAGTACATTCATAAAATCCTGGTTGCTTCAAAGATGCCCTTTTTCCCCTTTAATGGGGAAATAAGCGTTTCTCCCACATCAGGGCCCTGGACAGCTGGGGGCCATTTAATTGGCTCAGCCACAGCTCTTCACTGTCCCTGACCACCTCCTCTGGGACAAAGAGAAACCAGCCCTGAGGAGTCTGAGCAGGTCCAGACCCACCGATTGGAGGCCCTCCTCAGCCCAGCCCTGCCCAGGGAAACCTCTGGCCAGGAGACAACAGCACCGCATCCCTGCAAGCAACTAAGATGGTTCCGTCCTAAGGCACGATTTTGTTTCAGAAGACGAGTGTGTCATCTGGTTAGCCCCAGACTCTTGCTGCAATAAACATGGTGTAAAATGGTCTGTGATGTGTGTTAAGGAGCCCTTCTGAGTTAAAATCATGTGTAGAGACTGCAGATGATTAAAACTAATTCCAACCAGCTCGAGGGGTGTCCAGTAACATGGCAGGCCTCCAACCTGGAACAAGCAAAATTTCACATACATCAGCTCACAGAGGGTCCCCACATGCTGCCAAGGTCAAAGCCTTGACCTTCAAATAGCACAGGTAAAAGGCTAGCACTCACTGTGTATTAAGTAGATGAGATGAAGCAAACAGCAAACTTGGAATCAAGGAACATGTTTTCAACCACAAACTAACTCACCTGAGTCACTTAGCTATGAAGGGGGAAAAATATTTCTGGGGCAGAAGATTCAGAAGGAGGGATCTTATCTGTTCCCAGAAGAATAAATCCACAATATATCTCACTGCCCTGCAAACTAGGCAACAAATTCAATAATACTGCATACAAAATAGCCTTCATAGCTTCATGATAGAATAAAACAATCAAACATTATAATGACCAAAGTAATGTGACAAACTTCTTTCTTGAGCATATGAAATGATTTATAAGTGCCCAAGGAATAGCTGAACTAAACTGGACTTGAGAGCATCTCGTTGTGTTTCCTATAGGAATAATGACCGGCTCTACTGATAGGAGGGAAGGTATGCTCATGTAATGAAGGAGTGCAAGAAATGGATTCAGATCAGTTAATATGAATAGAAAAAAGACTCTGTAAAGCCAATACATTCAGGTAAACAGGAAACCATTTCATTAGCATAAAAACAAGCTTTTTTCTTTTTTTATTATTATACTTTCGTTTTATTTCTAACCAGTAAAAAAAAAATCTTATTCCCATTTTCCCTATGAACTACTATACTACTTCACCTTTCTGTAGCAAAACTAAAAAGAGTTATCAATCTGCTTTGCTTCCAATCCTTCCCCTTCCATCCTCTTTTGGACCCATTACAATCAGAATTTTGTTCCTACCAGCACCACAACTCTTCCTGTCCATGTCACTAATGGCCTTGGAGTCGCCTGATGCATCCACAGCCTGCAACCCACTGCTCACTCCCGCCTCCCTGGTGCCCAACTTTCAGGCCACCTCTCCTGATCCTCCTCCCGCCTCGATGGCTGCTCCTCCGAGCCTCCTCTGCTGGCTCCTCGCAGAGCCTGGGCTGGGCTCTTAGTCCTCTCTCTGCTTACGCTTGCTCCTGTGGGGAATCCCCTCCACTTCATGGCTGTCAATATAAGCTTCTGTCTTCCTCCCAGTCCCCCCTTGGTATCTCCAGCCTTGACCTGCAGCCTGAACTCCAGATGCACACACTCTTATTATCATCCTACTCATGATCTCAACTGGGACACCCAGGACACATCTCAAAATGAGCACTTCCAACACAGGACACCCGGTCTCCCATGAAGCTCACTCCACCCGCCCCTCACCTTCTCCTACAACTGCTCAGGCCAGGAATTGCAGAGTCTTCTATTGCTCTTTCTCACCCACATCCACTCCTTCAGGGTGTTGTCACCAATTCAAACCATGTCCAGTCAATCCTGCAAGAAGGCAAACCATGTCCGGAATCAGATACCGCCTCACCCTGCCCCTGTTACTGCTCTGAACTGAGCCACCATTATTATAATACTCTCTGGAGTCTTTCACCTTCCACTCTTGCCCACTACATTTTATTATCAATCCAACATTCTGGTTGATCCTTTAACAATGTATGCCTGGTCACAGGAAGCAAGAGGCGGCTCTCCACTCCACAGTGAATGCAGAAGACCTCCACCAGCCCCCAAGACCCTAAGAGACCTGGTTCCCCACGACCTTTGACGTCCCTCCAACTCCTCTCCTCCTCCCTCATTCTGCTCCAGCCACACTGACCCTCTGTGCCATTCTCTGGACACACCAAGCGTGCTTCCATCCCTGGCCTTTGCTGCCCCTCTGCCTGGATGCTCTTCCTCAGAACTCTCCATGGCTCCCTCCCTCCCTCCTTCAGAGACTGCTCAAATGTCACCTCAACCTTGGCCTTAAAAAGCAAGCCCTCCAAACTCCCCCCAACTTGTCATCCCTCTCACCTTGTTCATTTTTTTTCTGTATCACTTTCGAGCATACTTTACATTTATTTGTGCATGTTTTTGTTTGTCTTCACCACCAGCCCCCACCACCCCAATGGAAACTCCATGCATGGAAGGACTTTTCCTTCTTTGTTCCTTGTCCTTATGTTCCAGAACACATAATGAGTGACACACAGTGGGTGTCCAATAAATATACATTGAATGAATGAACGCGCTTCTACATAATCTTGTGGAAATGGAGACAAAACAAGAAGGATGCACCCATGCATCAGACCATGAAAGTAGGGGAAACCAAGAAAGCCACAGGCGTCCTGAGGCTGGGAGCAGACAAGCTCACGTCAGTAACATCTAACAATGATATGACGACAAAGACCACATGCAAATGGAACAGACAGTCATCAGAGCAGAACCACATGTCCTGGAGCCAGCTCCACTTGAGGCAAAGATGTGGAGACCTTGTACAACCCTTGTCAGAAGGGTTGTAATGTGTGAAGTCTCATGCTGAGATTCCAGAGGGGGCTCTGGGTAGAGCACTCACTGCCACTTCTCTTGTTTATTCTGGCAAGAGTCTGTGAAGTTAACAAATCATTTGTTGCTCATATGTTCCATCCGTTGGCATCTCTACCTGAGGGCACTTTGCATGGGAAAATGAAAGAACGTTTTTTTATTGACAACCCAATGCCTTGACATTTGGGAACAAAGCAGTTGTGGCTGCCTGCTGCTCCGTCACTCTCCCTGCCCCGCCATGGAGTGAGGACACACGGGAGTCAACAGTGACCTTCTCAATAGCTGGACAAGCTCAACGCATTTCCAGTAATCTACCTCTCCAGTAATCACCAGAGAAAAGAGCTTTAGAAATTACCTTCCAGGTGTTTGAAACAGAACAGGATAAAATGATCCAATACTTGGTAGCTAAATATTAGTACGTTTTTTTAAATTAAAGAAATAAAAAAGTTAAATTAAATGTAGAGAACAGTAAACCTTCATAAAATGGGAAGGCCGCAACTCTTTCCCAGAGCAAAGTCTTCTGCTAATGAGTTTCTAAACAGGACCTAATTATTGGCAGGATCTACTTTTCCTGGATTTCCAAATAATCTATTTCTGTAAAACAAAGGAAACAAGCTTTGTTCTGTATTTTAAAAAGGACAACATACTTTAGGAGGCTGAGGCAGGAGGATCACTTGAGGCCAGGAGCTTGAGGGAAGCCTAGGCAACACAGTGAGACCTTGTCGCTACAAAAAATAAAAGTACAAACATTAGCTGGTGTGGTGGCATGTGTCTATAGTCCCAGCTACTCTGGAGACTGAAGCAGGAGAATCTCTTGAGCCTGGAAGGTCGAGGCTGCAGTGAGTTATGATTGCATCACTACACACCAGCCTGGGAGACCAAGGGAGACACTATCTCAAGAAAAAAAAAAAAAAAGAAAAGAAAAGAAAGAAAAAACTGAATGTGCTAGAAATTCTCCTTTTTACCCTGATCCAGCTCTACACACCCACTGCCCCTAGTTTGTGCCCCAGGAGGCCGGACCTGGCTCCTTTCCCCTCTGGCTTCCAGGTGGATTTGGCCAATGGCAGGAAGTTAAAGAGTGAAAGAAGAGAGTAGTCAGGATTGTTATTCTCGTAGTTCTCTCCCAGCCCATAGTCCCCATCAAGTCCCCAGCATCCACAGCTCGTCCCTGTCCTCCTTTGCTCCCTTGGGCAGAGGATGATGATGGCCCCTCACTGTTGGTCCTCTGGGTGCTTCACCATCTGCTCTTGGCTCCCTTGTCCTGCCCACATCTCGGTAATGGGGGCCCTTCATGAAGCACTACCCCCTTTGCATACCCCATCTGTTGCTTACAGGCCCTGGATGCCAAAGGAAGAATTCACGTGCCAGGCAGAACAACACACTCAGAGAGAAATACAGGTTCAACATCCCTAATCCTAAAATACAATACCCAAAATGCTCTAGAATCCAAAACTTTATAAGCACCAACATGAAGCACCAGTGGAAAATACCACACCTGACCTCATGTGACTGGTTGCAGTCAAAACGTTGTTTCGTGTATAAAGTTCTTTAAAATATTGTATAAAATTACCCTCAGACTATGTGTATAAAGTGTATATGAAACATAAATAAATTTCATGTTTAGATTTGGGTCCCCCTCCTCCAGATGTCTCCCTCTCTCTCTCTCTCTCTCTCTCTCTCTCTCTCTCTCTCTCTCTATATATATATATATATATGTATATATATATGTATGTATGTATACACACACACACACACACACATATATATATATGCATATTTGCAAATATTCCAAAATCCAAAAACAAAAAAACAAAAAAATCTCCAAATCCCAAATACTTCTGGTCTGAAGTACTTCAGACAAGGAACACTCAACCTGGACATCCTAGGGCCCTGGTAGCTGCCTCCTCTCCCATGAAGGTGGTCAGGAAGGAGCAGGGCACTGGAAGAAACCACCATCGCTTCTGAGAACAGGAGGGACTATTCATCCAATGCAGCACCCAAGGCTGTGGTCTGGATTCCCTTTCTTGTTGGTTTGTTTATTTTTTTGAGGCAGGGTCTCACGGTCGTCACCCAGGCTGGAGTGCAGTGATGCCATTACAGCACATTGCAGCCTTGAACTCCTGGGCTCAAGGGATCCTCCTGCCTCAGCCCCACCAGTAGCTGGGACTACAGGGATGCACCACCATACCCAGGTAATTATTATTAATATTATTATTATTATTATTATTTTGTAGTGCAGACAAGGTCTCACCATGTTTCCCAGGCTGGAACTTCTGGCCTCAAGTGATCCCCTTGTCTCAGCCTCCCAAAGTATTGGGGTTATAGGCGTGAGCCACTGTAGCCAGCCTGGGTTCCTTCTCTCTCCTAAGGAGGTGACCCCACTGACCGAAAAGCTACCTAAGGTATTTTAGGAGTGCAAGAGAATGACAAACATGAGTAAGAATGAGATAGTGTCATTAAAAAAAAAAAAAAAGGCTCTACCATCTACCGTCCATTCACCTTCCAAGCTGTCATAACAGCAGAGCTGTGGTTCTTGAATGTCAACTGCCAGGGTAACGATTGAAAAGTGAAGACATTGGATTTTTGTATTGTTAGTGAATATTTTGTAATAAAATTTGAGAGAAAAAAAGAAAAGAAAAGTGAAGATAGCAGGAGGATTAACTCGTTGAACAAAAGTCTGAGACATTTCTCAGGACGGCATGTGTCACAATATTAATCCAAATCTCAGATTGTGTTAAACTCTTTGGGAAAAATAAGATAATTGACTTAGCCCAATTTCCAGCCATATAATTGGTATTCTATAGACATAGCCTAAGGAAACGTCATTAATGAAGCAACAACTTGATTGCCTTTGATTATACGGATGGGTAAAAATGTCAAACCCTCATGGCGCAAAGTCAGAAGAAGCAGTGAGAAGCGTGGCTGAGGCCAAAGAGCACAGTGAACCCCAAGGCCAGGACAACCCTGGGGGACATGGGACTGTGACACCACTTAGTGCCAACCTGAGAAAGATACGTTCTTAAAAGCAGAACTTCCCACTCATCTGTTAGAGCAGTGAAAATGTCTTGTGATAAATGCCACAGGATGTATAATTTAGACACGATAGTATCTGTGTAACCCAATCTCACTGCAGTTAAAAATATTCAAATCAAAAATGGTTGCAAACCAATCCAGTGAAGTTTTAGCACCAAGGAAGGCAGGATTCTGGCTAATTTTCCCTTCTCTAATGAGGGGAAGGGACAGTCAAACTTGCCCCCCAACATCCACTTGTGACTTCTCATCCGCCACAGTGAACAGCCAGGAGATTTCACATGACTGAAACAGGAAGAATTATTTAATGGCTTGGGAAGAGCATTTTTCATTTGGAAGTGTTCCTAGGCCACATCATGGCAGCAACCAAGCTTGTTCAGTCATCACCAGCAGCGTTTTCTGGGCTCTCATCCTGCGCCGGGCACTGTGATGAGAGCTCCCTGTGTGTGATCTCATGTACCAATCAACGACCTTGCAAGGCAGGTATTCTTCTTATCTATGACAGACTAGAAAGCAAATATTCTTAATTTAGCAGACTTTTTTGAAATGCTAATGATGCTGCTGATGATAATAACATCAATTAAATGGTTTGCAGAGCTATCAAAAAAACTTTTTTAAACTGAGTAATGGAAAGGAACAATTTTCCAGCTAAAGCTTATTCTTCTGCCATCTCAGCAAATGAAGTTCCAGCTTTCACTTTTCCTCATGGGTCAGTGTGGCTTCCAGCACTTCTCTGATAGAAGGTTCCATAAAATGTATAAATAGTAGCTAAAGTCCCCCTTAGGTCTTGGCCTCCCATATTAACTGCCTGGTGAACCCACTGGATGTGGGGTTCACAGGGGGAAAACTGACAGTGAGGACTTCCCTGCAGCAGGCTAGGGATGTGTGCTGGGGGGACAGCTGTCTGGATATGAAGGTCTAGTCCTGTTTGCTCCACAAGGCCTTATTCCATTGGTTCTTGAGGTACCCTTATATTTTAAAATATCTTAAATATAAAAGAAATGATCAACCTTGCCAGAAACACCCACTATAGTTGAAACCTGTGTGTCCTAGGATAAATCTGGAACATTTTCAGGCTGGGTCATCCAAAAGCTTATGTGGCATGGACCTGCTCACACTCTAACCTCCGCTAGTCCATGCATAAATTTTGCTCCAGGTCATTCTGCTTATAATTACAAAGCTCTATTCTCAATGCTCTAATAGCTTGAAGAATAAAGAAGGTTATATTTCTTCTTCTTTTTTTTTTTTTTTTTTTTTGAGACGGAGTCTCGCTCTGTCGCCCAGGCTGGAGTGCAGTGGCGCGATCTCGGCTCACTGCAACCTCCGCCTCCCGGGTTCACGCCATTCTCCTGCCTCAGCCTCCCGAGTAGCTGGGACTACAGGCGCCCGCTACCACGCCCGGCTAATTTTTTGTATTTTTAGTAGAGACGGGGTTTCACCGTGTTAGCCAGGATGGTCTCGATCTCCTGACCTCGTGATCCGCCCGCCTCGGCCTCCCAAAGTGCTGGAATTACAGGCGTGAGCCACCGCGCCCGGCCTATATTTCTTCTTAAAGGAAAATTTCTTCATCCAAAATGGGTTCCTTCCAGCCCCACTGTCTTTATGTCTACCGTCTTTTTGCCAGCTCCAGCTGATAAGAAGAGTTCATCCTTACAAGCTCAGAGAAGGGCTTAACCACAGGCCCTGGGTTTGCTGCATTCCAGGAGCTTGTGGCTGTGAGCCAAGGTCTGGTGTGCAAATTGCATCTCCTGTGTGTGCAGAGTGAACATGAGGGAGCACTATGTGTTTAAGACCAGTGCTCGATAATTACAAGATAGACTGTTATAACCTAACTAAATTTCACAGAACAAGTAGATGCAGGCTAGAGGGAAATCCCAAGCCTTTGAAAGTCAAAAATACCCACACAGGAAAGAAAAAGGTGAGTTTGGAAATTCTGTTAGGACCATGTCAGCTTAAATGGGCTCTTATGTCCAAAATTGGGACAATTTGAAAACCAAAAAGAACAATGAAGGTAATGGATTAAAAACGGATGTAAGGAAAGAAGGAAGGAAGGAAGGAAGGAAGGAAGGAAGGAAGGAAGGAAGGAAGGAAGGAAGGGAAGGAAGGAAGGAAAGAAGGCTCAATCCATGAATCCATAATGATACTAAAAGGGGAGGGGTATATTTAGAGAGGAATACCAGCTAACGTAGAAGAAATGATTGAATAGGAAAATCACCATTTTGCACACCCTGCTATAATAAAGATCTAGGAGAGGATGATCCAAGGATACTAAAGCCACAGAGGGAAAGGTTGTTGAGAAGCAGGAGCACCTTACATAGACAAAGCATCAACCTGGTGGACACTTCATAACCAAGCAGTCAGAGTTAACAAATATGAGAGATATTGACATCGTGTGGCTCCTGAAGTGATGCACTGGGAAGGGCACCGCACCCCTGATGTCAAAGATGTTCATCCTGCATCTAATCAGAGAGAGGTAATCCGTTAATCAGACAAGTTCAGAGCATGGGGCATTCTGCAAGTCAACAGGCCTGGATGCATCCAAATGTCAGTGGCTGGAAGAAAAAGAAAATGGCAGGAGATTTTCTAAAATGCAATGTGGGAACCTTGGCTAGATTCTAGATTTAAAAAATAAAACTATAGAAGACTTTTGGAGATGATTTGGAGAAATAAGAATATAGGAATATATTAGACATTATTGACATTAATTTGACCAGAAAATGGAACTGTATTTATTCAACGTCTTGGAAGGTAACTATACAAAACTTTACAGCATCTTCTATCCACTCTCCCTTAACATATGGTTTTAATTATTTTAAGCCCATTTAAATGTAACAAGTGTCTTAGAGACCTAAGACATAAGATAATCTTAAGATGATTTGTATTGATTTCTGGATGATCTAACAGTCTAGAGATAGAAGTGGCTTTTAATGTTCTAAGATTTTCCAAGATTGAAGTTACGTAGCATGAGCTTCTCTAAGTTTCCTTTCCTTTCCTTCACATGTTTTCACTGTCTTCACCGATTCATGTTTTTCCTCTGCCTGTTGCCTCCTTAGTGCTAAGTGCAGTGCTCAGCCCATGCCAGGGACTTGGGAAACGCTTAGTCCATAATGAGTAATCGCTGTGTTCGCTCCATCACTCAAGTGCTTAATGTGACAAAAACCTTACTTGTATTGTTTTTAAACTTCTTAAGGTTACTGCTCCAATGTCTTGAGTGTGATAATGACACTGTGGTTATGAGCAGGAATATAATGGCTTTGTTTCTAGATCAGGCTGAAGTATTTAGAGCCAAAGAGTCATGATGTCTTTCTGCAGCTTACTGTCAAACGCTTTCACACAAAAAAGTAAATTATATATATAAATACATATATATATACACACACACAGTGAGCCCTCTATATCTGTGGATTCCAAATTCACCGTGGATACAGAGGACTAACTGCATATAGACACAATACATGCATATGTATGTATGTATACATATATATCCACATATTCAATACATATATATGTGTGTGTACATGTACACACATTCTGTATACAGTCAGTCTTCTACATTCATGAATTCCACATCCACAGAGTCAACCAACTTCAGATTGAAAATATCTTAAAAATTGCATCTGTACTGAACATGTACAGACTGTTTTCTCGTAATTATTCCCTAAACAATACAGTAAAACAACTACTTACATAGCATTTACATTGCAATAGGTATTACAATTAATCTGGAGATGACTTAAAGCATATGGGAGGATCATATCAGGGATTTGGGCACCCACCCTCGGATTTTGGCAACTGTGAGGGGTCCTGGAACAAATCCCCTGAAGATACCGAGCGACAACTGAATAGTAATAAAATATGTGTAACGTAATGTAACATGCATGTGTGTGTCCATAATGCATAACAGAGAGAGAGAGACCAAGCAGATGTGATAAAGCCCCTGCATAGGATGTGGACATAAAGCCAGACATGAACTGTGTCCATGAGGTCAGCACACTCCAAGCAGAATGACCATCCCATGAACAAAGCTAGGGACAACATCTGTCCCAGAAAAATGAGCAGATGCCCAAACCCAAGAGCTCCAGAATAGCAATTCAGCATCAATCTCTTAAATGAGGTGGAAATAATCTTTTAAGTTCCACTCAGGCATCCCCTCATGTTAATTTCATAACTCGACCTTTATGATGTTAGGAAATTACCATCTTTTGAGTGAAACAAAAACACATGCACACCACTTCTCCAAATGACAAAGCCTGGACCGTCGGCGCCCGACAGAAAACAAAGCCACAAAACAGCTACAGAGCAGGACAAGGGACATTGGCGCGTCTTCAGCTCAGCTTTTATTTAAACACACTGGGCTCCAGGCACAGCCTTGACCTGCCAACAGATTCAAGCAAACGTAATTAGAGGTGAGCAAGCTGTATGGATCCAGCTTTCCCCATCCATGCTGCAGCTGCTGAGAAGTAGAGCAGGTCTAGAAGAGCTGCCCTAGGAGTTTTAGGAGGAAGCTCTGCGACCTCCCCATGCTTGGCAGGGAGCCACCACCCTTTGACAAACCCAGTGCACTGATTCCTTAGGTATGCGTCCCATGACCCCATGGTCAAATGGGCACAGGCCAGCTGGGGTACACATGTACAGGTGTACCAGCTGTTAAAATACCAAGATGCTCTGTACCAGCTGGTAAATAACTGCCCTCCAAATGCCTCCAGTGCCCACTCCTGTGCTTTCCTGCTGCCTCCTCCACCAGGACCCCTCAACACCGCCTCCCCCATGGCCCATTAACTCCAAGAGCTAAAATCTCACTGCATCCAACCTAGGGCCAGGTACTCTGTCACTGTTGAGTATTTTAAACAGCACTCTGCCTCCTAGACTCTGGTGCTTCCAGGGCAAGGAGTCTATTTTATTAATTTCTGCATCTCTAGCATGTCTTGAAGCCACACCCGCAGAAGTATCAGTTCAATGCATCCACCAAGGACCCAAGAGGAGCTTGCCATGAGGCAGGGCTGACTGTGAGTGAGGAAGAGTGAGCAGCGGCGAGTTGCTGTGGTAGGTATCACACCACTGCATTTGAGCCACATCTGAGTTTCAGGTGCAGAGCCTATGAATCGCAATAGGTCTGAGGCACTGATTTATGTATAAGGCAGTTCTGCTGGAAAATGCTTACTTGAGATACACTTTTTAAGTAATAAACACACATGCATATTTACGGAGCAAAAATTAAGCCCAGCCAGCCCCTACCAGTGTCCTGCTCATGGGACAGTAGAGTCCATGGTTCCTTTAGATTCACTTTGATCTTCTATTTCTACTTCCCTAAAGGAAACAGAGCCTCACCCTGGCAAACCAATTGTAAAGTTTAGAGCAGGAAGAGGCAAAGAACAGCAGTGCAGTGAACTCACTGGCAGGCAAAAAGAAGCAGAGGCTCTAAAACATGGCACAAAGGAGCTCTCACATCACCAAGACCAGGATCCTTCTCGAACTTTCTTCTGAGGTCTGGAAAATGCTGGTAACAAGGGGAAGAACTGTGTGGAAGTAAAGATGCTATCTCAAAAGGAGAAAAAAAAGCATCATTTAGACCGAGGCAGCCATTCAGCATGGAACAAGACAGAATATTTATCTCCCCTCGCAGGCAGGCTGTAACCCTGCAAGTGACAGGACAGCAGTTCTGGGGACATGACTGCCCCACCCCCATCAGCCTCTCTTCCAGCCCTGAAGAGCATCCCACGTGTCCTTGTGCTGTCTTTTCCCACTAAAACTAAGTGTCTCAGGTGCACAGCAGTATTCCCTCCCCACACCTACCCTTCTACCTGTGGGACAAGCAAGAGACTAGGACTGGAGATTGCAAGGGGGCCTCTTTGTGGCAAAGGAGTACATGTGGTGTCTCCCACTCTTGATTTCATATCTGGTAATAAGAGCAGCTAAGTCTCAGGAAATCAGCATGAGGAGAGCTAACTCGGCTTTTCTGGAAGAGTCGTGAACATCAGTACTAGGGATGAGGAGGTAGCACAGCCTCCCCAGGCAGAGATGCCAGTGTTTCCCCCTGGCTCTGGTCTTTCTTGGGTCTTGTCTCTCAGCCTCCTCATCATGGCTAATTACTTCTTCCCTAGGTCTACCATCGCCCACCTACAAAAGGATGCAAGTAAATGTCTTGGCTTTCAATCCCACTGAACAGACACTGAGAGTAATGTATTTGGGAGGTGAAGATAGAGGAAGAAGGAATAGAGAGAGGGGGAAAGGCTGCCCATAAAGCTTGTGTTATCCAGCAGGTTATGGCTGTGGGCAAGTGGAGCATAATCCTACTGGGCAACTCTAGGAGACAGTGCAGACTCGTGCCTCAGAGTCAGCCCCCTGTAGGGATGAGGGAGCTGGGGTATTTGTACACCACCTCCCATCAGCCATTGGTTGAGGGCTGCTCCAGAGGTCGTTAATTCTCTGACATTTCCAGCCTGCCATGCACAAAGCAGTGTGGACTCTGGCCTCCAAAGAAAGCCTTTGGGCAAAGGAATGCAGGTGTGAGCAGGCAGAATGTGGCCAGTGTGCACCAATGTGGTAAGAGCAAGGAACCATGGGCAGGCACAGTGGTGTCTGCTTCCTGAAAGACCCAGAGAATGCAGCTATTACTATACCAGCTGTGATGCCCGAGGGCACCTTTATGTAAAAGGCTTACACTCCTCAGGAGAGAGGTGTCCTGTAAACACAAGGCATGCTTATCCACCCAGACAAGCAATTCTATTTCCCTGGCAAGAAGGGGTGAGCTGGTGAAGGGGAGAACAAAAGAGAACCCTCCCCAAAGATGAGTGTACCTGTCTACAGCAACTCAAAGGAGGAACAGATCTTCCTCATAAGCTTTCTAAACAGGTGTCCTGGGGCGGGGGATGGGAAGCTGTTTTACCCTTTGGGGTCACAGGAGTGAGGGGTGGCCTGAGAAGGCATGGCCCATGGGCCTGGCTGTGGCTGCTTTGTCCTGAAGTGATCTTTTTCCTTTTGCCTCTTTTCTGTGAATGCAGCAGGTCACAGGGGAGTCATCTTGCAGAGCAGAGTGGAAATGAAAGTAACACTTGGCAATTGAGGAGAAACAGAAATGAGATGATTCTAAGACCTCGAATGCATGTGTCTGCCCAGTCACCGGTAGCTCACTTAGAAATCAAGGAGACTCAATTTTTGCTTTCCTTGCAATTGCTTTTGGCATTTTTGTCATGAAATCTTTGCCCATGCCTATGTCCTAAATGGTACTGCCTGGGTTTTCTTCTAGGGTTTTTATAGTTTTGGGTTTTGCATTTAAGTTTTTAATCCATCTGGAATTGATTTTTGTACATGGTGTAAGGAAGGAGTCCAGTTTTTAATTTTCTGTATACAGCTAGCCAGTTCTCTCAGCACCATTTATTAAATAGGGAATCCTTTCCCCATTGCTTGTTTTTGTCAGGTTTGTCAAAGGTCAGATGGTTGTAGGTGTATGGCCTTTTGTCAGAGGGGTGGGAGGAGGGAGAGCGCCAGGAAGAATAGCTAATGGATGTTGGGCTTAATACTTGGGTGATGGGATGATCTTTGCAGCAAACCACAATGGCACACATTTACCTATGTCACAAACCTGCACATCCTGCACATGTACCCCTGAACTTAAAATAAAAGTAGGAAATTTTTAAAAAAAGAAATCAAGAGATTCTATTTTTAAAAATTTTGCAAAGAGAGTTAATTGGGAACACTTAAAGAAGTCTGCCTCCTCAGCAAAGACCTTGAGATCATTCTCATTGTCTCCTCAGCAAAGTCCATTTCAGGTCAGGTGACCTCTCCCCAGCCCCTAGGGCCAACCTGGCCTGGACTCTGTGCTCCTGCCCAGGGGGAGTCGGCACGACTTGGTGTCTGGCTGATTTATGGCTCCCATTGTCTTCACTGAATCCCAGAATTTTTGAAAATGCTAGACATTTTCAAGATTGGATTTTTTTATTTGACTGATTTATGAGCCATAGCTCAGATTAAACAGGGAAACCCTGTCCTGTCAAAGGGACCATCGTACTTGCTCCCCCGGAGGTGGAGCAAACCCTGATGGTTTTCAGCCTACACCCTGACCCAGTGGCTGCAGGACACGCTGCCTTCCTTGGCCTTTTATGTAAACCCTGGTAAGCCTTTATTTCACCCTTCTCACTCCAGCTCTACAGAAGCACCAAGAGGTAGGAACTGTGCAGCCTTGTCTTTGCTCAAACCCCCACTTAACTAGAGCTTCCTTAGTACAGGTGGTCCCAGATTTTTGATGGTTCATCTTGGGATTTCTCCACTTTGTGACGGTAGAAAGTGATGCACATTCAGTAGAAAGTGTACTTCAGATTTTAAATTTTGATCTTTTCCTGAGCTAGCAATATGTGGTTCAATAGGCTTTGGTGATGCTGGGCAGCTGCGGTGAGCTGCCGCCCCCAGCCATGCTATTACCAGTGCATTCTGCAGTACATTGTACTCAACAGATCTATGAGACGTTCAACACTTTGTAATAAAAAGCTTTGTGTTAGATGATTCTGGCTAACTGTAAGCTAATGTAAGTGTTCTGAGCATGTCTAAGGTAGGCTAGGCTAAGTGACGATGCTTGCTAGGTTAGATGTATTAAATGCATTTTCAACTTATGATATTTTCAGTTGTGGACAGGCTTACTGGCACATAATCCCATTTTAAATTGAGGAGCACCTACGTTTATGTACACGAGTGAACAAAAGAACTGTGAACTCTGGTTACAGTGCTGTAATCTTCCAGCAGGGTGATGACCCTCCTACCAGAAGAGCCACTGGATCCACATCAACAGATCATGAAAGTCACCAGCACCTGTGTTCTTGATCATGACCTGAGCACAGCAGTGCACGCTTCCATGTAATTTCTATGACCACAACCAGGAGGGAGGGACATCAGCACTTTGTAGAAAGAATCCATAGCCCAGGGAGGTTCAGGGATCTGCCCCCAGCCATATAACCCACTTAGCTTTCTAAGACTTTCTAAGACCATGACCCCAGGATTTCAGCACAAATCTTGCCTCTTTCCAGAACACTCCATTCCATTCCTATTTGGTGCTGGATAGAAAATCCCTCAACCATACACTTGCTTCTTTGCACCTGAATGGGGTCTCTGGCACCCCAGCCCCAGTGATCTCGTCCTAACAGCATCATATTCTGGAAAACCTACCCTGGGGCCACTGCCAGGCTGCTGCCGCAGCCTCCTTTCCATTTCCCATTTAAAACATGCCTAGTTTGATGGAGAAGAGGGAAATCAGGTCTGCCCAGCACAGAGGAAACCAACCTACCCTGTGTGAACTATAGAGACAGGTGTGGGTGCAAGGATAGGCGAATCTGAGCACAGTAATGCCAAGGACCCTTTCTTTGCAAAAATAGCAGAAACAGAGCAGATGGGACAGAACGCGGGTGCCTCAGAAGCAAGTGACCTGATTGCCAGCACACTGGCCCTACCACCTAGAAAATCAAAGCAAATTTCTTCTTCAGCACTTTTATGTGTGGCCTTTGACCAAATGCCACAACATGCAGTTAATGATGTCAGATGACAGGGTGATACTGCAATTCTGTGCATTGCAGACACCATGTGTAAATCACACATCTGAAACGTCAGACTTCCTGCCCACAGTCGGTAACTCATGTCCAGACACACCGACAGGCCAAGGCCTGGTAACCACTAAGGTGTGTTATGACAAGCTTTGCTGACATTCCTTCCGGAAGACTGTGAGTACGGATGGGAAGCGTGCTGGCATGGCAGGAGTTACAGGCTGCCTGATGGCAGAGAAGCTTCCGCAGCAACTCCCTTCATCCTGCAGACAAGGAATGAGAATGCTTAAGTGTCTACAATTCCAGTAAAGAAGATTTAAAGGCAGGGCGCAGTAGCTCACGCCTGTAATCCCAGAACTTTGGGAGGCTGAGGTGGGCAGATTGCTAGAGCCCGAGAGTATGAGAACAGCCTAGGTAACATGGTGAAACCCCATCTCTATAAAAAATACAAAAATTAGCCAGGTATGGTGGTGCATGCCTGTAGCCCCAGCTACTCAGGAGGCTGAGGTGGGAGGATCACTTGAGCCAGGGGAAGTCAAGGTTGCAGTGAGCCGAGATTGCGCCACTGCACTCCAGCCTGGGTGGTGGACTGAGACCCTGTCTCAAAAATAAAATAAAATAAAATAAAATAAAATAAAATAAAATAAAATAAAATAAATAAATAAAAACAAAAAAAGAGGATTTGGAATAGAACTAGGTATCAGTGCATCTTTACTCCAACCTTCCTAAAAAAATATTGGCCCTTGGAAGAACACCTGTCTGCAGGCCTGGGACCTTACAGCAAAACCACAGACAAAGTTGGGGACAGAAAATTTTCAAAGGTGAAGGCTTTTGTTGTTTATCAACAGTCCTGGGTTCTGTAAACATGAGCTGGATAAATGACCACAGTGACCGGTCTGTGAATTTCATCAGGGGATGCTTACAGCATGAATTTTCCTTTCCTTACCTCAAGACCTGAAGTTCTATAGTTCAACTCATGTATCTGGCATCGCCCTCTCCCTCTGCCCATCCTTTAAGATGTATCATCTCCTCATGGGGTTGAAGTGGAGCAGCAAAACAAGTTTCTAAAGCCCCAGAGGGATTAAACTTGTCAGTATGGTACCTCCCTGTTACTAGTTTGAAAAGGGCAGAAGAAAAGGTTCAAGCACAAGAGAAACTTGCCCCATATCACCGTGATCCCCAGGACCTGCTCTGAAAGCAGGAGCTGTTACATGTCCACATGGAATCAGCAGCCAGATTACTGTAGCTGAGCTAGGTTTAATGCCTCGGATTCTTAGTTAAATCTCAAAATCTGACTTGTTAAGTCAACTAAGAAAAGAAAGACCTAGCAGTGGCAGGAGAGGCAAGTTCAGACCTCAGAGCTGAAATGGGCCACTGACCCAGAACAGGCTGGGTTCCAGCCTAGCTCAGGTTCCCTGGCCCTTCTCAGTGCCACTCAAGTACAGAGCCCAGAGCAAACAGGGGAGGAACCAGACACCCCACTGCTTTTCCTTGGAAGGCTCTGATTTAATTCCATCTCTGGGTGGAGGAGCAGCTCCGAAACAACATGCTTCATTTCGTCTCCCTTGGCCAGAAAGAAGAGGTCATAAAAAAACAAGAGAGGCTGTGTGTGGTGGCTCATGCCTGTAATCCCAGCACTTTGGGAGGCTGAGGCAGGCGGATCACCTGAGGTCAAGAGTTCAAGACCAGCCTGGCCAACATGGTGAAATGCTGTCTCCATAAAAATACAAAATTAGCCAGGCATGCTGGCGGGTGCCTATAATCCCAGCTACTCGGGAGTCTGAGGGGGAAGAATCGCTTGAACCTGGGAAGCAGAGTTTGCAGTGAGCTGAGATCCTGCCATTGCACTCAAGCCTGGGTGACAGAACAAGACTCCATGTCAAAAAAAAAAAAAAAAAAAAAAAAAAGCAAGAGAAAAGGAAGAATACTTGAAAACCCTGGAGAACATTTCTGTTTTCCCTCATCTTGTTGGTCCTGACACTGCTACAAAGTAAATGGGAACTTTACAATACAATGGCCAGGGAAACCCAAGTGGCCAGGCTGTGCCAGCATCACCATTGCTACCAATACCCAGGCTGCCACCACATAAAACACACCAGGCCAATGGAACTCTGAGCTTTGAGCAACCTCAGAAGCACATGGGAACTCTCTGGTTCCATTTAAGTCCTGGGATAAAACTCACAACCCCAAGGCCCTTCTCCATCACACTTGTCAACATAAAGTCCAGACAAAAGGTGTGAGGGCAACAAAACAAAACAATAAAACATCAAGGCAGCAGTTTAGCAAGTCCCAAAATAAAGTGTAAAGTGTATCTCACTGGTGTATTAATAACCTATATATATACTTGTGAATGAATAGGAAGAGATCATGAAGAATCCCACCTTCTGGGCCTCCTTGTTCACAATGGTCAGTTACCCTTGTGCAGAGTGGCTGGAGGAGGTAAGTGGAGAATGATTTTAACTTTTTACCCTGTATAGTTCAGTACTGTTTGGGTTCTCTAGGATATGTATGCATTCTTAAATGATTCTTCAAGTTTTAAAAAATCAACTATATAAATATAAAAGCTATATATACCTATACTGTTCTAACTTCCAAATTCCTAGAGCTTTGACCAGTTCCCTGGAACACTGTCCCCTGCGCCTTGGGCTACCCACCGATGAAGTCTGGCACACCTATACTTTCCCTACATGCAAGAATGAAGCCCTTCACTGAAGGGAAAATGGAACTTTGTGTCTTACACCCCTGAAGAACTCTTCCAATGCTGGGATCTCACTGAGGGACACCCACTGCCACTTAGAAAAATGTTTTCACCTTAACAAACTAATCAAGTGTCATTTTGGTTCACATGGCAATTTTCCATCCGGGCAGTGATCTACCTCTGAGTTTATTGTTCTTATATTAGAGGCTCATTTCCTGTGTTTGAAACATGAAGTAGAACAAGAGCAGCGAATGGATTCATAGTTATTCATGACCCACAACAGAGGAAAGAGGAAGGGCGCATGGGAAGGAAACCCTCATGCTACACACACAGCACCGGCAGCCATGTTTCTCAGTGGGCCTCGATCCCATCAGGAGACTGCATCCCTATTTCCTCCAGGCCACCCTTTGGGAAGATGTATTTAATGAGTGTGGAAAGTAAGTGTGGCAGATGAATTCCCTGCTGGCCATAGGGGAAAAAAGAGAGCTGCATACTGTTGTTACTAACAGGCTATCTTGACTTCATGGCTTCCACCTCCTCAAATGAGTACCATCATCCTCCCTGGTGAAATCTGATCTAACTGTTTTCCTTTGGGGACACTTGTTGACTCAAACACTGCCTCCTCCTGGAAGCCTTCCTTTACCCCACACCTCCCAGGATGGGAGGCCCCATCCTGGCCCTCTGTGGGGGCCAACGTGCACACCTGTAGTACAGCATTGATCACTCTGAGTGGATGTAGCTGGATTCCTCTCCCCACTACCTTCCGCATGTGATCCCTGAGGGCTGGGACTGTATCTCTTCTTTCTCCAAACCTTCCCACCATTAGCAGAATGCCTGGACCAGCATGAAAGCTGAAGGAGCATGGGGCTGTTGAGTGACCTCATCCTGATTTCCTGTGTGGGGCCCTGGAATGATCCACCACATACAGAGAACCCATCCGCGGGCCCTGCTGGCCAAAAGTTGCTGACTGCAAGCCTGGGGTTCTCTTGAAGCCTTGAGCCTTTGAACATGAGGTTTAGGTTCATGCCCAAATTCCTCGCAAATCTGAACTCAAGTCTCTACACACATATGAGTAACCAAAACCCAAGCTCCAGTGACCCCAAACTGTGCTTCTCCACTAAAGGAAGAAAGGAAGGAAAAAATGAAGGGAAGGCAAGGAAGGAAAAAAGGAAGGGAAGGCAAGAAGGAAGGAAGGAAAGGGAAGGAAAGGGAAGGAGGGATGGAAGCAAGGAAGGAAGAAAGGAACGAAGGAAGATTACATAGAGGGGGAATAAAAAAGAAATGAAAAGCTTTCAGAAAGACTCCAGCAAAGCAAATAAACATGATTATAAGCTCAAAAAAGGCTTTATTTCAGATTTAAAGCATGCTGGCTGTCCTTGGAGCTTGTCTTTAGACCTTTCCCCCAAAAGTTGAATGTGGCTAAAGAAACAGGTAGTGCAAGAAGGGAGCATGTCCATACACAACATCTGGAAAGTATGACTCCAAAGTGAGGTTATGTAACTGGAAGCTGAAGGCAGCATCAAGCTCTGTTTATATGCTTGCTGCCCTGAATGACTGCAGCACAGATAATGACTGTCTCAGCAAGGCTTCATAGGCTGCAGACATCTATGAGGAAGAACAGTGGCTGGAGCAGTAAGTTTCCTTCCCAGGTAGCCGCAGGTCAGTCCTGAAGCAACCCGGACCTTCCAGAGAACTGGCCTGGACCAGAGAATAGACAGTCCTCATGGAATTCCTGCCCTGATATTGAGCTTCTCATTTCTCAAGCTCTCATTCAGAGCCTTATTGATTTTTATTTCATACACCAGGTTTAAAAATGGAAGAGAAAATTAATATTTACTGAACATACACTAGCTCAGCACTTGTCCAAGTCTTCTGTGCACATGACCACCTGGGAACTTTTGAAATTCATGGTCAGACTCAGTGCATTTTCCTGGTGGGGGCTGAGCTTCTGTGTGGCCAATAAGCTCTCAGTCTTGCTGATGCCTCTGGGCCTGAGGCCACACTCTGAGTAGCAAGGGTTTAGAATGTGGCAGAAACATGTTAGAAGGGGTAATGTGAAAGCAAGGGTCTATCGGTTCAAGAAAATGAAAAATCAGTTATTAGATGTCATGACACCTAGGTGAAGTAGCCAGAAGATGGAATGAACTCCACGAAGACACCAGGCACCATCTCCCAGGGCTGCCTCCAATGTCAAGTCCGGCTCTGCTCAGGCCCATTGTGCCTGCTGGACTCTTTTCACTGTGCAGGATGGGGACTCAGGCTGGTCGGACACTGATAGCAGGAAGAGTGTGATGCTTTGCCGCCCTGACCTGTCCCAATGACCCAGAGTCACTCCTGGGGCGTGAAAGCTTGGAGCACAGACTGGAAGCCCAGCTCTCCCAGGGTGCAAGGAGGAGTCCCTTGTCTTCACATTCCCCCAAATGATGATTCTATGTTGGTATGTGGATGGGTAAGAAATGAACAATAAAGGGCCATCTCAAATTAAGCTGCCACACAGAGAAGAAGCTTGCAAAAAGTTCCAACTCTCTTTTTGAAGGCCACTTCTCATGATGCTTAGAACCCCTCATCCTTCCAGAAAACTGAAGCTTTGACAAACTAAAGTTAACATCTTGTTATCCCTCCCAAAGAGGAGAAAAAATAGAAGCTCTAGGCCAGCGTTTTCCAAAATTCAGTGTGCATAGGTACCACCTGGGGAGCTAGTTAATATGCAGATTCTGATTCCATAGGTCTGGTAGGTTTGGGTGGAGTATGAGATTCTACATTTCTAACAAGCTTCCAAGAGGTGTTGACACTTCCAGGCTGGTCCCTGGACCACACTGAGTAGCAGAAGGCAAGAGAACATGCTAACCACCTGGTTTGGCCCTTAATATACATTAGCTAATTTAATGAACTGGTAATGTCATCAGGTCAAGCACAGATCCTTTATCTGATAGATGAGGAAGCCCATATTCAGTGAAGTTAGGAAAGCTGATCAAGTTCTGCAGCAAGAAAATGAGAGGAACTGGATTTCAAGTCTGATCTGCCTGACACTAAAGTTTATGTTCTAACCATAGATCTGCTGTCGGGATGAAACTTTAGAAGATCTGAGGGTGTGAAAGTTTTAAAGGTAGACAAACCTAGGAAGTAGTGGAAGTGACAGTGGACACAGTGACAACAAAAAAGGAGGCCCTGGTCTGAATTACAAGACGGTAAAATAACATATGTCCTCCACGAATCCATGGCTTCAATTTATCACTAGAATGTCCAATCCACATTCCGTGCACTGTGACTCACAGACAAGAACGTATTAAATTTACTTAGAAAGATATCAATCAAATGCTTATCACTTTTCAAAATGGCCTGGCGTTTGCAGAGATGTTTCATTTAGTTCATTCAACCACATTCTGCAGACATTTGTCGAGTTCCTAGATGTGGAGGGAACTGCACCCTCAGCAGCAGCCACTTAGGCAGAAACGATATCCCAACGATGCCAGATAAATGAGGTACTTAAGTCATAATACGGGCTCCTTAACGATGAAATAAAGCCCCTCCTGCAACCCCGTTTAGTATTTCTCCATTCCGAGTTGCAAATGACATGACTGATTTCAGATACTTTAATAAAAAATCGCTCAATAAAGGTTTGCGAAGTGCATCAAGTATAGAATCTATCCTGATAAGCCCTCAGACAAATTCACAGTAAATGAATGGGAGACTTGGCATGATTCAGCTCTCCAACACCAGCTTTCAGAAGACATCACAAATGTCCCCTCCCCTCAGCTGGTGGCCTGAGGACTGCGGAGGCAGACTCACAGGTTTAATTTCTGCACCCTCCAAACAAAACGCATAACAAAATGAAAGTCACTTCAGTCTTCTGCAATTTCAGAATGAAGCCACTCCCTGTCTAGCTAGAAGCTTTCCTTTTGCAAGGTCCATTTGAGCAATCTTTACAGCTGTAGAGTGAAGAAACTAAAAGTCAAGAAGTTGGTGACATCAAAGTTGGTCAATATACCACTAGAGACCTTTTCCTTTCAAAGCATTGCTTTATGAGTCCGTTAGAAAACCTCATAGCCCTGAATTAAAATATGATAAATATGATACCTCCTTAATTTAAACAATGGCCAGGTTGAAGGGAATAAAGACTTACCTGGTTCACTCTCCCACATCCATTTTCTAAGGGCCCTCTTTGTGTTCTGGTGGAGGGGACTTCTGTGTCATGTGTCATGTAGACATGAGGTCAAGTATGGTTAATAAAGATAACATTTCACTTTAAAAAATTCTTTGTTTCCATAAATATGAGGCACAAGGAAAATGTAAATCCTCCTGTGCTGAGTTAGCTTAAGCAAACCGATGTCTGCTGGGTCACCACAGATGCAGAGTTGGTCCCAAGGTGGACTCCTCAGTTTCCCTGCCATGTGTATTCCTGTGTAAAGGGCTTTACAAACAAGACACTTTTTTTTGGTTGCCAAAACTTTTCTTTATTTTTATTTTTATTTTACTTGAAGTTCTGGGATACACGTGCTGAACATGCAGGTTTGTTACCTAGGTGCACATGTGCCATGATGGTTTGCTGCACCCATCAACCCATCATCTAGGTTTTAAGCCCCACATGCATTAGGTATTTGTCCTAATGTTCTCCCTCCCCTTTCCACCCACCCCCCAACAGGCCCCGGTGTGTGATGTTCCTCTCCCTGTGTCCATGTGTTCTCATTGTTCAACTCCCACTTATGACTGAGAACATGCAGTGTTTGGTTTTCTGTTCCTGTGTTACTTTGCTGAGGATGAAAGACACTTTTTAAAAACGTTTTATCTTTTCTCATCTACATGAAGCTTTTCATCTACATAAAGACAGATTTTAAAAGATCACTCTTAACAGATAAAATCATTCCATTTTGGTGCTAGTAGGAGCCTTAAAGATCATCTAGTCAGTCTGTGCATTTGATATACAAAATCCAAGGATTCAAAGGGGGGTGACCATTGATTGAGCATTGATCACACACCCGGTACTATAAATATTAGGCATGATTGCAAATATTATCTCATTTACTCTTCATGATAACACAGTAATGTAGTTCATATCCCCATTTTGAGATGAGAGGATGGATGTTTTCATCCAACTGATCAATGAAAACGCAATGGCCAAAATTTAGTCTGCAGATTCCCAGTTCATTGCTGTTTCAGTTTCACCTAGAATGCTGACCCCACTCCAACCAATATCCTCACCAGGGAAGAGAACAGCCAGAGCCTTCAGAAGGCTCAGAAGACCTCAAGTCCTTGGGAGACCCAGATCTCACTCAGAGGAAAGGTCAGTGAAACGTAAACCTCTACTGACAGAAAAGCTATGCAGTGTCACGTGAGAGGTTTTTGTTTGTTTGTTTGTTTGTTTGTTTTTGTTTTTTAATCTTTTGTTTTAGACTCTGCGGGTACATGTGCAGGTTTATTGCATGGGTAAATTGTGTGTTGCTAAGGTTTGGTGTATGAATGATACTGTCACCCAGGTAGTGAATAGAGTAACTGATTAGGCAGTTTTTCATCCCTCACCCCCTCCCTACTTTCCCCCTCTAGTAGTCTGCAGTGTCTATTGTTCCCATCTTTATGTCCATGTGTACCCAATGTTTAGCTCCCACTTACAAGTGAGAACATGTAGCATTTGGTTTTCTGTTCTTGCGATAATTCACTTAGGATCATGGCCTTCAGCTCCATTCATATTGCTGCAAAGAACATAATTTCATTCTTTTTTATGCCTGTGTAATATTCCATGGTATATATGTATCACAATTTCTTTATCCAGTCCACCATTGATGGACACCTAGGTTGATTTCATGTCTTTACTACTGTGAATAGTGCTGCAATGAACATATGAGTACCTATGTCTTTTGACTATATACCCAGTAATGAGATTGCTGGATTGAATGGTAGTTCTGTATTAAGTTCTTTGAGAAATCTCCAAATTACTTTCTACAGTGGCTGATGTAATTTACATTTCCACAAACAGTATATAAGCATTCTGTTTTCTCTACAACTTTGCCAACATCTATTCTTTTCTGTCTTTTTATTAATAGCCATTCTGACTGATGTGAGATGATATCTTCTTGTTGCTTTGATTTGCATTTCTCTAATCATTAGTGATGTTGAACACTTTTTCATATATTTGTTGGCCACACGTATGTCTTCTTTTGAGAAATGTCCGTTTATGTCCTTTACCCATTTTTAATGGGTTATTTGTTTTGTGCTTATTGAATTAAGTTCCTTATAGATTCTAGACATTAGACTTCTGTCAGATGCATAGTTTGCAAATATTTTCTCCCATTCTGTAGGTTGTCTTTTTACTCTGTTGATAGTTTATTTTGCTATGCAGAAGCTCTTTAGTTTAATTAGATCTCACTTGTCAATTTTTGTTTTTGTTGCCACTGCTTTTAAGGACTTAGTCATAAATTCTTTGCCAACGTCAATGTTCAGAATGATATTTCCTAGGTTTTCTTCTAGGATTTTTATTGTTTGAGGTCTTGGTTAATTTTTGTATATGGTGAAAGAATGGGGTCTAGTTTCATTCTTCTGCATGTGGCTGGCCACTTATCCCAGCACCGTTTATCGCGTAAGGAGTCCTTTCCCCATTGCTTGTTAATGTTGACTTTTTTGAAGACCAGATGTGGCTTTATTTCTGGGTTCTCTATCCTGTTCCATTGGTCTATGTGTCATGAGATCATTCTTAACCCCACAAGTCATACCTGGTGTAAACATCCTAAGTATAAACACTCAAGCAAGGCAAGAATGGAGGTCCAAGCAGAAGCAGCACCCCACCTCTACCCTCCGTCAGGGCGTAGCATTCACTCTTAGCATGTGATGCACCTTTGGCCAAATCCCTTACCCTCCTGGTGGTTCGGGTGCCTCAATTACAAATAGTCTGGGTCTCCATGGCATAGTGAGTGCTAAGAAGGCATTCAAAGAGGTGAGAAACTGCAAGAAGATCCCATAAATGGCTTTCAGAATTACACAGGAAGCAACCATCCTCCCACATTTCCTCATGAAAGAGGCAATGCTGGGGACTCCTGGGGAGGCTGAGGAACATGATGTCAAGGAAACTAACTCTGGGGAAAAAATATCACTGCACAGAAAGAATGGACACATCCAAAAGCCACTCATCCCTCAGGGCCCTTGAGACCATTTTTCCCCAGGGATGTGACAGCCCATGGCAGAGTTGATCCTTCATGGGGAGCCGCTCATATCCCACTTGGGCCTGATGTGAGCAAAAAGTCCAAGCAGCCAACAGGAAAAGTTAAATTTAGAACACAACTGTTACTTTGCATTCAAAAAGGAAAGAAAAAAAATAACTCATCAGGTCTTAAAGTTCAGACAGGGCCAAAATAGTCACGTTCAAGTTTTCAGGGTGTAGATTATTTAAGAAGCCAGGCATTCAGGATGCTCAAGAATAGACTTTTCATGACTCCTTTCCTCTCTTGTACAATTTCATCTTTTCTAGGAACAATTTTTTCTCTGCTTTTGTTGGTAATCAGCATTTTCTTGCATGCTTTTTTCCCCCTTGTAAAATGTTTTACCATTGGCTTTTAGTTGAGAAATTTTCATATTCATGTTCTTTTAAGAAGGGGAAAAAATTAACCTAACCACAGCTAACAATTACTGGGCATGAATGACGCCACAGGCACAGCGAGGGGTGCAACTTCCTTACAACAACCCAATGTACAAGGAGGTGGAGCCAGGGCTTAGGGAGAGGAGCTTATCAACTCAGGGGACCCTCTTTATTAAAAAAGCCTACCAAATTAACGAATAGGAAATGAGATGGAACGTCTTGGAAGGGCCATTGCAAGTAGGGACTCCCAGGCTCAGGTTTTCTGGTAAATTTGTTCCGGCAATGAGGCAGGTATCAACAACATCTGCTTTGAAAGATGAGGAAACTACGAGAAGTTACGCAAATTGCCCCTGAGCCTCTCAATAGCAAGGAACAGAGCCAGGTGGCTTAAAGACCATGATGCCATCCCATCCCTAGAAAAGGGAAAATAAGGTTTTTATTGTAGCAGAAATTAGAACATCTTTTGGTAAATTTGTAAAACTTGATTAATGTTATTCAAAGCCTATGTATTAAAGAGAAGCTAGGGAAGATATGATCACGGTCTTTTTATGTTAACTTGTTTAAACTTGCTCTACGGGGACATTATATTCCGTTGAAATTAAAGAAGGATGCTAACCAAAGACAGAAATGGCTGCATCCTCCAGGGATTTGTTAGTTTTGGATCCTCGAAGCTAGGAGATAAGGTCACCCATGGCCTCCTGGTTTTTGTGAAACACGGGCCAACCTCAAGGTGGTTGTAATACTTGACCTGTCTATTGCTCAGAAGCCATGGGTGAATAGTCAGCAGCCACACAGTAGGGTGACTTGGCAACAACGCTGTTCATGCCTAATGGTGACCACAAAAATGGGAGATAGGAAGGCAAGACTTAGCCTCAGGGATAACCTCCTATCATGCATGAGTTTTTTCTCATCCTTGGAACACACGAGGTGACTTCCTTTTGCATAGAACATTTACGGTCTCCTCTAAAAATGATCATTTTCCTTTCTGGAGTTTTAGAAGATAAAGCAGTCCAACATTTCCTTCAATTCACTCCCTTTCCTGAAGGCAGACAACTGATACAGTGAGAAAGACCATTGGTGGAAAGTAGTATGGTGATTCCTCAAAGAAATTAACAGAAATACCATTTGATCCAGCGATCCCATTATTGGGTATACACCCAAAGGAACATAAATCATTCTACCATAAAGATACAGGCACGCATATGTTCATTGCAGCACTATTCACAATAGCAAGGACATGGAATCAACCTAAATGCCCATCAACGGTAGACTGGTTAAAGAAAATGTGGCACATATACACTATGGAATACCATGCAGCCGTAAGAAAAGAACGAGAGCATGTCCTTTGCAGCAACATGGATGGAGGTGGAGGCCATTATCCAAAGCAAACTAACACAGGGACAGAAAACCAAATACTGCATATTCTCACTTATGAGTGAGAGTTACACAATGAGAACACACGGATACTAAAAGGAACAACAGACACTGGGGCCTACTTGAGGTGGAGAGTGGGAGGAGAGGAAGAATCAGAAAAACTACCTATTGGGTACTATGCTTATTACCTGGGTGATGAAATAATCTATACACAAAACCCCCACGACATGCAGTTTACTTATGTAACAAACTCACACATGCACCACTGAAACTAAAATAAAAGTTAAAAAAAAAAACAAAGGCCACTAAGTTCATTATCACGTTCCACAACCTATTAAAACTGACACCTTAAATGGGTCATTTAACTGATGACTCTAAGTTTCCTTGCTTGAAAACTTAGGGTGACGATAATATTAACTACCCACAACAGGGAACTGAAAACAACCCACATATTGATTACTGGGGGATGAATAAGCAAATGGCAATCAAGTGATAAGGTGGAATACTAGACAGCAGTTAAATGAAGTAGAGTATACACATAGATCTCAAAAATACATGAGTGGAATGAACATCACAAATATTAATATAGTAAAACAACATTTGCTTAAATTTGAAAACATATACAATTATTTAGTGCTTATGCATACTTATATATGAGGCAAAAATATTAAACACAGGCCAGACACTCCCCAAATAAAGATGATGGTTGCTTCTGGAGTAGAAGACCTGACAAGGCAAATAAAAAGGATGTCAACTTGATGTGCAATGTTTTACTTCTTATAAATGGAAAAAGATTAGAAGCAAATATAAAAATGTTAGCATTTATTAATTTGGCAAATAAATACACTGGAGTTTGTAATATTTTCCTTTACAGTTTTCTGTATTAATTTTTGTTGTTTCAAGATAAAATACTAAAAACTTGTCACAGAGAAGTTACATGGATTCATTCAATCAATTGTTCATTAATTCACCTAAGATTTAATGCCATTACCATTATAGATAGTATCAAGTACTCTCTACAGCTTGGCGATCTACTAGTGAGCAAAACAGCCCCAGCCCCTGCCCACACAGGGCTTAGCACATGTAGGGCAAAGACCACTCCTTATGGAAATATAGTCCACCAGCTTGAGAGTCTTCCCTGAAGTTCAGTTTAGGAAGGTGGTTAGAAGGAGCACTTAGGTGTAGCTGAGATTTAACTCCTGTATGTCCTACCCTTTCTGGGTGTTCCTGGAATGCCTGACTCATGGGCATGTTACTAGAATTAAGGTGATTCTGTAGCTAGAGCCCTTAGCCTAGCCCTGGCTCCAAGGAGGCACTCAACAAATGCCCGGTTCCTTTACTTTGTCCCTTGAGAGAATGCAGGGCTTTAAGTGCTAGTTTAGGAATGCTGGGTTTGCATCTGAAATAATTATATTCAACAGCTAAACATGGGCGGAGTGAGGTCCAATCTTTTCACAAGCTGTTCAAACATAATAACAGGAGGCTGATTTTTAAGAGCTGAAGAGGAGATAAGCATTTGGCCCAGAAGGTAACTAGAAGGGAGATGCTGAGGGGGGTCATCAAACCATGTCACATAAGGGGGCGACTAAAAAACTGAAGAGAGAGAAGCCTGAACAAGGAAGAACTTAATAGCTGACCTCAAAAGTATGCCATGAGGAAAAGAAATACGACTTACTTTATAGAATTCAAGATAACTCAAAGGAAAATGAGTTTGGCTTGCCACAAGGAAGACAATGTTAATAATCCCAGTTGCCCATGGAATAAAAGACCTCTAAAAGGAGGTGGTAAGTGAGCTCCCCATCACTGAGGATAACCAAGGATGTGGTAGAAGAGCACTCTGTGGTGATGCTACAAAGGAAATCCAAGCATTCTATCGATTTCTGGGCTGCATGCTTTTTTAAAGTCTCTGAGTGTTGAGAGTTTATGACTAACTTACGGTCTTAAGAGGAGCTGAAACAGCTGGATAGGTGTCCTGCTCCAGCCTGTCCCACTAATTGCTCACTAATCCCTTAACAGTAGCTTCCATTTTTGCAACATCTTTGGATATTTTCAAAGTCCTTTCACATGCATTTTCACATTTCTCCCCAAGAGCCCATGAAGAAATAGCAGATCCAATCCTAAGCTGAACAGGGAGAGGTGCAGGGGAGAAAGTGAGAGGAAAGGCCTGTGATTGGGCATAGAGGGACCTGCCTTCCACGGAACTGAAGCATTGGAAAAGACACTGGCTCCAATTGCCATGCACCCTGCAACTACTTCCTAAGGTCAGAGGCTCGGTGTGGAGGTCACAACCTAAAAGCAAGTTAGGTGTGCTATGTTGGCCAGAGGCACAGCACGTGGGGACAACATGGAGAACTGTTCCCGGCAGCTGCCACCACCACTGTGATCTCATCTGGAGGAAGAAAGGCAGCAGCTGCCACCCCCACTTCTCGCAGCCAGACAGTGAACAGTCCCTCAATCTCCAACCTGTTGAGGGCGAAACAGCTGGAAACCTCCTGCCTGCCTCTAGGTCACAAAACTTGGCAGCAAGCTGAAGACTCCAGGAATGAGAGAGAGACACCCCTCCTTGTCTCTTCTCCCCAGACACTGATTTCCTGAGAGTCAAGAAGCCAGTCAGTCATCGCACCGAAGGAAGGAAGTGAGTGATGGACAGTGGAGATCCTTTATGAGCCCCGGAAGTTCTTTAGCCGTGTGACAATGAGCATATGTGTGTATCAGTCACCGTGGCTGCATAACAAACCAGACCACACTGGCAGCACAAAACAGCAGCATTCTTTTCTTGTCATTACGTCTCCTGGTTCTGTGTGTGACTAGCCTCAGTTAGGTAGTTCTCACTCAGAAATTCTTAAGAGGTTGCAGTCAGGTGGTGACTGAGGATGGGGTCACCTAGGAAGTGTCTTCACCCACACCTCTGGTTGTTGATGCTGCCTGTCAGCTAGGACCTCAGCTGGGGTCATCCATGATGCCTGGGCTTCCTCCCAACATGGCAGCCAGGTTCAAAGGGAGAGAGCTGGGTGGAAGCTGTATTGTTTTTATGACCCAGCTTCTGAAGGCAAATGACTTCTGCTATAATCTGTCAGTTACAGGGGACTCACAGAGGCCAGCCATATTCAAGGAAAGGGGAATCAGAGTCACTTCATGTAAGAGAAATATCAAAGCACTTGTGAGCATGTTTTAGAAGACCACAGGTACAACCTTTCCTTTAGAAACTGTACTCCATCGCCTTTGAGGAATCCACACATCACTTCCCAGAGCAGGAATTACCTCTCATTGTGCCTGGCTTTGGGTTAAGGAGCATCACTGAGTTGGATGTGTCCACATTTGGGAGGCTCTGGAAATAAGAAATCATGGAAGACCTGAATGCCAGGGCCACAGCGTTCCTGGCTTTAAACATATTGAGTCACTTTCAAAGATTTTGTGTGAAATACAAATTCCATTTCACACAAGGTAGAGCCCAGTGAGGGATTAACCAGTTGCCTGTGGATATAGTTCCATTTTCTTTTGACTCTGAAGCCAGGAAAGCCAGTGTATGCCCCTAAAATAACACACAGGTCAAAGCCTCCAGAACAGACTGTGCTTCTGTGCTGATACCATATCTCCTAACTTCTACTCAGGACTCAAATGGAGTCTCCTCTCTGCGTTTACATAAGTTCCAGGCCCCAGGCCCCAGCAACACTTCTAGAAATAACTCTTTTACTTTTGTATTACAAAATAAAAAGATCAGTCCAGGTGAAGGGAACCCTTGTGAGTAAAGCCTCTATTTTCTTGTACAAGGAGTTTTGGCAAAATTTTCTTATTGGCTCTCTTTTTTAAAAAAATTTGACCTGTTTTGAGCTTCACTGGAGTCCCCAGAAGTCTGACACATGGACGGAGGCAGTAAAAGATGAATGAGGAAAGAAGAAATGTTTTTCCTCTCATTCTAGACCTAGGTCTGAAATGCCTCCTCAGATCACCCATTCAGCTGAGCCCACTGCTGTGGCAGGATGGCTTGCCAGCAGTCAGCACTTGTACAAACACATGTTATGAGGCAGTGAAAAATAATGGGCTGAGGTTGAGTGCCGGGACTTAGCAAGATGAAAACACACACACACACACACACACACATACACACACACACACACACACGAAGGGGAAGAACTATTATGTGGTCTTCTGGGTCAAGATGAGCTTTCCACCCCAACTCAACAACATTGAAATCATGTAGTTGGGGGGATGCGGGAACTTAGCAATGACTGGCAGTGCCGGCTTTTTTCCCCTCACCCACAATGGCCCAACTTCCAACTGCCAGCACCTGCAGTCTTTTACCTGAAGGCTGTCTTCGGCCATGGGGACTGCTTTTCCTGTGTGAGGGGCAGGCTGGACGTGCCAAGGCATTGACACTTCTGGGAACAGCCCCCAACCCATGACTGGTGGAAGTGGTGTATAAATACCCCAGCTCCCTCACCCCTTGAAGGGAGAACTCTGAGGTATGTGTTCTACATTGTATCCTGGCGACCCCAGCCAGATTAAACTGAGTTGCTCACAGTGGTAACTGGGAATGATACCAACTATTTCATTGATTTGCAAAATAAAAAGATCTGCCTGGCAAAGGGAATCTTTGTGAGTAAAGCTTCTATTTTCTTGCAGAAGGAACTTAGGCAGAATTTTCTTTTCAGTTCCTTCTATTTTTTTTTCTTTTTCTTTCTTTTTTGACCTGTTTTGAGCTTCATCTTTCCTTCCTGGTCTCACTTCCCCATCCTCTACTGTTGTTTCCTGGGATCAACTCCTAAATAAACTATACACACCCACATCCTTGTCTTAGAATCTGCTTCTGGGGAACAAGAACTTAGCAAGGCACTTGATGGCAGAGCAACATATTAATGATCACCAAGGGTGTGCCACTGCTGTACATGTCATTTATGCATCTCAAGTTATCCACCCCAAATCAACTTGTGTGTCAGGAACCAACACATAAAAAAGAATCACAAAGAAACAAATGAGGATCCACACCAATGAAGTGTTCTGCTGGGACAGCGTTTGTTGGAAAAAATGACGATCGTATTCCTTCCAAAGACCCTGACACATGCAACTCCCGTGTTCATGCAGGGGGCCTTGTATCCCTACATCTATTCCAGGCATCCATTTCCCAATAAAGGTACTTGAAGAAGGAATTGTTTTCTCTCTCTGATGCTGTGTCTGTAATGAAGAGGCTGCTGGCCACTGAAAGCAGCTTCCACTACAGAATAACATGGCTGTTTACTCGGCAAATCAGACCATTCCCCCACCTTCTTAGCTTCTCTCCTCCCACTTACTGTCATAGCTGAATGTGCAGTGCTGCACCTGAAAGGTGTGAATGGTTATAAGACCCAAGGACTAGGGACACCTCCTCCTCCCTTCCTTCTTCCCTTCCCTTCCTAGCACAAGATTTTTGAGACCAGTTCATGGTTCTGCTTTGGAAGGAAGTGAGAGGGATATTAGGGATAACTGGCCCTTGTTAAGTTACTTTCTGTGGTCAACCAAAGCTCTAAGTTTCCATTTTTCACAAAAGTCTCTTTAAAAGTTTACCTAAGTAAGTATCTAAGAAAAATGACTAAAATCTACAAGGCATTTCCTGAAGAGAAATACATGCAACAAATTAACATTTACCTGGAAAGTCTGTCATGGTGTATATGTCATCAATATGTATAGATGTGTATCTACATGTATGTATATGAGGATGTGTATGTGTCCAGAATGTGCCTACACACAAATACATGGATGAATCTCAAAAACAGAGTGCTATGAAGCCTTACATCCAAAAGCACATATTGTAGGATTCATGCACATAAAGTTCTAGAACAGGCACAAACTAATCTATGGTGATATCAGAAAAGTAGTTGTATGGGGTATGCTGAGCTGGGGTTCCTGAGAAGGGGCAAGAGAGAACTTCCTGGGATGATGGTATGTCCTATACCTTGACAGAGGCAGGGGGCAAAGGTTTACTATATGTCAGAACTCATGGATGCAACTCAAAACTTGTGCACATCATGCGTATAAACGTAACCCAAAGTAGAAGGGTAAAAAGTGATAAACTTTAGCTAATGATATACATGATCTAACAACACATGTGAGAGGGAATGGGTTGACTTCTGAAATTACTTTGAAGTCTACTAAAATAGCATGGATTGATGGATGGCCACAGGGTTGGGGAGAGGGATAAACATGTGATAATAGCCAGTATAGTAAAATGTAAACTATAGAACCTAGGTGCTGGGTCTATATGCATTCAGTATAAAATTCATTCTAGTTTTCTATATGTTTCCAAATGTTCATAATAAAATGCTGGAGAAGAAAATACAGCTGGCTCCTGTATTCATGGGTTCTGTATCTGTGAATTCAACCAATTGTGGATAAAAAATATTTGGAAAATTTGAGCCATGGTCTGAGAGACTCTTTGTTATGTTTTCAGTTCTCTTCCATTTGCTGAGAAGTGTTTTACTTCTAATTATGTGATTGATTTTAAAGTAAGTGCCACGTGGCTCCAAGAAGAATGTATAATCTGTTGTTTTTAGGTGGAAAGCTCTGTAGATGTCTATCAGGTCCACTTGATCCAGAGCTGAGTTCAAGTCCTGAATATCCTTGTTAATTTTCTGTCTCAATGGCCTAATATTGACAGTGGGGTATTAAAGTTTCCCACTATTATTGTGTGGCAGTCTAAGTCTCTTTGTAGATCTCTTAGAACTGGTTTTATGAATCTGGGTGCTCCTGTATTGGGTGCATATGTATTTAGGACAGTTAGCTCTTCTTGTTGAATTGATTCCTTAGCTAAAGCAGTGTTAAGAGGGAAATATATAACACTAAATGACCATATCGAAAAGCTAGAAAGATCTTAAATCAACACCCTAACATCATAACTAAAAGAACTAGAGAACCAAGAGCAAACAAACCCCAAAGCTAGCAGAAGACAAGAAATAACCAAGATCACAGTGGAACTGAAGGAGACAGAGACATGAGAAACCCTTCAAAAAATCCATGAATCCAGGAGCTATTTTTTTTTGAAAAAAAAAAAAAAAAAAGACCACTAGCTAGACTAATAAAGAAAAAAGAATCAAATAGACACAATAAAAAATGATAATGGGGATATCACCACTGATCCCACTGAAATACAAACAACTGTCAGAGAATACTATAAACACCTCTATGCAAATAAACTAGAAAATCTAGAAGAAAAGGATAAACTGTTGGACACATACACCATCCCAAGATTGAACCGGGAATAAGTTGAATCCCTGAATAGACCAATAACAAGTTCTGAAATCGAGACAGTAATAAATAGCCTACCAACCAAAAAAAGCCCAGGACCAGACAGATTTATAGCTGAATTCTACCAGAGGTACAAAGAGGAGCCGGTACCATTTCTTCTGAAACTATTCCAAACAATTGAGAAGGAGGGACTTCTCTCTAACTCATTCTATGAGGCCAGCATCATCTTGATACCAAAACCTGGCAGAGATACAACAACAACAAAAAAAAAAACTTAAGGCCAATATCCCTGATGAACATCTATGCAAAAATCCTCAATAAAATACTGGCAAACTGAATCCAGCAGCACATCAAAAAGTTTATCCACCACGATCAATTCAGCTTCATCCCTGATGCAAGGCTGGTTCAACATATGCAAGTCAATAAATGTAATTCATCACATAAACAGAAATAAAATCAGAAACCACATGATTATCTCAATAGACACAGAAAAGACCTTCAATAAAATTCAACATCCCTTCATGTTAAAAACTCTCAATAAACTAGGTATTGATGGAACATACCTTAAAATAATAAGAGTCATTTATGACAAACCCACAGCCAATATCATACTGAATGGGCAAAAGCTGGAAGCATTCCCCTTAAAAACTGGCCCAAGGCAAGGATGCCCCATCTCACCACCCCTATTCAACATAGTAGTGGAAGTTCTGGCCAGGGCAAAGAGAAAGAAATAAAAGGTATTCAAATAGGAGAAGAGGAAGTCAAACTGTCTCTGTTTGCAGATTACATGAACCCATATCTAGAAAACCCCATGGTCTCAGCCCAAAAGCTTCTTAAGCTGACAAGCAACATCAGCAAAGTCTCAGGAAATGATTCTAATATCCAGATTCTACAAGGAACTTAAAAAATTTTACAAGAAGAAAAACAAACAACCCCATTAAAAATTGGGCAAGGGACACGAACAGACACTTCTCAAAAGAAGACATTTGTACGGCCAACAAACATATGAACAAAAGCTCAATATCACTGATCATTAGAGAAATGCAAATAAAAACCACAGTGAGATACAATCTCGAGCCAGTTAGAATGCAATTATTAAAAAGTTAAGAAACAACAGCTATTTATTGTTAAAATAGATGCTGGTAAGGCTGTGGAGAAATAGAAACACTTTTACACTGTTGGTGGGAATGTAAATTAGTTCAACCATTGTGGAAGACAGTGTGGCGATTCCTCAAAGACCTAAAAACAGAAATACCATTTGACCCAGCAATCCCATTACTAGGTATATAACCAAAGGAATATAAGTAATTCTACAATAAAGACACATGCATGCATATATTCATTGCAGCACTATTCACAATAGCAAAGACATGGAATCAATCCAAATGCCAATCAATGACAGGCTAGATAAAGAAAATGTGGTACATATGCACCATGGAATACTATGCAGCCATAAAAAGGAATGAGATAGTGTCCTTTGCATATATATATATGGATGGAGCTGGAAGCCATTATCCTCAGAAAACTAATGCAAGCACGGAAAACCAAACACTGCATGTTCCCACATGTAAGTAGGAGCTGAACAATGAGAACACATGGAAACGGGGAAGGGAACAACACACACTGGGGCCTGTTGGGGAGAAGGGGGAGAAAGAGCATCAGGATAAATAGCTAATGCATGTGGGGCTTAATACCTAGGTGATGGGTTGATAGGTGCAGCAAATCACCAAAGCACAAACCTGCATATCCTGCACCTGTATCCCAGAACTTAATATAAAATACAATTAAATTTTTTCTTTAAAGAAAAAAAGTGTTTATTGATTAAAAGTAATTTTGACTAGAGTAATTAATTAAAATGGTTTGATTTCCATTTATAGATTTTATGAATAAATGCTAGAGTTTTCCATTAAAAAATAATTGGAAAAAAAATTCCACAAAGTTCCAAAAAGCAAAACTTAAATTTGCCACGTCTCAAGTACTACATTGAATCCACGTAAATGAAGTGATGTATAGGCATTGTATTAGGTATTAGGTATTATAAGCAACCTAGAGATGATTTAAAGTGTATGGGAGGATGTGCATAGGTTATATGCAAATGCTATGCCATTTTATATCAGGGACTTGAGGACCCATGCATTCTGATATTCTGAGGTGGGGGGGTGTCCTAGAACCAATCCCCCGTGGATACCAAGGGACCACTGGACCTAAAGGCAAGATTCTTGAGACTGAATGAGGAGACAGAGGAAGCAAAATTTTAAATAAACAGCACATCGAATTGTGGCATTGATGGGACAGTAATTCTATATTTATAGTGGGAATTACTGAGGAATTCTGTCCTCCTGAGAACCACTAAGCAGAGCCAGGCACTGAGTAATTTTGCTTGGGCATCCTTAAAGGAAATATCCCTTTTTTTTTTTTTTTTTTTTGAGACGAAGTTTTGTTATGTTGCCCAGGTTGGAGTGCAGTGGTGCCATCTCGGCTCACTGCAACCTCCATCTCCCGGGTTCAAGTGATTCTCATACCTCAGCCTCCCAAGTAGCTGGGATTACAGGTGCCTGCCACCACGCCCAACTAATTTTTGTATTTTTAGTAGAGATGGGTTTTCACGATGTTGGCCAGGCTGGTCTTGAACTCCTGACCTCGGGTGATCCACCCACCTCAGCCTCCCAAAATGCTGGGATTTCAGACATGAGCCACCATGCCCAGCCAGGAAACATCCCTTTCCGAGCCACGAACATAAAATGATTCCACAAAGGGGCCAATGTCCTGCATGAAACCAGGGCAATTGGATAAAAATGGCTGAGAGTGGGGAGGTGCAGCTGCGTTACAACTCTCCTTCCTTTAAATTCAGTATTAAATAACTCAATTTAATAAATTGGCCTAGTATTTGTGGTTAAAATGGAGCAGGCAGTGGGGAAACTGTGTTGCTGGAATGTGGAAAGATATTGTCCAAAGGGCAGCCTCCCACCTCAATGGTCCTACGGATGCAAGGGTGCTATGGTCTTCATGCTTATGTTCCCCCCAAATTCTCATGCTAAATTCCTAGCCCCCAAGGCAGGGGGTAGGACCTTTGGCAAGGTGATTAGGAGGTAAGACCTTTGGGAAGATGATTAAGAATAGGATTACTAAATCTATAAAAGAGACTCCAAAGGGCTCCCTTGCCCCTTCCTCAGTGTGAGGACAGAGTAAGAAGGCGCTAACCATGAACCAGGAAACAGGTCCTCACCAGACACTGAATCTGCCAGTGCCTTGGCCTTGGACTTCCAGCTTCCAGAACTGTAAGAAATAAATTTCTGTCGTTTAGACGACATTCAGTCTATGGCATTTTGTTTTAGCAGCCTGAGCAGACTACGACAAGAAGGTCAGTCAAGTGCAGATCAAACCCTCCTTTCCCACCTGCTTCTGCCTCTCAACCTCATCCCTGCGACCACTGCTATCCATTCTACACACCCAGCCTGCATACTCGGCCTACAGACCAAAATCCCCATCATCCGTGATTTTTCTATAAATTTACCCAGGGCAAGTCAACAAGATTTCAGCAGAAGTGGAATTCCCGTTCCCCAGAAAAAGCTCCACGGGGAGGCTTACCTTGATACTGACAGGCTGTTCATGTGACTGGCTCCTGTGCTTTGACAACTAAGACTATTTTTACTTTCCGCCTGGGTTTTTGTAGTATTAGTGCCTGTCAAATTCATTTTACCTGCCTCCCATAGTAGAAAACTCCCACGCCCTAAAAACCAGAGAAAGGAATCAGCAGCATGAATAATAACTACAATCTCTTAAGTGTGACAAGCTGAGACTCCGTTTGCAGGACCCCTCAGGACTGTTGCAAAGTGGGTGCTTGGAAAATGGGCATCCACTCAGGGACTGAGCACTGGCTGTGTGTTAAAGACTTGACACGCTTTGTTCCACCAACTCATGAATGATCCCCACTTCTCAGGGAAGGGAACCAAGGCTTTGAGAGATTACGCGGCTGGTCCAGGGTCCCACAGCCCATGGGTCCTCCCCAGGCCTGTGATGCCCAGGCCCTACATCCATCACTCTGCTCAGAAGTACCTACAATTACAAAATGTGGCCTCTCCTTATCTATCTGAAAGGTTCCCTCATGACCCCAAGACAGGGTGGGTACTGTGAGTGCCCATTTATCAACTGAGGTCACAGAAGCTTCACTGAGTCCAGCCTGCTCTTTGGACCCAGTCCTCTGCTCCTTCCAGAGCCTGTCCCAGGGGTCTGCAGCTTCTTGCCTTTTTTCTTTTTTTCATATCAGTGTCCCTGATCCCAATAACGTGGACACTGAGTGGGCCCTGAGGTCTCCTGCAGGCCCAGGGCTGGGGAGCCAGGCTGAGCTCCTGGCACAAAGGTTTTGACAGGGATGGATGAGCCACTGGGCTGGGCCCAAATCCATTTTGTTCTGAGTCAGCTTCTAAAAAAGGCTGCTAATCTTTAGTTCAAGGATTTTATTGTTCTATTATAGACATTTCAGCCAAAAGAAATGGGAGTCACACTCTATCAGGAACCTCAGAAGCGTCCGTAGGATAGCCTAGACATGTACCTATTTAAACTTACTCTCCAAGGTGGAATGTGAACATAGTCCTGGGCCTCAGTGGAACCTACTCCAGGGCACACAAACCGAGGTGTGGCCGTGGCCCACTAGCCAGGGATAGACTGTGCTTGGTGCCTCTGACCAAACCAAAGCGCACTCACTGGTGTAGCTCAGACCATCCCTGACCTTCACAGCCCTCAGACAGGCCACCCCCATTGTTCATGGAGCCTGCTGAGAAACTCCTCAGGCCTGGAGAGCCTTTGGGGAGAGAGACCAGGCCTACCTGGGCCTCCCTGGGCCTCATTCCACCCCGAAGCACCAGAGTCCACCCAGGCCTGGGAGTGTCAGAGAGCAGCCGGGAGATGTGCCCCAAGGCCCTGCCCTCAGCCCCAGGGGCACCTCGCCCTGTTACCTCGGCCAGCCCTGGCTTCTGAGTGGGTGGGAGTGGCAAGTGCTGAGGCAACTGAGGACCCGATGGCAAGATTAGACCCACAAATAGGACAAGGCAGGAACATTCCCTGTTGACTTCAATACAAAGAGATTTTAAAATGCAGCTAGTGTGAAACACACCCTGGTGTTTCCCAGGGCAAGAAAGCTTAGAAACAAAACCCGTGGTCTCCAAGATAGAGTGAAGAAACAAATGTTCACAGGGCTTGGGAGTAGTGCTGAACACACATAGACCCTGCTGGAAGACAGGTTTGGTGTCTTACATGTGGCTGGCGGTCTCCCTTTATTCATCTGTTTGCCAGCTTGTTGAAGATTCTAGGCCTTGCAAGCCCAGCTATTCTACCCTGAGCCAGCTTGACAGAGACCACCCATGCAAGAGGTGGGTCTCAGGCCACCATTCTCACCTGCTGTTCACGCTGCTATAATAGAACACCATAGACTGGGTGGCCTATAAACAACAGAAATTTATTTCTCACAGCTCTGAAGGCTGGGAAGTCCAAGATCAAGATGCCAGCAGGCTTGGTGTCTGGTGGAGGGCCTGCATGCTGGTTCATAGATGACATTTTCTCACTCTAGCCTCACAAGGTGGAAGGGGTGAGGGCTTTCTCTCAGGCCTCTTTTATAAGAACACTAAATCCTATTCCTGAGGGGACTGATCTCATGACCTAATCGTTCCCCTAAAAGCTCCATCTTCTAACACTATCACCTTGGGAGTTAGAATTTCAACAAATGAATACTGGAGGGACACAAACACTCAGACTATAACCCCCTGGAAGCTTGAAAACCTCTGACACCTGCTTCCCAGTCCCAGAGGCTGAGATTTTCCTGGCCTGGGGTGGACCTGGGTTTAAAATCTCCACAGGTGCCTCCAATGAGCTAAGCCAGGGATCCTCACACTTGAGTGTGCCTCACAAGCCCCTGGAGGGCTTGTTACAACCCAGATGGCTGGGCCTGCCTTTCAGAGGTTCCAATCCAGTAGGGCGCAGGTGCAGCTCAAGGATGAGCATTTGTAACAGGCACCCAGGGGCTGCTGCTGCTGGTGGTGGTGGTCCTAAGACATCTGAGAGCGCTTAAAAGGGGGCAGAACAGAGCCCACCTGGCAACCCAGATTATGTGACCTAAGGCTGACCACACACAAACAAGGCTTTGGGAGACAGGCAACCTTAGAGTCCTGGTCCTTGCTCTAGTGCCAACTAGCAGGGAGCCCTGGAGGTGCCCCTCATGTCTCTAAACCTGAAGCTTCATCTGCAAAATAAGATTATCTGTGTAACAATCTCAGTAAGAGATTGAAGAAAAGAGCCCCAAGTCCCCTGGGCACACTGCTGCTCCAGAAATGATTGAGGAGTGGGGAGCCAGGTGGGTGGGAGTGAACCCCAGGGAGTAGAGACATGGCCAAGGCCACATGTGCTCCCAGGCCAGGAGGAAGCAGCACTATGTGGCTTATCACTGTCATAGGCCACAGTGCAGCCGAGAGGTGTGTTGGGACCAGGAGGTGACTTCTCTTGCAGGCTCTCCACTCCCCAAGGTGGGTGTTCCCAGCACCCCGCTGTAATACCCATGGTCTCTACACACAGTTGAGTGCATTGCTCACTGCTCCGGGGGTGCCTGTGAGATAAGCTCTGGGGAAACTGTCATCGTGCAGAGCAAGCCATGAGTACAGGTGGACAACCCTAAGTGGCTGCTTTACTGTGGAACCCCAGAGGAAAGCAATTCCAAGGTAGAATGAGTACTAGACATGTGGTCTGGAGACCCAGATGCTCTGGAGCAAGGGGTGTTCCAGGCCCGTGGTTTCAAGCTCTTTTAGGGGGTAAACTTTTACTCTTCAAATAAAATTTTAAACAGATCCCTAACATACGAAAGGAAAAATATTGGAGTTTTTTTGATTGTGTGCCAGTGGGTGGGGGCAGGAGGAGGGGAGAGTACCTGAATCACAGACCCCCAGCCCAGGGGTGACATTAAAAATATGCAATATGGCACAGGCACCACCTGGGGGAAGGATCAGGGAGAGTAGAGAGGACCTTGGAAATGTCATTCCTGCCTCAACCTCCCCTGCAGAGCACATGAGGCAACTGTCACAGAGCCTGGAACCAGGGGCAGCAGCAAACATTTCTGTAAAGGCCCAAGAATAAATATTTTAGGCTTTTCAAGCCCTGTGGTCTGTGTTGCAACTACTCAATTCAGCCTTCATAGAGCAAAAGTTGCCATAGAAACACATAAATGGATGTGTGTGGCTGTGTTCCAATAAAACTTTATTCACAAAGACAGTCGACAGGCCCCCTGTGGCCAAGGGCTCTTGTTTGTTGAGCCCTGGCTTAGAGGAAAAGGGTTTAGAAGCCACTAGAAACCATAATCCCTATGTTTGTTTTTGCATTTATGACTCTGAATTCTCAGTTCTTTAACTCGACTTGCTTTGCTCTCAGACTAACTAATCTATCAACTGGGCATCATCATACCGTTTTTCCTGACCTTGAGGTATTTATTCCAAGAGCCAAACATGTTCCAATGAGCTAATGAATGTGAAAATGCTTTGAAATGTCTAAAGGACTTTACAAATAGATCCACAAAATCTCTGCATCTAACAGCAGAGTTTTATCATCCTTTACCTGTGTTTCAGAAAGATTCCAGACACCACTCACCAAATTAGGCTGCCTGGGCTGCTTTTAAAGAACAGTGTTTAAAAAAATGTCTCAATAAAAATGCCCTAAAGGGATGTCAAAGCTAGAAAAAACAAATAGTGTCTGGCCCTTTCTGCTAGAGCCTGAGACTTTAAACTCTTCATTAGTATAAAGTAGAAAATCCTCTGCTCCCTATTTCATCCTGTTTGTTTACATAGTGGACTCTTAGGCCAGAAACTTATTAGTCAGAAGCCTCGTAGTTAATACCACTGTATGTCTCCTACACGCAGCCCAACCTGTAAGAATGTGGTATTGTTGCTGAATGACACTAAATAATCTATTCATCATTAAAACAATCTTATTCCCACAAAGTTCTAATGTGCCTGCAGAGTGGTAAATTCCTATAAATGATCTCCATCAGCCTACCTTCCACTGTATTTCTGGCAGCAAAGATAATATGGCTACAATTTATTAAGCACATACTATGATTTGCAGCTGCTCTGCAAAGCTTACTTCACTGAATGATTACCACAAGCCTGGGAAGAAGGCATCTTAATTTGCATTTTACAGAGGGTGGAAATGAGGTCTAAATAATTTAGGAAGCCACTTGGCATCACACAGGTCGAAAGTGGTGGAGTTGGGATTTAGGATTTACTCCAGAACCCAAGTTCTTTCCACACAATTGCCAAATGACTTCATCTATACAAAAGCATTCATTATTTTCCGCAGGGTTCTTTTATTACCAAAGAAAAGATGCAATTTGCAAATGGCACCACTGGGACAATTTCTGCCTCATTGATGACCCCCACAAGGTGAAAAGAGAATAAAATTGTTTCACTTGATGAGGGAATTGTTATGAAGATTAAAGCAAGAGCTATAGCCAGCCTTGGCAGACATAAATTTGGGTTATGATTTTTCTATAATGGTGGTATTTGGCTTTTGAAAATGAGATAAGCATAAAGAAAAATTGGGAAATTTGCTTTTTCAGAAGAAACAAGTTTGGGGGAAATTAATGTAGCAGAGACTAGCTAGCAGTTCACCAAACCTGTTTCTTCTTCTTTCTACATTCCACTGATGTACATGGGCCAGCCTCCCTTGAGGTTAGAGGTTGTCATGTGACTGAGCTCCGCCAATGGAATGTGAGCATCGGTGAGCATCTAGTCCATAAAACCCTGCTACCCCAAATCCTCCATGCTCTTTCCCCTTAATGCAAAGAAGCACAGCAACCTTGGAAGCCAAGTTGAGGAGGGAAAGGCCTAAAGATAGAAGGTTCTGGAGTCCATGGACCCCTTCTTGCAACAGGTGCAACTATAGACTAGAACATTCCATGAGAAAGAAATAAACTTCTCTTGTGTTAACACAGAAATCTGGAGGACTTCTCTGTTACAGCAGCTACTATTACCCTATCTAAATAATTCAGCACACAATTTGATACAAATTAAAAAGCAGATCACATTAGTTCCAAATCTGTTCCACTTAAGAATCTCAACAGCTGTGATTTGAATCATTATGAGAATTACAACTTCAGAAAGAAGTTCAAGTTACATAAGCTAGTGAAATAATGTACAGATGAATCTTAAGTCTTTAAATTTAGTTCTTTCTTGGGTTCAAACCCAGCAATAACCACATTAACCTAATTGCAATTTGTCATTTCTAGTATTTCGGAAACATTTGGTCAAATAAAACATATTATTAAAATTAATTTCACCTGTTTCTTTGTACTTTTGTAATGTAGCTAATAGAAAATTTAAAAGTACGCTTGTAGCTCACATCTTGTTCCTACTGGACAGTGCTACTCGAGATTGTGCAGACCTCAGATTTTCTCTTCAATTATTAATGGGTATTGAGCACTGCACGGGTGTTGGGTGGCCCTATGTTACTTCTGACAAGCCCTCTGACCTTGGGCGGTTGTTTATCCCCTCTGGTTCTTGTTTTTTTCATGTAAAAGATGACAATGTTGGCCCTATCATGCTTTGTAGACTGGTCATGTCCAGCCCTCTGATTTTAAACCAGCCCACTCTGATGTCACAGTTTAAACCCCAAACAGTGGGATCCTGACACTGTTCATGGCCAGTACCCTGAACGCATGTTTTCTGCTTGCTGGTCTGTGCCTGGACTCCAGTTCTTGTTTATGGACCACAGGCACCCCTTGAACCTCCCCTCCTGTTGCTTCTCTCATATAGACTTCCCGGTTTCCCTCGTCAACTGCAGCTCACATTTAACTGTTAACTGTGGGCTTCGGGCCAGTCAATAGCTGACCTGTAGGCACTCCTGGCCATCCCCATAGGGCAGTGCCCTGCCAGCCTGACTTTGGTCTTGAAACACAGGCCAAGCATCCTCTTCACTTTTCGAGGCCTTAGGCCCAGCTAAGCCAGACAGAGTGGGATGATCCTTTATCAAGGGAAATCCAGTGATCTCACAGTGAAGCCCACACCAAAGGCCATCATTTTAAATATTTTCCTTCTTCCAAAGTTTATTTGGAAAAAGCACTCTGAGGAAAAGCTCATTTCCTTAAAATATCAAGGAACCAAAAACCAAAAGATGATATATTTTTCTGGAGACACACTGCAAAGTGTATAAATAAAATTCTGTAAAGTGCACAAATAAATATTACAAAGAATTCATTTCTGCTACAGTTGTCTACCATCTTCAATATTACATTTAGCTAACTTAATTTTCCATGGATCAAATTATTCAAAGTTAAATTTCTCTTAATAGGTCATCTGAGTAAACAATTTCAAGTGTTACTTGCCAAAAGAAAAAAAAAAAAATGTTTCCAGGCTTCAGATGAAGTCGGCAGTGTCAGGCTAAGAAAACAACCTTAAAAATTCACAGAGAGCTGGAACAATTGCAAAGAAAAGTTGGAGCCCGGAGGTCAGTCAGTCTTGTTCATGCAGTTCTGAAGGTAGAAAAAAAAAAAAAAATCACAAATTTCTACCAAAACTAGGTCTTCAAGGGGCAAAGGAAAAATGCCTTTTTTTTTTTTTTTTTTTTTTTTTGAGACAGGGTCTCATTCTGTCACCCAGGCTGGAGTGCAGTGGAGTGATCTCAGCTCACTGCAACCTCCATCTCCCAGGCTCAGTTGATCCTTCCACCTCAGCCCCCCAAGTAGCTGGGACCACAGACTCACACCACCACGACTGGCTAACTTTTGTACATTTTATAGAGATGGGGTTTCACCATGTTGCCCAGGCTGGTCCCGAACTCCTGGCCTCAAGTAATCCACCCGCCTTGGGCTCCCAAAGTGCTGGGATTATAGGCGTGAGTCACCGCGCCCAGTGCCATTTTTTTGAAAGCAGAAAATGTATAAAGTAATATATCCTTAAAGTAGCAGCTGTCATCAGAAGACAGCACCCTGGGCTTTCTCTGGCACCAAAACTGGGCACTCTGTGCTCCTGGTTTTCAGACAGAGAGAAAGGGAGAAGGCAGGGCAGAGGGAAGGGGAGGAGGGGAGAGGGAGTAGAGGAAGGCTTGAGGTATGGCATGGAATTCTGCAAACACAGCAGTTATTAAGGGAAATGGGAGAGTGTCAAGGGGAAGAAGTTTTCTTGAATTTCTATTCTTGAAATTTCTTGGAATAAATGGATGTGTGCAAGGGAAGGGATAAATGTAGTTGAAGATCTATTTTGTAGGTGAGGAAATGGTAATCTGAGAGGCAAACCAGAATCATGCCCCAACAGGGAATATAACCAGAATAGAGGTAACTCTGTCTCCAGTCTCTGAATCTACAGGCTTCCTCTAATAGCATCTAAAGCCAGGGCTTCTGACAGCACAGTCTGAGAAGCCCCATGACATCACAAGTGGCAGCTGGGTGTACTTTATGACAAATGCCAAATTAACTCCTGCCTGTGACCTTGCCACCATAACTCAGACAGCCAGGACACACACTGCACCCCAAACACTCAAGTCCCTGTGTAAATCTTCACTCCTCCAAGCACAGAGGGAAGCCTGCTCCGTAGGCTCTGTTAAGTGTACTGCTGCCGCTGACATCATCATAAATAGGAAGGGAGAGAGTCCAGGAACCACAGGGCTCACTTCCTAGCCTCTCTATTTAAGATTTTCGAGGGCAGATGGCACTATATTTAACCAGCACAAGTAGTATTCATTGTGCCCAGGGCCTCTTAAGGAAAACTGAACAAAGTTTTAGAATGAACCTGCCCTCACCTCACTCCTGCTCAACCATTTCACCCAACAACAAGTTAGAGGCAGAGAAGATGAATATTATTAAAATGATGCTTCTAAATCAGGACCTTATGGGTGCTTTGGCTCTCAACTTTTTTCATAAAATATCTGTCCAGTCCAGACCGAGGAGCCAGCTTCGACAGCATTCTGGTAAGGGCATGGAGGTAACCAGGGCTCACATGTGTCTGTGGCAATGTTCTGATCCTGTTGTTAGAAATAGTCAATGCAGCAGAGATGATGGCATTCATTGCCAAGCCTGAGGTCTTCAGGGCTTGCCTACATGGGAAGATGGTACTGAAGCCTCCTGTCTAGATGACGGTCTGTTTAGACCTGAGCTACCTGCGGTGTGGCCTGCTGACAGACTCGCTCTGCAGGGAGTAGCTGGAGAATGTTGCTCTAGGAATCTTGCACTGTGCCCCACCCGTAATGATGCCCCAGGACAGAGGGTGGGAAATTCACGAATACACTCCTACTACAGTGCCATCAAACCCAGGGCACTAAGCTGTCCACACTTTATTAGTAATTCTCACAGCAATCATGAAAGATCAGAATGATGATGTCAACTTCTAGAGAAGCACACAGAGACTCTGAGAACCTGGCTATTTGGCCAAAGTCCACAGCTTCAGGTCAGTGTGACTCTAAGACCCGGGGTAGAGATAAGGCCCTCAGATTTACATATTTGCTCTACACCCTTGAGATGTTTGCAATTGGGCTGGAAAGACAGGAGATACATCCAAAGACAACTGCAAGTTCTGACCACCCTGTCCAATAGCTCTTTCTGTGATGATGGAAATGTTTTGGGACCTGTGCTGTCATCTGTGATCCAACTATCGAGTATTTGACATGTAGTTGGTGCAACTGAGAATCTGAATATTTAATTTTAGTTGGTTTGAATTCACTTGAATTGAAATTGCCATTGAATGTCCATATTTAACAGCACATGTGGAGACATTTTATACCAGCAGCAGTCAGAAAAGAATGCTGCAGTCTGGGGTGGTCCAAGCAAGCTTCATGAAGCACGTGGGCTCTGACCCAGCCCTTGATGTGTTAGGATTTGAACAGAACTTCTCCTGTTTCAGGCATGATCATCTTCCTTGTGGAATTTGGTTCTGAATCAAGGGCCTCAGAAACCAAGCCCGGTTCTTTTGGTCTGCAGGTAAGGAAATCAAGATTGTCCCTCCTGGATCCATATTCCCTTTGGACCTGCTTTTCGCAGCATGACTCAGCTTGCTTTTGCTTCCTCCCATATTCCTCCTGAAGCCTTTCCTCTCCTCCCTTTCCCTGTGTGGCCCCTGCCAACACAGGCAGATCCCGGGTTCACGTTCTTTTTATCTACCTAGACATTTTCTTTTCTATCTGTGAGGCTGAGTTATTTCCACTCTTGGAATGACTTTGAATGTGCTTTATGCTTCTACATCTGTCACTCTGAGAACGGTATTTCCCAATACAGTGAGCAATGCTACTCACAGAGAGACCAACCACCTGCCCCCAAAACACACCCCAGCAACAGGGAACAGAATCCCCCCATCCTTGCTGGTTCTGCATATGGCTGAACCTAATGCTCAGAGCTGGTCACCATGTCCTGTCTGATTCCATTCTTTCCCATACCAGAAGTGATACCTGGGCTTTCTAATACTATTAGCTGATTAATCCTAATTAGCTTATTAGTTGGAGAAAGATGTTGAAAACTATTTGACTACAGGACCAGATCTGTTCTTGGCACAGAAGCTGTGCCTTCCCTGCTATGCCTTTTCAGGCTAGTCCTTGGAAATCTCTGCTTCTTAAAGTACACGTGGTTCAGTCCCTCAGTGGGGCACTTGGACCCTTCATACCCATTTTCATTTCTAACTCACGTAGCTGCCCATGTGCTGCTTCACTTTCAAGTGAAAAATGCTCCTTGTGAGCATGGAACAACAGCCACAGTAACCCTTGGATTCTCCAGGTTGAGGAACATAGACTACATAGGGTATTTTTTTTGTTTGTTTTTGTTTTTGTTTTTCTGGTGGTGGTGGTGGAGGCAGGGCAGATAACTATTTTTAATTCTTTCCAGCTTTGCTTGAAAGCTGATTGTTAAGAGTCTAAGTATGGTGGGAAGGGCACTCCCACCCATCTTCCCAATAGATCGCAGACCTGCAATTCTCTGACATGTCTTCTGTACTCAACAGCCTGTAGTTGTTTGGGCTGCAATGGAGATTGTTTATATCCTTCCGTGCTGACACTAAAGATGAGACAGACCTTTGGATGTAGGATCAGCATGTCATTGAGCTCCTGGGCCCTTGACAGTGGCACACATGAGGCCAAGTCCCCACCAGGCAAGGACAGAAAGCCCCAGAGAGCTTCGAGGTCCAAGTCAAAGCAGCAAAATATGGCTACAGACCTACTCCATCCCACCGCCTGTTTTGGTACAACCTGTGAGATAAGAATGCTTTTTAAATTGATAAAGCATTATAAAAAATTATTTTAAGAATACACTACAGATGCGATATGTGGCCTGCAAAGCCTACAGTATTTACTGTCTGGCCCTTTCCAGAACAAGTTTACTGACTCCAGGTCTAAACCTTCAGGGACTTCATTCATCCAGAGGGATGCCTGTCACGTCCCTGAGGCTTGGTGGGCTGGGTCCTCACAGCTCCTCATTCCCTTTGATCTGCTTTGTTTTCTTTTTCTGTTTAGTAACATTAGAGATAGAATGTTCCATATATATTTCTGGGGAATGGCATAATAGATATCAAATCTCACAACCAATAAATTAATATTCGCCTCTTCCAAGAAGTTCAACATCGTGAGTGACGATCCGGCCCAATCCCTGTGTCTCTACTGTGATAGAAACAAAGTTCCTGATTAAAAACCAGCCAAAGAGGACCAAAGCAATCAAAGCAAAGGTAACCACAAAATATCCTCACCCATCCTGCTCCTGCCTTGGTTTCTCACTTGGCAGCACCAGCCTCCACATCTGATCTCAGTACCGCATCAGGAGTGTCACTGTCTCTGACTTACCCCCAGCTCCAGTAGAAAACGAACACAGAGGTCAAAACACAACTTAATAGTCCCTCAGGATGTCACCTGAAAGTTTCTTAGACTCCCATCCTAAACATCTTTGGAGGCTTTCTGGATTAAAATTCTAAGAAAACACACAGCAGCTGGCTCTTCCTCAGCCATAGCCAGAGAAAATGACAGCTGCTGCCCATGAGTAGTCAGCACTGTTACCTGGTTCGGTGCAGTTCTTGCTGTTCCGGAGTCCGGCATCTTCGGAAGTCAGAGTGTCGTTCACCTGCATCAGCTTCCTCGCCATCATCCACTTTCTGTCTTCCCCTACGAGGTCCATGAGGTCAAGCTCTGGGGAGACAAAGACAATAACCACACATCATTCACAGCTGGGTTTCAGCCTCTGCCGACGCTGCATGCCCGCTGCCCTGATCAGCCATCACTTGTTCAGCCCCGCCTGCACCCCCAGCCACTCTGCCTCTAGCTGCCTGAAGGCTTCCTTGCCGCACCAGTGGGATGACTTTGAGGTGTATGTTCTAAGCTGGATTCTAGATTCTTCCCAGTGGGATCAAGCTCCAGTTGTCTACTGTGTAACTCTCTTGATAAAGCACACTTGATCAACTGCCCCCCATTCCCTGTCTCAATTCCCTGCTCCCAGTGACATGCTGAGAAATGTTTAACAACCAAATCTCGAAGGGGGAGAAAAGCCCTGTTTTGCAGCCACTGGCCAACTTCTGTGGTGTCAATATTCCCATTGTAGCCAATGCCAAGCTGCCCACATGACATCATTGAAAATGGTATTCGGAAGAGATGGACACAATCAGCTCCACTGAGTCAATAAGAGCTGGCTCCAGCCCACCGAGGTCTAGCCCCTGCCAGTATCTCCTGAAATCAGCCCCCAAATGAACCACCCACCATTGAACATACATCAGGATCTGCTTCTGGGGGTTATCAAGCAAAGACATAATTTGCCATCCCCAAAGCATAGGTTCATGAGTGCCACACAGCATGTTTTCAATGAACAAGAGATGAAGGCACGAACTAGGAAACAGTAGGTTGGGAGAGCAGGTAACAGGGCTCAGGGCTGCAATGACTGTGGGGTTGGAGGTGCCAGAAGAAAGAACACAGGCTAAAGAGCACACTGAAGGGGCCAGTGCAGTGCATTCTGTTTGGGGCATGCTGAGTTTGAAGAGCCTACAGAGCACGGAAAGGGAGGAACTTTGGAAGTCATTGGAAGGGATACTCCTGCTTCTTTTTAAATCTTTGGGGTCTTCCTGAGCATTAAGATTACAGTACCACAAAGCATTTCTCCTTGACCCAGAGAACAGTGGAATGGCCACGTTGCTGGCCACAGCATGACTCTCTCTTTAGGTACCGTGTAGATAGGCAGATGCCGTGGTGCTCGACCCATATTACTTGGTTCTGACCTCTTCAATGCCAGCTGGCACAGTGCAGCTTCTAGCACCTTCCTGTCATTGCCCAAGGCCTTTTTCTGGGCATCACCTTGGACATCCATGTGGCAGATTAGAAATGCTGCAAATGTGAGTGGAGGAACCTCGGGCAGAAAAGTAGAGCCACAGCAAGCCTCAGGGAAGTCATCAGCAATAGGGAAGGGTGGGAGGCACATATATGAATGGGGTCTCCCGGTGGAGAAGAGGGGGCACCAGGGAGAAGGAATGGAAGAACACAATATCCTTCAGAGAGGAGACAGAGCAAAAGGATACAGGAAGGGATCATGAAAGGAAGGAAAAGAGCAAGGAAAGCAGGTGTCGTGGAAGGTAAGCAGAAAGAGAATTTCAGGAAGGAAGGTGTAGCCAACAGCCTTGACCACCATGGACAGATCAGGTAAGATGAAGGCAGAAACATGACAGGTGGGGCCTGGCTTCATGGGGCCATGGGGAGACACAGACAGTAAGCCAAGCTGCAAAAGTGGCTCTTCCCAGGGGCTTGGCACTGAAGAAGGGACCTGAGGCAATGCTGCCTCTTGAATGTCCAAAGTTGCCGCGGGCGGAAAACGGATGGAAACACAAGACGTGGGCCTAACCCATGGGCCCAGTGGCCTTCACACAAGGCCACATGGTGCACCCAGCCACACCAACACGGTGTCTGAAGTGGTCACTGAAGAGCTGGAGGGCATTCTGCCCTCTCCTCTACTTCCACAGTGATTCAGTTTCCCAAATGATTTCTCCTTCGTTACTGAATTCAAACCTCACAACACCGCTCAAGAAAGAAGGAGAGTGTGGACATTGCCTCTCCAGCACCTGATCACTGCTGGCTCAGGGTAGGTACTCAGTAGGTATGTGTTGAAATAATTAGTCCCACTTTTTAGGTGGAGAAAGTGAGACTCATGGAAGTGTCTGGAAATCACAATGCCTGTGGGCACCTCACCTAAGCTAACATGATGCACATAATATCAGTAGCTCATGAACTGAGGTCTTCCTCAAACACAGACCCTGCTTCCACATGTAAATTTAGCAAGATATCAAATTACAGTTTATGCATATCATCCAGGAGAGCCCCCCAGGTTTTTTTCCCCAAAAAATGGAGGAAGGATGTGGAGTCTAATGAAAAGAAACAATAATTTCAGACTCTTGAAATACAAAATTCTACATGGCGGCCACATGTATCAGCTTAGCCCAGATTATGAGGACAATATCAAAGATAATTCGAGGTTAAAGCAAGGCATTTGTGTAGTTTGGATAACCTGAATGGTGGATTCTAATGGTTAAGAATAGTGATGAACAGAGACAAAAAAGTTTCAAAACCTCATGAAGAAACGTTAAGGTTAGTAGCCTTAAACTCCCATATTATCACAAATAATCTGAAAGTGTGGAGAAGGGCATCCCCTCTGTTTCAGGCTGGGTTTCCCCAGAAGCAGCCCCTGAGAGAAGGATTTGTGAGAAGGTGGTTTATACGGGAGGTGATCCTAAGAAGAATCGGTAGAAGAGCAGAGTAGGACAGGAAATGCTAATAGTAGGTGCACTTTAAGTCAGTTGCCATCATGAATAACTAGAAACTGATCTCTCTGGATAGCTTTGGGGGCCAGCGTAGACATGCATCTCAGACACCTAAGATGTGAGGAAGCTTAGGTATTCATCCACCTACTCCTAGTCTAACATTGGTTGAAGCTGATGAAAGAGGACATAATCCCCCAGCATTTCTAATCTGCCACATGGATGTCCAAGGTGATGCCCAGAAAAAGGCCTTGGGCAATGACAGGAAGGTGCTAGAAGCTGCACTGTGCCAGCTGGCATTGAAGAGGTCAGAACCAAGTAATATCGGTCGAGCACCACGGCATCTGCCCATCTACACAGTACCTAAAGAGAGAGTCATGCTGTGGCCAGCAGCGTGGCCATTCCACTGTTCTCTGGGTCAAGGAGAAATGCTTTGTGGTACTGTAATCTTAATGCTCAGGAAGACCCCAAAGATTTAAAAAGAAGCAGGAGTATCCCTTCCAATGACTTCCAAAGTTCCTTCATATGCCAAGTTTCCATGGTTCCGTAATTCTGAGAGAAAAGCTGATACCAATTAAGAGATGTAAAAATAAAGCCAGCTATTGTAGCAGAAAATTAGAGGATTTTTAAACATAATGATTCAATATCTTCAGGAATTAGACTCTTAAGGCAGCACCTCTGGATTCCAAAACCTGCAAACTTTTATCTCAACAAAAGTGTATTTGACCACTGATGGCTGATGTAATAACACAGAGACCAGAGTCTGAGAAAAGAAGAATGATGAAGCAATGCATTGCATCCATTTCCTTCCCACAGAGAACCAAGTTTGACAATATTATAGCACAGTTCATTTGTCCTCACAAAACTCCTGCTGAGCTAGGAAGAGGCAGTTGGTTCTAGGGTCAATTTACTTTTAGAGTACATAAGTCAGAGGATAAGCAATTTGCCTAAGATCAGAGCCAATCCGTGGCTACATCAACTATCATTTCGTAGTTAGCATGGCTTCCATTCACTGAATGTCTGTGATGTGCAGAAACCTTTCCATTCTTCACCATGTTTCATCTTCATGGATGAAAACCCTACATGGAAATACTAGTTCCATTTTGTAAATAAGGAAATTGATAGGCAGAGAGGTTAAATATCTTGCCCAAGGTCACACAGTGAGCAAGTAGCAGAATGAGGATTTGAACCCAGGTATAGTGACCTCAAAGGACAAATTCTTGGTAGATCCTGGGATAGGATGAAATCCATCCTGGTTTAATTATACAGCTATAGTAAAGTAGCTCAATAATGCAGCCTGCACCTTATAATAGGCTAGCAGTGAAGAGGTAAATAAGTCTCACTGGTCTTATTTCAAAGATGGTTGTTTCCTCAGAAATTACAGTCATGCACTGCAAAATGACATTTCTGTCAGCGTCGGAGGGCATATATAAGAGTGGTCAATTTTTTTTTTTTTTAATTAGAGACATGGTCTGGCTCTGTTGCCCAGGCAGGAGTGCAATGGTGCACTGCAGCCTCAAACTCCGAGGCTCACATGATCCTCCTGCCTCAGCCTCCCCAGTATCTAGGACTGCAGGTGCATGCCACCACATCCAGCTAATTTTATTATTTTTTGTAGAGACAGAGTCTCACTATGTTGCCCAGGCTGGTCTCAAACTCCTGGCCTCAAGTGATCCTCCCACCTCGACCTCCTAAAGTGCTGGGATTATACGCACGAGCCACCACAGTCAGCCCCATAAGATTTTAACACCATATTTTTACTGTCCCTTTGCTGTATTTAGATATGTTTAGATACATACATATTTACCACTGTGTTACAACTGCCTACAGTGTTCAGTACAGTCAGTCACTTGCCGTACAGGTTTTTAGCCTAGGAGCAATAGGCTATACCATCCAGATTTATGTAAATACATTCTGTGATGTTGGTACAAGAACAAAATCGCCTAACAGTGCATTTCTCAGAACATATCCCCACTGTTAAGGGACATGTGACTGAATTGGGAACAGCAGTGAGGACGAGCATCCCCCATGAAAGGTTCACAAACGAAGAAATAAGACACTTCTAAAGTCCCACTGCGTGCAACTCACTCTGCTCAGTGTGATTTCCTAGAGACTGGGCTGGTCCCACAAATTATGACATGGAGGGCTATCTTCTTGCACTTAGGGAGGAGGGGCAGAGGGTGGGCAGCTGGGAAGGCTTGGAGGGTGGGAAGGTGAAGGGGATACGGAGAGGCGCCCACACTGGCTATCCTCCCTGCTCTCCCCTCGCTCACCTCTCCAGCTTCCTTGGATTTCTCTGCTACAGCAAAGAGGCCGCTCCACAAAGCTATACTTGAGCAATGTCAACAAAAACACTTGGCCCCTGTCCATGGCATTCTTGGCTCCTCATCTGCCAGGCCCTGGAAGTTGCATGTTGGCCTAATTAGTCAGGGGAGGGGTAGGGGATGAAGAGGGGAGGCAGCAGGCTCACATGTCACATGTCACGGGTGGAGGCAGTCTGCAGGACTGCAGGCTCTAAGAAGAGGGGACAGGAGTGGGCCATGGGGATAGCACGGGATGTTGGCTAGAAGGGGAGGAAACCAAGCTCTCAACTCGAAAAGCAAGCCGCATGCACTAAGGAAGGACACAAAGTGAGGCTGGACGCCAAGTTTCCATTACAGAGCTGTGTGCTCACCCTTTTGTGCTCTCCTCCCTCCTCCTCCCCTACCGCCCTCCTCCCCACAACTGGGGCTTAGAGAGCCCAAGGATTTCTGACACCAAGAATGGATCTCCCTGCATGCCCCCTGACAAACAGCCTTGACTAGCAGCCTTCACCCTAACACTGTCTCCTATGTGAACCTTGTCCCACAGGGCTTGCAAACCCTTCCCAAACACTAGCCCCAGGCCTGGTGGAGAGGTGGAGCTGCCTGCTCTCTGATAAGAGGTTTAACTCCTTCAGACACCGCGGTGGCAGCAGATGAGGAAGTTTGCTGCATCATCAGCAAAATTATCTTTTATGCCCCTTATTATGTGCCAAGCACCCTTCCTATACCATCTCACTCCATCCTCTTGCAGGGAATGCTGATGCAGGTAAGCAGCCAAGCCAGGACCCTAGGCCAGAGCTGACTGCAAAGCTCAGGTATGTGTTTCTCACCTGTCCCAGAGCTCCAGGAGCCCAGGGAAGTGGCCTTAGGGGCATAGCAGCTCCTTTTGAGAGGACGTATTAACTCTCCCCTCCCTGTGAACTGGAATACTGCTTTTCTTTTTGAAAACTGGGATGCAGAGAACCATCTGGCTGAAGCACTCAGAGGGCCATGGCAACAGCCTCCCATTTGCAGATGAAGAAACTGAGTCTTGTAAAGCCGAATGCAACACTGGAGAAAGAATGTCTGGAAAACTCAGTTAACGGCACAAGAAACACAGCCAAGGGCGGCAGCACTAACTCAGGCTCTCTAGGCTGGTTTGGTGCTCCTCACTAAGGCTATAAATACCCCACCCTACAGTTTACACAGCTGCCTCCACTCTGTACAACCCGGGTCTTCACCCTGGGGTTGGAGGTCAGGTTTGCATAAGCCCGCAGCCAGCGGACGCCTTCTGCAGACTTGAGTGAGCAGCACTGCTCTCCAAATGACCCCTTTCCTGCCCCTCCCCCTGAAGTCTTGGAAGGATGAGCCTGGTGTCCTCACCCTCTGTGGATGAAGAGGGGAGCAGTGGAGGCCCTGGCTTCGTACAGGTAGATTTTTCTCATGGGTTTTCCAGCTGAAGCAAGAGCTTCCCTGTGCTTTTGTTCAAGGTCCTTGGAAAGGAGCACCAATTGTGGAGAGGTTGCAGCCCCCAAAAGGAGCTCTCCTAACCCAGAAGGAGAGGAGGATGCTGGAGGCTAACAGGGCCACACATCCCCCAAACAGACCTCTCCTAACCCAGCAGGAGAGGAGGAAGCCAGAGGCTAACAGGGCCATACATTCATTCCCCTCAACTGCCTCAAAGCTTCCAGAAAGTCAGAGAAGGGAATATCCAGAGAAGGTGGCTGGGAGAAGATCTCCAAGCCACAGGAGGCGATAGGTTCTGTTTAAATTGTCTTCCATGAGCTGTTTCCACAGCCTGTCCAGTGGGCAAGGGGATGCTGAGAACACCCCCTTGGGCTGGGTCAAGGTCTCCCTCTAATGTCCCCAACTCAGCGGCGGCAATCACAGGCATCAACTCTTACACTGGATGTAAATTTCTCACCAGTGTCAAGGCGCTACACCTCCACTCCAAGAGGAAAACCAGATTGAAAGTTGAGCGTTTTCAGTCCCTTCAATAGGACAGGCCTCCCTTTAACCCAGAGGGGAAGAGGGGAGAAGGCAACCCTAGCCACCTGCCCACTTGAGGCAGGGCACTTCGTGCCTTCTCCCCTCTTCGCCTTTGGATTAAAGGGAGGCCTGTCCTATTGGAGGGACTGAAAAGGCTCAATTGATACTGGCAAGAAATTTACACCAGTTAAGAGGTGATGCCTGTGATTGTCGTTGCTGAGTTGGGGACATTAGAGGGAGACCTTGACCCAGCCCAAGGGGGTGTTCTCAGCATCCCCTTGCCCATTGGACAGGCTGTGGAGACAGCTCATGGAAGAGGATTTAAACAGAACCTATGGCCTCCTGTGGCTTGGAGATCTTCTGTCTTCTGGATGGAGTCCCTGTCTTCCAGTCAGAGGAGGAGCAGCATTGGCACCTCCTGGGGCTGGACCAGAGTCAGAATCTGCATCTCACAAGATCCGCAGCAGATCCCTGGGCACCCTGGAGTCTGAGTTACTGCTCCCAGACCCTGAGGGGCAGCCCTCCTGGCAGGATCAGCAAAGGGAGACTGCAGAGCCTGCAAGCACCTGGCAGAGGGCTGCAAGGTTCAGGGAAATGGTTTCCACCCCCAGTGGCTGGGCTGGCGGCACAGAGAAAGCAGAAGTCCTGATGGAGAAAGGGAGAGGGGTGGCTAAGCCAGCAGCTGGGACTTCAGGGCTCTGATGTGAGGCTGTGGGGTTCACCTGTGTCTTGCACCCTGGGAGAATGGCCCCATCACCAGTCCCAGTGCAACTCCCCTATGGGAGGGCAAAGAGAGGCCTGGCTCTTTCTCTACTTCCCATCAAAATCCCTTTGCCTTCCTGTCCGACATGACACCGACCCCTACATGGCCTCGCCCACACTGGCCTAGGTTAGGTATGAGGAGGGGAGACTGGCTGAGCCCCTGGCAAGGGTGGCCTTGGGAACAAGGGATGGCCCAAAGCACCTGGACCAAAGCCCTGAGCCAGAAGTCCAAACTGGTCCCAAGGGCAGATTCTGCTATGATTGTTGGGCAGATCGAGGCAAGCTGGTTGTGAGGGTGGCACAAAGATGGGAAAGCCCACATATTCTCCCACTTCTTCTAGAGGGAAGCCCTTCCTCCAGGAAGCCTTCCTGGACCCTCCAGGACTTCCTTCACAAAAACCTGTCCATCTTTACTCCATCACCCGTCCCTGACCCCCACCCGCAGGTTGTAAGCTCCAGGGAAGTTCAGTTATGTTTTTTTCTTAGCTGTGTCTCCCCACCTCCCAAAGTGACAGCCTGGATGCTGTAGCCATTGTGTCCCAGCACTTCATTAGAGCTACCACCTGGGTAATCACTGAACCACCAAGGGAGGAGGGAGGCACAGCGTACAGAAAAGATCCCAGGTCCATGGGTCCCACCCCTCAGGGCCATGCCCCTTGACCTGGGGATTAAGTTTAAATGATAAGCCCAAGAATTTTAGTGGCAAGCTTGAGACAGAATCCAGATTTTCTGGGTTGCTGGACAAAACTGTCTGCATGACAGCCTTGCTTCTCAAAGTGTGGTCCCTAGACCAGCGGCATCAACATCACCTGCAAGCTTGTGAGACAGGCAGCATGCTGCATCAGAATCTGCATTTTCACAAGGTGACTCATGTGCCCAGCAATTCTGCAGAAGCCTGACAGCCTGTGCTTACCTATTTTATCCCAGCTCCACTCACAGACATTGTTGCGTGCCTTCAAAGTTCCCGGCACAGTGCACAGCTTGATCTCTCCATCTCTAAAGCCCAATATGCAGTCTTCAACATCCCCAGGACCAGGAAGGCCCCTCACTGAGACCACTGGAGTCTGAGTTACTGCTCCCAGACCCTGAGGGGCAACCCTCCTGGCAGGATCAGCAAAGGGAGGCTGCAGAGCCTGCAAGTGCCTGGCAGAGGGCTGCAAGGATCAGGGAAATGGTTTCCACCCCCAGTGGCTGGGCGGGCAGCACAGAGAAAGCAGAAGTTCTGATGGAGAAAGGGAGAGGGGCCTAAGCCCCTGCTGAAGATACTTCAGCATCCACATGGGAGTGGCCACCTGAATACGCTTTCTCCCGTATCTGCCAACAGTCCTCTTTTTAAAAATTTTTATTTCAATAGTTTTCGGGGAATAGGAGGTTTTTGGTTACATGGATAAGATTTTTAATGGTAATTTATGAGATTTTGGTGCACCCATCATCTGAGCAGTGTACACTATACTCAATGTGTAGTCTTTTATCCCTCACCCCATTCCCACCCTTCCCTCCAGGTCCCCAGAGTCATTCTTATGCCTTTGCACCCTCATAGCTTAGCTCCCACTTATGAGTGGGAACATACAATGTTTGGTTTTCCATTCCTGAGTTACTTCACTGAGAATAATAGTCTCCAACTCCACCCAGGTTGCTGCAAATGCCATTACTTCATTCCTTTTATGGCTGAATGGTATTCTGTGGTGCATATATACCATATTTTCTTTATCCACTCATTGGTTGATGGGCTTTTAGCCTGATTCCATATTTTTGCAATTGCGAATTGTGCTGCTATAAACATGCATGTGCAAGTGTCTTTTTCATATAATGACTTCTTTTCCTCTGGGTGGATTCCAAGTAGTGGGATTGCTGGATCAAATGGTAGTTCTACTTGCAGTTCTTTAAGGAATCTCCACACTGTTTTCCACAGTGGTTGTACTAGTTTACATTCCCACCAGCAGTGTAGAAGTGTTCCCTTTCACCACATCCACACCAACATCTTTTTTTTTTTTTATTTTTTAATTATGGCCATTCTTGCAGGAGTAAGGTAGTATCACACTGTGGGTTTAATTTGCATTTCCCTGATCATTAGTGAGGTTGACATTCCCATTTTGAAATTGCTTCAGAAGGCTTCACAAAATCAAGTCCCAGCATCCTGGTTTCAGAGCTTTCTCTTTTCAGAACATCCCTATCTTTCTCCATTGAACTACTAAATAACGTAAATGTGGTTCTTCTAATGACCTATAGGGCTGAGCCCAGGAGTTCTCTGCTCAAAGCCTGCCTTTCTTGTGATGGTCTTCAGGTATTTCAAGGGCCCAAGCTCAGCCCCAAGGCAACACCTGCTCCTCAGGCTCCGCTTCCTCTGGCCCTTGCTGGACTTCAAAAGCTCTCCTGCCACCCTTTGCCTATTGATGTCTTTCCCCAGGTTTCACAATCTGTAGTAGCTCAAAGCTCAGGGATGTTGACTGACCCCACCTGATGAAGACCCTTCCTCTCTCTCTCCTCTCTTCTAGTATCTCTCTCTCTCTCTTTCTTCCACCCCTTCTCTTCCCCCTCCCCCTCTAACTCTATCTCTCTCCCACACTCACATACATACAATGTCCAATATGGGGTTTCTTCTTACAAAGTATGGAATGTTGGTGTCAAATTCATATGTGGAAATCCTAACTCCCAATTGGGAGGTAATTAGGTAATAAGACCAGAATACATCCACCAAATCCCAAGAATGGGATTAGTGCCCTTGCTAAAGGGACCCTAGTGAGCTCTTTAGCCCTTTCTCCACCACATGAGGATACAATAATATATCAGTATGCAATTCAGAAGAGGGCCCTCACCAGAACCTGACCACGCTGGCACCCTGACCTTAGGCTTCCAGGCTCCAGAACTGTGAGGAATAAACTGCTGTTTTTTAAGCTGCTAAATCTGTGGTATTCTGTTATAGCAGCCTGAACTAAGATATGTCTCAAACTCTAAAGAGCATGCATGCATGTAATGTAGGGACCTTCTTAAAATGTACACTTTGAGTAAGGAGGTCTGGGGTGGGCACCGAGATTCTGTGTTTCTCAAGAGTTCTCAGTGGATGCCAGTGCTGCTGGTCCAAGCACCACTTTGAGCAGCTGGGCTCAATTACACATTTTTAAGTGAATGTACACACACATGAAAGGATCTGAGTCACTAGAAGCATATGCAAATGTGCACCCCAACTGGGCTGTGTTTCAGAAAGGAAAATGCAAGTTCAGGAGCAATGCATTGTGTAGTAGCTCCAAGCAATCCCAGGGACTCCCAATCAGGCTGGACAGAGCAGCCCCAATGAAATGGGTGCCGTTGGAAGAGAAATCGTAGGAATGGAAGCGAAGAAGATGATGTTCTGACCGGTAGTGGGTTCTGTCCAGCAGGAAGAAGAGTCATGATGAAGGTATGCATGCAGGATGTTCTTCTCTTCATGCAATAACTCTGTAGACCTACAGTTAACCCCCGTTGAAAGAATGAGCCTGCTGGGTCTCAACTATTATTATACGGGCCTCAGGAGCAAATACTATAATTGTGTGCCCACCTCACCTGATGATGGAGAGTGAAATGAACCACGTTTCTCAGGCAACAGGGGGCATCTGTGTCAGCCATACCCCACCCACTACCATTATACTGAATGACACTCAAGTGCAGGAAGCCAATTCAACTCAACCTGTATAGGTGTTTGTGCAGTGGGTCTCACAATGAAGACAGCTTTCAGCTTTCAAAGGGTGCTGGAAAGAAGGGGAAAGGGAAGAGCAAAGGGGGGCAGATGGCAACAGGTGCACCCACAATTTAATGGAAACAATGTGGGCCTCTGGCCTAGAAATTGAAATCGCCTTTCAGACAGAAATTGTCAGTTAAATGCTACTTGTTATCACTCTTGGGCTACTCTTTGACCACCTGGCCTGAGATCTAACATGCCAGGGAATACTGGGAAATTAACAGAGACACATCTGGTAGGTGAGTGGTTACCTATCCCCTTCTGAGCTCCTGAAACACTCCCCAGGATAATTTCCCACATTTGAGAGGCAGAAACTCCCAAATACCATGATGATCAATCTAGGTCTGTGCAGTCCAAAAGGACCCTGTGCAGTGATGGGAATGTCCCATATTTGCACTGTCCAACATGGTAGCTACCAGCCACATGTGGCTGTTATTTACTTTAAATAAGACTATACAACTGGAAGCTGAATTTTTAATTTTATTGATGCAAATCTAAATTTAAATAGACACATGTGGCTAGTGACTAAACTAAGGACTGGCCTTATCCCATAATCTGAGTCCCCTATTCCAAGGCCAAGAACCAAGGCAGAACCCCAATCTGTCAGAAGACTGCAGTGGCAAGAGGAGACAAAGGAAAGTGCAATGGCCTTTAGATAAAGGTTACTAAACATTCTGATGAGACAAAGAAGATGGAGTTTGTCTGACTTTTATTTTCTTCTAGCCTCCTTCTTTGCCTGGGAAGAAGAAAGCCAGCCAGTCTCACTGGTAGAAAAGAATGGAAAGGAGCATCAATACTGAAAACTAGCCTTAACCCCTTTTAGCCAAAAGAATGATAGTGACTTGGTATAGTGATCTTGCATAGTGATGGCATAGAAGCATCCCAACCAGGATTTAAAGTAAACACAACTCAAGTTGACCAAGAAATCACATGAGGCCCCATGGGAAGATACATGGACTTATGATAGCAGAAATTTGTCATCTTGGTGATGTGTCAATTTGGGTTTCTAGTCTCAGATCTATCATGAACTTTAAGCTGTTGGAGAAGTTGAATCACTTTAGCCCGATTACCACATCTGGATATTAAAAAGCATGAATGAGCTGACCTCTAAGGTCCTTTGCGTTTGGACTTTAAGAGTCTTTTTTATTAAATCTATGGTAGAATAATATGTTCAAAAGCTGGTAGGGTCCCCCACCTTCAGAATTGTGTGCTACTGGAGGATGAGCTACATAACTTATTGGAGATTGGAAAGAAAATATTGGAACCTTTATATCACATTCCACTCTAAAAATAAGAAATACATATTTATTTAATATTTAAAATATGAATTCACAATGGCACCTGCACCGAGTGCACTTGTCAGCATATCCCATAATTTACATAATAGAAGTGCACCTGTTGCCCACAGCAGGTGAGGGACCTGAAGGAAAAGCACAGGATGGACCTGGTGCCCTTCCTAGCTCACCTACTTTCCTATTATCACAGCATGATGCACCTTACATGGGCTCAGTTGAGCAGATTTGCCAATATTATTTGAAATATTAAAATATTACAATATTTTGAAATGAGATGGGGACATGATCATGAAATCTTTTTACACCATGCACATGTCCATTGATTGTCTTTTGGCAAATAATTTTTTAAAACTGTTGAACTTAGAGATGAATTATGCATTTCTCTCTCATAAAAAGACAAGTGATATAAATATGCTAACCTTTTCTGGGAAGACATGGCCACCAGCTAAGTGTGCACCTAGCGGATATTTTCAGAAAACACACTGCCCCCCATGTCTGCCCTCGCTCCACATCCCTCAAGGTGACTTTTTAACAACCAGTGAAAGAGTAAGCTTTTCTAAAGAAATTTGCTCTATGGAGAGAGCATTTTGAAAATAAATATCAAGACTTTTTATGTCTTCATATGATAAATCATATCAAGAAAATGATAAAAATCAGTACATTCTAAAAACGTGTATGTTCCACTTAAAAATTTGGAATCAAAATTACATAACCTGATTTAAAAATTCCCAAAGAGTTTCAATGACTTTTATTAGAAAATTGAAATTAAAATTCAATGTCTTTTATTTTAAAAAAATGGATTTTTATAAATCAATTTATTAGAAATATGTAAATGCAACACCTTCTGAAAAGTTGCAAGATTAATCTACTGAAGTCAGAAAAGATGGGAAGATGTTAACAACAGTCTTTGGGTAATTGGTGAATGAAACTGAAAATTTAATATCTTGATTTAGTAGTTATAGCCCATAGTGCTTTTCTTCCATTTGGATCTATATATCTTGGGGAATTATCTATTACAAGTAGGACAGCCATTAAACTTCAAACTTAAAATAAACAACCTTAAATTAAAATAAGCAGACCTTCTGTTAGCTGTATCTCAAAGTATGGAACTAATATTTTCAAAATGGTTAAATATATTCTATCATGTTTTCTCAATAAGATACTACCATAAATATAACAACATTAACATCATCATAGTTTAGAAAAATCCACGTTTTGTTCTGTTAAAATATAATTATTATTTTTAAATGGTTCATTTCATCGCTATTTTATTCCTATTACATTTATCTTTCATTGTATATAAAAATCTGGGGCAGATCCAGGTTTTATGGGACCTGAAGTTTATGTAATATTGAGACCACTTTTTTAAATATAAAATTTTACAAATACAAAGATAGGTATAAGGCTTAAAAATAATATCTCATTATACATATATATACATAACGTATATTACAATATTTCTTAAACATAATTTCTTAAAAAATATACTTTCCTAAGGATCACAGCTTCATAGTCCATTCCAGCTGTACATATGCCTTGCCTCAGGCTCTGTTGATATACTCCGAACACTTGTATTTTTCATACATCTAATATATTTGCCCCTGCAAACCTGCCAAATGTGTTTCTTCAGTTCTCTTTAAAACTCACTTTTTTGTTTCCAATTGAGTAGAATTTGACAACTCTACATCACTTGGCTTCTCAAAATCACTGCCACTTCCATCCTTTGTGATTGGATAAACAGTCCAATTTATTTATGAGTATGAGTATAAAATTGTCTGCTGTTTTCTCTCAGGCTGTCTTGTCTCTGCCATTATAGAACAGGGCAGGAAATCAGTCTTTCCTTAATTCTGGGCTTTTCTTAATTCATGCCTAGAGTACAGTTATCACCAATGAGTCAGGCAGAGGGAAAAGAAATACAGTGGTTTCTTCTCCACAATCCTGACTGGAACACCTTTCTTCAAAAGTACCAAGTATCGGGACTCTCTAGGGGTGAGGAGAAGAAAGAGCAGCTACCATGTGAACAGTGAGAAAGCACGTTTCATCTGCTCACAGAGTAATAAGAAATGTGCCTTCAAACAATTATTACATTGCAGTTATCTATGTATGATTCTTATTTCCCCTATTAGACTATAAGCTTCCTGATGACATCATTTTTTTTTCTTATTGGCCCCAGTACTTGCACAGAGGAGAGATTCAATAAAACTCCACTGGGAAATTTAAAGTGTTAACTACACTGCAAGTTTGGTGCCTGCACTTCCCCCTCCCAGCATCCCCTCTCCCTTGGTTAGAATCAACCTCAGATTTTCATTTTAGGAGAGACCCCTCCCTCCTGCCAAGTCTACCTGTTCTGGGAGGAAGCTCCACCCACCCACTGCACCACCAGCAAAGATGCTGCCTGAACTAAAGGCCAAAGTCCCACATCCTGTAGGCCATAATGATTGGTTCTGAGAGGTGCCTGTAACTGAGCCAGGCCAATCAAAGCAGAGCTCCCAGAAAGAGACTCACCCACTCTGTCCCAGTGACCTTGAACCTGGAAGTAGGAGAGCCTGGAGGCTGAGAGTCCGCAGATGGCACATAAAGGTGAGTACAGTCAGACCAAAGGACAGAGATAGGCAAGGTCCTGATGTCATCACATTTCAGCCCCTGATACCTGAAGCCAGACTAATCATAAACTTTTCGATTCCATGTTGCAATGTATTCCCTTTTTAGCCTGAGCCAGATTGGGCTGGCTTTTTTCTAAGAGCACCTGAGAAGCTCATAGCTGATACATGCTTCTACTTTTTAAAAAAATCCCATCCCATGTAAAGTCTGTTGAAATCCCAAACAGAACCCCAGTAACGCTCTTCCCCAGCCCTTCCTGGCTTCATCCTGTGTCCATCGTAGTGCACTGCTGTGCAGAGAGCTATTTCTTTTCTTTGCATGAATGTCCCTCCCCATGCCATGAACACAGAGCCTCTCAAGTGGCTTCTATGAATCACAGTAATAAAGCTCTAAGAGCCCTGGGGAAATTGTGAATTAAGATGGCTATGGGACATAAAAGTTTCAAGTACAAGCTACAAGGGGAGAAGGCTGGCCACTGATGGTGGAGCAAGACAGTTGACACCTAGCCCCCCAAAATACCTGGCTAGCCTGGGCCAACTGACAGCAGAGGCTGGCTCAGTCACACAAACAAAAGCCTCAGATGTCATTGTAGTAGTGCAGTAATGCTTTACGTTGCAATATAGTGTTTGCAACGTTGAAAGGTGTCCTGGTTTGGGTTTTCCAACAGCCAAGTCTGAGACAAGGACTTGGGTGCAAGTAGTTTATTCTGGAGAGAATCCCAGGAAACAGTGAAAGAAAGTGGAAAGCAAGACAGATAAAGGGGAAAAGCATATATAAACATGCATTACAAAGGTTGCTGCCACTGGTAACAAGACCAGGATCCCTCTGGAAGCTCAGACATGCATTGAGAATGCTTCCCAGAATTGTCCACGTGAAGAATGAGGCTGTGGCTTCCGTTCCTCACTAGGTGAGGTTTGCTCCAGGAGCACAAACTCCCCAGAGTCCAGGCTGCACGTTTTTGTTTTGTTTTTTTTTTTTTTTTTGAGATGGAGTCTCGCTCTGTCGCCCAGGCTGGAGTGCAGTGGCGTGATCTTGGCTCACTGCAACCTCTGCCTCCCAGGTTCAAGCAATTCTCCTGCCTCAGCCTCCTGAGTAGCTGGGACTACAGGTGCATGCCACCATGCCCAGCTAATTTTTTTTTTTTATTTTAGTAGAGACAGGTTTTCACCGTGTTGCCCAGGCTGGTCGCGAACTCCTGAGCTCAGGCAATCCACCCGCCTCGGCCTCCCAAAGTGCTGGGCAGACTGCACTTTTGAGTGAGTCAAGCTGGCTCCCACCTCTCAGGAAGGCCCTGAGCCAGGAAGCAGAGAGACACATAGCGTATGCTTGGGGCAATGCTGTATTGCAATGAGAGTCTGAGCTTACACTGAACTGCCCATGGCACCTGAGGCTGGCACCAGAGGAGAGCCGAGGGTCTGTCTTGAGGGACACCAAGTGATGTCAGCCCTGAAGGTAACCTTGACCTCATCTTGGAAACAATGTCTCTTAAAACAAGTGGGAAGATGTGTTTGGTCCAGAGCCATAGAAGTGGATAATTTTTTTTTTTTTTTTTTGACAGGGTCTTGCTTTGTCACTCAGGCTGGAGTGTAGTGGTGGAAATTAGCTAGCTAGAACTACAGACGTGCACCACCACAGTAAGCATTTTTTTTTTTTTTAGAGATGGGATTTCACTATGTTGCCCAGGCTAGTCTCGAACTCCTGTCTTAACCTCCCAAGTCGCTGGGATTACAAGTCTGAGCCATCACCGCCCCTGGCCCATAGATTTTCTGATAATGTTTCTCTCTTCTCCTTTCACCATTGGAACTTGACACCAGAACTAAAATATCCTCTTGATGCCTCACAGTGAGAAAGACAGAACTGAGGGGAGGATAGGCAGTGAAGCTTTCGTTTAAACACAAAGCCACTTTATTCTTCTCACTTTTTCCTATTCTTTGGCCCATTGCTTGCAACTTTCCAAGTTGGAACTGAAACCAGCAATAGGAGAATAGCAAGGTTGAATGGAAAGAAAGATAGATCCATGCCCTCTCAGTTTCAGCCCAGAGTCTGAGATCCACTGATAGGTAAGGGAAGGCAGGGAAAGGAGAGAGGATGTGGCTCAGTCAGACCAGGAGGGGTTGATGCAAGCAGGACTTTCCTGGCCACCACCTGCGCCTGAGAAACGGGGAGGCTTGCTTTGCATATTTCAGCCAGAGAGCAACGCCTCTCTCACTCTCATCCCTAGTGAACCCCTATATTTCTAATTGATTAGGCATTTGCCTAAATAATCAGGCTTTTTTTATTTTTCAGACTCCTGACAAGGAGCACTGGTATCTAAGTGCAGACTTCCAATAACGTCCCCCCTTGAAAACAAGCAATATTCAGCATGTAGGTTTGGCTGTGTGCCCCTAGCTGAGGGCTTCTGTCTCATTCTTCACAGTTTGCTCTTTGCGTGGCTTTCTGCTTCCTTCTCTCCAGCCCACATTCTCTCTCCAAAGCCACATGAGACTGTTCCCTTCTCAATGCTGTGAGCTACCCTGCTCATTGCAGCCACTACCAGCCAAGGTCAGCAAGTCATCTGATGGGAAGCCAGAAAGAAAATCCTTTTCCATTGTTTCTAAAAGTGAAAGAAACAGGAACAAACGTGGGGGGGTCAACAGAAAACACACACACACACACACACACACACACACACACACACAAAGGCTGGAGTGGGTGATGGAGCGAGGGATTCTAGGAACAAAGGGGCGTGTCTGTCTCTTCTGGAATCCCATACGGTCACTCCATGGCAGCAGGATGAGTGGGTGGTGAAAGGGCAAATGGCTCGGGGCAAATATTGTGACTATAAGGACACACGCAGCTTTGTCAGTGCCCAGCACACAATCTCACAGAGGGTAGACACTGCTGAAGTTAGAGCTGTATTACATTCAGAAATAATCGTAAGAGCAAGAGCAGTAGTTAGTGTAAAGTGGGTGGGATTAGTAAATGTCCCCATCATAGATACCACACACATTGTCTTTTTCTCAAGATCCCTTCCACCAGTCCCCATTGAGTAGCAGCAGAAAGTTATGGAGAAAGGGGAGAAGGGGTGGCCTGACTTTACCTTAGTTCCAGGGATGGGCCATCATCATTGTAGCACAATTGGGGGAATCAGCATATGGCATCTCCTTGACCAAAGGGACTGGTTCAGGGAGAGGTAAGTGGCCCCATTCCTGCCAATGAGATGGTAGGGGAGGTTTGCTGGTGGCTTCTGAGAATAAAGCCCTCTTTATCAGAGAGAGCTACTGATGTCCTATTTCTCTCTCTTTCTTTTTTTTTTTTTTTTTTTTTTGAGACGGAGTCTCGCTCTGTCGCCCAGGCTGGAGTGCAGTGGCGCGATCTCGGCTCACTGCAAGCTCCGCCTCCCGGGTTCACGCCATTCTCCTGCCTCAGCCTCCCGCGTAGCTGGGACTACAGGCGCCCGCCACCACGCCCGGCTAATTTTTTTGTGTTTTTTAGTAGAGACGGGGTTTCACTGTGTTAGCCAGGATGGTCTCGATCTCCTGACCTCGTGATCCGCCCGCCTCGGCCTCCCAAAGTGCTGGGATTACAGGCGTGAGCCACCGCGCCCGGCCTCTCTCTCTTTCTGTGTATAGAGGCGATGCTTGCAACTGCTGCAGCCATTTTGCCACCATGGAGGAAGCTTCTTTGGGAATGATGCTAACATAAGGAAGGGAGGGAAAGGAGAAAACAACACTGGGTCCTTGATGACATCACTGTCCCATTGATCCTACCTGCCTTGACACCCACACTCCCTGCAGAAACAGCTGCTGATAAATCTCCAATACATCAAGCATTTTGCATTGTTTTCTATTTTTGACAGTGTGAAGCCTCATGACTTATATGTCAGATTAAGCCTTTTGTTAAGAAGATATAAGCATTGTCATGAGAAACACCAGACTTTGGTTTAAGTTACTGCTCTGCAACTTTCGGACCTACGTGGCCTTACGAATGCATAAACTTCTTCCTGGAAGCTGGCGCTACACAGGTGTGGACTGTTCCATATATGAGCAAGCTTGGACACAGATATTTTTGTGAAGGGCAGTAAGGCTGGGCACAATGCCTCACGTCTGTAATTCCAGCACTCTGGGAGGCTGAGGTGGAAGGATCGCGTGAGGCCAGGAGTTCAAGACCAGCCTGGGCAATACAGCAAAACACCATCTTTACAAAAAAAAAATCATTAAAAAAAAATAGCTGAATGTGGTGATGCACACCTGTAGTCCCAGCTACTCATGAGGCTGAGGTGGGAGCCACTTGAGCCCAGGAGTTCGAGGCTGCAGTGAGCTGTGATCATGCCACACCACTGCACTCCAGCCTGGAAGAGAGTGAGACCTTGTCTCTAAAAGTAAAGTAAAATATAAAACTGGGACAATGAATGCTCACCACAAAGTCCCCATCCCCCTTCTTGGGGGTCCATTGTCCATTACCTCACATCATGTCTCCATCAGGACAGCCTGTCAGTCAGCTCTAGCACCTCTCAGCTCTAAACTGCAGTAGAGAGGGAGGACAGACCAGAACGAGGAGTCTCTGGAATAAATTCCCATCTTTCCAAGGGGATTCCTTGCCTCAGAGAGGTTCAGTGAAGCCAGAAAAGGCACTGTGAAAGGTGGTGTCTGATTTGCAAGGCAGCTTGAAGCAAGGGTTGAGCCTCATGAGGAGGGGCTGGGGCTTCTGAGGGGCTATAGAAAGTCTTCATTGCCATGTCCTGCTTCCAAGGCAACCCTGATTCGGTTTCCCATTAGAAACACATTGAATCTGTGACTCGACCTGATCCCATCCTCTCCAATGACAGGCTGTCTACCGCCAGATGATAAACAGGAAGTCACTGAGTAAGAGGAGCGTGTCGGTCCATGCCGGAGGGGGTTACCTAACTTGGGAAGGCAGAGCTCCAGTAACCACATCTCATACTGAGAATGATGCCTACAGCAATGATGCCTCGCAGGCCTTCTGCAAAGGGTGGCAGAGGAGGACAGCAGTCTCATAGCCTCAATCTTTTTTGGGAAGCAGTAAACCAAACACGCTCTTCTATAGAGACAAGTGCAGCAGTTCTTTTCACAAATTCATGCAGAGGATGCACATGTTGTGAACTGAGAAATTGTATCTCGAGTTCTTTCATTTTCAGTTCAGTTTTACTTTACAATAACTGCTGCTCTTGCTACTATTATTATTTCTAAATACAACACAGCTCTAACTTCAGCAGTGCTTACCTTACCCTCAGGGAGATTATGTGCTGGACACTGGCAAGGGAATATGTGTACTAGGAGTCATAATATTTGCCATGCTGAGTATGCTGACCTCATTCCGGGCATGGTTTTGAGTACTTTCTTTTTGCATCTCAACACCTTACTTAACCTTACAACAGCTTTGAGAGCTGGGTGTTGTTATCCTCACTTCCAAAAGAAGAAATCAATAGCTCAGAATCGAGTCCAGCAACTTGCCAAAGGTCGCAGGCTACCTGTTATCTCTGCATAGGACTAGACTGCAGGCAACAATTAGCCCAATGTCAGCCTTAGGACCATCCTGGCAGAATAGAGGTGATCTTGAATATAATGGGAAAAAAGAGAAAAAGAAAAAATAACAATGATGAAGTTGATCACCTCAGGTTCACAGGCTGTGCAGCAGCAGAGCTGGGCCTGGTATCCACCTTCCAGATCCCACTCCAGAGACCTTCCCTTAATATTTTGCTACCTTAATCTCAGGGCATACGGATTCTTTTTCTTTGGCTTCACTAACATGCTATGTATTTGGCATGATCTTCCCCTCAATGTTTCCATCTGAGACATGGGAGGGAGAGACCTACTTTGTTAAAAGGAAAACATGATAGAAACATTAAAAAGAGATTTTCCCATAGCACAGGGGGAAAAAACTATAAATAGAGTGAAATGTTAATGGTGAAATCCTGGTGGTGGGTATCTGAATGTTCACCGTCTAATTGTTTTGATGTTTCTGTATGGTTGAACATTTTCATATATAATGTTGGGGGAGAAACAATGTTTCCAATATCTCAGTGGTACATTAATATTGATAACACCCTCTTGTAGTATCTGAGGGTGATAAGAAGAAAGATCAATGCAACAGCAAGGGCTGCGGTCAAGCTCGATGTGTTCCATGAACCCCTCCAGGGGTGGCCATGACTGGCTGCCATGTGGCCACTGTGGTCACATCACCTTGCCTGGTCGCCAATCTTCAGGTGTCGCTGCCACTCAGCAGTGCTCCACTTCTGAGACTGTTTCTACTATGATTAAAGGCCTCTGGTCCTGAACTGTCACCAGCAGAGTGACATGGTGCCAACACATGGCCAAGCATATGACAAACATCTACTGTTGACAAGACAACATCCTAGAGGTGTCAGGCGGACGGAAGCAGCCCATTCCAGAAGGAAAGCTCCTGCATGCTGGGTCCTTTGCTCCTGAGACATCTGTACGGTGGAGTCAGAGTGTCCCAGCACCTCGCTGTCTCTCAAGCTGCACACTCGTTTCATTTCCTCTTAGACCTGCAGTGTGACTTATCTTTTCATCAGAGGGGCTTGGAGGGCTTCCCCTCAGTAGCAAAGCCATACCAGCAAGATGTCCTCCTGGGAGATCCATGAAATAACTTGGCTCAGAAGCAAATTATCTCTGAGCAGCTCTATTTTCAATCCTTCCTCGAGATATCACTATTACTAGAAAACTTACCTGGCTCTAATTTAATTGTGAAACAAGGCTTGTCCCTGTGCTAATATTAAAATGGAAATCTTCTAGTGAAATGGCTCATTTCTCTGGTGAATTATTGCCAGAAGGAGATAGGGCCTGAATGCAATTTGCTTAAGTGTCTCACAAACCACTCTGATTCCTGAAGACACTGGCCTTATCTTGTGCTTGATCGACCCTGCACAAGCTGCCTGTCTGCTGCTTGTTCTCTGGAGTTCTCTGAAAAGCCAGTGCTTGGTGGAAAAGCCACAGGAAAATGTTCACTTTTATATCTGCCTCATCATTATAGTTTCTTTCTTTTATTTGGAGACAGAGTCTCACTCTGTCACCCAGGCTGGAGTGCAGTGGCGCGATCTCAGCTCACTGCAACTTCCGCCTCCTGGATTCAAGTGATTCTTCCGCCTCAGCCTCCCGAGTAGCCGGGATTATGGGCACGTGCACCACAACCAGCTAATTTTGTATTTTTATTAGAGACAGGGTTTCACCATATTGGTGAGGCTGGTCTCGAACTGCTGACCTCGTGATCCGCCCACCTCAGCCTCCCAAAGTGCTAGGATTACAGGCGTGAGCCACGGCACCCCACCATCATTATAGTTTATTACTATTCCTCTGTATTTCTAATTATCATCTAAAAAGATGCCCAGTACCCAAAGAAGTTTGCTTTTGCCCAGTTTTCTGGAAAAATGTTCAGAGTGGCTTTTACCAAAAGCTCTCTTCCCCTTGCCTTTGCCCAAAGCCTGGAATGGGGAAGAAGAGCTCATGGGGTGGGAAGAAGAGCTGTGAGGGCAGAGGCAGCAAAGGTGCCCGCCTCCAGGAGCTTGCAGCTGGGCCTCCCCAGGATGGCGGTGCTTCTATCAGCTGTTTACATGAAAACAGGTGAAAAGGGAGGTAAGCCAGTTTAGGAACGGCATTCCAAACAGGAAACTACCTGAGTGCAGGTGCTGCAGAAAACAGAGGTTGATAAAGGCTCACAGCCCCAGGGCTCAGACTCTTACCAGCCTTTAAGAAGCAGGTGAGCTGGGCACAGTGATGCGTGTGCCTGTAGTTCCAGCTACTCAGGAGACTGAGATGAGAGGACGGCTTACGTGCAGGAGTTTGAGACTGCTGTGAGCTATGATCTCCCCACTGCATTTTAGCCTGGACAACAGAGGGAAACCCTATCTCTAAAAATATAAAAATCAAAAGAAGCAGTAGAAGGAGTAAACAGGAAAGACTCAAGCTCCCAATGGAAATACACACCATATCCAGGAGTTTGGAGGGTGTTTGGTTGGATTTGGTTTTTATGGACATGAACACACTCTGGTTCTTGCAGGAGTCAAGCTGCTCTGAAAAGAGATATAAGTGAGACTTCTGAATTTCCCTCCAGCACCCAGAAAAAGGTAGGAAACATAACAGGCATTCTTAATTAATTCCTGCAGGAGAACTAAGGTAAAAAGATGCTTCCCAACATCATCCTGAGCCCTCCTTGGAGGTACAACTGGAGGCCGAGATTTGTGTTTTGACATTGAGCCTTTTGGGGATTCAAAGGCACCTCCCTGGTCTCCCCCCAGACCATAAAGATATGAGAAACCCAAGCACCTGTTCTTGGCTGACGCCAGCTGGGAATTTACTGCCCATTCTCCTGGGCCTGATGCCCAGCAGGGCCAGTCTCAGCGGAGTCAACCGTCTGAGAGGAGGATCGATTAAGGAAACCGCTGTTCAGGCTTAGACTATAGATTTTTTGAAACAGCCCCATCCACAGCTGTAGATGGCTCCAGGCTGCTTACGGAGGCAGGAGAAAGTGATGGTCCCAGCTCCTGGGCTCGCCTTATGTGACTCTGTGCCTCCTTTCAGGATTTCTCTTTAAAAACCTATTTTTGCAAATGGTTTTCAAAAAGACCCAAATGAACTTTTTTCAAGTTGGGTCATAGCCATGATACCAGATGAGTCATCAGAAGTCCAAACCTAGGGATCGTTTTGTGGAAGAATATAATTTTGGAACTAGGAAGGTCCTTAGAGAGGGTTCGGTGCAGCAGTCCAACAGAAATCTAATGCGAGCCATGAATTCCAGATTTTCTAGCAGACATATTAAAAAGTAAAACCAAACAGGTGACATTAATTTCAATAATATATTCTACCTAACCTGATATATCCAAAATATTAACATTTCAACATGTAATAATTATAAAAACTATTTTATCAGCTTTATCAATACATAGCTTAAGTATCATAAAATTCTCTTTTTTTTTTTTTTTTTTTTGAGACAACGTCTTGCTCTGTTACCCAGGCTGGAGTGCAGTGGCATGATCTCAGCTCACTGCAACCTCTACTTCCTGGGTTCAAGTGATTCTCATGCCTCAGCCGCCTAAGTAGCTGGGACTACAAGCGTATGCCACCATGCCCGGCTAATTTTTGTATTTTTTGTAAAGATGGGGTTTCACCATGTTGCCCAGGCTGGTGTTAAACTCCTGGCCTCAAGTGATCTGCCCACCTCGGCCTCCCAAAGTGCCGGAATTACAAGCGTGAGCCACTGCACCCAGCCAGTACCATAAAAATTCACCCATGTAACGTGTACAATTAAATGGTTTTTCATATATTTACAGAGTTGTGTAACCATCACCATCATCTAATTTTAGAATATTTTCATCACCCCAAAAAGACACTTTGCATCCATTAGCAGCCACTCCCTGTTACCCTCTTGACCAGCCCCAGGCAACCATGAAACTGCTTTCTGTCTCTATGGAGCTGCCTGTTCTGAACACATCATATGAATGGAATTGTACAGTATGTGGGCTTTGCTGAATTGCTTATGAATTCATCATAATGTTTTCAAGATTCATCCATGTTGCAGCATGCATCAGTGCTCCATTCCTTTTCATTGCTACTGTGTAGATAAAAAATTACTATTATTATTATTATTATTATTATTAGAGACAGGGTCTCGTTCGATCACGCAGGCTGGAGTGCAGTACCACCATCATAGGTCACTGCAGCCTGGAACTGCTGGGCTCAAGCAATCCTCCAGCCTCAGCCTCCCAAGTAGGTAAGACTACAGGCACGTGCCACCATACCCAGCTAATTCTTATTTTTATTTTTTGTAGAGATGGGGTCTCACTATGTTGCCCAGGATGTCTCAAACTTCTGGCCTCAAGTAATCCTCCCTCCTTGGCCTCTTAAAGTGCTAGGATTATAGGCATGAACCACTGCACTTGACCGATAAAAAGTTACTGGGGTATTTTTCATTCTTTTTTGTACTAAGCCCTTAAAAGCCACTGTGCATTTTATACTCACAGCACATCTCATCTAGCAAGCGACATTGCAAGTGCTCGGTTGCCATGTGTGGCTCATGGCTCCCGTATTGGACAGCACAGATCTAGTCCACCTCTTTTTAAGAAACTAAGTATGGCATTGGAAGGACAATGACTTGCCCCAAGGCCACGTGCCAGTTAATGGCTCCATCTGAGCTTGAACCCAAGCATTCCTGGGACCATCCAGTGGCACCATGCTTCCTCTTCACCCATGCTTTGGGCCACCTGGAGAGGACAAAGATGGAAATCCATCTGGCTAAACAGACATCCATGGAAGTCCACACTTCTCTCTCAACGACACTCCAAATCTTAATCATCTTTGGTTTTCAACCAGGGCACAGGCCCAGTGGGACAAGGATTGGGACAGCCCAGCCACGATCATCCTAAAGAGAGCACCTCTCCATCCTATAGCGGAGGGAATTCTCAACAGCAGCCACCACTGACAGGCAGCAAGAGTTAAACTGATGGGTCACCGTGATAAGCCACTCAACTCCCCTGGGGACTCTTGGCAGAGGAACAATACATACATCTCCTGCTTTGCAGGGTAGCCCTGGAGATGAGGTACAAACACGCCTGGGTAGATGAGGTCTGTTGGGTAATGACAGTCAGTGAACTTCTATCCCTTATAAATAATATTGCCACATGGATCCCCACCCAGTGAATCAAAAACATTTACTACTTCTGGGAAAGGGCAAGGCAGATGCATGCTTCCTTTTGTATACAGTACTGGAAGCAGCTTTAGTCCTAACAATGCTGTGTGAGAGGTATTCTCATTACCTGCATTTAAAGATGAAAGAAGTATGGCACAGAGAGTTTACGTAACTTTCTCAAGGTCACAGAGCTAGTAAGTGGTGCAGCCAGCATTTGAACCCAGGCAATCTGGCTCTAGGATGCAGGTTCCTGACCACCATGCTGCCCTGGAGAAACCTGGAACTCCAGGAAACCCTTCCCTGTGAAATCTCATCTTCCTCGGTGGAAGCAAAAGACCTCCCAGCCCATGCTGTGTGTCCTCTGGAATCTCGCCTTCTAGCTCCAGGGAACATGTGTGGCCACCCTGACCAGATTTCCCACACTAGAGGCATGAGTCAGAAAGACAAAAAAAGTTTTCTTCCTTTTCTTCGTGAGTTATCATTACTTGTCATCACGCGTGTTATATAAGCCACAAGGGTCTGGATTTATTAAACTGGAAGGAAAGCTGCTGAGTTTGTTGCTGAGGAATGACAGACTCTACAACACTTGGACTCACTGCTTTTGTCCCCAAAACGTGCCTACCCAACCTGAGTGCAGCCTCAGAAATCTGTGCCTGAAATGCAGCCTCAGAAATCTTCCCTTGAGGTGGCAAGCAATGTAGTGAGCGTGGGGAGGCCGCGTCCCCACAGATGAGCTCTTCTCCCCAGCCTCTACTCACTGAACATTCAGTGGAGCCTGTGACTTGTGAGGGAACCCCTGGACCATGTGAGGTGACCTCACAAATGAAGCCAGACTCTGGGGTCGGGAGTAGATGGCCGCCTGGGCAATGTCACTCTGTGGGAGCACACTAGGATGGCACAGCCCAGAGGCTACAGTCAGGATGAATATGGGCACAGGCGTGATTATTTCCTCATACAATGTCATAAAAAATCCCCAATTTCATATAAAGAGCCAGATTTCCAGTTTCTCTTAAAAACCAGAAGACCTGGCAACATGGGCCAGAGTTCATGCCATGTAAGCCCTGAGGGGAACGTCTACCTCATGTTGGACAGGAAAACCTCCTTTGTGCTCACCACAGCCTCCACTACACCCTACTGTCTCCCACTGGGTCCTCTGATTTAGACATGGAACATGCACACTAGACTGGACCATGGAAGAGGACGGTGTGGCCTGGCTCATCAGGCCTATCAAGCTTGTCAGGTCTTGCTTTGCTGTTTTCATCTCACATGTGAATGCCTCCTTTCTCCATCTCCTCCAGAAGCTCTTTAAGGACAGGACCATTCCATGCACTTTCCTTCTCTCCTTTTCCTGCCAGACTGGGTTAGGCCCACAATAGGTTCTCATGCAACATTAGAAGAGCCTATGGGAAACCTGTGAGGATGGGGGTAACAGTGGGGTGACTTCACACAGCCCCTCACTGGTCAACCCCATGCCAAGACCTCAGAAGGCCACGGAGGGTGTACAGATGCGGATACTACAGGCAAAGATGCTGATGACTCAAAATTAACAACCAGGAAACAATCCGAGAAGCAAATGCCAGAAGCAAATACAACATGGAAAGGGTTGGGGAAGTCTAGAGGATTCCAATTTGACTGCTCAGAAGATCTCAGGCCCTGAGGGGAACAGGGGTAACGCTTGGCAAGGGCAACATGAGCCTGTGCTGCGCACACCTTCATCAGACCCCAGAGTCTAAAACAATTTCATGCCTCTCTTGAAGCGAAAATGCCCTGAAAATGACAGATTCCTGCAACCAAGCGTGGCAGGTCATTTGCACTCCCTGGTTGAAATTTCCAGGATGTGCCAGGGCCCTGGGACATCCCAACAAACCCCTAGAGAATGTGAGTCTTTAGGTCTGTCCCCTCCTCTACCTACTCCTATAGGAAATGGCAGATGAGACCACCGGCCCAAAGCTGGATGCCTTCTATAAATGATACCATCCCGTCTGTTGCCTGGGGGCACTTAGGAGCAGCAGGATTGCCTAACCCCGTGGGAAGCCCAAGTGTCCAAGAATTGCTCCACAAGTTGCCACATGACCTTGCTTCACTCCAACAGGCGAAGCACCCATTGCATAATTATATAAATCTAAATGCACCCAAAGCTGTACCATGAGATTGTGAAATCAAGCACCACCTCTTCTATGTGTCTCTTTAGAATTTAGCACAGAGCTAGTGACACATTCATTCTAAACATGCTGACCCCTCCCCCATACTGGAGGCTTCACTGGAGGATCCCAAGAAGTTTATATCATGGGAGTTGTTGAGTAAGATCTGCGGAGTTATTCCCTGCCTAGTTTACACAATCCAGTGAGACAAAGTCACATACAAATGAATGTACTAAGATGACTGAAGGGCAATTGCAAGGAGTTTCTGGAACAGGCACCCCCCCCCGCCATTCCAATTTCAGGCTTTTTGTTTTTTTAAGCTGAAAGAGAGAGAAAAGAGAACAGCTTTGAATATTCACTTATTGGAAAAGATGAAACAACCCCTCTGTCAGCTAGCTGATTGCAACAGATGACAGCAATGATTAAAATCAGCTGTCTGGGTTAATTAGTGCCTATGACCACAAGTATATTGCTACTCCGTCACCACCATGATTTTTCTTCTTACTCCAAGCCTTGGTGGCAAAAATTTTGCTACCAGCAACTGCTTAGACCCTCACACAGCAAAGGGTCTCTTCAGCACAAAGGTTGTCTGAGTTCACCCTGCCTCCTATCTGCCCCTTCTGCTGTTGAAAGACTGGCTCCATTTCCAAGCTAGTTATTCTGGCTGCAACTCCTCTTTCATCTTCAATTCACGGTTGTCTGGGGTAACATTTGCTCTGGCTAACATGGCCCACTCTGTCAAGAGGAACAATATTTGCCCGAGATGGTTGTAAAAGATAACAAGGAATTTACTAAGAGCTACACACAACACTCTGTGTTGTCTTTGGTGGAATCAACCACCACCATAAATTTCAAATCCATGCTGCTGGGCTGCAACCACTGAGAATGTAGCCTGGCCACAAAGAAAGGCCATCTGTGGTCTATACATCCCATTAGGTGGCGTTCAGGATATACAGAATCTCAGTGATTTTCTAAAGTTAGGACAGTGGGATCAACTTAACTCTGATCACCATCAGAGAAAGTTACCCAACAGAGCCAGCTAGAGAGCACACAGATACTGGAGGGGCCCCCTTCATGCCCCCTTGGGGACCCCGGCTGCCCTGGTGCAGTGTCCTGATGACTGCTCCTCAACTCCAGGGCTGGAGTCTCCCAGCTCCTCCTGGAGGGCTTTCTGCAGGACCAGCACAGACAAACTGAGAGGCAGATAAGATTTAATTCTAGGAGAGTGGAGGGATGTGAGCAACCCTCAACCTGCAGAGGACTGAATTAGGTGGATCAATACCCTGGCTTCCTTGCCTCTCTCGTGGGACAATTCTGAAGCCTGTTCCACAGACTCTCTGAGACCCCGGCTAGAGCTGGGCCCTCGTTGTCCCCTGCAGTGTTCTGCTTAAGAATGCACCTTTATCTGCCTTTCCCCTCACTCTGTTTCATTACCTCATTCTCTCTCTTGTGCTTCTTAGGTCACCTCCTTGCACCCAAGTCCTTGTCTGAGTGTGTGCTTCTAGAGGAACCCAAACCAAGACACTGGCGAAACAGACAGAATTTAAATTAATAAGTTCTTACTTTTCTTCCCTGTCTGTGGCTTCTTCCACAGGGAATGCTTCAGTGCTCTCTTACTATCCCTAATGTAGAAATAGAGGGCATAAGAAAATGCCAGTATGAGGGAGGGGCACCTCCAACCCAACATCAGTGAGTGGCTACACTGGCCTAAAAGCTTGTATCAGTGCTACCCTAAAATCTCTTTGCTTACATTATCTTCCATTTAGAGGGTGAGCTGGGTTTTCCATTCTGAGCAGCGTTCATGGGCAGCTGCATGACAAAAGTCAGGTTGAATACATAGGTTATCAATTAGTGATGTCTGTAATGGTACCAGAATGGAAGAGTGGTGGCTGGCATGTCAGACATTTGCAATCATTTATATATGGAAAAGTATAATGATTTTGGAATGGGACAAACTAAAACGTCAAAATTCAGCTCTAACATCAAACAGAAGTAAGATCTTGGGCATCTTAATTTACTTGTCTAGGCCTCAGTTTCCTCAACTGTGAAAATGAAGATAACAATTTCCATCCTATAAGGCCATTATGAGGATTGTGGATGATGATATGTGAAAGTCCCTGGCACACTCCCAGATCCATAAACGTTTGGTTCCCTTCACCACTGGGAGCCAGGGAGCTCCCTTATAAAAAGTGTTTTGGATTTCTTAAGCAAACACATTATTTTCCAAAACTACTTAATATATTTAATGGCAAAGAATCTCAAAAGGATTAAAAAATTTTTAAAAAGCTCTAAAACTATGAACCTCTCTCTCTAGCCACACCTCTCTTCTGGTTGAAGTAGTTTTTCAGTGGAATTTAATGCTCCAGGCAAAGACATCTGATTCTTTGGCACACCCTTCAGAGTATGGTAATTCTCAGGTCAATTAAAAACACTGAAGAAAGAAGATGCTGAGAAATGGGACTGGCTTTAATGAAACATGCTTTGAATAATTAACCAGCAACTATGCAAGTTTAGACTGTGTCCATTAGCTGATTGTTCTGTTTAAAAAGGGACTGCCCCATTTGGCATGCCAAGATGGGGACTGTATCCCAACCGGAGGAACCTGATGCTCCTGACAGTATGTGTATCCCAGCAATCAAGATAGTGGAAATTTGTGCAAGTGAGAGGTAACTTTAAAACCTTGTGCAAATTGTATAAGCAGTGGTTTGGAAAATATGTCGGAAAGTTAGCTGCCAAAAGCCAAAAATGACAGCAATTTAAGGCACTGGAAATTGCCAGCAAATATGCCAGCACCCAGTGCTGAGCTCAGCACAGCGTGGACACTGCACACATGGCTGTTGAATGGCTGAATGACTGCTGACCCCTGCACATCTCCTCTGTACACTTGGAATGCTCAGAAGACAGCATGTGAGGACTGCAAATAGGAAAGATGGCCTTTCAGATCAGTCAAAAGACAAGAGACAAAGACTCCTCCAAAGAACAACTGTCTGAAAATGCTGAGCATAGGCAGTCTTCACTTGGCATAGTTCTGTAGGCATTAATTTAGTGCCCCAGTAACACTGTACAAGTTTCAGTTAGCACGGTATATTAACTGTAATTGCTAAAAGTGTAAATTTCGCCCCTAATGCTTCAGTCCGCAAATCATCATGCAATTAACATGTGCACCATGATCCATGACTAACATGCTGATTTTTTTTCAAAGTGAGTCACCAGGGGTCACTGTGCATCAGTTACTCAGTCCACCAATAGACAGCAAATTGTGAAGTTGTGTTGCCTTCCTGTCTCCCAGCGATAAACCCATTTCACAAGACAGATGACCAAAAGAAACAACTGGCCAACAAGATGAAATGAAAGTGAAGCAAAGAAATGAAATATGTTCACACTGGAAATGAAATGTGAATGGAATATAAATGGAGCTAGAGAAGAAGCAGCTGACCGTGGGGATGTTGACACTCCTGAGGTACAGACACTCTAGATTTGGAGACACAGGAATTAGTGAAGACAAACAACACAAATGAAGAAAGTGGTCTTGAGGAAAAGGATGATGTCTTAAAGAAATGCTTGAAGATATTTCATGACACTGAGAGCACAAAAGATAAGATGTTGGAAGCTGAGCCAAACTTAGGAGTACGGAAGCTTGCCAGGGCTTAGGAAAGATACTCACTCCACATCATAAGCACTGTTCAAACTACTCTTGGTAAGTTTGTTTTACAAAGAAATAAAACACTTTGGTTCTCAAAATTATAATGGCTTTTCAACTGCACATTGACAAATTGAAATTGGATCTATTTGTGAGATACAAAGTGATGCTTGATCTACATATACAATGTGGAATGACTGGATCAAGCTAATTCACATATTCGTTATCTCAAATACTTATCATTTATCCTCCTGTCCAACTGAAGCTTCATATCCTTGGACCAACATCTGCCCATTCCTTCCACTCCCCAGCCTCTGGAAACCATTATTCTGTTCCCTGCTTCTATGTGTCTGGTTATTTTAGATTCCACATACGAGATCATGCGGTATTTGTCTTTCTGTGCCTGGCTAATTTCACTTAGCACAATATCCTCTAGGTTCATCCATGTTGTCACAACTGACATCATCTTTCAAGTCTGAACAGTACTCCATTGTATATATACACCACCTTCTCTTTAGCCATTCATCTGTCGATGGACGCTTTGGTTGCTGCCGTATCTTGGCTATCATGAATAGTGCTGCAACAGGCATGGGAATGTGCATATCCCTTCAACATACCAATTTCAAAGTCTTTGGATGTATACCCAGAAGTGGAGCTGCTGGATCATATAGTAACTCTAATTTTAGTTTTTTGAGGAACCTTCATACTGTTTTCCATAATGGCTGTATTCATTTACATTTCCGCCAAAAGGGTACTAGGGTTCCCTTTTCTCCACGTCAATATTTCAAATGTTCTGTTAAATGTACTGACTGAATATTAGTTTCACTATTTTCCACTTTACTATGCTTTATAACCAATACTAAGAGAGTTTTTAAAGATTTGAGAAAAAATGTTAAAGTTTACAAAACCATCGTCATTTTTTTATTAATTATTTAGATGATATTGCACATTTTCAGCTTACATGGTAATGTTTACAATTCTGTACTACTGCAGCATGATGAACGGGATGCGGGGCACACAGAATTCTCTTTGAAAGTAGAAGAGAAATGGCAAAACCTTGCCTAGAGGTTGGTTCTGACATCTGGCTCCCACAAGGAGGCAACGTGGCAGAAACATGGTAGATTTTCTCCAAGCCCTCCACCTTGTTTTGTTTTGTTTTGTTTTTTTCTATTTTTGGGACTATGTCATGCTCTGGAACAAAAATGGACTGAAAAATAAGAAACAACAAACCTATGTAGGTTTTATAAAGCTTTACCATTTAGCAAGTTGTCTTTTAAAGGATGGGTTTCTCCATGGAATACTCTCAATCATCTAAGGTAGAGGACACACTTATCTCACTTATTTACAAAGGAGGAAACTGAGGCTGAGAGAAAATTAAGCACTAACCCCAAACCACACAATTAGGAATTGGAGGACCTACAACAGTGTCATCAAGTAGATATAAAACATCTAAAAAGCAAATCACATATGTAACTTTAAATTTTCTAGTGTTCACATTTTAGAAGTTTTCTAAAAGAAATTAAGTGTAGTAACTTTTAATTAACCCAATATATCAAAAATATTATCAATGCAGCATGTTCTCAATATACAATTAATAAGGAAATAGTCACATTCTTTTGTACGAAGTCTTCAAAATCTGATGAGCATTTATACCTAAGGCACATGTCAATTCCACATTTCAAGTTGCTCCATCATCTACGCGGGATTGTTGGCTACCAAACCAGAGAGAATTGGGAACTGTCTGCTGCCTCTAGAAATGAGCATTTCAGTGGCTATGAGCCTCATATTTTTATCCACAACATTACTACCTCAGGATTACACCCTTTCCTCCAAAAGAGTTTTCTGAGAAAGTCATAGATCACTAAAAAGAGTGGAAGACATTTCAGAAATAGGATTTAAAATTTTTTTCTTCATAATTTTCTTTTAGTCAAAAAAATATTATGCAAAGTAACTGGGGTTACAAGTAACTTTCGCGAGGGTAGGTAGGAGAGTGGGCATAATTTGCACACAGAATTCTTTCTGTACCTAAAATGGAAGGCTCACTCACCAGGCAATGCCTCACTGAGCCATCAGAGAGCCTACTGGAGTCATTGGCCCTGCTTTCTAAACGCTATGTACTTTTCTATTCATGACTGACGTGTACATATGGAACTGATTTTGTTTCTAACTCTAATCATCGAATTTATATTCTTTTTTATTTAAAAAACGTATTTATAAACAAATGTACTTCTTATGTTGAAATGCTTTTACTTTCCTTTTATGACTTATTACGCTGATTATAACCACAAATAAAATATTGATTAAAAGGGATGACAATGATCACTCTTGCCTGTTCCTGATTTTAAAGGAAATGCTTTTATTATTTCTTAATTGATAATTATATTTACTTTCAGGTTTTGATAAATACTCTTTACTCCCTACTAGCCCTGCTTTGCAGACAACAAGATAGAGACAGATAGAGATAGAGACAGACAGAGATGGAGATAGAGATAGAGATAGAGAAAGGGATAGAGATAGAAGACAGAGATAGAGGGAGAGAGAGACAAAGAATAGGCTCAAATTTTAAAAATGTTTTTCTGCACCTATTGAAATAATCCTGTTCTTTTTTATCTGTTCATGAGATAAATTACATCATAGATTTAAATAAACATATTTTGAACTACTGATCAAAATTTTTAGTGTTATACATCTCTTCACATTTTCGATTTCTTGTTCAGTCAATGTTGTTATACTTTTCTAGAAAAAATGTCAATCTCATCTGAGTTGCCTAATATGTCGGTAAGAGTCACTTTATCTTTTTAATAATCTCTGCTATAGCTGTACCTATATCCTCCTTTTCTTGTCTAACATTATTCATTTTTGCGGATCAAGCTTGTCAAAGAATCTGTGTATTTTACTGTTCTTCATAATGAACAAAACTTGAGTTTTGACCATTCCACTGATAATAGCTGTTTTCTATTTCATTGATTCTACTCATATATATTATTTCCTTCCTTCTAATTTGTTTAGGTTTATTATTCTTTCTTCTAACTTATCACACTGAACAATTAGCATATTTAATTTTAGTCTTCCTTTACTGTGATATAATAAAGCATAAGATAATATATACAATATTCAACATAAGGCTATATATGTCTCTCTGTAGTCAAATAATTTAACTGGTGTGATGTTGATTCAATGACATTTTTTGAGACTTGTGTTATGGCCACGTACAAAGTGAATTCTTACACATGTTTTATTCTTAGATATTTTGGAAAATATTATGCTATATTGTTGAGAGTAAAGTTCTATATATGTCCATCAAATCAAACCATTGTTCAAATCTTCTATACCTTAAAGACTTTATTATTTGATCTTTCAGTTACCAAAAAATTGTATTAAAATCTCTCAATCTGATTATAAATTTGTCATTTTAAAAAATTTGTTGTTTCTTCTTATATCTTCAGTTTCTGGTGAAGTTTTTTTTTGACATGTTGAGACTATGTTATTAAATGTTTAGAAGTTTTAAATTGTTTTATCTTCCCAGTAAACTGTACCATTTACCATTAAAATTACCATTAGCATTAAAATCGTCTCAAATAATAATGTTTTGCTCTTAAATCAACTTTATTGGATAGTAATATCCAACCTAATCCAATGGTGTCTTTTGGTTAGTGTTTGCCTACTACATATTTTTCCATTCTTTTATTTTCAACCATTTGTGCCTTTGTGTTGTGAATGTATTATCTTAGTAATTCTCCATAAATTTTAACACAAACGTTTCATTTAATAAAATTAAATTTCACTCTATATTGACTGTCTTCTTCAAAAATACAGGGACTTAAAATGTCATAATTCTGACCGCCAACTCAAATTGATCACACTTATGTAGTCATTGATTTATACAGTCTGAAATATTTAAAATATCTTTTTATATAAATATTCATGAATATTATTATTTGAAGTTATTTAGAGTTCATTTCTACTGAGAATTTCAGAGAAAATTTCCATTCTTCTTCTAGGAATCCTGCACTGATGACCAGTGTGAACTCCATTACTATAATATGTTAATTTCTTGGCATGAGGTTTCCAGGACCATGAAAGTAGTGTAAAGAACTCCAAACCCACTTGGGGCAGGTCCACGATAAGATATTTTTTAAGAAGACTCCCCCAGCCCCACCTAGAGCCCAGATCAAAAGAGACAAACTTTCTAGCATTTTATTTTGTGAGAAGCGGATTTACCATACAGTCCCCTGTTTATTAATCAAAAGGCTCCTCTTTCATGGCAGGGTCACAGATCCAATTCCCCAACCCACTTTCACCCCCAGCCTTGTCTTCTGTCCTTGTGCAGTCATTAAAACGGACATTTCTTGTTTACTGAGATGGGCAAATGCCACCAGGAGAGATGCAGTAGTGAGTGACAACATGCTCCTTGGGTATTCAGCTTCCTCTTTATTTACAGCTCCAAGGATATCTCTCACCTGCTTCTAAGTTCAGCTCTGCTGTGATATTATCCAGCATTTCCTGTTGTTTTGGATCAGGAGGATTTTCAGGTTATCTTGTCTATTGGACATCACAAAGCAGTCACAATGACCTTTAGAAAAGGCTTACCTGATCCTGTCATTCCCTTCCTGCTTAAGCCCTTCAAAGACTCGCCTCTGCCCTGAGGATAGACACCTGAATTCCTATTTCAACTTCACATTGCCGGCCTGCCGCTGCCTTCTCCCACCTCACCTCGCTCTAGCAACAGGCCTTTCATGCTCAGTCTCTCTGACATGCCATGCCTCCAACCACCCCATAGACTTGCCCAGCGCTGGGACTTTGCCTGGTAAATTCTCCCCTCCACCTCGCCTTGATGTATGTCATGTCTCTTCATTCCTCAGATGCCGTGTCTGGCCCTAGAGGCTAATGTCCAGCTCCCCACTGCATGTTCTCACCACACCTTCTTTCTAGTACTTACTGCAGTTTATGATTAGTTGCTTAACAGTGTGAGTATCTAACGGATGTCTGTCTTCCCAGCAGCCTCTCGGCATTGTAGCCCTACCAGGCACGTCAGCACCTGGTTCACGGTATCTACTCATAAGGCACTAAAGGAATGCTCATTGAATTAAGATGAATGCAGAAGCTATTAGGATGACCCCTTGATGAAGGGATAAAGGCCTGGATTATGGCTTGACAATGGAATGAGAGGAAAGGTCAGATAGGAGAGAGATTGAGAAAAAAGAATTGACAATGCTTGGTAATTGTCAAACAATTGGATGACAGAATACGTTTAAAAGGGAGCTATATTTCACTGGAAGATATTTGATTATCTACATTTCAGCCACTCTGAGTAACGAGTGTAAGAACATTCAGGTGGAAACCTCCAGTGGTCGTGGGGAATACTGGAATCATGCTCAGGAGATGAATGAAGATCATAGTCATCTGAATCAAGGTGGGTGGCTGATTTTCCACATGGGGATTCAGTTCTTGGGGAAGGCTCTGGGGAGAGAGGAGCGTGGTGCCTGGGGCTGCGTCCTCAGAACCAAGGGGAGGAAAGAAGAAGGGGCCAGAGAAAGACACAGGAAGCAGCCCTAGCAGATGAGAAACAGGGACTGTAAGAGGGTTAAGGAAATGAGGGATAGGTTTCCAACAGGAGAGCTGAGTCCACAATGTCAAAGACTGCAGAAAGGTCAAGAAGAACTATTTCCACATTACACCAGAAGAAGCTTTGCAAGTTCAATTCTGCCATGAATTACCTACCCATGTTCTCCTGTACATCTTCTCAGGATAAACTTTAGAAAGACAGACAAGATAGAGGCATCTACCCTGTGGGGTCCTTCTGAACTAGGAAAAATGTTAACTTCCATTAAATCACTCTAGAAGTTCTCAGAGATTCAAAAATAACGCATGAAGAAATTCGCAGTTATTTTGGGGAAGTTATGTTCTGGAATTATCTAGATGTTTCTGAATGTGTCTTATTCCCTCACCTCCTGTAGCCCACCCCGTAACAGTTGTGCTTTGGAAACTTCTGTGTTGTTTGAGCTATTTTATTCTGGTCACAGACTCATTATTCCAATGTTATTCATATCCCCAGTATCTTACAAATAATATACATCAATCTTATAAATCATACTTTCTACTCATTAACATATGTCTCAGGAAATCACCTGGGATAATTTCATTAACTCTTAGAGTTATTTGGAGAGTAAAAGCCCTATCTAAAATTTAATATCATAAAAACAGACATAAAACATCTCAAATAAAAAAGAAACTTTTATTATTGCTTACATATTTTAAAGAGACAGACACTTTCTGAACAAGTTTAATGATAAAAATATTGAACTTTACTAAGAAGAGAAAAGGAAAAAAAATGTGGTTCAACAGGAAATTATGCATTGTTTACAGCACACCTTTCCAGATTATTCTTACTTTTCATTGCATTTGAGCTCTTTTACAACTCTGTAAATTGACAGTGATGCAAAATAATTATCTATACATGCAAATTTTGTCTAGTAGGTTCAATCGACTTCTCTCCCCTACTATGAAAGAAACCAATTTTGCCTCCATTTGCACATTCATTTCAATACTCCTGATCTATATTTGTGTCCGTTCTTTGGATTCTCCTTTGAAATGTCTATAACATCTTACCAGTTTCCTCATTCATAATGAGTTAAAGAAAATCTTCAACACATGTTTATTTTATATCTGTAGGAAGGTCATGATTAACCATTTCTTTAAATTATTACTTAACTAGGGATGCAAACTTGCCCCGTGAATTTAGAGACGACCGACAACTGCCCTGTACTTTCAGATTACAGCCACGTGTGGAAAACATCAGATGCAATCCCAGCTGCTTTCAGTACAGTCTTGGGAAAAGAGTAAAGAATTGCTTCCTCCCACAACCCAAACCTCTATCGCCCAAACCTCAATCTATATGGGACATCTCAAATGCAATACGAGCAAAACTGACCTAATCCCACACCTGCCCATTGACTTAATGAATAAAGGAATGAGGTGAAACACCTACAAAACCTGGGGCTTCTATTTATTCCCATCAGGGCCCATGCAGCCTGGCTCCAGCTTAAGCCAAGGCCCCTCCCTCTGAGTTCTAAATTAATCTTCCTCTTGGAGCTGGGTCTCCAGTATGCCCATTCACAATCCCACCCCTCACCTCCTCTGCCTTTTCCAGGAAATTCTTTGAGTTATTATTCTCAAAACTTAACATTCTATTGAGATGAGAGTCCATGATGGAGATCTGATAGCATTGAGGTACACAGAGATGTGCTGGAGCCAGTCACTTTTTCCAAAGCACCAGTCCTGGGACCTTGAAGGTATAACTGGGTCAAATCAAAGGGAGGCATTCAGACTCGCTGCCCGATGTGATCAAGTTCACTTATTATTCAGCATTTCTACAGCCCTCGACATTCATTTCTCAGCACCCTTTTCCCAGAGACACAAAGGGCAGCCATTTTGCAGTAAAATGACCCCCATTGTCAGGGGAAGCTGATTCACTATTCATCACGATTGCCCTCAATGAGAGCTGAGTGTGCCAGAGTTCTTGAATTCAGAGCCACCAGCCTGGAAGGAGCATCTCCAACTCAGCCAAGAAGAAATCGAGCCGAAGACACCGTTATCTGTCCACAAGCACCACTGACGCAGACTGAAGTGCTAGTTATAAATCATTCTTATCTACTTGTCAATGCTGGCTTTGGGAAACGCCCCGGGCATGCACGGTTAATCTACTTACAAGTACTTTTCAATTTTTGAAAAGAATTCAGACCTGGCAGAGCTACCCCGGCCAAAGCGAGACTGGGTGAGATTCTCCTAATCAATAGGCCCACCGCAAGAATGGAGAAATGGAGAAACCGAGTGGCCTGAAAACGGCCAGGCCATCCTGAGAAAAGCATCCCCGGCCTGAGAGGAGATGCCTGGGGAGTGAGGGGTGGACAGCTCTGAGCTACATGGGGCACTCCCAAGCCCCGAGTATTGTGTGCACAAACCCTGGGGCCTCAAAGCACATGGACGAAGCAGGAACACATGGCTGAGCAGAAATGCCATCCAGAAAGAATCTTGGACAGGTCTGAGACAGGCACACCTCCCCACACCTCTGGATAACCCCGTCCGTGTCCTACCCTAACAGCCACATCTCCGCTGCTCCACTTTGCCCACTGGCATGGTCTTTTTGGACATGGTTGGTTTGCTTTCCCTCAATCTACTGCAAGATCCCTGCAGGGCTGCAGAGACTTATTCAAACAGTAGGATCTAAATCTAGACCAACCCTCTTCACCGGGACAGGCTGAGAGAGGTGGTAGCCCGTGGCCAGCCAGGTTCACAAGTGGGAGGCGTGGCACTTGCTGCCAATGCCTGCAGATACCCTTGCCGGCCATGCACCCTGCTGCTGTGAGCTCTGGCTGCTCCTGGCTCTCAGCTTCCCCCATGTCCAGAGAAGCTGCCTTGCTTAGGAGTCACACATTTCCCCTGCCCCATGCGAGGGGCAGCCAGGGGCTAGTGAGTGGCTGACTGGGTCTACAAAAAGTGGTCCCATTGACCCAAGATAAGATCAACTGTGTGATGTTGTTGTGCTCCAGAGCACCCTGTGGGATCAGCCAAACCCAAGCAGAGACAACATCCCAACCCAACCTTCATCCCCAGCCTATCCTCCTTCCCTCCCTCAATTACTCACCTGCCCACAAATCAGGCTCACTAACCAGAGACAGTGGGTGACCCACAGAAGGAGGTCTGAGATTCCTTTTTCATTTCCACCTTCACAAGAGAGATGAGTTACTGCAGCAGCACCTCCTCTGGCTTCCCTGGCTTCCTGAGCCTGTCTGCACATACAGAGTTTTGTCCACTCTGAAGAGAGTTTTACTATCCCTGGAGTTCCCTGTCACTTAGAATTTGGAAACTCCTGGAAGGAGAAAACTGCTTTTACAATGCAAACTCACAATTCAGAGCTACTTCTCCTTCTAGAAGTAGGACAGTGTGGTATTGAGGGTCTGCATGTTATTTCAAAGCAACAGGAACCTCAGATGTACACCATTGAGGCTGCAATGGCTCACAAGAACATCACGAGCCTCTAGTTTCAGACACAGTTAGATAAACTCTAGTAGTCACAGCAGTTGTTGCAGTGTGACCTGAAGCCCCACTGGCAGTCATGTGGGTCTATGATGATTTTCAGTGGGAAAACGAAAAAATGAATGCTTTATTAATAAAGCTTTACTGGTCAACAGAATTTTCCAAGACATTGGCCATTTGGAAGAAACTAACAGAAGGAGGTATCAAAACCACCATGTTCTACCTGGTTAAACTGATCATCTCTGTTAGGCCCTTGGGGTTGGGCAGCCTGCAGGAAGACAGAAAAGACTCAGGACAACCGCAGATTGTGCTTCTCCCACTCCACAGACCATGGGGTCCCATACAGTCCAACGAGGGCCATAGAACTGAGGGGGCAGCTTCCCAGCCCTGGACTAGTGCCAAGGCTGCCCACAGGGCCCCTGGGTTGTGTCCAGGCAGTTTCCTCACCCATGCCTCCACTCCCCCTACTTCTCAAAGGCAAAGCCATCGAGGGGGACCTTTGAGATCCCTCAGGCTGGGAGCCAGGACCCTTGGGGTGAAAACAATGTGACAGGGTGGTGTGGATCAAATTGGTTACCTGCTAATATGACACACCTCTCTGGCCCTGCAGACATGCAATTGATGCGTGTCCAAGCTCCTCTGCCACACCCAGCTGAAGTGAATGGAGGAAGAAAGGGTCAGCCACCCTGGGGTCACCATCCTCTGATGGGCTAACAAATGTCCCGAAGAAGCACCCTCTTCTCCAACAGCACCCAGTGCCTCTTGTGTTCAGCTGGCCCCTTCCAGTTGCCCGTGCAGGTCCTCAGGTGAGCAGCGAGCCCTGTTCCCCATCTCCTAGCCCACCTGTGGGAGACAGCCTTGGGGGTGCCTGGAGAGGCTGCTGGCAGTGGGATCCCCAGTTGCAGGAGGTGGCACTAGAAAGGCAATGCACTATTTAGAAAACGCATCACCTGTTGCTTTTATCTGAGGGTACTGGGGCTGCTTCTCCTGTTGTGCTTCATACGGGCTTAGGCATCTCAAACACTGCACAAGGAGCATAAGAGAGGGATAGGGCTGTCTCCAGGCCTGGCCCAAGACACAGTAATTTTGGAAAGACTCATTCTTACTCTGTGTTGTTTTTTTTTTTTTTTTTTAAAATAAGCTTTTCTCAAAGAGCTCCAGTGATTGCATCACACTTCCTCCAGTGTAACTAACACTTTTCCCCACACTGTGATTCCCAACTGCATCCCAACCTTAGGAGTGGGTCCTCCCACGAATTTGGCAGGTGTGTGTGTGTGTGTGTGTGTGCATGCGCCCATGTGTGTGCTGGGTGAGGGATGGGAATAAAACTCCTTTTTTTGGGTGAAGTGGAGGGGAGAAGTGAAAGAGAAGGACAGGAGGAGGAGAAAGATCAATAGTAATACTGATGATCATTGTCGTCATTGTGGAAACAATCAGCCTCCAGAGGGCAGGAGGTGTGTCTTCGGTGTGTCTTGTCTGGCCATCCCCTTTGCATGCTGCAGAGACCCAACACCAGACCAGGGCGGGGACCAGGATGCCAGGGCACTGGCAACTGCTCCCTCCCCATGGTTAGGACTCTCTCTTGGTCTCTTGGCTGTGGGTTGCCAATGAGCCCTTTCAATCCAATAAATGTGACTGTGAAGTTCAAACCCAAGCATCCACTTTGCTTTAAAATCGAAGTTACACTTTAAATAGGTACCTCCATGTTGGAAAACTGTTTATTAGGATCTACTGCAGCCGAACATAGCATCCCCTCAGACCCTGCCATTCCACTCTGGAGTATACACCAGATCAAAATACATGCAAGTGATGGCGGAAAGGCATGAACAAGAATGTTCTGAGCTGCACAGCTCATTATAGATGAACAGTGGAAATCACACAAATGTCCATCAGTTCTCACAATAAAACTGTGAACGGCAACAATAATGAATAACCTACAACTAGACATGACGACACGGATGAATCTCACAAGCATAACATTCAGCAAGAAAACAGACACACAGATGACAAACGGCACAAGAACAGGCAGAGCTGCTCTCTGCTGTTAGAAGCTGGGACAGTGGTCACTCTTGTGGGGGGTGACTCGGAAGGACCATGTGCAGGTTTCAAGGGTGCAGATCCTGCTCTGTTTCTTAATTTGGCGGCTGCTGTCTAGTTAGTGAAAATTCATCAAGCTATATACACTTATGATAGATACCCTTTTCTGTACATATATTGAACTTTAAAAAAAGTTTTAAAAAAGTAACAAAATGAATCACATTCTCTCTGCACCAAAACCATCTTTGTCACTTCCTATTTGGGTTGAAAATAGAAAAGGCAGCAGGAAAATGTTACAGCCGCTCAGGCACCCGTAAAATCGACTGAAAGTAAAACCGACAGACGTGAAACTCAGGCCCAGGCTTAAATCAGAAGGCGAGGTGGAGGCTGCGAGGAAAAAGGGGGAGCAGGCTGGGATTTGATGAGAAGGAGGCCAAACCAAGAGCCCCTCATGAGAGCTGCATATCTCTCCTGCTCAATCTCCCTCTCACCAAGAGTGAATCTCAATCCAGCTGAATTCAGCCACAGGTCAATGCTCATGCTGTTGTCCATTCAATGACGACGCAGGAGAAGAGACAGGTCCTATGCATGGAGAGCAGGGGAAGGATCAGCTCAGAGCCCAGATTCCAGCCTGGCCCTGCTGGTGTTTGGTTGTCTCAGAGAGACTGGACCCAAGCTGTTCTGCAAGCTGGGTGGATGTTCTGCAAGCTGAGCTAGCACATGACGGGAACAGGTGCCGAACCCACAAAGCACAGATTCCCATGACTTGAAAGGGACGGCACACCAGGCCTTCTCAGAAGGTAATTCTCATGAAATCCCTTCTCAGGATGACTTACAGATGGCAAAGCAGGTGAAGATGGGCAGCTGAGGCAGGGGAACAGCAGATGGCCAGCCAGCTAACCAAATCCAGATGCACGACCCCGCCATCCACACCAGACACTGACCCCCGCCTGCAGGCCCAGGAGCACCAGGTGCTGAAATTCCTCCCAACTTCTCTTTCCATGGCAGAAGGAACTTCAGAAGGAAAGGAAAATGGATGAACATCTGCAGCTCCCGAAACCTAGAGGGTCTCTAAACTCAAAATGTGAAGAATCCTAATGAAACAGAGCTAATCAAATGTTTGTTGTGTTGCCATAATTTCTCATTGTCATCATTTCAGGCCAAGTGCTAAATAATGTAATGAATATCACATTTTAAAGTTCGTTGCAAGGCTTGGAAGTGTCCAGAGCTTAGGTAGTTCCTTGGAGAATAACAGCCCAGAAAAGAAGAGGGAAACTCTACCGAAAAATAGAGTGAGGTTTATAAACATGAGCCACCATCCCCAAGGGACACTCCCTCACTCCATCTCCACACTTGCATCCCTCTCTCTCTGTGGGTTTCTGCCACAGCTGTTGACCTTTCAATATGCCCTTGGTGCTCATGTTAAGTTTGTTTGTTTTTTGTTTGTTTTGTTTTGTTTTTGAGACAGGGTCTCACTTTGTCACCCAGGCTGGAGTGAAGTGGCGCAATCATAGTTTACTGCAGCCTCAAACGCCTGGGCTCAAATGATGCTGCCTCCTCAGCCTCCCCAGTGGCTGGGAATACAGGCATGCACCACCATGCCTGGCCAATTTTTGCATATTTTTTTTGCAGAGTTGCGGTCTTGCTATGTTGCCAAGGCTGGTCTCAAGCTCTTGGCCTCAAGCAATCCTCCCACCCCAGCCTTCCGAAGTACTAGGATTATAGGCATGAGCCACCATGACAAGCCTGCTTATTTTTTCTCTAAAACTAGTGTAGAGTGGAGGATAGAAGCATACTATGATATATGGGCCGGTCTATCAACCCCCTGGGAGGGACAGAAACTCCAAGCTTCTCTAGGAAGGCACTGCTGGCTTCCCCCTGAGCTGTCTTGTGGAATTAACCCATATCACTCACTATCAACACCCCTTGCACACTCCCACACTGCTCTTTAGGGGCACCTCACAGGTGGCATGAGAGTCTTTTGACTGTACATGCCCATTCTCCCTACTTGACTCTAGGTGCCTTCAAAGCAACGACTGTGTCCCATATGCTATTTAGACCCATATGTTACCAACAGAGCATGGCTCCCCAATAAAAGTTGGTTGAATTATATCAAATTAAATTATGAATAAATTCAAAAACAGAAAAGTTCGCCATGAGATAGAAGAAGTGGTCAGGACGTTGGAGTCAAATTAGGCCTTGAAATTTGTCTCATACATGAGCACTTCACAAGTGTTCAAAGAGTGAAACTATTTCTTTATTGGGTTTGTCACCCAGCGTTCATGCTGTTAAATGCATTTATGACCCATAGACACCTTGACCTTGAAGACTACAGACTGGCTCTTCATCTTCAAGGTAGGCTGGAGCAGAAATCTGGAGGCTCCAGGTGCAGGCTGCAGGGCTCAGTTGCACCTTGTAGGTAATGGAGAAACTGGGACATATGAATGGATGTTCTGCAGGGGATGCACCTGCCAGCATCTCAAAGCTACTGCAGGAAGCTCAGTCCATGTGATGCGCTGGAACAGTCAGGAGGAAGGGGTTGGGGTCTAGAGGGCCAGACAGGTAAGAAGCCAGAAGGTGCAAGTACAAGGTGTCAAGATCTGGACTTGAGGGGAGATGAGGTGACAGTCCAGATGAGGAGCCATGGGAGAGACGCTGTGAAGGAGCTAGTACAGAGACCCAGCTTCCCAGACGCTGCTCTGATGAAGACACAGGAATTCAGGAGACTCAGGTACTCAACCTAGGTGTGTAAATAGGAAGGGACCCTAGTGTAGGAGGTAAGTCCATGAGTTTTGCTTTAGATTAAGGCAGAGCACCTGAGTGAAAATAAATGTTTCTCCTTGCACCATACAGGGACCCAGAGCCGCAGCTGGTCCTTTGTACAAACTGGCGACAGCACCACCCTACCTCACCTTACTTCTGCACTAGGTAGGGGCATAGGCAGGGAAGATGAGTGGGTAGCACCTTCATGCACATTTGAAAAAGGCAGTTCTTGCTCCAAGCAGCTACAGCTCCAGGCCAGGGTCTCAGTCCCACTCAAACAAAAGCAGACATCCCATGCAGGGCATGCCTTGTGCCACCAAATTAAATGGCCCCGATAGAGCACTATTGAGCTTTAAAGGACAGTAGAGGATATAAGAAATGAGTCAAGTATCCTTGGGTAGAAAATAGCCGGAGTGGGCACATTAACTGCTCAGCAGCATTTAACTCAGTGTGTGTGAGTTTACAATGCAGAAACAATGCCAACAGCTTCTACACAGTCACACCGTATTCCAGGCCAGTGACAGCTAAGGCTGGAGGAAAAGAGAGAATTCATGACACCTTCTCCTGGGAGCAGATGATTATAAGGAGTGTGTGTGACCACAGGGCTGGAAATCAAAGCCCAGGGCCAACCATCAAAATAATCAGTACTGTGCAACAGAAATGATAGCCATTATCATAGGTGCTGTTCCTCTTCCCAGACCCTTTAGAAATACCTTCTGTTCACCTTCTTCTCATGGCCTCATTTCTTCAGAGCACACCAATGACATCACGGTGCTCCTGTGCACCTGCAGCTCTCTCTGAAGTCAGCAAAGCCACCATCCATGGGAGACTCTATAGTAGTAAGGAAGCTGGATCCCATCTCATAAGGAAAGGAAACCCATCCTCCTTTCTACCCCAAGAAGGTCTGCATTTTTCTCTCTCAATATTGCTAGGCTCTCAATAAAGTAGCCTGTGCTTCACTAGCATAGAAGGGTCTCAATCTTGGCATTTCATCTGAAGTGCAGTCATGCAAGGAGCAAACCATATGCTTGAGTGTGTGACCACGTGCAGAGGGCAAAATCACAGCACCTCCTGGCTGCCCTGTTTCACAGCAGTGCTTCTCAAACTTCTCTTTCACAGGCAATACATGCCAACTTCGTTAAGCAAACTTTCCTGGGTCTCATCCTCAGAGGCTCCCATTCAGCAGGTTGGGGAGGGGCCCATGACTCTGCATTTCTAACAAGCTCACAGGGGACCTGGGCGATGCTGATGCTGCTGTTCCAAGGCTCTCACTTTGAAAAACACGGGTTTATACTATTAGCAAAATTTATGACATGCAGAAGAAATCCGAGCTGTGCAATCTCAATGGCTCTGTGAAACCAAAAGAAAATAACATTTACAAAAGTAATTCTCATGAAATAAGAACGAATAATGATTCAGGGCATGCTCAGAGCAAAACCATATTACTCTGGCTATAAATTAGCCTTAGAAGGTAGCATCTTTCAGGAGGCTAGAGACTTAAAAGCAATAATCAAATTAGAGAGAAATTAGTGTTACCAATATAAAGACAATTTAGCATAAATGCTCCCATTCTATAGATAAAGAAACTGAGAACAGAAGAGAACATGCAGAAAGTTAATAGCTGAAGTGAGATTAGAACTCCTGTCTCTAGAGTCACTGTCCAGCACTCCTGTTCTAGGCAATGCCCTTCACTCTTGTGAGCCATGTCTCCTACCCCTGAATGATTTCATGACAGGAACTACAAAGATGCAGGAGCATCATGAAGTTATACCGTCCTTCATAGCAGAAAATAAAGATCAGTCCTGCACAATATCAACATAAAATATTTCATTCCTGGTGTCTTCTAAAATAAACCTTCACTGTGTGCTGACACTCAGAACATTAATCAGAAAAGTGCATGCACAGGCAAGTATATTTCTTGTCTCCCCTTCCTCCTCCCCTCCTTCCTACTCTACTTTCCAATGACTTAGAAAAGTTTGGAAAACAAACCCCAAGGTGAAAGAGCCATCACGGGACACTTATGGTACCCCAGAAGCCTGCAGGGGTATCCCTTCCCATGTAGGACAAGATGCGTCCATGTATGGTTTCCTTGGCTCAAGATGCAAGGGTGATGTTCTTGCCATCTTAGGCAAAACAACTATCCTAAACTGCCTGGAGCGGACATCCTTCTCCTCCCAGGCTTGGAACTGCTGTGTGCACTTCCGTTAACGCTGCTGGCTTGTACAACCACGGGGAGCCTGGGGAGAGACCCTCCCCACCCCGGACTGCTCATCGCTCTTGCGAAACTCAGTTGACAGTTAAAATTTTGTTTTTCCTTCTTGCTTTGTTATCAGAGGAACAGTCAGTATGTAGAAAAACCGAAGCAACTGTCAAGAAGAGAAGATAAGAAAAACAAGATATCTGTTTAAAAAGTAAAGGTCATGATGTGACGCAGTTAAAGGAGATAATTTAGTCTGATACTAATAACGCTCTTGGGGGTTGATTCAGTTTCCAAGTCGATTCATTTTCCAAATTGGTAGCTCCTCCTTTGCCATCATTGTCCCGTTCATACTACGCTTTTGCCTACACTTGTCATAGAGGTTCTGGGCATTTCTGATGAGGAATGAGTTTCCATAGAAGAAGCACAAGCTGACGTTGAAGAGGCAAGGTGAGGACACCTGATGCCAGGTGAGAATTCCCTCTAAATAGATTTAGACAAAAATTATAAAAGCATGCAACAAGCCTAAAGGCAGATAGCTTAGCCAACAGAGTTCTCTATCAATATGCAAAAGCTCTCTAACTCCAGAGTCCTCGTCAGTGGCTTTCCCAGCTAGTGCAGGCTACTGGACTACTACGGTGATGCCTGGAGAGCTAACATGATTGACAGCAGACTCATGCACAAAGGTGTTCAGTTAACAGTATTCAAATATCTCAAATAAACTATAATATTTTAAATAACCAACAATAAATAAGTATGACCTATACAGTCAACAGAATGCCAACCAGACTGAGATAATTATTAAAAAATTCAGTGACCTTTATTTCAAATATGTTGTCACAAAAGTGCAACATGAAACATTCTATTTAAAAGTCAAAAATACAACATACAACATTGCATTTATTTTGTGATAACCATCTCTCTTATTTTATTCATAAAAATATTCATAAAATAAAGAGAGCTGATCATCACAAAATAAATAGAATGTCACATGTTGCATGTTTGATCCTTAAATGGAAATATTTACTACCTACATGAATAATATTTACACATATGACCAAACACTGAACACTGAAAATAAATATTTTGATTGTCAAGGGTAGATAATTTTAACTCAATTTCTTCTATTTCTATTATTACTTATATAATCTACAGTATTCCACCACAAGATAAAAGTTAGCTTCCATTTAGTTGGTACAATGTCACCTGGGAAAAAAATTAATCATCCAATAAATACTTTAGCCTCTCCTCCACATGAGGCACTGGGCATACAGCCATGAATGCACCAAACCAAGTTTCTGCTCTTAGGGAGCTGACATTCTAGCTAGGGGAGGGTGACAACAATAAAATGAGCTAATAAATATATAATCAAGTGATAACATGTTACATGTTAATGTAAATTTCCATGTGGTGGGTGTGCACACACAGCCAATCACTCCAGGACTTCCTGTTCCTGCTCTGCAGAGAGTTAGACCATGGCCAATATTCGATACACTGGGTGCGTGCGTTTCCTATTGCTGCTGTAATAAATTACCACAAACTTACTGGCTTTCAACAGCCCCATACAGTTCTGGAAGTCAGAATCCTACAGAAGTCTTGCTGGGCTAAATTTAATGTGTCAGCAGGACTGCATTCCTACTGGAAGCTCTTGGGAAGAATCTGCAGCCTTGCCTTGTCCAGCTCCTGGAGGCACCCCCCATTCCTTGGCTCACGGCCTCTTCCATCTTCAAGCCAGTAATGACATCATTCTGACCTCGGCTTCTGTTGGCACATCACCTTCTCTGGCTGACTCTCCTGCCTCCCTGTTTTACAAGAACCATGTGATTGCACGGAGCCCACCCTGATAATCCAGGATCATCTCACTATTCCAAGGTCAGCTAACTTGCAACCTGAATTCCATCAGCAACTTGAACTCCTCCTTGCCACGTAACATAACAAACCCACAGATTTCAAGGATTCGGACGTAAACATCTTCGGGAGCACTATTCTGCAAACCACACTGGGGTAGCTCCTTGTCTAACTTCCTGGCAGAAATATCCAGAAATGTCTTTCTTCAGAGATGTTTGGCATGGGGAAAATAGTGTAAGAGTGTTTTCACAGAAAGTATAAGTTCAAAACTGCCCTGTCTACCTGTTTTTTACCTTGGGAAAGTTACTTTAATTTAAATGAGGATAATAATACCTAATCCATGGTTCTGCAGAGATAATTACGTGGGGTAAACCATAGAAACAGGTGTAAGCCTAAAAAATACTAAGACAGAGTAGTTAATATCGGATAGCTTTAGTTGTTCCCAAATCCCAATTTCTTTTTCTTTGTAACAAACTAAAAATTTCAAGCTAAAATCTGAACAGGCATTCTGGGATGCATGGTCATTAGCCTAGCATTAGGACCCAATGACCCTTCAATGGGTCATTCCCACTGAAGGAAATACAGAGATGCATAAAAGAAGCTGAGTGTGGATGAATGCCTAACACACAAGAAGGGATTGTGACATGCGGACTGTGGAAGGGCACATGGGTCCCCAGGTGTGAATCCCATCTCAGAAACATGAGGCATTTGTTGCTGAAAGGAACTGTTGTAAAGGGCACCCCCCCCATCAATATGTCTTTCTATACCCATCCATTCCCCCCCATCAATATGTCTTTCTATACCCATCCATTCAGAGACCCCAGTTCCCGGAAATGCAACTCAACTAGGCAAAGAAGCAAAAGGAGGGTGGTATGGAGCCTTCTGGAGATTAATAGAAAAGAGGTGCGATGGAAAGAGCCACAGGAGGGATCAAACCAGGGTGGCAGATTTTCACACACTGTCTCTAGATATAAGAACTAGGAAGAACTATCACTGATCAAAATTATAATGAATAAGGTTCCACCTCAGTATTCTAACTACAAGGTAGAAGGAGCAGGAGATCCCCTCTCAGGCAAGCTGAGTCACCCTAGAAAAGTCAACATCAACACTGGAAGGTTGGCCAGGGACCATGCACAACAACCACCCCTTCAGCATAAGCGATGCTCACAGTAACCTGACAATTGTGACCAGGTGAGAGTGGTGAGGGCGCTGAAGGGACAGGAGGGTCTGTTCACAGGCACACCCCCGGCCTGGACCTTCTCTTTCAAGGTTGATAACTCAAGACAATTTTGAAAATTCTCTGCAACATCTGAAGTAAAACACTATTCTTCTAAAAAAAAAAAAAATCTATTATGGGAAGAAGATGTAAATTTTGGAATCCATTTTTTTTAATCTCAATATCAAATAAACATAGGATATATGAAAGAAAAATCACTAAATGGAAAAGGCTAAGATTACAAGGGGAGTCAGCTAAGATGGAGATGACAAGACATAAAATGGTTAAAAAACCAGAAATGCAAACACAAAACATAAATGGGAATAAGAGGCAGCAGACAGCAGACCCAATAGTGCTGAAAATCAAATTACCAAGGGGAAAAAAACATAGGCTCTTACAGAATGAAGAGGAAAAGACAAAAAGATGAAGACACAGCCAAATAACTATCCAAATTACAAACAGTTCATGTTCCAAGGGAAACAACCAAAACCAACAAGAAGCCACAATTAAAGGTCATATTCTCCAGGCAAAACGAAATAAAATTAGAACTTGGTATATATACATATATATATATACACACACACACTCCAACAACTTAGAAGTTAAAATTCAGTCTCTCAAATAATTAATTGCAGAAAAAATAAAAACTATAATTACAAGACTATTTGAAAAGTACCAATAATGACTGCATGACATTTCAAAACTTATAGTTTGAGTCTAAAGCTACACTAAACATCAAATGCATTATAAAGCAAGAAATAATAAAAAGGAAATAAAGCATTTCATTCAAGATATTTGAAAATAAACACAGGAATTAAGAGGAGATTTTGAATAAATATTAAAGCTTTACTGACTCAGGGAAAAGGGAAAAGAGAAAAATTAATGAAGAAATACAAGATACAAATTTTCACAAATTGATAAAATACACCAAATACAGTCAGATTTTATCAATGAAAAAAATAAACATATACGTTAGTACTGAGAAAAGTTTATATGATCTCAATTACAGAACAAATTAAAACAAAAAAAGTACTTCATAATTTTGTTCATTTCTAAAATATTAATGAAATTAACACTTCTCTAGGAAAACATAAATTACCCACACAGAAAAGTATCAATGAAAGAAATTAAAGTTTGTTCAAAATTATCTTCATAGAAGACTGTAAGGCAGGCAGCACTATAAGTGCTTTTGTCAAATTTTCAATATACAAATAATTTCCATGCTTCATAAAATATTCCAGAACATAGAGGAACATAGAAATTATCAATTCATTTGTAAAGTTAGTGTGATCCTGACACCAAAACCTGGCAAAGGAGCTATATGTCTATTTCTTTCATAAATATATAGGCAAAAATTTCATAGAAAATGCAAATAAATAAAATCCAGCATCATATTAAAAATATATGTCATGCCTTTGTAAGATTCACTTTCAGAAGTGCTTTAGTAAGGATATTTTTTTCTATATATATTGTTATATTAAACACTTTAATAAGTGTTAATAAGGCATTTGATCACATTCAACATCCATGGCTAATTTTTTTTTTTTTGAGACGGAGTCTAGCTCTGTCACCCAGGCTGGAGTGCAGTGGCGTGATCTCAGCTCACTGCAAGCTCCGCCTCCTGGGTTCACGCCATTTTCCTGCCTCAGTCTCCCGAGTAGCTGAGACTACAGGCGCCCACCACCACGCCCACGCCCGGCTAATTTTTTGTATTTTTAGTAGAGACAAGGTTTCACAGTGTTAGCCAGGATGGTCTTGATCTCCTGACCTCGTGATCCGCCCACCTCAGCCTCCGAAAGTGCTGGGATTACAGGCGTGAGCCACCGCGCCCGGCCCTGATTTTTTTCTAATATAGAAAACCACAAATGAAAGGAAACTTCCACAGCATAATGAAAAGTAACCAGTGTCACTAATAGCCAAGGGGATCCATACCCCAATGGACAGCACATAGTCTTCCAACAGTAAAAAAACTCCTCAGCTACAGAATGAACCTAAAGATATTGATTCATAGAATAAGTTTATTTTCAGTATTGTATAATTTCACATTTTTAAGAATAAAATATAAAGAAGCAATATTTTAAAAGACTATTAAGGGATGAAACAAGAGCAACAACAAATAATAAATACCAGAGTAACCTTCACCAGTAAATGTAAGGAAGAAATAGAGAAATAATCATGAATCTTGACAAATTTTTTAAAAGCCTTTATCAAATGAAGAAACACACTATGAACAAAAAGAATCAACATTATAAAATGCCATTTTTCCATAAATTATTTATAGATTTATCAAAACCTAGAAGGATTTGGAGAAAATGTAAAGGATTATAAATTCATCTGGAAAGATAAATGAGTGATAACAATAAATAAATAGTTTTTTCAAAAAACAGGAAAGGTGTCTTGACCTACCAGATAATTAACATGCTAATAAGTTACAATTAATTAATGAGTAAATATAACAAAATAAATATCATAAAATATTTGCCTCTGGTACATAAGAGAATAGGCATGGAATAAAGGTGATACCACAAATGTGGAGGTAGAGGAAACAGTAGTCAATAAACAATTCTGGAATTAACTATTAAATATGTTAATCTGTTTAAATTAAATTTTAATCTTATGCTAAAATAAATTCCAAATGAAGTAAAGAGTTAAATTTTTTAAAAAGTAAACCATACAAATGGTGAATAAATACGTTGACTAAGAGCCTGAATCTAAGAATAGGCGGATGAAAAAATAAAGGGAAAGAGATACGGCGTGGGCCAGATGTCATGAGAATCCTCTATGCCAAAAAAAAAAAAGAATGAACAAGACTTTTGAAATACGGCAAAGTAAAACAAAATATATAAAAGCTCTTACAAAACATTAAGAAAAAACACTATTAACTCATTAGAAGAAAATGAAGACTGGATATGAGCAAACCCTTCTCACAAGAAAATAAATATAAAAGTTCAACAAACGTGTAAAACGTTGAACCTGCTCGGTAAAGAAGGAAGGCAAACTAAACCAACGGGACACCATCTTTCTACAATCAAATTGAATTAAAAATATATAAAAATAATTCAGGCAACAGAACATCGAATTGAGCTCTCTCAAACACTGCTGTTGGGATTTCAAATTTGTTCCAATTCCTGGAAAGTTACATGATAGTACGTGTGAGCCTTTACGATGGGCATGCCTTTTGATGCTGAAATACCACCTTTAGAAATCCAACCTAAAGAAACCGGCAGAGATTGTCAAAGACTTCTGACAAGAACAGTCATCAAAGTGAAGGCATGGAAAATCTCAAAATATGGATCTCAAATGGAACCCTGAATAAATAAGTTATGACATAATCAAAGGATACGATGTAATAGTTAAGACCACAGGATGTGGAATCAGACTGCCTGGATTCAAATTCTACTTGACCACATAGAAACTTTGTGACCTTGAGCAAGTTATTTAAACTGTTTGTCTTATTTTTCTTCGCATGTAAATTGGAGATAATAATGGTATCTACTCTATAGAGTTATTGTGGAGATTAAAGGAGTCAGTACAAGTAAAGCACTTAGAACAGTCCTCGGCCACACTAAATGCCCAATAAACATTACATGCTGTAACATGAAGAAAAATACTGTGATTATTATTACTATTAAGCAGACATTAAAACTAGTTTTTAAGATTAATTCCATGGAGGGATGCCCATGATAAGTTAAAAAGCATGACCCACCAATTGTACATAGTTTCTTCCAGAAACTGTGAGGAAGCATCTCCTAAATCATTTTATGGTGCCAGTATTACCCTGGTAGCAAAACCAGACAGTGATAGTACCAAATGAAGAAAATTACAGGTCCGTATCTTGTGTGATCCTAGACACAAAAGCCCTCAACCGAATATGATCAATCAAATCCAGGAAATACAAAATGAAAAACACACCATGATCAAGTGGGTCTTATACAGGGTATGCAAGGCTGATTCCGTATTTGAAAATCAATCCATGCAATCCACCATATTAACTGTCTAAAGAATTAAAACCACCTCAGCATATCAATTGATACATGAAAAACATCTGATAAACCAATATCCACCCTTGATAAAAACTCTCAGAAAACTAAGGCGAAAAAGGAAATTACTCAATTTGATAAAGGCAATCTATGAAAAACCTACAGCAAATAGCATACTTAACAGGGAAGGACTAAACGTTTTCCCCCTAATATCAGGGACACAAGACAAGGATGTCCATTCAAACTCAATATTGTACTAAAAGTCTTAGCCACTGTAATAAGTCAAGAAAAAGGAATTACAAACCCTGGATCTGAGTGTTTTTAGCAACTCTGTTCATAAATTAACAAAACTAAAAACAACTCAAATGTTCTTCAACATTAAATGGACAGACAAACTATTGTACATCTGTATAGTGGAATACTACTCAGCCATAAAAAGGAATGAACTACTGATGTGCAAAACAACTTAGATGAAGCTGAGAAGCATTGTACTGAGTGAAAAAAGCCTGTTTCAAAAGATTATAAACTATAGAACTCCATCTATGACGTTCTCAAAAAGACAAAACTATAGTAACAGAAAACACATCAGGGTTCAGAGATGGAAGAAGGGTATGAATATAAAGGGGTAGCTTGAGGGGGGTTTTTGGGGTGATATATTGTTCTGCACCCTGTCAAGTTTAGGGGTTTTTTATTTTAAAAGCAGGATCTAAAACATTATATGTAGTATGATATCAATTTAACATATGTAAGGGAAGAAATATTCCACAATGCTTGGAAAATACCGGAATTGACCTGTTCTCATGCCCAGATTTACTTAAAGTAGGTACAATGACTTTCTTCCTGCACATGGCCCAACAAACACCTGTGATTTCAAACAACCAAACTGTGGAATGCCATTCAAGAGGTCCTTCATATCACGTTTACAAAGCCTGGGTTCTTAAGGTCCTAGGAATATTTTATTTCTTTGGAAGTATCTTCAAATCACAACCCAGAATTCCAACAAGAAGGATGAAAAAAGTTGAAAACTCGTAAGCTCAAAGACCCCTAACAAAATGAATTAATGGCCACTCATTTTCAAAACGGTCAATCATCCTAATGGTTATATGAGGTTACAACCCAGGTAGAAGGTGGTGAACCAACAATGCAAACTCTCTTCTAAAGCAACCTAGGAGCATTCCAACAGCCAGTGTTTCTGATTAAACAAATCTCTTTTTTGTCACAAGAAGTGGCTCACCCTGAAAATTCCTAATTTTTCCCATGTACTAACTACACTAAATGCCAAAAAATTCCCAGAAAGATTCCAGCATTTCAGAAGAATTTCAGAATTTGAAAAAATTTTACCAAGAGTTAATTTGCATTAAATATTTTTATAACCTTAACTTTCTGGCATTTTTTAAAGAATTTACTAAGCAAAGAATCAGAAAGCCTGGGTTCCAGCCCCAATTCCAATTTCCTTTGACATTAGTTTCCTCAAAAGTAAAACAGGATGTTAAGATTCAATGGTCCCCAAGAGTTTCTCCATCTCTGATACTCTAGGAAACAGATAATGGTGAAAGTAATATTGCAAGGGCCATGGCTAAGCTGCTTGAATGAACAAACTACTCAAATAAGCTATTTTCATGGAGCATTCATTCAGAAATATTGTGCAAATGACAGAAAAAAAATCATTATCAAAGAAATTGTTAACAAGCCATGCATGGCCTTTATCCAGCACGTAGTTCAGGTTACCATACCTGACAGTAATAAAAGTGCATCCATGGAGAAAACCCTTCATGGTTCAATTTTACTAATGTAGACTGACCTGCCCCAAATTGCAAGAAATCCTTTGTGTAGAGTGCAAAATTATTGGGGGTAGAATTTCCTTAATTCTTGACGTTATACTTTTTAATTGACTTTTTTGGGAATAGGTGACATAAATTACTGGACTACTCCTTTTGTACTAAAAGACACATGGGTGTGCAGCATAAGGGATCCTTGTGGTGTTGGATCTGTACAGTATCTTGAATGTGATAATGAATACACAAACCTACACAGGTGATAAAACTGTGTGTAACTCAATACTCTCACACACACACACACACACACACACACTCACACACTCACACCACATGGGTACAGTAGTCCTCATTTATCCTCAGTTTCACTTTCTGCTGTTTCAGTTACCTGCAGTCGACCATAGTCCAAAAATATTAAATGGAAAAACCCAGAAGTAAGCAATACCTAAGTTCTAAATTGCCACTATTCTGAGTAATGTGATAAAATCTCAAGTTGTCATGCTCTGTCCCGCCTGGGACATAAATCATCCCTTTGTCCAGCTGATCCATTCTGCAGTCACTTAGTCACTCAGTAGCCAGCTCGGTTATCAGATCGACTGTCATGGTGTGGCAGTGCCTGGGTTCAAGGTGAACAGTAGCCTAACGCTATGTCACAGGCCTACGTCATGCACCTGACTTCATCTCCTTACGTAGGCCCTGTATCATCTCACATCATCACCAGAAGGGTGAGCACAGTACAAGAAGATATTTTGAGAGAGAAGGAGCGACCACATTCTCATAACCTTTCTTAGAGTATATTACGATTGTTCTATTTTATTGTTAGTTATTGTTAATCTCTTACTGTGCCTAATTTCTAAATTAAACTTTATCATGGTTATATAGGTATAGGAAAAAACACAGTGTATGTAGCATTCAGTACTATCCATGGTTTCGGGCATTCACTGGGAGGTCTTGAAACATATCCTCCATGGATACTGAGGGACTACCATACAAATAACACTGGAAAAATCTGAATAAAGTTCGTGGATTGTATCAATGTTATTACCCTGGTTATGATATTATACTATAGTTTTGCAAAATGTAAAGGAAATGGGAAAATGTGTAAGAGATGTCTCTGTATTACTTCTCCCCCACCGCACCACCCCGAGACAGAGCTTGGCTCTTGTTGCCCAGGCTGGAGTGCAATGGTGCAATCTCAGCTCACTGCAACCTCCACATCCTGGGTTCAAATGATTCTCCTGCTTCAGCCTCCTGAGTAGCTGGGATTACAGGCATGCGCCACTTCACCCAGTTAATTTTGTATTTTTAGTAGAGACAGGGTTTCACCAGGTTGGACAGGCTGATCTCGAACTCCTGACCTCAGATGATCCGCCCACCTCGGCCTCCCAAAGTGCTGGGATTACAGGCATGAGCCACTGTGCCTGGCCCTCTGTATTACTTCTTATGACTGTGTGTGAATCTGAAATTCTCTAAAAAATTTTTCAATTAAAAAAAGGGGTATGGGGAAGATTAAGCCTTCTCTTTACTTCTGACCATTAGTTCTACCAGGAGGCAGTAGCTCTTACCAGATTCATGTGTACAGTAGTTAAAAGGGAAGGAAAGAAGGAAGGAAGGAAGGAACGAAGGAAGGAAGGAAGGAAGGAAGGAAGGAAGGGAGGGAGGGGAAGGGGAGGAGGGAAGGAAGAAGGAGGGAGGGAGGGAAGGAAGGAAGGAAGGAAGGATTAAATAATTTGGGATGGTCCTGCTATATATCTAAATAAATTATTTAGTGCTTCCTTACTCACAGTTGTGAGGGCTGAATATATCTTGAGTCTAGGGGAGTGTTTCTGTTGAAAAAACCTTCCCCATTCCCAGATTCCTCTCCTATCGGATTCTCAGAAGTAACTAGGTCTTTTCCCTCAAGACAGGATGCTGAGTGATCTTTCTCTGGGAAAACTGACCACCCCCTGACAGAGATCTAAAACTTGAGATATGAAGCATTGCCCAATAAAATAGCCCAGTTAGATAGCATAACAGAGATACAATCAACAAGACCCTCCTTTGCACAATTTCCAGTCATCTTTTCCACAGCACCACCTAAATATAAGTAGTTGCCAAAGATCCCCTGACATCTGAAGAAAGCATGTATAATATGAAAAACAAGACAAAACAAAGGAACAACAGCAACTTGAAAAAAGAGTCCATATGGGGAAAAGAAAACCTCAATACTACTACGAATCTACTTAGGGATATGGGAGATGATATTGTACCACTGAAGCGGAACAGGATGCTACTAAAAATAGCTTCCACAGGAAGAAGAGCTCTTGGAAATTAAAAATATGACAGCAGAAATTAAACACTCAGTATAAGAGTTGGAAGACATGGTTAAAAAAAATCTATAGAAATTAGAGCAAAAGGATGAGAGAAATTGGAGAGAAGAGATAAGAAAATTAGAAGGTCAATCCAGGAAGTCAAACACCCAAATAATAGACAATCCAGAAAGAGAAAAGGGAGTACTTAGGATGGAGAATATTATAAAAGGGAAGTTTCCAGACCTAAAGAAGACAAGCTTCCAGTTTAAGAGAACCTGGTGAAAGATCCAAGAAAATGAATGAAAACAGACCCACGCCAGTCATATAATTGTGACGTGATTGAAGATTAGGAAAAAATAGACCATTAGGAGCAAAGCAAAGAATAGACATGCTCTTGGGGTGAGGCGGGGGGTGGATACAGGCTTCGAAAATGATTAACCAAGACAGCAGCAGATTTCTCAGAGGCAACAATGGAAGCTAGAAGACATTCAAGCAATGCCTTCAGAATTCCAAGGCAAATGAGTTTCAACCTAAATTCTTGACCCAGTCTAACTATCTTCTAAGTGTAGAGGTAGAAGGAATATATTTTAAAGCACATACAGTCTTGAATCTTTACTTTCCACACTCCCTATTGTAGGAGGCACCTGGAGGCTGTGACCCTCAAAAATGTACACTGAAATTTCAGGAATAAGCTAAGAAAGACGCATACCTGGGTTCCAGGGAGCAGGGCTTTCATCCCAAGGGAAAGTTAAAAGAAATATGCAGGATGAAGCTGAAGGGCAATGGGAAGATGACAGCTGGCAGCAGACTTTACAAGTGACCTGTCTAGATCAGAGCAGGCCAGAGGAATCTGGTAAAGACTTCCTCCAAAGAAGACGTGCTGGAATACTTAGTGTCCCTGCACATATTGAGAGGAGATGGAAGAGCCAGGTGTGAGGGCTCGCACCTGTAATCCCAGCAACTCAGGAGGCTGAGGCAGGAGGATTGCTTGAGCCTAGGAGTTTGAGGCTGCAGTGAGCTATGTTCATGCTACTACACTCCAGCCTAGGCAACAGCAAGATCCTGTCTCTAAAAAGAAAAGGAAATCTAGGCAACTGGAGAGAAGTTTAAGTTTAAATTAGTGGTGAAGGCTTAGAAAATGAAGCAGAAAAACACATATATTCACATCCAGGACAGGAAATTTAAGTACAGTGTATTTCGTACCTCAATGACGAACAGCAAAATGTGCTTGTGATAAGGTAAAGAATAACCTTTAACCCTTTGGTTCTTAGCTCTGGCTGCTGAGATACACTGGCACCAACTGTATTACTTTTTTATAAAATCCCAATGCCCAGGCCACAACTGGGAGCATGACAATAGAATTTCTGGGAGGTGGGACTCACATATGAGTAATTATTAAAGTTCCCAAAGTGATTACAATGTGCAGACAAGACTGAGAAGCACGGAGCTAACCATAGATGTAATGTTTACCCTCATGCATACCATTCCAACATCTTTATCTGCAGCCACAAATGCTTATCACCTTGACTTTCAAATGTCAGCTCTATATTCCACCTAGATGCTCTAAAAGTCCAAATCTTCAAAAATAAATGTTTCATGTTCTGTCTTAAACATGGCATTATCGACTTCCTGAGGTCACCAATCCCTTATCCCACCCCTTTTGTTCTATTGTCAAGGTCCTAATCAAGAAACCTGCTCCTTTCTCTGTCCTCTGTGGGTTCAATTCCATGGCAGACTGGCTGACTAAAGTGAAAATGACTTTTGCTGAGATCAAACAATGCAGAAATGCAAAGGAGAAAGGAAGAGAAATATTTGTTGCAAATATTCCAAATGTAAAAGTTGCAAATGTGAAAGTCCCTAAATTAGGTCACAGATGAGCTGACTTTATTTGTTCACTCTCTCCTAAAAATAAATCACTATTGACAAGCCAAAAACGATTACTAGATTTCATGATTTAAATAAGTGATGTTTATTGGTTCAGACAGTTCCAGGAATGACACAGGTCTTTCCTTGTTTCCTGGAGCTCCCACCTAAGCAACTAAACATGAAAAGGTCATGACCAACATGCTCCATGGTCCATGGATGGGTCCAGCTAAGATGAGTTTCTACCCAAGTCTCAAATATCTACATATAGCCATTCTAATCCACCCACCTCCCTTTCTACATGTCAATTGCATTAAATGGCCAAGGCTTCATTTGGGGTCTATTCCTATAACCAGGTCCCCTGATGATGGTCCCCCGCAGTGTCTGGAGTGCCATCTGACAACCTCCTCTGAAGTGAACCAGAACAGCTGTGTCTCCAGAATCTGTACAAACCCTTGATGTGAGCCCATGTTTTAATTTACTTTAATCTACCAACCTGATATTGAGAAATGGTATTTCATTATTTTTAATTTGATTTTCATGTTAAAACTGAGATTAAGTTTGTTATTTGTGTCTGTTGGCCATCTGCAATTGTTTTCTTGTAAATTGCCTGTCTGCATCTTTTGCCTATTTTTCTACATTTGCCTTTGTATCCTCCATTCTTCCTCAATCTTATTCCCTTTATTATTCAGGTTCCAGCTTTTCCTGACCACCACAGCCTCCTCCATGCCATGCTGTATTTCTCATCCCGATCTCTCATAATTCATGAAAATTACTTGTTCAGCACCTCTCTTCTCACTCAAGCTTGAGCACCACGAGGATGAACATCACGGTGTCCCTCGAAGACAACGCTGCCACCCTAGCAACTAGCAAAGAGCCTGCCATTTGTTGAATGAACAAATGGGTGAAGGTCCCCGTGTCTTACGCAACTGGGGTCCGGGCAGGAACTCCCTCAAGGGATCCCACTGAGAGAGCTTCATGAAGGAACAGCCTACAAGGGTAAGAGTAGGGCTGGGAAACCAATAAGGGATAGTGTGGGCCGTCCGGGACTAGCAACAGCAAGGAGCATTGCCTCTCCAGGTTGGAAGTGGAACAGGAAGAGAACAGCAGGGGGAATCCTAGGAAACCTGAAGCCCATCACCACTTGGTTCATACAAAACCTTCTTCCATTTGGGTCCTTAATACTTCACATTCTCAAATGCTACAGGATAATCCCATTTGTGAAACCATTGCAAACAATAAATATAAATAATTGCCAAACAAGCTCTATAGAAAAAGAAGGCAAAAATGGACCAGAAAAAAAAAATCCAAATTACCTTCCTGGCAGCATAACCCATTTGCTTTGCAACTTTGGGAACATTTTCTAACCACCCCATACCTCAGTTTCCCCATTATGAAAGTCTGTGTACTATTATTCCTCCAAAAAGTTCTTTCACTCAAGGAAAAGAAACCTCCATACAGAAAAAGAAAATTGCCAAAATTTTGTCCTATCAGCCATCTTCCACCAGGCCTTGGAATTTTCAGCAAATATCTAGTTTTGCAATTCTTTTAGCTTCACCAACCCTCCAGGGTGAAGAAAAAAAAAAAAAGCTTCCCACAAGGATTTGAGGCTTGCAAGTGGAGGAAATCTTTGAGAAAAATCTGGGTTGATGAGAAGCTAAGAAAAGCCAAGAGGAAAGAGACATATCTATATATGTTTATGCAAAAAATAGAAAAGGTTGAAAAGCAATGTGTTTCTAAAATACTGCTTCTATGAAACCAACCTTCTGTTACTCCTTACTCCTCAGTTAACTGAAAAAGGCAGGGTGATTCCCCGTCTTCTATTCATGTCCTCCTCCACAGAGGCTGGAAAACGCAGCAGCATGCAGCCCTGATGTAGGTGGACTTGGGTTCAAATCCCTCCACTTAACAGACACTAGGCACTGCACTCCACCTTTCTTCAGCTCAGTGCTATCCCATGAGAAATGGGTAATGATATCGAATCTGCTGGACTGAGAGCAGAATTCTATTATCAATGGCAAAACCTGCAGTTAGTTTTGCGCCAACCTAATAAATCATGACAATAAAATCCATGTCAGCTGATGGGCTCCTAACACAGGATGACTACTTTTATCACAGGCACTGTAGTTCAGCGATCAAAAGAGCGTCTTTATTTACCAAATACCTTTTATATTTGCCTCTATATTTAAGATATTTATATATCTTCTGAGCTCCTACTATGGGGCCAGTGACTGGGGTACAGAGGTACGGAAAGTTCATAGGGTCCCTGACCTCCTGGACCCTAGAATCTGGGGAAGAGGAGATATCACCCAAATCATGACCAAATAAACACATAATTACCAACTGTGATAAATGCTATGAAGGGAACATATGGTGTATTCAGAGAAATGGAGGGACCCAGTCTATTCAGGAAGATCTCGAGCCAGGTAGTGAGGAATTCACTAGCCATGGTGGACAAAGCAGTCCAGACAGTGGGACCAGCAAGCGCCAGGAATCTGAGATCGGAAGAATCATAGACCTTTTGAGGAGCAGAGGAAAAACCAGAGTGGGGATGCATGGAAATAGAAGAGGGAAACAAAGCTGGAGATTCCAGCAGTCCTCACACTGAGCCATAAGAAGGATTCAACAGCTGTGGTCATTTGCCATAGGAGGAATCGGCAGCCACAAAGGCAAAGACGGGCTCTCAGCTCTGCAATTTAAATTTGCAGTTCAAATACCCACTGCAACCTCCTTTTCAAATACCACTTCTAGACCCCACACCAGCTAAAATAAGCAGCAATATTTTCATGAATGGAAGATATTTCAAAGATAATATATGCATACATACATACGTCTGTGTGTATGTTTGTCTATATATGTTTGTATGTATGCATATGTGGCATTCACCTTAGCCACCTTGGGAAATGTCTACATTCACTACCAAGTTATGATCCCTTCAGATCCTTGGGTTTTTAAAAAGGCAGACACAGCAGTATCTCCCACAGCAGAGGCTCTTATAATGTGACCCTACACTCCTCCACTGAATGACTGCTGGTATCTATGCCCTTCTCCTTCAACGTGGGCTGACATCTAACGCTGCTTTGACTAACAGAAAATAGCGAAAATGACATTCTGTGACTGTGACTTATGAGGCTAGGATATAAACATGCCATCTTTCACCTTGTCCTTTTGGGATATCCGCCCTTGCGACCCAGATGTCATGCTCTCAGGGAGTTCAAAGTGAGCCACATAAAGAGATCGCATGGAGAGGCCACGTGTGGGTGTTCTGGTTGGCAGCCCAGCTCTGAGGGTCCAGTGAAGAGCCACATCGACCCCAGGCATGGGAGAGGTGTTGCTTCAGATGACTCCAGATGCAGCTGTCAAGCCACCCAGCTTTGCAATCTTTCCAGCTGAGGTACCAGATGTAGTGGAGCAGAGACAAGCCAGCCCCATTACCCCCATCCAAATTCCTGACCCAAAGTATCCATAAGCAAAAAAAATTAAGTGGCTGTTTTACACCACTAACTTTTGGGGTGACTTGTTATGCAGCAATAGCAACTAGTATAGAAAGTAGCTCAAAGTATATACATAAATACATACATACATTCATGCACATAGGTATATGTACATATGTGTGTGTATATGTACATGCATGTGTGTGTAATTTTTTTCTTTTTTTCCTTTTTTTCTGTTTTTGAGACAGGGTCTCACTCTGTTGCCCAGGCTGGGGTACAGTGGTACAATGATGGCTCACTGCAACCTCAGTCTTCTGGGCTCAAACAATCCTGCTGCCTGAGACTCTGAGTAGCTGGGATTACAGGAATGCACCACCACACCCAGCTAATTAAAAAAAATTTTTTAAGAGATGGGGTCTTACTATGTTGCCTAGGCTGGTGTATATTTTTTCTTAATTACTATTGACCTCCCTGAGAACCTTCTAGAGAGAAAGTCTAGAATTACTCCTCAGTTAGAATCCCTGGGCTTTATCCACACTACTTCTGGAAAAAAAATGGCTGGGTAGTTCATGTCAAAGAAAAATATAACACTTTTAAACCACTCAAAATACACAAAAGTAATCTATTCTCATTGCAAAAAGGAAAGAAAATCCTCCTCAGCAAATCTAACACCTTATTTTAATTGGCTTTGAAAACAGAGATCAAAAATGAGATCTTCATCCATAACAACTAAATAGGGCAACTAGAGCTCATTGCTTTCCACCACTGAAGGCTCATGCCTCCGAAAAGAGTGTCTGCAGATTAAATAAAGCAATACCTATAAGGTGGGAATAGCGCATTGCCTGGCACATAAGAGCCCACCAAAATTCCAGTTATTATTATTGCTTTTGTTGTTAGAATTTCTTGATTCCAGCACTAATTCTTCCTGACCTAAATTAAGCAGACCTCATGTTACACCTCAGCAGAAAAGAATCAATGTAGATTCTTACTGCATATAACCAAATACTGAATATGTGGAAAATGTTTTCAGTATATAACCAAAACTTTTCAGTACATAGCCAAATCTGAGTTTCGTTAGATGTCTAGAAAGGGATCTTGGATTCCATATGATTAGAAATGTTATGAAACATCATATAATATAATTATCACACATCTCTATTTTGCTTTGGTAAAAGAACTGTCATTTTAAGAGGAAAGAAGAGAGAAAGGAAGGGAGCAGGAAGGAAGAAAGAATGAAGGAAGGAGAGAGGGAGGAAGGGCCAACAGAAGGAAGGAGGGAGGGAAAGGTCAATATGTGTTAGAAAACGAGCTTCTGAGAAGTTACATTTAACAATCACTGCATGGCTTTCAAGGTGACTAAATGAAAATATTACCTTTGATCATTATGAAGGTACCCCCTATGAGATTATATAAATATTACAAAGCTACACCCAAATGGTGGTTTGAATATGAGGACAGAGTAGGGAACAAAAAACCAGGTTACCTCAGGTTGGTTTTTTCCTCTACTCTTCGAATGCTGTGTGACTTTAAGCTAATCACTCAGCCTCTCTACACCACAAGGTCTTCGAAACAATGCTCCATTCCAAACTTCAGTATCTGTACCAAAGGACCACTAGGTAGTGTGTGCTCCAAGTTTCCAGGGTAAAAGTCACCATTCAAATGCTTACGTGTGCCAAACGACAATTCCCCTTGCAAAATTATCATTTGCAGATTCACACACATTAATTAATATGTTAAAAATTATCTAGAAAAACCTGTGTCTTGCTGCAAAATACTACTGTGCATCACATACCAAAATCATCAATACCTAACGGAAAAAAAAGTGATTGGAGACCATTTCAACTCATATGTCATTCGGGGGCAACACAGGGAGGCTGGCTGGCATCCTCCTTAACATTTGGCTTTTGCCTGTTAGATCTTCAGTTACTGGGGTGTGGAGGGGTCCTAAGACCAACAGAGATGAGAAGGGAGGAAGAGGAAGTGAGAGGAAAAAAGAATATGAAAGGTAGGAAGGAGAAAGGTAGGACAGAGGGAGGGATGCGGAAAAGGCCGTGCTATGGAACTAAATCTGAGTCAGTGGCACCTGAATAGAAATGTCACTACCAGGGAAACCATTCCAAAATGACATTCCAGTCCCCAGGTTTCAAGTTTGCAGAGTGTCTGGCCTCCTCTCCTCCCAAATCCCAGCTTTTCAGGGCCCAGGCAGCCCCCTGTCACTGATTGACTTAACTATATGAGTCACATCCTTCACCCAGAAAAAAATGTCTTTTATATTCTTGAAAGTGGTGGGAACTCTATGTCTCATAGAGCCCCAACATACCAGAAAAAAATGGCCAGCGTGTAATCCACTAGGAATAGCCCTTTCCAAAGGTGGCATGAACTATAAACTGGTTTTTCACTGGAGAAAAATAAAAAAGGAAAATAAAAATGGGATTCGGGAAAACCCCCTTAGTGAGACTGTCAGTAGACAGAAGTCTGGCAGATGTGAATCTGCCCTGGGAGAGATTCTGCTTCCCTCACACCGGCACGGCCCCCTTCCTGATGTCAGAACCCAAGGCTACGGGATCTGAGATCCAGGAGAGCAATGGAGAGAGCCGTGGAGTCTTGAACAGCTTCACTGAAGACCAAGACGGACTCTCTGCTATTACCATAAATGATGAAGTCTGTCAAGCGGTCTGCTAAGACTGAATGAAGACTGACGCCTGTTTCACTTCCCCACCAAGCAGGAGACCAGCCAAGCTGGGGGAGATCCCTTTTTAAATTCATGGCACCTTTGAAAATATTTTACGGTGACTATCAAAATGTCTTTATTCTGCACCTCATGACATCTTGCATTAGAGCTACGTCGACCTCAACACCACAGCACATACTTGTAACTGTTTTTTTGTTTGTTTGTTTTGTTTTGTTTTGTTTCTTTCTCACAACCCTTTACATGGCTGTTTTCCCACTAATCGTGCCACTTCCACGGCCGGGATATAAAACCATTTTACAACAGTTATTCTCCCATGTTTTTCCTTCATTTTATAGACAGCTGAATCCCAGGATCGAAGCTGTTTCAGCAGACAACTGTTGGGAGCACACAAGATCTATTTCAGCTCAAGAAAGGCCAAGGACAAAGACAAGACAAAAGTTGTGGGTTAAAGGGCAGACTTTGCGCAGAGCACCGGTAGAGGAGCGGACAGTGTGATGCGTGGTCCACTGCAAACCATTTCTTCCACAGCAGCAGCTCTGCAAAAGGGACCTCTGAGGAAGAATTCCCTGTCTTCCCAGTGAGTGGTCATTTTAGGAGAACAAGTCCCCTACTAGCCCATAGCTGGAGGGCCAACACTTTTTCTCTCCCTGAAGTTCCCGGCACCTGTTCTGAAAGGGGGTTGAAGAGCTCTCTACTCGGGCCATCCCGCCTGCTCTCTGGATGGAGAACATACGGACAACTGTGTGTTAAGCAGTCCCCTTGAATCCTTCAGCAAGCCAAGGAGTATACAGGTGGTCACCTGCACAGGTGCCGGGTCTACCACCACAACTTTATCCCTGGCCTTGGGGGCTGATGGAGAGTAAGACTCCCCACCACCGCCACCAGCAGTACCTCCAGCTCGCGAGTAAGCAGCGCACAGGCGGGCACAGGTAAATGTTCCCAGGGCGGCCAGACGCCTAAGCCTGCTGGCTGCTGGCGCTCAGGGTCCCCACCTCCATGCCTCTGCGTGGGGCAGGGGGAGTCCTCGTGCCTGGCATCCCACTCCCCCCGCCAACCCAGCCCGCTTATCCTGGGGCTCCGGCCGGGCCGCCCGAAGGAGCCCCGCGCCCAGCCCCGGGAGCCCCGAGCCGCCGGAGCCGCAGCGCCCACTCGGGGCAGGCAGCGTGCACTCACCCTTCTGCTCTCGCAGGCTCGACAGCGACCAGAGCAGCAGCGCCACCGAGGCCAGGAAGCAGAGCTGGCTCAGCAGAAGGTCCCTCCGGCGGCGGCGGCGGCGGCGGCGACGCGCGCGGTCCTCGTCGCCGGACGGCCGCATCCTCGGGCGGCCGGGCGGCGGCCTCGGCGGGCGGCGGCCGCTCCTGTCGCGGGCGGCCGCGGCGGGGACAGCGGCAGGAGGCAGCCCTGCGCGCAGCAGCCGCGCGTCCTCGCTGCGCTCCCACCCGGCCGCCGCCTCCGCCTCCTCTTCCTCCTCCTCGCCGCTGCCCGTCTCCTCGTCGTCGCCCTCCTCGTCGCTATCGCCCAGTCCCTCCTCCCCTCCCTCCTCCTCCTCCTCGCCGCTCGCCCGCGCCGCCGCCTCCCGGCGCTCGGGGTCCCGCTCCTCCTCGCGCGCCATGGCTCCCACGCTCCGCGCCCGCGCTCGGCCTGGGGCGGCGGCGCGGCGGGGGCGGCGGGGGCGGCCGGGAGGCGGGGGCGGAGGGGGCAGAGGAGGAGGAGCGGGGAAGGACCGACGGTAGGAGGGCCCGCCGCTGGCCAACTCCGCCGGTTGGCAAAGCCACCCCGGACTGGCTCTGGCCTCGCCGGCTGCAGGAGCGCCTCGCGGGGCCGCCCGCCTATTCCATGGTCGGCGCGATGGGGGCCGGGGCCGGGCCGGAGCGAACAGGGAGCACCGAGCGAGCTGGGAGCATGAGCTAGCGCAGCTCCCGGCAGCCTGCAGCGGCGAGGCTGGTCGGGCCAGGGTTGGCGGGGGGCAGTGCCTGGGACACAGCCCGGCGCTGGCCGGCATGGCGGGGAGGGGGCGCGCTGGGAGGAGACTGGGCTGGGGAGGGATCCCTGTGTGCAGTCCTTCAACCCTTCTGTGCCAGGGGAAGAGGGACGGCGCAGGGGGCCCCCTCTCGGGAAGCACACACGCTGCCTCCCAGAGGCCGATCTTCACCAAGAAGGATTCGCTGGAAACTTTCGGAAAACCGAGGGGCTCTTCAGCCTCCTCTCTACGTGCTACCTGGAGTCGGGGCGCCGCGAGTGCGCTTGGCTGCCCGCGCCCAGCCTCTGGCCTCGCCTCTTCTCGCGGGCCTCCCGGGTTTCCCTCTGCCCCCTTGCGGGGATCCCCCTGTGCGCCCGACTCGGGATCTGGAACAGGCCTCCCCAGAGGCTGTTAGTTCCATAAGGGTGTCCGGCTCCCCCCTCTGTCTTGGGCTCACACTTCGCTTTCTGTTCGTGCTGGACCAAGTCCAATACTGTGGCTGATCGAAGTGGGGACAGCTGGCACGGTCCCTGGAGAGGCGGCCTGAAGAGGCTTCTGGCCTTGTGCAGGTAACACCAGCCTGCCCTACCTCCAACGTTAGAATCTTAGTCCTCCCATTTCCCCCATTCTAGGTCTCCTGCCCCTCCTTGCTGAAGGTGTGGGCTGCCCTAGAGATGGCTGGACTCACGACCTGCCGCAGGTGCCCATTTGGAGGGGATCCCTGGCCATCCCAGACACAGCCCACTCTCCCTCATTGGGCTTCCCTGGACTCTTCCCAGATGCTAGCCTGGGGCTGCTGGCTGGGCTGAGGAGGAGATGCCATTGTTGGGGCGGAGGGTGGGGGGGCGCTGAAAACAAAAGACCTTGTCCAGAAAGGGATCACCTGAAACCAGGTGTCTGTCTAGGTGACTGTCTCCATGGAATCCATTCAGATCAGGGAATCTAGCTTCATACCCTAAGGAGGTGGGAAGGAAGCAGAGAACCTCTGTATAAGGCTCCCCTGTCTAGGTCTGTTCAAATGTGTCCCCACCTGTGACTGACCTACCCCCCCCGACCTCCTCCCAGACAATCCCTGACAGCGCCCGGGGACAGCAAGGTCACAGCAAAGGGCAAAGGAAGTGGTTATAGGTGGCCTCCTTTCCAGAGAAAGGCCATCTCACCCAGGGAGACCAGAGACTTTTCCTTTGTGGGTATATCATTTATGACTGCTGTTCTCAGCCTGGCATCTTCCAGACACTCAGAGTACCTCCCCCACAATGCCTGAGTGGTTTTCCCTTTGCTTTGGCTGCAGATACTAAGGAGGGTGTAAAAATACGAGTTCATCCGTGCTGGAGTGTGTGGGGAGAATTCTCTAGTTGTGTTATCTCCATCAAGCTTTTGCAGACACAGAAAAGAAAGTTTAGGAGCTGAGAAGAATTCAACTAACCAGGAAAGTCACTCAAATAGTGTTTTCTAGTGAAAACGAGGGAAAATAGAAGGTGAGAGAGGGAATCTGGAATTAATTGAGTTAGGAAATGAACACAAGCTCCAGGGGAAAATACCATAGGCTCAAGGAATTGTGTAATCTGGTGATGGAGGGGGAGTTAGGAAGGGAGCCAGGAGGAAGGAGAATAACCAGGAACTGGTAATTTCTTGGAAATTATCTCAGCACCAGGAGTGTATGTGTGTGTGTGTGGCGGGGTGGGGCGGGGGGGCCGGGGGAGAGCACTCCTGTGGCACACAGAAATGATTCTTGGGTTTCTATTCATTTTGACAGATTTTGGAGTGAAGGGCACTGTTAAAGTAAAGCACAGAGAGTGATTCCTTGGGCGGCCAGGCACCACCTAGGGAAGAAAGGTGGGGATCCTGGTCCCTAGGCTGACAGCAACTGAGACCTGATAGGTTCCTCAGCCCCCCAGGTGATGGCCAAGTGAGACAGGCCTCAGGAGCTCCTCTCCAAAGAAAACAGTCATTTTTTTTCCTACCTGTCCCTTTCAGTCTTTGGAAGCTCCCTCCAGAAACCGAACTGTGAAAGGAGCAAGAGTTGAAATGAAGAATGTGCTCTGATACTTCAGTCTGAGAGTATTTCTTTCCTGGAGAGAGAGGCATCACTCCTAGATGTGTGGGGGTCTTCACCCTTTCAGGAATAAGACAGGTGTCTTTACAGAGCACCTCCCCACCTTGGGCTGGGTTCTGGGGTCACTGTCTACTCCCCCTGTTTTGACCTTCCATAAACATTCTGTTTTCAGGTCCCTGCAGAGACTTTGGACCTGATGTGGTGAATAAAGTTGGTTAGTCTTTCTCACAGTTCTACCTTTAGGACAAAGAATAGAAAGCCTCCCGTGACTATATTCACTAACTCTCAGCCCAGGCCAGATCATCCACCAGCCAGTGAAAGGGACCTCGTCTGTGGCCAAACTAGGTGCAGCTCGGTGCCCTCCTGTGATATTTCCAGCTCTCCAGCCTCCTGCTGACCACAGCTCACAGACCTCATGGAGTAGTTTCCAGGACAAAGCAAGGTTATGTCTCCACAACACCAAACATTCCCAGGTGTGGCAGGCAAGCCATTGATTTAGAAGAGAGGAGGAGAGAGGAAGAGAAAACCAGAAAAGGCACTTTCTTGGTAAAGAGACATCAGCTTTCTCACCATGGCTGTTTCATAACACAAGGAGACCTGGCCCAAGCTCAGAGGGGAAAGACCCCTGGGTGTTCATGGAAAACCTTTAAGCACAGTGAGACCAAATGTTAGTAGATGGGGGATAAAAGGGAGAAATTCATGGAGTATGCCTAGAACAGGCCTTGTATGCAGCATCCCCTTCTTGCCTAGGACTTGAAGGGCCAGGCTTCCTGTCATTGCCTCACTCAAATGTAGCCCAGGAAGACATTAGACTGATAGCACTGATCACCTCCAGACAAAACCCCTGCACCTGCACAGTCACATAGACTTGGACAAAAGCCCATCCTTACTAAGGAAGACCTAACAACTATTTCTTCTCACGCCCATTCTTGTCCACCGTCTTTATCAAAAAGCCAGGAAAACTGCTTCTTCAGACACTTTCTGAGCCGGCTGTATTTTGAAGGACAAAAAAAAAAAAATTACTCTTTTGAGAGCATTGTGTCTGCAAGGTGGGCTCACGTTATTTTTGGTGATCAGTTTATGACTGGAGTTCAAATAGACTGCTTATTTTATAAGAGTTTTTAATTTTGAATATTCTTTTTGCTGAACTGTGTGCATTTGTTTGGTTTTTAACTCACCACATGAATATGACTATAGATTTTTTTTTCCTAGTTGACCATGGTCAGATTCACAATTGCCTTTAAAAAAAATTTGTTGGCTGGGCACGGTGGCTCACGCCTGTAATCCCAACACTTTAGGAGGCTGAAGCAGGTGGATCATCTGAGGTCAGAAGTTCGAGGCCAACCTGGCCAACATGGTGAAACTCCGTCTCTACTAAAAATACAAAAATTAGCCAGGCAGGGTGGCGCATGCCTGTAATCCCAGCTACTCAGGAGGCTAAGGCAGGAGACTCTCTTGAACCCGGAAGGTGGAGGTTGCAGTGAGCCGAGATCACGACACTGCACTCCAGCCTGGGTGGCAGAGCGAGACTCTGTCTCAGAAGAAAAAAAAAAAAAAAAGAAAATGTGTTGAAGTATAACATACATGAGGCAAAACGCACACAGCTTAAGCATTAACTCAATGACTCTGTATATACGTATACATCCTCACAGGTTCCAGACCAAGACATGGAACATTTCCTGCTCTCCCTGAAAGTCTCCCTGTGCCAGCCCCTCACCAGGCAATAATTCCCCAGAGATAGTGCCTCTTCCCAACCCTGTACCCTAGATCATTGTTGCCTGTCCTTGAACCTCAGATAAAGGGAGGCTCCTTTTGCCCATCTTCGTTTTTGTGATGTCTGTCCATTGTGGTGTGCATAGCTGTGATTTGTTCTTTTTCACACTGTGAAGGTGTAGGTGGTTTTCACCTGATGCTTCAGTTCCCTTCCAACTTTAGTATAAGCCAAGAATAATCAAACCACTACATCTGGATCAGAGACAAATGACCTCCCAGATTGGCTAGTTTTGTAAGGAACTTCAGTTGAAATTGAAACAGTCATCAGCTGCTTCTCAAACCAGCTACACTACATAAGGAGGAGCCCAAGGGAAACTGCAGGACAACAGGTCCACTGGGAAACTTCAGGGGGCCAAGCTGTCAAAGACAAGCACAGAAAAATTCCTGCAATGTGCGTTAGACCTTGAGGCAGCTTTTAATGGCAAAAGTCAGTACAACCCATTTCCTTTTTCTCTAAATGAGAGGAAAGTAGAATAGGTTCCATCAGGAAAGAGTCACACCCAGGCCATGACAAACTCATGGAGGATCCTGTCAATCAAATTCCTTTCTGCTGGGCAGAAAAAGTATGTGGGAGCTTGTTAGTAAGGTGCATTCCCAACCTATCCTGAGGATGTGGGACTCAGGAAGCCCAACAATCTGCCCTATTTACAAGGTCCCAGGTATCCTTTCATATTAAGATTTGAGACCTGCTGTTTCAGAGAAAGGGACAGCTTGGCATGTATTTTTTGGTAAATCCTGGAGGGCAAGTCTAAAAAGCAAAAAATATACCGCCCAGCACCTATTTGTTGATATTTTAAATTGACTTGTTTGGGGTGTTTGGAAGAAATAAAGACAGAGTATGAAAACACAACCTGTAGCTATGTCTATATGTATTTCATTTTTCACTTGAGTACTATGTTTCTTAAAGACTCCTGTAAGAAATAATTCAGAACCACATAAATAATAAAGAGATTAAAATTTTAAATCCACAGAGGACAAACATTAAGTATTCACAATTTGAGGAATTTGTTCATTCTGTCAGGATCATTCAGAAAGAAAACACATACATGCCACTAATTTAATTTTGCCCTCGTAAACTTGGGCAGACAAGGTGCTGAGTGTGGCAGAGGAGCCTGGGGAGAGCCCTGAGGGCTTATTTTTGTTAATATACAAATATTAGGCTTAGGTATCCTATATTTTAAATCAAGACAATAGATCTAAAAAATGTTTTAGCATTTTGAAATTTCAAAACTTCATCCTGGTAGACCATGATATGCAGTACATCTTAAGTGGAAAAAAAAAGAAGCTACACTATGAATTGTATAATCCCATTTTTGTAAAGTTAAGCAAAATCATCTCTCTCTCTCTATCTCTGATTACTTTGGGATGTGGGATTACAGGATTTGGGGTTGGGGATCAGAGAATGTAGAGGGACTTTCACTTTTTATTTTATACTCTTCCATAGCTTTAAAATTATTTTTCTTCCATCAGTATGTCCAATTTTATTAATTAAAAAAATAAAGAAAAATTAAAAGAATCTGCTCATGTGTAAGCAGTTAAGGCAAGTTGACTTAAATGAAAGGAATTGAAATGGTTTGACTTTGGCAGGGTTGAGCATGAGGCTAGGCTGGGCCTCCAGGCCTGGCTTCCAAGGAGCTGCTCCTCCCTGCCATGGCTGGCAGCTCTGTGCCCGAGGCTCATTCGGAGGAGCCCTGAGATGACAGGGGAAAGGCAGCCCAGCCAGGTGGTCTGCTACGGCTGGAGCAAGAAGCTGGAATTCTGATTCTGATTTGGCCACAGATCTAAAGTATAGTCCATTCCTCCCCTGTGCCTCAGTTTCCTCAATGGTAAAAGATGATGCCAACCTTTCCACAGAAGGGTGCTTTGCGGCAATGAAGCATTTTGAAAATACAAAACATTCAGATGAGAGAGATGCCAAAGTCAGTTGGCTCTTTGTACTTTAGACAGCCCTGTGTTATTCTGATGGGGATAATCACAGCAAACCCCTCTTGCCCAGGGCCTCAAATCTGACTGCGGAATCCACTTCAAGCCCAGCTCAGCTGTCCAGTGCAAAAACTTGAGTGGTAAACACATGACCCATCACCAAGTCGTCATCCTCAGAGAGACCTGAGGCTAATGGGATGGTCTCACGTTATACAGTGCTGTGTCCATCTCCTCATCTCAGTTCATCGCCCAGGTTTCCAGCCCCAGAACTGCAGAATGATTGGGTCCAGATGCTCTTCCTAGGATCGCTGTGGCGGTGCGCCCCCTGGTGGCAGCGGTAATTCTCCTGCTGGGGGATTTCTGTGTGCCTGAGATGTGTTTCCTACCTGCCCTTGACTGGTTCAGCTTAATCTTTGACTTCACAGCCTCATTTCTTTCCACATTTCCAGTCAGGTGACATGTGACATTAAGATGACTGGTGTGTCGCATGCAGCTCTTCCTGTCTCCCGAGTTTGTTTCACTGGCAAGAGTTTCTCAAAGAGTTCCTTTAGGTACTTAAATATTTCACTTTTTAAAAATTAAGTCCCTTTCTTTGAAAGTTTATGCCAGAAATAGACAGGACTCATGCATAGCATTTTCTTTCCAATCATTTAAGTTCTTGGTACTCCAAATGTTGTCCCTGGACCAGCAGGCACTAGGAGTTGGTGGCATGACCTGGGAGTTAGTTAGAAAGGTAGACTCCTGGGACCACTGCATTAGAACTTGCATTTTAACAAAATGCACAGATTGAAAAGCATAGATTTGGTTGATATTTCCTCATAGATGAGATGACTAGGAATTCATAACTACCCGTATTCATAGCTAACTATATGTTACAGCACTCACGATTACACATACCTTTTCATTTTTTCAACTTTCCACGTTTCATTTGCTTTTAAACACCTCTTAAATATGGAAAACCACAAGAACCAAATTCCCAACGTTTAAGCATTTAAAGTAGTCTACAAGCAATAGCTTCTAAAGTCTCCAAGGAATAAGAATTCCAGCTACAGCATCAAACATTTAGCTGAGAATAGCAACACACCCTATTCCATATAATATTGAAAAGAAAAATTTCGACGTTAAATCCCACATCATTGTAAACTATGTTAGTTCAACAACACCAGTGCATAATGCATTTTAAACACAAAACAGGGTATAACTTAAACTCTGATGAATAAGTATCATGAGAATTTGAGCATATCTTGGTGAAATCATTTTTATTTTTTCAAAGTGTTCCTACCCATAGTCGGCATTAGTCATGTTCTCATTAAAATACCATGTCCAAAAATATCAAGTTTTTGAGTAAGATGACAAAAATTATTAAACGAATAAAAATTATTCCTTTGAGATGCTAAAAAGTAGATATAACTTTTTTTTTTTTTTTGAGACAGAGCCTTGCTCTGTTGCCCAGGTTGGAGTGAAGTGGCACAATCTTGGCTCACTGCAACCTCCGCCTCCTAGATTCAAGCCATTCCCCTGCCTCAGTCTCCCAAGTAGCTGAGACTAAGGGCATGTGCCACCACGTCTGGCTAATTTTTGTATTTTTAGTAGAGATGCAGTTTCACTATGTTGGCCAGGCTGATCTAGAACTCCCGACCTGAAGTGGTCCTCCCGCCTTGGGTACAACCATTTTTGTTTAACTTTTTATTTTGAGCTAATTTTGGCCTTACAGAAGTCATAAAAATAGTACAGAGAATCCCAAGAGGCCCTTCATGGATCTCATCCTAATGTTATCACTTTGTGTATGGATGGTAAAATAACGAGAGCTACAAATTAACGTAGCAACAATAGTACTAAATAAACTACAGAACTTATTCAAGTTTCATAAATTTTTCCCCAGTCTTTCCTTACTTTCATGACTTTGACACTTTTGAGTACGAATGATTTATTTCACAAATGCCCCTCAATTTAGTTTTGTCTAATATGTTCTCATTATCTGGATGAGGTTATGCATCATGGTAATGGAATTATGCCATGTCCTTCTCATTGCCTCATACCATGGGATTTCTGATGTCAATATGTCTTATTATTCGTGCTAACCTTGATAACATGGAGTTAATATTTTGGGAAAGGTACTTTGAAGCTATGCAAATTTTGTTTCTCTTCAAAATTTCACCCGCTAATTTTAACATCCATTGATGAATCTTATCTGCAACAATGATTACTGCGGTATTCAACTGTCATGTAAATAGTTATTTGCCATTTTTCTGAAGCATTGAATGACAACTAGAAAAGAGAGCTGTGCTCAAACAATGAACAACGAGGAATGGGGAGAGGAAAACAGAAGGGCCCCTCTACAGGTTGTATTTTCTTTTTTCATTCTTTGTAGAGACAGGATCTTGCTAGGCTGATCTTGAACTCCTGGCCTCAAGCAATACTCCTGCATCAGCCTCCCAAAGTGCTGGGATTATAGGCATGAGCCACCATGCCTGGCCCAGGTTGTATTAATAGCAACAACAGCAAACCCTAAGGAAGAGGAAGAATATGATTTTCAGACTTGTCATGTTATGTTACTGGAGATGTTCAGTTGTCAATTAAAAATTTTTAGACATGTAAAGAAACAAGAAAGTATAACCCATAACAACAACTACCAGAAGTTAACATACAGTGTCTGAGGAAGCCCAGATATTGGACACACTAGACAAATACTTTACTTTTATTTTTTTTATTTCAGTAGGTTTTTGGGGAACAGGTAGTGTTTGGTTACATGAATAAGTTTTTAAGTGGTGTTTTCTGAGATTTTGGTTACCCATCACCTGAGCAGTGTACACTGTACCCAATGTGTAGTCTAGACAAAGATTTTAAATCAACTATTTTAAATATGTTTGAAGAATTAAAGAAACCATGTCTTTAAATGTCTTACAAAATAGAAACTTTCAATAAAGAGATAGAAACTGCTTTTAAAAATAAGACAAATAGAAATTCTGAAGTTGATGAGTGCAATAACTGAAATAAGAAATTCACTGGAGGTTTTCAGCAGCAGATCTGAGCAGGCGGAAGAAAATATCAGCAAATTTGAAGACAGATCAATTGAGACTGTGTAGTTTGAAAAAGAAAAAGAAAAGAGAATGAATAAAAATGAATAGAGCCTCATACGTGTGATGCAACATATGTATCATAGGAGCCTCAAATGGAGAACAGAGAAATAACTGGGAAGAATATTTAAAGATATAAAGCCCCCAAACGTCCCAACTTTGATTAAAACATTATGCACCCAAGAAGCCCAGTAAACTTCAAGTAATATAAAGAGATCCATATCTAGACACATTTAAATCAAAGTGTTGAAATACAGAGAGAATATTGAAAGCAGCAATAATTAAGAGATTCTTTATATACAATGGAGGCTTAATAGTGTTAACAGCTGACTTCTCATCAGAAACCATGAAATTTAGAAGGCAGTGAAATGACGTGTTCACAGTGCTGAAAGAAAAGAACCATCAACCAAGAATTCTGCACCAGTAAAGCTATTCTTCAAAATTAAAGAAGATATTAGACATTTCCATATTTTTTGAAAGCAGAACTTGCAGACTCGTCAACAGATGAATAGATAAACAAACCTGTCTTGTCAACACAAAGACACACACACACACAGGAATATCATTCAGCATTAAAAAGAGGGCTCCTGCTATTTGCCACAATGTAGGTGAATCTGGAGGACATTTGGCTAAGTGAAATTAGCCAAACACAGAAAGAAACATATCGCATGATCTCACTTACATGTGGAATCTTCTTAAAAATTTAAATATACAGAGATAGGGAGTAAAACAATTATTTACTGGTCAAAGAGGGGAGGAAATGAGAAGATATAGGTCGAAGGATACAAAGTAGCAGATATGTGGGATAAACAAGTCAGATTTCATGTCCAACATGAGAACTATCATTAATAAAATTGCATTGTATTTGGGATTTTTGTTAAATAAGTAGATTTTTAGCCGCTCTTGTTACAATAAAAAGTAACTACATGAGTTGATATATATGTTAATTTGCTTCACTATAGTAAGCTTTTTACTATTTATATGTAACCCATACATCATGTTGTAAACCTCAAATATACACAATAAAATCCATTTTTTAAATAAAGATATACTGAAGGGAGTCCTTCGGCCTGAAATGACTGGACACTAGAGAGCAACTCAAATCTACATGAAGAAATAAATAACACTGGTAAAGGTAACTACATGGATAAATATAAATTAATGTAATTATATTTTTATTTGCAACTTTTTATACTATCTAATTTTAAAGACTATTGCGTGAAGCTATAATTACAAATCTGTGCTGATGGGTATACTATGTATAAAGATGTAATCTTGATGACAATAACAGCATAGAAGAGGGAAAGGAAATGGAGTTATGTCAGAGTAAAATTTGTGTACACTCTTATAATTAAGGTTGGAAATACAGTGGTAAGATGTTCTTTGTGATCCCCAGTTTAAAGTAACTTTAAAAACTAGTAAAATAAATGACAATAGAATTAAAATGATATGCTATGAAAATTTCTACTTAACACAAAATAAACTAACAATGGAAAAATAGAGGACCAAAAATGACATAAAACATATAGAAGACAAATAACAAATGGCAACTGTAAATCCTACCTTATCAATACTTACATTATATGGGAATTGATTTAAAACTTCAAGCCAAATGCAGAGATTTGCAGAATGGATAAACAAAAATGTAAGATTCCAGTATATACTATCTACAAGGGCCACACTTTAGGTTAAAAGACATAAATAAGCAGAGAGTGAAAAGATGGGAAACAATGAACCATGCAAACAGTAACCAAGAGAGACCTGAGTGGCTTAAAAAACATCAATCAAACAGACTTTAAGAGTTATTACTAAAGGGCCGGGCGCGGTGGCTCACGCCTGTAATCCCAGCACTTTGGGAGGCCGAGGCGGGTGGATCATGAGGTCAGGAGATCGAGACCATCCTGGCTAACAAGGTGAAACCCCGTCTCTACTAAAAATACAAAAAATTAGCCGGGCGCGGTGGCGGGCGCCTGTAGTCCCAGCTACTCGGGAGGCTGAGGCAGGAGAATGGCGTGAACCCGGGAAGCGGAGCTTGCAGTGAGCCGAGATTGCGCCACTGCAGTCCGCAGTCTGGCCTGGGCGACAGAGCGAGACTCCGTCTAAAAAAAAAAAAAAAAAAAAGAGTTATTACTAAAGACAAAGGACATTTTATAATGATAAAAGTGTCGATCCATCAAGAAAATATAATTATTCCAAACATATATGTGCCTAACAAGAGAGTTTCAAAATACATGAAGCAAAAGCTCATGGGATTGAATAGAGAAATGGTCAAAAATAATAGTTGGAGACCCTTATAGCCTACTTTCAATAATGGATAGAACAACTAGGATGAAGATCAACAAGGAAATAAATTACTTTAATACTTTAACGACACTATAAACAAACTCTACCTAGTAGACATCTATAGAAGAGTCTACCCAAGAATGGCAGAAAAAATATATTCTTCAAAAGTGTACATGAAACATTCCACAGGCCAGACCATATATTAGACATCCTCCAGAAAAACAAAAGACACACACACACAAAAAGAAAAAGATTGAAATAATGCTAAACACATTCTCCAACCAGAATAGACTGACACTAGGAATCAATATCAGAAGGAAAATGAGGGAAATTCACAAATCCATGAAAATTAAACACTGATAAATAAATGGGCCAAAGAAGAAATCAGAAAAAAAATTTAAAAAATATGTTGAGATGAAAATACAAACAAATGCAACAAATCAAAATGTATGAGATGTAACTTAAACAGTGCTCAGACACAGAACATACTCTAAGATTGACTATATGCTTGGTCCTAAAGCAAGTCTCTACAAATTAAAAAAAAATGTAATTATACCAGCTCAGACTGCAGTTGAACAGAATTAGAAATCAATATCAAGAGGAACTCTCCAAACTATACAAGTACATGGAAACTAAACAAATTGCTTCTGAATGACTTTTGGGTAAACAAAAATATAAGACAGAAAAGTATTTGAAACAAATTTAAATAGAGGCAAAATGTATCAAAACCTCTGAGATGCAGCAAAAACAGTGTTAGGAGAAAAGTTTATAGCATATAGCGATAAACACGTATATCAAGAAGATATAAAGATCTCAAATTAACAACCTAATGTTACACCTAAAGGAACTAAAAAAAAAAAAAAAAAACAAGAACTGAATCCAAACTTAGCAGAAGAAAAGAAATTACTAAAATAACAGCAGAACTAAACAAAATTGAGGCCCCCCCAAAACATACAAAGGATCAACAAAATGAAAAATTGTTTTTTGAAAGAGAAACAAGATTGATAGACCACTAGCTAGATTGACAAAGAAAAAAGAGAGATCTAAATAAGCCAATCAGAAATGACAAAGGTGACATTACAACCAATCCCACAGAAATACAAAAGATCCTCAGTGACAAAAGATCCTGCAACCATCTCTATGCACACAAACTGGAAAATTTAGATAAAATGGACAAATTCCTGGAAACACACAACCTCCCAAGATTGAACCAGAAGGAAATTGAAATCCTGAACATACCAATAATAAACTATGAAATTGAATCAGCAATATAAAAACTTACCAACCAAAAAAGACCTTCAACAGATGGATTCACAGCTTAATTCTATCAGATGTACAAAGAAGAGATGGTACCAATCCTGCTGAAACTATTCTGAAAAATAGAGAAGAGATTCCTTCTTGACTCGTTCTATAAAACCAGTATCATCCTGATATCAAAATCTAGCAAATACAACAACAAAATAAAACTATAAGCCAATATCCCCAATTAACATAGATGCAAAAATCCTCAACAAAATGCTAGCAAACCAAATCCAGTAGTACTTCAAAAAGATAATCCATCACTATCAATTGGGCTTTATTAATGAGATACAAGGATGGTTCAACATATGCAAATCAATAAATTGATTAACCACATAAACAGAATTAAAAGCAAAAAATATATGGTCATCTCAATAGACATAGAAAAAGCATTCAATAAAGTCCCAAATCCCCACATGTTAAAAACGCTTAACAAACTGGGCATCAAAGGAACACAATTCAAAATAACAAGAGCCATCTATGACAAATCCACAGTCAACATTATACTGAATGAGCAAAAGATGGAAACATTCCCCTAATAACTGGAACAAGACAAAGATGTTCACTTTCATCACTCCTATTCGACATAGTACTGGGAGCTTCAGCCAGAGCAATCAGACAAGAGAAAAAAATAAAAGTTTGTCAAATAGGAAAAAAGAAGTCAGATTTTCTCTCTTGACCGACAATGTGATTCTATATCTAGAAAACCTGAAACATTTCACCAAATAACTCCTAGAGCTGACAAACAACTTCAGTAAAGTATCAGGGTATACAATCAAGGTACAAAAATTAGTAGCATTTCTATACACCAATAATGTTCAAGCTGAGAACTAAATCAAGAATACAATCCCATTTACAATAGCCACAAAATAAAATAAAATACCTAAGAATACACCTAACCTAGCATGTGAAAGATCTCTGCAAAGAGAACTATAAAACACTGCTGAAAGAAATTACAAACAAATGGAAAAACATTCCATGCTCATAAATTGGAAGAAGAAATATCATCAAAATGTCCATGCTACCCAACATGATCTGCAGATTTAGTGCAATTCCTATCAAATTATCAACATCATTTTTCACATAATTAATTTTAGAAAATTAATTTATAAATTTAATTTTTCTAAAATTAAAATCATAAGTTTAGAAAAAACTATTCTAAAATTCATATGGAACCAAAAAAGAGCCCAAATAGCCAAAGCAATCCTAAGAAAAAGAACAAAAACAGAAGCTAGATTACATTACCTGACTTCAAACTGTACTACAAAGCCACAGTAACCAAAACAGCTTGGTACTGGTAGAAAAATAGAACCCAAATATAAAGCTATATACCTACAACCAACTAATCTTTGACAGAGTTGACAAAAAGAAACTGTGGGAAAAGGATACCTTATTGAATAAATGGTGCTAGGAAAACTGGCTAGCTATATGCAGAAGAGTGAAACTGAACCTCTATCTCTTACCATAAGCAAAAACCTAGGAAATACTCTTCTGGACATTGGCCTTGACAAAGAATTAAGAATTAAGTCTTCAAAAGCAATTGCAACAAAAACAAAAAGTGAAAATTGGTAACTAATTAAACTAAAGACCTACTGCACAGCAAAAGAAACTATCAACAGAGCAAACAGACAACCTACGGAATGGGAGAAAATATTTGCAAACTATGCATCCAACAAGGTACAAATATCCTGAATTTATAAGAAGCTCAAACAATTCAACAAGAAAAAAAACAAGCAGCCCCATTAAAAAGTATGCAAAGGACATAAATATACACTTCTCAAAAAAACACATACAAGTGGCCAACAAACATAAAAAAAAGTGTTCGGTATCACTAAACATCAGAGAAATGCAAATCAAAATCACAATGAGATACCATCTCACACTAGTCAGAATGACTATTATTAAAATGTCAAGGCCAGGCCTGCTGCCTCACGCCTGTAATCCCAACACTTTCAGAGGCCGAGGTGGGTGGATCATGATGTCAGGAGATTGAGACCATCCTGGCCAACATGGTAAAACCCCATCTCTATTGAAAATACAAAAATTAGCTGGGTGTGGTTGCAGGCACCAATAGTTCCAGCTACTCAGGAGGCTGAGGCAGGAGAATCGCTTGAACCAGAAGGCAGAGGTTGCAGTGAGCTGAGATCACGCCACTGCACTCCAGCTGGCTGACAGAGTGAGACTCCATCTTAAAAAAGAAAAAAAGAAAAAAAGAAAGTCACAGACATTAGCAAGGTTGCAGAGAAAAGGAAATGCCTACATATTGTTGGTGGGATTGTAAATTAGTTTAGCCACTATGGAAAGCAGTTTGGAGATTTCTCAAAGAACTATAAATAGAATTAGTATTCTATCCAGCAATTCCATTACTCAGTATATACCCGAAGGATAATAAATCATTCTATCGAAAAGATGTCTACACTTCCATGTTTATTGTAGCACCATATAATAGCAAAGACATGGAATCAATCTAGGTGCACATCAATAGTGGACTGAATAAAGAAAATGTAGTACATATACAGCATGGAATACTATGCAGCCATAAAAAAACAACAAAATCCTGTCTTTTGCAGCAACATGGATGAAACTGGAGGCCATTATCCTAAGTGAATTAATGTAGAAATAGAAAACCAAACACTACATGTTCTGACTTATAAGTGGGAGCTAAACATTGGGTGCACGTGGACATAAGGATGGGAAAAATAGACACTCCAAATAGACAGTCCTTTTGGGTACTCCAAAAGGGGGACAGATGGAGGTGAGAAAGAGTTGAAAAACTACCAATTGGGTACTATGCTCACTACCTGGGTGAAAGTTTCAATTGAAACCCAAACCTCAGCATCATGCAGTATATCCACATAATAAACCTGTACATGTACCCCTTGAATCTAAAATTTTTTAAAAAATTTAAACCAGATTACATGTTTAGAAGAAAACCATCCCAAAGTCAGTAATCTTGCCAGGAATCAGAGTACCTAAGAGTATGGCTTTAGAGCCGGAATGTCTGAGTACAGATCCAGGTACTGCTGCTTACTAACTTTGTAACTTTGACCAAATATCTTAATCTCTATGTACTCAAGAATCCCCATTTGTAAAATGTAAATAAAAGCTTTGTACATCTTATAGGGTGGTTATGAACATTAAGTGAGCTAATACAAGTAGAGTGCTTGGCAAGACACCTAGCAAATAATTGTAAGTACTCAGTAAACGTTAGCTGTGATTATAATACTGATTTACTGTCTCAAGGTTCGAGAACCTGTGAAAAAAAGGGGAGCTTCAAAAAAATTTCAAAAGATGCTTCTAAAGACAATACACTAGAAAGAAGTCCCTTTAAAAAAACACATTGCATTCCCAGAATTCACATGACCACCACCTACAGATTTGGCCCCAAATCTTAGACAAAGGAGTCAGACGCATCTTTGTGAATAATATTTACAAACTGTCAATATTTGAACACACTATCCATTAGAAACATGCTATCATTTTCCTTTTTAAAAGTTTCATTATAGTCAAATAAATGAAAAGTAAAGCAATGAGACATAATTATTTTACCAAGTTAATAAGACTAAAAGAAATAAAAAAGGTTATTCTAAATGGTGGCAAGAGTATAGTGAGAAAATTGATATGAGTGTGAAGCAGTACAATCTTTCAGGAAAGCTGTATATTCAGAACCTAAAAATACCTGCACTTTTTGACTTAGTCATTCATAAAGCCTAAGGAAATATATAGGGGAAAAAATGACACAGGTTTATATATTTTTAATGCTCACTACTATAGTATTATTTACTGCAGAGGTAGAAAACAATCTAAATGCCTAAAAGTAAGAAAATGATTACATAAATTACATTAAAAAAATCTGTTAGGAACTGAATGTTTGTGTTCCCCCCAAATTCTTATGCTGAAATCCTAATTCCCAATTGATAGTATTAGGAGGTGGAGTCTTTGAGAGGTAAGTAAATCTTGAGGATGGAGTCCTCATGAATGGGATTAGAACCCTTGTAAAAGAGACCCCAGAGAGCTCTTACCTCCTCTTTCTGCTGTGTGAGGATACAAAAAGAAAACAGCAATCTGCAACCTAGAAGAGGTCCTCACCAGAACACAACCATGCATAGCACCCTGATCTTGTATGTTTAGCCTCCAGAACTGTGGAAATACATTTCTGTTTTTATAAATAAATAAATAAATAAAATCCCATGTGACTTGCCTTCATAGAAAGCTGCAAAGCCTTTCCCAACCAATTATTGCTGCTATGAAACTGAACCCACATTCTGCTGTGTATAGAGGTAAACTTCAGGCACTTTGTCCCCACAGAACCAAAAAAAAAAAAAAAAAGGCAGTGCTTTGAGAAAAATGACATCTATAAATACCTATTTTAAAAAAATCAAATAAACAACCTAATCTTCCACTTTAGTAAGCTAGAAAAAGAAGAGCAAAGTACACCAAAAAGCTAGCAAAGGGGGGAAAGAATAAAGATTGGAGTAAAAATAGTGAAACAGAGAATAGGGAGAAAAAAAATGAAAGAAATCAATGAGACCAAAAGTTGAGTCTTTGAAAAGATCAACAAAACTAACAAATCTCTAGTGAGACTGACCCAGAAAATAAGACGGAAGACTCAAGTTAGAAATTTTAGTAATTATAAAAATAAGAATTATAAGATAATATTATAAAAAATTATATACAAAAAATTAGATAACCTAGATGAAATGGACAAATTCATGAGATGTACAAATTACCAAAGCTGACTCAAGAAGAAAGATCATATCTGAATATACCTATAACAAGAGATTAAATTAGTAAGAAAAAACTTCTCATAAAGAAAATCTCAGGACTAGATGGCTTATCCAATGAGTTATATCAAATGTTAATGGAAGAATTAACACCAATCCTTCATAGACCCTTCTAAAATTAGAAGAGAAAGGAATACTTCCCAACTCGTTCTATAAGACCAGCATTTTTCTGATTCCAAAACCAATAACATCACAAGAAAAGAAAACTACAAACTGACATTCCTTTAAATATAGATAAAATGTCCTCAACAAAATATTTACAGACTGAATCCAGCAACACATACAAATAGTTTTAACACCGTGAGCAAGCGGAAATTATCACAGGTATGCAAGGTTAGTTCAACATACAAAAATCAACCAATGAAACAGCATATCAATAAAGGGCAAAAAACACATGATCACCTTTAGTGAGGCCAAAAAAAGCAGTTGACTAAACTCAACACGCTGCATGATAAAAATACTCAACAGAGGTACAAATAGAAGAAAATATTCTCAATGAAAATAAAATTAAAGTCATTCCAGTTACAATACTATCAAAAAGAATAAAACATTTATGAATAAATTTAAAAAAAAGTGCACTGAAATCTATAAAACATCATTGAAAGAAACTAAAGGAAACCTAAAAAGTGAAAAGACATCCTGTATTTATGGATTGGAATTAAGATACCATATTCTTTAAATTCATTTACAGTTTAAATGTAATATTTATAAAATTCGAGGTGCCCTTTTGCATATACTAACAAGCTGATCTTCAAATTCATATAGAAATGAACTTCCAGTTTGTGGTCCAGCATATAGAGAGCTTGGAAGTCATTGCTCTGTCTTAGCAAGTAAAAACCTGAACCAATTGAACAATCAACAACTCTTAGATCCATTACAGCTAGGCAAACTACTGTGCTTAAAATCAGGGAGACAGGCAAACACAGAAAATCACAACTTGTTAGAGTGGAAACCCCTGAGCAGACATTTACGAGGGAATCATTACCAGGAGAGGAAAACCTGAACCGTAAATGACAAGTTTCTGGAATTGCTAGACTCAGAGTGGACAAATCTGAGTGTTAATCACTTTTGGGATGGGGTAGTCATAGAAACCCACTCAGCTACACTTTTGTAAATGCTCCTCTCAAATGCTCCACCGGATTCTCTTGGTGAGTATCAGAGAAAAATCCTTTCATACTTCTAATAGGAGAGGGTGAAAATAACCATTTCGAAATATGCCAGAGGACTTTGTTTTTAACAAGTCCTGCTTTCAAAGGAAACTATTTTACCAGAGCCTGAAATAATGGAGTTTTTGTAACAGACTAACTGATCTGACAGAAGGGAAATATCAAACTCGGGTTAACTGTAAATATTTGTTCCCAGCAAACGTGTAGAGGTTGGGGAGAATTGTGGTGCTCTGTGAAGTTCACAGGTCAGAGGGATAGGCTCACTATAGTGCTGAGACCTAATCATAAAACCGTAGATTGCTTTCCTTCCACTTCACACCTTATCATCACGTCACAGAAGGCCTATTACTACAGTTCCACTTAACCAATACATCATGTCCAAGTATGAAAAAAGAATTAGATGGCATACTAAAACAAAACAAAACAAAACAAAACAAAAACGAGGTTTGAAGAGACAGTGCAAGCATTGGACCCAGATGTAGATATGGCAGAGATGTTGAGATTATCAAACCATGAATTTAAAATGACTACAATTAATATGGTAAGAGTTCCAACAGATAAAGTAGACAACATGTAAGGACAGATGGGCAATGTAAGCAGAGAGATAGAACTTCTAATAAACAATCCAAAGTGAAAGGCTAGAGATAATTTGATAAGCTCATTAGTAGACTGGACATAGCTCACAGATGAAGGAATCTCTGAGCTTGAAGATATGTCAGTAGAAAATCACAAATGAAAAGCAAAAAGAACACTGGAAAAAGATAGAACAGAATATCCAAGAACTGTGGAACAACTAAAAAAGGTGTAAACAAGCTTAAAATGACAATATCAGAAAAAGAGAAAGGAATACAAATATCTTGAGGAGAAAATAATGACTGGAAATTTCCCCCAAATTAATGTCAGACACCAAACCACAGATCTAGCAAGATCAAAGAACACTACCCAGGTTAAGTGCCAAAACAACTACACCTAGAATATATTCAAGAACAAATCTTGAAAAAAAAAAACAGGGGGTGGGGAGATACCTATACAGGAGCAAAGATAAGAATTACATCAAGCTTCTCAGAAACCATGCAAGCAAGAAGAGAGTAGAGGGAAATATTAAAAGTGTTGGTTAAAAAAAACATCAAACTAGACTTCTGCACCCTATGGAATTATCTTTTAAATGTGAAAGAGAAGTAAAGACTTTCTCAGACAAACAAAAACTGAAGGAATGTGTTGCAAGTAGACCTGCCTTGCAAGAAATGTTGAAAACCTGTAAAAGAGAAGGAAAATGATATAGATCAGAAACTTGGATCTACATAAAGAAAGGGAAAGCAGCAAAGAAGAATTGGTTAAGGTAAAATGAAAACTTTAATTTTCTTATTCTTAGTTGATATAATAGAAAATAATTGTTCAAAATAATAACAGCAACCCTCTTTATATTATATATATATGCTTATATATATACACTTTTATATATATGCATATATATATAATGGACAAGTGAAATAAATGACATTAATGATATGAGGAACAGGAGATAGAAAATAGTAACGTTGTGTTATTATAGGGTACTTGCACTGCCCATGAAGCAATATAGTGTTATTTGAAAGTGGACTTGGATTCATTGTAAGTGTACATTACAAACTCTAAGGCAAACACTAAAATAAAAAGAAATATAATTCATACGCTAAGAATGAGGAGAAAATGTATTTACATAAAATGCTCAAACACAACCACAAAAAGCCAGAAAAAGAGTGGAAGAAAAAAATTAAAACAGATCACAAGAGTAATAAATAAAAAACAGTAACAAATATGGTAGACATCAATCCAACTATATCAATAATCACTTCAGATGTCAATGGTCTAGATAAACCAATTAAAAGACATTGTCAGAGTGGATCAAAAAACAAGACCTAGTGATATGGTGTCTACAGGAAATCCACTTTAAATATAAAGAAAAATACAGGTTAAAAGTAATGGGATGGAGAAATATATACCATGCTAGCATGAATCAAAAGAAAGCTAGAGTAACTATATTAATTTCAGGTATATCAGGTAGCAGAGAAGGAAAATTTATCAGTGATAAAGAGGGGTATTACATAATGATAAAGAGATCAGTTATCCAAGAAGACATAAATACCCTTAATGAGCAGGCACTTACCCGAGTGTCAAAATGTATGAGGCAAAAATTGATAGAACTTGAAGGACAAAGAGATGAATCCATTATTGTAGTTGGCAACTTCAACAACCCTCTATGAGAATGGACAGATAGAGCAGGTAGAAATTCAGCAAGGGCACAGTTAAACTCAAAAAATGAGATATAATTGACATCTGTATCAAATACTTCATTCAACAGCAAAAGAATACACATTATTTTGAAGTTCACATAAACATTCACAAAAACAGATCACATTCTTGGCCATAGAATATGCCCTAACAAATTCAAAAGAATGAAAATCATACAATGTCTGCTCTCAGACTACGATGGAATTAAACTTGAATAAATAACAGAAAGATATGTGGAAAACCCCCAAATACTTGGAGATTAAATAACGCACTTCCAAATATACACAAATCAAAGAAGATATTTCAAAAAAATTTTACAATATTTTGAACTAAATAAAAATAAAATATCAAAATTTATGGGATATAGCAAAAGCAATGCTAAGAAGAAAATTTATAACATTGAATGCATTTATTATAAAAGAAGAAAGATCTAAGATGAGTAGTGTGAGGTTTTCCTTAGTAAACTGAAAAATAAGAGTAATTAATCCAAACCAAACATAAGAAAATAAATAATAAAAATTAATGTCGAAATTAATAAAATTAAAAATAGGAAATCTATAGAGAAGATCAATGAAATTCAAATTTGGTTCTTTTAAAAGATGGATGAAATTGATAAACCTCTAGCCTATCTAATTAAGAAAAAAAGAGAAGACACAAATTACTAATATCAGATATTAAAGAGGGGACATCACTACAGATTCCATGGACATTAAAAGAATAATAAATAGTGTGAACAACTATATGCCTGTGAATTAGACAACATAGATAACATGGACCAATCTCTTTAAAGACACAGTTTATCACAATTCACACAAGGAAAGGTAGATAATCTAAATATGCCTACATGTATTGAAGAAATTGAATCAAATATTAATAACCTTTCAAAACATAAAGTACCAGGCCTAGATGGGTTCATTGGTTAATTCTACCAAATATTTAAGTAATAAATTATACCAAGTCTCTACAATTTCATTGATATGGTAGAAGCAGAGAAATTACTTTCTAATACATTATATGAGGCAAACTGATACTTAAACCACAGACACAGTGAGGAAAGAAAAATACAGGCCAATATCTCTCATGAACATGGATTCAAAAATTTTCAATAAAATATTAGCAGATTGAATACAATGTGTAAAAAAACTATACACGAAGACCAAGCAGGATTTATCACCACCTCGAGTGGGGGTATGCAAGGCTGATTCAACATTTGAAAATCAATTAATGTAAGCCATCACATTGACAGGTTAATGAAGAAAAATAACATTATCATATAAATAGATACAGAAAAAGCATTTGACAAAATCTAACTTTTTTATGATAAAAACCCTCAGCAAACTAGGGATAGAGAACTTCTTCAACTTGATAAGGAGCATCTATAAGAAACCTACAGCTAAAATCATACTTAATGGTGAGAAACTAAAATCTCTTTTTTTTTTTACTAAAATCAGGAACAAAATAAAGATGTCCCTTCTCATCATTTCAACACCATGCTTGAAATCAAAGCTAATGCAATAAGAAAAAGAAATAAAAGGTATACTGATTGAAAAATAAGACATAAAACATTTTTTTTCAGTGATGATATAATGGTCTATGCAGAAAATTCAAAAAATTGATCAAAAAATAAACAAACCAAAACTCCCAGAACTTATAGATAATTACAGCAAAGTTACAGGATATGAGATAAATATTCAAAAGCCAATTGCTTTCCTCTTTACCATCAACGAACAATTGGAATTTGAAATTTAAAACACAATACTATTTACATTAGTGTTAAAAAATAAAATACTTACATAAAAACTTAACAAAATATGTATAAGAAATTTATGAGGGGCCGGGCGCGGTGGCTCACGCCTGTAATCCCAGCACTTTGGGAGGCCGAGGCGGGCGGATCATGAGGTCAGGAGATCGAGACCATCCTGGCTAACACGGTGAAACCCCGTCTCTACTAAAAATACAAAAAATTAGCCGGGCGTAGTGGCGGGCGCCTGTAGTCCCAGCTACTCGGGAGGCTGAGGCAGGAGAATGGCGTGAACCCAGGAGGCGGAGCTTGCAGTGAGCCGAGATCGCGCCACTGCACTCCAGCCTGGGCGACAGAGCGAGACTCCGTCTCAAAAAAAAAAAAAAAAAAAAAAGAAATTTATGAGGAAAACTACAAAACTCTGAAAAGGTCAAAGAAGTATAAATAAATGGAGATATATTTCTTGTTTATGAACATAAAGACTCAACAGTTTCAAGATGTCAGCTCTTCCCAACTTCATCTATATTTCAATGCAATACAAATCTAAATCCCAAAAAGTTATTTTTGATATAAATTATTTCTGTATTGGTCCATTTTCATGCTGCTGATAAAGACATACCCAAGACTGGGCAATTCCAAAAGATAGAGGTTTAATGGATTTACATTCCTCATGGCTGGGGAGGCCTCACAATCATGGCAGAAGGCAAGGAGGAGCAAGTCACGTCTTACATAGATGGCAGCAGGCAAAGAGAGAGAGATTGTGGAGGAAAACTCCCATTTTTAAAAGCACCAGATCTTTTGAGACTTATTCAATAACATGAGAACAGCATGAGAAACACCCGCCCCCATTTTTCAATTACCTCTCAATGGGTTCCTCCCACAATACTTGGGAATTGTGGGAGTTACGATTCAAGATGAGATTTGGGTCAGGACACAGCCAAACCATATCAAATTCTAAAATTTTTTGGAGAGGCAAAAGACCTAGAATAACCAAAACAATATTAAAGAACAACAAAGTCTAGGAATCCAACTTACAAGGGATGTGAAGGATCTCTTCAAGGAGAACTACAAACCACTGCTCAACGAAATAAAAGAGGACACAAACAAATGGAAGAACATTCCATGCTCAACGATAGGAAGAATCAATATTGTGAAAATGGCCATACTGCCCAAGGTAATTTACAGATTCAATGCCATCCCCATCAAGCTACCAATGGCTTTCTTCACAGAGTTGGAAAAAACTACTTTAAAGTTCATGTGGAACCAAAAAAGAGCCCGCATTGCCAAGACAATCCTAAGCACAGAGAACAAAGCTGGAGGCATCACGCTGCCTGACTTCAAACTATACTACAAGGCTACAGTAACCAAAACAGCATGGGACTGGTACCGAACAGAGATACAGACCAATGGAACAGAACAGAGCCCTCAGAAATAATACCACACATCTACAACCATCTGATCTTTGACAAACCTGACAAAAACAAGAAATGGGGAAAGGATTCCCTATTTAATAAATGGTGCTGGGAAAACTGGCTAGCCATATGTAGAAAGCTGAAACTGGATCCCTTCCTTACACCTTGTACAAAAATTAATTCAAGATGGATTAAAGACTTACATGTTACACCTAAAACCATCAAAACCCTAGAAGAAAACCTAGGCAATACCATTCAGGACATAGGCATGGACAAGGACTTCATGACTAAAACACCAAAAGCATTGGCAACCAAAGCCAAAATAGACAAATGGGATCTAATTAAACTAAAGAGCTTCTGCACAGCAAAAGAAACTACCATCAGAGTGAACAGGCAACCTACAGAATGGGAGAAAATTTTTACAATCTACTCATCCGACAAAGGGCTAATATCCAGAATCTACAAAGAACTTAAACAAATTTACAAGAAAAAAGCAAACAACCCCATCAAAAAGTGGGCAAAGGATATGATCAGACACTTCTCAAAAGAAGACATTTATGCAGACAACGGACACATGAAAAAATGCTCATCATCACTGGTCATCAGAGGAATGCAAATCAAAACCACAATGAGATACCATCTCACACCAGTTAGAATGGCGATCATTAAAAAGTCAGGAAACAACAGGTGCTGGAGAGGATGTGGAGAAATAGGAACACTTTTACACTGTTGGTGGGAGTGTAAACTAGTTCAACCATTGTGGAAGACAGTGTGGCAATTCCTCAAGGATATAGAACTAGAAATACCATTTCACCCAGCCATCCCATTACAGGGTATATACCCAAAGGATTATAAAACATGCTGCTATAAAGACACATGCACACATATGTTTATTGCGGCACTATTCACAATAGCAAAGACTTGGAACCAACCCAAATGTCCATCAATGATAGACTGGATTAAGAAAATGTGGCACATATACACCATGAAATACTATGCAGCCATAAAAAAGGATGAGTTCGTGTCCTTTGTAGGAACATGGATGGAGCTGGAAACCATCACTCTGAGCAAACTATCACAAGGACAGAAAACCAAACACTGCATGTTCTCACTCATAGGTGGGAACTGAACAATGAGAACACTTGGACACAGGGTGGGGATCATCACACACCGGGGCCTGTAGTGGGGTTGGGACAGCAGGGAGGGACAGCATTAGGAGATATACCTAATGTAAATGATGAGTTAATGGGTGTAGCACACCAACATGGCACATGTATACATATGTAACAAACCTGCACATTGTGCGCCAGTACCCTAGAACTTAAAGTATAATAAAAAAAATAATAAAGAACAACAAAGTCAGGGAATTGACAGTTTCCGACTTTAAAGCAATATAAGCCTTGGCAAAGAATTTGCAAAAGAATAGACAAGTAGCTCAGTGGAATGGAATAAAGGGGCCTGGAATAGACCCACATAAATATAGTCAATTGATCTTTGACAAAAAAGCAAGAGCAATTCAATGGAGAAAGGATAGTCTTTCCAACAAATAGTGCTGGAATAACTGCATCTACTTTTAAATAAATAAATCTAGACAGACCTTACACAAAGATTAACTTACACTTTTCACAAAGATTAACTCGAACTTGATCATTACCTAAATGTAACAAACTATAAAACTCCTAGAAGATAACATAGGAGAAAATCTTGGTGACCTTGGGTATGATATATATTTTATAAATCTTGAAAATTAGCATGATTAAACATTATGTTGCTTAGGGATCATTCATATATGATTATAGTTTTGAAAGAAGTAAAAAGTAACCACAAGATGGGGATGCTTGTTACTGGGAGGGTGAAGTCAGAATGAAGTGAGGGGTGAGATAGAAATGGAACTAAACATTAGCAGCATCCTTGTTAAGTGGTAGGTTTATTGGTGTGATGTATGGCTTTTTAGATACAACATCAAAAGCACAATCTGAAAGAAGAGATTGATAAGTGGGATTTCACTAAAATTAAAAACTTCTGCTCTGCAAAAGACATTGCCAAGAGAATGAGAAGACAAGCCACAGACCGAAAGGATATATCAGATAAAAGACTGTTACCCAAAATATATCAACAACCCTTAAAACTCAACAATGAAGATTACTTGAGCTCAGGAGTTTGAGACCAGCCTGGGAAAAATGGCAAAACCCCAACTCTACAAAAAATACAAAAATTAGCCAGGCATGCTGGTGCATGTCTGTAGTCCCAGGTACTCAGGAGGCTGAGGTGTGGGAGTATCACCAGAGCCCTGGAGGTTGAGGCCGCAGACAGCCATGATTGCGCCACTGTGCACCAGCCCAGGTGACAGAGCAAGACCTTGTCTATCCCTGACAACAACAACAAAAAAACAATAAAAAGACAAACCACCCAATTTTAAAATGAGCAATAAACCTGAACAGACACATACAAAGAACATATTTAGAAATGAAAAATATGCATACGAAAATATGTTCAATGTCATTTGTCATTAAGGAATTGCAAATTTAAACAACAATGCAATAGCACTACATTCATAACAGAATGGCCAAAATCCAGAACACTGGCAACATCAAATGGTGACAAGGTTGTGGAGCAACAGAAACTCTCATTCATTGTTGGCAGGAATGCAAAATGGTATAGCCACTTTTAAAGACAGTTTAGCAGTTTCTTAGAAAATTAAACATACTCTTATGATATGATCCAGCAATTGCACTTCTTAGTATTTATTCAAATGAATTGAAGACATGTCCCCACAAAACCTGCACATTTTTTAGCAACTTTATTTATAGTTGTCAAAACTTGAAAGCAACCAACATGTCCTTCAGTAATGCTGAATGGATAAACTGTGGTAAATCCAGACAATGAAATATTATTCAGCACTAAAAAGAAATGAGCGAGGAAGCCATGAAATGACATGGAAGAACCTTAAATACATGTTACTATGTGAAATAAGCCAATTTGATAAGGCAATATTCTTTTTTTTGGTATGATATATATTCTATAAATCTTGCAAATTAGCATGATTAAACATGTTGCTTAGGGATACATTCATATATGATTATAGTTTTGAAAGAAGTAAAAAGTAACCACAAGATGGGGATGTTTGTTACTGGTAGGGTGAAGTCAGAGTGAGGTGAGGGGTGAGATAGAAATGGAACTAAATATTAGCAGCATCCTTGTTAAGTGGTAGCTTACTGGTGCTCTTTTTTAACATTTTTTTATTTCAATAGGTTTTGAGGGAACAGGTGTTGTTTGGTTACATGAATAAGTTCTTTAGTGGTGATTTCTGAGATTTTGTTGCACCCATCACCCGAGCAGTGTACACTGTACGCAATGTATAGTCTTTTATCCCTCATCCCGCTCCCTCTCTTTCCCCTGAGTCCCCAAAGTCCATTGTATCATTCTTATGCCTTTGAATCTTCATAGCTTAGCTCCCACTTATAAGTGAGAACGTAAGATGTTTAGTTTTCCATTCCTGAGTTACTTCACTTAGAAGAATGGTCTCCAATTCCATCCAGATTCCTGCGAATGCCATTATTTTGTTCCTTTTTATGACTGGGTAGTATTCCATGGTGTGTGTGTGTGTATATATATATATATATATATGTCACATTTTCTTTATGCACTCGTTGATTGGTGGGCATTTGGGCTGGTTCCATATTTTTGCAATTGTGAATTGTGTTGCTATAAACCTGTGTGTGCAAGTGTCTTTTTCATATGACTTCTTTTCCTCTGGATACATACCCAGTAGTGGGACTGCTGGATCAAATGGTAGCTCTACTTTTAGTTCTTTAAGAAATCTCCACACTGTTTTCCACAGTGGTTGTACTAGTCTACATTCCCACCAGCAGTGTAAAAGTGTTCCCTTTTCACTACATCCATGCCAACATTTATTATTTTTTATTTTTTAATTATGGCCATTCGTGCGGGAGTAAGGTGGTATCACATTGTGGTTTTGATTTGCATTTCCATGATCATTAGTGGTGTTGAGCATTTTGAAAAAGCTATATTCTGTGATTCCAATTGTGGGGTGGGGGAGAGAGAAATGAATAGGTGGAACACAGAGGATTTTTAGGGCAGATAAACTATTTTGTTTGATATTATAATAGTGAAATATTTATCATTTTATACTTGTCAAAACCCATAAAACCAGTAACACCAAGAGTGAAACCTCATATATGCTGTGGACTTTGGGTGATAATAATGTGCCAATGTAGATCCCTTGAAGGTAATAAATGTACTACTCTGGTGTAACATTTGGGTGGGGGAGGCTATGTGTGATTGGGGATATGTGGGAATTCCACATACCTTCTGCCCAATTTTGCTGTGAACATGTAACTGCGTTCACAGTTTATATATACTTTATATATAAAAGTATAAAGTATTTTTTTAATTTACTTGGTAATGAAAGAGATAAAAATAGTGAAAATAAACTTTAAAAAAGAATAAAGTTAGAGAATTCACACTTCCAGTTTCAAAACTTACTACAAAGCTCCAGGAATCAATACTGTGTGGTATGGATGTAACAGTAGACACATAGATCAATGCAATATAATTGAAAGTCCAGAAATAAATTGATACTTTTATGATGAATTAATTTTTGACAGGGGTGCTAAAAAAATTTAATGGGGGAAAATATAGCTTTTGCAGCAAATGGTATCGGAACAACTATGTATCTACCTGAAAAAAGAATGAATTTGGAGTCAAATCTCAGAATATACAAGAATTAAGTCAAAATGAATCAAAGACCTAAATGTAAGAGTGAAAATGATAAAACTCTTAGAAGAAATCATAGTCATAAGTCTTTGTGACCATGTATTAGCCAATGGTTTTTTTAGATATGATACCAAAAACACAAGCAATAAAATATTGATTAATTGGACTTCATAAAAATCAAAAGTAACTATGCTTCAAAGGACACTATTAATAAAGTAAAATACACCCTACATAATGGGAAAAAAATATGCAAATCATATAGCTGATAAGAGACTAATGTTTATAATATATAAGGAACTTGTAATTCTACACTAAAAAGACAAATAACCCAACTTAAAAATGGGCAAAATTTGAACAGACATTACTCCAAAGAAAGTATACTGATGGCCAATAAGATCATATCGTTAACCATAAGGAAGGTGCAAATCACAACCAAAATGACCTACCACCTTACATCCACTAGGATAGTTATAATCAAAACACAGACAATAACAAGTGTTGGTGAGGATGTGGAAAAATTAGTCTTCTTACATTGTTGGTGGGAATGTTAGTTATTAGACAGTGTGGTTGCTTTGGAAAACAGCTTCGCAGTTTATATATATATACTCCAGAAATTCTATTCCTAGATATATATATATATAAACTTGTACCTGAAGGTTCATAGTAGCCTATTTATAATTGCCAAAAAGTAGAAAAAGTCTAATTGTACAGTAGCTCATGAATGGACAAACAAAATGTATAAAAAGTAATGAAGTTACTTTTATACATGCTGCAACATGGAAAAACCTTGCAAACATTATGCTAAGTGAAAGAAACCAGACACAAAGACCATGTATTGTGTGATCTAGTTTATATAAAATTTCCAGAAAAAGACAATCCATACAGACAAAAAGTAGATTTGTAGTTGGCAGGGTCTTGGGAGAGAGGAAAATGAGGACTGACTGCTAGTAAGTATGAGGTTTCTTTTTGGGGGTGATGACAGATTCTAGAATTAGATAGTTGTGATGCCAGCATATCTTCATTAATATACTGGAAACAACTGAATCATACATTTTACTAAGGTGAATTTTAAGATATATAAATTATATCTCAATTGAAAATTCTTCTGAAAGAATATATATTGCCAGTTAGGAGGCCATTTGCTAATTGTGTGACCTTGGGAGAGTTGCTTAGCTTATTTCATAGGATTGCTGTGAGGAAAAAAAGACTGATGTATGAAAAGCACCTTAAACAGTGTCTTCCACATAATAAGTATTCAATAAATATTAGCTCTTACAGGTTGAGTATTCCTTATCTGAAATGATTGGGACTGGAAGTGTTCTGGATTTTTGATATTTCTAGATTTTCTGAATACTTGCATAATTAGATATCTTGGGGATAAGACTGAAACCTAAATATGAAACTCGCTCATGTTTCACATACGTCTTATACACATAGCCGGAAAGTAATTTTATACAATATTGTTAGTAACTTTGTGCATGAAACAAAGTTTCTGTACACAACATTAATTGTGGAATTTTCCACTTGTGGCATCATGGTCAGTGCTCAAAAAGTTTTGAATTTTGGAGCATTTTGGATTTGGAATTTTTGGATTAGGGATGCTTAAGCTATATTTTCAACTGTATTTATATCATGTTTCATTATCCTAATAAGACAAAAAGAGGTTTCTAATAAACATATAACTTCTTCAGTTTTCTAAAAGCCCCATTTCATCCCTTGATATTAAAATCATCCTTTTCTGAGGCATGGCTTCTGTCATCTGCCTGGTCAGTTTTCCATTCCTCAGCCATTAACCATGACGCACTCTGCCAGATTTTCATTTGTCAATTGTCTTGTAGGTGCCCCCAGACGTTCTCCAGCACCACTTTCATTGACTTCTTAAAAGCATACATCTTTGGCTAGGTTTGCAGTTTCACTTAGCAATTAAATTGTGCTGTATCTGTCTCAAATTGTTGGGGGTTTACAAAAATGAGTCAATTGGCCAAAATCCAAACAGACTTAGAAGTTGGTCAGATGGGCAAAGATAGATGACTAATTTTCAGTGGGGTGAGATGCTTAGGGGAAAACACAATTTTTAAACAGTTTATTCATGGGTATTTTCATGTTGTGATGATTTTTGCTCTCTTGGTTAAACTCCTGCCTCCAAGGATGTTAATACTAAACACACAGAAAACTGTGGCCCCTTATACCTCCTCACTTAACGTTTTACACTCTCAATGTGTGTGTGAAATGGAGGGGCATCAAATAACACATCTGGACAAATGCAATATGGCTGGATGCTAAACCAGTATTTGGGTGAAACCAAGACAGAAAGCAAATATCACATCATTTTGAATGAACTTCTGGAATACCAAAATAAATCTAAAATGTTATCGAAAAGAAATTCTACTGTCATTATAATTTTATTAATTAGAATTTTGAGTAGTCACATTTTACAATTTTGATAACATAGTGCCAGAATATCACCAACCAGAGTACATTGTGCTTGCCATACTATGCCTTAATGATATTAAATTGATGTTCACTGTTAATTGATGGGTAAAACATCTTTGGCTGGATCTACCAGCATAGGTGACACTGACATCAAATAATTAAGTTTTATTTTTCCTTTTAACTCCTGAACTTAAAGATTTCAATGGTGATACAAATTTTACTAAAACATGATACTTTTTCTGCTTTAAGAAGATACTTTTTGAATATTTTCAGGGACAGAGTTAAGGTGATACCTATATCTGGATATAAATAAAGATACATAAACAGGTAGCAGGATTATTTTTATGTGGACTTGCTGTAACACACAATTACTTGAGAAAATGTTGTCCCTTAGTTCAAATGTAGAAACATAGTAACAGTGATATAATTAACTTTTAGGATAAAAAAATTATTTCTTGACTTTCCATCAGCATCTTCCATTTCAGTATGTTGTTTGAACTAAATTAATATGAAGACTTCTATGACAGATAACATAGTTTTTTTTTAAAAAAAATTGTAGTTTCGAGATGCTGCATTTTGGTAACTTTTCAGTAGTTTCCAGCAAATGAACTATTTTCTCTGAGAGTAAATATTCTTGTTAGTGATTCCTTCTGTAAGTTTTGCATACTGCACAATGCAGTGTTAAATATTTTTATTTATGTATTTTTGTCCATTTGTTTTTAAGCCCATTTAAACATGTAACAGCTGCTCTGTATCTGGTGTGCATGTCTGGTGCAAACACCTGACAAGACAGCTCCAGAACCTCCTGTATCTTTCATAGTCTGCCTGTGGCTGAAGAAGAATGAAGAACATAGCTCACAATTTATCTACTTCAGGCCAGTAATTTTCTTTCGCCACCTTCTGCTTTATTTTGAACACATGACTGGAAGATATGCACAAAACATGGCATGCTTGTGAGCTCCTCATTCATTCCTGGCCTTCACAATCTATATATCATTGTCAATTGCATGGGTCTTTCCTTTACTGCATTTCCACGCCAAGAATGTTTCTTTAGCAGATTCATGTCTTATTAGCTAGGAGAAACCCAGAAAATTATTAGTAAGCCATCCACCATGCTATCAAAGGTAAAAAAGACCTCTTCTTTTCCATGTCCAAAGGCCTAATTCAGGATACAAAAACAGCACATTAAGTAAGATTATTACCCTTTTTGAGTATAGCATTGTAGAATTCAGTAAAATACCCTTGTCACATTTTTAGAAGAAACTTTTCACATAGGATTCTTAACTTTATTTAAAACTACTGAGATTATTGCAATCTAGAGCTCTTATTTTGACATATTTTTATTTAAAAACCAAGTGCCTGTTAACACTATAAAGAATTTTCTTATTAAAACACTTTGAATTCTTTCATTTTGAATTTATACTAGTGAGAACAAAATGTTTATTTTTACATAGTTTTCAAATTTTTTTTTCATCATTCTTTTTTATCGTATTTGGACTGAAGATGTTTTATCACAGAATTTTAGAATTTTTTTTTCTTCTCAATGGAATCTTGGGCTAGCAAAGTCGAGGTCCTGATTTTAATTTGTCCTGCTTCATAAGATATGAAAAAGTCCTACATAAGATGTTTTCTTAAAAGATTTATAGATTAAATGGCATTAAATAACTAAAAATTAATACAGCTCTTAAATGTTATTTAATGCTATAGATGCTGGTATACCAAATAGTGGTATTATTATTACTGTTTTACCTTATGTTATTGTTATGGTTTGAATTGTATCCCACCCAAATTAATATGTTGAAGCCCAAACTCCCAATATGACTGTATTTGGAGATAGAATGTAATTGGGGTTAAATGTGGTCATGAGGTAGGACCCTAATCCAATAGGCTGCCTGCAAGTCAGTAAGAGGCTTCACCAGAAGCCAACCATGCTAGATCCTTGATCTTGGACTTCCAGCCTCCAGAATTGTGAGAAAATAAATTTCCATTGTTTAAGCCATCCAGTCAGTGGTATTCTGTTATGCAGCTTAAGCAGACTAATACAATTATTATTCAAATTTTGATAAACATTTGTTTGTTCAGAAAGGATGAAATAGTTGGTCTTATTGAAGTTATTTAGGTAATGCTCTCAGTTTTAAAATTTATATTATAACAGTTATCGATCTCTTTCCCTGTTAAAATATTTGAAAATACTACTTTTATACATAAATTTAATGACTCACAATCATTAATTAGCACAACACTTTACTCTTGCAATAATAAATATATATCCATACTTTAATATAATGTCAACATTTGCAGACTTGTTACTTCACGTTATCTCTAGAATGCTTGCCTGTAGAGTTGGCGTTTTGTATCTACTGGTTCTGCATCATGGATTCACCCAACTGTGGATCAAAAATATTCAGAAGAAAAATTTCACAAAGCCAAACTTGAACTTGCTGTGCACTGAGTACTACATTGAATCCATGCTAATGAAGTGATGTGTGGCATTGTATTAGGTATTATAAGTAATAGAGATAATTTGAAATTTACAGGGGGATGTGCATGAGTTACATGCAAACACTATGCCATTTTATATAAGGGACTCCATGGGGATAGGGAGGAGGTCTCCATGGGGATAGGGAGGTGGCCTGGAACCAACCCTCCATGGACAAGGAGGGATGATTATATTTGGAGATAAATATTCACATATTGAAATATAAAGTTCATGTTTTATTCTTGTTATCGGCATTGTCTCTGATTGGATATGTTACCTATGCAATCATTTGATCATTCATGAAATACAATAGAGGGCTGTTGCAAAATGAAGTGGTGAAATAGGCAAATTAGGCTCTTTGGACTGCTAAAGACTGAGGTCAGGCAAAGGCACATAGCAGATCAGAGTACAATATTGAGGCCAAAGCTAAACTTTGATGCATCCCTAAATTTGGTGCCAGCACTTCCTATTAAACACGATTAAATTCAAAATGCCTAAGTGATCACTAACAGACCAGAGACTCAGATCTTGTTTGGGAATGCAAATGTTATTTTTTGAATAACTTTAATTTATGATCTGAAAACTTTTGCAGCTTTGTTGAGGTGTCTATAATCAAAACCAGACAGCATTTGAACGTTCTGTACAGAACGAACCAAATGGATGAGTTCTTTCACTCTCCAAGAGCTTATTCTCTGAAGCTTTCAATCACAGTGTGCCTGCCCCTCAGACCTAATGAAGCCCATCTGAATGCCCCAGATGCCTCGGAGTGGAGCTAGTCATTTGAGCAATTGAAGCAGATCCTTAGGTAATAGCTTCACTGAAGAAGTGCCCTTATTCCCAGAATAGCACAAGCAATTCTCTGGCAGTCTGACTTGATGGGTGTGTTGGTGAAGAGTATGTATTTCATAAGTTATGTTTTCTTTTTCATTTAGTTCAAAATATTTGTACATTTCTCTTGAGACTTCTTCTTTGACCCATGTTTATTTTAAAGTGTGTTTTTAATACCCGAATATTTCAGAATTTTCTAGCTCTCTTTCTGTTATTGATTTCTAGTTTAATGCCTTTGTGGTTTGAGAACATGCTTCACGTAATTTATATTCTTTTAAATTCATTAAGGTGTATTTTATAATCCAGAATGTGGTCAATCTTAGTGAAAGTATCATGTGAGCTTGAGAAGGATGTTTATTCTGCTGTTGTTGGATGGAGTAGTCTATAAATGTCAAGTTGACTGATAGTGCTGTTCAAATCAACTATATTTTTACGGATTTTCTGCCTGCTTCATCAATCATAAACTAAAGTGGGTGTTGAATTCACCAATAGTAATAGTGATTTTTTTCTGTTTCTCCTTGTGGTTTTATTAGTTTTTGCTTCATGTATTTGGATACGCTGTTATTAGTTGCATATGCACTTAGGATTGTTATCCCTTCTTAGAGAATTCACCCCTTAATCATTTTGTAATACCCTTTTGGTCTCTGATAATTTTTTTGTCCTGAAGTCAGCTTTGTCTGAAATTAATTTAGGCACTCCAGTTTTCTTGATTAGTGTTAGCGTGGTACACTTTCTCTATCTCTTCACTTTTAACCTACCTGGATCTTTATATTGAAAGATGGTTTCTGATAGACATTGTTATTTGGATTTTGTTTTTTAATCCACTCTGACAATTCTTGTCTTTTAATTGGTGGATTTAGACCATTTGCATGAGTTAACTATTGATATAATTAGATTGATATCTACTGATTTGGGGCAGGAAAGCCCCAAAGTTGGAGTCCAGCCTAGGAGGGTTCTTGGCTTACCACTGGAAAGAATTCAAGAGTGAGCCAGTGGTGTTAGACAGCAACTTTTATTGAAGCGGCTGTGTACAGCAGTGACAGAAGAACTGCTCCTTGCAGAGCAGGGCTACCCCAGAGGCAGTGTGCCCAGAGAAGCCACTCAGAAGCAGTTCTGTAGTCATATTTGTACCCACTCATAATTACATGCAAATTAAAAGGTCAATTATGCAGACATTTCTAGAAAAACAGTTGTAACTTCTGGGTTGTCAGGTTGTTGCCATGGAAAGGGGCAGTCACTTCTGGGTGTTGCCATGGCAATGGTAAGCTGACATGGCACATGGTGGGTGTGTCTTATGGAAAGCTGCTTCTGCCCCATCCCTGTTTCAGCTAGTCCTCAATTTGGCCCAGTGTCCAAGCCCCACCTGCTAGGTTGAGTTCCACCTCCTACTTCACTACCATATTTCTAACTGTTTTCTATTAATTTCACTTGTTCTTTTTCCCTTCTCTTTTTTTTCTGCCTTTTCTAGTTTTAATTGAGCATTTTATGTAATTTTATTTTTTTCTCCTCTCTTAGCATACAACCTACACTTCCTTTTAAAAATTTCTTAGTGGTTGGCCTAGAATTGTAATATACATTTACAACTTATCTGAGTCCACTTTCAAATAACACGATACCACATCACATGTAATGTAGCTACCTTATAACAACAGAGTATTCTCAATTCTTCCTTCCCATCCCTTATGACATTGCTGTCATTCACTGCATTTATCCATATGCTATAATCACCCAGTACATTGTTATTCCACATAAAATACTACTGTAATTTTAAACAAAGTTATCTTTTAGATCAATAAAAATAACAATTTGTTTTACCTTCATTTATTTCTTTTCCAGTGATCTTCCTTTATGTAGATCCAAGCTTCTGACCTATATAATTGTTTTTTTCTGTGAAGAACTTTTTTATCATTTCTTGCAGGGCAGGTGTGCTAGCAATGGATTTCCTCAGTTTCTATTTTACTGAGAAAATCCTTTATTTCTCCTTTTGTTAGGATACTTTCACTGAATATGAAATTCCATATTTTTCGTTTTCAGTGCTTTACATATTTTAGTTCACTCTCTGCTTGCTTTCATGGTTTCTGATGAGAAGTCCTCTGAAATTCTTATCCTTGTTTCTCTATAGATACTCTTTTTTTTCTCCTTTGTCTTTTAAGAGTTTGTCATTGGGCTGTGTGCAGTGGCTCATGCCTGTAATCCAAGCACTTTGGGAGGCTGAGGTAGATGGATCACTCGAGGTCAAGAGTTCAAGACTAGCCTGGCCAACCAGGTGAAATCCCATCTCTATGAAAAATACAAAAATTAGCTGGGCATGGTGCTGCAAGCCTGTAATCCCAGCTGCTCTGAAGGCTGAGACAGGAGAATCGCTTGAACCCAGGAGGTGGATGTTGCAGCGAGCCAAGATCACGCCACTGCACTCCAGCCTGGGCAACAGAGCAAGACTCTGTCTCACAAAAAAACAAACAAACAAAAAAAATTTTTTCATGGGTTTTCTGTAGTTTGAATATAATATGCCTAGGTGTTTGTTTATTTATTTATTTTTTTATTTATCTTGATGTACTTTAAATTTTCTGGATCTGTGGTTTTGTGTCTGTCATTAATTTGGGGAAAATTTTCTGACATTTTTACTTCAAATATTTTTTCTGCTACATTTTTTTCTCCTTCTGATATTCCAATTATGTGTATGTTATACCTTTTGAAATTTCCCCACTGTTTTAGGATATTTTGTTCTGCTTTTTTAATTCTTGTTTTGTGTGTGTTTGTACTACCTCTGCTTGGGAACTTTCTATTGGCATAGCCCCAATCTCTCTTTGCTCAACTGATGAGCCCATCTAAGGCTTTATTGTAAACTTCATTTCTGTAACAGTGCTTTTGATTTGTAGAATTTCTTTTTGTTTATTTCTTAGAGTTTTCAGCTCTCTGCTGATATTACCTATGTGTTCTTGTATGTTGTCTACTTTTTCCATTATAGCCCTTGATATATTAATCATGGCTATTTTTTTCTTTTTGCCCAGCTTTATTGAGGTATAATTGAAAAAACTATGTGTACTTATGGTGTACAATGTGATCTTTTATTTTTAAAAAATTTTTTAATTTGATAAATAACAATTTTATATATGTCTCATATACAATATGTTGTTTCAAAATACGTAGACATTATGGAATGGCTAAATCTAGCTAATCATGCTTACAGGTATACCTCATTTTATTGTGCTTCAATTTATTGTGCTTTGAGGATACCTTTGGAGGTGGCTACACTAAACAACAGATAGTTAATGTAGATGAGACAGCCTGCTATTAGAAGAAGATGCCATCTAGGACTCTCAAATCTAGAAAGAAGTCAATGCCTGGCTTCAGCACTTCAAAGGACAGGCTGACTGTCTTGTTAAGGGATAATGCAGCTGCTGACTTTAACTTGAAGCCAGTTCTCACTTATCATTCTGAAAATTCTAGGCCCTTAAGAATTATGCTAAATCTACTCTGTCTGTGCTCTGTAAATGGAACAACAAAGCCTGGATGACAATATGTCAGTTCATAGCATGGTTTTAAGCCCACTGTTGAGAACTACTGCTTAGAAAAAAAAAAATTTTTAATATTACTGTTCATTGACAATGCACCTGGCCACCAGGAACTGTGATGGAGATGTACAAGATTAATGTTGTATTCATGCCTGCTAACACAGCATCCAATCTGCAGCCCATAGACCAAGGAGTAATTTCAACTTTTAAGTCTTATTATTTAAGAGCTACATTTCATATGGCTATAGCTGACTTAGAGAGTGATTCCTCTGATGAATCTGGGCAAAGCAAATTGGAAATCTTCTGGAAATAAGTCAACATTATAGATACCATTAGGAATATTCATAATTCATGGGAGGAGGTCCGAATATCAACATTAACACAAGTCTGAAAGAAGTTGACTACAACCCACATGGAGGACTTTGAGGGGTTCAAGATTTCGATAGAGGAACTGCAGATGTGGTAGAAATAGCAAGATAAATCGAATTGGAGCCTGATGTGTCTGAATTTCTCTAATCTCACAATAAAACTTTAATGAATGAGGAATTGCTTCTTTGGGATGAGCAAAGAAAGTGGTTTATTAAGATATAATCCACTTCTGGTGAAGATGCTGTGAATATTTTTGAAATGATTACAAACATGTCAGATATTACATAAACTTAGTTGATAAAGCAGCAGCAGGGTTTGAGAGGATTGACTCCAATTTTGAAAGAAGTAGCATTCTTTCAAAATGCTTTCAAACAACATTGCATCCTACAGAGAAATCTTTCACAAAAGGAGGAGCCACTTGATGTAGCAAACTTCATTTGTTGTCTTATTTTAAGAAATTGCCATAACCACTCCAACCTTCAGCAACCACCATCTTTATCAGTCAATAGTCATCAACATTGGTGCAAGGGCCTCCACAGAAAGATGATTATGACTCACTGAAAGTTTAGGATATTGTTAGCATTTTTTAGCAATGAAATATTTTAAAATTAATCTATGTACATTATTTTTTAGAAATAATGCTATTGCACACTTATTAGGTTATAGTATAGAGTAAACAAAACTTTTGTATGCACTGGGAGACAGAAAAAATTGTGTGACTCTCTTTACTGCAATATTTGCTTTGTTTCAGTGGTCTAGAACTAAACCCACAACATCTCTGATGTATACCTGTACTTTAACTTCCCTGTTTAATCATTTCAAAATCTATGTCATATCTGAGCTTGATTGCATTGCTTCTTTCTTCTCTTCAGGCTGTGTTTTTTCTTCCTTTTTAGCATGGCTTGTAATTTGTTATTGAAAGCCAGACACGATATATTAGATAATAAGAACTGAGGTAAAAGCCTCAGTGTGAGGTCTTAGGTTAATCTATCCAGGAGTTGGGTTGTGTCTAATGTTTACTGTACCTGCAGGTGTCAGAGGCTTCAAATTTGTCTGATATTTTAGTTTTTGTTTTTCCTGTTGCCTTTGGGCTTCCCCATTGCCTTTGAGCTTCTTAAATAAAGTCTATGCCTTGCAGCTCTTTCAGCTGTAATCCAGTGTTATTACTAAAACCCTATTGATGTAGTGATAAGGTATGAGGAAAAGAAAGTATTCTATAACTGTATAATCTTTTAACAGGTCTGTGTCCTTGGACTATGATCTTCAAAAGTGCTTCTTAGCTTTTCCCCTCCCATTAGGTTCTGGAAAAATCCTTTCTTTTGGAACATAAGCATATGCTATGGACAACTCTCCGAATTCACAATGGATACCTTTCCCTTCCTCCTGCTAAAGCCATCAGGAGATCTTCCTTCATTCTTCTGTATAGAACCTGATTGGGCTCTTAGATGTAAATCCATGAAAGTGTGGGGTCTCCCTAAGGCTGCAGACCACAAGAGTTTCTTACTCTGGAACTAGTCCATACTCAGCCTCCAGATGTTCATCACAAGTGCTGTCTAAGTGTTCCTACCCATTTGTGGCTCCAGCAGCTTCTGCTCCAGGTGAGCAGATTCTCTGTACCTACCCATCTCTCCAGATTTTGGGGTGGCAGTTTGCCTCTGATCTTGAATTATTGATGGATCCAAGAAAATTTGTTTGAAGTTTGTTCAGCATTTTTCACATTGTAAGGACAAGAGTGATCATTTCTTTTCTTTTCTTTTCTTTTCTTTTCTTTTTTTTTTTTTTGAGACAAGAGTCTTGCTCTGTCACCCAGGCTGGAGTGCAGTGGCGCGATCTTGGCTCACTGCAAGCTCCGCCTCCCGGGTTCACGCCATTCTCCTGCCTCAGTCTCCTGAGTAGCTGGGACTACAGGTGCCCGCCACCACACCCGGCTAATTTTTTTGTATTTTTAGTAGAGATGGGGTTTCACCGTGTTAGCCAGGATGGTCTCGATCTCCTGACCTCGTGATCCGCCTGCCTCGGCCTCTCAAAGTGCTGGGATTACAGGCGTGAGCCACCGTGCCTGGCCAAGAGTGATCACTTCTAATCTCTTCACATGTTGGACCTAAAACCAGAAGTCTTCTGTCTGTATTTTTGAATTAATAGAAAATCTAAATCCCATGGGCTTAATGATAAGGCATTTCTTTTCTGATATAACTGGGCATTTCAGAGGTAGTTCCAGCCTTAGTGTTTGTTTGATCCCCTGACTCCACATTTGTAGGAACACAGATTGCTCCCATTTCCCTGTTCCTCCTTAGTGTCTACAACACAGGTACAATATGGCTGCCCAAAACTTCCAGGCTAATTGCTCCTTCAGGAGGAAAGAACAATGCTTTCACAATACTGAAAAAATTATAGCTTCCATCTTGATTAAACAATCTAAGGCCACATTTTCATTGTACCAGTTAACTACTGACACATAATTCTGGGTAATAATTACAGAATCCTGGTGCCATTTAACCATATGTATTCTTCATGTGTCCACAGATTGTCTAGAGGCTCTGCTGATGTCACCTGGGCTCACTCACAGGTCTGCAGGTTGGGTGGGGGTGGCCGATTTGGGCTGGGGTGGACTGGGTGGCTCTACTTTAAGCTAGGGACCCTCTGCTCACACGTTTCTCACTCTCCTTGGATCTGAAGGTATGTGAGTCGTGTTCTTCTCATAGAAATGAAAGGGGTGCAAGAGGAAACATGGAAACACAGAAAGCCTCTTAAGGCCTATGCTTGAAATTGGCACCATGTTAATTATGCCCACAGGACACTGGTGAAAGCAAGTGGCATGGCCATGGCCAAAATCAAGGGGCAGGAAAGGACACTCTGCCCATAAGGAAGCCATGACAAGGATGTAAGTACAGCTGGAGATTGAGACCAGACAATCTACTGCACTCACAAATCTCCTGGCCACTGCTTTCACAGGAACATGAATACCATGTTTGACAAGAACCAGTGAAAACTCAGACCCTGAAGCTGTGGACTGATTCGTGCTGTACTAGTTTGCTAGGGCTGCAACAACAAAATACTGAGTGGCTTAAACAACAGACATTTATTTTTCCACAATTCTGAAGGCTGGAACTCTGAAATCAAGGTGTCACCAGGGTTGGTTTCTTCTTAAGTATCTCTCCTTGGCTTGTGGATGGAAATCAGCTCCCTGTGTCTTCACCTGGTTTTCCCTAGGTGAATGTCTGTGTCCTAATTTCCTCTTCTTATAAGGGTTCCAGTCCTACTGGATAAGAATTCACCCTATTGACTCATTTTAACTTAATTACCTTTTAAAGACTCTTTTTCCAAATCCAGTCACATTCTGAGGTACTGGGGATAGGACCACAGCATATGGATTTGGAGGGGTATAATTGAAACATAACAACAAGCAAGGTACCCATAAACCACACAGACCATATTTCTTATAACAAATATCAATATATGTTTGTAGCCTCAAATAAAAATGATATGTAGTAAAATAATCAGCAGAAAAACCAGAATGATGCCATCTGGATTCTTAATTTTCCTTAGTTATAGCCTGATCTGGGGGTAAAAACTTAAGACAACTGAAAGATGAGACATTCTTTAAGCAATCTCCACTGAATAGTGTTGCTTTAAATTGAGCTATTGACCAGTTTGATATTGTACCTTGTGGTCAGGGCTTGGCCAGTGCCTTCCTGTACTTCCTGTTGAGCACAGTTGTATGTGTCTAAGGAGGCAAAGCAGAGAGGCCACATACCTGGAGAGAAAAGCCAGCCCATAGTTTTAGACATGACTTGATGGAGTATACAGAGGGCACTTTTGGTTGCAATACAGGAACTACATTGAAATGGGTAAATAAATAAATAAGACCCAGGGTATTTCCCAAATCCCAAGGACAGGAATACAACAGTTCCAGGAACAAGACACAGGCATTCTATGGAGAACTCAAGAAGTACTCAGTTTCTATCTCGCACATGTGTTCTTTCCTGCTTTACTTCATCCTTCCATTTTTCTCTTTATACTTTTTTCCTCCTCCTTACTTTGTTTTTTCTTTCTTCTTATCCCCTTTTATTCTCTTTTTTATCTTCTTTTTCCTTGTCCTACTTCTCCCGTACAATCCTGTCCCCCAAAAAACTGTTTTCTTCTAGTTTTCCAGTTCATATGTAGAAATTCGCATGTATGTTTTTCCAATTCATATATACGCTTTGCCAATTTAGATGTATGATTTTGGTATAACATACCTAAAAATACTGGGGGAAGGTATTCGAAACATCTTTTAAAATGCCCAACTGAGTTTGGAAAGCAAGACAACCCATTGAGTTCAATTATTCTACGCTGCTTGTAGAACACATATCAATATGTTTTAAAAGTCAGAATATAGAGACTGTGTTCCTGACGAGAAGGCCATCCCACTTAGGCTGAGAAGTTAGCTGGGAGAGTAATCAGCAGATTGTAAGTAGTGAAAAATGCGGAGACCAGACACGATGAGAACATGAAAATCCAAGTGGAGTGAGTAGGAACAGAAGTTGGATGTGCTCTGGTGCCTCTGCCCATCCTGGTTGTTGCCATGCACGTGGTGGCAGGAGGGAGAGTGTGGGGCCCTAGCAGGATGGAAAGTTATGCTGGAGACTCCTGCAAAAGCCAGGACCCTGAAACCCTAAAAGAATGACCCATGACCTCTTCCCTCTGTTCTACTACAGAAAAGAAAATACGCATATGTCTAGTTTAAGTTAACATTGACTCTGGGCAGACTTGGAAAAAATAGTCCTACCCTGAAAATTCCTAACCACAAGCCCGTATTTCCATGAGTATGGGTCTAAATTTATACCCTCATTTGCTGTGAAAAGTATGAGGCAAAAATATTAGTTGAAAGGTATCCCGAGCTTGTGGATAGGTACCTTGCAGGAGTAAAAGAAATTTTCTCTAAATGAATTCCCTTTGGAAATAGGCCTCAAATAATTCACACAGATAAAAGTTCAGGAAACATCAGTATTCTTTCTCTCTTTCTGTCTCTCATCCCTCCCGACACCCCTGCCCCACACCTGCCAAAACACAATCACTAAGCCCAAAAGAAAACAAGTTACCATGAGCAAGAGACAACAACAACAACAACAACAACAAAATCCCAGAGTCAGACTCACAAAGGCTGGTGATATTAGAATTAACAGATACAAATATAGAACAAATATGTTTAATATATTTAAAGATAAAAAAGAGTTTTATGAAGCAATGAGAAAGAGACAAAAAAACCTACCAATATTGACCAGGAATTTTTTAAATAACCAAATAGTACTGGGAGAAAGAAAAAAATTAAATAATGGGGACTTGAAACTCAATGGTTATATTAAATAACCGCTTAAAATTAGCAAAAAAGAAAATTAGATAAATGGGAGAAATAAAGAAATTACACAGATTGAAGCACAGTGAAAAAAAAGTTCAAGTAGCCCATTAAATCCCAAACATGATCAATAAAAAGAAATTTAGCCTAGATACATGGTGGCAGAAAGGCAAAACCCAAACATAGAAAATGTGAAACAGTCAGAGATGAAAGTTAGAAACCTCAAAACATCATTTCCAATACTGGATAGAACATCTAGACAGAAGACCAATAACAAAATAGAGGACTTGGATAACACTAAAAAGCAACTAGACACAACAGACATACATAAAGCACTCCACAAAACCATAGCAGAATATACATTCTTTTCAAGTGCACATAGAACAGTCTCCAGGATAGAAAATATAAGGCCTAAAAAATAATCTCAAAAAATGTAAAAGATTAAAATAATACAAAGTATACTCTATGAACACAATGGATTGCTGTTAGACATCAATAGCGAAAAGAAAGCTAGAAAATTCACAATTATGTGAAAATTAAACAGCACTATTAAATGACCGTTAAGACTAAGAAAAAAAAAAAACACAAAGAAATCTAGAACATACTTACAGAGGAATGAAATGGAAGCACAACATGCCATAACTTATGGAATGTGGCAAAGTAAATGCTCGGAGGAAAATTTATAGCTGTAAATGCATACATCGTAAAGGAAGCCAAATCTCAAATCAATAAGCTAACTTTGCGCCTTGAGCAATTATTAAAAAACACACACACACACAAACTAAACCCAAAGCTAGGAGAAATAATGGAGATTAAAGATAAATAAAATTGAGAATAAAAAGAATAGAGAGAATCAATAAAACCAAAAGTAGGTTCTCAAAAGGATGAAAAGAGCTGATTGAAGGTTCCAAGATGACCGAATAGGAACAGCTCCAGTATACAGCTCCCAGAGTGAGCGACACAGAAGACGGGTGATTTCTGCATTTCCAACTGAGGTACTGGATTCATCTCATTGGGACTGGTTGGACAGTGGGTGCAGCCCACAGAGTGTGAGCCAAAGCAGGGCGGCACATCACCTCACCTGGGAAGCACATGGGGTTGGGGAATTCCCTTTCCTAGCCAAGGGAAGCTGTGACAGATGGTACCTGGAAAATCGGGACACTCCCACCCTAATACTGCACTTGTCCAATGGTCTTAGCAAACAGCACACCAGGAGATTATATCCTGTGCCTGGCTTGGCCAGTCCCACACCCACAGAGCCTTGCCCACTGCTAGCACAGCAGTCCGAGATCAAACTGCGAGGTGGCAGCGAGGCTAGGGGAGGAGCATCCGCCATTGCTGAGGCTTGAGTAGGTAAACAAAGCAGCCAGGAAGATGGAACTGGGTGGAGCCCACCACACCTCAAGAAGGCCTGCCTGCCTCTGTAGACTCCACCTCTGGGGGCAGGGCATAGCTGAACAAAAGGCAGCAGAAACTTCTGCAGACTTAAACATCCCTGTCTGACAGCTTTGAAGAGAGCAGTGGTCCTCTCAGCATAGAGTTTGAGATCTGAGAACAGACAGACTGCCTTCTCAAGTGGGTCCCTGACCACCAAGTAGCCTAACTGGGAGAAACCTCCCAGTAGAGGCCAACTGACACCCCATACAGCCAGGTGCCCCTCTGAGATGAAGCTTCCAGAGGAAGGATCAGGCAGCAACATTTGCTGTTCTGCAATATTTGCTGTTATGCAGCCTCTGCTGGTGATACCCAGGCAAACAGGGTCTGGAGTGGACCTCCAGCAAACTCCAACAGACCTGCAGCTGAGGGTCCTGACTGTTAGAAGGAAAACTAACAAACAGAAAGGAATAGCATCAACGTCAACAAAAGAGACATCCACACCAAAACCCCATCTGAAGGTCAGGTTCATCAAAGACCAAAGGTAGAAAAAACCACAAAGATGGGGAGAAACCAGAGCAGAAAAGCTGAAAATTCTAAAAACCAGAGCACCTATTCTTCTCCAAAGGATCGCAGCTCCTCGCCAGCAATGGAACAAAGCTCAATGGAGAATGACTTTGACAAGTTGACAGAAGTAGGCTTCAGAAGACCGGTAATAACAAACTTCTCCAAGCTAAAGGGGATGTTCGAACCCATTGCAAGGGAGCTAAAAACCTTGAAAAAAGATTAGAAAAATGGCTAAGTAGAATAAACAGCATAGAGAAGACCTTAAACGACCTGATGGAGATGAAAACCATGGCAGGAGAACTATGTGACACATGCACAAGCTTCAGTAGCCAATTCGATCAACTGGAAGAAGGGTTATCAGTGATTGAAGATCAAATGAGTGAAATGAAGAGAGAAGAGAAGTTTTGAGAAAAAAGAGTAAAAAGAAATGAACAAAGCCTCCAAGAAATATGGGACTAAGTGAAATGACCAAATCTATGTTTGTTTGGTGTACCTGAAAGTGATGGGGAGAATGGAACTAAGTTGGAAAAACACTCTTCAGGATATTATCCAGGAGAACTTCCCCAATCTAGCAAGGCAGGCCAACATTCAAATTCAGGAAATACAGAGAATGCCACAGAGATACTCCTTGAGAAGAGCAACCCCAAGACACATAATTGTCAGATTCACCAAGTTTGAAATGAAGGAAAAAATATTAAGGGCAGCCAGAGAGAAAGGTTGGCTTACCCACAAAGGGAAGCCCATCAGACTAACAGCAGATCTCTCCGCAGAAAATCTACAAGCCAGAAGAAAGTGGGGGCCAATATTCAACATTCTTAAAGAAAAGAATTTTCAACCCAGAATTTCATATCCAGCCAAACTAAGCTTCATAAGTGAAGGAGAAATAAATACCTTTACAGACAAGCAAATGCTGAGAGATTTTGTCACCACCAGGCCTGCCTTACAAGAGTTCCTGAAGGAAGCACTAAACATGAAAAGGAACAACTGGTACCAGCCACTGCAAAAACATGCCAAATTGTAAAGACCATTGATGCTAGGAAGAAACTGCATCAACTAATGAGCAACATATCCAGCTAACATCATAATGACAGGATCAAATTCACACATAACAATATTAACCTTAAATGTAAATGGGCTAAATGCCCCAATTAAAAGACACAGACTGGCAAATTGGATAAAGAGTCAAGATGCATCAGTGTGCTGTATTCAGGAGACCCATCTCACGTGCAGAGACACACATAGGCTCAAAATAAAGGGATGGAGGAAGATCTACTAAGCAAATGGAAGACAAAAAAAAGCAGGGGTTGTGATCCTGGTTACTAATAAAACAGACTTTAAACCAACAAAGGTCAAAAGAGACAAAGAAGGCCATTACATAATGGTAAAGGGATCAATTCAACAAGAAGAGCACACTATCCTAAATATATATCCACCCAATACAGGAGTGCCCAGATTCATAAAGCAAGTCCTTAGAGACCTACAAAAAGACTTAGACTCCCACACAATAATAATGGGAGAGTTTAACATCCCACTGTCAACATTAGACAGATCAACGAGACAGAGAGTTAACAAGGATATCCAGGACTTGAACTCAGCTCTGCACCAAGCGGACCTAATAGACATCTACAGAACTCTCCACCCCAAATCAGCAGAATATACATTCTTCTCAGCACCACATTGCACTTATTCCAAAAGTGACCACATAGTTGGAAGTAAAGCACTCCTCAGCAAATGTAAAAGAAGAGAAATCATAACAAACTGTCTCTCAGAAGACAGTCCAATTAAATTAGAACTCAAGATTAAGAAACTCACTCAAAACTGCACAACTACATGGAAACTGAACAACCTGCTCCTGAATGACTACTGGGCAAATAACGAAAGGAAGGCAGAAATAAAGATATTCTTTGAAACCAATGAGAACAAAGACACAACATACCAGAATCTCTGGGACACATTTAAAGCAGTGTGTAGAGGGAAATTTTTAGCACTAAATGCCCACAAGAGAAAGCAGGCAAGATCTAAAATTGACACCCTAACATCACAATTAAAAGAACTAGAGAAGCAAGAGCAAACACATTCAAAAGCTAGCAGAAGGCAAGAAATAACTAAGATCAGAGCAGAACTGAAGGAGATAGAGACAAAAAAAAAAAAAAAAAAAAACCCTTGAAAAAATCAATGAATCCAGGAGCTGGTTTTTGAAAAGATCAACAAAATAGATAGATTGCTAGCAAGACTAATGGAAGAAAAGAGAGAAGAATCAAATAGATGCAATAAAAAATGATAAAGGGGATATCACCACCGATCCCAAAAAAAACAAACTACTATCAGAGAATACTATAAACACCTCTATGCAAATAAACTAGAAAATCTAGAAGAAATGGATAAATTCCTGGACACATACCCTCCCAAGACTAAACCAGGAAGAAGTTGAATCCCTGAATAGACCAATAACAGGCTCTGAAATTGAGGCAATAATTAATAGCCTACCAACCAAAAAAACTCCAGGACCAGACGGATTCACAGCCAAATTCTACCAGAGGTACAAAGAGGAGCTGGTACCATTCCTTCTGAAACTATTCCAATCAATAGAAAAAGAGGGAATCCTCCCTAACTCATTTTATGAGGCCAGCATCATCCTGATACCAAAGCCTGGCAGAGACACAACAAAAAAAAGAGAATTTTAGACCAATATCCTTGATGAATATCGATGCAAAAATCCTCAATAAAATACTGGCAAACCAAATCCAGCAGCACATCAAAAAGCTTATCCACCACGATCAAGTTGGCTTCATTCCTGGGATGCAAGGCTGGTTCAACATACACAGATCAATAAATGTAATCCAGCATATAAACAGAACCAAAGACAAAAACCACATGATTATCTCAATAGATTCAGAAAAGGCCTTTGATAAAATTCAACATCCCTTCATGTTAAAAACTCTCAATAAACTAGGTATTGATGGGATCTATCTCAAAATAATAAGAGCTATTTATGACAAACCCACAGCCAATATTATACTGAATGGGCAAAAACTGGAAGCATTCCCTTTGAAAACTGGCACAAGACAGAGATGCCCTCTCTCACCACTCCTATTCAACATAGTGTTTTCGATGTTCTGGCCAGGGCAATCAGGCAAGCGAAAGAAATAAAGGGTATTGAATTAGGAAAAGAGGAAGTCAAATTGTCCCTGTTTGCAGATGACATGATTGTATATTTAGAAAACTCCATCCTCTCAGCCCAAAATCTCCTTAAGCTGATAAGCAACTTCAGCTAAGTCTCAGGATACAAAATCAATATGCAAAAATCACAAGCATTCCTATACACCAATAACAGACAAACATAGAGGCAAATCATGAGTGAACTCCCATTCACAATTGCTTCAAACGGTATAAAATACCTAGGAATCCAACTTACAAGGGAAGTGAAGGACCTCTTCAAGGAGAACTACAAACCACTGTTCAATAAAATAAAAGAGAACACAAGCAAATGGAAGAATACTCCATGCTCGTGGAAAGGAAGAATCAATATCGTGAAAACGGCCATACTGGCCAAGGGAATTTATAGATTCAATGCCATCCCCATCAAGCTTCCAATGACTTTCTTCAGAGAATTGGAAAAAACTACTTTAAAGTTCATGTGGAACCAAAAAAGAGCCCGCATTGCCAAGACAATCCTAAGCAAAAAGAACAAAGCTGGAGGCATCATTCTACCTGACTTCAAACTATACTACAAGGCTATAGTAACCAAAACAGCATGGGACTGGTACCGAACAGAGATACAGAACAATGGAACAGAACAGAGCCCTCAGAAATAATACCACATATCTACAACTATCTGATCTTTGACAAACCTGACAAAAACAAGAAATGGGGAAAGGATTCCCTATTTAATAAATGGTGCTGGGAAAACTGGCTAGCCATATGTAGAAAGCTGAAACTGGATCCCTTCCTTACACCTTATACAAAAATTAATTCAAGATGGATTAAAGACTTACATGTTAGACCTAAAACCATAAAAACCCTAGAAGAAAACCAAGGCAATGCCATTCAGGACATAGGCATGGACAAGGACTTCATGACTAAAACACCAAAAGCAATAGCAACTAAAGCCAAAATAGACAAATGGGATCTAATTAAACTAAAGAGCTTCTGCACAGCAAAAGAAACTACCATCAGAGTGAACAGGCAACCTACAGAATGGGAGAACAATTTTGCAATCTACCCATCTCACAAATGGCTAATATCCACAATCTACAAAGAACTTAAACAAATTTACAAGAAAAAATCAAACAACCCCATCAAAAAGGGGGCGAAGAATATAAACACACACTTCTTAAAAAAAGACATTTATGCAGCCAACAGACACGTGAAAAAATGCTCAGCATCACTGGCCATCAGAGAAATGCAAATCAAAACCACAATGAGATACCATCTCACACCAGTTAGAATGGGGATCAATAAAAAGTCAGGGAACAGGTGCTGGAGAGGATGTGGAGAAATAGGAACACTTTTACACTCTTGGTGGGACTGTAAACTAGTTCAACCATTGTGGAAGACAGTGTGGTGATTCCTCAGGGATCTAGAACTAGAAATACCATTTGACCCAGTGATCCCATTACTGGGTATACCCAAAGGATTATAAATCATGCTATTATAAAGACTCATGCACACATATGCTTATTGTGGGACTATTCACAATTGCAAAGACTTGGAACCAACCCAAATGTCCATCAGTGATAGACTGGATTAAGAACATGTGGCAGATATACATCATGGAATACTATGCAGCCATAAAAAATGATGAGTTCATGTCCTTTGTAGGGAGATGGATAAAGCTGGAAACCATCATTCTGAGCAAACTATCGCAAGGACAGAAAACGAAACACCACATGTTCTCACTCATAGGTGGGAATTGAACAATGGGAACCCTTGGACACAGGGTGGGAATCATCACACACCAGGGCCTGTCGTGGGGTTGGGGGAGTGGGGAGGGATTGCATTAGGAGAAATACCTAATGTAAATGACGAGTTAATGGGTGCAGCACACCAACATGCCACATGTATACATATGTAACAAACCTGCACGTTGTGCACACATACCATAGAGCTTAAAGTATAATAATAAATAAATAAATATGAAAAGAGCTGACAAACTTCTGGCTGAGCTGACAGACATAAAAAGAGAGAAGTCATAGATAACTAAAAGGAGAAATGAAAGTGAGGTCATTACTACCAACCCTACAAAAATACAAAGGGTCATAACAAAATATTGCAAGCAATTGTGCACCAACAAGTTACATAACCTAGTTGAAATGAAACATTCCTAGAACCATACAAATTACCTAAACTGACTCAAGAAGAAATAGAAAATCTCAACAGACCTCTAACAAGCAAAGAGATTGAATCAGTAATTAAAAAAAAAAAAACTTCCCAACAAAGAAAAGTCTAGGACCAGATAACTTCACACCTAGTAAATTATATCAAATATTTAAAAAAGAATTAACAACAATTTGTCTCATTCTCTTCCAAAAAAATAGAAGAAGTAACACTTCTTATTCATTCTATGAAGGTAACATTGCAAAGCCAGGAAAAGACATCATAAAAAATTACATATGGTACTGTATACCTTATGAATATTGATGCAGAAAAATTCTCAACAAAATACTAGAAAACTGAATCTAACAGCATATCAAAAAGATAACACACTATGATAAAATGGGATTTATCTAAGAAATGCAAGGGTGGTTCAACATATAAAAATCTATCAGTGTAATATATTACATTCATAGAATGAAGAAAAAAACACACTATCATGTCAATTGATGTAGATAAGGAATTTATCCAAATCCAACACCCTCAGATAAAGACACTCAGAAAACTCAACATAAAATAAAGCTTTCTCAACATGATGAAGGGCATTTATGAAAATCTCACAGCTTCACACTTAATGGTGAAAGACTGAAATATTTCTTCCTAAGATCAGGAATAAACAAGGAATTCCAACTTCTTGGTATCCTTGATACCAAGAAGGAATCACTATTTCTTTTCAACACTGTAAACATTGTATTGGAATTTTTTCCAAAGACATTTAAAAAGAAATAAAAGGCACCCAAATTAAAAAGGAAGAAGTAAAGCTATATTTATTAGCAAATGGCATGATCCTATATATAGAAAATACCAAAGAATCTGCAAAAAAAGCTACTAGAGCTAATCAATGAATTCATCATAATTGCACGATACAAGATAAACACACACAAAAAATCTGTAACAAACAATCCAAAAATAAAATTTAAAAAGGAATTCCAATTATAATAGCATCTAAAAAAATAAAATCTCAGGAATAAATTTATCCAAGGAAGTGAAATACTTGAAAATTTTAAAATATTATTGAAATAAATGAAGATCTAAACAGATGGAAAAACATCCTGCATTTGTGAATAAGAAAACTTAATATTGTTAAGATATCAATAGTATCCAAAGTTACCTACAGATTCAACGTAATTTCTGTCAAAATTCCAACAACTCTTTTTTCGGAAATGGAAAAGCCAGTTCTCAAATTCATACAGAATTGCAAGAGTCCCCAAATAACTAAAAGAGTCCTTGAAAAATAATTTTTAAAAAGTTGGAGAACTTATACTTCTTGATTTCAAACTTACTACAAAGGTACAGTAATCAAAATGATATGGTCCTAGCATGAGGATAGACATATAGACCAATGGAATAAAATTGAGAGTCCAAAAATAAACCCATACATGGAGAAAGAATTGTCTTTTCAACAAATGGTGCTGGGAAAACCGGATATCTACATGCAAAAGAATAAAGATGGACCTCACACCACATACAGGAAATAACTCAAAATAGATCAATAATAGAAATAGAATAGCTAAAACTATAAAAGCTCTTAGAAGAAAACATAGGGGCAAACCTGCATGACACTGGATTTGGCCATGGTTTCTCATACATGTCACCAAAAGCACAGGCAACAAAAGAAAAATAGATAAATTGCACTTTGTCAACATTAAAAACTGTCGTGCATAAAGGGATACTATCAAGAGACTGAAAAACCACAGAATGGGAGAAAATAGAAATTTGAAGACTTACATGGAGGGAAAAATGAGGTTAAGGAATTTTTGGATCATTGTATTGTCTGAGAAGAGCATAAAGGTGCTGATTAATATTGGTCATTATTAGGTTAAATATGCAGGTTAGAATTTCCCGTGTATTCACTAAAAAAAAAGAAAACTGGCTAAGCACGTTGGCTCACGCCTGTAATCCCAGCACTTTGGGAGGCCGAGGTGGGTGGATCACCTGAGGTCAGGAGCTGGAGACCAGCCTGGCCAATATGGTGAAACCCCGTCTCTACTAAAAATACAAAAATTAGCCAGGTGAGGTGGCAGGCGCTTCTAATCCCAGTTACTGGGGAGGCTGTGGCAGGAGAATCGCTTGAGCCAAGATCGTGCCACTGCACTCCAGCCTGGGCAACAAGAGTGAAACTCTGTCTCAAAAAAAGGAAACACACCCACACACACACACACAAAACTGATTATGTATCTTCTAGTCTAGTACAATAAAAAATGCTAGAAGTTTTAAAAAGGGGCAAAGAGAGAAAAGACTGAAAAATGAGACAAATAAAAAGTCAAAACTAAGATGATTGAAAATAATCACAGTGATCATAATTGGTGTAAATGAACTACACAGAAAAAGTACTTTTTTATACTGTATTATGTTTTAGCCTAGTTGCTTATTGTGAAAATGACACACCTACAACCTGAAAACATGGAAAAACTGAAAGTAAACAAAAAAAGGAGAGGAAATGTATCAGCAAATACTAACCCAAAGAGAGCTGGTTAGGTGTATTATGTTCCAGCAAAATAAATTCAAAGCTAAAGGCTCATGACATACAGGTTAAAATATCATTGTCCCAGGAAGATATAACAATTTTAAATTTAGACCATCTAAAACATAACTTTAAATTTAACATTTTTAATCCATTATCCAATCTCACACTGTTAAATTTTACTACACTTCTCCCAATAATCAATACATCAAGTATACTAACAGCTGATAAAGTCAGAGGTGATTTGAACAGAATAATTATCACACTTGATCTATGAATAATATGTATTTACCAGATAACCCATAGGTCAAGAATAAATAAAAATTAAAAACTAGCTTTAACACTAATGAAATGTTGCTTATTAAAACTCTTGGGCCATTGCAAAAGTGGTACAGTAGAATTTCTAAAACTACAACCTTACCAAAAAAACCACATATTTTATAAGGTACAATTGTGAAAAGAAATGAGCATAGCATCCAATTTAAGAAGTTAGTAAAAGAACAATAAACTTAAGTGAAATAGAAGAAAATAAAAAGGATAAGAACAAAATGAGTGAAATGCAAAGATACAATCGAGACAATCGATTTTGCCAAAAGTAGGTTTTCTGAACAGACTAGTAAAATTCACAAACCTCTGGCAACATTGATCAGAAAGAATGAAAAATAAGAATGAGAGAGAGGGAAGTAGGGAGAGAGAGGTGGGGGAGGAGAGAGGGAGGAATGCAGAAGGCACCTGTGACTAATGTCTAATGTCAGGAAAGAAAAAGGGCACCTCACTACGAATGCTGTAAACATTAAGAGGAATGAGAGGATATTATGACCATGCCAATACGTTTCGATGAAATGGATACATTCTTAGAAATAGAAAATTTACTAAAACTGACTCAACAAATAAATAGAAACATCTGAATGCTGTTTAAAAAACACTAATAAAACTTAATCATTAATTTAAAATGTTCCACAAATACAATATCAGGCCCAGGCAGTTTAACAGTTGGATTCATTTGTGCATTCAAGGAATAGACAATTGTACTCCTGTACAAACTCTTTCAGAGCCCCAAAGAAGCATAACTTTGATGGAAAAGCCAGACAGGGACAGGGAAGGGGAAATTAGAAACAACCTCAGCATGACCAGAAATGCACAAAGTGCTAAACAGAAGATTAGACACTGAATCCAGACAGGAAAATAATATATATTTAATATGACTAAGGTGGATTTATTCCTGGAGCACAAAGTTAAATCAACAGTAGAAACTCTATTAATGAAATTACTGAAGGGAATCCAAGTTTATGTAGAATTTTCCAACACGAATAATACTGAATCAGACCTTGCGCTGATGGGATGTGATCTGGGGCACCAAAAGCATCTTCTACAGAACAAAAATTATTTAAACACAAACAGGGAAAATCAGACAGGAAAAGACAGCTTGATTCAGTTATATGAAAATTGAGAACTTCTGTTCAATAAAATATTTCAATAAATAAAAAGGCAGGCCACAAATTAAGAGACACCTGCCATACATATACAATGTAAAGAATTTGAATCAAAAGTATATAAATACCTTTTATAAATCCATAAAAGATAAATAGCATTAATAGAAAAATTAGTAAACATGAAGAGATACTTCAAAGAGGAATGCACTGGACTGAATGTTTATGTTCCCCTAAAATTTCTGCGTTGAAGTCCTAACCCCCAAGGTGATGGTATTAGGAGGTGAAGCCTTTGGGAGATAATTAGATCGTGAAGATGGAGCCTTCATTCATGGGATTAATGTTGTTGTAAAAGGGCCCCTAGCGAGCACTCTCATCTTCCTCCTGCCGTGTGAGAGTACAGCCGGAAGTCAGCAGTCTGCAGCCTGGAAGATGGCCCTCACCAGAACCCGATCATATTGGCACCTGGATCTCAGACTTTGAGAAATAAATTACTTTTGTTTATAAGCCACCTAATCTATGATAGATTGCTATAAAAGCCCAAACTGATTAAGATAAGAAGTAAAAGCAAATGACCAATACACACACAAAAACATCCTCAAGCTCATTAGTAACCAGAGAAAAATGCAAATGAAAAACATAAAAGGTCTGATGATTCCAAGTGGCAGTGAGGATTTAGAGAAGTGGAAATGCTCATACCTAATTATGGTGTATAATTGGCTTAAAACTATTTTGGAAAATAATTTAAGCAGAAAACCTGACTCTCTCTCTCCCTTTCCCAATGTATATATACAGTCACGTGGTCCATAATGACATTTCAGTTAGTGATGGGCCACATACATAATGGTGGTCCCATAAAATTATACTGAAGCTGAAAAATGCTTATTGCCTAGTGATGTCATAGCCTTCAAAACATCATAGTAGAATGCATTATTCATGTGTCTGTGGGGATGCTGGTGTAAACAAACCTACTGTGCTGCCAGTCATATAAAAGTCTAGCACATACAATTATTGTATGTACAGCACATATTTGATAATGACAATAAATTACTGTTACTGATTTATATATTTACTCTACTATAATAATTTCTATCATTTGTTTAGAGTTTACTTCTATTTGTTTTTAAAAGTTAACTGTAAAACAGCCTCATACATGTCCTTTAGGAGGCACCGTAAAAGAAGGCATTGTTTTCACAGGAGATGACAGCTCCATGCCTGTTATTGCCCCTGAAAGACCTTCCAGTGGGACAAGATGTGGAGGCAGCAGACAGTGATATTGATGATTCTGACCCTGTGTAGGCCTAGGCTAATGTGTGTGTTTGTGTCTTTGTTTTTAACAAAAAACGTTTAAAAAGTGAAAAAAACAATTTAATAGGAAAAAGTTTATAGAATAAGGATATAAATATTTTGTATACCTGGACAATGTGTGTTTTAAGCTAAGTATTACAAAAGAGTTAACAGTTTAAAAAATGTAAAAGTTTATACAGTAAAAAAGTTACAGTAAGCTAAGGTTAATTTAGTTTTGAAGAAAGAAAAATATTTTTTAAGAAATGTACGTAGCATAAGTATACAGTGTTTATGAAGTCTACAGTAGTGTACAGTAATGTCCTAGGCCTTCACCTTCACTCACCACTCATCACTGACTCACCCAGAGCAACTTCCAGTCCTGTAAGCAACATTCACGGTAAGTGCCCTATACAGGTGTATCAATTTTTAGCTTTTTTACAGTATTTTACTGTACCTTTCCTATGTTTAGATACACATATACTTCCCATTGTGTTACAGTTGCCTACAGCATTCAGTACAGTAACATGCTGTGCAGGTTATAGCCTGGGAGCAATAGGTTATACCATATAGCCAAGGTGTGTAGTATGCTAATCCCATCTCGGTTTGTGTAAGTACACTCTATAATGTTTGCACAAAAATGAAATCTCCTAATGACGCATGTCTTAGAGCATATCTCTGGGGTTAAGTGATGCATGACTGTGTGTGTGTGTGTATGTGCACACACGCAAAATGATTGAGCATTTCTACCCTAATATATTTGCCTTATTGGCCCTAGAAAAACAATGGTATGCACCAAGTAAAAGTTACAAAATTTTTCCATAGCATCATTGTGGCATCAAAAAAATCTAGAAATAACCTTATTGTCTATTGAAAGTAGGCTGAATCAATAAATTCAGTATATTCCACAATGGAGCAGGAAGAAGTGGAAAACACCACAGTTAAAAACATAAATATTTTTGAATTTCAAGAAGATAATACTGGATTGAAAAAGAAAATATCGTTTAGAAAGATGCCTGATATGTTTTGGCTGTGTCCCCACCCAAATCTCATCTTGAATTGTAGATCCCATAATTCCCATGTGTTGTGGGAGGGACCTGGTGGAAGATAATTGAATCATGGGGGCAGTTTCTCCATGCTGTTCTCATAGTAGTGAATAATTCTTACGAGATCTGATGGTTTTATAAGGGGTTTACCCTTTCACTTGGCTCTCATTCTCTCTTCCCTGCTGCCATGTAAAACATGCCTTTTGCCTTCTGCCATGATGGCGAGGCCTCCCCAGCCACATGGAACTGTGAGGTTTAATGGTAAACCTCACAGTTTACCATTAAATTAAAAAGAGGTTTAATGGTAAACCTCTTTTTCTTTATAAATTACCCAGTCTCAGGTATGTCTTTATCAGCAGCATGAAAATGAACTAATACAATGCCTAAGACATGATTCCATTTATATAAAGTTCAAAAGCAACTCATATATTGTTTAGAAAAACACATGCATATGGCAAAACTATAAAAGCAAAGCAATGGCAGGAGGTGGGGAGGTACACCTGAGGGAGGTACATGACAGATTCCAAAGGTTCCAGCGCAGATATTTGGCTTTTATAAAATAAGTATTGTTCTTTAAAATGTACACACTCATCACATACATCCTTTGGTATGTGTGATTTATTTCACAGTTTTTGCAAAGGTCACTTCTACTCAGAATGCTGAGTATGCAGGTGATATCTCTAGTGACATGGAAAGAAACTGAAGTTCTCTTGGCCCAAAATTGACCTTTTGGTCATGCGTCCTGTACTGGAAGACAGGACAAGAACAAGATAATAAAACATGCAGATCAGGGTGGAGAGAGGAGAAAGGGAACAAGGAAGTTTCCAGAACATGGTGTAAGTAAGGGCTGCCTTGGCAGATAACCCAAAATTTCCCCACAAATTTGGGCTAGGTTATCTGTAGATAATTTTTTGGAATAACCTTCAGGTAACTTTCTTGAATTTTTAAACTGGAAAATATAAGACAAATGTATCTAAACCCTCATGGAGAGCTATAGCTGGGGCAGGGAAAGGAGAAGCTCTGTCCTTCTCTGGCCAGCCATGTGTCTCAGCTTCCTTGCCAGCTGGATTCCAGGCCAGCATGGCCAGTGGGAGGCACTGGCAGAAGGCAGGCAGAAGGGAGAGAGGGGGAAGAGGCCAGGGCACTTCTCCCATTCGTGGTTTGTCATCTGCCCAGGTGGCTTTTTTTCCAGAAGTAATGTCTCCTCCAGGGTCTCAGATCCCAACAGGTGTGGACAGCTCTTCTATGATTTTGTCACCCTCTAGATGGCTAGAAGGAGGGTACGTTTACCTGATAATGTAGATGGTATTTGAGGAAAATGGAAACCTTAGAATCCTGATGAGCAAGAAATAGGGAATCAATAAGAGAAAATATAGGAAGCTTGGGTAGTGAAGGCCCAGCCAAAGAATGAAATGCATATAGATTTGGTCCAGTTAGCAAAAAGAACTGTAACTTGGAATCAGCAGATGTGGGTTTGAACCCCAGCTCAGCCATTAATGTGTGACTTCAGGACTTAACCACGATAAGCCTTAGTTTAGTCATCTATAAAATGGAGCCAATAATAACCTTAATACCAAACTCATAGGCCAGGGATGCTGTGAGAATCATACAGTATATAGCCTTTTTGGATTGATTACTTTCTTTTGTAATATATATTTAAGGTTCTTCCATGTCTTGTCATGGCTTGATCATTTCTTTTTGTTGGACAAAATAATAGTCCATTGTCTAGATGGGACCTGGTTTAACATTCGCCTATTGAAGTGAGCACTTCAGTTGCTTCCAGTTTCGGAAATTACGATTAAAGCAGCTATAAACATTCATGTGCAAATCATGGTGGACATATGTTTTCAACAACCTGGTTAAATACCAAAGAGTGTAACTGCTGGATCATATGGTAAGACTATGTTTAATTTTGTAAGAAACTGAAAACTATCTTCCAAAATGCCTGTACCATTTTTTATTTCCATGAGCAATTAATAAGAGTTCCTGTTGTCCCACATCCTTGCCAGCATTTGTTGTTACCAATGTTTTGAATGTCAGCTACTCTAAGAGATATGTAGTGATATCTCATTGTTTTAACTTGCAATTCTTTACTGAAATATGATGTTGAGCATATTTTCATGTTTATTTGCCATCTATATATCTTACTGAGTGAGATATCTAGTCAGACCTTTTACCAATTTCTTAGTTGGCTTATTGGTTTTCTTATTTGTGAGTTTTAAGATGTTTTTTCTCCTATATTTTGAATACCAGTCCTTTAACAGATAAGTGTTTTACAAAGATTTTTTCCTCAGTCTGACTTGTCCTCTCAGTCTCTTACAGTGTCTTTTTCAGAGCAATTGTTTTTCTTAATTTTAATGAAGTCCAACTTATCAATTTTTTTCATGGATTGTTCTTCTGATGTAGTATCCAAAAAGTCGTCACCAAACCCAAGGTCACCTAGATTTTTACCTATGTTACCTGGGGGTATGTAGTTTTATATCTTACATTTAAATTAATGGTCCATTTTGAGTTAAGTTTTGTAAAAAGCATAAGGTCTATGCCTATTTTTACTTATTTGCATGTCAATTTCCAATTGTTCCAGCATTATTTGTTGAAAAGACTATTTATTCTCCACAGAATTCCCTTTACTCCTTCATAAAACATCAATTGATTCTAACTAACTGTGGGTGTCTTTCCCTGGGCTCCCTAGTACGTTCCAATGATCTATTTGTCCATTCTTTTGTCAAAACCAAACTGTCTTCATTACTGTGGCTTTATATTTAGTGTTGAAGTTGGGAAGTGTCAGTCTTTCAACACTATTTTTCTCCCTTAACACCGTGTTGGGTATTCTGGGTCTTTTGTCTTTCCATATAATCTTTAGAATCAGTTTTTTCTGATATCCACAGAATAATTTACTGGGGTTTTTATTGGAATTGCATTGAATCTATAGATCAAGTTGTGAAGAACCTACATCTAAGATAGTATTGCGTTCTCCTATCCATGAACATGGAATACATCATCATTTATTCAGGCCTTTGATTTTTTCACTAGTTTTATAGAGTTCCTAATATAGATCTTGTATATGTTTTGTTTGATTTATACCTAAATACTTCTTTTTCTTTTCCTTTTTGTTGCTAATGTAAGTGGTGTTGTGTATTTACTGTCAAATTCAAGTTGTTCATCCTTGGCATATAGGAAAGCAATTGACTTTTATATATTGATCTTATATCCTACCACCTTACTGTAATTGCTTATTTATTCCAGCAGTTTATATTTTTGTTGTTCTTTGGGATTTTCTACCTAATCAAGTTGTTTGAAAAAAAAAAAGAGTTTTATTTCTTCCTTCCCAGTCTGTATACCTTGTAAAATATCCTTTTCTTGTTTTATTGTTTTAATTAATGAGGATTTTCAGTACAATCTTGACTAGAAATGGTGAAAGCAGATATCTTTGCCTTGTTCCTGATCTTATAAGCAAAATAATCTAGTTTTACATGGTTAAATATAATGTTGGCTATCAAGTTTTTGTAAATACTCTTTTTTTCAAGTTGAGGAAGTCTTTCTCTGTTTCCAGAGAAAGTTTTTTTAATCATAAGTGAGTATTGGATTTTTTCAGATGTTTTTTCTGCATCCATTAATATGATTATATAATTTCTCTTTTTTAGCCTGTTGTGATGTGTTGTGTTAATTGATTTTCAGATATTAACCCACACTTGGAAACATGAGATAAATCCCAGTTGGTTGGGGTGTGTAATCCATTTTACACATTGTTGGATTTGATTTGCTAATATTTTGTTGAGGATTTTGAGTCTATGTTCATGAGAAATATTGATCTGTAGATTTTTTCTCTTGTAATATATTTGTCTGGTTTTGGTATTAGGGTAATGATGGCCTCATAAAAATGAGTTAGGAAATATTCCCTCAGCTTCTTATTTCTGGAAGGGATTGTAGAGAAATGGCATAATTTCTTCCTTATGTGTTTGGTAGAATTCACTGGTGAGGCAATGTAGACCTGGTGTTTTCTGTTTTGAAAAATTACTAATTATTGACTCCTTTTTTCAAATATATAGGCCTATGAATATTATCTATTTCTCCTTGTGTGAGTTGTGGTAGGCTAAGTCTTTCAAAGAATTGGTCCATTTCATCTAGGTTATTAAATTTGTGAGTAAAGCATTGGTAACAATATTCCTATATTATCCTTTTACTGTCCCATGAGATCGTGATGGCCCCTCTTTTATTTCTGAGATTAGTAATTTTTGTCTTCTTTTTTTCTTAGTTAACCTAGCTAAAGTTTTATTAATTTTATTGATTTGTTCAAAGAACCATTTTTTTTTGTTTTCTTGACTTTCCTTATTGAATTCCTGTTGTTAATTTCGTTTATTTCTACTATAATTAATATTATTTCTTTTCTTCTGCTTGCTTTGGATTTAATTGCTCTTCTTTTCCTAGTTTCCTAAGTTGGAGGCTTAGATTATTGACTTTAAACCTGTCTTCTTTTCCAATAGAAGCATTCAATGCTATCAATTTCTCTCTAAGCACTTCTTTTACTGCATCTCACAAATTTTGATAAGCCATATTCTCTTTTTCATTTAGTTCGAACTATTTTTTAATTTCTCTTGAGACTTTTTCTTTGACCCTTGTATTATTTAGAAGTATGTTGTTTAATCTTCAAGGTTTTCAGATATTCCACCTATTATTTTCCAGTTATTTCTGTTACTGATATTTAGTTTATTATAGGCTGAGAACAGACATTGAATGGTTTCTATTTTTTGCATTTGTTAATGCATACTTTACACCCCAAAATGCAGTCTATCATAAAGTGAATATTCTGTGTGAGCTTGAGAAGAATGTGTATTCTGTTGTTGTTGGATGAAGCAGTCTATAGGTGTCAATCAGGTTCAGTTAATTGATGGTACTATTCAGTTCATCTGTGTTCTTATTCATTTTCTGCCTAACGAACCTGTCAGTTACTGATACAGGGGTGTTGATGTTGCCAACTATAATAGTGGATTCATCTCTCTTTTCTTGCAGTTCTATTAGTTTTTAATTCCACATATTTTGATGCTCTGTTGTTAGGTGCATAAACATTAAAGATTTTTATATCTTCTTAGAGAGTTGACTCCTTTATTATTATGTAATGCCACTCTATTCCTGTTTTTTTCTTTGAGGTCTATATCATCTAAAATTAATTCTTTTGATTAGTATTAGCATAACATTTTTTCTCTATGTCTTTATTTTTAATTTATATGTATTTATATTTAAAGTCATTTTCTTTTTAACTGGTTTGCCCAGAGGGGGGTCCCTTTTTGTTTTTTTGTTCGGTTTTTTTTAGAGTCAGTCTCACTCTGTCACCCAGGCTGCATTGTGGTGGCATGATCACAGCTCACTGCAGCCTTGAGCTTCTGGGCTCAAGTGATCTTCCCATTTCAGCCTCCCAAGTAGCTGGAACTACAGATCTGCACCATCACTCTTTTCTAACGTTTCAATTTTTTTTTTGTAGAGATAAGGTCTCACTGTGTTGACCAAGCTGGTCTCAAACTCCTGGTCTCTACTGATCTTCCCACGTGGGCCTCCCAAAGCTCTGTGATTACAGGGGTGATCCACCACACTCAGCCTCAGCTGGGTTTCTTGTAGAGAGTGTATAGTTGAATCCTGTTTTTTGTCCACTCTGAAAGTGTTTGTCTTTTAATGAATAATAGACCATTGATTTTTAAAGTGATTATTAATATAGTTGGATTAATATTTACCATATTTTTTATTGTTTCCTATCTGTAGCCCTTATTCTTTTTATTTTTTTAACTCTTTTTACTCTTCCACTCTTTTTCTGCCTTCTCTGGTTTTAACTGATTCCAATTTTTATCCCTCTGAGCATATAAATACTTCTTTTTGTACTTCTTTTAGTGACTACACTTGAGTTTAGTCAAAGGTATTATTTTAGCTAATATATTAACTTAAAATATGTTAGCTAATCCAAGTCCTCTTTAAAATAACACTATACCATTTCATGTATAATGTAAGCATCTTATAACAGAGTAGTGCCAATTCCTCCCCTTCTGTTCCTTATAACATTGCTATTATTCATTTCCCTTATCCATAAGCTACAATCACTGAATTCATTGTAGATACTATTATTTTGAATAAATTTTTATTTGTTCAATTAAAAATAGGAAAAGGAAAATATTTTATTTTTCTTTCATTTATTTCTCCTCTAACACTCTTTCCTTATGTAGATCCAAGTTCCTGAGCTATATCATTTTTCTTCTTTCTGAAAAGTTTCTCTTCTTATTTTTGAACATTTCTTGCCATGCAGTTCTAATGGTGACAAATTCCCGCAATTTTTGTTAGTCTGAAACCATATTTCTTCTTTACTTTGAAGAATAATTTCAGTGAATAAAGAACTCTAAGCTGTGGAGTTTTTCTTTTCATACATTAGATATTTCATTCCACTCTCCTCTTGCTTGTGTAGTTTCTGAAGAGAAATCCAATGTAATTCTTATCCTTGTTCCTCTATAGGTAAGGTGTTTTTTTCCTCTGGCTTCTTTTCAGACTTTCTCATCTTTGATTGTATGCAGTTTTAATGAGATATGTCTATGGGTAGTTTTTGGTTGCTATCCTACTTGATATTATGTTAGCTTTCTGAATGTATTCTTTGGTACCTATCATTAATTTTGGAAAATTCTCAGCCATTATTTCTTCAAATATTTCTTCTGTTCATTTTTTTCTTCTTCTCCTTCTGGTATTCTCATTACATATATATTATACCTTTTTAAACTGTAATTCTTGGATATTTATCTTGTCTTTTCCATTCTTTTTTCTCTTTGCATTTCAGTTTGAGAAGTTTTCATTGACATTTCTTCAAGCGCAGTGATTCTGTCCTTGAAGATGTCCAGTCTACTAATGAGCCTATCAAAGGCAGTCTTCATTGCTGTTGTATTAGCATGATTATATTATATGAGTGTTTCCTTTTGATTCTTGAGAGAGTTTTACTCTCTCTGCACACATTACCCCCTCTGTTCTTACATGTCTTTTCACTTTTTCTGTTAGACCCATTAACATATTAATTATAGTTTTAAATTTCTGGTTTGACAATTCTAACCTCTCTTATGTGAATCTGGTTCTGATGCTCGCTGTATCTGCTCAAACTGTGTTTTTTGTTCATTAGTATAACATATAATCTTTTGTTGAGAGCCAGACATGATGTCCTGGGTAAAAGGAGCTGAGGCAAATAAGCATTTAGTTTTATCACACTAAAAAAGTGTTTAGTGTGATGTTTAGAACAGCCAAGGGCGGCCGGGCGCGGTGGCTCACGCCTGTAATCCCAGCACTTTGGGAGGCCGAGGCGGGCGGATCACTCACGAGGTCAGGAGATGGAGACCATCCTGGCGAACACAGTGAAACCCCGTCTCTACTAAAAATACAGAAGGAAAAAAAAATTAGCCGGGCGTGGTAGCCGGCGCCTGTAGTCCCAGCTACTCAGGAGGCTGAGGCAGCAGAATGGCATGAACCCGGGGAGCGGAGCTTGCAGTGAGCCGAGATCGCGCCACTGCACTCCAGCCTGGGAGACAGCGAGACTCTGTCTCAAAAAAAAAAAAAAAAAAAAAGAATAGCCAAGGGCTAGGCTGTGTTTACTGTTTGTCATAGCTGTCAGTGTCCAAATCTAAAATGTTCTGAATGTCTTTGGTTTTCTCTCGTTGTCTTTGGCTTTCTCTAAATACTTCTTCTTAAAAAAAGTCTTATACTTAGTTATTTTAATTGTATTCCTTATTATTATACAGGAGTCCTATTGGTATGGTGGTAAAGTGTGGAGATAGGAGAAGCATTCAATTCTCCTATGATAAGTTCTTACGGTCTTTTAGTGAGCCTATGGCCCTGGGATGTGGTCGTCACAAATGCTCCTCAGCCTTTCTCCTCTTTGGGTAATTCAGGGAGACTAGAGAGGGATAGAGTTGAGTATTTTCCTTCTACCAGATTACTTAGGTTCTGATAAGAGCCCAGTTAGTTAGGCTCTGGTAAAATAGTTTCTCTTGAGAACAGGTCCTTGTTAGGAAGAACATAATGCGCTGCCAGAAGCACAGGGAATTTTTCTCCAATCTTCCCTAGGAGGACCTGGTAGGGTTCCTTAAAGTAAAACTCAGTGAAGCCTGGGGGCCTCTCTAAGACCTGGAGTTTGTAATTCTAGGACCTGTCCACACTGAGCCTCCAGCAATTCATCAATTACATTCAGGTTTTCCTTCTCTAGTACTAGTTCCTGTGGAGTTTTCTATTCCTGAGTTTTTGCCTAGTAAGTTGTGATTCTTTGTTTCTGCCTGTCTCTCCAATTTGAGGGTCAAGGATTTGCCCTAAGGTCTCAAATCTCTGATGGAACTAAGAACAGTTGATTTTCAGCATGTTCTGCTTTTGCCATGTAGTGAGGACAGGAGTGATGACTTACCAGCTCCTTACATGCCAGACTGGAAACCAAAAGCCTCACTCTGAGGCTTTTAAAACTATACATCAGTCTTATCTCTTATCTAGATTAAAGCTCCGTAATGACAGTGACCATATCTTATTGATAGTATTATACAATAGTTTTGAGTGCTCATTACATACTAAACACTGCACTAATAAGCACATTAAATATACATCATTTTTAAACTAATAATAACACTAGCTAGACACTATGCTAAGAACTTCTCAGATTTATTCCACTTAATCCTTACCAAAAAAGAACAAAACCAAATTTAAAAATAAATAAAAAACAAGCAAAAAATAAAAAACCTGATAGGTAAGGACTATTGTTATAGATGAAGAACTGAGGTTCATGGAAGTAGTATAATTTGCTAGAGTCCCAGAGTTAGTGAATGGTGGTTCAGGGACCCAAACCCAATCATGTCAGACTAAGTCCCATGCATCTAACCATAAGACAATACTGCATGCAGGTGGATTTTGTTCTATGCTCAATATGGTGTCTTCTGTATGACAAGCAACCAAAAAGTGTCTTGACAGAGTCTGGAAAACATACTTCCAGTTTTTCTATCATTTTTAAATAGCACTATTTAGTAAAAGAATATCTCTGATATCTGTATTAAACCCAGTAAATTCTGTCATAGGTCAATAGCATCTGAGTGTGTGATATGCTACATAAAATCAGCTTTCTCTGAACATAAAAGAAAAGGAATAGATATGGTTTCTGTCTTCAAAAGATCATGATTATTGTGAGTAGTTAGAATATCCGAAGAGAATAATAGATTCTGCTTTCATAGAGCAACTCATGAACCCAGGAAAATGAAAATAAATAATATGTTTACAGACTTGGGATTGGAAATTATTTCTGCTTCAGCTACTCATAAAATTTGAGAGAGTTTCTTAACCTCTCTGAGCCTTGGTTTTCTAATCCATCTAATACATGTAATTAATGTCTTCATCATAAGACCCAAATGAAACACTGTATGTAAAGAATCTGGGACCCTGGAAACTGAATAAATTTATGTACTCTTGCTTTTATATGCATGTACTATAATTTTGGAGCTTATACCTTGTAACAGAAACTATATGACCTTTATTTAGATGGATAGGTGTTGATTTATAACCATATTGTCCCCTGATCCTGAGAAAGCCATATAACCTCCTTGAACATCCTTTTCTTCATTTGATAAATCTTTATTGAGAACCTACCATGTTTTAGGCACTGGATTAGGCCATGGTCTAGGCCAGCAGAGGTAAGACCAACACAGTCACCACCCTCCAAGGGTTTACAGTATTTGTTAGCGAGAGGTATAATCATAGCCTCCTTCTGAGTGCTGAGGGATGAGACACCATATGTAGTGTGATGTCTGGCACATAGTAGTTCAACTTGCATCACAATCCCAGTCCATGAATGATGAAAGGGTGCCAAATACAGGGATACTGCTAGGTCTTTACTGTTTCCTATTGCTGCTGTAACAAATGACCGTCAAGTTTGTGGCTAAATAACACAAACTTAATATCTAACAGTTCTGTAGGTCATTATTTTGACATGGGTCCCACTGAGATAAAATCAAGGTGTTGGAGGGCTACGTTTCTTTCTGGAGACTCTATGGGAGAATTCATTTTCTTTCCTTTTCTACCTTCTAGAGGCTGCCTGCATTTGTTGGGTCATGGCCCTTCCTCTGGAGCTTCAAAGCCAGCAATGCTGCATCTCTCTGACCACAATTAGACAAGATTCCCTGCTTTCAAGGATTTGTGTGATTAGATTGGGCCTACTGGTATAATCAAAGATAATTTACCCATGTCAAGGTTATCAACCTTAATCACATCTGCAAAGCCTCTCTTGACATGTAAGGTAATATTCACAGTCTCCAGGGATTAGGTTGTGAACATCTTTAGGGAAGGGGGTGTCATTATCCTGCCTATTTGGAGTAGAACACAGGCTCTCTAGCGGAACATCTGAGAAATGCACAGAAAAAGAGATGGAGAATGAATGAATCATGCCGTGTATTTTTGGTTCCCTTGTCGAGTAGCTTCTCCTGTCCCACAGGAAACACATTAAGCCAAACAGAAGGAATGGAGGTGGTTCGACCACACATTTCCTTCTGTGGACATGGTTGTGTAGTACGTGGTCCCAAAATACATCAAGTTTGTAACTCCGATTTTCCAGATTTCTTTCTGTAGTATTCACTTGATTCTGTTCATTGGCAAAAGATTGTAATATGCTTTTAAAAAATCCAACCTCTCTCCCTCTTTTACCTCATTAACAAAAAAGCATTACTTTTATAATGGTGTTTTAATTTCCTTGAGTTCTCCAAGGGGAAGTAAAATTTTCTAAACACATGTAATGAGATGGTCTCAAGCCCTGCATTTTTCTGGAGTCACACTATCTTTTAGTGTCCCAATAAAGTGGCTCCAATCCTAAATTATGTGTAGTGGGAATTCCAAGAATTTTCCTGGGATTGTCATCAGCTCCTGCAAATTCTCCTCTACCCAAATTCTCTCTCACCTTCCTCACTGAGTCAGCTGCCAAAGAATTTGGCAAATTAAAAATTTCTACTGTACCGTAGACTATTATCCATAACTGTAATTTTAAAAAACTATTTTTTAAAAATTAAAAATTTAAATTTAAAATTTAAATTTAATTTTAAATTAATTTAATGGGAAATTAAAATTTAAATTTAAAATTTAAATTTAAAAATTATTTAAAAACTATTCTCAAGGGTTTCTCATCTTTCAAAATCAAATGCACCATATTAGTTTCACAGGGCTCCTGCAACGTATTACCAGAAACTGGTGGCATAAAACAAGAGAAATTTATTTTCTCACAGCTCTGAAGGCTAGAAATCTGGTATCAAAGTATTGGCAGGGCCATGCTCCCTCTAGCTTATGGGGGAAGGATTCTTCCTTGCCTCTTCTAGCTTCTGTGGGTCGCCACAGTGATCTGTGGCACTCCTTGGTCTGTAGACACATCACTCCAATTGTCACATGATGTTCTTCCTGTGTGTCTCTGTTTTCTCTTCTCATAATGTCATCAGTTGTTAAAGTAAGACCCACCCTAATCTAAAATGACCTCATATTAGTAAATTGTATCTGCAAAGACCCTATTTCCAAATAAGGTCACATTTTGAGGTTCTAAATGGACATGAATTTGGGGACCGATAATATTCAACCCAGTACAAGCACCCATTATGATTACTTAACTAAATTACAGAATACCTGTCCCCCTAAAGGGATTCTGCATTTTTCCTAAGCTAAGTGAGAATAACACTTTTCTTCTCCCTGTGACCGTAAAAACTGACTTAAAGGCTCAGTCATTCTCTAACTCAAAAGAAGTAGTATCTGTTTTACTCTTAGGAGAAAATCAACATAATGGCCCTTTAAGTTGGGCACATATAAATCAAGGGCACACCTGGTGTTCTTCGGGGGAACCACTGTTAACTTCAGTGTTCTTTGTGGGGAATCATGTCATTGGGAGTGAGGCTTTGGGTTTTCTTGGGGAACATAAAGTTGTCATGTGTTCTACCAGAGTTATGCCTATAGGATTTGTTGCTTAAATGGGAAAAATGTATATATTCCCAGTATGAATTTAAACTGCCATGTTATTGCTTGTACTTAATGAGTTATGTGTGAATTTCTGTGAGCAGACTAGAAGTTGAATGTAGTGATGGAGGCTGGTTTGTACCTCATGCTGAGGACAAAATTAAAATTAACTGAGCTGGGAGCCCAACACATTCTGGGTAGTCTTTCTATCCCTGGGTATTTCAAAGCCTGGATAACCCAATGTGTTTGGATGTTGATCCCTTTGTTCTAGAATAATTGACTTGTGAGAACCAGACAGCAAACACACTCCCACAAGTAGAGAGAGAGTTTTTTCTAAGCCCCTGGGAAGACATCTACAGTGGATGCAATATGTTGCCTGGGAAAACAGGCCTTACACTGGGATGAGTAGAAGAATGTCTTCCCCTTCTGGGGTCATGTGATTGGTTGTGCCTGAAGGCTGAGCAGAGGCTAGAGACATTCCCAAAAGGGAAAAATGAACTGGCTCTTTAAGATTGGCAGCAGATGGGAAGCAAGTCAGGGAACACCCGTCAGAGTCCCTAACGGTGGACATACACTGGAGCCAGATGTCTCTAGGTGTAGACTCACATAAGAATGCCAGTGCAAGCAATGCCACGTTGCTCATCCCTTCTTTACCTCTGGATGCTCCTCATCTTATCAATTATGACCCAGTCAGAGATGGTTCTCCTCACAAAGAGAACTTAGTATAAAGAATTATTACCTGGGGATTAGAGCCATGAAAAGGCAAAAAGAGAACACAAAGTCATCATGGAGACAGCAACAGCAGGAAGCAGTGCCCACTTCTAGGACTGGAGGGACACCAAGAAGAGGTAGAATTATTAAAACATAGATGCTTAGAGGAAGGGTCCCATGAAGGTAAAACTACCAGTATCACCACTGAGGAGGGAACATCAGACAGTTTGTGTTGGTGCCTCTGAGCTCAGAGGCGTGGCCCTGTGGGGCTGGATAAAGACATCTGAGGAGGCTGCACAGGCCAGCTGGTGCTGGTGTCTGGAATGGAGCATGAAAAAGCTGGTTTTGTTACTGCTGGGAAAACGGCAAACTAGATTCAGCTGCTGCTGTAGGGGCAGTCACCACTAGTGTGGAGAAGAAAGGCGGGGAAACTGCAGACAGGAACAAGGAGCAAATGAGAAAGAGCAGGCCTTTTTCCCCTCCTTGTGGTCTTCCTCTATGCCCCTTCTGATGGAGACCTGCAGAGCAGCAGGCAGACCGTACATGAGTCCCAGCCCCAGCCCATGAGGAAGAGTACAGAAGAATGAGTGGGGAGTGAAGAGACAACATGTTCCTGGCATGTTCAACTCTCCAGCTACTCATCACCCATATACATCCTCCTGCACACACTCCCTGAATCAACTCAATACCTCTATGTCTCCAGCTAAGAAGATGCAGCTGCTCTTCACACAACCCAGATAGTCTAACCTTCTGTTTAAAGAGGAAGAGACCCAAAGTCTCAAGACTCATTGTGTCTATCTCTGAGTAGTTTGAAACCTGGGTCTTGACAGCCCACAGAGCTCAAGGCAACCTCGGTGGGGGAAAAAAGCATTGATGGTATTTGCCAGTTGGTCTCTCTGATCTTGAGAGCCTTTTATACACAATTCTAATGTTTTTCTTGGTGATTATCTTTCTGCCTTTTATTGCATTGAGGAATCAACAGAGGAACACTGTAATTTAATACCTGTAAAAAAAGTCTCAGGGCCCATGTCTCCTGGTAAATAAAAATGCTGGACTGAAATTTCAGGCTGTGAACGCTTCTCTCTTTTGGAGGGACTTTTAATATTAACTAATTCTTTCCTAAGGTAATCTGAGGTTCTTATGGCCCCCAAGCCTCTTGGAGTTTCAAAATGGCTCATTAAAAAAAACACGAAAAGAAGTCATTGCCTAACAGCAAATAGTTTTTAAAAATTATTTCTACATTATATGCCTTTAAAATTCTAAAATATTAACTGTAAAAGTCAGGCTGCATGCAGGTCTTACGCAGCTGTGGCTCCTGTGGCCTCCTTGGAGAGGCCCTCAACTGTCTGTTCTTGAGGTGCCTGGTTTTTCAGAAGCTGCGGTTGTGGCTGGGAAACTTGTGGTCCAGATTCTTGGCCCCTTCAGAACCTGGAATCCTCTCCTTTGACTTGGCCTCCCATCCCAACACTGTGGTGCAGAAATCTTCTTGGTACTCACATCCAGCTCCAGCCTGGGTGCCATTCTCTGTAGCTGTTGGATGCACCAAGCCACTTTGCCCCAACACGGCAACCCCTCTGTCAGCTTCCCAAGGCTTCATCTCTGATTCTCCCTGCTCAGGTCCCCAGGGTCTACCTGGATTCTGACCATGCCACATGGGAACCAATGGGCCATGGAAGTGCTAACTTAATTTTCTTCCCTTTTTTGCCTAATCAGAGGACTTAAAACTCCAAGTGGAATGCAGGACCAGTGATATGGTTCAGCTCTGTGTCCCCACCCAAATCTCACCTTGAATTGTAATCCCCATAATCCCCATGTGTCAAGGGCAGGAACAGGTGGAGGTAATCAGATCATTAGGGTGATTTCCCCCATGCTGTTCTTGTGATAGTGAGTCTCAGGAGATCTGACGATTTTATAAGCATCTGGCATTTCTCCTGCTTGCACTCACTCCACCCTGCCACCTTGTAAAGAAGCTGCCCATTTCTCCTTTGCCTTCTAACATGATTGTAAGTTTCCTGAGGCCTCCCCAGCCATGTGGAATGGTGAGTCAATTAAACTTTCCTTTATAAATTATCCAGTCCCAGGTATTTCTTACAGCAGTATGAGAATGGACTAATACAGTAAATTGGTACCACAGAGAGTGGGATGGTACCCAAAAATTTGGAAGCAACTTTGGAACTGGGTAGCAGGCAGAGATTGGAACAGTTTAGAGGGCTCAGAAGAAGACAGGAAAATGTGGGAAAGTTTGGAACTTCCTAGAGACTTGTTGAATGGCTTTGACCAAAATGCTGATAGTGATATGGATAATGAAGTTCAGGCTGAGGTGGTCTGAGATGGAGATGAGGAACTTGTTGGGAACTGAAGTAAAGGTCACTCTTGTTATACAAAGAAACTGGCAGCATTTTGCCCCTGCCCTAGAGATTTGTGGAACTTTGAACTTGAGAGAGATGATTTAGGGTATCTGGTGGAAGAAATTTCTAAGCAGCAAAGCATTCAAGAAGAAGCAGAGCATAAAAGTTTGGAAAATTTGCAGCCTGAGGATGTGATAGAAAAGAAAATACCATTTTTCTGGGGGAGAAATTCAAGCCAGCTGCAGAAATTTGCATAAGTAACAAGGAGCTAAATGTTAATCGCCAAGACAATGGGGAAAATATCTCCAGGGCATGTCAGAGACCTTCATGGCAGCCTCTCCCATCACAGGCCTGGAGGCCTAGGAGGGAAAAATGGTTTCCCAGGCCAGACCCAGGGCCCCCCCACTACTCTATGCAGCCTGGAGACATTGTGCCCAGCCTCCCAGCTGCTTCAGCTCCAGCCTTGGCTAAAAGGGGTCAAGGTACAGCTCAGTCCATGGCTTCAGAGGGTGTAAGCCACAAGTCGTCTTAGCTTCCATGTGGTGTTGGGCCTGTGGGTACACAGAAGACAAGAACTGAGGTTTGGGAACCTCCCCCTAGATTTCAGAGGATGTATGGAAAGGCCTGGATGTTCAGGCAGAGTTTGCTGCAGGAGCAGAACTTTCATGGAGAACCTCTGCTAGGGCAGTATGGACGGGAAATGTGGGGTTAAAGTCTCCACTGTGGCACTGCCTAGTGGAGCTGTGAGACGACAGCCACCATCCTCCAGACCTCAGAATGGCAGATCCACTTACAGCTTGTGCTGTGAACCTGGTAAAGCCACAGACACCCAAGGCCAGCCATGAAAGCAGCCAGGAGGGGCACTGTACCCTGCAAAGCCACAGGGCCAAAGCTGCCTAAGGCCATGGGAGCCCACCTCTTGCATCAGCATGACCTGGATGTGAGACATGAAGTCAAAGGAGATCATTTTGGAATTTTAAGGTTTAATGACTGCCCTATTGCATTTTGGACGTGCATGTGGCCTGTAGCCCCTTTGTTTTGGTCAATTTCTCCCATTAAGAATGAGTGTACCTACCCAATTCCTGTATCCCCATTGTATCTAGGAAGTATCTAACTTGCTTTTGATTTTACAGGATAGGCAGAAGGGACTTGCCTTGTCTCAGATGGGACTTTGGACTTGGACTTGGACTTTTAGGTTAATGCTGGAATGAGTTAAGACTTTGTGTGACTGTTGGAAAGGCTTGATTGTGTTTTGAAATGTGAGGTCATGAGATTTGGGAGGTGCCAGGGGTGGAATGATATGTTTTGGCTCTATGCCCCACCCAAATCTCACCTTGAATTATAATCTGCATAATCCCCTGGTGTCAAGGGTGGAACCAGGCAGAGATAATTGAAACATGGAGGCAGTTACCCCCATGCTGTCCTCATGACAGTGAGTGAGTCTCATGAGATCTGATGGTTTTATAAGCGTCTGGCATTTCCCTTGCTTGTACTCACTCTGTCTTGCCACCCTGTGAAGAATGTGCCTATTTCTCCTTTGCCTTCCACCATGATTGTAAGTTTCCTGAGGTATCCCCAGCAATGCAGAACTCTGAATCAATTAAACCTCTTTCCTTTATATATTAGCCAGTCTTGGGTATTTCTTCATAGCAGCATGAGAACAGACTAATACAGCTAGTGTCCCTCTGCCTCTACATTTCCCCTGACCCAGGTTGGAGAGGATCAGGATGTACATCTCACCATCTTCCCCATCATTACTCCTCCTCCCCACAGTTCCCTGGGGCTTTCATTTCCACTTCCTGTCATCCAGGACTTCCTTTTAATCAAAGCCTCTTTCCTGAGAGGGCATCTCCACCTCCCCCTTCCCCTAGCAATTTTTGTAAAATGGCTGCTGTGTAACATACAATGGATAGAAATAAAAATCATGTTTTTTTGTATACTTTCAAATTATTATTCTATCGAAAGCATGAAGATGACAATAAATCTTGGACAGAACACCCTATTTTACTATAGGAAGAATTATTTATCCCTCTCAATACTTTTACTTTGATAAATATAACATTTCTTAGCATGCCGCCACAAACACACATTGACCCCTAACACATTCACCACTGCCCTCGACCAGGCAGTGCTACAGGAGCTGCATCTGTGCAGCCACTTCAGGTGGTGCTGCAGTCCCCAGCAGCTGGGCTGTCTCCACCTGCTCATCCCCTCCTCAGAGGACCCTGCTGTGCTGCCCTCAGCATTGCAGGCACAGAGCCCAGTGGTGGTCAAGCGAGTCATATTCCCAGAGTGATGGCTCATCTCCATGTTGGGGAAAGAGTAAACAATAGAGCCTGCAGAGTAGTACACTGAAGTGTTTGCAGATATTTTCAGGTGTCCCCAAAGCCCAGAGCATCTAATGGTTCTAAAGGTCAGCATTTCATGAGTACAATTAAATCAGTCTGATGTTCAACTACGCCTTCTTTCATTTTGTCACTAGGTGGCACAGGAAAGGACCACCACCCCTCAATAATTCTGAGTTTTCAGCTGACTCATGTTCCATTTTCCCAGACTACAATTTTTTAATGTATTTTTCACAAGACTAAAACTGAACAAAACATTCACCCTCCCGTTCTCTCTCTAGCCATGTGTAGATCTGTAGAATGTTCCCAGGGTCACCCTGCTGGGCATCACTGCCCTCTCCCGTCATTCACCCTGAGAAGCATCCCCCTGTGGCACCAGGTTCAGTCATCTATATTTTCTCCCACACGGGCCCCTGTGCCCTGAGCCTGCCTGCCTTTTACTGTAATTATATATAAAAAAGCACCTAGTCAAAGATTTTTTTTGAGACAGAGTCTCACTCTGTCACCCAGGCTGGAGTGCAGTGGCACAATCTCAGCTTACTGCAACCTCCACCTCCCAAGTTCAAGCAACTCTCGTGTCTCAGCCCTGGAGTAGCTGGGACCACAGGCACGTGCCACTATGCTCAGCTAATTTTTGTATGTTTTTAGTACAGACGGGGTTTTGCTATGTTGGCCAGGCTGATCTCGAACTCCTGGCCTCAAACACTCCACCCACCTCAGCCTCCTAAAGCTCTGGAATTACAGGCATGAGCCACCACACCTGGCCTCAAAGACTTTTGACCTGCAATTTCGTTATTCTTAACTCCAGGTATTAATAGCTTATAACATAGGATATGGGATGGGAAAAGTATAGACTTTGGGATGAGGCAGACCTGAGTTTAAATTCTGACTTCACTCTTTTCCAGCTGTGCAACCTAGGGCAAGTCATTTAACTCCTCTCCCTCTTAGGTTTCTCAGCTATAAACAGCAATGTGGGGAGATAGAACTCTTCTCTTCCTGTAGAGGGGCTGGAACCTCACTGAGGCTGGATGTACAGATCCCACAAGAATGAGAGAAGACCACTGTGGCCCAAATGAGCCTGATCATTTGTAAATAGGGCTGGGGATGTTAACAAGGAGGGAGAAGCTGAAATCTCCCAAGAGAAGGAGATGTGACGTAAGGACTGTGTGGTTTGACTGGTGGGACTGCAAGGTGGAAGGGAGGTTGGGAGAGGAGCAGCTATATGTGTAGTCTTGCCTAAAGGCTGGGTCTGCAAGGCCCTAGTGTAGGGTGAGGGAGGGGAGAAGCCCCCTTTGTTCTCCCAAACTGCCCTATTATAGCTTCTTTACAACACTTCAGTTCACAAAGTCACACAACTGCAGCATGAAACACTGTGGGTTTCTCTGAGGAAATCATGCAAAGGTAGAAGTAGTGGGTAAAGAAATATCAATTCATGGAGCCTCCAGCAAAGACAGGGGTCTGTGATTCTCTGCCGCACCACACTAAGAGCTATGACGTGGAGTCCCCATCCTAGCAGCAGTGGAGATACCTGTGGACCTGCAGAGATAGAAAACATCTCCCATGATGTGAGAAAATAAAACTGAATGATCGTTGTCCCCAACAAATTAGTAATGGAACATTTTCACAGGCAGAAACATAGGCTCCTCCTATACCTGAGCTGTAGGGTGAAAAATGTGGGGATGGGAAGGAGTGGAGAGCTCTGTGTGATCACAGGCCCAGCTCAGGATTAATTTTATCTAGTTCATTCCTCAACCCCTAGTGAACTAATGGATCTAAGCAATGACCATCAGTGATTCCCCAAATCACATAAATAGAAATTCCAGGTAGCAGGGCTCCCCCAAGGGATTGGATACCACCACATATGAAGTAGTCCAGCCTAAATCAACTGAACATGAATCTGGTTGAGTCTTTAGAACCAGCTGCCAATTTACAAAGAAATACAGGGAACAGAGGAACATGTTAAAACACACCATGGGGAGGCAATCAGTGAAATCCAGATTGTGGAAAATTCTACCAGTTTATTTAATAAAATAAATGGCAAGGAAAAGGTATGGAGGGGGATCCTATAGAATAAGATACTCTAAAATTTATATCAACTAACATGCAAAGCTTATTTGGATTCCAATTCAAACAACAAACAGAGAAACGGTTAACCATATGACACTTAGGAAATTAGTGGAAATGTGAACACTGACTAGATATTTGAAGACATTAAGAAATTATTGTAAATATTTTAGGTGTGATAATTGTATAGTAGTTATGCATATTAAAATGGTTCTATTTATTCAGAGATATTGTGTAGTAGAGAATCTAACTTTGCCCTAAGAGAGGGTCTGGCTTTTGCCCCAAGCTTCGGGGAGGTAATCTAAACCCTTGGAATGTCATGCCTAATAGGAGGGTCTTAGTTTGAGACTGGGGCTGACCACCCAGAAAGTCTAAATTTGTGATTTATGGTGGGGGCCTTGAGTCATGTAATATCAATTTGATCTCTGGAGGGGCTGAGTCTGAGGTCAGCCACATGGGCAGTTGACCATGGATCCCCAGTAAAGAAGGTGGACACTAAAGCTCAGATGAGCTTCTCAGGTTGTCAATACTCTGTGCATATTGTCACACATTGTATTAGTATGCCTCAGCTTCTGTATAAAATATCAGATTGGGTAGTGTATACAATGGAAATTTATTTATCATGGTTCTGGAGGCTGGAAGTTTGATATCAGGGTGCCAGCATGATCTGGTTCTGGTGAGGGCTCTCTTCCTGACTTTCAGATATCTGCTTTCTTACTGAGTTTCACATTGTGGAGAGAGAGTGGCTCTGGTCTCTTCCTCTTCTTATGGAGACACTAATACCATTAAGGCTTCACCCTCATGACCTCACCTAACTTAATTTTCTTCCAAAGTCCTTACCTCCTAATATGATTATATTAGGGGTCAGCGCTTCAACATAGGCATTGAGAAGGAGAACAAACATTCAGTCCATAGCACAACCAATACCAGGAAAGTAGTGCTACCCATGACCCTATGGGGAGAAGACAACAGAAGCTCTGCGGTTGAAACACTCCTACACCACGCCCTAGGTGCTCTTCCCTTGGTTGAATTTAATCTGGATCCTTTGCCTGTAACAAACCATAACCATTAGCATAGTAGCTATCATTGAGTTCTTTGAGTCCTTCTAATGAATTATCTAACCTGAGGGTGGTTTGCGGAGCACCCCCGCATCTCTAATTTTGCAGTAGGTGTCAGAAGTGAGAGTAATCTTGTGTGTATTGTGTGACCTCAAACACTACAGATACACACTGAACTATTTATAAGTGAAATGAATTGATGGGATGCCCGGGGTATACAGAAGGGGGTGTAGAAAGAGCAGAATTATTCATGGATTGGATGCCATTGTATGTTCAAGATTCTCTATAATAAAATGTTAAAACATTTTAGCTAGTCTGCTCAGGCAAATCTCCCTGATTCAGATGAAAGAGATTCACCTTCCCATTAGCACTTCCTCATTAGGACTCCTAGGCCCCACTGCCTTCTCTTGAGTTTAGAGGTGGAGACAAGGCCACGTGGCCTAAGTTAGGTGGGCACTGAGAAGAACTTTAGGCAGAGCAGTCATCAGTCCCTATCAACAGTGCTTGGCCAGCTGTTGCTGAAGGAAAGTCCTTGCTGGACATCTAAGGACAGATGACAAAGCCACGATGCAGGTGATGGATGTTGCCTGTTGAATGGAGTCAGGAATATGTGGTTACTGAGGTGACAGCACCAGAATCCTGGTGCTTGAACAAGCTCCCCTGTGGGTGACTGTGCTGGGCATCAGGGTGCTTCACTCTGAACAGTATCTGCCCCTCCTTGCTCTGCTTGGGAATTGCACAATGTGAGCCTTGCAAGGAGACAGCACTTGTCTCCACTAGAAAAATTATAGAAGACCAGATGCCCACTGTCTCCAGTGAGTGGAATGTGGGCTTGACCTCAGAAAAGCCTGTCCTAGAATCTGAAACTAGTGGATCAGGAGGCAGGGATTGTTTAGAATCTAGTCTGGAAGCAGGGGAGAGGATAGTGTTCAACATGATTATAATGCTAGTGGCAGTTCCAGATAAGAGCTCCAGCATCCAGAGCCTCAGGGTGGTTGGCCAGGGTGGTGCTAGTCTCGGTGTTCAGGTTTGGAGATGGCAGTGGACTTGACATCAACTCTTGCATCCAGGGACCACACAGATGACAATGTGACAGTGTCAGCTTGTACATCCAGTCTCTAGTGGCAAGAGTGGCAGTGTTGCCTAAAGCATTCAAGATCTAGGGTGGCCATGGCTTTGGTGTCATCTGTAGCATTCGAGGTCTATGGTGGTTGTGGCTGTGGTATCATCTGCACATTCAAGGTCTAGGGTGACCTTGCTGTGGTGTAATCTGCTGCATTCATGACCCACATCTCCTAACCTGGCTACTCCTTCAGGATGACCTTGTTTACTCTTCTAACCTGCCCAGTTCCTTAAACTTCTTCCTATTTTTTTTGATCATGGTTCCATAGCTTTTCTCTTGATTGTATCAACTACCTTTCACCCAGTCAATACATTCCTCTACTGCTTAATTTAACTGAACGTAGTTTCTGTTTGTAACCAAGACTCTGAGGCAGTTACATGGCCCTTTGCTCACATTTCTCTCATTCCTGGCCCTGAAGTCTTGTCTGTCTTCCCTGGGGTCCTCTGACCTCATGATTTTCTCTCTCCCCCTGCATCTCTCCTCACCAAGTCTATCCAAGAGAGTCTTTGGTAGTCTGGACAGAAGTCCTGTCTCCTCTAAGCCTCAAACATTTCAGGATGCTACTTTGTAAAAACATGGAGACTACTGAAATTAATCATAAAACTCCCCTTTCTCTGCTTTAAAGCTATCAAAAAAATAGCTCCAAGTACAAAATAAAATGGATGCTTAAATGCAGTGGATCAGAGAGGAGGAAAAAATATCTGGAAGAAAATATTTGTTCTATAGAAAGACTTGTACATAAATGCTCATAGCAGTTTTATTCATAGTAGCCCCAAACTATAAACAACCTAAGTGTCCATTAACAGAGGAATGGATAAACAAACTGTATTCATAGGACAGAATACTATGCAACAACAAGAATGATGGAATTATTGCTAGACACAACATAATGTTGAAGGAAAAGTATGCACAAAAGAGTACACAATTATGATTCTAGTTACATCAAGTTCTGAAACAGGCAAAATTAAATGATGTTAATATAAATCAGCAAGTGGTTGTTTGTGGCCTTGGAGGGGTCCGAATTAATTTGGAAGAGGTCCAAAGAAACTTTTCTGGTGATGAAAATGTTCATTATCTTGATAGGGGTGGGAGTTACACAGGTACATACATTAGGCAAAGCTCAAGGCCTTCAGGTTGCATTTAATATAAATTACATAGGAGGCTGAGGCAGGAGAATCACTTGAACCCAGGAGGTGGAGGTTGCAGTGAGCCGAGATCATGCCATTGTACTCCAGCCTGGGAGACAGAGGGAGACTCCAACAACAACAACAACAAAAATATATATATATATATATATATCATCTCAACAGCTTAAAAGCCAAGGGAGAGTGAAAGTAGTAGAAACCTCTTCCAAACTTGGCTTCCCACTGCATTGGCTTCTTGTCAAATCTACCCATTTATTGTTAGTTTGATTTCAAAATAAAACACATTCTCCAAGGACTTCTAGGTCTCCAAGTGCAGGCAGAGTGTCCCAGAGGCCAGAAGTCCATTCTCCAACAGAGACATGAGGGCTGGCCGTTGGAGGCAAATGCACGCTGGGTATGCACAAAAATGGTGATAAAATCCTAGGGGCCATGACAGCAGCGTTTGCTACAGTGACTCCTCAGATATCCCCTGCCACCAGCGGCTACTCTGTAGGTCTGTTGCGAAGATTCTAACCACTGATGTAAAGCTGCCAGCATATGGCAGAGTCTCCGTAAGTGACTGTCAGCATAATTGTTTTTCAGAGGCCGACCTGAAACCCTTAAGGAGCAACAAAGAGGGAGGGAGGGAGAGCAAGAGGGAGAGAGAGATAGAAGGAGAGTAGGAGAAAAGAAAAAAAGGAAAATAAACTAAACAAGAAGGCCCCAAACCTGAAAGACGGAACTACAACAACTGAATGCCAATATTGAGTACATATAAGCTCAAGCCAGGATGTCCCTGCAAAGCACAAAAGAGTCTTGCTGCCTCTGCACATGACTTGACTGAAACAAACATCATTTGGAGACAGGCACCATATGTGCACACCTGCACACACACACACACACATACACACCACACACACACATGTTCATTATCTGGTAGCCTAGTTTAAAACTAGTGCAGCCGGATGAAGTCTTCCCTGGTGACCGTCTTGGAAGCTCATCTCGAGGTTAAACCTTGCACATGCCTCAGTGCACAAGCAGCACTGTGAGAATGGAGGTAGGAGGATTCCCTGGGGTTGTTACTGCTACTTGTTCAATGGACAAGTTCTATTTTCAGAAGAAAGCGGAAGACGCTGGTTAAAGACTATTATATACTGCAAATAGTGAGAATTGCCCCCACATTCCCCAAGGAGACTGAGTTCTGTTCTTTAGCTTGATGGAAGCTTTAGCCACTTTTGGGTGAACTACTAAACACCACAAAATGGGTTGGGGAGAGGGAGTGGGGTCCCCTCATTGGCGGAATTTTAAAACAATAAAATCTCTCTGGAAGCATTTCAGTGTGACTGGGAAAGGGAAAAAACATTGAGTAACCTCCCAAGTGTCTTAGTGTTCCTAAATGAATGCCCTCTGAGATTCATTGCTCTGTGGACAATCCTATAATGCCCTACAGATAAGCCTAAGATCTGATTTTTCTGTGCAAGTGTTTTTGTGCCTTAAACACACACATTTTTAGGAATCTCAAGCTTGTATATGCCCTATCCATACCCCGTCTTTGTAAGGATTCCTGCTCCTAGGCCCTGGGTGGGCCAGTAGACCTCCTAACACACCTTCCCTCCACCCCACTTGGATTGGTATGGACACACAGGGTGTGGGGATGATCCGCTGGAGTGAGGAAGCCTGGATGCCAGGTCGAGGCACGAGGAAGTGAATTAATTTTCTGGCTATAGAATGGATTCAATTTACACCTGAACCAAAGCAGCTGTGCCAGTGCTCACCACCATCCTGGTCCACCCCAAGATTCCTGTGTGAATGTATGAAATTCAACTCGGCGAGAAGGCAGAGCCCTAGCTGGGGAGGGTAACTGACACATGGCAAGGGAGTGGGGGTGGGGGAGAATTAGACACTTTGGCCTCTCTCCACTTACATCACGTGAGCTGCACCTGCAGCCAGGAGGGTGTGCTCAGGTCTAGTTCTCTACCTTCTCTCTGAGTTTGTTGAACAAAGGGTTGGGCACACCACTCAGGGTCATATAAATGCTTCCATCAGCAGAAGATCAAGGGTCTCCATGCCCTTAACATACTTTGCCATCTTAAATAAACAACACAGAAACAAAGTGGTTTTACTTCAGCTCTCATGACCACATGTCTTTGTCTTCAACTGAAAAGCTGGTACAAATAGTCTAAAGCAAACAGACTTGTTAAAGAAAGGCAGGCTCTTCTTGGCATTCACAGTGGAAAACTCCCCACAGGTCTTCCTGATGGCAGAGATGTCTGTGTGCCAGGTCAGCTGGTGTCCAGCTGGTGAGGGTACTGGCAGCGACGGCAGGAGGCTGGCTGTCTGGCTCAGCAGGGTGTCTCATCTCCCTTCTCTTTCCCTAGGCCAGAGTGAATCTATCTTCTCTGAAAGATCAGTTCTCCCTAGTTCAAGTTCTGATTCTCTTCAAAAGAAGGGGATAAGACAGGTTGCAGTTAAAGGGAAAAGAAGAAAGGAAAAGCAGGGAATTTTTTTTCATAGCCCAAAATGTGAAACCTAAAAATCAAAGAAATTTTAAAAAGGGAAACAATGGCAATATAAGATGCTAACAAAGGGGCAAGCTGGATAGTGAGGGACATATGGGAACTTATCTCTGTTGCATTTCTGTACATTTAAAATTGTTTCAAAGCAAGATGGCAGAATAGGAAATTTCAAAGCTCATCCCTTCATAGAAAAGCAATTTGAAACACTACCCACACACACAAAACAATCTTCACTAGAACTAAAGAATTCAGGTAAAAGATTATAGCACCTGGATAGTGCACAGAAATAGGAAGAGATACACTGAAGAGGGTAGGAAGGACAATTTCATATTAACTAAGCAACGCCTCCCCCAAGCCTGCCCAGTGCTGAGAGAGATACCTTCACTGAGCTCAGAGAAGTGGTGAGCAGCCAGTTTCACCACAGACCCCAGCACCAGGCCTTTCCCAGAGAATCCAGCCCTGATAGACTCAGACTCCAGGCCATCTCCTGAGGACCCAGGTTCCATAGACCCCAGCACCAGGCCAGCCCCTGTGACCCCTGCAACTCCACTCCTGAAAACACCCCTGAACATCCAATGAGTCAAAGATGAATTCAAAAGGAAACTAAAGAAATATCTTGAAACAAATGAAAATAAAAACAAAACTTACCAAAATTTATGAGATATAGCAAAAGTAGTTCTAAGAGGGAATTTTATGGCAATAAACTTCTACATTAAGAAAAAAGGAAGATCTCAAATAAACAACCAAATTTTATACCACAAGAAACTAGAAATAGCAGAACAAACCAAGTCCAAAGTTAGAGGAAGGAAGCAAACAAAGAAAATAAGAGCAGAAATCAATGAAATAGAGACCAGAAAAACAATGAAAAAGATCAATGGATATAAGTGGGTTTTTTTAAAGATAAAGTTGACAAGCTTTTAGTTAGACTAACTAAGAAAAAGAGAGAAGATTCCAAAAAGTAAAATTATAAATGAAAGAGAAAACATTACAACTGATACCACAGAAATACAAAGGGTCATAAGAAATTACTATGAACCATTATATGCTGACCAATAGTATGACCTAGAAGAAATGGATAATTTCCTAGAAACATACAACCTACCAATACTGAATCTTGAAGAAATAAATAATCTGAACAGACTATTAACAAATAAGAAGATTAAATAGGTAATCAAAAGCCACCCAACAAAGAAAAGCTCAGGACCTGATGACTTTACTTGTAAACTCTATCAGGTCCTGAGCTGAAATAAAACTTAATGCCAATTCTTCTCAAACTCTTTCAAAAACTTGAAGGGGAGAGAACACTTCCAATCTCATTTTACAAAATCAGCATTACCCTGATACCAAAGCCAGACAAGGATACTATAAGAATCAAAATTACAGGCAAATACCCCTGATGAACATACACGCAAAAATCCTTAACAGAATGTTAGCAAACCAAATTCAATAGCACATTAAAAGGATCATACACTATGATCAAGTGGGATTTATTCCTGGCACGCAGTGTTGGTTCAACATATACAAATCAATAAACGTGATATATCACATTATAGAATGAAGACTAAAAATAATATCATCTCAATAGACACAGAAAAAGCATTTGACAAAATTCAACTCTCAATAAATTAGGTCCAAAAGGAATATACTTCAGCATAATAAAGGTGATAAGTGAATAGGTCACAGCTAACATCATACTCAACAACAAAAAAAAGCTGAAAGTTTTTTTCTCCAAGATTAGGAACAAGATAAGGATGTCCACTCTCGCCTCTTCTATTCACCACAGTAATGGAAGTCCTAGCCAGAGTAATTCCGTAAGAAAGAGAAATAAAAAGCATCCAAATTGGAAAGGAAGAAGTAAAATTGTCTCTGGTTGCAGATGACATGATCTTATATGTAGAAAACCCTGAAGACTGCCGAAAAAAAACTATTAAAATTAATAAATGAATTCGGTAAAGTTGCAGGATACAAAAATCAACATTCAAAAATCAGTTGCATTTCTATACACGAATAACAAATTATCAGAAAAGGAAGTTAAGGAAGCAATCCCATTTACAATCAAAGAAAATAAAATACTTAGAAATAAATGTATTAAAGGGGATTAATGATTTGTACATTAAAGTCAGAACTTTTACTTTGGGTTATTATGCTATTAGAGCATATTGTTTATTAATTGCCTCATTTACATATTAAAGCTTTGACTTTGTAAGAAAATTGCTTTTTTTCGAAACTGAAAAAATAGGTCTCAGGCTTGTTTTTTGGACTGTGAAAAAAGGTGTGCTTTGGTAGATGTTACTACCATAACATCTTAAGATAACTCAAGGATGAATTATTATTTAAACTTTTCTTATTTTTGTATTTTATCACGTATGCTTCTAGTAGCAACAGCACAGAGTTGTAACTGAAATAGATTCTGGGGAAACAGCATTAATATATAGCTTTTACTGTTTCATATACCAAATTTTTAAAAATTCTGTATCTAATTACCTATAATGAGATACCATTACCAAAATAATAAAAATCAGTTTTATGTTTTTAAGGAAGGAAATTGAAGAAAACACAAGTAAATGGAAAGATATCTCACACTCATGGGTTGGAAGAGTTAATATTGTCAAAATGTTCATACTACCCACAGCAATCTGCAAACTCAATGCAATCCCTATAAAAATTCCAATGCTATTTTTCCCAGAAACAGAATAAACAACTGTCAGATTCATATTGAACCAGAGAAGACCTTGAATAGCCAAAGCAATCTTGAGCAAGAACAAAACTGAAGGTATCAGACTTCCTGATTTCATACTATAAAACAAAGCTATAGTAACCAAGACAGCATGGCATTTAAAAAAGACATATAGGCCATTGGAACACAATAGAGAGCCCAGAAATAAGCCCATACATTTAGGGCCAATTGATCTTCAACAAAGGTGCCAAGAATAAACAATGGAGAAAGGACAGTCTCTTCAATAAATAGTGTTAGGAAAACTGGATATCTTCGTGGAGAGGAATAAAATTTGACTCTTACATAATGCCATATATGAAAATCAACTCAAAATTGATTAAATATTTAAATATAAGACACGGTCCTGTAAAACTTCTAGAAGGACACACAGGGAAGAAGTTTCTTGACATTGGTCTGGGCAATGATTTTTTAGATATGACCCCAAAAGCACAGGCAACAAAAACAAAAGTAGACAAATGATATTACATAAAACTAAAAATTTCTGCACAGCAAAGGAAACAATCAACAAAGTGAAGAGATGATCTATGAAACTGAATAATATATTTGCAAATCATATATCTGATAAGGGGTTAATATCCAAAATATATAAGGAAATCATACAACCCAATAGCAAAACAAAAACAAAAACATAACCTGATTGAGAACTAGAAAAGACTTAAATTGTCATTTCTCCACAAAAGACATTCAAATGGCTACATGAGGTATATGAAAAGGTACTCAACATCATTAGTCATTGGAGAAATGCAAAGCAAAACCGTGATGAGATATCACCTTGCACCTGCTAGAATGACTATTATCAAAAAGTCTAAAGATAAGAAACTTTGGCAAAAATGTGGAGAAAGGGGAATCCTTGTTCACTGTTGGAGGAAATGTAGATTGGTATAGCCATTATGGAAAATAGTATGGAGCTTAAAAATTAAAAATAGTATTACCATATGATCCAGCAATCCCACTTGTGAGTATATCTCCAAAGGTAATGAAATCCGTATCTCAAAGAAATATCTGTACACCCATGTTCATTGCAGCATTATGCACAATGGCTAAAATGTGAAATCAACCCAAGCGTCCAGGTGAAAGATTAAAACACCTGGGTAGTGCAAAGAAATAAGAAAAGACACATTGAAGAGGGTAGGATGGACAATTTTACATTAACTGTGTCACAACTTCCCCAATCCCACCCAGTGCTGACAGAGATGCCTTCACTGAGCTCAGTAAAGTGGAGAATAAATGAATGAATTTTTAAAAAGAAAATGTAAGGTATATTCATATATATATATTGTATATATGTGTATATATATGTGTGTATATATATGTGTGTATATACACACACACACACACACACACACACATACATATGCACAATGAAATATTATCCAGCTTTCAAAAGAAGGAAATCTTCTCATTTGTAACAACACGGATCAACTTGGAGGCCATTATGCTAACTGAAATAAGCCAGGCATAGAAAGCTGAATACAGCATGATCTCACTTACATGTGGAATCTAAAAACTCTCTAGCTCCTGGAAGCACAGAGTGGAATGGTGGCTGCCAGGAGCTGGGGAATAGGGAAATGAGGAGATGTTGTTCAAAGGGCACAAAGTTTCAGTTTTGCAGGATGCATAATTTCTGGAGATTTAATGTACAGCATGATGACTAGAGTTAATGATACTGTACTGTGCACTTAAAATTTGCTAAGAGAGTAGGTTTTAAATGTCCCTAACCCAAAACAAAAATGGTAACTATGTTAGTCAATAGATACGTTAATTAACTTGATTGTGGTAATTATATCACTAATATGTATATTAAAGCATCATGTTGTATACCATAAATATATATATAATTTTATTCACCTTGATAAAGCTGGAGAAAATACATTATTCCAAAATAAAATGATCATCAATAAATAAAAGTTGCTATGGACTGAATATTTTTGTCCTCCCAAAATTCACAGCTGAATCACTAATTTCCAGTGTGATCGTATTAGGAGATGGACGTTTGGGAGGTAATTAGGTCAAGAGGGTGGCATCTTCATGATGGAATCAGTGCCTTTTTAAGAGGAGATAGAAGAGAGCCCTCGCCACTCTACCTCTCCCATGTGGGGACTCAGTGAGAAGAAGGCTGTCTACAAGCCTCACCAGGAACCGAATCTGTCAGCACGAAGAAGGCTGTCTACAAGCCTCACCAGGGACCGAATCTGTCAGCACCTCGGTCTTTGAGTTCCCAGCCTTTAGAACTGTGAGAAAGAGGTTTCTGTTGTTTATAAGCCACCCAGTCGATGGCATTTTGTTATAGCAGCCCCAACTGACCAAGACACAAGTGGAACAGATAAATCATACACCATGGCAATTAAGAGGCTTTGGAGTCAGACTCACTGGGTTGGGACCCCCAACCCATGACTGGCTCCATGACCTGGATGAGAGAACTCACCTTTTCTGGGATCCGAGCCCCCAACACAGATGGTGCTTTCTGTGGGGGGGCGGGGGCGGGGGGGCTTGTGCAGAGTCCCTGAGATCACAGTGCCTGGCACAGAGTCGGTGCTCAGGAAAAGTCAGCTATTATCACTAACACTAAAAGTCAGGGGCTGTGAGGCCATCAGCCTCAGGAGTCACACAGAGCCTAACTTCCGACATCACCATGCCTACAATGAGGACTCATCAACAAACGGAGCTAAACCTCGTCCCATGGAGGGAGCAGAGCCCCCCAACCCCGCATTCCTCAATACTCTCAGGATTCCTCTAATCCTGAAACCGGAGGTGTCTCCTACCATGCCTGTGCCCAGAAATTAGACTGGATTTTTTGTAGAATTAGGAGAAGTAGATATATAATCCATAAAGAACTTATAAAACTGCAAATCTTCACTCTAAAAGAATCTCATACATTGATAACTCTATAATTTACTATATGCAAAGTGAAAGCTGAGTTAAGTAATGTCTAAAGTTGTATGGACCCCTGAATGTGTTTCTCTTTTAAAACACAACAACTTTGGGAGGCCAAGGCGGGCGGATCACCTGAAGGTCAGGAGTTTGAGACCATCCTGGCCAACATGGCGAAACCCCGTCTCTACTAAAAATACAAAAATTAGCCGGGCGCAGTGGTGGGCGCCTGTAATCCCAGCTACTCAGGAGGCTGAGGCAGGAGAATCGCTTGACCCTGGGAGGCAGAGCGAGTTAGCCGAGATCGTGCCACTGCACTCCAGCCTGGGCGACAGAGCCAGACTGTCTCAAAGAAAACACACACACACACACACACACACCCCAATTATGAAGCTCTGCTTAAGAAAATACTAGTGGCCGAGGCAGGCAGATCACAAGGTCAGGAGATCGAGACCATCCTGACTAACACGGTGAAACCCCGTCTCTACTAAAAATGCAAAAAATTAGCCAGGTGTGGTGGCGGGCGCCTGTAGTCCCAGCTACTCGGGAGTCTGAGGCAGGAGAGTGGCGTGAACCCGGGAGGCGGAGCTTGCAGTGAGCCGAGATCGCGCCACTGCGCTCCAGCCTGAGCGACAGAGCAAGACTCTGTCTCAAAAAAAAAAAAAAATAGAAAATACTGGTTTTTCTTTTTCTTTTAAGAACACTCTTTAGATTCTCTTCATAATTTATCAGAGCCCAAAACTGGAATGTTTCCCTACTTCCTTTCTTTGAATCCAAATTACCTTTCCCTCCATACACACTGAATAGCCAATCAGGGAGCAAGTTCATTTAAAATTTAAGTACATTTAAAAATTTAAAATATGTGTCCAAAAATCTAGTTTATATTAACATATTATATATACATAAATTGTAGTAATATAACGTATATAATGTATGCTGGATTTAAATCAATTCTGTCTTCTAAATAAGTGCCCTAATTCATGACAGGATGGCTCCTTTATGTTAAAACTGGGAAATAAAGATGCAAAAAGTGAGTGACGAAATAATCTGTACAATAAGCCCCCATGACATGACACAAGTTTACCTATACAACCAACCTGCACATACATCCCTGACCTAAAAATAAAAATTAAAAAAAGAGAGAGATGAAATGCAAAAAAAAAAAAAAGTGCTGAATTTCTCTGGATAATAAAGTGTGAGGAAATTTTTGAGTGGTTGGTCAGGGGAGGGCTGGGCATAGAAGATGAAGAAAGTAGTTGGAAGCTGGACCCCACACCAGGAGAAATAGCCAGGGACTCATGTAACAAAACATGACATTGAGTCTTCAGTTTTTGTTATCATTTTTCTGTCTTCATGGTAGGGCAGCATTTGACTCAGGCCTAAACAGATAGAGCATTTGTTTTTTCTCTCACCTGACAATAAATCCAAAGTTGGCAATTCAGGTATGATCTGGCTATTCTATAATGTAACGGAGAACAAAGAGTCTTTCTGTTTTCCTCAGCATGTGCCTTTTTTCATTATGGTCACAAGGTGTCTGCTGTTTCTCCAAGCATCACATTTACCTTCCAGATAGGAATAAGACAACATAGCAAAGGAGAAAGGAGGTATTGTCTGTATTAGGAAAGCAAAGGCTTACCCTGTTAGACAAAATCATGTCACACTCCTAGCTACAAGAAAGTCTGCAGGAGTGACTATTTTTAACTAAGCCTGTGGCCATCACAGACAAAATTGGGGTTCTGTAACTAACAAAAAAGGAGAAGTGGCAGTTGAATAGGAATAAAGTGAATCTGCCATAGTGCTGCTGTAGCATGGACCCCCTAAACTACTAAGAACCTTCAGTAAAGTCTGCATCCAAAAACCTTGTATGAGTGGTAGAGTGTTGGAAACTGATATAAAAGGATTGAGCCCCATGTCTACATTGATGTATAGCCAATGAAGGAAGTTAAGCTATAACTGGGCTCAAAATTCCTTCAGAAGCAAGAGCATAGAGGCAGGTGCAAAGATAAAACCACAAAGTTTCAGGGAGAAGATGAACAGGAAGCCATGTTTGTTGGTCATGAATCTGTTGTTAACATTGATGGAGATGATTGATAGATAGATAGATAGATAGATAGATAGATAGATAGATAGATAATAGATTAGATAGGATGGATAGATGACAGATGAGATAGATAGATAGATAGATAGACAGATAGATAGATGATAGATTAGATAGGATGGATAGACAGATGATAGATGATAGATAGATAGATAGATAGATAGATAGATAGATAGATAGATATAGATAGATGAAGATGGGATGTATAGATAGATGATAGGATGGATAGATAGATAAATGGGTGGATAGATAAAGAGATAGATGACAGATACATAGATAATATCTACTCAGCACACACTACATTCTTGGTAGTTCTCTATGTGCTTTTTCTGTTTTATCCTAATTAATCTTTCCAAGCAATAAAAAGAAATGAAAATTATTCCAATTTTACTAATAAATGCATGGCAGCAGAGAGAAGTTATTTCCTTGGCTTAATAACCTACAAGTTCTCCGCCCTGTTTGCACATGCACTGCCCAAGCACAAGCTGTAATTATCTGCCTGTCTTGTCTGTCCTTGCCCTGTGGGAAAGCCATGCCTTCCTCCACCAGCCAGCGGGTAGCCCTAGAATGTTGTACTTTGACTTCAGCTGACGTTCTTTTTGAATCATCAAAGAGGTCAACTTCCCTTTTCCCCTCTGAGCATTTAATCTCTAATGAACTTAACCTCACCATAGGGTGGTTTGCTCACATAATTTATTTATCTTCAGAATTGCCTCCACCAGGATGGGAAGAGGACCAGGCCAGAGAACTTAAGTGTGCCAGCTCCCAGCTATGTCTTCTCTCTGTATCTGACACTCCAAAATATTATATTAGGATCCCATAACAATTCGTTCTAGCTGATTAGCAATATTCTTAGGTAATCGGTCAGTGTTTTCTGAAGTACACAGTCCTGACCAATTTAGAATCTAAGGAACTAAAAGGCCCAGAAAAGCCATAAAGGGTGAAATTACTGCCAACCACTCAGTGGCCAATACGAGGAGAGTATCAAATCCCACTATGGGGAGACTGATCTGGCACTTAGAACGAATCGCTGAATTATAGAACCAGTGTCCTTCATCAGCCAACCAGAATGGGCCGCCAATCAACCTTGTGCAGAGGCGGCTTCATGGGACGAGATGGTGGAGTTTCATTCCAGCTCCACATCAAGTTGGCTGGGTGACCTTCGGCCTCAATTTCCTCAACCATAAAATAAACAATTTGTGATTCTAGTTCTAAAAGTCTTTGTTTCTTCTCCAGCAACTAAGGTCCAGAATTCTGTTGCTACCTGCTTAACACCAATAAATGAATATTTATGTGCCTGGTAGACTGACATTGCTAGCACACAGTGGTCACAGGTCTCCAAGAAGTTAGCAATTCTATTTTGGGGAAGATAATCCTCAGCCGAGGTGTCAAAAATAAAGGACAAATTGTCAACAAATAACTCAGCCTGAGGTATTTCAAACACATCATAAAACGATTTGTGAGGGATTTTATAGGCTGGCCGGGTTGATGGAATTTTGCCTTGTATGCAGAAGAACTCAAACGCATCATAAAAAAATTTTTAAAACCTTGCCAAACTCATAAATAAACATCTCTGAGTTCTGATATCATGTTTTCATGGTACATTCTTCAATTCCTCTGGCCATACTGGGTTAATGTTGAAACCTGGATTTCACATCTTTTGTTTTGAATATTCCCAGAGTCATCAAGCAGGGTCAGCCTTTTAAATGAACACTCAAGCATTTGACAGGAGACAGGATAACACCAAGCCCAGTCACAGGATTTCCCTTATGGACCTACTACATCCCTACCATTCCTGCTCCCTTCCCGCCACAGTCCCAGCCCCACCAGGACAGAATCATCAGTAAGATTGCTGAGGTGGTGCTTAACAAGAAAAGCAGAATGCTATGGCAGTGGATTTTGTTGGTACCTGGCCCATATCCCCTCAACACTCATCACGCTTCCGTGTGTCAACCCGGTGCCTTCCAATGGCAAGTGCTGTGTGGTTTTGGGAAGGTAAAGAGTTTCTCAGGTCCCTGGAGCGTGCTCGGCCTGGGCATGGAGGCTGGAAGTGCCAAATAGTTGACATGCTCTGGGATCATCCTTAAACCAATAGCAGATGGGAGCGGCGGAGAAATACCCCCAGCTTCCTTGCTCCTCAGGGAGAATAACGCTGCAGTGTGTCCCTCTTTCTCTCAGAGGTCCCAGTAAGATGAAGCCCCATTTGCCCAGTAGTGGCTTTCTTCCACTGTCTGTCTCATTTCCCTGCTCTCAGATTGGTGCTTCCTGGGATCACTTCTCAAATAAAGTGAGCACAACCTAAGAAAGCCACTCAATGTAATGACGTCTTTCCATGGTCACAAATGCAGTCAGAGACACCTGTGCATTTACACACATCCTTTCCACACAGGATTTAAGGGAGCCAAAAATTATTTCTTGAGCCTTTTATACATGCTTAGTGCAGTGGGATCTAAAAAAAGGAAATTACAGCCTTGCATTATATTTTAGGGTTTTTTTCTAGTAAAATTTATTTATTTTTCTTGTTGTAAAAGTGATAGATGTTTATTGCAGAAAATTTAGAAGTTATAGCTCAAAAAATAGGATAACATTTACCTCATCAATAACCTTGCCACCCAGGTGGTATCACTGCTGATATTTTGATAAGCACTTTTCCAAATACAAGGATGAATATGTGTTTGTGTTCTCAAAAACAGAATCATAATGTGTATACTGCTTGGAATTCACTTTTTCCATTTAGCAATGTCTTAAACATCTTGCCACATAAATATTCTGCTACAACTTCATTTAATGATGAGATAGTGTCCCCTTGCACAGTTATGTCATTATTGAATCAATTTCCCATCACTGGACACTCAAGCTAACATTTAATTTTTAAAGCACCATCAGAGACATTGGTTCTTTTGATCCTCCCAACAAGAAGTTGTTGGAGAAGGTGGTCAAACAGGAATTGTTTGACAGATGGGCCACCAGAGGCCCATCTCATAAAGGAGACAATATTCAAACACCTGAAGCACCACAAGGACGATTAAGTGTTAAACTCTGTGGAAATGAACATGAGTTGTATTAAAGATGCCAATTTTCAATCATTAAAAAGTCAGGAAACAACAGGTGCTGGAGAGGATGTGGAGAAATAGGAACACTTTTACACTGTTGGTGGGACTGGAAACTAGTTCAACCATTGTGGAAGTCAGTGTGGCGATTCCTCAGGGATCTAGAACCGGAAATACCATTTGACCCAGCCATCTCATTACTGGGTATATACCCAAAGGACTATAAATCATGCTGCTATAAAGACACATGCACACGCATGTTTATTGCGGCACTATTCACAATAGCAAAGACTTGGAACCAACCCAAATGTCCAACAATGATAGACTGGATTAAGAAAATGTGGCACATATACACCATGGAATACTATGCAGCCATAAAAAATGATGAGTTCATGTCCTTTGTAGGGACATGGATGAAATTGGAAACCATCATTCTCAGTAAACTATCGCAAGAACAAAAAACCAAACACTGCATATTCTCACTCATAGGTGGGAATTGAACAATGAGATCACATGGACACAGGAAGGGGAATATCACACTCTGGGGACTGTGGTGGGGTGGGGGGAGGGGGGAGGGATAGCATCGGGAGATATACCTAATGCTAGATGACGAGTTAGTGGGTGCAGCGCACCAGCATGGCACATGTATACATATGTAACTAACCTGCACAATGTGCACATGTACCCTAAAACTTAAAGTATAAATAAAAAAAAAAAGATGCCAATTTTTTCTTTGTCCTGCCAACATGCCTTTAATGAGGCCTCCATTCATGCACCACAGAGGAATGGGCATCATAGGATGTCACCCTACCTCGTTTGTAAAAATATAAATCTTTTATTGTTACAATAAGATAATCAACTGAACCTCTTTTTATAGCTCCATTAAATGGGTGTAATTCTGCAGTGTTTTTATAAATTCATAGATGTTTAGAGCAGGAAGAAAACTTCTGCTTCTAGAAAGAGGTTTTTGAACTCTCTCTATGTTTTTGAATTTTATATATATATATATATACACTATCTATATATGTATTTTTATTTTATATATAGAGAGAAAATTATATAAATAAATATATACATATATAGAGAGAGATAAATGGGGTTTCACCATATTGCTCAGGCTGGTCTTGAACTCCTGAGCTCAAGAGATCTGCCTGCTTCAGTCTCTCAAAGTGCTGGGATTACAGGCATGAGCCACCACACCTGGCCCGACCCTATCTCATCTTTTCAGTCATAGGTGGTTGGGCCATTGGTGGACACGAGGCCCAAGGAGAGTTCACCCATTGGTTAGCTAGACCTATGATTCATGTGTCATGGTTCAAAAGGGTGAATGGGTCTACCAAAGTCTTCTTGGGCCAGGAATTAGAACTACGAGACAGAGAGGGAAGGTTTGGGTCAGCTGTGGGTGCCAGTGGGCATAGAGAGTGGAGGACAGGAGAGCCATTTGGGGCCATTTTGCACACCAAAGGAAGAAAAGCTCAGAGGATGCAGGTTGCGGGGGAAAGATGGGATAAAAATAACTGAGAAAAGCAAAGACGGAGATGGACAGCAACAAAGAGAATCATTGTGCTAGCTGGAGATGCAGCTGAGGCCAGCCCCATTCTTGGAACTGACCAATTTATCCTATCCAGAAGCCTAGTTATTCAGTCATTCTAGACCTTTCTCTATTCTTGAGTAAATTTCCCATACACTACTTTCATTTGGTTTTCCTAACTTGAACTCCTCTGTCAGTCAATACTTTACAAATAAAAGATTCCCAACTTGGATTGGGAATCCAAGGCTACAGTAATTGGTCGGTCCAATTAAAGGCTACAGAAATGTATAGATTCTGTACAGGCTATAGAAATGTATAGCCTCTATATAGGCTATAGAAATGTATAGATTCTGTACAGGCTATAGAAATGTAAAGGCTACAGAAATGTATAAATAAGAGGGCTTGGTATAAGGCAAAATCGTCAGAGGAATATTCTCAGAGGAAGCAAGAAGTGTCCAGGCCTTAGAAGATGTGTGAGATTCGGATGATAGTGGTGAGAGGAAGATGATGGAAGATCGGGGAGTAAGCCTGGCAAGTCTGAGGGAAGATCCTGGTGAATTCCCATATCAAGTCCTTTTCTGAAGAGAAAGGGGAATCGACACTCAAGGAGGAAAGCCTCAAGGAAGACCAAGAGAGCTTTCACGTCATCAGATAATTCCAAAGAGTGGCCACAGAACATGAGGAAATGAAATGCCCAAGGAAGCACCCATTGGTAACACTACCAGCTCTCCTGGATCACCAGCTAAGGCCTGGAGGTCACTGGCCTCTCTGAAGTTAGGTAAGGAGTAGCAGAGGAAGTGAGGTGGTGGGAGAAAAAAATAGGGGTATAGGCTGGGCTCAGTGGCTCATGCCTGTAATCCCAGGACTTTGGGAGACGGAGGCGGGTGGATCACTTGAGGTCAGGAGTTTGAGATCAGCCTGGCCAATATGGTGAAACCCCATCTCTACTAAAAATACAAAAATTAGCCGGGTGTGGTGGTGCATGCTTGTAGTCCCAGCTACTCTGGAGGCCGAGGCAGGAGAATCGCTTGGAGGCAGGAGAATTGCTTGAACCCAGGAGTCAGAGGTTGCCATGAGCCAAGATCACGTCACTGCACTCCAGCCTGGGTGACAGAGTGAGACTCTGTCTCAAAAAAAAAAAAAAAAAAAAAGAATGGGGATATAATACATTAAGTCTGAGCCATATGGAGAAACCTGGAACTCTATTGTGCTACAGTGTAGCCCTCCCCCTGGCCTCAGTTTCCTTCCCTGTAGAATAGAGTCAGTGTTGTTTCTCTTACACCATGTGCAGGTCAACTGGAGTTCCTTCACTACTTACATATCAGCCCTGTTAAAACCTCATCTTGATACCAAGAAAAAGCTTCCCAGAATTGCTGAGGAATCAAAGGGAGGTCAGAGAGGGCAGTACCACTTTGTCCTCAGAAGCATTCGAAAGTCAAGGACTCAAAAATTTCTGGGTAGCAATAATGTCACAATAAAAAATTTCCAGTGTGCAGGCAAAGAAGTTCATGATGCTTGTGAACACATTGGTAGGAAAAACGATGAGTTATTTAAATCCTTTCCATGTGGGTATTGTTAAGTATCTAAGAATGTAAGTCATCTGCTCCCCAAGAGATTGAAAACATGTGCTTTCATCTACTGCCAATCAATCAATTATACATTAGACTTTGTTTCCAGTCCCAGCTTTGCCACTGTGAACATATTCCATACAATACTATAACACGCCACAATACAACACAGCATTCCCCTCCAGGGTGAGAGGAGATGAGGGAGTGGTGAAGGTGCCTCCCAAGACCAACCTTACATTTCTCCTAGTCTGCCTCTGAGTGCTGTGCTAGACCCTGGTGCAACTTGAAAGAAGATGAGTTAACTTGTTGGAGGAAACCCATTTCCCATCCTCAAGCTTCCCTGGGGCACTTCACTCACCGGACCACAGCAGGCAGTATAGGAGAGAACCGCGCCCTCTCCTTCCCATCTGTTGCTCTTCTGCAATCCAACTCCACCGTTAATGAAACAACGCTATATTTTACTCCCTCTATTGTGTTCCATTCAAACTCCTTACTATCAGGCCCCAGGTAACCTAGCTTTCATGGCTTTCTCTCCTCCCCCCTTCTGGGACCTCTGCCATGTTCAGTTGGCCACACAGTTCCTCAGACACATTATTTTAGTCTGTTTTCATGCTGCTGATAAAGACATACCTGAGATTCAAAAGAAAAAGAGGTTTAATAGACTCACAGTTCCACATGGCTGGGGAGGCCTCACAATCATGGAAGGCGGAAGGCAGAAGTTGGAAAACAGGAGGCAGAAGGTAGAAGGCGGAGGGCATGTCTCACATCACAGCAGACAAGAGAGAATGTACCAGCAGGGTAAATCCCAGATGCTTATAAAACCATCATGTCTCATGAGAACTCATTCACTATCACGAGAACAGTATGGGGGAACCGCCCCTATGACTCAATTATCTCCACCTGGCCCTTGACAAAGGGAGACCGTGTCAAGGTAATAATCTTAGCTTATTACAATTCAAGATGAGATTTGGATGGGGACACAGAACCAAACCATATCACACATGGAGCTCATTTCTGCCTCTGAGATGGTGCACTCGTTGTTCCAAGATCTTCACGGGATCTTGCACAGTCCGTTGTATAACACAAGCTACCTGTTTCTAAAAATCACCATGCTATGCAAAATCATGCAATTAAAAACGACAGGGCTCATGAGGAAAATGGGGGTAGGGGCCCAGCATTCAAAAACGTATGTGACACATTAAAAAAAAAAAAGATGGGAACCTAATAAAAATGGTAGCAGTATTTTATTCAGGTGAATGGATAAGAAATAGATAGATATGATGATAAATGTGTCACTTGGCCTTGAAAAAGGCCTTAAACTTGCTTGTGGAAGTGGACATCTGAGGGGTTGCAGCTGTGAATTATTATGAATGCAACAGGAGGAAGCGATGTGAAGTTAGGCAAAAGCTGTGTCACTAGAGGCATAGGTGTGTCTCATAACACTTGTGGTGAGCTGAGGTCACGGGTAGATGTTTGAGGCCCTGCATGTGTCTTTTGTGTATTCCTAAACAGCTCAGTTCAGCTGGGTGCAGTTTTCTGTTTACCTAGTGTTTTTACAGATGAAATCATGCATAAGCAAATGCAAAACTTGTTTCCTAACATAGCAATCTCCTTGGAACAAATTCACACTTTCAAAACAAGCATGAGAGCAGAACTGACTGTAATTCAGATTTCAGCTGCTACCTCTTTAGACAGGACTCATTTGGCACCAGTCAAGAGTGGCCTCTCTTCCACCACCACCGGGCTCCAACTCAATGCCCTGTTTTATTTTCCTCTTAAGAGTTATCTTTATCTAAAATTATTTTGCATATGAACATGTTTGGAATTCACTCTTCTTAGCCTCTAAGCTCCATGAAAGGAGAGATGTTACCCCTTATTAGGCACCCATGTCCCCAGCATTCAGCCTAGTATTTTGCACAGGGTACACATAAATAATAAATGTTTTTAGAATTAATTTGGTTCCTGGTGTTTGTCATCACCTATTAGAACTCCTCGTGGGCAGGGGTGGTTTGCAGGCCCCACCATCCCACCTTTACCTGAGACCTTCAAAAAATATCAGTGAGAAAATATTCATTCTTTTTTACCGTCAAATTTGTCCCAGTTACTATTGCTGCATAACAGATTACCTCCAAATGTAGAGGCCTAGACAATCATATTATTATATTCTCCAGTTCATGAGTTGGGAATTTGAACAGGGAAGGCACAGTGGGAATGGCTTGTTTCCCATTCTGTGGCTGGGCCTTCAACTGGAAGACTTGCAGACTGGGAGTAACCCCACAGCTGGGGCTAGAATCAAATAAGGCCAGTTCACTCCCAGGTCTGGAGCCTGGTCAGGGCTGGCTCAGGGTGTAGGACTGACAACCAGAGTGCCTGTCTGTGGCTGCTACGTATATCTGGGCTTCCTCACAGCGTAGTGGCCTCAGAGTAGTTGACTTCTTCTATGGCGTGGTGGGGCTCCAAGCAGTAGCGTTCATCCCAGTGCACAAACATGTGTCACCTGTTATGACCCAGCCTAAGAATCTGCAGAGTCATTCCTACCATATTCTATCAAACTGTCACAACCTGTGGCGTAGTTTCTAAAGCACCACCCCAAGGTTCTCCACTGTAATCCATAGAACCTGTGAGTGTCCATGATTCTGTGCTGTTCTATAGCACAAGTGACCTTTAGATCAGAAGATTATCCAGGTGAGCATGATCTAATCACATGGGTCCTTCAAAGCAGAGAGCCTTCTCTCGCTGATGGAAAAAGAGGTAGTCATGGAAATGTGAAGAACAAGGGAGATTCAATGCACAATTGCTGGCTTGAAGACGGATGAAGCCACATGAAAAAAAGAATGCTGTGGTCTTTGGTATCTGAGAGAGGTCCCCAGCTCACAGCCAGTAAGGAGACAGAAACCCCATTGCTGCAACCACAAGGAACTGAATTCTACGAAAGCCTGAATACAGTTCAGAAATCCAAACTGATTGGATTTCTTGGAAGCAGATTTCTCCCCAGAGCCTTCAGACAAGAATTCTTTCTGGCCAACATCTTGATTTTAGCCCTGTGATACACCCTGAACAGAAAATCTAGCCAGGCAGTGCTGGACTTCAGACTTACAGACGTAAGACCTACCAAATGGGTATTGTTTTAAGTTGCTGAGTTGATGGTAATTTGTTTCACAGCAATAGAAAGAAAACTCACCCAGGAGCCTACTGAGATTCAAGGGCAGGAAACATAGATCCCCATCTCTCAATGGGAGGAGTGGCAATTAATTTTGTAGCCCTTTTGCAAAACTACCACAAGATAATTTTCAGAAGTCTCTGCCCCTTATTTTAATCAATCTATACAATAACAGCCATCTAGTGACTTCAGGAAACCAGGCCTGAACTCAGCTATCTGTATCACCAGAGGAGCTCCCAGGCAATGGCGCTCCTTTCCCCATCACCTCATGTGCAACACAGCTGAGGACCACAGCACCTGCTTGGCACCTAGTGCCAGCCCTGGACGTTCCTCTGCCAACTGGCAGGACTCACTGCAACTATTTAGAAAAACCAAACACAGGGACTTGGAGAGTCATCCAACATTATCTAAACTAGCTGTAGGATATATTCCATAAAAAAGAAAAATCTCAGAGATGCTAAAGTTATGATTTTCACCAAAGCAGTATAAATGCCAAAGTTGCAGCAGATCTTCAGGTAACTTTGGGTGGCAGACGTAGAAGGAATAAGAGATATAATAACTACTTTGTAAAAGAACATATTATATATAAAGTTATTATCATAAGTTTGTTAAATGAGGATACAGTAACAACTTTGTAAGAGCCAGAGGCTGGAAAATCAGAACTTCAGGAATATTGCTTCCACTGCCTGAAACAGGCAGAAATGCTATGTGCTCCATCCAGAGACAAGCACTGCCCAATTGAACTTTATGTTATGATGGCATGTTCCATATCTGCGCTGTCCAATGTGGTAGGCACTGGCCACAGGTGACTACCGAGGACTTAAAAAGTGGCTAGTGCTACTCAGGAACTGAATGTTGAATTATACTTAAATTTAAATAGCTACGTGTGGCTAGTGACAACAGTATCAGAGAAGACATATCTAGACTTTTTTCAATGTAATATTTTAATTAGGCAACCCAGTTCTAGACCTGGCAAGCACTAGGTAAGGTAGACTAAGAAATCCAAGTGGACCTGTTTTCAATGTTGGGGTGAACAACATCCCTTAGCATCCTATCATCTTGCTTGAAGAACTAATTGAGGACACCTGGATATGAATTACAATCATTTAGAGCACATATCACTGGTAAATTCTCCCAATCACCTTCACACTAGGAGCTACAGATTAACTTTTCAAGGGATCGCAGTCTAGAAATTATCTAAAGCAACTGCTACCTGAAACTTGTGTTTCTTTTCTTAGTAAGGCAAAAAAGATGAAGGGAAGTTCGTTTGCATATTCGTAGCCAGCAATATAAAATCTTAGACTGTGGGAGCTTATTTGGAAGATCCAGAAGCAGTAGGAGGGGTCAACTTGACAAAAACTCACAATAGTTTCTCTGAAACTTGGCCCTGTGTCCAGAGACGGTGCTTTCCTTCTGTGTAGTAATACCTTCCTCTCTCCCCACCCACTGGCTTCTGAATTCCTAACGCATACAAAGTATCTCATAAACCATTAATCTCACAAGGATAAAATAAAAGATAAAGTATTATCCTTGGTCTGGTGGAGTTGGTGGAGCTTTCCTTCCAAGTGGGTAGTAAAATGGTGGGCCACTTCCTAACTCAAGCAGTTTCTAGTCCTCTGTGGTGCATACATCAGCCACAAAAGATACGGCTGAGGATTTCATGTAAGCCATGGTTCACACGCCTTCCCAATATGGGAGGAATATTCCCACAGAACCAAGTGCCAAGAAGGCTAATAGTTGACTGTTTTGTATAAACATCCCTAAAGTCTTAAAACAGGGGGTATTGAAGATAATCTGTGCAAAGTTGACTGTCCCCCTCCCCCCTCCCCACACACACCAATAAATTTGGCAGCTGAGACATAATAGAGAGTTGTTATTCTGAGACCACACGAAAGATTTTTATGGGAACATAAGCATCGGGGATCACATTTCCACTCAAGCAGCCAGCAAAGCAGCTTTGCTTCTCATCAAAGAGTTACGCTGAAGGAGATACCTGGCAGTCAATTTCAAGCAAGGCCTCCGGGGAACTCCAGTTAGACTAGGCATTCAGCTACTAAAAGAAAATAATAGGACTCATAGAAAAAAGAGTAAGTTAATGAGTAGGATTGTCTCAATTTTAGGGTTTTCTCTTAGAAATGTTTCTTAAATGTGTGATATATGTCATGTTCATTTAAACTAGAATCTAAGATGGCATTGGATTCAGCACCAAAGGGTAAAGTAATAGTTCAACATGTTATAGTGAGCCACGAAGACTGGTACAGTTTCCTAGTGCCATGCCCCTTGATAGGTCCGAGAACCAGTGACTTGATGTAAACACAGTGCCCACATGTCATATCCCTCCTCAGCAGTTAAACACCCAAAAATAGCTCATTCACCCTGGTGGGCATGTCACTCCTCCAACAGTTGCCTGGCCCAAGGGTGCTGATGTGGCCTCACCTCCTACAGAGATTTTGGTCATGAGATGAGAATATTGGTTTCAGTAAGTGAGATATAATTGGAAAAAGCTCTTCTAAGAAGGAAGGATCAGAATTCTAGGCCTAACTCTGCCTGTAACCAGCGGAAGAGATTTAGACAAATCTAACTATGCTTCATCTTCATCACCATCATCACTACTATTTTAAAATGTAAGCTTCTGCAATGGAAAATAACACTGAGGAGAGAAAATACAATCTGGAAAGGAAAAATCTGCACCCATATACAGACTTTTATGTATTTTTAATGGTTAATGGTCTTAATGCAAATATTTTTGATGAGTTTGCTTCTGTTAGAACTAGAAAAGTAAACATGATAAATTCTGACCTTGGTATAAATGAAACATTTAAACTTAAAATAATGTCAAGTTTTAATACACTTACTTTCAATTTTTTATAGTTTTCAAGTACTTTAATGTTCTAGAAAAATACTAATGTTCTAGGAAAAAAAAATCATAGGAGTGCAGATTTTCCTTTTGCTTCAGGCTCCAAATATCTCAACATGGCACTGCCAGATCCTGTCTTTATTGAAAATTTTGATATTTTGTTGGCCACAAGTTTCTTTGCATTAGATTTTGTTTTAACAAATATTTAAAATACTGTATTAAAATATGATTTATCTCAATTACTGAGTTTTTTGGCCACTCCTCAATTCTGTGCCCAAAACAAGTGCTCATAGTCTCAGCCATGACAGCTTAGTCTCGGACCTGCTGCGGGAGGACAGGGAAGACATAATGGAACATTTCCAGAATCCATGAAGAAAACCAAGAATGGAGAATAAATTCCAAGCAGCATTAATAACAAGAAAATCAATGGCCGGGCGTGGTGGCTCACGCCTGTAATCCCTGCACTTTGGGAGGCCAAGATGGGTGGATCATGAGGTCAGGAGATCAAGACCATCCTGGCCAACATGGTGAAACCCCATCTCTACTAAAAATACAAAAATTAGCTTGGCGTGGCAGTGTGTGCCTGTAATCCTAGCTACTCGGGAGGCTGAGGCAGGAGAATCGCTTGAACCCAGGAGGCGGGGGTTGCAGTGAGCTGAGATCACACCACCGCACTCCAGCCTCTGGCAACAGAGCTAGACTCTGTCCCAAAAAAAAAAAAAAAAAGCGCTGCAGAACCATCAAAGGCATAGACAAGAAAATAAACCATTCAGGAAGAAAAGACAAATCACCTGTAAATTAAAGTTTAACTTCACATCATCAACTATATAATAAAAAAAACCTTTTCCATATGCCTAGAAAAAATAAACTTCTACCTAAAATTATATGTATAGTGAAGCAATTGTTCAAGAATAATGTCCAAATAAAGACATTTTCAGGACCACAGGCACACAGTAGTAAACCTTCACTAAAAGAAACTCTGAAGGTATACTTTACACAGAAGATTCCAGAAGGAAGTTCTAGAGTATGAAAAGGAATAGTGGACAAATGTGATGAAAATGTGGGTAAATAAAATCAAACATTGCATGAAATAATGTTTTTTTTTCAAATCTCCAATTTTGGAAGACTAAAAATCAAGACTGAATTAAAATACTGGAAATTAAGTGCATCTAAGAGAGGACGGGATAAGCAGGGTTAACATGTTTAAAGTCTAGTGTTGTTCCAGAAGAAGTAAAGATATTGATTAATTTCAGACATTTTAAAGTTCATTAAGTATGTTAATTAACATTTCTATGGTGCTCACTAAAATGAGAAGAAATAGAGTGCAAAACTTCCAAAGCAATTGAAGGAATTTTTAAAAAGACAAAGAAAAGCAATCCAGGAAAAAATGCAAGAAAGATCAAGAAAGAAAGACTGGACAAACAGAATCTATAACATTAGGTGGTAGATGGCATTGGCAACAACAGACAACCACACAGCCACATAAATGAATGAACTGCGGCCACTCAAACAAAATGGGAGAATCTCAAAACCAATGCTGAGGGGAAAAGTAAGACTCGAAGCATAAGACTCGAAGTAGGGTATGAATCAAATGTTAAAGTTAGAAAGCATGGCCCTCCTCTGTACACAGCACGACCTCATAGACGCTATTCCACCTATTACAGTCAGCCCTCCAGGGGTATGGTTAGGATGCATTGGCACCAAACTGAACAGAACTGAACATGCTAATGAGGAACACATACATATGTAAGCAAACTATAAATAAAAGCAAGATCACAATAAACACAAAGTCCAAGACAGTAGTTAACTCTGGGTGGAAGTAGATCCCGGGGATCACATCAAGGAGTGGAGGCCCACAGGGGCTGCCGTGGAAATGGTAATTTTCCAATTCTGAATCTGGGTGGTGCATATAGGATCTCATGCATTTGTCTTTCTTCTTATTGTAAAAATTATTTTGCATTTATTTACATTTAAAATTTAAAAATTAAGAAAGATATGGGCATTGAACAACAGGTGCTCCCAAGCCCCTCCTTGTAACTAGGTTCAGAGGCCTAAATTTAGAAATGTGTTCTTCCCAAGGATACCCAGGGAATGAAGCATCACCACAATCAGGACTCAGGGACCCTAGTTCCCAGAGCGTTATGTGATGATGCACGGTGCTCCACGGCAGATCCTAAATGTCTGCCAAGTGTTTGTGTAGGTGTATGAGGCCAATTAAAATCAACAGTGTTGAAATCATATTTTTAATACCTAAAACCTTATTATATTTGAGTTAAAATAGTTGGGATTCCCTACTCAGGTTTTTAAACATCTCAGAGCTGCAAACTTCTCTACATAAATGTTAATGGAATCATCTCACTCCTTACAATAATGAAGCCTGGTGTGCTCGGGTGAGAGAGTGGCAGAGGAAGAAGAAATGCAGAGGGTATTGACCAGTGTGGAGAACATCTATGGCATTATGTGGACCAAGAGAGGGGAGCGCCCCTCCTCTGTACACAGCACAACCTCATGGATGGCCATCCACTTGTTGCAGGATCAAACCTCCATGAGTATGGTTAGGATGCATTGGTGTTAATGCCCCATGTTACAATGACTTCAGGCCCATGCTTGCTAGCTCTGCAGAAAATCTAACCTTTCTCCAGATTTTCCCTCTCCAGAACTTTTTAGAATTCTTAGTGGTATTCACACATCTCTTAGAATACGCCCCCATCCCCCACAAAATCTGATGCAGTGCAGAAGATGCTGCCGCTGCAGGCACCCCAGCTGCTTCCCCTCAGCATTCCCCATGTTCATGCACACCTAACAGCAGCAGGTGACTCTGCCTGAGCAGGTGACTCTGCCTGGGGGCCCTCTGGCCCCAGAGTCTGCTGAAGCCTGAGCATGCTGCAAAACAACAGTCTTGACAATAGTGACTACACAAAAACTTTGATCTCATGGGTCATCTCATGTTAAACCTCACAATAACCAGATGAGGTGGGTTCTATTATATTCCCAATTGACAGATGGAAAAACTGAGACTCATAAAGGTTAAGTAAATGGCTAAAGCCCATAAGGGGTGATGCTAGAACTGCAGCCCAGACCCACTGAATCTGGAGGCCCAGCTCTTAAGCATGAGGCCAGAGAAAATCATCCAGGTCTAAATGTGTGAGTCCTTTAGAAGTGCCATGTTAAACCACCATCCAGGTGCTGCAGCCCTGTGAAACTTGCAGAGGATTTGAAATAACTTCTGAGTAAACCAGCCCAAACTCGATCCAATCTTTCATATATTCTAGCACACTGAGAAGCTCTTCAGAACTCTCTTCTCGTTAAGGTAGAATGGGAAGAGATTAGGATTTGGGGTAAAGCACCAGTGTTTTGATTCTGGCTCTGCCACATCGCAGGTGCCCCCAAATGTGCAAGAGGCACAACCAACCCAAAGCTCAGTTTCCTCACCTGTGCAATGGGATCAAAGACACCTACGCAACAGGGTGGTTGTGAGTATGCAAATGATTGATCAGATGATGACATATTAAACAATAAAGCACTCTGTGAACAATAATGTTTTATAGTGTGGTTCCTTAAGCACCATTTTGTAATATGAAAGTTTAAAATGCAAGCAAGCTTTGGAGTAAACCAAACATCACTGGGAGGTCTCAGGAGACCTTGGGAAATAACTTTACCACTGAGCCTGCATTTTCATCTGAGGAAACCCTCAGCCCCTATTAAGTGAGATGATGTGTGTAAAAGCATGTGGCACAGTTGACACATAGTCCCAAGTGAAAGGTAATTTTAGTAGCAGTACCAGTAGGATGAGGATTTTCTCCACATTGGAACACCCAGGCCCATCCTGTGTACCTCTGTGGCTTTATATGCAAGTTTGATGACTGGCATATAGAGGCATTATATAAGCACAATTTCTAGCATCCAGGCACCCAGAGTGATACTCTGGGTAAATGAGAAAAGTTAACTTTCTCCCTCCCGTGCTCATGCTGCTGCCCTGGAAGTCTGTGTTCCCAACCCAAGTGGTGGTGTCCATTCCTGTCCACCCCACCCCGCCATCCAGCCTGGTAATAGCACAATAACTTCATCACCACACATATCAATACATGCTTTTAAAAAATTATACCATGAAGAAATAATAATTCCCTCCAGCTTGCCCATGACTCTGAATCCCGAGGACATAGCAACTGTAGCTCCAGCTGCCTGGCCCAGGCTGACACCTGCATCTGTATGTATACAGCCACTTGCAGAGTTCCATTAGCTGTTGGTACATTGCAAAGCATTGCATGCCATTCTATCTCCCCTCCTTAATAATGCTTCATCCCCGACGTGCTGTGAATAAATCAACTCTCGCTCTTTCATTGTCCAGGTGAATTAATTTAAAGCGGTGCCTACTGATGCGTAAATCTGATCTGTAACAATTATTTATGCACAACCCTGCAGGCTTTAACCTGATGGAGGTGGGTAAAGAGCAGGTAATGCACAGCTATCATGCTGATGAGTACTCAGCTGAATACGGGGGACTTCTGAAGAGCTCTGAAGTGTTCCGTCTGAGCAGCTGTCTCTTCTCTGATACTCTGCTGTGATGCTATGGCCACTTTGGTCTCTCCAGACTTCCAGCCTCATCTCCTCAACTCTGGGAGTCTAACCGGACTCTCCGTCTGTCTCCCAACTTTCCAGTCATCCCCCATTCTTCAAAGTGACCTCCTCCTCTGTTTTGCTGCCTTGAAACTTTCTCCAGGCAGTAAGCTGGGGTAAGAATGGATCTCACTTTATCTATTTCCAGTCTTTCCTGGTGTCCAATGCCTTGAGAGCTAGTTTTCATATTCTATCTTTTTTTTTTTTCATTGTTTCAGGTGGCAGGGTAAATCTAGTTCATCTTGGCTGAAAGTGAAAGTTGCTTTCATTGATTTTTCTCTAACTCTTGTAGCCAAACTGTGATTGCAATTGACAAATGAGTATACTTCCCTCATGAATGTTGGTTGGTATTTTTGTTTGCATCAACAAGTGAGACAAAAGTGACACAAAGCTGTATATTGGCATATCCATTTGTTCATCACTGAGGGATTTCTTTGCTCAATGGAATCATAGTTTTAAAATATTGGGAATATATTTCTTTAAGTTTTGTGTTATTTACAATGTAACAAATACAGACATGGCAGACTTGTACGTTTGATGTGCTTTATTGACATTTTCTTATGTCTAGCCAATCCACAAAACAATAAACCAATACCTGTTTTGCAGCGTTTGCTGATTTTCGTGATATAAATAGTCCCACCATGGATGATTTCAAACTTCTGATGTGATGGAGTCGGGAAGAGAAGCTCAGTGACCATCATCACATAGATATTTCCACTGTACAGATGCCATCGACATAAATAACCCCAAGAGCACAGATTACAGTAGAATAATTAGGAAGTAGTGAGTGATGGGTATTTATGTCCTTTATTTTTTAATATGATAGATTTAGTTTTAAGTTCTTATAACTTAATTTTTACTAATGGCTTGCAAAATTCCTGAAGATGTTTTTAAACACCTTTTAACCAGTAAAAGCCGGGCTTGCCCACCACTGGGTGGAGCCTCTGACTGGGGCCTCAGGTATGCATCATCACACAGGTAGGTGGGACACACTCAGCTGTGGGGATGGGGATGCTTGTTGCTGCATCTTGCAGAGGATTTATTTGCCAAATGGAGAATGTGGATAAGAGCAAAGTGTTCGGCGGAGCTGTTCATATGGGAGTGAGTAGGGATATCGGACCCAATTTTAAACTCCCCTGGTTCTGAGTGGGTATCAGGATAGCTTCATGACTTTGAAGTCATGGACTCTCAGCCAAAACAGCTGGGTTCAAATCTCAGTCTCACTATTTAACTAGAGTAGTCCAAAGCTCACTATTTAACTCTTCATGCCAATAGAGCCTATCTCATAGAGTTTTGGTAAGAAGTAATTACGTTAATGCATGTTAAATACTGAAAAAAGTACCTGGTGTGGAGTTACCATGGGGGGAGAGGGGAAAGTAGCTAGTGTTATTATTACTTTTAAACAGTGCCATCCCAGAGAAAGTCCTTTCCATAAGCACTTTGGATTCACCCTGATTGATCCGGTGCTGACTTGAACTTCTAAGAAACTCTACATAGCACATAAGTGCCATGTCCTCTCCCCTAAGAACACCCAGCAAGAGAATCCATCTCAACAGCACAGCAGCATGGGCAGCAGGGTGGTAGAGCAGGCTCATACAGGTGCACTTCTTCTGAATCTTCATTTGGGACATCATCACATTGGCAGCTTAAAGTCTGCCATGTAGGAGTGCTTATACCATGGAAATTGTCAAATACTACAAATCAAGACATTTTCTTCCAGAGAGTTGGTTGTTAAACATTTATCAGCTCACCACTGCTCCTTCTTGTAGCCTTGTCGACCTAAGTAGTTTAATTTGTTTAATAGACGGGATGCGTTGTACTTCACATGGAGGAAATCAATCTTACTCTAGCAAGGCTTTAAAGGAAATATCATAGCTTGTCGAATCTATTACCAGAACATGTTCCTACAAAAGGAATGAACAAAATTAGCCTAATGCAAACAGTTTCTCAGGGTAGTTTTGGGAACAAGTACACAAATTCAAGATAACCTCATTCCTAATGCATTGCCATTAATATTGGCTTCCCTGGAACTTAGCAATTTGCAGAGTGCAACTTGGAATGATACAGAGCCTTGCCTCCAGGGAGCTCATGAATAGAGCACATCATTAAGGTACCAACTCCAGCTTTCTGGGACCTTCCAAAGACAGATGGCCCCTGCCATGCACCCCATTTGAGAAAAGTGAGGTCCAGAGGGGAGAAAGCCACAGTGAGATCCCCAAGTCCAGCTGAGCAACCCAAAACAGAAGTAGAAGTCATCTTTAAGATAGTGATTGCTTCTCGTGTTTAGCTAGAGTGGATTTCTAGAAGGTGGACCTAAGGCCATGATGTAGAAGATTGCATTATTGACCCCAATTCTTTCCCCCTCTCTGTGCTCATGTCTTTTACTACATGACTTTGCAATCTCTCACAGTAAAGAGGCAATCATTTCCCTGCCCCTTTGACTTTGGGCTTGTCCATGTGACTTGCTTTAGCCAACAGAATGAGGTGGAAATGAGCCCATGCCTTAGGAGACCTCACATATTTCCTTTTGCCTTGCTGCATCTCCACTATTACTATGAGAAGAACATGCCTGGCTAGCCCACTGGTATAAGGAGTATGAGAATAATGTGGAACAGATACTCCAGCATCGCAATCTGATGCCACCCCATCTCAGCCAACCTGCACACATGGAGCAAGAAGCTGAGCCACCCAGCCATATCCAGTCTAGATCAGCCAAACCCCAGCCAACCCCAGACCTGAGAGTGAGCCCAGCTGAGTCCCTCCAAGCCACCCAGCCCACCTGCATGCTCTTGTATGCCACTGAGACTTTTTAGTTGTTTTTTACACAGCATTATTATTACAAAAGCTAAATGAAAAAAAAAGCTAAGAAGAAAGTTATTTTTCCCCTGTTAAAAGGAGTACTTTCTGTAAAGTTGAAAAGAATTTAAACCATGAAACCAACTGAAGGTTTAGACTGTCATATGCATTTGTCACCTCCAAAGCCCATTCAGCGCCTGGGCCACCACTGGTGTTTAATGAATGTTTCTGTATGTCTGTGTGTCAGGGAAGTGTTTTAACAAAAGCTGTATTCTGTAAAGTGCTTCACTAGACGAAGAATTTTCTGTCATTGGAAATAAGGCAGTATCAGCTGTATTTCATTTCTAGAATACAATAAAATACTTTTTTATTGAACAAATAAGTTAATTAGAACTCGTTCACATGGAAGTGGCAAAAAGGTGACTCCAATTAGCTTGGTTTGCTGACACACAAAGTTAGAATGTCTGAGGACAGAACAGGGTTGGACCAAGTGGTCAGGACTCAGACCCTGGCTCCCCACCCCCATCCCTTGCCCCTGGCTTTGGATTGGTCTGTGTTGGGATCAGAGGCTTGCAGGAATTTAACCCTGTGTTTCCTCCAGGACAATGGTCTAGCATTAATTAATTCAGTGTTTGCAGTGACTGTATAGAACATAAGTACCTCGAATAATAAGAATCAACTCTGTGTGTGTGTGTGTGTGTGTGTGTGTGTGGTGTTTGTGTGTACATACTCAATTTTGGTTTTGATTTATTGATTTCTTGCCTATGCCAACTTTGAAGACACAAATTTGAAAGCCACAAATTAAGCAAGCACCGATAAGAGCAAAACTTGACAACTTACAGCAACGCAAAGAAGGAAGATGCTAAAAGCCCTATACGCCAACTCAAAGGCCCAAAATGTGCAGCATTAGAGGGAACACACTGTTGATCACACATTATTGACTTCCTACTGTGTGCAAGGCTCTTGGCTAAGTTCCCTAAGTGGTGTTACAGCACACAACTGTCCTTGAGGAGTGTATAGTCTAACAGGAAAGATAAGTCACCTGTTACAGATACTTACTGCTGACAAGAGAGGTCAGTGCTGCAAGAATATCAACCCCAAATTAAGTACTACCAGAGAACAGATGGAGGGAGAGCAGGACCACTTTGCTATTTCCCTGTGTGACCCTGGGAAAGTCACCTTTTATCTCTGGGCTTTATTTACTCACTCAATCACTCATTCATTTATTCATTCAAGTATTTATTGAGCACCTGCTATATGTCAGACAGGCCATGTGCTTGACACTGTGATTTTTAAAAATCTAGATTTGTTATTAAAATTTGAATTACAGTTGCATGAAAAGATCTCCAAGGCTGAGATTTAGGGGCCAAGTTTGCAAATGGCGACCTGAAGTTTAAGCTGTTTAAGACCCAGGAGACAGCGCCTGTGTCACCAAAGTACAATGCCAGTGATCCCTCCATAGAGCTGTCCAGTGGGATGGTTCTGACCAGCTCCCCACAGTGACTAACAACAATGACTTCTCCAACAGTGAGCGCCACACTCAGTGGGATTTTTACTTGGAGAAGTTTGAAATATATCCAGGTTTTGCTTCTGGCTTTGTCAAAGAAACTGGACACTAAGAACTTATGTGCCTTTTATTGGGAAAGGATAGAGAATGGGGCGTGGTGATTGGGCTATAAATGATTTTTGTGCTCCTGAAAATACTCCCCTAGTGAGGAACACACCTCTGATCTGCCCAGTGGGATAACTCGGACATTGTAGTTCTGCCTCAAGCTGCTTTCTTTTATGCTCTGGGCTGGACCTTCTTTCCCTGCTCATGGTCTGTGGGTAAGCGGGCTGATCTTGTGTCATCTGCTCTGCTTAGCTCAGTGTTCCTTAACACTGAGCTAATGGCACTAATTAGAGCAGTAGCACTAATGACATTTGGAGCTGGATAATTCCTTGTTGTGGGGCTACTATGTGCATTGTAGGATGTTTCTTTATGTCAGTCTCTATCCACAAGATGCTAGTAGCATCCCCCCAAAATGCCTCCAGACATTTCCAAATGTCCTCTTGGGGGTAAAATCATCCCAAGTTGAAAGGCACTAGCTTAAGGTAACACAAAGAGGCCAGGGCAGTGTGTAGGGTCTTAATAAGTCAGGACAAGTTAAAGCATTCACAGAGCACACAGGCCCAGCTGCTGAGGTTTGCCACATGGCGTGGTCGCTGACTCTTCTCGTGAACCTGCTCCCTTGTTTAGGTAACTGCCTTCCTGCTGGATTTGCTGTGTGCAGGGTTTATGGCTGTTTTCATCTTTCCCACAAGCCAGGGAAACTTTGAACTGTTGGACATGGAGGCCTGGCTTGTGATTCAGGAGCCCCAGTTCTTCCTTAGCAAATGGCACCTCCTCCCTGTGTCTCTGTCCTCCCATCCGTATAGAGATGCTGCCTTGACATTGTCATGGGAGATTACCCGGTGTCATCCCAAAAAACAAATCCATCGGAAACTCGGTTTCTTTTTTTGTCCAGTAAGCAAAATAAGAACCACTGTCAGTGGTTTTAGGTGAGGGCTTAGTGATAGGCTGTCCAGGGAGTTGCCTGGCAAAAACCCCAACATGTAAACTTCAGCCCACCATGGGGGCGGCAGGAGCAAGGACTCTGAAGAGACAGAGCTGAGTTAAAATACAAACTCTGCCATTTCCAAGCTGCCTGACCTTAACCTCTAAGCCTCAGCTTCCTCATCCATAAAATAGAGATTAAAATATTACTCACCTTCTTATCTCATTTTATGAGATGATTCAAATAAAGCGTGCAGGAATCCACCTGGCTCACGGTAAAGACACACACCCCGCCCGAAAGTAGAGATGTTCTTGGGAATTGACTTGTAATCTGACTCTGTGCTTCCTCTCCTACTAAGCCCCACATTTCTGGACGCCCTCTCTCGGCCCCTGGTGCCTCCCTTAGCAGTTGCTCTGGTGTCAGCAACGATGGGCAAAGGAGCTCAGGCCAAACTCACGGAAAGATTGCGCTCGCCAAGCATTGCCACTGTGGACATTTCTGAAATTTGTGCCTGATTCTTCTTGAGAGACAAGGACTAAGAAAAGTCATCAGGTAGCATATGAGAGAGGGTTCTGAAGTCTCAGGCCACAGCAGACAACAGAAGATTCTGAAGTCACAGGCAATGTGGAATTTCTCTTAATTTGAGTGTAAGTCACTCTAAAGCCAGGAAATGCTGTCCCTGGAGCCTCAGCCTTCAGGGAAGCTTCTATTTTTGACCTTCTGTGAGCACATGCTCATCGGTCATTCAGTCAGCATCTAATGCACACTTACCCTGAGCTAGGGCCAGTGCAGGGACAGAAGGTGAGCTGTGGACACTGTCCACAGTGAGCTCGGAGACCAGCTGGCAGCAGGCAGAATGCCTTCCATCTACCTTGGCCTCAGCCAGCCTTTAGGAACTCTGAACACACGGCCACCTGCCCCGAAGGCAGCAGGCTGTGGCTGGTCAGAGACCTACCGTGTGCCACCTCTGTGAACTCCCTGTCTCTCAGAACTCAAAGGGTATGGAAAGGCCACTTGGGAAGGGCAAAGGTCAGGTTTGGGTTCTGTCTCCGCCACAGTCGTCTGTGCAACACTAAGACCTTCAGTTTCCTCCTCTGCAACACTGAGAACTTCAGTTTCCTCCTCTGCAAAATGGAGGCCACACCCAGCCTGCTCACTGCCAAGCTGTTGTCAGGGTCAAAGGAGATGGTAGAAGAGCAGTGGCTTTGCAAACTGTGACGATCTGGGCCAATGTAGAAGCTTTAAAGATAGTATTTTATTTTAATGCAAGTAATTTAAAAGAATAGAAACAGGCAAACAAATAATTGCCCAAAGCCTATTATAAAAAGTGCCAAGGTGCTTCCTTCCTGCCAACTTGCAAATTAGCAGACAGAAGTTTCACAGACCAGACCTTAAGGTTTGTTGAAATCCATGATATTTCACAGAGGCAGCACCCCAGGGCTGGTGAAGGAGGATGTCTTCCATGTGGGGACATTGAGAAGCCCTCAGAAGCTCCCTTTGTGACCCAAAATATCTCTTCTCACCTCCCTCACCCACTGCCCGCAAGCCTCAGATTCCATGTTAAATAGCAGCTTACCTATTTTTTTAACTCAATTGGTGATATAGTATATATGGAGGATTTGTCAATGTTTAACACAGTTAATCCCTTGTCATTGCATTAGGGGAATTTGTTAAGAGTCCCTCCCTCCCCAGGTTAAGTTCTGAATCCCATGTTCCAGCTTTCTTTGCAGCTAAGGTACGTCATGTGATTGGGCTCCACAGACCAGACTCGCGCTCCTGGGACTTTGGGTTGAATGACAGCCACAGAGAGAATCAGGCTGTGCTTGGAACTCATGCACAGAGCATGCAACTCTGTGCTTGGAACTCATGCAAGAGCAAAGGCAAATACATCAATTTCCAGGAGAGTCAGCAGTGGACATCTAGGGGTGGAGCCCAGGGCTAGCACTCCCACAGAAGCGTGTCTGCATGGCAGTGGGGCCATGGTGCCCCTTGGGTGTCCTCCTCGGGGAGGTGCCGCAAGCCTTGCTCTCCTGTCTGTGTGTAGCCTATGGGAACATCCACTTCCCCTAATAAATTCTTTTTCTGCTTAAGTCAGCTATAGTGGGCTTCTGATTTATTTGTGGCCAAAGACCACCACCCCCCAAATCAAGCATGGGATGTGTCTACCACCTTGCTGTGCAAGGATTATCAGAGTAATTTTCCTGACTGACAAGAGGAGTAGAAAAGACTACAAGCCTTCACAGGGCAAAGCAAACTAAAAGACTGGAAGTTGGTGGGGAGAAAAGAAAATGCAGGTATTTGTGGTTGTGTCCATGTGTGAAGAAAGCAGCTCATGCTGAGTAACTGCCAAATTTCTGCTGTACCCATCTTCTGCCCATGCCCAGATCCACTCTGTATTGCTGGAAACAAGTAGATTTTGCCAGTGAGAGCCCTGGTGGAAAATCAGAAGAGAGAAGGAAGACAAGGTAAGGTGCCTTTCTCTCCTCTCCTTTTCTCCCCTCTCCCTCTTCTCACTCTGTCTCTGTCTCTGTCTCTGTCTCTGTGTCTCTTTCTCTCTCTCTCTCCCTCCTGCCCTCCCTGCAACTCCTTCATGGTCCCACCACCCATGGGCAGTCCCAGCTTCTGGGTTCTGACCTTCTCCTCTCTCCTGCAGCCCAGCGGGGGCCCCATCTTCCTCCAGGCTGCCTCACAGGCCCCTCTGTTGTCTCTTGGCCTCTATCACATGTGCCACTAATTCCCTGTGCTAAATATTCTTTCAGTGAAAGACTTAGAATGATTTCTGATTTGAGGACTGACCCCTGACTTATGTAAGAGTTTGGACAATTTGCCAATGACGGTTCTGCTTCAGCCTGGCTCTGGTTACTTAAACGCCATTATAGTTATTACTATCAATGGTAATGACGCTAAATTTATGTATATCCCAATGTATCCAAAAATAATGTGTGCAAGAACACAGCACAAAAAGACAGCAACAACCTAACTGCAAACCATGAAGAGAAGAATCATAAAATAAGATTATGTATGGGAACATACACTGGGACATTTTGCTGAGTCACAATGCACATTCCCACCAGGCCATTGCTCAGCAAGTCAGCTTGGATTCTGCAGATGTGGAACTGAACCAGGCTCAACCCCATGGGAGAAACAGACAACCTGTTTATGGCAAAGGCAACAGTCCTCTGAGACACATTATTTATCACTAGTCCTTTCAATCAAATTTAAAATATATATACATACACACATACACACATAAACACACACAAGTGTATATATATATATAAAATATACTACATAATAGTATTTATAAACATTATCTGCTACATAATATATTTACTATATATAATGTATATATAGTATAGTATTGCATATATTGTACTATATATTATATACTGCACTATACTATACAATAATATACTATATTATACTATACTATATTATGCTACATTATACCATATATTACATACTATACATATAATATATACTATATATTATGTTATGTAGTATGCAATATGTATATATGTACATATACATATATACATATGTAAATATATAAATATGTATATATGTACATATACATATATACATATGTAAATATATAAATATGTATATATGTACATACACATGTATATATACATATTTATATATTTTATACATAAATATTACATGCACATGTATATACAAAATACATATGTATACATGTGTATTATATACACACACATATAATATATATATACACATGTGTGTGTATATAGGAAGATGATGGCATAGTGTCTCTGGGCCTGCATTTATCCATTTTCTGTTTAACAGTTGAATTCTTGTGGCAATTAGCAGATCCTTAATTTATAAAAACCTGGTGCCTCTGCAGGAGATAAGCAGAACAATCAGATATTTTTAAAGTGCTGTTTCTCTAAATATACAGCCAGTCACCAACAAGCAACACTGTGAACTGCTGAAACAGCCAAAGAATCAAATAACTGCACAAGGCTCTCAAGTGGGGAGGGTGATTCCAGATTAAGCAAACAAGGGAGTGGAGTGGTGTCTTTACCTCCTGGTGAACTGCAAGTTTGCAGTGGGCCAGGATTTCAGGATGGGCGCCTCCCCTGCTTACCATGTGAAATGCCCCCTGCAGGGCATGTGAGTGAGGCTTTTCCTGGAATGCGGGACAGGGACAAGGAGGTTTGTCTCAGGGTGGCTCCATGTCGGGATCTGCTCATGCCTCCTCTCCCAACCACTGTCCCAGGGCACATCAGCAGACCTGCCCTGCATCTCCTAGCCAGCCGTGCACTAACCAGCCATGCCAGGAGGGACCCTGGCCTCAACAGGAGCACGTAAGACTTTTCCTGGTCTCGCTAAGACAAGGATTGAGTGCAAAGGCTTTATTTGAGGTTTAAACCCAGAAAACACCAAAAGGCGAGTAGGGAAGTGCAACAAGAAGAAGAAAACCAATCAAAAGTGTGTTAGTGAACAGGTTACAGGAGTGGACAATGGGGCTCTCTGCCTTGCTGGATATATCAGATATTTTTGAAGTGCTGTTTCTCTAAATATACAGCCAGGGAACCCCTGGAAGATGGTGGAACTCATCTCAGATACAGCACCAAAGTGAGGGTGTTTATCCTCCAACTCTTGTCCATTACCAGCCAATACCAGGGACATGAACTTCCTGGCACTTGCAGGTGAAGGCTGCGGGTACTCATAGCAGGATGAGTCAGCACCTGTAGGACAGTGGACATTGGGCAGACATGGGAGGGGTGCCCACAGCACGGCATCAGCCACAGTTGTCTTGGCTGGAGGCCTCCTGGGGGTGAGCACTTTTGATTGGCTGTCCTTCTGACTGGTTTTTAATCTCCTTTTTTGCTTTGACCTCGACCCTCTGCGCACTTTCTGACTGCCTGGTTTCTGATCTGATGCCAGGCTTAGACATAACCTGCTACCTGCTTCTGTAGCCTCTGACTGCTCATAAGGCCAGGCCACTGTGTCATACTGACCCCAGTCATGGGTATTTCCCGAGTGTGCACTTGGAACAACTAATCATCCCAACTCAGAGTTTAACAACCAGCACCCTGAGAGGACAAAAATACCTTGATTTGTAGCATTTCCTATTTTCATGGGTAAATACTCCCACCATGGTGAATTTCAAGATGCAAAAGTGATGTCCCAGTTGGGAGGGGGAGTGTAGTGGCACACCACATACTGTGTAGTATTTCCACTCTATAGAGGTAAGAGACAATAAATAATCATAGAAAACAGGAAAATGTACTAAAATAATAAGGTAGTAATGTAGTAAAATGTAGTAAAATAATAAGTAAAATAATAAGCATGATGAATCATGCTCTTTATTTATAATACAATGTATTTAATTATAACTAACTTTATATAATTTAATGAATAATAATGGCTGTGTTTAACAACTAGCTCATGATTTCCTGAATATTTAACAGTTGGTTCTCATGAGCTGGTACATGCCCACCTCAGCAGTTAGAATCATGCCCAGCAACTGGGTCTTAAGAGGCTGGATATTGTGGGTAAGCCCCAAGTGGGCTATGACAATCAGCTGGGAACTGCAAAACTGGGAAGCAAGGCGACTGTGAAAACTACAGCCTGTAACCCACGGTAGCATCCTAAGATGATTGGGGACTGAGCTTCATCAAGCATTAGCTGGGTTTGCCTTTAGGAAATCATATCCCCAGCTCTCTCTCTCTGTGTGTGTCTTACTTGAAGCAGGCAGTATTATCACCTTTCAATCAGAGAGAACCGAGCCTAATTTCTAGGTTTTGTTAGAATTTTAGATATTCTCTTCCCAGGGCCTGCCTTTCAAGAAATGGGATGATGTAAGAAATGAGGGTGAAACAGCAAAAATTTATACTTCTCTGACAACACTGTCCTGATGGCAATATCTTAAGGCAATATTATTTTAAAAATCCATTCTCAAACCAGAGTTAAAGATCAGTCATTTACACACTAGCAAAACTTAGAGCAACTAGGTTTCTTCTTCTGGGGATATACATACGCTACCATTGCCTTGGTTTAATAGGTCCCCTGGTTGCTAATAATCTGGGTCACCATCACTCTTTGGTTAACTGCTTGGAGCTATGTGGGAGGCCAGGGCAGAGTCTCTTCTGAAAACTGGGTCATTGTGAGCTTCTTTTTTATAAGTCCCGTCCTCTGTGTGGCCAGCCAGAAGAGAATGGAAACTCTTAAGATTCCAGAAGTTGATCTGGTGGGAGAAGGGTTAGGGGGATGTGGTAGATGCTCCTAGAAACTCAGGCCTAAGCCATTTCTTCCAGGACAACTTTGACCACACATCTTGGCATTCAAGGGTCATCAGAGACTTGAAAGCCATTAACAAAGTGGTAATGGGACTCCAAGCTGCCTAAAGTCTCTCCCCACTTAAAGTTAAAAGCTGCCCTCAAAACCACGTAGCATAGTAAGTCCCACTTCTTTCTTTTAAGATGTAGTCTCACTCTGTCTCCCAGGCTGGAGTGCAATGGCATGATCTCGGCTCACTGCAACCTCTGCCTCCTGGTTCAAGCAATTCTCCCACCTCAGCCTCCCGAGCAGCTAGGATTATAGGTGCGTGCCACCATGCCCGGCTAATTTTTGTATTTTCAGTAGAGACGAGGTTTCACTATGTTGGCCAGGCTGGTCTCGAACTCCTGACCTCAAGTGATCTGCCCACCTTGGCCTCCCAAAGTGCTGGTATTATAGGCATGAGCCACCGCACCTGGCCAAGTCTCACTTAATAGTTTCCCATGAGTTCTCCTTAAAATCTGAAAATTCCAAGCCCCTGGCCAACCCTAGACCATTCAAACCACAGTCTCTGGAGGTGGGACTCCACATTAGTACTCTCTGAAGGTCCCCTGGAATGCCAGTGTGCAGCCAAATGTGGAACCACAGACTCAGCCATATTAGGGATTGTGAGAAATCCATGAATTCCCCACAGCCAGTAATTCTACGATGCAGAGATGAACATTAGGGTTATATAAAAATATGGTCAGTTATGGTCGGGTGGCTCACCCCTGTAATCCCAGCATTTTGGGAGGCCGAGGCGGGTGGATTGCCTGAGGTCAGAAGTTCAAGACCAGCCTGGCCAACATAGTGAAACCCCGTCTCTACTAAAAAAAATACCAAAAATTAGCAGGGTATGGTGGCGGGTGCCTGTAATCCCAGCTACTCAGGAGGCTGAGGCAGAAGAATAGCTTGAACCTGGGAGGCGGAGGTTGCAGTGAGCCAAGATCACGTCATTGCACTCCAGCCTGGGCAACAAGAGTAAAACTTCATATCAAAAAAAGAAAAAAGTATGGTCAGTTATGTACTTAAAGAGTATTTTAGGGCAAGGGAAAATGCCCATGATATATATTATGTAACCCCCATTTCGTAAAATATATTCATGAATAGGTATATAAGTTTTTAATGAATGTTAGCAGGTTCTATAGTGCTATTTCTGGGCTCTAGAATTATGTGAGGATTGTTTCTTCATATTCTTCTTTGTACCTGTTGAGCTTTTTTAGGTCATAAGGAACACAGCCCTGTTAGTTGGGGGGAAGGGAGAGTTATGTGAAATGTACAAAGAAAAGAGGACACAGAATGATTCCAGATCCACACAGCCAGTCTTCAGCATCTTGCAAGGACATGCAGGAATGAGGCTATTCAGGCTGAAATAAGCTCAGATGGTTTAAAGCTTGTCCATTCTCCACTAACCAATGGCTCCCTAGTCTAATGCTTCACGATTTTCATGAGACAACTGCTTTCCATTGCTACTTCTGTTTTTCCTGGGGTCACCAAATAATTGTGTAGCTCCAATTTCAATTGAGTAAGAGGGGATATGATTGGGGTAACCAGCTAACATCTAAGATCAGGACCATTAGGCAGACCTCAGCCAGTCATCTATTGTTGGCTGCTTTGGGTCTAACCCTCATCCTTGTTCCAATCAGCTGTGGCCAGAGCAGTAGAGTCTTGTGTTTCTGCCCGTGGGAATGTTTCTCAACCCATCATCAGTGGTCCATGGGTTTATGTTTAAGTGATTTTCTAGGAAGTTGTAGTAGCCTGTTTTCATGCTGCTGATAAAGACATACCCAAGACTGTGCAATTTACAAAAGAAAGAGGTTTAATGGACTCACAGATCCACATGGTTAAGGAGGCCTCCCAATTATGGTGGAAGGCATAAGACACATCTCACATGGAGGCAGACAAGAGAACTTGTGCAGGGAAACACCCCTTTATAAAACCATCAGATCTCATGAGACTTATTGACTATCATGAGAATAGCATGGGAAAACCTGCCCCCATGATTCAGTTATCTTCCACCCGGTCCCTGGTTTCCTCCCACAGCACGTGGGAATTATGGAAGCTACAATTCAAGATGAGATTAGGGTAAGGACGCAGCCAAACCATATCAGAAGTGTCCTTGGAAAAACTGGTAGGGGAATAGAAAGTGGGATCAGGAAGCCACTGTGTGGTATCCAGCAAAGTCCCATGGAGGGACTTTGGCTCAGTCCCATTGGGGAGCTCAGGAGAGGCATCAGAGCTGTCTAAGTTGTACATGTTGGAGGGGCGGGGGGACAGCCAGGTAAGAGAGCTGGACTATTTACACCCCTATACCTATCAGTTGTTGGTCAAGAAAGCCCCTGGAGGAGTTAAATCCCCAGGGCCTTCTGGGGTCTCTTTGTGCCTTTGACCACTGGGAGTAGCCTACCATGAGAGAGGCACAGGTGCTGGCTGCTGGGAATGAAAGCCCATCAGGATGGGAGGGCATGCAGGTAAAGCACTGCATCTGTGCTGCAATGGGCACAGCCCAGCCCAACTGAACTTGAGCCAGTCGTAAAGGCTGTGGTGGTGCCTTGCACAGAATTAAACTTAATTCTTTGCCATAGGATGCTGAATGCTTGCTGAGCTTGTCTCACTGTGTTGAAGCTATTCTATCCTGATCCTTGATAGGAGATCGCTAGGGACACCAATGCTAGTTCAGAGGGGGAAACGATGATGCAGTTGTTCAGTGATGTCCCATCACCAATGGGATGGACAAGGGAGCCCCCATGTGCCAGGCCATGTCTTTGAAGTCTCACCCACACAACAGCAACTCCCCCTCTCTCCTTCTTCTCTTAAGGCAGTTCCAATACCACCTTCCCTTCTCTCCTCCCTAAATGCTCCCCCTCAAATTTTGTTTCTGTTGGAATAACATTACTCACAATGCACAGGTGGCTGTTCATTGAACCCTCTCTTCCATTTTCTGTTCTAAGCACAGATAATTATGCACGTCAAGTTAACATGTGGAGGTAAACATTGTAATTTGGCTTCAGGGATATTGTACATAATGTGGTTTTGTTTCTTCTGCCTCACCAGCAAAACAGAGAGCATTGTGTCTCCTCCTGAAGGGGTTGGATTGTTCTGGAGGACATATAAATAAGGTTTTAATTTAAAAAATCACTTCTGAGCCCTGCTGCTAGCATCCTCCCTCTTTTGAAGAGGGGCAGGCAAAGGCGGCCTGTGAGCCATAAGCCAGAAGACACATGCTCCACTATCATTACCAAGCAAGGGCCAGCCCCCGTCAAACCCAGAAAGCTTTATTTGCAGATTAAACAGGAAGCTTTCTCCTGAGGCTCCTACCTCAGTGCTGCAACTGCTTATGTCTGATGAGCGTTTATACCTGAAAAATGCCAGCAGTCATTTCCACATGAGTTCTCACCTGGCCCCTCAGGGGAGAACGAAGGTCCAGGTGGCAGCACACTGGCTTCTCCCTTTGCCATCGGACACCCTTCAGACCAAGTGAGTTAATAGGGTTAACTCATTAACTAATGCAACCCAGCAAGTGGCTTCTGTAGACAGAATGCGAACTTGGGGCCAGCCCCATGTTTCAGAACACCTCCCAAATGGTGATTTATATTTACCAGGGTCGAGCTCTGGTCCCTAAGGAATGGCCACTGATTCTCTCTGGCTGTGAGATGCAGCGTGGGTGTCTTCCTCACTCTTACTCTGAGACAAACATGAATAGAACCCTAGAACTATGAATAATTCAAAAACTGGCTTCAGTCGCCTACCTGCCAAGGAACTGGGGTGAGGGTGACTGAGCCGCCTGGAACTGTGGATAAATGTAATGATAAATAAATATTCATCCACTGGAACATTGCAGGATGCCCAGGAGCTGTGCACACACAAGGGTTATCCACCCACACAGGACTGGAAATGGGAAATAAGAAGTGTACCCCTTCCTGTCAACCTTGAAGTTTCTGGGGCACAGCAGACAGGGGACCTGGGTTGAAGTATGTCTTTACTACTACACTGCCGTGTGCTGGCACCCATGACCTCTCCTTCCATTCTCAAAGCCTGTCTTTCCAATTCCTAGAGAAAGGCATCCTTGGCTTCATTCCCAAAGGCAGGATGAAGCCAAGGGTGCGTTTCTTCAGGAATTGGCTCCATAAAAAGCAGAGGACATTTACATTGGAGTTTAACAAAAACTATGATTTAAAAAGAAAAATGAGTCAGGGCACCTGGGAAGAGAAATAAACACATTATTTTAAAGTTAATTAAATATGTTTTATTTAGTACCTACCAGGTGAAATGTATTGAAGGAAATATAAAGTTTAATAAATGCTTAACTTCAGAGGATTTGTCATCCCAGAGGGTAAAGAAGTTTGCAATGAGTAGGTTGCGAAAATTTTCTCCCATGTTGTAGGTTGCCTGTTCACTCTGATGGTAGTTTCTTTTGCTGTGCAGAAGCTCTTTAGTTTAATTAGATCCCATTTGTCAATTTTGGCTTTTGTTGCCATTGCTTTTGGTGTTTTGGACATGAAGTCCTTGCCCACGCCTATGTCCTGAATGGTAATGCCTAGGTTTTCTTCTAGGGTTTTTATGGTTTTAGGTCTAACGTTTAAATCTTTAATCCATCTTGAATTGATTTTTGTATAAGGTGTAAGGAAGGGATCCAGTTTCAGCTTTCTACATATGGCTAGCCAGTTTTCCCAGCACCATTTATTAAATAGGGAATCCTTTCCCCATTGCTTGTTTTTCTCAGGTTTGTCAAAGATCAGATAGTTGTAGATATGCGGCATTATTTCTGAGGGCTCTGTTCTGTTCCATTGATCTATATCTCTGTTTTGGTACCAGTACCATGCTGTTTTGGTTACTGTAGCCTTGTAGTATAGTTTGAAGTCAGGTAGTGTGATGCCTCCAGCTTTGTTCTTTTGGCTTAGGATTGACTTGGCGATGTGGGCTCTTTTTTGGTTCCATATGAACTTTAAAGTAGTTTTTTCCAATTCTGTGAAGAAAGTCATTGGTAGCTTGATGGGGATGGCATTGAATCTGTAAATTACCTTGGGCAGTATGGCCATTTTCACGATATTGATTCTTCCTACAGAATCTACAATGAACTCAAACAAATTTACAAGAAAAAAACAAACAACCCCATCAAAAAGTGGGCGAAGGACATGAACAGACACTTCTCAAAAGAAGACATTTATGCAGCCAAAAAACACATGAAAAAATGCTCATCATCACTGGCCATCAGAGAAATGCAAATCAAAACCACTATGAGATATCATCTCACACCAGTTAGAATGGCAATCATTAAAAAGTCAGGAAACAACAGGTGCTGGAGAGGATGTGGAGAAATAGGAACACTTTTACACTGTTGGTGGGACTGGAAACTATTGTGGAAGTCAGTGTGGCGATTCCTCAGGGATCTAGAACTAGAAATACCATTTGACCCAGCCATTCCATTACTGGGTATATACCCAAAGGACTATAAATCATGCTGCTATAAAGACACATGCACACGTATGTTTATTGCGGCATTATTCACAATAGCAAAGACTTGGAACCAACCCAAATGTCCAACAATGATAGACTGGATTAAGAAAATGTGGCACATATACACCATGGAATACTATGCAGCCATAAAAAATGATGAGTTCATGTCCTTTGTAGGGACATGGATGAAATTGGAAACCATCATTCTCAGTAAACTATCGCAAGAACAAAAAACCAAACACCACATATTCTCACTCATAGGTGGGAATTGAACAATGAGATCACATGGACACAGGAAGGGGAATATCACACTCTGGGGACTGTGGTGGGGTCGGGGGAGGGGGGAGGGATAGCATTGGGAGATATACCTAATGCTAGATGACACGTTAGTGGGTGCAGTGCACCAGCATGGCACATGTATACATATGTAACTAACCTGCACAATGTGCACATGTACCCTAAAACTTAAAGTATAATAAAAAAAAAAAAATTAAAAAAAAAGAAGTTTGCAATGAAGCAGATAAAAGGTAGAATGTGGGGAGAATTGAGAGGCCAGACACAGCCTCAGTTACACAGTCACAGAGCATAGTCCCCCACGGTGGGACTGACGGGGGAAGCAGCATTTGAGAGAGAGCATCGAGTAGTTAGAACAAATTACAATTACAGCTAACTTACAGTGAACTCAAGTAATCTTGACTTCAGTGCCATAAGGAGGTACTATTATTGCTCCCATGTCACAGATGAATAAAGAGAGGCACAGCAAGGTAAAGCAGAACACTCCACGTCCTGCATGCACATCGCCTTCTTTAGAGACTTCTCTGCTCTTTTTTTGTCTCTCCATTTCTGTTCCTGCTGTGGCCCTTCACGTCAGACCTGGGCAGTGCACTGCAGTTCAACTCAGCAAGTGTGCGTCAGATTCCAAGTGTGTAACAAGGCAGGGGTCAGAAAGAACCAAGACTCAGGCTCCACCATTAAGGAGCCCAAATCCAGCCTGAAGAGGAATCTGGATTGAGGCTCAACTCTAATTCACAGTGGAATGCTCTGTGTGCCATAAGGAGAGAGGATAGGTTCAAAATGATGATAAGGGATTGTGCTACTTTTTCCCTATTTTTTTAAATCTTTTTTTCCTGATCATGAAAGTAAAAGTTCATTGGAAAATACAGTAAGGATAAAAAACAGGCCAGGCATGGTGGCTCACGCCTATAATCCCAGCACTTTGGGAGGCCGAGGCGGATGGATCACCTGAGGTCAGGAGTTCGAGACCAGCCTGGAGCCTGGCCAACATGGTGAAACCCTGTCTCTACTAAAAATACAAAAAAATTAGCCGGCCGTGGTGGCAGTTGCCAGTAATCCTAGCTCCTCAGGAGGCTGAGGCAGAAGAATCGCTTGAACCCAGTAGGCAGAGGTTGCAGTGAGCTGAGATCACACCATTGCGCTCCAGCCTGGGTGACAAGAGCAAGACTCTGTCTCAAAACAAAACTAAACAAAACAAAACCCAACTTTTTTTACAAAGACTTATAAAAAAAGGGATTAATATATGAAGGATCAAGTTGGTTCTTATGTGATCCACTAGACAATCTCTTTCCAGATCTTTAGTAACACCTCAGAGTATTTTGCTTGAAGATAACTTTTAAACTGAACTAGAGATTGAGTTTCTCATCTGGAAAAACACATAGAGGAAAAATACTTTATGCAACAAAGCAATTGACTCCAGACCAGGGAGGTCATCAGCATTGAGCATGCCTGGAACTCACAGACATCTTAGGGTAGGCTTGGACTTCAGCAAGCCATGGATTTGAGATTCAAGGAAATTTTACACATGTTTGAAAGGTCAGAAGGGCTTAGCTGATATAAGGTTTATGTGTGAGGAAGAGATGACCATTTACTTCAATAACTGCACACTCACCCCACAAAAGACAGTACATGTGAGCAGATAACCCATGTTGCAGACCAATGTTTCTATTTACTGAGTAACTATTTTTTTTTTTTTTTTTTGAGATGGGTTCGCTCTGTTGCCCAGGCTGGAGTGCAGTGGCACAATCTCAGCTCACTGCAAGCTCTGCCTCCCAGGTTCATGCCATTCTCCTGCCTCAGCCTCCCGAGTAGCTGGGACTACAAGCACCCACCACCACGCCTGGCTAATTTTTTGTATTTTCAGTAGAGACGGGGTTTCACCGTGTTAGCCAGGATGAACTCGATCTCCTGACCTCGTTATCCACCCACCTCGGCCTCCCAAAGTGCTGGGATTACAGGCGTGAGTCACCACTCCTGGCCTACTGACTGACTATCTTTATCAGATGTTCTCCAGTCAAAATAAAGAAGTGACAGACAACAAGATGGAAGTTACAAGAGAAACATTACTATAAGATAAAGAGGAAAAACTCCAAAAGCACTCAATTTCAAAAATGTTCTAAAAATGAGAATATAAAGACTATAAGGATCTTCTTATGCAAGACACAAATCTCCAGTGCCATGAAGGAAATAATTGATCTATTTGACTACACAAAGACTAAAATGGACAAAATTCATTTATGACATATGTAATTAAATAAAAAGTCTCAAAAATGATAGCAAACTTAACAGAAAGTACCTCTGGGAAAAGGATGGGGAGAGCATAAAAACAGCCTTTACTTTTTTTGTTTGTTTTTGAGACAGGGTGTCACTCTGTTGTCCAGGCTGGAGTGCAGCAGTGCAATCATAGTTCACTGCAGTCTTGACCTCCTGATCTCAAGGAATCCTCTCACCTCAGCCTCCCAAATAGCTCAACCACAGCTGTACATCACCATGCCCAGCTATACTATTTTTTTATTATACTTTAATTTCTGGGATACGTGTTCAGAACGTGCACGTTTGCTACATAGGTATTCACGTGCCATGGTGGTTTGCTGCACCCATCAACCCGTCATCTACATTAGGTATTTCTCCTAATGCTATCCCTCCCCTAGTCCCCCACTCCCCCAACAGGCCCCAGTGTGTAATGTTCCCCTCCCTGTGTCCATGTATTCTCATTGCTCAACTCCCACTTACGAGCGAGAATATGTGGTATTTGGTTTTCTGTTCCTGTGTTAGTTTGCTGAGAATCATGGTTTCCAGCTTCATCCATGTCCCTGCAAAGGACATGAACTCATTCTTTTTTGTGGCTGCATAGTATTCCATGGTGTATATGTGCCACATTTTCTTTATCCAGTCTATCACTACAATAAACATACGTGTATTGTGCATTTCTCTGAATTGTTTTGAGTTTTAATTAGAATGTTCTATTCTATTACTTGGAGTTTTTAAAAGCATGAAAAACACACCATAAAAGTAGACTTTTATTTTCAAAGTAACAGAGAAGGGACTGCGTACTTCTTATTTTTTATCGTTCATTCATTCCCCACATATTAATGAGCACCTACTAAGTAACAGGCATTATTTTAGGCATTATGAATTCAGTCATGAACAAAACAGACAAACTTATCTGCCCTCATGAGAGTATTTTATACTCTAATGAGTAGGAATAGACCATACAGATATAATAATGTCACTCAATACTTACATAACACTATTTACATCTGTCAATTCACAATGAGGCAGGCACTACTAGTATCTCCATTTTACAAATGAGGAAATTGAGGCACAGATTGTTAAGCCACTGTCCCAAGGTCACTCAGACACTGCACTGGTTTACCCCCAGGGTCCATGCTGTTAATCAGTGGTCCCCAACATTTTGGGCACCAGGGACCGGTTTTGAGGAAGACAATCTCTCCATGGACTAGTGGGGTAGGGGATGATTTCAGGTTTCGGGATGATTCAAGTGCATTACATTTATTGTGCACTTTATTTCTATTATTATTACATTGTAATATATAATGAAGTAATTATACAACTCACCATAATGTAAAATCAGCGGGAGCCCTGAGCTTGTTTTCCTGCAACTAGACAGTCCCATCTGGGGGTGATGGAGACAGTGACCCCCAAAGTGTCTGCATTCACTGAAGAAAATCCTGATTCCCAAAGATAGGATGTTGGAAATGGAAGCAAGGTTTTCAGTGCTTTTGTGGCCATCTCGGGATATTTTGCCTTGACTTTAATCAAGAACGTATGGAGATTTGAAGTTTTCTCAAACATACTTTTAAGGCCACCATCATTTGCAATCACAAGCAGTTCACCCTCTTCCGTCACGGACAAAGTCAATTCCCCTGGCTTATTCACAAATGGGTCACGGATCCATTCCTTCCCAGTTTGGGGTCCTTTGCGGTTGGGTACTAATGCTCTAGCTCTTTTGAAAGCTGAGATAGGTGATCATGCATCAGCTGGGAGAAAGAAGCCCTGGCTTACTCTCTTTCAAAATCTCTGCTAATGTTTGAAACATGTCAGAAATCACAAGGTTCATTCATCACCCCCATAATTCCAGTTTGGCTTTGAAGGCAACCACTTTATCTGCTGACTGGAACACAGCTGTCATTCTCCCCTGAAGTGACAGATTGAGTTCATTGAGCAGGTTGAATACTTCACACCACTAAGCAAGTTTTGTGACCCATTCTGTGTCAGTGAAATGTGCTGCCAGTGGTGACCGTTTTTGTAAAAGAAATCTCTGGAGCAGCTCCCGTAACTCGAAAACTCTGGGTGGTGATCTACCTTTAAAAAGCCATCTCACTTCTAGGTACAAAAGAATATGTATGTGCTCTGCGTCCATCTCCTCACAGAGCTGTGTGAGTAGATGTGAGTTAAGGGCATGTATTTTAATGTGGCTGATAATTTTAATCACATCCTGCAAAACTTTATAAAGTTCGGGTGATATTTTTTGGCTAGCGAGCGTTTCTCTATGGATGACACAGTGCATAAACTCACATTCAGAAGCGATCTCTTTGACTCGAGTAGTGAAACCAGAAAGCCATCCAGTCATGGGAGCTGCTCTGTTTGTGCATAAACCAACACAAAATGACCAATTCAGTTTTCCTCACATGTAATCATTCAAAGACTTCAAAAGTTCTGCAGCTGTGGTGTTGGTTGGCAAGAAAAGTGCACATAACATATCCTCATGCACAACCTCCTGAAAAATATATTGCACAAAAGCAAGCATTGTTGCCTTGTTGTCAACATCGGTAGACTCATCAACCTGGATTGCATACCATGGTGACTCATTAATCTTCTCTAACAATTGTGCCTCAATATCTTCATCAATTCTTCTAGTTATGGTGCTAGCTGAAAGAGGAACGCGTGCCACTTTTTGAACTGCAGCCTCTCCTAAAAGTTCACAACACATGTCCTTAGCAGCAGGCAGGATCAACTATTCACCAATAGTAAAGGGCTTCTTAGCTTTAGCAATGTGGTTGGCCACTAAGAATGATGGTCTCAGTGCAGACACAGTTGATGAAGTGGTGGCCTTCAATAATTGCTTCTGTTCTTCATGTTCGAATTTTTTTAACTCCAAAGGCTTGTCTTTTAATGCAGGGTTCGTGGTCTCCATGTGGTGAAGCAGTTTTGAAGGTTTCATGGCTTCGTTGGATAGCTGGTCACCACATATTATACAAAGTGAGCTTGGAGAATGTGATCATCTGTTGCCTTGAGCCTATAATTTAAGTAAGACTTGGTATTTTCTTTCAAATGCAGCTTTCTTTTTGTTGGCAGTCTTAGAGTCTTCTGCTGTCTCATCACTGGGTATTTCCCCCTCTACGAAGAAGCTCTCCAATGATGTCTGTATTTTACTCATTTCGGCTAGAGTTTGCTTTGAGCTTGCCAAAACTATGACTGAGACAAGTGCACAGTGCAGGAAAGAGGCGCAGATGGAAGTGGTAAGTAAAATAATGGGCGGGCCACATGCAGACTAAAATTAACATCGAATTCTGACTTAAAGCCTGCCACTAGATGCAACTGTACATTTCAAGTATATCAACTCACCTGCCACTATAAAGCCTGCCACCAGATGCAGCTTAATTGTCACTTGTCACTCATTGATAGGGTTTTGATATGAATCTGCAAGCAATTGATTTATTATGGACTCTGTGCAGCCAAACCTCCCTGCTAATGTTTATCTGTATTTGCAGCCACACCTGGCTCTAGCATCACTGCCTCAGCTCCATCTCAGATCATCAGGCATTAGATTCTCATAAGGAGAACACAACCTAGATTCATCACATGTGCAGTTCACAATAGGGTTTGTGTTCCTATGAGAATCTAATGCTGCTGCTGATCTGGCAGGAGGTGGAGCTCAGGTGGTAATGCAAGCAATGGGGAGTGGCATAAATACAGATGAAGGTTTGCTTGCTTGCCCACCTCTCACCTCCTGCTGTGCACCCTGTTTCCTAACAGGCCACAACTGGAACTGGTCCGTGGCCTGGCAGTTGGGGACCCCTGCTGTTAATCATTTTGCTCTATGCTACAGAATGTCAGATGAGTATAAGTCCCACAGAGGAAAATAAAGCAGGGAGATGAAAGGAGTGCAGGTGGTGAGGAGAAGGGGGGTGGGAGGCTGGATTTTACACTGGGTAGTAAGGGAAGTCCTTACTGAGAAGATGGCACTGGAAGAGAGGGAGTGAGCCATGGGAATACTGGGGAGGAACTCCCCCAGAAAGGAGTGGCAGGAGCAGAGGTCCCAAGGCTGGATGTGCTTGACATTCTCCAGGAATACTAAAGAGGCGAGGGCAGCCAGAGGGGAAAGGGGAAGAGAACAAGGGTAGGGAGTAAGGGGGTCAGATGGTGCAGGGCCTTGAGGCCAGGCTGAGGACTTTTGATGCTGTCTGAGTGAGATGGGAGTTACCAGAGAGTTCTGAGCAGGGAATGAGTATGACCTGTTATATTGGGAGGACTAACTCCTGATTCTAAGAATAGACTGTGGTGGGCGGTGGGGGATAGTCACAAGGGTGGAAGCTAGAAGAGCAGTCATCATTCCACCAAAAGTTCCAGATGAGAGAGAAAGGCAGCCCAGACCCAGGAGTAAGAGGGGGTCTTGAGAAATGATTGGATTATGGATTTATTTTGTGGGATAGAAAAATGATAAAGGAGTCAAAATTTGACTCCAAGGTTTGGTGTATTTGCTAATGAAAAGATGACATTGCCATTTACTGAGCCAGGGATTCCTGCAGAAAGAGAGTTTTGGGGGTAGGGGAGATCACAAGTTTGGTTTCAGACATTGTTATTGACTAAATATTTACATTCCCTTCAAAATTTATATGTTGAAACATAATCCCCCATGTGATAGTATTTGGAGGTGAGGCCTTTCAGAGGTGATTGGGCTATGAGGTCGGAGCTCTCATGAATGAGATCAGTGCCCTCATAAAAGAGGCCCTGGGCCGGGCGCGGTGGCTCACGCCTGTAATCCCAGCACTTTGGGAGGCCGAGGCGGGCGGATCACGAGGTCAGGAGATCGAGACCATCCCGGCTAAAACGGTGAAACCCCGTCTCTACTAAAAATACAAAAAAAAATTAGCCGGGCGTAGTGGCGGGCGCCTGTAGTCCCAGCTACTTGGGAGGCTGAGGCAGGAGAATGGCGTGAACCCGGGAGGCGGAGCTTGCAGTGAGCCGAGATCCCGCCACTGCACTCCAGCCTGGGCGACAGAGCGAGACTCCGTCTCAAAAAAAAAAAAAAAAAAAAGAGGCCCTGGAGAGCTCCCTCAGCCATGTAAAGATACGGCAAGAAGGCACCAGCTATGAACAAGGAAGGGGCCCCTCACCAGACACCAAATTTACCAGCACCTTGATCTTCAACTTCCCAGCCTCCAGAACTGTGAGAAATAAATTTCTGTTGCTTATAAGCCACCCAGGCTATGGTATTTTTTTACAGAAGCCTGAACATAATGAGACAAAGATGTCTCTGCTTTGAGATGATTATTTAACATCCAAGTTGGGATGTCTAGCAGGTATTTGGATATTAAGCGGCATTTAGTGAGAGGTCCAGGCATTTCGAAGGTTCATTTTATGTGCAGGAGGCACATGTGAGCAGATAAACAACACAGAGCTTCTCTTTGTTGCAACACTGGGTTCAAACCAGTCAATGTTTCTGTCCCTCTGTCTCAAATAACTAAGTTCTATCACAGCCAACTTTTAATTAGCCACGCAGCCTATGGTTCATCTCTGAGGGCTATATTCAAGAGCCCAGGTGTCACATCTTCCTCCAGGCTGTCCCAGGACTCCAGGTGAATATGAGCTATATCTGTCTTCTTTGTCCTCAGAGTGCACTAATGGAGATGCTGCCAGGCACAGGTGGCAGCTAGAATGCTGGCTGGAGAGAATAGACAGAGCCAAGCAGGGAAGTGTGTAGTATTCAAAAGAAAACAGCAGCAATGTTGGGTCACACCCTCATGCCATGGTTCTGCCTACTGCTCCAGACAGGTAGAAATAAGGGGCCATCGGCCGTCCATTCTCTGTACCTGTCGGTGTGAGGCATCAGGAGCAACTTCCACCAATGTAAACAAGGGACTTAGACCCTCAGAGGGGCATTGCACCTGGAGTATTTGCGTGATACGTGTCATTGACACCTGGGTTACATACAGGGCTAAACTTTCTCCTCCCCATTATTTCCCAGCTTAGTCAATATCCTCAAATAAATGAACTTATTCATCTAGCGGGAAAAATCAGAGCTGAGAGGATGTGGCTGAGGAAAAAAAGCAAAAATATAAGTGCACTTGGCAGTTTACCAAGGTGAGTGCGTCATCACTGCCTTCGTTACAAAACTAAAAGAGCGTGAGAATATGCTCACACGATGCCTTTACATAACAGGACATAAATGGGTTAAACAACAACATCCTAGAAAGGCAGAAAACAAGTTCTTTCAACACCAGCAGCTGCACTTGGAGTGGAGTGGGCTAGTGAGAGGGTGCAACATGAAACTGGAAATAATCACCACAAAGAAAAAAATCAAAATTCTTCTCTCCTGCTTAAAATGTAGAAAGATTTTTAATCAGCTGCCTGAGAGCCAGCAGCCCTCTGATATCCCAAGGCATGTAAATAATAAGTAATATTTTTATATTAATTGTTATAACATTAATATTAAGAACAATAAAATGAATTAATCAATAAGGGTGATGGCAGTGATTATTGCATTGAGTGTTCATGGGGCCAGGCCCTGTTCTAGGCACATTAACACCTTTCATCTACAGAAGTCCCTTGGCCAGTTCCCCACTCTATCCTTCCCAGCCCATTAGAGCATACAGCACAGAGATTGCACCTTCCTCCCCATGAGGTACTTTCCTCCTGGCTTCCGGGACAGCACGCTCTCCTGGCTGCTCCTTCTAAGTTGCCTGCATTGACTGGTTTCTCCCCACCTTCCTAATTCTCTACTGGGTAGTCTCTTTGTCTTAGTCATCTTAGGCTGCTTTAACAAAGTGCCATAGAGTGGGGACCCAAACAGCAGAAATGTATTTCTCACAGTTCTGGAGTCTGGCAGTCCGAGGCCCAGGTGCCAGGTTGGCTGGGCTCTGGTGCGGGTCCTCTTGCAGGCTGAGACTCCTGGTTTTGTGTATCCTCACATGGCAGAAAGAGCTAGAGAGCTCTCTTGGGTCTCTTTTCTAAGGGTACTCACCCCATTCATGAGGGCCCCATTCTCATGACCTAATCACCTCCCAAGAGCCTTACCTCCTAATGCCACCCCATCAGGGGTTAGGATTTCAACATAGGAATTGTGCTGTACACAAACACTCAGTCCATTACACACTTCATCAAACCCCAGGCTCCTCATTCTTCTCATCACTTCCAAGATGACCTCAGCTGGTCTCAGGGCTTTAAATACAATGTACACACTGACAACTGCTGAATTCTTACCTTCAACCCAGATCTCTCCCGGCTGGGATGCCAATAGGCACTTCAAATCAGGTGCGTCAAACTGAGCTTGTGATTTCTTTCTAAACCTGCTCCTCTCCAGCATTCCCCAGATACCAACCCAAAGCTCTTATGGCGGTCATCCTTAACCATTTATTCTGTCTCTCTGTCCCTGTCTTTCTCTGCTGTCTCTCTCTGCTCTCTTGCTCTCTCTCTCTCTCTCTCTCTCTCTCTCTCTCTCACACACACACACACACACACACACACACACACACACACACATATATTCCAGCAGCCCAGCTGACTCTCCCTGAATCTTACCACTTCTCCCACCTTCCTGATTAGTGCCTGGTCCAAGCCATCTCCATCTCTCACTTGGGTTGCTGACTTGTTGCCAAGAACGCTCTCCCATAGCTGCCCTTGCCTGCTCCCCATCCTACCATAAATCTATCTTTGATTCTGCAGTCAGAGTGATTCCACTAAGACATTTCAGAGCTTGTCCTTCCTCTGCTCAAATAGGAGCCCCCAATGAGTCTGCATCATCCTTAGAGTAGCATTCAGCAACCCCACTGTGCCAGCAAGGCCCTGTCCTCCTGACCCATCTCTGTTCCTGACTCCCTCTCCTCCTCTCTGCTTTCACCCTGGTCCAGACACACCAGCCTCTCCTCAGGGCCTCGGCCCTCCCTGCCCCCTCAGCCTGGGCCTCTGTTTACCTGGAGGTCTGCTTGGCTCACTCCTCCACTTCCTCCAGGTCTCTGCTCACAGGTCACTTTTTCAGGGAGGCCTTTCCTGACCATCCATATGACACTGTCCTCTCCACCTCTCTGTCCTCCCTAACCTGTATTATTAGTCTCCAGAGCACCTGTTGCTCCCTGACATAGGACACAATTAGGTGTTTATTTTCTCTTCTCCCCTCCTTAGAACATAAGCTCCAAGAGGTCAAGGAATCTGCTTTGTTCACTTCCCCTCCCCAGCCTTATTGTCGGAAGTGTTGCCCTATGCATGGTTGCGCTTAGCAAGTATTTGTGAATAACTACAGAGCAGCCTGAGGGAGCAGCAGAGTGGCAGGAAGAGGGAAGTGGAACACTCCACCTAGAGTGCAGAAAGTCAACAGATGCCTTGTCAGTAAGAAAACCAATGAGAAGTTCATCTCCTTCTTAAATTATTACCAGGAACCAGAAATTTCAAACAACATCAGTGATAAAATACTCCTTACCAAACGTTGGACTATGTTAAAAATAATTACTGTAGTTACCACTTCATTTTATACACAAGTAAGCTTTAAATTGGTATGTTTTCTTTACTTTCCCATTAATAAACATTATATTCTACATGGAAGTTAATTTGGAGAATTCCCAATAACAGAGTTGGCCTCGGACACATGCAGAATCAGCAAGACAGGTTCACTCCAGGAGTAAGGTCATAATTATTCAGAATCCTTCCTCGTGCTTGGGCCTTGGAGCTCAGTGTGTGTCTCCAATGCCTGCACATAAACAAAAGATTTTAAATATATATGGATAGCACAGTGATTGTGAAGACCAAGACAAAATTTGAGTCACTCCAATCCCATGTGACCACTTGGAGCTTTTGTGTTTAAGATTTAAAACAGCAAAACTGAATGCAAAGGACAAGGCATACTGATTTTGCTTAATAAGTGAAAATTTTAATTCATACATAAAGTGTTTCACCAAACTTGAATAATACTATTAAAATTGCATTTTAATTCTTTTTGGCCGGGCGCAGTGGCTCACACCTGTAATCCCAGCACTTGGGAGGCCAAGGCAGGCAGATCACAAGGTCAGGAGATCAAGACCATCCTGGCTAACATGGTGAAGCCCCATCTCTACTAAAAGTACAAAAAATTAGCCGTGTGTGGTGGCGGGCACCTGTAGTCCCAGCTACTTGGGAGGCTGAGGCAGGAGAATGGCTTGAACCCGGGAGGCGGAGCTTGCAGTGAGCCGAGATAGCACCACTGCACTCCAGCCTGGGTGACAGAAAGAGACTCCATCTCAAAAAAAAAATTCTTCATAACTAATGAACACATAAAGAAATTTGTTATTTTTTGTATTACTATGCAGTTAGTATTGAATCATTTTGTTCTATAGAGGAGGACGTGTTGAAATAATCTCTGGGTGTCAAATAGGCACTCCTGCTGCTAGGAAATAGGTACTGCCATAGTATCAGCATTTTACAGATGAGGAAACTCAGGCATAGTGGGCTGACGTGGCCTTTCCCAGTGGCAGAGCAGGGAAGTGGCAGAGCAAAGATTCAAAGCCAGGCAATCAGTAGCCATCACCTTTCCCTGACATGACATGAATATGCTTCCATTTGGTAGTGTGGTTGATTGAAAGCTGGGGCACTCACTTATAATTTATTCATAGCTACTTTTATTTATAGCTGTGTTATTTGTTGTGCCAACTCGCACATGCTTAAGTTAACATAATCAAAATACATCATTCGGACCTATAGCCCAGTGATTCTACTCTTAGCATGCACCCAAGAGAAAGAGTCCATGCTATACAAAAGGATATACAAGAGTGTTCATAGTAGCACAGAAGCCAGACACAAAAGGGTATATATGGCATGATTCCATTCATACGATGACAAAAACAGGAAAAACTAACTGATGAAAATAGAGGTCAGAATGGTAGTTGCCTGCGGAGTTATTGACTGAAAGAGGAAAATAAGGAACCTTCTGGAATACTAGTAGGATTCCAAATCTTGATCTGGGTGCTATTTATACAGGTGTAGAAGGACCGTACACTCCTAAGTGCATTTTAGGCATTTTATGCATGTTACGTCTCAATAGAAAGAGTAAAGAATAAAATAAAAAAATCCTTCCAGGCATTGCAAAGGAGAAATCCTGGACCGAGAAAACAGTTGACATTTCTGGTCCCTCTCTTATACCTGGGCTTGGTGTACCACGTAAGCAACTCCCATGAAGACATGGCACCAGGCTCGCCGGGGCCTGTTTCCAACCTCCTAGAAGGAAGCTGGGCTGGGGAGGGTACCCAGGCAGGCAGGGAATCCCACTGCTGAGAGTCAACCAGCCCTTCCTTTGACCTTGGACAATGGAGAATGGAAGAAGTGCCCGGGCTTGAAGGGCAGAGCAGGACAGGGTAGGAGATACTTTCTATACTCTTAGCCATGCCAGTTGTCACAGTCCAACAGTTGGTGACACCACCCCCAGTTCCCACGCTGCAGGAAGGTGAGTCCTGCTCAAAAGGCAGCATTTGCCAACAGCTGACAGGAAGGAACTGCTCAGGATCCAGCCAGTGCTGCAAGGTGCCACTCAGCCCTGAGGGCAGAGCTGCTGACAGACACGGAGACCTGTCTGAGGGCTTCCGAGTTGGGCAACTGTGGGAGGGGACAGGAAGTGCAGGGGGATGTGGAGTTAACACAAAGGACAAAGTGACCACAACAGGACGCTTCCAGCACGTGATATTGCTACAAAGAATCATGGCTCATCTTTCATGTTCTGCTCTCTTCAGAATCTTGGTGTATTTCATTTTTTTCTTGCCCCAACCTGACCACATAACACCATTTTCTACTTGAAATAGCTTTCCGGGGGAATTTTTTTTAGCAATCAATCATACTAAAATTTTCTATCTACACTTTCCACATCTCTCTCACTTCCTCTAAAAATATGAAGTGATTTCCAATGGAGGAACACATTTCTGACTGTAGAAATAAACTTAAGGTTTTTCTCAAATATTCCCATTGCCCTGCACCCTACACAGACCACAACCAAGTAGTCTAACTCCACGCTCTTAACCAACAAACATTCCGCTTCTCCCAGGATCTAGGCAATGGCCAGCACTTGGTGACTGAGCAACGAATGGTTGGAAATAAGCAGTTTTCAATGTCGTGCATTGCTTGGACATTTTTCTAAAATATCTAGGATATAATTCCAAAGTAATGTAGCAAGTTGTTCATGCCAGTAATTCCATGGGAAGTTTAAAGGGTCACCTTAGTTGTGAGGTCTCACATAAATAAGACTACAGGACTTTTAACCTTTTCTCTGACTCTTTGAAGCTCACTCTGAGAAGCCTCAGATCTCCACTTCCTCCTGACTCAAATGCCAACAAGCCCCCCACATCATGCAGGTGCTCCAGGAATCTCTGCCAGTTAGTCCCTGGTGGTAAACTTGGGCTCACTCCACTGCAGATAGAAATCCCTTCTGGAGAAGGAAAACAAAGATTCAGAATTTTCTTATTCATGATGGAACAACCATGCTTAGAGGTTAATAAACATAAAAGGATGAGAAAATTGAGAAGGAGATAAAGGCGTATGGCTATTTCTCAAAGCCCAAAGCTGTTCAATTAGCTACTCAACCACAATTGCCCAAGGACGAACAAACTGCCACAGTCTGAAGCTCTGGCTCATAATATGAAGTAGATTTTCCTCATCATCTCCATTATCTAAGGAAAATCCAATCATTTTATAATTAGATCAAGTTGAGGGTAGGGCAACCTACCCATGAGAAACCACCTATTCCATTTTCTTGGGAACCCCCTGGTGCATTCTTATGCTGCTAAAAGATGTTCATTACTGTAAAAGAAGACATTTTACAGCTCAAAAGGCAATGTTCCCCAGAGCACAGGCACCACAGTAATTTGACAGAGGTCTCACGCTGTCACAATTAGCATGACTGAGTGATTTTCCAATTTGCAGAATGCCTTGGGAAGAGAAAAAAAAAACCACCCCCAAGAACACCACTCAGAAATAATCACAAGGAGCCCTCTTCCCATCCCTGCCTCCCTTTTAGGTCTCAGCTCTCTAGAGCCTGGTCTCACACTCCCGGTGCCATCCCTCTGGGGATGTTACAGGCTCAGGAAAAGGGCCCCTTCTTCTGCCCTCTAGTGGTTGACAAAGATCAGCATAGAAGCCCCCCTTGGGTACAGCCCCAAGGGTTATGGGGTAGCTTACATCAAGTCACACAAGCCTCCTTTAGGCAAACATCCATTGCTGTATCCCAGTGTCTGGCATGGTGCCTGGGGCACAGCATGGTCTCAACATATATTTATTGAATTAAATTTAAATATCAACTATTTGATGCTTGCACAGGAACATCAGAGGAATGTAACAAACCATCGGTGCTTTCAAGGTGCTTAAAAACTATTACAAAAACCGCAATAGCTTTTGCACCAACCTAATATCTGGTGAGATGGGGGTAAACATGAGCATCTATCATTTTCCCAAGCCACATCATCCTGGTGGTACAATACAGGGCTGTGGACCTGGGTGATAAAACAGTCACTGACTTCCTTCACCAGCAAATTACTGAAATGTACCTCTATTTTTCCCCTTCTGCTTTCCAAAAGTAGCCGTATCCAGCCTTTTGTGGGGGCAACAGCTGCCTCCCCTCTCCCACCACTCACGATGCAGCCCCAGGTCACTAGGTGTCCAGACCCCAGCCTCGGCTGTGCTGAAGCCCCTGTCTTCGTGGCTTGGTCACTTCAGGAGGGCAAGGTCCACAGCCCTAGATTTTCCCATCTGGGGCATCTCCCCTTCCCTGTCCCACATCTCATGGCCAGATCACAGTCCCAGGCTGCCTGGGGATTCGGAGCCTTAAAAAGCCCCTAATCAAAGGGCCACTTCTCTCACTTGACTGCATATTTTGGTCCAGTCCAATTCCCGCTTGCTCTCTAAAGATATGATAGGCAGCCCCCCTTTTTTTAGACTGGAAAACAAATCGGCATCACTCTTAAAATCTACCTCTGCCAACCCCTGCCAGGGCCTTGGGTCTAAGCTTGAACACTTCAAAATCCCTTCAGCAGGAAAATGTCCACCCATGGCTAAAAATTAAATATTACTAAATGGCTTTTATTTAAAATCCTACATGCAATTGTTTCAGGGATCAGCTCAAAGAAAGATGCCTCCTCTATAGTTTTCTTTTCATCTTCTTCTGATCCTAAGAAAGCAGCCACGTCCTCAGCAACTTGTCCTCATATGCTGTTTTCAAAGGGGAAGAGTCAGGCAGAACCTTTATGCTCACAGAGTTATCTCTTATTAGGGCAGAAGAGTCTTCCCCAGGGTCCTCCAGAAGGCTTCCCTTTACATCCCTGCGTCCAGGATGGTTTATATGCGCCCCCCCAGGCCCTGCCAGTAGCATAAAGGCTGAGCCCATCTCCCTCAAGGGTAGAGGATCTCCCCCCAGATTAATTGAATTAGGATTCCTTTAGCAAGGAATATGGAGGAATATGTTTGCATAGGTAAACAACTGTGTCTGCAACCATCACCTGAAAGTACCTGCAATAAAGGGCACTGATGATCTCATAAAATAGAAAGTTCAGAGGTGGGCAGCTTCAGGGCCCATTAGTTCACTAACTAAACTGATGTGGTTTCTCTGTGATTCTCTCAGCTTTGCTCTCTTGGTCACTAGATTTCTGACATTGCATTCTCATATATGCTGTCCAAACACAGATACAGTATGTTCCTCCACTGTGTTACTCTTTTAATATAGAAGAAAACCCTTTCCATGAGCCCTTAACTGACTTCCCCTCTAGTTTTTTTGGTCAAGATTGGTCACGTGCTCATGTCTTAGCTGAAAGCATGTCTGGGAAAGCTAGAATCCAGTCTGTTTCAGAGTAGGAGGTATCCTTCGGCTAGCAAGGAAGAAAGTCAAGGATGGCTGTTGAACAGGAATATAACAATTATTAATCTACTATAAGTATTATAAATATTCAGATAAACAGCTCTCCATGAGGCTGTGCCAGCTGGAAAGAGGTTCATGAACAAGCCAGTTTGCAGTCGTGTACCCCTTGGATAGGACACAAAACCAGTCCTCTTGGTACATTATTAAACTCAGTGGGTGATGCACAAAGATGGCTCAGTTCAAGCCACCAGTCTTTATTCCTGAGGAACACCAGTTCTTTGCCTTTGATCTTCATCTTGGCCTGTTTTTCTTGCTGAAAGAGGCAAGCCCATCTCTTAGCTATAAGCCAGGATGCCTATGATAGTAAATCACTAAACAATTCCCCTTAAAATGGATTTAGGAAGCACATATTCAAACTGAGTATGCATGGCCGAGCTTGGGAGTGAGATGAATAGACACAAGCAGTGGGTGGTTTTCACCCTAGCCCTGAAAGCTTTATTAAGAATCATTGCTCACAAGCGCCTGCCAGGTCATTAAGACTAATTGCATCATCCTGAGAATAATGAACCGCATCTTCACAGATTGATGTGGTGGGTTTTACAGGTAGAAAGCTACAGCTTTATCCATATAACACCTCTATTTTTGTAATGCTCAACTTCCTCTTTGAGGCTCAGAACTTGAGACCCCCTAGCAAAATACATGACTATTGACTCTGTGGATTGGTGATGGGGCAGGGGGTGATGCAGAGATTACTGGGGGCCTGGTGGATCACAGGCAGCGTGTGGGACCAAATCCTCTTGGTGCATTATTACCACTCCCTGGAACCTCATTGTGTTACAACCTGCACAACATATTTAACTTCCTCAAAGCCCTGAGGGATAGTCACTCTGGTTCCTAGCTTACAGAAGAGGAAAGTTGAATCTCCCCAAGAGTTTGCAACTTCCCCAAAGTCATACCCTTTAGAACCTCTCAAAGCAAAGCCTTGACTTAAACCCAGTATTTTCTGACCCTGAAGCCACGTTCTTTCTCCTTTGCTTATTTTATGAAAATTAGCTGAGAATTGCTGCAAATCAGTCTTCCCCAAAATGTCTCTGTGACCAGCAACCCCAGGTGTGTGTGGTTTTCAAGAGTCAAGATGATGTCAAATCAAATAACACTCTCTGCTCCCAAGGGTCCAACTTTGTGGCCACAAAGGAATGAGCCAGACTTCAGGCAGTAACACTTTAAGTGGTAAAGCTAAAATGCAAACTCTTCCAGAAAGAGCAAGGGGCTCCCTACATCCCCACCAAGATGGAAGAGATCCTCAAAAGGGCTCCGTTTTGACAGAGGGAGAAGAGGCAACCACAAGGGCCTGAAAGTTTAAAAACGTCATAAACTTGTGGAGGTCTCAGAGCAGGAGCCCTAAATTTGGGGGTTTCCTGAACCAATGTGTGGCTCTCCTCCTCTCTGCATTCGGCTTTCCACCAGAAGGTTGGCATGTGTGAGCGGCATCAACCAGCAACTTTACCCTCTGTCTTCTGCTCGGCTTCCACCAGTGCTATAATAAATATGGCAGCAGTCAGCTATCTGGTGACAAATTGAATACATTGGCCCCCTCCATCATGGCAGGAACAGCACTTTGTCCTCACAGGGACACACACATATTGCAGTTAGGGATGTATCCTCCCTGCCAGCAGCGCGTCTGCCAGAGCTACTGTTCTTGGACTTAGAAAACGCACAATCCATTGCCATGGTTTCCCACACAATGTTGCTTCTGCTCAGGAAACATTTTACTGCAAAGAGGCTGCGGCAACGGGCCCACACACATCGAATTCACTAGTCTTTCCATGCATCCCATCACCCAGAGGCTGGCTTGATGTGTGCTGGAATGACCTGCTGAAGACTCAGGAATGGCACCAGCTTGGGAGCCAACCCTTTATGCAATTGGGGTGTTGCCCTAAACAACATGCCTTCAGCCAGCATCCAAATGTAGTGTTCTCTCTGCTATAGCCAGCAAGCAAAAGTCCAAGAATGGTCCCTCTTACTGTTACTTCTACTATCCTACTTGAAGAACTTTTGCTTCCTGTTACCATGTTCTTGGGCAGATTTAGAAACACTCAAAGGAAGAATGATTATTCTAGAAATGCAGTATTGTTTCTACTGAATTGGAAATTGAGACACCAGTAGTGGCTAACATTTCAGATTTCTCCTGGGAGTGTAACCTCATTGATATTATCTCATAATGATGTAGTTTCTGATGGGACTTTGTATATTCTGTGAATTTTTTCCCAGATGAGGAGAAGGGATGTTGAGAGGCAAAAGAATGGACTCTGCAGATGCCTTCTGTTTGATGCCTTCTAGACCTTTCTTTTCTTAGTTGCTGCTGCAACAACAAAAATGCCATAGTTTAGGTGGCTTAAACAACAAACATTTATTTCTCAGTTCTGGAGGCTGAGAAGTACGAGATCAAGGCATTGGCAGATTCGGTGTCTGGCAAAGGCCCTCTTCCTGGTTCATAGATGGCAACTTCTTGTTGTTTGCACACGGCAGAAAGAGGGTGAGACAGCTCTCTGGGGTCCCTTTTTTTTTTTTTTTTTTTTTTTTTTTTTTGAGATGAGTCTCACTCTGTCACCAGGCTTCAGTGAAATGGCATGATTTTTGGCTCACTACAACCTCCCCCTCCCAGGTTCAAGCAATTCTCATGTCAGCCTCCCAAGTAGCTGGGACTACAGGTGTGCACCACCATGCCCAGTTAATTTTTGTATTTTTAGTAGAGACGGGGTTTCGCCATGTTGGCCAGGATGGTCTCTGTCTCTTGACCTTGTGATCTGCCTGCCTCGGCCTCCCAAAGTGCTGGGATTACAGGTGTGAGCCACCATGCCTGGCCTGTGGGGTCCCTTTTACAAGGGCTCTAATCCCATTTCTAACAGCTCCACCCTCATGACCTAATTACTTCCTAAAGGCCCAGTCTTCTAATGCCATCGCATTGGGGTTGAGGATCTCAACATACGAATTTTGTGGTGACACAGTCAGTCCATACCACTTCTCTTCCATGATCTTTGCCCCAGGAGGTCAACCTTTGTGGACCACATCCAACAGTTCCCTTGGCCTCTGTCTTTTTGCTGTGTTTGGCCAGCAAGGCTACTCAGCAACAGCTTAGAGGGAAGGAGAGGCAGGTGTTGGAGTAATTACTCCTAGGCTCCCTCCCTGCAAGGTCTCCGCAGGCTGGTGATGTCTTTCTATGGATAATCAAGGGCTTCCCTTAGGGTGGCCATCTCCACAAGACTCTCTCCTTTCAATTTCCAGAAACTTCTCTTCCCTTTACCACTCAGGCCAAGTGTTGATAACAGGGCCCAGCTTTCTAGTCCCAGGGTAATGTACTATCTCTTGTGGCTTTTCCCACCCCTAGCATGTCTTTGTAAATAGTCTCTTTATTAAACCGTCCTCAAGTCATCCTAATTTGAGTGATTGATGTTATCAGTAAATTAAAAAAAAATTGTAAAAATAGCTTAGAGTTGCAAACTAATTTTTTACAAAATAGTTATTAAGGTAATTATTCCATTAAAAATAATTGAATATATTTTGTTTTATGTAAGACTCAGTGCATCCTCCTTTTTATTCTCATTATAAAGGACCAGTCCCATGGATTGAATGTTTGTGTCCCTCTTCAAATTCATATGTAGGAAACCCTAATGCTCAATGTGATGGTATTTGGAGATGGGACCTTTGGGCGGTAGCTAGATCATGAGGGTCAAGCCTTTGTGATGAGATTAGTGCCCTTGTGAGAACAGAATGGAAAGAGCTTGCTTCCTCTCTTTCTCTTTCATATGAGAACACAGCCACCTGCAAACCAGGAAGAGAGCCCTGTCCAGAATCCAACCATGCTGGCACCCTGAGCTCAGACTTCTAGCCTCCAGAAGTGCAAGAAATAAATTTCTTTTGTTTAAGCCACCTAGTCTATGGTATTTTTGTTATAGCAGCCCAAACTAAGATAATGGTATTGTCATCATGGACAGACATCCCTCTATGAACCAGCTTTTGAAAATCAACACCTTAGATGTCACCTAGTCCAACTGCTCACATGAAAAGAGAAAAAAGGATGCTATGGACACAAATTTCTCCCCACTTCACATTTTTATCTCAGGTACTTCCTAATTCAGCTCTGTGAGACTGACTAACTCCTGTTTTTCTAGTTCTGCACAAAATCCATCATAAGAGCTCCATTAAAAACAACTTTAAAAGAGGTATTTTATTAAATCTCAAAGTTCTTTTGGAAAATCCCAGAGACCCTGGCCCTGCCATGTCTGAAGCTCTGTGTCAGAATATCCAAGGGAGTGAGCAAGCCCATCCAATGCTTGGGAACCAGCAACATGGTGCCACATGGCATATCCCCTTAAAGGATCTCTTCCCTTTCACCAGGATGTGACCTCCTTCAGCTAAGTACCAGCCGTGCAGCGTTCTAGGGGCTGCAGAATCAGTGAGGTGAGAAACCACAGAAAGAGGTGGAAGAGGAAAAGATCTTCCCAACTCTTCTGTCTCATCCCTCCTGAGCTAGAGTTGGCTAGAATAGTGTGTCAGTTCACTCTGAAAGTGTAAAGGAACAAACTAATTTTAAGTAATTTAGGGAGAAAAGTAAGTATGTTTTTAGAAGAGGCATGGAGACCTCACTAACACGAAGGAATGGCTCAACAACAAAGGCCTCAATAAGGAGCCTTGGACAATCTGCTTGCAGACCTGCCCCAGGAATGATTCAGCTCAACTCACCTTCCCTGCTCTTCTCACTCAGCTCAAGACAAAAATTCTAAAGTGGTGGCTACTGTTGGTGCCACCCGTGCCCCTCAGCCTGCCTGCAGGTAACCTGCACTCAGGGAAGGCTTCAGGGTTACCAGCCTGAGAGCTCTCTCTAGTCACAGGAACAGGCTGGGCTTAAGCAGTGTCTTAGTCTGTTTTGTACTGCTATAACAAAATACCACAGACTGGGCAATTTATAAAGAACAGGAATTTATTTCCTCACAGTTCCAGAGGCTGGAAAGTTTCCAAGATCAAGTTTCTGGCATCTGGTGAGGGCCTTCTTGCTGCATCCTCACATGGCAGAAGAGCAGAAGAGAGCAAATCCACTCCAGCAAGCCCTTTCTGTAGAGGCATTAATCTATCCGTGAGGGCAGAACCCTCATGACTTGAACACCTCCCATTTGGCCCCACCTTCCAACACTGTTGCATTGAGGAAAAAACTTCCAACACATGAATTTGGGGGGAACACGTGAAATCAGACCATAGCAAGCAAGCAGGAAGTGTTGGAGCTGATATCCCAGCTGAGAGCCTTACTCAGTGAGGGATATGAGCTAGTGCTGCAATCTCCAACCTTTTGGACACCAGAGACCAGTTTCATATAATATAATTTTTCCACACACCAGGGGTGGGGGAAGGGGGATGGTCAGAGTTTAGTTAGATTCTCATAAGGAGTGCACAACCTAAATCCCTTGCTTGCGCAGTTCACAATAGGGTTTGCAATCCTATGAGAATCTAATGTTACTACTGATCTGACAGGAGGTGGAGTTCAGGCAGTAATGCTCACTCACCTGCTGCTCACCTCCTGCACTGTGGCCCACTTCCTAACAGGCCACAAACTGATACTAGTCTATGCCCTGGGGTTTGGGGACTCCTAAGTTAGTGGGTGGATATCCACTCCCTGAGCTAGTCCATCAGTTAGTGGATGAATACCCAGCAACTATGAGAGGCATGCTCTCCAGTTCTTAAGATAGCTTGTGTATTAGTCTATTTTCACACTGCTGATAAAGACATACCCAAGACTGGGTAATTTATAAAGAAAAAGAAATTTAATAGATTCACAGTTCCACGTGGCTGGGGAGGCCTCACAATTATGGCGGAAGGCAAAAGGCATGTCTTACATGGCGGCAGGCAAGAGAGAACCAAGGTGGCAGGCAAGAAAGAACCAAGCAAAAGGGGTTTCCCCTTATCAAACCATCAGATCTCCTGAGACTTATTCACTACCATGAGAATAGTATGAGGAAAACTGCCCCCACGATTTAATTAACTCCCACTGAGTCCCTCCCATAACACATGGGAATTATGGGAACTATAATTCAAGATGAGATTTGGGTGGGGACAGAGCCAAACCATATCATTCTACCCCTGGCCCCTCCCAAATCTCATGTTTTCACATTTCAAAACCAATCATACCTTGCCAACCGCCCCCCAAAGTTTTAACTCATTTCAGCATTAACTCAGAAGTCCACAGTCCAAAGTCTCATCTGAGACAAGGCAAGTCCCTTCTGCCTATCAGCCTATAAATCAAAAGCAAGTTAGTTACTTCCTAGATACAATGAGGGTACAGGCATTTGATAAATACACTCATTCCAAATGGGAGAAATTGGCCAAAACGAAGAGACTACAGGCTCCATGCAAGTCTGAAATCCATCAAATCTTAAAGCTCCAAAACGATCTCTTTTGGCTCCAGATCTCACATCCAGGTCATGCTGATGTAAGAAGTGGGCTCCCATGGCCTCATGTAGCTCCACCCCTGTGGCTTTGGAGGGTACAGCCTCCCTCCTGGCTGCTTTCAAGGGCTGGTGTCAAGTGTCTGTGGATTTTCCAGGCACACAGTGCATGCTGTCAGTGGATCTATCATTCTGGGGTCTGGAGGATGGTGGTCCTCTTCTCACAGCTCTGGTAGGCAATGCCCCAGTGGGGACTCCATGTGGAGGCTTCAACACCACATTTGCCTTCCACACTGCCCTAGCAGAGTTTCCCCACAAGGGCCCCACCCCTGCAGAAAACTTCTGTTTGGACATCCAGTCATTTTCATACATTTTCTATAATCTAGGTAGTGGTTCCTAAACCTCAGTTCTTGACTTCTGTGCACCCACAGGCCCAACACCATGTGGAAGCTGCCAAAGCTTGGGGCTTACACCCTCTGAAGCCATGACTCAAGCTATACCTTGGCCCCTTTTAGCCATGGCGGGAGTGGCTGGTATGCGGGTCACCGAATCCCTAGGCTGCATGCAGCAGGGGAACACTGGTGGGTGGGCCAGGCCCATGAAACCATTTTTTCCTCCTAGGCCTCCAGGCCTGTGATGGGAGGGGCTGCTTTGCAGGTCTCTGACATGCGCTGGAGACATTTTCCCCATTGTCTTGGGAATTAACATTTGGCTCCTTGTTAGTTATGCAAATTTCTGCAGCAGGTTTGAATTTCTCCTCAGAAAATGGGTTTTTCTTTTCTATCACATCATCAGGCTGCAAAATTTCTAAACTTTTATGCTCTGTGTCCCTTTTAAAACTGAATGCTCTTAACAGTACCCAAATCACCTCCTGAATGCTTTGCTGTTTAGAAATTTCTTCCACCAGACACCCTAAATCATCTCCCTAAAGTTCAAAGTTCCACAAATCTTTAGGGCAGGGGAAAATGCCACCAGTCTCTTTGCTGAAACACAGCAAGAGTCACCTTTGCTCCAGTCCACAAGCTCCTCATCTCCATCTGAGACCACCTCAGCCTGGATTTTATTGTCCATATCACTATCAGCATTTTGGTCAAAGCCACTCAACAAGTCTCTAGGAAGTTCCAAACTTTCCCACATTTTCCTGACTTCTTCTAAGTCTTCCAAACTGTTCCAACCTCTGCCTGTTACCCAGTTCCAAAGTCACTTCCACATTTTTTTGTATCTTTAAAGCAGCACCCTACTATCTGATACCAATTTCCGTTTTCACACTGCTGATAAAGACATATCCAAGACTGGGTAATTTATAAAGCAATAGAGGTTTAATGGACTCACAGTTCCACGTGGCTTAGTAGACTCACAGTTCTTACATGATGGCAGGCAAGAGACAGAATCAGAACCAAGCAAAAGGGGTTTCCCCTTATCAAACCATCATATCTCCTGAGACTTATTCACTACCACAAGAACAGTATGGGGAAACTGCCCCCATGATTCAATTCTCCCTATGGTCCCTCCCACAACACATGGGAATTATAGGATCTACAATTTAAGATGAGATTTAGGTGGGGACACAGCAAAACCATATCACCTTGATTGGCTCTCTTTCTAATTCCCAAAAGACCCTGATTCACAAATATTTAACAAACACAGCTTGTAAAACTTCCTTAAGTACTTTTTTCCTATTCACTCCTTGAGTCTTGCCTTGATTGTCTGATGAACGTCTGTACTCCTCCTCCTCTGTCCTAGGAGAGAGATTTGTGCCCCCACAACCACCAAACTCCTTTTCCACACATATGCCAGAACTGCAGGGGAGATTAAGTTTGTGCTAAAGACACTTATTGCAGGCAACACATGTATTAAGGCCTTCCACCTTCAGTTACTAGCAGCTATATGATTGATGGCCACAGTACCAGGTTTCCATCACACTTCACATGTACAGTACAATAGGCAAGAGTTCACTGACTGGGTGCTCTCAGCATGTCTACATTGATATACCTGTATGTCTTCTCACTGGGCTATTGGTGTAATAAAAGTCACAATCCCAGTGGCTTTCCAGCTCCAGTTCCTACCTTCACACAACCCAGTGATACTTCTCTGCACCCTCTCCATCCCACTCAATATGAGATGCCTTACATACTAGAATCCAGAAATGTGCCCAGCTACCCCAGAATGGATAACTGGACTAGAAAATATAGCTAAAGCTGAACTGTTAATGACCCCAGGCAGCAAGATGATGCTCAATGACAGACTCAGTAAGTCTGGGTGGGCCAAAGCAGAGGCAGCTGCCCTAAGAACCATCTAGAGAATGCCCTGAGCAGGCCAAACACTCCACCAAGGGAATCGAGAGAGACTTCGATACCCAAATGGTTTTTTTTTTTAATTTGTATACATTAAGGTTCATTCTCTGTGCTGTAATATTCTATGGGTTTGAACAAATGGATAATGTCACTGTAATGTATCTGCCATTACATTACCATACAGAATAGATTCTCTGCCCTAATAATTCCCTGTGCTTTACGTATTTATCCCTTTTCTCTCTCCCTGAAACTCTGAAAATCACTGTGTCTCCATAGTTTTGTCTTTTTCAAATCATCATATAGTTGGAATCGTATGGTCTTTTCAAACTGGCTTCTTTCACTTAGTCAACGTATTAAAAGTTTCTCCATCATTTTTCATGGCTTGAATAATAATCCATTCTATGGGTGTACTAGTTTGTTTATCCATACACCTATTGAAGGACATCTGTGTTGCTTCCAATTTAGGGCAATTATGCAAAAAGCTGCCGTCATCATTCATATGCAGGTTTTTGTGTGGACACAAGTTTTCAGCTCATTGGGGTAAATACTAAGTAGCATAATTTCAAAATTTTATGGTAAGACTATGTTTAGCTTTGTAAGAAACTGACAAACTGTCTTTAAAGTAGCTGTAACATTTTGCATATCCACTAGCAATGAATGAGAGGTTTATTTTTTATTTTTTAATTTCAATAGGTTTTGGGGAAACAAGTGGTGTTTGATTACATAAATAAGTTATTCAGTGGTGATTTCTGAGATTTTGGTTCACCCATCACCCAAGCAGTGTACACTGTATGCAATGTGTAGTCCTCTATTCCTCACCATCCCCAACCCTTTCTCCCAAATCCCCAAAATCCAATGTGTTATTCTTATGCCTTTGTGTCCTCACAGCTTAGCTCCCACATATGAATGAGAACATATGATGTTTGGTTTTCCACTCCTGAGATACTTCACTTAGAATCTAATTCTATCCAGGTTGCTGCAAATGTTCCTTTTTATGGCTGAGTAGTATTCCATGGTATACATATACCACATTTTCTTTATTCATTCATTGATTGATGGGCATTTGGGCTGATTCCATGTTTTTGCAATTGCAAATTGTGCTGCTATAAACATGCATGTGCAAGTATCATTTTTGTATAGTGACTATTTTTCCTCTGGGTAGATACCCAGCAGTGGGATTGCTGGATCAAAGAGTAGATCTACTTTTAGTTATTTAAGGAACCTCCACACTGTTTTCTATAGTGGTTGTACTGGTTTACATTCCTACTAACGGTGTAAAAGTGTTCTCTTTTCACCACATCCATGCCAACGTCTATTATTTTTTTATGAAGGCCATTCTTGCAGGAGTGAGGTGGTATCACATTGTGGTTTCAATTTGCATTTCCCTGATAATTAGTGATGTTGAGCATTCTTCCATATGTTTGTTGGCCATTTGCATATCTTCTTTTGAGAATTTTCTATTCATGTCCTTAGCCCACTTTTTGATGGGATTATTTGTTTTTTCCTTGCTTATTTGTTTGAGTTCTTTGTAGATTCTGGATATTAGTCCTCTGTCAGATGTACAGATTGTGAAGATTTTCTCCCACTCTGTGGGTTGTTTGTTTACTCCACTAATTATTTCTTTTGCTGTGCAGGAGCTTTTTAGTTTAATTAAGTCCCAACTATTTATTTTTGTTTTTTTACTGCATTTGCTTTTGGATTTTTGGTCATGAAGTCTTTGCCTAAGCCAATGAGTAGAAGGGTTTCCAGATGTTATATTCTAGAATCGTTATGGTTTCAGGTCTTACATTTAAGTCTTTGATCCATCTTGAGTTGATTTTTGTGTGAGGTGAGAGATGAGGATCCAGTTTCATCTTCTACATGTTGCTTGCCAATTATCCCAGCACCACTTGTTGAATAGGGTGTCCTTTCCCCACTTTATGTTTTTGGTTGCTTTGTTTCAAATATCAGTTGGCTGTAAGCATTTGGCTTTATTTCTGGGTTCTCTTTTCTGTTCCATTGATCTATGTGCCTATTTTTTATACCAGTACCATACTGTTTTGGTGACTATGGCTTTATAGTATAGTTTGAAATTGGGTAATGTGATGCCACTAGATTTGTTCTTTTTGCTTAGTCTTGCTTTTGGTATGCAGGCTCTTTTTTTGATTTGTAAATTCATAAATAAATTCACAAAATTTATGAATTTTAGGATAGTTTTTTTCTAGTTCTGTGAAGAATGATGGTGGTATTTTGGTGGGAATTGCATTGAATTTATAGATTGCTTTTGGCAGTACAGTCATTTCCACAATATTGATTCTACCTATCCATGAGCATGGGATATGTTTCCACTTGTTTGTGTTGTCTATGATTTTTTTTTTAGCAGTGTTTTGTAGTTTTCCTTGTAGAGGTATTTTAGGTCATTGGTTAGGTAAAGTCCTAAGTATTTTGACTTTTGTTTGTTTGTTTGTTTGTTTTACAGCTATTGTGAAAGGGGTTGAGTTCTTGATTTGATTCTCAGCTTGGTTGCTGTTGGTGTATAGCAGAGCTACTAATTTGTGTGCATTAATTTTGTATCCTGAAACTTTATTGAATTCATTTACCAGTTCTAGGAGCTTTTTGGATGAATCTTTAGGGTTTTCTAGGTATACAATCATATGATCAGCAAACAGCAACAGTTTGATTTCTCTTTATTGATTTTGATGCTCTTTATTTCTTTCTCTTGTCTGATTGCTCTGGCTCAGACTTCAAGTACTATGTTGAATAGAAGTTGTGAAAGTGGGCATCCTTGTCTTATTCTAGTTCTCAGGGGGAATGCTTTCAACTTTTCCCTGTTCAGCATAATGTTGGCTGTGGGTTTGTCATAGATAGCTTTTATTACCTTAAAGTATGTCCCTCCTATGCCAATTTTGCTGAGGGTTTTAATCATAAAGGGATGCTGTACTTTGTCACATGCTTTTTCAGCACTTATTGAGATGATTATGTGATTGTTGTTTTTAATTCTGTTTATGTAGTGTATTACATTTATTGACATATATATGTTAAACCATCCTTGCATCCCTGGTATGAAACCCACTTGATCATAGTGGATTATCTTTTTTATATGCTATTGGATTCAGTTTGCTAATATTTTTTGAGGATTTTTGCATCTATGTTCATCAGGGATATTGGTCTGTAGTTTTATATTTTGTGTGTGTCTTTTCCTGATTTTGGTATCAGGGTATAGTGGCTTCATAGAATAATTTAGGGAGGATTCCTTCTTTCTCTGTCTTTTGGAATAATGTCAATAGGATTGGTACCAATTCTTCTTTGAATGTCTGGTAGCGTTCAGCTCTGAATATATCTGGTCCTGGACTTTTTTTTCTTGGCAATTTTTTAAATTACCATTTTAATCTCACTGCTTCTTATTGGTCTGTTCAGGGATTCTACATTTTCCTGATTTAATCTAGATGGTTGCATATTTCCAGGAATTTATCTATCTCCTCTAGGTTTTCTAGTTCATGTGTATAAAGGTGTTCATAGTAGCCTTGAATAATCTTTTGTATTTCTGTGGTATCAGTTGTAATATCTCCTGTTTCATTTCTAATTGAGCTTCTTTGGATCTTCTCTCTTCTTGGTTTATCTCAATTTTGGTCTATCAGGTTTTATTTTTTAATCTTTTCAAAGAACCATCATTTTGTCCCACTTATCTTTTGTATTTTTTTTTTGTTTCAATTTCATTTAGTTCTGCTCTGATCTTTGTTATTTCTTTTCTTCTTTTGGGTTTGGATTTGGGTTGTTCTTGTTTCTCCAGTTCCATGAGGTGTGACCTTAGATTGTGTATTTTTGCTCTTCCAGACATTTTGATGTAGGCATATAATACTATGAACTATCTTCCTAGCACTGCTTTTGCTGTATCCATGAGGTTTTGATAGGTTGTGTCATTATTATAGTTCAGCTCAAAGAATTTTTAAATTTCCATCTTGATTTCATTGTTGACCCAACAATTATTCAGCAGCAGGTCATTTAATTTCCATGTATTTGCATTATTTTGAGGGCTCCTTTTGGAGTTGATTTCTAATTTTATTCCACTGTGATCTGAGAGAGTACTTGATGTAATTTCAATTTTTTAAAATTTACTGAGACTTGTTTTGTGGCCTATCATATGGTCTACCTTGGAGAATGTTCTGTATGCTGATGAATAGAATGTATATTCTGCAGTTGTTGGGTAGAATGTTCTGTAAATATCTCTTAGGTCCATTTGTTGTAGGGTATCATTTAAATCCATTGTTTCTTTTCTGACTTTCTGTCTTGATGACCTGTCTAGTGCTGCCAGTGGAGTATAAAAGTCCCCCACTATTATTGTGTTGCCATCAATCTCATTTCTTAGATCTAGTAGTAATTGTTCTATAAATTTGGGAACTCCACTGTTAGATGCATATATATTTAGAATTGTGACATTTTCCTGTTGAAGTAGTCCTTTTATCATTATCTAATGTCCCTCTTTGTCTTTTTTAACTGTTGTTGCTTTAAAGTTTGTTTTTCTGATATAAGAATAGCTATTCCTGCTCACTTTTGGTGTTCATTTGAATTGAATATCTTTTTCCACCCTTTTACCTTAAGTTTATGTGAGTCCTTATGTGTTAGGTGAGTCTCCTGAAGACAGGAGAAACTTGATTGGTGAATTCTTATCCACTCTGCCATTCTGTATCTTTTACTTGGAACATTTAAGCCATTTATATTCAATATTAGTATTGAGATGTAAGGTACTATTCTATTCATTGTACTATTTGTTGCCTGAATACCTTGTGTTTTTTTCATTGTTATTGTTATATAGGTCCTTGAGATTTATGCTTTAAGGAAGTTCTATTTTGGTGTATTTCAAAGCTTTGTTTTAAGATTTAGAGCTCATTTTAGCAGTTCTTGTAGTGCTGGCTTGGTAGTAGTGAATTCTCTCAGCATTTGTCTGGAGAAGACTGTATCTTTCCTTCATTTATGAAGCTTATTTTTGCTGGATACAAAATTCTTGGCTGATAATTGTTTTAAGGAGGCTAAAAATAGAACCCCAATCTTTTCTAGCTTGTAGGGTTTCTGCTGAGAAATCTGCTGTTAATCTGATAGGTTTTCCTTTATAGGATACCTGATGATTTTGCCTTACAGCTCTTTTCTTTCCTTCATCTTGACTTTAGATAACCTGATAATTATGCACCTAGGTGATTATCTTTTTGCAGTGAATTTCCCAGGTGTTCTTTGAGCTTCTTGTATTTGGGTGTCTAGATCTTTAGCAAGGCTGGGGAAGTTTTCCTTGATTATTCCCCCAAATATATTTTCCAAACTTTTAGATTTCTCTTCTTTCTCAGGAACAACAATTATTCTTAGGTTTGGACATTTACTATAGTCTCAAACTTCTTGGAGGCTTTGTTCATTTTTTTATTCTTTTTTCTTTGTCTTTATTGGATTGGGTTAATTCAAAAGCCTTGCCTTCAAGCTCTGAAGTTATTTCTTCTGCTTATTTGGTTCTTTTGCTAAGACTTGCCAGTGCATTTTGCATTTCTCTAAGTGTGCTCTTGAGTTCCAGAAGTTGTGATTGTTTTTTATTTATGCTATTTCACTGAAAATTTTTTTTAATATCCTGTATCCTATTTTTGATTTCTTTAAGTTGGACTTCCCCCTTCTCTGGTGCCTCCTGGATTAGCTTAATAATTGACCTTCTGAATTCTTTTTCTTGCAATTCAGATATTTTTGTTTTGGTTTGGATCCATTGCTGGTGGGCTGGTTTGATCTTTTGGATGTATTAAAAAACCTTGTTTTGTCATATTACCAGAATTGTTTTTCTGGTTCCTTCTCATTTGGGTAGACTATGTCACAGGGAAGACCTGGGATTCAAGAGCTGCTGTTCAGATTATTTTGTTCCATGGGGTCCTCCCTTGATGTGGTATTCTCCTCCTTTCCCTGGGAATGGGGCTTCCTGGGAGCTGAACTGTAGTGATTGTTTTTGCCCTTCTGGGTCTAGCCACCCAGTAGGCTACCAGGCTCCAGGCTGGTACGGGGGAGTGTCTGTAAATACTCCTGTGATGTGATACATCTTCAGGTCTTTCAGCCATGGGTACCAGCACCTGCTGTGGTGGAGGTAGCAGGGGAGTGAAATGGACTCTGTGATGGTCCTTGGTTGTTTTTAGTGTGCTGGTTTTATGTTGTTTGGCCTCCAGCCAGGAGGTGGCGCTTTCAAGTGCACATTAGCTGTGGTCCTATAGGGAGGATGCAAACTTGCCCAAGGGACAGCTGGTTAAGTATTCAGGATTCTTAGCTAGTGAGCAGGGCCATAGAGCACCCAAGAGATTATGAACTTCATCTTCAGCTACCAGGGCAGGTAAAGAAAGACCACCAGGTGGGGGTAGGATTAGGCGTGTCTGAGCTCAGCCTCTCCTTGGGAATGGCTTGTTGCGGCTGCTATTGGGGAATGGGGGTGTGGTTCTCAGTCCAATGGAGTTATGTTCCCAGGGTGATTATGGCTGCCTCTATTGAGTCACACAGGCCACCAGGGAAGTGGAAGAAAGCTAGCAATCACTGGCCTCATCCAGCTCCCATGCAGCCGGCAGTTCTAAAGGTCGGTCTCACTTCCACTGTGCCCCCCGCAACAGCACTGTGTGTATTTTCAGGCAGCCAGTGACCAGGGCTGAGAACTTGTCCCAGACCATGAGCCACCCTGTTGAGAAAGCAAGCTGCTTTGGCAGTTTTTCAGCATCTCAGGGAGGCTGCAGTAGTGATCCAGTGCCATCAAAGGGTCTGTGGATTCTCTCGGCTTTCCTGGTATGTTCCTGCAGCAGTTCTTAGAGCAGAAGTTCATGATGTGAGTCTCCATGCGCTGCTCTGTTCATCCAAGTAGGAGCTGCAAGCTAGTCCTGCCTCCTATCTGCCATCTTACCCTGATCCTCTGAGAGTTTTTGCTTCACATCAACACTGGCATTTAGTATTGTCAGATTTCTGGACTTTGGCTATTCCAATATATATGTAGTGGTATCTCATTGTTGTTTTAATTTGCAATTCCCTAATGGCATATGATGTTGAATATTTTTTCATATGCTTATTTGCCATCTGTACATCTTCTTTGATGAGGGATCTATTCAGATCTTTTGCTTATTTAAATTGGACAAAAATCCCAATTTCCAGATGGACCCACATGAGTTTTTGTTGTTGTCGTTGTTGAGTTTTAAGAGTTCTTTTTATATTTCAGATATAAGTCCATTACCAGATATTTGTCTGGCAAATATTTTCTCCCAGTCTGTGACTTGTCTTTTCATTCTCTTAACAATGTCTTCTGCAGTGCAAAAGTTTTTTATTTTAATAAAGTCAAATTTAAATAAGCGTTTTCTTTCATAGATTCATGCTTTTAGTATTTTGTCTAAAAGCTCATCACTCCACCCAAGGTCACTTTGATTTCTCCTGTGGTTTGTCCTGCATGTTTGCAGGTTTGTGCTTTACATTGAGGTCTATGATCCATTTTGAGTTAATTTTTATGAAAGGGTTAAGATCTGTGCCCAGATTTTTTTTTTTTTTTTTTTTTTTTTTTTTTTTTTTTTTTTTTTTTTTTGGCTTCTGGACCCTCAATTGTTCCAGCATCATTTATGAAAAAGACTATCTTTGCTCAATTGAATTGCTCTTGCTCCATTGTCAAATATTAGTTGAGTATATTTGTGTGGGTCTATTTCTGGGCTTTCTATTATGTTCCATTGGCCTATGTATCTATTCCTTCACCAATACTACACCGTCTTGATCATTTAATTTCTGTCTTGATTACTATAGTAAGCCTTGAAGTTGGGTAATGTCAGTCCTCCAACTTTGTTCTTCTTGTTCATTATCGTATTGGCTGTATTGGTTCCTTTGCCTTTCCATGTAAACTTTAGAATCAATTTGTCAACACCCACAAAATACCTTACTGGGATTTTCGTTGGAATTGCATTAAACCTGTAGATCAAGTTGAGAAAAGCACACATCTTAACAATACTGAATCTTGTAATACCTGAACACAGAACATCCTTCCATTATCAATAATAGATCTTCTTTGCTTTCTTTCAAAAGTTTTGTAGTTTTCTGCATAGATATGTATAGATCTTTTGCAAATTTTATTCACTTTATGCCTTACCTAAGAACTTTTTTTGGTGTTAATATAAATGGTGACACTTTGGTTTTCACAAAAAGGATTAAACGAATGCCTTTTTAAAAATTAAATTAGCTAAAATTGTACTAATTTGTTTAGCTGTAAAATAATGCTGTTTGGTGCATTGTGCTTGGTTAACCAAGAGATGGAGGTTTAGGCAGAAAAACAGTGATTCTGTGTGTGTGGCTGCTCAGCCTGAAGTTTTTAGAGGAGGGAGAAGGGCCACTGGGTTGGACAGGTCATAAGGTGGAAAGTCTGAGGTGGCCTTGAGAATCCCTTAAGGAACCTAAATAAGCCCAAGACACTGGGAAACTTGGTAGGGAAAAGTGAAAACAGGGTTATTTCTATCAGTAACCCATAACTTCCCAAAGCCAACAAGAAGGTCACTTTGGTTTCCCAGCTAGCTAGTAAACTCCGTTTCTTTCTGTGCCTGCTTCCTAATTCCAGAAACCCCAGGGCTGACACAGCGTACTTTGTAAAACTTCTTGCAGCAAATCAAAGCTAAGACCATTTTCCTCAGGCATCTTCAGCTTTGTCCATACCTTTGTTAGACATGGAACAGCCCTAAAGGGCAGCTCCCAGGTTCTGTCATAAGCCTGGAGACATGATATCTTCAGGTCTCTTAGGGTCTAGGATTGGATAGGAAAACCCACAAAGAACCCAGGTGTGGTTGGGAACCCGCAGAGTAGTCCCCTGTTGAGGCCTGCAGCTTCTCACAGCCACTTGTCATGGCTTTTCATCCTCAGAGCAAGAAGACGGACTAAACAGCCTTAACTGTGAACTATGCTCCAAAGCAAGGCACATACGTAGAGGACCACCTCCACACATGTGTTAAGGGAGACCCTGCCATCCCACAGCAGTGGTTCTCAACCTTGAGTGGCATCAGAATCCACACAGTGCTTCTTTTATTTTTTATTTATTGTATTTTTTGAGATGGAGTCTCACTCTGTCACCCAGGCTGGAGTCCAGTGATGTGATCTCGGCTCACTGCAAGCTCCGCCTCCCGGGTTCATGCCATTCTCCTGCCTCAGCCTTCCAAGTAGCTGGGACTACAGGCATGCACCACCACACTCGGCTAATTTTTTGTATTTGTATTTTTTTTGTAATTGTATTTTGTATTTTAGCTTGTATTTGTATTTTTAGTAGTGACAGGGTTTCACCGTGTTAGCCAGGAAGGTCTCGATCTCCTTGTGATCAGCCCACCTCAGCCTCCCAAAGTGCTGGGATTACAGGTGTGAGCCACTGCGCCTGGCCCCCACAGTGCTTCTTATAGCTCAGATTCCTGGGCTGCACTCCTGGAGTTCCTGATTCCTTAGGTCTCCAGTGAGGCCTGAGAGTTTGCATGTCTAACAAGCTCTAGCTGCTGGTTTGGAGACCATACTTTTAGAACACTGGTCTACAGATCTCCTGTCTTGTCCTTTCTAGTCTAGAAATCATGCTTGTTTGCTCATGGGTTCTAAGTGACAGCCAATCACCGCCTTCCTTTGCCTTAGTGGGGAATGAAAGAGACAAATTTCTCCCTAACTCTTTGGCCAAAACTCTTCCAGAGGCTAATGACTTCTCATTTCTCCTTCTCTGCTCATTTGCATCCTCTGTCACTGAGTACAGGTCTCATCTCCTCTAAGCACTTGGTGGGAAGAGTTCAGCCTCATCCCTCATGGCAGCTCCAGTCAACACCCAACAGAGACCAACCAAAGCCAAGTTGCTGGAAAGGGACTCTGAGTGGCCAGTTTGGGTCATGTGACTCCATTGCCCACGGGAGCAGTCTCTCTGAGAAGAAACAGTGTCAGAGCAGGTGGATAAGCAACATTCCTGCCTCAGTCATAGGCCCCAGTGTTCTCCACTGTCCGTCAGTAAGCCAGGCTTGCTTGTCCTGCACATCTCACTGACACCAACAGTGGAAGTGCTGATTTCTTCCTGCTGGTAAGTTGCAACTGGCTTTGATGAAGTACTCATATATGCAATCTCCCCAAGTGCACTGACATTCAGTGACCATCTCTGGAGTATCTGCCAAGTACCAGGAAGCAGAGTACAACTGTCACAGCCGGGCTCAGGCATCAGAACGCTCGGCCACAAATCCTGGCCATGTCATCCTAGTCCCTATCTCAGGATGGCTGTGGGGACCAAAGGGTTTAACCCACATGTGTGCTCATTGTGCTTATCATTTTGCATGCATACATCCATTCACTTCTCGTGGTAGACATATATCATCAGTATTACCATCCCCATTTTATGGATGAGAGAATTGAAACTTAGATGAAGAAATCTACTTAAGGGATTAGAACCCCAGGTCTGTCTGATTCCAAAGCTCATGCTAGTAAACTTGATGTGAGATTGTCTCTCCAGATTGTATATGCCAGACACACATGCTGGATACTTGCAAATATACTATATCATTTAGTAATATGTTCACATTGCACAAATATGAATATGGATATGGATATAATATAAATATCTCATATAATATAAACATGAGTGTGTGTGGTTAACAAACAGCCATGACAGCTGACCTCAAACAGCAAGCAGCCTGTAGTGCTGCCTACTGAGTTTAAACAACTTTCACAGAATACAGGCATTCAGACAAGGACACTCAGTGACCAGGATGAAACAAGACAGAAACAAGAGCCCTCTATAATTATGTCTAAACCTAATTAGAGGCAAGGGCACACTGCAACCACAAAATTAACTAATAATTAGCTTCTGTTTCTTTACCAAGTGATAACTTTAGCCCCATTTTAATCCTCCAGCTTCCTAGATAACAATTACGAAGATACTCAACAACAGAACTGTTTCTGCTTTCTAATAAGACCCAACCCAGAAGTAGCCTCCACTTCCCCAAACCCTCCTTAGAATCACCCAACAAGCCCACACCCTATCAGAAGCCCCATCCCAGTGTCCTGTTTCTGAGATACCCGATTCCCCTGGTGTGTGCTTTCCTCTTCTGCAGAAAGTTAAATGAACCTAACCTTGCTTGATAAGTGTGTTCCTAGAGTCTCTGACTAGTGTGGCTTTGGCAATTCATATGCAACATACACACATACACACCATTCTAAAGCATTAAATAGTGTGTTCAGTGATTGATTGTGTCCACCAAATTCAACAAACTCATATGCAACTACTTCAGCAAATGACCAGCTGAAGGACTCTTCCAGATTCCAAGCTCAGTTGGCCCTTGGTCGTCTCTCTGTGCAGAACCCACTCCATGCTCCCTTAACCTGGAAGCCAAGTCTCAGATTCCCTGGGGAAAGCCCCAGGACCCAGACTCATTTTCCAGCAACTTCTGCTAGCACAAACCTGCAGGCCTAAATCAGGGATTACAAGTGTCTAAGAAGTTGGACTTCCAATCATCAGAATGCAAGCACACACCCAAATCAAAATGTGCACAATGTGAGGGGAAATCTCATGAGGAAGCAGAGAAGGGGATGCTAATTGCAAATGTTGAGGTGAGACGGAAAGCCAGAATTCCTTCTGAAACAGAGAGGAAAGAGCCCTGGTTTTGGAGGGAGAGTCTCTGCCTGGCTCTGGAGTGTGGCCAGGGTGACCTGGAGCAGAGACTGTAAAATAAAGAGATTGAGCAAGTTACCTGATGCTCCAACCTGAGGCCCTGTGGGCCCCCATACTGACCTGTGTGGGGACACTGGGAAGGAGCTGAGAGGGCCCTGGAAGTCCCCTCCCCCACTGCCCAACAACTTTGCTCTAATCTCTCATAAGCGTCTATTCTCATTTAGACAGTGTTAAAAGAAGGGCTTTAGCAGATAACAAAAGCAGTTTGAAAAATCACTGGATTAAAAATATCTCTGATAGCCACAACTTTATGTCAAGAAAGGACAGTATACAATTATTAAACACAAAAGGAAAATAAAATGTTCAGACCATTCTTCAAAACTTGAAGGTCAAAAGTCCGATGGCCACTTTCAAGCGGGTATTGACGGAAGGTTCTCTCGCTCACAGGGAACCTGAATGCGAAGTTGGGCTGATGGACGGATTTGAAGATAGTATTAGCATGCTACTTCCATTTTAACATTTAAGTAGGAATATATAATGTCATAATCTTAAAGAACTAAGCAATATGGAGGTTGCAGATACCGCAGAGAAACGGAGAGAAGGCAGTCTTGCTTTGAGTCCCTCAGTATGCACCACGAGCAGCTGGAATGTAAGGCTAGCCCTGTTAAGGCCCCCGCACTGCAGGGCACAGCAGTTAGAGCCATGAGTCGAGCCTTACGGATGCTGGGAGGGAGGGAAAGTAGGAGAAGGGGCTGGTGGTGTGATTAGAGAGAAGGGGGAAGTGTGGGATTTGAGCTTGAGATTGGGGACCGGGGAATGGGGTGGGACTCGCTAGGTTGAGGATCCTACCAAGCACAGTGAGCAAGTAGGGTGCTTGTTAACAACCCCTCTGTCAGCTCATCGCCAAAGTGCAAAAAAAATGCAGAGAAGTGTGCTCTCCCATATGGGCTTTATATTTTTATTTTTCATATTTTTAATATTATCGAAGTATGACAACTTTACAGGCAATTGCACAAATGCATATGAACTTACATGAAATGAACACACACTTAGCCATCCCCCAGAACCAGAAGCAAAACACTGCCACCACCCTGTACCCCCAAAACCTCCTCATGCCCCAACTACCTCCCCACATCCTGCCTTCCAAAACCATACATTAATGTTTCTTCTTCTTGAACTTCATGTAATGGAGTCAGACACAAAAATATGCACTCTTTTGTGCCTGGCTTCTTATGTTCAACATTATCCTTGTGAGGTCCATTCATGTTGCTGCAGGTTGTTCATTTTGTTCATTCTCATTGCTGTAGTAAGTATAGCACAAATTGTTCAGCAATTCTACTGTGGATGGACGTTTGTATTATTTCCAGTTTGGGGCTACTATGAATAATGCTGCTAAGACCATTCTAGTGCATGCCTTTTGATGCACTATTGCATGCATTTCTATTGGGTTTATTTCTAGGAGTGAGATTGCTGGGTCATACTGTATCCATATATATTTGGCTTTATGAGATGTTACTAACAGTATATCACAATGGTCATATTAATTATATTCCCACCAGAAGTACACCAGAGTCTGTGGACTTTTTAATACATATGTCATGGGGAAAAAGAGGAAGAAGAGGAGAAGGGAGAAGAGAAAAAGAGAATAGAATTGGCCCCATGAAAATGACCTCTCTCCCCTCTTTAGGTCATCAGAGGATGCAAGTGAGAGTAACACAAGCTTTGGCCTCTCTTGAGGGCCGTGAGAGAAAAGCACATGCACAGGCTTTTGCCGCAGGGGCCTGCACTCTGAGTAGGGTGTGGTGGGTGGGGTGGCATACTGAAATGTCTGACCCTGCTGGGCTGCGCACCTCCCACTCCAGCAAGCCACACCACCCCTGGAGCCCAAGGCAGATGCGTCCTTGCCCTCAGGGTTGCCAACAATTCCTCCTGACATGTGCTTCAGGCAGAAGCCCAGATGCACCAGTGATGCGATGTACAGAAATGATTTTTCCAATGACTGTGCCAATGTAACTGCGGCCAAACCACCCCAGGGACCAACGGGAGCTGGTGATGACTGTGCCATGTTCGGGAGGTCACATGAGGCCAGCAGAGGATGGAAGAGACCAGCAAAAAGTAAGGTTGTACTTTTGATTTCTCCCTCCTATAAACTTGTCATGAAATAGTTACCCCTGGTAGAGTCAGCAAACAGGGCTGGACCAGCAGCCCAGTTAATGATGACTGGGTGGCCTGGCTGGGCCCCGTGTCTACGGAGCAGGAAAACATTCGCGATCGTTCTGATCAACAGGACTTACCAGTCATGGGGATTCACAGTAGAGTCTTGGTAGCTGCTGCCACACATGGGGGGCGGTAGGAGCCAGAGCCAACGTAAAACATCTCAGTTTGCAGGGTGTGTATACATTCTATTTCCTCCTCGAGATTAAACACTCTCACTCCCTGAGCGCTGCTGCTGACAGCCTTCTGGGTGTAAATGATGTGAGATGTCTGCATTCTATGTCCATTTCAAGTTGAAAAGAGAGCAAGAATAAGATTATATTTTTAGAAGCTGAGAGATACAGGCTGGCTGGGGGGTTGAGAGGGAAAGCAAATTCCAGCAACCAAGCTAACAGCTGCTGTTCTGAAATGCAAATCTTTCATCCAGTCACTGGGAAGTTCTATGCTGTTTGAGAATGGCCTGGTCTGGCCTCCCTCCCTTTTCTTCATATTCCTGAGCAACTTCAGGAGAGAGAGCAAAAAAATCTTTAAATTAACTAAATAATTAGAAGATAAATTAAATAAAAGATTACCTTCCATCTGGTTGGAATGGAGCCCTGCCTGGAGTCAAGGAGACAAACCAGATAAAATCCTCTCAAGGAAATGGCTTTGGTGAGGATGGCGAGATTTCCTGTTTCAAAATACATATAACCTAAATGACAAGAAGAAAGATATGTATTGGTGAGCATCTTCTTGGCTCTTTGTTTCTAGATCTAAACACTTCAATTTTAAAAAAATTTATTAAATTCTGGCTGAGTGCAGTGGCTCACACCCGTAATTCCAGCACTTTGGGAAGCTGAGGTGAGAGGATCACTTGAGGCCAGGAGTTCAATACCAGCCTGGGCAACATAGAGAGACCCCATCTCTAAAAAAAGAAAAAATTAAATTAGCCAGGCAGGGTGGCACACACCTGTAGGCCCAGCTACTCAGGATGCTGAGGTGGGAGGACCCCATTGAGTCCAGGAGTTTGAGGCTGCAGTGAGCTATGGTTGCACCACTGTACTCCATCCAGCCTAGGCAACAGAATGAGACCTTGTCTATAAAAAAAAAAAAAAAAAAAAGAAGTATTGAATTCTTTTCATATGCAGATGCTATACTAAGGTGTACAAAAATTCTACTTCATTGAAGATACAAAGATGCATAAGAGAGATCCCCTCTCCAAGGAACCTGAAGTCTAGAGGAGGAAACAGATGGATAACCCCTAGCAATGCCACGTGGTCAGGAAGGAACTAAGCAGGAAGACCATGTCCTGTCTTGTCCACTTAGCAGCTGTGTACCTGGAGGAGCTCTTACTCCTCAACATTGTTGCAGGAGTCAAACAGACTCAGGTACGTAAAGCCCTAGATTGGTAAACACACACAAATGTCAGTCCTTCTGCTGAATCACCTGTTATCAACGTGGCACCCCCAGGAGTCCCATCTGAGACTTGGAGCCACTTCCTAGCACTCCTTTCCCTGAGAGGTTCCAGGTTTGAACATGAATCTTATTACCAATGAGAAGCCTGTGGTGGGAAGGCAGGAGGAAAGCTCTTGGGAGGTCATGTTGGCTCACACCGCAGTTTTAGGGAGCATGTGGTTTAGCAAACCTCACTGGGCACTCCCACTCTGGCAGGCAGTCACAGCAGCTTCTCAGGCACGCCCAAGAGTTCCAGTCTTTCCAGTTCTGAGTTGTAGGTGACTGTTTCTCCTACCCTTTAACTGCAGCCTTCAGACCATGACTCTCCCAGCCCCTCCCATGTTTGGGTAAGCCCCAATCCTGTATGAAACCCTTTATTTCTTTAACACATTTAGCGACTCTGTTCTTACCAACCAGGCTGATATATTTTTCATCCCAGAGACATAAATGACGAGAAATAATAAGGTGTATTTAGGGACTGGCTGATAGTCTGACATAGCTGCCAAACACCAACATATTTTGAGAACAAAGTCACAGCCAGGCAATTCTGAGCAGACCTGCTCAGAGAATGTGTGTGCATGTAAGTGTCTGTGTGAAGAACTCTTCATACAACTTAGGATTGGAGAGAGCAAAGGTCCTTGATGCTGGACTCAACACTGAGCACACTCATAGGTTTATGTGCAAAAGTTTGTCATGTTCCATTATTTTACTGTGATACTACTCGTGGATCTGCAGGTCAGCCGTAGCTCTGTTGGATTCAGCAGAGGTTGGCTCCACGCTACAGGGCAAGTTTGGTTCTGCTCTGTGTAACTTACATTCTGTAACCTAGGATGAAGAAGTTACCTGGGGCATCCTCTGCAGGATAAGTAGGGTTCTGCTGCAACAGTGCGGCACAACAAAGAAAATAATCTACCACAGACTCCCGGGATCCTATGTGCATCCAGCCTTTTTCTATTATAGAAACTGGACTTTATTTTTATCCCCCTTTCACTATTTCTCAGTTCTCAATGCAAAAGTTTTACTGGCATGATTACTCAATAAACAAATAAATAAGTAAATAATAAAGATAAAGAACAGTGACACTTTGTGCCCTAAACTTATGATCTCTGGAATGAGGTGTCCACACTCCAGGGGATAGGGCAGGCACTTCTTTGGGGGTACAGAAATAAAATATTTATCAAATTAAATATTTAAGCCCATATTTATATTTTTTTAACCAAAAGCAACCTTAGCCTTCCGAGAGTTAATGTATGGAATGACATGGCATTGCCAAAGGATCTGTGTGCTAGTCATGTCCCCAGGGATCCTGAAGGAAGGAAGAGAATTCTATGATGCAAAGGGGTTGATAGTGATTTTTTAAAATCTTAAATATTCCTTGATATGGTTTGGCTCTGTGTCCCCACCCAAATCTCACCTTGAATTGTAATCGCCATAATCCCTGCATGTCAAGAATAAGACCACGTGGAGGTAATTGGATCATGGGTGTGGTTTCCCCCATGCTGTTCTGATGATAATGAGTGAGTCTCAGGAGATCTGATGGTTTTATAAGTGTCTGGCATTTCCCCTGCTTGCACTCACTCCATCCTGCCCTGCCACCTTGTGAAGAATGTGCCTACTACCCTTTCACCTTCTGCCATGATTGTAAGTTTCCTGAGGTCTCCCCAGCCATGTTGAACTGTGAGTCAATCAAACCTATCTTTCCTTTGTAAATTACCCCGTCTCAGGCAATTCTTTATAGCAGTATGAAAATGGATTAATACAGTAAGTTTCTCAACTGAAATTCCAGGAAATTAAGTCCTAATGACCTAAGACATCCACTGAATGTAAGAGATTAGCTTCACCCTGTGCATCTAGAATAGTACTAGCTAGCCATACAGAGAAATACAGGAAAATTATTCAAATCACTTTCTGTAGGTCATAATTCAGTTCAGAATGGCTGGATAAAACCATCACGTTCAGCAAGACAATTTTTTGAAAAGCATCAAAAACAAGAAGGCAAACCTTGACTTTTTTCAGTGATGTTTAACTGAAACTACTTTACTACCTTACAAAATTTCAAAAAAATTATTTATTGGTGGACAGAAAGCTACCTTACCTTTGAAAAAACACTTGTCTTTCTTCAACAATAAAAGATGACTAAAAGAATCCATGGAAAACAGTATGGCAACAAATGAAAACACATCCCTTCATCAGCAAACACTGTTGGAATACTCACAGAAAACGCCACTGAGGAAATAAGCATTTGAGCAAGCATTCAGTGCAGAAGACTGTAAACGGATCAAGTACAGATGTTTCTAACAAGTTTTAGCTTATGGAATTTGCCAGATTGGTTCCGATAATCCACAAAGAAGTATTTTAGGAGATCAGTATAGTAAAGACGTGCAAAGAAAGATATAATCTTAACAACTGATTTCCTTAAATAAATGCAAGTTCTTAAAAGATTAAAAAGGAATTTTGGGGTAGGGCTGCTAGGATGGTATGACACATGCCACATGTCACACATTGCCTCATGCTGGGCGCACTCTTGTGGCTAATATGTTACAGTCAGAAGTACCAAGGATTACAGGATGTCAATGATGTTGGAAAACTTATAAAATTAGGACCTTTAAGATCAAGTAGAATTTTTATAACACTTCATAATAGAAGGGGACTTAAAATTTTTTTGTGACCTATGAATATTTGTACGTTATCTCACAGCAAAGTACTTAAAAGATTTGTCAGACTTAAAGACGTGTTATACACTTTTCTTTTACAAAAAGACAAATGTTTCAAATTTGCTGATCTCCTCTGTGATGACAAGTGGCTGTCATTGCTTTGCTATCTAACAAATATTTTCTTTTTAAAAGAAGTGCCTCACTGTCCACTCAAGGTAAATATGACATTTAAACAAAGAGGGAAAAGACACTGTTTTTCAAAGAAATGTCTATTATAAAGAGAACATTTTTTAAAGAGATGTTTGGGTATGTGACATGAATTTTTTTTTCCCCAAAATCATGTGTTTTACCTATAAAAATGCTGCTATTTTCACACTTTAGAAATTTGGGACCTTTTCTAGCGTGTTAGACCATCTTCCAAATGAAGAGTGTCGGGGGTTTTAAAACACTTTGTTCAAAATAGGCAAGCACAAAAGTTTCTGATTAGTTTGCAAAAACAAGTAAAGGTTACCAAGGAAGAATAAAATCTGCTGGAAAAATTCTAACAAAAACCTTTGCAGTTGGGCATGGTTGTTCACACCTGTGATCCCAGCACTTTGGGAGGCCGAGGCTGGCAGATCGCTTAAGCTCAGGAGTTCAAGACCAGGCTGGGCGACATGTCAAAACTCCGTCTCTGCAAAAAAATACAAAAATTAGCCAGGAGTGGTAGCGCATGTCTGTGGTCTCAGCTACTCAGGAAGCTGAGAGGTGAAAGGATCACTTGAGCCTGGGAAGATGAGGCTGCAGTGAGCTATGATGGAGCCACTGCATTACTCTAGCCTGGGTGACAGAGCAAGACCCTATCTCAAAAAAAAAACAAAAAAACAAAGCAAAACAAAACAAAACCCTTTGCAAAGTTGAGGAACAGATTGAGGAATGTGTATCATAATTTGGTATGTATAGCTCACAATGTATAAAATTGCTACTATTGAACCAGACTTAACAAAAAAAAATTGACAATTTTATATGGTTCAACCTAATCTATATGTTTGTGTGGCGTCTAGTAACCTAGACTCTCACGGCTGCCCTGAGAAAGGGACTTGTACCCCAAGCCCACCCATCTCCAGCTCCAATAAAGTAGAAACTTGGGGTAGTAACTGGAACTCCAGGGAACCAAGAACCTGACACCTCACTTCCTGATTGCCCCAGGAGCCAAACATAATTGCCACATGCCTCTAGGGCCTAAGGCAGCCATGAGTGGTCTCTAAGTAGATGGGCCAAAACAGGCTAAGAGATCCCTTGCATAATGAGGGAAAGAACAAAAATGTTCTGTGTGACAGAGAGAGAGGCCCAGCAGTTTGGTTGAAGAAGGATATAATAATGGAATTAGGCTGGGAGTGGTGGCTCATGTCTGTAATCCCAGCACTTTGGAAGGCCAAGGCAGGAGGATCGCTTGAGCCCAAGAGTTAGAGACCAGCCTGGGCAACATAGTGAGACCTCGTCTCTACAAAAAAATTTAAAAAATTAGCCAGGCATGGTGTTGCCCACCTGTGGTCTTAGCTACTTAAGAGGCTGAGGAGGAAGGATTGCTTGAGCCCAGGAGTTCAAGGCTGCAGCGAGTTATGACGATGCCACTGCACTGCAGCCTGAGTGACAGAGCAAGACCCTGTCTCAAAAATAAATAAACAAATAATGGAACTGGATATCTATGAGGAAACTGCTAGCATGAATCAATGACTGAGGGCCAGATGGAATGAGGTCTATCATGGAAAACTGAAACTGAGAAAAAGATGGGCACCCCTCACCCCCAATCCCTGAACACTTTGGCTCTCTGAAGTTTCCCAGAACTTAATGCAACTGGGATGTTACAGGAGGAGAAACCCTGAACTGAAAGAGAGAAAGTCTCCACCACTCAGACAAATGCAAAGAGAAATCAATTCTGTTAAGGACAAGCAGAAAAAGTGACATTTCTGGCTCACCTGAGGGTGTGGCCTGAGATGGACATTTCTGTGGGATTTGGCTATCAAGGGAGGTGATGGCCCGTTCTCCCAATGCAGGTGGTCTATCCTCCATCTTGAATGAGAATTCCTTGAAAGTATAGATTAAGAGAAATATGGAGGCATTTCCCAACTACACTAAGAGCTTTTACAAGATGCCCTTGGCTTGGGATCTGTAGGAAAAGAAATGCAATTCTGAATCAGAGGTGGGCGTATGGCTCCTTATTTGTTCAGATACAACAGCTTTAGAACAAGTGCCTCAAAGTTATCATTTCTCTCCTCTTACCCTGTACCCCTGCCTTCAAAATTCTTCAAAATAAATGCAGCAATTGATTAGAACAGACAGATTCTTGAGAGCTAAAATATCAGGAGATATGGAGCTTCCATATATCTTCCCATTTCCCCAGCAATGTTTTCACTGGGGAGAGACGAGCACAAAAGCAGCTGTAATCCGAAGTATTGATTCTAGTGCTGAAAACATCTTTCACCAGTCTCTGAAATTATATTGTCAAGCAAGGAAAGCAAATAGGATGAGCATTCTTGTCGATTGTGGCTATAAAAATGGATAAGGTGTTATGGACCATGGATTTTCAGGGAACTCACTTCCATCTTCTCAAAATATCTTCCTCTAGGTATCCACCTCTCAGGTTTATAAGCTCAGTGGCTCCATAGTCAAGCATGTCTGCTCTAGTGCAAGGATTTTGCAAGTAATTTCTGTGATATTTCTTAATTTTTTGGAGCTTCCAGGGAGGTTTCCGAAAACAGAAAGTCCTGGTGAATATGCTGGAGAGTAGCCACTTTATCCTTGCAAGTTATAGATTACCAGATACTTAGCAAGACTAAGGTAGATGATAGGAATACAATGATGATAAACAGGATGAAATCCCTACTTTTACTGATCCTACAGTCTAGCAGAGAATACAAACACAGACACGCACCTCAACACCACACAAACGGGGCTGGGATAGCAAAGAAACACCAAGAAGAGTCATGCAGAAAAATGGAAGGTTTCCCAGAGGACGTAGCATCTAATCCAAGTCTTAACGATTAAATGAAAATGTCTTGGCAGAGAAAATAGAGTAGACAAAGGCTGACAAGCCTAAGAGAGATTTGGGGGGATCTGCAGAGAGTTCAGTATAATGGAGATGACACATGATTTTTTTTCCAAAAGGGTTTATTGAGGTATAATTTAAATGTAATACAACACACCATTTTTAATGCTCAGTTCTGTGAGTTTTGGCAGACGCATATAATGATGTAACCACCACCAGAATCAAGATATAGAAGAATTCGATCACACCCAATTTCCTCCAGTGCTCCTCTGTAGCCAATTCCCTCCCCTGACTCTTTGCCCCTGGTCACCACCGATCTGTGTTCTATCCCTCTGGTTTGTCTTTTCCAGAATGGCATATACATGAATCACAGGGTGTTCAGCCTCATGCATCTGGCTTCTTTCACTTATCATGATGCATTTGAAATTCATCCATGTTGTTGTGTGGATTACATGAGATTCTTGATGCACCCAGTTGGAGGCTGTGTACATTTTACATTCACACTGATCATGTGATCATACAAATCTAAATGGTAATAAAGTTTTAATTATCAGGGGAAATCATAGAGGGGATTCTGGAAATACGGGTGTTTACATGCATAGCTGTTTACCTCCATCTGGAACTAGCAAGTCACAACCAACAATCACCTTCGAAGAGAAAGCTCTTGCCTGCCCCTGCTCCCTGTTTTGCATGTGGTCCTTAGAAGGCTTCCCTAGTCCACAGACTTTTGTGAACCTGGAAAGCTGCTGAATACTGAAGTGCATTGGCACCAGTTTCTGTAGATGAGGGAGTTGCTGTCACTTGCCCCAAAAAAGACCTAATGACAGAGAGGCTCCTCCCATACTCCAGCAAAGTGAACCCAGTTTTCTGAGTTTTACCCCACAACCTAATGAGAGCAAAAATGTTTGTCCCTTACACCATCTGCCAGTTGTGATACTAAAGCTATAACCTGTAAAAATTCTAAAGGAATATACACCCCTGAGAAGATAAATAAAATGAGGCCCATTTAAGAAAGTAATGCTTATTCTTAGCTGATTCACTGGAATCACCTGGGGAGTTTTAAAAGCTACTGATGCCTTTGTTCCACCATCAGAAAGTCTTTATTAATTGGTTTCACCGTTTCCTGAGTATTGGGACTTTTGTAACCCCCCTAGAGGGATTCTCATGTGTGGCCAGTGTTGAGAACTGCCAGATTAAGGAATTCCAGCAACCCGAGGGAGAATACTAAGTTTAAAAGAAGAGCAGATGACAATTGTTTAAATAAAGCTAATGGAAAAGACAGATGAACTTAAAAACAACAACAACAAAAATAAATGAGAACTCCCGAAGGGCATTAAATTTAACACAGAACAAAAGATTTTCTAGAACCAGAATACTTATTTTTGAAATTACAAGTTCAATAAGCTGAGAAGACACCATTCTTTGCTGAGGACCATATGACTGTTTTGGAAGCTCAACTGGAAGAAGTATTTTATAAATGATGTGGAATTCATGAAGAATTAAGAAAAGAAACTTGGAGGACAGATCCAGGATATCTGAATGTGACTAATAAAAGTTCACTAGAAAGGGAAAAGAGAACAGATGGAGAAGTAATAAATAGGGTAATCAAGAGAGAAAATATGTCTTAGAAAAAAAAGGTTTGAGTTTTCAGGTTACAAAAAACAATTGAGTCCCAAGTAAAGTTAATTATAATTTTTAAAAAACCTAGACCTCCAGTAACATGTCCTGATAAAATTTTTGTATTCCAATTATGGAAAAGAAAATATTACATACTTATAGAAAGAAATGATAGATTACTTACAACGGAAAAAGAATGGGCTACCATCAGACAACTTGTGTGCAACACTAGAGGTAAGACTGGAAAAACATTTAAAAATGATTGAATGGGGACAGTATTCTAAGAATCCTATATATCCAGCCATAATATCAATCATCTGTCATAGCAAAGATATTTTTAGACATGCAGAGACTCAGAAAGTCTATAGAAAAACATAGATAATTCCTATATTAAACCATTTCAGACCATAGAAAAAGATGAACAACTTTTCAAATCTGTTCAATGAAGGTTGTGTAACCATACTGGAAAAACTTTATATAGGATTTATTTTTTAAAAAAAGAGAAGCAAAGAACAAACAAATGAAATAAAACCCACTACTCTAGGCCAACTTTATTTATGACTATAGATACAAAGTATAAATGAAGCACTGGCAAATTGAATCCATCACTGTATTAAAAGGATGATATACTATGACTAGGGAGAGTTTATTCCACAAGTGTAGATGGCTCAATTCCCAGAAGAATACATTTTTTTGATAAGTTGATGTCTTATGAAATTTAGGAAATGTAAATCATAATTCCAACAGAATTTTTCATTGATATTGTCAAGCTGATTCTAAAACATATGTACTAGAATGGCAAAGGAATTAGAATAGCCAAGATGACTTTTTAAAAGAAGCGTAAAGTTAGAGAAATCACACTATTTGGTTTTAACACTTACGCTTAATAAAGCTATAGTAATTAAGACAATAGACCAAAACGAGAGCCCAAAAATAGATCCACACAAATAAGATCAACTGATTTTGTTTGCTTGTTTGTTTGTTTGTTTGTTTGAGACAGCGTCTCGCCCTGTCGCCCAGGCTGGAGTGCAGTGGCGCAATCTTGGCTCACCACAACCTCCGCCTCCTGGGTTCAAGCAATTCTCCTGGCCTCAGCCTCCTGAGTAACTGAGACTACAGGCATATGCCACCACGCCCGGCTAATTTTTTGTGTTTTTAGTAGAGAAGGGGTTTCACAGTGTTAGCCAAGATGGTCTTGATCTCCTGACCTCGTAATCCGCCCACCTTGGCCTTTCAAGACCAACTGATTTTTAAGGAAGGTACAAGATAAATTTATTGGATGAAGAGTAGTCTTTTCAAAAAATGACAATTTGGCATTCATATGCAAAACAATCCACCTAAGCACACACCTTTTTAAAAAAATAACTCAAAATGGATCAGAATTAAAAATGTACATGTAAAAACATGAAACTGTTAGAATAAAATATTCATGACTTGGAGTTAAGCAAAGAGTTCGTAGACATGGTGCCAAAAAAAATAAATGTAAAAAAAAAAGTAATGAGAGTTCACAAGGATATTCAACTTAACATAATAACTCATGAATTAAATAAATTATGGTACCTAGATATTATGTCACCATACACAGTTGTTTTTTTTTTATACTTTCAGTTGTAGGGTACATGTGCACAACGTGCAGGTTTGTTACATATGTATACACGGGCCATGTTGGTTTGCTGCACCCATTAACTCATTATTTACATTAGGTATTTCTCCTAATGCTATCCCTCCCCCATCCCCTCACCCCCACAACAGGCCCCGGTGTGTGATGTTCCCTGCCCTGTGTCCAGCGTTCTCATTGTTCAACTCCCACCTATAAGTGAGAACATGCGGTGTTTGGTTTTCTGTCCTTGCGAATAGTTTGCTGAGAATGATGGTTTCCAGCTTCATCCATGTCCCTACAAAGGACATGAACTCATCTTTTTTTTGGCTGCACAGTATTCCATGGCGTATATGTGCCACATTTTCTTAATCCAGTCTATCATTGATGGACATTTGGGTTGGTTCGAAGTCTTTGCTATTGTGAATAGTGCTGCAATAAACATACATGTGCATGTGTCTTTATAGTAGCATGATTTATAATCCTTTGGGTATATACCCAGTAATGAGATCGCTGGGTCAAATGGTATTTCTAGTCCTAGATCCTTGAGGATTCACCACACTAGTTTACACTCCTACTAACAGTGCAAAAGTGTTCCTATTTCTCCACATCCTCTCCAGCACCTGTTGTTTCCTGACTTTTTAATGATCACCATTCTAACTGGTGTGAGATGGTATCTCATTGTGGTTTTGATTTGCATTTCTCTGATGACCAGTGATGATGAGCATTTTTTCATGTGTCTGTTGTCTGCATGAATGTCTTCTTTTGAGAAGTGTCTGTTCATATCTTTTGCCCACTTGTTGATGGGGTTGTTTGATTTTTTTCTTGTAAATTTATTTAAGTTCCTTGTAGACTCTGGATATTAGCCCTTTGTCAGATGGATAGATGGATAGATTGCAAAAATTTTCTCCCATTCTGTAGGTTGCCTGTTCACTCTGATGATAGTTTCTTTTGCCATGCAGAAGCTCTTTAGTTTAATTAGATCCCATTTGTCTATTTTGCTTTCGATAACTACTTGAATATATTTTTGTAGTGATGTACAAAATAGGTATTTGTTAGTAGTTTTGGGGAAAAATGTTTCCTTTCATTTTTTATACCTCCCTATTTCAATTATGATTAGAACTTTCATAAAGATTGAATGTGGAATTTTGTAAAATGCCTTTTTAGCATTTGCTAAATGTTATTTGCTATAATAACTTTTTTCTCCTTTACATTTTTCATATCATAAATTACATTAAATATTCTGTAACAGAAAAGGATTGTATTATATATCAATACTGCTGTCACAACATTGGGAAGCATTTTCTGTTGTAAGACAAATCACTCAAGATGAATATTATAGAACTCAAAGAAAAAGACTAAAAAGAAAAAAGACTAACATTAAAGATGAAAGGGCAAAATTAACTTCATTTGAAGACTGTATGCTTGCATACTTAGAAAATCCAGAACACTGCTAAGAACAACCTACTAAAATGAATGAGGATTGAACAATTTGGCAATATAAAAGATAAATATATGCTACTGATAGAGTTGGGCTGTTTTTTTGTTGGTTTTTTGTTTTGTTTTGTTTTGTTTTTTGAGACAGAGTCTTGCTCTGTTGTCCAGGCTGGAGTGCAGTGGCGCTATCTCGGCTCACTGCAAGCTCTGCCTCCCGGGTTCACGCCATTCTCCTGCCTCAGCCTCCTGAGTAGCTGGGACTACAGGTGCCTGCCACCACGCCCGGCTAACTTTTTGTACTTTTTTTTAGTAGAGACGGGGTTTCACTCCTGACCTCGTGATCCACCTGCCTCAGCCTCCCAAAGTGCTGGGATTACAGGCGTGAGCCACTATGCCTGGCCAGAGTTGGGTTTTTTTTAACATGCTAGGTGGAGTACAAATATAAAGTGTTTTCATTTTTATATCGTGATGGGCTTTAATAAATATTCTGTTAAAGTTTTCTTTCCTGTCCCTTTCATTTGGGTAGCATCCTTTTTGTTTCAGGAACAAAAAGCATTCTGCTCTAGCTAAGTGTTAAAATTACACAGCAAGACAATTGATCCATCATTATACTATAAACAACTTTGTTTGCTCCTATATATACTTAAAATAATTATTTTAAATTACCATATTGCATAACATAGTATTTATGTACAATATTTAATTAAATGTTCTCTAGTTTTATTAGAGATAATCCTTTAATAATGACTTGTTTTTGCATTTTCTTTTTTTTATTTTATTATTCTTATACTTTAAGTTTTAGGGTACATGTGCATAATTTGCAGGTTTGTTACATATGTATACATGTGCCATGTTGGTGTGCTGCACCCATTAACTTGTCATTTAGCATTAGGTATATCTCCTAATGCTATCCCTCCCCCCTCCCCCCACCCCACAACAGGCCCCAGAGTGTGATGTTCCCCTTCCTGTGTCCATGTGTTCTCATTGTTTAATTCCCACCTATGAGTGAGAACATGCAGTGTTTGATTTTTTGTCCTTGCGATAGTTTGCTGAGAATGATGGTTTCCAGCTTCATCCATGTCCCTACAAAAGACATGAACTCATCATTTTTTATGGCTGCGTAGTATTCCATGGTGTATATGTGCCACATTTTCCTAATCTAGTCTATCATTGTTGGACATTTGGGTTGGTTCCAAGTCTTTGCTATTGTGAATAGTGCTGCAATAAACATATGTGTGCATGTGTCTTTATAGCAGCATGATTTATAATCCTTTGGGTATATACCCAGTAATGGGTGGCTGTGTCAAATGGTATTTCTAGTTCTAGATCCCTGAGGAATTGCCACACTGACTTCCACAATGGTTGAACTAGTTTCCAGTCCCACCAACAGTGTAAAAGTGTTCCTATTTCTCCACATCCTCTCCAGCACCTGTTGTTTCCTGACTTTTTAATGATTGCCATTCTAACTGGTGTGAGATGGTACCTCATTGTGGTTTTGATTTGCATTTCTCTGATGGCCAGTGATGATGAGCATTTTTTCATGTGTTTTTTGGCTGCATAAATGTCTTCTTTTCAGAAGTGTCTGTTCATGTCCTTTGCCCACTTTTTGATGGGATTGTTTGTTTTTTTCTTGTAAATTTGTTTGAGTTCTTTGTAGATTCTGGATATTAGCCCTTTGTCAGATGGGTAGGTTGCAAAAATTTTCTCCCATTCTGTAGGTTGCCTGTTCACTCAGACAGTAGTTTCTTTTGCTGTGCAGAAGCTCTTTAGTTTAATTAGATCCCATTTGTCAATTTTGGCTTTTGTTGCCATTGCTTTTGGTGTTTTAGACATGAAGTCCTTGCCCATGCCTATGTCCTGAATGGTAATGCCTAGGTTTTCTTCTAGGGTTTTTATGGTTTTAGGTTTAACGTTTAAATCTTTAATCCGTCTTGAATTAATTTTTGTATAAGGTGTAAGGAAGGGATCCAGTTTCAGCTTTCTACATATGGCTAGCCAGTTTTCCCAGCACCATTTATTAAATAGGGAATCCTTTCCCCATTGCTTGTTTTTGTCAGGTTTGTCAAAGATCAGATAGTTGTAGATATGTGGCATTATTTCTGAGGGCTCTGCTCTGTTCCATTGGTCTATATCTCTGTTTTGGTACCAGTACCATGCTGTTTTGGTTACTGTAGCCTTGTAGTATAGTTTGAAGTCAGGTAGCGTGATGCTTCCAGCTTTGTTCTTTTGGCTTAGGATTGACTTGGCAATGCAGGCTCTTTTTTGGTTCCATATGAACTTTAAGGTAGTTTTTTCCAATTCTGTGAAGAAAGTCATTGGTAGCTTGATGGGGATGGCATTGAATCTATAAATTCCCTTGGCCAGTATGGCCATTTTCACGATATTGATTCTTCTTATCCATGAGCATGGAATGTTCTTCTATTTGTTTGTACCCTCTTTTATTTCATTGAGGAGTGGTTTGTAGTTCTCCTTGAAGAGGTCCTTCATGTCCCTTGTAAGTTGGATTCCCAGGTATTTTATTCTCTTTGAAGCAATTGTGAATGGGAGTTCACTCATGATTTGGCTCTCTGTTTGTCTGTTATTGGTGTAAAAGAATGCTTGTGATTTTTGCACATTGATTTTGTATCCTGAGACTTTGCTGAAGTTGCTTATCAGCTTAAGGAGATTTTGGTCTGAGACGATGGGGTTTTCTAGATATACAATCATCTCATCTGCAAACAGGGACAATTTGACTTCCTGTTTTCCTAATTGAATGCCCTTTATTTCCTTCTCCTGCCTAATTGCCCTGGCCAGAACTTCCAACACTATGTTGAATAGGAGTGGTGAGAGAGGGCATCCCTGTCTTGTGCCAGTTTTCAAAGCGAATGCTTCCAGTTTTTGTCCATTCAGTATGATATTGGCTGTGGGTTTGTCACAGATAGCTCTTATTATTTTGAGATACGTCCCAACAATACCTAATTTATTGAGAGTTTTTATCATGAAGCGTTGTTGAATTTTGTCAAAGGCCTTTTCTGCATCTATTGAGATAATCATGTGGTTTTTGTCTTTGATTCTGTTTATATGCTGGATTACGTTTATTGATTTTCATATGTTGAACCAGCCTTGCATCCCAGGGATGAAGCCCACTTGATCATGGTGGATAAGCTTTTTCATGTGCTGCTGGATTCGGTTTGCCACTATTTTATTGAGGATTTTTGCATCAATGTTCATCAAGGATATTGGTCTAAAATTCTCTTTTTTTGTTGTGTCTCTGCCAGGCTTTGGTATCAAGATGATGCTGGCCTCATAAAATGAGTTAGGGAGGATTCCCTCTTTTTCTACTGATTGGAATAGTTTCAGAAGGAATGGCACCAGTTCCTCCTTGTACCTCTGGTAGAATTTGGCTGTGAATCCATCTGGTCCTGGACTTCTTTTGGTTGGTAAGCTATTAATTATTGCCTCAATTTCAGAGCCTGTTATTGGTCTATTCAGAGATTCAACTTCTTCCTGGGTTAGTCTTGGGAGGGTGTATGTGTCGAGGAATGTATCCATTTCTTCTAGATTTTCTAGTTTATTTGCGTAGAGGTGTTTATAGTATTCTCTGACAGTTGTTTGTATTTCTGTGGGATTGATGGTGATATCCCCTTTGTTATTTTTTATTGCATCTATTTGATTCTTCTCTCTTTTCTTCTTTATTAGTCTTGTTTTTAAATGAGACAACATCTCATTTTGTCACCCAGGCTGGAGTGCAGTGGCACGATCTTGGCTCACTGCAGGCTTGACCTCCCAGGTTCAAGTGATCCTCCTGCCTCACTCTCCACAAGTAGCTGGGATGACAGCTGCACACCACCATGCCTAGCCAATTTTTGTATTTCTTGTAGGGATGGGGTTTCACCATGTTGTCCAGACTGGTCTCAAGCTCCTGAGCTCAAGTAATCTGCCCACCATGGCTTCCCAAAGTACTAGGACCTATTACAGGTGTGAGCCATCGTGCCCAGCCAGTAATGATGCTTTAATTATATGCCTACATTCTTAGAATTGTTTCTTTAGCATAAATTCCCAAGTATGTATAAATGCTTTAATATTTCTTGGGTTTTCATTTTCCAAGTTCTTTTCCAAGAAGGCTGTACCAATGTGCACTGTTATTAATTTAGCAATATTGGTTGACTATTTCTCTCTTACCGTTGTGATTGAGCAGAATATTTAATTGTATTTTATCATCATCTTTATCCTGTTCCTATTATCTGTATTTTATATAAATATACCTTTTTAATGTAAAAAAAACGCCCAGTGATCAACAAGGGCTCCAACTTTAGTATAATACCAATTATATAATTCTTGTTCAATACATGTTTGGTTTAGAATCTTGTCTGACAAGTGGTCACAGGGGAAAGGGGCCTGGATCTTTTGTTCCATCCTGAGCAGAGGGGTTTCTTTGGCTGACCATTCTTTCCATTGAACTTAACAACATATTTTTTACTGGAATTTAACAGTTGTTGGAGGATGCCTTAGGAATAGATAAAAGAGCAGTACAGAGGGAAGGGGTCAAGTGTACTTTTCAGTGATGAGGGAGGTATGAGAGTGACCCCAAAAGGCCTAAAAAGGATACAGGAGAGGTTCTGGATTGGGGTAAGATGCAGTAAGTACACTCCAGCCTGTTGCTTCCAAATCCCTGTAAAGGATGCATTGAGCAGCCATGTGAAGAGCTGAAAAACAAGGAGTAACAGGCAGATGGGCAAGGAGACTAGAATTCAAGTGCCATTGGACTGGCAGTGGTGCCGCTTTATTTCCCTCCAGTACAACAGGTCCTTGAATTACCTTGCTTTGTTCAAAGTCATTTCATATAAACTCAATGAGAAAAACATCTATTCCCAACTGGGACCACTGTCTGTGTGGAGTTTGCATGTTCTCCATATCTGTTTGGGTTGTGGGTTTTTTTCTGGGTTCTCTGGTTTCCCAAAGCTGTCCACATTCAGTTAATTGCATGTCTAAATTGTCTCAATATAAGTTAGCATGGTATGAGCATCCCTGTAATGAGAGAGCGTCCTGTCCAGGGTTGTGCCTGACTTGTTCTGAGTTCCTGGATAGGGAGGCTCTTGTCACCTATGACCCTGCACTGGAATAAGTGGGTAGGAAAATGAAAGAAAGATACAAAGAGAGAAAGAAAGAAAAAGAGAGAAAGAAAGAAAGAAAGAAAGAAAGAAAGAAAGAAAGAAAGAAAGAAAGGAAAAGAAAATTACTGTAAAATAAAAAATTCATAAACTCTACAACAATCATACCCATGCAGGACAATAAATGCATCACGAAAGTGCTCAGGGGGCCGCCATGTTTGTTATTACTTGTTTTTGAACTGTGGGATGGTGAGAGGGGCTTCTTACTATTTTCACTTTGCAAACATTTATTCCTTGATTTAACCCACCACTGCTATGACTGCCATCACTCACTGATTCACCAAAAATTGGGTAAATAGTGATCTTACTTGTTTTTATTAATCTTTCTTAAGTGTATATATAGCTCACATTTATTTCAATGTTTAATATTAGAAGTGTTTTGGGTCTTTATTTATAAGTTTAATGATGCTTTTGTGACCAGAAGTATTCCTTAGGAACTTCACTCTTGTTAATATCAAGTAGCCTATAGTAAAATTGGTTTCATCAAATGTTGTTTCATTTAAAGTCACAGTTTCCAAAAACCTATTGACAACATTAGGTGAGGACTTACTGTATTCCCTGGCCTGAACTCAGTGTAGCCCAAAACTTGGATGGATAGAGACCATTGGCATGGATAGAGACCATTGGCATGGATAGAGACTGCTCCAGGAGCAGCCCTCTAGTCTGACTTGCAGAGTGTGGAAGGGGTCTTCTGACATTCATAGAGAGCAAGGTGTAGAAATCTTCACCCCCTTATTTTTGTTTTCCTATTCTCTCACACTCTGGCTTCCAAACAATCTAATGCCAATGGTGGCACCAGCAAAAACAACGAGGGCCCACAGGAGCCTAAAACTCTGATGAAGAAAACTTCCCTCACCAATTGGAGGAGCGGTGATCCTCCCTGGGAAGGATAAAATCCTGTTCTTTTTCTCTTTCCTCTTGCTGCTTGACCATAGACATTGGTACACTTGGAAAGGTGTATGGCAGATCAGAATAAATATGCTGCCATGTTTCTGTCTGGAGGAATGTAAAGGGGAGTCTCTAAGGGAATCAGAAAGTACTAAGGAAGTCACGGACAGGATGGGGCTCAGGAAAGCAGCCACATAAGTTCATCATGAATCTACAGCTCAGCAGCAAGTTGTGCATGCATGGATCTCCCTATGAGCAGCATGCCATAGATCAAGAACTGAACTATGGGACAGACCGCCATCCAGATACCAGATGGAACTGGGTGAGACACATGGAACAGATACTAATAACACCACAAGGATTTGAAAACGTAACATTGAAACCACAACCTAAAAAGACTGGTCAGAATTTGTGGCCTCAAAAGGTTGATTGCCTGGTAAAACAAAAATATCAATATCCTACAGATGATTAAAACAAAATCCAGAGTTTTACGATGCAAATATTTAAAATGTTCAGTATACAATCCCAAATTACTCGTCCTGTGAAGAACCAAGAAAATCACAATTCTTAGTGGAAAAGACAGTCAGCATATCAATACCAAGATGACACAGAAGTTAGAATTATCTGACAAAGACTTTTAACAGCTATTACAAAAATGCTCCAGCAAGTTTGAACGTCCTTGAAATCAATGGAAAGATAGAAAATATCAGCAAAGAAATGAAAGCTAGAAAGAAGAATAAAATGTAAATTTTATAACTAAAAAAATACAGTAGATGAAATTTTAAAAAAGGATAGGCTACATAGAAAAATGGAGATGATGGAGGAAAGAATCAATAACCTTGAAGATAGAGCAATAAAAATTATGAAAATGAAACAGTAAAGATTATGAAATCTATAAAAAGATTGGGGGAAAATGGGAAGACCTTCAGGGACCTGTGGGACAATACCCCCAACAAAGCCCCCAGAAGAAAGCAGAAAGAGGGCAGTGCAGAAAGAATACTTGAAGAAATATTGGCTGAAAACATTGTCAAATTTGATGGGAGACAAGAATCTACACAATCAAAAAACTCAACAAGCCCCAAATAGGCTAAATACGAAAAGATCCACACTGAGACACATTAAAATCAAACTGAAAAATCAGAGACAAAGAGAGCACCTTGAAAGCAGTAAGAGAGAAGCAACTCATCACATACTAAGAATTCTCAATAAGATTAGCTGCCAATTTCTTATCAAAAACCATGGGCACCATAAGACAGTGAAATGACATATTCAAAGTACTGAAAGAAAACTACTGTCAACCAAATATTCCATATCTATCAAAACTATCTTTCAAAGCTGAAGAAGTGTTTTAATTTAATTAATAAAATTTAATTGAATTAATAAAACATTCCCAGACAAGCAAAATCTGAAAGAGTTTATCTCTAGAATACCTGCCTAACAAGAAATGCTAAAGGCAGTTCTTCAGGTCAAAATGAAAAGACACTAGATGGTAAATTAAAGCCATACAAAGAAATAAATAAGGAGCACTGGTAAAGTTAACCACATGGGTAAATATAAGTGTCCTACTGTTTTGGGATGCAGTGTTGTATTATGTATTTTTGGAAAATAATAATTATAGATTTACATTAAGGGGCAATGTATAAATATGTAATTTGTGACAATAACAACATATAAAGGGAAGAAAAACACTGTATGACCAGAGGATTTATATACTATTGAAGCTAAGTTGGCATTGATTCAAATTAGTTTCTTATAAATTTAAGGTATCAGTTTTAATCCCCATAATAATCAATAAGAAGGTCGCTTTTAAAATATACGGAAAAATAAGTGAGAGGTAAATCAAAATGGTATACTGTGAAAACTCAGTTAAACCAAAAAGAAGGCAATAATGGAGGAATAGAGGAACAAACAAAGAATAACATATGGAGAGGCAAAATAGCAAAATGGCATAAGTCCTTCCTTACTAATTACTTTAAATGTAAATGGATTAAACTCTCCAATTAAAAGGCAGAGTTTGGAAGAACAGATTTTTTCTTTCTTTTTTCTTTTACTTTAAGTTCTGGGATACATATGCAGAACATGCAGGTTTGTTACATAGGTATACGTGTGCCATGGTGGTTTGCTGCACCCATCAACCCATCATCTAGGTTTTAAGCCCCACATGCACTAGGTATTTGTCCTAATGCTCTCCCTCCCCTTTCCCCCCACCCCTTGACAGGCCCCAGTATGTGATGTTCCTGGGACTTCCTGTGTCCACATGTTCTCATTGTTCAACTCCCACTTATGAGTGAGAACATGCAGTGTCTGGTTTTCTGTTCCTGTGTTAGTTTGCTGAGAATGATGGTTTCCAGCTTCATCCACGTCCCTACAAAGGACATGAACTCAAGCTTTTTTACGGCTGCATAGTATTTCATGGTGTATATGTGCCACATTTCTTTTATCCAGTCTATCATTGATGGTCATTTGGGTTGGTTCCAAGTCTTTGCTATTGTGAATAGTGCTGCAATAAACATATGTGTGCATATGTCTTTATAGTAGAATGATTTATAATCCTTTGGGTATATACCCAGTAATGGGATTGCTGGGTCAAATGGTGTTTCTGGTTCTAGATCCTTGAGGAATCGCCACACTGTCTTCCACAATTGTTGAACTAATTTACACTCCCACCAACAGTGTAAAAGTGTTCCTATTTCTCCACATCCTCACCAGCATCTGTTGTTTCCAGACTTTTTAATGATTGCCATTCTAACTGGCATGAGATGGTATCTCATTGTGGTTTTGATTGGCATTTCTCTAATAACACATTCAGGTCCAAAGTTCAGGGGGCACCACTGTAATTTGTTTTCTTCAACAATACAACTTAATCTCTATTTTGTACCCCCCATTCATTGGGGGCGAGAAGGCTTAATCTATCTCCATGTCAGGATAACCTGAGTCATCTTGGATTTCATCTGGATTTTCCCCTTGCCTTTCTTGTTCCTGATAAAAGCGGTGGCTGGCCGGGCGCAGCCTGTAATCCCAGCACTTTGGGAGGCCGAGGCAGGCAGATCACGAAGTCAGGAGATCGAGACCACCCTGGCTAACAGAGTGAAACCCTGTCTCTGCTAAAAATACAAAAACTTAGCCAGATGTGGTGGTGGGTGCCTATAGTCCCAGCTACTCGGGAGGCTGAGGCAGGATAATGGTGTGAATCCGGGAGGTGGAGCTTGCAGTGAGCCGAGATCGTGCCACTGCACTCCAGCCTGGGTGACAGAGTGAGACTCCGTCTCAAAAAAAAAAAAAAAAAAAAGTGGTAGCTGAGGGAGTGGGGAGGTGGGCACGCATGGGATGCAGGCATCTGCAGGAGCTCTCCACCATGCTCGGCACCTGTCCGCATCAGTGTCTGCTAAGCTGCATACCCCCTGCCTGGTTCTCAGCATTGCCACACTCCTGTCAGGCTTGAGTTGATGACCCACATCTTCTGCGTCCTCCCTCATGAGGATGTCGTGAAATCTGCGTTCATCTCAGGGCCCAGGAAAGCTCCAGGAGCCTGGGAGGGTCACATGGGAACCTTCCGAGAGCCTCCTTGCCTGCTTCAGGGTCTTGCAGGTGAGTGGGGGAGCCCCGACCCGGGCTGCCTGTTGGGGCTCTCTTGCCCTAGGATTCTCAAACTCTTCTTGGGCTTCAAAGTTTATTTAGAAGCTCAAAACCTGAGTGTTAATCGGTTTATTCCTTCTGCATTTCTGGGTGAATATGTGCCAGGAAGGGGCCTACCCTATTGATCTTTCAATCCAAGCAGCCCACCCCAAGGTCCAATACCACAGACTCCATCCTCTCTATATTTGAGGAAGTTCCTCAGCACACTGAGCCCTTGTCCAGGACAAAAACGCTGCTTATTAAGCACTTTGCCAACCACTGAGTTAAATTCTCTGTATATGACGATTCACTTAGTCCTCACAACAAAATATGTGCTAGTCGTATTTCCATTTTACAGTTGAGGAAACTGAGTCACAGAGCGATCACGTAGCTCCCCAAGCTCCCATAGCTAGTAAGCACTGAGAGGGATTCAAGCCCAGGTACTTCCAGGTACTTCCTGCCTTGATCTTATCAGCCACGCTGGCTCTGCTGCTTTACTGCGACATGGCTGCTCAGCCCAACCCCACTCTCAGCTGGCCTGGACTGGCCTTGGCTAGTTGGCATGTGACCGTGGTGGGTGCCACATGCCCTTCCAGATACCCATCGGGCCAGGGGATGCATTCCCCTACATGCCCCTCCCCAACCCGGTCTATACCCTCCGCAGGGGAAGCCTCCACCTAGTGGACACAGGAGTGTGAAAGCACCTGCCCTGCTTCCATCCACAGCAGCCCAGGGCCCCGGGTCACTGACCAAGGCCTCTGTTGACTACTGACTACATGGAAGCTCAACTCCCCTCTGACAACTCCATGCCCCACAGGTGCTGTAACTGTGAGCACACCTCAGAGCCAGTGTCCTAGGTATAGCCCGGAGACAGTGAGCATGCAAGCAGATGGCCCCTCTGTGGGGGTGGCTGGAAAGCAAGCCATCTGCCCAAGTGTCTGAACAGACTGGGCCTGGGGAAGCCCATGGCAGAGATCTGGACCTGGGGAAAGGACCTGTCTGCTGCCCACTGCCAGGGCCTGGGCAGCCCAGGTGATGCTGCTGGGTGCCATATCCCCACGTCTCAAAACGCGTTTTGCAAACACAGCTCCTGGCATCTTAGGGAGCAGCAGGGGGCCTCCTGTCACCTGGTAGTGTGTGTCTCCTCACCTTGAATCTGGAATAAATCCCTGCAGGTGGCAGACTGGTAGCCTGGAAGGGAGGACTGTGGAGGGGGTCAAGAGGCCTCCCCTCAAACACAGTGTGGGGGACAATGAGCCCGATGTACCCAGAGATTTTTATTTGAGACCTGGAGCTCTCCCGCATGAGCTGTGTGAGTTTGGGCCATTGGTTTGCCCTCTCTGGAAGCCACCCTGTCACATGGAATAAAGGGCGATGAAAGTTACATGTTCCCAAGGAGACTTTCCTGTCAGGGCAGGGGACACTCAAGGCCATTTCCCCTCTCTCTTCCCCAACCCCTGCACCCCATTAGGCCTCAACTAGGAGGGGAAGAAACAGACAAGAGATCTCTCCCATGGACTCGGGTCCCAGACAGTCCTCGATAAGCTGAGAAACCTGACCCTTGGCAGCCCTGAAGGACTCCGAAGTAAAGTCTGTGCCACATAATGGAAAATATTATTCAGCTGAGCTTTAAATAGCTGATGTGATGTGTCTGGGGCTGGAAGGTGGCCCGTGGAAGCTGCCAGAGCAGCCGGTCCCCACATGTGGGGCTTGAGAAGGACCCTGAGTCACTTCACGGTTCAGAGCTTTGCAGGGTCCTAGGGGCCTCCCCAGGAGCACCTGGTTTTACTCAGGGTTCCGAGGAAACCACAGCTGTTCCCCACCTCCCACACACCTCAGCGGTGGTCAGAAGGTTACAGACAAGCATTATGCTGCATTAGCATCCTAAGAAAGCGGTTCTCAAACTCAAGGCGGGGTCAGAATCACATAGAGGACTTGTGGGCTCACAGGCTGCTGAGCTCCAGCCCCGAGTTCCTGATTTAGGAAGCCTGGGGGCCTGAGAAGCTGCACTTCCAACAAGTTCCCAGATGCCATGCTGCTGCTGGTCTGAGGCACACTTTGAGACTCCTGGCTTGAGGCCAGCTGTACTAGAATCACCTGGGAATCTCTAACAATCACAATACCCAGATGACACCACAGACAAATCTGACTCAATGGGGTTGGGGCCCAGGCATTAGCATTTTGTAAGGCTCCTCAGGTGATTCTAAGGTGAACCCAAGTTTGCAAGCCATTGCTCCAGGGAGTCAGGATACCACAGGGAGAAAACCAGGAACAGCTCCAGGCAGCGTACCATCAGGGACAACTGGGAAGTGGGATAACGGGTGCCTCTAATGCCTCCAGGAGCCACTGGAATCCCAGCTAGAAGGGGGCCACTCAGCTGCAAAAGGCTTTTGGGAAGAGCCTGATGCTGGTGGGCTGCTCACATGGACCACATTTGGGCTCCTCACTGCTTAAAATGGGCCTGGGGACCAACAGCATCACTAGGAGCTTGTGAGCAGTGCAGAATTTCAGGCTCCACTCCAGAGCTAGCAAGTCCGAATCTGCACTTGAACAACATCCCTGGGCAATTATTGTGCACTTTAAAGTCTGAGAAGCAATGATGGGCGAGGTAGGTGAGATCTGCCAGCACCTGAGTAGGGGGTGGAGGAAAAGCCCAAGGGTGTCCCCAGGGCTATCTAGTCAGTTCCCCAAATCCAGATAACGCTGGAAAGCTGAGGTGCTCTTATTTATACACAAATCGCCTGGAGAGCTGGGTGTGTGTATCTAAATCTGTATCTTCAGAACTCCCAAGGAAACTCCCAATTTGCCAAGACTAGGATTCCAAGAGGTCCTCTCCCCCTCTAATCATCTGGCTGAACCCTCAAACCTGAGACCATCAAACCTGGATGGAGTTATAACCTGTCCTAACCAGAACCTGGCCCAGCGATCTTGAACATGGCCAACACATTAGAATTACCCAGGTTGCTTTAAAATCTCTTCTGCGTCTGACTACATCAGAAGCTGTGGGGGTGGGGCCCAAGTGGGAGGGCTTTGAAGCTCCCCAGGTGACTCCAATTAGAACCAGGGCGTGCCCATCTTCAATATTCTCTCCACTGACCTCCCTCCCACAGCCTTCACCTCTGCGTAGCGTGTGCTGTTAACTTGGAGACCAGATTCTCCTGATGGAAAGATACCGAGATCTTCCTTCCAGAGAGGGAATGACATTCTGCACACAAAGCAATTTCGCTTATCTTTGCTGAGCTTGCAAAACTGTGAGAGAGCTACAGTCCTTGGATTGGTTTACTCATGTCTATCTGATTTCTCAGCAAAACATTCATCAGTTCAAGCAGCTGCCATCAGAGCATGCCTGTGGCACCAACAGGGGCTGCTGGAGCAGCAACATCCAGGGAACTGAGGCCAGAACAAATTTCCCTTGTGCCATCCGTATTTCGGTGGTGGCACACATGCATGCCTAGTTGGCAGTGCAAGCACTCACTTTTGTTTTTTATTTTACTTATTTATTTATTTTTTTGAGACAGGGTCTCACTCTGTCACCCAACCTGGAGTGCAGTGGGAAAGTACAGCTCACTGCAGTGTCAAACTCCTGGGCTCAAGCAACTCTCTGCCTCAGCCTCCCAAGTAGCTGGGACTATAGCGTGTGCCATCACGCCCCATTAATTGTTTTTTATTATTATTTTGTAGAGATGGAGTTTTGCTACGTTGACCAGGCTGGTTTCAAACGCCTGACCTCAAGCAATCCTCCTGCTACGGCCTCCCTGAGTGCTGGTGTGAGCTACTGCACCCAGCCAGACCTCACTTTTTTTTTTTTTTTTTTTTTTTTGAGACAGAGTTTCGCTCTGTCGCCCAGGCTGGAGTGCAGTGGTGCGATCTCGGCTCACTGCAAGCTCTGCCTCCTGGGTTAGTGCCATTCTCCTGCCTCAGCCTCCCAAGTAGCTGGGACCACAGGCGCCCACCACCACGCCTGGCTAATTTTTTGTATTTTCAGTAGAGACGGGGTTTCACCATGTTAGCCAGGATGGTCTCGATCTCCTGACCTCATGATCTGCCTGCCTCAGCCTCCCAAAGTGCTGGGATTACAGGCGTGAGCCACCGCTCCCAGCCTCGAGTGGGTCTTTCTGGAACAGGTGCCTGGGGTGTCTTTTCATGAGAGGAGTGTCTCAGGGCTGACTCCGTTTTGTCTGCAGTGGGCAGTGATGGCCACAGATGTCAGGCTTCTCTGCCCAAATTGCCAGACAGAGCTCAGAACGTCCTTTTGGTAATTCTTTAAATTTTTATTTTTAAACTCAAAAGACCAGGCAGGCCCTACAAAAGGCCAAGAGCAGCAAGCTCCAAGTTTGGGAAGGGATGGGGGGTAGTGGGATTAGTGAAGAGGAAACTCGGGAGAGAATGAATTCTCTGCTTGATGCCAAGGAGAAAAGAATGGGAAGAAAATTTTCAACCCAATTCTTCCATTGTCTGGCCCCAAAATCAGTTTTATGGTGTTCCTTCTGCTCACTGGTTTGCCCAGCTCTATAATGGGTACAGTAATTGTGATGAAACTTCAAGAGGTGGGATATATCAGTAGTTGGTTTATTCAGCCCCTGTCTCAGCCTGGGCGAGGATTTGTGGAAGATGCAGATGTAGAATTCTGAGTCCCTTTATTCAATGAGCTCAGAAAGTAGTTGTAGAGAAAAGAGTGACCAGTTTAACAGAAGCAGAGAATAAAATCATCTATAACGATGTTTTAGAGACAAGAGCACAGAGTTCTCAAGCATAAGTAAATAAGCATCAGAATTCCCTGGGGGCTTGTTAAGGCACAGGTGGCTGGTGCCATCCCCAGAGTGCCTGCGTCCATGGGTCTGGGAGGGACCTGAGAATGTGCATTTCGAACACACTCCCACATCTGGCTGATATTGCTGGTCCAAGGATGACACGGTGAAAACCACTGGAGTAGCAGAAGCTCTGAGAAGGAAGAGCTGGCCGTGCACTGGACCTGGCTGGAATATTAGGGAACTTTAATTCCTTCCTTGCTGCCCTGTTTAGTATAAAATTAGGGGCATGCAGCTGCAGCTGGTGGGGGCTTCCTGGGAGTGGTTATTTTGCTGCGTCCATACAAAGCAGGTGGTTTCTAGCTCAGTGTTCCCTCTCTGTAGTGATGGACCCATTTTATTTTTGTTCCAACCCATTGTGGACTAATTCTTCTGTAAAATACAGGATCGGCTGGGGGCGATGGCTCACGCCTGTAATCCTAACACTTTGGGAGGCCGAGGCGGGTGGATCACCTGCGGTCAGCAGTTCAAGACCAGCCTGGCCAACATGGTGAAACCCTGTCTCTACTAAAAAAAAAAGAAAAAAAAATACTAAAAATTAGCCAGGCGTGGTGGCGGGCACCTGTAATCCCAGCTACTCAGGAGGTTGAGGCAGGAGAATTGCTTGAACCTGGGAAGTGGAGGTTGCAGTGAGCTGAGATTGCGCCATTGCACTCCAGCCAGGGCAATAAGAGCAAAACTCTGTCTCAAAGAAAAAAAAATACAGTATCATAGGTGTGGGTGTTGCAGCTCTGTTGAAGCTCCACGAATGTTTCTAAATGCTCATCCTGTCACCAACTGGTAACAAGGAGCTCATGAACCAGCGCCAGGCCATGGGCCACTTTGAGGGGCCCCACCATGTAGCTCTGCGTCCCCTAGACATCTTCACACATGCACCCCGAAAGCAGCCCACGGCCCAGCATGAGCCAAGCACAGGGAATGGCTGTCATTCTCTCTGGGTCTGTGCCCTGAAATGGGGCGTGAGCCCCCTGGAAAAGTATGAAGGAAACCACAGGATGGCGACCACACGCATGAAGGCAGGCTCACCCCTCCCTACCTGAAGCCCAGCCCCAGGGCACCCTTCCTCTGTGGCTAAGGAGAGATGGTTCTGGAGGCCACAGCAGGTGCTGGGGCTTGAGAGAGGAGCTCTGACAGGATCCTGCGAGAGGAACTAAAGCAGACACGGCCACACCTCTCTCCAGCTCCAAGCCCCGCACCCCCAAACTGTACCCATGTCCCAAAAAAGGGTCAGGCCTGACTGGCCGGGAGCTGCTGCCCCCAAAGGCCCCTGTGACTGCAAAATCTGGCTAGGACCCCAGGATACTCCTCTTTCCTGATCTGTCCTGCCAGCTCCCTTCCCAGGCTGCCTTGAAGTTCCAGGCCCCATCCTGGCATCTTTGGCAATGACAGGTGAGTCACAGAACCACAGGAACCCGAATCACCATAAAGAAGGCCATGGGAAGTCAGGCTGTGCCCCCAGTGCCTTGCTGAGAGTGGCCTGAAGCCATTTGCCACCCACTGTCCACTGCTCCAAGTATTTGGGCTGTGCCTGGAAGCTGGAGCCATGGGGAGAGCAGAAAGTGGACAGGAGAAACAGCAGGCAGGGTCAGCGAGGCCAACACAAGGCCAGATGCTCATCTGGGTAAGGAGAGGAGCCCTGTCCATTTTCCTTTGGTCTTTGCTGAACATATTTCCGAACAATGACTCTCCACTTCCTGCCTTCCATTGGCCTGGACAGCACTGCACTTTTTCCTTTGGCCTTTCCCTGGCATTTAGCATTTCTCCAGCCTTCTCCAAATTTCCACTGAAGTGTAGGGGTTGCAAAGGGGCACCAACACAGGTCCTACTCTCAAGGCAGTTAAAGTCCTGTGAGTTGTATCAGCTAGCTATTGCTGCATAAGAAATCTCCCCAAGCTTCCTGATTTACGAACAACAATCATTTGGCCTAAACATTACAATTCATGGCTGCTGTCGGTCAGGGATTCAGGCAGTGCGGGGCAGGGACAGCTCACCTCTGCTCCAGAGTGTTGGCTGGGGCAGCTGGCCAGGGACTGCAGGGCCAAGATGGTCTCACTCATGTGTGCGAGCCCTCAGCTGGGGTGGTGGCTTATGTCTGGGCCCCAGGTCACCTCCCTGTGGCCTCTCTTTCCACACAGCATCCCCTCCTCCAGGGCCTTTCTGTCCATGGTGGTTGGACTGGTCCTCAGCTCCCACACCCAGAGGTTGTGCTTTCACAGGTCTAGAGTGCAGCCCAGGTATGAGAAATTATAGTCTCTCCAAGAGCTTCTGTAGTGAGCAGCTAAGACTGAAACACCCCCACTCCCAGCCCCACTCAGGCCAATCACTACTTAAAGTGTGGCTCACAGACTGGCAGTAAAGGCACCCCTGGGAGTTGGTGAGACTTGCAGATGTCCAGACCCCTGCACAGCCAGGGCAGTACATTGTGTCGGCAGAACCACAACTGTCGTTAAATGATGGCGATTTCAGCAGGAAGGGCCAGTGTCAGAGCTGTAGCTTGTGCTCTGTGAATTGCCTTCTCTTTCACCAGGCATTCTGGAAAAGAGGCCTCTGGGTGATCTCTCAGCTCGGTTGATCCTGCAGACAGGTATTTCCAATATGACAGAGCTATCAGGAGAAATAAAAATGGAAGGAAACACTCACACTGCTTAGAACTATGAGAACTATGAGGAGATCAGGGGACAGAGGGAGGCAGATGGTTTGTGCTGGGCCTGCCTGGGGAGATTAAGGATAGGGTGGTTTGGAGATAGCACAGGCCACAGGGAGAATGAAGGTGATCCTAGCTGCCTCTTGCTCTTAAATCAATATCTCTCTGTTTGTGAAACAGGTTGTTGTGCTCCAAATTTCTGACAATCTACCTCTGACCTAGAGTAGCTGAGGATTTCTGCAGAAAAATCACAAACCTTGCAAGTGGGGAGCTAGTAGACTCACTCTCTCTCTATCCACTTCCATCCCCTGTCCCAGGCCAGTCCCTAAACATTTCTCTCCAGCTCCTGAGAATTTCTTTCCTGTCTCCCTGCTCTAAGTCCTCTGCTGAAGAGCACCCTATGATGATGTCACAACGCAGCATCAGCAGCAGAATGAAACTCAGCCCCCTTAGGTGGCACGGGAGGCCTGCCATAACCTTGCTCTCCCCTCCTCTGTCTAACCTCACCACGTCATCCTCATGGCAAATGCTTGCAGTTCTCTCAACAGGTGATAGTGCTGAAGGAGTCTGTCTTCCTGCACTAGCTCACCTCCCTCCTCTGCCTGGCTAACCCCTAGGGCTGCCCCTGGCACTACTGGATAGAGATGGGTGCCCCCTGGTGTTTGCACCTGGTGGTGTGGCATTTGTGTTCCTAGGTCCAGCTCAGGTGGCACCTTGCCCTTGATGTCCCCTGACACATGGACTTGGCTGCATGCCCCCTTCCGGCTTCCATAAAATCCCAGTGCTTGCCATCCAATATGGATGCCACACTTCAAGTGCGGGACAGCTGCACACTTGAAATGGACTAATCCCAGTTGAGATGTGCTGAATGTAAAATGCACCAAATTTCAACGTTACATAAAAAAGAATGCAAAATAACTCACTAATAATATATATATTGATTTACACATTTCAGTGATAATATTTTTGATATAGTGGGTTAAATAAAATACGTTATTGAAATTAATTTCACTTTTTTTTTCAGTTTTTAATGTAGCTACTAGAAAATTTACAATTTCTCATATGGTTCAATTTATTTCTATTGGACTGTGCTGGTCTCATAGATTATTCTGCCAGAACCCCTCTTGACTGAGCTATAACCTAAAGCAAATTATTTAATTTCTCCAAAACTGTTTCCTTCTCTATAAAATTAGAATAAGGCTTATCTTTTAAGGTAACAGTGAGGAAAAAAGAACATGCATCAGCATGTTGGAAAATCTCTGTTAGTATAACCATTACATTCATTGTATCATATAGAATTAACTCTCACAATGACCTTAGTGGCCTCAAGGGTCATATTTATTTAAGATACCTAGATTCCCAGACAGTACCTGACACAGAACAAATGTTTTAGGCACAGGCTATAACATGCAAGTGGGGGATGTGAGTAGCAGATGACAGGCTGGCTGATTTGCGAGAGCCCTAGCTCTAGTGGGTCCATTAGGGCAGGCATTCTTCCCTCCCTCCCCCGCAGCGGTCTGTGTCTGAAATCCATCACCGCACCCCTGGTGTCTACCTTCCTGGCCAGTGCACCTGCAGCCTGCGGCACCTCCAAGACCTTTTCTCCCAAATTCCCTCTGCAACACTTCTTCCATCTAGTTCCCAATCTTTTATAGACACCTTGACCCTGGCAAATGCTTTTGGAGAGGTGCTGCCCAGGGAGAATCCTGCAGGAAGCAGAGCTGTCTTCCCTCAGGAGCCATGAATCATTACACTTGCTTCTATTGTTGCAGGGGAGCAAACAAACAGATTATTTTCTCCAGCCATTTCTGGGCCTTTTTCAGAAACATTCTTGTCCCCACATATGAACTTCTAAACCAACAGCAAATTATTCTGGATAAATGCTAGTCGATGTGATTCCTTGGGAAGAAAACCCTAGGGTTTGTCTGTAAAAAATTAAAGGCCACATTGTTCTGATGCTCATGTGGGTGTAGCAGAGGTGGGGATAAGCCCTGGGAGCCAGTATCAGGGCCTGCTTCATTATCAAAGCCCCGTAGCTTTAGGGTTATCCCGAATTTGCCCTTAGAATTTGATTTATTTTGACTTGAGTTTGTAACATGGCATTGATGTTCTAGAAAGACCTTCTCCCACCCCAGCAAAGGTGAGCAGGATTACAGGTGGGGCTATAATGTCCAGGCATGGCCCAGTCCACATTGAGCTCTCTACGAATAGATCTTCTGGAAAAAGCAGACCCTAAAAAGTAGACTCCCCCTTTGTGGGAGTCTGGGAGTCAGTTTCTTTGGCAGAGAATAAGGGTCAGAGGTTGGAAAAGTTTGAAGAGACAAGGACTAGAAAGCAGGACACATCCCACCAAGATCAACTGCTGGCCTCATTCAAGGACAGAGTGAGGACTCGGGACCACAGCATCTCAAAGCCATCAGAAGCATGGGAACTATCAACCTAACCACCTACTCTGCACCTGTTTAGCACACGAGAAAACTGAGGCCCAGAGATGGGAAGAAATTGTCTAAAGGTGACCTATGAGGAGCAGGTCCCCACCCCAAGTCTCCTGGTTCCTACACTACACCCCTAACAGGGCTCCTTCCAGCCACACACATCACGTGCAGGACTCACGTAGGAATCATTCTTAGCCCCAGCTCCTGTTTATCAATACACAGATAGGATAGATGGAGGCCCAAAAGAGCTATCATGCTGCCTAAAATACCATCATTAAAGACTCCCTGATCTGCGTAAACAGGGTTCTGGTTTAGCCTGCAAATATCTCGGATGGATTCACAGAGTTAATTCTCAGAGACTCGTACTTTAAGGCAGCCCCTTCCTTGAAGCTGAGATGGAATGGTGATATTCTCAGGCAGCATGGTGTTGGGGACAGGGAGGAAGAGCCCATTATGAACATAGGATGCTGTCCAAGCGGGAGAAGCTTCAGGTGCAGATGGGGAGCCTCCGGGACGCCAGAGGACCAACAGCTGAGCCTCTAGGAGAGGAGGGGGAAGGGGGCTGAGAGTAGAATCCTAAACTTCCTCATCAGCGGTGGATTCAGTTATGGGCTCCAATGTTTCACCCCTCCGTGAACCCATGCCCTTACTCTTGCAACTTTGCAGTCCCTCCCGCTAAAGACAGAATGAACTCCTCCTCCTCCACCACCCCACCACCATGCTTTGCTTTGGCCAGTGTGATGTGGGAAGAAGTGTCATGTTCCTGCTGCTAGTCGCACGGTGTGGAACAGAGGCTGCAGCCAGCCACCCGATGGGGCAGGGCTGTGGGACAGGAGGGGCAGGGCCCATGCTGGTCAGGGCCCAGGGGGCGCCACCCTTTCCAGATGGCTGGTGAGATTTTGGGAGTGGACGGGCCACTCAGGTGAAAGGAAGACCATGAACAAGGTCATGGAGGAATGAAAAGAAAATATATATTTCTTGAAGAATGAACAGCTCCAAGCAGTGGGAGCAGCATTGTTTGAAAGAACTTGCTTTGATGATGGAAATGCTCGACACCTGTGTCGTGCAGTGAGGGAGCCGCCAACCTTATGGGCCCATTGAGCGCTTGAAATGTGCCACTGCTACCCAGGAACTGAATTTGTTACTTTATTTAATTTCAAGCAATCAACATTTAAAGGGCCACACATGGCCAGTAGCTCCTGACTGGACGGTACAGGTCTGGAGTGTTGGGTCCTGGGAGTGCTGAAGTAAGACTAGGCTGGAGATCCCTTGCACTCAGAATTTTTGAGCTAAAGGGGCCCAGTAATCACGATAGCATTTGCTGCCTCCCAGGACCCGTGCACAGCACTTGTCATACAAGATCTCATTTAACCTTCCCAGCATCCTTGTAGGGTAGAACAGGTCATTATCCCCGTTTTACAGACAGGTAAACTGAGGCATAGAGGAGCTAAGTGCTGGGGAAAATCACCTGAGAGACACAGCTGGGTGCAAATCAGACTCTGACTGCCGGGCCCCTTCCACATCAATAGGGACCTGAACAGCCACTTACAAAGGCTGCAAAGTCCTTTTCTGGGTGTTTTCCTCTCTTGGACACTGGTGTAATTTGCCCCATCCCCAATAAAAAGCAGAATCTGAGATAGGACTTGCGTACAAGAAGTAATTTTTGCTACTTTTCATGCTGTGGTTTGGGGAGGCAGTGCTGGTGATCTCATGGAACAGGATTGGCAGGGATGAGAGGGAACAAAGTCAACCTAAAGAGGCTTTATTGAACTGGTCACGCCGCGAGCCAGCAGAGCTCCTTCCCGATGGGCTCCTTGGAGAACCTGTGCACATTGCGCCTGTGAATTGGCCACCTGAGATGGAGAGGAGGGGAGTGCCATCCTCCCCAGCTCTGTCCCCCATTGGTCAAGGACTGTCCCATCTCTCAGAGGGACACGGATACAGCAAGGGGACGTGAGGCCAGATTACCCCTGCCCTGAGATGGTTGTCACACCCACATCAGGAGCAAAAATGTGGCTGACACATGTGCGATTCCACTTACAGGAAATGCTCAGAATAGGCAGGCCCAAAGAGCCAGCAGGTGGCCAGGGCTGAGGGCCAGGAGGTGTGGGGAGTGAGTGTTAATGAGGACAGCATTCCTTTATGGAGTGAGGAAAATGTTCTAGGATTAGATGACAGTGATGGTTAACGGTGAATTTTGTTACGTGAATTTTGTTCTAATTTTTAAAAAGTGGGCTGGCAGGAACCATGATGACAGCAAAGAAATGCAGCCAAGCTCCAGGCTCTGAGCTCAATTGCAGGTCCAGCCCCATAAATCCATAAATGCAGCCTCATCCCAGGAAAGGCTTGTCTCTGCACTCAGACCAACCTCCACCCCTGGAGCTCTGACTGAGTGTTGGGGCCGATATGGAGCCCGGGAAGCCAGGATTAGCAGTCCCAGCCCTTCCCAGCTCATCTTCTCAATGCTGCCTCTCTCTGATGGACTCAGACACAACGAGGTCACTGCGTTTGTCCAAGGCTATGATGTGAGTGGCTGCCAGGACTGAGCACAGAGCCCTCACCTGCCCCTCCCCAGCGGAGCCATGTAGCAGGCACACAGGCATCTGCCTCCAGCCCCCACCCCTGAGGTCGCAGCAGGATATGCAGCTGATGTCTCAGCACTGTCCTTCCCCGTCCCCATTGTGCAATCTCGTCACTCTGAAAGGCTTTCTGTTCCTCTGCTGGACCCCACACCAGGCCTCTTCCCTTGCTTGAAGGCAGACAGAGCCTGAAAAGCACCCTGTCCTCTAGGGCCTGCAAGTCCTTCGTGGGGACACCTGGGCTTCCTTTCCTCCTCCTGGCCTGATGAGCCTCGCATGCTCCTCCAGGAAGGGTCCTAACAGCACTCCACAGAACACAGTTTAGATACACCTGAATTAATGTACTCCAATTTACCTGCCAGGGATGCTAGCACAGTGGAAACCCCACCCCTCCATGAAGAGGTGGAGTCTACATCTGGGTGGGCTTGTGACTCACTTATAGCCAGGAGAACATGGTACTGGTGACATCAGCTGACATCTAAGATAGGGTCCAAAAAGCCCATGCAGCTTCCATTATCAGGTGCTGTAGGGGCCCTTGACTTTGAGGCCCTGAGCTGTTGCCTAAGGAGCCCAACTACCCCAAGACCTTCATATTGTGAGGAAGCACAGACCTCATGGGGAGGCCATGTGTAGATGTTCTAGTTGACAGCCTGTTATGGCTTGGCTGTGCCCCACCCAAATCTCATCTTGAATTGTAGCTCCCATAATTCTCACATGTTGTGGGAGGGATCTGGTGGGAGATAATTGAATCTTAGGGGAGATTGCCCTCATACTGTTCTTCTGATAGTGAATAAGTCTCATGAGATCTGATGATTTTGTAAGGGGCTTCCCCTTTCACTTGGCTCGCATTCTGTCTTGTCTGCCACTGTGCAAGATGTGCCTTTGACCTTCCACCATGATTGTGATGCCTCCCCAGCCACGTGGAACCGTGAGTCCATTAAACCGCTTTTTCCTTATGAATTACCCAGTCTTGGGTATGTCTTTATCAGCAGCATGAAAATGGACTAACACACAGCCCTAGCTAAGGTCCCAGCCCACAGCCAGCATCAACAGCCACATGGGTGAGGGAAGACCCTCCAGATAATTCCAGTTCCCAGCCACCGAGCCTTACCTAGACATGGATTCTTCTTTTCAGCCAAGGCCCTGAATATCACAAAGCAGACACATAACACTCTTGCTAGACACTGTCTGAATTCCTGAGCTCCGGGATCTGTGAGCATGATAAAATGGTTGTCTTAGGCTGCTAAGCTTTATAATGCAGCCATAATCCTTGAAACACCCTTCATTCATAATTATTTACTGCACATATATGATGTGCCTGGCCCTATTCTGTGCTTTGGGGATGCAAAGATGAAGAAACACTCAGCCCTTTCTTTAAGGATAGAACGGGTTACTGGTGCTATGAGTGTGCAGCATTCAGTGAAGAATTCTGTAGTGGCTCATTTTAGCAGGGAAATCCAGAGGGACTTCCTGGAAGAGGCTTCCAGAAGTATGGAAGGGTGAGCACAGAAGTGTTTTCTCCATAGATAGTCAGAAACTGCACGACATATTTAAGAAGTTATTGGGTTATGAACTACTGGCCCCTTAAAACCTGACTAAGGTGCCACTCTGCCAGGAGCCCCCACTCTTGCCTATAATATCTGCCTCTCCCTGAAGCCTTGGCTCAATTTCTTAAACATGCCAAACTCTTATCACCATCACAGCCACCTCAAGTGCCTTTTCCTTTGTAAGAACACTGTTCTCCCACCCCTCTTAGTTCTCCCCAGGACAGAAGGCCTCCCCTGAGATGCCCCTTCCATCTCTCTCTCATGCACATCGCATGTGCAATTGTACATGTATCCATCAGCCTGTTTCCCCGCAGCCTCTGCTGCTAGATTTTACCACGAGGGGAAGAGCATGACTGTTTGGCTCATCCCTGTATTCTCAGAGCTAGCACAATGTGGGACACATGTTACACACTCAGTAAATATTGCTGGGAGAATGAGTCCATGAATGAACTAGCCTTGTCCTGGGACCTCAGATCTGTTCTAATCCCTGATCCTATGGTTAGCTGCTTCTAGTTCCTAACCTAATTGTGCCTCCAATCATTGGTTTTCTGGATCCCACCCTCCATCTTAAAATATCTTTCTGCTACCTTCCACGAATTGTCTTTGCTAACCCAGCTACAACACAACCCCACTAGGCCATGGTTTCCATCATCCACCTGGAATCACCCAGCTCTGTTTTGCCAAGCCTGTTCCCCCAAGGTTCCAGTATCACCAACTGGCAACAGCACTTCAAAGTCAGACCACACAGAAGGCTGCAGCATTGTAGTAAAGAATCCAGTGAGGGAGGGGTCTCCCAGAGCTAGAGAGAAGGAGAACAGATGACAAACTGCAGAGAACTTCAACTGCCAGGATGCTGACCCTCCCTCCTGAAGGAAATCACGTGCACCCAAATACTCATATTTAGAGGGAAAAGATCTCAAGGTAATATGAGGTCATTTCACTGAAGTAACTCTAGAGGCAACAAAATAAGTGTCCAGGGAGGTTAACTTCTCCTCGGAGATGCTGGGAAGCTTGACATTTGCAATGGGAGAAGAGGGGGCGGGGCGACAGGAAAGGTATGACTGCAGACGTCAAGCTCTGCCTGCATGGGGTGGCTTCAGAGACATCGTCCCCTGGGTTGTACCATCTCCTTAGCAAAGATAGAGACCATGAATTGCTTCTAAATATAGCCAGGAGGCCAGCACATAGAATTACTCAACAGGAATGCAGAAAGCTGATTTGCTGCTGATCCCCATTTGGCCTGGCTTGATTTCACAATCAAACGAAGAACTTTTTTACTTCCAAGAGTCCTATATTGTCTATTGGTGCCAGCAGCACTGAGAGAGAAGCAACAAGCTCACCCCCACTCGATCTTCCACAGCAATCCAGCAGTCCCACATTTGCTTTCTCCCCACATGTCTTTCTGGGAAAAAAAAAAAAAAAAAAGGCAAAGCCAGTGTGTGAGATAAGTCATTTCAAGGGAGAACCATGGATCCAGGGCCAAGAAGAGGCCACAGTTACCATTTTTTGCTTGTTCTCTCCTCTGCCGAATTTACCATTAGGTTCTGACCTACAAAACCACATCAGAGAGACCTGAGCTCACATTCTGGCTCTGCCACTCACTAGCTATGTGACTTTGAACAAGTGATTTAACCTCTCTGTGCCTCAGTTTCTTATCGTGGGACCCCCACGACAGGTCCCAATGTGTGCTGTTTCCCCATATGTCCATGTGTTCTCCTCATTCAGCTCTCACTTATAAGTGAGAACATGAGATGCTTGGTTTTCTGTTCCTGAATTAGTTTGCTGAGGGTAATGGCTTCCAGCTCCACCTATGTACCTGCAAAGGACATGATCTCATTCCTTTTTATGGCTGCATAGTGTTCCATGGTATATGTGTACCACATTTTCTTTATCCAGTCTGTCATTAAGTGCATTTGGGTTGACTCCACGTCTTTGCTATTGTGAATAGTGCTGCAGTGACCATACACTTGCATGTATCTTTATAATAGAATGATTTATATTCCTTTGGGTATATACCCAGTAATGGGATTGCTGGGACAAATGGTATTTCTGCTTCTAGATCTTTGAGGAATCGCCACACTGCCAGACGCTATTTCTAGGTGTTTAAGATACATTAGTGAATAATACGGACACTGATCCTTGCCCTCATGTAGCTTATATTCAAGTATGGACAGATTAACAATAAGCAGTAACCCTAATAAATAAGTAAATTTACAGTAAGTTGGGTGATACATGGTACAGGAAAGAGAATGTAAAGCAGATGAGGTAGAGGATGGTGGCCACATATTATTTCCTTCTCATTTTACTCCTTCTGTTGGGAGGTGGGACCTAATTCCCATCCCGGTATCAAGGCTTCCTTTTGTGACTTGCTTGACCAAGAGAATATGCCAGAGAGATGTTGTGAGAATTTCAGGACAATGCCAGAGGACTCGCAGTTTTCTTCTGCAGCTCTTGGAACATTCTTTCTGGGAGTCCAGAGCCCCTGAGGAAAAAGTCTGACTTCCCCGAGGCCACCTGTTGAAGAGGCCGTGTGTAGGTTCTCTGGGTGACTGTCCAGCTGTGCCCAGCCTTCCAGCCATCCCTGCCAAGGGACCAAGCATGAGACAAAGCCATGTGGGTCATCCACAGGAGTCCATCCACCAGCTGAGTGGGACCAAATGACACAGAGTGACAGGTGTGATGTAAAAGAATCACCAGCTGAGCTTGGTCTGAATTTCTGACCCACAAATCATGAGATATAAGGCAATAATCGTTTTTAGCCACTAAGTCTTGGCAAGGTTTGTTACACAGCAATAGGTAAGCAGGATAGGACGGTAAGGGAGGCTTGGGTATAATGCATATAAAACCCCTAGGCCAGTCACCAAATGGCATCAGATATTGTTATCCCCATTAATAGTTTTCACTGGCCCTCCCTCCTTTCAGCAGGAAGGATTTCAGAGCCAGGCCTTTCTGCTTGGCACCACTCAAAAGATGTTTGTGCTTTCACACATGGCGAGCAGATTCTGTTTCTCTGCTTGGAGATAATGTCCCAAGGAAGAAGCAAGTGTAGACGGGCTCAGACTTCAGAACTCTAAGGATGGCTGGGTGAGAAAAAGACCCCAGATGCCCCTGTGGGCAAACATAGACTTCTGCTCTTACATTTTACCCTCCCCTCACACACACTTATGTTACACACACCTTCTCACCCCCAAAACTTGGAAAGCTGTACTTGGAAGGGCAGAGAGGTTTTCCTGGTAATCCTAATCTTATATCATGCTCTAGAAAATAATTACAGTTGTGTCTCATGAACCCACACAAAGCTGTCCTGAGAGAACAGTGAGGAAACCAATGTCACACTCATGTTAAAATTCTCTCTCTAGCTCCATTTTGCTCAGTTCCAATGTTAAGAAAGGTAAACAGCCTCCCAGTGGAGAATGGCTGTAGCTTTCCGACCAGCAAATTCTGCAGTTTTCTTGGGGAAAAAAAATGAAAGACTGCTACTGTATTGATTAATTAAGCATTTATTCCACAGCAAGCAGAATCTTAGCAAATGATTCATGAAACTAAAAGGAGAGGGGAAAGCCTCCAACCCTAAAAGGTAAGTGCGCTCAGGTGAGCATTCTAATAAGAAAGTAAGAGTCATGGACTAGGAAGAGCTATTTGAATATGCGAGTAGAATGTAAACGAAGAAAGGGGTGCAATGATGTCATTTAAAACAACAAGCAGTGGGCGGGAAAAAGACTGGCCAGAGAAATCAGAGAATATGCAGATAATCGATGATTAGCTAAATGCTTTACAAGGTAGTTTTGGTAAAGGGTCTTTTTCCTCTGTAGCAGGTCAAGTGGATAGTATTGTATCAGTCCCTATGCCTGATGAGGAGCCAAACAAGTTCAATGGCATTCCGCAGTACCACACCGTCATCTAACGACAGCTATTCCATTTGCAAGCATAGGATCTGAGAGAACTTATTCCATTTCTAGGGGCATATACCTTGCATATTCAATCCTGTTTGAGAGGTTGTAGTTATCACTGGAAGAATAATTGAAATAAATTATATTTATTGAACACCTATAACGTGCCCAGAAAGATGCTTAGAAACTATGAGGTAATGCTGTCCCCACCCTCAAAAGAGATTAGCTTAAAAAGCAGTAAATACATAAGGAGAAAAAATAATGATAAATATTATGTGTCACTGGAGCTTACAGAAAGGAAATACCCAAAGCAAGCAACAGGATCCATGGTTTACCGTGACAGGAAAGAGGAAGGAATGACCAAGCCGAGTGGAAACCCAAATAGTTCTTGACGTTCAGTCTCCTTTGCTGGACTCATCTTTCAACTTGGGGGAGGAAGGGAGAAAGAGGGGAGGGGAACCAATCACTGGTGAATGCCTAAGAGGTGCTTGGGTTGTAAGAGCTGTTATTTCATTTATGCTTCACCCCCACTGTACAAGGAGGTGCTGCTGTCAACGAACTGAGGATTTCTAGAGGTTAAGGATCCAGCCAGGGTTTTCTGAGCTTAGATCTGAATGCAGGCCTGAAAGGGTCAAAGACTCATGCCCTTTGCTCTCTGGCAGGTCACACTGCTTTATACACAAGCCACTCCCCTGATTCCAAAACTACTGTGATTTTTGAGAGAGCTGCATGTAAGTTTGTGCTTTTCCAACCATAGATCAGTCATCCCCCAAATGACTGCCCTGTATAGGGAAGGACATTCCCCTTCTGCAAGAGATCACAAGTTAGAGTCGGAACTGAAACTGAACCTGTAAGAAGTGTGCCTGGCAAGAACTATGTGTCCTGTTACCGGCAGCTTTCTATGGAAGCCTGGCTGCATGTATTAGGAGACATATCAACTCAGGAGGAACTTCTTTAAATTGACAGTTTCTGACCCCAGCCAGAGAATTTGATTCAGCCGTTTTGTGGTGACAGCCAGGAATTGCTTCCCAGGTGAGTTGGATGCAGGCAGGCCATGGCCCATCTATGAAAATTTCTGTTCCAGATGCTTCAGATGCAGGAAGTGAACATCCTTTTCCCAGCAACCTTGGTCTCTGCCTCCCTGTACACCATAGGCACCATCTCACAAGAGATGGGGAAGTGCCGCTTTACAGAGGCCTTTCATTATGTTTCATGTTATATCAGTTAGGATCACGTCAGGAAAACAGAATTCACCCCAGACATTTCAAACAGAGGGAATCATGAAAGAGGATTGGTTACACAGGTGATGGAACCGCGGAGAAGCCACATAAAGATTAGTGACAGCTGGAGGCCACTCCACCTGCAGGGCTGGAAGGACAAAGAGGAAATGGTGTTACTGGTGGTGCAGAAGTTAAAGCCACGGCTGGCATGAGCAGTGGGTCTAGGGCTATGGAGGAAGGAGCTGTCCAGCAGCAAGAGAGCCAGGGAGGAAATGCTACCCATAGCAAAGACGGAAAGTCAGATGCTTTTCATGCCCCTCATCGAGGGGCTAGGGTGCAGTTCTAGAACCCAAATAATACCAGTGCTTAGAGAGTATTCTTTCTCAGTGGTCTAGAGCCTGGAGGATTTAACCTGAGAAAACTAGTTTTTAAAAAATTTAAAAATAAAGAAAAAATAAAGCCTAGAGGAGCCTCAGAATCTGCTGGATCCCCAGCTTAGAGATCTTGATGCAATAAGTCAGAGACAAGGCCTGGGCAGGGGGACTTTGAAGGGACTGTAATGTGCAGATAGGGTTAAGAACTGATGTATCAGAGCATAAGCCCCAAAAGAGCAGCAATGCATCCTCAGTAGTACCACAGTGTCTGGCTCAACAGGGTTGTGCAGATACTTAATATATAGGTATTCAATGAATGAATGAATAAAAGAACGAACGCAGAACAGTGATGAACCAGAGCCCTTGGTGATCCAGGTAGACCAGAGGGATGCCACAGCTGGGTAGGGGGAACGTGAAAAGAGTCAAGGTCAGAAGCAAGGCAGTGCTGAAAAAGATGAATCTGGACACTAAGGCTAATCCCAAGCAAAACATATTTTAACCTGAAATCAACCAAATGCCAAGAGACAGGCAGATTCCCAAAAGGAGATGCAAACCACTGAATCCAAAAGATGAGAGGTTAGCTGTGGATGCACTTTGTCTACATAGAGTTGCCATCCCCTGCGTTCATCAAGGCACCAGCAGTGAGTCTGACTCTGGCTTTACCATGGTTTTACTTCAGCCCTTTCCCTGACACGCAGGGTGCCCCACACCTCTCCTCCCATTTTGCCTCCTGACGTCTAGGTATTGTATGTCGCAGACAAGGTTCAAGGCAGTTTCCACAACAGTCCAGCTCATCAGTGGCACCGTTGGAGCTGTGTCTACCCCACGGGTTGGAGGAAACTATCCCACCTGGATATGAAGTCTTGAGCAAGCCACAGGTGCCCTTTGCCTCTCACTTTTCCAGTCCTTATGCCACTTCCCTTTCTGTCTTTTCCATTTCTCTCTCCTTTTCATTCTTCCACATCCCTCTTTCTTCTCATCACAGCTTTCTCCTTCCTTTCACTCTCCCTTTCCAATTCTCCCTTCCCAATTCCCAATACCCTGGGAGCAAAGCCTTCTTCAGTCTACATTTCTACTTTCTTCAGAATAAAACAGGACTAGTGTACTCATGTCCATGATACACGGCTTTCTAGAATAAAGGAGAGTGGGTTGCCTTGATTAATCCCCTGAGAAACTTGAAAACTTGGGACATTTCAAATTGGCATGAAAGAACTGCAGGCTAGGTCCCTGGCAGCTATTTAATCCAATCTGCCCTTTAACCAGCTCTTCTGTCCCCATCTCTGGAAGTTCCTATCAGAGAACACTGCCCTTTTCCCTGCATTGCTAGTACAAGGGTTGCTGTGTCTCCTAGCCCCAGGAGTTTCAGGGGCACCACAGCTGGTTGTCCCACAGCTTTCAAGATGTCAGAACTGGCCACAGGGGCTCTTGCTGTGAATGACCTACAAACAAGACCAACACACCCTAACCTGGTGATGATTCCCAAGTCTGGTTGCATGTCAGAATAACCTAAGGAGCATGAAAAAGGCATCCAGATGCCAAGACTCACCGCAGACATACTGATTAGGCTCTGCAGGAACAGAGTCCAGGCATCCAGCTCAATACCTCCCCACTCAACTCAGAGCCACCACCCTGGAGGAACTTTGGGCCTAGAAAGGTGGTGCTTTTAAACCTAACTCACAAAGAGGTCACTGGCCAGTGATTTTCAAATCCATTCACATTGTCTATGTAACAGCCCATGTGTATATTTTTAGGCCTACTATGGGCATTTCAAAATAAGCAACAACAGCAACAACAACAATCCACCATGGCAAAGTATCAACCCTTTTCTGCCTTATGGATTCAGACTTTTCCTAAATCCTAATTTAGACAGCATGGTGCATTTTTGTGACTTCTATCCCCCTTCTTTATTGCCCCTGATGGGAGTTCTAACCTGGTTTCAGATGAACAAGAATGCTACAGAGAGCATCAGGTGATTCACTCTTGGCCTCACCCAACAGGGACGGCGGGCATGGAGTATGACCATTGTGGGGACCAGAGCCTTCTCTCCAGCTCCGTCAGAGGGAATGGGAGAACATCCTGAAGTTAAGGGCCTCAACTTCCCATCTGTGCCCCCAGGATGGTGCAGCCCACCTCCTCCTGCCAAGAAAGGCACAAACACAGAACAGATACATGGGAGAAGAGAGTGTTGCTTACAACCTTTGTTGAAAAGTGTTCACTCCTGTTAGGACATGCATTAGGCCCTAACCCAGGGGCTCTGGGACATTTCTTAGCAGCAAAATCATGTGTTTTTTTAAGCTTCTTTCTTAGTAATCCCACAGCACAAATAGATAACAAAGAGCTGCTGTGGTTGATGCCGGGGTCTTCGTTGTCCACTCTCCTCCCCAACCCTACAGCAGCCCTTCAACCCTTGTATGGACCTCTAGGTTCCCATAAAACCCAGTTCAAACCATTGTCCTAACATTTGGTGCCCTCTTCTCTCAATCAGTACATTTTGTGCGGTTCAGGGATATGTCTGGAGATCTGCTGATGGCCCCATAGAATGGAGGGTCATGGCGGTTTGCCATCCTATGGTCACCCAGAAGAGACCAAGCAAATCATGTCACCCCTCTCAGTTTGGACTCTCCCAAAACTAAGGACTTTTCAGATAAGGACTTGGATACAGGTAATTTCTTTAGGAGAGTGATTGCAAAAAATCTGAGACAGGGGAGAAGAGACACTCCCCTGAAAGGGTGCATTACTGAGGTCTCTGCTGAGCAACAGGGGTTCAGCTCCACTGGGAAATGTACACAGTACCCCCAGAAGTATCTGCCTGAAGGAAAGGCAGCTGGGTATTTATCACTAGCTCTGGACCTCCTTGAAAGAGAGTTGCCCCAGGGCATTAACTCCCCACACATATGTGCAGGCACGCATGCACACACGTCTGGGTTGCACTTACACTCCTGCTGCTTGGATGGACTGTCCCCCTCGGAGTGGCTGAAATCAGACATGAGCACTTTTGGACCCATCCGTGTCGTTGGGGATGCCATGAGGCTGTCTTTCAAAGGCAGGACATCTCCTTAAAAATCATATGCTTATTATCAAAAACCACACAGAAAATGGAGGTGAGACTCTTCCAGGACTTTCTTCATGCAGAAACACCCATCCCCTGTGGATGTACTTTGAAATCCAAGGAGGAGTTCCTTATATTCACATCCACATATCTGTGCTTCTGCCTGAACTTCGGCATGGGAGGCTACCCTCCAGCTCCTCCAGGCTCCAAGAACAGGGGTTGGAGGATCCAGGCTGACCCTGCCCACCCTAACTGCAGAAAGCGCTCCCTTGATGGGCGTCTGCTGGCTGCATCTTTGGCTCTGGCTGTCCTCACAGGTAGCTAAGCTCATCCCCGCAGCAAGGCATTCAGCTGGAGCACATTCCAGCCATCAAGAGGGGCTGTGCCTTGCCCTGAGCTCAGCTGAGTGTCACCAGCGTAAGACAAGCGTGGCTTTTTCAGCTGGAACTCTTGGTCCCACTTACCATAAATTCTTCCACTTTGTTCAGAGAAAGCAAAACCCTTTTTTTCCATTAACACTGCCCTCAAGTGAGATTTAGCTTTTCAGAGCTGGTCTGCACCTGGACTTAGAGAATATTCACCACAGGGAAATATTCCCATGGGTATGAGAGGTTAAACCAACAGAATACAAAACTGTGTGTGCAGCAAGATGCCAATTCTACTAAAGAAAAAAAAAGAAAGAGAGCAAGAAACGCTAGAGGAATAAACCACAAGATGTCATTTGATCAAGGGTTCATGCTTGACTTAGGATCCTGGTTCTTAAAGTGTGACCTCTGGCCAACAGCATCAGCATCACCTGGAAACCGATTAGAAATTCAAATTCTCAGTCCTCATCTCTGCCTAGACTTACCAAATCAGAAGTTCCTGGGGGTGGAGCCCAGCAACCCACGAGATTCCAGTGCATGTTAAAATAGAAAGACCACTGACCTAGGCTCATTAATTAGGCACACCTTATTCCCAGTCCTAGGAGCTGGGAGGAAGCAGAGCTTCTGTCCTTCAGGAGTCCATGATGTGGGAGGAAGGAGAAAGCAAGTGCTGCAACAATAAAATACCAGGGAGAATAACCATATGGGCAACCCAGACAAAAGTAAGGGGTTGTAGGAAGATGAGTACTAGAAGCATGCACAGCAAAGAAAAAACAGGGGAAGGGGGAAACAAAAGTGAAAAAGAAAGGCGATCAAAGAATAAAATAATCAAAACAAAGCAGGGAAAAGAAGAAAGAAGTTGTGATTGGGCCAGAAGCCCAGCTCCTTAAAGCCCTTAGTGGTTCACTAGCTCATTTATCTGCTAGTCTGGCCAGCTTTCTAACAAGCACCAGGCATGTGGGCAGGTGCTAATTTGCAAGGCTGATTTAGCAAGTAAGTGCCAGTGGTAGAAAGTTGGAACCTCCTGTAGTCCTTGAAGTCTCCACACATATAAAAAATTGGAAACCTCAATATTTCAGTTCAATGCCTCTGTGAGGAACAGACAGCAAACAGCTTCTCAACACCTCTGCACCATCAGTAGAGAGGACGCAATGCCTAGGAATGCTAGAATTTTGACTGCTTATAAATAGCAAAGCCTTGAGTCAGATAGGCAGAGATTTCCTAAGCAGGCATCAATTTAAAAGTTTATGAGCCACTCCTTCACCCCATCCAATGGCACGTTTTACTGATGCTCATATATGGTGTAGTTTTGTCAGGGTGGGTCATTTTTTTTGTTTTTATCCATCACCTCAAGCATTTATACTTTGTATTACAAACAATCCAATTATATTAATTATTTTTAAATGTATGATTAAATTATTTTTGGCTGTAGTCACCCTGTTGTGCTAGCAAATACTAGGTATTATATTCTATTTTTCTGTAGCCATCAACCATCCCCATTTGGTATAGTTTTTAATCCTCTACCAAGTTCCTCTCTGGGCTCCTCACTTTGCAGTACATTAGTTGCTATGGAAACGATGAAGCCCCAGTGTGATGGTTATAGCTTAATGGCTGCAGAAAGTTATTTTGTACAATGATTGGATATTATATAAATATATACATATATAAATTATAAATAATATATACATATATGTGTACAGCATATATAGTATATACATATATAGCATATGTGCACGTATGTATATGTTACATATATTATATATAATATATACATATATGTATATCTAATATATGTATATATTATATATTTATATGTATACAATATATAATATATGTATATATTATATACTTATATGTATACAATATATAATATATGTATATATTATATACTTATATGTATACAATATATAATATATGTATATATTATATACTTATTCATGTACACACATAATATATATGTATATACTATACACACACTTGTGTGTACGTATATAGGTAAAATGCAGGACTTTAGGAAAATTCTGATAATTTAAAGAACTTCCCAAAGGTAACAGTACACACATTAAAGTTAAAATGCTAGGCATGTGGGACCAGCCCCTCCCACCACCTGGGCTATACATTGTAACTTGGCATATAAGAAGGGAATCTTGGGTGAGGAACCAGCAGGCCAGAGCAGGAGAAATCCTGGCATAGCAGATGGGAGAGCTGGATTCCTGCCCTGGGCCCCTCTCTAAGTCTGCACATTATCGCCTGGGTGACCCAGGACAAGCTCTTTCATCTGTCCAAGACTTTTTCCTCCTCGATGAGAGAATTGAACAAAGTGCTTCCTAAAGTGCCTTTCTGTGTGCACATCCTAAGAGTCTTACCATGCTTAATCAATGGTCTCCTCTGTTTACAAAGACTACCATTTCATGGCAAGGATGAATTCATTCATTTATACCCTCATTTATTCATCCAACAGCCATTCAATAAGCGTCTGTGTTCAGCCATGCTCTGACACTGATTGAATTCTGTGGGAAGTTGAAGAGTTGAGACTTCTGTTGAACAAGACTTTTGGAATGAAGAGGCCCCATAGCATGGAAACATGGTGGGATGTAGTAGAAACATAACTGTATTTCTCATGATCAGCTCTCTTAACTCTTAGCCTGGAATGCAAACACAGACCCAACCCAAAAGGACAGTTCCGCAATTCCATCAACCAAGCATTGCGCCCCAGATGATCAATTCCTCGTATCTATTTCAAAAAACCTATTGAGGCAGTGGAATTTATCTTCTGAAACTCTGTTATTCTCTATATCCAACTCACATGTCTTTGCTTAAGAGACAATGAACTGGTCCTGCCTGGGTATCCAAAAGTTCAGGATTAAAGAGATTAACTCAGTCTGGAAATGTCTCTAGGTTTCTTTGGTCTCTACTTGATCCTCACTTCAATATAAAAAATGAAAACTAAGGCCAAAATTCAGATTCAAAGGTTATTTCTTGGCAGTAAAATTCATACTGTTTTCCAAGCACGATATCCCAGGACTTTCCCTCTGAGTGAGTCTCTGAAACCCAAGGACTTTGAACAAAAGGGTCTATAAAATCCATGCTGGTGCAACAAGACATCAGCTGCCTCACTCTCTCCATTTGCTACCCATAAAGAAGAAGGCAGGGCAATAGCAGCCTCCTTATTAAGGGGGCTATTTATTAATTGTCCAGTGATAATTAATATCTACTTGCTCAACCATCCTGCCTTATAGGAACTGTTTTCTTCATAATTCAGGTGGGGAAAGTGGCAATCAAAGAGATTAGGCGGCATGCTCCTTGTAGTATGTTACGAAGCTAGGGTGAAGCAGGTCCATTTGATTTCAGAGCGCAGGGCAGTGTACACAGCAATGTATCAGTTGCCAATGACCACAATCATGCTCTGTAACAAAACTCCCTAAAAGTCAGGAGCTGACAACAGCTATTTCTCATTGCTCCTGAGTTTGTGGATCACCTGGGCCTTCTGCTGGTTTTGGTCAGTCCTCCCCATGCAGTTGGTTAGCCATAGGTTTGGGGCTATTCTCAGTGGGGCGCTCAGGTCTGTCAGCTGGTTCATGATGGCCTTGGCTGGGATCAGGGAAAATGGGACTCTGTTTCATGTGTAACAATCCAAACAAGCTAGCTCAAGCATGTTCTCCAGGTTATTACAAGAGCAGTAGGAGAACAAGCCCCAACATAGAAGCATTGTTCAAACTTATATGTCACACATCACATGTGCTAACATCCCACTGCCAAATCAAGCCACATGGCTGAGCCAGGAGTCAACTGAGGCCATTGATGTAAGCAAATCTACCCTAGACACATGGATCTCATATGCCCAACACCCTTTCTTCCTCCATGGGTGCAGGAAACATTGGTGGCAAGACTTTCACTTTTTTAAGGGAAATATTTAACATTATGGCATCCATTTGCAAACAGCATTGAAAATAAACCCATATTCTAAGGAATATGAAAAATGTTTTTTGGGTTAACATGTAGGTGAAAGAACTAAATAAGACCTGGCTTTAAAAAAACTAATCTTGAAAACAAATAATTTATTTTCTTTTTTCTTTAAGGTAAATTCAGAATTTCCTTTGGAACAAGTTTGGTTGAAATAAGGAGCCAACATCCAAATCTGAATCCTTATAAAGTCATCTTTTTTATAATTTATAAGAATCTTAGCCAGCCCCTGCAAATCAACTAATTTCAGAGAAATCTTCTTTTTAACCTTCTGGAGTGAGGATAAAAATTCAAATTTTCCTAAAGAAGAGGAAAAAAAATGAGTTAAACCACAAAGCCAGGGTTATTTCTCCTAGGCAACTGGATTAAGGCCAAAGATCCCAATGGCAGGGCCAGTTGACTTTATGACACTCACATGCTTAGATGGCACCTTATTCTCCCAATACCAAATGTCTGAATGTTTTCAGTGTTTTATAGACCAAACATTTGGATGCTTGACCACATTTTTCCATTTTCCATCTGGAAAAGAATGAACACTGTCTGAGATTTGTCTCTTAGACTTCCTAAGAAGATGACCTTGAATGCCTTAGAAGCGGCATCAATTCAACCCAGCACAAATTGCAGTGACTGTCCTTACAATCAGCTGCCTAAAGGGCATCTGTGTTAGGTAATCCAGAGCATTTGAATAAAAATTAAGGTTGAAGGAATTAAGATGGAATTGGGAGTTTATTACGTGTTCACTATGTGCTGGGCCCTTTTAAATATATTAACATTACCTAGGATACCATTGGCCTTCACTTTGCACTTAAGAAATGAAGTTCCATGTGCTTAAATGATTCACTCAAAGTCACATGGCTGGTCAAGAATCGAGCACCCTGTCATGCCCTTGAGAAGCCTGCAAGCACAGTGTCTGCCACACAGATGTCTTCTTTCAGGCATCTGTTTAGACACACACACAAATCAAGTTTGAAGAGTTATGAAAAGGAAACCGCTCCCTGCGATGTCTGTGATGTGTGTGCCCGCACACGTACACACGCCTGCCTCTCCTCCCAGCCTGCTCAGTCCTGTCCACCTAACCATCCTCTAGGTAAGTCGGTGGCACCAGACACAGTCCCCGTCCAGAGCAATGGAGAGCTGAGTGTTGACAGAATAAAAGAAAAGCCTTTGCTCCAAGCACCAGCTTTTATCCCTCACACCAGGGCATAGACAGCTGCTATTTAGACTTTGAGGTCTGGTTCACGATGAAGATCCCAAGATCAAAAACTCCCCCATCCAAAAGGAAAAGCAATCAACTTGAGCAAATTCACTATTCCATTGCTGCTGGCAAAGCTGGGAAAACACGGAAAGAGAATCAAGTGAAGGGGCTTGAAAGGGAAGAACAAGTGTTTGTGCCCAGCCATAGGAACTCACTGTATTCCTTCAGCTGAGGAGTTGACTAAAAATTGCATAAACCCAGGCCAAATAAAGTGCCAGGTCCACACCTTGAGTCAACCAAAGTTAAAAAACTTGGCCTTTCCCAGTCGGTTTTATTTTCAATATAAGCATTTCACTTTCAACCTGATGTAACGAACCTTGACTACTGTGCTTTCTACACAGGACCTTCTCCTCATGTTGGCGAGAGAATTCTTAGGAGTTGCCTTCCTTTTTACAGACAGTGTCTGACCTGAGCGATCACAGCTTGTCTGTCTGACCTCAGTGGAGCTTCTTAAACACAGTTGGCCTCTACCTGCCTGGATGTCAGAAAGGCGGCTGTGATGAAAATGGCTTCCACCTTCATCAAGGACATAACAAGCACCAGGCAACCAGCAGTGCCCAAGAGAGAGAGGCGGCTCTGTGCTTCATCTCCACTGACTGGTCAAAAGGGCAGCTACACTCAAGGTGGAATTTACACAGTGACTAAAACTGATGCTGCGCACATTCCTTGAGTCAAACGGACCGCTAACCATTGTGAGATGGCAGAAATGTCGCCTTTCCTCTCCAAACCCCAGTTTCCTGAATAGTAAAATGGAAAAGATACAAACTAACTAACTCGTAGCAGCATAGGGAGAAATAAACTCAAAAGCTAACAAAATGTGAGGTATTTGCTGTTTCATTATTTTTATTTTATTTATTTTATTAAGAGACAGGAATGGCCTTGCTCTGTCGCCCAGGATGGAGTGCAGTGGCGCAATTGTTACTGGTGGTGAATCCCTACAGGTCTGCAGCAACCTCGATTCTTGCCTCCTCAGAAGAAAGAATTCAAATGAGGCGCATAAGGCAGAAGGAGAGAACAAAGCAAGTTTTAGAGCAGGAGTGAAAGTTTATTAAAAAGTTTTCTGGCAGGAATGAAAAGAAATAAAGTACACTTGAAAGAGAGCCAAGTGGGTAACATGAGAGATCATGGTTTGACCTTTGGACTTGGGGTTTTATGTGTTGGCATCCTTCTGGCTCTTGCCTTACTTCTCCCCTGATTCTTCCCTTGGGGTGGGATGTAAGCATGCACAGTGGCCTTCCAGCACTTTGGAGGGGCCTCATGTGTAGTGTGTTTACTGAAGTTGTGTGTATGCTCACTTGAGGTGTTCCCTTAACAGTGTTTCTAGAGAAAGGTTATACCAGTTAAGCTCTACCATTTTGCCTCTTAGTGTGCATGCATGAGCCCACTCGCCCAGCTCCTGAGATCTTATCCAGAAGCTGCTGATCACCAGTTTTATGTTTTTCTATCTATTGGGAGACTGCTTTTCCCTGGTGCTGGCTGTGACCAATTATTACTTTGGAGAAACAATGTAACAACCGCCTGATCATCACCTGATGGTCACCTGACATTCCTGGTGGTGGCGGGAGCCCTCTCCTGCTGGGCTCATGACTGACTAGCTACCTACTGTAACACAGTCATGGATCACAGTAGCCTTGATTTCCTGGGCTCAAGAGATCCTCCAACCTCAGCCTCCCAAGCAACTAGGACTACAGGCATGCACCACCACATCCAGCCAAGTTTTCTATTTTTTGTAGGGACGGGGTCTCCCTATGTTGCCCAGATTGGTCTCAAACTCCTGGCCTCAAGCGATCCTTCTGTCTTGGCCTCCCAAATGCTGGGATTATAGGCATGAGCCACCACACGCAGCCTCACTTTATTCTTAAATGGATGAGGCCAGGCAACACTGATGAGTGATGGACTTACTCACAGTAACAGGCACCATTTTTGAGGGGCAACTCTGTGCCAGGCACTGCGCTAGTTGCCTCCCATCCGTTCTGTCCTTCAATCTTCACAACACAGAATTTTAAAGCAATGTCCAAGAGGTTGCTTGGTCTGTTATCTGAAGACAGCAAAGATTTACTCAGATTGGGCCTACCCCAAGAGAAACTTATCAACAGAAGTCATTAGCATGGATGCTGTACTAAATATTGGTAGACAATCCTCCAGGAAATATAACCCATTCTTGGGGCAGTAGACTTCTTCTGAATTCAGACATTTTCAAGTCAACCATCCACTTTCTTAGATTAAAAAGTATTACTGACTCCCAGATGGCAATATAGCTGGACCAAAACCAACTTCCTGAGAGTATTAGCATTAGATACCTACTTTGTGCCTGGCAGTGTACCAGACATTAGAGGGCTTCGGATAAATAGAAACCCTGCCCTTGAGTACTCCAATCCCAGCCAGCCAGCCACCCAGCACGTCAATCATTCATTCATTCAAAGGTGTGTATTGAGCTCCCGTCCATGTTATGTAAAGTCAGAGAGAACTGCTGCCTTTCCGGAGCTTACATTCTGGCTGACTTACTCTCAGGATATTGTTACAATGCAAAGGAAGATGGTTTAGAATCAATAGATGAGGAGCTATACTCACAATGGGAGAAGAGTTAGTTAAGTTTTCTGTAAGACAGTCCAGCAATGAGTATTAAAAGCTATAATATTTTATAATCCTTTGGCTCAGTAAATCCACTTTAAGAAATGTATCCAAAGGAAGTCATCCTATACGTAAATCATCATACATGTGCATGAAGATTTTTTATAAGGTTATTCATCATTGGTATATTGCTTAGAATCATACCAAAAAAAAAGAAATAATCCCAATCACCAATGAGGAATGAATTAAATAAATTATAGTACATTCTTTCATGCAGTGGAATGTTATGTAACCATTAAAGGTTATGTTCTACACATGTTGTTAAGTAAAAAATGGCAGGTCATAATACTGGGTCATCTTCAGGCTTTAATACAACTCCAATCATCAAGCCAGAACTGAAGGGTAATGTATGTTAATAAATTTTCTGATGGTGTGTTTAACAAATATTTCTTTTTTTTCTTTTTTTTTTTTTTTTTTGAGACGGAGTTTTTTGCTCTTCTTGCCTAGGCTGGCTTGCAATGGTGCGATCTCAGCTCACTGCAACATCTGCCTCCTGGGTTCAAATGATTCTCCTGCCTCAGCCTCCTGAATAGCTGGGTTTACAGGCATGCACCACCAGGCCCAGCTAATTTTGTATTTTTAGTACAGAGGGAGTTTCACCATGTAGGTCAGGCTGGTCTCGAACTCCTGACCTTGTGGTCTGCCCGCCTAGGCCTCCCAAAGTGCTGGGATTACAGGCATGAGCCACCGTGCCTGGCCACAAATATTTCTTTAATAATCATATTTTGCCATATTTTCCTTAAAATTCTACTCAGTACTACATCTATTGGGATATCCTCCTATTCTCTTTTTGATCTTTCCCATTCCCCAAAACTCCCAGCTTTTCTGCCTTTCTTCCTCACTACTCTCTTCTCTTCCTTCTCCTCTTCTCTCTCCCTGCACCCCCTCCCCCTTCTCTTCCAAATTCCTCCCCTTCCCTATTTTTCTTCCTTCTGGTATCTCCATGCCCTTTCCTGTATAGATCAACTTGGTCTCTCTCAGCTTGTCCAGATTTCTTTTCCACCAATCTCTCTACCCAGAATAATAAAGACATCCCTTCTCAGAAAAGGAGGGGAGAAATGCAGGCACTTATGATTTATTATTTTGTGTCTTTTATGTATATATACTATTAATATTGGATATATCTGAGTGTTAAGATGTAAAGGGATTTTATCTTATTTGCTTATTCAAATTTTTCTTTGATTTTTCAAAAGTCAACATGCATTTTGCTAAATGAGAAAAAATCTTTTTTGAATGATAAAAATATATTGGACACAGTAGCATTTAGAAGTCTCATAATTTTCCTTGAAGGAATTATAAATTTCCTGTGAATGTTGTTAAAAAATCATGCCATGAAATGGTGACCACCTTCTGGAGAGGTCCAGGACTGCTACAATGTCCCCAGGATGTCTCTAGGAGACATCTTCCATATTGAAACACTGAAGCCATATGGCCTCTTTTCAGTTAAAAATTCCCAACTCCTCTTCTCCTGCTGAGATTCAAATCCCAGCCACAGAAATGACAGGATTCTCAGTGTAGCAGACATGTCATGGAAGAGTGGTCTTTTTTTTTTAATCAACAAGGCCATGTGGTAGGCCACCTGCTTCAGAATGACTCAGGTACTTGGTATAAATGTCAGTCTTACACACTCACCCACTCAACTTTTGTCTTTCACTTTTTAGCCACATACACACAGACATGACTGCCACTGCAATTTACCAAAAATGGCTATGATTGTGACTGTATCTTTAACCTTCTATTACCCTCCCCAAACACCCGTGACTATGAACACGATGAGGACATACTCACATCATATACCTGTCCCAGCTCCAAGGCTGCACCTGGCGATGCAGGGACACAGGTCCTCCCTCATCTCCTCCCACTATTTTGGAATGTTCCCAGCTGGTGTTTTACAGATGTAAAGGCACAAATATTCCCATGTTCTATTGCAGGCCCTTGTCATGGTCCTTGGCCATCAATATCAGTGCCCTCCGTGAGCACACTCTTGTAAATCCCTCCTCCCAGAGCTGCCCAAACCCTGATTCCCAAGGTGCCGGAGCAGAACAGGATGCCTTGCTCCCCTATTCTGTGCTGCACCTCTTTGCCTGGACCTTGAAGTATGGATGCTTGTGCTCAGCATCTCAAAACACCTTGTGTAAACAAGTTCTATTGCCTTTTGTCTCTGGCTCTCCCCCTGGGAATTTTAAGCAGTCTCAGAGGCTGGGCAGGGAACCACCCCTTGCCATCCCTCCCTTCATTTCATCTTTCCTTGTTTACTACCAAAAATCTTCCTCTCTCTTCAACAACAGCATCAGCAAGGCATATGTATAACTCATGCAGACACTTGGCCTGGGAAATCGCCCAGTCTCCTGGCAGAAGGAGGTGGGTCCCAGCTCAAGCCCAGCCACAATCCCCTGCTACATCAGCTTCAGTCAATGCCTCTTTGGGTCTGCATGGGCTTTTTCAGTGCAGACTAGATACTTTGGGCCATGAGGAACATCACACCATCAGACTCCAAATCAAAGATCTGTGTGGCAGATTATATTTACCGAACATGGTCAAGTATGGGTGAAGCTTTATAACTCCTTCCCACAGAATGTGTCAGAAGTGATGCTGTATAATTTCCTAGGCTAAATCATAAAAAGTCACACAGCTTCCACCAGGATCCCTCTCACTCAGGACATGTAGCTTTGGAGCTCTGAGCTACTGGGTAAGAAGTCTGGCTGCCCTAAAGTCATCACCCTGAAGAGAACCCATGGAGAGACCACTGAGAGCAGAGAGAGATTCCTGTAGACCCCTGCTGTCCCAGCTCTGGCTGCTCACATCTTCCCAGCACCAACTCCCAGACACATGGATGAGTGAAGATTTCAGCCCTTGACCTTTGAGGTGCTCCAGTTGATGCCAAGGATGCAGAGATGAGCTACTGCCAAACTCTGATCAAATTGCAGATTTATGAGCAAAATAAATGTTGTCATTGTTTTAAGCCACTAGATTTAAGATGATTTGCTCCACAGCCATAGTTACCAGGACAATCTGCAAAACCTGGGCTCTGAAACTCCAAGGTCTCATAGGAACTAAGGTTGATTTTCCCTCCCCCCTGGGTGATCAAAGCTTAAATTACTAACACCAGCAAGGATGGTGGTCCATTGGCATGTGAGCGAGGAACAGAGCAGGACTACAGGAACATGCAGACACTTGGCCTGGGAAATCACCCAACCTCCTGGCAGAAGAAAGTAGGTCCCAGCTCAAGCCCAGCCACAGTCCCCTGCTACATCATCTTCAGCCAGTGCCTCTTTGGGTCTGCATGGGTATTTTAACTGCAGACTAGATGCTTTGGGCCATAAGGAACACATATGGAACCACAGCAGGACTGCTTTCTTGGCCTCCAGGATGTATCTGCTTCTATATTTTTGAGACCTACAGTCATTTGCCTACGTGAAGTCATGAACAATAACTGCTCTAGGAAAGAGGGACTTTGCACACTGAGCTTTGAGTCACAAGGAGATGGGGTCTTGGCTACTTGGATGCCTCCCTAGATAGTTGTCACACCAGCAGAGGCTTGAAGCCCAAAAGCAGACCCTGAGATGAGTATTTGACAGCAAGTGATTTATTTGGAAGGTGATCCAAGTAAACACATAGGAAAGTGGGGAAGGGAAGGAAGCCAATAACACATGTGCTATCAGGTCAGTTAACACTATGGGCAACGGAAATTCTGCTGGGGAACTCTGGGAGACCATGTCAAATGTGCTTCAGAATTGTCCCAACCAATGGACAAGGAAGGAAGGGTAATTTCCAAAGCCCACCTGGCCTGTGCCATGCAAGCCATGAGCATACTATGTAGAGAGTGGCAGGTGCTTCCAGAAGGATGCCATTGACACACATGAGAAAGACGAGCACTGAGGGCTATGGACAGGCATCAGCAGTATCTATCTGAGCCACCTTAAAGATGGACAAAGTGCCAAGGCATCTACCATAGTAGAGCTGGTGGAAGCCATCACTTGACTGCCTGGAGATATAATCACCTAATGGGTTCTTCCTGCCTGCTACACAGACAAAATCAATTCACTAAGACCATGGCGCTGCCTTAAAAAAAAAAAAAAAAAGAAGAAAGTAAAAGGAGTTTATGGCCTGGCGTGGCAGCTTATGCCTGTAATCCCAGCATTTTGGGAGGCCAAGGTGGGAAGATTGCTTGAGCTCAGGAGTTCAAGACCCAGCTGGGCAACATAGTAAGACCTCATCTCTACAAAAAAAATAGCCAGGTGTGGTGGCACACACCTGTAGTCACAGCTACTTGGGAGGCTGAGGTGGGAGGATCACTTGAGCCCAAGAAATGGAGGCTGCAGTGAGCCATGATCACAGCACTGCACTCCAACCTGGATGACAAAGTGAGACCCTTTCTCAAAAAAAAAAAAAAAAAAAGTTTAATTGGTGAGTAGGGGATGAAGTTCTCAATCAAATTAGTCTGGAAGGCTTGGAGGTTAGGGTTTTTCAAGGATAGTTTGCTGGGCAGGGGGCTAGGGAATGGGGAATGTTGATTGGTTGGGGATGAAATCATAGGAGTGTGGGAATTGTTCTTTGTTAGCTCCTGGGTAGGGGTCACAGGACTCATTCAGTCATGAGTCATTGGTCTGGGTGGAGTCAGCCAGTTATCAGGAATGCAAAAGTCCAAAAAACATCTCAAGAGACCAATCTTAGGTTCTACAGTAGTGATGTTATCTATAGGAGCAATCTGGGACGTTGCAACACTTGTGACCTCCAAAACAATGGCTGGTTATTTGTTAACTAAGCCTACATCTTAAAGAATTCAGGCTCTCCTCTCAAAATACTAACCTTGTGACCTTTCATTAGTTTCCTGAAGGCAGTTTAGTTTGGGAAGGGCTAACAGCATCTTTTTTTTTTTTTTTTTTTTTGAGATAGGGTCTATAGGGTCTAGCTTTGTTGCCCAAGCTGAAGTGCAATGGCACAATCACTGCTCACTGTAGTCTCAACCTGCCAGGCTCCAGCAACCCCCCACCTCAGTCTCCCAAAAAGCTAGGACTACAGGGGCATACCACCACTCCCAGCTACTGTTTTTTCTTTTTTTTTTTCTTTTTATGTTTTTATTTTTTTGGAGAGACGGGGTTTCCCTGTGTTGCTCAGGCTGGTCTCAAACTCCTGAGCTCAAGTAATCCTCACACCTCAGCTTCCCAAAGTGCTGGAATTAGAGGCATTAGCCACCATGCCTGACCAAGCATCCTTGTTTTAAGATTAAACTATAAACTAAATTTCTCCCAAGATTAGCTTGGCCTATGCCCAGGAATAATCAAGGACAGCTTGCAGGTTAGAAGCAAGATGGAGTCAACTCTGTCAAATTTCTGTTACTATTATCATTTTGCAAAGGTGCTTTCAATGATGGCTAGCTCAACGAGAGGTGTGCAGCAAGCACAAAGGTCCTGAGGAAGGAACATGGAAAGCAGGTTGGGAAATGAGGTCAGAGAGAGGATGGCAGCCCAGAATATGCAGGGCCTTCTAGGCCACAGTCAGAACTTTGTATTTTACTCTGAGTACAATGCGAAGCCATTGCGTGGTTTGCAGCAGAGCAGCACAATCCAACCTGTTTTTAAGAGAATCCCTCCAGCTGCTGTGCTGAGGAAGGATAGTAAGGGGTGACCAGATGGGAGACTGCCACAAAACTGCACACAACAGTTAACAGTGTTCTGGACCAGGATGGGGACTATGGAGGCTGTAAGAAATGGGCAGTTCTGGCATATTTTGAAGGTCAAGCCACCAGGAGCATGCACAGTGTGAACAAAGGGAAGCATCAAGGGTGCCTGGAAAATGTTTTGCCTACACTCCCAGAAGGGTAGACTTGCAATTAACTGAGACAAGAAAGACCAGGAAGAGGAGGTGTTGATGGGGAAGTGACTGGAGCTTGCTTTGGACATGTGAAATGGGAGATGCCTGCTGGGCATCTGAGTGGAGATGCCAAATAGGCAGTGGGATAGATAGACGTGAATTTCAGGGCAGAGATCTGGGCCAGACTGTTCTATGCAGACCTACCCCCAAAAAGTTCAAGGAAGCTGAGAGGCTGAAGAAAGAGGCTGACATAAGCAGTTTCTCAGAAAGAAATATTTAACAGGGACTTAGGAACAGAAGCCACATCTGTATCTCGGGGGACAGCAAGACAAGGTGGTGGATCCCTGTGCCATCACCCCCAGACCCAGGGCTTGTATGCCATAGGGAAGTAATGTGTAGGACAATTGAAGCCAAGCCCCCACTTCTCCACCAGGGAAAGGCAAGAATGCTATGTGAACCTGCCTAAGGACAGGACCTATGGTCAAGCTTGATTTGACCTAAGGGTAGGATTTTTGGTATTAGTAGATAAAGTAGAAATCTTAGAGGCATTCCCAGAACAGAGGTTCATCAGAAGTCAACATGGCAGATTAGCATTCAAGATGGAGATGCTTTGGCCTCCACATGAACATATACCTTTGAGGACAAAAATGAATAATAACCCCATTAAACTGGAGGGTGTCTGTAACTCCCCTACTGATTATTGCTGGGCTCAGACAGTTGTTTTGGAAGTTGACAATGAATCCTTCTGGCAGCCCGTAGGATTCCCTTCTTGGTCTTCAGACAACCCAGTAGGATCCCTTTAGTAGGGAAACATTTCCAACATTTATGTGGCTCCCAAATTTTCAGGGCATAGGGCTGGGCTTTCACTCATGTCCAGGTCTCTCCTTTGCTCATCCCCATAGACCTTTTCTGCCCAGGCTTGTCTCTTGGTAGCTGTCTCTTGGGTGGTTGACAACTCTGAGAGGTGCCGGTGAATGGCCCCTTTATGTCCTTCCACGGATACCAATGGAGAATCAGCACCCCTTTGGCTTCAGGCACTGGCTGTTGACATTAAAGCCAAGGATGCTGGGGGAGGCAAGTTGAGCAGACACTGTCCTTGTGCAATATGGGCCCCAATGCACAGATCCAGTTACAATCTGGGACGCTCTGGCAGGGGTGGATTAGCCTCCCCTTCTGCTAGGCCCCTGGGAGGGAGGCTGAGGGGAAATCCACTGCCCCACAGATGAAGCCCAGAGCATCTCCTCTGAAGGAGTGTCATGTGAAGCTGAGCCCTTTTGGAGGTGCAGCCCCAGGGTGGTGGGGTGACACCACCAGCCCCGTGTGGACTGGACTATGGGAGACCTCTGCAGGCCACCCTCCTAGCATCCGAAAGCAACATGCCATTTCCAGTGGGTCGTCTGGACATGTTCTGAGGCATACTGGAAAAGGACCCAGATCTGCAACTTCTCTGATACTTGGAACTGCTGAATTTTCATGTTTTATGTGAGATGTTCTCATCCAAGAAGTCCCGAGTTTCCTAATAGGAACATGGTGTGTCTGCCTGAAACATTTGGCCCTTGGAAATGCTCCACATCTCCAGCCAATAAACCGTGATCTAAAACAGCCTGGGCTGCTCACGGCTGCTTCCAGCAAGATGGAAAACAAGCAGTTGGATGATGGTGTCTGAGAAATGACAGTACCAAATTTGTGCTGCGGAAACATCGCCCCCAAAAGCCACAGAGACTGAGTCCTGCCATGTTGCTCTCCTTGTCCCTTATATTTTAAACTGACTTATCAAAAGTCTATCTGGAGGGCTTTGGTTTTCTCTTGAACAATTTGACCCCAGGCCTCCTGGCAGTTTTTGTCTTTATAAAATTGTAAAATCCTTTTCTCTTTTGCTAAAAATGTTTTAGGGTCCATGTATATTCTTTGCTTCAGGAGTACTCAAGTAAATCCCAGCACTTTGGGAGGCCAAGGTAGGAGGATTGCTTGAGCCCAGGAGTTCAAGACCAGCCTGGGCAATACAGTGAGACTTGGTCTCTATTTAAAACAACAACAACAAAAAAAAAAATACTTTAAATTAAAAATTTAATTTCTAAATAAAAAATAAAATATAATAAAATTGGGTTTGGTAAAGAAACTCCATCTTGCTCACCCTCTCAAGATATAGGGGGACAGGATGGCATAGTGGAACAAGGTGGGAGGTGGGAGGTGTGAGGTGGGGTCTCACATCGGTTCTGGGGCCCTGGGCAAATTTCTAACATCTCTGCAGCTCTATTTCCTCACCTGTAAGACCTGGGGGCACAAATTAAAATGCCCCAGGTAAGGGGTCTTGTGATTCCCTAAGCAGCAAGTCCCACACCAGACACTCACACAGCCTCCCCATCTCTAGTTCTCTGGCACAAATTACAGCTACGGACCTTCTAGTCCTAATGGTCTATGTTCTAGACCTGGGATGGGAGGAACACTGGAAGCCAAAGCCTCAAACCCCTTCCAACACTCAGGCCCCTCCCTCGCCCCCTCCCTCCCGCCTCTGCCTCCAGGTGAGGCCTGGCTCTGAGGAAATTGGGAGATTTTATCATCTCTCTCAGACTCCTCAAGAGAAAATTCTTGCAATGCAAATGGACTTGGGGGAAGATGTGCCTTCAAGGGAGGAAGCTCCATGCCATCAACACAGCTTCCATCCACAGAGCAAGGCACAGAGGGCTGAGAGGGGGGTGCAGGCCAGGTTGGCCAGCAAAGAGAAACAACCACAGTGAAAAATGCCAGCAAGGGGGCCTCATTCAATGAAGAAATATTCATAAGGGCTCACTGTGCAGCAGGACCTGAGGATTCCGAAGTGGACAGAACACACAGGAGTCCATCCATGGAGCTTATGTTCTTGTGGGAGAGAGCGGGGCAGTGAACAAATACACGGGGAAACTCTACATCAGACGGTGGTAAGGAGGGAAAATAAAGCAGGCAAGTGGAGGGGATGATAGGGAAGATTTCAGCAGGAGGCTGAACTGGAGTCAAAGAAAAAAGGAAGCGGGGACCGCTGAGCACCTCTCCCTGCTTTGACCCGACGGTTGGGACAGCCGGGATGAAAATGGGGGGGTCTGCGTGGAGTGATGTGGACCCTCATTCCAGGACCACTGGCCTTTCTTACAGTCTGTGAAAGAGTCACCATACAGCTGAGCCCACCAGGGACAGCAGCTTACAGCCACATGCCACTCGGACACAAGACCGGGCCTGGTCAGCATGTAGCAAAACTGAATTTGAGTTCCTTCCACTGTGGACTGCCTGTGTTTCCTGGGCTGAGCACTCCAGGTCGCCCCACACCAGACACTTCAGGCACCTACATTACTTGCAAGTTTTTGACTTCTAACTCATGATGATGTTACAATGAGAAGTGGGAATCCCAGCCAGTCACTGTTTGCAGTGGTCCCCAATTGACTTTCTGTGCTGCAGCTGTGTGAGAATCACCCAGGAAATGGGCTAAAAGTTGAGTCATGGCATCCCCAGAGCCTGGCTCTATTCTAGTCTGGAGTAGAGATCTGGTGAATGACAGCAGCCATGCTCCAATTTGTCCACACCTCTCCGTATTCACGGCCCTGGGTGGTCCCATCCCACATGACTCTGGGCTTATCCAAATGACAGGCTTTGACCTCCTGCAATAAACCTGCAGAACTGTGAGCTAAATAAATGGCTGGTGTTTTAAGCTATTAAGTGTTTTCTTCTAGTTGTATATATTTAAGGTATATAACATGATGTTTTGATGTATATCTACATAGTGAAATGATTCCCACAGTCCAGCAAATTAACAGATCCATCTCTTCACATCCTTTTCTTTGGTGGAGGAGGTGGATGGTAAGAGCATCTAAAATCTACTTTCTTGGCAAATTAAGCCATCAAGTTTTGAAAGAGCTTGTTATGCAGGAAAAGCTAACTGATGGAAGACCCAAGGTTTGATTATTTCTCTAAGCACTCCAGGCACGTGCAATGGTGCAGTCTGGTCTGGGACCCCATGCTGTGTTTACCTCCATCACCACCACCTCCCACTACCTTTCCTCCAGCGTCACTATGTGAACATGGCTGTGGCCTTGCTGAGGGAGTGGGGCGTGGAGAAGGAGGCCTCCAGGGAAGCCTTCTACCCGAGACCCACTCCCTCTCAGTTCCCACAGAGAATGGGGTCTGCCTGGCAATGTTGGACCCCACCCCGGGATCTGATGGAAAAGTTTGGCATTTTCCAGGTTAATTCTAGAGACAGGTGATATTGGGGAACAGTCATGATAAATAACCACAGCCTAGTTCCGCGTTGGATGTGGACAAATAGAAGATATAGAAATGGGACACGCGGGTTTTCTGTCTCTTGGAAACCTGGGGCCTGAGGGAGGATGAGTTGGACAGGACAGAGATACAACATTCCAGGGCCTTGAAGGAGAAGGTTGACCCTGGGCCCTCCCAGGCCAATGGCAGAGAGGAGCACATGGGAGGGAGAGTGAGGCTTGGCAGAAGAGTGATGGTGACCCAGTGGGAAAAACACTGCTCTCACTTTTCACAAGTGGAAATTAAACTCATCCAAAAATCTCAGGAAGAAACATGCCTTTTCAGCAACAGTCAAAATCATTCTCCTAGACAATGCCCTGGTGTTGGAATAAGGATGTGAGGTTTTTGAAACCAGGGAAAGAGGCAAAGCGGGCCTTCCAAGGGCATTGCCCAGCCCTGCTCTTAGGCCAGACCTACCTCAGCGCCAGGCAGCTGAGGACACTTGAGGGAAGGGCTGCCTCAGGTTCCTTCAGTGTTTTTTCCCAAGGTTCAGCCCTTGCTCTGGTCACAAAGCTCTTCTTACTAGCCACAAGACTCTAGCCAAAAATTGGCCTTTTCTCCTAGACTAAACGTTGCATGACAATCCCATAAGTCATCCACTTACCCACTGGAAAAAAAAAAGTTATTCATCTGAGAAAATACAGCCCAGAAAATGGGCTACATAAGCCAAATTATTTTAGAAACTGCCTTTGATCCACAGGAGAGGGACTGTGGAGGAATAACTACAGCTCTACCCTTGGAGTCCACAGAGGGGGCTGCTAGGCCAAGCTCTGTGACCTTGCAGAAGGCATTTTCTGGCTGTGAAATGAGGGCTGAGCTCAAAGAGAGCTGGAGTCCTGTCCACTTCCGCCCTCGCATAGTGCAAGGATCCTGCTCAGAGTTCACCCTAGCATGACCAGCCTGGGTTTGGGAAAGGCTGTGCATTCACAGTACCAGGCAAGGAAGAGGTAAGTAACCCACGTGCAGCTGCTTTCCAAGAAGAAGTTCAAGAGAAACTGAGTCCTTGGGCGAAAGTTTTCCTCATCTGTACAGTGCGGATACTTTCAGGACCTAGCTAGGAGGGTAATGCAGACGGAAAGAGAGAATGTATGTGAGCATTAGAGCACCATGCCTGGCAGGCAGAAAGCTCTCTGTGGACATCAGCTGATGTTAATATGGCTGCTGCAGCTCTTTACCAAGGGCTCACATGTGGTGGGCATTCCTACTGGGATATAGGTCACTGATGGTGGCCTCAGGACCTTCAAGTGAGCAGTTGGTCCCCTCTCCTCTTTGACCCTCCCAAACTGGATTTTAGTTCTGTTCAACCAGTAGTTCCAAAGGGTCTTCTACACGGCAGGCCCAGAGGACAGGGGTATGCAGAGGAGCCAGGTAGGGTGTCTCTGCACAAGTGACTCAGTCCAGGGGGAGTCCCGGCAGCTGCTGCCTGCAGAAGTAGCCACATGCAGAGCCACGGGTTGGAGGTGTGTCAGCAGCCTGCTCAAGTGCGCTCATAGCCACAGGACGCAGTCTGGCTGCTCAAAACCAGCCCTCAGGTCAGATACTCCAGGGATGAGTGTTTACATTGAAGCTTGTAGCAGCTTAGCCCTCAGGCCTGATGAATCCAGTGCACACTGGCCCAGCCTCCCACTGCCAGCACCCCCATCTCTGTCTGAGGGTCTCCTCTGGTACTAAAGTCACTTTAAAGGGAGAATAAATCAATGTCCTTGGAGACCAGCTCTCAACAAGTGGCTGATGGGACGTGGTGGGTAAATGCCCCAGCTCCCTCACTCCTCAGGTGGGGCAATCCTAACGTGTTCCACCCTGGCTTCCTGAGCTCCCAGCAGGACAGAGCCCCAGCTACCACTGTAGTCATTCATTGCATAACGCACCTCAGCGGCCTTCCCTTTCCTGTGTCACTGCCTCACTCTCCCCCCATTTCCTTCACCTCCCAAATAAGCCACCTGCCCTGGAGTCCTTGTCACGGGGTCTGCTTCTGGGAAACCCAGCCTAATAAAAGCTCATGCTTTTTTCCTCGCTGGCTCTGCTTGGACCCTGAAACCCTTCTATTGGTATCATCTCCCACCTCCAGGGCCTGGCTCCTGCACTCCACATCCCCAAGCCCCAGATGAATCCTGCTATGAATTGAACTTGCCTGGTATGCAGCATCTCACCTGCCTGACTGTTGGAGCTTCCATGTCCGAGCCACTCCTGAGTTTGCCACACTCTCTGGACCAGTGCTGTGGAGGCCAGGCACCCCTCAGGGTGGGCTTCTAGAACCAGCTTAGGACTCTTCATGCCCAGTGTTAAGCCTTTGGCCCATCCCAGCACCATGAAACCCCTGCCTGCCCCTCCTGATCCTCAGCCAGCAGCCCCGGAGTGAGTCCTGGGCACCCTGGTACAGTTCACCGCTGCCATCTGGAACTCCAGCCACCAGGAATTTTACTCCAAGGCCTGGTCCCCGTGCCCGCAGCTCCTGCCTGCCTGCCTCTCCTCACCGCACCTTCACTGCGCCACTGGCTTGAAGAGGACTCTTGCTTTTCTGACCCTTGAACTCTGGGAATCTGCTCTTTGAGTTTTGTGCCTTTGGCCATTTCAGAGCCAGCTCAGCTCTGTTCAGCCTGGTCCAGGCTGTGAGGACAGCAACGCAGCAGCTATTTCTGATCTCATGAGGACTTAGACAAGTGCATGGGCAATTACAACCCACTCTGATCAGTTCTATGATGAGGAGAGTGCAGGGTACTGCAGGAGCGTGGGAGGTGCAGCTAGAGAGTGACGTCAAACCCCTGACTAAGGTCAGCCAGGAAGAGTGGGAGGGAGAAGCAGGCTCCTGGCTCAGGGAGCAGTGCGCACAAAGGCCAGAGGGGGATAAAACACTCTCCAGTGGACCCCGTGTTACTGAAATGGGAATAAACACAGGAGCCTGACAATATTTAATGACACATTCTCCTCTCCACTGAAGCTAGAATTTAAATATTTAAACGGGGATGGTTAGTTCACCGGTGAGCTTTGTTTACTCAAGGAATCCTACCTTTGAGTTCTTCCCTCTGTGTCGCCCCGTCTCTACAGGGGATAAACACCATTATCCACAGAACCATTTAGAAGATGTCAGCCAAGGTGCAAACAGCTTAATTTAGCCCTCCATGTGTGGGTTGCAGCAAACCCAAGCTCTGGGGAATCATGGGATTTCATTGCTGAGTTGTTTGCTCTAGGTAAAAGGCAGGATGCTTGAGTCAATAGATGACAAAACCAGCAGTGGGAAACCTCCACCTGATTGCCAGCCCTGCCAGCTTACCACCTCCGGCCCTGCGTAGTCATCGCTGCAAAGATGGATGGTGTATGTAGAGAGATTTGAAAAAGAAGGCCAGGGGCCTCACCTGGTCCACCATCTCTGACAGTTCCAGCTCATCTTTTCATGGGACTGCCTCGCAGAGCCGTGGCATAAGCCCCATTCCACAGGTGTGGGGCCTGGAATGGACTCAGGTGCATCCTGGGTCTTGAAGAATTTCAGTCAGTTGTGTCTCTTCTTTGTTGTCATGTCTTCTCTGATCTCTATTGAATGAATGGGGCTTGGATAGGAGTAGGGAGCGTGTTTGCTGGAGGGAAATACAAAAAGGGCTGTCCTAATCTGGAGAGGTAGGCAGCAAGAGGCAGGCAGGGTGGGGGAGAGGACAGTGGTAGCACTGAATTCATCCACACTGGGTGAAATTGACAGAATTTAAGTGGGCACTCAGATTTGCAAGAGTATTTTGTTTTCTTCTTATTTTCCTTTTTTTTTTTTTTTTTTTTTGAGACAGAGTCTTGAACTGTCGCCAGGCTGGAGTGCAGTGGTGCAATCTCGGCTTACTACAATCTCCGCCTCCCGGGTTCAAGCGATTCTCCTTCCTCAGCCTCCCAAGTAGCTGGGATTACAAGCAGGCGCCACCACACCCAGCTAATTTTCGTATTTTTAGTAGAAATGGGGTTTCACCATGTTGGCAAGGATGGTCTCGATCTCCTGACCTTGTGATCCACCTGCCTTGGCCTCCCAAAGTGCTGGGATTACAGGTGTGAGCCACCGCGCCCGGCCTTGCAACAGTATTTTCTATGCAAGTTTGACATTTGTGAAAAGGGAAAGTTTCTCTATCTCTATTCCCTCCAACACACACACACACACACACACACACACACACACACACGCACACGGGTGGTTCGCTCTTTGCCTCTTCCTGTAATCCCTCCCACTCCCTGCAAATGATGGGCCTTGTACCAGAGGAACTTACAGAGTCCCCAGGGCAGGCACCTCCTAGATGGTAACTTCAAAGTTGTTGGAGAAAGAGATTGTAGAGACGCCTTACAAAGAAATGGTAAAAAGTACACTGGATGTTAGTGGTCACGGTGAATCTGAATGCGGTGCTATTGGAAGGACAGGAAATGGCCATGCCAAATTCTGCCTAGGACAAGGATTTTACAAACAACTGCTTTTACCTGAGCCTTTTCAAAACTGTCATTTATTCCATTAATCCTACTTCCTCTAGTTATCTCAGGGAACAAGCCAGGTGGGTTATTTCCACCCTATCAGCCTTGTCTATATCCCATTCCGACCCTGTCTTTGGAAAAAGGCCCTGAACCCTTTGACCCCCCTGATTTCATATTTTCAAAATGGCCCATTTTTGTGGCTCTCCCTTCCACTGTCCCTCCAAACGCCTCACAGCATTTTGTCCTTGAGCCCACTGGAGAGACCCTGCCCAACACATACTTCACAATCCTTGTAAGACAGTGTCATAGGGTGCTAAGGAAGACAGGCCTTTGGGTGCAGCACCTGCAAATGCCCACTGCAGACAGAGCATCAGTGCTGTGTGTCCACTCACCAAGGAAGGGGCACCGAACCTGCAGAGAAGGCAGAGAGGCAGGGGGCACCTTGGGGTGAGAAATGAGGCCAGTCTTGGGCCTTGCTGCCTCTGAGAGCGAAGGGCAACAGCAGCCTTCTAGGAAATGGGACACTGGTTCCCCCAGGCTGGCCACAGCCAGTGTGTATGCAAACGACCTAACTTCTCACCCTGCTCAAAAACCGTGTGTGTGTATCAACACATGCACTGATTTTTCTGTTAATAAGTAAGTTTATATTAGAACTAGAAGACCATGGAGGACAAGGGTCAGTAAACTACAGTGCATTAGCTAAATACATCCAGTTGCTGCTTTTTGCAGACAGCAAACTAAGGATGATTTGATTTTCACATTTTTATTTTATTTTAGTTTTTATAAATTTTTTTTCTTTTAATGAGGTGGGTGTCTCACTATGTCACCCAGGCTGGTCTCGTACTCCTGGGTTCAAGCGATCCTCCCACCTCAGCCTCCTAAAGTGCTGGGATTATAGGCATGAGCCACCACACCCAGCTTATTTTCACATTTCACATTTTTTAATAGTTACATTTTAAGTATTCTCCATACATAATTTCCTCCATTTTAACTCTTGTCCAGCAAGGCCTGGGATATTTACTTTTTGGCTCTTTAAGAAAATATTCATCAACCCACAGTCACAGTCCGCATTCACCGTCCACGGTCCACATTCACAAGACAACATTCACAGTCCACAGCTGTGACCCTCAATTGAGCCAAAGTAACAGAAGGAGAAGATGTGAATATCACAATCTTCAGCTGAGAATTGGAATGTACATGTGTAGTTGGGAAAGAAGCATATTCTAGCTCCATAAAACAGGAATTTCAGTTGTAGGTTTAAGCTAGAGAAACCCTGCTGCACGTGCAAGGAAGGTCATAGCCACGCGGTACCTAACAACAACAACAAGGGAAATTGAAAACTAGGTTGTGCTGTATTAGTAGGATGGAAATCTACACAACAGTAAAAGGTTAAAAAAATTACCGAGACCTAGACACATATCATGATGAGTGGATCTCAAAAATGTTGATTAGAATAAAGCAAATTGCAGCATGAGCTGTATACTCTGAAACTGATTGCATAAATTTACAAACAAAAGTTCAAAATAAGACTTTGTTTTCAGGAGTGTGTGTGTCTGTGTGTGTGCGCGCACGTGTGTGTGTATGAAAAGATGTCAACAAATAGACTGGAAGAATGAATGTACATGATATTTTTATACTATTGCCTCTAGGGGGAGAAAAGGGAGAGAAGGAAAGAAAGAGGGAAGAAAAAGGAGGGAGGAAAAAATGAGACAGAGATGAAATGGTGGTAGCCAAAGGGAACTTCAAATGTATCAATAATACTTTATCCTCACACAGAAACACACACACACACAAATGAAAGTTTAAAAAGTGCAAATACGGGGAGGGGAACATCACATACCAGGGCCTGTCAGAGGGTGAGGGGCAAGGGGAGGGAGAACATTAGGACAAATACCAAATGCATGCAGGCCTTAAAACCTGGATGACAGGTTGATAGGTGGAGCAAACCACCATGGCACGGGTATACCTATGTAACAAACCTGCACATTCTGCACATGTATTCCAGAACTTAAAGTAAATTTTAAAAAATAAAAAATAAAAAAAACTAAACAAACTAAAAATTGCACAAAGATTCTACAGAGGAATCCCTGAAAGTTCAGCCAGGTCCCCTGTGTTATTTTAAGTGTGGGGTAGTACAGTAGAAGTTAAAAGTAAAGATTCTGTATTTATGCTATCTGAGTTCAAATCCCAGTGCCCCTACTTACCAACTGTGTGACTCTAGGCAAACTGCATGACCTCTCTGGGACTCAGTTTCTTATCTGGCAAGTGGAGATTATAATAATAGTCTATCTGTTATCAGTATAAGATCAACTGAATTGATTTCTATAAACTGTTTAAAACTGTGCCTGCCTCAGAGTAGGCATCAATAAATGTTTATGATTAATATGATTATATAGTTATCAAAAAATGATATTTTAGTTATCAAAGTTATCTGAAACTTCCCAGATTAGCACCTCCCAGAGTCCTGAAAACATCCTTCACACTAAAAAAAAAAAAAAGTGCAAATACAAACTCCGAATAATTCAAAACTGTGTACCTGCTTTATTATTCTTGTCTCCAAATCAACAGAGCATATTCTAAAATTCCCATTGTTTTGATTTAATCTTTCCCACTACAGTTAATTCATTTCAAAATTCTAAGTAACTAAAGAAAAGTGTGAGGTTTTTAGTCTAATCTAAAGGAGAATGGATATTTAAAAGTTTGAGAAACACTGGTCCGAAATGGTGGCTTTCAATTCTCAAATCAACTTAAGTATGATTTACATAAAACACACTTAACCCATCTTAATATATAGTTCAAGGAGTTTTGACCAAGATTCATACTCCTGTAACAACCACCATATTCAAGATGCAGAACACCCCCGCCCGCCAAAAAATCTCTCACCTCCTTGAAGCCCGTGCTTCTACTCCCTGCTCCCAGGCAACCACTGACCTGATTTCTGAGTGGATTTTTTTTTCACAAAACCTTTTCTTCAAACAGACATTTGAGGGGAAGCCCAAGAAATAAGCTATGTGAAGTCTCCGCTTGTCCTGGATGAAATGGGGCAGAGCTAGAAACCCTGTTTGAAAACCACAGAAGCTCAGCAGGTATCTCCTTCTTCCCAAACCTGAGCACTGCTCTTAACACAGAACATTTCTCCTAACCCCACATAACAGCAGTTCCCTTTCATTGCCTCTTGAGTGAGAAAATGCATATGTGCAGATAGAATCCACAGCCCCAGGAACTACTGGCACACCACGGTCTGAGGGCCATCCATTCCAAGATAATTTAGTCCAACCTCTAATTTTACAGGCAAGAAAACTGTGACCCAGGGTTCAGGAGACTTGCTTAAACTGGAAAAGAGGGATCAGCCACAAGCTAAAAGGTACATCTGACCTGGTTCATGCCCTCATGGAGTTGGTGGTTCTGACAACATAACTGATCTCCCCTTCTACCACACTGCCCTTAGATGGCAAATGAGATGTGTCCACTGTCTCTCCCAGGCAAGTGTTGCTGGGTTAGGGTGGGGGGTGGCAGTATCCCAGAATGTCAGGCACAGAAGTGGAATGGTACCTTCTTTTCCCCAAGACTGTGGTGCTTACAGTTGAGGGATAAATCCAGGTGGTGGCTACTCCACAAATCAAAAAGGTGGCCAGAGAGTTGTCCAACTGATGGGGATTAGTCAAAAGGGACAAGTCATGGTGCAAACTCAACCACCAGGGCCTGTCCCAGTTTCCTGCATATCACAGACATTCAGGTAAGAGTTGCCCCACTTCCACTTAGGATGTGGAAAGCCAAAAAAGAATACTTCTCCCCATGATACCAATGAGGAAAAGCCAGGAAATCTACAAAATCAAACTTTTTTGAGCCCATCAGTGTTGAGGTCACAGGGCAACCAAATGAACAAAATTCTAAAGGGCGAAAAGCCCCTCTAAGGAGAAATGGGACACACAAAGTGTTTCACCTTTGTCAGAGCACAGGAAGAAGAAGCACCCACCACAAAAGTAGACAAGAAGATATCAGCTAAAATATTAATGAATTTGAAAGGTCATGTCTGGGCCAGCATATCTGTTTGCAATTATGAGGATCCCCAGACACCAGGAGGGTTCACAGTCACTCACACATTCTTTGCCATGGGCCCTCACCAGGAACTCATGAGAAAAGAGACTGGAACAACATCCCCAGAGTGGAGCAGGTGTGCAGGTGATGCCACTAAAATACAGGTACACATCGTGCCCTCTTCCCAGACCCTACGTTCAGATGAAGCAACAGCTTTAAGCTGCTAGATTAGGGGAAGGAAATGCTCTTGAGCTCAGAATCCTGCACCAAGACAAAGCAGAGGTTTGCTACTACTGGGTAAGGGGCAGGAAACTCTTTCCCAACCAAGACACAACACAAAGACAAAACAGAGTTTGGTTTCCATGGCAGGGGGTGTGGGGAGGGAATATGCTGATAAAATTCTATCCTCAAGACTCAGGTACAGAATCCTTACCTAAGTCTGAGGCTAGACAAGGAAAATTGAGACCCTTTCTACCCCCAGTCCCCATCATGAATGCCAAGTAAAAAGCAACAGAGACTATTACTGGGGAGGGGCAAAACCTCGGGGAAACTGGCCACACAGGTACTGTTGTTAAGAGCTGTGTGTAAAACAGGAACACAGAAACAATCCCTCTAGCACTCCAATCTCCACACTAACAAAAGTCCACTGATACAGGTATATGAAGCCTGTGATGTACTGAAGGAAGTGATAGCAACTACAAAATCAAAACCCAGCTTAATTGCTGATGAGATTGATTGAACCATCCATGCTGACAGCCTGAAAGAAGAGGCATGCCCATTTCTTGTGTAAATACTATTTACTTCAGTCTCTACTCTTTTTCTACAATGTCCGGCATGCAATGAAAAATTTTAAGACACAAAAAAGCAAGAAAGAACAACACATTGTAGAAAGATATGACACTCAACAGAACCAGACTTAGAGATAGCTTACATGTTAGAACTACCAGACATGGACTTAAAATAACTATGATTAAGATGTTAAAAATCTAATGGAAAAAGTTAAAACAACATGCACGAGCAGATAGATAGGGAATTTCAGCAGAGTCAAAACAAGAGTCAAATGCAAATGCGAGACACAATTTCAGAGATAAATTCCTTCTATGGTCTTATTAGCAGACTAGACCCAACTAAGCAAGAATCCAGTGAATTTGAAGGTAGGTCAATAAAAACTATACATACTGAAACACAAAAGGCAAAAAAACAAGGTATGCAAAATCTGTGGGACAATATCAAGTTTTCTTATATACATGTAATTTAAGTCCTAAGAGGAGAAAAGAGGGAGAATTAGACAGAAGAAATACATTGATGAGATCATAGCCAATAATTTTCTAAAATTAATGAAAGACTATAAACTACAGATGTGAGAGGCTCTGTGTACCCCAATCAGGATAAAGTTAGACAGACATAGACACACAAGCACACATACACACACACACACACACACACACAAGCACAGCATAGTCAAACTGCTGAAATCCAAAGATAAAAATCTGAAGGCAGCTAGATAAAAAATAAACATTACATAAAGAGGAATAATGAGAATAATTATGGCAGAGTATTCATCAAAAGCCAGGTGAGCAGAAAGATAGTGGAGTGATGTCTTTAAAATACTAAATGAAAATAACTGTCAAATCAGATTATTTGAAAAAGCAAAATGAAGGCTTTTTCAAACACATGAAATTTGAAATAATTTACTATAACTAGACCTTCACTACAAGAAATGTTAAAAAAAGTTCCTCAGGCAGAGGAAATATGTTACCAGGTGGAAATTTGAATCTACTTTTTAAAATGGAGAGTAAAAAATGGTAAAAATGAGGGGAAATATAAAGCACATTGTTATTTTCAGTAACTTTAAAGATCATTGGCTATGTAAATCAAAAATAGTAACAATAGATTTTGAGGTTTATAAAATATGTATCAGTAAAATATATGGCAACAATACACAGAGGATGAGAGAGAATATGGAAATCTACTGTTTTAACATTCTTATACTGTATTTGTAGTGCTATAATATTTTTTGAAGGTAGACTGTGATAAAATAAAGATGTGCATTGTGAAAACTAGAGCAACCACTGTATAAAAATAGATATGCAAAATAAGCCGATAGTGGAGATACACTAGCATCATAAAAAATATCCAACACATCCAAAAGAAGGCAAGAAAATGAAAAAAATCAAAACAAAACAAAGAACACATGGGGCAGATAGAAAATAACTAGAAAGATGATAGATTTAAGTCAACTATACCAATAATTACATCGAATTTGTCTAAATGGTCTAAAACATCCCAAGTGAAATATAGAGATTGTCAAATTGGCATGCTTTCAACAGGAAATCCACGTTAATATAAAGACAAGATAGATAACCAATAAAAGCGTGGGAAAAGGTACACCATACAAACACTAACCAAAAGAAAGCTAGAATGCTGTATCAGCATCAGACAAGGAATAAGACCTCCTAGACTTCAGAACAAGAACAATTGCCAGGGATAAAGAGTATCACTACATAATGATACAGAGAACAATTTACCAAGAAGATATAACAATACTAAGTGTGTAGGTGCCTAACAACATAACTTCAAAATATATCAAACAAACGCTCGTAAAAGGGAATGGAGAATAGACAAATCCACAATTATATTTGGAGAAACTATCACTCCCCTCTCAGTACTCAATAGAGCACGTAAACAGAAAAAGCAGTTAGGGATATGGGAGAGCTATACAATACTTCAGGCCAAGTAAAACTTATTTAACTTTAAAGAACCTCCACTATCCAGTTCGAGACCATCCTGGCTAACACGGTGAAACCCCGTCTCTACTAAAAACACCAAAAAAATTAAAAGAGCAGGGAGGTGGGCGCCTCCCAGCTCCTTGGGAGGCTGAGGCAGGAGAATGGCATGAACCTGGGGGGCGGAGCTTGCAGTGAGCTGAGATGGCACCACTGCACTCCAGCCTGGGCGACAGAGCGAAACTCCGTCTCAGAAAAAAAAAAAAAAAGAACCTCCTCTATCCAACAACAGCAGAATACACATTATTTTCAAGTACAAATGAAACATTCACCAAAAATAACCATATTCTGGGCCATAAACAAATCACAGCAAATTTAAAATCATTCAATTCATATAAAATACGTACTCTATATACAAAATATATCCTCTATCCGATGGAATTAAACTCGAAATTTATAACAAAGAAATCTTGAAAATCTTTAAGTATTTGGAAATTAAATAATAATTGTTGAAATAAAGGGAGAAAAAGAGGAAGAGGGAGGAAGGAAGGAGAGGGAAATTGAAGAAATGAAAGGACAGAGGGAGGACAAATGGAAGAGAAAGAGAAAGACAAGAGAGAGCAAACAAGTGTGTGTATGAAAGAAGGAAGTAGAGCGGGAGGGAAAAAAAGAGTAGGCATGACCTGGAATATTTTTTAACCCAAAGAAGGGGCCATGGGTGGCTTTTTGGTCTCAGATGAGAAACTACCTGAAGTTGATCAAAGAAGAGCCAGGAGGAAACAATAGTGATGGGTCTTCTGTGTGGTAACAATTCTGTCCTAAACATTGCAGAGTTAGTCAAGCCCAGTGCCTAACCCATTGCTCCTGTTCCCTGTTATAGAGTAGGTCTTAGGGACCCATGCCTCCTTTCGGTTGAAGACATCATCAGAGGTTTTCCCCAGTTGAAAGTAAAAGATGCTCTACATCCTGTCTGCTCAGCCCACCTCTGATTCCAGGCAGAGTGGTGGACATTTCCTTAGGAGCTCAGATTCATCCAGCAATGATAGCTTTTCGCCTCAAGCACATGCACATGCCCCCTGTTCTCCTGCTCTCTCTCCCCAGGGTCTGCTTCCACAGTGCACCAGACCCTTTCAGGTCCAGTAGCAGAGCAGCCAGATGAGAGGGAGGTGAACATCCCAGGGGCTACCACAACCAGCAGGGGAGCCAGGCCCACAGATAAGTGTCCCAGCCTCTCATCCTGCTTCTCAGAGGTCTGAGCAAAATCAAGTCCTGCTGCTCAAAGCAACACATTCTCAAACTGATTCTTTTTTCTTCTCTGTCTCATTCTACCTGCTCTTCCCACCTGACTCCTGGGTTCACCTCCCAGAAAACTACTTGCACTCAACTTTCTCTTCTCAGGTTCTACTTTTGGAGGGAAACTCAAACTAAGACAGATTCCATTACTGAAGGCACAGGATTGTCTGGCTTTGTCAACCCAGAAAGAGTCATTCCTGTTGTTCCTGAGCCCCCATCAAGGAACAGCTACACACACTAGGAAGAATCATTCAACTTGGTCATTCTTAAGAGATGAACCAACCAGCTAGGTATGGTGGCCCACACCTGTAATCCCAACACTTTGAGAGGCCAAGGCAGGCAGATCACTTGAGACCAGGAGTTTGAGACCAGCTTGGCCAACATGGCAAAACCCCGTCTCTACTAAAAATACAAAAATTAGCTGGGAATGGGGGTGCACACCTGTAGTCCCAGCTACTCAGGAGGCTGAGGTGAGAGAATACCTTGAACCCAGGAGGCGGAGGTTGCATGAGCTGTGATGGCACCACTGCACTCCAGCCTGAGTGATAGAGTGAGACTCTGTCTCCAAAAAAAAAAAAAAAAAAATGCAAGAAAAAAAAAAGAGAGATGAACCAACCACTCACTCTGGGGAGAGGGAAGAGGCAGAATGAAGACTGCCCTCACAGGGACCAGTTATTGCTTTTGCATTTTCTCCACTAACGTTAACTCCAGAGGAGCCAAGAACATGTGGTCGGACAGCCAACTGTCCCTGAGTTATCTAATTCCCAGGCCTTCCTCAAGCACCTATAAATATACATACACAGTGCAGGGCCTAAAAAGGGAAATCAAATCGTGACAAATTTATGACATTTTGGACTTGGATTGTCCTCAGCCAATCTTTCTACGCTTCTACAAGGAGAGAGTCGGGGCCATGTGCCACAGAGCCTAATGACCCCGATGACTAAAAGCAGGCAAGGAGTATGACAAGCCCAGACTTGGAGCAGTTCCCCAAGCAGCATGGCCAGCCAAGGCCTCCTCGCCTCCCTGTTCACCCTGACCTCTGCAATGAGTAACCTCTCCTCCCTCCAGCTCAGCCACCAATCTATCAAAAGAGAAAAGACATCCCTCTCCCTTTTAGGAGCAAAACATCCTCAAAGCAGAGAAGTTAGAGCTATTCAGAGGCTCCTAGAGGGATTCCCAAGGAAATTGTCAGTGGGAAAGTGTGGAGCTCTTTAACTCCTTCGACCCAGGTCTGAACTTCATGGAGAGCCTCTTGTGTGCAAATAAGACACCAAGCAGGACACAGAGACGAGGAAAACCCCATGCCCACCTGCAACAAGATTGTGGAGGGAAACGCAAACTAAAACAGACTCCAGGTAGAATGGCAACAAACAGCCCAGGAAGATGAGACTCTTGGACTTTCACAAAAAGTGCTTCCTGTTAGCAGCTCCTTTTATAGTTCATGATACAGCAGAGGATAGAAATATGACAAGTGCTACAGGTTGTGTCTGTACACCCAATTTCCAAGTGGAAAACTGAGTTAACAAGATGCTGAGGGATTTATAGCCCAGTGAGAAATTTAACAAAGTTCCAAATAGGGAAAGGGAGTCCCTGGAGCTCTGCCTACTAAGGAATAGCTCCTATAAGGCCAGGCCAGGCCTGCATCTGTGTCTTCTGCTGTAGGCACTTACATTGGCCTAGGGGCACCCAGGGAGAAACTCACTCGGCATACATTTGTTTGCTAAGGCTGTGGGGTGCACACCTAACCCTAGTCATGACATCACCCTTAGAACCCATGGAATTCTTCTTTTAATAGCATCTGAAGCTGAACCTCAGAGAGATGCTCTGATTCAAGATGGGATAAGAAAGAGAGCCTCTCCACCAGCCTTGAGGATAGACCTCAAAGCACCCCAAAATATTTAGACCTATTCATCTGGCCTTTTTCAGTCTTAATTGATTTCCAAATTCCAAGATTCTTAGCATATTTCCATGCTGAGGCAAGGAAAGATGGCTGCAAATTCTTCAACATTCTCCCAACAGGAGGGGGAGTCTGAGTCCCCACCCTTAAATCTGGGCTAGCCTTAGTGACTTCCTTTTCCAAAACAATGTGGCAAAATTGTTCTGAGAATTCTGAGGCTAGGTCATCAGAAATCTTGCAAGAAGTGTCAACCCAACTTCTGCCTGGGTCACTAGGAACTCTCACTCTTAGGACACTCCCACTCAGAACACAGCCATCGCATTGTGAGAGGCCCAAGCCACACACAGAGGCCGCACACCAGTGCTCTGGTTACAGCCCCAGCCAACAGCCCTTATTACTGCCAGCTGTGTAGATGAGGCACCAGGTACTCAGCCCAGCCAGGCTCCCCAATAACTCCAGCCCCACAGCTGCATAGAAGTCGCTGAGTGAAACCTACCCAGATAAGCCCATCCAACCTACAAAAGCATGAGAAATAATAAAACATTACTGTCTTAAGCCATTAAGTTTGGGTGTCATTTCTGCCCAGCAAATAGATAACAAGAACAATTGTATGGGAGAGGTTGGTGAAAGCCAAGTCCCCTACCCACAGGAAGGGGCAGGTTCCCCTAATTGCATTGTGAGAGGCCTTTTCCTTATGGCTCTTCACTTCTCCTGTTCCAAACTCCTACAGAATGCAACAACTGGACATCAGAGTCAACAGGAGCTGGGATGACTCTCAAATCTACATGCTTCATTGTACAAAGAATGTGAAGCTCAAAGAGATAAGGGTAAGTTGGGGACAGTGCCAGGGCTGCAGGCTGGCTCTCGACTTGCAGTCCCATGCTCCCGCTATGGCACTATGCCACTAACCATCTGCCCTGGAGCAGGACAGGTAAGTCTTCAACACACCTAACTCATTTCCTGGCAGAGTTACTCTGAGAACCACAGCAGCACTGCTTGCAATGTGAACTCTGAATTAATCTACTCTCCACAAGCTCACTGCAGTGCCTAGAAGGGCAGGCTGCCAAATGATGCCCCTTAAAATTACTCACTTACCTGTTTTGAGCATCCATTGTATGCCAGGATATGAGTTGGCCATAGATGTAAGGAACACATGCATGAATAAAGTAGAATCACTTCCCTGAAGCTATTGGGCTAGGCCAGGTCATAGACACAATCTGCTGCAGTGCCTTGAAATGAACACTCAAACAGCATTATTATGGGGACAGCAAAAGGCCGCTTTTGGGAGAGAAAAGCAAGGCTTCAGAGTGGTGGCATTTGAGCAGGCTTTGAAGAATGAGCAGGAATTGACAAGGCAGGAAGCAGATGTGAGATGAGAGTCCAGGCAGAGAGAAAGAAGCAAAGGTTTAGACTGGTCAAAGACCAAAGCCTGCTTCAGCCCTTCAAGTATTCTGAATGTCAAATGAGTCAGAGTCATGACGGAATGAGACAGGAACGGTAGACTGAGGTTGAGCAAGGTTGGCTTACATGCAGGGCAGGGTAAATATTTAGGAGTTTATCCTGTGGAATAAATTGGACATCGTATACCAGTAACAGGATAGATGTGTTTCACAACGGTGACTTTGGCAGTGGAGAGAGTAAATTAGGGCTGTATATTAGTCAGCTTTTGCTAAGTAACAAACACATCAAAAACAATAATAAGCATTTATTTTTCATTCTCGCACCTGCATTTGGGCTTAAGTATGGCTGACCTGGGCTGGGCTTGGGTGGGCTTGGCTCCAGACAACAAGTGGGGTGCAGGTCTGCTTCACATGTCTCTCATGCTTCTTGCACCAAAAGCTGTCTAGGGCATCTTCCTGCTTGCAGCAGTGTAAGAGGGCAAGCCCAACTGTGCAAGCACACTTCAAGCCTCTGCTCCAATCACACTTGTGAACATGTCAATCTGACAAAGCAAGTCACCTTACCAAGCCCTAGGCCAAGGGACCATCCATCATAAGGTCATGGCAAGAGGATGGACGAATAATTCTCTTACAGAGGCATGAAGAATTGGGAACAATAATCCAAACTACAAGCCAGGAAACACAGAAAGAAAGAAGGCTCATGAAGAAGATCCTTGCACAGGTCCAGACAGGAGGTGATGAGCATCAGAACAGAGCAGTGGCAGGAGGAAAGATAACAGGAATGAGAATCTACAGGAGTAGGAGAGAAAGCAGGGCAGGACCATCCCTGTGACTTCTAGCTCAGCAACCAGGCAGTACGGTAATCAGGTGGGTGAGGTTAGGAAGCCACGAAAAGCTCAGCTTGGAATGTGGTTAATAAGGAGTTCTAGATGGAACCTATTTGGTCATTGGAGTCAGGCAAGTAAGTTCAAGAATTAGCTGAAAATTCATGTGGGGGCTTAACTGGGCTGGAGGCAGATCTTACAAGGCAACTAGACGTGCCCTGTAAAATGTGGTAATTTGAATCTGCATTTTAAAAAGGTTCTCAGGTGATTGGTGTGCACAATAGAGTTGATTTGAGAATAGGCATTGACTCCAGACTGCCTGGGTTCAAAGCCTGGCTCTGCATCTTGCTAGATACAACCACAAGGAAATGAGTTACGGTAAGAACCAGTGAGCTTGGAAAAGGATCCCAAGCCTTAGGAGAGAAGACAGTCCCAGCCACCTTGATTTCAGCCTGAAAGACCCAGAGCAGAAGACCCGGATTACCTATACCCGGACTCCTGGCCCACAGAGACTATGACACAATAAATGTGTGTTGTCCTAAACTGCTAAATGTGTAGTGATTTGTCACACAGAAATGGAGAACTATTACAGACAGATCCTGATCCCAGAGGTTGGCAGTCTACAGCAGGTATAAAGTTGTGGTATACAGTTGTGGTATAAAGCCACTGAGAACCTAGGTTCCTTAGCTCTCTCTGTTCCTCCTTTCTTATCATATGACTTCCCTGTTCATACAGCTTATCCAAATGGGCCAAGATGGCTGCTGAATCTCCAGCCATTCTAGCCATATTCCAGGAACAGGAAAGATGAAGAAGGGAAAGGCCAGAGAGGCATACCCTGTCAGTCTTTCTCTCAATTTAAGAAAATATTCTAGAAGTCCTATTTCACAGCTACTGCTTATATCTTATTAGCCAGAACTTATTCACATGGTCATACTTAGCTGAAAGGAGACTAGAAAAAGTAGCTGGGTACAACTGCTGCTCTTAAAAAGAAACAACGTACTTGGAAGACTGAGGCAGGAGGATCCTGGAGACCAGGAGGTCAAGGCTGCAGTGAGCTATTATTACGCCACTGCACTCTAGTCTGGATGATAGAGCAAGACTCAGTTTCATTATTTTGAGATACGTTCCATCAATACATAGTTTACTGAGAGATTTTAGCATGAAGCGATGTTGAATTTTGTCAAAGGCCTTTTCTGCATCTATTGAGATAATCATGTGGTTTTTGTCATTGATTCTGTTTATGTGATGGATTACATTTATTACTTTGCATATGTTGAACCAGCCTTACATCCCAGGGATGAAGCAGACTTGATGGTGGTGGATAAGTTTTTTGATGAGCTGCTGGATTCAGTTTGCCAGTATTTTATTAAGGGTTTTCGCATCAATGTTCATCAGGGATATCAGGGATATTGACCTGAAGTTTTCTTTTTTTGTTGTGTCTCTGCCAGGTTTTGGTACCAGGATGATGCTGGCCTCATAAAGTGAGTTAGGGAGGAGTCCCTCCTTTTCAATTGTTTGGAATGGTTTCAGAAGGAACTATTTCAAAGTTCCTTCTGGTAGAATTCAGCTGTGAATCTGTCTGGTCCTGGGCTTTTTTTGGTTGGTAGGCTATTAATTACTGCCTCAGTTTCAGAACTTGATGTTAGTCTATTCAGGGATTCGACTTCTTCCTGCTTTAGTCTTAGGAGGGTGTATGTGTCCAGGAATTTATCTGTTTTATCTAGATTTTCTAGTTTATTTGCATACAGGTGTTTATAGTATTCTCTGATGGTAGTTTGTATTTCTGTGGGATCAGTGGTGATATCCCTTTTATCATTTTCTATTGTGTCTATTTGATTCCTCTCTCTTTTCTTCTTTATTAGTCTAGCTAATGGTCTATTTTATTAATTTTTTCAAAAAACCAGCTCCTGGATTTATTGATTTTTAAAGGGTTTTTCATGTCTCTATCTCCTTCAGTTCTGCTCTGATCTTAGTTATTTCTTGTCTTCTTCTAGCTTTTGGATTTGTTCGCTCTTATTTCTCTAGTTCTTTTAATTGTGATGTTCAGGTGTTGATTGGAGATTTTTTAGCTTTCTGATGTGGGCATTTAGTGCTATAAATTTTCTTCTTAACACTACTTCAGCTGTGTCCCAGAGATTCTAGTACATTGCCTCTTTGTTCTCATTGGCTTCAAAGAACTTCTTGATTTCTGCCTTAATTTCATTATTTACCAAGGAGTCATTCAGGAGCAGGTTGTTCACCTTCCATGTAGCTGTGTGGTTTTGAGTGAGTTTTTTAATCCTGAGTTCTAATTTGATTGCACTATGGCCTAAGAGACTGTTTGTTATGATTTCTGTTCTTTTGCATTTGCTGAGGAGTGTTTTACTTCCAATTATGTGGTTGATTTTAGAATAAGTGCCATGTGGCTCTAAGAATACATATTCTGTTGATTTGGGGTGGAGAGTTCTGTAGATGTCTATTAAGTCCACTTGATCCAGAGTTGAGTTCTAGTCCTGAATATCCTTGTTAATTTTCTGTCTCATTGATCTGTCTAATACTGACATTGGGGCGTTAAAGTTTCCAACTATTATTGTGTAGGAGTCTAAGTCTCTTTGTAGGTCTCTAAGAACTTGTTTTATGAATCTGGGTGCTCCTGTATTGGGTGCATATATATTTAGGATAGTTAGCTCTTCTTGTTGCATTGATCCCTTTACCATTATATAATTCCCTTCTTTGCCTTTTTTGGTCTTTGTTGGCTTAAAGTCTGTTTTGTCAGAGACTAGGATTGCAACCCCTGTTTCTGTTTTTGTTTTTGTTGTGTATCTTTGTTTTGTTTTGTTTTGCTTTGCTTTCCATTTGCTTGGTAAATTTTCCTCCATCCCTTTATCTTGAGCCTATGTGTGTGTCTTTGCATGTGAAATGGGTCTCCTGAATACAGCACACCAATGGGTCTTGACTCTTTATCCAATTTGCCAGTCTGTGTCTTTTAATTGGGGCATTTAGCCCATTTACATTTAAGGTTAACATTGTTATGTGTTCATTTGATCCTATCATCATGATGCTACGTGGTTATTTTGCATACTAGTTGATGCAGTTTCTTCATAGTGTCATTGGTCTTTATATTTTGATGTGTTTTTGCAGTGGCTGGTACTGGTTTATCCTTTCCATATTTAGTGCTTCCTTCAGGAGCTCTTGCAAGGCAGGTCTGGTGGTGATGAAATCTGTCAGCATTCACTTGTCTGAGAAGGATTTTATTTCTCCTTCACTTATGAAGCTCAGTTTGGCTGGATATGAAATTCCAGAATGTTGAATATTGGCCCCCACTGTCTTCTGGCTTATAGGGTTTCTGCTGAGAGATCCACTGTTAGTCTGATGGGCTTCCCTTTGTAGATGACCTGGCCTTTCTCTCTGGCTTCCCTTAACATTTTTCCTTCATTTTAACCTTGGAGAATCCGCTGATTATGTCTTGGGGTTGCTCTTCTCGAGGAGTATCTTAGTGGTGTTCTCTGTATTTCCTAAATTTGACTGTTAGCTTGTCTTGCTAGGTTGGGAAAGTTCTCCTGGATAATACCCTGAAGTGTTTTCCAACTTGGTTCCATTCTCCCTTTCTCTTTCAGGTACTCCGATCAATCATAGGTTCAGTGTTTTTACATAGTCCCATATTTCTCAGAGGTTTTGTTTGTTCCTTTTCATGTTTTTTCTCTAATCTTGTCTGCCTGCCTTATTTCAGCAAGATGGTCTCCAAAGTCTGATATTCTTTCTTCTGCTTGATTGATTTGGCTATTGATACTTGTGTATGCTTCACAAAGTTCTCGTGCTGTGTTTTTCAGCTCCATGAGGTTATTTATGTTCCTCTCTAAACTGGTTATTCTAATTAGCATCCCTTGTAACGTTTTATCAAGGCTCTTAGCTCCTTTGCATTGGGTTAGAACACGCTCCTTTAGCTCAGCAGAGTTTGTGATTACCCACCTTCTGAAGCCTACTTCTGTCAATTCATCCATCTCATCCTCTGTTCAGTTCTGTGCCCTTGCTGGAAAGGTGTTGCACTCATTTGGAGGAGAAGAGGCACTCTGGCCTTTTGGGTTTTCAGGGCCTTTTTGTTGATTCTTTCTCATCCTCATGAGTTTGTCTAGTTTTGATCATTGAGGCCACTGACACTTGGATGAGGTTTTTGTGGGGACTTTTTTGTGATGCTGTTGTTGCTTTCCATTTGTTTGTTTGTTTATTTGTTTTTCTTTCAATGGTCAGGTACCTCTTCTGTAGGGCTGCTGTGGTTTGCTGAGGGTTCACTTCAGGCCCTATTCACCTGGTTCACTCCACGCCTAGAGATGTCACTCAAGAAGGCTGGAGAATAGCAAAGATGGGTGCCTGCTCCATCCTCTGGGATCTCTGACCTCGAGGGGCACCAACCTGATGCCAGTAGGAACACTCCTGTATAGGGTGTTTGACAACCCCCACACAGGGTGAAACTTTAACATCCATATTTCTATCAACAGTCTGTCCAAGAAATCTAGGCTTTTTCTATCATGGTCCTCAAAGTTCTTCCAGCCTTTACCCATTAGCTAATTCCAAAGCCACTTTCATATTTTTAAGTTATTATTTGTTAGAGTAGCACTCCATTTTCAAGTACCAAAATCTGCAATAAATTGCCATATAGTTAATGGCTTAAAGCAACATACATTTACCCTCTTGTATTTCTTGTACAATAAAGTCTAAAATCAATATGTCAGCAGAGCTGCAATCCTTCCAGAGGCTTTAGAGCAAATCCATTTTCTTGCCTTTTAGTTTCTAAAGGCTGTCTTCATTCCTTGGATGATAGCCCCTTCCTCACATCACTCCAACCTCTTGCTTCCATTACATCTCTACATCCTAACTCTGTCTCTTTCTTGTAATTACATTGGGTCTGCTCAGATAATCAAGGATAATCTCTCCAACTCAAAATCCTTCACTTATCTGAAATGTGAAATCCATCATATTTGAAAATTCCCTTTTCCCATGTAAAGTAATATATTCACAGGTTCATAGTAATATATTCCTTAGGACATGCACATTTTTGGAGGGTTCATTCAGCCAATGAAAATATTGTAATGGTGAATACATGGCACTGCACACTTGCCAAAACCCATAGAACTTGATGGCACAATGAATGACCCTTAATGTATGCAATGTAAAAAAAAAAAATCATTTAGGATGTTAGGAGATCCCAGGATGGAATGCAAAATGTGATAAAACAATCTAACTGCATTAAAAATGTATGCAATAACCTGAATGAAGAAGTTTGAGGAAACAGTGTATACCTAAGTAGCTTTAGAAATAAAAGGGAAACCAAGGAACCTTGGAAAAAAGACTGGGGCAAGAAAGATACAAAAGGAACCTAACCTGGAGTATCTTGTACCACCAGAAATAAGAAGTGCTCAAGAAACCTCCACAACAGTAGCTTATGTTGAAAAGACACAAGAGCCAACTGAAAGAGCTCCAAATGACCAAAGCTGGAACAATTTGAACAACAAAATAAACTAGTATTGAATTATAACTAAAAGCATAAAATAGGCCAGGCACCACCAGTGGCTCATGCCTGTAATCCCAGCACTTTGGGATGCCAAGGTGGGAAGATCACTTGAGTCCAGGAATTCAAGGCCAGCCTGGGCAACATAGGGAGACGCTATCTCTATAAAAAAATCAAACACTTAGCTGGATGTGTTGGTGTGTGCCTGTATTTCCAGTTACTTGGGAGGCTGAGGTGGGAGAATTTCCTGAGCCCAGGAGGTCAAGGCTGCAGTGGGCTATGTTCACACCACTGCACCCCAACCAGGGAGACAGATCAAAACTCTGTCTCAAAAAAAAAAAAAAAAAAAAGAAAATACAAAGTATAAAATCAAATAAATATCTCTAAGTCCATAATAACCCAAATAAATGTTTGAATAACTCAAAATAAGGATAGAAGAAACAAATCTCCGTGCAGAAGAATTCCAAATAATTTGTGTAGATACTCCACCCTCAAGGAGACAGAGCAAAACTTGCCAGTCCTTTAGTGGGTGCTGCTGATGATAAGTTACTTTCTAAGAGGAAAAAGGAGTAACTTCACAGTGGAGAGAGCCAACAAAGACTACTTCAGCCAGGTGTTGAAGGTTGACATCAGCAGTGATAGGTAATTTTGATAGTGTGGACCTTTGATTTGAGGGTGAGGAAAATGTCACTTGACCTCTGTGGTCTTCCTCCAAAAAACACATCACTGCAGTCTAATCATGAGGGGTAAAAAATCGGACAAATCTCATTAGAGGAGCATTCTACAAAATACTGACTAATACTCCTCAAAACTGCCAAGGTTGTCGAAAACAAGAAAAGTCTGGGTAACTATCTCAGCTGAGAGAAGCTGATATGACTGCTAAATTCAATGTAGTATCCTGGTGGGATCCTGGAACAGAACAAGGACTTTAGGTTAAAACTAAGAAAATCTGAATAATGCATAGACTTCAGTTAATAACAATGTATAAGTATTGGTCCATTATTATAACAAATGTCTTATACTATATTAAATATTAATAAAGGGAAAACTGGGTTTGGAGTATATGGAAACCCTCTTCTACCTTTGCACTTTCCCTGTAAATTTAAAACCATTATAAAATAAAAAGTTCATTTCAAAAAAAAACTAATAGGGAGATATTAAAGTGTTTAGCTTGGGGAAGACTGTGACAGTCCTAGGGTTTGGGAAGACAGTGCTATTGGGTTGAAAGAGGAAATGGCTGGAGTCCAAGATGTGGATGGCTTAGACAAGGGTCCGTGAGAACAATCAGGAGATTCTAAATCCCTGGGTTTTACCAATTTACCCCATTAAAAAACCACATTACCCGTGGTAGCAGGTGCCTGTAATCCCAGCTACTCTGGAGGCTGAGGCAGGAGAATCGTTTGAACCTGGGAGGCAGAGGTTGCAGTGAGCCGAGATTGCACCACTGCATTCCAGCCCGGGCAACAGTGTGAGACTCCAACTCAAAACACACACACACACACACACACACACACACACACATTACCCCAGCACTATCAAGTGTTGTTATGAAGTCCATGGGGCCATACCTCACTTTGGATACCAGGGTCCTAAGTTAGATGGATTAAACGGGTATGAGATTCGAGCTAAAAACAAATGGCAAGGTGAACAGAAAGTCAAAAGACAAGATCTAATTGTTCAAAGGTACATGGTTTTACAAATTTAGAAACTTGGTCTTGGCCAGGCGTGGTGGCACGCACCTATAATCCCAGCTACTTCGGAGGCTGAGGCAGGAGAATCGCTTGAACCCAGGAGGCGGAGGTTGCAGTGAGCCGAGATCACACCACTGCACTCCAGCCTGAGTGACAGAGAGAGACTCTGTCTCAAAAAGAAAAAAAAAAAGAAAAGAAAGCTGGTCTCAATAGGCGCTCTCCAAAGAAGACCAGGAGGTGAATAGCTAATAGCTTAGGACAAATAACCTGAGATTTCATCCAACTCTAAAACCCTCTTTTCTGTGATTCTAGCTTGTACCATTCTTCTTAAATAATAGTCTTCATTCCCTCTTATAAAACATGTCTGAGGCTGCTCCGAAGAAACTGAAGGTATTCAGCAAAGCAAGTTTTGGTCAAATTCATTTGGCTTTAGTGTTCTGCTCCCCAGCAGAAAACCAGGTCAGTCAATCAGAATGCAATTTGCTGAAAGCCTGCTTTTTGGACGTGAGCATTAAGCCAACACCAGGAGAGAGGAAAAAACACAAGGCATGACAGTGGAGGCTTGCATTCGCAGAAGGGAGCGGCCATGCACTTGGCTAAGATGGGGTATTTTGAGGTAAACACCTGAAATTGAGCAGTTTCCTCATTTCTGTCAACTGCAGATTGGGAGGCAGAAGTTAAATGCAGGCATTTTTCCTCTCCACAAATGAAATGCAGTGTTCAGAAAACTCTTTGTAAAGTGTTTCCTGGATAGCTGTGATTTGCAGACTGTGTCCCTGAACCTAGACAACAGAGAGCTCTTTTGGACACGTTAACAGGGCATGAAGCTCTAATAATCTCCAGCTCAAGAAATCCACAAGTCGTTACCCCTCTGCCCCCAAAAACCTTCCGGGTAAGAGAAATCAGCAACAAAGTTAGCTGCTTACATTGCAGGAGGGAGGAGGGAAGGAATGGGGGGATGGTGGCTGGTTTTTTGTTGTAGTTGTTGTTGTTTCTGTTTTCTTGGTTTTTTATTTTGGTTGGTTGGTTGGGGGGTAGGTGGTTATGCTGTCTGGTTTTGGTTTTGTCTTTGTTGTTGTTGTTGTTGTCTGGTTTTGGTTTTGTCTTTGTTGTTGTTGTTGTTGTCTGGTTTTGGTTTTGTCTTTGTTGTTGTTGTTGTTGTCTGGTTTTGGTTTTGTCTTTGTTTTTGTTGTTGTTGTTTTCAGGCATCACTCTTGTTTATCTAACCAAACTGTAAGCCCCTTGAAGGATAGTGCCATGGATGTTACGCATCTCAAGCCCAGCCCAATAACAGGGTCTTACTTACAACGAGATGCACCAAAGACTATGTCAGTAATGGCAGTAAAGGTTCATGGACAGTTTACATGACACAGGCTTAGGCAACAGCCTCTGCTGCCGGACAGGTGGAGTCCTTGTCCCTTGGGTCTAAGTGAAAAACAAGGAACAAAAGAGAGTCTTTAGACCATGGATTTCTCTTCAAGTCAAAGCCACCAGCCCAAGACAGCCCTGTTTTTTTCCATATTTGGGAAAAGCATGCCTGGACCTGGCACAGGTGGTCTCATCCTATTCAGTCCACGTCTGTTGTATTTGTAGCTCACAGAACCAATTACCACAGAAATACAGAGGAAGGGGCCGAAGCAGTTTCAGTGTGATGTGACACAGACAATCTTTGACCTTTCTCTTTAAAAAAGAAAAATTACCTGCATATGTGTATAAGTAGATACAAAATAATTATGTATTTCCCCAAAGGAAGGAGAAAACAGCAGGCAAACTGCAGACACTTTCTTGGTTCATCTCTCTTCTGTTTTGGTTCAAAAGGCAGCCCTGAACCTTCCCACCTACACTTCTGGTATCTGGCCTGTCGGCAGAAACTTGTCTGTGTGCTGCCTGCAGTTTTACTGTTGCAGGATGAACTGCAGCGGAAGATAAGCACGTCCATCACAGCACACTAGAAACAGCCCTCTGATTGCCAGGATCCAGGGACTGGAAGAAAGACACCATTTATTTTTTAATGTAAATGACTGCATCAAACGCTTCTTGTCACAAATTCTGGAGCAAGGGAGCCATTATACATCACAGCGAGGTAGCGAGACCTCTAGAAGATTCTGTGACATAACCTTTCCAAGAGCCAGGTCCATCTTAACACACAAACGGGCTCTAGGAGAACATTCAACACAGTACAGCTGTGCCTGTTTGCCCCAGAGCTCCCCTTCAGCATCCACCTATTCACTATCACTTGCAGCATGGCCCCCATGGTGAGGACTGGTGACCCAGGTCTCACTGACACTATTTTACATACTGGGGGGACCCTGGTCTGCTGCAGTCAAATTTCCTCCTTTGGCTTCTGCTTGGATAACCCAGAAGGCATCTCGCCCTTCTCATTCTAACTCCGTTTCATTCTTTTGGCCTCCCAGATGTTAAGGATGCTTTTTATGAGTGAGGAGCAATACTAAGTTTTTGTATTGATAAGTAATACAGATGTGTGGGGGAGTCACATTCAGTGCACATGACTCAGATGAGCAGAAAAAGAGAGATACAGCTTCTGGAGACGCTGAGACTTCTGCTTCCCGTAAATGCAGGCCAGATAACTAACTGGACAACAACTAGGCAAAACCTCTCTCGTGGAAGAACCATCTTCTTAAAAGCACCAATTTTCTAACAAGAAACAGTGCTGTGGTAGGTGACCCCGGCTTGCTTGTACTTTGCCCCTGGGTGCCATTACTAAGTGTTAATGTTGTAAAACAGTCTAATGGGGGCCTAGTTCTCCAAAGAGAAAATGAGGGAATGAGGAATTTGCACAATAGTCTGATTCACAGAGCTCAGAGTCCCTGTGTCACTGCATTATAGCATAAAGTGGTAATTGACAATCATAATGATGAACAGGAGGCTTCAAGGAAAGTTTAAACCATACAGATCCTCTGCTTCAGGGTATTGCTTGCTATAGAAAGCCTTCTCTCCCAAGTGCTCAAAATGTTTCATGACATAAAATTTGCCTTGACATTTAAAGGTATACGTGAAAAATGCATTTACATGGAATGTTGTGTTCTCAAAGAATACTGGATAAATGAGACGTTAGTGTGTTCATATTTTCTTTTAAGTCACTGAATAAAAATCATATGTTGAATAATTCACAAAATATGGACCACAGTAACAACCTCAGCATCGGGCTGGAAATCGCTGTGAGTCTTCCTGTGGCAGCTCCTGTACTGTATGCATCGGAAGACATTATCAGTTATCCACAGGCTAAGCCACCTGCAGGCCAGAGTCCTTGGAAGGTTATTCTCCAAGCCCACTCCTGGCAAATGCACACACCAAGCCTGGGGAGATGGCATGGGAAACGTGAATGTTTCCTGACCCATGCCACAGGTTTCATCACCCAATTCAAGCAGGCTGAGAGTCCCACAGACACACACAAGTAATTGCTACTCACATCTACACACAGGAATGAGGAGGTAGTGGGGTAATCTCTATTCTTACTCATGCTTGGCCCTTATCTACCTAAGCTCATGGGGCTGCAGTCAGAGGATTATACTTCATCTTCTTAGACTGTCTGGAGTGTTACCTCCTCAGCCACCCATCCAATTAAGGGGTCACCACTTATCTTGTACTTCCTATATACATAATTCTGAAACAGGTAGATCAACCAGTGTGGTAAGACATGAGCAGACATAAATATCAAGGATTCTAGTCTACTTTGCTTAAAGATGGTAGGGTTAATGGTCTATTTTGTACTTAGAATTTGCCACACTCTCTCAACCAGGACAATCTGCTATTCCTCCACAGTACCTCCCAAATCTGGCCACTTCCATTCCAAGCCGTTATCTGGTCCCTGGGACTCTTTGAACATTTTCCCAGTGCATTTTCCTGCTTCCAGTCTTGCTTGTTATAGCCTATTCTCTATACAGCAGTGAGTGATCTTTTTAAAGCAGAAATTAGACCAGTCACTCCCTGCTTTAAGCCTCCAAAGGATTCCCATCACTCAGAATGAAATCCAAAATGTTTGCTTAGCCTAAAACTTGATCTGGCCCCTGCCTGCCTGCCTTTCAACACATCTTCTCTCACTCTGGCCTCATTCACATTACTCCAGCCACATCAGCCCTCTTACCAGGCAGGCCTTCGACACATCAAATCTATTCCCAACTCAATATCTTTGCAATTGTTGTCCCCTCTGCCTGGACACTCTTTGCCCAGGTAGTTACATGGCTGGATTCACCACCCACCTTATTGACACCTCCTCAACGAGGCCCTCTCTAATCCCCCAGCCAGAAAGAAATCTCTTCCCACCCAACACCCTCCACCCATATAATTTCCTTCTCAAAGAATTATCTTGCTTACCTAAGGCACTTACTTGGGTTTTTCTATTTCTTCCTCCTAAAACCTTGAGATCAGTGTCCTTATCTACCTTATTTGATGCTGCACAACCAACACCCGGTGTAGTGCTTGGCACATCATAGGTAGTTAGTAAGTATTTATTGAATGAACTAACTGAAGTTTTTTAGACTTCAGAAGATATGTCATTTGAGCAGTTGCATTGGCTGCCATTTTGTTTCAAGAGAATAAACTGAGCCATAATTTAGTCCTAATTTATTTGAATATCTATAAACAGTTTACCAAAGCAGGCCAAATCCAGAAGAAAAAAAAATCAAAGATCTAAAATTAAAACCTTTTCTCATTCCTCTGTTCTCCTTTAGATATACTTCCTTCTTTCCCCACTGTCCCCAATGTGAACTTGCTTAAACATTTGAGTATAGCATTTGGTTGGCCAGACATAGAGCATGTAGTACCAGGTTAAGTATAGCTACATGCATTCCTTGTTCTCACCATCTGCTGAAGCAGTGGTTCACAAAATTTCGCATCATCAGAATCATGTGGAAGGCTTGTTAAAACACAGATTGATGGGCCCAATTCATACCAGCTCATGAGGGCCATTGTTAAATTTTCAGGAACTCTGCAAGCCTGTTGTGAAACACAAGCTGTCATTAAAAAATAAATGATAAAAATGTGTAGATAAAGAAATTACGTGAAAAACAAATTGCATTAGAAGCAACTTCCTAATTATTGTACTACATATTTCCATTATCTGTGGAGGATATTTACATCTACTGTGTCTGAACAATGGACATAGTACATTATGATGTGGGGCCACACATCTCTTTCTAACTCCTTGTTGAGTAGTATCATGTTGTGGCTTGACACTGGCCAGGACAGAAATATTTACACCACAGAAATGAGCAAATGGGCTTGATTTATTATTTTGTTGATTGTCTAGACTTAAGAAAGTGATGGAGAAAATTGTAAAAATACAGATTAAGCTTCAAAATATGTTAACCTGTAGCTATTATATTGTGAATAGAAAAAAAGTTGAGAAAATAGTCTTCCAACATTCGATTCAGCAAACAAATTGTTCACATCACTGACAAACAAGTGACATTGTGACATATGTCTTCATTTTGTTTCACTTTCATCTTACTCCTTAATATAAACAAAAATATCAACATTCATGTTGGAACTACACTCATTCATCAATTGCAACCCTAGGTTGTCTCTGATACAAGAGTTTGACAAAAAAACAATGAATGAAAGCATTCTGCAAAAGCCAATTAGCTACATAACATTTATAGTAAAGAATATTGAATATTTTATTATTTGTAAATTGTGTGCTACACATTCAATGTATCAGCAAAATTTACGTACATAAATATCTGCACTTTTTCAAAGAGGCACTTGTTAAATATTTGCCAGCACACCACTGGTGGGGTTGGACACCACCCCCATCTCTTTGGGTTCAGTAGGAGGCAAGGCCCAGGAATTTGCATTTCTAAACATTTCCCAAAGGATGTTAGTCCTATTGTTCTGGAAACTACTCTCTGAGAACCTCTGCCTTACAGGAAAAGGAGGCCTCCATGCTAGGTCTTGTTGATGGATAGACTAGCCACCTCGCTGCACTTAGTCACCAGATGTCATCAAACAACTATTGACTTCTGTTGCAAGAGGCATTACAATTTAATTTAAGAAGTCAATATTTGCTTAATAGGTGATAAATCTTGAGGCAAAACAAAAAGGGGCACTAACTCCATCTAGCCAGCAGCCAGATCACCAGTATGATACGAAAAGAGCTCAAAGACTCACGCAGTCAATGGATGGTCTCCCAACAGTCTGCCATGTCACCCAAAATCCCCACTATTAGAATTAACCCAGTAAGGCATTGCTAAAGTGCAAGTATTTTGCCTGGGAGGGTAGAGATGGTAACCAACCGACACATTAGTCTAAACAAAACCACCAACTTTCCTCCCAGACTAAGGCCACACATCCTCCTTTCCTGCACACTCTACCTGCTTTCTATAGAAACCAGTTCCTTCAGGTAACTTGTTCCTCTTTTTTTAGGAACCCTGGGTTCACAAAATACATCATTCACAACATTTGTGGTTAAGAGAGCAGAACTCTGGAGACACACAGCCTGGGTTAGAATTCCCGCTCAGCTGTGTGGTATTGGGCTAGTTGCTTGATCTCTCTGTGCCTCCGTTTCCCCATGGAAATAGAAATAATAATAATCCCACCTTATAGGACTGTTTTGAGGATTCAGTGAGTCGATGGTATATGTAAAGTGCTTAGAACACTACCTGGCATATGAATAAATGCTAACTAGATCACTAATTCACTTTTGTAATTGGCCTGAACAATTTAATTTATATTAGTCTAATTTATATTATTTTAATAATCTAATGTAATAAACATCAATGAATATATTATGAACACAAAACCCAAAATACTAGGAATAATTTATACCTACACATACACTTCTCTTCCACACTGTCCCCCACCTCTCCAAAATTAACTTAACCAAAGGTTTAACATTTTCTTTTTTTCCTCTCTTTTCTTTCTCCTTCTTTTTTTCTTTTAAGGCAGGCCCTTGCTGTGTTGCCCAGGCTAGCCTCAAACTCCCGGGCTCCAGTAATTCTCCTGTCTCAGCCTCCCAAGTAGCTGGGACTATAGGCCATACCACCACACCTGGGTTAACATTTTCTTTTTTATTTTGCATATAGTCTTAACACATGTTTTTCTAAAAATATGTTGTTTCATTTTAGTTGCTTTTAATTGTATTAAAAGTGTTTCATAGGGTATATCATTTTCTAGGACTTTTTAAAACTCAGTGTTCCATCGAGTTGTGTGTAACTGTAATTTAAATGAACTGTTTAGTACTTTTATGTAAATTACATATGTTTGACCCCATGAAGTTGGCTCCATCACTCTAAACCAATACTCTAAAAATTCGAAAGTTTTAAAACGTGTCCAAATCAGGAAGACTCAGCTGGAAAATACAGTCAAGATCCTGGTGCTCCCACCTTCCCCTTACAGAGAAGAGCTTCTGATACAAACACCACGGTCTGAGTGGGGCAGCCTCCTGCACCCTCACTTCAGTTGTCCTTTATGTCTTACTCTTCCACTTAGATCAGAAATGATGTCCACTTCAGGGGTGGTCACCCTGGGGAGTCGCTGGACAAAAGCAGCCTAGACCCAGACCATGGCAGGCCTCATTCTCCCCATCCTCACATTGGCTCCCCAATTTGCTGCTCCTGGCTCAAAGTCCTGGCACTGAGGCTGAGGTACCAGGGGTCGATGCCAGTCAGGGGCAGAGGATGGACAGAGCATGGCAGGGGCTTGCTCAGGGAGGAGAGGGGGAGTGGTCACACTGGTCCTCAGGTCACACCAGTCGACAGCATGGAAGCCCCGGATGCTGGAGAAGAACTGGGTGTGGGAGACGAGGCTGAGATGCTGCAAAGACACCCAGCTGCAATCACAGCCTTGCCTCCCCGTGATCCTGCGGTGGAGTCAGGGGGGAAGGCAGGGGTTAGATTTATCCAGCAACATCCCTAAATGTATTTGGAAATGTCTTTCTTAACACCTCTAGAATCACAAACTGCCTAAAATTACTATATTTTCTCTCAAGCCAAGATTACGTGGAAAATCCACAGAGAAAAAATTTTCGTCCTCAATAAGGGTCTTCAATAGAGAAGAATCAATCAATAGAGAAGAAACAATTCCTGGGACTCCATGGGCTGGAAAAACAGCCCTGAATCTTGGATGCCTCCTTGGAAGGTACTTGATATGTCCTCCTCAAGATGATAATCTCTCAGGAAATTGACCATGGGGAGCACAGTGACTCACCTGGCTCTGGACTTCAAGACAAAACAGGCACCCACCCCTTCTTGTATTAAATTGGGTTTCGGAAGCACTGATCTGTTATTATTTTGAATGTCCTCTGAGCCTAGCATCAGAAGGAGGCCCCAAAAAGACAAACATTAGCATCAGTGTTACTCAGAAAACAGAGGTTTTAAATGTCAAGGTGGGAAGTGAAAGTATAGAGAAGCAGGGAAGGGCAGGAGAGAAGCGTGGCACTAGGCTCAAGTTAAGGAAGAATAGCCGAATCTTCCAGTAGAGGAGCCTCCTCCCAGGACCACTCCCTCATCTCTTTGCTAACCATCTTCACTGGATTCCACCCAAATTCAAGAAGGGAGGAGACAAGAGACCTGCCAGCAATAGTGGGACCTTAGGTTGCTTGATGAAGCACTGACATCACTTTCCTCATCAACAAAATGAGCAATGGGACCACATCGTCTGCAGTATTCCTATCAGTTCTTTCTGTGATTTTGTGCTCAAAGCCAGATTCATTACCTACCGACGTGCACATGTGCGTGAGCACATAGACACACAAACACACATGCAATCAGATCTATTTCTAATCCTAGTATCAACAGGATTCACAATTTCTATGTTATTCTCACTATCTCTCTATTGACCTCAGTAACAGTGGCATCAAATGGATTCTAATAACAAAGACAATGATAATAATTGCTTTTACAGTAATCATATATACAGAATCTACACTAGCAGTACATGCAATCACATAGTATTTTATATATAATAATGAATATTACTAAATATACATAATATATACTGTATTATATATCATATATTATTTTAAATCATGTGTCACATATTCAGAGAGAAAGGTCGGGTTACCCTGAAAGGAAAGCCCATCAGACTAACAGCGGATCTCTCGGCATAAACCCTACAAGCCAGAAGAGAGTGGGGGCCAATATTCAACATTCTTAAAGAAAAGAATTTTCAACCCAGAATTTCATATCCAGCCAAACTAAGCTTCATAAGTGAAGGAGAAATAAAATACTTTATAGACAAGCAAATGCTGAGAGATTTTGTCACCACCAGGCCTGCCCTAAAAGAGCTCCTGAAGGAAGCGCTAAACATGGAAAGGAACAACCGGTACCAGCCACTGCAAAATCATGCCAAAATGTAAAGACCATCGAGACTAGGAAGAAACTGCATCAACTAATGAGCAAAATCACCAGCTAACATCATAATGACAGGATCAAATTCACACATAACAATATTAACTTTAAATATAAATGGACTAAATTCTGCAATTAAAAGACACAGACTGGCAAGTTGGATAAAGAGTCAAGACCCATCAGTGTGCTGTATTCAGGAAACCCATCTCACGTGCAGAGACACACATAGGCTCAAAATAAAAGGATGGAGGAAGATCTACCAAGCAAATGGAAAACAAAAAAAGGCAGGGGTTGCAATCCTAGTCTCTGATAAAACAGACTTTAAACCAACAAAGATCAAAAGAGACAAAGAAGGCCATTACATAATGGTAAAGGGATCAATTCAACAAGAGGAGCTAACTATACTAAATATTTATGCACCCAATACAGGAGCACCCAGATTCATAAAGCAAGTCCTGAGTGACCTACAAAGAGACTTAGACTCCCACACATTAATAATGGGAGACTTTAACACCCCACTGTCAACATTAGACAGATCAACGAGACAGAAAGTCAACAAGGATACCCAGGAATTGAACTCAGCTCTGCACCAAGCAGACCTAATAGACATCTACAGAACTCTCCACCCCAAATCAACAGAATATACATTTTTTTTCAGCACCACACCACACCTATTCCAAAATTGACCACATAGTTGGAAGTAAAGCTCTCCTCAGCAAATGTAAAAGAACAGAAATTATAACAAACTATCTCTCAGACCACAGTGCAATCAAACTAGAACTCAGGATTAAGAATCTCACTCAGAGCTGCTCAACTACATGGAAACTGAACAACCTGCTCCTGAATGACTACTGGGTACATAATGAAATGAAGGCAGAAATAAAGATGTTCTTTGAAACCAACGAGAACAAAGACACCACATACCAGAATCTCTGGGACGCATTCAAAGCAGTGTGTAGAGGGAAATTTATAGCACTAAATGCCTACAAGAGAAAGCAGGAAAGATCCAAAATTGACACCCTAACATCACAATTAAAAGAACTAGAAAAGCAAGAGCAAACACATTCAAAAGCTAGCAGAAGGCAAGAAATAACTAAAATCAGAGCAGAACTGAAGGAAATAGAGACACAAAAAACCCTTCAAAAAATCAATGAATCCAGGAGCTGGTTTTTTGAAAGGATCAACAAAATTGATAGACCGCTAGCAAGACTAATAAAGAAAAAAAGAGAGAAGAATCAAATAGACACAATAAAAAATGATAAAGGGGATATCACCACCGATCCCACAGAAATACAAACTACCATCAGAGAATACTACAAACACCTCTACGCAAATAAACTAGAAAATCTAGAAGAAATGGATACATTCCTCGACACATACACTCTCCCAAGACTAAACCAGGAAGAAGTTGAATCTCTGAATAGACCAATAACAGGCTCTGAAATTGTGGCAATAATCAATAGTTTACCAACCAAAAAGAGTCCAGGACCAGATGGATTCACAGCCGAAATCTACCAGAGGTACAAGGAGGAACTGGTACCATTCCTTCTGAAACTATTCCAATCAATAGAAAAAGAGGGAATCCTCCCTAACTCATTTTATGAGGCCAGCATCATTCTGATACCAAAGCCGGGCAGAGACACAACCAAAAAAGAGAATTTTAGACCAATATCCTTGATGAACATTGATGCAAAAATCCTCAATAAAATACTGGCAAACCGAATCCAGCAGCACATCAAAAAGCTTATCCACCATGATCAAGTGGGCTTCATCCCTGGGATGCAAGGCTGGTTCAATATATGCAAATCAATAAATGTAATCCAGCATATAAACAGAGCCAAAGACAAAAACCACATGATTATCTCAATAGATGCAGAAAAAGCCTTTGACAAAATTCAACAACCCTTCATGCTAAAAACTCTCAATAAATTAGGTATTGATGGGACGTATTTCAAAATAATAAGAGCTATCTATGACAAACCCACAGCCAATATCATACTGAATGGGCAAAAACTGGAAGCATTCCCTTTGAAAACTGGCACAAGACAGGGATGCCCTCTCTCACCACTCCTATTCAACATAGTGTTGGAAGTTCTGGCCAGGGCAATCAGGCAGGAGAAGGAAATAAAGGGTATTCAATTAGGAAAAGAGGAAGTCAAATTGTCCCTGTTTGCAGATGACATGACTGTTTATCTAGAAAACCCCATCGTCTCAGCCCAAAATCTCCTTAAGCTGATAAGCAACTTCAGCAAAGTCTCAGGATACAAAATCAATGTACAAAAATCACAAGCATTCTTATACACCAACAACAGACAAACAGAGAGCCAAATCATGAGTGAACTCCCATTCACAATTGCTTCAAAGAGAATAAAATACCTAGGAATCCAACTTACAAGGGATGTGAAGGACCTCTTCAAGGAGAACTACAAACCACTGCTCAAGGAAATAAAAGAGGATACAAACAAATGGAAGAACATTCCATGCTCATGGGTAGGAAGAATCAATATCGTGAAAATGGCCATACTGCCCAAGGTAATTTACAGATTCAATGCCATCCCCATCAAGCTACCAATGACTTTCTTCACAGAATTGGAAAAAACTACTTTAAAGTTCATATGGAACCAAAAAAGAGCCCGCATCGCCAAGTCAATCCTAAGCCAAAAGAACAAAGCTGGAGGCATCACACTACCTGACTTCAAACTATACTACAAGGCTACAGTAACCAAAACAGCATGGCACTGGTACCAAAACAGAGATATAGATCAATGGAACAGAACAGAGCCCTCAGAAATAATGCCGCATATCTACAACTATCTGATCTTTGACAAACCTGAGAAAAACAAGCAATGGGGAAAGGATTCCCTATTTAATAAATGGTGCTGGGAAAACTGGCTAGCCATATGTAGAAAGCTGAAACTGGATCCCTTCCTTACACCTTATACAAAAATCAATTCAAGATGGATTAAAGATTTAAACGTTAGACCTAAAACCATAAAAACCCTAGAAGAAAACCTAGGCATTACCATTCAGGACATAGGCATGGGCAAGGACTTCATGTCCAAAACACCAAAAGCAATGGCAACAAAAGCCAAAATTGACAAATGGGATCTAATTAAACTAAAGAGCTTCTGCACAGCAAAAGAAACTACCATCAGAGTGAACAGGCAACCTACAACATGGGAGAAAATTTTCGCAACCTACTCATCTGACAAAGGGCTAATATCCAGAATCTACAATGAACTCAAACAAATTTACAAGAAAAAAACAAACAACCCCATCAAAAAGTGGGCGAAGGACATGAACAGACACTTCTCAAAAGAAGACATTTATGCAGCCAAAAAACACATGAAGAAATGCTCATCATCACTGGCCATCAGAGAAATGCAAATCAAAACCACTATGAGATATCATCTCACACCAGTTAGAATGGCAATCATTAAAAAGTCAGGAAACAACAGGTGCTGGAGAGGATGTGGAGAAATAGGAACACTTTTACACTGTTGGTGGGACTGGAAACTAGTTCAACCATTGTGGAAGTCAGTGTGGCGATTCCTCAGGGATCTAGAACTAGAAATACCATTTGACCCAGCCATCCCATTACTGGGTATATACCCAAAGGACTATAAATCATGCTGCTATAAAGACACATGCACACGCATGTTTATTGCGGCACTATTCACAATAGCAAAGACTTGGAACCAACCCAAATGTCCAACAATGATAGACTGGATTAAGAAAATGTGGCACATATACACCATGGAATACTATGCAGCCATAAAAAATGATGAGTTCATGTCCTTTGTAGGGACATGGATGAAATTGGAAACCATCATTCTCAGTAAACTATCGCAAGAACAAAAAACCAAACACTGCATATTCTCACTCATAGGTGGGAATTGAACAATGAGATCACATGGACACAGGAAGGGGAATATCACACTCTGGGGACTGTGGTGGGGTCGGGGGAGGGGGGAGGGATAGCATTGGGAGATATACCTAATGCTAGATGACACGTTAGTGGGTGCAGCGCACCAGCATGGCACATGTATACATATGTAACTAACCTGCACAATGTGCACATGTACCCTAAAACTTAGAGTATAATAAAAAAAAAAACATTAAAAAAAAATAATAATAATAATGAATATTACTAAATATACATAATATATACTGTATTATATATCATATATTATTTTAAATCATGTGTCACATATTATTTAAATACATTATAAATATTACAAACATCTGCTAATATACTAATATATATTAGTAGTATTTACTATAATAATAGCATATGTAACATATATAATAGAAATAGATAGCACTTATTGTATGTTGTTATAGACTGAATGTTTATGTCTCCTCCAAAATTCATAATATTGGAATCCTAACCCCCAATGTGATTGTATTAGGAGGTCGGACATTTGGAGGTAATTATGTCATGAAGGTGGAGCCCTCATGATGGGATAAGAGGAAGAGACAAAAGAAAGATCTCTCTCTCTCTCTCTGCCAAGCAAGGATACAAGGAGAAGGTAGCTGAGAGCAAACTAGGTATCAAGCCCTCACCAGACACCTGATCTGCCCACACCTTGATCTTGGACGGCCCAGCCTCCAGAACTGTGAGAAATAAATGTCTGTTGTTTAAGCCTCCCAGTCTATCATATTTTGTTATAGCAGCCCAAACTGACTAATAAGTATACACACTAGAGTATATGTACTATATATGTAACATATATTTAGATACTATACATATACTCTACAATAAAATATCATATGTAACATAATAATAGCACTTTTGACAGAGTACTTACCTTGTATCAAGTCATAACTGACATTTACCAATTTGTTTTTTCCTCATTACAACCCTTGAGGTACATACTCCTTTCACAGATGAGGAAACTGAGGCACAGAAAAGTTAAGTGATTTGCCCAAGGTCACACAGCTATCAAGCGGCAGAGCTAGGAACTGAACCCAGACACTGTGGTTCTAGAATTGTGGGCCCCTAGCTGAAGCGTTGTCCACTTGGGGCCCTTCTCTAGTCCCTGTGTTCAGACCACAACAGCCACCCCCACACCATTTCCTTCCAGCCATCCTCCCACCATGGCCAGACCGACAGTCCAGGCTCTGACCCCGTCGCTCCCCTGTGGTTTGGCACTGAAGCTCCTCCACACACTTCTCCAGCCCCTTGTTCCCTCTCCTTCCCTGGCCCAGGCCTCCACCCGCTGCCCCTCGCCTAGGCCCCACCGTGGGCGCGTCTCCCACCATTTACCACAAGACTGTGGGTGTCCCAGGGTCCTGTCCCCACCCCCTCCCCATTCTACACACTCCTGCCCTGTGGACTAGGACGTGGATGCTGTCCAGCCCCTCAGTCAATGTGCCGAAAGCCAAAACCACATTTCCCACAACCCTCAGCCTAATCCTGCTTTCCCACCTGCACTGCAGACCCCACTGTCTGCTCGTCTCCCGGCTACAAACCTGAGAATCACCCTTGGCCCTTCCTGCCCTCTCACCTGCTATGTCCAAACCCTAACTCTTTGCCTCCCAAATTTCCTCTAGTTTCTGTCCTATACTTCTCTCCTTCTCCCCCTTGCCCAGTGCATTCCCACGTGTCCCTGGGTAACTGTGTGGATAGGGCAAGTCTACCCGTACCCCTTTCTGCTAAAACTCCCCTGAGATTCCCCCACAGGCCACATTCTGAACTCCCTAGCATGACCAACAAGACTTTCCATGCAAGCTTGTTTCTCTGGCCTATCTCCCATCACTCCTTTCTTTATATTTTATGCTCAAATAATACTTTCCTTGATCACTCCCTTTTTCCTACCTTTCCTCAGACCTTTCCCTCTGCCTGGAAGAGACTGTCAGCCCCTGGTTCCCTCAGTAATGTCATACATCCAGCTCACCTCTGGCCTCACCCTCTCCCAGGAAGCCTTCGTTAACTCCCACTGGCCCTTTTTGTGTCTCCCGAAATCTCCCAGTGCAAACCTCTAGACTGTCCTCACCCCACTGCCGTCAATGTCCCATTACATGAGCTACTAGAGGGTGTTGACCGCATCATGCATCTTTGCAGCTCTGTTCAACTGCACCATGGCCATGCCTGGCCCTAATGGCCCTTCCAGCTCAGGAGCCCATGAGTCTGGGGTTCTGAGGTAACTTGCAGCTCCCCATCTCTTCTCTCTCCTTGTATCCTCCCTCTTTTCTCTATCGCTGATTCATCAGGGGGCATCTCCAATGCCAGCCTTTCCAGGGACAATTTCCTCATTGTCCACAAGCAGGTGTGACCTCTCCCTTCCTTGATCCCTGGAGATTTGGAAGATGAATTATAGAGAAACATTCCTTAAGGGTTGGGAGGAAAGAAAGAGAGAAAGAAAAGACAAGAGCAGAAGACTGGCATGACAGAGAATCAGGAGTTTGGAAAGCAATTGCAGGGCATGAAACAGTAAAAGGGGAGCAGAGGAGATTTTTAAAAATTGCTCTGGGCTAAGAATTAGTTCCCCTTTAATGTTCTTTGGGAGATATTTGCAAAGAGTATAACAGCATGTGCTATTTAGTCACCTTTGTTGGCTAGACTGTGTTTCTTTGAATGTGACACAGTACTGAGACTGAGCCATTGAAGGGGCTGGATTTTACGTGAGCTATATAAAATTAAATGACTCCTATGTTGTCTCTGCATATATGTCTCTGCATATATGTGTGCACATGAGTGTGTATGTGTGTGCACCTGGTGTATGTGTATGTATGGGAACAGAGCCTTAGGATTCTTTACTATCCCTTTGTGCTTTGCAGGAGGTGGTGGGTGTGGAGGATTCAAGCACAGGTCAGAGGAAGCAGCTCTGTGCATCTTGGACTGTGAGTTGTCCATGGTTGGTTGGCCTTCACCCAGGCACCCACGGAGGATGGTTACTGCTTATCAGATTATCAGCATTCAGGCTGTCTTCTCCCTGGCACAACCTCTTCTGTCTGCCACAAACCAGGCATAGAATTTTGATGGAAATCTACATGTTTCCTTTTTGCAGGTAGGCAGATGAGGAGACACACCTTTACTTAGCTACCTGGAATCCTGTGTCGCACAGGGGCCTCTGGAAGGAGTCCCTCAAGGACACACCCTAACTTCCTAACTCTATCCTCCAACCTTCCTTTTGCTTTTCTTGTAGACCTCCCTCAAGACCTCCTCCATCTGCTGTTGGGCCCCATCTTTTACCAAGGACCCCTCTCCAGAGGGCAGTAGAGTCTCATCCCCTCTCCTCTTGTACCTACAGACACTGCTGCTTCAAACTTCAGCTGGATGTCCAAGGAGTCTTCTGCTTCTCTCACGGGAAAGCGGGGTAGCTCTGATTCTGTGGGTGGGCTCACTGGGGTGGGATGAAAAGGTGGGAGGAAACCCTTGTCCTTGAATTTGGTTCAGTGTTTCCCTAGCTGAAATGAGCGCAACTCAGTTGCCAAAACCAAAATTGTTTGCTGGTTTGAGAACTTGCTAGCAGGGCTTGTGCATTTACAGCTACACGAGGAATACATGTTCCTCCTATAGCACAACTTGGCCCCTTCCACTTGTAAATTAATAATAATAACTGCAGACTTTTTTATACAAAAGCTGCAGTCGTCTTCCTTCCAGGCCTGCATTCCAGTGTAAAGATCCTTCATGTGAACTGCCAGTCCCTCTGCTCAGGCTATATGTGTTGAAGGGCACCATTCTCAAGCAGGTTCTTTTTGATCCCCAAATTTTTCCGTAATAGACAGCAAAAGGTTTCAGTCCAATCCTGTGTATACTCCATATGGCAATTTAAGCCTATAAGACCCCTTGGAGATGGAGATGAACTCAGCTCCAAACACTTATTTTACCACTTGATGAATTCAACATATTACCTGTGATCACCCCACCGTCTGCCCCTGTGTCATCAGGGCTCACTCTCCACCCTAACTCCACTCTCTTTTCTCTTCCCACAGTTGCCAAGAATGGTGTCCCAGCATTCACACCCTTGTGCAGTGCCCGCCCATATTGTGTTAGGGTAAATCTCTGTGACAGTAGCATATGGCAGAAGAACGGTATGTCACTTCTGAAAGTAGCTTGTAAAGACTGTGGCTTTTGTCTTGTGTACTCAATCCCTCTCTCTCTCTCTCTCTCTCTCTCTCTCTCTCTCTGATTCCTTGCAGTGGTGGGCGTCATGCTGTGAGCAGCCCAATGGAGAGACCCATGTGGTAAGGAATGAAAGTCCCTTGGAAGCAGACCCTCCCACCCCAGTCAAGCCTGACGTGTGAGATCCTGAACCAGCACCATCAAGCTAAATCAATCCCAGACTCCTAACCCTCAGAAACTGTGTGAGATAATAAATAATGTGAGATAAAACCTACTAACTTTGGGGATAATTTGTTACACAGCAATAAATAACTAACGCACTCCTCTGTCCACAGTGATAGTGCAAAACTCAGTCCCATGCACCTTCCACAAGAAAGGTGTGTTCCACTAAAGACATGTGGAGCCATAGGGGAGAATTATGCACATAAGTGTAGCATTCCTTTTCCCTGGCTCTGTCTCTATGTGCTTCCTCTCAGAACTGCTACCTTCTGAAGACCCACGTTGCAGACACGTGGCCTCTATGCCAGGTGACATCCCCTGGGACACCTAGTCCAGTCTTTCTCCCAAATCTGCCCACTGTCACATCACATCTGCTTTAAAATGAGGTCACTCTGTACCTACTACTGATAAAATTGCATTTTCATTTATCATATTATATAAGTCCTTCCAAACCAACAAATATCCTTGTAAGAAGCATCTTTTCAATAATTGCAAACTATTCCCTTGTGTATGAATAGAACAGAATTTATTAACCTTATCCATTTTGTGCTACATTTCAATTATTTCCTGGATTTATAAAAAATACTCCAGTGCATATCCTTGGAACTAAGTCTTTGAAGAGATCTTTAGTAATTTTCATGGGATAAATTTCTTGACAGATAAAGGCAAGGAAATGAAGAGATTTTAGGCTGTTATAGCATTTGGTATTCATTGCCTTACAGAGTTCCAAAAATAATTATGCAACTTTTGTTATGATTGATATTAGGGTTCTGAGGGGGCCTGCACTCCCGCTTAAATTGTGGATTATTTAAATGTATTTCTGAAATGTTTGCCCTCTGTCAAATGCTGTTATTTTCAAACCTGATCCTATATACTATTTCTTTCAATTATGAATGAACTCATTTTCCAGCATATTTTGTAACTGATTATTACTGTTATATAGAAAAATTATAGATTTTTTCCTATATTTTATTTCTAGCCATATTCCTGAACTCTCTTATAGTTTCAGCTGATTATTTGTCAAACAGAAAATTGTATAATTTGTAAATAATGATAATATCATCCTTTCCAAAGCCTTCCTTTCCAAAAATTATGCTTTTATATGTTCTAGCTAAGGGTGAGTTCTAGCTAAGGCTGGAACGACTGGAACATATAAAACAATACTCAGTTGTAGAAAGAACCACAGCAATTTTTTCTTATTTCTGACCTTAATGAAAATGTCTCTGTTTCTCCATTAAATGTGGTGGAGTTAGTTTAAGGTCAATGTTTTTACCAGTTAGCAATCTTCCAGTTGTTTTCAGTAACAGAAAACTAAATGTAAACTGGCTTATAATGTGAAATATAAGTCCCACAGCAAGTCCAAGCAAAGCCTGACGCAGCCAACCAGCTCTCTGCTCAGCCTGTGTCTAAGACCACTTTCCTCCCTGGTTCCACACTGGCTGCCAGAGGCCTCTCAATGCTGTGAGTTTTCTAGTTCACATACAACAGAAGGAGAACATCCCTCTAGGGAGCTGTTTTCCCAGGAGCCAGAAGAAATATCCTTGTGCTGCACTGGGCCCAACTTACAGTCACTTGCCCATTCCTGCACAAATCATGATGGCCAAGTTGAATATATATGCTGCTCAGCTTCAGTCAATTTAAAAATAGATATAGAGAGGGCATCCTGGGAAGTTGGTGGATAGGAGGCAGGACTAGCCTGCAGCTCCCACTCAGACAAATAGAGCAGCATGTGGAGACTCATATTGTGAACTTTTGCTAATAAGAACTACCAGAGGAACATACCAGGAAAGCCGAGAGAATCCACAGAACTTTTGAAGAAACTGGATCACTGCTGCAGGCTCCCTGAGTTGCCAAAAAACTGTGAGTCGGCTTGCTTTCCCAAGAGGGAGGCTCATAGTCAGGGACAAGTTCTCAGCCCTGGCCACTGGCTGCCTGGAAATAGACTCAGTGCTGTTGGCAGGGCACAGTGGGAGTGAGACCAGCCTTAAGGACTGCCAGCTGCATGAGAGTAAGGTGAGGCTGGTGACCGCCAGCTTTCTTCTACTTCCCTGGCAACCTGTATGACTCAGCAGAGGCAGCCATAATCCCCCTGGGAATATAACTCCACTGGACTAGGAACCACACCCCCATCACCCACAGCAGCCACAGCAAGCCACGCCCAAGGAGAGGCTGAGCTCAGACATGCCTATCCCTGACCCACCTGGTGGTCTTTCTCTACCCACCCCGGTAGCTGAAGAAAAATGTCATAACCTCTTGGGAGCTCTATGGCCCTACCCTGCCCGCCACATGAGAATCCTGGATACTTAACCAGGTGTCCCTAGGGCAAGTTTGCATCCTCCCTATAAGACTGCAGCTGATGTGCTCTTGAAAGTATCACCTTCTGGCTGGAGGCCAACTAATACAAAACTAGCACAGTAAACAAAAATACAACCAAAGACCCTCACAGAGTCCACATCACTCCTCTGCTACCTCCACTGGAGCAGGTGCTGGTATCCAGGGTCACAAGATCTGAAGACGGATCATGTCACAGGACTCTTTGTAGAAACTCCCCAGTACCAACCTGGAGCCTGGTAGCTCCACTGGGTGGTGAGACCCAGAAGAGCAAAACTAATCACTACAGTTTGGCTCTCAGGAAGCCCCATTCCTAGGGTGGGGAGGAGAACATCACATGAAGAGAGCACCCCATGAGATAAAAAAAATCTGAACAGCAGCCCTTGAGTTCCAGATCTTCTCTCTGACATAGTCTACCCAAATGAGAAGGAACCAGAAATATGACAAAACAAGGTTCTTTAAAACCTCCAAAAGATCATATAAGCTCACCAGCAATGGATCCAAACCAAGACAAAATTTCCAAATTGCCAGAAAAAGAATTCAGGAGGTCAATTATTAAGCTAATTCTGGAGTCACTGAAGAAAGGTGAAGTCCAACTTAAAGAAATCAAAAACATATACAGGATATGAAAGGAAAATTCTTCAGTGAAATAGAGAGCATAAATAAAAAACAATTCACAACTTCTGGAAATCAAGGACACACTTAGATAAATGCAAAGTGCACTGGAAAGCCTCAGCAATAGAATCAAAAAAGCAGAAGAAAACACCTCAGAGCTCAAAGACAAGGCTTTCAAATTAACCCAATCCATCAAAGACAAAGAAAAAACATTTTTTTAAATAAATGAAGCCTGCAAGAAATTTGGACTAAGTGTCAAAACCTAAGAATAATTGGTGTTCCCAAGGAAAAGGAGAAATCTAAAACTTTGGAAAACATATTTGAGGGAATAATTGAGGAAAACTTCCCTGGCCTTGCTAGAGACCTAGACATCCAAATACAAGAAATTCAAAGAGCACCTGGGAAATTCATCACAAAAAGATCATCATTTAACACATAATCATCAGGATATCTAAAGTCAAGGTGAAGGAAAGAATATTAAAGCTGTGAGACAAAAGCATCAGGTTACCCATAAAAGAAAACCTATCAGGAAGAGGGCAAGATGGCCAAATAGAAACCGCTCCCATCTGCAGCTCCCAGTGAGACCAAGGAAGAAGGCATGTGATTTCTGCACTTCCAACTAAGGTACCTGGTTCAACTCACTGGGACTGGTTAGGCAGTGGGTGCAGCCCATGGAGGGTAAGCTGAAGCAGGGTGGGGCATCACCTCACCTGGAAAGCGCAAGGGGTTGGGGAACTCTCTCCCCAGCCAAGGGAAACCATGAGGGACTGTGCTGTGAGGGATGGTGCTATCTGGCCCAGATACTATGCTTTTCTCACAGTCTTCCCAACCCATAGACCAGGAGATTCCCTCCGGTGCCTACACCACCAGGGCCCTGGGTTTCAAGCACAAAACTGGGCAGTCATTTGGGCAGACATCAAGCTAGCTGCAGGAGTTTTTTTTTCGTACCCCAGTGGCACTTGGAATGCCAAAGAGACAGAACCATTCACTCCCCTGGAAAGGGGGCTCTGAAGCCAGGGAGCCAAGTCGTCTTGCTCAGCAGATCCACCACCCCCGTGAAGCCCAACAAGCTAAGATCCTCTGGCTTGAAATTCCCGCTGCCAGCACAGCAGTCTGAGGTGGACCTGGGATGCTCAAGCTTGGTGGCGGGAGGGGTGTCTGCCATTACTGAGGCTTGAGTAGGCGGTTTTCCCCTCATAGTGTAAACTAAGACGCTGGGAAGTTCAAACTGGGTGTGGAACCCACCACAGTGCGGCGAAGCCGCTGAAGCCAGACTGCTTCCCTAGATTCTTTCTCTCTGGGCAGGGCATCTCTGAAAGAAAGGCAGCAGCCCCAGTCAGGGGCTTATACATAAAACCCCCATCTCTCTGGGACAGAAAACATGGGGGAAGGAACAGCTGTAGGGGCAGCTTCAGCAGACTTAAATGTTCCTGCCTGCCAGCTCTGAAGAGAGCAGCAAATCTCCCAGCAGGACGCTTAAGCTCTGCTAAGAGAGAGACTGCCTACTCAAGTGGGGCCCTGGCCCCCATGCCTCCTGACTGGGAGATACCTCCCAGCAGGGTTTGACAGATACCTCATACAGGAGAGCTCCAGCTGTCACCTGGCAGGGGCCCCTCTGGGACAAAGCTTCCAGAGGAAGGAATAGGCAGCAATCTTTGTTGTTCTTCATCCTCCACTGGTGAAACCCAGGCAAACAGGGTCTGTAGTGGACCTCCAGCAAGCTCCAGCAGACCTGCAGCAGAGGGGCCTGACTGTTAGAAGGAAAACTAACAGAATGAAATAGCATCAACATCAACAAAAAAGACACCCATGCAAAAACCCCATCCAAAGGTCACCAACATCAAAGACCAAAGGTAGATAAATCCACAGAGATGAGGAAAAACCAGTGCAAAAAGGCTGAAAATTCCAAAAACCAGAATGCCTCTTCTCCTCCAAAAAATCATAATTCCTTGCCAGGAAGGGAACAAAACTGGACAGAGAACAAGTTTGACAAATTGACAGAAGTAGGCTTCAGAAGGTGGGTATAACAAACTCCTCCAAGTAAGGAGCATGTTCTAACCCAATGCAAAGAAACTAAGAACCTTGATAAAACATTTCAGGAACTGCTAACTAGAATAACCAGTTTAGAGAAGAACATAAATGACCTGATGGAGCTGGAAAACACAGCACGAGAACTTTGTGAAGCATACACAAGTATCAACAGCCAAATCTGTCAAGCAAAAGAAAGGATATCAGAGATTGAAGATCAACTTAATGAAATAAAGTGTGAAGACAAGATTAGAGAAAAAAGAATGAAAAGGAACAAACAAAGCCTCCAAGAAATATGGGACTATGTGAAAAGACCAAACCTATGTTTGATTGGTGTACCTGAATGGAACCAAGAATGGAACCATGTTGGAAAACATACTTCAGAATATTATCCAGGAGAACTTCCCCAACCTAGCAAGACAGGCCAACATTCAAATTCAGGAAATACAGAGAACACCACAAAGATACTCCTTGAGAAGAGCAACTGCAAGACACATAATCATCACATTCACCAAGGTTGAAATGAAGGAAAATACATTAAGGGCAGCCAGAGAGAAAGGGCGGGTTACCCACAAAGAAAAGCTCATCAAAATAACAGTGGATCTCTCTGCAGAAACCCTACAAGCCAGAAGACAGTGGGGGCCAATATTCAAACTTCTTAAAGAAAAGAATTTTCAACCCCAGAATTTCATATCCAGCCAAACTAAGCTTCATAAGTGAAGTGGAAATAAAATCCTTTACAGACAAGCAAATGCTGAGGGATTTTGTCACCACCAGGCCTGCCTTACAAGAGCTCCTGAAGGAAGCACTAAATATGGAAAGGAAAAACTGATACCAGCCACTGCAAAAATACTAAAATGTGAAGACCATTGACACTATGAAGAAACTGCATCAACTAATGGGCAAAATAACCAGCTAGCATCATAACAGGATCAAATTCACATGTAACAATATTAACCTTAAACATAAGTGGGCTAAATGCCCCAATTAAAAGACACAGACTGGCAAATTGGATAAAGAGTGAAGACCCATCAGTGTGCTGTATTCAGGAGACCCACCTCACTTGCAAAGACACACATAGGCTCAAAATAAAGGGATGGAGGAATATTCAACAAGAAAATGGAAAGCAAAGAAAAGCGGGGGTTGTAATTTTAGTCTCTGATAAAACAGACTTTAAATGAACAAAGATCAAAAGGGACAAAGAAGGGCATTACATAATGGTAAAGGAATCAATGCAACAAGAAGACCTAACTATCCTAAATATATATGCACCCAATATAGTAGCACCCAGGTTCATAAAGCAAGTTCTTAGAGACCTACAAAGAGACTAAGGCTCCCACACAATTATAATGGGAAACTTTAAAACCCCACTGTCAATATTAGACAGATCAATGAGACAGAAAATTAACAAGGATATTCAGAACTTGAACTTAGCTCTGGACCAAGCAGACATAATAGATGTCTACAGAACTTTCCACCCCAAATCAATAGAATATACATGCTTCTCAACACCACATAGCACTTATTCTAAAATTGACCACATACTTGGAAGTAAAACACTCCTCAGCAAATGCAAAAGAACAGAAATCATAACGAACAGTCTCTCAGGCCACAGTGCAATCAAATTAGAACTCAGGATTAAGAAACTCACTCAAAGCCTCACAACTACATGGAAACTGAACAACCTGCTCCTGAATGACTACTGGGTAAATAACGAAATTAAGTCAGAAATAAATAAGTTCTTTGAAACCAATAAGAACAAAGACATAACATACCAGAATCTCTGGGACACAGCTAAAGCAGTGTTTAGAGGGAAATTTATAGCACTAAATGCCAACAGGAAAAAGTGGGAAAGATTTAAAATTGACACGCTAACATCACGATTAAAAGAACTAGAGAAGCAAGAGCAAACAAATTCAAAAGCTAGCAGTAGACAAGAAATGATTAAGATCAGAGCAGAACTGAAGAAGATAAAGACACGAAAAATCCTTCAAAAAATTAATGAATCCAGGAGCTGGTTTTCTGAAAAGATTAACAAAATACATAGACCTCTAGCCAGACTAATAAAGAAGAAAAGAGAGAAGAATCAAATAGACACAATAAAAAATGATAAAGGGAATACCACCACAGATCCCACAGAGATACAAACTACCATCAGAGAATACTATAAACACTTCTATGCAAATAAACTAGAAAATCTAGAAGAAGTGCATAAATTCCTGGACACATACACCCTCCCAAGACTAAACCAGGAAGACGTCGAATCCCTGAATAGACCAATAATGAGTTCTGAAACTGAGGCAGTAATTAATAGCCTACCAACCAAAAAAGGCCCAGGACAAGACGGATTCACACCTGAATTCTACCAGAAGTACAAACAGGAGCTGGTACCATTCCTTCTGAAACTATTCCAAATAATAGAATAAGAAGGGCTTCTCTCTTACTCATTTTATGAGGCCAGCATCATCCTGACACTAAAACTGGGCACAGACACAACAAAAAAAGAAAATTTCTGGCTAATATCCTTGCCGAACATCAATGTGAAAATCCCCAATAAAATACTGGCAAACTGAATCCAGCAGCATATCAAAAAGCTTATCCACCACGATCAAGTTGGCCTCATCCCTGGGATGCAAGGCTGGTTCAACATACGCAAATCAATAAATGTAATCCGTCACATAAACAGAACCAATGACAAAAACCACATGATTGTCTCAATAGATGCAGAAAAGGCCTTCGATAAAATTCAACACTGCTTCATGCTAAAAGCACTCAATAAATTAGGTATTGATGGAACATATATCAAAATAATAAGAACTATTTATAACAAACGCATAGCCAATATCATACTGAATGGGCAAAAGCTGGAAACATTCCCTTTGAAAACTGGCACAAGACCAGGATGCCCTCTCTAACCACTCCTATTTAACATAGTATTGGAAGTTCTGGCCAGGGCAATCAGGCAAGAGAAAGCAATAAAGGGTATTCAAATAGGAAGAGAGGAAGTCAAATTGTATCTGTTTGCAGATGACATGATTGTATATTCAGAAAACCCTATCATCTCATCCCAAAAACTCCTTAAGTTGATAGGCAACTTCAAAAAGTCTCAGGATACAAAATCAATGTGCAAAAATCACAAGCATTCCTATACACCAATAGTAGACAAACAGAGAGCCAAATCATGAGTGAACTCCCATTCGCAACTGCAACAAAGAGAGTAAAATACCTAGGAATACAACTTACAAGGGATGTGAAGGGCGTCTTCAAGGAGAACTACAACCCACTGCTCAAAAAAATAAAAGAAGACACAAACAAATGAAAAAACATTCTATGCTAATGGAAATTGAAAGAATCAGTATCATGAAAATAGCCATAATACCCAAAGTAATTTATAGATTCAGTGCTATTCCTCTCAAGCTACCATTGACTTTCCTTGCAGAATTAGAAAAAAACGACTTTAAATTTTATATGGAACCAAACAAGAGCCCGTATACCCAAGACAATCCTAAGCAAAAAGAACAAAGCTGGAGGCATCACACTACCTGACTTCAAATTATACTACAAGACCACAGTAATCAAAGCACCATGGTACTGGTAACAAAACAGATATATAGACCAATGGAACAGACCAGAGGCCTCAGAAATAACACCACATGTCTACAACCATCTGACCTTTGACAAACCTGACAAAAACAAGCAATGAGGAAAGGATTCCCTATTTAATAAATGGTGTTGGGGAAACTGGCTAGCCATATGCGGGAAACTGGCTAGCCATATGCAGAAAACTGAAACTGGACCCCTTCTTTTACCTTATACAAAAAATAACTCAAGGTGGATTAAAGATGTAAACATAAGACCTAAAACCATAAAAACCCTAGAAGAAAACCTAGGCAGTACCATTCAGGATATAGGCATGGGCAAAGACTTCATGACTAAAACACCAAAAGCAATAGGAACAAAAGCCAAAAATGACAAATGGGATCTAATTAAACTAAAGAGCTTTGGCACAGCAAAAGAAACTATCGTCAGAGTGAACAGGCAACCTACAGAATGGGAGAAAAATTTTACAATCTATCCATCTGACAAAGGGCTAATATCCGGAATCTACAAAGAACTTAAACAAATTGACAAGAAAAAAACAAACAACCCTATCAAAAAGTGGGCAAAGGATATGAACAGACACTTCTCAAAAGAAGACATTTATGTGGCCAACAAACATATGAAACAAAGTTCATCATCACTGGTCATTAGAGAAATGCAAATCAAAATCACCATGAGATACCATCTCACACAGGTTAGAATGGCAATCATTAAAAATTCAGGAAACAACAGATGCTGGAGAGGATGTGGAGAAATAAGAATGCTTTTACACTGTTGGTGGGAGTGTAAATTAGTTTAACCATTGTGGAAGACAGTGTGGTGATTCCTCAAGGATCTAGAACCAGAAATACCATTTGACCCAGCAATCCCACCCAAAGGATTATAAATCATTCTACTGTGAAGACACATGCACACATATGTTTACTGCAGCACTATTCACAATAGCAAAGACTTGGAACCAACGTAAATGCACATCAATGATAGACCAGTTAAAAAAAATGTGGCATATATACAGCGTGGAATACTACGCAGCCATAAAAAAAATGAGTTCATGTCCTTTGCAAGGACATGGATGAAGCTGGAAACCATCAGTCTCAGGAAACTAACACAGGAACAGAAAACCAAACACCGCATGTTCTCACTCATAAGTGGGAGATGAACAATGAGAACACATGGAGACAGGGAGGGGAACATCACACACCAGGGCCTGTTGGGGGGTGGGAAGCAAGGGGAGGTATAGCATTAGGAGAAATACCTGATGTAGATGATGGGTTGATGGGTGCAGAAACCCCCATGGCACATGTATACCTATGTAACAAACCTGCACATTCTGCACATGTATACCAGAACTTAAAGTATAATTAAAAAACAAAAAGAAAACCTATCAGATTTACAGCAGATTTCTCAGCAGAAACCCTACAAACTAGAAGGGATTGGGGTTCTATTTTTAGCCTCCTTAAACAAGATGATTATCAGCCAAGAATGTTGTATCCAATGAAACTAAGCTTCATAAATTAAAGAAAGATACAGTCTTTGCCAGACAAACAAATGCTGAGAAAATTTGCCACTACCAAGTCAGCACTACAAGAACTACTAAAAGGACCTCTAAATCTTGAAACAAATCCTAAAAATACACCAAAACAGCATCTCCTTAAAGCATAAATCTCACCTGTATAACAATTACACAATGAAAAAATCAAGGTATTTAGACAACAAACAGCACAATGAATAGAATAGTACCTCACATCTCGATACTAACATTGAATGTAAATGGCCTAAATGCTCCCCTTAAAAGATACAGAATGGCAGAATCAATAAGAATTCACCAACCAAGTTCTTGCTGTCTTCAGGAGACTCACCTAACACATGACAACTCACATAAACTTAAGGTAAAGGGATGGAAAAAGATATCCCATGCAAATGGACACCAAAAGCAAGCAGGAGTATTCTTATATCAGAAAAAACACACATCAGACAAAGCAACAGCAGTTTAAAAAGACAAAGAGGAACACTATATAATGATAAAAAGACTAGTCCAACAGGAAAATATCACAATTCTAAATATGTATGCATCTAACACAGGAGATCCCAAATTTATAAAACAATTTCTACTAGACCTAAGAAATGAGATAGACAGCAACACAATAATAGTGGGGGAAACTCCACTGACAGCACTCAACAGGTAATCAAGACAGAAAGTCAATAAAGAAACAATGGACTTAAAGGATACCCTACAACAAATGGAGATAACAGATATTTACAGAACATTCTACCCAACAACTACAGAATATACATTTTATTAATCAGCATATGGAACATTCTTCAAGGTAGACCATATGATAGGCCACAAAACAAGTCTCAGTAAATTTAAGAAAATCGAAATTACATCAAGTACTCTCTCAGACTACAGTGGAATAAAATTGGAAATCAACTCCAAAAGGAGCCCTCAAAACAATGCAAATATATGGAAATTAAATAACATGTTCTTGATGATTGTTGGGTCAAAAGTGAAATCAAAATGGAAATTTAAAAATTCTTTGAACTGAACGATAATAATGACACAACCTATCAAAACCTCTAGGATACGGCAAAAGCATTGCTAATAGGAAAGTTCATAGCATTAAATGCCTACATCAAAAAGTCTGGAAGAGCACAAATACACAATCTAAAGTCACACCTCACAGAAATGGAGAAACAAGAACAACCCAAACCCAAAAGAAGAAAAGAAGTAACAAAGATCAGAGCAGATCTAAATGAAATTGAGACAAAAAAAAAATACAAAAGATAAATGGAACAAGAAGCTGGTTCTTTGAAAAGATTTTTAAAAATTGATAGACCATTAGCCAGATTAGCCAAGAAAAGAAGAGAGAAGATCCAAATAAGCTCAAGTAGAAATGAAACAATAGATATTACAACTGATACCACAGAAATACAAAAGATTATTCAAGGCTACTATGAACACCTTTATGCACATAAACTAGAAAACCTAGAGGAGATGGATAAATTCCTAGAAATATACAACCATCCTAGATTAAACCAGGAAGATGTAGAATCTCTGAACAGACCAATAATAAGCAGCAAGATTGAAACAGTAATTTTTTAAAATGCCAAGAAAAAAAAGTCCAGAACCAGATATATTCACAGCCTAATTCTATTAGACATTCAAAGAAGAATTGGTACCAATCCTATTGAGATTATTCCAAAAGATAGAGAAAGAAGGAATCCTCCCTAAATTATTCTATGAAGCCAGTATCACCCTAATACAAAAACTGGGGAAGGGCATAATAAAAAAAGATACCTACAGACCAATATCCCTGGTGAACATAGATGCAAAAATCCTCAACAAAATATCAGCAAACTGAATCCAACAGCATATAAAAAACATAATGTCCCATGATCAAGTGGGTTTCATACCAGGGATCCAGGGATGGTTTAACATATGTAAGTCAATAAATGTGATGCACCACATAAACAGAATTTAAAACAAAATCACATGATCATCTCAATAGACACAGTAAAATCATTTGACAAAATCCAGCATCTCTTTATGATTAAAACCTTCAGCAAAATTGGCATAGAAAGGACACACCTTAAGGTAATAAAAGCCATCTATGATAAAACCACAGTCAACCTTATACTGAATGGGGAAAAGTTGGAAGCATTCTTCCTGAGAACTGGAACAAGATGAGGATGAACCACTTTCACTACTTGTATTCAACATAGTACTGGAAGTCATAGCCAGAGCAATCAGACAAGAGAAAGAAATTGGGAAAGAGGAAGTCAAACTGTCACTGTTTGCAGATGATATGATCATATACCTAGAAAACCCTAAAGACTTATCCAAAAAGCTCCTAGAACTGGTACATGAATTCAGCAAAATTTCAGGATACAAAATTAATGCAAACAAATCAGTATCTCTGCTGTACACCAACAGTCACCATGCTGAAAATCGAACCAGGAACTTGACGCCTTTCACAATAGCTGCATAAAAAAAATGAAATACTTAGGAATATACCTAACAAAGATTGTGAAGGACCTCTACAAGGAAAACTACAAAACACTGCTGAAAGAAATCAGCAACAAATGGAAACAAATGGAAACACATCCCATGTTCATGGATGGATAGAATCAATACTGTGAAAAATGACCATACTCCCCAAAGCAATCTACAAATTCAATGCAATTCCCATCAAAATACCACAATCATTCTTCACAGAACTAGAAAAAACAATCTTAAAATTAATATGGGGCCAGGCACGTGACTTACACCTGTAATCCCAGCACTTTGGGAGGCCAAGGCGGGTGGATCATGAGCTCAGGAGTTCGAGACCAGCCTGGTCAACATGGTGAAACTCCGTCTCTACTAAAAACACAAAAAAAATAGCCAGGCATGGTGGTGGGTGCCTGTAATCCCAGCTACTCAGGAGGCTGAGGCAGGAGAATTGCTTGAACCTGGGAGTTGGAGGTTACAGTGAGCCAAGATATGCCATTGCACTCCAGCCTGGGTGACAGTGTGAGACTCCATCCGAAAAAACACACACACACACACACACACAATTAATATGGAACCACAAAAGAGCCCACATAGCCAAAGCAAGACTAATCAAAAAGAACAAATCTGGAGGCATCACATTACCTGACTTCAAACTATACCATAAGGCCACAGTCACCAAAACAGCATAGTATTGGTGTAAAAATAGGCACATAGACCAATGGTACAGAATAGAGAAATAAAGCCAAATAGTTACAGCCAACTGATGTTTGACAAAGCAAACAAAAACATAAAGTTGGGAAAGGACACCCTATTCAACAAATGGTGCTGGGATAATTGGCTAGCCACATGTAGAAGAATGAAACCATATCCCCATCTCTCACCTTATACAAAAATCAACTCAAAATAGATCAAAGACTTACATCTAAGACCTGAAACCACAAATATTCTAGAAGATAACATCTAAAAAATCCTTTTAGTTATTGGCTTAGGCAAAGACTTCATGAACAAAAACCCAAAAGCAAATGCAACAAAAACAAAGATAAATAGATAGGACTTAATTAAACTAAAAACCTTCTGCACAGCAAAATAAATAATCAGCAGAGTTAACAGACAACCCACAGAGTGGGAGAAAGTCTTGACAATCTATACATCTGGCAAAGGACTAATATCCAGAATCTACAAGAGACTCAAACAAATAAACAAGTAAAAATCAAACAATCCCATCAAAAAGTGGGCTAAGGACATGAATAAATCATTAACCATTCTCAAAAGAAGATATGCAAATGTCCAAAAAGCATATGGAAAAATGCTCAACATCACTAATTATCAGGGAAATGCAAATCAAACCACAATGCAATACCACCTCACTCCTGCAAGAATGGCCATAATGAAAAAAATAAAAATAATAATAGGTGTTGATGTGGATGCAACGAAAAGGGAACACTTTTACACTGTTGGTGGGAATGTAAACTAGTACAACCATTATGAAAAACATTGTGAATGTTCCTTAAAGAACTAAAAGTAGATCTACTGTTTGATCTAGCAATCCTACTACTAGGTATCTACCCAGAGGAAAAGAAGTCATTAAACAAAAAAATACTTGCACACACATTTATAGCAGCACAATTTGCAATTGCAAAAATATGGAACCAGCCCAAATGCCATCAATTGAGTGGATAAAATGTGATATACATATATATATATATATACACACACACACACACACACCATGGAATACTACTCAGCCATAAAAGGAATGAAATAATGGCATCCACAGCAATCTGGATGGATTGGAGACTATCATTCTAAGTGAAGTAACTCAGGAATGGAAAACCAAACATTGTATGTTCTCACTCATATGTGGGAACTAAACTATGAGGACACAAAAGCATAAGAATGATATATTGGACTTTGGGGGTTTGGGGGAAAGGATGGGGGGTGGCAAGGGCTAAAAGGCTACACATTGGATACAGTGTATACTGCTTGGGTGATGAGTGTACCAAAATCTCAGAAATCACCACTAAAGAACTTATTCATGCAACCAAGCATCACCTGTTCCCCAAAAACCTATTGAAATAAAAAGTTATAAAACAATTTTAAAGTATATAGAATGATCCAAAACAGTGAATGCCCCCCATAATTATCCTTTATCAAATTAAAGACCCATCCTTCTCTTTCTAGTTCAAAGAGTTTTATTATAAAAGAAACAGATACTGACATTCACCAAATGCCCCTTCAGTGTCTATTTTGTCTTTCCTTGGACCTCTGTTAAGATACTTATAACTGTTTCTACACTTCAAGATTCTTAGAAGAGATTCTTTTTAGCATTTCTTGTAAGGCCTTGTAGAATACTTTTACGCAGGTGTTCAATGAGTATCTCAAAACTATTGAAAGACAATCCAGCTGGGATATGGCCTCCTGGGGACCTCCTGACTACCAGAGGCCTCCAACAGTCCAAAGGCTCTATATGATAGGCCAACGTGTTAGCTTTCAAAAGGTTAATGTCATTCCAGCCTGTGGTAAGAAAAGCAACATGAACTGCTTCTGACTCCAGTCTATTCTTTCAGCCCAGTTTCCAACCAAGCTAAGCTTACAGTTTCCTGTGCACATCTAGCATTTTCTACCGCTGTTCCATGGCTCTGACTCTTTCCTCCCTCTCAAATATTCCTACCCATAGCACTACATGTTCTGGTTACTTATGAACTCATCTCCCCCTTAAGCTCGTTTATGATAGAATATCTGTACCTGATTTGCATTTGTGTCCTGCTTAGTACAATGCTTATGTTTGACAACAATATTTGCTGAAAATTATTTTACTCAGAAACATTTTGATGTACCACCTTTCTAGCCAAAAATTTCTCAGGTCACTGGCTGAGTCTAAGCAAAACTTTCAACCCATGAGGGATAAGATGACTGCATTTATTTTCAGTTGGATGTCTTCTTATTGTTCTGTACTCTGCTCTCCTTAGTCCCATTGGTAAATACTTATAAATGGTGCCTTCTGTTGGATCACAGTTTGAATGGGATTACTGTAAATTTTATCCATCAAAAATATTTCCGGGGCTCAAATCTGAGTTTGCTGGTAGACATTTCAAGTGAAGACACTCAGCTTTTGCTAAATCACCACTGAGCCAGGATTGCTTCAGGTTTTGGAAACAATAAATTATCAAGTTAGAGCTGGGAGGAAGATGTGCATAATTGGCAAGACTGATGGAGGTTGCTTAAACTGCTGAGCAACATCTGCAAATGAAAATCATTCCACATGTCTGCCACTCAGGCCCCAATCTAGAGCTATTTAGAAAATAGTATTTCACTGGCTTAGGACCTTGTGCCTTGTCCCTGAGGGCAGAAGTTGAGTGAATCTGAATCCTCCCAGGAACTATAAGCCTAAAATTTACTTCACAGTTGTCCAATGTACACCTGTTACTTCAGATCACTGCCATGAGTGAAGGAGAGAGTGGTTCCAATACCACATACTGGGTATGTACCCAAAGGATTATAAATCATGCTGCTATAAAGACACATGCACATGTATGTTTATTGCGGCACTATTTACAATAGCAAAGACTTGGAACCAACCCAAATGTCCATCAATGATAGACTGAATTAAGAAAATGTGGCACATATACACCATGGAATACTATGCAGCCATAAAAAAGGATGAGTTCATGTCCTTTGTAGGGACATGGATTAAGCTGGAAATCATCATTCTCAGCAAACTATCACAAGGACAAAAAACCAAACACTGCATGTTCTAACTCATAGGTGGGAATTAAACAATGAGAACACTTGGACACAGGAAGGGGAACATCACACACCAGGGCCTGTTGGGGGTGGGAGGAAGGGGGAGGGATAACATTAAGAGATATACCTAATGTAAAAGTCGAGTTAATGGGTGCAGCACACCAACATGGCACATGTATACATATGTAACAAACCTGCACATTGTGCACATGTACCCTAGAACTTAAAGTATAATAAAAAAAATGTGATGCTAATTAATAAATGTGTTTATGATTCTTTCTTGTTCTGGGGATCAATTCAAGTTTGCTTGCCTGATAGAGACAAAGATATGTGGGAAATTATGCAATCATTTGATATATTCAGAAATGCCCACTTGAACATCTCAGATAGTGAATTAAGATCATCACTGTCCCAACAGTTTTTTAAATTGACCATTGTTTGAGACCTATATTAGTACAACCCCCAACTCATAGTACAATTGTTCTGTCACTTGCTCTTTTTACCAACATTTAAGGCCATTTGTTCTCTCCAAGACTTTTTCAGAGTCACTCAAATTTGTACAGCCAATAGACTCACAGAAGTCAAAGCTGCTCTTAGGGAGACTCTTTCTACAGATGAGAACCCAGACAGGCATCCAGCCAGACCAGGTGACTTATCTATGTTTACACACCTGGTGGGTGCCCAATACAGCTCCAGAACTCTGGCCTCTCCATTCCAAGGGTAGTATTCTTTCCAAAGGACATCCAAACTGTCATTTTAGTTCACAATGACTCCATCATTTACTATCAACATCTGATCAATCAAACTGAAACCAGTGTTTTTTGCCACTGATCCCCTAATAGCCCAACATGGATTCTTTGGAGATTCATCTGTGTGATTTTGCCAATTACCCATGAGCCATATTTGCTGGCAAAGACAATAAGCCATTCATTGGGGGTAATTAAGCTAATGTCTCATTTTATATTCACAGCTATCCCTGAGACTACATGCGGTATTGTTTCTACAATATTAATTGATCTAACCTTCTGAGAACATACAACAGATTAAAGTTCTCCCCACTGAGTGTCTATCAAGACAAAATTTGCTTGACATTCTAAAAACCCAATTCATTTGAGGTCCAGGAAGAAAAGATGTGCAAGAAAATTGTTCCCTGTCTTAGAGCATAAAATGAAGAACTTTGATTTATATGGAATATTTTCCAGAGTGGGTAGAGGTTGGCCCTATAATAGAACATGATCCTAAATGTTGGGATGCTATTCCTATTGGAGTTGTATTTTGAGTTGATTATCAGCACGGGTTGGCCCACCTTGAAAAAAGTAATCATTCTTGGAGTAAATCACCCAAGGAAGGAAGCTGGAGGGAGTTTCCATCCACTGACTCTTGCTTTCTTGCTTTCTCTTTCTTGTCTTTGAATAGTGGAGATGACCAGGTACATGGGATTCAGTTATAGGGACTAAGATGCATATAACTAAATGCCTATAACTAAGATGCCTATAATATCTTTGTATTTTGGGAATACAAAAGCATCTTTGAGAATATCATGAAAGCTATGAACTCTATTCCCAAAAAATAAATAGGCACAAAGGCATTCAATTACAATCTCAGGGGACCCGTGGACCTTGGTAAAATTCATCCATGGACTTCCCAACCTCTATCCAGGGTCCAATATAGCAGCAAGCCAAGGCCTAAGAAGAGTGCACCCTCTGTCAAACATACCAAGCCAAGAATTAAAAATGTAAAAAAAAATTAAAAACTACTGTACCTTACAGTCAGATTTTCTAATTTATGGTTCTTTTTGGTGTGCACGTCCATTTTGCAACCCAGAAGCCTTTATGGAAAGTCAGTCTTTTCTCAATTACACTATTAAGAGAAAGGGCTATATGCCCATTTGAGCCAGAACATAAATGAGAAAGCTCCAAGAAGGTTAGTTTTGGGAGAACAGATCTGGGCCATATGATCCAGCTTCCCCACACAGGAAGGAGTCTCCTTAGATAATCTGTATTTTGTCTTTCTATTTAGGAAGGTGGACAATTTCACAGTTGACTATACAATCTCATGATATTAGTGAGGATATTTGGCAGTACCATCCCCATCATCAGAGGCTGTAAAACTACCCTTGTAATTTTGTTTACTTTCCTGAATGACCTTCCTTTCATGCAAGGAGATCTAGCTCTTCTTCTGAATCTTGTTGTTTCAGTCTCACTCACACAGAGTGAACACAAGCTGCTATCATTGGAAGCTGCCCAAGAAGGTCCACTTTTCAACTTGCACCAGCTTCTGGGTAGCAGTCACTTGAGTTAGTCAATGTCATCTCTTGGATCTGAGGAGTGGAGCTGAGTCATCTACAAAGCATCTTCTTAAGGAGGAGTATCTCCCTGAAGCTGTCCCCAGGGTAGGCTGAATTTCATAAATGCAGCCATTTCATTGTGGGGACCCAGAATAAAAGAACACATGTGGTGACCATTTTATGCACCTTCCCACCAGAAAGGAATAGGAGGTGGGTTAGACTTAGAAGTGGTTGGCACCTGAAAGGCCTATCCTCGGGTTTCAGGGCAGGGCTTAAATATCTGGCAGGGATCGTGAAAGAGCAGAGTGGGTTTCCAGGTTTAAGAGTGTGCAGGGGTACACATCAGGTCACCATAGCAGGAAATTCATGACAGGAAACATGGCAGAACCTGCCATAATAACTTATATACACAGATTCTGGGCTTCAAACAAGAAAGGCAGTGCCTTAACCAGAACCGGTCAGACAGACAGCAAGGGAAATGTGAGAACGAGCCCAGGAAGGTAAGAGGAGCTGGTGAACCCCTTGTGAGTGCAGAGGAGGAGAGAGGCAAGGAAATGGTAGTCTTACCAAACCAAGTAAACAGTGGTTGAGTCTCAAAGCTACACTATCTCATATATAACATCCTACTTAGCAAACACTTCTGTTCCCAAAACAGTTCAAGGCCACGTGATAAACACCAGCCCCACTTGATATATGGACTGACATCAGCTATTAATCAGAAAAGATCAGAAAGCAATAAAGTGCTCAATCTGGAGATTTATTTTGAGCATGGATGTCTCTGAGGTTGTCAGGGTCAGCAAACACCAAGAGCATTCACTGAGTCCACACCCCAAGCAAAACCAACATTTTGAGTTTTGAGACAATTTCTAATAAACGAAGTCTACACTTGACTCATCTTCTGATGTAGAGTAAATATGTGTAGGGTCCCAGTTGTTAAGGGCTCTGCAAGGCCTCATAAAATATTGACGCTTAGAAATAAGTAATACTCTTGCCTTTGTTTCTGGCACAAATGGATACATTGAATGATATTTAATACACATCATACTTCATTGGCTTCTGCTCAGCAGTCACTCTGTATGTTATTTAACTTCAAGGTGGCTCTGGGGGTAGCCAGCACGAACAGATAAGCTAGACAAGATGATCCTGAAAACAAGTCCCCCTATGGGCATTCCTCTTCTGACGAGGTTTGGAAATCCTGGCTGTAGTTTTCATGGACTATCCTCCAAGCAAGATCCTTGAAGGAATATTCAGTCTGCACTCACACAAGACTCCTCTGAGCCTTAACAGCAATTGTCAAGTTCTAAAGGAAACCAAAGCTGTTTGTATCTTCGGCAAACTTGTACTCTCTTCATTGACCTGATTCTTTGCAGCAGTTCATTTCTAAAAGGCTGCAGTTATAATTGGATTCATGATAAACGTTCTTTTTCTCTTACTCTTGTTTGCAAAAGATATGTTTAGTATTATAAAAAACATTCAACTGTGCTCCCTAACTTGTGACTGAAGGTGGGAATTTAATATGAGAACCACTTACGTCTCAGTTCCTTTGAATATTCCTTGGCACATGAAGGCTTAGTGAGTGGGTGGCTGTGGTTTTTATGTATTTTGAATTGAATTTCACCTCATTCTGAGCGCATCAGTGGCAACCTACGCATTTATAAGGAAAAGTAAATGAAACTAAATAGGTGAGACAAAGAGAGTTAAGATAGGGAATGTCAGTTTGAGAGTGAGATTTGGGGGATTTTGAACTTTATATTAACCATTTTAATTTATTTTTTTTTTCTAATCTTGCTCCACGTAGAAACTTTTTAAGGTATGGGAAAGCGGGAGGCGGTGTAGGGGAGGGAAACACACAGAAAAATAAGTCTCTTATAATTCTACCACCCAAAACCAATACAGTTCATTTTGGCCTGTTTCTTCCCTGCTATTATTCTATACATTTTGAGCACAGTTGACATAAAACTGTATGTAGCATTGCCCATCCTGTGAACCTTTACATAATAAACAATTTTCTATGTCATTAGAAGTATAACATAAATACGAGCCTTAGAGGTCATAAAACATGTCACTGTGTGAATGTTCCATGATTTACTTACCAATTACCTTAATGACAGACATTTAAATTTTTAATTTCCTACTTTTATAAATACCTCTGAAGCAGCCATCTTTTAATATTTGGCCATAAACCTGGGCTGTGGTAAAGACTGTGTGTTTAAGGAAGTTTCTTAGGAGGAAATGTACAGGGTCAAAGGAAAAGGATGCTTTTAAGGCCCTTGACACGTGTCGTGAAACTGATGAGCTACTTCCTTTGGAAATAGGCAGATTAAGCAAGCGGCTTCACAACCTGGAATCTCACAGGCCTGCTCAGCTGTCTGCTATCCAAGTAAGAGGGCAGAACTGTACCACCCGTCCATGAGGGCAAATCAGTTGGACATAGAAATTATTCAGTAAGCAGAAGTTATAATTATTATTTCTCATCTTTTCCAAGATTTATACAGAAATTTTATAATCAGAGAAAAGGTAGTGGGAAGAGGGGTATAAAGAAGGGATGATTATGGCCAGGTTTGGTGGCTCATGCCTGTAATTTCAGCATTTTGGGAGGTGGAGGCAGGAGGATTGCTTGACCCCAGGGTTTCAAGAGCAATATGGCAACAGAGAGAGACTCCTCTCTGAAAAAAAAAAAATGCAGCTGAAAGTTCAGGACCCAGAATGAAATAACGGATGTGGTGACCGTGCAGTGGACCCCCCTACCAGTAAGGAATAAGGAGGTGGGTTAGACTTAGAAGGGAGTTAAGCTGTCCAGCCGCAGTGGCTCACACCTGTAATACCCCCAACACTTTGGGAGTCAAAGGTGGGCAGATAACTTGAGGCCAGGAGTTTGAGCCAGGCCAACATGGTGAAACCTCGTCTCTATCAAAAATACAAAAATTAGCCAGGCTTGGTGACACATGCCTGTAGTCCCAGCTACTCCAGAGGCTAAGGCAGGAGAATCACTTCAACCCAGGAAGCGGAGCTTGCAGTGAGCCAAGATCATGCCACTACATTCCAGACTGGGTGACAGAGCAAGACTCCATCTCAAAAAAAAAAAAAAAAAAGAAGGGGGTTAGGCTTAGAAAGAAAAAAGAAAGAAAAATTAGCTAGGAGTGGTGGGGTATGCCTATAGTCCCAGCAACTTGGAAAAGCTAAGGTGGGAGGATTGCTTGAACACAAGAGTTTGAGACTGCTGTGAATCATGATTGAGCCATTATACTCACCTCTGTTTAGGGCAGTTTATAAACTTTACAAAGCCCTTTTTAAGCATTCCCTTACCTGATCCTCCCCACAACTGTGTATGCTCTGCAGCTCAGATATCATTATCATCCCCATTTTACCAGTGAGAAGATTGAGATTTTCCAGAACTTAAATATTTTTACTGAGGGAATGGACAAGAAAGACTGTGAACCACCAGATCCTAAGAGAGTTGCCAATGTTTGCTCCCGGGTCTTTAACTTAATATTTTCTCTTGCTCTCATTCATCTGAAATGTATATGCTGCTGTGGAAAGAGAGCATGGGTAGCCATCAGTGTGGTACAAAGCTGGAGAGAAAAAGAACAAGTGTATCTCTGCTTAATGTCCCACTTGAATGTTGTCTGGTGAGGGGCCAGCTGTGTTCCTGTGAGTCTTTTCTCTGAGCCTAATAGAACGTGGGTGGGCTGCTTTTGTAACACGTTACTCTCTCCACCCGTGGGGGGAGAAGCATTCTCGGCATTGGCATTAGGGCAGTGGTTGCCAGTGGTTACATTTAGGATAGCCCAGGGAAGGAACAGTGGCCTATCATTGTTCATCATTTATGGGGCCCCTGGACTGTTGAGGGAAAGTGTCTCAGGTATCTTTCTCTGATGGGAAATACCATAATACCTAAAATGCGTCTAGTCCATTCAACTTCAGATATAAGACAATTTCTTATAGTTTGATCTTCACAGCAACCTGAGGAGGTTGACTTCATTATTATTCTCATCTAAAGAGAGGAAATTGAGGCATGGTGCGGCAGAAACTGGCCAGACACCCACCACTTTTGTGTCCTCTACCTAGGTACTCAAAAAGACTACATTTCCCAGACTCCCTTGCAGTTAGGAGGGGGCCATATATTTTTGTCTGCCACACTGGATTGTGGGCAGAACTGATGTAGTTCATATAAGGCCAAGCCATATAATTTCCCATGTGATTTTTCCATGCCCTCTTTTTCCACTCTTAGGCCAGCCAAATGAAGAGAATACAATAAAGGATTCCAAGAAAGTTCTCAAAGATAGAAGAGACACCACAGAGAAGGAAACTGGATCTCTAAGTTATGATAGGAAAGAGAGCTGCCTGACTCTCATGGGATTGCAATGAGAGTGAGAAATAAACGTGTATGTTGTGAAGTTGGGAGATATGAAGATTTGTTTGCTCTTGCAGTGTTGCCTAGACTAGCTAAACTAACACATAGTGATTGGCTCAAGATCACCCATGAATGACACACAGGTTATACCACCCTCCTGTAAATCCTGCTGTGAGCCCTTAAATGGGATCAGGACATTCTGTCTCCAATTCCTTTGCAGTTCATCTGTGTTCCACAGTGGAGTGGCCTGAAGGCTGGAGGCTGGAATCATCTCAAGTTTGTCCCTCACATTTCCCAAAGTTGATGCTGACTGTTGGCTTGGACTTCAGCTAGGGCTGTTGGCGAGAAAACCTAAACATGACTTCTCCATGTCGTCTCTCTACATCTTCACAGCATGGCAGCTGGGTTCTTGAGTGAGAATGCCAAGAGGACCAGGTGGTAGTTGTATTACTTTTCATGATTTAGCCTCAAAAGTCACATAGTATCACTTTCAACATAGTCTAAAGCCCACCCAGATTCGAAAGAAAGAGCCATAAATCTCACCTCTCAATGGGAGGGGTGGCAGGGGCTTGGGAAATGGTAGATCTCAGGGTAAAAATACACTTTTCCATACATGGCTAACCAAGACACACAGTAATAAGAAAAAGCCTGGTACAAACAGTTTGGTCACATTTCCCCTGCTTTCACAAAGAAAAAATATGTAGGGGTGTGTGTGTGTGTGTGTGTGTGTGTGTGTGTGTGTGTGTGTGTGTGTATGTACCTAGAAATTTTCTGGAAATATTGATAAGACATTGTTAACAAAAATTTCCTCCAAAGAATGAGACTGGAAGTCCAAAATAGAAGAAAAGCTCACTTTTCATTGCATATCTTTTTACTGTTTGAACTGTTTTCTATATGCTTGTGCTATTTTCATAATACTAAATAGAATTTTAAAGTGATGAATAGGGATGTTCTGAAATGATTATACACATTTTCCCTTTTTCTCTGTTGAAATCATTAAATTTTTGGAAGCCAACCAAATGATGCCAACAAGAAAAAAGATATTTTTTTATTTTCATTTGAGATGCCAATTTCCATTTTGTACCGACTAGATGACAATTTGGCAACAACTAGCATCAGATTTGCATATGTAAGAAATTCTTTATTTTTCCGTATCATTGGTTACCCATCCCAGCTGCACATCCAAATCACCCAGTGAACTTTAAAAAAAAAAAAAAAAACTGAGATTCCTAGGTCCCTCTTCTGACCTACTAAATCACAAACTCTGAGGTAGACAGCCAGGAATCTGTAACTTAAAGCTCTCCCATGTGACTGATACCATCAACTCAGCCCTGGGTTTTTGAACTTGACTTTGGAAAGAAAACAACTGGTGGGGCCAGGTGTGGTGGCTCATGCCTGTAATCCCAGCACTTAAGGAGGCCGAGGCCAGCAGATGACTTGAGATCAGGAGTTCAAGACCAGCCTGGCCCACATGGTGAAACCCTGTCTCTACTAAAAGTACAAAAATTAGCAAGGCATGGTGGCTCGTGCATATAATACCAGCTACTCAGGAAGCTGAGGCAGGAGAATTGTTTGAAACTGGGAGGTGGAGGTTATAGTGAGCTGAGATTGCGCCACTTCACTCCAGCCTAAGTGACAGGGCAAGACTCTATCTCAAAAAAAAAAAAAAAAAAAAAAAAAAAAAACAACTAGCAGTCCTGCCTCCAGGCATGAAACCACATGGTCTTCAGCCTTGCTGTTCCAAATCACTGTGAGACACAACAGGGACTCCTCTTGGAGGCTACGGGCCCTCCAAGCATGGAAATAAAAGAAAATCTTGAGTTCCTTCAAGGGAAATTCCAGACACCTGGCTAGCCCTGAGAGCAACTTGATATGCAAGAAGGTAATAATAGCTTGAAACAATAGCCAAGGAAGTTAGAGTCACTAGATGTTTGATTCCCTATGGAAACTAAAGGTAACATCCTAACGTGTGTATTACTCTGTTCTCACACTGCTATAAAGAAATAGCTGAGAAGGGGTAATTTATAAAGAAAAGATGTTTAATTGCCCTGTGGTTCCACAGGCTGTACAGGGAAGATAGTGCTGGCATCTGCTCAGCTTCTGGGGTAGCCTCAGGAAACTTACAATCATGGCAGATGGTGAAGGGGGCTGGCACATCATATGACTGGAGCAGGAGGAAGTGGGGAGAGGTGTCACACTCTTTGAAACGACCAGATTTCATGAGAACTCACTATCGTGACAACCAAGGGGGGATGCTGTTAAACCATGAGACAAAACTGCCCCCATGATACAATCACCTCCCACAAGGCCCCACTTTCAGCATTGAGGATTACATTTCAACATGAGATTTGGATGGAGGCACACGGCCAAACCTTATCATTCTGTCCCCGGCCCCTCCCAAAACTCATGTCTTGCCCACTGCCTAGAAAGAGCTGATTTATCAAGACAATGAATTGCAATAGAGAAAGAGTTATTCATGCAGAGCCACCTCTGTGGGAGACTGGAGTTTTATAATCAGTCTCCCTGAGAATTTAGGGATTGAAGTTTTTAACGATAATTTGGCACAGAGGGGCCAGTGAGTTGGGAGTGCTGATTGGTTGGGTTGGAGATGAGTCAAAGGGAATCAAAGCTGTCGTCTTTTGCTGAGTCAGTTTCTAGGTGGGGGCCGCAAGATCAGATGAGCCAGTTTATCAATCTGGGTGGTTCCAGCTGATCTATCAATATCTCAATCACTGATCATAGGTTTTACAATAGTGATGTTATCCCCAGGAGCACTTTGGGGAGGGTCAGAATCTTATAGCCTCCAGCTGTATGATTCTTAAACCATAGTTTCTTATCTTGTAGGTAATTTGTTAGTCTTACAAAGGCAGTCTAGTCCCCAGGCAGGAAGGGGGTTTGTTTTGGGAAAGGGCTGTTATTATCTTTGCTTCAAAATTAAACTATAAGTTCCTCCCACAGTTAGTTCGGCCTATGCCCAGGAGTGAACAAGGACAGCTTGGAGGTTAGAAGCAAGATGAAGTTGGTTAGGTCAGATCTATTTTACTGTAATAATTTTCTCAGTTATAATTTTGCAATGGTTGCTTCAATCATAAGTTCCTCATTTCTACCTGAGTCCTCCTCATCCTAGACTTTACTGCCCATATCACTATCAGCATTGTGGTCACAACTATTGAACAAGTGTCTGGAAAGTTCCAAAGTTTCCCTCACCTTCCTTTCTTCTTCTGAGCCCTCCAAGCTGTTCCAACCTCTGCTGGCTACCCAGTTTCAAAGCTGCTTCCACATTTTCAGGCATCTTTATAACAATGCCCTCACTTCTTAGTACCAATTTTCTGTATTAGTCCATTAGTCCATTGTATTGCTATAAGGAAATACCTGAGACTGAGTAATTTATAAAGAAAAGATGTTTAATTGGCTTATGGTTCTGCAGACTGCACAGAAAGAATGATGCTGGCACCTGCTCAGTTTCTGGTGAGGCCTCAGAAAATCATGGCAGAAGGCAAAGGGGGAGCCAGCACTTCACATAGCCAGAGCAGGAGGGAGAGAGAGGAGGGGAGGTGCCACACACTTTTAAACAATCAGATCTCACGAGAACTCACTATCGCTATGAGAGCACCAAGTGGGGATGGTGTTAAACCATGAGAAACCAGCCCCATGATCCAATCACCTCCCACCAGACTCCACCTCCAGCACTGGGGATTACATTTCAATACAAGATTTGGGTGGGGACACAGATCCAAACCATATCAGTATGTCCCTGAGTTGTTTTTCAGAAATCTTGATCTACACCAAACAGATCCACTGGCACACAGACCTCAGATAAGGAGAAACTGAGGACTGGAAACTGTCACTGCTGTCCTTTGTTCTAAATTTCTTCCTGAAAGGCCTGGAGGAGGACACACCCATGAGCCAGAGCTAACATTCTTTTCTGCTGATCCTAAACTTTCTACACAAAGCTTCACCTCCTTAACCAATTGCAAATCAGAAAATCTTTGACTCCACCTATGACCTTTGGGCCCCTGCTTCAAGATGTCCTGCCTTTCTAGGTCAAAGCAATGCATAGCCTCCATGTATTGACTCATGACTTTTCCTGTGACCTCTGCCTCCCCACCTTTAGAAACCCTTATCTGTAAGCCCTCCGGGAATTTGGGTCTTAGGCTTTAGCAGCCCCATTCCCCCTGCTTAGTGCCCTACCATAAATGCCTCATTTTCTCTCACTGAAATCCCGATGTCAGTGTTTGAGTTTGCGGCATTGGGCGGGCAGAACCCAGATTCATTCAATAGCAAGTATCACCTGAGAGCTTGTTGGAGATGCAAATTCTCAGTTCTCATCCCAAAGCTACCAATTAGAGTCTACATTTTTTAAAAGGACCCCCAGGTGATTCCCGGGCATATGAAAGTTGGAGAATCCCTGACCTAAAGGATACAGTCCCAAAAGTAGGGAACAAAGACAAAAATTCCCATCTTCAAGGAGCATATTTTCACTTGGGAGAGATAAATGGTAAATAATAACAATAATGTTACATATAGTATTTATTTATTTAACTAGAGATATGAAACTGGTGATTTTGGAAGTAACCAGCAGATTTTTTTGCTTTAAATTTTGAAAATTGCATGTAAGACATTGATAAGTGCTAGGAAAAAGGAAAGAGAGTGTGGGAGATAAGTTTGCATCTTCAGATAGGAAGACAGGAAAGACCCCCATCGAAAAGACAGTATTTGAATAATGGCTTGAAGGAGGGGAGTGGGAGGGGCCTGCAGAAATCTGGTGAAGAATATTACCGGCAGAAGAAACAGCCAGAGCCAAGGCCCTTCCAGGTAATGTGGGCCAGGAGTCGGGACAGAGAAGTACCTGGGGCAGACTGCCTGAGCCCATTTGGCATTGGAAAGACTTTGTCTTCTACTCAGAGTGTGAGCTGAGGCTGGGTAACCTAGAACAGTGATGTAATCTAATATGTTTTTAAAAGATTCCTCTGGCTGCTGATTTGAAAATACACCATGGGGGCAGAAACAGGGAGAACCAGTCACAAAGCCATTGCAATCGTCCAGGGGAGAGGCGGTGGTGGCTCAGAGCGGGGTGGCAGCAGAGAAGGCCATGAGAACTGGTGAGATGTCCACATCCTGCTCTAAACTGGCCATTTGTGACAGTCTCTCCCCCACCTCCAACAGGGAGGGACAAAGCTGGCATTTTCTGTGACTTTTAAAAGTGTCACCCAGGCCACAGGGGTGTAAGTTATACAAAGAAATCTGTACCAAAGCTGTGTCTCACTTCCCCATGTTTACATCAGAGCCCACTGCTGACGAAGGCACCTTCTGACTGTGTCATTCACAAAGGTTAATGTGCCATGTTGTTTTTACTGTTCTATATAAAGGACTGTAATGGTCGCCAGTGGAGGAAATTAGAGTCCCTGCAAAGCAGAGAAGTCATAAAAAAACACAGCTTAGTTTCCAGTGAGGTTTGAAAGAAGACCCTGGGTGACTCATGTGAAATTTCTCTTTTTACTCATTCAGGAGTTGAATGATTGCCATTTATCTTTATCAGCAAAGATAATTAAATAGCACAATTCTGGTGGGAAGCCAGCCTTGAGGGGAAGAGAGAAGGAAGGGGAGGGAGCAGGAAGCATTAAGTTCTGCCTGTCATTACATGGATCATCTCACTGCCCACATAAACTCATTAACATGTTCTTTCCCTCAGGTCGACCCTACCCCAAGCTCTAAATTTTCAACCACCATGGCCCATCCTGGTCATCACTAGTCTGTACTTTCTTAGGAGTCTGAGGTTGGAAGATGAGTCAACAGGAGGAACTCTGCCAGAAACATCATAGGAGTTGAGAGATGGCAAGGGCCAGTCGCCATCTTGAAGGACTGCAAAGGCGCATACAGTCGCCCAGGTGAAAGGGGGTGAAACTGCCTCAGACAAAGGCTGAGCACAGATCTCCCTTTCAACAGCTCTAATTTTATAAACTCATGGGGGCTTACAAATGGACCAATTCCATTCATTCATTTACCCACTGATAAGGAACGTGAAGCCCAGAAATGCAAGTGATTTGCTCAAGGCCACACGACTAATCAGAACCAGACCAATAAATTAAATGCAGAGACCCTTTTCTTATAGCACTGAGTTCATCATTTGTGTTTTAATAGTTCAAGACTAGCTTCTTTGGGGACTAATAATGGGCTCTCCATTCTATCATGGGTCAAAATTGGTGCTTCCCTGGGGAAGCCCAAATACTAATTCCAATATCACACTACCCCGAAATATAGTACCTTGGCATTTAGCAAAACAGAAGGAGCAGGAAGGGTCTCTAGCCTTCTCTTGCTGTTCTACCCTGAAGCAGGCCATAAAAGAATTTTCCAACCTTTATTTAAAGTAGGTTATAAAACCCTAATCCCAGAGGGGTCCTATGCCTGGAAGAAAGACACAGATATGCCAAGAAGAATCTGAACAAGCAGGCCTTGCTCAGCTCCTCCCAGCTTGTTACCACTAGATCACGCTCCCTTTGTCCAATTCTACTTCTGCATAACTGTCTACTCTTCATCAAATCCAAGCATAAAAATACGCAGCGTCCCTGCTTCTTTGGGTCATCATTTCCGAAGCCTCCCATCACACACAAAACTTATATTTCATAAATTTGTATGACTTTTTCTCATTAATCTGTTGTCATAGGGGTCTCAGTCATGAACACCGTGAGGAGTCAGGAAAAAGATATTACTTCCCCTACCTTCAATCTCACTTTTTTATCAAGAGGCACTATGAGGAAAGTACATGTCATGTCCAGATTCCCACTCCTTTTCTCTGACTCAGCTTCTTCTCCTACCCTCAAAACAAGTGGAGTTTTTTTCTTCTGCTCAGCTTACTTTACCCTTCTCAAGACAATTGGCTTGCTAGTATCCTATTCTTGCTATTTCCTCTCTCTGTTTTCCAGTTCTGCCTGGTGGGCTAGTGTGGAGAGAGATGGGAGGAGGAACTATGGTCCTTCATAAATATGTCATTTGTCCCCATTGCATTGTCCAAGACTCTCTCCTTGCCCAAACTTCCGGCAGGCTCCTCTGAGCCCTCTTCTCAATGAGGCCTCAGCCTTGGCCTTGGTCCCATCACACTTGGTATCTGATCACACTCAATATCTGACCAAATTCCTCACTCCCCACCCATGATATTGTATCACCCTGGCCTGTCTTCAGCAAGGATCCTGTCAGCTTAGCAAGAATCCCCCATCCTTGATGTCTCCGCTTGTAATTTTCCATCCACTGACCACTTCATTTTGCTCATTGACCATTAAATCCCCACTTGCCCTTGCTGTATTCAGAGTTGAGCTCCATCTCTCCTCTATTGTGAGTCTTGGCACTGATCACAATAGTTCTGAATAAGGCTGTCCTTAGCATTTTAATGAATGTCAGAATAAATTTTTCTTTAACAGCATATACATGGGAGGGAGGTTGGAAGGAAATAAACCAAACATGAATGATGATTACCTCTGGATGGTACTTGACTGTATACGTTATTGTATTTCAGTAAAACAAATTGATTTTTATAATCAAAAAATTAAATGAAAGTATTTTAATTTGAAGTTTTCAAAAGTCAACAGCCATGCCTATCAAATGTTTTTTAAGTTTATTCTTAGCTTCTTAAAATAAATTCCACTTTGTTGCAATGAAGCAAGAAATGCTCTGCCCACCATGGGTCGTCCTAAAGGGCACTGGTATGTGGAAGGGAGTGTCTAGTGGAAACACATTCACCTTCAGAATCATGCCCTGTCCAAACCTTCTTTTCAAACATCCAATCAGCCAGTGATTAGGGACTGGTAACCTGATCAGAGAGTTAAGGAGTGGCCGCAAGGAGACAGAAGAAACAGTCAGGAAGGGAGTGGCACAGTAGGTCTTTGGCTATTTGAATATGTGTAAGGGTTTATGTCAGAAAAGAAACTCTATCCCACCATGTTTTTCCTCTACTGTCACATCACAACAATCATTAACAAACAGGAAGACTTCTGTGACCAAATGTATGGGGGTTTGGTCACAACAGACATGCAACAGACACCAGCTGTGTGTCCTCCAAGAGAGTGTCAGATCCCACAGATTGGGGGCTCAGGCCCCAAGACTGTCTCCCAGACACCAGTCATAAGTCCAGGCCACCAGAACTTCTGACCAGCTGGCTGAATTCAAGTTGGGGTTCCCATGACCCCATCTTTGGGTTTGATTAATTAGCTGGAGAAAATGTACAAATTTGCATTTACTGGTTTATTAAGAGAATATTACAAAGGGTACAGATGAAGAGATGCATAGGGTGAGCCATCGGGAAAGGGGCCTGGAGCTTCCATGCCCTCCCGGGGTGCCACAGTCCAGGAACCTCCATGTGTTCAGCTATCTGGAAGCTCTCTGAACCCAATCCTCTTGGGTTTTTATAAAAGCTTCATTAAGTAGGAATGGTTGGTTAAACAATTGGCCATTGGTGATTAATTTAACTTTCAGCCCCTTCCCCACTTCTCAGAGATTGGGGGAGGTGGCTGAAAGTCCAACCATCTAATCCTGGCTTGGTCTTTCTGGTGACCAGCCCCCATTGTGAACCTGTCAGACAAAAGCCACTCTAAAAGACAGCGCTTTGGAGATCTTAAGGATTTTAGGAGTGATAAGCCAGGAAACCATGGACAAAACTCATGTATATAAAATACCACAGGTTGGTCAACCATGTAAAGTAAAAAGAAAACATTTCCTAAGGAAGCCCCAAGGCTTCAACCACCCAGTCATGAGACTACTCTCTGACTTGAACTTGATGGTGAACACTACACATGTCACTGTCTCCTTCTAAGAGACCACGTTGACAGGTGTGAACTTTCTAGGCAGCCACTTGCTTTAACCCCTGTCTGAAATTCAATTGAAAGCCAATGTACATCCAAATTTTAGTCATACTTCAAAGTGATCCCCCAACTTTATTAGGGGGAAAAGCCAAATTCCATCCTTCTCTGGTCACAACCAGGTATGAGTTTACAAAGAGTAAATACACCTTGGCTTCAAACCAAGAATAATCTGGTTCACCTGATGTTACACAGCACAGATTCCTGGAGGCAGAAGGACCTTGCAGGTCACTTTATAGATGAGGACACCAGCCAAGGTGAGACAAGGTTTTTTATTATTCTCTTTTGTTTTCTATGCATTAAATTTAAATTATATGAGCACTACCTAAAAGCTGATTGTGTTAGAAATCTATGTAAGCTGAAAGTGTATCATTTCTGATACCTGTCTACATCGCTATGGATATAAAAGTCTACAGTTCTGTTTGTGTTGTCAATGGAGTGTGCAGATGAATGAGGTAGTATTGAACATTGTTTTTTCTGTAATTCTGTGCCTTGGAGATCTTCTGCTGGAGCCCAGAAACCAATATCCTAATAGACAGCACTTTGACATGCTGAACTGAAGAAAAGGCTTCACATCCTCTCTGACCTTCTGCCACTCTCAATCTTCTGTTTCCCCTAAAGCACAGGATGGAGTTGTTTCCTGAAGTTCCCTGATCTGTCTAAAGTCTGGACCTGACAAAGAAGAAAACAGTCACCTCCGGTTCCTTCCCTGAGTTTTTGTTAATTGAATTCATGTCGCAGGAAGAAAGACTGAAGTCTTTCAACTCACCTGGACAGACTTTTGTCTCAAATCATTGTCTACTCTGCAGGCCCAATAAACTTTGTCTCAGGCCACTGTGTGTTCTTTAAGACCACTGAATTCCGCTAAAAATCATTTACTACCCCCACTTTCCCCTAAGAAGAAGGTATGCAGCCATTTCTACCCCACTGCCTGACGGGGAGATCACTCTGTGGCCCTGCCCCGTGCGTGATAACACATTTGCATGTCATTCCTCCTGTTAACCTGTCTTTTGTCAGTTGATCTTCAGTGAACCTTCAGAGGGCAAGGGGGATGTTCTTCCTTGTCCCCTATACTTGCGATGCTGAAAAGTGGACCTACTGTATTCTGTACAGCCTTAGTTTACATAATTGTTACCCTTTTGATGATCTCTTGTTTTCAGTTTCTAGCTATTATCAAAAAAATACTTTATTGCTAACCTCTTTTCTACAAAACTCAGCTTCTGATGATGTGCCCCCACCAACCAGAAAGGAGCTCTACTCCACCCTCAGCCTCCCAGGAGTTGACAGACAACTCCTTCCTTCCAGATTGTTCAGGTCAAAAACGCAGGAGTCAGCCTTGATTCCCAGTGATTCACATGGTGGAAAATCATGCGGGTTCTACTTTCGAAACACTTGCAGAAAGATACGGAAACAATCTAAGTGTCCGTTAACAGATAAGTGAATAAAAAAACTGTAGTGTATATGTGTATATAAATATATTTTTTATGTGTGTGTGTGTGTGTATATATATATATAGAGAGAGAGAGAGAGAATGAAATATTATTCAGCCTTAAAAAAGAAGAGAATCAGCCAGGTGCAGTGGCTTATGCCTGTAATCCCAGCACTCTGGGAGGCCAAGGCAGGAAGATTGCTTAAGCCCAGGAGTTCAAGACCAGCCTAGTAAGTCAACATGGAGACAGGGTCAACAAAGTAAGAATTCGTCTATACAAAAAATAAAAAATTAGCCAGATGTGGTGGTACACACCTGTAGTCCCAGCTACTTGGGGGACTGAGGCAGGAGGATCTCTTGAGCCCAGGAGATCAAGGCTGCAGCAAGCCATGATTGCACCACTGCACTCCAACCTGGATGATAGAGCAAGACCCTGTCTCAAAAAAAAAAAAAAAGAAAAGAAAAGAAAGAAAGAAAGAAAGAGGAAAATCCTGCCATTTGCCATAACATGGATGAAACCAGAGGACATTAGGACATTATGCTAAATGAAATAATCCAAACACAGAGAGAAAAATATTGCAGTATCACTTATACCTAAAATCTAAAAAAAAAAGAAAAAAAAGGTCAAATATACAGAGAAAGAGAATAAAACAGTGGGTACAAGGGTAGCGGGGAGGAAATGGGGAGCTCTAAGTAGCAGATGTGTAGCATGAATAAGCCTCCAGATCTAATGTATAACACGAGGACTACAGGTTGTCCACAAAAAGAGTCAACCTCTATAAAATGCTTGAAGAGATTTGTTCTGAGCCAAATATGAGTGACCATGGTCTGTGATACAGCCCCAGGAGATCTGAGGACCTGTGTCCAAGGTGCTCAGGCTACAGCTTGGTTTTATACATTTTAGGGAGACACATGACATCAATCAGTACATGTAAGATGTACATTGGTTCAGTACAGAAAGGCAGGACAACTTGAAGCAGGGGCTTCCAGGTTGCAGGTGGATTCAAAGATTTTCTGACCAGCAATTGACTGAAAGAGTTTATTTAAAGATCTGAAATCAATATGAGGGAGTGTCTGGGTTAAGATAAGGGGTTGTGGAGACCAAGGTTCTTATTATGCAAATGAAGCCTTCAGGTACCAGGCTTCAGAGAGAATACATTGTAAACGTTTCTTATCAGATTTAAAAAGGTGCCAAACACTTAGTTAACTCTCTCCTGGATCAGGAAAAAGACCTGGAAAGGAAAGGGAATTCTCTACACAATGTGGATTTTCCCCACAAGAGACAACTTTGCAAGGCCATTTCAAAATATGTCAAAGAAATATATTTTGGGGTAAATACTTTTATTTCTTCCAGAGCCTGCTATCTCATGTTGCTATCTTATTGCTACAAAGAGTCCGTTTTATGAGTCTTAAGTTTTAGTGTTAGTGCTGGTCAGCTCTGCCTGAATTCCAAAGGAAGGAAGTTAGAATGAGGGGAAGGAAGTTATAATGAGACATGCCCGACAACCCATTCCCAACGTGGCATGTGACATGAACTAGTGTTTCAGGTTTACTTCAGAAAGCCCTTGGCAGAGAGGAGGGTTCATTCAGTCGATTGAGGGGCTTAGCATTTTATTTTTGGTTTACAAGGTAATAAAATTTTACTTTATTTGAGATTCCTGCTAAATGAGAAGATTTAAGCTGCCCTTGTCACCAAAAAAAAAGTGTGGGTAACTATGTGATATGTTAATGGTGAATACGTTAACTTGTTTTACTATAGTAATTATTCTACTATCTATATGTAGCCCATAACATCATGTTGTATATACACAATAAAATTCATTTAAAACACACACACATACTTGCAGAAGCTGACCACCTTTAACTTCTCGACTGCTGGCCCAATAGGCTAGTCCAGACCAGGAGCAACACTTCTAGACTGGTCCTGTGTCCACCCTCCTGCTCCTACCATATATGTATTATCTACATAGCAACCTTTCGGGATTCGGGGAACATGACACTCAGATGGTGTAACTTCCCTGCTCAAAACCTTACAAGCTCCCCACTTCAATGACAGAGATTGCTGAATTCCTTACAAAGCCCAGTAAGGCCCCTCAAGTTGGGTGTCCTGTTATCCACACCAACTTCCTTTCCTGCTACCCTCCCCTGGATCCACAGACACTGGCTTCCTTGATTTTTCTCCAACATGCCAAGCACACTCCCACCTCAGTGTCCTTGCCTTTGCTCTTCCCTCAAACACCTACATGACTCACTCCCACACTCCTTTCAAGTCTTCATTCAAATTTCACCTTCTCAACGAGGTCTACCCTGACCGCCATATTTAATACCCAAACCCGTTCCCCTACTCCCACCCCAACTCTCAGCACTACAAATTCTTCCTTACCCTAATCTACTTACTCTTTTTTTCCACATTTATTATCTTCCAAAAAACTAGGGGATTTATATATTCATTATATTTTTTATTGTCTATCTGCACCCGTGAGAATACACATTCCAGCAAACAGGAGCTTTGGCTAGTTTGTTCACTGATATGTGCCAAGCATCTCTGAGCTTAACACAAAGTAGGTGCTTAATGAATATTTGGTAAATGAATTAGTGATGCTTTCACCGTTATTCACTTGCATGTTTGTTACTATTTCTCTAGAAGATATATCTGTAAGTGGAATTGCAAACAGATGCCCACATTTAAAATTTCAATAGACACTACCAAATCGTGCTCCAAAAAGATGTAACCAATTTATACTTCCAACATCAATGCATGGAAATCTTTGTCTTTCCATCCTGGATATTAACTGATAAAACTCTTATGTTGTTTTAGTATGTTTCCCATGAATAGGCTGGTGAGGTTGAGCATTTAATCTTATATTTGTCAGCCATTTATAGTTCCTCTTCTTTGAATTTATTATCTTTTCATATTGTAACAGGATAAAAAAAATTTTGAGATTATACTTTGTCAGGAAAAAATTGTCCAAGATGTGGAAATGGGCAAAAGAGATCCCTGAGAATTCTTTCAGTAGAGTATTGGGCATTGCCTAGGGGACCTTCTGGGATGATCTGAGTCTAGAGAGGCCTGTGCCTTTGGATTGACTTTCCATTATTAGTCTATTTTACATGCCTGTAGGGGCAGCAGTTAAAGTGAAGACAACTGGTAGCAATGTAAATTGTTCCTGTCCTTAACAATGCAAATGAGTTTTGTCCCAAAGAGAATATAACTCTTTGTAACTCAAATTCTGATTTGAATCTCTTCTAACAACTGACTTGCCCCTTCAATAATTAATGAGCTAAATAAAATCTTTGACACCTGTTCACTTTATATTTGTATAAAAGTCATTTCCAACTTCTAGGAAATTATACTCTAGCAGCGTTTCCCCTAATCAGTGTAAGGAATTTGACTGCCCTTGCAGTTGAGGACCAGGGAGGGATTTTAGAATTATCTATAGCAGTGGTACCAAGAATTAATATTCAGCTACTGACATTCAAAGTAGAGTTTGAATTCACAGCAAGATAATGGGCTCTAAATCCAGGCTTTGTGGAGAGAGAAGAGATTTTCTAAATTCCTTTATCTCCCTCCTTGAACATATTAAGAGCCTAGAGGACCCAAGGAAAGTCCGCACAGACAGACAGGAAAGCAGGGGGAAGTCCCAATAGCCTGTGTAAAGAGAATGTCTTAGTTTAATTGCTCTGGATTGAAGGCATAGAGGAGATAAATCGAGGAAAAAGCAAAAAGCAGCAGAACCTCAACCTCACTTTCTATCCAGACAGAGGAAGGAGGCAGCCTTATGCTCAGCCCCCAGCCTAACTGGAGTGGGCACAACCAAGTCGACGCAGTGTGCCAGGCAGCCAGGCAAAAGAAGGAAGGCCTCGAGTTCACCTCTTCCAAGCAGCCTTTGGCTCCCACATGGCTAGTGTTGACAGACTTCACAAATAAAAATACAGGATACCCAGTTAGATAAGAACTTTAGAAAAACAATCAGTGTTTATTTTAGTATAACTAATATACTAATATAATGTAATATTTGAGACCTGCAATATTTGGAACACACGTATACTAAAATATTATTTGCTGTTTATCTGAAATTCTAATTTAACTGGGCATCCTGTATTTTTATCTGACACTCCCTACCTGAGGCTCTAAGGGAACCCAGAGTTCCCTGTAGCCCTGAGCAGGTACAGAGGTACCCGGATGGCTAGACAGGAGCACACCAAACAGCCCATGAGATGAAGGGAAGCAGCTCCCAGGTGAGGGCTGCAGGACAGGCCACATGGCCTGGGGACACACATAGACCTCAGGCAAGGTCATAGTGAGGGCAGTAGTGGGGCTGGGTCAGCCAGAAAGCGATACCATAAAGGGGTCCTGATCCAGACGCCAAGAGAGGGTTCTTGGATCTCACACAAGACAGAATTCAGGATGAGTCCACAGAGTAATAAAGTGAAAGCAAGTTTATTAAGAAAGTACAGGAATAAAGCACAGCTACTCCACAGACAGAGCAGGGTGTTTCCAAAAATAAGAGGAGGAATGCGTCCACCCTAGGTACAATACTCATTTATATAGGATAAAAAAAGATCATGGGAGATGTGCTCTGCTACAAGGGTGTGTGATAAAGGATTAATTTTCTTAATTACTGTATTTTGGAAGAATCAATATTATCTTTAAAGCAAAATTAGGACTGCTTCTGTTCTCAAGATATTGGGATATTAGGACACTCTCAAGTCTGGGTCTGTTTAGTAAATGTTATCAATCTGTTCCCTTAACCATAAACATCTAGAGGCTAGGATACTTAACTTTCTGGGAATGCAGCCCAATAAGTCCCAGCCTCATTTTCCTAGCCCTCACTCAAGATGGAGTCACTCTGGTTTGAATGCTTCTGACAAAAGGGTCATAGGCATTGGCCCAGCTAGGAAAGGAACCAGAAACGAAGACATCAACGTGAACCTCAGCCCTAAGTGCCTCCAGAAATTAAGCAGTCAGGCATGACACCAGCTGCACCCGGGCAGTCACTAATCCATGAACTGAAGTGGACATGAGGGGAAATCCAGAAGACAAGCAATGAATCCTCCATTGTCCTTACCATCGCAAGGCCACACAAGCCACAGCCTCATTCCTACATCCCCTGCATCTTAGGGAGGAAGTCTGGGCATTTCATCCAAACGAGATCCGCATTGTCTAAAGAAACTTTTGGATGCATTGGTTCATATTACACTTACTAGAGTGGACAAAATTATGGAGGCCTTATAGAGGAGATGAAATCAAACACAGAGAAATAAAGTAGAAGATAACTTTATCTGCACTTTGGAGTATATGATAATTTTGTGATTCAGTCACATTCATTTTTATAATCCTTTAACTCCCATATGTTGCAAATATTTTCTGGTTATTTAAGTTGTCTTAATGTGTGGTTTTATACCAGCAAGTGTTACATAAAAGTTTTCATTTTGATGTAGTCTATCAAAATCTATCAATTATGCCTTCTGTATTTTGTGCCTTGCTTAAGAAAATTTCCCTATCTCAAGATTACTAACAAATGTTCCTGTATTTTCTTCTGCTACCTTTATAGTTACAATTTATGCATCTGGCTGTTAATTTGTTGCATGTAGCTTCATGGTTATATCTTACAAGGCAAGAACCCTGTCATGCTCTTCATAAAAAGAAATTGGCTGACTTACTCTACTTATTATATGCTTTCTTAAAATTACACTGGTATTTTATGGATTAATTTAGTAAGAATTGAGAAATATACAATATAGAAACATAGTATAGGTTTTCACTTACTCAGACTTCTATTGGTGACATTTAATAAGGATTCATAAGTTTTTGTGTAAATCTTTCACATTTGTCATTATATTTGTTAGGTATTTTACAGTTTTGTGGTCATGGAATCCTATTTGGTATTACATTGTCTAATTTATTATTGCTGATGTTTAAGTCTTTTGACTTTTTAATGTTGATTTTATATTAGACGCCTTTTTAGCAATCTAAGTTCTAATAATTTGTCACTTGATTTCCTTAGATTTTCTAAATTATCATATCATCTTCAAATATCTCCTTTTCACCTCTGTTATTGCACTGGCCTTTAGCATAATGTTGAATGGCAGTGATGATTGTGATATCTTTTTTCCAGGTTTGACAGTAACGCTATAGTGTTTGGTAGACACTTTGTATCGACATGTTATCTTAGATGTATGTGTCAGTAGTTTGTCAACTCCCAGTATCAGCAGCTACCTGGTACCTGCCTCTCTTTCCCAAGTACTCATGGTTTCTGCTCACACCTGGCAGAAAATGCCTCTGTCTGCTGCTGCTTGACACAGGTAGGTGGCAAGCCACCAGGCTGCACCTGAGGCACATCATCAGTCACCAGGGCAGATGACCTCAGGCAACCCTCTCACCCTCTGCATCCACAGCCTCAAGCTGGGAGCTCTCCTGGGACTCTTGTGCAGCACCCCTGGACTACTTCTGCCTTTTAAAAAAACTCACCTACATGTGTTTTGATCAGTGAACTCCACTTTCAACCTCATTTCCTCTCGCTTCTAGCTTACATAATTTCACATCCAAGAAAAGCAAGATCTAATTTTCTACAGCTGTAATGAATGTGTTTTATGTCTTTTCTGTAATTTCTAGAGATCTAATGCAGAAGGGAGTATGATTCGAAAGTATGCTCATTCTGGTACCTTTATCCAACTCCTTTCCTCTTCCAGATCAGTCTTTTTATACCTTCATCAAAGTTTCCCACCACCCTAAGGAAAGTATCTTCATCTCCTCTGCATGTTACCAAGAACAGTTGGTGATGGACACCTTCTCTGATTCCTCTGGGCTCTCTAGGATGCAAAAGGCTGTCAGGACCACCTGGGCCCATCGTGAAAGCTAATTAAAGATGGAATGTTATTTATGTTGGTGATGTAAATTTGTCCTCAAAATCACCTTTTCAATAGGGATAGTTCCAGGGGGAACATAAAAAGAAATAGAGAAGATTTCATGATGTCTGTAGTCACAAAATTTTAGACACTCAAATGAAACTTGAGCTTGACTATGACCTTACAAAGAGGCTTCAAAATATTATTGGCACTAAATTTGCCTAAGAAAAGTGCCCCATGGGTCTTTCAGTCGTCAACTGTGTTTCCTGAATGATGACAATACTAATGCTTCTGGTTACTTAGAATTACTTTTTGATCTTCAAAATCCATATTTACATATTGTCTGACTTCTCTGATGCCCATTTAGTGTTTGATAGTTTCTCTGGCTTGGGCTACATTGCCTACTTTGGGACCCATTATTAGTAACCATTTCAGTCCCATTGACTTCCCTCTCCAAGGAGCCATAGTTGAGTCAGGCTCAGAAAAAGGGGTAAAAAAGAGACAAAGAGAGGTAACAAATTACTTTTACGCACATGCACTAACAATTATTAGTCTCAGATGCGCAGATGAGTGCATTTCTAAGACATAAAAGTCCTCTTCAGTTTCCTTTTATTGGAATCATCCCCTTGCTGGCTTTTCATTTTCAAACTTAACTTTGTGAACAATTAGGGAAACAATATGGTTATGGAGGGTGCTAGGTTCAAGGGCAGGGATGTCAGTTGGTTGGAAAACTGAGTCAGGACTAGTAAAAGACTTTCAAACTCTGGAGTGGAGAGACTAAAATTCATCTCCAACATTTTGAGGAAAGGATGATAAGTTCCAGCTGAGATGACCAGGACTTTGCTGCCACCTATCCTCCATCCCTAGATCTGGCCTTGCCTCCAAATGCCACACAGCAACCATGCACCCTCTTCCATCAACGGAGCTACCAAACAGTGCAAAGCTGATTATCACAGCATGCCCCCGAATGTCCTGATTTACAAAAACCCGAAGACACCACAACACTCAAAGGAAAGCAGTGGCCCAGAACGGGCAGAGGACTTGTGAGACGTCATACAGCAAACCATCAGAAACCTGTATACATCTGGACAAGTAGATCCAGAGAACTGCTCCCCCAAAATGGCAAAGAACTGAAGCTCACAGTTCAAAGAGCAGTGATTGTGATTTGTCTAATGTTAAAGGAGAATGTCTAGACGCAGAATACCAGAACGTCTGGTTTTAATCTGTCTTAGACTGGGATCCCCCAGAAACAGACCCTGGAATAAGAATTTGAATATAAGTAGCTTATTTGGGAGGCGATCCCAGAAACCACCACTAGAGGAGGGGGATGTGAGGCCAGGAAGGGAAGGCGGCCAATGCCTGGGATTTATTGGGTTACCACTGCAGGCCACTGACATCAGTCATGCTGGACACTGTGGGAGATGGTGTATAACACAGCTCAGAGTTGTCCCCACCTTGGGACAATGATGAGGAAGTGGGGGTATTTATCCATCAAACAGCATCATCATTGGGGTCCTATCTCCCAAACTGCTCAGCTTTGACCAAGCACAACTTGGATGGAGAGATGAAGGGCAAGTGTTGGGTGCAGATGGACAAGGCACCAACCACATCTGCAACACTGCTCTCTCCCCTTGGTGAGCTTGGACAGTTGGGTTTTCTGACCCTCGTCTCTTCTCTTGGGTGGTTATATCTCAACATCATTTCTTGGACACTGCAGGGACTCACTCAGGCTAGGGCCACTTGCTGTTCCACAGCCTCCCGAGTCATGCCCTTTCTCACTGGGATGTCCATAAACTCCAGCCTGCAGGGCTCTGCCCACTCTATCAACTCCTGAAGGTAAACGCTTTCTGGAGCAATATTTTGTATGTACCACTCCTTCTTACAAAACATTTCATGGCTTACCATTCCCTGCAAGGCAATATCCATTCCTCTTAATCTTCTAGGTCTCCACAGGTCACACTCAGCCTGGCTTCTCAGTCTAGGGATCCAGCCAACCTAGCCCCTAAGACAGGAATGACTGGGTCACCTACGCCTTTACTTTCCCCTTAGTCTTCTGCCATCCCCTCAGCCATCCACAGAACTATTATAGAAGGGAAAACAGGGAATGGAGTATCCCTTAGGCTTCAAGCAAGTCTATGGAGAAAATGGCTATGGAGAGGTAGAGGTGGTCACACCCAGGAAACCAAACGCTTTGGCCTCCAGCTGAACTGTAAAGAAGAGGCAGCATGGTAAGCACAATTAATAACAATGTACTTGATATAGTTAGGCTTTGTGTCCCCACCCAAATCTCACCTTGACTTGTAATCCCCAGGTGTTTATGGAGAGACCTGGTAGGAAGTGATTGGATTAAGGGGGTGGTTTCCCCATGCTGTTCTCTCGATAGTGAGTGAGTTCTCACGAGATCTGATGGTTTTATAAGGCAGTTTTCCCCACTCTTGCTAACACTCTCTCTCCTGCCGCCATTTGAAAAGGTCCAAGCTCATTTCCCCCTTGCCTTCCAGCATAATTGTAAGTTTCCTGAGGCCTCCCCAGCCATGTGGAACTGTGAGTCAATTACACCTCTTTCCTTTATAAATTACCCAGTCTCAGGTAGTAACTTTATAGCAGTGTGAAAATCAACTAATAACGTACTATATATTTCCAAATTACTAAAACAGTAGGTTTTAAATATTCTTACAAAAAATAAGTAGATTAGGTGATGGACAGAGTAATTAGCTTGATTTAATTATTTCATAAGTATACACATATCAAAACCTCACACTGTACCGCATAAATATATACAATTATTACTTGTCAGTTAAATTTTTTAAAATAGAGTCCGCCAAGGTGTAATGGGCCTTCATTCCAATGAGATTTCTCTTCTTGGTCTAAAAATAGAGTGACCTACCAGACTAAGAGAACTTTCAGGATATAGAATTTTGACTTTTAAAACCAGAAGCATCCCAGGCAAACAAGGACCAGTTGGTTCCACAGGCCATTTGCTTTGGCCAGCTGGATCAAGCGAGAAAAGATGACTCTGCTGAGATGAAATAGCTCCATGCCTACCAGACAGAGTCTACCATAAACCATAGCCAGATGCATATGTTGCTTATCGCACACATTGCTTCTTTGAAGAGAATAACTAGTGCCAAGCCCCAGCCTAAGCGTGAGCTGGCTGGGTAAGTAAACAGATTGCTCAAGAGAAGTTCTTCAGGGTGGCCTGTGAATGAGCTGCTGACCCTCTCCCATCTTCTGCAGGTGGCTCATTCAATCGCCAAATCTTCCCCCACCCACCATCCCAAAAACCTGACCGCCAGTGACCTCCCAGCTGAAAGACATTGTGTGAAAGAGGAAAACACATTCCAGCTTGGCCACTCAGCAATCTTAATTAAGATAAGCCTGCTTATAAATATTCAACCTGTCACAAAGCTCCATAAGCTCCTCTTTGCTTATGGAATGGCTTAATTGCAAAGTCTGGGTCTTGAGCGCCTGTTGATGTCTCAGACTGATGTAAATACCATTAACCCTGAGAAAAAGGTTGCACCCCTGGCAGCCAGAAGAGAATATGCAAATCTGATGGGGGAAAACAGCTACACATTCCTTTGCACATAAAAAAGAAGCAGCATGCAATGAAAGTTAGGTCTTTCTCCCCTGCTCAGTCTAGAGGTCTGGACGGTGAGCTCAACTCTACCATGAGGACACCAACTTCCAGGGAGGCATTTGGCTTTCCCCAGCCTTATTTTCTTCCATCTGCAAAATGAAGCCATGGATTCAGCTCTTTCAGAGATCTTTTCAGCTCTAGGGGAGTGCTCCATCCCTGAAGATGGGTAAAGACCAAGAGCATGGCTATGGTAAACTGTATAGGTATAGGCTGGAGACAGCTCTGGTGTTGAGGATTTGGGTAATAGAACACTTACTATGAACCCACAATGTGAAGTGGTTACTAAAGAAGGTTTCGTGAGGCCTTAGCTTAAAGTGTCTGCATAGATACTGTTGGGACTGCACCCAGATGACCTCAGAGCCTTCTCACCATTTGTCATGGACTGAATGTGTCCCATCAAATTCATAGGTTGAAGCTCTAACCCCCAATGTGGATGTATTTGGAGTTAGCTTCTTTAAAGAAGTAATTAAGGTTAAATAAAGCATTAGATTCTCAGGTAAAGGCAAAAAGGAAAAAAAAAAAAAGAGGCTGTTAGGGTGGGACTCTAATCCAATCTGACTAGTGTCCTCATAGGAACAGGAAGAGACACCAGGGATGTGCAGGCACAGAAGAAAGGCCAAATAAGGGCACCATTTGGGAAGGTGGCCACCTGCAAGCCAAGGAGAGAAACACTCACCAGAAATCAACCCGGTGGCACCTTGATATTTGATTTCCAGCCTCCAGGATGGTGAGAAAAAAAATTCTGTTGCTCAAAGCACCCACTCTGTGGTATTTTGTCATAGCAGCCCAACCAGACTAATACACCAGTTCTGGGTGCCCAGCCCTCTTCTGTGCACTTCACATTTTTTTTTATTTATGTTTTGACTCAGGTTCTTGCTCTGTTGCTCAAACTGGACAGCAATGGTGTGATCTCAGCTCACTGCCATCTCAACCTCCTGGGCTCAAGTGATCCTCCCACATCAGCCTCCTAAGTAGCTGGGACCACAGGCACACACCAAAATATCCAACTAATTCTTTATTTTTTGTAGAGAGGAGGTCTTTCTATGTTGCCCAGGCTGGTCTTGAACTCCTGTCCTCAAGCGACCCTCCCACCTCAGCCTCCCAATGTGTTGGAATTACAGGCAGGAGCCGCTACACCCAGCCTTCACTCCTATCACTCACACCTGCAACCCACTTCAATGCCCTTGCACTGCTGGAACTATGACCCAGAACAAAGAAAGCAAGAAGTGCCTTGGAGTTGATGTGCCTGCCCTCCCTGGTGCAGGGTATGAAAGCCTCACTCCCTGGCCTTGAGGTGGAGCGAACTCTTGGTGCAATTCACATTCCAGAACTGCCCACAGTATCACCTGAAATTACTCCCTTGCTTGCTGCTGCTGCTTCTCTCCCCTGCCTGCTCTACTGCCTTTTCAATTTCTCTCCGGAGTCCTGCCTTAATGAAACACACGCACACAGATTGTCATCATAGGGCTTGCTTCAAGGAAGCCCCTCCTAAGATGCTAGCTCAAAAGATGTGTGTACCCCAACATTGTAGCTTCAAGCCAACTTCATATTTCACACTCCTCTTATCACTTGCTCCTAAAGGGAGATGGGAAGGGCCACTGCTGGCTACAGTGAGCTCAGGCCCTCAGTTCTGGCATATGCATGTTCTCAACCATGTCTCTGACTATACAATCGGATCCAGCCTCCAATTTGGAAGTCTCCAGCTCGCTGGAGTTGAGCAAGGGAATACGTTCCTCTGATTACCCTTCAAGTGCCCTCCTGAGAACTCAGCAGGCTCCATCCTAGCCTGTTCAAACTCCACCTGGGGGCTGTGCTCATTTTGGCGCTTATGATTTTTGAGAGACCCTGATATGGGGCTCACAGGCGGGACCAGAATGGAGAGGAAACACAAAACTTCACAAAGACCCTAGTTTATATTTTCCTAGAGGCACGTCCAAGAGAAGGATTCATGTGCTTTAGTTAGGAGGTGATCCCAGAACTAATGGGGATGGGTGATAGGGGGATGTGAAGGAAGCCAATGAGAGTACATCACTCGAGCAGGTCCCTGTGGTGGGCACTGCAGCTTCCTCCTGCTGGGACTCTCTGGGAAACAATGTAGAGCACACACCTCACAGCGTCCCACACAATGGGCAAGGTTGCTGAGGAATGTCTACAGCAACTCCTGAGTGGTATGAGGGGTCACTGACTAGTCCAGGGCTGCTCCCAGTGGGTGCCACCTCTGATGGGCACAGGGTGGCAGAGCTGGTGCTGTGACCATGCTGAGCTCTCAGATGCTGCACCCAGAAGCAAGGTTCAAGTGTAAGGGCTAAGGAAATGTGGGCAAGGCATGGCAGGTCTGACACACAAAGGATGGTTTAGAAACTGACATTATTAAGCCAGGAATAGAGATCACTCATGGGTGAAGAGGTCTGACCTAGAGTCAGAAAATTGAACCTTGAGTTTTGCTTGCTGACCTCATGAGCCCGACAAGTTGCTCCACCTCTCTGAGCATCAGTTTCCTCATCTGTGAAGTGTGTGTTAAGAGTAAACACCACAGGGTAGAAGTTTGAGGAAAAATGGGTTATTTGCCTAGTCTGAAAGTATCTCCCCACGAGGTCATTATAAATGACAAAGGGAAAAATAGCGACTTTAAACCAAAAGAAATTGGCAGATACCACCTTAACCAAGTGCTCAAAGCTATCACCCTCATAATGGACATGTCAACACCACATACTTCGTCACATGCCCTGAGAAGACACAACACACCTCTATGTGTTTCTGCCAAAAATAATCACCTGAATCTAGTCATAGGAGACATGAGACAAACTCAAGTGGAAAGAGATTCTGCAACACAATGGGCCTGTGCACTTCAAATATGTCAAAAAGTATATATATATGAAAAAGTATATATACATATATATACATATACATATATATCTATATATGTACTTTTTCATATATTTATCGTATACATATATACACGATATATATACATATATACATGATATATATACACGATATATATATACATATATACACATATATACACATATATACATATATACACATATATACACATATATACATATATATACATATATACACATATATATACATATATATACACACACATGAGATGAAAGACAAAGAGTCTAGGTACTGTTCCTGATTGTAGTACATATATATATAATATATATATATACATGATATATATATACACGATATATATATACATGATATATATACATATATACATGATATATATATATCATATACATAGATATATATATACACACACACACACACATGAGATGAAAGACAAAGAGTCTAGGTACTGTTCCTGATTGCAGGAGGCTAAAGAAACATAACAACAGAACTCAATGCGGCAGCCAGGATTTTTTTCATTTCTTGGTTTATTTCTTTATTTATTTATTTTTGCTATAAGGGACCAACATCTAAATCATGTCTATAGTTTATATAATAGTATTTTATAAATATTTAATTTCCTGATTTTCATAATTGTGCAATGGTTATATAAGAGAATTTTTGTTTTAGGGAAAAACAATAACTAAAAATGCAAAGGGGTATTGTTTCAGTCTATTTTGGCTTCTATAACAAAGTATTATAGACTGGGTGGCTTATGAAAAACAGAAATTTGTTTCTCACAGTCCTGGAGGCTGAGATTCCAAGATCAAGGCACCAGCAGAGTTGGTCTCAGGTGAGGGCTCTCTTGCCGGTTTATAGATGGTGATTTCTTACTGGCTGTGTCTTTGCATAATGGACAAGGCAGGTGCGCTCTCTGAGGCCTATTTTATAAGGGCACTAGTCTCATTAATGAGGGCTCCACTCTCTGACCTAATCATTTACCAAAGGCCCCACCTCCTAATACCATCACAGTAGGGGTTAGCATTTAAACACATGGATTTGGGGGACACATTCAGTCTGCAGTAGACATCACATCTGCAGCTTATTTTCAAACAGGAAAAGAAAATCTCACACCTTTTCGGAAAATCTGAAACTGCGTCAAAATTTAAAAGTTAAAAGAAGTTAATAACCACCTCACGGCATTGCTACTGTTGCTGAAATAAGAGTTAACATCATCTCAACTCCTCTCTCTCTGGAGCTCCTTTATCCCATGAATCCTGCATGGTTTCCTCCCAGCGCTCCCTTATCACCCTCAGCTCTTCCCAGAGCATTCTGCCAGTCTCTCTGCCTCCATGTCCCTCCTGCATGCTCTACCCGAACAACCACCCCACTGTGGCCCTAAGTCACCCTCCACACTCGTCAAAATGGTCTTCTTAAAATGCAAATCTGACCTTATTTGAAACACTTCAATTCCACCCCCTTGCTTATAGAACAAAATCCAGACAAATAAGACCCTCTGTGACTGGCTGTGGTCCATCTCTCCATCCCTCCCTCCCCACCGACTCCCTGCCCCATCTCAAGCCCAGGCTTCCACCACACTAGAAGACCAGGTGACCAGAGGACCAGATGGGGTACTGTCCCCTAGACTCACTGTGCTGTTTCCCACACCCATGCCTTTCCACATGCTACTTATTATGTTTGGAAGTCCCTTCCTCTCTTGACCCCAAAACTTTCACCATGACCCCTCTTCAATATCATCTCCTTTGCGAAGCTTTCCATGACCTACCCCGCCACACCCCAGACAAAGCTAATTAACCATTCCTTCTTCCATACAGTCATTATGCCATTTCTATCTCCACAAACACAACTGAAGCAGGTAGGAATCTCAACCCCCAACTCAGACAAGTGTTAAAGGATAACTTTTTCTTTTATCCCAACTCCCTTGCCCTTGTGAAAGCTGATCATAAAAATTAAGCATTCTTGTCATACCCAACTAAAACAGAATCAAGAGGCCAGGAGAAAAAGTACTCAGGGCACAAAACATTGCTCCAAAAATGTAATTCTCTGCAAGCCTGGCTGCTGAACTCCCTGCCATAACCTGAAACCAATTTTATCTAATGGCTGCTGAAATGACCTGCTGCAACTAAGACTACTTTTGCCCACCACAGTCACTTACCTATCAGAACTTGCCAGCTCCTCAAAAGCTTACTAGTGCCAAAGAAATTTCTCAAAGAGTAATACATAACATTTCTCCTTTGTTCTTTGGACATACTGAAGACCAGCCAGCCTACAAGGATGCCCCAAATTGCAATTCTTTCCTCCAAAATAAAACATTTTAATTTTAGAGATTGATTCCTATATTTTATTTGACTTTGAGATCCTTCAAAATATTAATACAATAACTCTTCTAGCCTTTTGCAGACTGGCTTACAGTTTACCCAGCAAACTCAAGCTCCAGTTGTCCACAGCAGTGGCTGAGTTGAGAACACACTTCCCTTCCTTGCATCACTTCCTGACTCCCCTACTGGAGTTCCTTTCATTTCCCAAATAAAGTCCTTGAACTTGAATCCTTGTCTCAGCTCAGCTTCTAGGAGAAACAAAACTAAGACAGATGACATGGCTCAGATATATTAGTTCTGACCCTAGTCTCCCCTGTCCACATAAATTGATAAACCATACAGTCTGATAAATCCCCTTCTAATACCCTAATCTAATGCGTTAATACTAGGTGACTCCTCATTTTATTTTTCTACCCTAGCTTTCTTAGGAAAGAATGAGGAATAAAGGAAAATACGTGTCATTGTCCTCATATTTTGGGGTATAAAAGTCTTTCAGATGTTGTATTTCAATGTTGAAAATATTGAGCATAGATACCAGCCTTCTACACTCCAAAGGCTGGGTAAAACATCATTAATTCAGTGTTCAAGTTCACCTTGGCTGATTTTGTTTTGTTTTTTTAAATAGATTATTTTTCAGAGTAGCTTTAGATTCACAGCAAAATTGAGTAGGTAGTACAGGGTTCCCATGTACCCTCTGCCTGCCCACATGCACACCCTCCCTGAATTCTTCACCAGAGTGGTGCATGTGTTACAATCCATGAACCAACCCATGTTGACACATCATAATTACCCAAAATCCATAGTTTACATTAGGGCTCACTCTTAGTGTTGTACTTTCTATGTGTTTGGACAAATGTATAATGACATGTATCCACCACTACAGTATCATGCAGAACAATCTCACTGCCCTAAAATTCCTCTGTGCTCTCTCTACCCATCCTTCTCACCCCCCAACTCTGGGAAACTACTGATAGATTTTCTTTTTCCAGAGTATTATTGTATTAGTCCATTCTCACGCCGTTAATAAAGACATACCCAATACTTAGTAATTTATAAAAGAAAGAGGTTTAATTAACTCACAGTTTCTCATGGCTCACAATCATTGTGCAAGGTGAAGGAGGAGCAAAGGCGTATCTTACATGGCGGCAGGCAATAGAGTAGATGCAGGGGAACTCCCCTTTATTAAACCATCAGATCTCGTGAGACTTATTCACTATCACAAGAACAGTCTGGGAAACCCTGTCCCCATGATTAAATTACCTTCCACCACGTCCCTACCATGACACGTGGGGATTATGGGAGCTACAGTTCAAGATGAGGTTTGGATGAGGACACAGCCAAACCATATCAGTCATATAGTTGGAAATCCATATAGTATGTGTGCTTTTGGGGTTTCTTTCATATAATAACATACATTTAAAGTTCCTCCATGTCTTTTCATGGCTTGATAGCTTCTTGGCACTGAATAATACCCCATGGTCTGGATGCACCACAGTTTATTTATTCGCTCACCTGCTGAAAGGCATCTTGGTTGCTTCCAAGTTTTTGCAGTTAAAAATAAACCTTCATATTCAGATTGTTGCGTGAATGTAAGTTTTCAGCTCATTTGGGTAAGTACCAAGAAACATGATTGCTAGAGTGTATGGTAAGATTATTTGTGAGAAACTGACAACTTGTCTTCCACAGTGGCTGTATCATTTTGCATTTCCATCAATAATAAATAAGTGTTCCTATTGCTCCACGTCCCAGCCAGCATTTGGTCTTGCCAGTATTCTGTGTCTTCACCATTGTAACAGATGTGTAGGGGTAACTCATTGTTTTAATTGGCAATTCCCTATTAACTTACAATGTCGAGCACCTTTTTAGATGTTTATGTGTTATATGTATATATTTTTGGTGAGATATTTTGTCAGGTCCTAAGCCTGTTTTTCCATCAAGTTGTTCATTTTCTTGTTGAGTTTTGAAAGCTTTTTGTATGTTTTGGATAACAGTCCTTCATCAGATATATCTTTTGCAAATATTTTCTCCTAGTCTGTGGCTTGTCTTCTCATTCTCTTAACAATGTCTTTGACAGAGCAGAAAATTTGATATTAATGATGTCCAGCATATCAGTTTTTTCTTTCATGGATTATACTTTTGGTGTTATATCTAAAAAGTCAAGACCATATGCCAAGGCCATATAGATTTTCTCCTATGTTGTATTCTAGTCGTTTTACAGTTTTGCGTTTTATATTTAGTACTGTGATCCCATTTGAATTAGTTTTTGTTGCGGTTGAATTAGTTTTGTTGAGGTCTGTGTCTAGATTCTTTTTATTGGTGAGGGTGGGGGAGGGCCCATGTGGATGTCTAGTTATTCCAGCATCCTCCGTTGTAAAGACTATCTTTGCTTCTTTGTCAAACAGTAACTGACCATTATATGTATGTGGGTCTATTTCTGGGCTCTCTATTCTATTCCACTAATCTATTTGTCTGTTCTTTCAACAGTGCCTCACTGTCTTTGCTACTATAGCTTTATAGTAAGTCTTAAAGTCAAGTAGTGTCAGTTCCCTGACTTTCTTTTTCTCCTTCACTATTGTGTTGGCTATTCTGAGTCTTTTATCTCTCCATACAAACTTTAGAATGAGCTTGTTCATATCCACAAAATAACTTGATAGAATTTTTATTGGGATTACATAGACTTTATAGATGAAATTGGAAGGAACTGACATATTGAGTTTTCCCATCCATCAACATGGCATATCTCTCCGTTTCTTTCATTCTTTGATTTTTTTCATCAGTTTTGTAGTTTTCCTCATTTATGTCTCACACATATTTTGTTAGATTCATATCTAAGTACTTTGTTTTGGGGTGTGCTAATGTAAATAGTAAAGTATTTTTATCTCAAATTTCACTTGTTCATTGCTGTTATATAGGAAAGTGATTGTATCTGGTATCATGCAACCTTGCTATGATATTAGTTCCAGGAGGGTTTTTTATAGATTCCAGATAACCATTCATCTGTTAGCAAAGACCGTTTTATTTTTTTCCTTCCCAATCTGTACCTTTTTCTTTTCTTTTCTTGCCTTATGGCCTTACCTGGGACCTCCAGTTTGATGTTGAAAAGGAGTAGTAAGAGAAAACATCCTTGCCTTGTTCCTAATCTTAGCAGGAAAGCTTTTAGTTTCCTCACCATTCAATATGATGTTAGCTGTAGGGTTTTGTAGATATTATTTTTCAAAATAAGGAAGTTCTTCTTTATTCCTAGTTTGCTGAGAGGTTTTATTTAACCATGAATGATTGTTAGTTTCTCAAGTGCTTTTCTTTATCTATTGAAATGATCTTGTGATTTTCTTCTTCTATTGATGTGATGCATTACATTAATTAATTGTTAATTGTTGAACCAGCCTTGCATACCTGGAATAAATCCCACTTGGTCATGCTGTATAAGTCTTTTTATAGATTGTTGGATTTAATTTACTAATATTTTTCAATGATTTTTTGCTTCTATGATATGTTCATGAGCAATACTGGTCTTTAGTTTTCTGGTAATATCTTTATTTTGTTTTGTTATTAGGGTAATGCTGGCATCATAGAATTAGTTAGAAATATTCCCTTTCCTTTTATCTTCTGGAAGAGAGATAAAATTGGTATAACTTCTTCCTTAAGGGTTTGGTAGAATTTGCTGATGAACGCATCTGGACCTGGTAGTTTCTCTTTGAAGAGGTTATTAATTATTGATATAATGTCTTCAATAGGCAAAAATTTATTCGATTGTCTATTTTTATGTGAATCTTGGCAGATTGTATCTTTCAAGGAATTGGTTCATTTTATCCAGGTTGTTGAATTCATGAACATAGAGTTGTTCATAGTAATTTTTATTATTATTTCAAAGTCCATGGGATCTGTAGTAATATCTTGCTTTTATTTCTGATATTAGTAATTTATTCTCTCTTTTTTCCTTATTTAGCCTAACTAGAGGCTGATCAGTTTTAATCTTTTCCAAGAACTACCTTTTGTTTTCAGTGATTTTTTCTATTAATTTTCTCTTTTCAATTTCACTGATTTGCACTTTAATTTTTATTATTTCCATAAGACCAAAAATGGTCTTACTTTGCACTTAATTTGCTCTCCTTTTTTAGTTTCCTGAAGAGGAAGCTTAGATTGTTGATTTTAGATCTTTCTTCTATTCTAATACAGACATGCAATGCTATGAATTTTTTTTAGTATTTCTTTCACTGCATCCCACAAATCTTGACAAGTACTTTCATTTTTTCAGTTCAAAGTATTTTTAAATTTCTCTTGAGATTCCTTTCGGACTAATATGTTACTTAAAAGCATGATATTTAATCTCCAACTATTTGGGGATTTTCTAGCTATCTTTCTGTTATTGCTTTCTAGTTTAATTACATTGTTGTCTGAGAGCTTAAATTGTATTATTTCTATTATTTTAAATTTGTTAATGTGCATTTTAGGGCCAGAATGTGGCCTATCTTGGTGAATATTTTATGTAAGCTTGAGAAGAATGTGTGTTCTGCTGTTGTTTGATGAAGTAATCTATAGATATCAATTATATCCAGTTGATTGACAGTACTGTTGAGTTCAACATTGTCCTCACTGATTTTCTGCCTGCTGTGTCTGTCCATTTCTGATAGAAGAATGTTAAAGTCACCAATTATAAGAGTGGATTCATCTATTTCTCCTTACATTTCTATCAGTTTTAGCCTCACATATTTTGTTGTTTTTTTTTTATACTTTAAGTTTTAGGGTACATGAGCACAATGTGCAGGTTAGTTACATATGTATACATGTGCCATGCTGGTGTGCTGCACCCATTAACTCATCATTTAGCATTAGGTATATCTCCTAATGCTATCCCTCCCCCCACCTCCCACCCCACTACAGTCCCCAGAGTGTGATGTTCCCCTTCCTGTATCCATGTGTTCTCATTGTTCAATTCCCACCTATGAGTGAGAATATGCGAGGCTCTGTTGTTAGGCGCACGCAGATTAAGGATTGCTATGACTTTTTGGAAAACTGACTTCCTTATCATTATGTACTAGTGCTCCTCTTTATCCCTGATAACTTTTCTTGATCTTAAGTCTACCTTCTCTGAAGTTAATATATCTCCTCCATCTTTCTTTTGATTGGTGTTTCATATTTCTTTCCCCATTCCTTTACTTTTTATCTATATGCATCTTTATATTTAAAGTGGGTTTCTTATACAGGACATATAGTTGACTCTTGTTTTTTGATCCACTCTGATGATATCTGTCTTTTAATTGGTGTATTTAGACCATTAACATTTTAAATTATTATTGATATACTTGGATTAATATCGGTCATATTTGCTGCTGTTTTCTATTCATTGCCTTTTCTCTTGGTTTCTACATTTGTTTTCTACACATTTTCTGCCTTTTGTGGCATTAGTTGAGCATTTTATATGATTGCATTTTCTTTTTTTATTAGCATATCAATTATATTTTTAAAACTCTTTTAGTCATGGCTCAAGTTTGCAATACACATTTACAACTAATCCAAGTCCGTTTTCAAATAACTCTATGCTGCTTCACAAGTAGTGTGAGTACTTCATAATAATAAAATATTCTTAATCCCTCCCTCCTGTCCTTTATACCATTGCTCTCATTTATTTCACTTATATATAAACTATAATCATTGACTGTACACTTTACAAGTGCTTCTCAGGTTTTTTTCACCCCCAGGGTGGTACAGGATGGCTAAAGAAAGCTGGGGTGGGGCATTTGTCTTCCCCTAGGTCAATTCATCTCTCATGAAACACCAATAGGTTAGGCTCTGGCAAAACAGTTCCTCTTGAGGGCAGGCCTTGTTGAGAAGTGAATGCTCTGGCATTCTGACTACCCATGCCAGAAACTCAAGATTTTTTTTTCTCTAATCTTCACTGTAAGAATCTAGTAGAGTTCCAGGAAGTAAAATTTACAAAAGTATGAAGGCCTCTCATATCTGGATCCCCCTGGAGTTTTTAGTTCTCAGACTTATCCACACTGAGCTCCCATCAGTTCATCAGTTACAGTTCAGGTTTTCTACCCTGGCACTGGTTCTCACAGAACTTTCTTCCCAAAAGAAATCAATAGCCATTATGGTTTAGAGCACCAGCTGTGGGGTTGGACAAATAGGAGTTCATGTTTTAGCTCATCTATTTCCTATTAAATAGTTGTGAGATTATAAACAAGTTACATGCCCTTGCCAAGTCTTAGCTTCCTTAGCTTAAAATGATGAAAATAGTTCTGCATTCACAGTTATCATGAAGATTAAATATTAATTACAAATATTGCATAGGACATACTTATACAATGCTTTGTACAGAGCAAGTGATCAACAAATGGTTATTGGTACTGTTATCACCATTATGCAGACTCTAATTATTTCACTCAGGACCTACCCTGCTCAGATGCTCTGCGTTAATGGGTTCCTATAGTCAAGTGGCATTTGCTGCTGTGGAAAGAGGCCTGGGATGGCATTGTTTAATTAATCATATCTTTATCCAGGTGGCACAAGTCTTTGGTGGACTTTTAGAGGTAAGAAAACCAAACAGCTACTGTAGTGTGGCAGCAATGGAGGCAAAGGAGATTGTTCCCATGGTTGCCATGGGTCAGAGACGGGCAGCCTCACCATTTGTCTGGTGAGAGGTCTCATGCATCGGCAGTGAACTGCAAAGGGCACAGATGCCAGAAACCAGGGAATGTGAGCCCTGAAGCACACACCTGTATCTGGAGAGGTCAATTCATGACACTTTACAATTGGGGCCCTGACCAACGTGAATTACAAAGGGAGCAAGATAATGAGCTATCATCAATAGCAAGATGGGAACTAAAACTAGAGCACTGGGTCTCAAGCTTCAGCTAGCATCAGAATCACCTGGAAGTCTCATTGAACCACAACTTACTGAGCCGCACCCCGAGGAGTTTCTGATTCCATAGGTCTGGGGTGTAGGGTGTAGGGTTACTAGATTTACACATAAAAATAGGATTCCCAGTTAAGTTTGAATCTCAGTTGAACAACATTATTTTTAGTATTTAGGCCCACATATTGCATAGGACATACTTATACAAAAAGAAAAAAAAAAAAGAAGTCATTATTGCTTATCTGAAGCTCAAGTTTTCCTGAGCATCCTGTATTTTTTCTGACAACCTTACCGGAGTGGATCCCAAATGTTCCCATTTCTAACAAGTTCCCACTTAATGCTGATGCTGTTTGTCCAGAAACCGCACTTAGAGAACCACTGGCCAATTCAGACACACCTTCAGCAATTTCCAATTCAATTCTGAGTGCTAAAGGTTGGCGTTTTCCATCCGGGAGGTAAATACCTAAGTACCTTCATATGGTGCCTGAGGACCAGGTAAGCTGGGTGCCTTTGACAGCTCTGTCTGCCTTGGTAAAGGAGAAGTGGTTCTTAAAAACTCACCCCTTAAACTAAGTGATTATAATAATTTCAACAACAGAGCTAACCTTCTCGGGATAGTGGAAATTTGATTTTCTTGGCTAAATTTGTGCAGACTACCACAGAAATTAGCCCTGCAAGTTTTGTGAGTAGGAGATACTGATTTCCTGATGACAACGAGCTGTTCGTTCGCATCTGGCAATCAATCATCTCCTTTGTTTTCCATTGCAGTTTCTTTCTGATTACTACACAGACATTTCCTCCCTCCCTTTGCGCAGAATCATAGGTGATAATAAATGTTCATATGTCTGGTAGGTGATTCTGTTTGCCAAGCCATTGTTTGTTCTTTATAATCAAGCCCAGGTCTGTGAGTAAGAGTTTCACCTTGGTATGAGGGTAGTTCTTGTCATTTATTTTCCAGGCAAGAGATTGCTTTTTCCATGATTGTATGTTTTTATGTGCATGAACCATCCGTAAAGAAAAGAGAATAAAAGCCTGAATAAAAAGAAACCAAAGAGAGCATATTAAGTAAAATTGACCATTTTTTATTGAGTGACAGCTTTATGCACAGGCTGCACTCTGTTGTTATTCCCTGTCTTCTCTCCCTATATTTCGATCCGTGATGGTCAACATCAGCTGTAGAGTGGGTCCACTTGAGCAGCTTGAAGACGCCTACCCTGGGGTCCCCCACCAGAAATGCAAATTTAATTGGTCTAGGCATAGCCTGACCAAGGGCAGTTTTTAAAGCTCCCTAGATCATACGATCATGTTAGTAAACTATTAGGCATTAAAGTTGAACATACAGTCTATTATTATTCGCAGTAGTATATGTTCTATAAAGTCACAGTGAACATCAAATTGGTGACTACTGAACCACTGCTCCTAGGGGAACTGCAGGATTAGATGCCTGCCAGCCCTTGATCACAAGATTTTGGTCAGCTAGCCAGGCGCGGTGGCTCATGGCTGTAATCCTAGTATTTTGGGAGGCTGAGGTAGGAGAATTGCTTGAGTCCAGGAGTTCAAGACCAGCATGGGCAACATAGAGACCCCCATCTTTACCAAAATTTTTTTAGAAAATTAGCCAGAGGCAGTGATGTATGCCTGTAGTCCCAGCTACTAGGGAGGCTGAGATGGGAGGAGGGCTTGAGCCCGGGAGGCTGAGGCTGCAGTGAGTAGTGATTTCAGCACTGCACTCCAGCAGCAACAGAGTGAGACACTGTCTCAAATTTAAGAAAAAGACTTTACTTAGCCAATCAATACATAACCTTGTTTTACATGTGTTTATGTTTAAAGACCTCTTACTTAATTTATATTGTTGATAACATTCATATTAATCTAATGCCTGGAACAAAGTTTATCTAGCCCATGTATTTTCTCCAAAAGGCACATCCCAGCCTTCTTATGCTTAGGAACACTACATAGCACTTCAGCACTACACTTGGTGCTGGCATTTAAAACAGTGAAATCACTCTTCAAAAACATACAGAAATGCAAAATACAGGGCACTAGCTACACAGCAGTTTACAGCACGAGGACTGAAACAAGAAGGCGGGGCCTTGCCATGTTCAGGCTTACTGGGAATGTGCACATCAATTGACTCAAATTTTTCACCTCTCTGCACATGTCCATCAATGACTGTGAAAGTGCCATGAGTATTGATTTTTGAGGCTACAAATATATTTTAGCAAACAGGCAAATTTGCAAATACAGTATCCATGAATAATGAGGATTGACTCTACATGTACCCTCAGACCCAGCAATTTCACTCTTAGAGAAGTGAGAACATAGGTCTACAAAATGATAAGTGTAAGAATGTTCAGAGAAGCTTTACTAGTAATAGTCCAAACCTGGAAGTAACTCAGTCATCCATCAACAGGAGAATGGATAAACTGTAACATATTCAAACAATGAAATACTAAGCAGCAATATAAAAGAACTATCAATGCACTCAACAACACACATGAATCTCAAAAACATTAGGTTGAGCAAAAGATGCCAGACACAAAAGACCACACATGTTATACAGAATTGAAGATCAGGTGAAATTAATCTGCGGTGACAGAAAACAGAACAATGGTTACCTTCAAGTGTTGATAGGAAGGAACATAAGGTCTCCTCCTGGAGTGCTGGAAATATTCTATGTCTTGATTAAGGTAGTGGTTACACAGATGTTATGTACGTAAAAATCCATCAAACTGTACAGCTAAGATTAGAATGTTCCACTTTATAGTATGTATGATATATTTTTACCTCAATTTTTGAAAAAACTGCCAATGTGACTCTAATGTACAGCCAAACTTAGGACAGCTAAGAAATTTTTAGAGAAATTTCTGAGCCCCATGAATGCTCTGGTCATTCCAAATTATGCTGCCAGTTCCACCTTTGGGATCATCCTCAAGTAACAGCCTGCAGGATGAGATCCATGCAACCCAGCTTTTAAAACCAGAAAACCATAGAATAGCAGAGCTGGAAGGAAACTCGAATGTCATCTAGTGCCAAGATGACTAATCAGTTTCATCTTGAGTGCTAATCCTGGCTAATTTGTAATGGCTGCCTGGAATTCTGGATTCAGAAAGAGTCTAAGAGTGTATCCAAATATAGTGGGAAGGACATTGCATGACCAATTAGCAATGTCTGGCTTGTGCACAATCAGGAGAGATATATGTGCTGTCCTTGTATTTGCCCACCAGTCTAGTCCAGACTTCTCCTTTTTCATGCACAGATATTGAAACCCAGAGAAATGACTTGCTAAAGTTCACCTTGGTAGTCAGTGGCAAAAGCAATATTAAAACAAAGTGTTTTCTGAGTGGCCTTATCACTCCATGAGATGAGGTTGGTTGCTAGAAAGGATGGAAGTGGGAATGAGGAACCAAGGTATAATTTTACATGGACTGGAGATGCAGGCCATCCATGGACAAAGACCATGAAACTGGTCCCCTGAATATTCAGGGAGTTCGAAAGGACACTAGTGCAAAACCCAAATTCTATTTCAAAACTATATGTGTCCATTCATTTATTCATAATTTTTGCAAGCATTTTAATAGAAAAAGAGTGGACCTGAATGTTCTTTGTAAACCATAAGATACTTTACAAATACTTGTCATGTTTTATAAAATGCTTTTTAGAAATTATAATAAATATCCCCTGTAAGCCCAGTCCTGTACTAGAAGTTGTGGAAAATACCACCAAAGTTAGAGATGCAAGTACTTTATTAAACTGTAGTAGTAGGACCTCAATTTGTAGTAGGACCTCGAACTGTAGTAGTAGGACCTCGAACTGTAGTAGTAGGACCTGAGTGCATAATGTCACTCAGTAATTAGTGAAGTTTATTTGCTCACCTGAGTCTCAGTTTTCCCAGTTGCAAAGTGAGTTTTACATGAGTCTTCACTTTGTAGAATCGTTATTCGGACCAAATGAAATGTGAAATAACTTTGAGTACCACAGCCATGCTTTTATAGACAGAATGTTTCAAAGTCAAAAGGGCAAATCATGTAGAGTCAAAATTGGCTAAAGCCTGATAAATGTTAGTTACTATTTTGCAATGCTCTTAAAGGGGTTGTCTTGCTTTTCTATCACACTGGTCCTCTGGTTAGCTAGTCGGTTAAATTGCAGCCACTTCTTGACCTGCAGGAAGATCCAAGTCCACATAGGGAAGATTATCTCTGAGTTTCCACAACATTAAAATTCTGACTCATGTAGAGTGGTGGTTCTCAATCTTTAAACACTGGAGCAGCTTTAAAGGCCAGCCATGTAATCCCAGCACTTTGGGAGGCCAAGGCAGGAGGACTGCTTGAGCCCAAGAGTTTGAGACCAGCCTGGGCAACATAAAGAGACCCTGTCTCTACAAAAAATTTTAAAAATTGCCTTGTGTGGTGGTGCATACCAGTAGTCCAAGCTACTCTGGAGGCTGAGGTGGGAAGATCACTTGAGCCTCAGAGGTTGAGGCTGCAGTGAGCTATGATAGTGCCACTGCACTCCAGCCTGGGCAACAAAGCAAGACCCCGTCTCAAAAAAAAAAAAAAAAAACCCATATCAGACTTCTGGTTTCCAGTCCAGCATGTAAGAACCTGGAAGTCACCACTCCATCCTAACAACAAGTGAAAGGCTGGACAACTCTTTATGACATCCTTTCTCTTTCTAACTTTGGGCTTAGTTTGTCCTTTCTCTAGTGTACAGTTAGGTTGTTTGAAATCTTGCTTTTTTTTTAATGTAGGCATGTATTGCTTTATACTTCTCTCTTAGCACTGTTTTTGCTGCATCTCATAAGCTTTGGTATGTTATGTTTTCATTTTTCTTTCTCTCAAGATACTTTTTAAATTCCCTTTTGATTTCCTCTTTGACCCAATGGTTGTTCAAGAATGCGCTGTTTAGTTTCATGTATTTGTGAATTTTTCTATTTCCTTACTGTCATTGATTTCTAGTTTCATTCCATTGTGATTAGAAAAGACACTTGGAATGATTTTAATCCTCTTAAATTAGTTAAGACTTGTTTTGTGACCTAACATGTGACCTATCCTAAAGAATGTTCCATGTGTGCTTAAGAAGAATGTATATCTTCTGCTGGGTAGAAAGGTCAGTATATGTCTGTTAGGTTCATTTAGTCTAAAATTTTGTTTAGTTCTTCTGTTTTCTTATTGATTTTTCTGTCTGGATAGCCAAAACAATCTTGAGAAAAAACAAAGCCATAGGCATTTCACTTACTGATTTCAAAATATATTACAAAGCTAAAGTAATCAAAACAGCATGAGACTGGCATAAACCCCAACATATAGACCAATGGAACAAAATAGACTAGAAATAAATCCATGCGTCTATGGTCAGATGATCTTTGACAAGAGTGCCAAGAACTATGGGGATAGGATGGTCTCTTCAATAAATGGTGCTGGGAAAACTATATATCCACATGCAGAATAATGATATTAGACCCTTCTCTCACACCATATACAAAACTCAACTCAAAATTAATAAAGACTTAACTGTAAAACCTGAAGCCTTAAAACTACTGGAAGAAAATGTAAGGGAAAATCTTCCTGACACTAGCCTGGGGAATAATTTTTTTGATATGACAACAAAAGCAGAGACAACAAAAGCAAAAATAGACAGGTGAGGCTGCATCAAACTAAAAGGCTTCTGCACTACAAAGGAAATAATCAACAGGGCAAAAAGGCAATCTACAGGATGAGAGAAAATATTTGCAAATCACATATATAATAAAGTCCTAATATTCAAAATATATAAAGAACTCAAAAAACTCAGTAGCAAAAAGCAAATAACCTGATTTAAAAATAAATGAGCTAAAGACCTGAGTAGACATGTCTAAGAAGACATACAAATACCCAACAGATGTAGGAAGAGATGGTCAACATCACTAATCATCAAGAAAATGCAAAACAAAGCCACAATGTGACATATCATGTCACAGTTGTTAGAATGTCTATTATCAAAACGACAAAAGGTAACAAGTGTTGGTGAAGATATGGAGAAAAAGGAACCCTTGTACACTGTCGATGGGAATGTAAATTGGTACAACCATTATGGAAAACAGTATGGTGATTCCTCAGAAAGTTAAAAATAGAATTACCATATGATTGGGGCCGGGAGTGGTGGCTCATGCCTGTAATCCCAGCACTTTGGGAGGCCAAGGCGGGTGGATCACGAGGTCAGGAGATCAAGACCATCCTGGCTAACATGGTGAAACCCTGTCTCTACTAAAAATACAAAAAAATTAGCCAGGCATGGTGGCGGGTGCCTGCAGTCCCAGCTACTCAGGAGGCTGAGGCAGGAGAATGGCGTGAACCTGGGAGGTGGAGCTTGCAGTGAGCTGAGATCGCACCACTGCACTCCACACTGGGCAACAGAGTGAGACTTCATCTTAAAAAAAAAAAAAAGAATTACCGTATGATCTAGTTAATCTCACTTCTCAGTATATATTCAAAGGAAATAAAGTCAGGACCTCATATCTGCAAACCAGGTTCATTGCAGCATTATTCACAACGGCCAAGATATGAAAACAACTTAAGTGTCCGTTGATGGACAAATGGATAAAGAAACTGTGAGATATACACACACACACACAAACACACATAAACAATGGAATATTATTCAGCCTTTTACAAAAAAAATACTGTAGCTTATTACAACATGGATGAACCTGGAGGCCATTATGCTAAGTGAAATAAGCCAGGCACAGAAAGACAAATACCACATGATCTCACTTATGCAGTATCTACAAAAGTTTAATATAAAAGCAGAGAGGAAAAGGATGGTTGAGGGGGACTGAGGGTAGGGAGAGTGGAAAGATGTTGATCAAATTGTACAAAGGTACAGATACACAAGATGAATGAGTTCTAGAATATCTGGCTTGTGCACTGGTTGTACATCTGATGTACAGTATGGTATCTATAGTTAACATTACTGTATTATATAATTGAAATTTTCTCATAGAGTTGATCTTAAGTGTTCTGACCACAAAAATAAATCAGTACTATGTAATGAATATACTAATTAGCTTGATTATAGTAATTATTTCACCTCACCTTGTATTCCTTAAATATACACCATTTTTATTTGCCAAGTGTCCTTCAATAAAGCTGAGGGAGAAGAGATGAACAAACTGAAAAATTAACAACTCTTCTTGGATCCATGACAAAGTGGGACCACAGGGCAAATCACTACCCCCAAAACTGGAGAGACACACAGGTAGATGCAGAGAATTGTGGCTTGCCAGAACAGAAACCCACAAACAGCAATCTCCGCAGAACTGCCAAGGTAAAAAAAATCTGAACTGTAACTGCCAAATTGCCGGAGGCACAGTGTGGACAAGTCTGAGAGACAAAACTCCAGGGGACACAGTCATCAGGGGTCTCCACATTTTTGTGAGTTTCACCTGCTGGAGCTCTATCAGGTTCTCACAGGGAAAATCAGAGAAAAATTATCTTGCGCTTTTGGCAGGAGAAGGAAGAAATGAAGCATTATGAAATAAGTCAGAGCACTTTGTTCTTCCCTCAGGAAAAACTGTTTAACCAGAGCCTAACCTATTTTATCAGAGCCTAACTGACTTGGGGTAAGGGAAATACCCAAATATAGTTCACTATAGCCATTCTATGCCACCTAAAAGGAAGGAAAAACTATGAAACCCCTTTGAGTTTTACAGTACAGAGGCAAAGGCTCACTAAAAGATTGAGATCTGATCATGGAATAATAGAATGTTTGCCCTTCCCCCACACCTTACCACCACATCACTAAAGGCTTTTTTACAGCAGTTCCTTTTACCCAGTAGCTCATGTCTAGCTATCAAGAAAAAATTACAAGACATTAAAAAGCAGAAAACATAGTTTGAAGACACAGAGGAAGCATCAGAATCGGACTCAGATCCATCAGGAATTAGAATTATCAGACTAGGAATTTTAAACAATGATCAACATGCTAACGAATAAAGTAGGCAGCAGGCAAAAATGGATGGGCAATGTAAGCAGAGAGATAGAAAGTTTAAGAAATAATCAAAAGGAAATGCTAGGTAGACATCAAAAACACTGTTAAATAAATGAATAATGCCTTTCATGGGCCTACTGGTAGATTAGAGATGGTTGAGGAAAGAATCTCCAAATTTGAGGACATCTCAGTAGAAACCACCAAAACTGAGAAGCAAAGAGAAAAAAGAGCAGAAAAATAGAACAGCATATTCAAGAACTGTGGAACAACTATAAAAGCTGCATACACATAGGGAATTCCAGAAGAAGAGAGGGTGAAAGGAACAAAAGAAATATTTTAAAAAATGACTGAGAATTTTCACAAAATTAATGTCAGATATCAAACTACATATCCAAGAAGCTCAGAGAACACCAGGCAGAATAAATGTCAAAAAGACTACACCTAGGCATATCATATACAAACTGCAGAAAATCAAAGATAAAGAAACAATCCTTAAGGAAACCAGAGAAAAACATATCTTACCTGTAAAGCAGCAAAGATAAGAATTATACTCAACTTCTCCTCAAAAGCCAGGTGTATTAGTCCATTTTGCATTGCTATAAAGAAATATCTGAGGATGGGTAATTTATAAAGAAAAGAGGTTTATTTGGCTAACGGTTCTGCAGGCCATACAAGCATGGCACCAGCATCTGCTTGGCTTCTGTTGAGGCCTCAGGAAGCTTTTAGTCATAGCGGAAGGGAAGGGGAGCTGGCATGTTACATGGCAAGAGATGGAGTGAGAGACAGGAGGAAGTGTTGGGCTCCTTTAGAAAACCAGCTCTCACATGAACTAACAGAGTGAAAACTCACTAATTTACATGGGAAGGGTACAAAGCCATTTATGAGGGATCCACCCCCATGACCCAAACATCTCCCATTAGGCCCCACCTCCAACACTTAGGATCACATTTCAACATAAGATTTAGAGGAGACAAACATCCAAACCATATCACCAGGCAATCAAGGAGAGAGTGGAGTGAATATTTAAAGTGTTAAGAGAAAAAACCTACCAACCTATAATTCTGTACCCTGTGAAATTATCTTTCGAAAGTGAAGGAGAAATAAAGTCTTTCTTAGACAAACAAAAATTGAGGGAATATTTTTCCACAGACTTGCCCTGAGAGAAATATTAAAAGAAATTCTTTAGCAAGAAGGAAAATGATAAAGGTCAGAAATGCAGATCTATGTGAAGAAGGAAAAAGCATCAAAGAAGCAATATTCAAGGTAAAATTAAAGTTTTTATTTTTCTCCTTCTTAATTGATCTAACAGACAATATTTTGTTCAAAATAATCACAGAAATATATTTGATTATATATGCTTATTTGTGTGTGTATGTGTATATATGCCTATATATGCTTATGTGTAAGTAAAATGAATGACAGCAATGATACAAGGCTCAGGAAGGAAGAATTAGGAACATTTTGTTATTATGAGGTACTCACACTACAAGTGAAGAGTATAGTGTTATTTGAAAGTGGACTTGGATTAATTATAAATGCATATTGAAAACTTTAGGGTGAGCACTAAAAAAGGTAAGAAGAAAAAAGAAGCATAACTAATATGCTAATAAAAGAGAGAAAATAGAATTATATTAACTAAAACCACAAAAAGGCAGAAGAGTGGAAAACAAAAATAGGAAAAAGAACAAGGGTAATCAATAGGAAACAGGAATAAATACATTAGATATTAATCCATCTCTATCAATAATTACTTTGAGCATCAATGGTCTAAATGTACAAGTTAAAAGGCAGATATTGTCAAGGTGGATTAAAAAACAATACCCACCTATATGTTGTATACAAGAAACCCATTTAAAATATAAATACACATATGGATTAAAAGTTAAAGGGGAGAGGGGATCATCATGGTGGACGGGAGGCAGGACTAGATTGCAGCTCCAACTTAGAGGGACAGAGCAGCATGCAGAGGCTTGCACTGTGAATTTTAGCTCCAGTTCAACTGCAAGAACAAACCAGTAATACCAAGAGGACACAAAGACCCTCTGAAGGAAGTGGACTGCTCCTGCAGGACCCAGGAGACACCCCAAATACTGCAAGTGCCCCCAACTGCAGAAGTGGGAAAGGGAGATCCTCCTCTCCTGAACACATCCCCACTGGAGAAACTGGAGGTCTGTTTGTGGGAGAAGTTTCTGACCTTACCTGGAGCTGAGTCAATTTAGAGAGCCAAGTGAAATACAGGGGTGGAGGAAGCAGCAAGAAAGGCACTGAGAGCTCACTGGGTCCCCAAACAGGCCATTCCTGCCTGGCACCACAGGGATCCATCAGGAGGGCAACCAGAGGAGTGGGGAAAAACATCACAGGGAGAAGGAAATCTCCAGCTGAGCTTTGTAATAATTTGAACTGGGTGAGAAGCCTCCCAGCCAGAAGTTGGGGGAGGGCACGAATCCAGTGTGCAGACTCCACAGATTGGGAAGGAACCAAGCCATTTTCTTTCCCAGCTGGGAGGCGAGTAGCCTGGGGCAAGTTCTCAAGCCTGGCTCACCCACTGCCTAGAAAGAGACTCTGGACTGTGGGGTGGGGCAAGGTGGGAGTGAGACCAGCCCTTTGGTTTGTGTGGGAGCTGGGTAAGGCCTGTGACTGCCAGCTTTTCCCCACTTCCCTGACAACCTGCATGACTCAGCAGAGGCAGCCACAATCCTGCTAGGTACACAACTCCATTGACCTGGGAACCTCACCCCCATTCCCCACAGCAGCTGCAGCAAGACTGGCCCAAGGAGAGTCTGAGCTCAGACATGCCTAGCCCTGCCCCCACCAGATGGGCCTTCCTTACCCACCCTGGTAGCTGAAGATGAAGGGCATATAATCTTGGGAGTTCTAGGGCCCCGCCCATGACCAGTTCCTGTCCATACTACCACAGCTGATGCTCTCAGGAAAGCATCACCTAGTAGCAGAAGGCCAATCAGCTTTAGAGAATTAAGCCACCAAAGCTAAAAACCCTCACAGAGTGCATTTCACACCCCTGCCACCTCCAACTGAACAAGTGCTGGTATCCACATCTAAGAGAGTGATAGACAGTTCACATCACAGGACTCTATGCAGACAAACCCCAGTACCAACCCAGAGCCTGGTAGACTTGCTGAGTGGCTAGACCCAGAAGAGAGACAACAATCACTGCAGTTTGGCTTACAAGAAGCCACATCCATAGGAAAAGGAGGACAGTACTACATCAAGGGAACACCCCATGGGACAAAAGAATCTGAACAACAGCCTTCAGCCCTAGATCTTCCCTCTGACAGAGCCTACCCAAATGAGAAGGAACCAGAAAACCAACTCTGGTAATATGACAAAACAAGGCTCTTTAACACCGTACCCCTACCCCCGCCCCACAAAAAAATATTACACTAGTTAACCAGCAATGGATCCAAACCAGGAAGAAATCCCTGATTTTCCTGAAAAATAATTCAGGAGGTTAGTTATTAAGCTTATCAAGGAGGCACCAGAGAAAGGTGAAGCCCAATGCAAGGAAATAAAAAAAATTATACAAGACATTAAGGGAGAAATATTGAAGGAAATAGATTGCATAAAGAAAAAGTCAGAGATCCAAGAAACATTGGACACACTTATAGAAATGCAAAAATGCTCTAGAAAATCTCAGCAATAGAATTGAACAAGTAGAAGAAAGAAAATCGGAGCTGGAAGACAAGATCTTTGAATTAACCCAATCCAACAAAGACAAAGAAAAAAGCATAAGAAAATATGAACAAAGCCTCCAAGAAGTCTAGGATTATGTTCAATGACCAAACCTAAGAATAATCAGTGTTCCTGAGGAAGAAGAGAAATCTAAAAGTTTGGAAAATATATTTGGGGGAATAATCAAGGAAAACTTCTCCAGCCTTGCTAGAGATCTAAACATCCAAATACAAGAAGCACAAAGAACACCTGGGAAATTTATCGCAGAAAGATCATCACCTAGGCACATTGTCATCAGGTTATATAAAGTGACAATGAAGGAAAGAATCTCAAGTGCTGTAAGACTGAAGCACCAGGTAACCTATAAAGAAAAACCTATCAGATTAATGGCAAATTTCTCAACAGAAATCCTACAAGCTAGAAGGGACTGGGGCTCTATCTTCAGCCTCCTCAAACAAAACAATTATCAGCCAAGAATTTTGTATCCAGTGAAACTAAGCATCATTTATGAAAAAAAGATACAGTCGTTTTCAGACAAACAATTGCTGAGAGAATTTGCCATGACCAAGCCACCACTACAAGAACTGCTAAAAGGAGCTCTAAATCTTGAAACAACTCCTGGAAACACAACAAAACAGGACCTCTTTAAAGCAAAAATCACACAGGACCTATAAAACAAAAACACAAGTTAAAAAACAAAAACAAAAAGCAAAAAAAAAAAAGAAATAGGTAACAAATAGTACAATGAATGCAACAGCACCCCACATCTCAGTACTAACATTGAATGTAAATGGCCTAAATGCTGCACTTAAAAGATACAGAACTGCAGAATGAATAAGAACTCATCAACCAACTATCTGCTGCCTTCAGGAGACTCACCTAACTCATAAGGACTCACATAAACTTTAAGTAAACGGGATGGGAAAAGGCATTTCATGCAAATGGACACCAAAAGCAAGCAGAGGCAGCTATTCTTATATCAGACAAAACAAATTTTAAAGCAACAGCAGTTAAAAGACACAAAGAGGGATATTATGTAACGGTAAAAGGCCCTGTCCAACAGGAAAATATCACAATCATAAACATATATGCACCTAACACTGGAGCCCCCAAATTTATAAAACAATTACTAATAGACCTAGGAAATGAGATAGACAGCAACGCAATAATAGTGGGGGACTTCAATACTCCACTGACAGCACTAGATAGGTCATCAAGACAGAAAGTCAATAAAGAAACAATGGATTTAAACTATACCTTGGAACAAATGGACTAAACAGATACATGCAGAACATTTCATTCAACAACTGCAGAATACACATTTTACTCAACAGCACATGGAACTTTCTCCAAGAGAGACCATATGATAGGCCATAAAATGAACCTCAATAAATTTAAGAAAATTGAAATTATATCAAGCACTCACATAGACCACAGTGGAATAAAACTAGAAATCAACTCCAAAATAACCTTCAAAACCAAGCAAATACATGTAAATTAAATAACCTGCTCCTGAATGAGCAATGGGTCAAAAACAAAATCAAGATGAAAATTTAAAAATTCTTCAAATGGAATGACAATAATAACACAATATATCAAAACCTCTGGGATACAGCAAAGGTGATGCTGAGAGGAAAGTTAATAACCCTAAATGTCTACATCAAAAAGACTGAAAAAGCACAAACTGACATTCTAAGGTCACATCTCAAGGAACTAGAGAAACAAGAACAAACCAAACCCAAGCCCAGCAGAAAAAAGGAAATAACAAAGACCAGAGCAGAACCAAATGAAACTGAAACAACAACAACAAAATACAACAGATAAATTAAGAAATGAAACAGGAGATATTACAACTGACACCACTGAAATACAAAAGATCATTCAAGGCTACTATGAACACCTTTACACACATAAACTAGAAAACCTAGAAGACATGGATAAACTTCTGGAAAAACACAACCTCCTAGCTTAAATCAGGAAGAATGAGATACCCTGAACAGACCAAAAACAAGCAGCAAGATTAAAATGATAATTTAAAAATTACCAAAAAAAAAAAAAAAGTCCAGGACCAGATGGATTTACAGCAGAATTCTACCAGACATTCAAGGAAGAGTTGGTACCAATCCTTTTGACACTATTCCATAAGATAGAGAAAGAAGGAACCCTCCCTAATTAACTCTAGGAAGCCAGCATCACCCTAATACCAAAACCAGGAAAGGACATAACCAAAAAAGAAAACTACAGACTGATATCCTTGATGAAGATAGATGCGAAAACCCTTAACAAAATATTAACTAACCAAATCTGACAACATATCAAAAAGATAATTCACCATGATCATGTGGGTTTCACACCAGGGATGCAGGGATAGTTTAACATACACGAGTCAATAAATGTGATATGCCACATAAACAGAATTAAAAACAAAAAGTCACATGATTATCTCAGATGCAGAAAAACCATTTGACAAAATCCAGCATCCTTTATGATTAAAGCTCTCATCTAAATCGGCATACAAGGGGCATATCTCAATGTAATAAAAGCCGTCTATGACAAACCCACGAATGGGGAAAAGTTGAGAGCATTCCCTCTGAGAACTGGAACAAAACACAGATGCCCACTCTCACCACTCCTCTTCAACATATTACTGGAAGTCCTAGCCAGAGCAATCAGACAAGAGAAAGAAATAAAGAGCATCCAAATTGGTAAAGAGGAAGTCAAACTCTCACTGTTTGCTGATGATATAATCATTTACCTTGAAAGCCCTAAATACTCCTCCAGAAAGCTCCAAGAACTGATAAAAGAATTCAGCAAAGTTTCCAGATATGAGATTAATGTACACAAATCAGTAGCTCTTCTATACACCAACAGCAACCAAGCTGAGAATCAAATCAAGAAATCAACCCCTTTTACAATAGCTGCAAAAAATAAAATAAAATACTTAGGAATATACCTAACCAAGGATGCAAAAGACGGCTACAAGGAAAACTACAAAACACTGATGAAAGAAATTATAGATGACAAAAACAAACAGAAATACATCCCATGATCATGGAAGGGTAGAATCAATATTGTGAAAACAACCATACTGTCAACAGCAATCTACAAATTCAATGCAATCCCCATGAAAATACCATCATTCTTCACTGAATTAGAAAAAACAATTCTAAAATTCATATGGAACCAAAAAAGAGCCCGCATAGCCAAAGCAAGGCAAGCAAAAAAAAAAAAAAAAAAAAAAAAATCAAATATGGAGGCATCACATTACCTAATTTCACACTATACCATAAGGCCATAGTCACCAAAACAGCATGGTATTGGTATAAAAATAGACACATAGGCCAGTGGAACAGGATAGAGAACCCAGAAATAAACCCAAATGCTTACAGCCAAAGATCTTCGACAAAGCAAACAAAAACATCAAGCAGGGAAAGGACACCTTTTTCAACAAATGGTGCTGGGATAATTGGCTAGCCACATGTAGGAGAATAAAACTGGATCCTCATCTCTCACCTTATATAAAAATAAACTCAAGATGGATTAAGGACTTAAATCTAAGACTGGAAACTATAAAAATTCTGAAGATAACACTGGAAAAACCCTTTTAGATATTGGCTTAGGCAAGGATTTCATGACCAAGAACCCAAAAGCAAATGCAATAAAAACAAAGATAAATAGTTTGGACTTAATTAAACTAAAGAGCTTTTGCACAGCAAAAGGAACAGTCAGCAGAGTAAACAGACAACCCATAGGGTGGGAGAAAATCTTCAAAATCTATACATCTGACAAAGGACTAATATCCAGAATCTATAATGAACTCAAACAAATCAGTAATAAAAAAACAAACAATTTCATCAAAAAATGGGCTAAAGACATGAATAGAGAATTCTCAAAAGAAGATATACAAATGGCCAACAAACATATGAAAAAATACTCAACATCACTAATGATCAGGGAAATGCAAATCAAAACCACAGTGAGATACCACCTTACTCCTGCAAGAATTGCCATAATCAAAAAATCAAAAAACAGTAGATGTTGGTGTGGATGTGTTGAACAGGGAACACATACACACTGCTGGTGGGAATGTAAACTAGTACAACCACTACAGAAAACAGTGTGGAGGCTTCTCAAAGTACTAGAAGTAGAACTACCATTTGATCCAGCAATCCCACTACTCCATATTTACCCAGAGGAAAAGAAGTCATTATATGAAAAAGATACTTGCACACACATGTTTATAGCAGCAAAATTTGCAATTGCAAAATCATGGAACCAACCCAAATGCCCATCAATCAGTAAGTGGATAAACAAACTGTGGTATATTGATACAATGGAATAATACTCAGCCATAAAAAATGAATTAATGGCATTTGCAGCAACCTGGGTAAGATTGGAGATTATTATCTAAATAAAGTAACTCAGGAATGGAAAACCAAACATTGTATGTTCTTACTTATATGTGGAACCTAAGCTATGAGAATGCAAAGGCATAAGAATGATATAATGGGGATTTGAAGCAAGATGGCCAAATAGGAACAGCTCCAGTCTGCAGCTCCCAGTGAGATCAACAGAGAAGATGGGTGATTTTTGCATTTCCAACTGAGGTACCCAGCCCATCTCATTGGAACAGTTTAGACAGCAGGTGCAGCCCACGGAGGGCAAGCCAAAGCAGGGTGGGGCATCACCTCACCCAGGAAGCACAAGGGGTCAGGGATCTCCCTCCCCTAGCCAAGGGAAGTTGAGAAGGACTGTGTCATGAAGAATGGTGCATTCTGGCCCAGATACTATGCTTTTCCCATGGTCTTCACAAACCACAGACCAGGAGATCCCTCAGGTGCCTACACCATAAGGGCCCTGGGTTTCAAGCACAAAACTGGGCGGCCCTTTGGGCAGACACTGAGCTAGCTGCAGGAGTTTTTTTTTCATACCCAGTGGCACCTGGAATGCCAGTGAAACAGAACTGTTCACTCTCCTGGAAAGGAGGCCGAAGCCAGGGAGCCAAGTGGTCTAGCTGAGCTGATCACACCCCACAGAGCACAGAAAGCTAAAATCCACTGGCTTGAAATTCTCACTGACAGCAAAGCAGTCTGAAGTCGACCTGGGACACTCAAGCTTGGTGGGGGAAGGGGCGTTCACCGTTACTGACACTTGAGTAGGTGGTTTTCCCCTCATAGTGTTAACAAAGCTGCAGGGACGTTCGAACTGGCAGAGCCCACTGTAGCTCAGTAAAGCCAATGTAGCCAGACTGCCTCTCTAGATTCCTCCTCTCTGGGCAGGGCATCTCTGAAAGAAGGGCAACAGCCCCAGTCAGGGGCTTATAGAAAAACTCCTATCACCCTAGAACAGAGCACCTGGGGGAAGGGGTGGCTGTGGGTGCAGCTTCAGCAGAATTAAATGTTTCTGCCTGCAGGCTATGAAGAGAGCAGTGGATCACCTAGCACAGTGCTTGAGCTCTGCTAAGGGATAGGCTGCCTCCTCAAGTGGGTCCCTGACCCCAGTGCCTCCTGACTGGGAGACACCTCCCAGCAGGGGTCGACAGACACTTCATATAGGAGAGCTCCAGCTGACATCTGGCAGATGCCCCTCTGGGACAAAATTTCCAGAGGAAGGAACAGGCAACAACCTTTGCTGTTCTGCAGCCTCTGCTGGTGATACCCAGGCAAACAGGGTCTGGAGTGGACCTCCAGCAAACTCCAGCAGACCTGCAGAAGAGGGGCATGACTGTTAGAAGGAAAACTAACAAACAGAAAGTAATAGCATCATCAACAAAAAGGATGTCCACACAAAACCGCCATCTGAAGGTCACCAACATCAAAGACCAAAGGTAGACAAATCCACAAAGATGAGGAAAATCTAGCACAAAAAGGCTGAAAATTCCAAAAACCAGAATGCCTCTTCTCCTCCAAAGGATCACAACTGCTCAACAGCAAGGAAACAAAACTGGATGGAGAATGAGTTTGACAAATTGACAGAAGTAGGCTTTAGAAGGTGGGTAATAACAAACTCCTCCAAGCTAAAGGAACGTGTTCTAACCCAATGCAAGGAAGCTAAGAACCTTGTAAAAAGGTTAGAGGAATTGCTAACTAGAATAACCAGTTTAGAGAAGAAATAAATGACCTGATGGAGATGAAAAAAAACAGCAAAAGAACTTCGTGAAGCATACACAAGTATCAATAGCCAAATTGATCAAGCAGAAGAAAGTATATGAGAGATTGAAGATCAGCTTAATGAAATAAAGCATGAAGACAAGATTAGAGAAAAAAGAATAAAAAGGAATGAACAAAGTGTCCAAGAAATATGGGATTATGTGAAAAGACTAAACCTACATTTGATTGGTGTACCAGAAAGTGACTGGGAGAATGAAACCAAGTTGGAAAACACACTTCAGGATATTACCCAGGAGAACTTTCCCAACCTAGAGGGAGAGGCCAACATTCAAATTCAGGAAATACAGAGAACACCACAAAGATACTCCTCAAGAAGAGCAACCTCAAGACACAATCATCAGATTCACCTAGGTTGAAATGAAGAAAATAGTGTTAAGGGCACCAGAGAGAAAGGGTGGGTTACCCACAAAGGGAAGCCCATTAGACTAACAGTGGATCTCTCTGCAGAAACCCTACAATCCAGAAGAGAGAGGGAGCCAATATTCAACATTCTTAAAGAAAAGAATTTTCAACCCAGAATTTCATATCCAGCCAAACTAACCTTCATAAACAACAGAGAAATAAAATCCTTTACAGACAAGCAAATGCTGGGAGATTTTGTCATGACTAGGACTGCCTTGTGAGAGCTCCTGAAAGAAGCACAAAATATGGAAAGGAAAAACTGGTACCAGCCACTGCAAAAACATACCAAATTGTAAAGACCATTGATGCTAGGAAGAAACTGCATCAACAGGCAAAATAACCAGCTAGCATCATAATGACAGGATCAAATTCACACATAACAATATTAGCCTTAAATGTAAATGGGCTACATGCTCCAATTCAATGACACAGACTGGCAAATTGGATAAAGAGTCAAGACACATCAGTGTGCTGTATTCAGGAGATCCATCTCATGTGCAAAGACACACATAGGCTCAAAATAAAGAAATGTAGGACCAATTTGCCAAGCAAATGAAAAGAAAAAAAAAAGCAGGAGTTGCAATCCTAGTCTCTGATAAAACAGACTTTAAACCAACAAAGATCAAAAGAGACAAAGAAGGGCATTAGATAATGGTAAGGGATCAATGCAACAAGAAGAGCTAACTATCCTAAATATATATGCACACAATACAGGAGCACCCAGATTCATAAAACAAGTTCTTAGAGACCTACAAAGAGACTTAGACTCCCACACAATAATAGTGGGAGATTTTAACACGCCACTGTCAATATTAGACAGATCAACAAGACAGAAAATTAACAAGGATATTCAGGACTTGAACTCAGCTCTAGACCAAGCAGACCTAATAGACATCTACAGAACCCTCCACCCAAAATCAACAGAATATACATTCTTTTCAGCACCACATCACGCTTATTCTAAAATTGACCACATACTTGAAAGTAAAACACTCCTCAGCAAATGCAAAAGAACAGAAATCATAACAGTCTCTCAGACCACATTGCAATCAAATTAGAAATCAGGATTAAGAAACTCACTCAAAACTGCACAACTATATGGAAACTGAATAACCTGCTCCTGAATGACTACTGGGTAAGTAATGAAATTAAGGCAGAAATAAAGAAGTTATTTGAAACTAATGAGAACAAAGACACAATGTACTAGAATCTCTGGGACACAGCTAAACAGTGTTTAGCGGTAAATTTATAGTGCCAAATGCCCACAGGAGAAAGCAGGAGAGATCTAAAATTGACACCCTGAAATCACAATTAAAAGAGCTAGAGAACCAAGAGCAAAGAAATTCAAAAGCTAGCAGAAGACAAGAAATAACTAACATCAGAGCAGAATCGAAAGAGAAAGAGACATGAAAAACCCTTCAAAAAACCAATGAACCCAGAAGCTGGTTTTTGAAAAAAATTAACAAAATAGATATACTGTTAGCCAGGCTAATAAAAAAGAAAAGAGAGAAGAATCAAATAGACACCATAAAAATGATAAACAGGATATTACCACTGATCCCACAGAAATGCAAACTACCATCAGAGAATACTATAAACACCTCTATGCAAATAAACTAGAAAATCTAGAAGTGGATAAATTCCTGGACACAAGACTAAACCAGGAAGAAGACGAATCTCTGAATAGACCAATAACAAGTTCTGAAATTGAGGCAGTAATTAACAGCCTACCAACCAAAAAAAGCCCAGGACCAGATGGATTCACAGCTGAATTCTCCCAGAGGTACAGAGAAGAGCTGATACCATTCCTTCTGAAACTATTCCAAACAATAGAAAAAGAGGGACTCCTCCATAACTCATTTTATGACGCCAGCATTATCCTGATACCAAAACCTGGCAGACAAAACAAAAAAAGAAAATTTCAGGCCAGTATCTCTGATGAACATCAATACAAAAATCCTCAATAAAATACTGGCAACCTGAATCCAGCAGCACATCAGAAAACTTATCCACCATGATCAAGTCGTCTTCATCCCTGGGATGCAAGGCTGGTTCAACATATGCAAATCAATAATCATAATCCATCACATAAACAGAATCAATGACAAAAACCACATGATTATCTCATTAGATGCAGAAAAGGCCTTCAATAAAATTCAACGCCCCTTCATCCTAAAAACTCTCAATAAACTAGGTATTGATAGAATGTATCTCAAAATAATAAGAGCTATTTATGACAAACCCACAGCCATTATCATACTGAATAGGCAAAAGATGGAAGCCTTCCCTTTGAAAACCATCACAAGACAAGGATGTCCTCTGTCAACACTCCTATTTAATGTAGTATTGGAAGTTCTGGCCAGGGCAATCAGGCAAGAGAAAGCAATGAAGCATATTCAAATAGGAAGAGAGGAAGTCAAATCGTATCTGTTTGCAGATGACATGATTGTATATTTAGAAAACCCTATCATCTCAGCCCAAAATCTCTTTAAGCTGGTAAGCAACTTCAGCAAAGCCTCAGGATATAAAATCAACATGCAAAAATCACAAGCATTCCTATACACCAATAATAGACAAACAGAGAGCCAAATCATGACTGAACTCCCATTCACAATTGCTACAAAGAGAATAAAATACCTAGGAATACAACTTACAAGGAATGTAAAAGACCTCTTCAAGGAGAACTACAAACCACTGCTCAAAAAAATAAAACAGGACACAAACAAATGGAAAAACATTCCATGATCATGGATAGGAAGAATCAATATCGTGAAAATAGCCACACTGACCAAAGTAATTTACAGATTCAATGCTATTCCCATCAAGCCACCATTAATTTTCTTCACAGAATAAGAAAAAACTACTTTAAATTTCACAGGGAACCAGATAAGAGCTCATATAGCAAAGACAATCCTAAGCAAAAAGAACAAACTGGAGGCATCGCACTACCTGACTTCAAACTATACTACAAGGCTACAGGAACCAAAACAGCATGGTACTGGTACCAAAACAGATATATAGACCAATGAAACAGAATAGAGGCCTCAGAAATAACACCACACATCTACAACCATCTGATCTTTGACAAACCTGTCAAAAACAAGCAATGGAGAAAGGATTCCCTATTTAATAAATGGTGTTGGGAAAACTGGCTGGCCATATGCAGGAAACTGAAACTGGACCACTTCTTACACCTCATACAAAAAATTAACTCAAGATGGATTAAAGACTTAAACATAAGACCTAAAATCATAAAAACCCTAGAAGAAAACCTAGGCAATACCATTCAGGACATAGGCATGGGCAAAGACTTCATGACTGTAACACCAAAAGCAATGGCAACAAAAGCCAAAATTGACAAATGGGATCTAATTAAACTAAAGACCTTCTGCACAGCAAATGAAACTATCATCAGAGTGATGAACAGGCAACTTACAGAATGGGAGAAAATTTTTGCAATCTATCCATCAGACAAAGGGCTAATATCCAGAATCTACAAGAAACAAACAAATTTAAGGAAAAAACCAAACAACCCCATCAAAAAGTGGGCAAAGGGTATAAACAGACACTTCCCAAAAGAAGACATTTATGTGGCCAACAAACATATGAAAAAAAGTTCATCATCACTGGTCATTAGAGAAATGCAAATCAAAACCACAATGAGATACCATCTCACACCCGTTAGAATGGCGATCATTAAAAAGTCAGGAAACAACAGATGCTGGAGAGGACTTGGAGAAATAGGAACACTTTTACACTGTTGGTGGGAATGTAAATTATTTCAACCACTGTGGAAGACAGTGTGGCAATTCCTCAAGGATCTAGAACCAGAAATACCATTTGACCCAGCCATCCCATTACTGGGTATATACCCAAAGGATTATAAACCATTCTACTATAAAGACACATGCACGTGTATGTTTATTGTGGCACTATTCACAATAGCAAAGACTTGGAAACAACCCAAACGCCCATCAAAGATAGACTGGATAAGGAAAATGTGGCACATATACACCATGGAATACTATGCAGCCATAAAAAAGAGTGAGTTCATGTCCTTTACAGGGACATGGATGAGGCTGGAAACCATCATTCTCAGCAAACTAACATAGGAACAGAACGCCAAACACTGCATGTTCTCACTCATAAGTGGGAGTTGAACAATGAGAACACACGGACGCAGGGAGGGGAACATCACACACCAGGGCCTGTCAGGAGATGGGGGGCTGTGGGAGGGATAGCATTAGGAGAAATACCTCATATAGATGATGGACTGATGGGTGCAGCAAACCACCATGGCAAGTGTATACATATGTAACAAACCTGCACATTCTGCACATGCATCCCAGAACTTAAAGTTTAATTCAAAAAAAAATGATACAATGGACTTTGGGGACATGGGGGGAAAGGTGAGAGTGGGGCAAGGGATTAAAGACTACAAATAGGGCAATTCCAAGATGGCCGAATAGTAACAGCTCCAGTCTACAGCTCCCAGCATGAGCGACACAGAAGAAGGGTGATTTCTGCATTTCCAACTGAGGTACCAGCTTCATCTCACTGGGGCTTGTCAGACAGTGGGTGCAGGACAGTGGGTGCAGAGCACTGAGCGTGAGCTGAAGCTGGGTGAGGCATTGCCTCACCGAGGAAACACAATAGGTCAGGGAATTCCCTTTCATAGCCAAGGAAAGCTGTGACAGATGGCACCTGGAAAATTGGGTCACTCCTACCCTAATACTGCACTTTTACAATGGTCTTAGCAAATGACATACCAGGACATTATATCCCATGCCAGGCTCGGAGGGTCCCATGCCCACAGAGCCTCACTCATTGTTAGCACAGCAGTCTGAGATCGAACTGCAAGGTGGCAGTGAGACTGGGGGAGGGGTGCCCGCCATTGCCGAGGCTTGAGTAGATAAACAAAGTGGCGGGAAGCTCAAACTGGGTGGAGGCCACCGTAGCTCTAGGAGGCCTGCCTGCCTCTGTAGACTCCACCTCTGGGGACAGGGCATAGCCAAACAAAAGGCAGCAGAAACCTCTGCAGACTTAAATATTCCTGTCTGACAGCTTTGAAGAGAGTAGTTGTTCTCCCAACACAGAGTTTGAGATCTGAGAACGGACAGACTGCCTCCTCAAGTGGGTCCCTGACCCCCGAGTAGCGTAACTGGGAGGCATCCCCAGTAGGGGCATACTGACACCTCACACGGCCGGGTACCCCTCTGAGAGGAAACCTCCAGAGGAACGATCAGACAGCAACATTTGCTGTTCAGCAATACTCGCTGTTCTGCAGCCTCCGCTGCTGATACCCAGGCAAACAGGGTCTGGAGTGGACCTCCAGCAAACTCCAACAGACCTGCAGCTGAAGTTCCTGACTGTCAGAAGGAAAACTAACAAACAGAAAGGACATTCACACCAAAATCCCATCTATACATCACCATCATCGAAGACCAAAGGTAGATAAAACCACAAAGATGGGGAAAAAACAGAACAGAAACACTGAAAATTCTAAAAATTAGAGCGCCTCTCCTCCTCCAAAGGAATGCAGCTCCTCACCAGCAACAGAACAAAGCTGGATGGAGAATGACTTTGACAAGTTGAGAGAAGAAGGCTTCAGATGATCAAACTTCTCTGAGCTAAAGGAGGAAGTTCGAACCCATCACAAAGAAGTTAAAAATCTTGAAAAAAGATTAGACAAATGGCTAACTAGAATAACCAATACAGAGAAGTCCTTAAAGGACCTGATGGAGCTGAAAACCATGGCATGAGAACTACATGACAAATGCACAAGCTTCAGTAGCCGATTCGATCAACTGGAAGAAAGGATATCAGTGACTGAAGATCAAATGAATGAAATGAAGCGAGAGGAGAAGTTTAGAGAAAAAAGAATAAAAAGAAATGAACAAAGACTCCAAGAAATATAGGACTATGTGAAAAGACCAAATCTACGTCTGATTGGTATACCAGAAAGTGATGGGGAGAATGGAACCAAGTTGGAAAACACTCTGCAGGATATTATGCAGGAGAACTTCCCCAGCCTAGCAAGGCAGGCCAACATTCACATTCAGGAAATACAGAGAACTCCACAAAGATACTCCTCGAGAAGAGTGACTACAAGACACATAATTCTCAGATTCACCAAAGTTGAAATGAAGGAAAAATTGTTAAGGGCAGCCAGAGAGAAAGGTCGGGTTACCCACAAAGGGAAGCCCATCAGACTAACAGCGGATCTCTCAGCAGAAACCCTACAAGCCAGAAGAGAGTGGGGGCCAATATTCAACATTCTTAAAGAAAAGAATTTTCAACTCAGAATTTCATATCCAGCCAAACTAAGCTTCATAAGTGAAGGAGACATAAAATACTTTACAGACAAGCAAATGCTGAGAGATTTGGGCACCACCAGGCCTGCCCTAAAAGAGCTCCTGAAGGAAGCCCTAAATGTGGAAAGGAACAACCGGTACCAGTGACTGCAAAAACATGCCAAATTGTAATGACCATCGAGGCTAGGAAGAAAATGCATTAACTAATGAGCAAAATAAGCAGCTAACATCATAATGACAGGATCAAATTCACACATAACAATATTAACTTTAAATGTAAATGGGCTAAATGCTCCAATTAAAAGACACAGACTGGCAAATTGGATAAAGAATCAAGACCCATCAGTGTGCTGTATTCAGGAAACCCATCTCACGTGCAGAGACACACATAGGCTCAAAATAAAGGGATGGAGGAAGATCTACCAAGCAAATGGAAAACAAAAAAAGGCAGGGGTTGCAATCCTAGTCTCTGATAAAACAGACTTTAAACCAACAAAAATCAAAAGAGACAAAGAAGGCCATTACATAATGGTAAAGAGATCAATTCAATAAAAAGACCTAACTATCCTAAATATACATGCACCCAATACAGAAGCAACCAGATTCATAAAGCAAGTCCTTAGAGACCTAGAAAGAGACTTAGACTCCCACACAATAATAATGGGAGACTTTAACACCCCACTGCCAACATTAGACAGATCAATGAGACAGAAAGTTAACAAGGATATCCAGGAATTGAATTCAGCTCACACAAAGCGAACCTAATAGACATCTACAGAACTCTCCATCCCAAATCAACAGAATATACACTCTTCTCAGCACCACATCACACTTATTTCAAAATTGACCACATAGTTGGAAGTAAAGCACTCCTCAGCAAATGTAAAAGAACAGAAATTATAACAAACTGTCTTTCAGACCACAGTGCAATCAAACTAGAACTCAGGATTCAGAAACTCACTCAAAACTGCTCAACTACATGGAAACTGAACAACCTGCTCCTGAATGACTACTGTGTACATAACGAAATGAAGGCAGAAATAAAGATGTTCTTTGAAACCAACGAGAACAAAGACACAACATACCAGAATCTCTGGGACAGATTTAAAGCAGGGTGTAGAGGGAAATTTATAGCACTAAATGCCCACAAGAGAAAGCAGAAAGATCTAAAATTGACACCCTAACATCACAATTAAAAGAACTAGAGAAACAAGAGCAAACACATTCAAAAGCTAGCAGAAGGCAAGAAATAACTAAGATCAGAGCAGAACTGAAGGAAATAGAGACACAAAAAACCCTTCAAAAAATCAATGAATCCAGGAGCTGGTTTTTTGAAAAGATCAACAAAATTGATAGACCGCTAGCAAGACTAATAAAGAAGAAAAGAGAGAAGAATCAAATAGATGCAATAAAAAAATGATAAAGGGGATATCACCACAGATGCCACAGAAATACAAACTACCATCAGAGAATACTATAAACACCTCCACACAAATAAACCAGAAAATCTAGGAGAAATTGATAAATTCCTCGACACATACATCCTCCCAAGAGTAAACCAGGAAGAAGTTGAATCTCTGAATAGATCAATAACAGGCTCAGAAATTGAGGCAATAGTTAATAGCTTACCAACAAAAAAAAGTCTAGGACCAGACGGATTCACAGCCAAATTCTACCAGAGTTACAAGGAGGAGCTGGTACCATTCCTTCTGAAACTATTCCAATCAATAGAAAAAGAGGGAATCCTCCCTAACTCATTTTATGAGGCCAGCATCATCCTGATACCAAAGCCTGGCAGAGACACAACAAAAAAAGAGAATTTTAGACCAATAACCCTGATGAACATCAATGCAAAGATCCTCAATAAAATACTGGCAAACCGAATCCAGCAGCACATCAAAAAGCTTATCCACCATGATCAAGTGGGCTTCATCCCTGGGATGCAAGCCTGGTTCAACATATGCAAATCAATAAATGTAATCCAGCATATAAACAGAACCATAAACAATAACCACAATAAATGATTATCTCAATAGATGCAGAAAAGGCCTTTGACAAAATTCAACAACGCTTCATGATAAAAACTCTCAATAAATTAGGTATTGTTGGGACGTAACTCAAAATAATAAGAGCTATTTATGACAAACCCACAGCCAATATCATACTGAATGGGCAAAAACTGGAAGCATTCCCTTTGAAAACTGGCACAAGACAGGGATGTCCTCTCTCACCACTCCTATTCAACATAGTGTTGGAAGTTCTGGCCAGGGCAATCAGGCAGGAGAAAGAAATAAAGGGTATTGAATTAGGAAAAGAGGAAGTCAAATTGTCCCTGTTTGCAGATGACATGATTGTATATCTAGAAAACCCCATCGTCTCAGACCAAAATCTCCTTAAGCTGATAAGCAGCTTCAGCAAAATCTCAGGATACAAAATCAATGTACAACAATCACAAGCATTCTTATACATCAATAACAGATAAACAAAGAGCCAAATCATGAGTGAACTCCCATTCACAATTGCTTCAAAGAGAATAAAATACCTAGGAATCCAACTTACAAGGGATGTGAAGGACCTCTTCAAGGAGAACTACAAACCACTGCTCAACGAAGACACAAACAAATGGAAGAACATTCCATGCTCATGGAAAAGAAGAATCAATATCGTGAAAATGGCCATACTGCCCAAGGTAATTTACAGATTCAATGCCATCCCCATCAAGCTACCAATGACTTTCTTCACAGAATTGGAAAAAACTACTTTAAAATTCATACGGAACCAAAAAAGAGCCTGCATTGCCAAGACAAACCTAAGCCAAAAGAACAAAGCTGGAGGAATCACACTACCTGACTTCAAACTATACTGCAAGGCTACAGAAACCAAAATAGCATAGTACTGGTACCAAAACAGAGATATAGACCAATGGAACAGAACAGAGCCCTCAGAAACAATACCACACATCTACAACTATCTGATCTTTGACAAACCTGACAAAAACAAGAAATGGGGAAAGGATTCCCTATTTAATAAATGGTGCTGGGAAAACTGGCTAGCCATATGTAGAAAGCTGAAACTTGATCCCTTCCTTACACCTTATACAAAAATTTATTCGAGATGGCTTAAAGACTTAAATGTTAGACCTAAAACCATAAAAACCCTAGAAGAAAACCTAGGCAATACCATTCAGGACATAGGCATGGGTAAGGACTTCATGTCTAACACACAAAAAGCAATGGCAACAAAAGCCAAAATTGACAAATGGGATCTAATTAAACTAAAGAGCTTCTGCACAGCAAAAGAAACTACCGTCAGAGCAACCATCAGGCAACCTACAGAATGGGAGAAAAATTTTGCAATCTACTCATCTGACAAAGGGCTAATATCCAGAATCTACAAAGAACTCAAAGAAATTTACAATAAAAGAACAAACAACCCCATCAAAAAGTGGGTGAAGGATATGAACAGACACTTCTCAAAAGAAGACATTTATGCAGCCAAAAGACACATGAAAAAATGCTCATCATCACTGGCCATCAGAGAAATGCAAATCAAAACCACAATGAGATACCATCTCACACCAGTTAGAATGGCAATCATTAAAAAGTCAGGAAACAACAGGTGCTGGAGAGGATGTGGAGAAATAGGAACACTTTTACACTGTTGGTGGGACTGTAAACTAGTTCAACCATTGTGGAAGACAGTGTGGCGATTCCTCAGGGATCTAGAACTAGAAATACCATTTGACCCAGCCATCCCATTACTGGGTATATACCCAAAGGAATATAAATCATGCTGCTATAAAGACACATGTACACGTATGTTTATTGCGACTCTATTCACAGTAGCAAAGACTTGGAACCAACCCAAATGTCCATCAATGATAGACTGGATTATGAAAATGTGGCACAAATACACCATGGAATATTATGCAGCCATAAAAAATGATGAGTTCATGTCCTTTGTAGGGACATGGATGAAGCTGGAAACCATCATTCTCAGCAAACTATTGCAAGGACAAAAAACCAAACACCACATGTTCTCACTCATAGGTGGGAATTGAACAATGAGGACACTTGGACACAGGAAGGGGAACATCACACACCAGGGCCTGTTGTGGAGTGGCGGTGGCGGGGAGGGATAGCATTAGGAGATATACCTAATGTAAATGACGAGTTAATGGGTACAGCACACCACCATGGCACATGTATACATATGTAACAAACCTGCACATTGTGTGCACATGTACCCTAGATCTTAAAGTATAATAAAAACTATATATATAAAAAAACTACAAATACGTTGCACTGTATACTGGCGATGGGTGCACCAAAATCTCACAAATCACCACTAAAGAACTTAGTCATGTAACCAAATACCACCTGTGCCCCAATAACTTATGAAAAATTTTTTTAAAAAGATATGTATTAAAAAATTTTTTAAGTTTAAGGGATATAGAAAGAAATATTATGATAACTTTCATCAACAGAAAGCTGGAGTGGATATATTAATTTCAGACAAAGTAGACATCAGACCAGGAAAAGTTATCAGAGATAAAGAGCAGCATTACATAATGATAAAGTGGCCAATCCTCCAAGTGGACATAAAATTCTTTAACATACATGCACCTAACAACAGAGCATCAAAGCATGTGAGGCAAAACTGGACAGAATTGTAAAGAGAAATAAATTCATTCACTATTATAGTTGGAAATTAAACACTCCTTGTGTTAGCCTATTTGCACTGCTATAAAGAAATATGTGAGACTGGGTAATTGATAAAGAAAAGAGGTTTATTTTGATGTATGTTTCTGCAGGCTATACAGGAAGTATGGTGCTGGCATCTGCTTCTGGTGAGAGCCTCAGGGAGCACATCATGGCAGAAGACGAAGAAGGAGCTGGAATATCACATGGCAAGAGAGGAAGAAATGGTAGGGGGAAGTGTCACTCTCTTTCAAACAACCAGATTTCATGTGAACTCAGAGCAAGAATTCACTCATTACCTTGAGGAGAATACCAAGCCATTCATGAGGAATCCACCCCCAGGATTTAAACACCTCCCACCTGGCCCCACCTGCAAAATTGGGGATTACATCTCAACATGAGATTTGGAGGGGACAAACATCCAAAGTATATGATTCAGCCCCTTTCCCCCCACTCCCCCACCAAATCTCATGTCCTTCTCTCATCACAAAAGTAGTCCCCAAAAGTCTCAACTCATTCCAGCATCAACTCAGGGGTCCCAAAGTCCAAAGTCTCATCTGAGACTCAAGTAGAGCTGCTTCCACCTATAGGCCTTTAAGATAAGCAAACTATTTACTTCCAAGATACAATGGTTGTGCAGGGATTGAGTCAACATTCCAATTTCAAAAGAGAGAAATCAAGCAAAAGCAAGGAGCAACAGGTCTCACACAAATTCAACACCCAGCAAGACAGACATTAAATCTTAAAGCTCCAGCATAATCCTTGACTCAATGTCCCACATCCAGGTCACACTGTGCAAGTGGTGGGCTCCCAAGGCATTGGGCAGCTCCACCCCTGTGGTTTTGCAGGGTGCAGCCCCCATGACTGCTCTCATGGATTGGAGTTGAGCACCTGTGTCTTTTCCAGGCACCGGGTGCAAGTTGCCAGTGGCTCTACCATTCTTGAGTCTAGAGGATGGTGGGCCCCTTCCCATAGCTCCATTATGCAGTTCCCTGGTGGGAACTCTGTGTGGGGTCTCCAGCCCTACATTTACCCTCAGCCCTGACCTAGTAGAAGTTCTCTGCAAGGGCTCTGCCCCTGCATCAGGCTTCTGCCTTGGCACCCAGGGCTTTCCCATACATCCTCTGAAATCTAAGTAACTGCTACAAAGCCTCATTCACTTTTGCATTCTGTGTACCTGAAGGCTTAACACCACATAGAAGCCACCATGGCTTATGGTTTGCACTCTCCAAAGCAGCAGCCCCAGGTATACCTGGGGCCCTTTGAGCTATGGCTGGAGCTGGAGCAGCAGGGATAAGGGCAGTAGTCTCCTACTGTGACTGGTAGAGCAGGGCAGTGGTGCCCTGGTCCTGGTCCCAAACCATTCTTTCCTCCTAGGCCTCAGGTTCTGTGATGGTAGGGGTTGCTCTGAAGGTTTCTAAAATGACTTTGAGACCTTGTTTTCCTTGTCTTGGATATTAGCACCTGACTCCCTTTCAGTCATGTAAATCTCTCCAGCAAGTGGTTGTTTTGCAGCCACAGCCTGCTTGTATTCCTCTCCTAAAAATGCTCTTTCCTTCTCTACCATGTGGCCAGGCTGTGAATTTTCCAAATTAATACACTATGCTTTCCTTTTAGTTGTAAGTTTCAACTTTAAATCATTCATTTCCTCCTATATCTGACCATAGGTTGTTAGATGCAGCCACGCAACTTCTCTTTTTTTTGAGACAAGGTCTCACTCTGTCACCCAGGTCAGAGTGCAGTGGTTCTACCATGACTCACTGCCATCAGATCACTTCTGAAATGCTTTGCTGCTTAGAAATTTCTTCTGCCAGATACCCTAGATCATCACTCTTAAATTCAAACTTCCTCTGACCCCCAGGGCATGGATATAACGCGTCAAGTTCTTTGCTAGGGTGTAACATAGGTGATCTTTACTTTAATTCCCAATAACTACCTTGTTTCCATTTGAGGCTTCATCAGCCTGGCTTTTACTGTCTATATTACTATCAGTATTTTGGTCACAACAAAGTAACAAGACTCTAAGAAGTTTAAATTTTCCCTCATCTTCCTGTCATCTTCTGAGCCCTCTAAACTCTTCCAACCTCTAAACTCTTCCAACCTTCCACCCCTGTGACTGAGCCCTCTAAACTCTTCCAACTTCTGCCCATTACCCAGTCCCAAAGCCAATCCACATTTTCAAGTATCCTTATAGCAATGCTCCATTTCTTGGCACCAATTTTCTGTGTTAGTCTCTTTGCATTGCCATAAAGGAATACTTAAGACTGGATAATTTATAAAGAAAAGAGGTTTAATTGGCTCACAGTTCTGCAGGATGTACAGGAAGCATGGTGCCAGCATCTCATTCTGGTAAGGGCCTCAGGAAACTTACAATTATGGTTTAGACAATGAAGGGAGAGCAGGCAAGAGGAAGCAAGAGAGCAAGCAAGGAAACAATAGAGCAACGAGGAAGAGCCAGACTTCTTTAGACTACCAGCTCTCACATGAACTACCAGAGCAAGAACTCACTCATTGCCACGGGGATGGCATCAAGCTATTCATGAGGGATCCACTCCCATGATTCTAACACCTCCTACCATGCCCACCTCTAACATTGGAGGTCATATTTTAACATGAGATTTGGAGGGGACAAAACATCCAAGCCATATCACTCCTCTATCAAAAATGAATAGATTTGGCAGGCAGAAAATCATAAGGACATAGTTGATCTTAAGAACGCCATCAATCAACTGGATATAATGGACATTTATAGACTATTTAATCAAAAAAAAGGAAAATACACATTCTTCTCAAGCTCACAGAGAAAATTAAACATAGACAACATTCTGAATCATAAAATATACCATAACAAATTTAAAAGGATATAAATTATACATGTCTACTCTCAGACCAAAATGGAATTAAACTAGAAATCAGTAACAGAAAGCTGGAAATTCCCAAAATGACTCATCTGGGTTCCAGTCTGGTATTTTTTAAAGAATCAGATATGACGGCCAATTTTATGTGTCAACTTGGCTACACTACAGTGCCCAGTTGTTTGGTCAGACACCAGTCTAAATGTTGCTTGCTGTGAAAGTATTTTTTAGATGTAATTAACCTTTAAACCAGTAAACAAGGATTAAGGCAAATTACTTTCCATAATGTGAGTGGGTTCCATCCAACCAGTAAAAGGCCTTAAAGAGAAAGACTGAGGTTTCCAAAGGAAGAAAGAATTTGGTCTCAAGATTGCAATATAGAAATTCTCTCTGAGTTTTCAGCCTAGTAGCCTGCTCTGTGAATCTGGGACTCAAGACTACATCAACTCTTATGTGAACTTTCAGCCTATTGGCAAGTTCTTATAGAGTTTGAACTTGTTAGCCACCACAGCCACACGAACCAATTATTTAAATAAATCAACCTCTGTCTCTCATATATTTGTGTGTGTGTGTGTGTGTGTAATTCCACAGAAAGAGAATCATAAATATATATGAAATCTAACACACCAGGTGATAACCAATGTGCAGCCAAGGTTGAGAGCAACTGGTACAATGGATCTGTAAGAAATTGTGATGAATCCTATCAATATCAACTACACAGATTAGAGGGTTCTTCCCCATCTCATGGTCAGCAGAATGACCTGAGCAGTGTCAGTGGTGGAGCTCCGCACGGCCTAGGGGCCCCACAAGGCCTAGCAGCCTCCCACATGGGCAATGAGACTATAGAGGCACAATACCACAGCAGGCAGGCTATTCAGCCAACAAAGGGATAGGAACCACCAAAGGCATTCCAAGGGTCATTTTAGGGACAGACTTAAAAGACAGTCAGGATTTATGGGAGGGACAAGGCAGGAAATGTAGGTTTCTCTGGTGGGTCTTGGAGCCAATGGTCACTTCCAGCCCCATTGCTATAAGCTAAACCCAGACAATTTTCATGGATGTGCAGCCCAGCATGGTATAGAGATGGAATGTAAGTATCCACTCATATTTACAAAATTATTCCACTGTGAAAATGGCTTTCACACATATGAGACCACTTCTTCCTTCCAACAATCCATGGGGGTATCTAGGAACAATATTATTACCCTCAATTTACAGACAAGAAAACCAAGGCTCAGAGATTAGATGATTAGCCAAATTCACTAAGCCAGGGAGTACTTAGGTTGAAATTCAAACTGAGATTCCTTAACTCACAGTGCAGACTTCTCTTTAGTTACTATCATTAACATTAATAGATAATATTTATTGAACATTTTTGTATTCCAGGTGCTTACTGCAGTTTATATCAATTATAACATTTAATTTTCATAATTACACTAGAAAGTATTAGGACCACCACTTTACAGATGAAGAAACTAGGATTTAAGGGTTTAAGTAATTTTTAAAACCTCGCATGATATTCTTCTAAGAGTATTTATGAGCAGCACTGCATTTGTAAACCACAAATATACAACATGGCAGCTGGAATGCCTAGTCTATTATCAAAGAAGGTAAAACCTACATAGATAGGCATAGATCCCACTGGATTTGTTAACCCATGTCTCAACCAGAGCTGGGTAAAACAGACTATGCTGGAGGGACATTACTGTCCCTAACCCATCTCCCCATTTCCCAACTTCCTCTGAGTCCAAGGAGCTGGGCAGAAGAGCAGAATCCTCATCTTATACAATTCCTGAGGCCAGAGCTCAGGCCTGACATGTGGGTGTATACATCACCTCTCACATGCATAATCCTTCCCTCAAGGCACAAATAATGTAAATGAGGGATAGGAATGAAGAATGTCTAAGGGAAATCTGATTCCACCAGCCATATGAATCCTCATTTTTAAGAACAGAGCTCCTCCTTGATGATTTCCTCTTAAGTTTTTCACTTAGAAAAAACAATTGGTCTTAACGTCACCAATTACGGAACAAGTAGGCATCATCTCCTTCCTGATGTGATATACTGAGAAAGATGTATGCACATCATTTCTGGGGTATTCCTGCCAAAAGCATATCAACTAAATCTAATCAGAAGGGATATCAGACAAAACAAAATTGAGGGACAGTCTACAAAATAACTGTCTTATGCTCTTCAAATATGTCAATGTCATGAAAATCAAAGAAAGACTGAAGAATAAGTTCCAGATTAAAGGAGAAGAAAGAAATGTTAACTAAATGCAATTCATAACCCTGGATGGAATTCTGGATCAGGAAATGTTTTTGGTTTGGTTTTGTTATAAAGGATTGTATTGACACTTGACACAATTTGAAGAAGGTCTGTAGATTAACTAACAGTATTGCATCTATGCTAATTTCCTGATTTTGAAGATTGCACTGTGGTTATGCAAGAGGATGTCCTTGTCTTTTAAGAAACTGAAGCTTGGGGCATGGAGAAAAGAGAGAGAGAAAGTCAGATAGAGAGAAAGAATAATAAAGCAAATATGATAAATGTTAATGTTTGGGGCATCTGGGAAAAGAGTAAAAGAATTCCATAGTGCTATTCTCATAAGTTTTCTCTAAGTCTGAAATTATTTCAAAATAAAACCCATTATTATTTAGAGACATTGAGCCTTTATGAGTAAACATGACAGAATCTTCAGTCTTGGTAGGAAACTGTGATCAAAGTCTGTGCAAAACAAGTCTTAATATTGTATCATTGAGGTGGGAGGAAGCAGGGGCATTAATCCACCAACTCTCATTCCTCTTTGGTTGAGAGTTGTCTCTGAGGCATTAAGTCTGCAACACTTTCATGCTGCCCTGTTCACAGACAGAGCACATGCCTACCACCAGAACCGCTAAGGCAGAGATGCAAGATGCCATGATGTGTACAAGAATGGCCTGCAGATGACCTCTGGTATGGGATTAGAGGATATGAACAGGGTAGCTACAGTGTCTACCAGAGTGACACAACCTAACTCCTACCCACTAGCATAGTATCTTCCTTCCAGTCATCTGTCACCCAAAGGGCTTTTAGGCAGAGAAACTTCAAAAAACACATATGCCTGAAGTTGAGTTGATATCCATGTTCTGGAAAACAAAGAAAGAGGTACTATGGAATGAACAATTAAAAAGCCCTGAGTGAACGCAAAGGAAGTATGTATTTTCTGTGTGGATTTTCTCAGTAACAGGCCAGTTTGGCTCTTTTCAGCTAGGGTAATTGGAATAAAGGTGTTCCATTTTGAGACAAGAGGGAAAGCCGGGGTCACTGCTTGCAGCCAGGAGCTAAAATGAGGCTTCCATGAAGACTGGCAAAAAGGAAGTAGACTGCTGCTGCCTGAGATTATGGCATTTAGGGCCAAGGAATGTAGAAGGACTTTAATGAAGCTTGATTCCAGGAGCTGAATCAAGACACCTACACCTTAAGAACAGAGAGTTTGCCAAAGAGGAAATACAAATGGAAAAAAAAAAAACATATGAAAAGATTTTCAACATCATTAGTCATCAGGAAATGCTAATTGAAACTATAGAGAGACATCACTACGCACCTATCAAAATGCCTAAAATAAAAAATAGTGACAAAACCAAATGCTGGTAATAGTGTAGAGAAATGGGATTGTTCATTAATTGCTTGCAGGAATGTGAAATGACATATCCATGCTGGAAACCCATTTGAAAATTTCTTACAAAACTAAATATGCAGAGTGACAACAAGAAGATTGGCAAAGCAGAAAGCACAGGAATCTATCTCCCCACCAAGACAAAAAAATGCACTGGCAGGATCTGTCTGATGTAACTATTTTGAAACTTGGAGTCTGTTTGAAGGCTTTCAACTTCCAGGCAAAAGCTTGAATGGAAAGTTGCAATTAATTTCAGTCTATTTAAACTTTTAATGCAGTACAACAATTAAAAATAAAGGAAACCATGTGGAAAGGGAAGAATCTGATTTTCAGAGTTAAAAATTATAAGGTTCAAATGTCAAAAATCAAAAAGCATACAAAGAAAGAGGAAAGTATGGCCCAGTCAAATGAAAAAAAAAAAATCAACAGAAACTCCCTAAGAAAGAACAGCTGGCAGATTTATTAGACAAAGGCTTTAAAATGACTGTTTTAAAGATTCTCAAAGACCTAACAGAAAACATAGACAAATTATTACATGAAGAAAATGATGTATGAACAAACAGAAATATAAAGACAGTATAATAGGAATATTATGGACAGAAAACATAAAACATTAGGATACAAAATAAAAAGGAACCAAAAATAAATTCTGGAGCTGAAAGGTACAATAACTAAAACGAAAAATTGACTGCAATGATTCGAAGCATATTTTGCAGGCATAAGAAGAAATCAACAAACTTCAAGACAGGACAATTGAAATTATTCAGTCTGAAAAATAGAAAGGAAAAATTGAAGAAAAGTGAACAGACTCTAAGGGACCTATAGAACACCATCAAGCTGACCAACATACGCATTGTGGGAGTACCAAAAGGAGACGAGAGAGAGGAAAGAGAAGAAATATTATTTGAGTAAACATTGGCTAAAATTCTCCCAAATTTCATGAAAGGCATGAATAAAGACATCCAAGAAGCAACAAATTTCAAGCAGGATAAACTCAAAACAACACACACCAACACAATATAATGAAATTTTCAAAAGCCAGAGACAAAAAGAAAATCTTGAAAGCTGCAAGAGAGAAACAATTCATATATACAAGAGGTCCCAATAAGATTGGTAACAGATTTCTCACAGAAACTTTGGAGGACAGAAGGCAGTGGATTGATTAATTCAAAATGTTGAAGGAAAAAAACCATCAATCGAGAATTTTATATCTGGCAAAACTGTCCTTCAAAAATGATGGAAAAATTAAGACATTGCCAGATAAACAAAAGCTGAGATGATTCTTTACCACTAGACCTACCATGCAAGAAATGCTAAAGGGAGTCCTTCAGGTTGAAACAAAAGCCACTGGAGAGTAACTCGTAGCTGTTCAAAGAAATAAATATCTCTGCTAAAGGTAAATGTATGAACAATTATAAAAGCCCCAGACTGGGCTAAGTGCCTTTCTCTGTACTTAAATTGCCCACCTCCACCTCCTCACCATCCCCAGCTTACCTCTATCAAAGTATTCATCTCCCTGTATGGAAATGTCTGATTGCCTGGGCACTCTCTACAGCTAACTATGACCACAGTAATGTCACATACAAACAGATCAGCCAAGAATTGGTTGATCTGGGCTTAGTGGCTCTGCTAATCTGAGTTGGACTTGCTTATGTGTCTGTGAGTTGACTGGGGTCAGCAGATATGGGTTAGCTTCAACTGGCATGGCTATGCTTCATGTGTCTCTCATCCTCCTCTGGAAACAGCGGGCTAGCCTGGACATGTATTTTTCATGGCAGTAGCAGAGACACAAGCAGAAAATATGCCAAGGTTTCTTAAGGCATAGGCTCAGAACTGGCACAGTTACTTTCACCTCATTTTATGACCCCAAGCAAGTCACGTAGTCTAACCCCAAGTCAAGGGTTGGAGAAATAGACTCCACCTCTTTAGTAGGAGACGCTGAAAAATCAAATGCAAAGAGGATAGACTAGATACAGGGTGGAATAGAGAACTAGGGCAGTGATGCCATCTTCCCCAAGCTCCTGTGGTAGGAGTCCTATCTTATTCATTTGTATCCCAGAAGCTCATCATTGTGCCAGCCATGAAGTGTTTAATAGTCATTAACAGAGCTCGGAAGAGAATGAATGAATAAACAAACAACTCTTTCTTTTACAGATGAAGAAACAGTTCCATGAGATGAAGTAAATTGCCCAAAGTCACATAGCTAGTTCATAGTGGATTCATAAACAGAATTCAGATCTCTGTTTCTTTCCACCATGGCTTGGTGATGAAACAGTCATGGCATGGCACCACCCCTATGCACACTCTGTCTGCTGAGGACTGGTGTCTGGGGTGAACACCTGCAGGCCAGCTCACAGCTCTGTTGCAGCTGCCATGCTATGAATCCATCTAAGGTGGGGTGTGGCTAGCCCTTTGCTAACATCTTGCATAGAATAAGAAGAGACACTTTCTCTGCCAACAGACAGAACACAGAGCCAAATGCCTCCCTGCATCACTGTCATCTTTCCCCCTTACATGCTAATATCCACATCAGGGGGTTGGAGGAGGCTGCTATTTCTGGGCAGTTTCCTGCAGTTTGATGCTTGTGTTTCTAATTGTTATTGCCACTTGCTGGCATCCCCTTTGGTATATTAACAGTTTAATCCATGTGAATTTTGTGTGTGCTTGCATCCCGAGGCTGCTTAAAGTGAAAGGTGGAATTTCATTTGCCTGAAAAACTAAAGACTCCTTCTTCCTTCTGAGGAACTGGTGGCAATTGCTTCATCAGCAAAGGGCAAGGTTGAGGTCTAAAAGGATACAAAACTCCCCTTGGCAAAGAAAAGGGCATTGGTCCAAATCTTTCACTGTCCCCACCTGAGGATCAAGGAGGAGGTGGGGTTGCTGCTCTGTATAATTTCCTTTTTCTTGGCTGCTGGTTAAGAAAATCAGGTTCTCAGCTCAGTGCGGTGGCTCACGCTTATAATCCCAGACTTTAGGGAGCTGAGGTGGGAGGATTGCTTGAGGCCAAGAGTTTGAGACCAGCCTGGGCAACATAGTGAGACCCCATCTCTACAGAAAATGTAAAAATTGGCTGGGCATGTTGGTACACGCCTGTAGTCCCAGCTACTTAGGAGGCTAAAGTGGGAGGATCACTTGAGCCCAGGAGTCTGAGGCTGCAGTGGGCTATGATTACACCACTCTACTCCAGCCTGGGTGACAGAGGAAGACCTTGTCTCTAAAATAGAGAAAGGAAAAAAATAAAGAAAGAAAGCAAATTAGGTTCAAGTAATTGACTTTCTCATTAGATAGCTGTGTGACCTTAGAAAAGCCACTTCACTTCTCTGCATCTGAGTGGCAATCAGTAAAACAAAGTGAATGACTAGATCTGTGCTTCAGAAGAATGGGCTTAAATCCATCAGATGTACACTTCAGAGGAGAAGGGCTGTGTGGGCAGTTGGGGGCTGGTGGATAACAGGGCTCAAAGCCATGGGATGAAGTTGTAGAATCTTTATGGGAACTCCAGCTTCATGGTTAATACGTTTAAGTACATAGTGTATCTATACCATGGAGTAGAACGCAAGTTTCCATGACCCTTTAGTATAAACAATGAGACACTGATGCTTGGTTGGCTGCATCAGTCTACACTTTCCATTCCCAAAGTATGCTTTTCTCCTCTTCTGACCTCAGAGGCACTTGGTAGAAAAATGTGAGAAGCTCCAAGATCACCACTTGTTCTAATATTTGCTGAGTCTATGAATCAAGGACAATTAAATAGCAAAACTCTCACCCTGGGAAAGGTAAATAAATACAGCCACTTTGGAAAATTGTTCAGCAGTTTCTTATAAAGTTAAAAATATATTTACTGATGGCCCACCAATTCCACTCCTTGTTACCTAAAAGAAAGAAAAACATTTATTAAAGACCACACAAAAATATTTCTTCCTAAGTCCACACACGCTTATGTTCTAGCAAAAGCTAGAAACAATCCAAATGTCCGTCAATAGAAAAATGGATGAACTTTGCTACATCCCAATGATGGAATACTCCTCAGCAATGAGAAGACAGAACAAATAATATGCAAAAACTAGGATTAATCTCAAAATCACTATGCCAAGTGAAAGAAACTAAAAACAAGAGTATATACCATAAGATTTCATCACATGAAATTCTAGAAGAAGCCATACAAAGCCATGATGATAGAAATCAGAATAAGCTTTGCCCCTTGAAAGGGGCTGGGGTGAAGGTATTGACTGGAAAAGGGGCACAAAAAAGTATCTGGGATGAGGGAGAGGTTTTCTATCATGATGAGGGTGTTGGCTATACAGGCATATAAATTTACCAAAGCTCGTTGGACTGTGCATTTTACTGTTTATGAATTACACCTTAACTTAAAAAGAAAACAAAACTCTCACCTGCTAAACAGAGATGTCACTGGGAAGCATGAGCTGCTTCTCTCCCTGAAAACTTAAGAACAGTCCCATTTGATTTTCTCAACAATCTTATAAAAATGACACTACTGTAAGTCCTCAATTTCTTATTCACAATTCTGAAATCTAAAAAGTGCTGAAAGCCAGTAATTTTTCTTGTTTGTAATAAACTCATTTGGATAAAACCTGAAAAAAAAAAACAGCAGCACTCTAAACATCAGACGCTCCTGAAACTGTCACTAAAGAAGGACTGTTGAATAGAAAACGTTAAGCCTGGGACAAACCCAATTTGTCAAGACACAGCAAAGAGCCTACCCAGCTGAAGGTTGCTGTTAACACACAATATCATGGATGATATCATCATTACAGCTTGGGCTCCCTGAAAATCAGTCTCTGGGATGAAGATTAGCTTGCAGGAGGCCTCTTAGGAAGTATTCTTGGGATCAATGCTTGTGGAAGGGAAGAGAAGGAAGCAGGATTAGGCAGAGAGAAAAAGCTAAGCTGCAATGTGATCTCAACAAAGGCCTCAGCCAACCTCCTGTGAGCTCGGGTGCCCAAGTGGCTCTTCAGAGCTGACTCCTGAGCACGGAGGGATCATGCCTTCTTACCCGACATCAACTGGTAATTGGATGCAGGTTGCCCCTGGAAGGAGGTATAACCCTGAGCCAGCCAGTCCCCAAATGGGCTAACAGCTGACAGATGTCTACCAGCAGCACTCTCAGAAGCTGGGAGGGCTAGATTTTCATAAAGTGGATCTATACATCTCATCATCACAAAGCCCACCACAGTCTCCAAAATTAACTTATAACAATAACTTTCTCATTTCTTTTAGCGCAAACCCCACTCTCCCTGACCTAAATTTTTATGAAGAGTTGGCACTTCACCCTCCTTGAACGATCAACATTTACACACAGTTGAAGACAAAAGTTAACCAGGGCAGCCCTAACTTTTACAGACCTGTGGAAAGTTCCCTCCTTCATTCCCCAAATTGGATGTAGAAGTCATATCAACTCAGGTCTTAATTGGAAAGAACCCGTGCCAATAGCCATTCTCTGGAGAGAATATTAACTCTCCCATTACATGGAATGGATGGTCAATCCACTTGCGATAAAGCCCCAATCCAAGGTTTCCGCCTGTCTGACGGATTACTGGTGATGACAATGTGGGTCTCTAACTGAAAAGGTAGATGGAATCCCCGTTGTGGCCAAAGCAAATAATAACCTCATTTCCCCTGGCAATGGGTGTTGGCTGGTTGTTAATCAAGTTACTTCTCTCAGTCTCTTCCTTTAGGAATATGAGAAAACATAACTTATGTTATGCATATCTGCTTCTTCCTTCTTTAGCCATGTTCTGCCAGGGACACCAATTCCTGAGTTAGTCCTGACCAAGAGCATGTGTTTTTGTTTGAGTTTCCTTGAAAGCAGAGACAGACACAAGGACTTAGGTGCAGGTGGCTTATCTAGGAGATGGTTCTGAAAAGCCAGGGTGAAAGAGTGGAGAAAGCAGGACAGGGAAGAAGGAAAAGCCAAAAAAAAAATGCATTTTACTAAGTTGATCATTGCTGTGGACAATTGCAGCTCATTCTTGCTGGGAACCCTCTGAGAACTCTGTAGAACACACCTCAGCATTGTCCCTCCACTGATTGAGGGCTGACCCCAGTAGAATCACAGACCCACAGCTATGAGTGGCACCCAGGGACAGGTTGAGCTACTTCCTGCAACTTCAGAGAAGGTCCTGACCTGCAGAAGACATGGGAGGACCCTGCTAAGATCCCCTTCAAAACGGGACATGCTGTGAGGTGCAAACGATGGTCAGCTGGCAGCCAGGGCTGGGTCATAGGTGAGACTCATAAGTCTCACAGAGTCCCGTAGTTAGAAGGGCCCCACACTTGGCTTAATAGTCTGCTGGCATCATCTTGATTGACATCCGTAATATTTTTAACAAGAGACTCCCATTTTCATTTTTCCCTGGGCCTCACAAATTATGTCGCTGGTCCTGCTGACATCCTCCAGCTGTTAACTCCTCAGGATCCACCTTGGTCATCAAGCCAAGTTCAGGTTCTTCTCAGGGCAGTGCCCCACCAATAACTGAGCAAGGCAGCAATATAAAGAAGGGCCGAGACCTCTCCATTCAACAGAGGACTCCTCTCTTGCACAATCTTGATGGGTGCAGATTTTGTGAGGTCTGTATCAGGGACTGACAGCTCCCCCTGTGCAATCCTGCTTCCTCCTTTTTCCTTTCTCGGTAAACATTTTGCATTCCTAACTCTGACCTCACATTTGCTTTCCAGAAAACTCAGCCTGCTACTGCAGCAGAAGTGAGAGGTGGAGCCAGCGAATATGATGGGAGGCAACAAGAACACTACACAGCTCACCACCACTTCCGCCCAGCCTTGGAAAACTCCCCTTCCTACCACCCAGCAGATGAGAGCAGCAATTTGCCATGGTATTGCAGGCCTGGAGTGTGTCCAACCAGGGGCAGCCCTTCATCTTAATGTCCACCAACCTTCACCTTATTTTTGCCGTAAGCTTAGACAAGACAACTGGGCTTTCGCCTCAGTTTTTCACATAGCACTTGCTATCGTGTAGGTATTTGACCCTCCAAACCTCAGGTTGAAACTTGATGCCCAGTGTCAAAGGTGAGGCCTAATGAGAGGTGTTTGGGTCATGGGGGTGAATCCATTATGAACGGCTTGTTGCCCTCTTTGGGGTAACAAATGAAGTCTCACTCTACTAGTTCCTAAGAGCGCTGGTTGTTGAAAGGACCTTGACACCTCCCTGCTCTCCTGCCTCCTCTTGCCAGGTGATCTCTGCACAAGTTGGCTCCCTTTCACCTTCTACCATGAATGGAAGAAGCCTGAGGCCCTCACCAGAAGTAGATGCTGGCACCATGCTTCTTGTACAGCCTGCAGAACTGTGAGCCAAACAAACCTCTTTTATTTATAAAGTCCCAAGCCTCAGGTATCTCTTTCTAGCAACACAAATGGACTAAGACAGCACTTTAGTTCTATTGCAACAAGAGATGGGCATTGTACCCCAGCTCTCTCAGTTGGGACCCTGCCTAGTTCTTGCCAGCCCCTTTTCCTGAGCTACATTGAGAGAATCAATAAAAACAATTAAGGACACAGGCCAAGTAGACTTTGACATTTGGAAAAGCCACAGTCCAACAGCTTCATGCCACCCAGTACCCCAAATTCCTCATAAAGGGGTCCATTGCCTATTGTTTCTCCAATAACGTTTTTCTTTCGGCCAAGAATTTTTGCCTTCTCGGGAACATCACACACCGGGGCCTGTTGTTGGGTCGGGGGAGGGGGGAGGGATAGCATTAGGAGATACACCTAATGTAAATGACGAGTTAATGGGTGCAGCACACCAACATGGCACATGTATAAATATGTAACAAACCTGCACATTGTGCACATGTACCCTAAAACTTAAAGGATAATTAAAAAAAAAAAAGGTCAAAAAAAATTGTTTGCCTTCTCTCCACATATATGACTTACCTGAACTGACTGATGACTTTCTTTCTTGAATCACTTTTCACAGAAAAATCAATTTTATGTTTCTCCACAGAAGTTACAGTATGAGTGACAAGGCAAAATTATGTTATTACATACCACATGACTGGTAAATCCACGGATGTGAAAACACTACCCTTGTGTTAGATCATTTTTCCATCACTGTGAAGAAATACCTAAGGATGGGTAATTTACAAAGAAAAGAGGTTTAATTGGTTCACAGTTCTGCAGGCTGTACAAGCATGGCACTGGCATATGCTCAGCTTCTGGTGAGGCCTCAGGGAGCTTTTAAGCATGGCAGAAGGTGAAGCAGGAGCAAGCACTTCACCTGGTGAGAGTGGGAGCAAGAGTTAGGGGGAAGGTCTTAGACTTTTAAACAAACAGATCTTGCATGAACTAACTGAGCAAGAACTCACTCATCAGCAAGGGGACGATGCTAAGCCATTCACGAGGCATCTGCTGTCATGATCCAATCATCTCCCATCAGGCCCTACCTCCAACAATGGGGATTACATCACAACATGAGATTTGGAGGAGACAATATCCAAACTATACCAACTCTATACTGATTTAAATATGCAAAGGCCCTAAGTATCCCCTCCACACCTATCTTAGCCTTAACCATATGTTTAATGAATATATGTAGGCACCTCTACATATGCACCTCTATTTGCAAATATGTATCAATGCCCCCAAATTCTTAGCATATGTAGCAGATTCTGTTGCTTTCCCACCCAAGCCCCTCAGCTAACCTCTTGGGTTCACCCGCAGCTATGATGGAGAATTCCTGTGTACACCAGCGGTATCCACACTGAAGCACCTCCTCCTTTCAGATTCTCTGCCTGAGAGCTTTCTCTAACACCAGGGGACCTTGCTCAGACCATGCACAGAGCAGCCCAGTGTGCTGAGGAATCCATGTTCCCAAGCAACCTCAACCCATGAGGGAGGAGAGTTGGCAGATTATCACTCCAGCTTCCTCATCCCTCAACTGCTCAGTGGGACAATTCTGTGGCATGTTCTATACCAGTGGTTTTCAAACTTTCGTATGCATCAGAATCACCCAGAAGGCTTGCACGACATGGATTGTTGAAGCTCATGATAGAGCTCCTGGGGTGGAGACTCAAGATTTTGCATTTCTAATAAGCTTCCAGATGATGCCACGTTGCTGATCTTGGAATCACCCTTTGAGAAGCAGTTCTTCAAGAAGACTCCAGTGGAACGGAGTCCCTACTGCCCGCAGAGGCCACCCTGATCACTATTGCACACTTCCTTGGCTGCTTCTCCTTACAATCTCATTTTCCCACCCCTTCATTTGGATTACCTTAGAATCACCTCCCAAATAAACTCCCACCACTCAAGCTTTTGTCTTGGAGTCCACTTTTGGTAGAATACAAGTAGGAGGCCATGGCTTCTTATATGATCTCTCAATTACATTACATGTATATATTCTTTCAATTAAAAAAATACAACTACTAGTGTGGGAGTCTTCAAGGAGGTCCCAAAATATCTGAAAACCATTGATTTAGATAAAGCCCTCATTTTACAAATGGTCTACAAATGTTTGGGGCCTTTAAAAAAGAGATTCAGACCCAAATCCAAAGCTCCTAGATTTTCACTCTCTCAAGCTGCCTATTTAGAAAGTAATCTGTTCCTGATGTCATATATTGAATAATGACTATAGGTCCACCTGAATGATCAAAAGGTGCCACGTATGGGGTTGGGGGCCAGTTTTTCTGGTATTTCCTTCTTTTGGGCACGAAATTGAGCCTTAATGTCCAAGGTCTTGGAGACTTACTTCCTAACCAAACTACATTTCTTATTTTTTTCTGTCCAGGCAGGGTTTGGAATTTCTGTGTCTCATTCTGAAATATCAGGCCTTCCAGGTTCTCTCCATTAAGGCAGACATCTGCCCTGTCCCTCCTCCTTGGTCATCCCCTAAGCCTGCAAGCATCGGAGGTATAGAAGGACTCAGCCTGCTGTCTCCCTCTATTCTGCTAACTGTAAACTAAACAAAGGCTACTGTGAAATTCTCTCCTATATAGCTTATACAAAACCTCCTACATATTTACAGACAGTGGAGCAAGTGGTGAAACGCAAGAAGATACTCTGGTGCCCTAAAGCTAGAGGAAAAAAACAACTAATCAGCACCTCTGAAAACCCCACTGTCTGTGTCCTGCAAGAAGCAGCAAGTCTCCCTCAACCCTCACCCTTCTTAGCTCTGTGGGCCTCCATCTGGTTCCCTTCTATGACACTGTGTTTCATTTCTCCACTGCCTCCCCATGATCTGTAGCTGGTGTGATATTTTGGAGTTTGCTTTTGGAAACATTCTTTCAAACATGTCACCCCATGATGCCATCTGCTGTGTACATGCCCTCCACCTCCACCAATATGTCCCTTGGCATTTGAAAGTGCTTGGCATTTTAGAAGCTGGTGAGGAGCACTGCTTGAGGGATTTGCTGTCAAAATCAAAGATATCACCTCTGTCCTGACAGAGGCGTTCTGTGTGGAGCCATTGGCCTTGATCGAATTTAGAATTCATTTTCTGAAAGGCGTCTCAAGTGACCCTGTGGTAGGCTGAATAATGAACTCCCAGTATGTCCATATTTTAATCCCTGGAACCTGTGAATGTTACCTTCCATGGGAAAGGGACTTTGCAGGTGTGATTAAGTTAAGGACCCTGAGATGGTGATATGGTTTGGATGTTGTCCCCTCTAAGTCTCATGTTGAATTGTAATCCCCAATGTTGTAAGTGGGACCTGGCAGGAGGTGTTTGGGTCATGGGGGCGGATCCCTCATGGTTCAGTGCTGTCCTCATGATAATGAGTTCTCATGAGATCTGGTTGTTTAAAGAGTGCAGCACCTCCTCCACTCTCTCTCTTGCTCTTACTGTCCCCATGTGACAAGCCTGCCCCGTTTTGCCTTCTGCCATTATTGAAAGCTCCCTGAGGCCTCCCCAGAAGCTGAACAGATGCCAGTGCCATCCTTCCTGTACAGCCTGCACAACTATGAGCCAATTAAACCTCTTCTCTTTACAAATTACCCAGTCTCAAGTACTTCTTTATAACAATGCAAGAATGAACTAACACAGATGGGGAGATTATCTTGGATTATCTGAGTGGATTCAGATGTAATCGTAGGGTCTATAAAGGAAGTCTATAAGGTGTTGCTTTTAGCCACTAAGGCCGTGATGATTTGCAACAGAAAGGTGTCTTTTAACTATCTCGAGATGAAGTGATTTGCTTTCAAAGCGGGAACCTGTTCCCAGGGCATTATTCTGTTTTCATTTATACCCCAATCATGGTGATAAGTTATCACCACCCCTTTTGCCCCTCATGAAGTAGTGGGGACACCGTGACACATCCAAGCAATTGGTAGCAAACTTTCTGCAGAGCAAGTCAAGCAGGCATGTTGCTCCTCAAGCCTGTGGGCCAGCAACAGACTATGATATTGTTTGAATTTCCTTCAATAGCCAATCCAATATCTATACTTGTGGCTGCTGTGCTCTGGCACTGAAAAGGGGAGAAAGGAGAGACAGGAAGACATTTGTGACTATCATATCTCTTTAGAAAACCATTCAGACCATCCTTTTCCTAGAAAATGAAGTCATTCTTGTTCCAGAAAATTAATTACTGTTCTCAGAACTAGCAGAGATCCATGGATATGCAAATTGTCCATTGAAATTCCCATCAATCTCCTATGTAACTGATGCCCAACCAGCATCTCTTCCAAAGGCAACATGTTTTCAGCCCATCTTTCTCTCAGGAATAATGCACATCCTAATGGAAACATGTTGATTTATCTTCACTTCTCTCCTGTTCCTGTTTCCTCTCTGGAAAGAGACATACTATTTGTCCAAGGATCTAGCTAGTTAACTTTTGCTCACCCAGAAGCTGGTCTCTAGTATTGTGAGCTGCCAAGAGGCAACTTTCACTCCACAGAGAGATGTCAATCCTCAGTCCTTAGAGGAGGGAGAGCCAGTCTTCTGTAGGCTGGGATAACAAAATATTCCAGCTGGCCTGGGGAAAACCCCAGTTTATGCCTATAGTCCTTGTGTAATTATAAATGATGTCCTTTTCACTCTCAAAAGTGTCCTGGCTGGACAATAAATGTATGATCATCCTGCCTGGAGCTTTTCCTGAGGTCTTGGTCTGGGGAAATGGTCTGGGAAGGGAGCATGTTGTCAGTTAATAGCTGGATATCCACCCGGCCCCCAGCCCAGGGGTTGCTCTGCCTCCATGCCACACAGAGTTTAATTTCATTCAAGATGCCAGCCGTGCCTGGGGACAACCTTCTCCTGATGTCTACCCAGGATGTTTGGAACTGTGGCCCCATCAGGGCATCTAAATACCATTTTCTAAAAATAAGTTAGGTCTCTACCTTACAGTGAACCCCAAAATAAATTTTGGATGCCTGAATGAGTTAGATGTAAGAGAAAAAATGACAATAGAATTAGTAGAGACCCATATAATCTGGGTTGGAGAAGCTTTATCTATGCCCTAAAAGGAGGAAATTTTGAAAGAAAAGATTGATCTCATTACAACAAATTAAAGTTTTCTGAATGGCAAAAACACACCTATCCACTCAAACTTACAAGTAAAATTCAATCTAGAAAAAAAAAAGTGTGCCACATAAGAAAGACAATTGCTTGATAAACTTAATAATTAGATGTAATTCACCTAACCAGAGTTTCCTATTATATTGGACTGGGAAATGTGGCAATGGCAATTAGATGTAGCTTGAAGTATAAAAATAATAGCTCATACATACTGAACTTTCAAAAATCAATTTTTAAAACTTCAAAAGAAAAAAACAAATAATTTGAGCAATTTACAAAAGAAATACAAATATCAAATTAAGCATATTTATTCTCTCTCTCTCTCTCTGGTAATAAAGCAACACAAATCAATATGGCATATTTTTCACCTACAATTTCCATGACAACTCCTGGTGCTGATGAAGAGATGGGTCAATGAGCACTCTCACACACGCCTAGAAGTCAAGTCAACCTTTCTGGAGAACAGTTTGAGTATACATCAAAAGCCTTATGTGTTTACAAACCCCTTGATTGCTCATTTGAGTCATGAGAGCAAAGTCAGATGGTCATCCCAAAGTCAGTCAGACAATCCTCCAGGTTCCCAGGCCTCCCCTCAAAGTTATCATTAGCATATCAGTAATTGCCTCTTGGGAATCTAATTCTGTCTTTGAAAAGTCATTCAATTCAGGACTCCGCAAATACAGAAGCTCACCAAAAAGGTAACTCCTCACAGTCTGGTTTCCAATTCCACTGCTTTCTGACTGCAGATGCCCCTCTTCCTCTCTTGGGGTTAAGGTTAAACTGCTAGTCACCAGTTTAATAGACGATAAGGGCTGAGAAACACTAACCTAAGTTATTCCCCTGCCCTTCAATTCACACTAAGAATACCCTGTAGAGGCCAAGCGCGGTGGCTCACACCTGTAATCCCAGCACTTAGGGAGGCCGAGGTGGGCAGATCATGAGGTCAGGAGTTGGAGATCAGCCTGGCCAACATGGTGAAACCCCATCTCTACTAAAAATATAAAAATTAGCTGGGCATGATGGCAGTCACCTGTAATCCCAGCTGCTCAGGAGGCTGAGACAGGAGAATCGCTTGAGCCCAGGAGGCGGAGGTTGCAGTGAGCCGAGATCGTGCCATTGCACTCCAGCTTGGGTGACAGAGCAAGACTCCATCTCAAAAAAAAAAAAAAAAAAAAGAATACCCTGTAGACCCAGGACATGGAATCCAAGAGCAGTCAAGTCCGCAGGAAAGGAGGTGAGGCCTGCATTTGCACTATCTTTTTATTGAGAAACACATGAGTCTGGGTAGCACAGCGTGCAGGGCACAGATGTGCTCACCCCACCCTGTAGCTGGGGACATGGTGCAAGGAAGCCAATGGCAAGGGTTTGGCAAACAAAATCAGCTTCCAGGCTGGAGGAGAGGAATGGAGTGGGAAGGAACGTGAGACGGGGCCCTGGGTGCTGCCAGGGCGTTCTCATTTCCCTCCATTCATCACCCGCCATTGTTTCTGATTACAGTTTTTGCTCCCGTCCATCTTACATCCTTACATTAATCCTTCCAATTCGGGGCAATTTTACCATATTGTGTTTGCTAATTTCCCATTTAGAGCAATATGCAAACAGGTTCCCACTGCTTCCTGAATGGCTCAGAAGCCAGCTGAACAGTCAAGACATGAGAATTCTTTGCTTCTGGAGTCTGCCTTTGTGAAACAGGATTAGCTTTGAAATACAGACATACCAGAAGCAGGGTAGCAGCTGCTTCCATAGAAAAACAGGGGAGTCAGGACAGGGGAAGCGGTGCTGAGCGGAGTGGTACATGGCAAACCACTAATTTTGGCTCTCAGCTCAGAGATTGACACCAAAGGCAGAAGTAACTGCTTTGCTTCTCTCCTCTTTCCCTTATCAGGCTCAGTAACAAAGGAGTTTTTCTTTGTTCCCTCCCTTGAGAAATGAAGTTAGCGATAGTGGAGTGTGAACAGCCTGGCATGACCAAAATGCCCACCCACCCACATGCCCTTGGAAGATGTCTCTGAGTCACCAGGAAATGGGGATTATAGCCTAGGCCACCCAACAGACAGAATAACAATTGTGTATAGCTCTGTAACACATTTGTCTAAAGCAATTTCTTTAGCTCGCAATTCTGTGAGTCAGAACTTTAGGCTGGGCTCAGCTGGCGATTCTACTGGTCTCAGCTGGCTGCCCCCATATGTCTGCAGCTGCAAATTGGCTTTGTTGGTCTTGTCCGGGCTTTCTCACATGTATGGGCCTCAACTGGGACTAGTTGGCTCTGGAGCATTAGCTCCCTGGTCCCCCAGCAGGTTACTCTGGATTATTTTCATAGTAGAGAAAGGGGTTCAAAGAAAACAAGCAGAAACATGCAAGCCCTCTTAAAGCACAGTCCCAGAATTGGCCTACCTTCTCTTCTACTACATTCTACTAGTTAAAGCAAGTAAAAAAGCCAGATTCAGGGGGCATACAAATAGACTCCCTTCTCAACGGGAGGAGCTGCAAAGTCACATTGCAAGAGAGATGCATACAGCAAGGAATGAACAAGTGTGGCCATTTTTGCAACCTTCTGCAGCCAGCCACAGGGATTCTTTGCCCAGTCATCTACTGTCCCATAGCTGTGAAGACAGACTGAAAAGATCTTTTATAATGCAATTTTGCTCAAAGAACACCCAAGGTCTATCCCCTCCAAAATTCAAGGAACTCCTTCATCATGACACGTCAATCTCAACACCAACAACTGCAGAAGCAGCAACATTGCAAAACCCAAGTCTTGGTGGAGAAGGATTCTAGGGGTTCAGCAAAAACAGAAAATGACCTTAGGTAGTTTTAGAAAGAAATTTATTAAAATGGAAAGTATTGTCAGTCACAGTGGCTCACACCTGTAAGTCTCAGCACTTTGGGAGGCTGAAGTGGGAGGATCACTTGAGCCTAGGTGTTCAAACTAGCCTGGGCAGCATAGTGAGACCCCACCACTACAAAAATAAACAAAATTAGCTAGGTCTGGTGGTGTGCACCTGAAGTCCCAGCTACTTGGGAGGCCTAGGTGGGAGGATCACTTGAGCCCAGGAGATCAAGGCTGCATTGAGCAGAGATCACACCACTACACACAAACCTGGGCAACAAAGTGAGACCCTGTCTCAAAAATAATAATAATAAATAAAAAATGGAAAGGATTAAAAGATCAAAAAGAGAGGATGCTGATGCACCCAAAGACTAGAAATGGCTAATCATGAGACCTTTAAATTTGGAAAAGATTCTTTCTTTCTTCTTTCTTTCCTTCTTTCTTTCTTTCTTTTTTTCTTTCTTTCTTTTTCTTTTGAGATGAAATCCTGCTTTGTCGCCCAGGCTGGATTGCAGTGGTGTGATCATAGATCACTAGAGCCTTAAACTCCTGGGCTCAAGTGATTATCCTGCCTTATAAAGGGTTATAGCCTGTGAGGTGGCCATCCTGACAGGTTGGGAAGCAGCCTCCCACAAAGACCTTTAGCAGGCACTTTGAAGGAGGAAAGGGTAAGATAGGAATTTTTACTGAGCGGGTTGGCCAAGTATAAATATTCAACAGGTTATAGGATGCTCCATGAATATTCATGACAGGGGAATCTTAACACATGCATACTGAATAAACATGTATGTTACATATGACCCGTGTTCACCTTGGGGTGGAGACTTAACATGAACTGTATTACAATTAGGCCCTATACGGCAAAAGGTGAAGCAGGGATACAAAGACACTTAAGTGTGCAGGCTCTGTAAAACCAGCCAGAGCCGGTCTGTTGTCAATGGTCTTTAATCAGGAGTAAGTTACAGAAATCAGTCTCTTGTCCAATCAAAGCTATAAAGATGACTTGTGGAACAGTAGGTGGAGGTCAGCATCTGGTGGCAGCTGAGCTGCAACTGTTTCAATATTGCTTATCTCAAGACCGGTGCTTGTTTAGCTGATAGAGAGAAAGAAAAGCCTTGTGGCAGGTAGAACACAGTTTATTCTTCTAGTGTAGTTCTTTGCTTGTATGACTTAACCCTTGCCTGGCACAGCCTTAGGTCCTATTTTGGTATCTTATTGCCACAGAGAGCCTGTACTGTCAGTGGTATGATCTCTATTTTAACATTAATGCTGGTAGTTGTGTCTAAACTGCAAAAGGGCAGGGGTAATAAGGTGTGTATGACCTCCCATCCTGTCATGGCCAGCAACTCAGTTTTTTAGGTTTCTCTGGGGTCCCCTTAGCCAAGAGGGAGTCCATTCAGTCAGCTGCAGGGCTTAGGATTTTATTTTTAGTCGTCAGAATTCATTAACATACCTAGGTCTGAGCTGGAATCCAGTGAGTGCTAGAGCATTGAGGGGTCAAGTGGTGGGTGGAGGGCAGGGACCAGACAGAGCTATAGTCGTGGAAAGACACAGCCACTTCCAACTATTTTCACAGTTGGAAACTGAAACCATGGATAAGGAGAACTACCATATTGAGTGTTGTGTGCCCAGACCTATTTAAGTTTTTGCCTACCTAACCATATTAAGCTTTCACAACAACTCTATGTAATGGATGCTATCACTATTTCCCTTTCACAGATGAGAAACTGAGGCTCAGAGAGGTTAGGCAACTCACCCATGGTCATAAAGCTGGTGAATGGCAGAGCCAGGATTTGAACCCATGCAGTACATAAACTCCTGCCCAAAAGGCTTTACTGCCTATGGCAAAGCGTGGTCCCAGCAGATTTCCTGGGACACTGCAGGATTCTAAAGTGTCTCACATGTCACTCTGTTTGCTTCAATTACATTTACCTGATGATAATCTGTTTTGAAAACTGGTCATTGATGTGTGCTAAAAACAAAAAAAAATAGCCAGATTATTGTCCAGATTTTTATCAGACAAGGTTTGTTATTTACAATCTAGATTACTACCTGTGTAGAATTTTAACATTCACTACATTTCTTAAGCACTTACCCTCTGGGTGCTGAGATAAAGACTGTGTAAGTATCATCTCTACAAATCTTCATAATAACATAAGGAGGTACATATAGATCATCACCATCGCCATCATTAACATCATCCCATTTTATAGAAGAAGCTCACAAGAACCCTTCAAGTGCATTATTTTGTGCTCTGTAGCCAAAGTACATGGGAGCAGCCCACGGAGGCCCTCTGAGGCCTTAACCAATCTCTATCAGCTGTAGCTTTCTCCCCTCTTCCACATCTTCCTGCCATCCTGGCGGCTGCTGTCTCATTGCTTCTCTCTTCTCAATCTTTCTCTCTCTCTCACTTCCCTGTCCTGCTCTCTCCCTTGTCCACATCACGGACCACTCAGCTGCTTCCCAGACATTGTTAGCCCTAAGGGTGATATCTAAGATCTCATTTCCAAAGGAACAGTTCCTACCAGGAGCACCCCAAACGTTCCTCAACACCAGCGACAGGTACAAGAAATGTTTCCTTTTGGGAAATATCCATCCTGAACATCTGATAAATTCAGACATAGGGACATGGAGAAGCTATAATACTTATTTCAAACCATTAACAGAATCAGGAATCACATTTAAGTTATCTTTACTTATCTAAGCTGACAGAGGCAAAAATCAGCATGTACAATCCAAATACACAGGCAAAAGGAGAGAGATTGTGGCTGGGCATGATATTCAAATGCTGTGTTGTGGCCATTCTTACAAGCACATTTTGTTCATATGTCATCATCCTGAAATCAAGGCTATTATTAATGGTGTCTTCATAATTGCTGTTGGATGGGCAGCAACAGCACTACAGTTATCTTTGCCATCATCTCAGTCATGGTGCATTACGTCATCGCTTCAGTTGTGGGTTGCAGGTTCTGTGGCTGTTGGGTTTAATTTCCATTGAAAATACAAACCAAGGCATATAAAAGGGCAATTTAGCCTTGTCCCTTTACTCCATCAGGGTCTTTCCAGACTAATCTGATTTAGAGGGTAAAGCCTGTGGTGTGTGGCTCACGAATGTTCTTAATCATGGAACACCTACTGGAAACTTCCTTGGACTGTGGCAATGATTGTTTCCAAAGACAAGGCCAAAATTTGACTTTGTGTGTGTTTTCACAAATTTGTTAAAGGGAAGTCAGAAACAGGAATATAAGAAAGGGCTACTCCACAGTTGTGTAACACCAGGAGGCTCCCAGTCTACAAATTGTTGCTGTTAAAGATCACATTCTTTGCAAGCCTACTTGGCCATGGGGTTACAGAGTGAATAAATCCAATGCTGACCTAGTGTCTTTTCTAGAGATGACTAGGGCACCTCTGATCTGACCTCCCTCCCTCACAGGATCAAACCTCAGAGCATCACTCCATAAACAAGCCTATGACATGGCTTTTAACATTTTGTTCAAAAAAGAATACTAGCAAACTTTTTGACAGTAACTACTGAAGTGGACCACAGATGGACTCTAAGGCACAGCAGTTCCAATTCTAGGTACATGCCCAATAGAAACATGTACTTACATTTACCAGAAGACATGTACTAGAATCTTTGACTTTTATTAATAGCCCCAACTAGAAATAAATGATGTCTGTCAGTAGCACAATGAATACATAAATTGTATTTTATTCATATAACCACATACTATAAAGCAAAAAGAATAAACAGTCTATGACTACATGCAACAACATGGAGACTCTCACAGACATAATGTGGAATGTCAGGAAAGTATACCTACTGGATGACACTATTTGTATAAAGTATACTCTAACTATCTCTTGCTGTGCAACAAATGACCTGAAAAGTTAGTGGCTTTAAACAGCAGCAACATTTTTTTATAAGTCTGCATTTGGGCAAGGCTTGGTAGATGACAACTCATCTCTACTCCACTCTGAGGTACGTGGGAAGATGGGAATGCAGGGGGGTGGAATCATCTGAAAGCTTCTCCTCCTATAGGTGGTAGCCAATGCTGGCTGTCAGCTGAGACCTCAACTGGAGCTGTGGTTGGAATACATTGACTTGGCCTTGCATGTGGCTGGATTCCAAGGGGGATCACCCCAAAAGGATCAGGAAGTCGTTGTCTTTTATAACTAAGCCCCAGAAGTCACATGCTATTACTGCTGCTATAGTCCCAGGACCACACATACTCAAAGGGAGGAAACAGAGATGGAGGAATGTTGGCAGCACATTCTCAGGAAAGGAAGGATGGGATATATTAGTGCAGCGGTCTTTGGAAAATACACCTGCCATAATGTACACAGCAGGCAACACTAATCTGTGGTTTTAAAAGGCGAGGTAATGGTTACCCTTAGAAAGAGAGTAGTGATTAGAAGGGAGCGTGAGAGGGGCTTGGAGGTGTTCCTAATATTCTGTTTTTTGACCCAGTGCTAGTTCACTTTGTGAAAATTCATCAAGATGCACATTATGACTTGTGCACTCTGCTTATGTATGCTATAGCCCAATAAAGACTTTTTAAAGAATGGTAGCAATGATATTTTGACAAAGCTTGGTGTATTCAGTAGGCCCAATAGAAAATTTTCTCAACAATAGCCACAAGTCACGTCCTCTGGGATATGATTTGAGTTGGATGCTAGCTATCTCCTTGGTAACTTATAACTTGCTGATATGGAGCCAATGGGTTTCTTTTTGTAGAACTAGAGAAAGATTAAAGCCAACTGTGATGGTTAATTTCATGTGTCAAATTGGCTGGGCCACAGTGCCCAGATACATGCTCAAACATTTTGATGTTTCTGTGAGGGTGGTTTTGAATGAGATGAACATTTAAATTGGTGAACTAAAGCATCATCCTGCATAATGTGAACCTCATCCAGTCAGGTGAAGACTTGAAGTAGAACAAAATACTGACCTCCCTTGAGCAAGAAGCAATCAGCCATGAGAAGGCCTTCAGACTTGTTCTACAGCATTGGCTCTTCCTGGCTCCATGGCAGACTACCTTCAGGCTCAAACTGCAACAATGACTCTTCCCTGGGTCTCCAGCTTGCCAGCCCACCCTTCAGAATTTGGACTTGTCAGCCTCCATAATCATTTGAGCCAATTCTTTTAAAACATAAATAAAATATATGTATACATATGCATAAATACACACACACACACAAATCCTATTGGTTTTGTTTCTCTGGAAAACTTTGACTAATGGACCTGAATTCTTGGCGTCTGTCTTGTATCCTTTCTTATTTAAGCTGACTATCCACTGAGTGGTCTATGTCTCTCAGAGAGCCAGTAAAACTTAGCCCAACCCCAATTTCCATGGCCTTATGAGGCTCTAAAGCTGTCCCTGCAGCCTCTATCTGGAACTTTCTTCCAAATGCTTCCTTCTCCTTCAATACGGCCTTACAGTTCACACACAATCCCTCACTGGTTCTCATTTTTAAAACATCGTTTATCCCAAGCATTTCATGAATTTATTGATTTTATTAATGATTTGAGAGAATAAGAAAGAGTTCTGTATTAGTCAGCTATTGCCACAATGTGCTGCATAATAAATAATCCCAAAGCACAGTATTACACAACAATGAGAATTTATTCTCTAATCACATATCTGTGGGTTGGCTGGGGTTTGGCTAATGGTCTGGACTTGGGTGGACTTGGCACAAGCTGTGGGTTGGGCCTAGGTCTGTTCCATGTGTTTCTTCTTGCCCCTGGTCCTACAAATACCCAAGGCATGTTCTTGCTATGGTAAAAGTCAGGAGTGCAACAGAGCAAAATCCCCACCCAAGAGCCTTTCAAGCCTCTACCCATGTGATATCTGTTAACATCCCAGTAACCAAAACAAGTCAAACAGCCAAAGTTAAAGTCAGAGGAAAACACCTCATCCCCTTCCCCCACGTCTGGGGCCATGGCAGGGGTGTGGGAGAATTATGATTAACGATCTGAGCTCCCACAGTGGGGCCTCTTGCCAGTCCCCAGCCTCCCTCTCCTTTCTCTCTTCCACTTTGCCTCTCTCCAGAACATCAAGAAAAGCATTCCCTGGCCTCTGCAGAACGGTGTCTCTTTCATCGGGCCTGAAGCATTGTTTTATTCTACAAAGCTCAGGGCATCTTCTCAATGAAAGTGAGTCTCTCCCCAGGAAGCTGGCTGAGAAAAGTAATCTGTTCAAAACCTCATGTAGAACAGACAGAGTCCCTTCACAGAGTCTGTGGCCATTATCATGCTGAACCAAAAGACAAGTAAGCCATCCCCTTTAAGCCCCCAAATCCTTTCTCAGCAAGCTCTGAAGTGGAAGAAGATTAATATTGCATCTCCAGGCTCCTGAGCCACTAAAAATAAAGAATGAACTTCCTCTGGGGAGTTGCCTGGGCCTTTTTCTGAATGCACCTCTGACCAAAAAACAAATAAAACAAACTCTTTCTAAGGGATCTCAGGGACAGCACTTTAATGGAGGAGCAATGAAGAACAAAACCTCCCATCTGCCAGCGCTAAAGATGATCCCCGGGCAAACTGGGGAAAACAGAGCAGAAAATTAAGCCTTTGCTTGGTCTCCTCTCCCAGGCTCAGTTCTCACCAGTCCAGACCTGCAGCACACCCTGCAAAGAGGTAAGTATGATGGACATCAGGAGCAGAAGCAGAAGAGAGCCTGGACATTAACCCTCCCCAGGGCTGCTTTGATGCTGAGCCATTTTATGCCTAGATAATGAACATACCCACAGCACTCCTGGGTCTGAATGCTGATATCAGTCTCTCTCCTCTTGCTCCAGAAAAGCCAATGAATTGTGTTACTTGGTTTAGTTTGGAGGGAAGTGGGGAGTAGAGCAATGTAATCAGTTTACGTACAGTCTTTCCAGAAAGAGGAAGATAAATCAAGTGTTCAGACACAGGTTATGACTCACGACAAGGCTGCATGCTTCTGGGAGGCCGTGATTCTGGGGGATGGCACAGCTGACCAGCAGGCAGGGATGGGGCTGTGATTTTTGCATTGATTCTAGTTTATACTTTTTTCTGTATCTTAGCAGTTCTGAAGTTGGAATGCATCTTAGTATATATCAAAGCTTCCTTACAACCACCTCCTCTAAGAAGTAGTCATGCCATATAGTTGCCTTTGCCTGTTACATGCATGAATATCAAAAGCACCAGCATCAAACCCAGCAGAGTGGTATCTGCCATGTGCATGGAAATCCTGGAGCCTCTCCTAATTGGTCTGGGAGTGAGAAGGGAAAATATGCCTTCAGGAGCCCTCTTCAAAGCAGGAATCAGAAGCAGGCTGCAAAACCAGCTTCAGAACCCAGGGCCAATGCTTTTAGTTCGTGCATGAATGACAAAAGGCAAACTCATAGAAGGAGAGAGTAGGATGGTGTTTATCAAAGGCTCAGCGATGGGGGTGGATGGAGAAAAGAGAGATTTTGATTAAAAAGTACAATATTCAGCCAGGCAGAGGGTCAAAACTTTAGTGATCTGTTGTACAGCATGATGAGTATAATTAATCATAGCATTGTATATTTCAAAATTGCTTAAAGATTGGATTTTAAATATTCTTATCATAAAAATTGATAAGTACATGAGGTGATAGATATGTTAATTTACTTGATTTTATCATTCTACAATGTACACACATACCAAAACATCACATTATACCCCATAAATATATGCAATCATTCTTTGTTAGTTAAAGATAAAATTAAAGAACAGAATTACTGTATTACCAAGGCTCTTCATGGCACTCAGGATGACATTGCCAGAGGAGTGGAGAGACCACAGGCAACAACAATTTGGGAGTCAAAAGTGAATCAGAAAAATCAGGTCAATGTTAAGAAATTTAGAATATATTAACCAATTTTATTTTGCTTATATTTTTCTTTTTATATTCACCCAAGTACTATATTATAAAAATTTTTACCTAATTAAATATAAAGCCCATTCAAATAAGTTGAAAATAAAATTCTAAAGAAAGCAGGATGCCATAGTTTTCCATTGCAATGTTAGTTCTTCCTCAGTGAGACATAAAATAAAGGTGCATTTGGGATTAGGTTGAGTTAAAGGTCCCAAATCTAATCTCCTGCTTCAATCGCAGTGCCCGATAAAACGAGCCAGCGACAGGCAGAAAGCGGAGCCCCACTGAGTTTGTAGTCAAAGTCCCCACCTTGCTTTGGGGCACGTTCGTCTTCCTCCCCTCTTCAATGAAAAACCGCTTCCCTCAGACATCAAGTGCTGCTGCATTCCTGGCCCAGATCAGTTATCAATCAGGAAGTCTTGTTCTTTTCTTTTCTTTCGGGACAAGTGACATAGAAGGCTCACTTTGGAGAACATGTCTTCTGGGTGGAGTGAGTGTTGTATTTCCTTTTTTTCTTTTTTTCTTTTTGAGACGGAGTCTCGCTCTTTCGCCCAGGCCGGACTGCAGTGGCGCTATCTCGGCTCACTGCAAGCTCCGCCTCCCGGGTTCACGCCATTCTCCTGCCTCAGCCTCCCGAGTAGCTGGGACTACAGGCGCCCGCCACCACGCCTGGCTAATTTTTTGTGTTTTTAGTAGAGACGGGGTTTCACCTTGTTAGCCAGGATGGTCTCGATCTCCTGACCTCGTGATCCGCCCGCCTCAGCCTCCCAAAGTGCTGGGATTACAGGCGTGAGCCACGGTGCCTGGCCGGGTTGTTGTATTTTAACGGTGGGAAAGGAAGGGCCCTCCCGAAGTGAGATTTCAGGCACTGGCCGTTGGAACAGACAAGGGAGAGGGTTCTCACCCCCCACTCCTTGAAGTCTGGCCATTTGGGTGGGAGAGGCTGGAGCAGCCAGTGAGGACACTCAGCACAGTGTGGGCAACCGGACAGGATGGATTTGAATTTATAAAGAACCTGCCTTCCTTCCTTCATGGTCCAAGCAAATGTTCCAGGTATTTAAGCCACATGCTGGAGAGGTAAGTTAGATAAGTTTCATGCTGGAGAGACAGGTAGATGGGACACAAATCTGGAAACTACCCATCAACAGTAGAACAGATAAATAAATTGTGGTATAGTCATAAAATAACATGTGATACAACTAAGAGGATGAATGAGCCAAAAGATGTGCAACAAATGCGTGAGTGTTACAGAGACAGTGTGGAGCCGAGGAATCCAGACACAAAATCAGAGTGCATGATTTTGTTTATGGGACAGCAAAACTGGGGAAACTAAACAATGTTATTTTTAAGTCAGAATTGTGGTTTCCCTGGGTTGGAGGACTAAGTAGGGACAAGAAAGAGGAGAAGGGACATCTGGGGTGCTGGAAGGGATTCTGTTTCTGGATCTGGAAGTTGGTTTATGAAAATACGGGTGCCTGTAGTTTATGAAACTTCATCAAGATGAACACAGGATGCATGCACCTTCTGCATTATGTGTGTTATTTGTCAAGAAGAAGTTTGTTAAAAGGAAGATCCTTCCTGTGGATCGTATGGGGCAAAAAAAGGAAGATCCTTCCCTTCAGGTTGCAGAGATGGGGAAGAAACCCAAACAGGCTGGCTACAGGATCTGAGGGAGGAGACTACATTAATTTTTTAGCTTCCACTTTTATCAGCCTGCTCAAAGCAATGCCCCAAACAAATTATATATTCTATGTCCCTGCAACTTCATGAAATAGGGATCTGCACACAAAAAAAGTGTTCCCCTGAGAGCTCCAGGAAATGGGTTTCACACACATCAATCAAGACTACAAAGGGGGCTAGGCGCGGTGGCTCATGCCTGTAATCCTAGCACTTTGGGAGGCCAAAGCAGGCAGATCACCTGAGGCCAGGAGCTCGAGACCAGCCTGGCCAATATGGCGAAACCCTGTCTCTACTAAAAATACAAAAATTAGCCTGGCGTGGTGGCGCGTGCCTGTAATCCCAACTCGGGAGGCTGAGGCAGGAGAATTGCTTGAACCTGGGAGGCGGAGGTGGCAGTGAGCCAAGATCGCGCCATTGCACTCCAGCCTGGGCAACAGGGCAAAAAAAAAGGTCTCCACTTCCTCACTTCCTTATTAAAGGAAGATTTGAAAGCATGCACACACACACACAAACACACACACACACACAGTCTCTAACAGCCATAATTTGTAGCCTAGGCTGAACCACAGCACTGTTTCAGTCATCCCATCTGCCCATTTTTTGGCCTCCGAGCTCTACCCAGCCGGAATTCACCCTATGAGCCCCGTTGAGCAGTAAGCAGTTATTTACTCCATCAATATTGACTGAGTACCCGCCACCATCCAGGCCCTGTGCTAGGTGTTTAATCTGGCAGCAATCATAGGAGGCAGGGAACATGATCCCCATTTTTATAGATGAAAAAGCTGGGCAGGGACATCAGAGCACTTATCCAAGGTCACAACCGGGTGGCAAGTGGGGGAGCTGCAGTTCACCCCTATGCACCATTCCTTGCTAGAAACTGTAGCCTTGATTTTCCAGTTATCTAATACTGCATAATGAGCCACCCCAAAACAGTGGCATAAAACCGGAACAATGATTTGCTCATGGATCTGGGGGTCAACTGGGCTCCACTGGGCAGTTCTTGCTCAGGGACTCCCATGTGTTTGCAGAGACATGCAGTGTCTGCGGCCCTCTCCAGAGATTCCTCACTGGGAATCCGGGCATCCCTGAGCATCTCTGTCTGGTCTCCCCACATGGGGACCTTGGGGTGTCAGAACTTCTCACAAGGGGCAGAAGTCTGCAAGAAACCAGCAGAAGCCTAGAAAGTCATGCAGTATCACCTCTGCCACGTTGTGTTCATCGAGGCAGCCACAATGGCCCACCCCAGCTCAGAGGGAGGGGACCTGGATCCCACCTCTTGATGGGAGGAGTAACAAAGAATTTGCAAGTGTTTAAAACCACCACAGCTGATAAGTTTGTCACAGTGGATATTGACCACGATGACTGTCTTCACATTTCCACTCTCTTCCTTCACTTCTGATGTGCATTTTAATGCCGTACTTCCTGCTTCTGAGTTTGGCCATATCACTTGCTCTGGCCTGTGGGATGTTAGCCCAATGATGCGTTTCCCCTCTGCCATCATCATGGGGAAAATGTGCCCGGACCATGCCACTGGTCTAAAGGGGAGTGTCTCAGTTCATTTTCTGTTGCTTATAACAGAATATCTGAAACAGGGTAATTTATAAGAAGTGAAATTTATGTCTTACAGTTCTGGAGGCTGAGAAGTCCAAGGTTCAGGGGTCACATCTGGTGAAATCCTTCTTGCCAGTGGGGACTCTCTGAAGAGTCTTGAGACCGTACAGGACATTACGTGGCGAGGGAGCTGAGCATGCTAGCTCAGGCCTCTCTTCCTCTGCTTATAAAGCCACCAGTTCCACTTCTACAATAACCCATCAATTCATTAATTCATTAACCCATGAATGAGTTAATCTATTTGTAAAGAGAAGAGCCTTCATGACCCAATCACCTCTTAAAGGCCCCACCTTTCAATACTGCCACATTGGGGACTGAGTATCCAACACATGAAATTTGAGGGACACATTCAAACCATAGCAGGGAGGGAAAGGAGATGAGAGACTGGAGGGGCAGGGCCCAGCCAGCCTGAATTAGCAGATCCTCAGTCAGACCGCAGGTCCATGAGTATAATTCAGTGCTGTGCCTTAGCACTACTTATTGCAGAGTTTTGAGATAGCTTGTGACTCAGTGTTGCCGTGGCTCTAAGTAGTTTGGACACTGCCACTCAAAAAAGACATTGGAATCCAACTTCAGAGAAAATATTGGGAGATATGAGAAACCTTATAACTAATCATATGTCACAGAGTTGTTCAAGATGAAGAAAATATAAACAGGAGACAATTTTAGATACCAGCCAAGCTGGTCAGTGACATCTCGGAAAGTTTTTCAAGGTTCTGTGCCTATGCACCCCACCAAATGGACTTCTCCAAAGAGACTCCCACCAAAGCCATAACCAAGTCCTGCCCAGAGCTGTCTGCCTTGAACAACTCATTAATTCAGCTCATTGTGATGCTTGATTGACAGGGCATGTTTGATGTGCATGTGTATGCAAGTGTGTGTTGAGCTTTATGTGTTGTGTGGGTATGAAAATAGGAGAGCATCTCTGAGTGATTCTTTGTAATAAAGAAAAATGGAAATTCATTGTACACTGGTCAGTCATCTTGAACTCCAATACTGGCTATTTCTTTAAAATAAAAAAGGAAAGAAATTTTATTTTCTCTTTACTAAATAAATTTTCCTTGGAAAAATTATTGCCTCTACATTCTTGGTTCATTTATGCCACCCCATTTCTTATGGGGCCTCCCCTTACCACCACCCCAGTTTTATCCCCAAGAGACAATGGGAAGTAACTCAATCAATGAGAAGAGGCTGGAATCAGAGATAGAGACCTTTCAAGCTTGAAGGAATGTGAGTACACGTAATCCAACCCACCTGATTCCCTGAGAGGAGGGCCTTGAACCAAGAGAGGGCAAGTAGCCTCCTTGTGACCACACAGCGAGGCTAAGAACCAGCTTGAAGTAGAGCTCAGGCCTCTTTCAAGAGCTTCCCTGGAAAACTGGTGAAGCCAACCAAAGCACAGTAGCCATGGTTTTGCGTCATTCAGTTTTTCTTCTGTGGATTTGAGTTCATTCATCTCTAAAACGCATGCCCTGGATTAAATGAGTTTCAAAGACCTGTCTAGCTCTTTGATTTTTTTTTTTCTTTTTTTTTAGTAATTTAAAGAGGAGGTCAGGAACACTAGATCTCTCTCAACAAGACACCTGGAACCAAGCAGACCCATTTCCAAACCTCAGCTCCACCATGACCTTGTGTTGTTATGCAAGTCACTTAACTTCTCTTCCCCTAAGTGACCCAGTAGGCAGAGAAAGTACCTACTGTGGCCACACACAATTCAAAGGCACTGAGGGATTTTTTTTCCAACATAATTTGCTATATGGCAGTTTTATTTATTAGAGAGATACTTTCCTGAAGACCTCATGTAAATCCCAGCTCACTGAAGTCCAGACCAACCTTTCCATAGTAACAACACAAAGCATGATGGGTTTCCCTCTTAACAGCTGAGAGCAGCCCCATCTTGGACAAGTTTCAACAAAGCTCACAAACCAGTCTATCTTAAGGCCCTTGAAATTATGAGATTCCCAACTCTCTTTAATCTCTTGGTATTCTATTTCATATTTGGGTTGTAAAGTGAGACTTTATTTTTATTTTATATTAAACTCAGAATCATATAGTTCAAATTTACATAAAAAGAACCACAATTATGTACAATAATGTTTCAAAATACACATCAAACTAGTCATTGTGGAGAAACACCCAGAACTTGGTTAATCTATCTTGCACTTGATTTATGGTTTAGCATAGTTTTATTTTTTAGATTTTTAGTTACATGGATTGGAAGTAGGGGGAAGCACCACCACCTTTCTAAAGCCAAAACCTCAGCAGGTTTTCACCCTCCCAGTGGAAATGGAGCTAATTTCAGAAGTAGTGGTGACAAGAAATAAGATGATACATGTTAAGCCCTGAATGCAATGCCAGGAACATAGACAAATGTGCCCAAAACACCACCTTTTATTGTTATCGCTGAGCTAACTTTCCTTTTCTTCATTAACTTTTAAATACTGATCTGTTTTTAGGATTATAAATATCCAAGGGAAACAGAGACCATCTGGAGTCATCCCTACGTTGTGGAGGGGTCCCACAAGAGCCCATTAGAGAGGTAAGGATGGCATTGTGGATCTGGGCACCAAGTTCTCTCATCCTCCAAACCACTTCCCATGGCGCCACACCACCAGCCCACCCAAGCACACCATCCCCTGTCCACATATGTGTGGCCTTGGGATAACTTTAGACTTGGAATAAAAGGCGGCGCCACTGGGAAATGCAAGTGGTGGCTTTCCTTCTTCCCTGGGCCGTTTCTCCCTTTGAGTCTGTTTAAGGACCTATTAGGCTGTGGCTTGGAAAGACACTGAGATGAAGCCCTCAATTTCATGGAGCTGGGTTTGGGTTTAGGTCCTTGTTCACTGTCCCTTCATTGATGTCATAGAGCCACCTCCATCTTGATGGTCACCATCAGGGCTTGGAGGAGTCTGGGGTTACACATTTCAAGATGGGGAGAAAACCTAAATCTTTCTGGCAACTCCAGCCTTAAGGGTGCCATTGCCCACCCCAACTTTCTTTTCCAGAATAAAATAAGGCCAGCATGGAGTCCACACCGTAGCAGGTGGTTCCAGGTCTCAGGTCATGTAAGGATGACCACCAGAGTTCTGGCTTCAGTCTACAAAGCTGGGCCCCAGGCTCCAACCTTCTGCCACTGACCCCCTTTCTCCATCTTCACTGGTCTTGTTCTGTTCCTGGAACTCATCGTGCTCTGTGAGCCACAGGGCATTTACACATGCTGTTTCCTCGCCTGGAACGGTCTCATCTCTGCCCTGTCTCAGGGACCTCTCACTCATTCCTCTGATCTTGTTCCTCAGGAAGTCTGTCCTAAGCCCCTACCAAGTCTATGAAGAGCCCCTCAGCTTTCCCTCCTGAGCCCTCACTGTGTGTGTAGCCAGGCACCACACTGGGAGTTCCCTGAGGATCGGAGGTGTATTACTCCATTCTTACACTGCTAGAAAGAACTGCCTGGGACTGAGTCATTTAAAAAGGAAAGAGGTTTAATTGACTCACAGTTTCACAGGGCTGGCAAGGCCTCAGGAAACAAAACAATGGCAGAAGGGACAGTAAACACGTCCTTCTTCACATGGCATCACGAAGGAGAAGAATGAGAGCCAAGTGAAGAAGAAAGTCCCTTATAAAACCATCAAATCTCATGAGAACTTACTCACTATCATGAGGACAGCATGGGCGAACCCATCCTCTTGATTCAGTTACCTCTCACGAGGTCCCTCCCACCACACGTGGGGATTATGGGAACTACAATTCAAGATGAGATTTGGGTGGGGACACAGCCAAACCATATCAGGAGGTGTCCATTTTGCTCAGCCTTGCATCCCGTACTCTCAGCACAGGGCCGAGAAGGTATATTAGGTAGTAGTTGCTTGGTAATTATCACAGAATGAATGAATAAAGGAATGCTTACGGGCTCAAAACATCAATGGGTTTTCCCTTTTCCTCATGCAAAGAGCAGAATTCCAAAAAAAGGGGATGGCCAAAACGGGAGGTACTGTCCCTGGACTGCCTTCCCAACTCCAGACTTCTCAAGCTCCCCGGAGGCCCTTCTGAATCCCACCCCTAACCGCACTCTGGAGGCACCCCTGTAAAGGCCTGATGTTTTTATGGCATCTCAAGGCTTCAGAGGAGACCCCACACCAGGCCCTGCCCGCAGTAGGCTCCAGTCCTGCTTTGCAGGCCTCAGGGTCTCCAGTGAGAAACTTGCCCAGCTGAAAAGCTATGGAGCCCCTTTGCCTAAAAACTATGCTTAGTACCTGGGGACAGGATCAGTCGTCCACAAGCCTCAGCATCACGCAATATGCCCAGGTAACAAACCTGCACATCTGACTCTAAAATAAAAGTTGAATTTTTTCTTTTTCCAAAAAAGAAAAAACTCGCTTCAACTTTGCTCTTTTCTTTATTGATGAGGAGTAAGAGAAAGCACGGGCTCCACTCTCTGCCGGCTGAGATCCCCACCAATACGAGCAGTTCTCCAGAAACAAGCATGAAAACCCTCCAGAAAAACCCACCATTACCCCACTTCATCTCCACAGGCTACAAAACAACAGCAAAGGCGCTTTGAGACAGAGCACTTTCTGATTAGTCCTTTAAGAGAAAACCTTTCCTCAGCAGGAAATGATGTTCCAGAGGCTGCTGGACAGAAATATAGAAACAACTATAATCCAGCTGCCCCTGAGTGAGCCACGCAGTCCCTCAACACAGCATGTTCCTTAGTTCCTCAGGCCCACCCAATCTCTGTGGCCACTCCAGGACCCCCCACCAAGAGCCTGCAGGAACACCTCCCAGGGCCCCTTTCAAGCCCATTCCAGGGCCGCCTGCAGATCTCATCCTGGGCTTTGGGAGCCTTCAGCTGTTTCCAAGAGTTAACTAAACATCAATTTAATTACACTGCTGGGCTATATAAATATTATGCTCTACAAAATGGTACCAAGCAGATATTTTTAGGAGGTCACAGATGTTTCTTGTGATTAGCCTAGTTACAGATCTGGAAGAATTTTTTTTCCTTCAAAGAAAAGTCAGTGAGGATTCTCAGCTGTCATCTGGGGGTAGTTCCCAACATGGTTAAGCACTGCGCATGTTAATGGCACACCTGGGAGACTTCCTTTTTGTCTCCTCTGCCCTGTGGCTGTCAGTTTCCCTCTGAAACCCAGCAAGTGGGGCCCAAAGTCTAGGATCATGGAGGAGGTCAGAGGCCCAGTGAACCAGACACCAAATCCCAGCAAGGCCTGTTTCTCTACCTCTGGACTTGCCCTGCCTCTCAATTCATGCCACAAACATTTATAAAGCACAAGCTGTGTGCAAGACACCACACTGTAGCTGCCACTGCAAACTGGGATAAGACACTAACTAATATTAAGTGGCAAAATGAGACTTCTGTTCCCATAGGTATACAAGAGGGCTCACAGCAACGCTATTTAAAATCACCCTAAACTGGAAACAATCAAATACAATGGAACACCACTCAGCAATAAAACAAACGAGCAGTAACTGTGCACAACAGTGTGGATGGATCTCAGACACAGAATTCTGAATGGAAGGCGCCAGACACAGCGGAGTGTGCACTGCATGGTCCCATTTATATAAAGCACAAAAGTAGGCAAAACTAAAGTCTATGGCGTTAGAGTCAAAATAGTGGTTATCCTGGAGGCAACAGTAACTAGAAGGGGGTGTGAGTGGGGATTACTGGGGCGCCAGTCATGCCTTATTTCTTGAGCCACATGTTGTGTTGGTTACACGGGTGTTTTCCATTTGGGGAAGTTTGTTAGCTGCACACTTAGAATGTGTAGACTTCTTCCTATGTATGTTATTCTTCAATTTTAAAAATGCATTAAAAAATAAGTAAATAGGCTGGGTGCAGTGGCTCACGCCTGTAATCCCAGCACTTTGGGAGGTGAGGCAGGTGGATCACCTGAGGTCAGGAGTTCGGGACCACCCTGGCCAACATGGTAACACCAGTCTCTACTAAAAATACAAAAATTATCTGGGTGTGGTGGTGCACACCTGTAGTCCTTTAGAAGCCTGAGGCAGGAGAATCACTTGAACCCGGGAGGCAGAGGTGGCAGTGAGTTGAGATTGTGCCACTGCACTCCAGCCTGGGTGACAGAGCAAGACTCTATCTCAAAATAAAATAAAAATAAATAAAACAATAAAGTAAATAAAAGCAACTTGCCCAATGAGGCAAGATCCAGCCCCAGGCAGTCTGCTTCCAGATTTCGAGTTCTAACTGCTGTGTCCTGGTGCCCCTTCAAATGCAAGCGCTGCTGGAGATTGCCAGGACTCAGCACTTGCTCTGATCCTTCTCTGGACCTCATCATCAGAGTCTGCTGCAACTGACTTCCAACTGCTGGAGGGCTTTCTCTCAAATGCCCAGACCCAGGGAATCAAAAACCCCTGTCCCAGGAGCAGCCCTGTATTAGTCAGGGTTCTCTTAGAGGGACAGAACTAATAGGATATATATATATATATATATATATATATATATATATATATCTAGAAGATTACTAAGTATTAACTTACATGATTACAAGGTACCACAATAGGCTGTCTGCAAGCTGCAAAGCAAGGATAGCCAGTCCCAGTCCCAAAACTGAAGAACTTGGAGTCTGATGTTCGAGGGCAGGAAGCATCCAACACGGGAAAAAGATGTAGACTGGGAGGCTAGGCCAGTCCCTCCTTTTCACATTTTTCTGTCTGCTTTATATTCGCTGGAAGCTGATTAGATTATGCTCACCAGATGAAGAGTGGATCTGCCTTCCCCAGCCCACTGACTCAAATGTTAATCTCTTGTAGCAACACCCACACAGACACACTCAGGATTAATACTTTGCATCCCTCAATCCAATCAAGTTGACACTCAGTATTTACCATCACAAGCCCTCAACCAAAGACTGATGGGAATTAGTTTAAAAATTCTGTAACTCCCTCTTTCCTTGGGCTGGACAACACTGAGGGGTGTTCTACCCTGTCTCCCTGAACTGTTCTGTGGGGTTGAGCCCCTCAACAATGACCTGCTCAATAATATGCCCTGTATCACCTTCCTTCCCTCCCTGTCCCACTGCCCCACTCCCCAAGGGATATTTCCTGGAATCACCACACAAATCCACAGCTGGCAGTTGCATCTTTGCCCCAGGGCCTGCCACTACAGTGTGAGGTTCAGGAAGCCCCTTCTCAGAGAGGCCTTCCCTGGCCACCCAGGCCCCCTTAGCCACATTCCCTTCCCTTCTCAAGTGTCTTCTCTGGTTATTTGTTTGCTGTCTATTGCTTGTCTCCCCACAACCCACCCACAACTCCCATCTGGAAATACAAGCTCCTGGAGAAAAGAAACCTCAGCTTGCTTGCCACCAGCTCCTCAAACCAAGAGTGATTTCCAGAATGTTTCATAACCATATGGCAAAGGGAAAAAAACCCATCAGAACGGGTCACTGAAAACCAGAATGGTGTTTGACCAATTGGAACCAATTCTGGCCTCATATATCCCAGCTTACTATCAGCCCTGCCAAAAGTAATTAACTCCTAAGACATCATGAGTGCTCAAAAATATTTTTTAGGCAAATAGATTAATTGCTCAGTCAGTCAGTGAACAGAAGAAACTGGCAATTTACAGCTAAAAATCCAAGATCTTCGCTAACTTAAAACCTCCAGAATAAAAACCTTGCCCTCTTTGGTGGTGCTGTCCTGGAACTTGTGCCAAAACACATGTGAACAGATCCACCCATGGGAGCTGAGACAGTCCTACTTCCCTGTTTCTTGTTTGGAGAATGGAAAAAATCACCTGCAAAATCGTGAGGTCCCTAAGAGTTGCCCTAGGATCCAGAATCTCAGTCTGGTCTCCATGCAGCCAGGTGCACCTCACTGAGACTCCCACAGGGGCCGTGAGCCATTTGCTCCATCCTTCCTAGGGCACAGTGCACATCTAACCCTGTTCAGAGACAAAAGAGGTGGGATCTCTGGGGGCAAACTGGGAATGTCCCAGATAAGCCAGGGCATTTGTGTGGCCCACATAGGACCACACCCATGCAAAGGCAGAACACAGAGCTGGAAAAAGGAGAGGTATACAAATTGTAGGAGAGAAAGACAACAGCTCAATCAGGGCAGTTTCCTGGAGGATGACCTTGAGAACATGCATGGAATGTAGATGGTGGAGGCGGGGGAGTTGGTAGGATTATGGCCTCCAAGAAGATCCTACACCTCAGTCTTCAGGACTGTGGCTAGGATGAGATATCACACCCATGAATACATTATTTGTCTTTGTGTGGGCTCTATCACAAAGTATCATAGACAGGCGGCTTAAACAACAGACTTTTATTTCTTATCATTGGAAGCTGGTAAGTCCAAGATCAGGGTGCCAGTCTGGTGAAGGCCCTCTTCCTGGTGTACAGATGGTCACCTACTTGCTACATCCTCATTGGCAGAAAGAATAAGAAAGAGAGAGGGGGGAATGGAGAGAGAGAGAGAGGGAGAGAGAGATAGAGAGAGAGAAAGAAAGAAAAGAAAGAGAGAAAGAAAGACAGAAAGAAAGAAAGAAAGAGAAAGAAGGAAAGAAAAGAAAGAAGGAAAGAAAGAAAGAAAGAGAGAAAGAGAGAGAACGAACGAGCGCTCTGGTCTCTTCCTCTTATAAAAACACTGATATGGTTTGGTTCTGTGTTCTCACCAAATCTCATGTCAAACTGGAATCCCCAGTGTTGGAGGTGGGGCCAGGTGGGAGGTGATTGGATCATGGGAGTGGCTCCTTCACGAATGGCTTAGCACCATCAGCTTGGTGCTGTTCTTTTGATGGAGCTTTCACAAGATCTGGTTGTTTTAAAGTGTGTAGAACCTCCCCTGCCCAATCCTTGCTCCTTCTTTGGCCATGTGAAGTGCTACTCCCCCTTTACCTTCTGCCATGATTGTAAGTTTCCTGAGACCTCGTCAGAAGCCAAGCAGATGCCAGCATCATGCTTCCTATACAGCCTGAAGAACCATGAGCCAATTAAACCTCTTTCTTTATAAATTACCTAGCCTCAGATTTTTCATATAGCAATGTGATAACAGACTAATACAGACACTAATCTTATCATGAGGGAACCACTCTTGTGACCTCATCTAACCCAAATTACTTCCCAAAGGCGCCACCTCCAAATACCATCACATTGGGGTTCAAGGTTTTGACATATGAATCTGGGGTGACACATTCACTCCACAGCATTACCTCACATGGCAGAAGGAATTTTGCAGACATAATTAAGATTACTAATAAATTCACATTAAGATAGAGAGCTTACTATGAATTATCTGAGTGGCCCGGTATAATCACGTGAGTCCTTTCATGAAGAGGCAGAAGATGAAGACAGAAGAATTCAGAGAGATTCAAAGCCTGAGAAGGGCTCGACACACCATTGCTGGCTTTGCAGATGGAGGAGCCATCTGGCCAGCCTCAAGTTGCTGAGAGCATTCCCAGCTGATAGGAAACAGTCCTATCACCACAAGAAGGTGAATTCTGCCACAACCTGAATGAGCTTGGAAAAGATTCTCCCCTCAAGCCCCCAGAGAAGAGCCCAGAGTGGCCAACACCTTAAGATCAGCCATGGGAGCTGAGACGGCAGCTCAGCCTGCCTGGACTTCTGGCTTCCAGAAGCTGTGAGTTAATGAATGGGTGTTGTTTTAAGCCACTTAATGTGTGGTAATCTGTTACACAGCCATAGAACACTGACAGGCGAAGAGTAAGACCATGTATGGTAGGGAGCCACGGTCATCAGCACAAATACCCACAGGGGCCCTGCAAGGCTGGCCCAGCCCAAGGAAACTGCAGCCACCAACACTCACCTTCAGAGCCAGGGAGGCCAAGCTGGGAGGAGTGGGCCTCGGTCTGTCTGGATAGCCCACCCGCTCCACACCCGCAGCCGTTGCCTGGCAGGAATACAGGCTCAGTGTATCCAAATGACCGAATTTTTAAAGAGAATACAGAAATCCAATTTTTTATATACAATGTCCTAATTCAAACTTTACTAACACTGTGTTGGCCCACCTTGTATAGACCAAACAAAACACAGATGTGTGTTTTGAGCCACATGTGATCTTCTAGGGCACCAGCCGAGTATAGGAGAAAAAGCAGGAAAGTCCCTAGAGGCAGTGGGGAGCCAGCCTAAGTGCCTGCCCTTCCTCTTACCCAGCGGAGAAAGGGACTCACATGCACAGGAAGCCCACTTCCAGCTAGGGGATCTGTTGGGCCGCCCGAATGAGGGCTCCCCAGCAATCCACCATCACGAGGGCTCCTGGTCCCGTTTACAGATGAGGAAGCTTGGGCAAGAGGCGGTTCAGTACCCACCTGTGGTCAGGCAGGTGTAAAATGGTGATGCTGGGCTCAAAATTCCGCTTCTGATTCCAGAATCTGAGTCCTTCCAGCAGCTTCACGTGGCATTCAGCATTGAACGTTTTCTTGAGATTGAAAGGGGTTTGCGGTCATGTTTCCGAGGCCTGGGCTTCCCACTCCTCGCTTGTTGACCACCTTTCTCTCCCTACTCCAGGCTCCTGCCCCTCCATCTCTCCAGCCCCTGCCCCATGGCTGCCCTTCCTCACAGCCCCTTCCTCACCCCCTGCATCCCAGCCTCTCCCATTCCATTCTCGCTGCTTGATTGTAGCTCAGGCTCTCACTTTCCCAGTTCCAAATTCTTGAGAAAGGAATCGAGTTAGCTCAGGTCACTTTTTTTGTCCCAAGTCAGAATGGGTCATAGGTCAGATGCCAGCCCAGGCATGAGCCTGCATAACCCCTCTGCCCACTCTCCCATCTCTAAGCAACCCCCATCTCAGGGCCAAATGATTAACACATGGTATGAGCAGGACTCCCAGGTAGCAGGGGCTTAGGTGAGCCATTTCCCTTAAAAAGGAATGTGGCACAGCTGGGCACAATGGCTCACACCTGTAATCCCAGCACTTTGGGAGGCTGAGGTGGGCAGATCAGCTGAGGTCAGGAGTCCAAGACCAGCCTGGCCAACATGGTGAAACCCCGTCTCTACTAAAAATACAAAAATTAGCTGGGCATGGTGGCAGGGGCCTGTGATCCAGCTACTCGGGAGGCTGAGGCAGGAGAATCGCTTGAACCCGGGAGGCGGAGGTTACAGTGAGCGGATATCGTTCCATTGCACTCCAGCCTGGGGGACAAGAGTGAGACTTCGTCGCAAAAAAAAAAAAGAAAAAAGAAAAAAGGAATGTGACACAATGGCACCCCAAACACCTGCCGGCCCCATGCCTGACACTCAAACATGGTTGAATGGGAGTGGCCTGGGCCAGTGGAGCTGAGTGCTCACAACAGAGCTCAGAATCCATTGGAAGCCTCTGAGACATTCACAGGCTGGGGGCACTGACAGGGACAAGATGCAGATCACCTCTATAATGACGCACATGAGAGAAGAAGCCAGGATGTGCACTAAGTCCATGCCCATCCCCTTAGCAATGTCTAACTGTGGAGTAGAGCACTCTCAGGACAAATGATCTCTTCGTTTCCCACAGAGAGGATGACATTTTGTAAGCAACAAGTTCTCACTCTGCCTTTCTCTAATATGAAATGGAGGAAGGCCTCTGCAGAGCCATCCAAATAGTCAGGAGCTGAACACTAGACCAAGATGAGGTGAGAGGGCTCATCTTGCTGAGAGAAGGGGAGAGTTGCTGATCCTTCCTCTTCAGGAACACAGCCACACAAAAGCCTTATTTCTAAGGGAGGGTGGCAGGTTCTTAAAAACAACCTGATTAGCTTATATGACACATAATAAACTGCATGGGTTTATATGCATTGCACAAGGCGATGCTTTGACTTGGGAAAACATCACCACAATTAAGATAATGAATATACCCACTACCCCCAAGTGTCCTCATGACATTTGTCATAATCCCCCCATCCTTCCTCATTTCCCCATGCTCCTGTCTCTTGGCAACCACTGCCTTTTTTTTTCTGTCACTACGTTTACATTTTTTAGTATTTAATATAAATCGAATCATGTAGTATGTGCTCAGTCTTCTCTGTCTTCTTTCACTCAGCATAATTATTTTGCCATTTATCCACATTGTCATTTGTGTGTATGCCAATCATTTCTTCCTTTTCATGGCTAAGTAATATTCCATGGTATGACACCGCACAATTTGTCCACCCATTCACCTGTTGATGAACATGTGGCTTGTTTCCAGTTTAGGACTACTCCCAACACAGCTGCCATGAACATTCACATGCATGCGAGTGTTTATTTTATGCTTGTACATATGCTTTCTTTTCTCTTAACAAAATACCCAAGAACAGAATGGTGGGATTATTTGGTAGGCGTGTATTTGAGCATGGCAGTTGTGATGAAACTTCCACCCAGGTTTCAGAGTGTCCACACTGTGTAGGTGTTTGAGCATGGCAGTTGTGATGAAACTTTCCTCTAGGTTTCAGAGTATCCACACTGTGTATATTTAGCCCACAAGTCAAAGGTACACACAAACCACATGTGAACCAAGAACACACACACACTCACCCACAAGGAGTTTGCATCAGCTGCAACAGACTTCATCCTATCCTCCCAGACAACATGTGAAGGGAGCTTCCGGAAGGGAAATCTCCCAGGCTGCCCTCTGATTTTGTAAAATGTTCAATGCACAAGCTCCTGACAGCATGGATACTTTATAAATGGCTCACAGAGGGCTGTGGGGTCTGTCTCTGGGAGATCCTTTAATTAATGGCACCATCTCATTGGCCTAGAATAGAATAGTTACAGTCAATACTGAGAGCTTTGGCATGAAGTGAAGCAGAGCTGGAATTCTCTAAGGGTGGTGCCATCAGCATCCCCTGGGAACTTGTTAGAAATGTGCATTCTCTCCAGCCCAGATTTCCTGAGTAGAAGCTCTGAGATGGAGCCCAGCAATCCAGACTTTAACCAACCTTTCCGGTGATTCTGATGCATGCTCCAGTTAAGAACCACTGGCCTAGAACACCTCCCAAGCCCTTCAAGTTTCTTGGAATTGAAACCATCAGAAATTATAATACACCAACAGCACCATCCCCTCTATTGCCTGGGTTCCACCCACAGACCTGTGGTGCCCCATTCCCTTAGCACCCCACAGTCTCATAGTAAAGTTTCCTCATGGAATCAAGTTACCATGCAGAATGCACACCTGCACAATGATAGTTATCACTTCTTTCCCCAAAACATCAAACTTTTTTAGAAAAGGAAAAATGTCTCAAGAACACAATCATTGGAGTATTTAATTCCAATGATCATAATCACCCATTTCTTTACACGTGGCTCTCACCCTGGCATAAATGGAGCATAAAGGGCATAAATGGAGCTAAAAAAAGAGAAAAAGACAAAGATTCTAATTGATGCACTACAACGCTTTTTACTGCTTCAGAACCCTCCCTGAAAATTTACCCATCAACAGGAAAATCAATTAAACTTGAATAGGAAGAATTTGAGTAAAAATATTGGATACTTTTTACTTTAATCTTCAGATTAAGCATGATTTCCACTCGACATTATCATCGAAGAGAAGTTCTTCCTTGGTATTTTTGCATGCTTAAAATTTAGCCCAGTCTTTGAAAACCCTTTCCAGCTTCCAGCTAAGCAGAACCTTGCCACTCACTTTGAACTTTCCGGCAAGGAAAGCCTTCTGCGGGTTCATTTTGCCCAAAACCAGCTCCATAAAGACAGACTCCGGGATTGTAAAGACAGTGTCTGCTGGGAGCCTGGCAGGTCCCGGATACATGTCCCCAGAACCATTCTTCAGATCAATGGTCCACCGCAAAATGGTCTTCCCATTTTTGGTGATGTCCAGCTGAAAGACGGCATTGACTTTCTTGACCAATTGAGCTCCCACTTCCCTGATGTGAAGCCTAATGTCCTGAAACACTGGGAAGCTCTCAAATTCTGACAGCTCTAGAGGATGTGGCATGGCAGGTTCTGGAACTGAACCCAGAACCTCGAACTGGCCCACCAGAGGTCCATCCTCTGCTTTGATCTTGGGTTGATGGTCACTTCTCTTCCACATCTTCCTGTGCTAGTCCCCTGGACCTTGCCATCTAGTCTGTGAGCAGCTGTGACCAGATTAATACCCACAGGTCAGATTGTGACATCAAAGGTAAGGCCAAGTGGGGACTGAAGCTGGTGTGTGTGCTACAGTCTTATTGGCCAAACAAATGATAACGTGTGACCTCAGATAAGGGCTCAGACAGGCCATTGTGAGGCAGATCCACACACACACGCCCCTCCCAAACCAATCAGGGATGTTGGTCCTGCAAGCCCAAAAGGTCTGCAGGCTGCAATGGGGTTAAGGGAAACTGGCCCCAGAAGCTTCTTTAGTGACATGAGCTCTGTCTTTCCAATGCAGACATCTCCTCAGTGAAACCCAACGTGAGACAGAAGTTATTCTTATTCCTCTAAAACTAGGTAACACTTAAGTCCCATTAAGTGGGTAATACTTAAGTTAATACTACAGATCCTAGTGCTGAATTTGGCTTTATCTGGCTGCTGGTAGAAAGGGAAATGCTTTTAGGCCAGAGTAATTGATTGGAGAAGGAATCAGTCCAGGAGCCTGCATCAGAAACTTTCCAGAAGCACAGTGAGACACACACAGAGAGATTAAATGTCCCTAAGATCAGAAGATGCTGCCAGTCTCCTCTGATAATTACACGTAATAGTATAGCCCTTGCTCTGGGCCAAGGTGCAGAGTTCTAAGTACTACACATGTATTAACACATTTAACTCTCATTACAACCCTCTATGATAGGTATTTTTTCTTTTTTTTTTTTTTTTTTGAGACAAGGTCTTGCTCTGTCACCCAGGCTGGAGTACAGTGGCGCGATCTCTGCTCACAGCAGCCTCTGCCTCCTGGGCTCATTTGATCCTCCCACCTCAGTCTCCCAAGTAGCTGGGAATACGGCGTGTGCCACCACACCTGGCTAATCTTTGTACTTTTTGTAGAAATGGGGTTTCACCATGCTGCCCAGGTTGGTCTCAAACTCCTGGGCTAAAGTGATCCACCTACCTCGGCCTCCCAGATAGGTATTCTTTTTATCCCCATTTTACATATAAGGAAACTGAGGGGAGAAATGAAGTAACTTGCCCAATGTCACACAGTTAGTAAGTAGTGTAGCCAGATTTGAGGAGAGGCAGAATGACTCCAAAGTCCACCTGTTTATTTCTTTACTTTTTATTCTGAAATAATTTCAGTCTTATAAAAAGTTTGCAAAAATAGTACCTGTTTAACCTTCTCCCAGCTTTCCCCAAAACTAACATCTTATATAATCACAGTACAGTGATCTAATCTGAGAAATTCACATTGGTTCATGACTACTAACTAATCTACAGACCATGTGAGACCATATCTATTTGGTTGCAGGTCTCCCTAGTGCCTTGCAGTCTGGGGCAGCTCTTCAATCTTTGTCTATCGTTACCTTGACACTTGAATACTGGCCAGTTATTCCCAAAAATGTCCCTCCTTTGAGGACTGCCTGATGCTTTCTCCTGGTTAGGTGGAGGTTATGCATTTGGGACAAGGATGCCACAGAGGTGACCTGTGCTCTTCCCACTGTGCCATAGCAGGCGTCCATGATGTTATGTCCCATTTCTGCCGATGTTGTCCTTGATCACTTGGTTAAAGCGGCTCCTTCAGGCTTCTGCACTGTAGAGTTACTGTTTTTCCCTCTGTGATTAGTATCTTTAGGGGAGGTGCCTTGAGACCTTGCAAATGCCCTGTTTTGCATCATCCTCTGGCCTACTCTTGTTGCATCCATCCATGGCCCATCCCTGCAGCAATCAGTGTGAGGTAGGCCCAGCAGTCATCTTCTATGCTTCTTACTCCCTTGAGATTTAATAACTGGAATTCTGCTCTAAGGAAAATTGCCCTCTTCTCTCCCATTTCTTTATTTGTTCAATTATTTATTTATCTCAGCATGGACTTGTGGGTATTTGTTTATTCTGTGGGTCATAATCTACTATTATCATTGTTTATTTCCTTGCTAAATTGTCCCAGATTTGGCCATAGGGAGCTTCATCAAGTTGGAGCCTGTATCCTTTCCTATACCAAACTGCTCTTATGTGTAAGCAAAGCTCTGTTATATGGAGTTGCTGGAAACTTCGTTCTTTCTGGGAATGTTGCAGAAGAATGAAAAAGGCTTCAAAGTACATTTGCAAAGATGGATGAGCTGCTGTTATCAAAGCTGAGCAGTTAAACAAAGCCCAGTGTCTTCCAAAACCATGTTCTTGCCATGAGGTCACCAGGTATGGACAACATCAGCACAGAGATTTTAAAATGAGGAGGGCAGGAATTCCCCAGCAAGTTCACTATAAGCAGTCAACAAAGAACTGAGCCCCACCACTGCCCGTATCTCATTTTCCTCAAAGACAGCGCCGTCCCATCTAAATTATTCAGGCAGGTCCCCAATAGGGCTGTCATTCTCCTGCCACAGTGTGTCCGAGGGGAATGCAGTTCCACAGCTCATACATAAGAAATCCAAAACATGCCAGGACTCAAGGGAGCACTTCCCCAACGACATTCTTTAGAATTGTCCTCCAATAGAAATAATAAAAGTAGAGACACTGTCTAGTCAGTTTTATTATTTAAATTCTCAACAGATACTACTGCCTTGTTACCTGCACCGTGGCAGGCTGCTTCTCCTACCTTGACTGCCACCCCATTGGCATCTTGAAAACACGCACCCTGCAACTGGACACAATCTTCCTCAGCCCTGTTGAGATTCTTTCCCCTTTGGTTGCCATTCAGACCCAAGGATCTGGTCCCAGCAGATTTGTAGCTTTTTGTTTCTGAATTCTTCAAATGCTTTAAAGGAATGTGAGAGGCATGGAGATCTGTTCCCTAAGAAATACAATTAAATTAAAATTTAAAAATAAAAAATTGCAAAACCATTTTATTAAATAGGATGCTTTTAGCTTCAAGTAACAACCACTACCATAAAAACTGATAATGGTTCAATTCAGTGGTCCCAAAATGGGGTCCCCAGGCCAGTGGCATCAACTCCACCTAGGGATTCATTAGAAATGCACATTCTCAGGCCCCATGCCAGATCTGCTGAATCAAAAACTCTGGGGAGGGGACCCGGCTGTATTAATCAGGGTTCTCCAAAGAAAAAGAACCAATATGATATATAGAGAGAGAGATGAAAGGAGTTATTATAGGAACTGGGTCACATGGTTTTGGAGGTCAAGAAGTCCCACATGCAAACAAGGGACACAGACAGGGGGTGTAATTCATTCCAGGTCCGAAGGCCTGGACTGGGGGGCGGCGGGGGTTGGTGTAAGTCCTGGACCAGGACCCCAGATGTCCAAAGGCAGGAGAAGATCCACGTCTCAGGCCTGGCAGAGAGGCTGAGTTCCACCTTCCCCTCACTTTTTGTCCCATTAAGACCCTCAATAGATGGGATGATGCCTCCCACATTGGGGATGGCCATCTGCCTTACTCAGTCCACCAATTCAAGTGCTGTCCCCTCCTTCTAGAAATGCTTCCATGGACACTCTCTGAAATAATGTTTTACCTCTGGTCTGGGGATCCCATGGCCCAGTCAAGTTGACACATAAAGTGAACCATCATGCCAGCAACTGGGGTTATAACAGGCCCTCCAAGGTCTGAAAATTGGGTTTTTCTACTATGGCTTGGAGAGGTCAGCCAAGACCTCTGTGCTGTGTCCACTCTTGCATTCTACCATCCTCAATGTGTTGCCTTTTGTCCCCAGTTTGTCACTTCACGGCTGCCTGGCTGCCATGGCTCCTTCCATCACATCCTCAGAAGACAGCAGCCCAAGCCAAAGGGACAAAAAAGACCTCTCCTTGGACCTATTGCTTACCAGAAAGAAAAGGTCCCAAGGCCTCCACTGGTCTCACTGGCAAGGACTGAATCACATGTCCATCAGGATTCACACCCCTGAGCAGGGCTCCCCGTCCCTTGGACAGAATTGGAGTTGGGGTAACAGGAAAGAAAAGGGTGTTGCACAGCGACAAGTGCCCACCACAGGTACCCACAGCTTCTTCCATTGCACCTCGGAAGGCAACAAGGAGAAACCCCATCATTTTTGAGAGCTTTGGTGTCATTACATTTCAATAACAAAGGTCATTTCCCTTTTTTGCCAGCCTCCTCATTGGGAACAAAATGTGGCTGGGGGCTTTCTTTCTGAAAGTTTGCAAATCCATCTCCCACTTGCCAACCCAGCACCTGGGCAGGTGTATTCACTCACAGGTGTCGGGCTGGCAGATGGGTCAAACAGAATAGGGGAATGGGATTAAGAAGTGTCACCCACCCCCATCCCCTGAATGGGAACAAATCTATGTCACCGAGTTTACCCTTGCTGTGAGGGCCTCAGACAAGGTGCCTGCACCTGGGTATCAGATGCAGTGAGAGGAGAAGGAAAGGACTTTCACCTTTTACTTTATATATTCTGCTTTGTTTGTAATGAGTGTGCACTCTCTCCATGGTTTCTTAATTGAATACAATTTTTCCAACATCTTATTCTTAAAATTTTTAGGCATATTTTGCAAAGTTGAAAGATTTCTACAGTCAACACTCAAATATTCACCAATATTCTATCATTGCACTATATTACACTTGTTTGAAGCTCTCCATCTTATTTTTATCTTATTTTTATGTTTCAAAGTAAATTACAGGTATCAGTAGCCCCCAAACACTTGAGTATGCAAAGCATTTACTACAGTACAATATTTCTTTAGTTTTTCATGTAAAATTTACACACAAAGAAATGCACAAATCTTAAGTGTACATTTGCTGAGAGTTGACCAATGCACACACCTGAATATAACACATTTTAGTACTAAGGAGCTGAATGCCACGTGGCCCACAGCCCCCAGTTGCCTTGAGAGACACACAGCCATCTGCAGTGTGTGCAGAAGCATGAACAAGCAGGAGCTGGGGTTTCTTCTTCACTCGTCAGGTGGAAGGCTGCTTCCTGGCAGCATGGGGCTGTCACCATGAGTCCCCAGAGGAAGGTCTGAAAGTGTCTCCACCAAAGACCCAAAGACCAGAGGCATAAACCAGGATCTCCACATTGAGAAGACATCATACCTTCTGAGCCTCGACACAGATGGGAAATCAACTTTTATGAACTCCTCTGAAGGCTTAAAATCTTTGTTCTGTGGGCCATCTGGTTTCCAGTAGGACCATCACCCACTTCCCTGGCCCCTGCTGAATCCAGTCACATTTTTAACAATGCTGAGCCCTGGCCTGGGTCCCAGAAATTCTCACAGGATTGATGATTCAATTGAGGGTTGGTAAGTACCAATCCTGCCCAACATAATGAGCTGGAGCCTGCATGGGATACACAGAAGGGCAGATACGTGATCCCTGCTCCCAGAAACTCAGAACATGGGCAGGAGAGATGCATACAAGTTTAAAAATCCAACTATGAGAAGAGATTGATAATAACTGCTTACGGAAGAAGACAATGAGGTAGCACGTCAGGATCCCCATTCTACACACCCAACAGGCAGAAGCCTCTTGTCTGAAACTTATATCATTTCCTGGAATCTTGTTTGTCTGCCCCCAGACAGAGAACCTGAGATATGAATTCAACGTAGCTTATTTGTGAGATGAAGTTGGGGGAATGGAGAAGTGAGATGGAGAAGGGAAACCAGCCAATAGAGAGTGTGTACTCAAGAGGTTACCCTGGGCTTTGGGAGGCCAAGGCGGGCAGATCATGAGGTCAGGAGATCGAGACCATCCTGGCTAACACGGTGAAACCCTGTCTCTACTAAAAATACAAAAAAAAAAATTAGCTGGGCATGATGGTGGGTGCCTGTAGTCCCAGCTACTCAGGAGGCTGAGGCAGGAGAATGGCGTAAACCCGGGAGGCGGAGGTTGCAGTGAGCCGAGATCGCGCCACTGCACTCCAGCCTGGGCAACAGAGAGAGACTCCATCTCAAAAAAAAAAAAAGAAGAAGAAGAAGTTACCCTGGGCCACTGGAGTTTAATCTTGCAGGAAAACTCTAGGAAACTCATGTAAGACAAGTTAACCCCACTCCCATGAGGGACAGGGGAGCTGGGACTTACCCAACCACTCCATCACCCACTGCTCCCAGGACATTAATTCCAGCATGCAGAGATGGGAACAAGGCAGGTGTCAATGGCCAGAGAAAGCCCTGGGGCAAGTGCAGCCAGCTGGGAGCCAGGCTGTAGGCACCACTGTGTTGGGGGCAGGGTATGGGTGGGGCATCACTAATGCCTGCGGTAACCAGGGATCACCAAAATCTGCTTTGGGATGGCATTTCTCTGGCCCCATTATGTCAGAAAAGAAATGGACTCAAACAGCATATAGCAGGAAGACATAAAAGACTACGCACCATTTGCTTCCATTTATATGAAGTTCTAGAAGAAGCAAACTAATCTATAATGACAGAAGGCAGAAGGCAGATTCATGGTTGCCTGGGACTGAGGGTTGGGGGACTTTCAGGGACTTTCTAGAATAATGGGAATGTCCTGTAACTTGACTGCAGTAGTTACACAGGGTGCACACTTGTTAACCCACCTCCCAACTGTACACTTGAGACCTGTGCTAAATTACTGTGTTTAAAATTAAAAATTTAAATTTAAAAATTTTAAAAACAACTCAAATAAATAAGTAAACTGCGTAACTATCTAGTCCTTTCAAGCTTTGGGAAAGGACTTCTGGACTAAGCCTCCACTTGGGAAGCTCTCCAAAATAGTTTTCCAAAGTACCATTTTGTATTCCCACAAGCAAATGCATGAGGATTCTAGTTGCTCTGTGTCAGGGACTGAATATTTGTGTCCTCCCAAAATTCAAATATTTATTAAATCCTAATCTCCAACATCATGATATTAGGAGGCTGGGACTTTAGGAGGCAATTAAATTGGGTAGGCTATGATGGGATTAATGCGCTTATAAGAAAAGAGGAGGCCAGGCACAGTGCTTCACACCTATAACACCAGCATTTTGGGAGGCCAAGGTGGGAGGATCACTTGTGTCCAGGAGTCTGAGACCAGCCTGGGCAACATAGTGGAACTTCATCTCTACAAAAAAAAAGAGAGAGAGAAGAAGAAAGAAGAAGAAGAAGGAGGAGGAGGAGAAGGAAGAAGAACAGAGAAGAGAGAATAACAGGAAGAGAGCCCCCCTGCCCATCCTGAACATGCTCTAAGCCAGAAGATGGCCATCTACCAGCCAGGAAGCGGGCCTTCAGGAGACACTGAATGTGCGGGCACAGTGATCTTGGACTTCCTGGCCTCCAGAATTGTAAGAAATAAATTTCTGTCATCTAAGCCACCTAGTCTATAATATTTTGTTACAGCAGCTCAACCTAAGACACTCTGCACACTTGTCAGCACTTGGTTGGTTGGTTGGTTGTTCCACCATTCATCTTCATCTGTTTTGTGTTGCTATGAAGGAATATCTGAGGCTGGATAATTTATGAAAAAAAAAAAAGAGGTTTATTTGGCTTATGGTTCTGCAGGCTGTACAAGAAGCATCTGCTTCTGGTGAAGGCCTCAGGCCCCTTCCATTCATGGCAGAAGGCAAAGGGGAACCAGTGTGTACAGAGATCACATGGGGGCAGCAAGGCGGGGGAAGGTGCCAGGCTGTTTGTAACAACCAGCTTTCTCAGGAATTAACAGAGCAATAACTCACTCGCCTCATCCCCGAAAAGGGAAGGCATTAATCTCTTTATGAGGTTATCCTCTCTTCATGAAGATCCATCCCCATGACTCAGCCACCTCTCATTAGGCCCCACCTCTAACACTGGATATCAGATTTCAACATGAGATGTGGAGGAAACACACATTCCAACTACAGCATCATTCTATATGTACGCATATATGTCTGCAGCCCACATATCTTTGAGTTCTAAGACAGTGACAGCAGCAACAGGAAACCTGTTCAGAGGCAGTGGTGAAAAATTTTTTTATATTTGATATGGCTTCAGGAAATGGCATGTATTACTGTGGGTGAGGCTCTTATCTAAGTAGAATTTCACCTCTTACTCTGTTGATGCAAAGACTGTGATAGGTCAAATTACAGGTCTTAATCCATCACACCTGTAGTGGGATTATTATGTAGTCGTAAGTGGAGCAAAATTACCCACCCTTGTGAAGGTGGCTGTGTCCGTGGGGTTTGCTTTGGCCAGCGGGATGTTATCGGACATGATGTGAGCAGAGGCTTGAAATGTCCTTGCGCAGTGGGGCTTTCATGCTTGTGCTTCTGCCATGGCCATGACAAGGTCATGCCCTAGGGAGCTGCTGGTCCAGGAAGGATGAGACACGTGTGGAGCTGACCTAAATCAGTCAAGCAGGAAATTACCATGTAGACCCACGAGAATAAATTCTGCTCATTTTAATCCTCTGAGCTTTTAAGTGGTTTGTTACTCAGCATTACTGTGGCCCTAACTGACTGTGGTAAAGTCCAAAAAAAGTAATAGCTGGGCTTGCAAACCAGTCCTTATGGGCAAAGTCTTCAGTACTTAAACAGACAAATCTTACTGAAGTTACAGCCTGCAGTCTTTCCACACAGCAGACAGACAGACACATTCAGTGCTAGGGCTTGGCTGAGATGATGACATAATGTTCCCTACCTGAGTCAGGCTCCACACACTCAGTTGCTTTTGTCTACACACTTGCTACTTAAAATGTTTGTGGACCAGCATCAGTGGCATCCCTGGGAGCTGGTTAGAAATATGGAATCTCAGATCCCACGCAGACCTGCTTAATTGGTGTCCACATTTTAACAAGATGCCCAATGATTCCTCTGCTCATTAAAATGTGTAATATGCTGAACTACAACACGAAGATAGAGAGATTAGATAGAGATAGATGATAGATATAGATATAGTTATAGACGATATAGATATAGATAAATATGATCCCCCACATACCTGTTGCATTCTCGCTGGTTTGAAAATAAAAACTATCTCGTAATTTGTCTCTAGGTTAAAGTTTACAACACACACACACACACACACACACACACACACTTTGGGAAAAACATGATTCAAACTGAGAAGAAACATTTAATTTAAACATTTTCAAGTAAAAATGTTTTATTTTTTTCTTCATTTGCTTTTTTATTAATAGACTTTATTCTTTAGAGCAGTTTTAGGTTTATAGAACATTTGAGAAGCATGGAAAGTTCTGAAACACTTCATCTCCCTGCTCCCCTGCTTAGTTTCCCCTATTTTTAATATCTTGCATCAGTGTGGTACATTTGTTACAACTGATGAGCCCATATTGATACATTATTTTTAATTAAGGTCCACAGTTAATGTGTTAAGGTTCACACTTAGTGAGGTACATTACATGGGCTTTGCCGAATGCATAATGTCATGTATCCACCACTACAGTATCATACAGAGCAGCTTCACTGCCCTAAAAATCCTCGGAACTCTGTCTATTCATCCTTCCCTCCTCCCTAACCTCTGGCAATCACTTATCTTTTCACTGTCTAAAGTTTGGCCCTTTACAGAATATCATATAGCGGAATCGTACAGGATGTGGCCTTTTCAGATTGGCTTCTTTCACTTAGCAATGTGCATTTTAAGTTTTCTCCATGTCTTTTTGTATCTTGATAGCTCATTTCTTTTCATCACTAAATAATATCATATGGCTACAACACAGTTTATCTATTCACCTACTGAAGAACATCTTGGTAACTTCCAGCTTTTGCCAGTTATTTAAAAAGCTGCTATAAACACTTGTGTGCAAAATTTTGTGTGGACATAAGCTTATGCTGTTTTATAGGTTTTTTAAAATACTGAAGTATTTAACAACTGAGCCAATTGTTGATATTATTATTATTGTTGTTAATATTTACTGAGCTATAACAATCCTCCAAGCACTGTAGTAAAGCCCTTTAAACCTCATAATATTCTGGGGTAGTTACTAACATTGTTCTCACCTTAGAAATGAGGAAATTGAGAGGCTGAGTAGCTTGTCCAAAGGCACATAGCTAACTACTTTGAACCCAAGAGTTTATGGGTTTGGACATTTCAAAACCAAAATTTTTGTTTCACCTGATCCTTCTGGAATAATGTTTGTTGTTGAATTGTTATTATGTATTAAGACATAAAATATATCTTTAAAGAAAGAGATTTCCACCCCCTTCATGAGTTTCTCTCTTATAAGTGGGTGCTTCTCTCATTAGAGAAATTCCAATGCAGCTGGCCAAGAAGCACATGGAAAGGTGCTCAACGTCATTAGTCATTAGGGAAATTTGAATTAAAACTATAATAAGATTCCTCTTCACACCCACTAAAATGGCTAAAATTGGAAGAACTGGCAATGGCAGATGTTGGTGAGGAGATGGAGCAACTGGAACCCTGTGCTTTTTTAATAAGAGTGCAAAATGATGCTGCTTCTGAAGCCGACTCTTTGGCATTGTTACATGATTAAATACGGACTTACCATACAATCTTTTATTTCCACTCCTAGCTATTTATGCAAGAGAAATATATAGGTCTACAGAAAGACATGTAATGAGTGTTCTCAGCAGCATTACTCATTAAAGCAAAACACTGAAGATGATCCAAATCTTTTTTTTTTTTTTTTTTTTTTTGAGACAGGGTCTCACTCTGTCAAGCAGGCTGGAGTGCAGTGCAGTGGCACCATCTGGGCTCACTGCAACCTCCGCCTGCCAGGTTCAAGCAGTTCTCCTGCCTCAGACTCCCCAGTTGCTGGGATTACAGATGCCTGCCACCACACCCAGCTAATTTTTTTGTATTTTTAGTAGAGACAGGGTTTTACCATGTTGGCCAGGCTGGTCTCGAACTCCTGACCTCAGGTAATCCACCCACCTCAGCCTCCCAAAGTCCTGGGATTACAAGCGTGAGCTGCCGCACCCAGCCCCAAATCTTAGGTTCTTCATCTTCTGTTCTTTAACAGGAAATTGTATCAACAAATTATGGTGTAATCATGGAATAGAATACTACATGGCAATAAACAGGAATGAGCAATTGATTCACTCAACGACAGGGATGAATCTCAGATATATTACGCTGAGTGAGAAAAGCCAGATTCTCCAACACACGATACGATTCCATTTTAAGACAGTCTAAAAATGGCAAATTACAGAAACAAAAATAAGTGACCAGTGGTTTGCAGGGATTGGGGGTAGACAATGGATTTATCTGCAAAGGGGCACAGAGTTTTGTTGGGGTTTTTTTAAAGCAGGGAAGGTGATGGGACTTTACTCTGTCCTGATTGTGGCAGTGGTTACACAACTGTTTTACCTTTGTCAAAACTCAGAACTGCACTGGGAAAGATTTAATTAAACATGTAAAGTATACCTCAATAAACCTGACTTGAAAAGCAAAAAGATGTGTGGGCAGATTTGCATTGCTACTGGTCTGAGCTCTTTCTAAAGCAGAAGTCACAGCCAAATCTAGAATACTGGATTTTTATTTTTTAAATTAGTTTCCATATTAGTACCAACTGCTATTATCGCATTATGATGCATAAATTTTAGCTTTTTAGTTCCTTCTTACATCAGTTAATTCTTGCTACATTATGAAGCGAAACAAACCAACCACAAAATCTCAGCAGCATGTAACATTCACTGTTTATTTCTCACAGGTCTGTCAGAAATACAGACCTGGGCTGAGACTGGCTAGGCAGCTCTTCTGGGACACACGTGTTGCTCGTCTGTTCTCTGGGACAGCCAGGTGTGTTCTTTCCATGACGATGACAGCAGCATAAGAGCAGCAGCGGAAACACACATGACCTCTTAAGGCCCAGCACTGGCTCACAGCCATTCTGCCCATGCACCAATGGCAAAAGCAAAGCTCAGAGCCAGGCTTAAAGTCGAAGATTTAGGACACACTCTCTGTCCATGATGAAGCCATAACTGGGTGAGAGGCAGCGAGAGGATCAAAATTGGGACTGAAAATGCAACCTGCCATAGCTACTGACATGTAAAAAGGGAGAGATGTCAAATTTTAAGATCCAGATTTCTGGCTGTTCTTACACTAGAAGGATCTGAACCTTCATCTGGTGACAATTAGCCAGTTTTGAAAACAAAGTTGCTGCTTGCTTCAGGCAGGCAGGGGTTCCCATTCCAACAGCTCCTAGTCATAACCTGCCTGACCCCTGGTGACCCCTTTCCAAAAGTCAGGTATACAGAGGAAATGTTCCAGAATTCCCGAGATCTTTTCTTCACTATATTTCACCAGAAATGCCACAAGAATTTGGACAATATGAAGTTTGCCTCCATATGCATTCATCCAACAAATATTTACTAAGTACCTAGTGTGTGGAAAGCACTGGGCTGGAAATACACACAAAAACAAAAGGCAGCCGGGCACTGTGGCTCACACCTGTAATCCCAACATTTTGGGAGGCTGAGACGGAAGGACCACTTGGACCCAGGAGTTCAAGACCAGCTTGGGCAACATAATGAGGCCCTGTCTATACAAAAAACAGTTTTTTAATTGGTTGGGTATGGTGGCTCACTCCTGTAGTCCCCACTACTGGGGAGGCTGAAGTGGGAGGATTGCTTGAGCCTGGGAAGTCAAGGTTACAGTGAGCTATCATGGCCACACTGCACTCCAGCCTGGGCAACAGACCAAGACTCTGTCTTAAAAAAAAAAAAAAAAGGTGGGTGCGGTGGCTCACGCTTGTAATCCCAACACTTTGCGGGGCCGAGGTGGGCAAATCATGAGGTCAGGAGATTGAGACCATCCTGGCTAACATAGTGAAACTTCGTCTCTGCTAAAAATACAAAAAAATTAGCCAGGCATGGTGGCAGGTGCCTGTAATCCCAGCTACTCGGGAGGCTGAGGCAGGAGAATGGTGTGAGCCCAGGAGGCGGAGCTTGCAGTGAGCCGAGTTCTTACCACTGCACTCCAGCCTGGGCGACAAAGCGAGACTCCGTGTCCAAAAAAAAAGAAAAAAAAAAAAAAAGACGGCAACAACTATTGGCAAAGGTGCAGAGAAATTGCACTATTGGTGGGAATGTAAAATGGTGCAGCTGTTATGGGAAACAGTGTAGTACCTCCTTTAGAAATTAAACATAGAATTGCTACATGATCTGGCAATTCTACTTCTGAGCATATACCCAAAAGAACTGAAAGCAGACTCCAATACTTGTACACCCATGCTCATAGCAGCGTTTCTCACAATAGCCAAAAGGTGGAAACAACCCAAGAGTTTATCAACATATGATTTGATAAACAAAATGTGGTCTATACATACAATGGAATTTTTTATATATACTTTAAGTTCTGGGATACACGTGCAGAACATGCAGGTTTGTTACATAGGTATACACGTGCCATGGTGGTTTGCTGCACCCATCGACCCATCATCTACATTAGGTACAATGGATTTTTTCAGCCTTAAAACAGAATTAAATTTTGATACATACTACAACATGAATGAATCTTGAAGACATTACACTACATGAAATAAGCCATTCACAAAGGACATATCCTCTAAGACTCTACTTATGTGAGGTACCTGGAGTAGTCAAATTCATAGAGATAGAAAGTAGAATGGTGCTTGCCAGGGGGTGCAGGGAGTAGAGAATATGGAGTTGTTTAATGGGTACAGAGTTTTAGTCTGGGTAGATGAAAACGTTCTGGAGATGGACTGTGGTGATGGCTGCAGAACAATGTGAATGTACTTAATGCCAATGAATTGTACACTTAAAAATTGTTTCAATGGCATATATACACATATTTCATCACAATAAAAAAATATACAAAGGAAATATGTCTAAGAAGCAGCTTATAGCTAGCAGAATTGAGAAAAACATATACATAAACATCTAAGATAGAAGGCAACCTATTATAAGTGCCATGAGAGGAATACATATGGTGGCTTTAAAATATGTTCACAAATTCTTCCATACTTCTACCTTCAAAAAGTAGAACCTAATTCCTCTTCCTTAAAGGTAGGTTGTACTTAGTGATTTATTTCTAACAAATAGAGTATGGCAGAAGTGAGGGTATATAACCCCCAAGATTAGGACATAAAAAGCACTGTGGTTTCCTATTTGCTTCTTCTTGAATCACTCACTCTAGATGAAACCAAAAGCCATGTTTAAGGATTCCCAAGCAGCATCTCCTTGGAGACTTCCATGTGGTGAGGAGCTGAGGCCTCCTGCCAACAGTCATGGAGGGAGCCATCTTGGAAGACAATCCTCCAGCCCCAGTCAAACCTTCAGGTGACTGCAGCCAACATCTCAATTGCAACCTCAATCAAGACTCTAATACAGAGCCACCAAGCTAAGCCTCTCCAAAATGTATGATTCATGGAAACTGTGAGATAATAAATGTTTGATGTTTAAGCTGATGAGTGTGGGGGTAACTTGTTAGAAGCAATAGATAACAGATACAAAATACACACATTGCAAGAGAGTTCAGGAAGAGGGAGGTGAATCAAAGGACGTTTCCTGGAAGACATTTGTGTTCAGCCTTTTAGGATCCATCAGGACTTGGCTCTCTGATGCATTAAAAGCCCTGGGTGAGACATTGATAGGGAAGGAGGAGGAGCAAGGAAGGCTTTCAGAACAGGTAGAATGATCAGGCAGAGAGAAAGACCTGAAAGTTTGAGTTTAAAGAAAGCCAAGAGGAAAGAAGGACAGAAGGAAGACAAATGGTCAAAATAGTCAAATCTACAGGACAACTGCAAAAGTGGGAATAAAGAGAGAGCCATCACTGAATGCCACACGTTCCAGCAGCAAAATGGAGGTGATGGTGGGGAAGAAGTGTCCCTTAGCAGACTCCTCAAGGAATTTGGCAGGAACAGAGAGGAGAGAGGCAGAGGAAAGCTTGAGGAGATGGAACAGTTAAAAGAAGTTCTTGTTTCTTAGGAGAAAGGACATGTGAACATCTTTATATGCAGAAGGGGAGTGTAAAACAAGAAAGAAATTACAAGAGAAATAGGAAGAAGCTGTAGTGTAGTTAAGAGCTTCACCCTGGCCTTGGTTTAAACCCCAGCAGTGTGACTTTGGACAGGCTGCCTATCCACTTGGTGCCTCTAATGCTCCACCTACAAAGAGAGGATCATATTACCTGTGTCACAGGTTGTTGCTCTAAAGATAAAATAAGATAATCCATAGAAAGTGTCCAACACAGATAAATGCTCAGTAAGGTTATCCCTTCTCATAAAATCGGACACAAAAGGGAACGAGATGCTGGAGGAGGTGGCAGGGGATAGGAAGGCAGACCTCGAAGGAGTGTGGAGGACTCCTGTTCCTGTCTAGAAAGGACAATGAGCAAAGATGTTCAATGATTTTGAGGTGAAGAGAAATATCACCAGCTGATGATCCTGATCTCTCCAGACCTTTCTCTTAACATGTGCCTGCAGGAGTCTTTCAGTCCAACCCAGATGGCTTCACACTCCCCTTTTGAACACTCCTTGAGTTTCCTGTCTCTAGGTTTTTTGCATCCTGTCCTCCATCTTTACCCAAACTGTGCTCTTCCTTCAAACCTCAGTTAAATGCCATCAGCCTTTATCAAGCCCTTCCACCACCATGCAGCAGAATCCACAAGAACATAGAGCTGGATACACTTCAGACTACGAGGTTCAGACACAAGCTAAACTGGGAACAAATGCAGCCCAAGTCAAGCATGCGGCAGCCTCGGAAAAACATTTTACCAAGACTTTTGAGGTCTCCAGGAACACCCAACAAACAGCATCTTTCTTCCCCACTTGAATTCCAAAGAAATCAAGACAAAAAGACCAAAAAAAAAATGGCAGATGGAAACCAAAATTTTGCCTTTATCCCTGACAGAAGTATTTTTGAAAGAAAAGACTCAACATGAGGGCCCAATGGGCCTGCAACTAAACCCCACAATACAAAGAAGAGTGCCCGCCCACCCATCAGTCACCCTCCTTGGGTGGCCTCTGAACATAAGGCTGGTAGTGAGGGGCCCACCCAGGGAAAGTTCCAGACATGGAGGAGCTTAGTTTATACTCCCTAGATTAATCATCCAGAAACGTCACCCCATCTGAGTGAGTGTGGAGACAAACTGGAGGAAAATCCTTTGAGGAAACCAGAAAGCAGAGACAGGCTGTCCCCTCTAGTAAATCCTAGCTAAAGTGGGGTGGAAGTGGGAGGATAAACACAAGGGAACCTTGTACAGTGGTACCTGGGCATTTCCTGATTTTGCCCAAAATTCCTTTCCTGTGCCTTGGTTTCTTCTCCTTTTCTCCCCTCAGGTTTTGCTGGGGTTTTCACAACTCAGGCTGGGGGTTTCCTCAGAGGCCATCACTCCCTCCCACAGCCTCACTCTGCCCTGGCAGAATGGATACTCCCTCTGTAAAATAAAAACTCCACTTTAATGGCTAGCTCTGTGACCTGTAAACTAAGAGAACATTCAATGATGTAGGTGTCAAAACAGGCTAGCTTGAGTTTTATATAATAAACTGGGGAACAATAATATTTTTCCTGGGAGGTCCAGAGTGAGGATCTGTCATAAGCAACTGGTCAGCAGAAACTAGAAGTTTAGGCAGAAAAGATTCTGTAAATAAAAAATGTGAACTAAGCATTGAGACCAACACTGCCGGATAGAATTTTCTGAGGTAACAAAAGTGTTCTGTATCTGTGCTGGCCAAAGCAGTGGCCACTAGCTGTATGTGGCTACTGAGCATTTAACACATGGCTGGTGCAAATGATAAATGGAATTCTTAATTTTATTTAATTATAATTAACTTAAATTTAGTCACATATGATTTCCCATCAGAACTGTAGGAAACAACCCCAACATGGTCATAAACTACTGTAAGGAAGTTACACAGGAATCTGGTGGATGTAGTCTTTAATCACTTAATTACACCAAACATAGAAAAACCCATTCCTAAAACCCCCAATAACTATTACACATGTGAAACAGAAACCAGCTCCCACTGGTGGGATGTGATCCATCTGAGGGCACTCCCATTTTGGGGCAAGGCAAAAGGCATAAAGACACACATATATACTTAAAATGGTACTGTTGCACACATCTTTGAATAAGACATACACATGCATAAATGGGTGATTACTGAGTAACTTCTGAGTTAAACTGTGTAAGGTACAACTGCCTATAAAGCCAACATATTTAACTCTTACAGCCCTTCCCAAAATGTCCCTAATGCTTTAAAGATGTCTTGGTTATGAATTGCCACAATAATGCTACACAACAAACCTCCCCGGAACTTAGTGGCTTAAAGCAATAAGCATTTATTTAGCTCATGAGTTAATGTGTCAGCAATTTAGGCTGGGTTCAGCTGGGTGATTCTTCTGGTCTCCTCTGGGCCCACTTAAATCTGGCAGTTATCTGACTTATCATCAGCTGTGGCAATAGTGGTGCTTGGACCATGTGACACTCATTCTCCCCAGGCTAACCAAGGCACACTGTCATCATGAAAGCAGAGATATGAGCAAACAATCCCAACTCCCCAGTGCTCTTCAAACCTTTGCTTGCACCTATTGGCCAAAGAACATCACATGGGAAATCCTAGTGTCATAGTGAGAGGCCACTACCAGGCTACATGGCAAAGGGTAGGTGTAAAGAGTCGGGACCAATAATGCAATTAATTGACCACACCCACAGGACAGTGTCAAGCCTTGGAAACCTTTCTTTCTTTCAAAAAAAAAAAAAAAAATCACCGAACTGTACCAAACTCATGTGCGAATATATTTTTTACATCCCAGTAACTCATTTGAGACTTTTAAACACATAGAACAAAGATCATGCCCTCCCTTCCTTCCCAGATATCATCACTGCAGGAATCTGGCCCATATAAAAGCATTCCTATTTTAGGACAAAACTAAACAAAGGCCCAAAGACATATGAATATCTAAAATTGAAAAAGTTTATTTATCTTTGAATATATCACAAGTATACTCAACTGGCAATATTTTTTTTAATTAGGTAAAATGTACAAGGTGTATCTTCCCACAAATTAATGAAACTGATTTTGAACAAACAAAATTGACACACAGATACATTTTCTAAGTGATGCACTTTTCCAATGATGTCAGCATTACTCAAAACATTTTTTAGAATATAAACATATAATTGATTTTATAATTGCTGTCAGAAACAAAGGCACATTCTTTTACTGTCCCAGAACATTCAAGATGCTTTCAATTTATTACAAGTACCAAAAGCAGCCACAACTCAAATGGCTCAAGCAGTTAAAGGAATTATTCTTTCCCATAAAAGCGGTCCTGAGGTAGGGCTACAGTGGCTGAACTTCTGCTATGATAAGTATTCAGGGGTTTCCCAGGACACAGCATCAATGCTAAAACTGGCAAAATCCCAATGGACTGATCCCTTCAATGGATGACAGGACCCTCTATGGCTGAAAGACTCTAAAGTTCTTAGTTCTTAGCTGTGACAGGACAGAGAACCGACATGTCCCACCTGCAGCCACACCCATCCCCTTATTATTACTAGATCTTATCAAAAGCTGACTTGAAGAGGAAAAAAGGCCAAAAGACTTCTTTTCTTCACCTAACCGCCGATGCCCTCCTTTTGGTTTTATGGTTCCAACCTGACAGCTACTCTGGGCTACAAAGAGCCCCTTCTTGACAGATGACTGCCAGCTGCAGGCTAGATCAGACTGGTCTCTGGAGATTGCACAGATCGTGAACTTGTGCCCTATGTTTCACCTTTTTGCATTTACAGCCTAATTATAATACATTTAAATGTTAAATCTTCACCCCAGAGTGAACACAGGTCATCCGCTTTTGGATATTCTTCATATGTAAGCCCAGTGCGTGTCTCTAACGAGTTTCCTCCATGAATTTTCATAGGCTTCTCCTGTATGCTACAGAATACGTATATCCTACCTCTCCACCTAGCATAAATACCTACCTTTTCTCCTTCAAAGTATGCTTTATGGCCTCAGGTAGAGGCCTGCTTCCTGCCTGCAAGTTGTAACCTCTTAGAAATAGTTATATTTTGTTTATTTTGATTCTTTTCAGTCGACACATGCAAACAGGAACGAGTTGGCTACTTGAGGGTTGGTTCCTTGTGCATCTCAGTGAGTCTTGAAAAACCCCAGATCCGTCCTTCCTTCCTGCCGCATGTCATCCTAAGGCCAGTGTCTGTCAGGGAGGCAAGGCAGCAGCAGTACTTTTGGGAAACATCCAGAATAACATTAAAAAGCCCCTTTTTCCCCACACGTGTCTTTTATCCAGAGGGTCTGTTTTCCACAAGTTCTTCAGTGATTTCTCCCCAGTCTCATTGGCTGGGATTGGCTTTCACGCCTCTTAACAGGATTGACCATGGTTCATCAAGGGTCAACTTGAAAGCTGAACCCTGCCAACTTTCCCTGAATCTCCTGACTATGGTGGAGGAGTGTGGATCCTGGAACTAAACTGAGGTGATAGGGAGGAAAAGAGAGAAATCAACAGTAAACGCTGCACATCCTCTGTCTGGTAAATGTGCATCACTGATTGTATCCAATCTAGATTCAACCAGAGAGACGGAAGCATTAAGAATGACATAGAATATGGAATTTGCTATAGGGATTTGAGCTTCTACATTTGCGGGAAGGAGCGAGTTGAACACTTAGGAACAGCTGTTGCTGCCGTGTCTGGTGGGGGGCCTGAGAGTGGCAGGACAAGCAGCCTGCCCCAGAAGTGGAAGAAACTGAAAGTGGAGTCCTGAGAGCTGAATCTGCCGCAGGCCCGCGGGCCGCCCGGGAATTAGGAAAGTTAGAGGGGATCCACGCCCACAAGGTAAGCCAGCAGATGGGGACAATTCCCCGGGCTGCGACAGTCCCTAATGTCGGGCACCTACCTTTCAAGCCTACGAGACGACAACACTGCGTCACTTCCGCCTCACGAAGCCCGCATCAGGTCACGTGGCGTGTGCTAACCCCGGAAACCTACAGGCAAGGAATTCTGGGAAACGTAGTTCCCGCTTAGCTAGGTTGACATGGTACAAAGCCACATTACCACGCTAAGTGTGGCTTTGATTTTTAGAAACCGCCTCATGCTAAGTCTAGGGAATACAGTGGTTGAATGGGGTGAGCGCTGACCTTTAGCTATTCTGGAGGAACATGTCACTTTCACTTATTTTCTTTCATGTTTTCCCACCCAGTGCTATGGACTCTGATCGCCCAACCAGAGCAAACCCAGAAGGACAACTCTCCAAGCCTTTCAATCACTCCCACTAACCCGTATTGTGGACACACTATTGTGAGGCCTACTAAGGATGTACTGCTGATGACCTTTTGAAGGTAAGTCAAATGCAGTTAATCCTAAGAGGTTGGTTAGCCCCCTGCATCTTACTGAACACAGTAAATCAAAAGCGCTGTGCCCTTGAGACAAATATGATAAATTCCCTCTGCAGTTTTGAAATGTTTATCAATGCTAAACAAGGTAGGGGGATGTGGGGAGCATGAAAACAGAAAGACAAGGTCTGACAGACACATGGGAGAGATGTCTGTTTCAGAGGCTTAGTTCAAGTGGTTACTGTATTTAGGCTATTTAATTTAAAGGTGGTTACTGTATTTACATACACATCAGAGAAGTCCAAAATTTTAAAGTAAAGATCAGTTTGCAAAGATCTTGTCAAATTATTCGTTTTAAAATGAGGACCCTTATAACAACACAGGTACTTGAAAATATTTTGCTAATGAAAGAAGCTGGACACAAAAGATTACACCATGTACAATTTCATTTATATGAAGTTCTAAAACAGGCAAAACTAATCTATGGTGGGAAAAAAATCAGAATAGAGTTCACCTTGGGAGTTGGGGGTAGACTTAACTGGAAAGGGGCCTAAGGACACCTTCAGGGATAATGAGTGTATGCATTTGTCAAAATTCACCATAGGGGTGAAGAGCACTGATGTCTGCCACTTATTTGAAAAGCATCAAAAAATAAGATGGATTGATGGATGTATACAAGCGTAGGTAGACATATACATAAAACAAATACAGCAGAATATTAATTGCAGAATCTATGTGGCGAGTATATAGTTCAGCCCAGGTCTGAGTCATAGACAGATGGATGTCATAGATAGATAGTCATAGATAGATACCGAAATACTGATTGGGGAAGAGATAGTAAAGAAGTCATGGGAAAAGGATACAAAAAAAGAGAGAAAAGTGGCCGGGCACAGTGGCTCATGCCTGTAATCCCAGCACTTTGGAAGGCCAAGGTGGGCGGATCAGGAGGTCAGGAGAACGAGACCATCCTGGCTAACACGGTGAAACCCCGTCTCTACTAAAAAAAAAGAAAAAATACAAAAAATTAGCTGGGCACGGTGGCGGGCACCTGTGGTCCCAGCTACTTGGGAGGCTGAGGCAGGAGAATGGCGTGAACCTGGGAGGCGGAGCTTGCAGTGAGCTGAGATCAGGCCACTGCACTCCAGCCTGGGCGACAGAGCGAGACTCCGTCTCAAAAAAAAAAAGAGAGAGAAAAGTTACTGTCAGTTAATAGGAAGATATCAACAGACAGTCCAGACATTCAGAATATTTAATGTGATTCACTCTAACCTTTAAATTATATGATATACAATCAACCTGATGAGCTCCATTTCTCTCATAGTTACTAGGTGCTTGCTATGTGACTACCCTAAGCCAAGCACTTTTGCAAGCATTGTCCACAGCACGCTAAGAATCCTCCTCTACTTATTCTACTCTTAATAGCCCTATATTTGTCCATTATAACATAATGTGCTGCATAACAGACCACCACAAAACTCAGTGGTGATCTGAGTGGCTCACAATAGTAAACAATTATTTCTTGATTACATGTTTTCAGAGTGGCTAGTGGTTGGCCCATGTAGGCTGAGCTCAGCTGGTCCATCCTTCTTGGACCCACAGACTCCCTGGGGCATGTTCTTCTCATGATGATGACTGCAACACAAGAGGGCAAGACATCCTACACAAGCACATTTCAAGATTTTGCTCACATCATCTCTGCTAAAATTCCTTTATCCAAAGCAAGGAACACAACTGGTTCAAATAAGCACAGGCCTCCAAATATCCAGATCTAAAAATGGAGTGTTCACCTCAAGCTCCTTATTTATCACTGCAAGAGATTCTGGGGCTGGCAGCTAGTGACATGAGCTGGAATCCTCTTCCTGAAATTGCTGTCTTCTTGGATGGGCTCTCCACATCTTCCACCACGAAGTAAAAACAATTCTTGTGGGTGTAAGTAGACCAATTCAAGTGGACAATTTTGTTTTGCCTCTTTCAGCTTCCCCCAAGGTAGAATCCCAAGGGGACAATTACAAACATCTGGCCAAGAGAAGGAATACAGGCCACTTATTTTTCTGCTTTAGGAGAAGTCAATTAGAGTTTCCATTTCCTCAGTTAAATGTCACCTTTTTACAACATCCTGGAGGGAGAGTTGGCAGCCCTGTCATTAGGGGGAAAAATTCTTTCAGGGAAAGGCTTATTGTCTAAAAAGATACAGAAGGGTCCAGAGATGAAAGGACCTTCTCATGCTGTCTGAGTTTCCCAGAGTTCTCGGTTTCTATTTTGAGCTGAACATTTGGCTTCCCTGGTATCCTCAAGTGAGCTTTTTCAGCTCAGCCTCCCTGCATCACTTTTCTACCATTTGCAAAAAAAGGATAATAAGACTTGCTGCTGGGTAATGCATATAAAATGCTCTAAGGAGCTTGGAGGGAAGGTAGGCTTCTCAAGGGGAAAGCTGTCAGCGTGTTTTATCCTGATCTCCAGATATTTTCAGTGTCTGGTACCCCTCATTAGAGCATCTGGTCCTTTCTCAGAGAAGTTAGATGAAAGCCAAAATAAATGGAGCAGAGAGGATCCCTTCTCCTGCCTCTGCTGCAAAGGAGATATGTCAAGTTGAGTGATGAACGATTACTCTTCTTCACTTGCTAACACTTTGTACCCTATTTTCAAATTAAGGAGCACATTGTTGGTGCACCCAAAAGGTTAAACACTCCCACTTCTTTGCTGTAGTCACTAATTGGTGCTTTATCACAATTTCTGTGGAGGGAACATCTTGTCTGCAGAATCCTTCCTCCACGGAGCTGGATGAGATTTTGAGAGCATCTCAAGTTTCTAAAGTTAGATCATGAATCACTCTTCTGCTTGTAAGGAGGTATTGCACCTAAAAAGTCCCCGTCTGTTATTAATAATTGTCTGCAACTTATTTTGAACTGTATCAAAAAATAAGATGGATTGATGCATTTTTTAAAATTCTTTTTAAAAATTATTCGGAAAATTCTTCCTTTTTCTATTATGGGGGACTTATTCTCTCTCTCTCTCTCTCTCTCTCTCTCTCTCTCTCTCTCTCTCGGTATTTTACTTATCTATAGAACAAGAACTTCTTCCCTTTTCAAAATATTGGGAGACAAGGAGGTGGGCATCTGGAATTCTCATAATGCTGCCAGTGGGAGTACAACACGGTTCCACTTTGGAAAACGGTTTTTAGTATCTAAAATTGCTAAGCATCTTTTGTGCATGTATCTCTATAAGTGGAACTTCTGGGTTCTAAAGGATAGTTCTAGGGATATGCCTAACAGAAATACCTGCATATTTTCACAAAAGACACATATCAGAATGTTTTAATCAGTCAAATCTAGAAACTAGACATGGTTTCTAGATGTATTCACAGAGCATTCCACTCTACTGTTGATGCAGTTTACCCGTCAACAGTAGAATGGGTAAATTGCAATGTATTCACAGAGTGGAATACTATACAGCAACGAGAATTAACCGGTCACATCTACACACAACATGGGTGAACCTCACAATCATCATTTTGAGCAAAAGAAGTCAGACACAAAAAGAACCCATACAGCTTCTAGGGGGCTGGTAATGCCTCAGTTGTTATTCCGGGTGCTGGTTACACAAGTGTCTGCCATTTGCGAAAATGTGCTGAGTTGTCTGCTCATGTTGAGTGCTCTCCTCTGTGTATTTTCCTTCAACAAGAAGTTAACACAATATGCATATAGAAAAATTGCCCCGAAAGTCAAAATAGAAAGTATTTGGAAAAAACTTCCACTTAATTTTTTCATCCTTTCACTCCTCACTCCTCCCCTGGAAAGGGCAGGGCTGTAGCTGACTGGTGAAGAGGTGGGAGAAGGAGCCATACTCACACACAGCCTGATGGCCTCTTTTCTCCCTGTTCCTGAGCCCTTCCCTGATCCCTCTGTCTTGACTGCCATAATCTGGAAGGTGAGAAGCAACAACTTTCTTTTTTTCTGGCCAGGCCAGTGGACCTGCTCTGCAGACCCAGGCTCCTCTCCCATGGAGCATCCCAAGTCTGTCCTTATGGGAAGAAGCAGGAGCCCTGTCTGGCTGTACCCCAAGCTGCTTTCTCTGGACCAATGCTGTCAGCGATAGAGGTATCATTTTGATGTTTAATTCCCATTGCTTGTATCTGTTTCTCAACTGATTCTAAAGATGGAAGGCAAAGAAGTACAATTAATTGTAAGCCCTTAAACCTCAAAAGCTTCTTGTTTAGCAGTTAAGAAATGCAGGCAAGAGTAAATGTATTGCTTTTATTTTATAGAACATTAAGACCAAAGATTATGAGCTCCTACAGCTGGGGTTTTAGGGGATGATGACTGCCTCCTAGGAACAAGACCAACTGAATAATTAGAAAAGCAGAATTAATTAATCTCCTTTCTATAATATTTCCCTGTATTAACTAAAGAAGCTGTTTTTATTTGTCTATTTTAATTTGTATTTGTATAAATTTACAGGGTACAAGTGTAATTTTGTTACATGCATAGACTGCATAGTGGTGAAGTCAGGGTTGTCAGTGTACCCATCACTCAAATAACATACATTGTACCCACCAAGTAATCTCTAATGTTATGGGTGCCCCCTTAGATGGGGATTTAGAGTGACTGGATGTAATGTCAGAGGTTATCTCTGTGCTGAGTTAGACATCACAGTCGCCAATTGCTATAGAAGGGGAAAATAGAGCAAATCCTTCCATGAAGAAATAGAATCCACCTCTTCTCTATCTCTTCAATTTAGGCCTAGATGTGTGACTTGCATTTTTTTTCATGTAGCAAACAAGCCAAACAGCAGCTTGAAAAATGCTTTCTACTTGGACATACCCTCTTGCTACAGGGAACCCTTCCACCATCATGTGAAGAAGCCTGGTCTAGCCTGCTGGAGGATGAGAGATCACATGGAATGAGGCCACAATCGTTCCAGCCAAAGCCCCAGTAATAGAATTAAGATCATCCAAGACCATGGCATCCCGCCTGAGAAGTTCAGATGAGAAGGGCCACCTGAACAACCAACAGAATCTTAAAAAGTAAAAAATGAGTGTTGCCACTATGCATCTATTAGAATGGCAGAAATCGAAGACACTGACAACAACAAATGCTGGTGAGGATGTGGAGCAACAGGAACTCTCACTCACTGAAGATGGAAATGCAAAATAGTGCAGCTACTTTGGAAAACAGCTACTTTGGCTGTTTCTTACAACACTAAATATGCTATTATTATATGATCCAGAAGTTTTGCTCCTTAGCACTTACCCAAAAAAGTTGAAAACTTATGTACACACAAAAACCTGCACATGGATATTCACAGCAGTTTTTGATATGGTTTGGCTCTGTGTCCCCACAGAAATCTCATCTTGTATTTGTATAAATTTATGGGGTACAAGAGTAATTTTGTTAGCATGCATAGACATGCATAGACTGCATAGCTCCCATAATTCCCACATGTTGTGGGAGGGACCAGGTGGGAGGTGATTGAATCATAGGGGCAGGTCTTTCCTGTCTTGTTCTTGTGATAGTGAGTGGGTCTCACAAGATCTGATGGTTTTAAATAACAGGAATTTATCTGCACAAGCTCTTTTATTTTGCCTGCTGCCATCCACATAAGATGTGACTTGCTCCTCCTTGCCTTCTGCCATGATTGTGAGGCCTCCCCAGCCATGTGGAACTGTAAATCCAATTAAATCTCTTTCTTTTGTAAATTGCCCAGTCTTGGATATGTCTTTATCAGCAGAGTAAATGTGGACTAATACAGTAAATTGGTACCAGTAGAGTGGGATGTTGCTGAAAATATCATCAAAAATGTGGAAGTAACTTTGGAACTGGGTAACAGGCAGAGGATGGAACAGTTTGGAGGGCTCAGAAGAAGACAGAAAAATGTGGGAAAGTTTGGAACTTCCTAGAGACCTGTTGAATGGCTTTGACAAAAATGCTGATGGTGATATGAATGAACAATAAGGTGAATGAACAATAAGGACCAGGCTGAGGTGGTCTCAGAGGGAGATGAGGAACTTGTTGGGAAATGGAGAAAAGATGACTCTTGTTATGCTTTAGAAAAGAGACTGGCAGCATTTTGCCCCTGCCCTAGAGACTTGTGGAACTTTAAACTTGAGAGAGATGATTTAGGGTATCTGGCGGAGGAAATTTCTAAGCAGTAATGCATTCGTGAGGTGACTTGGGTGCTGTTAAAGGCACTCAGTTTCAAAAGGGAAACAGAACATAAAAGTTTGGGAAATTTGCAGTCTGGCAATGCAATAGAAAATAAAATCCCATTTTCTGAAGAGAAATTCAAGCCAGCTGCAGAAATTTACCTAATAACGAGGAGCCAAATGTTAATCCCCAAGACAATGGAGAAAATGTCTCCAGGGCATGTCAGAGGTCTTCACAGCAGCCTCTTCCATCAAAGGCCCAGAGACCTAGGGGGAAAAAATGGTTTCCAAAGGCCCAGGGTTCCCATTCTGTGTGCAGCCTAGGGACTTGGTGCCCTACCTCTCAGCCGCTCCAGCCATGGCTTCAGAGGGTGCAAGCCCCAAGCCTTGGCAGCTTCCACATGGTGTTGAACCTGGGAGTGCACAGAAGTCAAGGATTGAGGTTTGGGAACCTCCACCTAGGTTTCAGAGGAGGTATGGAAATGCCTGGATGTCCAGTCAGGAGTCTGCTGCAGAGTGGGGCACCCATGGGAACCCCTGCTAGGCCAGTGTGGAAGGGAAATGTGGGGCCCCCACACAGAGTCCCCACTGGGGCACTGCCTATTGGAACTGTGAGAAGAAGGCCACCATCCTCCAGATTCCAGAATGGTAGATCCACCAACAACTTGCACCGTGCACCTGGAAAAGCTGCAGACACTCAACGCCAGCCCATGAAAGCAACCACGAGGGAGGCTGTACCCTGTGGTACAGGAGCAAAGCTACCCAAAACCATGGGAACCCACCTCATACATCAGCATGGCCTAGATGTGAGAGATGGAGTCAAAGGAGATCATTTTGGAACTTTAAGATTTGACTGCCTTGCTGGATTTCGGACTTGCATGGGGCCTGTAACCCCTTTGTTTTGGCCAATTTCTCCCATTTGGAATGACTGTATTTACCCAATGGCTGTACCCCCACTGTATCTAGGAAATAACTAACTTGCTTTTGATTTTACAGACTCACAGGTGAAAGGGACTTGCCTTGTCTCACAGAAGATGTTGGACTGTGGACTTTTGAGTTAATGATGAAATGAGTTGAGACTTTGGGGGACTGTTGGGAAGGCATGACTGGTTTTGAAATGTGAAGATATGAGACTGGGAGGGGCCAGGGGTGGAATGATATGGTTTGGCTCTGTGTCCCTACCCAAATCTCATCTTGTAGCTCCCATAATTCTCACATGTGGGAGGGACCTGGTAGGAAATGACTGAATCATGGGGATGGGTCTTTCCTATGCTGTTCTCATGATAGTGAATGGGTCTCATGAGATCTGATGATTTTAAAAAACGGGAGTTTCTCTGTACAAGCTCTTTTGTTTTGCCTGCCACCATTCACGTAAGATGTGACTTGCTCCTCCTGCCTTCCACCATGATTGTGAACCCTCTCCAGCCATGTGGAACTGTAAGTCCAATTAAACCTTTCTTTTGTAAATTGCCCAGTCTTGGGTATGTCTTTATCAGCAACATGAAAATGGGCTAATACAGCTTTATTCATAATTGCCAAAACTGGAAGCAACCAAGATGTCCTTCAGTATGTGGATAAATCATGGTACATCCAGATAATGGAATATTCAATGCTTAAAAAAAAGTGAGCTATCGAGCCATAGAAGAAACTTAGCTGCATATTACTAAGTGAAATAAGCCAGTCTGAAAAGGCTACATACTGTAGGATACCAAATATATGATATTCTAGAAAAGGCAAAATTGGGGGACAGTAAAATGATCAGTGGTAATCAGTGGTTATCAGGGGTTAGGAGGAGGGAAGGATAAATAGGCAGAGCAGAGGATTTTTAGGGCAGTGAACCAATCTACATGATACTGTAATGGTGAACACAAGTCATCGTACATTTGCCCCAACCACATAGAATATAGGACACCAAGAGTGAACGCTATGGTAAACTGTAGATTTTGGTTGATCTTGGTGTATCAATGTAGGTTTATCAATCGTAACAAATGTATCACTCTGGTGTTGGAATGTTAGTCAGGGAAACTGCAGATGTGTGGGGGCAGAGGATGTGTAAGAGCTCTTTTTACTTTCTGCACTATTTTTCCATGAACTTAAAACTTCTCTAAAAAGTACAGTCCATTTAAAAAAATGTATGTCATTCTAAGCCACTGACTTTTGGAGTGGTTCATTACATAGCAGAAGCTAACTGATACACTGGGTCAAACCTTGGGTGGGGAGGAGAATCAAAGGGAAATTGGGTCTCTGTCACTTCAGAATTCAGATACACAAATGAGAAAACATCCAATAAAATAACCATCATGGAATCCAGAAATAAGTTATATCCACACCTATAGTTTGGCATATTAGTTAAAACCAGACAACAAGCCAAGTCTAATATTTTACAAGGACACACTTCACCAGCCCCATTGCATGCTGTTTTAATTCCTTCGTGATTGTTAGGGAAGGGAATTACTTCTACTGAGGCCTGGCAACAAAATTCCTATTTCTAGAAGCTTCAAAATTGGATTACAATAGAGTGAATGCAATTCCTACGTTTACTTTTAAAGAGGCAGAGGGGATGAGATGTTTCAGCCTGAGCAGTTCAGTAGGTGCTTGTCCTCCTCTCACCACCTGATCTAGTACAGTCCCATGCCATCTGCACTAAAGAGGGGAGAAAAGGCAATACTGAAATGGCAGATTATCCAGAATCATTTATTTGGTTCTTTGGAATGCGTGAGCTCACCACTGCTCTGCTGCCTCCCCTTCACCCACCTCGCTCTCGGTCTTCTTCTCACACACCAGTGAGCACAAATTGGGCCCAGTCTCTTATTAAAAGACTCTGACACTGATAACAAGGATTTCTCTGGATGTCAAGTATCATGTGCTGAGAACATTGCCTTGGAAGGTAAGACAAGAAAAATTCCCTGTAGATGAAAAACTGAAGTTGAGGATCCTGAGGTCAGATTCCAGCCCCCAGCAAGTTGGGCCCTGATGGGCATGCAGGCTGAAATCCTTATCTAGCTCTGCAGCAGACTCTGGGAGTCAGAGATGAGGGGGAACAGAGCACAGCTTATTAACAGAGGGAGCTGGCAACGGCTTCAAATCAGCACAATATCCTGAATTGTTAAGAATTCCATCAAGGCCGTTAATTAGCTACTAACCATAAGCCTCTTGTCTTTGAATATGCTTCCTAATCCAACATGAAAATGACCTTAAATTACAGACTGATCCTGAAGTTGAACTGCTATACCTGATTCACTTTATTCATAATCTCTTTCCCATTCGTAGGACAACCCAGGGAGATAAAGTGATTTACCCTGGACCAGTGGTGGGACAGCTGTGCCCACCATGTGCTCATGCCGCTGCAGAGAGCACAGGAACAATTAGAGAAGCTGTGTCTATACATTTTCAAACATTTCTCTGGTTTCAATGAAACAATATTTCAAGGGGTAGACTTCCTCAAATTCTCCATTTGTGACTATATGGGTCAACAAATGGGAGGTATTAGGCTGAAATAAGTGTGCTTTTCTTTAATAGTAAAAACAGTGACAGAGGAATAGAAAGGTGTGTTAATATTTTGCCCCACAACCCAAAATCACACTATGATATTGGAACTTTTTTTTAATTACATTGTTTCTTTTACCAACATCAATAACATGCTGGCAAACAGATGCTGGCAAGAACACAAAGCAGCCTGAACTCTCCTATACTGCTGGTGGGAGTGCAAAATGGCACAGGGCATTTTTTTCCACAGAGAGCCTATTGTTTAACATTTACAGCTCGGCAGCGGGGGTGTGTGTGATGTGTATATCAGGCAGAGTTCTTAGTTGCAGACAACAGACTCTAGTTTAAGCAGATCGACAAAGAGGCATTTAGAGAATTTGAGAAGGTGGCTGCTCAGACGGGAAAGGGTTCCTTCAAGTGAGCCTGGGTCTTGCATAAACTGAGGGCTGAGAGTGAGTGTTGCATCACCATTCACCTCTCCCTGTGGGAACTGGAGACCTGCAAATGTTGTGTGATCATCACTGATGCCCCAGGACACTGAGTCTTTACCAGAAACATGATTACGGGAACATCTGGGGCTGTCTATCCTGTCCTGACTGTTGCCTCCATTGATGAATCTAAACCTGTTATCTCCAAGATGGGCAGACCCAGGAGCACACCCTTCTGGCTCACACTGAGTGTGAAACAAATAATTGTTGGTGTTAAGAAAATGGATTCACTGAGCCACCTTAACGCCAGAAGAGATATGAGGAATTTATTAAGGAAGTCAGCACCTACATTAAGAAATTGCCTACAGCCCAGACACAGAAGCATTTGGGCCAATTATCAGTGGCAATGGTGACAGAAGGCTGCACCCAGGTGCTCACATGCCTTGGCTCAAGGAATGGAAAGTCACCTGTAAAAATGGCCATGCCTGTGGAACCATACTGCTGGAAACTCTGGATTGCATTCTACCATCAACTTGTCCAACTAACAAGCCCTTTTGTCTGCCCTTCAAGGATGTCCACAATATTGGTGGTATCAATACTGCCCCTGTGGGCCAAATGGAGACTGGTGCTCTCAAGCCTAGCGTGGATACTGCACCTTTGCTCAAGTCAACATCACAACTGAAGTCTGCTGAAATGCACTATTAAGCTTTGAGTGAAGCTCTTCCTGGGGACACAGTGGGCTTCAATGTCAACAACATGTCTGTCAAATATGCTTATTGTGGCAACCTGGTTGGTGACAGCACAAATGACCCATCAATGGAAGCAGCTGGCTTCACTGCTCAGGTGATTACCCTGAACCATCAAGGCCAAATCAATACTGGCTGTGCCACTGTGCTGGATTGTCACATGGCTCTTATTGCTTGCAAGTTTGCTGAGCTGATGGAGAAGATTGGTCACCATTCTGGTGAGAAGGTGGAAGATGAACCCAAATTCTTCAAATCGGGTGATGCCGCCATTGTTGATATGGTTCTGTGTGTAGAGAGCTTCTCTGACCGTTTTCTTCTGGGTCCCTTTGCTGTTGATGATGTGATACAGACAGTTGCTGTGGACGTCATTAAAGCAGTGGACAAGAAGCCTGCAGGAGCTGGCAAGGCCACCAAGTCTGCCCAGAAATCTCAGAAGGCCAAATGAATATTAGCCCTAATACATGCCACCCGAGTCTTAATCAGTGGTGGAAAAAGTCTCAGAACTGTTTGTTTCAAGTGGACATTTAAGTTAATAGTAAAAGACTGGTTAACAATAAATGCATCATAAAACATCCAGAAGGAAAGGAGAATGTTTTGTGGACCATTTGTTTTTTTGTGTGTGTGACAGTTTTTTGAAGTTATTAGTTTTTAAAATCGGTACTTATTAATCAGAATCTATTTGACCAAACATTGGTCACAGGATTTTAAGACCCATGAAAACAATGTTTAATGAGAAAAAAAAGGTCCAGTGTGACAAAATTAACCTAAAATTACATTTGCATGTAGGAGGGAAAAATGTTTTTTAATGATTGTTTTCATTCATCGGGTGAAAGCAGAGGCATTGAGTTAGATTTAGGTGATCGCTCCTAAATCACTATCAGACCCCAGAGATCCAAGTGAGCACCCCCAGGAACAGGCTGGACATCAGGAGACAGTGGGCATTGTTGCCTGCCTAGCACCTCCTCCACTTTTTGCCACAGTGCCTATCTTCTCCTTTGGGGTGCTCCCTTCTCCCCACCCCACATGGTCCTATCAATCAAGTTTCCTGCCCACTTACCCACCGAAGCCCTGGAAACATGTCCCAAGTCAGGCCAGTGCTCCCCAAGAAATCTGAATCTTGAGCCAAATGACAAAAAGACCAAAAAAAAAAATGTCAGCAAAAATAAAGTCGTTCCCATGGTAGTCCCCTCAAATGGCTGTCCATCAATCCCTGCTTCAGAGACTGCTCCCCACCCCCAGAGCTGCCCTGTTCCTGATGCTTTTGAGGTCTCATTGCAAAACTCCTCCACCAAGCCTGTGAGCTTTCTGACGCCCTTCTCATGGAAGGCTGTTCTGTTTAAGTTGGCTACAGTCTATTTCTGTTGTTTGCCACCAAAGATCACTAGCTGACATGCCAGTGCTGTAGTTGAGAGAGGCTTGCTTTTTTCCTATTGGGGCATGTTTTGGTTAATTCTTGCTCACCAGATCATGGGGTACGGTAGATCATTATAATAATGGCCCCTGATGAGTCCATGCCCATTTACAATATTGCATTGCTCTCCCTCCCATCAAGACTTCACCCTTGGAGTTTATTTCTGTACCTCCTTGCATATGGGCTGGCTTTGTCTATTATTTTAACCAATAAAATATCATGGAAGTGATGTGTGTGGTTTCATGAGTCTAGGCCTTAAGAGACCTTGTAGCTTCCATCTTCAACTTCTTGGAAACCTGAGACTGCCATGCTGTGAGGAAGCCCATGCTGGCCTCCTGGATGATTAGCGGCCATTTAGAGAACTGAGGCATCCCGCCAACAGCCAGATGTGTGAGTGAGGGCATCTTGGACTCTTCAGCCCAGCTTAATCATAAGATGACAACAGTCATGTGTGTATACCCAGATGAGACCAGCAGAAAAACTACCAAGATTGCCAACCCACAGAAATGTGAGAAATAATTAATGGTTGTATTTTAAGCCACTAAGTTAGACAATCAATTGATGAGGAAAGAAACGGAGCACAAGACACAGCAGCTATGAAACACTGGTAGGAGTGGCAGCAGTGGCAGCAGCATCATGTGCAGGGCCGGGGTGTGTATATGCGTGTGCAGAGGGCAAACTGGAGTGGAAATGGACTCCAGCTGCAAGAAATAGTCAATATGTTAATGATGGAGGATGTCCAGGTTCTTGGCTTCTTGAACAAAGAATTGGACACAACTCACAAACAAAGCAAGGAAGGAATGAAGGGTTTTATTGAAAATGAAAGTACACTCCACAGTGTGGGAGCAGGCCTGAGCGTAGGAGCTCAAAGGCCCTGTTACAGAGTTTTCGTGAGTTTAACTACCCTCTACTTGGGGCACACCCTATGTAAATGAAGAGGATGAAGTAAAGTTACAAAGTCATATACGGCGTATGCCTTTTAGTTATTTCTGTGGTTTACAATAACTTAACTATAATTGTAATTGGTAACATATACTTAGACATTAGAATTTTAGAAATCCTATAAAATTTCAGAATATATATTAGTATTATTCACAAAAATGTAACCTAAAGAAGATTGAGCATCATTTTGGCAATCCCATGTACCTGAACATGTCAAATAATCCTGTTTACCTCTCTTTTCTGGACATTTCGGGGGCCTTCTGAAGTATTTGAAAAGCCAGGTGCCAGGGAAGACAATTTTGAAAATGAAGTTTGATTTTGGGAATTACAGATTACCACAAGTTATTTATTTTGCCAAAATCACGACTCAGAAATTTTAAAGAAGCAAAAACCTTATAACCCTTTTGAATTTAGTCAACATGTTCACACAGAGAACCTCTTCTGTAAGATTAATTTTCACAATTTTTCCACCACTTTTTTGAACCTTCAGCTTTCCTTATCTAACTTAAAACAATCCTTTAACCCTCAGCAAAAGTTTACATTTCCATGCCTTCATATACCCTTTTACTAAAAAAAAAGAAACACACATTTTACTGTTCTTACACACCTTACAGACAATAAATTAAAGAACATGAAACTTCCTGAAGTTGACAATCATGCAATAGTTAAGTAAAAGGAGGTCCCTAATCTTAGGAAATACACATTAAGGTATTTAGGGGTAAGTAACCATGAGATGTGTAAATTACTCTCAAGTATGAAGGTAATTTATCCTTGAATGGGTTCAGGAAAAAATGTATATATGCAAAGGGGGTGGAAAGAAATAATAAATGTAGGAAAATGTTAGCAATAGGCAAATCTGAATAAAGTACACAGGATATATTTTGTACTATTCTTGAAACTTTTCTGCAAGTTTGAAATTGTTTTCAAATAAAAAGCTTTAAAGTAATCTTTTAAGTCATTTATCATAGCAGTTTGTAATCCTACATTCCTGGATATCCAGAGATTTTTCTCCATATTTTTACTCTCTTCCATATTGTTGACCCCAAAATGCCAAAATACAGTCTGTTATTCTTGTTAATAAGGACTGATTTTCAGAGTGGTGAGTTTGCTAAAATGGGTGATCATCATCTTGGGGAAAGAGGGGCATCTGAAGCAGCCTGTGTAAGGAAATTGACCCCACTCTAGGTGGAGCCAAATGGGTGCCGGAGTTGGGGGGATCAATGATTATGCACAGGGTCGTCACTCTCCAATCAAAGCACAGCCACTGCTTGGCTCCCTCTGGGATCCACCTCTGGGCAGGGAGGGCTTCCTCTTTCCATGTCCTCATACAGAAGCAGCCCTCTTCAGGAGGTAGTAAGAAATGTGAGGAGAACATTATTTGCCGTCAGTTATCCACGAGGTATTTCTGTTTCCTTGTTGAGCAGCAACACTTGCATCAATGTGTGCCAGAAAGAAAACCAAAAACTGAATAGAGTTGCAAGGCCAGGGAGTCCCAGCAGGCCCCTCTCATGCTCTCTCACTCCTGATCTGCCCTCAGCCCACAGCTAGTGAAACACATGTCTGGAGTCAAGGGTTTGGAGAGAACACAGCCATAGCGAGCACAGTCGTCCACTTCCAGCCCCCTACTTCCCTCCACTGTGACAGCATCAGTGAAGCAGCTGGTATCTCGCTGTTCCTGTTCACATAAATTATTGTCTTGAAGCCTCACAGCAACCCAATGAGGGAGGCATAGCCGCCGTACAAATATGAGAGATGCAGAGGTCAAATGGCTTGAAAGGGTCAGGCCTCTAATAACTTGCACAGGACGGAAGCCAGACCTGGTTCTGGTAATGCTGAGCTCTGGGGCATAAAGTTTCCCACTTCACATACCGAGCAACCCCCACCAACAATTTCCTTGGGTTCTACCCCATTTATTATACCACAGAGAAGGCAAAGCCTATCCCTGTGCTTGGCCCAGAAAAGGAAGACAAGACCCCTAGACCAAATCCCATTTTCTCTGGAATACCACCAAAAATGGTGCAGGGTCTGGAGTGCTGGCTTTGCCCTCAGATACTGCTCCAATGTAACTGAATAACCTGTTAATGGACAATAAGACTACGATGAAAAAGACTTGCAAGGTCTTGAATGGGGCATTATGTCTGGGTACTAGGCCTTCCTTGAGATTCTCAGAACACTCTGCTTCTCCAGGTTTGTTCTCTAGGTACACCTTGATATAAGCTGTCTGGTGTTGCCTGGACATCTCCTACATGTCCCAGACCACCAACCAAGCTTCCCTGGAAACTCTCCTCAGCTATCCCTTCCACCAAAGGCTTGGGAATTCTTGCTGGATCATCTCAGGAGACCTTGTTGCCACCTGTATGTAAGCACTCTCCACATTGTTGTGGCTGTGTGTCTGTCTGTCCATCCATTTTCTCAGCAGACTGTAAATCCTTTCGTCAGGGCTCAGTGACATTTGTCCGTATGTGTCCAGAAACTAGCACAGTCGCCAATATAGACTGTTGAATAAATGAATGAATGAACAAACAAATTAGTGAGTCCCAGGATTCTTAGTTTTGAGCCATGGCCCAGTCACTTTCTTTGATCTTGAGCAAGTCAGTTGCCTTCTAGGTGGCTTCATCTGTGCAGTGGTGAAGAATCTTCTCTGGCACACATCTGTTCCAGAAAAAAAAGTAACATCTGCTAGAGCATTTTCAAATGCAAGATACCGTTCCCATGTGCATTATCCTTATGGCTTTAAGGAAGAAGGGCATGATCGAAGAGCTTTATAAGGTGGAAGGCACAATGTAAAATCTAGTACACCTGTGGTTCTCAGCCTCAGCTGATCATCAGAGCCACCTACGAAATTTCACTGGCTTTGGATGCAGCCTGGGCACCAGGATTTTCAAAACTTCCCCAGGTGGCTGTAATATGTAGCTTAGATTGAGACCACTGGTAGACTCAGACATGTGATGCTTGCCACTCTCCTATTCGGAATAGACTAAAGCAGTGGCTCTCAAAATTTAGGCACATTACTATTAGCTGGAGGCTTGTTAACACCTAGATTTCTGGAAAGAGGGGGCAAAGCAAGATGGCCAAATAGAAGTCTCCAGCAATCGTTCCCCCACCTGTTTGAAATGCTTGTTCCCCAGTAGCATAAAGAAATAGCACTTGAACATAAATTTAAGTTACTCATCAAGGCCATTTTTACTTTCTGCAGAAAGGGTACACTCACCAGCAGTTTTGCCACGAGAGTACACCGAACAAAGGAGATAGCGTTATTTATAATCTGATGCATCCACCCTACTGCTGTGTCTGGTTTTCATTGGCTGGAACGGGACCTCACAGTCTGTATTTGTCCCGATTGGCTAGCAACTTAGAACTTTTTAAAAGAGGCAAAGGCAGAGGAGAACAAAGGAAGGAGGAAGTAACTTGTGGAATGCTGAGAAAGGTAAAAACACCTTCAAATAAGGAAGAGGAACAGGCTATGAGCTAATGCTTGCTTGGATCAGAATAAGCATGCCAGCATATTTAGGCTAAATTGTGGGAGCTAAGAACATAAAGTGCATCGATTTATTTATCACAGCTAGCAGATATTTAAGAATGTTAGCACAGGTCTTTGAATAAATTTTGCTTCTAAGAGAAGTTACTATTTATTCCTAATTAAATGGGGAGGAAAGTCTTTGAAGAGGACCCTCTACTTTACTTTTTATAATTCCCCCTCTTTTTATTTCATAATTCCTCTTCAAACTTGTTTAATATGTTTTAACTAAATTGCTTTGTTTGACCTTCTAAGAGAAGTAATTTTTCGGCTAGCAGATATTTAAAAATGTTAGCACAGGTCTTTGAATAAATTTTGCTTCTAAGAGAAGTCACTATTTATTCCTAGTTAAATGGGGAGGAAAGTCTTGGAAGAGGACCCTCTACTTTACTTTTTATAATTCCCCCTCTTTTTATTTCATAATTCCTCTTCAAACTTGTTTAATATGTTTTAACTTAATTGCTTTGTTTGACCTTCTAAGAGAAGTAATTTTTCGGCTAGCAGATATTTAAAAATGTTAGCACAGGTCTTTGAATAAATTTTGCTTCTAAGATAAGTCACTATTTATTACTAGTTAAATGGGGAGGAAAGTCTTGGAAGAGGAACCTCTACTTTACTTTTTACACACCCAACAGAGGAACACCAAATTGAACAACTATCTACACAAAAAGTCATCTTCATAAAAACCAAAAATCAGGTAAATGATCACAATACCTGGTTTAAACATCATATTAAGGAAAGAGGCACTGAAGAGGGTAGGAAAGACAGTCTTGAGTTGCCTTTATCACCCGTCCTCTATCCCCTGGCAGTAGCCACATGGTGCGGAGAGAGAATCTGTGCACTTAGAGGAGGGAGAGTGCAGTGATTATGGCACTTTGCATTGAAACTCAGCGCTGCCCTATCACAGTGCAAAGCAACACTGGGCAGCAATCAGCTGACATTTATGGAGACAGCTTTTAGACCAGCCCTAGCCAGAGGAGAATCGCCCATCCCAGCGGTTGGAACCTGAGTTCCAGCAAGCCTCGCTACTGTGGACTAAATTGCTCCGGGTTCTAAATAAACTTGAAAGGCAGTCTGAGCCACAAGGACTGCAATTCCTGGGCAAGTCTTGATGCTGTGCTAGGCTTGGAGTCAGTGGACTTGGTGTGCACATGACTTAGGGAGGCAACAGCTGAGGGAGTATTTGCATGTCCTCCCTCAACCCCAGGCAGAGAAGCTAACTCCAGGAGAGATTCCTTCTCTCTGCTTGAGGAGAGGAGAGGGGAGAGTGAGGAGGACTTTGTCTTGCAACGTGGACACCAGCTCAGCCACAGTAGATAAGGCAATAGGCATTCCAGGCCCTAGCTCCCAGATGACATTTCTAGACACAGCCCAGACCTTAAACACCTTCAAGGGAAGGACCCAGTCTTGACAAGATTTATGACCTGCTGACTAAAGAGCCCTTGAACCCTGAATAATTGGCAGTGGTAGCCAGGCAGTACTCGCCACAGGCCTTGGGTGAAACTCAGAGCCATACTGGCTTCAGGTGTAAATCAGCATATTGCCAACTGTGGTGGCTATGAGGAAAGCCTATTTCAGCTTGAGAAAAGGAGGCAAGAGCAAACGGGAGTTTTTCTTGCAGCTCCACCACAGTGGAGTAGAGAACCAAGTAGGCTCCTGGGCCTGCTGATTCTAGGCCTTTGCCCTTAGGCAGAATTTCTGGACCTGCTCTGGGCCAGAGGGGGGCCCACTGCCCTGAAAGGAGAGTCTCAGGACTGACAGCATTCACCACACACTGACTGGAGAGCCCTTGGGTCTTGAGTGACCATCAGCAATAGCCAGACACTATTTACCATGGGCCTGTGGTAATGGTGGCCATAAGAAAAGACTCCTCTGCTTGAGGAAAGAAAAGAGAAAGGTGGGAAGGACTTTGTCTTGGGCTTTGGTGCCAGCTCAGCCACAGTAGAATAGAGCACCAGGTAGATTCCTAAGGTCCCCAACTCTAGGCCCCAGCTCCCAGACAGCATGTCTGCTGGTCCCAGGCTTGGGGAACTCATTGCTCTGAAGTGAGGGACACAAGCCTGGCTGGATTTGCCACCTGCTGATTGTGGAGTCCCTGGGGCCCTAAGTGAACATTGGTAGTAACCAGGCAGTGGTCACAGCAGGCCTTGGGCAAGACCCAGTGCTGTGCTGGCTTTGGGTCTGACCCAGTGTAGTCCCTGTTGTGGTGGTCACGGCGGTGCTTGTGTCATCCCACCCCCAGCTCCAGGCAGCTCAGCACTGGGAGAGAGACTCCATTTGTTTAGGGGAAAGCAAAAAAAAAAAAGAACAAAAGTCTCTGCCTGATAATCCAAAGAATTCTCCTGGATCTTACCCAAGACAACCAAGGCAGTACTTCTATAAGTCTGCAAGAGCCACAGCACTACTGAGTTTGGGGTGCCGCTAAAGCAGATATGGTTGCAGTGACCAAAGACTTAGATCACAACACCCAAGCCCCTTTGAATACTTGGAAAGCCTTCTCAAGAAGAAAGGGTAAAAGCAAGCCCAGACCACAAAAACTATGATCAATACCTAACTCTTTAATGCCTAGCCACCAACAAACATCCACAAGCATCAAGACCATCCAGGAAAACATGACCTCACCAAATGAAAATAAATAAGGCACGAACAATTAATCCTGGAGATACAGAGATATGTGACCTTTCAGAGAATTCAAACAGCTGTTCTGAGGAAGCTCAATGAAATCCAAGATAACACAGACAAGGAATTCAGAATCCCATCAGATAAATTGAACAAAGAGATTGAAATAATTAAAAAGAATTAAGCAGAAATTCTGGGGCTGAAAAATGCAATTGACATACTGAAGAATGCATCAAAGCCACTTTCTCTCTCTCTCTCTCTCTCTCTCTCTCTCTCCCTCCCTCCCTTCCTCTCTCTTTCTCTCTTTTTTGAGACAGGGTCTTGCTCTGTCACCCAGGCTCTCTCTCTCTTTTGAGACAGGGTCTCTCTCTGTCACCCATGATTGTAGTGGTGCAATCATGGCTCACTACAGCGTTGACCTCCTGGGCTCAAGTCATCCTCCCCACTCAGCCTCCTGAGTAGCTGAGACTACAGGTGTGCACCACAGTGGGCTAATTTTTTGTTGTTGTTTGTTTTGTAGAGACAGGGTTTTGCCTTGTTGCCCAGGCTGGTTTCAAACTCCTTGGCTCAAGCAATCCACTTGCTCCACCCTCCCAAAGTGCTAGGATTACAGGCAGGAGCTGCCACACCCAGCCCAGAGTCTATAAACAGCAGAATTGATCAAGCGGAAGAATTAGTGAGCCTGATGACAGACTATTTGAAGATACACAGAGGAGACAAACAGAAAGAATTTTTTTAAAATGAAGCCTGCCTACAAGATCTGGAAAATAGCCTCAAAAGGGCAAATCTAAGAGTTATTGACCTTAGAAAGGAAGTAGAGAGAGAAATTTGGATAGAATGTTTCTTCAAATGAATAATAATAGAGAATTTTCCAAACCTAGAGAAAGATGCTAGTATTCAAGTACAAGAAGGTTATAGAACACCAAGCCGATTTAACCCAAAAAAGACTACCCAAAGACATTTAATAATCAGACTTCCAAAGGTCAAGGGTAAAGAAAGAATCCTAAAAGCAGCAAGAGAAATAAACAAATAATATACAGAAAAGCTCCAATACGTCTGGCAGCAGACTTCTCAGTGGAAACCTTACAGGCCAGGAGAGTGGCATGACATATTTAAAGGGCTGAAATAAAAACTTTCATTCTAGAATAGTATACCCAGTTAAGGTATCCTTCAAACATAGAGAAAAAATAAAGGCTCCCCAGACCAAAAAAAGAAAAGAAAAGAAAAAGCTGAGGGATTTCATCAACACCAGACATGTCCTACAAGAAATGCTAAAGGGAGTCTTCCAATCTGAAAGAAAAAAACATTAATGGCCAATAAGAACTCATTTAAAGGTAAAAGAAAAGAAAACAAACCAATAAAAAAACTCCCTGGTAATACTAAGTACACAGAAACACAGAATATTATAATATTGTAATTGTGGTATATAAACTACTCATATCTTGAGTAGAAAGGCTAAAACTGGTCCTATCAAAAATAACAACTTTTCAAGACATAAACAGTATAATAAGATATAAATAGAAACAACAAAAAGTTAAAAAGTGAGGGGATGAAGTTAAAGTGTAGAGATTTTATTAGTTTTTCCCTTTGCTTGTTTGCTTTATGCAATCAGCATTAAGTTGTCATCAGTTTAAAATAATGTGTTATAAGATATTATTCGTAAGCCTCATGGTAACCTCAAATAAAAAAAAATACAACAGATACACAAAAAAATAAAAATCAAGAAATTAAAACATCACCTGAGAAAATCACCTTGACTAAAAGGACGACTGGAAAGAAGGAAAGAAGAAAGAGAAGACCACAAAACAATCATAAAACAAATAGCAAAATAGAAGAAGTAAGTCCTTACTTATCAATAATAACATTGAATGTAAATGAACTAAATTATCCAATAAAAATACATAGAGTAGCTGAATGGATTAAAAAACAAGATCCAACTATCTGTTGCCTACAAGAAACACACTTCAGCTATAGACACACATAGACTAAAAATAAAGGGATGGAAAAATGTATTCCATGCCGATGGAAACTTAAAAAGAGCAGGAGTAGCTGTTCTCATGTGAGAAAAAATAGAGTTCAAGACCAAAACTATAAAAAAAGACAAAGAACATTATTATATATTTATAAAGAGGTCAATTCAGCAAAAAGACATAACAATTCTAAATATATATATGCACCCAACACTGAAGCACCCAGATATGTAAAGCAAATATTATTAGAGCTAAAGAGAAAGACAGATCCCGATGCATTAATAGCTGAAGACTTCAACACGCCACTCTCAGCATTGGACAGATCACCCAGACAGAAAATCTGCAAAGATAAATTGGACTTAATCTGAACTATAGACCAAATGGACCTAATAGATATTTACAGAACATTTCATCCAATGGCTGCAGAATGCACATTTTTCTCCTCAGCACATGGATCATTCTCAAGGATAAGCCATATATTAGACCACAAAACAAGTCTTAAAACATTGAAAAACATTGAAATTATATCAAATATCTTCTCTGGCCACAACGGAATAAAACTACAAATCAATAACAACAATAATTTTGGAAATCATATAAACATATGGAAATTAAACAATGTGCTCCTCAATGACCAGTGGGTCCACAAAGAAATTAAGCACAAAATTTAAGAATTTCTTGAAACAAATGAGGATGGAAACGCAACATGCCAAAAACTATGCGATACAGTGAAAGCAGTACTAAGAGGAAAGTTTGTCACAATAAGCATGTACATCAAAAAAGTAGAAAAACTTCAAATAAACAACCTAATGATGAATCTTAAATAAATAGAAAAGCAAGAGTAAACAAAATCCAAAATTAGAAGAAAAGAAATCATAAAAATCAGAGCAGAAATAAATGAAATTTAAATTTAAAAAATACAAAAGATCAACAAAAGGAAAAGTTGATTTTTTGAAAAGATAAACAAAATCAACAAACCTTTAACCCAACTAAGAAAAAAGATAGAAGACTCAAATAAATAAAATCCGAGATGAAAAAGGAGACATTGCAACTGATACCACGTAAATTCAAAGGATTATTAGAGGCTACTATGAACAACTATATATCAATAAATTGGAAAACCTGTAAGAAATGGATGAATTCCTAGACACATACAACCTACCAAGATTGAACCATAAAGAAATCCAAAACCTGAACAGATAAATAACAAGTAATGAAATAAAAGCCATAATAAAAAGTATCTCAGCAAAGAAAAGCCTGGGACCCAATGACTTCACTACTGAATTTTACCAAACATTTAAAAAACTAATATCAATCCTAATCAAACTATTCCAAAAAATAGAGGAGGGAATACTTTCAAAATTATTCTGTGAGGCCAGTATTACCCTGATACCAAAACCAGACAAAGACATATCAAAAAAATTTAACAACAGGCCAATATTCACGATGAACACTAATGCAAAAAATCCTCAACCAAATACTAGCAAACCAAATTCAACAACACATTAAACAGATCATTCATCATGAGCAAGTGGGATTTATCCCAGGGATACAAGGATGGTTCAATATATACAAATCAATCAATGTAATACATCAAAGAAACAGAATGAAGGACAAAAAATTCATATGATCATTTCAGCATCATTTCAATTGATGCTAAAAAAAAAAAGCATTTGATAAAATTAAATATCCCTAAAAAAAAACTGGGTATAGAAGGAACATATCTCAACATCATTGATCATCCAAGATATGCAAATCAAAGCTAAAATGAAATATCATCTCACCAAAGTTAATATGTTTTTTATCCAAAAGAAAGGCAGTTACAAATGCTGGCAAGGATGTGGAGAAAAGAGGACCCTCACACACTGTTGGTGGGAATGTAAATAGTATAATCAGTACAGAGAACAGTTTGGAGGTTCCTCAAAAAACTAAAAATAGAACTACCACATGACCTAGCAATCCCACTGCTGGGTACATACCCAAAAGAAAGGAAATTAGTATATCTAAGAGATATTTGCACTCCCATGTTTATTGCAGCACTATTCACAATACCCAAGATTTAGAAGCAACCTGCGTCTACCAACAGGTGAATGGACAAAGAATATGTGGTACTTATACACAATAGAGTGATATTCAGCCATACAAAAGAATGAGATCGCGTCATTTGCAAAACATGGATGGAGCTGGCCATCATTATGTTAAGTGAAATAAGCCAGGCAGAGAAAGACAAACATTGCATGTTCTCACTTATTTGTGGCAGCTAAAAAAATTAAAACAATTGACCTTATAGAGATAGAGAGTACAATGATGGTTACCAGAGGCTAGGAAAAGTAATGGTTGGGAAGGTAGTGGGGATGGCTAATGGGTAAAAAAGTTAGACTGAATAAGATTTAGTATTTGATAGCACAACAGCATGACTACAGTCAATAATAATTTAGTATGCATTTTAAAATAACTAAAAGAGTATAATTGGGTTGTTTGTAACACAAAGAAAGAATAAATGCTGGAGGTGGTGAATACTCCATTTACCCTGATGTGGTTATTATGCATCACATACCTGTATCAAAATATCTCATGTACCCCATAAATATATATACCTACTATGTACCCACAAAAAATAAAGATAAATGAGTAAATACCTAGATTTCTTGGCTGCACCCTCAGTTTCTGATTCAGCAGGCTGGAGTGGTGAGAAGGGGAGGGATTCAAATGAGAGCAATGTTCAGTGCACATTCACAAGTAAAATAATCATTGTGTGAAGCCGCTGGTGACCAGTTAGACATGGCGCCACAGCTCAGCACCTCCTTCCTGCACTGAGTTGTCCTGGGGGCAGCATGGTGGGAGCAGGGCTATAAGAACAGGCTCTGGGACCGGATGGCCTGGCTTTGAATCCTGACACCACCACCTCCTAACGGAGCGATTTTGGTTAAGTTCCTTTTGGGAGACAATTCTCTGTGGGTCTCTATTGTTTCTTCATAGCTGGTGAGCCGTGGTATTGGCCACCTCTGTTCTAGGACTCTTTCCAAGGATGTTTCTATAGTCAGCCACCCTGGAAGAGAGAGAGTGGCTCTCTCAGGGCAAAGACAGAAGATTTGGATTCTCTACACTTGGGATTCTTCTGTAGCACAACCCACTGTGTGTGAAGGTGTCACCTTTTGAAGTTAAGGTTAGGCAGCTGGCATAAACGCTGACACTAGATCCTGCTGTTGTTGTAATAAAGCTCAGCCCTGACCCTGGCCCAGCATCTCCTGTCTCCTGCCAGCACCCAGGATACTGCAGCAGACTAACTGTCTACTGGTTAGTAGAGTAAGATTCCAGACCCTTCACAGTTCCTGACAGCGACTTCATTTCTCTATCTCAACTTCCTCAACTGTAAAATGGGAATAATGAAAGAGATGTGGGGATTACAAGAGCTGACACAGGTACGGGTCTTAGACTAGCTTCTGGCCATGGCTACGGGTTCAAATTCAGTTAGTTATTTCATCAACTCTTGTAAGCAAATGTTTCAAACTCAAAAAAGGCAAAAGAAACATCATAAAAGGGGACTCAAAGCCCAGTAGGTGAGGAGATAGCCTTACGAGGGACTCTGAATGAACTCAGGTTTCAAAAGCTCTGAGAGAACTTGAAGATGTGCACATAGGGCAGTTACCACTGACAACTTTTAAAAATATTCTGAAGAGGCCGGGCGCAGTGGCTCACACCTGTAATCCCAGCACTTTGGGAGGCCAAGGCGGGCGGATCACCTGAGGTTGGGAGTTCAAGACCAGCCTGACCAACATGGAGAAACCCCGTCTCTACTAAAAATACAAAAAATTAGCCAGGCATGGTGCTGCATGCCTGTAATTCCAGCTACTGGGGAGGCTGAGGTAGGAGAACCACTTGAAGCTGGGAGGTGGAGGTTTCGGTGAGTGTGCTACTGCACTCCAGCCTGGGCAACAAGAGTGAAACTCCTTCTCAAAAAAAAAAAAAAAAAAAAAAAAATCTGAAGAGAGGGGACAGAAAACTGAACAAGTGAAAAAATCCCAGTTTCAACAAGATGGATCCCAGACACTGCAGACAGCCCAGTTAGATGTGGGCTCCTAAAATCATTCTAGAATAGATGATTAAACAGATGGCTCATGAGCCTGTGGAAAAGAACACAGTGATCATTGGAACTGAGAATGAATTCACAAATAACGCACTGTGCGGAACTAATATTTTTTGACAGGATCGTTGAATTAATCAGAATACTGTGAAAACAGTATGGCCTGATTTCAGCAAGAATGGGCAACATGGGAAGGAGGAATGAGGGTTCGATGGGAATTGAAGTAATGCACCTATTGATCTGAAAGAGGATTCCAAATGGAGTGCCAGCTCTATCCTGTGAACTGTGTTTAGCCAAGACTTAAAGACAGAGAAAACAGGTCCAAGGTTGACTCAAAGCTGAGAGGAATCACCAACGTGACACTGGAAATATTTCAATAGACCAGACCACAGGCCTAGCCCAACAGGCATAAGATCAAGTTCTTCTGGTTCTTCACTGGTGGAGGACAGTGGTTACATGGAGTAAACCTGGGGGTTCAGTGACCTGCAGACGCAGGCTTAGTGGGAGCCAGAGACGTGATGCAGCCACAGGAATGGGGACTGTTCACACTGTGCTGACTTTGAGCCTCCTCTTCCTTTAACCCTTACGACCATGCTCCAAGTGGCAAGCACTTCCTTCTTCGGACAGATGAGGGAACAGAAGCATAGAAGGCTGAATAATTGAATAAACTGTCCTGAGGCCATGCAGCAGGTCAATAGCAAGGCCAGGATTCGACCCCAAGTCTGTGCAACCCCATGGCCTGTCGAGACCACAACACCACTGTCCACATCGTGGGCCTTCATCACACCACACTGGCAGAGCTGCATCCTGTTCTCTAGGGTCGCTTGACAGTCATATCACATAAGAAACTGCTGAAGAACTAGAACAAATCAGCCTGGAGAAGACAAGAAGTGGGGCATGATAGGACCTAAACGCATTATCATGACTTACAAGACCTCTGCGGTCCAGGCCCTGCTCACTTACGAAGTCTTGTTTACGTCCCTCTTCCTCTACGTGCTCCCTCTCTCCCCAAGTCCAGTCCTACCGACCTGCCAGCAGACGTCGAAACTCCCCTCCTCTCACACCTGTGGCAGCTCCGCCGGTTGTTTCACACTCCTCTATACCCTCCTGTCACCTGGCCAACTCTTCCTACTGAACTCTGCTCCCTTGGGAGGCCACCTTTTCAGACCCCGGCCTGGGTCCAAGCCCGTCTCTCTGCTGCAGGGGACTGTCAGCTGCGGCATCTTCAACAGACCACCCCTAATGTGTTTCCTGCTCAGTGATGGAGCCTCTAACTCATCCACCCTCAGGGAACATTCAAAAACAAGTTATTTTTAAGGCCCCTACAAATATTAAGCATATTATCAAAACTAACATAGTAATTTAGATTTAACAAACCTAAAATACCATCACTAATAGATACTTTCCTAATGGAAATTTAAGGTTTTGTTTCCTAGAACCTCTAAAAATTTAATACGTTGGTGTCTGTACCCTAGGAGAGAATGAAAACATCATCTGCAGAAGACAGACTCACCTCAAAACAGGGAAACAGGGCTTTCCCTCTTCTTTTTTTCTTTCTTTTTTTTTTTTTTTTTTTTTTTTTTTTTTTGACAGTCTTGCTCTGTCGCCCATGCTGCAGCGCAGTGGCGTGATCTCGGCTCACTGCAAGCTCCACCTCCCGGGTCCACCCCATTCTCCTGCCTCAGCCTCCCGAGTAGCTGGGACTAAGGCACCCGCCACCACGCCCGGCTAATTTTTTGTATTTTTAGTAGAGACGGGGTTTCACTGTGTTAGCCAGGATGGTCTTGATCTACTGACCTCGTGATCCACCCGCCTCGGCCTCCCAAAGTGCTGGGATTACAGGCGTGAGCCACCGCGCCCGGCCTCCCTCTTCTTTTCTGATGCAGCCAGTGGGTGGCTTTACTTTTGATATTATTCCATGTCTTCTGAGATGAGGGTGTTTAACTCTATTTTTAAAGGACCTGAATCAATAACGAACAACAAATTAAGAATTCTTAAAGTGCCTGGCTGAAAAACGGCAGAAAATCTGACAAACCAGAGATAGAAAAGATTGCCTCTCTGGCTTTGGAGTTACTCAAATGTTACCATATCAAAGGAAATAGGGTGTTTGCGGAACTATTTGTTCCTTATGATCAAATCAATGAAATGCCAAATTGTCCATATATATGCCAGCTGGCACCCATCTGAGCCAGGACACTGCTTGGTAGAGAAAATGCCCTCCCTGGGACCACTAACCATGAGGTGCTGCTATGGACATCCAGCCCCCAAAGATGCCTTTATTTGGTCTATGTTTTGTGTAGCCACAAGAGCTTGGTCTCCTGTAAAGTAAACCACCAAAGGCAAGATTAAATGGGTCCTGCTATGCAGTGTTATCGGCACAGCACTCTGTTTAAAGTCCTGGGTCTGTGATCTGCCAAGGCTTCTCAGAAAAGCCATACATGGTACGATTCTCCTCTCCCATCCTCATTCAAATGATGTTTTAATGGACAATAAGCAGTATGCTTTATAAATAAGCAGAAAGAAGGAGGCAGAGATGTTGGGAGAGATGTAAAGACTGAGAGATTTATTCTCCACAAGAATGCCACCCAAAATCTAATTTTAGCCATTAGTTTCAAAGCAACTAGGAAAGGACCTTCAGGAGTGTAGGTGGGGGTGGAAATTAACCACCTTTTTGAGGCAGCTGCAGATATTATGGGGTTTCTTCTTGAGCTTTCATTTTTCTCTATAATCTGGCCCTGTGGTTAGATCTGACCCTCTTAGGCCAGACTTCGGTGTATTCACTGCTATTTCTCTGATCCCAGGAGTTGAAAGTGATTTTCAGGATGATGGAAAAGTTCTCTTCAATCCAAAATGTTTACAAAAGTAGTAAATGCTTTCTTTTACCATGTTCCTGCATACTGTGAGGAAGATGTTTTAATTAATCAAAGATCCCCCCTCACACATATAGGCTCAGAATTTCTGCTCAAACACCAAAAGCTCCCAACATCACCTTCCACTTTTGAATCATGTTGTTAGAATGCCAGAATCTACGTTGATGCAACTTACACCCATTGCTCCTATTTTTGTTCCTGACCCAGCTTCTCTTCCACATCTTTCAAACATTTAGAGTTCCCCTCCCAGATGAAACAGCCCCAGCTCCTTCAGCTCTTCCTTTACGGTTTCAGACCCTTCAGCAACTTGACCACATGGTGCTCACTCTCTGGTATGTCTCTGTCCCTTTAGAATGGGAGCCAGGAACTGGGCTGTGACCAACAAAGGCCTTTAGCATTTTACCACCATCCAAATGTCATGATCCTTAGGTCGTATCTCTATGCAATCCTCGTTACCCCTTACTACAAGGACAGGCTGCAACTGTTCAATAAGCATTAATTGGTGGCAATAAAATGCTGTGGTGGAGAAACATGACAGTTATCCAGCAAGCCAAACCCTACAACTGAGTTTATCGACATGTAGGTTCAAGTAGCTTTAAAGTGAATTTGAATTCACTCTGTAAAACCCTGCTTAGATAACTCAAACAGCAGAGCTTCTGGGACCTCACTGCCCACACAGCTTAGGGAGCTGGCCAGGGTCTGCATCTGGGATGTAATGACTTCAAATCTAGAGGTTTAAACCATTGTGAATTACACTGGACCATCTGAATTGGTTTAGAACAAAGCAGTCTGGCAGACCCTTTTCCAACTCTATATTCCAAGAGATGTGTTTTGAGCTTTTTTGTTTTCCACATTTTCTGATTTATTATCATTTGAAGTAGATGACTGGGTCAGACTAGATGGATTCAGAAGTTATTATAGAGGTCACAGAAGACAGAGTTTCAGCATTATAAAAATCACAATTAAGGATGTCTCTTCTATATACAAAAATATTTTCCAGAGAGCATATATGCGAGCGTTATTAGATATATAAATAAAGCTATTAAATCATATGTCAAAAAATGACTACTCTGAGTGTGCCACCAGTAGACTGAAATTTAACTGAGAAATTACTTTGGCAGAATGTGATTCTTTCTTCCCAGAGTGCTGGGTGTGGTGACTTGGATACATGGACAACCATGTAGCTACTGGATAAAGGGTATCTGCACCACCCGCCATGCTGAGGCCTTCCTCCACCTCCCAAAGCTGGATACACCAGATGTGGCTCCACACTTGGTCTCAGAACAGTGTGGCCATTCTGAAACTGGACTATCTTCTGACCCACACTCCCTTTTCCTGACATCTCACTTCCAAGTACCATGTCATCAATTGTAAACTGGCTAGACAGGCTCCCACCTGGACTCAGGAGCCTGTGTGGGCCAGTTAGAGAAGGCCCTCTTGCGAGAGACTTATGTGAAAAGAAGTGTAGATACGCATAGAGAGAGGTCAGACGCATTGCATTTCTATGGACATCATCGTTATGCAGAAACAGAGCAGAATTTGTTTGATAATAAAGTGGTTTGTTGAGATTTAGGATTTTATTATTATTTATTTTTAGAAAAAAGAGAAAATTTACAAGATGCAAAGGTCTCACACAATACATTATCATTGATGATTGCTCTCTTGACACTTCAACACGGGCCCTGGCAATAAAAAGAACATGGACAGTGTGAGTGTATTGGAGAACCCCCGCCATGGACACGCAGAATACACCACAGTGGACTTGATGACAAATGATGCTGGGCCAGCCTGTTCCAAAAGCAAGCCAAGATGTGGTAGAAACCAACAAAGCCTTTCTGTGGGGGAGGCACGAGCGCACACCTTCTACCACATGCGCACCCGCCCCCTGGCCCACCGGCAGTGCCCACTGCATCACTCCACCACAGCAACAACAGAAAACGATAAAACGGTCCTTTGGTGTTTTTTGCAGAGCTATTCAGGTTCCCAAATTCTTATTTCTGTCTTCCTCTTCATGTTTCAGTTCCAAATTCTTAAAGTAGTGTAGGTGCTTAGCATCTTGAATTTTTCAGGATCCAGTTCTGCCCAATGATAACACACTAAAAAGACCAAAGAAGACACGTTATTAAGAAGGATTCCAATGTTTGCCTTCAGATTCTATTAGCATAGGCATATAAGAGTAACTAAGCAGCTGAAGATATGTTTTCAAGCTCATACAGTGACACCAGCATCAGTGCATCACTTCACTGAAAAACCTGCCATGTTGCCATGTACAAACCCAAATACCTTCTCCTCAAAGAGTCTCCAGTTCATTAAAACTCCATTCTTAGAGCAAAAGACACCAAGGCAAATATCTGAACACACTTCTAAATGGCTTTTGCATCAAAGAGAAGTCACCAGGCAAAATAGAAAATACTTTGAAGTAAATGAAAACACAACATATCATAATTTGTTATATTCACCTAAGGCAGGGCTTAGAGGGAAATTCACAGCATTAAATGCTTATATTACAAAAGAAAAAGGTTATCAAATCAATAATCTGGGTTTCTACCTTAAGAAATTGAAGAATAAAAGCAAAGTAAATCCAAAACAAGCAGAGAAGGAAGAGAATAATAAGGAGCAGAAACTGATGACATTTCAAACAGAAAAAGGCAAGAGAGAAAAAATAAAAATAAAAAGATCAATAAAATAGATAAGTCTCTGGTCAGACTTACCCAGAAAAGAGAGAAGACACAAATTATCAATATCAGGAATCAAAGAGGCAACATCAGTACAGACATTACAGACATTAAAAAGATAAAAGGAATATATCACAAGCAACTTTCGACTCACAAATTAGACAACATAGATGAAATGAACAAATTCCTAGAAAAGAGATATAAAAGCATGATTTCCAAATCATTTTAACAATGAGGGAGGTAGAGGGATGGGAGCTTAAGGAAATGCAGGGACAGGGAGGGAATAAACTAAATGCTTAGTCTTGCGACATTTTAAATACTACTCAAAGGATGCCTGGCTGTTTGGTACAGAAGTCCAAGTGTCTCAGGGTTTCCTTTTGTAATTCCGAGGCTATAACAAAAACCAGCTAGTATTGCCGAGATCTATGATGCATGCATTTGTCATCCAAAAGTTAAACTAAAGCTAAAGCCTAACAGAAGAGTTTCTATTCCCTCAGATCTAGATTCTAATTGGATGGACTTCAGTAAAAGCAAAAGATTTCAATACGACTCAATATGCCATGGCAGTGCCACCTCCATGGATGTGCTTCCTGATACACTCAGTGCAGGCCACCTTCTTAAGAAAGGGTTGTATCACAAGCAGATGCTTCCATAGACTAACAGCCCTCATTCCCCTGCCCAGCTGGATAGCGAAGTCCCTGTGCACACATGAGAAAGGCAAGCTGGAACCACAGCTAGCCCATGCTCTGCAGCTCTGTCTGCCACCATATCCCCAAGGGCTACCCTCGTACACCCAAACCCACCTGTAAGAGTCCTGCACACCTTCCTAAGAGTTTTCTAAAAGACAACCAGTGGGTGGAGAACAGACAACATCATTCCTGGGGACCATATTACTTTCAGTTTTTAGCTATTAGAAACAACCCATTTGTTCTTACATTGTGTGGATGATGTTAACCCAAGTTACGGACCTGGGGACTATTCATACTTGTTTCCCTACCTTCAATACCAATAACTGAAATACTGTAATTGTTCCCCACATTGACCTTTGAGAAACTCCATCTTCTTGGCACAGATTAAAATCTTTGTTTTTGAACTTAAGATGAGCTTTGGAATCCTGGTTGAACGTATTTTTCTTTTACATTTACTTCAATTAAATATTCTACAATATTCTACATTTTTAATGCATTGGGATAATTTAGTCTTCAAATATTTGATGTGCAGATGGAAATTATAAAGCTCACAGTAAAAGAATGACCTAGAGAAATGTTAAAGATATTCTGTTAAAAGATAAAAAACAGGTGACACTATATATATACAGTATGTCTCCAACTTTGTAAAGTTAGAGAAACAGATGTAGAATTACCTGTTTAGAAAAAGTATTCCAAAGCATTATGTTAATAATAATTATCAGAGGTGGAGCCAAGATGGCCAAATAGGAACAGCTCCAGTCTACACCTCCCAGTGTGAGCCACGCAGAAGACGAATGATTTCTGCATTTCCAACTCAGGTACAGGGTTCATCTCACTGGGGATTGCTGGACAGTGGATGCAGGACAGTAGCTGCAGCACACCGAGCAGGGCGAGGCATCGCCTCGCCCGGGAAGCGCAAGGGGCCAGGGAATTCCCTTTCCTAGCCAAGGAAAGGGGTGATAGACAGCACCTGGAAAATCGGGTCACTCCCACCCTAATAATGCGCTTTTGCAATGGTCTTAGCAAACGGCACACCAGGAGATTATATCCCGCGCATGGCTCTGAGGGTCCTACGCCCACAGAGCCTCGCTCATTGCTAGCACAGCAGTCTGAGATCAAATTGCAAGGTGGCAGCAAGGCTGGGGGAGGGGCGCCCACCATTGCCGAGGCTTGAGTAGGCAAACAAAGCGGCCGGGAAGCTCGAACTGGGTGGAGCCCACCGCAGCTCAAGGAGGCCTGCCTGCCTCTGTAGACTCCACCTCTGGGGACAGGGCACAGACAAACAAAAGGCAGCAGAAACCTCTGCAGACTTAAATGTCCCTGTCTGACAGCTTTGAAGAGAGTAGTGGTTCTCCCAGCATGCAGCTTGAGATCTGAGAACAGACAGACTGCCTCCTCAAGTGGGTCCCTGACCCCTGAGTAGCCTAACTGGGAGGCACCGCACTGTAGGGGCAGACTAACACCTCACACGGCCGGGTACTCCTCTGAGACAAAACTTCCAGAGGAACGATCAGGCAGCAACATTTGCTGTTCACCAATATCCACTGTTCTGCAGCCTCCACTGCTGATAGCCAGGCAAACAGGGTCTGGAGTGGACCTCCAGCAAACTCCAACAGACCTGCAGCTGAGGGTCCTGACTATTAGAAGGAAAACAAACAAACAGAAAGGACATCCACACCAAAACCCTATCTGTACGTCACCATCATCAAAGACCAAAGGTAGATAAAACCATAAAGATGAGGAAAACACAGAGTAGAAAAACTTAAAATTCTAAAAATCAGAGCACCTCTCCTCCTCCAAAAGAATGCAGCTCCTCACCAGCAATGGAACAAAGCTGGACAGAGAATGACTTTGACGAGTTGAGAGAAGAAGGCTTCAGATGATCAAACCACTCCGAGCTAAAGGAGGAAGTTCGAACCCATGGCAAAGAAGATAAAAACCTTGAAAAAAGATTAGACGAATGGCTAACTAGAATAACCAATGCAGAGAAGTCCTTAAAGGACCTGATGGAGCTGAAAACCACGACACGAGAACTATGTGACGAACGCATAAGCCTCAATAGCCAATTCGATCAACTGGAAGAAAGGGTATCAGTGATGGAAGATCAAATGAATGAAATGAAGCGAGAAGAGAAGTTTAGAGAAAAAAGAATAAAAAGAAACGAACAAAACCTCCAAGAAATATGGGACTATGTGAAAAGACCAAATCTACATCTGATTGGTGTACCTGAAAGTGACGGGGAGAATGGAACCAAGTTGGAAAACATGCTGCAGGATATTATCCAGGAGAACTTCCCCAATCTAGCAAGGCAGGCCAACATTCACATTCAGGAAATACAGAGAACGCCACAAAGATACTGCTCGAGAAGAGCAACTCCAAGACGCATAATTGTCAGATTCACCAAAGTTGAAATGAAGGAAAAAATGTTAAGGGCAGCCAGAGAGAAAGGTTGGGTTACCCACAAAGGGAAGCCCATCAGACTAACAGCGGATCTCTCGGCAGAAACTCTACAAGCTAGAAGAGAGTGGGGGCCAATATTCAACATTCTTAAAGAAAAGAATTTTCAACTCAGAATTTCATATCCAGCCAAACTAAGCTTCCTAAGTGAAGGAGAAATAAAATACTTTACAGACAAGCAAATGCTGAGAGATTGGTCACCACCAGGCCTGCCCTAAAAGAGCTCCTGAAGGAAGCACTAAACATGGAAAGGAACAAAGGTACCAGCCACTGCAAAAACATGCCAAATTGTAAAGACCATCGAGGCTAGGAAGAAACTGCATCAACTAACGAGCAAAATAACCAGCTAACATCATAATGACAGGATCAAATTCACACATAACAATATTAACGTTAAATGTGAATGGGCTAAATGCTCCAATTCAAAGACACAGACTGGCAAATCGGATAAAGAGTCAAGACCCATCAGTGTGCTGTATTCAGGAAACCCATCTCACGTGCAGAGACACACATATGCTCAAAATAAAAGGATGGAGGAAGATCTACCAAGCAAATGAAAAAACAAAAAAAGGCAGGGGTTGCAATCCTAGTCTCTGATAAAACACACTTTAAACCAACAAAGATCAAAAGAGACGAAGAAGGCCATTACATAATGGTAAAGAGATCATTTCAACAAGAAGAGCTAACTATCCTAAATATATATGCACCCAATACAGAAGCACCCAGATTCATAAAGCCACACAATAATAATGGGAGACTTTAACACCCCACTGTCAACGTTAGACAGATCAACGAGACAGAAAGTCAACAAGGATATACAGGAATTGAACTCAGCTCTGCACCAAGTGGACCTAATAGACATCTACAGAACTCTCCACCCCAAATCAACAGGATATACGTTCTTTTCAGCACCACACCACACCTATTCCAAAATTGACCACATAGTTGGAAGTAAAGCACTCCTCAGCAAATGTAAAAGAACAAATTACAACAAACTGTCTCTCAGACCACAGTGCAATCAAACTAGAACTCAGGATTCAGAAACTCACTCAAAACCGCTCAACTACATGGAAACTGAACAACCTGCTCCTGAATGACTGCTGGGTACACAAGGAAATGAAGGCAGAAGTAAAGATGTTCTTTGAAACCAACGAGAACAAAGACACAACATACCAGAATCTCTGGGACACATTCAAAGCAGTGTGTAGAGGGAAATTTATACCACTAAATGCCCACAAGACAAAGCAGGAAAGATCCAAAATTGACACCCTAACATCACAATTAAAAGAACTAGAAAAGCAAGAGCAAACACATTCAAAAGCTAGCAGAAGGCAAGAAATAACTAAGATCAGAGCAGAACTGAAGGAAATAGAGACACAAAAAACCCTTCAAAAAATCAATGAATCCAGGAGCTGGTTTTTTGAAAAGATCAACAAAATTGATAGACCGCTAGCAAGACTAATAAAGAAGAAAAAAGAGAAGAATCAAATAGATGCAATAAAAAATGATAAAGGGGATATCACCACAGATGCCACAGAAATACAAACTACCATCAGAGAATACTATAAACACCTCCATGCAAATAAACTAGAAAATCTAGAAGAAATGGATAAATTCCTCGACACATACACCCTCCCAAGACTAAACCAGGAGGAAGTTGAATCTCTGAATAGACCAATAACAGGCTCTGAAATTGAGGCAATAATTAATAGCTTACCAACCAAAAAAAGTCCAGGACCAGATGGATTCACAGCTGAATCCTACCAGAGGTACAAGGAGGAGCTGGTACCATTCCTTCTGAAACTATTCCAATCAATAGAAAAAGAGGGAATCCTCCCTAACTCATTTTATGAGGCCAGCATCATCCTGATACCAAAGTCTGGCAGAGACACAACCAAAAAAGAGAATTTTAGACCAATATCCCTGATGAACATCGATGCAAAAATCCTCAATAAAATACTGGCAAACCAAATCCAGCAGCACATCAAAAACTTATCCACCACGATCAAGTGGGCTTCATCCCTGGGACGCAAGGCTGGTTCAACAAATGCAAATCAGTAAACATAATCCAGCATATAAACAGAACCAACGACAAAAACCACATGATTATCTCAATAGATGCAGAACAGGCCTTTGACAAAATTCAACAGCACTTCATGCTAAAAACGCTCAATAAATTAGGTATTGATGGGACATATCTCAAAATAATAAGAGCTATCTATGACAAACCCACAGCTAATATCATACTGAATGGGCAAAAACTGGAAGCACTCCCTTTGAAAACTCACACAAGACAGGGATGCCCTCTCTCACCACTCCTATTCAACATAGTGTTGAAAGTTCTGGCCAGGGCAATCAGGCAAGAGAAGGAAATAAAGGGTATTCAATTAGGAAAACAGGAAGTCAAATTGTCCCTGTTTGCAGATGACATGAATTGTATATCTAGAAAACCCCATCATGTCAGCCCAAAATCTCCTTAAGCTGATAAGCAACTTCAGCAAAGTCTCAGGATACAAAATCAATGTGCAAAAATCACAAGCATTCTTATACACCAATAACAGACAAACAGAGAGCCAAATCATGAGTGAACTCCCATTCACAATTGCTTCAAAGAGAATAAAATACCTAGGAATCCAACTTACAAGGGATGTGAAGGACCTCTTCAAGGAGAACTACAAACCACTGCTCAATGAAATAAAAGAGGATAAAAACAAATGGAAGAACATTCCATGCTCATGGGTAGGAAGAATCAATATTGTGAAAATGGCCATACTGCCCAAGGTTATTTATAGATGCAATGCCATCCCCATCAAGCTACCAATGACTTTCTTCACAGAATTGGAAAAAACTACTTTAAAGTTCATATGGAACCAAAAAAGAGCCCGCATTGCCAAGTCAATCCTAAGCCAAAAGAACAAAGCTGGAGGCATCACACTACCTGACTTCAAACTATACTACAAGGCTACAGTAACCAAAACAGCATGGTACTGGTACCAAAACAGAGATATAGACCAATGGAACAGAGCAGAGTCCTCAGAAATAATTCCACACATCTACAACTATCTGATCTTTGACAAAACTGACAAAAACAAGAAATGGGGAAAGGATTTCCTATTTAATAAATGGTGCTGGGAAAACTGGCTAGCCATATGTAGAAAGCTGAAACTGGATCCCTTCCTTATACCTTATACAAAATTAATTCAAGATGGATTAAAGACTTAAATGTTAGCCATAAAACCATAAAAACCCTAGAAGAAAACCTAGGCAATACAATTCAGGACATAGGCATGGGCAAGGACTTCATGTCTAAAACACCAAAAGCAATGGCAACAAAAGCCAAAATTGACAAATGGGATCTAATTAAACTAAAGAGCTTCTGCACAGCAAAAGAAACTACCATCAGAGTGAACAGGCAACCTACAAAGTGGGAGAAAATTTTTGCAGTGTACTCAACTGAGAAACGGCTAATATCCAGAATCTACAATGAACTTAAACAAATTTACAAGAAAAAACAAACAACCCCATCAAAAAGTGGGCGAAGGATATGAACAGACACTTCTCAAAAGAAGACATTTATGCAGCCAAAAGACACATGAAAAAATGCTCATCATCACTGGCCATCAGAGAAATGCAAATCAAAACCACAATGAGATACCATCTCACACCAGTTAGAATGGTGATCATTCAAAAGTCAGGAAACGACAGGGGCTGGAGAGGATGTGGAGAAATAGGAACACTTTTACACTGTTGGTGGGACTGTAAACTAGTTCAACCATTGTGGAAGTCAGTGTGGCGATTCCTCAGGGATCTAGAACTAGAAATACCATTTGACCCAGCCATCCCATTACTGGGTATATACCCAAAGGATTATAAAACATGCTGCTATAAAGACATATGCACACGTATGTTTATTGCGGCACTATTCACAATAGTAAAGACTTGGAACCAACCCAAATGTCCAACAATGATAGACTGGATTAAGAAAATGTGGCACATATACACCATGGAATACTATGCAACCATAAAAAATGATGAGTTCATGTCCTTTGTAGGGACACGGATGAAGCTGGAAACCATCATTCTCAGCAAACTATCGCCAAGGACAAAAAACCAAACACCGCATGTTCTCACTCATAGGTGGGAACTGAACAATGAGAACACATGGACACAGGAAGGGGAACATCACACACTGGGGCCTGTTGTGGGGTCGGGGGAGAGGGGAGGGATAGCATTAGGAGATATACCTAATGTTAAATGACGAGTTAACGGTGCAGCATACCAACATGGCACATGTATACATATGTAACAAACCTGCACGTTGTGCACATGGACCTAAAACTTAAAGTATAATAAAAAAATAATAATAATCATAGAATGATAAGGTGGCAGATGACTTTTATTTTCTTCTTCGGGTATTTTGGCATTTTTGATATTTTCTATGAGTGAGCATTAACTTTGTAATAAAAAAAATGGCTTTCAAAAGAAATGTTATATGAGAAAGATGATTTAGGAATTTCTATTCCCTACTAGAGAAACACAGAACTGGAAGGGATCCTGAGAGGTTTTGGCCAATGGGTTCTTAAAGTTTTTAGGTAAACTTCCTAGGCATAAGAACTTTATAAAGCATCTAACCTGAAGGACAATCCATTAGGTATGCCTTTAGAATTAACTGTGCTACTACTGGGAACACTAATGGGCTGGCCTAATCATAAGATCAATGTTAGTATCATGAGTGATTTGTAAACTACATGCAAGAGATTTTTGGCCAGCAGTGGACACTGTTCCAGCTGAAAGCCACCGCCCACTACAATACATGGATTGGTCAATAGACGTTGCTCTCTATTTCTAGTCTCACTTGCTAAAGATGTCTCTTCCTATTTTCTTGAACTATAGAATAACCCAGGAGCCAGGTTACTGGCCATCAACTGGGAGTAGCTGGAGACCACGCAGCTCACATAGCTGGAAGCTTGAATGAGGAAGGTGGGAGTGAGCTATCTGTGAGGTCCATCTGCCAAATTAGAAGTGCTGAGCAGAAGTCCTGTTCAAGCTAAACACATGGTTCTCCAGAAAAGGGTGGACCATTGAGGCTTGAAATTCAGAAACCCTGGATAAGGGGTAATGTGCCTCCCTCTAAGAGCTACTGAAGGGATGATGTCTATTTCCAAACGCATGTGCGTCACATGAGCTACTGAGGGCAGACATGACCCAGAGGCTGGGGACACCTGACAGGCAGTAGTAAGAGGTGCCTGATAACTTAGCACCACAATTTCATAGTCTTATGAAAGAAGCTAGGGGAACCACCAGTTTCCTCCACCTGCTGTAGTAGTTCTCTTACTGCCGTCAACCACGAGGGACAGTGAGGAACATCTCCAGTGAGGCCAGACCAGGACCAGAAGAAAGGAAACCCTTCACAGCCCACGTAAACACTGAAACCCTCAAAGACACTGACTTCCAACTGACCTGCTTCTGGCTTCAGGCCATTTAAGCAACCACAGGATGCAAGTGCTAGACAAAACACACACATGCCACAGATCTGTTCTCCACATCACTGTTAAAAGGACCAAGATTTTTTTTTTTTACCTATTTATTTCAGGTCTTAGCTGGTAATCAAATCAGAATTCATTTACCTAGAAAGGTAAGGCTGTTCTATGCAAAAAACATGAGAGATGCTGGGAAGTTATCAATGCAGGCTTCACTCTGACCTTCTAGCACTGTTAGATTCCAGCAAGCTCCCTCCACTGAAGTGTCAAAAGATCCCCAGAATCGGAATCTCTTCCTTTGCTTGAGAGCTGATGGTCCTGACTTCACAGATAGAACATGAAAAGAATGATTTCCTAATTACGAATGGAAAGCTTAATGCAATGCAATAAAACAAGCATGGAGAAAAAATTGATGTTACCTGAAAGTGGTAGGAACAAACCTTGACAGCAATTGGCTTTTATTTTTTGGCTTTAACTTATTCTCCCATCTATTATTTCTCATGTATATTGTACTTATTTATATATCAACGTCTTTTTTTTTTTTTTTGAGACAGAGTTTCGCTTCATTGCCCAGGCTGGAGTGCAGTGGCGCGATCTCAGTTCACTGCAACCTCTGCCTCCTTGGTTCAAGCGATTCTCCTGTCTCAGCCTCCTGAGTAGCTAGGATTACAGGCGTACACTACCACACCTGGCTAATTTTTGTATTTTTTGTAGAGACGGGGTTTCACCATGTTGGGCAGGCTGATCTTGAACTCCTGACCTCAGGTGATCCACCCGCCTCGGCCTCCCAAAATGCTGGGATTACAGGCATAAGCCACCACACCCAGCCAATGTCAATCTTATAGTACTTAAAGTGATTCAGATGACAGTATCAAAATCATAACTTGATCCCTACAGGTTGGTGCTGTTTAGTTGAATTTTCTGCAATGATAGAATAGCAGCCACTAGCTGTATGTAGCTAGTGAGCACTTGAAATATGGCTACTGAGACTGAGAAAGTGAATTTTAAATTTTATTTAATTTTAATTTACATCTCAATAGCCACATGCAGTTAGTAGCTACTGTATTAGATGGCACACTCTAAATTATTTGTAAGCCTGGCTCTGCACCTTAGCAATAGATGGAATCACTAATCATGGCCAGTTATTTTCTAATCAATAAGGTAATGGCCAATTTATTTTCTAATAAATAAGGTAATGGAGGTGGAAGCCTGGGCATAGAGAAAATCCAGTCCCACTACTAGTAAAGTAATATAACATGCTACTCTGCATCAGTGAGGAAGCAAACCAACCTCATGGATAATAAAAAACCAGAATGACACTTAAGGTTTGGGAACAGTAACCTCCAGGTAAGAAGAAGAATGGGGCAGACAAAAATATTTGAATAGATATTACTTAAAATGTCCCAAATGTACTGAAAGCCATACAGTTACAGATTCAAGGTCAGCGGACCCAAAAAGATCCCCAGAATCAGACTGGGACTATGATACAGATGTTGGAATTATCAGACAGGGAACTTTTTAAAACTATGATTAATATGTTAAGGGCTCTAATGAAAAAGTAAACAATATGCAAGAACAGATAGGTAATGTAAGCAGAGAGACGGAAACTCCAAGAAAGAAACAAAAGGAAATAATAGAAATCAGAAACACTGTAACAGAAATGAAGGATGCCTCTGATGGGCTCATGAATAAACTGGACACAGCCAAGGAAGAATCAGTGAGCTCAAAGATAGGTCATTACAAACTTTCCCAACCAAAAACAAAGAGAAAAAGAATGAGAAAAAAAGAACAGACTATCCAAGACTGTAGAGCAATTGCAAAAGATGTACCATATATATAATTGGAATACCAAAAGGAGAAGAGAGAACAGAGAGGAAATTGTGAATGAAGCTAGGGGTATTGAAGTATTAATGGCCAAGAGCTTTCCAAACTTAATAACAGACATCAAATCACAGATCCAAGAAGCTCAGAAAATACCAAGCAAGAACCACACCTAGGCACGTCATATCCAAACTGCGGAAAACCAAAGACAAAATTTTGAAGAAGCTGGGGGCTGGGGGTGGGGTAAGGAGAACCCACCTTACCTATAGAGCAATAAGAATGAGAATTACAGGGGACTTCTCATAAGAAACTGCAAACAAGGAGAGAGAGGAATAAAAATTTAAGTATTGAAAATATTTAAATATTTCTTTTTCTCTCATGCCTTGGAAACTCAAAGCTGCTCCTCTAGGGCTGTGAGGCTCCTAGGGCTCTTTGTGTTTTTAAAGAAAGGCAAATTAAAACAACAACAACAACAACAACAAAAAAAAAAAACTACAAGTCTAGAAGTCTATACCAGCAAAATTATCCTTCAAAAACAAAGGCCGGCCATGGTGGCTCACTCCTGTAATCCCAGCACTTTGGGAGGCTGAGGTGTGTGGATCACTTGCGGCCAGCAGTTCAAAAGCAACCTGGCCAACATGTTAAAACCCTATCTCTACAAAAAATACAAAAAATTAGCCAGGCATGTTGGTGCATGCCTTTAATCTCAGCTACTAGGGAGGCTGAGGCACAAGAATCGCTTGAACCTGGGAGGTGGAGGATGCAGTGAGCAGGGATTGCACCACTGCACTCCAGCCTGGGTGACAGAGTGAATGAGACTCCACCTCAAAAAAAAAAAAAGACTATTTAAGTTAATGATAGTGACAATGTATTAGGTGAGTATCACATATGTAAAGTGAAATGAATGATAGCAATGTCACTGGGAATATGCTGTTGTTATAAGGTGCCTGTTACAGGTAAAGTGGTAGAGTGTCATTCAAGGTGGACTTAGACTAGTTAAAAATGTATATTGTAAACTCCAGGGCAACCACTAAAAAAATTGTTTTAAGTTAAAAAAAGATAAAAACACTACCCAGAGACACAGCTAGTTTTATACCATGAAATACCAGCACATGGACATGAGAATGTGGTACAAATGTTGATACAGGGAAGCAAAGTGAAGCTCAGAGAATGAAAGGAGTCCTACCTTGTATGGCGAAAAGAACAGTGAAAAGGGACTGAATACCTTTTCAACAGAAAACACACACCCACACACACACACACACACACGGCTGCTGTAGCTCATTAGGAAGAAGTGTGCTCAGCCAGGACACATCTTACTATTCAGACAAAGGTCACATTGAAAAAGCAAACAGATGGCAGCTTCCAAAACACTTTCTTGTTTGGTTTCAAGTGTGTTGCCATTTGAGGACAGAAATGTGGGGTGCCAGTCAGGAGCACACTCCTCTCACACCCTAATTACAGCAGCTAAGTCAATACTCAAATGAGGTAATACTTGACCCTGCAATCAAATCAGAAACCACATCATTTTAGTGAGAGGTGGCCCTAGTGCCTTTAGCAGTGGCCAGAAAGGAGAAATAATAGAGCTGCATCCTCACAGAAAACCTCAACTCCTCCCAGCAAGGTGAGAGAGCCCGAAGGATTGAGACAGAGGACAAAAACACAGTTAATTTTAGCAGTTTCATGTCCACTTGGTAAAATAAGAAGCAACATTTGCAATGTGACAGAGAAATGTCAAGGCCCTGGAAATGTCCTCTGAACCATGAAGGCTTTTGAATCATTTTCAAAGAAAAATATGCCCAAGATCATGCAGTTTCTCATTCAATTTTCTTTTGCCTTTTCTTTCTCTCTCGTGCCTTGGAAACTCAAAGCTGCTCCCCTTAGGGCCTGCCAGATTCCCTAGGGCTCTTTCTGTATTTAAAGAAAAGCAAATGAAAAGTGCTACTCCCTTCATAGTGAGGGGGCTGCTGTTGTTCTGGGGAACAAAACAAATGTCAGGGTCACCTTCTGTCTGTCACCATTTAATCCAGCTCTCATAGATATCTGAATATTTGGTGGTGATTTTGTGGCCTACTGGGATGACAAATTTCATCAGAAGGGGGAACAAAACCCACGGGCAACAAAAAACCCCAAATATATCATTGGAATGCCAGCTGTCACTTGGTTCTGGTCCCGTTTAGGATCTTCAAATCCAGGAACATGGCTAAATTCTCGGAAGCAGGAGCACCCAGCCCCGCTCTGGTCCTCGGCTAGTTGTGGGCGGCTCTGAAGGACTCCTCCCTGCCTGGACATCTGTCCATGCCTGACACCGTCACTGCTGACCCTGACGTAAAGAAGAACAACTGGATGCCTATGGTAAACCATCAATAAATGGTTTTCCTTGTGCGCTTTGTCCAAAACCCAGACAGTACCATATACATCGGTATAAACAAAACGTGGCCTCTGTCTTTCATGGGCCGATCTAAACTTGTTCATGAGCCTCCATGCGCTGAGTAGCAATAGGGGCGTTCCTGACCAGACAGAGGCTCCATTTCACCTTAATGTCAACAGTACTCTGGGTCCTCAGTGTCCTCTGTGGCAGGGTGGTTGGTGCAGCTCAGCACCTGGGCCCTGACACTGCACCACTGAGGGACGGTGGGCTACTTGAAGTTTGGTGTCTCTTGCTCAGGGACCCAAGGCCCTCTCTGGCTGACCTGGCCTCGTCTCAGTTCTCACCAGCATATCTCACTCAGTCTCAGGTGTCATTAATGACAGACCCCTGCAAGTCTCATCCAGGAGGCCAGTGGAGGTCACAGCTGAGACCTGGAGGGACTGTCAGTGCTATGAAGAGCTGAGGCCATGACCCCCAACCTCCTAATGAAGCTGCCCCCTCATGGCTTCTGCAGCAGGCTCACCTCACCACTTCTATCCAGGACCGAGAGTCAGCCCACAGACCCAACACAGCTTTCCTCCACACCCTCCACCAGGCAGAGAACACCCTCTGGAGCCTTCCCCACCCCACGGCGATGCTGAGCAGCACTCTCACAGGCCCTGAGGCCTGACCGTGTCTTGCTACCTCACTGGGCTGCAGCTGCCTCCTGGAGCCCTGGAGCCACCTGCACTGCTCTCCCTCCAGAATCCCTGTCACGGCTTCCAAGTTTCCTGCAACCCAACCCCCATTCCCCCACTCCAAGGATCCCAGCCTGGAGCACAGCCAGAACATGCCAGGGGCCTTCAGCTTCCCCTCCATCTGTCCCTCTGCTCCTTCCCGCTGAGTCTCCTAACCTGAAGGCTGAGGCCAGCCAGGAACTTCCCTCCATTGCCCTCTTCCTCCTCTTTTGCCTGCCTCTTCCCAAGGGCCCCATGATGGCATGGCTGCAGTGAACTTGACTTATAGGGAAGGGGAAGGAAAAACACAACTGCCTCCTCCTTTCCAAACACTTCCCGTGGGGTCTGCTCCCCCTGCTGCCTCCCCTCTGTGGCTGGCCCTATTTGGGTGATTCACAATAGCACCACTGACCCCAAGTTCTATGCTACCTAATCTGCACTACCGTGAGAAGGAAATAAATACATTATTAAAATGTCATTAACGTGAGAGAAGCAAGAAGTAGATACCTACGAGTCCATGAGAATTCCCCTCGTAAACTTAGACACTGGGGAAAAATGTGAAATGTTCACACCCTCCTCCTGCCCTTCTTTTTATGTGCTCAGTTCTCCTTCTATGAGCGTGTTCTCCTGTATGTTCTGTGACACATGCAGTAACTGTCCCCTTGTCTGCCCATGAGACCCTCGGGTGTTTTTCTTGCCCACAGAATTAGCAGAATTACTCCCAGGCTACCCAGGGGCCACAGAACACTAACATCCATGGTGTATTCTCTACAGGAATTACTCTGAGGCCAAATCTAAAGCAAATGGAAGTCTTTAAGTTGTTATGTTTTGCATGAATTTTAAAAGTAACAAAACTCAATACCCCGTCATAGATTAAACCAAAGATTTTCAAAGCACTGATCAGATATAAAGCAAAAATCAAGACATTAAATTTATAAAATGTATTAGGTTAATAATACAACCCAGGAAGGAATCAGCTAGGTGGTATTTGAATTTTTTAAGCTGTTTTGAAAATACAAACCTCCAAGGCACATGTGAATTTGTATTTGTGTGTGTGTGTGTGTGTGTGTGTATGCGTGCCAGTGTGTTTAGCTTGATAATCTGGGTCTGGTTGCTGGGAGACAGGGGCTTGTATGTTTCTCCCTCTCCCGTTCATTAAGTTCATGATGGGAGTCTGAACATTCAAGTTGTTTTTTTGTTTTGTTTTGTTCGTTTGTTTGTTTGTTTTTGAGATGGAGTCTCACTCTGTCGCCAGGCTGGAGTGCAGTAGCGCAATCTTGGCTCACTGCAACCTCCACCTCCTGGGTTCAAGAGATTCTCCTGCCTCAGCCTTCTGAGTAGCTGAGACTACAGGTGCGCATCACCATGCCCAGCTAATTTTTTTTTTTTTTGTATTTTTTATAGAGACGGAGTTTCACCATATTGGCCAGATGGTCTCGATCTCTTGACCTCGTGATCCGCCTGCCTGGGCCTCCCAAAGTGCTGGGATTACAGGCGTGAGCCACCATGCCCAGCCCAAGTTGTTTTGAACCTGTTGTTAAGGTCCCAATTCACTGCAGGAAAGACTATTAAGTACAGTCTTCAACAGAACTGGAAGAAGAGACATGGGCCATGCCTGAGCATTAAGGCTGGGAAGCTGCCCTGAACCCCAGGAGTGGAAACTGGAGTGTCCAATCTGAGTTTTGCTTCTGGACCAAGTAATTACTAAAACTTGGCCTAACCAGTAACAGTCCCTGCACCTTTCATTCAAGGAACAGGAGCAGCGCTGGGATGCTCTCTCTGTCATGCTTCCCTGTGATCCAGAGAAGCCTGAGAAAACACAGAAACATGGCGGGGAGGGAACATGCCTGCCCCCGCCCTGCCCAGGCTGCTGGGGCCAGTTCCAGGCACCATGACTTCTACCTGCCTGCCTTCCACAAAGCACTGCTGACGGAGATGAGTTTTCCTCCAATAGAAGAAAAACCATAGAACTTACTCACTGTCACCCAAAAGTTAGCAGGATGGAAAGAAGACCTCGATGAGTTTCTGAATTACTGCTTGACCCATTTAACTAGCACAACTGAAAAAGTATCTTAAAGGGCCACTCTGTGCCCTGTCTTCACTTAGCACATTTCACCTCTTTGGATTAAGGATTTCTGGACAGACTATAAATCAGAAGCACCAGCAATATTTGTGATGCCAAAACTGACCACTAACAAAAGTGAATTATCATGAAGTTTTGGAGGGGTGGGAGTGGAAGTTTTATGTGACGTCCCTTCCCTTCGAGGCACCCTTCAGTGTCCCATGCATACGTGAGATACATAAGCCAAGGCTGGTCACCACAGTGCTGTTGTCTCCCTGCACAACACTAGCAGGAAAACACAGTGATGAGGGAACAGTTAAGAGGACAACAGGACTCACTGTCCAGTCCCCTCCCCTAAAACTGTCTATGAACCAACAATCCACCCTTCCTGAGCTCTCCATTCTGTTCCTCTCGTCTGTGTATCCATTTGGGAGCTGGTGCCACTGTGCCCAATTACAACTAATGTATCTTTTTTAAATTTTATTTTTAAGAGTCAGGGTCTCACTCTGTCACCCAGGCTGGAGTGCAGTGCTGCAATCATGGCTCACTGCAGCCTCCAACTCCCAAACTCAAGCAATCCTCCCACCTCAGCTTTCTGAGTAGCTAGGATGATAGGCAAGCACCACCATGCTCAGCTAATTTTTTTTTTTAAGAGACGGGGGTCTCACCATGTTGCCCAGGCTGGTCTCAAACTCTTGGGTTCGAGTGATTCTCTCACTTCAACCTCCCAAAGTGCTAGGATTACAGGTGTAAGCCACCACACCTGGCCTAATATATCTCACTTCCTGGTATTGTGGATCCTAAAAGCCATTTCATAGGTACACTTCTGACCCTTGCTCTCTTTCAGAAGAGAAAGAGAAGGCTGAAAACCACCTTCTGGATGTTCTTCTATCATAATTTGGTGTCTCTTGGGTGAATTCTGTCTCCTAACTTGGTTTTAACCACAGTCTGTGAGCTGAAGGCTCCAAATTGTATGTCCGAGACCTGGCTCCCCAGCTCTAAAGCCACAGACTCAGCAGACGACTGGCATCACCATTGGCTGCCAACAGGCACCTCAAACACAACACACCCAAAATAGGTACCGTCAGCAACCCCCATCTTCCTCCCTCATCCTTCTGGATGTCTCCTCTTCCAATCTAATCAGTCACCACGTTGAAATGATTCTATTTCCTTTACATCTTTCAATCCCACTCTTTCCCCTCTGTTCCTACTATAATTTTTTCTCTGGACTTCTGCAATCACCTCCTAATGGGCCTATCTGCTTCCAGCCTCACTCCCCAAAGCTGCTCAAGTGAGTGCTCTTTTTAAACTTTGTATCTGATGATGTCACTTGTACACTTAAAACCTTTCAGAGGTCCCTCCCGCCCCAGGATAAAATCCAAATTCCTCAGGGTTGCATACCAGACCCTATACAATCCAGACCTCCTATTTCTCTAAGTTCAGAGATGCTCCCTGCCCTCCCACTCCACTTGGCACTCAACACTCCCACCCTTCTGCAATTCCTCCATTCCCAAACTCTCCTGTCCTTGCCCCCCAACCTCCAGATGGCATTTGCACTGCTCTTCTCTTGGCTCAGGCAGCTCTCCCCTGCCCTTGCCCCTCATCTGCCTCCCCACTGCCACCTGTCCTTCCAGATCTGGTCCCAGGCCTCTGAGGGGCCTCTCCTGACCTCCCATCTCCACCCCACACCTGTTCACACTCCTGCCACACGCACCGTGCTGTAGTATAACTGTTCCTATGCTTCTCCCTGAGCCTGTGACCTCCCCATGACAGGTCCTGGGTCCCTCAAATCTGCACCCAGTATTTGGTCCAGTGCTTGGCAAAATAAACAGGTTCCCTGGTGGGAGGAACTAGGCACAGTGCCATCAGATGGCCGCATCACATTTTCAAGGCCTCTGATGTTCAGGCAGGGAGGTGGACTCCGTGCTACAGTGAGCCACAATAAGAATAAAATGCCATTTTAGGAAAAGTAAACTCACAGTGCCACACGGGGCACTGTGAAGGATTTCAGAACACGGGGCAGGTGGCAATGAAAGTAGGCTGCTGAGATGGCAGTGCCCTTTGCTAGAGTGGCTAAGAGCAGGAAGGGAGATGCAGGAGCGCAAGTGGACTCTGCATCTGCATCTGGATTCTGTATCGGTGAGTGAGTGTTCTGCACAGGCAATCACAGCAGCAGCTGTGGACTGGCACAGGCAGCCAGAGAAGGTGGCACAAACAGGTTCCACCCCCAGGTGGGCACCCCAGGCCTGTGGTATGCCACCCTCCTGCATCTCAATGAATAAAATACAATCTTATTTGCTAACTGATATGGTTTGGCTGTGTCCCCACCCAAATCTCATCTTGAATTGTAGCTCCCATAATTCCCACGTAGGAACACACACGTGGAAATTATGGGAACTACAATTCAAGATGAGGGGCCTGGTGGGAGGTAACTGAATCATGGGGGCAGTTTCCCCCATACTGTTCTCTTGGTAGTGAACAAGTCTCACAAGAGCTGATGGTTTTATAAGGGGAAACCCCTTTCACTTGTTTTTTGTTTTTTTTTTTTGAGATGGAGTCTTGCTCTGTCACCAGGCTGGAGTGCTTGACCCTTATACTCTCTTGCCTGCCGCCATGTAAGAAATGCCTTTTGCCTTCAACCATGATTGTGAGGCCTCCCCAGCCACGTGGAACTGCGAGTCCATTAAACTTCTTTATCTTTATAAATTACTCAGTCTCAGGTATGTCTTTATCAGCAGCGTGAAAACGGACTAACACACTAACTTTTGTCTCCATCCTGGAAGGCAGCAGATTTAAGGAAGCTATGGATGAACGCTGTGAAATGAATGAATTCAGCCTCAGCAGCTATTCCCTCCTATTCATTGCTGCTTCCCCAAAATGTGGGAAGATGAAGCCAAGCAGGGAAACTCCTACCTGAATTCTGCCTCCTGAGCTACGGCTCCCGTTCAGAGGACACGTCGCCCTCAGCCCCGCTGCTGGCACTGCGGTCTTCTTTTCGGGGAGTGTTTCTTTCCTTGCTTGATTCAGAAGGTCCCTTAGCTCTGGTCTTTTCTTTCCTCTGCTGCTGTTTTTCGAGCTTTGACAGCTGATTAAATAAAAATAAAAAAGAATATTTTACAAACACAAACACATGCCTGTGTATCCCACACACCAGTGACTTCCCAGGTGGGAACCATTGAAAAGTTTTTTTCTGATAACCTGGCAGAGCACAGTGGTTCAGATATACCAAATTATACACAGAATGTTTTTCCAACAGGCACCTGAATCACTGAAACAAATCATTAGTCATAGGAGTAATCACTCTCAGACTTTTCCCCAACCATAATTCAACTTGGCACACAGTATGAGGGAGCGGTCATGCCACAGCCTTCTTCAACAGCCTTAGAAGAGCTCCATATATGAAGGCTTTTCATCTCTTACTTTTTTCTTTGATAGTTTTTTTTCTCATCAAGTTACCTTCTACTTGTTGTTTTCTTTTTTCTTTTCTTTTCTTTTTTTTTTTTTTTTTTTTGAGACAGGGTCTCACTCTGTTGCCCAGGCTGAAGTACAGTGGTGCGGTCACAGTTCACTGCAGCCTCAACCTCCTGGGTTCAAGTGATCCTCCCACCTCAACCTCTCAAGTATCTGTGACTACAGGTGCATGCCAATTTTTCTGTAGAAACAGAGTTTCACCATGTTGCCCAAGCTGTTCTTGAACTCCTGGGCTCAAGCAACCCACCCACCTCGGCCTCCCAAAGTGTTGTGATTACAGGTGTGAGCCACCATGCCACACCACGTGTTTTCTAAAGAATGTTCAAAACACATTACTCTTTGCTGAAGATTACAGAGAAGGCTGTGAAACAAAGTGCATTAAGCACACTGAACACCGTCTCAGTTACCAGTTGATTTGAGACTGAAGGCTGACTTGCTTGCAGGCTGCGTGGTGGCAACACTCAGGACACTGGCCACTAGAGCCTTCTTAGGCTCCCACCAGGCCAGCAGGGGACATGCCCCTGATGTCTCACTCGAATGGAACCTGGGCCCACTTCTTCCCTGAATAGTTCTTCAAAGAAAGCATCAGCTAGATGGCTGAAAGAAGCTTCCATCATCTAACACTGAGCAGCAGCCCAGCCACTACAGGAAAGCCTGCTGAGAAACCCAGCAGAGAAGACCGGCCAAGTTTTGAACCACGGAATTTTCTTAGACCAAAAAACACAAGAGACAGCAATACCCAGTTTTATCTCCCTCCCAGACTAAGTCTGTGAACTTTTTCTAGTTTACATAAAAAGAAGGAAACTTATTGAAGGGCTGGCTTCTCCCTGCTGGTCCCTGCCCCACATCCAAGACACAAAGAGGATTCACTTCCCCCAATCTGCCAGATCATTTCTTCCACTATGAACAGACTTTGAGTTAACCCTTCGAGAGATGAACAACCAACCAGTAGCTCTCAATTGGGTCCAGGAAATCAAATTTATTAATAATTGACTTATAGTAGTGGTCCCCAACATTTTTGGCACCAGGGACCGGTTTTATAGAAGACAATTTTTCTGTGAGATGGGGGACAGAAGAGGGGATGGTTTCAGGATGAAACTGTTCCATCTCAGAGCATCAGACATTGGTGAGATTCTCATAAGAAGCCTGCAACCTAGATCCCCCGCATGCACAGTTCACAATGGGGTTCCCGCTCCTATGAGAATCTAAGGCCACTGCTGATCTGACAGGAGGCGGAGCTCAGGTGATAATGCTCGTTCATAGGCTGCTCACCTCCTGCTGTGCAGACTAGTTCCTAACAGGCCACAGGGATTAGTACCGGTCCCTGGCCTGGGGGTTGAGGACCCCTGGCTTATTCTTTCCTACTCCCCATTTACCTGAAAAGCTGTAGAATACAGCTAAGTTTGGTTAATATACTAATTAGATTTTGTGAATGAAGACATCACTTCACCTTTGACTCAGCAACTCTCCTCCGAAAACTCCCCTGGATAAATTTCCACTTGTGTGCACAGTGGGGGCTTCTGAGAACATGGACTGTAGTGTCATTTGTATTTGCAAAAACCTAGAAACAACCCAAATGTCCATCAACATTAGGAGGACAGATACGTGTAATGTGGTCTGGTCCCCTAAAGCAATATTGTACAGTAGATCTACATATATCAAAATAGCCAAGTCTTGGTCAGAGGTGGTGGCTCATGCCTGCAATAGCGGCACTTTAGGAGACCAAGGTGGGCGACTGCTTGGGCTCAGGAGTTTGAGACCAGCCTGGGCAACATAGAGAGACCCTGTCTCTACAAAAAAAAAAAAAAAAAAAAAATACAAAGGTTAGCCAGGCGTGGTGGCACATGCCTGTAGTCCCAGCTACTGGGGAGGCTGAGACGGGAGGATCGCTTGAGCCCAGCAAGCAGAGGTTACAGTAAGTTGAGATCATGTCACTGCACTCCAGCCTGGGTGACAGAGGAAGACTGTCTCAAAAAAAATTTTTTTTAATTAAAAAAAATAGATAAATCTTGAAAATCATGTTATACAAAACAAATTTAGCTTCAGAAGGCTATATACAGTAGGATTCCACTAACACAAAATAATACTCTACATAGCTAGTGAGCTCATGCAAATACAGTATGGCCTGGAAGAATACACGCCAACTTCAATACACTAGTTAACATGGAGGGGAAAGAGGATAATGGGATCTTAGTGGAATGAATATATACAGGCTTCAACTGTAACCATCAACTTTATAAGAACAAAACCAGATCTAGAGCAGAGTTACTAATCAGTGCACTCCACAAAATGCACGTGACACCTGGACCAGCAACAGTAAGATGCTCGTGTCAGAATGTAAATCAGTACATAGCTTCCTTCATCAGCAAAGTATTGTGAGAGATTTCTTCTCAACTGTGAGCTCTGTGGTGTAGCTGACTTCATTCTGGCCCAAAATGAAGGTTGCAGTGAGCCGAGATCACGCCACTGCACTCCAGTCTGGGTGACAGTGAGTGTGCATACACATATACACACATATATAAATACTCATGAACAGGTCCAAGTTAGATGCTGAGAAAGTACAATTTTAGTTTTAAAAAGTAAGATGCCGTCTCAGTTTTGTTCTTTGTTTCGCCATGGCCTGGTAACAAACAGTTCATGCAGCAGCACTTTAAGTAGGAATGAATGATCTGGAGCAAAGATGACAAAAAGCTAGCATTTTTAAAATCTGAGAAATGGCCACACAGAGCTGCTTGTTACATAGTTCTTTGTAGTATTACTTTTCCATGGAAAAATATTTTTCTCTTGACTATTCTGCCACAGGTTAGGAGGAATTTCCTGCATCTAAAATAACAGGCTTCTTTCCTTTCGTCTGTCTTCTGGTATTAAAATGCTCTTTCTTTGATGAAATGATAAGGACAGTATACAGGACTCCTTCTGTCTCATTCCCTTTCTTGCAAACAGATTTTGGATTTTTGCAATGTGGATATACCCATTACTACTAAGCTATACACTTAAAATGGTTAAGATGGTAAGTTTTATGTGTATTTTACTATAATTTAAAAAATTAAGCAATTTTGGAAATCATAAGTTAGCAATCCATGCTAGACTCCCCAATTTCTTTTTGTTTTCTATATTCCTGATTCATAAAATCCAAATATCTTGAAATTGGTGTTCTGCAGTAAATTGTGGTAAGCTGCCTTCTGCTGCCAGCAATTGACATTTTATATTCGCATCCATGTGTTCATACTTGTATGTCTTACTTGTGTGTAGATGCATACACATATACACACATATATAAATACTCATGAACAGGTCCAAATTAGATGCTGAGAAAGTACAATTTTTAAAAAGCAAGATGCCCTCTCAGTTTTGTTTCTCATCTTCAGAGATTAAAAACAAAACAAAACAAAACAAAAAAAAAACAAAATGTGAATATCAACAGTCACAAAATTAAATAAACCTCCTCCCCCTTGCTAAGTAATCTCATGCAAAGGCCTCTTTGTGACCCAGCCTGTTCTTCACTTTGTACTCTTTTATGCTATTGAGAACCAGATCCAGAGAGGACGATGGGGAGTAACCCCAATTAGCACAGCCCTCTGGAGGCTTCTCAGCTCCTCGTAGTGTCATTCGACTCTGTGCTGAGGCAGAGGCACAGACACCACAGATGCAGAAACATCCATCTGACCTTCCCCTCCAACCCTATCCCCTCCCACCGAGAGCCAGCTTTTAAATCACATGTGATAACTATTTAAATGACAGGCACAGCCCACATTTCTGCCAGTGATGTAATGCTGACTCTCTTACAGTATTTATCTTAAAACAACCCAACCACATATGGCTCCATGCCGCAAACTCAAGTTCTCTGTGAGAACATTGTGAACTAACCTAATAAATTTAAGCCTTTTCTGGGAAAACTTGGAATCCAATGCAGCCAAAATGTGGAATTTACATCTCAAAGCAAGAAAGCAGCTGGATTTTTTTTTTTAAGGAAACAAATGAGAAAAAAGAAGAAGAAAAGAAACTGGTACTGCATATGAGCTCAAGCAAAATGTCAACAGCTTTCAAATTAAGAGGAGATGCATGTCAAGGAGAATATAAACCACTACAGGTCTGTGAACATACAATCTACAAACACTGAAATAGAGTACTTCTGGGTTTTTGTCTGTTTGCTTGTTTTTAATCAACTGGCAAGAAAGCCCACATTGTAAGGGAGAGACTGTCCAAACCATGCTGGCTTTAGCGCCTTAGAGAGAAACCCAGCCTTCCAAAAGCTGCCCTGGACACACAGACACCACCAGGGGCCAGGTGATGATCCTGTGGTCAGCCTGCACCTTTCACAGTGAAGCTTGGGAACACGTGTGCCAAAAGAGGGGGGACTGGAATATGCAGATCCAGACTCACCCAATTCATGATTAAATCCACTGAAAACATAAGCGTTTTTCTTTTTAATTAAGATGCCCAAGCTCTAATTGCACAATCTAAGAATGAACTAGTTGAACATTGATCTTATAATGCCTGATTTCAGGGCCTGCAAACTTAAATGCCTTGAGAGACCAGCCAGGAAGCAAAATGAGTTAAGTGGCCAAGAGTAAGACAATATGGCAGGGTGGAGCCTGAGGCCACACTGCAGAGGACAAGCTCCACCTAAGGCCTTAGGACACACTGCAGAGGACAAGCTCCACCTAAGGCCTGAGGCCACACTGCAGAGGACAAGCTCCACCTAAGGCCTGAGGACACACTGCAGAGGACAAGCGCTACCTAAGAACATTCGCACTTTCTTTTCAAACATGTATCTGGACCATAATGTTGATGGGGTGCATATGTGTCACCTGTTAGGGATCCCCACTTAGCATTTCCACCTATGTGACCTTGTTTGCTCTTAATAACCTGATAGTAGTTGAATGATCATCAATGTCCCACAGAGAAGCCACTGCCAGCTGCCTACACCGCAGCTACTCATCTTCCCAGCCCCTTCCTCCCTCCCTGCTGGCAGGAGTCTCCTACTTCAGAGGTGGCAATGTCTGGTTCTCCTGTCACATGGCATGTGACACAAACCATAGCCAACAAGACCTGAGGGGACTGCAGAGGGTCTTTGGAAAAAGGCTTCCCTCCCTAATAAACACAGGTGAGAGGAAACACTGCCTTCCTTCCTATCCTTGGCCATAGTCAGGGGAGGAAACGGAGCTTCGGAATGGTGCAGCTCTCAAAACGAGGAGGGGACATCCAGAGGTGCACAGAAGTCTCTGGAGAGCCCCGGCAGAGTTGAGCCAGCTGAACCAGCTTTCCCCTTAGGGGAGGCAACCAGGCTCCTTACTGTTTAAGCCACCCTCACGTTATAAGCCACCCTCATGTAGGTTTGTGGCACTTGAAGTTGAAAGCAAAATCTTACACCACATGCCCATGGACATAAACAAGACAGCAACGCCCAGCAAGGTCATGTGACTTGCTTAAGGTTTTGCAGCCTGCTAGCGGCTGAGGGGGACCACACCCAGGCCTCCAGACGCCAAACCCCGCATTCTTCCCAGGGAGCCACATGACCTCTCTTGCTTAATCTATTAACTTCACTTAGCAGTTAACTGTTGGGCACTGACTATACCTACTCTAGGTGCCAAGGACACAGCAGAAAACCAAGCAGAGCCCTGCCTTCCTGAGGCTGACTGTCCACTGGAAAAATAATTGGCAATCCCCACTCACACGAAGCCAGGCCTGCTCTAAGCACTTGATGTGTATTAGGGGTAAAGCAGAGGAACCTGGGGGTGCTTCGAGCCCCCACCATTCTGCTGTTGCCCTCTGTAGCCGCACACTTGTCTTCATGGGTAGAAAGCATAAAGGGACCTCAGAGCCATCTCCATTTGCCAAATTAAAGAGAAACTGGTCCTAACCTTGGTCCAGCTCCTTGGTGGTTTAGCAACATGCTGCTGCAGGACTCAATTCGTCCATCCTTTTCTGTCCCGAAGGCTGAAGAAGCCAGAGGATCAAATACAATTACCGGCAACAGTTTAACTCAACCAGTAATAGGGCTGGCTAAGAGCAGAGTGGGGAAGCCTCAGAAGTGACACAAGCCTAGTGTTGGCTCTCTGATGTCCCTGGCACTTGGCCTCAGGAAAGGGCCCTGTGTGCCTGTCAGTGGCAGTGGGAGAAGCAGATCAGAGTGAGGGAGCAGAGTCTGACCCGGGCCCACCTGCTGACCCAAGGCAGCCCAAGGCAGGGGAAGCCCAGCAAATGGGACATGGACACTCAGGACCAAGCCCTCAGGTGATGGCCTAAGAATGCAGTTAGCATCCGCACATCCTAGTGGGGCCACTGGGTGGCCAAAGTATGGGGGGGTCTCCAGGGCAGGCAAGCCCCAAGTTTGGGGAGGGCCAACGAAAGCTGTGCTGGGAGTGGGAGTCAGGTCCTGGTTGGGGGTGAGAAGGCAGGGGCACTCCAGGGACTGGCATCACCCGAGTGTCTACTCACTCCCAGGCACACCGTGGCAGATGGCACATGGCAGGGCAGTGTGTCTGAGCAGAAAGCAACACACAGAGATGACTGAAGACAAGGATGTTAGGGCCACACAGGCAAAGGCAGAAGAACAGAGGCCCAGATGAGAGTAGGGTGACAGGAGGGAAGGGCCGAATGAGGGGCACCCTAGGCAGAACTGAAGCATTATTGTCGGGAGTGGCAGAGGAGTTGAGGCAACACCAGTGAAAATCATCATCAGAGACTTCAGACAGGACCGGCACGGCAAGGCAGCAGGGCAGGCTTGGACACAGGCATTGGGCAGGAGCCCGAGCCACCCATTAGCTGAGATGGACACAGTGATGTGGCTCGTGTGGCCACAGATGAATGACTGAAGAAATGAATGGACAGGACAGGTTTTGTTTGCAAGATCAGGCCAGGCAATAGCCTCAGAGGGCACAGAGGCTCAAGCTTTTATGCCAGCTGAGTAGCAAAACTGAACAACTCTTCACCAGCACTCAGAGGGCATAGGTGTTGGCAATGGCAGGTGAGGGGCTTGCCTTCGGAGTTGGGGTATCTGTCTCTTAAGCAGGCAGCAGGCCACTGGGAAGAAAAAAACAGAGGCTCTTGGGCAGCCAGTCAAGGTCTGTTTTTCTGTACATGATATGCCCAGGGCAAGGAGAGGGGGTGGCTGCAAGGTGCACACGCCCTGAGTCGTGCAAAGCACCAGATCAACAGGGAATTGCGATTTGCCTCTGTTCCTTCACACACATAGCATCACTCATGAAGCACCTTGAAAGACAGATCCCTTCACACTGTGGGATGATCCAGGGTGACGATGACACAGAACATGAAATGAATAAGGAAGTTCAGGCTCCCATGGACACTAATGAGGCAGAGGGCGCACCTTTGTGAACAAATTGGAGAGCTGAGCACTTTGTGTCCAGTTGGACTCTAGGCCACCTGAAGATTCCACTCACTCCAGGGGAAAATCAGACAAGGTGAGCTGCCTGCAACCAGCAGCACTTACCTAGGCTTGAAGGATTAAAACCTAGCCCACAGGAACACGATGTCTGCTGTTGCCATCACCCCCATATCTCTCTCAGGAACACCCAAGTTTACCAGGCCATTAAGCACTAGATTTAGCCATGAAGGGGTTCTAGAAAACTGATTTATGGGCAAGTCCTTTCAGAACACAGGTGCCCGGAAATCCCTGAAAGGAAGGATTACTCTAGAGTATGGATGTCCAACCTTTTGGCTTCCCTGAGCCACATTGGAAGAAGAAGAATTGTCTTGGGCCACACATAAGATACACTTACACTAATGATAGTTGATGAACTACTGAAAAAAAAGAGTCTGTGCATACTTTTCATGATATCTGCCACCACAGAGAAGCAAAAAAGTCCTTAAATCCAAAGGGTTGGACACTGGTGCTCTAGAGTGAGATGGTGATGGTGTCTTAAACTTACTTCCAACATGATTTTGGGGAATGATGGTGAAAAATTACAGCTTCTCATAGATGTCCTAGTTTACTTTTGTGATAAGTCCCACAAAACTCAACTCAACTCAAGACTTATTCTTTGTCTTGAGTCTACAATTTACAAAAAGAGCACCTCCATCCTCAAAGGGCCCATGCACATAACTTGAAATCTTAAGCTCTTTAAAAAGTCCATCTTCACACTCAGTAAATAAATGACCCCTTAGATTGTGACAATCAATTTGTCCCCTTTGGCATTCCGAAAAATCAAGAACAGATATTATTATTTGAAGATTGCTTCTGAACACAATAGAGATGAGGTCAGTTAAATAAGAGCCCGCCTCATGCCACCTCCAGGCAGCTGTCAGGCTGGGAGGAGCACCAGGTCTCAGGACTCCTGGCCAAGCCTTCAGTTGACCTGGTTCTTTGTGGCGCAAACACCTGCACAGGGGCTTCTCGTAACTGCCACAGGTCCAGGACAGCACACCCTGTTTCCATTCTTGCTGGACAATGCCAGGTATGGCCCTATCTTTGAGTTACTTTAATGCTAGTTATTATCTGCCAGACTACTCTGTCCTGCATACGAGCAAAATCTAATTAGAAAGCAAAGAAAATAACAAAAGAAGAACTCAAATCCCACAAAGTCAGTTACTATGATTTTTATAGATCATAATGTAGACGGAAAAGTTCTGTTACAACCAAACCCTTGCAAAGATTCCAAAAAAGTCTTATGGTGCAAGTCATAAAGATCAAATATCTCCTCTGCAATTACTTTTAAAAATACCTCAAGGTGGATTACTCAGCATTCTCGCCCACTCCTGTGGCCCGGCTGATGTCAGGGGGAACGGCTGGAACCAGAGGATGCTGTGCAGAGGACGTGCCCAGCCAGACCCCGCAGAAGTCAAGACATGAATTAAAGGCAAAAGGGTAAATGCCCCCATCCATTAGCCCATTAACTCATTTCAATAGCTTTAGAAATTTATCTCCACAATGCTCACTGTCCTTTCTGAGTGTCCATCAACTACCACCAGTAACAAATGCTCTGATTTTTGTCAAGTCACTTAAACCATGCTGTGTGATCATTCTGTCACCCTGGAGATAAACACAACCAGCTGTCATTTGGTATTTGCTTAGTTGAATAATGAAGAATTTCAAGACAATGTAAGAGTAATGCATGCTGTGGAACACAGAAAAATGGTTTAGGCTGTTTCTCTGAATTTCACCATGCCTCAGTGTGCTCTGCTAGGCCACAGAAACTTCTGGAAGGCAACTTTCCACCACTACTGTCCAGATGCAATAAAGCCCAAAAAGGGCACAGTAGCCTGAGAAGCCCACTGCCCTTTGTAGCAAGATGAGACATCTTCGGGAATGGATTATCATGAGAATGATGGAGACTTGCACTCAAACTCAGGGAGAGGACATCACCACTGGCCAGCCCAATGACCATGTGTCAACTTCGTATAGAGATTCATCTTTCCCTTCAGAAGTGGGACATCTCTTGAACTGAAATCCCACGAGTCTGTGACCTTTGGCTTCTCCCTGTTTCTTCCTGCTACTTACAGGCCTGGTGGCAGAGGGTAGGACGGGGAAAGAAGGAGGAGGCAACCTGCAGTGAGCAAATGTCATTTATTGGTAAAAATCTGAGGATAGGAGTCTGAATCTAACGTGGCATTTTACAAGATCTATAGAGACCTACATCCGTACATTACCTCTAGCTGATAAAAACATGTTTAAAACACAATTGGAATTTATATGTGAATAATTTGTTTTCTCAAACTGCAGCTTGATATAATTTCATATTATGTGATAATTCTGAAAGCTTTTTAAAAAAATGTCCTTGTGTAATGGAAAACCCAACAGAATATTAAGAGAGGATGTTTCCATAACACACCGTGTAGAGTGCCATTATGTCAGTGGTGGCATTGCATTATTTTTAAATCAACTGGTTGCTTAACAAAAACATTATGAAGCAAAGTGCACACATGGTACCTAATTTTCATACATTATTAACTCTGCTTGAGGTTTTTGTAGAATTTTTTTTAATCAAGCAAACAGGCATCTGTCCCCATCTGAAATCATGCAAGCTAATTTCATTTTCTAATTCCCCATTGTTTGAAAGAACCCTTTTAAGTATGCAAAAATAAGAAGAGGGACAGTTCAGTTGCCTTTCTATTATTCTTATTACTCTGACTTAGCTAAGTCTCTTTGGTCTACTCCTTCCCTGCAAGGGGACATGGTGGAACACCTCCAGCCTTCAGGCCCTAGTGGTTGCTTGTTTCAGACCATAGTGGGATGGGAGAGGTTAGAGGTCAGCCCAAGAGTGTTTCCCTATCAGTGTAGCTGCCCTCAAAACCTCTTTGTCAGCTCCCCACCACAGACACTGCCAGAGCCCACTGTGTCCCCCAGCCCAGAGGTCACCTGCAGCCTCCATGGACAACTGACCTGCAAATCCACAGCCTCCTACCTGAGCACCTGCCCCTTTCTGCTTAAGGACACCCTGTGGCCACAGGCGGGCACAAGGCCTGAGTATAGGGCAGGCCAGAAGTGTCCAGAAGTTAAGGATTCTAGAAGTGGTCCTCAGTCACTGAGAAATGAGACATGGGGTGCTAAGAACCCCACCCTCCTTCTGCCCACTGAGCCAACTGAGATATGTCCCACACAGTCCCCCTGAGGACACCTGGGATGGTTAACGTGCCCTTTTAGGCTTTCCTCCCTTGGCCTCCCTTCCTAGTCCTCACTTCCTTCATGGAAGGACCTCCTAAACAAACCACCTGTATACCTAAATCCTTTCACTTGGGGACCTAAACCACAAGCATTTTAAATGCTTTGAAAAAAACCACATGTTAACATGAGAATTCGTTATGTGTAACTCATTATCTGGCCCTCTCTTAACCAGACGCTTACATTGGTTTACGTGTCTACATATTGGAAGGCCATGGCGGATGTTCAGGATTACTCCCCACCCTGCAAGGCACTTAAAGAGGCTGGAATGAGAAGGAATGATCAAGTAAGTTTGAGTATAATCTTGTCACATTTTTATTATATATGCTAATTCTTTGAAAACCAGTACTCCATACGTGTGACAAACGATACACTCTAGTAGCCAGGGTTTTGTATTATGTTGCTGTCCATTCCCTAACCCTACTGGGGAACAAGGTATCGACTGCACTTCTAACACTCCCAGTGCTGAAGTCGCCTTTGCTTCACCACACCTATATCCTGGGTTTTTCCTTTAATGGGGCTAATGGTAAAACGTCAAAGAGAGGACAGAAGTAACCATTTCCCTTTCCACTGAAGGAGATGCACTGGCCATGCCCCCCATGTACTCCTGGTGTGTGTACCCTTACCATTTTGTAGGTCGTAAGCTATTAGAAGGCAAAAGTAATCAGCACCTATTGATTCTACATCAACTTTAGACTTTAGTCAACATCTATTACCCTGTCGGCACATGTCTGGTTAATAATCATGAACTGTAACAGAGTTTAAGGAGATACTTAAGCAATTTCAGTGTTGGTATTCCAATGCATAATTGGTAACAGAACACTGTTCATGAGCATTTTAAACTAACAGTGTTCTTTAAGTGATTCAAAATGTTTCTTCAATTTACTAGAGTCTTAAGAAAAAGAGAACCATTTTTCCTCTCCCACTTGGTCTATACCTTGTATAAATGCCAAGCAAGCAGATTTGGAACAGTGAAGAATTATTGTACAAAATAACAATAAAACAAGAGAGGAAGACATGGAACCTAGAAGAGCAGTAGACATGACCTGGGAGAAAGGTGGAGACCAAATTTGGGCAGGACGTGCATTCAGCAGCCAGGACAGCAAGTAGCCCACATGGGAGCTAATAAGGCTTCCAGAGAGTGGGCTCCACAGAGGGGCACTGGAGCGAAGGCCTGGGAGCAGGAGGAGTAAATAGAAGTACATTCCCCAAGGCTTCAAGGAGAAAAGAAAGAGAAGAACACACTCCCAGAAAAGCAAAAGGCTGAACAACAGCAACAAAGATTATAGGATATAACACAGCTTTGTGGTGCATAACAGTTACAGAGTCCAGACAATAAATATTGCTTATTGAATCAATTAAAAATAATGACATAACAATGATGGAGAGAGGGAAAGTAGTAGGGAGTGAAGAGTGTTGAGTCTTCATCTGTATAGCAGCATGAAAAAATAATGTCAAATTTTAATAAATCAAGAAATAGCAAAAGTTCATTATTTAGAAATAGAGAAAAAATACATAAAGAAATTGCTTAAAATATGTTCAAGCTGGTTGCTTATGGATAAGAGGACAAGGATTGAGGGCGGAGAACAGGCAGAGAGTGTTATTTTTCATTATACACCTTCAGGTATTATGTGATATTGAATTATGTTCATAATACTTTAATAAACAACTTAAATTGATTGGAGAAAGAAAGCACACACAGTGGATGTGGTTAACAACAGATCAAGTTCTACAGAAAACCAAACTAATGATTCAGAAAAATCAGTTCATGTCATTTTTCTGATACCCAGAGGAAAAGATGATAAGCAGAAAGCAGAAACTTGGAAATTCAACACAGGAAATCCAGTCATCTGTAGGATAGGAACTGTAAAAGGAGGGAGCGGAGCAGATGCAGAAAAGACAATATGAAAAAACATTACAGAAGGGCTACAATCCTTCATCCCATCAGCTAACGAAAGGCTCAGTACATAAGGGAAGGATCGACCCTCAGGGAAATTTAAGAAAGGAGATCCATAACAAGGGCACTAACCTTCCCTTCCACACCACTAAATGCAAGTGGACAGGCAGGACGCTAAGACACTGACAAACTATATGTTGGGTGAATAAAAGACTGCATGACAACAGAGGAATGGACGAAGAGAAGTAAGGAACTCAGTCAACCAAACACTAGGACAGGACAATGTCCACAGAGTCTGAGAGTAAAAGATGGTGACCCAAATATTCTATGTCAACCAAGACATTCCAAAACACGCAAATATTCAGAAAATATAACATCATTCCCATCCTTAAAAAATAAATGAATAAATGACTCATAAAAGAGTTCCAGCCTCTTGAGAATAATAAAGGAAATTATGTTAAGTAATGTAACAATGCCAAATGAGTTATACAAATGCCAAAACTAATTCTTGAATGAGAAAATATAAAATGCAAACGAGAAGATAATCAAGCTTATCTGGATCCAAAATCCAGATTCACAATCAATTTAAAAATTGTAAATAAATGCAAATGCCTAATGAGCTTGTGGAAAAGAAGAGCTCAACTTCATTAGCAATTAAGTTGATACAAATACAAACAATAAGATATAACTTATGATTCATGAAACTGATAAGGACTAAACAATTACAATACTCAGCCTTTGCAAGGGTTTGAGGAAAGGAATATTTTATGTTGGTGATAGGAGTATAAATTTGGGCCTTGGGAATGCAATTTGGCAATGCATATTTTAAAGCACTAAGTATATGCTTGTTATGACCCAGCACTCACACCCATTGGGATTTATCTTGTGGAAAATAACTGGTTGTTAAGCACAAAGATACATGCAAAAGGATGTTCACTGCACTGGTTTTTACAATAGTAAAAACTGTGGAACCACTTAAATACCCATAAGAAGAGAGTTCTTTAAACTATGACATATTCTGTACAGATTGATTTACCACTTGAGGTGTTGATAGGGAAAATAAATGGCTGCAGTAAACAAAAACCACAATTCCCATCTCTTCATCATTAAAAAGCATATATTTTGGGGAAGAGTACAAGAGTCAGCTCTGAGGGACTGTTTGGCAGTGGAGCAGGTAGAAACAGGAGAGCACACACAGGCCCCACCTAGAAGAAAAGACACAAGCAAAAGGACAGCACTGGAGGAGGGGCTCAAATACAAAGGCCAGGCCACCTGCCTAGGGACACACATGTGCAATAGAAGCCACTCAGAGAGAGAAGGAAGAAGGGAGGTGATGAACATAAGGGGCAGGACAGTGGTCATTCCCGGCCAGGGGCAGGCTATGCAGGGAGGAGGCAGGAAGGCCCTGGGTATGGAAGTCGCTCTGCTTCTTAGGCTGGGAGGCAGTACCTAGGCTGTTTGTGTTGTCGTTATGCTTTTGACACATGTGTATTACAGATACTCCTTTTCAGCTATCAAATATTACATAATAAATTTTTTAAAGCACAGAAGTGATGACACTTCATTTTTAGTCATGGCTTTGCCAAAGGGCTCTAATATATGACTTGCTTCCCCACAAAATATCTGAAGAGGAATAAAACCACTATTGATCACAAATGTACAATTCTCCAGTATGCAGCTTGTCAGAGAAAATGAAGTGCTCTTCAAAAGTATTATTATGACACTTCTGCAAATTTAATTGAAATCTCAGCTCTGAATACCCCGGGGCCATGGTTGAGCCTGTTCAGTTTCAGGATCTACCAGTAGCTCACAAAGAACCAGAAATTGAACGTGTGTTATCACTGCCATTTACTTCTGAAAAGAAATGTTAGCAAACCACGACAAAACTGTCATGAACTCTATTTCTGTAGAAGAAAATGTATCTATAAAAGCCTTAGCCATGAGGCGGAAGGATCACTTGAGCCCAGGAGTTCAAGACCAGCCTGGGCAACATGGAAAAACCCCACTCCACAAAAAATACAAAAACTCACCAGACGTGGTGGCACATGCCTGTAGTCCCAGCCCCTTGAGGGGCTGAGGCAGGACGATGGTTTGAGTCCAGGAGGTCAAGGCTGCAGTGAGCCGTGACTGCACCACTGCACTCTAGCCTGGGCAACAGAGTGAGACCCTATCTTAAGCAATCAAGCAAGCAAGCATCGGCCGTAGGTTTGGTACAAACAAAAGCTGCTGTGCCCAGCTCCCAGGTATCTTTGTCATTAGCTTCAATTCAGTTTCAGGATGCTGTCAGGAATTGTCACTCCTGGGAGGAAGTGTGCTAACAATGAAATTGGAGAATGGATGCAATGCTCAGAGCCATCTTACTATTTTTATTCTCCTGACTCAAAATACACCTACCACCAGACAGACCCAGGGGACCCAGGCAGGGGCTTTTCCTGCCACATGAGCACTGCTTTGTGCTCTGAGAAAGCACTGCTGCCAGCCTCAACAGCTGCTCTTGTGAGTTTCCTATGCAAATGAGGCCTCAAAAAGATCTGACAACCTTAGGGCCACATCCCTTTGGTTATTCCACTTCCCCTACTTACAGATTCCCACATCCAGACACCGAAATAGGACTGAGGAGCAACGACCTGTTTGGAATTGAGGCTGGTCCTGGGAGCAGCAATGGCAGATCTCCAAAGTGCTGTCAGAATGCAGACTCCCAGACCCCACCCAGACTTGCAGAACCACAATCTGCATTCTGACAGATCCCCACGGGACTCCTGTGCACCTTGAACTTTAGGAAGCGCTGGGCTAGAGGGCTTATCTTAAACTGAGGTTTCATAGGGAGCACGGTTTTCAATCAGAGTTCGAGTGGCTTTGAAGATGGGCTGACTCCCATCCCCCAGCCAGGTCTTGCTGTGCCACTGACCAGAAGCCAAACTCAGGGTGATGGCCCCGCCCTCTTCCCTACACTCCAGGGGACCTTTTAGCTAGCCCATTGCCCAGGCAGGGCCCTCTTGCCGGCTGAGGGGTCCCCAGTATTCAGCAAGTAGACAAGGCCAGCCAAGGAGGCAGGAAGGCCAGGAGGGGCTGACAGTCTCCAAGTCCATGAAGGGACTGAAAACCCCTCCAGGGTCCTACCCATGCCCCTCCCATCCCCTATCCCACACACTCACAATGTTCCTGCCACTGCTACCTTTCCTTCAGCCCCTTCTCACCTAAGCTCCCTGGAACCCCCTTTCCACAGTGAACAAACCATCTTCTCCATCAGCCTCCCCTCTGCTTCACCCTAGGCCACCTCTCCCACAAATGCCCATCCACCGCTAGGTGGGTGAGTGAAGTGTGCTATATCCACATGATGGAAGATTACATGGAAATAAGGACTGAAGTGCTGACACGTGCCATGGCATGGACAAACACCGATGATGCTCTGCTCTGTGAAAGAAGCCATGCACAAAGGTCACATACTGTGTGCCCTCCTTTACATGGAATGCCCAAAATAGAGAAATCTACAGCTCAGGGCTGGGGAGGATGGTGGGAAGGGGAGAGTGACAGCTAAAAACAGGGGTCTTCTCATGGTGATGGTTGCTCTGCGAATGAACTACAGGCCATGAACTGTGCACTTCACATGTGCGGACTGTGTGGCATGTGAATATCTCACTAAAACTCATTACAGAATAACGTCTCTCCCCACCCAGATCCCTTCCAGGGCCGCCCTCTCCTTCAGGGCCGAAGAGCATCATCAAGGTGTTACAGAAGTCCACCCAGACCCAGCTTCAAACAGCCTCACCAGTCTCCTCGCCACCCACTTCCTCTCGCCTTGCACTTTACCCTCCAGGAATTCTAAACCCTCCTCAGCCCTACCACCTCATCCTGTTTCCTGCCCAAGCCTACATTCATGCCTGGGGCTTCTGAGCCACCTCACACTAGTCTTCTCTCAGGGCTGGGCTGAGGCTGCCCTCCAGGTTCCCACTAAACAACACCTCACCCCCGGGAGCCGTGGGGGAATCCACATTCTGTCATGCAGCTCCAAAGCTCAGGCAGGCCCCTCTGCTCCCACCCATGGGCCCTGCCCAGGCCTCCAGGCACGCGGCCAAGTCCCAGGTACTACAGCTGCTACCTCACCACAGCACCTGCCAAGGACTCCTCTGTCACTCTGCTCATTCCCCATAGCCACGGGTCCCAGCACCCAAGAGTCCACCCGTCCTCACAGACTCTCAGCCAGCCAAGGCCAACAGGTGCCTGGAATGCAAAGATTGGTAACTCTTCAATTGTCTCCAGCATTCCACTTCCCTTCTCTGGGAAAGATAAAGTCAGCTCCAAGGAGAGTCCTTTCTGGCCCCTATAAGTAAGCAGCATCTTAAGAAGACACTGTGTCCCCATCTCCTGGGTCTGGACTGTGAGCAAAAGTACAATGCATGGTATTAATTACCATAACGGGGAAGAGCAGTGTGGTAGGTGTCTGTCCCCCAAGAAAGGGGGCAAGGGGAGGAAGAGGTATTGGGAATGGTATCAAAACCCCCAGGACTAAGTCTGGATCTTCTTTGCTGGCCAAAGTATCAACACTCCCCACTAAGTGACAACAAGGAGTAGAATTCCTAGTCATCCCAATGGGGCTTCCCTCAGAAACACCTCTAGGATTTTGAGTCTCTTCACATCCATGCACAAGGCACCTAAATTTTGGTGAAGGCAGCTGACATTTACCCTGATGAGTGACAGGCTGAATTATGTTAGTAACCTGGTAGGAAAAAAACCCTTGATTGACAAAAACACCCCCCTCATCTTTGCTGAATTTGTGTTAGATTACTTGTACAATGCAATTTTCATGATGAGAATTAAGGTAAACATGGGGCTCAGAGGCTGACAGATAAATTGAGTGATTTTCAATTATTAAATCAAGATCAGGAACATTCCTGGACAAACAAGCAAAGAATGCACTTGACGAAGCCTGAAAAGAAAATGCCCCCATTGTCACTAGGAAGGTCAGACCATCAAGATAAATGCTTGCATTTTAGGTTCAATCAATGATTCACAGAATGACTATGCCAGAGGCGACTCCACTCCACCCACACCTGTAAATTCAGACACATCCCTAAACATGTGAGGATCTAGACAAGTGAACTTGAGGATAATCCAATGCTTTGGCACCAACTGGCTTCCCTCTTCTATAACAAAACAATCCAGGTGGGAGAGCCACACACAAAGATGCCAGTTGTCTAGAACTGACCACAGTACCCAGCTGCCTGGAGGGAGCAGAGCAAGGAGGCTCCCAGTTCTGCTGGGTGTCAGCCTCCATCTTGGAAGATCTGTCTGAATCCTAGGGATAAAATGTCACACCAGACACCAAGACCTGGGAATGAAAGAAAACACTGATGATATCGGGAGGTTTTTTGTCGGACATCTGCTGAGCAGTTAAAACCAGGAAACTGAGGATACACTGGTGTGGGGTGATGGTGATACTGACCATCATCATCCAGAGAAATGAGAGATGTGAGCCTCTGTAAGCAGAGGGTGACTTGGGATTAGGCTCTAATGCTGAGCCCAGCCCAGGAACACCTCGGAGAGTTCAAAGTGAGGCTATTACAGCATCTTACGCAAAAAACGAGTGGAGCACCTTAGAGAAAGAGCGTCATTAAAAAGTGGCTCCTGCCAGGTCAGCTTGGAGACCTGGACCCAAGAGAACTCAACCTGACAGAAACAAATTATTTAAACCAGTGACATCAGGACAGAGGCTAAAGCATATTGCTTCAAACTATTTGCTTATGAACTACAAATAAAAATATAAATCCATTTATCACCCATTCTGAGGTAGGAGGTGGGACTCGACTCAAGACTTGGGGCTCAGACACTGGACCAAACTGAGGACTAGCTAAAACAGGGTTCAGGTGGAAGCAGCTTTCCATCAGACACGCCCATCAGTGTGCCACTCCAGTTACTACTGCCATGGCAACACCACGGAGTTACTGCCCCTTTCCATGCTAATGACCTGGTGACCCAAAAGTTACTATCCCTTCCCTAGAAATTTCTGCATAAACCACCCCTTAATCTTTGCATGCAATAAAAAGTGAGTATAAATATGACTGCAAAACTGCCCTGAGCTGCTACTCTCTGCCTGCAGGGTAGCCCTGCTCTGCAGGAACAGCCACAGGTCTGTAACACCACCTCTTCAATAACAGCTGTTTTCTTCTACTTCCAGCTCACCAGGGTTCTTTCCTGGGTAAAGCCAAGAACCCTCACTCACGGGCTGAGCCCCATGTAGGGGCTTCCCTGCCCTGCATCAATTCCACCACTGAAAGAACAAAAGAGGGGGCATGCCAGTCACATTTCTATTAGTTAAGGACTGCCTTGTTCCAGGAAGGTTGCTGACAGCTTGTGGATTTCCTCTCTTGGAAATCTTACACAGAAATGAAATAGATCCCCATTTATTTGGAAGTGAAAAAACATTTTCAAATATTTTAAATCTTTCCAGGGGAGGGAAGGCTCCTGTTTTTAGGTCAATTTGAAGAAAAATGAAAGTGTATACAATATTTAGTGCCCACTACAGATTCTAAATCACATTCTAGGTTACAAACTTGATACATAAACTATGGCTGAGTTGTAAGGTGATATTCACACATTATAGTCCATCTTTATAATAATTACTACTTACAAATGAAATTTTGAACTTTTTGTTATTAAAAAGTTAAACTCTAGAAATCTAATCACTTAGTATGAGCCAATTTTTGAAAAAACGATGAGTATTATGATAGAAGAACTGAGGTCTTGGGCAATAGAATTCTCCATGGCCATTCTGCTCAGAAGGCTGAGGGCAATAAATATCATCACCCCTCTCCCCAAGTCACACACAAAATACAAAAATTTTATGAATACAAATTTCACAAAGGTGTCACTGCCCACACACCACAGTGGGAGGTACCCATGTGCCTACCTGCCCACGCTGCCCCACCTTCTTCTTTGCTCATGGAACTCCTCTTTAGTGGATTGTTCTCCACACAGCCAGGTCCTTCCTACGGGCTCCAGTCTAAACCATCACAGAGCTCATGGGGCTTTCCTCTTGCTGGTGTTGGCTGAGACAAAGTACATGATGGAATTCTGGCCAATGAACGTGAGAGGAAGTTTGCCAGGGGCTTCCAGGAAAGTCTTAAAAGGGGGCAGGAGATAGGGACATTCCCTTTTCCGCCTTTGATCATTGCTGTGTGTCTCCACGCAATGCCTGGAAATGTGGTGGTGACTCTAGGACCATGAGGGAAGCCAACACACTTAGAAAACTAAATGGAAAACAGGAGGAGTCTGAACCCTTGAGGACACTACTGAGCCACTCAATTGACAGAGCCTGACCTCTAGCACTTGGTTATGTGATCTAATACATGTCCTTATCATTTAGGCCAGTTTATCTTTTGATACCTGTAGCAAAAATATCTGAACTCATAGAATCATTAAGTGTAGGAAGCAATAGGTTAAAATCCTTTTCCTCTACAATGGAGCTGCAGCACGCATGAATTTGAGGTATGTAAATTCACCTGTAACAATCTCTTGTGTTATTAAATAATTCTCAAACAGACTATTATACCCTGCACCGACAGAATTATACATACAAAACCAAGTGTACTGTAGTGTGGATATCAGAGCTGGCTACAGAAAATAACCTGCTTGGAATATGATCATTTGTTCCTGTGATCAGGCTAGCCATGGGCTCTATTCCACAAATTAAAATTTTAGAAATACAGAATTCCTTGGAACATTCCTGCTTTTGTAAATGCCTTGGACAGGCAGTGTAGGTAAGACTGGCTAAGGTTCCTGAAATATACTTATTATTATCATTAGCCTCTATCTCACTGGTATGGAGCCAAGTAGCAGGGACAATAATAGCCAAGATGACCACAATGGCACCAAAGCATCTAATGCAGGGGCTCTAGGCTAGAGGTGACTTAGCACTCCTCCTGTCTCCTGCCTTCCCCTGCCCCTCTAGACACTGGCAGTCTCTGGAGATATTTTTGGTTGCCACAGCTGTGGGGGCACACTACTGGTACCCAGTGGGCAGAGGCCAGAGATGCTGCTGAACATCCAACAACGCACAGGACAGCCCCTTCCAATAAAGAATGTTCTGCCCCAGAATGGCAAGAGTGGTGAGGCTGAGAAACTCTGGTCTAAAGTGATATGACTCTTTCCACAAGCCAGACACACACAAAACTTCATATCATTAACTGAATAATGGAATCTTCTGTATTTATTTAGATGTTGTTTCTATGTGTTTTGACTTTTTTTGTCTTTTTTCCCTCTCTTATGGTGCTGACTTTTCTGTGTGTTTTAGGTCCAGAAAAATAAGACAGTGTTTTCAGATTTTGACAGAAACTGATAAATAAATTTGGGGCATGCTCCAAATCTGCTGTATCTGAATGATGATTTCCAAAGCACCAGCCTGCCATTTACCTGGCACTTCTACACCGAAGACAGCCCATTCCTTAAAACCATGTTTTGCAGTCCCAGCAGGTCCACCTACCTGCTATGATGTCTCTTATTTTACTCAGCAGGGAAACTGAGTGTGCCCATGATGAACAAGCACAGTCCCCAATAATACAGCTGGATAGTTCACACTCTAGTCATAAAATTGATGCAAGTGGTGAATGAGTCAATAAAAAACACATTCCATCTAAGCCAAATGAACCTAACATAAGACTGTAAATCTCCATCAACCAGGCATCAACTCAAGAAAAGCTATCAAACATGATGCAGTATCTTAATAAATGTGAACATAAAATCTTTCCCCTCCCACCTCCACAACCATCTTAAGTCTCCTTTACTTAAAGTGCAGACGTCCAATTCCATATGCATTGCTCCACTTGGCCCTTTCTGTGCCATCTCTGCTTTTTCAACACTGGCTCCTAGCCAAGTGGCCTGGGCATGTTAGGATTGTGCACAATGCTGAGTGCCTGGTACCGCCAGATGGGCAGGGCCCAACTCCCAGGAACCCCATGCCCACAGACTACAGTGCGAATTACATCTACTGGAGCTGTAAGAACATGCAGCCATGCCAAAGGAAAGGGCATAGCTAGAGGAGAGTGGGGATGAGGTCTGAACTTGGACAGCATGTGCACTCAAGGAGCCACGAAATCAGATGGGCCTGAGGAGTCCAGCCACCCTCGATGGTGGCTAGCACAGACCGAATGGCATCCAGAGCCTGGCTAACCTATGTGGGTCAGAGGAAAACACTGCCAAGGTCCTCATGGAGCCCTGGGGTTGCCCTGACTTAATTCTGGGGAGCGGCCTGAAGAGACTGATGTCTCTCATCTCCCACACTGCACAGACCCGGGTGTGACCCAGCCACCTGTCCTCTTCCAGGACAGAGCGCAGGGCTGGAGCTGAAGGAGGAATGCCACTGACTACCCAGCCCCCACAGCTTCCCATCTGTGTCTCCACAACCACTCCAAAACACCTTCACAGTCTGTAGAACATATCTAAAATAAAACTTAAAATAGGAAACAAGCCTGGCTTTGAAAGTGGGAGGAAAAAAAACTTCCCACAAGAAAACGACCAGGCCCAGACGGTTTTACAGACACAGTCTACCAACATTCAAAGAACAGATCGTTCTAATCAGATATGTTCTTCTAAAGCAACAGAAAAAAGAAAGAGATCCTCCCAACTCATTAATTTTATGAGGATAATATTAATTCAATTACAAAACTAGATAGTAATAGAACAAAAAAGGAAAATGATAAACTAAGCTCACTTCTACATAGATACAAAACTCCTAAACAAAGTATTAACAAACTAAAATCTGGCAAAATGATGATATACTATGACCAAATCTGACTTTTGCCAAGAAAGGCAAAGATAGTTTAACATTGGAAAATTAATCACTACATTAACAAGTGAAGAGGGAGGAGGACCATGTGGCCACATGAACAAATGAGCATCACTCAGTAGCCACACATGGTAAATGCCCTCAAGAAACTAGGACAGAAAAAAAACGTGCTCAAACCTATTAAAAAAGGATTTATTGAAACAAAATAAACTTATAGCAGTCACCATCTGGATGGTGAAACAATAGAAGCATTGTCTCTAAAATTAGGACAGTCTGTTCGCGCCACTTCTGTTGGCATTATACTAAAGTACTCGACAGTGCAGTAAGACAAGAAAAGGAAATAAAAGGCATAGCGGTTGTCATGCCAGAAGCAAAACTGTCATTAATCTCAGATGGCATGACTATCTACATGGAAAGTCCAAAGGAATCTGCAGGTCACAGATTATAAAACATTAGGGTGTTTAACAAGGTTGCTGGATATAATATCTAAATTAATGTGTCTTAAGGAAATCATAATTGAATCATACTTTACATGTTAACAAAAAAAAATTTTTTTTGAGACAGGGTTTCACTCTGTCGCCCAGGCTGGAGTGCAGTGGTTTGATCTCGGCTCACTGCAGCTTTGACCACCCAGGCTCAGGCAATCCTCCCACCTCAGCCTCTTGAGTAGCTGGGACTACAGGCACACACTGCCATGCCTGGCTAATTTTTGTATGTTTTTTTTGTAGAGAGGGATTTTGCCATGTGGCCCAGGCTTGTCTCAAACTCCCGGACTCAAGCAATCCACATGCCTTAGCCTCCCAAAGTGCTAGTATTACAGGTTTGAGCCAAGCTGCTTGGCCAAAAAACTTTTAAAGTTACCTGTTGGGAGTAGAAATAAGAATCTGCTGATAAAAACACTACAAATGCAACAGAGATGCATTTGAAGGAAAAAGGTTAAAACAGAATAAATTAGACAGATATTTCCTGAAAATCTTATGAAGGTAATTCAGGGACAAAAGCTAAGTTTATCTTCTCTAAGGAAGGAGGCCTACTTTCGAAAAGTTTTTCTGCAGGTAGGTGCAAATGAGGTTACCTAGTTAGTATTAAGTATATTTTATGTCTGATCTGCATTTATGATAGTATGAAATGTTCTCTTAACAGTCAATAGTAGAAAACCAATTGGTCATTTTCCTCCCTACTAAGTGATACACTTTTTCAAAGTTACACTAGAGTCTTGAAAATAAAAATGATTACAGGTATGGCCTGAGTGTGGCATATACTCCACTAGATCTAGTGCTTTACAAACCAGCCATGGTCTTCATGCAAATCCCAGAAGAAACTCTGATGTTATTTACATGTAAGAAATACATCCAAACAGTTCTCCTTTTATACCAGTGAGGCTGATATCCAAGCTCTGAAGAAAATCATTATCTGTTTGTTCTGTAAGGAATCTTAAAAACTGCACCCCTTACTGCCTCAGGCTTTTAACTGAGTAAATGTAGCTGTATTTTGATAAATGGTGATAACAATATCAGACTCAAGAACCAGATTTCTAGAATGTCAACAGATTTCAATTGCCTAAAATGCCCCAACTCTGACAAAATAAATTATTATGACAAAATGATTAAAAATGCCTTGCCACAGAATTACATAAAAGTAAGTGTCTTAAGTCACAGCCACCACCAGAGGCTGGACTGCTGTCACCAAGGGACAGGAGGGGCATGCCCAGTGGGGAAGCAGCAGCTGTCCCTCTTCTGCCATGTGTAGCAGCAGTACCACTCGGAGGCTTGACTCACCCCTCGCAGTCTCCAGGAACTCTTCATCTGGAGAAAGAGCTGAATCCACAAACTATGCACTGGTAACCACAAACAACGCCTGTTTCCACAACTTGGGTCCTCAAAATCACTAGGTTTGCCATAATGTGACATTCTACTAATCCCATTTCATGTAAAGGCTCCAGCCATTCCAGCCACTCCAACTGATGGGACAGTTTAGTGGCTAATTCCTCAGATGCCATATTTTAAGGACTCACCTACAAAAACTGGCCTAGGCCAGGCCTTTAGATCTGCACTAATAAGAGGAACTCTGCCTAATATACTTTTAGGAAATAGGTTAGGGTAGGAGGAGATGTGGAGAAATACATGAATAATCAAGATACACAAACACACACACACACACACACACACATATATATATACACACACACACAGAAATATACACAAAAAATAGACAATCCCCAACTTACAAGATTATTCAACTTTAAGATGGTGTGAAAGTAATAAGCATTCAGTGCACTCCTTGACTTAGGATGAGGTTATATCCTGGTAAACCCATTGTAAGTTGAAAACATACAAAGTCAAAAATGCACTTTCAACTTCCAATATTTCAATTAATTATGGCTTTATCGAAACAAAACCTCATCCTAAGTCTAGGAGCATCTGTACAAAACGGGGAGACCATGCTCCCCCAAGGAAGGACAAAGGTTTGTAGCTCTCTGCTCAGGGCAGAAGGTGTGGCAAGTCAGGCTTTTGGTCCAGCCTCCAGCCAAGGCAGAGGACAGAGCTACCACTCCCCTGACATGCCTAACTCTGGATTCTTATGTGGGCCAAAGGGAACATAAAATAAGTTCTCCTTAACTTAGAGAGGGCTAACTAATAGCTGGTGTCTTTCTCTTGAACTACAAGCCAATCTCTTTTTAAGAATGTTATGAACCTAGAGGGGTGTGTGTGTGCATGTATATGTATAACATTATATTAGATAGAACCATACAAAACTGAAGTATTTGTAATAAAAATGGTCAAAAAGCAGCAAATTCATATGGTTCAACCTTATATAATCTATATAGCATTGCATAGTACACATTATCACAATTATATACTGGCAATAATATAGATGTATTACACAGATGATTGTTGCCCTAAAGGCAGCTCTTTGCTCCACAGTTCTAATTTTTCCAAATGTAAACATGTCTCCCCCTCATTATCCCATACATCCTCCCTCTGGAATCCCAGGCTCTATCATCCCACACGGCCCCACCAAGTGCCACGACTTGCAGGGATGGCTGCCTCTGGTTGCCACACTGGCCCTTGAAGGTCGCTGCCACCTGGAGGTAACAGCACCCTATGGTCACACAGTCCTAGTGGTTGTCTTTCAGAAATATGAAAGAATCCTCCAACTAACTTAACTAATTAATAAACATAGATCTCCAGCTTTTTATCCAAAATAAATATCTTTAATAAAGTAATATTACTGGAACCTTCAAAGCTCATTGTTCTTCCTGAATATTTTTAAAGAAATAAACCCAAGATTGAGCAGGATAAACTGGTAAAGACTGGTTAAGAAAAATCTAACTCTAATCTTAAACTGAACCTAAAAACATTTGGTTTTCTTTGGCTGTTTCCCAAGAGGCTCCCAAACCTGTTTCCTTTTGAACCCAGACAGAGCCCATCTTTTAGCTACATTTTCCTAAGTCTTTTTACATTCTAAATCTTTAATCCTGGACTGTTAAATACCATATTTTTTTTCAGTTTAGAGGAGAATTCTAACTAATTTCTCCACATCCACTGGCACCCTCTGTAGACTGAGTTTTTAATTAACATGCAATGGCTGGTTAATGAGAAGTTCTAGCTGATCACATTTAGCTTAAGCTCTAAGTTTTCTGAGGGGACAGTCCAAAAGATTAAAGTAACAAGAACTCTTGCAATCAAAGACCCAGAAGAAAATAAACTGGTTCCATTACAGAAGATGAACCACAGTTGACCTTTGAATAACACAGGTTTGAATTGTGAGAATCCACTATGCATAATTTTTTCAATAAATATGCTGGAAAATGTTTTGAAGATATGAGACAATTTGAAAATTTGCAAACTGTGTAGCCTAAAAACATGGAAAAATTGAGAAAAAGTTAGGTATGTCACGAATTTACTATGTATAAACTATACATAGATACTAGTCTATTTTTGTCACTTACTGCCATAACATATACATAAATCTATTATAAAAAGCTAAAATTTACCAAAAACTTATACACAGACTGTACATGGCACCATTTGCAGTCAAGAAAAATGTAAACACATGTAAAGATGCAGTATTAAATCATAGTAGCTGCATCAAACTAACTGTGGTACATACTGTACCACTGTAATCATTTTGTAGCCACTTCCTGTTACTACTATGGTGAACTCACCTGTTGCAAGAATCCACTTAAAACACCATGTGATGCTAATTATCTCCCGTGAGCAGTCATCTCTCCAGTAAATTGCAGATTGCAGTAAAAAGTGATCTCTCCTGGTTCTTGTGTATTTTTCACTGTGTTTAATGCAATAACTTGAACCTTGAATAACACTGTGAGACCCAAACAAAGTGCCACTAATGACACTGGAGGTGCTCCCAAGAAGCAGAGTAAAGTTACAACATTCCAAGGAAAAGCTGAATTGCTTGACTGCTTGATGTGTACCTCAGATTGAGGCCTGCAGCTGCCGTCCCCCACCATTTCATGATAAATGAATCCAGCATAAGAACCATTGTAAAAAAAAAAGAAAATTCATGAAGCCATTGTTGCAGCTGTGCAAGAAAACATGAAAACCTTACCCTTTTTGCAAAATACAAAATATGTGTTAATTGACTATTGATGTTACCAGTAAGGCTTCTCTGATCAACAGTAGGCTAGCAGCAGGTAAGTTTTTGAGAAGTCAAAAGTTTTACTTGGATTTTCCACTTAGTGGGGAGTTGGCACCCCTGACCTCCACATTGTTCGAGTCAAGTGTACTCTTTTACCTAAATTGAAATTTACAACACCACAGGCTGGCCTATCTTACTATTTTTAAAAGACTGTGACATCTCCCTTCTAAAAACCTTTCAAGATAAACAAGAAAGAAAAAATAAAGCCCTAAGTGCCTCCGTCAGTTTAGATTTACTCCTTCTGTGAGTTAGCAAGCAGACCCTGGACAAGTCCATGGGCCTCCCGTGAGACCCGGCAGCCACCTGCGGGTGGCATGTGTCTCCTGGTGAGAGTTGGACCCCAGTGAGGAGGGGCCGGTGTGACATGATGCTGCTTCCCCAACCAGTCAGACCCCACGTGCCACAAACCTGAATCCAGACACACTGTGGAGCTTGAGTTCCTTCCTCAGTCTTAAAACATTATTTCCCCTTTCTGGGAAGTGGGGAAATGTTACAGCCTTTTCAAGGAGAGAATCCAAATGCTTCTGGGATATCAAAGGTTCAGATCCTGAACCAATATTTGGAGGAAGTGTGTGAAACAAACCACATGGGTTACATTTGCTGCAAAACACACATGGCTCTAAAATAGATGAAGAAGGTACCATTGAAACATGCTGGGTGCTGGTGAATCCAAATGCCTGAAAAGCAGTTTGAAGCTTCTAGCAAACCAAGAGCACAGCAGGATTGGTCTTTCCTTAGCACAAACTCAACAGTACAGTAAGGGGGTCCAACCTCAAATCACTCAATTTGTGTTTCAAACATGACATAAACTAAGCCCAAACAAGAGTCAGTGCCAACAACAGACTCCAGATACAACCAGAATATCTGCATGCTGGAGACTCAGCACCCGACTCCTCCCGAGATAAAGCAGCGCAGGACATGAACCTGTTGTTTGCCCAGAATGTGAAGCCTATGAATGACAACCTGACACATGAGCCTTTAGAGTTTATGGGAAATGTTTCCATGTGAGTCCAAATAATTTGTCACTAGGGATGCAAGTAAAACCAGCATTGCCAACTTTTGGTTAGTCACCATTTTATAGATTACATCCACAGAAAATCCCAGAGTTTCATTTTAAACAATGGTTTCCATCTCTTACCCCACCAGAATAGAAATAGTAATTATATGCTTTACTTTGTGACTTGGTTTAATTTAGCCTCCTCTTCTGATGTTTCTCAGTCGATGGCCATCCCACCCCAAATGCACCCGGTCTCGTCTGATGCTTCTCTGACCGTGAATGCTGTAGCCCAGTACACGGCCAGACACCACTTAGCAACCACTGCAGGACAGGGAGCTTACAGGGAGCCTTCAAAGGGCCACAATCCAAAGATGAAGCAGATATGCAGAAGAGTTCCCCAACTGCTAGGGTGGGTGGGGAGGCTGACTCAGCCTGGAGCACACCATCAACAACAGGGGTCCCAGTCAAGGGAGTGATCTGGGGGAGCAGGCACCCTTCCATAATGTCCCTGGAGTACAAGTTTAGGGACAGGGCTTGCTGTGTTCTGACCCTGGGGGAAATGGAGTGGGGGAGGGGACAGTGTATGACAGTAGTTGGTCACTACTTAGGACTCAGGGATGACACCCACTCGGGGTGGACCAATGGCAGATGCAGCAAAGGCAGAGCCCCAGCTGGCCCAGCCTGGTGTCCAAAGTCAGGGTTGGTCCTCAGGCTGTCACTGAGATACAAGCAGGGACAAGGCCTGCACAGCCTAGAATCTAGGAAAGGCCTGTGCACTGGAACCAGAGACTTCTTAAAAGCCCTGGACAATAGACATTCGTTCATATCACCAATGTCATATCACCAAACACAGGCGTTTGGCTGAAGGGGCAGGAGTGTCGGCACCCAGTTTCTCCTTGGGGTACTGAAGGTATCACCTATTGAAAGAAATCTTCTAGTTGAAATAGGAAATTAGTTTTGCCCTGAGGAGAAATTTTTTAAAGCTTCTCCAGGACTTGGATGATTCATCAAAACTAATCTTCTTACCTGCTCCTCATCTGAGAAAGACACCAAGAGAAGAGGCCTCAGTGCTCCTAAAGGACAGCTTCACTGTGTCCCACTTAGACGATGGCCTTGACCCTGGTTCCAAGCAGCACTGCAGGAGACAGTGTCTGTCAATTCCACCACCCCGGATCTGTGCTTCTTCAGAAGCCTACGTGCACAGGAGCCACAGAAATGAACAAAGGAAAAAACTACTTATCCTAACTAGTCTCCTCTACCTGTGAAGAGTAGAGTCAATGAAAAGTCCTAAAACTAGCTCCAAGGAGAAGGAAACTTGAAGAAAAAGAGAATTATCCCCATAGCAAGAAATCATCAGCACAGAATGTGGGGATTTATGTTAATAAAAACAGCTTGAACCCAAGCATGAGAACAAGAAGCCTGATGAAACAGTACCCCAGATCAGAGGAAATAAACAAACACACAAGTGGTTGGGAATGGGAAAACAAAAAAGGTTATTTGGTCCAAAAATACATATCTAGTACAGCCTTCTTGTTTCACAGGTTAGAAAACCAGGTCCTAAGAGGTTAAATGACTTGGCAAAATAATTTGCTCTGTGTTTACCTAATAGACTCCCCTTTCTCATCCTGCCTTTCCTTTGACTCTAACAATGATGAGGAAGGGTGGGTAGGCCTCACAGTCACCCCCATCTGACAGATGGTGAGCTAAAGCGTGCAGACCTTTGGGCCTTCCAGGTCACATCTCCAGGAGACGGTGGAGTGCAGGCTGGAGGTCAGGGCTCCTCAGGTCAGACCAGGCTCTGGATGAGAACCCAGACCGTGCTGGGCTCTGGGCAGCTCACCTGCGTGAAGGCAACAGAACATCCAAGAAGGACCACTCTATCCACAACCACGCTATGTCACAACAGGAGAGCAAAATGAGGGTATAACCTGCCCTTGAGGAGAGAACATCAAGAGCTGCCGAAGACACTGAATGGTCTTCAGTGCAGCCTTCAAGAATGGGGATAACTATATGAGCAGAGAGAAACCTTAGTCTAGAGAAAGTGCATGAACGAAGAACCAAGGTAAGTAAAAGAATGTCCAGGGAAGACCAATGCAGAAAAAAACAGCCTAAGGCTTGACAAAGGAGGAACGGAGGATACGGTCAGAAGATGAAGGTGGGGACGTGAACCCAGGCTAAGGATCCTCCAAATCCTTTTCTGTGCACCAGGGACCTGCTCCAGTCTCTGGACCAAAAACACTGAGCAGCTCAACCAATGCAGACACCCACAGCCACTACCATCCTGTCAGGTCCCTTCCAGGGTGGAATATTTCTAAAGGAAGCAGGAAGCAGGGCTTGCTCATCCAATCAAACTGGAGAATCAAGCACTCAAGCATGCATAGAAACCCTGGGAAGATTTTAACAAGAGGACATTTCTGAAGGAGCAAAAAGGTTTGGGGAAGAAAACAGCAACCTAAAAATAAGCCTTTTAAAGTCATTAGGTGCACACCTATAAAGTCAGACACTACATGAAACAGCTCCTGAAATGCCAGGAGGACACACACTAGACAGAAAGAACAATTGGCAGAGGAGCACAAAAAAAGGCATCTTTCAAAGAGTGACCTCTGCAAAAGATGCCCGGAGGGCCAGCCTCGGCAGGAGGCCATGGGAGGGGGAGCAGAGGCTATGGTGAGCCCCGGGAACAGCTCTCCAGCAGCCCCTTCTGGCCAAGGCCAAAGGAAGAAGGAAGGCTGGGAAAGTGGAAACCCAGGACAGGGGAGGGAAAGAGAACAGGTTAAAATGGTAATCCCATTACAGAGAGATCTGGTGACAGTCAAACCATGAGAGCCTTGCCAGATGCCTCTGATGAAACTGGTACCTTATGTGGCAAGGTAAGGAGGGGAGTCTGTACACGAAAGGATTTGGGGGAGCTGAAGGAAGAAAACATTCCGGTGTCCACACAGCTACTGGTAAAATGGGTTCTGCGTGAGCCACGTAAGGTCATGATTGTTCTATGCTTAGAGCAAGCCACAGTAGAGAAGTATCCGGTAAGCTTGTGGATCCCAAATATGTGCATTTGGGGGTTTTATTTCCACTGGGGACCTTTGCAGACACAGTGGGCCCACTGCTACTTTATTGAAAAGCCTGTGGGAGGGAATTACCTTAATTTATGGCATGTGTCTCCATTGTTAAGATTTCGTTTTCATATGGGATCTCGGGTCGAGGTCCATGCTGACTTATGATCCAATGATTCCATTGTAAATGAATAGCCAGCTAAAACACAAGTGAGAGAGACCACTGCGGGAGCAAGGACAGTCTTGCTGACATCTGATCATGGGATTAGAGTCACTACTTCATCCTGGCTTCCCCCCCACCCCCACCCCCACAACACACACACAGTACTTATGAAAATGATATCATATGTGTCCTGTGGTCACAAAGGAAAGAATTTCAAAACACAATTGCTAATGTTTATGAGCTTATTCTTGTGCTAATCCCTGTGGAGAGCACAAAAAATTACAAACAAGAACCCCTGGCTCAAGAAGTTTGGAAAGTGAAGACTTAATCACTGTAAAACAAAGATGAAACACTGGTAACAGTATGCCACTGAACACTAGAGTCCCTAAGTACTCTAAGGAAAAACCCATGCAGAATGGAGTTGATGAAGAAATATTTGTGGAAGAAGTTAGATTTTTTTTTTTTTTTGAGACGGAGTCTCCCTCTGTCACCCAGGCTGGAGTGCAGTGGTGCCACCTTGGCTCACTGCAACCACTTCCACCTCCCAGGTTCAAGCAATTCTCCTGCTTCAGCCTCCCATGTAGCTGGGATTACAGGCACGTGCCCCCCGACCCCCGGCAACCCCCACCCCGGCCTCCTGGCTAATTTTTATATTTTTAGTAGAGACAGGGTTTCACTATGTTGGCCAGCCTGGTCTCAAACTCCTGACCCCAAGTGATCCTCCTGCTCACCTCCCAGAGTGTTGGGATTACAGGCATGAGCCACTGTGTCTGGCCTGAGCTGATTCTTAAATAAGGTTTCTACCTAAATAAGCACAATGAAGCAGGAAGGACTTCAAGGCAACCCAGATACCGCCCTTGACCTAGAAAGAGGACTCAGAGTAAGAACAGCTCACGAGAAAAAAACCTACACCAGATCATGATTTTTTAAAAACACTGTCCTGACACTTCTGCTTCTGTCCCAGATGGGCCAACAGGAACCAAATTTATCCTCACACCATCACATTGAAGTTTAAAAAAAAAAAGGACAAGCCTAAGAAACAACAGTTGTTAAGACACAGGACCTCAGGCAACAAAGGCCAGGAAACAACAAGCCAGGTAAGCCCCATGGGAGCTCCATCTGACCACCTAGGGAGAGTTCACAGGTCACAGTATGAGAGGGAAACCAAGGCAGAGGCTGGAGGACTTCCTGAGTAAAGGAGATGGGGTTGAGAGTCCCGGAGGCCACTCAGCTAAAGCACTCAGGACACAGTACTGGAGAGGAGACAGCTGCACAGAGGGAGAACAGTGGAGTTGTGCAGAAGGCCCCTGGAGCATCCAGCTGAGTACTAAGCAGGTAAAGAAACTACACAAGGTCAGGAAAAGATTAGTGCTTACAACACCTGCGCTCACACAGGGCTGAGAATAGCGCCTGCTCCCACCACTCCATGGAGCTCAGGAAGGACTCACTGCAGTAGTGGGAAGAATTAGTCCTACTGAGCACTGCTCCAGACTCACCTAAGAAATCATAAGATCCAGACCCAAAGTAACCAAAGTGATTTCAAGTAACTTCACGAAAAATTCAAGTACTGTCATAGGAATACAAGAGTATCCAGTACCCATCAAGGCAAAAACTGTCTGCCCAACCTCCTTAACCCTCAAATGGCCAAAGGAGAGAACACAGGGAAAACGGGCCCATGATTCAACTCACTCACAGAGCCCCTTCCTGGCTCTACACAGGAGGCATGTGGCTCTGGTGGCACTATCATCCAGGGCCAGAGGCATGTCACCGTCCAATTACATTGGTAACACAGGCCACTGTCAGCCACCTGCATTTAAGGGCTGTTGACTGAGAAGTAGTACAGTGAATCTTTCCTAAGAGTATTCTAAGCTATAGGCAAGTCTTAATTATACAGTCATTTCTAAAGTTGATATAATTTAAAATAATTAAGGTGTTCACTTTTACATTTTATAAAGCTTATTATCTTATTAAACACCATTCTGTTTCATGTGGTAGAATTTTATTAGAAACACCAGACTTATGAATAATAAACTGACTGATTAAAGATTTGAATGAGAGTAATCTCTGAGATAATTTTAAACAAGGGACATATTTTACATATGAATTCTTAACAAAAACCATGGTCACTATTTACCTTCAAACACTGTCAATTAAAAAAAAAAGATCAGAATATGTTTGAAAGATTCTGAAAATACAATGTCATTTTTTATTTTCTCAAAAAGTCCATTTTTTATGAAATGATCTTGGTATAGATTTATTTCATAAAACTGAATTTACATAGTTTTAATAGAAAATTTTATTAGGATAAGACATGATACCTAACCTGTCAGTTCTATCAAAATTTCTGGTTTTAGGATGAATAACCTAAATTGATCTTCATAACTAGGGTTGACCACATGTTCTGGTTTGCCCAGGACAATCAAAGTTTATACCTCTTGTCCCCTTCATTCTCAATACTCCAAAATGTAGACAATATATCATAAAGCTGCCCTATTCATAATGGAAGTGAATACATGGTGCTCTCAGAAGTCAGCAAATCCTCAAATACAAGCAGAATAAGTTATTTACCCTAATACATTCTAAAATCAAAAATGAAATTAGGAGTAAGGCCCAAAGTTTCCAGATTGCCTGTTTTCTAATGGTTTTCCAGGCATTAAAAAAAAAGAACTACCACTCACAAATGAAAGTGTCCCACCCCTCCCTGACCTCTAACTTCTGGGCATGAAGGTAAGTTGGAATGTCCTGACTTGTCAGCTGCTTCCATTCCCTGTTTTCATCTGTCAGGTTCCCCAGGAGAAGTTTTATACCAAGTACACCTGGGTATTATAAATTGCATCATGAGAACATCTAATTTACACAAATTCAACTACCTGGCACTCTGATAAAAAAAGGATGACTCCAATCAGCCTAGGTATTCTGTCCCCCCAATTGCCCTTAGTGACCGTCTGCCCACAGGTGATGACCATGGAGGACTGCCCAACCATCTGGTGAGACCTGTGGACAGAACTTGCCAGTCTCAGACATAGCCATGACCTGCACCTTTAGGAGCCAGGTAGATGGTTGGTAAAGATTTTTCAACACCTTCCAGAAAGAAATGGAAGGAGGTATGGAGAGTAATACAGAAATAATGACCATGAGGGAGGGAAATGGCAACCATCTTTACCCAAACATGATGATGGTGATGAAGAGGAAGAGAAGCTGCAGCTCATTATATGATTATATCACCCTAGGTACATACCACATTGATTTACATAAACATGCACCTTTCTGTGCAGGGCTGCCAATATAAAACCCTGGGCTTTGCAAGGAATTTGCAAAGGGGGGATCATATTTATTGTGATCATATTTATTGATCACATTTATTGTGTACAAGTCTTTTCAAAGGGTCTTATTCTATAACAGAGGCTGGGAAATAACACGCTCTGTACATCAATATGCTTGCAAAACATGTGAAGACTGACAGTCTGAACTAGTCTAACAGCAAGCACTGTTGTCCTAGAGGCAGGCAGAGATAGCCCCAGAAGTTCTACAAAGAAGGGACGCAGCAGTGGCAATCGATTAAGTGGGGAGGAAGTCCAGTCTTGAAGCTGTATTTGCACTGCAAACCCATCGCTTTTACTTAATACAAAACACCTGTATTTTGAGCAGCCTTCAGAACTGATGGAGATGACAGGAGGTATGGGGCACTCCTGCTGCCACCACGGGGGCAGGTGGGAGGGCAGTATCTCCTTATGTTGACAACAGCGCTAGAAAAGATTGCCCTCTAAGCCAGTGCTGCTCAAAGAAAGGGCAACAGACCACTGCCCGCCCTGAACTGTTTGTGCAGATCTGTGAGGAGGTAAGTATAAAAATGGGAGTGTTTAGAAATGTTTACAGCAGTTCGTGGCCGGGCGCAGTGGCTCATGCCTGGAATCTCAGCACTTTGGGAGGCCGAGGCGGGCAGATCACTTGAGGTCAGAAGTTTGAGACCAGCCTGGCCAACACGGTGAAACCCCATCTCTACTAAATATACAAAAATTAGCCAGGTGTGGTTGTGCGTGGCTGTAATCCCAGCTACTTGGGAGGCTGAGGCACGAGAATCGCTTGAACCAGGGAGGTGAAGGTTGCAGTGAGCTGAGATCATACCACTGTACTCCAGCCTGGGCGACAGAGTGAGACTTTGTATCAAAAAAAAATATATATATAGATATATAATATATATATAAAATATATATATATAATATATATATAAAATATATATATTATATATATATAATATATATTATATATATATAAAATATATATATAATATATATTATATATATATAAAATATATATATATTATATATATAAAATATATATATAATATATATATAAAATATATATATACACACACACACACATGTTAATAATTAGCTATTTTACCTTCTTTATATACTACATCTTTGATCCAGTGTGTACTGTATACCCACGGCACATCTCAATTGGGACCAGGCACATTTCAAGAGGCAGAGAAATGGCCCTGTCTCCCCAAGCTCCTAACCATCCCCTAATGCATGGGCCCAAAGCCCCGCCCACTCATGGAGAGTTGGAAACACTGGCTGGTTCTGGAAAGGTGCCCCTCACGCCACACCCTCACCAGACACACTCACAAGGAAACCTTGATCCTGGGAGGCCTGTAAGCCAGTCGGAGAGGTGCCAAGGGACAAGTCCCCTCTACTCTTCTCTTCAGCTGATCTGAGAAGGAAAGGAAGCAGCATAAGGACATGTGTGTGAGAGAGTGTGTGAGTGTGTGTGTGTGCGCGCGTGTGTGTTACCATGTACTGTAAGAGTTTCTGCGGCAAAGCCCACTAGTCCAGAGAGAAAAGAACCAGCCCTAAGACTCACCCCTCAATAGTAGACAATAAGCCTGTAACACATGATGCCCAAAGAGTCTTTCTTGTGAACAGACAGCCACCAGTTCACCTTGAAAAGAGCCACTCACCCTTCCAGTTGATCAGTGCTCGCTCCCTTTAGAGTCTGGTGCTGCTGTACTGCACAGCACTCTATGGCCAGAGAAGCTGGCACATTTCCAAGACACCCACCACCACAGTTTGGTATATTGGGTAAGACCAGGTGCATATATGAGTGAGCACGCAGGGTGAGTCCCAGACACAGAGCACTCAAGGTACAATCTTGTCTACTGCAGTCCGTCCAGGGTTGCTTTACTTAAACAACAACTGTGTGTGTGGCTTTAAACAGCTAAGGAGCTTGTTTAAATGGAAAAAACCTTGAAATGAGATGAAACAGGTCTCTGCATTTCCCAGAATTGATGATCATGTGCTTTATTTATCGAACGAAACTCTCTTTCTGAATATAACTGGAATCCTGACCATGTCTAAGGGAGCTAAGGAAACGGGAGTCGTCTGAACGCTGCATCTCACTATAAAGACGTTAACTGCTTACAGGTGATGAACATCCAGGTGAAAAGTGGCAAGTTACAGGGGAACAGTGAGAGACATTTGGGGCCACCCAAGAGCAGTGGCATCCACCCCACACCACTGCTCAGGCCGAGGCTCACACTGCTATTCAGCCCCCTCAGCACACGGGGTCTCCAGGGGGCACACCTGATGGATAATGCCAACACTCAGAAAGGCTTCACCTGCTAAATTCCGAAACATTCAATTAAAATATGGAAATGCACCGCTAACGGGATTAAAAAGAACTCAATTACAATGGCAGCACTTCCTTTCAGAGTCTTAAATACCAGGACAGGGCTAATTACTGAGCACCGAGTTACACTGCTTCCTTAGATATAATTCACACAAAATGTTTTTCTGCCTAGAAATAAACTCCACTTGATCTGCCTCAGAGAACACAAGTAAAAGGTCATTTTCTGTGCTATTTTTTCAAGAGATTACCTATTAATCCAGCTCCTCAGAGGCAACTTTCTACATCACTGTCAAAGCAACGACTCTTGTTTTTTAGAGGTAGTGGGTTCTCCACCCTTAAAGAAGGCCCAATTTGCCTTTTTCTCTTCCAAATTCAACTTGAAATGCTGAACTGCCCACATTCAGGAGCAATCCCACCCACCTGACAGGTTACCTGTTTACTGGAGATCAAAAGATGATTCTATTCCAAAAGACACTACCATAAGAAGAAAGTCTAAAGCAACAGCAAAGAGATGATATTTTATTTATTTATGCCTTCTAATTTCAATGATGCTTTTCATAAAAAGGTCTTTCCAGGTGCCAACGAAGAGCAATCCCCCCAAACAAACCTCAGTGAGGGGAGGCAAATCTGGTACCATGAACACAGGGTGTGGCGCAATTCCTACTTCTACAAACCACACAACTGCCTTGGTGTAGCCCCTGACATAGAGAAAGGGTTGCAAGCTATCTGGTCAGTAATGACCCCAGGATTCCCCACTCTGAACCAACAACTGCTGAATCTTTGGCAACGAACCAACAACTGCTGAATCTTTGGCAACAAACCACACAACTGCTGATAGCTTTTTACTTATCATTTATCCTCTTTATCCAAATCTGAGTGAAAAGAAAACTGAGGAAAGCCACACTCACTAAGCTAATCCCCTTTTCCAGTGGAGTTCTAGCTAAAGGCTTGATCAGTCATGGCTCCAATAACACAGACAGCCAAAGAGAAAATGGACCACATAAGAAGGGTTCAAATGGCTTTGCATTCAGTAGGATACAGGCTCAAAAAACAGCAAATGAGCTTAGAATACATTGGGCTACAAGAGCAAAGTCTTCCATTTTTAGAACATATTCAAGATTCCAACAATGTTTCCAACCTTTGGCATTTTCTCTCTCCCATCTCCACATTCCATTCAGTCATTCTCACACAAAGCAGATCTCCTAATGCAGCCTGACCACCAAGACGGTGGAATCACTTCCGTCCAGCTCATCCTTCCCACTGAGGCCTCTGCCTCTGAGCTCACCATCATGTGATGAAAGGGCTCAGATTCTTCACCATCCTTTTGGGAAAGCACAGGAGTAAAGGCACTCACCCACCACTACCAGCTACCATGGTACCTGAACCTGGCGGTAGCTTCCTGGGGACCTTTTTGAACAACACCTAAAGCTGCTCTCATTGTCCACTGGCTTGAGTTCCAACCCTCTTCTCATATTAACTATGAATTAACTGTGAGAAAGGGTACAGGCAGGGGCGGGAGTTGCTGTGGGGATGCAAGTGGTTTTTGTGTTGGAGGGCACATTATGAATCCATGTCCACGTGTGAGGATAGTGATGAACTCAGATCAACCAATCTATAAAATTTCAAAATTACCAATTGTTAATTTGTTTCAAACTCTCCTTATCCCCTGATATCCTGAAAAGCAAAATTTTATGTTTTTAAACATAACAGCACTCCTAGTCTTCAAGTTCCTTAAAACAGCACCAATACTGTCTAGACCAGCTCTGTCTAGCCGAATTATCTGTGATGGAAATGTCCTATCTTTGCACTATCCAGTACAGAAGTCACAAATGGCTGTCAAGCATAAGAAATGTGGCTAGTGCAAATCTATTAAATTTGTAATTTTATTTCAGTTTAGCACTTGTGGTTAGTGGCCATGCTACTGGACAGCAAAGGTCAGATAATCTACCTTAACAACTGCTCTGAGATGGAAGCTTATTTAGTGTGACCCAAGTCTCCCCTTGGCAGAGTGTGCAGGCAAAATAGGAACCTGTATGCTTCCGGACATGCTTCCTGATCTCCTTCCCCTGCCCCACCCTCTCCTTGATCATCTTCCTCTGCAGTGGTGTTTCTCAACCTCAGCACTACTGACATTCGGAGCTGGATAATTCTTTGGGGTGAGGTCTGTCCTGTGCATTTTAGGATGTTGAGTAGCAACCCTGGCCTCTACCCACTAGAAGCTGGTAGGTAGCATGTCCTCCTCCCCTACTTGTGACAACCAAAAATGTCTCCAGAGTTGTCAAATGCCCCCAAAGGTGCAAAATGGGTGCGAACCATGGCTCTAGAGATAACTTTTAAAAACAACAGTGACAACAACAAAATTTCTGTTCTTAGAATTTCTGTCTCTGCTTATTTTACAGGATGAGGTTACCCTCCCATATTTGCCCTTGGTTAGGCATCTTTTCCCCACCCCTTGCACACACCCTTTTGAACCTGAGTCCATTGGAGTTCCTGTGCCATTTTTCTAAGGTTTCTGCCCATGTAAGCACATACACTGAATGCCCAGCTACCCTCCTGCTCAGGAGGCTCACTGGAGACCAAATGACCTGCCTGTAAAGCTACGAACTACTGGCTGGGCGTGGTGGCTCACACCTGTAATCCCAGCACTTTGGGAGGCCGAGGTGGGAGGATCACGAGCTCAGGAGATCGAGACCATCCTGGCTAACATGGTGAAACCCCGTCTCTACTAAAACTACAAAAAATTAGCCAGGCGTGGTGGCAGGCACCTGTAGTCCCAGCTACTCAGGAGGCTGAAGCAGGAGAATGGCGTGAACCCCAGAGGCGGAGCTTGCAGTGAGCCAAGATTGCGCCACTGCACTCTAGCCTAGGTGACAGAGCGAGACTCCGTCTCAAAAAAAAAAAAAAAAAGCTACCAACTACTTATGATTACTTATGTTAATCTACCCTGGCCAGTGTTCTTAATATGAACAGACAGCCAAAGACATCGAGATATGTGGGGGCACATCTAGAGCTCAAAAGAAAAAACTGAGTAGAATAAACAGAACTGACTCTGGGAAAAAAGCTACTTCAGCAAACAGAAATGAGTATTTTAAAAGTTCAGTTAGTATGTATCTTCAGAGAACATCAAGAAAACATAATACCCCTAAAAACAAAATAAGAAAACAGAAACAAAAAAAAAAACTGAATACTATGAAAAAGCAGAAATTATGATAAAAAATGAGTTCATGGATATTAAAAATTGCTTGCCAAAATTAAAAACTTAGTAGAAAGGTTGGGAGATTAATAATTTCAAGTTTAATAATTGCCCCATGGGGTTAAAAAAACAAATGGAAAAAGAATGGAAAATACCGAGAAAGTTTAAGAAAAATGACAACCTGGGAGGATTATCAACTGGTCTCTAGGCTTTCCAGAAAGAGAGAAGAGAAAAATAAATGGTGAGAAAATATTGAAAATAGCAATAATAGAAGAAGAGAGCTTCCTCAAGCTAAAGAAAAGGCAAGGGAATTTAGATTTAAGAAACCTAGATTACCAGAAAGGATGAAAATGGGACACATCTTCATGAAGTTTGAGGACACCAAGATCAAGACAGGTCTCCACACGACCCAGAAGGAAAAAAGAAAAGCTCCCATCCAAGGGTGAGAATATGGTCAGTAAATAGTCCTCATAGAAACACCAGAAGCAGAACCATGGCCTTCAGAATTCTGAAGCAAAGAATTTTGAACCTAGAATTCTACATCCATATAAACTAACAGTCAAGTGTAAGGACTATAGGGACATTTTCAGATTTATTTTTTAAAAGGCAGAAGATTTACATTCTGAACATTCTTCTAGGGAAAAAAATTATTGAAAATAGACTTCAGCACAAATAAAAAAGAAACCCAAGAAAGATGAAGACGGGGGTGGGAGGATCCACAAAGCTGACCCACCCAGCAGGACAGTGAAAGGAAGCTATGGACTCCTGCTGGATGGCAGCAGCCCAGAGGGCAGGTCCAGGCAGCGGCCCAGTCAGAGGCCCCAGGAGAAATGGGTCTCATAAAACAGGACGCATGACTGACAGGGAGGGAAACCTTAGGAATATGGCAAAGGCACATCTGCTAAGAAAAACATTAGTTTGCCAATTCTTTTAAAATTTTTGTAGACAGTTCCTTTTTTTTTTTTTTTTTTGCCTCATTCCAGATGTGATTTCTACTCCAACAGAACTAGTGATACCTTTGTGACCAGATTCCTATCCTATATGGCAGGCATGTTCTCTTCAGTATCCCTGCCTCAGGTGCTGACACAGAGACATCAAAGACCAACCTGCTCCTGGTCACTGTGTTGGCAGCCACAACACCTGATATTACTGAGGAGTTAAATCTGATCTGCAGTAGATCAATGTCTCTGCGGTCTCTAGTATGTACTCCAGCCTGGCTTTTCTAGCCTGCATCTAATCTAGATCTTTATTCTATAGCCCTTGCTAAATTAGCCAACTTCCCCAGTTAATTCTGGACTCAACAACTGCCCAGTCTGGGAAATGAGAAAAGGGGAAATTTAAAACAAGGATAAAGCCAAATAGCACCCAACTGAAGGGTTCAATTGTCAAGAAAATTAAAATTAAGGAAGAAGAGTTTATTACAGAGATGGAGGGAAGGGGGCGGGAGTACCATACACAGTTGTGGATTACTCAGGGATGTTGGAATGGAAACCAAAATCTTTCTTGGTTTGAAAAGATTATCAGTCCTTCCCTCTGTCTTGGCCTGAGGGACCAATAAAAGGATCTTCCCTTTCATCTTTGACCATTTTGAAGGATGTACAAATAGACGCTTTGTCTAAAATGGAAGTGAATAAGAGACTCTCTAAATATTTATTATGCAACAGATTAAAATGATTGTAGACAAATTTCTCCTGTCAACAATGATTAGGTTACATAGCAAGATTTTACAATGGACCTCAGGCATCGCACTGTATATTAGCTCTAAGCAAAATGAAAAACTCTAAATTATACTTTAAATCAACCAAGAACGTATTCTGTTCCTATTCAGAATCATCAGCTTACTTCATGCATTTTATCTGACAGAAGGACAAATCGGCAATTCGAGAGACTTAAAGAATTATTAGGTGATTCTTTAAAAGGAGAAGCCAAAGCAAGCACACAGAACATTCATGTGTCAGTTAGTATTTACTGAAAGCCTACTGCATCCCAGGCACTGGGGCAAGTCCAGTGCTCATTTCTAAGTGATGACCTGTGTGTCAGGCCTATGTCCCACGTGGTCCCATCCTACTGCTCTCCCCGACACTGAAAGGCCAGACAGACTCCCTGGGTGCATTCAGCTCACATAGTGCAATAGAACCAAGGGCTCTGGGATGTCCCTTGTCCTCCACACCACCCGCATTCTGTTGCTCCTACCTGCCCACAAGATTGCACAGGAGGAAGAAAAGGCATAATGCAAAAATTCTATTGTTGAGAAGACCTAACAAGTTCAAAACATATGGCCAGGGTCTGGCAAAGGACGTAATGAATCATTAGGAACTACCCTACTTAAAGAAGACCATTTCTATTATTTCTAAAAGACATTTGCTATATGCCCCCCTTATTGGGGTGCTTGTTAGTACATCTCTTTCATCAGGAGTTCATTAAACCAAGTCCGTTAGGTAACATGTTTTCTCTCCAGCTGTAAAACTGCCCTCCAGCTACCTGTGTCTCTGTGGCCCAGAGTGCCCACCCACAGACAATGCTAGGTTCTTGTGCAAAGCACCAGGCAGGGGTACCAAATCTCTGGCCTGAATGTGTGGGAACAGAACCCTGCCAATGCCCCCATAAACAACAACTCTCTGGGGCTCACCATCCCTAATGAGAGAATCCAGCACCCTGTCATTTTGTAATAAATGAAAAATCAGTTAACATGTGCTTTAGTATGTACTGACCATTGTGAAAAATATTCCAAAAACACTATGGGAAAACAGCAGTAGCTTTTTCACCTCACAGAGTCAGGCGCTACTCTGATGCCACCTCTCATCTGTAGTCCTTTGTACATAAAGTAATTTTACAGCCAGTCTCCACGCAACCCTGTCCTGTGAAAAGCCTTCCTTCCTCCCAAGGTCCCCCTTCCTCTGAGCCTTTGCTACACCCTCAAGTTCCAGGAACCTTAGTCCAAGTCTTCACTTCCCCAGACACCCTCCAATCGAATCTCAGTCCACTGAAGCCCTGACTGCCACCTCCACCATGCCACTGACGCCACGTCAAAAGGGTCACTGTGGGTGTGGAAGGTGTGGAATAAACAAGTACATATTGAGTACCATGTACACCACTCGGGTGACGGGTACACTAAGATCTCAGAATTCACCACTATGTAATTCATCCACATAACAAAAAAAATCCCACTTGTATCCCAAAAGCTATTGAAATTTTAAAAATCAAAAATTAAAAAAAAAAAAAGGTCACCACTATTTGCACAGGAAATTTTTCAGGAGGATATACAATGAGGAGAATTTTATTTTTTAATAATCTTCCGTCTTTGAATTTTCTAACCAAGTGGATGTTCTTTTGATTTTTAAAAACATCAACAGAGGCTACTGAAGACAGTCAAATGATGAGCCACTAAAAAGAACCTGTGTTTTAAGAAGTCCATTTAAGAAATGTTCTCTTGAGAAACAAACAAATAGTAACTTTCCAGCAGAGAAACCTGACTGATACCATCTTGACCAAGTGAGTGATCAAGGTCAGCATCAGTAGTCATGAGACACATCAATACCATGTGCCCTGACATGGCACACCAAGGACATCAAATTCCCAAACTAAGGGACATTCTAAAAAATAACTGGCCTGTGTCTTCAGAAGTATCAAGATCGTAAGACTGGAGGAGGCTGAGACACACCTAAATGAACATGGGATTCTAGATTGGATTCTGGACCCAGTGGGACAATGGCAATATTCAAATAAGGCCTGCAGATTCATTATTAGTTAATGCTATGTTACCAACAGTAACTTGCTGGTTTTGATCACTACTACAGATATGTGAGATCATTAACATTAACACTTCGGGAAGCTGGGTAAAAGGAATATGAGAACTCTTCTGGTCTATTTTTGCAACTTCATTAAGTCTGGAATTATTTCAAAGTAAGTTTAAGATACATATGTGTACACACACGTACACACACACAAACACACACATGATCACTCTTGACTGTGTGGCCAGCAAGCCCAATGGTACTTTCCAAATGCTCACCTCCTCAGCCTCTTACAGTGAGACAGCATGGAGCTGCCCTTCTAGAAAGTCTCTCCCACTAGGCTTCCAAACTGAGGTACTTCCCTGGCTCCTCTTCCACTTTATAGCCATCCCCACACAAGCTGGGCTCCATCCTCCCTGATGACCACCTCTAACAGATGACTTGCCTCAACGCGGGAGATCTGACAGAAACTTGAAGGCCGGACCTCCCCATGACTGTCCTGCTGGCATCACGCGAAAACCCCAAAGCTGCCCCTGCCCATGTCCCTGTTAGCCTGTTCAAGGCTTGCTGTCACCTCAGGGTCCTTCTCCACATCTCCCACTTCTCTGGCCTTCTCTGTTCCTACTGCTGACCCATTTCCAGGCCTCTATTTGCTCCACCCAAGCCTCCTGCACAGAGACTCAAGGTGACAGATGGGGAAAAGAACACCGCTGCCTCAGGTGGGAAAACCTGGGTTGGAGGCTTCATTCTGCCATGGCCTACCTGTGGTTTTGGAGAAAGCTTTTAGAGACTAAAGCTTTTTCACATGTAAAACAGGCTATTAAATAAGAGCCCCTAAGGCAGGCTCTCTTGACCTAATAGCCTTCCTCTCCTGCTGCAACTCCACTCCAGAGTGTGAAAATGCCACAAATCCACTTTCCCAAACTCCCTGGTGACCTGCTGGACAGTAACCCAGCTCTGCCCAGAGGACATAGGAAACACCAACCCTCTGGCCTGCCTTGGACACAGACGTGGAGGGTGTAAGGGCACTGCTGTGGCAGCCATTTTGTAACCAAGAGGAGATGAGGTAGAGGACAGAGAGGAAAACAGAACCCCAGCACCTGGGAGCTGCCAAAGTAACCAGCCCTGGAGTCCCTGGGCTCGGGCCTCGGAACTCATGAAAGAAAATCAAATGTTCCTATTGTTTAAGGAACTTTTAACTGAGAATTCTATTTGACTGTGACTTTCAGCCATGGCAGGGCTCAGTCACCAACTATTCATAAGAGGGTAAGGAGACAGATGCAGGCAGGGAGCGGGAGGAGGGAATGGGAATGAGCTGAGCAGCAGCATCACAGCTGGAGGGCTGGACATGGATGACCAGCTCCTCACTTCCAGGTGTTTCCACATCAAGCATCCTGCAGACAGCTAACAAGTTCATTCTACAAAGTACAGTTCTCACCACTTTATCCTTCCTCTGCTCGGAAACAGTCAATGGTTTCCCACTGTCCACAGGGGATGCTTAACGCATGTGGGTTATGCAGCTAGAAAGACAAGGTAAGGACTTTGGATGTAAATGTAGAGGTTAAAAAAATAAATCACTGAATATGTATAGATGAAATAACACTGAGATTTGCTTCAAAGTAATAGAAGATGTTAAAGGGTTGACAAAATCAGAGCTGCCATCCTGGGTGTCCACTGATGCTGGACACATAGGGGTTCGACAGACTCTATTGCCCAGTGTACATGTGTTTAATATTTTCTGTGATAAAAATTTAAGATCATTTCAAGTTAATAATACAGAACTGAACTATGTAATTATTGTTAAAAACATATACATCAGCAGATCCTAGAAAAGCTTATCAGAATAGTAAAAATGTGTGATTTGCTAAAGTTTTACTGATTTGCTCATACAAAGGTGTTCATACCCATTTCTTGGAATTTCTCTTCAGTCAAAGAAAAGTATTATCAGAATAAAGATGATCACTTGCATACTACTTATAATTGTGAAAAATTAATCTAGATGTCCAAGAGTAAAGTTATGGTAGACTGATTTAATAAATAGCATGCAAACATAAAAATTATATGAGTTGAGAGATTGAGACCATCCTGGCTAACGCAGTGAAACCCCGTCTCTACTAAAAATACAAAAAATTAGCCAGGCGCGGTGACAGGCGCCTGTAGTCCCAGCTACTCGAGAGGCTGAGGCAGGAGAATGGCGTGAACCTAAGAGGCGGAGCTTGCAGTGAGCCGAGATAGCGCCACTGCACTCCGGCCTGGGCGAAAGAGCGAGACTCTGTCTCAAAAACAAACAAACAAAAAATATGTGAGTTGAATATCCACACTCCAAAAATCTGAAATCCAAAATCTTCCAAAACCCAAAATTTTTTGAGAACAGACACGATCCTGAAAGGTTGTACTCAAAGTGAATTTCACTGGAGAATTTTGGATTTTGAATGTTTCTATTAGGGATGCTCAACCAATAAGTATAATGCAAATATTCCAAAATCTTAAAAAATCCAAAACACTTCTGATCCCAAGCATTTTGTTTAAGGAATACTCTACCACTATATAAAATTTAGTCACCCTCACTGAAAATGGTAAAGCTTTAAGTGAAAAAGTTCATGACAATTACATCAATAAGAAGGACATGTGAATATCTGCAAAACACTATGAAGAAATAAGGAATCAAAATAGTTGTATTAAGCACATTGGTTTTCTTATTGTATTCAATGTTTTTGTAATGTTGCTTTAAATAATTTTTTTTGTTTTTTGAGACAGAGTCTCACTCTGTCGCCCAGACTGGAGTGCAGTGGCGGGATCTCCACTCACTGCAAGCTCCGCCTCCCAGGTTCTCGCCATTCTCCTGCCACAGCCTCCCGAATAGCTGGGACTACAGGCACCCACCACCACGCCTGGACAATTTTTTTGTATTTTTAGTAGAGGCGGGGTTTCACCGTGTTAGCAGGATGGTCGTGATCTCCTGACCTTGTGATCTGCCCGCCTCTGCCACCCAAAGTCCTGGGATTACAGGCATGAGCCACTGCACCTGGCTGCTTTAAATAACTTTTAAGAGATTTACCCAATCTTGAGTACAAGATTTTTCTCCAGTTTCTCAGATTTTAAATGGAAGCAGTAAAAACTACAGTTCAGGCCAGGGGCAGTGGCTCACGCCTGTAATCCCAGCACTTTGGGAGGCCGAGGTGGGCGTATCACCTGAGGTCGGGAGTTCAAGACCAGCCTGACCAACATGGAGAAACCCCATCTCTACTAAAACTACAAGATTAGCTGGGTGTGGTGGTGCATGCCTGTAATCCCAGCTACTTGGGAGGCTGAGGAAGGAGAATCACTTGAACCCGGGAGGCGGAGGTTGCAATGAGCCGAGATCGTGCCATTGCATTCCAGCCTGGGCAACAAGAGAAAAACTTTGTCTCAAAAACAAAAACAAACAAACAAAAACTACAGTTCACCTGTGAGCATAGTGACCTTTTCTAGACTCTGCTGACTCAGTGTGTCAGTCACGCCCATGAATTTCCTCCCTAATCTGAGCATCCATCATGACCGCAGGACCCCCAGTCTAGGAGGGCACCTGACCTGAAGGGCTGGGGTAACCAAACCACCTGAGACCGAGAAAGACGTGGAAACTACAGATGTCATCTTTCCTGGTCTTGGCAAGGCCCTGCACGTCCCCATTTTCACCTACAATGAGACTCCGAGACAGGCGGCCTGACTTGCTCAAAGACATTAGTGTCTGAGAGGTGGGGGAATACGCACAGGCAGGAAGGTGACATATGAGGCCCACATTCCCCTCGCTCCTGGAAAATTCTAGGGAAGATTCTGGAGCAGAGATGTGCTCTTTACAGAAGACAACGCAGCCTGGGTGCAGATATGACAACAGCATCCATTAAAATATGGTCAAATAGGAGTCTACAAAACACCTTGACTTTAAGGGAAAACAATTTCTCAAGACTATTATAATTGTCACCAAAGCCTTAAATCCTCCTATCTTCCTGACTGAATAAAACGTGGGCCAGGCACAGTGGCTCACGCCTATAATCCCAGCGCTTTGAGGGGCTGAGGCAGGTGAATTTCTTGAGCCCAGGAATCCATGGCCAGCTTGGGCAACATAGTGAGAACCCCATCTCTACAAAAATAAAATTAAAAATAAATTAGCCTGTGTAGTGGCACGCGCCTGTAGTCCCAACAACTTGGGAGGCTGAGGCAGGAAGATCACTTGAGCCTTGGGGGTTGAGGCTGAAGTGAGCTATGACTGCACCATTGCACTCCAGCCTGGACAACAGAACAAGACCCTGTCAGAGGAAAAGGAAAGGGAGGAAGAAACAGAAAAAGGGAGGGAGGGCAGAAGGAGAGAGAGAGAGAGAAGGAAAGAAGGGAAGGGGGGAGGGGAGGGGAGGGGAGGGGAGGGGAGGGGAATGGAGGGGAAGAGAAGGGAAGGGAAGGGAAGGGAAAGGAAGGGAAGGGAAAGGAAGGGAAGGGAAGGGAAGGGAAAGGAAAGGAAGGGAAGGGAAGGGAAAGAAGGGGAAGGGAAAGAAGGGGAAGGGGAAGAAGGGGAAGGGGGAGGCGGAGGGGGAGGGGGCTGGCATAGGCAGAGCATTTCCCTTATGGAAGGGATGAGATTCCCAGAGACCTGCATTGCTTTCTCCTGGTTTTATTTACCAACCAATAAACGAAATTCTTACAACCAGAGGCAGATGTGCACCTGAACGAGAGACCTTCAGTATCAATCTCATTTTCTCCCAGGCAAGGACTGGTTGGGTTCTGCGGCCAGCTACCCAGCCCACTCCAGCTCTATGTGTGAATCGTTGCTGACACTTGCACAAGGGAAAAGGGATTTTTTCATTTCTCCTGAGGGCTTGATGCTAACATGGAAGCAGGATCTGATCTGAACTCTTAACTGCAAGATACTGCAGGACACATTCGCAGAACACGCGCTGAGTATCTGTGTCCTGATGTTTTTCATGCTGGTCATGACCTGAAGGGAATCTATTGGCACATATACTATACGTCGGGCGTTTTTAACTTGATCATGGTGGCTCTGAGGTGCCACTTTTTCTTCACATACTGTACATACCTGAAACCACTCTTGGGGGTACTGCAGTCTTTAACCATGCTGTGTAAGACTGCTGTGGCATAAGTTCTCTTGTCCAAATAAAATTATTAATAAGATCTATATAGAGTGATATACACACTTTTGATTGTTTTCTAGATGTCTACAAATAAATGCAATTTGTGACCTGTATATAAAAAAAAGTAGGAGTCTGCAAAGTGTTCCATTTACAAGAATCTCACCGAGGCATGTCCCCCTCAGGGAAATGCAATCATTTCGGAAGGCCCGGCTGCTGCTCCCTAACCCAGTTGTTCCCTTTCCCAGTAAAGGCCTCCCCTTCCCGCGGCCTCTAGCTGAGGTTGCTTATTAGCTTCCGAACCAGTTTTATAGTATGAAAGGTTACCGTAATAATAGCCTCAATGTATTAAATGGTGAGTGCTAAGCAGAAGGTTTTCTTTGGAGCCCTCACCAATGCTCTGGAGAACACGTTCTAAACGCCTCACTAACCAGGGTAAGAAGATGCAGCTCAGAGAGGCAAAGGGACCAACTGCAAGGCACGGGTGGGCTCAATTTACCTGCACTAATCTGTCTCCCCATTTGTAAAATATGATGCTTAATTATCTCTCTTCCCTGCTGAGAAGAGGGAATAGGATCTTACTCCTGTATCCCCAGGGAGCCGTGAGCACTGCGGTACTGACATTTATGATGTAAGAATTTCGTTCACTTCTCACACCTTGTTCCTCACCCAGATGGTGTCTCTGTGAGTGCCAGGCCTGGCCTTTGTTGCTCCTCACAGCATCCCTGTGGTCAGAGCAGGGTCTGAGAAGATACTCAGCAACATCTGCAGACTAAACAAGCTCATTCCAGAAAGGTCGACCATGGTGCTGTCAGGTAGAACCTTCAATGCGATGGAGACTTCCTGCATCCGTGCTGTGCAATACAGTAGTCACTAGACACACAAGGCTACTGAGCACTTGAAACGTGGCTAGTGCAGCTAAGGAAAATTTTTTATTAATTTAATTTTCATGGCTACACGTGGCTGGTGCTAGCATGTTGGTCAGCACAGATCTAACTCCTAATTTCTAACGTCCTGCTCGTTTACTGATGGGCTTGTGGTCCCTGCATGTGCCCACTCTGTGAATACCTCACTGAGACTGGATACACAATGGGGATAAGGGTGCTGCTTTCAAGGTGCTTGGTTAAGGAGCAAAGGGAGAAAACAAATAAATGTCTAATAAATAAGTGTGATCCATGCGGAAGACAATTTTTTTTTTTTTTTTTAGATGGGAGTCTCGCTCTGTCACCCAGGCTGCAGTGCAATGGCGCAACCTTGGCTAGCTGCAACCTCCGCCTCCTGGGTTCAAGCGATTCTCATGTCTCAACCTCCCGAGTAGCTGGGATTACAGGCATGTGCCACCAAACCCAGCTAATTTTTGTAGTTTTAGTAGAGATGGGGTTTTGCCACGTTGGTCAGGTTGGCCTCGAATTCCTGACCTCAGGTGATCTACCCGCCTCAGCCTCCCAAAGTGCTGGGATTACAGGCATGAGCCACCGCACCTGGCCCTCAATTTTTCTATTACAAGAAAAGCTGGCAGAAAACAACAAACAATGTTATTCACTGACTAACTTCTCTTCATTTACATAAAAGTCATATAAACAAATGTTCCCTCCCTTCCCATCCACCACCAACCACCACAATAAAGAGAAATACAAGGTCAAAAAGAAAAGCAAAGGATAATTTTGTTGGCCGGGTGCAGTGGCTTACGCCTGTAATCCCAGCATTTTGGGAAGCCGAGGCGGGTGGATCACTGGAGGTCAGGAGTTGGAGACCAGCCTTGCCCACATGGTGAAACCCCATCTCTACTAAAAAGACAAAAAAATTAGCCAGGCGTGGTGACACGCGCCTGTAATCCCAGCTACTCGGGAGGCTGAGGCAGGAGAATCGCTTGAACCCAGGAGGTGGAGTGAGTGAGCTGAGATTGTGCCACTGCACTCCAGCCTGGGAGACAGAGCAAGACTCTGTCTCAAAAAAAAAAAAAAAAAAAAATCCATGTCCTGTTTCTAGAAAATGTCCAAATGATGTACAAGTAGCATATAGCAAAATAAAAGATAACTGATGTATTTTAATAAGAGTGCTGATTAATTCACATGCAGCTCTATCCTGTTTGGCAGAAAGATTTTTCAGGGATGATTTCATAAAAAGTAAACATAATTTATAGGCGTATGGTGCCAAGTGCTAGGAGCCAAGGTTCAGAGCCTCAGCTCTCCTTCCAGGCAGTCAGTGGGGCTCCTCCTGACTCCAGCCCAGATGGCTCTGCCTTTAGTGCATCCCTTTGAGCTACTGACCTCAGCAACAACTCAATCAGTGCCATAGCTAGCAGGCATTTGTCTTCTTCCCTCAGTGAGTGGATCCATTCATGGTGGCTTGTACTAGCCTGATGAAACCAGTTAACCTTGTCATAAAGGCAGAGTAAAATGACCTCTTCTCCCCCTAGCCTGCCCCAAACCTGCAGATAAAAGGCATTCCCCCTGGCAAATAGCCAAAGGAAGCAGAGATACAGAGAGCTTGTGGCAAATATGAATGGAGATGCTACGTTCCAGAGACTTTTCTCTAAGAAGTTAGAAACCATTTCATTACCTCCATCACTTACAAACAAGGCATCAAATCAGCAAACGTCAAACTCCTTGTCTTAGGTATCATGTTAATATTTAATTACACATGAAAGATGGAGATCATTAAGTCCTTGCATTGGCCAGTGTGTACACTAAAGTGAAGAATAAACTATGGAGGAGAACACAGTTTGGGGTGTGGCTCTCACATCATTGGTAATCAGTAGACAATAAAAGTATGTTCTTAGATACATGCTTTATTGTGCCCTAAGTTGTAAGTAAGGTGCTAATTTTTTTTTCCTTTTACATAGGCACAACCTCTTTGGTCTCTGCCTCTTTTCATGGCACAGACACCAAAAGGTAAGTAAGTGGCAGCCTGAAAACTGGCTTTATGCTGACCAGGTGTGAGATTCTCCAAGCAGTAGGGGCTAAGGCTGGGGAGTAGGAGTAATGCATGCACCCCAGATGCAGGCAACAAGGTGGGACATTGTCTAGCCCTGCACTGTCCAATATGGTAGCCACTAGCCAGGTGTGGCTATTTAAATTTTTCTTTTCTTAATTTTATTTTTGATTCAGAGGGTACATGTGTAGGTTTGTTACCTGGGTATATTGTGTGATGCTGAGGTTTATGGTACAGATGATCTCATCACCCAGGTCATGAGCATAGTACCCAATAGGTAGTTTTTCAGCCCACATCCCCTTCCCTCCTTTCCCGCTCTAGTAGTCTCCAGTGTCTGCTGTTCCCATCTTTACTTCCATGTGTACTCAGTGTTTAGCTCCCACTTCTTAGTGAGAAGCAGTATTTGGTTTTCCACTCCTGCATTAATTCACTTAGGATAATGGCCTCCAGCTGCATCCATGTTGCTGCAAAGGACATGATTTTGTTCTTTTTATGGCTACAGAGCATTCCATGGGGTATATGTACCATATTTTCTTTATGTGTCCACTGCTGATGGGCACTTAGATTATTTCATGTCTTTGCTAGAATGAATAGCACTGTGATGAACATATAAGTACATGTGTCTTTTTGGTAGAACAATCTATTTTCACTTAGGTATGTACATACTTAGTAATGGGATTGCTGGGTTGAATGATATTAATAGTTCTAAGTTCTTTGAGAAATCTCCAAACTGCTTTCCACAGTGGCTGTACTAATTTACATTCCCACAAATAAGGTATAAGCATTTTCTTTTCTCTACAGCTTTGCCAGCTTCTGCTCATTTTTAATTTTAAAAATTGCCATTTAGACTGATGTGAGATGGTATCTCATTGTGGTTTTGATTTGCATTTATCTGATGATTAGTGACAACAAGCATTTTTCCACGTTTGTTGGCCATGCATATGACTTCTTTTGAGCAGTGTCTGTTCATGTCCTTTGCCCATGTTAAAATTCTGCCCAAAGCAATTTATAGATTCAATGCCATTTCTATCAAAATACCAATGTCATTTTTCATAAAAACAGAAAAAACTATCCTAAAATTTATAGGAAACCAAAAAAGAGCCCAAGTAGCCAAAGCAATCCTAAGCAAAAAGAACAAAGCCAGAGGCATCACATTACCTGACATTAAACTATAGTATAAGGCTACAGTAACCAAAACAGCATGATACTGGTACAAAAGCAGACACACAGACTAATGTAACAGAATACAGAACCCACAAATAAGGCTGCACACCTACAACCATCTGATCTTCAACAAAGGTGACAAAAATAAGCAATGGGGAAAGCACTCCCTATTTAATAAAGGATGCTGGGATAACTGACTCGCTATATGTAGAAGAATGAAACTGGACCCCTACCTTTCACCATATGCAAAAATTAACTCAAGATGGATTAAGATTTAAATGTAAGACCTCGAACTATAAAAATACTGAAAGAAAAACCTAGGAAATACCCTCTTGGCATAAGCTTTGCTAGAGAATTTGGCTAGGTCCCCAAATGCAATTGCAGCAAAAACAAAAATTAACAAGTGGAACCTAATTAAACTAAAGAGCTTCTGCACAGTGAAAGAAATTATCCATAGAGTAAACAGATAACCTATAGAATGGGAGAAAATATTTGGAAACTATGCATCTGACAAAGGTCTAAAATCCAAAATCTACAAGAAATTTTTAAAAAATCAACAAGACAAAAACAAATAATTCAATTTTTTACATGGGTAAAATTATTTTTTAATTTTTTTTTTTTTTTTTTAGAGACAGGGTCTTGCTCTGTCACCCAGGCTGAAATGCAGTGGTGTGATCACAGCTCATTGCAGTCTTGAACTCCTGGGCTCAAGTGATCCTCCCACCTCAGCCTCCTAAGTAGCTGGGAGTACAGACACACACCACCACGCCTGGCTTATTTTTGTTTTTCGTAGAGACAAGGTCTCGCTAAGTTGCCCCAGGCTGGTCTTTAACTCTTGGCCTCAAGTAATCCTCCTGCCCCAGCCTCCCAAGTAGTTAGGACTGACTACAGGCATGGGCCACCATACCCGGCTTAAATTTAAACTTATGAAAAAATTTTTAATTAAAATTTAAGTTCCACAGTCTAACTGCATTTAGAGTGCTCATTAGTCACAAGTGGCTAGTGTCCAATGTACTGGACAGTGAGATGTAAAATATTTGCAACACTGCAAAAAATTCTATTGGACAGTGCTGGTCTAGATAGTTTTAAAACAAATAATAAAGTCATTATGGTTTTTATTGTCCACATGCACTGTAATTTTAAACAATGTTAGTGATAAAATACCAACATCCTTCCTGCCCCCATTGACCCTCTCCATATGCCACTGTCCAAATAAACCTGCCTACTGAGACAGAGGATAACTAATCCAAGGGCAAACTAAAGCCTCAGTTGCATCCCTGCTCAAATGAATGCTAAAAATGAAAACAACAAGAAACCGGTGTATATTTCATTCCCTTTTTCTGTCCCTAACAGAGGTACCCTAAAGAAAGTCTATAGGTGATTCTATGAAAATCTAGAGAGAAAACTGATAAAGAATTTTAAATCACCAAACTCCATATACCCCCTTAAAATTTCACATAACACACATACAAAGGGGGCGGGCAGTGGAGGGCAGAGCACACCATTCTTCACCTCTCAACTGTATCTGTTCACATGGGAGGGAAAAGGCAACTCTGGCCTCAGACTCCCATTCTGGTAAAGTCCACTTCCCAAATACAAGCCTAAAATAGAACCAGCTTCTTTATTCCGAAAACGAATGGAAAAACGGGGCCGTGGAGAGCTGTTCAGCTCTCTATTACGGTCCACGCATTAAACTTTAACACAGCTATAGTCTTTTTCCTAGCACGAGTATTAGAAATGCACACAATGTTTCTAATTTCAATTCCCATCATATTCTGCAATGCTTTCAGAGGGTTCTGAATTTTTTATTTCTCATTGGGTCATGCCTTCCTGGCCACTGCTAGCTCCACCTGCTAACACATACCTCCCCACCCCCCACAGGCCACCCCAGGGAATGAGGATCAGAGCAAGGACTTCCTGCTTCCTACTCAATATTCTGCGGGCATTTTCTCCCAGGTACACGGGTTACCCAATTAAACACCACATTCCTGGAAGGAGATCTTGGCTCTTATCATTTCTGTGAATGCTTCATAGCTAAAAAACCAAACACTAGAAGATAAAATGAGAGCAGACAACAAAAATAACACTTGGCAATCTAGTATAGAAAGATGGGTCGTTCCCGGCAAGGGACCTTCCAGATATCCAAAAGGTAATAGTTTATGCCCCCAAAGTGTTACGCTGTAGTCCGCTGACATTATGTAGGAAAGCCGCAGGGTCACCCTGTCTCAGGACTGTTGCATGTGCTGCTCCTTCTCCCTGGAGTGCTCTTCCCATCCCACTTCACCTCATTACACCCTTTTCCTTAGCTCAGCTTCTCTTCCTCAGGGAAGAGTTCCTGTACCCTGCATGAATCTAGGTTCACACTCCTCTGACACTTTGTACTTACATTTCATGGCACTTATCACAGGTTATAATTAATACTTATTTGTAGAATTATTTCAAAAATGTCTGCCTGATCCCAAGTCCGAAGACTCAGTGAGGAGAGGGTCTGTGTCAGTTTTGTTCATCATGGTATCCCAAATGCCTAGTGCGTGGCATAGTAGGTAAATGATAATATTTGATAGGTGAAAAAATTGATTAGTGAATGAATAAACATCTTCTGAGAACCAAGGAACTATGTTCTTATACTGACATAACTTTAGCTTCAAATATAGATGGACCATGCATGGGTTTTATTAATTAAAAGAAATAAAGAGATATTCCGTTTTACTCTTTGAAACTAGCCGCTGGCATCAGACTGTTCTTTTGATGAATGGTGAAGGGAGAATCAACTAACAACCACCTCTGAAGTGGGATGCGATGATACCTTGCTTAAAGATTAAGAAGGCACAAGTCCAAACAGCCTTCTGCAAACACATTTTCTCCAATTCTACAAAACTGTCTTCTTTGTTACTGTTACTGTCCAAAGACTGTGCACCCCATCCTTCAAAATCCTATTTTGGCTAGGCACAGTGGCTTGTGGGAGGCTAAGGTGAGAGAATCATTTGAGCTCAGAAGTTCAAGACCAGCCTTGGCAACATAGTGAGACCCCGTCTCTCCAAAAAATAAAAAATTAGTTGGGCATGCCTATAGTCCCAGCTACTCCAGAGGCCGAGGTAGGAGGATTACTTGAGCACAGGAGATTAAGGCTGCAGTGAGCCATGCTTATGCCATTGTACTCCAGCCTGGGTGACAGAAACCTTATCTCAATAAAAAAAGAGAAAAAGAAAAAAAAAGAAAACCCTTTATTTATGTTTTACAAACATAATACACTATAAATACCTCCTTTTACTTCCTACAGTTCACTAAGTCTAACCTGGGCTACCACTGTGGAAGAGATTTCTCCTTTATCAGAAGGCACTTCAGCAAACTACACTCCTGTACAAGTTCTAATCCCTCTTAACTTGCTATTTGTAAAGCTGCTCAGATTTGAGGCCCTGTGTCCCTGGTCCTGACACCCCCTCACCTCCCTCCACCAACACTGCCACCCTCACACCCTGTGTGCTGTCATAGTTCCTCAAACTCACCCAGCACTGGCCCTCTCTGGGACCCAACCTGGAAGTTCCCTCTACCTAGGATGTCCTTCCTTAGACCTCTGCATGATTGCCCCCTGGCATAGGTCTTGACTCAAATGGTTCCCTAAAAATGCAGCCCACTAGGAAGCCCCATCCTTCTCCTCTGCCTGAATTTTCTCCATCACCTTCATCACCACCTGGCACACCTGTCTGCTTTTGCACCATTTCCCATAGCTCCATACAACCCCCAATAGACCAGAATCTAAGCTCTGTATGTATCTTTCTATGTTCACTGCTAAATCCCAAGTGTCTAGACAGTGCCTGGCACAAAGTCAGTGCTAAATAAATATTTGTGGAAGGCCTGAGTGAGTCTGCATTGTGGTGGTGCAACTTCTCATAAAATCTCTTCCCCAAGACTTTCTGCTCTAACCTGGTCTTTGAGTAGGGCCATAGCCATGGTCTGCTACAAGGAAGAACACGGTGGACAACAGAGAACACACACATCAATAAGAAAAAGAACACCTCCATTGAAAAGATAAAAACCAGCAAAGGACAGGAACAGGCAATTCACAAATGCACATGCACACACACACCACACACACACACACACACACACACACACAGCTAATAAATATATGTTTAAAAGGTTCAACCTCACATATAAGAAATGACATGTAAATTCCAGCTGGATCACTTATCACCTACTAAATTGACATGGATTTTTAAAGCATATACAATATTGGGAAGAATCCAAGAAAACAAGTACTCTTATACTTTGCTGCTGGGAAGGTAAATTATAAACTTTTTGGAAGGCTAACTGGCCATATATAACTATATATAAAACAATATAACTGGAATTCCACTTCTAGGAATTTATCCTGCAGAAATTACCAAAGGTATATATGCAAAAATAGATGTGCAAGGGCACACACTGCCTAAATATCCAACAATAGGAGATTGGTTTTTAAAAGCTGATACATTCACATTATGGAAAACTCTGCAGCCATTTATAATCATGCTAGAGAAGAATATTTCAAATGGGGAAAATGTTTATAAAATCTGTTTAAATAAAAAGAGGACACAAACTATGGTGGATATTCTATATCTCAACGTAGGAGAAATACATCATATGTCATTGATTTCTGTAAATGTGTGTCTCAGTCTGGATCCTCCAGGAAACAGAACCTGAGGCTGACACTTTCTTTAGCAGGTGCAGAACCAGGGCGACAAAAGTGAGGCCACTGGGAAGGGAAGTAAGAAGGACTGGGACATGATGCAAAGGCCCTACAGGCTCCCACTTTACGATGGGCCTACAAATGACACTGAAGTTGGCGCAGCACACAGGACTTTCTCTGGGCAAGCAAAAAGAAAAACCATGACTTGGTGTACACTGCAGGGGAGAAGGAAGAGGGGAACTTATCTGCCTGGCTTTCTCCCTTCTCCTATTCCCATTGTTCAGTGTGACTACAACACACTCTGGGCTGCATCAAAGAAGGTACATTTGGGATGTCACATCAAAGCACAAGTTCCTACTTAGGTATTTAGCTTTGAGAAAAGAGAGCTAAAACAAACCACAGAGTATGAAATGTGCTGATTTGGTTTTTAGCCCTAGGAATCTGTACTAAGCCAGAGTTGAGTATGCAGCAACAACAAAATCCAAATGCACATATGAGAGAGAGACTCGGTCACCCACGTGTCTGCCATGGAGCCACTGAAGCTGGAGCGAGGCGCAGGGCTCAGTCACTCCTGCCTCCCCAAGGATGTCTGCCATACCTTCTCCCTTCCTGGCGCCTCTGCCCCCCTGCACATTCACACAGCCACCCATGGCCACAGGTCCAAGGCAGAAAGCACTCTCACATACACCCGTCATGTGCAGCCAACTGGCAGCTATGTATAAGGAGGAAAACAGGTCTGGTTTTATACATGCCTGGGGTGGATTCTCTCTCCTTCCAGCACCTTTATCCCTTGCCACATATTTCCTTCAACATACTCTAAAGGGTTGGCTGTGTCTTGTGAGCTGATCTCTGGAGCCTTCTAGCCTTCCTCTTTCCTTCCAGAAGCCTCTTATCAAAACTGTTTGTGGCTGGGTGCAATGGCTCACATTTGTAAACTCAGTAATTGGGAGGATGGCTTGAGGCTAGCAGTTTGGGACTGGCCTGGGCAATACAGTGAGACCCCGTTTCTTCAAAAGAAATTTTTTAAATATGCCAGGGCATGGTGGTATGCACCTATAGGCCCAGCTACTCAGGAAGCTGAGGTGGGAGGACTGCTTCAGCCCAGTTTGAGTTTACAGTGAACTATGATCATTGCACTCCAGCTTGGGTAACAGTGAAACCTTATCTCTAATTAAAAAAAAAAAAAGCAAAAAAACAAAACTGTGCCTTAGTGGGGCTGAGCCCTCAGGCACAGTCACTTACAACAGGATTTGAGAAACTTCCGACTTTAGCTCCAACATGTAGAGATTTTGGGAGTTGTCACTGTCATTCTTATAACAAGAAAAGGCTGGACAAACTGAAAATTAAAGACTTTTCTTGAACCCATCAATAAACTAAGATCATAGGACAAATCACCACCTTGAAATCTGGAGAGACAAGCAAATCCAGAGTGGCAGTTGAGATCTGCTTAGCTGTGGCAGAAGCTTCTGGAGCCATAAACTGAAAAGAACATCTAAATGGTAATTTGGGGCTAGGTGTGGGGGCTCACACCTGTAATCCCAGCACTTTGGGAGGCCTACGCTGGTGGAAAACTTGAGGTCAGGAGTTCAAGACCAGCCTAGCCAACACGATGAAACCCCATCTCTTCTAAAAATATAAAAATTAGCTGGGTATGATGGCATACACCTATAATCCCAGCTACTCAAGAGGCTGAGGCACGAGAATCGCTTGAACCCAGGAGGCTGAGGTTGCAGTGAACTGAGATCACCCCACTGCAATCCAGTGTGGGTGACAGGGTGAGACTCCATCTCAAGAAAAAAAAAAGTCATTTGGTGAACTGCTGGAGGTGAGCATGAACTAGTGTGAAAGTGAGAAACTCCTGGGAGCCCATCATGCAGGGGTGGGGTGGGGAGGCAGGAGTGGGGAGATCCACATACTTTGGTGGATCTTTCCAGACAGGAACTGGACCAGATTCTCACAGTGAATTGCTGAGAAGACCCTCATGTGGCTCCAGTAGGAGAGAAGAGCAACCCTTGAGAAATACACATAGCCACATCTCCATAACAAAGGCCCACTTTCCAGGGAAAGGCCTACTCTCCAGGCTTTGCAGAGCCTCATCTGAGCTTTGAAAAAGGAATTGCTCCTACTCTTATCCCCTCCAGGATACCTATCTAAGTAGAGGGGGAAAAAAACCATAGTTACAAGAGGTCAGGGCTTTGAGGAAATAGGCTGGAAAGGCTGCAGGCAGAAAGGGAGCAGGAACCTGCTGCCATTGCCTGTCCTTGGAATCAAGCAAGAAGCACGGCGCCCAGTCAGCTTGCTCGAATTCTGGAGCATGCGTATCCCACCTCTGGGAATACTGCTAGTTCCTAACCATAAAACTACCCCCAAAGAAGGTCACAGTTGAATGGGAGCATAAACTGCATCAGGCTATCTTTGAATTGCAAAAAGCAGTGGCTCAGTCAAAGCCTGTTGGGCCCTATGATCCACACTCAGATAGGACTTTGGAAGTGTCTTCAACCTGCACTTACACAGACTGAAGCTTAGGGCACAGCTCATGACTACCAGCCAGCAGCAAGCACTGGAATCTCAGACCTGAACATTTCTAAACATAGTGGTATGGTATATGCCACTCGAGAAATGACTATTGGCTTGCTGTTGGGTACTAAGGAAAATTGCCCCAATGACTGAAAGACATAAAATAATCTTGAAATCTGAAATACCCATAATGTCTTAGACAATATTGACAGAGAAACACTCTAATAAGAAAGGCAGTTCCCAGAAGAGTCACATAATAAAATGGAAATGGTCACGCAGAAATATGCTAACAGAGGAACTCAAGGAGCTACTCACTGTATCCATGAACAGGTAGTCTATTTTCACCTAGGGCCAACTTTGGAACCACCTGAAAAGCTGCCAGACCCTACTGTCATATGCGCAGTGCCCTATGACCAACTCACAACTGACCAACAAAAAGCTGCCTGGTTTACAAATGGCACTCCAAGATAGATGGGCAGCATTCTGTTTGGAAGTCCATTACACCACAACCGACTAATAGGAAAACTCTGATTAAAGAAGGTTAAGAGTAAATCAGCTCAGTGTCCTAATCTGTAAACTGTTTTCCTCATAATGAAAAAAATATAGGCAACAATATGAGTCCTGAAGTTTGAGCATATACATATTCATGGGCAGTAGCCATGGCTTGCCACATGGTCAGACAGAACACAGGGCTATTGAGGGTATACCCACATGGGGCATGAACCTATGAAAACCACTATGGTAATTTAAGGAGCTAAACAGACATGTTGATGCCCATAAGAACCTTCTTCCAGGACAGAAGGTAACTGAAACCAACTAGTGGATATTGGGTGTGCTCGCTTGGGCCAGCCATCTGTGTCCAAAAAATAAATAGACAAGGGAGCTATGGCAAGGTAGAGATGAGTTGACTGTCAACATTTTCCTCTTGTATGCTCTAAGGCACAAAATGTCAAGGATTGTCCTGTCTACCAGCAAGAAAGAGACTACAGACAGCTAAGGGAGGAAGGTTCCACACACAGCTGCCAAGGACAACAGACAACATGGGACCACTGCTTCTACACTCAGGAGGCCACACATGGGTCCTAACAGGAACATACATTTACTCTGGACTGGGTTTTGCATACTGGGTGGGATATGGTAATGCTCAAGACACTATTAGTGGATTAAAACAATAGATACTGTGCCCATCTGGGAGAGCATGTTACATTTCTTCAAAGCAAGGAACACAGTTTACAGCACAATGTCCAACAATGGGCGAAGAAATCTCTCATCACATGGTCACACATCACGTATATATCACCCTCAGAGTAGTGGCCTGATGGAATTGAAAGAGGTAATTGAAATGTCTGTTGCCTAAAATGGGAGGAGATGAGCATATGAGGGGCTGGTTATACACCTTCACAAATACGGGTTCCCCCTCTCAGTAGATCAATTATACTTCTTTTTAAAATCCACAGTGATTGCCCAGAGCTTACAATACACACTTGTAACTCATCTAAGCCCACCTTCAAATAACACTGTACTGTTAACGCCTGTGGGCAGGTACCATAGAACAGCACTCCCAGTTCCTCCCTCCCATGGCTAGTGGCACCGCTGCCACTCATCTCCCTTATCCATATGCCACAATCGCCAGGACATCATCACTATGATTGGTTTAAATCGTTAACTTTTGAGTCAAGTAAGAATAAGAAAAATAAAAGAATTTATTTTACTTTCATTTATCTTTCCCTGACGCTCTTCTGTTCTATATGTAGATCCAAATTTCTAACCTACTGATAATATTATTTTCCTTCTACCAGAAGAACTTCTTTTAACATTTCTTGCCGGACAGGTCTACCAGCTATGGATCCCCTCAGTTTTGGTTTGTCTGAGGAAGTGTGTTTTTGTTTCATTTCTAAAGGATAACTTCCCTGGATTTAGAGTTCTAAATTGGCAGCCTTTTTCTCTCAACACTGGAAACATTTTCTTCTACTCTCTTCCTGCTTACATGCTTTCTGACAAAAAGCCCATTCTAATTCCTGTCCTTGTTCTTCTCCAGACAATGATGTTTCATTTTCATATTGAAAAACTTCCCAGTAAAACACCTTCCTCCAAAAAACACTTGGTGGATCCCATAGAATTTCCAATGGGATAAACCTGAATGATATGTGCAATCCAGACAAATTAATGATGGCTCAAGCGGATGACATCTTGCCATAAAAAGTGTCTGTGGGGCTTCATCTGATTTTCACATTATAATGCTTAAAATAATTGCACGCCTTGCCTGCAAACCAGATTGTAAATGAATCCAGTTGCTTATAAAGTGTCCCAAATGGACAGACAGCTCAGCGTGCCCAGCTGGCATCTGAACCCTGAGATGACAGCTTCCCATCCCCAGTCAGGAGTCTCCTGCATGAGGGTGTGTGGCTCAGTACTCAGGACCACCTAACCCTGGCTAACTCAGATAAAAAGCTCCAAACCACTCACCCGGCGTAGAAACACACAACAACAACAAATCACTGGGATAAAGAGCAGAGAACACTTATTTCTTGCAAGTGGTTATTTGTTGACTTATAGAAAAGGACTGGCGAAAAACTATTCTGAACCAAATTACTTATTGATACACAGTCAAAACAAAAGTCTCTCTATGGTGGTTCCTGGGGACGCAGTAACAGCTGGAAGACTTTTATGGTTCATAAAATTGTCCTTGTGATACAGATAAACTCACTCATTCAGGGAACCATTTTAAGATGACACCACCAAAGTTTAACCCGTCATCTACTCTGAGCTGGCTTTATTTTGTACTTTTAACCTCCTGAAGTGAGGCCTGTTCAAGGTCACCTTGTCTCAGACCACAGTAAGAAAATAGCTGTGTGGTTGCTTTGCTATCTCCCTACAGTAGAGACACGGAGGCCTTGGCCTGCACACCACAGGAGTGAGCACCCCACATTGGAATCAGGAGCCACACTCCAGAGGCAGCGATACCAGATGCTTCAGTTACCCAGACCATGGCATGGAGCTATACTATGACAAAATGAAGGTCAGAGTAGGTGTTCAATCCAGGCACAGTGGCTCACACCTGTAATCCCAACACATTGGGAGGCCCAGATGCGAGGATCACTTGACCCCAGGAGTTCAAGACCAGTCCAGGCAACATAGTGAGACCAAAAAAAAAAAAAAACGTAGACAACAACAAAAATCACTGTGATAAAGAGTGTCTCTACAAAATTAAAAAAAAAAAAAAAAGTTAGCCAGTCATGGTGGCACACACCTTTAGTCCCAGTTACTCAGGAGGCTGAGTGGGGAGGATTACTTGAGCCTGAGAGGTCGAGGATGTAGTGACCCATGATTGTGCCACTGCACTACAGCCTAGGTGACACAATGAGACCGTGAATAAAATTAGTGATTTGATAATCTGCAAAATGGGTGTTAGAAATGAGTTCTCACCAGTGAAATTAATGGTATATGTGAAATGTAGATTGGCTATGATATTTGAAGCACACTCCCCTCCCCAGCATAAACAAGGTATATAAATCTACCTAGGTCTATAGTCTCTACAACACCTAAGGAAGGTGTCCAAAGTTTAATTCCTGAGCAATGATACATATACTGATCCTGGATCAGAGACTTCTGAGGGCCTAATGGAGACCCAATTTTATGAACCATAAAAGTCTTCCAGCTGTTACTGCATCCCCAGGAACCACCATAGAGAGACTTTTGTTTTGACTGTGTATCAATAAGTAAGAGATAACAGCTCCTGCTCCTATATCTAGAAGATGTGGCATCTCTCCTGAGCAAGGAGGCTTCAGCAAGCTAACAGAACAGGTTGCAGGAAATATTTAGGGCTTACTTATTAATTCATGTCTCTTTAATAAACCTTGTAGAACAGAATTTGGTTACTTATTTCCATCACATCTGGCAGTGAGGGAATAACCAGCCCTCACCCACCTCAAACATCTAGCAGTGATAATTACCTACCAAAAAGAATCTAGGAGTTGAATATGGCCAGTTTGATTAGGTCAGTTCTCAACAGCAGTTTATTCTTCCCCCTGACAATCAGGCAGATCAGTGTTACATATAAATCATACCAGAAAGGGTAATTATTTGAAATCTCACTTTTAATATCTGTTCTCCAAAAAATGTATCTCAAGTTCCCAGACTCCTTAGAAAATTAAAGACACTAGTGGCAAATTAAAATCACTACTACAGTTTGGATGCACGTCATGTAAACCTCAGACTATAATAAGGTGGGAGAGAACAAGGTTCATGCGCTTTATGAGGGAACCTTGTTCCACACCATGAATAAATAAATAGGCACCTGATCCTTTTGATAATGGTGACTGCCAACAGCACTAACCACGAGTATTATTCCCATAGCAACGGTTGTCAGGCCAACAGGCCTTTTCAGATGCAATCAAAGAAAATGTAAATCAAGAAACACTTTCACAACTCAAAAGGATGGTCTTGAGAAAACCAGAAATAAGTTGCTGGCTCACTCATGGACCTGGTTAAGGGTGTGGCTCACTCCGGGTTTAACTCTGAATACTATAGAAATGTCAAAAAACAGCTGCTGACATAAGCCCAGGGTCTCACTAGCTTTTTCTTCCACTCCTAATAAGCCATCTAATGGATGACCAGACAACATGGAGAAAAGAGCTCTCCTAGAAAGCCAAGGCCCAGAAGAGTGAGGAGAAGGCCTGTGTCCGGCAGGGTCTACTGATTCTAAGCCTACGACATACTGAGAAGAAAATCAACTCTCTATCAAGGAATGTGATAGATGTGGGGTGAGCAGGGGAGGGGAGAAAAAAAAGTAGTGCTGGCAATGCAGGAGGAAGGGAAGAGGAAGGGCGGTGACGAGGGGAGGAAGAGGAATGGGGAAGTAGAGAGAGAAAACAAATGCGGAACCAAAAAGGTAAAATGTTGCCTTCCCAGAGGGTAAACAGCTCACCTGAACTTCATTTCAACATTGAACATTTAGCTAATGTCCATTTTATAATCCTAAAAGTGTATTTCTGATATGTTTTCAGATCTTTTATTTTAGAATAGATCACAGTTACAATATGGTCTCACCTGCAATCGAGTTTCAAAATATTATATTACGAGTTTCCAGAAAATGACAAGTATCAGAACTCAAGAGATACTACATGTCCAGTGAGATGTGGGGTTAAAGTAGGCAGTGGGCTAACCTAGAAAGATGCAAGCTCATATGAAGAACAATTTCTGGACAGTAAAGTTGAATTACCAGTGGAGGTGTTAACAGTCCACCCCTCACCCAGAGGCCTCATAAAATCAGCTCTATTTCCTCTCACCTAAGGGGCTGAGCTGGTGCACCTGCAGACAGAGGGCTGCGAGGTGGCCCCATGGCCCCAGGTGCTCTCAAGGTGCTGATCAACCTGAGGCTATCTACATCAGGTCGCTCCAGTACACAAGCAGTTTCACTAATTTCTCTTATTTGCTGACCTACCTGACCCTGCTGGCATTTAGTGAACCTCTTGGTTTCAAATTCTCTTCTAAGCCTTTCTTTTATGTTCCAACTAAATTGGGCAATATTCTATTGTCTCAAAAATCTCAGTGAAACCTGCATTTCTAATTTATCCCGCAAGAAACCAAAGAATCAAGGTGTGCAGTGTTGTAGAAGTGAGCTCTTCTCTTTCCTCTCACCAAGCATGTTTAAGATCACACTTGTGTATCCACTAAGGAGAGCTGAGGTTTAATTTTTAAAAAGAAGCAACTCCATTTCTCAAATTACTGCTTAAGATTGTGTAGATAGTCCCGAACTTTGTCTTTGCAGTTGTATTTGGATAGAAGTTTGTAAAGAGAGAAAAATAAGAGGGAATTCGGGACCTAGTTCTTATCTGACCCGGCCTCTCTGTCCTGTGTCCTCTGCATCAGTAAACTGAAACAGTTCTCCTTTCAGGTGTGGGGGGAATTTAATAAAACTGTATCGGTGGAAGGTTCTAGACACTCTGGAAAGTAAACATCTGCATTAATCAGTGTTTGTTGAACACCCATGGCTTATGAAAAGCATTCCCTGGGAGCAGATTTCCACCACGTCCAACATCAGAGCAAAGCGTTCTGCTCAGCACAGGATGGGCATTAGAGGCATGTTAGCCAGTTTTGATCACCCCTCCCCAGTTCTCTGTGTCAAGTGTTCTTAAATAAGAGAAAACAGCTCTGGGAGGAAGAAAAAAATTCAGCAACATAAACTAGGAGCATCTCATCAACGAACTGTTCCCTACATAACTCAGAGCTGCACAAGAGAACACGGATTCTTCAGCAACAAGTTGAACAGTCACAGCTCCAGTCCATTAAAAAAAAAAAAGTGACATGTTATCTACTCAATGGAAAAACTTGTGCATGTTTTCTTTCGGTCTGTAGAAACAACACAGTGAAAACTCAAACCATTTCAAATGCACTTGGGCTGTTAAGGGTTGTAAAGCTCTTGCATTCAAGCAGAGGAAACAAAAGCGTCAAATAAGAAAATATTTACTTGCTCATAAAGTTCACAAGAGAAGGTATTCAGCTGTATGTTATTTATAAATGATTAATTACTTTGTCACCTGAATAATGTATAGGAAATACCTGTTTCTTTTCTTTTTAGGGGGTGGGAGGCAGTAAGAATAAAAACAAGAGAAACGCACGGCAAGTAGGAGCTAGGAGCTGGTAAATGTGAGTTCCTTTCTCCTTCCCTTTCCTGCCCTTTTGGGGGGCTTGATATGGAATTACTCAAGGGCGAACGAGAATTACTCCAGCGCATGCACAAGTGTGAAACACCAGACTGGGATCCAAAAGTCTGCTTGTCACTGAGCCGTAAGTTAACCAGCGGCAGAGCTGAGAACAGATAGGACCAAAATGTGATCCTACAAGCAGCAGCCGTCGGTGAAGACAGTCAGGACATCTCTGGTCTTCAAGGCTCTGAAGATAAATCAGTTGTGTGTGCACTCTACTCTTGTCTGTTTTGCTGCTCAGCAGAACCTTGAGATTTTGGGTGGGTAGAGACAAATGAAGGTTCAAACATACAACCGTCAATTTTCCAATTTATTGGCTACACCACGGGGTGGAGAAAACAGCTTCTCACAGGGGAGGCTGCTTGGGTTTCCACTTGAGTTGCCTGGCAGTTGCAATTCAATCTGCACATGCTACTCCCCACCCACCCCCGACCTAATTTCTTTAGACAATTAGGAATAGCTGACTTTTTTAAAAAAACAAGGCAAACTCCACATAAACAAAGTTGCTCTATCACCTCATTTTTTTTATTCTACCAAATTGGCAAACATTCACAATGATGTGCTGACTCCAAGGTGGGGAAGGGGCACCTGCAAACTCTGCCAGTTAAGGGTACAACATACAAACATCACAGAGGAGCTCTTGATGAGCAGTTTCGAAACCTTGGACATGTCTGCATTCTCTACCCCAGCATTACAGGTCTGGGAACTTACAGCAAGCATCAACCTGGGCTACATGGCAAGATTCAGTACACAGTACAGTTCACCAAATCACTGCTCCTAAGAGGAAAAACTAGAGCATAACTCCAAAATCCAAAAACAGTGATTTCGCTAAATAAACTATGATATGTCTTATGGCAGAATAGTAGGCTGCCATCAAAATTGAGGTCAGAAAAGATTATTTCAAGGTATGCAAAAACATACCAATATTCACAATATTAGGAATAAAAAACTTAGGTTATAAATCAGTATGTTGTGATCCCATTTCGTAAATACACACATAGGTATATTTACATATATATGTGTAAATATACACATAGGTATATTTACATATATGTGTGTAAATATACACATAGGTATATTTACACATATATATGTGTGTAAATATACACATAGGTATATTTACATATATATGTGTGTAAATATACACATATGTAGCCATAGGAAAAAAGGACTACATAGAAAAAAGACTAAAACCATTTTGGTAATGTGAAGGTTAGAATTAAAGGTGATCTTATTTTCTTCTTTTTAAAAACAAGATTAAGTATCATCATTGATTTAAAGAGTACAAAGTTTGAAGAAAATGCTTCCCCGAGACATTTGGCAAGGATACAGCTTTCCTCTATTATGCCCAGGCAGCCACCTCTGAAAGCTCCCTAGAATATAACTCAAGAATGGCACCCAAAATCCCTGAGCATCTTGTTCCTCTCCAGCCATACAAAGGGATGACAACAACATGGATCCAGCAACCGGAAGGTATGTTTGCCACTGTGTGTCAGCCAGACTTCAAAATGGTCCCCAGTGATTCTTGCCTCCTGGTATTCATGACCCATGTAGTCAGGTAGGTCTGACCTACATAACCAACAGGATGCTGCAGAAATGACAGTATGGGACTTCCAAGGCTAGGGCTCTGGGGGAAACCAGTCCACATGTTGTGAGGACATTCAAGCAGCCCTGTGGAAAAGCCCATGTGGCAAAACACTGAGGCCTCCTGCCCACAGCCAGCATTAGCTTCCCAGCCTCTGTAGTGGGCCACTTTGGAAGTAGGCGCTCCTGCCTGTCCAAATTACAGTGGACCGAGGCCCCAACCAAAAGCTTGGCTGGAATCTCATGAGACACCCCTGGCCAGAAACACCTGGGCTCAATGGTCCAAATTCCTGACCCACAGAAACTGTGTAAAAAATGTTTATTGTTGTGTTGAGCTGCTGAGTTTGGGAGTAACCTGCTATGCTGCACTAAACAACTAACAGAGACGGCCTGACTTAAAGACCAATGTGACACACACAGAATTCACTTCCCAGGAGCTGGGACTGGGGTCTCCACCAGCACAACTGCAGGCAAAGGCTGAAAGGTCTCTGCACAGGCACCCACACTATTCTGCCCAGGGTGGTCCCAGGGGCAGAGGCAGGGGCAGATTTCCATCACCATGGTCTAGGGCTCCCCTGTGACAGACGGGAGGCCAGCTGATTTCCAAAACTGCTTGGTGAGCACTAACTGGGGCAGCAGAGGAGGGGCATCAGCTCCCCCAGAGGAGATAGCATCTGGCCTTGTCCACAGAGGCACTAGGAATCAATCTGGAGTCACGAGGTCACATGTGGCCCCAAATTGGGGGTAAACCCACAGAAGAAACGACCCTCCACAAAGTAACTCTTGAAACTATGCATGCTGCCCTGCAATCCCTTTGATGTACCTTTAAGTTCATTTGGACCTTTTGATATTTGTTCTTGAAGTCATCTCCAAGTAAAATTATTTAACTCTCAATATCGTGACCATATTTTAAGTGACTTGGGTTAACTGCCTCCCTATGGAACTGCTACAAGCAGTTTCTAATTTAAACAGCATTTTTTCCATTCCCCTCTCTACCTCTTCTCCTGCTTTTTAAAAAATCATAAACGTTTGGTAATAATCTCAGGGTTGTCAGTTAAACACTGCAGGCAAACACTGGAAATCAAGACAGCCAGGCTTCCAAGTCAATAAAATTATTATTGCTCAGAATGTTTCACTTGCAACAGTTTCTCTGTATATTAATATCAAATCAAGTTAGTAAATTGGAAAAAAAAATCACCAAAGTAGGATATATAAATCCACAGGGAAATACAGAAATTTAGCAAGTAATTACAGGAAAAAAGGTAATCCTGAGAAATTTGGTTTGGTCATTTAAGAAAAGGTGATTCTGAAATGGTTTGTAACAAAATAGAAAAATACGATAAAGTTTTTAAATTGTTAGTTCTAAATAAAAAAAAAAAACTAACATAGGGTTTTATTTCATTTTTTTAGAGAAACATTTTTCTCTAAAATGGATACAATCATTTTTATGTAGTGGGCCACCACACAATTTATAGAGAAAACTAATCAGATCAACGTTGCCAGGGTGGTTTTGTGGGACTCTCGGCTGAAACACACTCTAGGCCCACACAGCCACACAACTACCTCTCTGAGGACTGGTAAAAAGACCTCTGTGTTTGTTCCCCGGAGCCCAAACTAGAAATACCATTTTCCCTCTCCTGTAAGGGTATTTTTTTAACGTCATTTTAGACATAAACAGGCTTTAAAGAGTAGAAGTGCTTTTGAAGATAATGAGTTACAGTATTTCAAAGAAACTGTACTTTTATTTTTCTAATCAACTGAGACAGACACCATTCTAAAAAGGTCAAGAATCATAAACTTGACAAGAAAAGTTTTCATCACTCTAGGCCTTTCCCTTTACATTATATAAGAGCAGGAATCTGGGAAGAATTAAGTCCCTCCCATTCCCTCTCCCAATAACTTGTAAAAAGGAGTAGCAGTCACAAAAGAAAATATGATTCATAGATATATTCTACCATGTGTTTTGACTTGTAGAATTTTTCATACCAGAAAAGGTTAAACATTTTATTAACTGTAAGGTGTTTAGGTGGGTACAAAATATGAGGAAAAAACATTAATTAACCTCAAAATTTCAACTTGGGACTTGAACATACTGGACAGATTAAACAGCTAGGCTATCAATTAACAGTTACAGATAATAACAAGACTGTGGAAACCAGATGGCACTCCATCAATAAGCTACTCCATAAGTACGAATGACATCTGGTCACTTAACTCTTTCTGCAATTCACTAATTCGATAAACAGTTACTGAGCGCTTGTTATGTACCCAGCCACCACCGTGCTCAGTATCGCCATGCATAGAATGAAGCAGAACCCAGCTGGACGACAGGGCCCGCTCGCTTTTTGGCTCAGAAGCCGGAGACTTCTACATCTAGGAAGCCAAATTATGAACTGAACAGCACCTGTCTGGCTTATCATAACAAACAACCATAATGGTACAGCCCCAAATCAGCTAATGTATTAATTAACTAAAGGAAGTTTGCTAGACCCTACTGAATTCAGCAGGACCACTTACAATGAGGATGTTGACTTGTTAGGTATCTGCTTTAGGTTTAACCAATGGAGTTCCCCTATCTATCCAAACTCTGAAAAGGGGAGAGAAGATAACTTGAATAGTATAAAAGAATGTAAGACCCATAAAATAATCCTTTCATTCTTAGAGAATTTTTCTGAAGCTAAAATTCTTCAAAATACTGAGTTAGGATATCATTTTGGAAACTGTTATAAAATACCAATTTGGGAAATATAGTTTGACCCAAACAGGGAAACAAATCTTTTTTTCTTGAAAGTTAGTATTGATAAGCTTTTTGGTGAATACCTAAGTTCAAAAAAAAAAACTGAAAAAAGCTATTCAAACTCACTAGATTTATTTAGCTATGGCATGTGAAACAAGCATCATGCCCAAGTCTGGAGTCAGCTAACTGCTTTACAAAGGTACTGAGGTTGCAAAGGACTTAATTGGTTCATAAGCTATCTCTAAACAGGTTGATTTTTTTTTTAATTTTCTTTGTCTTGTAACAATGATGACTTAGCTTTTACATTCTTTTATTTGTGACAGGGTCTCACTTTGTCACTTGGGCTAGAGTGCAGTAGTGCAATCACTGCTCACTGCAGCCTTGACCTCCTGGACTCAAGTGATCTGCCCACCTCAGCCTCCTGAGTAGCTGAGACCACAGGCATGCACCACCATACCTGGCTAATTTTTTAACTTTCTGTAGAGATGGGGTCTCCCTATGTTGCCCAGGCTGGTCTTGAACTCCTGAGCTCAAGTGATCCTCCCACCTCGGCCTCCCAAAGTTCTGGGATTACAGGTATGAACTACTGCGCCCAGCCAGCTTTTGCATTCTTAAAAGCTGTATTTCAAGGTGGTTTGACATCTGGGTTGCTCTTGAACGTTCTGGTGACTGTAAATGGAGAAGTTTCTGCACACTGGCCCCAGCTTTCCAAGTTTATGTTTCCTGCCCTCAAACTTCTTGCCCCAGCAACCTCACTTCTCTCTCCAGGCCCAGGTCTGGTGAGGACCAAGGGGGCTGCTCTGCTCCCAGAGACCACAGTTTTGTTTTTGTAAATGTAGATATACATGTCCTGGAAGTCATCAGAAATTAAGCAAATATAGTCATGCCAAAATATTCCTTTTAAAACATCTGCTCTAACAACAACCAATTAAAGTGATGACAGAGCCTCTGAAAAGTAAAAGAGATGACCATGCTAGTGCTGTTTTTAATGCTTTATGCAATAAATAGCACAGGAGTAACTTATCCAGCTTACTCTGCCTTCAGCCTCTCGGTTATGAAGTCAATGCTTTAAAAGTGGAATAACTCAGACTGCAATTGGCCAAAAAACATCAAGCTGTTCTGTGCTGATGGAGACGGGATAAAGGCCTTGAGAAATAATGAAAAGGAGGCCCTGCACTAGGGAGTTATATTCATTCATCATAGGGATCAATTAAAACCTCCGCATGACCCCAGACTCTTTACAACTACAATGTTTTAAACATTTTTTCATTGAAATGTTCTCAATTAAATAAGCCATTAAAGTAAGAGAACAAAATTTAAACTGTAATGAGACCAAGGTCTCAAGATAAAATAAATACTAGAGAATGAGAAAGAGGCCCCTTACATGAGAATGTCATGTGAAGTGGCAGCCTTTCTCCATCCACCTGCCTTGATTCTACTAAGCAACAGAGCCACAGACTGCAGATTCCAGGGCATGTGCACAGTGGGGACTGTTTGGAAGAGCACTGACTGAGGATTGACAAGGCATCTCTCAGTTCCATTTCCATGAGGTTGTCATCCACAACCACACCCAAGAATGGCCAGCACACCCAAGAATCTGCCGAGTGGGTCCATGGGACAAACACTAAAGGAAATGACACAAAATAATTCACTATGAATGCCACTAGCACTTGAGACTCACGTTTTTCTGTTAATAGGTGATACTGATGATGATGACAATGTTTTCACTGTCTGGATGTACAGAAACCTCTGAAGGTTTCACTCCATGGCTTCTCTGTTCATTGGCTTGATTTGCTCTTAGCCTCTCATGAACCAATGAAGAACGACAAGATTGGATGTGAGCAGGAGAAACAGCAACACCATGTTCTCATTCCAGTGACACAAAGCTTCTTTATTCTGAGTAAACGACTTTATTTAGAACTCTAATCAAAAGCAAATATTTGTTGACTGCCTACTCTGTGCACTGCAATGGGAGCTGTGGCAGAGTTTTAAGTTCTGGTTCTTGCCTTAAGAAGTTGATAATTTAATTGCAGAACAAGAGATGAGCTCTTGAGAAGTCAAATGGAAATGACTTACATTTGTTTGCTTGTTTTTGAGACACAGCCTTGCTCTGTCACCCAGGTTGGAGTGCAGTGGCGTGATCTTGGCTCACCGCAACCTCCGCCTCCTGGGTTCAGGCAATTCTCCTGCCTCAGCATTCCAAGTAGCTGGGATTACAGGCGTGCACTACCATACCCAGCTAATTTTTGTATTTTTGGTAGAGATGGAGTTTTGCCATGTTGGCCAGGCTGGTCTCGAACTCCTAACCTCAAATGATCAGCTCACCTCAGCCTCCCAAAGCGTGGGATTATACGCATGAGCCACCGCACCCAGCCAAAATGACTTACATTTGAAGACAATGAGAGCGCTAACAAGCGGCTGTACACATCAGCAGTACACACACACGGACATCCCATGCCTGCCATTCAAATTCAAAATCCAAGCTAGAGAGAAGAGGGCAGGAAGAAGGAAGCTAATTTGCAGCCATGCAGGTGACAGAGTTAGAGCATAGACTTGTGGACAAGAAAATGCAGGTGTGCGCTTGCAGACAATCCCTACAGGGAAGCAGTCAGAGACAGGAATGGAGATACAGACCTGGCTCGCCTGAAGTTTGATCTTTACCCCCAATGGAACTGGAGCCAGCAAAGACTTGTGGAGAGAACTGCTGTGATCAAAGCGTTCAAGAAATGTTAAGCAGGCCACGGTATGCAAGACACAGTACAGAAACCCTTGGCATGCAGACCCCCCCGGGAGCGATTGGAATAACCCAGTTTGGAGTGATAAGGCCTCAAGTTCAGCAGTCACACACACACAAAATGGAAAATCTGGGTCATCTGCACCTAACTTTTAGAGGCTGGGGAGAGGGGTGAGTGAGGCACTAAGGGCAGGCCCAGCAGAGCAAGCGCTCAGTCGACAGTGGTCACTCGTTGTTTTCATTATCACCAAGATGTGGATGAACAAGCCCTGGTTACAGATGAGGAACAGAAAGCCAAGGAAAAGGGGGTAGATCCCAAGAGCCTGATCCGATGACAGAATCCTGCACATGACAGGAGAAAGAGGAGCTCAGCCGAGGAATGCAAAGACGGGCCAACTTTCAGGCGGAAATACCTGGCCTTCAGTTTCATGCAGGTCCACAGCCTGGAGGTAGTCGCTGACCTGAGGGAAGGGACAGGACTCTCAAGGAGAGGGCATCAGGCAGCATCAAGGGCAGACCCTTGACCAGTGGGAGGGGACCCTGCTGGCAAACCCTGACTCCAGAGCTACGGCTTCCACACTGTGTGGCCAAAGGCCCCTCAGGAGTGGCCTCAGAGACGCCCCTTCCCACACACTCCTACTCACCTCACTACCCCCTGGTCCCCATGTCAAACAGCAGCTCATGATGTTTCCTATTACAGTCCAGATATAATTACAAGTCCACAAAGGGGTCCTTGCTAAGGAAGCTTGAACACAAGTGCTCTATAAAGTGCCCTCCCTGCCTTTTGAGGATGGAGCCAAGCCATCAAGGTGAGCTGCGCCTCTCAGATATGCCTGTTCTGGGCGAGACTTGCACCTCAAAGATGCTCGTTAGCCAGAATAAGAAGAAACACATTTCTGAAAGCAAGGTGGCCACAGCTGCAAAAATGTCCAATTCTATAGCATTAAAGCTGAAAAGAAAACCTTTAAATGACCTCACATTCAGCTCTAGAAGTTGAGAGGCAGAAAAATCTGGAAAAGGGCAAGTTAAGCTATTTAGTTTCCTCAAGAAAGAACAGTGAGCAGTTCAGAGAGGACTATGAGCTGCGTGAAAATGAGAACCTGGTAGCTCATTTCACTCAACAATGCCACTGTGGCTCCAGATGCAGAAGAAAACACCTCACAGTAATGACTCGGGGGCTCAGTCTCTATCCCCTGACCACTGGCAGTGGTGGCCCCAGGAGCTCTCACACTCAGGATGGGGCCTTGCCACAGGTGTGGGTCAAGCTAACTTCACCGACAACAGAGGTCTTCAAATGGTGCCACCGTCCCACTGCTTGGCTCCTGGCTCTCTCACCCCTAACAGTGGCAGGATTCAGCTGCCATTCTTCAGCATTACACTTGCATGCCAAAATCCTCACAGAAACATAACTGCCTGCTCCTTTTTAGAGCTGTTAGGAACTGACCTGTTTATCATGTGTGTAACACACTGACATCCCATAAACAGAAACTCAAGAAAATTCAAAATTCAAAATAGCTTGTCCAACTATATCCTACAACCAGGTAGCACTCAGCACTCATGCTATCGTACTAGCCCAAAATGTGTTTCTAAGTTTCAAAACATAAATCAAAAATAGATAATAACTGGTACTACAGACATCTGGTATCTTAAAAATATATAAACACATGGACAAACATATGTTGTTCTGTTCAACAGTACTGCAAGAACCAAATACTGACATTTGTAACACCTTCAGGAAGCTATGTTAAAAGCAATGCATCTTGTTTTCTTTTGGAAAAAGAACTGGCAGCCTCTGTCTAAATGTATCAGCCATACACATGTGCAGACAGTTTAACGACTGCCCTGGGCACCTTCGCACGTATAAGCATTTCTCATTTGGGATACGCAAGTCATTCCCACCTGAGGTAGGTAGATACTCCCTATGCATCTGACGAGGGCCTTCTGCAGGTCAAGTAATGTGCCAGGTGCCAGAGATAGAAGAGAAATGACCTGGCCCCAGAGGCAGAGGCGTGGGGAGAAGGGAGAGGGCGCTCAGGTGGGGGGCTTTCTGTGGAAACCTGGCAAACAGATTTAGGTAAGAAGCGGCAAGTGACTGGACTCATTAACACAGAAGCTGGTGGTCAGTTCATAAGGCAGACGGATCCATGTCATAGTTGCTGAAAGTCACCTGAACGTGTGGCAGGGCAAGGAAGAAATGCCTTCATTGGATCAACAAATGTTCAAAAAAACACCCGCTGTATGCCAGGGGGGACCTTCCCTTCAAGGGACACACGCCCTCTCATGTGCCATCCTTCTTTCAAGTAAACTGATAAGAGGGGAACTGCCAGCAGAGCAGCCCCATTTGGTTCCCGAGTCCCAAAACCTCCTCTCTGCCTGGCCCATCAGCGATCTTTCAGCTCTGGAAAGGCTCGTCAGGGCCGCTTAGACAACAGTGGTCTCCTCTCCAGGATGAGCTGAGCCATCTTTGAACTCTGCAGTCCCTGGCTGCTTCCTGGAACACCTGCTGCTGATGAAAAGCAGGCCCCAATTTGATGGGTACCAGCTGCTGAGAACAAAACACTCAAGGTAATCGTGGTGCAGAATGGCTGCTTTAATGAAATGCAATGCCATCTGATGGGCTAGGTGCACTTCATGAAACGAGAGGTCGGGTTTCCTTTTAAAAGCAAACTACACAGATCCCTTTGGCATCCCCACCACGTAGCCCTCCTTGGTTTCCACATCCACTTAGAATTCTCTCACACCTGCTGGAAGTCATGGGTCATAAGCAAATCACAAGTGCCTCATACTGCCAGGCTGGATGGAACCGTTTGGCTGGCTGCTGCTTTAGTCACCTGGGGCTGCTTCCAGGAGCAGCGCCTTCTTCCCTGCCCCTCCCACAATCTGCACTTAGAAATTCGGTACAAATCCCTTGTTTTCTTCAACTCTGGGTTTCATTTATAGGGGTTGGAAACTAATGTGCTTTTTGGCTCATATAATGAGAAAAATCTTTTGATTAAAACACACACATAAACTGATTCCTTTTTTGAAGCAAACAAAACTATTTTCCATGTTGCTTTAAAAAAAATTAAGTAGAGAAAGTACAATCACTAAAGTATATCAAACTCTGCTGAAGGATGACAGAAAGTAGGAAGAAAGCTATACCAAGAAGATAGTGAAATCAAACTCAAAATCAAACATCAAGGGAAAGAGACAAATCTTTCTTACAGAAGAATTCCAAATAGGGTTGCCAGATTTAACAAAATACAGGACGTCTAATTAACTGTGAAGTTCAGATACTGCAAGGGACACACACTAAAAAAAAATTTCTTGTTTATCTGCAATTAAATCTATCTGGGTGTCCTGCCACTATAAATAATGCATGTAGATAACTTCAGGAGATGGGGCTTAATCCTCTCAACCCCTTTAAGAAAGGACTGTGCTTAGTGACTCACTCTCAAAGAACAGAGGAGGAAAAGAGAAAAATAGTAGCTTTACAATGGAGAGTCCTGGCCAACATTACATTAACCAGGTGATCAAGGTTAACATCACCAGGGATGTCACATACCCCTTGACACGATATGAGAAGAGTACTTCAGCTTTTTGGTACTCATCCCAAAAACCCAGAACCATAGTCTATCACTAGAAAAACCTTGGACCCAGATATTCTATAGAGTACATGGCCAGTCCTCCTTAAGACTGTCAAGGTGGTGAAAAACAAGGAAAGGCTGAGAAACTGTCACTGACAACAAAATGCAATGTGGCAGATCCTGAAACAGGATCCTAGACTAGATTCTGGAACAGAAAGAGGATATAAATGGAAAAACTGGTGCAATCCAAAAATATGTGTTTAATAGTAATGTACCCAATGTCAGTTTCTTAATTTTGACAATATGTTGTGGGGGTAACAGTGGGGGCAGCTGGATGAGGTATATGGGTACTCTCTATACTCTCAGCAACATTTCTATTTTTGCAACTTTTCTGTAAATCTAAAATATTTCAAAATAAAAACTTAAAAAAGAAATATTTGTGTGTAACATGCGAGAGAAAAAATAAACCCTATAGACCACATACATTCTTTTGTAAAGCATTATTGACAAGGCTATAAAAATTGACTTGTATTTTGTTTACATTTCAGATGACTAAGTAACCCTTGCAAACAAGGCTGTAAAGGATGGGTACCTCATCAAACCTAAAGACTGCTACTTTTCAGGAATGGTGGTCCTAAATGCCAAAGATGTTTCAGAGCCACTTGTCAGTTGTAACTCAGGACACCATTCAAACTAAGAATATGTAACTAAGTTGAGTAACCCACACTCTTCCTGGAACTCACAAACTAGAGAAACTGCCAGGGCAGAACCACCAGGCTCCTGAGCCTGATGGAAAGGCAGGTCTGACTCCACGGCTGGCACTCCTCAAGGGGATACCTGAAGAGAGCTTCCCCAGAGCCGGGGCTGATCCCAGGAGGCAGGCCAGCCACCAGTGGAGCACTAGGCAGATGCCCTGCTGGCATCTGTCTGAGAGCTGCTGTTGGAGATGCCTGGGCCTCTAATGAAGTGCCAGCCTGTCACAGAAGCAGACACTGGGCACAACTGCCAAGACCCCCTGGCCCCCAGCCCCAACTGAACCCACCTTCCTCTCAGCAGCAGTCTCCAAACTCAGTGATGGCCCACACTACTGATAAAAAGATTGGGAGCATGCTCCTCCCATAATGCCCGTTCACTACTTATAAGTTAGCTATGTCTTCCGTGGTATTCACACACTAAAAACATTATAAAATGGTCCGAGATACATATAAATAGGAGTGGTAATATTTACTTTCCATCCTCCAAGTGGCTTTTTATTATTTTTTTTCTGACAGCCCACACTAGAGACCACTGGCTTATTAAGTCCCTGAACCCCACCCACCCCGTGTACCCAGGTCTCCCTTAAGGAAGAGGTGGGGGAAGATGGGATTTGAGGCAACTAGTGACCCTAACCTAGCTCTAGATGCCTGAGAAGGGTAAGGCCTGCAGGGCCCCTAAACTGACCAGCAGGAGCCCCTGGGCCACACACCCTTGCCTCACACACAACACACCCCACACTTCTGCCAGAACCGTAGATTAAAAAAGCAAACTGGCCATGTCATCTCTCTGCTTAAAATTTTTCCAAGGCTTCCAAAACTTTGAAGTCAACATACAAAGTGCTTAAAATGGTGTCCACAGCTTCAACTGAGTTCCTGAGCCAAATCCATTCCCCAAATCAGCCCCCATCACCCCTGGCCACCACCACACAGATCTGCTCATGGATTCAGGACAGCATCACCGCAGAATCTTGAATCCTGCTGTAGAATTTCCCATCACCGAGGACATTACAAGAAACAGCATGGAGCTGAGCCCCAGAAGCCAATACCATCAGAAAGCAGGAACACAAGGGGCATGAAGGCAGTCGGTCCCCTCATCATTAGAACATCCTAGAAGACTCTATGAGTGGGAAGAACACTTTCTCATGCTCAGAGGTGAATACACCAGGCATTCATTGTATTATTCCTTCTTATAGGTCTTAAATAAGAATGCACAGTAAAAATTTTTGGAAAAAAAGAGTGAAAAGGACATACACAACATGAACTCTGTTCACAGAAACAATTCTGTTCTGAAGGATTGTTGAAAAAATAAATACAGTCATCCATCACTTAACTGTGGGACACATTCCAAGAAATGCATGGTTAGGTGATTTCATCGTCTTGTGAACATCACCAAGTGACTTACACAAACCTAGATGATAAAGCCCACTACACACCTAAGCTATGTGGTGTAGCCTATTGCTCCTAGGCTACAAACCTGTACAGTAGGTGATATGGTTTGGCTTTGTGTCCCCACCCGAATCTCATCTTGAATTGTAATCTCCAGAATCCCTACATGTCATGGGAGGGACCCAGTGGGAGGTAACTGAATCATGGGGGCACTTTCCCCCACGCTGTTCTCATGATAGTGAGTGAGTTCTCATGATATCTGATGGTTTTATAAATGTCTAGCAGTTCCCCCGCTGGCACTCATTCTCTCTCCTGCTGCCCTGTGAAGAGGTGCCTTTTCTACAATTATAAGTTTCATGAGGCCTCCGTAGCCATGCATAACTGTGAGTCAATTAAATCTCTTTCCTTTATAAATTAACCAGTCTTGGGTATTTCTTCGTAGTGGCATGAGAACTAACTAATACAGCATGTTACTCTACTGAATACTGTAGGCAACTGTAACACAATGGTAAGTATTTGTGTATCTAAACATAGAAAAGAAACAATATTATAATCTTATGGGACCAGCATCATGTGGATATATAGATGAACCACTGCATAGATATATGGATCCCATTGTTAACCAAACATCATTATGTGGCATGTGACTGTAATTTGATCTATTAAATTAAATGAGCCATACATTTTGGTAAGAACATAGATCAAAGTACTTAATAACCTGTTGTATGGAAACTTTGTATATTTTTTTTTTTTATAGATACAGAGTCTCGCCATGTTGCCCAGGCTAGCCTAGAACTCCTGGACTCATTGATCCTTCCATCTCAGCCTCCCAAAGTGCTGGGATTACAGATGTGAGCCACCACACCCAGCTATATGGACACTTTCTATGAAACTTTTCTACCAAACTAGATCATGAAAACAAGGTTGCCAGCCCTATTAGGGCATCCCATGAAACTTGGATGCCAGCCCTATTAAGACCTTTTCAAAGGAAAAGCCATTGTTAATAGAGAGGTTAACACTGTCCTTCTGACCTGGGTAGGATACCAAAGGGGCAGGGAAGTGAGAGGATAAGACCACTGGGCATAACCAGAGACACATGGTTCCTGCCCCAGTCACAACCCCAGCCTCTCCAGGCCCTGGACCCTCATTCCCCATTCCCACTACACAACAAAAGCAATATAAATGACTTTGCGATAAGAGCCATAAAAAGAAAGTTAATTTATCAGTAATTTCACCTCCTGAGCCACAACTGAGTTATCTGAAGCAGCTGTGTCCATTCAACAATGTGACAAGAAGGCCAGAACTGACAAGATGGCTGTTTTATATCTATTTAAAAGGAAAGTGGAACAAAAAAAAAAGGAGGGGGGAATATTTGACTTCTCTCCTATTATCCCTTTGGAAATGTCAGTACACATAGGATATAGGTCAACTGCATTCTTTTTAACTGGCGCACAGTATTCTACACTATGGACAAGACACCCTTTGTGTAACCTTTCCTCTACTGATTAGCATTTTGGTTGTTTGGATAACGCTGTATTGAGCATCCTTCTACCAATACCCTTCTGCACATGTGTATGTGCTTCTGGAGCAGCTTGCAGAAGTGGAATTGCTCAGTCAGGTTAGGTCTGGTTCTGATTTTACTCAGCATTTGCTGACTGCTTTCCAAAAATACTCTCCCCCCCACCCCCAGCTGGGCATGGTGGCTCACACCTGTAATTCCAGAACTTTAGGAGGCTGTGGCAGGCAGATCGCTTGAGGTCAGGAGTTCAAGACCAGCCTGGCTGTAGCAGGCAGATCGCTTGAGGTCAGAAGTTCGAGACCAGCCTGGCCAACAAAAATTGCTAGTATTATTGATTTTTAATTTTTACCTATCTAACAAGGCAAAACATGGGAGCTTGTAACTTGCATTTCCTGGATCATCAGGAAAACTGAACGTCTTTTCACAACTTTTTTTTAAGAAATGGGGTCTCGCTCTGTCACCCAGGCTGGACCGCAGTGGTGCAATCATAGCTCACTGTAGCCTTGAACTCCTGGCCTCAAGCGATCCTCCCACCTCAGCCTTCTAAGTAGCTAGGACTACAGACTTGTACCACCATGCCTGGCTAATTTTTATATGTTTTGTAGAGACAGGGTCTCACTATGTTGCCCAGGCTGGTCTCAAACTCTTGACCTCAAGCAATCCTCCTGCCTCAGTCTCCCAAAGTGCTGGGATTACAGGCATGAGCCACTGTGCCTGGTCTCTTTTCAAATCTTAATGTCCATTTATATTTCTTCTGGACATTACCTGTTATCAGCCTTTTCTCCGTTTCCTATGGCTCTTCAGCCTTTTTTTCCTTATTGATTTGTAGGTGCTCTTTATGGATTCCAAATATTATTACTTTGTTTAAACAAAGTTTCATAAATGGAGAGGAATACCATGTTTAAAGACTAGAAGACTCAGCTGGGTGCAGTGGCTCACGCCTCTAATCCCAGCACTTTGGGAGGCCAAGGCGGGCAGATCACGAGGTCAGGAGATCAAAACCATCCTGGCTAACACGGTGAAACCCCGTCTCTACTAAAAATACAAAAAATTAGCCAGGCGTGCTGGCGGGCACCTGTAGTCCCAGCTACTCAGGAGGCTGAGGCAGGAGAATGGCATGAACCTGGGAGGCAGAGCTTGCAGTGAGCTGAGATCGCACCACTGCACTCTAGCCTGGGCGACAGAGCAAGACTCTGTCCCAAAAAAAAAAAAAAAAAAGACTAGAAGACTCAACACAGTAAAAAAGTTAAATCTCTGCAAATTGAGTACAGGTTTAATGTAATTCCTATCAAATTCCCAGCATCATTTTTTGTAGTCACAGACAGCTTTTTCTAAAATTTATACAGAAAGGCACAGGTCCTAGAACTGCTTAAAAACATGTCTAACAAAGGAGAATAAAGTGGGAGGAAATACTGTACCCAACATTATGGCTTACTATGAAGCTACAGTGATCAAGATAGAGTGATAATGGCAGAGGGATAGGCACAAAGATGAATGAACAAAACAGAGCCCACAAACAGACCACACAAGTCTAACTAGTTTTTGACAAAGGTATAAAAATGGAGGCAAGACAGTGCTGGATCAACAAGACATCTATAGAAGCAAAGAAAATGAACCTCAGCCTAAAGGTGGGTAGATAAAATCACTGTCAATATCCTGGTTGGGATATTATCTGTGGTTCTGCAAGATGCTTCCATGTTAGGAGAAACCGGGTGAGGGGTACACAGCATCTCACTGTATTATTTCTTACAATTGCATGTGACATATAGTAACCTCAATACAAAATTCAATTTAAAATATTACAAATATTTTTTCCTAGCCTAACTTTTTTCTTCTGAATTTGTTTATGGTATATAGGGTTAATTTTTATCTAGTCAAAATATATCCCCTGGATTTATTTAATATTTTATATTTCACAATTTTCTCAAAGTTGCTAAAATGAGCCGATAGGATGTCTATTTTAAACTCTCTTTATACTAAATAATTTTTTTTGTAATAAAAAGCCTTTTTGTTTTCTTTCTTCCTTTTTCTTTCAGTTTCTGCTTTGCTAAATAAAAGCTTCTTTTTTGGGCCACCCACGGTGGCTCATGCCTGTAATCCCAGCACTTTGGGAGGCCAAGGCAGGCAGATTACTTGAGCTCAGGAGTTCGAGACCAGCCTTGGCAACATGGCAAAACCCTGTCTCCACAAAAAAATACAAAAATTTGCCAAGCGTACTTGTGTGCACCTATAGTCCCAGCTACTCAGGAGGCTAGGATGGGAGGATTGCTTGAGTCTGGGAGGTTGAGGCTGCAGTAAGCCATGATCACACCACTACACTCCAGCCTGGGCAACAGAACGAGACCCTATCTCAAAAAATAAAAATAAAAAATACTTTTTTTTTGAGACGGAGTCTCGCTCTGGCTCCCAGGCTGGAGTGCAGTGGTGCAATCTCAGCTCACTGCAACCTCCACCCTCCCGAGTAGCTGTGATTATAGGCTTCCACCACCACGCATAGCTAATTTTTGTATTTTTAGTAGAGATAGGGTCTCACCATGTTGGCCAGGCTGGTCTCAAACTCCTCTTCTGACCTCAAGTGATCCACCACTTCGGCCTCCCAAAGTGCTGGGATTACAGATGTGAGCCACCATGCCCAGCTGGTAAAAAAATATTTTTTTTCTTTCTTTCTTTCTTTTTTAAAGTTATGGGATACATGTGCTGAACGTGCAGGTTTGCTAACATAGGTATACATGTGCTATGGTGGTTTGCTGTACCTATCAACCTGTCATCTAGGTTTTAAGCCCCGTATGCATTAGGTATTTGTCCTAATGCTCTCCCTCCCTTTTCCCCCCACTCCCTGACAGGCCCCAGTGTGTGAAGTTCCCCTCTCTGTGTCCATGTGTTCTCATTGTTCAACTCCCACTTATGAGTGAGAACATGCAGTGTCTGGTTTTCTGTTCCTATGTTAGTTTGCTGAGGATGATGGTTTCCAGCTTCATCCATGTCCCTCCAAAGAATATAAACTCATTCTTAAAAAAATATATTTTTTGATTAACCATAATAAACTCTATAAAAGACAACATTTAAAAAATTAAACAAACCTGAGCATGACATTAAAAGATATGGTTAAGTAATCTCAATTTCAAGCTTAAGTTGATATGACAAAAGAGAAATTAAACATCATGAATATAATGGAAAGGGCACATGTACTTGTAGCTGTTCATAAAGGGAGGGAGGAAAGAGTCTGCAAATCGAGGAGAATGGGAGAGTCCCCTTCCACAGGTCAGCCTGGGCACTCATGGTGGGGAGCAACAGGGCCAAAGGTGCAAACCAGTGCTGGGCACTGCTTTTGACGAAGTTTGTTAGCACCTGACTCAGGCTTGCATCCATCAGACTACGTCCCAGAAAGAAAAGATGTCTGTTTCACTTTTCTAAAACTTTCTTGAGGAGTATACAAAAAGTATTAGTTTTGAAAATATAAATTCTTCTTAAGAAAGCAGCCATGCACATTTGAGATCTCTGCTTACGCTTTTTCTTTTTTTTAAGAATTCATTTAGATATCTTAGAACTACAGATAATAAAGTTCATTTTCAATTCCTAAAATGTGCCAGATGCCATTCTTTCTACAGAGTGCACAAATGTGCCACCTTTCTACAGAGAGGTAAGTGACCTGTCCAAAGCTGTCAGATGCCACACCCAAGCCTGGGGCATCAGGGGGCTGCTTCTCTAAGTGCAAGGCTCACTCTGCACCACAGTCACACCAACTGCTAATCAGTGTCCCACCCCTACATAAGTGGGTAAGGCTGCTTGTACCAAAACTTTCTTCTTTGATGCTAACATGGGGAGTGTTAATAAAGACTGACTCTGTGAAACAGATAAACATTTATATGTCAGTCATGTTTAACCAGTAGAATAGGAAAAAGTAAAGTCAGAGATCTTCCTCTTCCTACAACTTACTAACCAAGTTACCTGTGTGTTTACATGGGGTTGCACTCGAATGACAAACCATTAACAGACATTGAGAAATGAAACTGGCTAGCACAATGACTTCATCTCAGAAAAGAACATCAAAGTTCATCCACATTTTCATCTATTAATATCTATGGCAAAGACATAAAGCATAACAAACATTTAATTATTAGAAATTAAGTACAAATATCATGAGGCTGAGGCAGGAGAATGGCATGAACCTGGGAGGCGGAGCTTGCAGTGAGCCGAGATGGCGCCACTGCACTCCAGCATGGGCGACAGAGCGAGACTCTGTCTCAAAAAAAAAAAAAGAAATTAAGTATAAATAGAAGAGACACTAGCTATAGCTTGGTATTCAGACCTATAGCTAAATCTTTTAAAAACAACAACAACAACACACAGGGGTGGGGGAAACACACACACACACACACACACACACACACACACACACATCTCAGACTCTTATGCCCTCTGCCTAGAATGTTCTTCCCCCAGATACCTACACAGAAAGGGGCTTAATAAATACTTTTTATAGACAGAAATAATGCTTCACAAGCAAACCTATTTAGTATCACAGAGCCTTGCCACTTCTCTCTCCCACTGTGGTAGCCAGCCTCCAAGATGTGCCCCAAGTATCCTTGCCTCCTGGTATTCAGGCCCTGTGTACTCCCCTCTAATACTGAGTAAGGCTGACCTCTGTAACCAATAGAATATTGTGGAAATGTGTGTGTGATTTGCAAGGCGAGGCCCTGAAGGACGCTGTAGCCTCCACCTTGAACTGCTCACTCAGCACCATGTCATAAGCCACGTCAAGCAGGCCTATGGGGAGGCCCACGTGGAGAAGAACTGAACCTCCTGCCAACTGCCCAGAAAGCCTCTCCTGAATTCCTGGCTCACAGAAACTACATGAGATACTATATGTTATTGTTTTAAGCCACTAAGCTTGAGGTAATCTGTTACACAGTGATAGATGACTAATAGACATATCTGTATTTCTTTCTAAGATTCCAAGCACTCAATAGACAATAAGTGCTTGCTGACTTGAATTAAGGCAGTGGTGAGAATTATTTTCTGCTGAGCGATCTGGACTCCCTCATTCTGCTCCTTTTGTTGGCCAAGCCCACATTTGGGCAACCCAATTAGCTAAGGTTAGAGGTGCTATCTCTGGCCAAGAGAAATGGAAAGATTGCAGAAAAGTGATGGTCTGAGTTTTAGACCATTTTTATCTCCAAAGTCTCCAAAATTACTAGAGGTTCTTTGTCTATTTTCTAATAAATAAGAAGGGCTATTATCCTTTCCCCTTGTTTTTTTTCAGCATGTTGCCAACAGAGTAGTAATGCAAAAATAGTAATGCATGAACTACAAAAGGCCCAGTGCTAGGTTACCTGTTAATCGGCAAAGTAGGCACTCTCAGCGCATCCTGCTCATTTGTTGAGTAAGGGGTCCCCGTGACCAAAGAAAGACCACACATAGGTGATGGGATGTGCAAACTGGAACCTGAGAACGGCTTTTCCTTTACTTATAATAGTATTGCCTTTGACAAAATTCAAAGAAGATCTGTGGATTAGTGTTGTATCAATGTTAATTTCCTGGTTTAGATCATTATATTATAGTTACAAAAAAAACAACCATTAAGGAAAGTTGAATAAAGGTATAAAGGTGATCTGCATCCTATTTTTGCAACTTTTTTTGTATGACAAATTATTTCAAAATTAAAAAGTTTAAAAACTGGAATTTATTTAAAGTAACAACAAAAAAGAATATTGCCATTAAAATTTAAATGACACTAAGCCCATTTACTGAAAGGCTCTGATGCCGGTTTTCCAGGATGCACTTGGAGAGGCTGTTCTGCCACGGCCACGACTAAGGAAGGTACTGAGACACGTGTGGAGTCTAAGCTTGATTTCAAACCTCCGATTCCCTGGTAAACAGAAGACTTCAAGTGAATGGGGTGTGGTGTTAGCTATGTGAGGGCTGCAGGGACAAGAGCTGTCAAATCTACAATGGCACCTACTCTGACGACCAGAGGAGCGAGGCAGACATAGTGCTCCCCCAGCATCCATGTGCTCCTTCGTGTTACCTGCCAGCCTCCCAAGAACTGAATGGGAACATGAGCAGAGGTGATGTGTAAGAGTCAGTGAGGTGACTCCAGATCCCTGTTCCTCTGTCACCAGGTGGTGACACAAGCTAATGGAGACTGGATTCCTGAGTCAACAGATGGAGGAGACTCTTGCCAAACCGTGTAGTACTTTAGCAAAATTAACTTTTATTGTGTTAAGCCATAGAGATTTCTGAGTCTGTGTGCTGTGACAACTAGCATTTCTTAAGATAATCCCTATAAAGACAGTTCCATTTAGAGAATAATTAACCTAGAACTAAGAAAAAAGCCAAAGTGCTAAAAATTATCAAGTCACAATAAAATATTTGTAGAGAAGAAAGAAAATATCCAAGCCTTCTTTATTTCTAGATGTTTCCTCCATTTTCCTACAAAGAAAACAGAAGTAAGCAAATATTTACATAGAAAAATACTGCCACACTGCCTGTGTTAGGGAAAAAAAAGAAAACAAATGAGGCCAGGTGTGGTGGCTCACACCTGTAATCCCAGCACTTTGGAAGGCTGAGACAGGTGCACCATCTGAGGTCGGGAGTTCAAGACCAGCCTGGCCAACATGGTGAAACCCCGTCTCTACTAAAAACATAAAAAATTAGCTGGGTGTGGTGGCGCATGCCTGTAATCCCAGCTACTCGGGAGGCTGAGGCAGGAGAATCACTTGAACCTGGGAGGCGGAGATTGCTGTGAGCCGGATCACGCCATTGCACTCCAGCCTGGGCAACAAGAGTGAAACTCCCTCTCAAAAAAAAAGTAAAAAGAAAAAAAGAAAAAGAAAACAAATGAAATGCCCATCATTTAGGAAAAGAATATGGCCATTCAATGAAATACCCTCTGGGGACACCCAGGTATTGCCCCTGACGTGATGTGTGCTGCACCCACAATGCTTCCCTCCAGCATGGCTCTCAATTGTCCACGCTTACAGCCCTGCCATTTCACAGGGACGCCCATGCACTTTCTGTGATGGCTGATAATTGCTGATACAAGATGACAGGTGCATGATGGTCCATTATACTACCCCCTCTACTTATGTGAGTTTGGAGTTTTCTATAATACAAAGTTTTAAAAGTAAGTATTTCAGAAAAAAATTGCCATAATTAAAACAGACTTACCCTTGCAACAAACAGAAATTATCACTCTCACTAAAAGAAGCGAGAAAACTAACTCATACAGATAAAGCAACTGGCCTAGTACATCACAGGTCAGAATGGGTTGCTAACAGATTAACTCATTAGTCTACTATAATCATTCACATAAATTCAGTAGTAATCGAAGCTATCTGTATCTGGATTAATTGAAGAGAGTTCATAACCTTCTCTGAAAAACAAAGATACTAAATTGGAAGCATTCCCACCAGACCTCATTTCCTAGGCTGTATTACAGATCCTAAAATTATGGGTTCTTGTTTTGTTGTTACTGAAATTAAGTTTAAGTGTTATATCATAACATAGCTAAACATTCTAATAACCAAAAACACTCTTTGAAATAACTTTATTCCAAACTACAGATTAAAATGAAATACATAAGCATGATTCATAAGCATTTATTAATTTTCTGAATCATGATTACTTTCTAAAATAATGTAATCTCACTTTAAAAGCACTGTTAATATTGATTGATGCTTTTAAAGACAAAGGGTTTTTTAGCAATGTAAGAGACTTTTATTCCCGTATGTATAAAACCAAAGCCTCCCTTACCAACTTAACCTTTTATTCAACAGATTTTTTTTTTTTAATGAGCTTTCTCAGGTTGAATAGATTATTTTTCTCAGCCCATCAAATATAGAGAATGTTTCTGACAGAGAAAAATACAGGTTCTGGAGATGAGCCAGTGTGACTCCCAGAGCTCTGGCCTGGAGAAACACAGCAGAATGGGTAAGCACTGAACAATGGCTTTACACACAGGTACTGAGAGACTCTCCTTAACACCATCCAAGCTTTGGGGACAGAGTCCACAGATAGACCTGTAAACCCCTGCAACTACACTGAACTGAGCTGGCCTTCGAAGAACAAATGGCAAGGACTTGAATACTTTCCAGAGCAGCTCACTCCTGGAGGACCCAGTGCCACTGCATTAGTCCATTTTCATACTGCTATAAAGAAATACTCAAGACCAGGTAATTTCTTTTTAAAAAAGAGGTTTAATGGACTCATAGTTCCACATGGCTAGGGAGGCCTCACAATCATGGCAGAAGTGGAAGGAACAAAGGCACATCTCACATGGTGGCAGGCAAGACAACATGTGCAGGGGAACTGCCCTTTATAAAACCATCAGATCTCCTAAGACTTGTTCACTATCATGAGAACAGCACAGGAAAACCCTCCCACTGGGTCTCTCCCACAACATGGGAAGATTATGGGAGCTATCATAAAATTCAAGATGAGATTTGGGTGGGGACACAGCCAAAACATATCATCCACCCACTGGTCTGAGAAATTCTGGAGTTTTATTTGTTTAAACAGACCATATTATAAATTGGAAAGAAATCATATTTAACGAAGTTCAGTCAGAAAAAAATGTAAAGCAGTGCAGCCTGAAAGACTGTTTTCTATTGGGATCCAGCTCTCTCACTTAGCCATGTCACATGACCTTGAACAAGTCATTTGAGGCCATCCCCATGCCCCTCCCCTCTCATGATGGCTGTGAGGGTCATGTGCATGGATTTGAAACTTTAAAACTGTTTGTTCTCAAATGTGTTTTTATTAACAATGATGCTCTGTTATTATAACCCTCCTTCACATATAACAATTTCATTTTTCAAAAGCAAGGTTTACTTTTGGAATTATACATTTCCAAAACAACAGCTTTCTAACATTTCATTTTTAACTAGTAAATAAACTTTTGGAAAGAATGCCAGAGCTACTATCCAAAGACAGATGTCTGATTAGAAGTTTATGAATTAACCACTGTCTAATTGTTAAACAAGTATGCTATTTGTCTGTTTAGATCATACACCTTTCACAGTAATTATAAGCCACTAATAAGTAAAAATTATTTGAATTTCATAAGCTTACTTTAATTTTTAGAGTATTCTTATTTCACACTCAAAAATCAACATATTACTTTCACATATTAGCATACTTTAGACTAATATTTGAGTTCAAAGACAGCTAATTTATGAGTCTGTTTGTTTGTCTTGAGACAGAGTCTCACTCTGTCACCCAGGCTGGAGTTTGGTGGTACGATCTTGGCTCACTGCAGCCTCAACCTCCCACGCTCAGATGATCCTCCCACTGCAGCCTCCCAAGCAGCTGAGATTATAGGCATATGCCATAATACCCAGCTAATTTTTTATAGAGACAGGGTTTCACCATGTTGCCCAGGCTCTTCTCAAACTCCTGGGCTCAAGCAATATGCCCACCTCAGCTTCCCAAAGTGCTGGAATCACAGGCATGAGCCACTGTGCCTGGCCTGTTCTTTAATTAATTAATTAATTAAGTCAATGCCATGTGGCCACAACCCACCTGCTAAAAGCCCCAAGCTGCAGCTGGGTGATCCCTTTTTGCTTCAGGAAGTCTCAGACACACTGGCAAAAATTCTGTTTCTTAAGCAAGTCAGCCAACAACTGCTCCTGAACAACTCTCTCCTCTATTCCCCAGTGCCATTTAGTCCCTAAACAGACATGAAAGCATCCATCATTCTGTTCTAAATTCAGCAAAAATCCACAATTTATCATACTATTTTTAGTCCCACCCCATATCTGCATAGAGTTTTGCAGTCTACAAAGCATTTTTCCTATTGTGTCTCCCTTTCTACTGCTTCATACTGATGGAAATTCGGATGCTACTCCTGATATCCAAAACAGGTCTACAAGCTGGAGTTGAGAGTGCTTCATCAAAAATGAGACCAAAGTGCTCCAGCGGGATGGAAATGTCAAAGCTAGCAGAGTCCGCTTATGGGTGCCAGACCCCTAAGACTACACAGGACAAGGCAGCCCAGGTAGAGACCCACTGCTCAAAAGTGGAGCTAGGAGTGTTACCCGTGTATCCCTGAAAGGGTCCTTTGGTCCTCTGAGGCCCTCCAGGCTGCACCTGCCTTGGTCTAAAAGCTGGATGGGCCCCTCCAGACTCAGCCTGCCAGCTCCTGAATAGGAGCCAAGTACGCACCAGAAAGTAAAAATGTTGTCCAAGATTGTGACTGACTTTTAATCCTAGGAGTTACTCTACCTTATTAAAGATTGTAAACTGAATAAAACCAAAATGGCATTTTTCTTTTATTGCTTTAGAAAATATTTTTATAGCTATTATTTTCCAGCTAATATTTATTGGGAATCCCCCAAATGCCTAGAAGTGCACTTAATTTCAAGGACGGGGTATATAAGTTTATGCAAAGACTCAAATCCAGACACTTCTCAGTGCCTGCATGCTGCCCCCTGGGCCCGCCCTATGTCAGCCCCAACCACTGCAGACAGTTCCACGTTAGCTTCAGCTCAGCTGACAGTCAGTACTCCTCACCAGGCACTGCAGGTCTTTTTGCCATGAGGCCTTCTCAGAAGCCATGGAAGCCTGCTGGCCTGCTTGAACTGCCAATGGGGACAGGAACCAGTGGCTAACGGCCCTACCTCTCATCCTCTGGACACATACCCTGGAAAGCATTCTGTCCACTTTAAATAAGTGGGCTGGTTTGAAAGACCCCAGATCTACCTCCATCCCTGCCCAGCTACAAGAATCTGGCAAGCCCTATGCCCTAATCTTTTGGGGCAGTGTTCTTAGCCTAGATCTTGGACTTTTGGCATCCCAAAGGATGCCAGAGCCTACTAAAACCACGGTTCTCAATCTTAGCTACAGTTTAGAATCACCTGGAGAGCTTTGAAAAGTCTTGATGCTCAGACCACTCTCCAGAAAAATTTCACTGAACCGTTTTGGGGAGGGGCCCAAGCTGCACAGGGCTCAGCCTATGCTGGGACCTGAAAGTTCTAACGCTGGCCAGGAGCAAGATGCAGTGACAGAACTCTCAAAGGGGGCAGTCATGAGAGCGTTAAGACAAATCCTCTCTTTATCAGAATATACTGGAGGCAAAGGAGCCACAGAAAGACAGCTAGGCAGATTATGTACCAACAATTTTTAAAACTACCAGCTGTTGGCTGGGAGCGGTGGCTCACGCCTATAATCCCAGCACTTTGGGAGGCGGAGACGGGCAGATTGCCTGAGGTCGGGAGTTCAAGACCAGCCTGCCCAACATAGTGAAACCCCTCTCTACTAAAAATACAAAAATTAGCTCAGTGTGGTGGCATATGCCTATAATCCCAGCTACTCTGGAAGCTGAGGCAGGAGAATCACTTGAACCCGGGAGGCAGAGGTTGCAGTGAGCCAAGATCACACCACTGTACTCTAGCCGGCATAACAGAGTGAGACTCCATCTAAAAACAAACAAACCAAACAAACAAACAAAAACTAACCAGCTGTTGTAACAGCTTTTTTGAAAATCCACCTCTTGCCACTGCTCTGAAATGGTATCCTTTATTATATTCTCAACTTCCCATAAATAATCAGGTTCTCTTTCAGGTCTTTCATCTAGTCTGTTAATAGGTTTCTCTCCTGCTCTGCCAGCACCATCTGTTGCATTACTAGAGCGTTGTAACACATTTTTATATTTAGGAAGGCCAGTACCCTCTGTGAGATTTTTTAAAATTACATTTATCTTTTTAATTCCACTGGAATTTATTCTAAGGTATGGGATAAAGGATCTAAAATCATTAATTTTCCATAATTGCCACCAGTTGCCCAATTACTACCTGCTGAGAAATCCTCCATCTGCCTTTAGTTTGTAATGCCTGCTTTATCCCATGTTACAACCTTACACAGCAAATAGCACATAGTCAATTCTGAGCTGCCTCTTGCTTTCCCATAATTGGTCTAAGATCCCTGCCCTTGGGGAACTTATATTTTGGCAGGGAAAAGAGACAATAAATGTAAAAAGTAACTAACCAATAGATACAGTGACAATATTTTAAAAGATAAGTCTGACAAAGGAAATCAGAAGTGGAGCAGCATGGGGCACTGGGGGTTCAGTGCAGGGCAGCTGCAGCATGAAGTAGGGTGCTCAGCGTGCAGGCCAGGAGTACAGAGCAGGAGGGCAGATTTCATCATGGAGAAGGATGGCCAGGATGTGGGCAGGGAGGACGGGGCCGTGATAGGCTGCAACATGACAGGGTGACAGGGCTGATTTCACAGGCAAGTGACCTGAGCAAGCACACAGGGCCTCGCACTCAACTGGTTCTGCACTTAGTTAAATACTCTGCTATAGCCATGTAGAAACTGTTAACAATTTTACCTGTTTTGTTTTTGTGTTCGTTTTTGTTTTGAGACAGGGTCTTGCTCTGTCACCCAGACTGGAGTTCAGTGGTGCAGTCTCAGCTCACTGCAGCCTTGACCTCCTGGGCCCAAGCAATCCTCCCAACTCAGCCTCCTGAGTAGCAGGGACTACAGACATGCACCACCACAGTGGGCTAGGTTTTTTGTGTGTTGTTTTGTTTAAATTTTGTAAAGATAACGTCTCCCTGTGTTGCCCAGCCTAGTCTCAAACTCCTGGGCTCAAGCAATCCACCTGCCTCCACCTCCCAAAGTACTGGAATTACAGGCGTGAGCCACTGCATCCAGCCCAATTTTACCTTCGAATGTGTGTTTTGTAGGTGAAGTCCAACAGGACTGTGGCGCATGAGCATGAGCGGAGGTGATACACACAATATGGGGGTCTGACACCTTTCTCTGCTGCCTACTGAGCATAGCACTTGGGATTCCATGAGCACCGCGCTGGGTGGGCCCACAACGCATGGGGGTTCAGCGACACTCAACTCACATTTACAGTAAGCGTGTTACTTCTACAACTGAGTAAGGGGGTGTTGAAAGCCCCAAGAGCTCACACTTTCCATCTGAACCAGAACTTGCCTTGAACACAGAAAGAGCAATGGTGTTCTAAGAAAGATGAATGGCTTTGGGAGGCCAAGGCGGGCGGATCACGAGGTCAGGAGATTGAGACCATCCTGGCTAACACAGTGAAACCCCATCTCTACTAAAAATACAAAACTTAGCCAGGCTTGGTGGCAGGCACCTGTAGTGCCAGCTACTCGGGAGGCTGAGGCAGGAGAATGGCGTGAACCCGGGAGGCGGATGTTGCAGTGAGCGGAGATCGCGCCACTGCACTCCATCCTGGGCGACAGAGCAAGACTCCATCTCAAAAAAAAAAAAAAAAAAAAAAAAAAAAAAGAAAGATGAATGGCTGAGAAAGCCCATCAGAGTCTTTCTCGCTCGAGTCTTGTCTTGTGTTAGCCACCACTTCCCCTGGACATACTGACTCAGAAAGCAAACAAGGCGACCCATGGCTCCCCGACCTGACAGTCCCTCCTGACTCATCAGTGAACTGAACAAGACAGTGGTGGCAGGACATGTGTGAGACAAAAAGAAGGAATATGTTAGTTCCCACTGTTCTGGTAAGAATGAAATTCATATGATGTAGGAGCTACAAAATACAAACTGTGTAATTCTGGTCATTCCACATACAAGTTAAATTTGCTTTTTTTTTTTTTTTTTTTTTTTTGAGATGGAGTCTTTCTCTGTTGCCCAGGCTGGAGTGCAGTGGCGCGATCTCAGCTCACTGCAAGCTCTGCCTCCCGGGTTCACGTCATTCTCCCGCCTCAGCCTCCCGAGTAGCTGGGACTACAAGCCCCTGCCACCACACCCGGCTAATTTTTTGTATTTTTAGTAGAGACGAGGTTTCACCGTGTTAGCCAGAATGGTCTCGATCTCCTGACCTCGTGATCCGCCCACCTCGGCCTTAAATTTTCATTTAAAACTGGCACTGCACAATATAAATGGTAAAATTCACGCCAATAATCTAAATTTTTTATTTGTCCTTGGTTATAATGACTTAAAATAGAAAATAGAAGCACCATGACAAGTGGAGGAGGAAGAGAGAGAGATGAAAGAAGAGAAAATGCTTTGCCTTTTAGTGCCTTTAAAAGTACTTTTCTACTGCTTTTTGAACAAGGAGTCTGGCATTTTTCATTTTACACTGAGACCTGAAAATGCTCTAATTCAGCCTATGGATGACCTAGGAAAAAGGTCCCCAAGCAAGGCACTGGGCACTCTCTTGTCATCCTGGTCCCTCGCTGTACATCCCAGATCATTGCTCCCAAACTCAGCTGCAGACGCAACCATCTCTGGTCCCATCCCCAGAGAATCTGGTGTCATTGGCTTGGGGTACAGCCTATGCACTGGGAATTTTCACAGCAACTCAGGTGATTCTAATGCACATTCAAGGTTGAAAACCAGTGGCTTAGGTCAAAGCTACCAAGTACTAAGCACACCTGCCCACCAACAGCCACAGATCCTGCAGTTGGCCTCCCAGCAAGGCCTCCCATGGTATCAGAGAAGACTGCACCAGCTTCCTATACCCGTGACCTGGTCCTTTATCTATAATATGAGCCAACAATGAAGGGCCACTGGCTATTTGAGGGAGATTATCAGCACCAAAGAGAAGGGATCAGGTGAACAAAGAGAACAACTGGTCCTGCAGGGCCAACAGTGATTCAGGGAACAGAAGAGATCTTTTCAAAGCCCTGCTCCTGATGTGGGCCCCATCTAGGTTGATGACACCACTCTCCCCTGGCCCCTGCCCATCTGTTCCTGCTCTGTTCCTCTCTACCCTGGCCCAGTGCAGCAGTTCTCACCTTTCAGGTCTTTCTGCCTCCTTTACCTTGCCCAGTCCAATCTATCTGCCATCCTGCTACAAGAGGGTCACAGCTGAGGACGACTTCTGACCTTCCCCTCACTGCAAATCCCTCCTCAGTGGCTGCCCACTGCCCACCGCCAAAAAACAAAAGTACAAGCTCCTTACCAGGACACAGCATTGCCACATCTGGCTGCCTCTCCATCCTCATCATCCTCCCCACCCCCTGCCTTCTTGCCCCATCAGACTCACCTGCTTTCATTCCCCAGGAGGTTCAAGCCTCCATGCTCGTGTCCTGATCTTCTGGGCATGCACCACCCTTGCCCCAAGCTTTCAGACCCAGCTGCCTCTTCCTCAACCTTCGAGATGCAACTAAGACATCTGTTCTGTGCTCAGGGACACCTATTCTGACGACCAAGCCCCCACCAAACCTCCCTGTATTCCACTCACTCCCTCAGCACCAGGCAAATAACATCCTCTCGGAACTGCCCCAATGTGACTTCCATCTCACTAAGGGACAAGCTCTTGAAGAAAAAAACCATGGCTTATCACTCTTTCTAGCACCCACCACACAGAAATCTGGCACATGAAAAGTAGTTAATAAATATTTATTTAAAAGGAACCAAATGGAGGCAACCACCCCAATTTCTATATGTAAAGTTAAGGGTCAAGTACAGAAATGAGCCTCTCACTCAAAGCCAATGAAAACACCAATACATTTTGGAAAATAGATATTCGCGATGAAAATTAAGTTATTTGCATTTGTTATTTCTGAAATACTTGGCCTTTGAGACTTTCAGCTTGATTGATTAGAAGAGCAGAGAAAGTTGGAATTCCTTTCCCCCATTGTCAGAGCTTTATTTTGTTCTGCTGAGCTCAAGTTAAAGCCAAATATAAGTGGTTCATCTCAGAAGGTCAGGGCTGATGAGCCTGAAATGCAATGGGGTCCATATGGCTCATTAACATGCATGCCCTCCTCTCTCGACATCTGATTTCCATCAGCATACAAAGACTGATGCCTGCAAAGTTCCTAAGGGTCCCCAGTGGAGATTTCAAAACCATGTTGGGTTGTGGGTTTTTTCTGGAGAATAAAGTCTAAGGAAAAACACTGTCAACAGAGACAGCCAATGAGGGCACATGAGGAAGGCACACCTATGAATGGCCAACTGTCAACACCACAGAGTCACCAGTTTCTAGCACCAGAAAGGCCCCATAGGATCACCTGGCCCAACCCTCTAACCTGACACACGAAAACACCAAATCTGAGAGGCTCTGTGATGTGACCAAAGTCACTTAGTAGGAGTCCTGCCAGAATTCCCAGGCACCCAACTCCCAGACCTGCTTTAGGCTACTCCTCTTTTCCTTCCTTTAGTTCCTCAAGGGTTTTCATGAGGAAAAATAAAGGACAAAACTACACTCAGCATCATTTGTATTGCCCCAGCCTTTAACAGAGAGACAGATGGGGTGAATGGTAGATTCAGGACTACAGGAAGCCCAGTGACCCCCTTGAGATGCGGCCCACAAGCTCCATGGGAAGGTGTGTGCACAGCAGCAGGCATCTGCACAAGGAGAGCCCCTTTCCTTACAAACCCATGAGGACATTCTTCCATGATGGGCATTTCAGCCACCTACAGAACAAATGCCAGACCAAAGCCAGCTGCCAACTCGTCACAGGCGTTGACAGCCACAAAGACGGGGTACATAGTGAAGGTGTGCCATGCCTGCCAGTGCCTTGTACCTGTCCAGTGAGGCCTCGCTTCTGCTTTGGTCTCTCCCAGGGCCTTGGACACAAATGTGAGGTAGACGCCTAACAACAGGCCTCCACTATCTGTAGCAGCAATCCAAGGCCTTGGATGACCTCATTTCAAATGCCAAGCATTCTACATCTCTAGGAAGGATGAAGGAAAAAATACCCTCGGAATTACTATTTATACACTATGCCCAGAATCTTAAACTGATGACTGAAACATGTCCACTCTGCCATATGCTAAAATACTAACATTTCATTTTTAGCGCCTTTAAATATATAGTCCTTAAAACACTATGAAAAAGGAACCCATCAAAGCCCCAAACTGACTCCCGGTTGTGGTTCCTGTTGTTGCTGTTATTTTTCAGGCTGAAGGCCACAGACCTTTTATCCTTACCCATAACCCAGGTACCAAAACATAAAAATGAATGCCACATTTCTGCAAAACACCATTTCAGCCAGGAATAGGATTCCAATGTAGTGTAAATGTTAAGAAACCTCTGTGGTTCCTTTGTATAGTATTCCACTATTAACAGGCAAACCTGGGAATTCTAGGAATGCAATTAAGCATTAAAAACAAAAACACCCAACAACAGGCACACAGAGACTTCATTTTAGATATTGAGGCCACACCTCCAAAGCTTGCAGGAGCTGGTATCTAAGTCTATCTCATTTTTCCAGAACTGGTAGGAAGACACAACTGGCCACATGCCTCTGCTTCTGCTCCGGGCACTGCAATCTAGAGTTACACACAGATTTCTCCCTGCGGGTATGTAAATTAGGAGACCAGTTCCTCCTTGTTTCCATTTCTGCAGGTGAAAATTAGATGCTTCAATAAAACTCCTGATGCTGCACTCCTCTCCAAGTCCCGAATTTCTCTCTCTCTATCTCTCATCTATCTACCTATCTTTATAGAACTCCATGTACCACAGGTGATTGATTGATTGATTCATTGATCGGTTGATTTACAGACAAGTTCTCACTTTGTTGCCCAAGCTGGAGTCCAGACACACGATCATGGCTCACTGTGGCCTCAACCCCCTGGGTTCAAGTGATTCTTCGCCTCAGCCTTCCGACTGGCTGGGACTACAAACGTGCACCACCACATTCTGCTAATTTTTTTTTATTATTATTTGTAGAGATGGAGTCTTGCTATGTTGCACAGGCAGGTCTCAAACTCCTGGGCTCATGCGATATTCCTGCCTTGGGCTCCCAAAGTCTTGGGATTATAGATGTGAGCCACTGCGCCTGGCCCCATACGCCACGGTTGAATAAAGTAAGCTGAGCTCTGACCTGATTCCTTTCCTCCTCCTTCCCTTGATTTGCCTAATGTCACACCTCAGTATGGAACTGATTTATCTCAAATCTATCCTGGGTACTGAAATAGACTTGGAATGAATTCCTGAATGGATGTCTCATCTCACCTGATGCCAAGTAAAGGAACCAAGATGAGAAATGAATCTACACAGGTTCCAAGCAACTCTTTCAGGTCTATTATTCCTAACCTTTGATGATTCCTCCTCCTGTTTCATTTTATTAAATTCTATTAAGAAAGACATGAAAGAAGCATAAAAGAAAAGTTGGCTGAGCCTACCTGGTATTTTATTCACAGGTCACATCTGGGAGGTATACATGTTCTGTTTGTTAAACCTGACAGTTTTCCCAAAATATCTCCTTCTTGGAGAAAGCTACATAGTTTTGAGGCAACTTTATCGTTAACAATAATTCTCACTCAGTGAGATGCTAACTTAGAACAAGTCCCTGTAAAACTCCCAGTTTAGCCATTTATTGAATAAAATAATTCTACCAACTTAAAGATTGTAGAGCCCATATTAACATGTGCTAAAGTGAGGTGTTGTTATACCATTCTCTGTACAGATCTAGTATGTTTGAAATACTTCAAATTTTAAAAACAATAACAAACATTATAAAGGAGCAATTTTCTATTACCTAGAAAATCTAGATCCACAAAAGGAGATGTAAAAAAAGCAATTTTGCATCATCATTAGTAAGAGCAAAAAATTGCGACCAACTCCATAAATCCATCAAAAGGAAAATAGCTACACAAAATGCAGTATATTCATAGGACAGAATCCCATCTTGCAGTTAAAATGAATGATCTAGCTGCATATGTAAACACACAAATGCCCTTGTGGGGTGGGAAAGAAAGCATGTTTCACAAAAACATAGGCAATATAGGACCATTTCTTTCAAGCACCTGTGCACATACAAGTGCATGTACACACACACACACATACACACATACACCCTGAATCTAATCTTAAGGAAACATCAGACAAACCCAAATTAAGGGACATGCTTCAAAATAATGGGCCTGTATTCTTCCAGAGACTCAAGGTCATGAAAATCAAGGAAAGACTGAGGAAATGATCCAGAATGAAGGACGCTAAAGACACATGACAACCAAATACAAGGCATGATTCTGAACTGGATCCTTTCACTATGAAGACCTTCTTGGGACTCTCTTCCAGCATGGCTGAAGACAACTCTTCACACAAGATGGTAGCAACAAGTCATAGGTGCAGTTGCACCAAATTCACAGAAGATTAATTGAAAATTCTCATCAATAGCTTCAATCAAAAACTTTACTCAGATTATGCTATCAAACAAAAACTTGCTTTAGAAATCAATACAGAAGATTCACCCAGAATCCAGATTTGGTTTCAGAATCGAAGAGCTAGGCACAGATTCCAGGAAAGATCAGACCTGAGACTTTAGAGTCAAGCCAGAGCCATAAGCAAGATCAACCTGGTAGAGAAGCCAGACGGTGTCGTACTACCTACAGCACCTCTCAACTACGCACTCTCAACAAGGCATTTATGAAAAACCCATACCCTGGGATTGATTCCAGAGAACAAATTGCTAAATAAATTGGTGCTCCAGGCTGGGCATAGTGGCTCACAACTGTAATCCCAACACTTTGGGAGGCTGAGGCGGGTGGATCACCTGAGGTCAGGAGTTCGAAACCAGCCTGACCAACATGGAGAAACCCCATCTCTACTAAAAATACAAAATTAGCCGGGCATGGTGGCACATGCCTGCAATCCCAGCTACTGGGGAGGCTGAGGCGGGAGAATCTCTTGAACCCAAGAGGCAGAGGTTGCGGTGAGCAGAGATCGCACCATTGAACTCCAGTCTGGGCAACAAGAGCGAAACTCTGTCTCAAAAAAAATAAAAGAAAAGAAAAGAAAGAAAGAAATTGGTGCTCCAGAGTCAAGAGTCCAAATTTGGTTCCAAAATCAAAGATCTAGATTTCATCTTCAGAGAAAAAGGGAACCTGTTGTGTCCTTAGAACAAGAAGACCAGGGGCAAGATCTCTGAGGGACTTCAAGGTACAGAAGACACATACAATAGCACCAACCTCACTAGCAACTGTCACTTCCCTAGAGCCAGAACATGGTGAAAACACTCAAGTTCAGTGTATTTAGTATTATCAACTTGGGTCCCAAATCTCTCTCACGGTCTTCCTGGGAGTCGATCCTTCTGCTGAAACTGCAAGCTAAGCCTTCTGAAGAGGGTAAACAACTTGGCCAGGTGCGGTGGCTCATACTTGTAATCTCAGCACTTTGGGAGGCAGAGGTAGGAATATTGCTTGAGCCCAGGAGATTGAAACCAGCCTGAGCAGCACAGCAAGACCCTGTCTCTATGATAAAAAATAAAATAAAATAAATAAAAAGAACTGTAGGAGGCAGAGATAGGTACAAGAGGCATCACACTACCCTACTGACACAGCCTGGATCCAGAGTTCAGCAGACCTTGAGACAATGAAAATAAACTTAATAATAATAGTAATAAAAGACCTCCTTGGGATAACTGGTAAATTATGGAGGCTGAAGATGGCTGCTAGTAAAATGTCAATGCTAATTTTCTGATTTTGACAGCTGTTTTGGGGCTTCTATAAGAGAATGTCCCTGTTTGCAGGAAAGATACTAATGAATTCAAGGGTGAGAAGGCATCAGGCCAACAACTTACTCTCAAGTGATTTCAGAAAATAAAGTCCCTGATACTGGTCTCCCAACCTGTCTGCAAGTAAAAACATCATACACCTTATACCATATACTAAAACTAACTCAAAATGGATCAAATATCTAAATGTAAAAGCTAAAACTATAAAACTCTCAGAAGAAAACATAAAGAAAAAGCTTCATGATTTAGATTTGGCAATGATTTCTTGGATATAATATCAAAAGCACAGGCAACAAAAGCAAAAACAGACGAATTGGATTTCATCAGAATTAAAAACTTCTGTACATCAGAAAACACCACCAACAGAGTGAAAAGGTAATCCACAGGATGAGAGAAAATATTTGCAGATCATCTATCTGTTAAGAAATTAATACACAGAATACATAAAGAACTTCTGCAATTCAACAATAAAAAAAACACAAAGCAATTCAAAACTGGGCAAAGAACTGAAATAGATCTCCAAAGAAGATATACAAATGGCCAAGGAGCACATGAAAAGATGCTCAACATCACTAATCATTAGAGAAACGTAAATCAAAACCACAATGAGATACACTTCACACTTATTAGGATGACCAGTATCAGAAAACACACACACACACACACACAAACACACATACAAAACAGCAAATGTTGGTGAGGATGTGGGGAAATCAGAACCCTTGAGCATTGCCGGTAGGAATGTAAAATGGTACAGACGCTGTGGAAAACAGTATAGTGGTTCCTCAAAAAATTAAACAAAGAACTACCATATGATCCACAACCTGTACCTAGGTATTTACCCAGAGGAATTAAAAGCAGGGTCTTGAAGAGATATTGGTACACCAATGTTAACAGCAGCGCTATTCACAATAATGAAAAAGTGGAAACAACCCAAGTGTGCATGGATAAACGAATGGATAGACAAAATACGGTATACAAGAGAATATTCTGTGGCCATAAAAAGAAAACTCTGACACATGCTATGAACATAAGGCTCAACATGGATGAATCTTGAAGAAATTATGCTAAGTGACATAAGCCAGTCACAAAGGGACAAATACCATATGATTATTCATATGATACTCAGAGTGGTCAAATTCAAAAGGCAGAAAGTATTATAGAAGGGCCGTTGCCAGTGGCTGAAGGGAGAAGAGAATCGGGAATTACTACTTAAGGGTAAAGTTTCAGTTTTGTAAGATAAAAAGAATTCTGTAGATAGGCTGGGAGCAGTGGCTCACACCTGTAATCCCAGCACTTTGGGAGGCCGAAGCGGGTAGATCACTTGAGGTCAGGAGTTTGAGATCAGCCTGGCCAACATGGTGAAACCTCATCTCTACTAAAAATACAAAAATTAGTCAGGCACGGTGACGCATGCCTGTAATCCCAGCTACTCGGGAGGCTGAGGCAGGAGAATTGCTTGAATCTGGGAGATGGAGGTTGCAGTGAGCTGAGATCACTCCACTGTACTCCAGCCTGGGTGACAGAGCGAGACTCCGTCTTAAAAAAAAAAAAAAAAAAATTCTGCAGATAGATGGTGATAATAAAAGTTGCATAACAATGTGAATATACTAATGCCACGAAACTGTATACCTAAAAATTTTAGGTTATGTATAATTAAACACAATTTAAAAAAATCTTCTGACATATACCCACCCAGAGATACCATGTGTAAATGTGGGTAAACATATTTTTGTTAAGTCTGGAAGTAAATACATAGAACTTATTAACGGCGCTACCTCTGAGAATGAGAGTTATTGTCAAAAATATTTTTAGTGTATCTTAAACTTCTAAATTCTTAAAAGAATACTGATTTTATGTATTAGATATAACAAAAATTGATATAAAAATGCTATTTTATGGACTCATGAGAAAAAAGATAGGAAAATAACTGTTTCTATAAAAATACCTTTCTACCCAGGAATACTATAAAAGCTTACTATTAAAAAATAACATTTCTAAATTGTTACTTTCCAGTTAATACACTGCTTTCTTGCTTGGAATTTTTTTTCAAGTAGTAATTATGATAATAAGAGACTCTTCCCAAGAGAAAATGAAGGGGGGCAAAGGGACAACATGAAACTTAAAAAAAAAAAAAAATCCTCAGAGCATAAGGCCAGATCTGGTCTGGATTTCAAAATGAAATTTTATAGAACTTATACTTATCCCCTGAAGGTTTCATGACCCAACAATGACACGAATGGTTAATAATAGCCTTTGCCCTCCCTCTGCAGTCAAACAGCCATGCAATTCCTGAACAGAGCCACTGCCCGGGGGATATTATGTGAGTATCATGTTCCTGACTTAGCAAAGGAGAAGTGGAAAATGGAAACAAGGCCACAAACTCAGATCTTTCCATTACAAAGAAATTGAGGCTTCCGGGCTTCACTTTCATGATTAAAAATAGAAAAAGAAATTGACTTCACATTTTATGGAAAATAGTCAAACGAATATATTTTCTGTGAAGAATATTCATAGACATGCCATTCTTTTGTGTTTCGTTTTGACAGAAATAATTGCGATGGTGGAGCTAGTGAGGTATAAAGTGGCTGCTGCGAGACTCTTGACCAGCTAGCAGCAAGAGGCACGCTGGAGCCCACAGTAGGACAACCTTCTCCAGTCCTGACTTCCACTCCGCCTCTGGAGCAGCTGCCTCCCTTCTGACAATGACTTTCCATAATTTCCAAGCTCAATGAACACCAGGAAACATACTTTTCCAAAAATAAATCTTTCTTTTTCTGACAAGCTCCTATGACAGACATTTAGAAATTTCCCTGAAAATATTAGCTACAATAGTATACATAAATCAAATTCAATATACATGTTTCTTGGGCTTTTTACAGTATCTTTTTAAAATTAATGTTTTTGTATTTGGGGGAAAACTGGGCAATAGTGAAACACTTGGCTTCATGTTGACCAGGAAAAAGGAGACTGCTTCCCTGAACTTGCTTGCTTTTTTTTTTTTTTTTCTTAAAAAAAAAACCATCAAACAAGTTCTGGCTTTTGTGTCCAGACTGTGCCCAAGGATCACTAAAAACCAGGGGTGAGCATCGCACTCCTTGATGTCCAATGTCTGATGTCATCATAGAAACTCATGCCATGGAATCCCTCCACCATGCTGGCCTTGGAGGCAAGAATGGGGTCATTCCTGCAGTGAACTGTGGGAGGTTGAACTTTACAATATTACTCTCTAATGCTCAAGCCACAGTATGAAAGAACCAAACATGAGTCACTGACAGAAAAGCTCTACTGTGGAAGGCAGAATATGAGAGTGGTTGAGGGCCTCCAAAGTGTATCCAGAATCTTTCCACAGCTCCTAAATGCCCTCTCTGCCACCCTGTCACAAGCCACACATCCCCCGATCCTGAGCCTACACTAAACCCAGTCTCATCCATCTCTGCAAACACAAATCAGAGCTCTCAACATTCTAACAGGTCTTTGGCTTACTAACAATAAAAGCCAAATTCCTTACCTTGGCCCATGAGGCCTTGTTCCATCAACCCCAGGTCACAGCTCTGGCCTCAGGTTCTGCCCCTCTCCCTGTCACCCTCCAAGCTCCAGCCACACTGGCCTTTCTTCCACCAGTCACCCTAGAGCTCTGCATCTGCTGACCCCTCTGTCTGGCACTCTTCCTTCAGTCTTCACTGGCTCCCTCTTATCTCAGCATCCTTCCCTAGCGCTTGCACCTAAGGGGACTTCTAGCCAACAGCATTCTCTACACCTAACCCTGTTTGATTTCTTTATATCATCAGAATTTTAAATTATACTTGTTTTTGTTTTTGTTTGTTTCTCCACTAGAATGGAAGCTTCATGAGGGTACAATGTTGTTTCAGTGCTGGACCTACATGCAGGGCCAGCACAGAGCAAGCACCCAATAATAATCTGCTGGATAAAGGTATTGGATGAGTAGGTAGTGGACAGGTGAGTGGATGGATAGATGGATGGATGGATGGATGGATGGATGGATGGATGGATGGATGGGCAGATGGAGGGACATATGGGTGGATGGATAAATGGATAAATGAACAAGCAAGCAAACAAACAAATGAGCATGAGCTTTTTATTCAAGGGCATTACCACTACGAAATCCTTGCCACACCACGTGATGGGGAGCCAAAGGCAGGAAGAAAGGCCTCGCCTGGATGGGCACTGAGGTAAGCATCATGTGTGAAGAGCTACCTATCTGAAATGAACCTTAAAAGATGGGGAAGATGTCAGCAGGTAGAGACAGGGAAGGAGTTCATTTCAGGTGGATGAGCAGAGACACAAAGGAGAAAAAATTGTGATACTTATTCATGAAACAATAAATAATCTGCAGGAAACTAGTCTACAATTCATTGTGAAAAGCTTTTACCATGAACTGAATAGGTAATAATACATCATAAAATATGAGCCCTTAACAATTTCCCATGTGTGTTTAAATGTAAATGATCAGCTAACTGCCCATGGAAGCCTCCACATTCATGAATTTCATTAAACTACAATTTCCATGCAGAGGCTAAGATGTCGATCACCCTGGGTTTTTATTCTAGTTCCATTAACACTTCGACAGATGAGTAAGGCATTCCATGTCTGGTACTCAGAAAGCCAAGAAAACTATAAATTACTTTCAACTACAAGTCTTAAAGTGGCTACACTGCTACAATCTTGCACACTCATTGAGCAATCCACATGTTGGGCTCATCTCTCCTAGGAAAAAAGTTATTACCCCAGCATATGCCTCAATGTCACCCAGTAGAGCGGCTGATCATCAGTCACTAACATATTGAGCTGTTGTTGCTGCATCGGCTTTTCCCTGACACATCTGTAATTGCGTTGAGAAGGCACCATATTCTGGAAACATTTTCATCACTGCCTGTGTGGCAGGGGGAAGGGGTGTTGGGAGACTGAGGGCTCGTTGATGAATAAGAACAGACTCACATGTGACCTCAATAATCAAGCAAAGCCATCTTGTTTCCTGGCAGCTGCAGTAACATAGGTTGTAAAGTATTTTTAGACAGTTGGGGGTGAGGAAGGGAGGGCAGGGTGGTCCAGAAGAAACCAACACCTGGAGCAGATGATCACTGCAAGGCCTGATTCTCTCTATTCCAGTAGTTCCCAAATGTCAGTGTGCTTAGGAGCACACAAAGACCTGGTTAGAAACATAAATGGGCTACTCTTCTGCCTTCCTCATCCAGACACTCCAGGAACTCTGGCTCAGAAAACCTGGGTGGGCCCAGGACCCTGCATTTTAGTAAGCACCATGGGTGGCTTGATGCCAGTGGTCCTCAGTCTGCCGTTTGAGGAACACTACCACCAACCCCTGGATAACTTTGATAGAGAAAGAATGTGTAATCTCTGCACACAACAGTCCCCAGTCCACCAGCCTCTTCACTTCTTGGGACCTCCAGAGAATGTGACAAAAGTCCTGGTCCCCTTTTTCCCAGCAAAAGGCACTTGCACACATCCACACATACAAAACTTGTGGGATAAGCTCAGGCCAGTCTGTGAGCCCCTAAGAGTCTACTTGATCCAACTCACACCCCACTGACCCATCCTAACCTTCTCTTTAAGATTAAAAAAGATAACTACCTCATCAGTCATTACAGACTACACCTATACTGCGGCAAGCTGGCAAACACCTCTGTGTAGATAAGGGTTTTATCTATGCCTGTAAAAAAAGTATAGCAAGTGCTGCATTTTTTAGAATTCTATCACTTCCAGATCTTTCATTCTCTCTCCATTACTAAAGCAAATGTTTCGGCAAGGTTTTCTGCAAAACACCACTGACTGGCAGAACATTTTTCTACAATTACCCGGGACTGTGAAGCTCCTGGTAAATCACTTAACAAGCTAAGAATTCCCAATTAAAATACTGAGTCTGTTTAACTAAATTATTGCTATGCACAATGTATAAATCCATGGAAGGAAAAACTCTACCTCTCTCCCTTCAGAATAAAAAGGATGCTGTTAATCTTTGGCAGGTCAAGTCAGCAAGGTAAGGAGTTCGTTTTTTTTTAACACACACACAAATGAGATTATAAGATTAAAATAACTAGGAATCTGCCCAAAACACATATACAGGAACAAACAAATAAAGCCCTTAAACCTTAAATGCACTACCCCATTAGTGTCCTGAGAGACTGGTTTAAAGCAAAACAGATATTTTGCTCTGGTTGGAGATTAGAAATGTCTTATGTGTCAATGGTAGAAAAGAAACAGATCCTAGTTTTTAATTTACCAGACATATTCCAGTAGAAGAGAAAAAAACTCTTTTCAATTTTTGCAATTTCCTTAACCTGTGCTATGGATTTAAGATGGTAAGGTGAAAGTCAATTGATTAATCAATTCATCAATGGGTCCCCAACAAAGAGACAGTCATGCCAGCCTTGTAAAGGCTTCTTTTTAAGCCCACTATGAGCTGACTTAGGACAACCATCTATTTGGAAACAAATTAAAGTGATAAAAGTGATCCCTTACAGCTCTCCACCAGGAAGAAAAACATCTACTAAGCTCCCACCCTTTCATACCAAATATTCATGCAATAGGCAGGCATTCCCCCAGGCACTGACAAGGACTCAGGATAAATTCTGACTGTGCAGAGCAGTGGGCTGGGCTGAGTGAGGTCAGGAGCTCCACCATCTCTACACCCAACTCACTCCCCAGAGGGCTGAGCTGATCTCATAATTCATGGAAAGCAGGTGCTCAGACAGAAAGGATCAGAAATCCAGGTGATTCCATGTGTGGTGAGAGGTCTGGCCAGGTGGCGCCCTAGCCCTGGTAGGAGGCCTTCCATGTGGCAGCCTACGTCCCAGAAGTCAGCGTCACTGACAAAGACTGCACAACAGCAACAACTCTGTAATGAGGACGCTTTGCTGAGTTCCCACTTCTGTTTTGGTGATACTTCAGCATAAACAAAGCTGGACCCTCAGTCAGCGTTTGTTCAATAAATTAATATGACAAAATGAACTAATATTTCTGGAGTAATTGACAAGATCTGGCTACCATCTTGGCAACCAGACTTTAAAACATACTCCTGCAGCAAGTCAACAACTCGAGCTTGGTTCAGGCCATGTGAACACTGAAGCTGAAACCAACCACAATTAGGGAGCTAGAATCTAGAATTCAAGCCTAAAAACAGAGTGAAAAGGAGTACATTTAAATAACTGTTCTTCCATGAAGAGATGCAAAGTTATTAGCAACAACATAATTCTTCCTTATATTCAGAGTACTTCTCATTTGATTTGTCCCCCAAACTGAAATATGCAGCAAGTGAGAGCTCCCCTCTGTGCACCTGTGATGGGGCCACCTGGTAGAAGCAAGCCACCTGTGTGCTCATGTGTCCTTCATTTCACCTCTGGATTCCACAGCAGGTAATCAAAAGGCTGCCCCTGTCACTGGAAGTATAAATAAATAAAACCAAATGTAATTCTTTTCCCCCACACCCCCTTACCCTACATATTTCTTTCAGATCCTACAAAAGCCATGAATGTCTCAATCTTGACATTCCAAGGTCCAGGCTCAGGGATTAATGCTTGCTGATAAGACAAGTATACAGAGAAAATTATGGACAGAGCAACGGTGATACTCAGAGGAGCGTAAAATTAATAGCTCCGTAAAATTGAAGGCACCGTGTTTCGCTAGCCAACTCATCCCAGTGATTTGTCAATAAACACGTCCGTTAACTCAAACATGTATACTTGAAAGTTCATTTTTTTAGCTCCTTCCAGCATTTCAATTTAATGAGGGCTTCGATGGCACTAAATAAATGAGAATGTAAATAATTAATGGCAACACTATGAACTAAGTGGGCCCTAGGCCCCAGGGAAGAGTCCTTCAATTACCAATGGCCCTTCTCACCAGGAAAAACCTCCATCTGCCCCCCAATCCATGTGAGGCTCAGGAAAACAAGCCCTACGCAGAGAAAGAGCACTTAAGATTAAAACAAGACAAGAATAAGCTTCTATCACAGAAATGGCAGGCTAGGGTGTTAAAATCTCCCAATATCTAGCCACCAATGGAAGAGCTCATGCACCAGCAATCATGCACTAGGTAATAATAAGCAGGATGTTCCTACCAGAATCGTGTTCTCCTGCAAAAAATGCACCAGGCAAAACAGCAGTCAGTTGGTTCTGCTGCTGCTTCCATGTCCTGTTCCCTTTGGAAATATGTCATTTGGAGCAAGAATGTAATGCTCTCCTTCCAACTTATCACTGCCAGGACATAGCATGAAACCCACGCAGCAGCCTATAATGTGATGGGTATGCTGCATGGAAAGCATGCAGATGCTGCAGCAGCCAGTTCTGCAAACAAGCAGCGGTCCAGTTAGAAAGGCAAACTGCTGGTTACCTTTACCAGCTCAGTCTTCACCAGCAGTAGCTGCATCACATAAGTAGAGCTCTGAGATTCTTGAAAATAAGAATCTACCCTTATTTGAAGTAGAAATTTGAAAACAATAATTGGGAATCCCTTCTACTTTCCATATCCTTAAAGGTCAGCTAAAACCTCCGGTCCCCTGGGAGGCCCACTCGGCTGAGAGGCAACAGCAGTGACAATGGCCTTCTCTGAACTCAGGACATTCATAGACACCACAGCCCACCAGCTGTGAGCACCACTGCTAAACAAACACCACCCCTCCCACCCACACACACCTCCCTGGACAGGGCAGTGAACAACACTCAGGGAGCTTGAGTTTTATGAGTGGTGTGGACCATGATAGCAGATGGTGTGAAGTCTGTGAAATACACCATCAGAGCAACAGGGCAGAGTAGAGTAGCCGAAGGGGCTTCCTGGGAACTGTGGGGGTCAGAGATTCTTGGAGAAGGAGGGGGAGACCCTGGAATTGAGACAAGAGCTCCGAGGTAGGAAAGAGCTTGACCCTCTTCTCAGCAAGGGAGAGGAGGCAACAGCAGATGCAGTAGGTGAAGCATAGGGATGGAGGGAAAGACAGCCACAGAGCAGGCAAGAAAGGGCCACGGACGCCTGGTCACTTAGGCCTTGGCAAATGACAGCAAGGAATGCAAGGCTTCAGCAAAATGCACTTGGAAGGCACTGAAGAGTTCTAAGGAGGAGCACAAACTGAATGGTCTTGTAACCTTTCCTAAGTTGTCTTATGCTGTCCACCTCTTTCACTGTCATTAACCTTTCAGGTTTATGTTGCCCAAAATCTATCCCCGGCTGCACAGGCTGGGCAGCAGCAGTTCCTTCTCTTCCTCACAGTGCCTAGCACACCATCAAATACCAAAACGACACTTGGTGCTTACATACATACACAAATGCATGCACACATACCCACATGCACATGCACATGGGCACACACATCACATATACACACACACATACACACACATACACATATGCACACATACCCATGCACACATATACATCCATATACACACACACATCATCCATTTGTTCAGATAGTTTAAAGAACTTATTTATATTTTAAAAGAACCTGCTAAAAGAATCATTTTTCTATAACGTTGAAATTTGCCAAAAGAACCATTTTTCTTTAATGTAATTGTAGCAGTTTTCATTACTGATTGGAATATAATGGAAAAATAAAACACTGAGAATTAAAAGCTTAATTGATAGAAACACGTGTTTATCTATCAGTAAAAAGAATTTGGCTGTGCTCCTCCTATCAACACAAAAGCAAGCAAATTAGCTATTTGCTCCAAGAGGAAACTCCTTCTAATTCAGAAGAAAAGGCAGAGAGAGGCCCCAGGCACAGGCCAGCACCAACCTAACACAGGCCGCTTCTGCGCCTACCCACCGCCACCTACTGGAGAGCTAGGGGCAGAGCGCAGTGCAATGTTCAGGGTCTGAGGCTTCTGGGGGCCAGGAAACTGGTCCATGTAAATGAAGTTGATGCAAGACAATTTGTGTATTTGAGGAGAAAACTCCTAAAGGATTCAGAAATAACTAAAAGTCTTTTTTAATCCTTATAAGTTAACATGGCTCGTTAGAAGTTTAAAAAATGCCTACTTGAGGATTTTTTGATTTGGGGAGAGGGATTTATTGTATAAGGTGTACAGCATGATGCTCTGATCTACATACACATAGTGAAGTGATTACTACAGTCAAGTAAATTACATGTCCAGCATCTCACACAGTTACCGTCCTTTATTCTGTGTGTGCTGAGAATTCCTAAATCTACTCCCAGTGCACAATATGATACTGCACTCCTTATGGTGTACATTAGATCTTGAGACTTACTCACCCAAAATAACTGCATCTTTGTACCCTTTGACCTAAACAAGAAGAGGGTACTGGTTGAAAGAAAGGTGAAGATTCTAAAGGCAAAATGTACTATTCTACCATTTCCAGAAAAATATTTAGAATGAAAAAAAGACTAAAATTTTTCTCCAAATAGAGTTAAAGCAGAATAATAACTAAAAACTATGGAATAATGATCAAATAAAACCAGAGGGAGTAGCCAGAGGCAAGACAAAAACCCAGAGAGAATGACGTCCTGGGAAACAAGGCTCCAGCCATTTCCAGGGGCAAAAGTGGGCAGCAGTGGCAAGAAAAGTGTTCTGAAAAATGGGCATGAAATAAAGCAATGTGAGGTCACTGGGGCCCTCGGTGAGAACCTTTACAGACCCAAGGACACTGTGGCAGAGCAGAAGGGAGGAAATGGAAGCATTTCTCAATTGGAGACATTTGGGCATATTTAAAACCCAATGGGATAAGATGGATGACTGTGAGAGGCAGACAGAACCAACAAGAGGACAGAGGCTTCCAGGAAGCTGCTGAGGAGGTGGAAGGGAAGGGCTCCAAAGCCCAGGTCAGTCTAGACCCACAGCCGAGCAGTCACACAGGCCCCATCTTCAGAGGGGCCCCACCTTTCGTTTTATGCTCTATGTCACCACCTTGAAATTTGTAATATTTTTTGAACAAGGGGCCCCACATTTTCATTTTACACTGGGCCTCTCAAATTATGTAGCTGGTCCTGGCCCCAGGGAGAGGCTGGACTCAGCCCAGGAAAGGGTAGCTCTGCTACCACGGTGGCAGAAGGGGGATAGAGAAGCAGAGTCAATGCCATCTGCTGGCTTCTTTCCCTGCAAAGCTGAGAGAGAGCTGTCTGCTGTGAATGAGCCAGAGGACAGACAAGGGGAAAGAGGTTAGCACTTCATCTAACATGGAGGTATCTGGTAGACTTCACCTGAACCAAGTAATAAGGCTGGTATCACAGGTAACAAGACAAATCAATACCACATACCTCCTGGTAGGATGCACTATGAAGGGCACAAGATCACTTCTGTGCTATTTCCTATTCCTGTCAACATGTATTACCTCAATATAATCATAGAAAACCCAAAGTGAGAAACATTCTACAAAACAGTAGACTAGTACTCTTGAAAAGTATCAATGTCACAAAAGACAAGGAAAGGCTGAGGAACTGTCACAGATTGGAGAAGACTAAGCAGAAATGACAACTAAATGCCGTGTGGAATCCTGCATTATCCCGGAGCAGAAAAAAGACATTTAAAAAACCTAGTGAACTTTGGCTGGGCGCGGTAGTTCACACCTGTAATCCCAGCACTTTGGGAGGCCGAGGCGGGTGGATCACCAGGGCAGGAGATCGAGACCATCCTGGCTAACATGGTAAAACCCCGTCTCTACTAAAAAAATACAAAAAAATTAGCCGGGCATGGTGGCACGTGCCTATAGTCCCAGCTACTTGGGAGGCTTAGGCCGAAGAATGGCATGAACCCGGGAGGTGGAGCTTGCAATGAACGGAGATCGCGCCACTGCACTCCAGCCTGGGAGACAGAGCGAGAATCCGTCTGAAAAACAAACAAACAAACAAAAAACCTAGTGAACTTCAAATAAGGTTTGTAATATAGTTAATATAATAGTACTATATCAACATTAATTTCAAAGTCTTGGTCATTGTACTATGGTTATGTAGACATTGAAACTAGAGGCAGTTGGGTTAAAAAGTATATGGAAACTCTGTTTTTTCAACTTTTCTGTAAGTCTCAAATTATTTCACAATAAAAAGCTTACATTTTCATGTGGACTTTTCATTTGTGATTTTTTTAATGTCATTAGTCATTCCAAGACCCTCAGTTACTACCACTGAAGTCTAGCCTACTACATCAGACATGTTCCTCAATACAAAAAGAGTCAGAAACTGCTATGGTTTGGATTTGTGTCCCCACCCAAATCTCATGTTGAATTGGAATCCCCAGCATTGGAGGAGGGGCCTGGTGGGAGGTGACTGGATCATGGGGGTAGACTTCCCCCTTGCTGTTCTCGTGACAGTGAGTTCTCATGAGATCTGGTTGTTTAAAAATGTGTAGTACATCCCCCTGCTTTCTCTTATTTCTGCTCTGGCCATGTGAAGATGTGCCTGCTTCCCCTTCACCTTCCACCATGATTGTAAGTTTCCTGAGGCCTCTGCAGCCATCCTTCCTGCACAGCCTGCAGAACTGTGAGCCAATTAAACCTCTTTTTTTTAATAAATTACCCTGTCTCAGGTATTTCTTTATAGCAGTATGAGAATAAACTAATACAGAAACAAAAAAGAAAGATTATGTTCCACTTTAAAAATCTGGCTTTGGCCAGGCATGGTGACTCTTGCCTGTAATCTCAGCACTTTGGGAGGCTGAGGCCCTAGGTGGATCAGTTGAGCCCAGGAGTTCAAGACCACCCTGGGCAACATGGTAAAACTCCCTCTCTACACAAATTCAAAAATTAGCCCAGCATGGTAGCGTATGCCTGTAGTCCCAGCTACTTAGGAGGCTGAGGTAGGAGGATCACTTGAGCCTGGGAGGTCGAGGCTGGAGTGAGCCATGATCGCACCACTGCACTCCAGCCTGGGTGACAGAGCAAGACCCTGTCTCAAAAAAAAAAAAAAAAAAAAAAGGCCGAGCACAGTGGGATTACACCTGTAATCCCAGCACTTTGGGAGGCCGTGGCAGGCAGATCACCTGAGGTCAGGAGTTTGAGACCAGCCTGACCAACATGGAGAAACCCCGTCTCTACTAAAAATACAAAATTAGCAGGGTATGGTGGTGGGCGCCTGTAATCCCAGCTATTCGAGAGGCTGAGGCAGGAGAATTGCTTGAACCCAGGAGGCGGAGGTTGCGGTGAGCCAAGATGGCGCCATTGTGCTCCAGCCTGGGCAACAAGAGCGAGACTCCATCTCAAAAAAAAAAAAAAAAAAAAAAAAATCAGGCTTTGAACAGGTTGCCCAGCTTCACGTTTCTATCACGCTGTCCCCTTACTGCCGCATCACTGGCCATCACAGCATGCTAGCAAGGGAGGGAGACTGGGAAGGAAGAATGGAAATGTTTGCTCAGTCCTTCTTCCTCTGCCTGCCAGGCCCTACGTGTCTCTATCCAGTGAGTGTGTTAATTAAGCCTTTACAAGTATGCTAAGCATCTATGAGACCACGCGGGTTCCAAGGACTATTACACATTTCCTTTCTCTATTTTAATTAACTTTTATTTCATGAGAGCTTACAAATTGGCAGCAAATCCAGGTCAGACACTGCTTTAGAAAAATGGAGATTTACAGCAAACCTTGGGGGGCACATCTATCCACACCTGGGACCAAACCCAATTCAGGTAACCATTCGGAATGGGTGAACCGGCCAATCCAGGGCCATTGCTCTGCTGCCACCCAGGGGCAGGTGGGCGCCACGGCACCTGGCCAAGGGAAGGGAAGCCCAGGGGAAGAACCTGGCTCTGCACAGGACATGTCCTCTGGAATTCAAAGGCAGGACGAGGCAAGGGAGAAGTGCTGTACCCACCGGCCACAGTACTCAGGAGTGCACCGTAAACATGCACTCTTGGGAAGGCAGGTATTAAAATAAATACAACGTTGCAACAATGATGTATTTCCTCAGACCGAGGACTCTTCCAGGGACTAAAGGGATGTTACAGGCACCCAAGGGACGGAGCCAGGCACCAGACTCCAGGCTTACCTGCTTTGGGTCAGAGGTAGCAGTGCCGGGAGCTGGCGATTCCAGCTCTATGGTCACAGGCCCATCATTCTGAATGTGCACCTGCATGTAGGCCCCAAACTTGCCATCTGAAAAAGCAATCCAAACAGTTACCAAAGATGGAGACACCAGATTACTCCATCCAAAAGCACACTGTATTAGTTCATTTTCACACTGCTAATAAAGACATACTCAATACTGGGAAACTTACAAAAGAAAGAGGTTTAACGGACTCACAGTTCCTCACGGCTGGGAAGGCCTCACAATCATGGCGGAAGGCAAGGAGAAGCAAATCAGATCTTACATGGATGGCAGTAGGCAAAAAGAGAGAGAGCTTGTGCAGGGAAACTCCCGTTTTTAAAACCATCAGATCTCGTGAGACTTATTCACTATCACGAGAACAGCACAGGAAAGACCCGCCCCCATGATTCAATTACCTCCTACCAGGTTCCTCCCACAAAACATATGAATTGTGAGAGTTACAATTCAAGATGAGATTTGGGTGGGGCACAGCCAAACCATATCACACACCTAGATCAGCGTGATCCAAAACCCGGGTCACAGTGGGAGAAGGAGGTTGACCGGGAGGAGGATCAGCCACTCAACACAGGAAAAGTTAGCCAGCCTTGTAAGAGGGATGGAAATGCAGGATTAAGTAGCACAGAGGCTGCTGCGTGCCCAACAGATTTGGCAAGAAATAAAAGGTCTGGTAACACCAAGGGTGGGAAAGAATGTGGGTTACCGGGACTGTACATGGTGGGAAGGCAAACACAGAGCATTCTGGAAGGCCATGTTTGCACTGCATGCAGTGAAGCCCTCCATCTCCCTCCATGGAAGGCACTGCTTTTGGGCTACTGCGGCACAGGCAGGCCTCACACCCTGAGGTCCTTCCGCAACCTGGGTGACCTCCATGAGTCTCTGTTCCTGCCACCACAACCTCACAAATTCCTTCTCTGAGTCTTTCCTACCAGTGGGTCCCTAACTTCAGAAGGACTCAGCAAAATGGGCATGCCAACAGACAGCTTTCTTTGGCCCACAGACAGTAGCATTGGAAATTGTATTAGAAGCACCCAAGCTGTTGGCCATGTTTATAAGCAAGATTAATCTAGATCCTACTGGATAGTCAAAGGTGCTCAAAAAATGATGACTTTCCGTGACCTCCTATCAGATTAAAGTGGCCGTTCAAATCAACAGAGCTTTTGTCTCATCCATGTCAGACTAACTAAAAAGACATCAGCTGGGAAGGAAATCATGTGTTTAATTGCATGCTAAAATTATGGCTACAATTAGTAGAAAATTTCAGTCACTGCACTCCTCAGGGAGGCTGAAGGCAGGCTCAAGAGGACAGGAATTATTTCCGACCTTGAATTTCTGTTGCCAGGATATACAGTATATGCTTCACCTTGTTTATCATTCCAAGTAGTGAGAAATTTATTTTCTTTTCCTGTTTTTCTTCAGTTAAGAATAGAACTATTATGTGAATTTCCATCCGTACAGATGATAAATCCAAAGACATGTTTTAAGAGATCTTAAAATGGTAACATTTTTTTCCAGTCCAGATCAAAGGGTAAAGCGCCCAAAAAGAATTATACTAACCAGAGAAAATAAACACATTTTAAAAAAAACACACACTCACACAAAAGCATATCTATAAAATGACATCTGGGCTCCTATGGTGATATAATCAAGTTGTTCTTAAATATTAAGTCCCAGCTTTCTTTCTACCCAGAGCTGCAGGTTAAGCACATGTTAGACACGCTTATGCTGCATGTTTAAAGCAGGAAAGCTCTCAGCTGGAGACTAACCACCCATGAACTCATCTCCAGCAGAACTTTTCAAGGCCCTAACAGCTGTAAACCAGAGTGCCTCCCTGCAGATTCTCTGTGTAGCTACAAAAACTGGTGTCCATGCCCCTCTGGACAATGCTTCACTGACTTTAGCCACCAGCCAAGAAGGCTCACACCACCTCTCCGGGCCCCAGTTTGTTCTGGTGCAACAGGACAGTTGTCCTGGGATGGTTACAAAGGTGCACATAGGTTAGTACACAGCCCAGCACAGTGAGTGTACAGGAAATCATAGTCACTATTATTACTATTGTCATGCCTACCACTGTCCATGGTAGTATATGCGCAAATTGCAGGGATGGGACAGAAAAATATTATGCCAAAAAAGTATACTCTGAAAGAAAAATGGGGAGAACAAAAGGCGTGTACCAATGCTTCTTGGCCTGGCTGGGAGCAAGCCCACATTCGCTGCTCTCCAGAGCTGGCCCTGTGTGGCCATGAATGGGCTGGACCTCAGCCAACCTTTGGGGACCAGTATGGGACATGGGCACTAGACAGTAAGCCTCAGGTCAGCCCATCTAAGCACATCCCCTAAAGGCAGTTATCTGCCACCAAGGAGGCATTCTCACCCCACAGGCTTCCTCTTCATTCTACTTTCAATCTGTTCAGAACCTGAGCAGGCAGGAGGCTGTTACTGATGGAAACCCCAACAGTGGGTTACAGGCTGGGACCTCAAGAAATTAAGCAAATCAGTGGCATTGAGGGGTTCAAAATAAGCCTGGGGCCAGGCTGGAGCCACTGCCTGCTAGAGGAGTTTGATCTGGATGCGCAGGATTGTGCCTAGAGCCTTTGGGAGTATGACTCTGGAAGCCGCTAGCATCCATGGTGGTTCTGACCTCAAGTACAGGGCTGCTTCTACAGAGACAGGAGTGTTCCTTGGCATCCCCAGTGCCCCAGAGGCTGGGCCAGTGCCAGTGAACCACCACTGGGACAACACAGCAGCAGACGCCTGGCTCAAAGGTGCCTGGAAAGCTGAGGCAAGGGCTCTGGGGCCTTAGGCAGAGACCAGTAGCTCTAGGAATGACAAGTCCTAAGTGACTTGGTGGTGAAAATATCTGTTTTGTCAGCAAATGGGTGTATTACAGGCCCTTCAGGCCCTGGCAGCTGATTTTCTCACAGTTTGAGGGCTAGGCCTAGGTCTGACTGCATGCCACACTCAGGGCCATGGAGGGAAGTGGAAAGGCAGACCTGGGGCTCTTGTGGCTTCTTCCCAGGCTTTGGGCTCCCCTTATCAGGGTTCTCCACTTGGCTCTGCAACAGCGCAGAGGTGGTATCTACATCTGAGGGCGGTGTCTACAACAGATTCATTTCTTGGAAACAAGTGTCTCAAGCCTGGAACTTTGTAGCAAGAAGGATTGGAGGACCCAAAATACCTAACTATGGAAAAGTGAGGGCACCTTTCACTAACAGGGCCACCCTCAATTCCAAACTAAAGAGTGTCAAAGCCATGAGAAGAAACAAACATTACGACGGTAAATGTCTAGGACCAAAGTTTACCTTTAGCTGGGAAGTTAAATTCCCAACTATGCCTACATCCTGAGGTCATAAATTCAAGGCAATTAAGGTAGCCTTCTTGCATAACAGGAGATCCAAGGCAAGGAGCTCCCTGATTATCAAACTTTGCTCAGACATCTCTGGGCCCTGCTGGGGTCCTTGACATCACTCTGCCTGGGATAACTCTGTAGGGTTGAAGGCTATATGGTTGTCTAACTGAGGCTCAAGGAAGCCTGTGTGGGGATGATGCAGTGTTTGAGTCCCCCCAAAGGACCTACAAGGACACCTGTATGACACATCTCAGACACAGCTTGGACAAGGCTGCTGCATGAACCCAGACTCAATCGAGCATGGCCACCCTTCCACAAAGAACAGCAGGGGAGGTGGCTTCTGAGCTCATGATGTCTTGGGATATGATTTCATATCTTACTTCCTTCGGTCTTCAAAGCTTTTGGATTTGATTATGTTACAGAATTAATCTTGGCCTGTAATTTCTCCCTGGGACTGTGATAATGGGATAGGGTCTGCATTCAAATCCAGTGCATTTCCATGTTGCTGGCACTTTATTATGAGTTTCTTATGTATTTTACTATTGCAGTATATTGTCACTTAACCTCACTGCAGGAGCTCTGGTGTGCTGGGCTGGGCACTGTGGCTGGACACGGCTTGGGAAACAGCCTAGGGAATAAGTCTTCACCTTGGGAGCACAGTGGCCTTGGAAGGGCTTCATGGCAGGGTTCTGACCCAGTTCAGAGCCTCCAAGGACAAAAGACAGCAGGAGCAGCCTAACATAGGCTCCAAGGTAGACTGGTCTGAGTTGGTGAGGCTTCCTTCCCTGACAGGGCACCCCCATGGCCAGAGTGAGCCTCTGCTCAGAACCACCCTCCATCAGTTCCTGTCACTCCCATGACAAGAGCCATAGTCCCTGGAGTAGCATGCCCTCTATTGTGCATGCTCTTTTTCTGTCTCTACACACACACACACACACACACACACACACACAGTTCTTCTTGTAAGTACTGTTGAGAAGTAAGAGAAAGTGATCCCTGTAAGTTTTCCTAACTTAAAAGTATGTTATTATAATACCATAGAACACATGGGGGAAGTGGCTCACTCAGGCTGCTGTGTTGGGTATGTCCTGAAAGGAGACCCGGCTGGACGCAGGAGGCCCATTAATAGGCTGTCACAAAAATTCAGATGAAAGATGCAGACGGCCTGCGCCAGGGTGGGTGCAGAAGCGGCGTTCTGCTCTCAGCTTCCGTGTGCATGTCCCAGGTGAGGCAAACAGGATTTGCTGATAGAGCAGATGTGGGGAGGAGGAGCCATGCCAAACTCTGAAGTTTCATCCCATAAGTGCATTTATTAGAAAATAAGACTAAAACCAAATTATTAGAAAATAAGACTAAACCCGAATGAAATAAGAAACCAGGAAAAGAAACCAAATAAATCACACACTCATTAAAGTGAAGAAGATGAAGTGAAAAGAGTGAAGAAGATTAAAGCAAAACAATGAAATACAAAAAAAACTAAAAACGCTGATTAAGAAAAAAAGGAGGAAAATACAACCAAAAGACATGAGAAAATTAATGTGACTCTAGATATAGAGATCTTTCAAAATAATTTTAAAAATCTATAAAATTGCTAGGCACAGTGGTTCACACCTGTAATCCCAGCACTTTGAGAGGCTGAGGCGGGCGGATCACGAGGTCGGGAGATCGAGACCATCCTGGCTAACACAGTGAAACCCCATCTCTACTAAAAATACAAAAAATTAGCTGGGCATGGTGGCATACGCCTGTACTCCCAGCTACTCAGGAGACTGAGGCAGAAGAATCGCTTGAACCCGGGAGGCGGAGGTCGCAATGAGCCGAGATCGCGCCACTGCACTCCAGCCTGGCGACAGAGCAAGACTCCATCTCAGACAAAAAAAAAAAATTCTATAAAATTGTCTTCTAATAAGTTGGAAAATCCAGCTGTGAAGGAGAGGACAGGTAAAGTGCACTGCCCAGAGGAACTTGCGGGATATTGGGAAACTTCCTTGGCAACAGCCAAGGAAGCCGGCCCAAAGAGATCACTAACAAGTTCTATTAAACAGTAACGCCTATGTGATTTAAATTGGTCCAGACCACGGGAAAAGATGTAAAGCTTTCTAGTCTATTCTGCAAGGCCAGTATCACCCTTACACTAAAATTAGACAGGAATTTTTTTTAAAGCATAGACAAATTTCTCCTTTGAATACAGATGCAAAAATTCTACACTAACAACACTTGGGAAATTTCTTGCAGGCATTTATTAGAAGAACACTATGCAGTGGCCAGGGAAGGTTTAATCAGCATGGCTCATGATTAGGAAATGCATTTATCAGGTTAACACTTAGTGAAAAAGCCTGGAGAAAATGAAATTCCCTTCCTGTTTAAAAATGAAACTCTTAATTTGGCTAGAAACCTGCTTCTTTAAGAAGACTATGTAGGGACCTCTTTTTCCTGCAGTCAGGTAACTTAGGCACCCTGAATTATCTTCCTCACCCCCTAGGAAGTAAATCAATGTATTTAAAAAGATGTCATAAGTGGGAGTTGAACAATGAGAACACATGGACACAGGGAGGGGAACATCAAACACCAGGGCCTTTCAGGGGGTCGGGGGCAAGGGGAGGGAGATCATTAGGGCAAATACCTAATGCATGCAGGGCTTAAAGCCTAGATGACAGGTTGATAGGTGCAGCAAACACCATGGCACATGTATACCTATGTAACAAATCTGCACGTTCTGCACATGTATCCCAGAACTTAAAGCAAAATAATTTTTTTTTTTTTTGAGACAGAGTCTCGCTCTGTCACACAGGCTGGAGTGCAGTGGCACAATCTCTGCTCACTGCAACCTCCGCCTCCCGGGTTCACGCCATTCTCCTGCCTCAGCCTCCCGAGTAGCTGGGACTACAGGCGCCCACCACCATGCCCGGCTAATTTTTTGTATTTTTAGTAGAGACAGGGTTTCACCGTGTTAGCCAGGATAGTCTCGATCTCCTGACCTTGTGATCCGCCTGCCTTGGCCTCCCAAAGTGCTGGGATTACAGGCGTGAGCCACCACGCCTGGCCAAAAAAATTTTTTTAAAAAAGTAAATATATTAGCCAAGATGTTCTGGATCTAGTAATTGAATGCTAACCAAGATAATGAGATTCACCCAGCCATTTTAGCATACACAGATCATTTAAGAATATAACCATTCTTAAAAATACATAAGATTTTTATTAAAGTCCTAATTTGTTTTTACACTTCTAATGCAAATATATATATGGAATAAACTTACTTCAAAAAAAAGATGGATTGATTAAGCAAGTACTTCAGTAATAACTGTTACAGGCAAAGACCATGGATGGAGGCTAAAATTAGTGAGTGGGAGTAGGCTGAGTAACAGGATATTTGCATAGTCTCAAATTATCTCCACACAAAACACAGACCAATTACAAAGTGGAAAACAGTAACTTGACAGAGAAAAATCTGGCAAATAATGAGACATGTCGACATCATATGCCCCAACACGATGCACTGAGAAGGGTACAAGATCACTTTTGTAGTGTTCCTGCCAAAAATGCCTAACTTTAATCATGAGAAGACATCAGGCGGACACAAAATGAGGGACATTCTACAAACTGACAAAATGAGTGACTCTTCAAAAATGGCAACGTCATGAAAAACAAGGAAAGACAAGGTAATCACCACATACTGGGAGAGACTAAGGAGCTGCAACAACTAAATGCGGTTTGGAATTCTGGATTGAATCCTGGACCAGAAAAAAGGATATTAGTGGGACAACTGGCAAAATTCAAATAAGGTCTGTAGTTTAGTCAATAGTATGTTATCAGTGTTAATTTCCTCATTTTGATAACTGTACTATGTAAAATGTTATCAATAGAAGTTGGATGAATCTTATTATTTGTCAAACTTTTCTGTAAGCCTAAATTATTTCAAAATAAAAAGTTAACAGCCAGGCAAGGCGGTATGCACCTATAGTTCCAGGTATTTGGGAGGCTGAGAGGCAGGAGGATCACTTGAACCCAGGAGTTCCAGACCAGCCTGGGCAACACAGCAATATTCTACCTCTTAAAAAAAATTTCTTTAAATTAAGTATGGTGGCACATGCTCATAGTCCCAGGTACTTGGAGACTAAGGCAGGAGGATTGCTTGAGCCCAGGAGCTCAAGGCTACAGTGAGCTATGATCATGCCACTGTATTCCAGCCTGGGTGACAGAATGAGACCCTATCTCAAAAAAAGAAAAAAAAGAAAAAAAGAAAGTCAGCCTATGAAAGCTGTAGGAAAATTTTTAAAAATAAAAATGAATAAAATGAAATACAAAAGAGTTAAAGAAATATATTCCATCCAGCATTAATTTAGTTGGTTCAGTTGAGAGGTTTTTTGCCTAAGCCACTAGAAGGCTGGCGTTGCCACCAACTGAGATAGGTAAGCCCACAGTGGCATAGGTTGGGGTTAGGAAGTGAAATTAAGAGATCAGGGTTAGACCCATTGAGTTTGGGGGTCTCTTAGGTACCCAAGAGGGGATATGTAAACAGGCAGCCAAACTTAATGTGTCCAATACGGGGACCCAGAGGATTAATGAATTCATAACTTTAACACACTCCAGGTAAAAATAACATGATTACTTTCTGGAAGTAAATAAGCTGATTTAAAAATTCATATGAAAAAATAAACATTTAAGAAGAGCTAGGAAAAACTCTAAAGGACAATGTGGGAGAAATTCACCTTACCTGGTAGGAAAGCATAGTAAAAATCCTCAATAACTAAAACAGTGTGTCTTCAGCATATATACAGATAAGACAGACAGACAAAAAGAATAGATAGAAATGAAATTTTTTCAGTGAATGGAAGTTTTTAAAAATTAAAATTAAAAACTAAAAATAATAAATAAAATTTAAAAGTTCATAAATACATACAAGAATTTACTAGAAGATAAAGCCAGAAACTCAGTTAGTAAAGCTAAAGGTTGCTTTTTAAATAAATAGTTTTGGGAAGCCATTTAGTAAATACCTGAAGAAAAAGATAAGTGTTCAATCCATGCTTTACATTTATATGGGATAAACTACAAACAGATAAAAGATTTCAAAGTAAAAAATGAAAGCATAAAAGCAGGAGAGGAGGCCAGGTGCGGTGGCTCACCCCTGTAATCCCAGCACTTTGGGAGGCCGAGGCGGGCAGATAGCCTGAGCTCAGGAGTTCAAGACCAGCCTGGGCAACACAGTGAAACCCTGTCTCTACTAAAATACAAAGAATTAGCCAGGCGTGGCGGTGTGCACCTGTAGTCCTAGCTACTCGGGAGACTGAGGCAGGAGAATCGTGTGAACCCAGGAGGCGGAGGTTGCAGTGAGCCAAGATTGTGCCACTGCATTCCAGCCTGGACAACAGAGTGACACTCCGTCTCCAAAAAAAAATTAAAAACAAAAAAAGGAGGAGAGGCAAAAATAGCCAAATTTCTTTGTAATTTTGGAGTAGAAAATGTCATATGAGTCATAGAAAACTTGATTCAAAAGCCAGCAGACATTTCAAAAAATTGACAATCTACTGCTTAGGGATCAAAATTGTCTACCCAGCAAACAGTCCCTTAAGCAAGGTCAAGGGGCAAATGACAAAATAGAGAAAGATAGCTGCAACTCATAGCATGTATAAAGCACTCACAGAAATAAAGAACCTGACAAATAACTTGACAGAAAAAATGAACAGGCCAGGGGAGGTAGCTCATGCCTGTAATCCCAGCACTTTGGGAGGCTAAGGTGGGAAGACGGCTTGAGCCTAGGAACTTGAGACCAGCCTGGGCAACATAGTGAGACCTTGTTTCTACAAAATATAAAAATAGCCAGGCACGGTGACTCACGCCTGTGATCCCAGCACTTTGGAAGGCCAAAGCAGGAGGAGTACCTGAGATCAAGAGTTCGAGATGAGCCTGGCCAACATGGTGAAACCCCATCTCTACTAAAAATACAAAAATTAGCTGGGCATGGTGGCAGGTGCCTGTAATCCCAGCTACTCGGGAGGCTGAGGCAGGAGAATTGCTTGAACCAGGGAAGTGGAGGTTGCAGTGAGCCAAGATGACGCCATTACATTCCAGCCTGGGCAACAAGAGCAAAACTCCATCTCAAAAAAAAAAATTATATGTGTGTGTGTGTGTGTGTGTGTGTGTGTGTGTGTGTGTGTATAAAATTATGTATATATACACATATATGTGTATAATTATATATACATATACATATATACACACACATATGTATGTATATATAATTTTTGTATTATATATGTATTAATATGTATTATAGATGTGTTCATATATATAATTTTTATATCTATATTAGCTGGGAATGGTGGAACATGCCTGTGGCCCCAGCTACTCAGGAGGCTGAGGTGGGAGGATTGCTTTAGCCTGGGAGGTTGAGGCTGCAGTGACCCATGATCATGATGCCACTACAGTCCAGCCTGGGTGACAAAGAGCCAGACCCTGTCTCAAAAAAAAACAAAAAAACAAAAACAAAAAAAGGACAAAGCACATAAACAGTTAAGAGAAAAGGAAATAAGTCAGTCAAACATCTGAAAAAATGTCCAACCACACTCTGTGCATTAAAACTACAATGGGATATCTATCAGATGGGTGAAATTCTAGAAGTTCAAAATACACTCTGCCAACAGAGCTAGGAGAAATATGGTAGTCTCACACTGCAGAAAGGTGCGGTGCCTACAAACGGCCATCTGGCACCGTCTATCCCATTTCTGAGAATTTCTCCAACAGGTATCTCCCGACTGCATATGAAGTGGCATATGTACAAATGTATTCATCATGTCACTGTTGTTTTTAAGAGACATAAATTAGAAATAATCCAGGAGTCCAACAATACAAGATCTATTAAATAAGCCAGGCTATGGTCCTGCCACAGAACAGTACACAGCAGTTTAAAAAGAGAGATTTAATTTGTTCAGAATAGAAGAGAAAAAAAAAGAAAGAAGTCTCTATGAACTGGTATGAAAAGAATCTCTAGGACACACTGTGAATTTTTTTTTAAAGCCAAGATATAAAACAGTACATCACATCATACCTTTTGTATAGAAAGGGGAATATTTTTAAAATTCATATTTGCTCACATTTGCAAATGGATAGATGGATAGAAAAAAATAATAAAAGTAATTACCTCTAGAGAGCAAGAAAAACAGGCTGGACAGAGACACGAATGAGAGCAAACCTTTCCAGTTTAGACCTTTTCATATCATTTTGATGTCTGAACTACCTCATCCTACTACCTATTCAATCATTAATTAGAAGAATAAAGTTAGAGGACTCACACCTCCCAATTTCAAAACTTACTACAAAGTTACAGTAATCAAAACAGTATGGTACTGTGTAAGTACAGAAACATAGAACAATGAACTAGAACTGTGAGTCCAGAAGTAAACCCTCATATATATGGTCACAAATATATATGTGTGTGTATATGTATATACATTATATTATATATACACATTATTAAAAATTATATATCTAATATTATATATATTATATATAATTTTTTTCTGAATTCGTAGTCCCTGAATCAATAAGGTTTTGAACTCTTCCCATTCCTCCTGCTGAATGATTCAGACTTTTCGTTTCATCCCAAGTCACCTTACTTACTTGGATTGTAACAACACTGAACAGAAGTTTCTTTCTACCTATGCCTGTATCTTCTTTTAAAAATTATCTTTATTTCTTCCAATTGAATTGTATCATAGACTCTCGGCTAAGGAGAAAGAGCTGATCCTGCAATTCATGGCCAGAAGTGCGGAGGAAATTCAGGAAATGAGATAAAAGTGAGGAAGGAGAATAAGGACAGGAGGGGGAAAGAGCCCAGAGAGAATGGAAAGAATAGAAAGGATGGCAAAGCCACCAAAATGGACCAGTCCTCATCTCCTGAGACCCAGAGGCATTCATTGCACAAAATCACAAAGCACCCACTGTGCATAAGGCATGCTGCCATTAGTGCAGGAGTGCAAAACCCCACCATACCACTGACACTGCTTTTTTAAAAAAATTTTTTAGAGACAGGGTCTTACTCTATCACCCGGGCTAGAGTGCAGTGGTGTGATCATAGCTTGCTGCTGCCTTGAACTCCTGGGCCCAAGCAATCCTCCTGCCTCAGCCTCTCAATTAGCTGGGACTATAGGCGTGCACCATCACACTCAGCTAATTTTTTCTTTTTTTTTCTTTTTTTCTTTTCTTTTTAGAGATGGGGTCTTGCTATGCTGCCCAGGCTGGTCTAGAACTCCTGGGCTGAAGTGATTCTCCTGCTTCGACCTCCCAAAGTGCTGGGATTATAGGTGTGAGCCACTGTGGTGGCTGACATTGCTTTTAGGGTGGCCATGGTTATTTTAGGTAGGGGAAGGGAGAACTGGCAAGATCAGGTTGCTGTTCACAATAGACAATCAACTAAGCAAATCAATGAAATCACGAAAAGACAGGGTTTAATAACGAAAGTAGATATAGTTTGCCATTTGGGAAGAGGTATGCTACATTGTAGCTGTGAAGATGATTTACATGTAAGACCAAAAAAGAGACATGCAGGAATAAATAATGAAGTCAGTAAGCAAATTAATGAAGAGAATGAAAGAAAAGGAAAGAATGAGAGAAAATATAAATGTATTTGGCCAAAATCAGTTGGACATCTGTGTCAAACTTTTACACAAGAGCAACAGCCTGTACCACAGTTTGCCAACCCTGCCATTCATTAACAATGAAGACACGATCCCACATTATAATTTCCTAAATTTACAAGAAAAATAATGCCTTTGGCATCACAGTCTTTGCCAAAGTATATAGAACAGGCTTCCACTGAAAGTTCACTCATGCTGTTAAAATGCTTTAAATAGTAAACAGAGTAGAAAATTAAACAAATCCACAGAAATCAAGTACTAAGCACAAAACAAAAACTTAGACGTGGTCTTCCAGCTCCTGGCACTTTCTCTTTGCATTATGAAGCGGGAGAGGCACGGGCATCATGGACGTCCCATGGAGTACACAGAGCAGAAGCGGTCATAAACTGCTGCCCTCCTGACGTGTCTGTCCACATTTCTCTAGCTCTTAGATGCCCACAACAAATCAGACCCAGCAGAGAATATACAGGTAATCCTTTTGAATACTGTAGCAGCTTCTGATTTGCTGAACAAAGCTGACTAGTGAATGTTTCCCTGAGCCCATTACAAATGCCTCAGAGCTGGAACTAGAAGCTTGAGAGCAAAGGTTGCCCTTCTCCACTATTCCATTTTGGTATAACTTGTTTTTTTTCTAACTATAAAAGCAATACATGCTTAACACTCAACTTGGACAGCGTTCAATGCCTCCTGCCAAATGGGGCCTTCAGCATTCATGTGAAGGCTGGAGATCCCTGAAGGGCTGTTGAGGATACAAGTGACCCAGTTTCCTGTGCCTACTCAGTCTGGGGACCCAATAATGCACCCTCAACGTTTAGCTCATTCTCAGTAGAGGGGAAAATATGACAGGACTATTCACTAGTTTTTCCCCTAAAGCAATGATTCGAGAAACAGCCATGAAATGAGGAAAGTTCTACCCTTTGAGAGCAGCAGGGTTATGAGCTGTGGAAGACTAGAGATGGCTTCAAACTCTTTGACACTCCTGTCATTACAGCGTGGGACTGTATCTCCTCCCCTTGAATCGGGGTAGGCTGTGAGACTGCTTTGACCAACATTATATGACAGAAGTGAGGCTGTGCCACTTTCCAGGCCTGGTCTGAAGGGATCAGCACATCTATTCCCATCTTGGAATGCCTGCTCTTGCAATGCTCACTGTGGAGGAAGCCAGCACCATGTTATGAAGCCAACTGCCCTGAGACCACCAGGTTGGGAGGAGCCCAGCAACGTGGGGAGGCCAAGGATGAGAAGTTGGGAGGAGTAGGGGGAGGAGAGCAGAAAGGGGAAGAGGGTACACTGCGGCCGTTTTAGAAGGAAGAAAGGAAGGAAGGAAGGGATTGAAGGAGAGTGGAAGAAAGAGTGAGCAGGAGGAAGGGAAGGAGGAAGGGAGAGAGGGAGGGAGAAGGGAAAATGTGTGCAAGCCTAGGGAGCTTGCTGGGACACAGGAAGTGCCTCTAAATGGGCCCACACAAAAAACCCTTCCTGATACTACAGCCTGCAGCTTCTCTCATCCTTCTCATCTCAGCTTAAATCTCTCTCCCGGCTGTCTTTGCCGCTAACAAACATAGAAGTCAGCCAGTGCACCAGATGACCAAGTTGCCAGATTGCCAACAGTGTTTTTCAGCAATGTGGTCTCTCTTCCACTCCTCCATCCAAGTCTGTCCCTGAACCTCTTGAACCTGCTCAGGCCAGTCACACACCTGCCTAGAGCTGGATACTCCAGCGGCTTTACTGGGGACCTGGCCGTGAACTCTGTCATTTCTCCAGCCGAAGCAGACAGCTAATCCTCCTGCCCCGATGTTCATCCTAGCCCTACCTTGTCTCCTATGCAAAGAGGAGTGCATTTTTACACAATGCATTCAGGATATCACCTGGCCCAAGTTTTCCCGAGAACTGCACTGCCACAGGGCTGCTTCTTAGGGTGGCCAGCCATCCTAGTTTGCCCAGGACTTAGGGGTTTCTAGGGATGTGGGATGCTCAGTGCTTGAGCAGGAGCATGCTGGGAAAACCTGATCTCTGCTCTGAGGCTGGTCTGTCCAGTGCCCCAGGTCATTACAATAGAAGAAGAGGCTCAGAGAGTTTTTAAAAGAAAAATAGGCTGGGTGCAGTGGCTCACACCTGTATCCCAGCACTTTGGGAGGCCAAGGCGGGCAGACCACTTGAGCCCAGGAGTTTGAGACCAGCCTGGGCAACATGGCGAAACTGTCTCCAATCTTTTACACTTTATGTAAAATATAAAAGAAAAACAGTGGGGGTGTTTCCAATTTAAATAGCATGCACCCTAGTGGCCAGTCAATATTCAACGAGGGGCAACAGTACATACCCACATACAAGCATAAAGATCAACAACACTCTGCATGGGTATTGGTTTGATGAGTCAAGAAGAATCAACAAATGACCTAAACACAGCTCAGACAAAATCATGCCCAAGCACATGTGCAGCCACCACCTTAGCAACTAACCCTGTTATTCATCCCTAACACTCCCTCAAAGTATGCATCACACCAGTCACCTCAGAAGGTTCTGATGACACTTGTTTCTGAAAGGAGAATCGCTCATATACAACTGGTAAATGAAAGTGCATATACCACAGAGGCTGTATCTCAGCAGAGGTGGGTTTTCTCAGACAAGGAGAGCCAGACTAGTGGGAATAAAATGACAGCCTTCAGCAGAAAAGCCCTCAGCACTGGCAGCAGAAGCCCCTAAAAGTATCTTATGAAAATAAAAAACAAGTGCCTACTGCCTTCCAACCCAGCCACAGGACTTTGGTGTTCTGCTATTAACTCCATTTTTCCCATAAGCCCTGAGAGTTTTAGCAACAGTTTCGCAGAGCAGGAGGTTTCTGAGGAATGTTACCACGCTGTGGCAGAAACAGCCACACTAGTTTAGTATCTCTCTTCTCTAGACCGTGAGCTCCTTTAGGGCAGGAACTGCATCACTCTTACTCGGCACTGTATACCCAGAGCCTAGCACAAGGGCTGACAGATAAAGTGTCTTATTGATGGATAAGTTACAAAACTGACTTGAATGGAACCAATAACATCTCCCCCAGCAGAAACAGGACTAAAATCCTGGATGAACATCCTGCTCAGAAAGGAAGGACACTCTGGCCTCAGGGCACACTGCTCCCCTTCCTAGGCCCAAATGAGGCCCAAAAACCCCTCCGCTGATTTCCTTGATCATGACGGAGAAGGCAGGAAAGTCCCAGTAGACTCAATAAATACAGAAAAATAACAGAAAAGGGCCAGGTGCAGTGGCTCACGCCTGTAATCCCAGCACTTTGGGAGGCGGAAGTGTGCAGATCACTTGAGGTCAGGAGTTCCAGACCAACCTGGCCAACATGGTGAAACCCTGCTTCTACTAAAAATACAAAAATTAGCCAGGTGTGGTGGCAGGCGCCTATAGTTCCAGCTACTTAGGAGGCTGAGGCAGGAGAATCGCTTGAACCTGGGAGGAGGAGGTTGCAGTGAGCCCAGATTGCGCCAATGCACTCCAGCCTGGGCGACAGAGTGAGACTCTGTCGCAAAATAAAAAAAAAGAAAGATAACAGAAAAGGCCAATAAGCCAAGAAGATGTGAATTTTACAGTGAAGCAAAGATATCAGTGAAGCTCAGGTTCTAGAGACAGCTGCTGGTTCGATTCCAGGCTCTGCCACTTACGTGCTGAGTGACCTTCCATAGGTTACCGTGCTGCACCTCACCTACAGAATGGCAGTAATCCTCATACTCACCTCTTAGAATTGTTGTGAGTATTCAACGAGATAAAGAATGAAAGAGTGTTTGCTTTGCACAGGGCCTGGAATATAACAAGCCCTCAACAGAGGTATTTTGGCATGTTATTAACTAACAATAATAATAAACATGTGTGGGCCAGGCGCGGTGGCTCACCCCTGTAATCCCAGCACTTTGGGAGGCCGAGGCGGGCGGATCACGAGGTCAGGAGATTGAGACCATCCCGGCTAAAACGGTGAAACCCCGTCTCTACTAAAAATACAAAAAATTAGCCGGGCGTAGTGGCGGGCACCTGTAGTCCCAGCTACTTGGGAGGCTGAGGCAGGAGAATGGCGTGAACCCGGGAGGCGGAGCTTGCAGTGAGCCGAGATCCCGCCACTGCACTCCAGCCTGGGCGACAGAGCTAGACTCCGTTTCAAAAAAAAAAAAAAAAAAACACAAAAATTAATTAGCCGGGCACGGTCGTGGGCGCCTGTAATCCCAGCTACTCGGGAGGCTGAGGCATGAGAATCACTTGAATCTGGGAGGCGGAGGTTACAGTGAGCTGACATCGTGCCACTGCACTCTAGCCTTGGTGACAGAGCAAGACTCCGTCTCAAAAATAATAACAATAATAATAATTTTAAAAAAACATGCGTGAGGACCAAACCATAACTAGCTTCCCCTCCAGGGTTCCACTGTATACAGAACAAGTGAAAGAGCTTGGGGTTATATTACCAAGCGGGCCATAAAACAACAGGAACGAAGAGAGCCGGCCTGCTGTGGGCACATGCATCACAGCAGGGACCATGTGGGAAGAGCTGCGGCAGATGAGGAAATGTCCCTAACCGCATGGGTGCTGGCAGGGATGTGAGGAACACAGAGAAGGAACAAAGGGGACAACGATCTTCTCTCTGTCACTAACAACAAATAAGAGAAACAAATCAAATATAAATGTAAAATAAAATTTCACTTAGGAAAGGAGAAGGGAGTGAAAAAATGTTAAATCTAATTAAACTTTACGTTTTAAAGTTGCTGAAGTGGTCTTAAAAATCCTAAAATAAAGAAAATGTATTTAGCATTTCATCTGCATTCCAACATCCCTTGGGCTCACAGAGCCTTTTCATACTGGAGCTGGAAGCCAAATTCTCAAAATTAAGCAAAAGACAGCAAGTGTGTAACGCATGCTCTATGAATTTTGTTTCATTGGAGGCTGTAAAAGAGACAAGGCCAAAAGAAAATGTGACACACTGTTGATATAATTGTAGGACTTCTGGAAGTTCAAAACATTTGGAAATAAATTTTGATTAAAACTGTCTGTATATGCTGTATGAAAGGAGAAAAGGTTAGCCCTTGACAAGGATGGAAGGGGCCCTTGGGCCTGATAACATGCATAAGGTTAAGGCATTGCCACCTACTTCGTAGCATCTAACCATGATTTTTTACTCTTATTAGGGGAATAAGAAAGTAAATCTATAACCAACATTAAAATTACTTTGCACTTGTAATCAAAATAGTTCTATGATTTGTCTCTGACTATTCACAGAATTGTACATTCTGGTGTTTTTTGTTTTGTTTTGAGACAGGGTCTCGCTCTGTCACCCAGGCTGGAGTGCAGCAGCACCATCTCAGCTCACTGCAGCCTCAATCTCCTGTGTGAAAGCGATCCTCCCACCTCAGCCTCCTGAATAACTGGGACTAGAGGCACACAACCCCGTGTGTGGCTAATTTTTTTGCATTTTTTGTAGAGACGAGATTTTGTCATATTGCCCAGGCTGGTCTTAAACTCCTGGGCTCAAGCAATCCACCCGTCTTGGCCTCCCAAAGTGCTGAGATTACAGGCAAGAGCCACCATACCCAGCCATAAATTCTGGTTTTTTAAGCCCAAGTCATTTTACATTTGCTTTTCCAAAATGCATTAAATTGTAATATTAAAATCCTTTTAAAAAACTGTGTATAATTTATGTCAATTTTTCATCAAAATGATCAGATGTATTATACACCATGAGCTTAAATTCTGATCCATTATAAAATTATTTATGATTGCCCCAGGCACTTCATATAATTACCTAGATAAAATATACATTATTTCAAGAAGTATGCCAGGTGTGGTGGCACACCGTCTGTAGTCCCAGCTTGGGAGGCTGAGGAGAAAGGATCACTTGAGCCCAGGAGTTCAAGCCCAGCCTAAGTAACATAGCAAGACCCTCTCTGTCAAAAAGAAATAAATAAAAGGTGTTTTTAGGAATACAAACACCCAATAATAATAAACTATCCTCTTTAAAAACGCAGACTGAAAGCAGTTTTCCTTTCATTCAAGCATTCCTTAACAACTATAAATGTTCACCCATTTAAAATGCCTTCACTTATGCTTTTCTGATATTCCTTACTTTCATCTATGTTTCAAGGGACTTTAGAGCATTCTAAAACTCATCTGAGATTACTCAGAAATGGAATGATTCCACAAACACCTGCAAGCAGAGAAGAACAATGCTGGCAGCATCTAATCTTTGTCTCAGAAAAGAAAAATAATTACTCAGAGGATTTGACTTAATTACTCATTCTGTGAAGAAACATGTTTGCAGCAAACCACTTTGGAGGATCCCAGTGGACATAGGGTAGGAAAAACCACTGGAGACATCCATGACCAGACTTGTAAATGGAGTTCTAAATTTGGATATTTCCAGGAGAGGCAAATCTATTCTGCTCTATCAGAACCCAAGTAAGAGTGGGATTTGAATTAAGGTGGGAATGTTCTGTTCATCTAGAATCCATGTATTCTTACAGCAAATGGACATTTTTTACAAGTAGAAAGAGAATTAAAAGGAAATGCCAAGGAGGAGTAGGAATATCACCCATCTAAACATGAGCACATCAAATGAGCTGACAATCCTCAATGTGGGCTCTGCTACAGAGCTTCAAAAAAATTTCAAAAATTTTATTAAGGTTGAAAGTAGGCCTAATAAAAAAAAAATCTGGGTTTGCTTAATCCAGAGAGAGAAAGTTAGAGCATAGGAAACACTAAAGAGTTAACAATTAGGATGGGCTTGGTGGCTCACGCCTGTAATCCCAGCACTTTGGGCAGCCATGTCAGGTAGATTGCTTGAGCCCAGGAGTTCAAGACCAGACTTGGCAACATAGTGAAACACCATTTCTACTAAAAAAAAAAATACAAAAAAAATTAGCCGAGTGTGGTGGCACATGCCTGTGGTCCCAGCAACTTGAGAGGCTGAGGTAGGAGGATCACCTGAGCCCAGGAGGTGGAGGTTGCAGTGAGCGGAGATCTCGTACCACTGCACTCCAGCCTGGGTGACAGAGTGAGACCCTGTCAAAAAAAAAAATAAAGTTAATAACTGTCTACAAAAGGGTGTAACTAGAGCAACAGATACTGCAGTTCAACATTGAAAAACACATTCTACTTAGGAAGGGCTCAAAATGAAATGCATTAACAAAGGAGGCTATGTTTTCTAATTTAAAAAAAAAATTTTTTTCTTATGTATTTCTCCATGAAGACCTATGAATGTGTTTTCCAGTAACCTTGAAGAAAAGGGTAAAATATGATGATATTTAGTGCAATTTATCCCCAGAAACATGAAAAGAAACTAGAAATGAATGACGCCCTTAAAGTCTTCACAGAATCACAGTTCTCCTGAAAACCAGGACCATTATTCTAAGACATTTTCTAGCTAAGTCTTGATTAGTCGAACTAGGTTGGCACACCCAAGAATAAACAGGTAAGCAGAGACCTAAATCTACATTATCCAATATGACAGCCATGGCCTATACACGGCCATTGGGCACCTGAAATGTGGCTGGTCCGAATTGTTAAGTATAAACTACACACAAAGTTTTGAAGACTTATTACAAAATTCTTAGCACAAAAGTGGGGAAAAGAGAAACTTATAGCACTAAATGTGTTTATTAGAAAAGAAGAAAGAACTAAAATCAATAATCTAAGTTTCTTTCATAGGAAACTAGAAAAACAAGAGCAATTAAATGCAGAGTAAGCAGAAGAAAAGCAATAACAAAAATTAGAGCAGAGTGCTTGCTTCAGCAGCACATATACTAAAATTGGAACAATACAGAGAAGATTAGCATATAAACTTTTTAAAAAAAAAAAATAGAGCACAAATCAATTGACAATAGGAAACCAGTAGAGAAAATCAAACCAAAAGCTGGCTCTTTGAAACAATAAAGTCAATAAGCTTCTAGAAAGGATAACTAAGAAAAAAAAAAGAGGACACAAATCACCAATATCGAAAATGAAACAGAGGACATCACTATAGAGTCCATGGACATTAAAAAGAGGGTAAGGGGATACCACGAACAACTCTATATCCACAAATCTGATCACTTAGACAAAAAGACCAATTCCCTTAGTTTCTCAGGGTTCCCAAAGAAAAAAAAAAGAAATTAAGAAAAGACCAATTTCTTGAAAGGTACAATCTGCCAAAACTCTCACAAGAAGAAATAGACAGGCTGGGTGCAGTGGCTAACGCCTATAATCCCAGCACTTTGAGAGGCTGAGGCAGGTGCATCACCTGAGGTCAGGAGTTTGAGACCAGCCCAGCCAACATGGTGAAACCCCTTCTCTACTAAAAATACAAAAATTAGCTGGGCATGGTGGCATGCACCTGTAATCCCAGCTACTCAAAAGGCTGAGACAGGAGAATCGCTTGAACCTGGGAGGCAGAGGGTGCAGTGAGCTGAGATCGTGTCACTGCACTCCAGCCTGAGTGACCAAGCGAGACTCTATCTCAAAAAAAAAAAGAAAGAAAGAAGAAGAAAAAGACAATTTGGATAGACCTATATCCATTGAGGAAACTGAAGCAATATTTAATAACCTTTCAAAAAGAAACACCAGGCCTAGATGGGGTCATTGGTGAATTCTATCAAACATTTAAGGAATAAATTATACCAATTCTCTACAATCTATCTCTTTCAGAAGATAGAAGCAGTGGGGGTACTTCCCAACTCATTCTATGGGGCCAGAATCTACCCTAATACCGAAACCAGATAAAGAAATTACAAGAGCCGGGCGCAGTGGCTCATGCCTGTAATCCCAGCACTTTGGGGCCTAGACATGTAGATCACTTGAAGTCAGGAATTCGAAACCAGCCTGGCGAACATGGTGAAACCCCGTCTCTATTAAAAATACAAAAATTAGCCAGGTGTGGTGGCACACACCTGGATCCCAGCTACTCAGGAGGCTGAGGTATGAGAATCGTTTGAACCCGGAAGGCAGAGGTTGCAGAGCCAAGATTGCACCACTGCACTCCAGCCTGGACAACAGTCCAATACCTCTCATTAATACAGACACAAAAATCCTCAACAAAATAGCAAATAGAATCCAACAATGTATAAAAAGAATTATACACCATGATCAAGTGGGATTTATCCCAGGTATGCAAAGCTGGTTCAACTCAAAAATCAATTAATCAATCAAGCTAAAGAAGAAAAATCACATCTTCACATCCATAAACACAGAAAAAGCATGTGATGAACTTTAATATCCAGTCATGATAGAAACTCTCAGTAAACTAGGAATGGCTTTTTTTTTTTTATTATACTTTAAGTTTTAGGGTACATGTGCACATTGTGCAGGTTAGTTACATATGTATACATGTGCCATGCTGGTGCGCTACACCCACTAACTCGTCATCTAGCATTAGGTATATCTTCCAATGCTATCCCTCCCCCCTCCCCCCCCCCACCACAGTCCCCAGAGTGTGATATTCCCCTTCCTGTGTCCATGTGATCTCACTGTTCAATTCCCACCTATGAGTGAGAACATGCGGTGTTTGGTTTTTTGTTCTTGCGATAGTTTACTGAGAATGATGATTTCCAATTTCATCCATGTCCCTACAAAGGACATGAACTCATCCTTTTTTATGGCTGCATAGTATTCCATGGTATATATGTGCCACATTTTCTTAATCCAGTCTATCATTGTTGGACATTTGGGTTGGTGCCAAGTCTTTGCTATTGTGAATAATGCCGCAATAAACATACGTGTGCATGTGTCTTTATAGCAGCATGATTTATAGTCCTTTGGGTATATACCCAGTAATGGGATGGCCGGGTCAAATGGTATTTCTAGTTCTAGATCCCTGAGGAATCGCCACACTGACTTCCACAACGGTTGAACTAGTTTACACTCCCACCAACAGTGTAAAAGTGTTCCTATTTCTCCACATCCTCTCCAGCACCTGTTGTTTCCTGACTTTTTAATGATTGCCATTCTAACTGGTGTGAGATGGTATCTCATAGTGGTTTTGATTTGCATTTCTCTGATGGCTAGTGATGATGAGCATTTTTTCATGTGTTTTTTGGCTGCATAAATGTCTTCTTTTGAGAATTGTCTGTTCATGTCCTTCGCCCACTTTTTGATGGGGTTGTTTGTTTTTTTCTTGTAAATTTGTTTGAGTTCATTGTAGATTCTGGATATTAGCCCTTTGTCAGATGAGTAGGTTGCGAAAATTTTCTCCCATTTTGTAGGTTGCCTGTTCACTCTGATGGTAGTTTCTTTTGCTGTGCAGAAGCACTTTAGTTTAATTAGATCCCATTTGTCAATTTTGTCTTTTGTTGCCATTGCTTTTGGTGTTTTGGACATGAAGTCCTTGTCCATGCCTATGTCCTGAATGGTAATGCCTAGGTTTTCTTCTAGGGTTTTTATGGTTTTAGGTCTAACGTTTAAATCTTTAATCCATCTTGAATTGATTTTTGTATAAGGTGTAAGGAAGGGATCCAGTTTCAGCTTTCTACATATGGCTAGCCAGTTTTCCCAGCACCATTTATTAAATAGGGAATCCTTTCCCCATTGCTTGTTTTTCTCAGGTTTGTCAAAGATCAGATAGTTGTAGGTAGGCGGCGTTATTTCTGAGGGCTCTGTTCTGTTCCATTGATCTATATCTCTGTTTTGGTACCAGTACCATGCTGTTTTGGTTACTGTAGCCTTGTAGTATAGTTTGAAGTCAGGTAGTGTGATGCCTCCAGCTTTGTTCTTTTGGCTTAGGATTGACTTGGCGATGCGGGCTCTTTTTTGGTTCCATATGAACTTTAAAGTAGTTTTTTCCAATTCTGTGAAGAAAGTCATTGGTAGCTTGATGGGGATGGCATTGAATCTGTAAATTACCTTGGGCAGTATGGCCATTTTCACGATATTGATTCTTCCTACCCATGAGCATGGAATGTTCTTCCATTTGTTTGTATCCTCTTTTATTTCCTTGAGCAGTGGTTTGTAGTTCTCCTTGAAGAGGTCCTTCACATCCCTTGTAAGTTGGATTCCTAGGTATTTTATTCTCTTTGAAGCAATTGTGAATGGGAGTTCACTCATGATTTGGCTCTCTGTTTGTCTGTTGTTGGTGTATAAGAATGGTTGTGATTTTTGCACATTGATTTTGTATCCTGAGACTTTGCTGAAGTTGCTTATCAGCTTAAGGAGATTTTGGGCTGAGACAATGGGGTTTTCTAGATATACAATCATGTCATCTGCAAACAAGGACAATTTGACTTCCTCTTTTCCTAATTGAATACCCTTTATTTCCTTCTCCTGCCTAATTGCCCTGGCCAGAACTTCCAACACTATGTTGAATAGGAGTGGTGAGAGAGGGCATCCCTGTCTTGTGCCAGTTTTCAAAGGGAATGCTTCCAGTTTTTGCCCATTCAGTATGATATTGGCTGTGGGTTTGTCATAGATAGCTCTTATTATTTTGAAATACGTCCCATCAATACCTAATTTATTGAGAGTTTTTAGCATGAAGGGTTGTTGAATTTTGTCAAAGGCTTTTTCTGCATCTATTGAGATAATCATGTGGTTTTTGTCTTTGGCTCTGTTTATATGCTGGATTACATTTATTGATTTGCGTATATTGAACCAGCCTTGCATCCCAGGGATGAAGCCCACTTGATCATGGTGGATAAGCTTTTTGATGTGCTGCTGGATTCGGTTTGCCAGTATTTTATTGAGGATTTTTGCATCAATATTCATCAAGGATATTGGTCTAAAATTCTCTTTTTTGGTTGTGTCTCTGCCCGGCTTTGGTATCAGAATGATGCTGGCCTCATAAAATGAGTTAGGGAGGATTCCCTCTTTTTCTATTGATTGGAATAGTTTCAGAAGGAATGGTACCAGTTCCTCCTTGTACCTCTGGTAGAATTCGGCTGTGAATCCATCTGGTCCTGGACTCTTTTTGGTTGGTAAACTATTGATTATTGCCACAATTTCAGCTCCTGTTATTGGTCTATTCAGAGATTCAACTTCTTCCTGGTTTAGTCTTGGGAGAGTGTATGTGTCGAGGAATGTATCCATTTCTTCTAGATTTTCTAGTTTATTTGCGTAGAGGTGTTTGTAGTATTCTCTGATGGTAGTTTGTATTTCTGTGGGATCGGTGGTGATATCCCCTTTATCATTTTTTATTGTGTCTATTTGAGTCTTCTCTCTTTTTTTCTTTATTAGTCTTGCTAGCGGTCTATCAATTTTGTTGATCCTTTCAAAAAACCAGCTCCTGGATTCATTGATTTTTTGAAGGGTTTTTTGTGTCTCTATTTCCTTCAGTTCTGCTCTGATTTTAGTTATTTCTTGCCTTCTGCTAGCTTTTGAATGTGTTTGCTCTTGCTTTTCTAGTTCTTTTAATTGTGATGTTAGGGTGTCAATTTTGGATCTTTCCTGCTTTCTCTTGTGGGCATTTAGTGCTATAAATTTCCCTCTACACACTGCTTTGAATGCGTCCCAGAGATTCTGGTATATTGTGTCTTTGTTCTCGTTGGTTTCAAAGAACGTCTTTATTTCTGCCTTCATTTCGTTATGTACCCGGTAGTCACTCAGGAGCAGGTTGTTCAGTTTCCATGTAGTTGAGCGGCTTTGAGTGAGATTCTTAATCCTGAGTTCTAGTTTGATTGCACTGTGGTCTGAGAGATAGTTTGTTATAATTTCTGTTCTTTTACATTTGCTGAGGAGAGCTTTACTTCCAACTATGTGGTCAATTTTGGAATAGGTGTGGTGTGGTGCTGAAAAAAATGTATATTCTGTTGATTTGGGGTGGAGAGTTCTGTAGATGTCTATTAGGTCTGCTTGGTGCAGAGCTGAGTTCAATTCCTGGGTATCCTTGTTGACTTTCTGTCTCGTTGATCTGTCTAATGTTGACAGTGGGGTGTTAAAGTCTCCCATTATTAATGTGTGGGAGTCTAAGTCTCTTTGTAGGTCACTCAGGACTTGCTTCATGAATCTTGGTGCTCCTGTATTGGGTGCATATATATTTAGGATAGTTAGCTCTTCTTGTTGAATTGATCCCTTTACCATTATGTAATGGCCTTCTTTGTCTCTTTTGATCTTTGTTGGTTTAAAGTCTGTTTTATCAGAGACTAGGATTGCAACCCCTGCCTTTTTTGTTTTCCATTTGCTTGGTAGATCTTCCTCCATCCTTTTATTTTGAGCCTATGTGTGTCTCTGCACATGAGATGGGTTTCCTGAATACAGCACACTGATGGGTCTTGACTCTTTATCCAATTTGCCAGTCTGTGTCTTTTAATTGGAGAATTTAGTCCATTTACATTTAAAGTTAATATTGTTATGTGTGAATTTGATCCTGTCATTATGATGTCAGCTGGTGATTTTGCTCATTAGTTGATGCAGTTTCTTCCTAGTCTCGATGGTCTTTACATTTTGGCATGATTTTGCAGCGGCTGGTACCAGTTGTTCCTTTCCATGTTTAGCGCTTCCTTCAGGAGCTCTTTTAGGGCAGGCCTGGTGGTGACAAAATCTCTCAGCATTTGCTTGTCTGTAAAGTATTTTATTTCTCCTTCACTTATGAAGCTTAGTTTGGCTGGATATGAAATTCTGGGTTGAAAATTCTTTTCTTTAAGAATGTTGAATATTGGCCCCCACTCTCTTCTGGCTTGTAGGGTTTCTGCCGAGAGATCCGCTGTTAGTCTGATGGGCTTCCCTTTGAGGGTAACCCGACCTTTCTCTCTGGCTGCCCTTAACATTTTTTCCTTCATTTCAACTTTGGTGAATCTGACAATTATGTGTCTTGGAGTTGCTCTTCTTGAGGAGTATCTTTGTGGCATTCTCTGTATTTCCTGAATCTGAACGTTGGCCTGCCTTGCTAGATTGGGGAAGTTCTCCTGGATAATATCCTGCAGAGTGTTTTCCAACTTGGTTCCATTCTCCCCATCACTTTCAGGTACACCAATCAGACGTAGATTTGGTCTTTTCACATAGTCCCATATTTCTTGGAGGCTTTGCTCATTTCTTTTTATTCTTTTTTCTCTAAACTTCCCTTCTCGCTTCATTTCATTCATTTCATCTTCCATTGCTGATACCCTTTCTTCTAGTTGATCGCATCGGCTCCTGAGGCTTCTGCATTCTTCACGTAGTTCTCAAGCCTTGGTTTTCAGCTCCATCAGCTCCTTTAAGCACTTCTCTGTATTGGTTATTCTAGTTATACATTCTTCTAAATTTTTTTCAAAGTTTTCAACTTCTTTGCCTTTGGTTTGAATGTCCTCCCGTAGCTCAGAGTAATTTGATCGTCTGAAGCCTTCTTCTCTCAGCTCGTCAAAGTCATTCTCCATCCAGCTTTGTTCCATTGCTGGTGAGGAACTGCGTTCCTTTGGAGGAGGAGAGGCGCTCTGCGTTTTAGAGTTTCCAGTTTTTCTGTTCTGTTTTTTCCCCATCTTTGCGGTTTTATCTACTTTTGGTCTTTGATGATGGTGATGTACAGATGGGTTTTCGGTGTGGATGTCCTTTCTGTTTGTTAGTTTTTCTTCTAACAGACAGGACCCTCAGCTGCAGGTCTGTTGGAATACCCTGCCGTGTGAGGTGTCAGTGTGCCCCTGCTGGGGGGTGCCTCCCAGTTAGGCTGCTCGGGGGTCAGGGGTCAGGGACCCACTTGAGGAGGCAGTCTGCCGGTTCTCAGATCTCCAGCTGCGTGCTGGGAGACCCACTGCTCTCTTCAAAGCTGTCAGACTGCTTTTTTTTTTTTTTTTTTTTTTGAGACAGAGTCCCGCTCTGTCATCCAAGCTGGAGTACAGTGGCGTAATCTCGGCTCACTGCAACCTGCGCCTCCCACGTTCAAGCGATACTCCTGCCTCAGCCTCCCAAGTAACTGGGATTACAGGTGCGTGCTACCACACCTGGCTAATTTTTGTATTTTTCATAGAAATTGGGTTTCCCATGTTGCCCAGGCTGGTCTCAAACTCCTGACTTCAAATGATCTGACCTCCTCGGCTTCCCAAAGCGCTGGGATTACAGGCGTGAAGCACGACGCCTGGCCGGGGAGAACATCTTCAACTTGATAAACAGTATCTTCAAAAAACCTACAGCAAACGTCATACTTAACAGTGGGAAACTAGAAGCTTTCCCACTAAGAGCAGAAATAAGCCAAGGATATCCCCACTCACCACTCTTTCCAACACCGGACTGGAAGTCCTAGCTAATGAAATAAGGCAAGAAATAAAAAGAAAAATAAAACTGTCTTTGTTTGCAGATGACATGATCATCCAAGAAGAAAATCAAAAAACTGAAACCAGGCAGTGATTACAGCAAGACTGCAGGATACAAAAGTCAATCACTTTCCTATATACCAGCAATGAACAAGTGGAATTTGAGATTAAAAACACAATACCATTTACATTAGCACCCCTCAGAATGAAACACTTAGGTATAAATCTTAAAAAAAATTAGAATATCTATATGAGAAAAATTAAAGAAGTGATTAAAGAAGTCAGAGCACTAAAGAAATGGAGAGATATTCCATGTTCATAGACAGGGAGATTCAATATAGTCAAGGTGTCAGTTCTTCCCAACTTCATCTACAGACTCAATGCAATCCCAATCTAAATCCAGCAAGTTATTTTGCAGATATCAACAAACTGATTCTAAAGTTTACATGGGGAAGCAAAAGACCCAGAATGGTCAAAAAAATATTAAAAGAGAAGAACAAAGTTAACGGGCTGACACTATACGACTTCAATACTTATAATAAAGCTACAATAAATAAGACAGTGTGGTATCAATGAAAGAAGAGAGAAACAGACCAATGGAACAGAACAGAGAGCCCAGAATTCGACCCTGATAAATACAGTGAATTGATCTTTGACAAAGGAGCAAAGGCAATACAATGGAGCAAGGGGTCTTTTCAACAAATGATGTTGGAATAACTGGATATCCACATACAAAAAAGCGCCTCTAGACAAAGACCACAGACCCTTCACAAAAATTATCTGAAATGAATCATAGGCCTAAATGTAAAATGCAAACCTATAAAGCTCCTAGAAGATAACAGGAAAAAATCTAGATTATGTTGGGTAGGATGATGACTTTTTAGATATAATACCAAAGGCACAATCTATGAAAATAAGAATTGATAAGCTAAGCTTTATTAAAATTAAAATTTTCCTCTCCATGAAAGGCACTGTCAAGAGAATGAAAAGACAAGCCACAGATTGAGAAAAAATATTTACAAAAGAAATATCCTATAAGGATAAATATTTGTAAATTGAATATTCACAGAAGACATATCTGATAAAGGATAAATATTTGCAAGTTGAATATTTGCAAAAGACATATCTGATAAAGGACTAGTATCCAAAATATAAAAAGAACTCTTAAAACACAGTAAGAAAACAATCCAATTTTTTAAAATGGGCCAAAGACCTTAACAGATACCTCACCAAAGATGATATACAGATAGTAAATAAGCATATGAAAAAATGTTCCATATCATATGTCATCAGGTAAATGCAAATTAAAATGAGGTACCTCTACATACCTATTAGAATGGCCAAAATCCAAAACAATTACAACACCAAATATTAGCAAGAATGGGGAGCCACAGGAACTCTCGTTCATTGCTGGTGGGAATGCAAAATGATCCAGCCACTTTGCAAGACAGTTTGGCAGCTTCTTAACAAACTAAACATACTCTTATTAAGTCCAGCAATTGCATTTCTTGGTATTTGCACAAAAGAGCTGAAAACTTATATACATACAAAACCTGCTATAAACACAGATGTTTGGCCAGGCATGGTGGCTCACACCTGTAATCCCAGCACTTTGGGAGGCTGATGTGGGCGGATTACCTGAGGTCAGGAGTTTGAGACCAGCCTGGCCAACATGCCAAAACCCCATCTCTACTACAAATACAAAAATTAGCCAGGTGTGGTGGCACGCACCTGTAATCCCAGCTACTCGGAAGGCTGAGGCAGGAGAATCGCTTGAACCCGTGAGTCAGAGGTTGCAGTGAGCCGAGATCACACCACTGCACTCCAGCCTGGGCAACAGAGCAAAACTCCATCTCAAAAAATAAAATACATAAAAAATAAGAAAACATAGATGTTTATAGCAGCTTTATTCATAACTGCCTAAACTTGGAAACAATCAAGATATCCTTCAGTAAGTGAATAAATAAACTGTGGTATCTCCAGACTATAGAACATTATTCAGTGCTAATACAAAATGAGCTATTAAGCCATGAAAAGAGAAACGTTAAATGCATACTACTAAGTCAAAGAAGCCAATCAGAAAAGGCTACACACTGTATTATTCCAAATATATGACATTCTAAAAAAGGTAAAACTATGGAGGCAGTAAAAAGATCAGTGGTTGACAGGAGTTAGGGAAGAGAGACGGATGAATAGCCAGAGCACAGAGGATTTTTAGGGCACTAAAAATTACCATTACTGGCCGGGCGCGGTGGCTCACACCTGTAATCCCAGCACTTTGGGAGGCCAAGACAGGCAGATCACGAGGTCAGGAGATCGAGACCATCCTAGCTAACATGGTAAAACCCCATCTCTACTAAAAAAAAAAAAAATACAAAAAAAAATTAGCCGGGTGTGGTGGCTGGTGTCTGTAGTCCCAGCTACTCGGGAGGCTGAGGCAGGAGAATGGCATGAGCCCGGGAGGCAGAGCTTGCAGTGAGCCAAGATTGTGCCACTGTGCTCCAGTCTGGGCAACAGAGCAAGACTCCATCTCAAAAAAAAAAAATTACTGTTACTGAGTATACACCCAAAGGACTATAAATCATTCTACTATAAAGACACATGCACACGTATGTTTATTGCAGCACTTTTTACAATAGCAAAGACTTGGAACCAACCCAAATGTCCATCAGTGATAGACTGGATAAAGAAAACGTGGCACCTACACACCATGGAATACAATGAGCCATAAAAAAGGATGAGTTCACGTCCTTTGCAGGGACATGGATGAAGCTGGAAACCATCATTCTCAGCAAACCATCACAAGAACAGAAAACCAAACGCCACATGTTCTTACTTATAAGTGGGAGTTGAATAAGGAGAACACATGGACACACCGGGACCTGTTGAGGGGTGGGGGGCTAGGGGAGGGATAGCATTAGGAGAAATAACTAATGTAGGTGACGGGTGGATGGATGCAGCAAACCACTATGGCACATGTATACCTATGTAACAAAACTGCACGTTCTGCACATGTACCCCAGAACTTAAAGTATACTAATAATTTTTTTACAAAAAAAGACAAAATGTTGGGAGAAAAGAACTGTCAAGCTAGGATTCCATGCCCAGCTAAGCAATCATAAAGAATTAAGGCAAAATAAAAACATTTTAAAACCTACAATGACTATGTTCCACTAACACATTCTTAGTAAACAACTGATATATCATAGAATGTACTTCAGAAAGAAGAGCCCAAAGAAGGAAGCAAGACAGGTTGGTGACCACAGAAATTGATAAAATATATTATCAAATACAGCCAGTTACAGATTATAAATAAATTATGATTAAAAGTGATTATGATTATGATGAAAAGAAAAGTGGCAACATGGATGAACCTTGAAAACATTATGCTAAGTGAAAGAAGCCAGGAACAAAACCACACATTATATAATTCCATTTACATAAAATGTTCAGAATAGACAAATCTAAAGAGACGGAAAGTAGATTAATGGCTGCCTAGGACTGGGGCAACAAAGAAGAGAGTGGGAGTAGGCTAGTACTGTTGATGAGTACAGGATTTCTTTTAAGTGGGACAAAAGTGTTATAAAATTAGATTGTGGCAATGGTTGCACAACTCTTAACTAAAAAAATTGACTTGTACACTTTAAATAGGTGAATTGTACAGTATGTGTATTATATCTTAATAAAGTCATTTTAAAAAGTGGAACTAGAAAGGAAAAGGGGATGTTCAAATATACTAAGATCCTTATAAATTTTGATAGAAATTTTTGTAACTATTCATGAATGTTAAAAACTTAGAAATAACCATTAGGAGAACAAAAACACCATCTATAGCTCCTTCTCTCTATACACACACACACACACACACACACACACACACACACACACACACACTTTCTCTCATCTACTAAAAGAGAGAGTCTATGAGACTAGGTCAAAAAAGCTTATTGAGAAGCCAGAACAGAAAAAGAAACAAAATCATAAAAATAAAATAAAAAATATTCTGTATGATACTGTAATGGTAGACACATGTCATTATAAATTTGCCCAAACCCAGAGAATATTAGAGTGAACCCTAGTGCCAACAGGAGACTGTGGGTGATAATGATGTGCCATGAACAACAGTTATAATCCAACAATGAACTTAGGTTCATCAGTTGTAACAAATGCACCACTCTAGTGGTGGATGTTGATAATGAGTGAGCCTATGCATGCGGGGGCAGAGATATATGGAATATCTCTGTACCATCCTCTCAATTTTACTGTGAACCTAAAACTGCTCTAATCAAATAAAGCCTTTATTTAGAAAAAAAAAAAAGAGAATGTAAACTACCTCATCATTGTTTATAACGACTACATAGTAAAATCATATTTTGAATATATTCAGTTAAATAAAATATATTTTTTAAATTAATTTCACCTATTTCTTTTTATTTTTTTAAATATGGCTACAAGAACTTAAAATGACATATTTGGCTCACATTTGAGGCTTGCACTATACTTCTATTGGACAGGGCTAAGCTAAACAATCAAAGAAATACCACTGTATTAGCCACACCTCTGGGTTCCCAAACATTTTCAAAATGTGAACAGAAGAAGGGAGGAGGGCAAATGCCAGCAGAAGCATTCTGAGGACATGTGTTAAGTACAACAGCAGCAATAGCAGCAGCTAGTATGTGGTTCTAAGTAAGTAACAAGCATAAACAATGACTTTCCAGAAAAGGAGATGCTGCAGTTGCAGCTTCTTTTTTCTCTCCATCCAGGAGTGTCCCAAAGACCCGTTCCTGGATGTGGCTCTCCTGCTTACCTTTGATAAGCTCCGGCCTGTATGTTTTACGCAGCTGCTCCAGGAAGCTGTTGTAGAAGCCCTCTGCCTGCTCCGTGGGCATTGCTAGGTGGAAATCAGGCTTGTTTCCCTTCAGGACACACTGGAGGGTAAACTGGCTGACACACAGAATCTCGTACTGTTTGTCCATCACACTCTTCGACCAGTGCTTCCCACTCTCATCCTCAAATACACGCAGGTTTAGAATCTTTCGGACCCTAAGGGGAAAAAGAGCAGTGAGAGCTACCTGAGAGATCACAAGCCCCCCAACACACTCCATACCCCAAAAATGTCACCAGCTTCCGGTCAAATAAGGACATAATGATGACTCCATCCCTGACAGGAGGCATGACCTCAGGCAAGTCACTTATCCACCCTGTGCTTCAGTGTCCTCAGCTGCGATACAGAATAATAACAGTTCTACCTCACACGGTTGTTTTGAGATTGCTTCTTTTTTGCCAGTCGCTCCAGTTCATAGCAGCTACTGGTGAGAACTGGGGCTAAGATGACAACCACCTATTCTCTGCTCCTTTAGGTCGGGGATATGTCAAAACATGGGTCCAATTGTAATTTTTCATGAACGAATTCATCATGTTAGGATAAATGACATCCATTTTTAAACCCCTTCTTGGAGCTACTCAAAATGAACAATTCGGCTGAGAACGGTGGCTCATGCCTGAAATCCCAGTACTTTGGGAGGCCACAGTGGGTGGATCACCTGAGTTCAGGAGTTCAAGACCAGCCTAGCCAACATAGAGAAACCCCATCTCTACTACTAAAACTACAAAAGTTAGCCAGGCATGGTGGCGGGCGCCTTTAATCCCAGCTACTCAGGAGGCTTAGGCACAAAAATCGCTTGAACCAGGGAGGCAGAGATTGCAGTAAGCTAAGATTGCACCACTGCACTCCAGCCTGGGTGACAGAGGGAGACTCTGTCTCAAAAGAAAAAAAAAAGAAAGAACAATTCAGCAAATACACTGAGAGAAAAATCATGGTTATTGCAAATATGCAAAAAGATCTGGAGAAAGACACCTTGAAAACTATGTCACAAGCTCCTTAAGCCCCAGAGGGGCTTTCCCTATACATGTGAAGAAGGATAGTCACCATGGCAAGAAAGTTGACCAGGTGACATCTATAGGGTCAGATTTGAGAAGCACAGCAGAGAACCACCAGCATGAAAGCTGAAATCTCACCATTTGAGAGCCACCCTTCTGGATGATGTTAAGTAGATGACAGTTTCAAAGACTCTATAAATACTAATTAACTGACTCTTAATATGGGCACCCTCAGGGACAGGTGCTACTCATTACCCCCTCTCCACAGCCAAGATTTGTCTTATGTTGAATCACATCTCTTAAGCACCAGGCTAAGTATTAGCTCTGTAGTATGTCAGAGCCATAAAGACATTCAAACCCACAGCCTCAGTTTTTAGCCATTACACCACTCTACCACTTCTTTGAGTATCCAGAGGACAGCTACTAAAATACCACCATCACTGAAATAGTATTGAATGATAGTTATCCATCATCAACACCTTAGCAGGAATTCAGTTTCAAGTCTGATTTTCAATCTAACACAAAAGAATCAGTTGGGCAGGGTTATACCCAAGCTCTGAGCACCAAGGGGCAGAATAAATGGATCCAGCATCTAAAGTAAATGTGCCCCGTGGTAATGGAGGGGAGGAGGTGCACAGAGGGCACATTCTGATTTTATGTCTGGAATGAATGGGAGCTATAAAGTGAACAATCATTAAGCAGGATTTTAGGGCCATATTTCATCTGTGCTGCCTTGGCTAAGACACCTAAACCTTTCTATAGTCGAGTTTGCCCATCTATAAACTCAGAGAGCCAGGCAGGCAGCAGCAATGGCAACCCCTGCTCCTCAACCCCCGCCACCACCTTAGTAAAAAGATCACTGGCTTCAAGGTCAGGGAGCCCAGACTCTAACTGGGGTTCAGGCTTTTTGCTAAGTGTGTGTGCATGATCTGGGGCAAGCAATTTAACCTCTCTGAGTTCTAGATCCCTATGTGCACAGCGAGCTAGTAGACATTCTAAAAATACATAGTGCCCAGATAACTGCCCAATTTAAAAAAGAGAAACCAAACATAAGAAAAGAGGCTTGGTTTTTGCGTTAAGAGAACAAGAGGCATGCTCTGAGGCCACAGTAGCAAACAGACAGGGGACAGGCGGTGCTCCTGCTCAAAGGCTGACTTAGCGTTGAGGTCTCCTAAATCATTCTTCCTCGGTCTTCTCTGAAACACGGAGATAACCATACTACATCCAATGGGACAATGGTTAAAAGTGACAGGGGCTCACCTCACAGGCACAAAGTACTATGGAAGTTCCCAGCATGACCACCACCACATAGCCCACTCAAACAGCAATGACAGAAATGCATCTTACATGTGTTCCAGTTCCTTCTGCGTATCCTCCAGGGAAATACCCAGCAACACACATATGCCCCTTCCAATGGCACTAATCTGCTCTCCTCCAACTAGAAAGGAACCAAAAGGGAGAGAAGAACTCAGAACCAAACAAGGTCATAAAGCACTTTTAAGTAACCATAGGAGTATTTTAAACATCATACATACTTCTTATAACTTCTTTGGTTAAAGTCAGTACGTATTCGAAAATGAAAAGAGTTACATAAATGCAGTGAGATGATAATAATTCCCATCCATTCTGATTTTATCTCTGGAATGAATGGGAGCTGTAAAGTGAACAACCATTAAGCAGGATCTTAGGGCCATATTTCATCTATGTTACCTTGGGTAAGACACCCAAAATTTTCTATGGTCAAGTTTGCCCATCTATAAAAACAGAACTGTGTTTTCCTCCCCCAGAGAAGCCAGCTCAGCTATATTAATTCTCAGAAAAGAGATTCCTGCCTTTTGCAGAATATCAAAAAATATGGTAACACAGTATACAGGAAGCACAAAGTGGAAAATGTTCATATCATAAATGATTTTCCTACTTACTATGAGGACAAATACATAATACATAAAAATCACAATTTATGTATTAAGCTTCAACTCACCAAACTGCTATTATTTCCCAGTTTAGTTTTGTGGTTACATTCTAAGCCAATGATCTCCAAATATTTTTCAATCATGCATCTTGTCCATTTGAAAAAAAAAAGGCTCTAAGCACACACTCCTAACATTTGTATATGTATTTATAACCAAATGTATGCCCTACTACCACTAGACGATACCTCAAATGGTAGCAAGATGCATCATTATGGGCCGGGCATGGTGGTTTATGCCTGTAATCCCAGCACTTTGGGAGGCTGAGGCAGGCAGTCATATGACGTCAGGAGTTCGAGACCAGCTTGGCCAACATGGCGAAATCCCATCTCTAATAAAAATACAAAAATTAGCCGGGCATGGTGGCGGGCGCCTGTAATCCCAGCTACTCAGGAGGCTGAGGCAGGAGAATCGCTTGAACCCAGAAGGTGGAGATTGCAGTGATCCAAGATCACACCATTGCACTCCAGCCTTCCAGCCTGGGTGACAAGAGTGACTCTCCATCTCAAAAAAAAAAAAAAAAGATGCATCTTTATGATGGAGAATCCCTGTTTTTTTTTTCATTTGTTTTTCTTTTTAAGAGGCAGGATCTCTCTATGTTGTCCAAGCTGGAGTGCAGTGACTATTCACAGGTGCAATTCCACTACTAATCAGCACAGGAGTTCTGACCTGCTCTATGTCCAACCTAGGTTGGTCCATCCCTCCTGATGGTCCTCTGGTCCTGGGAACTCACCATATTGATGCAGAACTTTGGTATGACAGCAGGTCAGCATAGTGTACTATAGCCCAGAACCCCTGGGCTCAAGCAATCCTCCCTGCCTCAGCTTCCAGAGTAGCTGGGACTATGGATGCACGCCATCATACCCAGCTAAATCTGTATTTCAAGTGGTGCTTTTGAAAATTTTCTATTTTTTGCCAATTATTTGCCAATCTTATTAGATTATGTTATTTTACTACTTCATCTTGTACTGACCTAATGTGCTAATCGGAATAGAAGGGTCACCTCAGCCATTTTCTTGCTGTTTGCTTGCTTCTGCAGGGTAATAGCTATAAATATAACTAACACAGTAACATAGACTATGTCATGTTACAATACACTGCTAAAGAAAGGGTGAGAAACTTCCCTCTTTCTTCAGTTGCAATGGCAAGAGACCACCTGCTATTCAGATCCCAGCAGAGCACATCAATCCATTCCTGAAATATCAGTAATGCTTAATTTCTTTATTTTTAGGCTAAAATTTTTTAAATCTTTTCTTCTGTGCTGCTTTTCTTATAATGAACTATGTGTGTGTGACTTATTGTCCTTTGAGCCACTGCCTCAAAAGCTGAAATAGAAATAATCTATCCTGACATAGGCAGTAAACAATTGGGGGTTGGTTTGCTCATTTGCATTGCTTCAGAAAAAGCCTTTGGCTTTATTTGTTCTTTGAATAAATCAACATTACTTTCTTACAATATTGATATACTTTCTAAATTTTTCCCAAAGTATGTTTTAAAAAATAAAGGTCATGAAGTTATATCTATCATCAAAGTAAGGATTATATATTTTAGAAAATATGAGAAACATGAAAAAAAGAACAAAGGTAAGTACTTTAATATTTTAATGATTTCCTTTTAATATTGTATCTATTCATACATTTTAATTCATATTTGTTTTCAACTACTATAATAACATTGCATATAAATTTTTATAATAATATTGCATAAGAATTTTTTCATGTCATAACCTTTTCCTAAACACCTTTTAATAGATTCAGCTCATCAAGTAGACTGATTAACCATTCCATCTTGCTGGACATATGGCTTCTTTCAAAATTTTCACCTCAGTAAATAACAGTGTAGTGAAAATCTTCGTACACTAAAGCCTTTTCTACAGTTAGGATTATCTGCTTAGATTCTAGAATCACTGTCAAAGAATTTTGACAGTTTTATAATTATCTTAACATGAAACAAATTATGGCCCAAAGTCTATATATGACACAGAGACTGCTGTCTTATTTTGGAGCAGTTTTGTCCCCCCTCCAGGGACAAGTAGAAGGACTAGGAGATTCAAAAGGATTTTTTATTATAAGTAAATGGATCACCAAGGGAAAAAATCTGAGAATCACCACTTTGAACAAAAGATCAAAGGGCTGGAAAAGACTGAGATGTTTGGTCAATTTTTCTACCTACTAGTGGCATCAGACCTGAGATCTCTACTTCAAGAATTCATAACCTTTGAAGTTAACCTAGTTAAACCCAAACATTTTAGATCCTCTTCCAACACTGTTCACAGACATCAAATTTTAGCTGCTGACAATGAATGATGGGACATGGGGGTTATTGCCCTATTCCGTCTGTTAATATGTTTGAAATGTGCCATAATAAACTTTTAAAAATTAGATTATCACAGTACCCAACCTAAGGCATCAAAATGTGTTTGATCAAGCTGGGTGCAGTGGCTCATGCCTGTAATCCCAGCACTTTGGGAAGCCGAGGCAGGCAAATCACTTGAGGCCAGGAATTTGAGACCAGCCTAGTCAACATGGCAAAACCCTGTCTCCACTAAAAATACAAAAAAATTAGCCAGGCACAGTGGCGCGCACCTGTAAGACCAGCTACTCAGGACACAGAGGCATGAGAATCGCTTGAACCCAGGAGGCAGAGGCTGCAGTGATCAGAGATGGCACCACTGTACTCCAGCCTCGGCAACAGAGCAAGACTCTCTCAAAACAAAAACAAAACCAATTAGCCAATTGGAGAAATCTGATGGACTGGGCATCAAATGATATTACAGGGTTACTATAAAAAAAAATGTGTTTGACCAATCACATAAATTGAATATACCACATAGTAAAATGTGTGACTCCTAAGCTGGACATAGCGGTGGCGGCACACGCCTGTAGTCTAACTACTCAGGATGCTGAAACTAAAGGATCACTTGAGCCCAAGCGTTTGAGGTTGTAGTAAGCTATAATAGTGCCACTGCACTCCAGCCTGGGTGACAGAGCAAGACCCCATCTCTAAAACAAACAAACCATAAATGCATAAATTTAAAATAAATGTGAAGTCAACCAACTATTTTAAAATAAAATAAAATGTGTGACTCCTGATAATCTATGCTGTCCTGACCATAAAACAGGAAGTTAACATTTTAGAACCCCTAAAATAAAATGCCATTCAAACACAGCCACATTTCAGTGAAACCAGCCACATTTTAAAGGAATCAGAAAATCCCTTTCCATTACAATGCAACTAGAAGGCCTGCATAAGTGGAGGGCCCTTCTAACAGAATTCCACAGTTCCCCAACCCAGAATTCCCGAATTATTTACACTTTCCCATAATTAACACCCTTATCTTTTTTAATATGCAGGTTTGGTTGTTTTAACTGAAAGCATATAACTTAAATAGTGAACCAAAATAACCCAAACTCTTATTCAGCACATCTCACAGAATACACATTTTCAATATTCCAGATTAGCAGGATGGAGAGTTCAGGAGAGAGATCAAAATTTAAATCTGTCAGTGACGACCACACACAGCAGCAGACTGCAAGGTTCTTCTCAATAATGCAAAACATCTTTCATCTATGAATTTTCCCAGTTTTCATGAATTTAAATATCTACAGAAATGTTATAAAAGCTTTAAAATTCCTAAATCCCAGTGCTACTCTATTCCCTATTATTCCAGGACCATTTCCAAAACCAAAGCTACCAGAACAGCTTAGAAATCATTAGGCGGGGTTGAAAAATAGACTCTTAGATTTAAATATACGGTTTTGGTGGGTTTGGTTGTTTCTTTAGGGTTTTTTGTTGTTTTTGTTTTGTTTTGTTTTTTGTTTTGGGGTTTTGTTTGTTTGTTGTTTTTTGAGACAGAGTCTCGCTCTGTCGCCCAGGCTGGAGGTTACTGGCACAATCTCGGCTCACTGCAACCTCTGCCTCCCGGGTTCAAGCGATTCTCCTACCTCAGCCTCCCGAGTAGCTGGGATTATAGGCACCAACCACCGCTCCCGGCTAATTTTTGTATTTGTAGTAGAGATAGGGTTTCTCTATGTTGGCCAGGCTGGTCTCGAACTCCTGGCCTCAGGTGATCTGCCCGCCTTGGCCTCCCAAAGAGCTGGGATTACAGGTGTGAGCCACAGCCCCCGGCCTGTTTTGTTTTTAATTCATACTTTTGTGGACACAAGAACGCATATTTGGTGCAGACTGGCTCCAAGGACAGGATATCTGAAATTATTTGAACTGAAACAATATAGTTGTGCCAATAAAGACAGAAAAGACTAAAGACAATATAAAGCTTGTCATTTAAATGTTTTTTAAAAAATATCTTTCGTACCGTGGTTTTCTTAAAACGACTACTTTATCTACACTAATCATCTGGACCTCTGATGCCCAACCGAGACGAAAGTGCTGAGTGATGACCAGGGGTCGGGTAGCTTGGTCCACAAGAAAAAGAGAAATGTTTTCATCTTGAATTCTTTAGATCCCGACCCCTCCGCGCAGAGTTCAGCGGGCGAGGGCGAGGGGCGTCCTGGGCAGGGGGCGCCCCTCATCCAGCCTAGGCTCCAGTCACGTACGTGCACGCAACTGTCAAAGCTCAGCCCAAGGAGCAACTCTCCGCATCTGTGCATTTCATCCTGAGTCAAGCCCCATAAAAATTGGAATACGTAAAAATGGGCAAAAATTGAACATTTAAAATACAGCAGTGAAAAGGGAGGAGTGCCTGCTCCGGAAATGCTCTAAGCGTGGTTCATCAACACTCCCTGAAGAGCGGACCACGGAGATGCTCCGAGGCTCCGCCATCCCGCACGCAGGACAAAGGTGCTGAGAATGAGGCGCGCTGGTCCTGCACCCTCTGCCGAGAGCCGGAAGCCAGGGGCGCGCCGGGGCCGGTCGGGCACGTGCAGGGGGCTCTCCGGCCGCCGCGCTGCCCCGAAGCCGGCCCTGGGGACTCGCGGCTGCGCGGACCGAGCTCGCGAAGGGGACCAGGCTCGCGGAGGGGCCGCAGCGGCCCCAAGGATGGCGCAGGAAGACCCCCCACGCAAGACAGCCGGTCGCGGGGGTCAGGGGCGGCTCCTCCCGGGCCCGGCCCCGCCCGACTGACCTGTGACGCTGGCCCGGGTGACGCGCTGCACCACGGCCTTCATGGCGGCGGCTGGGGCGAGTGGGGCGGCGCCGCGCTGCGTCCGGCCTCGCGACTCTGAGGGCGGCTCCGCAGCCGGCGCCCTCTGGAGGTGACACCCGGAAGCGCGCCCAACTGGCCGGTCCGACTCGGTCGGCTGCTACCCACCCCACGTCGGCCACGCCCACTCTCGGCCTGGCGATAGGCCCACCCACTCATAGATTGACTCCGCCTATGCCTGCCACGCCCACCTGCTGCCCAACCGTAACCCCGCCCGTCATTGAAAAGCCCAGTCCCCACGCTCGGCCCTGCCCCATCCACATCTGGGTCCCGCCAGAGCCCTTTGATCCCCCCATCCCGGGCCCAGCCCCTACCCAGTGCCCAGAACCCACTCTGCCCCGAAGGTAGTCTCTATGCTGGTTTTTTTCTCCCACATACCCGAACCTAAGAACCCGTCATCACTAAGCCTTTAAATTCAGCCTGAATCCTATTTCTAATTGTATTCCTCTTTCCTCTTCCACTCCTCTGCACGCAGATCCTCCCAAATTCTTCTTCCTTGTCTTCCTGCCTCAGTGGCTTTTCAGATACCACATACAAAAGGATCTGCTGCCTAAAATAGCCATTTACCTATCTCACTATTAATTCGACTTAGCCATGTCATGATAATAAATAGGTATGTGATTCTAGAATTCTAATTTCTCATGTAATATAAATGCTACTAATTGGCCCCCTCACTGGGTTGTTAGATTTAAATGAACCAAACCACGTAAAAGTGCTTAGATGGCAGCAAAGGGCTGTACAACTATTACCCCAACAAATTATTATCATTGCTAAAAATAATTCCATCTCAGCAGTCTTCACCTTAAAGGTGACTAATAGCATTGGTGGGCGTAGAAAAGGCACTGAAATTGAGAAGAAACCCTCACTTGCCCAGAAAAGACTACAAACTAGTGTGCTTGTTTGTTAAATACTGAATACTAAATTGCCTTAATAACGTTGTCAAAGTTAACATAACCAGTAACAAGACATCATGTGCCTCCTGATATTGCACTGGGAAGGACACAACATCAATCTTGTGGTATTTCTGCCAAATAATGTATAACCTGAATCCAATCATGATGAAACATAGGACAAAAATAAATTGAGGAACATTCTACAAAATAACCAGGTAGGATTCCGAGAATTAAGGAGGATTTTTTTTTTTTTTTTTTTTGAGATGCAGTTTTGCTCTTGTGGCCCAGGCTGAAGTGCAATGGTGTGATCTTGGCTATCCACAACTTCTGCCTCCTGGGTTCAAGCAATTCTTCTGCCTCAACCTCCTGAGTAGCTGGGATTACAAGCATGCGCCGCCACGCCCGGCTAATTTTGTATTTTTATTAAAGATGAGATTTCTCCATGTTGGTCAGGCTGGTCTCGAACTCCCGACCTCAGGTGATCTGCCCGCTTTGGCCTCCCAAAGTGCTGGGATTACAGGCATGAGCCACTGCGCCCAGCCGTGGACTTTTTAAAAGACAGGAAAACTACCTGTAATCCCAGCACTTTGGGAGGTCAAGGTGGGCGGATCATTGGAGGTCAGGAGTTCGAGGCCTGCCTGGCCAACATGGTGAAACCCCGTCTCTACTAAAAATACAAAAATTAGCCAGGCATGGCAGCGCATGCCTGTAATCCCAGCTACTCGGGAGGCTGAGGCAAGAAAATTGCTTGAACCCGGGAGGCGGAGGTTACGGTGAGCCGATATCGTGCCACTGCACTCCAGCCTGGGTGACAAAGCAAGACTCTGTCTCAAAAAAAAAAAAAAAAAAAAAAAAGACAGGAAAACTAAATTAACCTGGGTGGTATCCTGGCCAGAAAAATCAAGAAAAGGAAAAGCTTATTATTGGAACAACTGGTAAAATTTGAGTTTTTGAAAAATCAGCAGGTCTCAATATTTTGATCACAGGATCCCTTTACATTCTTAAAAATTATTGGGCACAAAGTATAGCTTTTGTTTAGGTGGATTATATCTAAAAATGTTTACTGTTTTTAACTAAGAGAAATAGTTAACATGGATTTATCAATGCATTTAAAAATAGCAATAATAAATCCCCTACATATGAATATCAGAGCAATGAAGTCACTATATGTCACGGAGCCCCTGGAAAACTCCATTGTGCACTCCTGAAAGAATAAGACTAAAAAAGGGAAAATTGGGCTGGTCGTGGTGGTTCACGCCTGTAATTCCAGCACTTTGGGAGGCTGAGGCAGGTGGATCACTTGAGGTCAGGAGTTCAAGACCAGCCTGGCCAACATGGTGAAACCCCATCTCTACTAAAAATACAAAAATTAGCCAGGCGTGATGGTGGGCACCTATAATCCCAGCTACTTGGGAGGCTGAGGCACAGGAATCACTTGAAACCGAGAGGCGGAGGTTGCAGTGAGCCAGGATCACTGCCACTGCACTCCAGCCTGGGTGACAAAGTAAACCTGTGTCTCAAAAAAAAAAAAAAAAGTTAACATACTTAAAATGGAATTCAAAATGTTCACCCCTATGGTACAATAAAGACTTTGGCCTTTGTTAATTCTGGGTTTCTGGCATGGAGCTTTAAAAATTCTTGGAATTTCTCAAGAGACAGGAGTATCTTTGTTATTCATGAGCTCCTTGATTATTCCTGAGTTTACTAACAAGACAATTCAGATTGGGAGCTGGTCACTGGAAAGACCAATAGTGACTGGATGTCTGAGCCAGCCCAACCTGTGGGAGGGGTAGAAGACAGAGATTGAGTTCAACCTGTGGCCAATGATTCAATCAGTCATGCTTACATGATGAAATCCCAGGAAAGACTCTGGACATTGAAGCTTCATTGAGCTTCCTGGTTGCTGAACACATTGATGTGCTGGGAGGGTAATGGCCCTGATTCCGCAGGGAGAAAGCACAGAGGCTCTGTGTTTGGTACTCTCGCAGACCTTGCCTAACATATCTCATTTGACTGGTCCTAATTTGTATTATTTATAATAAAACTATAAATGATAATTACAGCACTTTCCTCAGTTCCATGAGTGATTCTAGTGCATTATCAACCCTAGGGAGTCATGGATACTCCTGACTGTGTAGCCAGTTGGTCTGAAGTGCAAGTGGTTTGGGGACACCCAAGTGTGGTTGGCACCTGAAATAGGGGCAATCTTTTTGGGAAACGTACCCTTAAACTTGCAGGATCTGTTCTAACTCCAGGTGATTCCTGCCAGAGTTGAACTGCAATTCACCAGTTGGTGTTCAATGAACCCCGAAGCCCTTCATACTCCACCATAAGAGTCATACCTTTTTTTTTTTTTTTTTTTTTGGAGACAGAGTCTCGCTCTGTCACCCAGGCTGGAGTGCAATGGCTCGTTCTGGCTCACTGCAACCTCCACCTTCCAGGCTCAAGTGATTCTCCTGCCTCAGACTTCTGAGTAGCTGGGATTACAGGTGCTGCCACCATGCCCAGCTAATTTTTGTATTTTTAGTAGAGATGGGGTTTCACCATGTTGGCCAGGCTGTTCTCAAACTCCTCACCTCAAGTAATCCGCCTGCCGTGGCCTCCCAAAGTGCTGGGATTACAGGCATGGGCCATCGCACCTGGAAAATCCCCACTTAAATAAGTGGCTCCACTTGTTTACTGGAGCCAGAAGTAACCTGTGATTGCTCTCTTCCCCATTCCCTAAGTATCTCGTCCATCAGCAAATCTTCTCCCTCTCCAAAACCTATCCCAAAGTGCCCTCTTCTCTCCATCCCTCCTGCAGCATCCTGCTCCACCATTCTTTCCCACTTGGATTTCTACCACACCTTCCTCACTGGTCTTCCTACCTCCCCTTTGTCCTTCTCCAATCCATTCTCCAGGCACAGATGAAAGTGATGCTCTTAGAATATAAAGTCTTAACAATCCAGACTCTGACCACCTTTAAATTCCTCAAATAGTCTTTGGTTGCTAGCTCAGGACTTTAGGATCTGCTCTTGCTCCACCTGGAACAGGTAGGTTCCTCTACATTCATTCACTCTTTGTACAACACACTCCTCTCCTGCCTTTAGGTATTCAGCTTCAATGCCACCTCCTCAGATAGACCTTCTCTGTCCACACCAAGAAAAGTAGGTGTTCCTGCTCCCTGTTTTTCTCATGTTTGTCCTGTGGGTTTTCTCTCATAATCTTCTGGCTACTTTCAATGAGTCTATTTGCCTGGTAAGCTGTGTTCTTCTACCTGTGTCTCTCATGCTTACCACTGAATCCTCAGCATCTAACACAGTACCTGGGGCTCAGGTAATATTGCCAAAGGAATAAGTGTGAGAAGCCAATTTTTTGGCTTAACAGTGTATCATGGATTTACAGTATTTCTCTATTAATAGATGTGCAGATGCTAAGAGCTAATATATGCATTGTAATTCCCCTAAACAATTTTTTCTATTGACGAATATTTAGGTCTGGATCAGTTGGGATGTTTTTTCGTTGCATGGAACTCAAAATGGCTCAAACTTTTAAGAAATGTGTTATTTCCGAGTAGCTGGGCCTACAGGCGCCTGCCACCATGCCCTGCTAAGGCAGGAGAATGGCGTGAACCCAGGAGGCGGAGTTTGCAGTGAGCCGAGATCATGCCACTGCACTCCAGCCTGAGCAACAGAGTGAGACTCCATTTCAAAAAAAGAAATGTGTTATTTCATTGGAACCTTTGTGCACTTTTTTTTTTTTTTTTTTAGATGGAGTCTCGCTCTGTCACCCAGGCTGGAGTGCAGCGGCACAATCTTGGCTCACTGCAACCTCCGCCTCCCAGGTTCAAGCGATTCTCCTGCCTCAGCCTGCTGAGTAGCTGAAATTACAGGCGCGCGCCACCACATCCGGCTAATTTTTGTATTTTTAGTAGTGACAGGGTTTCACCATGTTGGTCAGGCTGGTCTCAAACTCCTGACCTTGTGATCCACCCACCTCGGCCTCCCAAAGTGCTGGGATTACAGATGTGAGCCACCATGCCCAGCCCTCCTTGTGCACTATTGATAGGACTGTAAAATGGTGCAGCTGCTATAGAAAACAATATGGAGGTTTCTCAAAAAATAAAAAATAGAAGTAATAACCCAGCAACCATATAATCCAGCAATCCTACTGCTGAGTATATGTGCAAAAGAATTGAAAGTAGGTTCTCAAAGAATATTTGAACATCCATGTTCAAAGCTGCACTATTCGTAATGATTAAGAGGTGGAGGCAACTCAAATGCCTGTTGACAAATGAATGGATAAACAAATATAGTATATCCATACAGTGGAATATTATCCAGCCTTAATAAGAAGGAAATCTTGTCAAATGCTACAATATGGATGAATCTTAAGGACACTATGCTACTTGAAATAAGTCAGTCACAAAAAAAGGCAAATACTGTATGATTCCACTTACATGAGATATCTGAAGTAGTCAAATTCACAGAAACAGAAAGATGAATGGTGGTTACTAGCGGCTGGGGGGTGGAGAAAGGGAATTGTTGTTTGATGGGTACAGAATTTCAGATTTGCAAGATTAAAAAGGTCTGGAGATCTGTTTCACAACAATGTCAATATGCTTCACACTACTGAACTGCACACATAAAATGGTTAACATGGTAAATTGTATGTTGTGTGCTTTGTGCCACGAGAAGAAAAAAAGGAAAAAGAGAAAGAAGAAATATATTTGACCTGACAAGGCAGCTCCAAAGTTAACCAAGATCAGGAACCCAGTTCTTTCCCTCTTTCTGCTCTGTCACCCCAGCATGTTGGCTTTTCTCGGGCACCCCACAAGCCTGAGAGATGGCTGTGGCTGTTCTAGGCACCCCACCCAGACACAATGTCCTGATGAACAGCAGACCATCTCTTCCTGGCCCTTCCACTGAAGCTAGGATATCTTGCTCAGAGGCCCTCCTACTTAACTCGCCAGGATGAGGTCACACCACCATGCTTATGCGAATTACTGGTAAGGGAGACGGGGCATACTCTCACCCAAGACTGGCTCAGACAAGAGGTTCTCACCTGCAGGGGAGACAGTTCTCCAGGGTGCACGAGATGTGTGTACGGAGGAAAATCTGGACCTGGGAGGCTGTTGGTAGCATTCAGTGTCCAGGGGACTTGAAATTCTCAAGCTCTTGCAACACCTGGGGCAGCCTACAGAATGGATCATCCTGTCCACAATGCCAGCAGTGCCATCTTTGAGAAATACTGACATGGACCAATCAGGACTTGCCCTCTGGAGCTAGGCTAGTCCCCCTGAAGCACATGGTGGGGTGGATTGAGGGGTCTGTTATAAAGCAGGAATGGGGGAAGTGGATGTTGGGAAGACAGCCGGGAGTGTCTCTCAAAAGGTTGATTTCAGTTCGGTGTCATTTTGAACAAGTTACAATGAAGAACCTTCTGCCTACAGCTCTTCATTTATCTCTTTAAGTTCTTGAAAGTGGGATTGCTGGGTGAAAGGTTGTGCCCATTTTCCTTTTTGATACACACTGCTAAACTGGCCTGCTGAAGTATGTTAACACCAATGTAGGCCAGGTGCAGTGGTTCACATCTGTAATCCCAGCACTTTGGGAGGCTGAGGCGGGAGGATCACTTGAAGCCAGGAGTTCGAGACTGGTCTGGGCAAAATGACAAGACTGTCTCTACAAAAAAAATTTAAAGTTAGCCAGGCATGGGTGTGTGTGCCTGTAGCTCCAGCTACTCAGGAGGATGAGGCAGAGGATCGCTTGAGCCCAGGAGTTCAAGGCTACAGTGAGCTATAATGCCTGGGTCACAGAGCAAGACCCTGTCACTATTAAAAAAAAAAAAAAATATATATATATATATAGATATAGATATATAGATATATATTCCTACTTTCAAAGGACAGGCAAGTATTGATGGGAAGAGTAATTGCCTGGGTTACCATAGTGAAGAAAGCAACACAGATGGAGGACTACAGAAGACTGGATTTATAAGAAAGAAGGAGGCCAGCCATGGTGCCTCACACTTGTAATCCCAGCACTTTAGGAGGCTGAAGCAGGAGGATTATTTGAGCCCAGGGGTTTGAGACCACCCTGGGCAACATAGCAAAATCTAGTGTCCACAGACAAAAAAAGAAAGAAAGAAGGTATTGCACATCTGGCTTTCAGGAATGTCTAAAACATACTTTACTCCTAAGAACAATGGCATGTGCAAGTGAAGTGCTTGAGCATACACAAAGAACTTTCTCATTTGAGAGACATAACGCCGTTAGTGAACAAGCAGATACATACTCTTCTTCAAAAGGCATGGATGCTCAGAAAACGCAGGTGATTCTTCTGCCATGGAAAGATAGGTTCACTTTTTTTGTTGTTGTTGTTGAGACGGAGCCTCACTCTGTCTCCCAGGCTGGAGTGCAGTGGTTTGATCTCAGCTCACTGCAACCTCCACCTCCCCAGTTCAAGCGATTCTCCTGCCTCAGCCTCCTGAGTAGCTGGGATACAGGCGTGCGCCATCACGCCTGGCTTATTTTTGTATTTTTAGTAGATACGTGGTTTCGCCATGTTGGCCAGGCTGGTCTCAAACTCCTGACCTCAGATGATCCACCCACCTCAGCCTCCCAAAGTGCTCGGATTACAGGCATGAGCCACCATGCCTAGCCAGGTTTGCTTTTTAAAAATAAATTAAGGAGGAGGTGTAATGTGCTTACAGCAACAGAAACTGTAACAGACTCAAGTAACAATGGCTTAAACTACATAGAAGTTGATTCTTTCTCTCATAAATTCCTGGGCTAGGATGGTACTCCACAGGCCACAGAACTGAATTATTTCTGCTTTGTTGTTCTACCATCCATCATTCATCTGAGTGGTCCGAGATGGCTCATGGGGGAAAGGGACATCAGAAAGGGACGGACATGTCCATGACTGCACTCAGCGCTCTTGCTCAGACTCCCTTAGAAACAGGGCCCCACTCCCTGAGAAAGAAGCTGGGCCATGATTCAATGAGGCCTCAGACTTGGGTAAATACTCCTGTGGAAGTATTTGCCATGCTAATGAAGTAACTTTTTCCAGTCATTTTATTTTATTTTGAGACCTGGTTTCACTCCGTTGCCTCAGCTGGAGTTCAGTGTCATGATCTCAGCTCACTGCTGCCTCTGACTCCTGGGTTCAAGAGATTCTCCCACCTCAGCCTCTCAAGTAGCTGGGACAACAGACATGCACCACCATGACCAGCTACGTTTTTTGTATTTTTGGTAGAGACAGGGCTTCACCATTTTTCCCAGGCAGGCCTTTAATTCCTGAGCTCCAGCCATCCACCCCCCTTGCCCTCCCAAAGTGCTGGGATTACAGGTGTGCGCCACTGTGCCCAGCCGCAATCATTTTAAATAGAAAATATTATTGACCTAATATAAATCTGACATGAATAACTATTTACACAGTCCCTATGAATTATGAATCTAATAATTATTTTCCTGTTCCTACAGGGTGATGACTATTGAAGGTACTCCATAGACGTGATATGAATATGTGAATGAATAAGTGAAGGAAGAAAGAGTGAAAAAATTGAACTGCCTAGCTTGTGTTCCTGCTTCTGAATTAGTTGTACTATGGGAGACATCATCTGTTTAATACTAATATCTGAGCCAGGCACAGTGTCTCACGCCTGTAATCCCAGCACTTTGGGAGGCCGAGGCGGGAGGATCACTTGAGGTCAGGAACTTGAGACCAGCCTGGCCAACATGGTGAAACCCCATCTCTACTAAAAATACAAATATTAGCCAGGTGTGGTGCGCATGCCTCTAATCCCAGCTATTTGGGAGGCTGAGGCAGGAGAATCGCTTGAACCCCAGAAGGCGGAGGTTGCAGAGGCAAGATCACACCACTGCACTCTCCAGCCTGGGCAACAGAGAGAGACTCCATCTCAAAAAAAAAAAAAAAAAAAAAAAAAAAAACAGAAACAATACTAATATCTGGATATAGCTTTTTCCTTTGCCACTAGAATAAAATATATTTAATACTAAAGTTCCCTTTGTGTATTCAACCTTTCTTTGATGATACAAGACGCTGCTGTATCCCAAGTCATCTACCACCACTCCATTAGATAGCAAATACATAAAGCCAGTGGGTACAATGTGTGGCCAAACTGCTACTTACCCTAAATCCACTTCACTTTTGTTCTTAATAGAGCCCTGATGGTAGTTTCTGACTTGTTCTCTGGCTCTCACGAAAGCATGAAACATCCTGGTAACTGGAGCACTCTGGCATTTGGATTTTAGAAAAGTAAAAAGTCTTCCGTGTTTCTTTTCAAAACGTATAGTCAATACCTCCGTTTCTTTGCTTTATGAGAGGAAGTTCATATGGTGCCAAAAGCTTAGACTTTGGTGCCAGAAAAACCACGGCTTCTGTGCTAGCTCTGCCACTTTCTATATGACCTTAGGAAATGTGACTTAGCCTGATTCAGCTTCAGTCTTCTTATCTGTTAAGTGCGGATAATATCTTGTCTTCATGATTGCAGTGAGGAGTAAATATAACACAGGAGCACTCAAAAAACAATCTTGCAGCAAACAATCTAAGTATATTTTCACAACCACACAGATATGATTGGGCCATGTCTGTCATTTTGGAAATGATGATAGGTCATATAATTAATCTTAAAAGTCTAATTCAGGCAGTTAAAGCAGAGCTCCCCAGAGGGTTGAAAGCCCAGTGCTGTGTGTGCTAGAACCCGTGGGAGCACAGCACCCTAAAAAGCATGGTTTTCATTCCATCAGGGTGAGTTTCTGTTGCTAGGAGCACCTTAACTCCATCACTTCTTTGACATCAGCCATTTCAACATTTTTCTCTAATCCATCAGCATACAAATTGGGGAGTGATTTTCTTCTCTGAAAATGGATTAGTCCAGGAGAGTCTCATGTTTGCTTTGAAGTATGCTGGATCTGAGATGGAAAAATACAAAAACAGGGCCAGATGGTCCTCTGATTTGAAATCACCAGAAAGTCTCTGTGAACTCCACGTGCCTGGTCCCCAACTACACGTGTCCTGCCAGAAAATGCACTCAAAATACCTCCTCACCTTGGATGTTACTTTGATTCACCTACAGTGTTTGGTGAGGCAGCAACTACAGGGCAGGCCCGGCCACTGAGCAACCAACCGAGTCCTGGGACCTCCAATGACCAAATTCCATCAGGATACTGTTACGGGAAAAAATCGGAAACTTGGAATCTAAAGCAAAAAACGTAGTGAGTTCTTTCAATGTCATCTTGGGGCACTGTGTTTAATGGGCTCACTCAAGAATTATTTAATTAATTAGGATATTTAATTAATTAGGGTACCTTTGTTTGACTCATCATCTACTTTTTTTTTTGAGACGGAGTCTCGATCTGTTTCCCAGTCTGGAGTGCAGTGGCGTGATCTCAGCTCACTGCAACCTCCGCTTCCTGGGTGCAAGTGTTCCTCCTGCCTCGGCCTCCCAAGTAGCTGGGATTACGTTCCACCATGCCCGGCTAACATTTGTATTTTTAGTAAAGACGTGGTTTTGCCATGTTGGCCAGGTTGGTCTCAAACTCCTGACCTCAAGTGATCAGCCCACCTCGGCCTCCCAAAGTGCTGGGATTACAAGCGTGAGCCAGAGCACCTGGCCAACATTTTTTTTTTTTTTTTTTGAGGCAGGGTCTTGCTCTGTCACCCAGGCTGGAGTACAGTGGTGTGATCATTGTTCACTGTAGCCTTGAATTCCCAGGCTCAAGCAATCTCCCACCTTAGTCTCCTAAGTAGCTGGGACTACGGGTACGCACCACTGCACCCCACTGATTTTTTAATTTTTTGTAGAGACGGGGTCTCACTGTGTTAGCCAGGCACCGTCACCTACTTTTAATTAAAGGCTTGGATTTTGTGAAGGTTCATGTTAACTTGTAAACTTTTGTTGGATAAAAATAAAAATAATTTCTGTCCATTAAAAAATAATAACCCAAAATTTAGGGCTTTATCCCCGCTAGAACATTAACCAGAAATCTTATTCTAACTCTTTTTTCTCCAGTGCCTAAATAACCTCTGGTCCTTTCTTCTTCTTTGAATCAGCTTTACCGTGCTGCTGGTTTTCTCATTTATGACTTGAACAAATATTTGACATTTGCTCATTCTTGTATTTGACTCATGTTTTTAACTTTTGAAAAGTATACTTGACAATCCTGAGCCTCTATATGTCACAGATATAGAGTGGGACTATAATAGAGTGGGACTATAATAGTATTCCTTCCATAGCTGGGTAGCCTTTGCCTGCATAGCATGTCCAGGGTCCCCAAGACTACCCCCAGGTTCAGTGATTTGCTGGGAGGACTCACAGGGTTCAGCATATAGTTATTGTCACGTTGGTGGTTTATTACAGCAAAAGGATACAAAACAAAATCAGCAAAGACAAGAAGTGCACGGGGCAAAGTCTGAAGGAAAACAGGCACAGGCTTCCAAAGCCCTCTTCCTATGGGAAGGGACACATTCTTTTCCTCTAGCATTGATTTATTTTTTTTTTTTTGAGATGGAGTCTCACTCTGTCAGCTCACTGCAACCTCTGCTTCCTGGGTTCAAGTGATTCTCCTGCCTCAGCCTCCCAAGTAGCTGAGATTACAGGCATGCACCACCATGCCCAGCTAATTTTTGTATTTTTAGTAGAGAAGGGGTTTCACCATGTTGGCAGGCTGGTCTCGAACTCCTGACCTCAAGTGATCCACCTGCCTTGGCCTCCCAAAGTGCTGGGATTACAAGCGTGAGCCACCACACCCAGCCTGACAACACTTTTCAAGTGTGGCCTACCAGGGTAGCTCAACAGAGACTCAAAATTTAAGTTTTTTTATTGGGGATTTTAAAATATAGACACACTCTACATAACACATACCAAAATTCCAGGTGGGTGGAGGCAGGGTGAAGGGTGGGCTGGACGCAGAGAGATGTTTGAGTCTGCAGAAGCAACACTTGGACCCCCAGGTACCCACCCCAACTTCCTGCACTTCACTCAGGAAACCTGAAGTTTCTGCTCTGGCCAGAGCAGAGGAGGGGGATGTGGCCCCGGATTCAATGGAAACCCTTATTCTAAACAACCATCTCCAAACCCCTCCCCAGTCTAGTTCCCAGGATTCCTACAGCCAGGCATCTACCCTCGATCCCTGTGGGAGACTGGAGAGAGGACCCTTCTCCTGGGAACTGATTGACAGATGCTGGCATGTCAGTACCTCCCACTAAAAATATCTGCCTTGCTGTCTCTAGTGGACATTTGTCATGGTATTTGTCTTTCCAGCATTTTGTGAACATCCTATATTTGGGGAACTTCTTACCTTAAAACTCCATATATCCCCACAGTAGAAGCCAGAAATTCTTTCCCAGACTTAATTGCAGCTAAGGCCCAGGAGTGTGACCAACACACCCTGAGTTAGGCATCCCCATGTGAAACTAGATTCGGAGACGAGTGACGATAAGCAGGCTGCTCCGGGAAGCCATTCTGATGTGGGGTCTTCAGAAACTCCCTGCTCTCAGAGGTACTGGAGGCAGGGGCCCGGCAGGAACAGCCTATTTTGTCAGCATGACCCCACAGTGCCTGTACCTGGTGGTGGTCTGGCAGGATACTTGGGGTGCCATTCCTGGCTGCGCTGTCTGTAACTATGTTTCCCCAATGATCCCCCTAATTCTGGGAGTTTCCCAATATCCTTTGCAAGGTTCCTTTTCAGCATGAACTGGCTCCAGTTCTGTGGTGTGTAGCTAAGAATCCTAACTTCAACACCAACCACCAGTAAAAAGCCAGTCATAACTTAACAAACACCTACCCCCATCCTCAAGCTGCAGAAGGTTCGTGAAAGGTTCTTAAATCAATGCCTGTACAATAAGAAGGGACATGAGACAAATGCCTCCAACTTGAGAGAGACAAAAACAAGTCATGTAAAGGAACTTATAGCAGTGCAAGAATAAATAGTAAAACAACTTAGAATACCTCCAGCCATCAGAAAATGTTGTATTCATCAATGAATAGGATACCATAAAAAGGAACTAATTTACAAGAGCTTTCTATAATAGCCAATATTAAAATGCAATTAAAAAGTTGGATTACAGCCAGGCACAGTGGTGCACACCAGTAGCTCCAGCTACTCAGGAGGCTGAAGTGGGAGGTTCACTTGAGCCTAGAAGTTCGAGACCAGCCTGGGCAATATAGCAAAACCCCATCTCAAAAAAAAAAAAAAAAAAAAAAGTTGTATTATATAAGACATAATGTATTTGCTTAGTTTTTGTTGTCTGTTTCTCCGCTGGAAGATAGAACTGCTTGAGGGCCTTGTTTATATAGTACTCAGCACACAGAGCAATGCTGGCCCAGCATCCCATGGTAGGCAGGGCTATACAAACTGGCCCCAAAGTCTAAGGAAGCCGAGAGGCCAAAAAGGAGGCTGACAAATCTGGTTTCTTAGAAAGAAACACTTAATAGGGACGTAGGAACAGAAGCCGTGTCTGTGTCTTGGGTGGCTGCCAGGCAAGATGGCGGATCCCTGAGCCATCACCCCGCAGACCCAGGGCTTTTATACTCTAGGGAAGGGTGGTTCAGCAGGGATATGTGGGACAACTGAAGTACAATAACATCAAGGTTGTTGGATCTAAGGGCAGGATTGACTGTAAGGACATGCTCTTACACAAGGAACAATAGATAAGCTGCAAATCTTAGAGGCCTTCATGGAACAAGGGTTAATCAGAATCCAACATGGCAGATCAGCGTCCAAGATGGATTTGCTTTGTCCTCCACACCCAAGGTAGGGGCTCAGTAGCTATCTGTTGAATGTGAAGGATGGTGGGATACACCACCAAAAAATATGCCACTTTGGCATAAAATTTATTTCGAGCTAAAGACACTTGAAAAATAGCAGGTGCAGGAAGGGTGATCTGACCTCCTCTTTTCTTTTTGAAGAGGAGATAGGCCGGACGCGGTGGCTCACGCCTGTAATCCCAGCACTTTGGGAGGCAGAGGCGGGTGGATCACCTGAGGTCAGGAGTTTGAGACCAGCCTGGCCAACATAGTGAAACCCCGTCTCTACTAAAAATACAAAATTTAGCTGGGTGTGGTGGTGTGTGCCTATAATCCCAGCTACTCAGAAGGCTGAGACAGGAGAATTGCTTAAACTCAGGATGCGGGGGTTGCAGGGAACTGAGATCATGCCACTGCACTCCAGCCTGCGCGACAGAGCAAGACTCTGTCTCCAAAAAAAAAAAAAAAAAAAAAAAAAGCAAGCAAGAGATAAAACTGCCATGTGGAAGATGCCCTCCCTATACCAGGAGGAAAGAACCATTCTTATCACCAGAGATGGAGAGTCAAGGTCGAGATAATTCTATACAAACAGGCCTTGTTTAAATAACTCTTATCCTCCTCTGGTTTCCTGTACATTTTAGTTCCTTTTCCATAATTGCCTCTTTTTGTTTAACTCAGTATATAACCAGTTAGGTTTTGCCACTTTGGGTCTCCATTTTTCTATGGGGGCTCCCAAGTGCATGTAAGAATCTGTACACTTTACTTTGGCTAATCTGTTTTATGTCAATTTAATTCTCAGGCCCAGCCACAAACCCTAAAAAGTATAGGTAAAATTTTGCCGCCTTCACAAGTGTATAAGTAAATGAATGACCCTCTCCCTGAAAAGTAGAAAATAAACAAAGAGATCAACAGTAGTTAAGAAAAAGTATAAAATAATAAAAAGTAGTCTGGAATGTCTATTAGGAATTCCAGACACAGAGAAAAAAAATTAAAAGGCAAACGGAATTCCTAAAAAATAAGAAAATTCCCCAGAACAAAACAAGAGTTTCCATGAACTAAGAACCCACTGAGTGATCAGCCTAGTCAATTTTTTTAAGCCACACTAGGTGCATCATTGTAAAAATTTCAGAACACTAGAGATGAAGGAGGTCCTAAGACCTTCTGGAGAGAAGAAAACAGGTAATAATCAAAGATTAGGACTTCTCAGCTGAAATATTGGAATTGCTAGAATACAGGGGACTGATGCTTTCAAAATTCTGAGGGAAAGTAATGATCAAACCTGGGGTTCTGTACCCAGGCCAACTAGTAATTGAGTATGAGAATACGAAAAAGACATGTTCTGGTCGGGTACACTGGCTCATGCCCATAATCCCAGCACTTTGGGAGGTGGAGGCAGGCGGATCACTTGAGGCCAGGAGTTTGAGACCAGCCTGGCCAATATGGCGAAACCCCATCTCTACTAAAAATGCAAAATTAGCTGGGTGTGATGGCGCAGGCCTGTAGTCCCAGCTACTCGGGAGGCTCAGGCATGAGAATTGCTTGAACTTGGGAAGCGGAGGTTGCAGTGAGCCGAGATCGCACCACTGCACTCCAGCCTCGGTGACAGAGCGAAACTGTCTCAAAAAAAAAAAGACATGTTCAGACATGAAAAATCACCAAAAAATTATATACCCTTTTTCAGAATTATGGGGACACAGTATCGAGAAAACAGAGATCCATTATAGGATGGCAAAGCAAATAGCAAAGAAAAATGGATGCAAAGCAGAACTAGAGTGATCAGTCCAGATTGTACCAAGAAGACAAAGAGCTCCAAGATTTAAAAACAGAAAAGAGAAACTGGAAAGGTTTGTGTGGAAAATTATATTGTGAGGTTAGAGGATGTGGAAAGAATGAGAGAGAAACATCAAGAAAACAAAGCAAATGAAAAAAAGAGTGCAGTTAACTCCAGAAAGAAAAGTTATATGAGAAACAATTATAGCTCACTTACTTGGCTTATCAACAAACTATGTTTGCATAGTTAAAACAGGGTAAATATTAATTATTGATTCATCAAAAATATGCAATAGTTTTATTGGTTAGTCAGTTGGAAAGGAGGATCAAATCCTCATTAATAAATCCCATACATGATTGATAAATTAAAGATATTAGTAAAAGCTTATTATTTAGAAATGTGGACGTAAATACCAAAAAAAAAAAAAAAAAAACCTAATAGTTGAAAGCAAGGAGGGATAAAGCAGGAACTGTTTTTTTGGTTACAAACTTTTGATCATTATTTAATTTTTTAATGCATTTGTTGCTTTGTTAAAAATATAAAAATTAATTTCAAAAAAGTCATGCTGGCTAATACTGTAGAAACCAATTGGAGGGGACTCCAAGTAGAGACAAAGAGAGTAGGAAGTTGAGGCTACATAAGCAAAGAGGATGGAGGATTTAAGTAAGGTAGTGGTAAAGGGAATGGGAAGGTGGGAATGGAGTGGAATATTTGCAGTAGAAATGATGGGACCTGGTGGCTGGAGGAAGGAGAAGGAACAAGAAGAGGGAGAAGTCTAGAATGATAGGTTCCTAATTTGAGGAACTGAGTACTCTCTGAGAAAGAGAACGGAAGGAAGAGCAGCCTTGTGGGTGATGACAGCAATTTAAGTTATGGACAAAGCTGAGGTGGCTAGATATCCAAGTGGCAATGCTAGATGGACATGGATCTTGAGTTCAGGAGAACGCTGGGCTGAAATAAGAGAATAAATTAGATCTAGCAAAGAAACCCAGCCAAGTCCCAAGGAAAGCTAACCCAAATGTCCCCTTAAGCCCCACAAGTGTATGAATCCTGGGTAGACTGCCAGGTGAGAGTAGAAGTTCAGCTGTTTATCCTCGGTGTGCTCTATTAACAACTCTCACCTGCCAAGTGCCACAGCCCCTCAGCCCTTGCCCTTTGTTTCTCTGGAAGCCCTCATGTTAGGAAATGTCTTCCAAAACGTTCATGCTACTGTTCCCATTTCTCCCATACTTCTGATTCACTTGCTTCTCACCTTCCCCATCTACTGTCGTACACTGCTTCTCATTCATCAGTTTGATGCCAACCAAGATGGTCCACTGGAATACACAGCCAATTGGCACGAATCCATGCTTGACCTGATATCCCTTGGGAAGCTGAGTCTCTGCTACCAGCATCTGGAGCTGTTACTTGTGATTTTGGAATCCTTGTCACTAAGGCTGACTGCACCACAGCACTGCTCAGGCCACCCATAATGGTGGAACTGACACCAATGAGAAATCAAGATGAGGGTCTGAAGGTCATAGTACTGTAGAGGAACCCTGAAATGCCCAATTCCTGTCCTACCACACATCACATCTCTACTCACAGGGTCCCAACAGCTATGAACAGGAAAACACTACCTAAATGAGAAACAAATGCCACTTTATTCATAACTGAGGCAGTACTCTATAATCCATAGGCAGGGATCTGATAAAAACTGAACTGAGTCTCTCGCAAGGGTGGAAGCCAAAGACCAGGTTGAGGAGAGGCTGGTCAGACTTTGGCACTGCACATGGGAGGTAGTATCTTCTTGGGATATTTGTATTACTCCAGAAAGGTGAGAAAAGCAGCTGGTGTGCAATAAGAAAAGCAAGGCCAAGAGCCCAGGCAGGCTCAACAAGTGGCTGCCTGCATTCTGGTCCCAGTGTCAGGCCTTCTGAAGACAACATACTGCTTTTTTTTTTTTTTTTTGAGATGGAATCTCGCTGTCAACAGGCTGGAGTGCAGTGGTGCGATCTCAGCTCACTGCAACCTCCGCCTCCCAGATTCAAGCGATTCTCCTGCCTCAGCCTCCCAAGTAGCTGGGACTACAGGTGCGCGGTGCCATGCCCAGCTAATTTTTGTATTTTTAATAGAGACAGGGTTTCACCATGCTGGCCAAGACGGTCTCGATCTCTTGACCTTGTGATCCGCCCCTCGGCCTCCCAAAGTGCAGGGAGTACAGGCGTGAGCCACCGCTCCTGGCCCATACTCTCTGCTTTAATTCTGAGCTACCAATACACGTTTTTTATAAACACCCACTTTTGATTTAAGCTCACTTGTGTTTGTTGCCTGCAACCAAGAGACCACTGAGGAAACTGGTTCAGCATCAATCATGTCGTCCTGACTGCATTCCCAGCATTAGAATAGCACTGGCCACAGTTGGTGGGTAATCCACACTTGCTGAAGGAATGAGGGGTATGTGCACTGGTCCTAAAGAATAGGTCCAGTCTGTTTAATTCAGAAGTTACAATCAAATTTATATCATACTTACCCAGTACGCAGTAGTACCCAAAGGGCTACTGTGAATCCCAAAGTGAATATGGAGATTTGCTGAAACTAACCTTAAAGCGACCACTAAAGCTGTGCCTAATAGCAACATGAAAGAAATATAAATCTACATTAACTAGTTTCAGGAAATCAAGCTTATGGAAGCTCTATGTGAAATTTCACAGCAATCTTTCACTCATGCAAATACAGAGGAACACCTCTTGAAAATGCAGATAGTAGGCCGGGGACCGTGGCTCACACCTGTAATCCCAGCACTTTGGGAGGCTGAGGCAGGCGGATCACAAGGTCAGGAGATGGAGACCATCCTGGCTAACACGGTGAAACCCTGTCTCCACTGAAAACACAAAAAATTAGCCAGACATGGTGGCAGGCGCCTTTAGTCCCAGCTACTCGGGAGGCTGAGGCAGGAGAATGGCATGAACCTGGGAGGCGGAGCTTGCAGTGAGCCGAGATCGAGCCACTGCACTCCAGCCTGGGTGACACAGCAAGACTCCGTCTCAAAAAAAAAAAAAAAAAAGAAAACGCAGATAGTTTCCTTCAAGAAAATATTTATTGCATATTATTAGTGATTATGTTTTACAGCAAATTTAAATACATACACTTTTCACAAACCCAAAATGGGAATCAGGGCAACTATCAAATTTAAATGTTGAACCAAGTCCTGGTTTTCAGAATTCAGCAGCCAGTCATGGTTCTGTACCAGGGCCACCAGTCCATGATTTCCAATAGTTGAGGATCTTTTCTGTATTTGGAACAAAATCTTCTTTATATGTGACAACTGTTTCCACATAAAATCCTTTTGGGCGTTCAGAGAGTTCACTGGGTACTTCACTTGCTGAGCCATCCTTTTGGTCTACTTTATCACCATTAAGAGAAAAAAAAAAAAAGAACACCTGAATTATTAACTTAGAAAGCAGTCATTAAAGTCTTAGAAATTAACTAAGGTAAGAATTACATCCACTCTCTCCAACCCCAATAATGAAGGAAGGAATGAAAAGGAAGGGAAAAGAAAAGCTGGGTGCGGTGGCTCACGCCTGTAATCCCAATCTCACTTTGTGGGGGCCGAGGCAGGTGGACCACCTGAGGTCAGGTGTTTGAGACCAGCCTCGCCAACGTAGTGAAACCCCATCTCTACTAAAAATACAAAAATTAGCTGGGCGTGGTGGCATGGGCCTATAACCCCAGCTACTGGGGAGGATGAGGCAGGAGGACTGCTTGAGTTGGGAGATGGAGGTTACAGTGAGCCAAGATAGCGCCAGTGCACTCCAGCCTGGGCGACAGAGCTAGACTCTGTCTCAAAAAAAAAATAAAACAATTCGCCGGGCAGCAGTGGCCTGCGCCTGCAATCCCAGCTACTCGGGAGGCTGAGGCAGGAGAATCACTTGAGCCCGGAGACGCAGGTTGTGGTGAGCCGAGATCATGCCACTGCACTCAAGCCTGGGCGACAGGGTGAGACCTTGTCAAAAAGAAAAAAAAAAAGAACGAAAGAAAGAAAACATAAATATGGACATTAAAATATTTTTACTTTATATATAAATGTAAAGTATTTTTACCATATATTACATATAAAGTAAATATAAAATATTATATATAAAAATTTCTTTTTCTTTTGGTAGAGATGGGGGTCTCCCCATGTTGCCCAGGCTGGTCCCGAACCCCTGGGCTCAAGCAATCTCCCACCTCGGCCTCCCAAAGTTATGGGATTACAGGCGTGAGCCACTGCACCCGGCCAAAATGTTTTTAAATGCTTAATGCTGGACACATGTACTTTCAGGCCACTGACAGCTTCATCACCAAATGTAATCTTCAGCATAGTTTTTACACAACAACTTTACTGAGATATAATTAACATATACGATTAACCCACTTAAAATATACAATTTAATGTTTTTAGTATATTCAGATTTGTGCAACCAGCACCACAATCAATTTAAAAATACTTTCATCCACAAAAGGAATCCATACCTTTGGCAGTCATTCCCCAACTCCCCAACCCCTCAGCCCCTAGCAACCACACTAATCAACTTAATGTCTCTACAGATTTCCAGCATATTTTTCAAAGCTGAGAGACTTTTCTCCCTTTGCGCTTAGTAACTGGAAGATTTTAATACGCCTTGGCTGCTAAAAGTACTGAAATTGCTCGCCATATACGATGAGGGACAGTAGTACTGAAGCATCACTCTTTAAAAATCACCGGCCAGAGTCTCTGAAAGTCCACCTTGCACTTTACACAGATTCCTCCAATTCTGAATATGGGGACGGCCCTATCCAGTAAATGATTCAGATTTAGGAAACAATATTTACAAGGTATTAATAATTCCTGGAGTCTAGTTCTTTGCAGATTCCATTATAACAAACGGCTGTTAGCACCCGTTTCAATTAGTTTTGCAGAATAAACCTGGGATTTAAAGGACAGGGAAGTTGTTTCCATGACCCCCGGGGAACTCTCATCGAAGGCCGTGTGTTCCGGGGCAGGCCCCGCCGAAGAGCCCTACCTGACGACTTCGCCATTGTCCGGCTATAGTAAAGCAGTGAGCCCAACACAGACCAGGTGCCGATCCCGTAGACCACCGACATCCGCCGGTACCAGGCCGTGAACTCATTTCGATACATGGGTACGCCAGCGAGTGCCTCGATTCTCGCAGGCCCACGGCAGAGGCGGGACTTCCGGTGAGGGCGTCGCTGCGGTCCCTGCCGCCGGAACCATTAAGGAGCCGCCAGTTTTCAGCGTCCGCTTCCGGCTCTGCCCCGATGCACCTTGGGGCCTCTGGCCCGGAAAGTCGCTCAGGTGTCCGGACTTTCGGGTGTAGAACTGTGGGCGTGCGATACTTTTTACCACGTGACGAGGACTAAATGACAACTTAGAGGAGAAGCTTCTCACTTGCAAAATTGTAATGCCTTCGTGGGCTCCAGACGGTATCCGAAAAGGTTACTTCCAATTCCTCTTCCAGTTTTCAGATTTGCAGGGATACCGCTTGTCTCTCCCCGCAACTCTTCTTTTCCTCCATTTTTCTTTCCGGAACTCTGGGTGAACTTTAAATACTTCCAGGCCAAAGCTAATCCCTCCACTAGGCTCTGGGTACTATTTTTTCCAGCCTCAGTGGCCTTTCCCCTCATTGACACCCTAAGTCCTCCCCCATCTTCATTATTGACGTTTATCCTTCATACAAACGTGCCCATGTCTCAAAAACAAAAAATCTCCTTCGACTCCGACCACCTCCAGCTTTTGTCTTATGCATACATTTTTTAAAGCAAGATGCCCTCAATAGACTGAACAACTTAAGAGCAAGTGTGATGTGCTTGGCACAAGGTAGGCCCGGTAAATTAACGTTAAGTACTTTTCAGCCACACTCAAACTTGGTTTCGAAAGCATTTGCCACCACTGACCCCACCTGCACCTTTCATGGCTTCAGAAACATCATTTTCCCTGGTATCCTTCAGGGTTCTTTTCACCTTGCCCACCCTTTAAAAACTGATGTTCTGCCCTACAGAAATAGATAAAAAACTTAACTCTGAATGGATCGCTGACTTAAATGTAAAAGCTAAAACTATTTAATATAAGCCTAGAAAAAAACCAGGAGAATATGTTTGCCATCTTGGAATAAGCACAGAATTCTTAGAATAAAAAAGGCATCCCAAGCGGGGTGGCTCATGCCTGTAACCCCAGCACTTTGGGAGGTAGAGCAGGGAGGATTGCTTGAACCCAAGAGTTCCAGACCAGCAAGGCCAACATAGTGAGACCCCATCTCATTTTATATATATATGCATAAAGCGAAAATGGATAAATAGGGCTTTTAAAAAAAAATTAAAATTTTTGCTCTTTGAAGGTCACAGTTGAGAAAATGAAAAGCCAAGCCACAGAATAAAATATTCATAATAACATATATCTAACAAAAGGACTTGGATCCAGAATATATGAGGACGCTTTACAACTCAGTTATAAAAATACAGCCCAACTAAAAACCAGGCAATAAATTTGAATAGAACGAAAGAAGATATACAAATGACCAATAAGCACAGTAGCATCATTAGTCATCACAGAAATGGACATTAAAAGAATACAATAAGAGACCATTACACACCTACTAGAATGGCTAAAATCAGATTGAGAATGCCAAGAGCTGTAAGGATTTGGAATAATTGGAACTGTTATTGATGGGAACATAAAATGTTACAATCTCTTTGCAAAACTTAGTTTTTAAAAAGTTGAACATATGCCTACCATATAACCCAGGCATTCCGTTTCTAGTTATCCATGAGAAATGAAAACCTGTGTCTGCACACAGCCATGTACATGAATGTTCATAGTTTTATTCTTAATAGGAAAAAATAGAAACCACCCCCAATACCCATCGAGTAAATGGCTAAACAAAACGTGGGATACCACTTACAAATAAAAAGGAACTACTGGCTGGGTACGGGTGGCTCACACCTGTAATCCCAGCACTTTGGGAGGCCAAGATGGGTGGGTCACCTCAAGTCAGGAGATCGAGACCAGCCTGGCCAACATGGTGAAACCTCGTCTCCACTAAAAATACAAAAATTAGCCGGGCATGGTGGCGGGCGCCTGTAATCCCAGCTATTCCAGAGGCTGAGACAGGAGAATTACTTGAATCCAGGAGGCGGAGGTTGTGGTGAGCCGAGATTACACCACTGCACTCCAGCCTGGGTGACAGAGTGAGACTCCTTCTCAAAAAAAAAAAAAAAAAAAAAAAAAAAGAACTACTGATAAATACAACCATACGATGAATCTCAAAATGGATTATGCTAAGTGAAAAAGCAAGCTAGACACCAAAGAAACCAGTCACGAAATTCTAGAAGCAAACTCCAGTGGGAGAAAGCTGATGAGTAGTTGTCTGCAGTAAGGGCATGGAGAGAGGGAAGGGCTAAAAGGGTCTGAGGAGACTTTGAGAGGTGATGGTAATGTTCTGTATGTTGATTATTGTGGTGGTTTCTGTCAAGATTTATCCAATTGTATGCTTTAAATGGGTGCAGTTTATTATATGTGAACTATAGCTCAATAGTTATAGACAAAACAGAAAAATTGGTATTGTTTCAAGCTTGCGTCTCTTCTCATCCTTCTCATCAGCCTTACTCATGATACCTATGTTATATGTTAATAACTCTCAAATCTACTCCAGATTCTCTGAAAGCAAATTCATGTTACTGCCAACCTGCTATGCATCCTCGGCTGCATATTCCACAAGCTCCTGAAACTAAAAAAATGTTCCGAATTGAATTTATCAATGCCACTCCCAACAGGAAACAAACCTTCCCTTTCTCTTCCCTGATTCAGAGAGTGATTGAGAAATTGCCCAAGCCAGGAACTTGGAATCATCTCACCTGACATCCTCTGTCACCTCTGTCTAAATACCCTGTCTCTGTTTAGGCCTCATTTCTCACTTGGATTACAGTCTCCTCTCATCCTTCCCCCTCTGGAGTGTCTTTCAAACCTTAAATTATCATTTCACCCTCTGCCTAAGATAAGTCAGAGGCTTGCCCTACCTTCAAGATGGAGTTCAATACCCACAAAAATTAACAATTAATAAAAAGATGGAGTTCAGAGTCCTCACTGGGCATACTGGGCTCAGTGGCCCCTTCTCATGATAGCTGTTTTCCACACAGCACTATCACCCTGCCACCCCCTACATTCTGTGGAAAAACGTCACTGGTACCCTAAGGTGGGACCTGCATGGCCATGTCATACCATGCAGTTCCCTCAGCTCCTTAACTCACTGACACTAGAGAGAACCGCAGAGTTAGCTGGGTCTATCACACAGTCTTTTTTCTGTTAATTTGAAACAGAAAAGCCAAAGAGGATGTTTTGGCCTTAATCTGTACAGACAACTTTATGTATTCTTCTATATGATGTGTTAAAAATTATATCCAAAACTAAAAATATTCTTGGAAAACGCACAGAAAAATGTAAATGTTCAACTTTTTTTTTTTTTTTTTTTTTTGAGATGAAGTCTCCCTCTGTCACCCAGGCTGGAGTATAGTGGCGTGACCTCAGCTCACTGCAACCTCCACCTCCGAGGTTCAAGTGATTCTCCTGCCTCAGCTTCCCAAGTAGCTGGGATTACAGGTGCCCACCACCACTCCTGGCTAATTTTTTAATATTTTTAGTAGAGATGGGGTTTCACCATGTTGGCCAGGCTGGTTTTGAACTCCTGACCTCAAGTGATCTGCCCACCTCAGCCTCCCAAAGTGCTAGGATTACAGGTGTGAGCCACCGCACCTGGCCAATGTTCAACATTTTAAGATAGGAAACTCTGCTAGAATTCTGCTAGAATGTAGGGCAGAGACAAAAAGAAATACAATAACTTGTATTCGAATACAAATTCAAAACAGAGTATTGCAATCAATCCAGCTGTTCCAACATCCAATTAATAGGAGCTTCCAGCTTCATTTTCCTACATAGCACTCATTACCTTCTAATGTATCATTTACTTCATTTCTTTTTTGTTTTTTATTTTTTTGAGACGGAGTCTCGTTCTGTTGCCCAGGCTGGAGTGCAGTGGCACAATCTCACTGCAACCTCCATCTCCTGGGTTCAAACAATTTGTCCCTGCCTCAGCCTCCCAAGTAGCTGGGATTACAGGTGTGCACCACCATGCCTGGCTAATTTTTGTATTTTTAATAGAGAAAGGGTTTCGCCATGTTGGCCAGGCTGGTCTCAAACTCCTGACCTCAGGTGATCCGCCCACTTCGGCCTCCCAAAGTGCTGGGATTACAGGCATGAGCCACCACGCCCGGCCATATCATTTACTTCTAACATTGTTATTGTTGGTCTTCCCTAACTAACACATAAGCTCTATGAAAACAGGAATTTTTGTTTTATTGGCAGTATTCCCAATGCCTAGAAGACTACTCCATAGACAACAAGTACCGGATAGTTATTTGTTGAACGAATGAAAGAATGACTCCAAAGTTCTGAGATTATCTTGGGCCTATACTTTTTAGACCCAGTGGGTTAGTCTGTCTTTGGATCTCTGTAATGGAACACCCGAGACTGGGTAATTTATTTTAAAAAGAGGTTTACGGTTTATGCTTATGGCTTACGGTTCTGTAGGCTGTACAGGACGCATGGTGCCAGCATCTGCTTCTGGTGAAGGCCTCAGGAAGCTTACAATCAGGGCAGAAGGTGAAGAGGTAGCCCGATGTACCACATGGCAAGAACGAGAGGAAGAGGTGGGGGAGGTAACACTTTAAAAAAATTTTTTTTGAGACAGTCTCGCTCTGTCCCCCAGGGAGTGCAGTGGTGCGATCTCGGCTCACTGCAACCTCTGCCTCCTGGGTTCAAGCCATTCTCATGCCTCGGCCTCCTGAGTAGCTGGGATTACAGGCGCAAGCCACCACACCCGGCTAATTTTTGTATTTTTAGTAGAGATGGGGTTTCACCATGTTGGCCAGGCTGGTCTCAAACTCCTGACCTCAGGTGATCTGCCCGCCTCAGCCTCCCTAAGTGCTGGGATTATAGGCATGAGCCACTGTGCCCAGCCAACACACTTTTAAACAATCATACCTCATTTGAACCCAGGACAAGAACTCACTCATTTCTGTGAGGATGGCACCAAGCCATTCATGAAGGATCCAGCGGTATGACCCAAACTCCTCCTACCAGGCCCCACCTCCAATCCTGGGGATTACATTTCAATGACGGACTTGGAGGGGACAAATATCCAAACTATATTACCTGGCAAAGCTATAAAGTGTGAAGACAGAATAGATTTGCAGATATGCTAAGATGCAGTGAGTTCTCCCCAAGTACTCCTTTTAGTAAAAGTCATTTGAGATTGCAAAATGCCTTATGGAATAAAGGGAAGAGTGGAACTAACCCGAGATTCCAAACAGAAGAAATTCCTGGATGACAGTTGTGCAGTAGGTCAAAGTTATTGGCCCCCCTTAAAAGGGGACATCAGTGGCCTCCAAAGAAGAAAAAAATGGACTTCATTCAGTAGAATAGGCTAGAATTTCTTAGTAAATAGAAAGCAAAATATTTCTTCTCTCAGAAAGCAAACAAAATTTAGAAATTCTGGGGAAAACCACAGCAAATCTAAGAAATCATAATCCAAATAGGGATCAAACCAACATGCGGCATGATGGAATGTAAGAAAGTAACTCTGATTCTGTCCTTTGGAATGTTTTCCTACAAGTGACATAGGGACTGACTGGGACACTAGCACCCTAGAGAAAAATGTCATCCTACCTGGCTTGGACTGGAACAATATTTACATCATCACGGCTGTGTAAATGCTTCTTAGGAGCTTTCAGCTTTGACAATCAACTTAGTGACAAAAAATATGATAATAGGCCAGAATATAATCTCTTTTTTTTCCTGAAACAGGGTCTTGCTCTCCCACCCAGGCTGGAGTGCAGTGGCATGATGAGAGCCCACTGCAACCTTGAACTCCTGGGCTCAAGTGATCCTCCTGCCTTAGCCTCCCAAGTAGCTAGGACTACAGTCACACACCACCATGGCCCAGTAACTTTTAAAATTTTTTGTAGAGACAGTCTCGCTATGTTGCCCAGGCTGGTCTTAAACTCCTGGCCTCAAGTGAGTCTCCTGCATTGGCCTCCTAAATTTAGCACTGGGATTACAGGTGTGAGCCACTGTATCTGACCCAGAATATACATTTTACCAATCTTGATAATATAAAAATAAAAATACAAAAATGACCAAAGGTATATTAATATATTGATTCTTTGAAAATGAGAATTGAGACATGGGCTAAAATTAAATACATCAACAACAAAAATCTTGTAAGGAGAGGTTAAAAGCAGTTATCTTCAAAAAGTAGGTCTGAGTTTATAGAGTGGAGGTAACTTATTTGTTATGAGCTCTTTAGGATAAGGTATATTTGTTTCATTTTGATCCTGCATATACATTACTTTAATTATGAGAATTAGGTTCAGGAAACACCTCTTAAGGAAGTCACTTAAAACACATACACACTCACACAGAGACCTCAGGAAATCACATTTGTATTAGCAATATTTTAGCCAGTACTTTCTGCATCTAGATTTATTTCCTTTATGATCATTAAGATTCTCACCTAAACAAGCTGCCAAAATACATTACCTCTGATTTTATTTAGATTCTAAAAGTTAGGATACAAAAAGCACATAAACATCTACAAGTACCAAAACATTTATGACCTTATAATTTTATAGTGCAAGAAAAAGGACAAAGACAGGAATACAAATAAATTATAATCTAAAGAGTTACATATAAAATGTCCTTGATTATTTGTTAAAATCTGCTAGAAAAGTAACAGGAATGTTATCAAGCCTTTCTAGACATTTTGAACACAATCTGACACCGTTGCATTTCCTGGTTGTATCCTCAGCTTAACAGGCACTGGAGACAGCCAGCTTCTTCAAATGGTCCATGAACACCTGCAGGCTAACATCATCAGTTAGGATGGGTGCTCCAGTTTCCTGAAATGTAATGATAAAGATTAGTTGGCAGATATCTTAGAAGCTGATTAGAATTCATGAGCTGTCAAGCACCTTCCCTCAGAACATTCACAGGTGTTGTCCCCTCTGCTACGAGTACTCCCATCACCCCATCCTCTGCCTCACGAACAACTTCTTTTGACTAAAGCACAATTTCCTCACAAAATCCTTTCCTGGTATGCCGAGATCAGGCCACCACCGCCTGCTAGTTTTGAGCATCAGGCGTTTTACTTTACCCTCTTCTCCATAGTCCTGATGAAGTACCCAGGGTCTAGCTCCCCACCACTGTGAGCTCACGGAGGCCCATATGCCTGCCTTTCCTCTTAAGTGCTCTGCTTACCACAGAAGCTGGATAATGGTGTACCCACAAACGAGTGAACTGGTATCTCCACTGAACAGATGGATATTTCAAATATCAGAAAAAGCTTATAATTTTATTAATGTTATGGGAAAAATTGAATAGAAACCTCAATTTGTAGTAAGATTCCAATTTTGTAAAGAAATTAAAAATATATATATATATACACACACACACAATAATACACTTTACGTAGAAAAAAGCTGGAAATAGTTAACTCTTTAAATAATGATTCTAGGTAATTTAAATTTTCTTATTTTTTAAAACATATTCAAATTTTCTAAAATGAAACCATACTGTTATAATTAGAAAAGTGTAAGCATGATCAAAATGTTTTCAGAGGATTTCGAGGAAGGAATAGAATATATACTTTTCTCTATTCCTCCCACTAAGTACAACTGAAAACTTCGGGCATCTTATGTAAACCAAACATAAGAAGACTTTTAAAGGTGGAGAGAAGACAGAAAAACTAAAGACCTTGGGACCCAAGGATGCACAGCAGTGAGTTCCTTGGGCTTTCTTATGCCTCATATACTCTGAATTTGGAGCTGAGGAAGCTGGCAAATTGTCATTGAGCACAGACTCAAACAAAACAAAACAACAAAAAACACCCACTTTCTCTAGCCAAAGGACTAAAGCAGCCTAGCAAGACAGAACAATCTTAGATAATAACCACTGTACTCCGGGCAAAAATGAGAGGAAAAACTGTGGCCCTGACCCACCTGAACCAGCAAAGGCTGGGTGGGCAGCTACAATTTCTACCCTCACAAGGCAGTAACAAGGCACCCTAATACTCCCACCAAGATGGTGCCAGAGAAGGCTAAGTATGGAACCAGGAAGTTCATCCCCAATGGCCAAGTAAAAAAATTTTCCTACCCCTGTGGTGTCAGTAGAGGCCATTTGGGGAGCCTGGACTTCCACCGCAACCTGGCAAAATATATGTCCCTCCGCCTGCCTACTGGGGTGGCCTCAGAGGCCTGGAGGAGGGTCAGGACTTTCACCATCACCCAAGTGTAACAAGGCCATCTCCACAGCGGTCTCACTGGAGGCTATGGGGGAGCTGGAACTCTCATTCCCACTAAGCAGTAACAAGAAATCACTAGACACCCCGAGGTGTCAACAGAGGCCAGTGGAAAACCTGGACTTCTCCACCTGGCAGTAATGGAGCCCACCAGTGCCCCCGACACCCCCCCCACCAACCACCTTCCCTGTCAGAGTAGTGTAAGAAAAAATCAGCGAAAAGTAGCAGGTTTAAATAAGATCCAGGGTCTCATACAAACACTCAAGTGTCCAAGTTTCAATAAAAAAATCACTTACACAAAGTGATTACCAAGACCTCCACCTGAATTAAAAAAGACAAGTGACAGGTGTTAACACTAAGTTGACAACAATGTTAGAATCACCTGACAAAGATTTTAAAACAGCCATGATAAAAATGCTTCATGAGCAATTACAAACACACTTGAAACAAATGAAAAAATAGGAAGCCTCAGCAAAGAAACAACAAGGTCCCAGGAAAGAAGTGGAAGTCACGGAGAACCAAAAGGAAATTTTGTAACTGAAAAATACAGTGACAAACAAAAAGCGCAGTGCATAGGTTCAATGCAGAAAGAGAACAGAAAAAAGAATCAATACATTGGAAGACAAAACAATAGAAGTTACCCAAATGAACAAAAGAAAGAAAATACATGGAAATGTAGTACCTGGGGTACTGCAAAAGATCTAACATTCATGTCACTGGATGTCAAGAAAGAAAGAAAAGAGAGCAGGTGAAAAGGCATTCAAAGAAATAAGGACTGAAAACTTTCCTATTTGGCAAGAGATAGAAACCTACAGAAGCAAAAAGCTGAGTAAATCAAAACAGGATAAACCCACAGAAATCCATGCCAAGACATGTCATAATTACACTTTCTTCTCTGCCCCTGCCCATCCACCCTGAAAACTAACAACAGAAAAAGACTACTGGAAGCAGCCAGAGGAAAATGACACCTTCTCTACAGGGGAAAACAATGAGACTGACAGTGAACTTTTCATAAGAAACCATAAAGGCCAGAGGAAGCAGCACAATATTTTTCAACTGCTTAAAGAAAAGGGCTGTTAGTCAGAATCCTATATGCAGAGAAAATATTCTTCAGAAATGAAAGGGACGTCAAGACATTCTCAAATAAAAGAAAACTAAAAATCTATCACCAGAAGACCTATGCTAAAAGAATGGTTAAAAGTAGGCCAGGCGCGGTGGCTCATGCCTGTAATCCCAGCACTTTCAGAGGCTGAGGCGGGCGGATCACCTGAGGTCAGGAGTTCGAGACCAGCCTGACCAACATGGAGAAACCCTGTCTCTACTAAAAATACAAAATTAGTCAGGCGTGGTGGTGCATGCCTGTAATCCCAGCTACTCGGGAGGCTGAGGCAGGAGAATTGCTTGAACCTGGAGGCGGAGGTTGCGGTGAGCTGAGATCACACCATTGCACTCCAGCCTGGGCAACAAGTGCAAAACTCCATCTCAAAAAAACAAAAAAAAAAAAAAAAGAAAAGAAAAAAGAAAAAAAGAATGGCTAAAAGATCTCTAAAAAGAAAGAAAACAATAAAAGCAACCATGTAGAGAAATATAATAGGTTTTTCTTTTAAGACTTATCAATTATGTTTGATGCTTGAAACAAAAATTATAACACTGTCTGATGTGATACTAAATGTATGCAGAGGAAATATTTAACATAATTATATTACCGATGGAGGAGAGTAAAGTGTTGAAAAGGGAGGTAAGGTCTCTAGACTTCGCTTGAACACCAGTAGACTGTGATAAGTTATGCATATATGATGTAATACCTAGGGCCTGGCCAGGTGTGGTGGCTCATGCCTATAATCCCAGCACTTTGGGAGGCTGAGGTGGGAGGATCGCTTGACCTCAGGAGTTTAGGACCAGCCTAGGCAACATAGCAAGACCTCATCTCAATTAAAATAAAAAAACCTAGGGCACTTAGGAGCAACCACTTAAAAAGCTAAATAAGGAGATACACTCAAAAACATTACAAACAAGTCAGAAGGGAATCCTAAAACATGTTCAAATAACTCATGGGAAGGCAGGAAAAAAGTACGTAAGATGAAAAAAGAAAAGCAGAAAACAAAAAATAAAATGGCACACTTAAGCCCTAACATATCATTAATTACATTATATATAAATGGTCTAAATATACCAAGTAAGAGAGCTCAGCAGAGTGCATTAAAAACCATGACCCAACTATAAGCTGTCTATAATAAATTCACTTCTTTTTGTTTTTCAAGATAGCGTCTTGCTCTGTTGCCCAGGCTGGAGTGCAGTGGCGTGATCTCAGCTTACTGCAACCTCCGCCTCCTGGGTTCAGGCAATTCTCCTGCCTCAGCCACCCAAGTAGCTGGGACTACAGGCGCATGCCACCACACCAGCTAATTTTTGTATTTTTGGTAGAGACGGGGGTTTCACCGTGTTGGCTAGGCTGGTCTCGAACTCCTGACCTCGTGTTCTGCCTACCTTGGCCTCCCAAAGTGCTGGGATTACAGGCGTGAGCCACCGCACCCAGCCAAGAGTTTTTAAAAACCTACTGCAAACAGGAGAGAGGAAATAACAATGACTAGAGCAGCAATCAATGAAATTGAAAATAAAAAGATAATAAAGTCAATGAAATGAAGAGCTGATTCTTTGAGAAAATAAAGTAAAAGTTATTCAGATTGAAAAGGAAGAAATAAAACTGTCCCCGGCTTGCAGATGACATGATTGTCTAAGTAGAAATTTCTGAGAAGTTTACAAAAAAACTCCTAAGAGTAGTAAGCGACTCAGGAAGGTCACAGAATACAAGATAAACATACCAAAGTCAATTGTATTTCTATATACAGTCATCCCTCAGTATCTGTGGGGGAATGGTTTTAGGACCTCCTGTGGATCCCCAAATCCACAAATGCTCAAGTCCCTAATACAAAATGGTGTAGCATTTGCATATAACCTATGCATACCCTCCCATACACTTTAAATCAGGGGTCCCCAACTGCAGGCCACGGATAGTACCAGTCCTTGGCCTGTTAGGAACCAGGCCACACACCAGGTGAGTGGCAGGTAAGTAAGTGAAGCTTCATTTGTATTTACAGCTGCTCCCCCATCACGTGCATTACCACCTGAGCTCCACCTCCCATCAGATCAGTAGCAGTATTAGATTCTAATAGGAGTGCAAACCCTATTGTGAACAACGCATGTGAGGGATCTAGGTTGCATGCTCCTCATGAGAATCTAATGCCTGATGATCTGTCACCGTCTCCCGTCACCCCCAGCTGGGACCATCTAGTTGCAGGAAAACAAGCTCAGGGCTCCCACTGATTCTACATTATGGTGAGTTGTACAATTATTTCATTATATATTACAATGTAACAATAATAGAAATAAAGTGCATAAGTGTGGTGATGGAAATGCTGCACATCTTGACCTTAAAAATCTCAATATCCCGGTTGTGATACTGTATTATAGTTTTTGCAAGATGTTAACACTAAGGGAAAATGGGTAAAAGATACAGGTGATCTCTCTGTATTATTTCTTACAACTATATGTAAATTTACAATATCTCAAAAAAATTTAATTTAAAAATGTTTTAAGAAAACAGAATGAAAGGAAAGACTCATCTGAGAGAGACATAAATGCTGGGAGCAGTTAGATAAAGTAGTAATCAGGCGGGGTTGGGGGAAGAAAAGGGAAGGAATTAGGCTGGAAAGTGAGGAGGCGGCAAAACCGATGGTGACAAGTTGCCCTGTATTCTTGGTGGGGAGAGGACTAGGGGCCATGAGGCTGTGTGACGGAGGACACCACCATGGAGGCCACAGTACAGTGCTCTGTCCCCTGGCCTGAACCTGGTATGTTCTGCTGTATATTGTGGAAGGGGACACACCCAGGGAGCCCCCTCAACCTCCGGCCCAGTAATGTTATTCAACTTGTTTCCCTCCCCGCCACTCCCCAGCAAAATACCCAACTTACGCAGTTATTCTGTCTCCAGGCCAAAAGAGATCCAATTTGTAGAATTTTAAAACAAGTTTAAAAAAAAACTAGCTTAGCATCCTCCCCAAATACCTGAAGATTTCTTACCTGTCCCCAAGCATACAGGTTATTGTGTGTCTGAGATGGGTTCACTTTGGACAAAAGGAATCGAGCCTTTAACAACAACAACAACAAAAAGATTTAAAGATTAAAAAGTGACATTAATATTAATGTAACAGAAAAAAGATAAGTTTTTACAACATTTGTTTGGTTAAATTAGAATTGTTTTACTGCACAGTAATCTAATTAGAATTGTTTTACTGCACAGTAATCTATTTCTTTAGCTTAAGCCCACTGGCTCTCCATTTAAGGATCCTAAAACATAAAATATGTATTTTATCTTGGCAATCCCTTTACATAAGCACATTTTGACCACTCATTTTTTTTTTTTTTTTGAGACGGAGTCTCACTCTGTAGCCCCAGCTGGAGTGCAGTGGCACGATCTCAGCTCACTGCAAGCTCTGCCTCCCGGGTTCACGCCATTCTTCTGCCTCAGCCTCCCGAATAGCTGGGACTACAGGTGCCCGCCACCACGCCCAGCTAATTTTTTGTATTTTTAGTAGAGACGGGGTTTCACCATGTTAGCCAGGATGGTCTCGATCTCCTGACCTCATGATCCGCCCGCCTCGGCCTCCCAAAGTGCTGGGATTACAGGTGTGAGCCACCGCGCTTGGCCTGACCACTCATTTAAAAAGAAGTCATATTTGGAAGATTACCTGTGTGTCAATTTATGTCATCACATAAAATATTAACCATCCTGTTTAGATGTATAGCAATAACAATCTATCATAAAACGAACAAACCACTGGAGTTAGAACTCAGCTCACTCACCTGACTGCCTCCATGCTCCGTGTTGATGTAACGTGGCATCGGGAAGCGTGCTTGCAGAATTTCTTGAGCATCATCCAGTGGTGCCTGCAGAAGGTGCTTGAAGTTTTCATACTCGGGCATGTCCTGGTAGCCAGCTTTACGCCACTGGGCTATGGTCTACACAGAAACAAACCAACCAAAACTATTGTGGAAACTGTAATAACAGCCTTCACTGACACTGACATTCTACCATCGCCACCCAGAGCTTGTTTCTAGTGAAGAAGTCTAATATCAAAAATGACAAGCTTCAGAGGGAGAGCAAAGCAGAGCTACCGGCAGGAGGAGAAGCAGGAGGAAAATGCCCCCGCCTGCGCATTCCCCCAGGAATGTCAGGCGTCACTCATGCCTCCTCTCTTCTATATCAACTAGTTAACAAAGCCCATGGATTACTCATCCCAAGGAGCGGTGGACTCCCTCCTTTTCCACTTCCACTGTTATCACTCAGTCTAGCCTCTCATCTCCGCACATCTGGTAAGGAAAGGGATTTGTTGGCTGCCCACACAGACTCCACTCCCCCATCTCCTTTCCTAACGGCACACATATTACACTCCTCTGGTGAGCAGTAGTCATACAGACTTGCGTGCAATTGTCTCACCCCCATCCCCTGCTCCCCCTGGGCCCTGAATTGGGGTACCCTTGGCAAAGGAGACAAAAGCTGTAAGAATCAAAGTATGAGTGTTGATGAGGCAGTGAGGAGAAGCCATATGCTAAACTGTGGAAAGCAGACGATCTGTCTCCCTGACTACGCTACACATTTTATCACCCTTCCTTCTTTTATACTCATCCACAACTGGTCTAGAAAATATCTTGTATACACAGGAAATCAAGAAACATTCATTAACTGATTCATATACCTTTATAAATAAAGTGAAGTGCTTTCGCATGTTATTTAGGAGAACAAGAAGACAATGGAGAGGAAAAATGGAGAAAGAGGCTACAGCAAGTGTGCAATGTGTCTTAACAGAGCCATTAATATGGCTCCAGGCAGAGGATTCTCATCAGATGCCTCCTTCTGTAGCCTGCTCACTCCTTCTCAAAGTAGCAGTTACCGTTTTCCAGGTCTAAATGCTGTGATTGACTGTTGGCCTATGGGAAATGCCCACGAGCTCACCAGGGTCCAGAAGTTCATAAGAACACTCGCGTTCAGCACGCTCAGGACTTTGGGAAGGTGAGAGCAATGTCACTGTCTTTATCCTTAGAACCCCTCACTTGCACAAGAAGGTGCTCAATAAACAAGTGAATGAACAGGATCAGGGGTTGCAAAAGAAATGTCGATAAGGAGATGAGCTTAAGGCAAAGAAAGCTTCATCCTTAGTACAGTCGGCCCTCGGTATCTGTGAGATTGGTTCCAAGACCACTCCTCCCAATACCAAATTCCATAGATACTCAAGTCCCTCATACAAAATGGCATAGTATTTCATATAACCGATGTACATCTTCCCATACACTTTAAATCATCTTTAGATTACTTATAATATCTAATACAATGTAGAAACTATATAAATCGTTCTTGTGCTGTTTTTTTGGTTTTGTTTTTTGAGACAGAGTCTCACTCTGTCGTCCAGGCTGGAGTGCACTGGCTCGATCTTAGCTCACTGAAACCTCCACTTCCTGAGTTCAAGCGATTCTCCTGCCTCAGCCTCCCGAGCAGCTGGGATTACAGGTGTCTGCCACCATGCCCAGCTAATTTTTGTATTTTTAGTAGAGACAGGGTTTCGCTATGTTGGCCAGACTGGTCTTGAACTCCTGACCTCAGATGATCCGCCCACCTCGGCCTCCCAACGTGCTGGGATTACAGGCATGAACTACCACACCCGGCCTGTGCTGTATATTTTATTTGTATTATTTTTTATTATTATTTCAAAATTATTTTTAACCTGCAGTTGATTGAATCTGCAGAGGTGGAACCCGTGGATACAGAGGGCCAACTGTACTGATACCAAAGGTTCCAGTGGGAAGAGCAGCTGGTCATCCGGCTCTCAGTCTAGGACTATTACTGACAGCCTAGCACTTGCGTGCAAGTGGCTAGCAGACTGGGTGTTAACATGCTGAAAAAAGTTTAAAGTTATAAAATACTTAGGAGTATTAGAAAACTAACACTTCCTAAGTTACTGAAGGAATCCTGAAACACAATTTATATCTTTTCACGACATCAGAAATCATTTCTAATGGTTGGCCATTAGGAAACCAAATCAATAACCAATTTAAGAAGGTAGAGATCATACAATAGAAGAAAAAGCATCACTGAATATAAATATCACCATCATCTTCATTAAAGGATTTTTTGCCATAAAGATGCAAATAATTCAGAGGAGCCATTCCCTTTCTCAGGGCATGAACCCCACTGAGAAAGAAATGGACTGAAAGCTATCCACAGCCATCCTAGGGATCCACAGACACAGCGTAAAGTTCCCTGGGCCATGTTATTTCATCAAAGTACAACCTTAGCTCTAAACACTAACTCTGAAAGAACAGCAGTATGTATATAACTCTGAAAGAACAGCAGTATGTATAAAATATTTACTGAGGAGAAAAAACTAGTTTTGCCTAACTTCGAAGGTAATAATTTACAGTGATTTAAAATAACCACCTGAGATTTTTTTACAGCATATATTATTATTATTATTATTTATTTTTTGAGATGGAGTTTCACTCTGTTGACCAGGCTGGAATGCAGTGGTGTGATCTCAGCTCACTACAACCTCAACCTCCCGGGTTTAAGTGATTCTCCCATCTCAGCCTCCCAAGTAGATGGGACTACAGGTGTGTGCCACCACGCCTGGCTAACTTTTGTATTTTTAGTAGAGATGGGGTTTTGCCATGTTGGTCAGGCTGGTTTTGAACTCCTGACCTCAGGTGATCTGCCCACCTCAGCATCCCAAAGTGCTGGGATTACAGGTATAAGCCACTGCACCTGGCCCATACTTAACAGCAAATATGATTAAAATTAATAAATATACAAATACTCCAGGGATTTACTAGAATAAAAGCCATGGTGCTTTCTAAGCCCAAACTGTGGTTACAAATGTCATTAAAAACCTAACTTAATAAATAAGAGAAGAAAACAAAAACCATAGTTAAGGACAATAATTCTCCTTGTGTGCACATTAAATGTGTATGCCTTTTCTCCAATTTAAAAACAAAAAGAAATTAATTAATTAATAATATCATCTTACCTCACCAAGATAAATGACAATTTGAAAGAAAGTATCCATCAGCAAAATTCTGTCAGCTAGAATGCTGCTGCTATCCAAGAGTACTGGCTGAAGAAAAAGAGAGAGAAAGATGGCATTGGTCTTCCCTGCTCCCCACACAGCAACCACTTCCACCCGACCCTGATCCCATGCCTGGTATCCACAGCAAAGGCTATTTACAAATGGTGCCCAGCACAGTAAGTCACCCCTTTTCTTCCTGACATACTTCCACTTTCTGCTTCTGACTCATTCTCAACTTTGTAGGAAAAATAGGCTCCAAATAATTCCTCATCAATTGAGAACGGAGATTAATGATACCTTTTTTTTTTTTAAGAGTCAGGGTGTTGCTCTGTTACCCAGCCTGGAGTAAAGTGATGTGACCCTGGCTCACTGCAGCTTCGACCTCCTGGGCTCAAGTGACCCTCCCACCTCAGCCTCCTGAGTAGCTGAGGCTACAGGTGCATGCCACCACGCCCAACTAATTTTTTATTTTTTGTAAAGACAGGGTCTCACACTATGTTGTCCAGGCTTAATGATATCTTTTGATCTTGGAACGAAAAATAATTCTGAATATTCTCAGTTTTGTATGTATTTTAGCAATCTCTACAGACATTCTCTGTAGATGAGACAGAATACGGATACCTATATGAAAAGCAGCATTTAATACAAGTTTTTAAAGTTTACTACAAAATATAAATTATGGCTGGGCGTAGTGGCTCATGCCTGTAAACCTAGAACTTTGGGAGGCCAAGGCAGGCAGATCACTTGAACCCAGGAGTTCAAAGCCAGCCTGGGCAACATGGCAAAACCCCATCTCTACCAAAAACACAAAAAATTAGCCGGGCTGTAGTGGCACGTGCCTGTGGTCCCAGCTATTCAGGAGGCTGAAGTGGGAGGATCACCTGAACCTGGAAGGCGGAGGTTGCAGTGAGCCAAGATCGCACAACTGTACTCCAACCTGGGTGACAGACACCCCATCTCAAAAAAAAATACGTTTATTATTTATTTGTAAGTAATATTTTATATTATATAAGTATATAATTTATATTTATATATACATATATAATCATATACATATATATTTATATACATAGTTCTTATATATACATATATAATTTATTATATTTACATATACACATATAATTTTTATATATGTAATTATTTCTTTTTTATTTTTATTTTTTGAGAGGGAGTCTTGCTCTGTTGCCCAGGCTGGAATGCAGTGGCGCGATCTCAACTCACTGCAGCCTCCGCCTCCGGGGTTCAAGTGATTCTCCAGCCTCAGCCTCCCAAGTAGCTGGGATTATTGGCGCCATTCCAAGCTAATTTTTGTATGTTTAGTAGAGATGGGGTTTCGCCACATTGGCCAGGCTGGTCTCAAACTCCTGATGTCATGTGATCCCCCTGCTATTTTAGTAATTATTTCAATAATAAAAGTAAGTGGTACTCGATAAAGAAAATTTTTAAATGTGTACCCAAGTACAACAAATATTGATATTTTGTTTTTTTCCATATAGTTCTTTATTTTTGCAGGGAATATTTAGAAACGTTTCTATTTTGACTTTTTTTCATGTAACATTTTTACATAAGGACTTATCTATTTTATTATGTTACATACTTTTTGTGAATACTGTTGGCCCTCCGTATCGGTGGGTTCCACATCTATAAATTCAACCAATCTTGGACTGAAAATATTTGAAAAAAATATGCATCTGTACTGTACATGTACAGACTTGTTTTCTTGTCATTATTCCCTAAACCATACAGTATGACAATTATTTACATGGTACTTACATTATATTAGGTATTATAACTAATCTAGAGATGATTTAAAGTATATAGGAGGATGTGCCAAGGTTACATGCAAATATTATGTAATTTTATATTAGTAACTTGAGTATCTAAGAATTCTGGTATCTGAGGGAGGTCCTGGAACCAATCTTCCATGAATACTGAGGGTCAACTGCATTTCTCAGGTTACTTATTTATTTTCCTATATTAAACATTCGGATTGTTATTTGATCCTCTATTATAGTAGTTCCTTTACTATTTTTTTTTTTGGCACAAAGTCTACTCTGTATCTAGGAGTCTTTCCTTCAGATACAAGACATGGAATTGTTGGATGTAAGTATACAAGCACAAGGAAAAAGAAAGCATCCAAGTTATTTCCTAGAGTTTTTTACATTTATTCCTGCCTTTCACAAATAATAGCTTTATATGTCCTTTGACATTTTCCTAAAGGTATTTTTTAATAGAAATAATGTTAAATTACTATAAAAACTCCAAATTTTACTTCTTTTTTACAGTTCTGCTAAGTAAATTTGCTTAAAAAAGAATATATGTTAGGTGATTCCAATCCTCAGGAAAGCATTTGGGTAGAGCCTCACCTCTGGTGGCCCATGAAAGGAGTAAGAGTAGAGAATGGGCTGGATCATGATGAGGGACTGGGTCAGGTCCTGCCGGGCAAAATGATGTCTGTAATATGACGACTCATCAGGACTGTTGTTAAACACTTGAAGAAATGGAGATCTTCTCAGATGGAACATAAACTGCATTCACAAAGAACGGAAAGAGAAATGCATATAATTGTAACCTTCTTAGACACCCACAGAGTAGATCTACCTCAGGGCTCTGAAATAGGAGAACCCAGAAAAGGGCTCTCTGGTTTCACAGAACAGAAAGCATAAGGGGGCACCAGGGGCTAGGGAAAGAGGAAAACTGAGAGTTGTTGCTTAATGAGCACAGAGTTTCAGCTCTGCAAAGTGAAAAATTCTAGACATCAGTTGCTCAATAATGGGAATACACGTAACACTACTCAACGGTATGCTTAAAAATGGTTAAGATGGTAAATTTTGTTATGTGTGTTTTACCACATTAAAAATTAATTTTTTTTTTTAAAGGGCCTTTGGCCAGGCGTGGTGGCTCACGCCTGTAATCCCAGCACTTTGGGAGGCCGAGGCGGGCGGATCACCTGAGGTCGGGAGTTCAAGACCAGCCTGACCAACATGGAGAAACCCCGTCTCTACTAAAAATCCAAAATTACCCGGGTGTGGTGGTGGGCGCCTGTAATCCCAGCTACTCAGGAGGCTGAGGCAGGAAAATCACTTGAACCCAGTAGGGGGAGGTTGCGGTGAGCTGAGATCAGGCCATTGCACTCCAGCCTGGGCAACAAGAGCAAAACTCCGTCTCAAAAAAATTAAAAATTAAAAATTTTTAAAAAAATACAAAATTTTTTTAAGAAAAGGGCCTCTGGGTATGTCAAAGCTTCCACAGTTAAGAGGAAAGCCAAAGAAATGTTTATTTCCAGAGTCACTGTGCCAGGCAGTGGAGACAGAATATCTGCTCTCAGAAGTCAGGCCCAGTGAGAAAGGCACACTCGGGCTACGAGTTATGAGCCAGAGTACAGGATAGCAGTGGGGAGTGGGGGTGGAGGGCCAGGAGGAGACTTCCTAGAGCTCCGGGGACTGACAGTGCACCCTGAGAGACGTGGCTGAGGAGGCCACAGGGCCAGGGGGAAGGGGATTCCAGGCACAGGAACAGCAGATGACAGCTCAGGACACAAGCTGGGATGGTGAAGTGTTGGTGCAGGGGAGAAAGGGACAAGGGATGACACTGCAACCATAGGTTCTCGCCCTCGAGGATGAGAAGAAGGGGTGGGGGCAGACTTTCAGCTCACATTAAAGAGTTGCCAGAACACGAAAATGAGCTGCCTTGTGAAGTGTAAAGCTTCCTGAGACTCCAAATATTCAATCATAGGTTCCTAAATAATAATCAAGGCTGACATCTAATACATCCTACATGCAAGTCACAAAGCACTTGACAAGAACTATTTAATCCTTCCAATAAGCCCATGAGGTAAGTTCTCTTACCATCCCTAGTTTACAGGTGAGGAAACTGAGGCACAGAGGGGCGAGCAACTTGTCCAAGGTCACCCCACTACTGAGTGTCACAGCTGGACTCTACACCTGGCCGCCTGGCTCTAGAGACTGGGCTGTTGGCCTCTTTCCTAGAATGCCTTGACAGAAGGAATCTGAGAAAGCATTTCATCTGGTTTTCAAGCTGTGCTCTTAGAGTCTTCATCAAGTCCTCAGGGGCCCAGGGATGAGGGCTCTGGTGGGACCCAGTGTGGGGGTGGTACACAGGCACAACCAGAGAAGCACCAACTCTGTCTGCTTTATGTGCTGGCTTTTAAGGGCAGCTCCTCTCAAAGAAAGGATTCCATGGCTTTAAAAAAAAAAAAAAAAAAAAAAAAAACTGCAAACCACTTCACCAGACCAACTCCCCACTGCTAGAGGTGGGAAACCAAACTCTACGGGGCTTTGGAACCTCCTCTAAGGTCAGCCCCTGCGGAGCCAGCACTGGAACCTCAACCTGACTCTGGCCGGTCCAGGGCTCTTCTCACAACACCACACAGCTTTAACCTCTGGCACATGGACACCTCAGAGTCCCAGGCACCTGCTATGGAGCTAGGTCACATTTAGTGCTGAACAGGTTACTGGCATTGTGCTAAATATTTAATACTCAGTTGGCCTCAGCTCCTGTAATCCTTATAGACACCCATGAATTGTGCTCTATTTCCTAAGTTACAATGGAGACGGAAATTCATCTACTTCTCCTGCTCCTCTCTCTTGTCCAATGGCTTCCAAAGGCTTGGTTCATGCAGAGTGCAGTTACTTTCAGGAGCTGCTTATTGCTCACTCCTGGTTATGATGCACATAATAACCACAGACATATTATTAAATATTTGTTGTACTAACTGTGGTTTTGTTTTGTTATCTTCATCTCCATGTGTGCTCATTTTCTTGGTTTGTTGCTGAGGTAGCTGTTTCCCCAGAACTTCTACACATGAGAGATATTTTTTACGGCCTTATATCAATGATCCTATTTTGCCTGTTCATGAAAATGTATGCATGAGTTTTCTCCCCTCTGCATGTCATCTCTATCTTCTGTAGGGCGTAGGGTGCTGTCTTGCCTAGACACATATTCGACTTGGGTTGAACAATCTCTGTCACCTACAGACTGAGTCTCAACACATTAAAAAGTCTTCACTTTACCCTAAGAATAAAGTTAATTTCTATCAAAATTTATTGCTCTGTAGTTATTTTAGAAACATACATTACTTACCTGAGGATATAGAGAAAAGGAATCTGATAACCTAAAAGAAGTGGGGTCTTCTTTGTTATACTGTCCAAACTTTTGACACTATGGAAAGAAAATACCAAAAAACAAACAAACACACACAAAAAGAGAGAGAAAAATCTAAGTTAGCATTACCTGGAAATATTCCTGGACTAAGCTACATCCAGTCTGAACTCTGCCACTTACTATAAGTCCTAGACTAGCACTTCTCAAGCATCAGTGAGCAGGCAAATGACCAGGGGATCTTGTTAAAATGCAGACTCTAGGGAGGAGCTGAAGATTCTGCATCTCTAATCAGCTCTCAGGCAATGCTGGCCTGAGGACTGCCCTAACCAGAGAAGCTAGGTGAGCTCTTCCAGGCACCTGTTCCATATGAAAACCCTCTAACACCATGAAAACTAACAATTATAGTTACGCTTTGATGTTCTCTCACACTAAAACTCAAATTTATTTCTCCCAATGGCAGACTTCTGAACCACAATGTTTTCTCTTCCCGCCTTTATTTCTGCTCACACATTTCTGGTCACTAAAGAATTGGACTGTTCATCATTTAAAGAAACCCCATTTCTAACAATTACTTTCTTCCCACAAAATCTGGTGTCCTTCCGCAGTTCTCGTCTTCTTGAACTTCCTAGCAGCATGAGCCAGGTGACTGCCCAAATGTCTCGAAACTTTCTCCTTCAGCTGCTAATACATCACTTTCCTATTTCTCATAATCTCTCCAACCAACCCTTTTCTGCCTTCTTCAATGGTTTTGTCTTCCTCCTCCCCCTAACTGTGGACTCCTTGGGGGTTAGTTCTTGGCCCCCTCCTCCCATCCTCACTGCTTTGGGTACAAATGAACACTAGAGCCAGATGGGTGTCATCCAAATCCACCCTCCAGTGTCCAGTGCTGACCTATAGCCTGAGCCCCAGTCAGGACATCCACCCAAATATGGGAGTTTTCGTGAGACACACTTTTGCAAGTTCACATTCAATTATCAAAAATTATCAAAAATAAACTATTACATTAAAAAAAGAGAAAAAACTTTCTCCCACCCTAAAGTTGCTCTCCTTTCCCATCTTCTACCTCAACACCACTCATGCAGTTACCCATGTGTGAAATGTCATTCAGTGCTGACTTTTTGGTTTTTGACTTTACACAGAATCATTTCATCAAGTTTTATCAATTCTTTCAGTTTACATCCTGATTTCAAACCTTCTGCTTCCTCCATCTCTCCTGCCACTATGCTGGTCTCAGTGCCATTGAGCCTGAAAAATCCTCCATTCACAACAATAGCCTTTTCTCTCTGCAATGTGCCTCACATGGTGATATTAAATGTAAACACAAGCATCATGCTGACATCAAACCCCCGCTTAACAATCACAGCCACGTCTCCCTTGCTCCCTAAAGTTAAGGAGCTCCCCAATCAAGGTGTACCTTCCCTGACTCTGTTCCCCACTGCACAACCTAGCCTCCTGTGACACTGGTTTCTCCAAAGTCCTCAGCATAAGCTAAAAGACCCAGCTAGCTCCTGCAGGCTCATTCCTGCTAGCCCTCCACTCAGCAAGCCTTGCCTTCCCTTCTCCAATTAATTCTGTAATAAAAACCTGACTCAAGGCTCATTTCCACAGGAAGTCTTTGTTAGCCACCTGGGCCCTCTGCTTATCTATCCTCCCTCTGAAATCCTAAAGAAGCAATTTTCAAATTATGTTTGAAATGTTGACACTTCCTGAAAAATGGTTCCATGAGATGGCAAGGGCAAATAGAGGGCTGAACAAAATGAAACAGGTTTCCCTACTGGGCCTTTCCATGGTGGCTTTGATCACAAACACATGCTGTGACTCTCCAGGAAGGTAAGATTATCATGTGCCAATTATTGATTTATTGCCTTGTGCTGGCTCCAAACTCACCCCCTTTGCCTGCTGTGAAATGGACATGGGCCCTTTCACTACCTCTCCTTTGCCAGCTGGCACGATATCAAGCGTTGTCAGTAGAGAGTGCTGGAGGTGAGCGTCAGCTTTGGGCGCCCGAGTGCTCATTCAGCAGCTTCCCGGGTGCCAGGTCCTGCTGCACCGTGGCTCCCCAGTGCTGAGCTCCTGGAGAACATGGCAGCCAGCAGCTAAGCAGCATCCCTGCATGTCTCCAGTGAGACATTTTCCTATACACAGCTTTCCCTGGCACCCTGGAGGGTGGATTTTCTTCAAATTCTAGAAAGTGAATTTCTAGTAAGTTCCCCTGGCACAGCACCACGGTAACTTCTCTGCAAAAGACTCACCAAGCCATGGCCATGCCCTCCCAACTAGGTCTGGATCAGCCCTGGGGAGAAGGGCACTTCCTTTGGTGCTCTATCTCAGCCCCACAAGTAGTGGCTGCCCACTTCTCTATACTTCCTTCTAGCCAGTCCCTCACTGTTCTACTCTCTTGTTGTATTCTTTATAAAAGACTTTCCCCATTTAAATTACAGTGTGACTTCTCTCATCTCATTAAATCCAGACTGATAAAAGGCATCTCCCTAAACTTACCAGGCTGGATCCCTATTTCCAAAACCACTTTCCAGATTTAGAAGAAAAATACAAGACCAGAGCATTCACAAAATGACTCATCTAAGTCAACTCAACCCACACAGATTTGTATCACTCTCCAAATGCTCCATGCGTGTTGTTTCTTCCCAACTATAATGTAAATCTCTGAGGGGAAAATGCACATTTAACACGTCTTTAACAGAATGTCCAGCGTGCAGCATAAGGTAGGCAACTGATAAATTCTTGCTGATTCACTATATAATAATAATTAAGTGACAATTTTCTTCTCGAAAGTAAAGCAGAAACCAAGACTGAACCTAATGCCACTGTCCCCAATTTACCAGTCGGATGAGTTGTCGGTCCAGCCACCGGAGCACATCGGGCCCCTCCTCTGACTCCGCTCGGAACACCCCAAGCCGTGCCATCAACACTGCCGCAGCCTCCTGGTCAAATGCTGCTTCTATGTGCCTGAGCTGACTCTGTACATCTGCCCAACTGACAATTCCAGAGTTAGTGCCATGCTTATGTTTAGGAGAGATCAGAAAGCCAGACATCCATTCAGAAAAAGAAACACAGGCTAGGTGCAGTGGCTCATTCCTGAAATCCCAACACTTTGGGAGGGCAAGGTGGCAGGACTGCTTGAGCCTAGAAGTTCAAGACCAGCCTGGGCAACAATGTGAGATCACCATCTCTCTGCATAAAAGTAAAAAGATTAGCTAGTTTTGGTGGCAGGTGCCTGTGGTCCCAGCTACCTGGGAGGCTGAAGTGGGAGGATCACTTGAGCATGGGAGGTTGAGGCTGTGGTGAGCTGTGATTGTGCCACTGTACTCCAGCTTGGGCAACAGAGCGAGACTGTCTCCAGATGATAATAATAATAATTAATACTTTTAATGAACTATATTTCCTACAGAAAGATGATTCCTCTAGGCAAGTGTTCATAGGCCCAACTGGGTTAGCCAAAAATGCCTCCTCCTCTGATCAAATAAGCTAATGAGGTCTGGTGAGAACCATTCAATGGAATCAAAAAGACAAACTAACAAATGTTAAAGTATCTCTTCAAGGGAAAAATGTCAGTCAGTTCCTCAACAGAAAGGAAACTGGGGCTGCTTACTTTCGGGCGATGGTGGTCACGCGGATGCGTCTCTGGGTGCTGGAGTGCTGATAATGCGTGACAAACTGGATGGCTCCTCTGCCTCCTTGGGGGATCGGGGTGTTGTGCTGTAGGATGAGAGGCCATAACCTTGTCTGTTATAGGCGCAACTCAAACACGGTCACAGAGCCCACTGTACTCTTCTAAAATGACTGACACAGCAATGACAGGAAGGTTCTTGACACATTTTGAAGGGCACACTTAGGATTTGCACATTTCACTGCATATAACCTTATCTCCAAAAAAGTTGAAGAACTACGTTCAATACTGAACTTAAGTTAATGATACACCTACTGAAGTGTTTAGGCATGAAATACATGGATGACTGAGGCTTGTTTTGAAATGCAGCAAAACGAAGATGGATTGATGAATCACAAACTGGATGAGTTATTGCTGATGAATTATCCAGTTTGTGACGGATTGTTAATCATTAAACAAACACAGACATGCCTCATTTATTTGCAGATTTTTTAACAAATTGAAGATTTGTGGCAATCGTACATCAAGCAAGACTATTGGCGCAAGTTTTCTAACATCATGTGCTCACTTCATGTCTCTGTGTCACAGTTCAGTAATTCTCACAATATTTCCAACTTTTTCATTATTATTATATATCTGCTATGGTGATCTGTGATCAGTGATCTTTGATGTTACCATTTTAATTGTTTTGGGGTGCTACAAACTGCACTGATATAAGATGGCAAACTTAACTGATAAATGTTGTGTATATTCTGTTGCTCCACTGACTGACCTTTCCCTCATCTCTCTCCTCCTCCTTGGGCCTCCCCTATTTCCTGAGATACAACAATATTGAAATGAGGCCAGTTAATAACCCTACAATGCCCTCTAAGTGTTCAAGTGAAAGGAAGAGTCACACATCTCTCATTTTAAATCAAAAGCTAAAACTCATTAATCTTAGTAGGGAAGGTATGTTGAAAGCCAAGATAGCTGAAAGCTAGGCCTTTTGCCCCAAAACTGCCAAGCTGTGAATGCAAAGAAAAAGTTCTTGAAGGAAATTAAAAGTGAACACGTGAATGATAAGAAAGTGAAACAGCCTTATTGCTGATGTGGAGAATGTTTTAGTAGTCTGAATAGAAAATCAAACCAGATACAACATTCCCTTAAGCCAGGGCCTAATCCAGAGCAAGGTCCCAACTCTCTTCAATTTATGAAGGTGGAGAGAGGTAAGGAAGCTGCAGGAGAAAGCTGGAAGCTGGCAGAGGTTGGTTCCTGAGGTTTAGGGAAAGAAGCCATCTCCATAACATAATGGCACAAGGTGAAGCAGCATGTGCTGATGTAGAAACTGCTGCAAGTTATTCAGATTAGCTAAGATCACTGATGAAGGTGGTGGCTACACTAAACCACAGATTTTCAGTGTAGTTGGAAGAAGATGCTATCTAGGATTCTCATAGCTAGAGAGAAGTCAATGCCTGGCTTTAAAGCTTCAAAGGGCAGGTTGACTCTCTTGTTAGGATCTAATGCAGCTGGTGACTCTATTTGGTTTTTCTAAGACAGGTTCTTGCTCTGTCACCCAGGCTGGAGTGGAATGGCATGATCTCAGCTCACTGCAACCTCGGCTTCCCAGGCTCAAGAGATTCTCCCACCTCAGCTTCCCAGGTAGTTGGGACTACAGGCGTACACCACCACATCTGGCTAATTTCTGTATTTTTGGTAGAGATGAGGCCTCACAGCATTGCCCAGGCTGGTCTTGAGCTCCTGAGATCAAGCAATCCACCCACCTTGGCCTCCCAAAGTGCTGGGATTACAGGTGTGAGCCACCATACCTGGGCATCTGGTGACTTTAAGTTGAAGCCAATGCTCATTTACCATTCCAAGTATCCTAGGACTCTTAAGAATTGTGCTCAATCTACGCTTCCTGTGCTCTACAAAAGGAACAACAAAGCCTGGATGACAGCACATCTGTGTACAGCAATTACTAAATATTTAAAGCCCACTGTTGAGACCTGCTGCTCAGGAAAAAAAAGACTCCTTTCAAAATATTACTGCTCACTGACAATGCACCTGGTCACTCAAGAGCTCTGACGGAGATATAAAGGAGATAAACGTTTTCATGCCTGCTAACACAACATCCGTTCTGCATCCCATGAATCAAGGAGAAATTTTGACTTTCAAGTCTTAAATTTAAGAAACACATTTCATAAGACTATAACTGCCATACCTAGTGATTCCTGGGATGGATCTGGGCAAAGAAAATGAAGAATCTTCTGAAAAGGATTCACCATTCTACATGTCATTGAAACACTCATCATTCATGGGAAGAGGTCAAAATATCAACTTTCACAGGAGTTTGGAAGTTTACTCCAGTTCTTATAATTTTGAGGGGTTTGAGACTTCAGTGGAGGAAGTCACTGAAGATGTGGTGGAAGGAGCAAGATAACTAGAATTAGAAGTGGATCCTCAGCTGGGCATAGTGGCTTACGCCTGTAATCCCAGCACTTTGGAGGCCAAGGCAGGCGGATCACCTGAGGTCGGGAGTTCAAGACCAGCCAGGACAACACGGTGAAACCCCGTCTCTACTAAAAATACAAAAATTAGGTGGGTGTGGTGGCAGACACCTGTAATCCCAGCTACTCGGGAGGCTGAGGCAGCAGAATTGCTTGACCCCGGGAGGCAGAGGTTGCAGTGAGCTGAGATGGTGCCACTGCACTCCAGCCTGAGCAACAGAGCAAGACTCCATCTCAAAAAAAAAAAAAAAAAGTGGATCCTGGCTGGGTGTGGTGGCTCACGCCTGTAATCCCAGCACTTTGGGAGGCCAAGGTGGCTTAAGCCCAGGAGTTTGAGACCAGTCTGGGCAACAAAGAGAGACCCCATCTCTTTTTTTTTTTTTTTTTTTGAGACGGAGTCTTGCTCTGTCGCCCAGGCTGGAGTGCAGTGGCGCAATCTTGGCTCACTGCAACCTCCGCCTCCTGGGTTCATGCCATTCTCCTGCCTCAGTCTCCCAAGTAGCTGGGACTATAGGCACCCGCCACCACACCCAGCTAATTTTGTTTTTTGTATTTTTAGTAGAGATGGGGTTTCACCATGTTAGCCAGGATGGTCTCAATCTCTTGACCTCGTGATCCACCTGCCCTGGCCTCCCAAAGTGCTGGGATTACAGGCGTGAGCCACCGCACCCGGCCTTTTTTTTTTTTTAGACGGAGTCTTGCTCTGTCTCCCAGGCTGGAGTGCAGTGGCGCAATCTCGGCTCACTGCAACCTCCATCACTTGGTTTAAGCAATTCTCCTGCCTCAGCCTCCTGAGTAGCTGGGATTATAGGTGTGCACCACGATGCGTGGCTAATTTTTTTTTTTTTTGTATTTTTAGTAGAGACGGGGTTTCACCATGTTGTTCAGGCTGGTCTCGAACTCCTGACCTCGTGATCCACCTGCCTCAATCTCCCAAAATGCTGGGATTACAGGCGGGAGCCATCACACCCGGCCTATTTTTTTTAATTAAAAAGATGAAGAAGCGGATCCTGAAGATGGGACTGAATTGCTACAATTTCATGATAAAACTTTAATGGATATGGAGTTGCTTCTTATGCATAAGCAAAGAAAGTCATTTGTTGAGATGGAATCTACTCCTCATGCAGATGCTGTGACACTGTTGAAATGACAAGATTTACAATATTACATAAACTTAGTTGATAAAGCAGCAGCAAAGTTTAAGAGAATTGATTCCATTTTTTAAAGAAGTTCTACTGTGGGTAAAAAGCTATCAAACAACACTGCATGCTACAGAGAAATCTTTCCTGGAAGGAAGAGTCGACTGATGCAGCAAATTTCATTGTTGCCTTATTTCAAGAAATTCCGGCCAGGCATGGTGGCTCACGCCTGTAATCCCAGCACTTTGGAAGGCAGAGACGTGCGGATCACGAGGTCAGGAGATCGAGACCATCCTGGCTAACAGGGTGAAACCCCGTCTCTACTAAAAATACAAAAAAAAAATTAGCTGGGCGTGGTGGCGGGTGCCTGTAGTCCCAGCTACTCGGGAGGCTGAGGCAGGAGAATGGCGTGAACCCAGGAGGCGAAGCTTGCAGTGAGCCAAGATCATGCCACTGCACTCCAGCCTGGGGTACAGAGCGAGACCCCGTCTCAAAAAAAAAAAAAAAAAAGAAATTCCCAGGTGGGGCGTGGTAGCTCACACCTGTAATTCCAACACTTTGGGAGCTGAGGCAGGCAGATCACTTGAGGTCAGTTCAAGACCAGCCTGGCCATTGTGGCAAAACCTTGTCTCTGCTAAAAATACAAAAACTAGCCAGACATGGTGGCTGGCACCTGTAAGCCTAGCTACTCGGGAGGCTGGGGTGGGAGAATGGCTTGAACCTGTGAGGTGGAGGTTGCAGTGAGCCAAGACCGTGCCTGGGTGATAGATCGTGCCTGGGTGATAGAACAAGACTTTGTCTTAATTAAAAAAAAAACAAAAAGAGAAGAAACTGCCACAGCCACTCAGCCTTCAGCAACTACTAACCTGATCAGTCAGCAGCCAACAACATCAATGTAAGACCTTCCACCAGCAAAAGAGTATGACTCACTAAAGGATCAGATGAGCATTAACATTTTTGAGCAATATAGTTGACCCTTGAGCAACACAGGTTTTTTTATTTATTTATTTATTTTTTATTATTATTATACTTTAAGTTTTAGGGTACATGTGCACAATGTGCAGGTTAGTTACATATGTATACATGTGCCATGCTGGTGTGCTGTACCCATTAACTCATCATTTAGCATTAGTTATATCTCCTAATGTTATTCCTCCCCCCTTCCCCCACCCCACAACAGTCCCCAGAGTGTGATGTTCCCCTTCCTGTGTCCATGTGTTCTCAATGTCCAATTCCCACCTATGAGTGAGAACATGCGGTGTTTTTTTGTCCTTGCGATAGTTTACTGAGAATGATGATTTCCAATTTCATCCATGTCCCTACAAAGGACATGAACTCATCGTTTTTTATGGCTGCATAGTATTCCATGGTGTATATGTGCCACATTTTCTTAATCCAGTCTATCATTGTTGGACATTTGGGTTGGTTCCAAGTCTTTACTATTGTGAATAGAGCCACAATAAACATACGTGTGCATGTGTCTTTATAGCAGCATGATTTATAGTCCTTTGGGTATATACCCAGTAATGGGATGGCTGGGTCAAATGGTATTTCTAGTTCTAGATCCCTGAGGAATCGCCACACTGACTTCCACAAGGATTGAACTAGTTTACAGTCCACCAACAGTGTAAAAGTGTTCCTATTTCTCCACATCCTCTCCAGCACCTGTTGTTTCCTGACTTTTTAATGATGAGTAACACAGGTTTGAACTGTACAGGTCCACTTATATGTGGATTTTCTTCTGCCTCTGCCACCCAAGACTGCAAGACCAAACCCTCCTCTTCCTCCTCCTCCTCAGCCTACTGAACATGAAGATGAGAGTATGAAGACTTTGTGATGTTCATTTCCACTTAACAAATAGTAAATACACTTTCCTTCCCTTATGATTTTCTTAATAACATTCTCTTTTCTCTAGCTTACTTTATTGTAAGAATACAGGACATAATATATATTACTTACAAAATATGTGTTAATCAACTGTTATCGGTCAGGTTCCCAGTCAACAGTGGACTACTAGTAGTTAAGTTTTGGGGGAGTTAAAGTTATATGTGGATTTTTTTTTTTTTTTGAGATGGAGTCTCGCTCTGTTGCCCAGGCTGGAGTGCAGTGGCACGATCTTGGCTCACTGCAAGCTCTGCCTCCTGGGTTCACGCCATTCTCCTGCCTCAGCCTCCCAAGTAGCTGGGACTACAGGCACCCACCAACACACCTGGCTAAATTTTTGTATTTTTAGTAGAGACAGGGTTTCACCATATTAGCCAGGATGGTCTCGATCTCCTGACCTCATGATCCGCCCGCCTCGGCCTCCCAAAGTGCTGGGATTACAGGCGTGAGCCACAGCACCCGGCCGTTATATGTGGATTTTTAACTATGCAGTGTCAGCACCCCAACACTACTCAAGGGTCAACTGTAAAGTATTTTTTTAATCCAAGAATGAACAATGTTTTCAAAGACATAATGCTATTTAACACTTAACATACTATAGTGCAAACATAACTTTTATATGCAATAGGAAACCAAAATATTCATGTGACTTGCTTTATTGCAATATTCACTTTATTGTGGTAGTCTGGAACTGAACCCACAGTATTTCCAAGGTATGCCAGTAGAGTAAAATGTTAATTACAGAATCAAGTTGATGGGTTCACCTAGGTAGTACGTGTTCACCGTACAATTCTTTCAATTTTTCTGTATGTTTGGAATTTTTCATAATAAAATATTAGGGAAAGAACCGATGCACTAAAAAATTCACCAACATTATGATGACTGGTAAAATCTATTACACTTCTAATGACCTTATCAGTTCAACAATAAAAGGACAAAAGTAATTTGTTGCCTGACTCCGACTAAACCCTTGAAGGAATAAATAAGAAAAGGTCATGCCAGACTATCATCAGGCCTAATACAATACCCAAGGAATATTGGTTTGTGAAGAAAGTAACCAGAGACCACTGGTTTGAGATAAATCACAAAACAGGACACTAAGACATGAAGACATGTGAAGAAATCCAACTCACCTGATTGACAACTTCAAAATAGATGCCAAGTGTAGATGTAGGATCTAGGCCACAGATTTTCCACTGACTCGTGCCACCAACACCAAGCTCCTGGGGGTGGGAAGAGGAATTTGAAAAACAAAACCAGAAAACCATCCCTGTGGTTAATTGCTAATGAAAAGTACTGACTGAGTAGGGCAGGCTACTTAGAGTATCTTCTTTTAGGAGAACATTTAAGTTGAAATAAAACCTTCTCCTGAAAAGAGAACAGATGAAGGCTTAACATTTACATTTACACTTTAAAATTAAGCTTTTTATATTAACATTCTGACCAATTTTTATTACATCATATATACTATACATATATATTATTTATGTTTATTTATTTTGAGATGGTCTCTCACTCTGTTGCCCAGGCTGGAGTGCCGTGACACAATCACAGCTCACTGCAGCCTCGACCTCCTGGGTTCAAGCAATCCTCCCGCCTCAGCCTCCCAAAGTGTTGGGATTACAGGTGTGACCCATCGTTCCGGGTTTACACATATACTACGTGTGTGTGGGGGGGGGTGGGTGTGTCAGGGGGTGTCTCTACATGGTATATAACGCTGAAATCCACAAAGAATCAATCAAGTCAGACTCTTAAGAAAGACCCTTAAGGTGAAATCACACAGCAGCTCTAAGGTGGAGAGCGGAGAGGGTGCACTCTGTTCTGTCAGTACTCCCTAAGCTAGATAATAAGATAGATGGATTCACGGGGGTTCACCTTCCTTGTAGTGGCCTTTTCTAAAGGAAGCAGGTGTTTATTATCTGCTGGAAGGTGAAGAGCTGTGCTCAGGAAAAAGGCAAAGAAGTCAAAGGAGCATTCATGCCTCCCCTTCTTGCCTTGCTAACCCCATTCTAAGCACCAGACCCAGGACGGCTCCTCTAGAGCTCCAAAATATCATTTTCTCACTGATACACAAATTCCTTACTTAAACATTTGCTCTTTAGATGCCTTTATTGGAGAAACGATAAAGACAATTAGGAAATGACCATTTTATAATCCCCAAAGAAATAAACTGATTTGCATGAAGATCAATGGATGCTAAAAACCATTAGGCTGTTGGCAAACAAGAGTTTCATATTGTGCTACACACTCTCATTCAAAAGATTGCCTGCTAATGGCAAAGGGGGAAGTGTTCCCTTACAGTAGAAAGGCAGTGGGGCAGTTACCACCATCACCAAGCGATCTAACTCAGCACATGTAACACGGGACAGCAGACATAGTGCCTCTGGATGTGACACAAGCATAAAGTACACACTGCCCAGGAACAATGCTTGGCAAAAAGGCTTTGCCTGAATGTAAACACACCTTTAACCCAGACTCTCACTTTACAAAGGCTGTAATATCAAATGCAATGCCAGTTGGGGTAAAAACAGCTACAAAGGGCATTTGGGGGGAAATTAGGAAAAAAATATGAACTAGATATTAGGAAATTATTATTTTCTTAAGTTTGATAATGACATCGTGGTAGGAGAACATCGTTATTTTTAGAAGATGCATACTGACGTGCTTAAGGACTGTCATGATATCTGCAAATTATTTTCAAAGGTCGGCAAAAAAAAAGTTGATAAATCAAATGTGGCAAATAAATGAAAATCAGATAAAGCAAATGTGGCAAACAAGACAACAGAGCAATTATGGCAAAATGTTAACAATCAATGACTAAATGGTAGGTATAGAAATTCATCACTCAGTATGTCTGAAAATTGTATTTTCCTATTCTTTGCATCCTCATTCCCCAAACAAAACTTTCATGGCTGAATTCTACTAGAAATATTAATTAGTTTGTACTAATTCATAAAAATACCTTCTTAAACTACTTCAAGAAGCCTTCAGCAGGCAGATTTTAAGTCCATGAAAAATATTTTATAACAAGGCAGCCTTCCAAAGCCTTGCCAGGAAATAGGGGTACAAGCCCCTTAGTACTCTGGGGGTAATGAATGACTCATCAGATGGGCTTTAGGGCAGCAATCTGCCTCACTCAGAAGGCTACAGGAATGTGCTCTCAAATCACCTTGCCTCTGCCAAGCTCAACAAAAGTTTAATTTATGTGGTCACCCAAGAACGTTTGTTGCTGACAACATGAAAGAAGACCCACACTTCCAGTGTGCCAGGCACTAACTGCTTCACCTGAACCAACTCATTTAAACCTCCTAACAATGCTGTAGAGTGGGCACTGTTATTATCCCCATTTGCCAGATAAGGATACTGAATCACAGAGCAAATAAGTCCTTTGCTCGGGCCAGGTGCGGGGTGTAAACCTGCACCTTGGATCCACATCTGGCTCTATGGTCTACCCTCCCATTGATGGTGACAATGAGGGAAGAACATGACTGTGTAACCCCAGCCCAGGACCACCTTAGAGAGGCCTTGCCAAACCGAATGGTTTGCCTCCTAGCAAGTAAAGTATAATCAGAGGAAGTGGACAATAAGCAAAGCCGCTCATCTCAAATGATAACTAAATTGTTCTCAAAAACTATTACTAGAGAAAACAGATGTCTGCACACACAGCAGTGTCACCCACTTCCACACCAACTCATGGTGGTCTCTGTTGTAAAAGGCTTGTTATTAGCTGAGTGAGACAAACGTATCACCTCTAAGGGCAATGAGCAATAGGCTTACTCTGGAAGGACTGTGCTGAATGTTTGCCTTGTGCTGAACAGCATGCCGTGGCTTTGGCACAACGACCATGGGTGGTGGAGTCAGGGGCACCTGGGCTCTAACTCCTTCATGTCAGTTCTGACCCTGAGCAAGATACTGAACCTTTCTGGGCCTCAGTTTCCTTCTCTCTAACCCTTTGGATGAACAGATGGAATAACACCACCTCTCCGAGTATAGTCATCAGTGAGGGTTAGCCCTTCTCCTGTCACTGCAGACACATCCAACAGGTGACACATGTGAGATCATCATGCTCTGACACTTCTGACGGGTTAAATCCGGGGCAGGAGGTGAGGGTGATGGAGTTGTTTTCCTTACATTTTCTGACACACACGGTCCTTTCACATTCAGAGATACGCATGGACCAATGGCTCCTGCAATCTTCAGTTCCCGAGAGGTCTATAACAAATATGTGACAGTGTAAAGTTAAAGATCACTTCAATCCACCCTGCTGTCATCATGGCCACAATGAAAGCTTAGAGGGAAAATATAACACTACTATTCTGCCAAGAGAAAACTCCACAGGGATCATAACTGCTTAGTCCTACAAACTTTTCCTCAGCCACTGTGATTAGAACTTTAATAAAATCCACCCTTAGAAACACTTGAAACATGAGCATTTTCAACTCTCACAACTTACTTTTTAAACTTGGAAATTACTGTACATGTAGATAACAATTCTAACAATACTACATTCTTTTCCAATCCCTTGTATGAATATATTCACATTCATGTATATCCATAATTATTTGCATATACCTAATCAGAGAACATACTGTTTTGTGTTGCTTTAAAAATACTTAATTCATGAACTCCAATATAACGACAAGGCCAACATACTTAGATTTTTAAAATGTGAATTCATTTCAAAAGTCCATCTTTAAAAGAAAACCCTCAAGCATTTAAGATTATGGTTTAAAGTCTAACCTAGATGATTTAATAATTATCTCTAATTCTCCAAGTAATAATTCCAATCGTATCTTCTAATGACGGCCCCTGACCTGCCCCGCCAACTGGCAACTCTGTTGCCCAGGCTGAGTGCAGTGGCATGATCATAGCTCACTGCAGCCTCAAACTCCTGGGCACATGTGATTTTCCCGCCTCAGCCTCCTGAGTAGCTGGAACCACAGGTGTGCACCACCACACGAGGTTAATTTTTTTTTTTTTAAATCATTTGTAGACACAGGGTCTTGCTATGTTGCCCAGGCTGGTCTGTAATTCCAAAGCTCATGCAATCACCCCACCTTGGCCTCCCAAAGTGCTGGGATTACAGACATGAGCCACCGTGCCTGGCCTAACACCCTCTTTTAATGCTTTCTCAATGACTTAGAATCAGCTGTATCAGGGCCATGAGTCCCTACATGGGAAAAAAAAAATCTCAAAATGCTGTCTTTTTTTTTTTTTTTTTTTGAGACAGTTTCACTCGTTGCCACAGCTGGAGTGCAATGGCAGGATTTTGGCTCACCGCAACCTCCGCCTCCTACGTACAAGCCATTCTCCTGCCTCAGCCTCCCAAGTAGCTGGGGCTACAGGCATGTGCCACCACGCCCGGCTAGTTTTGTATTTTTAGGAGAGATGGGGTTTCTCCCTGTTGGTCAGGCTGGTCTCGAACTCCCAACCTCAGGTGATCCGCCCACCTCGGCCTGCCAAAGTGCTGGGATTACAAGCATGAGCCACCATGCCTGGCCCAGTGCTATTTTAGAGTACTTTGGCTATTCTTCAGGAAGACATTAAACATAACCACGTCTCTGTGCAATGCAGTGAGCCATGCTGATGGCTGGGTGGATGCAGACCACCGTGTGGCTGCCCCTGTCCTCAGGCCACAGTGCTGCTCATAACACCCACCCTACTTCCTCTTCTATCTCCTACTGCCTTGAAGCAGGGTGGAGCAGAGCCTGAGGGTGAACCAGGCAGCTTGTTACTTAGAACATAAATAAATATATAGGTCATCCTCAAGAAGCAAAGGGATAAAGTGAATAACATGCTTTTAATAGCCATTTGGTTGAGATCCTTTTAATTGGCTTTTACATGCCCATGTCCAGCAGGTGGAGGTTGCCAGAAGTCTGGATATTGATTGAAAAAGTAAGAACACTATAATTTCATTGAAGTTTTAAAAGTATGGCCAGGTACAGTGGCTCATGCCTCATAATCCCAGCACTTTAGGACGCTGAGGCGGGAAAATTGCCTGAGACCAGGAGTTTGAGACCAGCCTGGGCAGTACAGTGAGTCCACATAAAAAAAAAAAAAAGTTTACCGTACCTTTACGTCCAAAGTAGCACCAAATGCCATTCGGAAATCTCCATTAAAATCTTTAGTAAAGATTCTTTGGAATGTCTGCTTGAAGAGAGAAGTGTTGAAAGAATCTCCCATTACCATGTAGCCTCTAGGTAAGAAGAAAAAAATCAAGTGAATATTAGGAAGATTGAAAGCCATTCAGATGCTCCCTCAGTATTTACAAAAATAATTTAAAGAAAAAAAGAAACCAGGTCCCCAAAAGAGCCACTGATTAATTTAAATATAAAAAAACAGGCCAGGCACAGTGGCTCACGCCTGTAATCCCAGCACTTTGGGAGGCCAAGGAGGGCGGATCACTTGCGGTCAGGAGTTCAAGACCAGCCTAGCCAACATCGTGAAACCCCATCTCTGCTAAAAACACAAAGATTAGTAGCCACAATCCCAGCTACTCAGGAGGCTGAGGCAGGAGAATCACTTGAACCCAGGAGGCAGAGGTTGCAGCGAACCAAGATCGGACCACTGCACTCCAGCCTGGGCGACAGAGCAAGACTGTTTCTCAAACAAAAAAAAAATTAATAAATAAGTAAATAAATAATAAAATAAATTAAAAAAATAAAAACAGCATGTTAAATTCATACTTGGCAAAGAAACTACTTCTAAAGCATTAAACAGAAGCCTTAAGAACAGCTCTAATTCCTCTCACAGTTCTTTGGTATGGGAAAATACCCAGGCCTGTGGGAAATCCTTTTCAGGTTAATTTACTGCCTCAAAATACTGAATTCTTGACTTTACAAGAATTATGTTTTCCAACTCATGAGTATTAATATTAATCCCTTACTGAAGTTAGAGGAAAACATTGTGCAAAATGTCAGCATTTCATGCATTTGGACAGAAAAGCACAGCTTGACGCAAGTTATGCCTCCAAACGTCATTCATAAAACAAGATCTCAGAATCTTGAAGAACACAAGAAAGATCATCTGGTCCGGCCATCTCAGAGTGCCTGAACCGTCTGTCAGCTCTTTGGCACCAAATATCTACCTCTTCCTTAGTTTCCTGGAACAATGACATTTTCCAGCCTGCCTTGCCTATGGCCATGTGCCTCTGTTGGCATGTGCGTTCTGACTATTGCTGTGTCCTTTATATGTGGAGTGTGTTCCTCCAGGAAGAGCAATCCTTCTCTGACCTTTCCTCCTTCCTGCTGCTGTAAATGGCTAGAGCTCCAGCAACTGTCTTGAGCCACAGATGGCATATGAATGGTGGTAGAGCAGCTTAGTAGGAGCCTCAGCCCGTAATGATGACGAAAGCAACATACCAGCCCCGGACTGCCTACCGCCAGAGAAATAAACTTATTGTGGGTTTTCTGTGACATTCACACAACTCTAATACTAACACTCAACCAAACCCTCTGCAAAATACCTGCCAAGTTACATCCAGACTAGGCTTGAACTCCTCCAGCATTGGGAGCTTCCTCCCCAAGCTGTCCATTCTGTGTTTGAACAGCTCTGTTAAGAAAGGCCCTTCTTGATATTGAGTGAAATTTCATTTGCCAGCAGCTTCCACCCACTGGTTTGGTTCTAGTTCCACTCTTTGGTCACATACAGAACAAATCAGATTCCTTCACAGGGAAGTCCCTCAACTGCTGAATACAGTTCTCACACCCCCATGTGTCTTCAGCTTAATCTTTTCCAGCTACTTCAATCATTCCTCACATGACAGTTTCCAGGACTCTCCACCACTGCTCTTCTTCAAACATCTCCAATTCATCTCCTATTGCCCCTTGAAATTGCAATGTTCAGAACAGAAAACAATGTATTTGGATAAGGTGTGACTAGCACCAAAGAAACCAAGAATATGGTCTTCCCTGAAGATAATCTTCTCCTATAGCACAGCCTGGAATCACCTTGCCTTTGCTGGAAGTCATCCCACACTGTTGGCTCACCTTGAGCTATACTAACACATGTGTGCAACAGATGGTAACTCTTCACAGAAAAAATTCACACAAACTAGCATACAATCTAAGGGATGTTCACAAATACACTAAAGCTTTTCTATGGACATTCCGAGTCAGAACTCCTGGAAGGCCGTGGTAGGAATTCATACTATTAAATGTGGATTACTGAGATAGCTACATCAGTATCATTTGGGACCCTAATTCTATCACCTAACTCATCTGCTGCTCTCTAGGACAACTCCAACTGATTCTGGTTCTACCTTTTATTCCTTTTACTCACTGGGGACCAGCAGCATCACCTGTGGGGTTGTTAGAAATGCAGACTCTCAGGCCCATTCCACAGCTCTATGATGCTTCTCAAACTTCTGTGCATGCAAATCACCTGGGATATTGTTCAAATGCAGGTTCTGATTCAGGTCTAGAGTGAGGCTCAAGATGCTGCATGGTTCTCAAACTCGGCTCTATGTTAGAATCACGGGAGAAACTTTTAAAATGCTGATGCCCAGGCTGCACCTCATGCTAATTAAATTAGAATCTCTGAGGACAAGACCTAAAGAAAGTGTAGCTTTTAAAGTTCCCCTGGTGATAACAATACGTAGGCAGCTGCAGACCAGTGCTCATCAGTGGTTCCTACACTTTCATGTGCCCTAGAATCTCCTAGAGAGCTGCATTCCCGGGGTTTCCGATTCAGGAGGTCTGGGTAAGGCCTAGAAATATACAATTCCAATCAGTTCCCAGGAGCCCCTAAGGCTGCAAATCTGGACACCACCACATGTTGAGAACCACTGCTCCACACTCTGGCCTGTGAATACAATACTGACTCAGGCTTTGAGTCAGTACAACCTCTAGGCTGAGTGCACTTGGAGTTAGTCACAAAGTATGGCCACTTAGCCAGGTTTATCCTAGTTGTTTCAGCATTCAGACCCTGTTTTCCCCAATTCTCAAAAGGAAGTGCCCTGATGAAGGCCAGATAGTCCATGCTGCTTGCTTTCTTGGCCTGGTCTCTGTAAAAGTGTTAACAACTCTAAGGAAGAAATAAGTTACTCTGAAACGACTTATTTGTAGTGAACTCTTGAGCCCTCCTACTAATCACTACTTCCCTCTCCAAGGAGCCCACAGGCCCTCCCCAGTCACTGAAACCATAGCCCAGAGCTACCTGAAAGCTTCTCTGAGTTGGCCTTGCCCATTCCTATGGCTCCATCACTAATTTCTCTTTCCTTAAAATAACACTGTCACTCTGCCCAGGTTTTCACTGTCAACATACCCAGTAAGATTTGCACAACACTTCATCTCCAAAAGTCCAGTTTGATCAAGGGCACAAGCATAAATATCAATGCAGTGACCATTTGCAGCTGTTCGATTAGCAAGCATCTCATAGTGCTGTGAAGAGAGGAAAGCTATCTTTAGGAAACAGTGACATTATTCCCAAGGTATGCCTGAATTACCGAAGGAGGTAATCAAATATAAAAACATGTAAATCATTTTCTTTTCTCTTTTTGTGACAGAGTCTCTCTCTGTTGCCCAGGCTAGAGTGCAGTGGTGCGATCTCCACCTCCCGGGTTCAAGTGATCATCCTGCCTCAGCCTCCCAAGTAGCTGGGATTAAAAGCGTGCGCCACCATCCCCAGCAAATTTTTGTATTTTTATTTTTATTTACTTTTTGAGACAGTCTCACTCCGTCACCCAGGCTGGAGTGCAGTGGCACGATCTCAGCTCACTGCAACCTCTGCCTCCCAGGTTCAACGGATTCTCGTGCCTCAGCCTCCCGAGTAGCTGAAATTACAGGCACATGCCACCATGCCCAGCTAATTTTTGTATTTTTAGTACAGACAGGCGTTTCGCCATGTTGGCAAGACTCGTCTCGAACTCCTGACCTCAAGTGATCCGCCCACCTTGGCATCCCAAAGTGCTGGGACTACAGGCGTGAGTCACCACTCCTGGCTTAAATTTTGTATTTTTAGTAGAGATATGGTTTCACCACGTTGGCTAGGCTGGTCTTGAACTCCTGACCTGAAGTGATCTGCCAGCCTCGGCCTCCCAAAGCGCTGGGATTACAGCCGTGAGCCACCGGGACTGGCCTGGAAATCATTTTCAAAAATATCTGAATAAAATAAAAATATAGTTTTCATTCTCAAAACCCTTTGAGTAGTTTTAAGGCCACCCACTCTAATTAAGGTCTGAAAGTAGGAGCAATAATTTAACAGCAGCTAAGATTGGAAAACTGTCTCTGAAACAGCGTCTTGCTGACCATGACACATGACCTTGGCAAAGTAGCTGTCACTCCAGAGCAGCCCAAACCTGACAATGGGCTTTCAGAATTACAGCCCATACCCAAGAGCACCTACCTTGGTTGCCTTTTTCATGAATCGTGCATTATCTTTCTCAATATCATGCCAAGAACGAATAGGAATCTTTAATTCATCTCCAACCACCATGCCAGGCCCTTGGGTAGGGGGACCTCCAGTAAACAGCATGATCCTGGCTCCTGTGTTTGGAAAAGTGCCCTAAAATAGCGAATGGCAGCATGTTAGAAGTATACAGCCTCACCTTTTAGTATGGTTTCAGTTTCCCAATAGAAATACTCCAAAGATGCATTCTCTCCAGCTGTCCTAAAAAGTGGTGATAATGCAGAATAATACAGATGATAATGCAGAAAAGCAGCACTTGTCTTCTTCCAACCTTATGGGTTTGCACAGTTTTATTAATTCGCTGTTTGAGTGCTCCCTATTGCTCTAATTCTTAGTTTTTCAATGAAAACTTTTGGCATTTTCAAAATGTTGAGGGGCTCCCTCAACGTGAATGATAATGATGCCTCAAATGCTTTCTGATACATTAACACAGACGGTTGACTTAGATCACAAGTGATTTTCAAACAAAGCCAACAAATATATTTTCTGAGAGCACATTTGTATGATTTGAGAGGTCCTGGTAAATTTTAAATTACCTCCAGCAAGCCAACAGCAATGGACAAAGCCACACCAGTGGATCGCAAAGGTCTCTTCCCCTGAGTTACTGGCCATGGGTCCCTCTGTAGCTCCCCAAGAAGATCAGTGAGGTTCATATCAATCTTGTGAACAGGCTGCAGAAATCTGCAAGATTTTAACAGACACATCAACCCAGATTGAATAAAGTACTCTGGTCTTCAACACTAGGTGCCACATAATTACTGCTCTTCAAGATAATTATTCAGAGTAGTAACTGACTGGTAATTTTTTTCTTCAAAGCTATCTCTCTACTAACACAAAACAATTTAAAGCAGTTTTATTGAGGAATATAAAGCCCAGTACTTAGCAATTTACTTATGTTGCACGGAAAAAAAAATTGTCTGGAAAAGGAGCAATTCAGTTTAATTAATTTTTAGACAGCAAAAAAATCCTAAGGACATGCCTAACATGAGTTCAGTCTATGTGAGGTCCATTTATGTGGACAATCTTCATCATTCCTCATCATTCTAATCTGTGCTTCTCTTAAGCCTTGAAAGTAAGAGGTTGTCTTCAGCATGTCGGGCAATGCATTTTATCGAGCTTGTTAGCTCAGTCTAGGCACTCAATGGGCTGAGTCAAGTGAATACCCGGTCATAAGTATGTTTGAGGACACATGAAAGAAGTCTTTTCAGTTTTTCCAGTTTTACTTAAGCATCAAAAAGGACATCAGATGTGGAATGTCTAAAAACAGCAATTGAGCACAGTGGTCTCCAAACCTTTTTGACAAAACACTGAATATTGATTAGGCTTAATCATTTATCTTTTTCTCTAATAATAAGAAAATACAAATTCTAATATTTTTCTTCCCTTACTCCCATGGATCATCTGCATGTCCATCACAATACGTGTAACACTCCATGTTGGGCTCTCACCTGCTTGAAGCAAAAGGGTGCTCCTGTGGTTGTGCAGGTCGTGCTTGCTGCATGGGCATGGCTGGCTTGGTCAGGCCCAACATATCCTTAAAAAAAAAAAAGCCAAAAAGATTCATTTCCAATGACACTAAAAGTGAATGACTAATTTTTAAGAAATGTCCTCAGCTGGGTGTGGTGGCATGTGCCTCTAGTCCCACCTACTCATGAGGCTGAGGTGGGCCAATGGCTTGAGCCATTGAGCAATGATCACACCACTGAACTCCAGCCTGGGCTACAGGCTCTTTTAAAGAGACCCCAGTCTCTTTTAAAAAAAAGTCCTTGTTTCTGCTCCTGTACAAGTAAGGTACAAACCTGTATTTGCTTTGCAGTTAAATCCTTGGTCCCTCGGAAGACATAACTTTTGGAGATTCCTTCACAGCTTAGCTCATGAACCTGCACCATCCTTCCAAATGTGATCAGACCCACCAGAGCATCTGGAGGAAGAAGACTCAGGGACATCTGCAGGGACTCTTTGAGTGCTTGAAGGTCATCTTCCTCCAGGCATGTGTCAACCACATAGAGAAAGATCAGAGGGGACTGAGCACCTCGCTTTGGGCAAAGAAAAACAGCATAATGATCAATATACAAATAGACTTAACCAGCACTTTTTAAGGCAAATTAGGTATGAAAATTGTAAGTCTTCATCTATATTTAGTTTTAGGAGATAAGGACATCTATACAAAGCTCTAACTTATTAAATGACTTAGATTTTATTAAATCAAACTAAAGATAAAAACTATTTGTATCCAACAACTTTGCCAACATTTTTTAATACTTCCTACATGCTAGACATTGTTTCAGGTCCTGGGACACACAGTGAACAGAAAAAACAAAGACTTCTACCTGCCTCAAGGAGCAAACTTTCTGGAATGGAGAGGTTAAGGGGGACTGCAAACACCAGGAGGAGAGGCAGAGGGCAGAGTCAACTGTTAAACAGAGAAATCAGGGCAGCCTCATTTAGAAAGTAGCATATGAGCCGGGTTCATGCCTGTAATCCCAGCACTTTGGGAGGCTAAGATGGGAGGATTGCTTAAGCACAGGAGTTCAAGACCAGGCTGCCAACATGGCGAGACCCCGTCTCTAACAAAAAAAAATATAAAAATTTAAAAATTAGTTGGGGATGATGGCATATGCCTAAGGTCCCAGCTACTCAGGAGGCGGAGGCAGGAGGATCCCTTAAGCCCAGGAATTTGAGGCTGCAGTAAGCTATGGTTGTACCACTACATACCAGCCTGGACAAGAGAGCAAGACCCCATCTTAAAAAAAAAAAAAAGAAAAAGAGGGCCGGGCACAGTGGCTCATGCCTGAATCCCAACACTTTGAGAGGCCAAGACAGGTGGATCACGAGGTCAGGAGTTCAAGACCACCCTGGCCAACATGGTGAAACCCTATCTGTACTAAAAATACAAAAATTAGCCAGGCGTAGTGGGGTTCACCTGTAATCCCAGCTACTTGGGAGGCTGAGGCAGGAGAATTGCTTGAACCCAGGAGGCAGAGGTTGCAGTGAGCTGAGATCGTGCCATTGCACTCCAGCCTGGGTGACAGAGCAAGGCTCTGTCTAAAAAAAGAAAAAAAAAAAAAAAAGAAAGGAAAGAAACAAAGAAAGAGAAAGAAAAAGAAAGTAATGTTTGAGCAAAGCCTGAGGGAAGAGAGGGAAGGAGCACCACAGATACAGGGGAGAGCTCCAGCCTCAGGGAAAAGCTACAGCAGAGGTCCTCAAGCAGGAGTGTTAGCACATTTGAGGAGAGTCAAAGAGGCCCACTGGGCTGAACGAGGACACTAGCAGATACTGGGGTTGGAGTGGTAACACGTGGGGCTTTGAAAACTGTCTTTTACCCTGGGTAAAAGAAAGCCACTTTCTCCAGTGGGGTTTTCTGAACAGAGAAGTAACATGATTTTTTTTTCTTTTTTTTTTGAGACGGAGTCTCGCTCTGTCACCCAGGCTGGAGTGCAGTGGCGCGATCTCGGCTCACTGCAAGTTCCACCTCCTGGGTTCACGCTATTCTCCTGCCTCAGCCTCCCAAGTAGCTGGGACTATAGGTGCCCACCACCACGCCCGGCTAATTTTTAAATTTTTTTTGTATTTTTAGTAGAAAAGGGGTTTCACTGTGTTAGCCAGGATGGTTTCGATCTCCTGACTTTGTGATCCCCCCGCCTCAGCCCCTCAAAGTGCTGGGATTACGTGTGTGAGCCACCACGCCCGGCCGATTTGTTTTTAAAGAATTACTCTGGGCTGCCTCCTTTTTTGGACTCAGCCCGCCTGCACCCAGGTAAAATAACAGCTTGTTGCTCACACAAAGCCTGTTTGGTGGTTTCTTCACACGGACACGTGAGATATTTGGTGCCGAAGACCCGGGTCAGAGGGACTCCTTCAAGAGACCAGTCCCCTGTCCTCACCCTCACCCCGTGAAGAGATCCGCCTACGACCTCAGGTCCTCGGACCAACTAGCCCAGGGAATATTTCACCAATTTCAAATCGGGTAAGTGGTCTTTTCACTCTCTTCTCCAGCCTCTCTTGCTACCCTTCAATCTCCCTGTCCTTCCAATTCCAGTTCTTTTTCCTCTCTAGTAGAGACAAAGGAGACACCTTTTATCCGTGGACCCAAAACGCGCCGGTCACGGACTCAGGAAGACAGCCTTCCCTTGGTGTTTAATCATTGTGGGGACGCCTGCCTGATTATTCACCCACATTCCATTGGCGTCTGATCTCTGCAGGGATGCCTGCCTTGGTCATTCACCCACATTCCCTTGGTGACAAGTCAATTGTAGGGACTCCTGCTTTGGCTGCTCACCCACATTGCAGCCCATGGCTGCTCCCCACCCCCTACTCCGTGTCTCTACCCTTCTCTTTAAACTTACCTCCTTCACTATGTGCAAACTTCCGCCCTCCATTCCCTTCTTCTCCCTTAGCCTGTGTTCTCAAGAACTTAAAACCTCTTCAACTCTCATCTGACCTAAAATCTAAGTGTCTTATTTTCTTCTGCCACACCACTTGGCCCCAGTACAAACTCGACAATGATTCTAAATGGCCAGAAAACGGCACTTTTGATTTCTCCATCCTACAAGATCTAAATAATCCTTGTCGTAAAATGGGCAAATGGTCTGAGGTGCCTGACGTCCAGGCATTCTTTTACACATTGGTCCCTCCCTAGTCTCTGCTCCCAATGCGACTCGTCCCAAATCTTTCTTCTTTCTCTCCTGTCTGTTCCTTCAGTCTCCACCCCAAGCTCTTAAGTCCTTTTAATCCTTTTCTACGGACTCATCTGACCTCTCCCCTTCTCCCCAGGTTGCTCCTCACCAGGCCAAGCTAGGTCCCAATTCTTTCTCAGCCTCTGCTCCCCCACCCTATAATCTTTCTATCACCTCCCCTCCTCACACCCGGCCTGGCTTACCATTTCGTTCCACGACTAGCCCTCCCCACTTGCCCAACAATTTCCTCTTAAAGAGGTGGCTGGAGCTAAAGGCATAGTCAAGTTTAATGCTCCTTTTTTCTTTATCTGACCTCTCCCAAATCAGTTAGCATTTAGGCTCTTTTTCATCAGATATAAAAACCCAGCCCAGTTAATGGCCCGTTTGGCAAAAACCCTTAGACGCTTTACTGTCCTAGACCCCAGAGGAAGGCCCCCAGAGGAAGGCCGTCTTATTCTCAATATGCATTTTATTACCCAATCCACTCCTGACATTAGAAAAAGCTCCAAAAATTAGATTCCAGCCCTTAAACCCCACAACAGGACTTAATTAACCTCGCCTTCAAGGTGTACAATAATAGAGTAGAGGCAGCCAAGTAACAATGTATTTCTGAGTTGCAATTCATTGCCTCCACTGTGAGACAAACCCCAGCCACATCTCCAGCACACAAGAACTCCAAACGCCTAAACCGCAGCTGCCAGGGGTTCCTCCAGAACCTCCTCCCGCAGGAGCTTGCTTCAAGTGCCGGAAATCTGGCCACTGGACCAAGGAATGCCCGCAGCCCGGGATTCTTCCTAAGCCGTGTCCCATCTGTGCGGGACCCCACTGAAAATCGGACTGTTCAACTCACCAAGCAGCCACTCCCAGAGCCCCTGGAACTCTGGCCCAAGGCTCTCTGACTCCTTCCCAGATCTTCTCAGCTTAGTGGCTGAAGACGGACGCTGCCTGATCGCCTCAGAAGCCACCTAGACCATCACGGACGCCGAGCTTTGGGTAACTCTTACAGTGGAGAGTAAGTCCGTCGCCTTCTTAATCAGTACAGAGGCTACCCACTCCACATTACCTTCTTTTCAAGGGCCTGTTTCCCTTGCCTCCATAACCGTTGTGGGTATTGACGGCCAGGCTGCTAAACCTCTTAAAACTCCCCAACTCTGGTGCCAACTTGGACAACATTCTTTAATGCACTCCTTTTTAGTTATCCTCACCTGCCCGGCTCCCTTATTAGGTCGAGACATTTTAACTAAATTATCTGCTTCCCTGACTATTCCCAGGCTACAGCCACACCTCACTCCCGCTCTTTTCCCCAGTTCAAAGCCTCCTTCGCATCCTCCTCTTGTACCCCCCAACCTTAACCCACAAGTATGGGATACCTCCACTCTCTCTGGCAACCGATCACACGCCCATTACTATCCCATTAAAACCTAATCACTCTTACCCCGCTCAATGCCAATATCCCATCCCACGGCATGCTTTAAATGGATTAAAGCCTGTTATCACTCGCTTGTTATAGCATGGCCTTTTAAAGCCTATAAACTCTCCTTACAATCCCATTTTACTTGTCCAAAAACTGGACAAGCCTTATAGGTTAGTTCAGGATCTGTGCCTTATCAACCAAATTGTTTTGCCTATCCACCCCTTGGTGCCAAACCCATATACTCTCCTATCCTCAATACCTCCCTCCACAACTCATTATTCTGTTCTGGATCTCAAACATGCTTTCTTTACTATTCCTTTGCACCCTTCATCCCAGCCTCTCTTTGCTTTCACTTGGACTGACCCTGACACCCATCAGGCTCAGCAAATTACCTGGGCTCTACTGCCGCAAGGCTTCGCGGACAGCCCCCATTACTTCAGTCAAGCTCAAATTTCTTCCTCATCTATTACCTATCTCGGCATAATTCTTCATGAAAACACCCGTGCTCTCCCTGCTGACCATGTCTGACTAATCTCCCAAACCCCAATCTCTTCTACAAAACAACAACTCCTTTCCTTCCTAGGCATGGTTAGGTACTTCTGCCTTTGGATACCTAGTTTTACCATCCTGACTAAACCATTATATTAATTCACAAAAGCAAACCTAGCTGACCCCACAGATCCTAAATCCTTTCCCCACTCCTCTTTCCGTTCCTTGAAGTCAGCTTTAGAGACTGCCCCCACACTAGTCTCCCTAACTCATCCCAACCCTTTTCATTACACACAGCCTAAGTGCAGAGCTGTACAGTCGGAATTCTTACACAAGGAACGGGACCGCGCACTGTAGCCTTTTTGTCCAAACAACTTGACCTTACTGTTTTAGGCTGGCCATCATGTCTCCGTGCGGCAGCTGCTGCCGCCCTAATACTTTTAGAGACCCTCAAAATCACAAACTATGCTCAACTCACTCTCTACAGTTCTCATAACTTTGAAAATCTATTTTCTTCCTCACACCTGACACATATACTTTCTGCTCCCCGGCTCCTTCAGCTGTACTCACTCTTTGTTGAGTCTCCCACAGTTACCATTGTTCCTGGCCCGCACTTCAATCCGGCCTCCCACATTATTCCTGATACCACACCTGACCCACATGACTGTATCTCTCTGATCCACCTGACATTCACTCCATTTCCTCATATTTCCTTCTTTCCTATTCCTCACCCTGATCACACCTGGTTTATTGATGGCAGTTCCACCAGGCCTAATCGCCACACACCAGCAAAGGCAGGCTATGCCATAGTATCTTCCACATCTATCATTGAGGCTACCACTCTGCCCGGCTCCACTACCTCTCAGCAAGCTGAACTCATTGCCTTAACTTGAGCCCTCACTCTTGCAAAGGAATTACGTGTCAATAATTATACTGACTCTAAATATGCCTTCCATATCCTGCACCACCATGCTGTTATATAGGCAGAAAATCACTACACAAGGGTCCTCCATCATTAATGTCTCTTTAATAAAAACTCTTCTAAAGGCTGCTTTACTTCCAAAGGAAGCAGGAGTCATACACTGCAAGGGCCACCAAAAGGCATCAGATCCCATCACCCAGGGCAACGCTTCTGCTGATAAGGTAGCTAAAGAAGCAGCTAGCATTCCAACTTCTGTCCCTCATGGCCAGTTTTTCTCCTTCTCATTGGTCACTCCTGTTTACTCTCCCACTGAAGTTTCCACCTATCAATCCCTCTCCACTCAAGGCAGATGGTTCTTAGACAAAAAAAAAAAAAAAAAAAAAAACCTCCTTCCAGCCTCACAGGCCCATTCTATTCTGTTGTCATTTCATAATCTCTTCCATGTAGGTTACAAGCCATTAGCCTGCCTCTTAAAACCTCTCATTTCCTTTCCATCGTGGAAATCTATCCTCAAGGAAATCACTTCTCAGTGTTCCATCTGCTATTCTACTACTCCTCAGGGATTGTTGAGGCCCCCTCCCTTCCTTACACATCAAGCTCAGGGATTTGCCCCTGCTCGGGACTGGCAAATTGACTTTACTCACATGCCCTGAGTCAGGAAACTAAAATACCTCTTGGTCTAGGTAGACACTTTCACTGGATGGGTAGAGGCCTTTCCCACAGGGTCTGAGAAGGCCACTGCAGTCATTTTTTCCCTTTTGTCAGACATAATTCCTTGGTTTGGCCTTCCCACCTCTATACAGTCCGATAACGGACCAGCCTTTATTAGTCAAATCACCCAAACAGTTTTTCAGGCTCTTGGTATTCAGTGAAAACTTCATACCCCTTACCATCCTCAATCTTCAGGAACGGTAGGACAAACTAATGGTCTTTTAAAAACACACCTCACCAAGCTCAGCCTCCAACTTAACAAAAAGGACTCTGTCAAGAATAGAGCCCAAAAACTCACCAACCAAACAAGTAATTACACTGAACTCCCTTGGACACTCTCTAATTGGATGTCCTGGGTCCTCCCAATTCTTAGTCCTCTAATACCTGTTTTTCTCCTTCTCTTATTTGGACCTTGTGTCTTTCATTTAGTTTCTCAATTCATAGAAAACCACATCCAGGCCATCACCAATAATTCTATACGACAAATGCTCCTTCTAACAACCCCACAACATCACCCCTTACGCCAAAATCTTTCTTCAGTTGAATCTCTCCCACTGTAGGTTCCCACGCTGCCCCTAATCCCGCTAGAAGCAGTCCTGAGAAACATCGCCCATTAATCTCTCCATATCACCCCCAAAATTTTTTCACTGCTCCAACACTTCACTATTTTGTTTTGCTTTTCTTATTAATATAACAACACAGGAATGTCAGGCCTCTGAACCCAAGCCAAGCCATCATATCCCCTATGACCTGCACGTATACATCCAGATGGCCTGAAGCAACTGAAAATTCACAAAAGAAGTGAAAATAGCCTTAACTGATGACATTCCACCTGTGATTTGTTTCTGCCCCACCCTAACTGATCAATGTACTTTGTAATCTCCCCCACCCTTAAGAAGGGTCTTTGTAATTCTCCCCACCCTTGAGAACGTACTTTGTGAGATCCACCTCCTGCCCACAAAACATTGCTCGTAACTCCACTGCCTATCCCAAAACCTATAAGAACTAATGATAATCCACCACCCTTTGCTGACTCCTTTTTCGGACTCAGCCTGCCTGCACCCAGGTGAAATCAAGAGCCTTGTTGCTCACACAAAGCCTGTTTGGTGGTCTCTTCACACGGACACATGAGATAATTATTTCCGATAAAAATGGAATAAAACTAGAAATCAATAACAGAAGAAAGCAAAAATATCAACATATATATGGAAATTAAACTCACTTTTGAGCATGCTCATGTTCAAGGGTTGTAAGACTTAATATTGTGAAGATGTTCATGCTGCCTAGTGAACTACAGATTCAATGCAATCCCTTTTCAATTAACAATTTTTTTTTTTTAGAAATAGAAAAAGTAACCAACAAATTATACGGAATCTCAAAGGACAATAAAGAGCCTAAAAATGTGGCCGGGTGCGGTGGCTCACGCCTGTAATCCCAGCACTTTCGGAAGCCGAGGTGGGTGGATCACAAGGTCAGGAGAACGAGACCATCCTGGCTAACATGGTGAAACCCCGTCTCTACTAAAAATATTAAAAAAATTAGCCGGGCGTGGTGGCAGGCGCCTGTAATCCCAGCTACTCGGGAGGCTGAGGTAGGAGAATGGCGTGAACCCGAGAGGCAGAGCTTGCAGTGAGCCGAGATCGTGCCACTGCACTCCAGCCTGGGCAACAGAGCAAGACTCCATCTCAGAAGAAAAAAAAAAAAAGAAAAAGAAAAAAAAAAGAGCCCAAAAATGTTTAAAAAAAAGAAACAATGTCACCTTTTCTAATTTCAAAGCACATTACAAAGCTACAGTAATAAAAACAGTTTAGTTCTGGCATAAAGACAGACAAGTTTTCCAATAAAACACAATGTAGCAGAAATGCAAACCTCCAACATATGGGTAAACAGTTATTTGAACAGCTATATTCATTGAAGCATTATTCACAAAGGCCAATATTTGAAAGCAAAACAAACTTTCCTCACTGAATAAATGAATAAATACAATTTGTAAAAAAAAAAAAAAAAAGAATTACTGTGGCTGCTGGGTGAAGAATAATGTATAAATAGGCAATGGTAACATCAGGGAGAACAATTAGAAGATTCAAGTAAGAAGGAGTGGCTGGCCCAGGGCAGCTGGTAGTAGGGAGGGGGAAGTGGGTGGATTCTGGATAAATTTCAAATATAGAGCCAATGGGATTTTCCAGTGAATTAGATATGGAACATGAAAGAGAGAGGTCAAGGATAAGTCTAAGGTTCTGAAGCTAAACAACTAGATGATGGAGTACCATCAACTGAGATGAAGAAGGCTACAGAGAACAGGTTTGGAATTTAATCAGTTCTACCTTTTTAGTAGCCTTCTATAATGTCAGGACTTGAAAACAATGCCAGTAGATGCACACACATCAAACCTAAAGGTTAGGATCCTGCTGCCCTCACAGCTTTAAGTCCCCTGCCCAGGTAAGAGACATGGAAGACAAAGGATTTCAAGAGAAATTCAGTATTTAACATTGCTCATTAAATGCACAACAAAGAAATTACCTGTATCACGTACTCAATTGTAGAAAACTGGGGCATCAATTCGGCAGGTTGATTCACCTCAGATATGCCTCCATAAGCTGGAGGAAACTGAAAAGAAGGAAACAGTTTTATTAGGGTTGGCATAACTATATTACACTTTTTATTTTCCATGTGTAAAAATGATAATGATGCCAAGACGAGAGGAACACTTGAGCTCAGGAGCTCCAGACTAGCTTGGGCAACACTGTGAGACCCTGTCTGTATACAAGAAGTAAAAACATTAGTTGGGCGTGGTGGCTCACACCTGTAGTCCCAGCTACTCAGAAGGCTGAGGTGGGAGGATCACTTGAACCCAGGAGGTTAAGGCTGCAGTGAGCCATGATTGCGCCACTGCACTCCAGCCTGGGAAACAGAGCAAGACTCTGTCTCAAAAAAGAAGAAAAAAAATGGTAATGACCATGTATTTATTCTGAAAGCACAAAATACAGGACACGTTAAAAAACATAAAAATCAGCATTTAAAACTTCTAACCCTGCCTTATATTTATATCATTTCTGTCCTCTTAAAAAATATTTTTTAGAGCAGTTTTAAGCTATTGTAACTTCTAAATGTTTAAAAGCACACTTTATGTTGCCCAGGCTGGTCTTGAACTCCTGGTTTCAAGTGATTTTCTCCCCTCAGTCTCCCAAAGTGCTGGGATTACAGGCATAAGCCACCATGCCTAGCCAAAAACACACAAATGAAAACCATTTCTTAAGTTTTGCCCTGCAAATTAAAGGCTGAGATTTCACCTATCTCATCAATAGTTAATAGTCTAAATAAAGCCAAAGACTTTATTTAGGTTTATTATTTTGGCTATTATCAATAAAGTAATACATACGGAATGTAGAAAAATTGGCAAGTCCAGGAAAATAGAAGCAAACAAAGGAGGAAAAGCCCCCCAAAATCCTATCACCTAGAAGCAGCTACTGTCAACCTCCTGGCAGATTTCCTTCCAGACTTAAGCACAGTTGAGAACATCCCATATATACAATGTGGAACTTGTTTTTTCCAGTCAACATAATGCCACAGGCATTTTCTTTTGTTTTTAAAACTCTCTGCAAATGTTTTAAATTCACAGCTTGTGGGTTGGCTTATAATCCAAATAGTCTTTAGCTTTACATTAAAAATACAAGTTGAGGTGCATCTCCCCAAAGTGAGCAGATGATCACTCCAGGCCAGTGACCTCAGAGTGACCAAATGCAAGTGCTGCTGAGGAGCTGACAGGCAGCTTTAGGGGCCTCTGGTTGGGAGAGAAGGGTACAACTGAGCTTGCGAGCCCCAGCAAGAATCTCAGTCAGAGCCAGCAGAAGACTCTAGCCCCATCCTGGCCATGACTGCCCACTGACTGCAGCTCCCAGCAGGGATAAGCTCGATCTATGACTACAGACACACCAGCCACCTCCCAGCAACCTGGAGAGGCCCTGTTCACCCACGCAGTCAGCCAGCTGCACAGAAGGGAGCAAAGGAGACGGAGATCACCCTGATCCCTCCGTCTTCCAGCTCTACATTCATTTAGAGCTAGAAAACCCCCACACTGTCCAGCTAGGAAGGTTACAAAAGATTATTTCCACTTAGGACACATAGACTTGCAGATCATACTTATAAATTGGCAGGTGACAATCTTAGGTAAGCATAATAATACCAAATACTTATATGGCACTTACCATGTGTCAAGCACTGTTCTAAGTCCTTTATACTCATTAACTCAGTTTAATTCTCACAATAATCTCATGAAGTGACTATAGGTATACTATACTATCATCCTAATTTTAAAGACAAGGAAGTTGAGGCACAGGCAGTTAAGTGACCTACCCAAAGTTACACAGGAAATAAGTGGTAGATCTGAGAGCCAAACCCAGGCAGTCTGGCTACAGATCTCTGGCTCTTTAGCCACTATGCTACCCTGCCTTAGAATTACTATAATAAATTATATTAAACAAAGACATTAATCCTAAATGTAATAGGGAGCAGAAATGCTTTTAAGATTTCTATATACTTCTGAATCTCTCATGAAGATATATTTTAAATGACATCTGCTTATAGTTTCCGAACCTATGGTCAGTCATCAATTGTACACTGTCCTCTTCATCACTAGACTTATATGCTGTATCTGAGAATGAGTAATTGTAATTATGATCAAATATATGAACGAATGCATGTGAAGAGCTTAAGATCTGTTAGAACAGTGTACACTATGCTGGACACAAATTTTTTCTAACAACTTTATTGAGGTATAGTTTACGCAACATAAAATTCACTCATTTTAATTATACAAGTCAATGATTTTTAGAAAACGTACAGTTGTGCAATAATTACCACAATCCACTTTTAGAACATTTCCACTACAGGCACAGTTACTTTTTTTTTTTTTTTGACACTCTTGCTGTGTTGCCAGGCTGAAGTGCAGTGGCGCAATCTCAGCTCACTGCAACCTCCACCTCCCGGGTTCAAGCGATTCTCCTGCTTCAGCCTCCTGAGTAGCTGGGACTACAAGTGCGCACCACCATGTCCAGCTAATTTTTTATTTTATTTTGAGACGGAGTCTTGCTCTGTTGCCAGGCTGGAGTGCAATGGCTCAATCTCGGCTCACTGCAACCTCCGCCTCCCGGGTTCAAGCGATTCACCTGCCTCAGCCTCCTGAGTAGCTAAGACTACAGGTGGCTGCCACCACTCCTGGCTAATTTTTGTATTTTTAGTAGAGAGGGGATTTCACCATGTTGGCCAGGATGGTCTTGATCTCTTGACCTCATGATCTGCCCGCCTCAGCCTCCCAAAGTGCTGAGATTATAGGCGTAAGTCACCGCGCCCGGCCTAATTTTTGTATTTTTAGTAGAGATGGGGTTTCACCATGTTGGCCAGAATGGTCTCGATTTCTTGACCTCATGATCCACCCACCTCGGCCTCCCAAAATGCTGGGATTACAGGCATGAGCCACTAGGCCTGGCCGCACAGTTACTTTTATAGAGAAGTCTCTCTTGTGATTTGTGAGCTCCTTCTAGTTTGGTACTTTTAAAATTTTTAAATCAAAAGAAGCTCAACACTGATACCTGGACTCTAAAAGTTAGAAAGATCAGAAAATGAAAATTCAGTAATATACACTATCCAATCAGAATATACTGAAGTCAAGAGAAATATGAAAAACAGGTGCTTTCTTTGGGTCACAGATTCACTGCCTACAGAAAATGTGTAAGAAAAGGGAATTCAATGAACACCCCCTCCCCAGCCCCAAGCAAATGACAAGGACTCAAGAAAACCACTCAACAGAATAAACCACAAATGTTCAAATTCAATATTGTGCTTAACAAAAGTTATCACCCTGAGTTCAGCAGAAACTGCTCACTGCCAGTGTAAACACAAATTCAACCTAACTTAATTTTTTTCATAATACAACTAAAATAAAACATATAACATTTTTTAAAAATAATTCACATACCTGATTTCTTTGAAAACAGAAATTACAGGCCCAAAGTTTTGCTCGATAATCAACCTGACTGTGAGAAAGATAAATATTATAAGTAGGTACCACTTTTATTTTTAAAATAAAATTTTTATTTTTAAGGTAGAAAGCGTTCATTTGTAAATTTCAAGTTCAGTAAATCACACAAGTAAGTGTTTCTATGTGTATGCATAAGTATGAGTATGCAAAACGTTCACCGCAGTTAGAATTCTGGCTAAGTACACCACAATTTCCATCAAACAGCCACAGTGAAGAAATACTAAATCTTTTTCTCTTTTCCAATTTCCTAATTTTTTAAATGTCATGATTTATATAAATTATACATTATTTCTCTCTTGCCTTTTATCTTAACATACTCTTCATGATTTTTTTCTAACATCTTTATTGTCCGGCTATGTGAAACTACTAAATTCCAACATTAAAAGCATATTTCACACACAGGAAAATGCTTCTAGATTTTTAACCTGACTTAGCCCATTTTAAGAAAAGTTGGGCAAGCACATTTCACTTCCTCAAATTGGTTCAAGATAATGCTTCAGTTACTTTTCCCTTATTTTCTACATTTAGAAAATTAATAACCAGTGGCTATGCATTCACATATGGGCACATTAAATAAAAGCAATGAGAATGAAGTAAAAAATGTTCCCTCATATAAAAATTTTATGACACTCTCTACCTGTTTAAAAATCATTTCAAATAATGCCCACATTTAAAAGAAATAGGTCACTATCTCAGGCACAAAAAAAAAAAAAATTACACTTAACAAATTGTTAACAGTTAAAATTTCTTCTGCCTGCTACTTCTCCTTGCCATATAGCATCACTGTACCCGGGAAGCATGAGAAGACGGTCTAAGCTTTCGAATTCTTCTGGGAAATTACTTTAAGAGGAATCAATAAAGTCTACAGTTAAGCCAAAAGCAAACTGATTATCAGCCAAAAAAAAAGTGAATTACAAATCCTCTCCCTCTACCTCTACCTCATTCCTGTAAGATTCCAATTTTATCTGGAATTATCAGGCCAGGGAGATTTCTACAAATATTCACCACTTACTACTCACCACAAGAATCGTTTAGGAGTCTCATCATCTACTACTTATCACAAATTTGATGACCTGCCCAAATTTAATGACTTTTATGAGCATCACATAAAATTCATAATATATTGTATTTATCATTTTTACCAGTTTCAAAAGAATCCATACCAAAGTGGGTTGAGAACAGCTTTACAAGTTGGCCTGCTGCAAAGCACAGGTTCATATTGTACAGGAGGTAGGTCTGGACGTTCTTTCAAAGGAGTAAGGAGACAAGCCAGGGGTACAACCATTCTTGTAGCCTCCAGCCGGCTGGAAGGCCACACGTTCCAACTAAAACGCACACCATCCCGTTCTTCATTCTGCTGGATGAACTCCAGGTATGTCGCCATAGTCTAAAAGGGAACTGAAGATAAAACTTTAATTACCTTAATGGTATGTGAAATTCTGAACTAAATGTCAAAAAAAGAAGATGGGTCATGTAACACAGTGTTTCTCTTTTTTTCCCATCTCAGCTCACTGCAGCCTCCACCTCCCGGGTTCAAGCGATTCTCCTGCCACAGCCTCCCAAGTAGCTGGGATTACAAGCCTGTGCCACCAAGCCCGGCTAATTTTTTGTATTTTTAGTAGAGGCAGGGTTTCACCATGTTGGCCAGGCTGGTCTCAAACTCCTGACCTCAGGTGATCCACCCGCCTTGGCCTTCCAAAGTGCTGGGATTACAGGCGTGACCCACTGTACCCGGCCCAACTAACACAGTGTTTCTTAAATACTTGGGAAGAACCTGTTGCTGTAGAATGACAGTATTTCTTTTCCATCTGATACCCAAAAGTCAGTTAACCGCACAGTTATCATTGATCACTGCTCCTTTCTCACCTCTCCTTTCAAGCACTTAAAAATAAATCAAAGGAGTGGGAGGTTTACAATCACCTGATCATCTCCAAACTACATGTAGTTAAACACTACTACTTCAAACCTCCTCACAGATCACACGTCCTATCAGTCAAGCCAATTTCAGCCCCTTGCTCAAGGGTAAGTCTTGAACCCTGTTTCGGCATCCAACTATCTTCCTCTCTAATCTCCTTCCTTTCTTCCTCTATTAAATTTTACATTCCAAGTGATTTTTTTTTCAGTAGCGGGGGGGTGCTCATTCCCTTCCGCACTTTGTTAACTTTGGAGAAAAGAGCTGGATACTGATCTTCAAGTTTGGTTCATAATGGGAACCAGTTTTGAGCTAAATTATTTCTACTTGGTATTACCAAAATTACTATTATGCTGAGTCTCACCAGAACCTCTTTCCTCACCACGGTTGCTTATGTTCATGCCTTGACAGGCTGTGGTCAAGGCCAGGTGTGGTGGCTCACACCTATACTCGCAGCACTTTGGGAGGCTGAGATGGGCGGATCACGAGGTCAGGAGTTCAAGACCAGCCTGGCCAACACAGTGAAACTCCGTCTCTACTAAAAATACAAAAATTAGCCAGGTGTGGTGGCACGTGCCCATAGTCCCAGCTACTCAGGAGGTTGAGGCAGGAGAATCGTCTGAACTCGGGAGGCAGAGATTGCAGTGAGGCGAGACAATGCCATTGCACAGCCTGGGCGACAGAGCCAGACTCTGTTTCAAAAAAAAAATGAAGACTGTGGTCAGTAAAACTGTCCTACAGGCTAAACTCTCAAACCCAGATGATCCCAACTTCATTGAGTATTTATACATCCTGTTCATATCCTAAAATCTAGGGTAACACACAACTCAGCTATTGGGGTTCAAGGGAACAAGCCCCTCAAGAAAAGTAGTAAAAAGGCAAATTAAAGAGTCTATCAAATTAAAGTGGCCTCTCGCGCCCACTTCCTGAATATGGATAACAACTGTCTGTTATTTTGGGAAGTACCATACTGTAAATAATTTTGATTAAGGCAATAATATTGCATGGCTAGAAAAGCAAATGAATTACTCTACTACATAAAGCCCAGAACACAAGAATTCCAATGTTTGCTCCAACTGAAACTCTAAGAAATCTGTTTATTTCTGGCAACGGCAAGAACCTGAAGCACTGTGTGCACAGGAAGCACTCTGGAGCTTCATGGGAAGCAAAGGGATAACTAAAGTCGGAATGAAAGCAAGTTCTATCACAACTCTCAGCAAGTATGTCAGCAGATTTCATTAAATAACCGTCTCTCTCTCAAAACGTTCTTTATTAAAAGGCACTGGCGGCCGGGCGCGGTGGCTCACGCCTGTAATCCCAGCACTTTGGGCGACCGAGGCCGGTGGATGACCTGAGGTCAGGAATTCAAGACCAGCCTGGCCAACATGGCAAAACCCCGTCTCTACTAAAAATACAAAAATTAGCTGGGCGTGGTGGCAGGTGCCTGTAATCCCAGCTACTCGGGAGGCTGCGGCAGGGAGGACTGCTTGACCTTGGGAGGCATTGGTTGCAGTGAGCCGAGATCACGCCACTGCACTCCAGCCTGGGCGACAGAGCGAGACTCCATCTCAAAAAAAAAAAAAAAAAAAAAGAAGCTACTGCCTCCATCTAATGGTTTCCAAGCATGTACAGCCTAAGACCTGCTCCCTCCTTTTCCTACTGCCTGTTTCCCTCACCCTTCTAGGGTCTGGATTCTTAGCAGTGGACACATAATCCAAGGGGACTATAGAAGGTCCACTAATCATCTGAAGTTATGCGCATGAGGGAATATGCCGTTTTTCTAGGGAGATGGGTCCATAGCTTTTACCAAAGTATCGGGGAAGGTATCTGAAGAGGTAAATAACTGAAAGTATGAATTAGTGAATGAATGAAAGGCCTGGAAAGATAACAGGAGAATATGCCAAAAAATCTGAACCACCCTTATCGCGCCAACTCGTAACTTCTCAGGACACAGTGACCATGTGTATGTAAGAATAAGTGAGGTTTAATCCTTGAAGGGAGTCCAAGGACCTGGGTTCCAGTTCCAGCTGTCATGAAGCAAAAGTCGTTTCACTTGTCTGAGTCTTGAGTTTCTCAACTATAAAACGGGACTTGGGTCCTTCCAGGTGTGCGCACTCCGCAATTCTGGGGAAACTGGAGCCAGAAATCGGTCCCGGCCTGGTGCGGGACGACATCCGCAGGGGACTCCCGGATCATCCATTCCCCCGCTACCCTAAACTGTCAAGAAAAGGCCTCCTCCCAGAAGCCGCTCACCTCGCCCCCGGCAGAAACTCATACCCGTGCCCTCGGCCCTCCGTCACCTATGCGCCCCGCTCACCTGGCCGGAGCCGCTCACCTAGCTAGAGCCGTCCTCACCCACAGCTGCAACAAGCAGGCTCCGGCTCCCACCGCCAAGTCCAGCTCAGCTCTCAACCGATTGGCCAGCGCCCCAGCGCGTCATGCCACGGCGCTGTCCACTGGCCAATCAAAGAGCGCTTCTCCGACGGACTGGAGGAAGCGAGAGACTCAGAGAAGCTCTGCCACCATCTTGGAACAGGGCAAGACAGGTGTATGTCGCACTTCAAAACGAGAGTTCCTCGGAACACGTTTCCCCACCCCTAAACGTTTCTGTTTCAGAAAACCCCGGCGCCTGCCGCACCGTTGCCTAAGCGCAGCCAGCGCTCCTCAGAGGTTCGCCCTGATACAATATGACATCCGCTCGTCTCAGTGGGAAGTCCCGCTGATCGCCTTAGCTACCGGAAAGCGAGAACGATGACGTATGCTCGCGGAACAGGGAGCTGCACTGGTTGGAAGAAACTAAGGCTGCCGGAAGAAGGCATTAGCATGCGGAAGGGGCGGGGCGGGTGGTGAGCGCGGCGGCGCTTACGCACTTGCTGGTTTGGGAGTCGGTCTCTGTGGTTAAGTTTGAAGTACAGAGGTGTGGTGGTGCTTCACGTTACAAGCTCTCCTACCGTCGCTTGCTGTAATGTCTTGGCGCTCTCAGCGGAGGCTGGCACTAGCGCACAGTCCCTGTCATCCTTCTACATGGAGATAAATAATTGAGAACTGTAATATTCAACCATTTTAGGAGAGTAAGCTTAGAAATACATGGAACATAACTTTCTTTTAAAAAATAATTCCAACGTTTAGATTTAGGGGGTACACTGCGTATTTGTTACCTGGCTATGAGGTTTCGAATTCGAATGAGCTGGTCACCCAGATACTGAGCATAGTACCCAAGTTTTTCAGCCCCTCCCTGCCTCCCTCCCCACTCTAGTAGTCCCCAGCGTCTATTAATGTCACCTTTGTGTCCATGTGTGCCCAATGCTTAGCTCCCACTTTCAAGTGAGAACATGTATTTGGTTTTCTGCTTCTGCGTTAATTCTTTTAGGATCATGGCCTCCAGATGCATCCATGTTGCTGCAAAAGGCGCGATAGAACACAACTGTATAAAGCCACCACAACCATTTTTACACACGCTGACAAGTGGCAAACATGAACACATCATTACTGTGACTCAGAGTTGTAGTCTCTGTAGCATATAAAAATAAGCAAAACGATGTAAACATAAAATTATGCAAGAACATATCTAGGCATCCAAGAAGTATCCATTAATTAGCTCAATTTAATACTAAGTTTTAAGTTATCTACAGATCATAGAAATTATTAATAGTTTAAGGCACAAAGAAACAATTACTGTTAAATGTGAGAATGATTCAGTTTTGTTGAACAAATTCACATTTTTCAGGATCTTAAACAATGTAATGTTAATATTAGCTTATCAATAGTAAACTTTTATAAATTTAGGAAGTTCAGATTAATTATTCTCGGTAAGGAAACAAACTCAAAATGTACACATGTATAATACTTAACACTGAGAAAAGACATAGCTGGGATTTTTTTTAACCAAAACTTAATATTATTCGCCAAAGATTTGCCTTGATTATTTGAACCTGGATTCTTTCTGTACTAGCAATTTCTGTAAGAAAGATTGTTATAGGACCATCAGGTTCGATTGTCCATTGTGCGGTAACAGAAAGAATAGGAGTTGCAGCAGATAAAGAGTTCCATAATCAAGTGGCAGCCAAATGAGGAGACAAGAGCAATCCTCAAATCCACCTCCCCAAGAGATTAGAGATGGCATTTTTAAGAAGTCTGGAGGGGCAATGGGCTAAAGTGTGGGGATTTCTGATTGGTCAGGAAGTGAGAGGTGAAGTCATGGGACAGGGAGATGAAGAAACTTCATTCCAGTGTTGTTTCTTGGTGGAGGTCTTTATTTATTTATTTAAAAAAATTTTTTTTTTGTAAAGCAGGGTCTCACTTTGTTGCCCAGGCTAGTCTCAAACTCCGGGCTTCAGGCGATCCTCTCACCTTGGCCTCCCAAAGTGCTAAGATTACAGGCGTGAGCCACTGTGCCCTTCCTGGTGGGGATCCCTAGACAGTTTGGCATCAGCTGTTTTGTGGGAATTCAGGATCTGAAAAATACCTTAAGCAATTCCTGGGTACAAAGAGCTAGTGTCAGAGATTCTGTGGATAGGAGCAATCAGGGAGTAGGTGATCAGTGTGCTGCAAGGCTTTTGGTTAGTTAGCAGCTGCAGGGAAGTGAATTGAAGGGCACCAATGCACCCTGGTCAGTGCCTAACTAACCTGCCTAAAGGCTGGCTTGTAATCTTGTTAACCCTGTCAGGATGGTTTCAGCATTTTTAAGAAATTTTGCATGCATAAGTTTAATTTACTTATTTTCTGGAATTTTAGAAATAATTGATTTACATGTGTTTGTTTCCATAAGTGAATTATAACAGAGCTCCTTTAAGACATGAAATAATATAACTTATTAAAACTTTACAAAGGTAGTAAGATTTTTTTACTCCCACAACAAGAGGGGAAGGCCTTTGTTGATTACAGCCGGGAAGACACATAGACACATAGCATATAGCTTTGGTTCTGCAACTTTGGCCACAGGTCGAAAGTAAATTCAGAAACATAAAAATTCAGTGGACTAGATAACAAAAAGCTGTTCTCCTTCCCAATGGGCATGGAAGTCTTAACTGATTTGAACTCATAAGTAGACAAAAAGGCAAACAAACAAAAAGACTAACAAACCAGATTTTTCATCATCTCTTATCCAAAAGAGAATAGATCTCTAAAAACTATTAATTCACTTAAAGAGATCACCAAATGTTCAGAATGTAAAACCTAGTTCCTAATTTTTTTTTTTTTTTCTGAATGAGGCAATGTATTAACCCAGCATGGTTTGTTCCAATGCTTCTTGTTGGCAGCTGCCACCTGTCCGGCAATTCTGCCCAGATCTCTCTGTCCCTGAGGTGTCAGTTTGCGGCCCCCATCTTGGTCCTTTTCCACCATTTTCAGCCCCTCCAGGGCTTGGAGGACCCGGCGGAGGACACTCTTGAAGCCTCGGCCGAAGTGGCTGGGCATGACGCCGTTTCTCTGACGTCCCCATAGATCTTGGTCATGGAGCCAACCCCAGCGCCACCCTGGAGGTACAGGTGCCGCGCTGTGGAACCGGCTCGTGTGTAGAACCAGTTCTCAACGTAGGGAGGAAGCTCTTTGTGCTTGGCCAGCTTGACGGTGTCCACCCATTCGGGGACTTTCAGCTTCCCGGACTTTTTGAGAAAGGCTGCCAGAGCTCTGACGAAGTCCCGCTGGTTCACGTGGTTTACAGGAACTCCAGGCATCGTGCGGCTTCCGCGCTGCCAGCCAGGGGAAAGGGAGCAACGGGGTTTCCCGCGAGTTCCTAATTGGTGTCGCCATTCATGGGGAAAAATCCGCCAGCTGTGGGCGAATCAGAAACAAAACCCAAAATCAGTAAGGAGGAGAAAGAAACCTAGGGAGAAAGTCAGCAACGCTGTAGTACTATTGCTACTTGGTATTCACTCCCGGAGCCAGGAAAAAATGTGCTTGGGCTTAGCCCCATGGGGTGTTCTTCAGTAATGTGGTTTACCTGGTTCTGTCAGGTGAATCCATTGGGATGTTGGTGAAAGCTTCAAAACTGTTAAAGTGTTTCAAAAGGTAAAATTATGGCCTTCATGCAAATATAAAATGAACATGTGCCAAAGATCTTACTTAACTCATTCATTGATTTTAATTAATCCCTACGACCAGGAGGGATGTTCAGACTGGTTCTAAGGAGAATTTGATTTATAGTGACATATTCTCTATCACACAAAATTGATTTGCATTGCTGTGGACAGGAATAGTTTTCATTGTTGTGGGCAGGGAACATTTGCATTACTATCTTCTATAAGTTAATTTCTATCTCTACAGAGTTGTAAAATAGCATACTCAAAGGCAGAGGTACATCCCTCCTACGGCAAATGACCCAGGGGATTTTTTGTTTTTGAAACGAAGTCTCGCTCTGTCGCCAGGCTGGAGTGCAGTGGCGCGATCTCAGTTCACTGCAACCTCCACATCCCGGCTTCAAGCGATTCTCCTGCCTCAGCCTCCCGAGTAGCTGGGACTATAGGTGCACACGACCATGCCTAGCTAATTTTTGTAATTTTAGTAGAGACAGGGTTTCACCATGTTGCCCAGAATGGTCTCGATCTCTTGACCTCATGATCTGCCCGCCTCGGCCTCCCAAAGTGCTGGGATTACAGGCATGAGCCACCACTCCCGGCCCCCAGAGAGTCTTTTAAAAATGCACAGCACTCCACAGAAAGTTCACCCAGTAACCTCTTTTGACTATTTCAAAATCTTTCATAATTTTTCTGACATATTATCATCATCTGTAGCCTGAGTCTAAATTCTTTTATTTATTTTATTTTATTATTATTATTTTGAGATGGAGTCTCTCTCTGTTGCCCAAGCTGGAGTGCAGTGGCACGATCTTGGCTCACTGCAACCTCTGCCCCTGGGTTCAAGCGATTCTCCTGCCTCAGTCTCGTGAGTGGCTGGGATTACAGGCGCAGGCCACCACACCTGGCTAATTTTTGTGTTTTTAGTAGGGGTTTCGCCATGTTGGCCAGGCCGGTGTCGAACTCCTGACCTCAGGTGATCTGCCCACCTCGGCCTCCCAAAGTGCTGGGATTACAGGTGTGAGCCACCACGCTCAGCCTAAATTCTGTATTTCTGGGTCAGACTTTTCTACCTAACATCCGATTCAAATATTCAGCAACCTGCTGGGTTCTTCAAAGTGTGTTTACTGTGCACTGGTTACCAATTCAGTTCACTGCATCTTGGGCTGTACTTCTACTACCTGCCCGAGTCTGGTGAGCCAGAACACTCACATACACAAGTTACATGAAGTGGATTTATTACTCACAGAGAAGCAGCAAGGGACAGCAGAAACCTAGGATTCAACATGAGCTGGTCTCTCAAGACTCAGGAAAGCCACACGGTGCAGATCGAGTCTCGTCTGTGCATGCCCACTTGTATTCTAGCTGGGAAAAGCCGTAAAAGCATTGAAGGACATCTTGTTTTTAGTGAGGCTAGAACACAGCCTGGGCTGTTCTGGCTATTTCCTCCTTATCTCAGAATACTATATTCCCAGCACATCGGAATTATTCTTCAGAACTATGAGCAAGAAAGTGGGGAGAACTGGGCCAGTCCAAGGCCGTCTGGAGAAATGTCCTGCAGATATCACTGGGTATGCTTGCACATCTCGATCTTAATATGTCCTAAACTGAATCCATCATCCCCCTGGCTCCCAGTGAACCTTCTGCCTCTTGTACATCTTCACTTGAAGATGCCATTCTTCTCCCAGTTACTGAGTCTATAAAGTAGGAAGTTATCCTTGGCTCCTCCTTATTTCTAACACCTCCACCTTGAAGGTGACACTGAATCACTTGGTCTTGTTAATTTGTTACTCTATTTCTCAATTTCATCTACTTGCTTAGTTCAGGCACTCATCCTCTGATTGGATTCCTGCAACAGTCTCTCGAATGATTGTTTTGCCCAAATTTTGCCCGATCTAAAAATCACATTGGTTGCTGGATAGACTTCTCTAAATCACATATCTGACCCTACTATTCTCTTGCTTAAAACCTTACATAATTTTCCCATCATTCACAGGATACAGTAGGGGCCCCTGTGCTACTCACGGGCCTCAATGATCTACAGATCTCAATCCTCCAGTAATGAACCACTGTCCTTCCCAGCCCACATGTGCTGTTTGTTGTTTCAGTGCCCTTTTGCATGCCTTCCTCTCTGCCAAGAACAGCCTCTTCACCTCCCTTCCTTTCCCAGGAGCTGCCATGTGTGCTTCAAGACTTTGAAGAAGGCTTCCATTGACCTCCTTTCTCCTCAAGGTGGCAAAACCAAAATTCAAACAAACAAGTAAACAAAAGCAGTGGCAGAAAGGAAAAGTAACCACAGAAGAGAGGAGAATAGATTTAGACCGTGAGTTTGAAGACTTAGAGACAAACTTCCCACAGAAAACATCCTGACCTGAAAAGAAAAATCCAGGCAGAGGAAGATTATTCAGCAGGAGGGCCTCAGTGGAGGGAGGGTGATCCCTTTAGAAGGAGGGCCTCAGTGGAGGGTGGAAGATCCCTTTAGAAGGAGGGCCTCAGTGGAGGGTGGAAGATCCCTTTAGAAGGAGGGCCTCAGTGGAGGGTGGGTGATCCCTTTAGAAGGAGGGCCTCAGTGGAGGGTGGGTGATCCCTTTAGAAGGAGGGCCTCAGTGGAGGGTGGGTGATCCCTTTAGAAAGAGTCAAACTGTCTCAGCAAGTTCTTGAGAACAACTTCTTCAATATTAGCAAATGAGGTACCAAATATAAAGGTGCATTTTCAGATTTTTAAAAATTCACAAAAATGGCCGGGAGCAGTGGCTCATGCCTGTAATCCCAGCACTTTGGGAGGCTGAGACGGGTGGATCACGAGGTCAGGAGATCGAGACCATCCAGGCTAACATGGTGAAACTCTGTCTCTACTAAAAAAAAAAATACAAAAAAAAATTTAGCTGGGCATGGTGGTGGGCGCCTGTAGTCCCAGCTACTCGGGAGGCTGAGGCAGGAGAATGGCGTGAACCCGGGAGGCAGAGCTTGCGGTGAGCCGAGATCGCGCCACTGCACTCCAGCCTGGGTGACTGAGCGAGACTTCATCTCAAAAAATAAAATGGACAAAAATGTTGGCTTTTAGCTTTGAAACTAAAACTGTTTCTTCTGTGATAATGATAAGCTCAGAAATTGTTTGTACAAGAGATAAAAAGTAGAAAACAAAACGGATATATGTAATTATAATCTTCTCAATTATTATTGGCATAAACAACCTAAGATGAGAGTTAATGTCACTGCCTTTTTTCTCCTTCTAGAAGAATGAGCTAACTAAATCTTAAGGGAAGCTAGATTGCTAGATCCTTTTTCAGCCCCCAGTTCCTGTTTAGGGAGTATCACTGCTTCTTGAACTAAAAACTACTAAGCAAACAACCAGTTGGTTATAGGAATGTCTCTGCTTGTTTTATGTTGACATTTTATTCCTTTTTTTTTTTTTGAGACAGAGTCTCACTGTGTCACCCACGCTAGAGTGCAGTGGCATGATCATAGCTCACTGCAGTCTCCCATGCTCAAGTGATCATTCTACCTTAGCCTGCTGAGTAGCTGGGACTACAGGTGTACACCACCGTGCCTGGCTAATTTAAAAAATTTTTGAAGACATGGAGTCTTGCCATGTTGCCCAGGCTAGTCTCAAACTCCTGGGCTCAAGCAATCCTCCCGCTTTAGCCTCCCAAAATGCTGGGATTACTATTTTTAAATTTGAAAGAGTTATATTGAGGTATAATTGATGTACCTTAAGCTGCACATATTTAAAATGTACAATTTATTAAGTTTTGACACCCATCACCACAATCGAGATAATAAACATATATATCACCCCCAAAAGTTTCATGTCCCTTTGTTAATGGTGGAGGGTGTCCAGTTTCTTAGCGTCTTGAACAAACAATTAGACGAAACGCACAAAGAAAGGAAGGAAAGAAGGGTTTCATTGAAAATGAAAGTACACTCTACATTATGGGAGCAGGCCTGAGCATAAGGCCTCAAAATCCCCATTATAGAATTTTTGAGCATTTAAATACCCTCTACTTGGGGTACACCCTATGTAAATGAAGAGGATGAAGTAAAGCTACAAAGTCATTTAGTTGGCCTACACCCTGTGAAGAGGATATTTCCTGTCATTACCGAAGTGTGAATCGGCCTTCTGTTCCCTGCCTCCAGACCCTATTTTCCTGGCTCATCTGCCCGCTGAGAGATGTGATCCCCATAAATCTTTATGGGAGGCAGAGGGACTGATGGTCTTTTTTCTGTAACTGCTTCATGCTGGCTTGGGGTGTAGTCCCTACCTACTGGTGATCATGGAACTCGCCCTGCTCTATCTAGTGGAGGCAGGGTAGTTTCTTGATGGCTAGGGGTGGTGTCTTCACCTGGAACTGGCTGGAACCTTTGTTGCATGATCATCTGAAGCTTGATGGTCTCCAGACGAGAGGAAATTAATTTGGTTAAAAGATTTAATGGGATGGCCGGGCGCGGTGGCTCACGCCTGTAATCCCAGCACTTTGGGAGGCCGAGGCGGGCGGATCACGAGGTCAGGAGATCGAGACCATCCTGGCTAACACGGTGAAACCCTGTCTCTACTAAAAATACAAAAAATTAGCCGGGCGAGGTGGCGGGCGCCTGTAGTCCCAGCTACTCCGGAGGCTGAGGCAGGAGAATGGCGTGAACCCCAGGGGGCGGAGCCTGCAGTGAGCCGAGATTGCGCCACTGCACTCCAGCCTGGGCGACAGCGAGACTCCGTCTCAAAAAAAAAAAAAAAAAAGATTTAATGGGAACTTCATGGGGTGGATACCTACGCTGTCAGAGATGTTTGTTATAGAGATTTGCAGAAAAAAAAACAAAACCTAGTCTGTTCTAGAATCTATGTTTCCTTGAAGTCTTAGCACAAGCAACTCCATTTTGGTTTGGTTTGGTTTGTTGGGGCCTAATGCATGAGCTTAGTCCAAAACAATGGCCTCGCAAAATTTTGTGCAAAAAATTCCCCCTTTTTGGTCAGGTTCTCACTTAGGTGAGAGTGTGACCAAAACTTAGGGCCTTAGCGCCACTCTCAGTTACCATCATTTTGGGTTTCGGTCTCAGCACATCATTTATAGGTTTTGGTGTTCTCATGGTTGCACATTTCTTTCAGCTTTTGTCATTCCAGTTGAAGAGAGAACATCTGACGTTCTAGAGATGACCGCGTGCAAACATTTAAAACCTTTGAGAGAATACAGCACACCAGGGAGACTATTATTATAAATATTGGGAGGATAACACCAAGAGTTCGGGGTATGCTCCTAAACCCAAGGCCCCGATAAACCAAACCTCCTAAAATCAAATAGATCAAAGAATGAGCTAGATAAAGGGTTTACTCACTTGACTAAGCAATTTCTTCGTTAATCCTCTACCACTGAATTTATTTTTTTCTTTTTTCCTTTTTTTTTTTTTTTAGACGGAGTCTTGCTCTGTCGCCCAGGTTGGAGTGCAGTGGCACAGTCTTGGTTCACTGCAACCTCTGCCTTCCGGGTTCAAGCAATTCTCTTGCCTCAGCTTCCTGAGTAGCTGCGATTACAGGCACCTGCCACCACGCCTAGCTAATTTTTGTATTTTTAGTAGAGATGGGGTTTTGCCATGTTGGCCAGGCTGATCTTGAACTCCTGACCTCAGGTGATCTGCCTGCCTCGGACTCCTAAAGTGCTGGGATTACAGGTGTAAGCCACCGCGCCCAGCCAATGAGGGATACATTTCTAATCATTGCTTCTTTTACTTCAAACCATGGTAAAAGGACCTAACAAATGATGCCTTTCTAGAAGAGTGAAGGCCTACTGGCAATGTTTTCTTTAACCCATGATGTGGGTTAGAGGAGTGAACCAATGTTTTGTTTTTGACTGATTATGAAGCAATGCATGTACCATTAAAGTTTCTTACCTACTTCGGGCCTTCATCTTTTATCTATCAAAGTCTAAGTTTATCCATGTATAAGGCTGGCTGCAAACTCCTTCACAAATAAAAGTATACCCCATAAGTGCACATAACAGACCCCTTTTCCACTTCTATTGTTTGTAGAGGCATAAGGAAGACAAAAAATATTGAAAGATAAGAGTTTCATGGTAGTAGAAGTCTTAATCTGTGAACTTGGGAAAAGCTGTTCACATCAAGGATGCCATTTTCTTCTTGGGAGAAATTTCCCAGGGTAGCTTTACCTCAAAAGTTCCAATGGGTGCACTGTTCCAAAAGTGTGGAGGGACCGTTCTCATTTGCGAGACCATGAACCCAAAGCCCAAGGTCCTGAAGTTTTGTTGTAGTGTGGATGACAAGGACAGTCTTCTCCAATGTTTCCAGAAAATTCAAACCATAAAAAGCTTTCTTTACCGGGGGAAAATACACTGTAGCATAATAATCTACTGTTATAACATCAGCCCTCTTGCATGGGAAAGCTTTTATACAACCAGAATGACAAATTGGAATTCAAATAACAATTGAATGAAATCCCCTTACAAAATGTTTAAATGGCCCACCCGGTGACCAAATGTACATGAAGCTTTGTTTGTCTTCCCAGGAATATGGGACTAAGCATTGGTTATAAACTATTTTAAACAATTTCAGTATCAGCTGGTTTAATATGAAAATCTGACGAAGTATTTTCTTGGTATTTAATTAAATTTTTGCTTGTTTTACTTGGGTTAGTAGCTTTATGCAAGGAAATTTCATTCAAAGCAATGAAAAACAACAACCAGGGCTGATACTGACTACTAAAAACTGTTTTAAACTCAGAAGGAAAAATAATATGGATTTCAGGCGTTCCCAGGTTATAAATGGGTTTTCTGCATGTTTGAAACCAAAAACAAACTTTCCTATAGAAATATCAGTAAATCTAGCAAAGAAATAACACACCCCAACCGTGTCATAGCCTGTCTTAAATAAGGGAAAAACATGAGAGCACTAGTAAGAGGCAAGTAAAGGGTGCTTTGCTTTACAATTGATGGAAGCTCGCAGGCTTTGTTCTTGGCTGCCCCACGCAGCCAGCGGAAGGCAGGCCAAGGAGGAAAGAGCCCGGCCTCCCAGGTCCCCGCAACTACAACTCCCAGGATGCCGCGGCGCAGGCTCCCTGCGGGAGCAGGCTGGGCTCAGCTCCGCTGGACCCGCGCTGGGGAACTCTGGCCTCGCTGCACTCATGGCTTCTCCTAGCAAGGCAGTGATTGTTCCCGGGAACGGAGGCGGGGATGTGACCACCCACGGCTGGTATGGCTGGGTGAAAAAGGAGCTGGAGAAGGTAAGCGCCCAACGCCGCTGCTCCGTGAAGTCAGCCTGGAGGGAGGGACGGCGGGAGAGGACTGAGGGCTGAAGTTTGAATAGGCGTCTAATCCCCTCTAGCAAAGCCCTGTGTGTTTTCCTGCCTCTCCCCCGCTGCCTTCTCTTAAAGTCTGAGCTAGTGGTCGAATTTTGACTGGTAAAACTGCCTGGAAGACTTCTCTGAGGGCTCAGCCTTTAGAGTTAAAGGAACCCCTTTGAACTACCGAGGCTGAGCCCCTGAGCCCCGCCCCCCGTATCTGCTGCTGGTTCAGATTTGGGACTTCCCAGATAATTTTACATGTTCACTGCTTCCCGCTTCAGCTTTTAAAAAATTAAATATGCTATACTTAATATATACAAAGGATATACGTAACATGCGTCTACATTATGAGGCATAATGTAATGAATTACCAAACTAAAACCTGGGACATTGCCTATACATCATCTTCCAAACGACCCTTATGTCTACCCATCTCAGTCCCGTGCCATCCTGAATTTTTTCATCTGCTTCTCTTTTTAAAATTGAAGTACTTTTCAACCTATGAATATACCTTTTAAACAACAGACTGTTCTATTTGGCTTCTTGGTGAGCTTTATAAAAGTGGCATCTTACTGTAGGCTGACCTGTGCCGTTTGATTTTTATTTTTTAACCCTCTTCTGTAACCAGGCGGTAAGTCGGCTCCCTGGGTTGCTGTCCTCTAGAGCGGGTCTCCAGAATAGATTGCAGCGCTGTGGCTGAAAACCCTGGTCAGAGTTACAACCCCAAAGGTCAGGGCTGGAGCTTCTGAGAGTATGCTGTCTCCAAATTTCTGTATCACGTTCCTGTGCCACGTTTTACCTACTCCCTGGAACACAGTCTATTTGGCTCCAGGTCAGTCTGTCTAGAACACATTTGTTCATGCCTCTCTATAGATGCAGGCCTGTAGAGGCAAATATGGGTGTACAAATGCAGATATAGGTCTCTCTATAGAGATCAGCAGAGCTGCCTAGATACAGAACTACAGATGGAGTTCATGCGAAAAGATGGTCACTTAACCTACTTCATTTCATAACACAAGTTAATACTGAATTGGTAACGATCATATCAGGTGCCTCATTTCTTATTAGCAAAGTATTAGTTGTAATTAAGCTCTTTATTATAGCTTTTTCTCCCCCCTCATATCATAGATACCTGGTTTCCAGTGTTTGGCTAAAAACATGCCCGACCCAAGTAAGTTTTAAACTTGTTTTTAAATAGCCTCATCTTGTTGGGTTTTGATATTACCATTTTTGTGGTAGAGAACAAGAATATCATAGTGGAGGAACCAAAGATGCCTATATACCTAAGAAAGAATAAGGCAAGCAGCTTGGGGAGGAGGGTGTGAACCAAAAGCCATAGAAAATTCTTTTTTTTTTTTTTTTTTCAATTCTGTGAATTTGTCATTTTTATTTATTTATTTATTTATTTATTTATTTATTTATTTATTGATCATTCTTGGGTGTTTCTCGCAGAGGGGGATTTGGCAGGGTCACAGGACAATAGTGGAGGGAAGGTCAGCAGATAAACAAGTGAACAACGGTCTCTGGTTTTCCTAGGCAGAGGACCCTGCGGCCTTCCGCAGTGTTTGCGTCCCTGGGTACTTGAGATTAGGGAGTGGTGATGACTCTTAACGAGCATGCTGCCTTCAAGCATCTGTTTAACAAAGCACATCTTGCACCGCCCTTAATCCATTTAACCCTGAGTGGACACAGCACATGTTTCAGAGAGCACAGGGTTGGGGGTAAGGTCACAGATCAACAGGATCCCAAGGCAGAAGAATTTTTCTTAGTACAGAACAAAATGAAAAGTCTCCCATGTCTACCTCTTTCTACACAGACACGGCAACCATCCGATTTCTCAATCTTTTCCCCACCTTTCCCCCCTTTCTATTCCACAAAACTGCCATTGTCATCATGGCCCGTTCTCAATGAGCTGTTGGGTACACCTCCCAGACGGGGTGGTGGCCGGACAGAGGGGCTCCTCACTTCCCAGTAGGGGCGGCCGGGCAGAGGCGCCCCTCACCTCCCGGATGGGGTAAGCCATAGAAAATTCTAGTAAGGATTAGGAAAGCACCTGGGCATGGTAAAATTTAATTTTCAACTTTGCACCAACTTGATTTTTCCCTTCTATATGTCTACAAATATTTTCAGGCAGAATTTGTGGGTACTATACTTGAGGCATAGGTATAAAACTTTACAGCATCTATTTGAGGTCCTAATGTTTAAAAATGTCATATTGCTACTTTTGTTCTGGGTATGCCTATGACTTGTCTCAGGAATCCCCTTTTTGGAAAGAATGAATAAATGTGAATTTTAGAATGTTGCAAGAGTTTTTTTGCTTTTTTTTTTGAGATGGAGTCTCGCTCTGTTGCCCAGGCCAGAGTGCTGTGGCGTGATGTTGGCTCACTGCAACCTCTGCCTCCTGGGTTCAAGTGATTCTCCTGTGTCAGCCTCCCAAGTAGCTGGGATTACAGGCATGCGCCATCACGCCTGGCTAATTTTTTTTGTATTTTTAGCAGAGACGGGGTTTCAGCATTTGGGCAGGCTGGTCTCGAACTCCTGACCTCAAATGATCTGTCCACCTCAGCCTCCCAAAGTGTTGGGATTATAGGTGTGAACCACTGCACCTGACCATTAGCTTTTTTTTTCAAGTTTGAAAGTTTACATTAAAATTTCAGAGTTATATTTTATTATTTCCTTAGTATTTTCTTACAAGAACATGGTAAACCAAAAAAAAAAAAAAAAAAGAGAAAAGAAAAACTAGTTACCAAAACTGTGGACTTGGATCTTTCAAGTAGTAATACATAAATCTTTGGTTTTGTTAATACAGTCTGGTCTCCTGCTGTGGTCCTGCAGTTTTAAAAGTTGTGAACTGCTGAATAGTTGCCTGTTTGAAAGGTGGGGCAGCGTTGGATTCAGACTGCCACTATCAAATGACAGACTTTTTCTTTACCCTGAACCTTAAGTTACAGCACGAGAGAGCATCTGGCTGCCCTTCATGGAGACAGAGCTGCACTGTGATGAGAAGACTATCATCATTGGCCACAGTTCTGGGGCCATCGCGGCCATGAGGTGCGATCTTTGTTAAACTGCTATCCCCTTTGTGGGCTCCAGTCATGCTTGCTTGAGAAATACCTTGCGTATATCTTAAATTTCTGTTGCAGAGGAAACAGTGCTGACCTCTAAAGTGGTAACATAATCTGTCCTAATTCCTTCCTGGTTTTGCTAGTGGATTGAAAGAAAACAAAAAATCTGCTCTTATTGAGATGCAGTGATCCTTTTAAAGCATAAGTGGCTGCAAACCCCAGTAGCTTCCCATCAGTCAGCTCTGATTCTGTCTCTACAGACTCTCCTTCTCTCCTCCCAGCCAGGTTTACTGACCTCATTGCAGTTCCTGGAACATGCCAAGTACATGCACATCTTAGCCTGCTCTCATCCTTCTACCTGGGATACTCTGGCCCTAGACACTGCATGGCTTTCTATTCCCCTTGAAGTGTCTGCTCAAATGTCCCCTTTTGGTGAAGCCTTCTCTAATCACTCCATATGAAATGGCTTCCTCACTCTACTGGCTCCTATCTCTTTTATATCTTATTATCTGCAGCACTTTTTACCATCTGACATCCTGTTTATTTCTTGTCTGTCTCCTGCCAATAGAATGTAGACTCCATGAAGGCAGGGCTTTGTTCACTCTGGCACTGAAACCCCATTGCCTAGAAGAGAGCCTGGCATATGGTAGATTGTGTCTGCAGTGTTACTCACCTGCGAATCCCCAGTCCTTAGGATTCGTATGCACATCCCTACTGCTCTCATTAGAATATTACATCTCCCCTTTTAGCCTTATAAGGCCTAGTGGGTAGGGACTTAGCTGGCTGAATAAGCTAAGTTTAGCCTATAAGGGTTGAGTTTCTTTCATATTTGCTAGGCAAAATGACAAAGGATAATAGTTTTTATTTGTCCCAAGCAGTCACTTAGGCTGTCACATGAATTGCATGTCAGGGAATCTTGCCAAATTTCATAACCTTTCAGCCACACTGATTAAAGTTACAAGAGTATTTCAGGATGGAACCACAAAATTATGGTACACTCCCAGTGTAAGAATGTTATATGCTGCCAGGGGTTGTCTGGAAAAGGAAGAGCTCCTTGTATTATTGAATTCTGTTCCAACTCAAGGCCAACTGCATTTTTCTCAAGCCATTGATTAGTAAAGGTGTGCCTGCTTTTAAAGATCCTTGAACTCACTGCAGGATTCTTAGCAACCTTCTAAGAATTGACTTCTAAAGTTAAGGGAGGCAAGGAGAAAAATGGATGCCAAAACGATTGGGTTAAGGTTGTAGAATTTCCTATTGACAAAATCATAGAGGACTACCCTACAGATGACTCTAATCATGAAAGGGAAATCGTGCCTTTCCAATGGAGAAATCAGGTGGATATCACTTTAAGCAAATGATCAAACTTAATCTCACCAATAATAGACTGGCATCATGTGTCCCCTGATGTAATGGCATGGGAAGGACACAGCATCACCTATGCAGTATCCTTGCCAGAAATGTTTACCTCAGTCTAGTTAGGAGGAAACAGACAATCCTATTTAGAGGATAATGTACAAGACAACTGGCCTACACTCTTAAACAATGTTAATGTCATTTAAAACAAAAAAATTTTAAAGTGACTGAAGAGCCATGAAAATAAAATGCAATGCATAATCCTTGACTAGATCTAGGATTGCAGAATGTTTTAAAGGACATTTTTGGTACAGTTGGGGAAAAATGAATACAGATAATATTGCTGTATCAATGTGAAATTTATTGGGTGTAATAGTGGTACCATGGTTAAGGGAGTGGCTTTCTCAGGAGATACATGCTAAAGTACGGGTGAAATGTGACAAAATTAATGAATCTAGGTGCTTGTTCTTTTTTTTTTTTTTTTTTTTTTTGAGACAGAGCCTCCCTCTGTTGCCCGGGCTGGAGTGCAGTGGCACAATATCGGCTCACTGCAACCTCTGCCTCCCAGGTTCAAGCAATTCTCCTGTCTTAGCCTCCCGAGTAGCTGAGACTACAGGCGCCTGCCACCACACCTGGCTAATTTTTGTATTTTTAGTAGAGACGGGGCTTCACCATATTGGTCAGGCTGGTCTTGAACTCCTGACCTCAGGTGATCTGCCTGCCTTGGCCTCACAAAGTGCTGGGATTACAGGTGTGAGCCACCGTGCCCGGCCTAGGTGCTTGTTCTTTCAACGTTTCTGTAGGTTTGATATTTTTCAAAATAAATGGGGAAAAAAGTTCAGGCCCAAGAACAAAATACCAACCCTAACTCTTTCTTGGCACAAAGGCCCCTTGAAATTATTACTACTATGTGTCTTTCCTTATCCCAGTCTTTGCTGAGGGAGACTGCTCTCTGCAAATATAACTGTGGTTTTTGCCAATAAAGGAGACTCACTCTACTGGCTCCTATCCTCTTTATATCTTATTATCTGTAGTACTTTTCACCTAGATCTAGTCAATCCTAGATCTAGTCAAGGATTATGCATTGCATCTGACATCCTGTTTATTTCTTGTCTGTCTCCTGCTTACTTTTAATGGCAAAAACTGCAATTACTTTTGTACCAACCTAAGAGTTAGCTGGGTGTCTACTTGCCAGGCACTGTAATGGGCACCAGGAACACAAAGATCAATAGGACTCATGCCTGCCTTTAAGGAGCTGACAATTTATTGAGAGAAATGTACATAAGACAACACAAATGAATAATATAAGGCAATGTGGAGTGTGTGGTAACAAAGGTACATTTCTGGTATTATACAGTGTTTCTTAAAATACAGTTCACAGACCACTTGCATTAGAGTCATCTGGGTTGAAGGAGGGATCACGCCTTAAAATGCAGATTCTAGGCCTTAATGCCAACTTTCTGAATCAGAGACTCTGGGTCTGAGCCTGAGAATCTGCATGTTCACCAACCAAGTGACACTGATGCATACTAAACGTGGATGGATTACACATTTTTTGTTTATTGGGAAAGGTTTGTACAAGTTTCAACTACCTTGAAAAATGGGTAGTGGCTGGGCGTGGTGGCTCACGCCTGTAATCCCAGCACTTTAGGAGGCCGGGGTGAGTGGATTATTTGAGGTCAGGAGTTCAAGACCAGCCTGGCCAACATGGTGAAACCCCGTCTCTACTAAAAATACAAAATTAGCTGGGCGTGGTGGTGCATGCCTGTTATCCCAGCTACTCAGGAGGCTAAAACAGGAGAATTGTTTGAACCCAGGAGGTGGAGGTTGCAGTGAGCCAAGATTGTGCCACTGCACTCCAGCCTGGGTGACAGAGTGAGACTCTGTCTCAAAAAAAAAAAAAAAGAAAAATGAGTAGAAGCTCATCCAGTAGCCAGGGTTGGGCTTATAGTTCTGCAGTTTCCTTGCCATTTTTCACATCAACCTCAACAGCAGGTAGCACGTGCTTTCTGTAGGCTACCTCAAATGAGTTTTTAAGTAGTTTATTGACTTTTTGGTGATCAGAGGTAACATTATATATTAGCTGACATCATTTTTGTTTCTCCAGGTATGCAGAAACACATCGAGTATATGCTATTGTATTAGTGTCTGCGTACACATCAGACTTGGGGGATGAAAATGAGCGTGCAAGTGGTAAGTCCAAAGGTAGAAATCTGAGCAAAGCCCTTCTCTAGACATGGGGCTGTCTGTTTAGGTTGTAAAAACAGTGCTGTCTTTCAGATAGGCTAAAAAATTCTAATAGCATATGAGAAAGATATACCACCTATCTTTGGATATAAGTTTGCACTTTGATTTCTTCCCAAGCTGTAAGTCTAGAACTGAACCCTAGAGGCCTGGTTTTAGTTGAACCATATACCACCTCTTCACGAGTAACTGTGGTATCAAGCCCTACAGATTTGAAAACAAAAGAAGTGCTTCTAACTCACACGGAGGCTCTGCTCCTTTGCGTCTCTATGTGGGTCGCCAGTAGGTATTTTAGAATATCTAGAAGGGAGATTATCCATGGGTACTGAAAGATCATTTTTTTTTCCCCATAGGATACTTCACCCGCCCCTGGCAGTGGGAGAAGATCAAGGCCAACTGCCCTTACATTGTGCAGTTTGGCTCTACTGACGACCCGTTCCTTCCCTGGAAGGAACAACAAGAAGTGGCCGATAGGTTGGAAACCAAATTGCACAAATTCACTGACTGTGGCCACTTTCAGAACACAGAGTTTCATGAACTGATTACTGTTGTAAAGTCTTTGCTGAAAGTACCAGCATAGACTGTATGATTTCTGCTATTTTGCATCCCAATATAGGAGTAGAATAATATCTACTATCAGCTGATTACTAGACACATAGAACATCCAGTTAAGTTCCGTAAGTGCCTGAAAAACAAACACAAGTTTCAACATTCAATCTAAGTTACAAATAGCACTTCCATTTTCCATAGACTCTAAAACTCCCCAAATTGCTATGAACTACCACAGTATTTTCCTCATTTGATAAGAAACATAAGGACAGCTTAACTACCCTTCTCTATCCGAAGTGAGTCAGAAACAGAACCCAGGTTTCTTGATTCCCACTCCTGAGTAAAATTAAATAGGTTTTATGTATGTTGCAGGTATTGCACACTTTTCCTCTTTGAAATCAAACTTTTCTATTTCACTGGGGAAAGAAAACATGACTGAAAGTCCAGAGTGTTAGCTTAGAGCTCAAAATACTAGCTGCTGTTTCAAGCTGGCCCCAGACATTAAACTCAGACTAGGGCCTTCACCTCTGACACTTGCCCCTAAGTCCTTCAGACATGTTGAGAGAGACTGAGACAGGAGTCTTCCGGAGTCAGGCAGGAAGGAGAAGCACAGCAATATACATTCATAATATACGTACAACTGACTAGATTTGTTTGAGACAAGAGTGGTGGGATCAGAGCCATGTGGAGAGCTCATGGCCTGTCTAAATTGTTGCCATGTGGAAATGGGGCAGAGTGTTGCCAATTTTCTGATTTTTTGTGTGGAAAAAAATCTCCAAATTGTAGTTTTTAAATTTGGGGAATGCAAATATATATATATATACACACACACACACACACATACACATACAATCCATATACATATGGAGTATGTAAGTTGGCAATAACAGTATACATCAAAAAATTTACAAACACTGCAAGACAAATAAAATCCAAGCCATCCATTTGTGACCACAGTCATAAGCATTCACTTAGCCAGGGGCTTTTAGATAATTGTCTGTGAAGTCTGAGAAAAGACTAAGATAACCAAGATGAACATAATGTCAAAGGACGAAATCATGGGGACAATTTGGATTTTGTTCCAAAAGACAAGTGTTTTTAAAAAGAACCTTTCCATACTTCGTGTTCTGTTCTATAGAGTTAAACCTTTTAACTTCCATGGCCCTTTAGATCTCTTTCAAGCACATTCCATTTTCTTCTGATCATACTTCCTCAGAAAACCTTTTTTTGGCTGGGTGTGGTGGCTCATGCCTGTAATCCCAGCACTGTGGGAGGCTGAGGTGGTTGTATTGCTTGAGGCCAGGTGTTTGAGGCCAGCCAGGGCAACACAGCAAGACCCCATCTCTACAAAATATTAAAACATTAGCTAGGCATGGTGGTGCACACCTGTAGTCCTAGCTTCTTGGGAGGCTGAGGCAGGATTGCTTGAGCCCAGGAGTTTGAGCCTTCAGTGAGCTATGATCGCGCCACTGTACTCCATCCTGGGTGATGGAGCGAAGAACCTGTCTCTTAAAAAAAAAAATTTTTTTTTAATTAAAAAAACCCACCCTTTTTCATTTCCCAACATTTTTTGGCTATTATGATCGCTATGTGTTCCTTCAAATAATTTCCAGTGAATCCACACTTGATGTTGCAAAGCCTAAGTTTGCTGCAGAAATACAATTTCCTACACTTCATACCTAAAGGAGATTCAGAGCTATCGCTCAAAACCAAAAGTCTTGGTTTTTAAATGTGCTTAGACAAAAAAAATCAGGAAAGGTACCCTAATCGTTCAACAGCAATCATCTTTGGGGAATGGGCATTTTGGTAGGTAAAGTGTGGTGGACGTCCTTATTATTATTTTTGAGACAGTGTCTTGCTCTGTCTCCCAGGCTGGAGGTCAGTGGCACAAATCTCAGCTCACTCTAACCTGCACCTCCCGGGTTCAAGTGATTCTCATCTCAGCCTCCCAAGTAGTGTGAACTAAAGGCATGTGCCACCACGCCTGGCTAATTTTTGTATTTTTAGTAGAGACAGGGTTTCACCATGTTGGCCAGGCTGGTCTCGAACTCCTGGCCTCAAGTGATCCACCCACCTCAGCCGCCCAAAGTGTTGGGATTACAGGCATGAGCCACCATGCCCGGCCCCTTATTTTACTTTATCCTCCTGATTATTTGAATTTGTTACACTAAGCATGTATTTTATAATCAAAAATAATTAAGATTTAAAACAATGTATTTGACTACTAAAAAGCAAATTATATAAATCAGTTGAATAATAATGTTGTTAAAGAGGCTGTTTAGCACTAATTTGACCAAATCTATAGTCAAAGTTTGATTCTACTTGAATTTTTTGGAAATTTGCTGTTGTATTACTTATTCTTTGCCTTGTTCTCTGTGAAGTCCTTTCCTAAAAAAGAAACTTATACAATTTAGTTCACAAAACTTTGTTGACCTCTTTCTCTGTAGAAATGAAAACTAAATATATATAATTGAGAAATAATTCTGATACTCTTCATTCCTATAAAAGTAATTAAGATAGACCTATAGGATTGTTGAACTTTGCTGCCAAATATAGTAACCAGTAACCACAGCTAGCTGTAAAATTGAAAATTCAGTTCAGTCAAACTAGCCATATTTCAAGTGCTCAACAGCCACTGGTGGCTATTGGTTACCTTACTGACCAGCCAATATAGGCTATTTCCGTCATTATAGAAAGCTCTATTGGACAACATTGGTCTAGGACATATATTTTGTATTTTCCCCTCACCCACCATCCAATAATGAGTAATAGCACAAAGTAAAAGTGACTTAATTTGAAATTACTTCTGTTTGGCTAGTTTGCTTAGCTGATCACCACCAACATCATAGGTCTATAAATCACCCAACTAAGATCAGGGGTGTTTCATGGGAAAATCTACACAAACTATTCATTAAAAACCATAGAGCCATGGACTGTCATTTCTGATTTCTGTTTGATTCTTTGTGGTCATCATTGAATATACAGGGGCCTCTATACACTCTGGGGAGTATCTATTCTCAGGTGAGCAAAATACCGAATACTGAATGGAAATCAACTGTAAGTATTAGGACTTCATATGCAACTTGAATTTTTGGTGCTGTCCGGAGTCTAGAGCCCCACAATCTGTTTTGGTTACAGTTTATCCCTGTAGGATAAATGATCCATTTAACTATTCATCAGAGGTGCTGTAATTTTAAATTGTCTCTTGTCTCCTTCAGTTAATTTTCAGAATTAAAAACATACCATGGGAAAAAAGCTTGAAGTTTCTCTTTATTGGTGAGGTAAGGAATACTTTTGTTTTAGCCATTGAATGTTAAGCTCTAAAAACCAATCTTTAGCTATAAAGACATAAGACAAAGTCTATATTTAAAACATACAAGCTGGTTTCTTCTCATTTCTAGCTCTCTTCCAAGTTCATTTTTCTTACTACATAAAACTAGTGCCTTTTTGATAGGCCAAGTCCCAGGAAGGACAGACATTGTTCTTACCATTCCAACTCTCACTGAGGGTGGAAGAGAAACCCTCTGTCTGTAGTTTCAGGTTCCCAGATCCTTCATATATATATATATATATATATATATATATATATATATATATATATATATATATATATATTTATATTTACATATATATATATTTATATTTACATATATATTTTTATATATATTTATATATATATTTATATTTATATATATTTATATATATAATTTTTTACAGTCCAGAGATCTTTTATTAACACTTATTATGCCATGAATTCATACGGAATAAGTTCCAGCAGCTCAGGCTCCTTCCCATTGGTTCTCACAAAGTGTGCTTCTCTGGGTGGAGCAGGCTGGCACTTCAGTTGAACCCAGGTAACTTTCTCTCTTTTTTTTTTTTGGAGACGGAATCTCGCTGTCACCAGGCTGGAGTGCAGTGGCGCGATCTCAGCTCACTGCAACCTCCGCCTCCCAGGTTCAAGCGATTCTCCTGCTTCAGCCTCCTGAATAGTTGGGACTACAGGTGTGCGCTACCATGCCCAGATAATTTTTGTATTTTTAGTAGAGACAGGGTTTTACCATATTGGCCAGGATGGTCTCGATCTCTTCACCTCGTGATCTGCCCGCCTGAGCCTCCCAAAGTGCTGGGATTACAGGCGTGAGCCACCATCCCTGGCAAACCCAGGTACCTTTCTCTTTGGCTTCTTTTTTTTTTCTGATCATTTTCCTCATGCATTTCAGGAAGCTATCTCGGCTCTTAGAGTGCTTCATGTGCTCAGTATGCACATTAATGCTCTTGGCAAGAATATTGCCCTTGTTTATTTACAACAATGCCAACAGCATGCTGGGTAACACTGTAGACTCTTCCAGTTTTGCCATGGTAACACTTGTGGGGCATTCCTTTTTGAACAGTACCCATTCCCTTGATGTCTACAATATCACCTTTCTTATAGATTCGCATATACGTGACCAAAGGAACAACTCCATGTTTTCTAAAAGTCCTAGAGAACATATATCGGGTGCCTCTCCTCTTTCCGTTTGTGTTCATCATTTTGGCAAATTACTGGAAGATGGGGGTTCTGGCCAAAAGGCTGTGTATCTTATATATGTATGTATATTCAATACTTGAAATAATTTTTGTTACAAAGAGCTAGTGTCATCAAATGCTAATTCACAGAATGTGGCCTGAATTTTATTTTACTGATACCATTTATCTTAAAATAACTCTTCTGATATCCACTTAGAGCATCTCCAAACTGGTATTAGAACCCAACCCTCAGTACTAGTGGAGCTTGAATTCCTTTCCATGGGTCCCATGTTTTTGGCTTGGATACAGAAACTTCTAAGTGGAGCTACAAAGTGAAAATATGAAGCTGCAATTCTAAAAAGCCGCACAGTCAACTTCTGTGCAACAATACATCAAATAACCTAGTGTTTTCTATGTGGCTGACCATAGGAACTGAAAGTGTTATTAGAACTGAGGACAATTATAATGGCTTTCTGCTTAGACACATCACACCATGATTTAGAACAGAATAAGGAAGGGAAATAAATCTAAAACAGAGTAAGAGAAAAAGAATGTTATCCCCTCTCTCAAAATAAAGTGTGAATGGAGGGCACGGAGTATATTTAGTTTCAGTTAATGCTATAACAGAATACCATAGACTGGTGGTTTATCAACAACAGAAATTTATTTCTCACAATTCTGGAGGCTGAGAAGTCCAAGATCAAGGTGCTTACAGATTTGTTTTCTGGTGAGGACCCACTTCCTGGTTCGTGGATGTTTGTCTTCTCCCTTTCACATGGCAGAAGGGGTGATGGAGCTCTCTGGGTCTCTTTATATAAGGGCACTAATCCCATTCATGAGCGCTGTTACTCTCCTGACCTATCACTTACCAAAAGCCCCACCTCCAAATACCATCACATTGGAAATGAGATTTCAACATTAGAATTCTGGGGGCACACAAACATTCAGTCTACTGCAGACATTAAATAAGAATCTAGGGTAAATTCTAACAAAGAATACATTTGAGTTAAAGAGTGAAACATAAGACTTTAAGAAAGAAGGAACAGTGAAAATATTCTTTAGAATGAAAATGATAGTATTTATGTACTGAAAATATGTCCTTGACAGTAGTCATTGGGTTTGAAGTAAGTATGGTAGCATAATCTCCTAAAAGAACATTTCTGATACAAAAAGGAATTAATATTGTGCGGAAAAGGCATGTTCCACTCTCCCCCAGTCATACCCCAAGTTTGCACTCTTTGCTATTCCTGCCTTTAACCCCTTCTAATTTCTTTTCAATGAAACCACTGAGAAAGTAGGAAACAGAAAATGGTGGTAGTGAACCAGATATAAAAAAAAACTTCCAATGAAGAACTTAATAAATAACTTTAAAAAGAACATTTTTATACTCTAGCCATTATCATAGTACTTGGTAAATACGGGTATGTTGGCATCTTTTTCCTTGACCCATCAGAAGTCTTGAAAGATGTGGTCCTCCGGAGTTTCAAAGTGTTTTATTTATTGAAGAATGAATTTCACTACTAACCTTATTTCTTTCATATTCTACTGGCTATTTTACCAATATAAATTTAGTCTTCATAAATAAAAAAAATATGTTTTCATAGCAGCAAGTCTACGTCCATTATTGTGAAGTTTGCTTTCAAGGAGATTTCGTGTTCCATCATGAATTAAATTATCTGCTCCCTAAGTAACTTCATTTGCAAAATGTCAATAAAGTTCATAGCTCTCTATTAAAATTCGAGCCACTCTGTCATGTAAATACAGTTAGATGGTGAAATCTCACCACCTTCGTGGCAGTCATCAAAAACCTTTAAAAAAGAAAAAAAAATTATATTCAAATTAAAGTTTTAAAATATCTAAGACCCAACCACTTATTTAAAGCAAGATTAAAAACAAAACTTTCAAACTGAAAGGGACTAGGACTGTACTTAAGAACATATTATAGCCGGACGCAGTGGCTCACACCTGTAATCCCAGCACTTTGGGAGGCCGAGGTGGGTGGTCAAGACCATCCTGGCTAACATGGTGAAACCCCGTCTCTACTAAGAATACAAAAATTAGCTGAGCGTGGTGGCAGGCACCTGTAATCCCAGCTACTCGGGAGGCTGAGGCAGGAGAATTGCTTGAACCTGGGAGGCAGAGGTTGTAGTGAGCCAAGATCGTGCCACTGCACTCCAGCCTGGGCGACAGCAAGACTCCATCTCGGGGGGCGAGGGGGGAGCGGGAAGAACATACTATAATAGGGCCTGCTTTGTGATCATCAAGTTAGGAGTAGTAGAGAGGCTTTTTTTACTGTGGCATTAAGATGACCATGCTCACCTGTCTGCTGGGCAAAAGGCTATCACCAGGTAACACAGGAATATGGGCAGGGAGACCTATACATATGAATGACTTAATTTTGATTAACCAAATGTTTCATGTTTAGCTACCTTTTTGTGAAGGGTGCAAAACAGAATTCCTAATATGTTAGCCTTTTGTCTAGGGACTGAAACCAAGGCATAGAGAGCTTAGGCATATAGACAAAGGTTGGTATAATGAAATAAAACACACACAGGCTCATCTATAAATGCCATGAGGACTGGGACAGTGTCTCTTGCTTTCTCTTGTATCCTTAGTGCCTAGAGCATAGAGTTGGCACTTACAATATTTGGGAATGAATGAAGGAGGAGTGCTGGGGCATGCTGCAGGGGAAAGACATGATCTCTGGGTTTGAATCCCGGTTACTTCTAAGCTGTATGCCCCTATGTCTTCCTAAGCCTAAGCTCCCTCACTTTTAAGGGGAAATAACACCACTAGCTTCAAGAATGTAAGGAGGATTAAATGAGACCGCCTATGGAAATCATCAAGGACATATCTGGCCCAAGGTAGGTTCTCAACAAATCTCATTTTCTGCCCTATTTAGGTGAAATGATTAGCCCTCATCAAAAAGTGTCCATTTCAAGGCCAAGAGCAGAAAACGTAAATATCCTTAATGTGGTTGTTCCAAGAAAGAATGTAAAGCAGGGGGCCAGGTACAGGGGCACATGCCTGTAATCTCAGCACTTTGGGAGGCTGAGGGGATCACCTGAGGTCAGGAGTTCGAGACCAGCCTGGCCAACATGGTGAAACCCCGTCTCCACTAAAAATAAAAAAAATTAGCTGGGCATGGTGGTGGGTGCCTATAATCTCAGGTACTCAGGTGGCTGAGGCAGGAGAGCTGCTTGAACCCGGGAGTTGGAGGTTGCAATGAGTCAAGATTGTGCCACTGCACTCCAGCCTCGGTGATAGAGTGAGACTCCGTCTCAAAAAAAAAAAAAAAAAAAAAAGTAAAGGAATGATGTGTTCATTAAAGGTCTGTTCATCAAGGTTTCATGGAGGTTTGAATAGCTCTTGGTCAACCCTAAGAGTCTGAGAAAACTGGGCTGTGCTTGCTCTGTTTCTTAATGTGGCACTTGCACCCGTGGGCAGTCAAGTGTAAAGTGAAGCCACTTTAACTCACCGGGCAGAGTCCACAGGGTGCCCGGACCAAACCTGTGGGAGGGATGATTGGATTGACTGCCCTGTACAGTTTCATGTGTCCATCTACACTGCCAACTGTGCCTTCTTTTGCAGCAATAATCGTCATCTCCACTTTTCCATCATAAATGAGTGTATTCAGGATGGTTTCAATGTCTTCCATGGATAACTCTACCTAAAAAAGGGATACATCAGAAAGGACACAAGTAGGATAGGGAGACATCCACTTGGAGGGTGTTAAAAACAGTAAAGGGTTGCTGGGCGCAGTGGCTCACGCCTGTAATCCCAGCACTTTGGGAAGCCGAGGCAGGTGGATCACTTGAGGTCAGGAGTTCGAGACCAGCCTGGCCAACATGGCAAAACCCTGTCTCTACTAAAAATACAATTAGCTGGGTATGGTGGCAGGCACTTGTAATCCCACCTACTCGGGAGGCTGAGGCAGGAGAATGGCTTGAACCCGGGAGACGGAAGTTGCAGTGAGCTGAGATCGCACTACTGTACTCCAGCCTGGGCAACAAGAGCCAAACTCCATCTCAAATAAATAAATAAAACAGTAAAGGGTCATAATTCTGCTGTGAAATGGGAGAAACATTATGCTGGGGTGGAGTAATTTAAAGCACAAAGAGGAGGAACAATAGGCCAAGTTAGCACAAACCACTGAGGTGCCAGGGACAGAACTCTAAGCTCATGCTGAGTTTGACACTTTCTGGTATCTTTACTTCCTAAGTAAAATCGAGAAATCTTATAAAAAATAACATTTCTTTAGCAGGAATTTATTGGAGATTTATAAAATGCTTGAGCAGAAAGGCACTTTAGACATCAAATAGTCCAAGTTCCTAGTTTTTATGAGAAATCTGAGGCCCAGGAAATTAAAGTGACATGTCCAAAATGGCCACTTTGATTTCTTCACTGTGAAAAGCATCAGTGTCCTTAAAAAAAGAATTTCAAAAGGCTAGGGTACAGTGGCACTTTGGGAGGCCAACGCAGGAGGATCACTTGAGTCCAGAAGTTCAAAACCAGCCTGGGCAACAAAATGAGACCCTACCTCCAAAAAAATAAAAAAAGCATCAGTGTCCCAAGCTGAGTATCAGTTCAGACAATGCCCAATGGCAGTGACTGCCTTTGCCTAAGATACAGGACAGTATTTTCCCAAAGTGGATTCTGCAGAATGTTCGTAGCTATCATCTCAAAAAAAAAAAACAATGTGGGTCAAATACATGTTTGGAATACATTGTATGTGACAAAGAATAAGTTTTAAAAAATAAGATGAAATTCAGTTCTGACCTTACTGATTCCCAATTCGCAGATATATTTCCACACTTCATGTGATGAGGCAAATGAACTATTTCTTTGTATCATTGGGTTCTGTTTGCTTTCTCGTGCTGTTTCTGCCTATAAGGATTGAAACATAAGAAATGTAAATAAGAATATTGGTGTGTTTTCTGAATACACTTTATACTGAGTCAAACCAACAACAGAACATATTTAGTTAAGTAAAAATTCCCAATTTCAGGTTTTTAATTCCTATAAAATATGATAAATAGATTAAAATCCTTTGTGAAAAACTTTTTACAAGAGGGTTTGCAGTGATGTTTCCTCAATCATACCTCACCTTGGACTGTAGGAATTTAAAACACTGTTGGTTAAGCACCTCTACAAATTCAGATTCAAAATCCTGGTCACTGTACCAGGCTCCACCAGTCACAGACCGGTCTGGCTGCAGGTTATAGAGCATATACACCTTCTTTTTTGAGGCCTAGGAAAGAACATGCACAGTTCATGTGTTTATAAGATAACAATTTCCAAAAACAAAAACACCTATATTTTGGAACAGTTTAAGATGTACAAAATTATTGCAAAGATAGTACACAGAGCTCCTATATACATCATGCTGTTTCCCCTATTTTTAACATCTTGGATTAGTGTGGTACACTTGTCACAATTAATGAACTAATATTGATAAATCATTACTAACTAAATGCCATACTTTATTCAGATTTCATTAGTCCTAATGTTCCTTTTCTGCTCCAGGATTCCATCCAGGACATCATACTACATTTAGTCATCTCTCTCAGGCTTCTTTTAGTTGTGACAGTTTCTCAAACACCGTATTTCTATCACTATGGACTCATGAGTATTTATTTTATACTTTGATTTACATTCAGATACTTCATTGTTATTCCCACACTGGAAGCTTTGGAATGCTTTGGGCATTGGAAGCTTTTCACTTGGTTCCTGTATCCCTTTGCTATGCTCCCATCGTGTGTGTGTGTATTTTAGCACTTTTTTTTTTCTTTTGGAGACAGGGTCTTGCACTGTCGCCCAGGCTGGCGTGCACTGGTGCAATCTTGGTTCACTGCAACCTCTGCCTCTTGGGTTCAAGTGATTCTCCTGCCTCAGCCTCCCGAGTAGCTGGGGCTACAGGCATGTGCCACCATGCCCAGCTAATTTTTGTATTTTTAGCAGAGACGGGGGTGTCACCATGTTGGCCAGGATGGTCTCGATCTCTTGACCTCGTGATCCTCCCGCCTCAGCCTCCCAAAGTGCTGGGATTACAGGCATGAGCCCCCGTGTCCAGCTATTGTAGCACTTTCTTACTTTCTAGCACTACAAGATGTCAAGAGCATTTTCTTTTCTTTTTTTTTTTGAAACGGAGTTTCGCTCTTGTTGCCAGGCTGGAGTGCAATGGCACACGATCTCAGCTTACTGCAACCTCCACCTCCCAGGTTCAAGCGATTCTCCTGTCTCAGCCTCCCGAGTAGCTGGGATTACAGGCGCCCGTCACTATGCCCAGCTAATTTTTTTGTATTTTCAGTAGAGATGGGGTTTCACCATGTTGGCCAAGCTGGTCTCTAATTCCTGACCTCAGGTGATCCACCCTCCTTGGCCTCCCAAAGTGCTGGGATTACAGGCATGAACCACCCTGCCCAGCCGTCAGGAGCATTTTCTACATGTTCATTTTATTGCATGATAGAAACCACGACTTGGGCACTAGATGTGTTCATTGCCATCGGGATGTCATCACTTCTAGGCCTTCTCAGTTGGCAGCACGAGATTTATGTGCGCATATTAACCCTTGTATATATACATAGCTATACTCAATATTTCTAAATATAACCATCTATATTATTTATATTAAATTACACAAGAGTCCATACTGATGTTTTCAAGTCTAATCCATTACTACATGGATCATTCTAACTTTCCTTGTTTGTCTGTAACTACTCACCCCAACACTGAGGAACCCAAATTTCACTGGGTTGTAAACATGAAGAATTTGGGCCAGGCATGGTGGCTTATGCCTGTAATCCCAGCACTTTGGGAGGCTGAGGTGGGCAGATCTTTAAGTCTAGGAGTTCAAGACAGGCCTGGGTAACATAGTAAAACCCTGTCTCTACAAAAATACAAAAATTAGCTGAGCATGGTGGCACGTGCCTATAGTCCCAGCTACTTGGAAGGCTGTGGTGGGAGGATGGCTTGAGCCCAGGAGGTTGATGCTGCAGTGAGCTGTGATTGTGCCACTGCACTCCAGTCTGGGTGACAGAGCCAGACCATGTCTCAAAAAAAAAAAAAAAGAAAAAAATTTGGCTAGACTTTGTCCCTTTTTCCTAGGAAATAACTTCTACATCTTTGGAATTTCCCAATAGGCCTTGTTATTCATGGTGAATCCCTTAGATCACACCTGGGTTTATGCTAACAAGGTGACTCCTGATAGGACTCTAAATAGTTTCAGGATAGGAGTTGTCCATGCTGGAAAGACCAACCGCATGATTAGAGGGTTGGGGCTTTGGGCCACATGACATCAGTCCAATCTCTTGGGAGAAGAGAGGAGCTGGAGATTGAATTCACTCACATGACCAAGGATTCAATCAATCATGCCTGTATAATGAAACCCTAATAAAAACTTTGGACAGCAAAGCTTGGGTGGGCTTCCAAATTTGGTTAATGCTTCTGTCATACAAAATAATTTCACCACCCTAGAAATATTTCTCATGCTTCACCTATTCAACTTTCCCTACCATCCCTGCCCTCACCCCGATCTTTTTAGTCTGTCTAGTTTTGCCTTTTCCAGTATGTCATATAGTTGTAATCATACAGTATGTAGCCTTTTCGGACTGGCTTCTTTTACTTAGCAATATGCATTTAAGATTTACTCATATCTTTTCATGATAGCTTATTTCTTTTTATAACTGAATACTATTCTGGTTTGTCTATCCATTCACCTATTGAAGGATACCTTGGTTGCTTCCAGTTTTTGATTATGAATAAAGCTGCTGATTACGAATAAAGCTGCTATAAATATTCATGTAGTTATGTGGACATGAGTTTTCAAATCAGTTGGGTAAATACTTAAGAGCTTGACCTTTGGACAATGTGGTAAGACTCTGTTTAGTTTTGTAAAAACTGCCCAGTTTTTTAACAAAAGGACTGAAAATTTTGCATTCTTAGCAATGTATGAGTGTTCATCTTGGTCTGTATCTTGTCAGCATATGGTATTACCAATTTTTAGATTTTAGCTATTCTAATAGGTGTGTAGTGGTATCTCACTATACTAAATTTTATTTTAATTTGCAGTTCTCTAATGAAAAATAATGTAGAGCATCTTTTCATATGCTTATCTGCCATCTGTATGTCTTCTTTGGTGAGGTTCAGATCTTTTGCTCATTTTTAGTTGGATTATTTGTTTTCATTGTGTGTTTTTTTTTTTTTTTCTTTTTTTGAGATGGAGTTTCGCTTTTGTTGCCCAGGCTGGAGTACAATGGTGCAATCTTGCTCACTGCAACCTCTGCCTCCTGGGTTCAAGCAATTCTCCTGCCTCAGCCTCCCAAGTAGCTGGGATTACAGACATGTGCCACCACGCCTGGATAATTTTGTATTTTTAGTAGAGACAGGGTTTCACCATGTTGGTGAGGCTAGACTTGAACTCCTGACCTCAGGTGATCCACCCGCCTTGGCCTCCCAAAGTGTTGTTTTCTTATTGCTGAATTTTAGGAGTTCTTTGTATATTTTGGAGACAAGTCCTTTATCAAATATGTGATTTGCAAATATCTTTTAGTATGTAACTTGTCTTTTCATTCTCTTAATGTGTCTTGCAAAGCAGAGGTTTTCAAAAAATTTTGATAAACTCCAACTTATTAACATTTTCTTTCATAGACTACTATTGGAGTTATAGTCCAAGAATTCATTAACAAAGCCAAGGTCATGTAGATTTTCTATGTTTTCTTCAAAAAGTTTTATAGTTTTGCACTTTACACTGAGATCTAAGATTATTTTAACCCTTAAAAGGACACAGAAGTTCACCAACGGATGAATGAACAAAAGGTGATATACATCTATACAATGGAATTTTAATTGGCAATAAGAAGGAATAAAGCACAATATGGATAAATCTTGAAAACATCATGCTAAGTCAAAGTAGTCATACATAAAAGACTACATATTCTATTATTCCATTTATAGGAACTGTCCAGAATAGGCAAATCTATAATAAAGGCAGAAAATAAATTATTCGTTTTTAGGGCCTATGGAAAGAGAGGCTGGGAAACAAATACTAGTGGCCACATTTGGGGGTGATGAAAATGTTCTAAAATTAGAACAGCGGTGATGGTTGCACAACTCTTAGCTTATAGTAAAAACCAGTGACTGTAAATCCAAAGATTTTACACTTTAAAAGGTTGAATGAATTCTGTAGTATGAATGATGAATTATATTTCAGCAGAGCTGTTATTAAACATAAAGATGTAGAAGGAGGACTGACAAAATGAGGCTACATGATAGGGTTTTATTATATGATTTTTTCTACCTTTGTATATATTTGAAATTATCCATTAAACAATGTGGAAGGGAAATGCTATTCTGATAAATAAAATCACTAATAAGCATCAAATTCTTATAAGTGATGTTATAATTCTTATAATTCTTGTTTTATTCAAAAATAAAAACTTGAAGCAACATATGTAAGCGGATATTTGAGGAAAGGTCTACTCACTGCCACAGACCTAACAGCTCTGAAATTATAAAATTTGAATTATAGCTGTAATTCTTATGAAATGTGTATTGAAGCAAACTTTATTCTAGGGGAATCTCAGTTCCTCTGATGTCTAAATCAGTGAGGTCAGGGGCAGATGTCCCCGAGGGAGCCAGCTCTGGAGCAGGGGTGGGGCAGGATGAGGAGCAGGAAAAACACACGTGTACTAGAAGAGAAGCTCCACCAAGGCAGGGATCTTTCTACGACTTGTTCATTAATGTATCCCAAGCACTCAAAACAGTGTCTGGCACACAGCAAACACTCTTTGTTGAATGAGAAAGCTAATATGTCGGGATAAAGTAAATTATCTTACACACCACAAAATCTAGGAAAAATGTTCACAGTTCCAAAGATTCTTCACTGAAGACAGTAAAGTAGTTTTAGATTTTTGAGTGGGTGAGTGAGACACCAAGAGCTAACTGTGTAGGGACAAGTCTAAGCAGCATCTCCAAACCAATCCAACATGAGCTAAATTTTTAAGTCTTTTTTGACCAGCTGTTCTAAATCATGACATAACTTCAAGAATAAAAACTTGAAGCAACATATGTAAGTGGGTATCTGAGGAAAGGACTACTCACTGCTACAGACTTAACAGCTTTGATAAGCTTTTTACTTTCCAGATTCTTCAGAATTTTGTTGATTTCTGTTAATGGCAAATTACTTTTATAGCGGATATCTCTGCTCCATATTCCTATAAGAAAGTAAAGTAAAATAAGTTGAACTCTGGTTTTCATGGATTTTTAATGTTATTCCTCTAACTTGTGTCTCATTCCAAAGCTAGCAGTATAAAGCTAACAGTAAAGAATGCTGGCTAAAGTAGCAAAAGTATGCTAAACAATAAATAAGTATAATGCTTTGTAAGACTTATTATAATGATTTATAATTTCTAACTAGAAATTTCTTGGAATCCCAGTGTGGCAAACTTTTAAAAAACTTATGGAAAGGGCTGGGCATGGTGGCTCATGCCTGTAATCCCAGCACTTAGGGAGGCCGAGGCAGGTGGGTCACCTGAGCTCAGGAGTTTGAGACCAGCCTGGCCAACATGGTGAAACTCTGTCCCTACTAAAAATACAAAAATAATTAGCCGGGCCTGATGGCATGCACCTGTAGTCCTAGCTACTCGGGAGGCTGAGGCATGAGACTCGTTTGAACCCGGGAGGCGGAGGTTGCACTGAGCCGAGATCACACCATTGCACTCCAGCCTGGGCAACAGAGCAAGACTCCATCTCAAAAAAAAGAAAAAAAAAATTATGAAAACGACGTTTTTATAATGGAAGGAAAAATCATGGATGCAATGGAATTTTATCATCTGTACCCTTATCTCTGTTTTCTGATACTTTCATTTTAGATTGTAAATGTGAAATACAAACTTAAATTTGGGTCAAGGTCAACTGCCATCCTCAAGTGGGACAAAAACACTCTTTAGATGAGTGTCTGCATGCATGTAATCCATTATTTATACAACATTGTATTTGTGAGATGGAAAAGGAAGCCTAGGGTTCTTATGGCTGCTAAAAGCCCTGTGTGAGAAGCAATGATTTCTTTTTCAAAGAAGGAAATAAGTGTTATATATGGAAAGGGAATGTATGTAAATATTTTGCTTTATTTTCTTCCCAATGTAATGGCATATGAGATAGGAAGATTAAAAAAATATGCAGAATGGCTTTCTCATAGGACTATTTTTAAAAATGTTAATTTTAATAAATATAAGAATTAGTTATGTAATTTCAGATTACATCTCAATTTTTCCAGCTAATATCAATGACTCAAATAGATCCCAAATTATTGTAACTTAGGATTGCAATTTAGATACAGTTCTTCAAGCGGGTAGAAGAGAAACTATAGCTGCGGAGGGACATCTGTTAAGACACTGCTACACCACACCAGCTTTCCTTTTGGTCCTTGCAAAAACGAGAGGTGTCAGCATCCACAATTTATAGATAAGATAAAGAAACTGAAGCTCACAAAGTTTAAGTAACTTGTCCATGGTCATATAGCTAGAAGGTACAGATTTAAAAAAAAAACTTAAATTTTATTTATTTTGAATAGATAATACATTCATGTGACTCAGAATTCAGACGTCTTTTTCCATCCCTGGACACAGCCCTTTAGTTCTTGTCTCTTTCAAGGCAACAACGGCCTTACTCTTGGGTGTCCTTCAAGCACATGCATGTTATATTTGTATGTTCTATTACCTTCCTCAGTATACTCTGTCCACTGAGTTCTACCCTGGGAAGCTGAGATCTGGGTCCCTATATCTAGTTCCAAAGACAATGTTTTTTTCTGCTTCATCTTTCACATGCTTACCTTTATTTCCTGCATCCTCTATGATTTGATATACTAGTTTTTCTTGGTTATCGGATCCCTTCATTTTACTGTAGTGGAATAAAGTAAAATTAGTAAGGTAAGGACTATAGGATAATCTAATAATCTACATCACTACTTAAACAAAATTAGCAGACAAGGTCACCACAGTGACATATTTACCAAAAGAAAGGCTTACCTTAAATAGAATGAGACAGAGCTGTGTGTACCAACATGAAAAGATGTCCAAGATACAGTAAGTGAAAAAAACAAATTGCAAAACAGAATGGATAGCATGATTCCATTTTTGTTAAAAAAAAAAGAGAAAGATTATATATAAATATATAATCATCTATGTGTATTTATATATAGCTAGAAGAAAGGATATACACTAAATTATTAAGAGCAGTTACCTCTGGGAAATGGAATATATCATAGGAGGCAGGGATGATACACAGGACAGGTTTATGTAATTTTGTATTAGCTTTATTCCCAACACATACGTTTGCAAATAATAAACATTTTCTTAAAATTAAAAAAACAAGTACTTACCCAGCATTCTGAGAGTCCTTTATTCTATATAAAAGGCCCGTATTGCTCCTTAAGAGATCCAACTGACCCTAGTTTTTAAGACAGTAGAAAACAGGAGTCAGTTATTTTGGAGATATGTTAAATCAAATGACAAATGTTGATGCATTCTTTAACATTCTTAATTTTTCAAAACCTGCTCTTTAATCTCAAAATTTTTCAAAATATCACTAACAATTTCCTGTAGGCTAGATCTTGGCTTGGTTATATGATCAATGCATAAAGAATTTTTAAAAAGCAGCTTGAGAATAACAATCTATATTAAAAATCAATATAAATCCAAATTACATATATAAAATAAAAATATAATTTATATAAATAAAAAGTTGAAATAAAGACTAAATAGGCATATTCTGTTGCACAGTGAAAAATAAAATTTATAAAGTTAATGGCTGGGCGTGGTGGCTCACACCTGTAATCTCAGCACTTTGGGAGGTCAAGGCAGGTGGTCCATTTGAGGTCAAGAGTTTGAGACCAGCCTGGCTAACATGGCGAAAACCTGTCTCTACTAAAAATACAAAAATTAGCCAGGTGCAGTGGCATGCGCCTGTAGTCCCGGCTACATGGAAGGCTGAGCTGAGATCGCACCACTGCACTCCAGCCTGGGCAACAGAGCAAGACTCCATCTTGAAAAGCAAAAAACAAACAAAACAAAAAACAAAAAAAGTTAACAGTGACATTTACTGAAGTCAGCCAATGAATAAAAGGACTAGAGTAGTATTGTTTTTATATAGCAAATCAAAAGTAAAATAAAGTATGTCTGTCATGCTCCTGAATTTCCTTGGGTCCGAACTTAAGAGAACCCAGATAATTATACCACTAGGCTCTGGAAGTACTAGAAAGCCACAGTTGAGAGGGACGCTATTCCCTTGTTTATTTATGTATTTATTTAGAGACAGAGTCTCACTCTGTCACCCAGGCTGGTGTGCCGTGGCACAATCTCGGCTCACTGCAACCTCTGCCTCCCGGGTTCATGCGATTCTCGTGCCTCAGCCTCCCAAGTAGCTAGCATTACAGGTGTATGCCACCATGCCACGCTGATATTTGTATTTTAGTAGAGATAGGGTTAGGCCATGTTGGCCAGGCTGATCTTGAACTCCTGGCCTCTAGTGATCCGCCTACCTCGGCCTCCCAAAGTGCTGGGATTACTGGCAGGAGCCACTGTGCCCAGCCCATTCCCTTGTTTTAAAACAGACACTCATGACTTGGAAATGGATTTACATACTGAATGAACAGTGACACACTCCTGTTCCCTGACCCCACGAAGTGGCAAAGTAGGACTACAAGGCCCAATCCAGAGGCTCTGGTCATTTATCCAGCTTATGAATATTTACTGAATACTTGTACTGTGCCAGGTGTTATGATAGGTGTTTGGGGGAACAACATTAATTCTAAAAGGGAAACACACAGGTGACTTCAATACCCATCTGGTTGGCATTAAGATAGAGGTAAGTAAAGCCACCCTGAACTCCCAGATTGGGTACTCGGAGAACAGGCTGCGGCCCAACCTGGGGGGGTTCAGTGACTTCCTGGAGACAATGGCAGAGTTGAGTCCTAATGCGTTAGTCATCTGTAAAGAATAAGAAGAACCTTCTAAGCAGGGGAACAACATGAGTCCTGTGGCACGAAACAGCATGATGTGGCCAGAAACCAAAAACAATCTGCTCCTCCTGAAACCTAACTTTTGAAGTAGAGTGGTGGAGATGAGGCTGGTGAACAATGCAGGGACTCAGTGTGGGAAACCCAGGAGTTTGAACTTGAATCTCCAGTATAAACAAATTGTAGGTGGTAGAGTGCCTTGGTCAGACCTGCATTTAAGACAGATCAGGGGCCAGGCTCGGTGGCTCATGACTGTAATCCCAAATCAGGCTGGCTTCTCTGAGACAGATGGAGTCATGGAAACCAGTTAAGATGCTACTGCAGCTGTCCAGGTAAAAGCCATGAGCCTGAACATGATGCAGTACCAGGGATAGAAATGGAGGGGGTGTGGACAGCAAATTTAAGAACTGTTTTTAAGAGCTAAAATCAGAAACATTACATGATTTATTAATAATCACTCCCTTTCTTAATATCCTTTGATAGCTCTACTACTGCCTGCATACAACCTATAGCCAATAGGACTCGCAGTGGGTGGGTGGTGGCAGAGGTGGTAAAAGAGAGGTGCTGAAGATGATTTTCAGTCAGAAGGAAAGAGCTGAGAGGGCGATCAGAGGAAGAAAAGAACTTTTTCCACTGCTACAACCTCCCAGAATCCCTTCCTCTGTCTTTCCTAGAGCTGAAGACCTTCACCACAGTGAAATAACTAGAAATCAGCAACATTCCTTTGTCCTTGGGCTAGAACAGGGGTGAGCAATCTGCTCCACAGCTTGTTTTTATAACCAAAGTTTTGTTGGAACATGGCTGTAGCCATTTGTTTATGTATCATCATCCATGGCTGCTTCTTGCTAAAATGACAGTGTAGTTGTGACAGAAATCATATGGCTCACAAAGCCTAAAACATATACTGTCTGGCACTTTATAGAAAAAGTTTGCCAACTCCTGAGCTAGAAAATTGATGGGAAAGGTTTAAGAAAAGATTCATCGGACCCCAAATCTCCACATCCAGAGCCCTTGGAAATCCAACAAGGCTAGTAGACTTAAAAAACAAATCAGTCATTCAGATGAGGCCTTGGCGTAGAACTCTTTAACCTAACTGCTACTAAAGCCAAACTGAAATGCTCTTAGGAAAAGGATGTTTTGGTGATGAGGGAAAGTAAGGGAGATTTAGAGCATCGGCACCACTTGGTGGGTTTTTAGACAGTCTTGCTTGTTTGTTTCTGGACAGATGGAGAATGGCTTCACTGATAAATTCCATTGCAATGTCACTGGGGGCTAAGGCTGCACTTCCTCCCCAAAGCCCAACATTCTTCATTCAACTGGACTCATTCTTGCTTCCTGAAATGCTCAGAGTGACAATGTGGAGAATGAAACCCTGATGACTGGGCTCTGTGACAACTCATAGGAAAATCGGGGGGTGGAATATTTTATGGGAAATGGCCCAACACCAGCAGTAGGAAGCAAACAGAAGGTGAGAACAGACTAGACCTATGTATGGCAGTGGCAATTAATAAATACAACAGTTATACCATAATACATTTATTTCATTTGTCTTATAACGCATAATTATTTCTTCTTTTTTCAATTCAGGTAGTTTGAGCTGTTTCCTGGTTTAGAGTCTTATCAGTCAAACCTAACACACTTTCTCGTTTTATGACTGCTGTATTAGGGTTCTCCAGAGAAAAAGAACCAATAGGATACACCTCCCTCTTGAAAGATTCATCAGAAGCTATTTGCTCTGTGATTATGGAGGCTGAGGAGTCCCATCATCTGCCCTCTGCAAGCTGGAGACCCAGGAAAGCTGGTGTTGCAGATCAAAGGGCTGAGAGCAGAGAGCTGATGGTGTAGATACCAGTCCAAGTCTGAAGGTCTGAGAACCAGGAGTGCTGAGGGCACAAGATTCATAGCCCAGCTCAAGATTGAATTCAAAGAGTGAATTCAATCTTCCTCTGCCACTTTGTTCTATTTAGGCCCTGAATGGATTGGATGATGCTCACCCAACTGGACCCATATCTACTTTACTCCGTTCACCAATTCAAAATGCTAACCTCTTTCAGAAACACCCACACAGACACTCCAATAAAATATTTAACTAGATATGTAGGAATCCTGTATCTTAGTCAAGTTGACATGAAATTAACCATCACAACTACATAATAAAAACCAGTGATAATCAGCATATCAGTAATTATGCAAAATAGTTAGATTCACCTTACCATAGACAACAACCTATTGATGGCTACTGCCCGCTGCTGGGCTTCTATATGAGGCATTTCATTCTGAATTACTTGGTCTGTGATTCCATGAGGGAACTGGTGACATAATTCTATAATCCTAGAAACAAAGGTATTAATGTTATCCTTCATGGTTACCTGTTTCAAGAGACAGTGGGGGTAAAAATACAAGTAGAATAGTTTGAAACTGTGCCTTTTTCACATTTGGCAGACAATCTGGGTTTCTGTGATGGTTTTGGATCAAAGCATGTTAGAAATTGAAGAAGATGATTTCTAAATACATGTTTACAGTATTATTGTTATTTAAGAATATTTCTTTTCCTCACTAATAAGAACTTTAAATTAGAGCAAAAGTCTAATGAAATCACAGAAAAAATATTAAAGCTGAGACTTCAGTTTTCTCGGGTGTAATAAGCATGACAAAGTTAAGCCATAAATCTGCAAGCAGGAGGCAAATGCAGATGTTTCTGGTAGGAAGCCAAAATTTGTTATGACAATTCACCATAATGGGGCCTGTTTTTGGAATTATACCTACCAAACAAAAAAAGTCAAAATCTTCACCTAGTCGACATCAACAAATGTATTATTCCTAACAGTCTGAGAAAGTTGAGTCTTTTAAAACTACGTGAAAATCTAAGAGTGGCAGTGCCTCGGTAAAATATAAAACTGGGCCGGGCGCGGTGGCTCACGCCTGTAATCCCAGCACTTTGGGAGGCCGAGGCGGGCGGATCACGAGGTCAGGAGATCGAGACCATCCCAGACAACATGGTGAAACCCCGTCTCTACTAAAACATAAAAAATTAGCTGGGCGTGGTGGCGCGAGCCTGTAGTCCCAGCTACTCGGGAGGCTAAGGCAGGGGAATCGCTTGAACCCGGGAGGCGGAGATTGCAGTGAACCGAGATCGCGCCACTGCACTCCAGCCTGGCGACAGAGCGAGACTCTGTCTCACAAACAAACAAATAAAAATAAAAGTGGCAGAGGCTTTGGGTGTCCTAAAAGTCTTGAGTTCAATACTGCACTGAAACCACCTGGCTTAATGTTACTTCGTAATCACCAACTGCGCCCTAACTCCGCCTAAACGTTTTGTCATAGACGTTCCCTTAGTGACAAGAGCGATCCTGGATCAGAACATGTATTCACAAGTGTTCTACAGGGAAAGAAAGCCGAGGGCTCCTCTCAAAGCACTGATCGCGTCAAAGTAGGAAGGCAGCACGTCATCACAACTTCCCCAAAAGTATCAGGGCAAAGCCAGCCAGCTACACAAAGTTGCAAGCTGTCAAACCCATTTTGAACTTCTTGAGTTCTGCTCTCCCAGGATGGGAAGGAACAAGTGGGTCCAGAACCCCGCAATCGTTTTTCCCGCGTGCTCACCTAACCCGCTCCGGCCACTCCCAAGGGATCCCGGAGAAGGGGTCCAGCTGCCCAAATGACTGGGCGCCTGATGGAGTGCCAAGCCGGAGCCTCACTGGTTTACCTGTTTTCTATTTCGACCGGATCCGCGTCAGGCGGCTGCACCTTCACCTTCACCTCCGCCATGAGGGCGCAGTTCCTGACGCCTGGGGGGAAAGATGCACGGAGCAGCCCGGTAGCAAGCCGGGGAACCCGGGGAACCAGTGGAGGATAGCGCTCTGCTGAGGCCGAGGGGCCTTCTTCCTCGTGTCGCAGCCGGTCCTTCCTTGCCTTTCGGCGGGAGGTGGCCAAGCTGCGCCTGCTCCGGCCCACTTACAGGCGCCGCTACAGCTTCTTATTCTTGTTTTCCAGAATGTCAATGCCCATCGGACGCACAAGCCTGGTTCCTTCATTCTGAGTTGGGAAACCAACTTTTAGCACTTGGCAACTCTGTGAAGGAATATTCTTAGATGCCTATGGGAAAGCACTGGGAAAGGAACTCCAGGCGGGTACCAGGCTCCCTGCGGAGCGGCAGGGGCCGGTCTAGTTGCTAAGAAGCTGAGTCTCCACCAATCATCTGCCCAGCACCCAGTGGGCGGGGCGCGGCTCGCCGCGTCTGTGGTAACCCGGGCGGCGGCGAAGGAGGAGGCAAGAGGCGGTGAGAGGCTGGCGACTGGGTTGGGCGCGGCAGAGATGCATTAGGGGTCCCGATCCCGGGCCCCGCGGTTAGAGGAAGAGGAGGGCGGCTAGAGGAGGGGAAGAGCTTCCCTTACTCCAGCCGAAAGGATGCAGGTGTCCTTGGCAGCCCCTGATGGGCGGGAACAACCAAACGGGATTCCGGATCCGGGCTGCGAGGGGGCGGTCCACGTTGGGAGAGTTGAGGGGTCTGGGGATCCTGTTGACTGCACGTTGCCATTTGGGCCTGGCGGATCCGCCTTTTTTCTTGATTCCCTTTGCGTGGGGCCCACTGGCCACCCCAGCTTCCTAAGGGCAGCTGCTAGTTGACGCTCGCGAATTACTTCCTCTCCTACATATTTTTTATTTAGAATTTTTCAACTACTTTTATTTTATCTGCCTTTCACTTAAATGGAAATGCGACTATGGGCAAGTCTCAAGTCCAGCCACACTCCCGTAGGAGCTATTGTTGTGCTGTCAGTATCTGTAGTTTATATTCTTGGCCCTAGATCCGGAACTATCCAACAAGGCATTAAGTTCACCCCTTAAATTTAGGTACCCCATTTTTGAGAATACAGTCTGTGACAAAGCTCAAACTGCAGACATGTTCAGATCAGCATTATTAGAACTGCAACAGGCAAAACTAAAAAGAAACTAGAAATAGCCTAAATGCCCAGCCACAAATGGATAAATAAGTACAGGGAAAACTAAATAATACAGTGAGAATGCAAGAAGTAGACTATAAAAATGGAATGAATATGTAGATTATAATTGGGCAAAATCTATGGATTATTAATGAAATTTGAAAAGGCAATACAGAGATGTAAATGGTTGTTGTGTTAAGGTGAGCGTTTTTTCCCCCTGAAACCTTCTGTGCATTAATTATGACAACCTTCCTCCCCACCCTCACCTCCAAAAAGACCAGTAAGGCTTTCATACTGGTAGTTAATTATTAATACCAGGATTTATAAATACAGTAGATGAAACGGGAGGCTTGTGTTTATTGGTCACTGTTTATATTCTTGCAAACTTCCTTTCCACTGAGAAGTAGTACTCTGCAGTCCTTCTAAAGTGTCTTTGCAGCTTTCAAATACTAGAACTGCTCTGGTGATAATGGCAAGGCTGTGAACCCGGAGCTTTCCCAAAAAAGTTAGCTCTAACTAACATTTTGTGGTACACACAGAATTACTTCTGTTCCCCTTGTATGATGACTTGCCCTGAAGCCAAGAGAGCTGACACACACCAGAGGCAGGAAAAGGCGATAATGATTTACAGGGAACTCAAGTCAGAGCGTTAGTGATAGTCTCTGTTTTGCCTTACTCATTTAATTTGTCCTTTTAAAGTAACTTCTTTCTTTTCCCCATCTCATTCATTCATGCTCCTTTCGCAGAAGTGAGGTATTTAGATAATCAAAACCCCACACAAGACCTCAACAGCAAATACAGATGAAATGTAATTATTATTTCAATTAAAAAGGGAATAATATTTGTAGTGCCATGTTAACAGTATTCTCTCGTTTTAACTAGTTTTGCTGCATTTAAATTAAGTGCTGCTCTTCAGCTTTTGTGTACATTGGAATTTATATGTATATATATATAGAGAGAGAGAGAGAGAGAGAAAATGACTGCTGGTTCAGTGTGTGTCCCTCAGATCATACCATTACGAGTGCCTCAGCCTGGAAAAGCTAACCATGAAATTGATAACAATACGCTTTTGGAAATGAAATCAGGTAAGAATCACATATGTTTGAAATTGTTTAAAATAACATTGTCATATTTCTTGTGTTATCTGGTTGCTGGTTTATCTCTTTGCCTGCTTTCTCACTCTTTGCTCAGCTTTTTGGGAAATTTGTAAAACTTCTAAAATTTGAAACAGTGCTGTACATTGATGGTTTATAGAGTGGTATACATTTAGATTAAAATGGTTAGCTTTGACCAACCTTTCATTTGTATAGTTTCAGCAATGTCTTGACTTACCTTAGCCAAGGTAAGATGTCCCGGTGCTGGCCGGGTGCGGTGGTTCACACCAGTAATCCCAGAACTTTGGCAGGCCGAGGCAGGTGGATCACTTGAGGTCAGGAGTTCAAGACCAGCCTGGCCAACATGGCAAAACTCTGTCTTACTAAAAATACAAAAATTAGCCAGACATGGTGGTGGGCACCTGTAATCCTAGCAACTCAGGAGGTTGAGGCAGGAGAATTGCTTGAACCTGGGTGATGGAGGTTGCAGTGAGCCGAGATCGCGCCAGTGCACTCCAGCCTAGGCAACAGAGCAAGACTCCGTCTCAAAAAAAAAAAAAAAAAAAAAAAAAAGTCCCGGTGCTCCCCAAACTTTTCCAATATGCTCATTATTTAGCTGGTATAATAAATTTGACCTACTGATACAGGCTTTCCAGTCAGACAGGTTGGAGACTTAATCCCTGCCTTGACAACTTCTAGTGACCTTGGGTACATTACTTAGCCTTTTTGAGTCTGTTACCTCACTGTAAGACAGGAATAATAATATCTACTTCTTAGAGCCATTGTGAGGATAAATAGGTTCGTGTATGTATGAGGTGCACAGGGTTTGGCATATAGTAATGTGAAAATAAATCTCAACTCTAACTACAGAAATAAAGCAGTGAGGGCCAGGCCTGGTGGCTCACGCCTGTAATCCCAGCACTTTGGGAGGCTGAGGCAGGTGGATCACCTGAGGTCAGGAGCTTGAGACCAGCCTCCTGTCTCTACTAAAAATACAAGATTAGCCAGGCATGGTGGCCAATGCCTGTAATCCCAGCTACTCGGGAGGCTGAGGCAGGAGAATTGCTTGAAGCCAGGAGGCGGAGGTTGCAGTGAGCCGAGATGGCGCCACTGTACTCCAGCCTGGGAGACAGAACAAGACTCCATCTCAAAAAAAAAAAAGAAAAAGAAAAAAGAAATAAAGCAGTGAATGTATATCCTGCTAATACGTATTCTTCAAAATCTTAAATATGTGTGTATATCTACACATACACATATATATACATACACATATATAATTAACATAAGGAAGGAAAGTTTCACAGGTAAAACATATGAACAAATAGATGTGTAAAAAAGACTTTGAAATTCCAATTTTTGCCTTTTTTTAACCAATTATATATTTTAATAACTGAAATGTGTACAAACTATCTGCATTTATGTTATGACCCCTGTGCTGCTTAGACCAAGAGTTCTAACTAAGCATATGTATTATTATCTGTGTTCTCCTTTAGCTTAAAAGCTGATACAATTTTTTAAACTGTCAAACCAAATTAAACATTTTAATGTATGTGCCCATAATTCTTAGGAGAAGTTGGGTGACTATTGACAAAAGATGATATGAATGGTAGGGTATCAAAATTCCCTAATATGTAAATATCAAATAAATAAATAGTTTTCACAATTCAGTAACAAAAAGAACAGTAACCCAGAAGAAAAATGGGCAAAGGATATGAAAAGACCTTTTTTTTGTTTTTTCTTTTACAACTTTTATTTTAGGCTTGGGGGTACATGTGCAGGTTTCCTACCTGGGTATATTGTGTGGTGCTGAGGTTTGGGGTATGATTGAGGCCATAACCCAGGTAGCAAGCATTGCTGTAGGTTTTCAGCCCTCCCCACCCTCTGGTAGTCCCCAGTGTCTATTGTTCCCATCTTTATGTCCATTTGTACCTAATGTTTAGCTCCCATTTATAAGTGAGAACACGTGGTATTTCGTTTTCTGTTCCTGTGTTAATTCGCTTAGGATTATGACCTCCAACTATATCCATTTGCTGCAGAGGACATGATTTCATTCTTTTTTATCACTGCATAGTATTCCATGGTGTGTATGTACCACATTTTCTTTGTCCATTTCACCATTGGTGGGCACCTAGGTTGGTTTCATGTCTTTGCTATTATGAATAGTGCTGTAAGGAACATATGGGTACATGTGTCCTTTTGGTAGAACAATTTATTTTCCTTTGGGTACATACCCAGTAATGGGATTGCTAGCTTGAATGGTATTTCAACTCTTATTTCTTTCTTTTTTTTTTTTTTTTTTTTTTAAGACCGAGTCTTACTTTGTCACCCAGGCTGGAGTGCAGTGATGCAATCTTGGGTCACTGCAACCTCCGCCTCCTGGGTTCAGGTGATTTTCATGCCTCAGTCTTCGGAGTAGCTGGGATTACAGTTGTGTGCCACCATGCCCAGCTAATTTTTGTATTTTTAATCTGCCTGCCTGGGCCTCCCAAAGTGCTGGGATTACAGATGTGAACCACCGCGCCCGGCCTCAACTCTTATTTCTTTGAGAAATTTCCAAGCTGCTTTCCACAGTGGCTGAATTAACTTACATCCCTGCCAATAGTGTATAAGTGTCCCTTTTCTCTGCAACATCTGTTAGTTTTTGACTTTTTAACAAAGGCCATTCTGACTGGTGTGAGATGGTGTCTCACTGTGGTTTTGATTTGCATCTCTTTGATGATTAGTGATGATGAGCATTTTTTCATGTGTGTGTTGGCCACTTGTATATCTTCTTTTGAGAAATAATGAAAAGACATTTTGTAGGAAAGGAAATATAAAGGTCTCTTAAACATATGAAAATATTTCTTCTCCTTACGCTTCTCTCTGCCCCTTCGTCTGCTTGCTGAGCAGAACTTATCCCTGCTTCACCTCCAAGCACTTAATCACCACCTGACAAACTACATTTCCTTGGTTGTTTACTGTTTCAGTGTCCTTCCTAAAACATAATCTCCATGAGAGCAGGGACCATTCTAGGTACAGGGGATATGCAAGGAGCCCCTAAGATATACTTTTGCATATCCCCTATACCTAGAATGATGTCTGGTACATAATAGGTATTCAGCAAACATTCATTGTAATGAATTAGTGAGTTTTACTCAAAATGCAAGAAAGATGAATTGAAACTACAAGATAGTATTTTTTTTAACCTAGGAAATTAGGAAAACTAAAAGAAAAATGGATAACACACTAGATGAGGAAGATTGTGGTCAAATAGGTGTTTTCATGCATTGCTGGTGGCAGTGTAAATTGCTTAACCATCCATGGAGGGCAGTTTGGAAATATTAATCAAGATTACAAATGCTGGCAGGGCATGGTGGCTCACACCTGTAATCCCAGCACTTTGGGAGGCTGAGGTGGGCAGATCACCTGAGGTCAGGAGTTCGAGACCACCTTGGCCAACATGGCAAAACCCCGTCTCTACTAAAAATACAAAAATTAGCTGGGCGTGGTGGTGGGTGCTTGTAATCCTAGCTACTCAAGAGGTTCAGGCAGGAGAATCGCTTGAACTCGGGAGGCAGAGGTTGCAGTGAGCTAAGATCGCACCACTGCACTCCAGTCAGGATGACAGGAGTGAAACTCCGTCTCAAAAAAAAAAAAAAAAGATTACAAATGCATGTATCTTTTGACTCAGCAGTAACTAGTTCTACATATTTGTCTTGCCCATATATTTACAGAAATAATTCTTTACAAAATTATTTATTATAGTGCTTATAATTGCAAAAGAAACAAAGAAAAGGAAAAAAGAAGACAGCCTAAAGATCCATGTGTAGGGAATTGGTTAAATTATTGTTCATCTATATAAGAGAATGTGGTGCAGCTATAACAAATAATGAGGAAGCTCTTTTTTTAAAAAAATTTAAATTTATTTCCTAGGGAGCTCTTTATGTACCAATATAAGACATACTGATAAATGAAAAAAGAAATATGTGGAACAGGGTACAGTATGCCATCATTTGTGTCAAAAGAGAGGGAGAAATAAGAATATGTACATAGATGCTTGTATGGATATAAAATATTTTTGAAGGTTACTGAAGATACCATTGATAACCTCTGGGAAGCTGGTGTCGTGGGTTGGGGGAGACTTTTCACTGTATACCCTTTTTGACCTTTTGAATCTTGAATCATGTTTGTGTCAGTGCCCTGTTGGAGAGGCAAAAGAGCATAGTGGTTCAAGAGCAGGGGCTATGTATCCAACCTAGCAGAAGTCAAATCACAACTCCTCTATTATTTAGCAACTTTATTAATCTCTCTGGGACTCAGTTATCTCATCTATAAGATGGGTGTAAAATAGGACCTACCTCATAGGGTTGTACAGATGAAATGAGCTCATTCAAGTAAAGCACAATGCTGGTACAGAGAAAGAACTGCATTATTGCTATTACTATTCATTTCCATTATGTATATATAATAACCTATAGATCAGTTATTTAAGGAGATTAACACAATCTTAAATCACAACTTTTTTTTTTTTTTGAGACGGAGTCTCGCTCTGTTGCCCAGGCTGGAGTGCAGTGGCGCAATCTCAGCTCACTGCAAGTTCTGCGTCCCGGTTTCTGGCAATTTTCCTGCCTCAGCCTCCTGAGTAGCTGGGACTACAGGCGCCTGCCACCACGCCCGGCTAATTTTTTGTATTTTTAGTAGAGATGGGGTTTCACCATGTTAGCCAGGATGGTCTCGAACTCCTGACCTCGTGATCCGCCCGCCTCGGCCTCCCAAAGTGCTGGGATTACAGGCGTGAGCCACATGCCTGTCCTAAGTCACAACTTTAAATCTTAACTTAAATCACAACTTTAAATCTTAAATCACACACTTAGATCTTAAACTGACCTATAGGCATTATTCAGGGACTTGCTACTTTGGTGTTAATTATAGTTATCCTGTTTTGGATTTTTCAGACACTCCAGATGTCAACATATATTATACTCTGGATGGCAGCAAACCTGAATTTCTAAAGAGAATTGGTTATGGGGAAAATAACACATTTAAGTATATAAAACCTATTACTCTGCCTGATGGAAAAATACAAGTTAAAGCTATTGCTGTCTCTAAGTAAGTTAAGAGCATGGTGATTAATTTAATTTATGATATAATAACATTATGTTCTAATTTTATTCATTTTTTCCTATCAGAATCAGTGCTGCATTAGAAGGACACTACTGAAACATTATTTTAATTTCAGCATATGTATGTAACATTTGTGTTTTACTTGCCTTTCATTGAGGCATACCGTAAGGTGCAGAAATCATAAGTATACAGCTCAGTGAAGTGTTATGTATATTAATACTGTTTTTATTTTAAATTCCACATTGGGGTTTCAGGAAGGAAGATCCTTTCCAGGGCCGGGGGTCTCTAAAGAGCTCCATCTTGCTCTGAAGAAAATACTGTGTTCGCGGAGTGGCTCTTTTATTCCCCAGGATGCAGCCTACAACCACCGCCGTCATTCTCGATTTCGTTTTGTATCGACTTAATTGGCCTTCAAAGCTACTGTCATTTCAACTTGTTGGACATTAGCTACCATACTTTTTTCTTTATCCTTTTTTTTCTTAATGACTTTTTCCCATTTTCAAATATAGAAACACTATTTAATTTGGCAACCTTCACCATGTGTTGTAGGCAAAAAACAAAACAAAACAAAAAAAAACCTCAAATCCTTGCAATTCTGTGTGGCTGTGATATAGGAATTATTTTTCCAGCAATGCAGGTTTGGCCACATTTTGGGAACATTTAAAAGCCCCAAACCAAATGCAGTACCTGGCTGGCCCAGGTACTTTAAAGGACTCTAGCCCCACCCCCCACTGACTGAATTACTGCATGGCTTTTTGAGGAGAGCTGCACATTCCACAGCAAACATGATTGCCTTGGCATCTGAAAATTATAACAAATAAAATGAAACAAAACAACCCCTTTATGCACATTATTATTGTTTTAAAGTGTGTGCTGCAAATGGAGTATATGCACGTTATTATTCTTTATAAAATGTTGTCACACTTGCCAGGCCACTTCTATCAAGGTAAGTCATCTCAATTATTAAAAATTAAGAACCTCAATACTCTGGTGGCCAAATGCTGTAAAGCAGGCCTCCTTAGAAGCTGCAAGTAGTAGTAAAATGAAGAGGCAATTTAATGACTGACTATGCAGTTTGAAGGAGTTAATAAGGCTTTCAAGAGAGAGTAAAAAATAAGGTCATTCTTTATGCCTCTCACCATTCTGCTCTGTGTCCACTAAGTGTCTATTCTGAAAGGTACTGTTAGTATTTCAGATGTGCTCAGCTTAGGGAAAATATTTATTTAAAAACGTTTGAGTTTTCAACTCAAAAGGTGAATGCCTTAGCTGGTTCCCCAAGGAAGGGCCAGCTGGGGTGGGGGAAACAACCTGGATCTTAGGGGGTAGAATAGGTGGATATGAGCCAGGCCTCTACTCATGTGACCTCATGTGGGGTTGTAAGTGTGCGTTCTGGGAGCATCAAGACCATCCAAGATTCAGGTGATCCCTGGATGGAGAGGCTTGTGATGCCTGGGAAGTGTGTGTTAACAGGAAGGACAATTGGATCTTGAATGACAGGCCTGGGGCCAAAGGTGAACATACAGATGAGATGGATGCTGAGGCGAATAAGTTAAGGAAGTGGTTCATCTAAAAGATCATCTATATCTGTAACCAGATTTATGAATCTGTTTAACATTAAACAACATAGAAGTTTTAAGCTAACTTTCTTGAAGATGGAGAAAAAAATTCTAAGAAATACACAATTCATCTAAATAGCCACTACCTATCTGTGAGTGACAGTATTTAGAAATAACATCTCAGCTTTCTGTGATCAGAAGACACTTGCATGTTCACTGGCTGGAGTGACTCATAGGTGGCTAAATTTCCCTGTTTAAATCTCTTCTTTAAAAAAAACAACAAAACCAGATTTAAAGATTCATAAATCTTCCGCCCTAAGATCCAGGGATACTTATTTGCTTCAAGGTTCAAAAATTTTAAGAAATATAAAAGTTGAGCATGTAAGAAATCTGAGCAGTTGCTGAAGAAATGCTAATGAGCCAGACAATGTGTATTAAAGATCATATGAAAATCAGTAAGGGCAAAGCAGACAAAGAACACTGAAGAAAGAAGATAATTGGAAATATAAAAAGTATTAAGAGTCTGGCCAGGTCAAATAGAAACACTGGCTGCGGTAACTTTTGAGCCATAATCACATGGAAAGGACAGCATAGGAAAGGTGAGCTTTCAATGCGTATGAGGAGGGGTGAGAGTTAAACACATCAAATAAATTCGCCAAGCGTGGTCATGATGATGTGGCAGAGGCTGCTGGATGTCCCCCAATATCTGTTTTTCCCTTTAATAATAGGGCCCATGATTTTTAGCCAGGCACATGGTTGCCTAGAAGATATTTCCCAATCCCCGTTGCAGCTAGTTAGAGATGTGTACCAGGCTGTGGCCAGTGGATACATGTAGAAGTGATGTGTTCAACTTTAAGATTGTACCTTTAAAGAGAAAGGGTGGGCTTTGCTTCCAATTGGCTGGAATGTAGATGTGGTTGGCCAGTCAGGTTGGGCCATGAGGATAAACGCAATGTCATAGAAATGATGGAGTAACCAAGTAGAAACTTGCTATCGTGCTTCTGTCACCATGACACCCCTATACCTAGCTCTAGACTGCTTATACCCTATTACTTCTGTCTTGTTTAAGCCTCTGTTTGTTTGTTTGTTTGTTCATTTGTTTTTTGAGACAGGGTCTCGCTGTGTCACCCAGACTGGAGTGTAGTGGTGTGATCTTGGGTCACTGCAACCTCCGCCTCGTGGGTTCAAGCAATTCTTGTGCCTCAGCCTCCTGAGTAGCTGGGATTACAGGTGTGCACCACCACAACCCAGCTAATTTTTTGTACTTTTGGTAGAGATGGGGTTTTGCTATGTTGGCCAGGCTGGTCGTGAACTCCTGGCCTCAAGTGATTCGCCTGCCTTGGCCTCCCAAAGTGCTGGGATTACAGGAGTGAGCCACCGTGCCCTGCCATAAAGCCACTATTGTTTTGATTCTGTGTTACAACGACCAAGCCTATATCTTGATAGACAAGGGACAAGTATCAAGCAAATACCTACAGAGAACATGATCAAGAGTACAGGTCATCAACAAGGCTGACAATATGAAGTGTCAGCAAGTATGTGGAGAAGCTGGACCCCTCAGCTACTGCTGGTGGGAATGTAAAATGGAACAGCCACAGTTTGGCAGTTTCTGAAAATTAAACACATACCTGCCATATGACCCAACAATTCCACTCCTCAGTATCTATTGAAGAGAAATGAAAACGTGTCCACATAAAGACTTATACATGAATGTTCATAGCAGCATTATACATAATAGCCCAAACCCAGAAATAATCCAAATGACCATCAGCTGGGGAATGGACATAAAAATTGTGGTATATCCATAAAATGGAATACTACTCAACAATAACAATGAACGAGTTACAACAACATAGATGAGTCTCCAAAAAAAAACAAATAAATAAAAAATCCAGACACGTAAGATGACCACATATGTATAATTACATTTATGTTAAATTTCTAGAAAAGACAAAACTATAGAGATAGGAAACAGATCAGTGGTTGCCTAGGAGGTTGGATAGGAGTGACTGCACACAGGCACAAGGGAATTCTTTTGGGTGATGGAAATGTCCTAAATATTTCCACTGTGGTGATACTCACAAAATTGTGTACATTACATTGACTGAATTCCGTTGAACCAGAAACTTAAAATAGATGAATTTTATGTCATGTAAATTATACCTCAATAAAGCTGTTAAAAAATAGAGTATAGGTGAGCTACTGGTAGTGAAATAACATCACCACTAGTTTTTAGTCATGGGCACGGCTACATTGTCTTCTTATGAAGCTCTTACTGCATCAGAGAACAAGATGAATTGTGAAATATTATGAATGAATGGAAAACATGATAGTATTTGAGTTACAGAATCTACCAGAGCAGCATATATTACACTGTCTACAGCTGAGACAGGGAAAATGCTCTTGATTCATGTGGAATGACCTAGGCAACACATTTTTTGTTTTAGAATAGTTTGAGGCTTATGGTCTGATATCTTTATGATGAATGTGGTAGATAGTCTTCAAAAATGGCCCCCAATGAACTATGCCTCCCAGAATTTATGCCCTTTTGTAACCTTTCTGCTGGTGTTGTGACTTGCTTTTGACCAATAGAATGTTTCAGAAATGATGCCAAGGGCTTCTGAGATCACAAGAAGTATTGTAGTTTCTGCTTTGGTTTCTTGGGACAAAAACACTGGCAGGGGATTGGGGTAGTCAGGTACTATGGAGGAAGTCTGACTACCTGAGGCTTCCATACTGTGAGGAAGCCCAAGCTAACCACATGAGAGAGAGAGGGAGGGACAGAGGGATGGAGATTGAGTGAGAGTGATGAGTGGCGAGCCCCTAGCTGTTCCAGTTACCCCAGCCCAGGCTTTGCATATTTGAGAGAAGTCATTTTGAACATCCAGCCCAGTTGAGCCTTCAGTTGACTCCAGCCCTTGCTGATGTTTGATGGCAGCCACATGGAAGAGCTCAAATGAGACCTACCCAGTGGGGACCGTGAATCCACAGATTCATGTTTTAAGGCACTACCTTTGGGGTGGTTTGTTACATAGCAGTAAATAGCCCAAAAGGAAGGAGGTCAGGAAAGACTATAGAAATTACATTTGATTTCTTCAATTTGAAATACAATAAATTTAGTAGCTAGACTAAGGCACTTTAATAAAATCATCTTGTTAGCCACTTTTTAAAAAATCTTTGTGTAACACAGACTTTTTCCTTTCTTAATAATAATTTTCAGAGACTGCAGACAGAGTGGCATTGTGACAAAGGTGTTTCACGTAGACTATGAACCACCAAATATAGTCTCTCCTGAAGACAATGTTGAAAATGTTCTCAAAGATTCTTCAAGGCAGGCAAGTAATGAAACTATAATCCATTCAGATTGTCACTGTATTTTGGTTCCTTCTTTCTCAGTGAGCAGATCTTGCCTTTTATTACCTTACCTCTGCTCACAGTCAGGTCCTTATAACTGAAGTCATTATCAACCATTGCAAAGCATCTTTACTGATTTCTCAGCCTTTTGTCAGTCTCCTATCCACCCTGAAGATGAGAGTTCCTGCTGAGCATTGGGGTCCATGCTCCAGTGTCTTCAGTGGCTCTCTCTTACCTACTGAAAAAACCAGAAACCTTTAGCCTTCCATCCAAGTCATCAGTTTCTGCCCTTGGTCAGCTTTTCCTGGTCTGTCAACCCCCTACATATACTCCAACCAAACTGGAGTGTGTTTGCTATGCCCTATCACTGCTATCCTGGCACCCAGGCCTTCTTTTATAAACTGCTTTGAGCATGTGATTACTTTGTTCCTTGTTTATCTTGCCTATGCATTATAAGCTCCAAGGTGGCATGGTTGCCATACTCATTGCCTTGCACAGGAGCAGGCAGGAGAGGGTGGTGAGTGTGTATTTGCTGAATAGATGCATTAAGTAGAAGTCCTCAGTGGGCATAGAATTCTTTTATGTTGAAATCTTTATTCCCAAATATCTGCAAAGCCTCCCCACTGTGAAGAGTCAATTAGATCCATCTGAGAAGGATGTGTGACGCTTCAGGCACTGGGTGTGAGCATCGATAAGAAAGATTCAAGGAGTTAGGCCAGAGGATGGGCTAGCCTACAGTAAGGCGGCCAACCCAGAGGTCTTGGTCACAGGGATGTTGTTGGGATTGACAGAGGAAGTTTATAGGGGTTTCACTTAAGCTTGACCATGAACCTGATGCTAGAGAGGAGGTTGGTAGATGCAGGCATGGGTGGGACTCAAGTGTGATCAAGGCAAGGATCTACACTGGGCAGGGGCCGCCTTCGGGGGCTAAGCCAACATATGTCAGCAAGTGCTTAGGCTTGAATCAGGTGTGAGGGACCAAGTCCATGGAGAAAGTCCAGAGAGAAGAGTGTTTAAGGACTGTGTGTGGGCAGGTGGTGTGCAGAAGTCTGATTTTGGTCTGACTCTACCCTGCCTTTGCCCTCTGGACTTGGTGGTCCCTCTGTTGTTACCCAGACTCCCACAGTTGTAACATCCTGCCTGCATGTGCTGCTCCCTGCCTCCTGCCTTGGCCACTTCACCTGGTGAGGGCTACATCCAGATGTGCTGCCAGCTGAGCAGCCCAGTCCAGATACAAAGCTGCATGTTTCCAGAATAAAGTGAAACAGGGGTCACTTTGTACAAATGACCATAAACTCTTTCAAATAAGAAATGCACACCATGACACTTTCTCTATCATGCAGCTTTAATTCTCACATGGGAATAACCAAGTGATTGATATGCAATCTCTTCATTCCTAGGAATTCAAAAATGGATTTGTTGGATCAAAACTAAAGAAAAAATATAAGAACTCTGAAAATCAACGCAGCTGGAATGTTAACCTTAGAAAGTTTCCAGGTATGATGTGACAGAACAAAGACAAGGTTTTGTATTCTGAACCCACCGAAGAGGTTCATGGCATGTTCGTTGCATGTTTTCTTGTCTGGAGAAGTGTTGGAATAAGAAACACTGGGGCAGGAAAGTATGCTGTACTTTGAATTTTAATGACGTCCTTGCTTACAGCTTAAGATCATGAAGGAGGATCAAGCAGTCCAACCAAGTTAGATTTCTTGACCCACTGCCGGGAGCCATGGGGGCATCTAACCAAACAGAGGAAATGCTGGAGTTGTAGGGTTTGGGGGAAGGGTGGAGTTTGGGTGAAATATAAATGAAAGCAGAGTTTTGATAGTCTCAAAGCGAAGCTGGTCTGGGTGTGAAGGGATCAGCATCAGGTATGGACCCAGGGTATCAGCATCAGGAAGGGGACCCAGGGTTCTGTTGCCTTGGAAACTACAAAGATACATGGGGAACACTGTGTTCAGAAATGATTATCTCTGCACCAGGGTTGGACATTGAAGCTGCTTCTCTATGTCAGAGTGGCCTAGATTCCCCAGGCAAGAGTTGAATGTTTCGTTCTTACTGAGAATTTCAAACAGCAAAGTTTCTGATAATCTGTGATTTAAGAGAACAGGGTTTCTCAGTGAGTAAGAAAGACAAGGCATGCAAAGAGGGGGCTGCTAACGACATTTACAGCTGCAGTGTGCTCTTGGGAGATATAATATTTCCTGCTAACTTTGCAACTGGATTGATCTGTCTGTTTTCCCAGCCTGAAGTGGAATATTGTAGAATGCAGCGGGGAAGATGATCTTCTCAGTCTGGGCTTGTTTTTTCTTTCTCACTTCTAATGCATTGAGTGTGTGGCGGGAGCTCTTTATATAATTGTTACTTCTAGGGAAGCAATGTGGTGACAGTGGTTCTTTATTAAAAGGTCTCCCGCTGTGAAGATATCTTTGTATGATTATGTATAATTACAGATGCTCAAAGAATAATGTTTTTAATATCATTGTAGACGTCCAGGTAGGTGAAAGAACTGACCCTAAAACTTTGAAAGATCTTCACTTTTCAGAGAGTCCATTGGAAATCCCAGCTTATGGTGGAGGATCAGGTTCTAGACCACCCACCCGCCAGTCCCAGGTAACTTCTAAGGACAATCTTTAGGGTATTCAAATACCTCCTATATTTTTAATGCTCCCATGAAATACTTTAAGACTGCACCTCCCCCACTTTTGACCATGTGCCAGGCACTGTTCTAGTGCTGGGAATACTGTACTGGACAAGAAAAGTCCCTGTATTCATGGAGCTTACCTTTTATTGGGCTTGGGGGCAGACACATAATTTTAAGTAAATAAACAGAAAATTTAAAATGGTGGTAAGCGTCATGAAGAAGATAACATGGTAATGAGATAGAGCAGTGGTTCTCAGAGGCGATCCCCAGACCTGCAGCATCAGCATCACGTGGGAACTTATTTGAAACACACATTCTCAGGCCTGATGAGCAAGGTGGGAGATGAGTGAGAAGGTGGCTGGGGCCAGAGTATCTAGAGCTGTGGTTCTCAATCATGGCTGCACGTTAGAATCACCTGAAGAGCTTCAAACCAATCCCCAAGGTTTAGCGTCAGAAATTCTGATTTAATTGGTCTGATGTGGGGTTTGAGCATCGTTAAAAAAAAAAAAAAACCACCCCTAAATGATTCTAACGGTCAGGTATGGTTGAGAGTCACAGATACTAGTCTGACCGTAAGAAGTTTGAATTCTATTCTAATTGTAAATGGTATCTGTTTGGCAGGCAAGACACAGTCCCATTTACATTTAAAAGTTTTCTGTTTGGCCACAGTATGGAGATTAGACCATGGAAGAGGAAAGGGAGAACATTATTTAGGAGGCTTTTGTTCCAGGTGAGAAATGATGGTGACTTGGACCAAGGTTGTAGAGGTGGTCAGGATAGGAGGCGGGCTTTGCTGAGGGATCCGACGGATGAGAGGGAAGGGGAGGAGCCAAGTCTGCCTCTCAGGGTTTGTCCTGAGTATCTGGAGATGATGGTGCCATTGACAAAGCTGGAAAAGATGAGAGACGAGCAGGTGTCCAAGGGCACATTAGACATCCAAGTGGAGGTGTTGAGTAGATTGTTGGATGTGCAAGTTCACATATGGGAGAGGTCAGAGCTGGACATATGTACTTAGAAATATGGAAATATTCAATATGTTGATGGTATTTGAAGCTTAGGTCTGAACGAGATCACTAGTCAAGGCTGAACAGAAAGTGAAGAGAAGGAAAATGAAGAAAGTCCTCAACTTAGAGGTTGAGCAGGGGAGGAGGAGCCTGAAAGTAGAAAGAAAGCCAAAAGAATATGTTGCCATGGAAACCAAGAGATGAAAGAATTTCAAGGAGAAGATCATCTATGTCATATGTTACTGAAGGTTCTAATTAGATAAAGACAGACAATTGGAAATTCACATTGGCTTTGACAAGATAGAGGTGACTTATGACCTTAATAAAAGGCATATTGGCTGGGCGTGGTGGCTCACGCCTGTAATCCCAACACACTGGGAGGCTGAGGCAGGCAGATCATGAGGTCAGGAGTTCGAGACCAGCCTGGCCAATATGGTGAAACCCCGTCTCTACTGAAAATACAAAAATTAGCCAGGCATAGTGGCGCGCACCTGTAGTCCCAGCTACTCGGGAGGCTGAGGCAGAAGAATCGCTTGAACTGGGGAGGCGGAGGTTGCAGTGAGCCAAGATTGTGTCATTGCACTCTAGCCTTGGCAACAACGTGAGACTCTATCTCAAAAATGAAAATAAAAATAAAAATAAAAGGCATATCAGTGCATTCTTACTACTATAACACAAGAAAGATGCTCTTACACTAGTTGCCTACTATACTATTATAGTGCTTTGGTTTTTCAATGTTTATAAAATCCAATTTGGACTTTTGGCATCTAAGGGCAACCCAGGAGCCCTTGTTCTGTTCCTCCTATTTGAGTCCCAAGTTTAATGTACCTGGAGTCACATTTTCTGTGTAACCACAGCTCCTTGTGTGCCCATGATTGCATGGCTGCTCACACTTACCATCAAGTATAAAGGAGAAAAGCATGGTTTCCAAACCCAGTTGCATATCAGAATCACCCAGGGACTGAAGGCTCAGTGTTGCTACATCCAATGAATTTGCATGAGAAGGCAGAAAACTACATCTTTATGTGTAATAACATAATTTAAAGTTTTGACTGTTAGTTAAAATTTTGAAACACTATGGGAGCCAATGCCAAATAAAACTCAATGGCAGGCCAGATTTGCCTAATAGACCACCACTTTGAGACTTCTGGTCTAGGTCATGTTATGTTTTTATTTATTTGTTTTTCTTTTTGTAGAGATGGGGATTCACTATGTTGCCCAGACTATTTTTGAACTCCTGGCCTCAAGCAATCCTCCTGCCTCAGCCTCCCAAAGTATTGGGGTTACAAATGTGAGCCACTACACCCAGCCTAGGCCATGTTAGATGTGGCACAAAAGCAATGAGAAACCTCTGACTGCTCTCTATTGCCTGCAGGATAGAGCCTGTAGTCCTAAGTTCAGACCTTTGAGTTTCCTAGAGATACAGTTTTTGAGAAAAATAGATACTGAAGTTTGTTTGTTTGTTTGTTTATTTATTTATTTATTTATTTATTTATTTATTTGAGACGGAGTTTCACTCTATTGCCCAGGCTGGAGTGCAGTGGCATGATCTTGGCTCACCACAACCTCTGCTTCCCGGGTTCAAGCGATTCTCCTGCCTCAGCCTCCTGAGTAGCTGGGATTATAGGCATGCGCCACCACACCCTGCTAATTTTGTATTTTTAGTAGAGACGGGGTTTCTCCATGTTGGTCAGGCTGGTCTCGAACTCCCGACCTCAGGTGATCTGCTCACCTCTGCCTCCCAAGGTGCTGGGATTGTAGGCATGAGCCACTGTGCCCAGCCGAGTTTATTTATTTATTTTTACTTTTTTTTTTTTTTTTTTTGAGACAGAGTCTCACTCTCACCCAGGCTGGAGTGCAGTGGTGCAATCTTGGCTCACCACAACTTCCACCTCCTGGGTTCAAGCGATTCTCCTGCTTCAGCCTCCCGAGTAGCTGGGATTACAGGCACCCGCCACCACACCCAGCTAATTTTTTTTTGTATTTTTAGTAGAGATGGGGCTTCGCCATGTTGGCCAGGCTGGGATACTAAAGTTTTTAAATCCTAAAATCTGGTCTGTCTCATGGTAAATTCAGGTATCTTTTATTGTAAACTCTCATTTTTAATGAAATATAGATATATGATTGTGAATAGCACTTTAAATAATTTAGAAATGTTAGATACTAGAGTAATAATTACATTACTCATAATGATTTTTTATTTTTATAATTTTTTATTTTTATGGGTTCAGGGGGTGCAGATTTGTTACATGTATTGTATAATGGTGAGGTTTGGGCTTCTAGGGTACCCTTCACCCAAATAGTGAACACTGCACCCAATAGGTAATTTTTCAGCCCTCGCCTTTTCCCACCCTTCCCACTTTTAGAGTCTATAGTGTCTATTATTCCTCTTTATATGTCTATGTGTATTCACCCATAATGATTTTTAATGGAATTTTACTATACCATAGCCTTTACCATGTTATTTTGACTATATGACTCTGTCTTTATACCTATATTCTTAATTTTAGTCCCCCGGTTTTGCACACGTAAGCGGTCAGAAGTGTTTGACAAGCACGGAGATAATGAGAATTCAAAGGGAGACAGACTTTCTCAAGTAAGTATCACATTCTCTTTACTCTGCCTTAAATCCTACAAAGATACATCATGGTCAAAGAGAATTTAAAGATACGACATTTTTGCCCACCTCCAACTTTTTTTTTTTTTTTTTTTTGAGACGGAGTCTCACTCTGTCACCCTGGCTGGAGTGCGGTGGTGCAGTTTTGGCTCACTGCAACCTCCGCCTCCTGGGTTCAAGCGATTCTCCTGCCTCAGCCTCCCGAGTAGCTGAGATTACAGGCACGCGCCACCACGCCCAGCTAATTTTTGTGTTTTTAGTAGAGACGGGGTTTTACCATGTTGGCCAGGATGGTCTTGATCTCTTGACCTCGTGATCTGCCCACCTCGGTCTCCCAAAGTGCTGAGATTACAGGTGTGAGCCACCACACCCGGCCCCAACTTTTTAAATTAAATGTTTACAGCCTGTTAAAAAGTATAATTGACATACAATAACTGCATATGTATTTAGAGTTCATTTGACTATGTATGTATGTATGTATGTAACCATGACACTGTCACAATCAAGAAAATGAGTAAGTTCATCCCTGCCAAAAATTTCCTACATTGTACCCTATTTGGTAACCCCTTCCTTTTACCCCCGCTCATCACAGGCAATTATTGATTTCTTTCTTGTCACTATAGTTTAACTTGCATGTGATTCAATATGTCAACGAAGTGACTTAGTGTGTGCTCTTTAATGCTGGACTTCTTTCACTCAGCGTAACTATTTTCAGATTCATCTATGTTGTTCCTTGTAACAAACATCCGTTTCTTTTTATTGTTGAACTACAGTCCATTGTATGGATATACCACAGTTTGTTTATCCATTCACTTATTGATGGGAATTTGTGTTATATCCAATTTTGGGCTATTACAGATAAAGTTGCTGTGAACATTTGTACAAAAGTTACTGTATATACAAAAGTGATCCAGTCTCATATCTGGTCTCTAAATAAATAAATAAATTGATAAAAATTAACAGATACAATAAAATAATTTTTAAAACCCCAAAGTCATTATGTATACACGTTTTCATTTCCCTTGGGGCAAATACCTTGAAGAGGAATATGATAGGTATATATTTTTTTAAGAAACTGCCAATCTGCTTTCCAAAGTGATTGTTCCATTTTACATTCTCACCAGCAGTGGAGGAGAATTCTCTGTATCCTTACTAACTTTTATTTTTATTTTGATCATTCTAATGAGATTGTAACAGTATCTCATTGTGGTTTTTATTTGCGTTTCCCTAGTGACTAATGATGTTGAGCCTCTTTTCATGTGCTTATTTCCATCCATGCATCTTCTTTGGTAAAGTGTCCTTTCAAACTTTTGGCCTTTAAAAAAATGCATTATAGTCCGGGTGCAGTGGCTCACACCTGTAATCACAGCACTTTGGGAGGCTGAGGTGGGCGGATCACCTGAGGTCAGGAGTTCAAGACCAGCCTGGCCAACATGGTGAAACCCCATCTCTACTAAAAATACAAAAAATTAGCTGTGCGTGGTGGTGGGCGCCTGTAATCCCAGCTACTTGGGATCTCCAGCTGAGGCAGGAGAATCGCTTGAACCCGGGAGGCGGAGGTTGCAGTGAGCCAAGATTGTGCCACTGCACTCCAGCCTGGATGACAGAGGCATGCGCCACTATGCCCGGCTAATTTTTGTATTTTTTTAAGTAGAGATGAGGTTTCACCATGTTGGCCAGGCTAGTCTAGAACTTCTGACCTCAGGTGATCTGCTCCCCTCAACCTCCCAAAGTAGTGGGATTATAGGCGTGAGCCACCACACCCAGCCAAGTTGAGGAAATTTTTACCTGTTTCCAATTTGCTGAGAGCTTCTTTTTTAAAATCAGGAATAGATGTTGGATTTTGTCCAAAGCATTTTTTCTATTTATTGAGAGGATAATTTAGTTTTTCTTTTTCTGTTCATGTGGTGAATTACAATGATTGGTTTTCAAATGTTAAGTCAACCTTACATCCCTGAAATATATCTACCTGAAGTGTTATCTATTTTATATAATGTTGAATTTGATTTGCTAAAAGGTTTTAAAGAATTTTTTTTGCCAGCATTTGCATAAGGGATGTTGGGGGATTTTCTTTTCTTGTTAATGTCTTTGTCTGGTTTTAGTATCGGTATAATTCTAGATTCATAGAATAAGTTAGGAAGTGTTTTCACTCCTTCACCTTCTGAAAAAGTTTATGTAAAATTGGTGTTATTTCTTCCTTACATATTTGGTAGAAATTCACAAGTGAAATGATTAGATCTGGAGTTTTCCTTCAGGAAGATTTTTTTTCAGGAAGATTTTTAACTACACATTAGATTTCTTTAATAGATATAAGTACATTTATATTTATTAATCTTTCTTTTGGAGTACATTTTAGGTTTAATTTGTTCTTTTTTTAGTTTCTTTAATGGGAATATGAAGTTACTGATTTGAAGTCTTTCTTCTTTTCTAGCATAGGCATTTAGAACTATACATTTCCCCTGAATACTGTTTTACTTGCAGTCTCTGAATTTTGATATGTTGTGTTTTCATCTTCATTCAGTTCAAACAGTTTCTAATTATCCTTGTTATTTTGTAGGGAGGGCAATGGGTTAGTTAGAAGTGTTTTATTATATTTCCAAATACTGGAGGATTTTCCTTGTATCTTTTGGGCCTGTCTGCCTTCTTTCTTTCCTTCCTGCCTTCCCACCCTCTCTCCCTTCCTTCTTTCCTTCCTTCCTTTCGTCCTTTCTTCTTTCTTTCTTAGGGTCTCACTCTGTCACCCAGGCCGAAGCGCAGAGGCCCAATCATAGCTCACAGCAGCCTCAAACTCCTGGATTCAAGGCATCCTCCTGCCTCAGCCTCCTAAGTAGCTGGGACTATAGGCATGTGCCAGTACACCCAGCTAATTAAAAAACTTTTTTTCTTTTTTTTTTTTTTGGCTGGGCGTGGTGGCCCATGCCTATAATGCCAGCACTTTGGGAAGCTGAGGTGGGAGGATCACTTGAGGCCAGGAGTTTGAGACTAGCCTGGCCAACATGGCAAAACCCCGTCTCTGCTAAAAATATACATACCAAAAAAAAATTAGGCATGGTGGCACATGCCTGTCAATCCCAGCTACTCGGGAGGCTGAGGCACAATAATCACTTGAAGCCAGGAGGTGGAGGCTGCAGTGAGCCGAGATCATGCCACTTCACTTCAGCCTGTGCGACAGAGGAAGACTCTGTCTCAAAACAAAAAACCTTGTATATATATATTTTTTTGTGGCAGGGGTGGGGTTTTCACAAAGTTGCCCAGGCTGGTCTTGAACTCCTGGCCTCAAGTGATCCTCCCACCTTAGTCTCCCAAATTGTTGGGATTATAGGTATGAGCCAGTACACGTGGCCTGGTGCTTATGTCAAATTTATTTACTTTTGGTCAGAAAAGATATATGATTTGATTGGTAAATGTTCTATGTACACTTTAAAAGAATGTGTATTCTGCCAGAATGAGTGTACTATAAATATCAATTAGGTTTAGTTAGTTGATGGTATTGTTTAAGTCTTCTCTATCTTTACTGATTTTCTGTTTATCATGTAATCAGTTATTGAAAAAGCAGTATTGAAATATATGACTGTAATTATGAATTTGCCTATTTATTCTTGCATTTCATTTCTATCAGTTTTTCTTCATGTACTTTGATACTCTGCTATTAAGTACATAAACATTTTGGATTTTTTTGTCCTCTTGCTAAGTTGACCCTTTTATCATTATGAAATAAACTTCTTTAACTCTGTTAATATTCTTTGCTCAGAAACCTACTTGTTCTGATGTTAATGTTGTCACTCCTGCTTTCTTTTGATGTGTGTGTACCTCCCTTTATTGAATCTATTTATGTCTCTATTTAAAGTTGGTTTCTGGCCGGGCGCGGTGGCTCACGCCTGTAATCCCAGCACTTTGGGAGGCCGAGGTGGGCGGATCACGAGGTCAGGAGATCGAGATCATCTTGGCTAACACAGTGAAACCCCATCTCTACTAAAACTACAAAAAAAAAAAAATTAGCCGGGCTTGGTGGCAGGCACCTGTAGTCCCAGCTACCCTGGAGGCTGAGGCAGGAGAATGGCATGGACCCGGGAGGTGGAGCTTGCAGTGAGTCCAGATCATGCCACTGCACTCCAATCTGGGCGACAGAGCAAGACTCCGTCTCTAAATAAATAAATAAATAAACAAACAAATATAAAGTTGGTTTCTTTTGAGCAGCATATAGTTAGGCCTAGCTTTTTAAAAAAAACCATACCTGACAACTCCTATGTTCTAATTGGAGTATTTAGAGTATATATAGAGTATTCTAACTGATACCTCGGTAAATATGAATTTTTTCCACTTTGGCTGGTGTAAGCATGAGCTTTGCAGCCCTGTGTGAATCCTGAAGACTGTTTTCTCTGTTACCCTTTGGTGTTTACTTTCTAACCTTGAGTGGTTTCTTCCATCACATGCACTCATCAGTAGTACCCAGGTGAAGACTTGAGGGTGACCCTCTGCAAAATTCTGAAACTCTCCCTGCAGCTCTTCTCTGGTATTCTTTCCTGAAAGCTCCAGTTACCTTGACCTTCTGAGACTCCCAGCTCTATGTCTTCAATTCAAATCAGTGGAATGAGATAGTCAGATTACACTTCATGAGCTTTAAGCATAGAAAAGAGGGAACTGTTGTTGCTCTGGCGGGTGGGCCCATGCCAGAGAGATGGTGAAACCTTGGTGCCATGGTACAGTAATGAAGGACTAAATAGGATAAGAGTGTGGGAATGAGCTCAGCTCCAACGTGGAGACTAGTGTGGGCAACGAGACAATCCGGTGCACAGTATCCAAGCCTTCTAGTTGCTGAGGAGCTGTTCAGATCAATAGGTCACAGGATCAGGAGCCAACTTGTCTGGAAAGGCATGGCAGTAGCAGGAAAGGAATTAGGGCAGCCTAATTCCAAGAATGCTCTCACTTTGGCAGATAGCCAGAACCCATTTAGATGAGTGGGAGCTAAACGATGGGTCCAGCTGCATAAGAAATGGGGCCAGATGCTGCTGGGGCAGGGCCTGAGGACTCTAAGCAAAGGTGGGCAAAGAGAAAGGATGGGTTTGAGGCACAGGCAAGAAGCCCTGTCCCTCAGACTGGGCTCAATGGTAGAAAGTCAGAAAAGCATAATGTAAAAATTGCTGGAATTCCCAGGGCTCACCCTCATACACATCAAATCCAATGTGACAGGACAAGCCAGAGCCCGAGCAAGAAGTGGGGCCAAGGCTGCTGATAAACTTCTTGCCATGATCAAGAAGTTATATGGACTTGGCCTACGCAGAAAGGGCACCAGAGGGTCCAGTTGCAAGGCCACTATTCCAATAAAATGACCAAATGACCTAGATAAGTATTTCCTGTCTTGAACTTGTTCCATAGCCATTGAGAGCAGTCTGCTTTTGTTTTGTGTTTAAAACTGTTTGACCGCTTTTAGATTTTTATCAGTCTTCTTAATGTGGGCCCACCAGAACATGGCCAATCGGGAACCTGTTTTGTTGTAGGTGTGCCCACTGCCTTGCCCCCCGGCCATCAGATCCCTTTGCTCGCTTCTGTCAAGAATGTGGCTCTCCTGTCCCACCCATATTTGGCTGTCGTCTCCCACCCCCAGAAGGAGCTCAGGTGAGCAGCAGAATTCTTAAAAACATCTTTCATTGGTTGATCTGATCTTTATTTGCAGCAGTAACACAGTGCTTGGTACACATGAACTGCACATATAAATACTTGTTGAAGAATTACTGGCTGATTGAACTCTTACACACTCCTACTTAAGCATGGAAAAACTTACTTGCAATGCTGTGTCTTTTGTGTGGCCTGCCAGAAGCACGGGCTTAAAAAAGATTGGAATCTTATTGTTTTAATGAGGCATGCATGGATAAATAAATGTTTCCTACTCATTTGATAGCTCTGCTCATATCCTGGGTATAATAAGGAAATATATTCTAGAAATAAATAAAGAGAACTACCAATTACTTTATGTCTCTATATATCTATATATCCATAAGATGCATCATTCTGTCCAAAGAATCTATAGATTGATCTGTATATTTAAATTTAAAAGCTTTGGCTGATTTAGGATAGATAATAATTGATATCTCACTACTAATTTTGTAGATAGTTAAAAAACATACTTGGCTTGCTAAAAATTAAAACCTTCACCAAAATGTGTTCATCTTTTAAGCACTTGATATTTTGGGGATTTTTTTTGGACTTGGAATAAAGGGATGAAAATGAAATAAAGGGATCTGTGATATTGAGTGAAAAATTACAATTTTTAAGAAGATAGTTACTAAGAAAAAGTCACTAATTGAGTGAGTTCCAAGTCCAGAGTTTTAGATTCGAGTTATGCCTCAAGCAAGGGGTCAGGTATTAAATGGCTGTTTTAATATTTTTCTAATATATTGCTCAATATTTTTGTAGAAGTTAATTTAATTTACTTCAGTGATACATTTTAAACTCCTTAAAGATTTTGCTAATATATAATGGCAGAATCTTAGGGAATAAGGGTGGGAGTCGATTTTAAATAAAAACAGACTATAACACCAAATTGGGCCAAATTCATTGATATGTTTGCAGCTTATAGAGATTCTGGACTAAATGTGTTAGTGAAAGAAGACGATACAGAAAACAAAATATGAACAAGTCCCATTGGTTGATTTTTCTCTGTTTATACTAGTTGGTGCGATACCAAAATTATTTTCTACTTGCCTGGAAAGGGATTTTCACAACTAACTTCATTTTTACAGGGAGGAAAGGTTATCAGTGATTATAAATATTTAACATTATGAACTTTAAAACACCTAGATTGCCCCCCAGTTATATTTCTATTAGTGCAACAATAGACTATAATGTATAACAGCTTTGTAATTTAAGCTAACAACCATTTATTGAGTACTACTGTGTCCTGCTCTGAGCTGGGCTTCTAGGAGTCAAAGGGGCAGGATCCTACTTAGACCCACGACTCAGAGAGTCTCAGTAAAGAGATGCAGAGGTGTGTGCTCTCCTGTCTCTTTGCTCTTGCCATGTGAGCTAACCTGTAGGACACCCAGTTGTGCTGAACCCTGTGAATTTCAGTGTTGTCCCATGGACGCTTCTCAGTTCCACTGGCACCCCAGCCAGCTTCCCAGATAGTCTTTGGGGCATCCCAGTAGCAACTTTCCAGCAAGTTCCAGCCACATCTCTGTATCTGACTTCCCAACATGTTCTGCCAGTTCCCTAGATGAGGAATTCCTAATGAGTTTCATTGGATCCCAGTGGGCGGCTTTTTCCTTGCTGGCTCTGATCTGTGTCACCTCAGTGAACTTCTCTGCCATCCGGTGGGTGACAACCACACTCAATTCAATGAAGTCTGATTTCAGCCTTGGATGTGGGGCAAAGTAAGTGCCTCTTCCAAATTTGATCCTCCTTCGGTTCTCTGTCTCAGCCACAGAGGTAGGGGATCCTCCCTATGTTTGGAATTTCTGTATATGTAGAATCTGCTTTACCCATTAGTAGTTAATCCCTGGATACCAGTTAATAACTATTTATATGAACTTTTCCTGTTCAAATTAGTTGTGGTTTCTATGTCCTGATTGGACTCTGACTGATACAGAATTGGTAGTGGGATTGGTCCCAGGAAATAAACTGGGAAATGGGATTTTGGAAGTGGTTTGGTCTTGTCCTTTGCTTGGGAACAGTGCCGAGCTCCTTGCCAATGGGAAATGGGACACTGGTGATCCATAGCATGAGGGGGCATCACAGTTAATCAGGCTGTCACCTGTGGCTGATTGTGATGACGTGCCAATTGAAGCAAGTATCTTGAATGGCCAAGTAACTGCTGCACTTGACTCTATGACAGTGACAATGACTACAAAAACTGTGGTGGAGGATGTATTCTCCTGAGTCCATGGGAGCATTCACAGAAAGAAAACGACAAGCTCAGGACCTTTAAGTCATGGTGCAGGAACCAGAGGGCTCCTATGACAGCCCAAAATAATATACTTCTTGTAGCTCCAGGGTTATATTGATGAAAATCAAACAAAAATTGTATTGTATATGTTGGGGACTTATAATGTCTGTTAAATTCACCTGATCACCAGATTTCTTATTTGAAAGTTAGGCCATTAATTGAGAAAGGATGGGACCCTGAAACTCAGATAGAGATGGCAGGTGGGACCCAGATGAAACTGACAGTCTTGTTACCCTTGTCACTCTGTGCCTCCTGCCCAATGGATGTAGTTTGCCCTTATGTCTGAGGATGCCCTTCTGTCTGAGGATACCAGCCTTCGTTTTCTTGAAATGTTTGTGATAACCTCACCTGGGCAGATGGCTTGAAAGGGGATGTTTATTCTCCTCACAGGGGGTTGTGGGTGGTTTAAACCCATCACAACCACCTGTTGCATTCTAGGGACCCAACCCAGCATGCTACAGGAGGACAGGTGCATGCTGTGATCCAGGAGGAAATAACTTACACACACAAAGAAGAGGAAGATTTTACTAATATATAGTGACAGAGTCTTGGGGAATAAGTGTGGGATTAGATTTTAAATGAAGACAATATGACTTGAAATTGGTATAAATTCATTGATATGTGCACACCTTATAGAGATTCTGGGTTTAATGTGTTAGATAATGCAGCTGCGGTGGCTATAACAGCTTGCTTGGTTGACTGCTTAAAGCTTGGCCTCAGTAGTGGCCTGTGTTTAATGAGATTGGGATAGCAGAAGTTTCCCAGGTATATCAGTTTGCTAAGGTTGCCACAGCAAAACCCCACAGACTGTGTGGCTTAAAGAACAGAAATTTATTTTCTCATAGTTCTGCAGGCTGGAAGTTTAAGATCAAGGCGCCAGCAGGTTTGGTTTCTGGTGAGGCTTCTCTCCTCAGCTTTCAGACGGCTGCCTTCCTGATGTGTCCTTACTTGGCCTTTCCTCTGGGTACACAACCCTGGTGTCTCTTCCTCTTCTTATAAAGACATCAGTCATATTGGATCAAAGTCCCACTGTAATGACCTCATTTAACCTTAATTACCTCCTTAAAGGACCTATCTCCAAATACAATCACATTGGGGGCTGGGGCTTCAATATAATGAATTCTGGGGGGCACAGTTTAGTCCCTAACACCCAGCATCATGTGGAGCAGGGAATACAGAGACTTAGGCAAATAGGAAAGTTGGAGTGGGGTTGATACCTGTGTCCTGCATCCCTAACTCTTACCTATGTTTCACAAGAAGGCCCAGAAGACACTTCCATCACTAAGATATCAAGGAATACATTAGTGAGAGGAGCAGCTGCATCCTTAAAAAGTTCTGTGGCTGCTTTCCTTTGTAGGCCAGATATGATCGTGGGGGATGCTGCTATTTAGAGGAGTTCCCTGATCTCATTAGAGCTAGTGAGATCCCAGAGTAGCAGAAGTTAAGTGGCAGCACTTAACTGCCAAAGACAAGGACAGTAATGATGTTTCAGTAAGAGGAATCTGACATGGCATTCCTAGGAATGATAGACGGGCAGCCTTCTAGTGTATCGCCTGGTCTATATAATTGAAAAATGCTAGGTCATGTAGCTAAAAACTGACTTGAATCACTGCATTGGAGCAACCAAGTTCCTCCCCCAGTTTCCAGACATAAATCAGTTCACAAATTCAGTCTCTTGATTTAAGGGGAGACTGGATCTCCTTAGGGAAGGACCCTGGAGCTTTGCAAGTACATATCATAAGTCTTCCTTGAACGCTTCCCCAAGGGGACTTGTTGCTTTCAATTGAGTGACTGTGCAGTGGGGAAAAGGAAATGCCCAAATCTTTGAGGGATTTCTAGATACTGGCTCTAAATTCATGCTAATTCTTAGAGATTCAGAACACCACTGTGGTCCCCCAGTAAAGCTGGGACTTTAGGTGCGCAGGTGATAGATGGAACCTTAACCTCAACTCTGACTTGTAGTTTTTGCTTCATGTATTTTGGGGGTTTGTTGTTATGTCCATGCTATGGATTGAATCTTTGTGTCTTGGCCAAAATTCGTATGTTGAAATCCCAACCCCCAAGGTGATGGTGTTAGAAGGTTGGGTCTTTGGGAGGTAATTAGGTCGTGATGATGAACCCCTTATGAATGGGATTAGTGCCCTTATAAGAGAGGCTCAAAGGAGCTTGTTTGCCTTCCACCATATGAAGACACAGAAGGTACCATCTGTGAAGCAGAGGGCAAGCCCTCACCTGATACTGAATTCGCTGGCATCCTGATCTTGGACTTCTCAGGCTCCAAAACTCTGAGAAATAAATTTGTGTTGTTTACAAGCCACCCACTTTATGGTGTTTTGTTATCACAGCCTGAACAGACTAATACAGTCATATACACTTATAATTGTTCTATCTTCCTGACTATTGACCTTCTTATCATCCCCAAATGTCTCTCTTTGTCTATGCTAATATTTCTTAAAGTCCTTTATTCTCTGATATTTATGTAGCTACTCTAGCTCTTTTATGGTTACTGTTTGCATTGTAAGGCCTTTTCTGTGCTTTTACTTTCAATCTATTTGTGTCTTTGAATTTAAGGTGTGTTTCTAGTAGACAGCATGTAGTTGGATCTTGCTTTTTTATCCATTCTGAATAACCTTGCCTTTTGAATGTGATATTTAGTCAATTCCTATTTAATGTCATTATTGATGTGGTTAAATTTACATATGCCATTTTGCTATTTGCTATTTGTATCATGGCTTTTTTGTTACTTTTTCCCTCGTTTACTGCTTTCTTTTGTGTTATTTCTTTTTTTTTTTTTTTTTTTTTGAGACAGAGTCTCACTCTGTCACCCAGGCTGGAGTGCAGTGACATGATCTCAGCTCACTGCAAGCTCCGCCTCCCAGGTTCACGCCATTCTCCTGCCTCAGCCTCCCGAGTAGCTGGGACTAGAAGCACCTGCCACCATGCCTGGCCAATTTTTTTGTATTTTTAGTAGAGACGGGGTTTCACCATGTTAGCCAGGATGGTCTCGATCTCCTGACCTCATGATCCGCCCGCCTCGGCCTCCCAAAGTGCTGGGATTACAGGCGTGAGCCACCGCACCCGGCCTTTTGTGTTATTTCTTTTGTGTTACTTTTAGTGTGCCATTTTAATGCTTCTGTTGACTTTTTTATTATTTTTAAAGTTATCTTAAGCTCTAGAGATTACAATATGGACCTCAATTTATCACATTCTATTTTATTTAATTTTGATTTTTAATTTTTGTGGATACATAGTTGGTGTATATATTTATGGGTACATGAGATGTTTTGATACAGGCATGTAATATATAATAACCACATCATGGAAGATGGGGTATATCACAGTCCATTTTAGAGTAATTTAACTCAATTCTACTGAAATATAGAAATTTCACTCCTTTCCTCTTTCTTTTTCTTTTCTTTTCTTTTTTTTCTTTTCTTTGAGACAGAGTCTCCCTCTGTCATCCAGGCTGGAGTGAGCGCAGTGGCACAATCTCGGCTCACTGCAACCTCTGCCTCCTGGGTTCAAGTGATTCTCCTGTCTTAGCCTCCTGAGTTGCTGGGATTACAGGTGTGCACCACCATGCCCAGCTAATTTTTGTATTTTTCATAGAGATAGGGCTTCACCATATTGGCCAGGCTGGTCTTGAACTCCTGACCTCAAGTGATCCGCCTGCCTTGGCCTCCCAAAGTGCTGGAATTACAAGTGTGAGCCATCGCACCCGGCCCCTTTCTTTCTTTTTCTTAACATTGCTTAAGTATCGTCCTCCTTTCTTTATCTTTTATGTAATAACCATAAATATTGCTTCTATATATGTTATAAACTGAAAAATGCGGTGTTATACAATCTTATGTCATTTAAAGAAGATGAGATAAAAGTTCTATGGAGTCATTTGTATCTGCCCTCATATTTATTATATCTGGTCTTCTCACTTCCTCCTGTGAACTCAAGTGATCATCTAGTGTCATTTCCTTTCAGCCTGAAGAACTTCCTTCAGTTTTTCTTGTAAGGCATGCCTGATAGCCATTTCTCTCTGTCTTTGTGTACGTCAGAATGTTTATTTTGCCTTCATTTTTGAAGGATGGTTTGCTGCAGATGTAATTCTGGTTTAGCAATTATTTTCTCTTTCAGCTCTTTGAATTTGTCATTCTACTGCCTTTTGCCCTCCATTGTTTTTGATGCGTGGTTTTTTCTCTTGCTACTTTCAGTATTTTCTCTTTGTCTTTGACCTTCAACAGTCTGATTATAATGTGTTTAAGTGTGGGTCTCTTTGTGTTTGTCTTTCTTGGGATTGACTGAGCTTATTGGATGTGCTGAGTATTGGTTTTCCTCCAGTGTGGGAAATATTGGCCATTGTTTCTTCCATTCTTTTTCTGTTCCTTTCTCTCTTTCCCTTACTTGTTGCTGTGCTTGATTTTGCCCCATACGTTTTTGATGTTCTGCTTATTTTCTTCAGTCTTTTTTCTCTGTTCTTCAGATTAGATAATTTCTGTTGAGCTATTTGTTCAAGTTCACTGATTCTTTCTTCTGTTATGCGATCTGCTGTTGAGTCGCTCTGGTGATTTTTTTTTTTTTTTTTTGAGATGGAGTCTCGCTCTGTCCCCCAGGCTGGAGTGCAGTGGTACGATCTCGGCTCACTGCAAGCTCCGCCTCCCGGGTTCACGCCATTCTCCTGCCTCAGCCTCCCAAGTAGCTGGGACTACAGGCGCCCGCCTCTGGCGATTTTTAGAATTTCAGTTACTTTACTTTTCAACTCCAGGCTTTGACTGAATTCTTTTTTTAAAAAAATAATTTCTGTCTCTCTATTGTGCTTCCCTACCAGTCAGATCATTGTCATCATACTTTAATTTTTATCAAATGTGGTTTCCTTTAGTTCTTTGAACATTTTTTAAAAATAGCTGCTTTGAAATCTTTGTCTACTAAATCCAGCATGTAAAGGCACTCAGAGATAATTTCTGTGGACTATTGACTATTTTTCCTCTGAGTGTAGGTCACTTTATTTTTTGCATGTCTCATAAGTTTTTTCTTGACTGCGTCAGGTAGTATATTCTAGCAACTCTGGATTCTGACTTTTTTCCCCGAGGGTTGTTGTTTTGTGTTTTGTTTACTTGGATTAAATCTTTAATGTCTGCCTCCCCTGCAAGGCATGGCCACTAGTGTCAGGCTTTTTATTTTTTTTAAATTTTTTTTCTTAATTAGAGAAGTAAAGAAACAAAAGAATGGTTACTCCATAGACAGAGAAGCAGCTTTTTTTTTTTTTAATTATACTTTTAAGTTCTGGGATACATGTGCAGAACATGCAGGTTTGTTACATAGGTGTACATGTGCCATGGTGGTTTGCTGCACCCATCAACCCATCATCTAGGTTTTAAGCCCCACATGCATTAGGTATTTGTCCTAATGCTTTTCCTCCTCTTGCCCCCCACCCCCGACAGACCCCGGTGTGTGATGTTCCTCTCCCTGTGTCCATGTGTTCTCATTGTTCAACTCCCACTTATGAGTGAAAACATGCAGTGTTTGGTTTTCTGTTCCTGTGTTAGTTTGCTGAGAACGATGGCTTCCAGCTTCATCCATGTCCCTGCAAAGGACATGAACTCGTTCTTTTTTGTGGCTGCACAGTATTCCATGGTGCATATGTGCCACATTTTCTTTATCCAGTCTATCATTGATGGGCATTTGGGTTGGTTCCAAGACTTTGCTGTCGTAAATAGTAGAGCAGCAGCTTTTCCTTTCTCTTATATTTAAGCCTGATGTTTACCTTTGGGTCAGCATATCTTAGTGTTCAGTTGGCCAGAGATTGTACACAGGCAGCTCCATCCAGGAAAGCCTCCACTCCCTGCTGATGGATCTGTGTGTTGGCTGGGTAACATTGAAACTCAAGGCTGTTTTCCAGCCCCAGCTTTTACTCTATGCCGAGCTCTCTTGCAGTTCTCTATGTGTAGTTCCCATCAGCCAGGGCGGTGTGGGTGGCTTGGGCCTACTCTGGTTTATGTTGCTTATGTGCATAGCCTCCTGTCAACTAAGGCTATGTGGAGAGCTATCAAGCCCCTATCATTGAATTACCTCCTGGAACTCCATGTTAAATCCTTGGCCAGTTTGCCAGTCAGTGCATCGATTACCCCAAACAGGCTCATTATCTCAGACTAGGGGACCACTGGTCTTCCTTGTTTGCTTGCCACCAAAATCGTCACCTTAACAGTGCTCTAAATCAAGTGATCCTTGCCCATCAGCAGCCACAAAACTTCTGGTTTTCACAGCCTGCCCTGCCCTGGTGGAACTACCACACTGACAGAGTTAGAGAAGGAGGGGGCAGCCCAGGCAACAACCACCCAGAGCTTAGTGTTCTTTTCTGCAGTTCAGTCATTTTTAGGAACTTCTGTTTGTTATCTGCCTTTCAATGACTTCAGGGTGCTGAAGTGGTTGCTTTTTGACAGCAGTATCTGACTGTGTGATTCCTTTTTTTTTTTTTTTTTTTTTTGAGCAGGAGTCTCGCTCTTGTCACCCAGGCTGGAGTGCAGTGAGGCGATCTCGGCTCACTACAACCTCTGCCTCCTGGCTTCAAGTGATTCTCTTGCCTCAGCCTCCCAAGTAGCTGGGATTATAGGCGCCCGCCACTACGCCCAGCTAATTTTTGTATTTTTAGTAGAGCTGGGGTTTCACTATGTTGACCAGGCTGGTCTCAAACTCCTGACCTTAGATGATCCACCCACCTCGGCCTCCCAAAGTGTTGGGGTTACAGGCATGAGCCACCGCACCCAGCCTGTGATTCATTTTTGGGGAAGAGGATTTATAGACCTCCTCATTCCATCATGCTACAATTTCCTATGGATATTTTTCTTTTTTTTTTTAACATCTCTCTTTTCTACAATGAACATGTTTTTACTCTTAATAGGAATAAAATAATAAAAGTAATTGTTATTTTATTTTCTATTATTTACTTTTTAATTGACACATAGTAATTGTACATATTTATGGGGTACATAGTGTTATTTGATACAAATAATGTGTAGTGGTCAAATCAGAGTAATTAGCATATCCATCATAAAGGTAATTATTTAAAAAATTGTTTTACAAAAACAAATCAAACTTTACATTCTTCCACCAAGTACTAACCAAGCCCGACCTGCCTAGGTTTTGAGATCAGATGAGATCGGGAATGTTCAGGGTGGTACGGCTGTAGACCAAACCTTACATTCTAAGATCTATTCATACCTTCAGTTTTTATGTGCAAGATAAACCAGACCTTTTCCTTGTGCAGATGGGCTTGTGTGCAGAATGCAGAAGCTTGGTACCCATGAACACTCCCATCTGTGTGGTGTGTGAGGCCCCTCTTGCTCTACAGCTGCAGCCACAGGCAAGCCTCCACTTGAAGGTAATGAAATGTGATTCTGTAAAAACATGAATGAAATACATAGTAATGTTTGAACAGGTATATGTCCTTTTTCAGCTAGTGGGATGGGGTAACAATTTTTTTTTTTTTTTGAGACAGAATCTTGTTCTGTCACACAGGCTGGAGTGCAGTAGCGCAATCTCAGCTCACTGCAACCTCCGCCTCCTCAGTTCAAGTGATTCTCCTGCCTCAGCCTCCTGAGTAGCTGGAACTACAGGCGTGCACCACCACGCATGGCTAATTTTTATATTTTTAGTAGACATGGGGTTTCATCATCTTGGCCAGGCTGGTCTCAAACTCCTGACCTCAGGTGATGCGCCCACCTCAGCCTCCCAAAGTGCTGGATTACAGGCATAAGCCACCATGCCCGCCAGGATGGGGTAACAATTGATAAGCTAATATACATGAACAAAATCCATTCTATTTTTAGTAAGGTATGCTGTCCAAGAGTTTAATTTGCCAATAGGATCTATAATATTAAGAGAGATATGTAGGATTGTATTCCCTGAACATGGATTTGGAGGGCAAATTGCACTACAGCTAACAAAGACAATTTTTTACTTCATATATTTAAACTCCAACATTGCAGTTAGTGTTGATTTATAATTTTGTCCTTAAAGTGGCTCATACTTTTGTTTGCCTTATTTGATTATAGGTTCTTGTTATGGAGAAAAAGAATGACTAGAACTAGTCACATGGAAGAAAAAGTTATGTATCATCACTTACATCCAAAAAACTTTGCTCAAAAAATGATATCATACTGTGAACATTTTTTTGATAGAATCTTTAAACATACAACTAAATATTTTCTCCATTCTTCAATTTACAGTCCCATTTACTTCCTCTTTAATCCCAAGTAAAGGTCACTAGAGGATAAAATAGATTTAATAGAGGGAATTTGGGGGATTAAAAAACTAAGAATTTTTAGCAATAAGGGAAATGCATGGCATTATGTACAGGCCATAACACTCCTAAAATGGCCTTGTGGGTTGTATATGGGCAAAATGTATTCAGAGAAAAGATAAATCCACTTTTTCTTTCACCTTCAAGCTCCCTTTAGCATGAAGAGTTCACAAGTGTACAAGGCTGTGTGAGCCTTCAGAAATGAGATTTTGAATAACTGGCCAGGCCAAAGTCAGGTAGAGGAAAATTTACTAATCTTTTTGTTCAATGACTATTTTCAATCTTAAGATGCTTAAAAAGCCACTGCAGGAAGCCACTATACAGTCCTGGAAGTCTTTCTCCAGACTTCTTATATATGGGAGAGAGAAATCTATTTTTCTCTTATTTAAGCCTGTGTTATTTTGGGTGTTCTGTCAAGCACAGCAAATCTATTCTTATTAATACATTTATTCAGGATGTTTGAAGATAATATCACTGCAAACTCTTTGGACTATTCAGAACAGGAAGAATAGGGGTAAGTGTTAGTTGTGACCCAAACTCAATATATATAATATCATCTTCAGTATTTGAAATCTAGAGTTCTTCCCATTTTATGGGAAGGCAGAGAGACACAAAGGTACATGTAAGTAATTTTTCCCTTCAATTTGTTGTAAATCCTATATTGAGAATAAACACAGGACTTCTACAGTGATAAGCAGCATTAAATCCAGGAATGGCCTCTTTCTTGCAGGGCAATTTTTATAAGAGACATTTTTATGACATAATAAGTTATAATAGGAATAATTTGATAACTTATTTCTACTCCATAGGTGAGACAAAGTTAGAACATATAATGAGGAAATCAATAATGAATTCAAAGATGAGATTTAGAAAATGTGCCTCAAAACTTTGCAAGGAGTTTGGTTTTGCTGGGCTGCAACAATGCTGGGGTGCTGTGGGTTATAGGAGATGGCACCTTCTCTACCAGACTTTGTAGCTCAGATTTTTCCCTGTGGGCCCTGAAGGTTGAAAGTGGGGACAGGTTTTAACCAGACTTGATTTGTAGAGAGATTTTTATCATCATAACCTCTGATGCTGGAGAGAAGTGTGTGACTTTTTATGCCAGACAATCACTATTACTGCTTCTACTCACAGAAGGACATCTGTTTGGAAACCCTGGCCTGACAATCTTCATTCCAGTGCCTCTCCCAGATGTCATAAGGGTGACAGGTTTTGAGATAACATTCTCACCCAGACAGCCACCTCTGAAGTTGGTGGGAATACTCATGTGAACTGCTCAGGGAAGTCAGCAAGTCTTACCTCCCGGCAGGCGGCAGCATGCCATTGACAGCTCCCGTCCCCTTTCTGCGTTGGTCTCTAGCTCACTCCACTGAGTGCAAAAGCACCATCTGCGCTCTTCCTTCTATGATGAAGACAGATTCCATGGTAGTTGCAGTCTTGTGTGGATTTAAGGCACTGTTAATGCTGAGGAATTTTGCTCTATCAGATTTTTTTTTTTTTCTGCCGGGATTAGAAGATACAGTAGCAGAAGTTTCTGTATTTGACCTTTGGCAAAGATACCTATTTCAGAATAAGAGAAGATTTTACAACTTATTTATTTAAAATAATTAATACCTAATTTTTTGTAACAAATGAAATAATCCAAAGATATACCAAAAAGTGTATAATTTCTTCACTCTACCTCCATTTCTATTTCTCTGAAATAACCAACGTTAGCAGCTTAGAGTGTCCTTTTATGTATTTTTCTAGATTCACAGAAACATATTTATGTATATTCATACATTTAGATTTGGTTTGGTTTGGTTTTTTAAACAAAATGAAATCATGTTATATACTTTTCCTCGCAACTTAATTGTTTCACTTAACAAATGCATCTATTGGTCATTTCTTTTTTTATTTTTATTATTAATTTTTTTTGAGACAGGATCTCACTCTGTCGCCTAGGCTGGAGTGCAGTGGCACGATCATGGCTCATTGCAGCCTGAACTCCCGGGATCAAGTGATCCTCCTACCTCAGGCCCCCAAGTAGCTGAGACCACAGGCATATGCCACCACGCCAGGCTAATTTTTCTATTTTTTGTAGAGATGGGGTTTCACCTTGTTGCCCAGGCTGGTCTGGAACTCCTGAGCTCACATGATCCTCCCACCTTGGCCTCCCAAGGTTCTGGGATTACAGGCGTGGGCCACCGCACCTGGCCTCCATTGGCCGTTTTCTAAAGTTGAAAACTAATTTTAGCATCCCTGTTCACCAGAAGATGTTAACTAAAAACATTTATCAAGAAGAGCTACTACAGTTTCCTTTGGGATTTTACGAGCAACATGCAATATACCTCCAGGACTTCAGTCATGTTTATGGTTCTTAGAATTTATGAGGCTTAGGTCTGAAATACTCCTGAAAAGATCTGATAATTCCTGTGCCTGAGTCACAGGTGCCTTCAGTGAGTCCCAGCCTCTCACACCGTGATTTGGGGTTAAGGCCAGTGTAACCATAACTCCACCTCAAGCAGAACTTTATCTTAGTCAGTTTTGAGATTAAGTTTGCAATGACCTACTAGTTTGTTTTCAATATTCTTCCTTTTTAATTGTGTCACTTAAAGCTTATCACTTGGGAGTTTGAAAATTGTTCTCCTCTTCCAACTATTTTAAAAGGAAAAGTTTTATCCCAGTGACTAAGTGGCTCTGTTAAATAGCTTAGAATCATTCAACTATTCAGTATGTTGCAAAGGCTGTGGATGAAATAGCAAATGAGGATATTGACTTTTTAAAAGTTCTCATCATAGGTGTTTGCCATCCCCATTAAGGCCATCTGATGGTAGCCTCAATTCCAAATCACCGCCACAGACATCTGTGAATTTATGAGTATAGTGGATTGTGATATAAAATGATTTCTAACTGTGGGTCGTGGTCACTGCTCTAGAAAGAAGTGAGCCATGGCATGGTGTCAAAAGTCTCCACAAATAAAAACATAGAAAAACCTGTCAACCAAGAAAACTACGTTTAATAGACCTGACGCAGTAAAGTAGACCATCACTTAGACAAGTTCATAGTAGTATCTCAGAAGAAGGAGGGCAGGGAAAGGTATTTAAACGGAGTGAGTGCTGGACCCTAATGTAAACCATGGGCTGCGGGTGATAATGATGTGTCAGTGATGTTCATTGGTTGTGACAAATGTACCACTTGGGTGTGGGATGTCCATAGTGTGGGGGAGGCCGTGTCTGTGGCGTGGGACAGGGTATACGAGAATCTTCTGTAATTTCCACTCAATTTTGCTGTGAACCTTAAACTGCTCTAAAAATAAAGTTTAAAGTTTATTAATTAAAATTTAAAAAAACAGGGTTTTGTAAGGCAGGGCAGGGATTGGGCAGAGTATGCACTGGGCAAAGTTATGAGAAGCAGTTTTGGATTATGAGCCCTGCAAGGTGAGGTCTTGAAGGAAGCCGTTGGACTTGAGAAGTAAGCAATTTTAGTTGTTCTCCAGTTTTCTCTTCCTAGAGGAAGTATTTTCTGTAGCATACAGAAAGATTACTTTTATTTGATCTCAGTATTTTTTAACATGGAGACAGGAAATTTGTCTCATTTCTCAATGGGTTTCACCAGATCTTTTCTGAGGCAACATTTTCAGGAAAGTCACAGCCCTAAATCTCATAGATAAATGCTGGCCAATTGCTGATTATGCTGTGGCAACTTTAAGTAACTTTGAAGAATGTTGGCCCCCAGGGAGTGTCAGGAACCATTGAGAGCAAGAGTGTGATTCTTTGCCATTTTTAATAGCAGTCAGTTGGCCTCTGCCCTTTAGGAGTTGTTTAGATTGGCAACTGTGGTGCGTTGGCTCAGTGCCTAGGAAGACTTTGGAATCTTCCACTAAAATGGAGTTAACCAGACTTTAAAAGGCTGAGACTCCATAGAGCTACCTGGTGGTAGTGGAAATAAAACCCTGGGAGCTGGGCTTTGTTTTTCTTGATCATCCACTTTACCTGTATCAGCTTCTGAACACACTGTTTGATATATTAGTTTCAGGACATCTAGGGACCGCAGTGCTGGACTAGAAAGGAACACTTGAGCACCACTGGTCATTATCAATGGAAAAAGATTGTATCCTGAGAGAATAGTGGTCAGTAACTAAACGTGTTAGAAAACCTCTGATAGCTGAACTCCAGACTATTTTTACCATCATTTCTTTGTCTGTTGTTTTTCTCTGTATTGCAGTGTAACCCCAGGGTCCTGGCTTAGAAAGTTGTACTTACGGCCGGGCACGGTGGCTCACGCCTGTAATCCCAGCACTTTGGGAGCCTGAGGTGGGCAGATCACGAGGCCAGGAGTTTGAGACCAGCCTGACCCATATGGCGAAACCTCATCTCTACTAAAAATACAAAAATTAGCCAGGCGTAGTGGCATGCGCCTCTAGTCCCAGCTACTCGGGAGGCTGAGGCAGAAGAATCACTTGAACCCGGGAGGCAGAGGTTGCAGTGAGCTGAGATCTCGCCACTGCACGCCAGCCTGGGTGACAGAAGGAGATTCCGTCTCAAAAAAAAGAAAAAAATTAAGTTGTACTTACCACTCTCTTTCTTTTTTTTTTTTTTGAGACGGAGTCTTGCTCTGTCACCCAGGCTGGTGTGCAGTGGCGCGGTCTCAGCTCACTGCAAGCTCCGCCTCCCGGGTTCACACCATTCTCCTGCCTCAGCCTCCCCAGCAGCTGGGACTACAGGCGCCCACCACCACACTCGGCTAATTTTTTTGTATTTTTAGTAGAGACGGGGTTTCACCGTGTTAGCCAGGATGGTCTCAATCTCCTGACCTTGTGATCCGCCTGCCTCAGCCTCCCAAAGTGCTGGGATTACAGGCATGAGCCACTGCACCCAGCCACTACTCTCTTTCTTTGGCAGTCTTTTCACTTCTTCTATTTCTAAGTAAAAACTACAGAGCAAACCTAAATTCATATTTAACATGAAGCCCCAGAGGGTAAACCCAAGTCCAAGAACCAGATTACTTGTAAACACACAGATAATCCCTTGCTGGTCTAGGGTCTTTCTGTTTACTGTTTAAGCCATGAAATGGAACGTCTACTCAGTGTCACGGTTTTCACACTGGAGAAACACACACACACACACACACACACACACACACCCAACCTTACACATAACCAGTGCAGAATTTCCAACTTACCTTTTGAAAACCAAACGAATACTTTTTTCAGTGTGTTTGTTTGTTTGTTTGTGGTTTTGTTTCTTTTAAAACTACATTCAGGCTGGGCATGGTGGCTCACACCTATAATTCCAGCACTTTAGGGGGCTGAAGTGGGAGGATCACTTGAGGCCAGGAGCTGGACACCAGACTGGGCAACACAGTCGGATCCCATCTCTACAAAAACAAATGGAAAAAAAAAAACCCAAAAAAACCTACAGATATTTGTCTGACACTATTTACAGTAACTCCTAAACCAATCCAGTATTCAGGGCCTGGGTGCAGTAATAGGGCCTGTAGCTGAATGACTGACAGAAAAGACTGGTTGATGATTTCTTTGCACAGTTGTTTGCTCAGAGGAACATGTATGTCTTATTTTTTGTTGTTAAGGAGAAGGTAATTTGCCGGGCCTGTGGTACAGGAAATCCTGCTCACCTGAGATACTGTGTCACCTGTGAGGGGGCCCTGCCTTCATCACAAGAGGTAGGTTGATTGCATGTGCCAATCCTATATTTAGTGGCTACTATGTCAATGTTAATGATAATAGAGAAACAGAATCTGCCGAGGGGGTTGGGGAGAGAGACCAAAAAAAGCTTCTCATGGTAAACTGAAAGCAAGATTTCCATATGTGGGGAGAACTTTATATCAATACAAATTGTTTTCAAAGTCTTAACTTCAAGAGGATTCAGTAAAATCAATAATTTCTTATGATTTTGTTTAATAACTTTGCATGGGAGGCTGGCATTAGCCTGTGGGGAAGTGAACTCATTCACATTTCATTTACAGACAGGTATGTCTTTGTCATCCCCTCCACCTTCCCACACCCCATAGTCCATTGTCTTCGTTGACTCTGTATGCACACTGCTTTTTGAAATTGAGAACATTGTAGCCACCTATTTCTTGGGTTTCCTGCCAGCCTATTTTGAATGTTGAAGGGAAGAAATACGAGTATATGCACTTTAAATACGGTGATGATCTATTTTATGTTTATAAAACGTTTCTGATGAAAATTAAAATTACTTCCAGGTGACTCTTGCTTTGTACCGGAAGAAGCTGGCACTTACTAGCCAACTTGCTTCTTTTGGGTTGCTGTGCATGTTTCCGATTGTTTGTGAGGTTTGTTCTCATCTCGGACAGATTCCTCATGAAACTGGACAATGTGGTTATTATGGTCTACAGCAGCGGTCCCCAACCTTTTTGGCACCAGGGACCAGTTTTGTAGAAGACAATTTTTCCACGGACCTGGTTGGGGGATGGATTCAGGATGAAACTGCTCCTCCTCAGATCATCAGTCATGAGTTAGATTCTTATAAGGAACGCGCAACCTAGATCCCTCGCATGCACAGTTCACAATAGGGTTTGCACTCCTATGAGAATCGAATGCTGCCGCTGATCTGATAGGAGGCGGAGCACTCACCTCCTGCTGTGTGGCCTGGTTCCTAACAAGCCACAGATAAGTACAGTCCATGGCCCGGGGGTTGGGGACCCCTGGTCTACCGGTATCAAATGGGTGTGTACTAGTTTCCTAAGCACCATCAACTAGGTGGCTAACAACGACAGAAATCTATTGTCTTACAGCTCTGGAGACTAGAAGTCTAAAATCAAGGTGTTGGCAGGGCCACACTCCCTCTGAAGGTGCTAGGGAATGAACAGTTTCATCTTCTCTCCCAGCTTCTGGTAGCCTCAAACTTCCCTTGGCTTCTAGATGCAGCACTCCAGTCTCTGCCTTTGCCATCCCGTGGAGCTCTCCCTCTGTGTCTGCCTGTGTGTGTATGCCACTGTGTCCAGATTTCCCTTTTTCATAAGGACACCAGTCACACTGGATTAGGGCCCACCCTAATGACCACATTTTAACTTGATTACCTCTGTACAGACCTTTTTCCAAATAAGGTCCCATTCTGAGGTACTGAGAGTTAGGACTTCAACTTATCTTTTTCTGGGCAGACAGAATTCAACCTATAGCAGTGGAGTTGGACAAGATACCTTTTTTTTTTTTTTTGAGATGGAGTCTCACTCTGTCACCCAGGCTGGGGTGCAGTGGTGCAGTCTCGGCTCACTGCAACCTCCGCCTCCCTGGTTCAAGCGATTCTCCTGCCTCAGCCTCCTGAGTAGCTGGGATTACAGGCACATGCCATCACGCCTGGCTAATTTTTGTATTTTTAGTAGAAACGGGGTTTCACCATGTTGGCCAGGCTAGTCTCAAACGCCTGACCTCGTGATCCGCCCAACTCGGCCCCACAAAGTGCTGGGATTACAGGCTTGAGCCACTGCGCCCTCTGACAAGATACCTTTTAATGTCGTCTAATCACGGACAGTCTAAGAGTAGTTGATTTGAGGGAACTCCTTTTGTTTCCAGCTTTATTGAGATATGATTTATATGCAGTAAAATTCACCTATTTTAATTGTACAGTTTGATGAATGTTGGTAATTATATATAGCCATTTTAACTACCACCACAATGAAGATATTTAACAGTTCTATTTACCCTGAAAAGTTTTCTCATTCTTCTTTCTAGTTGAGCCACTTCCCTGGTCACCAGACCCAAAAAATACAGATCTGTTTTGACACTATGATTTTGTCTTTTATGGAAGTATGTAGTTTTTTGTGAGTGCTTCATTTCCTTCACTTAGCAGAATGTTTTTGAGGTTCGTTCATGTTGTTGCATGTATTGATTTTTTTTTTCATTTTGATTGTTGAGTACTATTCCTCAGTATGGATCTACTGGTTGATTCATCCACAGGTACTCATGCTGTTTCCAGTGCCGGCACACTATGAATAATGCTGCATTACATGCAAATCTCTGTGTGGGCATAGTTTTCATTTTTCTTAGGTAAATACCTAGGAGTAGGATTGCTGGGTCCTATTTAAACGCATGTTTAATTTTATAAGATACTGCCCTATATGAAACTGGAACCTTCATATATTGCTGGTAGGAACAGAAGTGGTATACATTCATATATTGCTGGCATATCACTTGTGTTTCTACTAGCAATATATAAAGGTTCCAGTTTCTCTGCATCATCTCCAACACTTGATATCACCTGTCATTTTTTTCTTTTCTTTTCTTTTTTTTTTTTTTTGTTGTTGTTGTTATTGAGACGGAGTCTTGCTCTGTCGCCCAGGCTGGAGTGCAGTGGCACAATCTTGGGTCACTGCAACCTCCACCTTCTGGGTTCAAGCCATTCTCCTGCCTCAGCCTCCCAAGTAGCTGGGACTACAGGTGCCTGCCACCATGCTTGACTAATTTTTTTGTTGTATTTTTAGTAGAGATGGGGTTTCACCATATTGGCCAGGCTGGTTTTGAACAACTGACCTCAGGTGATCCACCCGCCTTGGCCTCCCAAAGTGCTGGGATTACAGGCATGAGCCACCGCGCCCGGCCGGTATCACCAATCATTTTAATCATGATATTCCCTTTTTACCATTTTAATGTATGTAGGATCTATTCCCCTCTTTCATGCCTGATATTTGTAATATGTGTGTTCTTTCTTTATCATTCCTTCTCTCTCTGTCTGGCTTGTAAATTTTATTGATCTTTTCAAGATCTAGCTAGATCTTTTCAAAGAACTAGCTTCTGGTTAATTCATTTGCTCTATTTTTTTGAATCCTATTTTTTTTATTTTGCTCTTTATTTATTCTCTTTTCTTTGGGTTTAATCTGATTTTCTTTTTCTAATTTTTAAGATGAGAACTCAAATTATTCATTTCAAATTTTTCTTATTTTCTAACACAAACTATAAATTTCTAAGAACTTCTTTGGCAGCATCCTATGTATTTTCATTATAATTCAGTTTAAAACATTTTCTCATTTATCAGTGATTTCTTCTTTGACCTATGACTTATTTATTTGATTCCAAAACATATGCACTTTCTCTACTTATCTTACTCTTATTGAGGTCAAATTTAATTCCATTAATGGTCAGAGAGCACACTCTGTATAATTTCAGTTATTTTAAATTAATGAGGTTTATTTTATGGCCCAGCATCTAACTTGGAAAACATATCAGGTGCATTTGAAAAGAATGTGTGTTCTGTCATTGTTGCGTATTCTATAAATATCAATTAAATCAATGTGGAATGTTGCACAGATATTATATATCTTTGCTTATTTTTGTCTAGTTTTTCTAGCAAATAATGAAAACGGGGTATTGGAAAGCTCCAACTATAGGAAGTGAAAGACTTGTACATTAAAAACTATAAAACATTGATGAAGGAAATTGAAGAACACACAAATATAGTAATGCATCACTTAATGACAGGGAAACATTCTGAGAAATGCATTGTTAGGTTGTTTCATTGTTGTGTTAGCATCATGGCATGTACAGTACTTTCACAAACCTAGATGGTATAGCCTACTGCATACCTAGGCTATCTGGTATAGCCTATTGCTCCTAGGTTGCAAACTTTACTCAGTGTTCTAGGCACTTGTAATACAAATCACAAGGTGATAGAGGTTTTTGGCTTCTATAAAATATGATGGGGCCCACTGTCATATGTGGAGTTCATCATTGACCAAAATATCATTATGTCGTGCATGACTATAAATGGAAAGATATCCCATGTTCATGGACTGGAGGAATTAATATTGTTAAAAAGTCCATAATACCTAAAGAGAGATCTACAGATTGAATGCAATCCCTATCAAAATTTTGCTGACATTTTTCACAGAAATAGAAAAAAATCTTAAAATTTGTATGGAACCACAAAAGACCCTGAATAGCCAAATCAATTTTGAGAAAAAAAAAAAAAAAGAACAAAGCCAGAGACATCACACTTCCTGAGCTACTATAAAGCTATACAGGCTGAGTATCACTTATCTGAAATAGTTGGGACCAGAAGTATTTGGATTTTAGGTTTTCTGGACTTTGGAATATTTATGTATTTATAATGAGATATCTTGATGATGGGACCCAAGTCTAAACATGAAATTCTTTATGTTTCTTATACACGTTATACAAATGGCCTGAAGGTAATTTTATATAATATTTTAAATAACATAGTGCATGAAACAAAGTTTTGACTGCATTTCAACTGTGACCCATCACATAGGTCAGTTTGGATTTAGGACCATTTTAGATTTTAGATTTTCAGATTAGAGATATTCAGCATATAGTAATCAGAACAGCATGGTACTAGCATAAAAACAGGCATGTAGACCAATGGACAAGAATAGAGAGCCCAGAAATAAATTCATGCATCTACCATCAATTGATTTTCAACAAAAGTGCCAAGAACACACAATGGGGAAAGGATAGTCTCTTCAATAAGTGGTTTGGGAAAAACTGGATATTTACATGCAGAAGCATGAAATTAGATCCTTATCTCACACCATATACTAAAATCAACACAAAATGGATTAAACTGAAAAACTTCTATTGGAAAACATAGGGAAAAAGCTTATGACATTAGTCTGGGCAATGATTTTTTTCGGATATGACCCCCAAAGCACCGGCAACAAAAGCAAAAAATAGACAAACAGAATTACATCAAACTAAAAAGCTTCTGCACAGCAAAGGAAACAATGAACACAGTTAAGAGACAACCTACAGAATGGAAGAAAATATGTTCAAACCATACATCTGATAAGGGATTAATATCCAGTACATATAAGGAACTCAAACAACTCAATAGTAAGTAAACAAATAATGCCATTAAAAATGGGCAAAGGGAGCAGTCCTGCATGGCTTCTGCTAGCAGAAGCTGCATGGTAGGGCAAACTGCTGTGCTCTGGGGCCAGATGATGCTCCAGGGTGGATGAGGCACCTGCAAATCCAGCTGAGCATTGCAAGCCACCCAGGGAGAGATTTTTTCAAAAGCCTATGGGACATACCATTATTCCTGGATGCCTAGTACATTTAAGATGCCTGACAGCATGAAAAGTACTTGGAATAAGTGCAGGATGTCACCTGGAATCAGAGTCCTAAGTGATCTGGACTTTCCTTAATTCTAAATGCGGCATTCTTCATTTCAAGGTGCCTTTGAGCTTCTGATAAATGCAAACTGACAACCCTCAAGGCACAATGGAGGGGAAATAGTTGGTGCTTAAAGCCTAGAAGACTGCCCTTAACCAAGCAAAGTCCCTGATTGGCATTTGAAATGCTGAGGCAGTTGCTGTGGAGACATTTTTCTTATCCCACTAAATACCACTTTGTGGTTCTTATTTTTTCCCTAGTCACCTCCGTTTTAAGGATTCATCAAAAGTCCAAATCTGTAAGCGTCACATATGTGGAGCTTGTTGGAGAGAATCCTAGTAGTCATATTAATTGCACCAAAGTTTTACGGGGGGGATGTAGATGAAATCCAAAAGGTAAAACTTGAGATGCTAACAGTGAAATTTACTAAGTGCCCTTGGTGTATACCTGACGGCTTTATAAACATGACCAGTTATGTACTTCTTCATGTACTTCTTTCATCAAGAGATGTAGATATATTGTAGAACCCCTTAAGAAGGAAGAGGTGAGGTTTCCAATAGCATATTCTATACTGGTTCATTATAAAACTGAAACGCTTGACAGGCTCCAGAGAGCCATCTATATGCCTCAGAATTTCTATTGCATTCATGTGGACAAAAAAAATCAGCAGATTCCTTTTTAGCTGCAGTGATGGGCATTGGGTCATTTCAGTAACATCTTTGTGGCCTGTCAGTTGGAGAGTCTGGTTTATGCCTTGTGGAGTCGGGTTCTGGCTGACCTCAACTGCATGAGGGACCTCTGCACAGTGAGTGCAGACTGGAAGTACTTAATACATGTTTGTAGTATGGATTTTCCTATTAAAACCAACCTAAAATTGTTAGGAAGCTCAAGTTGTTAATGGGTGAAGACAGTCTCAAAGCCAAGAGGATGCCATCCAATAAAGAAGAAAGGTGGAAAAAGTGGTATGCAGATATTAATGGAAAGCTGACACATGTGGGGACTGTCAAAGGGCATCCTCCGCTGGAAGCACCCATTTTTTCAGGCAGTGCCTATTTTGTGGTCAGTAGGGAGTATGTGGGGCATGTGCTAGAGGATGAAAAAACCCAAAAGTTTATGGAGTGGGTGCGAGGCACAGACAGCCCAGATAAGTATCTCTAGGCCATCATCCGAAGGATCGCTGAAGTCCCTGGCTCATTCGCCTTAAGCCATAAGTACAAGTTGTCTGGAATGCATGCCGTTGCTAGGTTTGTCAAGTGGCAGTACTCTGAGGATGACGTTTTCAAGGATGCTCCCTACCCACCCTGCAGTGGGGTCTCCATGCACTCAGCATGCATTTTCGGAGCCAGCAGCTTGAACTGGATGCTGTGTAAACACCTATGGGTGCAAGCTTATACGTTTGACATGGATGTTGACCTCCTTGCCACCTAGTGTTTGGATGAGCATCTGAGGCATAAAGCTTTGGAGACTTTAAAACACTGACCATTATTAGCAATTTTGCGAATAAGAAGAAGGATGCACAAAATGCCCGCTATCTCATTCATCTTCCTTGTCAATAAGCATCAGAAAAGTTGTTTGGGGTCCTATTTGGGGCAGGGACTTTAAATCTTCATGTCAGAGAAGCTGCATGTTTTCTGCAGAGTACAATTGGCTAGAAAGGTGTTATAATTTCTACTTTAAACAATTATAAGGGCTTGTAAGGGAATTAAGAGGAAAAAACCAAAAAGATAAAGCTGTTTGTTTTTTTTTTTGTATTTACACCAATATTTATTTTTACTATTTCTGATGTTCTTTACTCTTCTCTGTGGACCTGAGTTTCTGTCTGGTATCATATCCCTTCACACAGAGGAACTCCCTTTATCACTTCTTAGAGTGCAGGTCTGCTGGCAGTGATTTCTCTTGGTTCTCTTTTACCTGAAAATGTCTTTATTTCAACTTCATTCTCAAAGAGTATTTTTGATGAATATGTAATTCTGGGCTGACAGTTATTTTCTTTCTGAACTTTAAAGCTGTTCCACACTCTTTTGGCCTCCATGCTTTCTGCTCAAAAGTCAAATGTAAATCAAATTGACATTTTCATGTACGGGATGTGTCATTTTTCTCTTGCTGCTTTTAAGATTTGCTCTTTATTGTTGGTTTTCAGCAGTTTGGCTATAATGTGCTTTAGTGTGAAGTAATTCTGGTTGGTGTTCATTTAGAATCTTGTCGCTGTAAATTTCTGTCTTTCATCAGATTTAGGAATTGTTCGGCCATGATTTCTTTATTTTTCTACTCCACTCATTTTCTACTCTCCGTCTGGAAGTCCATGTACACACCTGTTGAATTGTTTGATATTATCTAATAAGTCCCTGAGGTTCTGTTCATTTTTTTTTTTTTTTTTGAGATGGAGTCTCGCTCTGTCATCCAGGCTGGAGTGCAGTGGCGCAATCTCAGCTCACTGCAACCTCCGCCTCCCAGGTTCAAGCGATTCTCCTGCCTCACCCTCCCGAGTAGCTGGAATTACAGGTGTGCACCACCAAGCCTGGCTAATTTTTGTATTTTCAGTAGAAACGAGGATTTACCATGTTGGCCAGGCTGGTTTCATACTCCTGACCTCAAGCGATCCACCTGTCTCGGCCTCCCAAAGTGCTGAGATTACAGGCATGAGCCACCGCGCCAGTCCTGTTCATTTTTTAAAAATCTTTTTTTCTCTTCACATTGTATGATTTCTGTTGATCTATCCTCCAGTTCACTTACACTTTCCTTTACCATCTCCTTTAGCTATTCAGTCCGTCTAGTAAATATTTTATTTTAAATATTATCTTTTTCTATTCCAGAATTCTCACTTGTTTCTGTTTTTATTGTTTCTATTTCTTTGCTGAGATTTCCTCTTTTTATTCATTGTGGACAGAATATGCTTTAAATTTCTGGTTTGCTTCTTTCAACATCTGATTCATCTTAGGATCAATTTTGTGTGTGAAGCACTAGTTATAGTTTGTTCCAGGCAGCACATTCCCCAAAAGCAAGCATATATATCATTGCCTACTAAAACAAAGCAAACAAACAACAAAATCCCCAGAGTAACAGAATCTAGAAAGTACCACAGCTGAACATTCATAATGCTAGGGTACAATTTAAAATTCCTCAACATACTGAATACCAAGAAAAAAATTTGAGGGGAGGAGGGACAGAAAGTTTGGTCTCCATTCAGATATTTTATCTTTAGCTGAACTGCTTCAAGCCTATTCTGTACATATGTTGTTCAAGGATTGGTAAAAGATCTGAATACACAGAGAAGATCTTCTCTCTTTCTTGTTTCTTTCTGGGAGCTCCCTGCCTCTTCAGCAGCCAAATATTCCCCAGCTTCAGTTTTCTGGTTCTCTTGGCCAGAAATACTGCCTTGTGCCCACCGCTTCACATGCGCTATGTAGACTACCCTTAGCTCCAGGCTGAAAACTGTGACGATGGGAACTGACTTTGTATAACTCCCCTCCTGCTTGTATGTACTTGCTGCAACTCTACCTGCTTCTGTTCATTCTCTACTGCCTTCATGTATTATCAGCAGATTTTTTTTTTTGAGACAGAGTCATGCTCTGTCGCCCAGGCTGGAGTACAGTGGCATGATCTTGGCTCACTGCAACCTCTGCCTCCTGGGTTCAAGTGATTCTCCTGCCTCAGCTTCCCAAGTAGCTGGGATTACAAGCATGTGCCACCACGCCCGGCTAATGTTTGTATTTTTAGTAGACATGGTGTTTCACCGTGTTGGCCAGGCTGGTCTCGAACTCCTGACCTCTAGTGATACACTCGCCTCAGCCTCCTAAAGTGCTGGGATTACAGGTGTGAGCCACCACACCCGGCCTATTATCAGCAGATTTTATAGTTGTTTTTTGTGTGGGAGTCATTTATTATGGTCTTATGCTATCATTACCAGAAGGAAAAATCTGTAGTTTTTTTTAAAAAAAGATGATTTCTGTTACATACGATGTGTTTCTTTTTCAGAACTGAGACTAAAAACAAACTAATGAGGTGTTGAATTTCATCAGAAAACACATCTATTTCCACATCAAAGCTGATGTAATTTTAGGGTTCTCTTTTGTTGAGAGTTGTCTATTAATGTGGTTTTAGACTTGATATCACTCTCTCATCATAAAATGACACTCTATAATTTTTTCCAAGGCACCAGAGAGAGTAATAGTGAGATTGGGAAAGCATAAAAATAGAAAACAGTGGAACTTCTGGAATTCTTGAAATATTCTTACAGATAGATTTCAGTAAATTGCCAGCAAAAGATTTTCTCAGACATCCTTTCCTCAGGCATTCAGGACTTCTTATGTAAATAATAAAACCATTTAAATTGATTTTGTTAACTGTCAGTGATGTAACTGTTTCTGGGTCTCATCTATCAACAAAACTATTTTCAGAACAATCCCAAAATTGAATTTGTTCTAAAAATTGTATTTCTATCTGAATGGTATATCAGAGCTTAGATGCCACAGGATAATACTTATCTCTGTAGTCCATAGAAGTAACAATGCATGTTCATTCTGATAGCTTTATGTCTTTTCTTTGTTTAGCAGCATTAATATGATGGGGTAAGATAACTTTTCTTTCTCTTCTTTTTTTTTTTTGTTTTTTTTTGTTTTTTTGATCAGTAAGACTACCAGAAAGATAACTTTTCTTTCTTTAAAGCAATGTTATGTTTAAAAGCCACTTGAACAGTCAGTACATTTCAATGAAAAGTCTGAAGGCTTTGTATTTAGAAACCAAGGTCAGCAACCTTTATGCCAAAATCCTGTTTTAAGAATAGGATAATTGAAATGTAAGTTCTGAAGCAAAAGTTTGCAGAGAATTTCTCTTTGATTTACCTGAAGGAGTTTCCCTCTAATTGCACAGAAATGAAGGCAAGCGCACACAAAGAGGCCCTCTGTTCTCGGGTGTCTATGAATGCTGGGGGCTGATGTGGCCTCTCTTGAGTAGGTTTCTATTCTAGATAACAGAGCGGTCCCTGAAGCAAAACGGGATAGAGCTGGGCAGATAGAGTGAACTAAAATGTGTGTCTTTAGGGAAAAGTGCCCTTAGCAAATGTTTTCCCTGGTGTGCGTGTTCTTAGTATTGTGCCTGGCATATGTGGTAATACACATTCAGTTACCAATTGAATCAGTCATTCATTGACTCAGTAAAACCTTTTGAATGACTCCCATGTGCCAAGGTACCAGGACTGTCCTAGTGCGGGGAATAAAAGTGAAATTATAGTCCTTTCTCCTGAAGAAATCAGGGTCTAGTGGAAAGGAAGGTGGGACCGGAAGGAAGCTGGCCGGTGGAGCTTGGCCCTGTGCTAAGCATTCCTATCCACTTAACTGTGGGTAATCGTCTGAAACTCCCTACAGACCTGGGAGTAAGCTATTGTATTGAAGGGGCTGTATGGAGTCAGGGAGAGAAGCCAGGCTTTAGAGTCAGATGGCTCTAATCGTGCATCTCACCCTCTCTGTGTCCCCAAGCTCTCCCTCTGTAAGATGGGGACAATGACAGCACCCACCTCCCAGGTCTACAGTGGGACTGACGTGAGGGTGCAGGGCAGTGTGGGAATGGAGCCTGCACATGGTGGGTGGTCAGGTAGCAGCCACTGTGCTGTCACTCCCATTTGGGAAGTGAGCAAGTCTCCTACCAGGCAATAGTGAGGAAGCAACAGATTCAAATATAGGTTTACCTAACATAGTCCCAGGAATTCTCACAAAACAATTCTGCCTCTGTCCCCAATATAAAATAATTGTTCTCATGTGTCAAGAATGGGAAATGAAGTCACATTTTTCTATGGAAACCAAAACTCCAAAGGATAGAAGATAAGCCTCAATCATGACCGCTCAGGTAGCTTAGCTCTCTTCTTCCTTCATTAATATTGTTCTGTTAAATCAACAGTAGGGCTTGCTATCCCTGATATTAAAGATATTGAAAAATATTAAGATGTGCAAGGTACCAGTTTCATTGACTTTCTGTTATCTCCATGAAGGAATGTGAGCTCTATGTACTAATTTATTAATTGGTGAAACTCATCATAGCTGTACTCCTTTGGGAAAAAAACAAAACAAAACAAAACAAAAAAAACACTATTTCCGGGGCTCATCTTGTCTGGGAATTTTTTATCTTTTTTGAATTGGGAGGGGGATTAGAGAATATAGTACTGATCCTGCCTTTAAATGCCATTTCATTCACCAGTCGATGTGCAGTGGGGATAAAGCCCCTCCTCCGCCCACTCAGAAAGGGGGGACCATTTCCTGCTACAGATGTGGTCGCTGGAATCTCTGGGAGGCGTCCTTCTGCGGCTGGTGTGGAGCCATGGTGGGTATTTTAAAACTGAGATTCTGTATACTGAGCACCTCACCACTGGCCTGGAGAGAGCCAGGCACTTCTTCCATGGCCTTGCAGAAATCACTTCTTGTGATTTCGCTACTGGTACCTATAACCTAAGAATCTGGAGATAGAGATAATTAATTATCTTACACTGAGAGCCATCTCTGATGACTGTTTTGACTTGCATTTCTTTGAGGTTAAACCTTTTCACTCGTTTATTGACTACTGGCATTTTTTAAAATGAATTATGTCTGCCTGCCTTTATAATAAAACACTCAAGACTATGTATTTATTTAAGTATCGCATGCAAATAACAAAAAAGTTTTAGAGTGAAGGGTTAGTCTCCTCTCTCTCTAAGTCCCACAGTTCTCCTCTCAGAAGCAATTGCTCAGATCCAGTTCTTGAGATGTTCTTTCAGCTATTCAATGCATGTATAAGTAAACTGGTGCTATGAACACTGACCCAATTATTTTCACCTAGCAAGGTGTCTTGTTAGTAACCTCCTCATTCTTTTCAGTGACTTCATAATCCATTGTTTGTATGTATGTACTGTGTTATATTTAGACCATCCCTATTGCTGGACATGTGTGTTGTTTTCAGTGATTTCTTTTAAAACCACAGTGTTTTAGGGGTTGACCTGGAGTACACTTCTTTCTGTACTTGTCCATCTGTAGGATAAATTCTGGAAGGTAGAATGGCTGGGTCAGAGAGTCTGGGCATATGTTAATTTGTATGGTATGAGAATAATTTACATGAGGAAATTATAACTCTAATATTCATCAAGATATTTTCTATCCTCTAGCTCGGCATTCCTGCTGGCTGTTCTGTTTGCCCTAAATGTGGGGCCAGCAATCACCTGTCTGCCCGATTCTGTGGCTCCTGTGGTATTTGTGTGAAGTCCCTAGTGAAACTTAGCTTGGACAGAAGCCTGGCTCTAGCTGCTGAGGAACCTCGCCCTTTTTCTGAGGTGAGGCCTCCCCTGTAGTAAGAACTGGTACCCAGGAAGAGGCTGTAACTCTGAATGTGTGTGCTCCACCCTGTGAATCAACCCGGGGAAGAGACCCAAAACTTTTAGAACTTTCACATGGAATTTCAACTAGGTGTGTAAATAAATGCAGTCAATTTAGATTTTAATTGCATTTGCAAGGCCGTAGACATAATGCCACTTTAGTGGCTTTAAAATACATGAGACAGAATGCACTTCTCTTGAATTTCTTATGTAGCATTCTGAGAACTTTTCCTTCCCCTTTTTTATATTTTAGAAAGCTTAGGGTATATAAGATTGCTTTTGTAATTTATAACAGCTGGGCATAGTTTGAGGACAAATCTCACCAGGTTATTTTCAGAAGTACTTAAGCTCTAACAACTGGCTTTGTGTTAGATTTTTATAATTTTATACATTTCTCTAAGCTGGATAAAGACTTTCCATGTTTCTTCTTATCTCTTTATTATAAGAAGTTAAAGATTGATCATTATTAGAGGATACACTCAGCACTTTGTATGCAGTTTTAGGGAGTTCATGACCTTTTTTTTTTGAGACAGAGTCTCGCTGTGTTGCTCAGGCTGGAGTGCAATGGTGCAATTTTGGCTCACTGCAACCTCTGCCTCCCAGGTTCAAGCAATTCTTCTGCCTCAGTCTCCTGAGTAGCTAGGATTACAGGCCCGTGCCACCATGCCCGGCTAATTTTTGTATTTTTAGTAGAGATGGGGTTTCACCATGTTGGTCGGGCTGATCTCGAACTCCTTACCTCGTGATCCACCCACCGTGGCCTCCCAAAGTGCTGAGATTACAGGCATGAGCCACCATGCCCAGCCGTTCATGGCTTTCTTAACCCAGTTTGAAAGATTTAAATCCTAAACTGCCACTAGCCCTTATTCCTTTGTGCAAATGAAACAAAGGTGTTCTTTTCTCAAGACACTTGACTGCCATCTATTGGAAATTGCTTGTAATATACTGGTTTCTCTACTAGAAAAATTACCCTAATACATATGCAAATATATGATGTTCACCATATGAATGGTACTACTTTGAATGCAGTGACGTTGTGCAACGCACAACCTTTCATGGTAGTCCTCTCAGGTCCCCAGGTTTAGATGCAGGAAAGTATGTTAGAGAAAATGTTGGTGACCAGTGGCTGAGTGTGGATTAGTAGTGAAGTCTATGCTCTATTGGATTACAGAGCTGAAAAGGATAGATATCTTCCAGGCATCAAGCAGGCCGGCAAACACCCCTTGATTTGCTGACTTTTAGATAATAAATGGCTAATCCTGGATCAGGCTGGAAGTTGCTGAGAAAGACAGGAGCAAGGAAGATGAGGCAAAGGCTGGAAAACCCTATTAGTTCCAAGTACACTTTTCTTGAGATACTTTTTATTCTGATTAGAGTTGTTTTCTATAAGTAAAATGCAAGATTGATTAAATTATATTCTAATTTTAAAAATGTCTTCTGCCTCACGCATGGCCCCGATGTGCCTGGCAGTCCCTGAATATTCCTTTGCCCAGATCTGATGTTGGGACTAAGAGGGACATAGGAACACAGACTGTTGGCCTCTTCTACCCATCTGGCAAGCTGCTAGCAAAAAAGGAACAGGAACTAGCCTCTCAAAAGCAGAGGCAGGAGAAAATGAGTGACCATAAACCCCTCCTGACAGCCATCAGCCCAGGAAGAGGTAAGGGGGAGGATGCCCTTTCTTCTGGTCGGGAGGGAATTCACTCTTTCTGTGAAAGAACATTTCATTTTCTCTTCCTTTTAGATTTATTTGTATGTGTAAGAAGTAAGTTTCTTTCTTTTCCTCTTTTTCAAGTAATTTTCTTTGTATTGGAAAAAGAAGCTCTTCCTGTAAGCTCCTTCTTAAACTTTCAGTATTCTGATGTTTTAGCTCATAGCCCTGTAGTCTAGTTCCTCAGTCACATGGCGCATGTGGGTTTCTTTTGTCGTGACGGCATGTTGTTAGTGCACAGTGCTATTGCTATCTGCCATTATCCCTTTTTTTAATTGTAAAATTTAAATAACATAAAATTCACCATTTTGACTATTTTTAAGTCTATAATTTGGGCCAGTTGTGGTGACTCATGCCTGCAATCCCAGCACTTTGGGAGGCCAAGGCTGGAGGATCTCTTGAGTCTAGTCTGGCCAACAAAGTGAGACCCTGTCTCTACAATTTTTTTTTTAAAGCAGTCATTTGTGGTGGTGCATGCCTGTGGTCCCAGCTACATGCTTCAAATTTCATTTTGAAATTTAATCTCTATTGTGGTGGTATTAAGTGGCGGGACGTTTTGGAAATTGATCATGAGGATGGAGCCCTCATGAATAGATCAGTGCCTTATGAAAGGGCTGGAGGGAATGAGTTAAGGCCCCTTTTTGTCCTTTGGCCCTCCCTCCATGTGAGGACACAACGTTGCCCTCCTTTGGAGGATGCAGCAACGAGGCACCATTTTGGAAGCAGAGAGACCAGGCCCTCCCCAGACACCTAACCTGCAGGGACCTTTATTTTGGACTTCTAGCTTCCAGAATGTGAGAAATAAATTCCTGTTCTTTATAAATTACCCAGTCTCAAGTATTTTGTTTATAGCAGCACAAATGGACTAAGACAGTTTGCTAGTATTTTCTTGAAGACTTTTGTGTCTATATTTATAAGAGATATTAGTCTGCAGTTTTCTTCTTTCCTTCTACTGTCTGTCTGATTTTGGTATCAGGATAATGGTAGCCTTATAGAAACACTTCTTTTTTTTTGAAGTGGTTATGAAGAATTGGTATTAACTATTATTTAAATTTTGGTAAATTACCTGTGAAGCTATCTGGATCTGATGTTTGTCTAGTGGGCAATTCTGATTACTCTTTACTTTTTATAGGTCTGTTCAGATTTTCTATTTCTTGTTGAATCAGTTTTGGTAGTTTGTGTTTTTCCAGATATTTATCTATTTCATCTGATTAATTTATTAGCATACAGTTGTTTGTGATACTCTTTTATAATCTTTTTTATTTCAATAAAGTTGGTGATAACATCTCCTATTTCATTTCTAATTCTAGTAACTTGAGATGTCACTTTTTTTGGTCAATCTTACTAAAGGTTTATCAATTTCATTGATCTTTTCCAAGAACCAACTTTTGGTTTTATTGATTTTCTATTATTTTTATATTCTGTATTTCACTAAATTCCACTCTCATCATGATTTCCTTCTTTCTTCTTACTTTAAGTTGACTTTGCTCTTCTTTTCCTCGTTTAAGGTCAAAGATTAGGGTGATGATTTTGAGATCTTTCTTCAGAATGTGAACATTTGCTGCTATAAATTTCTGTTTGAGCTTTGCTTTCACTGCGTCCCATAAGTTTGGTGTACCTTCATTTTCTTTCTTTCTTTCTTTTGAGATAGGATCTCACTTTGTCACCCAGGCTGGAGTGCGGTGGCACAATCATGGCACACTGCAGCCTTGACCTCCTGGGTTCAAGTGATCCTCTTCCCTCAATCTACTGAGTAGCTGGGAGCACAGGCACAAGCCACCACACCTGGATAATTTTTAAACGTTTTTGTAGAGATGGGGTGACACTGTGTTGCCAGTGTTGCCGGTCTCAAACTCTAGGTGTCAAGGAAGCCTCCCACCTTAGCCTTCCAGAGTGCTAGGATTACAGGCATAAGCCCCTGTGTCCAGCACCATGAATCAGGGTTTTTTGTCCATTCTGACAATCCCTGTTTGTTTGTTTTTTAAATTGGATTGTTTCATCCATCTACATTTAATGTTATTATTGATAAAGTTGGACTTATCATTTTGCTTTTTGTTTTCCAAATGTTTCTAAATGCCTTTTTTGTTCCTCTGTTGCTCCTTTACTGCTTTCTTTTGCATTGCATATTTTCCAGTGTAACATTTTGATTTATTTAATGACTTTTTCACTACATACTTTGAGTTATTTCCTTAGTGGTTACTATAGGGTTTTCCTCATACATCTTAACAGACTATACTTCAAGTTTATACTAAATTAATTCCAATGAAATATATAAATTCTACCCCTATAATTCAATTCCCTCTTCCCAACTTTTGTGGCATTATTTTCTAATATAACATTATGTTTATGTTTACATATATGTTATAAACTCTCAAAACACTGTTACAATTATTAGTTATAACATGATGTCTTTTAAAAAAAGAACTATTATTTATGGCTTTTGTTATATTAGCCTTCTTTTCCCCCATTTATAGTTCTCTTAATTTATTCCTTTGGATTATTTCCTAAGCCCAATGAAGCTTTGCTCTTACTCACCTCCCTTTTTTTTTTTTTTTTTTTTTTGAGACGGAGTCTCGCTCTGCCACCCAGGCTGGAGTGCGGTGGCGTGATCCCGACTCACTGCAACCTCCGCCTCCTGGGTTCAAGCGATTCTCCTGCCTCAGCCTCCCAGATAATTTTTTGTGTTTTTAGTAGAGACAGGGTTTCACTGTGTTAGCCAGAATAGTCTCGATCGCCTGACCTCGTGATCCACCCGCCTTGGCCTCCCGAAGTGCTAGGATTACAGGCGTGAGCCACCACGCCTGGCCTCACCCACCTTCTTTGTGTTGTTATTGGTCAATATATCTTATTTCTATATGTTATAGGCCAAACTGTATAATTATATTCATATTCATATTGTTTTACATACTCTCTTTTTGAATCTGTTGAGAAGAAGGGAAAAGAAATATGCATTTATAATGTCTTTTATAATTACATAATTACCTTTACTGGTGGTGATGGTGGTGGTGGTGGTGTGTGTGTGTGTGTGTGTGTGTGTGTGTGTATTCATATTACTCTCTAGGGTCATGTGCTTTCAGCCTAAAGAACTTCATAAGTATTCTTATAAGGTAGATTTGCTAGCAATGAATTCTCTGTTTTTGTTAAACTCTACTAGCTATAAGATTCTTGCTTTACAGTTGTTTTCTTTGAACACTTTGAATACGTTGATCTACTGTCTTCTGGCCTCCGTTATTTCTGATGAGAGTTCTGCTGTTAATATACTGGGGATCCCTTGAACCTTAGGAATCACCTCTCTCTTGCTTCTTTCAAGATTCTCTTCTTGTCATATTCTTTCAACAGTTTGATAATGTGTCTCGCTGTGGATCTCTTTGGGTTTATCCTACTTGAAACTTGTTGAGCTTCTTTTTAAAAAATTTTTAAATTTTTTATTTAAAAAATTTTTGTGGGTACATAGTAGGTGTATATATTTATGGGGTACGTGAGATATTTTGGTAGAGCCATGCAATGCATAATAGTAACACTGATTGCATAAACAAACAAACTTGCAAAATGGAAACTAATAAAAACTCTAGATTTAATCCCCCCTGCTTTTTAACTTTTTGTTTTTTCTCTTTAGTGTTATTGTACTGTCTTAAAAAGTTGTAGTTATTATTTTTGATTGGTTCATAATTTAGTCTTTTTATTTAAGTCAAGAGAAGTTCACACACCACAATGCCAGTGTTATGCTATTCTGTGTTTCTCTGTGTGCTTACTATTACCCATGAATTTTGGACCTTCGGATAATTTCTTCTTGCTCATTAACATCCTTTTCTTTCAGATTGAATAACTCCCTTTAGCATTTCTTGTAAACAGTCTGGTATTGATGAAATTCCTTAGCTTTTCTTTGGGAAGATCTTTGTTTCTCCTTCATGTTTGAAAGATATTTTTGCCAGACATATACTATTCTAGGGTAAAACTTTTTTAATTTTTTTCAGCATTTTAAATATGTCATGCCACTCTCTCCTGGCCTATAGGATTTCTGCTGAAAAGCCTGCTACTGAAGGTATTGGAGGTCCATTGGATGTTATTTGTTTCTCTTCTCTTGCTGCTTTTAGGATACTTTCTTTATCCTTGACCTTTTAGAGTTTAATTATGAAATGTCTTGGGGTAGTCTTCTTTGGATTAAATCTGCTTGGTGTTCTATAACTTTATTGTACTTGAATGTTGATAGTTTTCTCTAGGTTTGGGAAGTTCTCTGATACTATCCATTTGGTTTTTTTGTTTGTTTGTTTGTTTTTTTGAGACGGAGTCTCACTCTGTCCCCCAGGTTGGAATACAGTGGTGTGATCTCAGCTCACTGCAACCTCCACCTCCTGGGTTGAAGCGATTCTCCTGCCTCAGCCTCCCAAGTAGCTGGGATAGCGGGCGTGAGCCACTATGCCTGGCTAATTTTTATATTTATAGTAGAGATGGGGTTTCACCCTGTTGGCCAGGCTGGTCTCGAGCTCCTGATCTCAAATGATCCACCCACCTTGGCCTCCCGAAGTGCTGGGATTACAGGTGTGAGCCACCGCATCTGGCCTGATACTATCCCTTTGAAGAAACTTTCTACTCCTATTTCTTTCTCTACCTCCTCTTTAAGGCCAAATACTCTTAGATTTGCCCTTTTGAGGCTATTTTCTAGATCTTATAGGTGTGCTTTGTTGTTTTTTATTATGTTTTCTTTTGTCTCCTCTGACTGTGTATTTTTGAATAGCCTGTCTTCAAGCTCACTTTAATTCTTTCTTTTGCTTAATCAGTTCTGCTATCTAGAGACTCTGATGCATATTTTAGCATGTCAGTTCTATTTTCCAACTCTAGAATTTCTACTTGATTCTTTTTAATTATTGCAAACTCTCTTAAATTTATCTGACAGAATTCTGAATTCCTTTTCTGTGTTATCTTGAATTTCTTTGAGTTTCCTTAAAACAGCTATTTTGAACTTTCTGTCTGAAAGGTCATATATCTCTGTTTCTCCAGGATTGGTCCATGGTGTCTTATTTATTTCATTTGGTGAGGTCATGTTCTCCTGAATGCTGGTGATGCTTGTAGATGCTCTTCAGTGTCTGGGCCTTGAAAAGTTAGGTATTTATTGAGGTCTTCACAGTCTGGACTTGTTTGTGCCTATTGTTCTTGGGAAGGGTTTCCAGGTATTCGAAGGGACTTGGACCCCAAGCCCCATAACACTGTGATTTTTGCAGACTTGTAGAGGTACTGCTTTGTGGTCTTAGATAAGATCCAGAAGAATTATCTGGACTACCAGGAAGAGATTCTTGTTATTTTCCCTTCTTTTTCCCAGACATACAGTCTCTCTTTGTGTGCTGAGCCACCTGAAACTAGGGGTATGGTGATGCAAGCACTCCTGTGGCCACCACTATTGGGACTGAGTTGGGTCATACCTGAAGCCAGTATAGCACTGGGCCTTGCCCAAGGTCCTAACCTTCCAGGTGGTGAGTTCTACCAGGCCTTGAGCATGTCCACAGATGCTGTCGGGAGCCAAGGGTTAGAGTAAAAAAACATAATTATTTACTTGATGTTCTATTATATTGCAGCTAAGCAATCAAATCATAGAAAGTCTTTCCTGCTCTTCCCTCCCCTTTCCACAGGCAGAGGAACCTCTCCCTGTGGCCACCACCACTACTGGTCCACATGTCCACAGGGGATTCTGCCAGGCCACTGCCAATGTTTGCTTGAAGCCCAAAGGCTCTTCTGTTAGCTTGTGGTGAATGCTTCCAGGCCTGGGACTCACCCTTCAGGGCAGTGGGCTCCCCTCTGGCCCAGAGCAGATCCAGAAATCCTGTCCAAGGCCCTAGGCCTAGACTCAGGGACCCCAAGAGCCTGCTTGTTGCTCTCCCCCACTGTGTTCAAGCTGGTACCTAGGGTGCAAGATGAAGTCCCCTTTACTTTTCCCTCTGCTTTTCTCAAACAGAATGAGTCTTGCACCATAGCCACTACAACTTGGAATGTGCTGGGTCTTCCCTGAAGTTAGCACATATTAGAGCACAAGGCCCACAGCATACTCCCTGGGTATTGCTGGTGGTTATTTGGGCCCAGGGGCCCTTTAGTCAGCAGACGATCAATCCCGCTAGGACTGGGGCCTTCCCTTCAAGACAGTGAGTTCCCTTCTGGCCCAGGATTTGCCTAGAAATGTCAGCTGGGAGCTAGGGCCTAGAAGGGGGGCCTTACGGCTCTGCCTTATGCCCTGTCCTACTGTGGCTGAGCTGGTATCCAAGATACAAGACAAAGTGCTCTTTACTCCTTGCTCTCCTCTCCTTAAGTAGAAAGGAGTCACTTTTGTTGCCATGAGCTGCACTGCCTGGAGTTGGAGAAGGAATATTACAAGTCCTCCTTAAACCATGCCAGCTGGTGTCTCCCTAGGTCACGTGCCACCCGAGTTTACTGCCTCTGAGCCTAGCCTAGCACTAGGAGTTGCCTAGGAATTTCAGTCTTTGTGTCCTAGACTGCCTTTCAAGTTTACCTATGATCCCAGAGCACCTCGGCCACCAGTGGCGAGGCTTGCTGAGAAATTCAAGTTCAGACCACTAGGATGAGCAATTTCCCTCTGGCTACGGTTGGTCCAAATGCTCCCTCCATGTGCGGGCACTGGCTGAGCCCAGCACGGCTTTATTTTCAGCTGTGACAGGGCAGTACCGAGTTCAGTGTACAGTCCCCCAGTCACTGTGCTCTCCCTCCCCAAAGTGCACACATTCTCTTTCCATCCTGTATAGCTGCTGCTGGGGGATGGGGAAGGATGGTATCAGTGATTCAAGACCGTCTCTCCTGCCCTTCTCGATGCCTCTTTTCACAATATGAAGTTAAAACCAGGTATTGTGATTGCTCACCTGATTTTTGGTTCATGTAATGGTGCTTTTCTGAGTACAGATAGTTGTTAAAATTTGGTGTTCCAGCAGGGAGGATGAATGATGTAGGCTTTTTCTGCCATCTTGCTCCACCTCCAGCTTTTTGAGCTTCTTGGATGTATAAATTCATGTCTTTTATAAAATTTGGGAAGGGTTTGGCAATCATCTCTTCAAATATTTTTTTCTGTCCCATTTCTCTGTCTCTTCTCCTTCTGGGATTCTCATGTAGATGTTGGCATGCTCAATAGCTTCCAATGGGTCTCTTAGGCTCTGTTCATTTTTCTTCATTCCTTTTTCTCTCTTTTTTTTACGTTGTATAATATCTATTGACCTATTTTTCAGTTTGCTAATTCTTTTTTATCCTACTTCACATTTACTGTTGAGCGCCTCTTGTGAATTATCTATTTTAGTTATTGTACTTTTCTGCTACATATTCTTATTTGGTTTTCCTTTCATGTGTTTATTTATATTCTCTTATTTCAGGAAGAATTCTTCCTTCTTTTTTTATTTTTATTTTTTATAGGCAGAGTCTTGCTCTGTTACCCAGGCTGGAGTGCAATGATACAAATCACAGCTCACTGCAATCTCAAACTCCTGGGCTTGAGCAATGCTCCTGCCTCAGCCTCCCAAGCAACTGGGACTAAAGGTGCACACCATCATGCTTGGCTAATTAAAAAAAAATTTTTGTAGAGATGGGGTCTCACTATATTGCCCAGGCTGGTCTCAAACTCCTGGCCTCAAGCAATCCTCCCACCTCAGCCTTCTGAAATGCATCATAATTTCTTCTATTTTTTTTTTTTTCTAAGAGTCAAGGTCTTGCTCTGTCACCCAGGCTGGAGTGCAGTGGTGCAATTATAGCTGACTGCAGCCTCCAAATCTTGGGCTCAAGAGATCTTTTCATCTCAGCCTCTCGAGTTGCAGGGACTACATGTACATTCCACTACTCCTGGCTCTTCTTTTACTCCTTTTAAGCATGATTTCCTTTAGTTCCTTGAGCATATTTATAATGGCTGCTTTGAAGTCTTAAATCTTCAACTCTAGTTGCTATCACAGGCAGTTTCTGTTGCATGTTTTTTCCCCTGTGTTTGGGTCAGAGTTTCCTGTTTCTTTGCATGTCTCATGATTTTTTTGTTGGAAACTGGATGTGTTAGATAATATATTGTATCAACTCTGGGTACTGACCTATCTTCCAGGCTTGTTATTGTTATTTGTTTGTCTGTTTGTCTGTTCATTTTAGTGAACTCTATTTCACCCCCACAGTATGAAGCTTCTGATGTGACTCCATGGAGAGTGTAGCCTTGGCATGCACCCTGTCACCACAGGATGATGGTGGTTTGGCAGGGCTCTCTTTGTCTCTTTCCTGACCACACCTAGCCATTAAGCTGTGCTTATTGTTGGATGATTCCTGTATTGTTTTCAACCATGACCTGGGGCATAAATTGCTTCACGGACTGGTTTAATTAAATTTGGCATCCTTTACAGCAGGGGTATCCAATCTTTTGGTTTCCCTGGGCCGCACTAGAAGAATTGTCTTGGGCCACACATAAAATACACTAATGCTAATGGTAGCTGTTGAGCTAAAAAAAAAAAAATCTCATAATGTTCTAAGAAAGTTTAAGAATCTGTGGCCCGGCGCGGTGGCTCACGCCTGTAATCCCAGCAATTTGGGAGGCCGAGGTGGGCCGTCTCAGGAGTTTGAGACCAGCCTCGCCAACATGGCAAAACCCCATCTCTACTAAAAATACAAAAATTAGCCGGGCATGGTGGCAGGCATCTATAATCCTAGCTACTCGGGAGTCTGAGGCCAAAGAATCTTTCAAACCTGGGAGGCAGAGGTTGCAGTGAGCCGAGATCATGCCACTGCACTCCTACCTGGGCAACAGAGTGAGAATCCATCTCAAAAAAAAAAAAAAAAAAAAAGAAAGAAAGTTAGTTTATGAATCTGTGTTGGGATCCATTCAAAGTCATCCTGGGTCACATGTCCAACCCATGGGCTGTGGGTTGGACAACCTGGCTTTACAGGGATTGTTTTTTAGGTCAGTGTTTGAATATTTTTCTTACCTCAGGAGGGCTCTTCTTAGCTGTTTATTTCTCTGATCTGAGTAAACTGGCTGGCCTATTTAGCTCACATCTCTAATGAATCTTCTAGTCTTCTTTTAACTGCTTTTTAACACACCCTCCATTGTTTTGAAAGCAGCCTTAGGCTTGAACTTTCCCACACTTTGTTACAAATGAAGTCTGTTTCTTTGGGGAGAGATTCTGAACTCTGTTTTTTGACCTGCCTCTTCCCCTGGGCAAAATCTCTGAGCCAATGCTCTGGATGGAGACAATGGCATGTTTTTTCAATGTGGCACCATTGCTTTAGGGGCTGGGTAAGCAACAGAGCATGTGCAGCTGTAGCCTTTGTTCTTCATGACTTGCTTCTCCCAACATTGGACTTGTGCTGAATGATCCAGGAATAGGTGGTCTGGACCCCAGTATTCTCAGTGTCCCAGATCAAAGGTAGAACATCTATCCCATGAGTGGTAACTGAGCAGAGAAAGGGAGCCCCCATCTCTTGACCACACTTGGCCAGAACTTAGCCTGTGCAAAGGGCAATTGGGACAGGATGAGAAATACTGAAGTCCCTGTCCTTCCTCGGAAGATACTACACCCCTTTGGGAACTCTGAGGAGAGGGAGCCCTGTGTACTCATCTGCACCTATATGGAGTGGAGCTGAGAACATGTGGAAGGGAGTGGCCCATGGTTCAAACACCACAGACTCTCATGATTCTGAGTTTTGGTATATTTTCATTAAATGTTTATTTTCTGTATGGCTTTAGAACCATTTCTAGATGGCTCTAAAGTACTTGTGATGGATTTTGCTGTTTTTTAAAATAGTTTTGTTTGCAGTGGCAAATTCTTACAGGTCTGCAGCAACCTCAGTTCTTGCTTCCAAGAAGGAAAGAATTTGGCCGAGAGGCATGAGGCAGAGTGAGAGACTGAGGCAAGTTTTAGAGCAGGAGTGAAAGTTTATTGAAAAGTTTTAGAGCAGGAACGAAAGGAAGTACACTTTGAAGAAGGCCAAGCGGGTGACTTGAGAGATTCAAGTGTGCTGTTCAGCCCTTAATGTGGGGCTTATACATTGGCATGTTTCCAGAGTTTGCATTACTTCTACCCTGATTCCTCTTGGTGGGCTGTCCCCATGTTCAGTGGCCTGCCAGTACTTGGGAGGGACCACATGCACCGTATGTTTATGGAAGTTGTGTGCATGCTCACTTGAGGCATTCCCTTATCCATTGAGTGTTCCTAGAGAAAGGTCATGTACCAGTTAAACTCTGCCATTTTTCTTCTTAGTGCACATGCCTGATCCCACTCGTCCAACTCCTGAGATCTCATCGGGAAGCTGCTGATCACCAGCTTCAGGTGTCTTCTATCTATTGGGAGACCGCTGTCCCCTGGCACCAGCTGCAGCCAATTGTTATTTTAGAGAAAGTTTAACAACTGCCTGACCATCACCTGATGGTCACCTGACATTTCTGGGGGTTGGGGGAGCCTTTCCTGCCCTGCTCATGTCTCCCTAGCTACCTACTCTAACAATTTTACTGGGGAGTAGGTCCACTCAAATCCCTAGGCTGCCATGCCAGAAGTTGGTCATTCCCAGATCTTCTTTGCCCTCTGGATGTCCTTAGTGGGAGTCAAAACCCAGCCCACAGTCTGACTGAAGTCTTCCAGATATAAATGTGGTATCAGACCTGTGGTAGATTGTCTGCAGAGATGACCAGAATCACTCCTCACATCCCTCCTGTCCTTAGGAGGAAGAGGCTGTTTCTCTTCCTTTGGAATCTGGACTGACCTTGTGACTTGCTTTGACATAGAGAGTGATAGAAGAGACACCGTGATAGTTCTGGGCCTAGGCCTTACGAGAGCTGAAAGCTTCCACTTAACTCTCTAGGAAGTCAGCACTGTGTAAAGAAGTTCAGTATAGATTACTGAATTAGAAGAGATGCCACATGAAGAAGAACAGAGCACCTGAGCCAGCACCCAACCCAAAGACTCCAGACATTTGAATGAGTGCAGGTGAAGGCTGAGCCATCCCAGACAGCTCCCAGTAGTTTGTGCCATCTTCGCTGAGGCCTTAGCCTTGTGGATGAAATAATCTTGGATCCCATAGCCCTATTTGAGATGGCTCAACTGACACCATGTGGAGCAGAGATGAACCGTCCCTGCAGAGCATTGACCATATTCTTGACCCACAGAAGTATGGGCAGTAAAGTGGTTGATGTTTTAAACCACTAAGTTTTGGGGTGTTTTGTTTGGTAGCAGTGGATAATAGAAATAGGTTTTCAGTTTCCTGTAGCAGAAACTAGTCCCTTTGAATTCCCTCGTTCAGCCTGGGGACTCACAGTCTTACAATGACCCTTTCCAAAGGACTTCCTCACAAGGTCCTTACTCAGTGCTTTTTTGAGAGTTGAGATTTCATTTTAGAAATATACATCTAGGCCAGGCTCGGTGGCTCATATCTGTAATCAGAACACTTTGGGAGGCCGAGGCAGGCAGATCACCTGAGGTCAGGAGTTTGAGACCAGCCTGGCCAACATAGCAAAACCCCATCTCTACTAAAAGTACAAAAATTAGCCAGGTGTGGTGGTGGGTGCCTGTAATCCCAGCTACTCAGGAGGCTGAGGCAGGAGAATGGCTTGAACCCGGGAGGCGGAGGTTGCAGTGAGCTGAGATCATGCCACTGTACTCCAGCCTGGGTGACAAGAGCAAGACTCCGTCTAAAAAAAAAAGAAGTATAGATCTATTGTATTGTAGCTTCTCAGTCAGAACCTCATTTTAAACATACTCCTACATACGTATTTATTTATTTTCATATTATCTGTGTCCACTAAGAATGTAAGATCCTTGAGGGCAAGAACTCTGTTCACTTCTGTATCCTAGCCCTAGAATAGTACATGACCAATAGTAGGTGCCCAGTAAATATTTGTGGGATAAATGGCTACTTTGTGTCAAACAGTGCACTAGGCTCAGTATGATCTCTAGTGTTGTCTCGATTACTCATAGTGGACTCTCCAGATGCCCCAAGCCAGATCTCAGCCTGCTTGTTTTCAGTGCAGCTGTGGTGGATGGTTTCACCCATCATTGCTAGCATGCCTCATCAAATGTGCCCCATTCTCTCTCTCACTGTTTTATTTAAATAATTTTATCTCTCTTGACTTTGCTGCCTCCAACTTCAGAGCAGGAGAAGGCTGCCTATCCGTACACAGGTGCAACCCTGAAGCACTGGGAGTTGACACTACTTGGGCTGCCCTCACTCATGGGCAAGGGAGCCGGGGAGCAGATCCCCTAGCTTCTCTGTCCTTCAGCAGACAACTGTGAGACATGTTCTCCATGGTCCCTCATATCCCCAGCAAGATCGGGCCCCAGTTGCCCAGGGTATTAACTAGTTTTTAACACATTCGTTCTTCCTTCCCTTCCTTGTCCTGCTCTTTATACGCCATCATTTGCATGTCCCACGGTCACCTTCCAAAGAAACCACCTGTCCTAAGTCTTTATCTCAGGTTCTGCTTTCAGGGGAACCCAAGTAAGAACACTTAGGTTCTCTTGTCACAATAACACATGAGGTAGGGGGTATTAGTTCCATTTTATTAGGTAAGAAAAGTAAGGCTTAGGGAGATTTAAGTGTCTGGCTCAACATCACTAAGCTAATAAATGGTAGATTTAGGATTTAAACGCAGGCTTGTCTGAACTCCAAATTATGTTCTCTTTCCACTGAACCATGCTGCATGACCTTGGAAAATCCCTCTGATTGCTTTCAGCTTAGTGTCTTCATTTGTTGGTGGGATCCAATGTGGGTTTGCAGAGTCAAGTGGCCACAGGGCACAGCAGGGGCTGTGGCTGGCTGGAGAGCCTGTGCCCTGTCCAAAGCAGCCAGCTGCTCCTTGGCCTCAGGTGGTCAGCCTGTGTGGGAAGGTGAGCCCAGTGCCCCTGCGTCTTCCGCCTGCATATGAGAAACCGGGCACCAGACTCACGTGAAATCTCCCAAGTTTTAAATGGTGGCAACTAATTCAAATGTGTCTTAAACCCTGTGCAGACTGGAAAGGGACCCAAGAGAACTTTTTAGAGTGATGGAAATGTTTTATATATTGATTGGGGTGTACACGTTTGGCAAGCCCCAAATGGTACATTTAAAATATTGTGTAAGGGCTGGGTGCGGTGTCTCACACCTATAATCCTAGCACTTTGGGAGGCTAAAGCAAGCAGATCACTTGAGCCCAGGAGTTTGTGACCAGCCTGGGTAGCATGGTGAAACTCCATCTCTATAAAAAATACAAACACTAGCCAGGCGTTGTGGTGCGTGCTTGAATTTCCAGCTACGTGGGTGGCTGAGGTGGGAGGATCATCTGAGCCAAGGGAGGTCAAGGCTGTGGTAAGCCATGATCACACCATTGTACTCTAGCCTGGGCAACAGAGTGAGATCCCATCTCAAAATAAATAAAATAAAATATTAGGTAAGTTATTGTAGGTGGGATAGAATCATAGAAAAAGAAAAGACCCCATGTGTGGCAATCAAAATATGTTCTTTTAAGTTTCTTTTTTTTTTTTTTTGAGATGTAGTCTTGCTCTGTTGCCCAGGCTGGAGTGCAGTGGTGCAATCTCAGCTCATTGCAACCTCCGCCTCATGTGTTCAAGCGATTCTCCTGCCCCTTGAGTAGCTGGGACTACAGGTGCACGCCACCATGCTCGGCTAATTTTTATATTATTAGTAGAGGCAGGGTTTCACCATGTTGGCCAGGCTGGTCTCGAACTTTTGACCTCAAGTGATCCACCTGCCTCGGCCTCCCAAAGTGTTGGATTACAGGCGTGAGCCACCATGCTCGGCCTCTTTTGAAATTCTATAATAGTCTATGATTAATTACATGTAACAAGCAGTTATGGAGGAAAATGGAACTTGTTCCAGAGCATAGTTGAGGTTCACTAAGGAAAGTCCATCACAAAGTTTGACAAAGGAAATTAACCTCTCTAAGAACATATGTTCCATGCTATCATTTTTCTTTCTTAGTCTCAGGAGAATCATCCAGATGGCGGGGTTTCTCTTCTTTCTTAGGGTACTGGAGAAGACAGCTGGATCACATCTCTGCTCACCTCAGGTGTTATGCTCAGAACAACCCTGAATTCCGGGCCTTGATTGCAGAACCCAGGATGGGAAAGGTGGGTGAGATGAAATTTCCACTCCACAAGTGTCCACGGGATCAGGCTGAAGGAACCCTCCATGGACTTTGCCTGAAACTGCATCTTGCCTGGCTCCTTTCCCTTTCCTGCTCTGCTTTCTACACTTTCTTACTCTTCTGCCTTGTGAGCTCTGCTCTAATAAATCACTTGCACATGAATATTGTCTCAGAGTCTGCTTCTGGGGCACCTGACCTAAGACAATAAAATTCTGAACATCTCATGCTCAGATGTCACATTGGAAATTCTAACAGTCAGAATGAAAGGTCCCAGAACAATTTAATCCATCCAGATCGTGCACTTAAATCATACACTGTTAATATATAGCAATAGTGACATAACAGCTGCCATTTTACAGTGCACCCAGCATCAGCATTGTATTCATCATTCTTGCCTTCACAGCAAACCTGCAAGGGAGGTGTATTACCTTTGTGATCACTTTAAAAAAAATAACCACAAATTCCTTGACTGTCTTCCCCTCAAATGGTAGAATCTGTGTCCCCTCACCTTGAATCTGGGCGGGTCTGTGACTGTTTGACTAACGGACTATGATGGAAGTGATGCCATGAGACTTCCAGGGCTTGGCCACATAAGGTCATGTGGCTTTCTCTTGCTTGGCACACTCACCTCCAGCACTTCTTGGAGCTCAGCCACCCTGCTATGAGAAGCCCAAGCTACATGGAGTGGCCGCATGTAGGTGCGCCAGCTGAACCCAGTCCTCGAGTCATCTCTGCTCATGAGCCACATGAGTGACTAGACTCTAGATGATTCCCGCCCCCAGACATCCAACCACCTCTAGCCATTTGAGTCTTCCAGCTGAGGCCTCAGACATGTGGAGCAAAGACAAGCTATCTCTGCTATGCCCTCTCTGAATCCATAGCATAATAAAGTGGTGGTGGTTTAATTTCACTAAGTTTGGGGTGGTTTTTCACACCGCAGTTGATAGTCAGAAGAAGCCTTATTTGACACCCAGGAATTTTGAAGCTCAGAGAGGTTTGGTGACCTGCCCAAGACTACACTGCTGGGTCTCATGGGGTTCAAGATTTGAAGCAGATCTGTCGGACCCTGTCAGAGTCCCATGTCCTTTCTTTGATACTACATTGCCATTATAAAAAGACAGCTCTGTGAGAGGACCTTTCCTCTGTTTGTCGCAAGACTAGAAGGAACTTTATGAAATAGGCTGTGTACTCTTCTGCTGCCAAATAGGCCAACATCAAGACGATCTCATTTTCCAGTATTACCCAATTTCCTTTGATAATCTATTTTGGTAGTTTATGAATTTCTTCAGCCTAATCCAGAGATCTGCAAACTGTGGCGGTTGAGACAAATCTGGCCCGCTGCCCAATTTTATAAATAAAATTTTATTGGATCACAGCTGCACCCATTCCTTTACTTATGTGGCTGCTTTGTGCTATGACAGTAAAGTATTCACAATACAGAACATATGGTCCACAAGACCTAAAATATTTACTATCTGACCCTTCATGAAAACATTTCTTGTCCCTTGGCTTAATCTAAATTCCTATTGCTACTTACACAGAAAGCTGCTCAACTGTGATACTTGTCCCTTAATTACCAAGCCCTGTCCCCGCCCCCTACCAGGATATCTTTTCCAAGGTGATAACATCTAGTCATGTAGTTTGATTAAAGTGCATCTCTTGAAGAATGCATAGATTTGGATCTTGCCTTTTTATTCAATTTGGCAGTCTCTTTAGAGTAGTTTATTTATAATTAGTAGAGTTTAGATATGGTTGGATTTGGATCTGCCATTTTGTTCTTTGTTTTCTATTTATCTCGTCTAGTTTTTGTTGCTCTGTTTTTCTTTTCCTACTTTCTTCTGTGTTAATTAAATATTTGGTTAAATTTAGAGTTTGACATCTCAGAATTTGTACACTGTTACTTAAGGCAATGAGTCCCACACCCACAGTTATGAATTCTCTCTACAACTCTTTTAAAAGCTTATCTCTGCTACTGTCCACGAAGATGGTTGTGAAGTTAGCATCAGACTGAATTATAGTCAAGTCTCAAACAAGGTGAGTAAGCCTCCAGAAGTTATTCATTTGAGAACTGACCGATTAGTAAATTGAGACAATTTATAGAAATGCTTCTGTGTAATCCATAGAAAGGAAAAGTTTCACACATTATGAAATGCTACTAGAGGCAAGCAATTTCATAGAATTAGATAAACAAGTTAAACCTCAGACAGGCACATGAAGATATAGTGAGAACAGGAGTTGTTCTGTAGTTCTCAGGCTTATTCAGACTCACTGAAGTCTGATGGCATGTCTGTGATATAATTGATTTGGGGAAAGACTAACAAAAATATTTGCTGATATGCCCTTTGACATATTTTCTTCTATAAAATAAACCAAACTTTGTGGCCATGTGTCCTTGATCTTCCCTTTTATATGGTGACGGGGGCATTGCCACAGAGCCTGTAAATGTGTTTCAAACATTAATTGATTGACATTAGCAGCTTTAGTTTCACTGGACAAAAAGTCAGAATAATTAATCAATCAATTGAGAAGCCAAGGAAAAGGAGGGAAATTAACATTTATTAGGCCCTGGCAAGGTGCTAATGGTGTTGTTGAAATTGGGATAGAAGCATGGGCCCTGTCTAACTCATGGGGAGGCTGGGAGTATCTAACGAGCTAATGCACATGAATGTGCTTTGAAACCAAATAAAGCACTAACTGCTCTTTTTAATTGTTGTGACTAGAGCAGAGCTTGGGTCAGAGAGGAACTTCAGGGGAAGGGAAGTGAGAGAAGCAGGTCAAGGAAGGGGAAGGGACTGAATGAGCAGGTAGACAAAAGCAAAGTTGAGCTTTAGCCTGATCCAAGGGGAACTCTGGAGAATGAATTAAACCACAAAGTTGTCCCCAGTTGAGGCAAGGAGGAGAGGGAGCATGACCTCTAGGGCAAAGCAGCATCCACCTACTGAGGGCACTTTGCTGGGGAAGGAGGTCCAGCAGTAAGCTCTTAGCAGCTACACAACAGCTGGGGTGAGTAACCTGGCCAGCTAGTGGGAATGGGGCAGGCCACCAGCAGCACCTCCAATGTGCTAGCTATCTCACAAGTAGAATTGGAGTAACTGTTCCCAGGTCATTGTTTTGTTTTGGTTTGGTTTTGTTTTGCTTTGTTTTGAGACAGATTCTTGCTCTGTCAACCAGGCTGGAGTGCAGTAGCACAATCTTGGCTCACTGCAAACCTCCCCCTCCTGGGTTCCAGCAATTCTCGTTCCTCAGCTGCCTGTGTAGCTGGGATTACAGGGTCACACCACCACACCCAGCTAAGTTTTGTATTTTTAGTAGAGATGGGGTTTCACCATGTTGGCCAGGCTGGTCTCGAACTCCTGGCCTCAAGTGATCACCTGCCTCAGCCTCCCAAAGTGCTGGGATTACAGAAGTGAGCCACTGCACCTGGGCCCTAGGTTTAATAAATCTTTTGTTAGCCTGCATGTTCTAGTGTTCAGGAAGTAGCAGGCTCTTCCCTGGGACAGGAGCAGGCAGCCACGTGAGGGTGCAGGGGGATCAGTCCGGGTGCACACAGACTTCTGTGTCTGGCCTCATTATGTAGACGCCCATTTTACTGCATTTTGCTTTCACGACATGCCATTGAGGTAGGTCATATTATTTCCACTTTCCAGGTGAGGAAACTGAGGCTCAGAGAAGTTAAGCAACCTGCTTCTTCCAAGGGCACTAAGTTAGTAAGTGGCAGACCCAGGATTCACACTTGGCAGCCTGAGACCTTCCCATCATGACACCCTAATTCCAAGACATTGAAGGACTTTAAGCAGAGAAATGACACAATCACTTATAAAGGATCTAAAGGTGACTGGGACAGCCACATGCAGGGAGGCTGGCAGACCCCTGTTGAAAGGCTATTGTGATGGTCCCAATGTGAGACGAGGGGGCTGGGGCTTCAGGGAGGGAGAGGAGGAGGGGCCAGACTGAGCCGCGGGTAAGGGGCAGAACGGACAAAGCATGCTGGGGAGGTGAGGAGGAGTCAGGAAGGACATCCAGGTCTCAGGCTCCACTCTCTGGGTAGGTAGAGCTGTACTTAATAAGGAGGAGCAGGTTAGAAGGGAGATCCTTCTTTCTAGTGGGACAAAGCAGCCTCATCATTCATGGTGTTTAAATGTTTTCATTGGCCAGAACCTTTACCTGAACAAGGCAGTGAATTTCAGCGATCACCTTCTGAGCAGTGCTGCCGAGGGTGATGGGGGGCTGTGCGGCAGCAGGTCCAGCTGGGGTGAGTTATTCCCTTCTGGCAATTTTAAAACAACTGACCAGGAACACATGGACTTGGCAGGTATAGCAGAGAACTGCTAAGAGTTTGACAGCCCGGTCACAGATCTTGCAGTTATGTTCCAGACGTTTTATTTCTCTGGCTTCTCTGAAGTCAGAGGTGAGACTTTTGAAGTCCTTTACAGGGCTTGGGGAAATTCATTTGTGGGGTGCACTTTTGGACCTAAAAACCGAAGTCCCTCTTTTCCTCTCCTTCCCACCCTTCCTCTGGTTCCTGGACAGGAGAGTGGCTCCAGGAGTCTCTCCTGCCGGGTTTAATCAAATAGAAATTTCTATGATAGCCATTTTATCCTCTGACTTTTGAGGGACGTGGAAGTAAGAAATAACTGTTTGTGTGGGGAGTTGGGGGAGGGGCATCATTTTTTTCCCCAACTGTGTCATTTCAGTGAGTGACTACAGCCAGAGTACCTCAGATACTATTGAAAAAATCAAAAGGATAAAGAATTTCAAGACCAAAACTTTTCAAGAAAAGAAGGAGCAGCTTATAGTAAGTGTCTTTTTTTGGTCCTTGTGGATGTTGTCTTCAGCCTGTGATTTTCAGGTTTTATTTTGACCTTTTTTAAAATGGAAGAATAATTTCTCATTTTCTGTTCCTTTTTTATGAGGTTTCTCATGGCATCCTTGTCCTTTAGACTTCTTTAAAGTATCTCAAGATTATGAATTAGAGTTATTTCAAAGTTCCCATCAGTTTCCTGAATCATCTCTGTGTTTCCTCTGGGGTCAGTTCTGTCTGCCTATCTTTCGACTTTGGTTTGCCTCAAATATGGAACCTTGGTTGTCTGGTCGTTTGACAAATGAAGACTAGTTGGGTAGTGCAGATGCTGGCCTGGTGCCCAGCATGAGGATGGACCCTGAAGTCCCTGTGTGAGTGGACAGGCATGTCGTGGACAGACGTCCCTGGAGGGAGTGTGGGCAGGGAGCAGGAGAAAGCCTTCAGATCCCCTGTGTTGCTGGTGGAAAAGGTCTTCCTCTGGTGGTGAGGGTGTTGGTGTGTGAAGCGCTCTCACGGGTTTCAGCTTGGGATGAAGCTTTTTTCCTTTCCCTCTACACCCTCCCCTGTGTCTGTCATGGAGGTCTAGGCTCTGCCCTTCTCCTTTCTTGGGCCCCAGTGCACCAAGTAGAAGCCTTTGTTGGGCAAATCTTATGCTTTCTGCGAAATAGTTATCAGGGCAAAGTGCACAAGCCTCCTGCCCTTCTTACATGGGGAAGAAGGGGTAAGGCACTAGCGATCTCAGCTATTCACCACGGAGCCCTTAATAATCTACTCATGCATTCAGGCTACGCCCAACACCTAACCTCCATATGGATTAATTTAAGCTTCTGCAGGGCTCCCCTGGAAAGAAAACACTCCTACCTCTGGTATCTTCAGCTGGATTTTTGTTGGTTTGGTTTGGTTTGGTTTGGTTTGGTTTCCCTGTCAGATTTCATCTACTTTCAGTCTTCTTGGAATTTCTCAAAATTACTAATTCACCGATGGTCAGTACCGTTTTAGAGTTTCCCACATCTTTAGAGTTTTGTGTTTTAAAAATATATGCCAAGAATAGTTCTAAAAGGAGCTTTGGAGAAAAGGGCAGTGGATGCCACCTGCTCCATCCCCAGCCTTGCCTTTTAATTGGTCCTCCTTGGCTGCAATACAAAGAACAGATGTGATTAGCAGCAAGTCCCAAGGCCTGGGCCCGGGTCCGAGCTGGACACTTGCATGATGCCGTGTGCTTCCCTCCATGTGTGGTTCCAAGGCCAGGCCCTCAACGCCGCCTTGTCAGTGCACTAGCTGCCCAGCTTGCCTCCTGATTCCTCTGGAGGCAGGGACTCTGTTCTTTATCTTTTTTTTCTTCCCACCACATGCTTTGTATGTAACAAACACCAGTACATTTGGAAAGAATATGTTAGAATTGTTTCAACTTTTGTATTTTAGGATTTCTTGTACTCACCACCTTCTCCCAGTTTGAAATATTGTTATTGGGTATAAAAGCATAGAGTTCCATAAACTGAACAGCTTACAATTTGGGAGACTCTACCTATTTACTCTGTGTATAACCTGAATCTTCCACTGTATATGGCTTTTTTTTCTCATTTGCACTTAGGGGATAAGTATCAGAAGCTGTAACATTTGTTCACTCATTCAGTGATTATTTTTGAGCACACGTGTACCAGGCACTGTTCTACGTGTTGAAAATAAAACCTAAACAAAAGACGTAAAGGTCTCACACCTCCTGAAGCTGACATGCCTACTGCATTCTAGTACACATTTCCATGAGGAATGGAAATCAGTGTAAACAAGTGCTCCCCAAGACCCCTGCTGGGGGTTTACTGATTAGAGTACTTGGTTCTAAGCTATTCATCAGTAAGATGGGGACAGCGAGAAAGGAGGCAGCACCGCCTGGACCAGGCATCATCTTCTGAAAGGCTCAGAGGCCTTGACCAGTGTCCTCATGGCCATGGCTTCACAGGAGCAAGGACAGGGAAGGTATTATTTCCACTTTACAAATGGAAATGGTGGTCCTGTGACCACCCCACAGCCATGCCCGGGATCCAGAGGCAGAAACATACTAAAAGCAATGTCTCTTGCTTTCTAAACAGCTTCCTTCAGTCTTTCAGCATTTGAAATTCTTTATATATAAAGATGAATTTATGGCATTTAAAAATATAAAAAGATAAGTTACTCAGCCAGGCCCAGTGACTCACGCCTGTAATCCCAGCACTTAGGGAGGCTGAGGCAGGCAGATCATGAGGTCAGGTGATCGAGACCATCCTGGCTAACATGGTGAAACCCCATCTCTATTAAAAATACAAAAAATTAGCCAGGCATAGTGGCATGTGCCTGTAGTCCCAGCTACTCAGGAGGCTGAGACAGGAGAATTGCTGAAACCTATGAGACGGAGGTTGCAGTGAGCCAGGATCGTGCCACTGCATTCCAGCCTGGGTGACAGAGCAAGACTCCATCTCAGAGAAAAAAAAAAGATCTTGAAATTGCTGAGAGCTTTTTCTTTGTTTTGTTTTGTTTTTTGAGACAGAGTCCCACTGTGTTGCCCAGGCTGGAGTGTAGTTGTATGATCTCCGCTCACTGCAACCTCTGCTTCCTGGATTCAAGCGATTCTCCTGCCTTAGCCTCCCAAGTAGCTGGGATTATAGGCAGCTAACACGTGGCTAATTTTTATATTTTCAGTAGAGACACGGTTTCACCATGTTGGCTAGGCTGGTCTCAAACTCCTGACCTCAAATGATCTGCATGCCTTGGCCTCCCAAAGTGCTGGGATTACAGGTGTGAGCTACTATGCCCCTCCTTTTTTTTCTAAAGAAGAAGTCAATTTATTGGCTCATTCGTTCCTCAGGGGAGTATATTTTCTGAACTGTCATACTTTGGCTGACCTTGAACACTTTATAAAGTATGCAAAATAAATTTTAGGATTCACCTGATTGCTTTTCCTAGAGCTCTAGTCATAATAAAACTAGTGTGGAGTTTCTGGGTTTTGTGAGGTTTCTCATGGCATCCTTGTCCTTAATATAAAATAGTGTCCATGCGGTAACCTTGCCTGAAGCAAGGTTTTGGAGCAGCAAGATTGATATTAGATGTGGATATTTGTGCTGTGGGCTATTAAAGACCACTCACACACTCACACATGCACACACTCATAGTCACCTGTCCTTGTGACTTAGAATTCAATGTTGGAAAGAAAGTGTTTGCCTTGAGTGAATATTTTGAAGTGGGGGAAATGACCACATTCTGTAATCCTGCAGCCTGAAAACAGACTCCTGCTGAAGGAAGTCGGACCCACGGGGGAAGGAAGAGTCTCTGTGATTGAACAGCTGCTGGATGAGGTAAGTGTTGCCAAAGGAGCCAGTCTCTCTGAAGAGTTCAGCCTGGCATTCCACCTCTGTCTCCTTCAGATGAAAGTTTTGTTCAATACTGTGAAAATTACACTGCCCTTTGATTAAAAACCCGGGATATAGTGAATGGCTAGTCAAAAGCTTTATATTAATTGTTCCCTGTTGCTAGTTTTTATATCAGAGAAAATAGGCAGAGAAGCACAGATGAGACCAAGGAACATGCATGAAGCTGGATAGAATCTCTGGCCCATGACCCCATATTACCTTTATCCTGGGTTTCCTAAAGAAGCAAGGTTGTCAGGGTGCCTGCCCTCCCCTCCCCGCCCATGTGGGGAACAGAAGTTTTGTCACCTGGGTAACTTTGTAGCTCTGTTCATCGTAGATCAGGTCTTGAGGTTCCTGATTCTCCTCTCCTTTGATCTGAAAGCACTTTAGTTGCATCAGCTCTGTAAAGGACATCTGTTATACTTCATAGGATGGCGACTGGATGCTGTTGAGTGCAGGGTGTTTTGGAGAGTTTGTCCTTTTCCGTTTGCTGCAGGGAGCAGACCCCAACTGCTGTGATGAAGACAATCGACCCGTCATAACCGTGGCTGTTATGAATAAGCACCATGAAGCGATTCCAGTTCTCGTGCAGAGAGGAGCAGACATCGACCAGCAGTGGGGGCCGTAAGTGAAACACATTGAAAGGAGAGCTAAGGTAGCAGCAGGCTGACTGCTTGGAGCTCCACTGCAGCAGAAGCGGTCTACACACACACCCTGTTCAGTTTCAGCCACTTTAACCATTTTAACCTATTTCAGCTTTAATAAGAGGCTTAACGCCTTCTGTTTTCCATAGCTGGGTAAAGCGAAATTTTAAAAATGGACTGTTGGATTGCCTAATTTAGTGGCTTTTATAAATGATGATACATTTTGTTAATTCATAAACTTATACTGTGTGGGGCCAGTAAATCCTTAGCCCTTGGGGTGTTAATCAATGTTTTCATCATGAATCGTGAAAACACCAAGGGAAGACAGACCTTAGTGTATTCCCCATGAAAATATCCCCATGAAGTTAATGCAGAAAGAAAATATCATACGGTTGTCTCCAGATCTCACACCACTGCAGAGGAGACTGGTACATCTGAGGTCACCACATGGTCTCCTGCTGCCTTGCTTTCCCACCCGTGATACAAAACAGAAAGGTACCAAGTCCTGTTACTTACCCTCCCAGTCTTGGTCCACTCCTGTCCAATAACCTTCTCTTCTAGCTGTGTGCTTCTGTTGTTCTTTCAAAAAGTACTTTGAAAATATGGGGTGAAAATTCCTTGAGCATGAGTCATTCATGTTAACTTCTCATATCTTGCCGACTACGTTGTTGAAATGAGTCTTCTAGGGACATCACAGGCATCTAACACTCCTACCTCCTGAAGTCTTACTAAGGCGAGGTCAAGGTCCGTGTCAGTGGAACATTCTGCTGTGTACTTCATGCTACCACGGAGGCCAAAATTTCAGTAGCTTTGCTTCTGTTATTCTCTGTTTCAAAACTGTCTCTAGTGTTAGTGTTCAAAATATAATCCTGTTAATTTTTCTATATGCATTTTACTAATGTCTGCATTTTAATAGCTTCTACCCCCCTTTTGTTAGTTTTATTTTACAGCAGAATGTTTGGTGTGTTGGTGTAAAGCTTCGATGCTTGGAATTTATTTTCTCAAGTTTTCTTAGAGTTTACTGTGTCAACTTATTTATTTATCCCACACTGTTGTATTATTGTCATTATTAATAAAATGGTGCTGCCTTGTTTTGTGTTAAGGCATATTTTATATTTTTATAATTCAGAAAAGCTTTTTAAATAGCATTTAAGTATGTTTGTGGTTGATACAGAAATTACTTGAGCGCATTTTGAATTGAAGTGTAAGCAGCGTGAGTCCTGGCTTTATGAAGAGTCCAGCTAAGAGGAGGAAAGTGCCCTGGGCATTGAACAGATTGCCTTTTTATTTTGCTGTGCCTCAGCTTCCATGTTTGCTTCACCACCATTCTGTAAATTGGCATTTATCCACATGTGATCTCATTGCATGTCTGTAAAGTCTGACACTGCGGTTATACCTGTCTATCTGAATGGTGTGTAATAGCCTTTGTCACCCCCCTGCAGGATCATGGTGACTGTGGGCAGTATGTAGCTCACATGGTTGTGGGGAGGAAAGCTAGAGGGTTGGCCCTCTCTCACGTAGAGCACAGGGATCTCTTCTTCCTTTCCAGTGCATGCCAGTAGAGGAAAGTAGCATTTCCCACTGAGAGCCACATTCTGCCAAGTCTGGTTTATATCTGTTAGTTTCAAGAGTTTGGGCCTGGATCAGCCCAGCCTCTGCCCCATAGCTGGACCTCTGTAGACCCAGGAACATGGCCTCAAAGTTCCATCCATCCTATTGCTTTTAGGCATAAGTCATCCAGAGATCTGGTTTTACTGTAAAAGAGGCTCAGCGAGTTGTTCCTTAGCAAACAAGAATTAAAATGCTGTCTCCCATCTGAGCATGTTTGGCTAGTGGAGCCTAGGTGGTCTCTTCACCAGGTAACTTCCATTAAGTAGCTTGGCAGGTGGCAGAAAACTCTTTCCTAATTTCCTAGTTCCATGTTTGTATCATTCCTACCAGAATGAACTCATATTCAACAAAAGGGAATGGCCAGGAGAAATTCACATCCTCCACCAAAGCTCATTCCTCTTACTAGCAAATTTCAGAAACACAGGCTCAGGATCTCACTAGGTGAGAGGCCCAGAGAAATGCTGTTTGCTTTTGGACAAGAGCTGCCCTTCCTCACTGCATTGGCGATTCCAAACATGCCATCCTCTGGCTCTGCCCCAGTAGCCAGGTGAGGAAGATGCAAGCATCAGTCTACTTCTTAGAGGTTCAGCTGTGGACATTTATTCCATTAGGTAATTTAAGGAGAGAATGTACATTAATCTACCATGATACTTAGATTTGAGTAAATAGTTTGAATTGTTTGTATATGAATAGTAAAGTTTCTTTAAAATACAAATTCCATGGCAGAGTCACCATTCAGCATTTTCCAAAACTGAACTGTGGATACATAGGAAATAGCCAGCACAGAAAATCTAACCACCAGCAAACCCCCCATGCAATACATAGAATGAACCCTCTGCTCTCAATATGGGGAGAATTGTGAAGAAAGAAGATCTTAAGTCTACTTAGGAGATGCGGCAACCCTATGAATATATCCCAGTTCAAATGGTGAATGCTTTATAAAGGCCCAAGGAACCATAGGGGTGAAGTGACAGAGAGTTAAGCTCTATGCCACCAGTGAGGAAGAAAGGATGAAAGATAAGGAGGAAATCAGTCTTTTCCAGACTAATTCCAGTTAAACCTCTTTCTTTTGTAAACTGCCCAATCTTGGGTATGTCTTTATCAGCAGTGTGAAAATGGACTAATACACTGGCACACAGCATAGCCCATGAACATTCTATGGCAAATTCTTCATTTGTGACCTGTTTTTTCTGAAAGCATTTATCCTTGATGTTCTGAAATTCCACAAGGGTATTTTTAGATGTGCTGTTTTTGATTCACCCAGTTGGCCTTTTCAATTTAAAAAGTCTTATCTTTCTTTAGGTTAGGAAAAATTTGTTCTATTATCTCTTTGGCATTTTCTCCCCTCCATTTTTCTATTCTCTTTCTAGAACTGTTAGTTGGACAGTGGATGGCTTGAATTAACTCCATATGTCTGTCTTTCTTTTCTGTTTTTCCATAGTTTCATCTATTTTTTTCTCTTCTATCTTTCGAGAGATTTTCCTAACTTTGTTGTCCATTCTTCCTATTGAATAATCGTTATTCTTTCTAGGAGCTGCTTTTGTTCTGATTGTTTCTTTTTCATAGTCTCATACTTTTGTGCAATATTATCTTGACTCATTCTGCAGATACCAGTTAGATTTTTGTCTTGTTTTAAATTCCTTGTGTTTGTGTATCGTGGTTTTCTCTTTGATTCTACAGGTTTTTCTCAGATGTCTGTGAACCTTTGTTGTCCATTCACATTTGAGAATGGAGTTTGGGCTACATGACTGGTAACTCTGTGTATAAGAGAACGGCTTTGTCAACCAGGAGGCTTTCTGGGTAGATGGAGCTACTCCCAGGCTAGGACCCCTGGGTCCCAGAAAGTGAAAAGCTTCCCTCTGATTCTCACCAGCGGTTCTCTTTATCTTCATCAGAGAGGAAGCCACTCTCCTTTTTCTCCATAGGGATCAATGCATGGCTGCAGGCACATCTGCAGGTGTGGAGGATGAGGGTGATGGCGTCAAAGGAAGGAGCAGGGGCAGAGAGAGTTCAGACCGTCAATGCCTATTCATTTCTACTTCCAGTCATGACTCCTGCCCTCCTTCACTCCTGCCACCTCTGCATAGGAGCCTTTCAGGAGTCCTGGCGCCACTCCAGCCTCCATTTCAGTTGCCCACTCCTCCCTCACTAGGTCAAACCTGACCAGGAAATACGGAGAGAAACCCTGGCATTGCAGCAAAATATGCTGTGTCTGACCTCTCAGGCCTGCCCCCTGGTTTCTAAGATTGGTGTTTATTTTCATATCATGTAAGCCCAACTCACTGGAGCCAAGGTCATTTTCCCCACACAAAAATAGGAGCTTCAGCCCTGAGAAGCTACTATCGTGCCCAAGAGGTCCAAGCCAAAGTTAAGACTGTGTCCTCCCAGCACTTTGGGAGGCCAAGGCAGGTGGAGCACGAGGTTAGGAGACCGATACCATCCTGGCTAACACAGTGAAACCCCGTCTCTATTAAAAATACAAAAAAATTAGCCAGGCATGGTGGCATGTGCCTGTAATCCCAGCTACTTGGGAGGCTGACGCAGGAGAATCGCTTGAACCTGGGAGTCGGAGGTTGCAGTGAGCCGAGATCACACCACTGCACTCCACCATGGGTGACAGAGCAAGACTCCGTCTCAAAAAAAAAAAGACTATGTCCAATATGTTGCATAAACTCTTGCAGGCAATTTAGAACAATGGTATTTATTAGCATTTATTAAATCAACTACCAACCATATCCTTGTGGGTTTCTCACATTAAAAAATGAATGTGTTTATAACCTTTGCACTATCTAGTATCAAAGCTTACCCTCCATCACAGTATTCCTCCAAGAGAAAGGCAGAGAGAGGAGACTCAAGAGGTTTCCCAGGTTAGTTAAGTAGGTCGGTGAGCAAAACCAGGACCTTGGGTCACATGCATCCTCTCCAGTTTCCTGATGATGCTAACTAAGGATTTATCCAGGATTTTTCCCCCCTCATTAGGCTCAGAAATACAGCTCTTCATGAAGCAACTCTGCTTGGCCTTGCAGGAAGAGAGAGCACCGCCACTTTACTGGGGTATGTCCCCTGGCCTCTGATGGATACTTTTGAGGGCCACAGGGATCTCCCTAATGGCCTGTGATGATTTTAAGAGGGGCCTTGGTTCCTGAACTGCTGTCCCTGTCCATGGGGACCACCATCCCACCATGGCTTCCGGGGCACTGAGGGCTTTTCAAAGCGCAATGAAAATGTTGCCCCCATTAAACACACTCAGTTGTAGGACTTTAATGCAATGGGAACCAATGGCCAGGATTTGCAATTGGACATTTTGAAATCACAGAGCCTCTTTAAAGGTTTCAGGGTAGAGCCACCTCTGAGAACTGAAGTCACTGTGACCTCTTGGGGAGAGGTTTGGGGAGGTGGGACCAGGAGGGGCCCAGCCTGGCCTCCATGGCAGGGTAGAGTCAAGCTCTTAGGGTCACATGTTCAAGTCCTTCAGTGCACCTCCGTTTCTCCATTTCCTTTGCAGATGCAATGCAAGCATCCAAAAGAAGAATGCAGGAGGCCAGACAGCATACGACCTGGCTCTGAACACTGGAGATGACCTTGTCACCTCACTCTTTGCTGCCAAGTTTGGCCAAGGGCTTGAGGACCAACTCGCTCAAACTAGGAGCCTCAGCCTGGATGACTGTTAGCCCTGAGGCCTCCACGGGACTTCATTTAAGAATACGTGCATGGCTGGCACAGTGGCTTACGCCTGTAATCCCAGCACTTTGGGAGGCTGAGGCTGGCGTATCACCTGAGGTTGGGAGTTCAAGACCAGCCTGACCAACATGGAGAAACCCCGTCTCTACTAAAAATACAAAATTAGTCGGGCGTAGTGGTGCATGCCTGTAATCCCAGTTACTCGAGAGGCTGAGGCAGGAAAATCGCTTGAACCCGGGAGGCAGAGGTTACAGTGAGCCAAGATCGCGCCATCGCACTCCAGCCTGGGCAACAAGAGCAAAACTCCATCTCAAAAAAAAAAAAGAATATGTGCAGCTCTGGCTATTCTTTAATCATGTCTTTCTGAAATGTGTATTTGAGATTAGAAATTGAGGTTGAGAGGAACTCAGGAGATTTTTTTTTTAAATCATATGACAGTATAAGCCATCAGTACTAAATGGACAGCTCCCAGTATACTGTGGACTGTGATAAACTGAATGTATGTTTTTTAATGGTTTATTGCTGCAGGTTTTTTGTGTATTTGATTTTTAGTTTTTAACTTATTTTTCAATAGGTAATAATTGCACATGGTTCAAAGCTAAAAGGTATGAAGTATTATGTAGGGATACGTCCCTCCCATTCTGTCCCACAGCCACCACCTCTCTCCTCAGCCAGCAATGACATCAGCGTCGACTTGCCTTTCCCGGGGTTGTGCAGAGTTAGATATGCACATACATGTGGTATAAGCACATGTACAGAGGAGTACACATAGCATATAAACATGTCTGTAGCACATATATATTCTTTCCCCTCTTTTAAAACAAATGGTAGCAAACCAACCACACACTGTTCTGTATCTTGCTCTGTTTGCTTGATACATCTTGTAAGTGGCTCCTAATTACTATGTAAAGATTGACCTTATTTAAATTTTTTTATGTTGAAATCATCAATATTCCCATCATTATGGTGTGTTCTTTGATTGACAAATCAGCTCTCAATAAACCACTTATAAGAATGTGTAATTTTGACTCATTCCTTTCTTCACGTCATTATTTTAATCTTTGGGTGGTAATGCTGCAGTTCTGAAGTCCCTAACTAGTTTGTGTTAACATAAGTAATAGAATATTTATTAATTTGCTATAATTAATTCAGCACAATAAGTAATGGGCCTTGTTGAGGTGGTTACTGTTATCACCACCTGCTGGGTGGTGATACTTCCCTAGACTGGGCAGCTGTCTGTGGGAGGACAGAGGGTGCAAAGTCGCGGGAACACAGGCCCCTGGGCAGGCACCGCCACTGCTCCTACCCCTATCAGCCCCTCAGCCACTCGTGTAAGGGAGGCTGCTGCATGGTGGCCAGTGTCCAGGGAGACTGGGGAGTGTGATCATCTGGTTTGGGGCCTGTGGTGGTTTGCCCTGTGTCAGCTTGGCTGGGACTACTTTGCCCAGAATTCTCTTCCCTTATGGTTCTCTTCAGGGTTGGCCCCAAGAAAAACTGCATGAGATTCAGAAGATAGAAGAAAAGCAACAGCAGTCATGCTTGGATGGTGGCTATAGGGCACCAGGTGCCTCTGCCACTCACATCCTGTGTGAAGGAAGGGATGGAAGTGCTTGCCACCGCCAAGCAGCAAACCCTGCCTTTGGGATGGAAGAGGATGGATGTTTATTGGGATCAACACTTGTGAAAAGATGTGCAGAGGGAGAAGTCTAGTGGGGGGTAATGGGGTTCAAGGCCATTTTCCCCAGACCTCAGGGAGCAGGGAGGGCCTCATGGACCCGTGGGTTCTAGAAACAATTGCCTTGGGGTTCTTGGTGGGGAACTTTTGTGCCCTGAGTGCAGGAACCACGCTTTTAACGCCTCTTAGGTTTTCCACACTCCCTCTTGGAGGATTCTACCTTCTGAAACCAAGAGGCCCTTCCAGTGCCGGCTGGCCAGACTCAGGGATCTGTAAATCACGCATCTGATGTCTCATGCTAGGGTCCTTTCCTTTCTCTAAAGCTCACAGCCTACATTCATCACCCTTGAATTTCACTCTTTCAGAATCAAACCTCCGTTAAAATAGGACTAAAAAGTGAAAAGGCAGCCTAATATTTAACGCTTTCTGATGAAATCCTACAGGGTCACATAAAATGTTCTATTAATATTAAAGTACATATTTTCAGGAAAATTAAACACATTTTAAGGCAGAACATTTCTGATGTGAAAAATCATGTTGTTTTTTGTCCTTTCTAAAGCTTTCTTTTTCTTTTCCTAATGACAGGGCTTGTTGAGGGAACAGAGCCACTTTAAGTGAAAGGGAATGAGATTTTTAAAACTTTTTTATTTTTTAGAGACAGGGTATCTATCTCTCTGTCACCCAGGCTGGAATGTAATGGTGTGATCATGGCTCACTGCAGCATCAAACTCCTGGGCTCACGCGATACTCACCTCAGCCTCTAGAGTATCTGGGAATTACAGGCACAAACCACTGCCCTCAGCTAATTTATTTTATTAAAAACTTTTTTTTTTTTTTTTTTTTTTTTTGTAGAGACAGGGTCTCCCTATGTAGGCTGGTCTCGAACTTCTGGGCTCAAGTGATCCTCCCACCTCAGCCTCCCAAAGTGCTGGGGTTATAGGAGTGAGCCACCACGCCCAGCCTGGAACAAGGAATTTATTAAAGGAGTTAGACTCTCTTCAGTGCTTGAGCTGGTTAGTTTGATGGTGGGCCTGAAGATGCTGTACCACAGCAGGGCTACGTTCAGGAAGTACAGGTGAGCATGAAGGGGACGAGCAAGGACAAGCTGGAACCCATGGGGACACATCTCCCTCCTCCACCCTCATGGTCACAGGCAAATTGCAGGAGATGCGCCCTTTCCCGTGAAATTTGCCCCAGGCTGGGCTCTCTAGAAGCAGATGCCAAGACAGTTTGGGATGGAAGAGGATGGGTGTTTATTGGGATTAACACTTGTGAAAAGATGGTGGAGAGGGCAGTCAACTGCTATGTGGCCCAAGAATGCCTCAGCCACCAGGTGGTGCTCCCATCAGCCAGAATTGCCCATCATGGTGTCCACTGTGCTTTTGTAGCCCCCTGGCAGATGGGAGCTTCCCCAGAAGGGACGGGACCTCAGGCAAGGCAGCTCTCTGAAGTTGCTGATAGCTGGAGGCCACCTGCTGCCGCACTCGCTACAGCCAGGGCAGCAAGCCCTGCCTGGAAAGAGGATGTGGGTGGTGCATCTCCGCCTGCCATAAAGCTGCCTAGGTGCCTGACCCAGGCTGCAGGACAGCTGAAGGCAGAGATCGGGGGGAGCTGGTGAAGCCACGGGCCTGGCTGCTTCCCACACCTGCCAGATGAGCCAGGGGTTAGTGACTGTGTCTTCCCTGGATCTGGTCCTAAGGCCATGTCCTCTCAAGGCCTGGTCGCTCTTCCTGGAGGGGCTGTCTCTGCTTTGCAGACTTGTCCTATGTCCCCAGTGGGCTTCAGTGGGCTGGCTTGCCATTCCCTCCTTTCCACTGAGGTGAGTGAGTTCCCATGCACTCATTGCCCATTTGGGTTTCTTCTATTTTTCTTATCGGCTTAGAGAATTTCTTTACATCCTCTTGAATCAGAGCATCTTCTAGAGTCCAGACAGTGCTGTCCAATAGAAATACAATCTGAGCCACATATACAATCATAAATTTTCTAGTAGCCATACTTCTAAAAGTGCAGAGAAACAAGCAAAATTAATTTTACTGGGATACATGGACAGATACTTTTCCAAAGAAGACATACTTGTGGCCAGAAAGCATATGAAAAAAAGAAAAAGCTCGGTGTCACTAATCATTAGAGAAATGGAAATCAAAACCACAATGAGATACCATCTAACACCAATCAGAATGGCTATTTTTAAAAAGTCAAAAAATAACATGCTGGCAAGGTTGTGGAAAAAAGGGGATGCTTATACCCTGTTGGTGGGAGTGTTTAACCGTTGTGGAAAACAGTATGGTGATTCCTGAAAGAGCTAAAAATAGAAATACCATTCAACCCAGCAATCTCATTATTGGGTATACACCCAAAGGAATATAAATCATTCTACCATAAAGACCCATGCATGTGTATGTTCATTGCAGCACTATTCACAATAGAAAAGACATGGAAACAACCTAAATGCCCATCAATGACAGATTGGATAAAGAAAATGTGGTACATATACACCATGAAATAGACTATGCAGCCATAAGAAAGAACAAGAACATGTCTGTTGTGGGAACACGGATGGAGCTAGAGGCCATTATCCTTAGCAAACAAACACAGGAACAGAAAACCAAATATCACATGTTCTCACTTATACGTGGGAGCTGGCCAGGCACGGTGGTTCACGCCTGTAATCCCAGCACTTTGGGAGGCCAAGGTAGGCAGATCACCTGAGGTCAGGAGTTGGAGACTAGCCTGGCCAACATAGTGAAACTTCATCTCTACTGAAAATACAAAAATTAGCCCGGCCTGGTAGTGGGCGCCTGTAGTCCCAGCTACTCGGGAGGCTGAGGCAGAATTGCTTGAACCCAGGAGGCAGAGGTTGCAGTGAGCCAAGATCTTGCCGTTGCACTCCAGCCTGGGCGACGAGAGTGAAACTCCATGTCCAAAAAAAAAAAAAAAAAAAGTGGCAGCTAAATGATGAGAACAAATGGACACAAAAAGAGGGACAACACCGGCCAGGCGCGGTGGCTCACGCCTGTAATCCCAGCACTTTGGGAGGCCGAGGCGGGCAGATCACGAAGTCAGGAGATCGAGACCATCCTGGCTAACATGGTGAAACCCCGTCCCTACTAAAAAAATACAAAAAATTAGCTGGGCGTGGTGGCGGGCACCTGTAGTCCCAGCTACTCGGGAGGCTGAGGCAGGAGAATGGCATGAACCTGGGAGGCAGAGCTTGCAGTGAGCTGAGATCCCCACTGCACTCCAGCCTGGGCGACAGAGTGAGACTCTGTCTCAAAAAAAAAAAAAAACAGGTGGGGGGAAAACACCCACTGGGGCCTCTCAGAAGGTGGAGGCTGGGAGGAGGGAGAGGATCAGAAAAAATAACGATTGGGTACTAGGCTTAGTACCTGGGTAACAAAATAATCTGTACAATAAACCCCCATGATATGAGTTTACCTATATAACAAACCCTGAACCGAAAATAAAAGTTTTAAAAATATTTTACTAGAATAAATATTATTTCAATTTATAATTCATCTAAATTGTTAATGCAATATTCTATATATTTTATGTTATTTTTTCACACCAAGTCATTGAAATCTGGTGTGCATTTTATCCTTACAGCACATCTTAATTCAATTCACCACATTTTAAATGCCCCCTACCTGCACATGGGGGTTGGCTACAGCATAGTTCTAGAACCTTCTACCTATGTAATAACACACATCGAGGTCATTGCATTCTGATTCCCACCCCGCTAGGATACTAGCAGCGCAGATACGCTCACTTGAAGCTTGCATCTCTGTGGTTGGTGGGTTTTCCATGTTTAATCCAGAAGAGTTCCTCCCCAACACCTGTGCAAGGCCACAGCTCCAGGTGCTCTGGTCAAGGTGCCCAGTAGGATAAAGAAAATTTACAGGGTCATTTATTTCTGTTGTCTCCAAGACATCTCTTCGGAGGACCTCAAGAACGCACATCACTTGCTTCTTTTCCCACTTCTATTTCTGACTGCTTCGGAGCCAGGTTTTTGCTTTTTCCTGGCCAAACAGAAAATAAAGAGCATCTCTTGGATTCTCATCCACCTTCCCGTTCTTCAAGTAATTGCAAACCCAGCCTCCCTTTGTGGTTTTCTAAGGGTACGGTCTTGTGGGGACATAGAACAGGCAAGGTAAAGTGACTCATTCTCTACTCTCCCCTCCTTTTCATTGTAAATCCCAAAAAGAGAGACAAAAGGCCACATATACCTTTGTCCCTCAATGAACAGGAAATGAAGTGTGTTACCTTCTCAATTGCACACACGGATGCAGTTAACTGCTGTGTGTTTTTCTGAATGGAAGGAAGAGGGGCCTGGGCCCACAGAGCCATCTGGGAGCCGCTTCTGTGATGGTGAGGAGTGCCCAGGTGGCTGCTGCTTCTGCCTCTCCTCGCTGCTGCTTCTGGTCCTGCTGCTGGAGGCCAGATCTGGGTGAACTGAGTGCTGGGAATTCAACCCGGAATCTAGATTTAGACTGCTAAGTATGTCCACAGAGTTCCCGAAATACATCAGCACCTGCTTCTGGAAGGCAGAGCATTTGGACATTCCGTGGGAACGCTCCTGAGATGTCTTGGTTCTTACTTGAATTGCCAACAAAAACACAGTTCCATCTCTCACCTCTTCCCTCTCCTTCCCCCATCTCCTTCTTCATCCCCTCTCCCTCAACTGGTTTTTCTACCCATTTCCCCCAAATCCTTACCTGACCCCAAAAACTCCCTCTATATGCAATCCCTTTCCTTCTGCCAGGCCCCTGCTTTCCTGTCCACATCGTCTCTTGGCCTTTCCTTCTCTCTTGTGAAGTGATGGAAATGCATGGTATTATTTACCTAAATTAATTGACTCAAAATTTCCCTTTCACTTTCAATGAACCCTACTCTTTTAATGAAATAGTGACATTTTCTGTTTACCTAGACTACATAAATTTTACTTGTTGTATTTCTGTTAGTAAGGATATAAATCCCCTAGCTTTAATAGAACGTTGTAATTATAAATAAAATACTAGTTATTTTTAAATCTTTACGCATAAAACTAGAATAAAATTTTTATAGTGAAAATTAAGAATAACATTTTGAATATTATACAAAAAGTGGAAGTCCTATTTCTGTGGCTCTCATAATCCCCAGCAGTAACCACTGTTAGTGGATGTGCTGGCCGGGCGCGGTGGCTCACGTCTGTAATCCTAGCACTTTGGGAGGCTGAGGCAGGCGGATTGCATGAGCCCAGGAGTTTGAGACCAGCCTGGACAACATGTCAAAACCCCGTCTCTAAAATAAAAAACAGCGTATGTGCAGGCTTTGGAAACCTTTATCTTTCTCTGCAATTTAACACCATATAAAATATATAGTTTTCTTAAAGTTTGAATACAATGTAATTATTCTGTAATTGGTTTTATTCATTTATACATCTTGGGGACCTTTCCATTATTTGTGAATTGACTAAATTCTTTTTAAGTGTTTTTTTAAAAAATATAAAACATAGACATACACCATTATTATTTAAACAGATTAACAGAGCTAACCAACATTTCTAGTCATGTGTCAATATTTTGTGAAGACAGAAGAAAGTAAAATCACTGGATTTAAGACTATGCATATTTTGAGTGTTGAAAGATGTTGCCAAAATTTCCCTCATAAGAGTTGACAGTCCCACCAAAGTATGCCTTTCTCCACACCTCCCCAATTTCGCAGATCAAACACACATCATTGCCATTAGTTAGTTTATTTATTTATTTATTTTTTGCCTGTTCCTGATTTCTTATTAAGACTATCTCTTCCTGGATTAAGCGTTGGTAGGTACTTCCATGACTCACTCATCCATGTGCTTTGCCATTTTTTATTGGATAATTTCTCACGGGATAATTTCTATTGGATAGTTTCTCATTGCTATAATGTCAGATTTCTTTACATATTCCTTACATATTCTGGATAATACAGGTGTCTTGTCCTTCTTGCCTTTTCTTTATGTATATTGTATACCGTCTAATAAATGCTTTATAGATTTGTTTTGTCAAATATTTTAGTATTTTTTAGGACTTCTGAGGTCTTTGACTTGCTGAAGTTCTTCACTATTCCAAAATCAAAACATTTTCATCTTATATTTTCTTCTAATATGTAAATACTTGTCTGCTTTATTTAGCTTTTTAGTTTATTTCCATTTATATTTCTAAAGGATACACGGACTGAAGTTTACTTTTTCCCAAGTGAGCAACCATCCCTTGTGCCAATACAGTTTTGGGGTCACTCATCTTCTCCACACTAGTTGAAAGGCCATCTTTATTTAGCATACCCTGAATTCTCTTGTGTACAAAGGTCTGGCCTGATTATTGCAAAATGCTCTATAAATATCTTTAAAGTAGTCACTCCTATTGTCCTGCTTCAAAAAATCCTCTCCCCCTCCCCCTCCCGTCTCCCGTCTCCCCACGGTCTCCCTCTGATGCCGAGCGGAAGCTGGACTGTACTGCCGCCATCTCGGCTCACTGCAACCTCCCTGCCTGATTCTCCTGCCTCAGCCTGCGGGTGCCTGGGATTGCAGGCGCGCGCCGCTGCGCCTGACTGGTTTTCGTATTTTTTTGGTGGAGACGGGGTTTCGCTGTGTTGGCCGGGCTGGTCTCCAGCTCCTAACCGCGAGTGATCCGCCAGCCTCGGCCTCCCGAGGTGCCGGGATTGCAGACGGAGTCTCGTTCACTCAGTGCTCAATGTTGCCCAAGCTGGAGTGCAGTGGCGTGATCTCGGCTCGCTACAACCTCCACCTCCCAGCCGCCTGCCTTGACCTCCCAAAGTGCCGAGATTGCAGCCTCTGCCCGGCCGCCACCCCGTCTGGGAAGTGAGGAGCGTCTCTGCCTTGCCGCCCATAGTCTGGGATGTGAGGAGCCCCTCTGCCTGGCTGCCCAGTCTGGGAAGTGAGGAGCACCTCTGCCCGGCCGCGACCCCGTCTGGGAGGTGAGGAGCGTCTCTGCCCGGCAGCTGCCCCGTCCGGGAGGGAGGTGGGGGGCAGCCCCCGCCGGGCCAGCCGCCCCGTCCGGGAGGTGGGGGGCGCCTCTGCCCGGCCGCCCCTTCTGGGAAGTGAGGAGCCCCTCTGCCGGGCCACCACCCCGTGTGGGAGGTGTACCCAACAGCTCATTGAGGACGGGCCATGATGACGATGGCGGTTTTGTCGAATAGAAAAGGGGGAAATGTGGGGAAAAGATAGAGAAATCAGATTGTTGCTGTGTCTATGTAGAAAGAAGTAGACATAGGAAATTCCATTTTGTTCTGTACTAAGAAAAATTCTTCTGCCTTGGGATGCTGTTAATCTACAACCCTACCCCCAACCCCGTGCTCTCTGAAACATGTGCTGTGTCCACTCAGGGTTAAATGGATTAAGGGCGGTGCAAGATGTGCTTTGTTAAACAGATGCTCTGAAGGCAGCATGCTCGTTAAGAGTCATCACCACTCCCTAATCTCAAGTACCCAGGGACGCAAACACTGCGGAAGGCCGCAGGGTCCTCTGCCTAGGAAAACCAGAGACCCTTGTTCACTTGTTTATCTGCTGACCTTCCCTCCACTATTGTCCTATGACCCTGCCAAATCCCCCTCCGCGAGAAACACCCAAGAATGATCAATAAATACTAAAAAAAAAAAAAAAAAAAAAAAAAAGAAAGAAATTGAAAAGAGAAAAAAAAATTATTTACTATTCATAGATTTTCTCCTCTCCACAAACTCGAATTAGTCTATTAAAACTCTTAAAATTCTTCTTTAGATTTAATTGGGAATATCATGGAATTTAGACATATATTTGAGGGAGAACTGAGACTTTATTAATCAAAAACCATGGTAATCTTTCTATTTATTCTTGACTTCTTTTATATTCTCAGTAAAAATGTTAATTTTCTTCCTGTAAACACTATGTGTTTTTTTGTTCAGTTAACTTTTAGGCACTTAATATTTTTGTTGTTTTAAATAGTATTTCCCTTAGTGATGTTTTCTTTTTTTTTAATTTTTAACTTAGTTTTTTTAAATTTAACTTTTATTTTAAGGTCAGGGTATATGTGCAGGTTTGTTGTATAGGTATATTTGTGTCATGGAGGTTAGTGTACAGATTATTTCATCACCCAGGTATTAAGCCTAGTATTCAACAGTTATTTTTCCTGATCCTCTCCCTCCTCCCATCCTTCACCCTCCAATAGGCCCCAGTGGGTGTTGTTCCCATCTATGTGTCCATGTGTTCTCATCATTTAGCTCCCACTTATAAGTGAGAACATGTGGTATTCGGTTTTCTGTTCCTGCATTAGTCTGCTAAGGATAATGGCCTCCAGCTCCATCCATGTCCCTGCAAAGGACATGATCTCATTCTTTTTTATGGCGGTGTGGTATTCCATTGTGTACATGTAGCACATTTTCTTTATCCAGTCTACCATTGATTGGCATTTAGGTTGATTCCATGTCTTTGCTGTTGTGAATAGTGCTGCAATGAACATATGCATACATGTGTCTTTATAATAGAATGATTTATATTCCTTTGGGTATATGCCCAGTAATGGGATTGCTGGGTTGAATGGTTTTTTTTTGTTTTGGAATCTTGCCTGGACTGGAGTGCAGTGGCACGATCTCAGCTCACTGCATCCTCTGCCACCTGGGTTCAAGCGATTCTCCTGCCTTAGCCCCCAAGTAGCTGGAATTACAGGTGTGCGCCACCATGCCCTACTAATTTTTGTATTTTTAGTAGAGACGGAGTTTCACCACATTGGCCAGGCTGGCCTCGAACTCTTGGCCTCAGGTGATCCACCCGCCTTGGCCTGGGATTACAGGCATGAGCCACCATGCCTGGCCTGGTAGTTCTGTTTTTAGGTCTTTGAGGAATTGTAACACTGTCTTCCACAATGATTGAACTAATTTACACTCCCACCAACAGGGTATAAGCATCACCTTTTTTCTACAAACTTGCCAGCAGGTTTTTTTGTTTTTTCTTTTTGACTTTTTAAAAGTAGCCATTCTGATTGGTGTTAGATGGTATCTCACTGTGGTTTTGATTTGCATTTCTCTAATGATCATTGATGTTGAGCTTTTTTTCACATGATTGTTGGCCACATGTATGAAAAGTGTCTTTTCATGTCCTTTGCCCACATGGAATTGTTTTTTCTTCTTGTAAATTTATTTAAGATCTTTATAGATGCTGGATTTTAGACTTTTGTCATATGAATAGTTTGCAAAAATTTACTCCCATTCTGTAGGTTGTCTGTTCACTTTGTTTGTAGTTTCCTTTGCTGTGCAGAAGCGCTTTAGTTTAACTAGATCCCATTTGTCAACTTTTGCTTTTGTTGCAATTGCTTTTGGTGTCTTCATCATAAAATCTTTGCCTATTCTATGTCCAGAATGATATTGCCTAGGTTGTCTTCCAGGGTTTTTATAGTTTTGGGTTTTACATTTAAGTTTGTAATCCATCTTGAGTTCATTTTTGTATATGGTGTAAGGAAGGGATCCAGTTTCAATCTTCTGCATGTGGCTAGCCCATTAAGCACCATTTATTGACTAAGGAGTCCTTTCCCCATTGTTTGTTTTTGTTAGGTTTGTCAAACTCAAATACTATCAAGTTTTGACTCTATTTTCTCACCTGGCTCCTTGCTGAAAACTCTTTTTTGGTGCTAACAATTTTCTGAAGTTTTATAATTACTGAGAAAGTAAAAATTAATTCAGGCTGAGAAAGTAAAAATCAGTCTGGACTTTCGTCAAGCTGGGATAACAGACACAGATAAAGCCAGCTGCAAATTTAGAGCAGATGACTTGTCTTCTGTGAACAAGCCACAGCTGTGAAATGCCGTTAACAACCCTCTCTTTGAGTGACTACTGGTTTCTTACTATGGAGGAATTTTGTTCTCAAAAATTATAGACTGCCAGGAGCTTTGCTATTTGAAATTAAATCAGTATGAATGAAACATCCCACTCTTGCCTGGGGGATCGAAGTCACTTTGACACAGAGAAGCAGCCTCAATTTCCAACCCTGGTGCAGAGCTTCAGCACAGAGGTTTACAGACACAACTTTTTACATCTCTTTTAACTTTGTAGTTTCCAAGAACATAAAACCCTGGGCCCATTTTCCAGTCCAAATGTGGTGATGACCTTTTACACATAGCTCTGCTTTATTCTGAGCCTATCAAAAACCTGTGTGTTTCAATTTTGACTAAATTTCATCCTTCTTGAGAGTCCTAGAATTACTAAATCTTTTCCTTTGTTTTTCCTGTGAATGGACTCCTTGTTGCAATGAATCAAATAAACCTGACTTTGTGAGACTACTGGTTAGGCTGGGACACTGCTTTAACTTTGTTCATAAATCGTCTGAAAAAATGAAAAAAAATACATACATGTTGACTCTTGTCCATTTTAATATCATGCCTCTCACTTATCTGTAATCCTGGAAGCACTACAGCTTCTAGTACATCACTAAATAGAAATAACGGGCATCTTTTAACTAACTCTTAAATTGTATTATAAATATTTCTAAAGTTACTTTAGTAGAATGTTATTCAAAAATTCTGGTAAATACTTTTTTTTTAAAATTATTGTGACAGAATCTTGCTCTGTTGCCCAGGCTGGAGTGCAGTTGCGCCATCTCAGCAAACTGCAAGCTGATTTTTGTATTTTTAGTAGGGACGGGGTTTCATCATGTTGGCCAGGCTGGTCTTGAATTCCTAACGTTAGGTGATCCACCCACCTAGGCCTCCCAAAGTGCTGGGATTACAGGTGTGAGCCATCACACCCGGCCTCAAGTACCTATAATTTTGTTGTGGTAGGAACATCTAAAGTCCACTCCTCTAGCAATTTTGAAATATACAATACATGACTATTAACTATGGTTGCCATCTGTGCAATTAATCACCAGAACCTATTCATCTTATCTACCTGAAACTCTGTAATCTTGGACCAAAGTCTCCCTTTTCCCATCCACCTCTGCAACCTCACACCCTGGTAACCACCATTTTACTTTATCCTCCTATGAATTCAACCTTTTTTTTTTTTTTTGAGATGGAGTTTTGCTCTTGTTGCCGAGGCTGGAATGCAATGGTGCAATCTCAGTTCACTGCAACCTCTGCGACCTGGGTTCAAGCGATTCGCCTGTCTCCAGCCTCACAAGTAGCTGGGATTACAGGTGTGCGCCACCATGCCCTGCAAGTTCAACTTTTTAAGATTCTACATATAAGTGAAATCACGCAGTATTTGTCTTTCTGGGCCTCGCTTAAGGAAATTTTTATTTTTTTGTGTAAATTTAAGGGATACAGGTGCAGTCTTGTTACATGGTTATATCGCGTAGCAATGAAGTCTGGATTTTTAGTGTAACCATCACCCAGATATGTACATTACACCCACTAAGTAAGTTCTCATCCCTCATTCCTCTCCCATCCTCCCACCCTACTAAGTCTCCAGTGTCTATTATTCCACTCTCTATGTCCACATGTACACATTATTTAGTGTCCACTTAGAAGTGAGAACATGAGGTATTTGAGTTTCTGTGTCTGAGTTGTTTCACTTAAGATAATGGCCTCCCGTTCCATCCATGTTGAAGAAAACGTGATTTCATTCTTTTTTTATGGCTGAAGACTATTCCACTGTGTGTGTGTGTGTGTGTGTATCTCACATTTTCCTTATCCAGTTATCCATTGAAGAACACTTAGATTGATTCCATATCTTTGCAATTGTGAATAGTGCTATGATAAGCATATGAGTTCTGGTGTCTTTTTGATACAATGATTTATTTTCTTTTGGGTAGATACCCAGTATTGTGATCACAGGATCAAGTGATAGCTGTATTTTTAGTTATTTGAGAAATCTCCATACTATTTTCCATAGAGGTTGTACTAATTTATGTTCCCACCAACAATGTCTAAGCGTCCCTTTTTCTCTGCATCCTTGCCAACATTGGTTATTGTTTGACTTTAACTGATAGCCATTCTAACTGGTATAAGGTGATATCTTATTATGGTTTTAATTTAATGATTAGTGATCTTGAGCATTTGTCCATATACTTTTTGGCTATTTGGATGTCTTCTTTTGAAAAAATGCCTATTCATAGTCTTTGCCCGCTTTTTTAAAAAATATTTGACACGTGTACTTTATTTTATGCCAATTCTACCTCAATAACACTGCTTTTTTTTTTAAGATATGGGGGAACCTTAAATATATATTGCTAAATCAAAGAAGCCTATCCGAAATGGTTACATACTGTATAATTACAACTATAGGACATTTTGGAAAAGGCAAAACTATAGGGACAATTAAAAGATCAGTGATTAACAGGGGTTCGGGGGAAGAAGAAAGGGAAGAATATGTGGATTACAGGAGATTTTTAGGGCAGTCAAATTAGTGTATGATATTGTCATAGTTGACACTTTTTTTATTATACTTTAAGTTTTAGGGTACATGTGCACAACATGCAGGTTAGTACATATGTATACATGTGCCATGTTGGTGTGCTGCACCCATTAACTCATCATTTAACATTAGGTATATCTCCTAATGCTATCCCTCCCCCCGCCCCCCCCCCCACAACAGGCCCCAGTGTGTGATGTTCCCCTTCCTGTGTCCATGTGTTCTCATTGTTCAATTCCCATCTATGAGTGAGAACATGCGGTGTTTGGTTTTTTGTCCTTGCAATAGTTTGCTGAGAATGATGGTTTCCAGCTTCATCCATGTCCCTACAAAGGACATGAACTCATCATTTTTTATGGCTGCATAGTATTCCAAAACAATAGCAAAAACTTGGAACCAACCCAAATGTCCAACAATGATAGACTGGATTAAGAAAATGTGGCAAAATCTTTGCCCACTTTTTAATAGAGTTGAGAGGTTTTTGTTGAGTTGTTTGAACCTCTTGTAAATTCTGGATATTACTCTCCTATTGGATGTATAGTGTGCAAATATTTTCTCTTGTTCTGCAGATTGTTCACTCTGTTGATTATTTCTTTTGCTATGCAAAAACTTCTTAGTTTAATTAAGTTTCATTTGTCAATTTTTGTTTTTGTTTCCTGTGCTTTTGATGTCTTAGTCAGGAATTCTTTGCTTTGACCAGAAAAGTTTTCCCTAGGAATTCTTATAATTTTTTCAGTTTCTGCTTTTATATTTAGGTCTTTAATCCATCTTGAGTTTTTTTTTTTTAATTTTTGAGGCAGGGTCTTGCTCTGTCACTCAAGCTGGAGTACAGTGGCAGGATCATGGCTCACTGCCATCTCAACCTCCTGCCTCAGACTCCTGATTAGCTGGGACTATAGGCTTGAATTTATTTTTGTATATGGTGGGTATTAGGGAGTCTAGTTTCATTCTTCTGCATGTGACAATCCAGTTTTCCCAGCCACATTTATTGAAAAGGGTGTCTTTCCCCCCAGCGTATGTTTTTGTCAACTTTGTCAAAGATCAGCTGGCTTTAGATATGTGGCTTTATTTCTGGGCTCCTATTCTATTCCATTCATCTGTACATTTATTTTTATACCAGACCATGCTGCTTTGGTTAGTGTAGCCTTGTAGTATAACTCAGGTAATGTGATGCTTCTAGCTTTGTTCTTTTTGCTTAGGTTTGCTTTGAATTCAGGCTCGTTTTTGGTTCTAGACCACAAAGACAAGCAGATTAAGAAAAAAAAACCCACAAAAAATACTAGATAACAATTAACATTATGTCAGGAATGAAACCTCACATATCAATATTAATGTTGAATATAAATGGGCCAAGTGCTCCACTTAAAAGATACAGATGGGTAAAATAGATAAGAAAAGCCTGCACCAACTATATGCTGCTTACAAGAAATTAACCATACTGATAAAGATGCTTATAAACTGAAGGTAAAGAGATGGAAAAAATATTCCAAGCAAATGGAAATCAGAGGTGAGCAGAAGTAGCTATACTTGTGTCAGATGAAATGGACTTTAAATAAAAAACAGAATAAAAAAAGACAAGGTCTTACATAATGATAAAAGGATCACTTCAACAAGTGGATAACAATCCTAAATATATATGCATCTAACACTGGAGCACCCAGAATCATAAAACAAATATTACTAGACCTAAAGAAAGAGATAGACAGCAATAAATCATAAGCTGTGGGGAGGGGATTTCAATACCCCACTCACAACACTAGACAGATTATCAAAACAGAAAATTAACAAAGAAACACTGGACTTAAGTTGGACTTTAAATGGACCTAATAAACATTTACAGAACCTTCTACCTAACAACTGCAGAACATAAATTCTTCTCATCGGCACATGGTACATGCTCCAAGACAGACCATGTGTTAGTTCATCAAACAAGTCTCAATACATTTTTAAAAAAGAAATACCTAATGTAGATGATGGGTTGATGGGTGCAGCAAACCACCACGGCACATGTATGCCTATGTAGCAAACCTGCATGTTCTGCACATGTATCCCAGAACTTAAAGTATAGTTTAAAAAATTGAAATTGTATCAAGTATCTTCTCAGACCATAGCAGAATAAAACTGGAAATCAATACCAAGAGGAACTTGTGAAACTACACAAATACCTGAAAATTAAACAACACATTTCTAAATGATCTTTGAATTAATAATTAAATTAAGATGGAAATTTTAAAATGTTTTGAAACAAATGAAAATGGAGACACAACATAGTAAAACCTCTGGAATACAGCAAAAGCAGTGCTAAGAGGAAAATTTATAGCATTAAATGCCTACTTCAAAAAAATAGTTCACTCTGTAATCCCAGCACTTTGGGAGACCAAGGCAGGAGGATTGCTTGAGCCCAGGAGTTTCAGATCAGCCTGGGCAACATAGCAAGACCCTGTCTCTAAAAAAAAAAAAAATCACGAATTAACAACCTAGTGTCACATCTCAAGGAACTAAAAAGAGCAAGAAGAAAGCAATCCCAAAGCTAGCAGAAGAAACAAAATAACAAAGATCAGAGCAGAACTAAATGAAATTGAAACCAAGGAAATTATTCAGAAGTAGAGAGGTATTAGTTCATTCATTAATTACCTTGATTAAAAAAAAGTTTAGCAGACATTAATTCAATATTTATTTATTTTAATTTTTATGAGTGTCAGTTCCCAGGCCCCTGATTTAATGGGTGGTGATAAATGGCTCAGTTTTTAAATTATTCCTTCCCAATGTAGTGAGAGCCTCAGAAATTTTACTACTGATCCAAACAATACTAACAATTTTTTTCCTCTCCACCCTCAACCTCCACTTTCTCCCCTGTATCTTGCCTCTCCTCAGCAGAAACTTCCTCCCTGCAACCCCATCAAACAGAGAAGAGAAAAAGGGGAAATTTGGGATTTGGGGAAACCTTTCCCAAACATGATTAAATCTCCAGCAGGGAGAGGCATTCTTGAACTTGATTTTATATAAATCAAGCTTGATCCACACTCAAGCTTGATCCACAATCCCACTGCCAGCTGTTGTGGTGTTTTAATTATTTCTTCTTGCTAGTTCCATCCTCAAATGTTCTTTCCCTTTTTCTCAAAGCATGAAAAAAGAAACTGATGAAATCTGGGCACTTATTCTTTCCTTTTCTGAGTAATGCCAAAGACTCTCCTTGACTAAACTTTAGTTAGGCTCATCTAAGCCCTCTAGGCCTCAACCTTGGCTTTCGTCCTTCTTGGGCCTGCATTGCTGAGTTTTAGTGAGAATCTTGCTAAGTCAGTTTAGAGAGATATTCCCCACCCCTCATACCTGATCACTCTCAATATCCAATCAAATTCCTCATCCTCCAGCATCCCCCAAGTAATATGTGATTATCCTGGCCTGCCTTCAGCAAGAATCCTGTTGAATCTGTTTAACCAGGAGGCCCCTTTCCTCTGATGTCTTCTTAGTAATTTCCCATCCACTGACCTCCACCCTGCTCCTGGCTTATTCCCACTTATCCTCACTGTGTTCAGAATTGAGTCCAGTTCTACAGTGTGATCTCTCTTTCCCTGTTGCAGTCCTGAAGAAAATCTGTTTTTACCGCTTTAACTACTGTCCAGCTTTGGTTTGCTTTGCCGGTATGTAGTTGTTAGGGAGGAGTCACCATTAGAGGGACATTCATGTATTTTGTTTTAGTAAGTGTATTCCCTCCCTCAGTTGTTTTCCCTTCAAATTTGGGGAAGTATTAGAGATTTTTAGAATTTGACCTTTCACATTCTTCCCCTAGGCTGCTTTGATGAGGGAGGTGACGTGTTAGTCTCATGGAGTATGAGACACATAATTTCTAAAAATGTCTGTTTGCCTCTGAACACCTCCTGCTCTAACGTTTGAATAGAGTGGACTTTTTTAAAAATAAAATTGTATTAGATTTAGTGGGTGGGGGGGAGCTGGTTTGATGCCACCCTCTTACCCCAGCAGCCCTATACACTCAGAACATCTAGACTCTTCTCTTACTGCTCCAGCTGACATTTCCACCACAGCCTCCACAGCTCACCCAAAGGCACTCCACTTCAGAGACGCTATACCAGCAGGGAAGTTGCTATCTCTGTTCTTTCTCTATCCAGACCCAGGCCGGGCAAACAATAGAAGGTCAGTATATATTTAAGCATTTATTGCTGCCTAACAAATTACTCTAAAATTTAGTTGCCTAAATTATAAAAAATCAGTATCTCAGTTTCTGTGGATGAGAAATTCAGAAGCTGCTGAATTGAGTTGTTCTGGTTTGGAGTCTTTCATAAGTTTTAGTCAAGATGTTGGCAAGGGCTTTGGTCATCTGAAAGCTTGGCCAAGGCCAGAAGATATGTTTCCAAGAGGACTTGCTCACGTGGTGCTGGTTACTGTCAGGAGGGCTCAGTCCCTCCCAGTGTTGACCTCTGCATGGGCGGCTTGAGTGGCATCACAACATGGCGGCCTGCTTCCCCTCAAGTGAGCCATCCCAGAGACAGCAAGACAGAAGCCTCTTGTGTTTTATCACTTTACCTTGGAAATCATCAACCATCATTTCCACCATATCCCATTGTGGTCATATCTATTCAGCTGAGAGGCAACCACGTGAGGGCACACATGCCAGGAAGTAAGGATCACTGGGAGCCATTTTGGAAGCTGGCTACCACAGTGAGTAAATAAATAGAATGAATAAATTGGAGTCAATTAGTAGATTATCTAGAGAATAAAGGGTTTGCATTCCATGGTAATTATCAATAAGCTTCAGAAAACGTGGTTTTTACTTTTTCATAGTCCACTACCTGAAACGGAAAGTTATTATGTAGATAAATATAAAAATATAAAAAGCACATAACAGTAAAATGTATAAGTCTGTGTCTCTCCCAGCACTTTCATACTTCACACATGGCAGAGAGAGTGGAGTAGGAATTAGATGAGATCTGAGAATATCGGCCAAGGCTCTATGGACATGCACAGAGAAACGAAGCTTCACATGAGGTTTCCTATTTTCCTCATCCTAGCCCTTCTGGCACCTCACCCCAGGCACCACACCCCTCTTTTGAAAAGCTGCTTTAATTTCTTGTTTTTTCTTTGCTGTTCCAACCATATGTGCCCTCTCTTATTTTTCCTTCAAACTGGGTATACAAAGTGGTAAAGCCCAGATGTGGTTGGCAGAATTCGAAGATGCCTCTCAATGAGTCACACTCATACATATCCCTCCTCCCATTCCTTCTTTTCCATGAGGGGCCTGTGAATATGAGATGTCATACCTGTGAGTAGGTTATGTTATATGGCAAAAGAGAAGGGATTTGGGGCATAAAGCGAGTCCATAATCAATGTACTTTAAGTTAATCAAAAGGGAGATTATCTTGGGTGGGCCTGACCTAATCAGGTGAGCCCTTTAAAGGGGCATCTAAGGATTGGAGACTCAAAATGCTGAGATTATCTTCTGTTCATCTTGAAGAAGTAAACTGCCATGAGTGTAGAGGACTACGTTGCAGCAACTGCCATGCAGCCTCTAGGAGTTGGAGGCCTCCATTCTATAACTGCCAGGAACTGAATTCCACCAACAACCAGTGAGCCTGGAAAAGAATCTCGAGCTCAAATGGGATCACAGCCCCAGCCAGCACCTTGATTGCAGCCTGGTCAAACCTTAAGCAGAGGACTCTGCTAAGCCATGCCTAGACTCCTGACCCACAGAACCTATGAGATAATAAGTGTGGGTTGTTTTAAGCAGCTAAGTTTGTGGTAATATGTTATACAACAATAGGAAACCGTGAAGAACCATGGCTCTTCAAAAGGAGGTCTGTGTAATGCGTTTTGTCAATAAACTTGATTCCATGTCAAGAAGTTGAGAATCTTGTTTTAGAATGTGGAACAACCAAGTCACAAGCACATGCTTTAGTCTTGTTGACTTTGCAACAAAACTTTCATGATCAAGGAAGTAGAGAGAAGTTTCTGCCAAGAGCAAGAGGTCCACGTGACCTCTCCTCTTGCAGGCCATGGTGGAAAGGGGGCTGTGGTTGGTGTATGTTCCCTTGGACCCCCTCCTGCCTGAGGGGTCTGAAGACACTGGATTCCTTTGCCTTCCACCAGGTAAAAAGTCCTGCTCAAACTGCCTCAACCGGTCACTAGCATTCACTCCCTGCATGATGAGATAAGCATCTCCCTCTCTGCAGCATCATCCTGCACCTCCAGGTTCAGGCCTGCTAGAAATCCCTGCATGTTTTCAACCTAGCTGAGGAGCCACTTCCTCTGCTGAAGTTATTCCCCTAGCCCTAAGTCCTGTCACCTTCCTTGTGGCCAGGGTTGCAGCATGTGAGAGTTATTGGGTTAGATCATGGGTCCCCGATCCTTGGGCCATGGAGTGGTCTGTGGCCTGTTAAGAGCCAGGCTGCACAGCAGGAGGTGAGCAGTGGGCAAGTAAGTGAAGCTTCATCTGTATTTACAGCTGCTCCCCATTGCTTGCTTTACCACCAGAGCTCCGCCTCCTGTCAGATCAGTGGTGGCATTAGGTTCTCATAGAAGTGTGAATCCTATTGTGAATGGTGCATGTGAGGGATCTAGGTTGTGCACTCCTTATTAAAATCTAATCCCTGATATCTGCCACTGTCTCCTCTCACCCCCAGATGGGACCATCTACTTGCAGGAAAACAAGCTCAGGGCTCCCATTGATTCCACATTAAGGTAAGCTGTATAATTATTTCATTATATATTGCAATGTAGTAATAATAGAAATAAAGTACACAATAAATGTACTGCACTTGAATCATCCCGAAGCCACCCCCCCACAAGCCCCTGCACCTGGTCAGTGGAAAAATGTCTTTCATGAAACCGGTTCCTGGTGCCCAAAAAGTTGGGGACTGCTGCCTTAGATAACTTCCACCTCTAGGCGTGGATCAACACTGCACAGTTCCTATCCTTAGTGTGAGTTAGTGTATAAATCAGTGAACTTATCACTTTTACTTCTTATGTTGTCTTCTCTTGCCTAATACCTTTCGCTCCTACCTTGGTAGGCTTTCGTTTAACTTTGCTGTGCTCTCCACGAGCTCTGCTCTCATTCAGATGCTGGCCTCAGGGACATCCAGCCCTTCTCTCTTGTGCCTCCAGCTGCCCCAGTGGACTTCCCCACCACGCCCCAGCTGAATGCCTGAGCTCTAGGAACCTGACCACTATCTTCGTAACTCCTGACCCTGTACCTGCTCAGGCTCCCATCTGCCCTCACTGGTCTCAGCTGGGCCCTGCGCTTGGTGGGCATGAGCCTCCTTCCTCATGTCCTCGTGCCCTGTGTCCTGCCCTTCTCTGGGTGGCCCGCGATGTCTTCCTGAGAAATCCAAACGCCCTTCCCGACTTGGCTGGCGACTCCGTGGTCCCCCACGTCCCAGCCGTCACTCCCCATGGTGACTGTACCTGGGTATAAAAAAGTTCCCCAGGGATGTGCTCTTTACCCTGACTCATGTGAACATGGCTGCCTCTGCCTGTTTGTCTCCACCACCCTGCCCTGAAGACCAGATGAGGGCTTCCCCTCTGTGTGCCCCAAACCACCTCTAGTTCTCCCTCCAGCAGAAACCATCGGTCCGGGTAGTTCTTGCCTGGTCAGATGCCATCTTCCCAGAAGACTGAAAATATGTTGGTGTGGAGTCTTATGTCAAATTCCAGTTCCTGGCACAAAGTAGATTATCAGGAAATAATTATTGAGAAAATATACTGTGTTTTTGGTATGGGCAAAAGATTTTCTAGCCAAAAATCAGGCTTTGCAGCAGGGATGTCTTGGCTGTTAAGCATGAAAAACACATAAAAACAAATCTGATAGTTCTGATGTAAGATTGTAGATAAAAATAAAAATAAAAATACTTAAGCCAGTTAAATTAGGAAATATTTGGGTATCAACTCCTTATAACTTAAAATTGCAAAATAAGTATTTAAAAATTCAAATCATATCCTGGTTATGTGGGCTTTTGTGTTGTAAGGTGGGTAACATTGCAGGATGTGTTGCCTCTTGGACACATTTGTAGTCATGAAAACATTTAGGTTCATCAAGTTTTGACCGACTAAATGATTTACTATTTCTCCTATTGAAATAATTTGTGTAAAACATTACATGTTTATTGTAAGAAATTAGTGCAGAAAATTCAAATCAAGAAAAATTACTGAAATATTGTCCATACATTATCAATTTATTAAAGGTCTGTGCATAGACTGTTTTACATAAAGACTTTACAGGAAATCTATTTTATTATTAACAAAAATCCTGATTTTAATCCATGTACCAAGAAACATGTTACCTGCTGTGAAAGTAGGAAGCTTATTTCACCTCCTTCTCCTACTCTCTTCTTAAATTCCTTAATATCAGGACCAGCATTAAATGGAAATGATGCAATCTAAAGGTATTTAGTGTGTGTCTATTCCTTTGGAGGTAAAGGAATAAAATGTGACCTCTGTGCATGAGGATTTGCCGTGACATTGAGAGAGAGAAGGAATTAAGTGCACACATCTGTCAATCAGTGTTTGTCTTCTGCCTAGTGGATCATGAATTGGATCATCCCTAGGGGAAGGATGCCCAGATTAACATTATAGCTAAGATCAGGTACCTTTGTCCTTTCAGGCTTTTGGTATTGCATGTAGCTTTGACCATCCCTCCCTTTGTTTGAATCCTTACAATATTCTTTCTTAGTCTGTTTTGGCTGCAAAATACTTTAGACTGTGTAATTTACAAATAACATTATTGCTCACAGTTCTGGAGGCTAGGAAGTCCGAGATCAAGGAAATAGCAGATTTGGTGTCTGGTGAAGGCCCATTCCTCATAGTTGACACCTTCTACCTGTGTCCTCACCTGATGGAAGAGGCAAATAAGCTCCCTTAGGACTCTTTTAGGAAGGCATTAATCCCATCCATGAGGGTGGAGTGTTATGACTTAATCACCTCCCAAGGGCCCCACCTCTTAATACCACCACATTAGGGATTAGGCTTCAACGTATGAATTTGGGGGGCTGCGATCACAAACATTCAGACCATAGTAAATATCTTTTTTAATATAAGACCTGGGCAAATAGGCACCCAAATGCAAGATTATTTGCACAATGGACAGGCCTCTCTGTGAGGTCTAACAAAAGCTGGAAATTCTTTCTCGAGTTTCTTCTTATGTGTCTTATATTTTACATTTAAAAGTTCTGAAAGAAGAGCACATGATAACTTTGCATTTAATTGAAGTGTGCATTATGCCCAGTGGTGCTCACCTTTAAGCCATGTTGCTGATCTGCTTAGGTGATAGCACATCCAACATTATTTTTCCATGCTTTTCCTTTCTCTAGGGAAGAGAGCAAGTAGCACCATGGAATTTTACTGTTTTGGTATTTATTATGCTCTCAAATCATTGCAGCCTTGTATAAGCAAGTGTGTGACTTTTTCCTCCAGGGAGGTCACTCAGAGGCAATGGCAAAGGGAGGCTCTGGGGCCCAGCACACTTCCTGCCTGGCTGCCTGAGTTCATCCCCTCAGCGTCCTCTGCTATGCTGTGTCAGCAGGTGAGCTCTAGTCCTGAGGCCCTGCCCTGTCACCTCTTCTCTGACTCAGCTGGTCTCACCCAACATGCTCAAGGATCCTCCCTGACAGTCAGCCCAGCTCTCCCTCCTCCTCCCATTCACATCCAGTGCCCAGCCCTGTGGGTTGCATCTCTTCAATTGTTCCTGGATCCTGGATCCTTTTCCTCCTCTTTATTCCTACAACAGCCACCTTAGACCAAGATCATCTCTTGCAGGTTTGATAAAATCGCCACCCTACAGATCTCCCCAACCCTGTCCTTGCATTCCTCAACACCATCCTTTCAGAGCTGCCGGAGTGGCCTGCACAGAGGGGACCATGACAGTGATGGCTTAGAAAGTTTCTGTGGCCTCCCTCCACTTGTCAAGAAAGACAAGCCCCTCAAAAGGCCTGCCTGGGCTTCACTCAGGCTTCTTGTCTTCCCTTTGCCCCAGGATCCTGTAGGGGCTCACACTCAGCAAAGCTGGAGACGTGTCTCCCCATAAATACCAAGCACAAGCTGGAGGCCTGTGTGCAAGATGTGAGTTTACCCAACTCCGATCCAACAGCTGGTCACAAGCTAGCGAGAAGAGGAAAAGAAAGCAGATCTGTGCCAAATTCAAGCCTTAATTTCTCAGCTCTCTTAGAAATCATATTTATTTCCTGGTTTCCAGAAGCTGGGAGTCACTATGTCAGTGGAGTCATTTACTTACCTATCCAAGCCCTGGAGGACAAGCCTGAGGCTGGGCAAGCTGGTGGCAGTGTGGCTGCAGCTCATCAGACAAGCCACCAGGTGCCATTCAAACAGAGTTGGGGTGGCTGAGGATGGAGGTCTTTATGTGTCAGATTTACTATAAATGTAAAAAAAACCCACTAATGTAAAGTATTAACTTATTAGATGTTCCAAAAATATGTATGCTAAGCATCAGATTTTTTTTGTGTGTGGAATGACTATTGGAGTTCCAGGTTTTCACAGTGGTTGGCGCAATATTCATTCTGGGAAGACAAGCTGCTAGCCCTGTTCTGCCTTTCTGTGCTTGTTCTTGGGATTTAGACATCCATTCACTTTTCAAAATAAGAACACATTTATAGAGCACACGCTGAAAGTGATGTGCCATATTAAGATATTTCCAAATAGTTTTCTTGAGGATTTAGGGTGTTATGTGATGAGTAATAAATGGAGAAAAGGAATTTTGACATTATGCTACAGTGACAGAAAACCAAGCTGCCTGGGTTAAGTTAGATCATCACTGGAGAGGCTTTTTCTCTGAAAACTGTTCTAGTGAGTTGCCAAAAATGGCATGAGGATATTAGGTAGAAAACATTGTTCAAGGACTTCTGCAAAGTAAGATCCTTCAAGTCATCTGTAACTTAGAACATTTTTACTTAAAATGGTGCTCACTGTGGTTGGTTTCCAGAACAGCCACAGATGTCTACTCCCATGGGTCACCTGTGCTTATGTGTTCTAGAACCTCCTGTTTTAAGTCGTAATATACCTAGAAGTCCCTGCATTCTGAGTTCCGTGCAACTAGGGTACTAGGAGCACAAATGCTCCAGTGTGAAACTGACTTCTCCTGGGGATGGTAGGGCTTCCTCTGTGGTCCAGTAATGGTGACGTCCCTAACTGGCAGCCTGGGCCCCAGCGTCAGGAGTTGGGCTCATGGTGACACAAAGGTAAGTCTCTCCCTTGCTGGAATGCATCCTTGTCTCATCTTTCTCCAATTTACCACTGCAGGGAGTCCCAGGAACTCACCCCAGTTGCTTTTTTCCATTGTCTATTTTTAAATGCCTCAGAACCGGGATTTTGCTATTCCTTGGCCAACTACAAAATTGAAGACTTTTTTGGTTCTCTCCAACACACCAGCACCTCAGAAACATTCATAACAACTTCCTGAAGGTTTCCTTTACATAAAAGACATGGACGAGCCATCCTTTCTCTGCTCATCCGTCTTCATTTAGTCCTGAAGTGATAGACAAAAGCATACAGATGTTTTCAGGCTTTCCTTAGACAAAGAACAGACAGTCTTCTGCCTTTCCAGGAAAGAACTCAACCCCAGAAACTGATGGTTGTTTTGTCCCAGGAAAGAACAGATCTCTCGGGAGCGGTGCTGGGGCCACGGAGCAGCATCCCAAGGAGAGGAAGGAGGGACCATGTGCTCTCTCCCTCCACCTGTGCCCCATGCTTCTTTCCTCTTCCTTCTTTCCTCCTAGGTTGAAGACTGTTTCTTGGTGAATTGGGAACAGGGAATTTGCTGGTAGTGAGAGATGGTAACTTGGGGGTGGCACAGGACTGTCATTACCCATGGCTGGGCAGACTGTGTGTTTCTTCAGGGACAGCTCTGAAATACCCTGAGCATCTAAAGACAAAGGAAGCCTAGAATTGAACACATTTCTTAAAACATACATAAATTTATCAAGCTTTTTATTAGGATACACACCCAGACTGACATGTTTTGGCTAGGGCCTAATAAACATCTCCATGGAGTTCACTAAATATTTCAGACTCTGCTTTGCCCCCATGTGCCCTAAATTTCCCTTCGCAATCTCCTACCCAACCTCTTTCCTCTAGACTACCTTCATCCTCCTGTTCATCCTCTGGTCTCCAGTCTCCATGTCCTAACCTTCCCTCCCTCTTCCTCCCCCAGCCATCACCTCCTTTTCCTCTCCTATACCCCTCCCTCACCCTCTTTTCCTCTCCATCTTTCTTTTTTAAGAAAAGAACATTGCTATTTACCTTAATAAAGGGACTAATTGCCTTAATGTGTCCATATCTCTTTTTCAGTAAAGACTTCATATCAATGTTTCATGGAGAGACCTCTGGTTTATTTAGGGAGTATGAATTTGAACTGGCACTCTCAGTTCATATGGATATAAACTTGCTAGATTTAACAGAAAAGATATGTAAATTATCCTATTTGTTATCTTCATTTCTATTTTCACACAATATAAAGATCCACAGTAATGAAATATATAAAAGTGTATGGTGCATAGTTTTATGCCTGGAACTCTCACTAATCTCCCCCATCCACTCACCAAAGGTAACAATTGGAAAGTTTTTAATTTTCTTAAACCACATGGACATAATTAAATATATGCGTATGTGGCTGCCAGATGTGATGTGCTCACCAATATGTCTGTTATATGTAATATGACTGATTTTGCTCAGTGGCTGGTGGGCCTTTGTGCATAATCAGTATTATTAGTAAGTCGATGGCTAGCGAACAGGAGATTGTTAAGTACAGGCACTTACTCCTTGGGTTAGGCTGTTCTTTGTTGCTAAAAAGAAACACCTGAGGCTGGGTGATTTGTAAGGAAGGAGGTTTAATTGGCTCACAGTTCTGCAAGCTGTGCAGGAAGCATGGCAAAGGCATCTGCTCTGCCTCTGGTGAGGCCTCAGGAAACTTTTACTCATGGCAGAAGGCAAATGGGGAGCTGGTATATCCTATGGCAAGAGCAGGAGTAAGAGAGAGTGGGGAGGTGCCACACAATTTAAACAACCAGATCTCTGAGAACTCACTCACCCTCATGAGGACAGCACCAAGCCATTCATGAGAGATCCACCCCCATGATGCAAACACTTCCCACCAGGCCCCACCTTTAACATTGGGAATCACATTTCAGCGTAAGATTTGGAGAGGACAAACATTCAAACTATATCACCCCATTCTCAGTGACACTGCTTTGGCTAAGGGGACTTGGGAGTTATTTCTCAGGCTTTGTTCTAAGAAGGACGATATGGAGCAGGTGGGCAGGTTATTATTTCCCCATGCCTTGCTATGGAATGGGTAAAGGAATTTACCTTATTTCCGTTAGGGTGAAGCCAACTTCCTTACTGTTGTCCTGTCCACATGCTTTGAGGTGGCCCAGAGTGTCTTGGTGTTCCCCTCTATGCCTCTGAAGCCCTTATATCCATACTAAACTTTTAAAAAAATCACTAATCAATCTCTTGTTATAGGTCTGTTCATATTTTCCATTTCTTCTTTTTTCCAATTTGTAAAATTGTAGTAAAATACATACAACATAAAAGCTACCACCTTAACCATTTTAAGTGTACATGTTAGTGGTATTAAATACATTTATAAAGTTGTGCAACCATTACTACCATCAATCTCTAGAACTTTTTCATCTTGTAAAACTGAAACTATGTACCCATCAAACATTAACTCCCATTCTCCCAGCCTCCAGCAACCACCATTCTACTTTCTATAATTTTGACTACTCTAAATACTTTATATAAGTGAAATCATACAGTATTTGTCTTTTGTGATTGATTAACTTTTTAAATATAACCCTCATCTCACATACATATGTAATATATGTATGTATATATAAACATATGTGTATATGTATATATTATTGTTGTTTAATTCTTATTTGAAAAATAGAATTATGATACATATATACCTCCCAAATATAATATTTTACATAAAGAACAAAGACTTTGATAGAAAAGGGTAATTTCAATTTCTTTTTGTTTTTACTTTTATTTTAGGTTCAGGGGTACATGTGCAGGTTTGTTATATAGGTAAACTCGTGTCATGAGGGTTTGTCATACAGATTATTTTGTCACCCAGGTACTAAGCCTGGTATTCAATAGTTATTTTTTTCTGACCCTTTCCCTCCTTTCACCTGGCTTTTTTCACTTAGCATAATGTCCTCAAGTTTAATCCACATTGTATCATATATCAGAATTTACTTCTTTTAAGCTGAATAATATCCCATTATATGTATATACTGCATTTTGCTTGTCAATTTTTTCTGGCAATGGACACTTGGGTTGCTTTCATGTTTTAGCTATTGTGAATGATGCTGCTATGAACATGGGTGTACAAATATCTATGTGAGACCCTGCTTGAAATTCTTTAGGGTTTTATAGTGTTATTCAGTTTCCTATTTCCTTGATGATCTACTAATTGTTTTATCCACTATTAAAAGTGGAATATTGAAGTCTCTGATGATTATTGTTGAGTTAGTTCTCCCTTTAATTCTATCAGTTTTTGCTTCATGTATTTTGAGACTCTATTGTTAGGTGCATACATGTTTACAATTGATATATCTTCCTGAATAATTGGCCGTTTTATTGTTACAAAATGTCCTTCTTTGTCTCTAATGACCTTTTTTTTTTTAACTTAGTCCATTTTTTTTCTGATATTGGAATAGCCACTCTATCTTTCTTTTGGATACTGTGATAGTTATATCATAGTTTCTATACATTCTGCCAATCTCTAAAATTTAATTGGAGAGTAATCTATTTACATTTAATCTAGTTATTGATAAGGTAGGATCTATGTCTGCCATTTTAATATTTGTTTTCTGAATTTTCCATGTTCCTCTATTTCTCAATTACTGCCTTTTATGTTAGACTTTTCCTAATGTATCACTTAATTCTCTTTTTGTTTCTTGTAGAGTCAGTCTATTAGCAATAAACTTATTTTTTGTTTATGTGGAAATATCTTACTTTCTCCTTCATTTTAAAAGGATAATTTTGTTGGATACATAATTCTTGATTGACATTTTCTTTTCTTTCAGCACTTTGAATATGTCAACTCATTGCCTTCTGACTTCCATTGTTTCTGATGAGAAATCCATTGTTTTTCTTATTACAGATCCCTTGTATATGATGATTTGCTTTTCTCTCTGATTTCAAGATTCTCTCATAGTCTTTTATCTTTTGACAGTTTATTATGTGTCTACATGTTGATCTCTTTGAATTTATCCTACTTGGAGTATTTTGAGCTTCTTGAATATATAGATTCATGCATTTCATCAAATTTGGGAAATTTTTGGCCATTACTTTTTCAACTTTTCCTTCTATTCCTCTATTACTCCTTCTCTAGGACTCCTATAATGCATGTTGGTCCACCTGGTGGTGTTTCTTAGGCTCTCTTCACTTTTCTTCATTCTTTTTGTTGTTGTTTCTCATACTATGTAGTCTGAATCTGTATTCATGCCCATCAGTTCTTCTGCCTGCTCAAATCTACTAATTAACACCTCTAGTACATGTTTAATTTCAGTTATTGTAATTCTTAACCAAATAATTTATTTGGGGTTCCAATTAATAGTTTTTATCTCATTGATATTTTCTATTTGGTGGGACATCATTCTCATCCTGTCTTTTAGATCCTTTTTATAAGCAGAAAAAAAATTTGTTTCTACCAAATCAAAAAGTATGAATAAATCTTCAAGCAAGATAATCAAAATGATCAATAATACAATTAATAGGATAACATATACAGATCACACTGCAGGTTTAGATACTTTGCATTAAAGCACATATACCGAAATGAAGAGAGCCAGCAACTGTTGCACTGAGGAAAAGTACTCTGCCTTATGGTACATGCATGACCTCTGGGAAACTTTAGCTGACATTTTACAGGACAGTAATCAAAGAGACAGGTCATCATTGAGTTATAGAGCTGATCTGAGCTTGACAGGGATCACAGTGAAATGCCATTGTAACTCAACAATTTCCCCAGAGATCCATTTATCTCAAAAACAGGAATATACAAAAATCAGTAGTACAAATTCTCATAAAACTAGAAAAGCCCTCTAAGCCCTACTATCCTTGGAGTTTACATAAAGACTGAGTATTCATTTTTCTTCCCTTTACTCTTCTCTAAATACAAAATAGTTTATTTTTATTTGGTACACTTTTAACTTTATAGCAAAGCCTTAAAATGAAGAATGGCTTAATAAAATGAATTATACACCAACCAAACCTAAGGAGAATCTCCAACATGGTCTGCTCCTTTGAAAAGTTTTAAACAGGAAATCTTTTATTTAAAGAATGACATTGTGCTTCCTGGAATAACCTAATTATTACCAGAGGAAGGAATTCATATCTATGCCATATAAGAACTTTCACTTTTTTTTTTTTTTTTTTTGAGATGCAGTTTTGCTCTTGTTGCCCAGGCTGGAGTGCAATGGCACGATCTTGGCTCACCGCAACCTCTGCCTCCTGGGTTCAAGCGATTCTCCTGTCTCAGCCCCCCGAGTAGATGGGATTACAGGCATGCACCACCACGCCCAGCTGATTTTGTATTTTTAGTAGAGATGGGATTTCTCCATGTTGGTCAGGCTGGTCTTGAACTCCCGACCTCAGGTGATCTGCCCGCCTCAGCCTCCCAAAGTGCTGGGATTACAGGCGTGAGCCACCACGCCCAGCCAAGAACTTTCACTTGTTGGGAAATGTTTTACTAAATCTTTTTCAAAACACACACACACACACACACACACACACACACACACAAAATGATCAAATTTAGGTATACAGATAATGGCAAGGGTAATGGCATTGTGTGGCAGAGACACAACACAATGGACATTGAAAGGGAAGGCGAGGAACATGAGCTTGCCTCCTCCACAGATGAGCCTGGACCCAAGCCCAGCTGACTTTACAGCCTTTTATTTCTATTATAAATGGGGACTTAGGGAGGAGGATTAAGGGCTGAGACTCTCCACTAGTGCTTCCTTTGCTTAAGCCAAGGAAACAACAACAACAACAGTGTCACACTGAGGTGAACATCACTTTGGTGATCTCTGCTATTCTTGATGTGAGGTCACAAGCAGAACCAAGCCGACTGAGAACTCCGGGTTGTTTGGGACAGGACACAAGTAGTTAACATCCTCCTGGATGTTCAGTCTTCTGAGTTGGGAAAGCCTGGGCTGGAGTCCCAGCTCCACTGTTCACTGGCAGCAGAAGCCTGGCCAAGATGCTTCACATCCCCAACCTTTCCTTCTTTGTTTATAAGTGTGGAATCATGCCTCTCTCATAGAATGCTAGGAAGATTAAATGAGATGTTTTTAAAGGTCCTAAAACTACACATTTTACTCATTTGGCCTTCAGTAATTGGTACCTATCATAAGTTTGCGTCAGTGTTGCAGGGTGTTAAATAGCAGCATTTCCAGGTTCTAAATAAGTGGAAGCCTGTTAGGATAATGGAAGCAAACTGAATTAAGAGCTGGGTAGAATGGCAGAATGTGAGATCAGGTCGAAATCTTAGAGACTATCGAAACCACTCTCTTTGCTTAAAGGTGAAAGTACTGCACATGGGGCCGTAGAAGGAAAACCAAGAAAAGATGTCCCTTTAATTTTACTTTTTGTCAGAATATTTTTAAGATTACTAATTTTTACAAAATCTTTTTTGTAAAAAGGGAAAACTAGAGAGTTTGTTGAAGAAAACCAGGACGGGGATTTTTTAAGCCACTGACCATGAAATAAGCATCATCTTTCAAAGACCATGGAAAAGGGCCAGGCGTGGTGGCTCACACCTGTAATCCCAGAACTTTGGGAGGCCTAGGCAGGTGGATCACCTGAGGTCAGGAGTTCAAGACCAGCTTGGCCAACATGGCAAAACCCCATCTCTACTAAAAATACAAAAGTTAGCAGGGTGTGGTGGTGCACGCCTGTAATCCCAACTACTTGGGAGGCTGAGGCAGGAGAATTGCTTGAACCTGGGAGGTGGAGCTTGCAGTGAGCCGAGATCGTGCAACTGCACTCCAGTCTGGATGACAGAGCAAGACTCTGTCTAAAAAAAAAAAAATAAAAGACCATGGAAAAGGTGTTTGTCTCCTATTGGTCTCACCTAGCAAAGGACCCTCAACTGCTGAGCAATCTCAGCAAAAGCAAATGCTGTTGAGACTTATTGAGTGATTCACTGATGGGTAGAATTGTCTATCTGGAAGGAAAGGATGGAGGGGGAATAAAGTATGGAATCAGGGATCAGCCCATTTCTTATACCTCACCCAAACTCCAAAGGCAAAGATCACATTGGAGCGTCTGCTAAACCCAAAAAGAAGAAAGAAGTTTGAATATTTTTCTGCTTCTGAAAAAGTACACACTTTCCTCTTTTGACTTATCCACATAATAACTTCAGCTCTACTTTTCCTAGTTTGCAGAAATCACTTACATGGCAATACTACTCTAAATTGTGCGATTTTCCTCATATCAGACTTGTTTTTCTCTATACCTGGTTCCCCAGGAAACCTGAACTTTATCTACCTGTCTGATATGCACTCTATCTCCATCAGCTGGCATTCAATGGCAGCTCTAAATTCTGAAGTGTTCAGAGTCAATGCAATGCACTGATGTTTCATTGACCTGAACGGGGCACTTTCATCCCGTAAACGTAAAAAGTAAACAATCTTATTTTGTTGTAATTGAGAGGATAAGGAGGAGACAGATCTATATTTCCACTAAGGTAGCCGAAGAACACTCACATGAAAGGACAAAGGGAGAGGAACCGGCAAGAGTCTGGGCAGTATTTATAAGGAAGACACACTCGTTATGGAACAGGATATATGTGGCAGTGAATTGACGGGGGACTCGCTGGGACATCTTCAGAAAGTAAATCATGGGTTTCAGCATCGCTAACGGGATGAAATAGGCTTTCTTTTTCTCACCAGTGTGGAAGATTAGAAGTCACTCCTAGAAATAGAAAAGGACATTCTCTGAGGATAGTCATGATGTATGATTTTTAAGGCAGGAATAAATTCCATTGTTCTTCCCAGAAGACAGCAAGAATTATTCAAGGTGGCCACCAAGTCAGGAAACCAGGCAAATCTTTTAAATGGTTTACTAATATTGCATTACAATGAATGACAAAACATTAGTATCTAATTCTAGACTTTATGGCCACCTCATAGAATGAATCTTTGGAATAGAAAATAATTTTGTTTTCCCTTAATCATGAAGCTGTTACACTCAGTCGAGAAACAGCTAGTGCAACATTTGTTCAACCTCAAAGTCTCCATTCCCTTTACTAACTATTTATAATATTCTTGGGTCACTCACAGGAGAAAAGCACTATCAGCATTGAGAGATAGCAGCATTTTCAAAATGCGCTTTGTTGTCTTAAACAAAATGCTTAACTATGCTACTAGTCCAGTAATTCCATATGGTCTTATCACTTTTATTCATAAGACATAATCTGGCCGGGCGCAGCGGCTCACGCCTGTAATCCCAGCTCTTTGGGAGGCCGAGGCGGGTGGATCGCCTGAGGTCAGGAGCTCAAGACCAGCCTGGCCAACGTAGTGAAACCTTGTCTGTACTAAAAATACAAAAAATTAGCTGGGCATGGTGGTGGGCACCTGTAATCCCAGCTACTAAGGAGGCTGAGGCAGGAGAATCGCTTGAACCTATAAGGCGGAGGTTGCAGTGAGCCGAGATCACGCCATTGTACTCCAGCCTGGGCAACAAGAGCAAAACTCTGTCTCAAAAAAAAAAAAAAAAAGATATAATCTTTCAACATTTATGTAGGTGAATACTTCTTATGTTTTTTGAGAAGTCCCAAAAGACTTTGAGAGTTCCCAAAAGACTTTTTAGGAGTTTAATTTTTTCACAATAAAAGAAAGGAGCAGTGTCAATCTATGAAAGTCAGACCAGCCGTTTAAAGAAGACCCCCTTCATAGCTGAGTTACTGGTGCATGAAGAGATTCAACACAGTCAATACAGTCCCTTTGCTCTCAGTTATTAGAAAGAAGGATTTGAGAGAGATAAGAGCATTAACTATCCACATTATTTGATAGCTTATATTTAATAGCCTAAGAAGAGAGAAAACAGATGTCGAAAAATACAGTCTAAAAAAAAGGGCCGGGAGCAGTGGCTCACATCTGTAATCCAAGCACTGTGGGAGGCCAAGGGGGTGGATCACCTGAGGTGAGGAGTTCAAGACCAGCCTGGCCAACATGGTCAGGCTCTACTAAAAATACAAAAATTAGCTGGGTGTGGTGGCAGGCACCTGTAATCCTGGCTATTTGGGAGGCTGAGGCAGGAGAATTGCTTGAACCCAGGAGGCAGAGGTGGCAGTGAGCCGAGATCGTGCCATTGCACTCCAGCCTGGGTAACAGAGTAAGACTCCGTCTCAAAATAAATAAATAAATAAATAAATAAATAAATAATAAATTAAAATTAAAATGAAAAAAATAGAAGTCAAATCCTTTCATCCCAGGATGTCTGAAAAGGAGAGAATCTGTGAAGCATGGATGCAGAAAAGGAGTTATACCTACCAGAAAAAATGAATTGTGGACACAGTCACTCAAGACCAGGGAAACAATTACCTGATTCCTCAAGGGTTACCTATTCACTTTATTCATCATTGTTATTTTTGCCAGTGTTTTCATATGTATTCAGTGACCTGGAAAACTTTTTGGTGGACTTTTATTTATTTTTAAAGAAAAAGATTGTTAATTGATTAGTATAAATAAATGCTATTTGTTTTCTCTGCCATCATTTAGACAAGGCTTATCCCAACCTCAGCTCTATTGACATTTTGGGCCCACAAATTCTTCACTTGAGGGGCCTTGTATTGTGCATTGTAGGGCGTTTAGCAGCATCCTGGGTCTCTACCATGACAATAGAAACCCCTTACCCTCCCGAAGTTTTGACAAAAATGTCTCCATACTTTGCCAAAAGTCCACTAAAGGCTGAAATTGCCCCTGGTTGAGAATCACTGGTGTAGACCTATTTCCCAAAAACCCTCTTCCCCAAGTAGGAGGGCTGACTGTGAGGCCGGTGTAAGTGGGTGGGCTGTGACAACCATCACACATCACTATTGAAAGTGATTCCATATCATTCCTCTGGGATGCCTCATTGTCCCTTCAGTTATTTCCTTCCAAGTTTGATGGCATACTTAAGAATTTTGTCCATTCACAATATTTTCCTCATAGTGCTCACATAGGGTGGAAATGGCCTTGGAAGTAGGAGCCAAAAAATTCCTGGAATCTTCTGTCCCTCTGTGACCATTATGTACATATTTTAACTAAGATGTTTAAATGATACTGATAAATATATATATTTTTTCAATTTTGCTTAATTTTATTAGATGTAGAGAAAGAGGATGTGTAAATTCTGCCATCTTATCCTAGAAATACCCTTTATCCACAGAATAAAGTTCAAATTTCTTATTCTGATATGTAATACTCTTCATAGATTGGTACTTGTTTTCTTTTTTCAACCTCAGTGTTCAGAACTTACCCACACATATCCAAAAAGTGTCCATACTCTTTGAAGCATGCAATTTGTATTCATCAAAGATGGCTCATTCTATCCCCTAGAAGCATCCACTGCTGTTGACATCTCACTGCTTGGGTCTCTTGCCAGGAAATTTACTAGGAGACACCAACATATACTGTTAGATAATAGCAATTATCATTATCTAATAGCAGTCTTATAGAAAGCTCTGTAATAGTAATCTCATAGAAAGCAGATGATATTCCAGTGAGCAGCAGGTGAAGGTAGCATAAGCAAGTGTTCCTTTGGAGCTGTAGGTGTCTTAATCTCTTAACATTTTAAGAAACAGAACAAATAGCTGTCATAATCATGACACTTCCAGGACATCCTTCGTTATCAGATTTTAATTAATAATTAGTTCCAGAATATTTTGGTTCTCATATTTTCCTACAATTATATTATTAGAATAGCCATTCAAATAACTTCCCATCCTCTGGCTTTATTCCAGTAAATCCATTTTTCCATAGCTCCAGAGTGACCTCTCTAAAATGTGTCTATTTGAAGCTTTAAGTGGTTTCCCAATGCCTATTAGTTAAAAAGAAAACTAACATGGCTGGTAAGATCTCTCACCATCTGTCTTGTCACTTGGCGCTCTAGCTGAATGTAATGTCACTATTATCTTGTACAAGTCAGCAGCATAGCACTGCATGGTTTCCATTACCCTTCGAGACAAACCTGCAGCAGGGAAGTGGCAAGAGGCGGCCTCAATTCTGATTGAGGACTGAATACAATTTTTATTCTAATAAGACTAATATTAATCATGTTCTCCTATTTTTACTTTTTTTCAGCTATTTTCTCTACATGATTTATTATATCTTTATTTCAACAAGTCCTACAGAACACATGGAGTTCACAAACTTGTATGGAAACTGGAGTCTTAAATGTTTGGGGGAATTCAAAAAAAGAGCAAAGAAACTTCATGCTATGCTGCATTTACAGAAAGAACTGTCTGGGGCAATTTCATTTAATTTTCTCGGAAAAGTTTTATTGAAAATGCCTATAATTATTGTATATCATTTATATACAATGATATAAATTAAAAACTCAGGAATATTGGGTAGAAATAAATCTTCAAGGGTGCCAGTCCAGAATATTAACTTTTAGTTATTAACTTGAACATTAGTTATTAACTTGAGTTAATATAGATCATTCGTAAGTGAGATTGTCTCTTAGGAATCATATTCATGGTGCTTAGTCTCCAGAGCAGCTCACAGGTGTCTCCTTACTGCCTTACTCATAGTGTTCCAGAATGTTCTTCCATGAGGTACATGTATTCTGTGTTCCAGGCTCCTTGGATGCAAGAGCACAAACACCTCAGTGTGAAGGTTTCCTCTGGAGAAGGAGGTAGGAGTTTTTTCAGCTGTGATTCAGTAGCAGTGACAAGGGTTCACTCGGGGTTCCTGACAGTAACTTGGGGCAAGGGTTCTGGCATCGTGTGTCCTGGCCTCCTTCCTGTAAAGTTCAGGGCTTGTCCTTCCAGGGTACACTTCTAGAGGCATATCTCATTGACCTCTCAGACTTCCCTTTAGCAGAAATCTACTTACTACCTTTAGTAGCTGCTAAGAACCTACCCTTCCAGAATTTAAGTTAGGGAGTACTATAAAGTGGGCAACCTAACTTACCTTTTGCAAAGGATAAATATAGCTTGTAACAACACTTTAAAAGTCTTTCATTTTCGCTCTCTTTGAAATGCAGTATTTGTCATTAACTGAAGGCCCATATGTATAGGAGTCTATCTTAATTATTATGGCTTACAGTACAACTCTGAAATCTTTTAAAGGAAGTCTCCTATTCTTTTTTCTTTTTATGTCCCTTTTTTTTTTCAAGTTCATGTTGGATGGGTAATGTGACGACATCATAACAAGGTTCAAGGGTGGCACATCTCACACATGCGTGTGAACACCCCATCGTCACGCGAACTACAAAAGGATCTCCCATTGTTCTTTAACAAAATTTTATTTGCTCTTCTCAGAAATTTTATCTTGTAAATGAACTTTAGTATCCAAATCCACTAAAAATCTCAAGTGGAAAAAAGTTATTGCATTTATAGATCAATATGCATGTAAGAAAAAGGAGGAATTAACATCTTTAAAGTGTTGAATCTTTTATAGAAATCATGTTTGCATTTTTTAAATTATATGTGCTTTTAGAAATATTCTCAGTAAAGTTTTATAATTTTCTTCTTGTAAATCCTAGATATTTTTTCATAGGTTACTTGCTAGCTACTTAAAGTGTTTCCTGATGTCTAAATGACGTATTTTTAATGATGTTGTGTCACTGGCATTTGCAGATATGTAAGAATGTTTTCTTTCTTATATGGTTTTCTTACCAAAACTCTCTTTTTAAAAATGACTATTTTTAGAGCAGTTTTTCAATTTACAGAAAATTTGGGCAAAAAAGGAATTCCCATAACCCCTTCTTCCTTCAGTACAGTTTCTCCTTTTATTAACATTTTATATTAATGTGGAACATTTGTTACAATTGATGAACCACTATTGAAACCTTATTAACTAAAGTTCATAGTTTACATTAGTGTTCTTTCTTTGTGTTGTAAAGTTCTGTTTTTTGTTTGTTTTGTTTTTGAGACAGTCTCACTTTGTCACCCAGGCTGGAGTGAAGGGATGCAATTACAGCTCACTGCAGCCTCAGCCTTCCAGGCTCAAGGGGTCCTCCCGCCTCAGCCTCCTGAGTAGTTGGGACTCCAGGCATGCACCACCACACCTGGCTAATTTTTGTATTTTTTTATAGAGTTGGGTTGCCCATGCTGGTCTCAAACTCCCAGGCTCAATCAATACCACCCCTTGGCCTCCCAAAATGCTGGGATTACAGGAGTGAGCCATCACGCCAGGGAACGATCCACGGGTTTTGACAAACACGTAATGTCACGTACCTGCCATTGCAGTACCATCCAGAAGAGTTTTGCTGCCTTGAAAATCCCATATGCTCCTCCTATTCATCCTTCCCTTCCTCCTCCTGAGTCTCTGGCAACCACTGATCATTTATTGTCTCTACAGTTTTGCCTTTCCCAGAATGCTGTATAGTTGGAATCATAATGTATGCACCCTTTTCAGATTGGCATCTTTCACTTAGGTTTTCAGTTTCTTTCATCGCATATTTTGGAAGATAACATTTGCAATTGCTGAGGGTTTTGTTTTATTTATAACTTTATATAACTTCATTATAACATAATTGTAAACCTTATTTCTTTGTTCTAATGGACTGAGTTGGGACCATAATAGTGGACATCTTCTGAAGAATTTTTAATTTTCTCATTTATTCTAGCATTTCACTATCCAACAAAATGTTTATTCCAGGATTTTGGTTGATTTCATTAATCAGGTAAATATCTTCTCTCTTCCAGTATTTCTAAAATTTCTCTGCTCAGGTGTGGCATTATTTTGTAAGGGATAATTTTACACTATCTATTAAAATGTTATTTTCTTTTTAAAAGTCAATTCCTTTAGGAAACTACAGTGATAGGTTTTTCTAATGTTGAACTGTCCTTAAACTTCTTGGTAAACCCTAATTGGCTGTGTCAGTCTTTTTACATTGCAGGATTTGTTTCTCTGCTATTTTAGTATATTTATCGTTATGCTAATAAGTAGGATTTAGTTGTTTAGTTGTTTTAGTTGTTCTTGTTGTTTTTAACTAAACAAATGCTTTGCTAACTTTCCACCTTTTCATCTATTTCTGGACCCATTGATTAAACATTGGGATTATAGAGCAAATTAATTTTGGTAAAAATTTTAATAACACCTCAAATATGGTGTCTTTGAGATAATTTTTTGTCTAACTTTTCAATTGTTGTGATTTTGGTTTCTTTTTATTTTTTAACTTGCTTTGTTTAAATTTTGATCAGCTATATTTTCCTAAACATCTATTTTATCTAGATTTTCAAATCTAGAAATATTTGTGTATTTGTGTTTGTGTATGTATATACAATTTTGTAAACATGGAACATATGTTTTTTAAATCTTTTGCAGTGTAATATTTATTTTTCCTGAAATTAATGACTTTTAACTTAATCTGAACTACAAATGATTGTCTGCCTCAGCAATATTGTGGATATTACTGATAAGGCCTACATTTTTATTATACCAATTTGTGTAATACTTTGTCTTTTTTCTTAGGTTTATTTGGCTGATTTTTTTCTAGGTTCTTGATTTGCACACATACTTTTAAAATTTTAGCCTTTCTTGTTCCCATTTAAGGCTAAGAATTATTTTTTGAGGACACTTGGCTAAGAAGTATTTTCAATTTATAGTGTTACCAATATCTTTAATTTTGAAATCTAATTTCAGATGTGACATTATTAACCCAAGAGATCATGAGAAATTATTAAATTTGTGTGCAGGCAACAAAAACAAAAATAGACAAATGGAACTTAATTAAACTAAAAAGCTTCTGCACACCAAAAAAAAAAAAAAAAAAAAAAAAAAAATCAACAGAATAAAATGACAACCTGCAGAATGGGAGAAAATATGTGCAAATTATATATACAACAGGGGATGAATATCCAAACTATATATCCAACAGGGGATGAATATCCAGAATTTATAAGGAACTCAGACTACTAACAACAGCAAAAATAATCTCATCAAAAACTGGGCTAAGGGTATCTATAGACACTTTTCAAAAGATGGCAAACAGGCCAGGCACAGTGGCTCAGGCCCATAATCCCAGCACTTTGGGAGGCTGAGGCAGGCGGATCACCTGAGGTCAGGAATTGGAGACCAGCCTGGCCAACGTATAGTGAAACCTCGTCTCTACTAAAAAAATACAAAAATTAGCTGGGCATGGTGGCGCAGGCCTGTAGTCCCAGCTACTTGGGAAACAGAGGCAGGAGAATAGCTTGAACCCGGGAGGTGGAGGCTGCAGTGAGCCGAGATCGCACCACTCTACTCCAGCCTAGGCAACAGAGCGAGACTCCATCTCTCAAAAAAGAAAAAATAAATAAAAATAGAGCTACCATATGATCCAGCTGGGTATCTACTCAAAGGAAAAATAATTAAATCAAAAAGATACCTGCACATAGATGTTTATTACAGCACTATTCACAATAGCAAAGATATGGAATCAACCTAAGTTTCCATCAACCCATGATTGGATAAGAATATGTGGTATATATATATGAATACTCTTCAGCCATAAAAAAGAATGAAATCATGTCTTTTGCAGCAACATAGATGAAACTGGAGGCTATTTTCTTTTCTTTTCTTTTTTTTTTTTTTTGAGACGGAGTCTCGCTCTGCCGCCCAGGCTGGAGTGCAGGGGCGCGATCTCGGCTCACTGCAAGCCCCGCCTCCCGGGTTCACGCCATTCTCCTGGCTCAGCCCCCGGAGTAGCTGGGACTAGAGGCTCCCGCCAACACGCCTGGCTAATTTTTTTGGTATTTTTGGTAGAGACGGGGTTTCACCATGTTAGCCAGGATGGTCTTGATCTGCTGACCTCGTGATCCGCCCGCCTGGGCCTCCCAAAGTGTTGGGATTACAGGCGTGAGCCACCACGCCTGGCCTGGAGGCTATTTTCTTAAGTGAAAGAATTCAGACACAGAAAGACAAATACCACATGTTCTCACTTCTAAGTGGGTGTTGAATAATGTGTACACATGGAAGTAGAGTGTGGAATGATAGACAATGGAGACTTAGGTTGGTGGGGTGGTGAGAAGAGGGTTGGCTGAGGACAATGAGAAAGCACTTAATGGTACAATGTACATTACTCCAGTGATGGATACACTAAAAACACTGACTGCTCTATACAATTTATCTATAACCAAATTATACTTGTACCCCATACATTTATACAAATAAAAAATAAATTTAAAAATTTGTGTATGGATAGATTTTTTTCTTACTGATACTGATTTCCAATTTATTAGTTTTCTCAGTGAATATGGCAGAAACCATTTGTTTTAGAAAATCTGAAGCAGAAATGTGGACTTATAAATTTTCTTGAGTACAGAAGGCAGGAGAGCCTTGATATTTACACTAACTTAAATACAGGGAGCTTTACCACATACTGTTAAAATATCTAGACACTGCCAAGCGTGGTGGCTTACACCTGTAATGCAGGTACTTTGGGAGGCCAAGGCAGGTAGATCACCTGTTTGAGACTAACCTGGCCAACATGGTGAAACCCTGTCTCTACTAAAAATACAAACATTAGCTGGGTGTGGTGGCAGGCGCCCATAGTCCCAGCTACTCGGGAGGCTGAGAAAGGAGAGTTGCTTGAACCCGGTAGGTGGAGGTTGCAGTGAGTTGAGATCATGCCACTGTACTCCAGCTTCGTGACAGAGCAAGACTCCATCTAAAAAAAAAAAAAAGATGGGGTCTCTCTTTGTTACCCAGGCTAGTCTTCAACTCTAGGTCTCAAGGGATCCTCCTGCCTCAGCTTCCCAGAGTGCTGGGATTACAGGAGTGAGCCACTGCGCCTGGCTTGTGTATTATCTTTTTCTCTGTTGAAAACAATTGAAAGGCCATTGCTAACATTTTAGGATTTACCAAATGTGTGTAAGTTTTATTTTACATTGATAATTTTAGACCTCAAATACTTTTGTGGCACCAAAAAAAAAGTAAATGCACAGCTCTAGATTGTTTTGTTTTGGTTCTGTTATTCGATCGCCCTGTTTATAAGATTTAGATGGCTACATTTTTTTTAATTGAGGTAAAATTCATATAGAATTTATCATTTGAAAGTATACAAGTCAGTGGCTTATATACTTTAAAGTGTACATGGCAGTGACAATCACAATGTTCTGCAGCCATCATTGCTATCCAGATCTAGAACATTTTTGCACCCCAAAAAGTGACCCTATGCCCATTAAGCAGTCACTCCCTATTTCGCCTTTCCTCCTGGCCCCTGGCAACCACTAATCTTGTCTCTGTGGATTATTCTATTCTGAATATTTCATATAAATGGAATGTAGTTTGTTCTCTTCATTCTAATAATGTGGTGTACTACATTAATTTTCTTATGCTGAATCAGGAACTCACTTGGCTGTGCTGTATAATCCTTTTAATGTACTCCTGGGTTTGGTTTACTAGTATTTTATTGAGGATTTTTTCATCTATATCCATAAGGGATATTGGCCTCTATTTTTCCTTCCTTGTGATATGTTTGCCAAAGTTTGCTCTCAGGGTAATTACTGGCCTCATAGAATGAGTTAGGTATTGTTCCCTCCTTTTCTACCTTTTGGAAGAGTTTAAGGAGGATTGCTGTTAATTTTTCTTTAAATGTTTGGTAGAATTCACCATTGAAGCCATGTGGTTTTGAGGTTTTCTTTATTAGGAGATTTTTCATTACCGACTCAATCTCCTTGCTAGTTATAGCTCTGTTCAGATTTTCTATTTACTCCTGATTAAGTTTTGTTAGTTTGTACGTGTCTAGCAATTTGTACATGTCATCTATGTTATCTAATTTCCTGACATACAATTATTCATAATATGCTCTTATAATCTTTATTTCTGTAAGGTCTGCAGTAGTGGCCCCACTTTAATTTCTGATTTTCTGGCCCAGCACAGTGGCTCATGCCTGTAATCCCAGCACTATGGGAGGCCGAGGCAGAAGGATCACCTCAGGTCAGGAGTTCGAGACCACCCTGGCCAACATGGTGAAACCCCATTTCTACTAAAAAAAAATACAAAAATAAGCTGGGCGTGTCGTGGGTGCCTGTAATCTCAGCTACTTCGGAGGCTGAGGCAGGAGAATCGCTTGAACCCAGGAGAAGGAGGTTGCAGTGAGCCAAGATTGCACCACTACACTCCAGCCTGGGTGACAGAGTGACACTCTGTCTCAAAAAAAAAGAAAGAAAAAAATTCTGATTTTCATCTCCTTTCTTTTTAATCTTGGTCAATTGAGCTGAAGATTTGTCAACTTTGTTGATTTTTGCAAAGAAGGAACTTTTGGTTTTATTGACTTTTCTATTGTTTTCTATTGTATATTTCTATAATTTCCACTCTGATCTTGCTCTAAATTGAGTCTGCTTTTTCCTTTTCTAGTTTCCCAGGATCAAAGGTTAAATTATTAATTTGAACTCCTTCTTTTTCTTGTAGGCATTTATAGCTATAAATTTTTTGAGCATTGTTTTTGCTGCATCCCATAAGTTTTGGTATATTGTGTTTTTGTTTCATTCATCTCAAAGCATTTATTGTTTATTTTTATTTTTATTAAAGAATCATTCATTTGTAGCCAGGCGTGGTGGCTCACGCCTGTAATCCCAGCATTTTGGGAAGCCAAGGCAGGCAGATCACTTGAGACCAGGAGTTTAAGACAAGCCTGGCTAACGTGGTGAAACCCCATCTCTACTAAAACTACAAAAATTAGCCAGATGTGGTGGCCCATGCCTGTAATTCCAGCTACTCGTGAGGCTGATGTATGAATGAGAATGGCTTGAACCTGGGAAGTGGATGTTGCAGTGAGCTGAGATTGTGCCACTGCACTCCAGCCTGGGCAATAGAGTGAGACCCTGTTTCCAAAAGAAAAAAAATAAAATCATTAATTTGCTTTTAATCTAAAATAGTTTTGATATTTATGCTTCTAAAGTAGAATCAACCAGAAGGCAAGGACATGAGGGAAACAATTTTCCACTTCTAACATAAACTCAAATTTGAGATTCCTTTTTCTTTTTTGAGTAAAACCAGTTATTTGCTGTTTATAAGGTTATTTCTGAGTTGCAAAAATTATCTGCCCCCTCCATGTTTATGTAGTTTCTATATTGCTGCATTCAATCTTAGCTGTCATAATCAGACAGAAAGCATAAAGCTTTTTTCTTGCATCTGTGGTAGGGACCTTAGCAGCAGTGACTCCAGTCAAAGCATTTTTAAATTTCCCTTCTGTTTTCTTCTTTTATCCACTGGTTGCTTATGAATGTGTTAATTTCCACATATTCGTGAAATTTCCAGTTTTCCTTCTGTTATTGACTTCTGCTTTCGTTTCATTGTGGCCGGACAAGATGCTTTGTGTTATTTCAGCCTTTTTATACCTACTGAAGATAATTTTGCAGCCTAAGAATATTTGAAGAATATTTCATGTGCTCTTGAGAAGCATGTGTAATCTGCTGTTGTTGGGTGAAGTGTTCTACATATGTCTATTAGGTCTAGTTGGTTTACAGTGATACTTAAGTCCTCTGTTTCCTTATTAATCTTCTATCTAGTTGCTCTATAGCTCAATAATCCATTAGTGAAAATGGGGTACTGAAGTCTTCAACTATTATTATAAAATGGCCTGTTTCTGTTTTTAATTTTGTTAATTTTTGTTTCATATATATTATGGGGCTCACACTGTTACACATCTATGTTTATAATTTTTCTAACTTCTTGATGGATTGACTTTTTCATAACATATAACATAACATAAACGTATAATATCATTCTTCGTCCCTTGTAACAATTTTTGACTTAAATCTACTTTGTCAGATATTAGGACAGTCACTCCAGCTCTGTCTTGGTTACTATTTCCATGTAATATATGTTTCCTGTCTATTCATTGTCTACCTCTTATGCCTTTGGATCTAAAGTGAGTCTCTTGTAGATAGTACACAGTTGGTTCATATTTTAAAAATTCATTTTAGTGATTTCTCCCTTTTAATTAAATAATTTAATACATTTACACTTAAAATAATTACTGATGAGGAAGCATTTACTTCTGCCATTTTGGGATTTGTTTTCTATATGGATTATATATTTTTCATTTTTCAATTCCTGCAATACTGCCTTCTTTTGTGTTTTTTATTTATTTATGTATTTATTTATTATTATTATACTTTAAGTTTTAGGGTACATGTGCACAATGTGCAGGTTTCTTACATATGTATACATGTGCCATGTTGGTGTGTTGCACCCATCAACTCGTCATTAGCATTAGGTATATCTCCTAATGCTATCCCTCCCCCCTCCCCCCACCCCACAACAGTCTCCGGAGTGTGATGTTCCCCTTCCTGTGTCCATGTGATCTCACTGTTCAATTCCCACCTATGAGTGAGAACATGCGGTGTTTGGTTTTTTGTCCTTGCGATAGTTTGCTGAGAATGATGGTTTCCAGTTTCATCCATGTCCCTACAAAGGACATGAACTCTTCATTTCTATGGCTGCATAGTATTCCATGGTGTATATGTGCCACATTTTCTTAATCCAGTCTGTCGTTGTTGGACATTTGGGTTGGTTCCAAGTCTTTGCTATTGTGAATAGTGCCGCAATAAACATACGTGTGCATGTGTCTTTATAGCAGCATGATTTATAATCCTTTGGGTATATACCCAGTAATGGGATGGCTGGGTCAACTGGTATTTCTAGTTCTAGATCCCTGAGGAATCGCCACACTGACTTCCACAATGGTTGAACTAGTTTACAGTCCCACCAACAGTGTAAAAGTGTTCCTATTTCTCCACATCCTCTCCAGCACCTGTGGTTTCCTGACTTTTTAATGATCGCCATTCTAACTGGTGTGAGATGGTGTCTCATTGTGGTTTTGATTTGCATTTCTCTGATGGCCAGTGATGATGAGCATTTTTTCATGTGTTTTTTGGCTGCATAAATGTCTTCTTTTGAGAAGTGTCTGTTCACATCCTTTGCCCACTTTTTGATGGGGTTTTTTTGTTTTTTTCTTGTAAATTTGTTTGAGTTCATTGTAGATTCTGGATATTAGCCCTTTGTCAGGTGAGTAGGTTGCAAAAATTTTCTCCCATTCTGTAGGTTGCCTGTTTACTCTGATGGTAGTTTCTTTTGCTGTGCAGAAGCTCTTTAGTTTAATTAGATCCCATTTGTCAATTTTGGCTTTTGTTGCCATTGCTTTTGGTGTTTTAGACATGAAGTCGTTGCCCATGCCTCTGTCCTGAATGGTATTGCCTAGGTTTTCTTCTAGGGTTTTTATGGTTTTTGGTCTAACATGTAAGTCTTTAATCCATCTTGAATTAATTTTTGTATAGGGTGTAAGGAAGGGATCCAGTTTCAGCTTTCTACATATGGCCAGCCAGTTTTCCCAGAACCATTTATTAAATAGGGAATCCTTTCCCCATTGCTTGTTTTTCTCAGGTTTGTCAAAGATCAGATGGTTGTAGATACATGGCATTACTTCTGAGGGCTCTGTTCTGTTCCATTGATCTATATCTCTGTTTCGGTACCAGTACCATGCTGTTTTGGTTACTGTAGCCTTGTAGTATAGTTTGAAGTCAGGTAGCGTGATGCCTCCAGCTTTGTTCTTTTGGCTTAGGATTGACTTGGCGATGTGGGCTCTTTTTTGGTTCCATATGAACTTTAAAGTAGTTTTTTCCAATTCTGTGAAGAAAGTCATTGGTAGCTTGATGGGGATGGTGTTGAATCTATAAATTACCTTGGGCAGTATGGCCATTTTCACGATATTGATTCTTCCTACCCATGAGCATGGAATGTTCTTCCATTTGTTTGTATCCTCTTTTACTTCATTGAGCAGTGGTTTGTAGTTCTCCTTGAAGAGGACCTTCACATCCCTTGTAAGTTGGATACCTAGGTATTTTATTCTCTTTGAAGCAATTGTGAATGGGAGTTCACTCATGATTTGGCTCTTTGTTTGTCTGTTATTGGTGTATAAGAATGCTTGTGATTTTTGTACATTGATTTTGTATCCTGAGACTTTGCTGAAGTTGCTTATCAGCTTAAGGAAATTTTGGGCTAAGACGATGGGGTTTTCTAGATATACAATCATGTCTTCTGCAAACAGGGACAATTTGACTTCCTCTTTTCCTAATTGTATACCCTTTATTTCCTTCTCCTGCCTAATTGCCCTGGCCAGCACTTCCAACACTGTGTTGAATAGGAGTGGTGAGAGAGGGCATCCCTGTCTTGTGCCAGTTTTCAAAGGGAATGCTTCCAGTTTTTGCCCATTCAGTATGATATTGGCTGTGGGTCTGTCATAGATAGCTCTTATTATTTTGAGATATGTCCCATCAATCCCTAATTTATTGAGAGTTTTTAGCATGAAGGGTTGTTGAATTTTGTCAAAGGCCTGTTCTGCATCTATTGAGATAATCATGTGGTTTTTGTCTTTGGTTCTGTTTATATGCTGGATTACATTTATTGATTTGAGTATGTTGAACCAGCCTTGCATCCCAGGGATGAAGCCCACTTGATCATGGTGGATAAGCTTTTTGATGTGCTGCTGGATTCAGTTTGCCCGTATTTTATTGAGGATTTTTGCATCAATGTTCATCAAGGCTATTGGTCTAAAATTCTCTTTTTTGGTTGTGTCTCTGCCAGGCTTTGGTATCAGGATGATGCTGGCCTCATAAAATGAGTTAGGGAGGATTCCCTCTTTTTCTATTGATTGGAATAGTTTCAGAAGGAATGGTACCAGCTCCTCCTTGTACCTCTCGTAGAATTCGGCTGTGAATCCATCTGGTCCTGGATTTTTTTTGGTTGGTAAGCTATTGATTATTCCCACAATTTCAGCTCCTGTTATTGGTCTATTCAGAGATTCAACTTCTTCCTGGTTTAGTCTTGGGAGAGTGTATGTGTCGAGGAATTTATCCATTTCTTCTAGATTTTCTAGTTTATTTGCGTAGAGGTGTTTGTAGTATTCTCTGATGGTAGTTTGTATTTCTGTGGGATTGGTGGTGATATCCCCTTCATCATTTTTTATTGCATCTATTTGATTCTTCTCTCTTTTCTTCTTTATTAGTCTTGCTAGCGGTCTATCGATTTTGTTGATCTTTTCAAAAAACCAGCTCCTGGATTCATTAATTTTTTGAAGGGTTTTTTGTGTCTCTATTTCCTTCAGTTCTGCTCTGATTTTAGGTATTTCTTGCCTTCTGCTAGCTTTTGAATGTGTTTCCTCTTGCTTTTCTAGTTCTTTTAATTTTGACGTTAGGGTGTCGATTTTGGATCTTTCCTGCTTTCTCTTGTGGGCATTTAGTGCTATAAATTTGCCTCTACACGCTGCTTTGAATGTGTCCCAGAGATTCTGGTATGTTGTGTCTTTGTTCTCATTGGTTTCAAAGGACATCTTTATTTCTGCCTTCATTTCATTATGTACCCAGTAGTCATTCAGGAGCAGGTTGTTCAGTTTCCATGTAGTTGAGTGGTTTTGAGTGAGTTTCTTAGTCCTGAGTTCTAGTTTAATTGCACTGTGGTTGGAGAGACAGTTTGTTGTAATTTCTGTTCTTTTACATTTGCTGAGGAGTGCTTTACTTCCAACTATGTGGTCAATTTTGGAATAGCTGTGGTGTGGTGCTGAAAAAAATGTATATTCTGTTGATTTGGGGTGGAGAGTTCTGTAGATGTCTATTAGGTCCGCTTGCTGCAGAGCTGAGTTCAATTCCTGGGTATCCTTGTTAACTTTCTGTCTCGTTGATCTCTCTAATGTTGACAGTGGGGTGTTAAAGTCTCCCATTATTATTGTGTGGGAGCCTAAGTCTCTTTGTAGGTCACTAAGGACTTGCTTTATGAATCTGGGTGCTCCTGTATCGGGTGCATATATATTTAGGATAGTTAGCTCTTCTTGTTGAATTGATCCCTTTACCATTATGTAATGGCCTTCTTTGTCTCTTTTGATCTTTGTTAGTTTAAAGTCTGTTTTATCAGAGACTAGTATTGCAACCTCTGCCTTTTTTTGTTTTCCATTTGCTTGGTAGATCTTCCTCCATCCCTTTATTTTGAGCCTATGTGTGTCTCTGCACGTGAGATGGGTTTCCTGAATATAGCACACTGATGGGTCTTGACTCTTTATCCGATTTGCCAGTCTGTGTCTTTTAATTCGAGTATTTAGCCCATTTACATTTAAAGTTTATATTGTTATGTGTGTATTTGATCCTGTCATTATGATGTTAGCTGGTTATTTTGCTCGTTAGTTGATGCAGTTTTCTTCCTAGACTTGATGGTCTTTACATTTTGGCATGTTTTTGCAGTGGCTGGTACCAGTTGTTCCTTTCCATGTTTAGTGCTTCCTTCAGGAGCTCTTTTAGGACAGGCCTGGTGGTGACAAAATCTCTCAGCATTTGCTTGTCTGTAAAGTATTTTATTTCTCCTTCACTTATGAAGCTTAGTTTGGCTGGATATGAAATTCTGGGTTGAAAATTCTTTTCTTTAAGAATGTTGAATATTGGCCCCCACTCTCTTCTGGCTTGTAGAGTTTCTGCCGAGAGATCTGCTGTTAGTCTGATGGGCTTCCCTTTGTGGGTAACCCAACCTTTCTCTCTGGCTGCCCTTAACATTTTTTCCTTCATTTCAACGTTGATGAATCTGACAATTATGTGTCTTGGAGTTGCTCTTCTTGAGGAGTATCTTTGTGGCATTCTCTGTATTTCCTGAATGTGAATGTTGGCCTGCCTTGCTAGATTGGGGAAGTTCTCCTGGATAATATCCTGCAGAGTGTTTTCCAACTTGGTTCCATTCTCCCCATCACTTTCAGGTACACCAATCAGACTTAGATTTGGTCTTTTCACATAGTCCCATATTTCTTCAAGGCTTTTTTCATTTCTTTTTATTCTTTTTTCTCTAATCTTCCCTTCTCACTTCATTTCATTCATTTTGTCTTCCATCACTGATACCCTTTCTTCCAGTTGATCGCCTCAGCTCCTGAGGCTTCTGCATTCTTCACGTATTTCTCAAGCCTTGGTTTTCAGCTCCATCAGCTCCTTTAAGGACTTCTCTGCGTTGGTTATTCTAGTTATCCATTCATCTAATTTTTTTTCAAAGTTTTTAACTTCTTTGCCATTGGTTTGAATTTCCTCCTGTAGCTCGGAGTAGTTTGATCATCTGAAGCCTTCTTCTCTCAGCTCGTCAAAGTCATTCTCTGTCCAGCTTTGTTCCATTGCTGGTGAGGAGCTGCGTTCCTTTGGAGGAGGAGAGGTGCTCTGCTTTTTAGAGTTTCCAGTTTTTCTGCTCTGTTTTTCCCCCATCTTTGTGGCTTTATCTACTTTTGGTCTTTGATGATGGTGACGTACAGAAGGGTTTTTGGTGTGGATGTCCTTTCTGTTTGTTAGTTTTCCTTCTAACAGACAGGAAGGACCCTCAGCTGCAGGTCTGTTGGAGTTTGCTAGAGGTCCACTCCAGACCCTGTTTGCCTGGATATCAGCAGCGGTGGCTGTGGAACAGCGGTGGCTGTAGAACAGCGGATCTTGGTGAACTGCAAATGCTGCTGCCTGATTGTTCCTCTGGAAGTTTTGTCTCAGAGGAGTAACCGGCCATGTGAGGTGTCAGTCTGCCCCTACTGGGAGGTGCCTCCCAGTTATGCTGCTCGGGGGTCAAGGACCTGCTTGAGGAGGCAGTCTGCCAGTTCTCAGATCTCCAGCTGCATGTTGGGAGAACCACTACTCTCTTCAAAGCTGTCAGACAGGGACATTTAAGTCTGCAGAGGTTACTGCTGTCTTTTTGTTTGTCTGTGCCCTACCCCCAGAGGTGGAACCTACAGAGGCAGGCAGGCCTCCTTGAGCTGTGGTGGGCTCCACCCAGTTTGAGCTTCCCGGCTGCTTTGTTTGCCTAATCAAGCCTGGGCAATGGCAGACGCCTCTCCCCCAGCCTCGCTGCCACCTTGCAGTTTGATCTCAGACTGCTGTGCTAGCAATCAGAGAGACTCCGTGGACGTAGGACCCTCCGAGCCAGGTGTGGGATATAATCTCCTGGTGCGCCATTTTTAAAGCCCATTGGAAAAGCACAGTTTTAGGGTGGGAATGACCCGATTTTCCAGGTGCTGTCTGTCACCCCTTTCTTTGACTAGGAAAGGGAACTCCCTGACCCCTTGCGCTTCCTGAGTGAGGCAGTGCCTCACCCTGCTTCGGCTGGCACACAGCGCGCTGCACCCACTGTCCTGCACCCACTGTCGGGCACTCCCTAGTGAGATGAGCCCAGTACCTCAAAGGGAAATGCAGAAATCATCCGTCTTCTGCGTCGCTCATGCTGGGAGCTGTAGACTGGAGCTGTTCCTATTCGGCCATCTTGGCTCCACCCTCCGTCTCTCCCTTTTGTGTTTAATTGATGTTTTTAAGTGTATCATTTTGTATAAAAATTATCCAAGCATGGTGGCACATGCCTATAATCCCAGCTTCTTGGGAGGCTGAAGCAGGAGAATCACTTGAACCTGGGAGGTGGAGTTTGCAGTGAGCTGAGATTGTGGCTACTGCACTCCAGCCTGGGCAAGAGTGAGACTCTGTCTCAAAAAAAAAAAAATTGTATCAATTTGATTTCTTCTCTTTTCTTTTTCTCATTATCTTTTTAGTTATTTTCTTCATTGTTACTCTGGGAATTACAATTGTCATCTTAAATTTGTAGCACTCTAGTTTAAATTTATACCAACTTACTTTCAATAGTATATAAAAATTCTGCTCCTATACAGCTTTGTCCCCTCCTTACATTGTTACTGCCACAAATTACATCTTCATACATTGTGTGCCAATTAACATTGTTTATAATGATTATTTACACATTTGTCTTTTAAATCATATAGAAAAAAACAGGAGTTACAAGCCAAAAATACAATAATACTTTATATTTACATATGTAGCCACCATGTCTGGCTAATTTTTCTATTTTTTGTAGAGATTAGGTCTTGCCATGTTGCCTGGGCTGAAGTGATCTGCCCACATCAGCCTCCCAAAGTACTTGTTGGGATTACAGGCATGAGCCACGACACCCAGCTAGGTTTTTTTTTTTTTTGGTCTCTTTCAGCACCTTAAATATTTATCCTACTGTCTTTTTGGCATCCACAGTATCTGAAGAAAAACCAGCTGCTAATCTTATTAAGAATCTCTTGTAAGTGATGAGCCTCTTCTCTTCTTGCTTTCAAGATTCTCTTTGTGACTTTTGACAATTTGAATACAACGTATCTCAGTGTGAATCTCTTTGCATTTACCTTACTTGTGTAAGGTTGGTGGAAAAGTAATTGTGGTTTTTGTTATTGAAAGTAATGGCAAAACTGCAATTACTTTTGCACCAGCCTATATAGTTCACTTAGCGTTTTGAATGTGTAGATTCATGTCTTTCATCAAATTGGGAGAGTTTTTAACCATTATTTCCTCAAATATATGTTCTGGCCCTTTCTTTCTTCTCCTTCTGGGACTCCCATTATATGTATGTTGGTATGCTTGATGCTGTCCCATAGTTCTCTGAGGATTGGTTCATTTTTTTTAAATAGCTTTATTGAGACATCATTGACATATAAAAATTATATATATTTAAAGTGTACAATTTGATGTCTTGATATGTGTACGTTGTGAAATGATCACAACCAAACTAATAAACATATCCAGTACCTCTACATAGTTACCATTGTACATGTGTGTAATTAGATTTAAAATTTATCCTCTTAACAAATTATCACTATACAATATTGTTTAACTGTCATTACCCTGTTGTACATTGAAACTCCAGGAATTATTTATCTTTGCTAATTCTTCTTTATTCTTCTTTTTGCTTCATACAATAGATAATCTCAATTAACCTTCCTTCAAGTTTGCTTATTCTTTGTTCTGTTGTTGAACCACTCTAATTAACTTTTCATTGCAGTAATTGTACTTTTCAGCTTCAGAATTTCTATTAGGTTGTTTCTTATATTTTGTATAGCTTTATTGATATTCTCTATATGGTGACACATCATTCTTCTGGTTTCCTTTAGTTCTTTGTCCATGGTTCCCTTTTAACTCTTTGAACATATGTTAAGACAGTTGATTTAAAGTCTTTGTCTGGTAAGTCCAGTGTCTGGGCTTCTTCAGGGACTGTTTCTATACATTTCTTATTTTCCTGCAAATGGGCCGTAATTTCTTGCTTCTTTGCATGTGTCATAACATTTTGTGGCAAAGTGGATATTTTGAATAATATGACAACTTTGGAAATCAGATTCTCCTTCTTCTCCAGAGTTTGTTGTTGCTGCTTGTTGTAGTTTGTTGTTGTTTAACACTTTAATGGTTTAGACACTTCTCTAAACCATTTTTGTTAAAGCTATATTCCTTGTCATTGGCCACTGAAGTTTTGTTATTTTAGCTTAGTGGTCAGCTAGTGATTTGAAGAGATTTCCTGAAATAGTGAGAGCCAAAAGTATAAAATACTCTCCCAGTCTTTGCAGGTTGGCTTTGCATGAGGAACTCCTTCAATGCTTGGCCAGGTTGTTTAAAACTCTGCCTTAACCTTCACTCCCTCCTTGTGTGGAGCCTAAAAGTTAGATAGATGTTAAAGATTAGAGTCTTTTCAGGTGTCTCTGGGCATATGTCCAGCCTGGGCATGTATGTGACCTTCTGGATTTCTTCATATATACAGAAGCTTTTCAAAGTCATCATTTCTCCATGTATCTCCATGTGTGCTCTCTTTCTTCCCAGACTTTTCTTGTTGCTTGTTGCTTGCTCCAACTGTCATCCTTTGTCTCAGGTGGCTAAGGCTAATACATTTGCTTTTACATGCTTTCAACAAACACCATCTGGAAACTGCTTATGCCTTGGAGAAAGTTTGAGTCAGGTAAAAGAAAAGCAAGCCCTTGTGCCAACCCTTCAGGGAGCCCAGACAGATCAAAACACACCACCATGATTCCTTGAAAATAAGTCCATATTTCTCCCTCTGATGCCAGCAACCTGCATCTGGAATGTGAGCTGCTGTCTTAGCTGCTACCAAGCTGATGATGGGGCATGGTAAGCAGGTAAGTTACAAAGCCACAGCACTTTTACCAAAATTCAGCAGTGTCTTTCTTCAGTAAGCATTCCCCTGCTTGCTATTGTTGTTTTTTAATAGATTCCCAGAGTTCCAAAAAATTTGACTCTGACAGTTTTTGCCAGATTGTTCATTGCTTTTGTGGAGAGACAGGATTTTAGAGTTCCCTACTCTGCTATTTTCAGTAACATTACTCCTGGATGACTAAGTTTAACTTGTTTACAGGTATTAGAAGTGAATCATTTCCTTTAAAAAAAATGTTGACTGGGTGCAGTGGCTCACGCCTGTAATCCCAGCACTTTGGAGGCCAAGGTGGGTGGATCACGTGAGGTTAGGAGTTCGAGACCAGCCTGGACAACATGGTGAAACCCCGTCTCTACTAAAAATACAAAAATTAGCTGGGTGTGGTGGCGCCTGTAATCTCAGCTACTCGGGAGGCTGAGGCAGAAGAAATGCTTGAACCTGGGAGGGGGAGGTTGCAGTTAGCTGAGATCGCGCCACTGCACTCCAGCCTGGGCAACAAGAGCAAAATTCCATCCAAAAAAAAAAAAAAGTCATAAAAAAATAAAAAGCTCAGAACCAGAGACACTCTTAGGTAATTTTTAGTATATAAGTCCTTGCATAAACTAGGTGTTCAATACTGTCAAAGCAATTTAAGAATATAAGAAACAATACCAGGTCCTAGAAAGAGCAAGTATGAACGAAAAAGTATCTGATAAAGCTCTCAATGAATTTAGAAGCTTATTTTGCCAAGGTGAATGATGTGCTTGGGAAACAAGTCTGTGCCTTTCTCCAAAGATGACTTTCAGGGCTTCAACATTTAAAGGAGAAAAGTGGGATAGAGAGGAAAGAGGGAGAGTATGGTAATCCACATATTGCAAGAGAAAAGGAGCAAGCAAGGGAATAGTCAATTATGTATTGGTGTCACACTCAGTAAATTGACACGTTACATAAGATAAGATGAACATAAAGTAGCTACCTGTGGAAATATTTAACCTTTTATCTGTAGTTATCTACTTAGGAACAAAAGGAAAGGTAGTTGCTTGCATGACTCAGCTTTCAGCTTAATATTTTTCCTTTGGCATAGTAAATTTATTTTCTTTTCACAATTCTCACCGCCACTTTTTAAAAAGCCAGTCAAATTTAGCAGTGGGGGGGTCATATACCAACTTTAGTGACACTAGTGTTAATAAGTTCTGATAACCCACTACCATTGGACCAAACCTCCCTATTTTTTCTTTTAAACTCTTTCAGAAAATGCATTTTAGAAGAAAATGAGTCTCTGATCTCAGGATTTGTCTGATCTCTCACGATTGGGATGGCCCATTCCTAGAGGGGTAAGGTCCCACGTTGTTAGGAAAACTCATTTTTAGCCAGTTATGAAGTCTTATATTCTACAAAGAAAAAATAGGTGAAGGACAGAGAAAGGAAGCAGAGGAAAGATGAGAAAATAACAAATATTTTTTAAAAAGGGAGAACAATCCTGGAAAACTGATATAGGCCATATTACTCCGAAGTCAATACATCAGTAGGTAGGTATAAAATTTGTTTATATATAGAGATACATAAGTTTATGTTGTCTAGCTTCAGTATTTAAAATCAGGAAAAATGGCAGAAAAAGGAAAGGAGAGAAGAAAAAAATGAAAACATTATTTTGGAAACTTGTAGTCACGAAATATTTTAGAATTCAGTCCAAATTGTAGAATATAATAAAAGTTGAAAAACACTTGACAAAGTTAGAATCCAATAACAGGTGTACTAGAGTTTATTTTGAAACATGATTTTTCTCTCTCCAATTCTCCCATTTTATTAAAGACAAAATCATAGTAGGACCACTTTATTTGTAAAGTAAGTTTTAGTCTTATTATTGGCTTGATTATTTACATGAAGTGCAGCAACAATAATCATTTGCCATATAGGCTGTCTTTTTGAAAAATTTGGCTTTGCTGGAAGCTTTTCCATAAGGAATCTGAGATTAGGGCTTTTCTAAAGCCATGAGGCCAGTCAAGGATTTATCTGTGCCTGCAGATACCTGTGTAAATGGAATAAATTCCTCTCTTTTTGAGGTCTCCAAAAAACCTTGGGGTTCCTAGGTATGTCTGAAAGTGACATTCTTTACTTACCACAGGCCAGGACCCTGTAAATAACAAGGTATAAGGCCAATCTTTCCAAGGGGTTTTTAGTGGCTCTAAAAGTTAGCCTTATTTTCTCAGGGCAGTCTGAATATATGTCATTCCAGTCAAAGCGTTGGTAAACTAACCAGTATCTCCAATTACATCCTGTTATAAAAGAAAACAGATTCTTATTGAGCTTATATAAATAACTATATTGCCATAAATTAAGAATACTTACAAATAATTTCCAAATTTTGGGGAAATGAGGTAGAGAGAAAGAAATTATGTTTTAAATTTTGCTCACTAGAGTATAATTTACTCAATTGTTAAAAGCTGTACATAGCTTAAAAGAAGAGAAAATTTTCTTAAATCTGAAAAATAAAACAAAGAGAACTGGCAAATTTTTAAATAAAAAGCCATAAAGGATTATTGTAATTATTTCAATCTTCTATTAGTTCAGTCCATGCAATTAACTCCTGTTCTTCTCAATAGTCGATCAACAACCCTCATGAATACATCAACTTTCCATGAGAGTTCTGGAAGTTTTTCTCTTTATTCCAATCGCACAGTCTCTAATACTATCAGAAACTCATATTTAAGAGTACTCCTCAGAGGTCTATAGCTGATTATAAACCACTCTATAAACAGACCAAAGTAAAACCACAATTGTGGATAATGAAAGTCTTAGAACGGTCATGGTTAAAGACACAATTTACAAGGAAATTTGGTTACTCCTGCGGCATACAACAATTTGACATAATAATCATAATTACTACTGATAACATGTACTAAGATGTATCAGAATCACAGGAATCTCATATAATTTTGGAATACATACTAATAACACATTTATATAAATATAATCCAAAGAACGTTAAACACCATTTCATATTTGATGATGCTTCTTGTATGGTTTTATTATGCCAAATAAGCAAAATATGTCTCTTTTGGACTTCAGGGGACCTAATATCAAAAAATTAAAAGGTCAAAGGACTGAATTTAGAACTTGATTTTGGAAAGTTTGTCAAATATAAAAAAAGTTTAAAACACTTGATATCATAAATGGGATCACAGGAAATTGTAAAATAAGTCATTCATTCAGCCAAAGTGATAACTGAAATATTTTTTTTAAAGGCAAAAGCCTTTTTCTTTGAGAGAGGAGACTTAATTTCCCAAACAATAAGTACTAATAAAGAAAGCATGAGGCCAATTAAATCTGCCTGAAGTCTTATAAACAAATCTATTAAATTTTAATCATCTTGACCATAAGATTTAACTTCCCTAAACCTTTTTATAACTTTTTCTAATTTTTTAAAGAGTAGGTTAATGCTCCAAGAAAAACCTTGTCAATCTGACACAGGGGCCCAGATGCTGGTCTTGCATCGGTGTTTCTTTGATTATTAATGTTTAATCTATAGAGAAACTCTGATATAATTTTCTCTCTCAAAATTGGCCCTTACAGTCTCACACACTCACCTTTTCTTCAATAGTCCCTGGGCCTAGAGGGGTTGAATAGTTTTAATTTCTGGCTCTGTGTTTCATGAATGCAGTTTATTTTTATTGTTATCATCTCCTAAGTCTGAAGGTGAGCCTTTAACTGCTGTCAGTGTTTAAGATTCAGCAGAACTTGGTCCTTTTTGCATCCAGGAGTCAAAACCCTGTAACTCAATAGCACAAGGATTTTAAAAGTAATACAGAAAGTTACATGTAGGTAATAGCCTTAATTAAAAACAAAATTAATCTCAGTTTTCCTAAGCAAATCAAAACTTAATAATGATGTAGGAATTATTTCAATAAAACATAAAATCTGTTTGTTAGTCCAGTTACCAAATGGCAAAAACCCCAAAAATAAATCTTTTTGCAGTGTGACTGCTGTTCCCTGTGGGGAGTCCATTTAGATAACCTGCAAGTCAAAACTAATGAAAAATGGGTACTTGAATTAGTTAGACATAGGAAGAGTGTGTCCTAAGTGAAGGTTTTCTTTTTCTTTTTTTGAGATGGAGGCTCATTCTGTTGCTCAGGCTGGAGTGCAGAGGTGCAATCTGGGCTCACTGCTGCCTCCGCCTCCGGGGTTCAAGTGATTCTCCTGCCTCAGCCTCCCAAGTAGCTGGGATTATAGGCGCACACCACTATGCCTGGCTAATTTTTTGTATTTTAACTAGAGATGGGGTTTTGCTATGTTGGCCAGGCTGGTCTAGAATCCCTGGCCTCAGGTGATCCGTCCACCTCGGCCTCCCAAAGTGCTGGGATTACAGGCATGAGCCACGGCACCCAGCCAGGTTTTCAATTTTGTAAACCAATTTAGACATATTAAGAAAAGCTAAGAGCACAGAATGTTATATTGGAAGAAAACATTTCCTTTAAACCTTTAAGATAAAACATTTTTAGCATTAGGTCACAACAGCATTTAGAAAATAAGGATAAAAAGTTAGAGGAGCTGATGAAAAAGTTGGAGTGAATTATTATCTCAGGCCTTCTCAAAGGGGAGAGAAAACTGAAAACAGCAAGACACAATAAAAGTTAAATTTTGGGGTTAACAAAAATCTCCTGTAATTTCATTAAGAGTAAATCAATACCTTAAGAAAATTTTGTTGTTCTAACCAATTCTTTTGAGTATTAGGGTATTTTAATATCAAAGCCTAATCTCTACAGAGACTTTTAGAAATAATTTTCTTTTAACTATAGCCAACTTGATCACATAAAGTTTTTTTATATAAATTCTCCTTTTACAAAGTTTATTATGACTTACACAAACCATTTATGATATATGCCTATGTTCCCAGACCAAACTGAGGGTCGGGCTGCTATTTCTCGTGGCCCGATAACAAGATGCAGATGAACTGGGGAGGAAGAGAGTTTTTATTTCTGTAACCGGTTACAGGGAGAAGACCTGGAAAACACTGCTAGACCAACTCAAAATTACAAAGTTTTCCAGAGCTTATATGTCTTCTAAGCCATATGTCTATGTGTAAGTATGCATTCATCTAAAGACATAAGTGATTAACTTCTTTTAATCTGTAACTAAGATCTGAGTTCTGAAGACCTTCCTCTGGAGCCTGAGTAAATTTACTTAATCTAAATGGGTCCAGGTTCCGGGGTGATTACCCTTATCTTGTCTCCTGCTAAATCATGGAGGATTGGGAAGTTCCTTCAGACCCCAGTAAACTTGTTTGTGGAGGCCTGGGGAGTTTCTTCAGACCCCCAATAAAACTTGCTTAATCCTAAATGTATCCTGTTAAGAATTCCTTCATTATCTTGTCATGTTTCAAGGCCAGGAAAGGCTTAGGCAAAACTCTTGGTGGGCTTCTGTTACAGCCCAGCCTTTGCATAAGGTCACTGGCCCTTTCAGCTTTTAATATTTAACTTAATCAGTCAGTGCTGAAACAGTTGTTATGAAGGCCCGCATTAGTGAGACCTGGCCTGCCACACTTGGACTTCCTGTTTTATCTTAAATATCCGCTTTCTTAAATAACCAGTCATTTTATTTTGGGACAAAAAATTTACCATACAAATTCTTTCTCATATAAAATTATTTTCCTTTTAACCTTTATTATCTTTTGCCTTGTTTCATAAATAACCTTTGAATTAGAAATTATTTCCCTTTAATAAGAACATTTTTTAAAGAAAAATGTTTGCTTGCTATAATATAATTTTTAAAAATCAGGTAACAATACAAAAGCAAGCAGTTTAAGATCAGAGGGAACCTGTCTGTTTATATTCTTGGGGTTCCATATGGAAGAACAGAGATTTCTCCCCAGAAAGGAGTCTGGTGCCTTCTCTCTTTTCTTTAAGGAATCCCAGGCTGTTAGAAATTATTTAGATCCTTCATGCAGCAGAGAGTGGCAAGAGGAAGGAGAGACAGGCCAAAGTAATTTGAGGAAACAGAACTCAGTCAACTGAGAAGCAAAAAACTTTTTCTCAAAAAACAAGATCCTAGGACAGAGAAAAAGCATAAAGGCCTTATATTCATACACACACATCTTGGATATTAGCTTTTAATTAAGCTGAGTTTTAACCACTGAGCTCTTAAAAATCCTTTTAAATCTCTTTTAACCATGTTTTAGCTGGGACAACCTGCTGATATTTCAAAAGTACTAATAACACAAAATTTAAGCCAGAAAGGACCTGATTCAGGAACCAAACCCAGGCTGCTATGGTGAAAGCAGGCAGAACCTTTAGCTACTGAACTACGCTGCGGGGCAGCCACCATAGTTCTTTCAGTTTGGGCTTGGCTGGCGAAAGATGGCCTTGTTATGTAAACAAAGCCCCTCAGGTAGTCAAAATCTTTCTTTTCTTCCTTTTGCTGGCTTTTTTATTTTTTTTTTCCAGCTGCAGGAATGTAGACAATTCAGAGGCTTTGTTCCCCATAATTTGGAACTTTTCTTCAGATTTGACCAAGTCGGGTAGAGATGATCAAACCTAATGGGAAAAAGACTGAAACAACAAAAACAGAAACAGGCAAACACAACCAGGTAAGCAAAACAAAAAAATGGTCACACAATTCATACAATTACTGAGTGCTCTAATGGTAAGAAGAAATTAAAACCAGCTGATTGTTAATCTTAACTTTTAGTCATTAAGGAGAATTTCCAAGATAAAACCCCAATTCAACTACAGTTCAAGACAGTTGTTTGCGTGACCCAGCTTTCAGCTGCATTTTTTTCCTTTTGGCATAGTGAATTTATTTTCCTTTCACAAAAGAAACTCTAGCCCCAAACCATATCAAGACACTCATTGGAATAGAAGGTGTTCAGTCTCACACATATTTAGAAATATTAACTCCCTTAATAAAGCCATTTTCAGATACTGAGAACTACTTATATTTGGGGTATATGTGAGAACTAAACTCTGATTTTTTTTATCTTGCCCAAATTCCTATCTAAGGGGTCTGGGGAGTCATGCCCTACAAATCATAAATTCTCATCAGTTGGGTTTTATTTAACCCTGTATATCGTGACTTATTTTCCAACCTGACTCTGGCATAACATTATGAGACAAGGAAGAAAATCAAAATATTTTACCCCAAAATATATTTCTTTGTCATATTTGAAATGGCCCTGCAAAGCTATTCTTTGTGGGGAAAAACGTGCATCTGTAACGAATCTCTATTAACATAGCTATATATTTTTCTTCCAGACCCCCCCCCAATCGTAAAGAGATTAACTAAGATCTGAATAGGAAACATTTGTCATCTATTGTCCCTAAGGGCAGCCACCATAAGACTTCCAGAGAACTTTGGTCTCCACAATCTTTTATCTTAACCCGAACATTCCTTTTCTATCAATCCCGGGTCTTTAGGCAAACTCAACCAATTGTCAACCAGAAGATGTTTAAATTCACCTATAGCCTGGAAGCACACCCCACCCTATCCCGTTTTTGAGTTGTCCCGCCTTTCTGGACCAAACCAATGTATTTCCTAAATGTATTTGATTGATGTCTCATGCTTCTCTAAAATGTATACAACCAAGCCGTGCCCTGACCACCTGGGGCACATGTTCTCAGGACCTCCTGAGGGCTGTGTCACAGGCCACGGTCACTCGGCTCAGAATAAATCTCTTCAATTATGTAAGAGTTCAACTCTTTTTGTCGACATATGGTATGGATTTGTGTGTATACTTCTTCCCCAGTAATTCACTAGTGACACAGTATCCTGATCTAAACAGTAATTCACTATGCCAGGACTTGAAAACACGTGAACTACAACGGAAACAGCAGAAATCTATGATTTGGGTGAAAAAAAAAACCATATTTCCAGGCCATTTTAGAATAATCTGGCATGGATTTATTTCCAAACTAACCTATAGTCTGAGCCAATTTGAATGAAAGATCATGTTTCTGGGCCATTCTAGGGGAGAAAAACTGCTTTAAATCTTATGTTAAAAAAAAAAACCTAAAAAAACTCCACAATTTTAATGAATATGGATAAATAAGCTGCATGTCTGTGTCACACTGGGAAAAGATTATGGTGAGGACTTCATGTCTACTGCCTGCCCCCACCTAAGACTTAGCAGATTTGGATTAAATATTTTTTACACCATTTTAGAAGAAAAATATGGCATGCAATTATGTCCATAATTACATTTCTGGCAAGTCTGAATGAAAAAAATCATCTTTCTGAATCATTTTGGAAAAACATTTTTTGCATCGGACTTATATCCAAAAACCTTCCACTTTTTGGAAGAAAAAGCTGGCCTAGGGCTGATGTGCCAAAAAACTGGAGTAAATTTGGATTTTTTGAAAAAAACATGTTTGGGGCCATTTTGAAAGAAAGTCTGGGACAGGACTTATGTCTAATAAACCTCACAATGTTAGTAAATTTTAAGAAAAAATAATATTTCCCAGCCATTTACAAAGAACAATCTGGAATACAGCTTACCCCAAAAAACATAATTTAAGGAAATTTTGATAAAATATCACATTTTTAGGTTACTTTGGAAGAAAATTCTGGCATAGAAATTATTTCCAAAAAACTTCATTATTTGAGCCAATTTGATTGAAAAATCACATTTCCAGGCCATTTAGAAGAAAAGTCTTACACATGATTTAGATCCAAAGATCCTAAGATTTCAGTGAATTTGGATAAGAAATGACATTTTCTGCATATGTTAGAAGGAAAATCTGGTGTAGGACTTAAGTTCCAATAAGCATCCAAATTTGAGCAGATTTGCATGAAAATTTCACATTTCCAGGGGGATATGAGGAGAAATATCCAGCATATGACTTACTTCCCAAAAACCCACTATTTATATAAATTTGGATTTTTAAAACTCAGGTTTCTTACTCATTTGGGGAGAAATTTGACAAAGAATTTGTGTACCCTAAAACCCATGATTTGAATGAATTTGAATGAAAAGTGTATTTATTTCTGGGGAACTTTGTAAAATAATGTAGCATAGAATTTATGACCACATGTCCTAAAAACTTGAACAAATTTAGATGAAAAGTTACATTTCTGGGTCATTTTAGAAAAGCCTGGCATAAGAATTATTTCTAAAAACTCATAAGACTTAGTGAAGTTGGATGAAAAATAATCCTGCTTTCAAGACCATTTTGGAAGAAAAATATAGTATGGTATTACATCTAGAAAACCCTACTTATGCAAATTTGAATGCAAATTGTCTTTGTGGGCCATTTTAGAAGAAAATTCTGCTGTTGGGCTTATATTTTTAAAAAAACTCCACTGGTTATTTGACTACTGGAGCTATATAGTAAGTTTTGAAATTCGGAAGTATAAGTTCTCCAACTTTGTTCTTTTAAAAATATGTTCTTTGATTGCCTCTTTTTAACCTAAAACTTAGCACCCTGGACACAGTGTTCTCAGACTGTTTGTCCCATCCCTCCTCCCACTGATTAATCTTGGTGATTCTTTCATATAAGTACATAGTGATGCTTCTCATTCTTTGTTACGACAGCATATTGTCCGTTTGTGCATGATTTATATTTAATCAGTTCTACTGAACATGTTTTTCTTTGCTAAAATTTGAAATTACTCATGACTGCATTGAATAACTTATCTAAATCATTTTGCACATAAACATACACAGCTATTAGATAAATTCATTAAATTAGATTTTGGGCTCAAAGGGAATATGAATTTAAATTTTGAGAGATATTACCAAGTTGTCCACCAGAAGACTTGTGGCAATTTGTATTCCCAAGACTAATGTAGAAGTGTGCCTGTTTCCACCATCTACAATACTATGTCCAAATTTTGTAGTCTTTGCTAATCTGGCAGGTGCAAATATCTCTGTGTGTGGCTTTCATTTGTACCTTTACTGATGTCAAGGATATTTTCAAATGAAAGAAGACTTCTCTTCCTATGCTGTGATCTGTCCTTGTATTTTTTAGTATCTTCGACTGTGTTTTTGATTTTTAAAACTTCATTTCTAATGGTATTATGCAGATAGGAAAGACAGCATCTCTATCAAGTTTGTCTTTTGTTTTGTCCGTAAGTGTGAATTGCCTTGCAGAATTTATTTTTGTATAGACAAATCTGACCTTTTTCATTATGACTTCGAGTTTGAATCAGTTAGGAAGTCAGTCCAAGGTTATATGTTCCAATGATCTATTCCTGTATAACAGACAATCCTAAAATTTGAGGCTTAAAACAACTACTATCATCATGCCTCAGTTCTATAGGTTGACTGAACTCAGCTGAATGGTTCTCACTTGAGGTCCCTCACTTGGTTGCAGATGTCACCTAGGGTTTCAGTCGTCTGAAAGGCCTGACAGGGCAGGCCTCCAAAATAGCTCTCCCATGTGACTGCAGTTGAGGCTCACTGTTGGCTAGCTCAGCTATGGCTGATTACCAGAGTACCTCTATGAGGCCTCTCCATGTGACTAGAAGTTTTCACAGCATGGCAGCAGGGTTCAAAGTGTAGAAGCTGCATGGCTTCTTATGAACTAGTCTCAGAAGTCCCATAATATCATTTCTGCTATACCCTCTTGATGAAGCAAGTCACTAAGACCAGCCCAGATACATGGGGAAGGTAACAGGTCACTCCCCTTCACCCCATCTCATAATAAAGATATAGGGAGGGACGAATTGATTACGTCCATCTTGGAGACGATTTTCACACATCCATTCCATGTGAAATATATACTCATCCCTCCTAAGATGCCTCCAAAGTCTTATCCCACTATGGCATTGGCTCAAAGATCGGGATCTCATTCTCTAAATCAGGTCAAGGTGTAGATGATGCTTTATCTGAAGACCTGGGAACCAAAGCAGCATATCTAACACCCAGTGTAGATTCAGGGATAACTATCCCTGAAAAAGTGCTTCTATCAAAAAATGGGGAAATAGCAGGTACTGGTTCATAGAAATTCAGCAGTTCAGCTGGGCACATGCCACCAGTTACCTTAGTAGCACCGTACTGCCCCTGAGAGTGATTCTCCATGATGTCTGCAGTCCAAGTTATTCCTCCTTTTCCATGAGAAATGGCCTGTGCTTGCAGCTTAGTAGGTTTCTCACCCTGCCTCCCTGCCCATAGAAAGAGGTAGGGGCTTTTCTGTCCTTTTCAGAGCAAGCTGGTGTTCCTGTTACAAACGTTAAGGGTATGCCTCTTATTGAAGCTCATTCCATTAGACAAAACCCATATCCACAAAGCTCTTCAGGACAAGCCTCTCATTTGGGTTGAGTGTCAAGGTGCTATGGGATGATTCCCTTAAAATTTAGAACCATTTTGTGTATAGTCAAGGAGCCACACACTTAAATATTTCTGAAGTCTTAAAAAGGGGTCTTACAGTTGCACCCTTGAGATGATCTTTACCTTGAAGGACACTTATTTTGAGCAAAACCAGACACTGAAGGAGGTATGGTTAATAATATTTATGTAGGGTTAAATACCTTAAGCCCTGAGATAGGATAACTATTGAGACTGTGTGGCTTAAAGACCTTAGATCAGTTACCTGATGACTGACATGGGGACTGGGTCCTGGGATAGAGGAGCATGATTCAAAGTCCTAAACACTGGTATTACAGGACTGATTGGGGAATGTGGCTTCAAGGGTTTAATCTCTGTTATTGGAGGGCTGAGGAAGACACATGGTTAAAGATTGTCATATACAGTCAAGTGTTGCTTAACAAGGATATGTTCTGAGAAATCATTAGGTAATTTAGTCATTTTGCAAACACTATAGAGTGTACTTACCAAACCTAGATGGCACAGCCTACTATACACCTGGGCTATATGGTATAGCCTATTGCTCCTAGGCTACAAACCTGTGTAGCAGGTTACACCGAGTACTGTAGGCACTGAGTACTGTGGGCAACTGTAACACAATGCTAAGTTATTTGTGCATCTAAACATGGAAAAAGTAAGGTAAAATACAGCATAAAAGACAAAAAAAATGGTACACCTGTAGAGGGCACTTACCATAAATGGTAAGTTGCAGAACTGGAAGCTGCTCTGGGTGAGTCTATGCATCTAAACATAGAAAAAATAAGGTAAAATACAACATAAAAGCCAAAAAAAAAATGGTACACCTGTATAGGACACTTACCATACATGGCAAGTTACAGAACTGGAAGTTGCTCTGGGCGAGGCGGTGAGTGGTGAGTGAGTGTGAAGGCCTGGGACATTACTATACACTACTACAGACATACATACTGTACCCTTAGGCTACACTCAATTTATTTTTAAATTTTTCTTTCTTCAATAATAAATTAGCCTTAGCTTACTGTAGCTTTTAACTTTATACGCTTTAAATTTTTTTACTTTTTGACTCACTTGTAACTTAGCTTAAAACAAAAACACACTGTACAGCTGTACGAAAATATTTTTTGTTTTATCCTTATCCTATACGCTTTTTCTATTTTAAAAATTTTAAATTTTTGTTGTTGTTGTTGTTAAAAACGAAGACACAAGCACACACATTAGCCTAGGTCTATACAGGGTCAGGATCCATATCACTGTCTTATCCACCTCTGTATCTTGTCCCACTGGGAGGTCTACAAAGTCACTAGGTAACGGGAATTTTTCAGCTCCACTATAATCTTACCAGCCCACCACTGTATATGCAGTCCGTCGCAGACGAACATTATGCAGTGCCTGACTGTAGTTATGGAGGTGCTGATGAGGTGGTATAGCTGGGGGTGGTTGGAGATTATCTATTTTCTTGGTGGTCTGATATGGGTGTAACTGAGATCCAAGGCTCTGCTTGGTCACAGCTGCAAGACCAGGCCGTGGGACTGGAGTGCTGGGGACAATGTATTGGTGAGAGGGCCCCCGATGGAAGGACCAGGGACTAAAAAAGCCTGAGAAACACAACAAAGGTAGTCAGGGGCAAAGGCAACAACGGAGATGTTTGAAAGCTGGGAGGAGAGAAGCAGGAAAGGGGCTGTCAGAGCCAAGGGATGGGGGTAGCTGCAGATGGAGCCGGACTAGAGGAAGCTACACTTTCTGGAAGATCCCCTCCCATCCCATGAAATCTCTTTATGTAGTTCCTAGATTCTCTCCCCATACAAAGGTCCAGTCTTTCTAATAAATCTGCAAATGATTTGGTTCTTGTTTTCCGAGGAAATGAATTCCTGTGGAATAGTGGACTTAAGGGTTTCAGATGTCTGTATCATTCCTTATCCCTGTTATAGATGAGTGAATGAGGGACACAGGCACAGTTACAGATGTATAAAGAAGCCAAGTTTATTACAACCGAAGGCCACAAAACATGGAGAAGACTTAGTGTGGAGAAAGTAAACAGTCAAATGTCCTTTGACCACTTACAGAATGCATTTCTCTACTCCATTTCATCAAAGTGTCAACATTCTGACTCTTAGTCCTTGTCCCCATCTTTGCCTTCAGAGAGAGTATAAGGAATCCGAAGGTTGCCCTGCACACGGCTCAGGGTCGGGCTGCACTGGCAGTCTGTGGTGGACAGACGTGGTCTTCCTGTGTCTGCTGAGGTGAGACTTGAGGCTGAAGCCCCGCCCACACGTCTTGCACACATATGGCTTCTCCCCCGTATGTGTCATTTGATGTAAGGTGAGGTGTGACTTTTGGAGAAAGCCTTGGCCACACTCTCTGCACACACAAGGCTTCTCTTCCGAGTGAGCCCGCTTGTGTGTAATTAGAGCTGACTTATTGCCAAAGCCCAGTCCACACTGCCTGCACATGTAGGGCTTCTCCCTCGAGTGCTTCCGCTTGTGCCTGATGAGACCGGCCTGGTGGCTAAAGCCTCGCCCGCACTCTCGGCACACATACGGCCTCTCCCCTGAGTGCGTCCTCTGGTGTGCAACAAGGTTTGACTTCTGGCTGAAGCCTCGCCCGCACTCCCCACACACCATGGGCTTCTCGCCTGAGTGCGTCCTCTGGTGTCTGATGAGGTTGGATTGCTGGCTGAAGCCCCGGCCACAGTCCTTGCACACAATGGGCTTCTCTCCTGAGTGTATGTTCTGGTGTCTGTTGAGGTGTGACTTGAGACTAAAGCCTCGCCCACACACCCCACAAACATACGGCTTCTCCCCAGTGTGTGTCCGCCTGTGAGAGATGAGGGTTGAATTCTGGCTGAAGCTGTGCCCACACACCCCGCACACATAGGGCTTCTCCTTTGAGTGTGTCCTCTGGTGGTTGACAAGGGTGGTCCTCTGCCTGAAGCATCGCCCACACTCCTTGCAGGCGTAGGGCTTCTCCCCAGAGTGCGTCCTCTGGTGGGAGATGAGGTTTGACCTGTCGCTGAAGCCCAGGCCACAGTCACTGCACACGATGGTCTTCTCCTCCAAGTGTGTCCTCTGGTGTCTCACGACAGCTGACTTCTGGCTGAAGCCTTTGCCACATTCCCGGCACACGTAAGGCTTTTCCCCTGAGTGTGTCCTCTGGTGTATGATGAGGTTTGACTTCTGGCTGAAGCCTCGCCCACACTCACTGCACATGTAAGGTTTCTCACCGGAGTGTGTCCGTTCGTGTATGATTAGCGTTGACTTCCGGTTAAAGCCTCGTCCACACTCCCTGCACACAATTGGCTTCTCCCCCGAGTGTGCCTTCTGGTGTCTGGCGAGGCTCTTCTTTAGGCTGAAGCCCTTCTCACATACCCCACACACGTAGGGCTTCTCCCCTGAGTGTATCCGCTGGTGACTGAGCAGGTTTGTCATCTTGCTGAAGCTCAGTCCACACTCTCCACAGTTGACTGTTCCAAATCCTAAGACTTCTATCCTCTTCAACAATTTGTCTGTTTCCTCAGGGTTCCCTGACTGAGCTGGGCTGGCTTCTAACTCCACCCCTCTGAGGCCGTTCCGAGAGCTGACTGGCTGCCTCTGGGGTGGCCTGGAGAACGCTCCCAGAGTCCTTTTCTTGGTTCTTCCAAACAAAGGCATGGCACCTTCTCCCTCAGGACCTTCTGCTTGATCACTCCAGGGTCTCCCCTCAGAGGCTTGTTGCTGCTTCTCCTGGTCCCCTGGGCCCGGATCCCCAGGCTGGATGTTACCTTCTGCACACAAGCATGTGAAGATCCAGGGGGGATGATTACACAGCACATGCTGCATGGGGAATTTCTGACTGGAGAAACCCGGAGGGCAGAAAGGATCGAGGTAGAGCTCTGGCTCTGGATCTGCTGCAGAGAGAAAAGTGTGAGTCACAACTGAGTCCTCAGTGGGCAGCCTGAGCAATCAGCTTAGTCAGATCCCCTAGGCTTCAAAACACTTAGGCCTTAAGTGCCATCCAACCGGGACTTCCTTTACATGGCCTACTCTCCAGCCTACTGCTACTTATTACGTCTAGCATTACAATCTAGAAAACCCACTTGTTAAGACCTGCTCTACATATAAGACTACACAAGCATCCCTGGCATTTTTGGGTGTGTAAATAGGGCCAGTATGGAACAGTTCCCCCTCACCTTCAATACAATTAATTACCTTCTAACTCACAACCATGCACACTGAGATAAATCATGTCCACAAGTACTTTCTTCTTTGATGGAAAGATGTCTAACCCTAGGACTCATGTGGAAATGTCCTTCCTTATTTCCCTATGAGGACAAGGGGATGGATTGAGAAAGCAGTTATTTAGAGTGAACAGAGAAGCCCTGGTGTAGGGAGGAGCATGAGAGGGTAGTGAAACAGTATGTGACACACCCGAGCTGCTGTCTCCCCACTCAACAAAGATTTGTTAGATTACTCTATGCCAGAATTTCTAGGAGGCAGTAGGCTTTCAGCAGTGGACAACACAGAGCCCAGGTCCCCAATGACTTTAAAGGATGCTCCCTCCTGGTACCCCCAACCTATTTCCATAATTAGTGTAAATAAAATTTTCCCCAAAAATCAGTGTAAAAGAAGAAATTTCTACTTATAGTGCCTCTTGTGTAGGAGATGTCAACATTGAGTATATTGTTTTATCACAACTGGGTCTAGTCAGCTGAAGGCAATCAATGACCAGGCAATATGAGTAACGAGGTAGAGATCTCGATGGATCTACCCGAATGCTCTTTTCTTGACCAATGAAAAATCAAGCTTATTAAAAGTGTACACATCCACATTCCAGAATTATTCCATGCTACGCGAAATGCTACTTTTCAATCCTAATTACAATGAGCAGAACCACCTTTTCTTACCACTTAAAAATTCCTGACTCTTCCTACTCAGCAAACTGCCCAAGTGAATGTCTTCCCTTCTGTGTTTCACTGCCTGGCCAGTAAATAAGCTCAACTTTTCTCCTTTCAGTAGCTCTGGTGGCCTTTACCTCAGGCTTTGATGACAGACAGAGGAACCAACAATCTAACCTGATGCCTGCCTCTCCCCACGCCAGTGCTGAGGAGCTCCTGCAGAGAAAGCCTGCTCTTCCAGCCCTTGTATTCAGGACAGGTGCCGGGTGGTCCCTCAAGACCCTTTTTCAGCAGTAAATCCTACCTGCTTTCACTGAGTTCTCACTAAGTTTATTTGGTTTAATCTAGGTTGTCTGAGGTTCCACAACTCATAACTGATTTTGTGTTCTATTTCTGGCCAGCAACTTCCTTGACATTATGGAAACTTGAGTTGGGTGGAGTTGTCAGATTTGATTTATTGGCTATTTTGTTTCTCTTGAATACGACAGGAGAAGGGAAGCAACAGCTCATATCTCCTTGGCTTACCTTCATACATATTAGGGCATAGTCATGGGTAAGTAGGTCTTTCAGCAGTAAAAGGAACTCCTGTGTCTGTCCTGAGTTAAGCACAGTGACTATAATTTTGACACAGGTAATACCTCCCACCCACCCTTATAAGAACCAAGGCTTCTGATATGTAGGCTTATTACAGCCCTAGCTGCTGTGCCTATGTGTAAAGTGGCAGGCTTTTATTTACACTAAATGTATTTCAGAATTATAGAAGCGCCTTCAGAGAAATCTTAATTCAACATGGTTTTAACATTTGTATGGAGTGACAGAAGAAAAACAAAACTTTAATTCTCCATTAGTCAGTTTTTTCAGTTGGTCACCAAATTTGGCATTCTGTGTATACACTAGGAATATTTAGTCTTAGAAGAAATTTTAACACAAAATATTACCAGGTTAATGAATTTATTTATAAAATATTTTAAATCTAAGGTGCTCCTGCACTGATAGGTTTATAGAGACTAATGGGCACTGACACAAATTTAAAATTTAAAAACTCGAGAATAACTAAATTAAAAAAAAAAAATCAGGCCAGGTGTAGCGGCTCACGCCTGTACCAGCACTTTGGGAGGCTGAGTCGAGTGGATCACTTGAGGTCAGGAATTTGAGACCAGCCTGGCCAACATGGTGAAACCCTGTCTCTTCTAAAAATATAAAAATTAGCTGGTTGTGGTGGTGTGCACCTATAATTTCAGCTACCCAGGACGCTGAGGCAGGTGCTTGAACCTGCGTGGCGGAGGTTGCAGTGAGCCGAGATTGCGCCACTGCATTCCTGCCTGGGCAACAGAGCAAGATTCTGTCTCAAAAAAATAAAAAATAAATAAAATTGAAAATTGAACTCCTAATGATTCAAATATGCCAGTTTCTGAAGGAAATCTTTCTTGCTGCAGCTGAAGCTCTGGCTCTGAAGAAAAAAGTTTAGCTGTGAATTAAGCCAGGCACCTTGCTTATTAGGTTGCACGATAAGAAAGAAATGTGAGGCACTCAGAGCTTATTTACTACAATATGTAAACAACCTTACTAGCTGGTATGTAACTAAAGGGTGGAATCAATATTTCAAAGTAAGATAAAGCCTGCAAATAAGACAAATGCAATGTCTTTTCCCTTATTTTATCAGTGTAAACATAACATTAGCATAATATTCTAGTGATATAAAACTTGGTTCTGATATGTAGGCTTTCTCAAAGAAAGTTTAACTAATCTAAACTTCCAAGACTAATATATAGGTTCAGCATCCCTAATCTGCAAAGTTCCAAAATCTGAAAATCTTTAAGCACCAACATGCAGCCACAAGTAGAAAATTCCACAGCTGATCTCATGTGACAGGTCATAGTCAAAACACAGGCACATAAAATTCAGTTTATTCAGCATCCTCAAAGGAAAAATATAATTACCTTCAGGCCAAGTGTACAAGGTGTACACAAAACATAAATGAAATTCCTGTTTAGACTAGGGTCCTATACCCAAGATATCTCATTATGTTTATGGTAATATTCCAAAATGCAAACCAACCAACCAACCAACCAAACAAACCCAAAATCTGAAACACTTATGGTCCTAAGCATTTTGGATAAGGGAGAGTCAACCTATACTGATTTTAAAAATCAGATAGGCTAATATTGCCTTCATAAATATGTAAGATTAGGCACATGTAGATATATGTGTCCAACTAGTATCTTATAATTTACAGACAGTGCCAGAAATTACGTGAATCTACAATTACTTTACTCAAAGTAAATACCAGAAATGGCATATTTTTCAGGCAGTTTTTAACTTAAGACTGATTAAGTTGTTTTTCAATTTCTAAGATCTCTGTTAGGAAATCATTATAAGAATAAATATTTTTGTTAAAAAATTCAAAAACAAAACTATACAAAGTGTTCTCATGCAATAATTTTACTTGTATTTTTGCCTAAACTAATGAGATCAGCCTTATGTTAATTATTTGAGACTGAAACTTAAAACTTTAAATACCGTCCATCAACACTATATATGCTTAAAAACATGTACAATTATTTAGCTTGCCAATAAACAGAAAAAAGCTTAAACTTGACAATAATACTGGTAACTAAAAAAGAATTATAACTTGGTGTATTTCTGTCCTCCATATGAAAAATAACTAATTTTTGTCTTTTGTATACTCAACTTAGAAATAAAAGCTCTATTTTTACCTCACCAGATATCCAATTTCTCATTCTTTATTTTTTAAATTTCTTACAGATAGGATCTCACTCTGTGGCCCAGGCTGAAGTGCAGTGGTACAATCATAGATCACGTAGCCCAAATTCCTGGGCTCGAGCAATCCTCCCTCCTCAGCTTCCTAAGTAGCTGGGACTACAGGCACACAACACCTCACCCTGGCTAATTATAAAAATTTTTTTAGAGACAGAGTCTCGCTATGTTGCCCAGGCTGGTCTTGAACTCCTGGCCTCAAGTGATCCTCCTGCCTTGGTCTCAGCCTCCTGAGTAGCTAGGAATACAGGTGCAAGCCACAGCACCTGGCTTTAGTTCTCATTCTTAGGCTTCTGTGTTACCTCTTACCAGGCTTCTTAGTCAATATAAATAACAAGGATTAGTCACTTCAGGAGGGCATATAATTCTTCATAATTATGGTAACTCCTGTTACTTTTAAAAAACTAATTAATTTTTAAATTGACAAAAAATGTATATATTCATTGTGTACATTTTGAAATATATATACATTGTGACATGGCTAAATTGAGCTAATTAACATATTGCATCACCTCACATACCTATCATTTTTTGTGATGAGAACACCCAAAATCTACTCTTAGTGATTTTCAAGAATACAATATATTGTTATTAACTGTAGTCATCATGTTATACAATAGATCTCTTGAACTTATTCTTTCTATGTGAAAATCCTTTGACCAACATCTTCCCCAACCACCCCCATCCCCTAGTAACCACCATTGTATTCTCTTTCTCTATGAGTCCAACCTTTTTAGACTGCACATATAAGTAAGATTGTGTGGTATTTGTCTTTCTGTGACTGGCTCATTTCACTTAACATAACATCCTCCAGGTTCATCCATGTTGTTGCAAATGATTCCGTTACATTTATTGAATTAGCATTCTGATTAATGAAACAGCCGAGAAAATTAAATACTTTTCTTGTAACTAGCCTATTTTGAGGATTCTGATATTGCCTGTCTTAAATCCAAGTCCCAAATATAGAATAATGAAACCGTTAAGATGTATTTTATACCTAGAACAGTCTTCCTCCCGTTACACATATATTTTGGGTTTCCAAGACAGCTTCCTGGGCAACCACAATGACTTGCTCCTTGGATTGTACAGCATTCTTTTTAATGTGCTCAACATCATTGTAAGAGCTGCTGTTTTTCTTTAAATTAAAACAAGGATTAAAAACGAGACAAAAAAGATAGGTTTCGCTTTAAGACAATGATAGGTAAGCTGCTTGTTATTAATATAAATGTTTTGATAATTCTATACTTTTCAGGTTGAGAAAACACATATTTGTGTAAATGTACAAAGGTCAGGGTGTATAGCATTTTCCCAGCCTCCACCTGCCAATTCTAGAATGAACACACAGGTCAGATAATGCCCCTACATCCTCTCCTTCTCTGTCCAACATTCCTTCCATGTCCTTGGCTAGACACCTCTCTTGTTCCTTGAGAGGAAGATTTTTGTAAGATTCCCTCAAGTAGATAGACAGCTTCTTCCTTTCATATCTCAAGCATTACACAGTGGGATGAATGTCCTTGTTTTGTAATGTGGCTTCCACACCATTACCTACCATACTTTTTTTAGGACCATCCACAGGTCTCCTGGTTTCACACACTGCCCTGAATATTTGATCACCTACCAGCCTCACATCCTCTCCACACCAATACCTGTCAGCACTCTCAGGGTGCTCCACAGGGCTGAGCCTCTGGCTAAGACTCCAACTTCTCAGCAACACTGACCTCACCTGCACTGTGAATGCTGTTCACAGACACTGCACAATCTTCACATTCTCTCCTGTGCACATTCCCTTCTCTGACACAGCCTTTTCTTCTACCTTCTGACTCACTTTGCTCAAGCACCATGGGCACATTGGTTCCTGACCTTATTTGGGGCTCCAATCCATGACCTTTCAGCTTATACACCAGTCCCTCATCTTTACTCCTTCATACAACTGAGATCCAATGGACTTACATATCCAACTGACCTTTTATGGAACTATATATTCGGCGGAGAGTCTATGAAATCACTATGGTGCTCTCACAAGGATGCTGTTATGGACTGAGTTGTGTTTCCCCCAAATTCTTATGTTGAAGCTGTAATCCCTAATGTGACTGTATTTGGAGACAGGGCCTTTAAAGAGGTAATTAAGGTTAAATAAGGTCGTAAGGGTGGGCCCTAATCCAATGGGGCTGGTGTCCTTTTAAGAAGAGGAAGAGACGACAAAGATGTGTGAGCATTGAGAAAGGGCCATGTGAAGACACAGGGGGAAGGTGGCCATCTGTAAGTTCAGGAGTGAGGACTCAGAGCAACCAAACCTGCTGACAACTTGATCTTGAACTTCTGGCTTCCAGAACTATAACTAAATGAATTTCTGTTGTTTAAGCCAGCTAGTCCACAGTATTTTGTCATGGCGGCCCAAGGTGACTAATACAGATGCTTTACTTCCTTTGCCCTGACCTTCCTTCTTTCCTATTGCTGTAGTAAAACACCTACTCATCTGCCTCAGTCAACCCCTGAGCAAGTCTCATGAAATTTATCTGTTATTAAGTAAAGTCACTATTAAAAGTTAACACCACTTGGTTTGACAGCAAATGCAACACCAGCTACATGCTGCTGCTTAAAAGCAAAACACCCAAATGACAATGTTTTTATTTTAAAATAAAAGGATGAACAATAAAATACCAAAAAGATGCACCAGAAAGTACAGTGCTAAGACTAAAAAGAAATAAAGAGGAAGTTAAAGGAAACAATAGCTCATGGAACTAAGAGAATTTCAGCATTAAAAACTTCATTAATGAGTAAGATAAAAATATCCTGAACCTTTCTATACCTAATAGAACAATAAAGTGAAATATAACACAAAAACTTAGAAATAAATGGAGAAGTTGATATAAATTACGACTGTGGAGAGCTTTAGGATTCCTTCTAACAGATGAACAGTAAGGATACAAGCAAGTTGAAAAACAGCGACAATTTATATTATGTATGCTATGGTCCCTCAATTTGAAGACAGAATTAATCAATTTAATAAAAACAAGAGGAGAAAATTTCTTACCCAGAAAAAGAAAATATATACTTCTGTGCAAACATTTATAAAACTGTCAAAAGAATTTTAAAAATTAAAGCACATATATAATTTCTTAAAGTTATCTATGTGTCTGTCATTTAAAAATAATGCAAAGTAGGATGAAAAATTCTCAGCAGCCCCTTGTCCAACCCTCCCCAATTCTATCCCCACAGAGGTAACCACTAGTAATGGTAAATAACAACAGACTTCTATGTTCACATAAACATATGGATATATACTCTTTCATACACTTCTCTTTGTTTAACAACAAACTCAACTGCATAGTATACAAAATCCTATAACTTTTTCACTTAATAAGTTATCCACTTAGTGTCTGATTTAAAGAAGATAAAGTAAAATTTAATTATAATTAGTGAACAGATAGGAAATCTCACCACAAAGAAAAGTGTAGTAAAAGTGAATGGAAATTGCAGAACTGAAAAATAAGTGAAATGAAGGATTCACTGGCCAGAGCTTAGCACATTGGAAATGACAAATGAGACAGTAAACTTGAAGACAGACCAACAGAAATCATCCAGTCTAAAGAACAGAGAGAAAAAAAAGATTTAAAAATATGGAAAGGATCTATAACCTGTGGGATTATATAAAAAGGACTAATATACATGTGCCTATAGTCCCAAAAGGGGACAGAGAGATTCAGGCAGATAAAAACATGTAAAGGAAGAATGTACTTAAGGCAGTCACATCACAGTGAAACTGCTGAATACCAAAAGTATGGAGAAAAGTAGCCAAAGGAAATAAAGCTAAATTATGTTCATGGTGACTTCTCCATCAGAAACAATGGCAGGCAGAACAATGGAATGCTATCTTTAACGTGCTGAAAAAATAACCAATGTAGAATTCTACATCGAGCGAAGATACACTTCAAGAATGAAGGTAAAATAAAGACACTTTCAGAAGCAATAGAGAATACACTGCCACCTGTACCATAAGAAATGCCAAATGAAGTCCTTAAGGTTCAAGAAAAATAATACCAAAGGTAAACTCGGATTTTCAAACAAACAAAAAGAACAGAAAATGATAAATTATCTGGATAAGTTAAAGACTATTTTTTCTCTTAATTAAAAAAATACATTGTAGAAAACAAATCCAGATGAACATTTAAAACAAACATTTTAACATTGTAATAAGGAGTGTATAATACAAATGACAATTATAGTACAAAGGATGTTGGGAGGGGGGGTGATTGGAACTGTGTAATTGCAATGCTCTTACATTTTATATTTTACCCAGATTAAGTATTAATAGAATATAAAAAGTTAAGGCTATGTATTGTACTCCCTTAGAGCATGGGCCAGCAAACTTTTTCTTAAAGATAGTAAATAGTTCAGGCTTTGATGGTTAAGAGGCAAAATTAAGGATATTATATAGATATTTATATAACATTATAAAATGTAAAAGCCATTCTTGAATAGCTCACAGTTTTTTTTAGAATTCCATTTCAATTTCTCTATTGGCTTTTTAGATTTCTTCCTCCCACTGGGCTTGCCTTCTTTCTGTAGGTCACAGTTGTTTCCATATTCTTGATGATCTTTTTAAAAAACAGTAACAAGAGAAAGAAGCCCATATATATGAAAGAGAACTGAGTGAGCTAGAGAGGAGAAACCCACTGGGAGGAAAAAAGGCTTCCTAGTGGAGGAAGGAGACGAGACACCAGGAAAGCCCCGTCCATACTCGAATGAAGATGGAGATCTGGAAGGGAGGCCGTGTCAGGCAATCTAAACAGCAGCCCAGGAGGTCAGGGGAACAGCTTCCCTCCCCAGCACCTGAGCAACGCCTCCTCTCCCCCAGTCCTCTGAGCTGCTGAGCTCATGTCTCATTTGTCCAGTGTTTTCCCACTCACCTGGACAGGTTGCCGGTGAACATTTTTTTTCCTCTCTCCAGGTCTCTTTCCCTTGCTCCAGCTGGGTGATGAGTTCTGGTTTAGAAAATGAAATTCCTGCTCACAGGAAAAGAAAATAAGTAACTAGGTTATGGGCTCAAGAGCCCATTCAAGAATTCAAAGCTAAACAGCCTAGGAAACTTCAAAGGTAGTACAAAGCCCTGAGTTGGAAGAGGTGAGTGGGGCTCTCAGAAATGGAAGGGATGAGTGGGCAGTGAACTCAGATGAGAGTACACTGATTCTATTCCATGCCGAGTAGATGAACACCCCTCTCATTTAAAACAAGTTAACATAGGATGAGAACCCCAGCCTGAGAAAAAAGGCCTAGAAATGCAGAGTAGCACACACAATACACATATGCACACACACAACAAATCTACCCATTTTCCACTCTGCAAAATCAGACCCTCCCTGGGGAAACACGAATAAAATGTAGTTGCTTTTTGGTCCAACCCAAAGGTCAAGTAACAAAGCAAGATGGCTGCTTCAAGCATAGCCTAAAATTCCCAGCAATAAGAATGGGAATCCTAACAGATATCAGGCTTACCCAGTGAGACCAGGTTGCTGTAGTTCTCCAGCATCACCTCTCTGTACAGAGTCCTTTGAGCAGGGCTCAGCAGCCTCCACTCATCCTGGGTGAAATCCACAGCCACATCCCTGAATGCCATGTGTGCCTGTAACACAAAACTGAGCCCTGCTCACTCAGAAGCCAGCCTTGCCCATGGCAGGGTGAGGGGCAGGGATAAGGCTGCCCTGGGGGAGGCAGGTGAGATATCAAGATCCCAGTGACCCTGGTGCCATGTGTTCCAAGACTTTTAAATCCCTGTCTCAATCCAGCCAGTGGCATTTGTGAACCCATACAGTCAAGATCCTGGGGGGCCACACAGGGTATATGTGCACAAAATGGAGTCCCTACATTTTGGGAACTTTAAATCTAGGCAGACAGAAGAGCAAGCAACATATAAAATGTAAGCAACAATAAAGGATAACAGATTTTCCGAGTTTTAAGAATTTAAAAGATCAAATAGTCCACTATAACTCAGTAATTCCTCAAAATCCTACGGCTTGGCTTTCTCGGGCCTGATGGTCACAAGCAGAGAGTAGTGAAGCCCTGGAATCATGGTGCCTGAGTTTCAGACCCACCTCTGCCACCAACTAGTATCCCAGTTTTCTTACCTGTGAAATGTAGAAAACAGTTCATTAAACTTCCAGCCTTAGACTGTGAGTGCTCACCATGGAGCTTCTTGGCCACTCAGTCCAAAAATTCATCTTTGCATCCTATTCTCATGCCCCTGCCCAGTTTTATTCTTTTAATTTTCTTAGCACTACTTCCAAATGGAGGACACACTGGAATAGAGATTAGAAAGGGGTTTCTAAGACAGGGCATGGCAACTTGGTCTTGGAGAATGGGTTGGAATCAAGGGAAGAAGAAAGTGCTAGGAACTACAGATGAGGCATGTGGGGAGCAGGGACAAGGACATTATGAGCAAAGGAAGACAAAGCCAAAATGTAGGCAGGGAGGGCCCCCTAGGAGGAATAAAAGCCACCTACTGGTAGAATCCAGAACTTTTTCATCCCACATTGAAACACTGTAACTATTAAACAATAACTTCCCATTCTTTCCTCCCGCTAGATCCTGGTAGTGACCATTTTGCTTTCTGTCTCCATTATATATGTGGTTATTCTATGTAGCTACAATAAGTGCAATCATATATGTCCTTTTGTGTCTGACTTATTTCGCTTAGCATGTCTTCGAGATTTAGCCATGTAGAAGCATGCACTCAGAATTTACTTCCTTGTTAAGGCTAAATAATACTCCATTGTGTGTATATACTACATTTTGTTTATGCACCTGTTAATAGACATTTGGTTTGTTTCTAGCTTCTGGCTATTCTTCCATGCACATGGTTGTATAAATATTTGTTGAAGTCCCTTCAGCTCTTTTGGGTATACACTCAAAAGTGGAATTACTGGATCAAACAGCAATTCTATAGGAACCACCACACTGTTTTCCACAGCAGCTGTACCATTTTGCATTCCCACCCGCAATGCACAAGGGTTCTGTTTTCTCCACAACCTTGTCAACACTTACTGCTTTCTAGTTTTGGGTTTTTTTTAAAGTAATAGCCATACTAATTGGTATAAGGTGGTATCTCATTGTGGTCTTCATTTGTATTTTCCTAATGTGAATGATAGTGAACATCTTTTCAGGTGCTTATTGGCCACATGTATATCTTTGCAAAAATGACTATTCAAATCCTTTGTCCATTTTTAAGCTGGGGCGTTCTTCTATTGTTGTTAAGCTGTAGGAGTTCTTTATATATTCTAAATATTAATCCCTTATCAGATATGTGACTTGCAAATATATTCCCTTCCTTTGATGAATGAAAGTTTTAAATTTTGATGAAGTCCAAGTTCACTATTCTTTTCTTTTATTGCCTATGTTTTGGTGTCATTTCCAAGAAATCATCACCAAATCCAAAGTTATAAAGATGTTTGCCTAGGTTTTCATCTACAATTTTTATAGTTTTCACATTTATGTTTAGGTCTTCGATCCATTTTCAGTTAATTTGCGTATATGGTGTTAGGTAAGGGTTCAACTTCATTCTTCAGCATATAAATATACAGTTTGCCCAATAGCGTTTGTTGAGTATAGTCTTTTTCATATTGAATGGTCTTGCCACTCTTGTCAAAAATCATTTGACCATATATGCAAGGGTTTATTTCTGGGATCTCTATTCTGTTCTATTAGTCTGTAAGTCTGTTTTTATGCTAGTACCACAGTTTGGGTTACTGTTGCTTTGTAGTAAATTCTGAAATAAGGAACTGTAAGTCCTCCAACTTGGTTCTCTTTCATGATTGTTTTAGGTATTCAGTGTCCCTTGAGATTCCATATCAAGTTTAATATGAATTTTTCTATTTATTAAAAAAATTGTTATTTTTATAGGGATTACATTGACTCTGTAGATTGGTTTGAGTAGTATTATTATTTTAACATTAAGTTTTCTGGCCAGGTGCGGTGGCTCACATCTGTAACCCTAGCACTTTGGGAGGCCGAGGCAGGTGGATCACCTGAGGTCAGGAGTTCAAGACCAGCCTGGCCAACATGGCGAAACCCCGTTTCTATTAAAAAATACAAAAATTAGCCAGGTGTGGTGGCAGCACCTATAATCCCAGCTACTTGGAAGGCTGAGGCAGGAGAATTGCTTGAACCTGGGGGGTGGAGGTTGCAGTGAGCCAAGATCATGCCACTGCACTCCAGCCTGGGCAAAAGAGCAAAACTCTGTTTCAAAAAAAAAAAAAAATAGTTTTCCAGTCTACAAACATGTGATGTCTTTCCATTTATTTACATCTTTCTTTCAGCAGTATTTTGTAGTTTTCAGTGTATGTCTTTCATCTCCTTGGTTAATTCCTAAGCATTTTTTTCTTTTTGATGCTATTTTAAATGAAATTGTTTTCCTCATTTTCTATTAGGATTGTTCACTGTTAAGTGTATAGATATGCAACTGATTTCTGTGTGTTGACTTCATATACTAGTTCTAATAGGTTTGTGTGTGTTTAGTCTTTAGGGTCTTCCACATTTAAGATCACGCCACCTGCAAACTCAGATAACTTCGCTTTTTCCCATTCAGATGGCATTTGTTTCTTTTTCTTGCTTATTTTCTCTGGCTAACACTTCCAATACTCTGTTGGCTATAAGTGGCAAAAGTGGGCATTGCTGCCTTATTGCTGATGTTGGAGCTTTCAGTCTTTCACCATGGAGTATGTTAGCTGTGAGATTTTTGCATATGGCCTTATTATAGAGTGGTTTCCTTCTATTTCTAGTTATTTTCTATAAAAGGGTGCTAAATTCTGTCAAATACTTTTCTGCATTGAGATGATCATGTGTTTTTTTTCTTTCATCTGTTAATGTGATATTTTATATGCATTGATTTTTTTTTTTTTTTTTTGAGACAGAGTTTTTGCTCTTGTCACCCAGGCTGGAGTGCAGAGGCACGATGTTGGCTCACTGCAAGCTCTGCTTCCTGGGTCCAAGCAATTCTCCTGCCTCAGCCTCCAGAGTAGCTGGGATTACAGGCACGTGCCACCATGCCTGGCTAATTTTTTTGTATTTTCAGTAGGGATGTGGTTTCACCATGCTGGCCAGGCTGGTCTCGAACTCCTGACCTCAGGTGATCCACCAACCTCGGCCCCCCAAAGTGCTGGGATTACAGGCATGAGCCACCGTGCCCGGCCATATACCCATTTATTTTTGTATGTTGAACAATCCTGCATTTCAGGAATAAATTCCACTTGGTCATGGTGTATAATTCTTTTCAAACGCTTGTTGAATTCAGTTTGCTAGTATTTTGTTGAAATTTTTTGCATCAATGTTATAAATGATGTAATTTTCTTGTAGTGTCTTTGTCTGGTTTTGGTATCAGAGTAATGCTGGCCTCACAGAATGAGTCAGGCAGTATTCCCTCCTCTTCAATACTTTTGGAGAAGTTTGAGAAGAACTAGTGTTAGTTCTTCTCTAAATGTTTGGCAGAATTCACCAGCAAAGTCATCAGGTCCAGGAGGGCCTGATTGTTTATCAGGATGGTTTTGATTACTGATTCAATCTCCTCACTAGTTATACACTTATTCAAAATTTTGATTTCTTATGATTCAGTCTTGATAGGTTTTGCATTCTAAGAATTTGCCCACTTCATCTAGGGCATCCGATTTGTTGGCATACAATTTATAGTTCTCTTGTACAATCCTTTTTACTTCTGTAGAAACAATAGTAATGTCCTCACTTTCATTTCTGATTTTAGTAATTTGAGTTTTCTTATTTTCTTAGTCAATAAAGCTAAAGGTTTGTCAATTTATTTAATCCTTTCAAAGAACCAACTTTAAGTTTTGTTGCTTTCTGCTATTATCCTTCTATTCTCTATTTTATTTGACTCTGCTCCAGTGTTTATTATTTCCTTCCTTCTGCTAGCTTTAGGTTTAGTTTGTTCTTCTTTTTCTGGTTCCCTAAGTTGTAAAATTAGGTTGTTCCTTGGAGATTTTGCTTTCTAATGTATTTCAGCTAAAAATTTCCTGCCTAGCACTTTACTTCATCTCATAAGTTTTCCTATGTTGTGTTTCTTTCTCACTTGACTCAAAGTATGGTCTAATTTCCCTTGTAGTTTATTCCTCTACCTACTGGTTTAAGAGTATGTTCTTTAATTTTCACGTATTTGTGAATTTTTAAATTTTCTTTCAGTTATTGGTTTCAATCTTCATCTTGTTGTGGTAGAAGATACTTCTTATGATATCAGTCTTAATTTGTGGCCTAACATTTAGTCTATCCTGCAAAATGTCCCATGTGTACTTGAGAAGAACGTGTATTCTATTTTTGTTGGGTACAATGTTCGGAATATGTCTATTATATCTATTGGATTTACACCTTGTTCAAGTCTTCTATTTTTTTACTTATTGTCTTTCTTATTGTTCTATCCATTATTTAGAGTGGGGTACTGAAATCTCCAATTATTATTATAAAACTCTACTCCCTATAATGCTGCCCATTTTTCTTTATATATTTAAAGGGTCTGTTATGAGGTATATGTGTATAATTTCTATATCTTCTTGCTGTAGTAAACCTTTTGTATTAATGTCTTCCTTATCTCTTGTAACCTTTTTCAATTTAAAGTCTATTTTTTCTGGTATTAATGTAGCCACTCCTACTTTCTTTGGTTTCTATTTGCATGAAACGTCTTTTTCCATTCTTCTGAAACTATTTGTGCCTTTGGATATAAAGTGAGTTTCTTGTAGACAGCATATAGTTAGATCATGTTTTTTTAAATCCACTATGCCAAATTGTTTTAGAGTTTAAAGCATTTACATATAAAATAATTACTGATAAGGAGGGACTGATTTCTGCTATTTTGCTTTTTGTTTTCTACATGTCTTGCAGATTTTTATTCTTAATTTCCTGTATTACTGTCCTTTTTTTGTCTTTGGTTGATTTTTTCAATGCAACTTTTAAATTCCCATCTCACTTGCTTTTCTCTACATCCTACAGATATTTTCTTTGTGGTAACCAAGGGGATTACACTTAATGTCCTAAACTTTAAAAACTGAATTTGAACTCATCAGCTTAACTTCAATAGCATATAAAAACTGTGTTCCTATACAGCTCCATCTCCAACTCATTACTGATGTCACAAAATTACATCTTTATGCACTGTGTGGTCAAAAACATAGACTATTTTTTTTTAAATGCAGTAGTCTCCTAAGTCTCATATAGAGAACAAAAAGTGAAGTTACAAAGCACAGTTACAGTAATACTAGCTTATATTACTACCTGTGTATTAACCTTTAATGGAGAACTTAATTTTTTTATATGGCTTCATGTAACTGTCTAAAGTCCTTTTATTTCAACCTGAAAGACTCTTGTTAATATTTCTTGTAGGGTAGGTCTAGTGGTTGTAATCTCCACCAACTTATCGAGAATGTCTTAATTTCTGCCTCAGTAATGAAGGGCAGTTTTGCCAGATACAGAATTTTTGATTGGCAGGCTTTTTTGTTTGTTCGTTTTCTTTTAGCACTTCAAATATATCAACCCACTGACGTCTGGCCCGAGAGGTTTTTCGTAAGAAATTTGCTAATAATCTTATTGAGGATCCCTTGTACGTAGTGTTGCTTTTCTCTTGCTGCTTTCAAAAATCCCTCTGTTACCTTTGGCTTTTGATGCTTTGATTACATTGTTTCTCAGTGTGAGTCCTTTTGAGGTTTTCCTACTTATAGTTCATTGAGCTGCTTGGATGTTTATATTCAAGTCTTTCATCAAACTTGGGAAGTTGTCAGCCATTATTTCTTCAAACAATCTCTCTGTCCCTTTTTTGTCTTCTCCTGGGAATCCCATAAGGCATAGTTGATCCACTTGATAGTATCCCATAGTTCCCTTAGGCTCTGTTCACTTTTCTTTAATCTTTTTGTCTGTGTCCCTCAGACTTGATAATTGTCCTATCTCCTGGTTTGCTGATTCTTCCGTCTGCTCAAATCTACTTCTGAATCCCTCTAATGAACTTTTCTTTTCAGTTGTACTTTTTAAATCCAAAATTTATTTTTGGTTTATTTTTATGTTTTCTGTCTGTTTATTGATATTTCCATGTTGTTCTTACATTATTTTCTTGACTTTCTCCACATCTTCCTTTAGCTCTTTAAGATGGCTGTTTTAAAGTCTTTGTTTAGTAAGTACACTATCTGGCCTTTGTCAGGGATGTTTTCAGTTTATTCATTTTTTTTCCCCTTTGAATGGGTCATATTTTCCTCATTCTTTGTATGCCTTATGATTTTTGTCAAAAACTGGACATTTAAATCTTATAAAGCAGCAACTCTGTTAGAGTCTCCCTTTTGTTTTTTTGTTTTGTTTTGTTTTGTTTTTAATATTGATGTAGGGTGTCTCCATGCTAAGAATCAGCCTGAGGTGTAAGCTTAAGGTCTTCTCAGGTGTTTTCTGAGCCTGTGCCTTTCCATGGGTATACCTTCTACATTCCCCCATATGCAGTTGCTTTTCAATATACTAGTCCTCAAATATTTCGCTCTCAAAGGGGAAAAAGAGAACTTCAGTGGGGGAAAACAGACTCTGGCTCCTTAAATCCCCTAAAAGCCACTTTAGCCAGTGGGGGGTTGCAATTGGCTGAAGTAGCTTTCAGGGGATTTAAGTGGACCACCTCTGTGATCAGAAACAGCAATTAACAATCAGAACACAGATCCTCAATATTTGGAGTAAAGGGTCCTTATTGTCCACCATGTCTCCCACAAGCCATGCAGAAGCTGATCTAGGAATATAGGACAGCTACCTGCCATAGGGCTGGCAGGGTGGATGACAGGTAGCTGCTACTATACTAAGAGCTAAAATTAGCTGTGACTTACCCTCCATGCTTCCTTCCCCCTGGGAACTGGAGGCCTTCAACTAGACTCCAGAGTTCCAAAATAGGTACACCTGATAGATCCTGCCAGTATAATCGTTGTCTAGGTGGGGACACAGATTCCAGAATCTTCCCGTTCCATTACTGTGACGTTACTCTCAGGCAGCAGAACTTTTGAAGCTGAACAAAGAAATGCAGACTCTATCTCATACTGTAGAATTGTGTGTTGTTCAGTTTACTAGGTGAATAACTGTGTCATGGGTTTTGCAGAAAGTGATGCTGAGGCAGGGGAGCAAGTAAGAGGAATTGGAGCTGAACTCTACTAGGCACCAATAAGGCAGTCAGGGTAAGAGAAGGGAATGTGTCCATCCTGTTACAGCCAGTAATGGAGACAGGAAACACTCACCATTCCCCTGGCTCTCCGGGACCCTGTGGCTTTTTTTCCTTATCTCCCTGAAGAAGGATGATATCTCAGAAGGTAGATCTGGGTAAGGAAAACAGAAATGGGAGGGTGTCAGGTAGAAATGCTCTCCCCATGAGTGAAGCAGGGCCTGCTCTTTAACCCCACAACTGGGGGCGCAGTGGCATAATGGGGAAAGTATAAAGCAAGGAAAAGATACTGCTTGGAAACAGCAAAGGAAAAGGAAAAACAAGCAAGAGAGAGTAATCCAGGGTCTTCCAAAACAAAAGAGAAAAACAAAAAACAACAACAAAGAAACCCCAAAGGATGCACCACCTCTCCTTCCCCTGCAATCCAGTAAAGAAACTGTACTTTGCTACACTGCCAGAAGCATTTTCCTGAACTAGGGAAATCTCAAAAACACTAGAATCTGACAGTTCTGTTTACAGAAATGCAGACACGCAAACAGTTGTAGTCTATTAAAAAAAATGAAAATGAGAATCCAAACAATTCAACTAAAGAAAATTCCACCAAAAAAAAAATGGTGAGACAGAAAAAAAATTTAAAAAACCGTAACATTAAGCTACATTAAATATCTTCAAACAAACATTTTGGGATATGAGATATACCCCAAATATGAGATCATAAATTAAAAATTCAAAAACTAAGAATAGAAATGGACAAAAAAAGTAAAGAAACAAAAAGATTTCAACAAACTTTTGAAAGAAATCAAAGAAAAAGACAATATTATATGATAAATGAAGACAAACTTATAAGACACTCAAGGAGGAATAGATTGAAATGAAAACATGACGAGCACTTAGTAATAGCCAGAAAACAAGAGAATGAAGTGAAATAAGAAGTAAAAAGGATCAGAGAGAAAGAAGCTGGAAAGGAAAACAGACAAAGAAGTAATATTCATATAATTAGTTCCTAGATACCAAAACAACGGAAATATTTAAAAGTATAATGTAAGAAAACATTTTAAAAACAATTACCTGAATCTAAATATGAAAGGGCCTATGGGATATGAGGGAAAAGTTGACTCATAACCACCAACTCTAAGACATGCACTAGAAAAACTATTAGACTTTAAAGAACAACAACAGGAATCCAAAGTGACTCTAAACAAAAAACATGAGTTCTACCAGAGTTTTTGAAATTATCATTCAACCACTGCATACTGCTGGTGGGAATGTAAAATGTGGTATACCCTCAAACCAGTATGGTGGTTTCTCAAAAAATTTAAAATACAATTATTATGTGATTCACCAATTCGACTTCTGGCTATATACGCAAAAGAACTGAAGGGAAGAACTCGAACAGATACTTGTGCGCTCATGTTCATACCAGCATTGTTCACAATAGCCAAAAGGTGTAAGCAACCCAAGCGTTGCTTACAATGGATGAATGAATAACAAAGTGATACGTACATACAATGGAATAGTATTCAGACTTAAAATGGAAGGAAATTGACACATGCTACAACATGAACCTAGAAGACATTGTGCTAAGTGAAATAAGCCAGAAGTAAAAGGACAGTAAGATTCCATTTATATGAGGTACCTAGAATAGTCAAATGGTGGTTGAGGAGAGGTGGTTGGGGTAAGGGAGAATAGGGAGGTATTGTTTAACGGGTATGGAGTTTCAGTTTGGGAAGATGAAAATATTTCTGGAGATAGATAGTGGTGATGGTTGTACAACAATATGAATGTACTTCATGCCATTGACTCAAACATGTTAAAATGGTAAATTTTATGTTATGCATATTTACCACCAAAAAAAAAGGTCTGGCCAAAAATCATCATTCAAAGCAAGACAGGATAGGGGAAATTTAGCAAAAAGACTGATGATGAGCATTTAATATACATAATTGTAAACTTAGAACTAAAAGGGGGAGAAGAAAGAGGAGGAAAACATGTGCTAATGTTATAGGGCATTGTGTCCTGATAAGGTAGAAATGCCACTCAAATAGAAGACACAGGAGAAGAAGAAAGTAGAAAAAGGTTGCTGATCATATCATAGGCAATAGGCAGGAATTAAAGGGAATACACAAAATGAAATTATAGAACTACTTAAAAATAACAGTAATAAAAAACACTACGTATATACAGGATTTATTTAACACAGTGAGGTAAGGGAAACTATAGCCTTAAGTACTTTTACAAATAAAAAGGAAAGAAAAAAATCCAGCCTGGGCAACATGGTGAGACCTCATCTCTACAAAAAAATTTTAAAAAATAGCCAGATTTGGTGCATACACACACCCGTATGGTCCCAGCTACTCAGGAGGCTGAGGAGGGAGCATCACTTGAACCTGGGAGGTTGAGGCTGCAGCGAGCCTGACTGCATCACTGCACTCCAGTCTAGGTGAGAGAGTGAGACCCTGCCTCAAAAAATAAATAAATTAATTAATTAAATTCCAAGCTCAAAAAGCTAATAAAATAAAGTAACCCAAAAGAAAGCACAAAGACAGGAATTAATAAAGATGAAAGCATAAATTAATGAACAGAAAGCAGTAGATCTAATGAGCCAAATCCTACTTTGTCAAAAAAAGTAGACAAACACTAGCTAACTGAAAGAGAGAAAGCATAAATATTCAACTAAGAAGTGACATGGATGTGAGGGCGATCTGGATGCGACATCTGTCACCACATTGATCACCAGTGTTGATCCAGCTGATCTGGCTGGCTAGGTGGGTATCCTCTTCCTCCCTCATTGCTCCATGTGCATCCCTCCGGAAGCTGCACACTCAGTCAAGGAGGATGACCATCCCACATAGGGGAGGACCAGTCTTCGGTCAAGGGTATACGAGTAGCTGTGCTCCCCTGCTAGAACCTCCCAACAAGCTCTCAAAATAAGAAATAAGAAAGGCAAAGTCACCAAAAAACATCTTCTTAAAAGTCATGTAAGACTACTTTGCAGACCTTTATATAAATAAACGTGTAGACCTAGATGAAGTGAATAACTCTCAAAATTAACTCCAGATGGTCACAAGGAAATTCTATCAAACCTTCAAACCAGGTAGTCCTTATGCTCCAAATACTGTCCCAAAGCATTGAAAACTAAAGGGAAAAGTTCTCATTCATTTTATAAAGCAAGGATACCATGAGGACCTTAACTTGATGACAGTTCAAAAACAGAAAATTATAGACTAATTGTCACTTACAAATATTGAAGCAAAATTCGAATTAAAATGTTAGCAAAAAGACTCCAACATCGCAATAACAAAATATTTCACCATGGCAAAGAAAAATTTACCCAGGATTGCAAGACTGGTTCAATTTTAGGGGATCTTTTATTATAATACACCACAATAATAGATGTAAGGAGAAGTCATGATTGCCTCTCTACATGTAAGATACTCTTTACCAAAACTCAACACCCCTTCTTCAAAAAACAAAACAAAAACTCAAGAATATAGAATTGATGGATTTTTAAAACTTTTTATTTTGTAACAAATTTTAGACTTACAAGGAAGTTGCACAAATATCAATTCCCATACCTTCCACCCAGCTTTCTCTAATGTTAACATCTTAGAAAATGATAGTACAATCATCAAAAGCAGGAAATTAACATTGACACAATACTATAAACTACAGACTTTAATTAAATTTTGCCAGTTTTTCCACCAATGTACTTTTTCTGGTCCAGGATCCAACTGAGGTTTCCACATTGCCTTTAGTTGTCATGGATCTTTAACCTCCTCCAATCTGTGACAGATCCTCTGTCTTTTCTCATCTTTCACGAACTTGGCGCTTTTGAAGGGTATCCCTCAGTTTTGGTTTGTCCGATGTTTTTTCATGATTAGAACGAGTTTTTCACTTCTGGTTAGAATACCTCAGATGTGATGCTGTGTCCTTCAACATATCAATGAGTTCATGATATTGTTATGTCTTTTTACTGGCGATATTAACCTTGATCTTGATCACTTGGTTAAGGGGGTGTCTTCTGAGCTTCTCCATTGTAAAGTCACTACATTTCCCTTTATAATTAATAAATATCTTGAGGGAGATACTTTGAGATTATACAAATATCCTATTTCTCTTCAAACTTTCAGCCACTAATTTTAGCATATATCTGTGGAACCTATCTGCAATAGTTATTACTGTGCTGTTTACCAAATGACAAAGTTCTTTTTCCCCCTTTCATTCTAAATCCATTAATTAGAATTCTTCTGTCAAAGCTGTTCTGTCTCCCCATTTATTTGTATCCAGTTATTTACTTATATCAATATGGATTTATATCTTATCCTATGGGTTATAATACAATAGTATCACTGTTTATTTTGCTGTTAAAATTATTCCAGCTTTTTCCCCCTTTCATTCTAAATCCATTAATTAGAATTCCTCTGTCAGAGCTGTTCTGTCTCCCCATTTATTTATATTCAGTTATTTATTTATATCAGTATGGATTTATATCTTATCCTATGGGTTATAACACAATAGTATCACTGTTTATATTGCTGTTATAATTATTCCAGCTTTAAACATTGGGAGCTCTTCCATTTTGGCCTTGTTCCTGCTTTAACCAATAAATTTGACACAAGTGACACTGTGCCAGTTACAGGCTTAAGTCCTAAGAAGGCCAGACAGCTTTCACTCTTGGGAGCTCTAACGTACCACGTAACGAGTTCAATCCTGCTGGAAGCCCTTACACTACCTGGAGAGAGTGAGGCCTGCTGTCCCAGCTGACCCCAGCCTTCCAGCCAACCCACGAAAATATGTGATGGAACCCACGAAAATATGTCAAATGTGTGACGGAACCATCTTGCATGTTCCAACCCAAATGAGTCCCCAAATGACTGCAGCCATAGCAAGATGCATCACTCACATCTCAGCTGATCACATCCGCTTTGGGTAAACCCAAAGAACTGTGGGAGATTAAAACATAGTTGCTCTCCTAAGCCACTCAGTTTTAGAGTGGTTTGTTGTGTAGCAGTCAATAACCAGAACCCTTGCTGGTTATTGACATACTGCGCCCTCTCTCTTTCAGCTTACCTGATAACAGAAGCATCTTCCTGTCATCCATGGCACTTACTCAGTCCCATGACTACTTCTCTCTACCTTCCATATCAAACCAATTATCAAGGCAAATGGATTCCACCTCTGCCAACTCTCTCAATTCCTCCCCACCCCTACACCAGTTGGAGCACCAGGACAATGGCAAAAGCCTCCTGCCAGTCTCTGTAGACCATTTCCCAACATCCTAGTCTGCCTCATCCATTACTCCTATGGATTATGCCTTCATTTGGCAAGTATTTATTATGCTCCTACTGTGTGATAGGCACTATTTTAAACCCTGGGGATACAGAAGTGAACAAAGACAAAAATCTACCCTCACTGACATGAAAGTCTAGAGGAGAAAGATGGGCCAATTACATGAATAAATAAAATACACACTGTATCAGAAAGTGATGAGTGGCATGAAGAGAAATAAAGCAGGGAAGGAGAAAGGATAGTCACAGAAGTGGGGTGAGGTTTTAGAATTTTAGATAGGGTGATTTGGGAAGGCATCTCTGAGGTGACTGAGTAAAAATCTCAAGGATGTGAAGAGCCCAGGGAATAACTTTGAAAAGAACATCTAGGGCAAGAGAACAGTCAGTGCAAAGGCCCTGATGCAAGGAAGAATCAGGCTGGCATGGCCAAGGGACGGACAGTTCACTGTGGCTGGTGTGGAGTGACTGAGATAGTGTGGTACAGATGAAGGCCAAGAGTAAATGTAGGGACATCAGACCTAGCTTTGTAGGATACTGGTTTTGACTTTGGTTAGGATGAGAAGCCACTGGAAGATTTTGAGCAAACACATGACATGATTCGATTTACATTTAAAATCTCCTTCTATTTGCTCCACTGATTCATGTACCTTAGCGGGACATAGGCAGAAACAAAGAGATCACTGAAAGGCTATGATCGTCCAGATGAGACGGTGGCCTGGACCATGGTGGAAACAGCAGGGCATGGAAACTGTCGGAGTCCAGATTTCCGTAGTGTGGATGAGGGTATAAGAGCAAGACAGGATCAAGGATGACTCCTTGATGACTCCAAGCAATCTGAAGGAAAGAGCTGAAATGCTTCTGCTCCAAGATAAACTCTTGAAAGGATGGTCTATATACCACTGGGGTGGAACATGTTCAGGGAAGGTAATCAGAGTTTCTTGTTGCACACATTAGTTTTGGGATGCCCATAAGATATCCAAGTGGGGTGGCACACACCTGTAGACCAGATACTCAGGAGGCTGAGGCATGAGAATCACTTGAAGATGGGCAGTGGAGGTTGCAGTAAGCCGAGATTGTGCCACTGCACTCCAGCCTGGGCGATAGAGCGAGACTCCTGTCTCACTAAAAAAAAAAAAAAAAATCCAACTGGAAATGTGAAGAAGGAGACAGTAGGGGACCAGGATGTGAGTTGCACACAGAGCTCTAGGCTGAGCCTCAGACAGATGGCATTTAAAGCCTTGAGAATGAACGGGAGAACCAAGGAGACAGTATAGCTGAAGAAGACAGGAGGTCTAAGAACTGAAGCAGGGCCTTTTCCACGGTGGAAATTTGGGAGGGAAGGAAGAGCCAGTAAAGGAGACAGAGGAGGAGCAGGCTATGAGTTAGGAGGAAAACCAGGAAGACCTAGTACCAAGAGCAACTGTGTGAAAGGATATATTAAGAAGGAGGATGTAAACAATTACATCAAATGTTGCTGAGAACTGATTGTGGCCTTTAGTCAAGGAGACCATTGGTAACCCTGACAAGAATATTTTTTGGTGTCACTTGAAAAAGCCTTACTAAAATATTCGAAACATAACAGAAGGATAGCAACGCAGACAACAAACATAGATAATTCTTTCAAGGAGTTCAGCTCTAAATGGGAGGAAAGACAAGGCAAGAAGGTGAAGAAGAGACAGGAAGCTAGGGCAGTGCAGAAATGGAGACAAAGGGAAAGAAAAGGAATCGAGAAGAATGCACAGGTGGAATAGGAGGATACAACTTTTGTTTTGTTTTGAGGTGGAGTCTTGCTCTGTTGCCCAGGCGACAGATTCTCCTGCCTCAGCCTCCTGAATAGCTGGGATTATTGGTGTGTGCCACCACGCCTGGCTAATTTTTGTATTTTTAGTAGAGATGGGGTTTCACCATGTTGGCCAGGCTGGTCTCGAACTCCTGACCTCAGGTGATCTGCCCGCTCTGGCCCCCCAAAGTGCTGATTACAGGTGTGAGCCACTGTGCCCGGCCAGGAGGACACAACTTCTAATGGGAAGTAAGTTTGGAAACAAGGATGCAAGGAAAACTCAGAGGTCCAGCTTATATCAAGTTATAAGGCTGTCAACACAGATCAGCAAGATCAGAAGAAATAGGAGGAGAAATGAGGCAGAGATAGGGAAAACTGGGATGCTGTTTCCAGATACTTTTCCCTCTCCTGCCTCTGACCAGGGCTGTTCTGACTGGTGGAAAAAAAAGATTTTTTTTTTAACAATGGGGGAAAACAATATGGGCTAGATATTAAATGATATTAATAAGTTATTAATTTTGTTGGGTATAACAAAATATAATTGTAACAATGTAACTGTATAACAATGAAATTGTGGTTATGTTAAAAAAAGAAGTCCTTATGTGTTAGAGATGCCTCCTGAAGTGTTCCCAGGTGAAATGATATAACTGGGATTTGCTGCCAAAACTCTAGCAGGGAAAAGAGTAAGTGAGAGTATTGGAAGACAGAAGAACAGAATGTTAACAACTTCACAGGACCTGACAAGCCCTGGGAATGAGCAGTCTGAACAAATACTGAAAGAAGGAATGTAGGGGAAGAATATAGGTGTAATGAATGAGAGCATCAGCTCTGAAAAATATTCCCTGTGAAAATGATCACTCTTAAAACAAGCCTAGTTTCCTGAAGGAACCAGCTGGGGCCCTGATCCCTGGATGGGACATTGTAGAACACAGACGTCAAAGCTGAGCAAAAGAAACCCACTCATGGTTCGAAATGCAAAAGGTAAGTGGCACCCACCTGAAGCTGGGCTGTCAGGAGCTCAGGAGTACCCCCTTTCCCCAGCAGGCAGTCCTCTCTGGGCAGACAGGAGCCACAGGGAGGCAGAACAAGAACAAAAAGCGTTCAAGAAAATCAAGGGAAATCCTCTCCAGCAGGGCAGTACCTCCTATTCCTTAACAGCATCAGGAATGAACCTGCCACAGAAGAAAAGGAGAAAAGAACTGCGGGCAGCTTCCTGGGAACACAGCTGGGGTACAGGTTGAAAGCACGACCTGCCCTGATATGCTGTTGACGCTGAGCATGAAGCGACCTTCTCTGTGCCTGTTATTAATGAAAGGTAATATTCACTGAACACTTAGTATACACCAGAGACTGTTACAGCCACTGTAGGAGTTTCACCTCATTCTATCCTTTCAACAACCCAATACGATAGATGCTATTATCCTCTTTAGGATAAAATCGAGGAAACTGAGGTACAGTGAAGTCAGCATCTTGCCCAAGGTGACACAGCTATAAAGTGACAGAGCCTAGAGGAAATGTGGCTGTGGAGACCGTGCTCTTACACAGTAAGGGCAGTGACGGTGAACTCTGGATTGCAAGGATTCTCTGTGTCCATTCTGAGATGAATCAAGATTGGTCATAAGGTTTTAAGTGTTGAATCTGGGTGATGGAGATCTGGTCTATAGAGTTCTATCTACTTCTGGCTGTTTGAAATTTCTCCGCAATAAAAACTTAAATGGAATGTAAAATCCCAAAGCCTGGCCACACCAGGGGCCTGGGAATCCGTAATTCTTGCGATCAATGACGGTCCCTGGGACCTTTGGAAAAAACCTGTCCTGTGCGTCCCAGCCAGACTTCCTCCTCCAACGCCCGAACCCGGGGGTGACCAACCAAAGTGAAACCCTAAGATCGCGGCAAAATGGCCACCCCAGATCCAGTCTAACCTTGGCTTGTTTGGTCAAGCCAGACCGCTCCTCATTCCACTCCAGCAAAGCCGAAGAATAGTGTGGCCCCAAGAGACTAGCCCTCAACCGACCAATGCCTCGGGGACACATGGCCCCAGGGATGGTTCCCATTCCACCACCTGGGAAATACCATTCCCCCAAAAAGCTTATTTATTCAACTCCCCCAAAACCGGGGACTTATGGCATCAGCGACTCCCTTTCCCAATACCCGACTTCAGCCAAAGCCGAACCTGTCCCCACCCACAAGAACCCTAGGAGAGAGAGCCCGATCCCCCACTCATCACCATCCAGTTTCACGGATGGGCTTCACCCAACTCCCCTGGAGATGCACGCCCACACCCCCAAAATAAGACATCTGGGAGAGGACGGCCTGCGCCACGCCAGCGCGTTCCCACCACAATCACCACCCCCGCGCCACCCGCACGGTCCCCAAATTCAGCCCATAGTCCAGCCTTTCGGGACCTTCCTTTTCGCGCAGAAAAGGGTACGGCTGCGGCAAGGGTCCCGCGGGAGCCTCACTCACCAGCGCCACCAAAGAACAAGGGGTCGCTCCAGCCACCAGCTGGGGAGCTCCTCCAGCGGGGCGCCAGGACTACACTACCCCGAATCCTCGGCACAGCGCCCGGACCACACCTCCCAGGATGCTCGGCGCCACCAGGCGCGCCCTGAAGGCCGGCAGCTCCCATTGGCCTCTGACGGATCCGTTTCTGAGTAACACGCTCCGGTCACCGGAGAATGGCCACTGTGGCACCTGAATTCTCCCTCTTTTTTCTTAACCACGTGCATAAAACACGTAGGAGCTCCCGAGAAGAGTGCCTGGCCCTACTGTGACCCTCCTTCTGAGCGCCTCTGTCTCGAAAACTACACTTCCCAGTGACCCCTGGAGCGACTTCCGCACCCGGTACCGGCCCCGCCCCTTGGCGCGCGGAAATGACGTTTCGGGGCGCATCTGTTCGGCTTCTGGGGTTGGCGGAGGTGTACCGCTGGCTGACCAAGCTTGTTCAGGTGCTGGTTTGTGTTGCAGCGGCCTGTGGTCTCCCTGGCTCCAGCCGCCTGCTTGGAAAGTCACGCCCCATATTCCTAAACACCGGGCGAACGTCATGTCGTATACCCTTTAGCTCCATTTAAAGCCTTGAAAAGGCCGAGCAGTCTGCCTGAAGTCTCACATCCCGTACGAGGTAGACCCGATTCTGAGCCCACGCCCTCAACCCGAATACACCTTTTCCGGTGCCCTGAGACCTTTTTCTTCTTTTTGAAATCCACGAAGTTATTGTTAAACTCTCATCTCCTGAGAAGCAGAAGCCTCAGTCTCGGGCCAGAGCTTGGCCTGCCGTCGGCTTGGATCTCTAGGTCTTTGTCCGGGATCCTGGTTGAGAACAAGATTGCGCTGGTGCCATCTGGGACGCCCCATCTGGGGAGCTCGAGGGGAAGGCCCACGTCACTCTTGAGAGGGCTTTTCCACCCGTGCACCCTCTCACTGCCCTTCACCTTCCTCAGATAGGCTTTCTGAAACTTTGTCATTCTCTTGGAAGACCAAGAAAATGACCACTGTCTGAAGGGCCAGGGAGATGAGAATTTCCTAAAATTCTTTTGTAGCTCTCAGAGGGTGAATCCATTCCCTTCTGGTACCCCGAGGCTACATTATTTATTGTGAATTCAGTTCAGTCCTGGCTCCGGAGACATGTCCAGTGTCAATTGGATTCATCCCTCAACATCATTCTCTGCCTCATGAGTCAGTCATCACCAAGAAATTAGTTGTTAATACACATAAAGGTTCAGAACAACAATGCAGGGATGCCTGTGTTCAAGTGTTCACTTGTGCTGGCTGTACAATAAAGACACAGATGGCTGACATCTCTTAAGCCTGGAAATGAAGACTTACAGGATGAGGTGCTGCCTGAGGAATTAGGCAAGATGAGGAGTTGGAAGAACACAGACGAGTAAGGAAGAGTGTAGGAAGTGTGAACAGAATCTCAGGGTCTGAGCCACTGGGTGGACTGTCATGACCACAGTGAGATTTTCAGCAGCACGTGGTCTTGCAGCCAGCTGACTTGCATATAGACAGGGATGCTAGATGTCCACCGTCTAGATGTACAGCTCTGTCATACAGATATTTGGTGTGTCCAGCCTCCAGTTTCATCTTTGACAGACCTCAGCATTTAATAATTAGGAGTTTCCATCTAGAAATCTGGATTGCCTGCTTTCTAAAACACTCTTTGCTGCCATGTCCTCTTTTTCTCCTGGCATTTCCCACCCACTCCATGCCATACCTCATCTGGAATACCCTTAGCTCCTCTGAATCCATCTGGTCCTTCAAGACCAAATACCTAGCTCTCTTTCGTGAAACCTTCCCTGATCACTATACTATAGTGACTACTTGAGACTCTTCTAACCCTGGCTGTACTTGGAAGCTTTTAAAAATACAATGCCTGAACACCACCCCAAGAAATGAGTTTGCAGTGGAGCCTGGGCATCCATTATTCATAACAGAGCTGTTTTCCTCTTGAGAAGGGAAGATGTTGTGTAATAATGTAGAAGAGAGATCTTGTTTTGGAAAATCAGAAGTTTAGTTATTGGTTGTTGCTATTTCTGAACCATATACCTCGGTAGATCATTTAACCCAGCGCTCTCAAAAACATGCATACATGTCACTTGGGATCTTGTAAGCAGCAAATTCTGAATCAGAATGCCTGATGGAGCCCAAGCATCAGCATTTCTAATAAGCTTCCAGATGATGCTGGTACTGCTTGTCTTCAGACCAGACTGGGTAACAAGGCTTTAAACCAATCAGGGGCTCAGATCTTTAAATTGAATATAAGCAGCTAGATTAAAGAATCTCCAAATTCCTAAATCTCAGAAAGACCATGATTCTATACTTATATTTTCTTTTAATATGTTATCTATTAAATGTAAAACACCTCAAGGTTAGGAATTGTGTTTTCATTTGTAAAGCCCATAATAGCCAGACTAGGATCACAGCAAGTGATGCTGGTTGGATAGTGAATAGGGTTAATGGTCTTGGAATCCAAGCTCCAGAGTTACAGTCAAAAGCAGGACCTAGATATTTTACCTATCTTCCCCAAGGCAGCCCTCTTGCTCCCTTGTTTTCAACATGGGCACACATGTCAACAGAGTGAGCGGAGCTGTGTTTGGCATAATGGTTTTTCATAATATTCAAGGTTGTGGCTGTGGATTTCATCTAAGAGGTATGAAGCCTGTGGAGTCCTGCTCAGAAGGACCTATACTGGGAGATGGTGCTGGAAAACTATAGCAATCTGGTCTCACTGGGTGATAATGGCTTCTCTTCCAGCTTAAAATCTGACCCACTGAGCAGCTTAAATCCCTCATGCAGGTAAGGCAGTGCATGGAGCAGCTGCCAGATATAGCTGACTTTTGCCTTTTGAACTTGAAAATAAAGACAGGTTATTCATATTTCCCCAGGGAAGGTCAGGTTTTTTTGTTTGTTTGTTTGTTTTGGTATAGTTGAGAATGGGTAGATAGGGGTGTGTGTGTGTGCACGCACACACACCGCTCTTGAGAATTTGCTTTGTCTTTGGTTTTCAGCAGTTTGACATTCATGTGTCTAAATCATTTGTTGTTGTTTGGTATTAATCCAGTTTGAGGTTTATTGAGATTCTCTAACCTGTCAGCTATTGTTTTTCATTAAATTTAGGAACTTTAGCCATCATTATCTTTAAATAATTCTCAGTTTCTTCTCATTTTGGATAATTCTTTCTCAATTTCTTCTCCTTTTGAGTCTCCACTTACACGTATGTTAGACCATTTGATATTGTTCCCGAAGCTCTATCCAATTTTCCTCAGTATGTTTTTCTGTTTGCCAGATTGGTTTCTATTGACCTGTCTTCAGGTTCACTGAAACTTCCTTTTGCCATCTTCAATCTTTTAAGCCCATCTAGCAAATTTTAAATTTTTATTTGTTACATTTTTAGTTCTAGAATTCCCACTTGTTTCTTTTTAAAATAATTTCCACTGAGATTTCCACCCCCATTTGTTTCTTTGTGATGTGTGTATTTTTCTTTAATATGTTTATGCTAGTTTCTGTAAAGTCTGTGTGCTGAAACCTCTGGACCATCTCAGGATCTATTTCTGTGACTGCCTTTTTTTCTTAACAGTGGGTCACACTTCCTGTTTTTTTGCATGTCTAGTAATTTTAAAGTTTTTTTATGCAGGACATTTTTTGTGGCATGATTCTAAATTCTCTTACGTTAGTCTGAAAGTGCTTTTTTTACCTGTAGGCAGTTTAATTACTGGATGAATGTTTTGAACTTGTGCAGGCTTCATTTTATTCTTTGTTAGGATAGATCTTTGAAAGGTCAAAGTGTTTACCAGGCTCCTCTAACTTGCAGGACTCAAACTCCAAGTTCTTTAACCCATGCAGATATTTTTACGTCCTTAATTTAGTTCCAGTTAGAGCATATCTTGAGAAGACCTTACTATAAGATGTGGTCCTTATTTTATGGCATGGCCTCTCTGGTTTCTCAGCTGAATGATTGAGGTGTTAATGAGGTTTGTTTATTCTGATTGGGCTGGAATGCCTACACTCGCCAGCCCTGCTAAACTTCTAGTATTTCCATTCTTCTCTCAAGCAGCTGTTTTCTGGTAATCATTGCATATTTACCCTGCACAAGCAAAGCTCAACTTCAGCTGAGGTGGGCTTTCCCCTCTTTGCACAGCTGCCTCCTTTCTGAGACCTACCCTACCAGTGTCATCTGCTTCACCATCCCTAAAGTCTTTTTTGCCTCCTCATCTCAGTGAGACTAGTGTGTCTTTCCCCCACCATCCCATATCATGGTCAGGAAATTGTCCCCAAGCAGTTAGCCAGGGCAAACGTAGAACTCATTTTCTGAATTTCCCATCTCTCAGGGATCACAATTTTGTGCAACCTATAGTCCAGGGCCTGAAAATAGTTGCTTTATACTTTCCCCAGTGTTATGGTTATTTATAATGGGAATGATCATCTGATACCAGTTATTCCATCATGGTCAGCAGAACACGTTAATTTGATAACTACTGTAAGTCACAAAATTTATATTTATTTCTCTGGCTATCCTAGATCTAGGACAAATCCTCACATAGGCAGCTAATTTGTTATAATCAATAAGACCATAGTTACATAAGGAACTTTAACTGGTTGTTGGGTTTGTAGCCCTTTCTCTGAAATGCTGGCGAGGTTCCTTTTATTAGAATATTGACAAAAAAATCAGCTGCAAGTTTAATAAGGTTCATCCATTTAAAAAGTCAATTTATGTTTCTGCTTAACTCACAGAAATATACCTCAAAGGTTAATGATATTCAGTAACCAGTTTTGAAGTAAAATAAAATTAGTTTAAAGGGTTAAAAAATTTTAAGATATGTGATTGGTAATACTATTCTTGGAAATACAACATGAGTATTTCAACTACAAGGTCTTTTACCTTTTCTGTAAAGACATTGTTCTGATGATTATGGGACATAACTAATTATACTCTTTATATTCAATTAGTCGGTGTCCTTGTGCTGGTTGAATTAAGTACACTTTTAAATTGTAACTGCAGGCATATTTTGTTACATCAGCCCCCTGCCATCTGAGAAATACACTTAAAGAATGTACCAAATTTACTCTGGTTATATCCTTCCTGGCTTGAGGTATTCATGCCAAGGTATGATTACCACACAATGTCAGTGTTGGAAAGAAGAAGGAGTCTGCCCCTGAGAAATGGTTTTATGTCAATATTTGATTTAGTGTATCTACACTCCCTAGTGAGATCTCAGATGACTTAATTCTTTCTCATCAATGTGCCTGTTGAAGTGCAGACTTCTCAGGAGTAGTTGGAGATACTGATTTTTATTGTTTTGTGTGCGAGTTTCTCTCTTGGTTCTGAGTGCCTGAATTTAGTAAGATACACTTGAAGCCTGTCCCTTACAATGGCAATTACTGCATGTGTAATCTGCGTCTACTATACAAACTCAGCAGAAGAGCTTTACATCATTTGCTGCAAAGATGTTATACAAAGGCATTGCCTTGGGATATTTATGGACCAAACAAGGTGGCATTTGTGTGCTGGCTGTCACTTCTGATTGTATTTGAATACCTGCTTCTGAATAATAAAGTTCAGAAAACAGGCCGATTTGTTGTCCCAGAAAGGATACATTCAGCTGTTGGATTTTCTTTATTGCTTGGTTTGGCCAAGTAGGAAGTTGGTTTAAGGAGTCGCTGCAAATTTTAGTTATACTATTTTTGTCTTTGTTCCTAATTGTTGCTGCTGTCAAGTATGTTGTTAACAGGGTATTAATACTTTGGCAGAGCTACCAACTCATCAGTTCTAACCACAGATGATTCTGTATCAAAAAGAAATTGAAGTGACTCTGATAGAAACAAATCATGTGAGAATGATACAAAAAACAACATGGAGATGTAGAACTGGAAACCTGATAACTTGGCTAATATTTGTGTGGTCATCCAATCATTTTAGGCAAAGAAAAGAGCAAAAGAAGAGACAGTAAAAGGAAAAGATTCCATTTACAGCAGCACCTGCTTAGAAAATAATAAAGCAATGCCATCTCCCCTCAGCTATATCTGTTAAGAACTCTAAACTTTGAGTGACCCTAGTAGGGCAAAACTACTTGGCTGTAACTCAATAATTTTTCCTGACCTCTGAAAAATAGAACCTTTTAAACCAATTATGTAACAGTACTATGGATTCATTCTGACCTATCCAGAGTGCTAGTTTTTAATCCATAATGAACACAGCCACAATGAAACTCTACCTCCTAACATTTAAAAACACTGAAATTTCCCCCTCAGTGAACAACTTGTGAAACTTTTTCAGTGGTGTGTGTAGTAACTCAACCTTTTCACTTCTTTTCTTAAGCCTTGGTAGTTTTTGTTTTACATTAGAAACAAAACAAGAATACTATGTATGAAAACCAAAATTCTGATCATAGCAAATCCATTGTATTTAATGACTTTATCATTGAAATAAAAAATTTAAGAGGTAAGGAAACAAAGTCTTCAACCCAAGCTTGAAAAAATATAGCAAAAAGAAACACAAAGGCATAAATGAATACATTGGAAAGCAGTGAAACTGTGATAATACTTGTGAAGCGATTTGGGGCTCAGTACCTGTTGGCCAGGATTCATTATTGCTGCTTCCTTATTCTCCTCCAATGTATGTTCCATTTCACCTTGTTCCTGGCAGCTTCTCACAAGCTCTATTGCAGTTTTTTTTTTTGTTTTTTTGTTTTGTTTTGTTTTGTTTGAGACAGAGTTTTGCTCTTATTGACCAGGCTGGAGTGCAATGGCACAATCTCGGCTCACTGCAACCTCTGCCACCCAGGTTCAAGCAATTCTCCTGCCTCAGCCTCCCGAGTAGCTGGGATTACAGGCACCTACCACCATGCCTGGCTAATTTTTTTGTGTGTTTTTAGTAGAGACAGAGTTTCACCATGTTGGCCAGGCTGGTCTCAAACTCCTGACCTCAGGTGATTGACCCAGCTCAGCCTCCCAAAGTGCTGGGATTACAGGTGTGAGCCACCGCACCCGGCTGCTCTATTGCACTTTTTTTTTTTTACTGATAGCGTGATTTACCTGTTTAAAGAAACATGCCTTTGGGTAGTTTATTTTTATATTTAAATATATTTTTATTTTTATATATTGAAATGGTTATTTTTTTAATTTAGAAAGAAATACTTTTTTGTAAATTTTAAACCTTTTATTTGAAAATAATTTCAAACGTAACAAAGTTGCAGGTGCAGTACATGTAACACTGATGCAGTACTTTTAATAACCTATCATCGGTATTCTAATTTGACAATTGACTTGATAATGTGTTTTATAACTTTTTTTTTTTTTTGCGTTCTAGTATGGGATCCAGCCTAGGATTAGGTTTAGTTGTCATGATTCTAGTATCCTTTAACCTGGAATATTTTTCTTAGGGTTTGTTTTTCTGTCTTTTAAGAACAGGGTCCTCCTTTTTGGTAGCTGAATGTTTTATTTGGGGGTTGTGTGAGGGATATCACATTTGGTAGTGCCTGATTTCTGCCTTGTACAGTTACTATTTTTTTCGTTTCTAAGACCATCTCTGAGGAGACAATTTAAGACTGTGCATCCATTAATGATTCTTGCCTAGACTAGTTTTTACCCTAATAGTTACAAAGCTGTAATTTCCAATGCCAACACTCCCTCCATATTTTCCAGTCAGCACTAGGCATTCAGGTAGGATGCTATTTTATGAAAGAAAATACAGTATTCAGGTAGCAGTGAGAGAAGGACAGGCAAATCACTGATCCTAGTGTCACCAGAGCTATTCAGAGGTGCAGAGAGCTGTGAGAGCTTGGAGAAGGGAATATGGGGTGCAGAGTGGCAGAAGGCAAGGTTGGGGCTACATAAGCTTCCTCACCTGCCTGGCCAAGGTGTCTTGACTCGATTTTGCATGTGGCTGAGCTTATAAAATCATAACAACACAAAACCTACCAGCTGAGAAAAGAAACCTTATCAATTTTTAAAAATTTAAATATGGTAGTTCCCCTCCCCTGCCATCCATGGGGGGTTACATTCAAGACTGGTTGCCTGAAACCTTGGATAGTACCAAATCCCACATACTGTACATATGTTTTTTGCTATACAAAAAAACTGAAGATATGGTTTAATTTATAAATTAGGCACAGTAAGAGATTCATAACTAATAATAAAGTAGAACAACTATAACAATATACTGTAACAAAAGTTGCGTGGATGTGGTCTCCCGAAATATCTTATCGTACTGTACTCGCCTATTTTCAGACCGTGGTTGCCCCTGGGTAACTGAAACCTCAGAAAGTGGAACTGTGAATAAGGAGGACTACAGTGCTGCATCCACGTGTCCATATATTTAGTATTTTTAGAATAGATTGTCCATAAGTTAATTTTTTTTACCATATTCATAATTGAGGAAGTCTGAGCATTGCGTTAATATTTTTTAATGACAATAAAACCAGTAGCACTGAGGGCAGATCCTAAAGAATGAAGAAATTAAGGGCAATAAGGAAGACGAAGAGAGTCAGGGATGACTTGTAGCTCTGGTAAAGACAAGAGAGCTTTATTATCAGTGGCAACAGGGAGCCATTAGAAAACCATCTAATGTAGACCAGAGCTTCTCAAACTTCAGTATTCTGGGGATCTTGTTGTGATGCAGATTCTGATTCAGAGGCCCTGAGCTTTCTAGTAAGGAGGATGCTCCTGCCCCAGGACAATGTTTGGAGATGTTGGTCCTCAGAATGTACATTGTAAGTGACAGGTCAGGTGTGGATAAAGCAGACCAAGACAGCAGCTGAAGTTTTGTCCTAGAAATGGGTTGACATGATACCTCAGTCTTGATGAAATGAAATAGCCATCATTTAGTGATTCCTTTGGGAATTTGTCCTCCAGTAGTTCTGTTAGGGCCCAAAGATCCAGGTCTGCCTCAGTCTCAGGCACAGGCTACTATTTTTGAAGTTCTTTTCAGGAGCCAGATACTGTGCTTTAGTCACATCACCTCACTGAGCCCTCCAGACAGCCAAATGGAGATGACTTCCTTTTTACGGACAGGACATGGAAGCTCTGTGTTAGTGAGTACGTTGCCTAAGGTCATGCAGCCAGTAAGTTGCAGAACTCAAATCTGAACCCTTCTGACTCAGAAACTCTGCTCTTACCACATCTTAATTAAGTGCCCACCACAAACACATGGCTCATGAAATGAATGCCTCATGCTCCCTGCCCTCCAGCAGCACAGAGTCTAAAGGGAAGGATGTGTCACAGGTAATTACCATCCAGCCATGTTGGTGGAGAAGAGTACCACCAAGGTATTAGCTTTCCACTCTGCAGCCTTCTTTGGTTAGAACTGTTAAAAATGTCCTTTTACAAAGCAGAAGCTTGAACATTGAATAAGTTGGCATAACATGTTTAAAGGTAATAAATGATTACATCTACCTTAATTGTTTTCATTCCAACATATCGTGACAATTTTCTAATATAAAAGTTGAGAGAATGGCCGGGCGTGGTGGCTCACGCCTGTAATCCTAGCACTTTGGGAGGCTGAGGCGGGTGGATCACAAGTTCAGGAGTTCAAGACTAGCCTGGCCAAAATGGTGAAACCCTGTCTCTACTAAATATACAAAAATTAGCCATGCGTGGTGGTGGGCGCCTGTAATCCCAGTTACTCGCGAGGCTGAGGCAGGAGAATCGCTTGAACCCGGGAGGCGGAGGTTGCAGTGAGCCAATATCGTGCCACTGCACTCCAGCCTGGGTGACAGAGTGAGACTCTGTCTCAAAAAAAAAAAAAAAAAAAAAAAGTTGAGAGAATCATACAGTGAATATCCAGATGCCCGCCATAGTTATTTTTTACTATATATCTTTTGTTATATTTTCTGTCATCCCTCTATCCATCCATCAGTTCATCCACTTTTTTGATGCATTTCAAAGTTGCAGACATCAGTTCACCCCTAAATCGTTCAGCATACATGTCATTAGAGTTCAGTATTTGTCAATGGTTTTTTTTTTTAAATTTAAAACATACAACAAAATGCACAGATCTTAAGTGTACTATTCGATGAATCTTGACAAATGCAGACACCCATAAAACCCAAACCCTTCTCGAGATGAGAATATCCCCGCCATTCTGGAAGGTTTCCTCATGCCCCTTCCCAGTCAAACTCAATTCTGTTGCCTCAAAGGCAGTCACCAAATTAGTGATTCCTGTTCTAGAACATCACATAAATGGAATTAGCTTTTTTTTTTCTTTTCCTTTTAGAAGCCTGTGGTCTTAGCAAAGAGTTGCAAACATTCAACACATCCTTATTAGGCTCCAGCTATCTATCTGTAAGAATTTGTTTATAGGATATGTTTGTTTTAGTGGAGTAGCAAGAAGGCTTGAAGGACTGCCAAGGACACACCCTTCATACAAAGGCACCCACATCAACGCACTAGATGAGAGAGCATCACAATCCCATGTAAGGGCAGAGTAAGCCCCCCACCCCAGGCTGGGAGATTAATGGGTTACAGCAGTTGGCCCCAACCTAGGGATCTTTGGCTTCCAGGTATCCCCAGAATTACCTTTGAACTCCACTATTATTTTTAGTATTTCAAAATATCAAATTGAAATGATACATTAATCTTGCATAGGGCTGCACAGACTAACAAAAGTACTTTTTTTCTTTCTACTGTTGATTGTTATTGTAGAATTATAATAGCGAACATCTCTGGCATATTTATAATGTATCAATCACTGTTTCAAGCATTTCACATTTTAAATTTCATTTGATAATATCAGTAGCGTAACGTCTCATACATGGTCATTGTTTCTGTACTTTTTTAAATGAGAAAATGCATTTTTACTCTAAAAGTGTGGCTTGCTTGGTAGACTAAAAACCTTCAAATATGAGGCCTGTGGAGAAAAATAATGAAAGGAATGGCTGGACTAAATAGAGGCAAGTCGGCTGGGCGCAGTGGCTCACGCCTGTAATCTCAGCACTTTGGGAGGCCAAGGCGGGCGGATCACAAGGTCAAGAGATCGAGATCATCCTGGCCAACATGGTGAAACCCTGTCTCTATTAAAAGTATAAAAATTAGCTGGGCCTGGTGGCGGGTGCCTGTAGTCCCAGCTACTCGGGAGGCTGAGGCAGGAGAATGGCTTGAACCCGGGAGGCTGAGGTTGCAGTGAGCTGAGATCATGCCATTGCACTCCAGCCTGGGTGACAGAGCAAGACGCCGTCTCAAAAAAAAAAAAAAAAAAAAAAAAAAATAGAGGCAAGTCTCTCTTTGATTCTTAAGGAAATCTATGCTTGGGGAACCTTTGTTAACGTATTGAAAATGTGAATAGTGACATTACAGGAAGTTGAAGGTATAAATCGTAAGAAATTGGCACTATAGATTTGTGATTAATTTTTCTTGATTTTTACAAAGGCATAAGAGACTGGAGTTACGAGTTCATTTTCCTCTTGTTACTGAGGGGTCTGGGCCAGGGAGTCCGGTTTCTTCCTCTTTCGAGATTTAACCAATTGTGTGACCGTGGATGAGGCATTTGACCCCTTTGGGCCTCAGTTTCCCATGTGTAATGTGTAGTTTGAACTAGTCATCTCTAAAGCCCTTTCCAGGAATGAAAGTATGTGGTTCTCTGACGTTTGCTCCAAGATGCTCATCCGCTGAAAGCCTTGCCCTGGCTCCACGGGCTTCAGCCCTTTGAACAGAAGAGGGCGCCCTAAACATGGTGATTCCTTCCTTTCCCTGCGGGCCCTTTTGGCAATTCAGGTAGAGGACCGGCGCAAGTGTTCTCGTCAGGATTCAGTTGTCCAGAGGCCAGCATTTTCCCTGGACAAGGGGTAGCTAAGGCCTCAGAGGAAGCCACTGACTTTGCATCTTTCCAAATCTTGTGAGGTTGAAATTTTAATTATATTTTAACTATGGATATAATTGAAGAAGATGGAAAAAAGACACTATTGTAATTCCATAGTCAGTTACTGCTCTAAAATAAAATGCAGATAAGTAATATAGCCATTCTCGTTCTTGTTGACTGGAGGGGGTGGGGTATGGACGTGTCACGTATTGTCTCAGGGCTCTCAGGGCATGGCTTCATTCATTCATTCCATATTTTCCGAGGGTCTACTTGGTGCCAACTACTGTTTGTTTATAGCGTCAACCAAACAAAGCCCTTGTCCCCATTGAAGCTAATATTGTATGAGCATTTTCAAAATGGTGGGCTGAAATGGATCCTCAGGCCTCGAAATGCATGCATGGAGCCATATTTGAGCTAACTAAGGGTGTGAAGCTTCCATACACCAAGTAGTTTCCAAAGGAAACTGCCCAGGGACAGAACATCTGCTTATCAGGAGTTTTGCCACTAGCAAAATGGAGTAATTGGGAAAATGACTGTTGAACAAGTTAAATGTACAGGTACAACATTCTTTCTTTCTTTCTTTCTTTTCCTGAGACAGAGAGTCTCCCTCTGTCGGCCAGGCTGGAGTGCAGTGGCGCAATCTCCGCTCACTGCAACTTCTGCCTCCCAGGTTCAAGTGATTCTTCTGCCTCCACCTTCCAAGTAGCTGGGATTACAGGCGCCCACCATCATGCCCGGCTAATTTTTGTATTTTCAGTAGAGACGGGGTTTCGCCATGTTGGCCAGGCTGTTCTTAAACTCCTGACCTCAGGTGATCCACCCACCTCGACCTCCCAAAGTGTTGGGATTACAGGCGTGAGACACCGCGCCTGGCCCAACATTCTTGAAAGAAGGACAAGAAAGCTACCTGCATTTGTCCACACTGCTCAGTCTCAAGGTAATAAAGGGAGTGGAAGGCTATTAGCATTCAGGCAAACGCAGCAGCTAAAGCGCCTGTTATGGGCAACAGCACAGGCTGTAGAGTGAGGCTGCCCAAGTTTCAATGCAAGCTCTGCCACTCACCCTCTGGCTGAACTGGCGGAAATTTCTTAACCTGCATGAGGTTCTGTGGGTCATGTGGGGATTCAATGGGTCCACATATTTAAGCCATCAGAACAGTGGCCTCGCACACAGTAATTGCTCAGTAAATTTTCACCATACTTACCGATGTGATTATCAGTATAACCTTAAATTGGTCCCGTTCCTGATTTCTTTTCATTCTGACTAAATCCTTTTAAATCTTGGGTTAAAAGGCTAAATAAATTTGCTTAGCCAGAACAAGAGAAAGGTTTGTTGAGCATCTGCTATTCTACTGTTCTAGGAACAAGGATTTGGCAATAAATGAGATAGAGCCTCTGTCTTCTCAGGAGCTTACAGCAGACAATAAATACATTAAAAAGCAAACAAACAAGTTCAGATGTAATGGATTTGAGTAGTATTTCTCTCTTTGGAATGAATTATAACCACATTAAAATCTTACTTGTGATGTTCTTGATGCTACACATTCATGTAAGAGAACATCTTCCACTTAAGGAATTGATGTATGAATCCTAGCAAAAAACTGAGTAAGTCAGGATATCTTCTGGCTTTCTTTTCCAGTTCCACAAGATATAAGCAGAAACTGGAGATGCTACACATTCTCTTTTGGTAGAAGAGCATTGCACTTGACTACAACAAGATTTTAAGCCTGATTATTATATCTTGAATTGTATTTGTTCACAATTCAAACTGGCTAAAGACTGAATTCCAGGCTGATATTCTTAGTGTGGTTCCAGCAACTGGAAAATGGATTGTGTTTCCTTTCAGCCTTCTAATTCCTGGGTGAAATGAATATACAGTCATGTACCACATAATGACATTTCCTGACTGCATATATGACGGTGGTCCCATACGATTACAAATACTGCACATTCACTCTACCTTTTCTATGTTTAGATATGTTTAGAAACATGAATGCTGTGTTTAGATATGTTTAGACAAACAACTACTTAGCATTATGTTACAGTTGCCTACAGTTTTCAGTATAGTAACAGGCTGTACAGGTTTGTAGCCTAGGAGCAATAGGCTCTACCATACAGCCTGGGTGTGTAGTAGGCTATGCCATCTAGGTTTGTGTAAGTCACTCTATGATGCCATCTAGGTTTGTGTAAGTCACTCTATGATGTTCGCACAATAAAGTTGCCTAACGATACTTTTCTCAGAATGTTTCCCCGTCATTAAGCGACACATGACTGTATGTTACTGCTGTTATGTTTCATAGCAGCCAACCATCTTCAGCAGGGAGAGTTTCTAGTAGCCCAGACAGTATCTTTGTGCAAATTAGAAAAAGATGCCCCCTTCCTTAAGGTATTTTTCTGCCATCTACCTGAAATTTTTTATAATAAATATTCATTTCTACAAATATTCAGTGCACACCCTGCTCAACCATATCAAACAGCTCTCCTAATAGGTCTAATGAAGTCCTTCAAAGAGAGAAGCAGTACAATTTATATTATAACTTTATTTTTAATTGCCTTCTTTTTACCCTTTCGCCTTGTAACCAGTGTGACAAAACACAATCTTGTCGCCTCCAGGCAGACAAAAAGATGCATACCAGTGATTAGTAAGTCTATACCAGATCCTAGGAATTGAGTACATCCTTGGGAGGGGGAGGAGACAGTTAATATCTAGATGACCACAACAAACAAGGAAATAAAATTGCAATTCCCTCCAAAACACAAAGAACCCCTAAAACAAAACCAAAAAATGTCTCAGTCTGACCTGGCACTGGGCCATCTTTTTCAGCTGCCAGATTAGCTTTCCTGCTTTTATCCATCAATAGAAGGAGTATTGCTCCATTGTTTTGCAATTACAATGGTTCTGTGATCTCTTGAATCAAAATTGAACTTTGTCTTCTTGTGTGAGAGAATACAAGATCCATCCCATATCAGTTTTCTGGAGCTCCAGATCCATTCTCTAATGCTAGGCAGACATCTCTGCTAGACTGACCATTAGGCACTTTAAGCTGAGCATGCCTCAAACTCATCCCGTCCTTTCCCTCCCAAACCTCTTTCTCCTCCTGTAGTCCCCACATCTCCATTGACTTCCTGACTCTTCTCTCAGTTTCACAAATGATTAAGTACCTTCTTAGAGTTCCTTTCCCTTCACCTGACACACATCAGTCTCCACCACCTGCTGCGTGCTCTGCATGTGGACATCTGTCGGGATCTCTCTGTTCCCATTGCCTCAGCATTGGATGAAGTCTTGGGCCCTCGTCATTTCTCCCTGGGACTAATGCAGTGGCTTCTCAGCTAGTGTTTTAGCCATTCCCAAGTCTCCTCACCTCTTTTCAATTTTCTGCTCCCCTGTTATCTGAACAGAACTGGGACCATTTACCCGCACTGCTTATAAACCTCTAGTGGCTTCCTACTGCCTTCAGGATCAAATCTCCACTCTGTTCCAGTCTACCCCAACCTGCCACTAGTTTTAACCACTATTCACTGCTCTCCTTTCTGTTTCTCCTCCCTATCCCACGGTATTCCCTGCCACTTTTCACTACTTAAAATTTTAGAATTCCCTCAAAATGATGGGCATCAAGCCTCCTGTACTTCATGGATTGAATACCACCACGTTCTTCCTCTGGCAAACATTTTTTTAAAAATTTATTTATTTATTCATTTATTTATGACACAGGGCTCTCTCTTTTGGCCAGGATGGAGTACAGTAGCTCAGTCGTGGCTCACTGCAGTCTCAACCTGCTGGGCTCAAGCATTCCTCCCACCTCAGCCTCCCATAATGCTGAGATTACAGATGTGAGCCACCGCGCCCGTCCCCTCTGGCAGCTCTTATTCATCCTTCAGGTCCAGCACAAGTTGTCGCTGCTTCTCTGAAGTTTTCCCACCCCCACCCTCTTCCTTCGATTTTCCTAGCACATTTTATAAACTTCTGTCTTGATATTTTTGTCATGATGTGCTGCAACATGTTTCCCCTCCCAGGGGATATGCCCGGTCTCACTTCTTTCCCTAAGGCACTCAGGGCTGACTCGGTAAGGACTGTACTCAAGGGTTGGTTCAAACCTTGAAATGGGAAGATAAGGACAATGAGACAGGCACGTGGTTCTGCGGGCTGTTGAGCAACTCTTGATGAGCTTCAGGGACACAAGGGAGGAGACTGCGGGTGCCCTGGTGGCCACTAGTTGTTTGGACAGCTGGAAAACAGATTGTTAAAAATAAAAATTTTCATCAGAATGTTTTCTTCTTTTGTACACATGACATTCTGTGCTTCTAATGAAACTGGGCCTTTACAAAATGAAATAAAAGGATCTGTGCTATTATTGACTATAAAGTGATCATCTTTAAAAAGACAGACACTAAGAAAGAAATTACTAATTCAGTGAATTGAAAGTCCAGAGTTCTAGAATTGATTTATGGGTTCCAGCAAGGATCAGATATTTAAATGATTAGGTTTTTTATCATCTTCCAACTTCTTATTGTTCAAAATTGTTACAAAAATGAATTCAGGCTGGGCATGGTGGCTCACACCTGTAATCCCAGCACTTTGGGATGCCGAGGAGGGTAGATCACCTGAGGTCAGGAGTTCGAGACCAGCCTGGCCAACATGGTGAAACCCTATCTCTACTAAAAATAATAACTAAAATACTAGCTGGGCATGGTGGCACATGCCTGTAATCCTAGCTACTCAGGAGGCTGAGGCAGGAGAACTGCTTGAACCTGGGAGGTGGAATTTGCGGTGAGCCGAGATTGCGCCACTGCACTCCAGCCTGGGTGACAGAGCAAGACTCTGTCTCAAAAAAAAAAAAAAAAAAAAAAAAAGTGAATTCAGTCTTGCTTATATATTTTGAGTTCCGTAGAGTTCAACATTCTACTGAAAATATAAGATGAATGGGTTTCATTATCTTGCCTGCTTAAATTTATTGATGCAGGGGTAGAAGCAGGAAAAGAAAAATAAGAAGAAAAATAATTAATTGATGTGCAAGTTTGTGGGGTTTTTTTGCCAGGGAACAGATTTTTTTCAGGACTGTGTCTTTTTTTTTTTTTAAGAAACAGGAAGGTTATCTTGGATTATGACTAATTAGATTAATTTTAAAAACAAAATATATATTAATTATAAATATATTCATTTATATAAGAAATATATTTATATATTTATAAATACATTCTGTTATATTAGTGTGACAACATGCTATAATGTATGTAGACAGCTAACAGCCATTTATCAGGGGTTTACAGTGTCCTGCTCAGCTGAACCCCTGGGATTCAAAGGGGAGGGACCCTGTTCCTGGACCCAAGATGCTCATAGTCTCATTGGGGAAATGACGAGGTAGAAAAAAATAATCACAAGGCAATGTAGTAAGTGTAAAAAGGCCTTTAACATTCTGTTGGCGTGCAAAGTTCAATCAGATATTCTCTGCTGATGCAGAGGCACATGTCACAAAGGGGGACACAAGCTGGCTCCAGGTGTGGCCAAAAAAGTGTGCAGTGATGTTCTCTAGTCTATTTTTTTTTCCTTTTTCTCTATTCTGGCTTCTCAATATGATGTCTAGTCTAATCAAGCAAATTCACTTATAAGCAGGTGAAAGTTCAAGAAAGGGGCCTCAGAAGTCTTCTGGTTTGGCCCATTCCTTTGTGATGAAGGTTCTAGACATAGGGACTGGGGTTTGTGTGAGGTCACCCAGGTGATTGCACAGCGCCAGCCCTCAAAGCCAGGTCTAGGGCTCCATCCCACTTCCCAAGATGCCCTGAAGTCTTGAGGTGTCTGCTAGGAAAGCGTTGCATTACTGGGCCAGGTAGAAACCAAACTCTAAAATCAATGCTGTAGAGAGATGCTTTCAATTTTATTTTAAAACTGTGTTTTGATTACATTTGTCATTAACTTTTCTGACTTAGGAAAGAAGCTTCATATTACAACAGGCTGACATGTTTTTAGCTCAAGAGTGGAGACTTCTGTCAATCATGTGGGATCATGAATGCCTGAAAGGTTGGAGGTCCATGCGTTGACCAAGAAGAACTCCAGCTGCTTCAGATTGCTTGATTGTCACTGAAAAGTACACTCAATATGAAGAAGATTGCAGTTAACTGGAGATTAAAATTAGATGTCTTAATAAGGCAAATCATTTCAACGTATGTCTTCCCTTTCTTTGATTTCCTCTCATGTGTATTATAACACCTCTTACTAGAGGGCTCCAGAAGGAACTGCTCTCACCCTTACCTGCACTGTTTTGTTGAAAAGGAATGTTTCTGATTTTATCTCCTCATTTTTACTACTTCTTCTTATCTTTTTTTAAAATTTTATTTTCATGGTATGACACGTGAAAGACCTCAGGGCTTTTGGCATGTGTGTTAGCCAGAGATGTTCTACAGTTTCTTTAGTGATATAAGACAATCTTCTTTTGGAGAGTGTTTCAAGCACCGAAGGCTTAATATTGCCATTTTCACATTTGGATGGCATTTTTCCAAATGTCTTGTGAGCCTTGCCAGTGGTGGCAAGCTGTAATTGGTCAAAAATGAAAGTGAAAACTTAATGAAAACTAAGTTTCCAGTCTCGTCTTTATGGCCAATTTCCCAGGTAACCTTGAGGCAGTCCTCATTGCATGAGGCATAGTGGGAATGATAATAGCCCACCTATGGATAGGCTTGTTGTATGGCTAAATGAAGTCACAACTGCAAATGATCTCAACTTCTTAGAAAAGGATGGTATTATGGAGCCGTGACAATTACAGCAGCCAAGGCTCTGATTGTTTGTAGTGATATCTGCTCTGGTGTACTTTGTCTTGTCTGTTTCATTATAACCAGCAGCTTTTTAAGGGAAGTCACAATTGGGTGCAATGATGCACTTTCCTTACAACTATTCTTTAACATTCTGGTCCTGTTATGTCCTGGTAGGTTCATTCCTGTATTCCACAGTGAAACCTTCTGCTTCAGAGGGTGCCTCATGACGTAGCCTAGGACACTGGTCTAGGTTGATGCATATTTTTAATGTCTTAGAAAATGGAAGACAGGATAAGTAAATGTGGGCCACGGAAACCACGTTGTTTGTCCATTTCCACTCTAGGAGACTTGACTTCAACAACCTGAGCAATCCTGAGGCTTCTGGACAGTTAGTTGGTTTCAGAATCCCCACTATGCTTCTGGACCATTCTAGGGCAAAGGGGTTCAGGCTGCTGCTGCTTCTCCTTCTCCTTCTCCTTCTTCTTTCTTCAGACAGAATCTCTCTCTTGTTGCCCAGGCTGGAGTGCAATGGTGCGATTTCAGCTCACTCCCGGGGTTTCAAGTGATTCTCCTCGCTCAGCCTCCCAAGTAGCTGGGATTACAGGCGCCTGCCACCATGCCCGGGTAATTATTATTATTTTTTTTTGTATTTTTAGTAAAGATGGGATTTCACCATGTTGGCCAGGCTGGTCTCGAACTCCTGACCTCAGGTGATCCACCTGCCTCGGCCTCCCAAAGTGCTGGGATTACAGGCATGAGCCACAGCGCCTGGCTAGGCTCAGGCTTCTTTAAAGGGACCACATGACAACTGCGTGAGGAAGGGACTTTCGTTGACTGTGCCCTCGACTCCTAGGATTTCCCAGTATTTTTCTGCCAAGACTTCTCCCTGGAGCTTAGCCGCCTGGCCTGTGCCTCCAGCGCTCGGCCTTAGGTCCACAGTGGCAGCACCTCATGAAGGTCATTCTCCATAGAGGCCCCTCTCTGGTGGCAGAGTCACATACTGCAATGTATGACCTGGACTTTCAGGAACACTGCTGCGGGGAGAACACTGTGAAACCATCAAAGATGTGTTGTGGGCATGTGTGCAAGCATCTTTAACCTCCCCTAGTGTGCTGTATGTCCCTAAGAGAATGACATGAGCATGAACTTGAATTCATCACTAAGCAGACTAGTGATCACGAACTAATCCCCACCGTGTGCCAGGCTCTGTCTTCACTCCTCACAACCATCCTTGAAGTGAGGCGTGTTATCCCTTTTTACTGATGAGAACACTGAGACCTGGGTGAAGGAAATAAATAAAACAAGGACTCTTACAAGAGAGAGAAGAAAAACCAAAGTGTTTCTTCCTCCACGCTGATACACATGTCACTCAACACAACACTTCTGACACCTGGGGTTGGGGGTGGGTTCCCACACACACGAACCAATTCTCTGTGGACTCCAGCTGGGCGTCCTATAATTCAATTCTGACACTATTCACCTGGAGAATCAGATCCCACAGGTGGAGGGCTTGGTCCCACAAGATTGCCCCCACTTCAGGTGCCAGTTGCACATAGTAAGTTGTCACCTCTACCTCCACTGGCCAGCTCAGATTTGGATTTGGGGCTCCCATGACGTCCTCCTTAGGTTTGATTAATTTGCTAGAGCAGCTCACAGAACTCAGGGAAACACTTTACTTGCATTCACCCATTTATTATAAGGCTCTGGCAAGGATACAGTTGAGTGGCCAGCTTAAGAGATGTGTGGGGTGAGGTGTGTGGGAAGGCGCACGAAGCTTCCCTGCCCTCCCTGGGCTCACCACCCTCCAGAACCCCCAAGTGTTCAGCTATCTGGAAGCTCCCCAAACCCAGTCCTTTGGGTTTAGGGAAGCATCATTACCTAGCCATGACTGATTAAATCATTGGCCACGGGTGATCAACTCAGCCTTCAGCCTCTCCCGGCTCCCTGGAGGTCAGGGGTGGGGCTGAAAGTTTCAACCTTCTAATCACAAGGTTGGTTCCCCTGGCAACCAGCCCCCATTATGAGGCCATCCAGGAGCAAACCACGCGTCGGGTCCTGAGAACAAAAGATGCTCCTGTCACTCAGGAAATTCCAAGGGATTTAGAACTCTGTGTCAGACGCCATCACTGAGGAAATTACAAAGGCCTTAAGGAGCTCTGTGTTAGGAACCAGGGGTCAAACACCAAATATTACAACAATAGATTCTCATCGTGTAGAACAATGGATTCTACATACATTTGTGTGTATTATACATCTCTCTCTCTCTCTCTCTCTCTCTCTCTCTCTCAATACATCACTACATCATATTCTTCTCTAACAAAAATTGGCGTATTTTCCAGAGAAAGTCAAGGTTCCTCCTATATTGGGTCCCCTTCTTCCACCTATCCCCAGGGAACAGATCTTAATAAACAATAGCATAGGAAATCCACACCAGCCTCAGCATCCTTTACATACGTTGGTTAAGGAAGGGGCTGAGGGTGGTAAGCTAGCAGTTGGAACTGAGCTTCATTCAAATGCCATTCTCTGTGTAAACGTTACCCTTGTAGCTGCATCTTTTTGCTTCCCCAACTAAAATTCTAAGATGAGAGTGAAATCTTTAATTGGAAGCTTGAAACCTAATTATTTGGATATTTAATTTGATTTCATTTTAATTTATCCCTAGTTTTATTAAGGTATAATAGAGAAATAATAATTGTATATATTTATGTTGTACAATGTGATGTTTAGATATATGTATATATACACTGTGAAATGATTAAATTAAACTAATTAACATATTTGTCACCTCACATACTTACCATTTTTTGCTGTGAGAATATTTAGATCGACTGTCTTAGCAATTTCCAAGTATACACTATTATTAGTTATAGTCACCTTGCTATACAATAAATCCTTTATACACTTCGACCAATATCTCCCCATCCCTGTCCCCAGCCCCTGGCAACCACCATTCCATTCTCTGCTTCTTTAAGTTCAACTTCTAAAAATTCCACATGTAAGTGAGGTCATGCAGTATTTGGCTTTCTGTGCCTGGCTTATTTTACTTAGCATAATTTCCTTTATTTGGGTATTTTATATCTTGCATTGTTATCTATCTTTTATCTTTTATCATGCCCTGAGGAAGATATTCTGCCCTAATAGTCATTACATAGAAAAAGAAACTAAGGGATAAAGAATATAATTACTTTAATATTTTTAATTAGGCCTTTTAATAGGCACTCAAAAATACTAACATAGCACAATGAGATCACTTATAGTGCTGAGAGATATTTTTTACACTTTATCCCACTCATTTTTCACAACTGTTAAGTAGGGAAGGCATGCATTGGCCAGGTGCGGTGGCTCACACCTGTAATCCCAGCACTTTGGAAGGCCGAGGCGGGTGGATCAAGAGATCAGGAGCTTGAGACCAGCCTGGCCAACACGGTGAAACCCCCTCACTACTAAAATTACAAAAATTAGCCGGGCATGGTGGCAGGTGCCTGTAATCCCAAATACTCGGGAGGCTGAGGGAGGAGAATGATTTTGCTGCCTCAGCAATCATTACATGTGATGGGTCACATGATGGATCACATTACATGTGATAGGTCACAATGTAAGTGTAAGAAAATGATTGCTTGTTGAGAACATAGACATTCACAGTCAGGAATGATGGTGATGCCAGGGAACCACAGATTGTCCACATGGGTGGCTGAGAGAGTGGCATCTTTGCTTCTGATGGTTCAATGCACACAAACTTAATTTTATGCAAAAGTTATTAAAATATTGTATAAAATTACCTTCAGGCTATATGTATAAGGTGTGTCTGAAACATAAGTGAATTTTATGTTTAGGCTTGGGTTTGATCTCCAAGATATCTCATGATGTATATGCAATATTCCAAAACTCAAAAAAATCTGAATCCAAAGCACTTCTGGTCCCATGCATTTCTGATAAGGGATATTCAACCTGCATCAGTTTTCCTGTTTGTTTCCTTTGACTTCTCTTCCACACTGCTGGTTTCATCATATGTCTGGTCGGTCCTCCCTGTCTGTTATGGAAAGGATTCTGTGATTTGTGTGGATTTCCTATCCTTCTGTGTAGGAAGGCCTGTTTCCTGGGGATAGGTGGAAGAAGGGGGTTTGTCCAGGGCTTACAGATAAGATTTCACTCTAGATCGCTTCTTGGCCTTTTGGTTAAGTTCAAGTGTAGAATCTGTTCTTACCAGTTTAATATGCTGATATGTCCTTTATCTGAGGACAATATAGTAAATGGATTTTTTGAGCAGGGAGATGGAATAGGAGCTTGCTCCATCCACTCCACACATGGACCTGGTATTGAGTACCTCCAGGAATGTTCAACCCTCGGGGGATATTTAAAAAAAAAGATTTCAATCTAGAGGCTACAGGCTGCAGATGCTGGGGGTGATCACATGAGAGAGCTCTGCTGCAGGGAACGATATGTGAGAAGCCTTGGCTTTCTCCAGCCGCTCACTCAACTTTTTGTTAGAGAAGAATTCTCTGGTTTGTCTGCACTTTTTTTCTCTACCTGGCAATAAATGAGGATGTGCACTGTTCCTTCACAAGGGCGTAGAAAGAGGACTGAGCTCTCAGGGGGATTCCATACGTAGAATTTTAATTCGATCTCCCCAGTTTTCAGCATAATTTTTCACTCTTGCTTTCCACTTTATGTGCCAGTGTCAGATACAGACTTTTTTTTTTTTTTTTTGAGATGGGGTCTCACTCTGTCGAGCAGGCTGGAGTGCAGTGGCACGATCTTAGGTCACTGCAACCTCTGTCTCCCAGGTTCAAGCGATTCTCCTGCCTCAGCCTCCTGGGTGGCTGGGATTACAGGTGTGTGACACCATGCCCAACTAATTTTTATATTTTTAGTAGAGACAGGGTTTCACCATGTTGGCCAGGCTGGTGTCTAACTCCAGGCCTCAAGTGATCCGCCTCCCTCGGCCTCCCAAAGTGCTGGGATTATAGGCGTGAGCCACCATGCCTGACCTAAATTACATATTTGATATGGAATTAATATCCAAAATACACGGAGAACTCCTAAAACTCAACATCGTAATAAACAACCCAATTCAAAACTAAGCAAAGGATATTTCTTGGAAGAAGATATACAAATGGCAAATAAGCATTTGAAAAGATACTCAACATCATTAATCATTAGGGAAATGCAAATCAAAACCACAATGAGACTCTAGTCTGGCCATATTTTAAAAAATTAAAAGGAAAATAACAAATATTGGTGAGGAAGTGGAGAAATTGGAACTCTGGGATAGTGCTGGTGGGAATGTAAAATGATGAAGCTGGTGTGGGAAACAGTTTGTCAATTTGGCAGGAAGTAAAACGGGATTACCACGTTATCTGACAATTTCACTCATAGTTATACACCCAATAGAATTAAACACAGCTACATAAATATCTGTACACAAATGTTCATAGCAGCACTATTCACAATAACCAAAAGATAGAACCAACCCAAATGTACATCAACTGATGAATGGATAAACAAAATGTGGCATATGCACACAATGGAATATTGTTCAGCCATGAAAAGGAATGAAGTACTGATACCTACTACAATGTGGATAAGCCTCAAAAACAGTATGCTAAGTGAAAAAGGTCAGACATAGAAGGTCACATATTATATAATTCTATTTATATAAAATATCCAGAATGGGTAAATTCATGAAGACAGATTGATGGTTGCCAGGGGCTAGAGGGAGGGGAGAATGGGGAGTGACTGTTTAATGGGCATGGTTTTGCTTTTGAGAGGAGAGTCATGAAAATGTTTTGGAACTTGAAAGGAGTGGTGGTTGCATAACACTGTAATATGCTAAATGCCACTAAATTAGGTACTTTTAAAAAATGGTTGATTTATGTTATATGCATTTCACCTCAACAAAATAATAAAGGAGCTTAAAAGAAAAAAACCATGTCAACCAGGGCTGCAGTAGTCTGATGCATTGCTTGGGCCTGGAGGATGCAATTTCAGGGTGGTTCACTCACATGGCTCTTGGCAGGAGGCTTCAGTTCCTTGCTGGGTGTTGGCAGGAGGCTCAGTTCATTGCCATGTCTGCCTCTCCATAGGGTGCAGGGCTGTGTGAGTGGACCGATTACACATTAGCTGGCTTTCCCCAGAGATAATAAGGAAAATAGAGAAGGAGCAAAGAGAAAGCCACAATGCCTTTTGTGACCTACCCTTGGGATCCTAACACTGCCAGTTCCACTGCATTCTTTTCATTAGAGGTAACCCACTAAGTTCAGCCCACAATCAAGAGGACAGTTAGGATTCATAGTTTAAAGGGAGCAGTATCAAAGTATTTGTGGCTATTTGTGAAAACCACCACAATTTCTTTTTATATGTTCTTGGGTTTCATTTGTTAATATTTTGTTAAGGATTTTGCATCTTTGTTCATGAGAGCTATTTGTTCAGTCTTCTTTTCTTTTTTTGAGACAGAGTCTCGCTCTGTCATCCAGGCTGGAGTGCAGAGGCATGCTGTCAGCTCACTGCAACCTCCACTTCCCAGGTTCAACATGATTCTCATGCCTCAGCCTCCCAAGTAGCTGGGATTACAGGCATGTACCACCACGCCCAGCTGATTTATTTTTATTTTTATTTTTGATTTTTAGTAGAGATGAGACATGGTTTTGCCGTGTTGGCCAGATTGGTTTCAAACTTCTGGCCTCAAGTGATCCACCCACCTTGGCCTTCCAAAATCCCGTGATTACAGGCATGAGACACTGCACCTGACCCATAGTCTTCTTTTCTTATGATGTCTTTAGCTTTGGTGTCAGGGTAATACTGGCTTAATAAAATGAGTTGGAAATTGTTCTTTACCTTTCTATAATACTTATTTATAGAATTTGTGTTGGATTGTACTAGCCCATTCATTTTCGTTAAATGTTTGATAGAATTTACAAGGGACTTCATCAAACGAATTCTGGGGAAACAATCTGGGCCTGGGATTTCCTTGTGAGAAGATTTTAAATTACTAATCCTAATGGATAAAATTACTAACTATAACTGATGTTAACATATTCAGATTTTATGTTATTTTGAGTCAGTTTTAGTAGTTTCCTGGCTTGGAATTTGGTTCATCTAACTTGTTTAATTTATTGACATAAAGTTGTAATAGTTCCTTTTAATTCTTATGATTTCTGTTGGGCATGCAGTGATGCATCCTCCTTCATCTTGATTATTTTGGAAGTTTATATCTTCATTCTCTTTTTCTTGTCAGTCTAGCTAAACAGTTATCAATTTTGTTGACTTTTCAAATAACCAACTTTTTATGTTTCATTGATTTTTCTATTGTTTTTATTTTCTGTTTTATTGATTTTGGCTCTGGCACAGTCTCGGCTCACTGCAACCTCCGCCTCCAGGGCTCAAGTGATTCTCCTGCCTCAGCCACCCAAGGAGCTGGGACTACAGGCGTGTACCACCATGCCCAGCTAATTTTTGTATTTTTAGTAGAGACGGGGTTTCACCATGTTGGCCAGGATGGTCTTGATCTCTTGAGCTCATGATCTGCCTGCCACGGCCTCCCAAAGTGCTGGAATTACAGGCGTGAGCCACTGTGCCCAGCTGCTCTGATCTTTACTAGTTTCTCTTTCCATTTAGTGTGGGTTCGATTTGTTCTTCTTTTTCTGGGTTCCTGAAGTGGAAGCATAGGTAATTGATTTGAGACCTTTTTCTTTTAAAATATAGGTGTTTAGTGCTATAAGCATTCCTCTAAGTATTATTTTAGAGGCATTCCATTTGTTTTGACATGTTGTGTTTTAATTTTCATTCAGTTTCAATATTTTTCTAATTTCCGTGATTTCTTCTTTGATCTATGGGTTATTTAGAAGTGTGTCATTTAATTTCCAAACCTTTGGATATTTCCAAGATTTCCCTATGTTATTGATTTCTACTACATTGTGATTGGAAGAAGTAAGTTTACTAAAACTATCCAATTTAAAATAATGTAAATAAATTGAACTGGTGTTCCCTAAATTTTTTTTTAACTTTTATTTTAGGTTTGGGGGTACATGTGAAGGTCACGTAGGTAAACACGTGTCATGGCGGCTTGTTGTACATATTATTTCATCACCCAGGTATTAAGCCCAGTACCCAATAGTTATCTTTTCTGCTCCTCTCCCTCCTCCCACCCTCCCCCATCAAGTAGACCCGTGTCTGTTGTTTCCTCCTTTGTGTTCAAAAGTTCTTATCGTTTGGCTCCCATCCTAAAGTTTAATGTGCACATAAACACCTGGGCATCTTGTTAAAATGCAGGTGTTGATTCAGCAAGTCTGAGATGAAGCCCGAGAATCTGCATTTCTTTTTTTTTTTTTTTTTTTTTTTTTTTGAGACGGAGTTTCGCTCTTGTTGCCGGGGCTGGAGTGCAATGGCGCAATCTCGGCTCATCTCACAAGCTCTCACTGCTGCTGGTCCTGGGGCCATGCTGAGTAGCAAGATTTAAAGATGATGATAATTTTCAAAATACATAGTATTTAATTTCTTAACTCCATTTGTCTTGTGATCATTTCCAATTTATTATTTTTAGTAATTATTACTACACATAAGAGTGTCTATTATTGGCCGGGTGCAGTGGCTCATGCCTGTAATCCCAGCACTTTGCGAGGCCGAGGCGGGCGGATCACCTGAGGTTGGGAGTTCGAGATCAGCCTGACCAACATGAAGAAACCCTGTCTCTACTAAAAATGCAAAAAAAAATAGCCGGGCATGGTGGTACATGCCTGTAATTCCAGCTACTCGGGAGGCTGAGGCAGGAGAATCGCTTGAACCCGGGAGGTGGAGGTTGCGGTGAGCCGAGATCGTGCCATTGCACTCCAGCCTGGGCAACAAGAGCGAAACTCTGTCTTAAAAAAAAAAAAAAGTGTCTATTATTATAGTGCATTATAGTGCTGAGAGATATTTTTTACACTTTATCCCACTCATTTTTCACAACTGTTAAGTAGGGAAGGCATGCATTGGCCAGGTGCGGTGGCTCACACCTGTAATCCCAGCACTTTGGAAGGCCGAGGCGGGTGGATCAAGAGATCAGGAGCTTGAGACCAGCCTGGCCAATATGGTGAAAACCCATGTCTACTAAAAATACAAAAATCTGCCGGGCGTGGTGGCGGGCACATGTAATCCTAGCTACTCCAGAGACTGAGGCAGGAGAATTGCTTGAACCCAGGAGGCGGAGGTTGCAGTGAGCCGAGATCGCCCACTGTACTCCAGCCTGGGCAACAGAGCAAGACTGCATCTCCGAAGGAAAAAAAAAAAAAAAGCATGCATTTATTTTATTACCTTTCCAGGGTGAGGAAACTGAGCCTCGGAGAGGTTGAGACTGGCTTGACGTATTTCACATTTCATCATTAGACCATGCTCCTTCCTTTTAATGATATTATATATTTGCGAAGCTGACTTTCCAGTGTTTGCTGTGACAAAAAAAAAAGTACCATTGAAGGTCCGTGGTGGTGCAGGCAGTGAAGGTGTCAGTTCCAACCAGACTCCGGATTTGAGAAGTTGTGGAGTGCCCAGTAGGCACGTTCATATTTAACTTATTTAAGGATGTTTATTTTAGGGGGAAGTAAATTTTTTAGGAGTTATGTGTATTTTTTCAGTGGCTACTAAATACTTATGTTGTATGAACCTAATAATGGAAGTTTGGGGTATTCTTGTTGGCCTAGGAGGTGCTGTGAAAAATTACTGAGATGCTCAGGGTGCAATGAGCTGAGAAAGTTTGGGGAATTCTACTATAAATAAATAATCCCACCATATATATGGATCCATATATATGTCACATGTAGATATCTTTATTTTTGCATGTAAATATATTTATTATATTACACATCTTTAGCCAGGTTTCACTTTGGAGTTCATAATTTTCTCTGTTTGCTCACATACATTACTCTATGAATTAATGAGTTGTCTTGGAATTGAAGCATGTTAGGGGAGGGGTATGTGTCTTTTCTAGGTTTTGCAAGTACTTGCTGTAGAGTCTCATATTTTTGTGGGTGTTGTCCTCAGGGATATGGTGCCTTTTGCTAATTACACTGATGCGGAAACAGAAGAAGAAATTGCTAAAAGCCACAGGGGAGCAGGCAGCTGAACCAAGGAGCACATGAAAAGCAGGTTTCTCCAGACTCTGCCACACCCTTTGGGAAACTTATTAGGGGGAAAAAAATCCTCTAAGTCTTTTTTTTTTTTTTGAGTCAGAGTCTTGCTCTGTTGCCCAGGCTGCTGGAGTGCAGTGGCGCAATTTTGGCTCACTGCAACCTCCACCTCCTGGGTTCAAGCAATTCTCCTGCCTTAGCCTCCCGAGTAGCTGGGATTACAGGTGTGCACCACCATGCCTGGCTAATTTTTTTGGTATTTTTAGTAGAGACAGGGTTTCACCATGTTGGCCAGGCTGGTCTCGAACTCCTGACCTTGTGATCCGCCTGCCTTGGCCTTCCAAAGTGCTGGGATTACAGGTGTGAGCCACCATGCCAGGCCAAAAGTCCTCTAAGTCCTTGTAAAGCTTGATTTATGGCTTACTTTGGGGCAGGGAGATGAAACAAAATTTGTCATGAGAATTTAAGATGTCAACCTAACTAATTTATCAGGGCTTTCAGCTGCAACAGAAGGGATAACAACTAGCCCTTCAAATGCTTGATAATGTGCCTAAGTTCAAATCAAGATGGAATCTTCTTGGATATCAATTTTTTCAACTTGAAGCTTCCCTATACTTATAAATCTTGATTGTTTTGTCTGAACATGAACAAGACTTTTGAGCATTGATTTAGTATAATGTGTGAATAAAACTAGGTAATGAAAGCTAGCGATTTTTTTTAGTTTTATTTTATCTATACTTGACACATAATTCTACATATTTATGGGGTACAGTATGATGTTTTAATACATGGTACATTGTATAATAATCATATTAGCATAATTAGCACAATTAGCACATTTATCACTTTAAGCATTTATTATTTCTTTGTAGTGTTAACATTCAAAATCCTCTCTTCTAGCTATCTTGAAATATATAATACATTATTATTATTAATAGTTATAGTCACTCTATTGTATAATAGAACACCAGAACTTATTCTTCTTAACTGTAACTTTGTACTGGTTGACCAACCCTCCCCTCCCCAGGATCTGGTAACCACTATTCTCTCTGCTTCTATGATCAACTTTCTTAGATTCCACATGTTGCTGGGTGCAGTGGCACATGCCTGTGGTCCCAGCTTCTTGGGAGCCTGAGGCAGGAGGATCGCTTGAGGCTGGGAGTTCTGGGCTGTAGTGTGCAATGCTGATTGGGTGTCTGCACTAAGTTCGGCATCAATACGGTGACCTCCTGGGAACAGGGGACTACCAGGTTGCCTAAGGAGGGGTGAACCAGTGCAGGTTGGAAACGGAGCAGGTCAAAACTCCCTTGCTGTTTGGAGTGGGATTGGGCCTGTGACTAGCCACTGTACTCAAGCCTGGGCAACATAGCAAGACCCCATCTCTAAAAAAGGAAATTTTAAATTTTTTGTATAAACTAATATTTTTAATAAAATAAATTTTTTAAAAAGGAAAAAATTTAATTAAAAAGCTAAAAAATAGATTCTACATGTGAATGAGATTACTCAGTATTTGCCTGAAAGCTAATGATTTTAAAAGTCCAGAAAAATGGTGCCTGCTGTTCTCACGATGGCGTTTTCTGCCAGGGCGTGAGCTAACATCTGGCAGACAGTGCCCTCTAGAGCTGTTCCGAGAATGATAACGTAAATACAGATCCCCGAGCTCTGCCCCTCTCAAACTGAATCAAAAGCGCGGGGCATGCAGCTCAGGTTTAAGTATTTTAAAAGGGCCCCCAGATGTTTTAATGCACATCCAAGATTGAGAACCACTGACATAAAGCCCTTTGGTGTTTAATACATTGAGTTTCTCATATTTCTAAATTTTCTCTTGAAATCACACTTCAGAGGACCTTGATAACCGGCCTTGACTTTTTAAAGTTTTTAATTTAGATTATTGGTTAATACACACTTGAGTCAACAGGTTGAAGGTTAATTCTACCCCCAGGAAAAAAGTAAAACTTTTTTGGTTCAAGAAGCCCAGCTCTTATCTTACAGGAGAACATGGAGAGAAATGGCATCAGCCTATTCAGAACTCTTCTGCCCACCTAGCCGGAATCAGCAATTTAGCATGCAGTCATAGCCATAGTTCACGTCTACGAATCGGTCAGCACCTGGGGGGCTATATCTTTGTCTTAGGTCTCCATGTTGCCCTCTGCAAACCTCTGTATTGCACTTGGTGAGCAGAGTGCAGAGCGGACCCTACAGCCCTCACCCCCATGACTGGCGCCTTTGGGAAGTGCCCACCCTGCCCAACCTTACCCTGCAGTTCTCCTAGGCCCAATAAAATCTCAATTAATATTCATGCATGCACTAGTGTATTCAACACATATTTGCTGTCTTTTGAAGAAGTGGGGCCAACCCAATTATATTTTCTGCATTATAAACACCTTCCAAGGCTCACCTTCTCTCTCTACCCCTCCATTTCTGGTCCTAGTTGAGGTCCTATCGTCTCTTACCTGGGCACCTGCAGTGACTCCCTAATCAGACTTGCTCCTTTTAGTCTCATCCCCTTCAAACCCAGCCCACACACTGGCCAGAACCATCTATTTAAAACTCAGATCTGGAGAGTGGGGAGGGATAGCATTAGGAGATATACCTAATGTAAATGACGAGTTAATGGGTGCAGCACACCAACATGGCACATGTATACATATGTAACAAACCTGCACGTTGTGCACATGTACCCTAGAACTTAAAGTAAAATAAACAAATAAATAAATAAAATAAAATAAAACAACAACTCAGATCTGGCCAGGGGGCTAACCCCTGCTCGACACCCCCCAGGGGCTCCCGCCACTATGATCTGCAATGGCTGGTTAAAAGGGACTAAAACTTTCCGGGGCTGGTCTCTGACCACTTCCTTAGCAGCCATCCTGTTGCTCCCAACCTCAGGGGATCCTTGAGCAATGCTGATTGATGGCTTTGCACACAGACCCCTTACAGGGATTGTTTTAATCACCTGCTATTCATCCTGCTGGTGAGAAAGGGATTCCTGTTCCAGGGTTATGGGGATGGCCAAACACAGGACACCTCACACTGGACAGATGAGATGACGGCAGTTTATAACTCACATTCTGGATCAGAACACAGCATAGCACGCAGGGCCACAGGGGCTACACTTGGGAACAGAGTGAATAGCCAGGGTCTGGAGTCAGGCTTTGTGCTATCAAAAGGGTAGGGTGATTCCTGATTCCTGCAGCAGAATATGATGGGCTTGTTTGAATAATTTCTCAGGCTGACAGGGAACTGACTGACACCCACTGCTCAGAGATAAGCAGGAACTGCACCGTGTTTGGCTAGGGGATCTTATCCAAGAGAGCAGAAGGGAGGGGAATTTGTGGTTAGAGCATTCTAGGCTCTCTCAGTTTGACCAGATGTCAAAGCAGCACTTAATATTGAACGAAATTCTAGGCCTTACATCACAGGCAAACAGGTGAGCTCCACCTCTGTGGGCTCCTCCATCTCCCCACTCCCACTTACTCTGGCTAACTCCTGGTCAGCCTTATTTTTCAACTCTGATCTCCTCTCCAGCAGGCCACTTCCCTGGCCTCTCCTATCTAGCTGAGTTGCTTACCTATCCTAGGTACTCTTAGTGCCTTTTTTTTCTTCTTTTTTTTGAGACGGAGTCTCACTCTGTCTCCCAGGCTAGAGTGTAGTGGCACTATCTCGGCTGCAAACTCCGTCTCTTGGGTTCAAGTGATTCTCCTGCCTCAGCCTCCTGAGTAGCTGGGATTACAGGTGTGTGCCACCACACCCAGCTAATTTTTGTATTTTTAGTAGAGACAGGGTTTCACCATGTTGGCTAAGCAGATCTTGAACTCCTGACCTCAGGTGATCCAACTGCCTCAGCCTCCCAAAGTGCTGGGATTACAGGCATGAGCCACTGTGCCCAGCAGGGTACTCTTGTTGCACCCTCTTGTCCATGCCATAGTCTAATAAAAATGTAGAGATGAGTCTCTAAATTTAACGTTTTATTTGGGATACAAGAATTGCAATTTGGGGCGTACACATAGACTAGGTACTCTTTGGTGTGTCTGAAGAACAAAGAGAAAGTTGGGGGTTTTATTTTTAAAAAGAAATGTTGCCTGTGGTCTTGAAAGAAAGTTCATGGGTATTAGTAAAGTTGTGGGGAGCTGGAAAGCTCCAGTTGGTGAGCCACAGGCCTGGGTAAAATTAGTCTTTGAGCTGTAGCAGCTATTGGGTAAAGCTGGTCCAAGGCTGGTCTTGTTTCAGCAGCTATTGGGTAAAGCTGGTCTTAGGTTACCACAGGCAGCTTTAGCTGCTGGACTTGGAGAGAATTAAATTTTTGGAGCAATGCTATATGCCGCAAGTGCTTTTCCCTTCTGGCTTCTCAACTCTGTTTTTGTTGGGTATGACAAGAATGACCCAATTTGTATAATCAATTTTCACACTCAGAAGTTAGCAAACTACGCTTAAGCACACTCTGTCTTCTCCTCTACAATGTCGGCTCCTTGCAGACAGGGGCCTGGCACAGTTTATTTGTTTTCAAATCTCTAGTACCTGTCCAAGGAAAGGTGGCAAATTTTAAGAATATAACTCAAAAATTCTAATTTACTTTTGCTACATTTTATACCATAAGAAAAAGCAAGTCCATTGGAATCCCTCAGACAAAACAGTCAACAAAAATTTCAAACTCTACAGGGAAATTGTGGGGGAAATTACATTATTTAAAAAATGGCTGGGCGTGTTTGCTCACACCTTAAATCCCAACACTTTGGGAGGCCAAGGCAGGAGGATTACTTCAGGCCAGGAGTTCAAGACCAGCCTGAGCAACATAGTGAGACCCTACCTCTATAATCTGTATATATTTTAAAATTAGCCAGGCATGGTAGCACACGCCTATAGTCTTAGCTACTCGGGAGGCTGAGGTGGGAGGATTGCTGGAGCCCAGGAATTTGAGGCTGCAGTGAGCCATGATTGCACCATCACACTCCAGCCTGGTGACAGAGTAAGACTCTGTCTCTTAAAAAAAAAAATTGTTTTGTGAATATGTCCTCTCCCTACTCCTTTTCTTCACAATGTTTGGCTGGGTGCACATGAACACTTGCTCTCAGCATACCTTGGCGATTTTGCTGCCCTCTTCTTAAAATGTTAAGCATGAGGTCAAAGAGAGTTTATAGTTCTGAAGTACCACTTCAAATCAGTGTGCTGGGAACTCGTCCTCACAGCCAGGAGCTGAGCTCTGCTTTAGTTTCACACAGAGTTTATTCACATTGGCAATGGATGCTCTGTCCAGGTCGTGAATCTAGTAGATTTGTTTCCTTCAGAGCCTTCTGGTAGGAAACAAATATTCTCAGAGACAAAGCTTTTATAATCCCAGACCCATTGGTAGAGAAGAATTCAGCATCTCATGACTACTAAGGAGCAGAGCCAGGATTCAAACCTAGGTGTGTCCAGCTCCCAAGACTACGCAGAGTGGAGTTAGGCCAGAATGTGGAACGGCCATGGGCTCTCGCAGAAGACCAGTAGGGCAGAAGGACAAGCTAGCAGCCTCGGGCCCCACAGGACCCAAAGACAAATTTTGTTTGAATTGTGCTGTACTTACAATTTTGTTCCCATTTTTTTTTATTGTGGTAAAATACACATAACATAGAATTCACCATTTTATCCATTTTGAGTGTATAGTTGAGTGGCATTAAATACATTCATAATGTTGTACAACCATCTCCAGAGCTCTTTTTATCTTGCAAAACAGAAACTATATCCATTAAATGCTAATTCTCCATTCTCTTCTCTCCCAGCTCCTGGCAACCCACCATTCTATTTTCTGTCTCTGTGACTTTGACAATTCTGGGTACCTCATAGAAGCGGAATCATGCAGCATTTGTCTTCTTGTGACTGGCTTACATCACTTAGCATGATGTCTTCAAGACCCATCCACGTTGTAACACTGTCAGAATTTCCTTCCTTTTTAAGGCTAAATAATGTCTCATTGTATACACTCACGTATATCACATTTTGCTAATCCATTCACCTACTGATGGACACTTGGGTTCCTGGTACAGTTTGGCTATTATGAATAACGCTGCTACAAACAGAGGTGTATAAATATCTGTTAGTATCCCTGCTTTCAGTTCTTTTGGAAGTATACCCAGAAGTGGAAATGCTGGATCATATGGTAGTTCTATTTTTAATTTTTTGCAGAACTGCCATACTGTTTTTCACAGTGGCTATACCGTTTTACATTCCTACTGACAGGGCACAAGGATTTCAACTTTTCCACATTCTCACCAACATTTCTTATTTTCTTTTTTAAAAAAATAATGGCCATCCTAATGGATGTGAGGTGGTATTTCATTGTAGTTTTGGTGTGTTTTTCCCTAATGATTACCAATGTTGAGCATCTTTCCATGTGTATATATAATTTTTAAAAAATTAGTTGTTAACATGAAATACCGTAAATTTCACAATAACTCCAAATTCCTGGCTTCTCTTGACAAAACAAGAGATCTGGCTCAGCTGGGCACTTATTTCCACAAGGCAGCAGTCAGCTACTCGGGAGGGCGGCTGCTCTCTAGAAAGCCCGTGCATTCTCTGGTTTACCGCAGGCCCTACCACTCCCTGTTGCCTGACCCCAGGTGGCACAAAAGTCTGGGACTCCCTAGGGGATGTTAGCAGTACCTCAACTTGTCTATGTCTTCAGATCTTCAGGCCAAGAACTCACCCCGGCCTCATGCACCTCTACCCTGCCCCTGGGCCTTGTGAAAACTGCCAGAACAGCTCCGGAGACCACATCTGACTTCTCCGTGTGCTTCTTGCAATCACCTCTGAACAGGAGCCAAAAAGTATTTGCCAAGTGAATAAGAGAATGGAGCCTTTCTTCATAAATCTTAACAAATCAGTTAAGAATCTAGGTGTGACCAGGGAATGACATCTCGAGCCCAAATGATTTCAGGAGAGGCTGCCAGAGGCCTTTTTGAATGAAGAGCAGCCCAAGTATGGCTAAGCCAGGCACGCAGCCGCGTTTCTGGCATTGTGCTTTCATGGCAAAGGTTTGATGAGGCTTTCTTGAGGTGACCGAGTGAGGAGACCAAAGTTGCTGGGGCGTAACCCTTCTATTGTTGCATTAACCAGGCAAATACGTGGAGGGCTTTTCTAGGTGACTAAGGCCCTAGCAATGTCCTATGGGGTGGAGCTGGTGGGTGTTCCCCTCTCCCATGGGTGGCAGCCAGTACCCAGGAACTTTGGCTGGGGACGCCAAGACTCGGAAAACAAAACCTGGGACTTTGCGTGTCTGAGAAGATAGGCAGGATCCTCCACGCCTCCTCCCAGACTGAACCTGGTGAATCACCCGGCGTATCCCACTGTCAGGAAGGCAGGCACTGAAGTGTCTGTGGCAAACCCAGAGAGAAGAGAAATTGTTCAGGCTGCCTTCCTGGGACCTCCCAGTCTTACCCTTTAAGCAAGGACTTAACAACATCAACAGAGTGGAAAGCAGCCTCTCCTTTCTACCACCTTGAGGATGAGTACCCATTTCACAGGACAGAAGGATGGAGGTTTGTTTCCCAGTGACATGTGACCCTGGACATGAACTATAAAAGCACTGAACTATTAAAGGTCTAGTTGGTCATCTTGAAATTCCAACTTTCTGGCTAGGTTAGTTAGGTGCAGTCTGAATCAATTATGGTTTTACAGAAAGATGCTGTAGCTCTCTGGGGCAGGAACTCATCATTTTGCAGACATAGGCCTGGCTCCAGAAATACTTAAGGGGTCCACGGGACATCAGAGTAAACAACCTGCTGCTTTATTATATTAGTAGTAATCACAAAGTTGATTGTGCACCTGCCTTAAGTGCTTCCTACAAGCCAATCACTCTTCTACACCTTTGCCACATATTGATACTTTTGATTATCACCACGGGGCTTTGAGGTCTGATTGAATTCCAGGATGAAGACGTCGTTGGGGCACCGACAGACAGCGCCTATGGCAAAGAGTGCCCAAGGCAGACAGCTCCCAAGGGGCAGTGCTGGGAGCCATCCTAAAAGCTTGTTCTTTCAACTCCTACAGTATTAGGGTTGTGTGTGGTTCCCATAAAAATAGCTACCTGCTTTCCCTGCCCTCAGAGCACTATTCCACAAGCAAATCCCTGCCCCATGCCCCTCTTTTTTCCCAAATGAATCAAGAGCACCTATGTCCATTATGATCTTTACTCCTCACAACACAGTAAAATGGGTGTTGCTCTAATGCCATCATGAGCTCCACTGTTCAGAGCAGAAAACAGACGCAGAGAGACTTGGTGGTATGGTCACTGGCATAGGCGGGGAGGCCGATGAGGACACTGCCTAGGTCTCCCTGCCCGGGCTGGGGTTCCTGATGCCCTGCCCCCAGTGGGTTACCAGCAAATTCATGATGGATAAATAAGCTTATTGATAACTTCTAGATGGGCAACTTCAGATAATTGACAATATCACTCCCTACTCGTGTCATGTAGCAAAATCTTCTTAAATAATATTTTGGATTGACATTATTGTAAAATATGTTACTATATTTCCTGCATTTTTTTCTTACTTTTTTCCTTCCTCAATTGCCATATTTTATTTTAGCAATTTTGATGGAAATTTTTCTAAAATAGATTACATGATTTTTTATATCTTTTTTTAAGAGTAGCTTTTAAAAATAACTTTACCATGGAAAGTTTTGAAGATACACAGAAATGGTTCAGAGTTGAGTGAATCCACAGTACCCATCGCCCAGCCTCAATTGCCATCAGTGGTGACTGGTCCTGCCCCCCACATCCCACTCAGTGACATCCCCCTCCACCCATAGAACTGAAGCAAATCCCAGACATTGTATCATTTCACTTCTAGATATTTAGACATGTATCTCCAAAAGATACAATTATTTTTATCACAATTACCCTACTCTTTTTCTTTCTTTTCTTGAGACGCAGTCTCACTCTGTCGCCAGCTCAGAGTGCAGTGGTCCTATCTCGGCTCACTGCAACCTCTGCCTCCTGGGTTCAAGCAATTTTCCTGTCTCAGCCTCCCGAGTAGCTGGGACTACAGGTGCATGCCACCACGCCCGGCTAATTTTTGTATTTTTAGTAGAGATGAGGTTTCACCATGTTGGCCAGGATGATCTCGATTTCTTGACCTTGTGATCCGCTGCCTTAGCCTCCCAAAGTGCTGGGATTACAGGCGTGAGCCACCGTGCCTGACCACCCTACTCTTTTTACATATGAAAATTAATAAAAATTTCTTTCTTTTTTTTTTTTTTTTTTTTAAAGAGACAGAGTATCACCATGTTGCATGGGTTGGTCTCGAACTCCTAATCTCAAGTGATCCGCCCACCTTGGCCTCCCAAAGTTCTGGGATTACAGGTGCGAGCCACCGTGCCTGGCCAAAATGTCTTATTTAATATATTCAGTTGTATTCAAATATTCAATTGTATCATACATTTGTACATTTTTAGCAGAATGTTTTTTCTTTAAAAAAAAAAACTTTTTTTTAGGTTCAAAGGTCCTTGTGATAAAGGCCTTGTAATAAAGGCCCTTTATTTTAGGTTCAAAGGTCCATGTGAAGGTTTGTTACATAGGTAAACCCATGTCATGGGGGTTTCTTGGACAGAAGATTTCATCACTCAGGTATTAAACCCAGTACCCAATAGTTATGTTTTCTGCTCTTCTCCCTTCTCCCACCCTCCATCCTCAAATAGACTCCAGTGCACCCTGGAGGTTGGCTCCAGAATCCAATGTACGACCCCAGCATGCTGTTAATTAGGTAATAGTTTAATACAGGGAAGACAGATTCAAGAATGCTGGCTTCCATTATTCTCTGTGTCTTTGTGTGAATCATTTCTCTTTTACTATTAGCAAGGGGAACAAATTATACTCCTTTAATACCATTTTACAATTCTCTGTTGAAAAGGAGCATGGTTCAGATTGTTACAAGCCGTACCAGGCCTCCTTTGAATTATGCAAATCCCAGAGTTATTTCAATATGAAAGAAATGTTTCTAGTTTTTAAATATGACTAACTCCAGGCATAAGTGGAAACTGGTACAACTACCTTGGAAACCCAATTGGCACAGTTTCATAAAGCTGAACACATCCATATCTTTGGATACAGCAGTTTCACACTTCTATGTGTATACTGAAGCAAAATGAGTGCATAGGACCACCAAAAATACCTGCAGGAATGTTTTCAGCATTTCTTTTTGTACCATCCTCAAACTGGGAACAACCCAAATGTCCATCAACAGAGGACATCATACATCATTAGAGAAATGTGATTAAAACAGTGGTGGGATACCACTATACACCTATTAAATGACCCAAATCCACAAAATCCAGAACTCTGACAACACCAAATGTTGATGAAGTTGTGGAGTGACAGGAACTCTCATTCGTTACAACACAAATGAATTTTTGTGGGAATGCAAAATGATACAGCCACTTTGGAAGACAGTTTGGCAGTTTCTTACAAAATTAAAAATATTCTTACCATTTTATCCAGCAGTCGTGCTCTTTGGTATTTACTCAAAGGAGTTGAAAACTTACGTACACACAAAAACCTGCACACAGATTTTATAGTGGCTTTGTTCATAACTGCCAAAACTGGGAACCAACCAAGACGTCCTTCAGTAGGTGAATGGATAAATCAACTGTAGTTCATCCAGACAATGAAATATTATTCAGTGCTAAAAAGAAATGAGCTAGCAAGCCATGAACAGACGTGGAGGAAACTTAAATGCCTATGACTAAGTGAAGGAAATCAATCTGAAAAAGCTATACACTATATGATTCCAACTATGTGACATTCTGGAAAAGGCAGCAGTAAAATGATCAGTAGTTGCCAGGGGTTGGGAGGAGAAGAATAAATACGTGGAGCACAGAGGATTTTTTTAAATTATACTTTAAGTTCTAGGGTACATGTGCATAACGTGCAGGTTTGTCACATATGTATACATGTGCCATGTTGGTGTGCTGCACCCATTAACTTGTCATTTACATTAGGTATATCTCCTAATGCTATCCTCCCCCCTCCCCCCACCCCACGACAGGCCCCCGGGTGTGATGTTCCCCTTCCTGTGTCCAGCGTTCTCATTGTTCAATTCCCACCTATGAGTGAGAACATATGGTGTTTGATTTTCTGTCCTTGCAATACTTTGCTAAGAATGATGGTTTCCAGCTTCATCCATGTCCCTACAATGGACATGAACTCATCCTTTTTCATGGATGCATAGTATTCCATGGTGTATATGTGCCACATTTTCTTAATCCAGTCTATTATTGATGGACATTTGGGTTGGTTCCAAGTCTTTGCTATTGTGAATAGTGCTGCAATAAACATACGTGTGCATGTGTCTTTATAGCAGCATGATTTATAATCCTTTGGGTATATACCCAGTAATGGGATGGCTGGGTCAAATGGTATTTCTAGTTCTAGATCCTTGAGGAATCACTACACTGTCTTCCACAATGGTTGAATCAGTTTACAGTCCCACCAACAGTGTAAAAGTGTTCCTATTTCTCCACATCTTCTCCAGCCCCTGTCCTTTCCTGACTTTTGAATGATCACCATTCTAACTGGTGTGAGATGGTATCTCATTGTGGTTTTGATTTGCATTTTTCTGATGGCCAGTGATGATGAGCATTTTTTCATGTGTCTGTTGGCTGCATAAATGTCTTCTTTTGAGAAGTGTCTGTTCATATCCTTCACCCACTTTTTGATGGGGTTGTTTTTGTTTCTTGTAAATTTCTTTGAGTTCTTTGTAGATTCTGGATATTAGCCCTTTGTCAGATGAGTAGATTGCAAAAATTTTCTCCCATTCTGTAGGTTGCCTGTTCACTCTGATGGTAGTTTCTTTTGCTGTGCAGAAGCTCTTTAGTTTAATTAAATCCCATTTGTCAATTTTGGCTTTTGTTGCCATTGCTTTTGGTGTTTTAGACATTAAGTCCTTGCCTATGCCTGTGTCCTGAATGGCATTGCCTAGGTTTTCTTCTAGGGTTTTTATGGTTTTTGGTCTAACATGTAAGTCTTTAATCCATCTTGAATTAATTTTTGTATAAGATGTAAGGAAGGGATCCAGTTTCAGCTTTCTACATATGGTTAGCCAGTTTTCCCAGCACCATTTATTAAATAGGGACTCCTTTCCCCATTTCTTGTTTTTGTCAGGTTTGTCAAAGATCAGATGGTTGTAGATGTGTGGTATTATTTCTGAGGGCTCTGTTCTGTTCCATTGGTTTATATCTCTGTTTTGGTACCAGTACCATGCTCTTTTGGTTACTGTAGCCTTGTAGTATAGTTTGAAGTCAGGTAGCATGATGCCTCCAGCTTTGTTCTTTTGGCTTAGGATTGACTTGGCAATGTGGGCTCTTTTTTGGTTCCATATGAACTTTAAAGTAGTGTTTTCCAATTCCGTGAAGAAAGCCATTGGTAGCTTGATGGGGATGGCATTGCATCTATAAATTACCTTGGGCAGTGTGGCCATTTTCACAATATTGATTCTTCCTATCCATGAGCATGGAATGTTCTTCCATTTGTTTGTGTTCTCTTTTATTTTGTTGAGCAGTGGTTTGTAGTTCTCCTTGAAGAGGTCCTTCACATCTCTTTAAGTTGGATTCCTAGGTATTTTATTCTCTTTGAAGCAATTGTGAATGGGAGTTCACTCATGATTTGGCTCTCTGTTTGTCTGTTATTGGTGTATAAGAATGCTTGTGATGTTTGCACATTGATTTTGTATCCTGAGACTTTGCTGAAGTTGCCTATCAGCTTAAGGAGATTTTCGGCTGAGACGATGGGGATTTCTAAATATACAATCATGTCATCTGCAAACAGGGACAATTTGACTTCCTCTTTTCCTAATTGGATACCCTTTATTTCTTTCTCCTGCCTGATTGCCCTGGCCAGAACTTCCAACACTACGTTGAATAGGAGTGGTGAGAGAGGGCATCCCTCTCTTGTGCCAGTTTTCAAAGGGAATGCTTCCAGTTTTTGCCCATTCAGTACGATATTGGCTGTGAGTTTTTCATAAGCAGCTCTTATTGTTTTGAGATACATCCCATCAATACCTAATTTATTGAGAGTTTTAGCATGCAGGGCTGTTGAATTTTGTCAAAGGCCTTTTCTGCATCTATTGAGATAATCATGTGGTTTTTGTCTTTGGTTCTGTTTATATGCTGGATTTCATTTATTGATTTGCGTATATTGAACCAGCCTTGCATCCCAGGGATGAAGCCCATTTGATCATGGTGGATAAGCTTTTTGATGGAGCACAGAGGATTTTTAGGGTAGTGAAACTACTTTGTGTGATCCTGTAATGGTGGGTACGTGTCATTATACATTTGTCCAAACCTGCAGAATGTACACCAAGAGAGAACCTTAATGTAAACTATGGCCTGTGGGTGATAATGATGGTCAGTGTAGGTTCATTGGTTATAATGAACAAATGTGCGACTCTGGTGGGGGATGTTAATAATGGGGGAGGCTTTGCATGTGCGAGCGTGGTGTGTATATGGGAAATCTTTGTATCTTTTTCTCAATTTTGCTGTGAGCTCATGTCTGTAATCCCCACACTTTAGGAGGCAGAAACAGGAGGATCACTGAAGCCCAGGAGTTCAAGACCAGCCTGGCCAACACAACAAGACCCCATCTCTAAAAATAATAAGAAAATTAGCTGAGTGTGGTGGCACACACCTGTGATCCCAGCTACTCAGGAGGCTGAGGCTAGAGGATTGCTTGAGCCCAGGCACCTGAGGCTGCAGTGAGCCATGATCATATCACTGCACTCCAGCCTGGGCAACAGAGCGAGACCCTGTCTCAAAAATAAATTAATAAATAAAAATTTTAAAAATTAATGACAAAAAAAGACCTGACATATCTGGTTTTGGGGGAAGAACGTAAAGAAATTAGAATTAGCACACAACCGCTTCACCACAGCACACTAGACTATCAAACAGAAGCCAAGCCCTGAGACTAACTGGCCACAGCAAGGAGGTGAGGGCAGACGGAGCCCAAGAATAATTTCTTTCTTGATCCCTTTCCAACTTCCAAATAAAATTGACCTTCTTTCTTAATGCTCGTAGTATGCCCCATACAAAAATCTCTAGTTGCATTTTCTTACTTAGCAACATTTAAATAGCAATTACATGTGTACTAATATTTAATTAAAATAATAATAATTTAAAATAATAGAAATGTAATCCTCATAACAACCCTCGGGCAGGTATCATTCGCATTCCCATTACAGATGCAGAGACTGAGGCACAGACAAGTTAAATTGGTCAGTTGACCGAGGTCTCCCAGCTAGTAAGTGGCAGAGTGGTCAGGCTGGGTGCAATCAATGAGGGGGACCAATCTGGCAGAGGGACCAGCATGTTCAAGGGGAAATGGCCTGGGGTGGTGAAGTTCAACTCACACTAGCTGGGGGGAACGATGACACCCAATCCTTGAATTAGCCATTCTTGAGGCTCCAGAAAGGACAGAGCTGGGATTGGGAGGTCTCAGTCCTAGCAGAGACCTCACTGCTGGGTGAAGGCTTTAAGGCAGGAAATTAAGGAGGTGTCCCAAATCTCCAACTGCGGCCCAGGCTCACTCCTGGCCCAGACCTGCGGAGTCATCTGCCGGCCAGACTTTCTGCGCAGCATATGCTGAGCGGAAATCTTCATCTCCGGTCCTATATCTCCTCCCCTGCTCCTGCTGGCTCTCCTGCTTCATGACAGCCCCCCAAAGCTGAAGCCTTTCTTCACGCCTTCTCTCAAAGTCCCAAAACTGCCTCCATCACCTGCAGACCAGGGAACCTGGGCACATATTGTACTTTATCGGAGCCCAGTTTCCTTCATTTGTAAAAGATGGAAATGATCCTAGGCTGGCTGGGCTTAAAGCACTGACTCCCAGACACGTAGTAAACGCTCATTCAATTTTAGCCAATTCCACCTCCTTAATTACTCTCACTCAGACCCAGCCGCTGCTGGATATGGATATATATATATACACATATATATACACACACATATATATATACACACACACACATATACATACACACATATATATACATACATATATATATATATACATACATATACATATATATACCACAGTTTCTTTATCCACTCATTGGTTGATGGGTATTTGGGCAGGTTCCATAGTTCTACAATTGCGAATTGTGCTGCTGTAAACATATGTGTGTGAGTATCTTTTTCATATAATGACTTCTTTTTCTTTGGGCAGAAACCCAGTAGTGGGATTGCTGGATCAAATGGTAGTTCTACTTTTAGTTCTTTAAGGAATCGCCATACTTTTTTCCATTGTGGTTGTAGTAGTTTACATTCCCACCAGCAGTGTAAAGGTGTTCCCTTTTCACTACATCTATGCTAACATCAATTTTTTTTAATTTTTTGATTATGGCCATTCTTGTAGGAGTAAGGTGGTATCTCACTGTTGTTTTGATTTGCAATTCCCTGATCATTAGTGATGCTGAGCATTTTTTATATGCTTGTTAGCCATTTGTTTATCTTCTTTTGAGAATTATCTATTCATGTCATTAGCCCACTTTTTGATATGGATTGTTTTCTTTTTCTTGCTGATTTGTTTGAGTTTCTTGTAGATTCTGGGTATTAGTCCTTTGCTGGATGTATGGATTGTGAAGATTTTCTCCCATTCTGTGTGTTGACTATTTACTCTGCTAATTGTTTCTTTTGCTGTGCAGAAGCTTTTTAGTTTAATTAAGTCCCATCTATTTATCTTTGTTTTTGTTGCATTTGCTTTTGGGTTCTTGGTCATGAAGTCTTTGCCTAAGCCAATATCTAGAAGGATTTTTCTGATATTATCTTCTAGAATTTTTAAGGTTTCAGGTCTTAGATTTAAATCTTTGATCTATCTTGAGTTGATTTTTGTATAAGGTGAGAGATGAGGATCCAGTTTCACTCTTCTACCTGTGGCTAGTCAATTATCCCAGCACCACTTGTTGACTAGGGTGTCCTTTCTCGACTGTTTGTGTTTGCTTTGTCAAAGATCAGTTGGCTGTAGGTACTTGGTTTTATTTCTGAGTTTTCTCTTCTGTTCATTGGTCTACATTAGAATTATTTTTTTCTAGTTCTGTGAAGAATGCTGGTGTAATTTCTATGGGAATTGCATTGAATTTGTTGATTGTTTTTGGCAGTATGGTCATTTTCACATTGATTGTACCCATCTGTGAGCACGGGATGTGTTTCCATTTGTTTGTGTTGTTTATGATTTCTTTCAGTAGTGTTTTGTAGTTTTCCTTGTAGAGGTCTTTCACCTCCTCGGTTAGGTATATCCCAAGTATTTTATTTTATTTTATTTGCAGCTGTTGTAAAAGGGGTTGAGTTCTTGATTTGATTCTCAGCTTGGTTGCTGTGTGTAACAGAGCTACTGATTTGTGTACACTAATTTTGTATCCTGAAACTTTGCTGAATTCATTTATCAGTTCTAGGAGCTTTTTGGAGAAGTCTTCAGGGTTTTCTAGGTATATGATCATATCATCAGCAAATAGTGACAGTTGGACTTTTTTAAAACCAGTTTGGGTGCCCTTTATTTCTTTCTCTTGTCTGATTGCTCTGACTAGCACTTCCAGTACTATATTGAATACAAGTGATGAGAGGGGGCATTCCCTGTCTTGTTTCAGTTCTCGGGGAGAATGCTTTCAATTTTCCCCTGTTCAGTATTATGTTGGCTGTGGATTTGTTGTAGAAGGCTTTTATGGCCTTATGGTATGTCCCTTCTATGCCGATTTTGCTGAGGGTTTTAATGATAAAGGGATGCTGGATTTTGTCAAATAATTTTTCTGTGTCTATTGAGATGACCATGTGATTTTTGTTTTTAATTCTGTTTACGTATATCTCATTTATTGACTTGTGCATGTTGAACCAACCCTGCATCTCTGGTGTGAAACCCACTCGGTCGTGGTGGATTATCTTTTTGATATGATGTTGGATTTTGTTAGCTAGTATTTTGTTGAGGATTTTTGCATCTATGTTCATCAGGGATATTGGTCTGTAGTTTTCTTTTTCTTTGTTATGTCCTTTCCTGGTTTTGATATTAGGGTGATACTGGCTTCATAGAATGGTTTAGGGAGGGTTCCCTCTTTCTCTGTGTTGTGGAATAGTGTCAATAGGATTGGTACCAATTCTTTTTTGAATGTCTGATAGAATTCAGCTGTGAATCTGTCTGGTACTGGACTTCTTTTTGTTGACAATTTTTAAATTACCATTTCAATATCACTGCTGGTTATTGGTCTGTTCAGAGTTTCTATTTCTTCCTGGTTTAATCTAGGAGAATTGTATATTTCCAGGAATTTATCTATCTCCTCTAGGTTTTCTAGTTTATGTGTGTAAAGGTGTTCATAGTAGCCTTGAATTAGCTTTTGTATTTCTATGGTATTGGTTTTAATATCTCCTGTTTCATTTCTAATTGAGCTTATTTGGATCTTCTCCTTTTCTTGGTTAATCTTGGTAATGGTCTATCAATTTTATTTATATTTTCAAAGAACAAGCTTTTTGTTTCATTTATCTTTTGTATTTTTTGTTTCAATTTCATTTAGTTCTGCTCTGATCTTTGTTATTTCTTTTCTTCTGCTGAGTTTGGGGTTGGTTTGTTCTTGTTTCTCCAGTTATGTGTGGTGTGACCTCAGATTGTCTATGTGTTCTCTTCCAGACTTTTTGATGCAGGCATTCAAGGCTATGAACTTTCCTCTTAGCACCGTCTTTGCTGTAGCCCAGAGGTTTTGATAGGTTATGTCGCTATTACCGTTCAGTTCAAAGAATTTTTTAACGTCCATTTTGATTTCATTGTTGACCCAACGATCACTCAGGAGCAGGTTATTTAATTTCCATGTGTTGGCATAGTTTTGAAAGTTCCTTTTGGAGTTGATTTCCAATTTTTTTCCACTGTGGTCTGAGAGAGTACTTGATATAATTTTGATTTTCTTGGCCGGGCATGGTGGCTCATGCCTGTAATCCCAGCACTTTGGGAGGCTGAGGCAGGCAGATCACTTGAGGTCAGGAGTTCGAGACCAGCCTGGCCAACATGGAGAAACCCCATCGCTACTAAAAATACAAAAATTAGCCAGGTGTGGTGGCAGGTGTCTGTAATCCCAGCTACTTAGGAGGCTGAGGCATGAGAATCACTTGAACCCAAGAGGCAGAGGTTGCAGTGAGCCAAGATTGCACCACTGTACTCCAGCCTGGGCAATAGAGTCAGACTCTGTTAAAAAAAAAAAAAAAAAAGATTTTCTTAAATTTGTTGAGACTGTTTTGTGGCCTATCATATGGTCTATCTTACAGAATGTTCCATGTGCTGATGAATAAAATGTATATTCTGCAGTTGCTCGTAGAATGTTCTATAAATATCTGTTAAGTCCATTTGTTCTAGGGTATAGTTTTAATCCATTGTTTCTTTGTTGACTTTCTGTCTTGATAACCTCTCTAGTGCTGTCAGTGGAGTATTGAAATCCGCCACTATTATTGTGTTGCTGTCTATCTCATTTCTTAAGTCTAGTAACAATTGTTTTATAAATTTAAGAGCTCCAGTGTTATTTGCGTATATATTTAGGATTGTGATATTTTCCTGTTGGACAAGTCCTTTTATCATGATAAAAGGGGCCATTAGGCCCTCTTTGTCTAGGCCCTCTTTGTCTTCGTTAACTGATGTTGCTTTCAAGTTTGTTTTTTTTGATATAAGAATAGCTTATATCTTAAGTGAACTCATGTTTGCTTTTGGTGTCCATTTGCATGAAATATCTTTTTCACTGCTTTACCTTAGGTTTATGTGAGTTCTCATGTGTTAGGTAAGTCTCTTGAAGACAGCAGATACTTGGTTGGTGAATTCTTATCCATTCTGCCATTCTGTATCTTTTGTTTGTGTTTGTTTTTGTTTTGTTTGTTTCTGTGTCTTTTAAGTGGAGCATTTAGGCCATTTACAATCAATGTTAGTATTGACATGTGAGGTACTATTCTATTCATCAAGCAATTTTGTTGCCTGAATACCTTGGGGTTTTTTTTTTTTTTTATTGTGTTTTTGTTCCATAGGTCCTGTGAGATTTATGCTTTAAGGAGGCTCTATTGGCCGGGTGCAGTGGCTCACGCCTGTAATCCCAGCACTTTGGGAGGCTGAGGCAGGCAGATCACGAGGTCAGGAGATTGAGATCACCCTGGCTAACACGGTGAAACCCCATCTCTACTAAAAATACAAAAAAAAAATAGCCAGGCATGGTGGCGGGCACCTGTAGTCCCAGCTACTCAGGAGGCTGAGACAGGAGAATGGCATGAACCCAGGAGGTGGAGCTTGCAGTGAGCCAAGATAGCACCACTGCACTCTAGCCTGGGCGACAGATCAAGACTGTCTCAAAAAAAAAAAAAAAAGAAAAAAAGGAGGCTCTATTTTGGTGTATTTTGAGGATGTGTTTTAAGCTTTAGAGCTCCTTTTAGCAGATCTTGTAGTGCTGGCTTGGTAGTGGTGAATTCTCTCAGCATTTGTTTGTCTGAAAAAAGGTGTATCTTTTTTTTTCATTTATGAAGCTTAGTTTCACTGGACACAAAATTCTTGGGTGATAATTGTTTTGTTTAAGGAGGCTAAAGATAGGGCCCCAATTCCTTCCAGCTTGTAGGGTTTCTGCTGAGAAATTTGCTGTTAATCTGATAGGTTTTCCTTTACAGGTTACCTGATGCTTTTGCCTTACAGCTCTTAAGATTCTTTCCTTCATCTTGACTTTAGATAACCTGATGACTATGTGCCTAAGTGATGCTCTTTTTGCCATAAATCTCCCAGGTGTTCTTTGAGCTTCTTGTATTTAGGTGTATAGATCTCTAGCAAGGCCAGGGAAGTTTTCCTCAATTATTCCCTCACACATGCTTTCCAGACTTTTAGATTTCTCTTCTTCCTCAAGACCAACAAACTTCTTGGAGGCTTTGTTCATTTTTGAATTCTTTTTTCTTTGTGTTTGTTAGATTGGGTTAATAGGAAAGCCTTGTCTTCAAGCTCTGAAGTTCTTTCTTCTACTTGTTTGGTTCTATTGCTGAGACTTTCCAGTGCATTTTGCATTTCTCTAAGTATCTCCTTCATTTCTAGAAGTTGTGACTGTTATTTATTTACTCTGTCTATTTCACTGAAGATTTTTCCCTTCATATCTTGTATCATTTTTTTGATTTCATTAAGTTGGACTTCACCTTTTTCTGGTGCCTCCTTGATTAGCTTAATAATCGACCTTCTGAATTCTTTTTTTGGCAATTCAGAGATTTCTTCTTGGTTTGAATCCATTGCTGGTGAGCTAGTGTGATCTTTTGGGGGTGTTAAAGAACCTTGTTTTGTCCTATTACCAGGATTGTTTTTCTGTTTCATTTTCATTTGGGTAGACTATGTCAGAGGGAAGATCTGGAGTTCGAGTGTTGCTGTTCAGATTCTTTTGTCCCATGGGGTGCTCCCTTGATGTGGTGCTCTCCCCCTTCCCCCAGGGATATGGCTTCCTGACAGCCAAACTGCAGTGATTGTTATTTCTCTTCTGGATCTAGACAACTAGTGGAGCTACTGGGCTCCAGACTGGTACTGGAGTGTCTGCACAGAGTCCTGTGATGTGATGTCTTCAGGTCTCTCAGCTGTGGATACCAGCACCTGCTCTGGTGGAGGTAGCAGGGGAGCGAAGTGGACTCTGTGAGGGTCTTGGTTGTATTTTTGTTTGTTGTGCTAGTTTTGTGTTGATTGGCCTCCAGCCAGGAGGTGGTACTTTCAAGACAGCATTAGCTGCAGTAATGTAGGGAGGATCAGGAGGTGAGCAGGGCCCTAGAGCTCCCAAGAGATTATGTCCTTTGTCTTCGGAGTTTTTTCCGTTGTCTCCAGGGACCTGCAGCAGCAATCAGTTTCCTTCAAAGGTTCTGTGGATTCTCTTGGCTTTCCTGGTATGTTCCTGTGGTAGGTTTTGGAGCAAAAGTCCACAGTGTGAGTCTCCACATGTTGCTCTGTCCATCTGAATGGGAGCTACAAGTTAGTCCTGTCTCCTATCCATCATTTTTCTCCAAAGATCAAAATACAATCATTTTTGATGGACAAAAAATCTGTTAGAAAACATAAAAAAGAAAAATCTTACTCATAATACCCAGAAAAGAAAAAATACCTAGGAATAAACTCAGTTAAAATTAATTTATATAAACCAAAACTTTAAAGCTCTAGCTAGCAAAGAAAAAACCCTGAATAAATAGCAGTATACACCCTGGTTTTTAATAGGAAGAACTAACAATACAGTTTTTCTTTGAATTTATCTAAAAATTTAATGCAATTTCAATTAAATACCAACTTTTTAATTAGACAAGCTGATTCTGAATTTCATAGAAAAAATAGCCAAGAAAACTCTACAGAAGAAGGCTAATAAAGACTAATTTTTCCAAATGATAAAAGGCATTATAAAACTATACTTAATTAAGGAAGCGTGAAATAGTACATGAATGAATGTATAGCTAGATCAGTGGAACAAATTAGAGTGCTGAAAAGTAAACCTAAATACATATGGAAAGATGGCATTTTAAAGCAGTGAAAAAAAAGATAGATTATTCACGAAATGGCTTTGGGACAGCTGACTACCAGCCAGAGCCATCCTTTACTCCATATACCAAAGTCAATGCCAGATGGATTAAAGTACTTTAAAAACATATAAGAACCAAAAGAAAACATGAAGTTTTTTTTAATCATCTTCAAATAGGGAAGAAATTTTCATGTAAGACATAAAACCCAGAAGCCATAAAGGAAAAGATGACTATATTCATGTGCATATAACACTTTTAGGGTAAATACGGACTTAAACAATTTTTTAAATGACAAACTTGGGAAAAAAACATTTGATACTCATATGACAAAAGCTCAGTTTGCCTTAATATATAAAGAATTATTATTAGAAACAAAAATAGCTAGTGACTATCAATAATTCAACTGTTGTCAGTGGGCCGGATCAGGTTCTTGACTTCATCACACAAAAGAAATTGACAGCAAATCCAAAGTAAGAGTAAGCAAAAAAGTTTATTGCAAAGCGCAAAGTACATTGTGAGAGGCAGAGCAGGCTGCTTAAAAGGAGAGACGGCAGCTAGTGCCTTAAGGGAAATTCCCTTTAGGGTAGTAGTTCATACCTATTCATAAAATACTGGTAAGGTCAAGTATGCAAAGGAGGACCAGCGGTTGGCGCATGCACTTGCTGTCTACATGCTCTAACACTTGTCACATGTATCAAAAGCATAAAAAGTTTCCACCTAGGGGTGTCTTTTTTACTATTAAATTGAGGAAAAGGTCACTGTAAGCTAAACCTTGAGTCTAGCCGTGCATGTGGGACCCCAGAGAAGTCCCTATCTCCTCAAAGCAGGAATTTGTAGCTAATAGCTTCTTGGGCTTTTGGTGATGATTGGCTGGAGACTGGGGAAGCTACATCATGAGAAAGGGGCTTTTCCCAGCCATATTGGGCATCAGAGACTGGTAGCTCTTTTGCTACCTTGCAAAGAGTTAGGTGCTAACATGCAAGGGTGCAAACGAAAGAAGCCCACTGCAAAAGAAGCCCACAGGGCTTCACGCAAGGAAGCAAGTCAGCATGGCCTCCTAACCTTACTTATCCTGACCCACAACCATGTGAAAGAAAAAAGGAGCAAAAAACAGGAACATATAGATATACCTTTTTATTAAAAGGTGCTCAGCCTAACTTACAATTAAATAAATGGAAATTCCAACAATGAGACAATAAAAGTGTAAAAATCAGTAATTCACACTGTAAGCACATAGGAAATGCACTGCTGATGAGAGGAGAGTGGCTGTGATTTCCTTCAGGGGACTTGTGGCATTAACTCTCCAAAATAAAAATGCACATGTGTGGATCCAGCAATTATTCCTCTACTAGGGATTTACCCTACAGATATCCTTGAGGGCAAAATTTGATGAACATTACTAAAATATTGCTTAGAATACCATGAGATTAGGGCCAGGTGCGGTGGCTCACACCTGTAATCCCAGCACTTTGGGAGGCCAAGGTGGGAGGATCACTTGAGGCCAGGAGTTCGAGACCAGCCTGGTCAACATAGCAAGATCTATCTCTTAAAAAAAAAAAAAGCCTGAAATTAGAAACAATTCAAATAAAATTTCAACAAGAGACTGGCTAAGTATGTTCCAGAATGGGGATTAATATACTTTTTCTTGATGGGCCAATAATAAGTATTTTAGGTTTTATGGTCAAGAAACAAGATAAAGGTTATATATGTACTGCTTAAAATGCAATAATTTAAAAATTATAAAACCACTTTCAGCTTAGGTACAAAAACAGGCAATGGGCCAGCTTTGTTCTGTGGGCTGTAGAATGAAGACCAATCTAGAATACCCGCATAATAGAATGCTATCGAGGGCACAATGAAGTATCTCAAAATATTGATTGTAAGGGAAAATCCCAATACATATATTTTTAAAAGCAAAGGATAGAGCAGGATACAAAATCAACATGCAAAAATCAGTTGTGTTTCTATGCATTAACAATGAACAAGTGTCAGAACACAGTGGCTCACACCTGTAATTCCAGCACTTTGGGAGGCCAAGGCGGGTGGATTGAGGTCAGGACTTCAAGACCATCCTGGCCAACATGGTGAAACCTCGTCTTTATTAAAGATACAAAAAAAATTAGCCAAGCGTGGTGGTGCATGCCTGTAGTCTCAGCTCAGGACTACTCGAGAGCTAAGTAGTAGCTTCAGGGGGCTGAAGCATGAGAATCACTTGATCCTAAGAGGCAGAGGTTGCAGTGAGCCCAGATCGTGCCACTGCACTCCAGCCTGGGCAACAGAATGAGAATTTGTCTCAAAGGAAAAACAAAACAAACCAAAAACCCAAAAAACCAACAATCTGAAAAGGAAATTTAGAAAACAATTTCATTTACAGCAGTATCAAAAAAAATAATAAAATGCTTAGGAATTAACCTAATACAGGAGGTGAAAGACTGGTACAATGAAGACTACAAAATATTTTGGAAGAAATTAAAGAAGACATAAATCAATAGAAAGACAACCCAGGTTCATAGATTGGAAAATGTAATATTGTGAAGACATCAGTACTTCCAAAAGCAGTCTACAGATTCAATGCAATCCCTGTTGAAATCCCAATGATAGTTTTTGCAGAAATAGAAAAAATCCATCTTTAATTCATATGGAATTTCAAGGGATGTCTAATAGCCAAAATAATCTTCAAAAAGAAGGACCAAAGCTGGTTTTAAAACTTACTACAAAGCTATAGTAGTGTGAACAGTATGGTACCAGCATAAAGACAGATATACAAACCTATAAACCAATGGAATAGAGAGCCCAGATTTAAACACTCACATATATGGTCAAACAATTTTTGACATGGATGCCAAGGCCATTCAATGGAGAGATGCCAGGAAAACCGGATATCTACATGCAAAAGTGTCAAATTAGATCTTTTTCTTATACCATATACAGGCATACCTCATTTTACTGCATTTCGCTTTACTGCACTTTGCATATATGGCATTCTTTGCAAATTGGAGATTTGTGGCAACTCTACATTAAGCAAATCTATCAGGGATGTGTTCCAACAGCATGTGCTCACTTCGTGTCTCTGTGTCACATTTTGGCAATTCTTGCAATATTTCAAACTTTTTCATTATTGTTATATCTGTTAATGGTGATTTATGATCAATGATATTTGATGTTACCATTGTTAATTGTTTTGAGGCACCTGATTACTCAACCAATAGGCCATTTCCCATCTCTCTGTACTCACGTCAGGCTTCCTTATTCCCTCAGACACAACAATACTGAAATCAGGCCATTCTGGATGCCATTTAGAACATCTGTGATTCTGGCTGGGCACGATGGCTCATGCCTGTAATCCCAGCATTTTGGGAAACCAAGGCGGGTGGATCACTCAAGGTCAGGAGTTCAAGACCAGCTTGGCCAACATGGTGAAACCGCATGTCTCTCCTAAAAATACAAAAATTAGCCGGGCGTGGTGGTGGGCACCTGTAATCCCAGCTATGAGGGCGGCTGAGGCATGAGAATCCCTTGAACCCAGAACGTGGAGGCTGCAGTGAGCCGAGATCGCGCCACTGCACTCCAGGCTAGGTGAGAGCAAGACTCAAAAAAAAAAAAAATCAAAAAAAAAAATCTGCGATTCATGGGAGGAGGTCAAAATATCAACATTCACAGGAGTTTGGAAGAAGTTGATTCCAAGCATCATGAAGGATTTTGAGCGGTTCAAGACTTCAGTGGAGGAAGCCACTGTGCATGTTGTGGAAACAGCAAGAGAACTAGAATTAGAAGAGGAGCCTGAAGATGTGACTGGGTTGCTGTAATTTCATCATAAAATTTGAACAAATGAAGAGTTGTTTCTTGTGGATGAGCAAAGAAAGTGGTTTTTCTTGAGATAGGATCTACTCCTGGTGAAGATGCTGTGAATTGTTGAAATAACAAAGGATTTGGAATCTTACATAAGCTTACTTGGGAAAACAGCAACAGGGTTTGAGGGGACTGATTCCAGTGTCGAAAGAAGTTTTACTGTGGGTAAAATGCTGCCAAATGCATCGCATGCTACAGAGAGATCTTTTGTGAAAGGAAGAGCCAATCAATGTGGCAAACTTCACTGTTGTCTTATTTTAAGAGATTGCACAGACACCCCAGACTTCAGCAACCACCACCCTAATCAGTCAGCAGCCATGAACATTGAAGCAAGACCACCAGCAAAAATAGTACAACTCACTGAAGCCTAAGACAATCATTAGCATTTTTTAGCAATAAGGTATTTTTTCATTAAGGTATTACATTTTCATTGTAATGCTATTGCACACTTAATAGACTACAGGGTAGTATAAACATAACTTTTATATACACTGGGAAACCAAAAACTTTTTGTCCCTGGCTTTATTTTAATATTCGCTTTATTAGAGTGGTCTGGAACCGAATCTGCTGTATCTCTCAGGTGTACCTGTACAAAAATTAAATCAAATTGATCAAAGGCCTGAATTTAAGGGCTAAAACTCTTAGAATAAAACATAGGGGGGAAGCTTCATGACATTAGATTTGGTAATGATTTAGTTGTTTGTGCTTCTGGACATGACATCAGGCTTGAGCCTGGGAGGCAGAAGTTGCAGTGAGCTGAGATCATACCACTGCACTCCAGCCTGGACAACACAGTGAGACCCTTTCTGTCTCAGGAAAGAAAAAAAGGAAGGAAGGAAGGAAAGAAATGGAAGCAAGAAAGAGAAAGAAAGGAAGGAAAGAAGGAAGGAAGGAAGGAGAAAGAAAGAAAGAAAAGAAATGGAAGCAAGAAAGAGAAAGAAAGGAAGGAAAGAAGGAAAAGAAAAAGTAGACGAATTGGGATTCATCAAAATTAAAAATTTATTTTTTTGGTTTTTTTAAATTCTTTTTTATTTCTTTTTATAGAGATGGGCATCTTGCTATGTTGACCAAGCTGGTCTTGAACCCTTGACCTCCCATCTCAGCCACCCAAAGTGCTGGGATTACAGGCATAAGCCACTAAACGCGGCCCAAAATTTAAAACTTCTGTGCATGAAAGTATGCTATCAACAGAGTGAAAAGACAACTGACAGAATGGGAGAAAATATTTGTAAACCATATATCTGACAAGGGATTAATGTCCAGAATATATAATAAATGCCTAAAACTCAAAAGCCAACCCAAGTAAAAAATGGATAAAAGATTTTAGTAAACATGTCTCTGAAGAAGATACACAAATAGCCACAATTAATACCTGAAACGATGCTTGACATTGCTAATCATTAGAGAAATTCAAATAAAAACCGCAAAGATGTATTACATCACACTGATTAGGATGACTACTAACAAAATACAAGTGTTGGTGAAGATGTGAGCAAATTAGATTTGTTCATTGTTGGTTGGTAGAAATGTAAAATGGTGCAGATGCTGTGGAAAACAGTATGGTGGCTCCTGAAAAAATTAAAGCTGGAATTACCATATGATTTCTGGATATGTACCCCGAAACTTGGAACCAGGAACTTGAATAGATATTCATACACCCCTGTTCACAGCACCATTATTCACAATAGCCACAAGGTATAAGCAGCTCAAGTGTTGATTGACAGGTGAATGGATAAATAAAATGTGTTATATACATGCAATAGAATATTACTCAGCCTGAAAAAAAAATGAAATTCGGATACATCCCACAACATGAATGAACCTCAAAGACATTATGCTAACTGAAATAAGGCAGATACAAAAGGACAAATATTGTGTGATTCTACTTATATGAGGTATGTAGTGGCAGAAAGTAAATTCTGCCACTAATTAATAGAGACAGAAAGAAAAACAGTGGTGGATGGAGTGGAGGGATTAGGAGTTATTGTTTAATGGGTACAGAGTTTCAGTTTGGAATGAAAGAGTTGTGGAGATAGTGATGAGAGTTTCACAAATGATGTAAATGTCCTTAATGCTATTGAATTTTACCCTTTAAAAATTATTAAAATGATATAGTTTATGTTATATATATTTTACCACAATAATAAAAATCTTGAAGTTTTTAAAAAAACAAGGGATAAAATAGCAAACTTCCATTTGCATAAATGAATATATGTGTGGCTGTGGCTGTGTGTGTGTACAAAAATATATATTTGGATGTATTCAGGAAATTTCTGAAGAATATGTGAGTAGTGACAGTAGGTTTCTGGTATGGCAGAGAGTATGAATTTTTCAATGAAAACACTAGATTTAGAGAGGAATATTTTTCATAATATGGTAAAGAATTTCAAATAGATCACCACAATGCCTTTTGCTGCACTGAACTTGTAATCTCTCTCTCAATTTGCTGATCCAGTCCATTACACATACACTACACCTACGAGTAGAGCTAACAGCCAGTTGGCACCTTTGTGTAATTAGAAAAAGACATGCATTCCTCTGGGTAGTTACAGCCCCACAGGCATGCAGCGTGGGGAGCAGAGAGGAAGACAGATGTCAGCCCCTACTTGTCCCTCAGCTGGGTGCATTTTGTAGTGCACAGTATGCACAAGTGTCGATGGTGACCCTGGCTGCAGCCACATTTTCCCTACACAATAAGGGTTATTATTCATAGACCAAGAAAGAACACATAGCACATGTTGTTAAAAATACAGCATTTTTCTTTTTTTTCTTTTTGAGACAGAGTGTCACTCCATCACCCAGGCTGGAGTGCAGTAGCATGATCTTGGCTCACTGCAACCTCCACCTCTTGCGTTCAAGTGATTCTCATGCCTCAGCCTTCCAAGTAGCTGGGATTCCAAGCATGTACCACGACGCCCAGCTAATTTTTGTATTTTTAGTAGAGACAGGGTTTCACCATGTTGGCCAGGTTGGTCTTGAACTCCTGGCCTCAAGTGATCTGCCTGCCTCGGCCTCCCAAAGTGCTAGGATTACAAACATGAGCCACTGTGCCTGGTTAAGAAATACAGCAATTTTTTTTTTTTGAGACAGAGTCTCGCTCTGTCACCCAGGCTGGAGTGCAGTGGTGCAATCTCAGATCACTGCAACCTCCGCCTCCCGGGTTCAAGTGATTCTCCTGCCTCAGCTTCCCTAATAGCTAGGACTACAGGCACATGCCACCACTCCTGGCTAATTTTTGTATTTTTAGTAGAGATGGGGTTTCACCATGTTGGCTAGGATGGTCTTGAACTCTTGACCTTGTGATCCATCCGCCTTGGCTTCCCAAAGTGCTGGGATTACAGGCGTGAGTCACTGTGCCTGGCCAGAAATACAGCATTCTTAAAAATAAAGGTTTATTTGAACTGTGGTATATATATGTGATGGAATACTACTCAGCCATAAAAAGGAATGAATTAATGGCATTCCCAGCAACTTTGATGGGATTGGAGACTATGATTCTAAGTGAAGTAACTCAGGAATGGAAAAACCAAACATCGTATGTTCTCACTCGTAAGTGGGAGCTAAGCTATGAGGACGCAAATGCATAATAATGATACAATAGACAGTGGGGACTCCAGGGGGAAAGGGTGGGAAGGGGGTGAGGGATAAAAGTCTACAAATTGGGTTCCGTGTACACTGCTCGGGTGGTGGGTGCACCAAAATCTCAGAAATCACCACGAAAGAACTTACTCATGGAACCAAACACCACCTGTTCCCCCCCAAAAAAACTATGGAAATACAAAATTTTTTTTTAAAAAAGACTAAAAGGCCGGGCACGGTGGCACGCACTTGTAGTCCCAGCTACTCGGGAGGCTGAAGCAGGGAGAATCGCTTGAACCCGAGAGGCAGAGGTTGCAGTGAGCCAAGATTGTGTCACTGCACTCCAGCCTGGGCGACGGAGCAAGACTCAGTCTCCAAAAAAAAAAAAAAAACAACTGAAAAAAAGGTTTCTTTGAGAAGTACACAGACAGTAGAAGTAGGAAATATTTAACTCTTCTCAGTAGTTACATGGATACAATAGAAATGGCGTCATCTACATTTCTGCTTAACCATTGGTTGCTATGATTTTCATAATCACAGTGACCTTTCTGGTTACCTGAGATTTGATCCTTTCTCTCAGAAGGTCCTAAGAGTTTATTTAGTAGAAAGAAATCCCTTCTTTCTTTTTTCTCCCCACCAATTTGGTGCCAGTAATGAAAGCCTGGTATTATGGGAAGTGGCCTCTCTGGACCTGGTCTGAGGATATCAATGCGTCAATGTTAGGCCAGAAGAAGTTACGTGATCAACATGACATCTGATTTCAGGTAAACAAAATTCACACCACTGACTAGTTTTTGTATTACTTTGTTTTTCAGAACAAAATACTGTATAAGCCACATTACCCCCATACAAAGAATTGTAATCATTTGTAATACTTATGAACTAGGTATTCATTTGTACAAATCTGGAAAGCCAAGATGACCTGGTAATGCTGAGTCAGAAAGGGGCAAAGCAAGAACAAAGGCTCAGTTACCTTGACAGCCGGTTTAGCCTTTCACAGACACACGGGTTTACGCTCTTAAATACACCAAGTTCATGATAAACACATGCTTTATAAAACCAGATCATTCTGAATCTTTGTTTTTTATTTTTTTTCCTGAGACGGAGTCTCTCTCTGTCGCCCAGGCCGGAGTGCAATGGCATGATCTCCGCTCACTGCAACGTCCGCCTCCCAGGTTCAAGTGATTATCCTGCCTCAGCCTTCTGAGTAGCTGAGATTACAGGTGGGTGCCGCCATGCCTGGCTAATTTTTGTATTTTTAGTAGAGACAGGGTTTCACCATGTTAGCCAGGCTGGTCCTCAGGTGATCTGCCACCTCGGCCTCCCAAAGTGCTGGGATTACAGGCGTGAGCCACCACGCCCAGCCCATTCTGAATCTTTTTTTTTTTTTTTTTGAGAGGGAGTCTTGCTCTGTTGCCCAGGCTGGAGTGCAGTGGCACAATCTTGGCTCACTGCAACCTCCGCTCACTGCAACCTCCGCCTCCTGGGTTCACGCCATTCTCCTGCCTCAGTCTCCCGAGTAGCTGGGACTACAGGCGCCCGCCACCACACCTGGCTAATTTTTTGTACTTTTAGTAGAGACGAGGTTTCACCGTGTTAGCTAGGATGGTCTCGATCTCCTGACCTCATGATCTGGCTGCCTCGGCCTCCCAAAGTGCTGGGATTACAGGTGTGAGCCACCACACCCGGCCATTCTGAATCTTTAAAAGTAAATCTTTTTCTATGGAATCTAAAATAGACCTGATTTCAAATGTATCCTTTTTTTGTTTGTTTTTTTTGAGACGGAGTCTCACTCTGTCGCCCACTGGCTTTCCAGATTTGTACAAATGAATACCTAGTTCATAAGAATTACAAATAATTACAGTTCTTTGTATGGGGTAGTGTGGCTTATACAGTATTTTGTTCTGAAAAAGTTAAGTGCAGAGTGCACAGTGATCTCGGCTCACTGCAACCTCCATCTCCTGGGTTCAAGGGATTCTCCTGCCTCAGTCTCCAGAGTAGCTAGGACTGCAGGTGCCTGCCACCATGTCCAGCTGGTTTTTATATTTTTAGTAGAGACAGGGTTTCATAATGTTGGCTAGGCTCCTGACCTCAGGTGATCTGCCTCCCTCGCCCTTCCAAACTGCTGGGATTACAGGTGTGAGACACTGCACTGAGCGTCAAATGTATTCTTGCTTTTAAAAAGAACAGTTTTAGGCTCACAGAAAAGTTGCAGATAGTAGAGTTCTCCTTTACCCCCAATATCAACATCTGGTATAACCACATTAAAATTAAGAAATGTACATTCTTGTTTGATTATTTACTATAAAAAATTTTTTTCTAGGCTGGGCGCGGTGGCTCACGCCTGTAATCCCAGCACTTTTGGAGGCCAAGGCGGGCGGATCACAAGGTCAGGAGATCGAGACCATCCTGGCTAACACAGTGAAACCCCGTCTCTACTAAAAACACAAAAAATTAGCTGGGCGTGGTGGCGGGTGCCTGTAGTCCCAGTTGATGGCGGGGGTGGGGGGGTGGGGAAGAGGGAAGGGGGTGCTAAGGAAGGAGAATGGCGTGAACCTGGGAGGCGGAGCTTGCACTGAGCCGAGATCGCCCTACTGCACTCCAGCCTGGGTGATGGAGAGAGTCTCAAGTCTCAAAAAAAAAAAAAAAAAAAAAAAAAAAAATTCTAAATGGACATGGGTACTATACTATTAACATAGCTGCAGACTTTATTTGGGCTTCAACAGTTTTCCCACTATCACATATAGATGTCATGTCTCCTTAATCTCCTAAAACCTGTGACAGTCCCTCAGTCTTCCCTTGTCATTCATGACTTTGCCACTGTTGAAAAGTACTGGTCACTGATTTCGTAGAATATCTCTCAACGTGGGTGTGTCTCGGCGTTAGATGGAGTCTATTCATTTTGGGCAGGAAACCACAGGTGGCATTGTTCCTTCTCCCTGCATCCTACTGAGGGAACATCATGTTGATGTATCTTCTTACTGGTGATGGCATTGTGTCCGGAATTGGTGGGTTCTTGGTCTCACTGACTTTAAGAATGAAGCCGCGGACCCTCGTGGTGAGTGCTACAGTTCTTAAAGGCGGCGTGTCCAGAGTTTGTTCCTTCTGATGTTCGGATGTGTTCGTAGTTTCTTCCTTCTGGTGGGTTCGTGGTCTCGCTGGCTCAGGAGTGAAGCTGCAGCCCTTCGCAGTGAGTGTTACAGCTCTTAAGGGCGCGCGTCTGGAGTTGTTCGCTCCCCCCGGTGGGTTTGCGATCTCGCTGGCTTCAGGGGTGAAGCTGCAGACCTTCACGGCGTATGTTACAGCTCATAAAGGTAGTGCAGACCCAAAGAGTGAGCAGCAGCAGCAGGATTTGCGAAAAGCGAAAGAACAAAGCTTCCACAGCGTGGAAGGAGACCCGAGCAGGTTGCCACTGCTGGCTCTGGCAGCCTGCTTTTATTCTCTTATCTGGCCCTACCCACATCCTGCTGATTGGTCCATTTTACAGAGAGCCCAGTGGTCTGTTTTGACAGGGTGCTGATTGGTGCATTTACAATCCCTGAGCTAGACACAAAGGTTCTCCACGTCCCCACTAGATTAGCTAGATACAGAGTGTCCATACAAAGGTTCTCCAAGTCCCCACCCGAATAGCTAGATACAGAGTGTTGATTGGTGCATTCACAAACCCTGAGCTAGACACAGGGTGCTGATTGGTGCATTCACAAACCTTGAGCTAGATACAGAGTGCCCATTGGTGTATTTACAATCCCTTGGCTAGACATAAAAGTTCTCCAAGTCCCCACCAGACTCAGGAGCCCAGCTGGCTTCACCCAGTGGATCCAGCACCAGGGCAGCAGGTGGAGCTGCCTGCCAGTCCCGCGCCGTGCGCCTGCACTCCTCAGCCCTTGGGTGGTCGATGGGACTGGGCGCTGTGGAGCGGGGGGCCACGCTCGTCGGGGAGGCTCAGGCCGCACAGGAGCCCACGGAGGAGGAGGAGGCTCAGGCATGGTGGACTGCAGGTCCTGAGCCCTGCCCCGCAGGGAGGCAGCTAAGGCCCGGTGAGAAATCGAGCGCAGTGCCGGTGGGCCGGCACTGCTGGGGGACCCAACATACCCTCCGCAGCCATTGGCCTGGGTTCTAAGCCCCTCATTGCCCGGAGCCGGCAGCGCCGACTGGCTGCTCCAAGTGCGGGGCCCGCCAAGCCCACGCCCACCCGGAACTCCAGCTGGCCCGCCAGCACCGTGCGCAGCCCTGGTTCCAGCTCGCGTCTCTCCCTCCACACTCCCCTGCAAGCTGAGGGAGCCAGCTCTGGCCTTGGCCAGCCCAGAAAGGGGCTCCCACAGTGCAGTGGCGGGCTGAAGGGCTCCTCAAGCAGGGCCAGAGTGGGTGCCAAGGCCGAGGAGGCACCCAGAGCGAGCGAGGGCTGTGAGGGCTGCCAGCACGCTGTCACTTCTCAGTATCTTTGATCACCTAGTTAAGGTGGTGTCTCTTGGATTTGCCTGCTCTGAAATTACTATATTTCTCTTTGTAATTAATAAACATTTTGGGGGACATACTTGAGTCTGCAAATATCCTGTTTGTCCTCAAACTTTTGCTGAATAGTTTTAGAATTCATTGGTGAGTCCAACAATTATTATTGTGCTTTTCTCAGTGATTTTCTATTTTCCTCATTCCTTCTACACATAAGCAAAAGCTGCTCTTTCTTCCTTATTTATTTATTTACTGATTTTTAAAAACTTACTGGTATCAGTATGGACTCATGGATGTTTATTCTATGGTTATAATCCAACATTACTTTTTTTAAGTCTTAAATTGCTTCAGCTTTGGCCATTAGGAGCTCTTTCAGGTTGATTCCTGTGCCCTTTGACTGTCCTCACCCTTTTTTTCCTGGCATTTCCCTCCTTACTGGCACCATAAGGTGCCTCAGCTCTGGAATAGAAGCATCAATGATATTGCTGTCTAATTAATCATGAACAAAACAAATTATCACTATTGATCTCTACATGACAGAGCTAAAATAATGTCCCAGGCCTCTATGTCACCAACATTTAGAAACTCTGTAATTAGTTTAGATACTATGGTTTTATTTTACTCTTTTGTCCATTTAAGTAACACCTAGAACAATACATCACACGTGCTCAATACATACTTGTGAAATGAATGACTACTCTGTGCCAAACACTGTCTGAGCCCAGCACAGGAAAAACCCAGCACAGAGCTTGGCAAAGGAAAAACACCCTTCTGAGAATGCACGGTTCCTTCTGAAAATGCATAATCCATGCGAGCATTTTTCTTTCTTGGCCAGAGAAGAATTATCCATGTAGCTGGCTTGGGGTTTCTCTTCTTTTAGGATACTGGAGAAAACAGTTGGGGCACACGCCTGCTAACATCAGGTCCTATATAGCAGCTCTCAATTCCAGACCTTAGTGCAGACCCCAGAATGGGAAAGGTAAGCAAAAGAATGGCAGGACACGGGGGATTATGCCGAGAGTCAAATGTCACCACCTCTGAAGGGCTGCTGTGCCTGCTGGCCTAGCCAGAGCACCTTGCCCGCTGATTTTCCAGATGGTGGTTGTTGCTGTTTGTCCCTAGATCTGCTCAGTCTTAGCCTTGACACTGTTTAAATCTGGATGAAAAAGACAGCAAAGAAAACAAACTTAGGGCTTTCTTCTTTTTTTTCCCTGCCCCACCAGTGTTCCCTGGATAGTTTGGCCCCGGCATTCAGCCAAGAAAAACATCTGTGATTCAAGAATCATGACACAGCCAGGACCTGCCACCCTGCAGCTCAGAGGCTTTCTTTTCTTGCAGACAAGGGTGAAGAAGTTAGAGGTCAGTATACTCTCAGTCCTCAGGGGCTCCAGCCTGCAGCTCTGTATTGTCAGCTCGTCAGAGATGTGGGACAGGGCACACTCTCTGTGGGAGCCGGCAGGAAAACCAGGCTGTGCTCAACAACAAGAGAAACAAAGAAAGCACGAGGGCTGAGCTGAGAGAACCCTGCCATGAGTCAGCCTGGGGCTCCGAGGGGGCATAAGGCCAGGCTGATACACAGACACCGCCTACCCTCTGAGTCCCTGAAATGGATTTTTTTTGGGTCCTATTAGCCAATAGGAAGTTGCATACAAAGAACAAAAATTCCTAGGATCACCCATCAAATCAAGTTAAACCTGGGCTTTTGGTATACTGTCTTCCCAGCCACTGAGAGAGATTTCTGTAAAGAAAGCATTGTTTTGTTGTTTTGTTTATTTATTTAGAGACATGGTCTCTTGTGGGCAGCTGCTATGGGTTGAATTGTATTCCTCAAAAAACATATGTTGAAATCCTATCTCTAGTATCTCAGATTGTGAGCTTACTTGGAAATAGAATCTTTGCAGATTTAGCTAAGTTAAGATGGGGTCACTGGTACCCTTGTAAAAAAGGCAAATTTGAACATACATGCAGAGGGCAATGGTGTGGAGACACAGGGAGAACGCTGTGTGATTACAGAGGATCACGTGAAGCAGCTACTGCCCCAGAAAGACTAAGGCTTCCAGAAGCCGGGAGAGAGGCCTGGAGCATTTCCTTCCCTAGCACCCTCAGAGGGAGCACGGCTGTGCCAACACCTTGGGTTTTGGACTCCTGGCCTCCAGAACTGTGAGAAAACAAATTTCCATCGTTTTCGGCCACCCAGTTTGTTGTTATGGCAGCTCTAGAAAATGAACACAGCAGCAATGGACATAGGTTCACTGTAGTTTGTTGTAAAATTATTTTGAGAAGACAATTTTCAGGGTCTCTGAGGATTTCATAAAGGTTTTCTATTTCCCAAGCAAGTTCTCAGGAAACAGCCAGGGAGCCAGACACACATGCGTACAAATCTCAGCTTCGCCATTTATTATCTACTTGACGTTGGGCAAGATCCTAAGTCTCTCTAGAGCATTCTTCATCCTTCAAAGAAGGATATGAAACTCTCTTCCTAAGGCCATCTAAAGAGTGAATGAGGTCGTGTTTTTTAAATTGTTTATTGTGTGGCCTCACACATGGTGGCCCGTCAAGATGTTAGATTTCTTTCCTAACAAACATGAAAGAAGACCCTGCCCTGTAGCAGGCAAGCTGGGTGTTAGCTGAGAGTCTCCAACCTAATGTCTATTCAGCATAATAAATATTAATAAGTGCAGTAGACACTGCCAGGGCTCTGGCCAGACCCTTGCAGATCCCTTTAACTGTTTTGTCTGTACTCCCTTGAGTATGCACCCCACGACTCACACCAGAGACTCTTCTTGGAAGTCTTTTCTCGGGCTACTGGAGCCACTTTTTCCACACTCAGGTTGCTAGAAGTGCCTGTGAGTTTATATCCTCTATCTGGGGCAGTTCATGGCCAAAGTCTGAAGGATGCAGGCGTGTGACAGCCCACTTCCTTTGCTTGGAGTCAGGGAAACTCTGAGGCATAACTCACACTCCTGAGTTCCCCTGTAGGATCACGCTGGAGCCACAGGACTTTGCCTGAAAGCATACATTTGCTTTGCCCATCCCTACTTCCACATCAGCCTTCCTGTGAGCATGTCCTTAATGAGTCGCTTACATTCAACTCTGCAATTAAGAGTCTGCTTCTGGGGCACCTGACCCAAGGCAATAAGCTACTGAACATCTCCTGCTGAGATGCCACATGATATTGAAGTTCTGATGGTTAAAGCTAAAAAAACAACCTGACCAGACTGCATTCCAATCATTCACTATTTTAACAGCCATAATAATTATACTAGTAACCTCTCGTTCATGTGTCCAATACATGCATTACGTTCAATTCTAATCCTCATAACCAATGTATACATAGGTAGTTTTACCCTTGTAACAGTTTTTTTCAATGGCCACAAATTTTTTGATTCTCCTCCCATCAAGAGGTAAAGTGTAGGTCCCCTTCCCTTGAATCCCTTTACTTTTACAGAAATCTGCTCAATTTTGATAATGTGTCCCTCAGTTCCCAAGATGTGGCCATTCTAGGATATTCTTTCCCAAGTAAGGACATTCAGCCATGTGGGTTGGTTAACCTTAAATTGCATCTCTAATAGACAGTATATAGTTAGCTCTTACTTTTATAACTAGTTTGATAATCTCTGCCTTTTGACTATTTAGTCCATTTATATTTGATGTGATTATTAATATAGTTTGAGTTGCTGCTATTTTGCTATTTGCTTTTTTTTGTTTCATTTGATTTTTGCTTCTCAGTATCCCCTTTTTCTTGCGTTCTTATGGTTTCATAAAATATTTGATTAAATTTAAAATTTAGAATCTCAGATTTTCTAGGCAATTGCTCAGGTCAGTGAGCTTCAAACCCAGGATTGTGAAAACAGTTTAATTTCTCTGATAGCATGTTTTCTCTACTATCCATGATGATGTTTATGAAGTCAATATCAGGCTGAATTATATTCAATTGTCAGGTAAATAAAATCTTTAGAAGTTATTAATTTGGAGTTTACTGAAACAGGAATTTATGATTCTTCACTGTATGGAGATGTTTCCATATAATCTATGTAAAGGAGAAATTACACAGCATAAAATAAAAAACTGGCTAAACCTTAGAGAAGCCAGCCGGCAGGCAAGAAGAAATTCAGTAAGAATGGGAATTATCACTCACCTCATTGGTACAATATTTTTGGGGCTTATAAGTGCTCCCTACAATCAGATGGCACATCTGTGAAACATCTGATTTGGGGAAAAACTGACAAAAATGTTTGCTGATATTTCTTTAACCTATTTGTTTTATATAAAGTAAACTAAACTTTGTAGTCATGTCTCCCTGATCTGCTTGGATTTGTCTGCTCTGAAATTACTATATTTCTCTTTGTAATTAATAAACATTTTGGGGAACACACTTGAGTCTGCAAATATCCTGTTTTTCCTCAAACTTTTGCTGAATACTTTTAGAATTCATTGGTGAGTCCAACAATTATTACTGTGCTTTTCTCAGTGATTTTCTATTTTCCTCATTCCTTCTACACATATTAATTATAATTCTTCCATAAGCAAAAGCTGCCCTTTCTTCCTTATTTATTTATTTATTTACTGATTGGTATCTATTATATGGTGGCTGGGGCATTGCAAGCCTGTAAGTGTCTAACAAATATTAATTGATTTATATTTACAACCTTTGTTTCATTGCACAAAGTGTCACAGGCAAAAATTTAATTAATGTAGCTTGGCAATTGAAGACATGGGAAAGAAGACATGAAAAATAAGAGTAATTAACATTTGTTGGTTCCTGGCTATGTTCCCAGCAAGGTCCAATGAATGTCTATGAGATGGGGATAGATACATGGGCCCTCACAGGGAGGTTGTGAATATCAAATGGGAAAGTGCATATGAAAACTTTTTGAAAACTCTGAGTGGGGTAAATGCTCTGTCTTCAGTGGGGCCACCCAGAGCAGAGCCTCTCAAATAAATCAGATGCACAGGATAGACTGAGGGGATGCACTGAATGCACTCAGGAGAAACAGAGGGAGGGATGTTCTGTGTCTTCATTTCCTAACTTGCATTTTGAGGGAAAGTATCAAAAGTTATTATGCATTCAACAAACATTTTTTTTATTTTGTTTTGGCTTTTGGGGTTTTTTTTAGACACAGAGTCTCTGTCTGTCATTCAGGCTGGAATGCAGTGGTGCATTCATAGTTCATTGCAGCTTTGAATTCCTGGGCTCAAGCCATCCTCCCACCTTAGCCTCCTGAGTATGTGGGAGTACAGATGCACGCCACCACCACACCTGGCTAATTTTATTTATTTTTTTAACCACAAATAGATTTATTCCTCTAAAAACAGTATACCATCTTTCCAGTTTCAAAATGTTATTATCAATTGTCTGCAGATTACTTACTCTCATTAAGCTGATTTTTTTAAAACCCAGAGCAGAGCAATTTACCAGCACCATCAGTATCATCATCAAGCAAGCTGCAAATCTATCCTTTGCCAGAACAAGGAAACACTGAAGATCAACTCAAGAGAATAATAGCTTCAAGTGTTTACCGAAGGGGTACTCACATGCATTTGTCACACATTCCAGGGCCTCATCGTCCTCTTTTTTTGTTTTTGTTTCTGTTTTTTTGTTTTTTGTTTTTGAGACAGAGTCTCACTCTGTCGCACAGGCTGGAGTGCAGTGGTACAATCTCGGCTCACTGCAACCTCTGCCTCAAGCGATTTTCCTGCCTCAGACTCCTGAGTAGCTGGGATTACAGGCATGTGCCACCACACCTGGCTAATTTTTGTATTTTTCGTGGAGATGGAGTTTCACCATGTTGGCCAGGCTGGTCTCGAACTGCTAACCTCAAGTGATCCGCCCACCTCGGCCTCCCAAAGTGCTAGGTAATCACCCTCTTTTATAACATTGCTTAACTCCTAAACCAGTTTATTTTTATAGTCTGAAAACAAGAATCACCCACGTGCGATATTTCTTCAGAGCACGGTTGAAGATGGATCAAACATGGAGATCCTCCAGATCCCTGTTTTCAAATGGTATTTTACATTAGTACATGGAATATCCTTAGATATATTCTGTTATGTTCTAATGAGTTCGTGATTCCTTTTTGATGATGTCTTCAATTTCTTCTGAGACCTTTCCTGTACGGTCATTTGGTCCCACAGCTTTTAACTTCTTTTTGTACTCCAGTGGCAAACCATTTTCTTTTGCACCTATGCAAATAACCTTTTTATACTGTGGGGATGGGAAACACTCTTGTAATTTGTCATCAGATAATGTCGATAGGTTATTTCTCTTCTTGAGTTGAAACATTAACTTCCATGACAACATAAATTCCATCACTTCTTGCCTGCAGGCGGGCCATGTAGAAGAACACCACCGAGGGGTTTTGGAGGTGGATCTCTCAGTCAGCAGGTTGCTGTCGTAGGGGAAGCACAGAAAACTCTCCTCATCTGGGCCCGGATGTCCTTGCAGCCTGAGTTTGCCGTGTCCCACTAGATGCCTGCACGGGAGTCTGGAGCAGGGCTGTGAGGAGCCACCACAGAGCGCAGGACTGTGCCCGTGATCCTGGCCAGTGATGGCCACGCCGCCACCTTGGGTTTTGGGCAATTTTAAAATTTTTGTAGAGATGGGGCTCCACTATGTTGCCCATGCTGGTCTCAAACTCCTGGCCTCAAGTGATCCCACCTTGACCTCGCAAAGTGGGGGGATTACAGGCGTGAGCCACTGTGTTCAGCCTCAACAACAATCTTTTTTTTTGAGACAGGTCTCACTCTGTGGCCCAGGCTGGAGTGTGATGGGTCGATCTGGGTTCACTGGAACCTCTGCCACCAATTCCATCTTGTCTTATGACTCCTTGTGGGCCCTGTCCAGGGCTGGGGTCAAGCTGGCCCCTTAGAGAGTCAGAGGAGCGCACAGAGAGGGTGATGGAGAGTGACAGTCTGACACACGTGGCTATAGCACTCTGTGGGACCCCTAAACTTTTTGTTTGCTCTAGAAATCAGCTACCTGATGTAATGATTTTTTTTTTTTTTGAGATAGAGTCTTGCTTTGTTGCCCAGGCTGGAGTGCAGTGGTGCGATCACAGCTCACTGCAGGCTTGATCTCCTGGGCTCAAGAGATCCTCCTGCCTCGGCCTCCTGAGTAGCTGGGACTACAGGTGCATGCCATCACATCTGGCTAATTATTTTTTACTTTTAGTAGAGATGATGTCTCGCTATGTTGTGCAGGCTGGTCTCCAATGACTGAGTTCAAGCAATCCCCCACTTCAGCCCTCCAAAGTGTTGGGATTGTGGTGTGAGCCACCTCACCAGGCCATGATGTATCAATTTTTTAAAGCTCCATTAGAAATTGCAATTGAGCTACTGAAACAAAACGTGTAGTGTATACATTACATGATAATTATCTGAAACCCAGTCTTATGATCAAAAAGAACAGTTTATGGCATCATTTGGCTGATACTGCTTCTGTGATTCGATGGCTTGATAGCTAAATCCCTGGACAAATTACCACTTGTCAAGTTTCAAAAAGATAGTGGTAGTTGGCTCCTCAAGTACAGGAAGAACTTGGATGAGCTTTTCCTTCTGAACAAAAAGTTTGGTTTAGAGGTTCACTTGCTCTTCAGCATAATCAAGCTGACATGTGGACCCATAAGTTGATATTGAATGCATTATATGAATTATAAGAAGTGTGCAAAATAAGTTGTAGAACTGAGTGCTTTGCCTACAAATATTCATAACACTACTGTGGGGTTTGAGCTTTCAGATATTTCTGGATTTTTCTAAGGTTTCTCATTGCATCCCTGTCATTAATAATGTAAAACAACGTCAGTATGGTGACTTTCCCCAGGTGAGGGCTTTGGAGACCAGCAAGATTTACATTCGATGTGAATGTTTGTGCTGCAAACTGTTGGCGACCACACACATGTACACATACACACTCCCATGCACACATGCGCACACATATACACACTCACATTCGCCTGCCCCCGTGGCTCAGAATTTACCCAGAGAGGACGCATTTGCTTTATGTGAATATTTTAAGGTGGGGGGAATGACCACATTCTGTAGCCCTGCAGCCTGAAAACAGACTCCTGCTGAGGGAAGTTGGACTGCCAGGGGCAGGGAGAGTCTCTGATTGAGCAGCTGCGGATGAAGTAAGTGTAACCAAAAGAGCAAGTTTCTCTGAGGAGCTCAGCCTGGTGCTTTGCCTCTGTCTCTTTCCGGTGAAAGTTTTGTTCAATGCTGTGAAAATTACACTGCCCTTGAATGAAAAACTGTTTGGAAATGGAGTGAATGGCTAGTCAAAGGCTCCCTATTACCCGAGTGGGTCGGGGTGGTCATGAGGAGTGACTGCGAATCTGCTAGTGGGTTCATGGAGGGAAGAAAACATTCTGAAATTGAATGACAGTGATGGTTGCATGACTCCATAAATACACTTGAAACCATTGACTTCTACACTTAAAATGGGTAAACTTTATGCCTCATAAATTGTATCTCAGTAAAGCTATTGGAAAAAAAAGCTTTATGTTCATTGCCACAAGTTGCTAGTTTTCATAGCAAGAACAATAGGCACATGAGCCAAGTAACATGACTTAACCACTTGGGCCCATTTCAATTTTAAAAAGAGGCTTCTAATTTCTGAATCTGGATTAAAAAAAACAAAACCAAAAAAATACGGTTGCTGTGCCTAGTTTAGAGCTTTTATAAATGATGATATTTTGTTAACTCAGGGCTTTACACTGTTGTGGGGCTCCCAAATCCATAGGCCTTGGGATGATAAGAAATGTTTTAATCGTGATCTGAACGGTTAAGGTCAGTACTAAGGAAGAGGAGCCCCAGTGTAATCCTTGTAGAAATATAACCATGAAATATACTGTCCCAGTCTTGGTCCCCTCCTGCCCCGTGAACTTCTCTCCCACCCTTATGATTCCACTGTTCTCTTGGATTTTACTCTGAAAATCTAGGGTGGAATGTTCTGGAGTATGAGTTGTTCATGTTAACTGCTGTATTAGTCCTTTTTCATACTGCTGATAAAGACATACTCGAGCCTGGGTAATTTATAAAGGAAAGAAGTTTAACTGGGTCACAGTTCCACATGGGTGGGGAGGCTTCACAGTCATGGCAGAAGATGAAGGAGGAGCAAAGTCACGTCTTACATGGAGGCAGGCAAAGAGAGCTCTTGTGTAAGGGAACTCCTCTTTATAAAACCATCAGATCACGTGAGACTTATTCACTATCACAAGAACAGCATGGGAACGACCTGCCCTTGTGATTCAATTACCTCCCACCAGGTCCGTTCCATGACACATGGGAATTGTCAGAGCTACAATTCAAAATGAGATTTGGGTGGGGATATGGCCACAGAACCTCAACAGCTTATATCCTACTCACCACGTTGTTGAAATTGAAGTTTCTAGTGATATCTACCACAGGTACCTAGCTCTACTGCTTCCTGAATTCTTACCAAGACAGACACATTTGAGGTCTCCACTACAAGATAGACATAGAGAGGTAATGTTTGCTTGTGGAAAAGAGCTGCCCTTCCTTACTTCACTGGCAGTTTCAAATGTCAGATGAAGAAAATGCAACCCTCAGTCTACTTCTTGGAGGCTCAGCTGTAGATCTTTTTTTTTTTTTTTTTTTGACGGAGTCTCACTCTGTCACCAGGCTGGGGTACAGTGGCGTGATCTCAGCTCACTGCAACCTGTGCCTCCCGGATTCAAGCAATTCTCCTGCCTTAGCCTCCCCAGTAGCTGGGACTACAGGCACTCGCCACCACACCCTCTAATTTTTGTATTTTTAGTAGAGACGGGGTTTCACTGTGTTGGCCAGGGTGGTCTTGATCTCCTGACCTCGTGATCCACCCACCTTGGCCTCCCAAAGTGCTGGGATTATAGGTGTGAGCCACCATGCCTGGCTGCTCTGGATTATTTTATTAGGTAACTCAAGGTGTACTAGGAGAGAATGTACCTTAACTTACCATGATGCTTAGCTCTGAACAGGCAGTCTGGGCCGTTTCTACGTCTACCAGGAACCTTCCAAATTCAAGTATCATGCAAGACCATGGTGTGGCCACTGTACAAAGCCTGCTTTGGAAAGCCCAATGACAAGGCTGCTCAAATAAACAACTTCAGGTGTGACAATTCTGGTCTGGAGGCACAAGCGTTCTTTTGGGAAACTGTTTCACCTCGTGCCACGTCATAGTTGGGTGAGGTCATTTAAGGAGCCCAGTATGCCCTTGGATGTTTAGGGAAACCTGATGTCACAAATAAAAGTCCGTACAGAAATCAAGTCATTGAGGAAATCAGTTGAGACCGTTAAGTTTGAAGAGTGGAGGCTCTGCTTGAGGAGTAGGGAGGGACACGGAAGGGACAGTCTTTGGCCTCAGGCTATCTTCTCATCAGGAGAAGGGGCAGTCTCTGGTCTCAGGCTGTCTCTTCACAAGGAGAAGGGAAAGTGTGTTAATTCCTTAGGACAATTTGCTGTGGGAGACATGAACAGAAGTGATCGGAAGTTATCAGGAGAAAGGTGACTTCTGAAGATGATCATTTGAATTTTTGCCAAAAGAAGGGGGAAGAGACTCTTATGTGGCAACAGAGAACAATTTGGAGGCAGGAGAAAGAAAAATTTGGCGGAAATAATCATGCCTTTATTTTCATATTGATTAAAGAGTGTGGGGTATTCTTTTAATGCACCTAGGCAAGGAAGATGGGCTGGATCAGTGTTTCTCAGAGTTTAGTGTGCACACGAATCACTGCATCTTATTAAAGTACAGATTCTGATTCAGAAGGACTGGTGTAGGGCTGATACCCTGCATATCTAAAAAGCCCTCAGGCGATGACCACACTTTGAATAGTGAAGATCTGGAGATTGGCCTTACTACATATTGAGCTTTAAAACTCAACATGGCCCTTGGTAAGGAACAGCCTCCTAATGCTATTGGACAAGGAGGATTTTTCCCGGTACTTGGCAAGTCAGTTATTAAAATAACAGTAAGGGCTTATTAAAATAACCGTAAGGGCTTATGCCTGTAATCCCAGCACTTTGGGAGGCCAAGGCAGGAGGATCACGAGGTCAGAAGTTTGAGAGCAGCCTGGCCAATATGGTGAAACCCCGACTCTACTAAAAATACAAAAACTACCTGGGTGTGGTGGTACGTGCCTGCAGTCCCAGATACTCAGGAGACTGAGGCAGGAGAATCGCTTGAATCCAGGAGGCAGAGGTTGCAGTGAACTGAGACTGTGCCACTGCACTCCAGCCTGGGCAACAGAGCGAAACTCCGTCTCAACAAAAACAAACAAATAAAATAACAGTAAGGCTGATTGCCTAGAGATTAGTTGCTTGAGGAGAACCTCCTGCTACATATATATATATATGTCAGGCCTCTGAGCCCAAGCTAAGCCATCATATCCCCAGTGACCTGCACGTATACATCCAGATGGCCTGAAGCAACTGAAGATCCACAGAAGTGAAAATAGCCTTAACTGATGACATTCCACCATTGTGATTTGTTTCCGCCCCACCCTAACTGATCAATATTCTTTATAATCTTTATAACCCTTAAGAATGTACTTTGTGAGAGCCACCCCCTCCCCCAAAACATTGCTCTTAACTCCATCGCCTATCCTAAAACCTATAAGAACCAATGATAATCTCACCACCCTTTGCTGACTCTCTTTTTGGACTCAGCCCGCCTGCACCCAGGTGAAATAAATAGCCGTGTTGCTCACACAAAGCCTGTTTGGTGGTGTCTTCACATGGACACACGTGAGACTATATATATATATATATGCTTCCCACTGCTACTGTGATAAATTGCCACAAACCTAAAGGCTTGACATTAACACAAATTCATTATCTCACAGTCCTGGAGGCCTGAAGTCTGAAATGGGGCTCAGTGAGCTCAAATCAAGGTGTGGTCAGGAAGGCTGCGCTCCTTCTGGAGACTGCAGGAAGGACTTTCCCTTTCCAGCCTCTGGAGGCTGCCTGCATTCCTCAGCTCCTGGCTGTCTTCCTCCATCTTCAAAGCCAGCAATGGCGGGTGTAATCTTTCTGGGGCTGCCTCCCTCTTTCACTCTATAATGGGCCTTCTGATAACCCCAGCTAACCTCTGCATCTCAAGTCAGCTAACAAACTTAATACCTACTTGCCATCCATGTAATGTAACAGCCACAGGTGCTGGGGATCAGTACGTGAACATCTTTAGGGGGCATTATTTGCATATATAATAAAATATATAATATAATATAATACCCCTGCCCTCTTTTAACATAAATGGTAGCAAACCACATGCTGTTCTGAATCTTGTTCTTTTGGCTTAATACATAGTATAGGTGGTTCCAATTAAGTACATAAATACTGAGCTTTTTCCCCTTTACATTGAACTCATCAATACTTCTTTTTGTTTTTTTTTTTTTTTTTTTGAGACAGAGTCTCTCTCTGTCACCCAGGCTGGAGTGCAGTGGCGCGATCTCCTCTCACTGTAAGCTCCGCCTCCCGGGTTCACTCCATTCTCCTGCCTCAGCCTCCCGAGTAGCTGGGACTACAGGCACCCGCCACCAAGCCCGGCTAATTTTTATATTTTTAGTAGCGACAGGGTTTCACCATGTTAGCCAGGATGGTCTTCATCTCCTGACCTCGTGATCCGCCCACCTCGGCCTCCCAAAGTGCTGGGATTACAGGCGTGAGCCATCGCGCCCGGCCAAACTCATCAATACTTCTATTTGTTATGGTCTATTTCCCAGTAAACCTCAGCCTGCTAAGACCAGCTCTAGATTTAAATAATAATTGGATCTCATCATCGTGTCTCTGGCGCCTTCCTGAGTAATCTTCAACAGCAAGCTTGGTGAAAAGTGCTGGATGAAATGGCAGGCTTACCAGGGCCTGGCCCTGGGGCCAATACTTAATAACCCACTTCAAACAGGACTGTTTTGTGACTGTGCCCGGCTGCGTGGCAGGGAGGGATCAGGCATCAGGCAGCTTCTCTCTGTGTGGGCCTTGAATTCCCAGAGGGCCTGTCTGCTCTCGTCTTACCTGTCCCTACTCTTAAAGATCAGAAGCTCAAACCCATGCCACCTCCTCCAAGCAAAGGACTACCAAAGACTGGGCCCACAGGGATCACCATGAAGGCCAAGGAAATCTGTGGGAGTCAAGGGTGTTTTCACACAGAGAGGAGACTAGTCCAGGCATTTAAACACACAACATCCACAGAAACCATTTTTCCCCAGGTCAGGGCAGTTTGCATTAAAGGTACAGCATAGCCATGTGGATAGAGGCTTCAGAGAACTCAGGGCAGGGCAGGGGGCAGCACATGTATTCTAGAAAGGGCCAGACAGGGAATATTTTAGGCTTTGCGGGCCACGTGGTCACTATTGCTACTATTCAACTCTGCCACTGTAGCATGAAAGGAACCATAGATGATACATACACCAGTGGGTGTGGCTGTGTCCCAATAAAACTTTATTTACAAAAACAGGAGGCAGCAAAGTAAATTACAAAAATGGCCACAAACTTTTTCTCTTCTTTTTTTTGAGACAGAGTCTTGCCCTGTCACCCAGGCTGGAGTGCACTGGCACCATCTTGGCTCACTGCAACCTCTGCCTCCCAGGTTCAAGAGGTTCTCGTACCTCAGCCTCCCAAGTAGCTGGGATTACAGGCACCCACCACCATGCCTGGCTAAATTTTGTATTTTTAGTAGAGACGGGGTTTCACCATCTTGGCCAGGCTGGTCCCGAACTTGAAACCTCAGGCGATCTGCCCTCCTCGGCCTCCCAAAGCCCAAAGTGCTGGGATTACAGGCGTGAGCCAGAGCACCCGGCCACTTTGCTTTGTATTCGTGCCCTTCGCAGTGTGACTTTTCAGCTCCTCTCAAGATGTGGTGTCTTTTTTCCTACTCCTTAAATCTGGGCTGACCTTCTGACTTGTTCTGGCCTAAAGAATGTGGCAAAGTCATGTTGTGCCAGTTTTGAGGCAGACCTCCACAAGCCTTGGCCTTTCTGTTGCCTTTCTCTCTCTGTTCCACCTGTCTCCCACTCTCAACACCACCTCCACCCCCCTACATGTAAATAAGCCCAGGCTAGCCTGTTGGAGGCTGAGAGACCACACAGAACAAAAATTCCCATCTCTCCAGCCAACAGCCAGCCAACTCCCAGAAGCCAAGTTGCCTTGCTGACCTGTAGCTGGCCACAGACACAAGAGGAAGAAGCCCAGCAGAAACCAGAAGGACTGCCCAGTTGAGCCCAGCCTCAGTTACTCACAGAACCACAAGCAAATAATAGGTGGTGATTTTGAACCACTAGGTTTTGGGGTGTTTTTATACAGAATTATTGTTGTAATAGAAAAGTGAAACAATGGGGTAATACAACTCTTAGACTTCACAGAGTTGTGGAGGAAATTAAATGAGATGGTCTTTGTAAAAGTGCTTAATTGGGTTCCTGAATGAGGCAGCTTTCCATAAGTGTTCATTATTATTCTTGGCCTGAGGCAGTGTGTCCCATGTGAAAATCAAAACCATGATCTCAGCCAAATTAATTGTGCTGGAAATGGACTCCACTTGAGCATCCAATCAGCCACTTGTGGACCATATGTGGCCCCCCACTACAGAAGCCTGGGCCCTGCCTAAAACTTCTAACAAAACATTTTTTTTTTTTTGAGACAGAGTCTCACTCTGTTGCCCAGGCTGGAGTGCAGTGGCATGTTCTGGGCTCACTGTAACCGCCGCCTCCCAGGTTCAAGTGATTCTCCTGCCTCAGCCTCCTGAGTAGCTGGGACTACAGGCACCCGCCACCATGCCCAGCTAATTTTTGTAGTTTTAGTACAGATGGGGTTTCCCCATGTTTGCCAGGCTGGTTTTGAACTCCTGACCTCAGGTAATCTGCCCGCCTCGGTCTCCCAAAGTGCTGGGATTACACGCATGAGCCACCACGCCCAGCCCTAACAAAACCTTTTTAAAGTTATAATTACCAGACGCTCATGAGTGAGATGAGAAGGGCTCTGTGAAGTTTGGTGAACATATAGTAATACTGGACTCACCTGCCAAATATGAGGGACCTACCAAAAGATAGCAGACAGGTTTCAATAGTCTCTTCACGTTCAAGGAGAAACTCGGTGTGCCCAGCTTCTTAGAAGATCTGCTGGCCCTCCAGAAAAATGCCAGGCTTGCATGCACTGGACATAAGGTGTGAACAGCTGGAGACCAGCCTTAATAGCCACTGTGGAAGAGTGTTGAGCAGAATGGATCTTGGAGGATCTGTGGTGCTACTTGACTCTGATTAAAATTATACTTTCAGAAGTGATTCATGGATTTGGCACCAATACAACAGGTTATATGTGCAAGCATACTGTTTGCTGCTTTATTTGTAGGCAAAAAACTGGAAACTGCCAGAGTATCAACCAATAAGGGATGGTTGAAGAAACTGTGATACTTACACACATGTAGAATACTATGCAGCTCTATTTAAAAGTAAATTAAATCTATGTCTTTTGGCCTGAAGGGATGTCTATGATGTATTGTGAAGAGAAAAATCGGCCAGATGCGGTGGCTCATGCCTGTAATCCCAGCACTTTGGGAGGCCAAGGTGGGCAGATTGCTTGAGGCCAGGAGTTCAAGACCAGCCTGGCCAACATGGTGAAATCCCGTGTGTACTAAAAATACAAAAATTAGACAGGCATTATCGTACAACTCTGTGATCCTAGCTACTCAGGAGGCTGAGGCAGGAGAATCACTTGAACCTAGGAGGTGGAGGTTGCAGTGAGCTGAGATCACGCCACTGCACTCCAGCCTGGATGACGGAGGAAGATTTAACAAAAAAAAAGGAGAAAAATCAAGCTGCACAATAATTAATGCATAGAGAATGACTGCATTTTAATAAAACAACAAAATCCCATTTTAAGTGTATAAGAATTTGTCTAGGTTTGTGTGGGTGTGGAGAAGGTGTGGAAGGAATTCGTCTAGGTTTGTGTGGGTGTGAAGGTGTGGAAGGAATTCTCTAGGTTCGTGTGGGTGTTAGGAAGGTGTGGAAGGAATTCGTCTAGGTCTGTGTGGGTGTGGGGAAGGTGTGGAAGGAATCATCTAGGTTCGTGTGGGTGTGAGGAAGGTGTGGAAGGAATTCGTCTAGGTTTGTGTGGGTGTGGAGAAGGTGTGGAAGGAATTCATCTAGGTTTGTGTGGGTGTGAGAAGGTGTGGAAGGAATTGTCTAGGTTCGTGTGGGTGTGGGGAAGGTGTGGAAGGAATCGTCTAGGTTCGTGTGGGTGTGGAGAAGGTGTGGAAGGAATTCGTCTAGGTCTGTGTGGGTGTGGGGAAGGTGTGGAAGGAATCGTCTAGGTTCGTGTGGGTGTGAGGAAGGTGTGGAAGGAATTCGTCTAGGTTTGTGTGGGTGTGGAGAAGGTGTGGAAGGAATTCGTCTAGGTTTGTGTGGGTGTGAGAAGGTGTGCAAGGAATTGTCTAGGTTCGTGTGGGTGTGGGGAAGGTGTGGAAGGAATCGTCTAGGTTCGTGTGGGTGTGGAGAAGGTGTGGAAGGAATTCGTCTAGGTCTGTGTGGGTGTGGGGAAGGTGTGGAAGGAATTCATCTAGGTTTGTGTGGGTGTGAGAAGGTGTGGAAGGAATTGTCTAGGTTCGTGTGGGTATGGAGAAGGTGTGGAAGGAATCGTCTAGGTTCGTGTGGGTGTGGAGAAGGTGTGGAAGGAATTCGTCTAGGTCTGTGTGGGTGTGGGGAAGGTGTGGAAGGAATTCATCTAGGTGTGTGTGGGTGTGGAGAAGGTGTGGAAGGAATCGTTTAGGTTCGTGTGGGTGTGGAGAAGGTGTGGAAGGAATTCATCTAGGTTTGTGTGGGTGTGAGAAGGTGTGGAAGGAATTGTCTAGGTTCGTGTGGGTATGGAGAAGGTGTGGAAGGAATTCGTCTAGGTTCGTGTGGGTGTGGAGAAGGTGTGCAAGGAATTCGTCTAGGTCTGTGTGGGTGTGGGGAAGGTGTGGAAGGAATCGTCTAGGTTCGTGTGGGTGTGGAGAAGGTGTGGAAGGAATTCGTCTAGGTTCGTGTGGGTGTGGAGAAGGTGTGGAAGGAATTCGTCTAGGTTCGTGTGGGTGTGCACAAGGTGTGGAAGGAATTCGTCTAGGTTCGTGTGGGTGTGGAGGTGTGGAAGGAATCGTCTAGGTCTGTGTGGGTGTGGAGAAGGTCTGGAAGGAATTCGTCTAGGTTCGTGTGGGTGTGGAGAAGGTGTGGAAGGAATCGTCTAGGTTTGTGTGGGTGTGGGGAAGGTGTGGAAGGAATTCATCTAGGTTCGTGTGGGTGTGGAGGTGTGGAAGGAATCGTCTAGGTTCGTGTGGGTGTGGAGAATGGGTGTGGGGAAGGTGTGGAAGGAATCGTCTAGGTTCGTGTGGGTGTGGAGAAGGTGTGGAAGGAATTCATCTAGGTTCGTGTGGGTGTGGGGAAGGTGTGGAAGGAATCGTCTAGGTTCGTGTAGGTGTGGAGAAGCTACGGAAGGATACATGCCTGGGGGACTGGAATAGGGGGAGATGATTAGCTTTTCCTTTCTGCTTATTTTTTATTTGGAAATAACTGTAAACACAGAAAAGTTGCAAAAATAAAAACAGTACAAAGAATACCTATATACCCTTTACTCAGATTGACGTGCATTCCTTCCTTACCTACTCCTCTCCTCCTTCCCCCATTCCTTCCTCCATCCCTGTCTCTTTCACTCATAATTTCTGCCCTGTATGTGTGCATACACACACACGAACACACACACGCGCGTGTGGGACAATGTCCCAGTTCCTGACCAAGGCCTTGTGTTTTTCCACTGTCTTGTGCCTCTACTATTGCTGTGGGAAAGCATTCTTCTGGTGCCTGTTGTAGTGCTGCCATGAGACCAGAAGGAACATGTGTGAGGCAAACCTGAGCCCATCAGCACAAGAGCTAAACCCAGCAGCACACAGATTGTGAGTCTTTTTTTTTTTTTCTGTTTTCTTTTTTTAAGACAGGTTCTCTCTCTGCCACTCAGGCTGGAGTGCAGTGGCATAATCATGGCTCACTGCAGCCTTGACCTCCTGGGCTCATGTGATCCTCCCACCTTAGCCTCTGAAGTAGCTGGGACTACAGGCACACATCACCATGCCAGGCTTTTTTTTTTTTTTTTTTTTTGTAGAGATGGGGTTTCACCATGTTACCCAGGCTGGTCTCGAACTCCTGGGCTCAATCAATCCACCCACCTCAGCCTCCCCAAATGCTGGGATTACAGGCATAGGCCACCATGCCCAGCCACACACAGATTGAATTAGAGTGGCCCAACCAAATCCTGCCAACCTGTAGACACATGAGAAGGAAATACCAATTGTTGTAGACTGAGATGTTTGCATTTGTTTGTTATGGAGCAATGACTGACCAATACAGTTGCTAACACTTATAAAGCACTTACTTTATGCTATAGAGTGCTGTAAGAATTTTGCTTATATTATCTAATTTGATATGCAACAATCCTTCTCACAGATGAGGAAATTGAGACTAAGTCAGTTGCACAAGGCCACACAGCTAATAAGCTAACAAGCTATGTGACTATGGGACACACTGCCTCTGGACATATGCTAGGTGAGACAATAATTGATGGTGGGTTAAACCAGTTTGAGTTGGCATTTCTATTACTTGCAGCCTAAAGCATCCTACCTAATTCAGCTGTACAGCCTTCTTCCTACCTCACCCCTCCCTTCCTTATCTCTAGCCCTGGGGATTTTGATTACCCTGGGGAGAAGCCTTGCTTTGCCCAAACATTAATTTACACCTGGGCTCCTCCATGTAAACTCCAGTGGTTTAGATTTTTAGTGCACGAAAGCCAGTGAGTCTGGTCTTCTGTCTATAGAAATTCAGGGAGGAAAAGGATAAGCACCAATATGATACCAAAGAAAAAGTGATTGTGAGAAAAAATGTAATCCAACACGGAGTCAGCTTCTACCTAAAAAAGACAAAGTGAGTCCTGCTTCATTCTGAGTAGGTCAGTTACCAAATGTTCAGACAGGCCTTCGGGCTTGGAGAAAGAAATACACTTCAGAAAGTGAAATGAGGGCCTGTCCAGCATTGGAGGCACAGTGTGCCTGGGGGTCAAGACCAGGGCTAAGCAAAGGCATAGGATCTAGGGGGTGAGGCGGGTTAGATAAAGTGCACAAAGAGATTTCCATCCTTGATTAGTCCCGCACACCTATGGTTCTCAGTCTTGGCCATCTGTCAGGATCATCTGGTCTGGGAAACTTTTAAAAACCCCTATGCCAGGGCTATACCCCAGACCAACTACATGAGATTCTCTGAGGAAGGAACCCAGGAACCTGGTGCTTTGTGCAGTGAACGTGAAGAATTACACAGTTCCAGCCCCACACTGTTTGGGATACTCTCTACTCCTGAGGATAACCACCATTGTTGTGTGCCCACCAGTTACGAGGCGCCATGTATGTACTTCACATACCCCTCACAACAAAAGAAATATTTTTAACAGGTAGGGAAACTGAACCACAGGTAGCAAATACAGGATTCAAGCCCAAACAATCCAAAGGCCAAGTTTTTTACAGCCACACCTGTGGCTGTAATGCAAATAACCTGAGAATTAGAAGAGAAAATAGAACTTTATATGAGATTCAAAAGGGGGCAGGGCTAAGTGGGAAGAAAGAGCAATCTGGTGTTGCTGACTGGAGGGAGCCCAGCGAAAGAAGCCAGGTTCCTGGGATGGTGACACCAGGCCTTCGTTGACTAATGGGAGCAGATGGAAGAGCGAATCAGGCTGTGCAACTGGAACAAAGGGCCTCCAGAGAAAGAGAACAGGTGACCAGTTTTTCCTTACAGTCCCTCCTCCTAGTGCTCAGAGATGAGCACTGGGGGTTGGTTGAGGTCCAGCCGAGGGACTAGAAGATACGACAAGACCTGCCTTTGGGTTGTTTTTTCTTGGTCTTGGTCTCTTCCTTCTCTTTCCCTCCCTCCCTCAACCTCCCTCCTCACTCTAATAATTCATGAAATAAGCTTCCGAGGCTTCCCCACAAATTCTCCAGATGCAATCAGTCCCCTCAGACTCCTGTGAGGATTACCACCAAAACTGTAGCAAGAACTTATTTAAGTAAATGAGAAACACTGAGATTCCCCTAAAATGTTCTAAAAGGTATGCAGTTGTATCTCATTGTTTCAATTTGCAATTCTTTAATGATGTGGTGTTGAGCATCTTTTCATATGCTTATTTGCCATATCTATCTTCTTTGTTAAGTTTTAAGATTATTTGAATATTTTAAATAAGTCTATTACAATTATATCTTTTAGTCTGTGGCTTGCCTTCTCATTTGTAATGAGAAGGCAAAATTTTTAATCTCAATGAAGTCCAATTATTTCTTTCATTAATCATACTTTTGGTGTTATATCTAAAAAGTCATCATCATACTCAAGGTCATCTAGATTTTCTCCTATGTAATCTTCTAGGACTTTCATAGTTTTGCATTTTACATGTAGATCTCTGATCCATTTTGAGTTAATTTTTATGAAAAGTATAGGACCTCAAGTTCTTTTAGCATCCTTTGTTGGAAAGACTATCTTTGCTCCATTGTATTGCCTTTGCTCCTTTGTCAAAGATCAGCTGACTATATTTATGTGGGTCTATTTCTGGGCTCCCTATTCTGTTTCGTTAATCTATTTCTTTACTCTTTTGTCAATACCACTGCTTTGATTATTGTAACTTTATAGTAAGTTTTAAAGTTGGGTAGTGTCAGTCCTCTGACTTTGTTCTTCTTCAAACTAGCTATTCTGGGTTTTTTGCATCTCCATGTAAATTTTAGAACCAATTTGTCAATATAATAAAAAAGAGCTTGCTGGCATCTTTACTGAAACTGCATTGATTCTGTACATCAAGTTGAAGAGAGGTGACATCTTGACAGTATCCATGAACATGGAATAGCTCCCATTTAGTAATTTGATTTCTTTCATTAGACTTTTATAGTTTTCCTCACATAGATCTTGTACATGTTTTGTTAGATTTGTACCTAAGTATTTCTTTTTTGGTACTAGTGTTAATGGTATTGTGTTTTTAATTTCAAATTCCACTTGTTCATTGCTGGTATATAAGAAAGTGACTGGCTTTTTTTTGTATTAACCTTGTATCCTACAACCTTGATATAATCACTTTATTAGTTTCAGGAGTTTTGTTTTTTTCCTTTTTCTTTATTACTCACATTTTCAACATAAATAATCATAACATCTGCAAACAAAGACAGCATTATATCTTCCTTCACAGTCTGTATACCTTTCATTTTGTTAGATTTGTACCGGAGTATTTCATTTTAGGGGTTGCTAATATAAATAACATTGTGTTTTTTAAATTTCAAATTCCACTTGTTCATTACTAATATATAGGAAAGTGAATGACTTTTGTATACTAACTTTATATCCTGCAACCTTGCTATAATCACTTATTAATTCCAGGAGTTTTTTATTTATTCTTTTGGATTTTCTACATAGGTAATCACGTCATCTGTAAACAAAGTTTTATTTTCTTATCTTATTGCATGAGCTAGGACTTCCAGTACAATATTGAAAAGAGTGGTGAAAGGAAGAGGACATCCTTGCCTTGTTCCTGATCTTAGTGTACAAACTTCTAGCTTTTCACCATTAGATATGATTTTAGCTGTAGAGTTTTTGTAGATGTTCTGTATCAAGTTAAGGAAATTCCCATCTATTCCTACTTTGCTGAGAGTTTTTATCATGCATGGGTATCGAAGTTTGTCAAATGCTTTTTATGCATGTATTGATATAATCGTGTGATTTTTCTTCTTTGTTCTGTTGATATGATGAATTGCATTAACTGATTTTTGAATGCTGAACCAGCCTTACATTCCTGGATATATCACACTTGGTTGTCTTTTATAATTCTTTTTATACATTGTTGGATTCAACTTGCTAATATTTTGTTGAGAATTCCTGCACCTATGTTCATGAGAGATACTAATCTGTAGTTTTCTTGCAGTGTATTTGGTTTTGGTATTAGGGTAATGCTGACCTCAGGAATGAGTTAGGAAGTAGGCCCTCTGCTTCTATTTTCTGAGAGATAGATTGTAAAATAATTACTATAATTTATTTCCTAAATGCTTGCTAGAATTCACCTGTAAACCCATCTGGGTGGGTGTTTATATTGTTGAGTTGTAAGAGTTCTCTATGTACTCTGGATATAAATACCTTATCAGATACGTGAATTTGAAAGGTTTTCTTCCAGTCTGCGGCTTGTCTTTTTACTTTGTTGATTATGTCTTTTGAAGTTGAATGCTTTTAATTTTTATTAAATATAATTTATCAATGTTTTATCATTTGTGCTTTTAGCATTATATCTAAGAAACCACTGACTAACCAAGATCATGAAAATTTACTCCTATGCTTTCTTCTGAGAGTTTTATAGTATTAGTTCTTACATTTAGGCTTATGATGCATTTTGTGTTAATTTTTGTATGATGTGAAGTAGGCCGGTCGGGGGGGTGGAGTCCACATTTATTCATTTGGCATGTGGATATCCAGTTGTCCCAGAACTATTTTCTAAAAAGACTATTCCTTTCTCATTAATCAGCTGATTATAAGGGTTTATTTTTAGGCTCTTAATTCTATTCCATTGTTCTGTATGATCTGTCCTTATGCCATCACCACACTGCTTTGATCACTGTAGCGTTGTAGTTAAGTTTTGAAAATGAGAAGTGTGGCTAGGTGCAGTGGTGCATGCCTGTAATCACAGCACTTTGGGAGGCCAAGGAGGGGAGATGACCTGAGGTGAGGAGTTTGAGACCAGCCTGACCAACATGGTGAAACCCTGTCTCTACTAAAAATACAAAAAATCAGCCAGGCGTGGTGGCGGGTGCCTGTAATCCCAGCTACCCAGGAGGCTGAGGTAGGAGAATAGCTTGAACTCAGGAGGTGGGGGTTGCAGTGAGCTGAGACCACACCACTGCAGTCCAGCCTGGACAATGGAATAAGACTCCATCTAAAAAAAAAAAAAAGAGAAAACGAGAAGTGAAAGTTCTCCAACTTTGCTCTGAAAATTCATTTTGTACCTCGTAAGTCATCTATTCAATACTTTAAAACGTAGGAAATTGTAAATATAATAAACTGGGTTGAATTATAAATTTTTAAAAACTGTGTGTGCTAAAAAGTAAAGGTCCTGATTTCTAGGGCCCTGCTGACATCTCCTCAGAGTGCAGAAGTGTTGTGACACCAACTGGATTCAGCCATGTGGCCATGTTCCTGGGTACCTGAGCCCACACAGTGCACTATATCCTGGGAACAAACAGTCCAGCACATCAAGGAGGCTGCTCCCAGGACATAGAGAGCAGAGGCATGCACTCCCCAGAGACTGAGAGCTGCCTGCCCAGGGCCATTGCCACTGGCAGAGACCCAGCTTGTCCAGCAATGGAGCTGCTGTATACCCATGTGCATGCACCACCTGAAAGCCAATGACAGACCTCCCCAGAGTCTGCTGCTGCCATTGCTGGTACCCATGCCACTGTCATGGCTGGTACCCATGGCCCACCTGGCCCACTGCTGCCACTTCTCTGCTCATGTGCCTGAGGACTGGCTCACCAGGGGCCCATGCTGCCACTGCCAGTGCTCACATGTTCCACCTAGGGACTAGCTTGACAGAGGACCCACTGCTGCCCCCACTAGTGGCTGCCCCCTGGGGGTCCAAGGACAAGCCTACCAGGCCTGCTGCCACTGCCACCCATGTTCCCCACCACCTGGGGGCCTGAGGACTGACCCACCAGGGGCTCTACTGCCCATGTACCTTGCCCAAGGGCCTGAGGACCAGCCAGCCTAGCTACTGGTCACCCCAGTCCCCAGCAAAGTCTCACCACAACCTCACAAATTGTAGCCAAAGCCACTGGGGCATTCACAGATACCACTGGCATTGATACGGTCAAATAAATAATATGAAGACTACACTATGGTACCCACCCAGAACTAAAGGCAAAATACCCTACCCACTGACACTACAGATACATCTACAGGAAAAAGTAATTCCCTATGAGAGCTACTCCATAAAATTGGAAGAAGCATCTGTTACATCAGATGTACAGCTATCAACATAAAAACACAAGAAACATGAAAAAGCAAGGAAACACACCACCTCCAAACACACACACACACACACACAGAGACACACACACACACACACAAATAATTCTCTAGTAACAGAACGCAAAGAAAAGAAAATTTATTAAATGCTTGAAAAGGATTTCAAAATAAAGATCTCAAGGAACACATGGAGATTGCAAGAGAACACGGGTGACAAAACAAAGATATCAGAAAAGCAATTCACAATCTGAATGGGAAATTAAACAGATAGACAGATATATACATATAAAAAGAAGCAAACATATATCCTGGAAATGAATAATTCAATAAATGAAATTAAAAAATATAAGATCTTCAAAAATGGACTAGATCAAGCTGAAGAAAGAATTTCTAAACTTGAAGACAAGTCTTTTGAAATAACTTGTCAGTCAAAAAGAAAGAAAAATAAAGGAAAAAAAAGAAATGTTAATGAAGAAAGCTTACATGATATATGAGAAAACATCAAGCAGACAAATACTTGAATTTTGGGAGTTCCAGAAGGAGAAGAAATGAGGAAAGGCAAAGAGAACCAATTTAATGAAATAGTCAAAAACTTCACAAGTCTTGGAAGAGATATAGACATTCAGACACAGGAAACTCAAAGATCCTCAAATAGATTCAACCCAAAAATATCCTCTCTCAGGCACATTACAGTGAAATTATCAAATGTCAAAGACAGAGAAAATGCTAAAAAAACAGCAACAAAAAAGCATCAAGTCACATATTAGCCCCTTCAGACTAACAGCAGATTTCTTAGCAGAAACATTACAGTCCAGGAGAGAATGGGATGATATATTCCATGTGCTAAAAGAAAAAACCTGCCAACCATGGGTAATATACCCAGCAAAGCTATCCTTCAGAAATAAAGGAGTAGTAGTCTTTCCCACACAAGAAAAATGGAGGGTATTCATCACCACTAGACCAATTCTACAAGGAATGCTTAAGGGAATCCTATATCTGGAAGTGAAAAGACAATACCTATCATCATAAAAACACATGAAAGTCCAAAATTTGCTGGTACAGCAGATACACAAGTGAAAGGAAATAAAAAAAGAATCAAACATGATTACTACAGAAAACCACCAAATCACAAAGATAAGCAACAAGAGAAGGAGAAAGGGACAAAGGATATACAAACCAATCAAAAAACAATTAACAAAATGACAGGAGTAAGTTCTCACCTACTATCAACAATAACCTTGAAGACAAATGGCTTAAATTTCCCAATTTAAAAATATAGACTGCCTGGGCATGGTGGCTTATGCCTGTAATCCCAGCACTTTGGCAGGCAGAGGCAGGCGGATCACTTGAGGTCAGGAGTTTGAGACCAGCCTGACCAACATGGTGAAACCCCATCTCTACTAAAAATACAAAATTAGCTGGGTGAGGTGGTGCATGCCTGTAATCCCAGCTACTTGCCAACATTCTGAGGCAGGAGAATTGCTTGAATGTGGGAGGCAGAGTTTACAGTGAGCTGAGATCGTGCCATTGCACTCCAGCCTGGGCAACAAGAGCGAAACTCCATCTCAAAAAAATAATAAATAAATAAATCAAATATATAGACTGGCTAAATGGATTTAAAAAAAAAAGTCAAGACTTGGCTATATGCTGCCCTCAAGAAACTCGCTTCACCTGAAAAGACACAAAGACTGAATGTGAAGGAATGGAAAGACATTCCACACAAATGGAAACCAAAAGCATGCAAGAGTAGCTATTCTTATATCAGACAAAATAAACTTTAAGTCAAAAACCATAAAAGGAGACAAAGAAGGCCATTATATAAATGATAAAGGGATCAATTCAGCAAGAGGATATAACAATTATAAATATATATGCATCCAACACCAGAGAACCTAGAGATATAAAATAAATATCATTAGAGCTTAAGAGATAAGTTCCATTGGTCTGAAAATGCATTTTGAGAAAATAAAAAGGAGAGATAGGCTCCAATATAATAATAGTTGGGGACTTCACCACCCTTCACTCAGTGGAGAGGTCATCTACAAAGAAAATCAACAAAGAAACTTCGGACTTATACTGCACTCTAAACCAAATGGACCTAACAGATATTTACAGAACATTTCATCTAACTGCTGTAGAACACACATTCTTCACTTCAGCATATGAACCTTTCTCCAGGATAGATCATATGTTAGGTCACAAAAACAAATTTCAACAAGCATGAGGAAACAGCGAACATACCCAAATTCAGGGACATTCTACAAATTAGCCAAGTACTCTTCAAAATGTCAATGTCAAAAAAGACTCAGGAACAGTTCCTGATTATAGATTAAAGCAGCATGGCCACTGAATGCAACACTGGATCTTGGATATTCTTTTGCCATAAAGGGCAGTAGTAGGACAATTAGTGAAATCTGAATTTGATTTATAGATTGGATAACAGCATATTAACACTGATTTCCCTGATTTTGATCATTGTACTGTGGTTAGGTAAGAACATTCCTTGCTTTTAGAAATACACACCAAAATATTAAGGGTAAAATGAGCATGATATCTGCAACTTACTTTTAACTTGTCCAGAAAAAAAAAGTGTCTGTGTGTATGAGTGAGTGTGCATGTGTGAGAAAGAGAGGAGGGAGAGGCAAATGTATAAAATATTAACATTTACAGAACTGGGGTAAAGAGTATCTGGAAATTCTTTGTTCTCTTTTGCAACTTTTCCTTAAGCCTGATATTATGTCAAAATTTAAAATAAACATTTTAAATTTGTTTGGTGAGTCGTTCCCTTTGTACCTTTATCCCAACTACCCAGCTGGCTCTAGAAAGTTTCTTCCTTGAGTCTGCATCTGTTTTTTGTTTTGTTTTGTTCTTTGGCGACACAGTCTCATTCTGTTGCCCAGGCTGGAGTACAGTGGCACAGTCTTGGCTCACTGCAACCTCCGCCTCCCTGGTTCAAATGATTCTCCTGCCTCAGCCTCCCAAGGAGGAGCTGGGATTACAGGCAACCACCACCATGCCTGGCAAATTTTTGTATTTTTAGTAGACATGGGGTTTCACCATGTTGGCCAAGCTGGTCTTGAACTCCTGACCTCTGGTGATCTGCCCATCTTGGCCTCCCAAAGTGCTGGGATTACAGGTGTGAGCCACCACGCCCGGCCTCGAGTCTGCATCTAAACAGGGCTAATTACTACTATTTGTCTCACATACCCCTTTGAAGATCTGATAAAGCTTCAGGCCCTCTCCCCAGAAATACATTCATACTCTCATACTCATATACACTTGCCTTTGCATACAACCACCTCAGATTAAGAAACTTGACTTGGGAGACCAGCAATCAAATATCTAAACAAGAAGTTAGAGGTCCCACCAGCAAAGTGAATGGGAAGTATATGGCTGGGCTCTGAATCATGAGTCCCTATCCAGGGTTCAAGGGCCTCTTTGGCCTTGGATGATTTTCCTCCTACATCTTACTCACTTCTGCAGACAAGGAGGGGGCTGGCTGAGAGGCCCATTCTAGCCTGGACTTAGATGCTATCTTCTGCTTACTATCTGTGCATCCTTGGGGAGTTACTTAACCTCTGAAGCCTCAGTTTTCTCTTCATAAAATAGAGGCAATTACAGGACCACCTCATAGGGCTGCTGGAGAAAGAGGAGTTCAGAAATGGGAGCTTCCGTTATTTTTGTATTTTTAGCACCTAATATTGTCTGCTTAATGCTTTGTGACCTTTGCTGTTTTTACCAAGCCCAGCCTAGCACTGGCTCTGCAAGAGCTGAGTAGTGTCTGCTCCTCAGTGGTAAGCAACTACTGTACTCAGAGGCATGAGGCCATAGCCTAAGGCTTAATCTCAAGGGCCCATGTTGCCAACAATCCTTGCTTCCTCAAGACCTTCTAAGATCAGGCTTTTTCTTTTTATCCCACTTGGAGCCTAATGTCCTTCACTGGACATATCTTTTCATTTAATTGAACCTTTAGCAATATTCAGTTTAACTGGAATACTAGACATTTTGGGCAAATGTGAACATATTAGTAGCACGTTTGCTTTTCAACTGTCATTTATCTTCAACTCAAAATTCTCTTTCTCAAAATGAAACGAATTATAGTGTCAAAGTGAAAACAAGTGTGTCTTGAACTCCTTGATTATTCATTAAGAGGAAAAGAATGAAATTTCAGATTGATAGTGCACATTTGTGTGTGTGCTTGTGCGCACACTCTCTCTCTCTGGAGGCTCATAGAGTGTCCCAAACCATAAGCTAAAACTGCCCATCTTCTTAGGGTTTCAATTCTACCCAAAGCTTTGGAGTGAAAAAATCCATTTTAATATTAAAACAATCAGATATACTTAAAGAGCAGAATATAACATACCTGTAATTTTTTTTGTTTTTTTGAGACGGAGTCTCACTCTGCTGCCCAGGCTGGAGTGCAGTGGCACAATCTCGGCTCACTGCAACCTCCACCTGCCAGGTTCAAGCAATTCTCTTATCTCAGCCTCCTGAGTAGCTGCAATTACAGGCGTGCACCACCACGCCCAGCTAATTTTTGCATTTTTAGTCAGGACAGGGTTTCACCATGTTGGTCAGACTGGTCTGACTCCTGACATCAGGTGATCCTCCCTCCTCGGCATCCCAAAGTGCTGGGATTACAGGTGTGAGTCACAGCGCCCGGCCCATAGCTGCAATTTTTAACAATGAAACCTCAAAGGATGTGAGTTCTTGCCAGGTCATAGCTGGTGCCTCCTTCTGTGTTGGGGTTTTTGCAGGGCAAGGCTGGGAAGCACTGGTTTAGCTCTCTGGGAAGGGGAGGAAAGCGGTAAGCTGTCCAGAGGACTTGTTCTCCGGAGGCAAGCCGTCACTGCTTTGGGGATCTTGGCAACTGAGCGTCTCTATGTGCCCAGGCCTCAGCCAAGTGCTGGGGAGGACAAAAGCTGCCTCAGCTCCCAGGGAGTCCAAAACCTGGTTAATGCAGACAACAGCACCTACTCCTGCACAGAAAAGCCATTGCAGACACTGACACAAGCTAGCATTTTAGCAAATAAAGGCATTATTATTTGCCGAGCAAAATATAATGTGGGGAGGCATCAGCACGTGGCCTCTCACGTAGTTCTCTAAATTTAATTTTTTATCTAACATTAAACTTCAATGGTTTCAAAAATTTTGTAACAGAATTTTGATCAAGTTGCTTCCATTTTTAAAGCTAGATCTGTCTTTAAAAACAAATAGCTGCCGGGCGTGATGGCTCACGCCTGTAATCCCAGCACTTTGGGAGGCTGAGGACGGAGGATCACGAGGTCAGGAGATCGAGACCATCCTGGCTAATACAGTGAAACCTGTCTCTACTAAAAATACAAAAAAATTAGCCGGGCGTGGTGGCGGGCACCTGTAGTCCCAGCTACTCGGGAGGCTGAAGCAGGAGAATGGAGTGAACCCGGGAGGCAGAGCTTGCAGTGAGCCGAGATTGCACCACTGCACTCCAGCCTGGGTGACAGAGTGAGACTCCGTCTCAAAAAAAAAAAAAAAAAAAAAAAAAAAAAAAACACACAGTAGGCTGGGCGCGGTGGCTTATGCCTGTAATCCCAGCACTTTGGGAGGCTGAGGTGGGCTGATCACCTGAGGTCAGAAGTTTGAGACCAGCCACAGCCAACATGGCAAAACCCCATCTTTACTAAAAATACAAAAAATTAGGCCGGGTGCGGTGGCTGTCGCCTATAATCCCAGAACTTTGGGAGGCCAAGGCGGGTGGATAACGAGGTCAGGAGTTCGAGACCAGCCTGACCAGCATAGTGAAACTCCATCTCTACTAAAAATACAAAAAAAATTAGCCAAGCATGGTGGCGGGTGCCTGTAATCCCAGCTACTTGGGAGGCTGAGGCAGGAGAATTGCTTGAACCCAGGAGGTGGAGGTTGCAGTGAGCCAAGATCGTGCCACTGCACTTCAGCCCAGACAACAGTGCAAGACTCAGTCTCAAAAATAAAATAAAATAAAATAAAAAATTAGCCGGGTGTAGTGGCAGGCGCTTGTAATCCTAGCTACTTGGGAGGCTGAAGCAGAATTGCTTGAACCTCGGAGGCAGGGGTTACAGTGAGCTGAGATGGCGCCATTGCACTCCAGCCTGGGTGACAGATCGAGACACTCTCTCTCAAAAAAAAAAAAAAGAACACAGAATATTCCCTTATATTCCATTGCAATCCCTTCCATCTGTGGCCTAGCCATGGCATTACTCTCTAACCATTAGCCCTACTTTACTATCTGCGCATCCTTGGGGAGTTTCTTTACCTCTCAAGCCTCCCTTTTCTCCTCATAAAATAGAGGCAATTACAGGACCACCTCATGGAGTTGCTGAGACAGTGGCTCTGAGAACGTCCTTTGGCTGTGACTGGATGGCAGAGGTGGCCAGTCAGCATTCTCCCTGAGTCATGGAGCACAAATAAAAGAGTATCTGTGCCACATACTGGACACTCCAGAGGGATGAACGCATGCACTTGGAGCTTAGTGAAGAAAATCATTTTCACATTCTTAGGAGAGATAAAGTAAAAAAATGTACTAAATATTGAATTTATATATCATTTTCAAATAAAATCTCTTCACATATTTTAATGAGAAACTTGATCTGGTTTTCATGGACATTTAAAAAATATCAGATATTACCCTTGAAATGGTTGCATACAATTCCTAATCACAAGTTTTTAACAATTCTCTCTTCTAGTTCCTGACTGTAACCAATGAGAAACATTGACAAAAGTAGGTGATAAAATATTTAATCTTCCTGGCTGGGTGCGGAGGCTCACGCCTGTAATCTAGCATTTTGGGAGGCCGAGGTGGGTGGATTACCTGAGGTCGGGAGTTCGAGACCAGCCTGGCCAACATGGTGAACCCTGTCTCTACTAAAAATACAAAAAGATTAGCCGGGTGTGGTGGCATGCGCCTGTAATCCCAGCTACTCAGGAGGCTGAGGTACGAAAATCACTTGCACCTGGAGAAGGAGGCTGCAGTGAGATGGCACCACTGAACTCCAGACTGGGCGACAGAGTGAGATGCTGTCTCAAAAATAAATAAGTAAATTTAAAAAATTGTTTAGATTTAACCTTCCTTTCTTTAAAATCTGAAAATTTCTAAGAGTTGAAATTAGAAGAGTCTTAGCAGTCCATCTTTTTTCTTTTTTTTTTATTGATCATTCTTGGGTGTTTCTTGCAGAGGGGGATTTGGCAGGGTCATAGGACAATAGTGGAGGGAAGGTCAGCAGATAAACAAGTGAACAAAGGTCTCTGGTTTTCCTAGGCAGAGGACCCTGCGGCCTTCCGCAGTGTTTGTGTCCCTGGGTACTTGAGATTAGGGAGTGGTGATGACTCTTAACGAGCATGCTGCCTTCAAGCATCTGTTTAACAAAGCACATCTTGCACCGCCCTTAATCCATTTAACCCTGAGTGGACACAGTACATGTTTCAGAGAGCACAGGGTTGGGGGTAAGGTCACAGATCAACAGGATCCCAAGGCAGAAGAATTTTTCTTAGTACAGAACAAAATGAAAAGTCTCCCATGTCTACTTCTTTCTACACAGACAGAGCAACCATCCGATTTCTCAATCTTTTCCCCACCCTTCCCCCTTTTCTATTCCACAAAACCGCCGTCGTCATCATGGCCCGTCCTCAATGAGCTGTTGGGTACACCTCCCACACGGGGTGGTGGCCGGGCAGAGGGGCTCCTCACTTCCCAGAAGGGGTGGCCGGGCAGAGGCGCCCCCCACCTCCCGGACAGGGCGGCTGGCCGGGCAGAGGAGCCCCCCACCTCCCTCCCGGACGGGGCGGCTGGCCGGGCGGGGGCTGACCCCCCCACCTCCCTCCCAGACGGGGTGTTTGGCCGGGTGGGGGCTGACCCCCACCTCCCTCCCGGACGGGGTGGCTGCCGGGCGGAGACGCTCCTCACTTCCCAGACGGGGCGGCTGCCGGGCGGAGGGGCTCCTCACCTCCCAGATGGGGTCACGGCCGGGCAGAGGCGCTCCTCACCTCCCAGACGGGGTCGCGGCCGGGCAGAGGCGCTCCTCACCTCCCAGACGGGGTCGCGGCCGGGCAGAGGCGCTCCTCACATCCCAGACGGGGCGGCGGGGCAGAGGCGCTCCCCACATCTCAGATGATGGGCGGCCGGGCAGAGATGCTCCTCACTTCCTAGATGGGATGGCGGCCGGGAAGAGGCGCTCCTCACTTCCCAGACGGGGTGGCAGCCGGGCAGAGGCTGCAATCTTGGCACTTTGGGAGGCCAAGGCAGGCGGCTGGGAGGTGGGGGTTGTAGCGAGCCGAGATCACGCCACTGCACTCCAGCCTGGGCACCATTGAGCACTGAGTGAACGAGACTCCGTCTGCAATCCCGGCACCTCGGGAGGCCGAGGCTGGTGGATCACTCGCAGTTAGGAGCTGGAGACCAGCCCGGCCAACACAGCAAAACCCCGTCTCCACCAAAAAAATATGAAAACCAGTCAGGCATGGCGGCGCGGGCCTGCAATCGCAGGCACTCGGCAGGCTGAGGCAGGAGAATCAGGCAGGGAGGTTGCAGTGAGCCGAGATGGCAGCAGTACAGTCCAGCTTCGGCTGGGCATCAGAGGGAGACCGTGGAAAGAGAGGGAGAGGGAGACCGTGGGTAGAGGGAGAGGGGGAGGGGGAGGGAGCAGCAGTCCATCTTTTTTCTAATGGACAAATGTAACGTTGATAATTGTGAAAATGTGAATGAAACATGAATCCAAAAGACATTTTTTCAAGTCATGTGTTTTTAAGTGGCAGGAAAGCTCTAAACTAGGGGTCTGAAACCCCCAGACCATGAACCAGTACTGGTCTGTGGCCTGTTAGGAACGGGGCTGCACAGCAGGAGGTGAGCAGAGGGCAAGTGAGCAAAGCTTCATCTGTATTTATAGCCGCTCCCCATCACTCGCATTATCACCTGAGCTCCACCTCCAGTCAGATCAGCAGTGGCATTAGATTCTCACAGGAATGTGAACCCTATTGTGGACTGCATATTTAAGGGATCTAGGTTGTGCACTCCTTATGAGAATTTAATGCCCTATGATCTGTCACTGTCTCCCATCACCCCAAGATGGGACCACCTAGCTGCAAAACAACAAGCTTAGGGCTCCCACTGATTCTACATTATGGTGACTTTTATAATTATTTCATTAGATATTTCAATGTAATAATAATAGAAATAAAGTGCACAATAAATGTAATGTGCTTGAATCATCCTGAAACCATTCCCCCCTCAACCCCAGTCCATGGAAAAATTGTCTTCCACAAAACTGGTCTCTGGTGCCAAAAAGGTTGGGGACCACTACTTTAAGCCATAGAATGTGTTCAGTAGAGTGGTCTCCCTGCAGCCAGCTTGGAAGCTACAAAAGCCACAGACAATCCAATGTGTGTGAGGCTGCAACCTGGGCCTCCCAGGGCCTCCAGAAAGCCTCCCTGACCTTCCTAGTCCGCCTCCACCAGCTGCTACTGGCAGCACAGGAACTCCTCGGGAGGCAGCTCTGTCCTTGCCCAGGCTCACACTGTGGGCCGCACGTGGTGAGCTCCAGGAGCTGCTCAAGTCTGCTGCTTGTGGGACCACCAGGCAAGCTATCAGACCCCATTGTGCCCAGCCCTGAGGTGGCTGCATGCAGGAGCTGCTGGTTAGATTTCCAAAGTCATTATTAAAAGTTAAATTATATACATTAATTAAATCAATCATATTTAAAATCAATATTCAAAACGTACTAAATGTCAGCCAGGTGTAGTGGCTCATGCCTGTAATCCTAGCACTTTGTAAGGCTGAGGTGGGAGTATTGCTTGAGGCCAGGAGTTCAAGACCACCCTGGCCAACATAGCAAGACCCACCCTATCTCTATAAGATACAAACAAACAAAACAGCTTACTACATGACAATTAGATAATTGTCATGACTGCTTGTTACTATTACCTGTGCTTCTGAGGTAACTTCCATCTATTGTTTCTGCGTGACAGAAATACAATATAATGGTGGCTACTGTACACATCGTTCTACCTCTGGGTTTAGTGACATCACATTGGTAGCTTGAAAATTGGCCATAGAGCTGGGTGTGGTAGCTCACGCCTGTAATCCCAGCACTTGGGAAGGCCAAGGTGGGTGGATCACCTGAGTTCGGGAGATCCAGACCAGTCTGGCCAACATGGTGAAATCCCATCTCTACTAAAAATACAAAAATTAGGCCGGGCGCGGTGGCTCACATCTGTAATCCCAGCACTTTGGGAGGCCGAGGCGGGTGGATCATGAGGTCAGGAGATCAAGGCCATCCTGGCTAACACGGTGAAACCCCGTCTCTACTAAAAATACAAAAAATTAGCCGGGAATGGGGCGGGCGCCTGTAGTCCCAGCTACTCAGGAGGTTGAGGCAGGGGAATGGCATGAACCTGGGAAGTGGAGCTTGCAGTGAACCAAGACTGCGCCACTGCACTCCAGCCTGGGCGGCAGTGCGAGACTCTGTCTCAAAAAAAAAAAAAAAAAAAAATACAAAAATTAGCTGGGCGTGGTGGTCGTGGTGGGATTACACGCCTGTAATCCCAGCTACTTGGGAGGCTGAGGCAGGAGAATCACTTGAACCCAGGAGGCGGAGGTTGCAGTGAGCCGAGATTGTGCCATTGCACTCCACCCTGGGTGACAAGAGGGAAACTCTGTTTCAAAAAAAAAAAAGAAAAAAGAAAAAGAAAATTTGCCATAGTAACAGTATTTCACCATGAAAATCAGCAAACACTACACATCAGGGGCTTGGTTTACTGCTCCCCCTCTCCCCACCTCACCCCCAGTCTGTGGTCATTTATCAGCACATTACTGACTGCACCCAATGGGGACAAACTCCTAGGAGCTCTGGCTGTCCCAAGGGCTGAGGGGATTCACATGTGATGCACCTGGAACCTGCTCTGCTGGATAGAATGTTGGGTCTTCTGAGTTTCCAGGTGGACTTTGTCTCCATGCTTGGGCCAGTGGCCTTCCAGACCTATGCTCTGAGGTCACCTGCAATAAAATTCCACCTTATATGAGCAGCAAGGCTACAGAGGAAGGCTGAGCTGCCCTTCACACACGTGGGCTTGCCTGGAGCCATTCCATCTGTGACAGCACAAACTGTCCACCTTCCAGCCTCTTAACCTGAGCAGCCATCAGTCTTTTCCTTTAGCTCATAAAACTGAAATTTTACTACAGTCTTTGGTTACTTTTGTAGAGATTGTTCTAGCATGGGGTAACCTGTATATAATGTTGTAAGGTTCTAAGAGGCTAAGAGTTGCCTTTACCTATCCAGGCAAAGAGAAGGGGCTGGGTGCAATGAGAAACACTTATGATTTCTGATAAACAGAAAGATTCCATGCCTATATTTAAAAAGTGAAAAAAACAAGAGGCATTACTGAGGTCTCTCATCACATTGAACTCCCGGTACACACAGCTCATTTTCTCCCTCCTTCATCCAATGTGTGGAGTACTGGCTCTGTGCTGGGCACCACTCCAGGCACTGGGGGCAGTACCGAGCCAGACACACACAGACCCCCTAAACTACCCCCTACACCTCCCAGCCCCCTCCCCAAGGCTTAGCCAGAGCGGTGAAGGCTGAAGGCTGTGGTACCAGACTGCCTGGCTTTGAATTCAGGGTCCTCCATTTGTGATTTTCTTGACCTTGTTGTACCTATCACTACAAATGTGTGAGGTGGGTCTCATCAACCCTGTTTTACAGATGAGGAAGCTGAAGCATGACATTCACTAAGACTGTGAACTTGTTTCTCATAAATAACTGTAATACATTTCTCAGAGTCAAGTATGTACTAACAAACTCACAAGTATGTGAGTTAGGTATGTACTAATGAAGAGTCTCATGACCCCATGGCCATTCCCAGTTCTGAGGTACATTATGTTTTTACTGCAACTTCCTGCTGTTAGATACCTGGAGGATATGCTTAACCACACTGTGTAATGCAACCCCACATTGTGGGGTCAACCTGGATGCTTCTCCCCAGGGCTGTAGTGAATACACCAAGCCACTTGCAGGAGACAGTTCCAGGAAAAGGTCCCAAGGCAATGTGGCTTTTAGGTGATGAAAACTTTATGTAAAATATGTTAACTGCCTTTAGAAAATTTAAAATTATGTTTCTGGTTCTTAACCATCCTGCTGTAAATAGAGCTCAACCTCCCTAGAACAAGACTGAGTAAATATGGACAATAATTAATCAGAATTACTGCAACCCCCTAGGGATCCCAAAGGCCCACCTGGCTACCCCAGGCCACCTCCCAAGGGGACAATCCAGACTCTCTCACGAACACACAACTGAAGGCAGAGCTCTTCAGCTTGTCAGAACTCATTCAGAACTCATTCTCACTTTTGTGGCATGAAAAAACAAGCCTTCCTCCTTACTTGATATTCTGAAACTTCACAGTAAATTTTGACTTTAATCCACCAAAACATGGCTCTTCCGCAACCCAGCCCCAAGCCTGGCACTGTGGAGATTCACTTCTAGAGGACTAGCTAAGGGTTTACTACAGGGCTAGCTCAGAAGGGCCAGAGAGAAAGGCAGATCAAAACCGACAGCTGCCCCACACACAGGGGCCATCAAGCCCACCCCTGGGAAATGGCCCTGCCCCAACACCCAAGCAGGGAATGGAGTGGGGCAGGGAGTCAGCTGTCCCCACCCTCCGCTAAAGAGACAAGCATAGGTCCACTCCTCACCTTGTCCAGTCAGTCCTGCCCCATGAAGGACACCACAAGGACGCAACAGACAACCCACATGTGGGACATGCCATGGGACAACTGATGTTGTCAGTGGCAGTGCAGTAATAGGGCGGAGGCACTCTGGATGAACAGGCGGTGGAGACAGGACAGTAAGTCACTTATGTGGACCCTGCTTGGCCGCTGATCCAACAAACCAACTGTAAAAGGAATTTCTGAAACAATTCAAAAGGTGTGACTACAGGTTGACTGCTAGATAATTCCAAACATGTTCATCTTGTTAGAGGACTGATAATGAACACTGAGATTATATAAGAAAATATCCTTATTTTTTAGAAATACCTATTTGAGTAAGAAGTGGTAAAATTATATGATATCTAGAATTTACCTTCAGATAGTTTAGCAAAAAAAAAAAAGGATAAATGAAGCAAATGACATAGAATTTCAACAATTGTTGAATATGGGTGATGGGGTTTGTGGCATCATTGTCTTTGTGTGTGATTAAAATTTCTCAAAGGCCGGGTGTGGTGGCTCATGCCTATAATCCCAGCAATTTGGGAGGCCAAGATCACTTGAGCTCAGGAGTTCGAGACCAGCCTGGAAAACACGGTGAAACCCCATCTCTACCAAAAACACAAAAAATTAGCGAGGTGTGGTCGCGTGTTCCTGTGGTCCCAGCTATTCAGGAGGCTGAGGCAGGAGAATCACTTGAACCTGGGAGGCGGAAGTTGCAGTGAGCTGAGATTGCGCCAGTGCCACTTCACTGCAGCCTGGGCGACAAAGTGAGACCCTGTCTCAAAATTTAAAAAAGAAAAAAGAAATGAAAAGGGTTTTTAAAATTTCTCAAAATTAAAAAAAAAAAGTGAAACAGAGTCAGTAAAAGCAATCACAGCTTTCCTCAGCTCCCTGAAGTTACAGAGACAATTATTTGAGCCCCCACTTTGCAACAACAAATGCCTGACATTCACATACAACAATCACAAGCTGGTTTACAGATGTGGAAATGTTGTCTCCTCAATTTTACTTCGTGGTGTTACAATCCATTCTGTCAACAAAAACCTTCCAAAGAGGCAGAAAACTCTTGGGAGGCAGGGTAGGAGGTAAAGAAAAGGAAAGAAATAGATAAGACAGTGCTGCTACAGTTCCTCTCACAAATGAAATGGAGCCTCAACTGTTTCCCCAGATGACTGAACAGCTTCCAGATTGGCTTAATGTGGGAGCTCAACACATTCTCTCTCACAAAGGAATTCGAGCTGGCTGCAAGTACAGCTTCTAGAACAGATGTTCTTAACTTGTGGTCGACAGATCCCTGATGCAAAATTTTAAATGTGCATGACAGTTTTCTAGAGAGTATTCAGCTTTCTTTGTATTCTCAAAGTGATCCATGTCCCAAAAAGTTAAGAACCACTGATCTTAATTAAAGAGGGTTTGAAAGCAAACTGACTAGATTGACGCTCTGGCCATGGGTTGTGCAAAGAAAGCTTTTTATTTGAGAACACCTAGATACTTTTGGAAATGTTCTTGTTGGATCACAAACAACCTAATTGACAGTCTATCGCCAACATCCACAAACACAGCAAACAGTCCAGTCCTGCAGACCACACAGGGTACATCTAGAGGGTTCTACTTGCATCACCCACACTTCCACTCCTGTGAAACAACTGTCTTGGGCATGAGAAGGGCCAGGATAGGCCAGGTGAATGGCAGGCTGCCCAACAACCCCAATCCCAAACCAACCTCCCAGGCCATGGGCCCAAGTCCCTGCAGGAAGATGCTAATAGGTACAACAGGTAGAACATGTAGACACAAACATCTAGTTTATTTTTTCTGACTGTAACCAAAGTCAGCAAAAGAAACAACAAAACTTCAGTGCCCTAGAAATCCTCCTGGATTCAATGACAACACATCAATGGCCGGGCACAGGGTTGGATTCCTTTTATGAAATCACCTTATAATCTCTCATCATCCCAGGACAGTGCCTTTTGGGACTGCATGAATCTTTAATAGCTACACCACATTTTCTCATCCTTTAAGTTATGACAGACAGGTTATCTCTCTCCAAGAGCATCAGGTTAGATGCTCTTTCACTCTTACAAACTGTCAGGTGGAGGGAGAATCACGACATCATTCATAAATAACTGTGGAGTCTGGGATGCTGGCTGAAGGCATCTCCAGGAAGGACTGGAGGGCGATTTTGCTAAAGGGCTGCTCACTGCTCATTTCACTGCATGCCGCTTTTCTCACTTTGGTTGGGAGTTTGAAGGACCATGTAATCACAGAGATTAGAGCTCCCTGTGAAATCAATCACTGCCTTTAGATCTCCACAAAGACCTGTTCTCCAATAGCACATGCGTTTCTCTGTGAGCTGTATTCGCATCAGCGCCGGAGCCTCAGAAAGAATGCGTGTTTACACTCTGTACTCTCCAATGGGTAATATTTATCATAGAAATCTAATACATATTCTTCAGTCTTGAATCCAAACTTCTGGTACAGTAGCATAGCGGGGTTGCTTGCTGAGACGTGAAGGGTTACGTCCTTGCCCATGCAGGTCTGCCAAAAGAGTGGAAAAATACAAGATAAAAATGGAAAGGCCTGAGGGAAAATGAGTAGGTAAAGAAACGCTTTTAAGTGTAGGCAGTTAGTTATGGAAACCGGAGAAATCAGAGACTGAGGCTGAGACATTGCAACACCTAGCAACAGCTGGAAACAGAATGACATTTTGCTGCTGATCAAAACATTCACAAGACCAAGGAAACTGATAGTATTCTGGGTGTTTTTTATTTTTCTTTGAAGCAAAGGGTCAATGGGGATATTGTTATTGTCAGCTTTATTATTTACAACTCAATTACCTTTAAATATGTCAAACATTTCAATACCTAACACTATGATAACCTTGAATAAATACAAAACAAAATAAGTTTTGCTTTTTAAAACTAGATGTTATCTTGTACCTCCCCAAAACCTGTAAAAATTCCTTTACTAGGCCTGCTAAATTACATGCACAAACATGAAATATTAAGAATGTAATTATAAAACCTGAGGCCCTTGTATAGACCTTCTGAATCCCAAAGTCCACCTTCTGTCTCTCTAAAACTGACAGAATTAGCTTCTTAGAACTGAGATTTCTACATTCAGCTTTGACCTAATCTTAGGGGAAAAGAGTAACAATCATTCTATCAACACAAGGCAAGTCCTTAGATTCTTTAATCAGCTACACAGAGTAAGGTGTCCCAAAAGTCATATCATTTAAGAACTTACTTTTTAATAAAGAAGGCACTGAAATACTGAAGTTGATAGAGTCCTTGAGATTTATAACCCATGGTTCTCTCAGGCCTCTAAGAACTCCTCTGTTGACAGTCATCTGATAGCTACCTGCTTTCTCTGCTTAACTTCCATGTGTATCCATAGGCATTTTTAGGACAAGAGAGCACTTACCAGTATGCCAGGGACAAGAGCACTTTGTGAGTTTTTAAAGCAAATTTTGTGGGGTCATATTGGTGTTTGCTAGATTGCAAATATACGTGATCTCACCGTGGCCATCATTGAGTGCCAGCGACTGTGCGCCACCTATGTTTGGGCCCTCAGGGGTATGGTCTGGCTGGAGGGGAAGGTGCCCACCTGCAAAGATGAACCACTCCTCCAGTGGCCTCGCAAACACTCAGCAGGGACTGACTCTGTACCAGCCCTCATGTTGGGCACCAAGGACACACACACACAAGGACAGAGTACTATTCGTGCCCTGTCTTCAGGCCCTTACCAGTGACAGATACGGCAGCAAATCCTCTAAGTGCTCTCCTAGGTTAAAAAGACGCATACTGAGAGATCAACTCTTGGTTGGGATGGGGCAGAGAAAGGGAGTGTTGTAGAAATAACTGAGAAGCTCTCAAGAGAAAACCACCACCCAAAGTAGCACATATTAATTACTCAGTGAGTGATTTACATAATCACTGCCTAAGGAGAGAAGGAAAGCAATTTCTAGGAAAATGGTTCCAAGGTTCCTGCCAACATTTGGGAATTATTAAGCAAGTTTCATTAAAAATTGGAGAAACAACTTTTATCATCTTCATCTCCTCTTTAAAAGGAATCTTGCCTGCATAAACATATAATCCTCCATACCAAATGGTTTCTAAGTAAAAGTTGACTAAAAAAAATTCTAGGGGAAAAAAATCCTTGCATGTTTTTTGATGGTGATATATGGTGTATTTTCTTCAAAGGTGATACAAATATATTAAAGGATGAATTATAATTCAATACTAGAATCAAATCTTAGAAGGTTCATATCAGCCTTATACAGTGATAGTAAAATTACAAACTATCAGCAAAAATAAAATATGTAGCTAGGCACAGTGGCTCATGCCCATAATCCCAGCACTCGGGAGGCTGAGGTGGAAGGATTGCTTGAACCAAGGAGTTCAAGCACAGACCAGGCAACACAGTGAGACCCTGTCCCTACAAAAAATCAGCCGGGCATGGCAGTGTGCACCTGTGGTCCTGGCTACCCAGAAGGCTGAGGCGGGAAAATCACTCGAGCCCAGGAGGTTGAGGCTGCAGTGAGCTATGATTGTGCAACTCCAGTCTGGGTGACAGAATGAGACCCTGTCTCAAAAAATATATACATATTCTTATTGATACAGTTGTGCTAAAATGTTTACAAATATTTAAAAAAATAAAAATAATAGTCCTACCCTCACTTCTCTGAGTTGCGAAGGTGATGATCCTAAGAGCAGTAGCTACTACTAATATGAATAGTCCACCCTAAAGCTCTTGCTTTTGGTATTTTCTCATTTTATTTATACACATGTTCACAAACTGGTTTCTATGAAACCTGAGTCTGAATAATAATCTTATTTTAGAGGGTCGAAGATTTTTGACTGTGTGCTTTGATAACCTCATGAATGCTGATGACTGGCTTTCTTCACTTGGTTTACAAGGAAACCATTCCATTGGGCCATGCTGGGAAGGGCTAGCTCAGCTTCATTCCTCCTCCAGGTTGTTCAGGGGAGCCCAGACACAGGTGATAAATCATAAACATAGACAACTTACCTGAATCAGATGATAGATCATGAAAGTTGCAATCCCTGCTCTTCTCCATTCAGGGTGGACGAACAGAAATGAAATGTAAGCTTCATTGTATTTCACATCAGGAACCATGAAGCCAAAGGCAATGATGACTTTTTTATAAAGAACAACAACACTGAAGTCTGGGTACTGCAGACACTCAGACAGGTCAATGCCTAAAGAAAAGAAACCATCGGAGACTCAAACCACATGCCTTTGAGAATTAAGGAACACCAAGCTGTTCAGCATGTACATATAGCTACACCTGCATGCTAAAAAAAAAAAAAAAAAACACCAAAACTGGAGGTAACATAGAGACCACACAACCAGATCATAAAAATAAGAGTGAATTTTAGAAAATATTGAAATTACATAGTATTTCCTAAAAGAAGAGTGGCAGAATAGGGTAGGTAGCAGTGCACGGGTTCAGAATTGGACACAGCTGGCTTTGAACTCAGCCTCCTCTACCATGTGTGGCTTGGCACATTTCAAAATGTCTCAGAGACTCCGTTTCTGCAATATGTAAGATGAAGAGCATACCTAGACCTGACAGGGTTAAGTAAAGATCCTCCGAGCGTGTTCTATCACATCCTTTACCCCCCACACATATAATTTATAAGTTCTTTTGTACAAATGCTACCTTTCACAATAAATAAGTAAAATATGCTTCTGTGCATAATGTATGGAAGGCACCTAACATAAGGGCAGGAAGCAGGAGATGCTCCCAGAATGTTACTTTTGGCTCAGTATGACTCCCAAAAGAATGAGTGCAGCTCTGCCACCACATTCACAGTTATGTGATTATGTGACAATAAAGACGACACAGCTCTATCTTGATGAAATCGTATCTAACATCTGAAAGACATGTATTATTTCCTTTAGGTTTCAAGGCAGCGTGGGAAAGCAGATCCACAAAGAATAGTTTATATTTAGCAATGCAAATGTGTTCCTTTAATTAATGACTTTGGTCTTCAGAGGCAATTTTGTTAAGGCTGATAAAATGACAAATTATATTGGGTTTACCCTTATTCTCAGTCTGTGATCAGGGCATTTGGCTTTTAAAAAACACCTTCTGGCTGTACTAATACTCTCTAAGGAACAGCTAAATAAACAAAACATAAAGAATTATTAAGCCAAAAACAAAAGTGTCCAAACACGCCCAAGCTACCAGTCTGTGTATCTTTGATAGACATTACCTGGTATCTAAACATATGCAGAAGCAAAACAGGATGAATCTTTTACTCTGGAAACAGAGACAAACAGGGAAGAGAAACAAACAAAAACACTGTTTATTGCTGGCTTCTTCTAGATTTTGGGAAAGCAAGAGGTATTTGTATTTTAATATTTCCATGTTAGCAGAGACAAACTAAACGAAATCATAAATAAAAATCTTAAGGATATCACATAAACTAATTTTAAAAATTGCTAGAATGGACTGTACAGAAAAATGACCTGCCTGGTTTGGGAGGGGGAACATACCAGGCCAAAAAAACTCCTGACACATGGAGTTGATCGTTGGGATGTGATTTGGCCGCACATAACAGTAATCGAGAGGTGCGTCGGGCTCCGGCGTCCAGTGAGGGTCGCTCCTGTGCAGGTGGGAACGAATCTGTGACAGGAGCTGCAGTTTGGGTGGCTTTGTTTCATAATCACGCCTCCGGTACCACAGAAGATAAACAAATTCAAGTCAAGAAAAATACCTGGTATTATTCCTAGCTTTTTGACTCATATAAACTCTTTGATCTGCTTGAAACTTTAAAGTAACCTGCACTGTTTTACACGAAGCTGGCTTGATTACAGCTATACTTTTATGTATGAAATCTAAAATTCACTCTGAACATTCATCAGGCCAAAGCCCTCTGTACCCACCAGGGACTGTGCTAGGTGCCTTCATGAACAGTGAGGAAACAGATACAGCATCAGATTCACCCCAAGGAGTCAGACATGAGGATGCATCTCCAGTGCCTTGGAGGCCAGAAGAGGGAACACTCAACTTTGCGGGGCATTTGGGGAACACCAGAGACACAATGAGCTTGGAGCAGGCTCACAAACTGCTTCTCACTGTGCCTGCCCAGGAATGTGGTGCTGGCATGGAGGGTCAGGGTGATCATGGAGCTGCAGGGCAATTGTAGTGCAATGAGTGCAATAATGTGCTCTCATTTACAGTGCCAGACACTGCTGGGTCCTCTCTAGCAAGCTCAGCTTCCATTTCATTGCCTGGACAATGACATTCATTATTGGAAACTGCTTCATATACATCCAGTCCAGATGGAGGCTCAACTGAGATGTCTTTCACATTTTTTCATTTCAGACTACTAAAAATATACAACTTTAGTATTTAAAATAACATAATGAGGGCCGGCCCCAGTGGCTCACGCCTGTAATCCCAGCACTTTGGGAGGCCAAGCTGGGTGGATCACTTGAGGTCAGGAGTTCAAGACCAGCTTGGCCAACACGGTGAAACCCTGTCTCTGCTAAAAATACAAAAATTAGCTGGGCTTGGTGGTGCATGCCTATAATCCCAGCTACTTGGGAGGCTGAGGCAAGATAATTCCCTGAACCCCGGAGGCAGAGGTTACAGTGAGCCAAGATTGCACCACTGCAGCCCAGCCTGGGTGACAGGGCAAGAGTCTGTCTCAAAAAAAAAATAATAATAATAAATAAAACAATGATTATGATCATCACAAAGCAATCTTTCAGTTAATTTATTTTTGCTTTTTAAGTTTCTTTCAAAGGACCATGTTCTCTGCAAAAAAGTAGAGTTGAAACAAGCAAAGGACAAAACTGGAGGTGAAGCACAGAACTCAGTCCTTGCCAATGTTGTTCACAGTTTGTGATCTTTATTCTCTCCAACAGGAGAACAGGGCACAGAAACCACAATCATTATCCCTCATGACACACCTGACATCACACCTCTAGTTCTCCATATACCTGATATAAGGTTTCAAGATCCGAGAGGTATAAGGGCTGACAATACTCTGGTCCACAGCCATATCTTCTGATCCTACCAAGCGATACAAAAACTTGGTGGTCTGGTGTCGAAATCCCTTCCTGGACGGCAAGGAAGTCTATGAGAAAGAAACACTGGTTATATAGAAATAATTACTCAGGCTGGGCACAGTGGCTCATGCCGGTAATCCCAACACTTTGGGAAGCTGAGGTAGGCGGATCACAAGGTCACAAGATCGAGATCATCCTGGCTAACACGGTAAAACCCTGTCTCTACTAAAAATACAAAAATTAGCCGGCCGTGGTGGCAGGTGCGCCTGTAGTCCCAGCTACTTGGGAGGCTGAGGCAGGAGAATGGCGTGAACCCAGGAGGCGGAGCTTGCAGTGAGCCGAGATTGCACCACTGCACTCCAGCCTGGGCGATAGAGCGAGACTCCGTCTCAAAAAAAAAAAAAAAAAAAAAAGAAACAAAATTACTCTGAGGATTGGTTAATTTCCATATATAATTAGTATCATATTTTTATGTGTCATAAAGTAGGTCTTTTTGTATTACTTATTTGGAAAGCTCAAACTTCAATACAAAGTTTATAGACACCTTTGCATAAAACTAGACACAAAAAACCCCAGCTGTTTAAAATAAAAATAATAATTTTAAAATTCTGAAGTCATTTAAAAATTTTTTTTAACTCATTAGAGGGAGTGAGATGCAGGATTGAACACTGGATTTGCAGCTTCTCTAGGCTTCACTTTGTCTATATTATGCCTTCAACCCATTCACTAAATATTAACTAGTATCAAGTAGGTAACACACACATGAGTCATATTATATGATTGCTCTGTTATCCAAAGAGCCACTGGGGCCAACTACTACTGTATATAGAATTTTTGAAATACATCTCTGATATGGTTTGGCTCTGTGTTCCCAGACAAACCTCATCTTGAATTGTACTCCCTTAATTCCTTTGTGTTGTGGGAGGGACCTGGTGGGAGATAATTTGAATCATGGGGGCGGTTTCCACCATACTGTTCTCGTAGTGAATAAGTCTCACAAGGTCCGATGTTTTGTTTTTTTTAATCAGGGGTTTCTGCTTTTGCATCTTCCTCATTTGTTTCTTGCCACTGCCCACTAAGAAGTGTCTTTCACCTCCTGCCATGATTCTGAGGCCTACCCAGCCATGTGGAACTGTAAGTCCAATTAAACCTCCTTTTCTTCCCAGTCTTGGGTATGTCTTTATCAGCAGCATGAAGACAGACTAATATAATAAATTGGTACCAGGAGTGGGGTGTTGCTGAAAAGATATCTGAAAATGTGGAAATGACTTTGGAACTGGGTATTAGGCAGAGGCTGAAACAGTTTGGAGGGCTCATAAGAAGACAGGAAAATGTGGGAAAGTTTGGAACTTCCTAGAGATTTGTTGAATGGCTTTGACAAAAATGCTGATAGTGATATGAACAATAAGGTCCAGGCTGAGGTGGTCTCAGATGGAGATGAGGAATTTGTTGGGAATTGGAGCAAAGGTGACTCTTACTATGTTTTAGCAAAGAGACTGCTGGCATTTTGCCCTGCCCTAGAGATCTGTGGAACTCTGAATTTGAGATGATTTAGGGTATCTGGTGGAAGAAATTTCTAAGCAGCAGAGCATTCAAGAGGTGACTTGAAGGCCAGGCATGGTGGCTCATGCCTGTAATCCTAGCACTATGGGAGACGGAGGTGGGCAGATCACCTGAGGTTAGGAGTTCAAGACCAGCCTGGCCAACATGGTGAAACCCTGTCTCTACTAAAAATGCAAAAATTAGCCAGGCATAGTGGCACACACCTGTAATCCCAGCTACTTGGGAGGCTGAGGCAGGAGAATCACTTGAACCTGGGAGGTAGAGGTTGTAGTGAGCCAAGATCGCACCACTGCACTCCAGCCTGGACAACAGAGCAAGACTCTATCTCAAAAAAAAACAAAAAACAAAAGTGACTTGGGTGCTATTAAAAGCATTCCATTTTAAAAGGGAAACAGAACATAAAAGTTCAGAAAAGTTGCAGCCTGACAATGCAGTAGAAAAGAAAAACCTATTTTTTGAGGAGAAAGTCAAGCTGGCTGCAGAAATTTACATAAGTAACAAGGAGCCGAATGTTAATCCCCAAGACAATCTCCACGGCATGCCATAGGTATTCATGGCAGCCCCTCCCATCACAGACCTGGAAGCCTAGAAGGCAGCCTGGGGACTTGCCGCCCTGTGCCCCAGCCGCTCCAGTCATTGCTAAAAGGGGCCAAGGTACAGCTCGGCCCATGGTTTCACAGGGTGCAAGCCCCAAACCTTGGCAGCTTCCACTTTGCATTGAGCCTGAGGGTGCACAGAAGTCCAGAATTGAGGTTTGGGAACCTCCACCTAGATTTCAGAAGATGTATGGAAACACCTGGATGCCCAGGCAAAAGTTTGCTGTCAGGGCAGGGCCCTCATGGATAATCTCTGCTAGGGCAGTGCAGAGGGGAAATGTGGGGTCAGAGCCCCCACACAGAGTCCCTACTGGGGCAGTGCCTAGCTGTGAGAAGAGGGCCACCGTCCTTCAGACCCCAGAATGGCAGATCCACCGATAGCCTGCACTGTGCAACTGGAAAAGTTGGACACTCAATGCCAGCCCATGAAAGCAGCCAGGAGGGGGGCTATACCCTGCAAAGCCACAGGGGTGGAGCTGCCTAAGACTCTGAGAACCTACCTTTTGCATCAGTGTGACCTGGATGTAAGATAAGGAGTCAAAGGAGATCATTTTAGATCATTTAGAATTTGCCCTGCTGGAATTCAAGCTTGCATGGGCCCTGTAACCCCTTTGTTTTGGCCTATTTCTCCCATGTAGAACTGCTGTATTTACCCAATACCTGTACCCTCACTGTATCTAGGAAGTAACTAGCTTGCTTTTGATTTTACAGGCTCACAGATGGAAGGGACTTGCCTTGTCTCAGATGAGACTTGGGACTATGGACTTTCGGGTTAATGCTGAAATGAGTTAAGACTTTGGGGGACTGTTGGGAAGGCATGATTGGTTTTTTAGTGTGAGGGCATGAGATTTGGAGAGGCCAGGGGTGGAATGATATGGTTTGGCTCTGTGTCTCCACTCAAATCTCATCTTGAATTGTATTCCCATAATTCCCACATGGTGTGGGAGAGACCCAGTGGGAGATAATTTGAATCACGGGGGCGGTTTCCACCATACTGTTCTCATGGTAGTGAATAAGTCTCACGAGATCTGATGGTTTTATCAGGGGTTTCCACTTTTGCATCTTTCTCATTTTTCTCTTGCCACCACCATGTAAGAGTGGCTTTTGCCTCCCACCATGATTCTGAGGTCTCCCTAGCCAGGTGGGACTCTAAGTCCAATTAAACCTCTTTTTCTTCCCAATCTCAGGTATGTCTTTATCAGCAGCATGAAAACAAACTAATACAATCTCTTTTCCAGTGAATAAATTTGACAAAAATGGGAGTGATGTAGAATATCACTCCCGTGGATTCCCGTGGAATGCCATGGAGATTGTCTTGGGGATTAACATTCGGCTCCTTGTTACTTATGTAAATTTCTGCAGCCAGCTTGACTTTCTCCTCAAAAAATAGGTTTTTTTTGTCTACTGCATTGTCAGGCTGCAACTTTTCTGAACTTTTATGTTCTGTTTCCCTTTTAAAATGGAATGCTTTCAATAGCACCCAAGTCACTTTTGTTTTTTGTTTTTTTTTTGAGATAGAGTCTTGCTCTGTTATCCAGGCTGGAGTGCAGTGGTGCGATCTTGGCTCACTACAACCTCTGCCTCCCAGGTTCAAGTGATTCTCCTGCCTCAGCCTCCCTAAAATAAATCTCAGTAGCAGAGAGGTCTTATCAGGGGTTCAATGAGGAAGAGGCCTCTGTTCCCTAGGAAGGTATCCTAACAGACTTGGTAGATTTTATGTGTTTCATTTCAAACCCCAAGAGCTGGACTGGAAATATGTTGTTCTTCAATGACTGCCGCTCCAGGGCTCTCAGTCATGTACTAACAGAACATGTACAATTAGGGCTTTATAGCAAAGAAATCAGATGGAAGATTAAAAGGCACATTTATAAAGTTGTTTGCGAAGGGTTGGATGATGTTTAAAAACTTGTTTTTGTAGAATCAGTTTGCTCTTAACCTAGAAAATAACTTTGTTAAAAGGAAAGAGCAAGATTCCTTCCATTATAATTTGCTTTCATACCTTCCCAAACTGGACACCAAAATTTTCAAAGGCCAACTTTGAATTCTTCCAAGGCTTAAAGTCAGTTTCAAGGTAAAACTGAAAAGTGTGGTATGTAATTTCTAAATACAGCCACTAACAATTCCTCCATCCCTACTAAGCGGCTCCTCGTATCAAAAGGCAGGATAAATTTCCCCACCCACTGAAGCTGGGTGGACCTTGTGAATAGCTCTGACCAATCAGAAAGTAGCAGAAATAACTTTCTGGGACTTTTGAGTCTAGGTCTTAAGACAACTGGTGGCTTGCTTCCACTTTCTCCCTCTTGGAGTCCAGCTAGACCAGTTAATAACTAGAGGCCACAGGGAGATGGACTCTGGAGGAAGAGAGGCTCTCCTGGTCATTCCAATCCCAAACTAGCTCTCAGGTTAATGCAGCACATGAGTGAACCCAGCCTTCAGCCCACTAAGTAAAGAACCCAACAGTGCCCAGTCAATCCACAGAATCAGAAAAAAGATACAGGGATCAAAAGCCACTAAGTTTTGGAGTGGTTTATAATGCAGCAACAGATAACTGTAACACCAGGCACTGAACTACTTACTGCACAGAATACTCTCATTATCTGGTTAATGCCTCAAGGTAAGTTCTGGGAAGCTCCATCAAAGTTATACAGCTCCCTAACTTCTTCCCACTCTAGTGTAAACCACTCCCAATGCTGCCTGGATCAACTGCCTCCCATTGGTCTCTCTGCTCCCACTCTTACACCCATACTATCCACTCTCGACACAGAAGCCAGAGTCTTCTAAAAACATAAATTCACTTCCCTTGATCAAAACTCTGACATGGCTTCCTACCATATGTTCAGAATGCAGTTCAAACTCCTTACTTATGACCTGTAGGATCCTGCAGGATCTGGCCCCTGTCACCCCAGTAGCCTCATTAGCCACCAACCCGTTCCCTCTGCCATCACCAGGTTCCAGCCACATACACCAACCCAACTCCTGCTTCAGGGCCTGCGCCTGGGCCTTCCACACTGACCCTTCATCACCCTGGCTCCTCCTTGTGGACTTAGTTCAAGTGCTGCCTCCTCAGAGAGGCCGTCCTGAACCCCCATAGAGCAGTGCTCCTGCCCGCTACTCCTCCCCACGTTCACTCTGCATGATGTAACATCACTGTCCCCGCGTTCACTCTGCATGATGTAATCTTATTTGCCTGGTGAGCTAGTTAATGTCAGCTCCCTGCTCAAGGATGCCCCCTGCCTAAGGACAGGGACCTACTCTGTCTTAGTTCACAGCAGATCCCCTGCTAGAATAGCGCTTGGCACTTTTTTTTTTTTTTTTTTTGAGACGAAGTCTCACTCTGTTGCCCAAGCTGGAATGCAGAGGTGTCATCTCGGCTCACTGCAACCTCCACCTCCCAGATTCAAGCGATTCTCCTGCCTCAGCCTCCTGAGTAGTGGGACTACAGGCACGCGCCAGCATGCCTGGCTAATTTTTGTATTTTTAGTAGAGACGGGGTTTCATTATGTTGGCCAGGCTGGTCTTGAACTCCTGACATCATGATCTGCCCACCTCAGCCTCCCAAAGTGTGGGGATTACAGGGGTGAGCCACCATACCTGGCTTTTTTTTTTTTTTTTTGAGACAGTCTCACTCAGTTGCCCACGCTGGAGTGCAGTGGCATGATCATGGCTCACTACAGCCTTGACCTCCTAGCTCAAGTGATCCTCTCACCTCAGCCTCCTAAGTAGCACATGTCACCACACCTGGCTAATTTTTGTATTTTTTTTGGTAGAGACGAGGTTTCCTCATGTTGCCCAGGCTGGTCTCAAACTCCTGAGCTCAAGTGATCTGCCTGCCTTGGCCTCCCAAAGTGCTGGGATTACAGGTTTGAGCCATGTTTCGGCTCTCGGTGTATGTTATGTACTTGACTTGCATTTGCTGAATGGTAAAGTGTGGGAAAAAAAAGCATCCCAAGGTCAAATAAGTGAGAAAAAATGTTAAATGAGTTTCTTTATACTTCTAATTCTAAACACAATGGAGAGCTAGGAGGGCTGCTTGGTCCCTTTCCAAGCCCATCTGAGAGATGCTACAGACATGAGAGGGAAGGCAAAACACAAGGCTGGGAGAAAGCCCGGGGAGGCGACAGGTGGCTGGGTACGAGTGAGGCAGCAGAGTAGAGAGGGCAGAAAAAGGCTCTGCCCCACAGATGGGTCAGGGGCTGCTTGGTTAAGCCATCTCCTCCCCCGAGCACTTCTCTGGGAGAGGTAGATCGCTGCCAATCAACTTTGCCAGCCACGTATTGGCTGGAAGGTAACGCCAGAGCAGCACTAGAGCCTTCCTGGGTGAGGGTGGATACCACTCTGGGCAGCCCCTGAGCATCCCACAGTCCTAGGAAGCAACACCAGAGGGAGATTAAAAGCAGCACCTGGGCGAGAGGTCCTGGGAGGTTCCCTGAGAGAAGAGGGTGGCTGATTGTGGGAAAAAGAGAGGAGGAGAAATGGTTTTGCCCAGAACCTCCCATTTTGCTAAACTTGCTGACAGGGTCAAAAGCTAGGAACCAGGCTTTTGCTCTCTTCCCTAGGTGTAAACTGCCAGCAAAGGTAGCTGAAAACACTAAGGGGGTATGAGCTCACGGGGAAAAAAAAAATCAAGACCCATAAATAAAAAGTGCAAGAAAATCGCCGGGCGCGGTGGCTCATGCCTGTAATCCCAACACTCTGGGAGGCCGAGGTGGGTGGATCACCTGAGGTCAGGAGTTCGAGACCAGCCTGGCCAACATGATGAAACCCACATCTCTAATAAAAATACAAAAATTAGCTGGGTGTGGTGGCGGGCACCTGTAATCCCAGCTACTTCGGTGGCTGAGGCAGGAGAACTGCTTGAACCCAGGAGGCAGAGGTTGCAGTGAGCCGAGATCGCATCACTATACTCCAGCCTGGGCGACAACAGTAAAAATCCACCTCAAAAAAAAAAATAAAAAAAAAAGCAAGAAAACAAAAGGATAACAAACTAAACAAGCTATTACAGGAAAAGGCACACTTAATTTACCAAACAGACAAGAATTTTAAAGTATAATAGTCATCAAAGAAATGCAAATCAAAACTGCAATGAGATACTACACTTCATACTCAGTAGGATGGCTATAATAAAAAAGACAGACAACAACAATATGGCAAGGATGTGTGGAGAAATCAGAATCTTCATACCCTGCTTGGTGGGAATGTAAAACGGCACAGCCACTTTGGAAGACAGTCTAGCAATCCTTCAAAAAGTTAAACACAGAGTTACATTTGACAAAGCAATTCCACTCCTAGATCTACACTCAGAGAAATAAAAATGTGTGTCCACACAAAAACTTGTATACATATGTTCAAAGCAGTATTTATGTTCATAGTCAAAAGGTAGAAACAACCCAAAAGTCCATCAACTGATGAATGGATAAACCAAATGTGGTCTATCCATACAATGGAATATTAAGCCATATTTAGGAATACTAATATATGTTACAATATGGATGAATCTTGAAAACATTATGCTAAGTGAAAGAAAGTGTTCACCAAAGGCCACATATTATATGACTCCATTTATGTGAAATGTCCAGAGTACATAAATCTACAGAGGCAGAAAGTCAATTCATGGGCAGTAGGAATAGGGAGTTTTGGGTAGTAACAGCTAAAGGGTTCAGGGATTCTTTGTGGGTTAACAAAATGTTCTAAAATTGATTATGGTTCAACTTTGTGAATATATTAGGAACCCGTCAACTGTACACTTTAAATAGGTGAATTGTAAGGTATATGAACTGTATGTTAATAAAGCTGTTAAGGAAGAAAAAGCATAAGAAATAGCCTCCAAGGTAATGGAGGAGCCTGGAAGCAGGAATGAGTAATTATGAAGCATCTCTTATTCATTACCAGATATTAAACACATGATCACTGAAATAAAGCACTCAACAAATGATGTCAGGGACTGGTTAAGGATTTTGTTTAAAAAGCAAAAGAAAAGACAAAAAAAAAAAAAAGAAGTAATGGTGTTAACATCCATATTCAGAGTGCAGAAGAGGAAAAGATAAAGGAGGAACATATTTAAAGAAGCAATAATGGGGAATTTCCTAGATCACAGCAGCATATCCAAGGACTTCTGATTTCCACTCTGGCAGGCAAGAAGCTTAGAAGTCATTCCTCCAGCCTAACAAGTAAACCACTGAACAAAGTGAAAAATCAAGAACTCTTGTAGATCCGTAAAAGACATGAGATAACAAGGCAAACCACTGCCCTCAAATTTGGAGAGAAAGAGAATCACAGCACACGGGAGCAGAGCCTCTGTGGGAACCAGCATCAAGGCGGGAAAGCCCTGAAGAACTGAAAATTGCTGAAGGCTCAATGCGGACAAGTCTAAGGATAAAAACTCCACTCCACAAGGTTCACCTCCAGAAGTTGGACCAGGTTCTCACAGTGAATATCAAAGAAAACTCCCCTCTTGATTCCAGATGGAGGAGGGGAAAAGGAACCATCTTAAAATAAAACACAGCATTGTGTTCTTAGTAACACCTGCCCTCAGGAGAAGTTATTTTTATCAGAGCCTAACCTATTGGGATTTAATCAGAGCCTAACTCACCTGGGGGAAGAGAAATACCTAACTTCACACCCTCTAGCCATCCTGTCCCAGCTGACCGGAGAGAAAACTGAGAAGCACTTTTAGTCCACAGCCCAGAGCACAGGCTCAAAAAAGACTGAGAACTACTCACAGAGCTATAGAGGGCTTTCCCTGCCCACACCTCCCCCATTTCCAACAGCCTACTTATCACAGCTCCTCTTACCCAGAACATCATCTTTGGCTTTCAACAAAAAATTACAAGGTATAAAGGCAAAAAAACACAGCTTGAAGACACAGAACAAACATCAGAACCAGACTGAGATATGGCAAAGATGTTACAGCTACTGGACTGGGAATTTAAAATATAGGCACACCTCAGAGACATTGCAGGATCAGTGCCAGACCACTGCAATAAAGTGAATGTCATAATAAAGCAAGCTGCACAAGTTTTTGGTGTCCCAGTGCATATAAAAATTATGTTTAAGGCTGGGTGTGGTGGCTCATGCCTGTAATACCAGCACATTGGGAGGCTGAAGTGGGAGGACTGCATGAGCCCAGGAAGTCAACTGACAGCTACAGTGAGCCATGATTGTGCCACTACACTCCAGCCTGGGTGACAGCGAGACACTGTCTCAAAAAAAAAAAAAAAGTGGCCAGGCGTAGTGGCTCAAACCTGTAATTCCAGCACTTTGGGAGGCCGAGGCGGGCGGATCACGAGGTCAGGAGTTCAAGACCAGCCTGGCCAATATGGTGAAATCCCATCTCTACTAAAAATACAAAAATTAGCTGGGCGTGGTGGCACGCACCTTTAGTCCCAGCTACTCGGGAGGCTGAGGCAGAAGAATCGCTTGAACCCAGGAGGTGGAGGCTGCAGTAAGCCGAGATCGCACCACTGCACTCCAGCCTGGGTGACAGAGTGAGACTCTGTCTCAAATAAAAAAAAAAAAGTTGACACTATATTGTTGTTGTGTGCAATAACAGCATTATGTCTAAGAAAAAAATGTGTGACTTAATTTTAAACACTTTATTGTTAAAAAATGCCAATGATCATCTGAGCCTTCAGTGAGTCAATCATTTTATTGGTAGAGGCTCTTGCCTCAATATTGATGGTTGCCAACTGATCAGGGTGGTGGTGGCTGCTGAAGGTTGGGATGGCTGGGGCAATTTCTTAAAATAAGACAACACTGAAGCATGCCACATTGACCTGCTCTTCCTTTCACAAAAGATATTGGTTTTTTTGAGACAGAGTCTTGCCCTGTTGCCTAGGCTACAGTGCAGGGGTATGATCTCAGCTAACTGAGACCTCCACCTCCCAGGTTCAAGCGATTCTCCTGCCTCAGCCTCCCAAGTAGCTGGGACTACAGGTGTACACCACCACGCCTGGCTAATTTTTGTATTTTCAGTAAAGACAGGGTTTCACTATGTTGGCCAGGCTGGTCTCAAACTCCTGACCTCACGTGATCCGCCCGCCTCGGCCTCCCAAAGTGCTGGGATTACAGGCGTGAGCCACTGTGCCTGGCCATGTGATGCTGTTTGACAGCATTTCACCCACAACATAACTTCTTTCAAAATCTGAGTCAAACTGTGCCACTAACTTATCAACTAAGTTTATGCAATATTCTAAATCTTTTGTTGTGAGATTTCAACAATGTTCATAGCATCTTTAGCAGGAGTAGATAGCATCTCAAAAAACCACTTTCTTTGCTCATCCATAAGAAGCAACACTTATTCATTCAAGTTTTATCATGACATTTATCGGTCACATCTTCAGGCTCCACTTCTAATTCTAGTTCTCTTGCTCTTTCCACATCCACAGTGACTTCTTCCACTGAAGTCTTGAACCCCTCAAAAGTCATCCATGAGGCTTGGAATCAACTTCTTCCAAACTCCTGTAAATGTTGAAATTTTGATTCCTCCCATGAATCACAAATGTTCTTAATGGCATCTAGAATGATGACTCCTTTTCCAGAAGGTTTTCAATGTCTTTGCCCAGATCTATCAGAGGAATCACTATCTATGATAGCAATAGCCTTAAAAAGAGTCTTAAATGGTAAGACTTGAAAGTCAAAATTACTCCTTGATCCATGGGTTACAGAATAGATGTTGTTTTAGCAGGCATGAAAATAATACTAATCTTAAACCTCTCAATCAGAACTCTTGGGTGACCAGGTACATTGTCAATGAGCAGTAATTGTTTGAAAATAATCTTTTTCAGGCCGGGCACGGTGGCTCATGCCTGTAATCCCAGCACTTTGGGAGGCCGAGGCGGGCGGACCACGAGGTCAGGAGATCGAGGCCCTCCTGGCTAACACGGTGAAATCCCGTCTCTACTAAAAAAAATACAAAAAATAAGCTGGGCATGGTGGCGGACGCCTGTAGTCCCAGCTACTCAGGAGGCTGAGGCAGGAGAATGGCATGAACCTGGGAGGTGGAGCTTGCAGTGAGCCGAGATTGCGCCACTGCACTCCAGCCTGGGCGACAGAGCAAGACTCCGTCTCAAAAAAGAAAATAATCTTTTTCTCTGAGTAGTAGCTTTCAATAGTGGGCTTAGAATATTCAGTAAACCATGCTGTAAACAGATATGCTGTCATCCAAGCTTTGCTGCTATATTTATAGAGCACAGCCAGGGTAGATTCAGGATAATTTATAAGGGCCCTAAGATTTTTGGAAGAGTAAATGATCACTGGCTCCAACTGAAAGTCACCAGTTGCATTAATCCCTAACAAGACAGTTGGCTTGTCCTTTGAAGCTCTGAAGCTAGGCACTGACTTCTCTCTAACTATGAAAGTCCTAGGTGGCATCTTCTTCAAATAGAAGGCTGTTTCATCTACAGTGAACATCTTGCTTAGTGTAGCCACTTCCATCAATGATCTTAGCTAGGTCTTCTAGATAACGTGTTGCTGCTTCTACATTAGCAAATGCTGCTTTAACTTGCACTCTTTTGTGTTATAGAGCTGCCTTCTTTCCTAAACCTCATGAACCAACCTCTGATAGCTTCCAACTTTTCTTCTGTAGCTTCCTCCCTTCTCCAAGCCTTTACAGAATTCAAGAGTTAAGGCCTTACTCTGGATTAGGCTTTGGCTTAAGGGAATACTGTGGCTGGTTTGATCTTCTATCCAGACCACTCAAACTTTCTCCATATCAGCAATAAGGCTACTTCGATTTTTTATCAGTTGTGCACTCACTGGAGTAGCACCTTTAATGACCTTCAAGAACTTTTCCTTTGCATTCACACCTTGGCTAATTGTTTGGCACAAGAGGCCTCGCTTTCAGCCTATCTCTGCTTTTGAAATGCTTTCCTCACTAAACTTAATCATTTCTAGTTTTTTATTTAAAGTGAGAGAAGTATAACTCTTCCTTTTACTTGAACACTTAAAAGCCATTGTAGGGTTAACTGACCTAATTCCAATATTGTTGTCTCAGGGAACAGGGAGCCCCAAGGAGAGGGAGAAACATGGGGAACAGCTGGTTAGTGCAACAGTCAGAAAACACACATTTACCAATTAAGTTCATTGTCTCATATGGGTGTGGTTCATGGTGCTCCAAAACAATTACAATACTAACATCAAAGATCACTGATCACAGACCACCATAAAAGATATAATAATAATGAAAAAGTTGGAAGTAATGCAAAAACTGCCAAAACGTGAGACACAGAGACAGAAAGTAAGCACACACTACTAGAAAAATGGTGCCAACAGACTTGCTCGACATAAGATTGTCACAAACCTTCCATTTGTACAAAATGCAGTATCTGTGAAGTGCAATACAGCAATGTGAATAAAACAAGATATGCCTATAATATGTTTAATATGTTAAGGGCTTAATGGACAAAATACACAATATGCAAGAACAGATGGGCAATTAAAGAGATGAAAACTCTGAAAATGAATCAAAAAGAAATGCTGGAGATAAAAAACACTGTAACCAATATAAAGGTTGCCTTTGATGATGGGCTTATTTGTAGACTGGACACGGCTGAGTAAAGAATCTCTGAACTTGAGGATCTGTCAGTAAAAACTTCCAAAACTGAAAAGCAAAGACAAAAAAGATGAAAAAAAAGAACAAAACAGACTATCCGAGAACTGCGGAAAACTACAAAAGGTGTAATAAACACACAATGGGAATACCAGAAGACAGAAAGGAATAGAAGAAAAATTTGAAGCAATAATGACTGAGAATATCCCCAATTTAATGTCAGACACCAAACCACACATTCAGGAAGGTCAGCGAACACCAAGCAGAATAAATGCCAAGAAGCATATAAAATACCTCTGACCAAAAGAACAGAGTTGTCAAGTAAGACAAATGAGAACAAACACAATTTCTGTGTTTTGGATGTGCTGGAAAATAAAATAATAGAAAAAAGAAAACAAAGCTTTAAAAAGAGAAAATAAAAGACACTTAACATGCACTAATTAAAGATAAAAAACAAAGAGAAAATTCTGAAAGTTTTAGGAGATGGGAGAATAAAACAAGGAGGCCACTTAATTGATAAGAAACAAAAAAAATTTTTTTTTTTTGAGAGAGAGTCTCACCCAATCACCCACGCTGGAGTGCAGTGGCATGATCTCAGCTCACTGTAACCTCTGCCTCTCTGGTTCAAGTGATTCTCAAGCCTCAGCCTCCCAAGCAGCTGGGATTATAGGCATGCGCCACCAGGCCTGGCTAATTTTTTTATTTTTAGTAGAGACGGGGTTTCACCATATTGTCCAGGCTGGTCTCAAATTCCTGGCCTCAAGTGATCTGCCTGCCTCGACCTCCCAAAGTGCTGGGATTACAGGCATGAGCCACTGAGCCCAGTCAAAAATTTCTATTTCTTATCAGTACCGGGGTTCTCAGGAGTGACACTGTATGTAAGATGATAATGAAGTCATAATTTCAAAATATCAATGGAAAAAACTAAAATAACAATTTTATATGACTGCTATCATTTAAATGAAAAAGTGAAATGAAGATATTCTTAGTCGTATAAGTTTTCAAAATTAACCTCAAAAAGCCCATATTTTTAAAGAACTGTTAGAGAAAGCAGTCCAGCAAGAAATTAATCTAGAAAGAAACAATAGGACGAGTGAATAATTTAGTAAAGATTTATGTCATTTAAATAAGCAATACAAAAGAAAAAAAGAGATAAGTGCATGAAAATGTACTTTTTTGTTTGGGGGGACAACCACATGATATTAAAAAAAGAATAAGGAAAAATAAATGTATCTTAAGTTAGGACCTATAAAAAGAATAAAAATAGAATGTATAACTTTCTTTATGGTACAGAATGAACATCACATAAACTATTTTCTCTGATCATAATACAACATTAGAAATCACATCAATTACCAAAACATAGCTTAAAATTCTCATATATCTGAAAACCAAAAAACAACTAAATAACCTTTGGATTAAAGAGGAAATAATGAGAAAAATAACAAAATGCCAAGTACTGATTGGAAATAAAATCACATCATTTCAAAAGTCAAGAATCACAGCTAAAGCAGCACTTATTGAGAAACTTATAGCTACGAATACATTCAAAGAATAAATATAAAACAAGAGTATGGATTGAATAAATGCATTTACAGCCACTCCCTGTGTAAATACATTAAAATTTATACTAAAATTCCAAGTTAAGACTGGGTTAAAACACAAGCATATAAAGCTTTACTACTTCCCAAAATCCCACTAAAACTATAGAAGCTGACTTAATTAGAACAGTAACTGGTAAACAGATGGACAAATAGTAACTGATTTAACACCAAAATCCCAAAGTGGCTTTGGGTAAGCTAAATGAGAACTAACCCAATCTATACTACAGAACCCGCTAAAATCCAGGCAGCAGCCAGCAGATTCCTCTGGAACTGGGACCAAATGGGACAATAAAATAAGGAGCAGGCAAACACCATGTGGAAAGCAGTATGATCCCCAGATCCTTCCACTCCCTGTTGCTGGGTGGCTGCCCTCCCCCAGAAGCCAGGAGGTCTGATCTCTAGAGAACTAACAGGGGATCCAGCTGGAGGGCTGAGGTGTGAGTACCTGACAAGCTGAATGCTAAGGTCCCTCTTCCCCAACTTGGCAACCAGCATCCTGAGCCCAGAAGATTATTCCCCAGGGACTCTGACTAGATTCAAAGAAAAAACCTAAAGGAAGTGCAGTGGTCCTCAACAGAGGTCTCACCTAGACAATGTGGCTGTGTATGGAATTCCAGGTTCAACCTCACTTAATGAGGGTCTTTTCAGTATGTTGGTCTCAAATTTTACTTCCCATGCAGCTTTTCTCAGGAAGTCATTAAGAACAAGGGAATAAACCTATAACAAGGTAAAGATGGGCCACAGGAAACAGGAGATCAAATACAGAGGAGGGCAAAAGAATCTCCAGAGAGGGGAGATCCCAACACCCCTGCTGAGTTTCACAACAAAGGGTGAACAAGTGTGACCCAAGGGGCAGACATAGTGTAGAAAGTAAAAAGTTTCCTCTTCAAAGTTTTCCTTCTTGTTAAAGAATAAATCATAAGTGTTAGAAATAACAGTTTCTTTTAAAGACTAACTTTCTTCAAGTCTCCTTGCCTTGTGCTAATAACTCTTTGTTAAGCCCTATCCTCTGTAACCGTTGGACATGCTCACAGGCACGTTCCAGCCCACAGTCTACGCCCCTTCCTTATTTGGAAATGTTATTGCTTCCTTAAACCTTTTGTAAGCAACTTCTTTGTTCTTCCCTGCACTTACCTATTTAGGAAAGTTTTAGGCTATTAGCAAATCGGGTATCAGTTTAAGATTGTGAGGTCCCGCTCCAGCCAGTGGATGCAGGACACAGCAGTAAGGACGACCCAAGTGCGTAAGGGATAAATATGTCTGCTTTTCCTGTGTTCAAGTGTGCTCTCACCTTTGTTCCATCTGCAACTGAGCACCCTTTCTACAGAAAGAAAAGATGGCCTTGCTGAGATACCTTTTGTCTCTGTGCTGACTTTTCTTCGCAGCACCGATTATCTATTTCTAACAATTTTGGTATTTCTAACACATATTGAGGCTATCATCCTTAAGTCCTTGCTGCCACTGACCATCTTTTAAACCTATGGCGTCGTGGCCCAGAATCTTATCTACGCTCAGCTTGTCTTCACCATGTACAGGTGAGCCTCCTGTACACCACCCATGCCCACCCCAAAGACCAGCTGATGATGCTCACTCCACAAATAACTGCTTTGACCTTCTGCAAGCTGGAAGGAAGCTGTCAGCTCAGGCAGGAAATACAGAGGATCCCACTTCCTCTGCCCAGATTTCTGCCGCATCTCTGGTATACATCACAGCCCTGGCTGATGCATACGCTATGGTGAGCCTCATGTTTCCCAGGACTCCCTAGTGACCTTGGCCAGTGACTACCTCAGAAGGGGTTCATGGAAGCCGAAGCCAGAACATCACTGTAAGTATTAGTTTCCCAGGGCTGTAGGAACAAAGCACCACAAACTGGGTGGCTTAAAACAACAGGAATTTATTGTCTCACAGTTCTAGAGGCCAAATGTCAGAAGTCACAGTGTGGGCAGGGCTATGCTCTCTGGGGTACGCACTAGGGGAGAATTTGTTCTGTGCCCTTCTCTTAGCTCCTGGTGCTGCCGGCAATCCTTGGTGGTCTTGGCTAATTATATTTGCAAAGGGCCTATTTCCAGATAAGGCTGCATTCATAGGTACCAGGGTTGGGACTTCAACATATGCTTAAGGGGGACACAATTCAGTCCACAACAATGACCCAGAATGACTATTTAGCTTATCTTCTCCAGGAAACTTCATCTAATAGTGGCAATTTACTTACACAGCTAGATTTATGCTTGCTACTCAGTATTTTTTTAAACGAAAAGTATATCATTTAGAGACATACACATTTAAAAAGCAAAAGAATAATTAACACTGTAAGTCAAAGTGGCTTCCTCTGAGGGGAACAGAAAGTACACAGGAGACTTCTAAGGTGTTTACAACACTCTTTATCCAGGAGATGAATACATGGGCATTTATTTTACTAATATCTAAATTATACCATATTTCTATGCTGCCTTCTATCTGTATGACACATCTTACAATTTAAAAAATTAAGTATAGGCAGTAAACAGACAGGCCCACAAGAATAAGAACAAAGAACAGGTGAATATTGGCCAGGCGCAATGGCTCATGCCTGTAATCCCAGCACTTTGGGAGGCTGAGGCGATCACTCGAGCCCAGGAGTTTGAGATCAGTCTGGGCAAGATAGTAGGACCCTGTCTCTACTAAAAATAAAAATTAAAAAAAAAATTAGCTGAGTGTGGTAGTGTGTGCCTATAGTACCAGCTACTTGGGAAGCTGAGGTGGGAGAATTGCTTGAGCCTGAGAGTTCGGGGCTGCAATGAGCTGTGGTTGTGCCACTACATTCCAACCTGCGTGACAGAGAGAGACCATGTCTCAAAAAAAAAAAAAAAAAGAACAAGAACAAGTGAATAGATGACTAACAAAAGCATATGAACAAGCAGCAAATGACTTAACAGACCAAAGAAAGCCAATACCTAAGCCAGTGGTGAAGCTAAGCAGGGTGATTTACAAAACACAGCCTCAGGGAAGTGTAGTCACCTAAGGCATCAGGCTTAGAGCCTGGGGGGTATGACTATGGATTGTGAGGCTCTTTAAGAGGTTAAAGGCTCCAATTATACCCCTATAGTAATTATACTGCCCACATCTAGGAAATGATCTTTCCCTCCACGGGCAGAAGACTGGAGAGGCTCAAGAGGGAGATTCTGGACACAGGAAGCCAAGGGTGGGAGTACTGTACTGAAGACAGGGAGAGTCAGTTTACCTCCTAAACGATGGGCTCCTGGGCCCTCCCGACTTGGCTCCTGGTAGGCAGGCCAGTTAATACTGTGCTTCCCAGGAAAGATGGGAATTAGGAAAAAAAAGAAAAGAGGATCTATCTGGAGTAGGGATCTTGGTAAACTATAGCCCCCAGGCTAAATCCAGTCCACTGCCCATTTTAGTAGATAAAGTTTTACTGGAACACAGCCACACTCATTCACTACGGCTCTCCAATCACAACAGCAGAGTTGAAGAGTTCCGAATGAGATTTTGTGGCCGGCAAAGCCTAAAATAATTACTATCTGGCAGAAATACTTATTTCTTTACAGATAAAGTTTGCCAACTTTTAATCTACAGGGTCCAATATCCAAATAATGGGGAGTTCTAAAATGAGAGAACAGAAAAAATAGAAGATAGGAAATCAAGACTTTTCCATACTCAGGAAAGAAAGTTTCAAATTGAAAGGGCCCACACACCACATGTCCAGCACAAGGAAAGACATAAGCCCTACATACGGCACATCACTGAATAATACCAGAACACCAGCAATGAAGAGCAGATCCCACTAGCTTCCAGAGAAGAGAGAAAAACATGCAGACTCCAAACAGGCAATTCACAAAGAAACAACCAGGAAATTTAACCTCACCTGTAACCAAAGAAATATAAATAAAAAACAAGATTTCACTTTACAGCCAGCCAATTAGCAAAACTTAAAGGCTGGTTAGTGTCAAGTGCTAGCAAAGATAAAGGGAATAAGGCCTCTTGTTCCTCCCAGTGGGAGAGTATATACAGGTAGTTCTAAGTGGAATTAATTGTTCCCAGAAGCATCCACAAAATTTGGGTTCCACCGACCATCCTTTGAGCAACACTGATACCACACTGATCCCTTGGCTGCTATTTCTTCATGTTGTCCTTCGCAGATGTCTACACACCTTCAGATCCTCTGCAACACAGTGTCAGAGACACCGTCATGGCCTCAACAAATTTGTCAAAGCTACGACACAAACCATGCATATCTATCCTCAGAGAGAGAGAGACAAGAGAGACAGATGAAGAAAACTTATAGGTTATGTTTGAATGCCTAAAGGAAAAGAAAAACTCAGATGTATTCAGGTGTACTTACAATGAACAATTCTGAAAAATAAAGCCCAGCGATTTTTGTATTTTTTTCCCTTGCACTTTACTTTTCTCTTCCCAAATTACTCAGGATTTAAAAGGTCACAGCATAACCATGTCCAATGCCTAGTGCTGCCTGCCCCACCTCCACTCCTGCCCCCAAGGGCTTTACAGCAAGTGCTTGCATTCACCTGGTATCGGTCAAGGATTCTGAAGTCCTGACAGGTGGTTCTGTACGTGGCTTGTCCAGCTGGAAGTCTGGAAATTCCTCCTTCTTTGGCTCCATAAATCCCGTCAACTAACAAAAGAGCAGCATTAACAACTTGATCCAAGTCAAAAAGTGGTAATCCCCTATCCCTTTTCGCTTGTCTGACAATCAGTTTGCGTTTCAGTCTCCGAGCTTCCGGAGTCATGGCAACAGCACCGGGACAAGCTTCCAGCCTCTTGAGCAGCAGCTTTTCCTCGTAGATGCTCACGGGAGTATACCTGGGCTCTTTCGGCTTTGTGTCCTTCTCCAGCTGAGGCTTCCTCTTTTCTCTAGCCCTTGTTTGCAAAGATGTGTTTGAATCTGTGTCTTCACTGTCAATATCCATCCTGTCGGGTTTTTCCTCCTCACTCTCTACCTCCTGCTTTATCTGTTCAGGGCCTCTGACCTTCTTTCTGACCCCAACCACTGGCCCAGAAGCTACTGACCCAGCAGGGGGTGGGACGTACTCCATCCCTGGGTCTATGACTCCATCGCCTTCCATCTCATCGTCATCTGTGCAGAGTACAAAACAGTGTCATCAAGACATAGGAAGGAAGAAATGCAGAGCACACAGCCCACGGGGTGAAAACTTGTACATTTATACCATGGCCCATACCCAAAATAAAAGAGCAAAGCAAACAAACTCTTACCATGAAACAAGGCTTGTGGGGGCATCACATCTGGAATCAGATCTGCTTCTGAAAGCAAGCTAGGTGTGGCAGAATGAGAGGCAGGTGTACCAGGGGCAGAGAAATCCAGAGAAGGAGAAGGAGATGGGCTTGTCAGCGGGGTGCGGTCAGAGGAGCTCAAGGAGGAAAAGTCAATCACTTCGCCTTTTTCCAGAATCACATCTGGCCTGCGGCCTCGGCTTATGAATTTTACAGGGGTAGAAGATGTGCTCCTGTCAAGAAAGCCAGCGGCCTCCTTCTGGGCTCTTCTAATGTCTTTTGCTTCCTGAGTTCGAGACCTTTTCTCTTTTAATTCCATGGCAGATTCCACAGGATTCCGACTTGCTCGTTTTCTAAGTCCCTCAACAGTAATGATGGGATCTAAAGTTGGTTTTGAGGCTGCTAAGAAAGAATAAATACAGGCTGAGTATCCCTCATCTGAAATGCTTGGGCACAAGCATGTTTTGGATTTCAGATGTTTTCGGCTTTTGGAATATTTGCATTTTACTTATTGGCTGAGTATCCCAAACCCAGAAATACAAAATCCGAAATGCTGCAAATGAGCATTTCCTTTGAGCGTTATGTCAGTGCTGAAAAAGTTTCAGATTTTGGAGTGTTTTTGATTTTGGATTTTCAGATTTGGATTGCTCAACCCATATCTAAATTTTAAAATAACTACTCAACTTTAGTTTCTTTTGCTAATTTATTATTATGAGTAATATCATGTTCAATAAAGAGAAATGTTCAATGAATGCCCTAAACTAAAAAAGACTTAGATATCTCTTGAGAAAAAAGAAGTTATACTGCAAATTTAAACAAATAAATACTATCTTTCACCTACTGGAACTGGCAAACATTAAAAGTTTAGCCAGGCGTGGTGGTGCACGCCTCTTAATCCCAGAACTTTGGGAGGCTGAGGTGGGTGGATTTTGAGCCTGGGAGGTGGTGGCTGCAGTGAGCCAAAAAAAAAGTTTGATAAAGCTCAGTAAATGTATGGGGAAATGGGCATTTTCATGGGCATTTCAATGGGTACTTTTTTTTTTTTTTGAGACAGGGTCTTGCTCTGTCACCCAGGCTGGAATGTTAGTGGTGTGATCTCGGCTCACTGCAACCTCCGCCTCCCGGGTTCAAGCAATTCTCCTGCCTCAGCCTCCAGAGAAGCTGGGATTACAGGCATGCGCCATCACGCCCGGCTGATTTTTGTATTTTTGTACAGATGGGGTTTCATCATGTTGGCCAGGCTGGTCTCGAACTCCTGACCTCAGATGATCCACCTGTCTCGGCCTCCCAAAGTACTGGGATTACAGGCATGAGCCACCATGCCCGGCCTTATTACAGTTTCTTGGAGGATAATTTGGCAATCCTGATTAAAATTTTGAATGAATATGCCCTTTGATGTAGAAACTCCAGGAATTTATCACATTTTCACATGTACACAAATTTGTAGAATTGTAGCACTGTTTAAAGTAACAAAAGGTCAGGCATGATGGCTCATGCCTGTAATCCCAGCACTTTTGGAAGGAGAGGCTGGAGGATCACTTGAGCCCAACAGTTCAAGACCAGCCCAGGAAACATGGCGAGACCCTATCTCTATTACTTTTTAAAAATGTTTTAATTAAAAAATAAATAAATAAAATAGCAACAAAAAGGTAGAAACAACCAAAATGTCCATCAACAGGAGAATGGTTTAACAAATTATCACATAATTATATAATGGATGTAATGAAATAAAATAGGGTAAATCTACATGTACTGTCATGGAAAGATGTCCAAGACATACTGGTAAGTGTGGCAAAAATGGAAAACTCATAATAGTACGAGTCCATTTTACTTTTTTAAAAAACTAAGAAAATGCTTAAATCTGCAGAGATCTTTCTGAAAGTATTCACAAAAGACAACAGTGGTTACTCTGGGAAGTGAAATTGCAGGCCATAGGCAGGTGGGGGAACTTTCATACTTTACACCCTTAAGTACTATTTGATTTTCTTCCCAATCATATTTTTAAAATTTTAAAAGCTCATCAGCCTGATCCGGTGGCTCACCCTGTAATCCCAGCACTTTGTGAGGCCAAGGCAGGTGGATCGCCTGAGGTCAGGAGTTCGAGATCAGCCTGGCCAACATGGCAAAACCCCGTCTGTAATAAAAATACAAAAATATTAGCTGGGCATGGTGGCATGTTATTTGGGAGGCTGAGGCACGAGAATCATTTGAACCTAGGAGGCAGAGGTTGCAGTGAGCAAAGATTGCACCACTGCACTCCAGCCTGGGCAACAAAGCGAGACTGTACCTCAAATAAATAAACAAACAAGCAAACAAATAAATATAAAAATTTAAAAGCTCATTAAAAGCTTTTTAGATTATAAAACCAGATCAATATGTGATAGTAAGAAGTCACTGTTAACATCTTTTTAAATATGAAAATGGCATTATGGTCAGGCTGCAAAAAGGAAAGAATCCTGATCTCTTAGAGATACATACTAAGATATTTAGGAATGAAATGTTGATTCCTGGGATTTGTTTCTAAATAATCCAATTGTAAGAATGGGGAAGGTTGGGGAAAAGTACTGAGGATTTAGATAAAATGAGACTGTCAGGAGTTAATGTCAAAGTGAGGTGGAAGGTACATGGGAATTCATCATGTTATTTATTACGGGAATTTTAAAATATCTCTTCACCTTTGTGAGAAGTTTAAAAACAAAAACCAGATGGAAAACATTGAACCTTTCAGATACCCTGGGAAATTTATAAAACTGATAGCTTGATTAGGAAGTGATAAAATGTTTTTATGTGGCATTTATTTCTAGCACACACACAAGTGTCATCACAGAAGTGTTAAACAGAGTAGCTCCAGAGAGGCCTGCGAGCCATGCCCAGTGGAAGCAGGAGCGTCTCCTGGGCTCACACCTGCTTGGCTCTGGTCTGACTAGCAACTTTTGTACTGTTCTCACAACAGTACCTTTTATTTTCAAAGTAGAGGCAGACAACTTCTCTCCTTCAGGTTTCATCGTTGGGGGCTTGTTATGAACAAGTTTCCACCATCCTGGCTCTCCAAATTCCTGAGCACCTGAACGGAAGTACATGGGACTTCCCACGCTGAGGCAACCTGCCACGGTGCTCCACCAGGTAGACGTCTTTTTCCTAAAGAGTCCAAGAATTTAAAAATGATTGGCACTTTTGCTCATTATACAGAAAAGACAGTCTGTGTATACTGTGACTCCTGGCCTGCAACATGCAATGGCACCTCCAGCTACTGAAGGAGCAGAGCACGAGAGGCAGGAGAGAGGCTCTGGAGTTCGCCTGCTTCAAACCCTGGCGCTACCAACTTCTAGCAGCCTCGGTTTGTTCATCTGTAAAATCAGGATAATAGAACTTACCTCACAGGGTTGCTGTGAGGATTAAATGCAATAATTCAAACAAAGCACGTGAAATACTTCTCATCACAATCATCACGATTATGGAATTCTACAGGCTAATTTTAATTAAGTTGCTTTGTTATGTGAATTAAGCACAGCTCCCAAGAATAAAGCATACAAAAAGTGTAACTCCAAGGCTGGGCATTTTGTGATAGAAGTTAACTGGCTCCAGTAAATACCTCATTTTACCCGAGGAGTAGCACACATCTCTCAATCTGATCCTATCTGCCTCGATGCACTAGAGTGGTAACAAAACTATGTGGTATACTCCACAAACACAGAGAGCACCTACTGCACAACAAAATAACAAAACATGCAAAATGCCAACTATCCGGGTTCCCTAACGGAAATTCTTTCAAGGCGACTGTTCTATTTCCACCTTGAAAAGATACATCAATCCCCGGAAATCCTAGAAGACAGTCTTTCACAAGAAGACCAGTCTAACAGTTGGAAGGTATTGCTGGGAAGGCAAAGGAAAACCATTCTGAGGAACAGAGACGTAATATTAATAGAAAACTCAGAAAATAAACAAAACAAATAAGCTCAGCTATAGTAGGCATAAGCACTATCTGAGGCTGGGTGCGGTGGCTCACGCCTGTAATTCCAGCACTTTGGGAGGCCGAGGCGGGTGGATCACCTGAGGTCAGGAGTTCGAGACCAGTTTGGCTGACAGGGTGAAACCCCGTCTCTACTAAAAATACAAAATTAGCTGGGTGTGGTGGCACATGCCTGTAATCCCAGCTACTCGGGAGGGTGAGGCAGGAGAATCTTTGAACCCGAGAGGCGGAGGCTGCAGTGAGCCAAGACTGCACCATTGCACTCCAGCCCGGGCAACAAGAATGAAACTGGGTCTCAAAAAAAGCACTATCTGAGATGGAGAGAATGAAACCCCCAAGCTTTTGGTTCCAAAGTACCTCTCCTACATTCTTATCTTTTTCTAATCTTTCCAAATCCTCTCTAATAAATACAAAATGTAGCATAAACACATACAATAGAATATTATTCAGTCTTAAAAATAAAGGAAATCCTATCACATACTGCAATGTGGATAACCCTTGAGGACACTTATGCTAAGTGAAATAAGCCAGTCCCAAAAAGACAAATACTGTATGGTTCTACATATATGAAGTATTTAGAGTAGTCAAATTCATAGACACAGAAAGTAGAATGGTGACTGCCTAGAGCTGTGGGGAGGGGAGAATGGAGAGTTATTTAATAGGGATAGAGTTTCAGATCTGCAAGCTGAGAAGAGTTCTGGCCATCTGTGAATCTATATTCAAATACGTGAACATACTTAACACCACTGAACTGTACACTTGGAACTGGTTAAGATGGTAAATTTTCACTGTTTTTACTGCAATAAACAAACAGAAGTCTGGGCAACATAGTGAGACCTCATTTTTACAAAAAAATAAAAATAAAAAAATTAGCTGGGTGTGATGGCACGTGCCTGTGGTCCCAGCTACTTGGGAGGTTGAGGTGGGAGGATCACTTGTGCCTGGGAGGTAGTGGCTGCAGTGAGCCATTACTGTGCCATTGCACTCCAGCCTGGGTGACAGGGTGAAACCCTATCTCAAACAAACAAAAACAATAAAAAAGACTGACAAAGACTCAAAAGATTTTAAAAACCAATGTGTTATTTACTGTGTCGAAAACGGGTGCGTACTTGTACATTGACAGTGGGACTATAAATGGGCATATACTTTCTGGAGGTTACTTTCATAATGTACAGCAAAATTGTGTGTATCCTCTGACCTCGCAAATCTACTTCTAATCACAAAAACACAAAGGATATATATACAAGAATATGCCCCACAAGGCTAACTTAAACACAGAAAAACTGGAAATAACATAAATGTTTATAAAATTATCGGCCAGTGTTACAGATTTCATCGTATCCTCCCAAAAGATGTTGGAAGTCCCAGTACTTGTGAATGTGACCTTATGTGCAAACAGTGATCATGAGGTCATTAAGTTGAACACTAATCCAATATGACTGGTGTCCTTACACAAAGGGGAAACTTGGACACAGAGACAGACGTGTAGAGAGGGAAGATGCATGAAGACACAGGGAGAACGTCATCTACAAGCCAAGGAAGGCCTGTGGCTAACAGAAGCTAGGGGAGAGGCATAAAATACTCTCTCCCTCACAGCCTTCAAAAGGAACCAATCCTATCAACACCTGGATTTCAGATTTCCAGCCTCTAGAACTAGAATACATTTCTGTTGTTTAAGCCATCCAGTTTGTGTTACAGCATCATTAGCAAACTAATATAGCCAGCTAAATCACAGCACAACACATAATGAGACATTTGTATGGAATGGAATAAATTTGTTGCCAGGACATATACAAACACAGTATTTATGAATGGCCTCAATAGTTTTCCCCCAAAATTATTATTGTGGTAAAATATACATAACATTTACTATCTGAACAATTTTTAACAGTATAGTTCAGTGGTATTAAGTACATTTATATGGTACAATCACCACCACCATCCACTTTCAGAACACTTTTCACAGGGCAAAACCGAAACTCTATATCCGTTAAACAACTCCCAATTCCACCCTCCCCGCCAAGTGCTGACAACCACCATTCTACGTTCTGTATCTGTGATTTTCACTACCCTAAGTATCTCAGATAAGTGGAATCACACAGTGTTTGTTTTCTTGTGATTGGTTTGTTTCACACAGCATAATGTCCTCAAGGTTCATCTACACTGCAGCATGTGCCAGAATGTCCTTCCTTTTTAAGACTGAATGATATCCACTGTATGTATATGCCACATTTTGCTTATCCATTCATCTACTGATGGACACTTTGGTTGCTTCCACATCTCAGTTATTGTGAATAATGCTGCTAAAAACATGGATATACAAGTATCTCTGAGACCCTGCTTTCAGTCCTTTTGAGTATATACCCAGAAGTGAAATTGCCAGATCATATGATCATTATATTTTTAACTATTTGAGGAAACACCACACCATTTTCCACAACGATTGTACAATTTTACATTCCCACCAACACTGCAAAAGGGTTCCCATTTCTCCACATTCTCGCCCACAGTTGTTGTTTTGTTTCTTTGATAATTGTCATCCTAAGAGGCATGAGGTGGTATCGTGTTATAGATTTGATTTGCATTTCCCTAATGATTAGTGATGCTGAGCATCTTTTGATGTGCTTATTGGCCATTTTAATATCTTTGAAGAAGTGTCTATTAAATGCCTTTACCCATTTTTGCAATGAGGGGAGCTATAACAACAATGGCTGCCATCTCTTTTCACCTCTATGATTAGAAGCAGCAATCAGTGATCAGAGCACAAATACCCAGTATTTGGAAAACAGGCTTATTTTTGCCCACCCTGGATGCTACAAGCTGTGTGTAAGCCACTCCAGGAACACACACACAGCTTTCTTCCTAGTGGCTGGAGAAGGGGGATGGGTAGCACCAAAAAAACCCCCACCTTTTTACATTTAAACTTTAATAACATATTAAAGGCATAAAAGAAAAACCTGTAAACATCTGAAAGAAAATTCAGAACTTCATTACACTGTATAGCATTCTCTTAGATCTTGTGACAAATGAGAAATGGTTACAATTTTTAAGAATTTAAAGTATGTCCTGGCCAGGTGCAGTGGTTCACGCCTATAATCTCAGCATTTTGGGAGGCCAGGCGGGTGGATCACCTGAGGTCAGGAGTTCAAGACCAGCCTGACCAATAAGGTGAAACCCTGTCCCTACGAAAAATACAAAAATTAGTCGTGCATGGTGGGGTGTGCTAACCTAAATAATTTTATGTACCATTGTAGAAACAAGTTAAAAAGTATATGAAAACTTAGTTATTACTGAATAATTGCCTAGTATTTGTTCATTTAATCTGCTTTTACAGTCCTGGCCTTGAATTCTTCCAGAAGGTATAGTTTTGATTAGTGAAGAATAGCTTGAATATTTTCTTCTACTACCATATTTTACTGATTTTAAGATACGTAATTTTGCAAATTTTGACATCTCTGACAGCTAGATACATCTTATAGTTACTGATATGTCATAATTTAATTGGTAGTTAGCTCTTATTTGTACACAAAATGGTGTATCTTAAAGTTAATGGATCTTAGAATTGATGAAATATGATAGTACACATTCATAGTATCTACACTTCAATCAACTTTACGAGGATTCTGGGAAGGTGGCAGATAGGAAGCATTTGCCTTCCTGCCTGGACAGCAGTTGCACTGGCAGAATCTGACTGATGGAACTATTTTGGGACTCTGGAGTCTAATAAAGGCTTGTGGTTTCCAAGGGAAGGCATAGACAGTAGACTGCGGTTAATACTGGTCAATTTTAGTTCTTAATGCAGTAGCAGCTACTCCGGAGGCTGAGACCGGAGAATTGCTTGAACCTGGGAGGCGGAGGTTGCAGTGAGCCGAGATCACGCCGCTGCACTCCAGCCTGGACGACAGAGCAGGACTCCGTCTCAAAAAAATAAGTAAGTAAGTAAATAAATAAAGTACGTCCTATGGATAGCAGAATGAAAATCTTTAGTAGCTATGAAAAAAGTGTACCTTAAATATAAATGCTCTTTACAGACAGCTTCTCTGGGGTACGGTAATCTTGTTAACATTCATACACAGAAATGTCTGAGCAAGTGGTAACTACCCAGGGGTAGTGGTTTCAGGGGACTTCTCCAATCACTGATATTTCAAGTGGAGTTCCCAAAGTGAAGAGCAGCACTGTAGCATGAAACCGGGTGGCAAGAATCATAAAGTGATTTCTAATTCTCTTTTGCTTCTTCTGGTTAGATCAAAAGAAAGTTTACTGCTTTAAATTCTCATTAACACTTGTAGCAGCCTCCCTTTTTGACTGGAAAAGAAAGCCATGGCTTGCCATTATATGCCATGGGATCCAGCTACAATTTAACAGCATTGTTTTATTTTTATTGTTACATTCTACTTATGACAATTTATATAGGTTTCCCACTTACCATGGTGATGTTAAGTTTCTTTTTAAAATTAATGTATTTTTCAGGTGACTTGATTTAAATAGGAAGATCAAATAAATAATAATTCCGGTGATATACCAATATGGCCAACACACTAAATAAACTACACAGAAACTGGAGAGTAATTAATGCCTTTCATTGGCATGTTAAAAAGAAATAAGGCTCAGCTGATTCCTCTCAGAACATGCTCTAGAAATGAACAAATGAAGCATTTAAACAACTTCTGTTAAAATCCAGCAATATTTTTAAAAACAGGCAATCTAAATCTAATTTTTTCCAGGAGATAACCCACTAAATAGGACAGCACTCGAAGATCATGAAAACATTCCAAGATCCAATTTTATCAGTTTTTTCCCTTTCTTATCCCTTATAAATGGGGTACATTAAGGTCCATAAATAGTGCTAAATCATTAAACTAAACAACAGATTTCTTTTCCTTATGAGAAAGAACCAGTTATAGTGTCGATTCTTTTCTTAGCACCAATAAATAGCTCAAGAACTAAAATAACCCCTTTTGCAAAAATGTAGGGAGTCTATTCCATTTTCTCACAGCAGCCTGCAGGTCACCCTCCTTCTGACTACCCTCCCGTACTCTCAGTAACATGAGCAAAGCTGTGATTCCTCAGCTTCTGAAGAAACAGAGGCTGCAGTGAACCCCAAGTGAGGAAAGGCATGAACTCCCTGCCCTGACCTGAAGTGATCAAAGACTTTGTCATGTCTAAACTAACCTCATTATGTAAGATTCATGAATCTCACACAGGACTTCAGACAGCAACTAACAATCAGAATCTCAAACAAAAATTCACCAGTGTGGTAGCAAACTCACAAGTACCCAAGAGCAATAAAAGTCTTGATAGATCCACGTGGACATTTAGTGAAAATATATGGTCGCAAGGTCTGTGCATCGGCATCCCCGAGTCTAATGCACCAAAGCAGCCACTGGGGAGAGCACACAGCAGCAAACTCAAAGCGCAATGATAAACACAGTGACCAATGAACAAGCCACATGCAGATGTGCCCAGACTTTGCTAAGCACTATGAAAAATAGTTAAAAATAAAAAAGAGTGTCTACTTTACAGAGTTAAAAACAAATACTAGTAATACAAAACTCTATTAACTAAGGGCAACCTAAATAGATGCAGTCAGTAACTGCCATTATTTTTCCTGTCTTGTCCTCCTAGAAGGCACTGCTCTGTTTTGGTTCTTTTTTTGGTTGGTTGTTTGTTTGTTTGAGATGGAGTCTCGCTGAGTCACCCAGGCTGGAGTGAAGTGGCCCCATCTCAGCTCACTGTAACCTCCGCCTCCCAGGTTCAAGCGATTCTCCTGCTTCAGCCTCCCGAGTAGCTGGGATTACGGGCACCCGCCACCAAGCCCAGCTAATTTCTGTATTTTTAGTAGAGATGGGGTTTCACCATGTTGGCCAGGCTGGTCTCGAACTCCAGACCTCAGGTGATCTGCTCGCCTCGGCCTCCCAAAATGCTGGGATTACAGGCCTGAGCTACCGGGCCCAGCCTGGTTGGTGTTTTCTAAGAGATGGGGGTCTCACTATACTGTCCAGGCTGGCTTCAAACTCCTGGGCTCGAGTGATCCTCCAACCTTGGTCTCCTGAGTAGCTGGGACAACAGGCATGCCCCACCACACACAGCTTAAAAGAATATAATAACCCTATCTCCTCAAGTGAAATATTGACTTATCCAACTCTTGAACAGTCTCATGTAATACAACTCTTATTTTTTAACATTCTAAGAATTTCTTCAAAAAACGTCATGTTCAGTTGAAACAAACATCTTTTTTTTTTTTTTTTTGAGATGGAGTCTCACTCTGTTGCCCAGGCTGGAGTGCAATGGCGCAATCTTGGCTCACTGCAACCTCCACCTCCTGGGTTCAAGCAATTCTCCTGCCTCAGCCTCCTCAGTAGCTGGGATTATAGTTGCCTGCCACCACGCCCAGCTAATTTTTGTATTTTAGTAGAGATGGGGTTTCACCATGTTGGCGAGGCTGGTCTTGAACTCCTGACCTCAGGTGATCCACCCACCTCGGCCTCCCAAAGTGCTGGGATTACAGGCATGAGCCACTGCGCCCAGCCAAGTTTTTTTTTTAATCTTAAAAAAGTAAAAATATTCTCTGGAATTCAAAAATTTTCGTAATTGCCACAAGTAAACACTCTAAATCTCTAACAAGGTAAGGAACGGTGATTCACACCCACCATAATCCCAGCACTTTGGAAGGCTAAGGCAGGAGAGCTGTTTGAGCCCAGGAGTTCAAAACCAGCCTGAGACAACACGAGACCCCTGTCTCTACAAAAATATAAGGCCAGGCGCAGTGGCTCACGCCTGTAATCCAAGCACTTTGGGAAGCCGAGGCAGACAGATCACTTGTGGTCAGGAGTTCAAGACCAGCCTGGCCAACATGGTGAAACCCCGTCTCTACTAAAAATACAAAAATTAGCTGGGCATAGTGGCAGGTGCCTGTAATCCCAGCTACTCAGGAGGCTAAGGCAGGAGAATCGCTTGAACCCGGGAGGTGGCGGTTGCAGTGTGCCGAGATCACGCCACTGCACTCTAGCCTGGGGGAGAGAGCAAGACTCTGCCTCCAAAAAATAAATAAATAAATAAATAAGCCAGGCATGTTGGTGCACACCTGTAATCCCAGCTACTCAGGAGGCTGATGCAGGAGGACTACTTGAGCCCAGGAGGTTGAGGATGCAGTGAGCTATGGTCATGCCACTGCACTCCAGCCTGGGAGACTCTATCTCAAAAAAATTAAAATAAATCTCTAACAAGTCTACATTAGGCTGTCTCAAATCCTGTATACTTCATTCTTTACATATTCCTTGAAGTATAAGATTTTTTAAAAACACATTACCTATTCCCTAGTAAAAAAGTCCAATGTTTCTCAATAAAAGCACAGATATCTTCTTTCCACCTGAAATAACCTTGACGTCCACTTCCTTCCAGAGACAAGTTGTACATTGCCAACATGACGACCTGAAACACAATTGAAACAAGAGGTGGGAGAACAGCACGGTTAGGGATGTTAATCTTGAGGGGGGAAAAGCTTCTTCTGTTTTATATTCTGAGTAGGAATGGTGGGGAACAGAGCGAACAAAGGACGGACGGTATCTTGGAATATTCCCAGGGTAGAATTTACTTCCTTTTTTACTTTCGTTAGATTATCACTAATCCACTTAATTATGTGCAGAACTAAGCATCTAATCCTTAGGTGCCACACATGCAGGGCTAATGTGTGGCTGAACTGATGGCTACAACAGAGATGCCCCTGAATCAGCTGATAAACAGGCATTGTCCCAAGGATCCCGCACCCTACACAGTGTAGTCCTAAATCAAGGGGTACCTTCTGGCCAGCAGGAGGCCTCCAGGTGCCTACTCCAGCCAGCATTTTCTGACCAACGGCACTACCCTTTATCAAATATCTTGAAAATTACCCTTGTATATATTTCTCTAAGCTCTTAGATGGCAAAAACAAGACTCAGAATTTCAGAACTAAAAATAATGCTACATGCCATCTATCTACTCGGTGACTTAGCCATTTTTACCTGTCAAACCCCTCCTTCAAATGAAATCAGCATTAGAGAAGAAACAGGGAACTGAAAGGCCTAGCCACTCAGCCCATTTTCAGAGCGCTCCAAGACAACCCCAGAGCTCAGGATGCAAACTCCTAATCTAATCTACTCTTATTTTACAGATGAGGAATTCATGGCCCCAAATGGGAAGGAAGTAAAAATCACTTGAAATCCACCATCAAGAAATAATCCCATCCTTTCAGACATTTTTCTTTGCATCTATACTCAGATACTCATATAGATGTTTTTTTGTATTTGTTTGTTTGGTTTTTTTGAGACAAGAGTCCCACTGTGATGCCCAAGCTGGAATGTGATGGTGCGATCTCGGCTCACTGCAACCTCTGATTCCTGGGTTCAAGCAATTTTCCTGCCTCAGCCTCCCAAGTAGCTGGGATCTCAGATGCGCACCACCACTCCTGGCTAATTTTTGTATTTTCAGTAGAGACAGGGTTTCAAACTCCTGACCTCAAGTGACCTGCCCGCCTCAGCCTCCAAAAGTGCTGGGATTACAGATGTGAGCCACTGCGCCCAGCCTAATCCTTATTTCTATAAAGAGCATCCTGTAGCTGTAAGGAGTGTAGTAAATTGCAGTTAATGCCCCCAACATCTGTATTCACAGCATTAAATCCCCAGCAGTCTTACGGAAAGAGCAATATCTACACCACTCAAAGGGGCCCAGTAATTCTGACCCTTCACTAACCAAGTTTCAATTTCCCCCATTCTTAAACTTGCAATACTTGCAGACAGTCTAAAAACAATTAACCCCATGAACAGATTTTAAAAAATGTCTTCCAGTTATATCTGCATCTGGTCTACATCAGCCAACAAACACCTTCCTTTAAACAATCAATATTCATGGGAAGTTAGTGTTTAATGGGCACGGAGTTTCATTTTGTAAAGATAAAAAAATTCTGGAGGTGGATGGTGGTGGTGATTACACAGCAATGTGAATGTACTTAATTCCACTGCACTGTACACTAAAAAATGGTAAACTATATGTTATGCATATTTCATCACAATTTTAAAAAATAATTATTGCTCAATAAATAATTTAAGAAAATCATAGAACGAGCTTTGCCCACTCTCAGAAGAGTATCTCAGAAATATGTATTTGCTGATAATCTCAGTGATAAAGTATTTCTATGACTTTTTTGTATAATTGAGACATTTTATGACCCTAAAAAGCTTACATATTTACTTGAAAATAACTTTTTCTATTATCACTTAATCTTTACTAGGCAAACTATAAACTAATATATAAAGGACCTGTTTTTCCTTCTCTCCTGGAATTTATGATCTAAAAGAATGAATCCCAGGCCGGGCATGGTGGCTCACGCCTGTAATCCCAGCACTTTGGGAGGCTGAGGTGGGTGAATCACGTGAGGTCAGGAGTTCAAGACCAGCCTGGCCAACATGGTGAAACCCCGTCTCTACTAAAAATACAAAAATTAGCCAGGCATGGTGGCGCACGCCTGTAGTTCCAGCTACTCGGGAGGCTGAAGCAGGAGAATCGTTTGAATGCAGGAGGCAGAGGTTGCAGTGAGCCAAGATCGCGCCATTGCACTCCAGCCTGGGCAACAAGAGTGAAACTCCATCTCAAAAAAAAAAAAACAAAAAAAAATGAACCCCAGTTTAGTTTTCTGCTCTCATGTTACCAGACCAAGCTCATCAGTAATGAGGCTGATCTTGTGGACCAATGTATCCACAGGGCCTAGCTCAGAGCTGGCAGGTACTCAGTATATGCTGAAGAACACTAGAAAAATAACAAGCAAAGATCGATCATAGTATCTTTACTTGTGCCATAAGAATGAGTCTCCAGGAAAAGAATGCAAAAACTTCCCTATCCTTCCCAAATGTTTGATAAAGTTTCTCCTACGTATGGAACTGCTATTCACAGGAGTCACCAAGGAAGAGGAGAGGACACAGAAAGGGAGTGTGGCAAGAAGGGGCTTTTTAATCAGGAGATCAGACCTCTTTACTGTAAGTATTTTATAATACAAACAAAATGCTATTTGTGTTACAAGCATTTCTACATATTTCTTTGGTAAATCTTTCAAAGTTTAAAATTTAAAGACGGAAAACCCACATTTCAATATACTAAGAATGTGGCTACATCAATGGAGTCCATTCAAGACCAACTGATTCTCTTTCAGGTCTTCAGTGAGAGATGGGCTTTTTCAGATGCAACTAGAAATACTGGTCAGTTGTTTGCTAAGAACCACATATGTGCAACCTAAGTTATCACTTCACCCTACCAGGTTAGTATCCACCATCAATACGTATTTTGGAAGTGAAAAAATAATCTGCAAGTTATGTTAGTCTAATTAAATATGCAAAGTGGCCGGGCACGGTGGCTCACGCCTGTAATCCCAGCACTTTGGGATGCCGAGGTGGGTGGATCACCTGAGGTCAGGAGTTCGAGACCAGCCTGGCCAACATGGCAAAACCCCATCTCTACTAAAAATACAAAAAATTAGCCAGGCATGGTGGCACATGCCTGTAATCCCAGCTACTAGAGGGGCTGAGGCAGGAGGATTGCTTGAACCTGGGAGGCGGAGGTTGCAGTGAGCCGAGATTGTGCCACTGCACTCCAGCCTGAGCAACAGAGTGAGACTGTGCCTCAAAAAGATTTAAAATTTTTTTTTAAAAAGAATAAATAAATATGCAAAGTGAGCCAATATTACATACTCTGAGCAAAATAAGCAAAAGCCAGCTTTTCTTTTAAAAAGAACCACTACAGAAAACTCACATTTTTGAAAATTTACATATATTTGCTCTTCTTCCATTTTACAGCTTTTATGAGAAACAACTTGCAGGACAAATACAAATCTACCTGTGTGCACATATCACAATAATCTATTAATAAGATCTTGCCTACACACAGTATCCCATGTACACTTGAGAAAAATGTCCCAGTTATAATATTCATAAGGCTCTATCCTCAATACAAACTTCTCTTCATTTTCTACTTACATTTTTTTCAGGCAAGTCAAAGAAAAGGCTTCCTAATTCAACACTGACAGATTTCATCAGCTGTCCTAATAAAGCACTGATAATTAAGATAATAGACGAAGGCTGCTAAGGCAACTACAATTTACAAGGAACACCATAAGTGGCTAAAATGGTGTAATTTAAAATCTTTCTCATTACTCTATTTCCTTCAAAGTAAAAAGTGCTGTGGGTAATTATCTTGTTGATCTGTTTATTATCAAAATTAAGTATAGAATGTCAGCTGTCTTGGGGCAGAGGCCTTAGCTGTCTCGTTCACCACAGTAGTCTCAGGCCTAGAACAGCACCTGGTTCATAACAGGTACTCAGTATCTGTTGAATGAATGAATGAACATAAAAACTAAGTAATATATAATTTTTTTTTTTTTGAGATGGGGTCTCACTCTGTCACCACCCAGGCTGGAGTACAGTGGCTCGATCACAGCTCATTGCAGCCTCAACCTCCCAGGCTCAAGCAACCCTCCCACATCAGTCTCCTGAGAAGCTGGGACCACAGGAGTGCACCACCACCACATTCAGCTAATTTTTGTATTGTTTTGTTTTTTTGGTTTTTTTTGAGATGGACTTTCACTCTTGTTGCCTAGGCTGTAGTGCAGTGGCGCGATCTCGGCTCACTGCAACCTCCGCCTCCTGGGTTCAAGCAATTCTCCTGCCTCAGCCTCCCAAGTAGCTGGGATTACAGGCATGTGCCACCGCACCCAGCTAATTTTGTATTTTTAGTAGAGACGGTGTTTCTCCATGTTGGTCAGGCTGGTCTCGAACTCCCGACCTCAGGTGATCTGCCTCCCTCAGCCTCCCAAAGTGCTGGGATTACAGGCATGAGCCACCGCGCCTGGCCTGTTTTTTATAGAGTCGGGGTTTCACCACGTTGCCCAGGCTTGTCTCCTGAGCTCAGGTGATCTGGCCGCCTCCGCCTCCCAAAGTGCTGGGATTACAGATGTGAGCCACCATGTCTGGTTTCATCTGGTTTTTGAACTAAAAAGTATACACTGATGCCTTATTATTCATATTATACATTAACATATTGACATAGAAACAAAACTAAAACAATTTAATACAACCTGGAGATCAGCAAAAAGCTATTGTTTAGGATACAGCTGACTTAGATTAGGGTGCTGATATTAGAGACAGTTAAAAAGGAACAAGTATTTCAGCAAACAAAAATTCAAACATCTCCGAGTTCAAATGCAGAAAAGCTGGGTTATGTTGGTTTTTGCAATCAGTCACCTTCCTTCTTCCAAATCTATTTTCAACATAGCCATCTTTCCACTTTAAAAAAATAGTTTTATTGTTCTTAAAATGGCTGCCAGGAAAATGAGAATTTCATTTTCAATTATAATCAGAGCTTGGTATCACATATAAAAGAAATCATGAGATTCTCAAGCCTCTCAAGCCCAATTCACCAAGTCAGCAGTGAATATATTTTTTTTTTTTTGAAAAGGAGTCACACTTTGTCGCCCAAGCTGGAGTACAGTGGCACGGTGTGGGCTCACTGCAGCCTCCGCCTCCCAGGTTCAAGCGATTCTCCTGCCTCAGTCTCCCAGGTAGTTGGGATTACAGGGGCCCACCACCATAGCCAGCTAATTTTTGTATTTTCAATGGAAATGGGGTTTCACCATGTTGGCCAGGCTGGTCTCGAAGTCCTGACCTCAGGTGATCTGCCCGCCTTGGCCTCCCAGAGTGCTGGGATTACAGCGAGTATTTTTCACTCCCTTCTCCACATATTCGGTATCTAATTTCATTGCGAAATAAAAAGTGCCCCTCCAAACAACTCAAAAGCTCATCCCTAAGTTTCTAGATATTCGTTCCAACAAACTCCTGGGGGAACCACCCTCATGGATTTGGGGAAGGGCTTTTTACTCACTTGCTGCCATGTCAGCTTCAGCCTTTCATACTGCTCCTTGCCATCTGCTGAGCAATCCGAACAAGTAAACCTAAAAAAATTATCACCCTTAAGGTAACTGAGCTGTTCCCTCAGCTGACCTAGGAGAAAAACAAAAAGTCACATCATGGGTTTATCTAGAGCAGCGGTAACCTAAAGGTTTAATCCGTTTATCACCCAGATTTTCCTTTCCCATGTTGTCTTCTTTTCTTCAGCCAACCCACAATTGCAAAATGGGGAAAAGGAAGGGAATTAGAAAGATTTCTATTCTTCTAACACCAAGTATACGCCCACTAAGATCTGTAGGATCCAGTAACTTTTAGGAGAAAGGTACTGGAAAAGCAGGTATTGTTGCTGGATTTCCCAATTGTCACATTCCTGACTCCCAGAGGCAGGTCTCTTCACACATTCTTTCAAAAAATATGAGCTCCCTCTGCATACCAGGCACTGGGCTAGGAACTGGGAATACAAAGTCCAAGACAGATAATGGTGCCTGATCTCACAGGTTTGCACTTCCCTGAGGGCTGCATAGAAAACAGGTGATCACAACAACACAGTGGTTCTCCATGCTCACAGTGCATTGGAATCACCCAAGTTGTTCTTGGTTTTCTAAATATGCTTGATTCTAGCCCAGATAAAATGCATCAATTTCTGAAGCAGAGCCTAGGAGTTACATTTCTTAGTCCCTCAGGTGATGCTGATGCTCTGTGACACATAAGGAATGGAATGTGCTGTGTACCACAGGGCAGTGTGAGGGTAAATAAAAGGAGGCCCAACCTATATTAGGGGGAGGCTTAGGATTAGAAATTGGCCAGGTGAAAAGGGGTCTCTTTGTGTATAGGGAGAATGGAGGCTGTGGAGATGCATATTCCAGAAGAAAAAAACTGTGCAAAGCCCTAAGGATAAGAATTGTTTGTGAAGAATAAGTTCACCCTAACTGCAAAGTTGTGTGGGAATCAAAGAAACTACAGTTAGCAGGGTCCTGACCACAAAGGGTAGCTTAAAATTTGTCCTCAACAGGACAAAGGGAAAGCCACTGAGAATTCAGGCAGAACCTGAAATCAATAACAGAGACCGCTCAGAAGCAAAAACCAGCTAACTAGTAAATTCTGCATTTCCTGTGAAAATGTTACTATTAATTTGTTAACAGTGACTAAATTTGAAGTTGAACCCATTTTAAGAAAAACATTTCCACATGCCAGAAAATGACCCTCTTCACAGTTATATATGTATTTCTCTGACTTGGTTACAAATTATATTACACAAAGGCATTCCTCAAGTACCTATATCTTTACTAGTCTCTTGCCTAATGGGAAAATCCTGTTTCGGTATAAACCATATGATGGCTGGCAAGCCATACTCCTCAGGTGCCAGGAAGCTGGCCATTGAAAATCTCAAGATCAGGGCCGAGCACAGTAGCACATGCCTGTAATCCCAGCACTTTGGGAGGCCGAGGCGGATGGATCACCTGAGGTTGGGAGTTTGAGACCAGCCTGACCAACATGGAGAAGAAACCTCATCTCTACTAAAAATACAAAATTGGCCGGGCATGGTGGCGCATGCCTGTAATCCCAGCTACTCGGGAGGCCGAGGCAGGAGAATCACTTGAACCTGGGAGACGGAGGTTGCAGTGAGCCAAGATCATGCCATTGCACTCCAGCCTGGGCAATAAGAGGAAAACTCCGTCTCAAAAAAAAAAAATAAAATAAAAAAAAAAATTAGCCAGGTGTGCTGGCAAACACTATAATCCCAGCTACTTGGGAGGCTGAGGCAGGAGAATCGCTTGAACCCAGGAGCCGAGATCATGCCATTGCACTCTAGCCTGGGCAACAAAAGCAAAACTCCATCTCAAAAAAAAAAAAGAAAGAAAAGAAAATCTCAAGATTGAGGCAATCAGGGAGTGTGTATGAGGTATCTCTTGCCAGCAGAAAAAAAGGAAAATGGAAAAAAAGACTGGTCCTAGAAAAAGGGCAAAAAACACCTTCAATCTGCTAATTCTAACCTCTTTTCAGTATACAATAGCAGGAGTTCTCCACGTAAGTTAAATATTAACAAAGTAATTTTTATAAACTTGAACATGAATTCAACACTGGGACTGGAATTTGGCCCTAAATCTCTGTGACCTTGTTAGAAAAATATGGCTAATTCTTTAAGTAACACAGGATTTCCAATTTTCTCAATTTTATTGAGTTACCACCAAAAGTGTTAATTTAACAATGTGATAGAGGTTGACAGTACGTTTCATTAGTACAAACATGCCTATGTTTTATATAAATTTATAGCTGATCAACTAGAGAATAAATATAATTATCCTTTTATTTAGGTCTCTTTTACATTCACGTTTCTTTCACAGGTTGGAAAAACAAACCTTCACACAGGAATTGACAAATCAAAGGAATTGAGAAGCTCCTTACTGGCTGGTATCCATTTTTGGCACTTGTCACAGAAGTAGGACAGCTGCTCCTCCATCCAAGACACGTCTCCTTCATCACTGTTGAGGGAATCCCCACTCTGGTCGTGCGATAAGTCCACTGATGCCTGATCCTCGGATTCGACGATCAGGAGCGTCTCTCCCTCCACTTCACCTTCCTCCAGTCCTTCTGAGGTCGATGTTCTCGTGGCTTCGTCATCATGCCGACTGATCAGACTACTCAGGTGGATGCTACTATCCATCCCTTCCTTCTCACAAGCTCGGCAGTGCTTCTCAGTAACAACCCTAAGCACTGGACAGTGACCCTAATGGGGCTTCTACCAGGATCACCCAGACAGACTCTTCCAAAAAGTGTCTGCCCACACTCCTTTATTCAGATATAAGGGACCCTGAAAGCAGTAACTTATATGACCCACTGTCCTTTATTTGATCAAGTTTAAAAGGACAGTGACCAAAAAAAAAGATGAAGATACTACTAAGCTACTCTCCATCAACACACACACACAAACTCGTGTTGTCTGTCCAACAGATATTTCACATTCAAGTCATGATTTTTGAGATCCTTTTGCCAATAACATCTTCTCTCTTTCTGCTTCAAGTTGCTCAGTCAAAATAATCTGTTCTCCCAAAAGACGAATGTTTTCTTTTTTCCGAATTTGCCTCTCAATGTCTCTGATAACTCCGTCACGAAGCCTCTAAAAACGTAAGAAACAGATTTCAGTAACATCCCGAACAGGTGGTCCCCATCCTTGTGCCATTCAAATCCAAATAACAGTGTTACCAAAATATACTTAAAACTTTCAGATTCCAAATACCCAGTTACTATTTTAATTTTCTGTACAAATGTAAAATGTAATAAACGATCAAATAAATTTGGTAGTGTGCTAAATGTTATTACTGAAATGATTTCTTATCATATTTTAAGAAATTCCTGAACATTTAGTACAGAAAATTTAATGGGAAATAACAGAAAAAAAAAACTGGCACTATGTTAAATTTTTTTTTATTTATTTTTTGAGACAAGAGTCTCGCTCTGTCGCCCAGGCTGGAGTGCAGTGGCTGCACTCCGCAGCTCACCGCAACCTCCACCTCCTGGGTTCAAGTGATTCTCCGGCCTCAGCCTCCCGAGTAGCTGAGACTACAGGCGTGCATCACCATGCCCAGCTAATTTTTGTATTTTTAGTAGAGACGGGGTTTCACCACGTCAGCCAAGCTGGTCTCGAACTCCTGATCTCAAGTAATCCACCTGCCTCAGCCTCCCAAAGTGCCGGATTACAGGCGTGAGCCACTGCACCCGGCCAATGTTAAATTTTTAAAGTTTAATTGATATGTAATGCTTTAAAAACTTGGCGAGTTACTACAGTAACACTCTAAACTACTCTTCTGTTAGCACTTATCCTAGCTGAACAATAAACACCAACAGAAAAAATGCAGATTACTAAAATCTCAACTTGGCTTCTAGCATGTAAAGTTAACAATGTAAAAATCATGCAGAATTATTAATTAATTATATAACAGAGAAAGAAGAAAAAGAAGGATGCTACTACCAGCGGAAAAAATAAATGCTCATCAATGGTAGTTACCTTAGTAAGCACTAAAAAACCACAGCACTTCAGAACGTGGACCTGGCACCCAAGAAGAGACTTTTAAAAACATCAGTCATTACTAATAACTAACATTTTATAGTTTATTGCTCACAAAATACTCTAAAGGTTTTAGGCCAGGCGTGGTGGCTCACTCCTGTAATCCCAGCACTCCTGTAATCTTAGGCCAAGGCAGGCAGACTGCTTGAGCTCAGAAGTTCTAGACCAGCCTGGGCAACATGGCAAAATCCCATCTCTAGCAAAAATAAAAATAAAAAAAAAAAAAAAAAAAAAAATTGCAGGGAGTGGTGGTGTGTGCCTGTGTTCCCAGCTACTCCGGAGGCTGAGGTGATAGGATCACCTCAGCCTGGGAGGCACAGGCTGCAGTGAGCTAAGATTGTGCCACTTCACTCCCACCTGGGTGACAGAACAAGCCCCATCTCAAAATAAATAAATAGGGTTTTTTTTGTTTTGTTTTATTGGTTTTTTTTTTTTTTTTTTGAGAAGGAGTCTCGTTCTGTCACCCAGGCTGGAGATCTTGGCTCCATGGCACGATCTTAGCTCACTGCAATCTCCACCTTCTGAGTTAAAGCGATTCTTGTGCCTCAGCCTCCCCAGTAGCTGAGATTACAGGCGTGCGCCACCAGGCCTGGCTAATTTTTTTGTATTTTTAGTAGAGACGGGGTTTCACCACGTTGGCCAGGCTGGTCTCGAACTCCTGACCTCAAATGATCTGCCTGCCTCAGCCTCCCAAAGTGCTGGGATTACAGGCATGAGCTACCGTGCCTGGCCAATAAATGGTTTTTAATAGTGGCTATATAGAGTAGAATTAATGGGAGTGGGGCCCAGGGCCTGCGTATGTTTGTGGGGTTTTTTCCAAATTATTTTACCTATTTTTAAAAACTCACCTAATATAATACCTACTTGCTGGACCTCCTCCAGGCCTACAGCTTCATTATGAGGGATTTGAAGGAGTCCCGGGATTGATATAACTCAACTGAAACACAACTGTCTTGAACCATGCACCCTTGGCAAGATCACCACTGAGACAAAAACGGAGGTGCTTATTCCACTCCCCCAACTGCAGGTCTTCCTGTCCTGTGCTTCTTACACCATGACACACCGATACCCACCCTCCCAAGCCCACACCATTCACCAGAATCATTCCTTCCACACCTGCCTCCCAGATCCTACCCTTCCTTCTCAGAGATGTCACGTGTGCTTATGATCTGGCTCTCCATCCCATCATTTGCTATCTTCCTCTAGGTTTCAAGGTCTATGCTGATTGCCTCACACATCCTTCCTGTGACCCTCACTGAACTACCTTTCTAACAACTTTCCTTACTAATCACTAAAGACCTCTTTATTCTTCCAACCCTAACACCTAGAACTCTGGCTCCTCATGTAGCACTGCTTAATTTTTGCTAGGTTACTGTGAGGATTACAGATGATATACATAAAGTGCTTAATACACTGCCTGGTATGTGGTAGACGGTCAGGAATCAATATTCATTATTTAATTTCTTGCTTCCTTGAACCTTCCGACACATCCACTGTGCTAATCATTTGTCCTAGTCTTTCCCACTGCTATTAATACAATGTAAGCCCCTAATGAAGAACCGGACATAAAAGGAAAAAAAATAAACACACACACACACACACACACACACACACACACACACACACGTTATTTTGGTTCTTCAGCTCTAACTTCCAAATAACCACTTTTCCACTCTGTAACACAATGGTGCTTAGTCCTGTGTTAAAATTCTCTGGGTTACTTTTAAAACATTGTTGAACCAGGTCCCCATCCCCAGGAGATTCTGGTTTAAATGGTCTGGGGTGGGGACCAAGCCTTAGTCACATTGTAAAAACTTTCCGGGAACATTTGATGTTCAGTTAGGGTCCAAAGCCAAGCTCTAATCCATCCCTACCCAAACCCTTCAAACATCACTTCACTGACGTCAGATCATCTGTCATACTAAATTTTACTCCATCTCAAGTTTTCCCAGGATCAACATCTTTTACTTTTCCTTGTAAGAGGCGGAAGTCTTCTGCCTCTATTCCAAAAGCCAGCCCCTTAGGAGCACATTTTAATCCCAAATCTCTGATCTCTCCTGTGCCCTTTCATTGTTAAGTCATCTCAACCCCTCGTCAAAATTCTTGTACCATCACATGCTTCCTCTCTTCTAATTTCCACAGTCTGTGAACACCAAGAACAAAGACCTCATCCACTTCATCTCTGTATATCAAGCACATAGCACAGTCCAAAGGTCTGGGTAGGCAAATCAAGAAAAGACTGTTTACTCTTGATTCATCCAGTCCATTATTTTCACCCTTGGTGAACTAGGTTCAACCCCAATCACTGCCAAGTTGTTTTCTGAAAATTCACCAATGACCCTGTTCTCAGCAAGGTCGTGAATCACTGATAGACTCTGGAAGAGTGGAGTTTCCTTATCTTTGTATTCCCAAGGTGCTTAGTGAGGTAGCTTCCACACAGTAATCACCCATTAAAGGTCTGTCAACTTGAATAAGAAAGAAAATATGAACTGAGAGGACAGAATAGTCACTGCTGATCAGCAGGTCACGGATATTTCCTGAAATAAAAGTACCAAAAAAAAAAATCTGGAGACTGTTATCTCTATCGTTCCCAGATTCTAGTTTCCATAGCAAACTGTTCATTTAAACGAGAAGTGCAAACATCTCACCAAATTATCTTGGTCAAAGGCATGGAGAGTGAGTACGGGGAAGGGGGGCTCCCTTACCATGGGATAAAATCAATAGCACGTAAAACACATTAGGCTTTAACCCCAACCTTGGGCCAGGAGGGAGGCTGGTAGCTTGCAGAATGCACCCCAAGAAACTCCTTCCCCACCTTCTATTTTCTAGCGGCCCAAGTGAGATGTGGAAAGGTCCGCACCCTGCGGGCCGGCTGTGACTTGAAAACAGAGCCACTGGGCACCCCAAAAGCTTGCGTGCCGTGCCTGTGCGGAGCAAGGCCCCTTCAGCGCGGAGCTCCAAAGGCGCTAAGCCGGGCAGCCGGGTCGTCCTGAATCTGCGGGCTGCACACGCCCGCCGGGAGCTGCAGCGCCCGGAGCCCAGCAGAGCGGCCGCCGGCCGCAGCCGCAAACGCGTGGGGTGCAGGGCCGCGCCACCGCGGGGGAAAGACACGAAGAGGAGCTGAGGAACCGAGCGGGCAGAGACCACGAGAGGCCCCAGGTCGACGCCGCGCGCGCGGGCCCGGAAGAGACGGTCACGTGACACCGACCTGCTGGTCCCACTGCTGCTTCACATGTACGCCGGCCACTGTGGCCGCCGTCAGCAGCACCGAGAGGCCCAGCACCACCTTCGAGCTCCTAGACATCCCCACGCTGGCGGCCGCGGCCTCTCTCTCCCGCCCGCCCGAGGCGCAGAGGCCGCCGCAGAGTGCGCACCGCCGCCTGTACTGCCCAGGCTCGACCCCTCGAGCGCAGAGCCCCAGCCGTCGCGTGCGCCGCTCGCCGCTGCCAGGCGTGAGCAATCGAGAGCCGAGCATAGAGCGGCGCCCAGGCTCTACGAACTCTTGGCTTCACTAGGGGCCTCCTGCACACCCCGCAGGCGACAGCGTTAGACCACCCCCGATTCAAATTCTAGGAGTCCCGGCCCAAACTGGCCCCGGCACCTTACCAGGGTGGAGGGTGGGGGTTCCATGCCCCTCAGTCAGTTCAGTACCAACCTCACCCCGGGCGGGGTCTGGATACCGTGCTGACCCCTCTCCCACAGACGTCCCTTCTGAGCCCCTGACTGATCCAGAAGCTTCGCCCAATACCGGCTTCGCCTAAACGCAGCCCCCTCATTGCTCCTTTGGCGGGGCAGGCGCCACCAGGAGACCGCCTCGTTAGGCAGCTTCAGAGGCGCGGGGTTCCCATCCGTGGAGTTTTTGCCTGAGGACCCATTATTAAACGCTGTAGTCGCGGTCACCTGGTTTCACCTTGACGCTGTGGGGCGACTGGTCAGGCTCGGATTATTATTATTATTATTATTATAATTTTGATACAGAGTCTCTGTCTATCGCCCAGGCTGGAGTGCAGTGGCGCGATCTCGGCTCACTGCAACCTTACCGGATTCAAGCGATTCTCCTGCCTCAGCCTCCCGAGAGGATTACAGGCGTGAGCCACCGCGCCTGGCCCCATGTAATCTTTGTGATCACTTTTACACCCAAGTTTCCGCGCCAGTAATACAAGGGAAATAAATGATATAAAGAAGTCTTGCGTTGGGAATAGTTAAGCAATTGTGCAAGACGCATTTTCACTTCTTCCTCGGGTAAAAAAGGCAAGGCCTCCCAGAAACTTTTAAGTATCTGATAGAGCAACCAGTGAAAACGTGTTCATCATTCAATCATTCTTTCCCACTAGAATTCACAGAGAACGAGCTTCTTCCGGTGGACACGGCTATAGGCAGTATTGATTAAGCCTCACCAGGGAGTTTTACAACATTCATTACTGTTCATAGTGCTTTGCTATTCCAGTCTCTTATGTGAGCGTAAATGGCATAAGGGGACTATTGCTCTTAAAGGTATCTTTAAAGATACCTTTTCCAAATGTCATTTTGTCCACAGCATTTTTTGCAGCCTAGAGAGAATGTACCACTGAATTGGAAAATGGAGTTCTTGCTGTAATGAACTTTGAGAAGAAATTCAGTTCAGGGTGTATTTGCATATTTCTCTTTAAAAATTATATTAGACTTCTTTTTATTCGTGGTATATCCTAGATATTTTCCCCTGTAAATCAGTGAGCCTTCAACAGAGCTGTATGTCCTTAGAGTGTACATCAGGGAATTAGATCAATCGCCTTTCATTTTATTGTGACTAATTTTTCAACTTGTTTTCTTGAAATGTACTCTTTTCTTTATTTTCAGGATACTAGAAGCAAAAAAAAAAGTATTCTACTTTTAAGAAATCATTTATTATTAACTGTGTCAAATAAAAAAGTGGGTTGGGGGACTGAGGGAGGTCTTGCAAAAAAAAAAAAGTATGTTTATCTGTTTAAATATTTATAAGCCTAAGCAGTATATTTTCCGTGATTATTGTCGCATAAATTACTGATTTGTGAGAGTGACTGCATATCATCAAACTGAGAAGCAACTATTTTTTTCTTTTTCTTTTCTTTTCTTCTTTTTAATTGAGACAGGGTCTCACTCCGTCGCCCAGGCTGGAGTGCTGTGGGGTGATCTCACTGCAACCTTTGCCTCCCAGATTCAAGCGATTCTTGTATCTCAGCCTCTGGAGTAGTTGGGGTTACAGGCCTGAGCCACCAGGCTGCACTAATTTTTGTATTTTTAGTAGAGATGGGGTTTCACCATGTTGGCTAGGCTGATCTAGAACTCTAGTACTGGGTGCTGGTACTGGGTGTTTGTGAAAATTGGTCCAGTGGCACACCAAGGCTGTGTGGTCACACATACATGCATGATACACTTCTATACAAAATCTTACATAACTATACGAACAGAAAAAAAATGGCTCTTTTTTGTTTCTTTTATTGTCTTTATTTCCTTTTGATTTTTTATTGTGTGTTTTTTTCTTTTTTTTCCCATTGGTTCATAGCCGATGGCTTTACATTTTATCATCACTTCTTGTATCAAATAGCTTTTTGGCTGGGAACGGTGGTTCATGCCTGTATTCCAGGCACTTTGGGAGGCCAAGGCAGGTGGATCACTTGAGGTCAGGAGTTCGAGAACAGCCTGGCCAATATGGTGAAACCCCGTCTCTACTGAAAATACAAAAATTCGCCAAATGTGGCAGCGCATGCCTGTAATCCCAGCTACTTGGGAGGCTGAGGCAGGAGAATTGCTTGAACCCGAGAGGCAGAGGTTGCAGTGAGCCACTGCACTCCAGCCTCGGTGACAGAGTGAGACTTCAACTCAAAAAAAAAAAAAAAAAAGTTTTTTCTCCATGGTAACTATCAAAAATTAAAGAGATGATCATTTAAAAAGATTTTGATCAGCCAGGCGTGGTGGCTCACACCTTTAATCCTAGCACTTTGGGAGGCCAAGGAGGGTGGATCACTTGAGGTCAGGGATTCGAGACCAGCCTGGCCAACATGATGAAACCCCGTCTCTACTAAAAATACAAAAATTAGCCAGGTGTGGTGGTGGGTGCCTGTAATCCCAGCTACTTGGGAGACTGAGGCAAGAGAATCACTTGAGCCCGGGAGGTGGAGGTTGCAGTGAGCCGAGATCAAACCACTGCACTCCAGCCTGGGTGACAGAGTGAGACTCCATCTCAAAAAAAAAAAAAAAAAAAAAAAATCTTGATCAAGAACTATGTGCAGGAGCAATGATCAGGAACTATTTTTAACACAAAACTTGATATTTAAAAGAGACTCCAAGAAGAATGTTATCAGGAAATTTTACCCAAAGTTGATATTTAAATCTACCCCAAGATTTGCTTTTATTTTTCTTCTCATAATTATATGTCATTTATTTTTTTGTTTTTCTTTTTCTTTTTTATAAGAGTACCATATAAAGGAAATGTAAATAATTATTATCCATGAAGCTCCTTTTAGAATTATCCAAGCTCACGCAAGTTGATCCCAGTGAGTTGTACAGATATCCTTATTTTTTATGTTTACCAAGGTGGGACGAAGCTTAGGAAGCATGGCTGATTTAATACAATTTGCTTGTAAGGCCAGAACATCTGAACCTTGTGTATCTGGCTATATTCTAGTGTCTCGGCATCCTAAGATCACATCAGTTCCTGCCCCTCTCAGCTTTGGATTGACTTAGGTGTGCCCAGAATGGCCACTGCTTTCCTGGAGAGGACAGTGGGTGCCTTGCCCTGCCATTGGCTGGCCTTCAGAGTGAACTTACCTCCAAAGACAAAAATAGGAAGCTGACCACCTTAAAAACCGCTCAGTGGCTCCCCATGCCTACAGGATAAAGTCCCATACTCTTTAGAACAGCATACTACCCTGTCCTTCCCTTCAGAATCCTCTAAGCAAGAGGCAGCATCAAAAAAGAAGTACAGTTGGAAGTCAGGGCTTGGAGAAGAATCAACAAATGAAAACTAAGGGGAGGGAATGCAGTCATTTTCCTGTGTTTGAACAACATGGTCACACAATCTTTGTTCCACCTTCACTCACACAAGGGTGGGGACTTGAAAAAAATGCCTTCCTCACTGAGTGTGTAATTTGGCTTATGTTATTTGGGCTTGAATCATGGCCAGGTCCTGGCAGCTATCCTGGGAGAGCTGGGTTTCGGGTCACTTCTGTCTTAAAGAATAGTAAATCACTAGTACCCTAGCAGGAGGTATCAGTAGGAGGCACGGGTTTAAACTGGGCTTGATGGTGGGCATGAATGCAATAGGTCAAGGCAGAGGCTTCAGGCAATGATCAGAAGCTTGTCATCATTGGGGCTGAGAGAGAAGGAGGAGGTGGGAAGGAGGAGGTTTGTTTGGGAAGAAGGTGGAGGGTGTCAGCTGAACTGGCACCAGTGACTGATAAATTTATCAGTCTCAGCACTAAATGATTACAGAAACATCACACCACATGGCACCGCATAAAGCACCATTATGACTATTTTAAATGCAAGCAAGAAGGCTTGCCTTGTGTATGGCCCTGTAGTGGGCTCTATAGGCAGACAAGGCCACGAAATCCCACCTTCTTCAGGCTGAGGCTCTGAAGTCAGCACATAAGGAAAAAGTCAAAAACAGTTAAAACTACCCTTGAAAACATTTTAGGAAGGTGACATGTTGAAGAAAATAGATATTTTCTCAGGAACTCCAAAACAGCCAGTTTTTCTTCTGGTACTGGAATTAATCACCATGAATTCAATGCAGTATCTATATAAGTAATCTGAAATTCTGCACAGGTTTGTCTCTTCTCTCCCATTTAGTAACTGATTCAATCATTTGTTTCTATCAGTGTGGACTGGTGGGTATTTATTTTATACTTTGGGTTATAATCCAATATTACTTTATTTTGTTGCTCAGATGGCTCCCGCTTTGGCCGTTGGGAGATCTTTCAGCTCCTCTGCTTCTCTGACGGACCCTCATCAATGTGTGTTTTTCTTGTTTAGCACTTGTCTATTTTCTGACACTGCACAATATTCTGAGCTAATCTTGTATATTTCCTGCCCAAGTCTCAGAATCTGCCATTTCTCCAAGAATCCAAGGTTCTTTTTATTGTAGAATAATATTGGAATCCAAGATATAGGTCCTGGCATGCTTATTGCTACTGGGGCTTTGTTTCTTTTGGGCCCTCTCAGCTGACAAAGCACATAAATATATGTGTGTATACTTATCTGTGTATGTTACATATCTGCAAATATTTCTATATGTAATCACCTGAATCTATATTGACTAAAATGTGAGATATTGCTGATGTCTGCAACTCTAGTCCATTACCAGATGGATTATTCTAACCTCCTTTTTTTATTGGTAAATTCCTACTCCATCAGTGAGAATTCAGGCTCCCATTTTCCACCATCCACTTGCGCAATTGTTTGATTCCAGTGTACATGTATAGCAGTTTCAGAATTGTTTACCTCATAATTATATGTCATTTTTTTTTTGTGGGAAACAACTTTACCTACTAGAGTACCATGCTTTTTTGCAGTTCCTATTGCTTTTGGCTTTATAGACCTCATTTACTCCAAAGTTACCAAATCAGCACCTTTGCCCTCCACCCCTTCAGTGATATCGTTTCATATGTTTGCAATACAGTTAGATGCTCTTGTCATGGTTTGCACTTTTTCCTAGGATCTTCCTGAGAGTATTTTTTTAACTCCTTTCTTTCTTTCCTTTCTTTCCTTTCCTTCCTTCTTTTCTTTTCTTTCTTTTTTGAGACAGGATCTCACTCATCCAGGCTGGAGTGCAGTGGCACGATCTTGGCTCACTGCAACTTCTGCCTCCTGGATTCAAGTGATTATCCCACCTCAACCTCCCGAGTAGCTGGAAGTGCAGGTGCATGCCACCAAGCCCGGCTAATTTTTGTATTTTTAGCAGATAGAGGGTTTCACCATGTTGGCCAGGCTGGTCTTGAACTCCTGACCTCAAGTGATCCACCTGCCTCAGCCTCCCAAAGTGCATGGATTACATGTGCGAACCACCGTGCCCGGCCTTTTTCACTCCTTTCCATAAACATGATGGAATCAGCATATATCCTCTCTTCATACCGCCCAACTTAGGGATTAGATTGTTTTTAAGCTTTACCTTTATGCCTTTAAATATATTTAGACCTCTGTGCTTGATTTACCATCTTTAAATAATATATTCTGGTCACCAGCTCTAAACATTCAGGAAACCAGCTGTATTAGTTTGTTTTGACATTGCTATAAAGAACTACCTGAGCCTGGGTAGTTTATAAAGAAAAGAGGTTTAACTGACTTACAGTTCCACAGGCTGTACAGGAAGCATGCTTGGGGAGGCCTCAGGAAACTTACAATCATGGCAGGAGGTGAAGGAGAAGCAAGTACATCTTCACGTGGCTGGCAGCAGAGGGAGAGAGAGAGAGAGAAAGGGGAGGTGTTACACACTTTCAAACAACCAGATCTTGTGAGAACTCTACTATGAGGCAGCACTTGGAGGATGGTGCTAAACCATTAGAAACCACCCCCATGATCAAATTACCCCTCATGAGGCTCCACCTCCAACAATGGGGACTACAATTCAACATGATATTTGGGTGGGGACACAGAGCCAAACTATATCACCAGCATACTTGACCTATTTCCTATCTTCTGCTCTTTCTCATTCAACTTTTGTTGGTTATATCACTCCTTCACTGTCAGAGTTTATAACATATATATTTTGCTCTTTTTTTTTTTTTCTGAGACATGGTCTCACTCTGTCACCCAGGCTGGAGTGCAGTGGCTCAATCTCAACTTACTGCAACCTCCATCTCCCAGATTCAAGTGATTCTCCTGCCTCAGCCTCCCAAGTAGCTGGGATTACAGGCTTGTCACCATGCCCAGCTAATTTTTGTATTTTTAGTAGAGATGGGCTTTCTCCATTTTGGCCAGGCTGGTCTCGAACTCCTGACCTCATGTGATCCACCTGCCTCAGCCTCCCAAAGTGCTGGGATTACAGGCGTGAGCCACCACGCCTGGCCTACATTTTGTTCTTTAACCATAATTGCCATGCTTGTTTTCATCTTAGTTGCATCTTTAAATGGATTTGATGGTCATCACCAGTCCTTTCTGTGTCTTTTCTCCATCTACCCTCTATTAGAATCTTTTAAAAAGTGTTGTAGAAACTATATTTCCTGAATTCTTGCACATTAAAAAAACATGTTTGTGTTGTCTTTGTCCCTGAAGTACAGTTCAGCTGAGTAAAAATTTCTTGGGTCACACTTTCTTTGCATGAAGACTATATAGACTTTACCCATCTGTCCTCAAATATCAAATATAGCTGTGGCAACTTGGAGGCCGGTCTAATTTTCTCCTTTTAGTTAATTACTTTGCATAGTTGCTTAAAGCATACTTTCTTTATCTTTGAAGTCCAATAACTTTACAAGAATATATTTTTGAGTCTATTTTCCTTGGACACGAGGTACCCATTCAATTTTTAGATTCATACTTTTAACTCTGGAAAATTTTTTAAATTACATCTGTAAATACATTTTCTGTTCTATTCAAATTTCTCCTTCAGGGACATGAATTATGTGCCTATTGGATCTCCTGTGCCTGCCTGTCACATTTATTACTTTCTGTCTAATCCTTTTTAAACTCTGGTCATTTTAATTTCATTTGCCTTCCTATCTCTTTTCTAATCGATGGGTCTCTCTTACTTCAATGGTATCTAGTCTACTCTGGAAAAGTACACTTGGAAACAATTTTTTAAATGCTTTTTTGAAATTCTACTTATTTACCCAATGCTTTTAACTCATAGTTCATCTTTTTAAAGTTGTGTAAAATACACATAGCATAAAATTTACTAGGTAAACCACGTTTAAGCGTACAACTCAGGGGCATTAAGTACACCTGCACTGTTGTGCAACCAGCATCACTATTCATCTCCATAACTTTTTCATCTATCCAAACAGAAACTGTGTCCATTAAAACGTAACTCCCTATTTCCCCTCCCTCTAGCCCCTGGTAAGCGCTATTCTACTTTCTGCCTCTGTGAATTTGCCTATGTTAGATGCCTCGTATAAGTGGAATTATGCAATATTTGTCCTTTTGTGTGTGACTTATTTCACTTAGCAATAATGCCTTTGAGGTTCATTTATGTTGTAGCACATGTCAGAACTTCCTTCCTCTTTAAGGCTTAATAATATTCCATTGTATGTATATACAACATTTTGTTCATCCATTCATCTGCTGATGGACATTTGAGATGTTTCTACCTTTTGGCAATTGTGAATAATGCTGCTGTGAATGTTGGTGTGCCAGATTCTGATCCTTGCTTTCAATTTTTTCAGATATACAGACAATTCCAGAGTTATGATGGCTTGACTTATGATTTTTCCACTTTACAATGGTGCGGAAGTGATAGACATTCAGTATGCTTCTCAACTTATGATGGGGTTGTGTCCAGATAAATCCATCATAAGTTGAAAATACCAAAAGTCAAAAACTCTGGCCAGGCATGGTGGCTCATGCCTATAATTCTAACACTTTGGGAGGCTGAGGCAGGCAGATCACCTGAGGTCAGGAGTTCGAGACCAGCCTGGCCAACATGGTGAAACCCCGTCTCTATTAAAAATACAAAAAGTAGCCAGGCATGATGGAGCGTGCCTGTAATCCCAGCTACCCGGGAGGCTGAGGTAGGAGAATCCCTGGAACCTGGGAGGTGGAGGTTGCAGTGAGCTGAGATCGCACCACTGCACTTCAGCCTGGGTGACTCCATCTCAGAAAGACAAAACAAATTCCGGGCGCAGTGGCTCATGCCTGCAATCCCAGAACTTTGGGAGCCAGAGGCGGGCAGATCACTTGAGGTCAGGGGTTTGAGACCAGCCTGGCCAACATGGTGAAGCCCTGTCTCTATTAAAAATACAAAAATTAGCCGGGCATGGTGGCACACAGTTGTAATTCCAGCTACTTAGGAGCCTGAGGCAGGAGAATCGCTTGAACCCGGGAGGTGGAGGTTACAGTGAGCCCAGATAACACCACTGCACTCCAGCCTGGGCGACAGAGTGAGACTCTGTCTCAAAAGAAAAAAAAAGTCAAAAACTCATTTTCAATATATGATATTGTCAACTTTTTTTCCCCTATGGGTTCATTGGGATGTAAACCCGGGAGTGGAATTGCTAGATCATAAGGAAATTCCATATCTAACTTTTTAAGGAACTGCCCTCCTGTTTTCCACAGAGGGTGTATCATTTTACATTCCCACCAGCAAGGCACAAGGGTTCTAATTTCTAGATATCCTTGCTGATATGGTTTAGGTCTGTGTCCCTGCCCAAATCTCATGTCTAATTGTAATCCCCAGTGTTGGAGGTGGGGCTTGGTGGGAGGTGACTGGATTATTGGGGTGGAGTTCTCATCAATGGCTCAGCACCATCCCCACTTGGTACTGTATAGTGAGTAAGTTCTCATGAGATCTGGTTGTTTAAAAGTGTGTAGCACCACCCCACTTCCTCTCTTCCTCCTGCTCCAGCCATGAAAGACATGCTTGCTTCCCCTTCACCTTCTGTCATGATTGTGAGTTTCCTGAGGCCTCCCCAGAAGCAGATGCTGCTATGCTTCCTGTACAGCCCGCAGAACCATGAGTCAATTAAACCTCTTTTCTTCATAAATTACCCAGTCTCAGGTATTTATTTATAGCAGTGCAAGAACAGACTAATACACTTGCCAACGCTATTTTCTTTTTCTTTCATCTTCTTGTTTGTCTAATAGTAGTTATCCCAACAAGTGTGAAATGGTATCACATTGAGGTTTTTATTTGCATTTCCCTAATGGTTAGTGGATATTGAACATCTTTTCATTTGCTTATTGGCTATTCATATATCTTAGTTACAGAAAGTTTGAGTCTTTTGCTTTTTGTTTTGAGGCGGAGTTTTGTTGTTGTTGCCCAGGCTGGAGTGCAATGGCACAATCTTGGCTCACTGCAACCTCCGTCTCCTGGGGTTCAAGTGATTCTCCTGCCTCAGCCTCCCAAGTAGCTGGGATTACAGGCATGTGCCACCACACCCAGCTAATTTTGTGTTTTTAGTAGAGACGGGGTTTCTCCATGTTGGTCAGGCTGGTCTCAAACTCCCGACCTCAGGTGATCTGCCCACCTCGGCCTCCCAAAGTCCTGGGATTACAGGTGTGAGCCACCACACCCAGCCTTTTGTTTTTTAAATTGAATTGCTTGATTTTTTGTTGTTAAGTTGTAGGCATTCTTTATATATTCTGGATATTAACCTCTTATCAGACATATGACTTGCAAATATTTTTTCCCATACCATAGGTTGCATTTTCACTCTACTGATAGAATCCTTATGTATACAAAAGGTTTTAATTTTGATAAAGTCCAATTTATTTGTTTTTTCCTTTTATTGTCTGTGCTTTTGGTGTCATACTGAAGAAATTATTGTTTTTTTTTTCTTTTTTTAAATTTTACTTTAAGTTCTAGGGTACATGTGCACAACAGGCAGGTTTGTTACAAATGTACACATGTGCCATGTTGGTGTGCTGCACCCCTTAACTCGTCATTTACATTAGGTATATCTCCTAATGCCATCCCTCCCCAGTACCCCCACCCCACGACAGGCCCCACTGTGTGATGTTCCCCACCCTGTCCAAGTGTTCTCATTGCTCAATTCCCACCTACAAGAGAACATGTGGTGTTTGGTTTTCCATCCTTGTGATAGTTTGCTCAGAATGATGGTTTCTAGCTTCATCCATGTCTCTACAAAGGACATGAACTCATCCTTTTTTTATGGCTGCATAGTATTCCATGGTGTATATGTGCCACATTTTCTTAATCCAGTCTATCATTGATGGACATTTGGGTTGGTTCCAAGTCTTTGCTATTGTGAATAGCGCTGCTATAAACATACATGTGCATATGTCTTTATAGCAGCATAGCAGCATGATTTATAATCCTTTGGGTATATGCCCAGTAATGCGATGGCTGGGTCAAATGGTATTTCTAGTTCTAGATCCCTGAGGAATCGCCACACTGTCTTCCACAATGGTTGAACTAGTTTACAGTCCCACCAACAGTGTAAAAAGTGTTTCTATTTCTCCACATACTCTCCAACACCTGTTATTTCCTGACTTTTTAATGATTGCCATTCTAACTGGTGTGAGATGATATCTCATTGTGGTTTTGATTTGCATTTCTCTGATGGCCAGTGATGATGAGCATTTTTTCATGTGTCTGTTGGCTGCATAAATGTCTTCTTTTGAGAAGTGTCTGTTCATATCCTTTGCCCACTTTTTGATGGGGTTGTTTGATTTTTTCTTGTAAATTTGTTTAAGTTCTTTGTAGATTCTGGATATTAACCCTTTGTCAGATGGGTAGATTGTAAAAATTTTCTCCCATTCTGTAGGTTGCCTGTTCACTCTGATGGTAGTTTCTTTTGCTGTGCAGAAGCTCTTTAGTTTAATTAGATCCCATTTGTCAATTTTGGCTTTTGTTGCCATTGCTTTTGGTGTTTTAGTCATGAAGTCCTTGCCCATGCCTATGGCCTGAATGGTATTGCCTAGGTTTTCTTCTAGAGTTTTTATGGTTTTAAGTCTAACATTTAAGTCTTTAAACCATCTTGAATTAATTTTTGCATAAGGTGTAAGGAAGGGATCCAGTTTCAGCTTTCTACATACGGCTAGCCAGTTTTCCCAGCACCATTTATTAAATACGAAATCCTTTCCCCATTTCTTGTTTTTGTCAGGTTTGTCAAAGATCAGATGGTTGTAGATGTGTGGTATTATTTCCGAGGGCTCTATTCTGTTCCATTGGTCTATATCTCTGTTTTGGTACCAGTACCATGCTGTTTTGGTTACTGCAGCCTTGTAGTATAGTTTGAAGTCAGGTAGTGTGATGCTTCCAGCTTTGCTCTTTTGGCTTAGGATTGATGTGGCAATGTGGGTTCTTTTTTGGTTCCATATGAACTTTAAAGTAGTTTTTTCCAATTCTGTGAAGAAAGTCATTGGTAGCTTGATGGGGATGGCATTGAACCTATAAATTACCTGGGGCAGTATGGCCATTCTCACAATATTGAGTCTTCCTATCCATGAGCATGGAATGTTATTCCATTTGTTTGTGAACTCTTTTATTTCACTGAGCAGTAATTTGTAGTTCTCCTTGAAGAGGTCCTTCACATCCATTGTAAGCTGGATTCCTAGGTATTTTATTCTCTTTGAAGCAGTTGTAAATGGGAGTTCACTCATGATTTGGCTCTCTGTTTGTCTGTTATTGGTGTTAGGAATGCTTGTGATTTTTGCACATTGATTTTGTATCCTGAGACTTTGCTGAAGTTGCTTATCAGCTTAAGGAGATTTTCGGCTGAGACGATGGGGTTTTCTAAATGTACAATCATGTCATCTGCAAACAGGGACAATTTGACTTCCTCTTTTCCTAGTTGAATACCTTTTATTTCTTTCTCCTGCCTGATTGCCCTGGCCAGAACTTCCAACACTATGTTGAATAGCAGTGGTGAGAGAGGGCATCCCTGTCTTGTGTCAGTTTTCAAAGGGAATGCTTCCAGTTTTTGCCCATTCAGTATGATATTGGCTGTGGGTTTGTCATAAATAGCTCTTATTATTTTGAGATATGTCCCATCAATACCTAATTTATTGAGAGTTTTAAGCATGAAGGGCTGTTGAATTTTGTTAAAGGCCTGTTCTGCGTCTATTGAGATAATCATGTGGTTTTTGTCTTTGGTTCTGTTTATATGCTGGATTACATTTATTGATCTGCATATGTTGAACCAGTCTTGCATCCCAGGGATGAAGCCAACTTGATCGTGGTGGATAAGCTTTTTGATGTGCTGCTGGATTTGGTTTGCCAGTATTTTATTGAGGATTTTCGCATAGATGTTCATTAGGGATATTGGTCTAAAATTCTCTTTTTTTGTTGTGTCTCTCCCAGGCTTTGGTATCAGGATGATGTTGGCCTCATAAAATGAATTAGGGAGGATTGCCTCTTTTTCTATTGATTGGAATAGTTTCAGAAGGAATGGAACCAGCTCCTCTTTGTACCTCTGGTAGAATTCGGCTGTGAAATAAAGATGTTCTTTGAAACCAATGAGAACAAAGACACAACATACCAGAATCTCTGGGACACATTTAAAGCAGTGTGTAGAGGGAAATTTATAGCACTAAATGCCCACAAGAGAAAGCAGGAGAGATCTAAAATTGACACCCTAACATCACAATTAAAGAACTAGAGAAGCAAGAGCAAACACATTCAAAAGCAAGCAGAAGGCAAAAAATAACTAAGATCAGAGCAGAACTGAAGGAAATAGAGACACAAAAAAACCCTTCAAAAAATTAATGAATCCAGGAGCTGGTTTTTTGAAAAGATCAACAAAATTGATAGACCACTAGCAAGACTAATAAAGAGGAAAAGAGAGAAGAATCAAATAGATGCATTAAAAAATGATAAAGGGGATACCACCACCAATACCACAGAAATACAAACTACCATCAGAGAATACTATAAACACCTGTACGGAAATAAACTAGAAAATCTAGAAGAAATGGATAAATTCTTCGACACATACACCCTCTCAAGACTAAACCAGGAAGAAGTTGAATCCCTGAATAAACCAATCACAGGTTCTGAAATTGAGGCAATAATTAATAGCTTACCAACCAAAAAAAGTCCAGGACCAGATGGATTCACAGCCAAATTCCACCAGAAATTATTGTTAAATTGAATGCCATGAGGCTTTTTCCCTGTGTTTTCTTCTAACAGTTTTGTAGCTTTAACTCTTTGTTTAGGTCTTTGATCCACTTTGAGTTAATTTGTGTGTATTGTATAAGGTAAGGTCCAACTTCATTCTTTTGCATTTAGATATACAATTTTCTCCCTGAAAATTTGAAAAGACTGTCCTTTCCCAATTGAATGATCTTAGCACCCTTGTTGAAAATCAATTAATCATGTATAGGTTTATTTCTACACTTTATTGTCTTGTAATGGCCTATATGTCTGTCCTTATTGCCAGTCAGAACCACACTGTTTTGATTACGACAGCTTTGTAGTAAGTTTTGCAACAAAAAAGCATGAATCCTCCAACTTTGTTCTTTTTAAGATTGTTTTGGAGGCTGGGCGTGATGGCGGACTCCTGTAATCCCAGCACTTTGGGAGGCTGAGGCAGGTGGACCACTTGAGGTCAGGAGTTCGAGACCAGCCTGATCAACATGGTCTGTCTCTACTAAAACTACAAAAATTAGCTGGGCATGGTGGTGCATGCCTGTAGTCCCAGTTACCCAGGAGGCTGAGGCATGAGAATCACTTGAACCCAGGAGGCGGAGCTTGCAGTGAGCCAAGATTGCGCTACTGCACTCCAGCCTGGGTGACAGAGCGAGACTCCATCTTAAAAAAAAAAAAAAAAAAAGATTGTTTTGGCAATTAAGGGTCACTTGATATTCCTTATCGATTTTATAATGGGTTTTCTTTTTATGAAAAACAATCATGTTGGATTTTGATGGAGATGGAGATTATGCAGAATGTAGATAGCTTTGGATGATATCGTCATGTTGTCAATATTAAGTCTTTAATTAGAGATGACTTTACATTTAATAATGTCTTTTCAAATTTCTTTCAGAAACGTTGTATAGTTTTCTACGTAAAGTCTTTTGCTTCCTGTGTTAATTTCTAAATATTCTATTATTTTTGATGTTGTTGTAAGTAGAATTTTTTTTTGAGATGGAGTCTCACTCAGTCACCCAAGCTGGAGTGCAGTGGTGAAATCTCAGCTCACTGCAACCTCTGCCTCCTGGGTTCAAGTGATTCTCTTGTCTCAGCATCCCAAGTAGCTGGGATTACAGGTGCCTGCCACCATATCTGGCTAATTTTTGTATTTTTGGTAGAGATGGGTTTTTGCCATGTTGGCCAGGCTGGTCTTGAATTCCTGACCTCAGGTGATCCGCCAACGTTGGCCTCCCAAAGTGCTAGGATTACAAGCATGAGCCACAGCGCCTGGCCTTTTTTTTTTTTTTTTTTTTAGATGGAGTATCACTCTGTCACCCAGGCTGGACTACAGTGGCATGATCTCGGCTCACTGCAACCTCTGCCTCTTGGGTTCAAGGGATTCTCCTGCATCAGCCTCCCAAGTAGCTGGGATTACAGGTGTGCACCACCATGCCTGGCTAATTTTTGTATTTTTAGTAGAGACAGGGTTTCACCATGTTGCCCAGGCTGGTCTCCACCTCCTGACCTCAAGTGATTCTCCCACCTTGGCCTCCCAGAGTGTTGGGATTACAGGTGTGAGCCACCGTGCCCGGCCCTGAATGGGTTGTTTAGCTCTAAAAGTTTCTTTTAATGAAACCAATCTTTAGAGTTTTCTACATATAAGATCAAGTAATCTTCAAACAGAAATGATTTCATTTCTTCCTTTCCAATTGGATGCCTAATTTTTTTTTTTAAATGGAGTCTTGCCCTGTCGCCCAGGCTGGAGTGCAATGGCATGATCTCGGCTCACTGCAACCTCCGCCTCCTGAGTTCAAACGATTCTCCTGCCTCAGCTTCCAGAGTAGCTAGGATTACAGGTGCCCGTCACCATGCCCAACTAATTTTTGTTATTTTTAGTAGAGACGGGGTTTCTCTGTTTTGGCCAGGCTGGTCTCAAACTCCTGACCTCGTGATCCACCTGCCTCAGCCTCCCAAAGTGCTGGGATAACAGGTATGAGCCACCGAGCCCTGCCGGATGCCTCATTTATTTTCCTTGCCTAATTGCTCTGGCTAGAACTTTCAGTACGATGTTAAATAGACATGGCAAAAGTGTGGCCGGGCACGGTGGCTTACGCCTCTAATCCCAGCACTTTGGGAGTCCAAGGCAGGTCGATCACCTGAGGTCAGGAGTTCGAGACCAGCCTGGCCAACATCGTGAAACCCCATCTCTACTGAAAATACAAAAATTAGCTGGGTGTGGTGATGCAGCCTATGATCCCGGCTACTTGGGAGGCTGAGGCAGGAGAATCACTTGAACACGGGAGGTGGAGGTTGCAGTTCCAAGATTGCACCACTGCACTCCAGCCTGTGCAACAGCAGAGTTTGACTCTTTTAAGTCTCAAAAAAAAAAAAAAAGTTGCCAAAAGTGGGTATCCTTGTTTTATTGCTGATCTTAGGGGAAAAGTTTTCAATAATTCTCCAGTGATGTTAGTCGTAGATTTTCCATATATGGCTGTCTTAGTCCATTTGTGCTGCTATAACAAAATACCTTAGACTGGGCACTTTATAAAGAATAGAAATTTATTTTTTACAGTTCTGGAGCTAGGAAGTCCAAGATCAAAGCACCACCACTGGTGTCTGGTGAGGGCTGCTCTCTCCAAGATAGCATCCTGTTGCTGTATCCTCACATCCTGGAAGGTGGAAAGGCAAGAGAGTGCTCCCTTCATACTTCAGCCCTTTTATAAGGATGCCAATCTCATTTATGTGGACAGAGCCCTAGTGATTTAGTCACCTTCAAAAAGCTACACCTCTTATAATTGCACTGGGGATTAAGTTTCAACATGAATTTGGGAAGGGACATCATCGTTAAAATCATAGCAATGGTTTTTATCATGTTGAGGTAGTTTCCTTCTATTCTTACTTTGTTAAATGTTTTTATCACAAAAGAGGATTGGATTTTGCCAAATGCTTTTTCTACATCAATTGAGATGACCATTTTTTTTGGTCTATTAATGTGTATTCATTTCATCTTCATATATTGAATCATTCTTGTATTTTAGGGATACATTTTACTTGTTAAAGGTATATAATCTTTTTAAAAATGCCACTGATTCCAGTTTGCTATTATTTTATTGAGGATTTGACATCAATATTCATAAGGAATACTTGTCTGTTCCTTTTTTGTAGTGTGTTTTCTGGTTTTGGTATTAGGTTGATGCTGGCCTCATAGAGTGAGTTAGGAAGTACTCCATTCTCTTCAAATTTTTAGAACTGTTTGAGAAAGATCGGTGTTAATTCTCTTTAAAATATTTGGTAGAATCAGTCAGTAAAGAAATGTGGTCCAGGCATTTCTTTGTTAGGAGATTTTGGATTACCAAATCAATCTCCTTATTAGTTACAGGTTTACTCAGATTTTCTATTTCTTCACGATTCAGTCTTTGTAGATTGTGTGTTTCTAGAAATGTGAGGATTTTGTCTAGTTATTTAATTTCTTGACATACAAATGTTCATAGTATTCTCTTTTATTTCTTTAAATTGGTAGTAATGTATATACTTTTATTTCTGATTTTAGTAATTTGAGTCTTCTCTCTTTTTTTACCTCATCAATTTAGCTAATCATTTGTCAATTATATTGATCTTTTTGAAGAGCTAACTTTCAGTTTTGCTAATTTTCTCTTATTTTTCTAGTTTTGATTTTATTTATCTTTGTTCTGGTCTTTATTATTTCCTTTCTTCTGCTAGATTTGTGTTTTATTTGCTTTTCCTTAAAGTGTAAAATTAAGTTATTGATTTGAGATCTTTCTTCATTTTCAATGTATGTAGGTTTTAGCTATAAATTTCTCTCTTGGCACTGCTTTCACCATATTCCATAAGTTTTGGTATGTTGTGCTTTTATTTTCATTTGCTTCTTGGTATTTTATAAGTTCCCTTGTGATTTATTCCTTGACCTACTGGTTGTTTAAAATTGTATTGTTTAATTTTCATATATTTCTACATTTCCAGCTTTCCTTCTGTTATTGATTTCTAGCTTTATTCTACTGTGATCTGAAAATACATTTTGTATGACTTTAATCTTTTAAAACTCATTAAGAATTGCTTTGTGGTCTACACATTGTGTATCCTGGAGAAAGTTCCATGTACGCTTGATAAAAAATTCTATCCTGCTGTTGTTGGGTGGAGTGTTTCGAATATGACTTATTTGTTCTACTTGGTTTATTACTTGTTCAAGTCCTCTGTTTTCTTATTAATATTCTCTCTGGTTGTTCTATCCATTATTGAAAGTGGTGTTGAAGACTCCAACTATTATTTTAGAACTATTTCTCCCTTCACTTCTATCAATGTTTCCTTCAAATATTTTGCAGCTCTAATATTTGGTGCACATGTTTATCATTGTTTTATGCCTTGGTGAATTCACCCTATATCTTTATATAATGTCCCCTTTGATCTTCTGCAGCAGTCGTTTACTTCATTCTATTTGGTTATATTAGTACAGCCATTTCATCTCTCTTTTGGTTACTATTTGCATGGAATATCTTTTTCCATTACAGGCATACCACAGAGATATTGTGGATATGGTTCCAGACCACTGCAATAAAATGAATATCACAATTTAAAAAGTCACTTTTTTTTTTTTTGAGACGGAGTCTCACTATGTCCACATTTTTTTTAGTTTTCCAGTGCATATAAAAGTTATGCTTTGGGCCAGGCGCAGTGGCTCACGTCTGTAATCCCAGCACTTTGGGAAGCCAAGGCGGGTGGATTACCTGAGGTCAGGAGTTCAAAACCAGGCTGGCCAACATGGCAAAACCCCGTCTCTACTAAAAATACAAAAATTAGCTGGGCATGGTGGCGGGCGCTTGTAATCCCAGCTACTCAGAAGGCTGAGACAGGAGAATCACTTGAACCTGGGAGGCAGAGGTTGCAGTGAGCCAAGATCACACCATTGCACTCCAGCCTGGGCAACAAGAGTGAAACTCTGTCTCAAAAAAAAAAAAAAAAAAAAAAAAAAAAAAAGTTGTGCTTATACTATGCTGTAGTCTTTTAAGTGTACAAAAGCATTATGTCTTTAAAAATGTACATATCTTAATTTAAAAGCAAGTTGTAATTTTTTACCGGTGGACAGTCCTGCCACAGTGTTGATGGCTGCTTACTGATTAGGGTGCCAGTTCCTGAATGTTAGAGTGGCTGTGGCAATTTCTTGAAATAAAACAATAGCGAAGTTTGCTATATCAATTCTTTTTTTTTTTTTTTTTTTTTTTTTTGAGATGGAGTCTCACTCTGTCGCCCAGGCTGGAGTGGTGTTGTGCAATCTCGGCTCACTGCAACATTCGTCTCCCGTGTTCAAGCAATTCTCCTGCCTCAGCCTCCCGAGTAGCTGCAATTACAGGCAAGTGCCCCCATGCTCAGCTAATTTTTGTATTTTTAGTAGAGACGAGGTTTCCCCATGTTGGTCAGGATGGTCTCGAACTCCTGACCTCAAGTGATCTGCCTGCCTCAGCCTCCCAAAGTGCTGGGATTACAGACGTGGGCCACTGTGCCCAGTCTGATTATTTCATGTATAAGAAATTGGATTTATTCATTTTGTAGGTTGGGATGTTCTTTTAAATATCCCAGAGTAGGTAAAAGCTGAGCAAACTGAAACATCAACAACTCTTCTTAGATCTGTTAAAAAAAAAAAAAAAAAAAAGGCCGGGCGCGGTGGCTCACGCCTGTAATCCCAGCACTTTGGGAGGCCGAGGAGGGCGGATCACGAGGTCAGGAGATCGAGACCATCCTGGCTAACACGGTGAAACCCCGTCTCTACTAAAAATACAAAAAATTAGCCGGGCGTGGTAGCGGGCGCCTGTAGTCCCAGCTACTCGGGAGGCTGAGGCAGGAGAATGGCGTGAACCCGGGAGGCGGAGCTTGCAGTGAGCCGAGATCGCGCCACTGCACTCCAGCCTGGGCGACAGAGGGAGACTCCGTCTCAAAAAAAAAAAAAAAAAGGGAGGTCACAAGGTAAAATGTTGCCCCCCACAACTGGAGAGACAAATAGGTAGGTGAATACAGAGAATCACAATATACTGGGGCAAAAACCTGCACTGGAACCAGTGCCAGGGAAGGAAATCCTGAACTGTAATTGATTATTTGCCAGAGGCTGATTGTGGAAAAGTCTGAGAGTTAAAAACTCCAGAGTCATGGGGAGGGGAGGGGGGTCCCCACACTTTTGTGAGTGTTACCTCTAGGAGCAGAACCAGGTTCTCATGGTAAATATATACCAGAGAATATTAGTAAAGAAAACCCCTTCATGCTTCCTGCAGGGGTGGGGAGAAAGAACAAATTTGAAATTCCTCAGAGCACTCTGCTCTTCTTAAGAAGATTTGCTCTCAGGAGAAGCTAGTTAACCAGAACAAAGACTGGAAAAAAGCAGAACAGCATATACAAGAACTGTGGAACAGTTATAAAAGATGTCACATACGCATACTGCGAACACTAGAAAGAAAAAAGAAACAGAAGAAATATTTGAAACAATAATGACTGAGAATTTCCCCAAATCAATGTCAGACACCAAATCACAGATCTAGGAAACTTAGAGAACACCAAGCAGGATAAATCCCAAACAAAAAACAAAAAGACAGAAAAATCCACCAAAAGCCTATACCAGGCATATCATTTTTCAAGCTACAAAAAATAAAAGATAAGGAAAAAATTCTGAAAGAAGCCAGAGGGAAAAAACAACTATCTATAAGGGATCAAAGATAAGAATTACATCCAACTTCTACTCTGAACCCACATAAGCAAGAAGAAAGTAGAGTGAAATATTTAAAGTGAGAGGAAAATACCAACACCTAGAATTCTGCAAAATTGTCCTTTAAAAGTGAAGGAAAAAGACTTTCTCAGACAAAGAAAAATTGGGGTAATTTGTTGTCAGTAGGTCTGCCTCGCAAGAAATAGTCTTTCCCTGTCTCCCTCCCTCCCTCCCTTCCTCTCTCTCTCTCTGTCTCTCTTTCTCTCCTTCTTTCTTTCTTTTGAGACAGAGTCTCTCATTCTGTCACCCAGGCTGGAGTGCACTGGCGTGATTTTGGCTCACTGCAACTTCTGCTTCCCAGTTGCAAGTGATTCTTGTGTCTCAGCCTCCCAAGTAGCTGGGATTACAGGTGTGCACCACCACACTTGGCTAATTTTTGTATTTTTATTACAGAAGGGGTTTCACCATGTTGGCCAGGCTGGTCTCGAACTCCTGGCCTCAAGCAATCTGGTCTGCCTCAGCCTCCTAAAGTACTGGGATTACAGGTGTTAGCCACCATACTAAAAAAGGTGTTTAGAGACAAAGAAAAAAATATAGGTTAGAAAGTCAGCTCTACATAAAGAAAGGAAGTACACTGAACAAGGAATAAATAAAAGTAAAATGAAAACTTCTATTTTTCCTTTTTTTTTTTTTTGAGATGGAGTCTCACTCTGTTGCCCAGGCTGGAGTGCAGTGGTATGATCTCGGCTCACTGCAACCTCTGCCTCCGGGTTCAAGGAACTTGCCTGCCTCAGCCTCCTGAAGAGCTGGGACTATTGGCACCCGCCACCATGCCTGGCTAATTTTTGTGTATATTTATTAGAGACGGGGTTTCACCATGTTGCCCAGGTTGGTCTCGAACTCCTGACCTCAGGTGATCCGCCCACCTCAGCTTCCCAAAGTGCTGGGATTACAGGCGTGAGCCACCGCGCCTGGCCGAAAACTTCTATTTTTCTTATTCTTGATTGTTCTATCAGATAACAGTTCATTCAAAATAATAGCAACAATTGTATTTGACCATGTAGATTTCTGTGTATACCTCGTGTGTGTGTATGTTTATATGTATTTATATAGAAGTATAAGGAATGACAGCAATGATAGAAAGGACAGGAAGGAAGAATTAGGATCCTTTTTTTTTTTTTTGAGACGAAGTCTCACTTTGCTGCCCAGGCTGGAGTGCTGTGGCATGGGCTCGGCTAGCTGCAACCTCCACCTCTCAGGTTTAAGTGATTCTCTTCCCTCAGCCTCCCCAGTAGCTGGAATGACAGGTGCATGCCACCACACCTGGCTGATTTTTGTATTTTTAATAGAGATGGGGTTCGCCATGTTGGCCAGGCTTGTCTCGAACTCCTGACCTCAGGTGATCCACCCACCTCAGCCTCTCAAAGTGCTGGGATTACAGGCATGAGCCAGAATTAGGATTATTTTATTACAAGGTACTCACACCACTGGTGAAGTGGTATAGTATTATTTAAAAGTAGGTTTTAATTAGCTGTAAATGTATGTTGCAAACTCTAAGGCAATCACTAAAAAAAGTAAAAAGAAAAAAGAAGTATAACTAATATGCTAAGAAAGGAGAAAAAAATGAAATCATATAAATGCCCAATTAAGACCAGAAAAGGGGAAAAAAAAAAAAGAGTGGAAGACAAAAACAGGGAAAAAGAGCAAGGGCAACATATAGAAAGCAGAAGCAAATTTTGCAGACAGTAATCCAATTATATCATTAATTACATTGAATGTCAATGGTTCAGATACATCAATTAAAAGATAGAGCTTTGGATGTTGGCCGGGTGCAGTGGCTCACACCTTTAATCCCAACACTTTGGGATGCTGAGGTGGGCGGATCATCTGAGGTCAGGGGTTCGAGACCAGCCTGGCCAATATGGTGAAACCCCATCTCTACTAAAAATATAAAAATTAGCGTGGTGGTGGGCGCCTTTAATTCCAGCTACTCGGGACGCTGAGGCAGGAGAATCACTTGAACCCAGGAGGTGGAGTTTGCAGTGAGCTGAGATTGCACCACCACACTCTAGCCTGGGCGACAAGAGCGAAACTCCATCTCAAAAAAAAAAAAAAAAAAAAAAAGATAGAAATGATCATGTGGATCAAAAAACAGGACCCAACTACATGTTGTCTACAAGAAACCCATTTCACATATAAAGACACATACCGATTAAAAAGTAAATAAATGGAGAAAGATATACCATGTTTACATGAATCAAAATAAAGGAGGAGTAGCTATGTTAATATCAGACAGAGCAGACTTCAAAGCGAGGAAAGTTATAAAGGATAAAGAGGGGCATTACATAATGATAAATGGAACAGTTATCCAAGAAGACATAACAATCCTTAATGTGTACACACATAACAACAGAGCATCAAACTACACGAGGCAAAATCAGATAGAACTGCAAGAAGAATTAGATAAATCCACTAATACAGTTGGAGATTTCAACACCCCTCTATCAGAAATGGACAGACCTAGCAGGCGGAAAGTCAGTAAAGACATAGTTGGTGATACACAACACCACCAATTAATTGGACATAATTGACATCTATAGACTACTTCACCCAACGACAGCAGAATACACATTCTGTCCACCACATAGAAATTCACTAAGATAGGGACCACATTTGGGGCCATAAAACACACTTTAACAAATTTTAAAAAGTAAACTATGAACTATAAGAAAACATTGAGAAAAGTCTCCAGGACATCAGTCTGGGCAAAAATTTCTGGAGTAATGCCCCATAAGCGCAGGCAACCAAAGAAAAAATGGACAAATGGGATCATATCAGGTTAAAAGCTTCTACACAGCAAAGGAAACAATCAACAAAATAGAGAGACAACCCAGAGAATGGGAGAAAATATTTGCAAACTATCCATCTGACAAGGGATCAATGAGAATATATAAGGAGCTCAAACAACTCTATAGGGAAAAAAAATCTAATAATCTCATCAAAAAATGGCCAAAATATTTGAATAGACATTTCTCAAAAGAAGACATACAAGTGGTGAACAGGTATGTGAAAATGTGCTCTACATCATTGATTATCAGAGAAATGTAAATTAAAACTACAACGAGGTATCATCTCACCCCAGTTAAAATGGCTTTTATTCAAAAGACAGACAATGACAAGTGTTGGCAAGGATGTGGAGAAAGGGGAGCCCTTGTACACTGTTGGTGGGAATGTAAATTAGTACAACCATTATGGAGAAGAGTTTGGAGATTCCTTAACAAACTAAAAATGGAGCTACCATATGATCCAGGAATCCCACTGCTGGGTATATTTCCAATAGAAAGAAAATCAACATATTGAAGAGATTTCTGCACTCCCTTGTTTGTTGCAGCTCTGTTCACAACAGCCAAGATTTGGAAGCAACCTAAGTGTCCAACAACAGATGACTAGATAAAGAAAATGTGCTACTTATACCCAATGGAGTACTATTCAGCCATAAAGAAAGAACAAGATTCAGTCATTTATAACAACATGGATGAAACTGGAGGTCATTATATTAAATTAATTAAACCAGGCACAGAAAGATAAACACTGCATGTTCTCACTTATATGTGGGGTCTAAAAATAAAAACAATTGAACCCATGGAGGTAGACAGTAGAAGGATGGAAGGGTAATGGGGGTTATGAGGGGAAGGTAGAGATGATTCATGGGCACGCAAAAAAAGAATGAATGACTAGGGGCTAGTATTTGGTAGCACAACGGGTGATTACAGTCAATAATAATTTAACTGTACTTTTAAAGATAACTAAAGAAGAATAATTGGATTGTAACACAAAGGATAAATGCTTGAGGGGATGGATACTCCATCTTCCATGATGTGACTATTATGCATCACATCCCTGTATCAAAACATCTCATTACCCCATAAATATATATGCCTACCATGTACTCACAAAAATTAAAAGTTAAAAAAACAAATAAAAGTAGAAATTATACAATGTCTGTTTCTCAGACCACAGTGGAATTTAACTAGAAATCAATAACAGAAAAATAACCAGAAAGTCTTCAAATATGTGGAGATTAACTGCTTCTACATAACACATGGCTCAAAGAAGAAATCTCAAAAGAAATTTAAAAATATTTTAAACTAAATAAAAGTGAAAACATAGCATTAATATTTATGAGATGCGGTGAAAGTAGTACTTACAAGGAAATTTACAGCATTGAATGCATTTATTTGAAAAGAAGAAAGATAAAAAATCAATCATCTAGGCTGGTCTGAAGGTAGTGAGTTATCTCCATTGATTGTTCACAGACAGTTACAGATCAAACTCCTTGTTCTACTCTTTCTCCCCTTCTCACCACTGCACTTGACTAGTCTTATAGAAAAAAAATACAGAATAGAAAAAGCAATCATCTAAACTTCCACCTTAGGAAATTAGAAAAAGAAGAGCAAATTAAATCAAAGTAAACAGAGAGAAATAAACAATAAAAATTATAGCTGAGTATAGCTGAGGCTGGGCACGGCAGCTCATGCCTGTAATCTCACCACTTTGGGAGGCTGAGGTGAGTGGATCACCTGAGGTCAGGAGTTCGAAACCAGCCTGACCAACATAGTGAAACCCCCATCTCTACAAAAAATACAAAATTAGCCAGCCGTGGTGGTGCATGCCTGTCATCTCAGCTACTTGGGAGGCTGAGGCAGGAGATTTGCTTGAACCTGGGAGGTAGAGGTTGCAGTGAGCCGAGATTGCACCATTGCACTCCAGCCTGGGCAACAAGAGCAAAACTCCGTCTCAAAAAAAAAAAAAAAAAATTACATCCAAAGTCAAAGAAATTGAAAATAGGAAGTCAGCCAGGTGCAGTGGCTCATACCTGTAATCCCAACACTTTGGGAGGCCAAGGCAGGTGCATCACCTGAGGTCAGGAGTTCAAGACCAGCTTGGCCAACATGGTGAAACCCTGCCTCTACTAAAAAATTACAAAAATTAGCCAGGTGTGGTTGTGGGTGCCTGTAATCCCTTAAGCTACTTGGGAGGCTGAGGCAGGAGAATCGCTTGAACCCAGGAGGGAGAGGTCGCAGTGAGCCAAGATTGTGTCACTGCACTCCAACCTAGGCAACAGAGTGAGGCTCTATCTCAAAAAATTTTAAAAAAATGAGAAAATAAGAAGTCAACAGAAAGAAAATCAATGAAACCAAAAGCTGGTTTTTGAAAAGATAAATAAAATGGGTAAGACTCTAACCAGGCTGACCACAGGGAAAAAAAAGAGAAAGAGGATACAAATTACTAATATCATAATGAAAAAAGGATCATCACTACAGATCCCATAGATAGCAAAAGGATATAAAAGAATATTATGAAAAACTATATGCCCACAAATTTGATAACTAGATGAAATGGACCAATCCAATAAATACACTTCTGCCAAAATTCCCACAAAAAGAAATAGGCAATCTGAACATATATATATATGTTCAGATGGTATATACATTCATATATATTCATATATATAAATATATACATTCATATATATTCATATATATAAATATATACATTCATATATATTCATATATAAATATATACATTCATATATATTCATATATATAAATATATACATTCATATATATTCATATATATAAATATATACATTCATATATATTCATATATATAAATATATACATTCATATATATTCATATATATAAATATATACATTCATATATATTCATATATATAAATATATACATTCATATATATTCATATATATAAATATATACATTCATATATATTCATATATATAAATATATACATTCATATATGTTCATATATAAATATATACATTCATATATGTTCATATATAAATATATACATTCATATATATTCATATATATAAATATATACATTCATATATATTCATATATATATTCATTATATATAATATTAAACTGGATCAGTAATTAACAACTGTCCAAAATCGAAAACACCAGACCCAGATGAGTTCATTAACAGGCTCTACCAAACATTTAAGGAATAAATTTTTATTTTTTGAGATGGAGTCTCACTCTGTTGCCCAGGCTGGAGTGCAGTGGCTTGATCTCAGCCCACTGCAACCTCTGCCTCCTGAGTTCAACTGATTCTCCTGTCTCAGCCTCCTGAGTAGCTGGGATTACAGGCATGCGCCACCACACCTGGCTAATTTTTGTATTTTTAGTAGAGATGAGGTTTCACCATGTTGGCCAGTCTGGTCTTGAACTCCTGACCTCAGGTGATCTGCCCACCTTGGCTTCCCAAAGTCCTGAGATTACAGGAGTGAGCTGCTGTGAGGCCTTAAGGAAGAAATTATATCAATCCTTTATAATCTCTTTCAGAAGCTAGAAGCTGAGGGAATACGTTCTAACTCACCCTATGAGGCCAACATTACTGTAATAACAAAACCAGACAAAGACATTATAAGGAAAAGAAACTGGTTGGGTGCTGAGGCTCACACCTGTAATCCCAGCACTTTGGGAGGCCGAGGTGGGCAGATCACTTGAGGTGAGGAGTTTGAGACCAGTCTGGCCAACATGGAGAAACCCCATCTCTACCAAAAATATAAAAATTAGCTGGGTGTGGTGACACACGCTTGTAATCTCAGCTACTTAGGAGGCCGAGGCATGAGAATCACTTGAACCCAGGAGGAGGAGGTTGCAGGGAGCCGAGATCGCGCCACTGCATTCGAGCCTGGGTGACAGAATGAGACTCTGTCTGAAAAAAACAAACAACAACAAAAAAAAAAATAGGAAAGGAAATTATAGGCCAATATGTGTTATGATTGTAGACACAAAATACTCAACAAAATATTAGCAAATCAATCAAATTCAATAATGTATAAAAAAATTATACATCACAATCAAGTGGGATTTATTCTAGGTATTTAAAGCTAGTCCAACATTTGAAAACCAGTTCACATAATCAACTACATCAACATGCTACGGAAGAAAAATCACATATCAATAGATGCAGAAAAAGCATTTGACAAAATTCAATATACCTATTCATAATAATTACTCTCAGTAAACTAAGAATAGAGAGAACTTCTTCAACTTGATAAAGAATATCAAGCTAACATTATACTTAATGGTGGGAAACTAGAAGCTTTCTCATTAGGAGCAGGAGCAAGGCAAAGGTGGCCCATTTTACCACTCTTTTTCAACATTATACTGAAAGTCCTAGATAACACTACAAGGCAAGAGAAGAAAATAAAAAGTATACAGATTGTGGAGGAAAAAATAAATCTGTCTTTGTTCACAGATGGCATGATTGTTTATACAGAAAATCTGAAAGAATAGACAAAACCAAAACAAACAAACAAAAACAAAAACAACCCTCCTGGAACTAAGAAGCAATTTTAACAAGGTTGCAGGATATAAGGTTAATACACAAAAGTCAATGCCATTCCTGTATACCAGCAATGAACAAGTGAAATTTGAAATGAAAAACTCAATACCTTTTATATTAGCAGCCCCCAAAATGAATTAGGTACAAATCTAACAAATTGTGTATAAGAGCTATATAAGGAATATGGCATAACTCTAATGAAATAAATCAAAGAACTAAATAAATAAAGAGAAATTCCATGTTCATTACTAGAAAGACTCAATATCACCAGGATGCCACTTCTTCCCTGTTTGGCTTATAGATTCAATGCCATCCCAGTCAAGCTCCCAGCAAGTTCTATTTTATAGATATTGATGGCTGGGCACAGTGGTGGCTCACACCTGTAATCCCAGCACTTTGGGAGGCCAAGGTGGGAGGATTGCTTAAGCCCAGGAGTTCAAGACCAACCAGCCTAGGCAACATAGTGAGACTTGTCTCTACAAAAAATAAATAAATAATTAGGTCGGGAGTGGTGGCTTTTGCCTGTAATCCCATCACTTTGGGAGGTCAAGGTAGGTGGATTGCTTGAGGTCAGGAGTTTGAGACGAGCCTGGGCAACATGGCAAAACCCCATCTCTACAAAAAAGTACAAAAATTGGCCAGGCATAGTGGCATGCACCTGTAGTCCCAGCTACTCAGGAGGCTGAGGTGAGACGATGGTTTCAGTCCCAGAGGCAGAGATTGCAGTGAGTGACTTAAGATTGTGCCATTGCACTCCAGCCTGAGCAACACAGCCAGACCCTGTTGAAAAAAAAAAAAATTAGCTGGGTGTGGTGGCATGCACCTGTAGTCCCAGCTACTTGAGAGGCTGAAGTGGGAGGGTCACTTGAGCCTGGGAAGTCAAGGCTGCAGTAAGCCAAGATTGCACCACTGCACTCTAGCCTGGGAAACAGAGCAAGATCCTGTCTCAAAAAAATTTTTTTTTTTTTTTTACAAAAAGATATTGACAAACTGATTCTAAAGTTTACATGGAGAGGCAAAAGACCCAGGAGAGCCAGCTTAATATTGAAGGAGAAAATGAAGTTGGAAGACTGACATGCCTAACTTCAAGACTTACTAAAAGGCTATAGAGTAATCAAGACAGTGTGATACTGGTGAAAGAATGAACAAATAGATCAATTGGACAGAATAGTAAGCCCAGAAATAGACCCACATAAACACAGTCAACTGAGCTTTGACAAAGGAGCAAAAATAGTCTCTACAGCAAATGGTGCTGGAACAATTGGACATCCACATGAAAAATAATAAGAAGAATCTGGACAGACATTACTCCCTTTACAAAAACTAACTAAAAATGCATCATAGACCTGCCAGGTAGGATGGCACCCACCTATTGTCCCAGCTGCTTAGGAGGCTGAGGTGGGAGGATCCCTTGAACCCAGGAGTTCAAGGTCAGCCTGGATAACATAGCAAGACCCTATCTCTTAAGAAAAGAAAAATCACAGACCTAAATGTAAAATGCAAAACTATAAAATTGCTAGACAATAATATGGAAAAAAAATCTAGATGACCTTGGGTTTGGCAATGACTTTTTAGATACAACACTGAAGGTACAATCCATAAAAAAAGAATTGATAAGCTGGACTTCATTAAAATTAAAAACTTCTGCTCTGCAAAAGACACTACAAGAGAATAAAAAGCCAAGTCACAGACTGGGAGAAAATATGTGCTAGAACATGCCTGGTAGAAGACTGGTATCCAAAATAGACAAAGAATTCTTAAAACTCAACAGTAAGAAAACAAACAATCCAATTTAAAAATGAGCAAAAGACCTTAACAGACACCTCACCAAAGAAGATATACAGATGGCAAATAAGCATATGAAAAGATGCTCCACATATGTCATAAGGGAAATGCAAATTGAAACAACAATTTACCACTACACATATATTAGAATGGCCAGAATCCAAAACACTGACAATGCCAAATGCTAATAAGGATGTGGAGAAACAGGAACTCTCATTCACTGCTAGTGAGAATACAAAATGGTACAGCAACTTTGGAAAACAGTTTTACAGTTTCTTACGCAGCTAAATATACTCTTACCATTCAATAGAGCAATCATATTCCTCGGTATTTACCCAAAAGAGTTGAATACTTACATCCACACAAAAATCTGTTTAGTAGGTTTATTCATAATTGTCAAAACTTGGGGGCAACCAAGATATCCTTCAGCAGGTGAACAGATGAATAAACTGTGAGCTAAAAAGAAATGAGCTATCAAGCCATAAAAGATATGAAGGAAACATAAATGCATATTGCTAAGTAATAAGCCAATCAGAAAAGGCTACTTACTGTATGATTCCAACTATATGACATTCTGGAAATGGCAAAACTGTGGCAACTGTAAAAAGATCAGTTGTTGCCTGGACTTAAGGGGAGGGAAGTATGCATATGCAGAGCATAGAGGATTTTTGAAGCAGTGAAAATACTCTGCATAATTCTATAGTGGTGAATATATGTCATTGTGCATTTGTCCACATCCACAGAATGTTCAACACCAAGAGTGAATTGAGGCTGGGTGCAGTGGCTCACGCCTGTAATCCCAGCACTTTGGGAGGCCAAGGCAGGTGGATCACCTGAGGTCAGGAGTTTGACACCAGCCTGACCAGTATGGTGAAACCCCATCTCTACTAAAAGTACAAAAATTAGCTGGGCTTGGTGGCATGAGTCTGTAATCCCAGCTACTCGGTAAGCTGAAGGCAGGATAATTGCTTGAACCCAGGAGGCGAAGGTTGCAGTGAGCCGAGATCGCACCACTGTACTCCAGCCTGGGCAACAGAGTGAGACTTCGTCTCAAAAACAAAACAAAACAAAACAAAACAAAACAAAAGAGTGAATAAACTATGGACTTTGGGTGATGATGAGATGTCAGTGTAGATCCATCAACTGCAACAAATGTACCACTTTGGTAGGGGCAGTTGATAAATGGGAAGGCTATGTGTGTATATGGACAGGAGATATATAGGATAACTCTGTATCTTCCTGTCAAATTTTGCTGTGAACCTAACACTGCTCTAAAGAAAAACAGTCTTTTTTATTTTAAGTAACAAACAAACAAAAACTGGTGTTGGAGCTGTGTGTGTGCTGTTTCGTGTGTGATGGTGGCTGACTGGTGGGATTCCCTTTAGTGGATTGGGCAAGGATTGACTGTTTCTTTGGGGAACGCTGCATGTGTATATGCGTAAGTCTTTTCTTTTCTTTTTTTACATTTTCTAGAAGTCACATTAAGAAAGAAATAAACAGTCTGGGCGTAGTAGCTCACACCTGTAATCCCAGCACTCTGGGAGGCCGAGGTCAGGAGTTTGAGAACAGCCTGACCAACATGGTGAAACCCTGTCTCTACTAAAAATACAGAAATTAACCGGGTGTGGTGGCACACACCTGTAGTCCCAGCTACTCGGGAGGCTGAGGCAGGAGAATTGCTTGAACCCAGGAGGCGGGGGTTGCAGTGAGCTGAGATCACGCCACTGCACTCCAGCCTGAACAACAGAGGGAGCCTCCATCTCAAAATAAAAAAAAAAATTTTTTTAATTTAAAAAAAAGGCGAGATAATTTCCATATATTTATATGACCCAATATATCCAAAATATTATCCTTTCAGCATGTAATCAATATAAAAATGTATTAATGAGATATTTTACAACTTTTTTGTACTGTCTTTAGAATCTGGTGTGTAATTTACACTTACAGTACATTTCAATTCAGACTAGCCACACACAGTTCAAGTGCTCAGTAGCCACATGTGGTTAATGGCTGCCATATCGGACATTCAGATAGGGAAAATAATTATTATTGCCCTTGAAGGAACTAAGCTCCAGAAATTTTTTGCCTGTGTCTCTTCTGTTCCAAGTATCAGATTTTCAGGAGGGAGCATCTCATTGGGTAGGCCCAGTTTTGCCTTGGGCCTGTCCTGGACCAAGGCCAGAGGCCGTCATATCATATTGAAGGGAGCCATCTTGGGTGTCTGAGAAGTTGAAGCTGTAAATCAGGCAGCCATCCCACGAAGGAGCACATAAATGCTCCTGTCAATATTTAATCATTTCACATGCAATATTATATCAATTGTGGTTTTCATTTTCTGTATTTCTTGATACTTTAACATCCTGAGGGCCTTGCTCACTTGGAGGTACTGCCCCTCCTAGGGCTAGCCAATTTCTAAAGGTAGTAAGGGACTCGTCTGCGAGTGCACCTTTCCAATACAAACTAACCGATCTGAAGCCCATACCCCAACCACCTCCTTTATCAGACTCTCATACCTGGCCCAGACTCTCATATTCCCCTGCCCTATTCACTCCAAGGCCAGGTACTGGGAAAGCAGGGACAGTTCCTGTAGCCTAGAGCCCACTGAAATTACTCAAAGTAGCCAATCTCAAGCCCGCTTACCCTGCCTCACCTATTCCCTCCCATGGAATCCACACTAAAGACTTCTGCCCACACTCACTCCCTCTGCCTCCTGACCAACTCTGGTGCTGCCCTGCATGGCCCTGCATGGCGCGCTGTGCCTCCAGTTTCTGGTATCTGTGAACATAACAAACTTCTTCCTTCATGATAGTCATTCCCATGTCTGCAGGTCTTTCCATACCTGAATACAACAATGCTGGGTACCATTTAAAACAAATATTAGACATTTCACAGGGTTTCCAAGGACACGATGGAACTTAGCAAAAACTCTCCTGTCCCTTTGCACAGTTCTTCTCCCATGCCCCATGGATAACCTCTGTCTTGGTTTTTCATGGATCTTTCCAGAGTTTCTTTAAGTGTATTTAGGCAAATACAAACCTTTTTACCAAAAAGGCTGTACAATATACCCACTGCAAATGCTTTTAATCATCTCATGGCCACGAGTATCACTTCTCTTATTCTTGGTGTCCTTGTAGTAATTTTTAAAAATTCTTTTTTGTTTTGTTTTGTTTTGTTTCTGTTTTTGTTTTGAAAAGGAGTCTCGCTCTTGTTGCCCAGGCTGGAGTGCAATGGCACCATCTCAGCTTACTGCAACCTCCGCCTCCTGGGTTCAAGCCATTCTCCTGCCTCAGTCTGCCAAGTAGCTGGGATTACAGGTGCCCGCCACTATGCCCAACTAATTTTTGTGTTTTCAGTAGACACGGGGTTTCACCATGTTGACTAGTCTGGTCTGGAACTCCTGACCTCAGGTGATCCACCTGCCTCAGCCTCCCAAAGTGCTGGGATTACAGACGTAAGCCACCTGGCCTGGCTATTTTTACAAATTCTTACATGGTCATATGTGGTTTATATATTCTTGTATTGTTATTTGACAAAAGCTGTGTCTTATCTTTTACAAAGCTTCATCTATTACAGTGCTTCCCATGTTGTCAGTAAAAGTGAGCTAAATTGTAAAAGATAGTGAGCAGATCTTTGTGGAATAAATGAGTTAATATTGGGAAAGTATATGCAGCACCCATTCTTTTCCAATAGTAATTGATTTTATAACTACTGTGCTTCTTAAATCATATTTTTAAAAAGTATAGTTGTCTCAGTTTATGTTTGGAATTCGTTTTGCATTTTAAGGAAAAGCAGATAGTATCGAGGAAGCTTGGAAAAAGGTTAAGTGTAAAAATCATATCAGAACTTTATTCAAACCTAATAGTAAATAACCTCCTCAAATAAATGAGTCAAGGTTCAGTATTTGTCTTACAAGGAATGGACTTAGGTTTTTAATTTGGCAACTCTGTCATGAGTTAAGCATAGGACAAAAGAAGCATAAATCAGACAAAATGGAGACAAAAGAAGTACACTATGTTTCCAGAAAGCTCTATTAGAAGTTAAATGGCATATAGAAAAATCCCTGCTCCTGGGATCATTCTGGTATGGATTCTGATCCATGCTTTCTTACAGTTCAAAAGCAAGTATTTCCTTTATAAGGGGCCTGTAGTAAAATCTAAATTATCTCCCAATCCCAAAGTGGTAGTTTAGGCACTTATTATTATTATTATTTTTGAGACAGGGTCTGATTCTGTTGCCCAAGATGGAGTGCAGTGGTGCCATCTCAGCTCTCTGCAACCTCTGCCTCCCAGGCTCAAACTATCCTCCTACCTCAGCCTCCCGAGTAGCTGGGACCACAGGTGCATAGCACCACTCCTGGCTAATTTGCGTATTTTTGGTAGAGACAGCGCTTTGCCATGTTACCCAGGCTGGTTTCAAACTCCTAGGCTCAAGCAATCCTCCTGCCTCAGCCTCCCAAAGTGCTGGAATTACAGGCATGAGCCACTGCACCCAGCCTAGTTTAGGCACTTTTTTTTTTTTTTAAACAGAGTCTCTCTGTTGCCCAGGTTGGAGTGCAGTGGCACAATCTCGGCTCACTGCAACCTCTGCCTCCAAGGTTCAAACGATTCTCCTGCCTCAGCCTCCCAAGTAACTGGGATTACAGATGCCCACCACCACCCCTGGCTAATTTTTGTATCTTTAGTAGAGGTAGGGTATAACACATTGGCCAGGCTGGTCTTGAACTCCTGACCTCACGTGATCCACCCGCCTCAGCCTCCCAAAGTGCTGGGATTACAGGCATGAGCCACAGCACCCAGCCTAGTTTAAGCACTTTTAAAAAGTGTTCTCCTTTTGAGGAAAATGGTTATTTGTCCTCATATAGCTTCATTTTCACCCAGCAGGAGTAAACATAATCCTGAATTTGATGGATTCCAAATATCATCATCCCCTTTGTTATTGAAAGCAAATATTTATCAAGGGTAGGGACTGCTTCTTTGTTCTCTGGTGACCCTGGAGCCAGCACAGTGCCCTGTGTTTGCTGAGTTGAGATAAGGAGTCAGCTGTCAAAGAACTAACAATCAACAATAAATTTTAGCCCCTCGCATAACACCTATAACACCCAGACAGGTATAAATCAGTTGAAAATAATTTACATTTTTAAACACTGAGGTACTATTTTTAAAAGCAAAAGTACAAATCTTTTTTTTTTTTTTTTAAGTACAAATCTTAAGTGTATATGGCTGGGTGCAATGGATCACGCCTGTAATCCCAGCACTTTGGGAGGCCGAGGCGAGTGGATCACTTGAGGCCAGGAGTTTGAGATTAGCCTGGCCAACAGGCAAAACCCCATCTCTACTAAAAATTTAAAAATTAGCTGAGCATGATGGTGCACGCCTGTAATCCCAGCTACTCAGGAGGCTGAGGCATGAGAATTGCTTGAGCCTGAGAGGTGGAGATTGCAGTGAGCCAAGATCTCGCCACTGCATTCCAGCCTGGGCGACAGAACGAGGCTCTGTCTCAAATAATTAATAATAATAATAATAAAAAAATAAGTGTAGAGCATGATGAAGTTTAACAAATGAATACTTTCATGAAGCTGCCACCCAGATCACAATATATTTCTAGCACCCCCAGAAGACTCCTTTATGTCCCCTTCCAGTCCTGTCCTGACTGTATCATCTCAATTTGGCCCATTTTGAACATTATGCAGATGGAATCATACAGTGTGCTCTCTTTTGTGTCTGTCCTCTTTCACTTAATATTACATCTGAGACTCATCCGCGCTATTGCATGTTCCAGTAGTTTGTTCTTTTCCAGTGCTGGGTAGTGTTTCCCAGTGTGAACCAACATACCACAATTTGCATGCCTGCTCTGCTCATAATGGACTTTTGGGAGGCTACCTGTTTAGGCTGTTATAAATACACCTTCTATGAACATTCTTATACATATTTTTTAAATTATTTTTGTTCATTTGACTTTTTGGTGTGCAATTCTATGGATTTCAACATGTGTATAGATCTATGTAACTACCACAATATCAAGATATAGTTGGTTCTATCACCCCAAAAACTCTCACCTACTGTCCCCTTAGAATCACAATCCCCTCCCCTTTCCCCAGTCCCTTACAGCTACTGATCTGTCTTCCATTACTATGGCTTTGGTCTTCTTGAGAATGCCATATAGATGGAATCATATAGCATGTAACTGTTGGAGACTGGATTCCTTCACCAAGATAATTCCTGTGGTATTCACCAACACAACAGGCATGCACCACCATAAGTTCGTCTCTGTCAACAACAGATCATATATATGACGGTGGTTCCATAAGATTATAAAACCTTATTTTTCCTGTACCTTTTCTGGTTTAGGTATGTTTAGATATACACAAATACTTATTTATCAGAACCTATCCCTGTCACTACACAGCGCCTGTCTGTACATTCCTTTTTATTGCTGACATTACTACAAGTCTTTGATGGACAGACTTCTACTGGTATAGTCAAGGGAGTGGAATTGCTTGATCGTAGGGTCTTCATATGTTTCACTTTAGCAGGTACAGCCAAATCGTCTTCCAAAGTGGTTGAGCCTGCAACGTAAAAGAGTTCCGATTGCTCTCTGCCTTCTTCACCATTTAGGAAGTATTCTGGTCAGTGTGTAGGTAACATTTTAGCTATTTTTGTGTGTGTGCATATAAATTACCTTTTAAGATTTGCCATAAATCATACAAAGAATTAGCCATCCTCTGCAGCAGATGCTGTTGGTGCCTGCGTGGACCCCTGGGATTCCTTTTACTGCCCCCAGCTGCTGCAGATGCGGTTGCTAAGGCTCACACCTTCAGCTTTATCCAGTGCTGCTCAGCAGTTGGGGCTGCCACACAATTTTCATCCTACCCCCCATCTCCCAAACACACACACGAGGCAGACAGGTTCACAATGTTGCAACTTATACTTCAGAGCTCCTGTGGGATGAGGCTGAGACAGGACTTCACCTGAATCCACATGCCTGTCTGGCTTTTCCTCCGGGCCCAGCCTACTTCCCTCACTCCCTTACAACACTTCCCTGTGAGCACTCTCCCAGTAAAGCCTTTGCACAAGCATCCCCGTTTTCAGCTCTGTTGCTAGGGAACCTGGCCCAGGACACTTTTGCGGCATCCATTTCTCCATCCTCCTTCTCCAAAGGCCCCACTTTCCACCTACAGGCTGTCTAGTTAGAAAAACATTTGACTGCAACTAACAGAAAACCTGATAAGCAATAGCTTAAACAAACAACTGTTTGTTTTTTTCCCGCAAACAGCTATAGCCTCACCATGACAAGTGCCAATTCAGTTACAGGTTTCCAGGCAGAAGCATGAGATAAATGAAATCACTCTCGATCCTCCCCTTGCCCTTCCAGCCCCTGCCACCCCTGTAAGTCCCTCCTAGTTTCTCCCTCTTCCCAGGCCCCCAGCTCTGAGGCCCAGTGACCTCTGAAATGCTCACGCCAGCCATTTCCAAAGAGTGTCCCCTAAGAATGTTCAGGTTCTTGGGGTGCTTCAATGACTCAGCATGCATAAATTAATATTTTATGCCAAATAGTAGAAAATTTTAAATCCTGACTAGTAATTTTTATCACTAGTCTAGTTAATAACTGGGCAGTTAATTTCATTAAATTTTTCTTTTTCTTTCTTTTTTCTTTGAGACAGAGTTTTACTCTTGTTGCCCAGGCTGGAGTGCAATGGCATGGCTTCGGCTCACTGCAACCTCCGCCTCCCGGGTTCAAGCGATTCTCCTGCCTCAGCCTACCAAGTAGCTGGGATTACAGGCATGCGCCACAACGCCCAGCTAATTTTGTATTTTTAGTAGAGACAAGGTTTTCCCATGTTGGTCAGGCTGGTCTCAAACTCCCAACCTCAGGTGATCGCCCGCCTCAGCCTCCAAAGTGCTGGGATTACAGGCGTGAGCCACAGCGCCTGGCCTATTTTCTTTACATTTTTCAAGACATCTTTCTAATTTTGTCTCCTCATAAGAAATGCTCAGGCCGGCACAATGGCTCATACCTGTAATCCCAGCACTTTGGGATGCCGAGGTGGGCAGATCACCTGAGATTGGGAGTTTGAGACCAGCCCAGCCAACATGGTGAAACTCTGTTTCTACTAAAAATACAAAAATTAGCTGGGCATGGTGGTGCACACCTGTAATCCCAGCTACTGAGGAGGCTGAGGCAGGAGAATCGCTTGAATCTGGGGGGCAGAGGTTGCAGTGAGCCAAGATTGAGCCATTGCACTCCAGCCTGGGCAACAGAGTGAGGCTCCGTGTAAAAAAAAAAAAAAAAGAAAAGAAAAAGAAAAGAAATGCCCAGATAAACTCATTCATTCTCAGGTATTAATAACATTTACTAATTCTTGGTTCAATTTGTGTTTATAGAGGGCATGACCTAGGATCTGAATCAGTTGTGGGGTTTACAAATATGGATAATATATTGGCCTCTTTTAAAAGGCCCTGTGTGCACATGTATACATGCATTTTCCACTCTTTATTGTAGCTGTCAATTTATTTTGTCCAGTAGATTGTAAGCTTCTTGAGGTCAAGAACTATGTTTTATCTCTGTGCTACTAACTAGCATAGTACTTGGAACATACCATACATGTTTCTGGAAAACAGCATAGCCAGGTGAGGTGGCTCATGCCTGTAATTCCAGCACTTTGGGAGGCCAAGGTGAGTGGATCACCTGAGGTCAGGAGTTCAAGACCAGCCTGACCAACATAGTGAAACCCCATCTCTACTAAAAATACAAAATTAGCCGGGCGTGGTAGCACATGTCTGTAATCCCAGCTACTTGGTAGGCTGAGGCAGGAGAATCATTTGATCCCAGAGTGGGCGGAGGTTGCAATCAGCAGGGATCAGGCCATTGTACTCCAGCCTGGGCAAAAAGAATGAAACTGCGTCTCAAACAAACAAAAAAACTAGCATGGCAGGGAGGATAAAAGGAAAGAGAGGCAGGAAGTGGAGAAGCTGCGGTAGATTAAAGATGGCCACCAAGGCTGGGCGTGGTGGCTCATGCTTGTAATCCCAGCACTTTGGGAGGCTGAGGTGGGGACATCACCTGAGATCTGGAGTTCGAGACCAGACTTACCAACATGGGGAAACCCTGTCACTACAAAAAATACAAAATTAGCCACAGGTGGTGGTGCACACCTATAATCCCAGCTACTTGGGAGGCTGAGGCAGGAGAATCGCTTGAACCCAGGAGGCGGAAGTTACAGTGAGCCGAGATCACGCCATTGCACTCCAGCCTGGGAAACAGGAGTGAAACTCCGTCTCAAAGAAAAAAAAAAAAAAAAAAGATGGCCACCAATTCCTTGTAGTTTTCTCCACTGAGAAGTGGAGGCTATCTTTGCTCACCTTGAATCTGGGCTTACGTTGTGACTTGCTTTGATAATGAAATACGGTGTACATGATGATGTGCCAGCTTCAGATCTATGCCTGAAAAAGGTGTGGCAGCCTCAGGGAACTACCCTGAGACTACCACGCTGTGAGGAAGCCCCAGATAATAACCTCGTGGAGAAGCCATGTAGAGAGAACTGAGGAACCCAGGCAACACCAAGGGTGAGGCCTAGACATACCCTAGTTGAATTGTTCCAGCCAGACCTCGGCTATCTGAGCCATTCTAGCTGAGACCCCAGACATCATGGAACAGAGATGAGCTATTCCCACTGTGCTCTGGTCTAGTTACTGACCCACAAAATCAAGTTCCAATAAAATGTTGTTTTAAGCCACTGAGTTTTGGGATGGTGTGTTCCACAGGAAAAAAGAAAATCTGAAATTGGAGATATTCACCATCAAAAGAACAATGTACTGTCTCATCATTTCCAGTACTCTTTATTCTACTTGAGATATGCCTGCAGGAAGAGAGCAATTCTTTTCTTTCCTTTCCTTTCTTTTTTTTGAGATGAAGTTTCACTCTTGTCACCCAGGCTGGAGTGCAGTGGCGTGGCTCGGCTCACTGCAACCTCCCCCTCCTGGGTTCAAGCGATTCTCCTGCCTCAGCCTCCAGAGTAGCTGGGACTACAGGCATGCGCCACCACACCCGGCTAATTTTTGTATTTTTAGTAGAGATGAGGTTTCACCATGTTGGTCAGGATGTTCTCAATCTCCTGACCTCGTGATCTGACTGCCTCAGCCTCCCAAAGTGCTGGAATTACAGGCGTGAGCCACTGCACCCGGCCAAGAGCAATTCTTAATACAAAGAAAAGGTTGTACTAGTGGAGATATCTTGGGGGCAGAGAAAATATTTCCAACACATTTCTCATATCCTACCAAGGGTTGGATATGAGAATATCTCCACTACCAACCCTTGGTAGGATATAAGAAATGTATTGGAAATATTTGCTTGGTTATGTTGGGCGTCTTGATCTGGGCTGAAGGAAGGCTGGAGTCCACCGCAGGAAACTCAATTATCTACTACAGTCTGGGAGCGAAGGTCAATGAGTGAAGTGGATCGGGAAATGGTGACAGTGGATGGACTGGCAGATACCAACACTCAACTCTGGCCATTTATGGTCATGCGGGAACTTGGGCCCGCTATTGCTGGATCCTTCATTTTTTTTTTTCAGAAGCAAAATAGCCAGATTTTTATATAAAATCTCCAAATTTTATATCTGTACTGTTGGGTTGCTCATTTGAGCTCCCTGGTCCAATGACAGAGCACTGGGTGAGGTGTCGTACTCGTCACACATTGCATGTGTGTCTCTCCAGGCAGCCTGTGGCTTTGCAAAATGAAAGTTGTCTATGTGCTTTCCGGCAAAGTCCAGCTGGATCAGATTCGGTGCGTGAAGTTCTAAGTGCTGGCAGGGATGTGCAGCAACTGGAACTCTCAGACATTGCTAATAAGCCTGTGAATTGGTACATTTTAGAGAACAGTTTGGCAATAACTACTAAGGCTGAGCATATACCTCCCCTAGCACTATGACCCAGTAGTGCCACCACAAGGCTTGGGAACACGTATCTGCAAAAGAAATGCAAATACATGTTCACCAAAAGACATCTATTAAAAGGTTCATAGAAACACTATTAGTACTAGTCAAATACTAGAAATAAATACTGTCCATCATCTGTAGAGTGGATAAACAAATCATCTATTTATGGAATATTACACAGCAATGCAAAAAAAAACCACAATAGAAATTTGTTGCATGTTTGCTGCATGCAACAACACAGATAAAACTCACAAACAAACTGTTGAGTGAAAGAATCAGTTACAGGAGAGTCCGTACAGCACAATATACGGTGGGTGAAAGTTCTGGGTGCATCACATCTTTGTATACCGACGCTTAGTATATAAAGTTCAAAACAGGAAAACTCATCTGTGGCATGATGATGGTTACCCTTTTTTTAAATTTTTAAATTATTTTTTTAATATTTTGAGACAGGGTCTCACTGTGTCACTCAGACTGGAGTGCAGTGGCAAGAGCATAGCTCTGTAACCTCAAACCCCTGGCCTCAAGTGATCCTCCAGCCTTGGTCTCCCAAAGTGCTGAGATTACAGGTGTGAGCCACTGCACCTGGCCAACAGTAGTACTATAGGAAAGAGGTCGTGATCCAGACCCAGGAGAGGATTCTCAGATCTCATGCAAGAAAGAATTCAGGGAGAGTCTGCAATGCAAAGTGAAAGCAAGTTTATTAAGAAAGTAAAGGAATAAAAGAATGGTTATTCCATAGACAGGGCAGCCCTGAGGGCTGCTGGTTGCCCATTTTTGTGGTTAGTTCTTCATGATCTGGTAAACAAGGGGTGGATTATTCATGCCTCCCCTTTTTAGATCATATAGGGTAACTTCCTGACATTGCCATGGCATTTGTAAACTGTCATGGTGCTGGTGGGAGTGTAGCAATGAGGATGGCCAGAGGTCACTCTTGTCACCATTTTGGTTTTGGTGGGTTATGGCTGGCTCCTTTACTGCAATCTTTTTTATCAGCAAGGTCTTTATGACCTGTATTTTGTGCTGACCTCCTATCTCATCCTGTGACTTAGGATGCCTTAACCGTCTGGGAATGCAGCCCAGGAGGTTTCAGCCTCATTTTACCCAGCTCCTATTTAAGATGGAGTTTTCTGGTTTACACACCTCTGACAGTAGCAACCCTTGAAAGTGAGATGGTGACTAGATGGGGGTGAGGGGACTTTTGGCGCACTGGTCATGTTCTGTTTCTTGTCTGTGCATTGGTTACATGGGTGTGTTCACTTTGTGAAAGCCACTGAGCTATACACTTTTGATTTCTGCACTTTTCTGTATACATGTTGTATTTCAATACAAAGGTTTTTTTTGTTTTTGTTTTTTGTTTTTTCCTTTAGATAGACTCTCACTTTGTTGCCGAGGCTGTAGTGCAGTGGCATGTAGCGCAGTGGTGTGATCTCGGCTCACTGCAACTTCTGCCTCCTGGATTCAAGTGATCTCCTGCCTCAGCCTCCCAAGTAGCTGGGATTACAGGCGTGCACCACCACATCTAGCTAATTTTTGTATTTTTAGTAGAGACAGGGTTTTATCATGTTGGCCAGGCTGGTCTCGAACCCCTGACCTCATGTGATCTGCCTGCCTCGGCCTCCCAAAGTGCTGGGATAACAGGTGTGAGCCACCCCGCCCAGCCAATACAAAATTTTTTAAAGCAACATTTGAAAAATGTAGCACTTGCTCCTTCAACCTGGGTTGTAAAGTGAGGACAAAAGCAACCTGGAACAAGCCTCTAGCCTCTAGCTTACCTAAGCTGAACATGTAGTAGGAGAGAGAACTAAGTCTTTGTGTGTGTGTGTGTGTGTGTGTGTGTGTGTGTGTGTGTGTGTGTGTTTTAAGTCCCTAGAAAATAATGCAGCACTCTAGTCCTCCCAGTTGTCCTCTCAAATCTATTTTCCATCTTCCTGGATACATGGCTGCCTAACCAGTGGCTATATTTCCCAGCCTCTAATATTGGGCTAATGAGAAGTAGGCAGGAGTGAATGACCTGAGCCACTTCCGGCTATTTTGCTTTTGCCCTTTCTCAGGTGCATCAATGTGGAGACGGCAAGGACAGCAGCAGCAACAGCACCTGGGAGCTCGTTAGAAAGGGAAATTAAGGTTACAGCTCTTTTAGAATTTGTCTAACAGGTTTTCCTGTCTTCACCGGAACTCCCCAACTCCCAACAAAAAAGAAATGGCCATTCAGTTGACTCTTGAACAACGAGGGAGGGGCTGGGGTGCCACCACCTGCACAGTCCAAAATCTGAATTAACTTTTTTTTTTTTTTTTTTTTGAGACAGGGACTCGCTCTGTTGCCCAGGCTGGGGTGCAGTTGTGCGATCTCGGCTCACTGCAACCTTCACCTCCTGGGTTCAAGCGATCCTCCCATCTCAGCCTCCCAAGTAGCTAGGATTACAAGCATGCACCACCACACCCGGCTAATCCTTGTATTTTTAGTACAGACAGGGTTTCACCATGTTGGCCAGGCTGGTCTCAAACTCCTGACCTCAAGTGATATACCTGCCTTGGCCTCCCAAAGTGCTCAAATTACAGGCATGGGCCACCGTGCCGGGCCTGCATTAACTTTTGATTCCCCAAATACTTAACTACTAATACCCTACTGTTGACTGGAAGCCTTACAGATAACACAGTTGATTAACACATATTTTGTATGTTATATAAATTATTACTATATTCTTACAATAAAGTTAACTAGAGAAAACAAAATGTTATTAAGAAAATCATAAGGAAGAGAAAATACATTTACTATTCATTAAGTGGAAGTGGATCACCACAAACGTCTTCATCCTCACCATGTTCACATTGAGTAGGCCAAGGAGGAGGAGGAAGAGAAGGGCTTGGTCTTGCTGTATCAAGGGTGATAGAGGCAAAAGAAATCTATATATATATGTGGATCCACACAGTTCAAACCTGTGTTGTTCAAGGATCAACTGTTCTTAGTTCCCACCTGAGACCTAATGAATCAGAGACCCTGCGATGGAGCTCAGCAATTTCCGTGTAAACAAACCCTTGGGGGAATTCTAACACACTCAAGTTTGAGGACCACTGATTTAGAGGAGTCAACAAACGTTTTCTGTAATGGGACAGAGAGCAAATATTTTAGAGATTGCAGGCCGCACAGTCTCCGAGGCAACTACTTAGCTCTGCCATTGTAGTGCAAAAGTAGCCAGAAGACAAACTGTAAATGAATGGGTTAGCCGGATTTGGCCTAAGGTGGGACTCAGAGAATCAGGTATATGCTTAGAGTACAAGTAAATGCCAGGTAAAACAGTTTTCTTATCTTTGAGCAGAAGAATGTCCTCTGAGTCTCCCTCATGCCTCTTATCAGTCTTAACGTCTACTCTGAGCATACGGGAGTGACCAGTGCTGAATCCTTTATCCTCTGTAGCTGAGCCCTCCCTCCGGGTTCCTTACTTCTTGCACCCTGCAAAATCTGCTCTGTGAAATTCTATAATAACCCTTGTGTAAGTATTAAAGTCTACTAACAGCCAATAATGCCACTTTGGGCGGAGGCATTGGCATTTTAATTTGGGGCAATCCTCGTTGGGCAGGGAGAGGATTGTGTCCCAATACTGTCATGGGCCAACTGGTGGATCTGTGGAGTAGGAAGGGCTTCCAATTTCCCCAAAGTCGCTTTCAGGAGAGAGATTGCTTTCCTGTAATTCCCGATTTGTCTGTTTCGAGTTCAGATTTTTGCCGATTTTTTTTTTATACACTGAGTCTCACTCTATTGCCCAGGCTGGAGTGCAGTGGTGCCATCTCGGCTCACTACAACCTCAGCCTCTAGGGCTCAAGAGATTCTCGTACCTCACCCTCCCAAGTAGCTGGAATTACAGGCATGTGTTTGTATTTTTAGTAGAGACGGGGTTTCACCATGCTGGCCAGGCTGGTCTCAAACTCCTGACCTCATGTGATCTGCCCGCCTCGGCTTCCCAAAGTGCTGGGATTACAGGCATGAGCCACTGCGCCCGGCCAGATCTGCCGATTTTTAATCCCACCTGGGTTTAGAGTGAGTGCAGTGTTCGTATGGCACTGTTCGCAGTTTGTTCCGTTCTGGCTTCAGCGTTCCTGCAGGGAGCCCCAGCTGAACATACCTCCAGTCCCTCCTTCCCCTGGGCCTGATCCCCTGGGCTGGGAGTGCCTGGCACCCCCCAGGGACGGGAGCAGCCCAGGTGGGTTTCCCCTCCTATGCAAGCAGAGATCACTTCCCACCACGTCTGTCTGAACTGCACCTGCTCGGCCACAGAGCCAAGGCAGCAACCACCTCTCTCTCTGTTTCTCATAAGGGAGACCCAGGAGAAGGCCCTTTCTCTGTCTTGTATCCATTAGGCATCTTAGTCACAACTCAAAATGGGTTTAATAGAGAAGTTCCTGACTCGTTTCACTGAAAACTCTCGGGATAATTCTAGCTTGAAGCACAGCTTGATTCAGGGGCTCAAACACTACCACAGGGCCTGGTTTCTCACTCCATCCAGCAGCCCTCCTTGTTGGCTCCATTTTCAGACAGGCTGGCAGGTGATGGCGGCGGATCCAGGCTTCATTCTTCCAGGTGCACAGGGAGCAGGGCGGGCCTCTCTACCCGCTAAAGACTCCTCACACCTCATTGGCTTCGAACCGGTCACAAGCTGCCCCTAAGCCATTCCCTGTGGCTGGTAAAAGATCAATGCTGATTGGCTAGGTGTGATCCATGTGCCCTGTCCTGGGGTTGGGATGGAGCCACTGGAAGCACACAGAGGGAAAGTGAACGAGGGGTGTGTCAAGGAAAGCAGAACCCAGCGGCCCTTACTGAGAGAGTGGGACTGGATGAATCTTAATGAGAGGTCTCCCAGACTCTGTAGTATTTAATTGCAAGTAGTTTGAGAGATGATTTCAGGGAGTAGGGAAGCAAGATAAGAAAAGGAAGAGAGCCAGTAAAGAAAGCCGCGTTATCCCCCGGGCGCTGTGGCTCACGCCTGTAATCCCAGCACTTTGGGAGGCTGTGGCGGGAGGATCACGAGGTCAGGAGATCGAGACCATCCTGGCTACCACGGATGAAACCCCCGTCTCTACTAAACATACAAAATATTAGCTGGGCGTGGTGGCGGGCGCCTGTAGTCCCAGCTACTCCGGAGGCTGAGGCAGGAGAATGGCGGGAGCCCCGGAGGCAGAGCTTGCAGTGAGCCGAGATCGCGCCACTGCCCTCCAGCCTGGGCGACAGAGCGAGACTCTGTCTCAAAAAAAAAAGAAAAAAGAAAGCTGCGTTATCAAGCAAGTTATCTCTGCGGGCACCCGGAGCCCACTCCCCCTGGAGAGCTTGGGAGACGGTGTAGAAGATGCTTCAGAGTTCTCCCAACAGAGGGGCGAGAAAGCTGCAGTGCGAACCCGACAGCTCCTTATCTGTCATTGATACAGAACTTTCAGCTTGCCCTATTTGCCAGCCTAGCTTGCTCTTAAGGAAGGGGGTGGGGACAGGGAGGAGGAAGGGGTAGAGAGAGGGAGAGAGAGAACCTTCCGGCAGAGGAGGACTTGGAGGTGTTTGCAGTAGGCAGCCGTCATTGTGTAGGGGTGCATGCCACGGGGTTGTGCATGGCATATGGACAGTGTCTGCCACAGGGTGCTGACAACAAATGTCCTGTTCCTTTCCCGCATCCCATCCACCAGGAGTCTTTTCCCATAGCAAGGACTAGGGCCTTCTCTGGCCCATCTAGGAAAGACGCCATTCCTTCTTCCGATAAATGAAGGAGAATATCAAGCCCATAAACACAGAAATAAAACAGTACCCAGAGCTCCCCTTAACATTAAACATACCCAATTTCACAGGGACGGCTCCTGCAAAAGTAAGAAAGGTTTTGCAGGTACAGAGTCCTGGGCCAGAGGCTAAAGCTCTTAAACGGCGTGGTTGACTCATTGGGCAGGAACAGATAAGCTGAATTTGAGACAACTCCACCCAGACCATGTGGAACAGGGTTGGGAAAGGGTAGATATCCAGACAGAACTCCGAGCTGTCACTGGGAGTGGAGTGGCTGGACGCTGCACCAAAATTCCCCACAGATTTTGGCTGCAATGGCAACTCTTTTATTTGTTGATGTACAAATATACAACATCCATGAGTTCCCCAACACGAGTATGACAATTTAACCTCTTTACATGCCCTACTTATCTACTCTATTTCTCCCATTATTTTATTCTTAAATTCTATTAGTTACCTTTGTAACTTTAAAAAGAAGACCTTTATTTCTTTTTCTTGATGCATTAACCATATTTTTAAAAATATATTTTACTTTAAAAAGTATTTTATGGTCTATTTGCTTGGCTCTTGATGTCTGGCTCTTCTGATTTTGTTTTCTTTTTCTCTTTCTTTCCTTCTCTTCTTCCTTCCTTTCTTTCCTTCCTTCCTTCTTGCTTTCTTTCTTTCAGACAGAATCGTACTCTGTTACCTGGGCTGGAGTGCAGTAGTGCAATTTTGGCTCACTGCAACCTCCGCCTCCCGGGTTCAAGCGATTCTCTTGCCTCAGCCTCCTGAGTAGCTGCAACTACAGGTGCATGCCACCACACCCAGCTAATTTTTATATTTTTAGTAGAGACAGGGTTTTGCCATGTTGGCCAGACTGGTCTGGAACTCCTGACCTCAAGTGATCCACCCGCCTCGGCCTCCCAAAGTGCTGGGATTACAGGCATGAGCCACCGTGCCTGGCCTCTGATTTTGTTTTCTTTCAGAAAATATTTTGGCTGGGTGTGGTGGCTCACGCCTATAATACCAGCACTTTGGGGAGGCTAAGGTGAATAGATTGCTTGAGCCCAGGAGTTTGAGACCAGCCTGTACAACATAGTGAGACCCTGTCTCTACAAAAAATACAAAAATTAGCCAGGCATGGTGGTGCTCACCTGTAGTCCCAGCTACTCGGGAGACTTAGGCTTGAGCCCAGGAGGTCAAGGCTGCAGTGAGCCATGATCACGCCTCTGCACTCCAGCTTGGGCAAAAGAGTGAGACCCCGCCTTTCTGTCTGGCAGTAGCCATCAGGTAAGCCACGGTGGGTGCATACAAGTACATCCAGGAGCTATGGAGGGAGAAGCAGTCTGATCTCATGCGCTTTCTTCTCAGGGTCCGCTGCTGGCAGTACTGCCAGCCCTCTGCTCTCCACAGGGCTCCCCAATCCACTTGGCCCCATAAAGTGCGCCGACTGAACTACAAGGCTACATTATATATAGGATTCATGTGTGCGGTGATGGCCAAAAACACCCAGTTCCTAAGGGTGCAACTTACGGCAAGCCTGAACATCATGGTGTTAACCAGCTAAACTTTGCTTGAACCCTCAGTCCATTGCAGAGGAGCAAGCTGGACACCACTGTGGGGCTCTAAGAGTCCTGAATTCTTACTGAGTTGAAGATTTCACATACAAATTTTTTGAGGTTATCCTCATTGATGCATTCCATTAAGCTGTCAGAAGAAATCCTGACACCCAGTGGATCACCAATCAGTCTACAAGCCCAGGGAGACACGTGGGCTGACATCTGCAGGCCGAAAGAGCCATGGCCTTGGAAAGGGCCTTAAGTTCCACCACACTATTGGTGGGTCTCGTCATGCAGCTTGGAGAAAATGTGATAATCTCCAGCTCCACTGTTGCCACTGACATAAGTAAAGTTTAAGTTTGTAAAATTCATACCTAATAAACAATTTAGGACAGTCAAAAAATAAAAATAAAAAATAATGAGACCCTGTCTCACACAAAACAAAAATGCTTTGAAAAGTTTTTTATTGTTATTTTATACAGTAGAGACATACACTACATAATAATTAGCTGATCCTTAATAACTTGGACACTTGAAGGATTTCACTGGTAAACTGGACCTAAATCCTTTTTTTCTGTCTTTTTAAAATTGATATATCATAGTTACACATATTTTGAGAGTACATGTGATATTTTGATACATGCATACAATGTGTAATGATTAAGTTAGGGTAACGAGGATATCCATTACCTGAAACGTTGATCTTTTCTTTGTGTTGGGAATGTTACAATTATCTTCTAGCTATTTTGAGATATACACTAATTATTAACTACGATTTCCCTACTGTACTATTGGACTAGAACTCATTCCTTCTATCAAATTATATTTTTGTGCGTATATCCAACTTCTCTTCACCCCTACTTCCCCCTCCTAAGTCATTCTAAAAAGGTAATTTTTCAAACTTTGTTTTCACTTTATTTTAGATGTGTCTTTGTGTAAGGAGTTTATCGAGTTTTTTGTTTGTTTGCTTGTTTGAGACCGAGTCTCACTCTCTTGCCTGGGCTGGAATGCAGTGGTGTGATCTCAGCTGACTGCAACCTCCACCTCCCAGGTTCAAGCAATTCTCGGGCCTCCGCCTCCAGAGTAGCTAGGACTACAGGTGTGAGCCACTATGCCTGGCCAATTTTTGTATTTTTAGTAGAAATGGGGTTTTTCCATGTTGGCCAGGCTAGTCTCAAACTCCCAACCTCAGGTGATCTGCCCGTCTAGTCTTCCCAAAGTGTTGGGATTACAGGCATGAGCCATCGCGCCTGGACTGTTTGTTTTTAGATGAAGTTTCGCTCTTGTCGCCCAGGCTGGAGTGCAATGGCGTGATCTCAGCTCACCACAACCTCCTCCTCCTGTTCAATCGATTCTCCTGCCTCAACCTCCCAAGTAGTTGGGATTACATGCACGTGCCACCAGGCCCGCCTAATTTTTGTATTTTTAATAGAGACAGGGTTTCACCATGTTGGGCAGGCTGGTCTCGAACTCCTGTCCTCAAGTGATCCACCCGCCTTGGCCTCCCAAAGTGCTGAGATTACAGGTGTGAGCCACATCACCCAGCTAATCAACTGATTTTTAAAATAGGGAGATTATCCTGGAATATCCAGGCAGACCGAATGTGTTCATAAGGATCCTTAAAAGTGGAAGACAGCCTGGGCAACATGACGAGACCCCGTCTCTACAAAAAAATACAAAAATCAGCCAGGGGTGGTGGCACCCGCCTGTAGTCCCAGCTACTTGGGTGGCTGGGGCAGGAGAATCACCTGAACCAGGAGACAGAGGTTGCAGTGAGCCAAGATTGCATCACTACACCCCAGCCTGGGCAACAGAGCAAGACCAAAGAAAGAAAGAAAGAAAGAGAGAGAGAGAAAGAGGCGGGGGGGAGAGAGAGAGAGAGAGAAAGGAAAAAGGAGAGAGAAAGAAAAAAGAAAAGAAAGAAAGAAGAAAGAAAGAAAGAAAGAAAGGAAGGAAGGAAGGAAGGAGGGAAGGAGAGAAGGAGGGAGGAAGGAAGGAAGGAAGGAAGGGAGAGAGGGAGGGAGGGAAGGAAGAAAAAAAAAAAAACAGGGCTCAGTGGCTCATGCGTGTAATCCTAGCACTTTGGGAGACCTAGGTGGGCGGATCACCTGAGGTCAGGAGTTCAAGACCAGCCTAGACAACATGGTGAAACCCCCTCCCTACTAAAAATACAAAAATTAGCCGCGCGTGGTGGTGGGCACCTGTAATCCCAGCTACTCGGGAGGCTGAGGCAGGGAGAATTGCTTGAATCCGGGAGGCGGAGGTTGCAGTGAGCCAAGATTGTGCCACTGAACTCCAACCTGGGCGACAGAGTGAGATTCCGTCTCAAAAAAAAAAAAAAAAAAATGGTGGGAGAGAGAGGCAGAAGAGGAGGTTGGAGTGATGGACACGAGAATTCAGCTTGCCATTGCTGACTTTGAAGATGGAAGGGACCGTGGGCTGAGGAAAGTGGGCAGCCTCTAAAATCTGGAAAAGAGAAGGGCATAGATCCTCCCTTAGAGCCTGCAGAGAGGAATACAGCCTGCTGACCCTTGGATTTTATCCCACTGAGGCGCTTGTCAGACCTCTGACTCCAGAACTGTAAGACAGGAAGTTTGTATTGTGTTCAGCCATGACATTTGTGGTAATTTGTTACAGCAGCAATACAAATCTAATAGAAGCAGAGTATCTACATAATATTTTGGATTTCTTCTGCATAGGAAAGTTAGTTGTCTTTTCTCACTCATGTCTTCTGATCTTTAGGAATGTTGTATTTTTGTTCTGGTGAATATATGTAAATGTATGCAATATACTTAGACTCAATTCTCGATTCCTTTAGACATTAGATTAGATGTTCGCTTCCTGCTATGAACAATGGTAAAATTAGTATGCTTTTCTTCCTTTCCTTTCCTCTATCATCTAATGCTAGCAATAAAATTATCTTTGCAAATTTTAATTTTATACTATAAAATATGCTGTATTGCATTCAACTTACATACCTTCCCGACTTGACTCAGATGTGTATTCCCAGGTCCCCTCCGAGCCACAGCCAGTGATTCTAGAAGTATTCTGGCCTTCCTTGGGCTTCCACCATGTAGTGGACCGCTAGGTCAGCACCTGCCTCCTGGAAACTGGGTCAATGGTGGCCCCCCACCTTCACCATCAGCCTAGCTTTCCATCCGAGTTGAGCAAGCCCTACTTCTTTGGCCCCTCCCATTGTTAATGGGCTCAGCTAAAGCACAGCCTTGCGGGGCACAGGCTCTGACTTCTCCAGAAGATGCTAGGGGGAACCACAGAGCGCAGTTAACACAACAAAAGTTTACTACAAGTTCCTTGCGAGGGCTTTTTTAATAAGCTGTCTTGAAGTCATGAAACTCCAAAGTCAAAACTGTATATGGACTCTCAAATGATTTATCTAAATTGAAAAAGAAAATTAGTGTGAGTAAAGAGGTGTTATTAGACCAAAGGTAAGTATGAGATTGTATTAAGCCATCATGGTTCATAGTTATGGGCTAGTGGGAAAGATACTCAATTATAGCTAGGCAGTTTTGGTTCTTTAAAATTGTCTCCATTATGTAATTAGCACCTTTTAGTTAGCTCTCATGGACAATAATAGAAATTGCTATATTCCTAAATCCTTCCATATGTTATCGTTGGAAATCACTCAATAGATTTTTTTCCTAAGTGTTTTATTTTCCTCTGCTTTATTTGTTTGTTGATAGAGACAGAATACAAAAATAGCAAAACATACCTAAATAACTCGTGAGCCAAGGAAAGATTCACAATGGAAATGAAAACTGAATGACAAGGAAGATATGACATAGCATAATGTGTGGAATATAGCTAACACAGTACTTACAGGGAAATTTAAAGCTTAATAAATATATTAGAAAAGAAGAAATGGTTCTATCTCCAGAAGCTATAGGCCAGGCATGGTGGCTCATGCCTGTAATCCCAGCATTTGAGGAGGCTGAGGCAGCAGGATCATTTGAGGTCAAGTTCGAGACCAGCCTTGGCAACATAGTGAGATCCCATCACTACAAAAATTTTTTCAAAAACATTAACAGGCCAGGCATGGTGGCTCACACCTGTAATCCCAGCACTTTGGGAGGCCGAGGCAGGCAGATCACCTGAGGTCAGGAGTTTGAGACCTGCCTAGCCAACATGGTGAAATCCCGTCTCTACTAAGAATACAAAAATTAGCTGGGCCTCGTGGTGGGCGCCTGTAATCCCAGCTACTCGGGAGGCTAAGGCAGGAAAGTCTCTTGAACCCAGGAGGCGGGGGTTGCAGTAAGCCGAGATCGCATCACTGCACTCCAGCCTGGGTGACAGAACGAGACCCTATCTCAAAAAAAAAAAAAAAAAAAAATACCCAGGCGAAGTGGTGCATGCCTATAGTCCTAGCTATTCAGGAGGCTGAGGTGCTCGAGCCCAGGAGTTACAGGCTGCAGTGACCTATGACGGTGTCACCGCACTCTAGCCTGAGCAACAGAGCAAGACCCTGCCTCTTAAAAAAAAAAAAAAAAAAAAAAGGAAAAGAAAAGAAACTGTAAAAAGAATACCAGCTAAAACCCAAAGAAAGTTGAAGAAAGGACATAATGAAGACAAGAGGCATGGCAGCTGCTGGGTTGAAACCAGCAGCTTGGGGTCCACATATCAAGAGAATCTGAAGAGGCTCTACTAGATGTAGCCAATACACCTTTGTCTTAGTCATTCATGCTGCTGTAACAAAATGCCAAAGACTAGGTAATTTTAAAAGAACAGAAATTTATTTATTTTGGTTCTGGAGGCTTGGGAGTCCAAGGTCTGGGTCAGCACTGGTGTCCAGTGGGGGCTGCTCTTTACTTCCAAGATGGTGTCTTGTTGCTTCATCCTCACCGGGTGGAATAGAGGGGTAAACTCTCTCCGAACCCTTGTTTATAAAGGGATTAATCCATTCATAACAGTGGAGCTCTCATGACTTAATGACTTAATCATCTCCCAAAATGCCCACCTCTTAATCCCACCACAATGGGCATTATGTCTCAACATGAAATTTGGAGGGGACACCAGGACACCACATTTAAACCATGGCAACCTTGTTTCTTTTCTTTTGTTTTCTATTATTTTTATTATTTTTATTTTTTGAGACAGAGTCTCACTCTGTCGCCCAGACTGGAGTGAAGTGGTGCGATCTCGGCTCACTGCAAACTCCACCTCCCAGGTTCAAGCGATTCTCCTGCCTCAGCCTCCTAAGTAGTTGGGACTACAGGCATGCGCCACCACACCCAGCTAATTTTTGTATTTTTAGCAGAGACGGTGTTTCACCATGTTGAGCAGGCTGGTCTTAAACTCCTGACCTCAGGAGATCCACCCGCATCGGCCTCCAAAAGTGCTGGGATTACAGGTGTGAGCCACTGCGCCCGGCCCTTGTTTCATCTTTTACCCTGTTTCAGAATTATCTTTCTATTGTAGATGTGATCATCTACCCTCCTGCTCAAAGCTTTTCATGGCTTTTTATTGCTCATAGAATGAAGTCCGAATAATTTTGTATGTTCAGGGCTTTCAAAACCTTGCCTACCCTATCTTCCCAGCCATATTTCCTGTCCCTTTATTATCCCTGCAGGTGTCAGAGATGACTGGTGCTTCTCCAAAAATTTGTGCTGCTCATTCCATAGCATGGAGCTGTCTCTTAAAGATGGATTCCCATGCAGGGACTCCATTTCCCGCCCTCCTTGTATCTATGTGTGGCCAGATGGCTAATGCTTTGCAATAGAATGAGAATAGAAGTGACATGTATCACTTCTAGGCTGGAATTTTTAAAGTGGATGGAGAATCCTCATTTTTGTTCTTCTGCTGCTTGCTAGAGCCAAAGGGAACCAAGGTCCTAAAGATGGCAGAGCCACACAAGGGAAGTAGTCTGGGTCCCCAAGTCATTCCACAAAGAAAAGCTGCCTTGCTCGCCTCTGAGTTGGCTTCCTTTTTACCATTTTTTTTTCCATGCAGAGACAAAAATAATCTGCTGCAGATTCCAGCTCACATTCTGCTAGTTTATTAACTGCAGCTCAAAGAGAACTCAGGCCAGGCGCCGTGGCTCATGCCTGTAATTTCAGCACTTTGGGAGGCCGAGGTGGGCAGATCACTTGAGGCTAGGAGTTCGAGACCAGCCTCCCAACATGATGAAACCCTATCTCTACTAAAAATATAAAAAAATAGTCAGGCATGGTGGCACACACCTGTAATTCCAACTACTCAGGAGACTGAGGCAGGAGAATCACTTGAACCCAGGAGGCGGAGGTTGCAGTGAGCCAAGATCATGCCACTGCACTCCAGCCTGGGCAACAAAGTGAGACTCCATCTCAAAGAAAAAAAAAAAAGAAAAGAAAAAGAAAAAAGAAAAGGAAAAAAGAGAACTCATGTTTATCGTGAATCTAGCAAAAGTCATAGGCTTGATTCTCATGGGGCTACTTCGGGTCACATGTGAATCCCTGAGCCATTCTCATGTCTGAGATGTTTTGGCCTGGCGTAGGTCACTGACCCACTTCTGCAGTTGAAGGTTGGAAAACACATAGCCTGGGCTTGGAGGAGACGTGTTTCCCCCAGCAGGTATTGAGTATACAAAAAGAAGCACACCCATTCAGTGGGCTCAGGACTTAAAGAGAAAATATCGTCCTAGGGCTGTCTCAGGCCTTCTTCCATGCACAGGGGCGAAATCCCCACACAACTCTTCCAGAAAAAGACTGTGACTCTTTTCTTCTCTGAGGGACAGGGAGAGAATCCATCTCCTAACCACGTACTCTTCATCTTTCCTCGTGCCCTTCTATGGAGATCAATGATGTCAGAGACAGGTGGCCAGAGTTGCTGCTTCTTCCACCTTCCTTTCCCTTCCACACCAGGCTGAGGCCTGACATTTTTCAAGAGGGTGGAAAGAACTCTGCAGCATGACATTTGATCCAAGACCTGAAGGATGACAAAGGAGAGTGGGGAGACCATTGATAAGCAAGGCGCCGAGGTAAGAAGAAACACGGGTTGTTGGAAGAAGGGAAGGAGGTCAGTGTGGATGGATCAAGGGAGGCCAGGGAGTGGTCGGAAGGAGACAGGCTCAGATAGGGAGGCAGAGGCCTGATCAGCAGGACCTTGTGGGCTGGGGCAGGAGTCTGGATTCTTTTCTACTCATGGTGGAAAGTTGTTGAAGAATTTTTAAATAGCATGATTTATTCTAGCTTTCCAGAAGTTCCCCTTTCTTACTATGGAGAGAATGGATTGGAAGGCACAAGGCAGGAGTGAGGAGACCAGCTGGGAGACAAGCAATGCGGGAGGGTGGAGACTAGGATGGTGGCATCGGAGTGAAGGCAGGGTGGGCTGGCGTGGTTAGAGTTGACAGAGTGTGGAGGGGTGGTGAGAGAAAGGAAGGATCAAGCGTGACTCGGAGGTTTCTTGCTGCAGCTGCTGAATGAATGCTACTTATTGAAATGGGGAAGCCTGGGGCAGGAACATGGGGAAGGAGAGATTGAGGGGAAACGTCCAGGCCTTTTCAGACTTACTGGGATGTTTGTAAGACATTCAGATGAAGATACCAACAACTGGATCCGTAAGAATCTGGAACTCTAAGAAAATTTTGGGTTGCATTTATGACTTTGAATTCATGGGATTTAACACTAAGAAATGGGTAAGAGCTCCTTGGGACAGAATAAAGATAGAGAAGATGAAAAGGCCAGAGCCAAGCTATGAGGAAGAGTTGAGGATGAAAATCAAAGGGGGAAGGAGTTCCATGGAAGGAAGAATAAAGGAGAAAGTGAAAAGCATGGCACATATTGTAGAACATATTGAGGTTCTCAAACAATTATCAGAATCACCTGTTGAGCTTGTAAAGCCCAGATTTCTGGGCCCAGAGTTTCTGACTCAGTGAGTCTGGGGTGGTACCCAGGAATTTGAATTTTTGACTAATTCCCAAGTGATGCTGATGCTAAGAGCCTGAGGACCACATATTGAGAAGCACTGACAGAGTGACACTTTCAACATGTTTATTTATGAATGGGGACCAGAGAAGTAGAAGGGAGTGGGGATACAGTAGGATTTTTTAAGATGAAAGACAGAACATCTGTTTGCTGATGGAAGCGTTCCAGTAGAGTAGGGGAGATGAATGATGCAGGGCGGAAGGGGATAAGTGAAGGGACAGAGTCCTTGATAATTCAAAAGGGACCTGGGCTTGCATCATCATAAAGGCTTTGGCTTCCATAAGAGGATGGACATTCCTCCACAGTGGCAAATGTTACAGGTTTAGAGGAGTTGAGGTTGGAGACTGGGCCAGCTTCCATTAGGAGCTTCTACATTCTCAGTAAAGAATGGAGAGCTCACCTGGAAGCTTTCATATTCTTTATTCTCAAGGAAGAATGAAGGGAGAGTGGAGAAAATGGTTGGGGAGATTTAAGGCAAGGGGGAAAGGCTATGAACTGGTTCTCTTGGGGAGTGGGAAGTCAAGTTTCCTAACCTAGTGTAACAGAACTTTCTGGAATCATGAAAATGTTCCATAACCTGCGTTAGTCACACGGGGCTGCTTATATTTAAGTTAATTAAAATTAAATAAGAATGGAAATGTAGTTGCTTGGTCTCACTAGTTGCGTCTCAAGCAGCTATGGTCTCACAGAGCACACAGTTGGCCCAGGAGCTGTGTTGGGTGCGTGCTAGAGGTCCTTGAAACCAGCCAGCCATGCTTTGCAATTTTCTTCCAGCAGTGCTCACCAGTTCTGTAGCAGGCCCAGAGAAGGTGAGAGATATAGGCCCTCAGGGTGAGGTTTTTCCAGACAAGCAGGACAAAAGTAGAGAGGCCCAGAGCAGCAAGGGTATTGGGGAAGGAGAGATTATAATGCTGGGCTGGGAAACCTACACTAGGAAAGAACAGTGAAGTTGCAAGGGATCTATCTCATGTAAGATTATCTTACTTTTATCTTCACTTTTTCTATAAACTCTATCTCAGGGATTAAATTGTTGATAAGGGGGAAGTTTCTTTTTATGCAAGTATTCCAGCTAGTGAAGAAGGAATGATAGAATTAGAGGATCAACAATCTATAAATTCTGGCCAGGTGTGGTGGCTCACGCCTGTAATCCCAGTACTTTGGGAGGCCAAGGTGGGCAGATCACCTGAGGTTGGGAGTTTGAGAGCAAACTGACCAACATGGAGAAACCCTGTCTCTAGAAAAATACAAAAATTAGCCGGCATGTCAGTGCGTGCCTGTAATCCCAGCTACTCTGGAAGCTGAGGCAGGAGAATCGCTTGAACCCGGGAGGCGGAGGTTGCGGTGAGCCGAGATCACGCCATTGCACTCCAGCCTGGGCAACAAGAGTGAGACTCCATCTCAAAAAAAAAAAAAAAAAAGTCAATTTTGGAAAACACAAGGGACTAAGGAATATGTTAGCATCTGAGGTATAGAATCAGTAAAATCCAGACTGGAAAATTCTTCTGAAAAAACAACCTGCTTTCTTTGTTCCTTCCTTCCTTCCCTTCCCTGCCCTCCCCTCCCCTCCCCTCCCCTCCCCTCCCCTCCCCTCCCCTTCCCTTTCCTTTCCTTCCTTTTTTGGATGGAGTCTCACTCTGTTGCCCAGGCTGGAGTGCAGTGGCGCGACCTCGGCCCACTGCAACCTTGGCCTCCCAGGTTCAAGGGATTCTCCTGCCTCAGCCTCCTGAGTAGCTGGGATTACAGGCTCATACCACCATGCCCAGCTAATGTTTTTTGTATTTTTAGTAGAGACAGGGTTTCACCTTGTTGGCCAGACTGGTCTTGAACAACCTGCTTTCTTCAACAAATAAGTTGCAAGGGAAAAATAGAGATGGAGGAGGAACCTAAAAGAGATTCATGACACACATCAACAATAATCATACTGTGGCTATATATTTTTAGAATACAAACTGAAATAGTAACAGATAAAGTTATGCACCTGGGATATACTTCAGGATGAAATCCCAATGGATGGAGTTATTTGCTGATTATCATAGCTGGTGGATGGGTACCTGGGGCTTCATTATACTATTCTACTTTATGTTTATTTGAAATTTTTCATAATAAAAAGGTTAAATAGAAATAACACTTCCTACACTAGATACTATATCCAGATGGTAGCCTGCCTCGCTCCTTCCTTTCACAACCAACCTTCTTGAAGGAATGATCTCTGCCACTTCTTCATGTCCTTACCTTCCATTCGTGGCTTTAGCCACTGCAGCCTTGAGTGCCTCCACCAGAACTAAGGTCTCCAGAACCTCTAAGCCAGGGGACACTTTTCTTTTTCTTTTTTGAGACAGAGTCTTGCTCTGTCACCCAGGCTGGAATGCAATGGCGCAATCTCAGCTCACTGCACCCTTCGCCTCCCAGGTTCAAACGATTTTTGTGCCTCAGCCTCCGGCACCTGCAATCATGCCTGGCTAATTTTTGTATTTTTGTAGACACAGGGTTTCCCCATGTTAGTCAGGCTGGTCTTGAACTCCTGACCTCGGATGGTCCACCCACCTTGGCCTCCCCAAGTACTGGGATTACAGGCATAAGCCACCGCGCCCGGCCCAGGGGACCCTTTTCTAATCTCAACTCCCTCACTACACCTTCCTTTCCAAACGCTCTCCAAACCAGGACAGCTGGAATTGGACAGCATAGGACTCACATGTCAGCTGGCCACACTCTGGCTTGATGTTCTTATTGGAGAGCCTCTCTAAGCCTCCATCTTCCCATTTGTAAAATGATGATAATAACTGTGTTTCTCTGTCCTGAGTATCGATTCCTGTATAACAATCTACCCCAAAACTTATGGGCCTAAAACACTATTTATGATGATCTTTCATGGTTCCAGGGGTGAGTGGTCTCAGCTGGGCAGCTGTCACTTGCCTCATGCAGTTACAGGCAGATGGTGCCAGAGGTTTATGTCATCTTCACTTACATCCCCGGCCCTAGACTAGGGTGGCTGGAGCAGCTAGAGCTGGTCAGGTGTCACTGTCTCCATGAGACCTCTCCCTGCAGCTGGCTTGCGCTTCCTTTCAGGATACTCTGACCTCTTATATGACAACTGGCTTCCCCCAGAGTGAGCACTCAGGGAGACAGGAGGCAGAAACTTCTGATTTTTTATAGACCACAACGTGGCACAGCATCCCTTTTACTATATTCAATTGGTCAAAGCTGTCACAGAAACTGCCAAAGTTCAAAAGGAGGGGACAGTGAAGTACCAGGGAAAAAGTCTCAAAGTCGTTCAGCCTTGAAATAAACCCCATCTTCTATTGTAAAAACCTCTCTCTCTCTCTCTCCTCTCTTTCTTTCTTTTTTTTTTTTTTTTTGAGATGGAGTCTCACTCTGTCACCCAGGCTGGAGTGCGGTGGCACAATCTCGTCTCACTGCAAGCTCTGCTTCCTGGGTTCACGCTATTCTCCTGCCTCAGCCTCCCAAGTAATTGGGGCTACAGGCGCCCGCCACCACGCCCAGCTAATTTTTTTAATATTTTTAGTAGAGACGGGGTTTCACTGTGTTAGCCAGGATGGTCTCGATCTCCTGACCTCGTGATCCACCCGCCTCGGCCTCCCAAAGTGCTGGGATTACAGGCGTGAACCACTGTGCCCAGCTCTCTCCTCTCTTTCACTCGCTCGCTCTCTCTGCCAACATCCTTTAGATCAGAGTTTATCAAAATATGAATGTGTTAGATACTCATTTGGCTGCAAGAAGCGGCACTGGCTTAAACAATAGGAGGTATTTTCCCCTCATTATAAGCCTCTCATTATTACACCTCAGCCTCCCAAGTAGCTAGTACTACAGGTGCACACCACCATGCCCTGATAATTTTTGTATTTTTGGTAGAGATGGGGTTTCGCCATCTTGCCCAGGCTGGTCTCAAACTCCTGGGCTCAAGCAATCCTCCTGCCTTGGCCTCCTAAAATGTTGTGATTACAGGCGTGAGCCACCGCACCCACCTAATGTGATGTTTCAATACAGTATATAATGTGTAATGCTCGTATCAGGTAATTGGCATGTTCGTCATCTCATTTATCATGTCTCTATATTGGGAACATTTAAAATCCACTTTTCTAGCTATTTGAAAATATACAATAAATTATTGTTTATTATAGTCACTCTATAGTGCTGTAGAACTCTTATCTAGCTGTAGTTTTGTATTCAGCAACCAGCCTCTAGTCATCTCCCCCCTCCTCTGCTTCCCAGCATCTAGTAGCTATTGATCTACTCTCTACTTCTAGGAGATCAACTTTTTAAGCCTCCACACATGAGTGAGAACATGGAGTATTTATCTTTCGGTGCCTGGATTATTTTGCTTTTTTTTGAGACACAGTTTCACTCTTGTCGCCCAGACTGGAGTGTGATGGCACAGTCTCGGCTCACTGCAACCTCCACCTCCCGGGTTCAAGCAATTCTTCTGACTCAGCCTCCTGAGTAGCTGGGATTACAGGCGCCCACCACCATGCCCGGCTAATTTTTGTATTTTTAGTAGAGACAGGGTTTCACCACATTGGCCAGGCTGGTCTTGAACTCCCGCCCTCAGGTGATCTGCCAGCCTCAGCCTCTAAAAGTGCTGGGATTACAGGTGTGAGCCACCACACCCAGCCTGGCTTATTTCACTTAACATAATGTCCTCCAAGCTTACTAAGTTGCCACAAATGACAGAATTTTGTTCTTTTTAATTGCTAAATAGTATTCCATTGTATAGATATACCTGGTCTCTCTCTTATAAGGATATTTATATTGGCATTTAGGGCATCCCCTCCCAGATGATCCAGGATAATCTCCTCATCTCAAAATCCTTAATCCAATGACATCTGCAAAGACCCTTGTTCCAAATAAGGTAATATTCACAGTTTCCAGGAATCAGTGAATGGATATCTTGTGCCAGGAGAGAATGCATTTTTCAGCCTACCACAGTGGGAGTGAGCAAGGCGGAAGAGGATCAGCCTCTCTCACAGAAAAAGCCGTCTTCCTTTACAGGAGTGTTGCCCCCAAATCCTTTTTCTGACACCATCTGTAGGATTTTAGCTCCGTGGATGTAACTCCCATTCTACCACATGGTGGCTGTGAGAATGTGCCACTCACATCTCTGACTGCAGGAAATGCAATGGACTCAGGGCCTTGGCCATTGCACTCTGAACTGCCTCACTGCATTGGGGGTGAGGCTGTGCTTTCCATGGGCTGCTCCAGCCAGTGCCTGAGCACAGTAGGGTAGTAAGGTAGGCCCATTATGGGATCCTCTGACAGATGGCCGGCTGAGGACTCCTCAAAGGCCTTGCTGAACCTGTCTTAGAACTGCCCTGCAGACTAAGATGCTGCCACCCAGACTCCCTTCCTTCCTGCTCTTCGCTGCTCCCTGGGGTCAGCTCTGAATCCCAGTCTGACCACTCACAAAACCTTCTTCTGGCTCCCTCCTCATTTCTCTCACAGACATTCCCCCTAGTACATTTCTTGCATGTTTAATCCCTTCTTGGCATCTGCTTCTTAGACAATCTATTTACACTTAACTTTTCATTAAATAAATGTATTTAAGGAGGAATTCTATATCGCTACTGGAGATAGGAAGCCAAAATCACTTGCCATGAATAGAGGGGAAGCTGAAAATGCATAGATATAGACCAACAAAATAATGTTATTAAATTTTAGCCAGTTACTCATTGCTTACTTGCCAGAGGATCAAAGTCCGAGATTGGATTGCTCTTTAAAGGGAGTTTAGCCAGTGTTAGGAAGGTGTTAAAGACCTATTCACAGCTGGGCGCAATGACTTATGCCTGTAATCCCAACATTTCAGGAGGTAGGGGTGGATGGATTGCTTGAGCTCAGGAGTTCAAGACCAGCCTGGGCAACATGGTGAAACCCTGTCTCTACTAAAAATACAAAAATTAGCCAGGCGTGGTGGCATGCACCTGTGGTCCCAGCTACTTGGGAGGCTGAGGCAGGAGGGTCACTTGAGCCCAGAAGCTTGAGACTGTAGTGAGCCGTGCTCATGCCACTGCCTTTCAGCCTGGGTGACAGAGCAAGGCCCTGTCTCAATAAATAAATAAATAAATAAATAAATCACAAAAAACAACCGTATTCACATCAAACTAAGACTTTCCCCTGAATCGAATCAGAACTATCAACAGAGAATTAAAGAGAGAATAATTTTCTCATTTGGGGGTTCCATGTTAACATTTACCATAGACTAGTAAATACTCCTCAAACAGACATATAGCCATACACATGGTTGAAAGGCAGTAAAGATGAGTTAATTGTTGAGGAAACCTTGTGGCAGGAAAACTATTGAAATATTAATTTGTGTTTTGTTCTAGTAGTAAGTTTTCCTCCATCGGCACCAATCAGGTAGCTGTTCTTCATGCTTTCTTGTCTTTGGGGGTCTGTGTGGAGAGAGCAGGGTCTTTTGAAGGCGCTTCTCTTGCAGTCTTCAAAGCAAGCTAAATTCATGAGTGGGGAAGAGAGGTGTGTGGACACAGGACCATGGAAGGACAGAAGGAGGTTGCTCAAGCTAGGGAGGAGGACAGAGGCTTGGGATCCAGAGAGCAGTGAGGACCCCCATTCCCCTCCTTGGGAACAGAATCCAAAGTGGAGAGGGAAGAAGGTGGCTGCATGGCAAGCCCACCACAACGGGATAGAGCCTTGGAGTCAAAGTGAAGAAAACAAAATCATGTGACATTATCCACACACTTGAGTTTGTCCACCTGGAGCCCTACATCTTAAATAATTCTTTTCTTCTTTTTTTTTTTTTTGAGATGGAGTCTCCCTGTGTCTCCCAGGCTGGAGTGCAGTGGCGCAATCTCGGCTCACCACAACCTCCGCCTCCTGGGTTCAGGTGATTCTCCTGCCTCAGCCTCCCGAGTAGCTGAGATTAGAGGTATATGCCATGACGCCCAGCTAATTTTTGTATTTTTAGTAGAGACAGGGTTTCACCATGTTGGCCAGGATGATCTTGAACTCCTGACTTTGTGATCCACCCGCCTCAGTCTCCCAAAGTGCTAGGATTACAGGTGTGAGCCACTGCGCCCGGCTAATAATTCTTTTTTTTTTTTTTTCTTTGTTTGAGATGGAGTCTTGCTCTGTTGCCCAGGCTGGAGTGCAATGGAGCGATCTTGGCTCACTGCAACCTCCGCCTCCCAGGTTCAAGCAATTCTCCCACCTCAGCCTCCCAAGTAGCTAGGATTACAGGCATGCGCCACCATGCCCGGCTAATTTTTGTATTTTTAGTAGAGATGGGGTTTTCACCATGTTGGCCTGGCTAGTCTTGAACTCCTGACCTCAGGTGATCCACCCGCCTCAGCCTCCCAAAGTGCTGGGATTACAAGCCTGAGCCACCACGCCCGGCCAATAATTCTTATAATGACAATCAACTCACTCCCAAGCCATCTATTTACATTTATATTTTTATGGTGCCCCAAATGATGGCGATCTGTTGTTTTACATGTATATCTTCAATCTACAGAACCATACCCTCTGCCTCACGAGGGTGAGCTAAAACATTATTGTGGCCTGGTGGCCTTTGGAGAACCAACTTGTGGTTTGTTGGGAAAGGACACACTGTGTTTTCCATGAGTCACTAGGAGAGCAGAGAAATAACAGGATCCAACACAGTCTTATGGACCCAGCCTCACACTCTCCACTTTCCTCTGTTGGCGTCATCTGCAGGCAGCTGCTGGTGGCAGAGATGGCTGCCAACCCTAAGCTTATATAACATCCTCTCCTCAACCTTGGAGGGATGGGAGTCTCCACAGCAGCTCACCTACAGAGCTGGCTCTGTCTGGATGTCACATCTGTCCTTGAAACAGTCGCCATGGCCAAGATGGTGGAGGGTTCTAATTAGCTGGGTTAAATTCCCACCTCTGCTAGGAGGGGTGGAACTGGCCTGTCCAGAACAGCATGAGAATAGGGAAGAAGCAATTTCCCAAGAAAATGAGAGTTCAGTTACTGGAAGATGAAGGATGAATGCTGGAGGGATGGGAAAACACCAGATATCTTCCTCAGGTAAACTTCAAGCTGGTAGACCCTTCCTTTCCCACCCTTCCCCAGAAACAATTGTGCCCAGAGCATGCAGAGCTCGTTGGTGTGGAGAAGACACTGATATCTTGTTCTTGGAAAATTCCAAGTGTGTTTACAGACTGAGGAGCCTCAGGCAAGGGGGTCCCCCACCTGGCATGACTGGGGGCCCTGATGGACATGCTGCCAGTTCCTGCTAAACTCAGAATGCACATTCTTAGAATCCTGTGTATTGGCTGGGCGTGGTGGCTCATGTGTGTAATCCCAGCACTTTGGGAAGCTGAGGAGGGAGGATCACTTGAGCTCAGGAGTTCAAGACCAGCCTGGCCAACACGGTGAAACCCCATCTCTACTAAAAATACAAAAGTTAGCCAGGCATAGTGGCCCGAATCTGTAATCCCAGCTACTGGGGAGGCTGAGGTGGGAGAATCACTTGAACCCGGGAGGCAGAGGTTGCGGTGAGCCGAGATCATGCCATTGCACTACAGCCTGGGTGGCAGAGTGAGACTCTGTCTCAAAATAAATAAATAAATAAATAAAATTTGTATATCTCTAATGAGGGGCTTAAAAGTAGGGGCTCTTGACCTTTCTAAGCCTTGGTTTTCTCACTTGTGAAATGGGCATGAAAAGAGTATTTCTCTCCCACAAGGGCTGCTTCAGGAACAATATGCCCAGAGCATATTACCTAGTAGCTAGGTCACAGGCGCACTTAATTAACATTGGTCATTGTCTTTTTTTTTTTTTTTTGGAGATGGAGGCTTGTTGCAATGGTGCAGTCTCAGCTCACTGCAACCTTCACCTCCTGGGTTCAAGTGATTCTCCTACCTCAGCCCCCCGAGTAGATGGGATTACAGGCGTGTGCCACCACACCACCACACCTGGCTAATTTTTGTATTTTTAGTAGAGACTGGGTCTCACCATGTTGGCCAAGCTGGTCTTGAACTCCTGACCTCAAATGATCCAACTGCCTTGGCCTCCCAAAGTGTTGGGATTACAGGCGTGAGCCACTGTGCCCAGCCTTGTTATCTGAACAGTAGCATAATTCTTCATACAAGCACATACACAAATATGATCCCATTTGATTTTCCTAGTGTGATAGTTGATATCAGGTGTTGGCTTGACTGGATTGAAGGATGCCTAGATGGCTGGTAAAGTACTGTTTCTGGGTGTGTCTGTGAGGATGTTGCCAGAGGAGACTGACATTGAGTCAGCTGACTGGGAGAGGAAGAACTCACCCTCAGCATGGGTGGGCACCATCTAATGGGCTGCCAGCAGGGATAAAACAAAGCAGGTGGAGGAAGGTGGGATGAGCTGGCTTGCTGAGGCTTCTGGCTTTCATCTTCCTCCCGTGCTGGATCCTCCCTTCCACTCCTCCTGCCCTTGGACATCAGACTCCAGGTTCCTCCGCCTTTGAACTCTTGGGCACGCACCAGTGATTTGCCAGGGGCTCTCGGGCCTTTGGCCATAGACTGAAGGCTGCACTGTCAGTTTCCCTGCTTTTGAGGCTTTCAGACTGACTGAGCCACTATATCCCTAGAGCTTATCAGTAGCAGAGCCAGGTTTCAAAGCCAAATCACTGGCCTTTCAATGCAATCTCCTTCTCATCCCCCACTCAATCGAATGCTGATCAGGAACATTGGAGGAATACCTGAAGTGAGCCTTCCAGAACAATACAGGCTCTTCATGTCAGTCTAAATAGTCTAGAACCACTGTCCAGTAGAAATACAATGTGAACAGCCAGGCGCAGTGGCTCACACCTGTAACCTCAGCACTTCCGGAGACCAAGGCGGGCGGATGACGAGGTTAGGAGTTTGAGAGCAGCCTGGCTGACATGGTGAAACCCTGTCTCTACTAAAAATACAAAAAATTAGCCTTGGTGGAGGGCGCCTGTAATCCCAGCTAACTGGGAGGCTGAGGCAGGAGAATCACTGGAACCCAGGAAGCAGAGGTTGCAGTGAGCTGAGATTGCACCACTGCACTCCAGCCTGGGTGACAGCATGAGACTCCATCTCAAAAGAAAGGAAGAAGGAGGGAAGGAAGGAAGGGAGGGAGGGAGGGAGGGAGGAAGGGAAGAGAAAAGAAAAGAAAAGAAGGAAGGAAGGGAGGGAGGGAGGAGGGGAGGGAGGGAGGAAGGAAGGAAGGGAGGGAGGGAGGGAGGGAAGGAGGGAGGAGGGGAGGGAGGGAGGAAGGAAGGAAGGGAGGGAGGGAGGGAGGGAGGGAGGGACTATGTGAACCACAGGTGTAATATGAAATCTCCTAGTATCCACATAAAAAGTTTTTTAAAGAGCCACACATGGTGGCATGGCCCTGTAGTCCCAGCTACTAGAGAGGCTGAAACAAGAGGATCCCTTGAGCCTAGGAGCTCGAGGCTGCAGTGAGCTGTGATTGTGCCTGTGAATAGCCACTGGACTCCAACCTGGGCAACATAGTGAGATTCCCATCTCTTAAAAAAATTTAAAATAGGCCAGGCGCGGTGGCTCACGCCTGTAATCCCAGCACTTTGGGAGGCCGAGGCGGGTGGATCATGAGGTCAGGAGATCGAGACCATCCTGGCTAACAAGGTGAAACCCCGTCTCTACTAAAAATACAAAAAATTAGCCGGGCGCGGTGGCGGGCGCCTGTAGTCCCAGCTACTGGGGAGGCTGAGGCAGGAGAATGGCGTGAACCCGGGAAGCGGAGCTTGCAGTGAGCAGAGATTGCGCCACTGCAGTCCGCAGTCCGGCCTGGGCGACAGAGCGAGACTCCGTCTCAAAAAAAAAAAAAAAAAAAAAAAAAATTTAAAATAAATAAAAGTTTAAAACATTGATTTTAATAATATATTTTATTTACCCTGATATATCCAAAACACTATCATTTCAACATGTAAATGAATATACAAACAGTTAATGTTTTACATTATTTTTTTCATATTAAATACTTGGAATCTGGTGTGTATTTTACCCTTATAGCACATCTCATTTCAGACTACCCACCTGTCAAGTGCTCAATAGCCAGTAGCCACATGTAACCAACTGCAGTTCCTATTTGGACAGTGCAAGACTAGAGGCAGATTAGGAATAAATTTAGGACACCAGAAAAGCAGGAGGACAAAGGAGAGGGGCTGAGAAAGAGAGAGAGACAAAGAGAGAGATTCTGCTTTGACGAGTCTAACCAGAACCTTGCAAAATAGCCTAGAAAGTGGAGATTTAAGATAAGCATAGGCTGGGCGCGGTGGCTCACATCTGTAATCCCAGCACTTTGGGAGGCTGAGGCGGGCAGATCACCTAAGGTCAGGAGTTCGAGACCAGCCTGGCCAACATGGTGAAACTCTGTCTCTACTAAAAATACAAAAATTAGCCAGGCGTGGTGGCACACGCCTGTAATAGGGGAGACTGAAGCAGGAGAATTGCTTGAACTCAGGAGGTGGAGGTTGCAGTGAGCTGAGATCGCACCATTGCACTCCAGGCTGGGTGACAAGAGTGAGACTCCATCTAAAAAAAAAAAAAAGACAAGTACCTATTTTGTGGTTTAGCATTGTTTTTATTTTGAATTACAGTGGGGTGGGGACGATGAGACACCATGATCTTGTCCTCAATCAGAAGACAGCTGAAGGTCTTAATGCTGTCCTAGGACACCAATGGCAGAATCGATGACCCAGGATGTGGCAGCAGAACTCACTGTAGCCAGCTGAATCAGAAAAGGAGTGTGTTAAACACTGCTAGGTAGCTCATGGAATCTCGGGAGATGGAGACTCCATCTTGCAAGGAAGCGTCCTGAATCGATGCTCAAATTAAAGTGCAGGCCACTCCTGCGAGGGTGTCTGTTTCAGCCATCTCTGTCCAGGATGCCTGAGTAACTAACTACCATTCTCGCTGAGTACAGGGCTCGACCACCAGGAACCTGGCCACAGCACCCTCCAAGCTTCGGAGGTCTCTCTCCGTCACCCTTGCCCCAGCAGACACTGGCAGCTCGTCTTGGTTCATGTTGTTTATGTTGTTTGTTTTTAACTGGAGTCTATGGGAAAATCCCAGCCATAGAACTTGGGTCACACGCTTGCACTCAGTAGCATGGAGTCTGGGAAAGTAATTTGCAGACTCTGTTGTGAGGAAGTTAACTCATAAGTGGGAAATTGCCCAAGCATAAAGGTGTGCAGCAGGTTCCTATAAGCATGACACATGCCCACTATTCTAACTGATTAGGTTTTCTCTTTTAAAAATTATTGTGACGGCCGGGCGCAGTGGCTCACGCCTATAATCCCAGCACTTTGGGAGGCTGAGCTGGGTGGATCACCTGAGGTCAGGAGTTCGAGACCAGCCTGGCCAAAATAGTGAAACCCTGTCTCTACTAAAAATACAAAAATTAACCCGGTGTGGTGGCGGGTGCCTGTAATCCCAGCTACTTGGGAGCCTGAGGCAGGAGCATCTCTTGAACCCGGGAGGTGGAAGTTGCAGTGAGGCAAGATCATGCCATTGCACTCCAGCCTGGGCAACAGAGTGAGACCTTGTCTCAAAAAAAAAAGAAAAAAAAAATTATTGTGACAATCAACAAAAGGAGAAAGCAACCCATGGAATAGGAGAAAATGTTTGCAAATCATATATTCAGTAAGAGTATACCCCAAATAAATAAGGAAGTCATGCAACTCAATAACAAAAAAAACCCCAAATAACCCAATTTAAAAATGGGCAAAGGACATGAATAGACATTTTTCCAAAGAAGACATACAAACTGGCTTGACAGGTACATGAAAATGTAGTCAATATCACTAATCAGCAGTGTAATGCAAATCAAAACCACCATGAGATATCACCTCACAACTGTTAGGGTGACTATTATCAAAAAGGCAAAAAATAACAAGTGTTGGCAAGGATGTGGAGAAAAGGGAACCCTCAGAAATTGTTGGTGGGAATGTAAATTGGTACAGCCACTGTGGAAAATAGTAGGGAGGTTTCTCAAAAAAATAAAAATAGAACTACCATATGATCCAGCAATCTTACTTCTGGATATATATCCAAAGGAAATGAAATCAGTATCTCAAAGAGATATCCCCACTCCTGTGTTCACTGCAACATTATTCACAGTAGCCAAGATATGGAAACGACTGAAGTGTTCATCCACAGATGAATGGATAAAGAACATGTGTATATATTATATAGTGTATATATATATATTTTTAATTAATTAATTTTTTTTGAGATGGAGTCTCACTCTATCTCCCAGCCTGGAGTGCAATGGAGTGATCTCCACTTACTGCAACCTCTGCCTCCCAGGTTCAAGCCATTCTCCTGCCTCAGCCTCCCGAGTAGCTGGGATTACAGGCATGAGCCACCACTCTTGGCTATATTTTATTTATTATATATAATGTATAATTCCTTTGGATATATACCTTTCTTTTGTGGCTTGTTAATATATAATATATAAATGTAAAATATATATAAAATATGCATATATAATGGGATGTTATTCAGCCTTAAAAAAGAAGGAAATTCTGCCATTTTCTACAACATGGATGAACCTGGAGGACAAGAAGTACAGATATTGCATAATCTCACTTACATGTGGAATCTTAAAAAGTCAAATTCATAGAAGGAGAAAGTAGAAGGGTGGTTACCGGGGGATGGGGTAGGGGAAAAGGGGTGATGTTGGCCAAAGGTTACAAACTTTCAGTAATTAGATGAATAAGCTCTAGAGATCTAATGTACAGCATAGTGACTATAGTAAATAATACTGTATTGTATACTTGAAATTTGCTAATGGATGAGATCTTAAGTATTCTCACCACACACATATATACATACACATGTACCTCTGTGAGGTGATGAATATGTTAATTAGCTTGACTAAAGTAATCATTTCACAATGTATATGTATAGCAAAACATCACCTATACCTTGAATATATACAATTTTTGTCAATTATACCTCAATAAAAATTGTCGTAAAATATATTTTACAGACAAGAGTGTATATTATATATATACACAGTGAAATAATAATAATTATTCTGGCTGGGCACAGTGGCTCATGCCAGTAATCCCAGCACTTTGGGAGGCTGAGGTGGATGGATCACCTGAGGTCAGGAGTTTGAGACCAGCCTGACCAACCTGGTGAAACCCCCGTCTCTACTAAAAATACAAAAACTTAGCCTGTAATCCCAGCTACTTGGGAAGCTGAGATAGGAGAATCGCTTGAACGTGGGAGACAGAGGTTGCAGTGAGCTGAGATCACACCATTACACTCCAGCCTGGGCAACAAGAGCAAAACTCCATCTCAAAATAATAATAATAATAATAATAATTGTTCTTACTTTCCTGGTTTAGAAATCCAACATTACTAGCCTGAAACCACAGCCTCTCTTTGTCTGTCCTTGGGATTTTTGTTGAACTTTCTTGAAAACCCAGCCTGTCTTTGTCTTTCTTTGGGATTTTTGTTGATTTTTTTTTTTTTTTTGAGAAAGTAATAAGGGTTCTTATTGTCAAAACAAGAGATCATAATAGAAGACACAAATAAATTAATGGTTCTGATAATTTTAGACTCCAGGGCCTCTCTATGGAAAGTTCAGCTTCTTATTCAGAGAAGATTCTATCCACAACAAAAAACAAGTATTTGAGACAGTGTTCAAGACAATGACTGAACTTATACATGGTAAGGAGAAATGAAAAGGCACTTTCAGCCAGGCATGGTGGCTCACGCCTGTAATCCCAACATTCTGGGAGACTGAGGCGGGCAGATCACTTGAACTCAGGAGTTTGAGACCAGCCTGGCCAATATGGTGAAACTCCATCTCTACTAAAAATACAAAAATTAGCTGGGCGTGGTGGTGTGTACCTATAGTCCCAGCTACTTGGGAGGCAGAAGCAGGAGAATCGCTTGAATCCGGGAGACAGAGGTTGCAGTGAGTCAAGATGGCACCACTGCACACTCCAGCCTGGGCAACAGAATGAGACTCCATCTCAAAAAATAAATAAATAAAATAAAAAGACTGTTTCCCTATTTCCTTTAGTGTGTGTGTTTTGCGTAAAGGGATGAGGCTCATTTTGGTGAAAAATGCTTTCATACGGAAAAGTTTGGATTCTTTCGCCTCCCCCACCACAGAGTTTTCAGGCCCTGAACTGATCAAAGAAATCAAAATATGGTGACGCTGGTTTCACACGGACCTCAAGACTATAATCTAACTGTACCTACCAACTTCTTTACTTTAAAGAAAGTTTAAAGTCCATTTACCTGTATCAAACCAGTAGACTAAATTATCTCCTTTAGGAAGTTTTTAACCAAATCGGAATTAACTTAATCTCACTTGAAAGTGAAAGAAAGGCTTTGCAAGACTGACTAGTGTTTGTTCTATGGCAAAGAAAGACGAGGATGCCTCCCCCAGAACTGGCCTAACGGGTAACACATGAAGAACTGGCTGCAGAGCAGTAATCCATTAGATCTATCAAAAAGCAATGGGACTCAAGGTTCAGCCTAGAAAGAGGATTGCTGCCAAGTCTGGCTCTTACCAGACAACCCAGGTACCAAAGAGATCTTAGGCCCCCTAACTGAGAAGGCTGGAGCACAGCGTCAGCAGTCAACACGGCCAGAGTCGTCTCAACGAGTCAGTGAGCTTTGTTGAATTTATTTTTAATTTTTTTTAGTAGAGACAGTCTTTCACCACATTGGTGAACTCCTGGCCTCAAGTAATCCACCCGCCTTGACCTCCCAAAGTGCTGGGATTACAAGCGTGAGTCACCACACCTGGCAATTTTGTTGAATTTTTTTATTGACATATGATAGTCGTACATATTTTGAGGATACCTGTGATATTTTGATAGATGTATACAATGTGTGATGATCAAATTAGGATAATTGGGAAATTCATCACCTCAAACATTTATCTTTTCTTTGCGTTGGGACACTCCTTGTGTATACCCTTTCCTCTCCCCCTGGTGGTCGCTACTATCCTGACTTTTGTTATTAGTCATTTTCTTACTGTAACTAATGATAATTTAAATTATTAATTTTGAGATACTACAAATTCATAGGCAGTTGTGTGACCTTTTCCTGTCTCCTCCAACCGTAAATCTTACAGAACTAAAGTATGATATCACAAGCAGGATATTGACATTGAAGCAATCCACAGCTTTTATTCAGATTTACCCCGTTTTACCTGTACTCATTTGTGTGTGTGTGTGCGTGTGTGTGTGTATTTAGGGCTATACAATTTCACGACAAATGTAGGCTTGTACATCAACCACCACAGTCAAGATACTGCACAGTTCCAATGCCACAAGGATATTTTTTGTCTTCCTTTTACAAATCCTTAACTCCTAGCAACCACTAATCTTTTCTCCATTTTTGTAATTTTGTCATTTCAAGAATGTTATATAAATGGAATCATAAAATACGTAAACTTTGAGATTGGCTTTTTTCATTCAGCATAATTCTTTTGATATTCTTCCATAATTGTCGATTGTTGCCTAATGCTTTATTGTTGTTGTAGTTTTGCTTTTTTTTTTTTTGAGATGGAGTCTTGCTCTGTTGCACAGGCTGGAGTGCAGTGGTGGGATCTTGGTTCACTGCAACCTCTGCCTCCCGGGTTCAAGCAATTCTCTTGCCTGAGCCTCCCGAGTAGCTGGGATTACAGGTGTGTGCCATCATGCCTGGCTAATTTTTGTATTTTTGTAGAAATCGGGTTTCACCATGTTGGCCAGGCTGGTCTTGAACTCCTGACCTCAAGGGATCTGCCCGCCTTGGCCTCCCAACGTGCTGGTATTAGAGGCCTGAGCCACCGCACTTGGCCTGTTGCTTAATGGTTTTAACACATATGTTTGTATTCCTAAATAGCCTATTGTTCACTTTTATGTGTTTAAAAAATAATTTGAATATTATAATTTTTTTGTAATTTACTTTTTTCATTCAACTATATTTTTGATTGTGTGGCTTTATTGATGTGTGTGGCTGTGGGGCCATTTATTTTTCTTGCATTAATTTATCACAAAGTATTCATCCAATTAGTTATTGACAGATATTTGGGTTGTGTCTTTTATTTTTAGGTTGAGTTTTTATTTTTTGGAATATTATGAATGATGATATTATGAATATTCTTGCCTGTGTCTCTTGGTTCACTAATGGATGACTTTTTCTAGATTAAAAATGTGGACTGGAATTTCTGGCTCAATTTTACTAAATAAAGTCAAACCTATTGCTTGGTGCCCTCACCAATACTTGGTATTTTCAGACTTCTAGATTTTGTCAGTCTGATATAAAACAGTATTTCATTGTCATTTTAATTTGCATTTTATTGTTTATGAATGAGATCGTGCATCTTTTATATATATGTTTATATATTCATGTTTTCCTGGGAATGCCCGTTCATGTCTTTTGTCATTTTTCTATTGAGTTTATCTTTTTTTTAAAAATTGATTCATAACAGTTCTTTACATATTCTGGATTCTAATCATTTGTAAGAGAAATGTGTTGAAAAAGTTTTCTCAGCTTATTGTTTAGCATATCATTCTCCTTATTGTGTGTTTTGATAAAGACATTCTTAATTTGTCTACAATTAAATTTATCAACTTTTTCTTTTCTTTTCTTTTGAGACAGAGTATAGCTCTGTCGCCTAGGCTGGGGTGCAGTGACATTATCTCGGCTCACTGCAGCCTCCGCCTCCTGGGTTCAAGCAATTCTCTTGCCTCAGCCTTCTGAGTAGCTGGGACTACTGGCGCGTGCCACCACACCCAGCTAACTTTTTGTATTTTTAGTAGAGACGGGGGTTTCACCATGTTGGCCAGGATGGTCTCGATCTCCTGACCTCATGATCTGCCCGCCTTGGCCTCCCAAAGTGCTGGGATTACAGGCATGAGCCACCGTGCCCAGCCTCAACCTTTTTCTTTTCTTTTTTAAGTTCACAGTTCTTCAAGGTGGAAACCCTTTTTCTTTTGTGGTTTATTTTTTGGGTCTTATTTAAGAAATTCTTTCTTATCCTGTGGTCATAAACATATTCCTCTACATTGTCTATATACATATACATGTATATGTATTCACACACATCTAAATGTTTAATCCACCAGAAACTGATATGTGTGTTATTCAGTTTCCTTTATTTTTCCCAAACGGATAAGCACTTGTTCCAATTCCATGTATTGAATATGACATCTTTCCCTGCTGCACTGCATACCCTCTCTCATAAATCAATGCACACATATGTGTGGGGCTGTTTCCAGGCTCTCTCTCAGGTACCAGTGGTCCCTCTGTGAATGAAAGCCACATCATTTTAATTACTATTGATATCTGATTGATCAAGCCTACACACCTTGTCCTTCAGGAGTGTTTCGACTCTTCTTTCACATAAATTTTGAAAGAAATTTATCATGTCCCACAAAAAGACTGTCAAGTATTTTTAAAAATTGTATTATATCTATAGATGAATTTGGAGATTTTTGGCCTCTTTGATTCTGAATCTTCCAATCCATTAATATAGTAAAACTTTCCATTGATTAGTGTCTTCTTTAATGTCTTCCAATAAAGTTTTTTGTTGTTGTTGTTTGTTTGTTTTTTAGACAGGGTCTTCTTTTTTGTGGCCCAGGCTGGAGTGCAGTGGTGCCATATAGGATCACTGCAACCGCCACGTCCCGGGCTCAGGTGATCCTCCCACCTCAGCCTCCCGAGTCTCTGGGACTACAGGTGCACACCGCCATGCCCGGCTACCAATAAAGTTTTCTAATTTTATATACAAAGAGCTTGCACAATATTTTCAAAAAATCAATTGCAAGGGACTTTGTATTTTTGTTGTGTTTTAAATCATTTTTCATTAGACTTTTTATTTTTCTGACAGTTGCTGGCATGTAGAAATTTAATTGACACTGAAACCTTACACACTCAGATTCTTTTTTTTTTTCTGAGACCGAGTCTCGCTCTATCGCCAGACTGGAGTGCAGTGGTGCGATCTCGGCTCACTGCAACCTCCACCTCCTGGGTTCGAGTGATTCTCCTGCCTCAGCCTCCCGAGTAGCTGGGACTACAGGCATGCGCCACCATGCCCAGCTAATTTTTGTATTTTTTAGTAGAGACGGGGTTTCACCGTGTTGGCCTGGATGGTCTCAATCTCTTGACCTTGTGATTGCCCACCTTGGCCTCCCAAAGTGCTGGAATTACAGGCATGAGCCACTGTGCCCAGCCCACACTCAGATTTTCTACACTGCAATCTTGCTAAAGTCTCTTATTAATTCTAATAATTTATCTATAGATTCTTTTGGGTTTTCCGTAGACAGTGATGCTGACTACAAACAATAGTAGTTTTGTTGTTTTCCCTTATAATCCTTATACTCTTATTTCTTCTTTTTTGCCTTGCTGTACCTGCAAGGAAGCAATCTAATGTGAGTGGGGTGGTGAGAGCAGGCACCCTTGGCTTGTACTTGGGTGCTTTTTCCACTAGTGAGTTCAGTGGGTAAAAATATATCATTTTCCTAATACTGTACTATACTTCAATTAAAAGTTTAGGTGGGAGGCGCGGTGGCTCACGCTTGTAATCCCAGCACTTTGGGAGGCCGAGGTGGGCGGATCATCTAAGGTAGGGAGTTCAAGATCAGCCTGACCAACATGGAGAAACCCCGTCTTTACTAAAAATACAAAAAATTAGCCGGGCATGGTGGTGCATGCCTGTAATTCCAGCTACTCGGGAGGCTGAGGCAGGAGAATCGCTTGAAATTGGGTGGCGGAGGTTGCAGTGAGCCGAGATCGTGCCATTGTACTCCAGCCTGGGGAACAAGAGCGAAACTCTGTCTAAAAAAAAAAAAAGTTTAAATAAAGTTTCCTTAGGAATATTTTCTCAACAACATCTTACCCTCTCCTTATTGCTGTGTGCTCCAGGGATGCCACTGAGCAGGTTTGTACCTGCCTCCTTTCAACCTGAATATATATTACTGGAGAAAAGAAGTCTTAAGTGAGGGTGCAGATGGCTGCTTTCAAGAATTTGAAGAGCTACCAGGGGGAGGGAGTACAGGGGGAGTCTCAGCAGCCCTGGATGACAGAATAAAAGGGGAGATGGAAGGGCAGGAAAGCAGATTTCCACAAGCAGAAAGAAAAGCTTTCTAGCATCATTGTTGTCTAACCAGAGAATAGGTTGCTTTTTGAGACAGTGAGCTTCCCAACACTAGAAGTATTCAAGCAGGGCTAGATACATACCTACCAAGGATGCTGTACAGACCCCTCACCCCCAATATTGGGCGGGGTATGGACCACATTATGTCTCCTGTCTCTTCCAACTTCAGTCTTGAGATTTGTAAAGAATTGGATTCATTTCTTCTTTTTTTAAAATTGAAATTGTTTTTATTAACATCTTGTGTGTGTTTTTAAGTTCTGAGTATTCAACTTTGACTATGACCAAAATGTCTATATTTAAAGAGGTAACAAGGTATTTAACACATTGTGTAATATGAGCCAGATAAATTGCTTTCATACTGAGGGCTCCGTCCAAATAAGGCAGAGGCCACGATCCCAGGTGGAAGGAATGGAAATGAATCTATTTCAAGGCCAGTAGCTACACCCAGAATTCACTCAACTCTACCAAACGTACCTGCACTATCTCAGCAACACATCTCTACAGTTTGACAAGACAATCAAAAGTATATTTTGTACTTAATGTAATAAGAGGCTCAGATATAAATGTCTACTTTTATATATTTTTAACTTATGCAGATCGTTTGTTATTTAATAAATAAGTTAAACTGACTTTGTTGCAAATGAGATATGAGGATGTGCATATGAAGAATAATTGGGCTGGGAACAGTGACTCACACCTGTAATCCCAGCACTTCGGGACGCTGAGGCGGGTGGATCATAAGGTAGGAGTTCGAGACCAGCCTGGCCAACATGGTGAAACCCCATCTCTACTAAAAATACAAAAATTAGCCAGGTGTGGTGTCAGGCGCCTGTAATCCCATCTACTCAGGAGGCTGAGGCAGGAGAATCACTTGAATCCAGGAGGCAGAGGTTGCAGTGAGCTGAGATCTCGCCATTGCACTCCAGCCTGGGCAACACAGCGAGACTTTTTTTAGACAGAGTCTTGCTCCGTCACCCAGGCTGGGGTGTAGTGGGGCAATCTTGGCTCACTGCAACCTCCACTTCCTAGGTATAAGTGATTCTTCTGCCTCAGCCTCCCGAGTAGCTGGGATTACAGGTGTGCACCACCATGCCCAGCAAATTTTTGTATTTTTAGTAGAGATGGGGTTTCACCATGTTGGCCAGGCTGGTCTGGAACTCCTGACCTCAGGTGATCTGCCTGCCTTGGCCTCCCAAAGTGCCAGGATTACAGACGTGAGCCACAGCGCCCAGCAGAACTTGAATGGTACTTAGTTTCTCATAGCCTATTTTCCCTCCTTCTTAAAAAATGGGACAAATAATATTGCCAAATGAATGTAAATAAAGGTATTTAGGAAATAATGTGAAAAAGCTTTAAAGCATTATTTACTTTTTCTTTTCTTTTTTAATTTTAGATTCGGGGGTACATGTGCAGGTTTGTTACATGGGTAAATTGCATGATGCTGAAGTGTGGGCTTCCAATGATCCTATCTCCCAAATAGTGAACACAGGCCGGTTGTGGTGGCTCATGTCTATAATCCCAACACTTTGGGAGGGCGAGGGGGGCGGATCACTTGAGCTCGGGAGTTCGAGGCCAGCCTGGCTAACATGGTGAAACCCTGTCTCTACCAAAAATACAAAAATTAGCCAGGTGTGGTGGTGCATGCCCATAGTCCTGGCTACTTGGGAGACTGAGGCACGGGAATTGCTTGAGCCCAGGAGGCAGATGTTGCAGTGAGCTGAGATCTCACCATTGCACTCCAGCCTGGGGACAGAGGGAAACTCTGTCTCAAAAATAAAATGAAAATAAAAACAAATAGTGAACATAGTACCTGATAGGTAGTTTCTCAAGGCTTTCCCCCTCTCTCCCTCCCCACTTTTGAAATCCCCTGTGTTAACTGTTCCCATCTTTGAATCTGTGTGTACCCAATGTTTAGCTCCCACTTCTAATTGAGAACCTACAGTATTAGATTTTCTGTTTCTGAGTTAATTTGCCCAGATAATGGCCTCCAGTTGCATCCATGTTGCTGCAAATATGTGATTTCATTCTTTTTTGTGGCAGCATAGTATTCCATGGTGTATATGTACCATATTTTCTTTATTGAGTCCACCATCGATGGGCACCTGGGTTGATACTATGTCTTTCCTACTGTGAATAGTGCTGCAATAAACACACAAGTGTTTATTGGTAAAGCGATTTGTTTTCCTTTGGTTGTATATCCAGTAATTGGATTGGTGGGTCCAGTGGTAATTCTATTCTTAGTTCTTTGAGAAATCTCCAAACTGCTTTCCACAGGGGCTGAATTAATTTGCATTCTCACCAACAGTGTATAAGCATATAATAGTAGTGCAAGAAAAGGAGAATTGGGTTCACTTCTTATCCTGCTTTCTGGGATACTCTATCAACTCCTCTCATAATACTTAGAAAACCGACCTTACAATGGAGGCAAGTCAACCAAGATAAAAGCTGGTTCTTTGTACATGTTAATAATTTTGATAGACCCCTATCACATCTGATCAAGAAAAAAGAGAGAAATAAAACACATTAAATTCCTTTCTCCTCAGGAAGCACCCAGCAAATATAGTAGGTGTGCATCCAACGACCATAGAATAAAAAGGTTGTTATCCTGTTAAGTCTTCATCCCCAAACCTATAAAGGTTGCATTGCTTTGGAGGTTTCTAGCCTTATACCTCATCATCCTATAATCTTTTAAAATAATACAAATAGGCAAAGTAGTCAAGACACTCACTGGTTTGAAATCCAGTGAAAGGAAAAAAAAGCTTTGTTAATGGAGTTGACAGCCTCTTCTGTATAATTGGAAGTTCTGAACGAAGTGAAGTTTTGAAGATTTTTAAAGACTGGGAATAATTCTGTAACTTCATAGTTGTACTTCATTTTTACTCTTCCATTCACCCAAGCTCCTTCTTTCTAGCAAATCCCGTTTGTTGGTGGATAAAAATACATCTGCAGAGTCTCCCGGAAGCTGCCCCATCAGCCTCATAGACAAGAAGCCTTGTTTTCCTGCACCGCTACAGAAATGTCTTCCTCCTCCTCCTCCTCCTCCTCCTCCTCCTCCTCCGGCTCACCGGGATCAAAGTCTTTTTCGTTCTTAGCTGGTTTTTCTTAGAGAAAAGCTGGAGTTCAGAGTTCAGTCCAGAGAGGGTGACTCCTTGAGGGCAGACCTAGAGGCGCCGCGCACCGGTCCCGCCCGCAGCCCCGGCAGAGCTGCGCCCCGGCTCCCTGCGCCGCGCGAGTCCGCCAGTAGCGCCGAGAAATCCGTTACCAGGCGGTTGTGTCCCCAAGGGCCATTCAGGGCGGAAGGGAACAGGGAAAACCGCTGTGTTGATTCCCGGGCCCTGTAGGCTGGGAGCGCGGAGGGTCAGGTTACAGACAGGTGAGGCTGGCTGTTGGGTGAGCCTTGGGCTCCAGGGCATCCCTGACCAGACGCGCCCCCGCAGCACCCGGCAGCTGGCACACGTCTGACGACCTCCTGGAGGAGGGCGACCGCAGCGACACAAGAGGCTGTGCCGGTTGTCCTGGGCGCACCCGAACAAGGCCTTGGGAAGGGCAGCGCGCCCCGCAACGTGAGCACAACTGCTTTACAAACTTGGCATATTTTACCAACTCCCCCTCCTTCTCTCCCTCTCCCCTCCAGGCATAAAGGTTGATAGGAACAAACAGATATAATAATAAATGCAAAGCTTTCCTACCTCCCCGGTAGGGGCGGCTAGAAGATGTAGCCAATGTTCACTATGCTAGCTTCCTGGAAAGGTATTTCCCAGTCTCAGAATTTGGGGATCGGGTGGTTAGGAGAGGCAACGGTGGGAGTGGGCGAGGATTGGGGGCTTGTTTTGAAGCTGCATTTGCATAATATGCTCCTGGCTTTTGTTTCTATTGTGTGTTTACTTGGGGTGAGGGGGCTCTCGGGGGGTGCAACGTCTTGTGAGGAGAAGCTGCTTTGGCGGGGCAAGGCTTGTTTTTCTTAGATTGTATGATACTAGTCAGAAAAATAACGTGGTCTAAAGATGCCGAATTTTTAAATTTATTTTTACTGCTTATGGGGGGGGGGTGTTGTAGCTGATGGAAAGCTTAAGCCCCTAAGCCCCCACCCCCCATTATTAATAATCAGAATCCTTGGAAGTCTCCCGCCGCCTCCCCCTTCTGACCGCCCAGATTTCATCAAGCCCCAGGAAGGCTCCACAAGGTCCAGGGGAACTGAGCCATTTTCTGGCTCGTCGAAGACAAATCCACCGGGCGGGGGAGGGGGGCAACTCGTGGGAGGCCCCAACTCACCGGAGGGGTGCCCTGGGAGGCGAACCTGGGGTTTACCTCGAAGAGCTCGCCTCGAGGTGCAGGTGATGGGGGAATGGGGCGGGGGTTGATTAAAAAATGTTCTTCCTTTCTTAAAAAGAGGAGGGGGAAGAACAGACTTTAAATTCTTTTGCAAACATTCATGCCTAAGGAAGGGCTGGAACAGGCAGCCCCGGCCGCCGGAACCGGTCGGACAGGTAGCGAGCTTGTTGACACCGTTATGTTGCAGGGCGCATGCTCAGTCCCAAGTTTCCTGGTGCCTTTTCTATTCCACCTTATGAAACTTTTTCCCCGGCGTGGTCTCACTCGCGATTTAAGGCATAGGTGTCGCCGAGCCGGGAGGCTGGGAGTCGCCAGGCGTGCGGGGGAGAGGCCTGGGCCGCGCCGCGGCGGGGGGTGGAGGAAGAGGGCAGGCGAGGCGGGAAGGTGGGCTCTGGCCGCCGGGAGCCGGGGACGGAGCCGCCGCCGTTGCCCCTAGCGGGGAGCAGCCGGGAGGAGGGGGCCGCAGTCGGGAGAGGGGACCCCACCATGCCCAAAGTCTTCCTGGTGAAGAGGAGGAGCCTGGGGGTCTCGGTCCGCAGCTGGGATGAGCTCCCGGATGAGAAAAGGGCAGACACCTACATCCCAGGTGAGCGCGCGCGGGGGCCGGGCCTGGGCGCTGGGCTCCCGGGGTGGGGGAAGGGGTGGCGGGTCTTCTCTGCTCATCGGCAGGGGCGGGCTCCCCACCTCATCCCCCTCTTCCGGGGGGCACGCGGGGGTCTTCTAGGCGGGTTAGGGCAGGCAATGAGGGACTGGGATGCCCCAGACTCTAGGCGCCCCCTTCCCCGTAGTGGGAGCCTCTAATTGCCCGGCGGCGGGACCGTTGGCTGCAGCGCGGGCCAAGGTGGCCCAGGAAAGGGATTGAAAGCCAGCAGAGGCTACCCCCAATCTCACGTCCTCATGGGGGTGCACAAAGGCTCGCCAACCCTTCTGGGGCTAGCTGGGGAGAGGTCAGATCCGCCTCCCCCGCCCTGAGAGGAAACTTGGCGCGCGGGGTCCTCCGCCGCTCGTGGCCGCCCGGTTCCTCGTGGGCGCCTTGGCTGGGACCGGAAAGAGGCTCCGAGCACCCCAAGCTAGCTCTGTGGGCCGATTCGGGGCTTACTGGCCTCCCCCGCGACGTTGCCCACTTGGCGAGGTGCCCAGGTCCGGGGCGGGGCGGCGGCAGCACCGCCCGCAGGTCAAACTGCCGCGGGCGTGCGGGTTGACGCCGAGTGTGTGTGTCGGGGCGCGGCCCCTCCCTCCACAGTGGGCCTAGGCCGCCTGCTCCACGACCCCCCCGAGGACTGCCGCAGCGACGGCGGCAGCAGCAGCGGCAGCGGCAGCAGCAGCGCGGGGGAGCCTGGAGGAGCAGAGAGCAGCTCGTCCCCGCACGCCCCCGAGAGCGAAACCCCCGAGCCCGGCGACGCCGAGGGCCCCGATGGACACCTGGCGACCAAGCAGCGCCCGGTCGCCAGATCGAAAATCAAGGTACTGTGTCGACTCTGCCCCCGCCGCCACCTGCACCACGCCCTGGCGTCGGGCTCCCGAGGCCGGCGCCCCTCCCTGCCGCGCCCGCCTGCGCAACCCGGCACCCGCGCCCCGAGCGCGCCCGCCGCGCCGCTCCTGCACCTGCCCCTGGGCGGCGGCCAGGGCGCCTCGGCGCGTCCTCCCGCCCGCAGGGTAGCTGCTGCGCAGGGGCGGCCGGTTCCCGGAGTGGGCTCCGTCCTCCCGGTGGCCCCGCCTGATGCCGAGTGCTGCCTCTGGAACTGCCGAAAAGGCACAGGCATCACTGCCTTCCGCCAGCAGCCCGTTCTGTGCGCTAGGCCTGTAGAATAACCAAGGCCGTCGGAGTTCCTGAGGTTGGAAAGGAAGCCTCAGCGCTCTCAGAAATTCCACCCTCTGGGACGCAGTTCCTGGCGCCGCGATTCTGAGAGTTCACCCCCCATGCTTATGTTCTGGACCTGGGCGGCAGCTTGACACATAGTGGGCCTCTCCCAACATGAACCGGTTCCCAGTGTCTGTCAGACAGGAGGCTTGTGCACGGCACTTTAGATCTGTCATCTTTCCAATCTTGAATTAAATTGATGGGTAAAAGGGTTCAACTACAGATTTCTCGAGCGCCCCTACCCCAGTGGATTGGAGTGTTTCCTCCCATCTATGGTCGCGCCTCGGGGCCCCCTCGAACATTCTGGACGCCCACCTGCGCTTTCGGGCAGAACTTCCATGATGGTCTGCTCAAAGGTATCCGCTACCCACCAAGGTTTAGGAATCCCATTCCACTGACTCAGCCAGCTGGAGCTAGGAGGTGGTGGTTTATGATCACTTGGCCCCTCTTTCTAGCCTGGTGGGCCGCAGTGCTACACTGTGCACCCCCTAGACCCCCGGTGCAGGTGGTAATTCCAGGGCTCTCCGGTGCCCTCCTGCCACCCAGACCGGGAGTAGAGGGCGGTGGGGAGGGAGAGCCTGGGCTTTGCTGTGGATTGAGAAAGGACCCCTCATTTTCCTGGGAGAGGTCCCCTATGCACATTGCGTATTCCCAGGGTTTGACTCCGGGGTGGGCTGAGGCGCATTTGGTTTTGAACTGAGGTTTGAGGCTTCAGCTGGGATCCAAAGGAAAGACCTCTTTAAAGAAGAAGCTGCCGAAACCGTGCGGGCCGGCAGCTTAGCGGTAAGTGTGAGGGTGAGGTTCAAAGTCAGCTGGCCTGAGGCTCTTCCGGGCCAGGTGGGGTTAAGTGGGAGGGAAAAATTTGCCTGAGGCTGGTAGCTCTGCCCTTCGGGAGATTCTACAAAGTGCCCCACTTGCATATTTATCACCAGGCTGGAAGGACAATTGCAACGTTGTTTTGGGAGCCTCTGCAGCTAGTTTGCCCCTCTGTCCCCCAATTGCCCAGATTCCCCTGGAGAGAAAGTGACAGATTCTCATCCAGTCTCTTAACAAATATTTTAGGCAAACTCTTCTGCCTCAGGCACACAGGGCCGTTGGAATCCTGGATTAAAGGAAGACGTAAACCAATCTTATTTCCTAGATTAGTTGCCTGTGTGCTGGGGGAAGGGGGGCGGGAGGCACAGTTCACTCCTGAACCGTTAAGAGTCTTCTTTCCATAGTTTCCAGGGGAATTTTTATTTACTGGGGATGTTTAGGTTCCCTCTTTCTGCCTCTACCCCCAAAAAGGAAACATTTTGGTGTTAATATGCTCCAAGCCTCCAGAATTATTATCAGCCATGGCATTGGCAGTTTTCAAATGACTGACCAAATTGCCTGTGACTTAGCACGTTGTATAATTATAAAGTTCTTTCCAAGGCATGCTGAACTCACAATTTCTCTAAGAATTAGTTTCTTTTCTTTTCTTTTCTTTTCTTTCTTTTTTTTTTTTTTTTGAGATGGAGTTTCGCTGTTGTTGCCCAGGCTGGAGTGCAATGGCTGGATCTTAGCTGAGTGCAATGGCTGGATCTTAGCTCACTGCAACCTCTGCCTCCCGGGTTCAAGTGATTCTCCTGCCTCAGCCTTCCGAGCAGCTGGGATTACAGGCATACGCCACCATCGCCGGCTAATTTTGTAATTTTAGTAGAGACAGGGTTTCTCCATGTTGGTCAGCCTGGTCTTGAACTCCCGACCTCAGGTGATCCGCCTGCCTCAGCCTCCCAAAGTGCTGGGATTACAGGCGTGAGCCACCGCATCCAGCCAAGAATTAGTTTCTTAGGCAGTGGGCTCCCAGGACCACAAGAAGGGCAGGTTTGAGCTATTGCCTGGCACAGAGAAGCAACACTCTGCCCGTCTAACACCTGGGGTGTGCAAGGCAGCAGGAGGTAAAAATGCTCCCACCCTGGTGTTCCTTCCAGAATCATCTGGCAGTAGCGGTTAATCATATAAGCTCTGGCTTTGTCACTTCTTAGCTGTGGACCTTGAGCAAGTGGCTCACCCCTCTGAGCCTCGGTTTCCTTATCTGTAAGATGATAATGATACCTACTTGATAGCATCGTGAGGATAAATGAGTGGAGGGTAGAACATGGTATGTGCCCAATAACCATAGATAGTATTCAGGTTAATAGGGAGACACAAACATTATTAACTCTGCTGCAGGACAGTGAATGTGAAACCAGAATTCCAAACAAAGACGTGACCGATTTGAGTGGGGAAAGTGTCCTGATGTGGATTTGAAGGCTGGGGAGAAGGGAGGCGGGTGGGCCTGAGGGCAGTGTGGGCTGAGTCCCGCAGCTGGAGCATAGAAAGGATGAAGCTCTGGTGGCTGAAGATAGGAAACAGGGCTTGCTGGGGTCAGGGAGAGAGTTGGCGGTAAAGAGCTGGAAATGTAACCAGGACAGGGTGAGATGGTGAAGGGGCCAAGCCAAGAAATATGGGTGCTCCTGCTGGGCAGAGGAGAAGCTCTGGATGATGTAAGAAGGAAAACCTCAATCGGGTTCCTCTTTTTTTTTTTTTTTTTTGAGACAGAGTCTCTCTCTGTCGCCTGGAGCTGGAGTACAGTTGCGCAATCTCAGCTCACTGCAAACTCTGCCTCCCAGGTTCAAGTGATTCTCCTGCCTCAGCCTCCCAAGTAGCTGGGATTACAGGCACCTACCACAAAGCCTGGCTGATTTTTGTATTTTTAATAGAGACGAAGTTTCGCCATGTTGTCCAGGCTGGTCTTGAACTCCTGACCTCAGGTGATCTGCCCACCTTGGCCTCCCAAAGTGCTGGGATTACAGGTGTGAGCCACCGCGCCCTGCCATTTGGGTCCCTCTTAACGGCTGTGTTCATGGATCATTATCTCTTCTGAGCCTCAGTTCCTTGATCTGTAAAGTGGAGGACTCAAAGAATCAGCCTCCTAGAAGAGTTGCATAGATTAAATGAGATAGTGGGTGTAAAGTGTTTAGCTTTCTGTGCATGTGTAAACTGCCCAAGAGGAAGTTAGCTGACAGTGACATACAGCAAGTTTTAATGCCCAACATTTTGTTGGCTGTAAGGACATGGGATTCACTAACTTGATCGTGTTGATGGGTGGATCTGGAAAAGGAGTCCGAGGTGCAGATTAGGAAATGTGGCTGGCCCTTCCCAGCCTACCTGCCTTTTGACGGTGTGCCTCAGGGCAGATTGTGAAATTGTCTCTTTACTACTGAGAATTCTGTAATTTGCCAAACAAATAAGGGTGAGAAGATGATGTACATTCCAGAGAGTGTGCATGGCAGGTCCCTTTTGTGCTGGATCCATCTGCAGGTCTTCAGCTGCGGGGTAGAGAAACCCAGGAAATACTAATCACCATTGTCCTTTGGAGGCTTATTAGAAAGTAAGTAACTCTGAAGTTGGCTGATAGTATTCATACGTGATTCTCTGGCTGGTAGGACCCAGGTCCAAGTATGGAGTACCAAGTGAATTTGTCCTCTCACCCTTTCCTATTCTGTTCTTTCTTTTTGTCCTCTCCCATGGGTTCTTCAAAATAAATTAAGTTTAGATTCTTTCAAAAGTATGCTTGGCCTTTTACCCGGCTCTCTATCGAGTCTTGTAGTGGTGCAGATGTGTGTCTACGGAGTAGTCCCCATACCCCCATCACTTTGTATTATTTACAATCTCAAAGGCATAGTCATACGTATCTGCCACCCAGCCCCAACAACCATTAACCCATGGCCAGTCCTGCCCAGCCACACTCCCACCCCTTGCCCCATGCATGATTCTGAAGCAAATCTAGGACATCATACCATTTCAACCATAAATAGTTCAGAATGTGCGTTTAGTGGATAAAGACCAAAATTCATGATCACACCCACATTACCAATTGTGTTCACATTACTAATTGTCTCATAAATTAATACTTTTCCCCTCCAGTTTGCTTAATCAGGTCCACATAATGTCCACACATTGTAATTGATTGGCATGTCTTTTGAGCCTCTTTTAATTTCATACATTTTCCCTCCATCAAGTTAATTGTTGAAGAAATGGGTGATTTGTTTTGTAGAGTCCCCAACAGTCTGGATTTTGCTGAGCGCATCACCATGTGCCTAATGTTTCTCAGTCCCCTAGGTTTTCTCTAAACGGATAGTTGGATCTGCAGCTGCAGCATCCAGTATCACATGTGACTATCACAGCCATAGTCAATTAAGAATTAACAATTAGACCAGGCGCCATAGCTCATGCCTGTAATCCCAGCACTTTGGGAGGCCGAGGCGGGCGGATCACCTGAGGTCAGGAGTTCAAGACCAGCCTGGCCAACATGTTGAAACCCCGACTCTATTAAAAAAAAATACAAAAAAAATTAGTAGGGCTTGGTGGCATGCACCTGTAATTCAGGCTACTCAGGATGCTGAGGCAGGAGAATCGCTTGAACCCAGGAGGTGGAGATTGCAGTGAGCCAAGATTGCACCACTGCACTCCAGCCTGGACAACAGAGCGAGACCCTGTCTCAAAATAACAGTTAAGTTCTTCAGTCCTACTAGCGACATTTCAAATGCTAGTAGCCATGTGTGACCAGAGGCTAATGTACTGGACAGTACAGAATATAATTTTTCTGTCACCACAAAAAGTTCTATTGGATAATGCAACTCTCCCTGCTTGGTCAGCTCTATTTTATTTCAGCTAGAATATGTCACACTGTGGGGCATCTGTCTTCATCAGAGGCACTGAATATTTGGTTATCTCTCTTTTTCTGATGTTAGCAGCTGTTGATGCTCAGGACCTAAATATTTTGGCTTATTAGGTGTTCTAAAACAGCAATAATCTAATTCTGTCCTCTGTTTATTAACTGATGTATTTCTATAGAGATACACTTTGCCTCATCTACTGCTTGGTTTTCCAGTGGCACAGTTCATTTATGAAAGGCAGAATAATGCTGGATTCGCTTTATTTACCTTTATTTGTAAATGAAGATAATCAGTTGTTAACCAGAATTCTCCATTGATGGCTAATTAGTTCTTTCTTTTCTTTCTCTTTATTTATTTTTCCTTTTGAGACAGGGCCTCACTATGTTGCCCAGGCTGGTCTCAAACTCCTGGGCTGAAACGATCCTCCTATCTCAGCCTCCCAAAGTGCTAGGACTACAGGCACATGCTGCTGAGCCTGGCTCTCAATCTGTTATTTCATTCATTTTGTTGTGAATTATGGATTCAAGCCGTTTTTAAAAACCAATTCATTTGATATTTGGAAGGGAATATAAGCTCCATCCCTGACTCCTTTCCTCTTGTTTTTTTGTCTCCCAAGACAGACTTGAATACTCCTCCCCCTGCTCCACTGTAACCTGCTGCCCATTTTCCTGGCTGCACATTTGGCCAACTGACTTCTCTTTTCCACTCTAGATCCATCAGAGCCAGGGAACACTTCCTACTGGGCTCGTATTACCCAGCAACCAGTGCAGTAGTGCCTGGGTCATAGAAGGACATAAGTGAACACAGAACAAGAATTTAGGCAGGGGAAGAAGTCAACAGTTCCCAGACATGAGTGATAGCATTTGAAGGAAAACACAGAAAGCAGGAAGAAAAGGGATACTGGAAAAATGCTTGGAATGGATTCTTGATGAAGGTTAAATTAATTAAAAGGGGGAAAAGGAGGAATATGAGAACAATGTGTATTAATTGCCTGGTGTTAAACTTGAATATAGGTGAAGTAGGTTTTTATTGTTGGAAAGGACTACATAGGCTTAGTTACGAACATCAGAATCCACTATAGCTAGTTTAAGCAGAGAAAGGTATTAAATGGACTAAAGAAGGACCAAGCTGAGCTCCCAGGAATGACTCAGAGCCACAGAGCAGAACTGGGCCACCTAGGAGCTGAAGCTGCTGCCCAATCAGGAAGCTGCCACCTCGATGGCTGCCCGTCCCTGCATCTGCCATGGCAAAGTGTAAAACAATTGCCTCTTGCCTGCCTCTGCCCAGTTAACTCGGGGCTGAATTCAGATCTCCTGATAGTGCATGTAACTGGTGAAACCCAAGTTACTTCCCAAATCCTCATGGCAAGGGAGTCAGGGAAGCGTAGTTTTCACTTCTCTAGCTTCGGCGGTGCAGGAAGGCCCACCAAAAGGAGTTGGGATAGATACTGAGTCCTTCCATAGGATCGACTACAGGAACCTTTAAAGCATGTATGGCCCCAAATCTCCTTACTTTCAGGGTGAGAAAAATTAAGCCCAGCAAGTTTTTGTTGAGTTCCTCAAAGTTGTTAGTGGCAAAACTCAACCCAAGGATCCTCAACCTTTCAGCATTGTTCCATTGCATTGTGGGACAACTGTACTGTCCAGTATGTCAGCCGTAGTCAATATGTGGCTTTGATGCTTTAGCCCTTAGTGTTGATAGTCTGACATTAAGGACTCATGATGATATGAGACAAACAATGGGGTTCATGCCCCCTCCTCCTGCCCCACAGACCTGTGGGCCTGTCCTGAGGGAACTGTAGGCACAAGTTTTGCAGATGACGGACCACATTCAAAATTCTCAGGGTTGGCCACTACAAGTCATGTGGCCGTGGGCAAGTCATATCTCTTTGGGCCTCAGTTTCTTCTTCAGGTTTATAAAGATATATATTCCCTTCATCTTCTCTGCATTTGAGAAGGCTCTCCATTCTGCCATGTAGGGGAGTTGTGAAGTCTAAGGAAATGGTACATAGGATCGGGGGGGGAATCTGAATGCCAAACGAATTGGGGAAATATGCTTAGCATGCTTTTAGCATTCAAGCATCGCACCGTGTCGGTGGAAATCTGGTCCAAATGGCCACCAGAAGGTAGCCTTGGACTCAGAATATCCTCCCATAGACCATTAACTAAATGAACTTGTCTGCTAGAAACATCAACAGAAAATAAAAGTTGTTCTTTTTTTTGTCGTTGTTTTCACCTTTAGAAGTTTGACAGGTGAATGATCTGAGCCGGCTTTGAAGCTGGTCAGAGGGCCAGCCGAAGGCCCTGACTCCCTGGATGTTCCTGCAGTTTTCAGCAGTGCGGAGACAATGATTGGTTTGTTCTGCCGCTGAGTCCTGTTTTCTAGAAGAAGAACTTGAGGAGAATTTTGCACATTTTTTGAAATGAAAGCCGAGATCCTGCAGAAAACAGGACAGTGCTCAGAAAAGCGCCAGGCCATGGGGTTGGAGAGCTGTTCATTGTCTCTTCGTCTTCGTGCCCTGAATTAATTTCAAGACCAAGGTCATTTCCCTCCCTGTATGGTAGTTTCCCCACCTCGTTAATAAGCCTTTTGCAAAGTGTTAATTTTGGATTAAGGGTGAGACGATTAAGCTTTTCCAGAAGGTAGCATGGTGTAAAAACCACCCCTGGCAGGCTTGGAGCAGTACCTTATAATTAAATATATTAATAATTTCCATATTAAAATGTGAATATTGACACTAAATGGGATAAAGTCTGCACATATTTTTACATCAGCTCAGGTCAGATTTCACTGTCACGGGAGATAGGAGAGAATGTTGGTTGTCAGAGCTTTTTGTCATATGTTTTGTTTTATTTTATTTTATTTTTTGAGACAGGGTCTCTCTCTGTCACTCGGGCTGGAATGCAGTGGTGCTATCTCGGCTTACTGTAACCGCCGCCCCCCACCTCAGCCTCCTGAGTAGCTGGGATTACAGGTGTGCATCACCATGCCCAGCTAATTTTTGTATTTTAGTAGAGTCAGGGTTTTACCATGTTGGCCAGGCTGATCTTGAACTCCTGACCTCAAATGATCCTCCTGCCTACACCTCTCAAAGTGCTGGGATTACAGGCATGAGCCACTATACCCAGCTGTTTTTCAGAGCTTTTTGAATTACAGAGTTGCAGATGAAGGACTGGGAGCTAGTGGCTCCCTTTTTAGTTTCGTTTTGTTTTTTTTAGTTCCCCTTTTCTTCCATCAAAGAGAGAAAAATTCAAAAGCAAATTGGGAAACAAATTTTTTTTTCTTCTTTTGAGACAGTCTTGCTCTATGGCTGAGGCTGGAATGCAGTGGCATGATCTTGGCTCGCTGCAAACTCCGCCTCCCGGGTTCAAGTGATTCTCGTGCCTCAGCCTCCTGAGTAGCTGGGACTATAGGCGTGCACCACCACAACTGGCTAATTTTTGTATTTTTAGTAGAGATGGAGTTTCACCATGTTGGCCAGGCTGGTCTCGAACTCCTGACCTCAGGTGATCTGCCCCCTCAGCCTCCCAAAGTGCTGGGATTACAGGCAGGAGCCACCGTATCTGGCCGAGAAACAAGAAATTTTGACCAATTACCTTTTGTTTAGGACCACAGAATTTTGGAGTTGGTCTAACTATAATAGGACTTACAAAGCACCAGGTTAATTAAATTAAGATTTAATTTCTTCATTTCTTTCTTTTTTTTTTTTTTTTTTTTTTTTGAGACGGAGTCTCACTCTGTCGCCTGGGCTGGAGTGCAATGGCGCAATCTCAGCTCACTGCAACCTCCGCCTCCCGGGTTCAAGTGATTCTCCTGCCTCAGCCTTCCAAGTAGTTGGGATTATAGGCACCTACCACCATGCCTGGCTAATTTTTGTATTTTTAATAGAGGCGGGGTTTCACCATGTTGGTCAGGCTGGTCTCGAACTCCTGACCTCAGATGATCCACCGGCCTTGGCCTCCCAAAGTACTAGGATTACAGGTGTGAGCCACTGTGCCCTGCCAATTTCATTTATTTCTAAGAGACAGATATTATTATTATATTTATTTATATTTATTTATTTTGAGACAGAGTTACAGTCTTGTTGCCCAGGCTGGAGTGCAACGGCACAATTTCGGCTCACTGCAACCTCCGCCTCCCGGGTTCAAACGATTCTCTTGTTTCAGCCTCCCGAGTAGCTGGGATTATGAGTAGCCACCATGCGCGGCTAATTTTTGTATTTTTAGTAGAGACGGGGTTTCATCATATTGGTCAGGCTGGTCTCGAACTCCTGACCTCAGGTGATCCACCCACCTCGGCCTCCTGAAGTGCTGGGATTACAGGCGTGAGCCACCACGCCTGCCAATGCAAATATTATTATTCACATTTTACAGGTGATGAAATGAAGGCTTAGAGAAGTTAGGTAACTTGCCTACAACTAAGTTAGGTAACTTGCCACAAACTAAGTGGTAGAACAGGAATTGAAGGAATTGAGGAAACTGGAAAACAGACCCTGCTCTTAGCTTCTTATACTGCTGAAGAGATCATCTAATACCATTTTATTGTTTTACATGTGGGGAAATTGTGACATAGGGATGTTAAATGACATTCCATATCACACCCCTAGCCAGATCTAGGTTTTTTTTTTTTTTGATCCTTCAGATTTATTGTCTCTCTATTCCACTATTGTTTTGTAACTAACATGACTAAGATGTAATTAAGTTTAGTCTAGTACTTGTAGAGGAACAAGGTAAGATCGATTAACTCTTTTTTAACTTTTAGGAGGTACAGTGTTAGGTGTAAACCTATGTAAACAAAATAAAGGTGCTCCAGTGAGCAGAGCTGTGATCCTGATCCAGGCGGGGTCAGCTGGTCCTCTGCCCCATGAGACATCAGTCCAGGAGTCAGATGTGTCTTCTGTACCATGCAGTCCTGGGAGAGACACTTAGAAATGTGGCAGGTCTGGCGTCTGGAGAGAATGATACGTTTATTACTGTTCCAGTTAACCTATTTCTGCTTCACAAGAATCTCCAAATTTAATAGATGAAATGATGTAGTATTGTATCATCCACCTCTGTGGGATGACTGGGCTTAGCAGGGCAGTTCTTGCCTTGTGGTTGCAGTCAGATGGCGGCTGAGGCTGGAGTCTTCTGGGGGTTTGACTGGGATGGACATCCACAAGGGCTCACTCACATGGCTGGCAGGTGACACTTGAACTGCTTCTAGCCTCTTACCTTTGTCCAGTGCATTAATTGTAAGGTTCTGCCACCGTTTTTTCACAAGTTCCTATTGATAGACATGTATTTAGTTTCCAGTCCTTTGCTATTACAAACCAAATTTCAAGGCACAAGGCATATTAAATATACTTTTAGGGATAAATTTCATGTTTAGGAATTTACAAAGATCCCTTCCTTTCTGAGAAGTGAAATAGTCTGGCAGAAGCTAGCTTTGTCAGCCATGATTTTTTGCCATTAAATAACCTTACATCTTCTTTCAACAAGGCTCCTGAAGACTTTGAGTGTAATTTGTTAATATCTGATGGCTGGATTGGTCATAAGGGTGGTAAGCAGCACTTAATGGATTGGAGGGTGTGCCACAGGATGAATTCCCTACCTGAGCCACTTCTTGGTGACTCAGCTTTCCATGCTGTGAAATGGGGAGAAATGGAAAAATTGCCTTTGCTGAGGGATATGTGGAGAATTTCCATTTTTGCTCTAAGAAAACCAGAGGAAACGTCCCCTTGAGAATTAGGTGTGCCTTCAGTCTCCAACCCCTTCTCTCCACTCCCATTTTCTCCCCTGTTTTATAAAGCTTCCTGGCAAGTCATTGTGGCTCACGCCTGTAATCCCAGCACTTTGGGAGGCTGAGGCAGGAGGATCCCTTGAGGATAAGAGTTGAAGATCAGTCTGGTCAACATAGTGAGATTCTATCTCTAAAAAAAATTAAAAACAAACAAAAATAAATAACACACTTTCTATGTCTTGATCAGATGATCTACTGGCCCTGTACTCCCTTAAATTGTCACTGATCTCCCTTCCCTGTGCCCTTCAAGATCTTATTCTTTTCAAACAAAATAATACCGACGATTTGAGATTTTCATTCTAGACTGCAATAGAAGGCATCTGTATTGCATTCAGAGCATTTTAAAAATAGGAATTTGTCAAAAAGATTAAACAAGAATTCATGTTTGAACTATGGTTGGTGAGTCCTTAGGCACATTCTGCAAGACTTTCAAAAGACAGTTGCAGGTTTTTACTAATTTTAACTGGAATTACCAGGGTAATTGTCTTTGTTCTATTTCATTAGCCCCTCACTACCACTCAAATGTGCTTGTGCACACTTGGTCTTTAGAAGCTCAAAGTACTTAGTGGAGCATATTTAGTCTTTTCAAATCCCTTCAAGGGTGGAAGTAAGCAGGATGGGGACTGCCGGGCAAGGAGAACATGAACTGCGTGGGTGATAGGAAAGCCTTGGGTAGAGGTGGGCAGCTGCAGTTCTGGGGAGTGAGGTAGTTGATGAGGATCCAGGACAGCCACCCAACTGGGTCATCGAACTCAGCCCCTGTGATGTTCCCCCTTTGTCTTCCAGTGGCTCCCTCTTGCCCTTTGACTACATTCCAGCTCCAGTAGGGCCCTCAAGGTAGACTCCTAAGGGGATCTTGTTCTTCTCAGCTACCACTGCTCTCTTCATTAACTGCTCTCCCAGGCTCAGGCTAGCCATGCTGAACCACACACAGTTCCCTCTTTCCCATTGTCCTCTCCTGGAATGTTCTTTGCTGTGCACCCCTTTTCTTCCTCATCTTTGCCTGACTAAGGAGCTCACTTCCTCTGGAAGCATCTTCCCTGGTGCTGTAGGTCTGGGGTAGGTGCCCCCTCGGACCCCTGGGCCTCTCAGATGTCAATGGCTGTTGACTTGCCTGCACCCCCACTAGACTCGGCAGCTTCCTAGGGACTGGGGATTAAGCCATCTCTAACTGTATTGCCTCCAGCTCTAAGCACAGGGCTTGTCACAGATCAGGGACTTATCAATGTTAGCTGGGGCAAATTAAGCTCCAAGCAAAGGAAAATGAACTAGTGGAGGAGGCTGACTGGAATACCCTGTTCTGGGGTCTTGTGCCTCCCTTGAGACTCTCTGCATCCTGCCACCTGCTCCCAGCTGCCGGTCAGCACATACTGATTGTGCACTGGCCCTAGACTAGGCTTGGAGCAGTGGGTAGGGAGGCAGGAATGGGACCGAATGCTTGCTGACCATCCTCAAAGTGTTGAGTTGAGAAAACAAGATGAACTGTGTGCATAGTGAAACTTGGGAATGAGATGGAATATAGCATGACTTCTCAGGGCTAGTGTGGCGTGTGCATCAGCTGCAGTGGCATCTCCTGGGCTCTGGTTAGAAATGCAGCACATCAGACCCTACCAGACCTCCTGAATCAGAACCTGCATTTTAACAAGACCCCAGGGGAGGCATAGGTATGCTGGAGTCTGAGAGGCACTGGTTTAAGTGGGACAGTGAGCAGTTTAGTCATGGGCTGCAGTATTTGGAGAAGGCTGCATCGGCAAGGGAGCAACTGAGCTCCCTTGAGTCCTGGGAGGGCAATACCCAGGGTGGATGAAAGAGGAGAGTATTTGAAGCTGGGAGAGTGTGGAGCCAGGAGAGGACCAGTCTTCTTGCTAGTGATGAATTTTGGCAGAGCAATGGGATCCATCTTCTAAAGGATCTGATTTGGTAACATTCACATCACATGTTCAAAAGTTACCAAATCAGATACTAAAATTGAACACATCATTTTTATCACCCAGATGTAGATTCTATGTTCTTCCTTAGCAGCAGCGAAGGTGGTAGAAAGCACTGGGCAGGGAGTCCAGACCCAGGTCTGGTTGTGGTTTTGCTGATAACAAAGCTGTGGGTACTGACCAAGCCGCTTTACAAAATGATAATTTTATGCGTTTATGATTTCGTGGGTCAAGACAAAAGCCATAGGCATGGCTCTGCTAGGCAGTTCTACTCTGGGTAGTGTTAGTGGGGGCGACTCATTCAGCTGGTGGCAGCCCTGAGTTGGGATGGAGAGTCCAATCAGGCTTTATTCATATCTGGCTCCTCCGTGCTCCCCCATGTGGCCTTTGGCTGTCCACATGGCTAGCTTGGGCTTCCTCACAGCATGGTAGCCTCAGACTTCTTATGTGGCAGCTGGCTTATAAGAGGGAAGAAATGGAAGCTACAAGGTCTCTTAAAACCTGGAACTGACACATCTTCATTGCATTCTGTTGATCCAACTGGTCATAAGCCCTGCCCAGATTCAAGGGGAGGGAAAACAGTCTCCATCTCTTGATAAATGGAGCAGGATGCAGGCACAAGGAGGACAGAATTGAGTGTGGCTCTCTTTGGGTACTGTCTGTAATATAACATACCAGGCTCCATGATGTCATGAGGACCCAGACTCCTTTCTGCTCCTCCCACCTCATGGTCCAAGGTGACTGTTGGTGCTCTAGTCAGCAGGAAGGAGTGGAGGAGGAAGAAGGCACCGTTTGCTCCCCTTCAAGGAGATTTCTATTTCATTGGCCAGGTAGTCCATGGCCATGCTGTCTTAGTCCATTTTGCGTTGCCATAAAGAATACCTGAGACTGGCTAATTTATAGAGAAGAGGTTTATGGCTCATGGTTCTGCAGGCTATACAAGAAGCATAGGGCTGGTGTCTTCTTCTGGTGAGGCCCTCAGGAAGCTTCCACTCATAGAAGGCGGAAGGGGAACAAGCGTGTCATATGGTGAGGGAGGAAGCAAGAGAGAGGGGAGGAAGTGCCGGGCTCTTTTTTTTTTTTTTTTTTTGAGACGGAGTTTTGCTCTTGTTGCCCAGGCTGGATGCAATAGCCCGATCTTGGCTCACCGCAACCTTTGCCTCCTGGGTTCAAGTGATTCTCCTGCCTCTGCTTCCCGAGTAGCTGGGATTACAGGCATGCACCACCACGCCTGGCTAATTTTGTATTTTTAGTAGAGATGGGATTTCTCCACGTTGGTCAGGCTGATCTCAAATTCCCGACCTCAGGTGATCCACCCACCTCAGCCTCCCAAAGTGCTGGGATTACAGGCATGAGACGCCGCGCCTGGCCACCAGGCTCTTTTAAACAGCCAGCTCTCCCATGAACTGATGAGAGTAAGAACTCGCTCTTTACTACGGGGACGGCACCAGGCCATTCATGAGGGATCTGCCCCTGTAACCTCCCACGAGGCCCCACCTCCAACACTGGGGATCACATTTCAACAAGACATTTGGAGGGGCCTAACATTCATACCCCATCACATGCCTGTAGGATGCTGTAAGACAGTATGCCCAGCTAGAAGTCAGAGGTTTGTTCTAAGGAAGAAGGGGAGAATAAAAAGTGGGAGCAACTGGCTGGGTGCGGTGGCTCATGCCTGTAATCCCAGCACTTTGGGAGGCTGAGGCGGATGGATCACTTGAGGTCAGGAGTTTGAGACCAGCCTGGCCAACATGGTGAAACCCTGTCTCTACTGAAAATACAAAAATTAGCCAGGCGTGGTTGTATGTGCCCCTGTAGTCCCAGCTACTTGGGAAGCTGAGGCAGGAGAATTACCTGAACCCAAGAGGTGGAGGTTACGGTGAGCTGAGATCGAGCCACTGCACTCCAGCCTGGGCAAAAAAAGTAAGACTCCATCTCAAAAAGAAAAAAAAAAAAAAAAAAGGGTGGGAGGAACTGCCAGTTGTTACTTCACCTTTCCCAAAGCCAAAACCTGCTTGAAAATTTTAGGGGCAGAAGCCGCAGACAGGGCAGCCTCAAGACACAGGGAGGTGGGTCTCTTGAGTGAGCCTACTGGATGTGCCTGCCTGCCCGGGGACCCTCATGGCCTCTCTCTGCCCCCAGTTCACCACAGGCACGTGCAGCGACTCGGTGGTTCACAGCTGTGACCTGTGTGGCAAGGGCTTCCGTCTGCAGCGCATGCTGAACCGTCACCTCAAGTGCCACAACCAGGTGAAAAGACACCTGTGCACCTTCTGCGGCAAGGGCTTCAACGACACCTTCGACCTGAAGAGGCACGTCCGCACACACACAGGTGAGCGGGGAGTGCGTGCTTTGTTCTCTGTTTTGTTATTCTGGCCAAGAGCTCCTGTTTCTTTCCCACCAAAAAACCAGGTTGAGACCGTGGAACAATGTTGTGTTTCTAGAAAGATCACAAGATGCGGATCACGAGGTTAGGAGTTTGAGACCAGCCTGGCCAACATAGTGAAACCCTGTCTCTACTAAAAATACAAAAAAATTAGCTGGGCGTGGTGGTGGCGCCTGTAATCCCAGCTACTTGGGAGGCTGAGGCAGGAGAATCGCTTGAACCTGGGAGGCGGAGGTTGCAGTGAGCCAAGATCATGCCACTGCACTCCAGCCTGGGTGACATTGCAAGACTCCATCTCAAAAAAAGAAAAAAAAAGAAAGATCACAAGATGATGGGGCGTTAGGGCCAGCCCTTCTGGGTTCACCTCCTGACTCTGCCACCTGCCAGCTGTGTCACCTTGGGCCAGGTGAGCCACCTTTGGTAGCCTGCCTTTCACCCCTGTAAAATGGAGATATCGATGTGAGTTCTAGCGAGGCTCAAAACGGATCCCTGGCTGGAAGTATTCTGAGAATCATGATGCATGGCACACACGCGGGGCCTGCCACAGCTCAGCCCCTTGGTTCTGGCTGCTGGAATGTGGTTCTTGTGGCCCCACAATGAGTATTTTATACTTCTCTCTTGGGACATAAGCCTGTCTCTGGATAGCATCGTGTTCCTCCTGAGACACAAAAAGGAGCTCATTGCCTTTAGAGCTGACCCGAGCCTCGTACTGGAGCCTGGCAGGCAAGCATCTTCCTCTTCTGGGACCTGCCTCAGTTTTCTGACTTAGGAAGTGGGAATCCAGGTTCTCCCCAGTTCCAGTTCTTCACAGAGTCCTGGGGGTGCCCTTGGCCTCTTGTCTCGGCCTCACTGCTTCTATCTGAGAAACACCTGGCCTCCATGCTTTCCCGCCTGAGCTCCATTGTCCACACCTCTGCCAGAGTGATCCCTCCAGGAGAATTCTAAGGACTCTACTTCCCTGCTAAGAAATCTCCAACTCTGAACAGAATGAAATCCAGACTCCTCATCTCTCATCTTGATGGGCTTCGTGTAAAGGCCTTTACAATGTGGGTCCCATCTTCAAATCCCCATCCTATCTCAGCCCATCCCAGCCCATCACGTCCTATCCCATCACATCCTATCACAGCCCACCTCAGATCAGCCCATCTCACTCCAACCCATTTCAGCTCATCCTATCCCATCCCATCTTAACCCATTCAACCCTATCCAGGTTACCACCCACCCTCCCAACAGACTTATAGAATTTACTATCTGCAGGCTGGGTGCAGTGGCTCCTGCTCGTAATCCTTGCACTTAAGGAGGCCAAGGTGGGAGGATTGCTTGAGGCCAAGAGTTGGAGACCAGCCTGGGCAACATCGAAAGACTGTCTCCCCAAGAAAATTTAAAAATTAGCCAGGCGTGGTGGTGCGTGCCTATAGTCCTAGCTACTTGGGAGACTGAGGCTGGAGGATCGCTTGAACGTAGGAGTTTGAGGCTGCAGTGAGCTATGATTGTGCCACTGCACTCCAGCCTGGACAAGAGAGCAAGACCCGGTCTCAAGGGGAAAAAAAAAGGGTTTGCTATCTATAGTCCCCGAGCCCTTTCCGTCCTTGGTATTTTGGTAGGGAAGGGAAGACACTTTTTCCTCCCTCCAGATGGGGCTCCCAGCTACTCAGCCCTCATACAGGTTCCTTCTTAGGCCTCTGCATCCTATTTTCTAGTTCATATCATGCGTGTTTGCTCTTAGAGGACTGGCCGTGAGCTGCCTCCCTGGTCTGGAAAGAGTTTCTGTCACCTTAGAGAGTGGCTGGAATCCTAACATAGTTCTTTTCTGTTTTCCTCTTTTAAAACTTTTTCTTTTCTTTCTTTCTTTCTTTCTTTTTTTTTTTTTTTGAGACAGCGTCTTGCTCTCTCACCCAGGCTGGAGTGCAGCCACCAACTCCTGGGCTCAACTGATACTCCCACTTCAGCACCCCTAGTAGCTGGGACTATAGGTGCATGCCACCACTCCCAGCTAATTTTTTTTGTATTTTGTATTTTTTGTAGAGATGAGATTTCGTCATGTTGCCCAGGCTGGTCTCAAACTCCTGGGCTCAAGCCATCCACCCGCCTTGGCCTCCCAAAATGCTGGAATTACAGGCATAAGCCACCACACCCGGCCAAAAACTTTTTCTAAAGAGACTTTTCATTTTAGTGTAACATACATCTAGAAAAGTGCACAGATCCTAAGTGCCGACCTCAGCAAATTTAGGAAGTTTTACAAAGTGAACACACTCATGCGACTAGCAGTCAGACCAAGAAACAGAATATTTCCAGCCACTAGAAGTCACTACCCCTCTCAGTCTGCCTTTTTCTCTCCAAGGAAAACCACTGTTGCAAATTCTAACAGCTTAAGTTACTGTTGCCTGTTTTTGAGCTTGATGTAAATGGAATCCCATAGTGTGCTCTTTGGGTCTGGTTATATGGCTGCTTTTCCTAGCACCAGTGAATCAATAAAAGTTTGACCTCTGTGAGTCTAAGCTGGCCATTGGGTGGGGGTGAGGAGAATGCTTAGGGAGAGGTGGAGGATCCATAGGGCAGTAGGGGGTCTTATAAGAGGCCTAGGGGAGGTCTCGAGGTTGTCAAGGGACCCATCCAGCAGCAGCAAAGCTGGGCTTTCCTCCTGACCCCAGGGGCAGGAAATCAGGACCACTCCTGAAGTCGCTGGCCATTGGTGGCCCTGGAGGGTGTCTCAGCCCCTCCTTGAGGGTGTCTCAAGGACATCATCTCTGAGGATGTCCTTGAGGGCATTCCCTGCCTGGATGGACTCTGTGGTCACTCCCCCACCCTGGCTTCTAGGACACAACGCAGGGGGCCCAGGAAGCATGGCTAGCTGTTGGTACCTTCAGCTGGAGTAAACACTGAGCTGATGGCCTTGCCTCCCCTGTGATTGAGTTAATTCTCCATTGCTGGAGACTAAGGGAAATATTAGGGACTGACAGCTTCTCAGAGAAGAGTTTACAAGTTGAGGCGGTCACATAGTAGTTAAGAACTCCTGATCTGAGTTAGCTGACTGTGAGACTTGTTCTAAATTATTCGTCTTTCACCTTAATTTTTCCATCTCTAGAATGGGTGTGATCATTTTAATACTTGCCACTTAAAGTGATGGTTGTGAGGTTTTGGGGCCAGAATTACATAAAAGTGCTTCTTATATTGTAAGTGCGTAGTAAATATTAGCTATTATTAGTAGTAAAATTGCAACAGTTGGCAGAGGCTTCCTGAGGACCTGATGTGTAACAGGCCCTAGGATTCACCTCTGTGCTCATGGAGCTCTCAGCCAACATAGGGAGGAATAACTCAGACATCTGACTGTGAGACAAGTGAAACAGCCGATATGCCAGACAGAAGAAAAAGTGGCACATGCCAAAGGGGAGTCCTGGGAGGTGCCTTGTTTCTAACTGCATGTCAGGGGGGCTTCTTAGAAAAGGTAGTCTTTCAGCTGGGCGTTGAAGGATGAGCAAGCTTTCTACAGCAGGACAGAAGGAGGAAGAGCGTTGCTAATGAGGAGTGTCTTAGTTTGGGTTGCCCAAGAAGCAGACGCGACACAAGGATTTGGATGTGAGCAATGTATTTGGGAGGTGATCCCAGAAAACACAGTAGAGGAGGGAGGGGAGGTCAGGAGGGAAGACAGCCAATAAAAGCTCAATAATAATGAGTGGGTTATCACTACGGGCAGCGGAGGCTCAATCCCACTGGAGATCCTCTGAAGAACCATATAGAATGCACCCCAGGTTGCTCAATCAACCCCCATCCCTCCTTGGGTGTCCATCCTGGACCTCCTGACTCCTGGGCAGTTCTCCCTACCCTCTGCCCACCCCAGCCCTTTGCAGGCCTGGAGAGCATCCTTAGGCAGAGAGATGCAGGAACCATCTGAGATGCCTGGCGATCTGCTAAGGGGATATGAGTGGGGCATCCGCCCTGGGAGGCAGAAGATTTAGCAAGTGAGGAGGGTGGCTCGGCAGAGACTAGGGGACCCTTCAGAGAGTAACACAGCCCTGCAGGCAGAAGCAAGCCACACACGGTCACTCTCCTTCATGCCAGGCCTCCGGCCTTTATCCTGTCATCTCAAATTACCCAAAGCAGTCAGTGCTGTTGTTCTCCACCTTTTGCAGAGGAGGAAACCAGGCTCAGGGAGCTCACACAACCCATCAGTGGTGGAGCTGGGAACCAGAACTGGCTGGCCCTGAAGTTCATGGTCTTTTATCCTCTGTAGGGTCTCCTTCTCTGCCCTCTTTGCCTCCCAGTGCCTTCCTCAGCATTCCCCCTGAGGCAGGGGCCTCACCAGCCTGCCCTGTTGCAGTTTCTTTCTTTTTTTTTTTTTTTTTTGAGACGGAGTCTCGCTCTGTCGCCCAGGCTGGAGTGCGGTGGCGCGATCTCGGCTCACTGCAAGCTCCGCCTCCCAGGTTCACGCCAGTCTCCTGCCTCAGCCTCCCGAGTAGCTGGGACTACAGGCGCCCGCTACCAAGCCTGGCTAATTTTCTGTATTTTCAGTAGAGACGGGGTTTCACCTTGTTAGCCAGGATGGTCTCGATCTCCTGACCTCGTGATCCGCCCGCCTCGGCCTCCCAAAGTGCTGGGATTACAGGCGTGAGCCACCGCGCCCGGCCTGTTGCAGTTTCTAGAAGCCTGCTTGCTTCTAGAGGAAGGTGAGATAAAGGGAAACTCAGACCTATTAGTAGCACAAAGTGCACACTTCAGCTTGGGGTTTAGTAGGTTGTAGAGGAGCCTGTGAGCGTGTGAGTTCAGTGGTGCCAAGATGTCCTCTGCCCACAGAGGAAGCAAGAAAGGGGGTGCCTGTACCCCTTCAGACTCCCAACCTGAGGTTCTCAGATTTTCTCCATCTCCTACTCTTCTAGTGACTCCTGTGAGGGAGCTGAAAATCATTTAAGTTAGTGAATGAAAATACCTTCCACCTGACGTTTTCCCAAAGGGTTTCGCAGTTATCACCTTAGGGGAAAGGCTAGGGCTTAGGAGGCAGCTAGGAGTGAAAAACCTAGAGGTGTGCTGGCTGGTCCGGCGGCCACTGGCTGTGTGTGGCTCCTGAGTCTCAGAGGAGGGGCTGGTCCAGATTGAGATGTGTTGTATAGGCAAAAGAGACACTAAGTTTCAAGTTGTAATGCAAAAAAAGAAGGTGTAAAAATCTCAATTTTTTTGTTTTTTTCTTTTTTGAGATGGAGTTTTGCTCTTGTCGCCGAGGCTGAAGTGCAATGGCTTGATCTTGGCTCACTGCAACCTCTGCCTCCCGGGTTCAAGTGATTCTCCTGCCTCAGCCTCCTGAGTAGCTGGGATTACAGGGATGCACCACCATGCCTGGCTAATTTTGTATTTTTAGTAGAGATGGAGTTTCTCCATGTTGGTCAGGCTGGTTTCGAACTCCTGACCTCAGGTGATCTGCCCGCCTCAGCCTCCCAAAGTGCTGGGATTACAGACATGAGGCACTGCACTCGGCCAAAAATCTCAATTTTTAATATGGATTTTACATTGAAATGGTAGTATTTTGGGCATAATGAGTTAAACAAAATATAGCATTAAAATTCATTTCACCTGTTTCTTCCTACCTGTTTGAGGCTTCTACAAAACGTTAACTTATAAAGCAGCTTGCATTTTAATTTCTATTGGATGGCACTAAGATAACCTTTAAAAATTTTAATCATCATTTTGACACTTAAAGGGATGAACAAATGGAACTATGGAAATGTTTTAGACCTATTTACCCCATCCCGACCTATTTTCTGATGAAGGTGTGTCTCCATGTAATAAAAGACCAGAAAGAGCAGCCGGGGGCTTCCTGACACATCAGCTGGTGGCAAGCTCAGAGGAACAGGCTTGCCGAGCCATCTCTTCAGCTCTGTCCAAAAGAGACAGTTGGTACAAAGTGCAAAAATGTGGGTTTCTCAGATGATGTTTTAGTTCATGTGAACAAACTTCACCAGCTCCAAAAGACCTTACTTGAATTCAGTGGGAATTTGGTCTTACCTTTGTTGTTTGCTTATTTGTTTTGTTTTAGGTGGAGTCTTGCTCTGTTGCCCAGGCTGGAGTACAGTGGCTCCCGTCTTGGCTCACTGCAGCCTCTGCCTCCTGGGTTCCAGCGATTCTCTTGCCTCAGCCTCCCAGGTAGCTGTAGCTGGGATTATAGGCACATGCCACCACGCCTGGCTAATTTTTGTATTTTTAGTAGAGATGGGGTTTCACCATGTTGGCCAGACTGGTCTCGACTTCCTGACCTCAGATGATCAGCCTGCCTTACCCTTCCAAAGTGCCAGGATTACAGGCGTGAGCCACTGCACCCGCCTGGCCTGGTCTTGCCTTTGATTGAGCTGTGAGTGTTGTATTTTTGCTATTGGTTCTTATAAGTAAATGTTGTATTTAGGCCAGAAACAAAGATATAGACACTTAACATAAATACGACAGATAGTTAAATGAGGGGTATGTTTGTTTGCAGTCCAATTAGACCAGGCCATGGCCTGGACCCAGGACCCAGGACCCAGGGCCGAGGACCCTTTGTTGGAGAATTGTAGCTATAATATTGATGAGGTGGGCAAAGACAGTGAGCTAGAGAATCAGGGTTAATCTGCACCACCCCCGACTCCCCCATCTCTTCCAATCCCCTGCAACTACTGAGCAAACAGGATATCTAAGGAAAGACTCAAAACACAAAGAAATATCTTGGAAAAGATCCAGGGAAACTAGAACCTGAAGATGTCTTACATTAATATCCAAGTAGACGAAAGAAAAGATTAGGACTTCTTTTTTGGCTGTGAGTTCACCCAAGAAAGGTAAATCGGAGGGGTGTGTGTGTGTGTGTGTGTGAGAGAGAGAGAGAGAGAGAGAGAGAAAGAGGGGAAGGGAGTGTTAGTTAAATGGTGTCCTACTGAAGACTGGAAGAGAGAAACTGACCTGTGCAGAAAAACTCTGTAATATTTTGTGAAAACAAGTGGCTATTTTCAATCCAAATTATCTTAGGTGGGGTTTGGAAGCGGCTTCCCATCAAATGGTTTATTGAGGGAGGGCTGTCAAGTGGAGCCTGTGAGGGCAGAGGATGAGCATGGGTTTTGCTGTTAGCTGGAGTGCAGCCTCGACCTCATCCCAGGGGGGATCAGGAGTGTGAATGGACTCCAGGATGGATCTGCTACAGGCAAGGTGGGGGCAGGGACTTTTTTACCCCCATTTCAGTCTGACGTTGGCTGAGGGCTGTGTCTGCCCTGGGCGAGGTCAGGGAGACACTCCTGAGCATCTGGAAGGTCACTTGCCCAGTGCTGATTCCTTAAAGAAGGGGACAGCCAGAAGCCACACGACAGCTGGGGACATGCACTGACCCAGAAAAGCGGTCTGGATGGGAAGCCAGCAGCAGCCACTATATAATTGAGGGACTTGCTGTACTTCAGTGAAGTTGACAGGATCACTGAGGACAACATGGGAAATTCTGCCTGCTGACCAGCTCAAAATAGAGAGAGGGGACATGAGCTTCCAGGAAATGAATGTGTATTCAGTTCATAGCCTGTGAAAAACATGGGCCTTTATATTTATAGGATATATATAGTATTTATAGGACATTCTTTCGGATTTATTTAAGTGTTTTAGGTTGAACAGGCTAGGATGCTTCCTAAGAATGGTTCTCTGTTGAAGTAAACGATTTGGTTTGGGAGGAGAGGGAGGAGATCTTTATTTTAGAGGAAAAAATAATAACCAGCCCTTGCAAGCACAAGACTCTGCACTGAGTGTCCACACCCTCCCTACTCAAAGGGTGGTCAGTGGACCGGCAGTGCCAGAGTCCCCAGGAGCGAGCATGCAGGAAATGCAGACTATTGCTTCGGAAGTGCCCGATGTGCCAGGCCCATCATTTAAGTCCCGCGTTTATGGAAAGTGTTTTATTTTGCTCATTTGTAAAATGACTAAGTATTCTGTAAAAGATTTCAGACAATATAAAAAGCTGCAGAGAAGACAGCGTAAAGGGCCATAAACAGGTGAGAAGGGCACACACATCCGTGGGGCTCCCAGCTAAGGCTTTGCAGGGAGCCACGTGGCCCAGGGAGGTCATAAACCCATGCTGGTTATAACTTAACAACGCTGGCTGGAATAAAGGAGGCAGTTCAGGGCTCATGCCATTCCTGGGGAAGCTGCTGAGTTCCACAGGGTGAAGCCGAGGAATTCCAATTCTGAGGTCAGGGAGGTGGGGAGGGGGCACCGGCCCCACCCTCTAGGGCGCCTTCTGTCCTTATCTTCCATCGGGGCCTACATTCAGAGGGAGGAGAAGGCACACAAATCCCATCTTGATTAAAGAAGAGAAAACAATGGTGTCTTTGTTTGGAGCCCAAAGGGAAGGATTGACTAGATTGGGAAAAATGCAGATTGGGAGATGTTTGGAGTGGGCCAGATGGAGAAGAAAGAGTCAAGTCACCTCCACCCCTAGTGGCCTGAATGCTGTCATGCGGAATTGCCTGGTCCAGTTAACAAACCCTCGCTTCATTGTTTTATTTTTAATTTGTATTTTATCTTAATTTACTTTTTAGCTAAAAAGGTAATATGTTCATTAGGAGATAAAAGGAAAGAAAAAAATGTAAACTCCCTTCACATGCCAAGCCCCAGTTCCACCATTTAATTTTTTTCCCAAAAGTTTTTAATGTATATTGCTTTTTCACATAATATATATCTTGGAGCTAGGTGCGGTGGCTCACACCTGTAATCCCCGCACTTTGGGAGGCCGAGGCGGGCTGATCACTTGAGGTCAGGAGTTTGAGACCGGCCTGGCCAGCATGGTGAAACCCTGTCTCTACTAAAAACACAAAAATTAGCTGGGCATGGTGGCTGGCGCCTGTAATCCCAGCTACTCAGGAGGCTGAGGTAGGAGAATCGCTTGAACTCGAGAGGCAGAGGCTGCAGTGAGCTGAGATGGTGCCACTGCACCCCAGCCTGGGCAACAGAGTGAGACTCCATCTCAAAATAATAATAATAATAATAATAAAAGAAATCATGACAAAATTTCCAGTATCGAGGGACTGTACTTTTCCTATTCCTCAATTGATGACATTTGTTTCCATTTGCAGATTTCCTTCCTTCCTTCCTCCCTTCCTTCCTTCCTTCCTCCTTCCCTTCCTTCTTTTTTCTTTTCTTTTCTTTCCTTTCTTTCTTTCTCTCTTTCTTTCTCTCTCTCTCTCCTTCCTTCCTTCCTTTCCTTTCCTTTCTTTCTTTCTCTTTCTTTCCCTCTCTTCTTTCCTTCCCTTCTTCCTCGCTTCCTTCCTTTCTTCTTTCCTTCCTTCTTTCCTTTCTTTCATTTCAGGCAATCCTACCATGAGTATATCTTGTATATCCTTCGCCTCCCTGTGTGAGTCTTCCTGTAGGATAATTTCCCTGATGTGAAATTGCTGGGCCAAAGGGTAGATACAGTGTGATTTTTTTTTATGGCCATTGCCAAATTGCCTTCCGGGGAGGCTGCCGTAAATGTCCACTCCCACAAGCATGCCTGTAAAAATCTTCTCGCTGAAGTTCACCTTCGGATAAAGTTCAGTAAAGGAGCAGTTGAGCTATAGCAAGGAAAGCAACTAGAAAGTTCCAAAGTGTAGAATTTTCCTTGAGGATGTATGGCACGAAGCTTGATTTGCTATTAGGGGTAAAAAAATGGAAAACAACAAACCCTTTTTGATAACCCAATAAACAATATTTTTCGGACTAGGTAGGACAGGCTGATGGTACAAAATTCAAAAGGGCAGACGGCGAAAGCAGTCCCCCCTCTCCTCCACCAGCCACATTTTAAAAAATTATCCTTTCCTTTTGTTGTGAAATAAGTAACACGTACAAAAGTATACATATAGGTACAGTTTAAAGACAAATCTGCGAAATACTCATGTACCCAGCAGCCAGCTTATGTTTTTGTTTTGTTTTTTTTCTGAGATAGAGTCTCGCTCCGTTACCCAGGTTGGAGTGCAGTGGCGCCATCTCAGCTCACTGCAACCTCTGCCTCCCAGATTCCAGCGATTCTCCTGCCCTGGCCTCCCGAGTAGCTGGGATTACAGGCACTCGCCACCATGCCCGGCTAAATTTTTTTTGTATTTTTTAGTAGAGGTGGGGTTTCACCATATTGGCCAGGCTGGTCAGCAGCCAGCTTACGAATGAGGCTTATCTGCATTATGTTGAGCTGTATCCCATTGAGAACTTAGTCTATCTCGGCTAATCCTCACAGCAGCCATGCAAGAGCTATGACACCCCTGTGACAGGTGAGGAAACGGCCTTTCGGGCTGGAGCAGCCGCCCCCGTTTCAGTTAATAAGCAGCAGATCCGCAGCCTGGCTCTTCGGTGGCCTTGGACTCACAGTCGTGTGGGTGTCAGTAGGTTAATGACGTCTAGCGCATGGGTGGTGCTCTTCAGTTCCCATGTCCTGCTTTAGACACAGGCACGGTTGGCCTTTGCGTGAGAGCACCAAGATGGGTGAGCCTCAGTGGTGGGAGGGGCCTTGGCATCAGTCCGTCTTGCCCAGGGCTCCTCTCTGGCCACCCACGTCCCCCTGAATGTGTGGGTGATGGGGGTGCTCTGGGAGGGAGGTGCTTGTTCCCAAGCCTAGAAAGGGTCACCAAGGGGCTGCCGCATGGCAGTGCCCGCACCAGTGAATGAGGGGTGAATGGTGGCGTTTACACTAGCAAATGGGGAAGCAGAAGTGCTGGGGCACAGAGCAGTGCATTTGGCAAAAGTCAGAAGTGCCATAACTGGAGCTTTCTGGGCCTATGTCTCCTTTCCATCTCTGTCTGCGAGTCACTCCTCTTCCAAGCCAGGCTCTAATTCTACCCACTCCCTGGAAAAAAAGCCCCCACTGCCATCATCTCTCTTGTTTGCATGATGCAGGGCTTTGGAATCTTCTAGCGTTTGCTATCCAGGCCTTGCTGGGTACTCTGCTCATAGAAGATGCTCAGAGGCTGTGTTGACTGAAGAGAGGAAGGAGATGTGGCCCTGTGCACATGGGGCTGAGTGGTGGCCTGGCTGGCCTCTCCTCGGGGGCAGATCACCTTTGAGGATGGGAACCTCCAGGAGTTTGTTGCATCCAGGTTAAAGCCTGATGTTAAGTGTGCCAGCTTCCCCATATTTTTAGTTTGGATGTTTTAAAACAGTAGTCGGTTATTTCTACTAACTAGTGAAAGGAGCAACTAATCTCTGGGTGGATTTCTGCTCTGATGAGCTGAAGGTTGGAAATCGGGTTTGCCGCTTGATCTACTGGGTAGTGGGAGCCAGCTGCTCGCTGCTGCATGGGCCCAGAAGGCCGGGAAAACACAAAGTCTGCATTACAGTGCAAACATGAAAGCTAGAGCGGGCGCATTCCTTAGGAGAGGAGTCTGTAGTCCTTGCCTATGTGGAAAACTAGTCCCAAAGATGTGGCCTTTCTTTCCTGGAACCAACAGAGTTCATCCATTCATTCGATATTTTGATTTTTAAAATATTGCCTTAAAACTTTCTTAACCTTGATTGGTGAGGGTTGGTTTGTTTGTTTTCTGTTTTTCTGAGACAGGGTCTCACTCTCGCCCAGGCTGGAGTGCAGTGGTGCGATCATGGCTCACTGTAGCCTTGAATTCCTGGGTTCCAGTGATCTCTCCCACCTTAGCCTCCTGAGTAGCTGGGACCACAGGGGCATGCCACCATGCCCAGCTAATTTTTTACTTTTTTGTAAAGACAGGGATCTCCCCATGTTCGCCAGGCTAGTCTCGAACTCCTGGACTCAAGAGATCCTCCTGCCTTGGCCTCCCAAAGTGCTGGGATTACAGGTGTGAGCCATGCACCCATCCTAGAATAGTTTTAAGAGAAAAGGTGGGAGATTCATTGTCATTACACTGCCCAGAAGGAACCACAGTTAGTACGAAAATTATTATTATTAATACTGGCAGGTGGTTGGAGATGGGAAGTAGTACAGACAGGGACGCAATGGCAAGTGTAAGCCTTCACCACCCTCCAGACCGTCTCTCCAGAACCCCAGGTTTATGTTTCGGAAACATGTACATCCGTGCATATGCCAATGTGAATGTGCATTTATTTAGAACTCTCGTTTTCATACTTGGCTGCACACTAGAGCCTCCTGGGGAAGCTTTAACAAATTCTCCTGCTCAGGCAACACCCAGAGATGACATATATTTATTAATCTTAAAATACATATGTAGGCCGGGCGTGGTGGCTCATGCCTGTAATCCCAGCACTTTGGGAGGCCGAGGCAGGTGGATCTCCTGAGGTCAGGAGTTCAAGATCAGCCTGGTCAACATGGTGAAACCCGGTCTCTACTAAAAAAATACAAAAGTTAGCTGGACATTGTAGCAGGCACCTGTGGTCCCAGCTACTAGGGAGGCTGAGGCAGGATACTCGCTTGAACCCAGGAGGCAGAGGTTGCAGTGAGCCGACATTGTGCCACTGCACTGCAGCCTGGGAGACAGAGTGAGACTCCTTCTCAAAAAATAAAATAAAATAAAAATGTACATATATATAATTTGTAGAAAATGTGAAGGATCACAAGAAACTTGCGAGTTAGGACTAGGGAAGGAGAGGTGCATGGGGTGACAAAGGGATCTTTTCTGTTTTATTTTTTTTAATTTACTGCTGTTTTTCACCATAAAACTGGGGGGTATATTACTTTTAAATTTAAACAACTATTAATAGTAACCTTTTGTTATTTATTTTGTTTATTTATTTATGTATTTATTTGAGACAGGGTCTCGCTCTATTGCCCAGGCTGGAGTGCGGTGGCACTATCTCAGCTCACTGCAACCTCTGCCTGCTGGGTTCAAGCAATTTTCGTGCCTCATTCTCCCAGGTAGCTGAGATTACAGATGTGGGCCACCACACCAGGCTAATTTTTGTATTTTTACTAGAGACGGGGTTTCACTGTATTGGCCAGGCAGGTCTCGAACTCCCGACCTCAGGCGATCCACCCAGCCCGGCCTCCCAAAATGCTAGGATTACAAGCGTGAGCCACCGCACCCAGCCTATTTTTTATATTTTAATAAAAGGTAACTATTAGGGCCAGGCACGGTGGTTCATGCCTGTAATCCCAGCACTTTGAGAGGCCAAGGCAGGTGGATCACCTGAGATCGGGAGTTTGACACCAGCCTGGCCAACACAGTGAAACCCCTTCTCTACTAAAAATAAAAAAATTAGATGGCTGTTGTGGCGGGCACCTGTAGTCGCAGCTACTTGGGAGGCTGAGGCAGGAGAATTGCTTGAACTAGGGAAGCGGAGGTTGCAGTGAGCCAAGATTATGCCACTGCACTTCAGCCTGAGTGATAGAGCAAGACTCAGTCTCAAAAAAATAAAATAAAATAAAATATTAAAAATAAAACTACAGCTTCCTAGTCCCAGCCCCTGACCTAGTGCCTGGGGTCCCTGAGGCAGGCCCGGGAATCTGTACAGGGTCTGCGGGTTTCTCCAGGTGGCATCCCTCCTGTCTCTAGGCTCTAGGATGGTCTCGTGGCTGTGGCAGTGGCCTCTTCATGCTCCATGCACCCCCAGTACCATATTCACCCTCTCTCAACTTCCATGCTTTTGTGACGTGTGTCTCCTTCACAGCCATAACCTCTCTTTGAGAGCCTAAGTTAGACCTTACAGCCGGGCGCAGTGGCTCACGCCTGTAATCCCAGTACTTTGGGAGGCCGAGATGGGAGGATCACGAGGTCGGGAGATCGAGACCATCCTGGCTAACACGGTGAAACCCCGTCTCTACTAAAAATACAAAATATTAGCTGGGCGTGGTGGTGAGCGCCTGTAGTCCCAGCTACTCGGGAGGCTGAGGCCGGAGAATGATGTGAACCCAGGAGGCGGAGCTTGCAGTGAGCCGAGATGGTGCCACTGCATTCCAGCCTGGGCGACAGAGCGAGTCTCAGTCTCAAAAACAAAAAACAAAAAAACCTTACTATGGTGATTTCTTAATTTCATTTATTTATTTATTTATTTACTTATTTTTTTTTTTTTTGGAGACGGAGTCGCGCTCTGTTGCGCAGGCTAGAGTGCAGTGGCACAATCTCGACTCACTGCAACTTCTGCCTCCTGGGTTCAAGCAATTCTCCTGCCTCAGCCTCTCCAGTAGCTGGGATTACAGGCATGTGCCATGATGCCCAGCTAATTTTTGTATCTTTAGTAGAGACGGGGTTTCGCCATGTTGGCCAGGCTGGTCTCAAACTCCTGACCTCAGGTGATCCGCCCACGTCAGCCTCCCAAAGTGCTGGGATCACAGGTGTGAGTCACTGTGAAGCACCCAGCCAATTCGTTTCTTAAAGCCCAATAAAACTTGCTGATATGGCCTACGGGAATTTCCTAGAATCTGTCATGTGAGATTCTGCTTAGTGTGCTTGCTTCTGTCACATACCAGTCTCAACCTTAAAAAAAAAAATTCAACTTTGATTTTAGATTCAGGGGGTGCATGTGCAGGTTTGTTTATATGGGTACATTGCATGATGCTGAGATTTGAGGTCCAGATGATCCCGTCACCCAGGTAGTGCGCGTAGTACCCAATGGGGAGTTTCTCAGCCCTTGGCCCCTCCCTCTGTCCGCCCTCTGGTAGTCCCCAGCGTCTGTTGTTCCACCTTTAAGTCCCATCCTTCTTTTTGAGTGTGAGCCTCCTATTCAGCCACTGGCTCAAGGGGTGACCTTCGCCAGTGTAGGGTGCTGAGCTGGGTGTGCTCTGAGGTCTCTGCCCTGCCACTACCTTACCTGACCTCAGGCAAGACCACAACCAGAATCTTAAAGACCCTAACCTGTGGCTCTTGAAAGCCAAGTTGAACACTGGAATATCCAGCGACGTTTGTTAAAAATAGATTCCTGGGCCCGGCGCGGTGGCTCACGCCTGTAATCCCAGCACCTTGGGAGGCCGAGGGGGGCAGATCACAAGGTCAGGAGATCGAGACCATTCTGGCTAACATGGTGAAACCCCGTCTCTACTAAAGATACAAAAAATTAGCTGGGCGTGGTGGCGGGTGCCTGTAGTTCCAGGTACTCGGGAGGCTGAGGCAGGAGAATGGCGTGAACCTGAGAGGTGGAGCTTGCAGTGAGCTGAGATTGCGCCACTGCACTCCAACCTGGGTGACAGAGCCAGACTCCGTCTCAAAAAAAAAAAAAAAAATGGATTCCTGATTCCTACCCCAGACCCACTGAGTTGGTCTTAGGAGAAGTGAGTTAAGATTTTCAAAAGTTCTCCAGGTGATTCTGAGGCTCTGGCAAGTATGTAAAATACTGTACTGTCCAAGCTCATCTAAATAGTCTGTTGCACACACACAGAGTCCATGTTTATATTCTTTATCTGACATTCTGCCATACACATCAGGGTGAGTACCAATCATGGAGGTAGGAGCGGCAATGCTTTGATGAGGCTGAGCTCCCTGCTCTATATTGTACCTGTGATATCTCAGCTAGAAGGCAGGTCCAGTGTTAGCCCAGTTCTAATGCCAGCATGAGATCTTGTTTGGAAATGATTTTCATAACTGCCACAAATGCCTTAGTGTCCTGCCAATGGCCTGGGCATCTGCCATTTCTGGGCACACCTGTCCAAGTGGCAACTGTCCACCCCTGCACCTCTGCCTGAGGGGTTCCCTGCTGGAGCCCAGTCTGTCTGCACAAGGCAGGCAGAAGTGCTGGGGATGGAGAATCAAAACCACCCAGGAGCAGCCGGCAGCCAGTGACTGACCTCAGCTCCTGGAGGGGTGGGATGACGCCAAGGTGTGTGCCACACTGTCTCCCTGCGTTGCACAGAGGACTGGACCCTGGTTGTCCACCGTGTAACTGGCTGGGTAGCTTCCCCTCTACTGGATCCTACCCCTCCCTGCCTCACATCTTCGTTGCCCTATAGGTTCTTCCCAGGATCACCTCTCAAATAAACTACTTGTACTGGAATCTTTGTCCCAGGCTCTGTTTCTGGGAATACCCAAATTAATTTTTTTTTAATGGAGTCTCACTCTGTTGCCCAGACTGGAGTGCAGTGGCTCGATCTCAGCTCGCTACAACCTCCACCTCCTGGGTTCCAGTGATTCTCCTTCCTCAGCCTCCCGAGTTGCTGGGACTATGGGTGCGCGCCACCATGCCTGGCTAGTTTTTTGTATTTTCAGTAGAGACGGGGTTTCACCATGTTGGCCAGGCTGGTCTCGAACTCCTGACCTCAAGTCATCCGCCTGCCTCGGCCTCCCAAAGTGCTGGGATTACAGGCGTGAGCCACTGCACCTGGCCCGAATTAATTTTTTTTAAAAGTTTACTTTGCTCACAATAATATGAAAACATTAAGGTATGTGAGTTGGAAGAATAAAAATCTTCCTCCCTAAAGCAGGTGGTGGTTTTGTTTGTTTGTTTGTTTGTTTGTTTTCTATGTTGGCATCTGTTTGTGTTAGGTTTACTCAGGTGGATGCTATGATTTTTTGTAGACAGTTTTCTCTCCTGCTGTAACCATTGTCCTCATGCTGCCATGAATCCTTGGTCATGGCATGACTTTTACTGGCTTCATAGTTGGGTGGTTCTGGCTTGGCCATGACCAACCGATGCTGTGTCTGTCCCTCATCCTTTCAGGCATTCGTCCCTACAAATGCAACGTCTGCAATAAAGCCTTCACCCAGCGCTGCTCTCTGGAGTCCCACCTGAAGAAAATCCATGGGGTGCAGCAGCAGTATGCCTATAAGCAGCGGCGGGACAAGCTCTACGTCTGCGAGGATTGCGGCTACACGGGCCCCACCCAGGAGGACCTGTACCTGCACGTGAACAGTGCCCATCCGGGCAGCTCGTTTCTCAAAAAGACATCTAAAAAACTGGCAGCCCTTCTGCAGGGCAAGCTGACATCCGCACACCAGGAGAATACCAGCCTGAGTGAGGAGGAGGAGAGGAAGTGAGGAGAAGGAAGGGGAGGACAGACGTTCACACTGCCACGTATGTCTACGTGGATTTTTGGTTTTCAGCTTCCCCCACCCCACTGGCTCTTCTTAATTAGAAGTGACCAGTTCACCTCTGTGTCCTTTTGAAACATCAGCAGTAGGGTCCATTCCAAGATTGTCAGTTGCCGTTAGTGACGTCAGGCCCTGTAACCTGTGTCCTGTCTGGCGCAGTTGCTCACATTCACCAAAGTTTGTTTTCATGATCCTGATGGCCAAGAACACCGTGTGGGATTTTTTTTTCCCCCAAGGATTTTCACACACGGAAGGAGAGGTATTTCTTAGAGAGATCATCATTTTATGGTGCCTTGAAATAAAAATACTTCTACTTGAAATGCTGTTTAAGCAAGGCAAGTGAATTTTGTTATTCTGAAAGAGTTTACAGAAACTATTTTAATAAATGAAATGTTCTTGTGAAGCTTTTAAAAGCAAAATGGAACATTGACCTACAGCTCTCTGTTCAGGGCTTATTGTGTGATGTTTAACTTCAGGTTATTGAGGTGGGGAGGTTGATTACTTTATATTAGTTGTGTGGGTTTGAAGAAGCAGATCTTCCTCTCTTTTTTTGTTTTTGAGACAAGTTCTCACTCTGTCACCCAGGCTGGAGTACAGTGGCATGATCATGGCTCACTGCAACCTTGACCTCCCAGGCTCAGGTAATCTTCCCACTTCAGCCTCCCGAGTAGCTGGGACTATAGGTGTGTGCCACTATGCCCAGCTAATTTTTGTATTTTTTGTAGAGATGGGGTTTTGCTATGTTGTCCAGGCTGAGAAGCAAATCTTGAGTGTTGGGTGGAAGAACAAACGGCCAATTGGAAAAACCTGCACTGAGGGGCTGGCTCATGCAGGCTGGTGGGCAGAGATGCCTGGGGGTGGCATGGCAGGGAACTCAACTCATGGATCTCTTTTTATGGGCCTGGTCTCTTTTTCTGCAGAGGTCTTGGCTTTCTGCGGTTAGGATGCGCTGGCCGAAGGCTCTTCTCCCTCCCTTGAATGGGCTCTGTGGCCAACCCTGGAGCATGAGAAATGCTGGCTCCTCACTTGCAGGTGGGATAACAGTGACAGGAGTTCCCTCAGGGTGTGTGACAGCTGAGTGAAGTGACCTCTGCTACCTCCATCTCCTCACCTTGGAGGCCTGCGTCAGAGCCATGGGAGGTGAGACCCTGACTGCCTCGGGGGGTATTTGCCTCAGGCTGGGAGCTGTTGCCTGAATTGAGTAGGAAGTTCGGATCACCTACACCCTGATCACCTACACCCTGGTCAGCAACAGCCCATCACCTACACCCTGATCGTCTACACCCCATCACCTACATCCTGATCACCTACACCCTGGTTGCCAACATCCCATCACCTACACCTCAATCACCTTGACCCTGATCACCTACATCCCATCACCTACACCCTGATCACCTATACCCTGGTCACCTACACCCCGATCACCTACACCCCAATCACCTACACCCTGATCACCTACACCCCAATCACCAACACCCCATCACCTACACCTCTATCTCCTTGACCCCAATCACCTACACCCCATTGCCTACACCCCAATCACCTATACCCCATCACCTACACCCTGATCACCTACACCCCAATCACCAACACCCCATCACCTACACCTCTATCACCTTGACCCCGATCACCTACACCCCATTGCCTACACCCCAATCACCTATACCCCATCACCTACACCTCAATCATCTACACTCCATCACCTACACCTCATCACCTATACCCTGATCACCTACACTGCATCACCTATACCTCATCACTTACACCCTGATCACCTACACCCCAATCACCAACACCCCATCACCTACACCTTGATCACCTTGACCCCCATCACCGATACCTCAATCATCTATACCCCATCACCTACACCCCATCACCCAAACCCCAGTCACCTACACCTGATCATCTATACCCCACCACCTATACCCCTTCACTTACACCCTGCTCACCTATACCCCAATCACCTACACCCTGATCATCTATACCCCATCACCTATACCCGTCACCTACACCCCATCACCTACACCCCAATCATCTACACCCCACCACCTATACCTCATCACTTACACCCCGATCACCAACACCCCATCACCAACACCTTGATCACCTTGACCCCCATCACCTACACCCCATCACCTACACCTCAATCATCTATACCCCATCACCTACACCTCGATCATCTATACCCCATCACCTACACCTCAATCATCTATACCCCATCACCTACACCTTGATCATCTATACCCCATCACCTACATCTCGATCATCTATATCCCAATCATCTACACCCCATCACCTACAACCTGATCACCTATACCCCGATCACCTACAACCTGATCATCTATACCCCATCACCTATACCCATCACCTACACCCCGATCATCTACACCCCACCACCTATACCCCATCACTTACACCCTGATCACCTACACCCCAATCACCAACACCCCATCACCTACACCTTGATCACCTTGACCCCCATCACCTACACCCCATCACCTACACCTCAATCATCTATACCCCATCACCTACACCTCGATCATCTATACCCCATCACCTACACTTCAATCATCTATACCCCAGTCATCTACACCCCATCACCTACATCCTGATCACCTATACCCTGATCATCTACACCCTATCACCTACACCCCATTGTCTTTTATTGCCCACTCCCTGTCCCCTGGGCACCACCTGGGCCACTTCTTGGTCTAGGGAAGCATCCAGATGAGGAGGCCCTTGTCTTATTTTCTCCCTCCCTGCTTCCTCTTTCCCCTCCCTCCTTTCCTTCCACCTTCTTCTCTCCTTCTCTCCCACACTGTGCGCCAGGCCTTGTGCCAAGATCTGGACATTTTAAGTGGCATATCCTATAGCTTGAGTCAATGCTTCTCTTCCAATTAAGCGCTTTTGTTTCAGAAGGAAAGGAAATGAACCCTTTTTGGGCAGTGAGCTAGGTAGTCCTAGCTGGGCAGATGTTTTCTGGAAGAATCCTCAGAGCACCCCTGGGGTCACAGGCCTGTTTTCATGAGTAGATGAGGCAACTGCAGAGGCTGTCCTCTGGCGGTCAGAGGCAGAGGCCAGGAATCCTAAGTCTAGTCAGAACACCTCTATTTTCCCCCTCTCTCCTCACCTTCCCTTCAAAAAAGAAAGCAAAGGCCTCAGGCTGGACTGGGACCATGCAGAGGCAGGTATGAGACCAGGGCTGACTGGGGAGTCCTCACCCCTCTGCTGTTTGAACTGGCAAGTTTCAGGGACCCTGGGGCCCTGCTCTGCCTCATGTGAAGCTCCGGGTTCCTGGGCTGAGGCTGTAGCACTCAACAGTCTAAATGGCCCCATTCAGGCAGCAGCAGCAGCAGTAGGGGTTGAACCTGGCACTCAAGTGTCACAGGTGCAGCCTCCCAGGACAGCAAGTGCTGAGGATCAACCCTGACTCCAGAGGGCAGAGTACTCACATTGTGTTCTCTCTTAGCACTTGCTGCCAAGGAAGGCGCCGCTGGAAGGCGGTTGATTTGCTTTCTCCTTGGTTATCTGGGTCATGTAGACAACAAAAGTGAGCGTTCTTAGAAAGGAATATCCAAACGACAGGCTGGGGCAGCTGACCTGTGCCTGTTTTGCACAGGGAATTGTGAACCAGCTAACGTTCTCCTTAGGGTCAGGTTTTTATTTAACAGAGCTCTTGGTTGCAAGAGACAGAAACCCAGTGTAAAACAACTTCAGCAGAAAAGGGAATGTAGTAGCTGTAAAGCTTAGGGTTGTTCCAGTTTCAGGGGTGGCCAGATCTGGTGCTTATGTGATGTCATCCTCTCTTACCTCCCTCTCCGTCTTTTAGCTCGATTTCCCCCATGGTGGCTTCTTTCTCAGGCAGGCGCAAATGGAGGCTGGATGGCCACCCACAGCTCTGGACTTCTGCCTCACAGTGCAGTCACTCAGCAGGAGGGTTTCTCTTTCAGGCTAAGATCTTGGGCAGATTTGGCTCTGGGACCCACCCTCAACTAATCACTGTGCCCTGGGAAATGTGCAGCTCTCTTAGCCCAGGCCTAAACCCCTCCCTCCCCTGAATTGAGTGGAGAGAGCGCAGGTCAGCTACACCACTGGTCTGGGAGCAGTGGGAAAGGGATTCTCCAGCAGAATCAGGACAACATGGCCAAAAGAAGTGGACGTTGGGCGGCTATGCTAGTTAAGACAAGGCATGGCTGGGCCGGGTGCGGTGGCTCACACCTGTAATCCCAGCACTTTGGGAGGCCAAGGTGGGAGGATCACTTGAGGTCAGGGATTTGAAACCAGCCTGACCAACATGGTGAGCCAAGATCGCACCACTGCACTCCAGCCTGGCGAAAGAGCAAGACTCCATCTCTAAAACAAAACAAAACAAAACAAAAGATCAGGCGTGCTGCTGTAACAAAGATTCCCAACACACCTATGGCTTAAAGAAGAGAGAGCGTTGTTTCTCACGTAGTAGTTCTGGGTTGAGAGTTCTCCTCCATGACATCACTTGGGGGCCCAGAGTTTTCCCTTGCGTTGCTCTGCCATGCCCTAGGATAATGCCATCATATGTGTGGTAGAAGCTGGGTGTCTATGGGTCTCAGCTGATCAGAGAGTTGTCTTGAAGAAGCAAATCTTGAGCGTTGGGTGGAAGAACAAATGACTGATTGGAAAAACCTGCACTGAGGATCTGGCTCATGCAAGCTGGTGGGCAGAGATACCTGGGGGTGACTTGGCAGGGAGCTCAACAACTTGGGCTCTTTTTAAGGTCCTGGTCTCTCTTTTTTTAATATATTTTTGGTTTCCCCAGAAGCCAATTCCGAGGCAAGGATTAAAGTTCAAGTGGGGCTGGGCACGGTGGCTCACGCCGGTAATCCCAGCACTTTGGGAGGCCGAGGCGGGCAGATCACGAGGTCAGGAGTTTGAGACCAGCGTGGCCAACATGGCGAAACCCCGTCTCTACTGAAAATACAAAAATTAGCCAGGCGTGATGGCAGGCGCCTGTAATCCCAGCTACTCAGGAGGCTGAGGCAGGAGAATTGCTTGAACCCAGGAAGCGGAAGTTGCAGTGAGCCAAGATCGTGCCATTGCACTCCAACCTGGGCAACAAGAGCAATACTCCATGTCAAAAAAAAGAAAAAAAAAAAAAGTTCAAGTGGATTGTTTAGGAAGCAATCCCAGAAAGTATCTGCAGGGGATTGGGGAGGTGTGACAGGAAGAAAAGTGCCCATGTGGGGAACAGAATCAAGGAAGTTACTGCTGTGGGTAACTGGTGCTTAATCACCCTGGGCCCTCTAGGAGGCAGTACAGCACACGTCTCAGAGTTATCCCACTGCAGATGCATAGGACACTGTCTGCAACTTTCCATCCATCATTGGTTGAAGGCTGCTGACATTAGGGCCCTTCCAACTTGCCCTGTGCACTGGCCAAGCATGCCTCCTGTGCCAGGAAAATCTGCAGAGGTTAGCTGTAAGCAGCTTTCAGCACATAGACCTGAAAGCTGGCAAAACCCAGTGAGATGATGATTGTGTCTGGTACAGGTGTGGAAGGGTCACAGCCCCTACCTGAAGACACTGGCCTGGGTATGGCCCTTCCATTCCCATTCCATAGGGAGAATTTAGTCACATTAACTAGAGGGGTGGAGAAAAGCAGGTGTCTCAGCCACAATACTTCTGTGCAGCAGAATGGGGATGGATTATGGTGGATGACTGAAAGTCTCTACCATGGCAGGCAAAGTCAACTGATGTCCACTCTAGCCTTTTTTGCTTCCTCCTCCCAACTCTGTTTACCTGTCCTGCTCTCAGCCAGTTGCTAGGAAATCCAGCCAAAGTGCCCAAAATCATGACTTAGGGTTCTCAGGCTGGCAGCCCTGGAGCCTTGGGTCTGAAGGTGTTGGGGATGGAGACCCATGAGCTATTAACTTGTACCGAGTCCACCCAGCACTATCTGCTTTGGGTTGGTGTTAGTTTAGCACCATGTGGATATGCTGATGCTTGTGCTAGTCACAAGTGCCTACTGGTTATTCATTTTGGAGAATGGGATCTGTTTTCCATCAATGTGATTTATTTTGTGAATGTCTTAAGTTGGGTCCTAGAAGCGGAGTCTGAGACAAGGATTCTGGGGTAAGTGATTTATTGAGGGAGGCTCTCAGGAGAAACCAAGAAGGAGGTGAGGGAAGCGAGGGAAGTACAGCAGAGGAATAAACTCAGCAAAGATGCGGGGTCGGCTGATGTCCAGCCTCGGCCTGATTCCAGGCAGCTCTGGATATGAATGGCACCACCGAAGTTGTCCCACCTTGAGGCAAGGGGGCCTGTCATCAGCTGTGGGCTACCCCTGGTCAGGCAAGGCATAACCACCGGGCATTTTCAGCAATAGCAACTGTGAGCTGTTTAGTAGTCAATGCTCTGAGCAGCTGCAGGCTGGCTCTCTAAAGGTCTCCAAGCAGAGGAAGAGAAATCATAGCGACGGATTCTTAAGGGTGAAAAAGACGGCGGTCCACAGAATCTGGCTACATCCCTCTGGAACATTTGCATTTTGATAAAGGACTTGCTTTTGGAGCTAAGGAGTGAATCATTTATTGCAAATTATGTGGCATTTTCAGAAGAAGTAAAATAATATATAGAAATGTACACAAAGGAAAGTCATATCTGCAAACGAGTCCCTTATCTGCCAAGCCTCTCCTCTACCATTGTAATTAACCACTGTTATTAGCTCCTCCTGTAACTTTCCTGAGTTTCTTTACCCATATATAAGCAAACATGAATGTGTGTATTCTTGCTGTCCACTGTTTCTTCTTCTTTTAGCATTTTAATTAGCAGATAGCATATTATACATACTGTTTGGAACTTTGCATTTTTCTTTTTTTTAATTTTAAATTTTAAGTGTTGTGGGTACATAGTAGGTGTATATGCATTTTTCTTTTAATAGTACATCTAGTGGTTCTTTCCAAAATAGTACAAAAAAGTGTTCTCATACAAAAAAATTAGCCGGGCATGGTGGTGTGTACCTGTAATCCCAGCTACTTGGGAGGCTGAGGCAAGAGAATCGCTTGAAACTGGGAGGCAGGGGTTGGAGTGAGCCAAGACTGTGACACTGCACTCCAGCCTGGGCAACAGAGTGGACTCCATCGCAAAAAAAAAAAAAAAAGTGTTTTCATTCTTCTTTACAGCTATCTGGTATTGTATTATATGGATGTGCCATAATTTAGGCTATCAGTCTTCTATTGATAGGCAGTAACGTTATTTCCAATATTTTGCTACTATGGAGAATGCTACAATGAGTAATATACATATGTCATTTCATATAGGTGCAAATATATCTGTGGGATAAATTCCCAGAAATGCAATGGTTAGAGCTAACAATTTCATACAATTAAGGGTCATTTGTAGTTCCTTCTTCTGTGAACTGCTTTAACGCCCCTTTTTCCACTGGGGTGTTGGTCTTTTTCTCTGCCTAACTTCTAGGAGTTTTGGGTTTTTTTCAAAATATATCAGGAAGTTTGGCCCATTATGATGTAAGCTACTGGTTTTTATAATGTTGATAGATACAGCCTAATTACCCTACCCAGAGGTTGTATTGTTTGTGATGTGTGAGAGTGCCTGTGACCTCACCACCCTGCCAGTGTTGTCTTGCTATGGTTTGGGATGTCTGCCAATCTGATATGGAAGAAATAGGTTTTCGGTATAATTTTATATTTTTGTTATATTTGAGAGAGAGTTAATGTTTTTTCATATGATTAAGGGCCATTTGTACAGTCTATGTGCGTGGGATTGGTTCCAGGACCGCTACAGATACCAAAATCCACAGATGTTCAAGTCCCTGATGTAAAATGGTGTAGTACTGGCTGGGCACCGTGGCTCACACCTGTAATCCCCGCACTTTGGGAGGCCAAGGCGGGCAGATCACTTGAGCTCAGGAGTTCAAGACCAGCCTGGGCAACATGGGAAAACCCTACCTCTACCAAAAATACAAAAAATTTTCCAGGCTGGTGGCACAGGCCTGTAGTCCCAGCTACTCGGGAGGCTGAGGTGGGAGGATCGCTTGAGCCTGGGAGGCAGAGGTTGCAGTGAGCCAAGATTGCTCCACTGTACTCCAACCTGGGTGACAGAGTGAGACCCCATCTCAAAAAAAAAAAAAAAGGTATAGTATTTGCATATAAACTACGCACATCCTTCCATATATATATATGTGTGTGTGTGTGTATATATATACGTCCATATATATATATATATATATATATATATGGAGATATATATATATATATATATATGGAGATATATATATATATATATGGAGATATATATATATATATATATATATAGATATAGATATAAAACTTCTAGGAGTTTTGGGGATCTTTTCAAAATATATCAGGAAGTTTGGCACATTATGATGTAAGTTGCTGGTTTTTATAATGTTGATAGATATGGCCTAATTATAGATAGATAGATATAGATATAGATATAGATATATAGACATACATAGATACACACACACACACACACACACATATATGTGTATTTTTAAAGATGAGGTCTCACTATGTGGTCCAGGCTTGTCTCAAACTCCTGAACTCAAGTGATCCTCTCGCCCCGGCCTCCCAAAGTGCTAGGATTACAGGCATAAGCCACCACTTCCAGCCATTCCATATACTTTAAATCATTTCTACATTACTTATAATAGCTAATACTATGTAAATGCTATATAAATAGTAGTTATGCTTTGTTGTTTTTTATTTATATTATTTTTATTAGGTTTTTCCTTTTTTTTTTTTTTTTTTTTTTTTTTTTTTTTTTTTTTTTTTTTTGAGACAGGATCTCATTCTGTTGTCCAGGCTGGAGTGTAGTGGCATAATCTTGGCTCACTGCAGCCTTGACCTCCCAGGCTCAGGTGATCCTCCTACCTCAGCCTCCTGAGAAGTTGGGACTACAAGCATGTGCCATTACGCCCAGTTAATATTTTGTAGAGACAGGGTCTCACTATGTTACCCAGGCTGGTCTCAAGCAGTTCTCCGACCTCAGCCTCCCAAAGTGCTAGGATTACAGGCATGAGCCACTGCTCCTGACCCCAAATATTTTCAACCTGTCGTTGGTTGAATCCACAATGTAGAACTCTTGGATACAGAGGGCTGACTTTATAGTCCCCTTTTCTGTGAACTGCCTGCCTGAATGTCCATTTTCCCACTGGGTTTCTGCCTAGCTTGGTCTTTTTTTTCTGCCTAATCTCCAGAAGTTTTTTGTTTCTTTGGTTTTTCTGTTTTTGTTTTTGTTTTTTTTTTTTTTGAGATGGAGTCTTGTTCTGTCGCCCAGGCTGGAGTGCAATGGCGTGGTCTCGGCTCACTGCAACCTCCGCCTCCCAGGTTCAAGCAATTCTCCTGCCTCAGTCTCCCAAGTAGCTAGGATTACAGGTGCCCGCCACCACGCTTGGCTAATTTTTGTATTTTTAGTAGAGATGGAGTTTCACCCTGTTGGCCAGGCTGGTCTCAAACTCCTGACCTCGTGATCCGCCCGCCTCGGCCTCCCAAAGTGCTGGGATTACAGGCGTGAGCCACCGCGCCCGGCCTGATTTTGCTCATTCTGTTTTGTTGTTGTTGTGACCAAGCAGAAGTTTTTTATTTTTATGTACTTTGAGTTGATCCATCTTTTTCTTTCTTTCTTCCTTTCTTTTTTTTTTTTTCTTTGAGTAGAGATGTCTTGCTATGTTGCCCAGGTTGGTCTCGAACTCCTGAGCTCAAGCAATCGGCCTGCCTCGGCCTCCCAAAGGGCTGGGGTGACAGGTGTGAGCCACTGCACCCAGCCCATCTTTTTCTTTAATGGCTGCTGGAGACTGAGTCGTAGCTAGAAAGGCTTTCCTACTCCAAGGCGACATCAGAATGCTACGGGGCTTTTTTCTAGGACTTGAATGGCTTCATTTTACCATGTATAAATCTTTGATCCGCTTGGACTATTTCCTGGTGTATAGTGGGAGGTATGGATCCAACTTTATCATTTTCCAGATGGCTGACAAGAGATATTTTTTAGCAGGGAGCTGGTCCAAAACACACCAGAGAACACTTTCTTCAGGAAAAGGTCGCATGCCTCAGCAGAAGGTGTTGCGAATTATAGTAAGGAGCAGTTTTCTTTAATTAGCAGTTTTCTTTAATTCATTTGTTCAACAAATATTTTTCAAGTGCTCACTGTGTGCTAGGTACTTTTCTAGATACTGAGGCTAGAAAAAATAGACAAAAGTTTCTGCCTTCAAGGAACTCACGTTCTCTTGGAGGGGGGTGTGGGTAGACAATAGAGAAGCAAGTAAATACACATTATGTTAGACTCTATAGAGAAAAATTAAATGAGGTGTTCTGGTTACTATGACCGTGCAACTAGATGGGCCCAAACTTATGGATTCTGTGGGTCAAAGATTTGGACAGGGCCTAGCATAGGGGAACAGGAGCAGCTTTCCCTGCCCCACCATGGCTGGGACCTCAGCTGAAAGACTCAAAGGCTGGGGCCTGGGCTTCATCTGAAGGCCCATTCTCTCGTGAACCTGGTAGTTCATGCTGGTGGTTGGCTAGGGGCCTCAATTCCTCTCCACATGGACCTCTCCTTATGGTCTCCTCTCTGTGTGGGCTGGTTTGGGCTCCAAGGACGTGGTAGGTTCCAAAGGAGAAGGTCCTAAGAGGAAGAGTCAGGTGGAGGCTGTGTCACAAATTAAGAGCGGGCCTCAAAAGTCCTGCAGCGTTGCTTCTGTCACAGTTTGCTTATTAGAAGCCAGTTACTAAAGGCTGGTTCATATTCAAGGCGAGAGAAAGAAAACTCTCCTGGCCAGGTGTGGTGGCTCATGCCTGTAATCCCAGCACTTTGGGAGGCCAAGGCAGGTGGATGGCTTGAGGCCAGGATTCGAGACCAGCCTGGCCAACATGGTGAAACCCCATCTCTACCAAAAATACAAAACTTAGCTGGGTGTGGTGGTACGTGCCTGTAGTCCCAGCTACTCAGAAGGCTGAGGCATGAGAATTGATTGAACCGGAAGATAGAGGTTGCAGTGAAATGAGATTGCACCATTGCACTCCAGCCTGGGTGACAGAGTGAGACCCTGTCTCAAAAAAAGAAAAAAAAAAGAAAACTCTCTTGACGGGAGGAATGGTTCTAGAAGAACTTGTGGGAACATACATAACTGTAGCCATTGTTAGAAAATTTAATTTACCATGTAAGAGAAGGAGAGCTGGGATGAGGTGGAGGTGATGTTGATAGAGATTGGTGTCATTTTGTTTTGATTTTTTTGAGACAGGGTCTTGGTCTGTTGCCCAGGCTGGAGTGCAGTGGTGCAAACATAGCTCACTGCAGCTTTGAACTCCTGGGCTCAAAGGATCCTCCTGCCTCAGCCTCCCAAGTGGCTCCCATGCCCAGCTAATTTGTATGTATTTTTTGGAGAGATGGGGTCTTGATATGTTGTCCAGACTGGTCTTGAATTCTTGGCCTCAGGCAATCCTCTTGCCACAGCCTCACAAAGTGCTGTGATTACAGGCATGAGCTACCGCGCCCAGCTGATGTCATTTTTGTTGTTGTTAGAACAACTCAGGAAAATAAAATTCCTGTTTATTGTTGGACAACATTGTTTCACACATACCTCAAATAGGCAAAAAATAAATAAATAAATAAACAGCAACTTCATAGACAGAAAAGGAAAAAAAAGAAACCTTTTATCTTTGGCCCTTTTAACCATCTCATACAAACCAACTACTTATAGTACAGCTAAGTACGCACACACAAAAAAGTTACTGGAATGCTCAGAATAAGATTGTTTTTCTGTTGTCGTTTTTGCTTGTCTTACAAGGTTTTTTTCTCCTTTGAGATTATAACGAACATGGTCACATCACAAGTGACGTTAGAAGCAGGACAGAGAACGCTCTGAAGGCTGGTTTGGTCATCTGAGATCATTAAAAATGGCTGACCCTAACAATATGTCCAAAAATATAAAATGTAAATTAAAAAATGCAAACAAACTTCCTTTTTAAAGTATTTTTAAGGAAAAAAGCAGGGCCTTGGGAAGTTTTGGTTCTTTTTTCCTCCCCTGTTGCAAATTCTCATGGTTTGGGTTGGGTGGTGGAGAGCGCATGTCATCTGCGGGTGGCATTGCCCTCGGTGGGCGGGTGGGCCGTGTCATCTGCGGGTGGCACTGCCCTCGGTGGGCGGGTGGGCCGTGTCATCTGCGGGTGGCACTGCCCGCAGTGGGTGGGTTAGCGGGCCTCAATACTCAAAGGTGACCACATGTAGATTCTGAGACAGGAAGTGGAGGGTGAATAGGTCACCCTCCTAACATTTCCTTTTTTGCTGTCTAGTCATCCTTGTTGGTCTTCTGCTTCTTGGTATAGGCATCATCATTCTCATCATCTTCAGCTGCCCGCTTGACCTAGCGGACTCAGCTTCCTCGTCTTCATCACCATCCTCTTCCTCACCATCGCCTTCTTCTTCCTCCTCGTCTTCCTCCCCACCTTCTTCCTCTTCTTCATCTACTTCATTGTCAGCTTCCTGCTCCCCATTTTCCTCATTAGCCTTCCCATTAGCAGGGGTGTCTCTTCCATTTTCCGCTTCCTCCACAGCTTCCTTCTTCTTTAAGTCCTTGGTGGTGATTTCGGAGCTGGTGTCTACGGCTGCGTCTGACATGGTCCGGCACACCAGTGATCCGATGCAGGGGATTAAAAAGAAAGCGAGAGTTCAGGGACTGTGGTGATGAAGTGTCCGGAGTCCGCAGCGGTAAAGGCGGCTGCGGCGAGCAAGGAGCCGGACAAGGAACAATGCAAAGATGGCTTTTCAGAGCAGCCAGTGGGTGATGTCATTTTTTTATACAGGAGTCAGGGACCTGTGACCAGAAAGGAATGAAAGAAGAAGCCCTGTCCTTATGTGGGAAGCATTCCAGGCAGGGGGAAGAGCAAAGTCGAAGGCCAGGCTGAAGTGGGAGTGTGCTTGACTTACCTGGAGAGCGCGAGAACTGGTGTAGCTTACGTGGAGTGAGAAGAGATGGGGAACATGTGAATGAGGTCAGAGCGGTTGCAGGAAACGGACTGCTGCTGTAGGCCATTTTAAAGACTTTTGATTTTCCTCTGAACTGCCGAGTATTTTCAGCAGAGGAGTAACATGATCTCACTTATTTTTAACGGGCTTACTCTGGCTGCTGTGAAAACAGATTTGGGGGTAAAAGGCAAGTCTAGAAGTGGGGGATCAACTAGGAGGCCATTGCAAAGATAAAGGCAGGACACGATGAATGCTTGGACCAGGATGATAGTGGAGGAGGTGAGAAATGGCCGGATGCTGGATATGTCTCTTATAATAGAGCTAACTGGATTTGCTGATGGATTGGAGTGGGTTAATGGATAGACCATACAACTTATTTGTCTGGGGAAGTTCAGGTTTATATAATGAATTATACAGTCACCCTAGTACTGAGAAAAAGAGAGGAGCCAAGAATGACTCCAGACCGGCATGGTGGTTCACACCAGTAATCCCAGCACTTTGGGAGGCCAAGACAGGAGGATTGCTTGAGGCCAAGAATTTGAGACCGGCCTGGGCAATATAGCAAGACCCTGTCTCTACAAAATAGTTTTAAAATTAGCCAGGCACCGGCTGCCCAGTCTGGAAAGTGAGGAGCGCCTCTTCCCGGCAGCCATCCCATCTGGGAAGTGAGGAGCGTCTCTGCCCGGCCGCCCATCGTCTGAGATGTGGGGAGCGCCTCTGCCCCGCCGCCCCGTCTGGGATGTGAGGAGCGCCTCTGCCAGGCCGCGACCCCGTCTGGGAGGTGAGGAGCGTCTCTGCCCAGCCGCCCCGTCTGAGAAGTGAGGAGCCCCTCCGCCCGGCAGCCGCCCCGTCTGAGAAGTGAGGAGCCCCTCTGCCCGGCAGCCACCCCGTCTGGGAAGTGAGGAGCGTCTCCGCCCGGCAGCCGCCCCGACCGGGAGGGAGGTGGGGGGATCAGCCTCCCGCCCGGCCAGCCGCCCTGTCCAGGAGGGAGGTGGGGGGGTCAGCCCCCCGTCCGGGAGGGAGGTGGGGGGGGTCAGCCCCCCGCCCGGCCAGCCGCCCCGTCCGGGAGGGAGGTGGGGGGGTCAGCCCCCCGCCCGGCCAGCCGCCCCGTCCGGGAGGTGAGGGGCGCCTCTGCCCAGCCACCCCTACTGGGAAGTGAGGAGCCCCTCTGCCGGGCCAGCCACCCCGTCCGGGAGGGAGGTGGGGGGCTCAGCCCCCCGCCCGGCCAGCCGCCCCGTCCGGGAGGGAGGTGGGGGGGTCAGCCCCCCGCCCGGCCAGCCGCCCGGTCCGGGAGGTGAGGGGCGCCTCTGCCCGGCCGCCCCTACTAGGAAGTGAGGCGCCCCGCTGCCCGGCCAGCCGCTCCGTCCGGGAGGGAGGTGGGGGGGTCAGCCCCCTGCCCGTCCAGCCGCCCCGTCCGGGAGTTGAGGGGCGCCTCTGCCCGGCCGCCCCTACTGGGAAGTGAGGAGCCCCTCTGCCCGGCCACCACCCCGTCTGGGAGGTGTACCCAACAGCTCATTGAGAACGGGCCGGGATGACAATGGCGGCTTTGTGGAATAGAAAGGGGGGAAAGGTGGGGAAAAGATTGAGAAATCGGATGGTTGCCGTGTCTGTGTAGAAAGAAATAGACATGGGAGACTTTTCATTTTGTTCTGTACTAAGATAAATTCTTCTGCCTTGGGATCCTGTCGATCGGTGACCTTACCCCCAACCCTGTGCTCTCTGAAACATGTGCTGTGTCCACTCAGGGTTAAATGGATTAAGGGCGGTGCAAGATGTGCTTTGTTAAACAGATGCTTGAAGGCAGCATGCTCGTTAAGAATCATCACCACTCCCTAATCTCAAGTACCCAGGGACACAAACACTGCTGAAGGCCGCAGGGTCCTCTGCCTAGGAAAACCAGAGACCTTTGTTCACTTGTTTATCTGCTGACCTTCCCTCCACTATTGTCCTATGACCCTGCCAAATCCCCCTCTGCGAGAAACACCCAAGAATGATCAATAAAAAAAATAAAAATTAAAAAAAAAAAAAAAAATTAGCCAGGCACCTGTCACTAACCTGTAATCCCAGCTACTTGGGAGGCTGAGGCTGTAGGATCACTTGAGCCCTGGAGTTCGAGTCTAGCCTGGGCAGCATATGAGACCCTGTTTCTTGAAAAAAAAAAAAAAAAGAAAAGTGTTGTAAGGATTGTTACAGATATCGCCTGTTGTCAGGTGGTTTGCTGGCACAGCTTGGAGAGCTGCTGAGGCCCACGGGCCAGCTTGTCCCTGCCATGCAGCCCTAGATTGCTTTGCTCTGAAACATCGCCCTGCTGACCCGACCACATTTGTGTTTTGAGTTTTCTGTCCTCCCCTCACTGACAGCTGGCATTTTCCTTCTTGTTCCAGGCCTCTCCTCCTTTAATCCAGGGCTCGCCAGGCTATGACTGCTTGGTAACTGACTTACCAAGTACACCAGGATCATAGGTGAATGAGAGGCTGTCCTGTGACTGTCGGTCATGGCATGGGCTACTTTGAAGGCTTTTTTTTTCTTCTTCATTTTCCCTGGATAATTGCTTATTTGAAAGCAACTTTTAGATAAGTTGACTGGAACTATAAAAATTATTTTTTTGGCTGGGCACGGTGGCTCACACCTGTAATCTCAGCACTTTGGGAGGCTGAGGGGGGCAGACCACGAGGTCAGGAGATCGAGACCATCCTGGCTAACATGGTGAAACCCTGTCTCTACTAAAAATACAAAAATTAGCCAGGTGTGGTAGCAGGCACCTGTAGTCCCAGCTACTCGGGAGGCTGAGGCAGCAGAATGGCGTGAATCCAGGAGGTGGAGCTTGCGGTGAGCCAAGATCACGCCACTGCACTCCAGCCTGGGCGACAAAGAGAGACTCCGTCTCTTAAAAAAAAAAAAAAAATATATATATATATATATGTATTTGTTGTTGTTGTTGTTGCATTAATTCAGTCATGCAGTTTTTGCTAGAGGCCCAATATAGTGTTAGCACCAACTGGGGTTACAGAGATGGGCTGGTTAGTTCATTGGTACAACAAATACTATTTAATGGTTGTGGGCCTACGGATGAAACAGACAGACATCCCTGTCTGTTTCAGGTTTACATTCTAGAGTGAGAAGGTAAACAAGACAATAGGGACATCAGTAAAATATCAGGCATGCAGTGGTGCTGAGTGCCACAGAGAGACCATCAGGCAGAGAGGCAGCCGGAGGGTGCTGGGAGCAGGGGCTGCAGTTGAAACAGGGCCGTTCTGGGCAGCATGCGAACCCAGCAGTGGGGATGGGGCGGAGATGTCCCCAGCTTCAGAACCCACCAGTTATGGATCAAGGCAGGTCCGGTGCTTCTCATCCCACTAGGAATAACTCCTGAATCCCTCTCTGTGGCCTGTGGCCGGGACAGTCTGGTCCCTGGCTGCCTCCTGACCTCGTCGTTTATCTTTCCTCTCTGCTGTTCAGCTCCCGCCACAGTGGCCTGTTTCTTTCCTTGCTGCTCCTGCAGCACAGCCCTGACTCGGGGACTTTGCGTGTCCCCTCAGCGCTGCAGGGCCCACTCCTTCCTCTGTCCTGGTCTCTGCTTAGCCAGCGCACGGTCAGGGAGGCATGGGTGGCCAGCCCGCAAGGAGCCAGGCCTCCCAGCACCCCTTCCCTTGTGTGGCCTCCTCCCACATGGGATCTCAGCCGGTCCTGGCTTCAACTAAACAGGACGTGGCAGGCGTGATGCCCTGCCAATTCCAGGCCTAAGCCTTGACACAGCCTGGCAGCTTCTGCTTCTGAATTGCAGGAGCCCCAAGCTGTCATGTAAAGAAGTCTGGCTGCTTTGCTGGAAAGGCCAAATGGAGAGACCACGTGAGAGGCCACATAGACAGGCCTTGTGGAGAGGGAAAGGTGCTGAGACTACCTGGAAGGGGAGCCCAGTTGACCAAACACCCCCACTGAGCCCATCCCCCCAGCCATCCCTGCCAGGACACCAAACATGTAAGTGAGGCATCCCGGCCGTTCCAGCCTGGCCAAGCGCCAGTGGACTGTAGCTGCAGAGAAAATCTGCATAGAACAAAAGTACTGCCGAGCTGAGCCCAGTTAGTCCACAGAATCATGAGAGATAAGCAAATGATTGTTGTTTCAAGTCACTTAGTCTTGAGGTGGCTTAGCATGCAGTGAGATGACTGGAACACCTTCCCTGGCCACCCAAACTCAAATACTCAAATTGCATTTTCTTTCCTTTGCTTTTCTTCTTCCCTTTTTTTTTTTTTTTTTTTTTTTTGACAGAGTCTGGCTCTGTCGCCCAGGCTGGAGTGCGATGGTGCAATCTTGGCTCACTGCAACCTCCGCCTCCCAGGTTCAAACCATTCTCCTGCCTCACTCTCCCAAGTAGTTGGGACTACAGGCGTCCGCCACCATGCCCAGCTAATTTTTATATTTTTTGGTAGAGACAGGGTTTTGCCATGTTGGCCAGGCTGGTCTTGAACTCCTGACCTCAGGTGATCCACCCGCCTTGGCCTCCCAAAGTGCTATGATTACAGGTGTGAGCCACTACACCTGGCCCCTGTGCTTTTCTTCACACTTAAAATCTCCTGACATTTGTACATATATTTGTTTACTGTCCAGCCCTCCCACAGGTCTGTAATCTCGAAGAGGTGGGGAATTTTGTTGAATTTGCTCACTGCTTTCTTCCTGGAGCTCAAGACAGTGCCTAGATCAACACAGGCACTCAATAAATATTTGTAGAAAGAATGTATAAGTATCCATGGCCAGGCGCGGTGGCTCACACCTGTAATCTTAGCACTTTTGGAGGCCAACGTGGGCAGATCATTTGAGCCCAGGAGTATGAGAACGGCCTGGGCAACATAGGGAGACCTTCTCTCTAAAATAAATTAAAAAAAAAATAGGCCCGGCACGGTGGGTCATGCCTGTAATCCTAGCACTTTGGGAGGCCGAGGTGAGTGGATCACTTGAGGTCAAACGTTCGAGACCAGCCTGGCCAACAAAATGAAACCCCATCTATACTAAATATACAAAAAAATTAGCCAGGCATGGTGGTGCACGCCTGTAATCCCGGCTGGTTGGGGAGGCTGAGACGGGAGAATCGCTTGAACTGGGGAGGCGGAGGTTGCAGTGAGCTGAGATCATCCCATTGCACTCCAGCCTGGGTGACAGAGCGAGACTTCATCTCAAAAAAAAAAAAAAAAAGAAAAGAAAAAAATTTAAATAATAAATAAATATCCAATCTTCTAAGATCCAAACAGTCCTGCTTTTAGAATGACCCCTTTACCCTGAGAAAACAAAACAGAACAAAACACTCAATCCCCAGCTTGCAGGGGCACACGCTGTTCTGCGAGGTACATCCTGCAACTGACCTCAGGCATGAAAATCCACACATTTTTCTTGAACTGCACCGTGGAAGATTGATTGGAAAACGAACTGAACATTTAAAAATAAACAATGACTTTAAACAAACTGAGTTCTATGTTTGGACAATCTCCTCTATTCTGGGAGGAAGGGGTGAAGAGCTCTCAGGGCAGAGGGCCCTGCTCTAGCTGCCCCTGAGTCCCAGGGCCCCCTCCCTGCAGCCTTCGCCACATACCAATTCCTCCGCAAGAGGCCTCCTGAGCTCTGGGAGTCCTGCCTTCTACGCAAAGGGGCAGATTTGTGTCACCACCACCGTCCACACAGTTGCTATTTCAGTTGTCCCCCCTGTTCTGTCAGCCTGACATTTCCCCAGCCGATTCCAAGCCCAGTGTACCATTTTAGCTGACGTGGGTGAGCGTTTCGTGGGGACAGCAGATGGATGGAATGACAAATAGCAGGATGGTGGGGACAGCTGAGAAGTGCTTTTTCCTGTGTCGGATCTGTTGGCTGTGCACGTGCCCCGACGTAGTCTAGACACACTGTGGGGGCAGCGCATGTGCCAGGGCCCAGCCGGCGCGCGGGCTTCCATTTCTTTCTTTGCTGCTAATCGTGCCCATTCACACAGCCAATCAGCCAACTAGCCAGTTGTCTTGGTTTGAGCTCCAGCAGAAGCAGACCCCAAGATAGTAGTTTCTTTGACCCAGAAAGCGTGAGATGGTAGAGGGGAAGTGAGACTGAAAGAGAAGGCAGAGTGGTTATGAGCAGTCACTGCTGTGGACAGCCAGGGCTCAGTGCTGCTGGGTCTGGCCAGGTGACTGTGCAGAACCTGCCCCAGGGTTGTCCCGTGCTGGGCTATTCATCCACTAACTGCTGGTTTTCATTGCTTAAGTGTTGCCCCAGGGTGTTAACTCCATGGAACTTTGGCCTGATCCGCACCCAGACAAAACCCGCAGGCAGAAATTCTCAGGTTCTTAGTAAGAAGCCATCATTTGGAACAGCGAGTGTGAGGGTATGGTCATTTGTAACACTGACCTGTGTGTCTGCCACATACCAGGCACTGAGTTAGACCAGGGGCAGAGGAAACATAAAATGGGAGGTTTAGGCCGGGCACGGTGGCTCATGCATGTAATCTCAGCACTTTGGAAGGCTGAGTTGGGTGGATCACTTGAGGTCAAAAGTTCGAGACCAGCCTAGGCAAAATTGCAAGACCCCTGTCTCTACAAAAACTGTTAAAATCAGCCAGGCATAGTAGCACATGCCTACAGTCCCAGCTACATAAGAGGCTGAGGTGGGAGGATCACTAGAGTCCAGGAGTTCGAGGCTGCAGTGAGCCATGTTGGCACCAGTGTTGCACTCCAGCCTGGGCAACAGAGCAAGTCACTGTCTCAAAAAAATAATAATAATTTGAAAGTTGGAGGCTTGCCCAGAGTCTAGTGGGGAGATGGATATACAAGCAGATGTGGTGAATACCTTGGCAGAGCCCTGTGTCAAATGCAACAGTAGACAGAACAACCACGGACCATTCCTGGGAAGCTTCGCAGCGCAGGGAACATGAGCTGGGTCTTGTGAGCAAGACTCGAGTTCAGGGTTACGTAAGTGTAGTTCACAGTTCACAGTCTCTCCACACATATGGTGGCTGCCTTCCATGATGGGACAGCTGGGACTCCCTGTCAGTTAGAAGTTCTTGGAATTCCTAACCAGGGAGCTGCTTCTTGAGCATTCAGCAAAGAAACCTACCAAAGGAAGGGGCAGAGGCCTCTCGATCAATTCCATGTCCTGGGGTGACACCTGAGCTGCCGTGCAGGGAGTGAGGGCTGCCTGGTTGTCCTGGTGACAAGCTGGAGGTCCTGGAACTGGAAAGCAGTTGGAGAGGCCACCAGTCCTCTCATCTCTAGGCCCTACCACTGGCTGGCTCCTTGATTTTAGAGGCCCCCATGGATGTGGGAGGGATGCCATCACACTGTCATTTGTTCCCCTGGTTAATGAGCTGGTTCTCCCTTCCTCACAGCTCACCTCCTCATGCCTAGCCTCAGGGAATAGCCTTACAATCTGCTCTATTTATTCAGCATTTTACAGACTATGAGGGCTTGTGACATGTAGGCTCACAATTGGTTCTTAAGGGACCCTGTGAGGCAGGCAAGCTGTCATTAACTGCATTTTTCTTGAGAATCCCCAGGCCTCCAAATGTCGACAGGTGAGTTCAAGGTTACACAGCTAGGAGGTGGAAAGTCCCTGAGCCACACCAGGTCTTTGCCCCATGTCCTATATGTGTCTCGAGCTTCATGAAGGGGAAAGTTGTTAAACGGGCGATTTTCTCCCTCTTGTTTCTGGTCTAGCCTCAGCATTTCCTAAACGACTTGAGACAATTTTATGTACTGTGCTGTGCTGCTCTAAATAACATTGGAGTACACCGCAAAAAAGTGTATCCATTTTCTATATTTCTGATTCTGTTTGGAAGAAAATCTCTGTAGATAACACAGCCTTTGTCACTGGCCTTTTGTTCGAATATCTTCCTTTTATAAAAGAGAGAGCAGCCCTCAGATTCTGCTTTTGGAAAGCAGAAGTGAGTTAGAATTACTAGCCCTGGTTTGTGGTTGTTTTTGAAACAGAGTCTCACTCTGTTGCCCAGGCTGGAATGCAGTGGTGCGATCTCAGCTCACTGCAACCTCCACCTCCTGGGTTTAAGCAATTCTTGTGCCTCAGCCTCCCGAGTAGCTGGGATTACAGGTATGTGCCACCATGCCCGACTAATTTTTGTATTTTTAGTAGAGACTATGTTGGCCAGGCTGGTCTCGAACTCCTGACCTCAAGTGATCCACCCACCTCGGCCTCCCAAAGTGCTGGGATTACAGGTGTGAGTCACCACATCCAGCTTTGTTTGTTTGTTTGTTTGTTTGTTTGTTTTTGAGATGGAGTCTCACTCCATTGCCCAAGCTGGAGTGCAGTGGCGTGATCTCGGCTCACTGCAACTTCCACCTCCTGGGTTCAAACGATTCTCCTGCCTCAGCCTCCTGAGTAGCTGGGATTACAGGTGTGTGCCACCACACCTGGCTGATTTTTGTATTTTTAGTAGAGACGGGGGTTTCACCATGTTGGCCACGCTGGTCTCGAACTCTTAACCTCAGGTCATCCACCTGCCTCAGCTCCCAAAGTGCTAGGATTACAGGCATGAGCCACCGTGCCCAGCCGTTTTTTTTTTTTTTGGAGAGACAGGGTTTCCCCATGTTGCCCAGGCTGGTCTCAACCTCCTGAGCTCAAGTGAGTCCCTTGCCTTGAGCTCAAGTGATTCCCTTGCCTTGGGCTCCCAGCGTGCTGGGATTACAGGTGTGAGCCATCATGCTCGGCCACTGCTTTGTGTTTACTGTATTTATTTTACAATAAATAAATGTATTTATTGCCTTCTATTTAGGACAGGTGATAGTCACTTCCCATTGTAGTAGTTAACATGCTTCATGCTTCCTTTTGAAATTAATTTCTTTTTTTTTTTTTTTTTTTTTTTTGAGACAGAGTTTCACTCTTGTTGCCCAGGCTGGAGTTCAATGGTGCTATCTCAGCCCATAGCAACCTCCACCTCCCAGGTTCAAGCAATTCTTCTGCCTCAGCCCCCCGAGTAGCTGGGATTACAGGCATGTGCCACCACTCCTGGCTAATTTTGTATTTTTAGTAGAGATGAGGTTTGTCCATGTTGGTCAGGCTGGTCTCGAACTCCCGACCTCAGGTGATCTGCCTGCCTCGGCCTCCCGAAGTGCTAGGATTACAGGCGTGAGCCACCACACCCAGCCTGAAATTAATTTCTTTAAATAAAAAGAGTGGGGCTGGGCACGGTGGCTCACTCCTGTAATCTCAGCACTTTGGGAGGCTGAGGCAGGCAGATCATGAGGTCATGAGATCGAGACCATCCTGGCTAACATGGTAAAACCCCATCTCTATTAGAAATACAAAAAAATTAGCAGGACATGGTGGTGTGCGCCTGTAGTCCCAGCTACTTAGGAGGCTGAGGCAGGAGAATCACTTGAAACCGGGAGGCAGAGGTTGCAGTGAGCCGAGATTGTGCCACTGCACTCCAGCCTGGCAACAGAGCGAGACTCTGTCTAAAAAAAAAAAAAAAAAAAAAAAAGTGAACCTGTTTAATAGTCTTAAGTGGTGCTCAGATATGGCAAAAACAAAGTTTTTTTGTGGCACAGGAGTGACTGGAGTTTGGGAAATATGAGTTTGCCCAGCAGGGACTGAACTTTTTCATTATGATGATAACAATAAAACAGCTACTACTATGTTATGTGCCAGCTATTTCTAGTCTTTATGAATACCCTATGAAGTAGTTATTATTTTACCCATTTACAGACGAGGACACTGAGGCTCAAAAGCTTTAGATAACTTGCCTGGGTCATGCTGTTAGCATGGTGGGTTGTAAAAATGGGCCCATTGTTCCCTTTCCTGTTCCACAGCCCTTTGCCATGTGAGTTTTTGGCTCCTCTCTGCAAGAGGTGGAATTTATTTCTCTATCCTTTGGTCTTGCCTTGGCCACATGACCTGCTTTGGCAAACGAGACATTAGTCAGCACGGCCCAAGCCGAGGCTTGTGAAATGCTGTGTGCTGGGGCTTGTTCTGCTGCTGTCCGGAATCCTTCTGCTACTGCTGCGTGAATGAGAGCCCAGGTTAGCCCTCTGGAGGATGAGAGTCACCAGGCCCAGGCATCTCCATGGCCCCAGCTGACACCAGGCCAACCCTCAGACATCTAAGTGATGACATCCTAAATCATCTAGCCCTACTTGAGCCAGCACAGACCAGAAATGCTCAGCTTGACCTCAGAATCATGAGAAATAAGTCGTAAACCACTGAATTTGGGGGTGATTTTTATTTACTTGTTTTTGAGACAAGGTCTCACTCTGTCACCCAGACTGGAGTGCTGTGGCACAAACATGACTCACTGCAACCTCTATCTCCCAGGCTCAAGCGATCCTCCCAACTCAGCCTCCCAAGTAGCTGGGACCACAGGCATGTGCCACCACAACCAGCTAGTTTGTTTTATTTTGTTTTTTTCCGTTTTTTCTAGAAGCGAGTCTCACCATGTTGCCCAGGCTGGGTGATTTATTGCACAGCAAAGCTAACTGATAGTGTTAGTGAGGAGAAAAGATGGGGCTGGACCTGGATTTTCTCCCTCCAGCCTTTCCCATGTCAGCAAATAACACACATGCCCTAAACCTACAACTTACCTTCCATTTATACTTCTTCATCACTCATCTCATTCAAACCCTCAGGCAAGGCTCCCAAAATACATCTCGAATCTTCCTTCCCAGCACCTCCTCTGCCATTTCTCTAGGCCAGCCTACCTCTTCTATCATCTAGACTGAGAGTCGGCAGACTTACTCTATAGAAGTCCAGATAGTAAATACTTGAGGCTTTGCAGGCCATACAGCCTCTGTTACCGACTTAACCTGCAGCTACAGAAGGAAAGCAGCCAGAGTCAAAAGCAAATGGGTGATGCTGTGTTCCAGGAAACCTTGACTTACAGACACTGGAATTCGAATCTTTACAATTTTATAAAAATTATATATGCCATAAAAAGACTCTACTTTTGATTTTTTTTCCAAACATTTAAAAATGTAAAAACAACTCTATGCTCACAGACCGTATAAAGACTGTATCAGGCAGCAAGCCGGATTTGGTGGATGAGCCAGTGTGCTGACTCCTATTATAATAGCTCTGTCTATAATAGTCCAGCCAGGCTGTGCTTCAGCACTTGCCTCCTGCATTCTGCTCTCCAAACAATGCTGATCTGCTTCTGCTGCTGCTGCTGCCGCCGCCGCCTCCTCCTCCTCCTCTTCTTCTTCTTTTTCTTCTTCTTCGTCTTTTAAATAATTTTAATTAAATTAGGCCAGGTACGGTGGCTCATGCCTGTAATCCCAGCACTTTGGGAGGCCGAGGCAGGTGGATCGTTTGAGGTCAGGAGTTCGAGACCAGCCTGGTGAAACCCCATCTCTACTAAAAATACAAAAATTAGCCAGGCATGGTGGCGTTGGCATGCACCTGTAATCCCAGCTACTCGGGAGGCTGAGGCAGGAGAATCACTCGAACCTGGGAGGCAGATGTTGCGGTGAGTCGAAGTGGCGCCATTGCATTCCAGCCTAGGCGACAAGAGCAAAACTCCATCTCAAAATAAATAAAATAAAATAGATAAGATAAAATAAAAAAAAATAGAGGTGGAGGTCTCACTATGTTGCCCAGGCTGGTTTCGAACTCCTGGGCTCAAGTGATCTCCTGCCTTGGCCTCCCAAAGTGCTGGGATTACCGGTGAGAGCCACTGCACTTGGCCCCGCTCTTCTTAAAAGGCAATGGAATGGCTTTATTCCCCTGCTTATCCCTGTCTTTCCATCTTAGAGTAAAATCTAAACTCCTTACCATGGCATATTGAGTTTGACATCATCTGGCTCCCCCGCCCACTTCTGCAGCCTGCAATTCCTTTCCTTTCCCCACTGCCTTCTGGCCACCCCTGTGTTCTTATAGCTCCTGTAACATGCTGTTCTTTCCTACCCTGGGGCCTTTGAACATGCTGATCCTTCTGCTGGAATATTCTTCCTGTGGCTCTCTGCAGTGCTGGCCACGTTTCCTCCTTTCCTCCTTCAAGTATCATGTTATGTGTCGCCCCTCAGAGGAGCCCTCTCTGACCACACAATCCAAAGTTGCAATTCTCCTCCTGGCTCAGTGATCCTCTGTTTCTTCATGGCACTGTCAATCTGTAATTTTCATACTAACTTTCTCACTTATTAATTGTTTGCCCTTTCTCTAGACTGTCAGCTCCATGCATTTTGCAAAAAACTAGCACAAGGCAGACATGAATATTCAATAAGACATTTGTCGGGTAAAGGAATGAATTACCACCTATGATGGTCAATCTTAGGTGTCAGCGTAACTGGATTAATGACACCCAGACAGCTGGCGAAGCATTATTTTGAGGTGTCTGTGAGGTGTTTCTGGAAGAAACTGGCATTTGAATCAGTGGACTGAGTAAGGAAGATCCATCCTCACTCAATGTCAGGGGGCACCGTCCATCAGCTGAGGGCCAGGATAACAAAAAGGCAAAGGAAAGGAGGATTTGCTCTGTTTTCTGGAGCTGGAACACCCTTCTTCTCCTGCCCTTGGACATCAGAACTCCAGCTTCTCCAGCTTTTGGACTCTGGGACACCAGTGGCCTCCTGGATTCTCAGGCTTTCGGCCTGAGACTGAGTGCTATCAGGTTCTCTGGTTCTGAGGCTTTTGAACTTGGACGGAGCCATGCTACCAGCTTCCCTGGTTTTCCAGCCTGCAGACAGCAGACCGTAGGACTTCTCAGCCCCCATAATTGTGTGAGCCCATTCCCCTAATAAATCCCCTGTCATATACCTATATCTACAAGCCCTATTGGTTTTAGCTCTCTGATTTATACACCGTCTAACTACAATCCCATGACTTTCTTCAGCATCGCATCCTTATCTGTACTGCCTCATTAATCCTATTTTGCAAGTCTTGTTTCACTGCGAGACTCCCCTAGTTCTACACAAAGCTTTCATTTCTTTTTTTTTTCTTCATATACTCAAAACTTTCAAATCACTGAGCTCACAAGTCAACCCACAGCCTCTTATCAAAGGGGTGACCAGCACTAACCAAATTTCTCTGGTGAGCCATTCTGATACCCAGCTCTTTTTCTGCTGCTCTAGGAAATGGCAGTTTCCTCTGTTGTTTGTCTCTTTACTCATCTCTCTCTTAAAACACTATTCTGGGCCAGACATGGTGGCTCACGCCTATAATCGCAGCACTTTGGGAGGCCAAGGTGGATGGATCACCTGAGGTCAGGAGTTCGAGACCAGCCAGCCAACATGAAAAAACCCCGTCTCTACTAAAAATACAAAAAATTAGCCAGGTGCGGTGGTAATGACCTGTAATCCCAGCTACTCGGGAGGCTGAGGCAAGAGAATCGCTTGAATCCAGGAGGCAGAGGTTGTAGTGAGCCAAGATTGTGCCACTGCACTCCAGCCTTGGCGACAGAATGAGACCCTGTCTCAAAAAAATAAATAAATAAAAAGATGTTTTGGGTTCAGATTTGAGAGTTTTTTTCTTTTTGTTTTTCATTTTACTTAAGAAATAGATATAAAATAAGTAGTTTTTTTTGTCTTTTTGTTTGTTTGTTTGTTTTTGTTTTGAGACGGAGTCTCGTTCTGCCGCCCTGGCTGGAATGCAGTGGTGCAATCTCTGCTCCCTGCAACCTCCCCCTCCAGGGTTCAAGCGATTCTCCTGCCTCAGCCTCCTGAGTAGCTGGGACTACAGGATGTGCCACCACTCCCGGCTAATTTTTTGTATTTTTAGTAGAGACGGGGTTTCACTGTGTTTGTTACATGTACATCTGAAATAGTGAAGTAACAGAAAAAGGTAGAATATGAACAAGAATCAAAGTGGGTGGTAAAAACAAAGGCACCACAAGAGTTCAGTGAAGGGTAGAGTCGGTTCCACGGAGGAAGTAGTTGATCTTTGCCCAGTGCCTATTCCACGTTCAGCATTTGTCACACATTTCCTATGTTAATCTTTCCAGGAACACTGAGGTTAATACTCTTCCCCAAATTACTAGTGAGGAAAAAGGCATGGAGAGCTGAAGTGACTTAGCATTGCACAGCAGGATTTGAACCCACCTCTGCCCAATTCTGAGGCTCCTGCTTCCTGCCCTATACCATTTTGTTTCCTGTGGAGCAGGTAAGACTTGAGCAGATCATCAGTGGGATTGCGGTTCAGGCCCAAGCTCTCAGGCAAGATATGGCTGAACAAAGGGAGGAAGGGAAGTTATTTTATGCAAAGGTGTCAGCACAAACAACAGCTTAGAAATGAGTGAGACTGGTGCAGTAGGACAGTCTAGACTTGCCTAAATGAATGCTTCTAATCACAGTTGACCTTAGCTTGCTGTTCTTTAGAATTTGTTTTCTTTTTTAACTTTTTTTTTTTTTTGAGACAGGGTCTCCCTCTGTCCCCCAGGCTGGAGTGAAGTGGTGTGATCTTGGCTCACTGTAGCCTCTGCCTCCCAGGCACAAGTGGTCTTCCCACCTCAGCCTCCTGAGTAGCTGGGCCTGACTACAGGTGTGCACCACCATGCCTGGCTAATTTTTGTATTTTTTGTAGAGACAGGATTTTGCCATGTTGCCCAAGCTGGTCTTGAACTCCTGGGCTCAAGCAATCTGCCAGCCTCAGCCTCCGAAAATGTCGGGATTACATGCACAAGCCACCGCACACGGCTTCTTTTTTTAAAAAACTTTTAATATGCCATTAGTTTAGTGATACTATTACTTAAAGACACATTAGGTTACATTTCAGCAACATTGCTTTTTTACACTATTACCTTTAATGAACATTTTTGTTCATCACAAAATTGTAGCATGTTACCTAACCTGTTAGATAATATTTGTTATCTAACAGATCTTTAAAACTATATCTATGTCTCTGATGATTAATATCTAACACTTTCATACACTTTTCAATCCTTTTAGAAGTCCTCGCAGAGAATGGCTGAGGCTGATTGGGACGCATTAACTGGGGCTCTGGTGAGCCGACTGAGCTGAGTCCCCTGCAGTGCCTGTATGACCTGCACCAACGTGGGAATTGCCATCTCTCCTGCTGGAAAATCAGTGCTGCCTGTGGGAAGCCCGCCCTGGTTGGAGCTGCAGTTTCCTACCAGTTTGGTAAATAGCCTCATTTCTACTTTATCTCACTCCACTTTTCCGAACCGGTGACCCAGATGCATTTGGTAGCAAGGGGCCTCACTGGGCTGTGTAGCCAGGCTTCTATATTATTGTAGTAGAAAAAGTGAGAAGTACAAGCTGCCTGAAAATACAGAGGTAAAGGAAGAACACTCATGTAGTTGATTTTATTCAAAACAGACCTGTGTTGGTGACTAAAATGCCCAAATTACCCGGAGATAGATGTAGGTCCGCCCATTTTTGGCTTCTGCCCCATAATTGCAGTGTACTTCTCTCACCACTAGATGACAGTCGCGTTTTAAAGCAGATTTTATTCACGCGTTAATGCTGTTCCAAAAAAAAAATGGTTTTCATACCGTCAGAAGAGGGGCTCACAACTCTTGTGTTAGAGAATATGCGAGAAATCAGGAAATTTCAGACACCACTGGTGGGACATTAAGTCGATGTCACTGTTTTGGAGAGGAATTTGGTGGTAATGTTCAAGCTTTGACCCAGCAGAGACACATCCAGGTCTGATCATTTGATAGGAGGATGGCTAACATTTTGTTCCCACCATGTGTCAGGCACTTTTCTGAATGCTTCGCTCATTCAATCCTCACAATTTCAAGAAGCAGATACTATTATTTTCCCCCAAATTACAGATGAGGAAATCAAGCACAAAAAGGTCAAGTAACAGGCCGGGTGCGGTGGCCCACGCCTGTAATCCCAGCACTTTGGGAGGCCGAGGTGGGTGGATCACGAGGTCAGGAGATCGAGACCATCCTGGCTAACAAGGTGAAACCCCGTCTCTACTAAAAATACAAAAAAAATTAGCCGGGCGTGGTGGCGGGTGCCTATAGTCCCAGCTACTCAGGAGGCTGAGGCACGAGAATGGCGTGAACGCTGGAGGCCGAGCTTGCAGTGAGCCGAGATCGTGCCACTGCACTCCAGCCTGGGCGACAGAGTGAGACTCCCTCTCAAAAAAAAAAAAAAAAAAAGGTCAAGTAACTAGTCCAAGGTCACAGAGCTAGTAAGTGGCAGAGTCACAATCCATACTGCACTTTCCACTATATTGCATGTGTATTGTGTGTACCAGAAAACACGTGCAAAGGTGTTCACTGCTGCATCGTCTGGAGTAGCAAAACACTGTTAACCGAACAGTCCATTAGCATGACAATAAAACAGGAGGGAGAACTGCAGAGGAGTTAAAAGCAGTTATGAAAGATCTAGAATTGGTGAACCTGGAGACATCTCAAAAACAAAGTTGAGATAAAGCAAGTAAATCTAAAAACACAGAAAGCAAAACTATATTATACATGGAAACCAGTACACACAGTAAAACTATACAAAAAAACCCACATCAAATTTATGACGGCATTTGTCTCAGGGGAGAGGGAAATGGGATTAAGAAAACAAGGCAACAGCTTTTATCTGTAATGCTTTTTTTTTTTTTTTTTTTTTTAGAAGACTGAGTCTTGCTCGCTCTGTTGCCCAGGCTGGAGTGGAGTGGCATGGTCTTGGCTCACTGCAACCTCTGTCTCCTGGGTTCAAGCAATTCTCGTGCCTCAGCCTCCCAAATGGCTGGAATTACAGGTGCCCACCACCACGCCCGACTAATTTTTATATTTTTAGTAGAGACGGGGTTTCACCATGTTGGCCAGGCTGGTCTCGATCTCCTGACCTCAGAAGATCCACCCGTCTCAGTCTCCCAAAGTGCTGGGATTACAGGCATGAGACACCGCGCTGGCCTGGTCTATTTTTTGTTGTTGTTGTTGTTTGTTTTAGAGACAAGGTCTCACCCAGGCTGGAGTGTAGTGGTGTGATCATAGCTCTCTGCAGCCTTGGACACCTGGACTCAAGTGATCCTCTTGTCTCAGCCTCCCAAGTAGCTAGGACTATCAGCATGACCCCCATGCCCAACGACTTTTTTTTTTTTTTCCCAAGACAAAGTCTCGCTCTGTCGCCCAGACTGGAGTGCAGTGGCGTGATCTTGGCTCACTGCAAGCTCCGCCTCCCGGGTTCATGCCATTCTCCTGCCTCAGCCTCCCGAGTAGCTGGGACTATAGGCACCCACCACCACGCCTGGCTAATTTTTTGTATTTTTAGTAGAGACAGGGTTTCACTGTGCTAGCCAGGAAGGTCTCGATCTCCTGACCTCGTGATCCGCCTGCCTCGACCTCCCAAAGTGCTGGGATTACACGACTTTTTACTTTTTAGAGATGGGAGTCTTTCTATGTTGCCTAAGCTGGTCTCCAGCTCCTGGCCTCAAGCGATCTTCTAGCCTTGGCCTCCCAAAGCATTGGGTTCAAGGTGTGAACCCCTGCACCTGGCCTGTAACAATCTACATATTTTATATCTATTTCTTAAGTAAAATGGGAAAAAACCCTCAAATCTGAACCCAAAACATTATTTATTTATTTATTTGAGACAGGGTCTCATTCTGTTGCTGAGGCTGGAGTGCAGTGGTGCAATCTTGGCTCACTACAACCACCACCTCCCAGGCTCAAGCGATCCTCCCTCAGCCTCCCAAGTAGCTAGGACCACAGGTGCATGCCACCACACCTGGCTACTTTTTTGTATTTTTGGTAGAGATGGGGTTTTGCCATGTTGCCCAGGCTGGTCTCAAACTCCTGAGCTCAAATGATCCGCCTGCCTCAGCGTCCCAAAGTGCTGAGATTACAGTCATGAGCCACTGTGCCTGGCCATCTTTTTATGATTGGATCTTCACAAATGCATTACTCAACCTGACAATTGTTATTGTCATGGCAACATACAAGCCTTTTGCTCATTCTGGGGTCTCTCCCCAGAGATTCTCTCTAGTTCCCTTCAATAGTATAAATAACTGAAGTGGATCAGTAGGTTAGACTTCCAGCAGAAGCACATATCTGCTTAACTTTTAGGCCTCTGCTGGCGGGAAGGGAGGCAGGAAGGAAAAGTCAGTTCTACTTTTTACTTAGCATTGAGTGATTTAACACATAGCTCCAAACAACTTATTGTTTCTTTAAACATGGAAGTTTCAACTATTCTCTATTTTGTTTCTTAATGTTTTTTACTCCAATGATTCCCTTCCTTCACTCTTTTGTTGAGGGGTGGGCAGGAACACAGGGTAGGTTATAATCAAATATTTAATTGCTCGGGTGGAAAGCCTCAGTGATTAAAACAAAGTACCCTTCTCCAATTCCTTTTAAAGCCAGTAGCCAAATTGGTTACCTAGGAACACACTGACTTATGACTAACCCCCTTCCTGTATTTACCAAGGTCAACACATATGAAACCGTAGGTCATACACTGACGAGTTTTCCTAGAATTATAATAGGGTTATAGAGGCTAATGTTCTCAGATTATCAGGCTCTGAGGAAGAGGCCAGGTGTAAGGAGGAAAAAGGCCATACATGTATGTGTATATATTTATACTTTTTTTTTTTTTTTTTTGGAAAAAACAAAATTGGCTTTTGTGTCAGCATGGAACTTCTGTCAGTTGCTGACTGCATTGGTAAGAATGGGTAGAACTGTGGAGGAAAAGGAAATGCAGTTAGCTTTGAAGCCAACGGATTTTCTCAAAACTAAACACTGGAAGGCAACATTCTGTACTTCTGAGAAAGCCTCCTCAGAAAAGCAATATACACACACCTCCTTTAAAAAAATGTAAATTATCCTTGAGCGTCTCTCCTTATTTTGAATGCTGTTTCATTTCACTGGAGTTTCATATGCAGTATTTCACTTCGGCAAAGAGATGGCAACCAACAATTCCTAACATACGTGTTAATTCCTTTTTTTTTTTTTTTTTTTTTGAGACGGAGACTCGCTCTGCTGCCCAGGCTGGAGTGCAGTGGCGTGGCCTTAGCTCACTGCGACCTCTGCCTCCTGGGTTCAAACAATTCTCCCGTCTTAGTTCCCCAAGCAGATGGGACTACAGGTGTGCACCACCAGGCCCAGCTAGTTTAATTTTTAGTAGAGAAGCAGGGTTTCACCATGTTGGCCAGGCTGGTCCTGAACTCCTGACCTCAAGTGATTCACCCGCCTCGGCCTCCCAAAGTGCTGAGATTACAGGCGTAAGCCACTGCCTCATACATGTTAATTCTTGAAAAACTGCAACTCATTTAGAAACTCAAATTTGACTTTCTCCTCCTATGCTTTCGTAGTAACAATAACTTTTTCCGTTGACATTAACATCTCAGGAGATGTGACCCCCGAGGAGTATCATGATTATCAGGAGAAACTGGTGAGCCCTTGAGGTCAAGAAAACCTGCCCAGGGATTTACCTTCTCTGTTCTTATACCAACCACATCCTCCTGGTCACACTCTCCTGAGGGGCTCCCTCATAGAACTTTTCAGGCCACCATTATCTTGGGAGACTCCTAGTACAAAGTCACAGGTCTGAGACAAATTTCTATTTACATAACAGAACACCTGTATTAAAATGAAATTTTGCAGCTGGACATAGTGACTCACGCCTGTAATCCCAGCACTTCGGGAGGCTGAGGCAGGCGGATCACCTGAGGTCAGGAGTTTGAGACTACCCTGGTCAACATGACGAAGCCCTGTCTCTACTAAAAATACAAAAATTAGCAGGGCATGGTGGTGCACGCCTGTAATCCCAGCTACTTGGGAAGCTGAGGCAGGAGAATTGCTTGAGCCCGGAAGGCGGAGGCTGCAGTGAGCCCACCGCACTCCAGCCTGGCTGACAGAGCCAGATGGTCTCAAAAAAAAAAAAAAAGAAAAATAAAAAGAAATTTTGTTAGGTCTAGCCTCCTAAATTCTAGGTTGAGGCTTATTAGAGCAGAGTGGCAAACTCTGCTAGCACAACTTTTAATTGCCTCACTTCATTTTTGACTGGAATTTACAGGCTACAGAAATATGTATCTGCAGCTTGAGAAAAACCCACATGAATGCAGAAGTGTATAGAGATAATACAAAGGTCCCCCTTGATCCTCCCATCTCCTACCTGAATATTGCTTTCCTTGCTAGGTGACCGTGGCTGAGGGCTTAGTGAGGAGGCTTTTTTTTTTTTTTTTTTTTAAACGGAGTCTCGCTCTGTCGCCCAGGCTGGAGTGCAGTGGCGTGATCTCGGCTCACTGCAAGCTCCGCCTTCCGGGTATACGCCATTCTCCTGCCTCAGCCTCCGGAGCACCTGGGACTACAGGCGCCCGCCACGACGCCCAGCTAATTTTTTGTATTTTTAGTAGAGACGGGGTTTCACCGTGTTACCCAGGATGGTCTCGATCTCCTGACCTTGTGATCCGCCCGCCTCGGCCTCCCAAAGTGCTGGGATTTCAGGCGTGAGCCACTGCGCCCAGCCGAGGACGCTTTCTTTTATGCACTTACACAGAACTCTCACCAAAGCTATTGGGCTTGTAAAATTCTGAATTATAAAAAAAGTGCAAACAATTTCCAGGTTTATAAAATTATCCTATAAACACACAAAGTAAACAAAACCAAAGCTTCATTACTCATATCTTGTATTTTATTTCTTATGAAAATGGCTACCCAAAGAAGTCATTGTAGCAGGCTACTATTTTAAGGCAGCAACTGTATAACTTAAATGCTAAGACTCACTCCATAAGACAGAAAACCCTTCCCCAGGGCTGTAATGGGCATTTAAGTTTCCCAAACCCAGGGACAACTAATTTTTATTACCTATTGAATAGAAACAAATGGATTTTAATAGTTCCCCTCCCCTATAGCTGAAAAACTCCACAAACAATAATTGACTCTATCTACATGATCTGTTGACTCACGCCAGAAATAGTTACTAAAACACTTAGAATTGTGATGTTCAAACTGGCCTCTGGCTACTTCTGGGGGGTTATTTGGTGTTACGCAATGACATATTGCCAGCGACATGGTGAATATACTGTCTTTATAGTCAGCAATGTTTAGTTGAGGCTAATCACGTATTTATTTTTTCAAAAGGTTAAATGTAAGCTTTTCCCAGCTGAAATATATAGAAAACCCCAATGTATGAAACAAGTTTTAGGCATTGGTGTTGGCAGCGGTAGTGGGCTGATGTGTCCTCCCTGCACACAGCTGGGGGCATGTAGCCCCTTCCCCTCTGGGTGAACCCTGGGGAAATCTTGGCACCCTCAGCCTCACTGCCTTCCAATCTCAGCTCAAAGACTGGGCATCCTGCCTGGGACCACGCCCCCCCCCCCCCAATGTCCCTCAAGGGAGTACAAGAGTCACCAGCATGACTGCCCATCCTGCGTGTCCTCCTTTCAGGTAAATAAGAGGTAGCATAGCTGGGATTTCGCGTGCCGAAGTCTAGGTCTTTATATCTAGACTTTGGGGCTTTTCAGTCTTTTTGGTAACAACACATTTCAACAAATTAATACTTCTACTTGTGTTCGTGTAGCACTCAGATCCAGTGGCACCTCATTTTTACACTGGAGTAAACAGCAATATATGTTCCCAAACTGTGAGAAGGTGCTGAATGTTCCCAAATAGCAACTTGCTCCCTATTCTGAATATTCTGGTTTCTGAATATTCTGGTTCTTTTTCTTTTCCGTATATTCTTCTAGTCGAAGAAGCCACTTGGTCCAGTACTGGGAACAGAGCTCTGCATCCATGAAATGTGGGTGGGCAGGTGATCCATCTTTGTAGGCCACCACAATTAAGCCACATTGAACCTAGGAAGAAACACAGGGCAATTCTCGTTTCACTACAGTAGGTCCAGAGTTTAGGTTCGTTTCCTTCTTACTCCAGGGCAAACTCAGTATAAAATAATCTACAGGATATCTCCTAACTCAGTTTCTAAGGTAGGTTGATCAAAGACTGCACCAGGACACAAGAACACAAAGATGACAGATAAAACATTGAAGACTGGGCTGTGATCCTTACAGAGCCATTGAAAAAAAAAAAAGGCCCAAGAAGAGGGTGGAAAAGTGCTTTTTTTTTCTTTTTTGAGACAGGATCCCACTCCCATCGTCCAGGCTGGAGTGCAGTGGCACAATCTCGGCTCGTTGCACCCTCGAAGCTGAGGCGGGCACCACTTCCGGCTGATTTTTCTATTTTTAGTAATGATGGAGTTTTGTCACGTTGCCCAGGCTGGTCTTGAACTCCTGGGCTCAAGCAATCTGCCCACCTCGGCCTCCTTCAAAGTGCTGGGATTACAGGCATGAGCCACCACCCCTGGCCAAAAAGTGCTATTTATTTATTTATTTATTTATTTATTTATTTGGAGAGAGACAGTCTTGCTCTGTTGCCCAGGCTGGAGTGCAGTGGAACAACCTTGGCTCACCGCAACCTCCGCCTCCTGGGTTCAAGCGATTCTCCTGCCTCAGCCTCCCAAGTAGGTGGGACTAGAGGCACACACCACCACGCCCAGCTAATTTTTGTATTTTTAGTAGAGACAGGGTTTCGCCATGTCAGCCAAGCTGGTCTTGAACTCCTGACATCAGGTGATCTGCCCAACTCGGCCTCCCAAAGTGCTGGAATTATAGGCTTGGGCCACCACACCTGGCCTATTTATTTATTTTTGAGACAGGGTTTTGCTCTGTCGGCCAGGCTAGAGTGCAGTGGTACAATCTCGGCTCACTGGAACCTCCACTTCCTGGGCTCAAGCAATCCTCCCACCTCAGCCTCCCAAGTAGCTGGCACAAGTGTGCGCCACCATGTCCAGCTAATTTTTGTATTTTTTTTGTAGATACGGGGTTTCACTATGTTGCCCAGGCTGGACTCAAACTCCTGAGCACAAGCAATCTGCCTGCCTCGGCCTCCCAAAGTGCGTGAGCCACTGTGCCCAGCCAAAAAGTGCTTTTTTAAGTGGGAAAGGAACAAGGAAGACGTTAAGCAATGGGATAAAAATAGAGATTAAAAAAGGAAAAACCTCAAGGAGTTCTATTTTTTAACTTTTTTTTTTTTTACAATTTTTCTCCTCCTACCCCCCCACTGAGAAGTTTTTTTTTTTTTTTTTGAGACAGATTCGAGATGGAGTCTCACTCTCTTGCCCAGGCTGGAGTGTAGTGGCGCAATCTTGGCTCACTACAACCTCCACCTCGCGGGTTCAAGCAATTCTCCTGCCTCAGCTACTAGAATAGCTGGGATTACAGGCATGAGCCACCATGCCCAGCTAGTTTTTGTATTTTTGGTAAAGACAGGGTTTCACCATATTGGCCAGGCTGGTCTTGAACTCCTGACCTCAAGTGATCCACCGGCCTTGGCCTCCCAAAGTGCTAGGATTACAGGCATGAGCCACTGCGCCCGGCCCGGAGTTATAGTTTTAAGTAAGCATTGAGCAAAGCTTTAAGTAAAGGCTCAGTGTCCTGACCTGAAAGCTGTAGTTGGTATCATGGTTCATGGCACCCATGTATGCCACAACTTGCAGTGGGTTGTCAAATGTACTTTGAATAAAAGGCTTTGGTTTCTCTGATGTCTTCCAATCAATCACACAGAGCTTGCCCCTAAAGAGAAACCACAGGAAGACTTTGTAGGTAATAGATCACAATGAAAATCTCTACTAGGTTAACAGTTCTCTTATGTATAGTTTGTTACTTGTCAGCCAATGACCATTGCTCTTATTCACCATTTTTTTCCTTTTTTAAAAAAGAGATGGGGTTTCATATGTTGCCCAGGCTAAACGCATACTCCTGGGCTCAAGTGATCCTCCCACCTCAGCCTCCCAAGTAGCTGGGACTATAAGTGCACCCCCCCACTTTTTCTCCCTCTTTTTTTGCATCAAATAACCAGTGGATTCCTCCCCCCATCCCCTATCCTGGTCGGGTTTATACTTGCCAAATGCAAATATCAAAAGGATACAGAGAGTGGACCAGTAACTGGTGACTCTCAAAGGACTCTATCGGTTCAATCTGTCTTTCATGACTTCAATTTCAAAATCAGCAGTTTATAGGGAGATTTTGTACAAAGCATGTATATTACTTACATGTCACTATAGCTCTAGACAGTTACACCTCATGCAAACTCAGTCTAGAGCAGCACTGGCTAAAAGAAGTAAAATGTGAGCCATGTGTCATTTTAAATTTTCTAGTAGCCACATCGGAAAAGAAAAAAAAAATACAGCTGAAATTTTAACATTTTACTTAACCCAACATATCCAAAATATCATTTCAACATGTAATCAACTAACAAATGATTAATGGGATATTTTACGTCTTTTTTTTATTATAGGGATATTTTACATTCTTTTTTGTACAAAGTCATTGAAATGTAGTTTGTATATTGCTATAGCACACCTTAGTTTGGCCTGACCACATTCAAATGCTCAATAGCTATAGGGGTTAGTGGCTACTCTACTGGACAGTTTAGGTTTAGAGATAATTTTATTGTCTTCAGAATTGTTTTGTAATATTGCCAAGTTTGACAATCTGTGTAGTTGAGAAAAGGGCCCCAGTAACTCTAGGATGCCATTCCTGGTTCTTCTTTTTTTTTTTTTTTTTTTAGATGGAGTCTCACTCAGGCTGGAGTGCAGTGGTGTAATCTCGGCTTACCACAACCTCCGCCTCCTGGGTTCAAGCTATTCTTCTGCCTCAGCCCCCTGAGTAGCTGGCATTACATGTGTGCGCCACCTCGCCCAGCTAATTTTTGTATTTTTAGTAGAGATGGGGTTTCGCCCTATTGGCCAGGCTGGTTTCAACTCCTAACCTCAAGTGATCCACCCGCCTTGGCCTCCCAAACTGCTGGGATTACAGGTGTGAGCCACCATGTTATATTTCTGCCACAGAACACTGTTTGCAGCAATGTACTGTAATTGTAGAACTTAATAAATGTAAAAAAAAAAACCTTAATAGCATTCTGAAAACTATAAAATATTGATGAAAGAAACTGAAAATGATACAAATAAATGGTAAGATATCCTCTGTTTATGGACTGGAAGAATATTGTTAAAATGTCCATACTATCCAAAGCAATCTATAGGTTCCACGCAATCTTTATCATAATTCCAATGGCAGGCCAGGTGTGATGGCTCACACCTGTAATCTCCAGCACTTTGGGAGGCCAAGGCAGGTGGACTGCTTGAGCTCAGGAGCCCGAGACCAGCCTGGGCAACATGGTGAAACCCTGTCTCTATAAAAAATACCAAAAAATCAGCCAGGTGTTGTGGCTGGAGCCTGTTGTCCCAGCTACTCAGGAGGCTGAGCCCAGGAGGTGGAGTTTGCAGTGAGCCGAGATTGCACCACTGCACAACAGCGTGGGTAACAAAGCCAGACCCTGTCTCAGGAAAAAAGAAAAAAAAAAAATTCTGCCGGGCACGGTGGCTTACACCTGTAATCCCAGCACTTTGGGAGGCCAAGGTGGGCAGATCACCTGAGGTCAGGAGCTCCAGACCAGCCTGGCCAACATGGTGAAACCTCGTCTCTACTAAAAATACAAAAATTAGCCAGGCGTGGTGATGTGCCCCTGTAATCCCAGCTACTCGGGAGGCTGAGGCAGGAGAATTACTTGAACCTGGGAGGCAGAAGTTGCAGTGAGCTGAGACTGTGCCATTGCACTGCAGCCTGGGCGACAAGGGTGAAACTCTGTCTCAAAAAGAAAAAAAAATTCCAACATCATTTTTCACAGAAATAGAAAAAAAAAAATCCTAAAATTAACACGGAACCACAAAAGACTCCGAATAGCCAAAGCAATCTTGAGTGAAAAGAATGAAGTCGGAGGCATCACACTGCCTGATTTCAAAGTACAGTCATGTGTAGCTTAATGACAGGGATATGTCCTGAGAAATGCATGGTTAGGCAATTTTGTCATTGTGCAAACATAGAGTATATTACACAAACCTAGGTAGGATAGCCTACTACACACCCAGACCTTTGCTCCTAGGCTACAAACCTGTACAGCATGTTACTGTACTGAATACTGCTGGCAACTATAACACAATGGTAAGCATTAGTGCATCTAAACACAGAAAAGGTACAGTAAAAATGTGGTATAAAAGATAAAAAACAGTATACTTGTATAGGGCACCTACCACGAATGCAGCTTGCAGGACTAGAAGTTGCTCTGGGTGATTGAGTGAGTGAGCGGTGAGTGAATGTGAGGGCCTGGGACATTACTGTATACTACTATAGACTTTATAAACACTGTACACTTACGCTACACTAAATTTATAAAAAACGTTTTTCTTTCTTCAATAATACATTAACTTTAGCTTACTGTAACTTTTTTACTGTATAAACTTCTTTAATTATTTTGAGATGGTGTTTCACTCTTGTTGCCCAGGCTGGAGTGCAATGGCACAATTTTGGCTCACTGCAACCTCCACCTCCCAGGTTCAAGCGATTCTCCTGCCTCAGCCTCCCAAATAGCTGGGATTACAGGCATGCACCACCACGCTTGGCTAATTTTGTATTTTTAGCAGAGATGGGGTTTTGCCATTTTGGCCAGGCTGGTTTCAAACCCCTGACCTCAGGTGATCCACCCACCTTGGCCTCCCAAAGTGCTGGGATTACAGGCATGAGCCACCATGCCCGGCCACTTCTTTAATTTATTGACTCTTGTAATAATACTTATCTTAAAACAAACACATCGTACAACTATACAGAAATATTTTCCTTTTCTTTTTTTTTTTTTTTTTTTTTGAGACAAAGTCTTGCTCTGTCACCCAGGCTGGAGTGCAGTGGTGCAACCTTGGTTCACTGCAACCCCCACCTCCCGGGTTCAAGCAATCTTCCTACCTCAGCCTCCAGACTAGCTGGGATTACAGGCATGTGCCACCACACCCGGGTAATTTTTTGCATTTGTAGCAAAGACGGAGTTTCATCGTGTTGCCTAGGCTGGTCTCGAACTCCTGACCTCAAGTGGTCCACCTGTCTCGGTTTCCCAAAGTGCTGGGATTACAGGTGTGAGCCACCATGCCCCGGCCTCTTTTTTGATATCTTTATTCTACATGCTTTTTCTATTATTAAAATTATTTTTTACCCCTTAAACCTTTGTTAAAAACTAAGACACAAACATACACATTAGCCTAGGCCTACACAGGGTCAGAATCATAGTAAATACCAGTAATATGCCAGTAATAGTTGTTTATAAGCTGGTTATATACCAGCTTATGCCAGTAATAGTTGTTTATTACCATTATCAATTATATACTGTAGTGTACATAATGGTATGTGCTGTTTTTATATGACTGAATAGGAGGTTAGTTTATACCAGCATAACCACGAACACGAGTAGTATGTTGCACTATAACATAACATCACTAGATGATAGGAGTTTTTCAGCTCCATTATAATCTTATGGGACCACTGTTTACATGTAGTCTGTCGTTGACTGAGATATTGTTATGTGGAACATGGCTGTATAAAGTAAAGCTGTTATAATCAAACAGCATGATAATAGCATAAAAGCAGACACCTTAAACCAATGGAACAGGACAGATAGCCCAGAAACAAAACCATGAATTTACAGTCAATTGATTTTCAATAAAGGTACCAAGAACGAACAATGGGGAATGTTTTGTCAATTGTGTTAGGAAAACTGGGTATCGACTTGCATAAGAATGAAATTGTACCCTATCTCATACCACATACAAAAATCAACTTAAAATTTAAGACCTGAAACTGTAAAACTACTAGAAAAAAAACAGGAGAAAAGCTCCCCAACACTGATCTGAGCCATGATTTCTCAGAAGCCCAAAAGCACAGGTAACAAAAGCAAAAACAGACATATACATCCAAATAAAAAGCTTCTGCATAACAAAGGAAACAACAGTGAAGACACAATCCACAGAATGGGAGAAAATATTTGCAAACCACCTATCTGATAAGGGGATAATATCCAAAGTATATAAGGAACTCAAACAACTAAATAGTAACAAAACAAATAACTTGATTAAAAAATGGGCAAAGGAGCTCAATGAATATTTCTTAAAAGAAGACATGAATGACCAACAGATAGATGAAAATATGCTCAATATCTCTAATCATTAGTGAAAGACAAATCAAAATCACACTGGGCTATTATTACCTCATGCCTGTTAGAATGGCTATTATCAAAAAGACAAAAGGTAAGTGTTGGTGAGGACTGCAGAAAAGAGAACCCTGATAAACTGTTGGTGGGCATGTAAATTAGTATAGCCATTTGAGAAAACATCATGGAGGTTCCTCAGAAAACTAAAACATCTAAAAACTGAAACCAGAACTACTATACGATCCAGGAATCCTACTTTTGGATATATAGCCAAACGAATTAAAATCAGTATGTTGAAGAGACACCTGCAATCCCAGGTTCACTGAAGCATTATTTACAAAGGCCAAGATGCGGAAACAACCTAAGTGTCCATCTATGGATAAATGGATAAAGAAAATGTGGATACACACACACACACACACACACACACACACACACAATAGAACACTACATAGCCTTTAAAAAGAAGGAAATTCTGTCATTTGTGACATGGGTGAACATGGTGAACATTTTGCTGAGTGAAATAAGCTGGGCACAAAAAGACAAATACTGCATGATTTCATTTATATGTGGAATCTAAAAAAGTCGAACTCAGAAAGAGAGAGAGTAGAATGGTGATTACAAGAGGATAGGGATGGAGAGTGGGGAAGAGGAAAGGGGAGATGCTGATCCCAGGGTAAGAGGTTTCAGTTAGGTCAGAAGAATAAATTTTAGTGATCTGTTGCACAGCATGGTGACCATATTTAATAATGCATTGTATATTTAAAAGTTGCTAAAAGAGTAGATTTTAAAGATTCTCACCACCAAAAAATGATAAATAGGTGAAGTGATGGATATGATAATTAGCTTATTTAATCTTTCCATTAGGTATACATATATCAAAATATCATACTGTAGCCTATAAATATATATAATTATTGTCAGTCAAAAACATTTTTTAACATCATAGTAGCGTAAACCCAAATTAAAAGTACAGTAACAGTTCACAAATAGCTCTTAAATGAAAAGATGCTCAGTCTCACTTATGTGACATGCAAATTAAAAATACAATGTTATCAAAATTACTAACACTGTATTGTTAAATGTATTCACTCATATTCTTGGTAATTTAAAATGCATACCCTTGACCCAGCAACCTTCCTAAAGTATAGGATAGCAATGGCTTGATATCCTGAGTACAAGTGAAGTGACAAGTGCCTGGGAGATTTAAGAAGCAGTCATGTCCGGGTCTACTTCAGACCAACTAAATGGATTGTAACTGCATATATCACACGTCTAAAACAAACAGGCCAGGCATGGTGGCTCATGTCTGTAATCCCAGCACTTTGGGAGGCTGAGGTGGGTGGATCACCTGAGGTCAGGAGTTCGAGACCAACCTGGCCAACATGGTGAAACCCTGTCTCCACTAAAAACAAAAAATTAGCTGAGCATGGTGGCACATGCCTGTAATCTCAGCCACTTGGGAGTACAAGACAGGAGAATCGCTTGAACCCAGGAGGTGGAAGTTGCGGTGCCGCACCATTTCACTCCAGCCTGGGCAACAAGGGTGAAACTCCGTCTCAAGAAAAAAAATAAATAAACAAATGAATCTGTGCATCTGCCTAGAACAGCTCTGTAATATACAAAGAGGCACATTTGCTGCAGCACTGTTTGTAATTGTGGAAAACTAGAAATAATCTGAGTGTTCCCAATAGGGAAATGGGTAAGGCTCATTCATACAAAAGAATACAAAAAACGAGTTAAGAGAGAAGTAGGGCCAGGTGCAGTGGCTCAAGTCTGTAATCCCAGCACTTTGGGAGGCTGAGATGGGTGGATCACCTTAGGTCAGGAGTTCGAAACAAGCCTGGCCAACATGGCAAAACCCTGTCTCTATTAAAAATACAAAAAAAATTAGCCAGGCACCTGTAATCCCAGCTACTCAGGAGGGCGAGGCAGAATTGCTGGAACCTGGGAGGCGGAGGTTATAGTGAGTCCAGATTGTGCCACTGCACTCCAGCCTGGGCAATAGAGCGAGACTCTGACACACACACACACACACACACACACACACACACACACGAGTAGTAGATTGGGCAAGGTGGCTCACGCCTGTAATCCCAGCACTTTGGGAGGCTGAGGTGAGGATCATACTTCCTTCCCAGTTCTAGATTAGTCTGGGCAACACAGCAAGAATTATTTCTATAAAAAAGTAAAAAAAGAAGTAGATCAAAATAATAATGTAACATCTACTGAATACATAGTATGCATTAAGCACTCTTCAGGGAATATCTCATTTTATAACAAGGTAGGTACTACCATTTGTCTTATCTTAAAGATGAATAAATTGAGACAGAGAGCGACTAAGTAATTAATCTAAGGTTAAGATGAAAAGCCAAGCCAGAATCCAAACTCAAGCAGCTGGCTCCTGAGCCCAATATCTTACTAGCTTTGTGATGCTGTGTATCTAGAGATGTCTGTATATTATGACTGTCACAGTTCTGCATGAAATCATACATAAGTGCTGCCTATGCATGTGTATTATACATAGCATTATGTGTGTGCTAAGAGTATAGAGGGCACATATTCTTAGGTTCTCCTGATGCTGTGTCACAGATCATTGGTCATTAAAAAAAGAAAAGAACAAAAAAGAGCGTAGAAGGCAGACTAGAAGGAGGTAGTGCCAAACTTAAAACAGCAATCGCCTTTGGCCACGGGTGGTTCAACAGAATTTGGGGTTAATCTGTAATATTATATTTCTTTAAAAAAAAGATCTCCATGTAATCACAGGGATAAGGAAAAAAAAAGTTTTAAGCAAATGCACCAGTGTTAAGTGTTAATTGTGGGTGGTGGAAAATTATTACATGAGAAAAGAATGTTACAGATCTATATAAACTAATAAAAGATTTTTTTTTTTTTTTTGAGATGGAGTCTCACTCTGTCACCCATGCTAGAGTGCAGTGGCGTGATCTCAGCTCACTGCCAGCTCCGCCTCCCGGGTTCACGCCATTCTCCTGCCTCAGCCTCCCAAGTAGCTGGGACTACAGGCGCCTGCCACCATGCCTGGCTAACTTTTTGTATTTTTAGTAGAGATGGGGTTTCACCGTGTTAGCCAGGATGGTCTCAATCTTCTGACCTCGTGATCTGCCTGCCTTGGCCTCCCAAAGTACTGGGATTACAGGTGTGAGCCACTGCGCCCAGCCTGATTTTTTTTTAAATAATTTTTTTAAGTGGAAAAAAGCAGGGTATATCATCTTGTGTTAAAAAATGAGTGTGGGGACAAATGATTGTACATATGGTCATACAATATCTCAGGAACACAGGAGCTTTTTAAACAGAGGTTCAATACAGAGTGGGTGTGGGGAGTTACTCTTAATAGCATATTACCCATTAAAAATTCAGTGGGGTCGGGCACAGTGGCTCACACCTGTAATCCCAGCACTTTGGGAGGCCGAGGCAGGCAGATCTCCTGAGGTCAGGAGCTTGAGACCAGCCTGGCCAACATGGTGAAACCCCGTCTCTATGAAAAATACAAAAATGAGCTGGGTATGGTAGCAGGCGCCTGTAATCCCAGCTACTAGAGAGGCTGAGGCAGGAGAATCACTTGAACCCGGGAAGCAGAGGTTGTAGTGAGCCAAGATCTCGCCATTGTACTCCAGCCTGGGCGACAACAGCAAAACTCCTTCTCAAAAACAAAATCGGCCAGGCATAGGGGCTCACGTTTGTAATTCCAACACTTTGAGAGGCTGAGGTGGTGGATCACTTGAGCCCAGGAGTTCAAGACCAGCCTGAGCAAAATGGTGAGACCCCACATCTACAAAAAATAGAAAAATTAGTTGGGTGTGGTGGTGCATCCCTGTAGTTCCAGCTATTTGGGAAGCTGAGGTGGAAGGACAGCCTGAGCCTGGGGAGTTAGAGACTGCAGTGAGCCCTGAATGCATCACTGCACTCCAGCATGGGTGACAGTGAAAGACTGCCTCAAAAAAATAAACTAAAATAAAATAAAAAATTATTAGGCCCGGTGCGGTGGCTCACACCTGTAATCCCAGCACTTTGGGAGGCCGAGGCGGGCAGATCACGAGGTCAGGAGATCGAGACCATTGTGGCTAACACGGTGAAACCCTGTCTCTACTAAAAATACAAAAAAAAAAAAATTAGCCGGGCGTGGTGGCATGCGCCTGTAGTCCCAGCTGCTGGGGAGGCTGAGGTAGGAGAATGGCGTGAACCCGAGGCGGAGCGTGCAGTGAGCCGAGATCGCGCCACTGCACTCCAGCCTGGGTGACAGAGCAAGACTCCATCTCAAAAAAATAAATAAATAAAATTAAAAAAATAACAAAAATAAAAAATTCTTAGCTGGGCGCGGTGCCTCACACCTGTAAATCCCAGCACTTTGGGAGACGGAGACAGGCAGCTTGCTTGAGTTCAGGAATTCTAGATCAGCCTGAGCAACATGGCAAAACCCCATCTCTACAAAACATACAAAAAAATTAGCTGGGCGTGGTTGTTCGCATCTGTGGTCCCAACTACTCAGGAGGCTGAGGTGGGAGAATCGCTTGGGCCTGCGAGGTGGACGTTGCAGTGAGCCGAGATCATGCCACCGCACTCCAGCTTGGGCAACTGAACAAAACTGTGTCTTAAAAAAAAAAAATTCTAGGCTGGGTGCAGTGGCTCACACTTACAATCCCAGCACTTTGGGAGGCTGAGGCGGGCAGATCACTCAAGGCCCGGAGCTCGAGACCAGCCTGGGCAACATGTCCAAACCCCATCTCTACTAAAAACACAAAAAATTAGCCAGGCGTGGTGGTGGGTGCCTGTAGTCCTAGCCACTTGGGGAGGCTGACACAGGAGAATTGCTTGAACCCAGGAGGCAGAGGTTGCAGTGAACTGAGATTGGGCCACCACACTCCAGTCTGGGTGACAGAGCAAGACTCTGTCTCAAAAACAAAAACAAAAACAACAAAAAAAAACCGTAGTTTCAAAAATGTTCATATTACCAAGGTTGATGTTGACTTAAAAAGCAAAAAACAAACAACAGTGCTATGGACATATTTTATCATCTCTATGACAAGCATTGGGTGTCAGGAACTTCTTGTAGGCCTTGGGTGGAGGTGACTGTATGGCTTCCTTGGTTTATCTAAAAGGCAACCAAAGTCTATTAAATCTCTTGGTATACAGGGCTCTTCTCAGATATGACGCAGTTGTGCTATAAAACCATTAGGTGGTCTAGGCCAGGCGCGGTGGCTCACGTCTGTAATCTCAGCACTTTGGGAGGCTGAGGTGGGTGGATCACCTGAGGTCAGGAGTTCGAGACCAGCCTGGCCAACATGGCGAAACCCCATCTCTACTAATAACACAAAAATTAGCCGGGTGTGGTGGCGTGCACCTCTAATCCCAGCTACTTGGGAGGCTGAGGCAGGAGAATCGCTTGAACCCAGGAGGCAGAGGTTACAGTGAGCCAAGATCACGCCATTGCACTCCAACCTGGGCAACAAGAGTGAAACTCCGTCTCAAAAATAAATAAATAAAAAATAAAACCATTAGGTGGTCTAAACAGTTTTCAGACTATCAAGGGTGCCCACTCTTTCGGCTTCCTGGCCCACATTGGAAGAATTGTCTTGGGCCACACAATAGCTGATGAACTAAAAATAAATAAATAAATAACCAAAAAAAAATCTCATAATGTTTTAAGAAAGTTTACGAATTTGTATTGGGCTGTGGAATAGACAAGCTTTTAAACTTAAATTTTAACTAGAGCTTCAAGGTTTACATGAACGGATTTTTCTATCTTGTTCTTAGTGATCGCTTGCCTTATTTGGATTAGGGGTACCTGCAGGTTGTAGCCACCTTTGTATCAGAGGCGTTCGAACGAGAGCAACTCCATCTTGAGTGAGGGCTAGGAAAGTGAGGCTGGGCCTTGCTGGGCTGCATTCCCAGAAAGTCAGGCATTCATAGCCTCTAGATGTTTAAGGTTAAGGGAACAAATTAATAATGTTTACTAAACAGACCCAGACTTGGGAGTGTCCAGATACCCTGATATCTGGAGAACGAAGGCATTCCTAATTTTGCTTTAAAGATAGTATCGATTCTTGCAAAATATAATAATTAAGAAAATTAATCCTTTATCACAAACCCTTGCAGTAGAGCACATCTCCCCAAGATCTCTTTTTTTATCTTATATATATGAGCACTGTACTTAGGGTGGAAGTGTTCCTCCTCTTACTTTCAGGAACGCCCTGCTCTGTCTATGGAGTAGCTATACTTCCACTACTTTACTTTATTAATAAACCTGCTTTTACTTTGCACTGCAGACTCATCCTGAATGCTTTTTCTTTTCTTTCTTTTATTTTTTTTTTTTTGAGACAGAGTCTCACCTGTTGCTCAGGCTGGAGTGCAGTGGCACCATCTCGGTTCACTGCAACTTCTGCCTCCCGGGTTAAAGTGATTCTCCTGCCTCAGACTCCCGAGTAGCTGGGACTATAGGCACACACCACTGCGCCTGGCTAATTTTTGTATTTTTAGTAGAGACGGAGTTTTGCCATGTTGGCTAGGCTGGTCTTGAACTCCTGACCTCAGGTGATCTGCCCACCTCGGCCTCCCAAAGTGCTGGGATTACAGGCGTGAGCCACTGTGCCTGCCTTCAACCTAAATTCTTTCTTGCCCGAGATCGAAGAACCCTCTCGGGGTCTGGATCAGGACCCCTTTCCTGTAACACTTGGACTCTGAAGTACCTGAGTAAAACAGTAAGACAGCTACGATATAAAAACCATGGGGACCGGGCGTGGTGGCTCATGCCTACAATCCTAGCACTTTGGGAGGCTGAGGCAGGCGGATCACCTGAGGTCCGAAGTTCGAGACCAGCCTGACCAACATGGAGAAACCCCATCTCTACTAAAAATACAAAATCAGCCACACATGGTGGCGCATGCCTGTAATCCCAGCTACTTGGGAGGCTGAGGCAAGATAATAGCTTGAACCTAGGAGATGGAGGTTGCAGTGAGCTGAAATCGCACCACTGCACTCCAGCCTGGGCAACAAGAGCAAAACTCCGTCTCAAAAAACAAAACGAAACAAAACAAAACAAAACAACCATGGGAAGCTTTAGTAAGTTCAGATCTCTGATCCATGTCAAGCACTGCCTGGAAGCCAGGAAGAGTTGATTTTCAGAACCAACAGATCATGGTGCTATCTTTAGAAAAACAGGAAAGAAAACGCAGGAATGAAATTGGATCTTATGGCAGGTACCTTGCTTTGGGGGAGGGGAAGGACAGGCTGGCAAACAGGCCATGTTAGGGAGATTGAAAAATCTCGGCCAGGTGCAGTGGCTCACGCCTGTAATCCCAGCACTTTGGGAAACCAAGGTGGATGGATCACTTGAGGTCGGGAGTTTGAGACCAGCCTGGCCAACATGGTGAAACCCTGTCTCTACTAAAAATACAAAAATTAGCCAGGTGCGGTGGTGCATGCCTGTAGTCCCAGCTACTCAGGAGGCTGAGGCAGGAGAACCGCTTGAACCTGGGAGACGGAGGTTGCAGTGAGCCAAGATTGCACCACTGCACTCCAGCTTGGGTGACACTCCGTCTCAAAACAAAACAAACAAACAAAGAATATACCTTTCTCCAGCAAACAATTTGATTTTGGAGTACTGGATGACAAAGGTTACGTGGCTCTTCTCCTTGTACCTGTTCTCAACCCCGCCCCACCCAATTCTTTTACCTAGCACAAAGGTCTGGACATTAAACAGACAGAGGCTACAGTACCTACAGGCACACCTTTGACAGGCACCATCTGTCCTACGCTGTATTAATTCACCTCCAATCTCATACTTACTGATACTCAGCCACACAGTCCAGCAGACCTATATAGTTTAAGGTTTCATGTTGAACAGCACTTTCAAGAGCTCGCACTCCACTGACATCTTTCAGAATATGCTGGACACTTTCAATGTAACCAGACTTGAGGAGATTTTCATCTCTCTCTTTTAAGGTTTCCTGGGGTGAAAGTATGCTTTCCAAGGCTTCGTGGAACCGTTTCCCTTGTAAAAAGACGTCTGAAAAGAAAATCAGGGAAAAGGGGAGGGGGGAAACACAAACAAAGCTAACACTGAAAAACAAATACTCTAAAACGCCCTGAAACAATACAATTAAAAATGACATTTTTTTTTCTTTTTTTTTTTTTTGGATGGAGTCTCCCTCTGTCGCCCAGGCTGGAGTGTAGTGGGCGATATTGGCTCACTGCAACCTCTGCCTCCTGGGGTCAAGTGATTCTCCTGCCTCAGCCTCCTGAGTAGCTGGGATTACAGGCGCCCGCCACCGTGCCTGGCTAATTTTTCTACTTTTAGTAGAGATGGGGTTTCACCATATTGGTGAGGCTGGTCTCGAACTCCTGACCTCGTGATCTGCCAGCCTTGGCCTCCCAAAGTGCTGAGACTACAGGCATGAGCCACCGTGCCCGGCCAAAAATTACATTAGTTATTTTTAAGTGACAACCCCTAAGACCAAATTTCAGCCTCTTGTGAAACCTAAGAATATACTTTGAAACCAACGGGATTATTAATAGGACGTTAGGTAATAAAATGAATTAAAATTAAGTACTTCTAGGAGAATTGGGCCAAAGTCAAAACTGAAGATCTGGCGGCTACAAGACCACATCCAGTTTATGGTACTATGTGTTTAAGTATCCAATGTAATAAGTTAACTGGCTGTGATAAAATAAAAAAAAATTAGAAATCTAGGGAACTGTGCTTCTGTTTGTAGTTCTTTTTAGACCAAAACTTAATTATGAACATAGGTGGGGGAATCCTTTTACTAACAGGATTAGTGACAAACAAGGAATGGAAAATAAGGCATGCGCAAATGAAAAGTTATGAATTTGATATTATGGAATCTGGAGGGGGAGGAAGAGGAAAATATGTGACATTCTTCTCCTGTATTTTTTTTTTAGTGCTGGAACAGCCTGAAAAATTCAGCTGTGTCTCAATTTTTTTCCCTCATACATTTTTCTATTCTAATATTTAATATTTAACATGTAATATTTTTCTAATTAGCTTTAGATTATTAGAATTCTGATTTATGGCTTGTAGGAGGACACATCTTCTTTCTTCCTAACATTTTATAACATGTGAATACTAGAGAAATTTCATTAGGACACATTAGGACACATTATTTTTCCTGTATGTTCATTTTCTGAGGTCAAAGCCTTACTTTTCGTCCCCAGGTTTCTCCGAAAGAACTGTAGTGTCTGGATTTGTTGGCGTATCCCAGGATCTAACTTGATTTTTGAACTCTCTCCTCATTTTCAGTGCTCGTTGGCCTCCAAGCGCTTGCATAGTAAGCCCCCTCCTCATACACATTTTAAAAAAGGGAACATGGCCGGGCATGGTGGCTTATGCCTATAATCCCAGCACTTTGGGCAGCCAAGGCAGGCGGATTACCTGAGGTCAGGAGTTCAAGACCAGCCTGGCCAACATGGTAAAACCCAGTCTCTACTCAAAATACAAAAATTAGCCAGGTGTGGTGGCGCATGCCTGTAATTCCAGCTACTCTGGAGGCTGAGGCAGGAGAATTGCTTGAACCCAGGAGGCAGAGGTTGCAGTGAGCCAAGATCATGCCACTGCACTCCAGCCTGGGTGACAGAGCAAGACAATCTCAAAAAAAAAAAAAAAAAAAAAAACACACAAAGAGACTCAACAAACACAAGAAATATATTCACTTGTTTCTTAGTAAGAGGAGAGAAAGAGGGGGGACTGTTATGCTAAGCAATGGCCTTGGAGCTTTCAAAACATTATTTAATTTTCAAACCCAACAACCCAGCAAAATAGGGATTGTAAGTTACCCCCATTTTAATGAATGAGGCCCTATCCCACCAGGCAGTGCTGTTAATTTGCCCCAAAGCAAAAAGCTGGACAGGCAGCCTGGCACCAGAATCTGTTTCCAATCTACCACACAGTAGAGCAAAGGAAGCAATCTTGGAAATCACCAATTAGATACTCAGAGAAACAGAGCAGGAAATACACGTGCTTGGAACATGCTTGCAGAGAGACCCACAGAAAAGGCGGAAAACAACTTTACATTTGTCAAGTTTTTTTTTTTTTGAGACAGGGTCTTACTTGTCACCCAGGATGGAGTGTACTGGCTCGATCATTGCTCACTGTAACCTTGAACACCTGGCCTTAAGCAATCCTCCTGTCTCAGCTTCCTCTACAGGCATGTGCCACCACGCCTGGCTAATTCAAAAAAATTTTTTTTTTGTAGAGATGCAATCTCTCTACGTTGCCTAGGCTGGTCTTAAACACCTGGCCTCAAGCAATCGTCCCACCTTGGTCTCCCAGAGTGCTGGGATTACAGGCATGAGCCACTGCACTCGGCCTTCAACTATTTTTTACAAAGATGGAAATGTCAATTCTTTTTTTTTCCAGGCTGGAGTGCAGTGGTATGATCTCGGCTCACTGCAATCTCCACCTCCCAGGTTCAAGCGATTCTCCTGCCTCAGCCTCCGTAGTAGCTGGGATTACAAGTGATCGCTGCGCCCGGCTAATTTTTTTGTATTTTTAGTAGAGATGGGGTTTCGCCATTTTGGCCAGGCTGGTTTTGAACTCCTGACCTCAAGTGATCCGCCTGCTTCGGCCTCCCAAAGTGCTAGGATTACAGGCATGAGCCACTATGCCCAGCTGGAAATGTCAATTCTATCATTAGCAAAAAATGGAATCCCTTCTGAAAAATTATTTGGAGAGTTAAATGAAATTCAACTTAGGAACTAAGTTATTCTACTCCAAATTTACTTGACTCAATTGGAATTATTAACACGTGAAAGACCTACAAGAAATTTATGACTGATGGAATTAAAGCCTAGGAAAAAGAAGTGTATAGCATTCATCTACACACTAGGTTAATGAAGCAGAAGACAAACATGTTAAAAACAGGAAGAAAAAAACTTAGCAAATGCCATGCCAATAGACCATACATTTCTCGCTGCAAACTTACCCCTGGCTAGGTTCTTCATATACACATGATCACAAACATGAAAACCTAGATTACAGGATCCTTTAGACACTAAGGCTCAGAACATTCAACATGATTCAATTTATAAAAATAAAAAATGATCCAAGAATATTCACTGCATGTAGCATCAAGTCTGCTTATTCACTCAAAGTAATGAAAGTGAAATGTTTTCAAGTCCTCGTATATGAAGTGCACTAAAAAAAACCTTCATGCATCTCCAGTATTCTCATGATGGAACTGGCAGGATGGCTAATACTTCAGGATTAAATCAGCGTAGCAAAAAAAAAAAAAAAAAAATTAAAACCTAAACCCCATCCCTTTGTGTGTATTTATACACAAAATATAAATCAGAATAAGTCAGACTTTCTCATTCCCACCAGTCTTCAAAAGATGAACTGATGCTTGGGAAACTGCTCAAGTATTTGGAAGAATGCCAGACACATTTCTATGCTCTCACCTTTGAGAAGACTGGGTAGAAATTACTGATCCAATATTTTTCATTAAAAAAATCTTCTTAATTTTTAAAATGTAATTCTTCTTGGGTGCCACCTTCTTGGGTTTGGGATCCAGTATCCTCCAGACCCGTTAATCAATTTAGTGAGCCCTTTTTCTTTTATTCACCATGACACTAATTGTCCCTTTATTTATTTCAGAACCCACTGCTTACTAATACTTATTTTCTAAAAAGAGTGATTCTGCCTGGGCACAGTGGGTCACACCTGTAGTCTCAGTATTCTGGGAGGCCGAGGTGGGAGCACCACTTGAAGACAGGAGTTGGAGACTAGCCTGGGCAACATAGGGAGACCCTTGTCGCTACAAAAAATAAAAAAATTAGCCAGGCATGGTGGTGCACGCCTGTGGTCCCAGCTACTCAGCAGGCTGAGATGGGAGAATCACTTGGGTCCCGGCGGTCAAGTCTGGGCGGGGTGCTGGGGTAAGCGATTCTGCTCATTTCTTAAGGTTGCTACTGAGTTAACTGAGAAACACAGCTGAGTGCTAATCTAGATCAACAAAGCTGACTCTATGAAAAAAAAAACAACCAGTCTTCTCTCTGCCTGGGCTATTGGGGCTCATTCACATTCCAAACAGAAATTCCTCTCTGGTGCACTTCCTTACTTTGTGCCAAGAGCTACAGGCCCTGGGGTCCCATGTGTTCCAGCAGGTTTCTGCCTTTTAATAATACATTTCTTATTAGTAATTTCAGCTGTACATTCCTGGTTTAAGGAAAATAACTTCTCATGAGAAAACTATCAATTCTAAATTTTAGTGGTACAAATACAAAACTGTAAGATGCCATTAGAAGATTTTTATGTTGCTTGCTTGGAAAGCAGACAATAGTTTGGTGGTTGCTACTAATTAACTATCTTAGGAAGGCAGTTAGCTCTTGCATATATAATCCTTGCCCCACACAGCTGAGGAATATTATAAGGAGCAAAGGCCTTGACCATTTGGTACATATCCAATACCACCTATATATACTTAGTATTTTTCTTTAGAACATGTGACATGTTTAATGTGTTACACGCATAGTTTTAGGAGTCTGGATTAGGGAAAAGACGACTTAAATAGAAGCCCAGGCTATGGCAAGGGTCAGTACACTATTCTTAAAACAAAAATGAAAGAGTTTGTGTACTACTAAGAGTACATGTACTGCACTTTGGGAAGCTTGGGTAAAGGAATGATTGATGTGAAACTTTCCTTTAACAAAAGACCCCTATATAATTTATGGGACTAGCTAATTCACCAGTGCCAATGGTCTTTGTTTTTGAATGGAATATTAAATTTAAGGAAGCTATTCTCCTCACTTGTCCAAGTTAGTAAATTAGAAGTTGAAGGTTAAAGTGTATTTATCCTCAGATCCTTATGAAGAACCTCTGATTATGTTTACCAAGGTCTAAATATAGGTCATGTGTTCTGGTCTGCTTCAAGGTCTTTAAATTTACGAGTCAGTTTACGCTAATAAGTAGGACAGTGGGTATTTACTGGATTCTAAACAGAATTATCTAGCAAACAACTAGAATTCTGTTACCAGGTGACTTTTTTCAATAATCAAGGAAAACAAGCAATTCTAATATTGTTGGTAGCTTATAAAACAAGTGAATTTTATGTATTATTTAGTCAAATATTTGATCTATTTTAGTTTCATCTGTAAAATGTGGATAACAGTATCTATACTCCACAGGACTACCATGAGGATCAAGTGAGTTAATACACATAAAGTGCTATTTAATGTTAATTACTATCTGAAGGGAGTTCCTTGCTAGTAAGTTAAAAAAACAAAACCAAACCTCATTCTTTTGACACCGTTGCTCTCTATTATAGAAAACATAGCAAACATATAGAATCAGAATTGAGATAATTACTTGAAGTGTATTCTTTAAAGCCATCTTCTCCCAGTTCCAGAATCATCCGCTGTTTCCACCTCTCCAACAAGAAAACCTGTTGTTTTGTCATGGTCTGCTGAAGGACTCGGGTCACACTTGGTATCACATTCCTTTGCAAGGGGATTTTCAAAGGAACTGAAGGATCACTTGCATTTGGTTTATCACTTCTCTCTGGATTGAAGATAGGAAACCAGTTTTGTGGCACTCGTCTGTCCTCACCTTGGTTTGGCAGCTTATGCTTGCTCACGGGTCCACAGAGCAAAGCATCTTCCTCCACCGATCCCGGGGTCTGGGCGACGCCTCTGGATGACAAGACAGACTGAACTAAATTAGAGTATTTTTCTTGGTCCACTTCTTCATATGGGTTCACTTTTTTCTTCCGGCCACATGAGTAAGAGGAAGTAGAGAAAGCCACAAGGGCAGCTGATTCCACAGAAAACTTTGAACTCCTGAGCTGCCTGCAAATGGTCTGAAATAACTTCATCTTCATTCAGATTTGTTTTCACTTTAGTCTATTTGCAACGGTCGAAGGCCTTTATGTTTGTATTCCTATTGGAGAGAAAACAACCATCAAAGCGAAAGCTGCATCAGAATGATATTGCACATCAAAATTGTGAACTTTTTCGACATGTTTGGACAGAGCCCTTTCTTAAGAAAGTCGACAGAGCGAGACCCTGCCTCCAAAAAAAATTTATAAATAAATCAAGACTCAATACCCGAAGGACCGACACATACTAAATGCGAATTAGTAGACAGCTTGAGGCAAGACGTCCCAGTTTCTAATCTGCAGGAATGTGACGCCCAGGAAGGGAGGCGTGTGCGAGACACGGAAAAACACAAAGATGGAGCCCGTCCCATGGCGGCCACACAGTCCTAGGTGACAGACGACGACTAATTCCTAGACACCAGGCTCTCTGCTAAGTATTCTGTGTGGATACTTCTCATTTGGTCCTCACACCCTCTACCGTGGGTCTAGAATGAACCCGTTGCACAGACGTGGAAATCGGGTTGGAGGGTCCCGTCGCTCGCCGGTCAGAGCTGGTGGCGGCGCTGAGGTCCCATTACTGTGACCGCAAAAAGTCGCCTCCCGCTCCGCCGTGGGTGCGGACCCCTGGCGGGGCCAGGACGGCGGTGGCCCCTGTGGCAGGAGTCTGGATTAGAGAAAAGACGACTTAAATAAAAGCCCAGCCTACGGCAAGTGTCGGTACCTTGGAAGCCACCACACTTCGCTTAACTCTCAAGGCGCGAACAACCTCTCGCGACCCGTACTTTCATCCGTCCCGCGCTTTGGTTTCGAATTAGGCACAGCCTAAGGCAAAGCAGGTCCAGAATGCCCCGCGGCGCTCACGCCCCACCCGAGGCTTTCGTCGGCCTCCGCCAACGCGCCACCAGTTAGAGGCAGGGAGTACCTCTCCGAGCGGAAGGGCCGGCGTCTCCGAAGCGCGGGAGCCTCCAAATCGCGCCCTTCTGCTCTCACGAGATCTGGTGACGTCAGCGCTCGCTGCCATCTTGGACTCGGGCTGAGTAATAAATTCCCCCCGCACCGAAACGCGGTCTTTCTCTAGACGCGTCTTGCTGGGAGAGTGTCCGTTGCTTCCCGTCCGTGTCGCGGCCCTGCGGTTGGCGGCCTCCTCGTGGAGCGGAGCAAGGGTAGGCCCCACGTGGCGTCTTTGCCCGGCTCCAAGATGGACGGCAGCGGGGACTGGGAGGCTGCTCTGGGGGAGCACGTGGCGCCCTGCTCGCCTGCTCCCGGGGCAGCTGGGATGGTGGCGGAGTCCGGAGGCCTCCTGCCGCCGTCGGGCAGGGAGGCCGGCGGAGGCGGGGCCGTGGCCGCCCCCGAGAGGCGCCCAGGCGGCGGCGGCGGCGGCCCAGCTTCTTCTTTCCTCGCACAGCCAGGCGGCCCCTGCTCGAGTCCCGCGTCGCCATGGCCGCGGTTCCCGAGTTGCTGCAGCAGCAGGAGGAGGACCGCAGCAAGGTGAGGTCCTCCCAGCCTCAGACTCCTGGGCGGGCGGCCCTGCGAGCTCCGGGGTCGCTGCATTCTTTCCCTTGCGCGTCCATAGGCCGTGGCTGCTCGCCGCCATCCCCAGCGCGGGAAGCACCCGTGAGACCCGGGCGGCCCCTCTCCCTGGTCTTCACTGAAGGCTGCCCCGGGGAATCCCTGTGGATGTCCCGGATTCTATTAGGACAGAACCAGAGACGCGGGACCTTAGCCCCAGCTCAGGCGCCGGTGCCGAGCGGACTTGGAGAGATGATCTCTGGAGACCCCGGAATGTTCTTTTTAAAACTTTCCTCGGCTTCGTGGTGACCAGTAGGTGAACGTGAAATTGACTTAACATGCGACAGACCAGTTTGGTTTGTTGCCCCCAAAATACCCTCCTTCCCCCCACCTTTTACTGAGAAGACTTTTTTGGGGGGGGGGCCCAAACAACTTGGGAAATTGCATCAAGCGTCCGAACATGCTGCTTACAACTTTAGAAACGCAAAATGCGTTGTTGTGGGAGTTGTGTAATTTTTAGTAGGTGCTCAAATACTTGCTGAACTTGGTGTCTATTTTTAAGTCTTGCCCATTGATGTAAACTGTCCCTAGGTCACGTGTATCTTGAGGTCTAAAAGATTATTTATGCAATAAATTGAAATTCCCATAGCCAATTAAAGATTCAGACGAGCCTCCACTCTTTTTCATTGGTTCTTTAAATTTGCCTCGGTAGCTTTGCGATGCATGGTTTGCGAGCAACCTTTCTTGCAGAATCGTCAACGTAAGTTTTTCTGACCGATGAAAAAGAACCTCTAAAAATACAAGGCTCTCTTAAAATGTAATTTGGAGCCGTCTTAACTTACACATTTCTTGAGAAGTTAAAGGCACCTCCATAGAGAAACTTGTTCATCTAGTAAGTAAATACCAGAGTTTCAAAGCGGCTGGATTGTTCCAACAAGGGTATCATTGCATTAATTATTAAAATAGAGCTTTCTATACAGGAGGGTGTTGTTTAGAGTGGTTTTTTTTTTGAAAGTTCTTTATTACTAAAACAAAGTGGAAACTTGAGACCACGATTCTTTGTAAAACATTATAAAGGTACTTTTCTCCATAAAGGGTAGATAATGGATTGGGATTTTGGTAGCATTTTATTTTTTCTTTCTTTCTGGTACATTCTTTTAGCTGTCTTGATTCGGAGTCAGCTAGGTAAAAGGACTCAATTGCTTCACCCCACTCTCTGGTAGTACAGTATATTGCAGCTGGTTTTTAAAATGACTTCCACCACCCTGATCCTCCAGCAAAATTGGAGAATGGTTATGAAGGCCATTTCCTGCCTGTTTTAGAGGCTACAGAAACTGTCCGTATCTGTAGCGAAGAGAGTTACATGACATTGTTTTCCTTTTTACATTACAGGAATAAAGAGACAATAAAAATAAATAATTACCCTGACGCGTGGCTTTATTTTTGTTTTCTGATCTCTGCTGATGCTGATAACCTGCTGTGGTCTGGCCTAGATGGTGTTATGGTTAACTGAAAGGGAGTTTGGGGCAAGTATGAAATAATGGGAAACTAAGTCTTGGGCAACTTTTTGCCATAATACAATTTCGGTAGTCAACTGAAATGTTTTGTGTGTTACCTGAAATGTGTGTTACTTAAATTGTTTAAATGCCCTCCTGATAATTTACTTTGGTTTGGAATTCTCCCTAAGGATGGAGTTAATTAAGACTCACTAAGGTAGGGGGACATACTTGATTCTTCAGGATTTTGAATTCTAGCCCAATACTCATTTTGGCCAATTCAGCAAAACTGAAAGGGAATACTGTGTCAGTCGTGTCTGGTAGCCAGACACTGGCATTTTGTTACATTCTTTAGCCGAGGGTGTTGGGGTTTGCCTTCTTCCTCAGAAAATAGTTCAGGGGAAGAGATGCATGGTTAATTTGGTTCCTAACTGGTCCTCTATTTACTGGTTTTTGATTTTTTTTTTTTTTTTGAGACGGAGTCTCGCTCTGTCGTCCAGGCTGGAGCGCAATGGCTCGATCTCAGCTCACTGCAACTTCCGCTTTCTGGGTTCAAGCGATTCTCCTGCCTCAGCCTCTCAAGTAGCTGGGATTACAGTCGCTCACCGCCATGCCCGGCTAATTTTTGTATTTTTGTGGAGACCGGGTTTCACCATGTTGGCCAGGCTGGTATTTGAACTCGACCTTCGCAGCCTAGTGCTATTTTTAACTAGGGGGTTCTCCTTCCTTGACAGTAACAACTTGGCCTTAACTTACTGCTTGGTTACAGGGACTTTGGTGAATGATATCTGTCCTCTTACCTACTCAGGAGTGTTTGTAGACTAAGTACTGCTGCTCTGGTTTCGTGTTTAACTGGTGTGGAAGCTGCCTCTAGGGGTATTTTTGTTCTCCATTAGCTAGAATGGAGTGCAGTTGGTTAGTATAGGAACAATCCTGAACTTTGACCAATACCATAGCAAGTCCAAACTTACAAACTTTGTGGACTGAAGCTTTATGCTACCCTTGCAACTATTTTCTAAGTTGAGGAAGTATGACGTATCAAGCTTCCCACGCCTTAGTTCTAGTTCAGTAACTTGTACTCGGTGTCTTAAGATCCCCATTTGTGAATACTCTAAAAGGTCATTATCTGTTCACATTATTTTGGCCATAGGTAGAAATGGCCAAGAGGCTTTTTTTTTTTTTTTTTTGAGACAGGGTCTGGCTCTGTCACCCAGGCGGGAGTGCAGTGTCACGATCACAACTCACTGCAGCCTCGACCTGGGGAGCTCAGGTGATCACCCCCACCTCAGCCTCCTGAGTAGCTGGGGCTACAGGCACACACCAGCATGCCCACCTAATTTTTGTATTTTTTGGTAGAGATGGGGTTTCACCATCCAGTTCAACATGCCGGGATTACAGGCATGAGCCATTGTGCTTGGCCAAGGCTGTTAAGTTTTCTAGATTTGTTTCTGAGCTGTAAACTCCTCATTCGGTGAGACCTAGTGGTCATCTAAACTAGAGGTTGAGTTTAAAATTCAGTTTCTCAACCTGGGGAGCACTGTTGACATTTTAGCCTGATCACTTTTGTTGAGGAGTGCCCTCTGGGTTGTAGGATGTGAAGCAACTGTTTTTGGCCTCTGCTAGGACGCGGCCTCCTCCCCTCCCATGGTGATAAGAAGTCAAAATTGCCTGTTTGAGAATCACTGGTTTAAACGGACTTCCTTCTAAAATGGTGTGATATGGGTGGGGTCAGGTTGTGTTACAGAAGCTAGTCTTTGTGTGCTTGTTGCGAATTTTTCAGGTTTTCTATTAATCTTGCCTAAGGAAATAACATGCCATGTAAAAATTAGCATTGTTGGATATCTTTGTGAGAATAAAGCTTTTCCACTAATACTGAGGAACCTTAACAAAAGGTGGTGAAAGATGGTTTTCTTCAGCAGGTTCTGGGTACTTGAGGGTTGCAAAGGGAGGGCTTCGTGTTTGTGTTTGTGAGTGTAGGCTTTGGACACTGGAAACTTACCTGAGTTTCTTGTGCTGCAGAGGGGAACTTGGTTTAAAATTCTGCTGTTTCAGCATTTTTCTGTCTTTATTATCAGGGTCTTGATGCTCGAGCAAATTAGGTGAGAACAGATCTATAGGTTAGTACCCTGAATGTCTTAAATAGCCCGTGGTCACAACAGTGTGTAGTGAAGTTAAATAGTATTTAAGGAAACAGTCTAACTTTTAATGATCCCAATAGTGAGAAACGGCTATTAAAGTGTAAATTAAGTTTCTCTGCATGATCTAACTTTCCAAAAAGTGGCTTCTTCACCCTTAATACCTGTTTTCTGATTGGCCATTGAGGTACTCTGACAAGATCTCCTAAAAGAGATCTTCACACCTTCACATGCTGCCTAAAGGCAAACCATAGTACCCCAGGAGGAGTAAGTTGCAGTTTGAGGGGCAGCCAACACTTAAGTTTAAAAATGGGGGTCCTTGGCTTGACTCTTCTTTTTACATTTTGGCATAACTTTTTTAGGCATTCCTATATGGTCTGGAGAGAAAACTAATTTTCTGCCTGAAAAGCTCAGTTTCTGAAGGGCACACTCCTAAGCATTCTAGTCATGGTAAATGGTGAGGAATACAAATCCAGATGGCTCCCTTGTCAGGGTTTTCACTTTTTCTTTCAAGAGCACCGCAGAGCTAGGACATTGTGCTGTTAGATACTTGGTAGCTGGTGGGTGATAAAATGTTGGACTTCTTCCCTCACCCTTCCTATATCTTTCATGAATTTTGTTTTGAATTCTTGTATTTATTTTGTTTAGAATTCTTTTTCTCAAGACAGTCTTGCTGTGTTGCCCAAGCTGGTATCGAACTCCTGAGCTCAGGCCATCTTCCTGCACTCAGCCTCCTGAATGGGCCCCTGGTCTGAGTATTGGAATATTTACATCTGAATGATTTGGGAAATTTGCTGTACCTCAAACTCAAGAGTGAAAGAAATGTCCAACCAAAAAGCGGGCAGCCTGCTCTCCATGCTGCCATTTGTATTTCAAACTGAGATGACCAAGGTTAAGTTCAAACAGGCAGCTCTACCACTGTTGCTGAATCGTCTTTCTTGGTAAAGGTAAATTGTCAAACCTATTTCCTGTGCATCTTGGTTTGATCATGAAGTGAGACCATGAAGGAAGGCAGTAAATGTCCTTCAACACCCTCATCCACATGAGTAATATGGACCATCTTAGCTTTGTTGAAGAGGGCTTGTTCCAGCCTTGGCAACAGAGTGAGACCCTGCTACAAAAAAGGGGGCTTGCTGACTTGATATGGTATGCCAGTGAACTTTTGGGAGGGAGCCATGATGGGATTGGGTAGTAGGTGAAGGCTTTTAGCTCTGAGTAAAGGAAACTGGCATTTCTGTTTTTTACTTTTTGAGACAGGGTCTCAGGGTCTCGGCCTGCTCCCAGGCTCGAGTTCAGTGGTCTGATCGTAGTTCACTGCAGACTCAAAATCCTGAGCTCAAGTGATCTTCCCACCTCAGCCTCCCAGAGTGTTAGGAGTAAAGGCATAGGCCACCGAGCCTAGGTGATTTTTTTTAAGGCTTTGCTGTGTTGCCCAGGCTTGTCTCAAACTCCTGGCCGCGGGCGATCCTCCTGCCTCAGCCTCCCAAAGTGCTGGGATTACAGACAAGAACCTCTCTGCCTGGCTGGGTTTCTTTTATTCATTTGTTGGACCTGCTTTCTTGGTAGCAGTGGTGTATTGATTCCCAGTAGGATTTATCTGCCAGGAGATCCTTACAGATCATTAGTTCAGCTGTTTTGCTTTGTGAATTCATTTGAAAGTATTATAATTTCGGTACTTAGTAATTAGATGGATTTCTTGACATGCATTAGATATTTAAGGCAGTAATTTAACTCTGGTTCCATGTTGATTCCATTAGTACATGGGCTTGCAGCCTTGTGAAATGATGATTCAGTTTATCCATTCGCTGAGTGCGCTGCACTGACCTTCTTCCAAGCCTCAGTTCCTGTTCTAGGAACTTGAGGCTATGTAGCCTGAAAATGCCCTGCAGTCTGCAGTGTTCTACTGTGAACTGCTTGTGTGTTGGCAGGCTACCGGTAAGAATGGTTGGTGTCAGCAGGGACGGGGCCCTCTGAGACCCATCTCACAAAGATGAGTGGTGAAAATCTGATCACTTGCTGCAGCCCTTTAGTTTTTTATTAAGCCGATGCCTGAGTAGCTTTAATAGCTATTAGCTATGTTAGTAGACTGAGATCTTCTGTTAGAAGTCTTTAGTTCTGTTTTCCTTGGGGGACTAAGAAATTATATTGCAGGCCTGAATTACAGGAAGGGGAGAACCAATGGCTAGGGAATGAGAGCCAATACCTGTAAAAGCAGAGTTGGGCTGGGCGCGGTGGCTCACGCCTATAATCCCAGGACTTTGGGAGGCTGAGGCGGGCAGATCACGAGGTCAGGAGTTAGAGACCAGCCTGACCAACATGGTGAAACCCTGTCTCTACTAAAAATACAAAAATTAGCTGGGTGGGGTGGTGGGCGCCTGTAATCCCAGCTACTCAGGAGGCTGAGGCAGGAGTATCTGGGAGAATTGAACCCCGGGGGTGGAGGTCGCGGTGAGCTGAGACTGTGCCACTGCACTCCAGCCTGGGCAACAGAGTGAGACTCCGTCTCAAAAAAAAAAAAAAAAAAGCAGAGTTAATATATTGCTTATAGTTAGTTGAACCAGTTGTTTCTCACACACCAGTGCCATAATCTAAAGCTGAGATTGAACACAGATAGGTACGTATTAGTTATCTTCAGGATGGCAGAGAATAGTAACAATTCGGAGCACCAATGGGAACATTGTTTCCTGAGAGTTCAAACAGTAACAAAGTAGCATGTGTTTCCTAAATATGTATCATGTGAATCTTTAATATTTGTGGACATTAATACAAATCTAGAGTGTGACAGAACATCTTTGAATTTTATATTCTCACTTAACAAATATTGGACTAGGCAAGGTGTGGATATCTTTCCAGCTGAAAATCTGATCAAGGAGGCAGGCTTCTTGGCTCCATGCTAAGAATCATCGATGATTTGTCATATTGGCCCTCTTGCTGGCAAAATCTTAGTTTCTTAGGCAGTGGAATGAAACATAACAAAACAAAATCCCTAGAGGCTAGGAACAGATAGTTTGAAAGAGAAGACACTGTAGCATGTGCTGCTTAAGTACATATCTTCTGCTTTTGGAATGGAAACTAGGAAGTCATTTAAATAGATATGTGTCTTTTTTATCCTATCTGTAGTAATTTATGTGGGATATTCAAATAGGAAAATACAGGCTAGCACTGCATATTGTATCCATGTCTTACATTGTATACAAATGACTATTAGATTTAAATGACTGTTCAACTAGCCCCAATCTAACAGATCAGAGATTGTGGAGTTTCACTTCTTTGGACTGTGTCTTTTTCATTTTGGCACTGAGTCTGCAGTCACCATAACCACTTAGAAAAAACTGTATTTTTTCTGTTCTCCTGGTGGGTTCTGAGTTTTAGAATCTTGCCTTTTGTGTTGTTCAGTCATCCAGGTGCCCTTTGCCCTCTGTAAGCCATTAAACCTTTTGAAGAGGCAGCTTTGCTGGTAGAGTCGTAAGTGAAATTTGGACCAAAAGTGAGTTTATGAAGACTGGTGGGCAGGAGCTCAACAGCTGCAGGGTTGTCCTGCAGCCAGTGTCTGATGTGCCCCAGCTGGGAAGCTGATGAATAGGTGAGGAAATGCACAGGGATTCCGTAACTACTTTTCTCCTTTTAGGGAAGTGCCTTGGCTCTCTTACCAAAAGCACTGCGATTTTTTAAAACAGTTGAAAATGTGCTTTCCAAATGAAGCCGTGCTTGTTTACCGTGAAGGCTGATTATAATCCGTATTGTAAGGATTGACCTGGTAGGGAAGTACATCATGAACTGAAACTTTACCTAAAACTTTGGATACGTGATCCAGTAGTTTCAAGGGAAATCTACAAAAGTCAGGTTTTTAAAAATTTTTTAAAAATTCTGAAATAGAGATGAGGTCTCACCGTTTTGCTCAGGCTGGGTTGTTGGGTTTGTTTTTTATGTGTAGTTTTTTTTTTTTTTTTTGGAGACTCGCTCTGTTGCCCAGGCTGAAGTGCAGTGGTGCGATCTTGGCTCACTGCAACCTCCTCCTCCCGAGTTCAAGCAGTTCTTCTGCCTCAGCCTCCTGAGTAGCTGGGATTACAGGCGCACGCCACCATGCCAGGCTAATTTGTGTGTGTTTTTTTGTTTGTTTGTTTTTTTAAGACGGAGTTTCGCTCTCATCGCCCAGGCTGGAGTGCAGTCGCGTGATGTCGGCTCACTGCAACCTCTGCCTCCTGGGTTCAAGCGATTCTCCTACCTCAGCCTCCTGAGTAGCTGGGATTACAGATGTGCGCCACCATGCCCAGCTAATTTTTGTATTTTTGGTAGAGACGGGGTTTCACCGTGTTGGCCAAGATGTTCTCGATCTCCTGACCTTGTGATCTAGCTGCCTCCACCTCCCAAAGTGCTGGGATTACAGGCGTGAGCCACCGTGCCTGGCCACTTTTTGTATTTTTAGTAGAGACGGGGTTTCACCATGTTGGTCAGGCTGGTCTCGATCTCCTGACCTCAAGTGATCTGCCTACCTTGGCATCCCAAATTGCTGGGATTGCAGGCGTGAGCCACCACACCCAGCCAGAAGTCAGTTTTAAAACTTAAATTATTTGAGAGTAGGTATATTTTCAATTTGATTCTTACAAGTGACCTAAGGGATCTGGAAAAGAGGTAAAACTTTGCATGGTAAAGGTCCGGCATGCCCAAGGCTGGACTTGGTTCTAAAGCCTGCTTTGTTAACTGTTGTAAACGGCCACTGTAAGCATTGTAACATCTGTGGCCTAAGTCAGAGACTCAAGTGTTGGCCAGCAGGGCTAAGGAGTACTCTGAGCCCTTCAAGCTTAAGGGGGGATGGAGGCAGAGGCAAGTGAGAGGGGAAGAGTGGAGCCTGGCAATTATTTAGCAAGTTCTGTAGCACTGTGGAGTGGGTTTGTTGACTAAGCAGAAGGAATGCTGAACTTTTGGTCACACTTGATGCTTCCCGAGTGAGAGTACAAATGCTGACTTAGAAGCTCTAGTCATTTCACAAGTTTCTACCCATGTTTGTCTCATCTGGAGGGTTATATGCTATAATATGAGAAAGTTCATTTAACTTGCGCCTGGGGGACATTGAGTTAATGATGGCCTGGATGCTGAGGGGTTTTGCCAATACTCTCTTTTAGACAGTTCTTTAAGGCCCAAATACAACATTGCATTATTTGCTTATTTGGTGGTTAGGACTGTCATGTCAAGTGATTGGAGTTTTGCTTGAATCCCTTCCTAGGGCGAAATGTCTGGGCAAAATGGCTGCTAGTGAACCTCGGATGTTTGATATGCTGTGGTTGCAGTCACTCATAACCTAGTGGTTTTCTTCTTTTTGTCTTCATCACATTCTGAAACAAAAAATATGTTTCTATACTAACCAGAAAGGAAGACAGGTATAGTCGGGGGTATTACCTCTACATGGGGAAAGGGACGAAAAGAGAAGATAATTATTCAGAGGAACGAAAAGCAGCTAAAGCAGCTGGTAGCATCCATTGCAGCTTTAACTGTGGTGCACAAATGAGCTCCATTTACTTGATTACATCCCCCTTGGGTCCTCCTATTCGAATTCCAAGGGTATCCCATGTGGAGTTCACAGGCTCACTGAGTTTGCTGGGCTTGTGAGCGAAAATGGAACTGTCAGCATATTCATTTGAGCAGTGCTAGAAGTCAGGGTTTGTGACTTTAGGAAATGGAATCTTAGGAAATGTGGCAGTTTTTGAGCTCTGGGAAAGGCACCTTAGACCTGTCCTGTGAGCTGTCCTATGTCTCCTCCAGAGACCATGGCTACTTCTTAGGCCTGGCTCTGTTTATTCCTGTTCTTGGGCCTGCCTGACCTTGACAGATAAGCCTAAGATCAGTAGAGTCGTTGGTATAGCCTCTGCAATCACATCTCAGTTAATGATTTGAGGTATTTTTAAAGGCTGTATTTGCCAGTGTTAACTTAGCAGAAGGAAGGAAGCTCTTATCAGAAAATACGCCAAAGCTGGAGTCAGTTATGATCAAATGAAGTCGCAGACCTTGAAGCTTTATCTTTGTTTGCAGAGATCTCACAAATGGACATGTGAAAATTAAGCCAGACAAGCAGATATTTCATAGGAGTTATCAAGAATTCATGTGGAAGAAAAATACTTAGGTTGAGATGTGAGGACTCAAAAGTATCTGTTTTGATCTTACTAATAGTTGATGTTAAAATCAACTTCTGGTGACTACTTGAGCTTAATTTTTTGGAGGAAAGCCATTGTAATAGGCTCCCTCTGGCTTTCAGAATTATAAATATACAGTGCTTAAGGAAAAAGGGAGTACTTGAAACTTAAGTAATCCATGTGCTTTTAGTGAATATATTTAGTCTTTTTATAGCTGATTGACCAGATTTTCAAGTTTTAGAGGTTAAGTACATAAGTTTTTAGTCTTGAACTTTTTATTTTGAAGAAAGGGACCCAAAGGGAAATTTGGAGTGAAATACCTCATCTTCTTAATTGTAATCTTCACTTGGCATTCCGTGCTTTGGGTAATCCAGTGTTATGACAACTTTACTTTAGCACTCCTTACAGTAAAAGGAATGGGGCAATGAGATGCTTACGCTATGAGTTCCTCGTGCCTTGTGTGTCAGGTTTTCAGATTGACCACCACCTTGTCTGCTTTAATGTACTTTTATTTAAGTCACTTTTCCCTAATAGCCCAGTTCCTATTAGTGCTGCCACTGTTCTCTCCTCTCTTTTTTTTTTTTTTTTTTTTGACGGGCAGAAATGGAGTTAGGTAGTTTTTTTCCTCTCAATTTCCAGCTCAGAAAATCAGTTAATTGAGTATTCAGAGTGATGCTCACACTTGTTGCTCATGTGTAACCACAGTGGGATTGTGCTAATTAAGTAAGGCCTTGGTTGGTTTTTCTAATTCACCCCTCCTGTCTAGATTCCTTGGCTATTTGAAACAGTCCCAGGTTTACTCTGAACTCTCCACCCAGGATCCTATTCCACATGACTGTTCTCTGTGCCATCTCCCCAGGTTTTCCTTTCAGATATTTGTGTGGCCTGGTTAATGCCTCTTGAATGTTCATTGTACTTTGGCATTTATGTAAGAATTCAAGATTTTGTTCTATTTAGTTCAGGCCTTAGTGTACAGTCAGGTATTTGGCCAAATGTATTGTACATGACATTATTGTAGCTGTTGTTTACATTACAGGAATACTTCGGATATACCAATGCATGTGAAGAATGGGTTTCCCCTCAGTTTCACATAAACTTAGAAATGTCTCAACTGACATTTCTTTTTCTTTTTTTTAATTTTTAATTCTTTTTTTTTTTTTTTGAGACAGTTTCGCTCTGTCGCCCAGGCTAGAGTGCAGTGGTGTGATCTCAGCTCACTGCAAGCTCCGCCTCCAGTGTTCAGGCCATTCTCCTGCCTCAGCCTCCCAAGTAGCTGGGACTACAGGTGCCCGCCACCACGCTTAGCTAATTTTTTGTATTTTTAGTAGAGACGGGGTTTCACCATGTTAGCCAGGATGGTCTCCATCTCCTGACCCTGTGAACCACCCGCCTTGGCCTCCCAAAGTGCTGGGATTACAGGGGTGAGCCGCCGCGCCCAGCTCAACTGACATTTCTAAATGATCTATGTATAAACTGCTTTTTAGTAACTACTCATTTTTGGAATAATTTTTTAGGGCCAAATGAGTTTGAAACTAATACGCAAAAAATGTATTTCAGCTGAGATCTGTATCTGTGGACCTGAATGTTGATCCCTCGCTTCAGATTGACATACCTGATGCGCTCAGTGAGAGAGACAAAGTCAAATTTACAGTGCACACAAAGGTAAGTAACATGCAGTGGTAATACATACAGTGCTAGGTTGCAGCCTTGTTATTCACAGTGGATGTGAGAAGAGATTCCCTGAGCTTGAAACAGTTGCTATTCGTAGGGTAGCACTATTAAGTGAGAACCTCCCTAATCTATCTCACAGTAAGCATCAGGTGAGTGCCATTGTGGCGGCAGCAGCATTCTGCTGTGGCAGAGCCCTGGGCTGTGGGCATTGTTTTTTTGTTTTTTTTTTTTTTTTTTTTTTTTTTTTTTTGGAGACAGTCTCATTGTGTTGCCCAGGCTGGAATGAAGTGGCACCATCTTGGCTCACTGCAGCCCCTGCCTCCCGGGTTCAAGCAATTCTCCTGCCTCAGCCACCAGAGTAGCTGGGATTACAGGCCTGAGCCACCACACTCGGCTCAAACTCCTGACCTCAGGTGATGCACGTGCCTCAGCTTCCCAAAGTGCTGGGATTCAAGGCGTGAGCCAGAGCCACCACACCGGGCCCCAGCTTTGTTTTTAATTTGCATCCAAGGGAAGTTTGTCTCTGTAGCTTGCTTTTTTTCAGCATTTACTAAATTGGGAAAGACCTTTCCCATGTGGTTTTTTCTTAACGCCTGGGCGGCTTGAATAGCACACTTCAGTTATTCCGGAGGTAGTGTAAAAAGACTGGTGACATAATTCTCTGCCTGAGCTTACCAGATCAAAGGAGGTAAAATCAGCATTCACTGGAGTGAAAAGGAAGGAAGCCAGGGACAATTTTTAGAACCATAGTAAGTTACAGCTAAGAGGTTTTTTTAAAATTTATTTTTCTTCTTTGTCATAAGTTGGGGGTGGGGGGTAAATTCAGACTTACAAAAATAGAATTTGGGGCTGGGTTGGGTGGCTCACACCTGTAATCCTAGCACTTCGGGAGGACAAGATGGGCAGATCGTTTGAGCCTGGGCAACATGGCAAAAACCTGTCTCTTCCAAAAATATAAAAATTAGCCGGATGTGGTAGCACACACCTGTAGTTCCAGCTACTCAGGAGGCTGAGGTGGGAGGATGGCTTAAGAGCCTGGAAGGCAGAGGTTGCAGTGAGCCAAGAAGCCAAGATCATTCCACTGCACTCCAGCCTGGGTGACAGCCAGACCCTGTCCCAAAAATGTATATAAACAAAAAAAAGTACACAGAAACAAAAAAATAGAATTAGGGTTGTGGCTTATTTCTTAGAACTGAACTTCTACCAGTAGATTCTGATGGGATATTCATTACAAGCTTCAGAAAGGTGGAGTTTGGGGAGAAATCGTTAGAGTTCAGGTTGAATCTTAGCTATGACTTTCATGACAGGAGATCATGTATAACTGCTTTGTTCTTTACTGGATCATATTATGATGTATTATGCAGAATTTTCCCACTGTGTAGCCTAGGAAACCCAGATCACTTATCTAAAAGTCGTGGTTACCAGTTAACTTCTTTCTTTCTTTACAGACCACACTGCCCACGTTTCAGAGCCCAGAGTTTTCTGTTACAAGGCAACATGAAGACTTTGTGTGGCTACATGACACTCTTATTGAAACAACAGACTATGCTGGGCTTATTGTGAGTCTTTTAGAAAATCAAATAAGCTAGTTCTTTCTGCCTTGCTATGCATTAGTTTAAAAGAGACTTATATCCACTTTTTTTAATGGATTGTGAAAAGTTAGATTTCATCTACCTACTGGAGTATTTGCTGACTGTCAAGTGGAAAGTATGTGAAGGAATAGTGTTACAGCTTTGAGGTGGTGCATACAGGCTTACATTATTTACATTGTAAAGGGGTGTGAACAGTGTAATGACTTTAGTCTTACCTACCTTTAGGTTTGGTTTTTCTCTGGTATGTTTTTTCCTATGTCAGTAGAATTGATTTCTAGGAAACACTGCTATTGGTAATAGTTTGTGATAAGATTTCTCAAAAGTTGCTGAAGGAGGCCATGCCTTTAATCCTAGCACTTTGGGAGGCCAAGGTGGGTGGATCACCTGAGCTCAGAATTTTAAGACGTGCCTGGGCAACATGATGAGACCCTGTCTCTACTAAAAATACAAAAAATTTGCTGGGCGTGGTGGTGCGTACCTGTAGTCCCAGCCACTGGGGAGGCTGAGGCATGAGAATCGCTTGAACTTGAGAGGCAGAGGTTGCAGTAAGCCGAGGCCGTGCCACGTCACTCCAGCCTGGGTGACAGAGCGAGACTCTTTCTCCCAAAAACAAAAAAAGTGCTCAAGGAGGCAGTTTTCAGCCCTTGATTGTTATTTCTTGGCGGCAGGAACAGACTTAACTGATTTTAAAGGAGATTTCCACGCGTTTTGTCCTGCCAGGCAGACTGAAGAAGCTCTCCAAATGATGATTGCTTAATCATTAAACAAAATTAATACCGAAGCTTATATTTAGATATGTCTTTCATTCAAAATTAGAGTCCTTGATTATCCTTTGGGATTAGGAAAAAATTCCTTTGGAATACTGAACACTTTATAATCTTGATGGCTCATCTTTGGTGCTTAGCATTCGTTGTACTAGTTTTAGGCGAACACTGAAGCAGTATAGACACTGTTGTGCTCTGAACAATTGTCTATAATGGATAAACTGAACAAATGATTGCCATCAAAGTGAATATGCAACTCTCAGGAAGACACCTCATTTTAAATGTCCAGAAGAGTTAAGGAAGGTTAAGAAAAAACAGGAGTTGACTTTTAAATAGCCCCACAGGAGTGGAGTGGTTGTCTCCTGTGGACCAGCAAGAGTAGAATGAGGCACCAACTAGAAAACATCGCTGCTGGGACAAGAGGCTCATGAGTTCCTGCCTCTGCTGCAGATTCCACCTGCTCCTACGAAGCCCGACTTTGATGGTCCTCGAGAGAAGATGCAGAAACTGGGAGAAGGTGAAGGGTCTATGACCAAAGAAGAATTTGCCAAGATGAAACAAGAACTGGAAGCGTAAGTGGATTTTCCTGGTGGGCTCTGTCTTTTGAGAAGTAGAAAAGTGGTGCTGTGTACAAAAATAAGTAGAAGAACCTGACTTAATTTTGTTTTAAGTGCAGCTGTTTAATTAGGTCCCTAGCGTCGTTTTCTAAAACTAGTAATACATCTTGCATAGTGTGGGACATGGTCTTTGTACTTCACACATTGATTCATTGGAGGCCATTGACACTAATACCCGATAGAGTAGTTGTCTTTTCCCATATGTAGGGCATACTTATTAAGGATGCTGGTCTGGCACAGTGAGGAAATAAACTTTTGTGCCTTTATAAATTGCTCATAATGTACAAAGCTTTTCTTTCGGAAGCTTGGTTACTAGACGTTGAGAAGAAACTAGAGAGTTGGGGGTTTCGTCATGTGTTGCCCCGGCTGGTCTCGAACTCCTGAGTTCAAGTGATCAGCTTGCTTTTGCCTCCCATAGTGCTGAGATTATAGTGAGCTGCCCCTGGGCCAGGCCAAATAGTGCTGTTATAGAGTAGCATTCTCAGTAACCATCACATAGATAATTTGAAAGAGGAAGTCCAGGTCTACAGGCAGCAAGTATATTTTAATCTGGTTGTCATTTAATTTTTTCAAACAAAAATAGATTTTTGGAAAGTTTCTTATGAATCCATCCTTGCATTTCCTCATCTTAGCTGAAAAGTACTCATTCCTCCCCTCTTCAACCATCAGCTCCCCCTCTCCAAACCCCTGTGTCATCTAGGGCAGCACTCAAACCTCCAGGCCCTGAAAGCATTTAGCACACACTTGAGTGGCTCTCGGGACCAGCTCTGGGGAATGAGGCACTGAACACAACAGATCCAAGTTTCTACCGTTAGGAATTTTAAGGTGACTTTTAATGTCTAGGTTGAGATAAAGCTGCTTTGTAATTTTTGTTAACTTTTAGCTTCATTAGACTCATGCTGTATACTTAGGCTGCAGTTAAAGGGTTCTCATTGCTTTAAAGAAACAAATGTTCTGTGGCTACTAAGTAACAGTAATTGCATGTAGATTTAGGAGCTCATGGACTTGACCCATCAAATCCAGTTACAACATTGCTTTCCTCCATAGTCTTATTCCACAGATTCAAAAATGGCAACTGCCTTAGTATCTAACTAGACACCAGTTTATACTGAAATACTGTTTGGTCCAGTTGCAGTGTTTTATGTGGTGGCATGAGCAGGGCCATAGAATTAATCAGGAGTGGTATTGGTCAGGTAGTTGAGCTGTGTCAACTGAATGCCATGTGCACATCTCTTTTCAGTGAGTATCTCGCTGTGTTTAAGAAGACTGTGTCCTCCCATGAAGTCTTTCTTCAGCGGCTTTCTTCTCACCCTGTTCTCAGTAAAGATCGCAACTTTCATGTTTTCCTGGAATATGATCAGGATGTAAGGCATTTTTATTCCATTTTGATAATCCACTTCAAATGTTTATACTTTCAAAATGTACTTGATAGTTTCTACTGCTTTAAAGTTTTGAATTTCTTACACAATGGAAACCTTTTTAGATGCTGCTTTTCCTTCATTGTAAGTCATTTTTTGTAAAACTCTGCTTAAAGAAAATTTTGACTTCTTTCCCCTTCCAAAACCTAGGTTTCTTTTTAAGAAATTAACAGTCCCAAACATCCCTTAGTTAATTTCTTAACAATTCCAAACTTAACTAAGTTCATTTTAAGGAAATTAAAATTTGTGTAATTTATTTTCTTCCCACCTACGCTTTTTGTTGAATTATGACTTTTTTCTTTTCTTTTTTGAGGCAGAATCTCGCTCTGTCATCCAGGCTGGAGTGCAGTGGCGCGATCTCGGCTTACTGCAAGCTCCACCTTCTGGGTTCACGCCATTCTCCTGCCTCAGCCTCCCGAGTAGCTAGGATTACAGGTGCCCACCACCACACCCGGCTTATTTTTTGTATTTTTAGTAGAGATGGGGTTTCACCGCGTTAGCCAAGATGGTCTCGATCTCCTGACCTCGTGATCCGCCCGCCTTGGCCTCCCAAAGTGCTGGGATTACAGGCGTGAGCCACTGCGCCCGGCCGCGAATTATGACTTTTATGCTATTTTTCTTTTTAACATGTTTTGGTTTTTGCTACTTAATATGGATAGAAGAGAACAGTAATTTTCCCAAGGATTTCAGAGCCACTAAGACTTAGCTTCTAGTCAGTCTTTCAAAATCTGTCAAGCCTTTTAGAATGAGATGACCTACCTATGTTTGGGTTTAGCCATTAGGTGTTTTAAGCTTGGAGGTTAAGGCAGAATTAAAGATACTTTATGCATTTGCCTGTACTGATAAAGAGGATTACTTAAAATGTTACTCAGAACTTCTTTAAGAGAATCTAGAAAAATCCATACCATATAAACTCTTTGGAATTTTCTTCTTTTAGCTAAGTGTTAGGCGGAAAAATACTAAAGAGATGTTTGGTGGCTTCTTCAAAAGTGTGGTGAAAAGTGCTGATGAAGTCCTTTTTACTGGAGTTAAGGTAAGTGACCTTTGGCTGTTGGAGAAAATTTTTTACTTCATCGGGAATAGGTGACCTTTTGTTTCTTTGAAAGAGATACTTGTGAAACAAATGGTTAACTTTTAAGACATGTAAGTGTTCTTCAGATTTTGGTAATTTTCATCTACTTATTCAATTTTCACTTATTTCCCAGAGCACCTTGTTCTGTCCCAGGAGAAGCAACTTGAACCTTTCCACACTTGGCTTCATTTTCTCCTTTTCTGTAAGGAGGGAGATTACTCAGTTAATTTCTAAAATAAAGTACAAGATCAGTATTTTATCCCACTCTCAGAACTACACTGTCCAGTTTGGTCACCAACTACAGGTGATAGAGAAGCACTTGACATGCAACCTAGCTGGCACAACTAAGGAACCAAACTTTAGATTTTATTTACATACTGGATTTCAAGGCGTTAGCACAAAGACAAGAATACAAAATAACGTTTCCGTTACCGTTAGAGGTATGATTTACTTTACTACTTCTCGGGCCTTCTCATTCCTTTGTAACTGAGTTACCCTTACAATTACTGTCTGGTATCTGGCTTTGCCACTCCAGGGAGCCCAGAATACAGGTGCTAAGTAGAGAGGGCATCATCAGAAATTAGGAAACTCGGACTTGGTCCAGTTTAAGGTGTATGGGACTGTCCTGTATCCATGCATTATGGGATATTTGGCATTGGCATCCTTGGCCAATGCCTACCAGATACCAGGATTTCCTCCCAGTCTGAAACCAATCGAGAAAAAAAAACCTCATTCACACACAGATAGGTATCCAAGGCTAAGTGGCCATGTTCCACCTGGTAGAACCATTGTACTAGCGTAAAATTGCTGTGTCTTAGGGTGCCAGTTTTACTGGTGGTTGTTAAGTGATTCTTCTGTAGACATTTTCTGCCAGCCCTTGATTTTTCCCAGCCTTGGTTAAGAAATAGTATCGTAAATTTGTAATTCCCTGATCTGTAGAGGTTAAACTTTACTCACGTTTATATGCCATGTTCTAAGCAATATATTTTTATATTGATAAATGTAAAAGGCTGCAGGGATAGTATATTTCATGAAATGTCTGGTTCTTTTTTTCTTCCTTCTAGGAGGTAGATGACTTCTTTGAGCAAGAGAAGAACTTCCTTATTAACTATTACAATAGGATCAAAGATTCTTGTGTGAAAGCTGACAAAATGACCAGATCTCATAAAAGTAAATATCATTTACCGCTAGTCAGAGCTTTGCTGATGAGCCTGGCTGTGTTTGGATAAAAAGACTTGTCCTTGTTTCTGCAGATGTTGCCGATGACTATATCCACACCGCAGCCTGCTTACATAGCCTGGCTTTAGAAGAGCCCACAGTCATCAAAAAGTAAGTTTTTTTGGAAAAGCATTTCCCCTAACCCAATTGAAGAGTGCCGAGTGGTGTAATTAAAAGCATAAATGAGTAGTGACTACATGGTCCTGCTCTGGAGTTACAAGCTCAGTAAGACAAGTCTCTAGCACTCATCTTACATGTTCTCTGGACATAAGACACTTGTAAGACAATTGTAGGGGACTTGGGCTCTTCTATATGTAAACAAATACAGTAAATGTTGTCAAAGCAGTAGTTTCTGTCACACTTAAAAGCCTGTTTTCTTTAGTTTTGGAGTTTGTAAGAGTTTATCTTGCATCTTCCCCTGGCAATTGGTGCTTGCAATTTTGCCTGGTAATGCCCTAGACCTTCTTTTTTTTTGGCCTGTGATGCAGCCTCAGGAGATCCTGAGAACATGTGCCCCTGCCCTGGACCTTGAAGAGATTTGGTTATAGTGGTCATGAGAATAATTTAATGACCCCAGTCTAACACACAGCTGTTTTGATGTACAATTTTCTGAAATTACCTTCATTCATTAATTAAAAACCCTTCCATTTTCACTCTGCACTTATGTATGTGTTTCAGTTTCTCCATCCTGGGCATTTCTGGTGTAAGACAATATTTTACTTAACATCCAGGCTTGGCAAAACAGGTGATACTACTTCTGACTCGAAATTGAAAGGCTAATGGCAGAACCATGACGAATTAAATAGCATATTTACTGCTTTGTGATGCCCATAGCATAGCTCATTAGAAACCAACCTTGGTTTACACAGCATTGGCATTTAATAAGAATATTTGGGCGCATGGCAGGATGACCGAAGGGTCACCAAGAGGCTGAGTGTGGTGCTGTACATGTGTGTAATTTTGTGACCATTTTCTCTACTATTTGGGGTCAGTTGAAGTGAGAGCACTACTTTTAAATTAATGCTAAAGTACCAAAGGCTAGGACTCCTGAGTTGACCCATTCCTGTCTTGCACACTGGTAAGATCATGTTTTATAGATGATTTAAGACCTTAAACCAAAATTATATGTACATTTCCAGGTACCTATTGAAGGTTGCTGAGCTATTTGAAAAACTAAGGGTAAGGATTTCTGTGTTGGTCTTCATAATATATATTTTATAATCTATAGCTTTCTGCCTTGATGGTGACCTTTCCTTTTCTATATAGAAAGTAGAGGGTCGAGTTTCATCAGATGAAGATTTGAAGCTAACAGAGCTCCTCCGATACTACATGCTCAACATTGAAGCTGCTAAGGTAGGAAGAGAGTTGCTCAGCTTCTCAGAGCAGTGCAGGACCAGAAGTCTGTTTAAAAAGTTTCTTTATACAAAGGAGCAGAATAAGAATTTATCAGACTTGTTTTTATAAATGACATGCCTTTCTGGCATTGTATCCATAAAGCTTGTGTATCTGACAGCACTGTATGGGTTGTGTGAAGTAGACAGGTAATAGTTTGGGGGATTATAGGTCATTGATGTGGGACATAACATGCAGAAAGGGCTGTTTCTGGGGCAAAGAAGATTTGGGAGTTTTTATTGAATTGCAAGTATCCCTGCAGCCTTTGAGCCGTGAAGCGTTATATGTATATGTGGACAAAATGGTAAGCAGAATAACCTTTGGGAATGAAACATGCTTTGTCTGCATTGCCCTGAACAAATATGTTTTAATTTTATGTGAAATGTATTAAATCAGGCAAAATAAAATTAGATAGGATTGTATGCCCTCTAAGGCTGAAATGTCATCAGAAAGTAAAAGAGTAAAAAAAATTTTTCCCCCCATCATGCAATTTTATTTTAGTTAATTTGCCCTTTGGCATGTTTTCTGAATCTTGGGAGTTTTTAAAAACATACTTTTTTAATAGCCTATTTTCTACTTTCATGGAATTAAGAGCTCACTTACGATTATTTGAGTATATACAAAAATAGGCCTAGTAGTTTCACCCATCAGTTATTATTTCACCTAGTTTTAAATGTGTAATCTATACATCATAATTGCTCATTTCAGATACTAAAGTAACTTCTACTCTGTTGTAAGATTGCAAAGAATCTTTATATCTGACTAAGTGGATCTCCAAGGTAGATTACCAGAAGCAGGATTTGCAGGGTAGGGTTATGTTTCTTACTACTTCATTGCCCAGTTGTATTTTAGCAGCGCTCAACTTGACTTACCCAGCAGTGACTGTATATTTCAAGTTATCTCTGATACACAATATTTAATTTTTAAAGTTAACTTTATTTACTGAATTACTGGAAAACAAAAGTCCTTCTGTTTTCACTCTTGAGTAATCACTTGATTCATATAAGGAATTCTAAAAAAAGCTCTCAACAAAGCTATCAGCATTGCTCATCCCTGCGAAGCTGGAGATTTAAAAATACTCTGGGAGAGGGAAGGTGTAGAGGTAGATTATTGCCACTAACATCTCAGGTGGTACATTGGCACTTGGGCTATTTTTTAGACTGGTTTAGATACTTAGTATGTATACCTGTTAATTTTTTTCCCAGGATCTCTTATACAGACGCACCAAAGCCCTCATTGACTATGAGAACTCAAACAAAGCTCTGGATAAGGCCCGGTTAAAGAGCAAAGACGTCAAGTTGGCTGAGGCACACCAGCAGGAGTGCTGCCAGAAATTTGAACAACTTTCCGAATCTGCAAAAGAAGGTTGAGCAGGACATTCTTCTTTCTGTACTGTAATTTGAAAATAATTTCAAACTTAGAAAAGTTCTACAAATAGTGCAAAAAACACCCATGTATCCTTCACCCAGTGTCAGCACTTCACCCCTCTGCCTTATCACTTGCACATGCACAGTCATCCTCATGGCTTTGCGTGCTTACAAACGTTACACACCTGGTTTTTCTGTACCATTGGAGATTAAGTTGCATATGTCATGCTTCTTTTAGCCCTAAAAACGTTGTGGTTTATTTCCTAAGACTGAAGACATTCTCTTGTATGGTTACAGTATGGTTGTTTGCTGTGATAAACTTAACTTTGGGTCTACAATCTGCTCTCTGTATTTTCATGTTTGTCTTGATGTCCTCTACAAGATCCAGTCTAGGATTGCATCTGGTTGTCTTAGCTATTAGTCTCCTTTACTCTGGAATAGTTCTTAGTTTTTAACAGTATCAGTCTTTTTAGAGAATCTCTTTACAAATCCTGTATTTCTGACTTTTGGTAGGTTTCCTCATGTTTAGATCTGGTTATGGGCTCCTGGCAGAATAGAAGTAATATGCCCTTATTGGGGTGTCACTTCTGATTGGACAGTGTGTCTCTCCTTCATTCGTGGTGGTAATTTTGATTACTCAATTAGATAGTATCCAAATCCAGTTTCTCCACTGTGTAGTTACTATTTTAACCCCCATCAATCTGTGGTGAGGCAATTTAAGACCATGCAAATACCTTGGTCTTCATCAAACTTCCTCCCTAGGTTTAGCATGTATTAATGATTCTTGCCTAAACCAGCTGTTACTCTGACGATTGCAGAAAGACGATTTCCCTCATCTCTAGCTCTAGCTTTCCTACCCAAGTTGGCACTTGTCATCCTACTACAAAAAAGCCTTCCCTTTTCTCAGAAATTTCCTTTATCTTTATTAGAGTCATGGACTCCCAGTTTTTAAAATGGTTTAGAATTCATTATTGTATTACCAAGTTATTTTTGATGCCTGTCCAGACTTTGCCAATAGGAGCACCTTTAAGCTGGCATGTGGTTGTAACAGCCTAACCCGTCTTTTTTAGAGTGATAGGCCATGCTAATCTTACTCTCTGCTCCAGCCTTGAAACTGGCCATTTTTTCAAGGAGCCAGGGTTCTTTTTCTTTGGGAACAGTTACCAGCATCTGAGTATGCTCATCGTTTCGGGGTATCTCTGCTTCTGTGCCCTTCAGTGGACTGAGCTAGGAAATGTATGTGTGTGTGCACACATATGCCGTTGCACACACATGCAGGTTTCAGGGATCACAAGTCCGGTCCATGTCCACATCCATAGGGTTCTTTCTTGCCTTATCCATTTCACCTCTTAGAGCAGAGGACTTTCACCATTTCTATTGAACATGAGTATAATATGTAGTCCTTACCTAAGAGGATTCTGTGGATCTTCTCTGGGGTTCTCAGGGGCCATGGAACATGTCAGAGCAAATGTTGGAATGGATTACCCAGAATGTGAGTAGTTGTAGTGGGGCACTGTTGGACTCAATCCCAACCCCCTAACGCGTGTTTCCATGAAAAATTCATATCTTACTTAGTTTTTTCCTAACTTTCTTGTTTCCCAGTGGTAGGGTAATCTAGACATAGGGAAATGATGTGTTCATCAACATGTTTGAAGCTACCTGGGGGAAACCTAGACTTTATAGATTTCTAATCATTTGTCTGTCTATTCAGGATTATAATACAATGCCTTAACTGTAAGGCACAAAGGCACAGAGCTTCCTGGCAAATGTCATGTAGACAGGCTCTGAGGCTGTGTTGGGTTCTTCCAAAGTAACCTTCATGCTACCCTGTTTCTGAAACAATTACAGCTTTTTTTTTTTTTTTAAAACTAAAATTTTCAAGGAAACGTACACACTTCAAAACTACTGAGTTGAAATCTTATAGGCCAGTTTCATGGCTCTGGAAATTTTAGAGGAGATTGAAGAAAAAACATAAAACTTTAAAAAATGATGCCAATTCAGGTCTACCTTTACTGCCTAAAGTTTTCGCCCACATTGATTATATCCTATATTCAAAATGCCAGATAGGTACACTATCTAAAAATACAGTATTCTGTGGAATGCTGAGATTGGTGGGTCTTAACCTGTTTGCCTTTGGTATAAGTGCTTTCTGAGACTTGCAGCTGAGCTGACGACTAGAGTTGAGTCAGTGGGTAAGGGCTGGTTTCACAGGAGGTGAATAGTTAAGTGTATGGAGCCCTGGTACTGTGTGTAGGTCTAGAGGAAGGCAGGGAGCTTATCTTCACCCAGGATATCCAAGGGACTGATAAACATCACCTTGTAGTGCAAGCACTATAGACTTGACATATCACTATGAAATTTGTGACTTTTTAACTTGGATGTGGCTGCTTGTATTGTAGTTCTTTTGCACAGCACTGTAGAGACAGGAAGGAGGGTGAGTCTGCTCTGAACACTTGAGCACCAGCAGAAGGTTGGGTGATGGTCAAAGTTTTAGTCAAGTAAAACTGCAAGACAGAACTTGATGTCACAAATTCAATGAAGGAATTAGGGCGGACATGCATATTCTTGGTTTGTTCCAATTTCCAATGGGTCATTAATGCCGAATTCTGATGGCAATAGGAGTAGATGAAATGAAAAAGGGCTGGGTGCAGTGGCTCACGCCTGTAATCCCAGCACTTTGGGAGGCTGAGGCGGGCGGATCACGAGGTCAGGAGATCGAGACCATCCTGGCTAACACAGGGAAACCCCGTCTCTACTAAAAATACAAAAAATTAGCCGGGTGTGGTGGCGGGCGCCTGTAGTCCCAGCTACTCGGGAGGCTGAGGCAGGAGAATGGCGTGAACCCAGGAGTCAGAGCTTGCAGTGAGCCGAGATCCCGCCACTGCACTCCAGCCTGGGCAACAGAGCAAGATTCCGTCTCAAGAAAAAAAAAGAAAAAGGAGTAGATGAAAAGGAAGCATGCCCTAAAGATCATCAAGTAAACCTGTCTTGAATACGTGTAGCAGTTTTTCACTGTTTTGGATTTAAAAATGTTTTAAGTTTTATTTTTAATCGACAAGTCATTGTATTGCATTTGTGGAATACAGTGTGATGCTTTGCAGGTACATAATGTGAAATTATTAGATCAAGCTAATTAACATCTTTCATTTTTTTCAGTGGTAATACATTTGAAATTTGCTGTTTCAATATATATTATTGACTGTAGTCACCCTGTTGTGCAGTAGATCTCAAAATTTATTCCTTGAGTTTAGCTGCAGCCTTCTACCCATTCTCTTTCCCACCTTCCCCAGCACCCCACCCTCATCCTCTGATAACCATCATTCTGTTCTCTACTTCTAGGAGTTCAACTTAAGATTTTACCTGTAAGTGAGATCATGTAATGTTTGTCTTTCTGTGCCTGGTTTATTTTATTTGGCATAATGTCCTCTAAGATCCATCCACATTGTCCCATATGAGAGAATTTTGTTATTTTAAAAGGCCGGATAGTATAATGTATCTATACTACATTGTCTTCATCCACTGATGGATAATTCTCAATTGATTTTGTATTTTGGCTATTGTAAATAATGCTGCAGTGAACATGGAAGTACGGATATCCCATTGAGATACTGATTTCAGTTCCTTTTATATTCCCAGAAGTGGGTTTGCTGGATCATATGGTAATTCTATTTTTAGTTTTTTGAGGAACCTCTATACCATTTTCCATGGTGGCTGTACTAATTTACATTCCCAGCAACGGTGTAGAAGAGTTCACTTTTCTCTGCATTGTTGCTAACACTGATCTTTCATCTATTTGAGAAAATGCATTCTAGCAGGTGTGAGGTAATCTCATTGTGGTTTTAATTTGCATTTCCCTAATGGCTAGTGCTGCTGAACGTTGTTTGCATGAACCTGGTATGTCTTCTTTTGAGAAGCATTTTCACAAGCCATTGGTGAAGTATGTGGCTCACCACCACCCATACTCCAGCCCTGTTCCCAGTCACTGGTACCTAGAGGGTGAGAGTGAGGCTGCTCATCAACGTGTTCTCCAAGTCATAAGCTGCTGCTCTCCCACTCACGATGCTTGGTGATTCAGTGATGTTTTCCACTTAAAGACAGTGATAGCTGTATCACCACAGTTAATAGATGTCTGATGTGTCCCAGTCACAGAGATAATACAAATGTGAGGAAATAATGCTGGTGCCTGAAAGCATTGGAGACCATTTGTAAGAATGCCATTTGGTAGTTAAAGTGAACATGAAAATTGTTTAGTTTTTCTTGGTTTCATAAACATTTTTTCTTCCTGTAGAACTGATAAATTTCAAACGGAAGAGAGTGGCAGCATTTAGAAAGAATCTAATTGAAATGTCTGAACTGGAAATAAAACATGCCAGGGTAAGTGTTTTCTACAGATGAAGCCAACATCTTTTATGGTTTTTTCCAAGTTATTTCCCAGTTTACTAACCCATTGTCATCAGGCAGTTGGGGTGGCCTTGTGGTATTAATCGTCTGTAGTACTTAGTTGATGGGAGCCACTCATTGTTTATTTGTAGTCTTGTTTATAATGTCACCCATGACTAATTTTTAGCAACTTTTTTTTTTTTTTTTTAATAGAGATGGGGTTTCACCATTTTGGCCAGGCTGGACTTGAACCCCTGACCTCAGGTGATCCACCTGCCTTGGCCTCCCAAAGTGCTGGGATTACAGGTGTGAGCTAAAGCTCCCAGCCCTAATTTCTAGCAACTTTTATTCAATCTTTCCAAGGCCCTTGCCTTCATGGAACAACGCACTGATAGTGTCTTAAGAAGTTACAGTAAGCAGGATCACATTTAGGAGCAAGCAGGTGAGGGCAGAGGTGCTGGAGTGAACGTCGGCTCTTTGGCTGGTAGCCTTACCCACTGAGGGAGAGGAGCTGAAACATGAAATGGGGATGCGTGGTACGTTGCAGTTCACCTGGGATTTGATGAAGAGAAGGGCCAGCTTGCTCTGGCTGACTTTAAACCTCCCGTGAAAAGCCGTGTTGGTGTACTTGAGTCATTCCAGGTATATGGCAAGTTTTAATAATTCACTGGTCTGCCTTGCCTTTTTTCCCCACAGAACAATGTCTCCCTTTTGCAGAGCTGTATTGACTTGTTCAAGAATAACTGATATGCCTTCACTCAGAAGAAAAGAAATGAATGTGAAAGAAAGCCAAGCATCACTTGCACTTAAATCATTACCACGGAAGATATATTAGCTTCAACTTTAGTTTAAAATTATGTGAATAAATATTTTGATTTCTACAAATCTTAACATTTAACCATGTTGGTTTAAAAATATTATTGCTTGCTACTTGGACATAACTAATTTTTCCTTGTGCATTTAATACCTCTGGGCAGAATCCAAATACTGGGTTCTCCCGTAGTTCGTCTTTAGTTACTAAGAAAGGGTGTAGGACACATTAGCCTTCTGGAAACAAGTAGAAGCCATCACCTGGCCCATGTCCCTACAAACCCATGATTGTCAGGGAGGTGCCAGTTACAGCAGGTGATTCAGCTACTTGAGGTCGGTAACAGACCTTCCATTCCTCACTGAAGGTGGGGTTTGTGTTTTTGTTTTGCCCTGTTACTCCACTGGTAGTCATCTGGTGTTTGTACTATAACAACAGCAAGAAAATCTCATTTATCTTTATATACTCTTTGCACCTCCTTTTTTTAGTCGAGATATAAATATTTGAGGGGAGAGAAATATCTACAGGTATATATGGAAACAAATAATGTGGTCTGCTTTATAAGATGGCCAGATCTACATTAGGAAAAGTATAAGCCCCCTCCCTAATGGCCGCTGGGGGGTGAGGGCGGTGTGTTGTATGTCTTTGGGTGTTTGTTTTTTTATAAAGCATATAATAAAATAATCGTGCTACTAATGTACGGCCTGTTTTCGTGGAAACTACAACCAGAGTGTGTCCCAGGAGTGCAGGTGGTGCTAGGGTTTGGCTGTGGTTACAGGGTTTTCAGGTTCTGCCCAGAGTCCTGGGGGCGGTCAGGGGAAATTTGTCCTAGTCTTGACATTCTTAAGTACTCCAGGCCTTTTTTAGATGGTCTCTAAATGTGGGTTTGTCTGTTTGCTCCTGACCTGATGGAGGTTTGCATTTTGGCCAGGGCCTTTACCATAGGGCAGTGGTCCCCAGTCTCAGGTCCATGGCTTGTTAGGAAGAGGTGAGCCAGCATTGCCGCCTGAGGTTCGCCTCCTGTCAGATTAGCAGCAGCATTAGATTCTCATAGGAGTGCAAACCCAGTATTGTGAACTGGGCATGCAACAGGTCTAGGTTGTGCGCTCCTTAGGAGAATCAAATGCCTGATGATCTGATGTGGAATGGTTTCATCTGGAAGCCATCCCTTTCCACACCCCACCTTGTCCATGGAAAAATTGTCTTCCACGAAACCACTCCCTGGTGCCAATGACATGTCTTCAGGAGTTGTGTGTCTATTCCTTTGTTGATGACTGAGCACTTAGGGTGGTAATCTCCTTTACCTTTCTAATAAGTAATTCATGGTAAGACCATGAGACTAAAAACATTTTACCCACCACATTTAGCATCTGTTACAGCCAACTGGTATGAGGGTTGCAGAACTGATTTCAATACATACAGGGAGCATGTTTCTTAACATTTATCTGGTCTTCGTGTCTTGCCTCCCCAGCTATTTACAGGCGGCCACAGTGCCTTCTACCTTCACAGTACATACTTGGGAAACGGTGCACAAAATGAGTGAATTTAAACTTGGCAGTTGTAACTTCAGTCTGGGCTCCTAACCAAATCTGTCCTTCCTACCCATCTCCCCCATAATGTCCACAGCAGCCACCCACACACGCCCAGCATTCTGTTAGTGTAGAGCCAGCACTCCTGCAGTCAGGTTCCTGGGCCGCAGTGCTTGAGCACCAGTGTGATCAGCCCTGATTGGTGGAGCTCTGGCTGTTGGCCTCGGGGCCTTGGTGCATTTTCTTGAGACTAAACCTTGTCAAATGGACAGCAGAGGCATGAATCTTGAGTGCTGGGTCTGCTGCTCACCAAGTGATCTAGGCTGCCTCTCTCAGCTGACTGATCTGTGAGCTGGAGTCAGCACTTCAGAGGCCCCTCAAATTAGTTTTATGCCAGCAATCTCTAATACAGCCTTCATGGATGGTATGATTGTAGATGTTTTACCTGCTGTATTTGTTCCAAGGCTTTTCATTAAATTGCACCTGACAGTCACTTAGGAAATTTGAGGCACTCTGGGTCAGGGATGTAGTCACCTTTCCCCTTCTGTCAGTCACCTAGTGAGTTGCTACCTTTACCTGTATGTGAGGGTGCATTCATAGTGGTCTGGGGTGGGGGGATGGGTTTAGATGCTGACTGCGACCTGTGTGGTGTGCTGAGACCTGGAAAGGCAGGCAGGCACTTGGCAGCAGGAGGAACAGCATCAGGTGGGAATCCACAGCTATCTTGCTGGAGTGCAGGAGAGCATAGGTCCCACATTGAGAAATGGGAATTTGGGTCACTTCAGGGTGATGTGTGGAGAGGCTTTTGCTGTGTGCTTGTATGGTTCTGAGAACTAGTGATCCTCCAGGAAAACCCATGTGGGTGCACAATTCATAGGGAACCCTTGAAGGTTTCTAGAAATGGGAATGGGAAGTGGTTTCAGATGGGCTGCCTTAAGGCATCCAGGCCAAAAAGGCTGTGACTTGCCCAAGGCACGGCTGAGAAAGTTGCCTCGTGGCACACGCAAAACTGCACAGTTCACATGTCATACGATTTCATTAAAAGCTAGGATCCAGCCTGAGAAACAGCGCAACCGTGTCTACAAAAAATGCTAACCTACAGTGGTGGCATACACCTGGAGGGCTGAGGTGGTGGGAGGACTGCTTGTGCCCAGGAGTTCAAGGCTGTAGTAAGTTAAAATCACACCACTGTACTCCAGACTAGACAACAGGGACAACTGCCATCCACCTCCCCTCTCCCCGCCCTCCCCCACTCTGAAAAGCAAAATTAGGAGATTGTCACGAGGAAGGAAAGCACACCCCTGGTCTGTGAAGCCGTTGAGGTCATGTCAGACCACTGGGGTCGTTTGTGGTGACAGAGCACAAGCATTTGGCCAGTTCACCACCCAACACATTCACTTGTGCCATCTCAGGGTTTAGGGGTCTGTTTTCTGAACATTTGCCTTGCGCACCTTTTCTTTGTGAGGTTTCTTTGTGGTAATTCCCAGGCTCAGCTCTGTGAAGGGCGATTTCCGTTTGGAAGGAAACCTTGCACCATCCGCTTTCTGCCTGTAGGCGGCAGGGGCGACCCAGCACAGCCACCTGCCCACCCACAGCTGAGCAGGAGCCTGGTATCCCCGCAGAGCTGCTCAGATTATCAGCTTATAGCTAAGGTAGCAGGAAGAGAAATGTCAGGCTACTTGAGAGTTAAGTAGTTCTGAATGGTGTTTTCCCAGACCAGCAGTCCCCTCCAGGATTCCTGCGGGCTTCAGGTTTCTGGTTACCCAAGACACAACCTCCATTGCTGAGGCCATGCTGTTCGAGAACTCCCCATCTGAGCCTGGTGTCAAAACAGTTGTGATGTTGATGGGGGTTCACAGCCAGGCCATGTGATGTGTCTGGAAGGAAGTTGGGGGTGGTGGACAACATTTGGGCAGTGATCAGTTATGTCCTTTAGACACAGCTGGGTCTGCAAGGTCCAGGGGACGCCCTTCCCCATCCACTCCTCGCACATACACAAGGTGCCCCTTGCGTGGGTGAGCTGCCCACAGTGATTTCTTATTGGAGGTTTGGTTTGTCACCATTCAAAACCATTGACTTTTTTGGTTTTAATGTTTATTTCTAACTTTAATACATGTAGGGATTTAATGAAGTCCCCACATCTTGTAAAACAAAATAACAGTAAAATACCACATCTCAAGAATAAGTTATTAAATGTTTCTAGATTTTTTTCCTATCCGAATAGGAATTGTTTACAAAAAACGATTCAGGATGCCAGCATTGGGGTTGGATTCTGGAGGTTTTCTGCTGTTGGTTCTCTCTCTCCGTGGAGATCCATGGAGGAGTTTTCCTGAGGCCCCAAAACAGCTCTTTTGCATCTTTGTCCTTCCACGGCCTGCTTCCCATGAGGAAGAGGTGAGGGCCCCCTGCAGACAAGCACAGAGGCCCTGAGCCTCCCAGCCTCTTCCCTGCCTTCAGCAACCACCCCACCCAACCAAAGTCTTCATTAGCTAGAAGTTGTGAATGGTTTAGGTAGCTGTTTGGGAGGATTTTAATTTTTAATTGAGCCTTTCTTTTTTTTGGTTGGTTGGTTGTTTCTGAGACAGGGTCTCACTGTTGCCCAGGCTGGAGTGCAGTGGTGCGGTCATGGCTCATGACAGCCTCCAGCTCCTGGGCTGAAGCCATCCTCCCACCTCAGCCTCCCAAGTAACTGGGATTACAGGCACACGCCACCATGCCTGAGTAATTTTTTTAAAAAAATCTTTGTAGAGACGGGTCTTGTTATATTGCCCTGGGTGGTCTTGAACTCCTGGCCTCAAACAGTCCTCCCATCTCAGCCTCCCAAAACGGGATTACAGGCATGAGCCACTGCCCAACTGGGCCTGCCTTATTTTTTAATACATGCTTTACAAACCTCCTTTAAAGCTTCTTAAGTTGTGGGACCTGTAATATTCAGGCCAGGAAAATAACAGCCTGTAATCCTAGTCCACAGCCACTTCTGATAGTTGCCTTCCAGCTCTTATCCACGTTCATTAATACATTTGGTGTGTCCTCAGCTAAAGGAACAAAGGCCTGTTTGGGGGGATTTTTCGCATCAGTCAAAGGGTAGGGATTTGGGGGTTTGGGGTATAGAGTTTCCACTGAAACTTGCTGCAAGGAAATGGAGCAGGAGACTGGCCAGCTGCTTGGGTTTCAGGAACTGTTTATGAACGGCCTTACTTTTTAACTGTTACATTGCAGATCCTTTCCAGTTGTTCTGATGGGGTTTGGAGAGGGAATGGAGGTCATGTGTTTGTTGTTTACCCCATCCTCTCTACATTGCAAAAAGACAGGGAGGGGATGACCCATGCTCTGGACGGTCAACCTAAGACAGGGCAAAGTCAAGGAACAGTTAATAAGAACGGTGCTGTGCGGTGTTAGGCTGTGTATCAGTTACCCCTAAATCAGGCCGGATACCCATAGCAATTCTTGACATAGCTTCCCATTGCTCTGCCCTGCTGAAGTTAGGAGGTTTCTGCGAAGCAGTTGGCACACTTCGCATGAGGGTGGAAACCCGTAGCTAGAGCCAGCCTTCAAGATTCCAGCTGGATGCAGCTGCAGCTCCCGGGGCCTCTCAGCTCCTTGGATTTGTTGATTGTATCATGATCCCGTGATTCAGTCCTGTTGGGAGGCAGGTGGCTGGACATTTATCTGGGGGCAGAAAAAGTGTCAGAAGTAGGAGAAAGAATACACAAAAAAGACCCTAAGGGGAGGAGAGGAAAGGAGCCAGAGAGAGCCTGCAGACAGCAATGTAGGAAGCCCCATTCCTGCCTTCCTATGAAGCTGATCTTGGCCTGCTCAGCGAATGCCTCAGAAGACAGGAAATCCCAAGCCTGCAGTCTCGAGAAAAACATTGGAAACGCCTGCTGCGAATCCCAACAGGGCTCGCGCTATGTGTTTTTCTAAAGTCTGGTTCATGTCTGCAGTGCTTTTGACCCCTTTTGCACTGTCTGTTAAAGCACTTGTCGCCATAGGAGGGGGCGGGGGAGTGAAACTGACCAGATGTGACTCGCCTCAGAATTGGGGGCAAGAGGTGAAGCTGGTGTGAGGGGAGGGGCTACTTGCAAGGGTCCTTGTTGCAGGGAAGAGGGAAATAGGGTCCAGAAGCTGGGATCGTCATGCCAACTCCACCACCAAGTACTAGGCTGGGGTCTGATTTCAGTTTAGTTTAGGGCTAGGTACAACCTAAGGAAACTCCCAGACTCTGCCTTCACCCCCTACGTTTTATTCACTTGCAACAGCCAAAGGAATCTTCTTCGCACATGAGTCAGATTGTGACCCTACTCTGCAAATACCCTTCATGACTCCCTGTTTGACTCAAAGCCCCAGTCCTTCCAACAACTACAAAGCCCTACGTGATTTGATGTCCCCAACTCCAACGTTGTATTTTCCAACAATATTTCCAGTCCCGTATACTCTTCTGTAATGTGATCTTGCAGCTTTCCCATCAGAAGGAATCGGATCCCCCTCCTCTTGAACCTGGGTTGGCTGGAATGGCACATGTGTAACCCACCAGAACAGGACAGAAGTGACGCTGGCGGGTAACCTCCAGGTACAGAGCGGAGGAAGCCTTGCTCTTGGGCCACTCTCTTGGAATGTGGTTGCCATCCGTGAGGACCCACGCCAGATACAGAGGTCCCACATTCCAGTGAAGCCCCGTCTTCACGTCCTCCCAGCCCAGGAAGCAGACAGGTGAGTGAAGACCTCTCCAGAGCAGCAGTGTTCATAAGGACTTTCTGTGTGACGGGAATGTTCGGTATCTGTGCCGTCCAGCCTAGTGGTCGTTAGCCACATGTTAGCTGGGATTTAGATAAAACATGGAACACTGCCAAATTTGAATTCCATACAACAAATAATATAGTGTAATACATACCATGCAATATTTGGAACATAGTTATTCTAAAAAAAAATTTGTTGATTATTTAAAATTCGGATTTCACTGGGTGTCCTGTATTTTTATCTGCCAAGTATGGCAATTCTCTCTTTTGTAAAAATTATTTTAATTTTTTATTTTTTACAGAGACAGGGTCTACCTGTATTGCCCAGGCTGGTCTCGAACTCCTGAGCTCAAGGGTTCCTCTCACCTCGGCCTCCCAAAGTGCTGGGATTGCAGGCGTGAGCCACTGCGCCCAGCCAAGTCTGGCACTTCTCTATTAAGCACCTGGAATGTGGCTGGTGCAATTGAGGAAGCTAAGTTTTTATTTTGCTTAATTTTAATTAATTTCTGTTTAAATAGTCACATGAGCCTAGGGGCTACTGTATTAGACAGTTGCCCCCGCAAGACACTCACATCTTCCTAGCTGAAGCCCCAGATGTTATGTAACAGAGACGAGTCATTCCCACTAAGGCCTGTCCAGACTCTAGCCTCCCAGAAGCCCAAGCACAATAAAATGGTGGTGGTTTTATTGTGGTTGTTTCCTGCATGAAATGTGGGGTGGTTTGTGATCTGCAAGTGTAGCTGAGCTCCCCTGACCTCTGTGAACTTCCCTCCTGTGCCATCCCTCTCCTTCATCCCCATCCAGCCACACCTGTTCCAGGACACCCCAGGCTCTCCTGCGCAGGCCCTCTGTTCCAGTTGTCCCTGTGCTTGGGATGTTCCCACCCAACCCTCCCCACCCCCCACCAAAGATTCTGATATCAATAGTACAGGGTACAGCCTAAGTATTGGAGGTTTAACATGTCTTCACCTGGTGGTCCTGATGTACAGCTAGGGTTGAGAACCAACCACTTGTTTAGTTCAGTCACAGTTACATCCTGTGAGCCGGGGCTGTTTTACAGATGAGGAGAATGAGACTCCAGGAGATTCAGCCAGGCCCCAGAGTCAGAGGGTGAGAAATGGTGCATCCCGGTAAAATGTTGGGTCCTCCCCCTACTGTGCAAGGACAGGTTTGACCTGAAGGCAGAAGCCTGGGCTGAGGCCCCTGAACTTTGGAGGGGCCCTCAATCCCCCAGGAGGTAGCCGGCGACCTCCCCTGGCCTTCCTCCCCCATGGCTGGGCCTCTTTCCTTAGCTAATCAGGCTGATGAAAGGCCCTGCTGCCTGCCCACTCCCTCTCTGTAATTTGCTCGTCCTTCTCTCTAATTTTATAGCCTCCTCAGCAGTTTCCCAAAGATCGGGGGCTCAGTTTCCACTGGACCCCCCTCCCTGGCTTAATGAAAGGGGCTGCTTTGCAGCCACTGACTAGCTAAGGGTGGGGATCATTCTTAAAGCCCTAGGGGATGGGAAGATGTGTTGGCAAATGTTTTAGAGCAGGGGCCAACAACCCCTTTTGTCCGCCAAGTGCTATCCTAAGTCCCTTTTTAGCCACTTCTTGAGAAAGGCCCTTACAAGAAGAAGCGGGCGGGAGGCGGCGAGGCCGACTGCTGGGTGTGGAATGTCCGGCTCTGGGTGGTAGCCTCCTTGTATTATTGCCTTATGTTGCGGTTTAACTGCTCTTGCTCATTTTCCTCGGGGTCTTATTTCCCCGGCTGGATTGCAGCTCCCTTAGGGTAAAGACTCTGTGATGTGTTTGAATCACCCAGGCCTCCCAGGGTTCTGCCTCTGTCTCACTCCCTGGCACCGGTGACCATGGCCAAGCTCCTGAAGCTCATCCCTTTCCACGTTGGTAAAATGGGAGGGGGGTTACTCTGAGCACAAAAGGAGAGTCCAGTTAGTGAAGGGGCTGCCACCCCTGCCTGCCCCGGAGAGGTGTTTGGAATACCGGTCCTATCTCAGGGGAGAGTCGTAGTTGCCACTAGGAGGAGGGGCTGTGAGCGCTGAGGTAGGCCATGCACAGCCTCAGTGAATGCTTAATGAACATGACCTTGGTGTTCTCTTATGGGCCCCTGCCCATCTCCTGGCTGCAGCTATGCACACAGTAGACTTTCAGTCTATGCTGTCTGTGCCTTTGCATGCAGAGCCATTGGTCTGGGGACTAATTCTAGGGGTTTCATTTCTGTAAAAGAGCTCCTGTCTTTGGGCTTCCATGGTGTAGCCAGGCTGGGCTAGCAGCTCTCCTGCGGCAGTGCAGAGCCTGCTCTCCTGGCTCTGGCTGGGGCTGGCCCTTTGCTCAAGTGCCTCTGGGGGCAAAGTCGTTAGCCAGGTGGGCTTGGAAAATTCAATACCCAGCCTGAAGATGGAGGGTCCTCCCCTTCTCATGGGTCTCCTCTGCTGAAATGCCTCCCTAGAGTCACCCTTTGCTCTCCATCCCCTCCCCTGGGATCAGCAGTGCTGTTCTCAGTTTTCCTCAGGGCCCTGGACCCCCAAAGTCACCTGCAGTTCCTTCCTGCACACCCAGTGGCATCCTACATCAGGACCTGCCTGCCTCTCTTCTCAAGGGCACCCCTGATGGCAGGGGCACACTCCACCAAGCTGGGAATGCCCAGAGTTAGCACACACTCCTACTGGGGCTTCCTGGGGCCATCCCCCCACAAAATGCTTCTGCTTGAATCTTCCTTTTGGGTCAGCTCTTGGGGAAAGCTGGGCTAAGGCAACATTACCAAGCAGTCACACGTGAATTCCAGGGACTCTTGCTCTGTGGTTTTCATCCCAAGTTGCAGAGGATTTCCCCTGAGTGCCCAGGAGGGCAGGAGGGCTTCTGACCAGGGCAGGAGGTGCCATGGGAGATGGCTGGGTGAGGCCAGCCAGAGGCTGCGGGGGACCCTCCCCCTCACCCCTCTTCCTCAGCCTTCCTGACGCTCTGAGAGTTGAGGGGACCCCTGGCCAAGGTCTAACAGCCCCTGATGTTTTCTTTCCTTTGGTAGCTTTGCATGAAATGATGAAAGTCTATTTAATGAGGTGCTGGGATTGTCAGAGGCTTCTCACTGTTGAGAAGTTTTTTTTGTCTCCCTGTTAGGGACTGTTCAGGTCTCAATGCAAGTTAGGAGAAGAAAAGGCTCAGACCAGGGATCCCTGATGCCTGGCCCAGCTCTTGGTGGTGGGAGGAGGTGCCTCTGTCCAATGGCCTGAGGGAGCACCAGGCAAGATGTGCCACAAGATACCTGTGTCCCTACACCTGCACTAGTCTCTCCGCCTCAGTTATCTCACCTGAGAAACAGGGCTGGAGAGTGGGGTCTGCAGACCCCATTAGTGGGTTGCAGGAAAGGAGGAAGTCCCTTTACACTCTAGAGGGTTATTCAAGTGCAGTGACCACTGTCATTCAGGGATTGAGGGCCCAGAGCCAGGCGGGCAGCTGGGAGGTGCCCAGAATACGTCTTCTTAGTGAGAGCGCTGTGGCCAGCTGGATGGGAGCCCCTAAGGCAAAAGATGAACTTGTTTATTCCACAAATATCTGAACCCCTACCAGGTGCTGGGCGCTAATAGTGGTAGACAAAATAGAGAATCTCCTTGCCCCCATGACACTCATATTCCATGGTGTGTGTGTTGGGGGAAGAGAGACAATAAACAAATAAGCAAGTAAATACATAAAGAAGCGAGGTGGTAAGTGCTATGGCAAGATATATACGAAGGAGAGTGATGGGAGAGGGGCTTTTTATATGGACTGGCCAGGGGAGACCTCACTGAGCAGAGACCTGAAGGCAGTGAGAGAGAAAAGGCCCATGGAGTTTGCAGGGAGTGGGGTTTCAGGCAGAGCAAAGAGCAAGGGCAAAGGTCATAAGTTAGGGGCATGTTTAGTGTGTTTGTCAGCTGTTGTTAGCTACATAACAAACTACCCCCAAACTGTTTATTTTATTTATTTATTTATTTTTGAGAAGGAGTCTTGCTCTGTCGCCCAGGCTGGAGTGCAGTGGCATGATCTCGGCTAGCTGCAAGCTCTGCCTCCCGGGTTCACACCATTCCCGCCTCAGCCTCCTGAGTAGCTGGGACTACAGGTGCCCACTACCACACCCGGCTAATTTTTTTTTTTGTATTTTTAATTTTAGTAGAGATGGGGTTTCACCATTCACAGGATGGTCTTGATCTCCTGACCTCATGATCCACCCACCTTGGCCTCCCAGAGTGCTGGGATTACAGGTGTGAGCCACTGCACCCAGCCCAAACTATTTATTTCTAATGGCTGTGCTCAGCTGGGCAGTTCTTCTGGTAGCTGGGCTCACTCAGTTGTCAGAGGTCAACTTCCAGGTCTGCTGGGGCCAGCTGGCTGGCTCAGAATGGGGTCAACTGAGATAGCTTGTCTTAGTTCTGTGTGGGCTCTCATCCTCCAGTGGGCTAGCCCAGGCTGTTCTCATGGCAGCTGGGCGGGGTTCCAAGAGAGTGAGTAGAAGCTGCAAGGCCCTTGAGGTCCACTTGGAACAAGCACACCATCCCTTCTCCTGCATTTCACTAACCAAAACAACTTACAAGGGCAGCCTAGATTCAGGGGGAGGGAAAACAAACTCTATCTTTTGATGGGAGAAGTGGCAAAGATTACAGCCACTTTTGCCATTTACTATATAATCCCCCATTTTGGGGGGGTGAGAAACCAGGCCTCAGAGAGGCAAAGGCACAAGCCACTTGCCCAAGACCACACACTGCTGAGATTCACATCCATGCCTATGGGTTTACCTTCATGATTTGTGCCTTTTCCAGTATTGACTGTCTTTTGTTTATCCATTAAGTTTCTTAAATTGATTTTTTAATTTCCCCAAAATTACATGTTAAGGTAGAAAATACAGAAAAGCAAATAAATCACTGCAATGGCAAGACCCAGAGGTGATGTGCCAAAGCAACCCTTCAGGCTTGTTTCCCACACGCACATGTGACTCCATACCCCAGCTACACACACACACACACACACACACACACACTCAAATACTTTCTCAGGTGGTGTCTTTATCTCATGTGAAAATAAAGAAAAAGTGGCCACAGGCTTGGTGCCATGTCTCACACCTGTAGTCACAGCATTTTGGGAGGCTGAGGCAGGAGGATAGCTTGAGGCCAGGAGTTCAAGCTCAGCCTGGGCAGCATGGAGAGACTCCATCTCAAAAAAAAAAAAAAAAAAAAGAACAGCGGCCACAGGGAGATTTCATCTCTAGGAGGGTCAGATAATTTGGAGATATTTATGTTTTTAAAATCACGCAGCCTGGGCAACATAGGGAGACCCTGTCTCTACCAAAAAATAAAAAAATTAGCTGGGCATGGTGGTGTGTGCCTGTGGTCCCAGCTACTTGGGAGGCTGAGGTGGGAGGATCATCTGAGCCCAGAAAATCAAGGCTGCAGTGAGCTAGTGATTGCACCATTGCACTCCAGCCTGGGTGACAGAGCAAGACCCTGCCTCAAATAAAATAAAATAACAAATAATCAGAACGGGCCTGTGGAATAGTGACTAAATGCCAGTAGCATTTTGGGGTCCAGGTTTAGATGAGTCTTCAACACCAGAGTGACTTTTTGGATGGCGGGTGATGAGGACTGGGCAGGTGGTGGCCCAGGCGTGGGGAGGTGTCCACGGCAGGTGTTCTTGGCTGGGCAGGCAGCCAGCAGGGCCGGGGTCTGGAATCCACGACATGAAGACTGCACATATGAGAAGGTGGGGGGGACCAGGGATACCCCGAGGGCAGGGGAGTGGGGTTTGGGGTGGTTGGTGGGGAACGTGACAGCAGCCAGCCAGCCTTTCAGGACCACCAAGGGAACAAAGGAAGAGGCAGAGCCAGGTGTGTGGGGTAGGAGAAACAGATTTAACTGGCTTCTGAGGAACCTTCTGGTCATCAGAGCAGCCATTGTGGGAGGTCAGGAGGGCAGGTGGGCTGGAGTGGATGGTGCTGGTTTCCGCCTGCCCAGCCTCCTGCCCTTGGTAGAATCCCGGTTTTCCTGTGGGGCACCTCCCCACTTCCAGTCTTGCCCTTTCTGGTAGGCTGCCCCCACCCCGCATGCAGCTGTGGCCAGAGCACTGGGGTCTAGCCTAGGGGAGCCTCATCTCCTTGCATCCAGCCACAGATACTGGCTCACACACTGGCACCTGACCCCTGGCAGTCCAAGGACAGGGAGCCCCGGGACTGTGGCCGGGCTGATAGTTGGGGATGCACTCCCATTCTGTTGGAGCTGCAGGGCAAGCTGGGGTTAGTGGGGACTGCAGGGGGCCATAGAAGGGAAGGCAGGACTGAGATGATGGGAGAGATTCCTGATGGCATGGCTCAAGCACCTGCATCCCGGCCGTATCCACTACACGCCAGGCACCATGCTGGTGGGGACATTCAAGGGTCGGTGGTTATTTGCATTCCAGTGTGCCCAGTGCCAGGGGAGCAGGAAGCCCAGGGGCCGCGGAGCCCAGGGGACAGGCAGGGGCATCTCCCTGGGCTGGAGGTGAGGGGTCAGAGAAGCCTTCTGGCGGGAAGTGATTTGAGCTCCCATAGCCCAGGGGGTCGTCTGGACCATTAGGCTGTTTCCAGCCAAGGGACAGAGCAGGTGTGGCCACTTCACTCTGCCCTGGACCCTCCTCCCTCGCTGCCCCTCACTCCCTGTGCTGCCAAAGAGTGCTGCTCCCTCTCTGAGACTTCGCTTCCTCTTCTGTTACTTGGCTCTAATGAGCCCTCTGCCTAAAATCACTAGGGAAGGTGGTGAAAATGCACATTCCTGAGCTTCGACCTGCAGTGTCCTGGAGGGGTAGGTGTGGGCTCAGGAATGTGCCTCTTACCCAGCGCCCAGGGGCCTCTATTGAGAGCCCTGCACCCACACTTTGAGAAGCTCACTGAAGAACGCCAGCAGGCCCTTTGGTTTGGGGGATCCACTGAACGCGCTGTTGAAGTGGGACAGGTGTTTGGCCAGGGCCTTCCAGCCGTGGCACCGTCAGAGGCTACGGGTGGCCCCTCTGGGACACACCTTTGGCAAACACCAGCAACTGATCCCGTGGATAGGCTCCTCATCCTGACAGCCTGAGTCCAAGCCCTCAAGGTGCCGAAGCACCTGCCGAGACGGGGGAAGGACCTCCGTAGAGGCAGCCTCGCCAAGGGCCCCTGGGGAGGGTGGCTCGGGGCTGAGGCTTCCTCGCAGTCATCCCAGGAGACCCTATCTAGGCCATGTTCCTTCTGGGGCCTCGGCCACCTGGCCTTCCTGCCGCTCCGCACCTTTGTCAATATTTATTTCTTCTCTGGACTCGAACAGCCTGGTATTTGTTTAAAGGGCAGGAGCAGACGTGGCTGTTCCTGCCTCCTTGCCTTGCGCCCTGCTTCCTGGCACCTCCCCAGGGTGCCTCTTGCCTGCAGGTGGGCTCACCAGGCAGGCCCACCTCTGTCCCTGGCCCTCCCACTGGGGCCAAAGGCCTCACAAGAGCTTTCTCACTTCACCATTGACTCCAATTTCCCTCGAGACACCTTGACCTGGGCCTCTGGCCCAACGCACATCATATGTGGCCTACAGGCCTAGAACTGAGATGCTCAGAGCATTAGCAATGTTCCGAAAATACTCCTGGCTTCTGATCCAATAGAACAAGCCACAAAGAGGTTGTGGCAAAAGGTCATGTGGTTTGAAACAGATTTGCACATCATTTTCGGAGAAATCAGAGCCTGTCCTGGGCTGAGGCTAGGGCGTGGACCTGGGAGACCTGCACTGGGAATGCGGAGCTGCTAATACTCCTGATAAATGTGTGACTGGCCCTCGGACAGGTCACTGGACATTTTTTCTGCCAAACAGATTCAGATGTGATTTGTCATTTTTGCCTCCTCCCAGCCTCGGGGGCATGCTTCGGACAGAGGAGGCTTCAGCCTTTACCTCCCCACTCCCACATGCCAAAATATTTTGAGATCTGTTGCCTCAGTTTTGAGTACTGCTCACATCAACACAATGTGGGGATTGTTCCTTTTCTAATAAAGATACTGCTGAAAAACTGGACATTTGATGCTTTTTTAAAAAACCTTTATATTTTGACCCACTTTTAGAAAACTAGTAGTAAAAGTAGCAGAAAATTTGCAAGCCTGGTACAGGCAACTTCTCTATGTCCCTCCAGCAGTTGACCCCAATCTTGCAAAACCATAGCACAATTTGCAAAGCCATAGCACAGTAATCAGAACCAGGAAATTAACCTCAGTACAGCAGCCTTAATCAAACCAAAGATCCCGTGTGAACTTCACTGGTTTTCCCATTAACGTCTTTTTCTTGCTCCAGAATCCCATCCAGGATCCCGCATTTGCATATAGTTGTTTTTTTCTCTCTAGTCTTCTAGACTCTATAATAGTTCCTTGGTCATTCCTTGTCTTTCAGGACCTAGATACCCATGAAGAGTATTGATCAGTTACTTTGCAGAAGTCTCTTAGTTCAGGCCTGTCTGAACTTGGGCTCAGGTTGTGCATCCCAGGCAAGGGCGCCAGAGGCCTGGGGCTGCATCCTGCTCACTGCACGTGTCACGGGGGCATGGCGTTGATGGCTTACGTCTGTGATGATGGCCCTGATCACCTGGTCAAGTGGTCTCTGATGGGCTTTTCCTTGGTAATGTTTTTTCTGTCCCCAAACCCCACCCTTGTCAACAAACCTCCTGGAAGAGATACTTAAGGCTTTGCAAACCCCTTTTTTCCTCAAACCTTCCACCTATTCTGTTGTCTATTAGCAGCTCTTGTCTGCAACAATCACCACTGTGGTGTTGACCTAATGCTGATTTCTCCTTTGCTCCTTCCTTCCGCATGGATTGACTGGATTTTCATTGCAAGGAAGAGCTGTCACTTCCCTATTGACTTATTTAATCAAATACTTATATCAGTGTGGACTTGTGGACATTTATTTAACTCTATGGGTTATTGTCCTAAACTATCATTATTTTTCTTATTGTTTAAATTCTTCCAACCTTGACCATTTGGAGCTCCTTCAGGGCTCCTGTGTTCTTTCAACAAACCACCATCTTCTTCTAGTTCCACACGATGTTCCAGGATTTGCTGCTGGTTTTGCTCAGTTAATTGTTACATATTCTCTTTGGGTTCTGCATAGATTGTGAGCTATGAGAACCACAGATCACATCTTCTGCTTGATATCAACTACGGGCTAGATTATGCTCAAAACTTATTTCTGAGTCGTTGGCAGAGCCAGTTCTTTGGAACTTGGAGATTGGCAGTTGTGATTGTTGTGTTGGGAGCAGTTAAAACCAGGCGGAGCCCAGTAGGCTCCAACTCTGCTGTCTTTTACGGCTTATGTTCATTCTACCTTAAAGTCTCCATGTGACCACCTAGAGTTCAAAAGCCCCAGAATACCCAACTCAGACTAACCTGTGGCTCCCTTTGCCTGGCACACAGAATAGTGCCACGGTTTCATGCTGATAACCTCGACCTTTGTCTGAGAGCTGTACCTGATCTTACCAACAACACTGTGAGAAAGTTGGAAAGTTTCTTAATTTGGGTTCCCCCAGAAGCTGACTCTGTTGCATGGATTCTTGTGCAAGTGTTTTATATGGACAGTGATCTCAAGGGGCTGTAGGGAAGTGAAAGAGGGAGAGGAGGGCGACTGATTTGGGGTGTATTGTCAAGCACCTCATTGCTGTGGGTAGCTGGAGCTCAGTCTCATGGGGGGTCCCTGGGAGACAGTGTAGAACTCATACCTAAGAATGATCCTGCCCCTCAGGAGTTGGGGTGTTAGGCTATTTGGGGGGGTTGCTCCTGGGAGTGTGAATTCTCTAACACTTCTAAGCACACAGGCAAAGTTGTACACAGGGATGATCAGGGTCTGCAGGATACAGGTGCAGCCCCAATGTCACCCACTGCAGGCAGAGCCCATTTTACAGATGAATAAACTGAGGTTCAGGGAAGCTAAGTAATGTCTAGAAATGGTGCAGAGACCTGGTACTTGAACCTATGAATGTGGGTAAGGATTGGGTTAGATGGTTCTAAGTCTCCACCCAACTCTGAGATCTTCTCTCTTTGCACCCACTTCTCATGGCATGTTCCTTCACTGCTACCTGCTTGCCTGCCACGAGGCAGACCGGCCATTACAACCCACCACCCATGGTTTCTGGAAATGGCCTCCCAGACTTGGCAGGGTGAGTATTTGCACAAAGGCACACCTGAGCAAAATGAGTGATGGTTTGGCCTGATGTCTTGGTAGTTGCAAGTTCATTGCTTGAGTCGGACAGGATAAACCCCGTGTTGTTTTAGGAGGTTTGAGTTACATCGACCCCACCGATAAGCAGTGTTAAAAGATTAGGTGAATTGACGGAAGGAACTCCTGGCTTCTTCTTTGCTTAGACTGTTGGGCTGACAGATAATCTACTTATCTCCTCCGACAGCGCCAGAAGATAGACATTCCCAGTGCTGAGATATATGTTGTGCTGCGTCACAGTTTCTCACTGTTTCTCCTTTCCCTCCCTGACCTCCCAGATCTAGTTCTTGGCCCTAATTCTGACTCCCCCCTTCCCCCATCATGTAGCCTCAGCCTGTCCTCTTAGTGAACTTTTGGACCCGGGCCATGGGTGTTAGTCTTTGGACTCTCGTGAATCTTTGGAGGGAATTCTAGGCTAGGAGACCTAGTCTCAGGCCCAGCCCTGCCAATAAATACATATGCATGTGGCCTGGGTGCAGCCTCAGCCTCAATGTCCCACAGGAGGAACTGGAATGTTTAAAGAGGAAATTATCCCTGCCTGGTTCACCTCCTAGGACTTCTGGGAAGTTCAAACCAGATGAGGCTGCAGGAGGATTATCACAACCCAGGACTTGGCTGACTTCCTGGACTTGAGGCTGGCTTCAAAGGACATATATATGGATAATACACATACAAAAAGAAGCTCCGTCTCGTTGGTATTCAGGAACATGTGAGTTACAACAAGATACCAATGGTGGTGGGGATCTAGCCTTTTGAGGGGCAAATTGCCACTCTCGATTACAATAAATGATGTCTAAATCCTGTGCCCCAGAGAGTCATTCTTTAGATTTATGGCAGAGAGATGCTGACATGAGAATGAGAGGGTAGGCATGCATTAAGCTGTCCACAAAAGCAGCTCTTCTCAAAAATCTGGGAATCTGGGGGCAAGGTCTATTGTTTTGTTTTGGTTTGTTATGTTTTTCTTGAGATGGAGTCTTGCTCTGTCACCCAGATTAGAGTGCAGTGGTGCGGCCTCGGCTCACTGCAACCTCTGCCTCCCAGGTTCAGGCAATTCTCGTGCCTCAGCCTCCCAAGTAGCTGGGACTACAGGTGTATGCCACCATGCCTGGCTAATTTTTGTATTTTTTGTAGAGACGGGGTTTCACCATGTTGGCCACGCTGGTCTTGAACTCCTAACCTCAAGTGATCACCCGCCTCGGCCTCCCAAAGTGCTGGGATTATAGGCTTGAGCCACTGTGCTCAGACTGTGGTCTAGTTTTTATTTCTGATCTGTCATAAACACGTACATTTTTACTTTTGTAGTAAAAATGAATTACTAGAGAAGTGAAAATTTAAAAAATAAAGACTTAGAAAATATAAGCCTCCAATTTTTATTGGAAGATTCGATATGACATTACCCCGCCAAATTGCTATAAAAGTTTCTCAACACCTATCCCAAATTTCTGTTCTTATCTTGTGGTAGACGGCTAATAAACTGCACCTATGGGCCGGCACGGGGCTTTGGACCACAGACTGCTGTGCAGCCCCATCACTTGCAAAAATCCTGGAAAAACGGAAACATCTATCCCAAGCAGAATGGCTATAAAATGTGTCATCCTTACTATAAACTCCATGTAATAGTAAAATGTAAAGATGGGAGATTTGCCAGTCCTGACATGGGAAGGTGGCTGACATACATTATTGAGTGAAAAAGAAAAAAAAAGCAAACTGCAATATGACATACCGTTTTCTCATGTGTTAAAGGAAAAAAAAATCCACACTAAAGCAGCACAATATATTTCTTATGGATACATAAACATCTAGGAAAATGTATACAAAAAGGACTGGAAATTTATGCCTCTGGTATTGGAAATGGCAAGTATAGGAGGAATCTTTTGTAATGGTTTAATTTTTGTGATATTATTCAAATATTATTGTGTAATTAAAAAATAACATCTTAGCAAGGTTGATGTAAGGCAGGCAAAAGCCTCTCCCCACCCCTCGAGTTGCACTAGGAACTAATTTTCTCAGCATCCGTCTACCTCCTCACAGAGGGACGCCATCACCCACTTGCTAAACAGGTAACATATGGACTCAGATGAACAAGCATATCAAGGGCAAAGTCACGTGAAAAGAGCCGCCCTGGCCAGGTTGCAGCCTGAGAGGTGGGGAAGGCATCGCCGATGCTTGGTTGCACGTGAGTCCCTTGTGAGGTGGCCAGAGGCAGAAGCAAAAATTTGGATTTCAGAATCTAACGTAGGGTAACATTCTAGCGCCCGACTTCTGAGTTGAGAGGGTAGACTGAGCCCAGGTATTAGGCTCAGCTCTCTCCTGAATCTTGGCTAAACTGACAGTAAGATGAGCAAGACCCCCAGAGAATGGAGCTGGGAAGCAGATGGAGGAGTGGTCATTGACTTCGCAGATGGGAGGCTACTGCATCCTCAGTCAGCAGTGGGGGGCGGGGGCGGGGGCGGGGGGCGGGCAGGGGAGCGAGAAGTGATATGGCTTATACCACAGAACCCCCAGAAGACCCTTTTCCTTTTTCCTCTCTGTGTTCTTTGACCCTAGAGTTCTGACATTTTGTGATGATTTACCTTTATATGGATCTTGCAATGTGGGAAATAAGTTCCTTTCATTCTGGTGGTTTTTTGTATTAGTTCCTTGATAATCTCCTTCCCCACTGTTTTCTCTGTTCTTTCTTGGAACTCTTCTGAGTTGGATGTCTGTATTGTGTTAGTCAGGGTTCTCCAGAGAAAAAGAACCAACATGACATTCATGCTCTCTTGCTTTTTCAGAGAGAGAAAGATTGAGATTTCTTTTGTTGTTGTGTTTCTTTTTTTGAGACGGAGTCTCGCCCTGTTGCCAGGGCTGGAGTGCAGTGGTACGATCTCAGCTCACTGCAACCTCTGACTCCCAGGTTCAAGCAATTCTCCTGCCTCAGCCTCCCAAGTAGCTGGGATTATAGGCGTGTGCCACCACACCCAGCTAATTGTTGTATTTTTAGTAGAGACAGGGTTTCACCATGTTGGCCAGGCTGATCTTGAACTCCTGACCTCAGGTGATCCACCCGCCTCAGCCTCCCAAACTGCTGAGATTACAGGCGTGAGCCACCGTGCCCGGCTGAGATTTCTTATGGAATTCACTTGTGTGGTTATGGAGGCTGAGGAATCCCATGATCTGCCATCTGCAAGCTGAGACCCAGGAAAGCTGGTGGTGGAGATCAGTGGAAGTCAGAAGGCCTGAGAATCAGGAGGCTGGTGGCGTCTTAGCTTAAGCACAAAAGCATGAGAACCAAGGGTGCTGATGTCCAAGGGCAGGAGAAGGATGTTTCAGCTCAAACAGAGCAAATTTGTTCTTTTTTGCTGTTTTGTTTTATTCAGGTTCTCAGTGAATTGGAGGATGGCCACCCAAGTGAGGGAGGCCATTTGCTTTATTCACTTCACCAATTCCCATGTGGATCTCCTCTGGAAACAGCCTCACAGACACGCCCAGAAATAATGTTTAGCCATGGGCATCCCTCAGCCCAGTCAAGTTGACATAAAATTAGCCTTCACAATTTCAGACCACCTGAATGAATGCCATCTCTTTCTTGTGGGTTTGTTTCCTACTTTCCATCTTATTTTTTTATTGCTGTTCTACTTTTGGAAAATGTCACTGACTCCATCTTTTAATGCATCTTTTAATGTTTGATTGTTTTCAATTAAACTTTCTATTTTGAGATAAATATACTAGATTCACATGTAACTGTACAAAATAATCTAGAGGTCCTGTGTATCCTTGGCTGCTATGGTAACATCCTGCAAAACTACAGTACAATATTACAACCAGGATGTGGACATTGACATAACACATCAGATACACACACTTCTGTCCCTACCAGGATCTTTCGTGTTGCTCTCTTATAGCCACACCCACTTGCCTCCTGCAGCCACTCCCTCCTTAACCCATTTCTCTAACTTTCCCATTTCAAGAATGGAATCATATAATATATAAACTTTTATAATTGGCTTTCTTTCACTTAGCATAATTTTCTGCCAATCCTACCAGGTTATTATTTGTATCAATAGTTTATTCCTTTTATTTATTTATTTATTTATTTATTTATTTTTGAGACAGTGTCTCACTCTGTCACCCAGGCTGGAGTGCAGTGGTGTGATCATGCAGCCTCAACCTCCCAGGCTCAAGCGACCCTCCCACCTCAGCCTCTGGAGTAGCTGGAACTGTAGGCTGCACTACCATGCCCAGCTATTTTTTTTTTTTTTTAATAGAGACAGGGTCTCACTATGTTGCCTAGGCTGGTCTCGAACTCCTGGCTTCAGTGATCCTCCTGCTTCAGCCTCCCAAAGTGCTGGGATTACAGGTGTGAGCCACTGTGCCTGACCAGTTTATTCCTTTTTAGTGCTGAATAGTAGTCCATGATATAAAAGTACTATCTTTTTTAGAACCATTTCCCATTAAAGGAATTAGGTTTCTTTCTAGTTTGGGCTGTTGAGAATAAGGCTGCTATAATCATTCATGTATAAGTTCATATCTGAACTTAAGTTTTTATTCTCTGGGATAATTACCCAAGAGTGAAATTGTTGGGTCATATGGGAGTTGCATGTTTAGATTTTTTTTTTTAAAGAAACTGTCAAACTGTTTTCCAGGGGGCTATTTCATTTTACATTCCCACCTGCAATGTATGAGGGATCCGTTTTCTCCACATCCTCACCAGCATTTGATGTTGTCCCTATTCTGTTTTGTATTTTAGCCATTCTGATAGATGTGTATAATATCGCATAGTGGTTTCAATTTGCATCTCCCTGATGGCTGACATTGTTGAGCATCTTTTCATGTATTTATTTGTTATCTGTACATCCTCTTCAGAGAAATATCTCTTCATATTTTTTGCCCATTTTATTCTAACTGGATGGCGTATTTTCATACCGTTGAGTTTTAGGGATTCCTTATGTTTTCTAAATACTTGTCCTTTGTTGAATAAGTGACTCACAAATATTATCTCCTAGTTTATAGCTTGCCTTTCACCCTCTCAACAGTCTTTCACAGAGCAAAATAACAATAACAATAATAATAATAATAATAATAATAATAATAATAATAGTTTTCTGAGACAGGGTCTCACTTTACCACCCAGACTGGAGTGCAGTGGTGTGATCACAGCTCACTGCAACCTCAGACTCCTGGGCTCAAGCGATCCACCCACCTCAGCTTTCCATGTAGCTGGGACTACAGGCACATGCCAGCATGCCTGGCTAATTTTAAAATTTTTTGTAGAGATGGGATTTTGCCATGTTGCCCAGGCTGGTCTTGAACTCCTAGCCTCAAGCGATCCTCCTGCTTTGGCCTCCCAAAGTGCCAGGATACAGGTATAAGCCACTGCACCCAGCCCAGAGCAAAAAGTTTTAATTTTGATAAAGTTCAATATACAGTTTTTTTCCTTTTACAGATAGTGCTTTTGCTATCAAGTGTAAGCCCTAAACTCTGGAGATGTTCTTTGTTTATTTATAAAAGTATTATGGTTTTACATTTTTCATTTAAGTCTGCAATCCATTTTGAGTTAATTTTTGTAGAAGGTGTGGGGTTTAGGTGGGTCATTTTTTGCCTCTGGCTATCCAGTTGTCCCAGTATCACTTGATGAAAAGGCCAACTTTTCTTTTCTTTTCTTTTCTTTTCTTTTTTTGAGATGGAGTCTCGCTCTGTTGCCCAGGCTAGAGTGCAGTGGCACGATCTCGGCTCACTGCAACCTCCGCCTCTCAGGTTCAAGGAATTCTCCTGCTTCAGCCTCCCGAGTAGCTGGGACTACAGGTGCCTGCCACCATGCCTGGCTAATTTTTTATTTTTAGTAGAGATGGGGTTTCACCGTGTTGGCCAGGCTGGTCTCGAACTCCTGACCTTGTGATCCACCCGCCTCAGCCTCCCAAAGTGCTGGGATTACAGGCGTGAGCCACTGCGCCCGGCTGAAAAGGCCAACTTTTCTTCATTGAATTGTGTTTGTGCCTTTGTCAAATATCAGTCGTGCATATTTTTGTGCATCTAATTCTGGATACTCTGCTCTGTTCCATTGATCTATGTGTCTCTTCCTCCACTAGCACAACACAGTCTTGATTACTGTAGCTGTATTGTAAGTCTTGAAATTGGGTAGGCTGATTACTCCCATTTTATTTCTCTTTCTCAAAATTGTATTAGCTATTCTTTTGCCTTTCTGGATACATTTTAAACTAATGTTGTCTATATCTACAAAAAACTCTGCTGGGGTTTTGATGGGTATTTTTTTAAACCTATGCAATTTTTATGGAGAACTGACATCTTTTCTGTGATGAGTCTTCCAATTCATGAACATGTGATGCCTCTCCATTTATTTAGATCTTTGATTTCTTTCACTGGCATTTTGTAGTTTCAGCCTACAGATCCTGTGCAAGTTTTTTTTTTTAAATTTGTACTTTTGAGACAGGGTCTTGCTCTGTTGCCTAGGCCAGAGTGCCGTGGCACGAACACGGCTCATGGAGCCACCGTGCCGGCCGGAAAGTTTTGATAGATGTATATCTGAGTATTTTACTTTCTTTTTGTGCAATCTGTGTTATCAAATTTATATGTGTAGAGCAGTTTGTAATATTTTCTTGTTATTCTTTCGATGTCTGCAATGTCTACTGATAGCCTCTGTTTTATTCCCGATATTGGTAATTTGTGTTTTCCTTTTTTCTTTCTCAGTCTTGGTAAAGTTTTGACAATTTTGTTGTTTTCTCCAAGAATCAACTCCTTGTTTTATTGACTTTATTATTTTTTTTTGTTTTTGTTTCCATTAAGTTCTGCTTTTATTATTTTCTTTCTTCTATTTGCTTTGAGTTTATTTTGCTCTTCTTTTTTTAAGTTCTTGAGGTGGGACCTTACATTGTTGCTTTGAGACTTTTGATCTTTTTTTTTTTTTTTTTTTTGATGGAGTCTCGCTCTGTCGCCCAGGCTGGAGCGCAGTGGCGTGATCTCGGCTCACTGCAAGCTCCGCCTTCCAGGTTCACGCCATTCTCCTGCCTCAGCCTCCCGAGTAGCTGGGACTACAGGCGCCCGCCACTACGCCCGGCTAATTTTTTGTATTTTTAGTAGAGACGGGGTTTCACCGTGTTAGCCAGGGTGGTCTCGATCTCTTGACCTCGTGATCCGCCTGCCTCGGCCTCCCCAAGTGTTGGGATTACAGGCGTGAGCCACCGCACCTGGCATGATCATTTTTTAAGAACACTTATTTTTTTTAACAGTTTAGCCAAAACTGAAGAGAAAGTACAGCTACCATATACCTCCTTCCTCCAACCCACAACACACAGTCTTCTGCGTCAGCAATACCCCGTACCAGGGTGGTAGATTTGTGACAATTGTTGAACCTACACTGACACATTGTTGTCACCCAAAGTCCAAGTTTACATTAGGGCTCACTGTTGGTATTATACATTCTTTGGGCTTTGACAAATGTATAATGACATGCATTCATCATTATAGTATCACACAGAATAGCTTCACTGCCCTAAAAATCCTGTATGCTCTGCCTGTTTACCCCTCCCTACCCTTCCCAAACCCTGGAGACCACTGAACTTTCTAGTGTCTCCATAGTTCGGCCTTTTCCTGAATGCCATATAGTTAGAATCATATAGCATGCGGCCTTTTCGGGTTGGCTTATTTCACTAAGTAATAAACAGTGAAGATTCCTCTATTTATTTTCATAGCTTGAGAGTACATTCCTTTTTAGCCCTGAATAATATTCCGTTCTCTGGATGTACTGGTTTATTTACCCATTCACCTACTGAAGAACATCTTGGTTGCTTCCAACTTTTGGCAATTACAAATAAAGCTGCTATAAACGTCAGTATGCAGGTTTTTGCATGGACACATTTTCAAGTCCTTTGAGTAAATACTAAGGAGTGTGATTGATGAAAATGGTATGGTAGGAGAATGGTTAGCTTTGTAAGAAACCTCATGAGGGGGGTTTTCTCCAGTCTTTACTGTGAGAAACCAGTAGAACTCCTGAAGGTAAAACTCACAAAAGTATGGCATGTGGCTGGGCGCGGTGGCTCATGCCTGTAATCCTGGCACTTTGGGAGGCCAAGGTGGGTGGATCACTTGAGGTCAGGAGTTTGAAACCAGCCTGATCAACATGGTGAAACCCCATCTCTACTAAAAATACAAAGATTGGCTGGGCGTGGTGGCACACGCCTGTTATCCCAGGTACTCAGGAGGTTGAGATGAGAGGATCGCTTGAACCTGGGAGGTGGAGGTTGCAGTGAGCCGAGATTGTGCCACTGCACTCCAGCCTGGGTAACAGGGGGAGACCCTGTCTCAAAACAAACAAACAAAAAAACCCCCAAGAAACCAAAAGTATGGGCATGCCCTTCAAGACTGGCCCCATCCCCGGAGTTTTAAACTCTTAGACTTGTCCACACTGAGCCTCCAGCAATTTGTAAATTGCAGTTCAGGCTTTCCTGTCCCTGTACTTGTTCCTAGCAAGGTCTCTGCACCTGTGACTCTGCAGTGATAAGTTGTGATTCTCTGTACGATCTGTCTGTCTCTCCAATTTTGGAGGCAGTGGTTTGCCCTGTGACCTCAATTCTGTGACAGATCTAAGAAGTTTTTTTTTTTTTTGAGACAGTCTCACTCTGTCACCCAGTCAATCTTGGCTTATTGCAGGTTTGACCCCCTCAGACTCAAGCAATCTTCCCACTTCAGCCTCCTAAGTAGCTGGGACTACAGGCAGACGTCACCACACCCAGCTTATTTTTATTTTTTATTTTTGTAGAGACGGGGGTCTCCCCATGTTTCCCAGGCTGGTCTCGAACGCCTGAGCTCAAGCAATCTTCCCACCTCAGCCTCCCAAAGTGCTGGGATTACAGGCATGACCCACTGCAACCAGCCAAGAGTTGCTGATTTTTAGTTTGTTCGGTTTTTTTAACTTATTAAGATGGAGTCATGACTTCCAAGTTCCTCATATGTCCGATTGAAAACTGGAAGGAAGCTTCTTTTCCTGTTTTTAAAGTTTTGATTCCTGTATTGGTTATCTACTGGCACAATGACGCTGCCTAATAAACAACTACAAAGTCTTAGTGACATATAAAAGTATCATCTGTTTTTAGTCACAAGTCTACCAGTTGGTTGGTTGGTTGATTTGTTCTGCTGATTTATATTGGGCTCTGCTGACTTTGCTTGGGATCATTCACTTGTAGAAAGGCAGCTGGTGGTTAGTTGGGGCTGGCGGAGCTTTTAGGACTCAGCTGGTATTACTTGGCTCTGCTTCATGTGGTTTCTTATCCTCCATCAGGCAGGCCAGATTGGGCTGTTCTCAGGATGGCTGGGCAGGGTTCTGCAACACAGCAGAAACCCCAGGCCTCCTGAGACCCAGGATCAGAACTGTATAATGTCACTTCTGCCTCATTTTGTTGGACAAAACATGTCACGAGATCATCTCAGTGGTGGTGAAATTATTATTATTATTTTGAGACAGAGTCTCACTTTGTCACCCAGGCTGGAGTGCAGTGGCGTGATCTCAGCTGCTCACTACAACCTCTGCCTCCCATGTTCAAGGGATTCTCATGCCTCAGCCTCACCAGGTAGCTGGGATTACAGGTGCACGCCACCACGCCCGGCTAAATTTTGTTGTTTTTTTTTTTAGTAGAGACGGGGTTTCGCCATGTTCCCAGGCTGGTCTCAAACTCCTGACCTCAAGTCATCTGCCTGCCTCGACCTCCCAAAGTGCTGGGATTACAGGCATCAGCCACTCTGCCCGGCTGTGGTGAAATTATTAATTCAACCTCCTGGTAGAAGAAACTGGGGCTATCCTAGCAATACCTCACAGTTTCTGTCCTTGATTTTTAGAGGCTTTGTTCAAATATCCACTAATCTTTTGTTATTTTTTGTTTGATTTTTAAAAATCCATATGCATATTGTACTGGGGTCAAAATATAAATTTAAAAGTATTTATACCTTGTATTTGGAATTTATATACAATATTTCCTGCAATGTTATTTCATTTTATTTCCTGCAATACAATGAAAACATGGAAAATTCTAAGTGTCCCAATAATGAAAGAACCATTCAGTAAATTATGTTATTTATTAAATGGAATATTCAGCCATTGAGAATAATGTCCTTGAAGTTTTAAATGCTCAAGATCTCGCTCTCTCTTTTTTTTTTTTTTTTTTTGAGATGGAGTCTTGCTCTGTTGCCCAGGCTGGAGTGCAATGGCACGATCTCAGCTCACTGCAACCTCTGCCTCCTGGTTGAAGTGATTCTCCTGCCTCAGCCTCCCAAGTAGCTGGGATTACAGGCACCCGCCACCACACCCAGCTAATTTTTTATATTTTTAGTAGAGATGGGGTTTCACCATGTTGGCCAGACTGGTCTCAAACTCCTGACCTCAAGTGACCTGCCAACCTCGGCCTCCCAGAGTGCTGGGATTACAGGTGGGAGGCACTGCACCTGGCCAAATGCTCAAGATCTCTTGTTGAGGGAGAGAAACAGGGTACAAAACTGTTTCACATAGTGAAATCCACCTGACGAAGCCCCCAAATCTCAGTGGCTTACCCAGCACAGTGTCCTTCCTCCCAAGAGTCCCACTGGTCTGGTGCTTAACAACTGGGCTTGGTGCTTGGGGGTCTGTTATTCTACGACCGCAGTGAAGGAGCCGTGGCTGGCTGGGGCAAGCTCTTTCCATGGCAGATGGCAGGAGCATAAGAGAAGGAGGGGAACATGCAAGACTTCCTAAGGCCCAGCCTTGGGACAGGCACCCTGACACTTCTGCCAGCCTGTTGGTCAAAACAAGTCAATGGTCAAGCCCAAGGGCAATGTGGGCAGGGAACTCTTTTCCATGCCCTGGGTTGGGGTCAGGGAAGGCAGGAGGAGAAAATTCTTATTGGACAGTAAGACAATCTACCACACTTCTTCACAAACTCCTTCAGCTCCCTGGCCCCTCTCTCTTTGTAGAGCCCCATCCTGAATGAACACAAATATTTCCCTTCTCTACCTACATACCTGAGCAGCAGAATATTGCTGGAGAAAAGTTTGTAACTTAGCTAATCAGCTAATTTCTCTATAAATGAATTATCTCAAGCATCAATTGGATACTAAACATGGCCTGCCTAACTTCTTTTCCCTCCATAGGTGTATGTATATTTGTGTTAGTTTGTTTGTTTATGGTGGTAAGAAAACATACAACACAAATTTTACCTCAGCCAGTTCTAAGTGTACAATACAGTAGTGTTAAGTACATTCATATTGTTGTTCGACCAAGCTCCAGAATTTTTTCCTTTCCAAGCTGAAACTCTATTCCCATTAAAAAACTCCCCATTGCCCACTCCTCCACAAAGCCCCTGCTAATCACCATTCTACTTTCTGCTTCTATGAATTTTATTACTCTAGAGATGTCACATACATGGAACCATACAGTATTTGTCTTTTTGTGGCTGGCTAATGTCACTTAGCATAATGTCCTCAAAGTTCATTCATGATATAGCATGTGTCAGAATGTCTTTCCTTTTTCCTTTTTCTTTTCTTTTCTTTTTTTTTTTGAGATGGGGTCTTGTCTGTCACCTAGGCTGGAGTGTGGTGGCACAATCTCGGCTCACTGCAACCTCCGCCTCCCAGGTTCAAGTGATTCTCCTGTCTCAGCCTCCTGAGTAGCTGGGATTAAAGGCATGCACCACCACACCTGGCTAATTTTTGTATTTTTAGTAGAGACAGGGTTTTACCATGTTGGCCAGGCTGGTCTTGAACTCCTGACCTCAGGTGATCCGCCTGCCTCAGCCTTGCAAAATGCCGGGATAACAGGCATGAGCCACCACACCCAACTGTTCTTCCTTTTTAAGGCTGAATAATATTCCACTGTGTATTCTATATTTTGTTTATTCGTCCATCGACAGACAATTGAGTTGCTTCCAGCTCTTGGCTATTGTGAATAGTGCTGCTGTGAACCAGGGTGTATGAATGTCTCTTAAAAGTTCTGATTTCAATTCTTTTGAGTATAAACCCAGAAGTGAACTTGGTGGATCATATGGTAATTCTATTTTAATTTTTTGAGGAACCACAATACTGTTTTCCACAGTTTACATTCCCACTAACAGTATGCCTAGCTTTTTATATTTCTCCAGGAAGCCTGCTTTGCCACTGCCACCAATGACTTTGTCATACTTTCTCTTCCTCTAAACTCCCCTCCACTCTTCTACTCTTACTGTCAGTTTCACCCGCAGATGCTGCCTTATTTTACTGAGAAGAAGACCGTCAAATCCAAAAAGAAGCCATCAAATCCAAACACACTCCTTCTCCCGATTTCAGACCACATTCATTGTCAGCATCTTCTCCTTCTCGTCTGTTACGACCGACGAAATGCGTCTGCTCCCTGTCAGGGCAAACCCCTTTGCCTGTGCTCTGACTCCACCTCTCTTGCCAACTCAAAACTTCATTACTTCATTCATCTTTCTAATTTCCTTCCCCGTCCAAATTTCCTTCCAATTTCTATCACCCATCTACTGGATCCTTTTTGTCAGCATTTAAGTAGGCTGAGTGTTGTCCACCTTTAACAGAGATTCACCCTTAAGAGTTCATATCATCTCTGTGATATTCTTGCCAAGAATGTTTAACCTGAATCCAATCATGACAAAAAAATCAGGACAATCCAGAATGTGGGACATGCTACGTGACAACCAGCCCAAACTCTCCAATGTCAGTGGCATGAAAGACAGAAAAATACAGGGGACTGTTTCTGATTAAAGGAGACTACAGAGATGTGGCAACCAAATGGAATGCATGACTCTTGATCGGATGCTGGACCAGAGAAAAAGCTACAAAGGACATTTTTAAACATTTGGGGAAATGTGAATATGGTCTCTTTATTAGATAACTTTGATGCTAAATTTCTTTGAGTGGGATATATCATGAGGTCATGTGGGAGAATGAGCTCGTTCTTAGGAAAAGCATGCTGATATACAGGGGGGTCTGCAACTTTATTTCCAGTGATTTACCCCAAAGTGAATACATGCGGGTATGTGCATGGGAATTAAATGTGACAAAGGGTTGACAAATGATTAAAGTGAAGGGTACAGAAGTGTTCATTGTTCTATCCTTTCAACTTTTCTGTAGGTTTTTCATTTTTAGGAATTAGCCATATTGGTATGGGTCTATTTCTAGACTTTTTATTTTCTCCCATTGATCTGTACATCTCTCCTTTTGCCAATACCACATAAGTCAAGATGACTATAGCTTTGTAATAAGTATTAAAATCTGGTAATATAATTCTTCCAATTTAAAAAAAATAAAAATAAAAATAAAAAGTTGAGCAGAAAAAGAACCTTTCTTTTATTTTTCCTTTTTTTTTTTTGTTTTAAGACGGAGTCTTGTTCTGTCACCCGGGCTGGAGTGCAGTGGCACGATCTCAGCTTACTGCAAGCTCCGCCTCCCAGGTTCAAGCAATTTTGTATTTTTAGTAGAGACAGGGTTTCACCACGTTGGCCAGGATGGTCTCAAACTCCTGACCTCAGGTGATCTGCTCCCCTCGGCCTTCCAAAGTGTTAGGATTACAGGTGTGAGCCACTGCGCCTGGCTAAGAATTTTTCTTTGAGCTATATCTGCCTATAGCTACATCCAATTTATCCGCTGGTCTTCTCAGTTAAACTTCTGAAGTCATTGACACTCAGTGCTCCCACTGCCTCACCTCCCATCCACCAGTGGTTTCTGCCCTCACCGCTGCCTTGAAATTGCTCTTATCAGGGCCCAGACAATCTCCATGCTGGCAATTCCAATGGTGGTGTTCCACATAGGTGGCTGCTTCCTCATCCTTGAAACAGTCTTGTCTCTTAGCCTCTGGGATAACTTATCTCTTGGATTTCCTTCTACCTCACTGATCTCTTTCACTCTTCTTTGCTTGTTCCCTTTTCTCCACCCAACCTGTAAATTTTGGGCTCCTTGGAGCTCAGGCTCTTCCTTCTTTAAATTCTCCTTTGCTGTTGTCATCAATTTTTATCAATTTTAAAAAAACTGAGTTTGTTCCAGTAATACCCAAATATGTACCTCTAGGTTGGATCTTTCCCACACTTGACTACTTGACAACTCTCTTCTTGACACCACTCCTTGGATATTTCACAGACATCTCAAGTTTAACTTTTAATCATTTTTTCATTAACTGAGCCTATATTGATTGAGCACCTGCTGTGTACTAAGTAACTGTTCTAAACACTGGGGACATAGGGAGACAAAACAGTACGACTGTACCATGAGAGCACATTCTAGCTGGAAGAGAAGGATGATAAGCAAATAAGTAAGAATTCATTTGTGGTCAGTGCTATGAAGAGAATAAAATAGGAAATATGTTAGATACATTGGATGGACTGTATATTTTGGATGATCGGAGAAGGTCTCTCTGAGCCTGATGTAGATGAACCCCAAAATTGGGGCTTAGCCTGGGAGGGTTATTGGCTTTGCTCAAGAAAGAATTCAAGAGTGAGTTGACAGTGAAAGAAAGCAAGTTTATTAGAGCAATAGTGTATAGCAAAATGGTGGCTCCGCAGACAGGGCAGAGCTGTCCCATAGACAGAGTAGCCCAGAGTAGCCCAGAGGAGCAGTGTACAGCAAACTGGCTGCTCCACAGAGCAGTCCTGAGCAACAGTGGCAGTGTGAGGCAGCAGTAGCAATGTGGAGGAGGAATCAGAGCAGGAGCTACCGCTTGGATTGCTGGAGTTCTATTTATACCCACTGTTAATTATATGCGAATGAAGGGGTGAGTCATTCAGAATTTTCTAGAAAAAGGGTGGAGAGTTCCTGGAACCATATAAGGTAACTTCTGGGTCATTGCCACGGTACATTGCCATGGTATTTGTAAACTGTCACGGCACCGGTGGGAGTCTATTTAGTAATGAAAAATGAGGGCAGCCAGAGGTCACTTTGGTGGCCATGTACTGGTTTCAGCTGGCTTCTTTACTGCATCCTGTTTTTGTGTGTGTGAGTGTGTGTGTGTATGACGGAGTCTCTCTCTGTCACTCAGGCTGGAGTGCAGTGGCACGATCTTGGCTCACTGCAACCTCCGCCTCCCGGGTTCAAGCAATTCTCCAGCCTCAGCCTCCTGAGTAGCTGGGATTACAGGCACGCGTAATGCACCCGGCTAATTTTTGTAGTTTTAGTAGAGACGGGGTTTCACTATGTTGGCCAGGCTGGTCTCGAACTCCTGACCTCAAGCGATCCGCCCGCCTTGGCCTCCCAAAGTGCTGGGATTGCAGATGAGAGCCACCATGCCCGGCCCTGCATCCTAGTTTTGATCAGCAGGGGCCTTACAGGTGCTCAGAAAATAAGTCCTGCTGATTTTCTACCTCAAAGAGACCAAGATGAGACCAAGATGAGAAGACAGGGCCAGAATAAGCAGGTTTAGAGAGGAGGGCTCTAGGCTGAGGAGAAGACTAGTTTCGACACCCTGAGGGAGGAATTGCTTGGCTCCAGAACTGAGATGTGTCCAGATCTAGTTTTTAATGTGTCCCCAGGACAAGAGCTTTGATCTCTTCTTTCTCTGGTTTGTATCTTTGAATTTCAGGCCATGTAAGACCTGCTCATCAACTCTGTCTGAAAAACCTTTGGTTGACCTGAATTTCTATTCTGGAATCTTCTTCAAATTAGCAGCAGCTTTTTCTCTGAGCTAGAAAGCACTTTGATTCTTTTATTGGCAACAAGTCAGGAATTTTAGAACAAGATGCAGGCATTTGTCAGCGTGTTACAGTCCTTCTTTTCCACATGCAAAGTGCAAATAATAATCCTGACATCTGCTTGAAGGGGAAAGGTTTCCATTGTCCAGTGAGTCTTGGGTCCCACCCCTAGCCCATCCTCTACCCTCCACAGCTGCCTTTGTTTTTCTGGAGGCTGGAGGAGACTGGGGAGACAGAGGTCTTGGGACTGACAGCTGACACAGGCTGTAAGCGTCCCTCTAAGCAAAGTAGAAAGGGCGACGACCTGACCCTGTTCTGTAACCTTCTCTGTAGAAAGTGCAGTGATGCTGACAAAGATGATGATAAAATCTCCTGCACCTCCCTCAGGGCTGAATCCCACTAGGCCTTGCTAATGAGGCACGATCCATCTTTTCCTAAATAGGGGGAAACCACTCCTTAAATGAATTACAATCACTCTTAGAACCTAGGGTTTTTTGTTTGTTTGTTTGTTTCTGAATGGGCAATATATTCATATCTTTCTAAAATTTAAAAAATAAAGATGAAAAAATTTCTAAAAACGTCTTCCCAAGTCCCTGTTCACAACTTCTTGGTTTTCATTCACCTCTATCCCCTGCCCTTCAAATGTGTAACCACTATTATCAGTTTCTTGTGTATCCTTGTGTGCGGCCCACTTGGAACTGAAGACTGCCATACATTCTGTCTTTGGGGCAGCTTCCACTTCCAGGAGAGGGACCAAGAATAAACCTACCACAAATCTTCTATTCAGGGGAGTTTCATGGCCATGAGGAAGACACAGAGACTATTTGCACCTGCATAAATAAACCTCATCACAAACTTCTAAAATACCCTGTTTCTTCTCCTAAAAACCCATTTGTAAATCTATTTGTTCTTCCCATGGTAGCCCTCCTATTCTCCTTCTAAGGCATATAAGCCCCCAGTTCTAACCACTCCGTCATTGAGCACTTCTATGTGTCTGTGCATTCCCCGGGTAATTAAACTCTTTTTTCTTGCTAATCTGTCTTTTTTTCAGTTTAATTTGCAATCCCCCAGTATTGAACCCAAGAGTAAAGTTTTTTTTTAAATTATTTATTTATTTATTTATTTATTTTGAGACAGAGTCTCGCTCTGTCACCCAGGCTGGAGTGCAGTGGCGTGATCTTGGCTCACTGCAAGCTCCACCTCCTGGGTTCACTCCCCAACACCTGCAAAGACTTTATGGGGGAGGTGTATTTTAAATACAAAAATTAGCCAGGTGTGGTGGTGCGTGCCTGTAGTCCCAGCTGCTTGGGAGGCTGAAGCACGAAAATCACTTAAACCTGGGAGGCAGAGATTGCAGTGAGCCAAGATTGTGTCGCTGTACTCCAGCCTGGGTGACAGAGCAAATATATTCTTTTACACCCTACCCCATACACCTTTTTTAAAATTTTGAGAGAAGATATTGCTCTGTCGCCTGTGCTGGAACGCAGTGGCACAATGACAGCTCACTGCAGCCTCAGCCTCCTGGGCTCAAGCGACCTTCACACCTTGGCCTCCTGAGTAGCGGGGACTGCAGGCACACACCACCACACCCGACTTATTTTTGCATTTTTCGTAGAGATGGAATTTCACCATGTTGGCCAGGCTGGTCTCAAACTCCTGAGCTCAAGCAATCCTCCTGCCTCAGCCTCCCAAAGTGCTGGGAGGTGTAAGCCTCCCACACCCAGCTTCCATACACATACCTTTAAAAAAAAACCCCACAAATGATTTTGTACTGTAGGCTGAGTGCAGTGGCTCACACCTGTAATCCCAGCACTTTGGGAGGCCAAGGTGGGAGGATGACTTGAGGTCAGGAGTTTGAGACCAGCCTGGCCAACATGGCAAAACCCTGTCTCTACTAAAAATACAAAAATTAGCCGGGTGTGGTGGTGCATGCCTGTAGTCCCAGCTGCCTGGGAGGCTAAGGCACGAAAATCTCTTAAACCTGGGAGGCGGAGATTGCAGTGAGCCAAGATTGTGTCGCTGTACTCCAGCCTGGGTGACAGAGCAAGACTCTGTCTCAAAAAAAAAAGGAAAAAGATTTTGTACTATATAACTGTTATGTGTCTTGCTTTTCTTTTCACTTGATAATATAACTCGGAAGACTTTCGATGTCTGTATATAGAGAGAATCCTGTTTTTTGTGCCTGAATAGTATCCATTGCATGCATGTGGCTATAATTTTTAAAATAGATATTAAATTATGAATAAAGTACAATAAATATGCAATCCCCTCCAAAATTCCTGTTGAAATGAAATCCCCAATGTACCAGTATTAAGAGGTATAGCCTTTGGGAGGTGATTAAGTCATGAGAGCTCTGCTCTTATGACTGGGATTAGCAGCCTTATGAAAGGGCTGGAGGTTGAAGGGAGCAGTCTCTTGTCCTTCCACTTTCTACCATGTGAGCACACAGCGGCAAGGTGCCATCTTGGAAGCAGAGAGCATCCCTCACCAGGCAGCAATGATGGATCTTGGACTTTCCAGTCAACAGAGCTGTAATAAATACAATAAGTTTCAAGGCTGGGCCTGGTGGCTCATGCCTGTAACCCCAGCACTTTGGGAGGCCAAGGCAGGCAGATCACCTGAGCTCAGCAGCTTGAGACCAACCTGGGCAACATGGTGAAACCCTCTCTACCAAAAACACAAAAAATCAGCTGGATGTGGTGGTGTTCGCCTGTGGTCCCAGCTACTCGGGAGGCTGAGGTGGGAGGATAGCCTGAGCCTGGAAGATGAAGGTAGCAGTGAGACCCTGTCTATAAATAAATAAATAAATTTCAAAATACCCAGTTTAAGGTATTTTCTTATAGCAACACAAATGGACTAAGATGAATATACATACTTAATACATATTAAGGCTGGGCATGGTGGCTGACGCCTGTAATCCCAGCACTTTGGGATGCTGAGGCTGATCACCTGAGGTTGGGAGTTCGAGACCAGCCTGGCCAACATGGTGAAGCCCCGTCTGTACTAAAAACACAAAAATTAGCTGGGCATAGTGGTGCACGTCTGTAATCCCAGCTACTTGGGAGGCTGAGACACGAGAATTGCTTGAACCTGGGAGGCGGAGGTCACAGTGGGCCAAGATTGCGCCACTGCACTTCAACTTGGGCGACAGAACAAGACTCTGTCTCAAAAAAAAAAAAAAAATACGGCCATGTGAGGTGGCTCATGCCTGTAATTTCAGCACTTTGGGAGGCCGAGGTGGGTGGATCACCTGAGGTGAGGAGTTCAAGACCAGCCTGGCCAACATGGCGAAACCCTGTCTCTATTAAAAATACAAAAAGTAGCTGGGTGTTGTGATGGGCACCTGTAATCCCAACTACTCGAGAGGCTGAGGCAGGAGAATCACTTGAATCTAGGAGGCAGAGGTTGCAGTGAGCCAAGATCATGCCATTGCACTTCAGCCTGGGCAACAAGAGTGAAACCCCATCTCAACAAAACAAAACAAAACAAAACATATTAGTATTTATCTAATGGCCTTCTTGAGGGGCATTTGGGTCTGTTTTGATCAAACAGCATCACAATGAGGCAACAAATAACCAAGTACATACATGGTTTCATCCGTGTGCAAGTTTATCGTAGCATAAATACCTCCTGTTGTATTTGTACCTCCAGTGTGCATTTGTAGTTTTGATAGTTTTTGCCAAACCAGCTCCTATGGAAGTCAAACCAAAGTACATTCCCACCAGCAATACAGGCAGATAGGAGAGACCGATTTGGTGGGGCAAGCCAGCGGCATCCCTAGGAATTTGGGGTGGGGAATTCACCTAGCTTATTTAGCTTTCCTCAGTGCAAACATACAGTAAACTTCTTATGGGAAAGGGGCTTGGGGACTTTTGGCACACCTTGTGCAGGGGCAGTGGTCAAATAGCAATATCTATCCCTGTGTAGGAATGAAGACGTGAAAGACAGTGTCAGGAGATTGAGGCCACCAGGTGGGTTTCCCCTGGGGTTCTCCCAGCAGCCTCCTGTTGGAGCCCACTCTCCTTCCCCAGGCTCCCTGACAAAGCTGCCGAAGGCTCCTTCTCTGCTCCCTCAGCCCAAGTTATCACCCCTCAACCCACCTTCAGAACTGGCCTCTCAGGAGTCACTTCTCCACTCGGGCCCCATCCTACAGCCCTCTCCAGGCATTAATCTTACTGGCTGGCCCCCTTGGCTCTTTTAACTCTCTGCTGTCTGTGGCCACCAAGCTTCTTACTTCTTTGACCCCCAGAGGACTTCATTCTGACCTCTGCCTGTGCATCTCTGCTCATTCTTCCTTTTCTATTCTTCAAGTTCGACAGCTCTTCACGGTTTTCACCTTGGTCCATTTCTCTTCCCATTCTGTGTGCTCTTCCTATTTTACTGTTTTATTATTTTTACCACAAAGTTTCTTATTTTTTTCTTTATTTTTCTTTTCTTTATTTTTATTTTATTCTTGTCCTTTTTTCTTTTCTGCTATTTTTTTATATTTTTATTTTTGATTCATTTTATTTATTTATTTTTGAGACGGAGTCTTGCCCTGTCTCTCATGCTGGAGTGCAATGGCACGATCTCGGCTCACTGCAACCTCCGCCTCCTGGGTTCAAGCAATTCTCCTTCCTCAGACTCCCGAGTAGCTGGGATTACAGGTGCCTGTCACCACGCCCGGCTAATTTTTTTTTCTTTTTTTTTTTGTATTTTTAGTAGAGACAGGGTTTCACCATGTTGGCCAGGCTGGTCTTGAACTCCTGACCTCAGGTGATCTACCCGCCTCAGCCTCCCAAAGTGCTGTTCTGGGGTTACAGGCGTAAGCCACCGTGCCGGCCAATTCATTTTAAATAAACGTTATTGAGGTATAATTTACATACAATAAAACTCATTCATACATTTTAAGCATTCAGTTGGACAACTTTTGACAAATGCATGCACCTAAACAAGATATAACACCTGTCCATCACCCCAGAAAGTGTTTTAGTCCCCCACTTGCAGTCACCTCAGTCCCAGTTCATCGTTGATCTGCTTTCTGTAACTATAAATTAGTTCTCTTTGTTTAAAAATTTTATATAAATGAATCATATGGTAGGCACTCTTGCATCCAGCTTTTATTTTACACAGTGATTTTAAGACTCATCCATGTTGTTGCATCTATTAGTAATTTCAATCTTTTTATTACTATCCCTTTCTATGAAGAGAACAAATTTTGTTTACCCATTTCCTAGTTGATGGATTACTTGAATTGTTTCCAATTTTTAGCAATCGTGAATAAAGCTGTTACGCACATTTGGATACAAGCCTTTTAAAAAGGCAACCTATTATTCCAATGTAGACTTCCACAAGCTTTTGAGCAATCAAATCCAACAGCATTATGGTGGCCACTAGCTACTTACGCCTATTCACATTTGTGTACAAGTCTTTTTGTGGGCCTATGTTTTTATGGTACTTCAGTAAATACATAACAGTAGAATTGCTGGGTCAAATGGTGGGTGTTTGTTTAGATTTAAAATAAACTCCAGTAGTTCTCCCAAGCAGTTGTACTATTTTATTTTATTTGTATCTTTATTTTTTGAGACAGGGTCTCACTCTATCACCCAGGCTGGAGAGCAGTAGCATGATCACAGCTCACTGCAGTCTCGACCTCCCTGGCTCAGGTGATTCTCCCACTTCAGCCTGCTGGGGTAGTTGGTATTACAGATGCATGCCACCACACCCAGCTAATTTTTTGTATTTTTAGTAGAGATGGGGTTTTGCCACATTGCCCAGGCTGGTCTCAAACTCCTGGGCTCAAGCAGTCTGCCCGTCTTGGCCTCCCAAAGTGCTGGGATTACAGACGTGAGCCACTGCATCCAGCCTGTACTATTTTAAGTTCCTGCCAGTGAGCTAGGAGTTTCAGCTGCCCTACATTCTAACCAATACTGGTATTACACATCTTTTTATTTTCAGCCATGCTTGTGAGTGTGAGGTAGCATCTTACTGTGGTTTCATTCTGCATCTCCCTGAAGACTACTGAGGGTGAGCATCTCTTCCTGTGCGTGCTGGCCATTTGCATGTCCTTTGTGAAGTGTCTGTTCATGTCTTTTGCTCAGTTTTCACTGTTTGCCTTCCTATTAGTGAGTTGTATGGGTTCTTTATGTATTTGGAATGCAAATCCTTTTTCAGATACAGGTGCTGTGAACATTTTCTCCCAGTCTGTAGTTTGGCTTTTCACAGCAGGAAGTTTTCACCCTGATGAAGTCTGACCCTCTGCCATGGTGGGCCTGGCCTCCAGCCCCCACTCACTCCTTTGGGGTCTCCTTTAACTCATTCTTTTAAAAAAATTTTAAAATAATTTTTATTGATATGGAACTTTTCATGAATTCGTGTGTCATCCTTGCAGGGGCCATGCTAATCTTCTCTGTATTGTTCCAGTTTTATTTATTTATTTAGAGACAGAGTGTCACTCTGTTACCCAGGCTGGAGTACAGTGGCGTGATCTCGGCTCATTGAAACCTGTGCCTCCTGAGTTCCTGCTTCAGCCTCCCGAGTAGCTGGAATTACAGGCATGCACCACCACGCCCGGCTAGTTTTCATAGTTTTAGTAGAAACGGGTTTCATCATGTTGGCCAGACTGGTCTCGAACTCCTGGCCTCAAGTGATCCGCCCACTTCAGCCTCCCAAAGTGCTGGGATTACAGACGTGAGCCACGGTGCCCGGCCTTCATTCCAATTTTATACATGTGCTGCCAAAGACAGCACTTTGACTCCTTTCAATCCTTTGCTTTCCTGCTTTGCATATCAGCTTGCCCAGCTCTTGCACCCAGTCTTGCATAAATCCCTTCTCAGTGCTCAATTTTAAAAAAAGAGAGAGGGCGGACGCTCCTTGGAAAGGAGAGACGATCTTTCAGTCCTTCTCTCACAGTTCTTTCTCTTCCTCCCCATTTGCTCTCTCCTCCCCAGCCCTGCACATCATCTCTTCTTTTCATTCTCTTTACTCCTCCTTTACTTCCTCTCCCCTTCTAAGTCTCATCTATCTTGGGCCAAAAATTAGCTTTTTAAGGTAAAATCAGGTCCCCTTCCCCATAAAGGCTTTTATGCAAAGTGTTCTAACAAAAACGTCTCCAGCTTCAATATTGCCAGAACAAATTCTCAGGGCTAGGCACCTAGAACCTAAATTCTGCCGTACCAGGAACCCCAAATTGCAGTGTTATAGAAATGAAGAGACCACAGACAGGTCAAATTGAGGAGATGGTATTTCTTCTCCTGTAACGCCCTCACCTGTGTGAGCTCCCTCTCCAGCTGTGTACCTCTTGTCAGATGAGACGATGAGAGGCTATGGCAATGCTAATTACTCTCACCTGCATCAGAGCCACTCACCTGGGTAGCTTTTAATTTCCCCCACTCTCTCCCAGAGCTTGGCTCTACCCATTAGACAGTTAGACTCTGGTGGTTTTCAGAGTGTAGTCCCCAGAGCAGCCACATCTGCACCGCCTGGAAACTTGCTAGAAATGCAGTTTCTAATTAGGTCCCACACTTCCACATGCATCAGAACCCCTGGCAGGGACTGTGAGAACAGTCAGAACAAAGATTGCTGGGGCTGGCCACAGAATTCAGTGGGTCTGAAGTGGGGCCTGAGAATGTGCATTTCTAACAGGTTCCCAGGTGACAATGTTGCTGTGGCTCCAGGGGGCCCTCTGAGAAACACCATATTAAAGATTCTGATTCAGTTGGTGTGGGTCAGACGGTCCGGGCATCCCATGTTCCAATGCTCCCCTGTGCTGTGCAGCTGAGGTTGGGAGCTCCTGGTCCATGGTCTGCGTTGCAGCACGGCTAGAGCCGCACATCTGCAGAAGACAAGAAAGACCCTCCTAAAGGGCTTCTTCCTTCATCTAAGTTTTCATCACAGGCAAACTCTGTGTGTCCAGTGTACTTGGGGCTTGTAATTTTCCTCCAAGGACCTGTAGGACCCTCTCCAAGTTTGAGCAGGTCTGGCATCCCAGGGTGCTAAGGCCTGCTGGCAGCTCACGTGCTTGGCCCCAGGTACTCTGGGAGCTGTGAGAGTTCGACCCAGAAAGGTGGATCCCTTGAGAGTTCTGGGCAGGGCCACAGCCCCCTTGGTTGGAAAGCGACGGGTCCCTTTTGGTGCTGGTGAGCTGTAAGCAACAAAGCTGTTGCCAAGGGCCTCTGGAATATGACTGTTTCTGAGGCTGTTACAAAATTATATTAAATTCCCAAATGATGGTATTCATTGTAATATATGCAAGCTTTTTAATGTATCAGCCATGCTTATATCAGGTGTGGTCACCTAAGAGTTTTGATTGTTTTTGCTCTTTTATTGATGCATAATTTGCATATAGTAAAATACACAAATCTTAAGTGGATGCTCAATGAATTTTTACCTATGTATACACTCATGTAACAACCACCAAGATCAGGATAGAGAACATTTCCATCATTCTAGTAAGTTCCTTCAGGCCCTTTCTCACTCAATCCCCATCTCCCACTGCCCTAAACAAGTAGACACTATTCTGACCTCTCTCATCATATGTAGATAAGTTTTGCCTTTTATTTTTTTATTTTTTATTTTTATTTTTTAAAAAGGGGTCTTAGTCCTCTGTGACTCAGGCTGGAGTGCAGTGGTGTGACCATAGCTCAATGCAGCCTTGAACTCCTGGGCTCAAGCGGTGCCCCCGCTCCAGCCTCCCGAGGAACTGGGACTACAGGTGCACACTACCACACCCAGCTAATTTTTAAAAAATTTTTTTGTAGAGATGGGGTCACCCTATGTTGCCCAGGCTGGTCTTAAGTTCCTAGACTCAAGGGATCCTCTGGCCTCAGCCTCTCAAGGTTCTGGGATTACAGGTGTGAGCCACACTGTGCCTGGCTTATTTGATATCTTGTGATCAATATTGTGTTTTTGAGATTCATTCATATTTCACGTAAGAGCAACCCATTCATTTTTCTTGCTGTGCTGTACACCACAATGTATTTATCTATTCTTCTATTGATGGGCATTTGAGTTGTATTTAGTTTTTGGCTGTTATCGATTTAGCAGCAATGTGTATTTTTGTACATGTTTTTTGGTGTGTGTACGCACTCATTTCTTTCAGGGTATATACCCAGGAGTGGAACTGCTTGGTCACATGGTGAGTGTATGTTTAATTTTAGAAGAAACTGCCAAATGGTTCTCCAAAGTGCTTGTACTGGTTTATACTTCCACCAGCAGCATGTAAGAGTTCACTTCCTCCACATCCTCACCAATGCTTGATATTTTCAGAAATTTAATTTTAGCCATTCTAGGGAGTGTATAGTCACAGCATATTGTGGGTCTAATTTGCATTTCCCTGTAACCATTGAGGTTGAGCATCTTTTTTTTTTTTTTGAGACGGAGTCTCGCTCTGTTGCCCAGGCTGGAGTGTGCTGGCGCAATCTCGGCTCACTGCATCCTTCGCCTCCTGGGTTCAAATGATTCTCCTGCCTCAGTCTCCCAAGTACCTGAGATTACAGGCATGTGCTACCACATCTGGCTAATTTTTTGTGTTTTTAGTAGAGACAGGGTTTCACCATGTTGGCCAGGCTGGTCTCAAGCTCCTGACCTCAAGGGATCCACTCATCTCGACCTCCCAAAGTTCTGGAATTACAGGCATGAGCCACCGCGCCTGGCTGATGTTGAGCATCTTTTTATGAACTTACTGGCCATTTTGATATCCTTTTGTGTGAATGCCTTTTAAATTCATTTGTGCATTTTTTTTCCTATTGGATACCTGACACCTTTAATAAAGATAAAAGGGTTATGAAATAGCACCTTACTCATGCCAGGAGTTAAGAGGAAACTGAAGTGGGTTTGTGAAGAAAGTGATGAAGAAGAGAAGGACCCTACTTCTCAGGTCTCTGAAGCTTATTGGTCTCTGTCTCCCCAGAACCTAGCACACAGCTCGGCACAAGACAGGAACCCAACAAAAGTTCATCAAATAAGGGGACTGTCCTTGTTTTGGGGGGCTGTTGTGGACTTTGCAATGCATGATCCTCTTTACTATTCCATCTCTCTGAAGCTACATCAGACCCTGGGACCCCTCCAATTCTGGACAGGTGGCCCACAAGTAGCCTCAGGCCACGGCTCACTGAGACAGCCCAGATTGTCTTGCTGATTAGCCTGCTTGAATCCCATGGAAAACCTCTCCTGTCACTGGGGTACTCCATGAGCCTCGGGGATTGCATCATTATTTACATCCCAATTTCTTTAAATTCAAGATTTGTATCCAATAGCGTTGGTCTCCCTGAACCTGGATCCCCAGGTTCTCAGAAGAGTCAGGGACCGCAAGCTGCCTTCACCAGCCCAGATCTCTGCTGAGCACTTGTTCTACCCGGGATGAGTTCCTGAAGATAAACCTTTTGTGCATTGTGTTATTTTGTGTGCACAACTCAGCTAAGTGGCCTCCAGCACTACTCATCATCCCGCCGCCTGGCTACCAAGAGGCCCAATCAGTATCTGTGGAACGAGTGGATAAAGAATGATTTAGGGTCCAATCCATTTCCCAATCCAGTAAGCCATCTTTCATTTCCACCATCTTGGGCCAAAGGAAAAAAAAATGGGAACATCTTTCTTTCTTTCTTTTTTTTGTGACAGAGTCTCACTCTGTTGCCCAGGCTGGAGTGCAGTGGGATGATCTCAGCTCACTGCAACCTCTGCATCCCAGGTTCAAGCGATTCTCGTGCCTCAGCCTCTTGAGTAGCTGAGATCACAGATGTACACCACCATGCCTGGCTACTTTTTGTATTTTTAGTAGAGACGGGGTTTCACCATGTTGGTCAGGCTGGTCTCAAACTCCTGGACTCAAGTGATCTGTCCTCCTTGGTCTCTCAAAGTTCTGAGATTACAGGCGTGAGCCACCGTGCCTAGCCAGGAACTTCTTTTTATGCTTTACCAGAAACTCATCTTGATGTTTTCTTGTTCTTGATGATTTTGCTAAAGTCCAGACGTTCCTTGATCATCGAACACTTCTGTGTCAGCTAAGTTGTTTGAAGCAGTAAATCCCAGCTCTACATTCCCTTCATAATATGTGTCCAACTGAAAAAGAATGTTAAAGAAGACAATAAAATGCTTAATGGTAGAGTTCTGAAATAATCAGAATTAATCAATCAATCATTTATTTATTCAAATGACCGACACTTATTATTATGTATCTCTGTGCAGCCATGCATGGCTTGAGGGATGTGACACAGGAGATTTATGTCTGGTGGTGGATGGGCTTTTGTCTCGAACTCCTGACCTCAAGTGATCTGCTCGCCTTGGCCTCCAAAAGTGCTAGGATTACAGGCGTGAGCCACTGCGCCTGGCCTTGGATGGGCTTTTGTAACCTAGTATGTCTTCCTGGTGCCTTATCCATGATTGTTTCTTGGTATGGGATTTTTCTCCCACTCTTGGGAATCTCCTGGTATTCCACCGATGGCTGCTGAAACCCAGTCCCTGGCTGGTTCCAGTGTCTGATTGTGCTAGGTTGTAATTCCATGTGCTGCCAGGAGGTGTCTCTCCCTAACACCTGATGCTGCCGCGGCTGAAAAGTTGGTTTCTGTGTGACAAGTGAGAACAGTGTTGAAGTCAATTTTGTGTTTGAAGTTTTATCTTAAAAATAAGTTAACTTTGAATAAAAAATTATCTTGGTCAGTGAAGGGTATGTAAATTTTTTTTTGTTTATTTTTCATTTTTTGTATCTTCATGAACACATGTAAAAGTTTTTGGAACGGCATTGTCCAATAGAACTTTTTGCCGTGTTAGAAATGTTTTACAATCTGCTCTGTCCAATAATTGTAGCCACAAGCCACATGGAGCTAATCAGCAGTTGAAATGTGGCTAGTGAGACTGAGGAACTGAATTTCAGATTTTACTTAATTCTAATTAATTAATTAATTAACTGATTAATTTTTAGAGACAGAGCTCAGCTTGGTTGCCCAGGCTGGAGTGCAGTGGCATGCCATAGCTCACTGCAGCCTCAAACTCCCAGTCAAGCTAGGACTATAGGCAAGCATCACCACACCCAGCTCATTTTAAAATTATTTTTTCTAGGGATGGATCTCACTGTGTTGCCCAGATTGGTCTTGAACACATGGCCTCAGGCAATTCTCTGCTTTGATTTGCCAAAGTGCTGGGATAACAGGCATGAGCCATCATGCCCAGCCTTATTAAATTTAAACAGCTACATGTGGTCACTCTATGGAGCAGCATAGCTTTATAATAATTTTTTAAAATTAATTAGTTTAATTGACACATTATCATTGTACATAGGTATGGGGTGCAGTTTGATATTTTAATACATATATTGTATAATGGTCAAATTAGGGTAGTTAGCATGTCAATCACCTTAGGCATTTATCATTCCCTTGTGGTGAGAACATTCAAAAGCCTCTCCTCTAGCTATTTTGTAATATACAATATCTTACTGTTAACCATAGCCACCCTACTGTGTAACAGAACCCCAGAATTTATGCCTCCCATCTAATTGTAATTTGTACCTGTTGACCGACCTCTCCCCATCCTCCCCTCTCCCCTGCCCTTCCCAGGCTCTGGTAACCACTGTTGGACTCTCTGACTCTTCTTCTATGAGATCAATTTTTTTTTTTTTTTTTTTTAGATTCCACATATGAGTGAGATCATGCAGTATTTGTCTCTCTGTGTCTGGCTTATTTCACTTAATATGATGTCCTCCAAGTTCATCCATGTTGTTGAAAATGACAGGATTTCATTTTTTTATGGCTGGTACAATTATTTTTGTTTCTATTATTTCAGCAAAGGAGAATCAGGAGAGAAAATATCAGAACAGAGTACAGCCAGTCAGTCTCCTTACCAGTGTCAGGGCAGATTAGTGTAAGACTGTGGGGTTCTAGAGATTTGTGGGTCAATTCTGGCCTTGCCACTTAATAGCTGCTGTGACGTTAGGTAAGTGAGTTCATCTCTCTGAGCCTCAGTTTCTTTATCTGTAGATTGGGGATTGTAATGGCAACCTCAGAAGACTACTGTGAGGACTGAGTGAAGTACTGTGTACATCACTCAGGGTATGGGAGCATTGACTTACATAGTGAGTGCTCAGCAAAAGTCCCTCTGCCCCTGTTGGTGGTGATGGTGGCAGTGACAGCGGATTTATTATTCACCAAACTAGTCTTCCTGCTCACTGTCTCTACAGGGGCTAAATCGGGGGAGGACACAGTCCAAGGTCAAGAGCATCAAGCAAAGAATTAGTCAGCAGTCAGCCTAGGAGTCAGGCTGTTGTGTCAACTGCATTAACCCAGAGGTCAGAAGCAAAGGGACTTACAGAAAAATTCTAAGAACAGAACAAAAGGATTTTTTTTTAAACTCTTCATCAAGATTCCCCAAATATTAACATTTTTGCCACATTTGCCTTACTGTTTTCTCTGTCTGTGTGTACAAATATATATATTTTTCTGAATCATAAGAGAGTAAATTGCAGATGTGATGCCCTCTATCTCCCAAAGCTTCAGTGTATAATTCCTAAAAAGTAAAGGACATTCTGCTACACAGCCACAGTGCAGTGACTAAGTCAGGAAACGAACACTGATTCAATACAATTAGCTAATCTACAGACCGTATTCAGATTTAGATGTCACCAACTGTCCCAGTAATGTCCTTTATAGCAACACAATATCCCAGATCACGTGCTGCAGTTGGTTGCCCTGTCTCTAATCTCCTCCAATCGGCGACAGTTCCTTGGGCTTTCTTTGTCTTTCCTGACCTTGACATTTTTGAAGAGTCCACGCAGTTTTCTTGTAGAATGTCCTTCAGTTTGGGTCTGCCTGATGTTTCCTCATGATAAGCCTCAGGTTGTGTATTCTTGGCAAGAATACTGGGAAAATGATGCTGTGTTCTCAGTGCATCAGATGAGCGGGGACATGAGGTCCCTTTCTTAGTTTGGGAGAATAAATTCTGATGAAAAATATTCCCAGTGAGAAGGAAAATCGAGAGGATCTCAGGAGGCTGGTGTGGTTTGCACAAGCAACTGTGCTTCGCTCACATTTTCAAAGGACAGAAGCAAAGGGTGGAAGGCAGAGAACTCCACTCAGAGAGCGAGAGAACGGAGAGAAGAGCGGCTGAAAAGCTGGCTCCAGAAACGAGCTGAGGCCCTGAAAAATGCTGAAGGCAACCAAATAGGCTTCTAAATTGCTTACTTAAAAAACACTCATTCGTTTTCCTGACAATAAAAAATAGAATGTGGTCATTGTGGAAAATACAAACGTATAAAGAAGGAAACAGTAACTCCCTGCATCCTACACCCAGCTGTAGCCACGGCTAATATTTTGGGTATTTTCCCTCCCCACCTCCAGGAAAGGTTTTTAAAGCTGCGCTTGGAGCATGAAACAAAATGAGAAAGACTTCAGCTTCTCGGCGTGGGGAAGGTGATGTCATGCCAGCGGGGGCGGCGGAAAGGGCTGCCTGTGCTTCCCCTTCACTCTCGGGACGCGGCTGTGGGCTGGGCAGGAGGGAGCCAAGTCTGGGGTGCACTGGGGAGCCCAGAACCACTGCTATGCTCTGCAAAACTCTGAGGCGCTTCCAAAAGTTTGGAGCTGGGCATGTATTTTACTGATTTCTAAAAATCGTAAGCGGTTGTTCGGGGGGAGGAGAAGGGTGTTGGGGTGACGGGGTGTCCGCGCTGGAGACTCAGCTGTGTGCGCCCTGATTCAGACGAGGGAGGCCTTCCAGGTGGGGGTGGGCAGGGAGCTTCTGGGGAAGAATGCATCCTGAGGGCGGAGAGCTACAGGGTAAGGGGGCCAGGCTGTCGGCATTAGAGGGGTGTCTGCGTTTGGCTGCAGCCCAGCCCGCAGGCTCCAGAGTCTGGGAGCCGCGAAGGAGCCGCCCTTATCAGGCAGTAGGGCGAGCTGCCCCAGGGGACAGTCTCTGTGCTGAGGGCATTCCTCGACCTGGGTCGTGGCGCCTACTAGCAGGGGGTTCCAGGATTCCCAGGGCAGAGCTGTCCGGTGTGAGGTGTCCAGCTGGCTTGAGGCCTGTGGCCCTGAAGGCCGGGTGGGCCAGGAGGCTGAGAGGCAGCCACCTTTAAAGGGAGCCAGAGCAGGGAGGGAAACGGAGCTCTTCCCCTGCCGTCCTGGCGCTGTTCCTGCCAATAGACAAGGCAGATGTGTACAATGATTATAGTCTTTTTGTTTGTTTTAAGAGACAGCCTTGCTGTGTTGCCCAGGCTGGAGTGAGTGCAGTGGCTTGTTCATAGCTCACTGCAGCCTGGAACTCCTGGGCTCAGGGGATCCTCCCACTTCAGCTTCCCAAGTAACTGGGACTACAGGTGTGTGCCACCATGCCCTGCTAATTTTTTTTTTTTTTTTTTGAGACGGAGTTTCGCTCTTGTTGCCCAGGCTGGAGTGCAATGGCGGGATCTCAGCTTACTGCAACCTCTGCCTCCCAGGTTCAAGCGATTCTCCTGCCTCTCGGCCTCCCGAGTAGCTGGGATTACAGGCATGTGCCACCACTCCCGGCTAATTTTATATTTTTAGTAAAGACGGGGTTTCTCCATGTTGGTCAGGCTGGTTTTGAACTCCCGACCTCAGGTGATCCGCCTGTCTCGGCCTCCCAAAGTGCTGGGATTACAGGTGTTAGCCACTGCACCCAGCCACCCCACTAATTTTTAAATTATTTATTTATTTAGAGACAGAATCTCACTCTGTCACCCAGGTTGGAATGCAGTGGCACCATCATAGCTCACTGCAGCCTCAACCTCCAGGGTTCCAGGGATTCTCCTGCTTCAGCCTCCCAAGCAGCTGGGACTATAGGCGTGGGCCAGCCCATCAGACTAATTTTTTTTTTCAGATCCTCACATCTCAGATGAACATCCAGCTAATTTTAAAAAGTTTTGTAGAGATGGGGTCTTGCTATGTTGACCAGGCTGGTCTCGAACTCCTGGGCTCAAGCAACTCTCCTACCTCAGCCTCCCAAAGTGTTAGGATTACAGGTGGGAGCCATCACACCACCCAGCCTGATTATAACATTTTAACTGTGGGCCAGGCACTGTGTTAAGTCTAAGTCTGCGTATGTTCAAAGTAGCCTTTGCAACTGGTCTATCGAGGTAGGTATTTATCATTCCTGTTTTACAGAGGACTCAAAGGTAAATGATATGGCAGATGTGGTCAGTGCCCCAATGTCTCCCGGGCACTGGGAGGTGACCTCAGACCATTCCATGTGTGCCTGTGGCTCCCTGTATCTCTCTACAGGGCATGCTCTATGGCCCTTGGAGTGTGGGGAGTTAACACCTCAAGAGTGATTCTCAGCTGGTGGGCGAGGGATGGGAGTTGTATGAAAACCCCAGGGTGCTTGCTCCTTGATGAGACAATTTTATTTTTAATTGTAGTAAAAAAAACACATAGCATAAAATTTACCATCTGAACCATTTATAAGTGTATAGTACAGTAGTATTAACTGTTTGCACCTTGTTGTGTAATAGAACTTTTCATCTTGCAAAACTGAAACTCTATACCCATTAAATAACTCCCCATTCCCTCTCTCTGCAGGCCCTGGCAACCACATTCTACTTTCTGTCTGTGAATTTGACACTTTAGGTACCTTGTATGCAGTATGTGTCCTTCTGTGACTGGCTTATTTCACTGAGCATAATGTCCTCAAGATTCGTCCATGTTGTAACGTGTATCTGAATTTCCCTTTTTTTTTTTTGTATTTTTAGTAGAGATGTGGTTTCACTATGTTGGCCAGGCTGGTCTTGAACACCTGACCTCATGATCCACCCGCCTCAGCCTCCCAAAGTGCTGGGATTACAGGCATGAGCCACTGCATCCAGCCAGCATTTATCCTTTCTTTGTGTTACAAACAATCCAGTTATACTCTTAGTTGTCTTTAAATGTATAATATACTATTGTTGACTGCTGTCAGTTTGTTGTGCTATCAAATATTAGATCTTATTTATTCTATCTAACTATATTTTTGTATCCGTTAACCATCCCCACTCTACCCCCACCCCACTACCCTTCCCAGCCTCTGGTAACCATCCTTTTACTCTCTATCACCATGAGTTCAATTGTTGTAATATTTAGCTCCCACAAATAAGTGAGGACATGTGAAGTTTGTCTTTCTGTGCATGGCTTGTTTCACTTAACATAAGAACCTCCAGTTCCGTTCATGTTGTTGCAAATGACAGGATCTCATTCTTTTTTATGGCAGAATGGTACTCCATTGTGTATATGTACCACATTTTCTTTATCCAATCATCTGTTGATGGACACTTAGGTGGCTTCCAAATCTTGGCTATTGTGAACAGAGCTGCAACAAACATGGAAGTGCAGATATCCTTTCATTATGCTGATTTCCTTTTTTGGGGGTATATTTTTAGCAGTGGAATTGCTGGATCATATGGTAGTTCTATTTTTAGTTTTTTGAGGAACCTCCAAGCTGTTCTCCCTAGTGGCTGTACTAATTTACATTCCCACCAACAGTGTACAAGGGTTCCCTTTTCTCCACATCCTTGACAGCATTTGTTATTGCCTGTCCAAAAGACAAAAGCCATTTTAACTGGGGTGAGATGACCTCTCATTGTAGTTTTGATTTGCATCTCTCTGATGACCGATAATGTTGAGCACCTTTCAATATGCCTGTTTGCCATCTGTATGTTTTCTTTTGAGAAATGTCTATTCAGATCTTTTGCCCATTTTTGGTTGGATTATTAGATTTTTTTCTATAGACTGGTTTGAGCTCCTTATATGTCCTGGCTATTAATTCTTTGCCAGATGGATAGTTTGCAGATATTTTCTCCTATTCTGTGGGTTGTTTCTTTATTTTGTTGATTGTTTCCTTTGCTGTGCAGAAGCTTTTTAACTTGATGTGGTTTGTCCATGTTTGCTTTAGTTGTCTGTGCTTGTGGGGTATTATTCAAGAAATCTTTGCTCAGTCCAAAGTCCTGGAGAGATTTTTTCCCAATGTTTTCTTTTAATAGTGTCATAGTTTCAGGTCTTAGATTTAAGTCTTTAATACGTTTTGATTTGATTGTTGTATATGGCAAGAGATAGGGGTCTAGTTTCATTCTTCTGCATATGGATATCCAGTTTTCCCAGCACTATTTATTGAAGAGACTGTCCTTTCCTCAATGTATGTTCTTGGTACCTTTGTAAAAAATGAGTTCACTGTAGATGTATGGGTTTTTTCCTGGGTTCTCCATTGTTTTCTGTTGGTCTACGTGTCAGTTTTTATGCCAGTGCTGTGCTGTTTTGGTTACTATAGCTCTGTAATATAACTGGAAGTCAGGTTATGTGATTCCTCCAGTTTTGTTCTTTTTGCTGAGGATATCTTTGGATACTCTGGGTCTTTGTGGTTCCATATATATTTTAGGATTTTTTTTTCTATTTCTGTGAAGAATGTCATTGTTATTTTGATAGGGATTGTATTGAATCTATAGATTGCTTGGGATAGTATGAACATTTTGACAATATTGGTTATTTCAATTCATGAACATGTAATATCTTTTCATTTTTTGGTGTCTTCAATTTCTTTCATTAAGATTTTGTAGTTTTCATTGTAGAGCTCTTTCACTTCTTTGGTTAAGTTATTTCCTAGGTATTTTATTTCATTGGTAACTATTGTAAATGGAATTACTTTCTGGATTTCTTTTACAGATTGTTTGCTGTTGGCATATAGAAATGCTACTGATTTTTGTATGTTTTTTTTGTATCCTGCAACTTTACTGAATTTATCAATTCTAATAGTTTTTGTTGATGGATATTTTTTGTTTGTTTGTTTCTTGTTTTTTGTTTGAGACGGAGTTTTGCTCTTGTTGCCTAGGCTGGAGTGCAATAGCGCCATATTAGCTCACTGCAACCTCCACCTCCAGGTTCAAGCAATTCTCCTGCCTCAGCCTTTCAAGCAGCTGGGATTACAGGCACCCGCCACCACACCCAGCCAATTGTTTGTATGTTTAGTAGAGATGGGGTTTCACTGTGTTGGCCAGACTGGTCTTGAACTCCTGACCTCAGATGATCCACCCACCTCGGCCTCTCAAAGTGCTGGGATTACAGGTGTGAGCCACCATGCCTGGCTGATATTTACTTTTTTAAACATTTAATTGTTATTTTTGTAAAAATAGAGATGAGGTCTCACTGTATTGCCCAGGCTGATCTCCAATTCCTGAGCTAGAGTGATCCTCCAGCCTTGGCTTCCCAAAATGCTGGAATTACAGGTGTGAGCCACCACACCTGACCTGTTGATGGATATTTAGTTTGCTTCCACCTTGTGACTATTGTGAATAATGCTGCAGTGAACATAGGTATGGAAATATCTCTTCAAAATCCTATTTTTAATTCTTTTAGTTATATACTTAGAAATGGGATTGCTGGATCATGCAGTAGTTTTAGTTTTAATCCCCTACCTGTATTTCCTGGATTCATCACCCAAATAAACTATATGCTCCAAGCCTTTGTCTCGGTATGTGCTTCTGGCAGGAACCTAAGCTTAAGCTTGTCACTTGCTTCAGGTTACTCAGTCAATAAGTGGCTCTTCTGAATATCTATTGCTGTAAAATGAGCTGTCCCCAAATCCAGTGGCTTAAAACAACACTTCGCAATTACTTCTGCTTCTGTGAATTGGCTGGGCTCAGCTGGGTGGCTTTCACTTGGGGTCTGCCATGGCTGCAGTCAGGTGTTGGCTGGGGCTGGAGGGTCTGAAGGCTCGACTGGGCTGGAGGCCCACAGTGGCTCACTTGCACACTGGCCATTGATGGCAGGAAGCTCAGCTGAGGCAGTCTGCCAGAACTTCTGCAAGGGGTCTCTTCATGTGGTGAGGGCTTCCTCACAACATGGTGGCTGAGTTCTGAGCGTAGAGTCTCAAGAACAAACATTCCAAGAGACAGGAACAGGCAACTGTTAAGGGCCTTGTCTTTAAATGGCAGTGTCACTTGTGCCATATGCATTTTAGAGCGGGGTGAAGAAATGGACCCCCTGGTGGGATGGGGCAAGGCCATGCTGCAGAAGAGCATGTGGGAAGGGAGAGATTTTTGTGGCCATCTTTGGAAGACACAGTTGGCCATAGTGACAGAGGCAGTATTCAGACCCAGGCAGTCTGACTTGAGAAGCTGATTGCAACCTCTATGCTGCCTCCACTTGAGAACACATTCTGAGAATTCTTGACGTTTCTAAGGGACTGGAGAGCCAGCAATAATGGCAAACCTAAGAAATGCTATTTTTGTTTATTATGACCTCTTTTTAATGTCCAGACTGATGTGGCTGGGTGAATTACAGGTCTCAAGCAGATTCCAAAATGTAGAGACAGTAACCTTGATGTTGACTTTTGGAAAATTATAGAGCAGAGCGTGACATAAACTCATTTGTGAACAGCAGGGAAAAAAAATGCAGTGATGGTGAGGTGGGAGAGTTTGGTGGGGATGAGCTGTGCCCAGCTGTGGTGGGTGGCATAATGGCCCCCTAGAGATATCAGGTCCTAACCCTTGGAGCCTATAAATGTTACCCTGTAAGAAAAATGGGTCTTTGCAGAAGTGAGTAAGAATCTTGAGATAAGAGATTATCCTGGACTCTCCTGTGGGCCCTAAATGCCATCACAAGTGTCCATATAAGACAGAGTTAGACTTGACTCACACTCAGAGAAGAAAGCCATGTGAAGACAGAGAAGAGAAGGATTTGAAGACACTGGATGTGAGAATTAGAGTGATGTGGCCATAAGCCAAGGAATGCTGTAGCTCCCAGAAGCTGGAAGAGGCAAGGAACAGTTTCTCTCCTAAAGCCTCCAGAGGGAGCACAGCCCCACTGATGGATTGATTTCAGTTTGGTGGCACTGATTTCAGACTTCTGGTCTCCAGGACTGTGAGGTAATAAATTTCTGTTGTTTTAAGACCAAAAGTTCATGGTAATTATAGCAACCACAGGCAACGAATACACAAACCAACTTTCTTTTTAGACAGTACTGGATAATGGGGTAAATAAATTTGTGTCCAGCCAGCATTTTATGTTACTGTTTTTTTTTGTTTTTTGTTTTTTGTTTTTTTGTGAGACAGGGTCTTGCTATGTTGTTTATGCCAATCTCGAACACCTGGGCCCCAGTGATCCAGTCTCAGCCTCCTGAGTAGCTGGGACTACAGGCATAGGCCACCACCCCCAGCCGGCATTTTAATAAAGGATTGGCAAACTCACTGGTAATGACGGTGTTTTTTGGTGGGATTTATGGCAGATTGCACGTCTATCAGCAAAGTGTTTGCCATCAAGGAGTCCGTTGCCCTGGTGGTCATGGAGTACCAAAGGGCTCTGTGGTGAGCTCTGCCCTAGCCAATCAACGTTCAGTCCACTTTCTGGATGAAGATGGCAGAAAGTACAGGGTCAGATGTGCAGGTGACACATATTGGAGGGAACAGTGAAAGTGACAGCCAAATGGGAGATGAAAGTGATTTCGATAGATTGGAACTTTGGAGTAAGGCCAAGATCAATTGATATCAGAGAAAGTTAGGTTTTAAAGAGAAATCTGGTGTCCAAGCATAGAACCAGTTGAGGAGGTCTGGGCGGTCTGGGCGGTGTGTGTGAAAAGAAGCTCAGGGTTTCAGTCGCCACCAGCGTGGTGCTGTTTTTGTAAGGGGAACCTAATTTGGGGCACTATGGGACGATAGTGTCCAGTTCATAGAAGCAGATGGTCCCAGGGTGATCACGGCTGGTTGAAGCATACTGAACTACTTTGCTTCATTTTTAATACCCCTCCCCTTTTTGAAAATGTGTAGCAGGACAATATGGGATCAGGAAACCAAGTGTTCTGACTCTGCATTGTCTGCCCCTCCGTGTTCATTCTCTGACCTCCTCTACTCTGACCCCAGGAGGCTGACCTCTCTGGACGAATATTAGCTAGCTAATGCTGTGGAACAAATCATCCCGTGGAACAAAACATAGTGGCCTAAAGCAACAATAATCATTTAATGTCTCACAGTTTCTGTGGGTTGGGAATCCAGGAGTGGCTTCTGACTCATGAGGTTGGCATCAAGATGCAGCTGGGTTTGTAGTCACCTGAAGGCGTGGCTGGGGCTGGAGATGGCTTCCCACCACGGATGATGAGTTCGTGTGGCTGTTGGCAGGAGGCCTCAGTTTTTCACCTTCTGGACGCCTGCACAGGGCTGCTTAAGCAGCCTCACAACATGGCAGCTGACTCTCGCCATCGTGAGTGATTCAAGAGAGAGCAAGATGGAAGCCGCAATATCTATGATGACCTGGTCACAGTCTGTCATTTCCACAACTGGTAACACAGGTCAGCCCTATTTAATGTGGGAGGGGACTACATGAGGGCAGGATTGCCAGGAGGTGGGGTGCATCTGGAAGGCTGGCTGCCACAGGAACAGTGGGAGGGGATGTGCTGTGGCCAGAAGAAAATCAGGACAGACCAGAGCTGGAGGGTATGATCTGCCCCAACTCAGGTTGGCCAAGTTCAAGCCCCAGTTCCGGGATGGAGAGCTCCATGCCTTGGCCCTGCCAGTGGGACTTCTGCATGTGCTGGGAGAGAAGAAAGGTTTCCTTTGAGCCCTGCCAGGATCTTGTTACAGTCTCCACAGAGCAAGACTTCAGGGTCAGGGTGTTGCATTATGAAGACAGGAGCCGTGGAGCCTCCAGCAGGAGACAATGGCTTCCATTGAGATAATATGACTTAACGAGGCCACAAGTCCACAGCCACCACTCAGGAAACAATAACCATTTCAAGAGGGCACAGGAGGTGTTACAGAGAGGCGTGGTGACACACCCCACCCACCGTGGCCTCAGAGATGGTGCTAAGGGAGAAAGTTTGCTGGGATTTGTCTGAAAAGGTCAGTTATTAAAAACAGCTTCTGGCTGGGCGCGCTGGCTCACACCTATAATCCTACCAGTTTGGGAGGCCGAGGTGGGCGGATCACTTGTGGCCAGGAGTTCAAGACAACGCTGGCCAACATGGTGAAACCCTGTTTCTAATAAAAATACAAAAATTAGCTGGGTGCGGTGGCATGTGCCTGTAATCCCAGCTACTCAGGAGGCTGAGGCAGGAGAATCGCTTGAATCCGGGAGGCAGAGGTTGCGGTGAGCCAAGATCATACCACTGCACTCCAGCCTGGGTGACAGGGCAAGACTCTGTCTCTAAATAAATAAATAAATAAAACAGCCTCTTAAAAACACAGCGGCTTCTGACCTTCATGCACTTTGTTATTGCTCAGGCCAGGGTGGTGCTTTCCTGATTCCTTTTCCGAGTTTATGAAGGCACCGTTACTGCTTAGCATCAGGTGAGAAGAGAGGGGTACATTAGGAATTAGAAGAAGAAGGTTTGAGCATGACTTGTTTGAAACAGTCATGTGGGTCTCTCTCTGTTTCCCTGATGTCTGTCTTTGAGATCTTGTATCCAGCAGAGCGCTGGCTGACATCCTGTCCCAGGAGCAGAGAGTGCTATGTGTGGGTCCAGCCATTTGTCTGCTGGCAGGGGACTGGGGATGGGCTTGGGCCTTGCAGTTGAGCAGAATCCCACCCTCCACCACTGGGCCCTGGGGCTGGGCTTCTTGGTGTCATACCTGGAATTAGTATCAGTGAAGTACTACTCTGCCACGATGTCTCACAGCCAGGACGCGGAGAGCACAGAAAAATCCCCAAAGAAGGACCTCCCTTGGAAGATACTTGCCAACTACCAGGTCCCCCAAGACAGAAGGCACACGTGGGTAGACCTGGGTGTTCCTGATGGGAGTGCCCAGAAAAGAACCTCTCTTGGAAAGAAGGACCCTGCTGAACCAGGGCTTACAGATCATAGTTCCATGTGGAAGGCCCTCTGGAATATTTGTGAAGGCCATTGGGGAGGACAGGCTGGAATTTCCACCTGAGCTTAGCCACTTACAGATGGTATGACCTTTGTGAGTTAATGCGTGTCTTCGTGGAATGGCTGTCTGGCATTCTGTGGCCTTCCGGTGCATCTTTCCCCTTCCAGCAGCCCTCCAATTTTCTTTTGGGGAACTATTTGTCCTCTCCCTGGCTTGAACGTCATCAAGGAGGTTGCTGGAGGGGATGTCTGTGGGAGATGCAATTGACTCAAAGCCAACACAAGCTTGCTCCATACCTTTATTTACCTGAATGTCTGGGGTCTGGAACAGCTCTGAGTGAGTAGAATTTCCTGTAAGTGAAATCATATTTTAATTGCAGGGGGACATTTGCTTTTTAAAGGGAACTTGTTGAAAATATTTATAAAACAACAAAAAAATCATTTAGCTGTGCATGTAATTGCTCCCCAATTTCTGCACTAAATTCGTACTTTCTAATTGGGTTGTAAACTCTCAAAGCATCTGCACTGGGCTTGCTTCGGTTTGCTTCTCCTCCCTGCTCCCCTCCCAGCCTTGCCTGTTCCCTGTCTGCTCTGTGTCCTGGGATGCAGGGCTCTGGAGCCTGGAGCAGTGGGCTCCCATGATGTCTAGTTTCCAGCTGGGTTCACTCCACGGGATAGTGTGTGGAAGACAGGAGGGGAGGGAGTCTGGGTATCCACCTCCCCAGCCCTTCCTTTCGGATTCCCTGTGGGTCATGTACTTCCTCTTCCTAAAGGTCCTGGCTTCTGTCCAGGGAGCTCTCATTGCCACTACCCTCTTGGCTTCCTGTAATTACTTCTTCACTTTTAGGAATCGTCCCCTGATGTTGCTGGCCACAGAATTCTGAATTAGCCTGCACTGATTTCCTAAATCCTATCTGTGCCTTTGTAAATAGTCTCTTTATTAAACTCCCCTCAAACTGCCCAGTCTGAGTGTGCCATCTGCATCTCCAGGGACCCTGGAAGATGTGATATTCAAAATTTGATTTTGTACAATATTTTTAAAAGCTCTGTGGTGTTCTCTTTCTCTTTTGAAGGCCTCAGGAAAGATTTAGGATCTGTGTGTTCAATTGAATTGCTATTGTTTGAACTTTAAAAACCAGAGCTGACCTTTGGAGAAGAGGAGAAGGGTAGCTTTGTGTCTTTCTTCAGTGCAAGACTCAACTGAGTTTTAAAAGTCACAGCTGCTGGACCAAATTGAAGATGGTTTCATCCCCAAGGGCGATAGCCCCGGAAAGCTCAGAGTAAGTTACAACAGGACTGGAGAGAGACGGCACCAGGTCTGCTGCTGTTTTCACTACTGTGAGCCTTACATGAAAGCCAGATCAAGGGTTGGGGGCTGGAGGAAAGAAATCAGGACAGTAGGATGGCAAGTTCCCTGCTTTCAAAGGGGTCCTGAGATAGGGTTCTGAAGAGGGGAATGCATTCCGGAATCCACTGATAGTTACTAAGAAAAGACACAAGTCAATAAGATAAATATTGATGGAACGTCCAGTGGATTTTTCGTGGCTGCTCACCGGGACGCTGTCATCCCTCAGTGTAGAAGGTATTCAGGGACGGGAAGAGGTTCCTGAGGATGAGTGGATAGAAGTGGGTTGTGGTACAGTATGCAAGTATGAGCTTGCCTTTGTGGAAGGGAGAATGGAGTCTGTATCTATTTAGAGCATGTAAACTCATGAGCTGGAGGGGAGCCGTATACCTCACATGTGAGGTATAGCAGAGAGCAGGGACAAGGGAGAGAAGCAGATACCTAGAGACAGAGAGAACCAGTCGTGAGAACCTGCATGGAGTCCGTTGTTCTTATCAGGGGTCCCACAGCCCTTCGGTAAATCCCTCTTTGTCTCCTGGGCTGGCCTGAAGTGGGGTCAGTTATTTGCCACATTGAGAATTCTGAGACATTTAGCACTGCTGTGATCACGCCCATTTTCCAGATGCAGAAACAAAGGCTGAGAGAAGCCACGCAACTTGGAAGTAAATGGTGAAGTTCAGATTCGAACCCAGGTCATCTGAGCTGAATACTGATATTTGCCACGTTGCTGGAGCCAGGGGCTTCCAGGAGTTACTTGGAGGTGACTCTGAGGCACCTGACTCTGTTAGGGCATCAACAGAAAACCGTGGTACCTCAAGGGATTTCAAAAGAGATTTTCTTAATGGAGGGTCTGCTCCTGGTCTGAGTTTAGGGAAACAAGGGATGTTGAGGCACGCAGGCACTAGCAGCAGTGGGGAGCTGTTATGCCCTCCAGTGGAAGGCCATGGAAGAGTGTTTCCAGCTGCTGGGGAGAAGGGCAGCGTGGAGGAGGGCCACCGACTGAAGCCCCTGCCAGAACCATGGGGAGGGAGGGAGAGAAGAATGTGGGGGATAAATATTCTACACTTTGCCTCCCCACTGCCCCACCCCCCACAACCCCCATCTCCTGCCACTGTAGGCTATTGGCTGGATTAACCAGGAAGTGGAGGACCAGGGATCCCAGACAGTGCAGTCCCTAGGGCTCAGCCTTCCAGGGGGCAGGGCCAGGCAGGGAATGTTCGGGAAGCGATGGAAATACCCTAACCAGCACACTACTCACCCTGCGGAGTCCAGCTGAGTCCTAAATGCCTTTGTGAGCAGGACTTAGGGGAGCCCTGTGTGGATAAAGGGGCTTCCTGGAGAAGCAGCTGAGTGGAGAGAGGGAGGGGCTGCCCCAAGGGAGGCGTCCTCCTGGCTTGTCCCCTGGAGGTGGTGTCCCTCTATGCCACATACCCCTTCTCCCTCCCCTTGCCCCTTTCTCCCATTTTTTTGTCTCCATAGATTCTACTTTCTTTCTCTTTTCCCATAAAATGAAACCCACGGAGGAAAAGGGCAGCAGGGGCCCTTGCAGGGATCTCCCCTCACCCAAACTCCCCCTCCACACACTCCTAACAGGCATGGGATGCATGTGTGTTGCAGCTATGATTATTTATTCATTTATTTTTAGAGACAGGGTCTTGCTCTGTCAGCCAAGCTGGAGTGCAGTGGCACAGTCATAGCTCACTGCAGCCTTGAACTCCTGTGCTTGAGTGATCCTCTGCCTCAGCCTCCTGATTAACTGGGACTACAGGTGTATGCCACTGCACCTGGTTAATTTGTCTATTTTATTGTAGAGACAGGGTCTCGCGATGTTGTCTAGGCTGGTGTCGAATGCCTGGGCTCAAGTGGTTCTTCTGCCTCAGTCTGCCAAAGCGCTGGGATTACAGGCATGAGCCATATGAGTGAAGCAGGGGGGTGAGATCAAGGCTGGGAGAGACTTGGAATGGCAGTTCTGAGACAAGGATCTGGGCGCAGGAGGTTTATGTGTCAGGTGATTCCGAGGCACAAGGGAGGGGAGGGGGAAGGGGGACAGGAGACGGGGAGCCAACAGTGGCTGCATTAAAAGCCTGTTGCTAGTGTGGGCGCCTGGACTCCATTCTGTTAGAATCATCTGAGGACATAAGCCAAACTCTTATTGGTGAGGTTTGCTGTGGACAGCATTAAACCCTCATCAGTTCTGGGCTGTTCTACAGATAGTGGGAGTGATGGCACGTCTTTGTACCCATCACTGGTGGGTTGCAGGGTGGGGAAAGGCTGGTGGCAGGGGCCCTGATTAGGGGAGAGCCTGAATAAGCCCTTCAGCTGAACTTAGAGGGGTAAGGAGCCTTCAGAGAGGCTGGAGGCTGTGCACATGTCACCAGTGAGTGCCCGTGAGCCTGGAAGTGGCTGCTGCTTGCTGGACACACTGGAGTCTGGCAGGGTCAGCTGAGCAGCTCTTGTCTCCTCGGCTGTCCAGCCAGCCTGGCAGCCTCCTGGGACCTTTGATGACTTGATCCTAGTGCCTGGTGGAGGAAGGGAGGCGGTGGGCCCTCCAGGCCAGGCCACACAGACCAGCCTTTGTGCCGTGTGGCCTACGGGAGGTGTAGGCTGTCTGCACGCTCAGCGCGGCTGGGCCTCAACACAGGCTCTCTTTGTGGTGCCCAGGAACCAGGAGGTGCGGGGGTGGGACATGGTGGTGGGTGGCGCAGGAGCAGGTTTCCCCAGGAGCAGCCACGTTGTGACGTGTTGGGGTGACCGCCCCAACAGAGACTTGGGGGAAGGTAGCAGGCTGGGCCAAGGGGCACCAGCAGCTTCCGGGGGCTGGGGGTGGAAGGTTCCTGGAGGAGGTTCCCTCTGGCCAGCCCCGGGATTCCACACAGCAGGCAGAGGCCACCTCCTACAAGCAGCCCTCCAGGCCCACCTGCCTGGCCTGAGCTTAAGCCCCTCCTGACTCTAATTCTTGCTAATTAAAGCTGCCCAATGACTCAGGGCCCTTGGAACCTGCCGTTGGGCTTTTAACATCTCAGGAGCCACGGTTTCAAATGCACAAGCATGAATGTTTATAAGGTTTGTTCTGGCAAGATTCCTGGTCAACTGAAAGGGTCTGTGTGGGTCCATGGCATCTTAAGGCCCAGACCAGCTCCTCCTTGACCATTTTCCTGGCCTCATCCCCTGCTCTGTAATTTGCTCACATGGTCCTGCCAGGCAGGGCCAGCCTCATGGGCTTGTAACCTGTGGAGTCACATGGTGTCCCATGCCCAGATGAGCCCTTGCACTTGGCTTCGTACTCTGCTGTCACTATCTTGGAATTCTTAATACCTTTTGAACAAGGGGCCCACATTTTCATTTTGCACTGAACCCCACAAAAATATAGCCAGTCCTGCCTCAGGGCTCAGGGAGGGGACAGGAGAGCTCTCAGTCATAGCTCGAGAGAGTCCTTAGCCCACCTCCCCAACCTCTCCCTGACTCAGGCCTCCACCACCATGGCGGGGGCTAAGTGACAGTCTCTCTTTTTTTTTGAGACAGAGTCTCGCTCTTGTTGCCCAGGCTGGAGTGCAATGGTGCGATCTCGGCTCATTGTAACCTCCACCACCCGGGTTCAAGCAATTTTCCTGCCTGAGTCTCCTGAGTAGCTAAGATTACAGGTGCTCGCCACCATGCCCGGCTAATTTTTGTATTTTTAGTAGAGATGGGGTTTCACCATGTTGGCCAGGCTGGTCTCAAACTCCTGACCTCAGGTGATCCTCCGGCCTTGTCCTCCCAAAGTGCTGGGATTACAGACGTGAGCCACTGCGCCCGGCCAAAGTGACAGTCTCTTAAGCACTTTGTGGACATCAACTTACTCTGAAACCTCCTGCACAATTATTTTTTTTAAAAATAATTGCTTCATTAAAATTATATACACTTATTGTGAAATTTTAAACAATGTAGAAAAATACCAAGAAGAAAGTGAAGAAAAAATGATTCAAATTCCATTATGAAGAGATCACTGTTATTAGCATTTTGGTGAACTTTATTATGGTGCTCTGTGTGTGCGTGTGTATTTATATATATTTATATTCACACCTATATATATGTATCTACACACATTTACCTACATATAGTTTTATGTAAATGGGATCATAATGTACATATTATATGTCTGTGTGTGTATATATATTTAACAATATATTAAGTTTTGGGCAGTTCAAGGTCCAGGACCTATAGATTTATTTCACTAATTCTGACAGTTGCATGGAGTTCCATTGCACTTTAAACCATCATAAATGACTGACCCAGTCCCCTGTAGCTGCATGTGGCAGCGGCTGCCACATGTTCACTCTTAAAAACAAGGCCATGGGGTCTGGGCGCGGTGGCTCATGCCTGTAATCCTAGCACTGTGAGAGGCTGAGACAGGCATATCACCTGAGGTCAGGAGTTCGAGACCAGCCTGGCCAAGATGGCAAAACCCCATCTCTACTAAAAATACAAAAATTAGTCAAGTGTCGTGGCAGGCACCTGTAATCCCAGCTACTCAGGAGGCTGAGGCTGGAGAATCGCTTGAACCTGAGAGACAGAGGTTTTAGTGAGCCGAGATTGTGCCACTGCACTCCAGCCTGGGTGACAGAGAGAGACTCTGTCTCAAAAAAACAAACAAACAAAAAACAAGGCTATGGTGAACATTCCTACAGATACACCTTTGGTGGGGAGGGCAATCCTGGGTTTCCTGTTCCCTTGTTTATAACGGAGGGGCTGAAACGTTCAGAAGCCCCGAGCAGTGGGCAGTTAGATGGGGGCATATTTCAACCCCTGGGGTTGAAGTGGTTGTTCCCAAACCTGACTGTATTTTCATTCTCCGAGGCACGTGTTGAATATCCCAACCCAAATCTCCGGGGACCCAGTCACCCTGCTGCCCTTTGCACAGGCCCCAGAGACTTGTTCTTTTTTTTTTTTTTTTTTTTAATTTTTGTTTGTAGAGATAGGGTCTTGCCATGCTGCTCAGGCTGGCCTTGAATGCCTGGGCTCGTGATCCTCCTGCCTTGGCCTCCCAAAGCGCTGGGAGTATAGGTGTGAGCCACCGAGCCCAGCTGACTTGCTTCTTTAAATTAGTTCCTAGCAGACCCACTTGTGCTTTCCTCCTTTGCCTCTGGCCCTGGGTGTCCTCTCTGAGAAGGGACAACGACAGCGCTCTGCTCTGAGGAGCTGGCTCAGTTGCCTGTCACTTGGATGATGCCTCGTGCCATAGCTTTGGACATCTCCATCAGCACTGCGTCCCCTGCCTTGCAGCACCTGACATAATGGCAGGTGCCCAACAAGTATCTTTGCATTGGATGAAAAGTCTTCTTGGCCAGGCGCAGCGGCTCACACCTGTAAACCCAGCACTTTGGGAGGCCGAGGTGGACAGATCACCTGACGTCAGGAGTTCAAGACCAGCCTGGCCAACATGGTGAAACCCTGTCTCTACTAAAAATACAAAAATTAGCCGGGTGTGGTGGTGGGTGCCTGTAATCCCAGCTACTTGGGAAGCTGAGACAGGAGAATCTCTTGAACCCAGGAGGCGGAGGTTTTAGTGAGCCGAGATCACACCACTGCACTCCAGCCTGGGCAACAAAGAGCGAAACTCTGTCTCAAAAAAAAAAAAAAAAAAAGAAAAGAAAAGTAGTTTCACATCCTTTTTTTTAAATTTCCCCTCAACATTTTATTATAAAGATTTTCAAACACACAGAAAAGTTGAATGCATTTTCCAGTGAACACCCACATATGTACCCCCTAGATGGCATTTTACTGTATCTCTTCATCACACAGCTCTGCATCTACCCATTACTTCATCTTATTGTTTTCCACCTTTCAAGGGGAGCCACAAACCTCAGTACACTTCACTCCCAAAGGTCTCCACATGTATATCATTAAGTAGCATTCAGGAATGCCTTTATAGTTCATTTTAGGTAAAATTTACATAGAGTGAAATGTTCCAATCTTAAGTGCACCATTTGCTGGATTGTGACAAATGCAGACATCTGTTAAATCAGACTCCTCCCAAGGGAAGGATGTTCCCGTCCCCTCAGAAGGTTCCTTCGTGTCCCTTGCCAGTCAGGCCACCCCCACACTGCCCCCTGCGGCAACCCCTGTTCAGGTTTTTATTTCATTATAGATGAGTGTTTCCTGTTCTAAAACTTCTTAGAAATGATTTGTACTGCAGGTGCCCTTCTGAATTCTGGCTTCTTTCCCTCCCTGTAGCGATTCTGAAATCTGTCCTCGTTGCTGTGGGTTTCAGTAGCTTGTCCCCTGCTGTTGCTGAGCGGGGTCCCCCTGTGTGCATGTACCTACCATGGGGTGTTCATCCCTCCCACTCTGTATCACTCAGCACACATTAAAACACCCTTATATACTATCTCTCACTCAACTCAATTTGCCTGAGGTCCCACTGCCAATTCAAGGGCAGTCAGGATTTGTCTCTATGTTTCCAGGCAGGGAACCCATCCAAAGGTCACCGATGAAGACCTGCCCAATCTTACTGGCCCTCCGGTGGCCTCTACTCAATCTGCCCCCTGCCCCAGCCAGCACTGCAGGGCTTCCTGACGGTGGTGGGTACGTTGGCTGCCTCGGCTTCCTCTCCTCATGTTCCCCCTTCAATTCACTGCAGGCTGGCTTTGGCTGCCCCTTCCCATCTTATCAGTCCTCCTAGTAACATCCAACGCGGCCACCCCCGCTGCTCAGAGAAACCTCCCCTCTGTTGCCCTCTGTGCTCACCCGCCTGCCTCCACGGCTGCTGCGACTCAGTTTCCTTGGCTGTCCCTCCTCTCGGTGACCTTCAGCGTTGAGGAGTCTTCAAGGTCTAGCTCTGGACAGTTGTCTCTGCTCTCTGAACTCTCACTTCCTACAAGGTTGCATCCAGAACCATGGCTTTAAATTCCACCCAGGTGCTGGTAACGCCACAGCCAGACCTTCCCTTAATTCCGGAATCTCCAGGCTTGGATAACCATAATCTCCACTTCAGGCTCAAATAATCCTCCCAAATTTAACAGCACCAGAAACAGAAGCCTTGGTTCCCCTCTCTAGTCTGATCCTGCCCTGCCCTCCCATCCCCAGTAAGTGGTCCCATGAACCCAGAGGTAGCTCAAGCCTGAAGCCTGGGGGTTGTTCTTGATTTCTCCCATGTCCTTGTCTCCTACATCTAACTTATTACCAATCCACAGAGCATCCATCTCCAAATCACATGCTTTTTTTAAACCATAGTGTGGAGGTATGATTGACACACAAAAAGCTGTAGGTTTTTTTTTTGTTTGTTTTGAGACGGAACTTTGCTCTGTCTCCCAGGCTGGAGTGCAGTGGTGTGATCTCGGCTTGCTGCAACCTCCACCTCCCAGGTTCAAATGATTCTCATACCTCAGCCTCCCGAGTAGCTGGGATTACAGGCATGAGCCACCATGCCTGGCTAATTTTTGCATTTTTAGTAGAGATGGGGTTTTACCATGTTGCCCAGGTGGTCTCAAACTCCTGACCTCAAGTGATCCACCCGCCATGGCCTCCCAAAGTGCTGGGATTACAGGCATGAGCCACCACGCCCAGCCTGTAGATATTTAATGTATACAACTTGATGGATGGAGATATGTACACACCTGCGAAAACATTCATCAAGGCCATAAACTTATCCATCACTCTAAGTGTCCTTCCGTCTCCTCTGTTTCTTTTTCATTTCCTTATGTGGTAAGAGGACTAAACATGAGATCTACTCTGTTAGCAAATGTGTAAGTGTACAGTACAGTATTGTTAATCACAGGCCCTAGTTGTACAGTAGATCTCCAGAATGTATTCATCCTGCGTAACTGAGACATTGTACCCTTTGACCAACATCACTCTGTTTCCCCCTCTTCCCAGTCCCTGGCAATCATCATTCTACTTTCTGCTTCTATGAGTTTGGCTGTTTTCCGTTCCATGTATAAGAGAGAAAGAGCAGTATTTGATTTTCTCTGTCTGAGTTACTTCAGGATCTCATCATGTCCTCCAGGTCCATCCATGTTGTCACAAATGGCAGGATTGATCCCTCTCTCCCTTCCTTCCTTCCCTCCTTTCTTCTTTCTTTCTCTTTTTTAGATACCGGGTCTCGCTCTGTTGCCCAGGCTGGAATGCAACAGTGCTGTCATAGCTCAGGGCAGCCTCCAGCTCCTGGGCTCAAGTGATCCTCCTGCCTCATCCTCTTGAGCAGTTCAAACTACAGGCATGCGCCATGATACCCGGCTAATTTTTAAATTTTTTGTAGAGACAGGATCTTGCTTTGTTGCCCAGGCTGGTCTCAAACTTCTGGTTTCAAGTGATTGATTCTCCTGCCTTGGCCTCCCAAAGTGCTGGGATTACAGGTGTGACCAACCACCCTGGCCCTGGATTTCCTTCTTTTTAAATGTCGAATAATATTCCCTCATAGGTGTATACTACAATTTCTTTATCCATTTTTCCACTGACGGACATTTAGGTTGTTTCCAGATCTTGGCCATTTGTGAGTAACACCGCAATGAACCTGGGTGCGCAGATATCATCTCTTCAAGATCCTGATTTCAGTTCCTTCAAATACAATCTTAAACCTCTCCCCTTCTTTACCCCCACTGCCACTGCCCTAGTCCTTGGGCCATGCTTAAACTACAAGTATTTCTGGTTTATCTGTAATTCAGATGTAACTGGCTGCCCTGCCTGTGAGGGGCTGCAGCCGGCTAGCACCTCCTCTCTAACCTCGTCCCCACTATGGAGTTCCTGTTCCTGCTACCCAGGCCAGGCGGGCTCAGAGTGAGCCAGGACAACCCCCTGCCTCCGCTTCTTTCCCCCTGCCTCCGCTTCTTTCCCCCTGCAGGCATCTGAGGGGGAAGCAGATCCTCTGCAACCGCGAGATCTGAGATGTCTCCGCTGCTCAGGCAGAGCGGGGTCTCTGCCCTACTGCTCAGACACAGGCGTTCCACTTGGCTTGCTGTCAAGAGACTGACTCCAGAGCTCTGATTTTAAGGATCGAGGAGACTGACATCTGTGAGGATCCCAGCAGAGGGCCTGCCTGGCTTACTCGGGGCCAGTACATGGCAGTGCCCCCTTGGTCCTCCTCATGCCTGCTTCCCCCTGGGCACAGACAGGGGCTGGGCTGGTGAGGAAGCCATTCTCCAGGGGGAGCAGATCTGACAGGACTCATTTCTCCTCTCCCTGAGCAGGCTTCTTTTAAAACTACTGCATGTTTGGCCAGGTACCGTGGTTCATGCCTGTAATCTCAGAACTTTGGGAGGCTAAGGTGGGTGGATCAGCCTGGGCAATATGGTAAAACCCTGTCTTTACAAAAAACATGGAAAAAATCAGCCTGGCATGGTGGCAAGTGCCTATAGTCTCAGCTACTCGGGATGCTGAGATGGGAGGATCACCTGAGCCCGGGAGGTTGAGGCTGTGGTGAGCCATGATCATGCCACTGTACTCCAGCCTGGGTGACAGAGTGAGACCCCGTATCAAAACAAACGAAAAAACTCCCCAAAACCCCCCACTGCATTTTAAACCATGCACAGTAGTGAGCAGTCCTGTTTCAGGGCAGTTCTGGGAATTACAAGGACAAAATCTGGCCTTCTGCCTGGTGGAGCAACGTGGGGGTGTGGACGCCTGTGTGTGAACGCCCCTCACCCACGTGGGACAAAGTCCATCCTCTGTGCCAGGCCCTGGGCAAGCCAGCCCGGCTGATCCACCTTGCTCCTCCCCCTCTCTTCTTTGTGTTCCCTGCAAACTCCTGCCAAGTTTGCAAGCAGAAAGAGCTGACGGTTTGGGGTTGTGCAGAACATTCCTTTCTAGAATAGAAGTCAGCTGGTGGGGAAGCAGATGCCCCTTACTCTCGGTGCCTCAACTTCCTCATTGGCCTAACGGGGCTTAGGAATTCTGCCTGCTTCTCCTGGAGAGCACAGGGGACCCACCAGGCCCCCAGTGCTCAGTAAGAGGGGTACCTTCTGTCCATGCAAGTGGCCCTCCTTTGAGACCCAGCGCCCGACTGCCCAACAACTTGGAGCTGTTTCCTCCTTGTTCGTAGCACTTTCTGGCCTCTTCCCTTGCCGTCTTCAGTGGGTGGCATGGTGGCCCTTTCTCTTTACATTTTTTTCTGGCACTAGAATCTGAGCTCCTTGATCTGCAGGGATTGTGGTTTCCCCACACAGTGCCTGGCACACAGATAGTGCTCAATAAATGCTCACCACGGCAGAATTTAACTGTCTTTGAGGTATCCAGAATATAGAGACAGGTTCCTCCAGCTTCCTACTCCCTCAGGCCTATTCTAAAACAAAACCTGAATTTCTGTCCCTGAAGGCAGGTCCTCCTTTAGCCAACTGCAGGTCTCCTTAGGAAGAGTAAGATTCCAAGTCCTAATTTATCCTTTTTATACCTAAGGTGGATCAGCCCTGATTTTATGCTGGGACCTTTACTTGTACTATTTTATTTAATCCTCAAGATAACCCTATGAAGTAGGTACTGTTAATATCATCCCCATTTTACAGATGCAAAAACTGAGGACCAGAGAGATTAGGCAACTTGCCCAAAGTCACACAGCCAGCAAGCAGTGCACAAGGGATTTGAACCCAGACCCTTCTGATACCAGAGCGAATGCCCTTGAACCTCTGGGCTACACTGCCTGAGGGCTGCAGGGCTCTAAAGGGATAAGGAAGGAAGCTTGGAGGGACTGAGTGCCAGGGGAGTGAGAGGGGTGTGTGTATGAGTGTGTGGGTGGGTGGGGCTTTGCAGGGAGGCGGTTGCTACAGAGGGGCAGGGGAAGGGGGGTGCTGGAACGTGGGGAAGGTAGACAGAGGAGCCCCAGAAGCAGTCAGCTGTGCTGACGATGGATGGGGCAGGAGAAGAGAAACCCCAGGCAAGGGAGGTGAAGCTCTGAGCGGCCACACCAAGCTCTCCCTCCTGCCCAGGGCACAGCGCCAGGCCTTACTTTTGAAGCTAACGAGAAGCAGATGAAGGAGTGGGATGGGCTAGAGGCGGAGACTGCCTCTGCTACGTGGCACCCCTCGGCAAGCCTGGAGCTTCTGCCAGCGGCCAAGAGTGGGGCAGGGCCTTGCAGCTGGACTGTGGGTCTCCCTCAGGGTTTACTACAGCTTGGACTTGCCAGTGCAAGAGGGTGGATCTTATTCAAAGATAGGTTCAAACATTAGCAGCCTCAGTGAACGATGCAGCCTGGGCTCCATGGAGTTGCTACCACCCATAAGAGGGTGTCCCTCCTGCCATGGGCTTCCCTTTCCTTCCCTGACACATGGACAATCCAGCCCACAGGTCTGAGCCCCCCAGAGCAGCTGGCTCCCAGGCTGCGCCATCCCTTCCAGGGAGGGGTGGGAGTGGGTAGTGCAGGTGCTTGGAAGCCAGAGGGGTGGCTCTGAAGGGATAGCTAGGATTCAGGATCCAGGGAGAGCACTGGGGGCTGGGGTGGCAGCCCCCTGTGGGCCAGGACTGGGTGTGTTGGTGACAGCAGCATCCGCAGCACCTTGCATGGTGTGCCTAGTCGATGCATAATCAACACTTTAGTTACGTCACATAACGGCTCTGTAAACAGGATCTGGAATCAGCCATGGGCTTGAACCTCAGTCCCACTATTACTAGCTCAGCAGAGGGCTTGACCCCCCTCCCCAACTTTTTTAGTGACAGGGTCTTGCTCTGTCACTCAGGCTGGAGCGCAGTGGCATGATCATAGTTCACTGCAGCCTTGAACTTGTGGGCTCAGGCGATATTCCAGCTTCAGCCTCCGGAGTAGCTGGGATTATAGGCGTGTGCCACCACACCTGGCTAATTTTTAAATTTTTTGTAGAAATGAGGTTTCACTTTGTTATCCAGGCTAGTCTTGAACTTCTGGGCCCACGTGATCCTCCCGCCTTGGCCTCCCAAAGTGCTGGAATTACAGGCACGAGCTACTGTGCTTGGCCAGGGCTTAACCTCTTTAAGCTTCCATTTTCCTATCCGAGGCTTCCAACTCAGGCAGCTCTGAGCCAGCTCTGAACCAGTCACGACTTGCTGCCTCTTAAAGGTGCAGAGCTCAGCACAGTGCCTGGCACATAGTAAGTGCTTAGTAAAAGCCATCATGGACATTTAATTCACAAACAGGTGGAGGATGCAGCAGAGTGTCCTGGGTCTTCCTGAAAGAAGTGAAGTGATGGCATTTTGTACTTTTCATCATTCATTCATTCAATCTTCATTCAACTCTCCTACAAACCTGGCCTAAAATGCAGGCAGAGTTGGTGTTGGGGAAGGAGATGGCTGTGGGTCCATTATACTCCATGAAGCCTGTTTGAGGGAAAGAAGCAGAGAGCCCTTCAAGTGAACCGGAGGGAGACGGGCTCCTATTAGGAAACCCTGGACTCAGGGAACTGATTACCAGAGGAGCCTCACAGCAGCCTCCTGGGAACGGAAGGTTACCAGGCAATCCGGGGCTGGGTCACTTCTCTGCCGGCCTGTGCTAGTCTCCCTGCGCACTGACTATCCCCGCGAGACTCTTCTGCTCCCCCAAACTCAGCATGCAACAGACTACGGGTTGCCGTGGTAACAACCAGGGCTCCAGTTTTATATGTTCTTACCACTTCCGGGTCAATACCACTTCCAGGTCAATACCACACCCGGGTCAATACTACCTGACTGTGGTTGGGTCTTTTTGAGTTCAAATTCTGTCGCCCTCTCATAAGTGGGGGGGCTATCTGTCTCAAACCTGATAGTTTGCTTCTTCCTCATCAGCAAGAAGGGGGATCACACTCCCAAAAAAGGTAGGCACGCAAAATTGTCTCCTATGAACAGAACAAAAGACCAGCACCTCCCAGCAGCCTTTTCAGATAACTATCTTCACACCATTTACACCATCTTTATTTATCCTCTTACCTCTCTTTCTCCAGGACTGTTAAGAAGCTGAGAGCCACAGTAAAAAGCCACAAGGATGTCCCAAGTTACATTTCCAACCTTGTCACCTGCTTCCTTCACAAACCCACTTTTCTGGGCAGAAAAGTGCACCCTGCCAGCAGAACACGCCTGGTTCCTTCCTCCCTCCAAACTTCCGCCCACACTCGCCTCTGTAGCCTCTGTAGCCAGATGTGCTCCTCTTCATATCATTTTTTTTTTTTTTCTTGAGAAAGTTTCTTGCTCTGTTGCTCAGGCTGGAGTACAGTGGCATGATCATGGCTCACTGCCACCTTGACCTCCTGGGCTCAGGCGATCCTCCCACTTCAGTCTCCAGAATAGCTGGGACCACAGGTGCACACCATGCCCAACTAATTAAAAAAAAATATTTTTTTGTAGAGACGAGCTCTCACCATGTTTCCCAGACTGGTCTAGAATGCCTGGGCTCAAGCGATCCTCCCTCCTCAGCCTCCCAAAGTGGTGGTATTACAGGTGTGATACCTAATTCAAGAGTTAAATAACATTAAAGAATAATTTGGAGGCTCCCTCCCAGCCTCCAAATCTTCACCAGCCCTCAAAATTAAGCTCAACTTCTGTCTCCTCCAAGAATTTTCCACAGGATTCCAATCTGGAGGGATCAGTGTCCTCTAAGTGTAGCCTTTATTGACTCTTCCACCATTTGGTCTCCTATATTACCATCAGGAAAAATTAGTAAAAGACTTTCAAATGGACAAAAAAGAGCAAATGTCACTGAATGTCCAGCCTAGAGCACTCTTCCAGTTTATCACTGCCTTCCATTGCCTTTGAGCCATTTACAACTCTATAAGTCACAGAGAACTGATAATAGTGCAAATGACTTGAGTTCATAGAAATGCAAATTCCTTGTGTCCCGGGGAATGTACTCGATGGTTGCCCTGTGGATAAACTTCCTCTGCAAGTTCATTTCAGCCTCCTGTTGACTTACATGTGTGTGGTTCTTGGAATTCTCCTTTTAACCAGTTAGAACATCTTAACTACTTCCCATTAATTAATGAGTTAAATAAAATCTTTATATTTTAATGAGAGTCATAATTTTGTCTTTTTTCCAAAAATTATTCTTTAATGTTATTTAACTCTTGAATTAGAAAATATAATGGCTTGGCACCCTGTATCCGTCAGTGTTTTGGGGAGTAGGCAATAGAAAGGGGAAAGGGGGCTGCCAAAAAACAACTGTCTACCCATCTTTCCTTGACAACTAAATTGTGCACTCTGGGCGGGGTGTAGTGGCTCACACCTGTTATCCCAGCACTTTGGGAGGCCACGGTGGAAGGATTGCTTGAGGCCAGTAGTTCAAGACCAGCCTGGACTCTGTCTCTACAAAAAAATAATAATACCTAAGAAATTAGCCAGCTGTGGTGGTGCACACCTGTATTCCCAGTTACTCAGGAGGCTGAGGTGGAAGGATCACTTGAACTCAGGAGTTTGAGGCTGCCGTGAGCTATGACTGCACCACTGCACTCCAGCCTGGGTGACAGAGCAAGACCCTGTTGCTAAATTTTTTTAAATTGTGAGTTGTGTGAGTGCTATATCTAGAAAGTTCACATATTCCTCTTTTCTCTTTTTTACATAATGAGGGATTACTAAGGGGGCTAGTGTACTAGACCCTGTGGAATTATTCTAAAGGAAGTCCAGGGAAAATACGAAATCAGAGAACGTCTGAGCTGGATGAGGTCAGAGAAGCTGCCTTGAGCAAGTCTCTCATTTTTCTCCTGAGGACACCGGGCTGCCTGCGCTGGGGGGTCTGTGTGGCCTGTCAGAGAGTAGGATTTGGGGATTCTCTGACAACTGTTCATGAAATGGGGCATGCTCACTTACCCCAAATCTGGTTATGGTAACGAGTTGGGGGGAACGGCCACCAGCTGATTGGAAACAGAGCCTCCCGAGGCGCATTGGGCTTCCGGGCTGTTTCCCAGCCTCCTTGGCAGCGGACTCCTCTCCCGAGGTATGTTTTGCCGACGTGGCTGGCCGTGGGAAGCTGGGAGGCACACTTTTCTGAAGATCTGTTTGCAAAATTGAAACCCTGCTTTTGAGAACCCTTCACAGTTCGCAGCTGTGAGGAGATGGGAGCGCGAGGCCAGGAGCAGCCTTCCAGCAGCTCTGAGACCCACCAGTGTAACCCAGGATGCCCTCGGCTTGGTCTGGGGCTTCAGCAGCCATGCCTCCAGCGTGTGCCCCTCAGGGGCCCTTTCGGGGAGAACACCCCGTCTTCTCTTTGCTGGGGCTGTTGACCTGTCTTCTCCCTCTCGGTTTCCTCCACTTTAGCTCCCATACCTGGTTTCTGGAAGGCAGGGGTGCAGCTGCAGCTATGGGGCTTCCATCCACTCACCTCACCTTGGGGAGACGAGGGTCCCACACACGGGTGTGGCCACAGGCAGGACTGGGGTGGTCTGGGGTGGGGTGGAGGGCTTTCTGGCAGACAGGTCGCGTGGTCTTCTCCCAGTGGGAAGAGGTGCCTGAGAAAGGCAAGAGCAGGAAGCCAGGCGTCCAGGTCTCCACTCCTCGTTATGGTAACTCTCGTTCCCAACTCCAGAGGGACCCAGTCTGTCCCATTGCAGCACCCCTACTCCTATAACCTGTCTGGAAACAGAAGAGGAAAGGAGGGATGGTGCAGGATGGGATTGACACTACCGATTTCTGACTTATGTTGACTGCTGCATTCTACTTAATCTTCATCACCATCACTGCAGTGCGAGGTAGGGATTATTACCCATCTTACAGATGGTGAAACTGAGGCTGAGAGTGCCCGAAGGCAGTGAGCTCAGTCCTGCCAGCTACCAAAGCCCACAGTCTCCCTATGATACCAGGCTGAATCCTCTCCCTCACAGCCCTCGCCAATTCTTCAGTTTTGTTAATCAGTAAATACCCAAAGTGTCATGGACTGATTAGCAAGACAGACAAGAAAGGGGGAGTCAAGATTTTTCCACTTTGTCTTGTTTTAAAAACTCTTGCACACTTTTGCTTTCCTATTTGAAATGGTCTTGGGTGTGGGTTTTGGAAGCAGCTCCAGATCCCTTAGAGGGGAATTTTCTTTGCATTTTCTTGCAGAGGTTTTCAGCAGGAAGGGTGGAAGTTGCCCTTTTCTTTCCTCACTCAGGAAAGTGGAGGGAACTGAGTGAGGACCTCACCATGGCTGCGGGCCAGCTGGGGCTTTTTGTTCCTTAGGGTTTGCTGGTTGGCCCAGGAGTCTACCAGCTACGCCCATGGGCACAGCTCTCCCCCATCAGGGGTGGCGGCATGGTGGGGGAAGGTGTGCATATCCCCAAGTAACACCCACCACTGCTTATTCAGCCACTCAAGCCTCAATTTCTCCATCTGTTAAATGGGAATAATGATAGAACCCACCTCCTGGGGTGGTTGTGAAGATTAAGATGGGTTTATGCATGTGACTGTCAAAACCACTATCAGGATTGGATACTCACCAAAGCTCCCCGCTCCCCAGATGATCTCTGGAATGAGACTTTCTATTTTCAAGAAAGACTCACACAGTCTTTCATGTTGTGGGGTGCTCCCAACTATTTTACTTTAAACAACCAAGTGCTGTTTAGGCGAGATGTTATCTGAAACAACCTTGATCGGTGGTTTTTTTTTTTTGGCTATTTACTAAGGTTATCTTGAAGGAATTGCTAAAAAGGAAGCTAGGAAATGTAACCCAGATTTGGAACAAATTTCCAAGGGTGTGGCATCACAGTGTTGCACTATGAGAGTGAGCGAGTCTTTTAAGGACACTTAAGAAAGCCATACCATCCGTGGTTACATTATGGAGAGCACGCATTGGCACCTCTGAGATGAATGGAACAGCCAGCTGCCCTAATGTTATGCAAATAGGTGCTCAAGGCTTGGGATAAAAATTTCAGTGAAAGCATCCTACAGATTCCAAAAATGCTGTATCGCCAAGAACCCAGAGGGGAGGAAAGAAGATGTGCTTGGGAAACTAAGATGATTCAAAAGGTGGCTTTGATGATGACAAAGACCATGAGAGCAATGATGAATTGGAAGAGCTGGAATAAAACTGAGTCATGGAATGAGGGCAGAGATAGCAACTTTTCTAAATTAATATATCATTAACATATAATATGTGATTATAAGCATGTAGGGTAAATTAAATGTTATAGATATTTAACTCTTTTATCTACTTATAAAAAGATTATATATTCAATTAGGTCACAAATCCTCTGGGTCTTTTGAGTGGAGAAGTGGGCAATGATCATATTTTGGGGTTGTGTCATATTTGGGTGCTGGAGGGATGCTGCTGGTGCCTTTGCAGAAGGCCTGACTTGTGGCTCTTTTGCCCCAGGTTCCTGTTCTTTGGGCTGCCTGCAGTGGGGATGGCTGGAAGTGCCAGGGAATTAATACAGCCTTGGAACAGCCCTCAACCAATGGCTGATGGGATCTGGGGCATAAATTCCCCAGTGCCCTCATCCCTGGATGAGATGATGCTGAAGTGTGCGCGCTGCACTGGCTCCCAGAGTCCCCAGGGGGCTTGAGCTCCAGCGGCCCCAGCCATAACTTGCTTCCCTGGCTGTCTTCCATTCTCTGTCTTTCTTCCTTGTGCTTCCAGGATTCCCTCCAAAGAAAGTCAATGGACTCAAATCCTTGTCTCAGAGTTCACTTTTGGGGAATTCCAACCTACAAGCACATATGATAAAGGACAACGATTGTTATGATCACTCTTGTTATTATTTTGATAAAGTTCAGGAAAATGAAGTGAACGCTTCGTGTTCTCTGTCCGCAGAGCTTGTGGGAGTCAGGCTAGGAGAATCTTTGAGATCTGGTCAGGAGCGGGGATGTCTGACTGTATATTCATCTCAAAGCAATCTCAAAGTGATATTCTCTTTCCCTCTCATTCAATTATATGCTTGAGCAGCTAAGCCAAAAATCGGTCCATCCAGAGCAATTAAAGGCTTCCTTTGCCAGACCTTGGGGATTTCTCTCTGATCAACGAGAAAAACACTGCAGCTGGAAAACAGCTGAAACCAAGAACAGGGCAGTCAGGTCTTAGCTGTTCAGATGGGGTAAAATTTGTTTTTAAAAGATCCACTAAAATTTGTTTTTAAAAGATCCTTTTATATTTTCAATATGGGATGGTGGGAGGAGGGATGTTATATAAACGATCAGATATTTCATAGTTTTCCAGCCCTGTTGCCTCCAAACTGGACTTTATTTGTGAAAATTTCTATGGGGCCCCACATACCAGCTCATGAACCACAGTAAGGTAGTTGTTATTATATTTATGCTTAATAATAAAATAATAGCAGGAATCATGTAACATGTAGTTACAATGTGCTGGTCTCTGTGCTAAGAACTTCACTTGTATTATCTCAGCTGACTGATGATACTATAGAGTGGTCAGTGTTATCATCTCTGTCGTATAGATGCAGCTACTCAGCTCAGAGAGGTCAGAGAGGTTGAGTAACTTGTCTGAGATCACACAGCCAGGAAGTCACAGAATGGGGTTACAATCCCAGGCAGTTTGGCTTTAAAGCCTAGGTTCTTTGATATCTGACTTTTTCTAACCTGGTGGAAGGAATGTCTTGGCTGACTTCATTGCCCAAGGCTGGACTCGCCCTGAGCTGCCTTCCTTAAGGAGTTGAAACAAGGTGGGTTTTAGTTCTCATGCTATTTCTCCCTGCCACTCTCACTTATGTAGATGTCAGAGAGTTTTGTAAACTGGGTTTCCCTGGGTCTCAGCTGCCTGTAGCTGCAGAAGGTGGCACAGCCTAATGGTGGTGGACATTTCCTGGGCCTGTGGTGTGCAGCTGCGGATGTGATCCTCCAGCCCCTAGGAGACACCTCAGTGTGCAGCCACTGCGGTGTTTGGGAACAGCGGAGTGATTGTTTATCTAGAAATACAGGGTAAATGCAGAAAATACACGACGCTAGTCATGAGCCATCTTAGGTGACCCCCTTTCAAGAAGCAGGCACCAGGAGACTTGGGGGTGTCCATGGAGTCAGGGAGTGGATAAAGAACAAGGAAAGTCTCCCAGGACGTGTTGGGATGCTACAGGGAATAGAGCCGTCCCAGCTTCTCCTAGCCATCATTCACTCTGTGACTGAGGCCCTATCACTCCTCTGCTCCACCTCCTTCTCTGTGAAATGGGCAGATGTTGGCCAGGCGCGGTGGCTCACGCCTGTAATCCCAGCACTTTGGGAGGCCGAGGCAGGCTGATCACAAGGTCAGGAGATTGAGACCATCCTGGCTAACACGGTGAAACCCCGTCTCTACTAAAAATACAAAAAATTAGCTTGGCATGGTGGTGGGCGTCTGTAGTCCCAGCTACTCAGGAGGCTGAGACAGGAGACTGGCGTGAACCCAGGAGGTGGAGCTTGCAGTAAGCCGAGACTGTGCCACTGCACTGTACTCCAGCCTGGGCGACAGAGTGAGACTCTGTCTCAAAAAAAAAAAAAAAAAAAAAAAGAAATGGGCAGATGTTTTAGGGGAGGCCAAGAGGCCCCTCTCTATGATCAGTAATCAGTGGGCAACATTTCCTGCAGGAGACATTCTTCCCTACCCTTGGCTCCATGCAGTGTCTGCTGTCTCCGTGTCCTTAGTCCTTTGGCCCAGGGCATGGCCTGTCTGCGGGTCAGTGTCTCCTTGAGGATCCAGCTGAGCCATAGGTCCCTGAGGTCAGTGAGTGGGGACTTCTTTGTGTTTAGATTTTCACAGAGTAAATCTAGCACAGTGGTTCCCAACCAGGGATGTTTTTGCTCCCCATAGGACATCGGAAATCTCTGGAGATATTTTGGGTTGTCGAAATGGGGAAGAGATTGCCACTGGCATCTGGGGAGGGAGAGGCCAGGATGCTGCTGAACATCCTCCAATGTATAGGATGGTCCCTGCAGGAAAGAACAGACTGGGTCACCATGCGCTGGTGCCAGGTGGGAACACTCTGGTCTAGAGGAAGACTAGGTGGATTCAGGACTGTGGGTCCCAGGTACTGTGGCAGGCCCTTGCTTTTCCTCCTCTTTAAATTCCTTCCCCCAGCAATCAAGAGAAGACCACTAAATAATTATGGCTCAGTCAAGTCACAGTTATTCTTTTCTAAAAACAAGTAATACATGCACTTCATAAGAGACTCTACAAAATGCCCTTCCTCACAAGGGCACACAAGGAAAACTAATGATTTTGCATACCCATGCACACTGGCCCCCTAGTCCCTGCAATGGGGGTGTTCACTGTGAACACGTTTCTTGTGTATCCTTTTAGAGTTTCTCAATCTCAGTACGAATGACACTTTGGACCAGAGAAGTTGTTGCTGTATTGCAGGGGCTGTCCTGTGTATTGCAGGATGTTTTGTAGCATCCCTGGTCTCTCCCCACTCGATTTTTGTAGCACCTTCCTCGTTGTGACAGCTAAAAATGCCTCCAGACATTGACAATCATTCCCTGGCAGCCCTGGTTGAGAACCACTATTCTAGAGACATCCTTTGCATATTCATGCACATATGTATTTATGAAAATATATCTATGGTGCTTGGCACATTATAGGTGCTCAAGAAATATCTATTAAGATAACTTGAGAATAAGACAATAAAGCAGGTCTTACTTTAAATGCTCCAGAGGTACAGATTACGTGTATCCTTTTTTTTCTTTGGAGTTTTGCTCTTGTTGCCTAGGCTGGAGTGCAATGGTGTGATCTCGGCTCACCACAACCTCCGCCTCCCGGGTTCAAGCAATTCTCCTGCCTCAGCTTCCCGAGTAGCTGGGATTACAGGCATGTGCCACCAGGCATGGCTAATTTTGTATTTTTAGTAGACAGGGTTTCTCCATGTTGGTAAGGCTGGTCTCCAACTTCCGACCCTCAGGTGATCCGCCCACCTCGGCCTCCCAACGTGCTGGGATTACAGGCAGGAGCCACTGTGCCCAGCCACAGATTACATGTATCCTAACACAAATACAGGATAGGAAACAATTCTTTCCTGATTTGTACTTATCTGTTTTGCTTTCAGAGAGCATAGCTTGTTGTGCCCCCCAACCTCGATTTGTCCCCATTGCTGAAGGCAGGGATGAGGGGGCTGAATGCCAGAGGCCTCAGAGGTCCACCTCCAGAAGCAGTCAGCTGCCTGCAGTAATAGAATGATGATAGTCCTTACACATGGGGTCTCCTTCCCTCCCCGCACCCTGCCTGCCTGGGCTGATAGGGTGCGAGAGGCATCAAGTATGTGCCTCCTACACCCCGGCAACCCCTCCCACCTGGCATGTCCTGCTCTACAGACATCTGGTTTTGTTCCAGGCTATGGCCTTGGTTCCGGAAAGAGTGCCCTTCCTAAGAAGGTGGGGGCAGTAGTCCAGCTTGGGCAATCGGCCCAAAGTCCATTTTGTGTCATTCTTGGCAGCATGCCTGGTTTCTTCCTGGAGCGCAGCTGGGCCTGGGATGGTCCCTGGATTTTCCATTTTTCTGGAGTGGGGTGGGTGGGGAGCTGGGAGCTGGGCAGGTGACCTGTGCAGACACTGTTAAGTCCTGCTCAGGAGGCGCTGTACCCAGGGCCTGTTTGTTAATCCCTGCTGGGCCCAGGCAGGTGTATGGGGGGGCGGTGAAGCTAGCCTTCCCAGGGAGCACACAGCAGGGACGGGGAGCTGGGCCTTGGGGAACCCTAGAGAGCAAGGCAGATTGTAGCCATCGTGAGTGCTGTGGCCTGGATGTGATTTTCTAGGAGCTCAGGTGGGGCTAGGGGCTGGGGCTGGCGGCCTCAGTTTCTCTCCACATGGGCCTGTGTGTGTGGTGGCTTTGGGATAACTTATTACATGATGGCTCACGGCTTTGAAGGCACATGTGCCAAGAGAGAGAAACCTGCAGAAGCTGTGTGGCCTTGTCCAGCCGTGAGGATGAGGTTATCTGACATGGTTTATGGTGGACTCCACCAGCCAAGGAGGTCACAGAAGCCTGCCCAGGTTCAAGATGAAGGGACACTGACTTTACCCCTCGATAGGGGTGTGCCAAGGTCACTTGTATAAGAGCAAGTGGGATGGGAGATACTGTGGTGGCTGTTTTTAGAAAATGCCATCTGCCACAGGCTGTAAGGGGTTCCAGTCCTGAACAACAGTGAGAACCAGGATCTGCCATGTGCAACCGAGTAGCCCCCAGGGCTCCCCTAAGTTCCCACTGAGTACCTCCTTGTAAGTTTTTCTTGGTAGCTCGGACAAGCCCAAGGTTGGGGCAGGTTCAATGGACCCAGATGTCCTTGAGTGTATGCTCAAGTCTGTCTTCTGTTTCTCCCACATCCCACTGACAGGAGGGTGGGGCACAGCAGGGGAGGGGATACTCAGGGTGAGTTTGCTGAGCTGCTTATTTAGGCTAGCAACTTCTGTCCGTCCCAGAATCTCCTTCTCCCACTCCTGGATCCATCCTCTTCCCTCCCTCCTTCCTTCCTCCCTTTCTCACCATAAAATCTGTTCTTGCCACTGCCTCGTGTTCCTTCTTTCTCAGCCTCTCATTGACCTGGAAACCTCCACTTCTCTGAGATTCTCTCCCTGTGGTCACTAGTCACCCTCTAATCACCAAATCCTTTCACATCTCACCTTGTTTGCTTGCCCTCTCCATAGTTTGAACAGGACCTGCCTCCCTTCTTGGAACTCTTTCTTGGGGACCCCAGAGTCTCCTCCTACCTCGCAGACTGGCTTCTTCTTTCCCAGCATGTGTCCTTGGTTCTCCTCTCTCTCATTGAACCCCACGACTTCATCTGTTCCCTGTTAGCACTGACTACATAATCTACTCCCTTCTCTCCTACTTACCCCATGAGCTCTGGATCTCACATTTCTAACACCCTCCTTGCTCTCCTGACCTGACTGCTACCTGGATGTCTCAGGTCCACTAGACCAAAGTTCAATCCAGATCTGCTTCCCACTGTGACCTATTTCTTCCCATGTCACTGAGCATCACCTTCCAATCTGTCAAGGCAGAAAGCTTAGAGCATCACTAATGGCTTACTTCTTCCTCTACCACCTTTTAATTATGGGAAATTCTAGCAAGTCTACTGCCAGAAGATCTTTTGAATACATACATTCATTCATTCATTTAGTTAGCAAATATTGATTGAGTAGGTACAATACCCCAGGCACTGTTCTAGTGGCTGGAGATATAGCAGTCAGCCGAACAAACTCCTTCCATTCTACAAGGGACAGAAAGACAATAAACAGATAAAGAAGCAAACACATGGTATGACACGTGCTGGTAAGCTGTGAGACAGTAAGGCTGGGTGAGGGCTTGAGAGAGGAGGTGGGCGGTTGTTTTATGTCAGGTGGACAGGGAGAGCCTTACTGATCAGGTGACACTTGCATAGAGACCAAGAGGAAATGCAGGTCAGCGAGGCAGACACTGGGTCTTTCTTCACCATCCCATGGCTCCTCATCCTTTCCCCTCCCAACCATAAAAAGTACCTTCAGGCTGGGCGCTGTGGCTCACGCCTTTAATCCCAGCACTTTGGGAGGCCAAGGCAGGCAGATCATCTGAAGTCAGGAGTTTGAGACCAGCCTGACCAACGTGGCAAAACCCCGTCTCTGCTAAAAATACAAAAATTAGTTGGGCATGGCGGCGTGCACCAGCAATCACAGCTACTGAGGAAGCTGAGGTGGGAGAATCGCTTGAACCCAGGAGGCAGAGGTTGCAGTGAGCCAAGATCGCACCACTACACTCCAGCCTGGGCATCAGAGCAAGACTCTGGCAAAAAAAAAAAAGAAAAAGAAAAAGAAGAGAAGAAAAGAAATTACCTTCCCCTTGAACTTTTGGCCTCTAATCCTATCCTTCCCTCCTCATCCCCTTTCTGTGGCTCCCTGTCTCCCGTACATTTCAAACTGGCATGCAAGGGCATTCATAACTCTCTCCAAGCCTCTTTTCCAGCGAAGTCTTCCCTCAGCTGACAGAACTTGAAATGGCCCTGTGAGCTCCACTCTTCACTGTTACGCCCCATAGAATCCCCACCTCTTGAGTGCAGGTAAAACCTGTGACTTGCTCCTAGCAAGAAGCAAGAATATGGGCTATCACTCTTTATATGATAGAAGGTTCGGTCTTAGCAGACTTTATAGAGATTCTGCCGGCCTTGAAAAGGCAGCAGCTGTGTTGGGAGGTGCCCATGGAGAAGGCCCGTAGCAGGGAACTGTGGTGGCTTCTAGGAGCTGAGGGCAGCTTCCAGCCGCCAGCCGGTAGGAAGGTGGGGCTCTCAGTTCTAGAGTCACAGGAGATGAATCCTGCTAAAATCCTGAATGAACTCAGGTGCAGATTCCTTCCTGTCCAGGTCCCTGTGACCCCTGGTGCAGCCTGGAGAGCCCCTGAGCAGAGGACCTACCCTAACTGGGTGGACCCCTGGCCCGCGGAAGCTGAGATAATAAGTGTGTGTTGTGCCTAGCCTCTCAGTTTGTGGTAGACTTACACAGCAACAGAGCATGAATCCACTCAGCCTTCGTATCCCCTGCAAACCCTCAGGACTGCCCTGCTTCCAAACAAGTTTTTTCTTTTTCATGCCCTGCTAGGAGCACAAATTCTATGTACACAAATTCTCTAACCCTACATTTTCTCCCCAGTAAGATCGCGTTTGTCCTTCAAAGCCCCATTCAAATGCACCCTTTTCTCCATATTCTAGTTACACCCTGGTTCATCTTCCCCCCTGCCCCGCCCCCGCAACCCTGAGGGCCTGGTTCTCACCTCTCTTTAACCATGCCCGTGGCATTGGTGGCATTTGCGTGCCCGGCAGTTCCCCCACTTCCTCATCTCTCCATCTCAGGGTCTAGCTCAGTGCCTGGCTTCCAGCAAATCAAGCATTCTGAACTCGGAGTGTGAGCATGTGTGGATGGGGTTCATGGTATCCATTTCCCTAAAATCCAGTTCCCTAAAATTGCTTGGCAATTGCTGCTTAGGAGCATTTTGTTTTTCTGAGTCCCTGTCTTTCTTCAGACTCTCACAGAGGCTTGAGGTCCTGGAAAGATTAAGGCCTATAGAAGCAGGGTGTCAATGCACATTTCTTGAATTTAAGAAATTCACAAACTGGGTTGTGGCCCACTAAAAGGATTTTCATTTTCAGCTTTATGGCAAATTGTAGCTTCCCTGGAGGAATTGGAAGCATTCTCGGCGTTTTGCAGGAGAGCTGCTGTTTTGACATCTGCAAAAGCGCAGTCACGTAGGCAGCCCCAGGCTCCAACCAGGGATACAGATGGTCCAGCCTGGGGAAAGAGTGGGCAGGGTGGAGCAGGGGTGCAGGGAAGCCCGGACTCTGCTGCAGGAAGAGTGAACTGAGTGCAGAGTGGGGATGACGGGCGCAGGCAGGGCCCAGGGGGTTGGCTAATCCTGCGATGCTCCTTTAATAGTGCCAGGTGCTAGGATAGCTATTCCCCACTGCCAACTCCCCTGGGCTCTCAAGGACTGCCTTTGGCTGTGCCAGTGTATTTTTAGCCCTCCAGCAAGTGGAACAAAGTGCTCGGAGAGGCGCTGTTTCCCTCTCGGCTGCAGGCAACGCTCCGCACCTTTCTGAGCCGGTGCAAGGGCCCCCTCCAGCAGCAGAGAGGATGTGGGTCTGGCTCGCACCTTCCTCCCACGCCCTCCCTCAGGAGCCTGGGCGCGGGACGTCCTCATCGGTTGGAGAGAGGCGAGTTACCTGTGCTCCCGGTTGTTTAGGGGAGAGCGAGTGGGCTGGCCTTTCCCTAGGAGAGGACTCAGCACAGGGCAGGAGGCTGTCCTGGTGGGATCTGGCCTCTGACGACCACTCACTCTGAGGAAAAAATGATGTGTCCCAAGACCACCTCCAGTTAGGTGGGCAAGGCAGGGCGCTCTAGGCCAGGGGGCTAGGTGGACAGGTGAGCCCCTGACCACAGCCAGAAAAGCCCTCATCCCTGAAGGCTGCCATGAGGGGAGGCGTGGGTGAAAGTGGCAAGAAGCCACTTCCTGGTGACCCAGTGGTAAACACTTGAGGTCAACCTTGAGCATTGATCTGCCAAATATTTGCCTGGGTCACTGACCTAGCATACTTCCTGCCTTCATCTCCTCCCCAGCTGCAACCCGACTGCCCTACCCCTTGATCCTGGAGGGGTAGACATCATTTCCCAGAGAGGCCCTTTCCAGGCACAGTCCCCTCTCATGGGGCATGGGCTGTGGGTGAGGGTGGATGGGCTGGGGACTGGGGCAGGCATCCTCATGGGCCCTTTGAAGTGGCTACCCCAGTGAAGCTGGTCTGAAGCGGTCAAGGTTCACACAGCTGCCCACGCAGAACCAAACTCCACAAGGACCAGGCTGCCAGGGCTCCCTCCCCAACAGCTCCATCACCCGACCCTGGGAAAAAGAGAGACCTTGCCTCTCCAAGCAGGCAGGAGGAGGCCAAGGGGTCTCTGGCCAGGGCCTGGAGAGGCTCTCTCTCTCTCTCTTTCATCACACACACACACACACACACACACGCACACGCACACGCACATGCACGCACGCACGCACACACACACACCCTACTTCCCCTGAGTGCCCACCCTGGGTCGGTCACCATGCTAAGTTCTGCACAGACACTATACCCCACATTGTTGTAACCCTCTGTGAGTTACGTTGCTCCATTTTACCAAGTTGGAAACCAGGATTCAGAAATGTTAGGCAACCTTTCTGAGCTCACACAGCTGCGAGTGGGGAAGCTGGATGTCAGATCCCAGGCTGCCGGATGGCCTGCAGCACCCAAGAAGGAGAGAGAAGGACAAGAAGACCATGCACCTGTTCTGGGAGAGTCTGGGACAAGAGGAGATGTGAGGGCTGGTCGGAGGCAGAGCCGCTGTGCCTGCAGAGCACTGATCATTCACAATCATTTCCCAAAATCGCTTACAGGGAGAGAATTAAACCAACTTGCTTAAGTCATTGTTGTTTGGGATTTTCTGTCACTTGAAGCAAAAATGGTACTAAATAAAACACCTGTAGTCTAAGCCCCTTCCACTAGGCTGGCTGCCTGCTCTCTAAAGGCACCTCTTTCTGTGCCTGGCTGTTCCACAGGCTGCAGCCTTCCCTCTGGCTGTGGCTATCTCTGTATTTCCTTCAAGGCCCAGCTGAAAAGACCACCTCCTCCATGATGCCTTATGTAATTTCTACACATCAGAAATGATGAGTTCCTTTCCCTGCTGTCTCCAGTCTCTCAGTTTATTTCTTGTATTGAAGTCATCATGCCTGATTGGCATGTGATAATCTTCCATTGTGTATCTGTCTTACTCCTCAAGTTGGAAGAGACAGTATTTCCTTCAGCTTAACGGGGATGGTGTGTGGGTAAACCAGCTCTCCAGGAGAAAAAGCACCCTGATTTGTAGTGCTAGCCAATTCCCATGGTGTAAACGCTCCCACCATGGTCAGTTTCAAGCTATGATGGTTTAACAACTGGCTCAAAAAATTCCTGAGCATTTAACAGTTGGCTTTCATGAGTCAGTGCTAGCAGGCTCCAGCTTGCTACTGCTTAGGGTCTACCCACTGCAGAGGCTTAAGGCTTGCATTTAGTAGGCGTGCAACAGGCTGGTGCCACAAACTCTTACTTGGGTGTATTATTTGATTCAACACTTTTTTTTTTCCTGAAACCCCTACTTTGTTCCTAGAAGAATTTTAAATGGATATAGGGGAAGATCATTTGCAAACATGGTGACAATCCTTCCCCCTCCCTAAATCTATGCCCCTTTCCAATGTGACTTTGTAGCTTCTGGGGCTGATTTCCAGTCCTTGAATCAGGGATGGCCTTTTGACTTGACTTAGCCATTGGAATATGTTGGGAGTCACCTTATGACAGTTCCAAGCCTGGGCCTCAAGAGGCCCTGAGTACTGCTGCTCTTGTCTTGGGAGCCTGTTGGTTACCATGGATAAAGCCCAGGCTACTGTGCATAAAGCTCAGGCTATGCTGCTGAGGATGAGAGACCACGTGGAGCAGAGGCATACTGTCTCAGCTGAGCCATCCCAGATCAGACAGGCCCAGCAAACCCAGCAGCTGACCAAAGACATAGGAATGAGCCCAGCTAAGCACAACCCAAATGGCTAATATGAGGACTCATGAGCTAAATAAACAATAGTTATTTTAACCACTACATTTTGGAGTGGTTTGTTATGCAGCAAAAGCTGATACACCATCTTTGCATTCAGAAGTAGCTTAGCTTTTGACTGGAATGTCCATCTCTATCTGAGTGAGATATAGATAGCTTCATATTCCCTGCTATCCATCAGCCAAGAGCAAGAAGACCAAGTGTCAGCACCATTGGCCCTCCCAGCACGTAAGTTCCAGTAGAGTCTTACATCTCTCCCTAAACACAGCCTACAGGAACCTGGAAGATGTGGACGTTCTGGCTCCCTGATGGAAGAGTTGGACAAGAGGCATGGAGTCTGTGTCTATACACCAGAGTTAAGGTGAGCTCTCCTTGCCTTTGACTTTGCCTGTGCCGTGAAGTCATGCGGCTGGAGCTGCTCTTTTCCTATTAGTCAATGAAGACTTAACTGCCATTTGTGGGAAATGTCCAGCCAGGAATGGGAAACTCACAAATTCTTCTCTTTTCTGCCCCATAGAATTATTATTATTATTATTATTATTATTATTACTATTTTTTTTTTGATAGGACAAGAGGATCCTAATGTATCTGGGTTGGGGAAGAGAGAAAGAGCTGTGTGTTAAAGCTAACAATAATTTTCTACTTTCAGTTCAAGAGTAAAATCTCTCCTGTAATCTGTGAAGGAGTGTGTGAAAAACAAAACAAAACCCAACCTGCCCTCCAGGTTTGAACTGTAGAAACTCTGTGGTAGAAAAAAAAGGCATTCTAGGGAAGAAGAGAGGAAGCAGGCCATGAAACAGATTTGCAGCTGCAGGACGTGGTGGTGTGTGGTTCCCCTCTAACCAGCTGTGTGACCTTGGGCAAATCTCCCGGCCCCACTGGGACTGCATATCACATGGGGCTGGACTAGAGAACCCCACTCCCTAGAGGATACAGTATTTTTATGAGGGAGAGCTGGAGAGGCTCCTGACTTTTGATTGTTTACCCCTGGAGGTGTGTACAACCACGTGCCATTGACAGACAATGTACCCATTGTATGACAGGGAGGTAGTGGTGCCTTCCCCAAGTTATAATTGGCCTTGGGACACAGTCAGTACATACACACCCAACATTAGACACTCCATCACTGAGCAACTCAGTGCCTCTCATTCACAAGCTGTGTGATCCTAGGAGGTTATTCCACTTCTCTGATCTTCCATTTCTTTCTGTCCCTCCCTCCCTCCCTCCCTCCCTCCCTCCCTCCCTCCCTCCCTCCCTCTCTGTCTCCCTCTCTCTCTCTTTCTTTCTTTCTTTCTCTCTTTTTCTTTTCTTTCTTTCTTTTCTCTCTTTCTCTCTTTCTTTCAACAGGGTCTCACTCTGTCACCCAGGCTGGAGTGCAGTGGCATGATCTCGGCTCATTACATCCTCAACTTCCTGGGCTCAAGTGACCCTCCCACCTCAGCCTCTGGAGTAGTTGGGACTACAGGCATGCACCACCATGCTTGGATAATTTTTTTTTATTATTTGTAGAAATGGGGTTTCACCATGTTGCCCAGGCTGGTCTTGAACTCCTGGGCTCAACAGATCCTCTGGCCTTGGCCTCCCAAATTGCTGGGATTACAAGTGTGAGGCACCACATCCAGCCTGATTTTCCATTTCTTCCTCTAAAGTGTCATGTCATGTGAAACTTTTACAATGCTGGATTGTAAGAAATATTGAATGAAAAAACATATATAGTGATACTGTATGATTCAATACATAGAACATATACAGAAGCTTATTTTTATCTATTCACTTACAGGAAATCATGTTGACCAGAAGGTCTAATTTGGCCTCAAGCAGCCACACTACACTCAGACCTTCTGGGATTTTTCATTTTTCAGTTTCAGGACTTTTTTGTTCAGTTATATGTGTACTGGAACAATCTTTTTTTTTTGGCTATAATTTTTTTTAGGTTTTATGGAACACCCTTGGTGCTTATCTCAAAGGGTTATCAAAAGGATTACATGAGGCCAGGCATGGTGGCTCACACCTGTAATCCCAGCACTTTGGGAGGCCAAGGCAGGTGGATCACGAGGTCAGGAGATCGAGACCATCCTGGCTAACATGGTGAAACCCCGTCTCTACTAAAAATACAAAAAATTAGCCGGGCATGGTGGCGGGCGCCTGTAGTCCCAGCTACTTGCCAGGCTGAGGCAGGAGAATGGTGTGAACGTGGGAGGAGGAGCTTGCAGTGAGCCAAGATGGCGCCACTGCACTCCAGCCTGGGAGAAACAGCGAGACTCCATCTCAAATAAATAAATAAATAAATAAAATAAAAAAGGATTACATGAAATAATCCACCTAAAGCATGAAGGTTAGTTCCTGGACCAGTGGATGCTTCATCTATGGCAGCTACTATAGTGACTTCCCCACAGTGCTGGATGTTTGCTCTTGCTAATGCGGGGATTGATCTCCAGCTCTGGCTGGCAGGGCCTCTCAAGAACCCAGCCATCCTGGTTCCCCAGACCACAGGTCATCTCCCCACCTAAGATCATTCTCCCACAGTCCCCTCCTGTTGGGGATAGGGTGACAAAGACTTCTCCCTTGCTGCTCATGCTCTCCATTTCTGTAGGAATCAGAAAAGACGCAAAGCTGTCAGCTGAGACAATCTTCTGCCTTCAGGTAGGCACAGGGCCCTTCTCATCCCCATCACACAGCTCAGGCGGTGGAGACTGTCACTTTCCTGTTTGTCCTCAGATCCATCCCTCATCCTTCTCTGCTGTGCTGTGTTGCACGGCCCTGACCTCTGTGGACTACATTTCCCAGGCTCCCCTGCACCCTGGCTTCCTGACAAGTTCAGTCAATGGGAAGCAGTGGCAGGAGATTGAGCTTGGTAGAAGAGAGAAGCCAGGAATATTCTCTCTCCAGCCCTTTCTGTTTCAGGTGATGCCTCCAGCAGTGGCCAAGTCTCCTCCATAACTTCGGCTCCTAATAATACCCTCTCTTCCCTTGTTCCTCTAGCCCTGGGGAAGTAGCAGTTTCTACTTTCTGGGTTGCTCTACCCTCCCGTTTAGGTTTTCAGCTCTTCCATCACCTTTGCAACTACAGGTGACCCTTGAACAACATGGGTTTGAACTGCACAGGTCCTCTTCTACATGGATTTTTTTCAATAAACATTTTTTGGAGATTTGTGATAATTTAAAAAAGCTTGCAGCATGGTCTAGAAATATCAAGAAAATTCAGGAAAAGTTAGGTATGTCATGAATGCATAAAATATATGTAGATAGGAGTCTATTTTATCATTTACTACCATAAAATATACACAAATCTATTCTAAAAAGTTAAAATTTATCAAAACTTACACATACGGACACAGACCATACATGGTGCCTTTCAATCAAGATAAATGGAAACAAACGAAGATACAGTATTAAATCATAACTGCATCGAATTCACTGTACTGATACCATACTACTGTCATAATTTCATAGCCACCTCTTGTTGCTATTGTGGCAAGCTCCTGTTGCAAGTATCCACTTAAACACCATATGATGCTGATCATCTCCCTGTGAGCAGTTTGTCTCTAATGATACACTGCATATTGCAGTGAAAAGTGATCTCTTCTGGTTCTCGTGTATTTTTCTTTGTGTGCAGTGCATACCATAAACCCTGAATAGCACCATGAGACCCACATGAAGTGCCACTAGTGGTGCTGGGGGTGCTCCCAAGAAGCAGAGGAAAGCCATGACATTACAAGAAAGTTGAATTGCTTGATGTTTACCATAGATTGATGTCTGCAGCTGAGGTTGCCGGCTATTTCAAAAACAAATGAACCAGCCTAACAACCATTGCAAAAAACAAAAGGAAATTCGTGAAGCCATTTCTGGGCCAGCAGGCACAAAAACTTTGCACTTTTTTTGCAAAATTCCTTTCATATTGAAAATGCAGCTTTCATGTGGGTGCAGGATTGCATACCTAGAGACTCTAATATGATTCACGAAAAAGCAAAGTCGTTTTATGACAACTTAAAGCAAAAGGGTGTTGGAGGATCTAAAGCTGGAGCATTTAATGATAGCAAAGGATGGTTTGATAATTTTAGAAAGAGGTTTGGCTTAAAAAATGTCAGGATAACAGGAGAAGCAGCTCCTGCTGACCAAGAGGCAGCAGACGAGTTCCCAGATGCCATTAAGAAATGATTTAAGGGCCGGGCGCAGTGGCTCACACCTGTAATCCCAGCACATTGGGAGGCCGAGGCAGGCGGATCACAAGGTCAGGAGATCGAGACCACGGTGAAACCCCATCTCTACTAAAAATACAAAAAATTACCCGGGCGCGGTGGCGGGTGCCTGTAGTCCCACCTACTTGGGAGGCTGAGGCAGGAGAATGGCTGAACCCAGAAGGCGGAGCTTGCAGTGAGCCGAGATCGCACCATTGCACTCTAGCCTGGGTGACAGAGCGAGATCCCATCTCAAAAAAAAAAAAAAAGAAAAAAGAAAAAAAGAAATGATTTAAGAAAATCATTGAGGAGAGAGGATGTCTACCTGAACAGGTTTTTAAATACAGATGAAGGTACTCTATTCTGGAAAAAAAAATGGACAAAGAACATCTATTAGTAAGGAAGAGAAGTGAGCACCAGGATTTAAGGCAAGAAGGGTTGGGCTAACTCTATTGTGTTGTACAAATGCAGTAGGTTTGTGATTGGGACTGCTCTTATCTATAAAGCTGCTAAACCCTGATCCTTGAAGGGGAAAGATAAGCACCAGTTGCCAGTCTTTTGGTTGTGCAAGAAGGCCTGGATAAGGAGAGCTCTTTTTCTATACTGGTTCCTTCGATGCTTTGTTCCTGAAGTCAGAAAGTACCTTGTGAGGTAGGGACTGCCTGTTAAAGTTCTCTTGACCCTGGACCATGCCCCTCGCCACCCAGAACCCCATGAGTTCAACAGCGAAGGTGTCAAAGTGGTCTCCTTTCCCCCAAACACAATGTCTCCAATTCAGCCTCTAGATCAGGTCATAAGAACCTTTAAAGTTCAATACACACAGTATTCCATGGAAAGGATTGTCAGTGCTATGAGAGAGAACCCCAATAGAGAAAATATCATGAAAGTCTGGTGGGATTACACCATCGAAGATGCCGTTGTTGTTATAGAAAAAGCTGTGAAAGCCATCAAGTCTGAGACATTAAATTCCTGCTAGAGAAAACTGTGTCTAGGTGTGCATGACTTCACAGGATTTATGACACAGCCAATCAAGAAAAGAGATTGTGAGTATGGCAACAAGGTTGGGGAGTGAAGGGTTTCAAGATATGGATTTTGGAGAAATTCAAGAGCTAACAGACACCACACAAAGGAATTAACAGAAGACAACTTGATAGAGATAAATGCTTCTGAACCAGAGCCGGACAATGAGAAACAAGACATGGTAGTGGATTATCAGAACTTATTAACGTTAGTGTCACTGAAGTTGGTATACAACCCCCACTGCTAAATTTGACTGGCTCAGGAAAAAAAAAGAACATAGAAGACGCACTGTGAGAAAAGAGACTGACATTAGACAATCTGGCAGAAGGGTTCCAATGACTTAAGATTGTTGACCAGGTGCAGTGGCTCACACCTGTAATCCTAGCACTTTGGGAGGCTGAGGCGGGTGGATCACCTGAGGTCAGGAGTTCGAGACCAGCCTGACCAGTATGGTGAAACCCCATCTCTACTAAAAGTACAAAAATTAGCCAGGTGTGGTGACGTGTGCCTGTAGTCCTAGCTACTTGTGAGGCTGAGACAGGAGAATTGCTTGAACCTGGGAGGCAGAGGTTGCAGTGAGCCAACGTCGTGCCATTGCACTCCAGCCTGGGTGACAGCAGGACTCCAACTCAAAAAAAAAAAAAAAAGTCAGTTTTGACTTTTTTTACCACATGGACCCTTCTATGGTTTGGGCACTGAAACTAAAGCAAATGGTGGAAGAAGAATTGGTACTGTACAGAAACATTTTCAGAGAAATGAGAAAGGAAAAAAGTCAAACAAAAATGATGATATATTTCCATAAAGTTACACCGAGTGTGCCTGCCTCTCCCGCTGGCCCTTCCACCTTCTCATCCTCTTCTGCCTCTGCCACGCTGAGACAGCAGGACCAATCCCTCCCCTTCCTCCTCCTCCTCAGCCCACTCAGCATGGAGACAATGAGGACGAAGACCTTTATGATGATCCACTTCCACTTAATGAGCAATAAATTTATTTTCTCCTTCATATGATTTTCTTAATAACATTTTCTTTTCTCTAGCTTATTTTATTGTAAGAATACAGTAATAATATTTATAACATATAAAATATGCATTAATCAACTGTTTGTGTTATCAATAAGGCTTCCGGTCAACAGTAGGCTATTACTAAACTTTTTGGGGAGTCAAAAGTTATATGTGGATTTTCAATTACGTGAGGAGTTGATGACCCTAACTTCCTCATTGTTCAAAGGTCAAGCTGTAGTTTCTAGTATTAATTCACTATTGAACTACTTGGCTGGGGCTCTATTTTTCTGGTGGGGCCCTGAGTGCTGCAGCTACCATGGTCAGATATCTACGTATATCTGAATGTTCTCACCACGTAACCTCCAAATGGCCACAAGTTTGCAAAAAAAATTTCATAGGAATTTTTCCAGGGCAGCTTGCATGCTGACTCTGTGCTGGAGGGCAGATGGCCACACTTCCTGTAGTAAGCTGTTTGTAAGCAAAAATAGCCATAGTTATTCCCTCCCCTATCATATCCCTTCACGATGTGCCTTTGCTGCTCCTCCCATCAACAGATGGAGTCTATTTCTCCACCCCTTGAATCCACGCTGGTCTTGCGACTTGGCCAATAGAACGTGGTGCAACCAAGTCCAGGCCTCAAGAGGCCCAGCACACTTCCATTGCTCCCTTGGAAACCCGTCCAACCTGTGCTGTGAACATGCCTGGGCCAGCCTCCCAGAGGAGGCGAGAATGCAAAGCAGAAGGAGCCGTTCCCGCTGAGACCATCGGGACCAGCTAGTGCCCAGATGAGCCAGCAGCTCCCTCCAGATGCAGGGGTGAGGCCCATTTGAGGCCAGCTGAGCCCAGTCCAGATCCAAAGAACCATTCAGACCATCCACAGACTTGTGAGTAAAAGTAAACCGTTGTTATCTTTAACTACTACATTCTTGGGATGATTTGTTATACAGCAGTAGCGGATACGCCCCACGTGTGGGTGACGGCAGGAAGTAGAGAATTCCACATTTGCTTCTGACTCATAACACGTTCTGTGTCCAGGAGTCTCCAGTGCCAACAGGGATCTCCAGGGCAGCAGCAGGAAGTCCAGTCTAGCTGGCTCTGACCTCAGTGGCCAGCTGAGGAAAATGTGAGTGTATGGTTGAGTAATTGCATCTAGTCAAGTTTAAGGTGTGGGTGCTGGATATAGTCCTCAGCTCCTGGAGTGATCCTGGGTGCTAAGGGGGTCTGCTCTGTGGTAGGGACTCTCTGGGGTGGGGCAACCCTCTCCCCTCTGCTGCATTTAGTAGAAAAGTGAAGCACAGAAAGGCTGCCAGCTGCCTGCCCTCAATCGTCTTTCCTGATCTTACCAGTTACAGAGTCTGTATTATTAAGCATAGCACAGTCACCTTTCCTGGCCTCCTTTATGACAAGGGTGGCCAGTCTAAGCAGAAATCACTGGGTGGGGACTTTAGCCTGGGTAGGAGGCCTCCCTTTTCCCTCTCCTTCCCTTCCCACCTCCCAGTCCCCTTCATGCTGAGGTGCCCTGGGCACACACATCTGGCCAACCACACTCCATCATTCTCTTGCAGACAGCGTCCCCTTGGCCACCCTCAGGACGAGGGGTACCTTCTAGAAGGGGATGTGTGTGATCATCTAGCTGGGCATGTCCCCTTGGCCTCACCAACTCCTTACTCTGGGGAGGACTATGGCCCAGAAGAGCCAGCATGGAGTTCGGCAGGGCCTGAGGCCCGGGGCAGGGGCCTCACCCAGCAGGTCAAAGCCCAGCACGATTGCAGGGCTTCCTGGTGTCACTGCAGACCTGGCTCTCTGGGGACACCAGAGTTACCCTGCTTCCCAGTGGACTCATTCCTGATTCCTTGGACCATTGGAAGCTCATTCCCCTTTTCCAAGGAATGACAATTCATGTCTTTCCAAGTTAACTTCCTATTCCCACCCATTCTGCGATGTAGCTGACAATGGCTTTCTCTAAAGAAGCAAAAACCCTAAGTTGGATCTCTGCTAGGCACCCCCTTTGGAAGGTGACAGAGGGACATTTCAGCCCATCCTGAGCATGTCCCCCTCCTTGGTCCTCAAAAGTCACAGGCCCATGCCTTGCCTACCTGATTCATGTGACCCTGTCCCCGCACCTGCAGGCATAGCACCTGCCATCCCTTCCTGTTTGAGACCATCCCGGAGGCCCTCAGCTCCCAGCTGCCCCTCCCATCCTGGGTCTCTGCTGCTCAGTATGTTATCCAGGAAGCATGGGGCAGATGTTTTTGCCAAACCACTGGGCTGTGGCTAACCTGTAGGGGTGGTGAGGGTGACTGCACAGGTGTGTGCAGTTCCCCTCCACCTCCCAGCCATCTGGGCTCTCTGGGGGGAGCAAGTTACATATATATTTATATCAGCAGGGACTGTGGAACCCCCAGCAATAAACACTGATGGCTAAGGACTTTGGGTGCATGTTATCCACTGAATTAAACTCCTCTCCAGCTGCCTTGAAGGTTGAGAGGCTCAGTCTATAGTATTAGCTACAAGCTCTTGATGAGAGCTCAAAGGTCTGTTCCATTACTGATGAGAAAACCAAGGCTCAGAGAGGAGCAGGGACTGGATCCAAGCATTCTGACTCCAGGGGCCTTTCTGAGGGCCCAGGTGGGTCTGGCTTCATAGGCTTCCTCCAGGGAAGTGTGAACTCTGCAAACTGCAGCCTCTCCTGAGGGTATGGAGCTGCTTCTGAGGTTTTGAAGGGAGCTTCTGGAAGCCTTCCTGAGAGCTGAGCTCCTGGGTGCCGACGGGTTGCCCAGTGCTCAAGGGGATGGGCTGGGCCTCCCAGCCTGTGGTTACAGAGGGAAATGCTCTTTGGAGCCCACCCTGAGACGACACCTGCAGTGCATGTTCTGGGGCCCAGACAGAAGGCACCCCTGCTCCTGGAAGGCGTTATTGGGAGCTGCTCAGAGGAGGAGGCCAGAGACACCCTTGTGAGATGGTTGTGCTAGGAAAGTTTTGGAAATCCGATTTTCAAAGTGAAGCAGTGAGCCTGTGTGTACGATGTGCATAATAGTTGTGCGTGTACATACATGTATGTGATGTGTACATGTGTAGGTGCACGTGTGGATATGTGAGTGTGTATGTGCATGAGAGGTGTGTTTATATGTGTGTGAATGTGTGAGCAAATATGTGAGTGTGTATGTGCATGAGAGGTGTGTTTATATGTGTGTGAATGTGTGAGCAAATATGTGAGTGTATGTATGCACATGCATCATGGGCAGGCGTGCTTGTGAGGGTGTGTGTGTGTCTTTGTGTGTGTATATTTATGTGTGCCATATGTGTAAGTGCATGTGTCTATTTGTGCACCTGAGGTTTGCGTGCATATGTGTGAGGGTATGTTAAGAATAGCCCAGACCATGGCATGTGAATGGTGCCTGGTTTTGTCCACTTCCAGGGAAGGAGGGAGCAGGACGGTGACACGCCATCTGTATTGGCCAGTCCTCTTTCCTGCCACCATTCTTTTGCCCCAACTTTCTTTCTGTTAAGCCTTCATCTGGGGCCTGCTACCGTGTAATATTGCCTAAAGATGATCTGTCCTTCCCAGTAACAAAGCAGTGCATGCTCCTCACAAAAAACTGGAAAATAGGCCAGGTGCAGTGGCTCACACCTGTAATCCCAGCACTTTGGGAGGCCAAGGCAGGAGGATTGCTTGAGTCCAGGAGTTCGAGACCAGCCTGGGCAATGTGGCGAAACAAAAAATACAAAATTAGCTAGTGGGATGGCATGCACCTGTAGTCCCAGCTACCCAGGAGGCTGAAGTGGGAGGATGGTTTGAGCCCCGGAAGCGGAGGTTACAGTGAGCCAAGATCGCATCACTGCACTCCAGCCTGGGCGACAGAGCCAGACCCTGTCTCAAAACAAGCAAACAAAAAACCCCCCAAAACCGACAACAACAAAACCTTCTGGAAAATAGAGAAGAGCACAAAGAAGGAAATAAAAATTGCCTTTAGTCCCCAAAACCAGAGTGCTGGCTGTGGCTTAATAGAATGTTCTTCTGCAGCTGGGACTTAGGGAGCCGAGGAGGAGAGGGAAACACGAGCACCATCATCATCCGAGGGCCCTTGACCCTTGGCCCCACACGGGCTAAGCCTTTGGAACTTCAAGGTCTCTTACATTGTTATGTTGTTGCTGTTGTTGCTGTTGTTTTGTTGTTGGATTCTTCATGATTCACAAAGTCCTGGAGGTGACCAGTTTGGCCTGAGCTGTGAAAACCGATATAGTGACCTGGGTTTAAATTAGGTCTCCACCAACCTAAAAGTTGTCTCATCTTGGTTGGCTCAGTCATTTAACCTCTTCAAAGTGAAGCAGTGAGCCTGTGTGTATGATGTGCATAATGGTTGTATGTGTGCATATGTGTATGTGATGTGTACATGTGTAGGTGCAGGTGTGGATATGTGAGTGTTTCCTCAGTTTCCTCATCTCTACAATGGGGTAAAAACAATGACCTTGAAGGGCAGTTGTTGGGGTAGACATTGTGTCTGGCCTCCTCCTGTTTTCTCTCAGACCCTTTTCTCTCCTTTCTGCTTTCTGTTCTACAGTGTGGAGAGGGTCCCTTCCAGGGCCCCTGCCCTCTGGCTTCAGATAGGCTTGGACAAGTGAGTAGAAGCCTGGAGGGCAGAGGCGGGGAGAGCTCAGGGTGTGTCTCCCTGCTCTGCTTCTGGGGGTGTGTCAGGCAGTGGCTGCCTCTCTGCTGCGGCTCCAGCTCCTGCCAGAGGCCCCAGAACCATCAACTCTGATGACCCCACCTTGTCCCTTTGTCCTTTCCTGTCCCAGCCCTAGTGATGGTAGCAGTGGCTTCCTGTTGTTACTAACCTCTGGGTGACCTCGACATCCTCATATGGCTGTTCATCAATTCAAAGCTGCAAAACAAGTTCCCTCTATTAAACTCCCTGGGTTGGAAGATCTAGCATGGTTTTGGTTTTGTGCTGGGACCCTGATCCGTACAGAAATGACAAGCAGGGCAGTGTCTGGTGCCAAGAGGAGGGTCAATGTGTAGCACTCAGGTCTAGAGCTGTGGCCCCTCGTGGGCTTATGACAACATCACCAGCTAACCCCTTCTCTCAAGCGAAGAGCTCAACCCTGCCTTCTCGCCTTTCTTGATCAAAGCCCTGACTTAGCTCTTCGGCATTTTTTTTTTTTTTTTTTTTTTTGAGATGGAGTCTTGCTTTGTCATCAGGCTGGAGTGCAGTGGTGCGATTTTGGCTCACTACAATCTCCATCTCCTGGATTCAAGCAATTCTTCTGCCTCAGCCTCCTGAGTAGCTGGGACTACAGGCCTGCGCCACCACACCCAGCTAATTTTTGTATTTGTTTGTTTGTTTTTTGTTTTTTGTTTGAGACGGAGTCTCACTCTGTCACCCAGGCTGGAGTGCAATGGCATGATCTTGGCTCACTGCAAGCTCCGCCTCCCAGGTTCACACCATTCTCCTGCCTCAGCCTCCCGAGTAGTTGGGACTATGGGCACCCACCACCATGCCCGGCTAATTTTTTGTATTTTTAGTACAGACTGGGTTTCACCATGTGGGCCAGGATTGTCGTGATCTCCTGACCTTGTGATCCACCCGGCTTGGCCTCCCAAAGTGCTGGGATTACATGCGTGAGCCACTGCACCCAGCCTCTTTTGGCATTTTTAGTAACATGACCCAGTGTAAGGGAATGGGCTCTGGCAGCCCTGGGTTTGAACCTAGATTCACTATTAGTAGCTGGGTGACCTTCAGCAGGCCGCGTCAACTCAGCTGCATTATCTAAGCTCAGGGGATAAGAATACCTAATTCACAGAGATGGTATTTGTAAAGTACTCAATAGAGAGTAAACAGTCAGGTGTGAGGGCTCATGCCTGTAATCCTAACACTTTGGGAGAATGAAGCAGGAAGATTGCTTGAGCCCAGGAGTTAGAGACCAGCCTGGGCAACATAGCAAGATCCCATCTCTAAAGAAAGAAAGAAAGAAAGAGAGAAAGAGAGAGAGAGAGAAGGAAGAAAGGAAGGAAGGAAGGAAAGAAAAGAAAGAAAAGAAAGAAAGAAAGGAAAGAAAGAAAGAAAGAGAAAGAAAGAAAGAAAAAGAAAGAAAGAAAGAAAAGAAAGAAAAGAAAGAAAAGAAAAAATTAGCCAGGTGTGGTGGTGCATGCTTGACCTGCTCAAGGTCACCCAGCTAGTAATAGTGAATCTAGGTTCAAACCCAGGGCTGCCCTACTGCAGAGCCCAGTAATCCCAGCCACTTCCGAGGCTGAGGTGGGAAGATGGCTGTAGCCTAGAAGTTGGAGGCTGCGGTGAGCTGTGATTGCGCAATTGCACTCCAGCCTGGGCAAGAAGTGAGACCCTGTTCTCAAAAAAGAAAAAAAGGAAAAGAAAAAAAAGTATGGTGTCGTGTTTGTTGACTGTTATTAATCAATATTATCACCACAGACCCTTCCTTCAAGAACGTGGGATCTTTTCACCCGGTTGTGTGCGAGTGGACATTGAAATGGCTCACTTCTGGTCTTTCTAATATCTCTTGATATGAAGAGTGCAAAGACTGCTGGGAAAGATGGGAACATTTGCACAGGGGCTGAGAATCATGGGAAGAAAAGGGAAGAGACCCAGAACCTTTCCTTTCAATGTTGGCCTGAAAACATCTTGAGTAGATTGAGATCATCACCAAAAGGCTGGGGACCATGATGGAGAGCTGAGTCTGGTGGAGTTGAATTTGCCCACACTGGGCCCACAGGTTTGCTTCTACCTGGCATGTCTTTTCATTTCTTGTCCATCCAGCAAACTTCTATACATCCTTCAAGACCCAGCTGAGTTAAGGCCTATGGTGACCTTTGGTGACATCTCCAGTAGAATTAAACCCCATCATTCCTTCTGCTCTCAGCACTTGCGCATACTTCAGTGGTGGTGCCTACACACCCTCTTCTGTGAACTCTTAACGGCTCACACATCCTCCCGTCACCATGCCTGTCACATCCCTGCAGGAGTAGGAGGAGCCATGAGGGTAGTTGGTAACTGCTGAGCACTCACTGCATGTCAGGCACTGTGCTGTGTGTGTGATGCGTGTCACCCCACTGGCCCTCACCACTTCCTATGGGGTGTCACCACTTTACAGATGAGGGGACAGACAGGTGTACAGACCCATCGCTACCTGACTCTGGAGGCTGCATTCTCAACCTCCCTCATTTTGCTTGTGAACCCCAGAGAAAAGGGATCGGCTTATACCCTCCTTTGGGTACCCAGTAGCTGGCAGGATGCCTGTCACCAAGTGGTCACTTAAATGTCGGGTGAAATAAAGGAACATTCCACGGTGCTGACATGCCAAGGTTTATGAAACCACTTCCCTTATGTTGCTGTGAATATTTCTGAGCACAGCTCTCTTTCTTGGGCTGGATTATTTTCTTTGGGTCAGTTCCTGGGAGTGGAATGACTGGGCCACGTCATCTTCCACCTCCCAGAGCCGCTGGCAGTGAAGGAATAAAGCTGTTCTTTGCTGCCTTGCAGGCCAGGCCCTCTTCTCACCTTGATGTGGCTCCAATGCAGGCGCCCTGGCAGGCCTGAGACAGCTACACTGAGTCCTCTGGAGCCAGCGGTGGGGCCCTGTGCGGTCAGCGAGCCAGGATCCCCAGCACCACCCAGCACCCACAGCCCTTCCTCCAAACCCTCCCCAGCTGCCTCATTGGCAACTGGATTCTGTCTGGGGGCAGGGATCAGACCTGCAGGCATCCTCCCTGACCACACCACTGCCTCTGGCTTCCTTATTTGGAGGGTAAGAGATGAGGAGGTAGGAGAAGAGAAGAGGGCGGATGGAGGCAGCACAGGGAAGAAAGGATTGGGCAAAGGAGGGCAGGCCATAGGGAAGGGGTGGCCCCGAGTCCGTGCCTGGGGGTTAAACCTCCAGCACCCCATCTCATTTCTCCAGGGCTGGGGCAGATGGCCCTCCCGATTTCTGCAGACCTTCCTCCAAATCCTCAGCTCACAGAGGGAAAGGCGAATTCTCACTCTGGACAGGGACTCTGACCTCAGGTCCCTCGGCTGTGCTGAGAGCTCAGGGGTGGGAGAAAGCAGGCAGAGGGATGCTGGTGCCCCTGCCCTTCCCATGAAGACCCCCTTTTTCTCTGTCTCCTCTCCTTTCCATCCATTTATTTCCTTATCTTCCTTTATGGGTATTTCCACTCCAGTTACAAATGGGAGAAGACCAGGGATGCCCAGTTAAGACCAGAGACATCTCGTTTAGCACAGAGTCACCCAATTTAACTCAGAGACACCTGGTTAAGGGTGTCCTGACCAGTTGAGACCAATTTTTGTATGTTTTATGGTTGCCAGATAAAATCCAGGATGCCCAGTTCAATTTGAATTTCAGATGGGCAATGAATAATATTTTTAGTATAAGTATGTCCCAAATATTGCACAGGACACACACTAAAAAAAATTCATTGTTTATCTGAAATTCAAATTGAACTAGGCATCCCATATTTTTATTTGCTAAATCTGGCAAAGACAGTGCATTTCTCTTCTTTTCCTGAATTTTAAACTCTTGGGATTCGGCATCTGCCTCCCATCCTACTCCACCAACCAGCTTCCCTCTTCCACCTTTTTGGTGGAAATTTGACTTCTCTTAAACCCGTGCTCTTTTTAATTTCTCTCCTTCCCTGGGTTTTATTTAGTTAAACAAAGTCACACTGGGTCTCCATTTCAAAGTGTTTGATGTTATTACTAGATACTGGGGTTGAGGCAGTCTAAGCTTTTCGAAAGGTTTCTTCAGGACATTGGAGGGAAATTAAACCTTGGAAAATATGCTTGACATTTTTTTTTTCTTTCTAAAAAGAAAGTCTGTGCGTTCAGTTCCCTTATGGTCACGGGAGCACAAACAGTGGAGTTAAGGCCAAAAAGCTCATTTCTCAAGCCGCCACCAGCTGCAGCCCCGGCCAATAAATGATTTATCTCCAGCTGCACGGGCCACTTTCTCAGGGTTTCCATCCTCAGCTGAGCTTGTTCAAAGAGGCCTCGAACTTGTAGGCTCAGAGGGATCCGAGGAACTAGCTAGACCAGAGCTTCCCAAACTACCATGTCCAACAGGTCACTGGGGGAGCTTTCACCAGTCCCATGCTCAGGCTGACACAGCCTCATCAGCTCAAAATCACTGGAGCTGAGACCCAGCCATCACGGAAAAAAAAAATAAACTTGGCCAGGCGCGGTGACTCATAATCCCAGAACTTTGGGAGGCCGAGGCGGGTGGATCACTTGAGGTCAGGAGTTCGAGATCAGCCTCGCCAACATGGGGAACCCCCATCTCTACTAAAAGTACAAAATTTAACCGAGTGTGGTGGCACACGCCTGTAATCCCAGCTACTCTGGAGGCAGAGGTAGGAGAATTGCTTGAACCTGGGAGGCAGAGGTAGGTTGCAGTGAGCCAAGATCACACCACTGCACTCCAGCCTGGGTGACAGAGTGAGACACTGTCTCAACAACAACAACAACAAACTCCCAGATGATTTTAGATTGAGACCCAGTGAACCAGAGTGGTGCTTCTCAATGGCTCCTGGAAGTTGATGGACAAGGACCCCAGCTCCCCGCCTGTTGGTTGCAACAACTCTGAAGTATGTGACCCTCTTCTATTGGTCACCCCTGTCCTCAGTAGCCCATCCTCCCACAGCAGTAACTGGCTCCAGTAAGCCCCCTTTCTTGGCTTCTCTTCCCTGTTTCTCTTCCACATTTCTCTATGGTGCTTCTTGAGATCACCTCCCAAATCACCTACTTGTACTCAAATCCTTCTCTCTGATTTTGACCGTGGTTTATGATAGGTCACTGTTGCCCACAGATGGATGGTTTAAAATGCAAATTCTCAACTTAACAGGCTGCCCAGAATGGCAGAAGACCCCAGTTTTTGGAGCCAGGCAGACAAGGCACAAATCTTAGTTTGGTGGCTTAGACATTCTAAATTACTGTGGCATTTTCCGAGTCTCGGTTTTTAAAATCTCTAAATTGGGGTTAATAATGGCTGCCTGTTGGGGTTGTTGAAGAGGATAGAATAAAACAGCTTCTGTAGAAGGTAGAATAATAATTTCCTATTTTCACTTCCCTGTAGTAGCATTAATATTAGATGTCCACACTCTTGCTATGGCCTCAGGTGGCAGAGTATACTTAATGTCCCTTAGCTTTGGTCTTAGCCATGTGACTTGCTATGGTCAAGGATGTTGACAGTCATGATGTAAGTGAAGGCTTGAGTGGGCTTGTGCTGTTAAGCTGGCTCCTGCACTTTTTTACCATCATTGTAGAAAATAATTTTTTAGGTAGCGCTGGTTCCAGAAGTATAAGAAACATACTAAGCAGAATTGAACCCATCCGATGGCCAGGAGTCAGGCCCAGCTGAGCCCCGCTTAGGCCAGCCAAATTCCATGTAACCCGAAGATGTTGTATGCTGTGAATTTTGTTACACAGCTTTATTGTGGGAATAGCTGACAGATACACTATTTATAAAAACACCTACACAGGGCCTGGTACATCGTAGAGGTCCAGTAAATGCCAGTTGCTGTCTCTTTTCATCACATACACTAACATGGGAGCCAAGACATTTCCCTGATTCTTATCCCTCAAATCAGACTTCTGGATAAAGACCTTGGAATGAAAGCCATGTTGGGATTGAAGCTCAAATTGGTAATGGAATCCTGCCCATGCAAACCCTCTTTCCTCATGTGGCTCCCAGCACTTCTCTGATCAGAGATAGAGACCTTTGTAACAGCATTAGTTCCCCCTCACCCCGTCTTTTAAAGGAGGCACAAGCCTGTCTTTTCCTAAACTTTCCTAGAAAGACCTCACCCCTTGTCTGTGTCTGTCACTTAGGGCACAGCATAAGCTGTTTCTTACCATTTCACTTTTCACCTGCCTTCATTAATGATAACTCTAATATAATAGTCAACATTTTAAAATATTAATTGCTCATCAGGCATGATGCTGGGTACTTGACATAAATATTGTTTAAAAGTCAGCACATCTAAAGATCAAATGAATGCTTCATTTACAAAATGTCTAATGATTTTGAATTATATGTGAGTCAAGGTTTCAAAGCCTGATTAATTATAAAAATATATTTTTCAAAAGTCAACACATCCTTATGGTGTAGATAATGGTATTATCTCTCATTTGCGTATAAGGAACTTGAGGCCCACAGAGATTTGGTGCTACCCAGACCCAAGTCCATCTGATCCCCAAACCATGCCCTTACCCCCACCCTATGCAGCCAATGTGGTCCCTCTAACTAGATTGCAAGGTCCTTGAATTCACAAGCTGTATCGGATGCACTTGGTGAGCCCATCACACACAGTAGTCACATGGCTGTCATTTAGTGACTGGCTGGAGCTGCAGGGATCAGGCAAGGGGTTTTCATGTTCATGGCAGGGCTGATCCTTCTGCAGAAGCACCCAACACCCTGGGCAGATCCTGTGCTTCCCACCGTCAGCATCTACCAGCCACACTGGACCAGTGTCTACCTCCTCTGTATTTCTGCTCAGTCTTAGGTGCTCTGTGAATTTCCAAAACACACAACAGGTCTCTGGGAGTCCTGGGAATTGTCACAATGCTTTTGTTGGCAAGCAACAGAAGCCAGGTTTGGGCTCTGGTGTCCTTTCCTTTCACTTTTCTTGTCTGCCCATTTCTGTAGATCCACTTGATTTTCTGCTGGATTTCCCCATGTTCCAAGCCTGTACACCCTCGAGATTGAATTTGTGTTCCCAGCCTCTGGGCCACTCCCTGTGGTGTTCCATGGGAATCTCATATGCGAAGTGACTTCAGTCTGGGTTATTTGTACCAACCACTATGACAAGGTAGCTAAGACTTACTCCAGTCAGGACTCTGGAGCTAGGGCAGGGTCAGACACACACCATCTTCGTGGTTGCCAGGGCAGCGGGAAGGGTGGAAGGATGCTTGGCAGCAATGACACATCTATATGGAGGGATGATGTGTGGAGGAAGGGGTGGGGTGGGAGAGCAGAGAGGCTGCAGGAGGGGCCCCAGCATGCTACTTGGTTCTCAGAGAAAGCAATGTCCTTTTATAGCCTATGTCCTCCGAGGCTCTCAAACAATTGTACCAGCCCCTGGCAGGGTGATTCTTTCTCTCCTGTAAGAGGAGTTGCCCATTAGCCTTGGCTGTGCCTAAGTGTGGATTCTTCCAGAACAGATCTGGGACAAGGTCTCGTGTGCCTGCGATTTATTAAGGAAGTGCTCCCAGGGCAAACTGGGAAGGGGCTGAAGGAAGCAGGTTGGGGTAGAGAGGAATCCAAGCCAGGGGTGATCACAGGCGACATCCTACAGATGACGGCTTTTCAGCCTGATCCTGAGGGGGAGCTCTGAGTGCAGGGGACACTTCAGTTAATCTTAACCCAAGGCAAGGGAGCTGGACTTTCAAATTCTTGTGCCCATTAGTCATTGGACAAGGATTGCAGGTGTGGGAGGAGAATGCAAATTTCTAGGCACCTTGGGCTCTCTGTCCCTCCAAGCAAGGTGAAGGGAGCCCTCTGAAGAAGATCCCCAGGAAATGCTGCTTATAAGCTGTGGTCAGATGTCTTTGGGCCTCACTTTCCTTATACATAAAATGTGAATAGGCCGGGCGCAGTGGCTCACACCTGTAATCCCAGCACTTTGGGAGGCTGAGGCAGGTGGATCACGAGATCAGGAGTTCAAGACCAGCCTGGTCAACATAGTGAAACCCAGTCTCTACTGAAAATACAAAAAATTAGCCAGGTATGGTGACGGGCACCTATAATCCTAGCTATTTGGGAGGCTGAGGCAGGAGAATCGCTTGAACCTGGGAGGCGGAGATTGCAGTGAGCTGAGATCGCGCCATTGCCCTCCAGCCTGGGTGACAGTGCCAGACTCCGTCTGAAAAAAAAAAAAAAAAGTGAATAATCCCATTACCTGCATCATAAGGATGTGGACATGTTAACTTTATATATATATAAATTGATTAGGCTTTTGAAACCTTGCCTTACAACTCAAAAACCATTAGACATTTAGTAAATGAAGCATTAATGTGATCTCCCTTAGATGTGTTGATTTTAAACCAATATTTATGTCAAGCACCTAGCATCGTGCCTGATAAGCCACTGATATTTTAAAATACTCTTATGTTAGGCCGGGCACAGTGGCTCACACCTGTAATCTCAGCACTTTGGGAGGCCAAGGCGGGCGAATCACTTGAGATCAGGAGTTCAAGACTAGCCTGGCCAACATGGCAAAACCCCATTTCTACTAAAAATACAAAAAATTAGCTGGGTGTAGTGGTGGGCACCTTAGTCCCAGTTACTTGGGAGGCTGAGGCAGGAGAATTGCTTGAACCCGGGAGGTGGAGGTTGCAGCAAGCTGAGATCGTACCACTGCACTCCAGGCTGGGCGACAGTGAGACTCTGTCTCAAAAAAAAAACAAAAAAAACAAAAAACCAACCAAACAAAAAACAACTATTATGTACTATTATGTTAGAGTTATCATTGAGGAAGGCAGGTGAAAAGTGGAATGGTAAGAAACAGGTTATACCATGAGGTAAGTCAGGTGCATACTGCAGGAAGTGAAAGCCCTTCGGAGCTGGAGGGGTCACGGAAACAAAAAAGGGAGGAAGGGATTTGGGGGATGGGTAGAGTGCTGACAATGCCTGCTCCTGGCTGGGGTACATGTGTCAGTTCTCACCCATAAAGGAGGACTCAAACTCCAGCCCTCAGCCCCAACTCTACCCACAGACATGTTTTGCTTGGCCCACAGTGTACTACTGACTGCTCAATACCGTAAAGCTTCTGAATTAGTTGCCAATGTTTAAATCTCAGGTAATTTTTAAATAAAAATCCAGATCCCTGGCTCCTCTTGAAAAATCATAGTTGTTATCAGAGGCCCACATAGCCACACGGCCACAGTTGCAAGATGCCACAGAGTCCGCCCAACCTGAGCAATTTTACCTGGCGGCCTTGATGCCACAGGCCCCACCACTCTCTATTTGTCCCAAGCACACGCACTATAATTATTCTTATAGGAGAACTAAGGGGAAAGAGAAATCTTTTTTTTTTTTTTGTGCCTACCTCTCTAAAATGGAGAAAATCTCTACAGCCCTAGGATGGTTAATGTGGATATGAGATGTGACTGTATCTGAAGAATACGGCACAAGGTGCCATTGGCAAGCAAGCCCCTGAGCTGCTGCCGCTGGGCCCCTCTAGGTTTGTGTGTTTGTCTCTCCTGCTGTGAGCTGTACGTTCCCACCAGACTCTGGCTTTCCCACCAAGATCCAGCTGTGCTGCTCCGCTTCCCCCTCCCTAGCCCATTTTGTGAAAAGCAGCTGTTTTTCCCTTTCCAGCTCTCCAAGTGCTGATTTCATCTCTTTCCCGACAAAAGTTTGAAGCCAGGAGGGAAATGGTTTGGCAGAAAGTCAGATTGCAGTGGGAGCAAGAAGACTACGTGGAGGAGGCCGATGCCGGGTAGCGGTCCAGGATGAGGGGTCTGGACGCGGCTCTGCAGACTCCATGAGACAAGAAGCCCCAGGAATCTAGGCGGGGCATAGGGCTCTGTGGAATTCACTCCTCTGAGCTGTTTTCAGCAACTTTAGCTAGGGGTGATGTCAAAGAGTTCCATTTCTCAATAGCTTTTCTGGAAGAGGGGTGGAGACAGCCATGGGGAAACCATGATGAGACACCAGGGCTCACCGGGGCTGACCACCCCTCAACTCAGTGCTACAGTTCGACTTTTGAGCACTTACATTGTGTGTGGACTGTGCTGGGGATGGAAGGAGGCTCGAGAGAACATGAGATGGTTAGGAGGTGAATAAGGACTGAAAACGGGTCACCAAGGCAACCAGGCTCAAAACTCATGGCACTGGGGAGGGACAGCCAGGTCAGGAGGAGCCAGAACTGCCCACCCCGGTACCGTGTGCGGTCCCACTTCCCGGGGGGGTCACACATTGTCCCCACTACCACCCCCGGCCTTATTAAAATCACCCTTCCCTCCCAATCAAGCTGAGCCAACATCTCTGACTGAGTCTGGAAAAATTCCTTTCTCCTTAACTAGGCCAAAAAAAGGTTGAACATTTCCCAAAGGAACACTGAGGCACAAAGGGAAACCCCAGTCACGGAGAAACCGGTGAGTTTACAGAGTGCAGATTTCTGAGCCCAGTGTGACCAAACGTCCCACGGAAACCATGGAAGGTCGCCTTGATGGGCATGGGAAGAGGTGGCTGTTCCTTGGAATTCCTTGACTCAGCTGGGCCTGAGGTGGAGGCCAGCAAATGCCAGCAAACTGTGGATGTGGCCGGGGCGGGGGCGGGAAGGGCTCTGCTTCCAGCCTGGTGGGTGCCTCAGTGCTTCTCAGGGACTGGGCCCAGGTCTTTGTCTGGGAAGGGGCTCTCCATGCACCTGCCAGGCCCTCCAGCCAGGCCCCCTCAACATCCCCCTGGCCTCCTTGAATGTTGTCCCGGCTCTGCCCCCTTTCATGAGGAAAGCCTTGAATTTTCTCCTCACTCTTCTGGAAGTCACTGGCTCCTTGGCTCAGGGTGTCCCCCACCCTGACCCCATCTCGCTCTGACCGTCTGGTTGTCCTAAAGCATGTTCACAGGGTTTCAGGCTGGCTCTGCCTTGGAGCTGCCATGTTCCACTGGGTCCTCCGATGAGTCAGCACAGATTCCCGCGGGCTGTTTCCAAACGTGAATCACTGTTGGAGTCCCTTTGGCATTTGGCTCCTGAATCGAGGAACTAACCTTATCCTTAGGGAAGCCACAGCCGACCTACCCAAGTGTAATAACTATAGAAATGTTATTTTTAAAAATAGGTAATACATGTGCATGTTAATGCAATCAAACACGAACATAAGTGGCCTCTCTCCCTGCCTCCATTTCCCCCCTGCAGAGGCAACCAGTGCCCTGTGCGTTTTCCAGAGACATTTTATGCAAGCAAGAGCATATATGTATGTTAATATATTTTGAAGATAATTTCATATCAGCACATAAAGTACTGCTTCATTTAAAAAAAATGGTTGCTAGTATTCCCTTGCAGGATGGTACATTTATTTAGCCAATTTCCTATTGCCAAGCACTTGGGTTGCTTCCAATGTTGCTATCTCAGAGAGCTTTGTCACTAGATTGTTTGGCATGTGTGCCCATGTGTCTGCAGGATAAATCCCAGAAGTGGGATTGCTTAGCCAAAAGATATGTTCATTTTAAATTTTTATAAATATTGTCAAAATGCCCTCTAGGGTAATAGTACTTACTGATTTTTTACTCCCGGTAATAATATTTGAGAATGTCTGTCTCTCTATACTCTCATCAACACACAGTGCTATGAAACTTTTTGCCAGTCTGTTAGCTAAAAGCAATTGGTATACAATCATAATTATAATTTTTGCTTTTAATACTAGTGTGGTCAAGCATCTTCTCCTATGTTTAAAAGTCAGTTGTGGGGCTGGGCAAGGTGGCTCACTCCTGTAATCCCAGCACTTTGAGAGGCCCAGGTGGGTAGATCACCTGAGGTCAAGAGTTCGAGACCAGCCTGGCCAACATGATGAAACCCGTCTCTACTAAAATACAAAAATTAGCCGGGTGTGGTGGCATGCACCTCTAATTCCAGCTACTCGGGAGGCTGAGGGAGGAGAATTGCTTGAGCCCAGGAGGCGGAGGTTGCAGCGAGCCAAGATTGCACCATTGCCCTCCAGCCTGGGCAACAGAGTGAGACTCAGTCTCAAAAAAAAAAAAAAGGTCAGTTGTGGGTCCATTTCTATGAGCTTTGCTCTATCCTTTGCCATTTCTTTCTTATTGATTCTAAAAGTGCTTTATATATTAAGGAAATTAGCCTTTGCCAACTGCATGTGTTGTAAACACTTTTTTTGCTTTGTTGGTTGTGCTTCGACTTTTATTTGACATTTGAATTACATTTTTTTATATAATCAAATTTATTATTATTTTTTAAAATGTGTTCCAGATTTTGTGTTATGTTAAGAAAGATCTTTCTCACTCTGAGGTTATTTTTTTAAAAGTATTCTATTTTTAATGCTTTTATGGTTTTAGTTTGAGGGATTAAATTTCTGATCCATCTGGAATTTATGTTGGTGTGAGGAATAAGGTGGGGATTTAGCTTTAATTTTTCCCAGATGACCACTTGGTTGTCCCATTCAATTGGGATCTTTTATTTGTTTGTTTGTTTTGAGATGGAGTCTCACTCTGTTGCCCAGGCTGGAGTGCAGTGGTGTGATCTCAGCTCACTGTGACCTCCACCTCCCGGGTTCAAGCGATTCTCCTGCCTCACCCTCCCAAGTAGCTGGGATTACAGGCATGTGCCACCACATCCGGCTAATTTTTGTATTTTTAGTAAAGATGGGATTTCACCATGTTGGTCAGGCTGCTCTTGAACTCTTGGCCTCAAGTGATTCGCTTGCCTAGGCCTCCTAAAGTGCTGGGATTACAAGCGTGAGCCACTGCACCTGGCTGAATTGGGATCTTTTGAATAATCGCTTTTCTCCACTGATGTAAATTTTGAAGTGGATGCTCCGTAAATGTTTCCTTGGCATGTACAGTCATGTGTCCCTTTAATGGGGGATTATGTTCTGGGAAATGCATTATTAGGCAATTTCCTTGTTGTGTGAACGTCACAGAGTGACTTACACAAACCTAGATTGTACAGCCTGCTACACACCTAGGCTATGTGGTGTAGTCTGTTGCTCCCAGGTTACAAACTTGCACAGTACGTCTTTGTCCTGAATACTGCAAGCAGTTGTAACACAATGTAAGTGTTTTTGTATCTACACAGAGAAAAGGTACCGTGAGAATATGGTATAAAAGATAAAAAGTGTCCACTTCTATGGAGCACTTACCATGAATGGAGCTTGCAGGACTGGAAGTTGCTCTGGGTGAGTCAGTGAGTGAGTGGTGAGTGAATGTGAAGGCCTCGGACATTACTGTACACTACTGTAGACTTCAGAAACACTGTACACTGAGGCTAATTTAGAAAATACGTTTTTCTTTTGTCAATAATAAATTAACCTTAGCTTACTGTAACTTTTTCATTTTATAAACTTTTTAATTTGTTTTAACTTTTTGACTCTTTTGTAATAACCCTTACCTTAAAACACAAGCACATTCGTACAGCTGTACAAAAGTACTTTCTTTACATCCTTATTCTATGAGTTTTTTCTGTTTTTAATTTTTTTAACTGTTTGAACTTTTTTGTTAAAAACAAAGACAAAAACGCACACATTAGCCTAGGTCTACGGTCAGGGTTGTCAGTATCACTGTCTTCCACCTCCACATCTTGTCCCACTGGAAGGGCTTCCAGCGCAGTAACATGCATGGAGCTGTCATCTCCTAGGATAACAATGCCTTCCTTCTTCTGGAACACCTCCCAAAGGACCTGCCTGAGGCTGTTTTACAATTAACTTTTTTTTTTTTAATTAGTAGAAGGTACATGCTCTAAAATAATGATTAAAATTATAGCAAATACATAAACCAGTAACATAGTAGTTTATTAATCATTATCAAGTATCATGCACAGCACATACAGTATTTATATGTGCTAGACTTTTATATGACTAGCAGTGCAGTAGGTTTGTTTACACCAGCATCCCCACAAACACACAAGTGATGCATTGTACGACATGATGACAGCTATGACGTCACCAGGCAACGGGAATTTTTTTTTTTTTTTTTCTAGACAGGGTCTCGCCCTGTTGCTCAGGCTGGAGTGCAGGGATGCAAACATGGCTGACTGCAGCCTCAACTTCCTTGGCAGGAATTTTTCAGCTCCATGGTCATCTTATGGGACCACCATAGTGTATGCAGCGCCTGATGGTATTTAGAAGGGAGGCGGAGAGGAGTGAAACGGCTGGATGCGCCTTTGCCTCAGCATTATCTTCTCAGGTGGTTCAGTTCAGAATCCAAACTTGGAAACTCTACTCAGAAAAGGAAAGGCCCTCCAGTTACAGAGTCCTTCTCTCCCCAGAAGGCAGCCTAGTGATGCTTGGTACTGCTCCGCCCCGTCTTCATCCCCACAGTTGGACAAAGTGCTCCTTCCAATCTCTGGGGAGTGTGATTTGCTCCATCTTGTCATATTTCCAGGTTGCTGCCCTGGTCAGCTTCCTGGCTGGGCTACCACCTGTGGGGCACCCGCTGGGGGCTCCGATCTGCACCATGTATAAGAGTAAGAGGCTTCGTCTCGTTTAATCATCAGCGCACTCCTCCTTCTACCCCATCTCAGGGTTGAGGAAGACAGGCTTGGAGAGGTTCAGCCTTCCCAAGTCCCAGTCTGCAGGTAACAAGTGTAGAATTTGAACCAGCTCTCAACTCCAGAGCCTGAACTCTTGGCTCCCTAGGGATGCTGTCATCAGAAACCAGAACCTGCACGTGTCTCAGATGCTCCGGCAGCACTAAGAGCAGTCGGGTGGCCTGAGAGGGTGGGATCAAGAGCATTGTCAGTGTCCCCCATTCTCATTGCATCTCATGGCTCCCCTGGAAGCCATGGCTGCGTGCACACCCACTGCAGGCCCTATCAGCCAACCAGAACACCACTCCCTGGGCCACTGTCTTCCTTTGGGTTCTTAGGAGCACCGTCAAAATGCTCCTTTCCCGAGACCCATGCCCACATGGCACACTCGATGTCGGGCACCTACAGATGTAATGAGTTCTAGTTTTCATTATCTCCAGTTCTAAGAGTAAAGGCAACACAGTGGCCAGTCCAGGCTCTGATTCCCGGGTGAGGCCGGCTGCTGCTGCACGTGATGGGAGCAGCGCCATTGGAACCCATGTGATCCAGACCGCCAGCCCTCACCCTAGCCCCCAGCCCCAGTGCGGGAAATGCTCTTTATAACATTCACTCTTTAAAGGCCACCTGGATCATTGTTTTCTTTTTCTAAATCTCAGCTTATTCAAAGAAAAATGACTTTAGCTTGGCATGTGAGAAAGGTCAGGACATTACACTGTTGGAAATGTCTATATGCTTGAAAAGAACCGAGAGTCCTCTGAATACGTAGCTCCCCCAGCGTCTTCACAGTGGGGTGTTTCACCCATTTCGTGGAGTCCAAAGTAAGTGATTTTTACATCCTGTCATCCGTAGGGGTGGGGATAGATCACCCAGCCACCAGGCTAAATGGGAGAGATTTGTTTATTCTTAAAATATGAAGAGTTGCCGTGGTCCTGGAATCTGTCAACAGTCAGATTCTTTTTTTCCAATCATAAACAATTGTTTAAAAAGTGTTTTTATTTTATGTTCATCTTAATTTTCCCAGACTTTTCATCTTGAAAAATTTTAAGCCATAGAAAACTTGCAAGAATAATAACTATGAAATTTACCAGCAGTTAATATTTTGCCACATTTGCTATATCTCTATATAAACATATTCATTGGTCAAAAAAAAAATCAGTATCTTTCCTTCCCTTCTCTCCTCTCCCCTATCACTTTTCTTCTCTTTCTTTTTTAATTTCCTTTCTTCTTTCTCTTTCTCTCCCTACCCCACCTTCTTTCTTTCCTTTTTTATCATTTCCCTCTCTTTTTATTTATTTATATTTTTAGAGATAGGGTCTCACTGTTTCCCAGGCTGGAGTATGGTGGCATGATCATAGCTCACTGCAACCTTGAACTCCTGGCTCAAGCGATCCTCCTGCCTCAGGCTCCTGAGTAGCCGGGACTACAGATGTGCACTACCACAGCTGGCTAATTTTTTTATTCTTTATAGAGATGGGGTCTCACTATGTTGCCTATGCTGGTCTCAAACTCCTGGCCTCAAGCAATCGCCCTGTCTTGGCTTCCCAAAGCACTGGGATGACACATGTGAGCCACTGCACCAGGCCTTTTTGTTTCTTTCTATATTTGAGAATAGTTGCGGAGATATCTTGAGATTTTATCCAGATATTTCCACATGTCTTTTCTAAGATAGTGAGCATTTTCTCACATAAGAATGAAACCATGACCACCCTCAATGAATTTAATGTAGATACAAGCCTGGTCTCTTTACATGGCCCATGTCCAAATGTTGCAAGTTGTCCTTGTCATGTCCATGTCCCTTTTTATCCAGTCAAGACCCGCCTCCCTCCATTGTGCCTCCGCTCAAGCTCCTCTCACCTGGAGCCACCTTTGGGCCTGTCTTGTCTTTCATGACCCTGATATTTCAAAGCATTCAGTCATTTGTTTGACAGACCGTGCCTCAATTTGGATTTGACTAATTGCTCTTCAGGAAGAGATTCGGGCTTGTATTAGTCAGTTTTCTGTTGCTATAACTGAATATCTGAGACTGGGTAATTTGTAAAGAAATGAAATTTATTTCTTACAGTTCTGGAACTGGGAAGTTCAAGGCTGAGGAGCTGCATCTGGTGAGGGTCTTCTTGCTGGTGGCCTTCTTCTGCAGAGTCCTGAGGTGCTGCAGGGGATCTTGTGGCAGAGGTAGGAGCAAGAGTCAAGCTGGCTTTTTAATGACCGACCGCCATGATAACCCAAGAACCTATTAATACACGAATGGCCCTCATGATCCAGTCCCTTTTTAAAGGCCCCACCTCTCAATGCTGCCATATTAGGAATTAAGTTTTAAGATGAATTTCAAAGGAGACAAACCTTCAAACCATAGCAAAGTCAAGCTTTTTTGAAGGGACAAGATTAATCATAATTTTTATTCTATTTGTGTGCATGTGTGTCCTTTTTAGAGATGGGTCTCACTCTGTCCTCTAGGCTGGAGTGCAGTGGCTCAATCATAGTTCACTGCAGCCTTGAACTCCTGGGCTCAAGTGATCCTCTTACTTCAGCCTCCTGAGTACCTAGGACTACAGATGTGTGCCAATGCACTCAGCTAATTGTTTTCTATTTTTTTAGAGGTGGGGTCTCACTATGTTGCCCAGGCTAGTTTTGAACTCCTGGCCTCAAGCAATCCTCCCATCTCAGCCTCCCAAAGCAGTGGAATTACAGAAGTGAGCCACCATGCCTGGCAAAGAAGGTGTACGAACATACACACACTGGAGTCTTTCTTCTTCTCTTGCCCCTCAGTGGGTGACCCAGTTCCCATCCTGGCAGGCAAATCACATTCCCAGTGTCTGTCTCCTTCCACAGATGATACAAGGGGAGTGTTTAATGGTGTCTCCTGCATCTGTAGCTGGATAGTTTGATCAGTGGGTGTGTCTGATTGTGTCACTCTCTTGCCTAGAAACCGTGGAAGGGTCTTGGAAGGCCAACTAAGATCTTGCTTGGCCCACAGGATCTAGTGCTCTGGCCCGGCCCACCTCACAGCCTCACCTGGTTCTACTCTCTGGCTTGGAGAGACCCCACCACGATGGCCTCCCTCCAGCCTCCGCACAGACCCTTGGATGTGCCATTCCCTCTCTCTGGAAGGCTTTTGCTCCCTTACCCCATCAGCTACTCATCATCCTGCATGTCTTGGCTCCCAGCCCCTTTTCCTCTGGGAAGTGGTCGCCAAATCCCAGGCAGGGTCCTATCACCTGGTAACACCCCTCTCAGGGACAGTGTATTCGCTGTCTGCTCCAGGAGGGAGGAACCTCTTCTAATGTGGGCACCAAGCGCCGTGCCTGGTGCATAATTGGCTGTCAGTAAACATTTGTGGAGAGAGCAAATGCACTCATGAATCCCTCACATCACAGAAGGCGGGGCCAGAGCCAGGGTGGAGGTGGGAGTAGAGGAACTCCGGGGCTGGCTGCTGAGGAAGGTTCTCTCTGATGGTGCAGCAATAGCAGGTCAAGCCCAGGGTCAAGATAAGGAGCCAAACGTCCCAAAGGTCGTAGGTGGTCAGCGATGGGGCCAGCTGGATGTTGCCAGTGGGTAACACTCCTGCTCTGCCAGGTCTGAGGCTCAGAGTTCCCAAAGGAGCAAGCAAGTTCCTAGGAGAGGAAGAGGAGAACCAGACTAGGTATCCGGTCAGGAACAAGGGACCCAACAAAATGAGGTGGGAGACTTGGGGCTGAGGTGCGGGCGGTTGCTCCGGATAATGACAGAATGGATGTGCAGAGGCCTGGCCATCAGCCAGGGTCCTGCACTGGAGATGTCCCATGGAGAAGGCAGGGCCGAGGCCCAGCAAGGCTAATACAATTCTCTCTCCAATGTCTGGAGCCAGCTTAGGCCACAGAAGGTATAGACCATGACATTGACCCAGCTAAGTCCTACAGTGTCCGTTGGGCCAGGAAAGGTTGTTTAAGGGATGAACAGGACAATCTCTGCAAACAAAAAAGTCTCACATTTTTGGCCTAAGGCCAGAGGGAAAAGCAAAGTTCACCAACAACAGCCCCATGATCCCTCTCCACCTTCCACCTGAAGTGAGAGGCAGGGTGAAGCCCAGCAAAGCTTTCTGCACTGTGTGACTGCAGGGGGCAAAGGATATTCATGGAGAAAAGAAAGAAAAACCCCAACAGGGATTTTCTTCAGTGCATGGAACTGGTTTTGTTTTATTTTGTTTTTTAGAGTTTCCTGCAACTTTCTATTTTTTTTCTATACATGAATGCCAATTATTTTTACACTTTTACCAAAGACAAAACCCTTTTCAAGGATTCTGTACGCATCCCCTGAGAGTACTGGTTCTAAACCTTGACTACATGTTAAAATCACCTAGGGAACTTTAAATACGCCAATGCCTGGGTCCCACCGCGAGGTGATTCAGATTTTAGTGCTTGGCAGTGTGGCCTGCCCAGGTGATTATAATGTGCAGATTGAGAGCCACTGCCCTAAAATGAGTATGCACTAGAGAGGTCGAATAAAAGATATGCTCTTACCAAGCACCCATATCCAGGAAGGCCATGTTCAGTTGTATGAGCTGCGTACTGCATACCTCCAGGGGACACCATTTGCATAGCCTATAACATAAAAGTGCCTCCCTGGAGTTATGCAATGTGGCAGCCTTGTAAGTATGGATATATAAATTACATATTCATAGATACATAATTTAAACATTGATTGCATCTGTTCACTATAATTCTCAGTGGGAGGGATGGAAATGATGTTCAGTAGGATATACAGAGTATTTTGGAAGACTTAGTTTATATTGTCTGGGATTTTAAAATTTGGTGAATCATTCTCCAAGAAGATGATTATAAATTTAAAAAAATAAATAAATAATAAAATCTGATGAAGGTTAAGATAACAATAAAAACACCGAAAGCCAAGGTGACCATGTCAATCTAGAACCATGGGTTGCACGGGACAGAGAAGACTGAGAGAGAGGATGCATCTGAGAGGGCTGGGACGTGTGCAGAAGCACAAGTTTGGATGGGAAGTCTCCAGCAGGCAGTCCGTGGAGGTGTGGCTGGTGGCAGAATTGTTGGAGCAATGGGAGCATCCTGTGGAGTATTTTCCCTCTGCCATGAAGCATTCCTGTTTCTGCCACTGCTATCATTCAGAGATTGAATCTAATTCCCTGCTCTTGGACCTGAGGTGACCTTTGACTTCTTTTAATGAGTAGAATGCAGTGCAAGTGATGCTATATAAGTATAATGGTTTCAGTCATTTTCAGCTTCTGCCTTTACTTCTTTAATGGCTCCTTCTTGGACCCTCACTGCCATTCTGTGAGGAAGCCCAGGCAGCCAAGTGGAGAGGCCCACACAGAGGAACCAAGGCTGCCAGTCAACAGCTCCGCAGATCCCCAGCCAGTAGCCCGGTGGAGCCATGTGAGTGAGGCAATTCTGTAACCTTCCAGCCATCCCAGGGTCCCAGCTAACACTAGGCAAAGCAAAGGAAACACCCGGTCAACCCACAGAATGGAGAGAAATGATACATTTTTGTCGTTTTGAGTCACCAAGTTTCAGAGTATTTTGTGACTCAGAAATAGGTGGCTGAAGCAGGGCCACTTCTGCTCTGCAGGTGGGCACAGGCCAGTCTGCTGGAAGGGTATGTGTGTTGAACTGGCTCTGAGGCCTTGTGAGGTTAGACGTGCTGGAAGATCCTAATAGGGAAAGGTTTCTTTACAAAAATTATACTTATCAAAGTTATATATATACACACACAGACACATATGTGTGTGCGTGTGTGTGTGTGTGTGTTATATAGTGGCAACAACTCAGTTACATCAGAAAGGCTTACAATGAAAAGCAATCGTGTCTCTCCTGCTGTACTTGCCCCTGTTCACTCCCAGTCCTACTCCCCCAAGACAGCATCTTTTGCCAGTTGCTGTTTATGGATTTTCTCCACACTCCAAATCACATACTTATACCTCCGTTCCTCAGTTACCATCTTTAGACAACAGCTATTCACTCCCCAATACCTAAGATGAGCATTTAGCTCACTACTCCCAATGTCTGAACTTTCATGACTATTTTTGACTCCTGCATGAGCATTTCCTCTTCTGACAGCAGTCGCTGATTCCCAGCTCTGTAAGATGAGGACATCAGTGCCCCTCCCTTTCTTTCTGCTTTTCTCTTCCCTTCTTCAATCACTCGTGTTTTGTGCCTCTGCTTCTACCACTTCATAGCACTGTGGTGTTTAATCTCGGGTGCCTGGGCTTCCTGGGAGAGCAGCCATGAATTCCTTAAAATTAAGTGTAAAATTGTGTGTGTGTATTTATGATCCATTTCCTGGGGAGAGTCCAGAGCTTTCATCAGACACTCCCAGAGGGGTCAAGCTCGGGTGCTGTATGGGACTCTGTACTGAGGTCTTCCGTCCGCCACCAGAGCCACCCTCATCCTTCTTCAGACTTCCGGCTGGGTGTGGCCAATGGGGGGCCCGGGCAGGAGTAGCAGGAAGGGGACGAGGAGAGTGAGGAAAGGCATTTGCTTATTCCTGTGGCTCCGTCTCTGCTGGGTCATCTCGGGCTGGTTGAGTCTCAGCTGAAGGACCTTACTCCGCCAACGGTTGCCTTTTCCACGTAGCTATCTCCTTTGGTAAAGGCTTAATTGTTCCTAGCCCCAGGTCACTGCATTTTTCTTGGTGGTCTTATACACCCTGCCCATACCTTTGTAAACAGTCCTTTTAATAAGTCATCTGGAATTCTCTTAATTTGATTGTGACATTTGTTTCCTGTTGGGACTCTGTAATGACCATGTTCCTCGGACACAAACTCTGAGACAGAGGTTATATGCAGGAAGTTTTCGGACAGTGCTCTTGGGCAGAGGGAGGAGTTGAACTGCGATGTTGTCACCATGAGGGCTGGAGCTGGCCCTGTGGGAGATCTGAAGCTGGGATAGTCTTTGGAGTTATTCCAGTCCAGGCAAGGGGGCCCAAATGACCAGACATTGGATGCCAGGAGGGGACATAAGCTTGGTCAAAGTGGGTCTCTTCAGGTGAGGGCAGTTCTCAGGAAGGGCCCCCTGGCAGCAGGGACAGCCTGGCCTCTAGGGCAAGGAGAGCCTGGGTCTCAAAGCGGGAGGGGTTGGGGGTTATGGGGAGGCCCCTGGAATGCACTGCAGACCCAACCTTGGTCTGGTCGCTAGGCCGGGCCTTTTGTTCGCTGCATCCTGACACCTAGCACAGTGTCCCACACAGTGTAGGAGCTCAGCCAATATTTGTTGAATGAATGACTGAATGGAGTAACAACAAGCTTCTTTAATTGATTAAAATTCATAAAACTCAGAGCGCTTATGTATCGCTGCTTTTTTCAATTTTTATTTTTTAACTTTTTGTTTTGAAATACTTTCACACTTAGAAAAAAACTTATAAAAATGAGACAAAAATCATCCAGGTTTCCCAACTTGTAACATTTGCCTCTCTCTCTTATATATGTGTGTATATACACGTATTCACATATATATACGCAAACTGTTATTAATTTCTGAAACACTTTAGAAAGTTGGAGACCTCCTGCCCCTTTATCGTTAAATATTTCAGCATCTATCTCCTAAACATGAAGACATCTTCTTACACACCTGCGGTGCAATTTATCAAATTCAAGAGATAGAACACTGACTCATAGCTACTATCTGATGTACAGTCCCTTATAGAAACTCCCTCCCCACGTCAAGGATTTGATCCCGGATTACACCCTGCCCTCCACTGTCTTGTCTCTTGGTCTTTTTCCTTTGTCCTTCATGGCCCTGGCATTTTAAAGGACCCATTGTTTCAGGAAATGCTCTCAAGTTCAGGTCTGTCTGTTTCCTTATGATCAGATGAAGGCTGTGCCATTGGCAGGAACCACTCTTCATCTCCAAACCTAGTGGGTTCAAAGTTCACTGCGTCTCTCTTCCCTGTACTCTCCTCAGGGAGGAGCCACTATACCCAGTTTCTATTCTTAGGTCCAAGGGTGAAATCACCTACTCAAGGTCGCACACTTAATGACTGAGCTAAGTCCAGGTACCCTTAGCTGCCGCTCAGCATCTTTTTCACCACACCTGGTAAAAGAAGGGACTTCCACAAACACTTCCCCTCTCCCTTGGCCTCTGGAGGAGGCACCCACTTCCTAACCCAGCCCTTCGTTGTGCTAACTGGGGTAATGGGCTACCTTGATTTTCAAAATAAAGCCTCTAGAGCTGCTCTCAGAAGGGAAACCTCTGGAAGAGGGCTTGTAGGAGGGGGAGGAGGGAGAAGGGGGAGTGAGACAGGACGCTGGCAGGGCGGAGAGTTTGAGGGTGAGAGGGAGGGCTGGGTGAGCCCCTGCCCTGTGGCGTGGGCTTTGGAGACAGAGACGGACAGAAGGACTCTGTAAGAAGTTTGCAGTGGGCAGCGTTGGGTTTGGCACATGGCTCCCGACCCCCAACTCTTTCCTCTCCTCCTATGTTTGCCTGCTCAAGAGACTTGAGAAAAAAAAAGGTTTTCAGGGCTTTGGGAGAGGTCTGTGTTTATTCAAAGGCCACTGTGTTTAGATGGGCCCCAGCATGGCCCAGTTATATCCTGGTTACATATGAATGGCGGTGATTTCATTTGGATCAAGGATAAGAGATATGTTTGTGTAATAAACACTTAGAGATGAAACAGGTTGTCCTGGCAGGGTTCCCCAAGGGACTTTTCTAGAGCCGGGGTCGTCAGGGTTGTTGAGTTGGAAAAGACCCCAGAAAGAGCTCTTCTTTATTTCCCTCCAGTTATTTCCCTCCAGTTATTTCGTGAGTGCAAGTTTTGTGTCCCCAGACAGGCTGAACCTTCCAAGGCGCAAGCGTTAGGCCCTGTGAGCCCTCGTTCTGCCACATACTGCCTGTTGAAGTCTCTCACCTCTTTGGGCCTCAGCTCCTTCACCTATGAAATGGGCTTATAAATAGCGACTCTCAGACAGGATGTGCATGGATTAAATGGGATGCTGCCTCCCGACGCACTAGATGGGCTGTAGAGCATGGCACGTGTGTAAGGAACACACGTGTCATTCAGGACAGTGCCAGGGGGTTGGTGGAATACTACAGGACAGAGGAACAAAGCACTGATCTGCCAGCCCCAGGCATCTCAAGTTCAAACTCACCGTGAGCTTTCCCTGTCCTGGCTTCCCCTTGTCACAGTGGAGACGGGCCCAAGAGGGACCTGAGGCCTGAGGGGGTCTGTGCGGTGGCTGCAGGGGGCTGCTTACTGGAAAGAAGGCCTTGGGGAAGTCCCTAGCTTCCAGATTCTCCCCAGGAGCTGCCACTGGAAACCTTTGTCTGGAGACCAAAACTTTTCAAGACTTGACCATGAAGATTTCTGATTTCCCTGGAGAACAGCTCCTCCGAGCAAATCATCCCCTATCCTGGCTTTCAGCCTCGCAGCCCACACCTTTGACATCTCCACGGTAGAGCCAATCTATGCAGCTGGGCCCACTCTCCTCTGCTCCATCGGCAGTCCCACCTCCTTGTCTCCTTTCAGGGGGTCCCACTTTCCAAGTTCACCCCACTTCCAATGCACCTTCCAGATCATGTCAATCCCTGCTCAAAAGCCTTCTGACGCCCTCCGTAGTAAATGTTTTTTAGGTTTGGCCTAAAGCTGCATCTTGTAAGTTAGGCCTAAAGGTTTCTCCAGACACAGTGAACTGTAACCTAGCTGGATGTGTAAACAGACTGTAACCTACTCTTGTGCCAATCACCCAGCTTCAACCAATCACAAGTGGCCAACTGTTAAGTAAGACAAACTCCCAGTTGTAACCGGTCCGGCTGTTTCTGTACCACATTTCCTTCTTCTGGCTGCAGCTTTCTTTTTTCTGTCCATAAATCCTCTCTGACCACGTAGCAGCACTGGAGTCTCTCTGAACCTATTCTGGTTTGGGGGCTGCCCAATTCAAGAATTCTTCCTTGCTCAATTAAACTTTGTTAAATGTGTCTAAAGTTTTTCTTTTAACCATGTTAACCCCCCAGCTTTGCTCTCAAGTCCCTTCATCATTAGAGCCCACCTCACCTTTTCCAGCAAGATCTTTTTTTTTCCCCCTCTGTCGCCCAGGCTGGAGTGCAGTGGCAAGATCTCAGCTCACTGCAACCTCTGCCTCTTGGTTCAAGTGATTCTCCTGCCTCAGCCTCCTGAGTAGCTGAGATTACAGGTGCCCGCCACGATGCCCAGCTGATTTTTTGTATTTTTAGTAGACCTGGGTTTTGCCATGTTGGCCAGTCTGGTCTAGAACTCCTGGCCTCAAGTGATTTGCTTGCCTTGGCCTCCCACAGCGCTGGGATTACAGGCATGAGCCACGGCACCTGGCTTTCTACCCAGATCTTTAACCATCCTTCATGTGCTGTCCACTACAAACCCTGCCCCTCGATGTTCTTTGGTATACCTTGGGTTTTCCTGCCTCTGGGTCTTTTTTCTTTTCTTTTCTTTTCTTTTCTTTTCTTTTCTTTTTTTTTTTTTTTTTTTGAGATGGAGTCTTGCTCTGTTGCCCAGGCTGGAGTGCAGTGGTGCAATCTCGGTTCACTACAACCTCTGCCTCCCGGGTTCAAGCAATTCTCCTGCCTCAGCCTCCCAAGTAGCTGGGACTACAGGCGCCTGCCACCACGCCCGGCCAATTTTTTGTATTTTTAGTAGAGACAAGATTTCACCGTGTTAGCCAGGATGGTCTCAATCTCCTGACCTCGTGATCCGCCCGTGTTGGCCTCCCAAAGTGCTGGGATTACAGGCGTGAGCCACCGCACCTGGCCCCCTTTAGATCTTTTTTAATGCTGTTCCTCCTGCTTGGAATGTCCTCCTTCAGTAATTTCTACCCATTCTCCAAGCCTCATCCCGAATGCCTCCTCCCCGTCATCCTACCCCCAACTGGACCCACTCTTTCCTGCAGTTTATGCTTGGCATTCACCAGACCCTGCCTTGTTTCCATCTTTGGAACAAGCACGCATCAGCTTGCAAGAGCCAGTTTTGGGAATCTCTTCTCAACTCTGGGTTCATCGAAGTCATTTTGGCAGTTTGAAATCAGTCCTGGTTTACTTATGCCAGGGAAATCAGCAAATGTTACAAGTCGGGGTCCTCCCATCCCCCAGAAAGCTGGCTACCAGCACAGCACTGCTTATCTTCCTATTCCCTGGGCTGGATGCGAGCTTCATGAGGGAGGGCGGGGCATCTCTGAAAGCCCATGTGTCTCCCACCAACAGCTCTTGACAGGCACCGCACTCAACAGGAACTTTAAGCTGAAGTTTAACTCGTGTGATGCAAGGGTCCCTGAAACTGGACGTGAGATGGGTAAGGTAGTGGAGTCATGAGAGAGGGGAGAGGCTCTGAACATTAAAAGTACCAAAAACTCACCCTTTTCTATTCCGGGTGTCAAAGACCACCAAGGACCCCACCACTCTTGTGGCCTCCCATTTTTTACCTTCCATGTTTGAAAAATGACAATAGTTAATACTTCCTGGATGCTGTGGTAGGTTAAAGATGGCCACACATTCTTTGCTACTCTTCTTGTTGGGATGTGGGGTCTGTGTCCCTTCTTGCTGAATTTGGAGAGGCTCTGTGGGCACTTGGCCAGTAGAAAATGGTGGAAGTGCTGCCATACTAGTTTCTGGGCCAGGCCTTAGGTGTCTGTGTCTGGCAGCTTCCACTTCCACTGCTGGGACTCCTGCTCTGGGAGCTTTGACCTTTGTAAGAAGTTTGACTACCCTGGGCTGGTCATCCTGAAGAGGCCACGTGTGGGTACTCTGATCAATATCCCAGCTAAGATCAGCCTTCCAGCTGTCCCCACCAATGCACCAGACATGTAAGTGAAGCTCCTTCAAACCAGCCAACTTACCTTCTAGACACAAAGGGACTGTCCTAGAGCCATGAGGAGCAGAACAGTTGCCCAACCCAGCCCTGCCCAGATTCCCAATCCATAAAATTGTGAGAGATAGTAGAATGGGGGTTGTCTTGGATCACTAAGCCTTGGAGTCATTTGTTACACAGCAGTGCTTACTTAACTTACTATGTTTCAGACACTGGGCTGGGCATTTTAGTTGCTTTATTCCAATTAATCTTTACACCATCTTCATGGAGCAAGCCTTATTATCATCTCCTTTTTACAGATGAGGCAATTGAGGCTTAGAGAGGTTGAGTGCTATGGAATGAATTGTGTCTCCCCCAGAATATGTATGCTGGAGCCCTCACCCCCAAATGTGGCTATATTTAGAGGTAGGGTCTTTAAAGAAGTAATTAAGGTTAAATGAGTCATAGATCATAAGGGTGGGGCCCTAATCTGATATGATTAGTGTCCTTAGAAGAAGAGGAAAAGAGCAGAAGTTCATATGCACAGAGAAAAGGCCATGAAGACAGTAAGAAGGCAAGCCAAAGGTGTAGGATAAACCAGCCCTGCTGACAACTTGATCTTGAACTTCCAGCCTCCAGATGAGAATACATTTCTGTTTAAGCCACCCAGTCCGTGATGTTTGTGACGGCAGCCTGAGCAGACTCACACACTGAGAGCATCCCAAGGTCATACCAATACAGCCCTAGACCCTCACAAGTAGGGGGCCCTACCCCGCACCCAGTACTGTAGAGGGCCCTTCTCTGGCCCTCCTCTGGCCTTGCCCCTCCCCACAGACTGAGGAGTCTGGTTGCTGTGGGATCATGTCTACTCAGGGCCTGAGACCTTCTGGGCCATATTTCATGTACCTGGGGCCCTGGAATTTTTTTTTTTTTTTTTTTAAGATACAGTCTTGTTCTGTTGCGTGCGCTGGAGTGCAGTGGTGTGATCATAGCTCACTTCAGCCTTGACCTCCTGGGCTCAAGTGATCCTCCCACTTCAACCTCCTGAGTAGCTGGGACCACAGGCACATGCCACCATGCCCAGCTAATTTAAAAAAAATTTTTTTATAGAGATAATGTCCCGTTATGTTGCCCAGGCTGGTCTGGAACTCCTGGGCTAAAGTAGTCCTCCCGCCTTGGCCTCACAAAGTTCTGGGATTATAGTCAGGAGCCACCATGCCCAGCCCAACCCTGGATTTTCTGCCCAAATGGTTAGGAGCCTCCTCCCAGGACCCATGTTGGTCTTGTTTCTAGGTGTGTCCCCCCAAAAGTGACCTGAGACTAGAGCAGGTAGGTGCAGGAGCTATCAAGTGGTAGCTCTTCGTGGACATGTGGATGGGACTTGGATTTCAGGCTGAGTATCTGTGTGCATGCACACAAGACCCCCTGCAATGCCAGACAGAATTGTTGTGGGACAGGTAAGAGGCCAGGCCATGGCCAGGGTGAACTCTTCTTAGACTGCCACACTCTGGAGTAGAACCGTGCAGAGCCCTAGAATCCTGAACTCAAATCCAGCCTCATGGGTCATATATGTCAAAGTAGGAGCATGGAACATATTTTATTGAACAGTTTGTTTGCTTGATTTATAGTGTTTAAATACTCAGACATATGGCACATGGGCCGCCATTTGGACCCGTGAGCTAGGCCTGCCTGCACAGCTGCCGTGACTGAGCCAGGGCCGGAGCCCAGGGCCACCACACGGGATCCCTCCAAGCTTATTGCCCAGAGAAGGGTAGAGATAGTGGGGCGGATGGGCTAAGAGGAGATGCAAATACTAGTGCTTTTAAGTCCACTATTAGCCAGGTGTGGTGGTGCACACCTGTAGTCCCAGCTACTTGGGAGGCTGAAGCAGGAGGATCACTTGAGTCCAGGAGTTCCAGGCTACAGTGAGCTATGATTGCACCACTGCAGAGTGAGACCCTGTCTCAAAACAAAAAATAAAAATTAAAAAATAAGAGTTCTGCTACCAGTGCTGTAGTATCTCAAACTCATTTCTAACTTGGACCAAAGACAAATGGCTGCAGAGCCTGGAGACCACTAGGATGCTGGATTTAGGGACTCCAGCTGCTCATGGGACCATCCAGGTGGGAGACAGCGTGGCTTCAGGGCCCCCTCCTGACCCCCTTCATGACGAGCCACTGACAGGCTGAGACAAGTGACAGGAGGAGGAGATGAGATGCCTGTCTTGGGTACATCTGTGGCTTTCTCTGATCCAAGAACCACATCTCACACCGCAGGCTGCAGCTTCAAGTCCATGCCTGGGGGATCTGTTTGCCCCCTTGCTGGCTGGCTAAGGGTGTGGATGGCACTGACTGGGGCACAGGCCAGGAGGCTGGATATTGGTGGGTGCTTCCCTGGGAGGCATGTGTCTCCCAGTCAAATAATAAATGCAAAAGATATTTGGTTAAAGTGTAAAGAATCAAAGAAAGAGAGAAACTCTGGGGATAGGAAATTCTTTTCAAAATCAGTGGGGTTTTGATTTTTGTTTTCAGGTGGGGGCTGTGGATTTAGAGCCCAGGGTTTCCCTTGCCTTCTGGGGACAATGTGGCAGGAGCCTGGTCCTCTCAGACTGTTGCCTCTCTGGCCAGAGATCATGTTTCCTGAGATGGGCTTGGGATGGCTTTTTCCTCTTCATAGGAAATGCTGGGCACATGAGGTAACCGCGTCTGGGCAAGAAAGAATGTGTGGCGTCGCCAGGGCATCATCCCACCAGGAGGTTGGGGAAAGGGCCTGTTGCTTGCCCATTTGTTTGTGGACAGGGCCTCCTTGGGGAGCGGAGAATGGGGCATTTGTGAGCACTTTGGGGTTCATTCTTCCTGATTTTCTGGTCATTGTGAGTGTCCAATTAGACGTGGGGCCTGGGGCCCTTTCTAATTCAGAGGGGGTGGTTCAGCTGGATTAGCCTGGAGAAGACCAATCCCACGTTGGCTTAGCTGTGGAGACCCTGGTTTGTGCCTGGAGGAGGGCAGAGACCGGCAGGATGCTGGGGAGACCTGCTGGCACCGCAGCCAAGAGCGGCAGAGAGCAGTGCTGGACTTCTGACTCTCGGCCTTGGAGGGAAGCCTCTGTTAGACCCCAGCTGGGCAGGGCAGGGCCACGCATTTCAGCAGGGCAAATCCTGTTTCCTGCAGGGGAGCTGGGGTGTCCCTTACTGCCATCACTTGACTTCCATTTGGGTTGGGTGGGCCAGTGGAGGCAGGACTTCACCCTACTGTGATCGCACAGGAATTCTGTAGGATTTTCCACTCTTTTTCCTATGGGCGTCACAGAGCCCACCAAGGGTGGGTTGGGGATTTCAGCTTCAGCCTCTTAGGGGCCTGGGGTGGTATATATGGGGCAGCTGCTTGGAGGTAAGAGTTCTGCTCCCAGCCGGCTTTCCAGCGAGCCATTTGGAGGTCGAGTCAAGTGACTTGGGGGCAAGAGTTTGGAGGAGTGTCAAGATGACACCCTGAGAATACAGTGACTATCTTGCCATTGTTGGAGAGGCCAGCTTTGGTTTGAGAAGCCCAGACAGGATGAGTCTATTTCCACAGTACTTGCCATCTCCACCAGCACCTTCCCCTTCTCCTCCCTTCAGTTTTCAGCCATTTATGGAGGTCATTTGTTTTCCAGTACTGCTGTGACAAACCACCACAAACCGTGTGGCCAACAACACAGAAATTCATCCTCTCATGGCTCTGGGGGCCAGAAGTCCAATGTCAAGGTGTCAGGTAGGCCGTGCCCCTCCACAAGCTCCGGGGAGGATCTCCCCTTTTCTCTTCCGGCTTCTAGTGGCCCCGGGTGCTCCTTGGCTTGTGGCTGCATCAGTCTGTTCTCTGCCTCCATCTTCCCAAGCCCTCTCTCCTCTCACTTATGAGTCTCTCCTCTGCGTATCTCTAATGAGGACATTTATTGCTAGATTTAGGGCCCACCTGGATAATCCAAGATGATCTCATCCTGGCACCCTTCACTGAATTATATCTGCAGAGTCCTTGTTTTGCAAATAGGGTCACACTCACAGGTTCTGGGCTTTAGAACATGAACATATCCCTTGTGTTTGGGAAGGGAGCACTATTCAGCCCTTTCTGGAGGGTTCTTATGAACAGGTACCTGGCAATGTCCTCAGATGCTCAGTGAGGACGCACCTGAGGTTCCAGTCCTGACAGCAAAGGTGACCGCCCTGGACCTCAGTCAGCTCATCTGCAGAATGGCTAGGTGAGCTCAAGGGTTTCTTCCTTCTGGCACATTCCCAGCGCAAATCCTGTCGGTCCCTCGGCATCTATGCTGCTGATTTGGGTCTACTCCAGGGCTTTACAAATATACATATCTCTAAGCATAGAACATATATTTTATTGTAGTAAAATACACATAACATAAAATTCACCATTTTAACCTTTTTGTTTTGTTTTGAGCCAGGGTCTCTCTCTGTCACCCAGGCTGGAGTGCAGTGGCACCATCACGGCTCACTGCAGCCTCCACCCGCCTCAGCCTCCTGAGTAGTCAGGACCACAGGTATGCATCACCACACCCAGCTAACTCTTGTATTTTTTTTTGTAGAGATGAAGTCTCATTATGTTGCCCAGGCTGGTCTCAAACTCCTGGGCTCAAGCAATCCACCTGCCTCAGCTTCCCGAAGTGGGATTACAGGTGTGAGCCACCGTGCCTGGCCCCACTTTAACCATTTTTAAGTGTGGAATTCAGTGGCATTAAGCACACTCATATGGTTGTGTAACCATCACCATTATCCATATCATCTTTCACAAAGATGAAATAAGAAGACTCATTCTCAGGCCCCTCGGGCCTCAGAGTGTCCTTCATGGGTAAAGCATCTTATAGAAGATGCCTCTACTACAGAGCTCACTATCCTGGTGGAGATGTGAAGATCAGGATGTTAGAAAAGGAGGCAGACAGGACTGAGGATGGTGGTGAATCCAAAGCAATACCCCCGGCTCCTCCTCCTGCAGGATCTGCCCTGTCTTGTCACCATGTCTTCTCCTTGCTGTCCACCCGTGTTCTTTTTTCCCCTCTAGACCAGAAGTTCTTAAAGCCTGGTCCCTGGACCAGCAACATCAGTACCTCCTGGGAGCTTGTTAGAAAAGCAGATTTTCTGTGCTCACCCCTACCCACTGAATCAGAAATGAGGGTGAGGTGTGGTGGCTGTTTCACAGCCCTCCCGGGATTCTGATCCATGCTAAAGAGTGGGAAGCACTGCTCCGGATCTGCAGAGAAATCCTGCTTTCAAAGAACTCACTAACGCCCCTACAAAACTACAATTTTTATGACTAGAAGCTCTGTGAATACCTTAAACAAGGAAGCTGACAGATTTAGTAAGATCGCGTAGGTCATGATCGCAAATGGGCTGCCCAAGGGCACGTCTTTCCCTTGGGTTTGTGCATTTGTCCTGCACACAATTAAAAACATTTAACTAGTTGCCAGTATTAAAGAAATAGAAACTTCCACGTAGAAATTCAGATTTTGGCATTATTTGAAATAATACTGTCTGGCAGTCCTGATATGTCTTGGCCTAGGTCCAAGCATGGGCCACCATGACTCGATGCAGGGACTGCCAGGCAGCCCAAGTCCCCCTACGCCCCAAGGCAAGTCCGCCTGGTGAGCCCACCCCCCCATTTTTATCTGCACTGACTGCTGTAGGGCTTTCGAGTTGTCAACCTCTGTATGTGAAGGGGGACCACAAACTGTAGCCCTCTGTGATTGTTAATGTTATATGTCAGCTTGGCTAGGCCACGGCATCCAAATATTTGGTCAAACACTAGTCTAGATGTTGTGAAGGTAATTTCTTTTAGGTGAGAGTAACAGTTATATCAGTGGACTTTGATGAAAGCAGATTGCCCTCCATAATGTGGGTGGGCCTCATCCAATCAGTTGAAGGCCTTCAAAGAAAAAAGACTGACTCCCTGCAGGAAGAGGGAGTTCTGCCAGCCTCCACGGTCACATAAGCCAATTCCTTAAAATAAGCCCCTCTCTCTCTCTCTCTCCTCCTCTCTCCACACATGCATACAAAACACACACACACACACACACACACACACACACACACACAAATGGTTCTATGTCTCTGTAGAATCCTGACGAACAACCCATGCTGTGAGTATTATTATTTGTTGGTGACCCTGGACCATTCAGGCACCAAGAGGTGCAGGAACTCTTCTTCCGTTTGCTGGCAGCTCTTAGGGATACACGCTCATTCAAACCATGCCCTCAGAGATGGAGGCTGCAAAGCTAATGAGTAGTATTATAATATTAATAACAAGAAATAAATAATCCATAAAAATAATTATGTTTATTTATTTATTTATTTATTTTTGAGATGGAGTTTTACTCTTGTTGCCCAGGCTGAAGTAAAATGGTGCAATCTCGGCTCACTGCAACCTCCGCCTCCCAGGTTCAAGTGATTCTCCTGCCTCAGACTCCCGAGTAGCTGGGATTATAGGCATGCGCCACCACGCCCGGCTAATTTTGTATTTTTAGTAGAGATGGGATTTCTCCATGTTGGTCAGGTTGGTCTCGAATTGCTGACCTCAGGTGATCCGCCTGCCTTGGCCTCCCAAAGTGCTGGGATTATAGCCATGAGCCACCGTGCCTGGCCAACAATGATGTTTATTAACAATAACACTATTAACATGTTGAGTGTTTATTCTATGCCAGACACCATGCTAAATGCTTTCTTTCTTTCTTTTTGAGATGGAATCTTGTTCTGTCGCCCAGGCTGGAGTGCAATGGCGCAATCTCGGCTCACTGCAAACTCCACCTCCCAGGTTCAAGCGATTCTCCTGCCTCAGCCTCCTGAGTAGCTAGGATTACAGGTGCCTGCCACCACGTCCAGCTATTTTTGTATTTTTAGTAGAGATGGGGTTTCACCATGTTGGCCAGGCTGGTCTCAAACTCCTGACCTTGGGTGATCCGCCTGCCTTGGCCTCCCAAAATGCTGGGATTACAGGCATGAACCACTGCACATGGCCAAGGCTTTTTTTAAATTAAATTAAATTTAATCCTTGGAGTAGCCTATGGCACAGGTACTATCATCACTAAACCTATTTTACTGATGGAACAGTCACAGAGAGGAAGTAACTTGGTCAAGGTCACCTAGCTCATGAGTGGCAACAAGATTTGAACCCAGAGCCAGACTTCAGGGCTCATGTTCATTAACCACTTAACCATGCTGCCATGCTAGAGTGTGTACTTCACCCTGAGTTTCCCAAATGACGGCGTGCAATAGAATCAATTCTCTGGGGGTAAAGAAATCTGAGAACTTGCATTGTGATTCAGGCAGTCCTTGGACTTCAGCTTGCCATGTGTAGCTGCACTAGTTGTGCACCATATAATTGTACTCAGTGGTACCAATGCAAATACTGTTGTAGGCAATGGAGAGAAAGATAGCTGATGTTCCTCACCTGTCCTGGAGGTGAGAGAGGTGCTGGTATAGTCACACAATGGAACACTTTACAGCAATAAAAAAGAACAAACAATACACGCAACATTATGGATGAATGAATCTAAAAAATTTATTGAGAAAGAAGGCACCAAACAGTATATATTATATTAGTCCATTTATAGTGGAGAAACCTGGTAGGTACCAAGTTAGCCACATGATCAGGTTAACATCATTAGTAACAAGACACATTAACGTAGTGAGCTCTTTGATATAAGGACATACACCATTTTAATGGTATTCTTGCCAAAAATGCATACTCTCACTCCAATCATGAGAAAACATTGAACAAACCCAAACTGAGGGATATTCTACAAAATTACTGACCAGTACTCCTCAAAAGTGTCAAAGTCATTAGAGACAAGAAAAGACTGAGGAACTGTCACAGACCACAGGAGACAAAGAAAAAATAACAATGAATGCAGTATGGGATCACGAATAAAATTCTGCAACAGAAAAAGGGCATTTTCAGAAAAATTGGTAAAATTTAAGTAAGGCCTGCTATTTAGTTAACTAACATTAACTTCAATTCACCGGTGATAATTTTCTTGTAATCATGCTGTGGTTATGTCAGATGCTAGGGGAAGCAGGCTGAAGAATATAAGGGAACTCTCTGTACTATTTTTTGCAGCATTTCTCTAAATCTAAAATTAAACTAATTTAAAATTAAAAGTTAAAAGCCAAAACAACACAATAAGCCAGGCAACGAGCTACCTGGCTCCATTTCCTCTGTGCTCAGTGGACCCTGGAAAGGAGGGAGCAGGGTCTGGGGCCAGGCAGGTAAACACAGGTAGGACTTGCTTCTCTGATCAGACCTAGCCCCTTTCCCAGACACCAAGCAACTCACCTGACTCTTCCAGCTCAAAGACAGTCCGTGCTGTCAGCCAGCTGCCTCCCACGGGCCACCAGTGCCACCACACTGAAGGAACCATGGAGCCACCTGGAAAAGTCAACCGAGAATTAGACATAACAATTTGGTTCTGCAAGGAGAGGAAACCCTTGGTCCTGGGATTCAGCCTTCAGGCTGTTATTAGCATTTATGGATGAAAGCTTCCTCTCAAGCATGGGTTGGTTGTGAATGCTTTTCCAGAGACATGGAAATGCAGCCAATGAGGACGTTTTTAAGTTCTCAGTTTTCCACCAGAGGACGGCTGCGCTCCCTGGTTTCAGGAGGGCACTGGGCTGGGGTGTGGATGTACCCAGGCGCTGTGGCCTCTTTGTGAGTTGCCTTCCTGGTATGCTGTAGGGATGAAGGGATGTGGGGGGGGTGCTCTGACTGAGCCCAGGGAGGGTGTCTGCCTCACCAAAAAGAGGAAGAAGGCAGAAAGAGGACCATGTCTCTGTGGTGAAGAGATGGGGTGATGGCAGCCTGCTCTCTCCTCCTGCACAGGGACTAGCGATGGACTTGATGCGCCTGCCTCTTCCCTCCCTGTGACACCCATTCCCCCATCCTCACCTGAGACCACAATGTGTTGTGTTTGGCACCCAAGCCTTCTGGTTTCCAGTGAGTTCTTGGTGCTCACCAGGCCTCCTGAGGGGCCTCCCTTGCTTGACACAGGGCAGAGGAGCAATGACTGGACCTGGGTCCCAAGGGCTGGGCATTCCCCTGGGCCGGGTACCCCTGTCGGCTGGGCACCCCTGTCAGCTCAGCACCCCCCTGGGCTTGGCACCACTGTGGGCTGAGCCTCTGCTAGGAGTCCAGGCCCCTCTTAGGTGAGAGCTTGAAACTGACCTCACAGGGGAGAATTTTGTGCGCCTTTCTTGTTCCTTTCAACCCTCCAGGACTATTATTTGGAAGAAGTATAGGCAGATTCCACTACATGGTTACCAGTCTGAGTGTCTGGAAGAGCATATTTGAAACTTGGGGATCCTCTTGAGTCTTCAGGATCCCTGGATAAGCGGCTCCAAACTCCACAGAGAAGCAGCTGGTCTCCTTCACTGAGAAATCCCTCAGATCCTCTTCTCTGTGGATTTCAAAAGACAGGCCATCTCCTCCCATTTCAATACACATTTCTCACTTGATTCTAGAACTTTCTTGTGCACTTCAGTCTTAGCTTCTCCCAGAACCCAACCTAAGGTTAATTGGAGCTTTAGTGGTCAGTGGGGTTTTCCCAGAAGCAGCCCTACAACAAGAATGTTGAAGATAAACATTTGATTTGGGAGGTGATCCCGGGAAGTAATGGTATAAAGACCAGGACTGATCATGTGACCACCGTGGGCGACTAAGGCTCCAGTGCTGCAGACTCTGGGGCAATGCCTGAGTTATTCCTCTAAGGGGTGAGGGGGTAGCCACATGTGTTATCATCCACTGTTGCACACAATTTGGATACCCCTGGACGGCCACATCTGCATGTGGGTGAGGTGAGCTCAGGAGAAGAGACACAGGTGCTGGCAGCCAAAGTGAGTTCATGCTCCCTGATGTGGCATGGCCTGAGGGCATGGGTAGGCACTGCCAGCAGCTTCTACACCTTCTGGGGGAGGAACACAGCCTATCTAAGGCTGGAATAGATTGTTCAAACTGTTCCATGTGGCAGGAGCCAGGGCTGCAATAGAAAAGAAGATTCCAAAAGGCTCTCTAGAGAAGGCTGGGCAAACAGAGCTGGATGCGAAGTGAGAGAAGGTTTATTATAACTCAGCACAAGCCCATCCCATCCACATTCCAGGCAAATCCACCCCATAGAGACAGGTTGTCCTGCCATGCGGCCGAGCCACAGCAGGCCTCTGGGCGCCAAGAGCCTGGGCTGGAGCATAGAGGATGTGGAGCCCCACTCTGTAGGTTCTGGGACTCCTGAGTTTGTTTCGGCCCCCACAGAGCTGTCCTGGCTATGGTTCCCAGAGAGCCTCACTGCATAAGGCTGCCCTTTTTCTTTTCTTCCTGTGAATAGCACCAAGCCATTTTGAAACAAGAATTCCTTAAAATAGTTTTTGTTTAAAGAAACAAGAAGCACCATCTCTTTATCGACTGTATGTTAACAGCAGTCAGCCAGTGAGCAGAAGCTTCTTTCAGCTTCAGGGCCTGAGGCTTGCAGGGGGACCCCCAGACCTCACCCACCCAGGGAGCTGCTTTCTCATAGGCACATCCCACAAATACTCCAGACACTAGATGACATTTTTATAGGTTTCTGTTTCCCTATATAGTGAAGTTGTTATTGCAGAAATGAGAGGACACTTTTGCAAATGACCAGAAGTCTGCACTTTCTAGGGGTGTCTTCTGGAGCTGCACTGAGCCACCGAGCAGCGCTGTCTGATAGAACCTTCTGCACTGATGGCAATGTTCTTGCACCACGAGTGGTCGCTGAGCACGCAACATGTGGGTACTGTGACCGATAAATTAAATGTTTAATTTCATTTAAATCAAATTAATTTAAATCTTTACACATAGCCACATATGGCTACTGACCTGGGCAGTGCAGCTTATGAGCAAAGGACACCCTGAACTTGGGCTGCCTCCGGTTGGGGCTGAGTTTGGGACGTAAGTATATGCACAGTTACATGGGTGCCCCTGGTGTGTGTCACACACGGCTGGAGTCCAGAAAGAAAGCAGCAATGGTTTCTTCTCCAGCTGAAGTCTTTTCTAGGATTGAGTCCAAGTTGCAGAGGTTTATGCCCTGCCCTTGGCCTGGGGTGATGACCTTGACCCTGGTCATCAGAGCAGCCAGGAAGAGCTCAGATTTAATGTCTGCTAGTGTCAAGAGCTTTCATGCAAGCAGTCTTCTTCGCCTCTGGGACACTCGGCTTGGGGGTTGTGTGTTTACCCACCCCCCACCCCCCAACCTTATCTTGGGGAGGAAATTGAGGCTCAGAAAATGTCAGTGCTCTGCCTGAGCTTCTCAGTGAAAAAGTGGTCAAGTCAGGATTCGAACCCAGGTCCACTGAGGCCCATGATACCCAGCACTCAGAGTTGTGCTTTTTCCTTGGCAGTAAGTGCTGCTGCCGTGAACTTTCTCCCACACTTTTTCTTGCAGTTCCTGAGCAACCGGACATACACTGGGCTCTGGTTGCTGGGACACCAGAGTTGAGAGGTCAGCATAGGAGGCTCCACTCACTTCGGTCCTGTGACAATGGACTCATGACCATTCATGACATCTCCAGCCTTGATGCCCCACCCCCACTACTGCCCATGAGTCTTATGTTAAAAATAACAATGAACGACAAGAACTGGGGCTCTGCAGTCAGAAGGACAACATATGTTTTCCATTTTCTTCTTTCTCTTCCCTGCTTCTCTAAAAGTGGATTAAATATGAAAAAGCACTTCCCGAACGCTTGGGAGACACTGGGAAGGATTGTCCAATGGAGAAATTATTCTCCAGAGAATTTCTTAAAAGCCACTTGTTTTTAAGAAAACACATAAAACTCTTAATTATAAAATTCACACATATTCGTTAAAGAAAACTTGGAAAACACAGATGAATATAAAGAAAGAAAAATGCATTGACATTCTACTCAAAGAATCTTCACTAAACGTTTGCTATAGTCCTTTTCAATTTTTTTTTCCTATGCACAAAAAATGTATATTTTTGTTTGCCTGCTGTAGTTATAACTATATATTTTAGGGTGATTGTATGATTGTGGTGGGAAGATTCAAACCCTCCCTGGGGTCAAAGGAATGATTTGAGATCCCTACTTTTCAAACCTTCTGGGTATAAAGGACCTGTTTTTTTTTAAATTTCCAACCCATCACTGACCACATATGAAGCAGCACGCTATGTGTCACTGACCTTGTGGGTTCACTGTCGCCCCACCTGGGTCATGTTGAGTCCAGCAGACACTTGATTGGGTGCCAGAGCAATGTCAGATTGCTCTAAAAGTTTCTAAGCAATCACTCTGCTTCCACACTGATTTCTTTATGGCAGAACTGGCCTGACCATGATCACCAAACTACAGCCCTTGGGCCAAATCCTGCCTACCACTAGGTGTGAGCTAAGGATGGTTTTTATATTTTAAATGGTTGGGGGAAAAAATCAGAACAATGTTTCATGACATGAAAATTCCAAGAAATTCAAATTTAAAAAATTCAAATTTCAAAAATCAATGAAATTCAATTTTGAAAAGTCTCTTCGAGATAGAGCCATGCTCATTCCTTTGCACATATGTGGCTGCTTTCTCAGTACAACGACAGAATCAAGTCGCCGAGACAGGGACCGACCATCCTGGCCTAAAATGCCTGAAATATTTACCATCTGGCTCTTTACAGAAAAGTTTTGCTGACCCTGATCCAGTTCAATGGTTCCCACATTTGCTGCTTTTTATAATCATTGGAAACTTAAAAAAACAGTACAGCTCGCCAGTCCCCTCCCCGCCCCAGGTGACTGTGACGTCAGCAGTTCTGGGACGCAGCAGCCAGGTGTGCCCTCAAGCGGCTTTCCCAGGACGGGGCCCGCGGCTCTGTTCAGAGTCTCCTTTGGGACAAAACCCCTTGTGTCCCGAGCTGCTCCAAATGTGGTCCCCGCCACAACATTCCCCGTGGGTCCAGCCCTTTCCGGGCACCCTGTAGCTGGGGTTCACTTCCTCCTCAGCCCTCTGCACCATGACCTCGGCCTCCTTCTTCCTCGCAGCCTGCAGCAGGCCCCCTGGGCTTTCCCGATGTCACCCCAGCCAGGGCCTCCTCGGGCTCTCCCCAGCAGAGGGTTTCTAGAATTCTTGGCCTGCCCCCCCGGGGCGGCTGGGAGGAGCAGCCTGGCCCCACGTCCTGAGGGCCCGGCCACAGGGCTCGCCTCGTCTGGGCCCCACGCAGCTCCCACCCTCTGGTTTATGCTTCTGGCACCAGCACTGGAGTCCTGAGCCAAATGCACACATGGCCTGAGCAGTTCTGTGGGGGAGTGGAGAGGAGTGAGCTGGAAGGGAGAGAGCTGATAAAGCCGCGTCTCTGCCTGTGCGGATTCCTTGTCTTTCCTGAATTCCTTCCTCACTCCTCCATTTTTATATTTCTCATTCCTTTCCTCCTCGCTCCGTTCCCTCTTCCTTCTTTCTCCTCCTTACCCTGCTACTTCTCTCTCTGGCATTGTTACCCCTCCTGCCTTGAGTTTTTGAGTCAGATCTGCTACTTCTAGGACAACCCCCTCTTCCTGAATGGGATGTGGGACACAGCGGCTCAGGCTTCGGGGCTGGAAATGTGCTCACTTTATTCAGGGAAAATGTGTTCCGGTCCTGTCCTCAGAGAGCTCACAGTTTATGAGAGAGCCAGACAAGCCGCAGGCAATTTTATGTGTACATATGTGCTATTTGTTTGTTTGTTTGAGACAGGGTCTTGCTCTGTCGCTCAGGCTGGAGTGCAGTGGCAATCTTAGCTCACTGCGGCCTCAACTTCCTGGGCTCAAGCAGTCCTCCTGCTTCAGCCTCTCAAGTAGCTGGGACAACAGGCACCCCTCACCACACCCAGCTAATTTAAAATTTTTTTGTTGTTGAGATGGGGTCTCGCTATGTTGCCCAGGCAGGTTTAGAACTCCTGGCCTCGAGTAGTCTCCCTGCTTCGGCCTCCCATGGTGCTAGGATTACAGGTGTGAGCCACTGCACCTGGCCATGTGTTGTTTTTAAAATTTTTCTTTAATTGAAAAACAATAATTGTATATATTTATGAGTTATGATGTGATGTTTTGATATGTGTATACATTGTGGAATGATTATATCAAGCTAATTAACATATCTATCACCTCACATATTTACCATTTTTTTTGTAGTGAAAACATTTAAAATCTATTATTTTAGCAATTTTGAAATACACAATGCTTTATTATTAACTGTGGTCATCATGCTGTGCAATAGCTCTTAAAAACTTATTCCTGGCCGGGCACGGTGGCTCACGCCTGTAATCCCAGCACTTTGGGAGGCCGCGGCGGGTGGATCACAAGGTCAGGAGATCGAGACCATCCTGGCTAACACGGTGAAACCCCGTCTCTACTAAAAATACAAAAAATTAGCCAGGCATGGTGGCGGGCGCTTGTAGTCCCAGCTACTCAGGAGCCTGAGGCCGGAGAATGCGTGAGCCCCGGAGGCGGAGCTTGCCGTAAGCCGAGATCGCACCACTGCCCTCCAGCCTGGGCCACAGAGCAAGACTCTGCCTCAAAAAAAAAAAAAAAAAAAAAAAAAAAAACTTATTCCTTCAGTCTAACTAGAAATTCATATTATTTGGTCAACGCCCTCCCCGCTTGCCCCCAGCTCCTGGTAACCACCATTCCATGCTCTATTATTATAAATTCAACCTTTTTAGATCCTCAGATGAGTGAAATCTTGTGCTATATGTCTCCCTGTGCCTGGCTTATTTCACTAAGCACAGTGTCTTCCAGGTTCACCCGTGTTGTCACAAATGACAGGATTTTATTCTTTTTAAAGGGATAATAGTGCTCCATTGTGCATATAACCACCTTTTCTTTATCTCTTCCTCTGTCGATAGACACAGGTTGGTTCCATATATTGGGAATAGTGCTCAATGAGCATGGGAGCGCAGACATCTCAGACACACTGACTTCATTTCCTTTGGCTATATGCTCAGTGGTGGGACTGCTGGATATGGTAATTCTATCTTTCAGTTTTTTTTTTTTTTTTTGAGACAGAGTCTCTGTCTTTCGCCCAGGCTGGAGTTCAGTGGCACGAACTCAGCTCACTGCAAGCTCCACCTCCCAGGTTCACGCCGTTCTCCTGCCTCAGCCTCCCGAGTAGCTGGGACTACGGACACCCGCCACCAAGCCCGGCTAATTTTTTTTTTTTTGTATTTTTTAGTAGAGACGGGGTTTCACCATGTTAGCCAGGATGGTCTTGATCTGCTGACCTCATCATCCACCCGCCTCGGCATCCCAAAGTGCTGGGATTACAGGCGTGAGCCACCGCGCCCGGCCTATCTTTCAGTTTTTTAAGCAATCTTCATACTGTTTTCTGTAATGACTGTCCTAATTTAATTCCCACCAATAGAACCATAGGCTATTTAAATAGTGCCCTAAGGGGCAGCCTAGGGGTAAGAACAGGGCACTTGGTCAGGTAGCACCCAGCAAGAGCCCATCCTGGCTGTGTGTTATGTAAGGGGGAAAAGGTGATCAACTCAGTGCAGGGAATGCTGGAACTAAGTCATGTTCAGGGTAGACAGTGGCATCTGCCCATGGAAGCCGTGGACATGCCCCTTCTTAAGACCCATGGACACTCCCCTCACTGAAACCCACAACATGGTCTTAAGTAAGGGAGGCTCAGGAGCAGATTTATACTTTAGAAAACTCATCCTGGCTACAGTGGGGAAAGTAGAACTGGGGGGTACCAATCTAAAGTCAGGAAGGCCATTCTAATCCAGAGAGATGAGGCAGGCCTAAACTCGGGCTGGAGAGGAGGGAGCGGCTTTGAGGGATATTTAGGATTTGGGGGTTGGAAGTGAGGCATGAGGGAAAGTCATGATGAGGAAAGGATGACATCCAGTTTCTAGTGTGGTTCTCTCAGTGGATGGTGTTCTGTCAGTTACTTCTGTAATAATGCTGCATAACCAATAAGCCCACAGTCTCAGTGGTTTACATCAACAAAGATTTTATTTCACATCCATGAGACTGAAGGCTGGCTGCCGTTGGCTGATCTTGAATGGGCTTGTCTGGGCCAGACTTCTGATTGGGTTCAGGATGTTCCACATGACCTCATTCTGGAGCCTAAGCCAAAGGGCAGTAACTATCTGGTGGAAAATCATGGGAGGGAAGATCACACAAGCATCTTTAAAATCTCATCTTGCATCACATCCAGGGCAGAGGTAAATCAAGGCCACCAGAGGAAAGAGGAGATAAGGTCACTAGGGGCTGAGGGCTGGGGCTGCTGGCTGGAATATCTGTCTGGGTTTCCTCTTATCCCTAGGCCAACCGAGGTCACAGTTGTGATGTGTTTCTCAAGTCTTTAAAACGATGCCAGGGAACAGAGATGTGGTTATCAGAATTAGGTACAATGAAAGTCTTTTTCCCTCCAATAAATATTGGATGCACATCCACTACGTGCCAGATGGACCATTTCCTCCTGTGAGGTAGGCATGGCAGCTGGAATCAAGGCCTAAGTTTAAAGCTGTGTCATGGAAAATAGGTTTCTGGTGTCCTAAGGGTTAGTTGTACCATCAAATAGAATTTCCATGGGAATTTCAGAATAATCAATTATGTACACTTTATGAATTTAAAATTGTAGTTGGCTAAAATAGAGACCTGAAAAATAGTGGCTTAAATCCCCAAGTATTTATTCTCTAATTTGTTAGGAAGTTTGGAGATAGGCAATCCAGGGCAGAACCCAAGCTTGTTATGTCTTTCTGCTCCGTTGTCTGCAGCTTGCAGCTTCTACCCTCAGACTCACCTCATGGTCCAATATAGCTGCTAGAGCTCCAGCCATTCGATGAGATATAGGCTAGAAGAAGGAGGTAAGGCAAAAGGGATATTTTTCTCAATTGAGACAGGTTTCTCTAAAGCAGGCTTCCTGGAAACTCCATAAAACATTAAGGCTTACATCTCACTAGTCACATGACCACACTAGCTGCAAGAGAGATTGGGAAATTTGGTTTTAGCTAGATACATTGCTTCCCTGAGTAAAGTCAACATTCTGTTTTCAAGCCACAAAGGGAAAATAAATATTAAGGGGCAACCAGCAGTTTCTACTGCACCCTCTAAGTGTGTGTGTGTGTGTGTGTGTGTGTGTGTGTGTGTGTGTGTGTTCCCTCAGAGGGACAGAATTTAGCAGAAAGAACCCTGTATTAAACTCAAGACCCATGGACTTATTTTCCTATTTCTCTATTACTGGCTACATCAACAAGGCAAAGTCATATAATCTCTCTGAGGCTTCAGGTTCCTTTTCGGCAAAATGTACTATTGATCATCTTTCCTTCCAGTGTTATCAAAATAACCAAATAGGACCAAGAACTCTATGAATTTTAACATGATATTAAAAAATTAATAATAAATACCCGTTTGGACTAGAAGCGCCCTTTGACCCACTGCTGTCCACACCAAGCAGGCTGTTGTGCTCTCACAGAGCATAGCTGGAGGGTAGGAGTGGGGCAAGACTAAGTATGTGGATGGAGTTGGCCCTGTTGAGGCAGATGGTATCCTAATTCCTTATGGACAGTAAGTACCTTAGGAGAATGTTTACTTGTGGATGGTTAGTCTTGATCCAGTGGTTTCCAACCGCTCCAGTTGACTATGCTGTATAATAGACACTAACCCCAAAGCCTACTGGCTTAAAACAATAATTTGTCATCTTTCTGGTTGACTGGGCTCAGTAGGGCAGTTTTCACTTAGAGTCTCTCATATATTTACTGTCGGATGTCAATGGGGGTTGCAGTCATCTGAAGGCTCAACTGGGCTGGACCTCCAGGGAGGGTCTCCCAACATGGTCAGCAGTTGATGCTGGGAGAGTAGCTGAGCTATACACTCAACCCCTCTTCATGTGGTCTCTGCACATGGCTTTGGCCTCATTGCATAACAGCTGGGGTCTGAGCAGGAATGTTCCAAGAGCAAATCTTTCAAAAGGAAAAGAACAGAAACTGTCATTTCTCCTATAAGCTAGACTAGAACTGGCACGTGTCACTTCTGCCCAGATTCAAGAAGGTAGAAAACACACTCCCTTTCTTTATGGGGGAATAGCATGCCTGTTGGGAAGGGTGGGAACTGATGGCAACATCTTAGAGACTGGCTACCACATCTACATTGGCTGAACATTGAAATCCCCTGAGTGATTTCACCTGAGTGATAAAACAAAGGCCAGGTGCATCCCCAGAGACTGCGGTGATTGACGATCTGGAGTGTGGCCTGGTTATTATGATATTTCAAAGCTCCAAAGGTGATTCCAATGTGCAGTCAAGGTTTAGATCCATTGGCTTACTCCAATACCACCATCTCCCCTGCCCCCCGCAAAAAAGACCCAGACCCAGGAAGGGAAAGAACTCAAGGCTTAGTCCATGAGACCCAGGAGGTTCTTAATCAGACATTCAGTATGCTCTGCTCCACCCCGTCCCCTTGCTGGTTTGGTCCCATGGGACTTTCTGCATCGAGGTAGCTCCTGTGGTCAGGGAATAGAACAACGTGGAAGCCAAGGTGGAAAGAGTTATTAAATGTGAGTGGGGATAGTAGAGTTCATAAAACTGCCTGGATATCTCCTTAATCCCAGGCTTTTGATCTGTAGTTGGTAGTTTGGCCAGTTTTTCCCATTGCTTTCACCAGGAATTTTGTGTCAGAACACAAGTTCCAACAAAAATGCCAGAAATCCCATTTTAAGAGCATTTTGAATCAATCAGACTACGAATAGTTAACATACCTTTCCCCCAAATGGGCAGTACCTAAAGGAAGGTTTCAAATACCTTCATTCCAGGAGCATGCTTATGAATATTCATATTCTGCCTGCTAGTGGTTTCACACATTAGAAAATACCATTTATTCCTAAGGCTAATGAGCTCTTAAATTTCCTTTGTGCTGGGGAAAGAGGTTTTATTTTTCTGGGTAGTTTATTTTCGGTGTCTGTCCATTTTCTGGAAGGGCCCTTTCCTTTAAAACTCTAGGCACGTTTCAAGAGCAGAGTGGAACTGTAAATAATTTCCCACGCAGAGAAGCCCACCAGCCTGGTGATAACATTAACGAAGGCTGCACAAAGTGGTTGGGAGGCAAGAGGATGAGAAGTTAGCTGTGAGCCCAGTTCCCAGGGAGATTCATATCGAATGGGGACCACATAATCAACACCCCTGTGAAATGCATAAAACCATGCAACGAAAGACAGTTGCAGAAATGTGAATGTGGACAGTACATAATTGGCATCTAAGGCTCTCAGGCGTTAAATGAACCTTATAAAATATCTTGTCTAGTGACCTATCATACGTTGGAACTTCCCTGTTACACTTCTGCTGAAATGGCTCAGAAGAGGGGAACTGTTTCCTCTCTCTCGTCTTTGTCCAGTCTGGTGGTTTGATAGGCCTTCCTTACATTCATCCACATACTCTCTCTACACCTGCCACCCTGTACCATGAACCACTCACTCATTGGCTTTTGGCTCCATTCCTGTCCTCAGTGCTCTGCTCTCTGCCAAAGGGGCTGGAACCCTGCATTTCCCAGGTTATCTTGCCCGCTGGCTTCTGCTTAGGCTTAGTCAATGGGAGGCACTGGAGAGATACTGGAAGGCAGAAGAAGGGGAAGCTAATCTTGTTCTCTCTGTATCAGACTGACCCTCCAGCAGAAGCAGCAATGAATACAAGTCCCTGGGTTCCTGCTCTGGCAGCTCCAGCAGTCTAGTGACTGATGGCTCTGGGTATTCTATTTTTCCTGTTGCTCTTCTAGTGCCAAGGTTGACTGTGACTTCCTACAGTTACTAATCTTTGGGTATCCTTACCTTTCCAACTCTCTCAATACTTTTGTAAACAGTTCCCTACATTCAATTCCTTCTATTTGAGATATCTAAGAGGTTCCTATTTCCCTAACTGGACACTGATTGACATACTATTAGGGAATTTCTAGAGTTGTATAAAGATTTATGTATCTTCCAGATAACAGCAAATATTTGAGCATGGCTATACTGTTCTCTTCCAGTTTTATCTTTATCATGTCACATTTCCTCAGCCCTGCATCAAATGCCTCTTCTCTTATCTTGTGGCTTCCAGATCTGCCTCCATCCCAGCTACTTTCTTCTGAGCCCACTTCATTTGGCTACTGCTTGTTTCAAGTGACATCCACAGTTGGATGGGCCCCAGCCATGATCAATCCAGGATAAGGACAAGGGAACTTTCACCTTCCTCCACCTTCACACTAGCCTTCATGGGATTAACCTATTGTCTTAGTTCATTTGGGACTCTGTGCCATGGACTGGGTGGCTTAAACCACAGACATTTATTTTTCATGGTTCTGGAGGATGGGAAGTCCAAGATCAAGCTGCCAGTCAACTTGGTTGAGGGCTCCCTTAGTTTACAGAGGGACCACCTTCTTGCTGTGTCCTCACATGGTGGAGAGAGAGATCTCTTGTCTCCTCCTCTTTTTATAATGGTATGACCTAATCTAACCCAAATGACCTCCCAAAGGCCTTACGTCCAAGTATCATTGCATTGGAGATTAGGAATCAACATATGAATTTGGAGGGGCACAGATATTTAGTACACATCACCTGTGATGCTGCTGGAAGTCAGCAGGCACACCACATTGCTGACACTTGAAGCTACCCCATATGTCTTTGTCAGTGTTTTTTGTTGTTGTTGTTTTGTTTTGTTTTGAGAAGGAGTTTTGCTCTTTTGCCCAAGTTGGAGTGCAGTGGCGCCATCTTGGGTCATGAGTAGTTGGGATTACAGGTGCCTGCCACCATGCTTGGCTAATTTTTGTATTTTCAGTAGAGATGGGGTTTCACCATGTTGGCCAGGCTGGTCTCAGACTCTTGACCTCAAGCAATCTGCCTGCCTTGGCTTTCTGAAGTGCTGGGATTACAGGCGCTAGCCACTGCGCCCAGCCCATCAGTGTGTTCTTGATAAGCCTTCGCTTGTCCATCTTATGCTTGTGTTGTTGTTTTTGTTTTCCTTTTGGGCCCTAGCTCCAGGCTGTTACACTAACTCCCACCGGCCTGCAGCAGGATCCTTCAGTCCACTGCTCTGCAGAGTTTATTGAGGCTCCTCATTCTGTTGCTCAGCACACTTGCTACTTACTCTCCACGGTTTCCTGTCTACTGCATACTTGCCAAGAATGACCTTTACCTTATTATCTCAGTCACTGATTTAAAATGATTGAACAGAACCTGGCATTCCATAAGTTGCCCACTCAACAGTCATTGCCCATTTCACTCACTTTGCTGACTAAACCCTGATTTGGGGGTGGGGGAGTGGGCAGTGAGCTCAACTTCCAAAGATGTAACTGCCCTGCTGCACTTTGCAGATGCTCACTGTTTCAACTCCTCCAGGGCAGCTGGAGGCAGGGGTGGGGCAGGTAACTCAGGTATGGTCAAGAGGAAGTCTACTGGGGAATTTCTGGCAAGATTTTCCCTCCTTGATAAAAAGAAGAGCTGTCTTACTTTGTCCCCACCCCCAAACCCTCACCGAAGCATTCCCTGAAACAAGAATTATAGGGTAAGTAGTTTTCTGGGAACATAATCCCAGGAAAACACTAGCAAGGGAGTAGGGAAGTGAGACAGGGAAGGAAAAATATTTAACAAAGCGTGCATTATAGAGCAGGTTTTACTGTGGAGAACTAAGCTTAATCATGCAGGGACATTTTTGGAAAAGGTGTAAGTCACATGCCTTGTGGTTATCCCTTGGAGCAATGAGGGAACTAAGGTACTTTTATAGCTACTCCCCCTCAATCATTGGTTAGGACTTTCTCTGGAGGAATATGAATTTTGGGGGGCACTTCTGACCTGATGTCCATGGGCAGAGCAGTTTTCTGAGGTTTTAGGGAAAAGCCCTCAGGTTAAGGCAGTTTGGAATTGACTGGAGCCTACTGAAATAATAAAATGGAGGGATAGGCGATGAGCTCCAATAATGTCTGCTGTAATGCCCCTGCCCCACTATGCTTCCTGACCTTGTATGTGGTTGTGATGTTGGGGGCTGCAGCAGCCATCTTGTGACCAGAAGGTGATAAGCAAGAGGCTGACAAACCAACACACTGAGGTTGGCAGTGGAGAAATAACAGAAAAACCCAGGGTCCTTTCCCTTGTCATTGGGCTGCTACTGCAAAATCTCCTCCCACAGCCTTCTTATTTTATGAAAGAATTGTGTTTTCATTTTTTTTCAGCCAGTGTTACTTGGGCGTCCTGTTCTTTGTAGTTAAGTAAATTTCATCTGGAACAGCTCTACAGGATGAGTGGATGAGAAGGTCCCAGGCAGAGTCTGCCTGAGCAGCTCACTACTCTCATAACTGAATCCTTGCACCAGGGTTTGTTTTGAGGGAACACAAATTAAAACACACGCTTGATAAGACCTTTAAATAAGAAACAGATGGATGGGTCCCTGAATGGAAACCTGGATGGGTAAAACTTCAATCTCTCCATGTTAAGTAATTGATTAAATTCTTATCCCTTGTGGTGCAGGAGGAAAGCAGTTATGCCGAACAGCGTGGCTTTTTCAGGAAAAGAAATAATTCCAGGGAGGCACAACTGAAATGTCTTTTTTTGGTCAGGACCCTTTTGGTTGCAAGTGACAGAAATGCAACTCAAATAAACATAAAGGGAATGTGTTTGTGTTGACTCTAGTAACCACCAGATTCCAAAGTCATAGCTGGATTCAGTGGCTCTGATGATATGGGCTCTCTCTCTCATCTCATCTTACCTCTATTTACCTTCATTCTGCATGCAAGCTCTGTTCACGTGGCAGACAAAATGCCAGGCATTTGCAGCCCCACCCTGCCAGTGAATAACCCAGGTGTACAAGCTTCATTTACGGTCTCTCCCATATCAACCTCAGAGTGTTTGATGTGGTGGAGTTGGGTGTCGTGATTTTCAAACCCACCAGAACTGTGTCATGAATGGGACCTCCCCAGAGGAACCAGCAGAAGAGGAATAGAAAAGCAGCCTGGAAAGAAAGTTGCTTGGCTGCTATTAGCCCTGTCAGCTTCCTGCTCATTGACAGGGATAGTTCTTGTATTGCATTATCGGATGCTCCGTAGCTGCCGGCAGCTTTAACCCTCTCATCCTCTTCCATGGTGTTGGGATGGGGGACACATGCATGTTCTTGCTTCCTTTCCAGCCACTCCCTTTCCTAAATCCAAATGTATCTCTGATTTAGATGCAGTGGTACATGCCTGTGATCCCAGCAACTTGAGAGGCTGACGCAAGAAGATTACTGGAGGCTAGGAGTTCAAGACCAGACAGGGCAACATAGTGAGGCCCCATCTCTAAAAAATAAAAATTACAATTAAATGTATCTCAGGATGCCCCTGACACAAAGACTTGAGCTTAGGCCATTTATTTGAGAGATGACCCCAGGATGCACTGGGAGGGAAGAAGTGAGGCAGGGAAGGAAAGAAAATCAAGAAGGGGGTGTATTAGTGAGAGAAGGAAATAGGGCTCAGGTATCCCTGTGGGCCTTCTAAGACACTGTATAAAGTTTTATCAAACCAAACTATCCCTCAAAACTGTACACAGAAAGGCAAGGACACAAGAGTCCTTTTCACTACCTCCTAGCAGTCCTCCTTGCTTGGAGGCTGCCCCTAGGAGCAGTCTTGCCCTGGTTTCTCTAGCCTGTGTTGAGTGTGAGCTGAACACTCTGGGGTGGGAGGTACTGGGGCAGGGGCATAGAGAACACCCGAAGAGATAGATGCAGGTGCTGGAAAGAGCCCTTGGCATGGCCTGGACTGCCAACAGCAGCTGTAAGTGACCTCCAGAGTGGACCTGGGCATGTGGGCTTTGGCTGTCATCTGTTATTTAACTGAATGTTGCAACAGCCCATGAGGTAAGCATTACTCCATTTAAGAGCCAAGTAACTGACGCCCAAGCAATTTCAAAGCTCTGCTACCAGACATACTCTAACAGTAGAAAGTCTGATTTTTAAAAATGACCTAGTTTACAGAGTCCAGGGTTTTAAAAGTTTCTTCCAAAACCTCAACCTGCATCCTGTTTTCAGAGTTGTTACTACAGTTGCTTATTAATCAAGATTAATAAAGACCATGGCAGTTATTATCTGATAGTCACAGCTGTTGAGAATCTTAGGAAATAGACACATGGGTGAGAAATACCAGAGCTTGATGCTTGATTGGCATTAGCCTTATGGGGCTCATGAGATAGTGACCATGGTGCTTGCAAAGCATTTCTTGCTGAAAAAGGGAAGCTACAGCTTAATGCTGGGGCTACTTCATGCCCGACCATGACCAGGATCTGTCAGGCAGTACTCTCTGAAGCCAGTCTCCTAATTTTTCAGACATCACAAATGCGACTTTTTTTTATAGTTGTGAAAGCCCCCAAAACATCAATTCTCACAAATCGAGGACTGGCTGGGGCCCTGGCTTCTGACCCTTTGCTCTCCAGGGACCATGAAAATTATTTGGCTTAGATGTGTGGTGATGAGGCAATGGAATAAATGCAGCTTTCCATTTTGCTGCAGAGTAACATGAAGAAGCCGGTTGACAAGCAACTCTCTGGCCAGTTCTGTGGCCTTGGGCAAATCGCTTAACCTCTCTGGGATCCAGCTGTTTGTATGTGAAATGAAAGTGTTTGGTTAATCAAGCAGCTAATCTGGGGCACTTGTGCTGCCACTCCTCTCTCCCTGCCCACGGCATAGGGTACTATTATGGCACTTTCCCTCCAAGCTAGATGTTGGCCTCAGAATCCTCAACACAGCAAATCAGGGAATCATCACTGAGCACTCAGAGTTGGCAGATGGGTTTGAAACCTGTCTGCCCTCCCTGGCCTGGATGATCTCTAAAGTTCCTTTAATTCTAACTTGTTGGATTCTGGGAACATGTAAACCAGGGGTCTGCAAACTACACCCAAAGGTCAAAGCTGGCCCTCTGCCTGTTTGTGTAAATAAAGTTTTATTAGAACACTGCCATTCAAAGGCCCATTCATTTATGCATTGTCTATGGCTGCTTTCATGCTACAATGGTGGAATTGGGTTGTTGTAATAGAGACCACATGGCCTGTAAAGTCTAAAATATTTTCTTTCAGGTCCTTAATAGAAAAAGTTTTGCCACCTTGTGATTAAATTTCCCTCCTTCCCTCCATCTTGTCCTCCAGGTCATGAGGGAAATTCCTCTTTGTCTCTGAGGGGCCTGTGTGGCTGAGCAATGCTCCAAGTGCCTGTGGGCCTTCTGCATCCCTAAGTCAGGAGAAGAGCAGGAGAAAAGCCAATAGGAAAATACAAGGAATGAAGACATTGTGGCAGAGATAGAGGTAGGGGGAGGCAGATGGGTGGGGAGCCGGGGTTCTCAAAGAAAAGGTCAAAGGGCACCCAGAGGAGAGGACCAAGGCATCCTTTTGTGCTGTCACTGAATGGCCACGGTGGTACTTACAGACCTCCTCCAGCCAACCTATCCTGGCATCCAGTTGGGGGCTGAGCCACCTTGTTTGGTTCTGTGCTCCAAGAACCCTGGCATGGCTGGCTGCCCGCTGGCTTCCGCCAGTAGTTTGGCATGAAAAGTGCTGGCTTGGGGCCTTTTTTCATGAAGAAAACAATTGCCTTTTCCTGGTCTGTGGACAACCACTGCTGCCTGCCTGGACATTGGCAGGAATGTTAAATTGCACCCTTGATGGCTGCCCTAGAAGCTGGGGTCTAGGAAATGTCCCTACAGCTATGTATGCTGGGCTACCATATCCATTTTCTCTCTGTGGGGTCAAAATCCAGTGCCTCAGCAATGAATCCTGCAGCGTCTTATATGAATTATTGGTGAATGTAATGAACTGTACACCCTCATCTCTTCTCCCACTTCCAGGCCCACTGAGGTCCTTTTCCAAGGTCTGTGTGCTTTGCTGTGAATGGCTCACCCCTGATACCTTCAGGGACCTGCCCTTGGGCACTGGGGCTCCCGGGCAGCCCATGGCCACAACTGGTGGTCATGTGGACAAAGGCCCAGCTCCTTTGCTGTCACCCCCACTCCAGGGTTCCCTGCAGGATTAGGCACTGGGACTTTGTCAAGCTCAGGTGCATACAATTCAGGGCAACTCCAAGCCCTGATTCAGGGGCTTTTATAATAGATTCAGACTGTTTATTACTTACACAGACAATGAAGAGTAAGCCAAAGGTACCAGTGCCCCAGGTCCTCATTCGGCATATCAGAAAGGAGGGCACCCAAACAAGAGAGGCCGAGTGACTGTCATGTGAGCTGGGGGATGCCCCTTGGCTGAGATGCCAATTCTAGACTGAGGCTGAGCAGAGGCAGGATGGGGAGCCCCATCACTCAGCAGAACCCAGAAGGGATGACAAACAGACCCACGGCGGCTCTCTAGGGGCTGGGAGGCGATGGGGAGATGGCCTGGAACTCTGCAGCCTCTGCCTCTCACCCACTTCTGATCCAGGAGGACCACGAAGCATTCCGCCAGCACTCAGCGTGTTCAATTCCTGTTGCTGCTCCAACAAACCATCACAGATTAGTGGCTTCACACAAAGTTATCTTACAGTACTGGAGGTCAGAAGTCCAAAATGGGCTTCCCTGGGCTAAAATCAGGGTGTCAGCAAGGCTGGTTCCTTCTGGAGGCTCTAGGGGAGAATCCTTTTTCTTGCCTTTTCCAGTTTCTAGAGGGCACCTGCATTCCTTGGCTAGTGGCCCCAGCAAGCACATCCCTCCAACCTTTGCTTCTGTCCTCACATCTCCCTCTCACTGCCCCTTGTGATTACATTGGGCCCATCTGGGAAATCCAGGAAAATCTCCCCATCTCAACATCTTTAATTTACTCAACATCCTTTTTGCATATAAGGTAACATATTCACAGATTCCATGGATTAAGACACAGATGTAGGGGTGCGGGGCGTTATTTCACCCACCACATTCAGATTGGCTGTGGGTCAAGCCTTCGCCTCCGTGGCCTATTTGGATACACGTGAGATCTCCAGGGCACCACAGAGGAGCCGGTCCCATGCAGACCGCAGCTGAAACAGATGCCTCTTTAACCCCTTCCCTTTCCTTGTCCTGCTTCTCTCCTGCCCAAACTGGTTTCCCTTGAGGGTGCTTCCTTCATAAACATCTGCATGGAGTCTTAGGAAGCTGCCCTGAGACAGTGGGGGACCCCATGTGCAGGAAAGTATAACTTCAGTGGCTGGTGCTTCCTCTGTGCCCCTTACCTAGGATTGCAGGCTACGAGTCCAGCTCCTCCCTTAATTACGGAGAAGCCTGGATGAAATTTCTGAGGGTTTAGGTAAGGCTGACTCTGAGGGAGGGGAGGTTGGGTGGAAATGTCCCAGACACAGAAGTGTGCAGTCTAAGGAAGACTCAGCAGGGCTTTCGGGAAGCCCCGTGTCTCTCAGAAGTGAGCCTGCCTCAGTATCTCCACCATGTTCGGTCACTGGCAGGTGCAGCCTGTGGCACAGCCTCTGTGCATATGTGGTGTCCTTACACTCCCTGAATTTGGAAGCCTCATGGCTCCTGCAGAATGGTGGGGTAAACAGGACATAGAATTTGAACTTCATCACTGGTAGGCTGGGAAACTCCTAGGAGGATTTAAGCAGAGGGATGACATGACATGGCTGGATTGACCATATTGAATGGTCACTCTGGTTGCAGAGGGGAGAATGGACGTGGTGGGGCCTGAGAGGGGGCAGGGAGGCCAGAGGGGAGGCTAAGTCATTGTCCAGGGGACAGGTGAAGGTAGTGGGCCTGTACGACTCGTGTTCTCAGGATCCCGGAAGGAATGCTTTCGGAGAGCAGAGCAGAGACCTCAGCTCAGCTGCCTGCCTCACCTCCTGGGTTCCCAAATCCCACAGGGTCTGCCGTTTCCTACCCTGCCCACCTCCTTTCCCATGTCCTTCCCCCTTGCCCATGCCCTTCATGCTTCACCCGAGGCACACCCTGCCCTGGCATTTCCCAAATCCCTCCATACTCTGCATTTCTACTCCCAGCTCTCTCCCCAAAGAACAGATTGCCCCTGTTTTCCAAAACTCTCCTGCATCACTTGTTAGAAGTGCAGATTCTGTTAGCCAGGCATGGTGGTGCGTACCTGTAGTTCCACCTACTCCAGAAGCTGAGGTGGGAGAATCACTTAGCCCAGGAGCTGGAGGCTACAGTGAGCTGTCACCGTGCCACTGCAATCTAGCCTGGGCAACAGAGTGGGACATTGTCTCTTAAAAACACACACACACACAAACCCAAAGCATGGATTCTGGAGTCCCACTGCTGATCTACTGAATCAGATACTCTGGGCAGAGGTTGCAGGAGCAGCAATTTGTGTTTTAAAAAGCCCCTCCCCCACCCCCCGCCGGGCCCAAGGGATCCTGATGCGGCTCAAGTTTGAGAACTCCTGTTGTACACACCCTGGAATCATCTGGGTAATTCTTTTAAAAATCTCATTACCTGGGTCCCAACCCAGACCAATCAAATCAGGATCTCTGGTAGGACCCGGCTTCAATGCTTTTTTGAGCTTCTCAAGTGATTCTCATGTGCAGCCAAGATTGAGAGCTGCTGTATCTGTGGTGAGTGGCCTGTGTGTGTGGCCCGCACCCAATCCATTCCACAGACATCCATCGAGCCCTGACAACATGTTCCACGTGGAGTCAGGTGGGCCATGAGAATGCAGAGATGTGTCTCCCTGGGGTTTTGGTGTGTGGACAAGGGACTGCAGCTCTGTGTGTGTTGCCATCTGTGCGGAGGGAGAAAAGGTGTGGGAGGAGAACAACACCCAAGACAGGCTTTTAAGAGAAGCCATTAAAAGTTGAGGAAGTTGGGCTGGGCGCGGTGGCTCATGACTGTAATCCCAGCACTTTGGGAGGTCCAGGCGGGCAGATTAAGAGGTCAGGAGTTTGAGACTAGCCCGACCAACATGGTGAAACCCCTTCTCTACTAAAAATACAAAAAATTAGGCAGGCATGGTGTCGTGTGCCTGTAATACCAGCTACTCAAGAGGCTGAGGCAGGAGAATCACTTGAACCCAGGAGGCGGAGGTTGCAGTGAGCTGAGATTGCACCATTGCACTCCAGCTTGGGTGACAGAGTGAGACTCCATCTAAAAAAAAAAAAAAAAATTGAGGAAGTTGCAGCTTCTGAGAGGTCGGCATCCTCATGTCCTGCCTTCCCATTTGGGAATGCAGGATGTCAGCCTGACCCTGAGTGCTTAGGATGGGTCCAGTAACTATCTGGATAACCCCAAATCGTGAACCTGAATGTGGCTCTCTGGTTCATAACCTACAATCACACTGTCCCCTGACCCCTTGCAGGCTAAGCACACTTCTAAGAGTTGGGGGTTAAGGCCTGGGAGATAACGTCAGGAATTTGCTATCATGCCCACTAGAAGGGAAGCCCCTGTGCCCTGTGCCAGTGGCAGAGAGGGGAGCATGGTGGGTGACCACTGACATCTCCAGGCTATCAGAAGGCTGCTGTGGGACTATCCTGATTTCTGGAGGCAGAGCTCAGAGTAGTCTCTTGGTCCAAGCCCCTCTATTAGAAAAGGTCATTTATATCTGGAAAAACTGTGAGGCAATGAAACTCTAGAACAAAAATTATGCGGGTCCCTGGGCGCTTGTCTTCTCCCAGTTCCTTCCTACTGTCTTCCTTTTTGCCAGGAGGCCTTTCCAGGGAGGGTGCCGGGTGGACAAATCTTGAGTGCTGAGAGCTATGATTTCGTGGGGAAGCCCAGCTGTGCATGTGGTCTTGAAAAAAGAAGTGCCTTGAGGTAGAATTCTTGTTTGGGTTTTGGCAACATCAGCCCAAATAGGATTTGCATCCTTTCTTGTAGAGGAGCTCAGAGCTGTGGTAAAATTACTCCTTCTGGCCTCCAGCTCAGATATGGGATCAGCAGGAGCTGTGGCCTGGGCTGGGAAACAGAAGCCTCCTGTTTAGTGGCCAGGCTGAGGCTTGGAGTGCTCTGATGGAAGGGGAGTTGGCAAGGGTCGGAGGCCTTTCCTGCAAATTTGGGTGGGTACCTTAGTTGGATTCCTCAAAAGCAGAGCTGAGCAAGAACTTAGATGCAGGTGGTTTATCTGGGTGGGGATCCCAGCAGGCAAGGGTGCGGTGTGGGGAGACTGAGAGGGGGAGGATGCTTCATTGAGAGGCTTCATGAGGTGGGCATGGCAGCTCCATCCACAGAGGAAGCATGTAGAATTCTCCCACTAGAAGGGTGTCACCTCCCAGAATTGTGCCTTTGTGTGGACTTTGCTGCCTCTCAAGGCTTCAGGAAAAACCCCACAATGGGAGAGCAGAGAGATGCTGCAGCACAGCTGAGAAGGGATGTGGGCCGTGCACACGCACTGACCCCCCACAGCCAGGCTGAAATCAGGGGGCGAAAGGGCCAGGGCCAGGTGACAGAGCATCAGTCACAATGGTCAGATATGCTGGTTCTTACTCAGGCCCAAGACCAAATCTCAGTGGTACCATGTGCTATCTCTGCGGCTTTGGGCAGCTTTTTTACCTTGGAAAACCTCAGTTTCCCCATCTGTAAAATGGAGTTGATAACACTGCTTCTCTCCTGGGGTTGATGTGGGAAGTTAAAGAGAACATTCAGACAGTTGTATATCTACATGCAAAAGAATAAAGCTGCACCCCTACCTCACATCATGTGCAAAAAAATTTACTCAAAATAAACCAACCATAAGACTCTTAGAAGAAAACATGGGAAATCTTTGACCTTAGATTTAGCAATAAATTCTTAGATATGACACTAAAGCACGTGTGACAAAAGAAAAGCTGGATAAATTGGGCTTCAAAATTAAACACTTTTGCGCATCAAAGGACATTCTCTAGAAATTGAAAAGACAGCTTACAACATGAGAGAGAGTATTTGCAAGTCATATTTTTGATGAGTCTGGTATTCAGAATATGTAAAGAATTCTTTTTTTTTTTCTTTTTTCCTTTGAGACAGAGTCTCTCTCACTGTGTTGCCCAGGCTGGAGTGCAGTGGCATGATCTTGGCTCACAGCAACCTCCGCCTCCCAGCTTCACGCCATTCTCCTGCCTCAGCCTCCCGAGTAGCTGGGACTACAGGCGCCTGCCACCACGCCCAGCTAATTTTTTTTTTTTGTATTTTTAGTAGAGACGAGGTTTCACCATGTTAGCCAGGTCGATCTCCTGACCTCATGATCCACCTGCCTCGGCCTCCCAAAATGCTGGGATTACAGGCATGAGCCACCATGCCCGGCCCAGAATATGTGAAGAACTCTTACAACTCAATAACAAAAGGACAAACAGCCTGATTTCGAAAAGGACTTGGGTAAACTAATCAAATAGACATTTCTCCAGAGAAGATATACAAATGGCCAGCAAGCACATGAAAAGATGCTCAAGATTATTCATTATTAGGGAAATCCAAATCAAAACCACAGTAAGTTAGCACTTCACACCCACTAAAATGATGTTTAAAAAAAATGGAAAATAACAAGTGTTAGCAAGGGTGTGGAGAAATTGGACCCTTTGTATATCGCTGGGGGGAGTATAGGTTAGGGCTGGTTGGAACCCAGCCTCATGGTTCAGCCTTAGTGGAAAATGGTTTGATGGTTCCTCAAAAATTTAAACATAAAATTATCATATGACCCAGTGATTCCACCCTTGCCTGTATACTCAAAAGAGTTGAAAACTGGTGCTCAAACAAATACACCCACATGTGTGCTTATAGCAGGACTATTCACAATAGCTAAATGGTAGAAATAGCCCAAATGTCCCTCAGTGGATGATTGGATAAACTAATTGTGGTATATCTAGAATGTTATTCAGTCATGAAAAAGAAATGAAGTGCTGATACTTGCTAACATGGATGAACCTTGAAAACACTATGCTCAGTGAAAGAAGTCAGTCACTATCATACAACTTTATTTACCAAAAAAAAAAAAAAAAAAAAAAAACAGAATAGGTAAAATCCATAAAGACAGAAGGCAGATTGGTGGGTTCCAGGGGGCTGGAAGAGGGGGGATGGGGAAGAACTGCTTTATGGGGTACAGGGTTCTAACTAGCCCTAACTTGCTGGGAAGGCACACAGAATTGCACATTTGCCAAGCCTTATGAAAATGTGAGGGGTGGGGAGGGGGCAATGTGGTGGAGTTCTGGAATGGGGGACTTTCAGAGGGCAATGAATGTCCCAGCCAGATGGAGATCACCTGCTGGGTTGGAATTCCTGAGAGAAAAAGTGGCATCTTGCACCATCCCAGGGTCCTGCATTCTTCAGAAATCAGGGGAGAGTAGAAACCAGTAGGCAGCCTTCATGTGGGCTCTTAAGGGCAATGAAAATGGATTCCTAATGCCACCACTGATGGGCATTTTACGGGGAAGAGAGAGGAGCTTCTTCCCTCTTCCTGAGCTTTCTGAGCTCCTGCTATGTGTCAGACACGGTGTTAGGCTACAGGCCCACAGAACAATACTTGTTCCTGCCCACAAGAAGTTTCCTAGAGGAGAAAAAACATAACGAAATGTGAATCCAATGTGTTCTGTGCAGTGATGGAGAGAAGCCAAGGACATTGGGTGTGGAGGGAGGCAAGCAGGTGTCAGTGAGAAGCATCGCAGGTTAAGGGAGCCTCGGTGGGGTGGGGTGGGGTGGAGGGAAGAGGCCCTGGAAGCAGGTGGAGAGTGTGGCCCCAGGAGCAGGAGGAGAAGCCCAGGAGCTGGCTGTCATGGAGGCCATGTCCAGAAGACAGGCTGGTCTCATCCTCAGGGCCACACTGGCCGCAGCTGTAGTATGGACCGTTCCTGCGCACACGGATGTCTTCCACCTTAAGCACCCCTGTGGCTCTCTGTTTTTCTGCCTCAGGAGTTAATATCCCTGGGAAGTGACATTTAACCCATGGGGTCCAGACCAATGCTCCTGCCCTGCAGCCTTTGGAGGGACAGTTCTAAGGTGCATTCTATACAGCCCCTTGGAAGGTCCCAGCAGGCTTCCAGCCCCGGGTGCCCACAGCAGTGCCCAGCCCAGTAACACACACTTTTTCCTGGGCTCGCTTTCCTGGCATCTTCCCAGGACCACCCGCTACATACACTGGTTGCATGTAGGGCTTTGTCTCAGGTCTCTGCTTTAGGAGAATACAATACAAATACAAATACACCATGAAAGTAGAGGGTTTTAAGTGAAGAGAGTGAGGGGTTGTTTCATACAGGATGGAGCAGACAGTGAGATCAGTTCTGGAAAATGGCCATTGAATTGAGTGGTGAAGAGGCCCTCAGTGGAAATTTGTTGGAGTGCTTGGGGGATGGGCAGCCCCAGAGGGCCGAGGTGCCAGTGCAGACCCAGGAGGTGTTTTGAGAACCTTAGAGGAGAAGGGGAGGAGAGGGTCCCTTCAGTATCAGATTGTCCCTTCCCCCATGTCCCCATATCAGTTCCCATCACACACTGCCTCCTACCCTCCACAGACCTCTCAAGTCTCCTTTGGGGGATGCTGTTGCTTTGCACTTTTTTTCCGGAATTTTCCACGATGAGTGTTCTAGCACCCCAGAGTCTGGCATCCTGGAGAGGCTGGGTCTCTGCCTTTCTGTTGGTGCTATGGAACCATGGGCCACGGGCCCAGCTCTGTGTTTGGAAATATTCTTGGCCCCTTTTCGAGGCCGTCTCAGACATCCACTCAGCCATCCCCAGCAGTGAAGTTTGCAGCAGCTGATGGTGGAAAAAGAGGCATAGAAAAAACAAAACTGTTTGTCCAAGGTCAGCCAGGAAGTCTGTGGTAGCCTCGAGTCTGGGATGCAGAAAACGGATCTCCCTAACTAAGCCCCAGTGTGATGATCTAAGCCCACTTGCTTTCAGACAAGGAGAAGGAAAAGGAAACTCATTCCTTTCTGTCTGCAGGGAAATCGCCTGTGGGTGCTGGCAGGGCCGGTGGAGACACCTGCGAGGAGCCAGCAGCTGCTCTGTCACGAGAGGGTGGGAAGTATCTCTGACCAGGCCTGGGCCCACTGTCAAGAGCAGACCCTGAGAACCTCTGTTCTGGGTCCCAGGGCCTCACGAATCAGCTGCAAGTTCTGGTTTTCTCCTCACCCAATGCCCATTTCAATTCCAAGTCAGGGTGGGCCATGGATTTGAAAGGATAAGGGGAAAGGGAAGAAGAGGGATGGGAGAGGAGGAGGCCTTCCACCTGGAGGACTAGTGCCAGCCTTGACACAGGGTCACACTGATTCAAGAAGGGCTGTGCTTGTGCGCGCGCGCGTGTGTGTGTGTGTGTGTGTGTGTGTAGCATGATGTAAAAAACCCACAGGACCAATAAGATACATCTTTCAGAAGTTATGAAAGTAAAATTTTATATTTTGAGTGTATAAGGAAGCAAGACATGCAGGCACATTAAGGTGTAGAAGGATAAATTAACTGTAGATTTAAAAACTTTAAAAACTACAATAGGAGATTCTTTTTTTCTTTTCTTTTTTTTTTTTTTTTTTGAGACAGAGTCTTACTCTGTCGCCCAGGCTAAAGTACAGTAATCCAATCCTGGCTTACTGCAACCTCTGCCTCCCGGGTTCAGGGGATTCTCGTGCCTCAGCCTCCTGAGTAGCTGAGATTACAAGCGTGTGCCACCACATCTGGTTAATTTTTGTATTTTTAGTAGAGATGGGATTTCACCATATTGGCTAGGCTGGTCTTGAACTTCTGATCTCAAGTGATCTGCCTGCCTCGACTGGGATTACAGGCGTGAGTCACTGCCCCTAGCCTACAGTAGGAGAGTCTAAGGAAGATTCTAAAATGCTGAGACCCCAGGCCTCTGGGGTTATGTATCAGCTGTCCTCTGCCACCAGGAAACATTAGCAAAAGCGTTTGAGAAGCACTCATCTAGTCCAGTGGTATGCTGGTAAATATTTAGCAACTAACTCTCAAAAAAAAAAAAAATTTGGATTGGTGGCATTTGCCACTTCCCATGGTATAACTGCTTCCATTATGGCCAGTTTCCACCTACCAAGGTGACATCACCGAATATGGAGCTGGGAGGAGACGCGCACAGTCTGCTGTCACAGGCTGGGGTGTGCCAGTCCAGCTTGTCATCGATTCCACCCAACCTCTGCATCCTACAGCAGGAAACACAGAAGCCCAGGGAGAGAAAATAGCCACTCCAAGGTCACTTGGGGAGCTGGTGGCAAAGTTGAGCTCCTAACTGATGCCCTACACTTTATTCCATGTTCTCATATTGTTTGTTTTATTTGCTCGGCTCTAGAATATGAACATGTGCACGTGTGTGTTTGTACCTCTTTTAGCTTTTCATTTGACCACCCCTCTGTCAGGAGGACACTTTCTCGTCTGTCCAAAGCTGGCATCTTTCTGTCTTTCAGGTCTCATTCACACATTCCCATATCATCTCCTAAAGAGGACTTCCTTGGCCTCCCTATACATCCAGTCACTCCCCATCACAGAGCCCTGTTCATTCACGGCACTTAGTGTCTAAAGTCATCTGAATTGCTTGCTTATTGCCGTCTCTTCCCTAAAGGGCAATCTCCTCCCTACCCGCCGCCAACCCCACCGTGAACAAGGAACTGTGTCGGCTTCATTGTCCTGTCAGCTCCTAGGACGGCCTGGAATCGCTTCCTTTATTTCCCAAAGATTTATTGAGCACCTATTGTATGCCAGGCACTACCTTGAAACCTGGCTCCCAGAGTGGGGCTGGGTCCCACTGCTCTGCAGAGGGATGCATTTAGAGTTTCTTTCTGTAGCTGTGTGTGGGGCTTGTATTGCACTGCCTGATTCAGGAACAGGGCAAAGCAGAGAGAAGGGGCAGAGCAGAGCGAAGGGGCAGACCTGGGATAGAGAACCGCATTTATCTGGCTGCGAAGATGCCTCGGGCGGGTTACCTGGTGTTCCAATTATCTATTGCTGTGCAGCAAATCATCCCCAAAACCTGGTGGCTTAAAACACTGCATTGTGTTATTTTATTTATTTTTCATATTATCTCTTGCTGTTCTGGAAAATATTATCTGCCACACTGAGCCTGTCAGTTTTCAGCTTCTCCATAGAATTATTGTGAGGATTATACGTATGTGTGAAAGTGTGAATTTTAAAAGATGAGCTAAAGTGACGAGCTGGTTGTCTGACATGCAGGAGGCCCCAGAGGGTGGCCATCTCCTTCCCACCCTACACACCCAAAGGCTGATAGCTTTTGCTTCCTTTTTTAACTGTTCATAAAGATCTTAGAATAAAAAAATGTTCAGGAAGTGATCGCCAAGCTTTTTTGTTAAAGTCGAGTTTTACTGAGGTGTAATTTACATACGGTAATTGCATAGTTCTGTGAGTTTTGACAAATGCTGACAGTCACGTAACCACTGCCACTATCAGGATAGGAAACATCCCTGTTAACACAGAACACTGCAACCCTTTGTGGTCAACCCTTAGTTCCCAGATCCTGGCAACTGCTGAGCTGCTTTCTGTCCCCACAGTTTTGTCTTTGCTAGAATGTTGTGTCGATGGAATCATATAGTATGTAGCCTTTCGGGCCTGGCATCTTTCATTTAGCATTACCCATTTTGGATTCATCCGTGTTGTTGCTGAGTAGTATTCCATGCATTCTGAACAATGCATTTATCCCAAACTTGCTTTTCAGATATGGAAAAGCAATGATATCCAGTGTGGAACCTCAAAACACAAAACAGATGAGGACTGAGATCTGGTGAGGCCAGGAGGAGTGGAGGTTGGGTGGGGAAACACAGCCCCATGTCACAGCTCCAGAAACCTCTATAAGGCATTCAGGGGATTCCTTGAAATGTAGTTTGAAGTCCCTTGGTCTAGTCACTTGTGAATAAAGCAGGCTGTTCTCCAGCCTCTCTCAAGTTTTGAGGCCTGGATGAGTTTTATTTTCCTGAAAGTTGTTTTCCATCCTAAGGAGACAGAGCTCGGTGAGTGAGGGAGTGTGAGGCAATGGAAGGACACGAGCATGGAGGTCGGGTTGCCTTGACCTAAGCATGACATGGGCAGGTTCTGGCTCCCTTTGGGTCTCTATCTCCCCATGTGCAAAATGAGGATTGCATTAAACTAGACTCATGTGGGGAACCCTAGGGATGGGGTGAGAAGTTGAGGACACTGACTCTAGACTCCCATCCCATACCTCGTTTCATCCAGCCATGAGAATGGCTCAAACTTGTCGTCTCCAGAGCCACCAACTTGTCTAGCAATGCTGGACCAGATAAAGGACAGGGATGACTAGCAAACAGAATGCAGGTGTGGTGCAGAAGTGAGAGGAGAGGCTATTTTTACCTTCTCTGACTGCTTAGAAATGAAACCACCTCTTGGTCTTGCCCACTCTGGCCAGGACAATTGGAGATCATCTTATTTATTGAGTCCAGGAGTCATAATTTGTTCATCTTGCCAATGCCCCACTACATTGCCTATGCCTGTGAGGACCACCGAGTAATACTGCCCTGTCCCCTGCACTTGGCAGAGTCTCTAACTGTTGAGTTTCTGTTCTTGGCCCTGGTCAGGGAAGTTTGTGAGTATAAAACGTAGGTGTCTGGTAAGGGTGATAGCATTCTTACTGGAATAAATAATAAATAGTGACGCTGTACAATTTAATATCCAGCAGTATCATTTTCTCTAAAGCCCAGGGACTATCAGATTTACATCCTGTTCTGTGAGAGAAGGAACATTTAACTTGATCTCAGACTTTTCTTGTTCAGATATCTTTTAAAAATACTCCCCATATCGTACATACTTGACACACTTGGGGTTGGGACTGCCTTAAACAAATTATCTTCTCTTATTGTCACCCTAATCACTGATAATAACACAATTATCATTATACTTCCAGGTTATTTAGGTAAGAAAAATGGTCCCCTCTCTCCCTGGCTCCCACCCTGCTCAGTCCATCTCCAGATTCAAGAGCTGCAGCGTGTTTAACGCCATTCAGTGGGGCTGGTCCTGACCTCCTCATGCACTAGGCTGGTGACCCACCAGGGAAGCCTGGCTTGGTGCAGCCCCCAGAATCTCTGCCACAGATGAGAGGTTTCCACTGTTGCTGAGACATCTGCCCATGCAAGACAACCCACATGACCCTTCTAGGGCCCTTCTCTGGGAAAGGCCTTTGGTCAAGTCTCATGAAGAGACATGAAGAAAGCACTTAGATGCAGCAATTCCAACAAGTGACAAAAACCCACCTGAAAAGCTGCTTTGTTTTCCCTTGGATATGTCTTAGATATTCATGCTGTCATTTAGCACTGACGGTTCCCTATGCCTGGGACACTTTCCCCCCAGATTTCAGCAGGGGTCACTCCCTCAGCTCCTTCACATCTTTGCTGAGCTTCACCTCCTCATGGGGCTGACCCTGACCCCCCTATGTAATACTGCAAACTGACCACCCTTCACTTCCAATCCCCCTTACCCTGTTCTACTTATTTTCTTATAGCATGGAGCCTTTCTAACGTACCAAAAAAAGTACTTATTCATTATGTTTATTATTTAATGTCTGTCTTTCCCTGCTGTACCATAAGCTCCACAAGGCAGGGATCTGTGTTTGGTTTATCTATCTAACTGAAATGCTGAGAGCAGTGCCTGGCAAACTGTAGGTGCTCAATAAATCATGTTAAACGAACAAATGAGCAATGGAAATGTCATCCACACAACCAGCAGGTTCAGTTGCTTGGCAGATATCAACCCAGTGACTACAACCAAGGAGGACTTAGCAAGGGGATGTTATTACTTGTAAGAAGTAAGGCGAACACCAGGGATAATTCCCAAAGCAGCATCTCCCCGAGTTGGGGGCTGGGTAAGGTTTTATAAGCATAAGGTAATGAGGTGAGATCTGATTGGATCCTGCAAAGAGGTGATGCCAGGAGGCGTGATATGACTGGATCCTGCCACGGGGTGATGCCAGAGCTTGATCTGATTGGATCCTCCATCCCAGCACTTAGGATCCCCCCTCTCCCAGGTTGCACACTGAAGTCATCTGGGCATGCTCATGTTACGTGACCTGAGGGTCCGTGGCTACTGAAAACACCTCACAACTTTGTTACATAAAAGTGAAACCAATAGGTTGGATGCAGTTCCAGAAAGAACACTGAGGTCTGAAGGGGGATGTCTGAATTTGTATCTGTCTCCTGGGGTCTTTGTCATCTTTACACGCACCATTTGGCCTCTCTGAGTCTCGGCTTCCTCCTCTGGAAAGAGGAAATCATGGTGTGCGTACTTCACAAGGTTCTGGTAGCCACGTTAAATAAGTAAAATGAAACAGGGTATGTTCCTTTCCTAGGGCTGCTGTCACGATATGCCACAAAGTGGGTGGCCTAAGACCACAGACATTTATGGTCTCGCAGCTCTGGAGACCAGAAGGACAAAATCGGGGCTCCTGCAGAGCCGTGGCCTGTGTGATGCCTGTAGGGGAGAAGCCTTTCCTGCCTCTCCCCGCACACGGTGCTTGCTGGCAATCGTGGGATTCCTTGACTGGCAGCTGCATCACTCCAATCTCTGTCTCCATCGCCACATGGCTATGTTTTTGCTGTGTCTGTATCTTCTTTTTTTTATAAGAACACCAATCATATTGCATTGAGGGCCCACCCTATTCCAGTATGACCTTTGTATGAGTCCATCTTCACACTGCTATAAAGAAATACCTGAGACTGGGTAATTTATAAAGACAAGATGTCTCATTGGCTCACAGTTCTGCAAGCTGTACAGGAAGCATGGTGGCTTCTGCTTCTGGGGAGGCCTCAGGAAACTTACAATTATAGCAGAAAGTGAAGGGGAAGCAGGCACATCTTATGTAGCCAGAGGGAAGAGAAGAAGGGGAGAGGTGCTACACACTTTTAAACAACCAGATCTCATGATAACTCATTCACTCACTATCACAAGAACAGCAGCAAAGGAATGATGCTAAACCATTCATAAGAAACCACCCCCATGATCCAGTCACCTCCCACCAGGCCCAACCTCCAACATCAGGGATTCCAATTAGACATGATATCTGGGCAGGAACACAGACCAAACCATATCAACCTTATCTCAACGAATTACATCTGCAACAACCCTATTTTCAAATAAGGTAGCATTCTGAGGTACTAGCGGTTAGCACTCCAACATATCTTTTTGGGGACCACAATTCAACACATAAAACAATGAGATAAATTTTATTTTTATTTATTTATTTTTTTTTCATTTTGTTTTTAAACAATTTTAATAAAAAATTTAAAAGTAATATCACGTTACGTGAAGTTTGAAACTAGAGAATGGAAAAGATCACCCCAAATCCCTTCATCCTGATTCAAGGTTTTTTTGTTGTTGTCTTTTTTTTTTTTTTAATTTATGTTGTTAATTTTATTTTATGGTTTTTTTTTGTTTTTGTTTTTTTTTAGTATTTATTGATCATTCTTGGGTGTTTCCCGCAGAGGGGGATTTGGCAGGGTCATAGGACAATAGTGGAGGGAAGGTCAGCAGATAAACAAGTGAACAAGGGTCTCTGGTTTTCCTAGGCAGAGGACCCTGCGGCCTTCCGCAGTGTTTGTGTCCCTGGGTACTTGAGATTAGGGAGTGGTGATGACTCTTAACCAGCATGCTGCCTTCAGAGCATCTGTTTAACAAAGCACATCTTGCACCGCCCTTAATCCATTTAACCCTGAGTGGACATAGCACAAGTTTCAGAGAGCAAGGGGTTGGGGGTAAGGTTATAGATTAACAGCATCCCAAGGCAGAAGAATTTTTCTTAGTACAGAACAAAATGGAGTCTCCCATGTCTACTTCTTTCTACACAGACACAGCAACAATCTGATTTCTCTATCTTTTCCCCACATTTCCCCCTTTTCTATTCAACAAAACCGCCATCGTCATCATGGCCCGTCCTCAATGAGCTGTTGGGTACACCTCCCACACGGGGTGGCGGCTGGGCAGAGGGGCTCCTCACTTCCCAGAAGGGGCGGCTGGGCAGAGGCGCCCCCCACCTCCCGCACGGGGCGGCTGCCGGACGGAGACGCTCCTCACTTCCCAGACGGGGCGGCTGCCGGGCGGAGGGGCTCCTCACTTTTCAGACGGGGCGGCCGGGCAGAGACGGTCCTCACCTCCCAGACGGGGTCGCGGCCAGGCAGAGACGCTCCTCACTTCCTAGACGGGATGGCGGCCGGGAAGAGGCGCTCCTCACTTCCCAGACTGGGCAGCAGGGCAGAGGGGTCCTCACATCCCAGACGATGGGCGGCAAGACAGAGACGCTCCTCACTTCCCAGACGGGGTGGCGGCCGGGCAGAGGCTGCAATCTCGGCACTTTGGGAGGCCAAGGCAGGCGGCTGGGAGGTGGAGGTTGTAGCGAGCCGAGATCACGCCACTGCACTCCAGCCTGGGCAACATTGAGCACTGAGTGAACGAGACTCTGTCTGCAATCCCGGCACCTCGGGAGGCCGAGGCTGGCAGATCACTCGCGGTTAGGAGCTGGAGACCAGCCCGGCCAACACAGCGAAACCCTGTCTCCACCAAAAAAATACGAAAACCAGTCAGGCGTGGCGGCGCGCGCCTGCAATCCCAGGCACTCGGCAGGCTGAAGCAGGAGAATCAGGCAAGGAGGTTGCAGTGAGCCGAGATGGCGGCAGTACAGTCCAGCTTGGGCTCGGCATCAGAGGGAGACCATGGAGAGAGAGGGAGAGGGAGACCGTGGGGAGAGGGAGAGGGAGAGGGAGACGGAGCTTGTTGTTGTCTTTCTTCCTTCCTTCCTTCCTCGATAAATTTTAATAATATATTTCATGTAACCCAATCTATCTGAAATATCATTTCAATGTGCAATTAATATAAAACTATTAATAAGATACTGTATCTTTTCTTCCTTCCAGGTCTTGCAGTCAGTGTGTGTTCCACCCTCACAGCACATAGCAGTTGGATTAGATTAGCTGCATTTCACATGCCCACTGCTCACATGTGTATTGGAGGGCACCGGTATCTATGGAGTTAATACAGCCATGCAAATCGGTGCAAGCTAAGACCAGTTAACAGCAGCCCAAAGAGCTACCTCAAAGTAGATGTTTCAAATATCTGACCTTAGGCACCCCTCTACTCTCCTCAGTAGTTTCTCTGCCCACCTCTTCCCCATACTTAGGGATTTCTTTTGGGGTCCAGGGCAGTGTAAATATCCGGCCAATTCAATGTGACTTGTAGTTATTTCATAGATGTCTGGAAAGCCCAACTGAAGGGTCAGCAGACCTATGACTGAACCAGGGATGCTGAGCCAGTGGGGTGAGCACAGATCCCACTCTGGTCTCCTAAGGCCTCATTCAGGGCTTGGGCCCAAATCCCATAGCCTGTGGGTGTGGGGAAGGCATCCTAGAAGGACTCATGCTTCTCAGACTCCCAGCCTCCATTGCTGGTATTCCTGGTGCCCATCTCTCATCCCCATCAGCCGTACATTCCCACCCATCCACCTCTGATGCCAAGGGACATCTTTAACTTGGGATCCCAGATGTGCCAGTTCAGACCTTGGTCCCATCTTCAAATAGAGGCTGTGGCCCCCTGGCTGTCGGAGGCTTGGATCCTCCAGCTGGGAACCTGGGAAGGTCCACCCAGGGTCCCTTATCCCTTAGACATCTCTATCAAGTCTCTCAGGGTGCCTAGTGCTTTCCAGGGCATTGCTTCATGCTTTACTGGCACCTTGTAGGACTCCTGGGCCTTCAGAGGCTGGAATGGAGGGAGGTACACGGGCTTCTGCTGCATTTCGCAAGTTTGGGCAGTGAGCTTCACTCAACCTACAGAACCCAGGGCAGAAGCCCAGCCCCCTCCAGGCACACATCGAGCCTCCGTTGAAGGTGTTGCATTTCCAACTTTAATTTCTGTGTCAGCGACTCTTTACCACGTCCCTGTGGCCTCATATTTTCCTTTATCCCCAGCATCCTGGCTGCTCCTCTCAGTTTGACAGGCACTGCCTTTCCATTCCCAAGTCCTCAGTGGCCTGTGTCCATCTGATCTCCGCCCTGTGTGTGCTGTAGAGGGTGTCCCGGCAAGGGGCCTGGGCCAAGAGACCCACATGAAGCTTGGGGCCAGATAGGGAATGGGCAAGGGAAGCCCTGCTATCGGATACAGGGCCCCAGAAGTGGTCCCTGAGGCAAGCATTCAAAGGCAAGTTGTTTATTTGTGATGTGGCCCTCAGAGATATTGATAGGAGTGAGACGAGGAAGGGAAATAGGTGTCTTAGGAAGTAGGTGTTGGGGCTCAGAAACCAATACCCCAAAATATGGCATTTTGACATGCTCAACTGAATGTTGGAAATAATGTTTAAAATTTTAAGGAAATTGAACATTTAAAACAACATGAAGAAGCTTCAAGGTCTCTCTGACCTTTCCCCTGCCCCCACTGTCTCTCTCAAAGAAGCTGAAGTCCCTTTATCTGCCTAAGACCCAGACCCACCAATGAGAACAATTGTTTTTTCCTTCCCCTCCCTCTAAGACTTGTTCATTCTCCCTAGAAATCCCTTCAGAAGCATTTCTCATTGCCCCTCCCACTTTGGCAGGATAGTATATAAGCCTCTGAGCCACCATGGGGCTGGGATCTCCTTCTGAAGGCTCTCGTGTGTATCTGTAAAATAATTTTGTCTTTTTTTTCTTTTTCTTTTTTTTCTTTTTTGAGACAGAGTCTCACACTGTTGCCCAGGCTGAAGTGCAGTGGTGTGATCTCAGCTCACTGCAGCCTCTGCCACCCGGGTTCAAGTGATCCTCTCCTGAGTAGCTGGGATTTCAGGCACACGCCACCACGCCTGGCTAATTTTTTTGTATTTTTTGTAGAAACAGGGTTCCGCCATGTTGGCCAGGCTGGTCTCAAACTCCTGGCCTCGAGTGATCAGACCACCTTACCCTCCCAAAGTGTTGGGATTACAGGCATGAGCCACAGCGCCTGGCCCCTGTTCTATTATTAATTAATCTGCCTCATGTCAGTGATTTTTCAGCAAAAAATTTTTCAGCAAGCTTTTAGGGGGCCCAGGGTTGTGGCCCCCACACAGGTTACCACTGTGGTCAAGTGGAGCTCAACTGCAAGGGAAACTCAGGGAAGCAGTGGAGCCCTCCCTCAGAATTACCCCCAAGGAGAGTGAGCTGAGGTGTTTATACACGAACTCCCATCAGCCATGGGCTGAGGGTTGTGGGGGACAGAGGTTGATTCCCCAGCCCTTCCATTGTGCCCTGGGCATGGGCAGGGCAGCCTTCTGAGGCTTCAGAGAAAGCTTTTATGTAAAAAGAGGCAGACCCCAATAGATGGAGTCTGCCACACCTGCCATAGCCACCTTCCAAGGAGCGCTACACACCCATCCATTGACCGCATGTTGGGCATATCCTCGTGTTGGACCGAGTGCTAGTGGCTGGGGCTCTGATGGTAGGCAAGACAGGCAGCCCCTGCCCTCTTGGGGCTAGATATGGCAGGAGATGAAGATACTTGCACAGGTGATTGCACAACAGCACCATGGATGCTCTGAGGAGGGTGCTAGAGGAGCACCCAGGTGGAAGCAGGGAAGGCTTCTCGGAGGAAGAGATGTTGCAGCTGAGAGGTGAAGGGTGAGCTGGGAGAAGTGATGGGCAGCTGCAGGAGTTGGCTGGTGTGTTGGGAAGAGTACTGTTCCTGGTAGGGGAAATGATCTATGCAAAGGTGAGAGAGATCCCACGTGACCTATTTAGGGACCTGAAGTGGATTCTATAGGGGAGAGTGAGGTGTGGAAAAGAGGAAGGGTGGTGACAGAGGAGGCTGCAGTCAGCTCTGGAGAGGTCCTGTAAACCCTATTGAGGCATTGAGATTTTTAGCCTGAGGACAAAGGTAAGAAGTTGAAGAATCCATCACGCGAGTGGCGTCCCCAGATTCGTGTGTTGGAAAGATCTCTCTAATGGCCGTGTAGACACTAAGGTTGGGGGGATGGGTGCAACAGGTGTAGTGGGGAGACCCAGCAGGGGCTGGAGGTGATGGTGGCTTGGATTGGGGATGGTAGCAGAGGATGGAGAAAAAACGACCTTTGCCTCTCGATGGCATTTAGGGGATCCCTAATAGGGCGAGAAAAGCAGGCAGCTCTGGGCTACCTCTTCCCCTTTTCCAGCCTTTACTTTTATCTTTTTTTTTTTTTTTTTTTGAGACAGAGTCTCGCTCTGTCGTCAGGCTGGAGTGCAGTGGCGTGATCTTGGCTCACTGCAACCTCTGCCTCCCGGGTTCAAGCGATTCTCCTGCCTCAGCCTCCTGAGTAGCTGGGATTACAGGCGCACACCACCACGCCCAGCTAATTTTTGTATTTCTAGTAGATACGGGGTTTCACCTTATTGGCCAGGATGGACTCAATCTCTTGACTTCGTGATCCGGCTGCCTCGGCCTCCCAAAGTGTACTTTTATGTTTTCACTTCTCAACTTGTTGACTTCTTTATTGGCATATAACTTAGAGTAAAGGGCATGAATTATAAGCGGGCAGCTTGCTGGTTTTCTGCGTATTTTCAGCTTCCAGCAGGGTCTCTCGCACTGCCCCCTAAACTAGCCATTGTTCTGACCTTTGTCATCATGGGGCAGTCTTGCCTGTCCTTGACCTTCAAACAAAGGAATCCCACAGCAAGCTTCCAGAGGTTCCTCCATGCTGCTGTGTGTGGCGGTAGTTTATACTTTTTCTCATTGTGTTGTGTTCCATTGTATGAACACACACACATAATTTATATCTCCTCCTGCTGATGGATATTTGGGTTGTTTCCTGTTTGGGGGCATGATGAGCAGTGCTCCTATGTGTATTCTCGTACATGTCTTAGGAAGCTTCTATGCAGCACAAGCACTGGTTTCTGGTAGACATATACCTAGGAAGAGAATTTCCAGGCTTCATTTCTAGGAAGTTCTCTTTCACCTTCCCCCATTCTTAGGCAATAGGGAAGGTTTAGGGGCAGTGGGGGATAGGCCATCCTTACGCTGAATGTGGTCGCACAGTTGGACAGTTGCCCACTTACCGGGCACAGGGTCTGTCCACAGCCGAGGTGCCCACTCGCTGTTCGTAAGTGGACACAGGCATTCCACTGAACTGGAAATAGCACGCTCTTGTTATTTTTAAGGCTTACCTTCTTTTTGGTTTTTCCTTTTTTCTTTTTTGGGTAACAGTCTTGAAAGAGACTCTTACAGGGAAAATAACAGAAAGCAAAGACTTCTGTATTTGATTCATAAAATGATTTCTCCAGGGATGAATCCACCGAAACCTCCTAATTCAATGTCACTCAGAGGAGTCCATGGACATTTGTGTCCAAGAATATTAATAGCAGTAACTTAAAAAAAAAGCTTCTTCCATCAGGGAAGTTTGGGAGACACCCAACTGAACAAAGTGAGTTAGGTTTTCTTACTCAGGACTTGTTGGAGCCTCGGTCAGTCTCCAAGAGGCCCCCTAGAAGCCACTTTCTCTCGGCACAGCGTTTTGTGGGCTGGAGAACCCACACTGGGAAAGCCTGTGAGGAGGAATATTTTTGAAGTATTCTTGGAACATGTATTATTGTTTTAGTCTCTGGGGCCTATTTCCTCCAAACCTGAGCCTGCAGTGGAGGTTGAGCCGGCAGGGCATCATTCTCGGCATGAGCCATGCAGCCCTGGGTCCCTTTTTGCATTTGGCTCCACCTGATTCCGAGCATGGGGCTGACTGATCCAAGTTCAGAGAAACTAAGTTCATACAAAACCAGGCCTCAGAGGAGTTCCCAGGAGCTCCTGGGCACCCAGACCCATCTACAAACGGTGGAGGAGCTTCGTCCCTACACTTGCTGGTCCTTCCAGCTCCTCCCCCAGATATCTCCAGAGCCACTGCCTCCCCTCCTCAGGCCTTGACCTTCTCTGTGAGGATTCCGCTGACCACCTTGAAGTCACAGCCTTGCCCCCACCCCCAGCACTTCGTATTCACTTTTCCTGCTGTTTCCCCTCCTGAGCCCTTACCTAGATTTAACATACTCCATCTACTTATTTATTTATTTACTTGAGACAGGGTCTCACTCTGTCACCCAGGCTGGCATGCAGTGGCATGATCATGGCTCACTGCAGCCTGGACCTCCCAGGCTCAGGTGATCCTCCCACCTCAGCCTCCTGAGTGGCTAGGACTACAGGTGCCCACCATCACGCCCAGCTATGTTTTGTATTTTTTGTAGAGATGGGGTTTTGCCATGTTGCCCAGGCCGGTCTTGAACTCCTGGGCTCAAGACATCCACCTGCCTTGGCCTCCCAAAGTGCTGGGATTACAGGCGTGAGCCACCGTGCCCGGCCTCCATCTATTTACTTAACTTGTTGATTGCCCCCTCCTCCTCCAGCTAGAAGGCAAGCTAGAAGGCAGGAAGGGCAGGGTTATTATCCGTCTTGCTCTGCCATACCCCAGAGCCTGGAACACTGTGCGGCAAACAGTCGGTGCTCAGCAGATGCGTCCAGAGTGAATGAAGTGTGTCCACTGTGCTCTTGTGAGAATGCTTTCTTCTAATTTGTGATGTTTCTGCCTAAAGAAGGTCAAGTTGCCAGCCTGACTTTGGTAGATGGGAACCACTGGTGAGAACTCCACCTGCTTCCCTCAAGACGGACCTATCTGTTATGTATTCTGAGGCAGGCACTTTGCTGGGGGCGCACACAGGATTCCAAAACCCACTGTGAAAATGCACACCCCAGGGAGTGCATTCAGACTGGAAAGCAGGCTCTTTTATCTTTCTTTTTATTGATATTGCATTTGAAAAATACATACATACAATCAATAAAATACACAAAGTGAGGTTTCTTTCTCACCTCGAACCCCTACATTCCACTTCTCCTCTCCAGAAGCAACCTTTGTTAGTTTCTTTTTTAGCTTTCCTGAGGTATTTCATGCATTTATAAGCATTTTTTTCTTTTTTCACAGGTGATAACACACCATACATGCTCTTCAGCATGTGACTTCTTTCACTTAACAATATGTCTGGGAGGCACCTCCACCTCAGAGCATAAAGAGCTCTCTTTGAAAAGGCCACAGAATATTCCATTAGGTGGATGTACAGGACTTAACCTGCTATTGTCCATCGGCACGAAGGTTGAATCCAGTTTTTTGTCTATTACAAGCAATGACATGTGTATACTTTTGAAAGGAGGGAAAGAAAGGAAGGAAGGAGGGAAGGCAAAGAGAAGGGAAGAAAGACAGGAAGGAAGAAAGAGAAAAAGAAGGAAGGAAGGGAAAGAAAAAAAAAGAAAGAAAAGGGAGGAGGAAGGGAGGGAGGGAAAGCAAGCCACCAACGTGGTTCAGAATTTGACAAATATTTATTGGCACATATTTTAAGTGCCAGGCCTATTGTTAAACTCTAGGAAGCTCCTGCCCTTGGAGCCAGTCTAACAGTGAATCTCAAAGTCCTGTCGCTTTTTTCTCTTCAGAGAAATTCCTCATGGCTTCTCCTGGGGAGGGGAGCGGCGAAGGGGAAAGTAGGGAAGAGGCTCTGCTTAGCTTTGAACTGCACTCAGGGCACGGTTGTATGTGGACGCACTCAACCACAAGCACGGTGGCCGACTCTCACAAATGTACATTCGGGCAGCCTGAGGGTTATGAGTTTGTCATGATATATTTAGAGCGAGCAAGAGCCCTTTAGTGGTGCCCCGAGCCAGAGAGTAAATAGCTGCTTACACGGGCATTTAAAGCCAACATAGAAAGAGGCTGTAATTGCAGTGCTCAGGAAATGCCATACTTGAGAGCTTTTCTAAAATGACATGCTATTTGACCCAATATTTTCCAGAATGCAGAGGCTTCTTTGATCTTTGCAGCACGGCGCCCTTGCACAATGACTGGGTCACAGCAGCACTCCGGATGAACATGCCCCGCCGGGGGTAGAGCTGGTAACTGGGAGGACTTGGGCTGAGAGCTGGTGGACCAGATCTTGGGTTGAATTCTCCCAGAAGTAGAGAAAGATGGAGTTCAGAAGATTGTTTGGAAACGCATTTCTGGAAGCCCCCCTGGGGAGCGGGGAAGGGAGACAAACCTGTTCAGAGTATTGATGGGTAGTTAGCACCGTGGACAAGCAGAACTCAACACTGTAGGGGCCTTGGGAGATGGCAGGGACATGCTTCACAGCAGCCCACCTGAGGGGCAAGGAAGCTGGAGTATTTATCCCACCAACATCCATTCCTCATTGGCCAGAGGTGTCTTGGGAGGGAGTAGGGGGTTGAGTCTCCAATCAGCCCTGCTTAAAGCTGGGGAGAGAAGCTGTTGGGTTGGCCTCCATAGGATTTTTATAGAAAAATCTCCCAATTGCTAAATGTTGGCAAATGATCCCCAATTTTCTTTTCCTTTTTTTTTCTTTATTTTGAGACAAGGTCTCACTCTGTTGCCCAGGCTGGAGTGCAGTGGTGTGGTCATGGCTCACCGCAGCCTCAACTTCCTGGGCCCAAGCGATCCTCCTGCCTCAGCCTCCTAAGTAGCTGGGACCACAGGCATACACCACCACACCCAGCTAATTTTTAAATTTTTTTTTGAGATGGGGTCTCCGTATGTTGCCCAGGCTGGTCTCTAATTCCTGGACTCAATCAAGCAATCCTCCTGCCTTGGCCAAGGCAGGCAGATCGCTTGAGGCCAGGAGTTCGAGACTAGCCTAGCCAACATGTCAAAGTCTCTTATCTACTAAAGATACAAAAAAATTAACTAGGTGTGGTGGTGCACGCTTGTAATCCCAGCTACTCGGGAGACTGAGGCATAAGAGTTGCTTGAAACCAGGAGGCAGAGGTTGGAGTGAGCAGAAATCACGCCACTGCATTCCAGCCTAGGTGACAGAGTGAGACTCTGTCTCAAAAATAAAAATAAAAATTCCATGAAGTCAGAGAGAGCTGACAATTTACTCCTCCTCAGTTGATTATACCTCAGCTTACTTTTTTCTTTTTTTATTATACTGAAAAGTTGCAAAATACCTCAGTTTATATGAGTTTTCCAGATTAAAATATTATTGCTTTTTAGTGAAATCTTTACAGATGAAATGATGTTTGGGATTTGTTTCAAGGTAATATAGGAGGTGAAAAGTGGGTCAAGTATAGATACGGAAAGATTGGTCATGGATTGATAAGAATTAAATTGGGTCACAATAGTCATATACTATTTTTTATTTTATTTTATTTTATTTTTTGAGATGGAGTGTCACTCTGTCGCCCAGGCTAGAGTGTAGTGGCACAACCTCGGCTCGGTGCAACCTCCGCCTCCTGGGTTCAAGCAATTCTTGTGCCTCAGCCTCCTGAGTAGCTGGGATTACAGGCGTGGGCCACCATGCCTGGCTAATTTTTATATTTTTTATAGAGACAAGATTTTGCCATGTTAGCCAGGCTGATCTCAAACTCCTGACCTCAAGTCATCCACCCACGTCAGTGTCACAAAGTGCTGGGATTACAGGCCTGAGCCACCATGCCTGGCCTAGTCATATACTATTTTTATAAATGCCAAACATTTTATGTAATAAAATTTTGAGGGAAAGCTTTGAAAGTTGTTATTGTCAATGAGTGGATTGAATGTGCACAACAGAATAAGAGCGGAACCGAGTGGCGTGCTGAAGGCAGGCAATACCTGGGAATAAATTTTACACTGTCAGGTGACATCTCTTCATGCACATTTCACTCTAGAGCCTAAAGTAGCATTAATCTTGATTTTAGAAGTGGCTCTAAGTTCTAGAAGAGAATTTAGGTCTCTGTCTTGGATTGTCAGCAAGTGTTCTTGAGTGACTGTTGGTAAAACAACCTTGAAGAAAATTCTGATGTGGTTCTAGAGTCACATGGGAAACAAAATGTACTTGAAGGCTGTGTTGTGCTGGAGCCAGCTCATGTCAGGTCTCAAGAGCCAATTACGTGCATCTTTTCTCAACTCTGCTTTTATCGAGATCAGGTTGATAGTTTGAAACTGACCACGGTAGGAACCTGTATATCATGGAAATTGGCAGATGCTATAAATAGGACTTTTTTTTTTTGAGAGCTGGTTGTTGCACAGGTACCACCACACCATGGCTGTAAGGTCTTCCCTGGGACTCTGAGGGTACAGAGACAGTTGCCATTTTAAACGTGTGCAAACCCACTCTTGAAACAGATGCTGTCAACACTTATCAGAGCTTAGGCAAAGGTAAGATTGCCAGAGAAAGGGATGCAGCGGCAGATAGCTTTCCATTAGAAAGCTGATGGTGTTCAAATGTGCCTGTCACAGGGTGTGGACCACAGTGGATACCTTGTCCATGTCAATAAGCTTTTGTTGAGCACTTTCTAGGGGACTGGGGCAGGTTCTGAGGGGAGGTGATGCGTTTGAAAAGGATGGCAGTTAGTTTCATCTGGAGTGCTGTGTTGAGAAGGATTCTGAGGCTGGTCTGGACTCAGCAGGGAAGAGAACAGCTATCTCCTGATCATGTCTTCCATGTGAATGGCAGGCATTAGTTGCCCTGGATCTAATACCGTGCCAAGCCCTGGGCTAGGCCCTGGAAAATGCATCCCTCTGGCTCTCAAGTAACTTAAAATATTGTGACCCATAAATATTTGTTCCCTTTTTCATCTGTTTATTTATTGATCCATCCATTCTTCTTAGGCTGCCTCGAATGATTTATCAGCAACTTTCCTGAAAGGAAAGCTTAAGACCACCTGATATTATTTTATTTTATTTTTTTCTAGCCACATCATTTCACACCATATTTTTATTTATTTATTTATTTTTAATTTTTAAAATCTGCTGTTTTGGGCTGTTCATTTACCACTTCTCCTTTGTCTGGAAACAGTACCCAGTTTCCTTTGGGGGAACCCCTCCTTCTCTCTTAGTGCACCCTCTGGCTCCCGGGTGGCAACTCAGCACATCAGTGCCCTTGGCCACAGTGATTGGCTCAGGCTGAGCACACAACCCATGTTAGACTAAGGGAAGCCACTCCTGGGAACTGCTTGGGAAAGAAGCCCTTCCCTTTCCACCGGTATTAATAAGCAGGCAAGACATGCTTGTACTGTTGGTGGCCATGCCTTTTATCACATGGAGAAAAGTAGCTTGAAAGTGTAGCCAAAAGAGATAAAAGAAGAGATGAAAATGAGAGTAGGAGCTTTCTGATATTTTTGAGGACCTGTAGCCTGCTATTCCTGAAGCCAACACCCCTGGGCTTCTTGGATATATAAACCAACACATTTATTGTGTTGCTGTTTACACCAGTTAGAACTGGATTTCTGGCCCTTTCATAGAAAGCCCTGGTAATACCCTGCACTGACACCTCCAGAGGATCCAAAGGATAAGAAAGAACGAAGCCACGTAGAAAGACATCACTACTACATAATGAGCAGTAAAGGCAGTTCATTTCCAGATTGGTCCCAATGTTAGGAGGATTTTGACCAGGCTCTAGAGGAAGCCCACATGTTGTTGGACTCCCAGGCTCTGTGCATTGAGGGCAGAGGAGGACTACCCTGCCCCACCCTACACCTGGCTGCTCACAGGTGCCAGAAAAGAGCCCATGATATGGCCTCTCTTCCCAGTGTGCAGCACGTGCCCTTGGTGCAGACTGTGAACAGCACTTAAGGAAACAATGAGTGTTTGCTACTGGGATCCCAACCCCAGAGAGAGCACAGGGGCAGCCAAGGAGATGGAGCATTTTGGGAGCTGAGCAGGGGCTATCAGTAAATGTGTAAAGCTGAGTGAGGTGCCTCGTGCCTATAAACACAGCACTTACGGAGGCCGAGGCGGGTGGATCACCTGAGATCAGGAGTTCAAGACCAGCCTGGCCAACATCGCGAAACCCTGTCTCTTACTGAAAATACAAAAATTAGCCGGGTGTAGTGGCAGGCGCCTGTAATCCCAGCTACTCAGGAGGCTGAGGCAGGAGAATTGCTTGAATCCGGGAGGTCGAGGCTGCAGTGAGCCAAGATAGCGCCACTGTACTCCATCCTGGGTGAGGGAGCGAGACTTTGTCTCAAAAGAAAAAATGTGTAAAAACAAGTGGACTTTCAAGTGACTTCCAGGCTTGGGGGGAAAGAGAGGTTTGCTTGTCTCCAGTAGGTCTTTTATTCTCTCTGAAGCTTCCTATACCAGCTCTGTGAGCCCTGGGGGCTGCCATCCCATAGTTAAAAGAGTTTTAGAGAGGAGACAGGACCCCGAACCCAAGAGAGACCTGTGGGGAGGAATGCTGGGTTATGCTAGAATTCCTGGGTTCAAGGACTAATTTGTGCTCGGCCTTGTGGACAACTGAGCTTATCCCTGTGTCCTTCCTATTGAAGGGCAGGTGACATCTTTTCTTCCTTTCATTGCTACCAACCACGGCTGTGCCTCCGTCATGGCTTACCCAGACCCTTCCATCACCTCCTAGCTGGTCTCCTCACCTCCACTCTGACCCCCTTACAGCTCTTCTCTACAAAGTGCCAAGCTGATCTTCCCTAAATATAAATCAGGTCATACCAGCTTCCCACTGGGAACTCTCCTTCAAATTCTCAAACCACTCTGGAACACTCTTTAGCAGAATCTACTAAGGTCACCGTAAATCTACTCTATGACCTAGCAGTTCCACTCCTGGCTGTATACCCCACAGAGACAGCACCGTGACCACCCACAGACTTATCCAAGAATATTCATAGCCACATCTTTCACTATGGCCCCCAACTGGGAACAACCCAACTGCCTATCAACAGGAGATTGGATAAATACGTTGGGATATATTCACACAACAGGATATATACATAGCACTTAAGAGGTATGACATGTACATTTCCATGATGTACATGCTGCTACACGTGGTAAAATGGGTGACTTACAGATACTATGTTGAGAGAAAGAAACCAGATGTAAGAGAGCACATAGCCACACGTTTCCATTTATACAAAGGTCAAAAACAGGCAGAGCAAGCCTTCGATGATAGATACTGGAACAGTGGTTATACTAGAGGGAGCTTTTGACTAAGAGGGGACATAGGGAGCCCTTGAGGGGACTGAAGATGTTCTGTCTTGCTCTGATGGTGCCTTCATGGGTGTATATATATGTAAAATGTGTTGATCTGTACACTTAAGTCTGGTGCATTTTATTGTGTGTTAATTATACCTCAATATGGAAGAAACCAAAACCCATCCAGTAGGTCCCCACTTCTCTGAAAATAAAACCTTCATTTCTCTGAGAACTGCATAATCTTCCCTGCTTACCCCACTCTGCTCCAGCCACACTGGCCGTCTTTCTATAAACTCCATCCTGCCTCAGGGTCTTGGCACCTGCCATTTCATCCTCTTGGAATGTTCTTCCTCTGGGTCTTTGCATAGCTGGCACCTACCTGGCATTTCTCCTCCCCCAGGTAGTCCCTATCCCAGTTAATATAATCATTTCTGCCATTAAAGCCACGAGCCCTACTCCTGCCCTCTCGGCCATTCCCTTCCCCCCAGGGAAGGAACAAATGGGGCTGATGGGAGATTTTCACCCAGAGCCCATGCTCCATCTGGTCACAGCCTGGAGCCCTGGGACCCTAACTCGACCCAGACCACCCAGCCCTGCCCCCAGGGCTGCACAGGGCTTTTTTCTCTGGGTCTGTTTTCCCATGGGCAGATTGCAACACAGGCATGTGTACCCGTGGAGGGGAGGGTGGTGGGAGGTGGCTGTGAACTTGGGTTGTATTAAAGCTCCTTCAGACACAGTTCGGAGCATAGAAAGGGTGTGGGCTTTGGACCGGTAACATCCATTGGATCGCTTGTCTATCATCTACAGATATTAGGGGTGTATCTATTATTATCCTGTTAAATTGTCACAAATTGTCAGTGTCTTATTTATTCATTTGCTTTTTATATGTCAGCGCTGTGAGGAGAGGGGTGTATTGCAGCATCTGGTACAGTTTCTGGGACCTACTGGCCTCTCCGGAGGCTGTGAGGACTGTGGCATGGAGAAACAGGGCTGAGCTGAGCCAGTCGGAGGAGTGCCATTGGCCTCAGAGCATGGCAGCCCTGGCAGGCTGGTGACAGCTGGCCTGTCTCAGCTCCTCCTCAGGGGCCTATGACCCATTCCCTGGAGGGGCAGGGCTCACCTACCCAGCCTTGGCTGGGCCTGGCCTGGAGTCCATTGCAGCATATGCCTGGGCTAGACTGTGGCTGGGGAAATGTTTGAGTCCTGGAGACAAGAACAGTGCCCCCATCGGATGTGGCTCAGCTACTCTGGTATGAGACAGGTCAGGGAGGCGGGTCATCTTCGAAGGCTGCCCCTGCCCTGGGGGACATTCAGGAGGCTTGGGGGTTGCTGTAGAGCCTGATGGACCTGCACCCTTCTTATACCTCCTCACCTCTCATGAAGTCCAAGAGGCCAGGCAGTAGCTGCTATGGTTTGGATTGGTGTTGTTTGGCCCCACCAAGTCTCATGTTGAAATGTGATCCCCAGTGTTGGAGCTGGGGCCTGGGGGAAGATGATTGGGTCATGGGTGCAGATCCCTCATGAATGGCTTGGTGAGAGTGAGTGAGTTCTCACTCTTAGTTCCCAAGAGAGAGCTGGTTGTTGAAAAGAGCCTGGCACCTCCTCCTCCTCTCTCTTGCCCCCTCTCGCCATGTGATCTGCACACGCCAGCTCTCCTTCGCCTTCTACTATGATTGGAAGTAGCCTGAAGCATATGTATGCCATAGTATAAAGCCTGACAGATTCTCACCAACTGAACACACTTAGGTAACCAGGACCCGGGTCAAGAACCACTGTGATCCCAGCCCCCAGCAGCCCCTCACACCCTGTCTGTTCTGTGCCCTGCTGAGGCAGTGCCGCCAGTGGACAGCAGAGATTCACTTTGCCTTTTGCACTTTATAAATGTGGCAGCACCCAGCAAGTGCTCTCTGTGTATTTGGCTTCCTTTGCTCATCACGATGTCTTTGTGTAGAGTTTTAGGTTGTTTATTCTTATTACTGGAGAATATTCCATCAAATGAGATGGATTATCTGTTCATTTATTATGATTATGATTATGATTATTTTTTGAGATGGAGTCTCGTTCTGTTGCCCAGTCTGGAGTGCAGTGGCGCGATCTCGGCTCACTGCCATCTCCGCCTCCTGGGTTCACACCATTCTCTTGCCTCAGCCTCCCGAGTAGCTGGGACTACAGGCGCCCGCCACCACGCCTGGCTAATTTTTTGTATTTTTTTTTTTAGTAGAGACGGGGTTTCACTGTGTTAGCCAGAATGGTCTCACTCTCCTGACCTCGTGATCCGCCTGCCTTGGCCTCCCAAAGTGCTGGGATTATAGGCGTGAGCCATATTTATTCAATGTATTTATTCATTTTATCATTGATGGACATTTGAGTAGTTTCTGATTTGAGGCAACTGTGACTAATGCCACTGTGAGCCTTCTTGATTATGTCTTTTGGTAACCATAGACATGCTTTCCTTTTTTTTTTTTTTTTTTTTATGAGACAGAGTCTCACTCTATTGCCCAGGCTGGATTGCAGTGGTGCGATCTCAGCTCACTGAAACCCCCACCCCCCAGGGTTCAAGCAATTCTTCTGCCTCAGCCTCTCGAGTAACTGGGATTACAGGCACCTGCCACTGCGCCTGGCTAATTTTTGTATTTTTAGTAGAGACGGGGTTTCACCATCTTGGCCAGGCTGGTCTTGAACTCTGATCACATGATCTACATGTCTTAGCCTCCCAAAGCTAGGATTATGGGCGTGAGCCACTGTGCCCGGCCAAAATGCTTTCCCCTTAATTATGTCCAGGAGAGAATTGCAGGGGCATGGGGTGAGCGCATGTGGAGGTCAACTTCCATTAACTCATAGAACATGGTTAGTTTTCTCTTGGGGAAAGGGCAGGCTGTGGTTTTCTAAGGCTTTCGGTCGTTCTCATTTGGGGTACAAGGTGTATGGTTTGGTTGGAAAATATTCTTTTTTTCATATTAAAGAAAGTTGCCACTTCCTCTTCTCCCAATGACCTTCACAGATAGGACTGCCAGAGCCTGGATCCTGCAGGACCACATTCCTTCTTCCTCCCCAGCGCTGTAGGGAGGGGAAGGAAATGGGATCATGGTGGTGGGAGGAGACAGAACCCTGAGGTCCTACTTGGTGCCTTGTTGTCTGCACCACCCAAACCCAGCAAGAGAGATAGACAGAGAGAGTGAGAGACAGAGAGACTGAGAAAGAGCAAGAGGGAGAGAGAGGCCAAGACAGAGATGAAAGACCGGGAAGGTGGAGAGAGATTATGGCTGATAGAAATGCAGAATGAGAGAAAGAAAGGGAAGAGGAAGAGAAGGAGGGAGGGAGAAAGAAAAAGAGGGAAAGAGGAGAGTAAAGACTGGGAGAGAGATTAAGAGAGGAGGAGACACACTGCGAAAGACAAAGACAAAAAGAGGGAGAGAGAGAGAACCACAAAAACAAATTCAGCTACAAAGCAAAAAGGAATGAAACCTGGGGCCTGCGAAGTGAAACCAGATAGCTCTGGGAAAAAATCTGTATCTTCAAATAGGTGACAATTGTGTTTTTCTACCAAATAATTGTGAGATGTGACTTCAATTTGAAAGGTTCACAGAGCTCAACTCAACATAACTCCAAGGAAATGAGATAAGTGAGGCCTCTGGCTACTTCAGAGGCAGCAGGAGCCTTGGAAGGAGGAGGGAGGCCTCCTAGGAGCCAACCAGGACCTTTCCACCGCAGTCCTCAAACAGCCAAGGCCTTCTGGTCCTGCTGGCCAAGCGCGGTGAAGGGACTGGGTGAAAGGAGGCTATAGGAGAGTAATTCTTCTCCAGGACAAGCAGCAGGCCCATGGTGGGTTTCTCAGCAGCCTCTGGCCCAGCCCCTCCCCTCAGACACCTGCCCTGCACCTGTGGCGGCCTGTGCTCTCCTCTTGCTTATAAAGCAGCAACCTCTTTTTACCGCACCAGCCTCACTCAGACAGAGCTGGGCACATTTCCAAATGCCAGGCATTCAGAGTAGGAAACCGTGATGGGAGGGTGAAGCCAGGGCTGGGTAAGGCAAGAGGCCTTGGTGCAGCATTGAAGGGGGCGCCAAGAAACTTGGTAATCAAGATAAATAACATTTTTAGTAATATTTTAAAAAATCAAAATGAATGCAAAAAATAATCCATAATGAGCAAAATGTTAAAATTTTAAATAAAGATGGGATTGGATCCTGCACTGGCCTAATCCTGCCTCACTCACCTCACCCTCATCCTTGCCCTGGTTCCAATAAATCCTAATTTACAAAAATAAGCAGCTGGCCTGCAGGCCGTAGCTTGCCAATTTGGTTTTTAAAAGGTATTGGGTTAAGCCAATCATCTTCTTTCTGGAATCCATTGGCCTGCTGGGTCTCTGGGTGTAACAAGAGGCAAAGACTCAGGTGTCTTGGACACTGAGACTAGCAAGCAGGGACAGAGGTCGAGGCACTCGTCCATGAATAGCTGACTGTGTGGGCAGGAGGTGAGGTGGCAAGTCAGCCAACAGTCCACCAAAACATACATCCCTCCTTATGTGGTATAACATCATGGCTGGGAAGCAGTTGTGCACCAGGAACTACATTTCCCATCACACCTTGCACCCTGCATGGCCATGTGACCCGCTCCCACCACTAGAATGTGAATGGGAGTGAGGTGGTTAAGAAAGGGTCTTCTCCACTATCTTTCCCCATTTTCCTGGCTAAATGCAGAAGACTCTGAAATGGGGAAATGTGGAGCCACAAGATCAGAGGAGAATTTCCATCCCCAGATTAACTTCAAACACACACATTAGACTTTTAAGTGAGTCAGGAAAATACTTGTATTGTGTTAACCCACTGCAAGGGAGGGGCTTCTTTGTTACAGCAGATAGTGTTATTCTGACTCACAGAGAACGTCATGGAGAGTTAGACCCCAGGAAGGAGGTCACAGAGGAGGCTGACCTGAATGGCCCCTCGAAACTTGGGTAAGATTTGGGCTGGAGTCAAGGAGACTTTCCAGATTGGGAGAGTGAGCTTCATGTGCCTTCCAAGGGTCTCACTGGAACCTTCAATGTTTGCAGTAAACTCGGAGCAAACAGGTATGGTTGAGTCTGCAAGGCCTGCCCACTTTGAGGACCTCTTGCTCTCCCACTCCCACAATTTGATAAACTGTCCATCGTGTTGCCTCACCCCTTTGCCACTACTGAGCCTGTCCTTGCTCTCCCCAGGACTTTAAATACTGGAACAGGGTCGGGCCCTCTTTCTGGGAGGCTCCAGGGCTGGTGGCACCATGTTCCTTGCATTGTGGAATTAGCAATCTGCAGTCACAGAGCATAAAAGCTGATGAGCAGAGGACAGAGATGAGAAACAGAGAGAGTAGTGGCTGGGTTGGATTGCAGATTCCAGCTGCCTGAGACCAAGGCTTGCTCCTGTCCTTCCCACACTGACTTAATATATCTCAGAAATGACTCTTTCTGACAGATTCTGCCTCTGGACCAGGCAATCTCCAACTGGATTTCTGTGATACCACACCAGGAATTCCAACTAAACTCTATCCACCAAACCCAAATATTTATGGATAATCTACTATGTGCAATACAATGGGGTCAGCTTTTGTGACTTTGAGAGGGGCTGTGGGAAAGGATGCCCAAGGAAGATATTGAAGGGATGGGAACCGGCAACTGGGCTGGGAGCTTCTGTTTACCATCAGAAAATGAGGAATGGCATAGAGAGAGAGAGAGAGAGAGAGAGAGAGAGGATAAATCTTATCCGCAGGCCTCTGCTTAAGGACACGAGAAAGTCTTCCTGCTCCTTCCTCTCTTCCTGGCCATCCTCACTGACCTGAGGGTGATTTAGACTCACAATCATCTCCTGAACCCTAGGGCAAAATGTCCTGACTGTGGCAGCCTCACTGGAAGAAGACAGACAGACTACAAATGTGAAGGTTTGTAGGATACATATCTATTAGAATTGTATATGTTGTTTTCCTTTACAAAAACAAAGCTCAGAAACTAACAGACACTTAAACAAAGAGGATATACAGATGGCAAATGAGCACATGAAAAAATGCTCAATATTTTTAGCTATTAGACAAATGCAAATTAAAGTCATGAGAAGATATCATTACACACCTATCAGAAAGGCTAAAACAGAAATTAGTGACAAACACCAAATGCTGGTGAGGATGCAAGAAACTGGATCACTCATTCATGATTGGTGGTCTTTACAATGGTACAACCACTCTGGAAAATAATTTGGCAATTTCTTTAAAAAACCAAACGTTCAACTACCATGTGACTCAGCAATTGCACTCCTAGGTATTTATTCCAGAGAAATGAAAACTTATGCTCACCCAAAAACCTGGACATGAATGTTCATAGCAGCTTCGTTTATAGTAGCCAAAAGCTGAAATCAGCCCAGAGGGACTTCATCCAGTGAATGGTTAAACTGTGGCACATCCACACCATGAAATAAAGGAAAGAACCATTGATACATGCAACTTCAATGAATCTCCAGGAAATCATGCTAAGAAAAAAGCAACAACAAAAATTCCCCAAAAGGTTACATACTGTATGATTCCATTTATATAACATTTTTGAAATAATAAAATTTTAGAAATGGATAACATATTAGTGGTTACAAGGAGTTAAAGGAAAAGTAATGTGGGAGGAAAGTGGGTGTGGCTGTATAAGGGCAACATGAGGGGTCCCTGTGGAGATGGAAGTGTTCTGTATCTGGACTATGTCAGTGTCAGTATCCTGTGGTGATGTTGTACTATAGTTTGGCAAGATGTTGCCACTGGGCGAAACTGAGTAAACAGTACAGGGAGTATCTCTGTATTATTTCTTACAATTGCATGTGATTATGTAATTATCTCAAAATAAAAATAACAACTGCCCAAAGGCATTACAGAGTGAACAAAAGCAGGCAGAAACAGGAGGAGGCTCTGCACTTGGAAGAAAGGAATGGCATAGAAAGAGGTTGCTATTTTGTTTTTATGACTTTTAGCCTGAAAGCGGTTCTCGGCCTGAACTATGCAGGGTGGTTAAAATTCCAGTAGAAAACCTGCCGTCGGCTGGGCTCAGTGGCTCATGTCTGTAATCCCAGTACTTTGAGATGCTGAGGGCAGCAGACCACTTGAGGTCAGGAGTTCAAGACCAGCCTGGCCAACATGGCGAAACCCCGTCTCTACTAAAAATTTGAAAATTAGCCGGGTGTGGTGGTGAGCACTTGTAATCCCAGCTACTTGGGAGGCTGAGGCAGGAGACGGAGTTTGCAGTGAGCCAAGACTGCGCCATTGCTTTCCAGCCTGAGCAACAAGAACAAAACTCCATCTCCAAAAAAAAAAAGAAAAGAAAAAAGAAAACCTGCCATCTTTCTGGCTTGGAGAGTCAAAAGTTAGAGTCTGGGCAATGACAGCTGCTAGAAAGTGAGAGGTGAGCCCCAGAAAGGTGAGGACCAGTGAGGAGAAGCCCTGAATTCTGTGTGTTTTCTCTGTCCAAATCTCTGGCTGATCCCTCAACTGTGTACGTGTGTGCAAGACTTCCAATAGCCCAGCCAAGACTAAAAGAACTGAGCTGAGGTTCAACTTGCTGACTGAGAGGGAGGGTTGGCAGCTGGAGTAGAGAGAGCCAAGTTTATGGCTTTATAAAACAAGTAAGCAGACAAACAAGTATCAGTGCTCTTCAGAAATATAATAGAATCCAGAGTCACTGCAAAATAGCATCCACAATGCCTAGAATACAATCCAAAATTATTAGACATAGGAAAACCTAGGAGCTGTCCTTGATTCTTCTCCATCTCTTGCTTTCTGCAGTCAATCCATTCATGAGAGCTGTCAGCTCCACCTGAACACACAGTGTCACTTCATCTTTTTCCTGTCTCCACTATGACCTTCTCGTCCCAGCCACCACTGTCTGTGACCTGGATTACCACATGAGGCTCCTTACCAGTGTCCCCGCTTCCACCCTCACTCATCCCCCACACATCAGCCAGGGCCATCTCTTTAAAGTACAGGCCTCCTTGCCTGGCCCACAGGCCCTGCAGGGTATCCCACCTGCCTCTCCAGCTTCATCTCATTTCACTCAGGCCCTTCCTCACCACTCTCCACTTTCCCCAACTGCTGTCCGCTCCTCCAGCGTCCTTAGCACCTTCGTTCTTGCTGTTCTGTCTGATCCTCCTGTTCTTATTAAGGTTTCAGCCCAAATATCACCTCCTGAGATAGACCTTCCTTGATTCTACCACTCCCCAAGATTGTCCAACAGTCACTCTCATGGTCCCTGGTTTTATTTTTCTAAAGCATTGAGTCACTGCTTCCATGTTTGTTTTCATTATCTGTCTTCCCCAGTGAGAGTGTTAGCCCCACATAGGGAGGGACTGTGCTACCTTGCTTATTGCTTATCTGCAGGGCCTGGAGTAGCACCTAATGACAGTAGGTTCTTATTTCAGCCATCTATTATGCATAATGGCCTTTTCAAACGTAGAGGCCTAAAACAACAAGCATTTTATTATGCCTGCAGATTCAGGCAGGGCCCAGGAGGAATAGCATGTTTCTGTTTCATGATGTCTGAGACCTCATGAAAACTGGACTGGCTGGGGGTGACTTGAAGAGCTGGGACTGGAGGGTCTACTTCCAAGAAGTCTACCTCCCTCTCTTGGCTGGGCCCTGGGCTGGAATGGTTGAGACACTGGGATCAGTTGGGAATGTGGACTGGGACCTGTAGGCGGCCCCAGCCTGACAACCTCAGGACAGTCAGATGGCTTACAAGGTAGCATAACCTCTCAGGGAACTAGGCTAAAGCTGTGTAGCCCTGGACACAAAGCAGAACATCCACAATCCTCTGCTGGCCACAGTAGTTACTAGGGAATCTATACCTCAGTTACTTATGGGAAGACCGTCAAATAATTTGTAGCCACTGAAGAAAGTCTGCAATAGATCTCAACAAAGATTTGTTGGAGGAATGAATGGAATGAATGAATCTGTATGAAGATATCCCTAGATAATTGGTTTCAAGTGTCAGCTACTGAAGTACTGAGGACTATCCTAAAAGGATGGACTTAGATAAATCCACCTTCCCCCTATACCAGCCCGATTAGAGGGTCCCACCTGTCATCGGCTCTACTTCTTGTTTTTCCCGCACTCATGAGCAAAACAGCAAATGACAGGAATCACTGCATTACATTTTCTAACACCTTAGCTTCCTTCTTCAAGCCAATGACAGCGGCTGCTGGGTCAGGCATGAGCAGTGCAGCAGGTGGCAGCGGCCTCTCCCAGGCTGGATGTGGAGGTGTCCTGCCAACCTCGTGACGCAGTCTACAATGGAGGATGGCAAGGCTCCGTGACTCTGGCAGGTGGGTACTGATGATCAGTGCGCATGTGCCACTCTAGATTACTTACCTGAAGGGAGAAGCAGAAAGATACGGGTCCTGCCCACCCCCCTCATCTCTAATGAAGGTTTAAAATCATCTAAGGACTCAAAGGGATCAAGAGCGGACACTCACTTCTTAAGCAGGTGTAAGCACTTTCCAAGAGAGAGAAAGTCAAAGAAGAGTAAAAGAAGGAGAGAAGGTGTTCTCCCAAAACTTAGCCAAGCAGAGGAAGTGCTGACGCACAAACACAAATTTTCTTTTCTTTTCTTTTCTTTTTGTTTACCTACTGGAATTAGAAAGCAGAAATACACGTTTTTAAATACCCATTGCACATGCAGCATTGCACAAGTGAACTGAAGGCTGAACGGCCTTGGAGCCTGCCTAGGTCTCTCCCTGGGTGAGGCGGCCTGTAGAATCATTTCTACTCTCACCGTCTCCACACCCCCGCATCCTGTTCACTCCTTACCTCACCCCAATCTGCCTCTGTCCCCACTGAAGTAACCCTTGCTAAGGTCACCAATGGCTTCCTTGTTGCCAAATCTCATGGACACTTTCAGCCATTTTCTTGCTTGATCTTGGAAGAATTTGATGCTGCCTTTTGGGAACTCTCCTGTCTCAGTGGCCCATGGAACTGCTCTCTTCTGGTCCCCTTCTGCTTCTCTGGCTGTTACTTTTTGGTGTTCTTTGTGCATTCTTCTACATCCTTTCACCCTGAAACCTTGCAGCTCCCCAGGATTCTGTCTCAGCAACTTTCCGTTTCCCACCTTCCTTGATGGAAACATCACCCACAGCCATGTCTTCTGCCTGTGTCCTAATGACTCCGAGTCTCTTCCTGCCTTCCAGACCCATAGAACCATCTGCTTACAGAGAGTTGACCCTGAGATGCTGCAGAGATACCTCCAGCTCGACGTGTCCAAAATAGAACACATTAGTGTCCTCTGCACCTGAATCTCTCTCCTTGATTTCATGCCCCAACACTGACTTAGCTGAGACTCCATCATTTCTGACCTTGATTCATGCAATCGCCCCCAATTCTGCCTCCTACCCTCTGCCTTCCCCCTGCTGTGGTCATAGTGACATTACCCTCCCTGCTTAAATTCTCCAGGGTCTCCCCACCATGGTTGGAATAAAATGTAAAGATCTGAGAGTAATACGTGAGGTGTTGAATGATCTGGCCCCATTCCACCTAAGCATAAGAAGGCTCTGATCCAGCCCAGGTTCCTCCATTGACTGACTGTGTGACCTTGAGCAAATAACCTCTCTATGTCTCAGTTTTTCTGTATGTAAAGTGAACAATAATAATTTCAACTCCTGTTAGGAAGATGCAATGAAAAATGCACGTAAGCGCTTAATACCATGCCTGGCATCTAGTGGACTGTTACTCATCTCTCTCATCTTTCTGGACAATCCATGGTCTCTTTCCTCATCCCTCAGAGCTCCGACCCCCTTTTTAATTCTCCACATGTTGCTCATGCCATTTTCTCTTCCCTGCCTATGTTCCCTTCCTGCCCTTTCCCATCTTCTTCCCCTATCTCTCTCCTTCTCAAGACCCCACTCAAAGATCACACCCTTCAGGAAGCTTCCCCTGCCTACTCTCTTGCTGGGTAAGTCTGGGTTGGAGTCACCATGATGCCTCTACACATCTTGATTGAGCTCACCAGGGGCAGCAAATTTATGGTCTACATGGCAGATTATGCTATTGATGTGCTTTCTTTGCCCTGTATAGTATTTTAAATTTATTTTGAATTTATTATGACATTAAAAAGTTGAGAGATACCACGTGAAAATCTGGATGCAACTCTTGAAAAACTGAAGGAGATGGCAACCTGGCCACCACCAGCCAGGAGCTGAGTGTCAGCTGCTACCTTTTAGGGAGCACAGAAGTTCACCACAGTCCCCACCATTCCCTATTGTATGACACCCAGCTGCTTCACACTGCCTTAGTGTGAATTCCTCCCAAACCAGACCCTGAGATGAGAACTTGGGTGCAAGTAGTTTATTTGGGAGGTGAATCCAGGAAGCACAAGGGAGGGGTTGGAGAAGTGAGACAGGGAGGAGAGAAAGCCCATACATAGGGTGCTAATGGACCAGTTATCCCATAGGCAAGTGGGGCTCAATGCTACTGGGCACCTCTGAGAAACATCATAGAACATGCCTCAGAATGGTCCCACTAGGGGTGGGGCGGCTGGGGTATTTATCGCCAGCTGCCATCTCTTGTTGGCTGCAGGCCACCCCTGGGGTGATCCATCCCTGGTCCTCTCAGCTTGCCCAGTGTGCAAACACAGCAAACCCTTAGAGAAGTGGAGAGCTGCAGTGCACCTGAGGGTGTTCACTGCATCACCGGCGAGACCCGAGATGGGTGAGGGGACACAGCACCTGCCTGGTTCCCACAGACACTCATGTTTGCAACCTCTGAACCCAGTAGCATTGCCCTTGTCTGGTTATTTTTCTTCCCCAACCCTAAACTGTGAGCATCTTCAGGATAGGGATTGTGAACTTTCTCTCTTTAACTCTGGTGCTTAGCACTGTGCCTGGCACGTAGGTACTCAATTTAAAAAAAAAAGTGTGTGTGCCTCAGTTTGCTTATATCAACACAAAGGCGGTTCAGCTCTGTGATGGACACAGACACACTCTGCAGGAGTGGAGCAGATCCTCTCAATTTGCTGCCCAAATATGTGAGTAGGGACAGCTCACCTTCCTGGTACTGCTATAGCTGAGGTAGGAAAAGCTAGTGGCTTGTGAGCCATGGTACCGATTCAACCACAAGTTGTTGGAACCAGAGAAAGGGAGGAGACCCATAGGATGAGCCCCTGCCGCTAATGGAAGCATGTTAGAATTCATCCAGCAAATACCTACGGGTTTCCTGCAGAATGCTTGCCGCACTTAAGGGTGCTGGGGATATACCACCTTACATTCTGGAGATGGGGATACAGACATTTTGGAAGCAAATCAAGATCTTTTTAGAGGGTGATAAGCACCATGAAGAGAATAAAGAGGGCGATATGACAGAGTAGCCAGAGGAGGAGACGACTGGAGGTTGAGTGGTCAGGAAGGGCCTTTTTGAAGAGACAACATTTGAACTTTATGCAGATACCAGTGGAAAAGGCATTGCAGGTGGAGAGAACAGAATGTGCAAAGACCCTGAGGCAGGAATTAACTGGTCTACCTCAAGGATCAGAAAGAAGTCTTGAAGATAAGGGGGCAGGCGTACAAGACGAGGTCTGAGAAAGAGACAGGCACAGGTCACATGGGACCCAGTGAAGCCTCAGAGAGCTTGAATTTTACTCCAAGTGCAATGAAAGGGTGTTGCAGTTTTAAAGATGTGACTGCATCATCTAATTTGGTTTTTAAATAATTCTTCTGGCTGCTGGGCAGCGGACCAAAGGCCTAGGGTAGGGAGGGGAGTAGAAGGGAAGGTGTGGAAACAGGGCTGGTGGAGAAAAGTTGTCCTCTTCCAACTAGAAGTAGTGTGTGGCATGAGCTATGGAGGTGGGAAGATGGTCGGTACATTCTGGAGTTGGTGTGGACAGGACTAATGTTGAACAGGACATGGGTGGGACAGGAGGGGAGACTACAACTTTAGGGTTGACAAACATAATCACTTCTGCGCTGAGCTATTGGTAATTTCCCAAAAAGGGGCTGTCACTTGTCACCCCTTCATCCTCCATGGCCTGCCTGGGATATTAGGACAGTGCCTTGAGACCTTCCTGGGGAGGCAGCACCCTCACCATCACACAGACTTTTTGGAACAGGGGCCAAGCTTCTCTCCATGGGCACCCCAGATTCTTGAGGTTGAGGGAGAGATACGTAGTGTGAGAGACTATTTCTGGGGATTCTGAGTGCCTGCATGAACAGAGTACTCCATGGTCCCTCCCCAGTCCCCAGCCCCTGGAGAGGCACTGCATTCTGCAGCCCAAGTGTCTGCAAATCCTGGCAAAGGGAACTTCAACAGACCTCAGAATTGTCCTTTTTTTGTAAGTCTCTGAAAGCCCCTGGATGATTGGAATTTTTGAAGCAAGCTTACATGGTACAGGACTGATGTATTAGTAGTGATATCAGACCTTCTGCTCCCAGGTGAGTGGACCCATTGGGCACTTACTGGCATAGTGCTGCCCCGATTCCAGGTACTGGGGCTATCTTCACAGCCCCATTACAAACCCAACATTGTAAGTAAGTACCCCCATTTTTCTAAGAGATGGCTTAAGTATTTTTTTCTATGTCTTTTCTCATTCCCCTGGTTCCCCACTTCCTACTTAGCCGTTTAGAAATGCAAATATATCCTTTTTCCTCCCCTTCACCAGACTCCCTACAGGGCAAATTCATCTACATGCTCCAAGACAGAACTCTTGAGAGTTAACAGTCAATTTACAAACCAAAGCATGCCCCTTAAGAAACTCTCACCCTCCAGGAGGTTGCCTCAAAAGAGAACAGCCTGCCCATTAGGGCACCAGCAGTGACCAGCTCAACCACCTGGTACCACCACCAGCTCAACCACCTAGACACCAAGCTAACACTCGGACCCCTCACCTTGCCTGCTTCCTCCTCTGCCTTTAAAACAAATTTTTTTTTTTTTTTTTTTTTTGGCAGACAGGTTCTCACTCTGTCACCCAGGCTGGAGTGCCCTGGTGCGATCTCCACTTACTGCAATCTCCACCTCCTAGGCTCAAGCAATCTTGCAACCTCAACCTCGCAAATAGCTGGGACTACAAGTGCACACCACCGCACTCGGCTAATTTTTTGTATTTTTTGTAGAGATGGGGTTTCATGATGTTGCCCAGGCTGGTCTCAAACTCCTGAGCTCAAGCAATCCGCCTGCCTCAGCATTCCAAAGCTCTGGGATTACAGGTGTGAGCCACCATGCCCAGCCCCTCCCCTGCCTTTTAAAAGTGCCCACTTTCTGTTCCAAAAATGAAGTGATACATTCAAAGGCAAGGTGGACACCAGTGCTTCTTCCCGTAAGCTAGCTTTGAAAATAAATCAATTTCTTTATAGCGGACCTCGCTCTTATTCAATGGACTCTGCAGGCAGCAAGCGACTGTCCCACCAGCCTTTTAGTTACAATGCGGATGTCCCTTTCCGTCTTTTACAGCCACACGTTAAGATTTTTAACAATGAAGACCATATTTCTAAATGCAAATTAAAACTGAAAAATGTGGGTATGGTGGCACACACCTATAATCCCGGCTGCTCCGGAGGCTGAGGCGGAAGGATCACTTGAGCCCAGGAGTTTGAAGCTGCAGTGAGCCATGATTGCATCACTGAGCCTGGGGTCACAGAGCAAGACTCTGCCTCTAAAAAAATTAAAATTTAACTTTAAAAATCCTGAAAAATTTAATGCTACTACACCTCCCCCAGAATTGATAAGACTAAAAAGACTGACCCACCCAGTGTCGATAAGGATTTGGGGCAAGCAGACTTCCCGTACATGGCTGGCAGGAGTATAAATTGGTCCAACCATGTTGGGCATCTGTTTGGCAGTGTCCAATGAAATTAACATACATATGCTTTGTTACTCAGCAATCCCACTTTGAAGTACACCCAAGAGAAACGAGAGCATGTGTTTACCAAAAGACACGTACAAGAATATGCTTAGCAGCACTATCTGTCATAGCCAATGAGTAGTCTATTCATACAATGGAATACTATACAGCCACGAGAAAGAATGAATTATTACTGCACACAATATCATGGATGAATCACACCAACATAACATGGAAAGGAGCCAGACACAGAACTGCACATATTTTACACATCCATTTATATAAAGTTCATAAATAGACTAAACGCTCTCTGCTGCTAGATGTCAGCTGTGGGAAAGTGGACCCGTCTGAGACGGGGCCCGAGGGGCCTGCCAGTAATGTCCTGTTCTTTACCTGGGTGGTAGTTAAGTGGCTGTGGTCACTTCTGAAAATTCATCACACTGTTCGCCAATAATTTGTGCATCTTTCTGTGGGTATTACACTTCAACAGAGTTTTGTAAGAGACCATATTCCATAACTCAGTCACTCAAATGGATCTTCAGAAGACTTGTTGAGAATGGATCAAATGGGTCGTCACCATGTTGAGAATAGTATAGAGAACCACTTGGGGCTCTAGTGGCCATTCCAAAGGAGGAATTCCAGAATGTTCTGAGCCAGGAGTGGGTAACCTCAGTAGTGGCTGGGCCCCCAGGGGCCTGGGTGGACAACATCCTTATGGGGAGTGAGAGAGAAGCCCTTTGGTCTAAGGAGGGGCCTGCTTGCCTGTGGGTGACCCCGAGCAGCTCTGATTTTGCTTCCTTTGCTGAGGGCCCAACCCTGAGGCCATTAATTATGGGGCATTGTTTGTCCATTGACTTATGGACACTTTAAAAACATAACTGTATTAGGTTTGGGAATTTTGATCCTGTGCCTGCCCTGGAAGCCTAAGGAGACTGGCCGGAAGTGTTACACAATGGGGAGGTTCCCGAGAGGTCCCCGCGGCTTTGCCGGACTCAGCCAGCCAAGGGATTTCCCTGCTTCCCGTGGGTTCTTCCTCTCCCGCCCCATCGCTTGGGTCACATTGTGGCTGTTCAGGAAACTGCCTGCTTTCAGGAGCACCAGGGGGCTGCCGTCCTTGTTTGGGCATGAGAGTTTGATCCCTGGCAGGTCCTGGTGAGGTCACAGCACCTGAGTCTGTCCCATGGGCAGTCAGGGTCTGGAAGTTGGGTGGGCCACTGGGGGTCCCTGGAGGGCTCCACCCTGTGTGAGCCCTGGGAAGCTTTGCACGCCTCCCAGAAACAAACCTTTGCTCACCCCAGTCACGAGCGAATTTTTCTCTCAGGGTCAACCTCTTCCAGGTTTCACCACAAGGCAGAACAAACAACCCTTGAGGCAGTTGTCTTTCTAGTTTGCTCCAGAGCTGAGTCAAGAAGGAACAGCTGACGGGGACTTAGTAGAACACCAGAGCTCCCACTGATGGCCGGGGAAGAGGGTCGGATGGCTGGGCAGTAGAGGCCCCCAGCTCTCAGTGCTGGCCATTGGCTTGATTCAACACTTACTTATTGCATGCCTACTCATACTAGGCACAGGGCCAGGCCCTAGTGATTAATTTGAATGGGTTGACATAATAAAATAAGTACATTTTAAAATTATATTAGAAGATGATAAGGGCTACTGTGAAGAAAAAACATTTTATAAAGCTGGTAGAGGAGATAGGGGCGGTGTTTTTAATGAGAGGGCCTCCTGCGAAAGTGTAAGCAGAGTCTTAAAGGGTGAGTGAGCTGGGTGGAGGCTGGGGAAGGCTGCTCCAGGCACAGGAGGAGCCGTGCAGAGGCTGGGAGGCCTCTCTGCCAACAAGCGGCTCTGGTGTGTTTAAGGACCAACAAGGGGCCGGTATGGCCAGGGTGGAGAGGAGATGAGAGAAGGAATAGGTCCAGATTGTGCAGGGTCTTCCAGACCATCTTAAGAAATTTGGTTTTACTCTGAGATGGGGTAGGATGTCATCAGACTAACATGAAGCCAGTCCCCAGGTTGGTGACTAGAAAAACCAGCTGCAGTAAGAATCAAAAGTCTTAAAAATGTTTCTGCCTTCTTATTCAGTTAAATGCATTCTTAGGCATCTTCCTTAAAAGAAGAATGGAAAATATTGCAAAGATTTCTGTTTTAGAATTCACTCATTCATTTTTTAAAAAATACGTATATAGCTGCTCATAAAAGCTTTGATTGTAATGGTGAAAAAACTGAAAGCCAAAAAGTCAAAAAGAGAAGGCACAAATCAACACATTATTGGACACAAATTTGATGGATTGTTATACACATAGCCGTTAAAAACCATTTTTCAGGCTGGGTGAGGTGGCTCACGCCTGTAATCCCAGTACTTTGGGAGGCCAAGGTGGGCAGAACATCTGAGGTCAGGAGTTCGAGACCAGCCTGGCCAACATGGTGAAACCCCGTCTATACTAAAAATACAAAAATAAGCCTGGTGTGGTGGTGTGCGCCTGAAGTCCCAGCTACTCGGGAAGCTGGGGCAGGAGAATCACTTGAACCTGGGAGGCAGAAGTTGCAGTGAGCCGAGATAGGGCCACTGCACTCCAGCCTGGGCGACAGAGCGAGACTCCATCTTAAAAAAAAAAAAAAAAAAAAAAAAAACAGCCATTTTTCCAAAAAGATTTAATGATGAGGGAAAATGTTTAAAGCATACAAATGAAAGAAACAGGATAACTTATGTTTGATAAGATCATTTTTAAAATTTTAAAATTTTATTTATTTATTAAATTATTTTTTTGAGACGTCTCTCTGTCCCCCAGGCTGGAGTGCAGTGGCGTGATCTTGGCTCACTGCATCATCTGCCTCCTGGGTTCAAGCGATTCTTCTGCCTCAGCCTCCTAAGTAGCTCGAATTACAGGCATGCGCCACCATGCCCAGCTAAATTTTTTTGCATTTTTTAGTAGAGACAGGATTTCACCATGTTAGCCAGGCTGGTCTCGAACTCCTAGCTTCAGGTGATCTGCCCGCCTTGGCCTCCCAAGTGTTGAGATTACAGGCATGAGCCACTGCGCCCAGCCTCTCAATTTGCTTTTGAAAATATACAGCATACATGTGACATTGATTTGCCTTGAAAACATGATGCTAAGTGAAAGAAGCCAGTCACAAAAGACTACACAGCATGTGATTCTATTTACATGAAAGGTCCAGAACAGGCAAATCCATAGAAACACAAAGTCCATTTGTGATCGCCAGGGGCTGGGTTGGGCTGGGGGAGGGGAGCAACTGCTAGGGGGATACCTTTTTGGGGTGATGAAAATATTCTAAAATCAAATAGTGGCGAGAGTTGTATCAACTCTGTGAATATACTGAAAACCACCAAGTTGTACACTTTAAAAGAACAAATTTTATGGTATACAAATTTTATTGAAATAAAGCTATTATTTAAAAATGTACCTATAGGCAATTGAAAAAAGACTGGAAAGAAATCCGATAAAATATTAGATGATAGGGTTTATTTCCTAACTTATTCATTTTCTTCTATACATTCCCCTATATTTTCCAAAGTTTTCACAATGTAAATCCACGATTTATTCATCGTACCCACGCACATTGGTTAAGAAACTCAGTCATTGTAAATCTGTAAAAAGACAAAAAAGGGGCAAACATTGCCTATAACAGAGCCTTCTCGGGGACTTCCTGTGACTCTCACCCCCACTCCCAAGATAGGTTCACATGGTAGTGATTTGTGATGTTCACCCCAATTTTCCATTCTCTCCTCTCCCAGCAGACAGCACTACCTGGTCCCCTTGGGGCTGGGTGGGGCCATGTGACTGGTGCTGACCAGCCGTTTGTTAGTGAAAGTGACATGTCACTTCTGAGCCAGAGCATTTAATGGCTAGTGTGAGACACTTCTTTCTGCTGAAGTATCCTGCATACATTCAAGATGAGGTTGCTGTGTCAGCTCAGGTTGTGGAGACAGGACAACACAGAGCTGTCCCAGCAGACCTGAGATGGGCACGGAATGGGCATGAGATAGACAGCTTTGCTGTCCTAAGCCACTGAGCTCCTGGGGGTGGTTGTTGCTATCACAGCACAGCGTAGCCTGCACTGACTCATGCACACAGACGGTGAGGTCTGAGGAGCTGCCACCAATGTTAGTCATCTGCAGCTGCTGTCCAAAGTAAAATATATCAATAACTGCATGTTCCATTGCTGCACAGCACCTCACTTCCTTTGCTTTTTTTTGTTGTTGTTTTGTTTTGTTTTGAGATGGAGTCTTGCTCTGTCACCCAGGCTGGAGTGTGGTGGTGTGATCTTGGCTCACTGCAACCTCTTCCTCCTGGGTTCAAGCAATTCTCCTGCCTCAGCCTCCTGAATAGCTGGGATCACGGGCACGCCCCACCATGCCTGGCTAATTTTTGTCTTTTTGGTAGAGATGGGGTTTCACCATGTTGGCCAGGCTGGTCTCGAACTCCTGACCTTGTGATCTACCCACCTCAGCCTCTCAAAATGCTGGGATTACAGGTGTGAGCCACCGGACTCGGCCACCTCACCTCCTTTTCTATTTAAAATGCCTTCATGTCTACTTTTGAGCTTTCTTCAAAACAAAGCTAGGAGGTAAGAAAATCAGTTACTTTTCTCATTTAACAGTCCAAGAAACAGCAACTCAGACAAACTAAGTGTTTTGTCATTGGCCCCCCACCCACTTAATGGCATTATCCGGCCCTCTAACTCTCTGCCCAGTGCCCTGGCTACAGTGGCTTCTCAATCTGGTCCAAGAAGAATCAATCACCAGGCCAAGCACTAAAGCAGCATAGTTTGTGCAGTTAAAGATTATCCTTAAAATAAAACAGAGACTTTACTATCAAGGGGGCACCAGTGCACAGCTTTGAAGAATCTGCTAGAAACAGGCACAAAGAAATGAGTCAAGAAAGAAAGACAGCCACCCTGCATTTCGCCAAGGTGACCTTGGCCTTGGAAAAGTAACCAGAGAATTAAAATTGGAAGGTGTAAGGAGATCCAAAAATCTCCAAGACAGAGAAATGTAGGAGGCGCTGTCTTCGGCTTAGAAAGAGAGCTCCTGATGCGAGACAGCGACACAGAGGGAGAAGGATGGGTGTGAGCCCACAGAATGCTGTCCCAGGACCTCGTCCCCCTGCTCTCTACAGCTCTAATGCTTTGTGTTCCAAAATGGAAATGTCTGTCTTGCTTTTTTCTGATTTGTAAAAGTAATACTTAGTGCAAAAATTTAAATGCTGGACTACTGCATAGAGTGGAGCGTGAAAGGGCCTTTTAATCACATCCCTCAAGGATAACCACTGCTGGCAGTTCAGCATCTCTCTTTCCACAGTTTTTTCTATGCATGTATCATAGAATAGCCAGGATCTATGCTATGGATAATGGATCTCTATCTATCTATCCATCATCCAATCCATCTATATCTATCATCTATCTATCTATCTATCTATCTATCTATCTATCTATCTATCTAATCTATCATCTATCTACTTGGCTAATCTATATTGTTTATCCTATACTGTTATAGTATATATATATATGTCTATATTGTTATACCTTCTCTTTATAAAAATGTATCCACCTTTCCACTGTCCTAGACAACTAGCTCACACTTCATCTTTACTCCCCATTCTCATTCATAGCCTGCCATCTTGCTTCCTGTTGCACTGAGAAAACAGAAGCCACCAGAAGAGAAATTCCTTAAACTCCCACTACCACAACACCTTCTTCTCTGCATCAGGGCTGCCTGCTCTGCCTTCCCTCCTATGGCCCACTGTGGGTGTCCTCCTAGCCAAGGCCAGTCTTTCCTTCTGTTTGGATCCCAAACCTATTGTCTACTCAAGGACACGCTGCAGCAGCTCTTCCCTCTCTCTCCCGTATCCCCAAAGTTCCCCCCTCATTCCCCCTGCCCCCACCCCGGGATCTTTTGCAGAGCATCCAAAAACACTGTCCTTCATCGATTCTTAGTTCTCCCCTCATCTGACCCATCGGTAGCATTTGACACAGTTGCTCACTCCCTCCTCCTGGAAACACCTTCTTCGCACGGCATTTAGGAACCCCCGCTCCTCCTCGGTCATCTCTCTGCCTTCTAAACATTGGTATGTGCAGGGCTCAGGCCTTGACCTCTACTTTTTTCTTCCTACACTCACTCCAGGGGCCCTACCTTCAAAATAGATGCAGAATCTGATCACTTTCACCAGGACATCACTCTCATCCTGGCCTAACCCACCCTCACCTCTGCCCTGGGTTCATGCTGTAGCCTCCTAACTGGTCTCTCTTCTCATGCTTGCTCCTCCAGAGTGTTCTAAACACCATAGAGTGATACTTCAAAAATGTGTGTCTGACCTTGTGGCCCTCCAGTGGATTTCAGGCTCAGCTGGAGTAAAAGCCAATGTCTTGTCAATGACCCTCAAGGCCCCATGCAATCTGATCCCACCCATTTTCTCTTCAACTGGTTCACTCCCCTCCTTGGGCCCATCCCACCCCAGAGCCTTCGTGTGAGCTGCTCCCTTAGCCTGGTATGGTCTTCTCCCAGCTACCCCACTGCTCTCAGCCTCACTGCTTACTTGACTGTAATTAGTCCTTGCAGTGAGGCCTTCTGTGACTACTCTACTTAAAATCCCCACTCTCCTTAGCCTTCTTGACCTCTTTCTTTGCTTTATTTTCCTCATAGCACCCATCATGAAACTAACATAGTATCATGTTGAACCATATGAAATTGCCTATATTCAGCTATTTTCCTTTTTTTGGGGGGTGGAGTTTCAGTCTTGTTGCCCAGGCTAGAGTGCAATGGCGTGATCTCGGCTCACCACAACCTCCACCTCCCGGGTTCCAGCGATTCTCATGCCTCAGCCTCCCTACTAGCTGGGATTACAGGCATGCACCACCACACCCAGCTAATTTTGTATTTTTAGTAGAGATGGGGTTTCTCCATGTTGGTCAGTCTGGTCTTGAACCCCCAACCTCAGGTGATCCGCCTGCCTTGGCCTCCCAAAATGTTGGGATTACAGGCATGAGCCACGTCACCCGGCCCTATTCAGCTACTTTCAGCCAAAAAAGTGCCAATTTCATGATTCATATTAATACTTATTTTATTTAACCCTTCTTTTCTGCCTCATCCATAGAATGTCAGCTCCTAAGGAATGATGGTTTTTGTCTGTCCTGTTCTCTGTTGTACCTAGAACTGTGCCAGGCACATAGTAGGTGCTCAGTAAACATTTGTAGAGTGATTCTTTTTTAGTAAACTGCTTCCCCCTTAATGCATCATGGTCCTCTTTCCATGACCATTCCAATGAGTCTTTCTCATCCCTTGTGATGCCTGTCTGTCCTTGGTCAGTGCTCCCTTCGAGATCCCAAGAGCATCTCAGAATCACCAGATCCGCTCCCCACCACCAATGGGGGCTCTGCAGACAGCAGGCACAGCTTCAGTGCCAGACAGACTTAGAGTGAAATCACCAGCCAAATCATCATGGCTGTGTTAACCTCTTTGGTTAAGTTTCTCCGCTTTTGAGACAGAGAAAACACCCCTCATCTCAGTCCTGGGAGGCTTTGGGGGTGTTAGTAAAGTATTAGCACCCCCAAAGCCTCCTGGGGCTAAAGTGAATTAACCATGGTGCGGAATAAAACATTCACATTCATGTAGAACACCAAACATTCAAAACTTATGTATCTATTTCCAGACACACTTGCTAAAGGTTTATCTCCATGAGCCAGCTTTCTTTCCGAGGTTTCCAGGAATAAATCACCCAGGCCACCTACAGCTGGTCATACCATCGATAAGTCTTGTTTCACCTTCTGAGATTCAGTCACGGTTTTGTCCTACCTCCTTCTTCTCAGAGTCGCACTTTTTAAAAGTGACTCTGTTCAGTGCTTAGCTTTTATTGCTTCCCCCACCCCATGCCCACTATAGTCGCTTGGTTTCTGCATGTGAGTGGTAGTGATCCTTCTATTATCGTATGCCTGGATACCACTCAGGGTGCTCTCTAAAAGATAAAATAGGAGGTTCTTTTTGATACCAGGAGATACTCCACACTCTAAGGCTTCACATGGGACTTGTATCAGTTAGCTCTAGCTATATAACAAAACACTCCCAAAATGTAGTGGCTTAAAACATTGGTTCGTGTGTATGAGTGTGTGGGTTAGTTAGATGGTTTTTCTGGTCTGCGCCAGGTATGGCTGATCTTGGCTGGGTTCTTTCATGGATCTGAGGTCAGCTGATGTGTTGGCTAGTCTAGAATGTCCTCGCTCACATATCTGGAGGTTGGCTAACTGCTGACACAGGCCATGGAGACAACTGGGCTATGTGTCTCCCATCCTCCAGCAAGCTGGCCCCGGCTTGTTCATATGATAGTTGCAGGGGTTCAAGAGCACAAGCAGGACCCCAGGTTGACAACTGTCACAGTGTCTCACCCGCCATATTCTTTTGGCCAAAGCAAGTTGCAAGGTTAGTCCAGCTTCAGTAATAGGGAGTTAGACTCCCAGATTCAATAGTAGGGAGTTAGACTCCACTTTTTGGCTTGAGGAGCTGAGAAGTTGGTAAAGGGTGTGGGTACAAGGAGGATTGAAGGATTGTATTTTTTAGGATCCGTTACTACAGGATCTTTCTCAGGCACGAGGAGCAGGTCTGCCATGTTCTGGGTTGTCAGCACAGATGGAATCTCTGATCCCTTCTGACAGCTGATAGCTACAGAACACGAACATTTCCCCAGCATGGCAATCCTGCCATGACTGGCTTCTCAGACTGGGCCAGCTACCAGCTCACCTGCCACTTCTTTCAGGGGGAAGTGGGAGGAAGCCTCTTGGCCCTACAGGATTCAGCCCCACCCCTAACCTGTTCCTCCGTTCCCACAACTCACTCCCTCTAGGCCAGTTGGGTTTGTCTTCCCTATCACAGACCCTTCTCTGTCCCTTCTCCCCCTCCTTCTTCTCTATCTGCAGCTTATTCAACCCTGACCTCTCCTTGCTATGTTGTCTAGGCTGGTCTCAAATTCCTGGCCTTAAGCACTAACCCTGTCTTGGCCTCCCAAAGTGCTGGCATTATAGGCATGAGCCGTCACCCGGCCCCTGAGCTCCCCTTTTAACAGCAAGCTTAAATGTCATTTCCAACAAGGAGCCTCCCCTGACCACTCTGGTCTGCACCAACCTCTCCTTTCTTTAAATAACAATACACCATCAGTGCCACACATTTTTAAAGATTATTTTTTATTGACACATAATAGACATACATATTTTCAGGACATATGTGATATTTTGATACATTCATATAAGGTATAATAATCAAATCCCCTGATTGATTACCCTTAATTGAAATATCCATCACCTTAAACATTTGTCTTTTTCTATGCTGGGAACATTTGAATTATTCACTACCAGCTACTTTGAAATATACAGAAGATTATTGTTTACTGTATTCACTCTACTGACTTAGGTCTCATTCCTTCCAACTGTATTTTTGTACCCATGTATCAACCTCTTTTCATCCCCACCAACCCCATCCCCTTCCCAGGCTCTGGTAACCATCGTTCTGTTCTCCCCCTCTATGAGATCCACGTTCTTAGCGCCCACATATGAGTGAGAATGTGCAATATTTGTCATTCTGTGCTTGGCTTATTTCACTTAGCATAATGACCTCCGTTTCCATCCATGTTGCTGCAGTGACAGGATTTCATCCTTTTTGATGACTCAATAATATTTCATGGTGTATCTATACCACGTTTTCTCTATTCATTCATCCACTAGTGGGCACTAAAGTTGGTCCCATATTTGGCCGGAAGTAGTGCGGCACCTTTTAATACATAGGTTTTTAGATATACTGTGCATAAAGATTTTACCGGTGCAAGGACTTTAATCTTCCTAACACTTGAGCAGGAACTATTATAACCATTCTACAGTTGGGCAGCTGGGTTGAGAGGGTGGCTTTCCAAAGGTCTCATAATGGGAGGGAAGGGGTGGATTCTCTTTTCAAAGCCAGGCCTGTCCTATTCCAAAACCCATCTGTGGCAGGGGCTGGCAGTACCCCTTGCTACTTCAGTAGCCCCTTGCTACTTCAGGACAGGGGCCGGCCCACCTTCCACTGCCAGGGCCTGCATTTCTTTGCCTGAGCACTTGCTCACAGGTTCATTTCCCAGGTAGTAGGCTCAGGAGCTGAGGAATGAACTTCCTGCAGGAGCAGCCTTCCATAAATGACTGATAAGACTGGTGCTTAGACACCCAAGGGTGGGGTAGCTTCAAATGCTTGCTCTACACTGGCTCCCAGGACTGCCAGCAGGACTGGGCGCCAGTTGCCCGCCATGATGAGCGGTGATGTTACCTTTCTTGGCTGCCTCCCCGATCTGCCATGCTCCCCTGCCTGCCCTTTCCTGGGAGCAGCTCCCAAATCAACCACCTTCACTGAGATCTTTGTCTCAGGGATGCTTCTGGGAAAGCCCAAAGGAAGACACACCTCTCAACACCTTTGCCATGTGACCCTGCATTCTCACAATCAACCACCCCTGGAAGCCAGAGACTCATACTTATTACCCCTCCCTCTCCCACAGTGCCTGTGGATACTTACACACTCCATAAATCCTAATCAAAATCATTTATTGATTCATAGATACCTCAGAACTACAGATATCAGGCCAGGAAGAGGCATCCAATCCCTCTTCCTTGTAGACATTTCATCTATAGTTTAAGAAGCTGGTCAAATCTGTGACAATCAAGAAATGTTTTCAGGCACTAACCCTTTCCCAAATAATCGATGGCCCTGAGAAGCAGAAGAGATGCCACTGGCAGGACTGGGGGTGTACGTGCAAGCCCACTCCTCTTCTGCACACTTTAAAATGTATTTGGGGATCAGTGGGCTAGGGGGACCCTACAAGATAACTGAGATAACTTGATTTTCATCTGTTATTTCTTACCTACCCATTAAAGAGTGTGTAATCCCTAAGTTATACAGTGTCCAGTACTCATATGGTGGGACAAAATTGGACTAGTTTGGATAAGTTGATATCTTGGCTCCCTTTCAACTCGCAGCTGTGAATTCTCTCCCAAGGGCCATGAGAGGACCAAGAGTGCAAGAGGCAAGGACTGGAAGGAGAGCTCTAAGAAAACAGCCATCAGTGACCATTCATCATGTTCCTATTCACCTCATCCTTTACATGTGCTTTCTTTCTTTCTTTTTTTTTTTTTTTTTTTTTTGAGACAGAGTCTTGCTTTGTCACCCAGGCTGGAATGCAGTGGCATGATTTCGGCTCCCTGCAACCTCCATCTCCTGAGTTCAAGCGATTCTCCTGCCTCAGCCTCCTGAGTAGCTGGGATTACAGGCATGTGCCACCATACTCAGCTAATTTTTGTATTTTTAGTAGAGACAGGGTTTTGCCATGTTGGCCAGGCTGGTCTCGAACTCCTGGCCTCAAGTGATTCACCCGCCTCGGCCTCCCAAAGTGCTGGGATTATAGGCGTGAGCCACTGTGCCCAGCCTACATGTGCATTTTCATTGATCCGCCCTGCAAGGCAGGGTTGTTACCTTCTTGACCCATTTTACAGATGAGGAGACAGAGGCTCAGCAAGGTTGAAGTAGCTCACCCGGGATAAGGTAAGGACTGGCAGAACTGGAATGGCTATGCCTGGCTGGCTCCAGAAGCAAAGTTTTTCACCGCATCCTAGGCTGCTTCTCCATCTAAAGGTTGGGTTGGCCTTCGATGTGGCACACTTTGGCAGGGTAAGGACATTTTAGACTACAAAGAATGTATCAGTTAGATATTGCTGCATAACCAACTGTCCCAAACATCAGTGGCTTTAAATAGCAATCCTTTGTTCTCCTTCACAAACCTATGAGTTGGCTGAGGGTTGGCTGATGTAGGCTGGGCTCAGTGGGGCGGCTTTGCATCAAGCTGCAGGGCTGGCTGGCCTTGGGTCCCGGCAGCAGGTTGGCTCAGGTCAGTTTCACCTGGTTTCATTCTGAAGCCCAGGCTGAAGGGGCAGCATTTATACAAGGGAGTAGCTCTCCTCTTGGAGGCACAAGACAGCAAGTAGAAATGAATGATGTGGCTCAGAACTAGCACACTTTTACTTCGGCCACATACCATTGGCCAAAGCAAGTCATATGGCCAAGTCTAAGTCAAGGAGCTGGGAATTACACTCTGCCTCTAGTGGGAGGAACTGCAAAGTCACATGACAAACATGGGGAATGCAGGGAGAAGGGAAGAATTTAGACCAATAATTTTATCTACAAGGATGACAAAAATCAACACCAGGGAATGAGTGACTGATGGGGAAAGTTCCTAGTGCCTTTGGGAAGATTTTTACACTAAATAGGGAACAGCTACTCTTGTCTTCAATATCTGTGATAGGGTCTCTCTTATAAAGGCTTTTCAGTCTTGGGGGCCCCATCTCTTCCAGGTTTCTCAGCTCCCTGGCCCTCCTACATGATCCTGGACATCAACCCGGCTAGAAGGATGAATTTCAACAATGTTTGGAGGGATGTGGAAATAGACTGAGAGATGAAGGTACCTCTCTCTTTCCTTTCCCTAGAGCCATCCAGCTCCTGTCTTAGAAAATTAGTTACCTCTAAATACCATGACTATTTCAGTGAAGAATTAGTCCAAGGGTGGGCCATGCAAGAAGGAGCAAAGGAAAGCTTCTGGCTATTGAGACCCAGAGCTCTCAGAAGATGAAGCTATTTAAATCTTTGGGCCAACCCACTGGCTCTCCTGGAATTCTTGATTCTTTGGTTCCTCCTTGAAGAGAGCAAGAAAAGCAGAGCTAGAAAGAGCTAACAGACTCCGGTAGAAATATTCCAATCACTTTACGAATTTAGGAAATATTCATCACCTTAAACATAATACCTGCAAGGCTTTCAGGGGAAAAATAATAAACTTTGGTTGGTTTCTGTTTTTTCAAGAAAACATTAGCAAGTAAAAAAGTTATAAACTTAATTGATGACAGTGGTCTTGATTAGTGCTGCCACTAAATGTTCCCACTTCTCCTGCATTCAGAAGGGACCTTGCCCATTTGGAGTTAGGTGTGGCCATATGATTTCCTTTGGCCAATGAAATGTGAGTGCAAATAGAATGTATTACTTTGAGACAGAGGCTTTTACAGACAGTATGTAATTCAGCATGGCTCCTTCCCACCACCGTGGTAATCATGGAAGTGTGTGTTGAGAGGGTATCTCCATTAACCAAAGCCTCAGAGTGACTACAAGAGACAGAGTTCCCTGATGACATGTACTGGACACGTAGCATGAGAGAGAAGTCAACCTGTGTTGGATAAATCACCAAGATGTGGGGAGATGTTTGTTACAGAAGCAGAACTTGGCCTATTCTGACAGATAGATACACTGATGTAAGTCAACCAATAAAGACATTATCAAAATAAATAATTCAGGAATGACAAAGATATGAACTTTAAAATAATGATACTAACAAGGATTGGTGATAAGCTCTTAGATACACAACTAGGACTAAACGATTGTGGGAAGAATATAAATGCTATAAACCTTGACAAATTAAAAGTAATAATAAAGCCAATAAAAGTGGGAGGGAAGTAGAGAAGAATCATGAATATCAATTTCTTTTTACTTTTATAGCAGGAATTCATACCATCTGTATTAGTCAGGGTTCTCTAGAGGGACAGAAAAGGGAGTTTATTAAGTATTAACTCACATCATCACAGGGTCCCACAATAGACTGTCTGCAAGCTGAGGAGCAAGGAGAGTCAGTCTGAATCCCAAAACTGAAGAACTTGGAATCTGATGTTTGACGGCAGGAAGCCAGCATGGGAGAAAGATGTAGGCTGGGAGGCTAGGCCAGTCTAGTCTTTTCACATTCTTCTGCCTGCTTTATATTCTAGCCGTGCTGGCAGCTGATTAGATGGTGCCCACCCAAATTAAGGGTGGGTCTGCCTTTCCCAGCCCACTGACTCAAATGTTAATTTCCTTTGGCAATGCCCTCATAGACACACACAGGATCAATACTTCGCACCCTTCAATCCAATCAAGTTGACACTCAGTATTAGCCATCACACCATCTTTCACTGAAAACCTGAGTTTAAAATAAACCTAATGATATTAACCTCTTACTCTTTTCCTCCATATTATTCTGAAATTCAGAGGAAATTGAATTAATAATTTATGACTATATCCAGAGATGAAGAAAAAATTCATCAAATTTCAGCAATTCTTTACGTTTCAATTTTTTCTTTCATTAAAATAAAACTAAATTCCAACACTTTGGTCTTAGGTTGGGTTCTCCCAGAAGTAGAACCTGAATCTAAAATTGGAGTATTTTCTAGGGAGTAGGAGTAGGGGGATGATGCCAGGAAACACTGGTAGTGGAGTGGGGAAACAAGACAAGGAAGGAGAGAAGTATGAGCTGTTCAAGAGCAGGTGACCGCTGTGGGAAACTAGGGCTCAATACCACTAGGGAGCTCAAACAGACGGTCTCAGAGTTTGTCCTATCTGCAGGGTAAGCCAGGACATTTATCCATCACTGTTCATCCATCACTGTGGGCTTCACTGGGCATTAACTGCTTGCCACTTCCCCTCTGCCCTATGTGTGGGCTGATCCCACTCTTGTAGCCAGAGAGACCCTCAGGCAGAAGACATTCAAGTGTTTGCTAGGAGAAGTCACTGGACTCTACTAGAATAGCAAATACCGACAGGATGTGGGCTGGGCACCAATAGCATCTAATAAACCTTTTTTTGAGTTTAACAAGCCTGTATAATAGACTAATCTCAGATGAATTATGCTAAGTGAAAGAAGCCCACCTGAAAAGGCTACATATTATACAATTCCATTTATATGGCTTTCTGGAAAAATCTAAGCTATAAGGATGGAAAACAGATTCATGGTTGCCAGACGTTGGGAAGGGAGAAGTGATGACTACAGAGAGGCACGAGGGAACTCCCTGGGGTAATGAAAGTGTCTTACATCTTTGATTATGCTGGTGAATTTGTCAAAATTTATAGAATGCACACCTGAAAAGGGTAAGTTTTACTCTATGTAAATCAGGCCTCAAGAAACTGTGATTTTTAAAATGTGTATGCATATTATTTCAAGAATGTTTTATTATCCTCCCTTGAGAACTTAGTGACTTGCTTCTAACAAATAGTATAAGGCAGAAGTGATATTGCATGTGTCAGAGACGAGGTCATAAAAGGCACTGTGGCTTCCTGCTTGCTCTCTCACTCGCTCTTGGGTCACCAGCTTTGGGGGAAGCCAGATGCCATGCCACGAGCAGCCCGATGGGAAGGCCCATGTGGTGAGGAACCAAGATGTCTTGCCAGCAGCCATGTGAGGCAGCCATCTTGGAGGTGGGTCCTCCAGCCCTGGTCCAGCCTTCAGATGACTGCTGCTGGGCCAACAGTGAGTAATCTCATGAGAGACCCTGAGACAGAACCAGCTGGCTAAACAACCCTCAGGTTCCTGACCCTCAGAAACCCTGTGAGGTAGCATCATTGTTTGTTTTGAGAAGCTGCTACATGTTGGGACTATTTGTTATGCAGCAATAGATGACCAATACACTGACTTAAAATTCAATTCCTATTTTTAAATAAAATTATCCATTCTTTCATATAAATTTTTTGCTGAAAGATATTTGACATGATATTCATCTAAGAGGATTGACTATGGTTTCTGGGTGGTGGGTTTGGGAGTCATTTCTCTTGCATTTGTCCTGTTTTATGTTCTTGAACTACTGCTTATAATGGGAGTGTATCATTAAAATTAAAAACACAAATGAGGACTCGGAGCCTGGGCATAGGTGGAGAAGGCGTCATTTTCCCCAGAGGGTGGTGGGGGGCAGCAATGAGGTTTGTGTCTACAGGAAGCAGGCACACCACTCCTTGAGGCAGTGAGAAGTCTGCTGGGCCTCACACTCAGTGGCACCAAAACAGCAAATGAGCCACCTCTGAAACTCGGCTTCATTCTTGTGCATCAGAAGGAATTGTCCCAGCAGGATGTAGGCCTGGGGAGGGGATGAGACAGGGAGGAAAGCAGGAAAGGTTATCATAAGCCAGCTCAGACGCGCTCTTCCTTCCCAGCAACCAGGGCTCACGTGACAATCAAAGGAGGGGGAGCAGGGCCGATTCAAGGGAGCCTGTCAGTCCTTGAAGCCCTGACATGGGTCTTAGCCCTGGTGAGAGCTAAGGCCAAGTTAAATGCCCATCTCTCAGGGCTGGTTTGCGGGCCGTCCACCCTGGAATGAGTCAGACCCTGCCCCCTTCAAACTTTGACAAGCACATGAATCATGTGGGAGCTTGTTAAAATGCGGGTTCTGAAAGTCTAAGTCCAGGGAGAGGCCTGCATTTCTAACATGCTCCCAGCTGCTGCTGGTCCAGGGACAACAGTTTGAGTAGCCGGGGCCTAGCACACTCCTGAAGCTCCCTTCAGACCTCCAGTGAAGCATTTCTCTTGGAAACACACACATAACCCAGACAGAGTAAGAGACATTCCCGCCCCACTACTTCTGCAATTGTTGTAGCATGGGATTTCTTTTCTTTTCTTCTCTTTTCTTTTCTTTCTTTTATTTGTTTATTTATTTTATTTTTTTGGAGACAGAATCTTGCTCTGTCGCCCAGGCCGGAGTGCAATGGCGTGATCTCGGCTCACTGCAACCTCCGCCTCAAGCGATTCTCCTGCCTCAGCTTTCCAAGTAGCTGGGATTACAGGTGCCTGCCACCATGCCTGGCTAATTTTCATATTTTTAGTAGAGACGGGGTTTTGCCATGTTGTCCAGGCTGGTCTCGAACTCCTGATCTCGGGTGATCCACCTGCCTTGGCCTCCCAAAGTGCTGGGATTACAGGGGTAAGCCACTGTGCCCATAGCACGGGGTTTCTAAACCTCGGCACTATTGATATTTTGGACAATGCTTGAAATGTTATGGGGGGCTGTCCTGTGCATTGCAGGATGTTCAGCAGCACCCCTGATCTCTACGCATGCCGGTGGCACCCTCCCTCCCCGACCCAAGTAGCGACAATCATAACCATCCCCAAACATTGCCAAATGTCCCTTGGGGGCAAAATCTCCTTGGGCTGAGAACCACTGCACATGGGGCTGACAGATGAATGGCATCTTAGCATTGATTTGTTTTTGCAAACCACCTGTGTGATCTCAGGCAACTCATGTAACCTGAAGTAAGAACCCACAGAACCTGGATCTCAGTTTCTGCACCTTCCTAATGCACACGGTGTGCTCTGCAAATTAAATTAAGTGAATTAAATGGGAAGGCATTCAAAAAATGTAAATTCCTCTCTCATACTGGGAGCTGTAGTTCTGTAGGAGGAGCATAGAAGGTTTAAAACATGCTAAACCTTGTCCACGTTCCCCTTCCTCAGTCTCTGTGGATAAAAAATACATGGAAGATAAGCACTCAGTGCACTGTGATTTCTATTTTTATGGCATTCTCAAGCTTTCTAGCTATTAATACTTGCCTCGAGGCTTTTAATTCATCTTTTATAGTTTTATTACACCATTATTGACAAGGCACAAGGACCACATGGAGGAAGGGAATTCCCAAGGCCACGTAGCCAGAAACTAGCCAAGCCACTAAATGGTGGAGGCTGGAGAGCTCAGGTCACATTAAACGCCCATCTCTCAGGGCTGGTTTTGGGGGCTCTCCAGCCTGGAACCAACAAGAACCAGCATCCACCCATGCCTCGAGTTCTGGGCCCTTTCCAGGAAAACCTGATGGTGTCTGTTTACTTTTAGTTATGTAAAATAAAGCAAACTTCATCTTAACCAAAGAGAGCATACTTTTTAAGAAGAGAAATCAAATAAAAGCTGAATCCCAGTCATAAAATATACCCAAGCATTGAATTTTGGGGGCTTTATTTTTAGTCATGGTCCAGTTGTTGATAAGAGAAAAAAGCCAGGATTTTGTGGTGATTCTGAACTGCTACTTTAATCTTTTTTAAAAAAAGCAATATAGTTACTTGGCGTGATCTCATTTTACTTTATCAGTATCCTCCCATTTTGAATGGATTTTACTGAGATGTATTTAAATTAATGTTTTTGAAAAATAACATTTATTAAGTGTTAATTGAGCCAGTAGACGTAGGTGTGGGAGGTGCCAAGGTGAAGGTAACAGAAACGAGAGACATAGAGCTGTGTCCAAGGAGAGAGAATATTAATAATAATTAACAATAATTAATAGTAAGTGGCTTACACAAAGCTTTCTCCATAAAGAGAAATGTTCATGATAATACTTAATAATAGTAGTTAATGCTAAGTAGCACTTTTTAGCACTTCTGTCGGCCACGTGCTGCTAGACACCTGACACGTTTTAATCCACCTGATCCTCACATGTACTCACCCCTCCCATTCCCCAGGTGGAGGTACTAAGTCTCCTGTTTTCCTCTGCACTATTCCTGCACTTCCCAACTGTCCACAGTCTGGCCTGGAGGCTAATGCATCCCCTGCCCGTTTTAGAAGTGGCACTGCCAGCATCAGCTGGCCTGTTAGTGAGAGCCTCCACATACCCACAGGCTCAGCAGCCAGGATGCCTGGGAACATGTGGACCCTGGGCAAACTTTCCAGGAATGCTACAGGAAGCCCCGTCTTGCAGCCTCTGGAGCCAAGTGGCAACCTGACACTCCCTCCTCAGTTTTCCCTCCTGTCTCCCTGTGGCATCTTCCAGGAGGGAAAGTTGGCTTCCCTTCTCCCTTCTTCCCTGAGCACTTCACCCTGCTCCCCAGGGAAGCTGGAGTCGTGGGCTCCCATCATGGCCCTGCCAGATGCCCGCTTGGTTTCTCCCCCGGCTCCAGAAAGCCCCCTAATCAAGGAGAAAAGATGCTGCCCCTTTCCCTCCTTGGGCCAGAGCTCCCCAGAATTCAGCTACTGGGGTGGGAGGGGTGACACAGAAACACAGAAACCCTGAGCAGCTGTCCCTGTCCTCCTACCACTCTGGACAGTGGCCGTGGCCATGGCCAAGCCAGGGAATTACATTCCGTCCTGCAGCTGTAAGAGGGGGGGCTCGGCCAGGTGTGGTGGCTCACTCCTGTAATCCCAGCACTTTGGGAGGCTGAGCGGGCAGATCATCTGAGGTCAGGAGTTCGAGACCAGCCTGGCCAACATAGTGAAACCCCATCTCTACTAAAAATACAAAAATTAGCCTGGTATGGTGGCAGCCGCGTGTAATCCCAGCTACTTGGGAGGCTGAGGCAGGAGAACCCAGGAGGTGGAGATTGCATGAGCTGAGATTATGCCACTGCACTCCAGCCTGGGCAACAGAGTGAGACTCTGTCTCGAAACAAACAAACAAAAGGATGGGGGCTCAAGGGCAGAATGCCCCTAAACTCCAAGTGCAAACAGTGAGGTTCCTCCAGGGGCCGGCCCCCAAGCAGGGGAGGAATCACCCTCCAGTTTGCGGTGCCCACTTCTTGCTAAACAGCAGCAGTTTGAGCCTATGCCAGGGTTGGGTTCCCTTGCATCTGAGCCATGTTTTCACACAGCGCCTGGTGCTAAGAGCACCCTGAGCTGGTTTAACACTTGGCTCTTGTCATCTGGAAATTCTTACTAAATTTCTTTTATTTTTTTATTAGTTTTCCTTTTTTTCTTTTTTTTTTTTGACGACGTCTCCCTCTGTTGCCCAGGATGGAGTGCAGTGGCACGGTCTTGGCTCACTGCAACCTCTGCATCCCAGGTTCAAGCGATTCTCCTGCCTCAGCCTCCCGAGTAGGTGGGACTACGGGTGCGTGCCACCACGCTTGGATAATTTTTTGTATTTTCAGTAGAGACAGGGTTTCACCAAGTTAGCCAGGATGGTCTCGATCCCCTGACCTCGTGATCTGCCCGCCTCGGCCTCCCAAAGTGCTGGGATTACAGGAGTGAGCCATCACGCCTGGCCTACTTTTTTTTTTTTTTTTTTTTTTCCTAAGAGACGGGATCTCATTCCGTCACACAGGCTAGAGTTCAGTAGCATGCAGTAGCTCTTGGCAACCATAAATTCCTGGGCTCAAATGATCCTCCCACCTCAGCCTCCCGAGTAGCTGGAACTACAAGCACGTGCCACTACACCCCCTAATAAATTTGAACTAGAGGTCTTGCATTTTCATTTTACAGTGGGCCCTAAAAATTAAATAGCTGGCTGAGATCCACACTTATTAAAATGCTCAGTACTCACCATAATGCTGGGCCTTGTCAAGCAGAGATAAGCTGTCTCTGCCCTCTCTTGTTCTCTAGCTGCTTACAATGCCCTCTGCCCAAGTCCGCAGGTCCTGAGCACCTGTGCTGAACGGACTTCAATCACCACCAGACTCCATGGTGCAGTGACACAACTTTCTTTGATTCTCTCTCGCCAGTCGCCTAAGTCTTCATGTCATTTCAGGTTTAAACTCTTGTGTGTTTTTTTTTCTTCTTCTTTTATTTTGAGACAGAGTCTCACTCTATAGCCCAGGTTGGAGTGCAGTGGCACGATAGCGGCTCACTGCAACCTCCACCTTCCAGGTTCAAGTGATTCTCCTGCCTCAGCCTCCCAAGTAGCTGGGATTACAGGCATGCACCACCATGCGTGGCTAATTTTGTATTTTCTATACAGACGGGATTTCACCATGTTGGCCAGGCTGGTCTTGAACTCCTGACCTCAAGTGATCTTCCCAAAGTTCTGGGATTACAGGCAGGAGCTACCACGCCCGGCTTAAACTCTGTGTCTTTGGTGTGAATCCTCACTTCAGGGAATGTTTACCCCTTCTTCCTCCTCCCTGTCTTTTAATTTTACACTAAGAAAATTATTTGCTTATCTGAAATGTGAATTTTGATCTGGCAACCCTAGGCAGAAAAATCCCAAACTTACGTGACGGGCCCCTTGTGGGGCTCAGACATCAGGCAGTGGAGCACAGCGTCTCACCGCCCACCCAGCAGAGTGGACAGAAAGGAGTTGGAGCCTTCAGAGGCTTCGCTGTGGACACCTGGGGACATGATGGAGGCAGGGCCTGGCCACACTGCGGCCTTCTGGTCCTGAACTCAGTCTCGCTCCTGTCCACCAGTGGCCACGAAGTAACGGAGGGAGGAGATGGGACGCCCCTGAGCATGGAGAGTCTAGAGGTAGGGCTATCGTTGGCTGCCGGCATGCGAGAGAGAGCAGAGCCCCGCCTGTAAGGAAGTGAGGGCAAGAGGGAGCAGAACCTTGCAGTAAGGAGGTGAGGGCGAGAGAGAGCAGAGCAAGCCTCGCTGGTAAGGAGGTGAGGGCGAGGGAGAGCAGAGCCTCGCCGGTAAGGAGGTAAGAGAAGCCGCGCGAGAAGCACCTTCCTCACAGCTTCAGTTTTAGGGGCAGACGGCACAATGACTTGGTGTCCAGACCCTGCAGCCTATCCGCCCAGATTCAAATTTCATCTCTGTCACCACCCCATGTGATCTTGAGCAATCCACATGTGGTCTCTATGCGTCTCCACTTTCCAATCAGGAAAATGGAAATGAAATAGTGTACTTTGTAGGATTGTTTTTTACCATTAAATGAGATAAATATACATAATGCACTTAGAGGTGCTTGACATGAAGCAAATGCCAAGTGTTGCTTCTATTTCCTCCAGTCTCATCCTTCAGGCAGCTCTTAGGAGGAATATTTAGGCTCAAGGATATGGCTTTATAGTGTCTGCAAAGAGCATTGAACCAAACCAGATTCTCTGCAATGCTAAACTTACTTTTGCACTGTGGGAGAACTCAAGCACACCCGCCCCACAGGGCCCTGCCCCACAGTTCTGCATTCGGGGGATGTCTGAAAATTCACCTACCCATAGGTGGGGTTTTCACAGGGAGAAGAGAAGTACAAAGAACACAGACCCACCACTGCCTCCAAGGAACTTAGGGAGAAAAGCACAGGCAAGCTGTGCCACTAACATTGTGAGTGTGGACTCTTGGGGCATGTGCAGACAAACTAGCGTCCACCTTTTTCTTTTTTGAGACAGAGTCTCCCTCTGTCACCCAGACTGGAGGGCAGTGGTGCAATCTCAGGTCACTGCAACCTCTGCATCCTGGGTTCAAGTGATCCTCCCACCTCAGCCTCCCAAGTAGCTGGGACTACAGGCATGTACCACCACACCCAGTTAATTTCTGTAGTTTTAGTAGAGACGGGTTTCACCACCTTGGCCAGGCTGGTCTGAAACTCCTAACCTCAAGTGATCTGCCTGACCTGGCCTCCCAAAGTGCTGGGATTACAGGCGTGAGCCACCGTGCCCAGCTAGAGTCGAACTTTTGTCAGATGTCGCAACATGGGGCACCCACCAAAAACCCAAACTGCTCAGAAAAAGGAGCCTGTTGGGTGGGGTGGCAGAAAGAAGGCTTCCCAGGGGAGGTGGGCTGTGAGTAGGGTCTTGAAGGGGTTCAAAACCCATTTCAAGAGAGGCTCCAAGTTGGCAGGAGGGTGGTTCGAGGATAGTCTGGCTGTAGTATAGGGATCAGGGATGGGGCAGCGGGACAGAGAAGACAAGACAGAGCTAGAGCCAGGCACAGCGAGCCTCATTGGCATGTGCACCATGAATTTTCTGTTTCCACAGTTCCTTTCTCCCTTACGGCTCTTTCGCCCTTACATCTAGACCAGTGCTGTCCAGCAGAAATAAGTGAGCTAGCCACATACGTGATTTTGATTTTCCTAGTAGCCACAGTAAAAAGGGGAAGGAAACAGGTGAAATTCATTCTAAAATATATTTTCTCTCATATTTCCAAAATATTATCATTTCAACGTGTAATCAATAAAATAATTACAGATGAGCTATTTTACGTTCCTTTTTTGGGCTAAGTCTTTAACACTGCAGGGTGTGTTTTATATTTCTAGTACATCTCAGTTCGGACAAGGGCACAGGTACCTGCGGCCGCTGTCTGGATCTAGATCCTCAGGCCACAGCTGATGCTGATTGCCCCTGGGAAGGGCAGATACAAAACACCCAGAAGAAGGCTATCACATATGGCTTTTAAGCTCCCGAAGAGGCTTAGGTAGATCCATGGCAGACTCAATAGTTTTGAAAGTCCTGACTTAAACCAGGAGCCAGAGACCAGTGCATGCCAAAAGCCAAAGCTCTGGGAAAAATGGGGACAGGCAGTAAGAACAGTCCCCTCCCAGCACCCCACATCCTCCATTAAAAAAAGCTGAAAGACCTGTGTGAGAGGAGGAATGGAGGAGAAGGTACTCAATGTAGGGGCTGGTAAGAGTTTGAGAAGGGGACTCCCAGAGAGGTAATAGGACATCCGGATAAATTGGCGGGGTGGAGCGGGGGCGCTGGTGTCTCATCTCCCCCAGGGCATCCAGCACCCTTGGGTCTCTAGAGAGAGCCGATGGCTGAGTGCGGAGCCCAGGGAGGTAAGTGTGAGGGTGGCCCACAGGCCTGCATTCCAGCAGGTGCACAGAGAGGGTGCAGAAAGGACTGAGAGAGCAGAGCCCATGGGGCGAGGCCAGGAACGCCGTCACAAGCAAGGGCGGAACCCAAGGTGGCTTTGTGCACAGCAAAGAAACTGAGGCTGAGCCCCAGCCTGGGGTGGGACGGGGAGCAGGGGAGGGTGATGGCTGCACCTTGGCAGAAGCCAGCAAAGACAGGAGGTCACGTGAGGCTCAGAAAGATGTCCCTCCCTGTGCCAGGATTATGTATCCTGCAGGCAAGGTATGAAAATACAAGAGGCTGGGTGTGGTGGCTCATGCCTGTAATCCCAGCACTTTGGGAGGATCACTTGAGCCCAGGAGCTGAGACCAGCCTGGACAACATGGCAAAACTGTGTCTCTACAAAAAAACACAAAAAATTAGCTGGGCATAGTGGTGCGTGCCTCTAGTCTTAGCTACTTGGGAGGCTGAGGTGGAGGCTGCGCCCAGGATGAGGAGGTTGCAGTGAGCCGAGATCACGTCACTGAACCCCAGCCTGCGCAATACAATGAGACTGTCTCAAAACAAAAACAAAACCAAAAACAAAACAAAATAAAAACCACCAAGAGTCAGCATCTTTATTGGCTAAATCTGAGAACCCTGTCCTGCCAGGATCTGCCCGCCCAGGATGCTGTCATTGCTGGCCCTGACTTCAGATGGGTCCTCACCTTGAAGCGCTTGCCCATCTCGGAGGGGCCGCATCTGGGTCTCCTCCTGGGTCTCACTACAGGCCCAGCCGGACTCCAGACCCTGATACAGGCTCTCACCCCCAAATTTAGTCTAAGCCTCCTCCCTGCCGGGCATAACCGCCTGGCCACAGATCTTCTTGTGCAATTTGTGACAGTACAATCCACGGCTGCTCCAGTTCACCTGGGAGCGGACAAGGCACTGCTCCTCGGAGCCCTTGTCTCCTCACTGGTAAAGTGGAGAGAGTGACCCTCATCTCAATCACGGGTGTGGGCGGCTCAAAGCGAAGGATACAGGTGACAGCCCCAGTGCCAGTGCCTAAAATTAGCAGCTCTAGGAAAGTGCTCACTGCACTGGCCAGGAGGTCATGGACACAAGAGGAGCACATCTCCAGGGACCCGGCTGCACACAGACAAACCGTCCCCACAGCCCTGACTCGACAGGCAAGTTTTCAGATGCCTAACATTTTTCCATTATTCATTCATTTTTTGTTCTAAAACCCACCCACCTATAATCCTCATTTAAAACACAGTTAAGCTATTCACACACACAGACTTAAACTGGAAAAGGCAACACTACAGAAAATAAATCAGTGGTTGCCAGGGACTGAGGCTGGTGAATATGAAGAGCACAAGGAAATGAATATTTTGAGTAATGGGATTGCTCTGTGTCTTGACTATGGTAGCGGCTGCATCACTGCATGCATGTGTCCAAACTCATAGAACTATGTACTAAAAAGGGTGAAATTTAATGTATGTATGTCAATTATACCTTAATAAAAACATTTTTAAAATAATGAGTATAGCTGAACAACAACCACAAAACCCCACAATTATGGACACATTTAATCAATGCTGTTTGACATCAGAAGAGTGGTTACCTCTAAGGATAGGGGATAGCCTTGGCCAAGAAGAGGCACAAGAGAACCATTTGGAATTTTGGAGACATCTGATTGCTGGATCTGGGTAGTGGGTACATAGGTGTACATATGTGTGTAAAAATTCATTGATCTGTGAATTCCTTTATATCAACACATATTCTCCTCGGTATGTTACATCACAATAGGAAAGTAAAAAGAAGAATGATTTCTTTTTTTAAAAAAGGAATTTTTCATCAGGTGTGATGGCTTGCACCTATAATCTTAGCACTTTGGGAGGCCGAGGTATGTTGAATCACTTGAGTCCAGGAGTTCGAGACCATCCTGAGCAACATGCCAAAACCCTGTCTCTACAAGAAACACAAAAAATTAACCAGGCATGGTGGCACACACCTGTAGTCCCAGCTACATGGGAGGGTGAGGTGAGAGGATCGCTTGAGCCTGGGAGGCAGAGGTTGCAGTGAGCCGAGATGGCATCACTGCACTCCAGCCTGTGCAACAGAGTGAGACCCTGTCTCAAATAAATAAATAAATAAATAATAAAAGTACAAAAATTTTTTCATTTAAAATTTGTTCCCCAGAGAATGGTTCTCCCTCCTTCGTCTGGCAGGAAAGAATCCAATCTACCCAATAGGGGCACTTCCATTTCTGATGATACCATCTACTGGACATTAAACTGGCTCACAGATTGGGGTGTTATTCTGAGTATTTACCAGCTAGTGCAGAGCAATGGGGTAATCAGAAAACCATGGCTCTCATGGTTCAGATGTAGATGCAAACCAAACTAGTCGTCAGCCATGTGTGCAGCAGTTCCCAGCCTCTTTGGGTGTTTCTGTAACACTGTCCCGCCTGGTAGACTGACTTGGGGCACTGAGGAGAATGAAGAGCAACAGCTCTAGCTGGTGCCTCTCCTGACCGGGCGTGCCATGTTCTGTGAGTTCACAGCCTGCCTTGTCTGTGCTCACTCTCTTTGCGTTGTCTTTGGGACTGTCTCATCCTCTCCTGAGGCCCTAAGCAGCTTTTTAAAAGCCCCATAAAAACAAACAATGACGTAGAAAAGAATATTCCAATTCCACTGGATATCCTTGAGGTCATTCTTGGGCTGAGAGTGACATCATAGAATAACTCACTCTAGTGTAGACCCCAGGCTCCTGTTTCTTCACCTGCCCATTGCCAGGCTGGTGCCCTGGCAGGGGCAAGCGAGATGCCATGAGTCCCTTCATGGGGGCATGGAGTGCACCTAAATCATCCATCCTGACAGCTCATCTCAGACCCCGGCGGCTGACCTACTTCTGTTGATCCCTGAGTGTTTGAACACCAAGTGAATCATGCCTAGCCCAGCTGCTCTGAACTGAAGCCATTCTATGTGTATGTGCCCATCATCTGCAGGCCCTTGAGGCTGCCTGAGCATGTGGGGTCAATAGCACGAAAGCATGTGGCACCCCGCCAAGCGGCAGCTTTGCTCTCTGATGGCCCTTCACAGGGACACGTGGCAGGAACTGCCATCTGGCAGGACTGGGGGAAGAAAGGTAGGGAAGAGAAGTCAGAGAAGTAAGAAAATATGAATTACCTTATTGATACCTTTGGTGACCAAATTGATCGCGAGCTCATGGCTGATGCCATCCACCCAGCAGACATCCTTTTCTCCAATGGGTTCGGAGAGGAAGGCTCTCAGCCTGGGAGACATGTTGTCCATCTCCTGCGACAGCAGTGGGGAGAGAGGAGGATTAGCAGATACCTGACTTCTCCCAGTGTGCATGGACACTGGGGAACTCCCTCAGCCCACCAAGGGACTGGGGCAACAGATGGCAGAATTCCTTCCATCATCCAGCATTTCCCGGGGTCTACTAAATGCAGGTGCACTGGCCTCCACTAAGGCCTTCACACATCCATTCCTACCTGGATGGACAAACAGAAGCCGAATGATGGCCACAGATGAGTCAAATAAATTTCCACGAAAAGAGTGTGCTTAATATTAAGAACTGCAGTGGGTTCTTTCCAACTCACCCCATTCTAAATGCCTAAAGCAACAACTTACTTCTCTTAGCTAATTAACCCACCTTCTCTCTTAACCACCCAACACTTTAGTCATACTTTTATTTCAGTGTTCATCACACTGTATAATAGTGTAAACTCTCTAGAAACTCTTCAAACTGGCTCAAATTGTAAAGAACACATTATAGAAATCCAAAGCCTGCAGGTGGGAATGGGTCGCAGCGCCATTCCTCAGGGATTGTCCAGCTTTCCCTCCTTGTGTTGGCTTTATTCTTGCTTGGCTCCCCTCATGGTGGTGAAAGGGCTGCTCCAGCACTCTTTGGCCTCACCAACTCCACCTCAAAAGAAGGAAGAGAAGGTGGCTTTTGCTTAAGTCACCTCATTTGTTGCCTGTGCTCTAACTTTAGCCAGATAAATCAGCTTTCCCAAACAGCAGGACTTGCTCATCAATTTCCTGCAACTTTAGATTGCAGGCCCCAGGCAAAAAGACTCTCTGTCTTAGCAAAACTATTTTCATCCCTCTCCACTTTTAAATGGACCACCATCTCCCAGGAGTTGAGTCTCCTAGGACCTTAATGAAGACTGCCAGAGGTAGCTAACATCCTGAATATTTCCTGGAAGATCTCGAAATATCATGGGTTCCATAAGCATTAGGTCTGCATCCCAGCAAAACCGGCCATTTTGTTAAATGAGGGTTGCCATCTTCCAGTTTTTTGTTTTGTTTTGTTTTTGTGATGAAGTTTCGCTCTTGTTGCCCAGGCTGGAGTGCAATGGCATGATCTTGGCTCACTGCAACCACTGCCTCCTGCGTTCAAGCTATTCTCCTGCCTCAGCCTCCCGAGTAGCTGGGATTACAGGTGTGTGCCACCACACCCGGCTAATTTTTGTATTTTTAGTAGAGATGAGGTTTCACCATGTTGACCAGGCTGGTCCTGAACTCCTGATCTCAGGTGATCCACCCACCTCGGTCTCCCAAAGTGCTGGGATTACAGGCATGAGCTGCTGCGCCCGGCCGCCATCTTCCAAGTTTGATAGAGACATCTTTGCTGCTGTCCGCTTGAATGTCTCTTCTCAACCAATCCACATTTAAGGTTTGTTCATTGTAGCATCCCCTTCCTGGTACAAAATTCTGTGCCAGTTTGGACAGTTTATGATGAAAGTAACACAAAACTCAGTGTAAATCAGTTTACACAATAGGGAGGTGTTATTAGCACATGCTACCAAAAAGTCCAGAGGTAGATCAGACGTAGGTTGAGCAAGGCTTCAGCTTGATTTCCCGGCAGCTCTCTCGACTCAGTCTTTCTTTGTGAATGGGCTCAATCTTCAGCTTAACTCCTTCGTGGAAGTAACTGGGCTGCAGCATTGCCTTTGCAAGCCACAGCCCTCTCCCCCAAAGAAACACAAAGCTATCTTTTCCTAGGGGCCCCCAACAAATGCCCTCTCTGGTTCAAACTGTAATACGCCAACCCCTAAAACAAAAATTGTGGTTTGATATGTGTGTTCTACCTCTGGGCTCAGCAAGGAAGTCAGTGTCCCTCAAAGCCCATGGGCTGCAGGGGTGGGGCTGGGGGGACCTAAATCAAGATAGTTATCCTGTTCCTGGGGATAGTTACCCCTTACAATATGGGACTATGATACAGGAATGACCCAATGTCCTCCACACATTCCCCAGCAGATCATGAAGCCCCGAAGGGCTGCAGCTGCCTCCTAATGGCCTTTGCTCCCCAATCCAACACCAGCCCCTCTGCTGAGGACATGGTAAGCATTCGATGACGTAAATGATCAGGTGCATCCAACGCCTCCCTTTCACAGCCCCATCCCCTCTCCTGTCCCCATCCTCCTCCAGACCTTTCTACAGAGTCGAGCTCCTCGTGTACGCCTTCTTGCTCTGAAGGACGTTTTGTAACATTTCAGAAGACACTGAACTCTCCCGGAAGAGATGAATCCAAAGGCACTGATTTTGGAAGTCAGGGGGCTCCTAAGAAAAGTGGCCTTGATGTGTCAGCAGATTCTAGGAAGGGGAGCAAAAGACATGAGAGGTTGTTCAGGGTCCCCTGACTCTGTGGGTCTTAAATCCACAGATGTGTGAGCCGAGGGCATCGACCTCTCTTTAGCAGCTAAATAGGAATCTCACTCTTCATCTGTGAAAATATGTTTCGTAAGTACAAGATGGTGTTTAACTCAGGTGTTAACAGGAGAACGCCTCAGCACCCATGGATTTATGGGATGATGAATTGGGATTGAGAATTGGGATTGATGAATTGGGTGAGAATCCAGAATTTCTGAGCAAGGAAAAGCCTGAAAGTCTCATGAGCCGCTCTGCCTTTGCTGAGGGAAAATTCCATTCACTATCCATGCTGGCCATCTGTTAAGTTAAACATCTCTGCCTATGAAATCTAAGAATAAATGGAAACTACAACATTGCTATCAATGCATCAGCAGCATCAAAGACGGGTAATGCTTAGTAACACCTTGTGTGTGTTTGCTTTTCTCACACACCTGAGCTCACTTTGATCCTTGCAACATCTCTGGGGTGTGGACATAGGCAGTGACTTTTGCCCTCCTGGGGCTCTCCAGCAACGTCGGAGGTCAGAATAAAAAGGTCTTCACATTCTTTACGACACCTTTGGCTGCAACAGTGGTGCTCAACTGGGGGCCATTGGACCCCCTCCCCAGGGAACACTGGTAATGTCCAGAGACACTTGAGTTGTCACACCTGGGAGAGGGGGAAGGACTATTGGCTCTAGTGGGCAGAGGCCAGAGACACTGCTAAGCATCCTGCCATGCACACAACTGCCCCACAACAAAGAATTATCTGGCCCTAGGTGTCAATACCATCGAGGTTAAGAAACCCTGGGCTATAAGTAATGAAAAATCCTGCCCCATGTGGTCTGAAACAATAAATACACTTCTAATCTCATATAACAAGAAATCCTTTGATGAGGTGGACCCAGGATCTTATCAGTCAATGACTCTGTGTGAACAGCGGTCCAGAATTTGCTTGGGTCCTATTCCAATGTGCAAACTTCCAAAGGTGCCGGGAGTGGTGGCTCACACCTGTAATCGCAGCACTTTGGGAGGCCGAGGCAGGCAGATCACTTGAGGTCAGGAGTTGGAGACCAGCCTGGCCAACATGGTGAAACCCCGTCTCTACTAAAAACACAAAAATTAGCCAGGCGTAGTGGTGTGCACCTGTAATCCCAACTACTCGGGAGGCTGAGGCAGGAGAATTGCTTGAACCTGGGAGGTGGAGGTTGCAGTGAGCTGAGATTGCGCCACTGCACTCCAGCCTGGGCAACAGAGCGAGACTCCGTCTTAAAAAAAAAAAGAAAGAAAGAAAGAAAGAAAAAGAAAAAAAATTTCCAAATGAAGGAGAGGTCTTTTCTTCTTGGGTGTCCTTAAGGGAGGCAACCTCCCGCAGAAACTCTCCAGTGGAACTTCCTTTAGTTTCATTGGCCAGAACCAGGCAACATGCCCACCTGTAAAGCAGCCACTGGCCAGGGGAATGGGACCACTATGGGGCTATGGAAGTGTGGATGAGATGAGCCCCCTCTGAAACATGAGGCTACTCAGAGAACGTCAGTTTCTGTAAGAAGGAAGGAAGGAAGAGAGGAAATGAATGCTGGGTAGGCAAACAACAATGTCTGCTACATCTTCTGACCTTCTAAACCCTGGTCTAATGTTTGGTTCATTACAACTAGCACTTCTCAAAGTTGAGTGAGTGCACGAACCACCTGGGGGTTTTTTGTTAAAAAATGCAGGTGCTGACTCAGCAGGTCTGGGACGGGCCTCAGATACTGCATGTGTGACCAGCTCCAAGCAGATGTGACACTGCTGGCCCACAGACCTCACTTCCACCAGCAAGACATTCATGATGCCACTTACTCTTTTTATGTTATTGCATTAATTGTGGTAAAATATACCTAACATAAAATGTCCCATTTCAATCATTTTTAAGTGCACGGTTCAGTAATGTTAAGTGCATTCCCATTGTTGTGCAACCAATCTCCTGAACTCTTTTCAACTTGCAAAATTGAAACTCCATATCCATTGAAGAGCAAGTCTCCATCTTTCCCTGCAACCCCTGGCAACCACTATTCTATTTTCCGTTTCTATTAAAATGACTTCTCTAGATACCTCATATAAGTGGAAGTTACATATAAGTGGAACTGTGTAGAACTTGCCCTGCAGAGAATCTAAAAAGAAAAAAATTTTAAGTGGAATTATATAATATCTGTCCTTTTCTGTCTGGCTTATTTCACTTAGCATAATGTTATCAAGGTTCATCTGTGCTGCAGCATGTCTTAGAATATCCTGCCTCTTTAAGGCTGAACTATATTCTATTGTATGTACACAACACATTTTGTTTATTCTTCATCTATTGATAGACGTTTGGGATGCTCCCACCTTATGCTGTTGTGAATAATACTGCTACGAACATGGGTACACAAATATCTCTTTGAGAACGTGCATTCAATTCTTTTGGGTACATACCCAGAAGTGAAATTGCTGCATCATATGGTAATTCTATTTTTATTTTTTTGAGGAATTGCCATACTGTTTTCCAAGCGGCTGTACCAGTGGCACTTATTCTTAAACTTGACAGCACATTAGGCCTCACATGGGGCGAGTTACAAATTACTGATGCTTGGATCCCACCTCCAGAGTTTGATTTCATTAGCATAGGGTATGCCCTGGACATAGAAGTTTTAAAAACTCCCCAAGTGACTCAAGTATGTTGCAAAATTGGAGAACCACGTCTTGTCCTTTGCTTCTATCTGATAAAATTCCAAGCAGATTTGCTGGGATGATGGGGTTCCAGCTAAATGGGCCTTTGCGGGGGGATCTGCAGCGTCTGTGCTGCCATATGGCACATGCTCGCAGCTCCCAGGCAGTGTCTACCCCCAAATCACCAGGCGCATCATGTCCTCATTAGCCATCAATAGGAAGACAACTATGACCCCAATGGCTTTGAAGTCAGAGAACTTCAGAGCAGACAGACCTGAATAACAAGCTGCTCCTCTTTTTTTTTTTTTTTTAATTAAAAAAAGGGATCTTTACTTCAAAGGAAATTATACCTGGAATTCCTTTACATAAAATAGATCAAAGCAGAATTACTCTCTGTTGACTTGGGAATGAGAAGAGGACACTAGAGCCCCCCAACACATGATGCCATCCCCATGCCCTCCTTGGGCTCCCCGAAATCCTTCTCTAATCTAGCCTAAACCCCTAATTTCTCCCATAAGAAAACCAAGGCCTAAGAAGGTAAATGACCTGTTCAAGACGATGCACCTGGCCCAGGTGTGGTGGCTCACACCTATAATCCCAGCACTTTGGGAGGCTGAGGCAGGCAGATCACCTGAAGTCAGGAGTTCGAGATCAGCCTGGCCAACATGGTGAAACCCCGTCTCTACTAAAAATATAAAAGAAAAAAATTAGCTGGGCGTGGGGGCAGGCACCTGTAATTCCAGCTACTCGGAAGGCTGAGACGGGAGACTCACTTGAACCCGGGAGGCGGAGGTTGCAGTGAGCCGAGATCAAGCCATTGCACTCCAGCCTGGGTGACAAGAGTGAAACTCCATCTCAAAAAACAAAACGAAACAGAACAACAACAACAACAACCATGCACCTGGCAAAGCACACCAGCTCTCCATCTTTCAGGGGAGCGCCCCTCTTCTAAGGCATCCCTCTTGTAACCCCGGGCGAGCTGCAGCATTGGGTCCATTATGGACAGCTTAAGCACTTGGCCATCATACAACAGAACTAAGCAGATGCCTCAACATAATCCTGTCCTGTAAAAGTTCTTGTATTACAGGGTGTTCTGTCAATGACCCTACTGTATTTTGAACCACAAAGTCCTGTTTGGGGAGGACACATCGGCAGGGAATGACCAAAAACAATTCTGGTTTTAGATGCTTAGAGCGTCAACTTTTTAAATAAGGAATAAAGGAATCAGTAGAATTTAATCTCAATTCCCAAAGGAATGACCTCCCAGTTGCAAATGTTTGACATCCTTTAAGGTTATTTTTAAAAGCTGTATGACAGGTCTTCATAAGGAGGTGATCACAAATATGTCCCCACTATCAGATAAATGGGGTGAGGATGGGGAACTGCTCCAATGCCATACAAATGGCTATTTGGGGCTTGGGATACAATTTCCAGTGGGGACACTATACATGGATTCAAAAAGGGACATCTCTTCCACCATTGGCTGGAAGTGAACTTGTTATTCTCTAAAAATTCTACAATGCAGGCTGGGCGCGGTAGCTCATGCCTGTAATCCCAGCGCTTCGGGAGGCTGAGGCAGGTGGATCACCTGAGGTCAGCAGCCCTGTCTCTACTAAAAATACAAAAATTAGCCAGGCATGGTGGTGGGCGCCTGTAATCCCAGCTACTCGGGAGGCTGAGGCAGGAGAACTGCTTGAACCTGGGAGGCAGAGGTTGCAGTGAGCTGAGATCTCGCCATCGCACTTCAGCCTGGGCAACAGAGTGAGACTCCATCTCAAAACAAAAACAAAAACAAACAAACGAACACCTCTACAACACAAAAAGTGACTCCCATTAGAATACCATTGTTTTTGCAAAAGGTCAATGGGAAAAATGCAATATTTTCATGTATTATTTTGCCATTAACAGATTGCTACATGAACATTTCTAAATATTATTTTATGTAATATGTTATTTCAATTGTGTGTAATTAAATTATGAAATCAAATGGTACCTGTAAGACTATTTTATCTATATCCCTAAAAGTTTATATATTCAAGTGGCCAAAAAGCATTTTTGGAATTTTCTTGCTGAGAAACTGTGAGATTATCTTATTTTCCATGTTTGCTTTATATTTAGACACATGTGATATTGCCTACCCCAGGGAAGTGGGATGTTAATACTTAAAATCAGTGTTTTTCCCTCATCTATTATAGACAGTAGTCACAAGGGGTTGGGCAGGGGAATCTGCATCTGTGGGAACATGGTTGAGACTGTTGCTGCTCACATTTTGTTTTATAAATTATCCCACATGATATATTTCTTTTGGAACTTAATGCCAAGAAAAAAGTATGCCTTTCAAAATTGGTATATTTCTACCTTTATGATAAAAAGAATTTGTAAAGATCTTGTTTCCTTTTTTACTTGGCCTACTAGGAAGCTCTGAGCTAACCCTAATGACCATATAGGGAAACTAGCCTAGATGAATAGCTCTTTCACTTTGTAGTTAAATTTGCTTCTTTTGCTCGGTGCCTTCATTTTCTGTTTCTACTTTTATTTTAAAATGTAGATTCGTATATTCAAAGCACTGACATCCTTTATTAAAAGCTACTTTATTACATAGTTAACTCCTCACAGATATGGAATATAAGTATCTCCCAAACCAAGCAGATTTATAGGAAAACAGAGCACCCACCCCTATGCCCTGAGAACACTCCAGTCTTGTAGCAACAAGCAGCGGGGAGAGCATGAGGGTGAGAATGACCCCAGGGTTGTTCCTTGGATGCCTGCTGTGCCTTCGGTCTACAGTGAGAGGATGATGGGACCTCTGCACTGATGGAGTCAAGCCCGAGGGAGCTCAGATGCTCACCCCTCAGAATCTGAGGGAATACTGTCAATGCTGCTTCCTGGCTCCCTGTACCTCTACCCACACTCTCCAGAGTTGCAGTTTCTCCCTTCAAATGATCAGTGTTTCATAGAGAAAGAATGAAAATGAGGGTGGCTGGCCTGGTGCCATCACTCACTCCTGTAATCCCAACAATTTGGGAGGCCAAGGCAGGAGGATTATCACTTGAGCCCAGGAGTTCAAGACCAGCCTGGGCAACCAAGTGAGACCCCGTCTCTCTTTTCTTTTTCTTTTTTCTTTCTTCCTTTCTTTCTTTTTTTTTTTTTTTTTTTTGAGATGGAGTCTTGCTCTGTCACTCAAGCTGAAGTGCAGTGGCACAATCTTGGGCTCACTGCAACCTCCGCCTCCTGGGCTCAAGAGATTCTCCCGTCTCAGCCTCCCGAGTAGCTGGGACCACAGATGCATGCCGCACCACCTGGCTCGGGGTTTCACCATGTTGCCCAGGCTGGCCTTGACCTCCTGAGGTCAAGTGATCCACCCTCCTCGGCCTCCCAAAGGGCTAGGATTACAGGTGTGAGCCACTGCACCTGACCTGTCTCTTTCTTTAAAAAAAAAAATAGAAAGGAAAGACGGGTGAGCCTGGGCAACATGCCACAACCTTGTCTTTACAAAAATTAGCCAGGCATGGTGGCACACACCTGTGGTCCCAGATACTTGGGCGGCTGAGGTGGGAGAATTGCTTGGGCCTGGGGAGGTCAAGGCTGCAGTGAGCCGTGGTCGTACCACTGCACTCCAGCCTAGGGGAGACCCTGTCTCAAAAAAGAAAAAAAAGGAAAAGAAAAGAAGGGGGGTAACCTTCCTATAACACTGAAGGTCGGACTCTGAGGAGCCCTCTCCCACCTAGGCTGTTAAGGGTCTGAGGAGACCCTGTCAGGCTGCACTCATACACCGGAGGGAGAAATGCCTCCATTTTGGATGGAAGCTCATGGCCTCAAGAGCTTCCACAGGGCTCCATTTTGTACAGTCCACTCAGGAACTACTTTTCAGGGTGTACCACGCTCACCACAGTATCCTGGGGCAGGCAAGTGACCACCCCTCACCTTCTTGGGCCACATGAGTCACTTTCTGTGAGGGCTGCTCGGCGGGTGGGAACTGAGCCTACCGTGGTCATGGTCACCACAGTTGTGGAGAGCTCACCTGAGAAAGAAGCCAGGGTGGAGGAAAGCAGCTCTGAGAGAAGGGAAGAGACAGAGTCCCCAGTAATCATTTGCAGGCCTGGATTTAGACATGCCTGACGGCGACTACCCTTGGACTTTTCAATTATGTCAGGCAAAAATAAACAAAATAGTCATTTTTGCTTACTTCAGTTTAAGTTAGGATTGTGCCTTTTATAACAGAGTTCTAACTGATGACCCCTAATACTCATTCACTCACTCACTCATCCAACAAGTGTTTGTGGCACACGCTTTGTGTACCGAGCACTGTGCTGGGCACAAAGGCCTCCCCATTCCACCCAGAGTGCTGGGGCAGGGTCAGGCCCATGGCTTAGGCATCAGGAATGAAAGAAATCACTTTCTAATGACCACTAATGCTCGTTGTTCAAAAATAAAGTAATATTTGCCTTCCTTGCCGTTAGCTCCGATTCTGCAATGGGGAACAAGATTTTTTCTTTCTCCGCTCCTTGTTGGCTGTCTTACACATGGCCCTTTGATTATACATCCTTATCTTGATGGGTCTACAGGTGATGAATAACCAAATACATTCAACAGTTCCTCAGACATTCACTGAGTGCCATCTGTGTGCAAGGCCTTGAGCTAAGTGCATGAACCCTCAGGACGATGTCTTCTGCAGATACCTCTCCCAGAGAAAACAGAACCAGCCCACGGCAGGGCACACCACACACGGTGTACTAGCCATAAGGAGGCATTCCCAAAGGCAGGGCTCACCTTTTCAGGGAACTAGGAAGGAGGTGGCGGCTCAGCTTCATGGACTCTGGGTCTGGAGGTTCCTGTTAACTCCTGCTGGAGGAGCTGGGCTGAGGGTAGGAGATCCTTGTCTGACCTTAGCTCCACCAATGACCAGCAGAGCGACATTGGGCCTGTCACCTCCATTTCTTATTTATAAGATCAGCGTTAAATTCACTGACCTCATCCTTCTGGTTCCTTCCTATGTTTTGTCTCTGTTCATTTACAGTCTCTAGATGGTATAAAATTCATACAGGTCCACAATCCCTAAGCTACCATTTTCATATCCAAATGGCTCTGAAATCCAGAAATTCTTTTTGGGGGCACAGGGCGGGGAGACTTACTTGGCAGCAAATGCTGGCCTGAACTGACATGAGGCTATTTATAGTCTTTATTATCCCAGTTAGTGTGAATATTTATACACTCCACCACAGGAATATTAATGGGTTTACAGGGTGCTGAGCCAGGCTCCACTAGGAATGTTCTGTAATATACAAAAGAGGCATCACATTGCCCATTTTTTCAAAAAAAAAAATTTTGAATTCCCTAGAACTTCTGGCCCCAGCAATTCTAAGTAAGGTTTCATGGATGTGTGCTAAGATCACCATGCCTGCAGCCAAGGCAAACTGCAACGATCCATGAAGAAGCCAGCTTGTCTCCCAGCTTGTGCAGCCTCCACCTTCCTTGTCCCATGACTCTGTCTCCCAACCTTTGTGAATAGAATTGTCCCTTGTCTATAAAATTCCATCTAGGCTGGACATACTTGTCTGATAGTGGTTCTAGCCAGGACTATTTCTGGTTGCATTTTTCCTTCATGAAAATATTCCCTTCCCTTTGGGGTCCTGTTATCTGCAAAGGATCAGGAGCTGATGAAATAGAATAAGTCATATAAAGAATGGACAAGCATATTAGTTCACCCTTCATGGATGAGATATCTGCATTTGTAATAGATGTATTTTTTTTCACCTTTTATTCTTCTTTTTCTTTCTTTCTTTCTTTTTTTTTTTTTTTTTGACAGAGTCTCACTCTGTCGCCCAGGCTGCTGGAGTGCAGTGGTACAATCTCGGCTCACTACAATCTCTGCCTCCCGGGTTCTTGTACCTAAGCCTGCCAAGTAGCTAGGATTATAGGCACCTGTCACCATGCCTGGCTAATTTTTGTATTTTTAGTAGAGACGGGGTTTCATCATGTTGGCCAGGCTGGTCTTGAACTCCTGACCGCAGGTGATCTGCCTGCCTCGACCTCCCAAAGTGTTGGGATTACAGGCATGAGCCACTGTGCCCAGACCACTTTTTATTCTTAATTGTGGTAAAATACACAACTTAAATTTTTACCATCTTAACATTTATTTATTTATTTATTTATTTTTTATTTTTGAGATGGAGTCTCAGTCTGTCACCCAGGCTGGAGTGCAGTGGCCTGATTATAGCTCACTGCAGTCTCGAACTCCCAGGTTCAAGCAATCCTCTTGCTTCAGCCTGGTGAGTAGCTGGGACTACAGGCACGAGCCACCACACCCGGGTAATTTTTTAATATTTTTGTAAAGATGAGGTCTTGCTATGTTGCCCAGGCTGGTCTCAAACTCCTGGCCTCAAGCAATCCTCCTGCCTCTGCTTTCCAAAGTGCTGGGATTATTACAGCCATAAGCCACTGCGCCTGGACTATCTTAGTCATCTGCAAGTGTACAGTGCAGTAGTGTTCAATGTACTCACGTTGTTGGGCCAATCTTCAGAACATTCTCATATCCAATAAACAACTCCCCATTTCCCCCTCCTCATAGCCCCTGACAAACACCATTCCACTTTCTGTCTTTATGAAGCTGACTACTTTAGATGCCTCATGGAAGTGGAATCACACAGGGGTTGTCTTTTGGTGACTGGCCTATTTTACTCAGCTTGATGTCCTCAAGGTGCATCCATGCAACAGGATCTCTCTCTCTCTCTCTCTCTCATTCTTTCTTTTTAAAATGGAGTCTTGCTCATCACCAGGCCGGAGTGCAATCATAGCTCACTGCAGCCTTGAACTCCGGGGTCAAGTGATCCTCCATCCTCCTGCCTCAGCCTCCCTAGTAGCTGGGACTACAGATATGCACCACCATGCTCAGCTAATTTTTTAATTTTTTCGTAGAGATCGGGGGGTCTCCCTAAGTTGCCCAGGCTGGTCTTGAACTCCTGGCCTCAAGCAATCCTCCCTCCTTGATCTCCCAAAATATTAGGATTACAGGCATGAGCCACCATGCCCGGCCAGGATTTTTCCTCTTTCTAAGACTAAACAACATTCCATTGTATACACCACATTTTGCTCCTCCATTCATCCATCATGGGAAGCTGGGTTGCTTCCACCATCTGGCCATTGTTACTAATGCTGCTATAAACGTAGGGGCACTGTAACATATTTCTAAACCTCTCAATATACACCCCCTTATGAGTACAGCATTCTGATCCCGCCTCTCTCTGCCATTATTACCCCACAGAGAAGGGGAAAGCAATGTTGTCTCGGGAGGGAGAAGGAGTTTCCCCAGAAGACAGGAAGGGAGAATCTACCTTCTCTGCCCCATGGATTCTAGAAAGAGGAAGAAGGCTCACCTCATTATCCGCACTACCCTCCCAGGGAAGGTGGAAGAGAAAAGAAAGATGAACGTTCATGGGCACGGGGCTTGAACTTCCCTACCTGAACAAACATCCAGAAGTGGGCAGACTCTTTAGATTCCAGTGGGTAGAGTCAGGAAGGTTGTCGGGCTGTGGGAATGGTGCATGGGACTTGGTGGCTTGCCTTCCAGGACTTGGCAGGAGATGACAACAACAGTCACTTCTGAAGTGTCTTGGGCAACAATGTAGCAGCAGTAAACAGTGGCTGGGAAGATAAGCTTGAGGCAGTGCCCTTGGTTTTTGCAGCAAAAAGTTCAGGGCAAGATAGGGCCGAAGATGCTTTAAGGCCTGATGGGTGAACTGAAGCCTGGAGTCAGGAGGAAGAAGTCCCATGCATGGGGACCTCACAACCATGGGCAAATGTCCAGGCCACAGGCTGCAGCAGTGGAAACTAAGATAGCCCTAAAAGACAAAAAGGGACTGGTCACCCCTCCATGGCAAGGAGCAGATTCCAGCAGCCGCACTGCCACAGGCTCAGGCCATCATCCTGCAGATTCCGTGGGTATTCAAAGTCCCCTCTCCCCACTGCCTTGAAGACACAGTCAGCACCTGTCTCCACACCCACCTGGCAGCCATCACTCTTTAGGAAGGACGGAGGAGGGGCAGAGCAGTCCCTAAGGAGACCGCACCTCCCAACAGGGACTCTCTAACACGGCCTGGAGAGAATCTGACTATTCCATTGCAAGGAGACAGAGAGTAGTAGGTGCCATTGGTGCCATGCGCAGGTCTCCTTGACCAGCTGGTGCACCCAGCTGCTACAAGTGTTGCAGGGAACCTCAATGCGTGGTTGTGGCTTTCTCTGGACTGTCACCTCTGCCGTGGAAGCTGCTACACCTGGAGACACCTGGGAGGTGCAAGGCCCAGGCCTCTGCCTAAGAGCAACTAATGGCTTGCGGATGTGGAAGCACAAAACCCTAACCCCCTTGTCTCAAGGTGGAGCCAACTCCCTGGTACCATTCCGGCTCCAGAGCCCCCCAGGGGGTCAGGTAGAAGCTGAGTGCCCCTGGTGCACACCTCTCAGCTCCTCCCCTGCCCTCTCCTGCTTCCTTCACCAGGTCAGGGGCACCGGAACCCGGCTCTCAGGCTCTGCTTCCAGGGAACCCCACCCAACACATACATAATTTGCAGCTACTCTGTTCTTACCACATTGTGTGGAGGTGTCTAAGAATAAAGAATCGTATTTTCTTTATACGGGTAAGTGTGGTGAGAGTGAATCTGTAACTGACTCCACTGTGCAGTTAAACAATGTCTTCAGGCAAAAGTGACTCTCATGAGGGCTTTACAGGCCCTGGAGGGGGGCCCCGGGGGAGGCCATCTGGGGGCAGGCAAGTGGCTCCACACTGGCCTTTGCCTGCAGGAGGATTGCTGTGCTCATCTCTAACCCAGACCTCCCAGGAGGTTTGTTCTCCGTTCCCACCAGAGTAGGGTTGCCAGATTTAGGTAATAAAAATGTCAGATGCCCAGTGAAATTTGAATTTCAGATAAACACAACATAACTTTTTAGTATAAGTATGGCCCAAGTATTTCACAGACTGTACTTATACAGAAGGGGCTTTTTCTTGTTTATCTGAAATGTAAATTTCACTGGGCATCCTGATTTCATCTGGCGGCGCCCCCGCCCCCGCCCCAACACTCCCACACAGTCTGACTCAGCAGAAGCCCCCAGATCTGCCCACACACCCAGCCCTGGGTTGCTGCGGGAACTGCAAGGGTCCAAAGTTCTTCCTGCTGGGATTCCACTCCTGGCTCAGCCGCCGTTAGGCCGGCCAGTTATTCTACCCTCTCTGGATCTGATGAAAGCCACAGACTGACGAGGCTCGAAGCTAAAGGGGAAACAAGATGATAATACACAGCTTGGGAGATCACTGCAGCAGCTTGTCACTCAGAAGTCACCTCGGAGGCAAGCACTAGTCTGGATGTCAGCTTGTCCCTGCTCACATGGAAAGAAGGTCTGGTGCCAGCCTGGGCTCACCCCGGGACTAGAAACAGAATAAGGATCACAGGCAAGCGGGAGAAATGGAACCGAATTGAGCTGGCGAGTAAGGGGGCTCATGGTGGCTGAGCGCCTACTACGTGCCTGCCTCTGTATGGCCATTGTCATGCATAGTCCTCAAAACGAATTCTGCAACATTAGAGAATTGTTCCTATTTTAAGAGATGTGAAAATGGAGGCCCGAAGAGGCAAAGGGGGCCACCTATCTAGTAAAAGGCAGTGATGAGCTGCAGGCTGAGGTCTGGGTGGTTCCAAAGACCAGCTCTTCCCTCTCCAGGACAGGAGTCAGAACAACAAGGACAGTTTTAGCAGACGCTGTCCCTGCCCTGCCCATGTCCCCCCCAGGGCTCATGGTTTCCATGGTGGCTCTTCGCCCTGCAAGTGGACAGGGCTGGGGACGAGACACCTTGGGAGCAGCCCTCGGCCAGGATGTGAGTAGGTGGGTAAGTACCCAGCCCCACACCCCTCAGGTGGCACAGCTCTGGGGCCTGTCCCACATTAGGTGATATCCAGACATCCCCAGTGGGAGGGAGCCCCCAGTGCTCATGGCAGTAACTGCTCAAGGCCACCTTCCCTTCCCGGTCTCACATCCTCACTCCCTTCCTCATGGGACCAGGAACCCTTTCCATATCAACTACTTGCACTGCAATTAGATGATCAGGTCAGCAACTGGGAAACCCACCTAAGAGAGCGGCTCATGCTTATCCAGGCTTACCAAGGCACCGTGCTAAGCTCCGCACCAAGATCATCTCATTTCATCCACCCACCTGCCCTTGGGATGAGATAGCTTCTATGATTATCCCATTTCACAGATAAGATAAATTAACTGACCTATGGCATTGCCAGGCCTCAAACCGAGTGGGCCTCAGCCTAATATCTGTGTTCTCAACCACTGAGATATTAAGCAAGGCTTCCATTGAGCTTCTGGGCAATCATTTTCCCTCCTTCTAGCTTTGGACTGACTTCCTCTGCTTGGGTGCACATATAAACAGGAGATGCAGCAGTTGGCTGCCCCAAAACAAAGGGGCATCTTGTGTACAGGTGGAGCTGTGCAGTGGTGCAGTGTTTTAAGCATTGCCTTCATTCCACTCATAGGATATCGAAGGCCCACGTGCCATGTATTCACCTCCTGTTCTTTGCTGGACAGAATGCCTCGCCCAAGATTTAATTTTCCTTCATTCCTCTGCTCTCACATTTTGTGTGTCCTGCCCTTGCCTGCTAGGCCTCAGTGCGGTGGTTCTGGATCCTCCTAAGGACCAAGGCATCTGAGTTCCTCCAGCCCTCCAGGTCCACATGTCTCCAGATAGGAGGGTGTGAGTATGTGCTTCTGTGAGTCTCAGTTCAGAAATCGGCTCTAAGTGACTTGCCTGATCTTCCCAAATGCAAAGACCTACTTAAGACCCTTTCAAAAGAAAATCACTAGGCTTGTTGGCTCTGGCTTCAGAAAAGGGGCCTGAGCAAGAGTTCTATCTGTTTGATTTGTCTCCATTCAAAGCCACATTCTCAAGGTTATAAAGAAAGGATTTCCCAGATTGTCATTGCTTTCATTGATTGCATTATCACCTGAGCAGTATCTTGCAGAAACTATAGATAGGAGTTTCAGTAATTTCTAAATAGCTTTTGGTGTTTTATAACATCAGAAGATAAGCTTGCCATTTGTAAACATGCGCTTGGACAAACAACATACACGCATTCCTTAGGAGGAAAAGAATCTGTTTCTGGGCCTGGGAAGGGTGGTGTTCCGCCTCTACTAAGGGTCAGTTTCAACACTGGATTGTTGGGAAAGAGTTTAAGCTGGAAAAAAGATCTCGGTTTCAATGATCTTCTTAAAATCAGCCACCCTTTGAGCATCTATTAAAAGTTCAAATCACGGGTTGCAAATGAAAAAGCCAGAGGGACAAGGCAAATTAAAAAAATAAAGCAGTGAAGAAAACAGTGCAAGGGCGCTGATAAAAGAGGACCAACATTGGACATCCACTGAGGAGGTCACAAAAGTGCTATGGACTGTGTAGCTGACTGAGGTCCCAGACCCCATCTAAAGGAGGCCACCCCTTTCTGGAATGTGGGTCCCATGTGACTGGCTCTTCTGAGTCTTTTCAAGAGAAGCCCAACGTTTAGATTTTTATGTACTAGTATCCAATTTTTAAATGTTGGGAAATCATTCAAATATTCATAATGCTGTATGGACCCAACAAAACAAAGCCATGCCACGGTTTGTCTCTCCTGCTATGGACCTTCCTTCAAGAAAAATGCCCCCTTGCACATATAAATACAATTTGACATCATATTTCAGGCTTTTGTGGATCAGGGATCTCAGGTTTTTTTCTGTTTGTTTTTGTTTTTGTTCGAGACATATCACTTTGTCACCCAGGCTAGAGTGCAGTGGCATGATCTCAGCTCACCACAACCTCTGCATCCTGGTTTCAAGTGATTCTTCTGTCTCAGCCTCTCGAGTAGCTGGGATTACAGGCATGCACCGCAACACCTGGCTAATTCTTTTTGGTTTTTTTTTTTTTTTTTTTTTGATTTTTAGTAGAGACAGGGTTTCACCATGTTGGCCAGGCTGGTCTCAAACTCCTGACCTCAAGTGATCCATCTGCCTTGGCCTCCCAAAATGCTAGGATTACAGGCATGAGACACCGTGTCCAGCCCGTAGTCAAGTTTTGATTCTTAAAAAACAATCTTGGCTGGGGCTGGGTGCAGTGGCACACGCCTGTAATCCCAGCACTTTGGGTGGCCAAGGTGGGTGGATCATCTGAGGTCAGAAGTTCGAGACCAGCCTGAGTAACATGGTGAAACTTCGTCTCTACTAAATACAAAAAAATTAGCCGGGTGTGGTGGCACATGCCTGTAATCCCAGCTACTCGGGAAGCTGAGGCAGGAGAATCACTTAAACCCAGGAGGTGGATGTGGCAATGAGCCGAGATCGTGCCATTGCACTCCAGCCTGGGCAATAAGAGCAAAACTCCATCTCAAAAAAAAAGTATATATATATATAGGATCAGGTCATTCTCATCTTGAACCTTGGACATGGTTTCCCTGGGACATGTTCTGACCTTCCCTGTGAAAAATATCTACAAACAGTGACTGCCATTCTTGCCTCTGCTGTACTTCCATCTTCCTACTCGGGGACCACATGCTACTCCCAGCATCTTCCCTTAAATCCTTACTGGGATTTTCTTTTTTTTGACACAGAGTCTCGCTCTGTCCCCCAGGCCAGAGTGCAGTGGTGCGATCTCGGTTCACTGCAAGCTCCACCTCCTGGGTTCACGCCATTCTCCTGCCTCAGCCTCAGTAGCTGGGACTGCGCCTGCCACCATGCCCGGTTAATTTTTTGTATTTTTTTTTTTTAGTAGAGATGGGGTTTCACTGTGTTAGCCAGGATGGTCTCAATCTCCTGACCTCGTGATCTGCCTGCCTTGGCCTCCCAAAGTGCTGGGATTACAGGCGTGAGCCACTGCGCCCGGCTGGGATTTTCATCTTTAAAGCATCCCTGGTGAAGCTTTGATTTCCAGTGCTTGCAAACCCATCTGAAAGTGCCAAGATGTGGTCCCCGGTCTCTTCCCTCTGTGTGGCCCTTGGGTGTTGGTGGCATTTAGATGTTGATCAAGTCATGCCTGGCCCTAGCTCTGCTCTAGAGGTTTGGATCTGTATATTCCATCCTGCTCACAGCGTCTACTTGCCTGCATGGACTTTGGATAGAGTCACCTGGAAATGACCAAAGATACACATATGCCATCCCTCCTTCTTTGCAGAGAAGACGAGAAAGACCTTTGCACTGATCTGCACTCTGAGCCACTGCCATCTGCTCATTGAATGCTACCCCTCTCTTAGTGGCAGTGAAAAGGCAGAAGGAGCCACACCTGGCTGGATTTGTGTTTGATCTTGGCTTTACCCTTTACTTGGTGGATCTGTTCCTACCTCTCCATTCCTGCCATCACTTAAGGATCCCCTACTACGGATGGGCTAGGTGTCTTGCTAATTCACAGACATCTTATTTAATCCTCACGACAAAGCTATGATGTAGGAACATATCTGAGCCCCATTTGCCAGATGAGGAAATGGGGGCTTAGACAGTTTAGTAACATGCCCAAGATCATATACTTGGCGAAGAGAAGAGCCAGAGCTTGAATCCTTCGTGTTAAGCTCATACCTGTGAGTTCAGCCAACTAACCAACAGCTACTTTTTTCTTCTTGATCTATATGGGTCATGATAATCCCCAAGCCGGGTCACTGAGTGGCTTAGAATGAGCTCATATGAAGTGCCCAGGTGAATGAGGGTCTCAAAGGTAATGTTGCTATAACAATCACCCTCACGTCAGCACACCCCAGCCCTGACCCACAATCTCTCCCTGGATTTAAAGTGTGTACTTGGCTCTAGGAACCTTCACCCTTCAGCCTGGCACACTTGGTGTCTGTCTGTGCTGACTCTCCGGATTTGGCCAACCTTCAAGCCCCTTCAACCTCATCTATGCCGTCACCTTGCCAGTTGGGTGGCTGCGTTTTCCTAAGTACAGACCCATGTGGTTTTCTGCACCTCTCAATAGTTCCCTCAGGCATGCAGCAGTGAGGGGCATGTCCCAGGCAGGGGTTGGGCACTTTGGGTGCCCATGGGCCCTCACAGGAGCAGTGCCATAGAAGCCCACAAACCCTTATGCAGGGATATGTGGGAGAAAGGAAAACACACAGACTCCAGACAGCAGGAACACAACCAGGAGGACAGGGCTGCCCTGAGGTACAAAGAGATGCTTCTGCACAGCATGAAGTATGCCTCAACATAGCATCTGGGGTAATCCCAGCATGAACTAGTTGCATAACCTTGCCCAAATCACTTTCCCTTCTTGGCCTTAGTTGCTTCATCTATAAAATGGGGAGGAATAGAGTTAGGTTACTAATTTTCCAAACAATAGTCCCTAGGCCTCCCCCCATTCTCAGGGATTCACAATGTACACCAGCCTATTTACGGCTTTGAAAAGTCCTGTAAAGCTAGGGAACTACTGACCTGGCCTAGCCCATTATCTTTTACCTTTCCTAGACCAGACAGCCTTTTAAGTAACATCAGTTAGCTTCCCTTGAACCAGTGTTCTGTGGAACATGCGTTGGCTAATTTTCAAGATTCTTCTGGTGCTAAAGATCTTTAATTCGACAGCCCCTGAGTCTGTGCTAGGGATTGGGAGGCCTGGTTAGCTGTGGGCCCTCTGGAATTTATGAGGCTCCCGCCCTCTGTTTTCTCAGCCATCACACAAGGACTTCAACACCTGTTCTCATGATCAATTGGGACAATTTTTTAGCTTTCTAACTGCTCTCCCTTCTCTCCAATTTTACATGGAGAATCACCTCTTCCTGCTTTCATCCAATGTGGCTTGGGTGGGGCCAGTCTCCCACTTGGCTCCAGGGACACACATGACCAGGCCTCGCCAATGAGGTAACAACACACATGACCAGGCCTGGCCAGTGAGGTAACAACACACATGACCAGGCCTGGCCAGTGAGGTAACAACACACATGACCAGGCCTGGCCAATGAGGTAACACATCCTCCTGGCCACAGTGACTGCATCATTGTGGACACGCGACCTCAGCTGGGCCAGCCAGACAGAATCCTGGCACTTTTGCCAGAAAGATTAGGCAAGAAGTGGTGCCCCCTTCTTGCTGGGGTTGCTAAGTGAGTGTTCGTCTCTCCTTCCACTTGTGGGGGATCCTGTCAGAGCGATCCTGGCAATGCAGAACTGGAGATGGTGACAAGTAGTTTCTTGACAACATCATTTGAGGGCCTAGATACAGCCAGTCCTGAAGCCATATGTGCTCCAATCAATCCTTTGCCTTTTAACTAGTTTGAGTTTAGTTTCTAATCCTAACTGAAAGAGACCCATTCCACCAATTTTACAAGGGACACAATGATAATTAAATGTTAAAGAAGGAAGAGGCCTTAAAGGCTGATAAAGCAATGCATGAGAAGTGCTTGGGAGGTAGGATGGGACAGTTACCCTATGTGGGCACAAGCCCAGATGCCTGGGAAGAAGGGACCGATCATGTAGACCTCAGCAACAGTGGGTAATGCTTAACCCAAAGAAGTGCTGTCCACTCTAGAAGTGGAATTGAGGGCCCTGCAATGTCAAACCTAAGCATAGGCTCAGTCCTGATAGGATGCATTCTAATACAGCCTTGCTACTCCACGTGCAGCCTGTGGGCCTGCAGCTTTGACGTCTCTTGGAGTTTGTTAGGAATGCAGAATCTCAGGCTCCACTCCAGACCTACTAAATCTGCATCTTAACTAGACCCCAGATGGCCCATGTGCATGATCAAAGTTGAGAAGCACTACCACAGCACTGTTGAAGTGACTGTGTAGCGTGTCCATAGACCCCTTCCTGCTGGTATGAACATCCTGCCCACCCACCAGGAAGTGGACAGTTTCCCCTCCCCTTTTATCTGGGCTCTCGCCCTATGGCTTAGTTAGCCCGGTAGAAGGTGATAAAAATGGTGCTGCCAGTTCTGGGCCTGGCAGCCTCTGCTTCCTCTCTCAGAAGCCAGCTGGGGACAGTGGTTCACACCTGTAATCCCAGCACTTTGTGAGGCCGAGGCAGAGGCCTGAGGTCAGGAGTTTGAGATCAGCCTGGCCAACATGGTGAAATCCCATCTCTACTAAAAACACAAAAATTAGCTGGGCATTGTGGCAGGCACCTGCAATCCCAGCTACTCAGGAGGCTGAGGCAGGAGAATCGCTTGAACCCAGGATTGGGAGGCGGAGGTTGCAGTGAGCCAAGATCACACCACTGCACTCCAGCCTGGGCAACAGAGCAAGACACTGTCAAAAAAAAAAAAAAAAAAAAAGTCAGCCTACTTGCCCTGAGACCTCCATGCTGTAAGAAAACCCAGACAAACCGCATAGAGATGTTTCTTGGAGAGCCCAAAAGTCCCAGCTGTGTGAGTGAGGCCTTCTTGGGCCACCCTGTCCAGCCTAGCCCCCAGCTGAGTGACCCTCAGTGACACAATGTGGAACTGAGTCCTGCTCACATTCCAGACCCAGAGAATTGGAAGAAATACGAATCTTTGCTGTTCTAGGCCGCTGTGCTCATGTTATTTTGTCACACAGCAGAAGTTACTGGGGCCATGACCGCCTTTCCTCCTCACTGAAGGAGGGGGCTGTCCTGCAGAATGTTCACACACTGTAAGCACCATACTGAGCACTTTCTGCCTCTCAGGCGCTGTTCCAGGCACAGAGATGGAGTGGGAGAGGGCAGACTGCATCCCTGCTCTGGTGAAACTGGGATTTTTATCCAGGGATAGGGCAGTAGACAAGAAAACACACAAACGTAACTTCAGAGAGATAAGGAGCAATTGGAATGGGGCTGGGGACACAATTAGGTAGAATAGGGAAGATCTTTCTGAAGACACACACTTGATCTGAGGCCCTCCTGTTGAACAGGGGCAAACCATAAAATGATCAGAGGAAAAAGTGATGCCGGCAGAGAGAACAGCAAATGCAAAAATCAAAAAGCACAGGAGGTCTGGGAGTGAAGGCAGAGGGAAAGGGAAAGCCAGGAGAGGGGAATGAGATCAGAGATGAAGTCACAAAAGTCAGCAGGGCCCAGAGCAGCAGCGTCTAGCACACCGCCACCAGCCACCGATGGCTATGTAATCTAAGCTTCCATTTAAACAACAAGCGCAGCTCCTCAGTCCCACTGGCCACATCCCAAGTGCCCAGTGGCCCTGTGTGCCTAGTGGCTATCATATGAGACAACACAGAGACAGAATATTCCCGTGACGGTTCTGTTGGCTGAGATGGCTATAGAATAACTCAGAAGCAGATCAGAACCAGGGTTCAAGGTCAGACCATGTGTTCTTGGGCTTAGTATTCCATTAAATTTCTGAAGGTTCCAGTTTTCCCCAGGGTTAAATGAGGCTTTTCCAGCCCAACAGTGGGTCCAAATTATCCACAGCAAGAAGCCAAGTCCACAAACAGTTGCACACGGGTCCTATCCAAGGAGCATCAGCAAGGCCTCATCCATGGAAACTGGCAGCAGAGGTCTGTGTAACTGACTTCTTTGCAACCTCATTTAAGTTGCCAGTTGGGGCTCCCTGATGTGAAAAAAGAACAGAGCATGGCTACTATTTCAGGGCACCACGCAGAAGGGAGAGTGCCACAATTAGCTGAAGCTGCTTTCGATTAGCAGATTTTCTTCCTTGGTGCATAACATCTGTCCGTGTATAGACATCGCTCCATCTTGCCCCATCAGAGTGAGGGGCCGGGCCAGTGAAACAGGCGGGCCCACAGGGAGTTCAGCATCCATCAGGGCAACGTCCAAGAGGAGCTGGAAATAGGCACTGTGGAACTTGGCACATCGATGGCAGTTTGCCTTAGGGAAAGGCTAAGAAAGGAGACCCTGCTTCCTCACACAAGCTGGGAGGCGGCAGATGGAGACATAAGTTTTCCTTGGGGTTAGAAAGACCTGCTTCGTCATTTAGTATTTATGACATCTCCACAAGTACCTGATCCTCTGGGGTGGTTACCTAACCATGCTCATCTGAGAAACGGGGCTGATGACACCCACCTCATGGAGCTGGGGAGGAGTAGGTGGAATAATCTCTGGAAACACACTTGGCATGCAGCAGGCATTTTGTAAATGGTGGCTGAATCATAATCTTGATAGGAAAGAACCAGGTGAATGAGAGAGATGGGCATGGGAACGTTTGATCAGCACTCAGAACTGGCTCCTCCATTTGTTCAGTCAACACAGGTTAACTCTGCAAATTGGCTCTGGAGCCTTGGAAAACTCCCTCAACCAGCCTGGGTTCCTCTTTCCTACCTGGGGCCCGTAGCTGATCTCTATGGTTCTTCCCAGTTCTCCTTGCCTAACAGAAAGTTTGCAGCCGTCCTTAAGGCGTGACCCACCTGAGTTCAATCGCAGAGGGTGGGCAAAGTACTAACACCCAGAAACCTACAATCTTGGATTTGGAAACAGCCTTTAAAGGTCTTTTGGTCCAGCTCCCAGCTGATCACAAGAATCCCGTTCCCTTCCATGCTGATGGAAGAGCCGTGGCCTGCACACTCTTGCTGCCTTGCAAAGCAGCCCATTCTCTTTTCAGAGAGCTCTAATGTTGGGGATAGTCGATAGAGAGTGAAGGCATGCTCCAGGTTAATGACCCTCTTTAGACGTGGCACCAGCACAGAACAGTCTTCAGTTTCTATGTCTGTAGAATGAACCTGAGAACACCTGCTTCACAGAGGTCGGAATTAAGAGCAATAACATAGCTGGTGGGTCTGGCACGGGAGGTTCAGCGTTTGCTCCCTTTCTCCTCTCCAAATTAAACCTGCTGCAGGACGGGGACCACAGGTTGCTCTAGCGCCGGCCCCTCTACTGTCTTTTTTCCTTTTCCAGTGGGGCCTAACATAGGCTAAAATGTTCTTAGCATGCTTGGTGAACCATTGGCGTCTTGGATTTGTGTGTGAAGCAGAGGTTGGCTTCAGCCCATCACATATAAAACTAAGGAGGGATGGCAAAGCCTAAGGGTAAAATATTTCTCTGATCCACCCCCCACCACCTCCCTTTCTACCTTACACAGTCAAGGAGAGCCAGGAGCCTTCTTAAAATCATGGGGTCCCTATAGAAGCCACTCCTTTGTGGGAGAAGGGACGCAGCTGCAGCTGTGTGGACGTGTTGGCACTCACAGATGGTGAATGGACCGTAGACAGACTGTGGGAAAACACGAATGGGCCATGGTAGGGAAGGCAGCTGTGCCTCCTGGGGCCCAGAACGGGTCCCTACTGTTTGTTATAGAAGGCCTTGAGTCTCAAACCACCCTCAGCCGAGTGCAGGTGGCCCATATGGAAAGAGCCAGCATCCTCTTTGAGAGATGGCTTTGGCCTCTGTCCCTGTCCCCGCTACCTTAGATTTTGCCCACTTTCCTGGTGTTCTAATCCATCTCCTTATTTCCCGTCACGATCCTAAAGCTCTCTTACTGTCCCAAAAGGAAAGGAAGTGATTTGATATACCAGCAGGTCACCAGGAGGTGGATTTAAAAACAGCCAAAGCAGGAAGGCCTCTTACAGAAAGGAAGGACCGTCGTTCACATTTTGGACGGGAGGTGGCTGTGTCAGCTACCTCTGCTCATCCTGCTATGTGGTGTGTCATTTGGCCAATGGCTGTCCCTGACCTCAATTAGGGCTAGAAGTGATGCTCTAGTGAATTTGCCATCTGAAAGCCTGGCCTCTCTGCTCTATTAAGAACACAGGTGACCTTTGCCCAGGGAGCTGGTGCAGGTGGCAAGCCGAGTCTTAGGGGAGACTAGAGTACCACCTCCCGCAGATGGTGACACAGCAGGAAGAGGCTGGGAAGGGGTGTGTGCATCAGGTGAGTCAGCTTTCCTAGGAAGAGTTTGGGGCTTACCTGGTGAACTCCTGTCCACCGGTTTGGCTCATCTAAACCTGTGTGAGAATGAGACCTTAAAGTGCTAAGACAGCCAGCTGTTGGCTGTATCTCCTTCCATGCTGCTTGGGAAAGTTCTGAATACTCACCAGGTGCTCCTGATAAGCCAGTGGCAGCTGGCAGTTTGTCTCAGTCACCTTGGATCTGGAACTGCAGGCCAGAGGTTCAGCTTATGTCTTAGGCCCATGGGGCAAATCAGTCTCAAGATCCTGAATGGACTACATTGTGATGTCACACCACAGGTCGGGGGTGAGCACAAAAAGGGCTGCAGTGGCTGCTGGCATCAGGGCACAGGGCAGGGCAGGAGCAAGAGCCTCAGGCCTCTCCAGAAGAAATCAGCCTGTCTGGGTGCTGTTCTCAGCTGGGGTTGCTGGGAAAGAGTGAGGGATGTCTGCTGTACAGAAAACATCAGCCTGGAAGACTGCTTATGAATCCACCTGCTGCCACTTGCTGCCACGGTTCCTATTCTCACCTGGCCTGCGTCAATTCAGTTAAACCAAGTCCATCCTTCATGCAGTTTTCCTGCACAAAGTGACTTCCGTGGGTACCCCCAGCTCCTTGCACATCTTCTGTGATGGACTTGAAATTCCAGGGCAGCTTTTTCTTCTACCAGTATACCCGTGACTTTCCCCCTACTGCCCACCTGGTAGGGACTCAAGGAAAGAGAAGTAACTTAAATATTAGCTCAGGAAAACAAGCAGAAATATAAATCCTCCCACCTTCAAGTTAAATTCAACACAGGTGTCTTTTAGGTTATCCTCTATAGCATATATGCCTGGGCTACTTTCCATTGTTGGTAATTGATAACTTGGTACAATGTATATTTACTAAGCCTAAAAAGAAAAGAAAAACTCAAAAAAGGGGGCAAAGTATAAAATGTTTCCAGAGATTCCATTCCCTTTTGCTGCTGGTGCTTGGGATTGGGGATGGAGGAGTTCTAACCAAGAGCAAACGGCTTCGCTTTGGAAACTGTTGGGTGGCCCTAAATTTTAGAGTCCAAAACAGTGGGTCTTAAACTGTAGGTTGCATTAGAATGACCTGGAAGACTCGTTAAAATACAGATTCCTGGGCCCCACTCTCAAAGTTTCTGACTCATTAGGTCTGGGGGAGAACCCAATAATTCACATTTCTTACACGTTCCCACATGACGTTGAGGCTGCTTGCTCTGAGACTACACACTTTAAGAACATGTAAGGGTGCTGGTATCTTAGGTTTGATCCTGAAATAGTATTGCCAGCTGATGGCAGTATTCAGGGGTTGCTGGAGAATAAACAGGAGCTGTAGCTTTGGGGCCAAAGCTGGCTGAGCTCTCTGGGTTCAACCAGCACGCTTTACTGAGGATCTATTCATTGCCAGAACTGAGCCACGTTTTGGGGAAGCACAACTGACGTTGTCAGTGCCCTGCCCATAGCCTCTTGGCCTTACAACTTCATTGTACAAAGGTAATCTGACTCCCAGCTGCCAGTACCTGCGTATCTTTGCTTGGGGGCTTTTGCCAGCTGCTGGAGTCCACCCTGCCTACAAGCGGGCAGCTGCAAGTTGCAGAATGTCCTCATTCAATGACTATTATCAGTTGGTAGATAAATAACCCAGCTCCCTCCCTGCTCAGGTGGAATAACCTGGAGTCATGTCCTGTTCCATGTCCCAGAGGACCCACAGGACCCACCCGTAGGTGCCTATGCTAGGCCATTCTCTTCCTATAAAGAAATATCTGAGGCTGGGTAATTTCCACAGAAAAGAGGTTTAATTGGCTCACAGTTCTGCAGGCTGTTCAGGAAGCACGGTGCCAGCACCTGCTTTGCTTCCAGTGAGGCCTTAAGGAGCTGACAATTATGTCTGAAGGTAAACAGGGAGCCAGTGTATCACATGGCAAGAGTGGGAACAAGGCAAGGGAGGTACCACACACCTTTTTTTTTTATTATTATTTTTTATTTTTGAGATGGAGTCTCACTCTTGTTGCCCAGGTTGGAATGCGATGGCGTGATCTCGGCTCACTGCAACCTCCGCCTCCCGGGTTCAAGCAATTCTCCTGCCTCAACCTCCAAAGTAACTGGGATTTACAGGCACCCACCACCACTCCCAGCTAATTTTTTTGTATTTTTAGTAGAGATGGGGTTTCACTTTTTTGGCCAGGCTGGTCTCAAACTCCTGACCTCAGATGATCCGCCCATCCTGGCCTCCCAAAGTGCTGGGATTATAGGCATGACCCACCGTACCCGGCCGGGTACCACACACTTTTAAACAGCCAGCTCTCACAAGAACTCACTATCATGAGTACAGCACCAAGACATTCATGAGGGATCTGCCCCCAGGACACAAACACCGCCCACCAGGCCCCACTTCCAACATTGCAATCACTTTTCAACGTGAGATTTGGAGGGGACGAATATTCAAACCATATCAGTGCCCACAGTGGCAACTGGCTTGCTAACATACCCCACATTGTTGCCCCCATCCCCTGCCTCACTTCCCCGCTCCCCTACCTATGTTTCCTGGGATCAAACTGCAAATAAACTGCTTCCACTCAAATCCTTGTTTCAGGGTCTGCTTCAGGGGGAACCCAAACTAAGACTTTGTAAATAAGAAATGATGTCTGTTCTTTGTAAGTTCACATTTAGATGGAGAAACTATATAAATTGGCTTGGTATAATTCAGAATGTCTGGGAACCGGTGAGTGTCAGGTCTCAGGGCAGATGGAGGTGTTCTGCTGGTTGGCCTTTGGAGTATCATTAGGAATGTCTTGAGGAAACACATGAGCTGATATGCTCAGGGGGAGGCCTGGCAACCTGGCCCAAAGGCCTTTTCCTCTGCACAGGGAGGCCTGAATGTGCTACCCCCAGGGGACTGATTTGCTACACAAATTCCACCTGCTTTCCATCTCCCTGGACAATTCCTCCTGGAATAAGAATATGGAGGTGGAGCTAGCACCATATAAAATATGGCTCTTGTTCATGCTTTTGGGGGAGTTTCAGGTGTTTAGAGAAGGCTCGCTAGGGATATCTGCTGGCCTGTTAGGATTAATATGCTTTCCTAGGTGTTCTGCTCAATACCATGCTACACCCAGCCTCACACCTGCACTGTGGTAGGATTAATCCAACTCTGCCATAGCTTTTGCAGGGAGCCTTAGTTTCCACCCTAACTCCTTCCACATTCTCCTCCCCATTATCATCATCATCACCATCATCATCATCACCATCAGATCTCTTAGAGATCCTGCTAACACACTACAATCCAAATGAAAACACCATGTCGAGAAAGTACTCTTCAAGTCCAGTTCCCATTCTTCCAATCAGACACGGCATGTACTGAAATTCTGGAACTGCCACTGAAAAGATCCAATCGCGGCTTGGCTGATCATTCACACAAATCATTTCTTTAGCAACATGGCACCCAGAGTTATTTTCCTCCACATTTCAACTTGGCTAGAGGAAGAATGAAGCCTACTGTACCAGAGCATTGCATCAATAACAATATCAATATTTTCAGCATTACCCAGGACTCAAAAAATGGCCTCAAACAGTCTTTAGTTCTGCCTCCAGACAAAGAATTACAACTATAAAAACACTTACCTGGGAAAAAATGTTCGACATTATTAGTGATAAGGTAAATGCAAATTAAAACCTCTACATGCCCACCAGAATGGCTAATATTAAAAAGAGCAACAATACTAAGTGTTGACAAAGATGTGGGGCAACTGGAACTCTCACATAATGTAATATAATATAACCACTTTGGAAAATTGTCTGGTAGTTTCCTGTAAAATTAAACATAAAGACCTACCCTATAAGCTAGGATTCTACTCCTGGGTATTTACCCAAGACAAATGAAAACACATCTACAAGCTGGGTGTGGTGGTTCATGCCTGTAATCTCTGTAATTTGGGAGGCCAAGGTAGGAGGATCATTTGAGGCCAGGAGCTCAAGACCAGCCTGGGCAATATAGAAAGACCCTATCTCTACAATAAATAAGAAAAAAGAAAACATGTCCATAAAAAGATTTGTGCAGGAATGGTCATAACTTCTTTACTCATCATAGCCCCAAACCAAAAACACCCAAATGTCCATTAACAGGTGAATGTCCATTAATAGGTGAATGTATATTCTTATAATGAAATATTAATCAGCAACAAAAGGAACAAACTCTTGATGCATATATGATGACATGATAAACCTTGAAAACATTATGCTGAGCAACAGAGGCCAGACATAGAAGAGTACACACATGGTTCCTGTTATATGAAGTCCTGGAATAGACAAAACTGATCTGAGGCTACAGAGATAAGGTCAATGATTGCCTGGAGTGGGGGATGGGGGAACAGGTTAAATGGCACAGGTAACTCCATGGGATGAAGGGAATATTCCAGATCTCTATCATGGCGATGATTACTCGGGTGTATACATTTGTCAAAATTCATCAACTTGTACACTTAATGTGTGAATTTTAGAGCATGTAAATTACACCTCAATAAAGGTGACTATATACACATATATGTATGTGTGGTGTGTGCATATGTAATGTGTAATACACACACACACACACACACCCTAGGTTTTTCTAGGGGAAGAAACTGGAAAGAATACACTAAAATGTGCTAGTTGTTATGTTTCACAGATGAGATTATAGGTAATTTTTGTATCTTCTTAAATTTACCAAAATTTTACCTATGCGACTCTACTTTTTTTTTTTTTTTTTTTTTTTTGAGACAAGGTCTTGCTCTGTACCCCAGGCTGGAGTGCAGGTTTGTGAACATGGCTTACTACAGCCTTGACCTCCCAGGCTCAAGCAATCCTCCTGCCTCAGCCTCCCGAGTAATTACAGGCATGCCACCATGCCCAGCTAATTTTTTTTTAATTATTGTTTGTAGAGATGGGGTCTTCCCTTTGTTGACCAGGCTGGTCTCAAACCCCTGGGCTCAAGCAATCCTCTGGGCTCAGCCTCCCAAAGTGCTGGGATTACACCATCACACCCAGCCTTACTTTTTAAATAACAGAATGAAAAATGTTCATTTTTTAAAAATTTCAAGCTGCTAAAGGCAAGTGCTTATGGTGGTCTATAAAAACTCTGGAGTTTTGCAAACAGAGTCCTTGGTCAAAGTCCCTGTCCCACTACTTCCTCGTTTTATGACCTAAAGGAAGTTACTTCCTGAGCCTCAGTTTTCTTATCTATATAATCAGTTTGTTGGGATGATTGAATTAGGATAGTGTATGTTCAAAGCCCTCTGCAGGCAGGGTGCGGTGGCTCACACCTATAAGCCCAGCACTTTGGGAGGCTGAGGCAGGAAGATTGCTTGAGTCCGGGAGTTCAAGACCAACCTGGGCAACCAAGTGAGACCCTGTCTCTACAGAAAATTTTAAAAAAATTATCCAGGCCTGGTGGCACGAACCTCTATTTCTAGCTACTTGGGAGTCTAAGGGAGGAGAATCACTTGAGCCTGGGAGGTCAAGGCTACAGTGAGCTGTGATGGCATGACTGCACTCCAGCCTGGGCAACAAAGCAAGACCCTGTCTCAATAAAAAAAAAAAAAAAAAAAAAAAAAAAAAAAAGAGAGAGAAAAAACAAAAATAGCCCCCTGCAAACTATAAAACACTACAATGTTAGATGCAATGTTTCACACAATATATTAATAAATCCAGGGCTTACCTTTGTTTCTGACCTCTTAACTCCTTGCTCATGAGCACTACTTCCTCACCAGCTTCCACTCAGTTCCTAAGATTGTCGAACACCCTCCTGCCTCAGGGCCTTTGCACATGCTGATCCCTGCACCTAGAAGACCTCTGCTCCCACATCTTCAACAGCTGGTTCCCTCGGGTGATTCAGAGTTCAGCTCCAGTGTCTCTTGGGGCTTTACCTAATCATCCCAAAATAGCCTCCTCCCACTCTGTCCCATCACTGTGTTTTATGAGTACTTGAAATTGTCTTGGTTTTGTGCTGACTGTCCACCTCCCATCCCATACCACCTTGTGGAGAGGCTTTGCATCGGTTTTGTTCACTGCTGTATGTCCAGCCCCTGGAGCACAGTAGGTGCTCAAAAATCATTTACTGAATGAACGAACAAGTACTTATTGACAATTAGGCCACACGTTGTATGTATTCAGTTCAATCTGCCAATTCATCGCAACAAGGAGAGACTGTGAGGCAAATGCTGCTTGTTCCCACCCCAGTGGCTGAAGGAATCCGTCCAAGACGTGCCCGTCGGCCATAGATCTGAACGCTTGCCACTGCCCATCAGGCTCCAAGTCAGCCACCGTGGTGTGAAGATGCGGGAATAAGGAGGGCATTGTGCTGCCTGCAGAGACACGTTCCGAAAAGAATTCAGAATTCGGGAAAGCACCTCCTCCCACTGGACACACCTCTCCTAGCCAGGTGATTTGTCCTTGCCTCCTTTCCCCGCCGTCTCTTCCCCACCGTGAGCAAGGAAGTCAGACCAATCTGCCTTACCTTTGTTCCTCGCAGCATTCAGCGCAGGGTTGCTTTAAAGTTCTGATTCTGCATAAACCCTGCCAATGCCACAGTGGAATTTTCTAGCCCATGCCAAAGACGGAGCTCATTAATTTTCGTGCCTGAAAGAAAGAAAACACTTCTTTAGAAATTGGCGTGTTTAGCACTCTGCTGAGGGAGGGTGAAGCCTCCCTGCAAGGAAGATTAATCTAGGTTTGTAGGTAGGTCATTCAGGGAAACACCAGCACACTGCAAAAGACATTGTCCACGCCAATGGCCACCCGCTGCCTGTGGGTGACTTGTGCAAAGGCAGGAAAGCACCCACTCCTCTCAAAAGTGCCCATCCAGTACATTTCCAGAAAGTTCTTCTGCCCTGTCTCTTCCCTCCTTTTCTGAAATGTCCATGGTTCCTGGAGATATCACATCTGAGTGCCAGCTTTTCAAAGTGGAAATCAGGCTGGGCCAATTCCCCAGGGCCTGGACCTGATGCTACCACAAAGATAAGCCAGAATCTCTTTATGCAGTGGTAAGTAATTTAAAACTTTTTTTATATTAAAACAAGGAATGTGTCTTAGAAAATAGTGTAGAAGGGAAAAAAATTAAACTATGACATCGGGGGTTGGGACTTCTGGTGATTTTTACATTATTCTTGATATCTTGTCCTGTATTATCTGTATTATGCATTCAAATGTATTACTCTTATATCATAAAAATAACAATGATACTATTTCCATTTTTAGAAAACCAGCTTATGTGGAAATAGCTTGAAGAAGAATAAAAAATCACATGGGACCGGGCATGGTGGCTCACACCTGTAATCCCCGCACTTTGGGAGGCTGAGGCAGGTGATCACTTGAAGTTAGGAGTTTGAGGCCAGCCCAGCCAACATGGTGAAACCCCGCCTCTGCTAATAATACAAAAGTTAGCTGGGCTTGGTGGTGCATCCCTGTAATCCCAGCTACTCGGGAGGCTGAGGCACAAGAATTGCTTGAACCCAGGAAGCAGAGGTTGCAGTTAGCTGAGATCGCACTGCTGCACTCCACGCTGGGTGACAGTGAAACTGTGTCTCAGAAAAAGGGAAAAAAATCATATGGGTGTTTAATGGTAACGTCAATGTCTTCTTGGACAGATGGCTTAAAGGCCATGCCCCTCCTTGGTGTCCACATTCACTCTCGTCTGACACTAGAGGTATTATGGCAAAAATGCTTGAAAGGCATTTCATGGTAAGTCAGTAAAACTTTAGTGCAAATTAGTCTATCTGAGGTAATCTCTCTCTCTGTCTCTCTCACACACACACACACACAAACACACACACAACACCTAAAATCTCATGAGAATCTGCAGATTCACCAGGAAATGGCACTGGAAGGAAGAATGAAAAGTTGCCTAAATTCAACCACCTAAGTAAATTTTGCCCTGGCCTGGAGTTTTCTGACCACAGTGACAAGTAGCTTTCTGAAGAAGAGTACAAGTGGGGCTGCAGGCTATGCTCTCATCCCTCCAAATCTAGTTTTTCTGCAGTGCACATTCAGATCAGAGGCTGGGACGATTGTGCTGAGCTGGGATAGTTGGCCTGATCTATTAGCTGGCAGAAGGGACTGCAGGGCCAAAGACAGGGAGATGAACTCAATTGCCCTGGTGGACCCTTTCTGAATACTATTATATATATATATATTTTGCCTCTGGTTTAAGGACCTTCTTTAAAACTCTCACTAATCATTTAAAAATAAAGAAAAAATGCTGATTAACCGAATTTGAGAAGTGTCACAAGATGATTAAGTGGCTGGGGAAGAAAGATTTAAGAAGCTGCAGTTTTTAAGTCTGGAGGGAAGAACCTGGAGGAGGGAATCAAATAATGATTTTTAAGTACCAGGCACTTACTAATCAAGTGACAGGCACTTTGTGAACACTCAGCAGAGACCCAGCATTGAGCAGAGTGCCGAAGCTCTGCCCTAAAGCCATGAAGAATAAGACTCTAAGAAATAAGCGCACAGTGATGTAGAAGTGATTTAAGGTAGACATAAGAAAGGACTTCCTGAAGCTAAAACCAACTCATTGCAGAATTGAAATCACAGGGAGTTCAGAAGGAAAAAACAAGTATGACTCAGGCCTTTTATAAGCTTTTTTGTTGAAGAGTCAGGATTGCTATGTACAGAATCTAGCAGTGAACTCGGGTGCCCAGTTGTGTTGTGGTGGTCTCCAAAGGGAGTTGGTGGGGCAGAGGAAAAGAGTGGTAGCTATGTATTCTGGAGTCCTGTGGAGGAATCAGCTCCATAGGCTCTTCGAGGGCAGAGAATAACCAAGTTCAATCCAACTTTGCACCCCTATCAACAAGAGGGTGCCTGGCAAACTTAGCACCAACTACAGGATGAATGACCAAAGACAGCTCTTGAAAGATGAGAGGGCAAGAATGGCATGCAAGGCTATAGGGAGTGTGCTTTGGGCAGAGGCACATGGGGTACAAATGGGAAGAGGAGGAGCTTGGTGAATGTCAGGGGGCACTGGTATATGGAGGTCCACAAAAGTCAGGCAGAGAAACAGAGACTTGACATGGTGGGTACAATTTTAGGCTCCTGAAGGGGAGACAAGAAAAGATAGAAGTAGTGGTTTTGGAATGTTAAGTTTCCTAAATGTGAGCAGGATGGATTGGAAAGAGAAAGCAGGGGGGAAAAAGACAACTCGGTCCTTCACAGTTTCCATATACCACTTCACCCTGTGAATTTACTTTGGAGCACTTACCACAAATTAAGCAACCATCTATTGAAATACTGATTGCCTCCCCCCATCCCCCATCACCACTAGACTATCAACCCACTGAGGGTAGGGGTCCTATTTGTCTTGTTCTCTGCTGAATTCTTAGCAGCTCATATAGACTGTAGTGTGCAGCAGTGCTCTATAAATATTTATTGAATGAATGAGTTTACTAAACCAGGAATGGGAGATGAAGTTCTAGACTACACGTCAAAGTCCTGAGCTCTTCATCTCTGGTAATCTTAGAGAAGAGCCAAGTTGTCTAACTAGCTGGACTAGTTAAGAATGCCTTCTGCTCAGGGATGGATAGACGAAGCCCTATTGTGCCTTCCAACTCAGTGAACCTTGGATTTTATCCCAAGATGTCCAATGTGAGGCACCTAGTCATGCCAGGCACACCTCAGGGCCATGAAATGTTTCTTCTGACTGGTACTTCCCATCTGAGATAGGGAGTTGTGAATCCAGGATTCTTAAGACACCATAGCTGGACAGCACAGCTAGACAGTGTCATTGGTTCAATTAAAACATTTTTGACAGCTTACTAAGTGCTTGCTACTATCCAATGACTGCACTGAAGGGAAGATGCATGGAGTCCTGCAAGGACAATAGAAAGGAGAAAGGTTTCATTAACTCACGTAGGGTCTGTTATACCTGCTCATTTCTCCATTGGCATTTCTGTGGGAGAGGCAGAGAGATGTATCCTACAAAGGTGCCATTTCTGGAGTGTTCAGGGCTTATTTAACTTTGTTATCTGTAAATGTGAAGGCTTCAGCAAGCAACTGTACTTCTCTAAACGTCAGCTCCTCACCTGTGAACTGAGGATAATAATAATAATGGTTATAGTAACAATTATTACAAAGCACTTTACAAACAGAAAAGTGTCAGATAAATATCATTCACCTATTATTTTGGTTTTTCTTGTTTTCTCTGGGGACTCACCACCAGCCACTAAGTCAATCATTGTCATTTTTTGCAAAAACTCCTATCTGTAAGCTCACTTCTAACATTACGCACAGAACAAACCAAATATTCTTCTCCCAAGTTCTCTTTTACTACCACTTGCAGCCACAAAAATTGGCAACTTGGGTTCACACTTACATCTATTTCCTTTGTGTATATTTTATTTTTGTTTTGACAATTACTATAGTCTATAGAGATTTTTGTTGTGTAACAACATTGCTCTGGTTTTGAGTAAAACTATTGCAGAATTTTAATTGTCTGGGATATCACATAGGTCCTCTGATTTAAATTTTGCAAAAGTGCGTGATACATGTGCTGACTATGCAATGGAAGGCTCTCCATTCTGTTTTTTGCTTTTTGGTTTTTTTTAGACAGAGTCTCACTCTGTTACTCAGGCTGGAGTACAATGGTGCAATCTCAGATCACTGCAACCTCTACCTCCCAAGTTCAAGTTATTCTCCTGCCTCAGCCTCCTGAGTAGCTGAGATTACAGGCGCCCACCACAATGCCTAGCTAATTTTCTTTATTTTTAGTAGAGAGGGGGTTTCACCATGTTGGCCAGGCCGGTCTCGAGCTCCTAACCTCAGGTGATCCCCCCACCTTGGCCTCCCAAAGTGCTGGGATTACAGGCGTGAGTCACTGTGCCCAGCCTCTATTCTGTTTTAAAACTCTAAGTCAGTGTTTAAAGAAGCTCAAACGGTCCTACACTCATTTATTCATTTGTTCATTCATTAAATAAATATTTATGAGTTTTGGAGCAGACACTGTTGGCACCTTGCCCACATCCCCTCTGCCATTCCTGTGCATATCAACAGCCTGTGATTGCAAACACCAGCAACCTTCTTCCTAAGTGCTTTCTCTGAGGTGTGGGCTGGAAATACCAGAGAGCTAATGCCTCCAGGAGCAGCCTTCAACCAGTGATGAATAGGAATTGGTGAATAAGTACTCTGCTTCCTTGCTTCTCAGTTTGGAAGCAAGAGAGTTCCTCAATGGTATTACACGTCAGCTGTTCACAGTGGTAACTTGCTGTTGATGCACTGTTCACTGACTTCCTTACATTCCCTGTCTTACTTCCCCACTTCTCTACTGGTAATTCCTGGGATCACCTTCCAACTGCTTTCACTCCAACACTTTTTCTCAGGGTCTGCTTCTGGGGAGATCTAACCCAGGTAGGGAGAATTCTTACCAGGACAAAGGCATTGGACTAGGTGTTCATAATTAAACATTGGGTAGAGCCACTGACCCTAATGAATCCACAGTTCAGACAGGGAGATGATATGGGTGCAGAAATGCCAACATGAACATGCACATCTCATTTTTCTAACATTTAAAAATCCTGCTGGGTCTCTCTCTCTCTCTTTCCCATGCACTCAGGCATGCATGTGCACATGCACACACACACACACAGATACACACACACACACACTCCACTCTGATCCACATGACTATTGTATCTAGTGGTATGGTAGAGCCAGCCTGCTTATGACAGCTGATTGTTACATTTTTAGGAATTTTTCCAGCAGTTGGTTAAACATGGTCATTATTAAAAATTAAATTATATAAACTTAAAATGAAATAGATCATATTAAAAACAAAGGTAATAAATACTCAAAACCATCACTTCCTAATTAGTACATTGTACTACTATCTATACTCTTGGAATGATTTGTGTCTCTCATATTTTTATGGTAGAAATAGTAGACAGTGGTGTGCTACTGCAAATTTCTTCCCATCTTTGCCTTCAATGACTCCATAGCTTGAAATCAATTGGCTCTGATGGGAATATTTACACCACAGAAATTGGCAGATGCTGTAAATCAGGGAGTGCCCCCATCCCCATCTGCACCTGAGAGCCAGTTGTTAAATATTTACCAGCACATCATCCACCATGTCTTGCCTGGAATCTCGGAACAGTCTCCTAATTTGAGTCCTGAATCCTCCATTACACTGTCCAATCTATCCTGCACATTGCTGCTAAAGTGATCTTTGAAAATGCACATCAGATTGCATCATTCTTCTGCTTAAATCTCCCACCCAACCTCAGCTTCCCATGGTATCCTCAGGCCTCCGTGGTCTGGGACCTTCCTGCCTGCAGACCCCCTTCCTTTCTCTCCCTTCCATTTGCCCATGAGCTCCAGCCACACAACCTTCTTTCTGTTCCCTGAACCAGCTGCGAAGATCCTCCCTGACCCAGGATTTTTGCACTTACCCTTCCTTTTCCCAAGACAAGATCAGCTTCTTTTCGTCATTTAAGTCTCAGGTCAACCATCACCTCCTCAGAGAGGCTTTCTCTGTCCATCTTCTTCACATCCACTGCGCTCCCCCTCTCCAAATCCCCATCCCTCTCCATCACCTGAGCCCATTCTCATTTCCTTGTAGCCCATTGCACCACTTCAATTCTTCTTACTTATTTATTGGTTGCTTTGTCTACTATCTCTCTTCCCACTAGAATGTGAGCTCCGTGAGAGAAGACCCTTCCTTTGTTCGTGGCTCTCTCCCCAGCACCTAGAACAGTGACTGACACTTAGTGGGTCCTCAGCTGGATTCATCTGTCGGATGAATGGATGTACATTCCTTCTACCTTCTCCACTCCCATTCATTTCTTAGCCCTCCACGATCTGGTGGTGTCCTTACCAAATACCCCTCCTCTAAAGCTGTTTCCCCAAGGTCCCTGGTGACTCCTGAGTTGCCATGTGCCCCGGTCTTCATCTTGCTGGATTTTTAGGCTACATTTAACAGTGCTTACCATCCCCAATTCTTGAAACTCTCTTCCCTTGCTGAGGCCATCCTCACCTGATTTACCTTTTCCATCTCTCCTTCTTGGACTCAGTAGTTGATTGCATCACTGGTGCCATTGCTTTACCCTTCCCTGTATTTCCCCGCCCCTTGAATCTGGGCTCACCTATCCAATACACCTTGTATATGTATTTCTGCTTATTTTCTTTTCCTTCAACCATCACCGTGAGAAGGGAATGCCCCTTATAGCTTGCTGATCACAGGAAGAGGGGGTGAGCCAGGTGCAGCAGAGCTTGTAAGGTGCCCCAGCCAAGCCCAGGCTGGAGGTGAGCTCTCAGGCCACCCAGAGACCTATGAGTGAGCCAACCAAGATCAGCCAAGCCTCAGCTGACCCACAGATGTGTGAGCTCTGATAAGAAACCATACTTGTTTTAAGCCACTGAGTTTGGGAGTGGTTTGTTACATAGCAAAAGCTGATTGATACATACTCTTTTGTGGGTTTTTTCCTTTCTCTGTTCAGGACTCAAGCATTTTCTCCTGTTCCCATCCACATGCAACTCCCACCCTATCCACTGGTTATAGTCATTGCTGTCCTTGGGTCTGAACCTCCAAGGGTATGCTTAGGTTTCCTAATTGCATCACTGACCCTGACAACAACCCCTGAGCCTCAGACCTACGGAAACATTGTCTCCACCTGGACTTGCCTTAGGCTCCTGAAATCCAACATGTCAAAATACAATACAACATTTCCCCCAGCTTCTGTCCCCAATCTGTTCATTCTTTTGTGTGCCTTGCCCCAGCAGTGACACCACCATGCTCCCTATCACTCAGGCCAGAAACAGGGCTCATGGGTAACCCCTCTCTCCTTCACTCCTGCTGGTCTCTAAGCCTCACTTGCTACTACTTCATGTCCTAATACCCCTCCTGAAGGACCTTGCACCTCCTACCCCTGCCACTGCCCCATTCCAGCCCTTGTCACCTCTCACCTGAGCTATTGTGGGTCTTATAACCCTGTGGGCCCCAAACCTAGCATCCACCCAAAATATAGAACGTCAAAGGAGTCATCACAGCTGTCATCAATCACAAACCCTTCCTTGAGTTGCTACTCTCAAAGGATTAGGCTCAAATCTTGCCCCTTCTATAGGCACAGCACACCTTCCACGACCTGGCGCTGAATGCAAGAGTTATTGCCATGAGCCTTGGGGACCAATGTAACTCCTCCGACGAGCCCTGTGACATGGGCAGGTTCCTTGCTCTCTCTGTGCCTCGGTTTCCTCATCTCTAAAATGGAAATAATAACTCTACCTCCCTTATAGGGTTGTACTGAGGGTTAAATAACTTTACGTATTTGTAGCGTGTCTCAAATGGTACCTGGCACAAGAAACCTAAACATGTTCTCTATTATCACAGTGGCTTTTATTTTCACATGATATTTTATTGTACTTGTCATTTATCATCCTTTCATAGTTGTTTGACAAAGCAAAATCTCTTTTTAAACTGTGAGATATAATATATTCCCATCTTCCTGTCTAGTCTTTCGGATAATATTTGCAATTTATTGTCATGAGTTAATGGACCATATTAGGTAATTATTCTTGTATGTTTAATTTTTTTCTAATAATAATGCTTTGTTTTTAATACACAACTAAAACCAAATACATCCTTTTTTTGAGTCAGGTTGATTGAAGCATAATTTGCTTCCAAGCCAAATGTACTCTTTTTAAGAGTGTACAATCCTATGAGTTTTACCACAGCCATCACTATAATCAAGATATGAAACATCTGCACCACCCCAGGGAAGTTCCCTGTTTCCCTTATGATCACCTGTGTAGAACCAGCTCTTCCCAGCCTCTCCCTCGCCCTTCAGGCTTTGCCAACAACTGAGTTGTTCAACAGATAAACTGAGATGATGTGATCTCAGATCATCCTCTCCCTCCACCTCCCCCTCTCCTCCTTCTCTTTCTCTGTCTTCTTCTTCTTCCCCTTCCCCTTCCCCTTCCCCTTCTCCTTCTCCTTCTCCTTCTTCTTCTTCTTCTTCTTTCTTCCAACCTGGAACTCTTGGGCTCAAGCAGTCCTGGGGCTAGCTGGAGCTGCATGGGCACACCACCACACCTGGCTAACATCATGCCTTACTTTGCCCATGCTATTCCTCGCCAGTGTGCCCTTTTTGGCCTGGCTACCTCCCACTTCTTCACACCTCTGCTGTCAGCCTCTGCTCCCCTCAGGGTGGGGTAACTCCCCCGGCTGGGGGCTCCCAGACTGCTGACTTTGTGTTGAAATGACCTGTTCCCATCTGAGAGCCCCAGCCTGGAGGCTGGACTGTGGGATGGGCTTTCTCGTGCTGCTGGAGGGCTGCATGATTTAGCAGAAGACTTGAGCCTGGGGGGATGCCTCTCACTCCCACCACAGGCAACCCTTGTCCATCTAGTCCTAGGGATGGATCTGGTTTTTCCCAGATACGCCTTGGGAGAGCTGACGAGGCTGCAGGGGGTTAAAGATGGGTGTCCACAGGCACAGCAGTGGCTGTCAAAGTCGGGCCACCCTGAGGGTGTGCAGATCTGCCCTGACAGAGCCTGGTGCAGCGGGACTGATTTCTTTGCCCAAAGGGCATGAGGATGATGAGGCTGGAAGTCTTCACAGCACATTGGGGCTGGCTGTTGGCAGATGAGGGGCAAGGACAGAGGAAATGCAAAGGCTCAGACAGGGCTGCTCTTCCATCCCGAAACAAATGTTGTGTTGAGGCCAAATCAAATGTTAAGTTATGTAAGGGAACAAACAGGGAGCCCCTTTTCTGTAAACACTCCTCACTCCTAAGGACTTTGTAATGTTATCGCTCATGGGACAATATTTACAGAACACGTATATTCACAAGCCTCTATTCTGTGCAGGTGCTGTGTCGGACTATGGTTCACAGTGTGGGAGACACTGCTGTGGCCCCCGACATGCCTCCAGGCACTCACCATTCTGCCAAGGGCTTCTTGCTGCAAGGCTTTCTCCAGCTTGATGGGGGCGGGGGTTAAAGTCCCCCCAGAAGAAGCTGTTAACCAATGAGGACTGGGAGTGGCTGGATAAATAACCAGGTCCTCACCCCTCAGCTGGGACGTCTCTGGGGTGTGTTCTACAGTTTCACAGCATCCCCAGAGACGCCGAGCCCTGTGTGCCCACACCAGTCACAGGCTTGATGTTGGTCCCCTTATTGGCTCCTGCTCATCCCACTTCTCCACCAATGTTTCTTATGATTATCCCCCAAATGAATGATTGAACAAACCCTACTGCCAGGATCTGCTTCCGGAAAAAGATAAACAGTGAACAGGATAAAGGAGGTCCCTGTCCCTGGACAGGCCCTTGAGGGCAGCTGGGTCTTCACTGGACCTATGTGTCATTCTAGGCTGCTTGCCCAGCTTAGCACTGTATACCGGGCACTCCACAAACACCGGTGAATGAATGAATGAATGAATGAACGAATGAATTTCCTCCCTGAAACCCAGAGGAAGGAGTGATTGTCCTAAAGGAGTATACCCATGTTCAGAAAGGTTAGATGGCCCAGCCCTGGTCAAGTAGGACTCATTGGTAGCAATTGCCAGCCAGAAGCTGGGATTCTTGACTTTCATTTGAAGCCGGGTCTCACTGCTGGAAAATGACTGAGTGTTCCAGAGTTAATCCAGGTTAATTCCTGCTGATTAATCATTAATGGGCTAAGGAACCGCCAAGATTAAAAATAGGAATGAACAGTTTAATTTCAACCCAATCGCTCTTTATTCCCCATGAAGGCTTGTATTTTTCACATCTTTCTAACAACAGCTAGTACAGTACTAGTGACAAATGGGGACAGGGAAGATTGAAAATTGTCCAAGAAATAGATGTTAGGCACGGGATTCTGCAGCAACAGGAGCTAGGGAAGTGATGGGGGGCAGTCTAGGCAGCCTTTGGTCGCTCAGAATCCAAAATTCCAAAGAAGCTGGCTTTGGCTCAAGTTCAAAGGGTTGGCTTTAAGAGACGCTGACATAATGGTTAAAAATCAAGCCTAAAATTATTTTAATTTAAAGACTTGACTAATTATGAAGACTGAGTGTTGGCTGATATTGGGGAGAAAGTCAGGGAATGAGGAAGTACCAGTTGCTCCGTTTTGTGGGACACGGATGAGTTTTCTTAGGTTAGAACCTCTCACCTTCCCCAACGCATGGAATAAAACGCCACAGAGTGGATTGTAATTATTGCTCTGCCGGCTGTGATTTGGTTGAGTATCTTAAATAGACCGTGCCTCAGTTGTACCCTCCCTAACAACGAGGGCGATGACATCCGCTTCAATTCCTCGTGCACCTTCTGGCTCTTCCACCCCAATTCCTCCATTTACTGAAGGAAATTCCTTCTGGTGCTGATTGCAATCTCTTTGATGATAAGAACTTGCTCTCCCTGGGCTGACCCCCAGCAGAGCTTGTCCTCATACCCGGCGGCCCGAGGGGGCGCTGCTTCGGGGGAAGTTAGTTGGGTTTAAATAAAGCAGCTTCCTTGGCTGTTCGCGGTTGCGCAACCCTGTTCAGCCACCGCCATGTCAGCCCAGCGGTATCCAGAGGCGCAGGCCCGGGGTCGCCGGGACCCGAACCTTCTGCTTCCCGCCTAGGCAGAGCCGGATCCTAGTCAGAGACTGCTGGGAGCGCCGCGGGCCCAGAGTGGGCGGAGCTGGCCGGAGACCCCCCCCTCGGTGGGCGGGGCGTTCCTGCTCCGCCCCGCCCCGCGCACGGCCGAGCGCCGCGCCGCTCGGCCCCGCCTCTCCCCAGCCCTGCCCCCTTCACCTCCCCGCAGCTCCTCCCCTCTCCCATTGGCCGAGGTGGAGACCCTCCTCTCTGCCCAATGGCCGCCGCCGCGGCTCGGCCACCCGCGTCCTGACTGGCCAGCGACCGGCAGAGTGGCGGGGTGCGGACCAATGGGAAGAGGCGGCTCGATGAATGGCTGGCCCGGGTGGGGAAGGCAGGAGGCGGCGATCCCGGCGGAGGGGGCCGTTCGCCAGCTCTGAGGCAGAAAGTGCCACGACTCCACACGCGCGCACGCAGCCAGCGAGCGGCCGGAGCGGACGGCAGACGGGGCGGGCGGCGTCAGGGTCGCAGCGTCTACAGCTGCTCGGGGGCGGTTTCTTGGCGGAGGCTTGGCCGGCTCCTCTCTCCCGGCTCCGCGGCGGCTGCGAAGGCGGCGGCTCCTGCCCTCTCGCTTTCCCTCTCGCGTCTCTGGCTGCAGGTAAGAAACTTGGCCGGGCCCTGCAGCGGCCGCGCGCGGGCCGGGCCGTCGGGGGGCCGGGGCCGGCCGCGCTGCGCCGCGAGTGACACGTCTCCTCGGCGGCCCCTCCCCCGGCCCGCCCGCCGCCCGCCGCCTGCCGCCGCGGCCGTGCACCATCGGGGTCGGGGTCGGACTCGGGGCGGGGGTGCCGGGCAAGCGCCGTACCGGGGCGTAGGCAGGGCGCGCCCCGTGGTGTGGACCCCGCGGCCCTCGCCGTCCGGGGAGCTGCGGCGGCAGACGGGCGCGACGTGGCGACCGCTCCCTGCCTCCCTCCCTCCCGGCAGGGCCGTCGGGCCGGCCAGCGCGCTCCGAAGTTGGGCGAAGAAAGTTGGCGGCGGGGCGGGGCGGGGCGGCGCACAGCTGGCGGAGGAAGGGGTTAAGTTTCGGGAAGCCGCCGGATGACGTTGCCGGGCTGGAGTCCGGGCCGGAGGGGTGGGGTGCGGGCGGAAGGCGGCGGAGGCCGGCCGAGGGGAGGAGGGCGGGATTGAATGGGGGCCCACGGGCCGAGCGCGCCGGTCCCGGGCCGCGGCCCGCTGGCGCTTCGCGGGGCTGGGACGGCCCCCGACGGGGCGGGCCGGGGCCGCAGGGCTCGCGGCGCAGGGACCGGGTCTGTCCATGGCACGGACGCCGGGCGGCCGCGGTGGCAACTTCCCGGAGTGCGGGAGGCGGCTCCCTGCTCCCCCTGGCGGCGGGGCCGGGGCCACCGTTTCCCCGGCTGGGCTGCGCGGAGCCTGGCTCGAGGGCTCCCGGCGGGGGGACGAGGGCGCCCGGGGCCCGGCCCGCCCCGCCCGCGGCCACGATGAATGGGCCGGCGGTGCCAGCCCCGGGCGGAAGCGGACACCTCCGGGCCGGCCAAGCGCGCTGGCACCCGGCCTGGTGCCCGCCCCGGCCCGGCCGGCTCTCCCGCTGCGCCCTGATTAGGGGAGGCAGGCCGGGGTCTGCGCTTCCAGTGGGGCGCCCGCAGTGCTTCAGGGACCCCTCTCCGAATGATAAGTCGCGAGTTTTAGCTCTAGAGTGCCCCGGCTGGCGAGGGTGACCCCGACCAAGTTGTTTCGTTCGGGGTCTCCATTTCCTGGTCTGCAAATCGGGGCTCCTGTTAGCTTCGATTTGCGAGGAAAGCTGTGGAGACCCAGCACTTGTAGGAAGGAGCCACAAGTGTTGGCTGTTCAGTTGGGATGCTTTTGTTGGGGGGTGCTGGACACGGGAGGAAGGTGGGGCCTGGCTCCGGCACTGCGGCGGGCGCGGGGCTGCAGAAGTTGCACAGCCGGGGTTCTACACCCCGGACCACGTACTGGCCGCCTACTCGCAGGTCCCATAGCCCCTCTGAATCCTAGTTTCTTATCTGTGGCCTGAAGACAGCACCACCCACTCACAGGGTCGGGAACCACGCCGGGAAGTGCTGGGACCTTGTACAAACAGAAGGCAATTTGGCAATTACTCTGAGAGGTCAGAGGTTAGGAGAGACTGGGAAGCACCAAGGAAATGAAACTCTGAGGGACCTGAGGAGCCTCCCACGTCACTGCTCAGCTATTCACTCTGCGTGCTGGAACCTTCAGGGTAGGGGCCATCTGGATGGCATTTTCAGGAATTTGGAGAAATGGGCCTGGTAGGGCCTCATATCTCACATTAGATACCTCTTCAGAACTGGGTGTCCCCAGAGACCCAGGACGTCTGTCTGGCACTCCCAGGAAGAACAACTGCGAATGTTACCCCGCCCTGTGCAGCTGGGGGGCATTCTCCCACTGCCCCGCCTCCCTCCTCACACTCCTTGTTTGATTTAACTTCCTGTTAATCCGACACCTAGAGAAATCTGTGACCCTGCAGCATGTCACTTACTGTGTGATGTCTTGACTCGTTTACGAACTTGCCAAAGGTCACTCCCACTATCATATGCCAACCTCTTTCCCTTCCAGAAAGAAGCTTCCGGTTCTGAGGTCCTGGAGGTGCCATTTCCCTCTCTGTTGAAGCAAAGGCCGGGGCAGACCTCCTAGTAGGTGAAGTTTTCCTTTTACATGGAGCACCGCAAAGCCGGCTTGCAGGGATCTTGGGCCAGTGGAGGCCTGGAGGAGGCTAAGGTTGGGGGAGGGGAAACCAGAAAGGGATCTTGGGGTTTAGGAGAGGGTTTAGAGCTCTAGGCACTATAACAACTCTCACCTTTCATACTTAGGAATCTGCCTCTGAACATTTACAGAGAGATTAAGAAGTTACAGTGGTTCATGGTATATGAGTATTTTTTGGTGATGGAAGAGTTTTAAATAAATCTTAAATCAAGTCACATTTGAGCAATTATGCTCTTTAATGAAATGAGCCCTAACTCAACAGGCTGCAATAATTACATAGCAGCAAACTCAGTTTAAATGGTTGAATGCCAGTGATTGAATTGGAGTATTGATTTATTATGTAGCAGGGACACCTTTTAAAAGTGTCGGGACCCCAGACTCTTCTTGTCTTTTTAGCCCTGGGAATTTTAACTAATAGATGAATGACACATAGAGGATCAACAGTTCTGTTGAGACAGCAAGTTTTTCTTTGCTAAAATCTTGTTTCAGGAGAAACAAAAATAATGGTCAAGTCAGAATGATGAAGGCAGGGACTGTGCTGTCCGTCTGTGCATGCTGGGCCTGCAGTGGTTAAGGCCTGGCCTATAACATCATAAATATTGGTTATACCAGGCGGACAGCGCCCCCATACCTGTTAAACTATTCCCAGCTGTCTCATTGGATAAATGAAGCTTAGCCCAACTTGGTTTTTAAGGTTCACTTTTTAGAATCAGATTCCACAACTGTGGTTTACATTTAGGCCTTAAAATAACCCTGTTCTAGGGGGTGGGAATGGTTGTCACCCATTCAGTGGATGAGAATGTGGAGGTCCAGCTGGTCAGAAGGTTGTCAGGCCAGTTCCTGTTGCCCAGTTGCTAGGCGATGTGGGCCCGGCCTTCCAAATGTTCCCTCCTGGCTATATACCTCCACCTTCCTGGGGCAATAATTACCCAAGGGAGGACACAGAACGTGAAGATCAAAATTAAGAGCTTCAGTGGCAGGAAGGTGGGGAGGCATTTTGAAAATCTGGCAGTGCTGAAGGTATTTTTCATTTCATTTTTTTCACCGAGGGTCTCCTGTGTGGTGGGCCTTCAAACACCGCAAGTGAGACCTAGTTCTTGCCTGAAAAAGCTACTGTCTAGAACTGTGTTGTCCAATACAGTAGCCACAAGTAGCAATTTAAGTTTAAAACAATTCAAATTAAGTAAAATTAAAAATTCAATTTCTGAGTCAAATTAGCCACATTTCAGGTGCTCAGTAGTCATAAGTTGGTCAGCGTGGCTGTAGATGGTTTCCACCATCACAGAAAGTTCTAGACAGTGCTGATGTAGAGGCAGCTGGTATTCTGTAAACATTCATGTCCCTGTTCCTCTTGATCATGTGGTAATATGTTGAACCACATGAAATTGCCCATTCTGTAGGTCAAAACCAGTTGACTAGTGGCAGTTGATACACTTCACCTGATAAGATCTCACCCTGAGAAAGCATTAGTCCCGCCTCTTTGTGTGCATTGTAAACTGCATTCCAAGAAAAAGGAGTGGGAGGGGGGCCACACAGATAGTGGCCCTTTCCTGGAGAGATTTTTTACCCAATGCCCTCAGCATCAAAATGGTGACTTGTAACAAAGACAGAAAATAAATTGATATTAGGTAGAAAGTGATGGCTTGTAAGGGAAGGTAAATATTTAATTTTAAGTGACAGTGCCTAGGCAAGGAGGCACTCTCACTTAGCATATAGAAAATTAGTTCAGGGGCCTCCTAGGAGACTTTTCTTAGGCAGACAAATTCTGGCCGAGTCTCCTGAAGCAGACAACCAGACACCCCCAAAACCAGACGTGTGTGTCCTTTATGTGCATTCAGTAACATGTGTCTTCCACCTGTCAACAATGGGCAGCAACTTTAACTTATCAAGAACATTTTGTGATTTCTAACTTAGATTTTTTTGGCAAGACTAGAATACCTGCCCAGTCCCGAAACCTTTTCAGTTCCAAAGTATTGGAGTTCCAGTGTTCTTGGGTGGCATAAATTGCTTCCTACACCAGTGACTATTTACACAGCTCTGTTATTCTCCATATAACTTTTTTTTCTTTTTCTTTTTTCTCTTTTTTTTTGAGACAAAGTTTCGCTCTTGTTGCCCAGGCTGGAGTCCAATGGCGTGATCTTGGTTTACTGCAACTTCTACCTCCCGGGTTCAAGTGATTCTTCTGCCTCAGCCTCCCAAGTAGCTGGGATTACAGGCATGCGCCACCACACCCGGCTAATTTTGTATTTTTAGTAGAGACGGGGTTTCACCATGTTAGTCAGGCTGGTCTAGAAGTCCTGACCTCAGGTGATCTGCCCTCCTCGGCCTCCCAAAGTGCTAGGATTATAGGCATGAGCCACCGTGCCCGGCCTCCATATAACTTCGAAAGGATCATTGGGCAGTACTGGGGAATAATTTTTGAATTCTTGGTTGTACTTGTGGGCTCATCTTAGTATTAGTACTCTGTAAAGAATAATATAAAACCAAAGTTTAACTTTAAAGGAAGAAGCTGAATGATGGACAGCTACTTGATCTCTTTCTGGTCAGAAAGGAGGCCCACTAAGACTACTGGAAGTTACAGACTATTTATAGTGATAATGAATATCATCTGCTGACTCAAAAGTTGGAATAAAAGACCATCTTGAATTCAAATCTTTAATTCTCTATCCTGGGCAAGGTATAAGCAAACAAGGTCTGTTAGGGTATAAGCAAACAAGGTCTGTTAGGCTGTCTTGAGAGGAATTCCAAACTGGTGCCCTGTGTGAGCTGAACTTGGCCTTCACATGGAATTTGTTTCACTGACCTCATGTTATTAAGCAATTGAGTCACCTTTTAAAAGTGGAATTTTTTTTTTTTTTTTCACTAAAATCTAGATTTTTTGGGCTGGGCACAGTGGCTAATCCCTGTAATCCCAGCACTTTGGGAGGCCAAGGCGGGTGGATCGCTTGAGCCCAGGAGTTTGAGACCAGCCTGGGCAACATGGCAAAACCCCATCTCTATAAAGAATGCAAAAACTAGCCAGGCATGGTGGCATGTGCCTGTAGTCCTGGCTACTCAGGTGGCTGAAGCAGGAGAATCATTTGAACCTGGAAGGTGGAGGTTGCAGTGAGCCAAGATCATACTACACTCCAGCCTAGGCGACAGAGTGAGACTCTGTCTCATAATAAAAAACAAAAACAAAATCTAGATTTTTGGGTTCTCTGGGGGAAAATGGGAATTTCTGGCTACACTAGGTTGACTTTCTTGTGTGGCAGCCGTGGACTGTGTTTGTCCTCTCTAAGCTGGGCCTGTGCTCTCAGTGCCCAGCATCCTACCCCAATATATGTTATGTGCTTGGGTATTGGCAGTCCCTCAGGGTGCTGGGGGCTGTCCGGTGTGACCGGACTAGTCATCAGCTTGTCCCACGGAGCTGCTGTGTGGAGCAGTGGGAGAAGCACTGGTTGGGTGTTCTGATCCCTGGAGTGAGTGAGTGACTTTGGACATGACTTCTCCTCCCTGGGCTTCAGTTTTCTCCCTCCTATAAAATGAAACTAGGCCAGCTAGCTCCACCTTTCAGGCCACAAACCTCGGTTTATCCTTAACTCCTCGCCGTCTCATACCTGTACCCTGTACGCAGCAGGTCCCATCAGCTCTACCTTCCAGACAGAGCCAGTGTGACCATTCTCACCACTTCTGCCTTCTCCCTGGTCCAAACAGCTCTTACCTTTTGATTTTTTATTTCTGAGAGGGTCTTGTTCTATCACCCAGGCTGGAGTACAGTGGCGCAATCACTGCTCACTGCAGTTACAACATTGCAGGCTCAGTTAATCCTCCTGCCTCAGCCTCCTGGGTAGCTGGTACCACAAGTGCATGCTACCACACCCAGTGAATTTTTAGGTTTTTTTGTAGAAATGGTGTCTTGCCACGTTGCCCAGGCTAGTCTTGAACTCCTGGGCTAAAGGAGTCCTCCTGCCTTGGCCACCCAAAGTGCCAGGATTGTAGGCGTGAGCCAGCATGCCCAGCCTGCTCTCACCTCTGCCCCGGGTTATTTCTCTAGCCTCTGGTGGGCTCCCTGCCTTTGCCTATACCCCCTGCCTTCTAGTCTGTTGCCAGAGCAGACCATGTCACTCCTCTGTTCAAGACCCTCCTTGGTCAAGGTCTCCAGTGGCCTCTCAGGGCACTTTCGCTCTAGCTTCACTCCTACCATCTCCCTGTCCTCTGCTGCAGCCACGGTGGCCTCTGTTCCTCAGGCATGCTTCTGCCTCCGGGCCTTTGCGTCTACTTTGGCATATCCCTAAGAGCTTTTCCTTAGATGGCACATGGCTGGCTCCCTCATCTCCTTCAGGCCTGTTGGCTACCCTGTGTGGAGTGTCAGCCTCTGACGCTCTCCCACCCCCACTCCCTGCCCCCCTTCTCTGCATCACTTTCTCTTCATCACCCCCTGACATGTCCCGTATTTGACTGACTTTGTCATCTCCCCCTCTGAAGCGTAAGCTCTACCAGTGCAGGGATGTAGCTTTTGTTTCCTGAGGTATATCCAGTGTCGAGGGCAGTGACTAGCATGCAATAGGTGCCCATTCTTGCTGAGCTAATGGAGATGATTTTGTAGCACTGGCGTTCTGCGAGTATATCATGTAGCCTGAAGGAGTCTGGATTCCTAGAGCATCACATATAAACACAAAAACATATTCCAGAGCCAAATGCAAGTGAAGTTTGGATTACCTCCAGCCTGCCTCCAGTTGAGAAATTGACAGTCACATGCAGAGGGCACTGTTAAATGTGGACATCCTGCCCTTCCAGCGGAGGCTGGGGTTTGAAGTGAACCTTAGGAGACGATGTGGATGTTGGCTCTCTCCTGGGAGCCCTCAGTCTCCAGCCTGGTTAGATTCATCCCAGTGTCTCTGGGAGTCCATCATGCATGGCACCTTGACAGAACTGGGCCCTTCCCAGGTGCTTGCACCAGTTCTGGGGAGGAGACTTGGCTGTGAGCATCCTTTAATTCCTTGTATAACCAATGAGTGTGAGGTGGGCCTTGCAGAGTCACTGAGCATTTCAGTGACGACACACTCACCAGGAAACAGAACATTTGTTTTGGGTGTGAACAGTGTGCTGGCTGCTCTGAAAAGAGGTAGATTTTGTGTTTAGTGGGCAAGAATGTTCCTTAGGGGGAGAAGGGAGAATTCTTTTTTTTTGAGAGGGAGTCTCGCTCTGTCTCCCAGGCTGGAGTGCAGTGGTGCATCTCAGCTCACTGCAAGCTCTGCCCTCAGGTTCATGCCATTCTCCTGCCTCACCCTCCTGCTGGACTACAGGCGCCCACCACCAAGCCCAGCTATTTTTTTGTATTTTTTTTAGTAGAGACGGGGTTTCACCATGTTAGCCAGGATGGTCTCGATCTCCTGACCTCGTGATCCACCTGCCTCGGCCTCCCAAAGTGCTGGGATTACAGGCTTGAGCCACCGAGCCTGGCCGGGAGAATTCTTATAGTTGGCATTACATTTTGTTTTCTCTTGGTCAGTCCTCATCGTGCTAGGAAGTGAGGGAGGGGTCAAGGTTCCTCTCCTGCCTCACCTCATGGTGATGTTCTTTTCTCAGAGGAATTTTGTGTGGCAGTCCACTAAGTAGGAGGAGCAATGGCTGAGGCAGGGTGGTCTGGTTGGGAAGAGGCAATACTACGTCCAGCCCCATCCTTTGTTTCTCCTCTTCTCTCCTGTTGATTTTAGGTGAAGAAGAGTAGATACTAGATTTCTAGCCCTTTCTAACGGGAATGTCTGACCTACTCATTTTACTTGGAAAGGTGAAAGACCCTTGTTCAAACCCAGGTGGTGTGTTTTTTTGAAGTTCTCATTCAGTGATTAAAGTGTGCAACTCAACTGCATTAAATTGGTTTTTAATTAAGTCTGATCCTGAATAGGAATTAGATGTAGCTTTAGTTTTATGAATACATTTTTATTTCCTTGGTAGTTCTAGGTATTTGTAGTAATTAGAAAGGAAAGTCTTAATTTTCAGAATAGTAATCACAGTGATTGAGGGGAGGAAGGAGTCAATGCTGAAGAATAAATGAATTATTGAGACTCTTAATGAAAAAAGTCTTATTGGTAATGTGTCAAAGGACTCTTAAAAGGTCAACTTTAGCCACTGCTCTGAAGCTAAGTTAGTCTTTTCCATCTTAAGTCATATCCCTCTTAAGTTGGAAGATCTGGAGACTTATTCTGTACAGTTTGATTTTAAAAAGACTGCAGGTGGGCCGGGCATGGTGGCTCAGCCTGTAGTCCCAGCACTTTGGGAGGCTAAGGCGGGCAGATCACCTGAGGTCAGGAGGTCGAGACCAGCCTGGCCAACATGGTGAAACCCTGTCTCTACTAAAAATACAAAAACTAGCTGGACATGGTGGCACATGCCTGTAATCGCAGCTACTTGGGAGGCTGAGGCAGGAGAATCAATTGAACCCGGGAGGCGGAGGTTGCAGTGAGCCGGGATCGTACCACTGCACTCCAGCCTGGGCGACAAAGTGAGACTCCATCACAAAAAAAAGAAAAAAGAAAGACTTCAGGACAGCAAGGTGGCATGGCCACAGGACTATAAAGGGCTGTGGGTCCCACTGAGTCACTGCCCTGTCAGGTCAGGAGGTGACTGCCTGCCTTGACCCTGGCCTCAGTTACTTCCTGTCTGTGAAGGGAGCGATCCTGTGTGGGTGTGAGCACTGGGAAGTGGCAGTAGTAACAGGGCTCCATAACAGATTCTTCAGGCCTTAAAGATGCTCCTCCTCCAGGATCTGTGGGGCGCGTTTTCCAAGGAAATATGACACACATTTTAAACTCTTTATTAAAGTAAAATATATACAGAAAAATGCACTATCACGAGTCTACGCAATAAGTATCCACAAGCTAAACATGCCTGTTTAACCAGCAGATCAAGAAATAGATTATTCCTGACCTCCCCAACCTCCTTCTGTGCCCCTCTTCCAGCTGCTGCCCATCGTGGGCAGGGAATACCTGCTCTCTTCTTAATAATACCAGTGATTGATTTTGCTTGTGTTTGAACTTGATGTAAATGGACTCAAACGGCATATGCTCTTTTGTGTCTTTCACTCAACGTTACGTGTAAGACTTGTCAGGTTGTTGGGGTAATTGTAGTTTGTTCATTCTCACTATTCCAGCATGTGAATATATGAGTTTATTCACATTACTGTAGGTGGGTACTTGGAGAGTTTCCAGTTTGGGGCTATTAATGCCGCAGACTTTTGGTGAATGTCTATACACATTTCCATTGGGTCTGTATACCTAGGAGTAGAATTGCAGGACCAGAAGGAGGTAGGTGCTCGGCTTTAAAAGAAAGTGCCAGACTTTTTGTCTGAAGTGCTTGTTCTAATTTATACTCCCACCAACAGTATATGAATGAGACCTTGGAATATATTATAAAGTGGCTGATTCTAAAAGGGAACCAAAATGAATTTTGAGTTACCGTTGATAATAAATAAGAAATGACTCACTCAGGCTGAAGTTCTCCGCTGTCACAGAGAGAGGATGTTAGGCTGGCAGAATTCGTTAATCAAAGGTGGGCCTTGGGAAAAGGGCTTGTGAGGGTCAGATTTTATTGCTGATGAGCAGGTGATATTTCCTAATATAAACCTGAGTGGAAATGCAGCTCTTCTCCAAGGAGTTAATGGAAGGGAATTCAACGAAGCTCATATCTTGAGATTGAATTCTTCATCAGAACTCTTCCCCTACAGAGTGAATTTCCTAAAAACGAACCAATAGTTGGGTATCAGACCTCATTTAGCTCTGGCCCATGTGTTTCTAATTAGAAGCTCTGCCCACCTCTAGGGGTTGGCAGTGTCGGGATATTCCTGCAGGAGCCCTTCCTCCCTGGCCCACCTAGTAATGAAGGATGGTATATCCAGGTCCAGAGTTGGTAGTAGTCTCCCTGGCACAGCCAGCCTCCTGGCACATGGCAGCCACGTGCTCCCTTTTCTTTGAAGAGCATGGTTGGCTGGAATTTGGTTTGGCTGTTGGGGGCGACAACACTGGGTTTCTGGTGATAGAATAGGCTGGGTGGCCTGAACCGGTCTTCTAACTTGCTGGATGGCCTGGACAAGAGGTAAATGACATTAAAAATACCTTCTGACAAGCCTAGAATGGAATACACTGAAGCAGGTGGTGAAAGGAGTGACCCAAGAGGATAAGGACAACCCCGGGGGCCTTTGGCAAAATAGGCAAACTCTTAAGTTCTGATAGCATCTCCAGGCGCAGGGGGCAGAGATTAATGCTGGCAGCATGATAGGACACAGGCTCCCTGAGTTGGAACCACAAGGGGCCATGACACCTTCATGGAGAAGGGGAGTCAGAGGTAAGCCCATTCTCACCCTACAGGCAGGGTAGGGAGGGGCACATTCTGAGAAGTGGATATCACAAGTTGTCCCTCATGTGGATCCCATGACTTGAGTAGTGGGAAACTCCAAGCTGATTTGAAGATTCTTTATTTGAGAGTGGACCTGCACACCTAGTGTTCCTGGGTCAGTCCAGGGGCGAGCAGATCATTGAAGGACTGCACCTTTATCCTAGGCTCACCAAATCCCCAGTTGTAATTATCAAACGAAAGAGAATAGTCCATAGTTAGGAACAACTAAATGCAAAGGATGAAATAGCACTGAATGAGGACCAGCAGGAAGAGATCTCAGAAAACATAAGATAATGGACTTGTTGACATAGATTTTAAAGGCCTTACTCAAACTAAATAGGCAAGATTGAAAATACCTATGAGGAAGAGGAAACTATACAATGACCTAGCAAATTTGAAAAAGGAACCAGGAACAACTTGTAGACATGAAAAGTTCATGTCTTTATAATAAAAATCTAACAGATGGATTTACTAGCAGATTACATAAAACTGAAGAGAGTGAATGACCTGGAAAGTAGAGAAGAAGAAATATAATTTAGAGAACCACATAGATGAATAATTTGTAAGACCAATTAAGATTCAGGAAGAGTAGATGCAGAAGTGTGTCTAATTGGGGTTCCAGGAGAGGAGCGAGGACAGAGCCAGTACTTGAAAAGCTAATGACTGAGAATTTTGCGGAATGCGTAAGACACCCAACCAAAACCCAAGCCGGGTAAATAAAAATAAATCCACATATAGACATTTAGTGATACAGCAACTCAAGGGAAAAATTCAACAGTGAGAGTGAAAAGATTGTTTTAAGACAAAAACCCAAGATAGCTACTGACAGATCTTTGCTAAAGGAACTTCTCAAGGATATTCTTGGAAGGAAGGTGATGGCAAGTGGAAAAAGACATAACAAGCAATGATGAGTAAAGAAAGTGGTAAATATTTGGACAGTTCTAAATACATGTAAAAGAATAATGTTGGAGAGGCTGGAACAAGGATAAGATTAAATACATGAAAACAGTAACATCTAAGTTGGAAGGGATAATAGAATTAATTTGGGGGGGTAAAGATTTGTTTAACTTTGAATTTTGTGAGTGCTGTGTGTTACTGTTTTTTTTTTTTTAAAGGTAATTGCTAAAAAGTAGAAACAATGAAAAAAAAAAAAGAATCCTACACTACTCATTTTGATGCCAGCCAACCTTGTTACAAAACTTGACAAGAATGGTAGGAGGAAAGAAAACCATCAGTCAGATCTCATACCTGAAAAGATAAACAAAGTCCAGCAGTATGTATGACTAAATCGTTTTATCCTAGGAATTCAAACTTGGTTTAACGTTTAAAAATAAGTTTATATTCACCTTCCACACCTACGGGTTATAGGAGTAGAATAGTATGATTATCTTAATAGATACAGATAAAGTATTTGATAAAATTCAACATCTATTTATGTAAACTAGGAATAAGAAAGCAACCTCTTTATCCTGATAAAGGATGTCTGCAAAAAGGCTTTAGTAAATCTCACACTAAAGAGAGACACCTAAATCTTTCCCTTTGATATGAGAAAAACAGAATACTTGCTGTCATTCCTTCTCTTTAGCACTGTGTTGAAGGTCCTGCCCTGTGCAAAAATTCAAGAAGAATTAAGCAGACGATAGGAAATTGGGAAGAAAGAAACAAAACTGTGATTCATATGCTTATATATGTAGAATTTTTTTCTTTTTAATCGACAGATGTGTTACTAGAATTAGGCAAGTTGCTGTGGGGGAAAAATCACCCTGCTGGAATCAGTTACGTTTCCGTATACCAGCAACAAGCAGAAAACGAAACTTCAGAGCTACCATTTGTAAGAGTGTGAAAACTATGAAAAACTAAGAAGTAACTCTGAAAACGTGTAAGACTCCATGGTGTGTATTATTTCCCATCTGGAAACTTGGGTTGTTCTGTTTAGATTTGATCCTTATAATGGTATACATTAGCACATACGATGCTGATATGATATTGAGTAGACGATTGATTCATCACTTACCATATTTGATGTGGTGAGGTTTGATTTGATACAGTATAGATGACACTGACCCCTGCTTTTGGGAGACAAATGTTTACGGCAGTAAGAACTCCCTTGTGGGCTAGCACATCTTAACTGTTCATGTCCATTTTGAGACATCAGTTCTTGATTCCTACCGCATAGGCATGCTGTCTTCCTCAATAAGGTGAAGCCCGTAGGCTTCTTGGAAGTTCGCAGAAGATTTAGGTCTGTTTAAGTACCTACTTTCCAAAGACTGTTATTTGGAAAGACACCAGAAATTGTCAATTCTTTATTTTTTACCCCCCTCAGGCATAGAAATTGAATCTGAAATGGCTGATGAATAAGCAAAGGCTTATAATAGAGTACATTTCTATTTTTAGTGTTTCAACTCTTCTTTAAAATGAGTAACATTGTTTCTTTAAAATAGGGAGTCCATTATATGTATCCTCTTAGAAATGAAATAAATTTTTTCGGACTCTTTGTTACTGCATTTTCTCTTAGTTTCTTTGGGTTAAAAAAAAAATCAGAGATTGCACTTAAAATTTTAGGTCAACTGATCTGAAACCCACTTCTCCAACACTTAGAAATGTTACATAGTTAGTAAGCAGTCTTTAAAATGCATAGTAGTGCATTCACAAGGTAGGGAAAGAGATGACCAGAGTTCATAAGCCAAGGTTGCAGCGAGTGACTGGGACCTGCAGTGAGCTGACCCTGGGACAGGGGTAGGGGTGCGGTATTATCGGTCAAAGTCATCTGAGTCTTTGGCTTTAATGTCCAGGGGGAATGGGATTTTGTCTGAGACTGGGAATGGGAACTGAGCCTTCTCTCACATCCACCTGTAAGACTTGAACCCTTGAAGGGCTGTACCCTCCATGGGAGGACAGACTAGAAAGAACACCTGCCCAGTAGTCGCAAGGGGAGATGACAGGTAAGAATTTATCTGTTTTGTCCTGGGCAAGGGAGACACAGTCTCCTGATAATTTGTAAGAGGAGACCATGCCTCTTGTAAAAGTTAGTCCCTGGCTGGTCTTCCCTGAGGCCCTAGTTGAAGCAAAGATAAAACAGCTCATTAGAGGCAGGCCCACAACTCAGCCCATTAAGGTTTACCAGTGATAAAGCCCCACAAAGATATAATATCAAATCACTGTTAGAGGTAGAAAAGAAGACAATGAAAAATAGAAAAGCCAGTCAGACTTAAAAAACAAATCGAATAACGAAGGACTGATTATAGAGCTGGTGAGATTCAGCTGAAGACTGGAGTGTAGGTCTAACGAGTTATCCAAATGGTAGCACAAAGAGATTGAGGTCTAATTAGGAGCTCTACCAGGAAGGAATAGGGAGCAGGCCATTTTCGAAGAACTGTGTGGCCAAGGATTTTCCAGAATTGAAGAATAACATAACTCCTCACACTCAGCACAGTGAGTCTGAATAAGTTAAATATACACTTACAAACATTTTGCTGAATCCTTAGAACCCCAGAAATGGATCTTAAAAGTAATGAGAGATTAAAAAGATATTATAAAGGAATAACAAATAGACTGACAGTGTGTTTCTAAACATCTCATCAAGAAAATGCCGGAAGACAAGTGAAATAACATCTTCAACATGGTGAGAGAAAACTGTCAGCATGGAATTCTGTCCTCAGTTAATCCATGAAGGTGAAGTAAATTTTCTCAGGGCTTTAAGGACTGAGAAAGTTTATGAAGAAGAGATCCTTGCTGAAAGAACTACTCAAGGATGTACTTTGGCAAGACCCTAAAAAAAGGAATGAGATGCAAGTAGCAGTGATGAGCAGATGGCCAGCATTTGGGTAAACAAGCAAGTGTCAGCTATCCGGAACCAAACAACACTGACTAGTCCAGATGTGTGTGTGATGGGGGCTCATGTCATGGGGAAGGGCAGCAGACCTAAGACCTTGTAGGTGGTTTGACCACTGGGGAGGCAGCTGGAGACATTCATGAAATTCAGTCACGTATGGATGTTAGGAAGATGTGTTAGCATCACAGCTTGTAGGATGAAGCCGTAGCAGTACTTAGGGGGAAATTTATTGCCTTAAATATTTGCTGCAAGAAAAGAGAAAGGACTGAAAGTTGATAAATGGCCGTGTCAGAAAGTTAGAAAAGACAGAATAAACCAGTGGAAGATGGAGGAAGGAATAATGAATATTAATTTTATAGATTGGATCAGAAAGCCAGCAGCTGGTCCTAGAATCATCATTGAAATTGATGTTGTTAAATTGTATCGAAATTGTTAAAAATCAGCACTCTAGCCAGCCTTCCCCCTTTAAGAAAAGATCTCAGAACACTAATCCTGATGGTTTTATGGGCAAGTTCTTCCAGATCTACAAAGAACAGAAAACCCTACCTGTACACAAACTATGCCAAAGAATAGGGGAAAAGGAATGATTTTTAGCTTATTCTATGAGACTCAAGAGACCCTAATACCAAGATCAGAAAACAGTCTGAGAATCACCTCTGATTTTTCTCATTTTAAAATACACATAGAAATCTCACATAAAAATGTTAACAAACCAAATCTAGTGATGTGTTAGAAAAGAATCTCCATCAAGAAACATTTATACCATAGAAACTTTCTGTGAACTGGCATTATTAGACTGTGCATTACTGTAATTCCACATACTTCAGATTAAAGGAGAAAATGTCAACTGCAATTGGTAAAATCTAATACTCAATTATATTAAAAAGATAACTAGGAATATAAGACATGCTACTTAACCTGAGGAAAGATTTCTGCCAGAAACCTGCAGTTGGTACGACACTGGTAGTAAAACATTAGAAGTAGTAACTTGCGAATGCTACAAGGCAGCTTATTGCACAGACTCTGCTCAGCACTGCATCAGAGTTCTCAGCCAGCTCTGTTAAGCCAAGAAAAAGAAATGAGATCATATGGTTTGGAAAGCAAGAAACAATACTGTCTTTTTTTCCACAGCTTACTTTTTATTAAAAAAAATCAGAAAGAATCTACAAACTCCTAGATTTGACAAGAACATAGATGATAGCTGGGTAAATTATACATATGCAGAAATGAATTACTTTGCTGGTTGTCTGTAGCTGAGGAGTAGAAGAAGTAGTTTACAAAAGGTATTCTAACCATCAACAAAACAACGTGTAAGACTTTTATGGAGAAAATCATTAAAATCTTATAGAAGTATGGAAGAAAACTTTTTTTTTTTTTTTAAGAGACAGGGTCTTGCTATGATGCTCAGGCTGGTGTTCAACTCCAAGACTCAAGTGAACTCCTGCCTCAGCCCCCCAAGTAGCTTGGACTACAGACACGAACCACTGTGCCTGGCTTCGAAGAAAACATTTAAATCAGTGTAGTGCTCTAGCATACCATATTCATTGACAGATAGCTTCTATAGTTAGAAATATCAATCCTTCCTACGTTCATGTATAAACTCAGTGTGATTCAAATGCAAATTCCAGTAGAAATTTTGTAGGGGATGCTTAAGCTGAAAATGTGGCATTGATGCAGGGCATAAATATAACAGTGGAACAAAGTGTAGAATCTAGAAACAGATCCACTGAATGGCACAGAAATGGCCATCTGAGTCTGTGGGGGAAGGAAAAGACCAGTCAGGAAATGGTGCTGGGTAATTAAACTGATGGGGAAAGTTTTATCACTGTTTCCTGTCACATACCAAAGTAAATTCCTGGTAATTGAAAACCTGACTTTGAAATGCATTACCAAAGTCTTTTGAAGAAAATAACTTATAAACAGTAAAATGACTTCTGTCACAATGGTTATCTCCAGGAAGCGACCCTGGGTGGCTGGCTTCAGGGGTATAAAGGAGATTTTTCACTCATATGGTAGACATGTCACACTACAATTTTGTGTGACAGCATAAATTTTTAAAACCTAAAAGCATAGGAGTATGGCTAATAATTTGTGGTTCAACTATGTAATATAGGAGTGAAAATAAATAAACCCCAGCCTGGCCAATATGGTGAAACCCCGTCTCTACTAAAAACTACAAAAATTAGCTGGGCGTGGTGACACACGCCTGTAATCCCAGCTACTCGGGAGCCTGAGGCACAAGAATGGCTTGAACCTGAGAGGCAGAGGTTGCAGTGAGCCAGGATCATGCCACTGAGCTCCAGCCTGGGCAACAGAGAGAGACTTTGTCTCAAAAAAACAAAAAGAATAAACCAAAGCTATGTGTATCTATATGAATATTCTCACAAAGTTTAGTCAAAAAATGTTACCAAATAGCACCCAGAACAATGTCACTTACACAGCAATTACCAACACACAAAGTAACGGCTGTATTTTGTTGGTAGAGATAGATACATGTAATAGAAGCAAAAGCAGGTGGAAGTGGTAAGTGGCCCATTCAGGGTGTTGTCCCCCTCTAGAAGGGAGATGACATATATATACATATACACATGTGTGTGTGTCCCCCCCCCACATATATATGTATACACAGGCACATACATATATATATAAATAAATATCTAAAGTGCATATGGCAAAATGTTAGGGTTTGGTAAACCTGGGTGGTAGGCTAATGGATGTTCATATTTTTCTTTTTAGTCTTTTGTATGAGTCATTTCATAATATTTTAAAAATTAGGAGCTGTTGATTCTGATGTAGCCATGTCTGCTAGGGTCTCTGTTTTATTGTCATTCTGTTTTAGTTCTGTACCTTCCTAGCAGGTCACCTTATGCCCAGGAAATGGATCTGGGGGTTGGTTTTCTTTGTCCACCCCTACCCCACAGCTTCTCCAAGCTTCCACACACGGTCCCCCGTGGAGCTGCTGCTTAGTAATGAGACAGAGTCCTGGGAGCTGTTGAGGGTCTTTTCACAAAACCTACCAAAATCCCAGCTGCCAAATTGGACCCAACTGGCTTGGCCGGGCCATGTGAATTAGCAGATATCTTCTGTGTCTAAAGAGTTTGGGGCTTCCTCTTACTTTTGTTCCCCGAATCTTAAGAACAGAAGAAGAGCCATTCTCTCAAGATCTTAGAGGTGGGCCAGTGAGTTCAGTCTGTCCAGCCTCTGCGCAGCCTCCTACATCCTTCCCTCTTGGGGCCTTCATCTTTTTGTCTTACAGTCTGAGTATGTTAGCAATATCGTAGTCCCCCTTTATCTATGGTTTCACTCTTTGTGGTTTCAGTTACCAGCAGAAAGCTGTGGTCTGACAATATTAAATGGAAAATTTCAGAAAGAAACTCTTCCTGAGTTTTAAGTTGCATGCCATTCTGAGTAGCGTCTTGCCTGGGATGTGAACGATCCCGTGTGCAGTGGATTCACGCCGTCTGTGTTACCTGCCTGTGCGTCACTTGGTGGCCCTCTCAGCTTTCAGATCCACTGTCTGGTATCACAGTGCGTGTGTTTGAGTCACCCTTACTTTACTTAATCATGGCCCCAAAGTGCAAGAGTGGTGATGCTAGCATATGGTTATAATTGTTCTATTTTATTATTGTTAATCTCGTACTGTGGCTAATTTCTAAATTAAATTTCATCATAGGTATGTAGGTATAGGAAAAAAATAGTGTATATAGGATTCAGTATTACTGCAGTTTCAGACCCACTGGGGGTGTTGGGAAGTTTCCCAGAGGATAAGGGAGGACCACTGCAGGGAGTAAAAGTACGTATTTGACAGAAGTTTCTGGAATTGACAGAATATAGATCCCTGTGGTCAGACCCTACAAGGTATGGGTGGGCACACATCTGCCCTAACTCTGGTGCAGTGGAGGAAGCCCTAGAAGAGGTTTCTGTTGGGGGCCTCTTATCATGGTGTGGATTTCAGGAGCAAATCTCCCGGAATGCTGATTGTGAGAACCGAATTTGAGAGGCATCCCTGGCTTCATCATTTCTGTGAATCAGGGATCTCCCAGCATGATGTTTACGCCTCACTGAAGCTGACTCTGCAAAGCAGCAGAAAGGTTGTTTTTCATTTCGATTTCTTTGCTGTCCGTGGTGGTATTGCCTTAGCCTTAAATGTTTCAGTGTATTACTACTTAAGACTAGGGCTTTTCATTTTCTTGTGAAAGATTTCTTTTAAAAAATTCTAACTTGGGAATTAGTGGTGGGGATGTAATTTCTTTTTCTGCAAAAGTTGGGAAGACACATTTGTGCTGCTATAAAACATATATTTGTGTGCGTTGCAAAGGAAAAATATTCTCCCGAGTTTGTTTTTCTCGATTCTGGGTCCCAACAGAGAATATGTTTTTGTATTCTGTGTTTGCCTATGTTGAGTAAGATTAAAAGTTCATTTTCCAGCCTTGGCTTTTCTGCTGGAGTTTAGAAGTTGGAAACCACAAGGCTGCACAGAGCCCCACAGTCCTCGGCTGTGAACAGGCCCCGCTTTGTGCGTGGCTGTTCACTGTGTCACGGTCTGCAACCAGTGCCAATCGCGACTCGGTAAAGACCACCCCTCGAGCACATGGTTGTTGGGAAACGATTCGGGGTTTATGGAGCCTCAGTGAGGGTGACCCAGGCCCCTAATGTTCGTTTCTCTAGAGAAGGGGAGTGTTTTAGAGGATTTTTTATTTTTTTTTAAATAGAGATGGGGTCTCACTATGTTGCCTGGGTTGGCCTTGAACTCCAGAGCTCAAGCGATCCTCCCTCCTCAGCTTCCCAAGGTGCTAAGATCACAGGCTTGTACCACCATGCCTGGCCTTAGGATTTTTGAATGTAGTGATTATAATGTGGTGTCCATTTTGGCAGAGTTCTGAGAAATCTTGTAAGTACCCAGAGGAGTTTTGGTTGGTGGGTACCTGCCAAAAAGTGAGGGTTGACTGTACCATGTTCCAGACCTTCTTGTCCCCATCCTCCTACCCACTGAATCCATCCATGGCTGAGCAGGGTGCGATTTCCTTTTTAACACCCAGCTTGAGAGTGTGTTCTCGGAAGGCCAGTTCCTGGTATCCTCCCTCGATGATCAAACGTGAGAGTGCCCTGGCTGTGGATCACACTGTCACTGCCCACGGCCAGAGGTCAGAACCCATTTGGAAATATAAATGCTGCCTTACCCAGGATTCAAAGGCCTCCATGAGCTCCCCTAAGACTTTGTAGAGGTTAAGACTGGAATGAAAAGTGTGACTCAGTCTCGCTCAACGCCGAGTGACAGTGTGGGAGAAGTGTGTTGCCACAGCAGCTGATAGAGTTGTCCCCAGGGAGAGCATATGCTAGGAAGTTTCTTCGTCATGAGTGTTTTAAACCCTCTTCTTGTGAAGGTCTTAGAAAGGTCAAAGTAATGTGTTCCTTCTGTGATGAGAGTGATTTTTTTTTTTTTGAAAATTTTTTTTTTGAGACGGAGTCTCGCTCTGTCGCCCAGGCTAGAGTGCAGTGGCGCGATCTTGGCTCACTGCAAGCTCCACCTCCCAGGTTCATCCCATTCTCCTGCCTCAGCCTCCCGAGTAGCCTGGACTACAGGCACCCGCCGCCACGCCTGGCTAAGTTTTTTGTATTTTTAGTAGAGTCAGGGTTTCACCGTGTTAGCCAGGATGGTCTCGATCTCCTGACCTCGTGATCTGCCTGCCTTGGCCTCCCAAAGTGCTGGGATTACAGGCGTGAGCCACCGCGCCCGGCCGAGAGTGATTTTTCTTAGAACACAATGCCAAGACATTGAAAACAGTCTCCCTTCTCAGTCCCTTCTTTAAAATGCCCTCATGTCAAAATTTGGATTTGATTCCTACTCTGTTTCCTTCCTCTATAACCACTCAAGAGGAGTGGGGATCTCAATGTCTTAGGAGAAGAATCTCAGTATCTGAGCCACTAAGCAGCCTGGACCCAGTCTCCCACAGCATCTAGAGGTTTTGCAGGGCAATGCTGGGGGAGGCCTGTCCACTTCCCCTCCTCTCCTCTTCCACCTCCTTTTACCTCCCCTTAACCACCCCTTCTTACCCTTGTGTTCTCTTTGCTCATTCCATCGATCTTCTTTAGAGAGACTCGGGACTGGCTTGAATGTATCCAAATAAATACACCTCCTGGAGTTCCTCAGTGAAGTCGAACTTAGCCCGGGCTGTGGCAGGAAGGTGTATGAACCTGGATGCCTCTGACCCATTGGACTTTGGTCCATAGGCAGTGAGAATGGTGTTGTTCATTCTTATGGTTTGGGGAGTGTTGTCTGACAGAGGGGCCTGCTGACACTGTCTCCTCACCCTCTGTGCAGCTTCTGGATGTGAAATTCCAAACCTGGCATCTTCTGGGCCTCCCAAGACTGATTCTTCCTGTTTCCCAACATGCAAATTGCAGGCTCCATAACTCCTCAGGAGCTATTGCTGGCAAAAGGCTATTTTCCCTCACTGAATTTTTGAACACGTTTCAGGATTGTAATGCAGAAGTTTTTATCTCTGATCCTGGGTAGCAGCATTTATTGGCACTGGGGAAGAGGGAAACAACAGAGTGGAGATGGCACACTGTGGGCCTGCTGGCTAAAATGCTTGTGGCTGAAAGCCTGCAGATGTGTTTGGTTTGGTTCGGTTCACATATTTTTTAAATCAGTCAATTTCACGTTGAGAGAAAAATTTTTTAAAAGTGTCTGGCCTAACATGAAAAATCAAAACATCTTCCAACTCAGCAATCACATTTCTAGGGCAATCGGCCATGACAGAGTGTCACTGTCTAATTTTAGGTGGGGGCGGGTGTTTTTACTACAGTCTCCACCACTCCCCATGGTCTCACACCTGGCCTGTGTTTGTGCTCCTGTGCATCTTTGACCTTGGGTGGGGAATATCTTGCATCAGGGTCATGGCTGCTGAGGCTCCTGGGCGTGTGTGCTCCAGAGATAGGCCTCCACTCTGCTCTGACTCTGCTGTTGCTTTGTATGGGGACTGCTCATGCCTTGGGTACGAATCGCTCACTCCTAAAGAGGAGCAGGTGAGAATGTGGGACATCAGAGAGTGCCTGGGTTTGTTTCTTCTCTGAATTTATTAGCCTGAAGAAAGAATTAGTGAAACCTGAAGTTTGGTGGTAGGGTGGGGATAGAAACTGTTGAAGGCCTTGATTTCTATAAATAGTAACCTCCATGTATGTTTGACAGGTGAAAGGAAAGCAAGCCAGGATGGATATTTACGACACTCAAACCTTGGGGGTTGTGGTCTTTGGAGGATTCATGGTTGTTTCTGCCATTGGCATCTTCCTGGTGTCGACTTTCTCCATGAAGGAAACGTCATATGAAGAAGCCCTAGCCAACCAGCGCAAGGAGATGGCGAAAACTCACCACCAGAAAGTCGAGAAGAAAAAGAAGGAGAAAACAGTGGAGAAGAAAGGAAAGACCAAGAAAAAGGAAGAGAAACCTAATGGGAAGATACCTGATCATGATCCAGCCCCCAATGTGACTGTCCTCCTTCGAGAACCAGTGCGGGCTCCTGCTGTGGCTGTGGCTCCAACCCCAGTGCAGCCCCCCATTATCGTTGCTCCTGTCGCCACAGTTCCAGCCATGCCCCAGGAGAAGCTGGCCTCCTCCCCCAAGGACAAAAAGAAGAAGGAGAAAAAAGTGGCAAAAGTGGAACCAGCTGTCAGCTCTGTAGTGAATTCCATCCAGGTTCTCACTTCGAAGGCTGCCATCTTGGAAACTGCTCCCAAGGAGGTGCCGATGGTGGTGGTGCCCCCAGTGGGTGCCAAGGGCAACACACCAGCCACTGGCACTACTCAGGGCAAAAAGGCGGAGGGGACTCAGAATCAAAGCAAAAAGGCTGAAGGAGCCCCAAACCAGGGCAGAAAGGCAGAGGGAACCCCAAACCAGGGCAAAAAGACAGAGGGAACCCCAAACCAAGGGAAAAAGGCAGAGGGAACCCCAAACCAAGGCAAAAAGGCAGAAGGAACCCCAAACCAAGGCAAAAAGGCGGAGGGGGCCCAGAACCAGGGTAAAAAGGTAGATACAACCCCAAACCAGGGGAAAAAGGTGGAGGGGGCCCCAACCCAGGGCAGAAAGGCCGAGGGGGCTCAGAACCAGGCCAAAAAGGTAGAAGGGGCCCAGAACCAGGGCAAAAAGGCAGAGGGGGCCCAGAATCAGGGCAAAAAGGGAGAGGGGGCCCAGAACCAGGGCAAGAAGGCCGAGGGGGCCCAGAATCAGGGCAAGAAGGCCGAGGGGGCCCAGAATCAGGGCAAGAAGGCCGAGGGGGCCCAGAATCAGGGCAAGAAGGCCGAGGGGGCCCAGAATCAGGGCAAGAAGGCTGAGGGGGCTCAGAACCAGGGCAAAAAGGCCGAGGGGGCTCAGAACCAGGGCAAAAAAGTAGAAGGGGCCCAGAACCAGGGCAAGAAGGCTGAGGGTGCCCAGAACCAGGGCAAAAAGGCCGAGGGGGCCCAGAATCAGGGCAAAAAGGCCGAGGGGGCCCAGAACCAGGGCAAGAAGGCCGAGGGGGCCCAGAACCAGGGCAAGAAGGCCGAGGGGGCCCAGAACCAGGGCAAGAAGGCCGAGGGGGCCCAGAACCAGGGCAAGAAGGCCGAGGGTGCTCAGAACCAGGGCAAAAAAGTAGAAGGGGCCCAGAACCAGGGCAAGAAGGCTGAGGGGGCCCAGAACCAGGGCAAGAAGGCCGAGGGGGCTCAGAACCAGGGCAAAAAGGCCGAGGGAGCCCAGAACCAGGGCCAAAAAGGAGAGGGAGCCCAGAATCAGGGTAAAAAGACAGAAGGGGCTCAGGGCAAAAAGGCAGAAAGGAGTCCCAACCAAGGCAAAAAAGGAGAGGGAGCTCCCATCCAGGGCAAAAAGGCAGATTCGGTTGCTAATCAGGGCACAAAGGTAGAGGGTATTACAAACCAGGGGAAAAAAGCAGAAGGGTCCCCCAGTGAAGGCAAAAAGGCAGAAGGGTCCCCCAACCAAGGCAAAAAGGCAGACGCAGCTGCCAATCAGGGTAAAAAGACAGAGTCAGCTTCTGTCCAGGGCAGAAATACAGATGTGGCCCAGAGCCCAGAGGCACCAAAGCAAGAGGCTCCTGCCAAGAAGAAGTCTGGTTCAAAGAAAAAAGGTGAGCCTGGTAAGTAACTGATTTCTTTATGAACTTAGAAGGAAAGGCTGTCTTTAAATGACTTATGGATTCTCTCGGGGAGTGCCACCTGTATCAGTCAGCTATTGTCATAATAAGGCTGCGTAACAAACATTCAAAAAAAAATTCAGTGGCCTTCAACAGCAGTCATTTATTGTTGCTCATGCTTCTGGAGGTTGGCAGATGTGAGCTTTCTCGGTTGGTGGCTCTGCCTCAATCTGGTTTTAACTGGGTTGGTGACTCTTTGCTACAGGTTGAGCTCAGGTCAGTTCCATGTGTGGTCCTTCTGGCGCCCTCCAGGGCAGAGGCCCTTCATAGTTACAACAGAGGCACAAAAGGGCATTTCAAGTCAGCATTTCATTGACCAGATCAAGTGATGTGTCTGAGCCTGAGTCAAGGGGCAGGGAGTCCACTGTGTCCAGGGAGAAGGGACTGCAAGGTGATGTGAGAAAGGAGAGGTGAGGAGTGAGCAACAGGTCCGTGTCTTGGCATGTCTTAAACATATGGGAGCACAAGGAGAGGTGAGGAATTAGGAGCAATAATTCTGTCCACCACACAGTGTAGAAGAGTTCTGCGTGTTGGCAAGTCTTTCTTAACTGTCTGGCTGCGTTCTGTCAGCCTGTTCGATGTTCTTGCCTCACCTGATGCTTTTGTGCAGCCTGACTCGGGTATCTGTGCTTGTTGAGTGAATGATGGTAGGAAGGTGTTTTTAAGGAGCAGTTGCATTCTTTCCTCTTCTGCCTTCTCCTTCCCCTGCGCCACCCTAGTCATTTGGTAAAGCATTATAGAGCATTAACATAAACACTGGATTACATAGATATATATGTGATCATATGAAGCACTGGTTTACCTTTATCTGTTTAGTGTATATTACTGTAGAAATTGGTCCAGGGAGTTCCTGTTTCATGTTTGTCATTCATTCAGTTTCACTTATGTTTTCTTTCTCTCCTCTCCTTTCCTTTCCTCTCCTCTCCTCTCCTTTCCTTTTCTTTTTTCCTTTCTTTTCTTTTCTTTTTTCCTTTCTTTTCTTTTCTTGTTTTTAAATAGCCATTAGCTGATTTGGAAAAATAATTGCATTTGTGTTGACGAAGGGTATCTTAGGAGGTGTGAAATGTTTGTACCTGTGTCGGGCTGCACAGGCCCTGTGTCTTTAGCTGGGCTTCCCTATCTTGCCTCTGTCAGGCTATTACCTTCGTGGGGTTTCCTCCTTCTGCTGTTTTTGATGGGCCATTTGCTGGGGCAGCAGCCCCCTGCTCCGTGTGAGAGGCCCTGTCCCCTGTGAGCGGCTGTAGGCTCCTGTGGGAAGCCAGCGACCAGCTGCCCAGCCCAGATCAGGTGGCCTTGAAAGCCCTTTGAAAACCCAGACGCTCTGGCCTCAGCCCTACTTCCAGAGGCTGGCAGGCGACGCACTGCCCTTTCTTTAACATGATGTTCCACTTGATTCAAAGCTGGGGATGGAGCTGAGAATCAGCTTTTACTTGGTTCTTCCACATCAGGCATGTCCACAGCTTCCTGCATCCCATGGTCATTGTTATTTCGTGTGGTTTTAGACATTTGAAACGAGATACAAAACAGAAGTGTGATGATAATATTGGAAAGGAAGACAAAATTGTTCTAATTTGCAGGTAATAAAGAACCTTGTTAGGGATGAGACCTACGTGTGACCTCTGTGAACGTAACACAACAGCTTGAGTGGGGTGATAAAGTTGGAACCAAGAAAACAAAACCCATATTCCAGGAGAAGAAGATGAAATATTATCGATGAAAGGATAGTAATTTTCAAGTTAATTTAGTGGTCTACCATTATTCCAGCCAAACTTTCTTGAGATTTTCCCCCTAACTTGACGGATTATTCCAAAAGTCCCATCTGAGGGAAAAATAGGTAAGAATAATTGAACAGATTTTTTTACAGTGGATTTTAGAAGGCCAGTCCTGTCAATGTGTGAACGTCTCCCAACTGTTGTAATTACAAGTAGGGGAATAGAAGGCTCTGAAACTGACTGAGAACTTGAATGAGAGAAGCATCATATTGCAGTAGGGAAGGAAACGTTCAGCAGATGATCTAGGGCAGTGTGTTCATATATTCATAATTTGGAAAAGTCTTCTTAGACCCGCCAAGCACTTGCCTCTATAAAAATTTAAGGTTTGGATGAAATAGATTTAATTTGAAAAAAAATGAATATGGGTTAGCCCAGATGGTGGAAGATGGCCACTCTGACATTGTCATGAGAAGAAGTCACCAAGGCTGACATGGGGGAGCTTGACACACAGCCACGCAGGGCTGTGCAACCACAAGGAAGAGGCAGAGACAGGGCCACACGTGCCACCAACATGCCGCCCGCAAGGTGGTTTCTTTCTTCTTCACAGTGTCGGCAGTCTAGAAAACATGGGGAAAGTTCTTTCTTGGACTTTCTATTTTCGTTTCTTGAATTAGCACTGAGGAATCTCAGGCCTGTTTTCCCATGGTTGATGTACAAAGGCATCTTCAGGGCCATCTGCGGTGGATTTGGGCCACTCCCCAGACACCGTGAGGATCCTGGAGACGTCCCCTCCTGAAGTGCTTCTTAAACTTTGTTATGCAGATGAATCACCCAGGATCTTGTGACTCAGCAGCTCCCAGGTGGGGCCTGAGATTCTGCATTTCTAAGCAGTTCCTGGGAGCTGCTGATGCTGTGGGTCCCACGTACCACATGTGGGGCCAGTCAGGATCCAGGAGACATCATCATTTAACTAGCAGTTTCAAAAACTCACATTAAAGCAAATAAGCTTTATTTAAAAACCGTTAATATAAATATATAATGTATATTTTTAAATGCTGGCATTGTAAATTGTGTGACCATTTTGAAAAGCAATTTTGTGAAATGTATCAAGAGCCTCAAAGGGATGAGTAGTTTTTCTTCTTCTCCTGGACTCCCCTCAGGAAACAGTGTAAACTGTGGCAGCCAGGTCTGTGGGTGAGTGGCTGGGGTGTCCCTCGGACCACCCCAAGGGCCTCGGTGCATGCGGCTCACCCAGACACAGTGCAGCCACTAACAGTGATGCCTGTGAAGATCCCATAGTAACCTGCAAAGACATGGTCACGTGGTCACAATGTGACTTTTCATTGGAGAAGTCGGGTGCCAAATTCTTTAGATGCCTCAAGAACAGTGGAAGGCAGAGACATTAAATGAGTGATAACAAGATAAACCGTAACTGTAGGAAATACAGTACAATTCCTTTCTGATTTTTTTCTTCAATGTAGTAGTAGTTTTCTCTTCAAAAGTCAAAAAGCAGCTGGGCGTTGTGGCCCACTCCTGTTATCCTCAGCCCCTGGGAAGATCACTTGAGCCCAGGAGTTCCAGCCTGGGCAACATAGTGAGACCTGGTTTCTATAAGAAATGTTAAAAAGAAAGAAAAAAATAAAAGTCAGAAAGCAACGCTGAAGACCCTAGATCTTGTGTTTGTGACAGCGCCCCCTGGAGCTGGGAACGCCCTTTGGAAAGCCTTCATTAATGCTACTGGGACAGGAATTCCAACGAACTGATGAAGCAAAGAATTTCCTATTAAAACCTTCCTGATATAATGCCCTTCAGAAATTATTTTAGAGAGATAAAATTGGGTCTTGATATATTATCTTAAATACTCTCTTTGCCATTGTGAAAAATAAAGGAATAATGATACTTCCTTAATTCCAGATGTTAAAACAACTGAGAAAGATCCCTGGAAGGCAGGGGCTGCTGGAACTCCTGCTCCTGCTTGCTGTCTCTGGACATAGCTCAGCACCGCAGGCCTCTGCCTGTGGGTTCATCTCAGTAGTTCGGGGGTGAAGTGCAGAGAAGGACCCGAGAGCCACAGTGGACAGACCTTAGGGGCTGAGGGTGGTTTATATAATGGCACAGGCTATAGAGTCACCCAGGATTGTTGATAGGGCAGTGTGGACTTGGTGATGGGTCCAGAGCTCCAGCCACAGTGAAGAGACCCTCCCTGATTCCATGATGCTCAAGCAGCAAAAGCTCAGGACAGATGAAAGGAGGCATTTATGAACATGGAAGGGAGTCACTAGCAAACACACACGTGATTGAGTGGTAAGGCCCGAAATTCAAGGTATTTGAAATCCCAGTTAACAAGCAATGTATTCAGTCTACTTCTTTTCCACAGAATCAGTAGTGCATATTGGTAAGCCTCCAAGTTTATCCACAGAAAACCCGTAAGTCCTTAATGTGTCTGGAGTTGCGTGGTCCCAGGTAGAGATCTTCTCACTGGGGGAGCAGCATCTGTACAAGAAGAAGCATTTAGGACTCTGGCTTAAGATGCTTCACACTCAGCACCTGCTGCCACCAGTTCCATCATGGGGTCACACTCAGGATGTAGGGGACATTTGAGTCCTGGAATGACAAAGGCTCTCCTACAGGGAGACTGTGAAGGGAGGGTGCCGGCCCTGGGATGTGAGGAGGTCGAGTCTATGTTACGTGGACGGCCCACACCAGTCTGAGCGGGTAGCGATTGGGGTGGAGAGCCCTGTCCTTTTGTTGTGTCCTTTAGTGCAGTGGTCAGACCCTGCATGGCCATTATCAAACCAAAACAGACAAAAATGCGTTTGTGCATTACTGTTTAACTGTGCAGTGTGCTTTTCTCTAGTCTGTGCTGGTGGGTATCTGATATTAATGTCCCCATCAACATTGGTCTTTGGTGGCTGGGGGTTGTGAGGCATGTATGTGTGGCTCTTTCTGTCCACCTTGGGACCAGGAGGCTGTTCTTTTTTTTTTTTTTTTTTGAGATGGAGTCTCGCTCTGTCACCCAGGCTGGCATGTAATGGCACGATCTCGGCTCACTGCAACCTCTGCCTCTTGGGTTTAAGCAATTCTCCTGCCTCAGCCTCCCAAGTAGCTGGGATTACAGGCACCCACCACCACGCCCAGCTGATTTTTGTATTTTTAGTAGAGATGGGGTTTCACCATGTTGGCAGCTGGTCTTGAACTCCTGACCTCAGGTGATCCACCCGCCTTGGCCTCCCAAAGTGCTGGGGTTATAGGCGTGAGCCACCGCGCCTGGCCAGGGCCAGGCTGTTCTTGGCGTGTGATCTGTATGTATTGGTCTCATCTGGACTCCGTCACAGTCTGCTTATTCTTTAGCACACGTATTTTCTGCTCTTTGCAGCTGACGGGCTCCAGGGACATTTCTTGATTCATTTGTGGCTACCATCTTCTTACTAACAGCATGGGTGGGGGGCCCAACCCCTAAGCCACTGCCAGGTGGCGTGTGCAAGAAGGTCTGTCTGCATAGCTCCCAGCTGCTTTGCAGCTCTGACTGTAAAGGACAGAGGCCCTGGGTGGGCTCAGTGAAGTGTGCACCTCTCCTCACAGTTAGTCTGCTTTTCCCACACACAAATAACACGAACACAGGGGAGAGCCCGAGGGCGCGCTGGGCACGGTGGGCATGTAGCTGCATCTGGCAGAATTCCCACCACTGCAGTCAGTTGTCGGTGGCGCTCTCTGGATGCTTGGCCGTTTTGCCTTGCAAAGGCCCTTCTCTGCTCCGGGCACACTTCATCACTTGCAGTGATTTCCCACCTTGTCTCTGTGCCCTCGGATGATTTTCTTGGTTTTCAGTTAGCCATGAGCTGTGGTGCCCGAGGGTATGAGGCAGAAATCTGTGAGTCCACAGCATGGGTTTTCACCAGTGGCTTGTGGAATTGGTTTCACCCTTGCTACGTCTTATATGTGGAGTTTTCATGTTCCAGAATTATTTGGATTTCCACTTAACATTGGCGGCTGTGACCATGTTGCCTGGTGAGCAAGCCCGGATGAGACACGTTAGACCGTGGGTTCCTCCCTTTGTTGGAAAGGCTGCGGCGGCCCCCACTGGCTGCCTTGTGCCTCGTTGCCCCTCTGCTGGGGCTGAGCTTCCTGTCAGTCTGGGGCCTGCCCACTCCAGCTTCTCTGGGGGTCATGTGTGCCCAACCTGAGGCAACTGTAGGCAGAACTCCGGGTGGGCTGACTGGCCCTGGGCATCTAGAAACACAGGGACCTGTGGGTGTGAGTGTGTTGGGTGGGAGGGGTGAGGTGGCATGAGGGCTGTGCTGCGGGGATCTGGGAGGTGCTTGGCAGTGGGTTCTAGATCACCGGTGTGGAGCAGGCCAGGACGGGAACTCCTCCCATGAGTCCAGGAGGCCTTGACTTGGGCAGGGGAGGTGTAGGGCCTAGGGCTGTGCTGTCCCATATGGGAGGCACTGGTCACATGGGAGCATTTAAATTATCACCTAAATCAGTCAGAAGTAAATAAAATTAAAGATTCCATTCCTCAGTCACACTAGCCACATTCCAAGTGCCTACTAGTCACATGTGGCTAGTGGCTCCCTTTACACAGTGCAGAGACAGATCATCTCAGTCAGAGCAGAAAGTTTTGCACAGCAGTGCTCTAAACAGGACCTTCTGAAAGGAGGTGGCCTCTTGGATCACTAGCCGGTCTGTGCAGACCTGTGTTGGTGTTGCACAGAGGCTGTGGCTGGCCCATAGCACAGGACAGATTAGCAGCAAAACCAGTACTGGAGCTGGGCTCCACCAGAGACTTGAAGTGCTTCTTCAGTCTTCCTAGCCCTACCTGTTACCTGGCTGGTCCAGCAGGGCCCCCTGCTGACAGGTGCCCCAGAGGGAGACCTGGCAGGAGTGGTAGGCCCAGGACATGCTTTTGCAGACCCAGGCTGGAGCTCTTCCAGAACTTCTGCTCTGATTTTCCTCCAAGAGCAGATGGGGGCCCTGCAGCGGGTTTTTACCACTTGTCCATGGCTGTATTTGACAGAGAACACCTGCCTTCCTAATCCTTGCCTTTTACAATTTATTATTACATAAATATGTGTTTCCAGCAAACAAAATTCACAGTATGGAGGCATGGAAGGTGAAAATAGAAAGTCTTTTTGCTCCATCCCAATCACCATCCGCTTCCCGGGGGTGGAGGGGCGGGGGGGTAAATTCATTGTGCTCTTCACATGGGCACCCACAAACGGGAGCTGCAGTGCACACTGCTGTCTGCTTAACAGTGTGTTGGTGACATCTTTCCGTATTGCACCTGCGAAACTGCCACATTCAGCTGCATAATATTCCCTAGCATGACTGTATTGTAATTTATTTAAATGACATTTAAGTAGTGTGCAGCTATTTTGCAGCTAAAATTAATGCTGCAATGATGTACATACACTGTTGTGTGTCTCTACAAAATAAAGTCCTAGATAAGTAATTGTCAAGTCAAAAGGTGGGTACGTTTTTAATTTAGGAAGACAGTGCTGCATTGCTTTCCAGAAACGTTTCACAATTTACGATGAGAGGCCCACAAGATTTGTTTTCTGACTCAGCACTCCTCACACGGTGCTGCTGTGCTACTCTGGGAATGATTCTAACTTCAGGAAGTTTGGGGAGCAGGGAGCATTATAAACCCAGACGTGGGATAAGGAGAAAGCCTCTTTCTTTGGAAATGAAAGGCACAAATTCTTTACTAAATATTTGGAGAGGAGGAAATTGATGGGATCCTCGAGAAGTGGAAATTCCCCAGAATGGAAGCTTCCCCGTGTTCCGGGTACTGTCAGCTGACGCACGTGTCCAGGCTTTAGCTGGTTTGTTCTCCGATAGTTAACTGAGCACCTATGCACAGTGTCTATTAGGAAAGTCAAGTTTCTAACACAAGACGTGTGTGTATGCAGTGGTGTTGGTTTTTAAAAAAATCTATTTTTATCCTCAGATTGAGTCTTTGTTTGCAGGATTATGCTGGTTTGCCTCCCACCTGGGCTGCCCTGATCTTGTACTAATCACCATCTGGGTGTTACACTGGCAGGAGAGCTGTCCCACCCAGCACCTGGAATCAAGTCTGGATCCTACAGTGTGGGCGTAGACTGAGGAAGTACATATGTACATTCTGAAGACCCCACAGTTAGCATGAGCTCCAGAACAGTGTACTTTTAACTGGAGCTTGCTTCACTCATTGTTGCTGCTGGTTGGAAACAGGTGTTTCCTCATTACCTCTGCTAGCACGTCACTCAGGGGATGCGGGGATGCAGGGTACTTGTTGCACTCTTGGGGAGTCTGGAGCTCACCCAAGGACCTGTGACCTTTCTGCCTAATGGACGGGGGTGGGTAACCCTGGGGACATGGCACTTCTGTCTTGGCTGTGGGCCTGCTTTCTGCGGGGCCCTCTTTCCCCAGCCTGCTGATGCAAGCCAGTTTTACTCTGTGGCCAGAGAGACCATTGTGTCATGGCCCAGGAGAACCCACCCAACCTCCATGAGGTGGCAAACACTCAGAAACAGGCATTTCAGAGGCCCATTCTTGCCACGTTGTCAGATAAGTCCATGTGGGAAAAAGAGGCCACCTTTGGGAGGTAGGATTATGGGTAAATGTTAGTATCTTCCTTTCACCCTTCTGCATTTTCCAGTTTTTCTATAACTTTTTTTTTTTTATGGAGAAGAAACAACTCCATTATGTGTCTCTAAGTCAAATAAACAGGCCCTCATTATACCAAAGCTGATGGAACTCTCATCCTTCTGGGTGTTTTGAGGCAGCCCTGTGTCCTCTGAGGAGCAGCAAGGAACACGTTGCTCCTTTTGGGGTCTGGAATGAGGAAAGGTAGTGCCAGCTCTTCTGAGGCCTCCAGAAGGAGGCCAGTGCGTGTCCCAGCCCTAGCACACAGGCATCTGGGAGGCATTCATGAACTGAGGTAAGGTGGGAAGTTAAAGGCAGTTCCCACATTCTGGAGCCTGGCAGTGCCGTGGTGGGAGGGGGCCTGTGAGCTCTGTGTCGTGTGCAGTCTCGCTGAGCCCCCATTCTACCCCTACAATAGGAAATGTAACCTAAAATCCCAAGTCGTGTTCTGCAATCTAATGGGGCTGGGGTCACAGGTCAGGGGGTATGGGGAAGAGTTGTCAAGCCCCCAGGAAACGGTATTCAAGGTGTCTAGGGTAGCAGGGCCCTTAAACAATTTGACTTCGTGATGGGAACACCCCTTGCTCCCAGCTCCTCACCCACCCACCCACCCACGCCTGTCCTCCCCATGTGTAGCCTGCTTTGCTCCAAACCCAGCGCTGCTTAGCACAGCAGGTCTGACGCCACTGCTCTCCCCAGCCAGGTGTTTGTTCAGATGTGCAGTTTAGGAGGCTGGTTTCCATGCCTTTATCCCTCGTGCAATTCTCTAAGGTGGATTTGAATTTTTACCTGTTTGACAGAAGCAGAAAGCAAAGCTCAGACTTCCCAGAAGTCATGCACATGACCAGCAGATGGCAGAGCGGCCGGTGTGGGCAGCCCCTCCCGAGGCCCCCGCCCTGCCCGGCAGGTGCCCCTGTGCCCTTCTCGCCGGCAGTTGCACAGAGAGGTGTACACGGAGATCAAGTCAGATACTTTTTCTTTTGAACCTAACTCAGTTTCTCAGGGTCTGAAGCTCTGAAGAAAACTCTCTGGGGCTTATGACCCTTTATTCACTTTCTGTGGAAGTTCTTCAAACCCAACTTTTTCTTTTCTTCTTCTTTTTTTAAAGAAGAACAAAAACATCCCCTAGGGAAGCGAGCCAAGTATCAGTGTGAGAAGCTGCTAGATGACACTCTTCCAGAAATCTCTTTTCAGCCACTTGAAAACGTGTTGAGGCTGGGACTCCGGTCACTGCCCCCAGACGGCTGTGGTCAGACAGCCTGGGATTAAAAATCCCCTGCCGTTTTCTGCAGGCATTAGGTAGAGTCCTAATTGCTGTTTAAACTGTATTCTCCTTGGGCCAGCCTGTGTGCCTTGGGAAGGGCCTTGCCCAGAGGTCCTCCAGGAATTGTCGTTCTTTTAAAAATATTGTGATGTGGGTTTTTTTTAACTCCAGGTATAAAATTGGTTTTGTTGAAATTTGGAGGAAAAAACAAAACTTTAAAGAGGAAAACAGTTCTTCAATCTATAGGATATTTTAAATTCCATTAGATACCATTAAATATACCAGTCCCCAAGTTTGTAGCCGATTACGTTTTTCTCCAACTAAAGGAAAAGGACTGATTGAAAGGCCCTGAATTGGGTTGTTCTTGACATTATTTGTACTGAGCTCCATTGCCCTTAAAGCTGCGGATGTGACCGTTCGTGGCATTTGGGGTCAAGTGCAGCTGCGCCTCCTTGGCCTGCTTCCTGTCAGGAGCGCTGAGCAGCGCTTGGGCAAGGCCGGGCTCTGTGGCCTGAGCTGGGCCTGGAGTCCACTGTTTGTGCACTGCCCAGGGCCTGCCTCAGCTGTGGGCAGATGAGCAATGAGTGAGAGCAGGAGTCGCAGTTTGCCTCCAGGAGCATTTGGTAGATCTTCATTTCCTCCAGGGTCTCATAAAGCTCACTTCCCCCACAGGCTCAGGAGGAGCCTTCACGGCCACAGTCCAAGAACGAGCAGTTAGAGGCCAGCAGTGATGTTGGCCGGAGCTCCTCCCTAGAGAGCGTCTTGCGTCCCACCTCGGGGTGGGACCCTGAAGGGAGCCGGCTCCTCAGGTTGAGAGAGACAGAGATGCCCTTGGCTTTGGGTCAGCAGGAATGGGGAGCTTGTCCTCAGCCTCTGAATCTTGGTCTGCAGAGGCTGATGACTGCTTGCGTGGTGCTGGGCTTCCAGGAGGCATGTGGGAGCCCTTTCCTGGGGCCCCAGGGTCTTCACCTTCTTACAGCAGACCTGAGTTTGGGTCGGGTGACTGGGGACTACAGGGCGTGGAAGGCACGCCAAGATTGCGATCTGGCTTGGGCAGCCATGCTGGGTGCCTTGGTCTGCACTGTCTGGAGTCACCCCGTGCAGGCCCGGAGGCAGCAGCTATTCAGACTACATGTGTGTGTCTGAGGGAGGCACCCTCAGAACTGATCTGGACAATCTCTTAGGAAATGAGAGTTTTTGCCACTGGAGTTCTTCCCCAAGCCCTCAAGTCCATGCTGTTTCAGGTTCCATTGCCAGAGTCCCTGGGTTGACACCTGGGCCTCTCTCCCACCAGCTCAGCTTCCTGAATACTCGGGCCCAGATCCTGGTCCTGGGCTCTTAGGACCCAGCGGGGATAGGCTCTTAGGACCAGGGTCCAGGCCAGCTGGTCTGCCTGCTTCCAGCCGCATCCCCCTGGGCATCCTGAAATCTTTTTCTCAAATTCAAACGCTCCTTCCTAGGCATCGCTTGTTGCCTACAGAATAAAATCCAGATTCCCAGGGCCTATGAAGACTTGGACCTAGTCCAACCTCGGGTGCAAGTCTGACACGCTAGGGCCCAAAGCCCCTCACCGTGTCCTTACCCAGCTATGCTTGGCCCAATGCCTTAAAGCCTTTCTCGGCATTGCTGCCACAATTGTTCTCCAGGTCCCCCTTGTGTCACTCTTCTGCCTTATGGCCCTGTGTCCTCTGCCTCTGTTGGCCACAGCCCAACCTATAACTTAACTTTCCAGGCCCAGCAATTTACGAACTGCTGGGTATGCAGGTGGTACATACTTTGTGTCTAGAGACCACCTGGCCCTGCCTGCCCTGATCAGGGCTGCTGGGCACCTGTAGCAGCAGCTGGAGCTGAGCCGGAGCCTTTTGTGGGGCCCATCCCAGGGCCAAGGCGATAATCCCCTCCTATTAACCACCAGCTGCTGCCAGGGCTCAGGCGGCAGTTCCTGGAGTGGTTCTGATACCCTCCCCGTGGACTGAGAGAGCCAGGTGTGCACAGTGCAGGGGTGCTCCAGCAGCTGATGTGGGGGGCTGGCCGCTGAGTCTCATGAGGCCACTTAGGGCTGAGATCCTCCTTCTATGCCTGAGCCCTGGCCATGGGGGATCCTGGAAATTATACAGAGAGAAAAGCCTCATCCAAGGACGCCACAGTTGACAGTGAGAGAGAACACTAAGTGCCTCTTTGCCAGATGAGTTTAATTTTAGGTGCCTGAGCCTCCCAGTGTGGTCGCAGAAGGGAGAGTCATTTTGAAATTTGGGGTGTGAGGTGCGTTATCTGAGCTGCTGTGAGCTGCTTGAAGGCCGGCCATGCTGATTTATTTTGCTGTGCGTTACCCTGCGCCAGGCATGGTTCCAAGCACGTTGCAACTTACTCTTTTCAGCCACGCTGTGAGGGGAACAATGATCATCCCCGTTTTGTAGGCAAGGAAACAGAAGCAAAGGAAGGTTAAGCCACTTGTCCAAGGACAAAGGTGGGAAGGAGCTGAGCTGGGATTCGACTCCAGGCCACCTGGTCCCAGAGGCCTTGCTCTGACCTTGGTGCCCCACTGCCCAAGGACAGAGGTGACCTGCAGACTGGACGTGGCCCACGGATGTGTTTGTTCATCTGTACAGTGGTTTCATTCATTTATTTGTTTTTTATTGAGTTAGCTGTCAGCAGTAAAGATGAGAAGATAGCACTTAAAAATCTCGTTTCCAGGCTCTTGGGCAGGCCTGTGGCTTTGAGGGTTCTGGCTCAGATTCCCCCATTGCAGCTATCACCTGGAGGTGAAGTGCCGTGCCCAGGACCACCCAGCTCAGGAGAGGCCACCCCCCTGAGCCCAGGCCTGTGTGGTTATTTGTCACAGTACCTGTCCCATTCCTGCAGGGCCTGGCCCCTGGGGTGTTGCTGTGTCCCCTGCCAGACAGAGGTCTGGATTATCCATCAAAGTGAGACACTGGCCTGCGTCTCTACTCTTGGGTCTCCTGCTCCCTGGTCACTCCCCAGGCCTCCTGGCCTGTCCCTTCCTGGTATTTCATACCCACCAAGATGGGCAAAGCGTTAGCCGCAGGAGCAAGCCCTCAGGGAGCTGAGCTTTTCCAGCATTCACTGCACCCTGGGCCTTTTGAAGTCTGTGATTTCACAGACTAGGTGTTGAGTCTGAGAGACTTAGTTTAGTGCGTTAAGATTTCACAATTCGGAAGATTACTGGTATCTTCGAGTATTTGCTGGAGCCCTAAGTGATGTGCTGGGCACGCCTTAGGCTCCCGTTAGTACGTTATTTAAATGCAACTCATCTGGAGGCCCAGAAATCCTGCCTCTGCTTCTGAGGGCTTTCCTTTTTTCTTTCAGTTGTGCTGCCCTTGATTTGGGGACAATTGAGACAGCAGAGTTTTTACCTAAAAGATTTAATGAAAAATGATTTGTAAAGTTATAGCTCTCTAAAAACAGTATAAAAGGTAGTGTTTGTATGAGTGTGGCAAAGGCTGTGGAAGTTTCTGGGGGGCCATGAGAGGTGGCAGAGGAGAGCGTTAACATTTTGCTGTACGCAGCTTTGCGTTTGTTTCGCGTGTTGCAAGTTTTTATTTTTCTGTTAAAATATCTAATAGAATGGAATTACGTTAGAAAGTTTTAATAAAGATTTATGAGAATGCCGCTCCGAGAACACTCTCGGGAGCACTCTGTGGACTGAGCCTGCGGCGGGTGAGCATGTGGCCATGCTGCCCCTGTGCAGGAAGCGGCGTCCTAGAGCGCGTGCCCTCCAGCTGCCTTATCCAGATGTTTCCCCACCCAGCAGTGCAGTAGGGGCCGTGGGGCCTGGAAGGGTGGTCTTTAAGGAGAGAGTTCAAGAGAGGCCAGAGCTCTTGGGTCACTCTGGAACCTCTGTAGGACCAGGGGCTGCCAGGAATTCAGCAGGGGGCACTTTGGGGGTCCCTGGTTCTGGAAAGGAATAGGCCAGCCAGTCCAGGAGAAACAGAATGTGAGCCACACACGTGTGAGCCATGGATGTGATGTAAATGTCCTCAGCCACATTTAAAAAGGCCAGCAAGAAACAAATGGACTGAATGTTAACGATACATTTTGTTTGACCCAGTTTATCCAAAATGTTATTTCAACATACAATCCATATATAAAATTATTACAGATACTTCACATTCTTTTTTTTTCATACCAAATCTTCTAAATTCCACGTGTACTTTCCACTCATAGCACATCTCGAGTCAGGCCAGCCACGTTGCAGGTGCCCAGTAGCCACACATGGCTGGTGCCCAGCACATCGGACGGCGCAGGACGCTTTTCTGAGTCAGGAGGGGGAAATGTCCTTGCAGCCAGCAGCTAGACGCCGGCTGAAGCAGCTGCCCTGCCCAGTCTGTAACTACAGAGGTGTCTTTGAAACAAGTGACCTCTGTCTCCTGGAAAGTGCTGGCAGTAGACACGCACCTGCAGGCTGAGGGGGAAGACAGGAAGGCTGGGAACCGAAATGTGAACTAACACGGGGGTTTCTCCCGAGAGTGAGCCATGCATGTTTTTATTTTCTTTTGGCTTTTGGGTTAGAATTTTCTCTTGTGTGTGCATTAAAATTACTTTATGTACATACACGTATTTCAGTGAAAAGAAGGTTGAAGGGGCATGCTTTTGCCAGGACCTGTTTTCGTGGCACCCATGACCTCTTAGGCCTTTGGTGTCAACATGGTTATTTTTAAACTCCCGAGCCTCACCAGGGTAAGAAGTTATAAAATAAAGGTGCTCATAGCAACCAGCTCGCCCACATCCCACGTTCCCCTCATTAAGGTATCGTGCCAAATGCTTTGACTTGTAATGAAAATATTATGACTAGTAAGTGAAAATATTGTGACAAGCCAGAGAATTGAGGGTTGCTATGGAAACCAGCCCTCTCCTTTGTCCTCCCAAGGTGGGCTCAGCTGAGGGGCTGCTGTAGGCCTGTCTGCTCTCTGATTTGGCTCATTTTTAGTGCTGTCATTCAGCTGTGGAAGAGTCCAGGCACTCAGGCGTGGCATCTTGGTTCACCCTTTCTTGCTTCCGAGGCTGCATTCAAGCCCCAATGAGAACAAAACCATGTGTGTGGGGAGGGGCGTGGGGGGTGTCGGCAGTTTTAGTTTTTCAGAAGTGACGTTTGTTGGCAGATGGCTCCCTGTCCTCCAGGCAGTCACTCATGGACTGGCCAGTGGACAGGCCCTTTCTATAAGAACCCAGCCAGCCTTCCCTCTCCCAAACCCTGTCACTGCCTGGGCTTCATCCAGGGAGCTAGAAATAGGGTTTGCACTGATGTGTGGAAGCAGCCTCTCCTTGCCTTCTGTGCTCCTCCTGTGGCTGCAGGAGTGTGGCTCTGGGTGTCTGTGTGTGGTGGACGGTAAATTCGCTGCCCAGTCAGGTCCCACAAGGCCACGGGGCTCAGTCACAGCCAGTGGGGAGAACCATGGTGAGCCATGCAGGTTGAGAACAGGACCAGTGCATTTGCGAGAAAAAAAAGGAAGGGAGAAAAGCCTATGGAAAAAGTACGCCTTGCTTAATTTTGTTGCAGGCCATCTTGATGGTGGAAAAAAAAAAAGAGGAGCTCTACTTCCACCCCAGGCTGGGACTTCCTATGGGCGAGTTAGGACGGTGCAGGGACCTATCGTTGAGTCAGTTTCTTGGTGTCCTGAAAGAGCAGGAGACACTGGAGCAGACTCGCCATGCTCAGCCTGCTGACCCCAAGCAGTCAGAGAGCTCTTCGTGGCTGTGACCAGAACCTTCTTGGTGTGATGGGCATTGTGGCCACGTGTGTTGTGGCTTATGGGCCTAAGTCTCAGCTCTTTCCCTCTTGCTGCACAGGGCCCCCAGATGCCGACGGCCCTCTCTACCTCCCCTACAAGACGCTGGTCTCCACGGTTGGGAGCATGGTGTTCAACGAGGGCGAGGCCCAGCGGCTCATCGAGATCCTGTCTGAGAAGGCTGGCATCATTCAGGACACCTGGCACAAGGTGGGCCCACCCTCCTGCTGGCCATGCTCAGAGGCCACTGCAGCTGGCTAGGGTGGTTTTGCCCTTCCCTCTGCCACAGAGAGGACATTCATAGGACAGCCTCCACTTCTCTTTCCTGGCAGAATTCTGCCACCCCGAGGGATCGCTCGCAGGTGCTTTGGCTTCTGTCAAGCCACCCATGGCCTGGCTCCTGAGATGGTTAGGGCTGGGGCAGGGCTCTGTATTGGCAGGGTATGGGATCTAGGGAGCTGGGGCCTAGCCAGTTTGTGGCCACAGCTCAGGGTGCAGAAAGAAAGGTATAGGGACACAGTGTGGGGCCCTGTGAGGTTCCCCAGCCCAGGAGCGCCCCTGGTTTCCGTCGTGCTGCCGGGGGCAGGTTCAGAGGCTAAGAGTTCTGAGCTATCTCGTGCCTCTGGCCAAGAGCTGTGCCCAAGAAGTGCTGCGTGGCACATTCCTTCACTGGAGTCAGAGTTCAGGGTAACTGTGCTGGAGGATTTAGTGGTTAGAGATGCTCAGGTGTGCCCTGAGGCCAGTGGGGTCACTCCCTTCCTGGCCATACACATCCTGCACAGTCTCAGTGGCACCGAGAGCTTGTCAGTCGTCACTGGGGGCTCTACTGGGTATGAGTGGCCATAGGAGATTCAGATGACCAGGGAGAGGCCTGGCTCTCCTCAGGTCACTGTCCTCAGAGTACCCGGCCCCCATACTGCAGCCAGAGGCCTACGGGCTGCACGCCCGGCTCGGGTAGGCTCCAGGCCAGAAATGGTGGCCAGCTGCCCCTCAGAGGAGCTGGCAACACCACACTCCTAAATGCCACTCCAGGGATTCAAAGCCTTTGGCCTTGACAGTCCCAACACACGCTGGGTCAGGGGTCCCGGCAGGCTGATGGCTGAGGCGGGGCCGCCTTTCCCCACAAGTATCTGGAGTCCCAGTGGAACCCTTGACTCGAAGCCCCTGCTCCACTTCATCAAGCCCTCAGGCCTCTGCTCTTGTCCGGGGTCAGGGGATGAGCCAAGTCCCATTTGTCCCCTCTGTTAACGCATCTCTGGGTATTTCTAGGCCACTCAGAAGGGTGACCCTGTGGCGATTCTGAAACGCCAGCTGGAAGAGAAGGAAAAACTGCTGGCCACAGAACAGGAAGATGCGGCTGTCGCCAAGAGCAAACTGAGGGAGCTCAACAAGGTACAGCCTGAGTGGGCTCGGAGATGGTTTGTCCTCTCCCGTCCTCAGAGGACCCCCGCCCCATCCACGGTGGATCCCGGGCTCCGAGATGCTGGGGCCTGCCTGGAACGTAGCTGGCTGTCAGGCTGCTGAGTAGGGACTGCTGCTTATCTGCTGCCTAAAGAGCCAAGGGCCGGCAGCTCACCCTTGGCAGTGCTCGTGGCTCTACGGCGTGGTGGCTTCCTTCGTGGCTGTAAGAACGCAGGGAAGTGAAGCAAGGGTTTGGAAGTTAAGCAGCATCAGTTTGTGATGGGGATGGACCAGACCTGGCTTTCACTAGACAGGTCCTGCAGTCACAGGCCAGCTTTCTAGGGGCTGTGCCTGGAAAGGAGGGTGGCCACAGTAGATTCAAGGTTGTTTTCTTGAGGATTATGCAAAACCTTGTGGGGAGGGGACTGGAGGGGCTGCTCTTCTCCCTTTTTCTGATGTCAGAGGAGGGATGTGCAGGGAAACCCTGGCTCCCCGTATCAGCGGATGGCGTGGCACGTAGCATTTGCACTCTGAACAGCAAACGGTGGTGGGTTGGTGCTGCCATAGGACGGGGCTGATGGCACGTTGAGATTGTGTTGGGATCCATGGCATAGGGGCTGTTCTTCCCACTGCAGAATTCACCGGGGTCTTTCCCCACCTCTCTGCTGCTGAGGGTGGGCCCTGGTGCCCCAGCCTTCCTGGAGGAAGGGCAGGGTGAGGGGCCCCCTGGCCCTCTGGGACTGGTCAGGCCCTGTTGAAAGCCGTCTTTGCCCCATGCAGCACCGCAGGCTTGCTCTTGCCCTCTCCCTGCCTCCCTGCCTTCTCCATCCCGGGCAGCGGGCGCAGGGGGAGGGCCTGGATGGTGGACTGTCCAACAGTGTCTGGGCTACAGCCCTTCTTCCGGGTGCCTTTGTCTGCTCGAGCACAAAGAATTGGAAGTAAGGCAGCCTTACTTTTTGTCGCAAATTCAGGGTCACGGCTCTGAGCCAGATGGGAAGTTCACTGGGTGGGGGATGGGCAGGACCAGAAGACACACCTTAGATGGCCGCTCTTCGATGCTGCTCTCCACCCTGCTGGGGTGGTAGAATATCTCCCTGGCTGCATGCTCAGGGCAGCCTGTGGTCCTCATTCAGTACCCAGCCTCCTCGGAGACCACTGGCCTTGCCTCTTAGGTGAGGAGAAGGTTAACGGTGCGTGGCCTCCCTTCCACCCACACTCTGCTCCCTAAGCCGGAAGAGGTCCTGTTGGGCTCCCAAATGCTGATCTGTGAGGACCCCCATCAAGCTCTGCCAGGGGCCCCTAATCTTCAGACCTAAGTCTGCCCCCCAGGCCCCAGCTCAGCCACTCACCCTGCCTCTGGCCTCACCTCTTCCCTTTCCCTACCTGTGCTCAGACATTCTGTGCCCTTTCGTGACTCCTCTGGGGCTCTCCTCTTGCTCTTCCCTTGGCCTCTAATGCCCTTCCGTGCTTGGATGTCTGGACATTGTCTTCTTACTCTGGAAGACTCAATTTGGTTTCCCTCCCTCAGGAGCCTTCTGGAGCTCCCATGTTCCTGTTCTGCACAGAGGTCATTGGTACAGTTAGGCATCACCTGGCTGCATCTGGCTCCTGTCAGACCTCAAGCCTGGTGGCGCAGACCCACTCTGGTGGTCTCACCAGGCTCAGCCTAGCAGGCCGCCAGTGATCAAGTGGCCACTGAGAGGGCCAGGCCACCTCGCAGCTGAGGGGAAGCCTGGAAGCATTTCTGAGTATTTTACATTGTCTTCTTGTAAATAGTTAAATGTTTGTAGTCGATGCCTTTGGCCGTTTCTCTTCCCTGTGCTCGTGCTCTCTGTTGAGAGTCCTGAGCAGAGCCGATGTGTTTACCTTATTCTTTTTTTTTTTTTTTTTTTTGAGACTGGAGTTTCACTGTTATTGCCCAGGCTGGAGTGCAATGGCACGATCTTGGCTCACTGCAACCTCCGCCTCCCGGGTTCAAGCGATTCTCCTGTCTCAGCCTCCCAAGTAGCTGGAATTACAGGCAAGCGCCACCATACCCGGCTAATTGTGTATTTTTAGTAGAGACGGGGTTTCTCCATGTTGGTCGGGCTGGTCTCGAACTCCCGACCTCAGGTGATCCGCCCACCTCGGCCTCCCAAAGTGCTGGGATTGCAGCTGCGAGCCACCGTCCCTGGCCTGTTTACCTCATTCTTACGGTAACACTGCAACTGCCCAGCACTGCTGAGGGAAATGTTGTGAGACAGTAAATTCCAGAGAGTGTGGCAGTTCCTCTTACCTTAATCCCCCTCGGGAGCTGGGGAGATGGATGGAACCTATGTTTCTTGTTCTAGTCCCTTCGACATGTTTTCTTTGTCCTTGTAGAGAAGTTTTTATAGTTGAAAAGGGTTTTCATTAATTCTGTTTCTTGGGGTCTGATGCTGAAGGCATGATCTGGACACACTGAGAAAGAAAATTTGGATCATCTGCTGTATCCAGGTCTCCCAAATGTGCGAAGTCCCAGCAGAGTTGGGTTCAAGGACCAGTCCACACACTGTCTGCAGGAGTTGATGGGCTCAGACGCCCTTGAGAACTCTGTCCTGGCTGTCTGAGAATCTCTTGGGGGTTTGAGGAGTCCAGGCAGAGCTCCAGTGATGTAACCAAGAAGGCACAACCTTCTGGAAAAACATTCCAGCTGTCATGTTCCTGGGCACCAGAACCTCTGTCCTGAAGCCATGCCTCGGACTGGCCCCGTCCTGGGCTTGGTCCCGTGTTCTGGCTTTAGGGCCCAGAAGGAGATGGGGCTGTGAAACAGAAGGAGCCCCAAGGCCCTCTGGGACCCTCAGAGGGTTTACCTGGGGATGGGGTCACGGGAGGAGTTCCTGTTACCAGGCCTTCTTGGTGGAGGTTGCTTCCTTGCTTGGCTGGGAAAGCAGGTTGGAGGGCTCTCTACAGTCCTCAAAGCTTACACCATGAGGGGCCCCACTACTCCTAGGGAACAGCGCCTGGAAGAAGTAGGGACAGAGAGTCACTTCTGAGCCAATGCTAGTGATGGTGCCAAGCCTTGTCTTCTTGTGCGCCGGAACCCCCCCACCACCATCAGGAATGCTTTTCAAGGAAATAAATCTGACTCTTGCAACTGAATTAAGAATTTGACAAGCAGAAGGAACCCTGGGTCTCTGAGCTCTTTGAAGAAAAAGAAACCATAGAGAGCTAAACAGCTGCACTGAGGACAAGTGACTTTTCTCTGCTCTTTAAAAAGCCTAGAGGCAAAAGAGGGGGAAGATCCCATTGAATCCTGGCGGCCTTGGGACGCTGACCCCCAGGAGATAGGGGTCTGCAGACCCTGAGCGGGGTGGACCTTGGAACTGCACGAGGCCTGCCCAGGGCTGGGAAGGGTGTCTCCAGGTGGCAGAGGAGGGCTGAGGATGACCCAAGTGTGGCTTCCCAACCAGCCATCCATGTGGCTGTGGGAATGCCTGGTCTCCATGAGCTTTGGTTTCTTCGCAAGGCTGGACCATCTACTTGGAAGGGCCGTTGTGTCGGAAACTCAGCAAAGAGAGCGGCCTCCTCTCTGCTGGTGTTGGGAGGCTTCCAGCCATCTCTACCACACCTGTCTGCCAGCAGTGGGCCGGTGGGGCCACGTGTGTTAGAGGAGGAAGTGCGGAGGGGTCCTGGAATCACCGCTAAGCTGTCCTCCCTTTCCCCAGGGGCTTCCCAGCCCACACAGAAGGGCAGGCGTCCTCATTCCTCCCCTTTCTGGGAACCCCTTGGTCTTGTACAGTCCTAGGTTTGGGCCCCACCCCTGCCTCTTAGAGCTGCTCCCCAGCCTTGGACAAGTGTGTCCTCTCCAAGGCTCTGTGACCTCAGCTTGGATGGGGATTGTAATCCTCGTCTTCCAGAGAAAATTAAATGGGACAGTGCTGGGGCGCAGTGTCAGCTCATCCCGCCCCCCACTTCTGTAGCTAATCAGTGAAGCAGACCTGCAGGTTCCTGTGGGCCTCTCACCCCGGGCAGAGCCAAAAAGATGATTGTCTTTGAAAAGTGAGGCCAAGGGTCCCAGGAGGTCCCAGAGAGTACCAGGAGCACGGAACAGCACCAGCACCCAGTGGCTCCTCCTCAGGGTTCTTTCCCATCTCAGGCAAGAGGGACACTCTGGCCTTTGGGACAGGCCTCCCTATAGTCCTGGTCTGGGGAGGGGACGGACTTCCTCACTCCTGGCCCACTGCCCATGGAGCAGCCTTGACGCTGGTGGGACGCTTGTGCCCTGGTCACTCAGGCCTGCTGTGTTTATGATATGTATTCACATCACATCAGTGCTGGTCTGTCCAGGCCTGCTAGACAGGGAACACCCCCACCCCAGGGGCTCATTGTGTCAACCTTTCCTTGAGTTGTCACCCTGCCTCCCTATGGTTTCTGGTTGAGGCCATCCCTCTGGGATGACACAGACCATGGCCAGCCTTCCCATCCTGCTCTGTCCCTGCTGGAGACGCCGGACCCCCCAGACTCGGCATCCATGTTCACCTGTGGGTATCTGGCACTGATCGGAGCCGATGTCCCCCTGGGTGGAGGACAGAGCGACCGCCTGCAGAGATGCATGCCCTACCCCCAGCCACGGCGGAACTGGCAGCTGGCCCCACCCCCACCCTAGCCATCAGGGCTTGGTGCCTTTCAGTCCTGATGAAGGCACTTGAGTAGAAGTAGGTGTCCCAGGGGCCCTGGATGTTGGTGACTGAGTCAAGCTGGGGTGTTGTCATCACAGCAGGGCCGAGCCAGTGCCCTGGAGAGCCAGGGACAGCACCGTGTGTCTCTGCTGTTCCTGCCGCATCTGCCACCTCCACTGTGGCCAAGGCCTGACATTGAGCCCACAACCGGCCAGGGCCAGCAGGGTTTCCAGGGATCCCTTGTTGTCTGTCGTCGTTCCCACTGCAGCTGGCTTGAGTCTAGCTGAGAACCCGGCCAGCAGGAGGGGTCTGTGCTCTGCTCTCCAGCCTCCCAGCTCGGGTGATGCTCTTGCTCCCTTCTGATAGGCTCCTGCCCTGCAAGGCTTACCAGCCCCTCTCTCTGCTACTTTCCCCCCAGGAGATGGCAGCAGAAAAGGCCAAAGCAGCAGCCGGGGAGGCCAAAGTGAAAAAGCAGCTGGTGGCCCGGGAGCAGGAGATCACGGCTGTGCAGGCACGCATGCAGGCCAGCTACCGGGAGCACGTGAAGGAGGTGCAGCAGCTGCAGGGCAAGGTGGGTGTAGTGGCTGGCGGGGGCATGGGAAGGGACAGGACCCAGTCCAGGTCCAGGACGGAGGGAGCCAGAGAGGCCCAAAGGGTGAGGCATGAGGAGGGGGTTGAGGATGCCCACAGGGGTCTGTAAGGTCTGGTCAGGTTTAGGAGTCCAGGGGCTGTTGCATTTGGCTGGACAGGGTCTGGCAGCCCAAGTGTGTGTATAATGTTAAAAGCCAGGGAGGTATGAAATACATTTTAAAGAACACTTTTCAAAAGAGCCTAGTCTCAGATGGCCAGCCCTGTTTCCCTGCCTCCTGGGTGTCTGTGAAGTTCTCACCCTTCATGTGAACCTAGAGAAACGCAGGCTCTATCTTCTTTCCACATGGTGGGGAGGATCCCATAATACCAAGGCCTGAAAATCACACAGCTCCAGCGGCCAGCACTGGGCGGCTGCCCAGACTGGCCCTGTAGTCAAAGTCTGAAGCCTGCACCCTGCTCATAGTGGGCTGCGACCTCCTCCCTGCTGCATGTCTCAGGACGTGCTGGAGGTCAGAGGGCAGGAATCGAGGCTTCCTCAGGGGGGTTAGAGGCGGTGCATGTGCTTTGTCTTAGAACAGTCAACCATGTGACCTTGGAGGCAGATGTTCATGGGGTGTGTCAGAGACCCTGGGCTGAGTGTTCAGCCTTGGGCAGGCCATGAGCAGTGAGGAGGGAGAGAGGTGTCGCTGGGTGTGGGAGTCATGCTTGGCCGCTTAAGCTTCGCAATTTTCAGGCCTCTTGTTTTATGGGATCCTCTTAACTTCCACGTGGAAAAGGTGGAGGCTTTTGGGGGTTTTCTTTTGTGGGCTGTGTCTTCACTAACCACTGCTCAGAAGTCAGTTCTGTGTGTGAGGCCGAGCTGCCTCTGATGCCCTTGCCCGTGACTTTCCAGATCCGGACTCTTCAGGAGCAGCTGGAGAATGGCCCCAACACGCAGCTGGCCCGCCTGCAGCAGGAGAACTCCATCCTGCGGGATGCCTTGAACCAGGCCACGAGCCAGGTGGAGAGCAAGTAAGCTGAGCTTTCCTGCCTCAGCACCTCCCCAAGGGCCCTGGAGCGAGGAAGGCTTCACGAGGCTGCGGCCAGGGCAGCTGGCACAAGAGCCAGGCATGGGCCCTACATGTGTGCGGAGCCGTCCTGACCTTCCATCTCCCGTCTGGGTTCTGGGCCCCTGAGTCTTCTAACAGGTGGCCCAGCGTCCCTGTGGTGGCTGGTGGTGGGCCTCGACTGTGCCCTGGAGCACAGCCTCCTGCTCTGCAACACCCTTGCTTCAGATGCACTGGTACTAGGGAGGGTTTCCAGCACCCACCTGCCTAGCGGGGTTCTCATCTCAGTGTTGTCTCTGAGTTGCTGAAGCACCGCAGCCCACAGCAAGTGGGCCGGAGGGTGCACTTCCCCTCCGGAGTTGAGTACAGCCGCACTTCTGCTTCCCTGATTTAAGCATTACACCCTCAGTGGCAGCCCTCGAGAAACCCACTGCAGTGTCTTTAGTTGTACATTTCTTTGCTTTCTCTGGTCCGAAGTGTCCTGCAGGGACTTGGCAGAGCTCTGTGTTATCCCGAAAGCCTCTGCTCTCACCAAGGCAGGGGCTGACCACAGCAGAGCACGCTGGCACCCTTAGTCCTTGTCTGGGAGTCGGGTCAGGGGAAGTCCAGTGTGGGAGCTGGACAGGGAGGGGAGCTGGGCCAAGTATCTGTTTTGACTATGGCTCCCTCTGACGTGGAGTGAGATCCAGCAGCTGCCTTCCCCTCTGCCTGTCCCCTCTGGGTCCCCTTCCTGAGCCATCGGCTGGTTGGAGGTTTGTGGCTGCTGTTTCCCCAAAAGCCACAGCAGAAGGCATATGTGGGGACTGAGAAATTCTCTGGCGTCTCCCCACATAGGATCTGCTGTGGCCTCCTTAATGGGTAAGGCTCTAAAGCCAGGAGACTTGTCACGCTGAGGCAGTGGCCCTGCCAGTCCAGAAGCTCTGGCTGGTGGGTGGCTCTCAGCAGCGGGATGTGTTTTCCCAGGCCCACTTCAGAGCTCCCAGTCCATCTTGAGGGCACCACACGACCTTCCGCCTCCCTCCTAGGTCACTTGAACCTTGGCCTTGTGAAGCATGGAGCTGATGGACCTACAGTGGGCTTTGGTGTGGCCTCCCCGGTACAGACGAGGCAGCCCCCAAGTCAGAGAGGTGGGACCCACCACCCCGCAGGCAGCAGAGCAAATCTAGCCTCAGCCCGGTTTCCCAGCTCCGCCTGGCCTGGTGCTGCGTCCCAGGGTTTGGGACAGTCTCGTCTGGTGGTGTCCCTTGGTTGGACAGTCAGTCTTTGGCCTTGAGGCAGCGTCTGCTAGTGAGGGAGTGGCATCCTGATCACACGCCTTACGCTGGAAAGGCAGGCCTCCAGCTGCCCCCTTTTCCTTTAAGTCTCCTTCTGTAACTCCGGAACATTCCTCCCAGCTCCTGAGACCCAGCTTTTGAAGTGCAGTCCTGAAGGGTCTGTTTTGTAAGCACCTCAGGCTCTGGCTTTGGGCAGCCTCCCCAGCCTGGCCCTGGTCCAGCTGGCCAGTGAGGGGGCGCGTGGACTCCGTGGGCTGCTGCCCACAGGCCTACAGGGCGTCAAGGCGGGTGGATCTTCATCTCAAGGCTGGTTTGCACCCAGAACTGTGTTGCCGTTTTCTGTGAATTTCTGGCTGTTTCTGGGAGGGGCTCCCCTGGGATGCTTTAGTGCACATTTGCTCTATGCTGTCTCTGGTTCATGCACTATATAGGTAAAACAATGTCTTCAACAAAACACATGCCCAACCCCACACAGCTGATAATGGAAAAGTGGCTTTGGTAATGGCTTCAAGACTTGGGCAACTGCTTACTTACAAGAGAGCTGGAGTCCTGGAGGGAGGGCTTGGACCACCGATCCCATCACCCTTTTCTTTCCATTAGTCGGGCTGGTGACTGTCTTGCAGGCAGAACGCAGAGCTGGCCAAGCTTCGGCAGGAGCTCAGCAAGGTCAGCAAAGAGCTGGTGGAGAAGTCAGAGGCTGTGCGGCAAGATGAGCAGCAGCGGAAAGCTCTGGAAGCCAAGGCAGCTGCCTTCGAGAAGCAGGTCCTGCAGCTGCAGGTGAGTCGGGGCAGTGGCCGCCTCAGTGCCCTGTTCACTGCCCAGCAAGCCTGTCTGCATAGCGGGGATGGGCCCAGGCTGGCCGTGCCACACTGGGCACCCGTTTCTAGCCTTGACTGGGACAGATGATGGTGTCTGCAGGGCTGGGGCTCAAACTCTTCACCTTAGTCTCCTTGGTAGTAGTTACAGCTGGCATCAAGCGGGAGCTTTCTGTATGCTAAGCACTGTTCTGAGCATTTTCAAGCGTTAACTCAGCCACTTTTCCTTGTAACCCTATGAGGTAGGCACTGGTAGTGTCTGCATTTTTACCCATAAGGGAGTTTGAGGTGCAGAGAAGTTCAGCAACTACCTCAAGTTCACCCAGCCAGGACATGGCAGAAGCAGAATTTGAACCCCAAGTCTCGCTCTGGAGCCGTGTTTTTCCTCCCATACTTGCCCCCACTGTGGTACTGCAGCTCTGGAGCAGCCAGCTGAGCCCACAGGCTGTGGACGCAGCCTCTGGCTTCAAGGCCAGTGGGGTTTCTTCTTTCTCAGCTTCTGGGTGTGGCCTTGAGGCCTTTTTTCCCAGGAGGGTGCCTGTTCTCCTTCAGAGGGAGGAAGATTGTCCCCCTGTCCCCAGGGGGACACGGGCAGCATGCAGCATGTTTTCCCAGCCCAGAGGCCTTGCCTGATGAATTCCCATCCGTCTGCTGGCCTGTGTTGGGCAGGTGGACCCCACATAGGGCTGTTACCCAGGGCATGAGGCACCTTGATGTCATGCCCACTTGGGTTTAACTTTTCTGGATAATGAGACCCCAGGGGCTTAGGGCCCTTTTTCTGTCCCATCATTGAAACCAGGCTGTAGTGCGTGGGGGCATTAGTGCTGCCTCTTGGAACTAGAACAGACACGAAATTTTAAGAGTGATGTTTGAGCGTGTGCAAGGACTAAAAGAGAACATGGACAAAGAAACAGTTTGAATTGGGGTGGAATTGAGATGGATAATTTGGTGTTTTCTGATGTTCATGTGAAGCAGACCCACTCAGAAGAGGGAGTTGAGAAGCTGTGGGGTGTGCCTGCCCATGATTGTGTTTTAAAGGCTCCTGGACGGTTGTGGTCCATCTGGGCCTGGAACTGGGCTTGGTCTGTCACCATCACGTGTCATTCCTACGAAGGATCTAGCCAGGGCCCCCAGGCTCCCAGTATCTCCTGTCCTCTCCAGACTCAGGGTCCTTGTCCACAGCCTGGGGCTGGGCAGAGGATTCCCTGCTCTCCAGTCTGACACCAAAGATTCTGTGCCTGTCAAGTCTGTGATTGACAGTGAGGCCTTTGGCGCCAGCTGTCGGGTTCAGGTCCTGGCTCTGCCACTTCCTAGCAAGTTATTTCAGAGCCTCAGTTTTCCCATCTGTACTATGGACAGGATAGTAGGAGCTGTCCTGCAGGGTGACTGTGGGAGTTAACCATGCTATTACACCCAGAGTGCCTAGGACTAGATCAGTGCTTTTCAGAAAAAGAGCTCAATGTGAACTCTACAAAATTTTATTCAAGATATCTCCAAGTCAGACTGGCGGTTGAGGTTGTAGAAAATGTCTCTTTTTTGCTGAGGTGAAAATGGGGCTCTTTCCATATTGTGACTGTCCTGCCTTCACCTGAGGCCCCTTCACTGCCAGCCAGCTCTGCAGGAATGAGGGCGGGGGTGGCCTGTGCTGACCTTCGGTCCTGGAGCACTGGCATCAGGGAGGTGCCCTGCCCCTCATTGCCTGTCTCTCCCCGGACGGCCTCTTGGGGCCTGCTTGGAAGAAAGTACCCATTGAAGGTGCTGATGACATCCTTCTAGAAGAACTGAATCTTAGAAATCCAGGAGGGCCTTATGAAAGTCCCCAGCTGGGCCCACCCAGCCACGGGACCCGCTTCTGAAATTGTTCAGTGTGATTGGCTGTGCTAACAACATTCTCTTCAAGGCAAAGACAGTTGTCACCTGAGGTCTTAAGATGGAGGCCCGTGGTTTCCATCAAAGATTTTAAGTTTGGGGTTCCTGAAGGTGGGTGGGTTTTTGTTTGCTTGTTGCTGGAATCAGAGTTCTAATCAATGTTAGTAACAAACGGAAGAACATGTGTGGTCAGTCTCCCTGCAGTCTGAGCTGGAGTCCCTTTTCTTAAAGAAAAAAAGCAGCAGCAGCTGGTGTGTTTTCTTCCAGTCGTGTAATGACCCTGCCCTATGTATCCTGGTCGAGGCAGAGGTGTGAGGGTGTTGGAGCCGGTGGGTGCAAGGCAGGCTCCTGCCCGGGACACCTGGCAGAGGAGAAGCAGGTGTGCTTTCTGGGAGCAGCTTGCAGTCACTCCTTTCTTTCATTTCCTCCCTAGGAGTTGGAACTGAGTAATCCCCTGCTACGTTCTAATGCAGAAAGCACTGCCCATCCTAAAGCTGCCCCCAGTTTTCACTGCACAGTACACGTGAACCACGGCCTAGTGGCCACCTCCTTGGTGATGGCTTCACTGGCTCCAGCCACGCCTCTGCCCGGATGGTGCTCATCTGAGCAGTTACCCCAGCTCCAGGTTGTGCAGCCATTGCCCTAAAAGAAAATGAAAATGGATGTGGATGGGATCAGCTTGGTAAAGGCATTGACGAGGGATAACTCACAGCCTCTTATTCAAACAGCAGTCATCTGTTGATGCCCCTCTTACCTGGTTCTGCCCCCAGACAAGCTTGTTAATGAATAATCAGTGGTCGGGCTTTTTGGAGAACTGAGTTCTCCAAAGGGCTGGTTAAATGGAGGCCTTGGCCAGCACTTCTGCCCCAGTGTGTGGGAATCCTTTACAGGTGGATGAGGGTGTCCTGTGGAGCACCGACTGGGACTGCCAGAGCCTGCCTGACACTGAGCCGGGAACTGGGCAAACACTGAAGCTCTGTGTGGCTCCTAAACAAGGGTGTGGTGGGCCTGTCTGTCCTGAGTGAGGAAATGTCTCTGAGATACTTTTGAAGCATGTGAAATTGCCATTTTTGTAGGTAAAAATGGTCAAACACTGACAATTTCACGTGGTTCAACCTAATATTAAGAACTAAGAGCACTGCCCTATAGCGTGATCGCAGTGGTGCACCGTGCGTGTGTGTGTGTAACATGTGGAGCTGCAGGTGGGAGACCCACCAAGCTGTCCGCCCCTGGGAGAGGAATCGAGGACTGGATTGGGAAATGTCGCTAGTTTACTCTGAATCAGTATCTTTGGACTCTTGCAGTAACCATGTCTTCATGAATCACTTGAGAATGTAAAAATAGGGACTCAGAAAAGAACTGGGAAGTGAGTGTGGGTCCCTGGCAGCTGCCTTCTCCCCATGAAAGGGTTCTGGCCGAAGTGAAGCCTGTGCGGGTTCTAGAGCCTCGAGGGATGCATTTCCTTCCCACATGGACCAGAGACTGCACGGGGCTTTGGTGGGGTAAAGAGCTCTGTCCGCCTCCACCGCAGAGCCGCTGAGGGCCTGGTCCTTCCACGTCTTCACTGCCCCACTCCCCTGCCCGTCCCCAGGCGTCCCACAGGGAGAGTGAGGAGGCCCTGCAGAAGCGCCTGGACGAGGTCAGCCGGGAGCTGTGCCACACGCAGAGCAGCCACGCCAGCCTCCGGGCGGATGCCGAGAAGGCCCAGGAGCAACAGCAGCAGATGGCCGGTAAGGGCGGCGGCAGTGGGGCCGGGGGTTCAGTGCAGGGTGCTGGGTCTGCATGCCGGCCCAGCCCCACTGCCAGTGCCAGAACTCAGTGGGTTAGGCCTGTTGGGTGAGGGCAGCACGGATCCCTTGACTGCCCCTCAGAAAGTCAAAGAGCAGGGGATTATGCCCAGTCAGGGGCTGGCGGGGGGCGCAGTCAGCCTATAGGCGCAGTCCAGAGGTGGGGGGATGGAGCTGTGAGGATGGGACCTACAGGGGCTAGAAGTGGGGGGCAAGGCCTGTGAGGGCCTGGTGCATGGGAGCAGGGCATATGGGGGTGGAAGGCACTGCTTCCCTCCCAAGCCTGGGTCCGCAGTGGCTGTGGATGAACCAGGGAGATCCTGAGGCGTCTCAGCTAAATGTGTGTTCTGGGCCTTTCTACTCTCCCAGCTCAGTCAGCCCAGAAGGCCAGGCAGGATTTACAAGCCTGTGGTTCCCTTGCTGCAGTCGATCATGGAAAGGGTGACAGGGATGGAGGGCCGAGAGCCCCTGGAGAAAGGGAGCTGAAGGTGCCAGTGAGAGGCCCGTGGCCCTTGGCTCACTGGCGCTTCCCGAGCCCCTCCCCAGGCCAAGCACTGCCGTGGGTGCCGGGCTGGGCTGGACTGGGGGTTACACGACAGAGTCACCTGCAAGGACAGGATTGCACAGCAGGGCCCTCTACACAGGGACTGTGTTCAGGGCAGGGTTGGCAACTGTTTCTGTGAGGGATGGATGGTGAATGCTTCTGGCCAGTCTCTGTCACAACTGCTCAGCTCTGCCACAGTGGGCAAAAGTGCCCGTTAACACCGGGTGAACTGTTTCTGTCGGGGATGGATGGTGAATGCTTCTGGCCAGTCTCTGTCACAACTGTTCAGCTCTGCCACAGTGGGCAAAAGTGCCCATTAACACCGAGTGAACAGAGGGGCCTGGCTGTGTTCAAAGAAAGCTTCATTGATATCACTTGGAAAAATGGAGGTTGGGAGGCACGGCCCCAGCTTCCCGGCCCCTGCTCCAGAGGGCTGGGCATGGCTTTAGATTGCGTGGTCCTGGAGACTCTCTGAGGCAGGAGGGGATGCATGGCAGAGGCCAGCACAGGGCCCGGAGGTGGGAATGAACTGACTTGGCCTATGTGAGAAATGGGCTAACAAGTGTGGCTGGAAGGAGAAGGCTGGTGGCGGGGCAGGGCCAGGTCACCCTCCCTCTGAGGAGCTTGGGCACCGTGGAAGGTGTGACAGAAGTGCTTGGGGCAGGAGATGAAGTCGTCTCATGTGCGCTTCTGGACACTGACACCAGGTGGAGAGCAGACCAGAGGGGCACGAGTGGCCCATGGAGACCAGGGATGAGGCCTTGCAGTTGCTGAGGCCCAAGGCAACAGGGCAGGGCCCAGGTGGCCGCAGAGGTGCTAGTGAAGAGGGCAACTTGACAGATGGCGGGTGTGGGCTCGTAGGCTTCGGCAGTGGGCGAGGGAGGAAGATGAGGAGTCCTGGGAGGTCGGGATGTTGGGTTTGCGTTGTCTAACTAGAGCTTCATTTAGAAGAGGCAGATGGCAGAGCCTGGGGTTGGGGAGAGTGCAGCCTCAGAGGCACGAAGATGACACTTAGACCCATGGGACTGTCTGAGGTGACCTGAGGAGGAGGACACCTCAAGGGGAGAAAGGGGCCCAGGGCAGAAGAGTCACCCCCTGGCCTTTCTCGACTGTGAAGAGGTCTTGGGGGTTGAGGGGGACCCAGCCAGGGAGGTGGGGGAGGTGTGGCAGTGGGGTCCACCTAGCCACTTTCTAAGGAACTTCTGGTCTCAGTAAGAAAAAGAGTCTTCTAGAAGATGAATCTTTAAAAGCCTCAGCTGGAGTCCGTTTCCACTCTCTATCATTTTCTCATGAGTGTCCTGAGAGCATTGCATTCTACCCTGACGGTTCTCAGAAGTGATGCCAGAGTGGCACTTTCTTCAACCGCTAACAAGAGGCCCCAGTGGTCAGTAGTATGTCTTAAGAGCCCCAGACACACAGAGGAGGCAGGAGGAAGCCCTCGGTGCCCCACATGTGCTAAGAGGGCAGCAGTGAGGGCATCCTCCACACCCCCTGGGGTTTGCAGTCTCTTAACTTCTCGTTTCCCTTCCTCTGCACCAGAGCTGCACAGCAAGTTACAGTCCTCCGAGGCGGAGGTGCGCAGCAAATGCGAGGAGCTGAGTGGCCTCCACGGGCAGCTCCAGGAGGCCAGGGCGGAGAACTCCCAGCTCACAGAGAGAATCCGTTCCATTGAGGCCCTGCTGGAGGCGGGCCAGGCGCGGGATGCCCAGGACGTCCAGGTCAGCCTTCTGCCTGGGGCCACGGGGAGGAAAGGGAACTCCATCTAGCAGGTGGGTGGACTAGCCCCGCTGCGTGAGATGAGTCTCCTGGAGACCAAGGAGCTTTTGTCTCTCATTCCAGGCCAGCCAGGCGGAGGCTGACCAGCAGCAGACTCGGTAAGCTGGGGAAGCAGCCTGCCTGCTCACTTGAGCCTCAGCCCGGGGGACCAAAGACCCTTGGGGGGCCAGGGTTTTCAGGAGGGTGCTCAGGTCCTCTGCAGAAGAGCCCCTTTCAGAGGCTCCCTTCCCTCCCCCATCCTCCGGTGATTTAGAGGACGGGACAGGCCTGGGCGGGAAAGAAGGCGGCCTTGCAGAGAGCTTCGTGATCACATCGTTCCAGAGTGGCCTCAGCCAGGGTGGGAGCACCCCCTGCCACCTGCCGTCCGTCCATCCACCTGTCCATCTCTCTGTGGGAAGGGACTGACTGGTCAGAGGTTCTGTGTGTACAAGCAAGGGATTTTAGGGGCTGAGGTCAGGAACTCTAACAGGAAAAATGGTTGCACAACCCAGAATGGCGAACCCAGGCTTGCTGCTGGAGCACAGGTTTGAGGCGTCGGGGCAGAGCTGGCAGCGTCTCAGCGTTGTTTTCCTCCATCTGTGAGGTGACTTCACTGCTGGCCAGACCTTGTTTTCCCTCCGTGTCAGCAGCACCAGCGCCAGGCCATGTTCGGGGAGTGTTTATTTGCTGTTGCTAAGGCCGGCCAACACCTGGGTGGGGTGGCTCGAGTCAGGGGCCGGAGTCCTTGTGACCATCACTTCTGGGGCTCGCCTCCTGTAGCACATGCCCACAGTCTGGGGAGGCAGGTCCTGGCCGCCGTGGCTAGGGGTCCATGCAGCAGTAGGTGGGGGAGGCATGGAGGGTGTCCTGCATTCCCTCGCACACGGTCAGATGTGTCCTAGGCCATCAGTTCACAAAGTTCCCTTGTCCTGACCCTCGTCACCAAAGAAGCACCTCCCTGTGTGCCTCTCAGCAGAGGCAGCTCCCCAGGCCACAGCCCATGTTCCCTGGCATTTGGGCTCTGCGGCTTGGGGACTGGGAAAGGAAGCCAGCTGCCCTGAGGGCCCAGAATGACCCACAACCAAACCTTGTCCACCTTCCTTTCCCAAAAAGCATGGGCAAACTTTGTTTCTCCTGGTGGTGTTTGTTGGGGTAGAGAGGTTGTTGTTTTGCTCTTGTGTTTTAAGATCAGATTCTTGGGCCACACAGCATATTACTAGGATAATGAACTCATGTTGTAGTTAGGATTAATCTGAATTTTCTTGCATCATGTAGATGTGTCTGGCAGAAATTGGTGCTTTTATTTCCTTCTCAAACAGTTGATCTGAAAGTTATGTGTAGGCTGGGCCATCCTGCTCTGGAGTAGAGAGGAGCGATTCAGCCCCAGATATTCTAGAATTCGGGCAGTGGCTGCCAAGGGTGTGATTGTCAGTGTGTCCTTGCCACTGGCCTGCTGACACCTCTTCCTCGGAGTCTCATTCTTTTGGGGACGCTCTTGGGGTGATTTGCCGGCGGAGGCTGTCACATGATGCAGGGAAAAGCTGTGAGGGCCCCAGGAGAGCTCTGAGGGCAGGGTCACGATTCCACCTCTCCTGGAAACCCAGCTCTCCGGTGTCACCAACTGGGACTCTGGTGACAGCTCTGGGGTCAGTGCTCTGGATGGCGGGGGGAGGGGAGGGTGTTGGGGGCTGCTCAGGCTTCCCTGGGAGCTCACGCTGGGTGAGGTGGGGGCAGCCAGAAGGGACCGTCCCTGGCCAGATGGTTCAGCCTCGAAGGTACTCCTCCCTGGATGGGGCCTCAGGTGGGATCTGTAGGGGCTGTAGCCCCTTGGAGCCTAGGCGGTGACCTCGTTGTGTCCCTTCAGCCTCAAGGAGCTGGAGTCCCAGGTGTCGGGTCTGGAGAAGGAGGCCATCGAGCTCAGGGAGGCCGTCGAGCAGCAGAAAGTGAAGAACAATGTGAGTGCGGCAGGCACAGGCGGGGACGGACGGGCCAGGGAAGCACAGGTGGGGCCGGGAAAGGTTCTGCTATGTGGCACCCGCCCTGGACTCGGGGGAGGGCTGAGCTTGTGTTTCTACACCCCATTGTGCTGTGGGGGTCCAGGGTGTGGGGGGTGCTTCTACTCACCCCTGAGTTCCGCCAAAGACCCAGGGCTGACTGCCTGTGGATCAGCCTGCGCCACTCGCTCAAGCGTGGAGTCATCCCTGGGGTGGGGACAGTGTGCTGTTGGCCTGGCCTGAGTCACGTGGTTGCCCTAAGTGGGGATCCTGGTCCCAGGAGAAGGGGATGTAGAAGCTCGGCAGGTGGCATGCCTGCTGTCCTGGTGTGGCCTCGGCCACACCCTCCTGCCCCCTTCTCACAGAGCCGGGCTTGCTGGCTGGCCCTGTTGCTCCCTGCAGAGGCTGCAGCTTCCCAAGGCAGGCCCTGGCCTTGGCCTCCCTGTGCCAGGCTCTGCCAGAGCTGGCCCAAGGGATCAGCACTAACCATTTGGTAGCAGGAACCTCTTCCCTTTGAGGACACAGGCTGGCCCTCCCTCCTCCCTTTGGCTAGTGGTGTCTTTATCGAAAGGGCGCCACCTCTTCACCCTGTGCCATGCTGCCCGCCTCTGGCTACGGCACCCAGGCCTTGTGTTCAGGCGCCATGGTCATGGGCCAAGGAAGGGGCATTTTGTCCCGTGGCAGGTCCTCTGTGGGCCAGGGTGGCATCAAGGAGGGTCTCTGGGCCCTGTCCTGTCTGACACCAGCTTAGGCAGCCCGTGCTGCCAGTGCAGGCTGCTGACCTTTCACCTGTGTCCCCTCCAGGACCTCCGGGAGAAGAACTGGAAGGCCATGGAGGCACTGGCCACGGCCGAGCAGGCCTGCAAGGAGAAGCTGCTCTCCCTGACCCAGGCCAAGGTCAGAGCCCGACCACACTCACACCCCCACCATGGAAAGTGCACTAGGATGCACAAATGCACTAAGACGTACAGATGCACTAGGACACCAGATGCTCTAGGACGCACAGATGCACTAGGACAGACATACAGAGGCACTAGGAACGCATAGAAGCACTAGGACACACAGATGCACTAGTACGCACAGACGCACTAGGACACACAGAGGCACTAGGACAGACACAGAGGCACTAGGACGTACAGACGCACTAGGACACACAGACGCACAGGTGCACTAGGACGCACACAGTGCACTAAGTGCGCACAGAGTGGCCTTGGCCTCAGAGCTCCTGAGTCCACGCCAGACCCCGGCTCTACATCCACCTCCCCCTCCCACCTCCTTCCCTGCCGTCCTTCCCTTCTTCACTTGCTCCTTTCCAAGAGAGGGATGGGGGTGCCCCCTTGATGGGCTTCTCCGTGCTGGTCTCTCTGGCTGAGGGTACAGAGCTGCTGGGGTGGGACTGGAGGCAGTGAGCCCGAGGCTGCACTCTTTATGAGCTTTTTTGGTGTTATTTCTGTTGTGTGTCCTTTTGTCGGGTAATCCTGCTGCTTGGGCCTCTGAAGTCATGGCCCAGGGGGCTCTGTGAGGAGACTTTTTTTTTTTTTGAGACGGTGTCTTGCTCTGTCGCCCAGGCTGGAGTGCAGTGGCGTGATCTCAGGTCACTCCAACCCCTGCCTCCCGGGTTCAAGCAATTCTCCTGCCTCACCCTCTCAAGTAGCTGGGATTACAGGCGTGCACCACCACGCCCGGCTAAGTTTTGCATGTTTTGTACAGATGGGGTTTTGCCATGTTGGCTTGGTTGGTCTCCAACTCCTGACCTCAAGTGATCTGCCTGCCTTGGCCTCCCAAAGTGTTGGGATTACAGGGGTGAACCACCACGCCCAGTCCCATGAGGAGTCTTTAAGTCACAGAGGGGAGGACATTGTTTGCAGCGAGCACTCGGGGAACAGAGGCCGCGTTGGCCCTGCGCTCCATGCTGTCCAGGTGGGGCGTGTGCAGGTGTCTCCCAGTGTCTGAGCCCACGGGTTGCTTTTGGGGTGCTGGGCTGTCCAGGAGCCAGTGAGGAGGCTCTGGCCAGGGGACATGGCCAGCAGCAGCTGCAACTAAAGGCCCTGCCCACACTTTGAGGTCACACACGTTTTCCTACCTCATGAAAGGGCCTCCACTCCCAGCCTCTCTCACAGGAATATCTGCCCCAATGGCAGGAGCTTTGCGGTGATTCCCAGGAAGCCTGAGGGTTGTATCAGATGAGGACAACTAGCTAGGGCAGGAGGTGAAGGATGGCCTCAGGCCACCCTGTGAGAGCTATAGTTAGACTCCTAGAATCTTGGCCTTGTAGCCCCCAGTGACCTCAGAGACTGTCTGGCTACCATGTGGTAAATGAAGCTGTGACCAGAGATGTCACCTGACTTGATTGTGGTCACACATCCAGATAGAAGGTGGCCTCTGGGTCTCCAGCTTGCCTTGACTCACAACTAGAGGCCTCAGTGGTGGTCGTGAGGTCAAGGGTCCACATGGGTCACGGGCCCTACCTGTGGATAACTTGGCCAGCCAGGAAGGGCCCGCTTCTCAGGTGTGCGTCAGGCCAGAGGGCGCTGCGCTCAGGCTGGGTGTCCGGTGGTCAGCATCCTTCATGCACATTCCAGGACTCTGCTTGGGGGAGTTAACACTCCATCAGCTCTGATCCAGGTGGAGTTCCTGGGGCCTCCCTGGGTCTTAGGCCAGGCCTGTCCAGGTGGTGGCAGGGCCAGACACAGGCTGTTACCCCAGCAGCCTTCCCCTCGGGGTGTGGGAGAGCCCAGCTCTCTCCCGGGGGACACTGTGGTCCTAGGCTTTGCTTCATGATTCCCTTGGGCCCCCTTTGTTTCCTTTTGTTTCCTTATCTTTGTTGTGCTTTGAATGGGGGCCGCTGGCTCTTCGTTGAGGACTGAGGGGGTGTCCGACCCAGCATGGCACAGGGTGCAAAGTCCCTGTCTCCTCTGAGTGGGCTTCTCCCTCTGCAGAGGGGGAATGCTGATCCACCCTCTCCAGGGTGGCTGGAGATGAGCCTCTCTGGGTTGCCCCTTCCTGGCTGCCACTAGCCCCTAACCGTGGTGCCGCCAGCAGACGCACTGCTTCCCTGCCTTCACCCCCATCCCCATCACAGCTCTAGATTCCAAAACATTGGGGGCCATGAGTGTCCTCCCATCCCTTCTTCCTGCCCTGGCTCTCACACATCAACTGCGGACCCCCCAAATTCCCCCACACATGCACACATGCCCAGAGAGCTCGGGAAGTGAGAGCTGGTGGAGACTGTCCCTGCTGGGAGATGTCCCGGGAGCTGGCACCTGCCATCTTGGCCTGACCCAGTATGCTCCTTTCATCAGAGCTTAGTCTGTTTGAAATGGACCAGATACAGGCTGGGTAACCCCTCTGCTTACAGTCAGCCCCATGGAGCCTCATCTTCTCCTTTGATTCTTGTCGCTTCCCTGAAGAGCTGAGGATGTGCCCTTTCTGGGGCAGAGACCCGGGCATATCAGTAAAGACCTGGGGAGGTGCCCCACACCTCCACAGCTGAACACCTTCCGCTCTTCCCCACCCACCCCCCAGGAGGAATCGGAGAAGCAGCTCTGTCTGATTGAGGCGCAGACCATGGAGGCCCTGCTGGCTCTGCTCCCAGAACTCTCTGTCTTGGCACAACAGGTAGGAGGGGAGGGTGGTTCCCGGGGACCTCACAGTTCTCAGGGAATGTCCCCGGGTCTCACCGAATGTGTTTCATTGCAGAATTACACCGAGTGGCTGCAGGATCTCAAAGAGAAAGGCCCCACGCTGCTGAAGCACCCGCCAGCTCCCGCGGAGCCCTCCTCGGTAAGTGTGGCTGCCTGGCAAGGCTCCTCTGTTGGGCTCCCCTGTCCCCAGGAAGAGGGGCTGCCCCAAGTCATTTCAACGGGAAGCCAAGAGAAGAACCTTTGTGTGTGGCTAACTAAACACCTGTTCTTCCCTCTCTCAGGACCTGGCCTCCAAGTTGAGGGAGGCCGAGGAGACGCAGAGCACACTGCAGGCCGAGTGTGACCAGTACCGCAGCATCCTGGCGGAGACGGTGAGCATTGGGAACCTGTCAGCTGGGCATCCCTGGGAGGCTGCAGGGAAGGAGAGCTTCGGGGCCTATGGGGCAGGAGGTGGCCTGGTGTTTTGGAAAAGCCCACTGGCCTTGTGACTCTGGGCCCCGTTCTTCGGCTGCATGGTAAATGGATGGCACCCTCTGAGGTCGTCATTGTTTCTAAGCTGAAGAGAAGGCCAAGTTGAAGGTTCGGGGCCGGTCTCTAAGCTGGGGAAGGGGAAGGACGGGGTAAGCAGCTGGTGACTGCCAGGTTGAACCCCGTTTGTGACTAAGAGCAATGCCAGGTCTAGCCCTGCCACTCTCTGGCCAGCCCATCCTGTGCTCCTCGTCCTGGGCCATTGACACACTTGGTGCTGGTGGCAAACCCCGGCAGTAACAAGCATCCTAGTGGTCCTGTGCAGGTCACAGACCTCATTTCCTTGCCTGGCACTGCAGCCACACTGGCCCACTGGCCAGAGGACCTCCCTCCCAGGACAGTGGTTGCCTTCCCTCCCCACCTAACGCTGGCGCTCATGAAGTCAGCAGGCGGAGCACGGCAGGTCACCAGGGCTGCAGGGACAGGAAGATGCGGTTGTGTGGTGCGGGTCTCGGGAGGGAGAGGGCCCTGCCTCACCTCGGTTTCCCCCCAGGAGGGCATGCTCAGAGACCTGCAGAAGAGCGTGGAGGAGGAGGAGCAGGTGTGGAGGGCCAAGGTGGGCGCCGCAGAGGAGGAGCTCCAGAAGGTATATGCAGCCCTGCCTGCCTCCCGGCGCCGTGGAGCACATGAAGCCCAGGGGAGAGTTGACAGGATTGTCTCTGTCACCTGTGAGACTCGTGTGTCTCGGTGGGGCTTTTCCACGACACCCTATGAAGCACAGTTGCGGGATGACAGCTCAGTCCGTCCTCCAGGAGGCCCCCGCCTAGGAAGACACTGCCAGATGGCGCCAGGGTGACCGTCCCAGCTGGGCGGAGTGGGCACCCCCGGGGCTTCCTAAGTTGGGTCAGTCCCGCTCGGGTCCTAGCATGGCCTCGGAAGGAGACACCCCCAGGTGCTCGTGTCTGACGGAGCCTTCCCCTTGCTTTGTAGTCCCGGGTCACAGTGAAGCATCTCGAAGAGATTGTAGAGAAGCTAAAAGGAGAACTTGAAAGTTCGGACCAGGTATGTGCTCTGCTCAGAGAACTCTTTCTCTTGTCCCGGGAGCCTCTTTGAAAGTGACGTTAATGCAGAGGACACTTCACTGATTTCTTCCTCATGGACCGTGTGCCTTAAGAGAGGCATTCTCTCTCAAGCCAAGGGATCTTGTCCATCCTGTTTTTCCTTAATGAGAGACATTGACTACCTCAGAGGACCCTGAGACCCAGCCACGGGCCCTGTGCAGACCTGCCCAGCCCTGGTGAACAGGGCTTCTGCCACGGCCTTCACAGTCAAGGTGGCCCCACTGCCCCCTTCAGACGCCACAGGGAGCCCTGGAGAAGGTACCCTTGGTACCTGCTTTTGCAAGTAAATCTAAGAGCATGTCAGTCCCCAGGAGTGCCCGGGTGCAGCCTGCCACTTTCCGTAAGGGGTTCTCTTGCCGCGGACTAGTTTCTCGTTTGCTTGGTAGCTGGTGGGCCTCAGGGATCTCCCGAGAGGCCTCACCTATCCCAGGGCCAGCCTGCTCCCTGAGGTGAGTGCCCTTTGAGCAGAGGCTGCTGGCGCATGCGTGTGCGTGTCTGTGCATCTGTCCAGGTGAGGGAGCACACGTCGCATTTGGAGGCAGAGCTGGAAAAGCACATGGCGGCCGCCAGCGCCGAGTGCCAGAACTACGCCAAGGAGGTGGCAGGGGTGAGTCTGCCCCCCAAGGAGTGCAGCCCCTGCCCAGCAGATCTGCGGTCCTCCCTGAGCTGCTTCTCCTCAGCCCTGTGGGAGCAGCTCTCGGTGACATAAGCCTTGAAGTCCGAGTCCTCAGGCGTTTGCCCGAAGCCTCACAGGCCCCTCGTTGGGCTGTCAGGCCTGAGGTGTCTCTCAGGGCAGGTTTCAAAAAGGCAGCCTCCCAGCCAGGACAGGGGCAGAGCCAGGCAGCCCTGCCCCGAGGGAGGCGTTTGACGTTCTAGGTTATCCCTCCGCAAGGGGATTCTCTGCCTGGCTTGCTGATGTCATATCTGGTGGGGAGTGGATTTAGATCTGACACTTTTTCTGCTCTTCAGAAGCAGAAGCACAAGCCCAGTATCCCAATTCTGGTTTAATCTCAAACTTTTGGGCCAGGCACAGCGGCTCATGCCTGTAATCCCAGCACTTTGAAAGGCTGAGGTGGATTGCTCGAGGCCAGAAATTTGAGACCGGCCTGGGCAACATAGCAAGACCGCATCTCTACCAAAAAAAAAAAAAAAAGCCAGGCACACTGGTGGGCACCTCCGTTCCCAGCTGCTTAGGAGGCTGATGCAGGAGGATTGCCTGAGCCCAAGAGTTCAAGACCAGCGTGGATGACAGATTGAGACCATCTCTGAAAAAAAAAATCATCTCCAACTTTTGGCCCTTTTTTGCCAGAGATAATCAGTAAACATTTGTGAAGGCCTGAAAGAGGTACGCAGTGAACACCATTCTTCCTAAGTCCTCAAAAAAGAAATCGTAGCTGTAGGAAGCCTGGCGAGCCCTGTGCCGGCCCGATGCTGTGACCCTCCTCAGGGTTTTGGTTAAGTGGATGTGTTAGGTTTTATGTTTCGGCGCTAACTCACGGGGACTGGTTTTCTCCTTTTCTCTCCTTTTTTCCCATCACCCGCCTCTGTTTTCTCCCCAAGCTGAGGCAACTTCTCCTAGAATCTCAATCTCAGCTCGATGCCGCCAAGAGCGAAGCCCAGAAACAGAGCGATGAGCTTGCCCTGGTAGGTGGCCTCCATGTCCCCATGCCAGGAGTGTGACCTGGGGCGTTGCGTGTGTGAGATGCATTTGCCAGTCATGCGTTTGTGTCCACTCAAAGATAAAGCCTAGGGAAGGGACAGTGTCACCCGTTGAGCAGCATGGGGCCGGCTTCTGGGGGCCTTCCTGCACATTTGCCCAGAACTCTGAGCTGGGCCTGTGGCTGTTGGGACCAGGGTGCTCCCACTCCATCTCCCGTCCCCTGGCTACCTGGTCCCCTGTTCAAGGTAGTGAGAGCTCTGGGCGTCTGCATTCCCTGTGAGCCCATTGTAGTCACCTGGGGGCGTCAGGGATATTGCAGTCCCTGGCATCACAAGACCAGGAAGCCTGGGGGTTCCTCCTGGCCTGGCCACCCATCGCCCTGGGGCTCTCAGCAAGTCCCGTGCCTTCTGTGGGTTTTCTCACCTCAGTGACAGCTCAGATCAATTCAGTCAAAGCCACAGGCATGCAGGGAAGACCTGCTCCACGCCCGGCCCCATACCAGCTGCCGGGTGCAGAGAGCAGCCCCCTTGGCAGACCACTGGAGCTCTGCCTGTGCAGGTGGCCTCTTGAGTCCCTCCTGGTGTTCAGCTCAGGTGTCTGATGCCAAGTCCCAGCTCCTTGGCAGGCTCCACCCAGCCTCACCGGATCTGGTACCGCCCCAAGGCTGGTGTTGTGAGCAGCACCCTGTGAGGCCGCAGACATGTTCTGTTTGATCTGCGGTGTTTTTTTAAATCTTGAATTAGTTGTCAACAGGGAGAAATTGGGAAATTTTAAATAAAAATGGGCTGGCATTCCCCCTGCAGCAGCCAGTGAGTCCGGCACACGCTCCCAACACCCTCGGTCCCCCTTGGTCATTCAGGTCTTACCCGGACCAGAACACCAGAGGGCAGTGCTGCCTAGGCCAGGTCTCCTCCTGTGTCTAGGGGCCACTCACTGAAGCCTTGGCTGAGCGAAGTCTGGGTGACAGGCCCCGGGGGCATGGCCCAGGCCGGGGATGTGCAGAGAAAACCCCCTGGAGTTTCTGTTGTCTTCCAGCTGTGCAGTTCGTTATTTGCATTGGGAGGGGCTGTTCAGAGGGAGGGAAGAATGTCTGGGGTTCCCACGTACCTGGGGTGGCCCCTCAGCGCAGGGTCAGAGACCGCCCATGTTCCCTGGGGAGCTTATGCCAAGGGCCCCACCTGGGTCTCCAATTGGAACCTCTACCTGAGCCTCTCGAGTGACACCTGCCCTTCAAATTGCAGGCCCAGTGGTTTGGGTGCAGCCAGATATGCCACCTAACCCCAGTGATGGAGCGTAGGGGTGGGGGACCTTGTTAGGCAAGAATGTTATCTCATAATCTTTTCTAGACCCCGGAAAGGGCTCTGAGCAGTGGACTGCATCCTTGAAGGAGAAACGGGGGGTGTAGACAGTGTGGCGGCCACCCCCCGGTTCCATTCGGATTCCTTTGCTCTGTGGGCCATGCCCATCAGGGGTCACCTCACTCCCAGGGAGGGCTCCCCTCCGGTTGGGCTTGGAGCAGAGCACATTGGGTCTCATTAGCCCAGAGGCTTGGTGGCCTTGGTTTGGCTCAGGTTGGCGGCGGGGGTGGCCAGACATAGGTCACAGTTACCAAGCCAGGTCCCCTGAAGGGACTTTGGCTGTTGAGAGCAGCTACGGTCCTCCGAGGGGGTCCCTGCAGGAGTGAGCATGGTGGGTGTGCGACTGGCTGTGCATTTGCAAACACACCCCTTCCTGTTCCAGGTCAGGCAGCAGTTGAGTGAAATGAAGAGCCACGTAGAGGATGGTGACATAGCTGGGGCCCCAGCTTCCTCCCCAGAGGCGCCCCCAGCCGAGCAGGACCCCGTTCAGGTTAGGGCGGTGAGCTGGTCCCCAGACACATCACTAATCCCAGAAGAGTGCAGGCCCTGCTGCCTCCGTTCGGACTAAACCCCGCACTGGCTGCTCCAGCCTCCGCTGCTTCCCCACCCCACCCTGCTTTGCCCCATTTGGATCATCCAGGTTCGGAGAAAGCCACAGAGCATGGAACAGAAAGGTGGCCAGGTGGAGAGGCTGGAGGAGTTGGGGGGAGGTGGGACTCGAAGAGGGAGTCCGTGATTTGGGGTCTGCACCTACAGGGCTCAGGAGCAGCTCTGGGCAGGGTCTGCAGCCATCGAAGGGGACTGTCTCCCACTGCAACCCCGGCTGGGACATCGCTAGCAGGATATTCGCTCTCCAGAGTTTTGAGCCCGGCAATAGCCACCAAGAGTCCTCACCAAGAGGCAGGGCCTGTCCCTGGGGTGGCCATGGTGTGGCTGTTAAGGGGGTTGTCATGGGGCCAGGGCTCGGAGGCATCGTTCTTGTCCTGTGAGTCTCGTTAAAGGCCCCTGAGGTTGCAGAGGCCCCATCAGCTGCTCCTGAGCCACACCGAAGTCTGTACCAGGGGCTGAGGTGCCCTCTCCCCAACGAGGGGAGCGTTGGGGCAGGGAAAGGGGAAGCTAGAAGCAGCTAGAGAGCGGTGCCTGTGCTGGATCCCTGGGCCCCTGGAGGGTTCCTCACCGGGCTGCCGGGTTATGTTTGCGGTGTTTGCACAGCTGAAGACGCAGCTGGAGTGGACAGAAGCCATCCTGGAGGATGAGCAGACACAGCGGCAGAAGCTCACGGCCGAGTTTGAGGAGGTCAGGCCCTGCCTGGTGGCTCTCAGCCCCCATCAGCCCCTGGGCCCTGAGTCTCCAGGGAATGAGTGGGTCAGCCCTGCCCCGCTCGGCTGTGCCCAGCAGCACCTGGGCTGGGCCTGGGCCTTCTGGGCAGCAGTGGGTGGGGCCCGGGCAGGTGGAGCACAGGCTGGAGGCACCTTGGGAGCCCTGTGGGTGGTCTGCATCCCTGAGGAGCCTTGAGGGCCTGGGGCTGGGTCAGAACTTGTGGGTCTGGCCCACTCATTCCAGCTACAGGATGGAGCTGTTGCTCCATCAGGCTGGGGGGGCCCCCTGGTCCCCAGGCGTGCTCGGTAGGGTCTTGACAGCACAGCCGTTTATAAGACGTCTCACCCAGACCTCACTTCCCTCTCCGGCAAGGCTCAGACCTCGGCATGTCGGTTACAAGAAGAATTGGAGAAGCTCCGCACAGCCGGCCCCCTAGAGTCTTCAGAAACAGAGGAGGCCTCACAGCTGAAGGCAGGCAGGGGCTGGGGCGGGGGTCACACCTGGAGGGTCTGCTCTGGGGCTGGCGCCACTCTTGGCCTCGGAAAGGGGCCAGGAAGGGGAGAGCCGACCCCACCGGGACCTGCCCTTGGCACTGGTTCCCCTTGTCACTACCCGGGGCTGGGGTGGGGACTCCTAGCCCTGCAGTGTCACATGGTCACATGGCAGCCATTAGTCCTGGTGGCTGTCGAAATGTGAAGCATGTAGAACGTGAAGTGCGTTCCTCAGCCACACGTCCAGCGCTCAGTAGTCAGGTGTGTCTCCTGTGCTGCCTTGGACAGTGCGGAGTAAACTGCTCCTGCCCCAGGAAGTTCTGGTGGTGCTGAGAGCACAGGACCCAGCCCTCACGGTCAGCATGGGCGGTTTCCTCCCTGTCGTCACCACCTATCTCCGGGTGACCAGGAGTTGCCTTCCTTGTGTCCCCAGAGGGCTCCAGCCCCTGGCGTCAGGGTCCTGTGGGCATAGCTGGGGTGGCCCTCCTGCCGGTGCAAGGGCTGATGCCCGTCAACCTTCTGACCATCAGGAGAGACTAGAAAAAGAGAAGAAGTTAACAAGTGACCTGGGGCGCGCCGCCACGAGACTGCAGGAGCTTCTGAAGACGACCCAGGAGCAGCTGGCAAGGGAGAAGGACACGGTGAAGAAGCTGCAGGAACAGCTGGAAAAGGCAGTGCGTGCCTGGCGCCAAAGCAGGGCGGGAGGAGTCGAGCTGCCGGGAGCCCCGGGGAGGCAGGACCGGGAGAGGCAGAGCTGGGCGGAGTCGTCAAGCTGCTGGGAGCGCTGGGCTGGGAGCCCCAGGGGAGGCAGAGCTGGGCGGAGGTAGTGGGGACAGAGACTTCCTAACGAGGGCTTCAGCCCACCCGGCCCACCACCCACCCTTCTGGGGTTCCCTTGCTGGGAAGCGAGTGTCTGATCCCCCTGCTGGCCCAGGTCCTCACTTTGCACCTGTGTGGGCCCCTTAGCCAGTGCTCCAGCCCCTGCCCTGCAGGATGATGGTTTCCCCTCAGCTCCCACCAAGTCCTCCCTGTCCCCCAGCCCCAGGGGTCTGTGGCTCCTGTTCTCTGAGGGACTGGAGTGGCTTGAGGGGGTCAATCCAGGGAGGGACTAAAGGCCCAGGGTAGAGGGCAGGTGGTTCTGCCATGGCTCGTGGCCCAGCCCCCCTCACGCCACCTGCCTTCGTTCACAGGAGGACGGCAGCAGCTCAAAGGAGGGCACCTCTGTCTGAGTTTCCTCTTTGGAAAAAGAAGTTACTGTTCAACTTACCAAAATGCCTTACACATTCCTTACAAATAAACCAACCAACCTACACAGCGTTATCCAGGCCCAACTTCCGGTAGCTCCGAGAGAAGCCATGAGAGACAAGTCTCTTAGAGCCACAGAAGTAGACCTTCCAGAGCCCCAGTTTGTAAATGAACCTGTGTCACATTTGATAAACACTATCCTGGGCGCAGCCCCGGGCCACCGCCGAGTGACGCCAAAGCCCTGGTTGACTCTGACAGCCCCGTGGGTGTGTGGGAGGCCGGGCGCTCTGGGGTCTGTCTGTCAGTGCAATCGTTTAGTGTTTTTTCAGTGGGGCGGGGCGGGAAGCGGGTGGGACCGGGCAGCCAGTTCTCAAAGGCTGTGGGGCCGACTGGAGGCCACAGCCCCTCACCCCTAGACGTTGCCAACCAGAACTGACGTGTGACCTCCTGGGTGTTGATGCCATTAAAACCAACGTTGGTGCCCGGTGCTGCGGTCTCGTCTGGTCTTCTGCTGGGGCTCCCCCACCCGCTGTTGGGCCCAAGATGAAGAACCAAGGGGTGGGGGCGCACTCGGGAAGAGAGTAAGCGTGGGCCTCAGCTGCTTTGAAGGCAGAGGCTCTGCAGCTCCGCGTAGCGTGGGGTGGGGCTGAGACTCGCTGCTTCCGGGGCCCCCAGCAGTTTTCCTTGTCACCTCCCAGACCTCAGTGCCCTCCGGGCAGGATAAGGGAGCAGGGCCTGCGACACCTGAGAGCCAGATACATTTACTGCTGCCCCGCATCCCGGAGGGGCTGAGGTTTGTGAGCGCGGCTGGTGGCCCGGGCTGTTGCGTGATGGAGGTCCGGGAATGAACAAGGGGTCTCTGTCCTGGCTGGGGCTTAGACACCCACACCCCAGGAGGGTGGGCCAGGGCTGGAGCAGCCCACTGCCTGCCCTCGGGAGGTGGAGTTTCACCTGCAGAAACCAGCTTAGGTTTGCCACGACCCTCAGACCCAGTGTCCTCAGCGGCCCCTGACAGCATGGTCTTTGGCCCCAAGAAGTGTGTCCCTTTGAGTGTAAACAATAGGAACCTGGAGCTTAGTCCACAAAGACGTTCAGAGGCTCAGAGTCACAGTAGGGCCCCAACCAAGCCCGGAATGGAAGGCGGGTCTGCCTTGACCAAGGACTGTTCACTTTAATCTCCCTGCCAAGCCTCGGAATCTTGGGAGAGGGTCTGCTTGGCCGAACTTGGCTGGGGGACAACTGGGCTCTTGGATGGCAGGTCCTCCAGGACGACATTGTGAGAAGGGTTCTGTCAGGGACAGTGGCAGCAAGAACCGGGGTCTCCACAGGCCTATGAGCTTGGCAGGTGGCCTGCTCTGGGATCTCTGTCGTGCATGGCCCCTTCAGGTGGTGGCAGTGACTCGGATGGTTTTCACAACCTCAAGACCAAGGGAAGCCCCGCGGTGTGCGTCTGTGTGCCTCCCTTCCTCAGCCCCCCACACGGCCTCTGCCTGCAGCCTTGAACTGCTTAGCCTCAAACTGCTCGGCCCAGACCTTATGTCAGTTCTCAGGAAGTGCCTGTGGGCCACCCAGCTATGGTATGTGGCACTGTGCGTCATGGCTGTTCTGGGTGCTGGGAGTCCTAGGAAGGCCCCTGGAGAAGTGGGCTTAAGCTGAGCTCCCAGGAAGAGCAGATGTGTGTGAGGTGAGGGAGGCTGGCACTCAGGCAGCAGCAGCGTAGAGGCGTGGAGGGCGGGGTGAGGCACGGCCTGTTGTGGAGCCAGGTTACCAAGACTGGGGGGCCCTGGACTGGGGAGGCAGTACAGCCACTGAGGTTTCTGAGCAGGGAGAGCCAAGCCTGCCTGTTTTAGAATTCTCTAGAGGAGGCTGAAGCAGAAAGGGATCCCACGGTCTTGGGACATTGACATCCTGGCTTCTGGCTGGGAGACTGAGTAGCAGGAAGTGCCCACAAGGACACCTGATGGCTGCCCGTTTCCCGCCCTGTGCCTGGCGCTCAGCGAGCCCTCGGTCCTCCCGGTGAGGTGCATCCTGCCCCATGGAAGTGAAGGTACCTCCCCGGGCTAAAGGCTGGGCAGGTTCAAACCCATCTCTCTGACACGTGGCTAGGCCCCGCAGCCTGGGAGGTCAGTGCTTGTGGGGCAGGGCTGGGCTCTGCAATGTGGGGAGCCTGGGGAAGAACACCCTGGGCTGAGCGCCCCGCAACAGCCACTGGGCCCCCTGCATCCGCGCCCCATGCATCTGGTACAGGGGGCTGAGTGGGAGCACAGGTTCTGGGTGAGGGAGGCCGCCTGCAGGAGGCAGAACTCTGCACGTGGGTGGCTGTAGGTCAGGTCAGTGGTGTGGGCCCCGGTGAGTGTGGGGAACGGACAGACCTGTGCCAGGGCTGCCACCGAATCGCCCCCTCGACCTGCCACACTGCGAGACTGAGCGCTCCATGCTGGGCTGATCCCCTCTGAAGGCACAGGAATGGGGCAGGGGTACCCATTTTGAGCAGCGGAAAGGGGAGACCTTGGGGAAAGAGACAAGGGATGCTGGGGTGCCACGCTGCCGCCTCTGGGTTGTGAGGGGCAGTGGCCTCCTCCTGGACTCTGGCTAAAAGCCTGCTCCTTCAGGCCACCTGCTGGGAGCCCCAGGTCTGTGCATGCAGAAGGGAGGAAGCCGAAGGCAGGTAGCACAGGGTGTAGGACTCCTGTGCGGCTGGCCTGGGAGTTCAGGAAAATGCCACTTGGGAGCTTTTCTCCTGCAGCTCGTTCTAAGGGCCCATCATCTGTTGTCCCCGCCTGCCCCAGCAGGGCCAGAGCAGTCCTCAGGCCCGGCAGTGGTACCTCCCAGGTGGGCAGAGGGAGCCTGAGTCTGCCAGGCCACCGGCTGGGCCCTGCCTCAGGTGGGCCGGGCCTCCTCAACTGTCCCAGGCCAGGTTCCATGTCAGGCTCCAGGGAAGCCAGCTGAGGCGCAGCCCTCGCAAACTTCCTGCGGAAGGGGCTAGCAGCACCCCCCCAGCCCCACAGCATTCCCCAGCGTGGCACAGGTCACTGGCCTGGCCATTCGCAGCCCTGTCCTGCAGCTGTAGCCGAGCTCAGGCAGCACCAGAGGACTGGCTTGTGCTGTTCTTGGAATGAAGTTCACCGTGGAGGCAGGACTCACCCAGCTGCTGCCCGACAGAGGAACCACTGCTCCTCCCTGGCCCAGCTTCACAAAGCCAGACCCTGGGTTTGGGCCGCTGGGTGAAGATGGATCAGAGCCCACAGAGTAGATGTGAAGTTCCAGGTTAACATGGCCCATAGACAGCACAACAAGACCTGAAGCCCCTCACAGACAGCTGCGCCCTGACCAGCTTCCTCAGGTGTCTCCATGTGATATTCTGGAACACACAGGCACCACGATGCTGCGCCTGCAGGCCACACCTACGGAAGCGGTGCAGTGAAGGCAGGAAGCCAGCGAGGCCTGAGGGACAGGTGCGGGGAAAGCGAGGTTTTGTTCTAGAAGCCACTCCACGCCCTCCACAGATGCCATCACTACACTTCCTTCAGGGCTGGGTCTGATGAGAGCTCAGAGTGCAAAAGAAATGCTTTCCTTCTTGGCCCTTTCAAATCTCACCCCAGCACTGAACAAGGTCTAACCTTTGAATTTCAGATGTTAGAAATGTGGAAAGATGATCCAATTATAATAAGAGGAATGAAGTGAATTCTCCTGAGGTGGTGGAAATAGCTCAGGAACAGAAACCAAGAGATCTGAGTTTTTGTCCCAGTTCTGCCACTTGTGAGTCGATTAACCTTAGGCAAGTTAATTCACCTCTGGGCTGGTTACTGAGGGTACTGGCCAGAGGCTCCATAAGTCCCTTCCCCAGTGCCCTTTTGGGACTGTGCAGAACCCAGAGAGCCCTCAGTAACAAAACGGTACTCAAGCCTGCCTTCCACTGAAACCCTGGCTCCTGGAATACTCCCCTCACCAGCCATAATGCCATTACTGTCCCTTCCAGCTGCAGTCCAGCTGGAACCCAGTCTAGAGCCCGTTCTCAATTTCAGAAATGCCCCAAATCACGAAGAAGTGATGCGTGTTGGGCATATTCAGTCTCTGGTGGTCCGAAGGGCAATTATAGTCAAGAAACAAGTTGCACTTGCTGTGCCTGCGGCAGCCGGTACTCTGCAGAAAGGAAACCACCAAACCAAACCTATTATCCAAGTCACTGTGTCCACTGTTTTTGCAGAGTAATATTATCTGAGATAACTTCACAGTCAAGCTCTGATTGAATTGTTAGCAATGGCTTTATTTGCTGCTTTGTCAGGGCAAGAGAGTAACCGCTAGATGAGACTAAGTCAGCTTTCCACAAACATATTTTTGCAGTGTGTTAGCATTTGTGAAGAGGTAAACGTATTTTCTGGAAACAGAGTATACTTGCAGTTTTGTTCCTGACCAACAGTAGACCAATCAGCTGAGGTCTGAACCCTAATTATGTACCAGAATCGCCTTGAGTGCTTGTTAGCACAATTCTTGGGCCTCAGGAATCCACTGAGACTTTCTCAAAAGTTCCCCTAGAGACTAACTACTAGCATTTTATTCAATTTCTGGAGTGAGTTCTGGATGCTTACATCACATCCCTTTGTACTGTTTGAAATCCTTCCCACAGAAGACACCTCACACACGCACAACAGTGCCACACTTAAGCCAACACCACAGGAAAAATCTCCTTCTAAAACTCCTTGACCAAATATCTTGCTTTACCTACATGGCTGACTTTTGAGTACGGCAGTCTTGGGCTTATGGCACTTCCCTGGAGGCCTGTTAATCACAATCACTAGCAGGACACAGTGGCTCACACCTGTAATCACAGCACTTTAGGAGGCCAAGGCAGGAGGCTTGCTGGAGCCCAAGAGTTCAAGGATGCAGTGAGTTATGATTGCACCACTGCACTCTAGCCTGGGGGAAAGAGTGAGACCCTGTCTCAAAAAACAAAACCCACACTAAAAGCATTGCTACAAAGTAAAGAAACAAGCAATTCAGGATGAATGACAAGCAGCCAGCACTATTTTCTAGACAATTCCAAAATATTTTGATTAAAGCATAATCTTGTCTCACAAACACCTGGCATGTGGATCAACATTAAAATGTTCCCCACCCTAGACTGCACTTAAACCTAGTGGCATAGCCTACTACACACCTAGGCTGTATGGTAGAGCCTATTACTCCTAGACCACAAACCTGGACAGCACGTTACTATACTGAATACTGTCGGCAACTGTAACACAATGGTATTTGTGTATCTAATTACAGTAGAAAATACATTATAATTGTATGGGACCACCATAGTATATGCAGTCTTTGACATGTAATAATGCACAGCTGTGTATCAAAATGCTAACCATGTGATGGCATGTGGTAGGACAATGTATAATTTCCCTTTTCTCTATTTTCTAAATTTTAAATGTGAATTTATAATTTTGTATAATATTTATTACACTTATAGTGTAATAAACATTGAAAACGTTCCCAACTTTTACACCAACTTTCTTATTCACCAGAGGGAGTTGTGACTTTTTTTTTTTTTTTTGAGACAAGGTCTTGCTCTGTCATCCAGGCTGGAGTACAGTGGCACGATCTCAGCTCACCTCCTGGGCTCAAGTGATCCTCCCACCTCAGCATCCAAAGTAGCTGGGACTACTGACGTGCACCACCACACCCGGCTAATTTTGTTTATTTTTAGTAGATGAGATCCCACTATGTTGCCCACGCTGATTGTCAAACTCCTGGCCTCAAACTATCCTCTTGCCTCGGCCTCCCAAAATGCTGGGATTACAGGAGTGAGCCACCACACTCAGCCAACCTTAACTCTTAATTATTGGAAATACCCAAACCTCAATGCCTTACCCCATATGGAAGGCAAAATCCTGTATTCCCAATTCACACATGAAAATTACACGAGAGGTAAGTCAAAAATGCTTCCTTTATTACATAAAGCCAATACTGCTACTTCTAAGTTCAACTGTTTGTGCATCTCTATATCGTTCAAAGTGTTACGCCCGTGATATTAACAATGACCGCTTCCAAGTGTCAGTGAACAGTGGCTCCCTGTGAGTGTCATCATGGTACCTCTCCCCATTGCACACAAGTCAACAAACTGCTCTAGAAAGTTAAGTTCTCCCAGGCCCAGAGTAAACATATACTCAATATTCTTCCATACTTTATTATACCATAAGAAGCAAACTTCTGAAGGAGATACAATTAAAGATACCACAGGTGTCCTAGCTTGTCAATATTCTGTTTTATCATTTTCATTAACAAAGCAGATTACAATGTAGCCCTAATTTGCATTATAATTAGTTGTTACAAGACACTGCACATTCTCCTGAAGACACACAATGATTTCCAAGATGCCAGGTCACTCTTCCAATCAGTGAATGGCGAGCTCACTGGCAGGTGCAGGGCTACTTCCTGTATTCCAATGATGTGCCTGAAATAGCGCTTTGCAAGATGAGCGTGGATTATGTGGACACAATTTTGAGGCAATCTCCATTACACATTTGGTAGAAGACTGCCTAACTTAATCTTACTATTAGTGTATTAGTGTTGTTATATTATGAAGACATATTATATTCCATTATTCTGCTTAGCTCAAGGAAGAATAAAGAATTTGGACCAAAATTATAACCAGATTATGAGCAATTTCCTAAGCAAAAGAAACAAAGTAAATGCTGAGGTTAATAAAGATGTAATAATTCTCTTCACATGGCCTTTACTGTTTGTGAACTGTGTAATTTAAAATCCTGAGCTTAACAAAAATCTTTATAAATCAACTCATCAAAACAGGCATTTGGCCAATAAGAATTTAATTTCACATCAATAAAACTTTAGACTTTAGATTTATTTAGGGCTGTTTGCATATGTTTATAGAATAGTTTACTCTAAAAGATGACAAGACAGCTCCCCCTCAGTGAGACCCTGGCCTAAATATATTTGCTTTATTTATATAGCAAGAGGATAACATTAAACATGGAAGCTTTCAATTTGTGGCACTGAATAATCTACACAGGGCATCCTTCAAAGGCTACAATTAAGGATCCACCTAACTTTTCAGCAATACAAGCCCGATTGAGATCTTCTGGTCCATTTGCTTGACATTCATGTTTTATGCCTAGAGAGAAAAAACAACACTTCTATTTACAATTATGGCAGCAGTTTACCTCTTTCTCTAAGATAACCAAACTTTTAAAAGACCAGTTCTAATCTGGATAAACTGGGGTATATACAAACACGGAATACTACACAGTAACGAGAAAAAATAATTGTAACTACATGCATCAAGATAGATGGGCCTCACAAACAGCATTCACTGAAAGAATCCAGATTTAAAATGCATATATTCTATTATATATATAGGTATAGCATACAAAATCAGCCCACGCTAACTTACGCTGTTAGAAGCCAGGGTGCTGGCTACTTTGAGGAGGAAGGGGCAGGCAGAAGTGCTATGAATTGAAGGGAACAGCACCAGGGAGGCTTCTGGGGTGCTGGTCATTAGATTAAGAAATAACCATTATGTTCACTCTGAAAAATTCAACACATTCTACAATAATTTGTGACATACACTTTTCTAAAGATATGTTGTACTTTGCTAAAAAGCTAAAAGGCAGGTCTAGTAAGAAAATTTTCTTGGTTTTTAAAACATAAAAATACAAATGATTTTTGATTGCACAGTTGATTTTGTCAACTGTATTGAAAAGTAAACAGCTGGCTCTTCAATGGTATTACACTACACATTTATGAAATCGATCACAATGAAAACTATGTGAAATATGTTACTGATTGCTTTCTTAGAACAATTACACTACCACAATGCAAAAACGAGCTCAATTATGGATTACATACAGTAGCTTCTCTGTAAATGGCCACTGTCTTTTAAATAGCTGCATGGTTATTCCCATCATTTAAAGACCATTATTTCTCAAGCTGCTGAAAGCACAGCAGGTCAGCTTTTGAACTACTCAGGACTGATCTGAGAAAGACAGTGGATGCTTTCATTAGAAAAAAGGCAGCATGGTCACTATCTTTTTTTTTTTTTTGAGACAGAGTTTTGCTCTTATTGCCCTGGCTGGAGTGCAATGGTGCGATCTCAGCTCACTGCAACCTCTGCCTCTTGGGTTCAAGCATTCTTCCTGCTTCAGCCTCCCAAGTAGCTGGGATTACAGGCATGTGCCACCACGCCCGGCTAATTTTTTTTTTGTATTTTTAGTAGAGACAGGGTTTCACCATGTTGGTCAGGCTGGTCTCGAACTCCTGACCTCAGGTGATCCACCTGTCTTAGCCTCCCAAAGTGCTGGGATTACAGGCATGAGCCACCACACCCAGCCGGCCACTATCTTTTAGTATCACCAAATCAAGTGTGCAAAGCAATTCCCTTTACTGAAAGGCAATGCAGAATAAAGATAATAAGGAATCCACTGTGAACCTTTTGGTTGGGCTGGGAAAGTGTTGAAGCTAAAGGATTTAAAAGTGTCAGTTAGCAACCCAGTGACACACTTCTGGGGGTTGCCAAACATCAAACCAAATGCACGAAGAACCTGACCCAGCAATAAACTATGCAGCAGCAAGGCTCGGGAAAGGAAGCAAGAATTTTTTTTTCCGAACTAAGTAAAACAGGCTAGGGCAAACCTGTTCTACCATGAAAATATAAAAACCAGTGACAGTAAAACAAACAAAACAAAATCAACATCAGGCCAAGCCCTTGTGACCTTGGCTCACTCAGCTGTTTGGAAACAGCCATGGCAGGAAGGTGGCAGGGCAAACTCTTAAACTAAAACTCACACATGAGACCAAGTCTCCCCTTCTACAGCTGAGAGAATCAAGGCCCATGGAGGTTAAGCAGTTCTGGCCAAGGCCACACAGCAGTTAGACAGGCTTCGCCCTCAGTGCAGGCCTTTGGGCACTTGCCCCATGCACGTTCTTTCCATCATACCAACATTTTCTCCTGGCTGAAGTCTGGCCAGGCCATCTCATCAGGATCCCAATCACCCAGTGGCAAGTCAAATACAACTGACCAGCTCAGGAGTGGGTGCACTTTCCTTGGGACACAGATGAATTAATTACCTAAAATCATGCCATTCAACAGTAAAGCTGGAGAAAAGAGCATCCTTTCTCATTTAGGTACATTTCCTTTTTGCAACTTTATTATAACAACTACATTCAAAGGCAAGAGCAAATTTACTATTATGTCCAATGTTAAACAATCAGTCTCCACCTCCTACATGAGAAAACTGGTAGCACCTCAAACTAGTTTAAAACCAGCCTGAATAAACGATATATATAGACAATGTCAAGGGTATAGTTATTAAACACAGGCTGGGCAGACCCAGAGCAACCAGCACAAAGCAGAAGATACATGGAAAGTCAAATTCAGTCTTCTGCTTTTCTCAAAACAAGTAACACTTCTCCCTTGTGCCCGAAGCTCTGCAAAAAAATAAGGTGCTTCTCAGAAAAGGTGCTGCCCCATTCTGAGTGTTCACCATACCTCTACATATTCAGAGGTCATCTAGAACATACCTTGAAATTTCTTTTTAATTGCATCCTTGGAGCTTGCATAGATCATTTTACTTTTCAGAGGTGCTAGTTCTGGTGCCCTAGATAGAAAGATGCCAAAAATGAAAAAAGTGGTTTAGAGAAAGTATAACTTGCAACTTGTTAAACATTTGCTTGTGTAAACATTTGCTGAGAATCCTCAGACTCTCCTGAGATATTTTTTCTTAACTGCACATTTTTTCTACCTCCCCAGCAGCTCAGAGAGGAAATGCTACAGATAGGCATATGCAGAATCACTCAGGTTGACCAGGGTGGGAAAAAAGAAGAGAACCACTGGTGGCAAAAGACAATCACCAATTAAAAATCAGATTACAGTCGCCATAATGAAAGAACCAACACTGAGTACTTCACTGTATAACCCAATTCTTTTTCTTCAGAATATTTTTCATTATTATTAATAAGGGATTGGATTCAGGCTAATATTTACACAAGGTTTTTGACAGTTTTTCTAGTTGGAAAAAAGTTTTAAAATACATAAAAGTACAGAGAATAATCCGTAAGTACGTGTGACCCAGAATTAAATGCTAATATTTTGGCACCTTTGCTTCAGATTGTTTTCTAAAAAAGAATAAATCAAAAACTTAAAAAAAAGGACAAAAAAGAATAAATTACAAATAAAAGTCCTTTTCTTAGACTTCCCCAGTCCCTTCATCTATTCCAATAGCAGGTTTTGATCCCACAGGTACTTGTTTTCTTAGTCTAACATAACAATACATGTTTAATTACAGATCTGGGCATCCACGTTTCAATAATTCTCTGGAAAAAAATATTAAATCCACTTGTATAATCTCATGATTCTAAAGATTTCTAAATGGCAACTCACCAATAATTATGTCTTAACTGTCAATATTATTACTATCTTTTTATATTTATAACATTGGAGCACGTTCTCCCTCTTGAAGGGAAGCGTGTTAGAAGCACAGCATATGTGTCACAGCACCTTCAGCAGCAACACTGAAGAATAAGGATGATTAGTAACGGACAGAAACCCTCCCACTCAGACTGCTTGCACGGAGGTCCTTCTTTCCTCTGTACGCCAACCCATAGGCCCACCTCCATGCCACACTGCTAAAATATCACAGAGAAGATGCAGTACAGTAAGTCCACACTTAACATTGTCAATCAGTTCTTGGAGCCTGTGACTTAAAACAAAATGACATATACCAAAACCAGTATTTTTTTTTCTCAATGTTATAACAAAACTACATTGAAAGAAATGACGTTATTTGAGGACCTGGTGTATGTTGTTTTGCTTAAAGCTGTAGTTTCCAAGAGCCTACTGGAGGTCATTAAGATATTACGGTATAGCTAAATACTTCTGAGCATTTAATAATTCCATTTAGCTGCCATATTTCCAGGACATTCAACAGCCATGAGCACTGGCATGTGGACCTCACCTAGTGTACCCCTTACCCTAGTGAGCAGAGATTCCATTCTTGGGAAAAAGGGCAGTCTGTCTCTCAGAGGCTTATTCCTCCCAATCCTAAGGTCCAGGGAAGGAGGCAGAGCCATCACAACCTCAGGACTGGCAGATGTTTGAGCTACAGGGTGGGTACTTTTTATTTTTTATTTTTTTGAGGCGGAGTCTCGCTCTGTCACCCAGGCTGGAGTGCAGTGGCGTGATCTCAGCTCACTGCAACCTCTGCCTCCCAGATTCAAGCGATTCTCCTGCCTCAGCCTCCCGAGTAGCTGGAACTGCAGGCGTGTGCCACTATGCCCAGTTAATTTTAGTAGAGATGGGGTTGCACCATGTTGGTTGGCCAGGATGGTCTCGATCTCTTGACCTCGTGATCTGCCCACCTCCACCTCCCAAAGTGCTGAGATTACAGGCATGAGTCACTGCGCCCAGCAGAGTGGGTACTTTTGTTATGAAAATAGGTCAGAAACATAAAAAAGCATCAGCTGTTCTGCTTTTATTCTAACCAAATTGTTAAACTACTTTAAGAGCTGCTCCCTGGGCCATGGGCGGAGCTTGTTATAGAAAATGCCTTTAATAAGGTTCTACCTTTTCTTAAGTAACAGTGTAACAGTGCAAAATAAACCACTGCACTAACACTAAATTTCCTTTTCTTCTATTATTTTCCACATTTAAAAAAATAAGAATGCATACTTTTCATAATTACAAAATACATAAAAAGCAGAAAAAATACCTGCAAATTAAGGAAATACCGACCAATTTAAAAGCCTAAACCATTAGCTGGCCTGTCTGCCACTCAGCTGTGAATGCCAGAAGAGGAAGGACTTAACCTGTTTTATTCACAGCTGTTTTCCCAGGCCCTCGCACAATAGCTGGCGTGTAGTAGAAATAAAGTTCAGTAAATGCACCTTCATTCAAATCCTTGTTAATTTTCAGTCTTATGTACCAGCTTCAATGGACTCTAAGCTGCCTGAATACGTGCACCCTGACCTCATATTTGCATTCCTCACAGCAACTTGGTTTAATCAAGTGCAGTAAAAGCTTACTGAAATACAAGTGAGGTGTGACCTCGAGTTATCTTCCTTTTTAAACCACAATCCTCTGCATCTCCTACTCCCATATCCCTTTTACACTCCAAGCTATTGATGGCACATAGCTAAAAGCTAAGTCCCTCCCTGCCTTGCCCTGACTCAGGCCAAAGTATCAAGAGAATCCTTGCCCCTCTAAAAAAAAAAAAAAGAAAAAAATCAGGTAGTGTTACCATTTCTCCCTCCCCTTAGAAACTAAAGAATTCTACTCCTGGCCATATCAAGGAATGCAGTATAATATTCAATAAATGAGGGATCCAGGTGTAACTTTTTTCTAAAGCTTCATCTCAAATACCGACTTGCCTGAAAAGACCAGAATAACTAAACAACATTTCAAGAAAAAGGCCATAAAAATAACTTTATAGCCCTGTTTCACTATCTAAGAGTAACACTGCCCAACAGAGTTTTCTGCAATGATGGAAATGTTCTGTATCTGTGCTACTCAATAAGGTGGCCACTAGTCAGATGTGGCTACTGAGCATTTGAAATGTGGTAATTCATTCAGCTAACAAACTGAATTTTTAATTTTAAATAATTTAAATAGCCACATGTGGCTAGTGACTACACTACTAAACAGTGCAACTGTAGAGCAAATTATAGCAGGGAGGGAATGGTACCAATTTCTTCAAAAGTAGTAGACCACAGAGGCACAAGGAAGGGGTGTAATTTAAAAGAGTAGATAGAAGGCTGGTTCCTGGCATGGCTCGTTGGAAAAGTAGGGTTTTGGCTTATAAGTAAGAAAGTTAAAAGTAGTAGGAAATTTTAGCCTATAAAAGCAGTACATTCAGAGGATGCCTCCTGTCCTTTCCCCATTGAAAAAAAAAACAAAAACGGAGAGTCACATAACAAGTAGATAGAAAATAGTCAAAATTTAGTTTGGGTCCCATAAACATCAGCCCTGGTAACATTATGAAACCTGTAAATAAAAATTAAATGACAACAACTGCAAATAGTTTGAATAAAAATTACTTTGGTGCTGGAACTGGTCTTCCCGAGTGCTAACAAAATGAGTTTTACAGAGGCTCAATATTTCTAACATGCTTACCACAAAAAAAACATCAACTCTTCTTTTCTGGATTCTTTTGTTTCAAAGCTTGCATCATACAAAGCATAGCGACAATCTTTTTCAGGAAGCATTCCCACAAAATGCTTGAAAGGATCAGTTATGGTTACACCAACATCTCCAACCAAGATCTCTTTGCCTTCTTCTACAATGATGCACTTTTTGTCTGCACTGAGACAAAAAATGACAGCCTTCTTTCTTTTCTTGATTTCTTCTGGTGTGGAGCATTTACGAACTTTCATGTCATAAAAAATGCGACATACTTCATCAGCTACTTGCACTCCTGAGGCCTATGATGAGAAAATACATGAGAAAAAGACTTACAATTTTTATTGTGCCAAACATAAAATAATAAATTCTGCTTATAGATTGGCATATATTTAACATTTTAAAGGTATATCATCTAATTAAAAAACTAGAAATTTGAGCTGTAATCACTACTAATTTTAGACATCAAACTTTTTAAAAGATCACAAATATATGCCATTCCTCACTACTGCACAGGGGTAAGGAAACATTCAACTATAGCAGCCTCTCCTACCCTAGAACCTTAAAAGAAGTGTTTCCTAAGGTGCTGGGTTATTTTCTTCTTATACAGGTTGCTTAGAGCCTTGACTACAGGCAGATCATCTTCCCAGTGTGTATATTCATGATACCTAAAATTCCTTTTGTAATACACAGTAGCTGGTCATAGCTGCTAGACTGGGAAATTTCCATCCCTACAGCATCTCTTTCTCTAATAAAAAAAAAGATTTATTAAGAGGTCTTTGCTCTACTCACATTTCAAAATTATGTGATCAATATTCAGTATTAGTCACACTTGCCATTAAAATTTCACTTAAAAATTCCAAATTTTAAACTAAGATTAGAATAAATAAGAAAATGTCTACTGCTATAATAAAGAGGGTAGCTTAATTAGGGATTATACTGACCAGAAAAATTACCTTTCGCTATGTTATACTTGCTATTCTGGGCTGAAGGACAGTTAAACAAAATCTTGATAGCACAAGATCTTAAACCAGTTTTTAATTTTTTCATCTTGAGGAATGTGCTATTTACATTAACTTTATTATATCCATAATTGTTAATGCCTCATTAACTACTTTGTTTTGCATGTTAGCTTTTCTAAAGCAAGAATTATAAAGCCCAACAAGAGATGCCCAGGAGGCTCTGCCAGTCATGGTTGAACAGCACTGGAGGATGATCAGACTAAGGGAAGAATGTAGACAATCAAATGTGTGATTGCAGGAGATGTGGCTGTAGACAAAGCCTGCCTCCCCATCAGTTATACAACAAATGCCTTTCCTAAGGAGTATATGCCCAATGTCTTTGACAACTACAGCACCCAGACATCTGTGGATGGCCAAATCATCAGCCTGAACCTGTGGGACACCACTGGCCAAGAGGAGGAATATGACCAACTGCGACTGTTCTCCTATCCCCAAGACCAATATCTCTGTCATTTGTTTTTCCATTGGCAACTCATCCTCTTAGGCCAATGTGAGGCATAAGTGGTACCCAGAGGTCTCCCATCATTGCCTCAATGTATCTGTTATGCTGGTAGGCACCAAAAGGGACCTGTGGAGTGACCATGAGACAGTGAAGAAGCTGAAGGAGCAGAGCCAAGTGCCAATGACTCCTCAGCAAGGCCCTTCCCTGGCTAAGCAGGTGGGAGCTGTGAAGTATCTGGAATGTTCAGCCATGATGCAGGATGGGGTGCATGAGAGATGGGGTCTCGTTATGTTGCCCAGGCTGCAGCCTAGTGGCTATTAACAGGAATGATCATAGCACACTACAGCCTTGAACTCCTAAAATTGGGCAGTCCTCCTGCCTTGGCCTCCCAGATAGCCAGGGCTGCAGGTGCATGACAAAGCGGCTGGTTACTTCATTCTTTTTACTGTTGAATAATGTTCCATTGTTTGGATATCCCACATTTTCCTTATCTATTCATCAGTTGATAGACATTTGGGTTGTTTCCACTTTTTGACTATTAACACTGCTATAAACACTCGTGTACAAGGTTTTGTGTGGGCATGTTTTTAATTCTCTTGGGTAGAAAACTAGGAGTGGAATTGTTGGGTCATATGGTCAATTTATGTAAAACCATGCTTTGAGTCAAGAATGGTATCTTTAGGCTGGGTAGTAGCTATGCCTGTAGTCTCAGCACTTTAGAGGGAGAGGGCAGGAAGATCACTTGAGTTCAGGCGTTTGAGACCAGTGTGGGCAACATAGGGAGACCGTGCCTCTAAAATTTTTTTAATAAAAAGGGAAAAATGAATCATAAGCAATAGAATTTAAATACTAAACAATGGAAAAATATTAATGATACCCAAATGTCAAATCATTTAAGAAATAAAAATGCATATAAGATGAAGATAACCAACAGAATGAGAGAAAACATCCAAAAATCCTACAAGGAACTTGTCAGAATAAAGAACCCTTACAACTCAATTATAAAAAAAGGCAAATACTTCAATTAAAAAACAGTTTTAAAGGATTTAAATAGACAGTTCTCCAAAGATGTATAAATGGTTAATAAGGACGTGGAAAAAATGCTCAACATCAATAGTGATTAGGGAAAAGCAAATCAAAACCATAATGAGATACCTCTTCACTTCAAAACCATAATGAGTCACCCACTAGGAGGGCTAAAATAAAAAAGATGGACAATAACAAATGTTTGTGGGGCCATGGAGAACTTGGAACCCTGATATGCTACTGTAGAACTGTAAAAGGGTACAGCTGCTTTGGCAAACAGTTTGGCAGTTCCTCAAAAAGTTAAACATAAAGTTAACACCTGACCTAGGAATTCCACTCTTAGGTATATATACTCAAGAGAAATGAAAATGTGTCCATACCAACACCTGTACACAAATGTTCATAGTAACATTATTCAAAATAGACCAAAAGTGAAAACAATCCTAAAGTCCATTTAGTGATGAATAGATTTTTAAGATGTAGTATATCCACACAATGGAATATTTCTTGGCCATTAAAAAAATGAGGTACTGATACATGCTACAAGGATGAACCTTGACAAACACTGTGCTAAGTGAAAGAAGCCAGACAGAAAAGGGCACCTATTGCATGATTCTATTTATATGCAATGTTCAAATTGGGTAAAATCAACAGACAGTAGGTAGATTAGTGGTTTCCAGAGGTTGAGAAAAAAGGGGAATGGGGAGTGACTGCTAATGAGTATGGGTTCCTTTCTGAAGTAATGAAAATGTTCTGGAAGTTGACAGGAGTGATGCATACACAACTGTGAATATACTGAAAAACCACTGAATTGAACTGTACTTTGTGGTATGTGAATTATACCTCAATAAAGTTATTACAACAAATACCATGTGTTCGCACTTAGGAACTAAATAATGTGTACACCTGGACACAGTGTGAAATAAAAGACAATGGAGAGCCAGGGGAGGATGAGGAATTAATTAATGGGTAGAATGTATGTTATTCGGGTGATGGATACCCTAAAAGATCTGGCTTCACTGCTACCATCCATGCATGTAGCAAAATTACACTTGTACCCCCATACATTTATACAAACAAATAAAAATAAAGTTGTCACTTTAAAACACATGCAAGAATCCTGGGAGAAAGATACACTAAGATCCTAGCATTTACTTAATATTAAGGTAACTGGGCTATTTCATCATCTCATTCATTAAAGATCTCTAAATAACACACTCCAATGCCATCTACTCCACATTTTCTGTTCATAAATGAACATTCACTCTAATAAAGTGGCAGAAACAGAAAATTAGGACTAGAAAACTCATAAGTACACAATATTACCACATTCCTAATTTTAAAAAGCACTTTTCTTAAACCTTTTACTGCTTTAGGAGTAGCATATTTCTGATCTTTACAACGTATCTTATGTTAAGCAAGTTAAGAATCTCCATTTTGCAACAGATGAATAAAATGTTCAAAGCAACAAAAATTGAAGAACTAGAAACAGATCCCAATCCCTCTAACTCCCTAGTCCATAATGTTGAAGTCACATTTGACCCAACAAGCAATTTCTAAAAGCAGGAAGGCAACATCTAAAGCCTTATATTCAATCAACCAATCTTTAAATACATCAATCAATATCTAAGCATCTCAAACATTCTAAATTCTGATTTGTAAATTAAATCAATGATGTACTAGTAATCAAAAACAAAGTAAATGTGCATTCTGCAATTATAAAACAGATAAATCTCAGCCAAATCTGGCTGTAACTTACAAGCTCCTTAAAAGCCTCAGTAAGGAAGAATTTTGTCTTTTTTTCTATCAGAAGTGATGTCTGTGGAGGTTTCTTATACCATTAGACACTTGTGCTTGAGGAAATTAACACTGAATACTTGAAGGAGAAACTGGCACAGAAACTGGAAGCAGAAAACCAATTTTGACACAATTACAAATATTCAGAGAAGAAAGCTCTGAACTACAGCAGTGAGGTTAAAAACAGAAAAATTCAAGGACATGTCAAAGTCAAACCAATATAGCTGAATGAGACACAAAAGAGTGGTATCAGAGAAGCCCCAGGATTCTCTCGATTAGTGACTAGACTGCAATATATGAACAGAAAAGGAAATATGGCACAGTACGACACATCCACTCTGAAGACTGTGCAAGACATCTAGGTGGAGATGACCAGACAGTGGCAGAAATATGAGCACGGATCTCGTTGGAAGGCTTCACCTAATCCATATTTTGGACTAGCCCACACCATGGGGTCACCAACATTAAGCAGCAAAAGAAAAACCAATCTAGTTTCTCACCACTGAGTACGTAAAAATTAAAAAGAGAAACCCATCAAGGACACTAAAAAGAGGTAATCAGAAAACTAAGAAGAAAAAGAAGGAAGAAAGCAGCATCTTAGAAGCAAGGGAGAATATTTTGAGGAGGAAAGTCATCAACAGCCAATTCTGCAGTATTTCAGAGAATGAAAACAGATCGCTGGGCTTGGCAATTGGGCCTCTGAACATTTCAACAGATGGGAGAAATGGGACAGAAGTCAACCATAATGGACTGGGGACCCATGGGGAATTGAAGAGGTAAAGACAGAAAACATAAGATGGTTAACAATGAAGAAAAAAGGGAAGATTGAATGGTACTTCATGCAAGTTGTCTTATGATTGGGGAGATGTAACTGTTCTAGATATTTAAGAACTTGAAGGAATAAAGAGGAAGAGCCAAAACATTAAAAAAAAATTAAAACATACACTGAGTACTTACTATTGCTAGACACTTCTAAATCACAACAATTCTATGAGACAGCTACTATCACTATTTGCATCTTAAAGATGCATAGCAAAATTAAATAATTTGCCCAGGGTCACAGAGTAAACAATAGAGGAATTGGGATTTGAACTCTGGCAATTTGGCTCCAGAGGAGATTTTTTTTTTTTTTCCAGATGGACGTTCGCTCTTGTCATCCAGGCTGGAGTGCAATGGCACCATCTCGGCTCACTGCAACCTCTGCCTCCTGGGTTCAAGCAATTCCAGAGGAGATAATCTTAATCACTCATAAAATTAACAATATCAGAGATCTAAAGAAATGGGTAAGATCCACAGCACAGATGGGAGAGTTAGCCTAAGAAAAAGATACACATTTTTTTCTCTGAAACAGGGAGGAAGGGAAAATGACAGTTTTGAGGTGGAAGGAAGATACACTGCCAAAAATTGTGTCTGAAAGATTCTATTTTCTCTGTGAAGTATAAGGCAGGAGGAGTAGGATGGGTTTGAGGGCACTCCTCCAATCTACTACTACTAACAATTCAGAACAGCTATGACGGGGAGTTCCAAAAGGAACTACCTAAGGACAAGAAAAAGGGCTCTGGGGACCTCCAAAAGGTCAGCTGAGGTCAAGGGGTGAGGGTGGTAGGACAATGCAGTGGAAAGCAGAGGCTGATGGCAGTGTGGAAGGAAAGGACGAACTCTGCATTCTTCCTCAGAGAGTTTACCCAAGCTCAAGCTTTCAATCATCTAAGCCAAAACTTAGTTCAGACTTCTGCTCTTCTGAGCTTCTAGTCTTTACATTCAACTTCCTATCTCACATCTCCAGTTGTGTGTCTCAAAGGCATGTGATGCACAACATGTCTAAAATAAAAAACAAGCTGGTCCATTTCTAACCAGTCTTCCTTTCTCAGTAGCTATCACCACCCTCCTAGTCACATAAGGCTCCAAGCCTAAGAGATGTTCTTAGCAACTCCTCCATTATCTTACTCTTTGGATTTTCATCTTTCTCTGATACATTCATCTCATTTCACCCTCAGTCCAAGCTTCCATTGCCTCTTACTTGGACTGCAGTAACTCCTCAAGTGGCTGCAGAGGAGGGAGATTAGGATATGTATACATCATACTGTTTTCTCTTCTTGGCTGAACAGGAAAGACTGCATTCCCCAGCCTTCCTGGCAAGCTGAGTTGGCTGTATGACTGAGTTCTGAACAGCCATTTGAGTTCTGAACAGCCAAGCTGGGCCCAGTTATGTAAACTACTTCCAGTCCTGGCCCTTTAAAAGTGATCTTTAAATACACTAAATACAGCTTTTTAGATGTGAATCCTACCACAATAAAATGATTTTTAAAACATCAAAAATTAAATAAAAGTTAAATAAAAGTGATCTTAAAGCTCTGTTTTCTCCCACCAAGATGACCTTGGTAAGCATACTTCATGATAGGAGAAGGCTGCCCAACCCTTCTGGACTCTGCGTGACAGAGACAAATCTTTACTGTGTTAAGTCACTGAGATTTTGAATTTAATTTGTTATTGCAGTTCTAATACAACAAGACTGCCCATACCAACTGCCCATCACCTTTACCCTCCAATTCATCCTCTACATAAACATGAATCTGATCACCATACTTAGAACAGTCCAGTGGCTTTCCATTGATCTGAAGGTAAAAAATAGCTATTTATTTATTTATTTATTTATTTATTTATTTATTTTTGAGATACGGTGTCACTTCGTCACCCAGGCTGGACTGCAGTGGCATGATCATAGCAAACTGCAGCCTCGCACTCCTGGGCTCAAGTGATCCTCCCACCTCAGCTTCCTGAGTACTGGGACTATAAGCACGTGCCACCATGCCCAGCTAATTTTTAAAATTTTTTTTGTAGAGACAAGGTCCCACTATGTTGTCCAAGCTGGTCTCAAACTTCTGGCCTCAAGCTATTGTCCTGCCTTGGCCTCCCAAAGTGCTGAGACTACAGGTATGAGCCACCACCCCCAGCCCAATAATGGGCTCCATTTGGCTATACCTACCTCTTTAGCCTTATCTTATAGACCACACACTGCAATTTCACTACCCTGGCTTTCTTTCAGTCATTTGTACTTGCCATACTCTGGCCCACTTCAGGGCCTTTGCTCATACTATACACCCTGCCTAGATAGCACTTCCCTACAGTTCTTTGGCTAATACTCTTTAGATGTCAGATCAATTCTCACTACGCAGAAAAGTCTTCTGCATCAAAACCAGTATCACATGCTCCCATAAGATCATGTATCTCCACCACACACCACCTCCTACCACTTCAATGCTCTATCTTTAAAATTACTTAATATCATCTCCTTAAGGCCACAAGTTCTTAAAGACTGTAAGTTCCTTAAGATAAACGGTGTCTGTCTTATTCATTATTGTGTTACCCTGAAAAAAAAATCAAAGATCAGTCAGATGAATCATTAGTTTGACTTATGGAGAAGATAAGGACAGCACATACAAAGCTTCAATACTTGGTAGAATATACATTATTCCTTGATAAACTCCAGTGGAAGGGAATTTAAAGAAAGTAGCTTAAACAGAAAGACAGTTCATCAGGTAGTTTCATGCTGACTTAAAAGCACTCTAAAACAAGGGGACTGAAAGGATGAAAAGACTGCTCCTGACAAAGAGAACCCAGCAAATACAACAGGAGATGAGGATAAGGGAGAAGGAAACTGGAGACTCGCACCAGGTTGAGATGGAAAAGGCCTCCAACAGAAGGTTCAGGGGTTTGGAGACTGGATATTTTTAAAAAGAGTAAGAGGAACAGAGTTGTGCTTTGGGAAAATACATGAAGCCATGCGTAAGAGAACAAGAAGAGGAAGAAAATTATAGTAGGCACTCCAGCTAAAAGGCTAATTCAGCAACCAAGGCAAGAGGTGCAAAAGGCCTTCACTAGGGTAGTGGCAGCATTACTAAGGAGGAAGTGATGGGAACTGCATAGGTGCAATCAATTGTAGTTGACAATCACTGGACTGGGAGAGGGGAGGTGGAAAGGAAGGAGTCTGTATGGTGATCAGGAGGCTAATTAATAATGCCAAATGCTCACTTTCCTTAATTTCCCCACTGTGGTGGCTTTGATATTAGAGTAGTATGGCTCTTCATGACTAGTAACTAGTAGTATGGCTCTTCATGACTAGTAACACTATATACTAAATTTTGCCTGCAAAAATAATAAAAAACCCACAAGGTATAGTATATGTTAGATTTAATGAATATACTTAAATTTATTATACCATGGTTTACTTACCACATCCTTGAGATATGGTGAATATTAAAACCGAGATAAAAGAAATAAAGATTAAATAACCGGTTCCGAGATTTTTTTTTTTTTTTTTTTGAGACAAGGTCTCTCTGTGTCATCCAGGCTGGAGTGCAGTGATGTGATCATGGCTCACTGCAGGAGCCCTGACCTCCTGGGCTCAAGCGATCCTCCCACCTCAGCCTCCTGAGTAGCTGGGACTAGAGGTGCATGCCACCACACCCAGCTAATTTTTGTATTTTTTTATAAAGATGGGGTTTTGCCATGTTGCCCAGACTGGTCTCGAACTCCTGGGCTCAAGTCATCTGCCTGCCTTGGCCTCCCAAAATGCTGGGATTACAGGCATGAGCCACCATGCCTGGCTGTAGTCCCTAGGTTCTTGATAATGATTTTTATACAGTAAAACTAAAACCATGAGGCAGACAGAAAGCACGGAATACTAACCCTAAAGCCTGGCCCAACACTGCCCAGGGCTCTGACCTTCTTCTAAACTCCATTCTCGTAGTGCCTGTGTATCTCCTCTCAATACGCTGGTAGCTCTCTTACGTCTTTGCCTCTAGTGGGTGAACTGAAAATCTGGGGTAAAGATTAGCAGATGGAAAGAAGACAATGATTAAAGTAACTGCAATTTATTAACATCTCAGAGACCAAAAGGAGATATCTTAAAGCACTAAAATCATGAGAGTAACAATCCATCCCCATTCCTCTACTAACTAGCTATGTCACCTTAGGCAAGTCATTATCTCTGAATTAAATTTGTTCCTTTAACTGTACTTAGGGGAGTGGACTAGATCAGTTATTATCTAACTCTAATGTGCACAGGAATCACCTGCAGATTTTAAAGATTCTGATTCAGAATATCTGGGGTAGAGTCTGAGAGTTTGTATTTACACTAAGCTTCAGGTGATGATCACTAAGATTGCTCTGAAATTTCATGAAAGAGAATAAAATCGTAGCTCATTGCTATAGGGGCTTCTTTGCCTACAGGCAAAATTTTTATAATGAAGCAGTAGTGGTAAGAGTACTTTATTTTACCAATATTAGTAGGTCCAAAGTCAAAGCATTTTTTGTGTGTGCCACGGACTCCTGGCAAAGCCTATGGGCCCTTTCTGGAAATAGTGTTTCAAATAAAATAAAATATACAGGATTGCCCAAAAAAAAAAAAACCCAATTATACTAAATAATAGTTTATCTATAATAATAGTTGAGAGTTCTTGTATTAATTTTGGATGATTTGTTATCACAAAACAACATCATGGTGAATATTAAAACAAAAGTGGCTGTAACACCAATATACAGAATTATCTGTTTTACAGATATTTATTATCTTTTTACCTAAAAGAGCCTTTCCCATCAGTCCCATTCTTTCAGTATTTCCGTGGTTTTTCTGGGGGGGAAGGGGGACAGGGTCTTGCTCTGTTGCCCTAGCTGGAGTGCAGAGGCACAATCATGGCTCACTGCAGCCTCAATCTCCCGGGCTCAAGCGATCCTCTTACCTCAGCATCCAGAGTAGCTGGGACTACAGGCAAACACCACCACACCTGGCTAATTTTTTAACTTTTTTGTAGAAACAGGGTCTTGTTATGTTGCCCAGGCTGGTCTCGAACTCCTGGCCTCAAGTGATCCTCCTGCCTCAGCTTCCCAAAGTGCTGGGATTACAGGTGTGAGCCACCATGCCCAGCCCTAGTATTTCTCTAAAATGTTAGGTTATTAGATTTAATTGCTCATTTGTCAAGAAACCTAAACTTTATTTTTAAAAAAGCAAAATCAAATTGTTTTTACTTAAAAAATTTTCTAAGAGTTACTGATATTCAAGTACACAGTTTTAACAATAAAGACCATTAAAGGATACTCTGAACATAGCACCAAGTTTGCTGCACAAATGGGAAGGAAAATCTTGAGAGCAAAAATAGACTGCTATCATAACAAGAGCTTTGTGATTACCTTAAAAAGATATGTTATCCACAACTTCAGTTTCTCCATGTACCAGTGACCACTGGAGAACAGTTGCTCTTAGAGCTCCACCCCCATGTCAAAAAATAGCTGTTAAAAATATACTTCACTGCATTTTATCTCGCTTGACTACCAGTTTTTAACTTGTTCTCAAACCTGTCTGAGTCTCCTCTGGCACAGCTTTTGTGAAATAATGTTTCAGAGATTAAATCAATACATCTGAGGCCCTGCATGCATACTTAAGAATCACTGTGTAAGCTTCTTTAAAAATGTTACTACTCACTCACAGAGGGAAGTAAATGTTACAAAGAATATGGAACACTGGGTATTTTACAGTTGCAAAGGACAGAACACAACTTAAAATAACAATTCTCTCAATTCTAGCATAAGGATAGTAACCTTTGAAACGTGAGCATTAAATTTTTCTAATTTGATTTTTGTAAATAACTGAACCAGTCCAAAAGCTAAATGCAATGATAGCTTACAGCAGTCCCTCCTAAACCAAAATAAATCAGAAACGGTGGTCTTTTTCCGTACTACTAAACTCAAGACAGACACCTGACCTTGGCTACATAATTAATGACAACTAAACTTCACATGATCCTTATTATTAATAGAGAAAACAGGATGAAAGCTATTTTAACTACCTCAGAAAATTATTAATTAAAAAATTTTTTTCTAAGGTAAAGTCTGAAATATTTGAATGTAGGATACTGCAGACAAATACTCAAATTTTCAATAGCAAATTTTCAAACTGGCAAAAATGTCATCAGCATCTTAATCTACCTACTTCTACCAACTTCTCAAAGGAGTTAGGGAGTTAAAAACTGGGTTCACGATTCTACTTTATTTATACCATGCCTTGCACAAGGGCCAATAGAAACAGAATGACTAATGACAAAATATTTGGGCTTTTGGCTGCTATAATTGATGCTTCTGAACAATCATGCTGAGACAATAAATAAAATGAGAGTGACAAGTTCTTCAGCACATTTCTGCTTCACAGAAGTGTTCAGGGCCTCACAGGTCCTATATTAAGATGCGGAACTTGGCTGGGCGCTGCGGCTCACGCCTGTAATCCCAAAATTTTGGGAGCCTGAGATAGGCAGATCACCTGAGGTCAGCAGAGCAGCCTGGTTAACATGGTGAAACCCCGTGTCTACTAAAAATACAAAAATTAGCCAGGCATGGTGGTGTGTGCCTGTAATCCCAGCTACTCAAGAGGCTGAGGCAGGAGAATCACTTGAACCTGGGAGGCGAAGGTTGCAGTGAGCAGAGATCACACCACTGCACTCCAGCCTGGGCGACACAGCAAGACTGCCTCAAAAAAAAAAAGTAGGGGGAGGGAGGGTTAGGGGTTGAATATATACATCTCCCTACCAAAACTCTACTTAAAGTATAAAAATGGGATTAAAAAGAAAAAGAACATAAGTCCACCACGACAAGAAGAGAAGAAATATGGAAGTTCAAATAAGGAAGAATGAGTGAAATGGGTCTGAGAAGCAAAGATCCCTAGACTCCCTCCTGAACGCCATCCTGCTGCCAGCCCCTTACCCCTGGAATTCTGGAGTTTATTCTCTGGAGAAGGTAAACAGTAGTTCTGGAGTAGTCAGAGGATACAGGTGACCATATGTAAATGAGTGCTGAAACACTCTCCCCACCACCACCACCATCTTGAAGTCATGCCTTACTAAATCCTTTGTCCCACTGTTCTAGAGAGCCGTGCTGTCCAACAGAACTTTCTGTGATGATACAAAGGTTCCTTCTTTTTGAGACAGAGTCTCGCTCTGTTGCCCAGGCTGGAGTGCAGTGGCGCAATCTCAGCTCACTGCAAGCTCTGCCTCCTGGGTTCACGCCATTCTCCTGCCTCAGCCTCCCAAGTAGCTGGGACTACAGGCGCCCGCCACCATACCCGGCTAATTTTTTTTTGTATTTTTAGTAGAGACGGGGTTTCACCATGTTAGCCAGGATGGTCTCGATCTCCTGACCTTGTGATCCGCCCGCCTCGGCCTCCCAAAGTGCTGGGATTACAGGCGTGAGCAACCGTGCCCAGCCAAATGTTCCTTTTTATTCCCCTCAATTTAGAGTTTATTTTGCCAAGGTTAAGGACATGCTGATGACATAGCCTTAGGCGGTCCTGAGAACATGTGCCCAAGGTGGTTGTGTGACAGACTGATTTTACACATTTTAGGTGGGGCAGAAGTTACAAGCAGGCATCAATCAATAGAGGTAAAGTGTACATTGGTTAAGTCTGGAAAGGTGGGATAACTCAAACAGGGGATTCCAGGACATAGGTGAATTCTGTAAACCAAAAGTACCTGAGGTCTCAATCAAGTTAGAAATTTATTTTGCCAAGGTTTAGGACATGCCTAGAAGAAAAGAACCCAGAAGCACGGAAACAGTCTGTGGCCTATGCCTTTCTGCAAAGATGATTTTGAGGTCTTCAATATTTAAAGGGGAAACGTGCCTGGAGGGGAAAGAAGGAGGGTATGGTCATACACTGTGCAAGAGAAAAAAAGCAAGTAGGGAACAGTACATTATGTACTGGTCTCGTGCTCAGTAAATCAGCATTTTACATAAGGTGAAGATGTCCCTTTTCTGCACTGTCTAATATGGTAATCACTACCAAGTGTGGCTACTGAATACTTGATGTGTGGCTAATAAAGCTGAAGAAATTTTAAATTTTAAATAGTTTGATATAAAGTAACACATAAAATTAACTCTGTTAATACCAAAGTAGTATGTCTGGAGTAAACAAATTTATTGACCATATTTCATAGTTTTCTGCCTCAGAAAACAATATATTATTTAGCTTGATTGATGCCTGCTGTCATCAGGAAACTCAGTTATCATGTACACAATGACAGACTAATGCCTCTAATATCAAAGTCACTCAAAGAGAAAAAAAGAAAAAAAAAAGAATAATGCCTCCAAGGGTAAAGACTTCAATTCTAGTTTACTACAATTAACTATGGTTAACTATTTCTGAGGGCAAGGAAGAAATCTTGGGAGAAATTCAGATAAACTCTTTTTTTTTAAAGTACCTATTCCGAGTGTTAATTTGGAAAGAGTCAAAACAACCAAAATGAAGGATCATCATAAAGTTTCATACAAGAGGGCCTGACTTAACCAGGTGTGGTGGCACATGCCTGTAGTCCCAGCTACTCAGGTGATGAGGGAGGATCACTTGGGCCCAGGAGGTGGAGAATGCAGTGAGCCAAGATCACACCACTGCACTCCAGCCTGGGCAACAGAGCAAGACCCTGTCTCAAAAAAATAATAAGGACTTGACTTTAAGCAAAGACCTTAATTCTTACAGATGCCATAACAAGAATTTTTTTTTTTTTTTTTTATTCCTTGAGAAACAAAAGCCTAGTTATTGGGGAAGAAGTGAAATAATGGATTTAAAATATAAGGTTTATGTAACAGCAATAAAGATAACTTCATTGTATGTAACAATACTACACACAGGGCTATTTCTGATTTTACAATTAACTGGGAAAATTGAGCAAGTCAAATACTGAATATATATATATTTTTAAACTGGCTGTGTTATTCTCAAAAACAGAATTTGGAACATTTAACCTTTGAAGACCTTTTTAACCAGAGGAGAAAGTGTACCACAGGGTTGAATCAGACTTACTAAAATCCTGTAACTTGGGCAAGTCAGCTAACTTCTTTAATCCTCAGCTTCATCATCTGTAAAATGTGAATTATCATACTGCTAACTCAAAAGGACTGATTAAAACAACACACATAAGGCCTTCCATGCACTAAGCAAAGACTCTTACATTAACCAGAAAATCTAGTTAGAGCTTCTTCGACTCTTTCTAGTTAACAATGCAGCCAATTTTTATTGAAATCTTTGGGTAACAGAATGTTATGGATAAAGAAACCAAACAGCTTAAGACTGATTTGAAACAGTAATTTCCATTTGTTCTCTGATAATCAAAACTACGAATTAAAAACAAACCTAAGAATTTAATGTGCATCTCTTCTTTCTCCACATGACTATTAAGTGGTTAAACAGCAAAGCCATATCAACAGCAAAGAGAAGGGAATAGTTCTCTCAACACAGTAAGATTCAATTACAATACCTCCTACCATTCTCCTAGGCACAACCATCACCTGCAGCTATAAATCAAAATCTGCAATGATGAAACTGGGTCCTATGAGGCAAGCCATTGGTTTTGTCCTAAAATATGTCCCTTTTCCTAGTATATACAGGCATACCTTGGAGACGCTGCAAGTTCAATTCTAGACCATAGCAATAAAGCAAGTCACACAAATTTTTTGGTTTCCCTGTGCATATAAAGGTTGTAGTCTATCAAGTGTGCAATAGTAAGTTCTATTAGTTTTATCTAAGGTAGAGAAAATGACTGTTTCAAGGATTTATGAGCATTAGAAAGAGGAAAAAATCATTCTAATATTCTGCCCCATCCTTAACTGAGACAAGAAAAAATTAAAATATATCTCTCCAGGGAGACCCTCTCTCGGGCGACCTGTTTTCTCAGCATAAGGAAGCTTTCTCTCTCTCTCTCTTCTTTTTTGTCTATTAAACTTTCTGCTCCTTAACCCAGAAAAATAAATACATAAATAAATAATAAAATAAAATATACCTCTCCACTGGGGAATGGAATAAAATTCAGCAATAAAATAGAACTGCTGAGGCACAAATGCTTTATGCTGAGTGAAAAGAAGCTAGACTCAAAGTGTATCAATGTACAGTTCCATTTACATGGCAAAGGTAAAACTATAGAGACAAAAAACAGATCAGTGGTTGTTGGGGATAGGAGGAGGGATTAATGAGGAATTTTTTGTGTGTGAAGGAATTATTCTATATTTTGACTGTGGCTGTAGTTACACAACTATATATGTGTATGTATATATATGTGTGTGTGTGTATATATGTGTGTGTACATATATATGTGTCAAAACTTCCAGAACTTACAGCAGAAAGGGTGAATTTCACTTTATGTAAATTATACTAAATTAGATATATAATTTTTATTTCAAGGTGAATAATACTTTCAGTATTCTACTCTTTGAGAAACAGCATATTAACCAAACAGTAAGCTAAATGTGAAAAATTTCTCCTTGGTTTAACAAGCTGTCTTAGTTCTCTCTGGATGGTTAACTAGCAAATCAATAAATATGAAACAGATTTGATATTGCTGGTTAACTAATCTACCTGTTTCCCAGTCACACCTAGTTTTCTAAGCCCTGCCAATTCCTCCTTCAATGTGTATTTCAAATCTATTCCCTCTCATTTACTCTCAAAATCTCCTATCACTCCCAAGATTAAGTCTTTAACAATTCCCAAGCACCCACAAGATAAAGTCCTTATTTATTAACAGACCATAAAAAGCACTTTATTGTGTAAACCAACCTACTTTTCCAGATTTGTCTTCCACCACAGGCAACCCTATTTATTACTCATTAATATCTTTTAGAAAGCAATTTGGCCATTTATATCATAGAGCCTTATAATAATCCATACCCATTGACCCTTTAACCCAGTAACCTCACTTCTAGGAATTTATTCTAGGAAAATAATCTACATAATACTAAAAAAACAGACAGCCCAAAGAAATAAAAACAGGAGAACTGCAAAGTAAATGATAGTATATCCACAGGATAGTTCCTGATGCAGCTGTTAAAATCATGTTTATGCCAAGTTTTGAAAAGCATGTGGGAAATACTTATGACTTACTTTCAGTGAATGAAGAAGCTGGATATAAAGTTACATGTACAGTATAATCTCAATTATGAAAAACAGTACAGAAGAAAAAGAAGTTCCACAATTTTATCTCTAAAAGTGAGGCTATAACTGATTTTTATCTTCTCTCTAGTTTTCTATATTTTCTAAGTTTTCTCTGGTAAGCCTTTTTTTTTTTTTTTTGAGACGGAGTTTCGTTCTTGTTGCCCAGGCTGGAGTGCAATGGCGTGACCTCGGCTCACTGCAACTTCCGCCTCCTGGGTTCAAGCGACTCTCCTGCCTCAGCCTCCCGAGTAGCTGGGATTACAGGCATGCGCCAACACGCCCGGCTAATTTTTTTGTATTTTTAGTAGAGATGGGGTTTCTCCATGTTGGTCAGGCTGGTCTCGAACTCCCAACCTCAGGTGATCCGCCTGCCTCAGCCTCCCAAAGTGCAGGGATTACAGGCGTGAGCCACTGTGCCCTGCAGGTAAGCATATTTTTTTATATTAGAAATACACACACCTTTTTGATTCAGTGATTTCATACCTAGGACTCTCTTTTGAAGAAATGCAAGATTTATGCACAAGATGACAGAGTATTTCTTATAAAAATAAATTTAACATGAGGGTGATGTACATGCATGATATTATTAAACAATTTAAGTAGTTTTTACAGATATATTCTATATACCATGAAATTTACCCGTTTAAAGTGTAGTAAATTCAGTGGGTTTTCAGTATAGTCACAAAGTTGTGCATCCATCACCACCACTTCCTAATCTTAGACCATTTTGAACACCACAAAAAGAAACCCTGGGCTGGGTGTAATGGCTCATGCCTATAATCTCAGCACTTTGGGAAGTTGAGGCAGGAAGATCACTTGAGTCCAGGAGTTCAAGACCAACCTCGGCAAAATAGTGAGACCTCATCTTGACAAAAAAACTTTTTAAAATTGCCAGGGATGGTGGTATGGGCCTGTAGTTCCAGCTATTCAGGAGGCTGAGGTGGGAGGATCACTTGAGTCAGCGTGGTAGAGGCTGCAGTGAGCTATGCTCATGCCACTGCACTCCAACCTGGGTGACAGAGACCTTGTCTCAAAAAAAAAAAAAAAAAAAAAAAGAAACTCCAAACCCATTAGCAGTCATTCCTCATTCCCACTCCCACCCACCCCAGCCCTTACTAACCACTAATGTACTTTCTGTCTCTATGGATCTGTGTATTCTGGACATTTTGTATAAATGGAATCACACAATATGTCATCTTTTGGGACTGGTTTCTTTCACTTAGCATATTTTCAATGTTCATCCACGTTGTAGCATGTATCAGTATTTCATTTCTTTTTATTGCCAAATAATATTCCCTTCCCTTGCATGGATATACTACATTTATCCATCTATCCATCAACTGATGAACACTGGGTTATTATCACTTTTGGCAACTATGAATAATAATGCTATGCACATTTGTGTACAAGTTTTTGTGTGGACATACATTTTCATTTTGCTTGGATATGTAGGTAGGAGTAAACTGCTGAGTCATACGGTAGCTCCCAAGTTTAATTTTTTCAGGCACTGCCAAACTATTTTCCAAAATTACTGCGCCATTTTACATTCTCACCAGCAATGTATGGGTGCTCCAACTTCATAGCCTGGCCAACATTTGCTACAATAATCTTTTCATTATAGCTGTCTTAGCAGGTACAAAGCAGTATTTGCGGTTTTGATCTGCATTTCCCTAATGGCTAATGATGTTCTGCATTTTTTTCCATTGGCTTATTAGTCATTTGCACATCTTTAGAGAAACAGCTATTCAAATCCTTTGCCCAAACAAGTGGGTTTTTGATTGTTGAGTTGTAAGTCCTTTAATATATTCTACACACAAGCTCCTTGTCAGGTATATGATTTGCAAACATCTTTTCCTATTCTGTGGGTTGTGTTTTCATTTCCTTGATGGTGTTCTTTGATGAACATTTTTGAATACAATGAAGTCCAATTTATCTATTTTTGTCACTTGTGCTCTTGGTGTCATTGCCTAGAAAGGCCAGGAAAACTACCAACAAAAATTGCCTAACACAAGTTCACAGAGATTTATACCTATGTGTTCTAGAAGTTCATAGCTTTAGTGCTCACATTTAGATTTATGATCCATTTTAAGTTAAATACAACATACAGTATGAAGCAGGGATCCAAATACGTTCTTTTGCATGCGGATATCCAATTGTGCCAGCACCATTTGTTGAAAACACTATTCTCCCCCCAACTGAATTATCCTGGCACTCACGTCACACTGGGAAATGGGAAATACAGTTTTATCCTTTATAGATTAACTCAAGTGTGTGAGAAAAATCTATATTGGCAGTCTCCAGATAGTCACTCTCTCATTCCCTTATTTTCATCATAATACGTATAAAATCTGCAATTATCTTATTTGTTTACTTATTTCTTAACTGTCTCTCCCATTAGAATGTATACTTCGGGGCCGGGTGTGGTGGTTCACACCTGTAATCCCAGCACTTTGGGAGGCTGAGGCAGGCAGATCATGAGGTCAGGAGTTTGAGACCAGCCTGGCCAACATGGTTGAAAACCCATCTCTACTAAAGATATAAAAAATTAGCGAGGCGTGGTGGCGCGCACCTGTTAATCCCAGTAGTCAGAAGACTGAGGCAGGAGAATCGCTTGAACCTAGGAGGCGGAGGTTGCAGTGAGCCAAGATCACGCTATTGCACTCCAGCCTGGGCAACAGGGTGAGACTCAGTCTCAAAAAAAAAAAAAAAAAAATGTATATTTCATAGAGACAGGGACTTTTTCTTGTATATTATTGAATCTCTAGAGCCTACAACAACAGTGCCAGGTTCCTAGAAGGTAGTTAATAATTACTTCTTGAAAAAATGAGAATATATATTAAATGGCTTAAAAGAAAATGTCCCAAATGTTAATACTTTGGTTGGAACTGTCATTACAGCTAAATTTTTCTTAATGTTCTACAATGAATATATACTACTTTTATATAATCAACTATGAAATTATGGTATTTTAAAGATTTATAAAACTTTTGAATCAATTTTTTTATTCCTCAAAATTCTAAGAACCTCAATTTATGCTAAACTATTTTGTTTTAGTTCTTTTATAGGACCTCAAGCATAGTGACACCATCAAATATCTGGTAGATCAGGTCTAAGCCTTACGAGCCATCTTTGATAGTCTTCTTTCCCTTATGCCACACATCCAAATTATCATTAAGTCCTTCCAGCTCTACCCCCAAAATATATATCCAATCTTACCACCTCTCATTATTAACAAATCTTAATTCAAGCTACCACCATCTACCATCTGAATAAAGCAATAGTTGGTTGTGTTGTTGTTTGTTTGTTTAGGGACAGGGTCTCGCTTTGTCACTCAGGCTGGAGGGCAATGGCGTGAACTTGGCTCACCATAGCCTCGACCTCCTGGGGTCAAGTAATCTCCTGCTTCAGCTTCCTAAGTAGCTAGGACTACAGGTACGTGCCACCATGCCTGGTTATTTATGTTTTATTTTTTGGTAGAGACGGGTTCTCTCTATGTTGCCCAGGGTAGTCTTTAACTCCTGGCCTCAAGTGATCCTCTCACCTCGGCCTCCCAAAGCATTGGGATTACAAGCATGGGTCACCACACACAGCCAGCAATAGTTTCTTAATTGGTCTTTGTCCCCATTTGTATGTCTCTACACATCAACCACAGGGATAAATCATATCTCGCTCCACTACACTACTTAACACCTCCCCACCATCACACACCCAATGGCTTCCTGGTGTCATCAGAATAAAATTCAAATTCCTCACCTTTGACCTAATGGCCCTTTCTGGTCTAGTTCTTGCCTATAATCTATTTTCTACTTATTTCCCCCTTGTTGACTGAATGCTAACCACACAAGCCTTTTTTCTGTCCCTGGCAAATGTCAAGCTCATTCTCTTCTACAGGCCCTTCTACTTAAGAGTTCCTTCTGCCCTAAATGCTCTTCACATAGCTAGCTCTTTATTGCCATGTAAGTCCTACCTCAAAAGAGGCCTTCTCTAAATTCTAGCTAAAGTAGCCCAACTCTTCCAGTACTTCCCATTTTTTTTTTTTTTTGAGACGGAGTTTCACTCTTGTCCCCCAGGCTGGAGTGCAATGGCACGATCTCGGCTCACTGCAACCTCCGCCTCCCGGGTTCAAGTGATTCTCCTGCCTCAGCCTCCCAGAGTAGCTGGGATTACAGGCGCGTGCCATCACACCTGGATAATTTTTGTATTTTTAGTAGAGACAGGGTTTCACCATGTTGGCCAGGCTGGTCTCAAACTCCTGACCTCAGGTGATCCACCCACCTCAGCCTCACAAAGTGCTGGATTACAAGCATGAGTCACCACGCCTGGCCTTAGTACTCCCTATTGATTACCTTATTTTCTTCATACTACTTATCACCAGCTGAAATGATCTTGTCTTTTTTGTCTCTTCCTCCATATCAGATTGCAACTTCCATGAGGAAAGAACTTGTTTCCCTAGTGCTTGGACCAGTTCTTGACATACAAAAATCTCTCAAATATTTGTTGAATAAATGATTGTTATTCTAAACATTGAGGGCAATGCAAAACTGTCTAGTTCTCCATTAATTACTCCAGGAAAAATATAACTAAGAGTGTAAAATGATATTTTTACATCAAGAATCAAGTCACTTGAAAATTCAAATTAAAAAGTTGATTATATACAATGATTCCAAGTAAAATAATATTAAAGAAAGAATAAAACTATTGAAACACATTCTAATGCACTCCTCCAACTCTTTTCATTTGCTCTACAACTACTGAGGCACACACTGGTGTCATCAGAATATAAAGATGAATACAGGATATAAAGATGAACAAAACTTTGAACTATTCTAAAGATATATCCAGTTGGGTAGAGATAACAGATATAAGAAAGAATCCTATATATGATTAATGCTGCACCAGCAGCAAGCTCTCCATGCATTGACAGCCCAGGAAATGAGTGATTCTGTATGAGACATGATGACAAAAGGGAGGTGTCATGTCAGGCAGGTCTTCCTAGAGCTGGCCCTTGAAGGATAAACTGCCTTTTGATTAGTCAGGCAGGAATCCCTTTTTAATGAGTTAAATAAATGATTCTGGCTTCTTCCACTTGGATAGCAAGTAATAACAAAAGACTATTTACCTAATTAGATCTAAGCTTGCCACCATTTATTTTAGCTAACACTGATAAACTGATAAGCACTTTACTACCTGCCACTGCTTTTTTTGGGGGGATCAGGGTCTTGCTCTGTCGTCCAGGCTGAGGTGCAGTGGTGCAACCTTGGTTCACTGCAGCCTGAAGCTCCTGGGCTCAAGCAATCCTCTCACCTCAGCCTCCCAAGTAGCTGGGACCACAGGCATGCGCTGCCACACCTAGCTTTCCTTTTTTTTTTGGTATTTTATGTAGAGACTGGGTTTTGTCATGTTGCTCAGGCCGGTCTCGAACTCGTAAGCTCAAGCGATCTGCCTGCTTTGGCCTCCCAATGTGCTAGGATTACAGGCATGAGCCTCCACACCTGGCCTGTGCCACTGCTTTAAACTAGTTACATGCATCATTCATACTGTTGTGGTGGTAGGTACTATTATTATTCCCACTTGGAAGAATGGTGAAATTGAGGCACAGAATGTGTCAGGAACTTACCAAAGGTCATACAGTTAGTGCAAGTGGCAGAGTCAAGATTTAAAAAAACCCAGCAGCCAGACACTGAGCACATGCTTTTAATGTGGCAGTACAGTTTAACACAAATAATATCTATCTCAATGAACTGCTATAAGGGTTGAATGAGATAAGGTAAATACTTATAAGTTAATGTAAGACAGCATTACTTCTTGCTTTTTTTTTTTTTTTTTTTTGAGATGGAATTTCGCTCTTGTTGTCCAGGCTGGAGTGCAATGGTGGGATCTTGGCTCACTGCCACCTGCACCTCCCAAGTCCAAGTGATTCTCCTGCCTCAGCCTCCCAAGTAGCTGGGATTACAGGCATGAGCCACCACACCCGGCTAATTTTGTATTTTTAGCAGAGGAGGGGGTTTCAGCACATTGGTCAGGCTGGTTTCGAACTCCCGACCTCAAGCGACCCACCCACCTTGGCCTCCCGAAGTGCTGGGATAACAGGCGTGAGCCACCACGCCCGGCCACTTCTTGCTCTTTCATTTGTTAGGCTTTTGAGCGCTTTTCTATGGTTCAGGATGCCTCAATGAGCATGAAATTCCACGGTTTCATTTTTAAGGAAAGAAAGGAAACTGGCATTTATTGAGGACTTTCAATATGCCACAATCACTTTAAAGGTATTACTCTAATAACTGCCTTAACTATCTTGAAGGATTTTTACTTGTAAGACTCAAAGTAAATTATCATGCAGTATACAAAGGGGAGGTACTATTCAATTAATTCAATACTTAAAACCCAATTTCCATTACATTAAAAAAGGTATGTGGGAATAGAAGGTATAAAAATTAAAGGACTCCACCTCCATGGGAACCTGTCCTTTGTCATAATTAAGAATACCCTCTCCCATTCACTCATTCATGTTCATTCAGTAACATCTATGTGGGCCTACTATGAGAGTGGTATCTTGCTACTGGAATGTACGATCCCCATCTTAAAAGAGCTCAATAGTCTAGTTTCATAAAACATCTTAAGTCCTATAAAGAAATTCATATGCTATCTCAGCATCGTTTCTTGGACATGTGCAGAAATGCAGAGAATTTAGTTGGTACACACACCAACTTCCCATTACAAATTAAGTAGGCCAACTCACAAAGTCTTAGGTTGGTCCAATAAAGTGGCCACTAGCCACATGTGACTTAACGAGTCCTTTAAATGTGGCTAGTGTGACTGAGGAACTGTATTTTCATTTAATTTTAATTAACTTAAATTCTAAAAATTTATTCTTATCCATTACTGGAAAACTTGTAAGTAGGTCTGGAGCAACTTGAGTATATGAATCTACTTTTTCAAATGTAAATTTTATCATATCTAAATACAGATCAAGTATTTCCAATGAAAATTTAGCACCTGAATTGACACGTGCTTTCAGTGTAAAATATATACTGGATTTCAAACAATTTATATGTAAAATTTCTCAATTTTTAAAAATATTACTAGAAAAGTTAAAAGTATATTAAAATATTACTAGAAAAGTTAAAAGTATATACATAGCTTGTATTTTCTTTCCATTTGACAACACTGGCCTAAAGATGAAATATTCTTATAACTAGAGTATTCCTCTAAAGATTTTTTTTTTTTGAGACAGGGTCTTGCTTTGTTGCCCAGGCTGGAGTGCAGTGGCGTGATCTCGGTTCACCACAACCTCCGCCTCCCAGGTTCAAGCAATTCTCCCGCCTCAACCTCTCAAGTAGCTGGGACTACATGCACCTGCCACCATGCCTGGCTAATTTTGTATTTTTAGTAGAGATGGGGTTTCTCCATGTTGGTCAGGCTGCAGATTCTTACAATGATTTGAGAATTCCTCAAAACTCCTGAGCTTCAACAACTGACTTCAAAGATTGCTCCAGGGCAAGTTGGAGAAGCCTTACCTGTATTTGCCTGTGCTGTGCTTTAGTGTTAGTTCTATTACTACAGGTTAAGTACCTTCCGGTACCAAGCATTTGATTTCAGATATTTTCAAATTTTGGAATATTTGCATATACATAATGAGATAGCTTGGGAATAGGACCCAAGTCCAAACACAAAATTCATTTGTGTTTCATATACACTTTATACCCATAGCCTGAAAATTATTTTATATGATATTTTAAATAATTCTATGTGTGAAAGTTTTGTCTGCATTTTGACTTGTCGCATGAGGTGAGATGTAGAATTTTCCATATGTTGGTGTTCAAAAAGTTTGGGATTTTAGAGAATTTTGGATTTTTAGATTAGGGATGCTCCACCTGTACATGAAAATAGCAACAGAAAAGTTGTGAAACCATTTTAAAATAAACACTAATTACATTTACAAGCTATTTTCTGAAAGCAAGCCAAGATAGAAACAAGGGTAGGAAATTCATCCTTGCTTTCCTGTGAGAAGGCAAACAGAAATAACAACCTATGAAGTAATGTAAAAATGTTCAAAGGAGTAAACAATCTTCCTTTGATGTGATCCAAAAGCACAAACACAATGACAAATGACCTTCCAGGTGTAGAATGAACTTAAGTTTCTATCTTTCAAGCACTCATCTATGCCGTGCTGCAACAGACGTTCTCAGTCTTTTCACACCTTCAATTAGAGATTACTTTGTTAATTTTAAAACTTTAATTGCATTTTTTACTGAAATCAATTGCTTTTAAAAAATCTACGTATGATGTGAGGGCGATCTGGCTGCAACATCTGTCACCCCATTGATCACCAGGGTTGATTCGGCTGATCTGGCTGGCTAGGCAGGTGTCCCCTTCCTCCCTCACCACTCCATGTGCATCCCTCTCAAAGCTATGCACTCGGTCAAAGAGGATGACCATTCCTGATAGAGGAGAACCGGTCTTTGGTCAAGGTTATATGAGCAGCTGCGCTCCCCTGCTAGAACCTCCAAACAAAAAATCTACGTAAAACATAACAAAGCAAAACATGGAATAGTGTTGGCAGCATGTAAGTATTACAGTATCAGCTTCTAGAAGACTAATCTTGGAGCTAAGAATCACTCTAAATATTCAACTCAATGGGGGTCTTAGTACAGCAGATTCAATGATGAATATAACATTTTGGCCCAAAGTATTACTGAGATGAATAAAACCGATGTTTATTTGTCTAAGTCTATGCCTCTCCCAATTGTAAAATTTCAAGAAAAATGAGCAGGAGGTAATTCAGAAGCACAATTCCAAGTGAAAACTTCTCACTTCCAACATCAATGAAAGGAGGCATGAACAGAAGAAAAGTTGTGGTTACAATATTGCTGAAGTGTTAGGTGTAAATCTTTGTGTATGACTTTCATGGACAATCTAGACAGAAATGTTATGCCACAAGAGAAGTAAACTCAAGATACTTTCACGGCTGGGCGCAGTGGCTCATGCCTGTAATCCCAGCACTTTGAGAGGCCAAAGTGGGTGGATCACTTGAGCCCAGGAGTTCAAGACCAGCCTGTGCAAACATGGTGAAACCCCATCTTTATAAACCCCGTCTTTATATATAAATTTATATTTATAAATCCCATCTTTATATATGTAAAGCTTTTAAAATACAAAGCTTAGCTGGGAGTGGTTGTGCCTGCCTATATATAGTCCCAGCTACTCAGGAGGCTGAGGTAGAGGACTGACTGAGCCTGAGGGTGGACGATGCAGTGAGTTGTGTTCACGCCCCTGCACTCCAGCCTAGGTTAACAGAATGAGACCCTGTCTCCAAAAAAAAAAAAAAATGCTTTCACAATATTCTACTTATTTATTATGCTCTGTGGTTTACATATGCAAATGACAGTACAACAAAGAGACTAGCTCTAGTTACTCAGAGACTAGAGTGTTGTTCTGTGGACAAAATCAACGCATTTGTATGTTAAATTCAGTTTTTCAAGACTTGCAAGTTTTTTTTCAAATTTCAAATGTAGTGTGCTTCATCTCAAATATTACTGAAAGAAAATATAAAGTTACATTAACATAAAAACTCAAAAATTTGAAGTCTTCCTGTATACTAAGTTAAACACAATTTTGATTTAAACAAATTCTATTTATGAAAAATAGTCACTAGGCACAATGGCTCATGCCTGTAATCCCAACACTTTGGGAGGCCAAAGCGGGAAGATTGTTTGAGACCAGTCTGGGCAATGTAGCAAAATCTCATTTCTACAAAAAATTTTAAAAAGTTAGCTGGGTGTGGTGGTGCACATCTGTAGTCCCAGCTACTCCGCAGGCTGAGGTGGGAGGATCATTTGAGCCCAGGAGATCAAGGCTGCAGTTGAGCTCCAGCCTGGGTGGCTGCAAGAGAGTCTGTCTCAAAAAAAAAAAAAAAAAAAAAACAAAAGAAAAGAAAAGAAAAAGAAAAGAAAGAAAAAAGAAAGGAAAAAAAGGAAAGGAAAGGAGAAAGAAAAGAAAGTCAGTCATGTTTACTTGTTTTGCATGTTTGTTTTTTAGACTTTTAATTTTTTTTTTTTTTTTTTTTTTGAGACTGAGTCTCGCTCTGTCACCCAGGCTGGAGTGCAATGGTGCGATCTTAGCTCACTACAACCTCCGCCTCCTGGGTTTAAGCGATTCTCCTGCCTCAGCCTCCTGAGTAGCTGGGATTACAGGCACGTGCCACCACGCCCAGCTATAGACTTTTAATTTTTTAGAGAAGTTTTAGGTACACAGCAAATTTTAGCAGAAGTGCATTGTTCCCATATATCTACTGTGTGTGCTTTTACATTTTGGCTAGAAGAACTGCCAGGAAAGAGAGGGGTAAGTGTAAAGTGAAGGACATTAATCTCCACAGCCCTTGGCAAAGAAGGAAAGAACTCTGTCCTAAGTCACTCTACATTCTACCACTACCAGGGGCCTAAAAATGGCAGGTGGATAGAATTAACAGAGAGTATTGAACTTCTGGTAATTAGCTGGCTAAGGGGCCTGGAAAGAAATTTATGTGCCAGAAAAGAGAAATATTACTCCTCAGTATGAGGTTCTGGTATTGATAATCATGTTCTTGTTTTTTGAGACAGGGTCTCCCGCTGTGGCCAGGCTGGAGTGCAGTAGTACAATCATAGCTCACAGAAGCCTCTAACACCCAGGCTCAAGCAATACTCCCACCTCAGTCCCCCAAATAGCTAGGAGTATAGGCACATGCCAGCATGCCCAGTTAATTTTTATTTAATTTTTTTGTTCAGACAAGGTCTCACTATATTGTCCAGGCTGGTCTCCAACTCCTGGCTTCAAGCAATCCTCCTGCCTCAACCTCCCAACGTGCTGGGATGACAGGTATAGGCCACTGTATCCAGCTGATTTTTTTTTTTTTTTTTTTACTGCTACATTTACTTTATGGCTCTGCAAATAAGCTTAGGTGAAGATGGTAAGTATTTACAGAATGGCCAGGTTTGCAGGATGCAGCATGCGTGTAAAAACCTAAGATGCAATAAACATATGAAAAGAGTCAGCTCACTAGTAATCAAAGAAATGCAAAATAAAATAATGAGAAACCATTTCACAACCATCAGACTGGCAAAGGTTTCAAGTCTCTTATTAAGTGGTGAAAGGCAATGTAGAAACAAGCTGTTAATGATGAGATACAACCAGAACGAACCAGTAGTAGAGTAGAAAATATGTATGCTCCAATCCAGGGCTTCCGCTTCTAGATATACACCATGGAGAGATACACACTGGGGCTAGAGAAGTAATATATAGCAATATATGACATGGAAATTGCCTATTATAAAAACTTTAAATAGACCAAAAAAAGGCAAAAAATTAGGAAATGGCTGAATGTCTATCAACAGGGGAATGGATAAACTTGCACAATCATACAAAAGAACACAATTCAGCAGTTGAAGAACCAAAGCTACAAATAAATCCAAAAGCTGCCCTCCCCTGGGAAAAAAAAAACCACCCCCACAAAGTTTAATTTTTTCTCACAGAGCTGCAAAAGGATACATGAAGCACAGTATTTACGTAAGTTTTAAAAGCACATCAAGGCAATACATATGAATGATTAAGTAGCTAAAAGTATGGAACTATCAATGAATATCAATTTCAGGTGACTACTGTGAACTTTACCTGAGCTCTGTGTTCTCAGAAAGCAGTGATGGTTAATCCACCCCACCGTTTTGTGTTCTGGGAAACAGGTAACTGCAAAGAACTGGCCTGTTGCATATTTTCAAATAAGGCAATCAGGAATGCTCTCCTAATTGCAATAGCCTGAATAAAATCATCTCCTTAACCAGCCAGGATATTATGTCTTTGACACAGGAATGGTTATAACTCTAGGGAGGGAAGGGAGTGGGATGAGGAAGATGATGCATATTTAGCTGTAATGATAACATAAAAACCTGAAATATGGCAATAAGATAGCCCTGTTTTTCCTGTACAAAAGGATCTGTTATTCTGTGTACTTTTCTGCTTAAAATGTTTCAAAATTATTATTTTAAAACTTGGAGTTGGAAAAGGTGATTTGTCTCAAGTCAATTAATCCTTTACAATCTGTTTTCTCATATGTTAAATAGGCATGTGAATACATGCCCAACCTATTTCACTGGGTTGTAGTGTTTTTGCTAATCACCAAGTATTAGAATACTTGAATACTGCGCCAATTAGTTCAGTCTGTGAGACCACAGTCCAGATTAGGATAAGGTTAAGGGTTAGATTATCGTGCAAACCTTTTAACTCTACTTCAGGGGCAAGACTACACTCTTACTTTCCAAGAAGCATAAAAGATACTCTGGTTACAAGAGGAGCTAGGCAAGTCTAGGTGTGATGTCTCAATCCATATCCAGTAGAACTACTGAGCAAATAACCTTAGTAACTTGATGATGGGCTACTAAACAATCTCTGTATAAGGAGGCTGGCACACCCAGTACACACACACACACGTTTTGTTTGGGGTCTGTAATTGTGGTTCACGTGGAGGCAGACGTTGTTTGTTTTTTGTTGGAGGAGACATCTGAAAACATCTAATCTCATCCTGAAGCGCCCAGCTGGTTTCAAACTGCTTTATTTCAGGTGCTTCTAAAAGACTTGGTGAGTACAAGGAAGTGATTCTGCTAATTTAGAACAAACCCATCGGTAGTTAAAATTTAATCTTAAAAGAAACTTGGAACCAAGCATCTAACCAAAAGAGCTAAAAGCAAAGTGCTAGACTCTGGGATAATACCCACAATATTCTCTAATCACTGAACTAAACAAAGATGCTCCTGCGCTCATAAGGCTAAAAACAAAAATAACCTTTAAAAATGGGGGGTCTATAATCTGAACTCTAAGAGTAACTTGTAAGGTCTTCTTGATCTCCCTAAAGCCAACAATTTTGAAGCGTATTTGGAAATCGCTCATTTCTAATTTTTATTTCTCCCACTCCTCACAAGAACCAGGAAATATAACAGACCCTTCCTTCCTTGAATTTAGTTAAGCTTTAACTAAAACTAAGCATTTAACTAAAGGTAAAATGTTTGGTCTCTTATTTTCAAACAGAAAAATAAAGTCTGTATTAGCCACTCAATAAAAAAGCATAATGTCAAATCAGAAGTCTCTAGAGCAGACCCTAGTCAGCTTCAAAGCACTTTCACAGAGTGAATGGTCTTAAGCGTACCATAACTCAAAGCCCCTAGATTAAGTCTTTCAGTATAAAGTAGCATATACATTTAAAATGTTATTAAATTTCTAATAATTAGATATTAAAAAGACTCAAGATGCTGATACTTTGTAGCTTACAGCATTAAACCAAAGAAGAACCAAAAACTGAACAGTATCAAATCCCTATTACATACATATCTACAGTCATCAAGAAACTACCGGTTTATCTTTTCTTTCACTAAGGGGCCGCCTGCATGTTCACGGAAGTTGTAGTAACTTAAGAAAACCAAAACTGTTATACAGTGAAAACAGTTTGTATGCAGATAAGCTGGTACCAACTGCTTCTAGACAGATGCAATTACAGTGTAATATTTCTAGCAAAGTCTGGTAAGGCTACGCCTGCAAATCACTGACCAAAAATGGTAACAGTGTGTGCACACTAACGAAAACGACAAAATGTTCCAACTGATAGTTCAGTTGAGAATACGTTTTTAAATAGCTAATTAGAGTGACAGTGTAAAGGGGGAAAATATGTAAATTAAGCAAAATGTCCATCATATAGAATATACTAATGAGCACCTGTTTACTTTCTGGTGACTCCAGTATTTTAATGGTTTTTAAAGCTCTTAAATTTGGTTGTATCAGCATCCCAGCATCATGCCCACACCTTGCGCACCAAGTTCTGGCAGAGTCCAACTGTCTACAGGTCAGAAAAAAAATTCTAACCATACACGGACAGATCGGGCAGGGAAGGGTTAAAACAGACACTGCCAAGCTTGACAAGCACGACGAGAGTGCTGCTGGAAGCCGATTGCCAGATAAAAAGAAAAAAACAAAGGAGCTGCAAGGCCACCCCGTTCTAAATCATGCCAGGATCCTGCTCGTTAGCGATCATTCCGTGCTCTAGGACTGTTCCATAAAGGCTTTATCTTCCTTATTGAGATGGACAGACCTCAAGGGCTGGAACGCGCACAAGTCACCAAGCGCCTCAGCGCCAGCTCTGGGGAAACCCACGCCAACAAGGACGGTGGCCGGATTCCGACGCCCCCCGCCCCCCACTCCCCGGCCTCGGTGTGCAGACCCCCGGATGGATTTCACAGAGCGGGTGGGGGCGCTCGACCCCAGCCAGTTGTTGCAAGGCCGGGTCTGGAGACACCCGCAGAGGCCACGCTCAGGGCGGCGGCCTCGCCCCAGCTGGGAGCTGCGCAACAGCCGCGGATCCACCCCGGGGCGCGGGGGCCCAGCCAGGACGGCGGGAGACGGAGGCCCAGAGACCCCCCCTCACCCGCAGCCCGGACACTGCAGCCGGACCGGGTCCCTCCCCGGGCTGAGGCACGGCTCACCCCCTTAGCCCCGACTCCGCGGCGCCCCAGAGACACACTGCTCCCGGCCGCCTCGGCCCACGCCTCGGCCTCCCTCCTACTCACCATCTTCGCCGCGGCGGTCGCAGGGACGCGGGGGAGGGAGCCGGCGGGCAGCGAGTATGCAGACCGTCCTCCTCACGGCTGCGGGACCGAGAGACCCAGCGCTGAGCTGACGCGGCGGCGCGAGCTTACCCCGGGGCGGGCGCGCCTCAGGACGGAACGCGGCTGCGCACGTCACGCACCGCCTGCCGTTGCTACGCAACCAGCCGGCCAGGCAACGCCCCCCCGGCGGCTATCCAGAGTCTCGGAGGGGAGCTTCCCTCATCTGCTGAAGGCTGCGGGGCAGGGTCCGCCTCACCAGAAAGTGTTTAGGGGTGGGGGTGCGTCCTCTCTGGTCTGCAGGAGGCTAGAAGGCGGACTGGGCTGGCTCCTGCTGGCGAGGGGCGGGCAAAAGATGATGGGGGAGGGGTGGCCTTCCTTCGCCTCCTCGGCGGGGCCACCTGACGCCCCACCCACTGTGCAGGCATGGCCCGCGCGGGGAGGCAGCCACCTGGCCAGGTGTGCCTGCCGCTGGGGCGGGGCGAGGCCGTGGAGGGGAAAAGGAGGGGAGAGCCGGGGGAGAGGGGTACAGAGTGTGGGAAGGAGGGGGATTTGGAGGGGAGAGGCGAGGGGCACATAGTTGGGGGAGGAGGAGGATGGAGAGGGGAGGGAAGAGGTGAGGGAGAGGGGACAGTGTGGGGAGAGGAGGGGGATGTGGGGGGAGGGGCGAGGGGGCACTTAGTGGGGGAGGTGGGGGCAAGGGGAGAGGTGAGGGAGAGGGACACAGTGGTGGAAGGAGAGAGATGTTGGGGGTTGGGAGGGCAGGGCCCGAGGAGGGGGAACGCACTGGGGGAGGACCCACGGGAGCGGAGTCGCGGGCCGCGGCAGCGGGGACGCCTCCCGCATTTTTTACCTACTTTGGTGCGATTCCCGCCGCCCTCCCCTGATTGGCCCAGTCTGGCTTGTCCTGCCCTCGCGTGAGGGGAAAAAAGTCTGCACATTTTTCCTCCTTCCCGAGGCGACCGTGGCCATGCAGAGTGCTCTGTGAGTCACCGTTAATTTCAGGTCTGGAAAAACAAGGAGCATTTATTTATCTTTGGGAACTGCCGGGGAAGGAGGCCGGCGGCGCGCAGGGGTGTGGCTGGGAAAGGCCGCGCTGTCCCGGGACGGTGGCGCCAGCCCCGCCGCTCAGTTCTCCGGGTTTTTAATTTGGAATTGTGTTTTTCTAATGGGCGGTTGCGTCGGAAACACGGTTTTCAGAGGGCCCAGATGAATCCCAGCGTTTTTGCTGCGGGTGTTTTTGTGGGAAATAAAGGGAACAAAGAATTTTATAAATTAATTTAGGTTACCGAGAACATCATGGCCTCGACCAAAACTATTTTAATTCTCCAAATATGAGACTTTTGGACAAGATGGTCAGTATTTTTTTTTCCGGCACTACGTAAAATCTAGGTTGTATGTGGCTTTTGTTCTGCCCCACTCAACATAGGAACCCATTTCTCATTACCCTCGTTCTTTTTAAAAAAGACAGTAAGTTGTGCAGTTCTAAGCCTTTACCACCTGAGACATGATTTTTGGCGGGCTAGAGCAGTGGTTCTTTAGCATGCATCAGAATCACCTGGAAAAGTTGTTCAAAGCTAGATTTGTGTGCCCCATCCCCAAGGTTCCCTCACTGCTTCTAAGATGATGCTTGAGAATGGGCATTTCTAACAACTCCTAGGTGATGCTGAAGATGCCAGTCCGAGACCACACTCCTGAACTGAGAAGGAACCCCCCTGTATCCTCCTGCAGCTGGAACCCTTTGCTTTTCTGCCTGCCTAGGACCCTGTGGCCCTTACACTTCTTAATATTCAGACTTCCTTTCTAGTCCAAAAGTGAATGGTGCTCATTTAAGGATACATGCCTGCCTGCTTGCTCCAGCCTCTCCTGCATTTCGTCCTCCACTCTGCCACCAGAGTTAGGTCCAAACATAAGACTGGTCTTGTTACATTCTTGCTTAAAATTTGCTGTGGCTTCCTCCATAACCCTCAGCAGGTCAGTCTGGCCCGTCTGCCTCTGGCCTCAGCCTACTTTTTCTGCCCTATCTCCCATATCTTCCTAAGTGCCCACTGCCCCTCCCAGACGAAACTTCTCATTCCAGAACACCTCTTACTAGTTCTAACTACCTTGATCATGGGCCTGCTTATTTTTTCAGCCTGGGATGTTCCTATCACCCTTCGCATCTGAAGACTTCTCTTACCACTTCCCAAGGATCAATAGTAGTTCCTTCTTTTTTTTTTTTTCGTGCCCCGTACCCCTTACAACTCCTTCACCCCCCTAGTTCCTTCTATAATCCCAGAGTTCATCACTTCTCAAATCTTTTTTTTTTTTTTTTGAGACTGAGTTTCACTCTTGTTGCCCAGACTGTAGTGCAATGGTGCGATCTCGGGTCACTGCAACCTCCGCCTCTCGGGTTCAAGCGATTCTCCTGCCTCAACCTCCCGAGTAGCTGGGATTACAGGCATGCGCCACCACACCCGGCTAATTTTGTATTTTTAGTAGAGATAAGGTTTCTCCGTGTTGGTCAGGCTGGTCTTGAACTCCCGACCTCAGGTGATCTGGCCACCTTGGCCTCCCAAAGTGCTGAGATTACAGGCCTTAGACACCGAGCGCCCGGCCACCTCTCAAATCTTAATAAAGATCCAAATCACCTGAGATCCTTGTTAAACTGCAGATTCCGGGGTTGAGGGGTGGAGTCTTAGATGGCCCCAGGAGATGCAGATGCTATACTTTGAGTTAGGAGGTTTCATGGTTTTTTCCCTACAATTACTGTAGCTCTGTAATTATTTATGTGCATTTTCCATTACTACCAGATAGCTGGGAGTTCCTTGAGGTCATGGGGTATTTAAGATGCGTATGTATGAACTGGCATAGCCCCTGATACATAGTAGGTGTTTAATAAGTATTGAATAAGTGAACCAGTATCTGAAGATGTTTTACAATTTATCAAACTTATATATCAGTTTATCATAACTTAAGATGAGCCCCCATTTTTTTTAGGTCCCACTGAACTTCAGCCTCTGCATTTAACACCCAGCTTTTCTAGACATTGACATTCCTCCTCTCCACACGGAGGGAAAGAGTTTTCATACAATGCTATAGACTAATAAAGATTTATGCCCTCCGGAAGCTGAAAGGTAATCCCCAATGTGATGGTATTTGAAGTTGGGGCCTTTGGACAGCGATTAGGCCATGAGAGCAGAGCCCCCTTTAATAGGATTAGTGCCCTTATAAAAGAGGTCCTAGGCCGGGCACCGTGGCTCACACCTGTAATCCCAGCACTTTAGGGGGCTGAGGCAGGTGGATCACGAGGTCAGGAGTTCAAGACCAGGCTGGCCAAGATGGTGAAACCCCGTCTCTACTAAAAATACAAAAATCAGCCAGGCGTGGTGGCAGGCACCTGTAATCTCAGCTATTCAGGAGGCTGAGGCAGGGAATTGCTTGAACCCAGGAGGCAGGGGCTGCAGTGAGCTGAGATCGTGCCACTGCACTCCATCCTGGGCAACAGAGCGAGACTGTGTCTCAAAAAAAAAGAGGTCCTAGACTACTGCTTGCCACTTCCACCATTGTGAGAACACAGCAAAAAGGTTCATCTATGAACCAGGAAGTGGGCTCTCACCAGACACTGAATCTGCTGGTGACTTGATCTTGGACTTCACAGCCTCCAGAACTATGAGAAGTAAATTGCTGTTGTTTGTAAGCCACCCAGTTTATGGTATTCTGCTATAGCAGCCTGAACAGACTAAGACACATAAGGTCTCTCCTTAAATATGAGATTGGTATATTTCAATTTCGTTTAGAAAACATTTTGCATACTTAATCTGTGAACATATAGGCACTTGAATTTAAAACCATTAATATAAGCGGCAGGGAAGAAGAAATGATACATTAACGAGGAGCCTGAAGAGAGATGTGTATTAATAGATAGGCTGGGGAAAGCTCCTTTGCTGGGAGACATAACACTGTCAATATACAGCATAGAAAAAAACTTTTAACTCCTCCCTCTCCACAAATTCACCTATTTCCTATCTCCTATCCCTATTTATGTCAGTAGTCTTTTTTTTTTTTTTTTTTTTTTTGAGACGGAGTCTTGCTCTGTCACCCAGGCTGGAGTACAGTGGCAGGATGTCAGCTCACTGCAACCTCCGCCTCCTGAGTTCAAGCGATTATCTTGCCTCAGCCTCCCGAGTAGCTGGGATTACAGGCATCTGCCACCATGCCCAACTAATTTTTGTACTTTTAATAGAGATGGGGTTTCACCATGTTGGCCAGGCTGGTCTCGAACTCCTGGCCTCAAGTGATCCGCCCGCCTCGGCCTCCCATAGCGCTGGGATTACAGGCGTGAACCACCATGCCCGGCCGTCAGTAGTCTCTTTTAAAAATAACTTAATCCTCTAAGACACAAGTGTAGTTTTATTGTAAAAGATTCAAACAATACAACAAAGGAAAAACCCCTTTGAGCACCTTCTCTCTTTTCCCATAATCCCAGTCCTCTCCTCAGAGGTAACCACTGATGTCAGTTTGCTGTATGGACTAACAGAAATAGACCTTGGGCATATGTTTTGTGTTTCGTTTTTATTGGTGTTCTGTGTAATGGTTTTATGTTGGTTATGTAGCATCTTGTAACTTGCTTTTGTGCAGTTAATGATTGTCCTGGCAATCTTGCCATTATCAATAAATCATTTCTTATAATTGCTGCAAGGTGTGACTGTTCATTCATTTAACTTTTCCCCTACTGATGGGCATTTAGGATATTTCCAATCCTTTGCTTTCACAAACGGTTCTTCAGTGAACAGCCTTGGGACTGGCTTCTTTGCATACATGAGCTGGTAGACTTCTCAGAAAATTCCTCCCATAAAATTACTAAGTCAAAAGGAATGCATAAATTTTATTTCACTAATTACATATTGCCAGATAGCCTTCTAAAAAGGATATACCAATTTATAATCCCTCCTACAGTAGTTGACAATCTCATCTACTTACTCTCCACTGACAGTTTATTCAAAGTTTGAGGAATTTTAGAACAGGCAAAACTATAGTGAAAAAAATCAGAATAAGTGTTAAATAGGGTGGGAGTGGAGATTGACTGCAGAGGGGTCTGACAGAGCTTTCAGGGGTGATGGTCATTTTTTTTTTCTTACTTTGTTAGGGGTTCAAGTTACATGGGTATACAGGAGGCAGAGGTTGCAGTGAGCCAAGATCACACCACTGCACTCCAGCCTGGGCAACAGAGTGAGACTCCATCTCAAAAAAAAAAAAAAAGTTACATGGGTATACACATTTGTCAAAACTTAAGATTTGTGCATTTTGCCGGACATGGTGGCTCACACCTGTAATCCCAGCACTTTGGGAGGCTGAGATGGGCAGATCACCTAAGGTCAGGAGTTCAGGACCAGCCTGACTAACATGGTGAAACCCCGTCTCTACTAAAAATACAAAAATTAGCCGGACGCGGTAGTGGGTGCCTATAATTCCAGCTACTCAGGTGGCTGAGTCAGGAGAATCGCTTGAACCCGGGAGGCGGAGGTTGCAGTGAGCGAAGATGGCGCCACTGCACTCTAGCCTGGGTGACAGAGCAAGACTCCTTCTCAAAAAAAAAGAAGAAGAAGAAGTAGTAGTTTAAATGAATCAAAGAAGTGGTAGTTTAGTAAGGGTTGTGTTTAGTTACAAGTAACAAAGACTTACAAAATAAGGGCTTAAGGCTTTATTACGTGTGTGTGTATGTGTATATGGTTTACTTCACACATAGAAGTACAGTGCCAAACAATTCAGATTTGTTATATTGACTTGATGGTGCTCAAAACCCAATTTCTTCATTTTTTTTTTTTTTTTTAGCCAGGTTCTCACTCTCACCCAGGCTGGAGTGCAGTTGTACAAACACGGCTCACTGCAGCCTTGACCTCCTGGGCTCAAGCAATCCTCCAATCTCAGCCTCTTGAGTAGCTGGGACCACAAGCTCACACCACCACCATGCCCAGCTAATTTGTGTGTGTGTCTGTGTCTGTGTGTGTGTGTGTGTCTGTGTATGTAAAGACAGAGTCTTGCCATGTTGCCCAGCCTGGTCTGGAACGCTTGGACTCAAGTGATCCTCCTGCCTCCGCCTCCCAAAGTATTGGAATTACAGGCATGAGCCACCACACCTGGCCCCAATTTCTATACTGTTGCTTTGTTGTGCATAGATTGTCTTTCTAAGGTTACCTCACAGTCCAGGATGACTGCTAGAGTACCAGCTATTACTTCCACATTTTAGGCAGTAAGAAGGAGGAAAAAAGATAAAAAGGGTATCCTCTTTTTTTTTTTTTTTTTTTTTTAGACACGGTCTCGCTCTATCACCCAGGCTGGAGTTACAGTGGCACGATCACCGCTCACTTCAGCCTCAACCTCCTAGGCTCAAGCAATCTTCCCACCTCAGCCTGTCAAGTAGCTAGGACCACAGGTGCACACCACTGCCCCCAGCTAATTTTTAAATATTTCGTGTGTGGAAACAAGATCTCCCTATGTTGCCCAGCATAAGCATCCACTTTTTTATAGAAAGATCCCAGAAACTGGTGGGGTGGTGGGGAGGAGGTGACTCACACCTGTAATTCCAGCACTTTGGGAGGCTGGGGAGGGTGGATCACCTGAGGTCAGAAGTTCGAGACCAGCCTGTCCAACATGGTGAAACCCTGTCTCTAGTAAAAATACAAAAATTAGCTGGGCATGTGCCTGTAGTCCTAGCTACTCCGGAGGCTGAGGCAGGAAAATTGTTTGACCTGGGAGGCAACAGCACGAGACTCTGTCAGAAAGGAAGGAAGGAAGGGAGGGAGGGAGGAAGGAAAGGTAGGAAGGGAGGGAGGGAGGGAGGGTGGGTTCCAGAAACATATACCATATTTCTAGACCACATACCCTGTACTATATAGGATTTCTCCTTTTATCTCATTGACCAGAACTTAGTCATATGGCTGCAAGGGAAGCTGGGAAACATGGTCTGTTCTCTGACTAGCAGTGTGCTCAGCTAAGACACTATTGTTCCTTTACTAAGGAAGAAGGAGAAAATGGATATTGGGAGATAACCAGTAGTGACTGCCACAGTTAGATATTATCACTGGCCTCATCCCACAGATGGGGTAAGGTGAAGAGACGTTCCTTGGGAGCCCAGAGGAGTACAGGATCTGATCCCAAGCCCTTTACCAACAGGCCGCATGACACAGCACTTGTGAGTGAGGCTGAACAAGAGAAATGAGGTATGTCTTGTTGCTTGCTTAACACCACAGAGGAGGTTAATTGGCAAAGTAAAACAAATAGAAGCTGTAGAAAATACATTCTGAACATTCCTTACTGCCCATAGCCTGGTGCTGATGGATCAGACAGCCCCAAGGGCCCTGGCATCTATTTTAGGAAAAGGCTAAATATGTTTAAGTATATTTGTGGGAAGGATACAGTACCACATGGTGACATTATTGATTTCTCTATTAGTCGTTATGGTAGAGTAAAAATCATATACCACTATTTTATAACATTAAAGGTTGACCAATTATGTATGTTTTTCAGATAATAGCATGCTTCTTGAGTTAAACAGTGAGAAAATGGAGTACAAAGTAGTACAATTATCTCAACCAGTGGTTCTTAGTCCCTCTTAGGCCATATATATTCCCTTTGGGATTCTTTTTTTTTTTTTTTTTTTTTTTTTTGAGACAGAGTCTCACTCTGTTGCCCAGGCTGGAGTGCAGTGGCGTGATCTTGGCTCACTGCAACCTCCACCTCCCAGGCTTAAGCAATTCTCTTGCCTCAGCCTCCCGAGTAGCTGGGATTACAGGTGCGTGCCACCACGCCTGGCTAAGTTTTTGTATTTTTTAGTAGAGATGGGGTTTCACCATGCTGGCCAGGCTGGTCTCAAAACTCCTGACCTTGTGACCGCCTGCCTTGGCCTCCAAAGTGCTGGGATTACAGGCGTGAGCCATCGCTCCCGGCCTGGGATTCTTATAAAAAGTATAAATCCTCCGGGCGCGGTGGCTCATGCCTCTAATCCCAGCACTTTGGGAGACCGAGGCGGACCGATCACGAGGTCAGGAGTTCGAGACCAGTCTGGCCAACATAGTGAAACCCCATCTCTACTAAAAATACAAAAAATTAGCCAGATGTGGTAGTGTGCGCTTGTAATCCCAGCTACTTGGGAAGCTGAGGCAGGATAATCGCATGAACCCAGGAGGCAGAGGTTGCAGTGAGCCGAGATCGCGCCGTCATACTCCAGCCTGGGTGACAGTGTAAGACTCCATCTCAAAACAAAACAAATTAAAAAAAAGTATAAAACCTCTCTCTAGAAAGACGGACATTTGTTTCTACTCACAAAGCTTGGCCTATAACCTTAGGGAGCTCATGAACTGCCCTGAAGCCCATCTAATAAATTAAATATTTCAAGAAAGTTTTTGGGAAATGTTCTAAAAAGCAAATCCAGTGCAAGGATAAATGAACAGTCCCACGGTTCCTTGCATACACACATACACACATCAAGGTCAGAGTGGGCATCACACCTCTCATCAACACAGAGCCTTTCAGAACTTTATAAAATATAGCATTTTGTAAAACACAAACGGTCTGAACAATACATGCAGAAATGCAGCCTGTTTTTATTCATTCATTCAGCACTATATCCTGGGGATCTCTCCAAGTTGTCTTCCATTTTTCATAAGCATGATACATTCTTTTTTTTTTTTTCTTTGAGGCGGAGTTTCGCTCTGTTGCCTGGGCTGGAGTGCAGTGGTGCGATCTGGGCTCGCTGCAACCTCTACCTCCCGGGTCCAAGCGATTCTCCTGCCTCAGCCTCCCGAGTAGCTGGGATTACAGGCACCCACTACTACGCCCAGCTAATTTTTTTGTATTTTTAGTACAGACGGGGTTTCACTGTGTTAGCCAGGATGGCCTCCATCTCCTCACCTCGTGATCTGCCTGCCTTGGCTTCCCAAAGTGCTGGGATTACAGGCATGAGCCACCATGCCCAACCTCCATGATACATTCTTTTTACACTTCTGATCCGGTTGTTGTACTTCCGGAGAAAGAAAAATGAACCACAAAATATTCAGAAAGGGGAAAACAAGGAAATCAAGCATTTTTTTAAGGATAGATGAAATGAGTTCAGACTCTTCAGCATGTAGGATTGAGTGTAATCACAAGTCATAAAATCATGAAGGATAGGAATGAAGAGACTAGAAATTTCACAGTAAACCTTAACATGTAAAAACAAGAGAGTTTTTCTAAAAGCTCAGAATAAGTCACTTTAGAAAAAATGAAAGGACTGTTTCACACGGTGGTTAAGAAAGGGAGGAAAGTGACAGTCAGAGGAGGAAAAAGCATGTCACAGACAGCAATGGGCTGGTTGTGGCAAGCTCTCTGGTTGGGACTCATTTTTCCCCAGCTCGTCCCATTATTCCCTGCAGACTTCTGCCTCACCCGCTGCAACTACAGGGCAGGAAAAACTCAGAACCAGCAAAGCGCCCACCCCAGAGGCTGCCAGGTAATGTCAGGGCAGTGCTGAAGCCCTGCTGGGATATGGAGGTGATACCAGTGCATGCAGGTGGGCAACTTGTTTATATTCACAATGGGAAGCCACTGTCAAATCTAACTGAACATTTTTTCATTTAGATTTGAGGATGTTTCCTGAGGTCCTACTGTGTGCCAGCTGCGGCCATGTTAGCTACCAGGAATATGAAGATGAATAAGGAGATCACAAGTGAAAACAGAAATGCCAAGATAAACTTGGCCCAAGTTCCCTTGGGAATTCTCAGGATCCTACCTGGTGCAGCAGATCACACCAGGGAGATGTTACTGGATCTTTGATGAGTGGAGCATCCACAGAGGAAGGAAGTGAGTGTTTGTTAATGACATCATTCGTCACTTATGTTGGCAAATATGAATATGGAAGAGATGGCTGGAGGGTTTATTCAAAGTTGGATATTTGGAGGAAGAGAATGCCTGATGTCCTACCAAAAAAAATTAGACCCTATGGACCAAGATACATAAGATAGATGTAGATATGTAATGGGTTTCCTCCCTGTTTTTTTATTTTCTTTGGGGTCTGCTCTGGCTTACCTCCTAATTTTCCTGTCTTCTCGGGGGTAGCAGGAGGGATGTCAAATGATGGTTCAGCCAAAGAAACCCAGCTCTTCCTGATGAGGGAACTCTGAGTTGTATTCAAGGAAAACAAACACCAAAAACAGATAGCCAAAGGCCAATGGTCATGATTTGAAATTTGAGTGCCTTTTACTGTAACTGTTTTGCTCCAATATTTCCACTGCCAGTCCTTCGGTGAGGTATTTGACTCTAGATAAGAGGTCCCCAACATTTTTGGCATCAAGGACTGGTTTTGTGGAAGACAATTTTTCCACAGACGGGGTGGCAGGGGGATGGTTGGCGGGGGATTGGTTTCAGGATGAAACTGTTCCATCTCAGATCATCTGGCATTAGTTAGATTCTCACAAGGAGCGTGCAACCTAGATTCATTGCATGCACAGTCCACAATAGGGTTCCCACTCCTATGAGAATCTAATGCCGCCGCTGATCTGACAGGAGGTGGAGCTCAGGTGGTCATGCTCACTCGCCGCATTCCTAACAGGCCACAGACCAATACTGGTTCATGGCCCAGGGGTGGGGACTCGTGCTCTGGATGACACAAATTCTAGTCTTGCCTAGCCCTACTGTTAAGTAGCCATAGGACCTCTGCAAGGTGCACCCCTTTGGGACTCCTTGTCCTCACCTGTAAACTCAAGATGTTGACTAATTTGACCCTTTTAACTCTAAAAGGTGATGCTTGCACTCCACAGAAGAGATACTGAGTGCCTGGCACAGTCTTAGCAATTCGTGAAGTATCCTGTTCTAGTAATACTAACGCAGTCTCTTAAATTTTGATTTATAAACTCTAGGCCTTGGGCTCTAGACAAAACAGGGCTCTAGAGGACTTGTTTTTGTTGTTGTTGTTGTTGTTGTTTTTTAATGGCAAAAGCAATAAATTGCTGTAGTTTTCTAGATTGTAGACTTAATGTGGTTCTCCCAACTATCCATGTCTGGGCAAAGGGAGCTGATTGACACAAGAGATCAAACAGCATTAGCTTCAACATCCTTACGTGTAAATGAGGCAAACAACATCACATCTTGCAATTGGTCCTGCTTTTTTTTTTTTCTTTACTCTTCTTTTTGGAAGGGGGAGTGGAGGTGAGTGGTCACTAAATTCAGGCCCAGTCATTAAGAGGTGGTCCCCTAGTAAAATTTTCCATGCTGGAAGTGGAAGGAATTGCTTGCTCATTTATATTCTCTATCCTGTGGAAAGCCTTCCCTCCCACCCCTTGAGCCAGTGAGTCACTTCCTCTCTGCAAACCTCTAAAGCCTCCTTTCTTTCTCAGCCCAGACCTGGCCCTCTGGAGAGGGTTTTGGAGTCCTGGGTAGGCAGGGTACCTCAGGCAGCAGGCAGCACACCTTGGATGTGAGCTGAATGGATTTTCAAATTTCACAGAAGGAGCCTCCATGCTGGAGAAAGTATGTAAGTGTTCTGATAAACGGCAAGTGTTGGATTCTAGGTTTAGCATTTTTTCTTTTTGCTTTAAAGAACTCTAGGAAAGAAACTCCCGTAGAAGGTACAGCAAGCGGGTTGCACATTTGTTTTATGACTCATGGAAATTTCTAAAATGATAAATATTGGCTCAGTAGTAGTCTGACATAAGACACACTCAACTAAAGCACCATGGTTACAAGAAACAAGAAGTGCATATTCGGTAAATAAAGTGTGGCTCCACTTCCAAAAGCTTTCAGAGAAAAAAGAGCAGCACGCAAGGCCTGGATTCTTGAGTTTCCCTTCTTGAACGGCCAAAGTTCCATTTGTTTTTCCCAAGGCCAGAAACTTCCCTGAGATGACTGCAGTGTCTTCCCAGTCAGGAAGCCATTTTAAATGGTTTGGGTGCTATACTTTATTCAGTCCAGAGTCTTTTTGGCTAATGTAATGAAAAAATTTTACGCATCATAAAAATTAATGAGGTTGAAGAGACAAGTATTTTTCTCCTAAAAAAAAAAAGGAAAATAAATATTTTTCTTGCTGAGTAAAACCCCCCCCCATCTTTGTGTGTATAAGATGCTAGCCATCTTGGAGAGATGTAAGGAATCTGGAATATCAGCTTTTCAGATGAAGTTTAGAGAATGTGAGCCACAAATAATGGCTGGGGTCCTCCTGAGTCGAGTTTTTATTTCTTATGAAACAAAGTCAGCATTACTTTAACTTCTCATGAGCTGATTTTAGTTTCTAAAGAAAATATAATAGACTAAAATTCATACCCAATGAAAAGGCCATTGTATCCACTTACTAACAGCTGGGAGTGAGCAGCTTGGATCTGCCTTTCAGCTGGGTTTTCCTGCATAACAGGTTTATTAACAGAGCAGCGTGACTCACAAGCAGTGTTCTTTAGAATCACCCCCCAACACACACACTGGAACCACGATAAACACTTGGTAAGGAGGATCAATCACAAAATAAACTGAGGAAAGACTCAGGCTACAATTCTATGCTTCAAATAAAACAGCAAAAGAGACTGTTAGGCGCATGAAGGTCCCAGGCAAGAGACCTGGAAGAAGGCACCAAATCTGAAAAGGTGATTCAGTAAGTTAGCTGGGTCATGCCGGCAACCCTCCTACAACCACTCATGGATATATGGACTTCCCTTGAGCCAGGAGGGCCCAGGACTGAGTCACTAGAATACGTTGTAGGGGACATAGGGGGGCAGAGAAAGCTAAAGCCATTCTGTAAGCTCCTGCAGAGAAGCCCCCTTGAGGTAGGGGAGAGATGAGGTGCCCCCCATGGTCTGCAACACCAGTGCAGGTGGGAAGGGATATGCAATGAGGCGCTGTATTCAAAGGCCCTTTGACCCAGCTGCTGGGAAGCGTATCTCAAATTTCTCCAAAGAGAAACTGCGAGGGCCAGATTATTCAGAGAGATTGACGTGGGACCTGGTATCAATGCTGCAGAAACGGACTTCTCCTTTGCACGGCCTGGCCCTCTGTATTTGCCCTCCCTTTGCTTTTCCACTCATCTTATATTAATCAGTGTTGCAACAGGAGGGAGCTCTCCCCACCAGTGAGGCAGTGGCAGGAGTGTCTCTGCAGGTAGCCAAGGTGATGCTGGCAGCCAGGGAGGCAGCAGTTGGGATAGCTCTGGCAAGATCACCTCGCTGGCTGCCAGGGAGAGAGCCTGGGCCCTGAGCCAGGACACGGATGGGCCTGGATCATTCTGCTGTGAGCCAAACACCATTAAAAATAATTTCAGAAGGGAAACCACTTTGGTGCATTTTTTCTGGCTATTAAAAAAATACAGATTTATCAGGGGAAAAAAATGTTGAAAATGTCTAAGAAAGAAAATAAATGTTCCCTATTAATTTTCCTGCCACATATTTATATAATAATAAAGAGGTCGTTTTAAAAAATTTAATTATATAAATTATCTGGGAATGTCTTCTTATTAAAAAAAAAACTCTGGGTAGAAAAATGTCACCTTCACTCCCCTGCAATTCTTTCCCTCCTCACCAAATTTAAGCTCTACTACTGGTTTAAAATGTGCAGAACAAAGTCTGTCCTTCCAGGTTTTGCTTATTTACACACACGATAGATAGATAGATCAATAGATAGTAATAGATAGTTTTGTGTTCCTGTGTTTTTTTATTATTATTTTTAATTTTTTCTTTTTTAGAGATAGGCTGTCAGTCTGTCACCCAAGCTGGAGTGCAGTGGTGTGATCATTAACTCACTGCATCCTCAAACTCCTGGGTTCAAGAGATCCTTCCACCTCAGTCTCCCAAGTAGCTGGGAATACAGGCACACACCACCATGCCCAGCTAACTATTGTATTTTTTTGTAGAGTCTTGCTATGTTGCCCAGGCTGGTCTCAAATTCCTGGCCTCAAGCAGTCCTCTCGCCTTGGCCTCCAAAAGTGCTGGGGTTACAGGCACGAGCCACTGCACCCGGCTGATGATTGTATTTTAAATTTTGCTTAAGAAAGCCTTTCTACCACCAAGATTTCATTTGGAATTAGTTTTATATATTGTGAGATACCTAACTTTATTTTTTCTCAAATATATATCCATTTTCCCCAAAACTTTTTGTCTAACTAGCTTATCCTTTCCCATTGGTATAAAATGTCATTTTTACCATCTATTCCATTCCCATGTAGAAATGGACCAACATGGGTCTATTGCTTGCTCTATTCTCTCCACTGATTTCTTCATTCTTATACAAATATCACCTTTTTCATTACTCTGGCTCTATTGTATATTTTAAATATTTGATGGGCCCTTGTTCTTCTTGTAAAAATTGTCCTTAGTTATCCTTATACATTTTCTCTTTCATATGAATTTGACAATCTTCTTGTGAAGTTCTATTTAAAAATCTTGATGGTATTTGATTGGTATTGCACAGTTTTTAATCATCAATTTGTGGGGAATCCATTATCTTTACAATATTGATTCTTTTCACCTGTGAACATGGCATGTTTCTGTAATTCTTATTGTTTTGTTTGTTTATTTTGTTTTGTTTTTTGAGACAGGGTCTCATTCTGTTGCCCAGGCTGGAGTGCAGTGGCACAATCTCAGCTTACTGCAACCTCTGCCTCCCGGGTTCAAGCGATTCTCATGCCTCAGCCTCCCAAGTATCTGGGATTACTGGTGTGGGCCACCATGCCTGGCTAATTTTTCTATTTTTAGTAGAGACAGGACATCACAATGTTGGTCAGGCTGGTGTCCAACTCCTGACCTCAGGTGATCTGCCCACCTTGGCCTCCTACAGTGCTGGGATTACAGGCATGAACCACCACTGCCGGCCATGTTTCTGTAATTGTTTGGGCATTCCTTTGTGACTCTCAGTAAAACTTTGTACTATTCTTTTTTTTTTTTTTTTTTTTTTTGTGAGATAGGATCTCACTCTGTCACCCAGGCTGGAGCGCAACAGCACGAACACAGCTCACTGCAGCCTCAAGAGATCCTCCTGCCACAGCCTCCCATGTAGCTGGGACCACAGGCATGCACCACCATGCCTGGCTAATTTGTTTTAATTTTTTGTAGAGACAGGTTCTCACTTTGTTGACCAGGCTGGTTTCAAACTCCTGGGCTGATGTGATTCTCCCACCTCGGCCTCCCAAAGTGCTGGGATTACAGGCATGAGCCACTGCACCTGGCCTACTTTTCTTCATGTAGAGTCTATGCATGGCTTAATTAGATTATTTCAAGGTATTTTGTGATTTTTAGTTAATTATAATTCATTATTGTTTATTAAAGACAAACATTTGATTTTGTTTATTAGTCTTATAGCCAGCCATCTTACTGAGCCCTCATTAATTCTAATACTTTTCCTCTTAATTTTCTTAGACGTTATGGGAATGAGATATAAGCAACAAATGAGAGTTCTATTTCTTTGTTTCTAATTTTTATAACTAATTTCTAATTCTTGTCATTGCATGGGTTAGGTTTGGAAGCATAATGCTGACTGGTGGCGATCCTTATCTTGTTCCTGACTTTGGTGGAAAAGCATCTAATATTCCATCATCTGTTCTGCTCTTTCTGTTAGGCTTCTGGCAGATATCCTTTAATATGTCAAATAAATTTCTTGTCTTATTTTTGTAAGACTTTTCATCAGTGGTGGGTATTTAGTTTCATTAACTAGGTGTTCCCCTCCTTTAATTTGTTAATGTAGTAAATTATATTAATGGATTCGCTAATGCCAAACAATTGTGGCCTTCTATGATACATTCTGCTCGGGCTTGAGGTGTGTTCTCTGGAACTACTGCTAGATATGGTTTATTAGTCATTTACTTAGGATCTTTACATTTATTTTCACAAGGAAGGCCTATGTTTTATTTTGGTTTTGTGTTTGTGAAAACACAAAATAAAGAATAAATTGGGACTATTTCCTTCTTTGCCTTTTCTCTGAACAAGTTATATAAGGCAAGACTTACCTGTACCTTAAAGCTTTGATAGTATTGGCCTGAGAAACCAGCAGGTCCTTAGACCTGATCTTAAACATAAATCTAACAAAGTCAGCCTTAAACTAATTTTTATATTTTCTTTTGTTCTTCTCAAGTTTTCTATTTCTTGAGTCAACTTTGGCACTTTGTCTTTTTTTCTAGAAAATCATGCATTTTATGTAGATTTTAAATTTGGGGGACATAATACTGTACATAATAGTTTCTATTCCCTAATGCTAAAAATATGCCATCTGCAACTGTAGTTTAATTATCTTTGTGCCAAAGATAATTAAATTGTGACTTCTCTTGTATTTACTCAGACTTGCCATCAGAAATATATATGTGTGTATATATATATATGTATATATATGTGTATATATATGTATATATATGTGTATATATATATATGTGTGTGTGTGTGTGTGTGTGTGTGTGTGTATATATATATATATATATGTTTATATATTTTTAACAGGTCTTTTCAAAGATCCCAATTCTAACTGGTATAAGATGAGCTCTCTACTAATAAATCCGAAAGGCCTTGATGATCACCTTATCTAAAGTAGTTTGCCACCCCACTTGCCTCCACTGTCTATCCTCTTTCTGTTCTGTATGATTTTTGAAGCACTTATCAGCAACTGACACACTGTATATTTGTTTAGTTGTTTACTGTCTCTTTAACCCTAATAGAATATCTGCTCCATAAGTATAGGTACTTTGTTTTCTTCATCACTGAATTGCCAATGAATTTTTCGAATGTCACTTGGCACATAGATGATAAACACTAAATATTTGTTGAAGTTGTTGATTGAAGTAATTGTTCTTTCATTGAGGATTTTTGTTTTTGTTTTTTTGTCTACCCTGTGAATTTTATTCCATGGATTTTAGTTGTTCTTGTTGAGTTTGGCATTTCATCCTCATAGTTTCTTCCCCACCACTTTCCTGAAACTGCTTTTACTCATATGACCATGGAACGTCACATTGCTAAATCCAATGGCCAATTCTTAGTCCTCATCTCATACAACATAGTCAGTCATATCTTCTCTTCACTTTGAAACACTTTACTTACTTGGCTTCCGGAATCCCACACACTCTTCCTGATTTTCCACCTACCTATCTGGTCCTTTTCAGGCTCCTTTGCTGGTTCCTCTTCATCTCCTAACCGCTGATCTCCAGAGTCCCCATGCATACTAAGTTCTTAGACTTCTTCTCTTTACTCTCTGCACTAATTCCCTTAGTTTTCTGATTCAGTTTCATGACTTTAAATATCTTCTCTCTGCTGTTGGTTCCCAAATTTATGTCTGTCCTTGACCTCTCTCCAGATTTCTGACTTGTAGATGCAACTGTCTATTCAACACTTGCCCTTGGATGTTTCATAGACATCTCAACTTCTCATAATTAAAACAGAAATCTTGATATTTTTCCCCCAAATCTGCTTCACTTCCAGTCTTCCCCATCTTGTAAATGTCAATTTCATCCTTCCAGCTTCAGATTTTATCCTTGTCTCTTCTCTTTCACATCCCACATCAGTACATTCTGTTGGTTCTACCCTCAAAATATATATAGAATTCTATCACTCCTCATTACCTCCATTGCTATCACCCTGGTCTAACTCACCATCACCTCTAAACTGGATTACTGCAATGGTCTCTTGGCTGGTCTCTCTGCTTCTGCTATTCTCAGCACAGCCATGAAAGCCATGCTGTTAAGTTGTAGGTCAGTTTATGCCACTTCCTTGCCAAAATTATCAAAGGCTTCCCTTTACTCTCACAGTGAAGCCAAATCCTTATGGAGGATTTGTAGAAATCCCGTGGGATCTGTCCTCTCGTTGCCCTTCCTGACCTCATCTGACCCGCACTCTATCCTCACCTGCCCCACTCTTGCCATGATGGCCTCTGCACCCTTCCTTGAACAAACCAGGCACATCCTATTATATTTATTCTTCCCCATGTTTAGAACGCTCTTTCTTCAAGAATCCAAATGGCTTTCCCATCACTTCCTTCCGTTCTCTACTCAGATGTAACCTCCTCAGTGAGGTCTTCTCTGACCACCCTGTCTAAAATTACCAGATGCCCCACCATCCTCCCAGTTCCCTTTTCTTTATTTTTCTCTGTAACACTTATCACCACTTATTATACTCTATTTTTCACTTATTTATCTTATTTACTTTCTGTTTTCTCCAATTGAATATAAGCTCCACAAGAACAGGGATCAGGGATTTTTATTTTCTTCTTTTTTTTTCTTTTTGAGAGAGAGTCTTGCTGTTGTCGCCTAGGCTGGAGTGCAATGGTGTGATCTCGGCTCACTGCAACCTCTGCCTCCTGGGTTCAAACAATTCTCCTGCCTCAGCCTCCTGAATAGCTGGGATTACAGGTGCCCGCCACCATGCCCAGCTAATGTTTTTGTATTTTTAGTAGAGACGAGGTTTCACCATGTTGGTCAGGCTGGTCTTGAACTCCTGACCTCAGGTGATCCACCCGCCTCTGCCTCTCAAAGTGCTGGGATTACAGGTGTGAGCCGTCACACCCAGCCTTATTTTATTTTTTTCACTTCTGTATCCCAAGGCCCAGAAGAGTGTTGGCACAGGGTAGGTTGTCAATACATATTTGTTGAATAAATACATGAATAAGATTGGTGGTGTAGATGTACAAGTGATTTCAGGTACAGATGTGATACCTAAGGGTAGCAGCCATCTGTGAGCTTGAGCACTGATATAGTTTGGATGTTGTCACCTCTAAATTTCAAGTTGAATTGTAATCCCCAATGTTAGAAGAGGGGCCTGGTGGGAGGTGATTGGATCGTGGGTGTGGATCACTCATAAACGGCTTAGCGCCTTCTCCCTGGTGCTGTCTTTGTGACAGTGAGTGAACTCTTGAGAGATCTGGTCATTTAAAAGTGTGTGGCACCTCTCTGCCTTCCTCCCACTCTCACTGTGTGACCAGACAGCTCCCCCTTTGCCTTCTACCATGAGTAAAAACTCCCTGAGGCCTCCTCAGAAGCCGAGCAGATGCTGGTGCCATGCTTCCTGTACAGCCTGCAGAACCGTGAGCCAACTAAACTTCTTTTCTTTATAAATTACCCAGTCTAAGGTATTTATAGCAATGCAAGTATGGCCTAATACAGGCACTAAGCCACATACTAAAGCCAGCAGAGTGAAGAGTTGGAATGAACCTGGGACTGAAGGCTCCACCACACTCGCCCTGAACTGCCTACCTCTGGACTGCATGTCATCATGTTAGGGAAGCAGGAGCATAGGAGAGCCAGAGTGGCACCATTTTAAAATCAACTCCATCGTAAAACTGGCAAGGCACATTTCTTGTCTATCATGACCTGTGGTTATATGATGTTTACAGCTGAGGAAACAGCTTAACAATGCCTGCAAGGATAAACTATGACAGAAAAAAATGTCCAGATGTCCTGGTATTGCATAATAATACATGCTTTTAAAATGATTGTAGTTGGCCAGGTACGGTGGCTCACGCCTGTAATCCCAGCACTTTGGGAGGCCGAGGCGGGTGGATCACCTGAGGTCAGGAGTTTAAGACCAGCCTGGCCAACATGGTGAAACCCCATCTCTACTAAAAATACAAAAATTAGCCGGGTGTGGTGGTGGGCAGATGGGCACCTGTAATTCCATCTACTCAGGAGGCTAAGGCAGGAGAATAGCTTGAACCTGGGTGGCAGAGGTTGCAGTGAGCTGAGATCACGCCATTGCCCTCCAGCCTGGGAGATAAGAGTGAAACTCCGTCTCAAAAAAAAAAAAAAAAAAAGGATTATAGTCATGCTTTGATGTACTTATGCACTAAAATGCCAAGAACAGTTTTCTTTAAATCAACAAACTAATAAATCTTGTGACACTGTCAGCCCCCCAACAGGTAGATATAGCTTAACTTTTATATAGGTAAGACCCTATATAAGAAAAATTTAAAACAAAGATGAGACATTTCTCCTCTTGCTTTCTGAGGACACCCTACTCTGTAACTAAGTGGCTTTTAATAAGCTTTCTCTTCTCACTGTTCTCTGTGACTTGCCTTGACTTCTTTCCTGCACAAAGTCCAAGAACCCCCTCTTGGTGTCTGGGTCAGGATCCCTTTCCTGGCAACAATTAGAGAAAAATAATCCTGATGTGGGTAAGCCTGTTGTGTGCATCTGAAAGCAATCCCGAGTGGTACTACCTCATGGCCTGGAAAGGTTGAGAACTATTCTGAGGGTAAATAGAGAAGTGGGCTTGGGACAGATCTCCTAGTGATATGGTTTGGATCTATGTCCCCACCCAAATTTCATGTCTAATTGTAATCCCCAGTGTTGCAGATGGGACCTAGTGAGAGGTGATTGGATCATAAGGGTAGATCCTTTATGAGTGGTTTACTTTTTATTTAATTAATTTATTTATTTTTGAGACAGGGTCTTGCCCTGTTTCCCAGGCTGGAGTGTAGTGGCACGATCTTGGCTTACTGCAACTTCTGCCCCCCGGGTTTAAGTGATTCTTGTGCCTCAGCCTCCTGAGTAGCTGGGATTACAGGTGTGTGCCACCACGCCAGGCTAGTTTTTGTATTTTTAGTACAGACGGGGTTTCACCATGTTTCCCAGGCTGGTCTCGAACTCCCGACCTCAAGTGATTCACCCTCCTTGGCCTCCCAAAGTGCTGGGATTACAGGCATGAGCCTACTGTGCCTGGACTGTGAATGGTTTGGCACCATCCCTTTGGTGCTGTTCTCGTGATAGAGTTCTCATGAGATCTGCTTGTTTCAAAGTGTGAAGCACCTCCCCACTCTCTCTCTTGCTCCTGCTCTGGTGATGTAAAACGTGCTTGCCCCTGCTTTCCTTCTGCCATGATTGTGAGTTTCCTGAGGCTTCCCCAGAAGCAGAACCTGCCATGCTTCTTGTACAGCCTAAGGAACCATGAGTCAATTAAACCTCTTTTCTTTATAGATTACTCAGTCTTGGTATTTCTTTATAGCAGTGCGAGTACAGACTAATACAACCAGGAACCCCAGTAATTCAAAGATGTGATATTTAAGAGGATTCGTTCTAGAGGCTGAGAAGGAATAACAAACATGGCAAAACACAGAAGCAACTGGATTCATGCAGCCAAGATCAAGTGCTGCAAAAGGGAAATATGGGGCTGGCATAGTGGCTCACACCTATAATCCCAACAGTTTGGGAGGCCAAGGCAGGGGAATCACTTGAGACAAAGAGTTTGAGACCAGCCTGGGCAACATAGTGAGACTCTATCTCTACAAAAAATAATTTAAAAACTAGCCTGATGTGGTGGCATGTGCTTGTAGTCCCAGCTATTTGGGAGGCAAGGGCAGGAGGACCCCTTGAGCCCAGGAGTTTGAGGCTATAGTGAGCTATGATCACACCACTGCACTCCAGCCTGGGTGACAGAGCAAGACCTCATCTAAAAAACAAACAAACAAACAAACAAACAAAACTACCACCACCAAAAAACAATAAGTATAAGAATCTGTTTTCTTTTGTAAAAATACACAGTTGGAGACTGGTTATTTTACCAAGGCTTTGACTGAAATGTTATGCTTTTAGACTGATTTTTTAAAAATTGAGGTTGACTCCAAGAACTGATAAAAGCCCCTTGGAGAAGACTGGCATCATACTCGGTCTATGCAGTCTCTGTACCTGGTGAGAAAAGAATGTCACTTTCTAATGGCCCAAGAACCCCAAGTTATCTTGGGACCTCCAGAGGAGAGGAATTCACCCAATTCATACAGGTATTTGCAGGAACAGATAAATTTGTGGCTGGGCTTGAGGCTTTAACAAGTCTGAATCTGAGATTTCTTATGTAAAAAGTTTCAGCAAAGCCAGTTTAAGAGAGCCTGTAAGGCAAATAATTATTATTGGTAAACTTTATGCAAATCATCAGGCCAAGAATAGTAAGACTAAAACTTATTTTGTAAATAAATTGATCGTACCATAATTTGTTTTTAATAAAAATGAGAGACTAGAGAGAAAAACATTATCATACACATGCTATTAGATTCTAGCCTTGTCTGTCGTTTTTGAGGGTTTTTCTTTTTTTTTTTTTTTTTTTGCATTATTTTCTGCAATTTGGACTAGATCTTAAATTCTTTCCAGGCTACAACTCCAAACTAACATTCTCTGGATAGATTATGCCCACTATTAATATTTGTTTTTCCCCCGTTTCCATAAAAATGCCTCTATTGGCTGGGTGCAGTGGCTCACAACTGTAATCCCAGCACTGTCGGAGGCTGAGGCAGGCAGATCCCCTGAGGTCAGGAGTTTGAGACCAACCTGGCCAAGATGGTGAAACCCCTGTCTCTACTAAAAATACAAAAAAAAAAAAAAAAAAAAAATTGGCCGGGCATGGTGGCATAAGCCTGTAATCTCAGCTACTTGAGAGGCTGAGGCAGAAGAATTGATTGAGCCTGTGAGGCAGAGGTTGCAGTGAGCTGAGATTGCACCACTGCACTCCAGCCTGGCAACAGAATGAGACCTTGTTTCAAAAAAAAAAAAAAAGAAAGAAAAAGAAAAAAAACATGTCTCTTATTAAAAATCCACTTGCTTTATGTTTTAGACAGCAGGAGGCTGGTTTTCCAACCAATTCACTTAGATTCCAAATGCCATCCAATTTCTTTTTACAAACATTGTTAAACTGGGCTTAAGCATTTTATTAATTATCATTGGGTGCTATTTGATTTTTAAAATGATTATTTGTTATATTCAACAGGGGTACAGATGGTTAAAGTTTATGTCTTCCAGGCTTCAACAGTTCTGAATCAAGCTAATAATGGCCCAAATATTCCAATCCACACCATCCCAGGAGGAGCCCAGTTTTTACAGGTCTTTAAAACAGTAAGCGAGAGATTTCAGTGCCCTCAAAATTAGGCAAGGATGACAACCCTGTTCAGCAGGAAGCAGCTTCGGAAGATGAGATCTTTGGCCCTGTCTCCTTAAGAATAAGAAGGATGAAATCTCTCTGGGGGAATTGAGGTACAATAGGAATGGGACAGACTTCCTCCCTCATATATATATTTATTTATTTATTTTACTATTTTTTCCTTAATTATATTTAATTTTTTACAGAGACAAAGTCTTACCATGTTGCCCTGACTAGTCTCAAACTCCCGGACTCAAGGAATACTCCTGCCTCTGTTACTGGAAAAAGGAGTTGACATTGTTTGGCTCTGTGTCCCCACCCAAATCTTTTTTTTTTTTTTTTTTTTTGAGATGGAGTCTTGCTCTGTCACACAGGCTGGAGTGCAGCAGTGGCATGATCTCAGCTCACTGCAACCTCTGCCTCCCAGGTTCAAGCAATTCTCCTGCCTCAGCCTCCCAAGTAGCTGGGATTACAGGTACCTGCCACCACACCCGGCTAATTTTTGTATTTTTAGTAGAGACAGGGTTTCACCATGTTGGCCAGGCTGGTCTCGAACTCCTGACCTCGAGATCCACCTACCTCGGCCTCCCAAAGTATTGGGATTACAGGCGTAAGCCACCGCTCCTAGCTGAAACAAAGAGCTGCTTTCTTCTTTGTTTTTTTTGTTTTTTAAATGGAGTCTCACTCTGTTGCCCAGGCTGGAATGCAGTGTGGTGTGATCTTGGCTCACAGCAACCTCCACCTCCCGGGTTCAAGGGATCCTCCTGCCTCAGCCTCCCAAGTAGTGGGGACTACAGGTGTGCACCACCACACCCAGCTAATTTTTATATTTTTAGTAGAAACGGGGTTTCAACATGTTGGTCCAGGCTGGTCTCAAACTCCTGTCTTCAGGTGATCCACCTGCCTTGGCCTCACAAAGTGCTGGGATTACAGGCATGAGCCACTTCGCCCAGCCCCAAATCTTATCTTTAATTGTAATTTCCACATGTTGAGAGAGGACGAGTAATCCCCACGTGATTGGATTATGGCGGCGGTTTCTCCATGCTGTTCTCATGATAGTGAGTGAATTCTCATCAGATTTGATGGTTTTATAAATGGTAGTTCTTCTTGCAGTCTCACGTGCTCTCCCTCTCTCTCACCTGTCACAATGTAAGACATGCCTGCTTCCCCTTCTGCCATGATTGTAAGTTTTCTGATGCCTCCCCAGCCACTCGAAGCTGTAAATCAATTAAGCCTCTTTCCTTTATAAATTACCCAGCCTTGGGAAGTTCTTTATAGCAGTGCGAAAATGGACTAATACAGTGGTCTTGATCCAGACCCCAGGAGGAGATTCTTGGATCTCGCACAGGAAAGAATTCAAGGTAAGTGGTAAAGTGTGATGAAAGACGAGATAGTTTATTGGAAGCTACTCTGTCACAGAGTAGCACATTTTCAGAAAGCAAGAGGAGGAACACACCATTTTTGTTTCAAGTTTTTCTCATATGGGGTCTTGTCTATGTAAAGACTAAACTAAGCTGTGCCAATGTGCAGGTGGGCCGACAGCATGACAAAATGTATTATTCTGTTGATTTAAAGAAAACTATCTTTGGCATTTTAGTGTGCAAGTACATCAAAGCATAAGTATAATGATCTTGAAAGCATATCTTGTTATTGGTATTGGGACATCTAGGTTTTCTGTTGTTGTAGGAGTTTGCCCTTGCAGGCATTACCAAGCTGCCTCCTAGGTTGTAAACACCTTAGGACCATGGGTTGTGACTGGAAAAGAGTGTGCCTCACTAGTTTTAAGATGGAGTTGATTTTAAAATGTTTTCACTCTGGCTGTCTTAGGCTCCTGCTTCTCTAACACCTTGGCCTTTCAAAGTGTTGGGATTACAGGCATAAGCCACCGTGCCCGGCCCCCTCCTTCATAATGTTTAACCATGCCTTTTACTTAAAGAATTCCAGGAACTGGCCTTAGGAAATCTAAATATCAAACCAAGGAAGGAATGCTGAACAATTAATTTACAGCCTTGTTGATGCTGGCCAGACCATCAGATGGCCCATTACTCAAGATAACCATCACAACCAGTTATGCCACCTGCATACCCTACCTCTCCTGTGCTTCGTCCAGCCCAGCCCGCAAACCCTACCCCCAGTGTCAATGCTCATGCTTTGCCTAATAAAAAAAAGCCCTACCTGCTCTTTTTGGAAAGTCAGTCAGGCAATTCTCTTTTTCTCTTGTGCTACCTCCCTTTTGCCTGGGCATAAGCTCCATTGAAGCCTCGCCTGGGAAAACTCTTTTGTCCTCATGTCAATTTCTATTGCATTGAGAGCCCAAGAATGAGAGGTTAGTAAAATATTGACTTTCCCCTTTTCACATGACAAGAACACAAATGATCAGATTATGTAACAGATACATTTCTCAGCTTGGGAATGCAGTTTGTAGGTGTTAATGATCATTTTAGTGTTTGAACCTTTGTCTGGATGCATGGGAAAGTCTTAAAATGTTATTTGTCCTAAAAACTTGATTGGTTTCAGTTACTGGGGAAGCCTATTATTACAGCTGCTAAAAGCTTGATGATTTTTGGAAAAAGAGGGATGTTTTACGTTTTCATGATGTCTTGGCTATTCCACAGCACTGTGAAAAATAACAGATACATCTGTAATTTTAGGTGATGGATATTCAGGAGGTGGTAAGAGGTTCAAAACAGAATTATGGTTTTAACTCCATATATTATTCCCAACTCTGTGTTGATTTAATGGGAACTCTCATACTGATTTTTTTAAGTTAGGTAATTTATTTCTTGTCTTAGTACTGCCATTAAAACCAGCATAGACACAGCTCTTTTGTTTTGTTACATTATTATCTCTAGAGAGCTGATCTATTAAAATAACTATGTAGAGGTACTTCAGCTAATTTGATTACCTGAAAACAATAATGTGGGGCTGTAGCAGTGGCTGTGCTGCACCCCCGTACCCCCTCAGCACTCACCTCTATGTGCTAAAGCCTGCTTACTCTAAACCATCTGCCACTTTCTGTCCCACAAGTGCTGCACAATTGGGAGTTGGGGCTGTGTAGGGAGCAGCCCTCAACCAATGATGGATAGGGGATTGGTGGATAAGTACCCAGCTTCGCGTCCCTTGCCTGGGATATCTCTGTGATGCATTCTACTCTGTCTCCTAGAACCCTTAGATATGTTGAGATCCAGTTGCCCCCATGGTGATGGTGGTCACCCTGCCATCATTGGCTACTTTCCCTTCCCCATCTCACTTCCCCACTCTTCTACTGGTGTCCTGGGATCATGTCCAAAATACATTACTTGTACTCAAATCCTTGCCACGGAGTTGGCTTCTGGGGGACTTCAAGCTAAGACGGATGCTTAAAATAAACATAGACCATGTGCAAAAAATAAAGGCAGATATTTGTTAAGCACTTACCATATGCCAGACAACATTTAAGTCTCACAACAACTCTTTTGGGAACTTCTATCACGTCCAGTTTATACATGAAGCATGTGAGGCTTAGAGAGGTTCAGTGTCTTGTGTAAGTCATGTAGCTAATGGGTCATGAAGGATTTAAATCCAGACTATTTAACTTAAGCGGACATAGTTTTCATGACCACATGTCCTACAACAGCATATCAAGTTGCTTCGCATATCTTCACTGGTACATATTTCATAAGCTTTTGAGGGCATTTTGCTGGTGGATTTTTCTGATAGATGAGCTGATAGATTTTTTGTAACCTATCAACAGTAATAATGTTGCATAACTTGGATGAGTCTGCATTCACCCAATGGAAATCTGAGTCACATGCCAGAAGGTTTTTTTTTTCTAGCCACATGAAGAAGTTCAATAATGTTTTATTTTCTCCTAGCTCTTCTAAAATGTTTTTGCAGCTAACACTGTTGCTGCTGTTTTTCTTAAAACTGGCTTCCCAGCTTAAAATTCATTGTGTGATAAATAAAGGTCACCATTTATGCTCTAATAACAAGTTGGATTGATCCAGGGTTTTAGTCGGTCATGACGCTGTGTGAGGCATATTCATTCCTAATGTGAAAGACAACATTTCATGGGCTCTGGATGACCCTTCTTTGAACTGAAATGCTCTTCTGGCTGCTGACTTTATCAAGTTTTTTCTTTGTTACACGGCAAAAGACACTCTCTGCTTACCGCCACTGTTGGTCTTCAGAAAGAATGAAACAAATGATTTGTGGTTCCTAGAAAATGTTATAAAATTGTTTCCCAAGTTAGGTCACTGCAGTTACAAAATTTTTGTTTCAGTAGAGGAGTTGGCCAAAAACAACAGAGCCAGTGGTCAGCCATTATTCCAGGGGAAAGAAAATATTGAGATTAGCTAGGAGTAACTGCCTCCTTTTCCACTGAAACAGAGACAGATTCCTCTAGCGGTGCTGAAACTATTTTGAGATAAATCTCTTTCTCTCTTTATTTACTGGCTGACTTCCCTAGTTTTTGAAATTGACTTATAAAATTTTGGAAGGCATTTTAACTTTATAAGGCAATTTATTATAAATTATTTTTCAGAAACATCTTGAGCCAACTAGAAATGAAAACAAACCATGTTCTCAGGCTATATACTCTAATTCTAGTCTAATTTTTTAAAACTTAGCATTTAAATTTAGGGTTCCATGTTAAACAATACACTTAGGAAGACTCTCTTTGAGCTTAATGAGACTGAGGAAAGAATGCCAAAATTTCCATCACCAGAGATATGGTATTATTCATAGGTAATGTGAGGTTAGTAAATGTTTAACAACTGACTTTTTTTTTTCTTTTTAAGATGGGGTCTCACTTTGTCACCAGAGCAGGCATGCAATGGTGCGATCATAGCTTACTGCAGCCCTGACCTCTTGGGCTCTAGTGATCCTCCCACCTCAGCCTCCTGAGTAGCAGAGACTACAGGTGCATGGCACCACACCTGGTGAATTTTTTTTTTTTTTTTTTTTTTGGTAGAGATGAGGTCTCTGTATGTTGCCTAGGCTGGTCTTGAATTCCTGGGCTCAAGCAGTCCTCCTATCTCGGCCTCCTAAAGTGCAGGGATTACAGGCATGAGCCACAATGCTTGGCCAACAGCTGACTTTCTAGGAGAGAAATGTCTTCCTTTGTAGTGTTTATCATTCTTGTGGTGTAGATACTCTCACCGTTTCCAATTTCAAGCTACCGATGAGGTGTCAACCAGCTTGCAAAATTCCTGAAAATTTAGCAATTGGCTCTCATGATCTACTAAGAGGCAACTCCAGAACACTCCTGCAGGTGACTCAGCCAGCAAGTGCCCCAAATGCAGGCAGGGGAACATTGATGTGTTGACTCTGCAATGCCCTGAAATTGATTTTGGAGGTTACGAGGACATCAGTTAGCAAACCCTCGCAAAGTGGCACTTTTGGTTACACTGTGTGTGTCACCCCAAAACTCAGGTTACCTTGAGAAAATAATGTACTCTGAGAGAATTTGGTCCAAAATATCCTATTTAATTGTTGTTCTTGCCAAGTCATGCAATTAGGGTCACCGAGGACAGTCCAAGTGCATTTTACAGACAAGGACCACTCACAGCTCTGTGGCTCTGGTTTAGACTGCTATGTTCAGCAAAGGCTGACCACAGAACAAAATAAGCAACCCATATCCAACTTGGATGCTACGCTTTGTAATGGATTTTGTTTTCGGTTGACATCTGAAAAGCCACAGCCATTGAGGATGCCTGGGAAGTGTCTTCATTAGCTATCACTTAAGGACCTCTCTTATTTTGTTCATCTTCTTAAAATAGAAAGCTCTTTTCCAAGGAATTAACTTTTTCTTTTCATGTGTCTTATAACTATAGTCTTTCTGCTGACTGGTGCACTGTTCTCTTTCTTAATAAATGTATTTTTGTTCTGTCCCTATATATTTCCTCTAATGATGACAGACAATGTAAACCTAGCCATCATAGCAGACAGCAAAGTAAATTTCAATTTTGGACTGCTACTAAATTTGACCATGCCCCTTGAAACAGCCCAATCAGCGAATGTGGAATGAGAGGGCCTGGAACTGCTGGTAAGATCCCTTGTAATGATCCATCTTTGGCCAAGCACTATTCAGCTTTCCCATTTAAGAGTTTCATGACAAACCTCCCAACATGCAAAAACTTTATCTTTTATTTCAAGTTTCTATCTAATATTCACTAATTATTATTTTTTTTTTAGAGACAGGGTCTCACTATGTTGCCCAGAATGGGGTGCAGTGGCTATTCACAGGAATGATCATTGCTCACTGCAGCCTTGAACTCCCGGTCTCCAGTGATCCTCCCGCCTCAGCCTCTCAAGTAGCTGGGATTACAGGTGCATGCTACAGCTCCTGGCTCTAATATTCACTCACTCTTTAATTCATTTTATTGGGCATCCACTTTGTGTCAGAAGCTTTAACTAGTTGCTGAATGAGATTTTGTAGCTCCCAGCGTTCCTAGTATCTAACGAGCCAAATGAATCAACAAAGCATGGTGAAGTGCCCATGGTGTAGTAGCAACAGTGGGAAACTATTACTACCTGTAGGCTTTAAAGGAGCAGGAGGAAAGGATCTTGGAGGAGAGATTATGCCAGAGCAGAAGGGAAGCAGGAAGGGAGTCTTTTTGATCTCCTGACAGTGACTCCCATTTGCCAAACCCTACAGGAAGCTAGAGGACATGAGAGGCACCCGGAGGTGATGCAGTCTGGGAGGGCCAGGCTTTCAGCGTTTTAGAGAGGCATGGAGAAGGATGGAGGGTGGGCACCTGGGGAGATCCTCAGGTGGACAATGGCCACTGAGGGATGCCCAGCATTGCTATCAGCCCTGCCCTCAAAGAGCTGCAGTCTAGTGAAGATACTCATACAGCAGGTCTGCCAGGTAAACAGCGGGGGACCTTAACTGGAATGGTGTCTTGGGGTATGGGGGCGTGGGTGTGTAGAACTGAAGACCACTTTAGACATCTTCCTGCATACATTAATATACATGAGGGGTTGGGTGGGAGGTGTAAAGGAGTAGGGAAGATATTGGTGTCAAAGCTGAGGGTGACAGGCAAATGGAGAAAAGGATGATGTATGCTGGGTGAGAAGTAAAGCCTGATGACATAAATTTCAAATAAATGAAGGCATAGAAGTCAGTAGGAGTTGATCATGAGCAGGCAGGTGGTAGAGGGTGGAATAGCAGGAAATATTCACATCACTTGTAGCTCCTTACCAAATGAACTAACAAGTCAGATGGTTGGAATAGGTCATTCTTTGAATTTTGGCCAGACCCTGCTAAACAATGGCGAACTTCTGTAAACTGACTATTTTTAGAATTTCATTAGAAAACTTCATGTGGAGTTTAGGTCTGAGGGGCCGTTGAGGGGCTTAAAATGTATAGTATACTCCTAAACTGTACCTTACTATACTCCTAAACTGTATGCACAATATGAAAATAGTTCATAAAATAGCTTGCACTATTGTTGTCCCCCCCAATTTCAGGTCAACGCTGGGAAGCTAGTGAACTTTGGAAGATAGAACATGTTCTCTTGTGTTCAATCAGTCCCTACTGATATTAATAGAAAAGTAGACCTGGACCTACAAAACAATGGACAGCCCAAATGTATGTTTCTTTTTTTAATTTTTGTCTTTTTTTTTGAGATAGAGTTTTGCTCTGTGGCCCATGCTGGAGTGCAGCGACACAATCATGGCTCACTGCAGCCTTGACCTGCCAGGCTCAGTCTATCCTCCCACCTCAGCCTCCCGAGTAGCTAGGACTACAGAGGTACACACCACCATGCTCAGCTAATTTTTTGTATTATTATTATTATTTTTTATATATAGCGACAGGGTTTTGCCATGTTGCCCAGGCTGGTTTCAAATTCCTGTGCTCAATCAATCCACCTGCCTCAGCCTCCCAAAGTGCTGGGCGAGAGCCAGATGCCCAGCCCCCAAATGTATGTTCAATCTATGAATATATGAATGTATATTTCTATCAGAAATATATTCATGGGCTGGGCATGGTGGCTCACACGTGTAATCCCAATACCTGGGGAGGCTGAGTCAGGAGGATCACTTGAGGCCAGGAATTCGAGACCACCTGAGCAGCACAGCAAGACTCCTGTGTGTATGAAACAGTTTAAAAATTAGCTGGGCATGGTAGTGTGCACCTGTAGTCCCAGCTAGTTTGGCAGCTGAGGTGGGTGAGTCGCTTGAGCCCAGGAGGTTGAGGCTGCAGTGAGCTGAGATTGTACCACTGCACTTCAGCCTGGGCTGAGCAAGACCCCATTGCAAAAAAAAAAAAAAAAAAAAAAAAAAGAAGAAGAAATATATTCATGGATGCATGTGCCCAATTCCTTGGGATCTATCTCCTAACTGATACAAAGCAGGGCTGGAACATCCTTCTTTTTAGGACAGAGTGGGCATGCCAGTTGGACAACTGTGGCTTGGTAATATATCAAACCACTTGACAGTGTATTCCCAGAAGGAAACGGGCTGTGGTTCAGATGTAGGCTGACCCAACTTGAAAGTGGTGGTAGGTTTGTTTAATGATATCTTAGAGAGAAATATAGGGCAGAAATATGAATACCATGGCTAGATTTATAGCCACAGAAATTATAACTGTAAAAGACACTTCTCCAAACGCAGTCCTGAGGATGGCACCTGCTGGGACAATGACTCATTTCTGCATTTCTGAGGTCATGGGAAGGGCTGCTTTTCATGCATAACCAGAATGACGATGAGTTGGTACGACAATGTCTCAAGGACATTCTGAGACTGTGCAGAGAAGGCAAGTCCAGATGTCTCTGAAAATCCGTACCATCATTTCGGTAGGTGTAAAACTCCTACCGTGGTTGTCAATGAAATCCTGGTTGCTGAGATCATGATACCATCTGGTGAATCAAAGGAAGATTTTTGCGTTTTCTTGCTATCATTAAGAAACACCTGTTCTCAGCACAATTTTCCTGGAGGTGTTGGGATTTTGAGAGGTAACTTTTTCTTTTGTTACAATTTCAAACTTATGGAAAAGTTGCAGGAGGAGTAAAAGGAACTTCTATACCTCTTACCTAAATCCACCAATCATTTGCTTTATTATTTTATGTATTTATTTATATATGTTTATATCAACATAAATGCATATCTATTATTTATTTTTTGAACCATTGAGAGTAAGTTGGACATCATGCCTCATCCCCAAACCAGTTTCCTATGAACGAGGTCATTTTCTTTCCTTCCTTCCCTTCCCTTTCTTCCTTCCTCCTTTCCTTTCCTTTCCTTTCTCTCTTTCTTTTTTTTTTCTTTTGAGACACAGTGTCCTTCTGTCACCCAGGCTGGAGTGCAGTGGCACAGTCTTGGCTCACGGCAACCTCTGCCTCCCAGGCTCAAGTGATCCTCTCATCTCAGCCTCCCAAGTAGCTGGAACTACAGACATGTGCCACCATGCCCGGCCAATTTTTGTATTTTTGGGGGTAGAGACAGGGTCTCATTATATTGCCCAGGCTGGTCTTGGATTCCTGGGCTCAAGTAACCCTCCTGCCTCGACCTCCCAAAGTGCTGGGATTACAGGGGTGAGCCACAGCACCCAGCCAAGGTCATTTTCTTACATGTCGTAATACAATGTTTAAAATTAGACATTTTAACTCTGTTACAATATTTTTATCAATCCTCATTCCATATTCAAATTTCATCAATTGTCATCACAATGTCCCTTATAGATTTTATTTTTGCAGTCTAGGGTCCAGTTTAGGATCCTGCATTACATTTGGTAATCCTGCCTTTTGTCGGTGCCTGTCAGTCAAAGCACCAGGCACACACTTGCTGTCACACAAATTTGTTTTTTTTTTTTTTTTTTTTTGGTGCTTCAGTTTCTGAATTAGACCCTGAGAAAAGCAGGTTGGATGCTTAGTGCTCTCTTTGATAGTGTTTGAATCTCAGGCTTCATTTTCCAGCAACTCTTCAGAGTCAACTGCGTGTGTGCAGTTAGTTGGAGAGAGAGCCTTGCTTCTGAGTGTGTTTCTCCATCTGCTGTGACCCTTCCTACAGACTCATCACTTCCAGGAGCACTGAGCATACTTCACGGGTGCGTCTTTAGAGACTGGGGCCTCATGGAGAGGCCTGGCTACAGGGAGCAGGGATAGTAGGGATCCGGGAGCCAGGGGTCTGCCTGCCCTTTTACTCCTGGGCTGTCACTTTCCATGGCTGACTTACCTTTTGAGTTGGTCCAGTTTGGTGGAAAGGCTTCAAGCTGCACCCTGGTGGGACCATGTGGCAGGGCATTCAATTTTAGTATAGGGTGGCCCTCTTGTGGCAGACATTTGCATGTTCTGGGTAAAGGACGGATGGTAAAAGGTGCAGAGTCAGAGTGTTAGAGCAGTGTATTCGTTTGCTAGGGCTTCCAGAACAAAGCACCACAGACGGGTCCACCCTAACAGCCTCAATTACCTCTTTACAGGCCCCATCTCTGAAGGCAGCCACATTTTGAGGGAGTTAGGACTTCAACATGTGAGATTTGGAGGAATACAATTCTGCTCATAATAAGCAGAAAGGAACCTTAGATATTCTTTAGCTTAAGTCCATCATTGTAGAAAACAGATTGACCTGTTCAAGGTCACACAATAGTAGGCAGCAGAGACCTAACGTGAAACCCACCTCTAAGGAATATATGATTACCTCCATTACCTTTTGTTTCTGTAAAATGTCCAAAGCAAACTCAGAATGTATCTCAACTGAAAGGGATGGCTCAAAATGCTAGAGTATGAAATTGACTAAAAGGCAAAACATCTAAGCCTATTTTACTCAGGCTTTTAGATATTTGTTAGTGAAGAAAAATGTTAATTAAAAAATTTTGAAACTGTATTTTACATTTAAATAACTTTATTTTATTTATTTTTTGAGACAGGGTCTCATTCTATCACCTAGACTGGAGTGCAGTGGTGCAATCTCAGCTCACTGCAGTCTCTGCCTCCCAGGCTCCAGCAATCCTCCTACCTCAGCCTCCTGAGTATCTGAGACTACAGGCATGTGCCTATATTTTTTGTCGACATGGGGTTTCACGATGTTGCCCAGGCTGGTCTTGAACTTCCGGGCTCAAGCAGTCCACCCGCCTTGGCCTCCCAAAGTGCTGGGATTGTAGGTATGAGCCACTTCACCCAGCCTTAAACAACTTTAAATGGAATAAAAGATATGATGAACATTAAACCTGGCATATTTCACTAATTTCTGATATTTTTGTACTGCTAAAATTACCATGCATCTGGTATTTTGCTTTTCTTTTCCCCTTCAAGTTTGTTATAAGCATTTTTATTTATATCATAGTATATTCCACAAGGTTAAAATTGTTTGGTGGGGCCAGGTGTGCTAACTCTTACCTGTGATCCCAGCACTTTGGGAGGCTGAGGCAGGAGGATTGCTTGAGGGCAGGGAGTTCGAGACCAGTGTGGGTAACATAGCAAGACCCTGTTTTTTTAAAAAAATAAATACATAAATAAAATAAATAAGTAAAATTGTTCAATGGTTATAGCCCATTTTCTCCTATTGTTACTGCAGTTTGCTAAGCCATTCTCCTCTCTGCACCTCTCCCTCTCTTAGCCATTATACATATATATAGCTATAACATAAAGCAAGTAATATTTATTAAATGTCTATACTGCAAAGGTGATCACACTTTTTGCAGGTGTTTTGGAAAATAATTTCAAACTTTCTAGGAAAAATGGCAAGAATAGTACAAACAACCCAGATTCACCTCTTAATATTTTGTCTAATTTCCTTACTATCTCTCATACTTATTTATGTTTATATTTATACATGTCATTTTATTCAGAATCATTTGAGAATAAGTTGCATACATCATGGGTCTTTGCTCCTAGATAGTTCAGAGTATATTTTCCTTTTTTTGAGATGAAGTCTCGCTCTGTTGCCAGGCTGGAGTGCATTGGCATTATCTCGACTCACTGCAACCTCTGCCTCCTGGGTTCAAGTGATTCTCCTGCCTCAGCCTCCCAAGTAGCTGGGACTACAGGTGTGTAGCACCATGCCTTGCTAATTTTTTTGTATTTTTAGTACAGATGGGGTTTCACCATGTTGGCTAGGATGGTCTTGAACTCCTGACCTCATGATCCGCCCACCTTGGTCTCCCAAAGTGCTGGGATTACAGGCGTGAGCCACCGTGCCCAGCCTGAGCCCTCAGAGTGTATTTTCTAAGAATAATGATATTATTTTACATAGCTGTAGCATAGTCATAAACTTCAGTAAATTTAATCTTGATACAATTTTATGTTCTAATCTACTATTTATATTCTAATTTTGTTAATGAACCTAGTGATAACCTTTATAGCAGTTTTTCTCCTCCAATACAAGATCCAGTCTAGGATCCATATTGCATTTATTTATTTATTTTTATTTTTGAGATGGAGTCTCACTCTGTCACCTAGGTTGGAGTGCAGTGGCGTGATATTGGCTCACTGCAACCTCTACCCCTCCGGATTCAAGGAATTCTCATGTCTCAGCCTCCCGAGTAGCTGGGACTACAGGCACAAGCCACGACGTCCGGCTAATTTTTTGTATTATTAGTAGAGATGGGGTTTCACCATGTTGGCCAGGCTGGTCTCGAACTCCTGACCTCAGATGATCCACCCACCTCAGCCTCCAAAGTGCTAGGATTACAGGCATGAGCCACCACACTCGGCCCTATACTGCATTTAGATGTCCTGTCTCTTCAGTCTCCTTTAATCTGGAACATTTTCATAGCTTCTCTTTGTCTTTTATGATATTAACATTTTTATAGAATACCATCCCCCTTCTGTTTTTATTAATAGGATGTTCCTTCTTTGGGATTTATCTGGATGATTCCTTATGGTCAGATATAGGCTACATATTCAGGTTATGCAGGCCAGATAAAAGACGTGTATTTCTCAGACAAACCAAGATACCCTTGAGAGTGAAAGATGGTGCTTGCTATATTTACGCTGAGATAGTGGGTGTAAATGTGTCTTAGGCAAACTGGGATGTGTGGTTACCCTACTTACATAAGTGATTATTCTCATTTTACCAGTCTCCATACTGGGACTAGATAGGTTAAATCACTTACTGAAGTGATGGGACCAGAACTTAACCTCAGATCTTTCTTATTCTAAAACATCCATTTCCTGTCCCTGCCCCCAAACTAGTGCCATTCAACTGTATTTAGAGTAACTCTTCCATAGCTGACCTTTCATCAAGTCCTGTGGAATCTATCTCTACGAACATGTCTCTTGAATTAACAAATTCATTCAGCAATGATTTCTTCCTTATGCATACGATCTCTACTCCTACTGAATGGTCTCCTATCAGTGATATGGTCTTTAGGGCTGTTGACAAATATTGCACACTCCTTCTAAGCACATAGCAGGATTGCATTTCCCAGTGCACCTGAAGTTAGACAATACAACCACAGCATTTTGCTAAGATCTTTATTTTAGAAGTTGTCCAGATTATCTTGTGTTTTCATTAGTCAGTATGGATTCGCCTCCTGCACCCTGAGGGCAGAGACTTGATTTTGTGCAATATTTAACTCTGAGGCTACGCTTTGTGAGGAGATATTTTCTGAGTGTTTATTTCACTGGATTAAATTGAAAGAATTTTTTGTTATGTTTCTAGAATATATTTTTCTCAAATGGTATTGCCATGTGTGGTCGATTGAGTTGTGGGTCCTGATTCTCCACTCCAGCATGATGGGATTATCCACCCACACCCTTGCCAGGGCCTCAGGCTGAGCCCTGCCTCCTCCTTGCTTCCTCTTGACTTTATTTGTGGCCATGTGATTTGCTTTGACCAATGAGATGTCAGCAGACATGATGCAAACAAAGGCCTGGGATGAGCTTGTGTGGCTGGGCTTGCTCTTGTGCTTTTTTCATTGCTAGTTTAGAAGCTTGAGGGACATTGGGAGCAGAGCAGCCCCTGCTGAAAGGAGACCTACAGCTGGAAGACAGCTGAGCTCCCAGCCCCAGGGAATGCAGTGATAAATACTTCTATTTTGTTCTGTAGCAATATTTGACTGATACATGGTATCATAGGGAACAAATGATTTTATAACTCTTGCTATATGTTGGTTTTGCTCTCGTGAGGAAGCCTGAAGTCAATTTACCATGCTATCAGCATGGTATATGTGCACCTACAAAAATATTCATGTGGTTATCCTCAATTTGACCATACAATTACATTTTATGTATTTTTATTTATTATTTTTATTTTTATAAATAAAAGAAATGGGGGTCTCACTATGTTGCCAAGGCTCGTCTTGAACTCCTGGCCTCAAGAGATCCTCCCACTTTGGCCTCCCAAAGTTCTGGATTAGAGGTGTGGTCCACTGCACCTGGCCAAATCTAATTTTAAATGGTTTAAGAAAATAGAACAATAACCATGCCACCAGCACAGTTTAGGGCCTTGCAGAGCTTTATTCCAGACGGAATCTATTATCTTGAGGTAATATTTTGGTGTAATAATAAACTCCACAAAGATCTGTGTAATTTTCTTTCTCTATCTTTGATAACTATGACTTTAATTTGTAGTATAATCACACACAATCCATATAGTTAGTAATTATATGGTACTACTAATCCTTTTAAGAAAACAACCCTTTTGATACTTATTTTTAAAGTTGGAGATATGACAAAATATTTACATTCAGAAACATTCTCATCAAGTGGTATTAATTTCTTTTCTTAAATTTACTTTTAAATTTGTCAAAGTCTAGCTATTAATTATATATATATATTTTAAAAGCTTGTCCTTAAAATCCAACTATTAGTTCCATAATAAAAATTAAAATGGAACATAATGGCACAAAATCCTTTATTATTCTCGAATTGAGGGTTGGCCAATTAATGGCGGATCACTTGAGCCCAGGAGTTTGAGTCCTGCCTGGGCAACATAGCAAGACCCCATCTCATTTTTTATTAAAATTTTTTTGTATTACATTTTATGTTAAAAAAAGAAAAAGAAAAAAGCAATCTTTTTTTCTTTTTCTTTTTTTTTTTTTTTTTGAGACGGAGTCTCACTCTGTTACCCAGGCTGGAGTGCAGTGGGGCGATCTCGGCTCACTGCAGCCTCCGCCTCCCAGGTTCCAGCGATTCTCCTGCCTCAGCCTCCCAGGTAGCTGGGATTACTGGCACACGCCACCACGCCTGGCTAATTTTGGTATTTTTAGTAGAGACGGAGTTTCACCATGTTGGCCAGGCTGGCCTCGAACTCAGGTGATCCGCCCGCCTCGGCCTCCCAAAGTGCTAGGATTACAGGCGTGAACCACCTATTACAGGCCCATGGGTGGGGCTCTATTTGTTTTTTCCATTCAAGAAAGCATGTCAAACTCCATCAGAGCATGGGTGAATTATAAAAACATAACCGTGCATGTCTCCTAAGTTATTGTAGGCTTTTATGCACGGGTATTACTAAGAAATTACTTGCGCCACACCTCACTACTTAATGGAGACATGCCATTTTATTTTGCATCCATGGTTAAGAACCTCTGCTATACAGAAGGGTCCTAAACGTCATGTTATGATTATGAAAAAGAATTGCATGCATAACCGAGCAATTGGAAATAAAAAAGACCAAAAGAAAAAAAAAAGAATTGCTTAAGTAATCAGAAAAAAAAAATGGCATTGTTAAAGAGTTCTACAATTGAGTTTGAATGCAAGAGGAGACAAAGTGACAAGCCCTGGGCTCTTGAGCTAGTCCAAGTTTAAAGAGTTCGCTTGGGGATTCCTTCACAGTCCCCAGTGGAACCAGTGAAAAGAGCGTCATGGCTCCCGTGTCCCCTGACCCTCCATTCAATCAAAAGCAACAGGCCTGAACAATCACGGAACAAAAACCTCATTGCCCAGCGTAACCTTCCAACCCCGGAGCTGTATGGGCCGCTAATCCGCCGCACAAAGCGGGCCGCTGCTCTTTTCTTCTCCCGCGCCCGGGCCCAGCGTGGCGCCCAACTGCTGATCGGCTCTGGAACGTCCCAGCAGCGCGCCGGGGGCCTCCGGTGTTTATTTAGCGGGCTGCGGGCTGCGCCGGGGGCCTCCTGGAGAGCCGGCTCGGCGCCGCCCGCGCGCCCGCGCCAGAGCAGCCATGTACCGGCGCAGCTACGTCTTCCAGACCCGCAAGGAGCAGTACGAGCACGCCGACGAGGCTTCGCGCGCCGCCGAGCCCGAGCGCCCGGCCGACGAGGGCTGGGCTGGGGCAACGAGCCTGGCGGCGCTGCAGGGGCTCGGCGAGCGCGTGGCCGCCCACGTCCAGCGGGCCCGCGCCCTCGAGCAGCGCCATGCCGGGCTCCGGAGGCAGCTGGATGCCTTCCAGCGCCTGGGCGAGCTGGCCGGGCCCGAGGACGCCCTCGCCCGCCAAGTCGAGAGCAACCGCCAGCGCGTCCGGGACCTGGAGGCCGAGCGCGCCCGGCTGGAGCGCCAGGGCACCGAGGCGCAGCGCGCGCTCGACGAGTTCCGAAGCAAGTAAGCGGCGGCCATCGGGGGAAACCGAGGCAGGGCGTGGGCCGTCCCGGCGGCGCGGGGCTGGGAGCACGCTGCTACCATGCAGGGGTGGAGCGCCGTCTCTGGTCCCCTGTCGATCGATGACCTCATCCCTGCACGCAGGTGGCACATTTCCTTAAGCTAAGACTGGCTTCTGTTTTGATGGCACGTCACAGTTTACACGAAGTTGTATCATTTACTTTTCATCTATTTTTAAATTTTGGTATAACTTACATGTTATAAAATGCACAGATTTGAAGTGCATAGTTCAGTGAGTTTTGACAAATGTATATACCCGTGTTACCACGAAAACAAGTGAGATATTTCCACTACCCCTGAAAGTTCCCTCCTCCCCTTTCCCAGTCAGTCCCCTTTGCCCCAGACCGGAGGCACCCATTCTGATTTCTATCACCATAGATTGACTTTGCCTATTCTACAGTTCCACAAAAATAGAATCTTACGGGATGTACTCTATTGTCTGGCTTCTTTTGCTCAGCACATTGGTTTTGAGATGTACCGATGTTATTTAATCCTTACATACTTATCTTTACTGCACCTGTTTTACAGATGAGGCGACTGAGGCTCAGAAAATGTAGGGATTTGGCCAGCAAGGCCCCTCAGCTGGCGAACTGCTGTCCCGGGACTGGAATTTAGGTCCTGGGCATGCTAAGTCTAATTGCCTTCATGGCATAGCAGCTGACACCTGGGAATTATGCTCAGTATGTGTCCTCTAGTGTCTTGATACTCAAAGTGCGGTCCATGGACCAGCAGTATTGGCATCACCCGGGAGTTTGCTAGAAATACAGATTCTTGGGCCCACCCTAGAACTCCAGAATCAGAATCTGCATTTTAACAAGCTCCCCAGGTGATTTTCAGTTTAAAAAGTTAAATGTTGACTAAGCAGCACTGGTCCAGGGCATGGTCTCCCCTCCCACAGATTGAGTAATGTGTTAAAATCACATAGGAGCTGTTAAAAAAAAGATGCAATTTGTCAACATTTTTTCAAGTTATAAATGTGTGTGCTCTTTGACTCAGAAGGCTACTTTGAGGAATGTATTATAGGATGCACTCCAGCAGGTGTGCAATGGCATGCCTCCACCAATACTGCAGCAGGTACACTCCAGCAGGTGTGCAATGGCATGGCTGCAAAGATACTCACTGCAACAGGTACACTCCAGCAGGTGTGCAATGGCATGCCTGCAAAGATACTCACTGCAGCAGGATCTGCAATAAGCCTGGAACCAAATAAATGCCCATTAAAAGGAGACAGGTGCTTCCTCCATGTAATGGAATACTATGCAGTGGAAAAAAGTATGTTATTGTCATGTAGTCTTTTAAAAGGGGAGGAGAGTAGAGTTTTTTTTTTGCTTGCATAAAAAGAATTTCAGGACACACACAAAGACACACACACACAGACACACACACAGGCACATGCCCCAATGACACTGGCTACCTGAGGGAGATAAGTGAGTAGGAACTGAGCAATTGGGAGACAGAGGTGGGAAGGAGACTTTTAACAGAACATCTTTTTATATCTTTAAAAAAATTATTTAACTATGGGCTGGGTGCAGTGGCTCACGCCTGTAATCCCAGCACTTTGGGAGGCCAAGGCAGGCAGAACACTTGAGGTCAGGAGTTCCAGACCAGCCTGGCCAACATTGTGAAACCCTGTGTCTACTTTAAAAAATACAAAAATTAGCTGGGTGTAGTGGCACACGCCTGTAGTTCCAGCTACCCGGGAGGCTGAGGCAGGAGAATCACTTGAATCTGGGAGGCGGAGGCTGCAGTGAGCTGAGATTGCGCCACTGCACTCCAGCCTGGGTGACAGAGTGAGACTCTGTCTCACACACACACACACACACACACACACTTATTTAACCATGTAAGATATTCATCCATTTAAAATTACATAAATGAATTTTAAAATACAGATGTCTAGGCTCTACCCTGGACCTCAAGAGGGGCCCAGAAGCTTAAACATTTTTAATGAGTGCCACTGGTCATTCCAGCCAGATTTGGGAACCCTTGGCATAGGGTAGTCAGAGGATTTCTGTAAACCTGCTCTATGTTTGAGTTCCAGTTTCTCAATCTGAATCTTGGGCAGGTTATTCATTGTTGTGTTCTGAACACATTTATCAAATCACATTTATTGATTCGATTCCTGTCAGCTCTTTTGTCTTGGGGTTTAATCTGTAGAAACAGACTTGGAGCTGGTAGAAGGGACCTGAAAATCCACTTGTTACAGAACTTCATGGGGAAACTGAGCCTGGGAGAGGGCCTGTGGGTGGCAGAACTTGAACCTGGGTTTTCTCACCCTGGGCCTATGCTCTTTCGGGAACACTGTATCTTGAGATAATCCGTTCTTGGACTCCTGCAGCCTAAGGCCCAGAAATAGGACCTCATTCAGATGAAGCTCATGTTCTCCAAAGCAAAGGGGGAAAGTGCCCTGTGGCTCAGACATCCGGGGCAGCTTGATGGACCATCAAGATTCCCTGGATGGCCTTTGTGTTGGCATTAGACCATAGTCTACTGTACTTTGGCTGGTAAGCATGACATCCATGAGTCCTAGTTGAAGGAAAGGCCATGTTGGGTTTTCCTGGTCTTTACTGATTGCACTTGGTTCTGAGTTATATGCCCATCATGAAGCAGTTCCATCAGGCTCTGTGATTTATTTAAAATTCATATTAATTTATTCCCTCCCTTTGCCCCCTTGGAGAAGTTTTGACATTTGGATTGTGGTAGTGGGAACTGAAAATCATTATAGAAATGCTCATCCACATCCATAGGCACACACACATACACATACATGCCAGGCTGGAGTTTACATTCCAGAGGTGAGTTGATGGCTACCTAAAGCCAGGGGAAAATAATGCAGCAATGGGTTAGTATGTGCAGGCTTGGTTCCATGCCAGTGCTAGGCATAGTCTCTACCTGGCAGTTGAATAATTTCAAAATCAGGTCTTTAACAGGTCAAAGACTAAACAAAACACTGAATAAAACAAGAATGAAATAAAAACAAAACTATCAAAATACAACAACAGAGTCAATTATTCAAATTGTTGAAAACTAAAAATAATTTATGTAAAACAGTTAATTGAAGCCAGTTTTTTCACTTTATGAATATACTTATATGAATATACACATCATGAATTCTTTGTAGTGAAATCACTCTCTCTCTCTCTCTTATTTTATTTTATTATTTTTTTTGATACAGAGTCTCGCTCTGTCACCCAGCCTGGAGTGCAGTGGCGTGATCTCGGCTCACTGCAAGCTCTGCCTCCTGGGTTCACGCTATTCTCCTGCCTCAGCCTCCTAAGTAGCTGGGACTACAGGCGCCCACTACCACACCCTGCTAATTTTTTTGTATTTTTAGTAGAGACAGGGTTTCACCGTGTTAGCCAGGATGGTCTCGATCTCCTGACCTCGTGATCTGCCCGCCTCGGCCTCCTAAAGTGCTGGGATTACAGGCGTGAGCCACCGCGCCCGGAAATCACTTCTCTTTAATATAATATCTAGACTTGTCTTTACAGCATGAAAATTACTCACAATATCAGGTTAATGTGTTGATCCTCAAACATGTTCTTAAGCTATGGAAACTCTTAGATATTTCCAGCAGGAAAGAGCAATAAGAAAATTAGATTTTATTAAGTTTTATTCTCAAAGCTAATTATACATTTAAAAACTAATTTCTGGCTCTGTTATTGCAACACACAAAATAAACTACTAAATGTAACATCCTGATGTGAAATGTAAAACTTATGCAGAGATGTTTAGTTTCCTAGATAGAACTCAGCTTCGCAGATGGTTTTAGATCTGGGAATGCGTGCACATTGCACATATTCATAATTGTTCTTCCTTCAGTTCATGACTTTTCCTTCTGAGAACATGGTGGTGTGGTTTTCTAGCACCTTTCATGGTTGCAGAATACTTGACTTGAACCCATGGCATGGGCATGCAAGGGCACAGAAAACTATGCTTTGTGGATTGGGCTCAGTGTTAATTAGGATTGCTTTCAACTATAAAGGACAGAAACTCCAAACTGACATTGACCCACTTCAGACCAATTAGGATGGCAACTATAAAAAACAAAACAAAACAAAAAACAACAGAAAATAAGTGTTTGTTAGGATGTGGAGAAATTATGGACTGTTGATGGGACTGTAAAATGGTACAGCCATTGTGGAAAACAGTATGGCAGTTCCTCAAAAAATTAAAAAATAGAGTTACCATATGATGCAACATTTCCATTTCTGTGCATATACCCAAAAGAATTGAAAGAGGGTTTTGAATAGCTACTTGCATATACGTGTTCATAACAGCACTGTTCACAATAGCTAAAATGTAGAAGCAACCCAAGTGTCCACTGACAAAGGAATACGTAAACAAAATGTGGTCGATACATAGAATATTATACACCCTTAAAAAGGAAGGTAATTCTGACATATGCTACAATATGGTTGAAACTTGAAGACATTATGCTAAGTGAAACAAGCCAGTCACAGAAAGAAAAATATTGTATGATTCCACTTACATAAGGTAGTTGGGCGTGTCAAATTCATAGAGACAGAAAGTACAATGGTGGTTGTCAGGGCTGGGGATGGGGAGAATGGGGAGTTAGTATTTAATGGGTACGGAGTTTCTGCTTTGCAAGATGAGGAGTTACAGAGATGGATGTTGGTGGTGATTTCACAACATTATGAATATATTTACTATCACAAACTATATACTTAAAATGGTTAAGTTGGTAAATTTTATGTTATGCATATTTTACCAGCCCCCCCCCCCCCCCCCCCGCCATACAGAAAAAAACAGAAAAAGTGATACTGGCTTACCCAAAATGTCATTGGCTTATCCAAAATGTTTCTCACTTGTGTAAGGTCTGGTTAAGCAGTTTAGTATGATACTGTACAGTATTTGGGACACAGAAGGTTCTGTGTGGCCTTCAGGAAGGCAGCATTCATGTTTCTGGCTGCAGGATGGAGGGAGGGATGGAAAATGAGAAGCAAAGGGCACACATACACCATTACTTAACTAAAGGTATCTGGAAGCTGCCATGCAGACTTATGCTTCCATCCCATTGGTCAGGACTTAGTCACATGGCCACACCTGGCTGCAAGGAATGCTGGAAAATGTAGTCTCCCTTCTAGGCAGTCCTGTGCTTGCCAAGCATCAAGGGCTCTAACTCCTGAAGACAGCAAGAATGGGCATTTGGGGGTCACCTTATAGGGAACAAGGGGAGGGGTCATTTAGGAAGGAATCTTCTCTCTTTAGGGTTAAAATTCCCCCAGAGGGACGTGCCTCAGTTGTCCCAGCCGAGCAGAAAAGGAGCTGGGGTACTTATGCTCCAATTTGCCTCATTCAGAGTTTGTGGGCTGCTCCCAGAGGCCCTGACTCCCTGGCACGTCCAGCCTGCCCCACCCATTTGCCCAGAGGAGGCCATCGCTGTGTGGGGAGTGATGCTGCTGGGAGGAGGGAAAAGTGTGCGGAGCATCTGCCTGAGTTTCCTCATCTTTAATGCAGCACTAACAATAACTGCTTTCTTCTGGGGTGATGTAAGGATTAAATGACATAATCCAGAAAAACTGACAAATTACATGTGTCAGCAAATAAAATACTATAGGAAATCCAAGTACGGTCAGGTTAATGGTGGTGTAGATTGTGCAGGGCAGTCTCCCATCTCTGCCACTGCTGCACTTGGGTTATAGATAGGCTAGGATATAATTCCCTCATCCTTGGGGTGGCTGGGAATAAGGCTGTAGGGGCTGGGGTTGGTGCCTTCGGGCTGGGAGACTCCTATTCCGCTAACTGCCCCTGGTTACCCCACGCGGTGTGCAAATGGTACCACTTTCTGATTGGGAGGCAGTCAGCTAGGAAATGCAGCATTCGTTAGCTACTACTTTAAAATTAAGACCCTCTCCTTAAAGGAGAGGGCATCGTACCCAGGTTGAATTTAATGCTGATTATGTGATCCATACATGTGAAAGCATGGTAGTTACCCAACTCTCACTTATGTGTCCAATTTGCAGGTATGAAAATGAGTGCGAATGTCAACTCCTGCTAAAAGAAATGCTTGAACGGCTTAACAAGGTGAGCGGAACACATCCTTGGGTTTACGTAGCTTAATTACAGTGTTGAATGGAATGGTGGAAGTGCAGGTTTTACAGGCTTCCTCTTTGTGTTACTTTGGCGGTCACTACTTCTTTTGCAGTCACTCTGTCTCTTGACTTGTTAATTTCAATTGAGTCTTTATGAGTGAACTCACACACCCATACACACACCCCTCTCTCACGAGAGAAACACAGACTATGAAGCTTGTTGGTTATGCTAGGCTAGCAAAACCTGCCGGCGTTACAGTGACAAGCTGCTGTTTTACTTGTCAGACATACTGATGCCCAACACCAAATTTAGGAAGGACCTTGCTTTGGGCAGTGGTTATTTGGACACAGTGATACCTCTGTCCTATTGGCTAAGAGTTTTGAGATTGCGGCTCCACAGAAGTCTCAAGATAACAGAGGAAGAAATTTCTATTTCCTCTAGAGTTCCCTCTTATAGCGTGACCAATAGCCCCAGGGGAGATGCCAGGGGTTCTTAGCCACTTGACTTTCCTGCAGGGTTATGTGGAGTTGCTCTTTACAGAACAGTGGTGATTTCCTTCTTGGGATTCTTCATCATGATTCTAACTAACTGATTGGATTTTCTGCTTTTGCTGGGAGAATCCCACCACCAAAAAGCAGAATGATTCTGGACCACCAGGGTTGTACAGAACCAGGGATGGCACATAGCTTTAAGCATGGCCCTTTTCTGATCGTTTTTGAGCTCCAATGTCAGAGCAGAACGACCCATGGAGACTATTTAGTGGAAAGGCTGCTTGATTAGGGCACATGGGCTGCCCTTCCCCGCCCCTTCCATGCCTACAACTCATCAAAATTGCTGACAAAACCGCAGACTCTTCCCTGCCATGCCCAGGTATGCTTTAGGCTTCTTTGCCACATGGAACTCCAAGCAGCCTCTTTGGACAGTCAGGGTTAGCGCCGGATGTTTGCCATCCCTTCACTTTGTCCAGCCTTTGCTGTCTAGGATTACTCTGCTGGTTGAGGGGAAAATCAGAACTAGAATCTAGGGGAAACCCAATTTTGCTTTGTCTATGTTACCTGCCCCTCTGCGCGTGAGCACGTATGATATGTTCAAACCAGGACAGTGTGCAAAAGAGGGTGCAGTTTGTAATAACACAGGTCAGTCAATGCAGGCTGGGACTCTCAGGACAGCTAGTAGGACACTTGGGCACCCTAGATAGAAACACAGAGATGGCAGTGAGAATGCACTTCAGGAAGGCCCTGAGGACACACGCTCAATAGTTGGCTTGGAAAACGATGGCCTCGAGCCTGTTGGACATCTGAGCTGGGAGTTGGGCCTTATTAGTGTCTGACATCACTCTGCTATTCTGCTGACACCTGTAGCTCATCCCCATTCTTCTGTTTTGTGCAACCTCAGACTGCCAGAACATGGCCTTCAGACACGGGGACCCAGCACCCTTCACAGCACCCCTCAGGCCCTCCGAGGCCCTCTCCCCAACACTTCCACATGTTGCTTTGTGAGCATCTGTCCTCACTTGTCACTCACGCAGTGCCATCCTGGGTACTCTTCAAATAAAGGGGAGAAAGAATGGGGTTCCTCTTTTACCCTTGATGGAAAATGACAGTGAATTTAAAAAACAAGCTTAAACTTTCTGTTGTTTTTCTCTTTTTACAAAAGCAATCCATATTCTCAGTAGAAAAAATAAGGCAACATAGATAACGAAAAATAAGGAAAAGGCATCGCATAATACACCTTCATGTATATTGTGACATAGAGTGTGGACATTTGAAGTATCAGCCCTGTAAGAATATTATGAAGGTTCTGGGGAAAGATGCTACCAAGAATGTGGGTGAGACCAGCACAGGCAATTAGCATGACTGGCCCCTGGGTCCAAGTAAGACAGTACTGCCCGCAGGTGAGCTGCAGAGCCCCAGCGAGGAGTGTAGCCTGTGACTAGGAACCTCCTGCTACAGCTGAGCATCTGTGAGACTGTGGGCCAATTGCCTTGTCCCTCTGAGCCTCGGTTTTTTCATCTGTGAAATGGAATCACAATACTCCCCACCCACCATAGGAGTGAAAGTGCCTAGTGAGAACTAAATGATGTAATAATGTATATGACTTGCCCATCACCTGGTGGTGCTGAATCCCTGATCACTGTTATTACTACAGAGCACTTGATGTGACAGACACCAGCTTGGTTTTCTCCACAGTGTGGGTGCAGAACCCTGTTGAAATGGGAGGTGACTTTAGAAAGTGCATGGAGGAGTGATATTTAATAGTTGTGAATTTTTTATGATTACCTGTTATTTACAGCGGATGACATAAAATATTCCTTTCCAAATAAACCTACGTAAGAATGAGTACCTTTAAAGACAAATACAGAGTGAATAAGATGCAGGTGGTCCTTGGATAATAGTAGAAATCATAAACACAGCAGGCAGATGCAGGACGCTGGGGAGGGCCTTGTGCAAGCCTGTGGGAGCCTCAGAACAGCCCGTGGTTATTGGGGGGGCAGGTTTTATTCTCAGAAATGACCTATTCCAAATCCTTCTCTGGGCCAGTGAGGAAACTCACCCTTGATGAGGTTAAATGACTTCAGAGCCTCGCAGCTCAGCCGTGGTAAGTGTAGACAGGAGTTGGGGTCTTTTGTATTTGTGGTTCATTCTCTACCTCCAAAGAATAGTCAGGGAACCGGTATTACTCAGAGGCCAGACACGAAGCCAGAGAGTTCTCGGCTATAGGTGGCCCCATGGACCTTGATGTTGGTGTCCTGTCCACACACCTTGGGCCATGCCAGTGGTCACTCAGACACGCTGAACACCCTGATCACTGCCTGCATCTCGGGCTCTGGGAACATGCATGGCCCACATCAGTATAGTCCAGAAGCGCTGGGTGTTAACACCCCAGGAACAACCCTCAGTTGCTGTGGACTGGGATAGGTGGATAAGTTCCCCACCCCTCATAGTGATGGTTCAGAGCCACATTCCACATGGTCCCTCAGAGGGACCCCAGCCGTACTGAGCTGTCTACAATGGCAACCTGCTCGTCACATTCCTTCATTGGTTTTGTTTCCTTCTCTGGCTCACTAGCCTCCCTTACCTGTGCTTCCTGGGATCACCTCCCAGATAAGCCACAGGTACCCAGTCTTTGCCTTGGGGTCCACTTCTGGAGAACCCAAATAGTCCCTCAAGGGCAGGGCCAGGTGAACACTGGACCTTTTTGTTCTCTGCTGAGATCATCAGATGACATGAAAGAGGCTAAAATTCACATCGCATCAGCTGGTCGTGTGAGTGATTTTGGCCTGCAGGTTTTGGGTATTTTCTTACATCAGATCAACGAGGTTTTAGCTCAGTCTCAGTGGCCATTTCCTTTGGTCTGACTTGTGGAAGGGATTCATCCCTGGGTGTGGCCGTGGGACATCACTGATCCAGTCTTTGCATCCTACTTGGAGGATATTGCAGTGTATGTGAAAGGACTGATGGCCCCTGCCTTCACAAAACCACCATGCATTTCTTCATGCTGCCCGTGTAATCAAGCCTACGGAAAGAGCTCCTGTAGTTTTATCAGCCAGATAAATTATAGTAGGCCACTCTTTGCTGTGCACTTAGAAGTGAAGTAAACTCCTCAACACGTTACCTACAACCTATGGCCAAAGTTATTCAACTTCTCAGCCTTTTGATGTAGTAGGAATTCCAGGTGACTTTAAAATATTTGGGTTTGCTAACTTCTAGATCTCATGGTCACCAAATATATACGTATGAAGTTACTGGTCTGCTATGATGCCTGATTTGCTTATCTTGAGGAAACTGTAAGCAGCAGACTTTAAAATCTCCCTCTCCTTTTCTCTTTAAAATTCCCAGAATTTTAAAATGATGTGGTTTCTAGTCAAATGCTTTCACTTAAAAACAATTTTAAAAATATTTAAAGGCTGACATATATACTTTTTCATGTAATTCATGTGTCTCTTAAACGTGCCTGTGGAAAGCAGCAAGAGGCCAGGGAGTTTAGGGGATAAAATGGTGCAGGCATGAAGCCCTACCTTCAGGGCTATGCCTTTGTATGCCAAGAATTCCTCTGAGCCCGGAAATGAACTTCCGGAGAAGAGAAGGAGAGGAAACTGGGAAGGAAGAGGAGGAGTCTGGGGGTGGAGAGGCAAGAGGAGTGGAGGAAGAGTCAGGATGAATGCAAAGGGAGAGACAGCAAAGTTGAGGAGACTGAGGCAGAGGCAAGAGAGAGGGTGGAGAGATGTAGAATTTGTCCAGTGCCCTCCAGGCCAACATTAGCACCTGGAAGAACAGCCATAACATTTTTGGAAAGGTTTTTGACATCCAGAGTTGAAGGAAAAGTGTTTTTTAATTAAATTCCAGCTAACTAGAACTCTTAATGAACTTAAATACCCATTCTTTAGCAGTTGGGTTTTAAATGGAGTTTCTGGGATCCCTGTGAATAGGTCAGCAAGGCTGTTTTTTTTCCTTTTTAATCCCCACCATTTGAGTTAAAAAAGGGCTGATTTTCAATAATGCTCCAAATTCTAGTTATTTCTCCAGCTCCTTTCTAAAAACATGGCTGTAAATAGTCTAGATTAGTGGTTCTAAAACTTCAGTGTGCATCAGTGTTACCTGGGGTGAAAGGTGGGCGGGGTGGGGGGGCACGTTAAAACCCAGACTCCTGGGCCCCAGCCCCAGAAATTCTAAGCCAGTAGGTCTGGCATCTGCTGGAGTATTTGCATTTCTGATCCGTTCCCAGGTGTTGTGATCCAGGGACCACACTTTGAGGACCACTGGTCTAGATCTAGGACATAGGCAATTATCAGAGTTGGAATGTTTTGTAAAATTAGACTATTGACCCATAATCTCAATTCAGAAAAATCTAGATGATTCTGCTGGTGAAGCTTTTGAAAATTCAGCTGACAACATCCACAGCATAATAAAAACACAAGCGTCTACACATTTCTGAGTTCTGGCGCAAACAAAAGAAAACACTTCCAAAACAAATTTTCCTCAGCGTATCAGCAGCTGTACATTCCAGTGGGCCCTACTCACCTTTGGGGGTTTTGGGGTCAGCTTATCGGGTGATTATCTTCAAAGCAGGACAGTGTGCTTGCAGAAACATCTGCTTAATCCCTATTTTAAGAATACATATTGACTGGCCTTTTACTATCACTATGAGCAGTTATAAAGATTTAACTGATGGGACCCAGTGCTGGTGGTTTTGACACAATCCTAGGAGGGAGGTGGGGAAGAATGACAGGCACCTCGAAGGATGGAGTCAGGGCTTAGCACTCAGCTCTTGGCTAGGAGAGAGAAGCCCATGGTAGGTTCCAGGCCTGTTATCTTCCACTAACTTCCATTCACGAGTTCAATGATGCACTGCATCAGTCTGGCCTCAGCCCTGCATACATGGAGGGAGGCTCTGGACTTCAAGGTGCATTTGGCAGAGCCCTCATGTTGCATCGAGTTGCTTGAAGGGTCTCTGAGGGAAGAGGGCAGCTGAGCATGGGAGATGCCTGTGGCCCCTTGGCTTTGCTTCAGTACAGTGGCTTCCATGGACTGCTTTGTTCAAAGGATGGCACATGTGGCTTAACAAAAGTTTGAGGACCAGTGACCCCAGGGTTCCTTCTATTTCTAAAATTTGTAATGTTTGATTCCTTATAAATAATAACACAAAGGGTCCTTGAAGCCCTGTTTCCAGTCATTCAGCTTTGTGGCTCAATCTTGGATGCATTTTGTTAAGAGTGATTGAGAATTCTGTGCCCCACCCCATCCTCAGCAGTCTTAAGAGGGGCAGAGGGAAGATAGAACAACATCCACCCAATACTCCTGCACCTCTGGCCCAGATTTAGCCAAGCCTCTCTGAGGGTGTGGTCCCATCCCCGGGGCTGAGAATCACTCCACAGGGAACCACTGCCTTTGAAGGGAGTGGGATGCGTCCGGGAACACTGTGATTTTCCTTCACATCGTGTGGTCCAGCTGTCAGGCAAGATGGTGGTCATGTGACCCATGCTGGCCAATCACAGCTCTCCTGAGGGAGGGATGCAGGGATGAACTGATTCAGAGCTGGGTCACTCTGAGGACAGGTCCTTGACTCCTGCTACTTAGATTCCTGGAACTGCCTTGGTTTCCGTCTTTCCTGAGGTCTGGCTGGTATTTTACAAATGAACCAGGGTTTTTCTGAATCCTCCACCCTTTTCTGTTGCTGGAAAGATTCAGGCTTCCCTTTCCACCATTTCTCTTATGAAAGGGCTTCCCAGGCTTGTGAAATACTTCTGGGTATTTCAGAAGACCAGACACCAGGATCTCCAAGGGGCCTGCCCACTTCCCCTGCGGTAGGAAGGCCTTGATTTGCATGAGTGCATCAGTCTGGGTCTGATCGCCCCGGGCCGGGTAGCGCACGCCTTCTGGAAGAAGAAACGCTATAGCTGAGTTTTCATTAGACCCTCCCTCACTGTCCCTGGGTCGCAGGATGTGAGGACCCATCATTAAGGGCTCAGAATGGTAACCCCCTGAAGGCAGAGCTCGTTAAAGGTCAATGGCTAATTAATTAAACACATGAATGAGCTCAGAAGCTAAGTCCCATAGTTAGATTTCATATTCTTGTAGTTTGGACAGTTCAGTGTCCTGGATCTGGAAAAATGTGTCCCTTTTTGTAATTTGGTTCATTCTTTTATTTCTGATTTAAAACAAAAACCCCCAAAAACTTCAGACCACGTGTAGATTTGTTGAAGGGAGTGGTTTTCCCAGGAGCTCTTGCTTCTCCCAGTGGGCAGTGGTGCTGGTGGCAGCAGGAGCCCGGTGCCAGGGCCAGGAATCAGGAGGAGCCTTGGAGAGAGTAGGCAGGAGAGTCCAGGGGCCGGGGTGAGGAATGACTCTGGACACTGGTGTCCTTCCTTCTTCTGTCGAGAGTTCCTTACCTGGGGATTCACCCTGCAGCAGAAACCTGGAGGAGCACTGAGGAGGAACAAGATGTTCCGTTGCCGAAAATTGCTCCCATAGAGCCGTGCCATGCAGTATGGCAGCCACCAGCCGCATGTGGCTGTGGAGCACCTGCAATGTGGGGAGTTCGAATTGAGATGTGTTATGAGTGTAAAATACACAGCAGTTTCAAAGACCTCATCTGAAAACAAGAATGGAAGATATCTCACTACTAACTTATTGATTACATGATGACATGATAATATTTTGGGTATACTGGGTAAAATAAAATATATTATTAAAATTAATTTCACCTGTTTCTTTTTATTTTATTTAAAGTGGCTACTTCTAGAAAGTTTAAAGTTGGCCAGGCACGGTGGCTCACACCTGTAATCCCAGCACTTTGGGAGGCCACGGTGGGTGGATCACCTGAGGTCAGGAGTTCAAGACCAGCCTGACCAACATGGTGAGACCCCGTTTCTACCAAAAATAGAAAAATTAGCTGGGCGTGGTGGTGTGCACCTGTAGTCCCAGCTACTTGGGAGGCTGAGGCAGGAGGAAACGCAAAAGGAAATGATTTTGTTTGTTTGTTTGTTTTGTTTTGTTTGTTAGTTCATGTCTTTTATTAACTCATACAGTTCCTTGTCTTCTGGTTTGTTGAAGCAGTAAGTCAGACAACATTTGCCACAATAATGTCTGTCATAGTGGCTTGCCATAAACACTCCAGCACCACATTCATCAGAAGGGCACTCTCGATGAAGGTGACTAATTTTGCCATTCTCGTCTACCTTATAGTATTTCAGGACAGCCAGCTTAATCTTCTTCCTCTTGTGCTTATTCTTCTTGGGAGTGGTGTAAGACTTCTTCCTTTTCTTAGCACCACCACGAAGTCTCAACACAAGATGAAGAGTAGACTCCTTTTGAATGTTGTAGTCAGACAAAGCACATCCATCCTCCAGTTGCTTGCTAGCAAAGATCAGTCTTTACTGATCAGGAGGAATTCTTTCCTTATCCTGGGTCTTGGCCTTTATATTTTCTATCGTATCTGAGGGTTCAACCTTGAGGGTGATGGTCTTCCCTGTGAGGGTTTTCACAAAAATCTGCATTTTGGTGGCAGCTCCACTGCAGGTGGCTAATGGAAAAGGAAGGAAATGTTTTAAGATACATTCCTAAGGGTTGCACATTGACTAATTTGATCTTGTACAACTCTCAAGTTCTGTAAGATAAAATCTTCAGTTCTCTTGGGTAGATAAAAGAGCTTCAGAAGTTTGAGTTGGGTGAGGGTTGGCCACTCCCTTACCATCTTGCTAATGCTTTAGACCAAATTCACACAGAAAGAGATTTGTTAAATATTAACATTTATTGTGATGCAGGCCCCCAAGGTCCATACAACCTTCTCTGTAGGCTCCATGAAGTCTCAGCTCTGGTGTCTTAGGTGCTAAGAGAACACTTTGCATGGAAAGCTCATTGAAGGCAGAGGCTACAATAGAGTCAGAATTTCAGGATCCTTCTTGTCAGCATCAGACAATCAGAAATCTTACTACACCAGTGGTCTTTCACAAGAGCAATTAAGGAACCAAGTGCCTTTTATTTTTATTGAATTAATTAATTAATTTTTTTTGAGATGGAGTTTTGCTCTTTTTGCCCAGACTGGAGTGCAATGGCATGATCTTGGCTCACTGCAACCTCTGCCTCCCAGGTTCAAGTGATTCTCCTGCCTCAGCCTCCTGAGTAGCTGGGATTACAGGCATGTGCCACCATGCCCAGCTAATTTTGTACTTTTAGTAGAGATGGAGTTCTCCATGTTGGTCAGGCTGGTCTCGAACTCCTGACCTCAGGTGATCCACCTGCTTCAGCCTCCCAAAGTGCTGGGACTACAGGTGTGAGCCACCACACCCGGCCCCAAGTGCCTTTCTTAAGAGTGCAGTCTCAAGGCCTTGCCAGACCGAAACCCTAGTAGCACAAGGGTGGGGAGTGTCCCTACATCTCATGGCCAGTCCACATATCGTGACTGTCATAACTCTGTTCATGCGAGTATGGAGAGTGTCTCTTACATATTTTAGTCAGACCACGTGTTCCCCTTGATTAATGAGAGCCCATTGCTAAGACTCATTATGTTTATTAGCAAGTCACTAATAAGTCAGTAAAAATTCACTTCCCAAGGCCTCAGGTGTTGGCAGGTGTGCATGGCAGAGGTATCTTGGGAGACTGGGGAATCCTGATGAACCCAAGTAATGCTCACCTGTAATATCACACCGAAGATGCCAAAGTATATAAGTCACTTCTGGACATCATAGCACAATCTTATTAAGAGCATGAATAATTCTTTCATACCTACTTGGTCTATCCAAACAAGATCAATGAGGCAAGAGCCAGTGAATTATCAGAAAGTTTCCTGAGAAAATTCAACCTTTTGTGATCAATGTCGTTTCCAACCTTAGAGGAACAAACAAATGCTATTCACAAAACAGTCATTCTAAAAATGCATTTTTGTATGAAAGATGCATCTTCTCAAGGTAAATGTTAACAGTCCTTGGGAGAAAACTGCTAGAATACAGATTTCAGGATTTAAGGGAAAACAATTTTTTTCTTTCAGTCTTAGAAACCCAACTCACTGATGATGAGATATAGAACAAATATAGACGTTACTTAAATATTAACTTTATTTGGTATGTAAATATACCTAGCGCTCCGATCTTTCTAGATCAAGGTTACTTAACCCTGGCTGTATTGACCCTTTAGGCAAGGGAATTCCTTGTGTGCAGGGTTGTGGGGGGATGCTGTCCTGTGTATTGTAGGGTATTTAGCAGTGTCCCTGGCCTCTACCCACTAGTTGCCAATAGAAGGACCCTACCACTAAAGTGGTGACAACTAAAAATGTCTCTAGACACTGCCAAATGTCCCCTTGGGGGGCAAAATCACCCTCTGTTGAGAACTGCTCTTCTAGAACAGGTCCAATGGGCTAAGCCATTGCCTTGCTAGAATGCATAATCTCAGACCCCTCCCAGACCTACTGAACCAGAGTCTGCATTTCAGTAAGCTCCCAGGTGGTCTGTGTGCTCATATACCCGGCCAGCTTTACCCCTATGCTCCATGGTGCCTGTGGCCAGGGATATGTGGCTCTCATTGCAGGAAGCTGATGAAGCCTTGCTGCATAACCTACGCCTTCAGCTGGAAGCCCAATTTCTGCAAGATGATATCAGTGCGGCAAAGGACAGGCACAAGAAGGTAATCATGACCCCTTGAAGCCCTTCCTCTAGAAAACCCAGTTTGGGTTTGATCAGGTAAGCCGAGGGTACTGTGGCTGAAAACAGACTGCTAGAGTGGCATACCTTTGTGCGTTTTCCCTCGAACCAAATAGGGGTGAATTGGTCACTGGACAGTGCTTACTGAGCTAGATGTGCTTTGAAGAGTGGGCAGTAGTGGGTGTGTTTTGAGGGCCCTGGTGTTGGGAACTAGTATCTATATTGTACAGTATAATTTACAAAGTGATTTTATATAGATCTGTCTTCATTAAGCTACAGTCCATCAACTGTTTCCGCTCAGAAAATACATGAAAAAGTCTTGTTTTTAGCTCTGCCTCTGAGCCCGTTAATTGCAGGAGCACATTATTCAGGAGCTTCCTCTCCTGCAGTGCTCAGACTCCCCCAGCCTCCAACAGTTCCTCACAGGCCTGATTCTGGGGGGCCCTGGCATAATTGAAAAATCAGATTCTGCAGCTGTTTGACTATGGGTGAGTGGCCTAACCTCTCTGAGCTGCTTTTTCTTCTTCAAAATGCAAATGCAGGCTCTCCTTCCCAGCAGTGACGTGGGTGAAGTAGTGTAGCAGACCTGTGGGTGCCTCAGGGCTTCCCTCTCCAGGGGCTCTGGCCTCCTCCCACTGCCATCCCTGCAGCTTTGCCTGAGGACTTTCTCCAAGCAGCTGGAGGCTGCTCCGCCTGTAGTGGGGTGTTGGGGAACTCCTGTCCCCAGGAGCAGGGAGCAGCCTCAACCAGAACTGATGGGAGTTGGTGTATAAACACACCAGCTCCCTCTCGCCTTTGTAGACCAACTCTGAGGCTTTTGTTCTGCATTGGCACCCAGAGATACTCACCAGGATTGAGCTCCAGGTGCCCACAGTGGTGATCCATTGGTAATAGCCCTCGCTGACTGCTCTCCCTTCCTGCCTCACTTTCCCACTCCACCCGTCATGTTTCCTGGCATCACTGCCCAGTCAACTGTTTGCACTCAGATCCCTCTCTCAGGGTCTGCTTCTGGGGAAACCCAAACTACGACAATGTGGGAACATGGGTACAACCTGGAGCTTGGCAAGTGCTCAGTGAACTTCCAGTTCCCTTCCTACCTCAGTGTGTACCTGCATCAGTACACCAGGCCTGTCTGCTCCAATCAGGGTCCCTCCAACTTTCCATGAGGCCCAGCCATTTCCTCCTCCCCACCCACCTCCTTGCTTCTACCCTACTTGATGGAATCCTGGGAACAGTGCCTGGGCCAGTTTTGAAGCAGCTCAAATAATTCTTCCAGGCCATTTAGGATGATGATGATGATGATGACGGTGATGATGATCGCTCACACTGTGAGGCTTCCCTGTAGTATCTCACTGGATCCCAAGAGCAGCCTTGTGAAATACTGCTCAGGTCAGGCTTCCTCTAAGCAGAGCTCTAGGTAGTGATTTTTTGTCACTGATGTCTTAGTGGAGGGCTCTGAGAAGGGGAGGAAAAGGGCAGGACAGGGCAGGGAGCAGAGCAAGGACTTGTCCTCAGCCGGAGTCCAGCTGTGGCCTTCTCATGATCCCACAGGAAGCTCTGGAGTGTGAATGTGAATTACACCACAGCTGGGTCCCTCAAGGAGTTGAGAGAGTTGGTCTTTTGTACTCCTGTGCTGTCAGTCGTTGGCCTGGGTTGGGGATGAGGCAGGGCCTGGTAGCTTCCTGGACAAGATGACCATTTGTTGGCCAAGGGCTGCTTTCTGGAGAGGGCTGTGTCATCTGTTATTACAGAGCTGGGGACAGGGGCACTGGCGGGTAAAGGGGATCAGCATCCCTACAGATAGTTATCCCTGTTTTACAGAAGAACTTGCATTTTAGGAGGTTTAAATAGCTTGCCTGAGGTCACACATAGCCAGTAAGTCTTTTAGTCCAGGCCTGATTGACCAAAGCCCATTCTTTGAAACACTGCTGGTGTTGGAAAGGGTCCTTTGTGCCCTCCAGGGCCTTTTAACTTATTTATTTTTGACACGGTGTCTCATTCTATCACTCAGGCTGGAGTACAGTGGGGTGATCACAACTCACTGCAGCCTCCACCCACCCCCAGGTTCAAGTGATCCTTCTACCTCAGCCTCCTAAGTAGCTGGGACCACAGGTGCACACCACAACACATAGCTAATTTTAACATTTTTTGTAGAAATGGGATCTTACTATGTTGCCCAGGCTGGTCTCCAACTCCTGGGCTCAAGCAATCCACCTGCCTTGGCCTCCCAAAGTGCTGGGAGTACAGGTGTGAGCCACCATGTCTGGTGAGGGCTGGTTTTTTTCTCTTTTTTTTTTTGTGCCTCCGCCACCCAGGGCTTTGTGAAGACCAATGCACCAATGTAACTGAAGAGAAACAGTGAAATAAGGCAAGTCTTAGTTTATTCATCGGCCCCGTTGTTCTTGTGAAGATTAAAGGAGACTGAGGTGCCAGGAATGAGCATGGTGCACATGTGGGCAGGCCCACCCATGGCAGCAAATGCATCAGTCTCTTCTTCCTCCTGAACCTGGTCATGGTCTGTCCTGTCTGTGATGAGGGAGCGTGCGGAAGTGTCCATTCCTGTTCTCATCTAGTACTAGAAGGAAAAACCAGCGCAGCTCAACTTATAATGAGAATGTTTTCCCTCCCCCAACAGAATCTTCTGGAAGTTCAGACCTATATCAGCATCCTGCAGCAGATCATCCACACCACTCCTCCAGCATCCATTGTGACGAGTGGGATGAGGGAGGTAAGAATTGAAGCAGGAAAAGGCAAACCAGCCCTGGAGGGAAGCTGTACCTGGAGACTCCCAGGGAAGGGCTCACAGGTTGGACTGTGAGGGCGGCCACCAGGGTCCACTCCCCACTCCTGCCTTGTATTCTCATCTGAAGTTTCTTCTTCTGATATTTTACTTGTACTGTAAATGCCAATATTTAGACATGTGAGGATGTAAACCGCATCCTTGACCATTTTCTTCGGTATTTTCTCTTGAGAATTATGAGCTGTTCTTCCTTGCATACTTTATAAGAAATGACCAAGCTGCTTTCCAAAGCGATGTGCCATTGTTGCATCTCCACCCACAATGCGTGAGGGTTTCTGTGGCTTCCTGTCCTTGCCAGCACTTGGTATGTCAGCTTTGTAGTGTGTCTTTGCTCTTCTAATGGTGGTGGTTTTAATTTGCATCCCCTAATGACTAAGGAAGCCGAGCATCCTTTTGTGCACTCATCTGCCATCCGGATAGCTTCTTTGTGGAAGTATCTGCTCAAGCCTCTTGCCCATTTAAAAAATTGGTTTGTTTCCTTATTCTCCCTATCAATCTGATAATGAATTTCAAATACAGATAATCTCAGATAATTAGTGAATATATTTCCAAGACGGAGCTCTGCTAATGATTATGTGAGCCTGTGGCATTGAAACTAGTGGGAAAGGATAGAGATTGTTGAAGCCAATTTGTAAAAATTAAGATTTGGATATGAAAAATTACTTCTGATATTATGTTCCAAATTCCTTCTTCATTTGACTCTCTAGCTGCTCAACGGGATAGTAACGCTTTTCCTAATATGGTTTATGGAATTTTGTGATGCATAGCATGATATATATATATATAGACTGGTGCTGAGTGAGGTGGCTCATGCTTGTAATCCCAACTACTCAGGAGGCTGAGGTGGGAGGATCATTTGAGGCTAGGAGTTCAATACCAGCCTGAACAACATAGCAAGACCCCATCTCTAAACAAACAAACAAACAAGAAGCAAAAAAACCCCACAAACACTGGAAATGATGCAAATTAAATAAAAATGTTACAGTGTCCCTTCTTCAGAGGTTGTGGTAGGCTACTACAGGGTTTGGTGGATTGGTCAAGAGATAAGGTTCTGGGTCTTTTTGCAAGGATGACCTAGGATGGTGGCTCTCAACCCTGGTGACACTTGAAATTGCCTAGATGTGTGCTCAGGCCATGCTCCGAGTCAATGAATGGGCTTCCCAGGAGGTGGGGCCTGCCCAGGACCAGCATGCAGACAAACTGCTGCAGAACCCATGGGCTGGGGTCACCGGCTGCCTGAACTTTTTCGTCTTAATTATTTTATACAAAGCTAAAGAAATCCCCAAATTTGCTTTAGAAGACACTTTTGAACCCTGCAAAGTATCATCTAAGCGACAGGAAAGTTACTTTTTTTGGCATTCATGAGGATAGTCTTGTCTGAATTGCCCACCAGTTACCATTTCAGGATCCTGTTCTCCTTAGTGGATGTAACTGATGTTGCTACAAAGGCCTAAAAAAACTTTTCCTGAAGCCTTAATTTTCTTTCCCAGAGATTCCTTTCCAGAGATGTTACTTTTATTTTTCAAACCCAACTCTAACTCAAAGGTGTTTTACATCCGAGCATACCTTTTGAATTGTATCATCTATTCCCATGTAATAAGACCCTTCTAAGTCATAAGTATACAGACACTAAACTGACTTTGATGTCATCGATCAGCATCGTCTGGGCTTGTGAGACGTGCAGAGTGTCCAGTCCAGCCTCAGACCCACTGAGGCAGAATCTGCATCTTAGCCAGATCCGCAGGGACTCGTGTGCATGCTCAGGATAGAGAAGCACCGATTGAGAAAGTGTCACATCTTTATGAGTCTTAGCTTAGCAATTCTACAATCAAGTTAGACGGTCACTTTCCTGTATGTCTATGTCATTGCTGCAGCCACTTTGTAAGGTGTTTGAAGCAGAGGCTGTCTTCCATGCAGCCTCTGGACACAGAAACCCTCATTGTAGACTTGGTGTTTGATTTTGCATGGCTTCGAGTCAATGTGCTCTGTGTCAGAATGCATGGCTCTTGAGCAGTCAGGCCTTTGTGAAACAATTTGAATATTTTTGAATAGACGTGGAAAGGCAGGTCAGGAGAGAGGGACCTGCTTGGCAGAGTGTGGAGAGGTCAGAGGATTTCCTTCTAGCCATTCCCTGGAGCGTCACTTCCCTTTCACCCACTGGGGCTGATGGCTCCTGCTTTGTGCTGCGCTGACATCCGAGCACAGCGTATGGCTCGCGGCTCCAACCAGCCTTCATTTTCTTCGAGAGTGTGCATTCCAGGTTTTCCCTTTCACAGAAGGGAAAACAGAGGCTTTGAGAGTCAAATCCTTTTCTAGAGTCTCTTAGTAGGTTCATGGCACAGCCAGGTCTAAGCTCTGGTCTCCTGGTACTTGGTCCCGGCATGTCACACTCCCAAGGAGGTTCAGACTTTGAAGACAAAGCAAAAGGCATTGATGGCTGTGCTGTGGGCCTGGCTTAGTCTTCTCAGGCTACTATAACAGGACACTACAGATGGGAGGGCCGACAGGCAGACATTTACTTCTCACTGTCCTGGGTGCTGGAAGTCCAAGATCAAGATGCCAGCAGAATTGGTGTCTGGTGAGGGCTCTCTTTCTGGCTTGAAGACGGCTGCCTTCTTGCTGTGTCTCACGTGACAGACAGACAGGGGGTGGGGGTGGGGGCTCTGGTGTCTCTTCTTGTTCTTACAAAGACCCTAATCACATGATGGGGCCCCCCATCCTCATGACCTCATCTAACCCTAACACCTTCCAAAGGTCTCCTAAAACCTTCATCTTGGGAGTTAGTTAGGGCTTCAACACAGAATTCAGGGGGACACGGATATTCCGTCCATACCAGGGCCCCGCACCTTCTCTGCCCTTTTCCTCTCTGCATGTCCCATGAGTCTGACTCTGGCCTTCTCTGTGCAGGAGAAGCTCCTGACGGAGCGGGAGGTGGCCGCCCTGCGGAGTCAGCTGGAGGAGGGCCGGGAGGTGCTCTCCCACCTGCAGGCGCAGAGAGTGGAGCTGCAGGCACAGGTACGCTCGAGTCTGCCGCGTGTGCATTGGGGCTTCCCACATGTTTCATGGAGGTGTTACGCGCAGGCACACGCATGCAGCTTGAGGAGCTGTCACACGCTGAACATATCCTATGTTCCTGGCAGAAACGGGGTTTTCTGAGTGGGTGGCCAAGCGCTCTGCTCTGGCCTGGACTGAGGAGTTTTCCAGGACACAGGGAGAGTCCTGAGCTGGGGGACACAGGTGCCACGCTCATTCCTGGCCCCTCAGAGGTGCCCCTTGGGACTCCTTCGAGTCATGCCCTCCCCACCGAGTCTTAGGCTTAGGCTGCCCCAGTGTCTACATCATGCATTCATTTTGCCCAGGTCAAGCTTCGTAAGAATAAGAAGAAACGGACACCATAGGGATTTTTATCCTCCACTTGTTCAAATCTGTGCTTCTGTTTTCCTTCTCATGGTAACAGTTCTCCTTCGGAATTTGATTACAACCCGGCAAGAGTGGTTGTATCAGTGTTTGCTTCTAGTTAGAAACGTGTTGGTGGAAAGCTCACATTTCTACCCCCACCCCTTTTGGGTGAAGCTTAATTTGAAAACAAAACAGAAAAGCCCCAAACTGTCCTGTGGCCTGTGCCTTCTTGGCTACTTGCCGGCTCATCTTCTTTGTTCCTTCCGGTTCTCTCTCTTTCTCATTACCCTACAGCAGGTCATTCCACAGGGACGCTTGGGTTAAAATACTGCACCTTTGTATGGCTCTCTAACCACATTTCCCAAACCAAAAAGTAAGTTGACATTTGGTTTGACAAGTACACATGGGGACAAGAGAGCAAAACGTGTAAAAATCGGACACTTCAGAAAGCCTGGACCATTTGGATGTTATGTGTTACTCTGTCTAAAAATGTGAAGCCACAACTAGATGTAGCGCTTTTTATTGATTTCCAGTGCCCCCATGTCTGCTCAGGATTTCATTTTGGGACCTTGGAGTTCACATCCTAATTCCCATCCCAGCACGCACCACACAAAACTCACAGTGCAGCAGCTCTCAGGGGCTGCTGGAAAGCAAACCCGGGTCTGTGGTGGTCCCCTGAACTGACGATCGCAGCAGGAGGAACCAAGTAAGGCACTTAAAACTCCTCCTTCTTGTGAGACAAACCCTGGCTCAGGGACCATGTGCCTCATCCTGGTGACTGGGGCCTGTGTGGTTTCTTCTGAGGCTCTGACAGGATAGAATAAGGGTTGTATGTGTTTGTGTACATGGGGTGTGTGTGTGTGATATACATGGTATGTGTGATATATGTGGGATGTGTATGTGAAGTGTGTGTGGTGTGTGTGTGTCATGTGTATGTGTGTGTGCTGTGTATGTGAATAGGGACGTGGATACAAGCCCAGTCGTGGTCCTAGAGACCAGTGTTTTCCAAATGGCTAGTGACAACTCATTTTTGGATGTAAAATGAACTCAGTAGAATTGACTGGCATGTAAAAGGAAGTCAACAAAATGCTAGACTAAAATATAATAAGAAAAACAGAGTGTACAGCAAGTGAAAGGGAGGATTTGTTTTGTGAAGCCCTTGTTTTATCTCTCTATATCCATATGGATATGTTGAAATACACACACACACACACACACACACACACACACACCTACCTATCTGATGTGTATGGCTCGCAATGAGAAATGTGGTTTTTCCTGGGGCGGTGGTGATAAAGTTGAAAACCACTGCCCTAGAGATACTGAGAAAGATGAAGGAGCCCAGCCTAGATGGCAAATTCCAGTTCCAGGACAAAAAGAATGTTCCTCTCTTTATGTACAGGTATTTGTTGAATATCAAAATAAGAAATTTCACAACAGATTAACCTGGTTTCTGAGAACATGAAATGAAACCGCTGGTTGGCCGCCTGTTTCTGTCCTGAGTGGCTGCAGGAGGACTTCCTGGCTTTTCCCTGCTGCCCTCGTCTCTAAAGCAGGGTCTCAAACATCTCTTCTGTGCTGCCTCCTCCACTCCCACCCGTGGCATTCTGATGGAGACCGCTTCTCAGAAAAATGATGGTAAAGGCATAAAATAAAATACAGATAATTTAAAGGAAACCAGGCTGGGTGTGGTGGCTCACGCCTGTAATGCCAGCACTTTGGGAGGGCAAGGTGAGTGGACTGCTCGAGTCCAGGAATTTGAGACCAGCCTGGGCCACATGACGAAACCCCACCTCTACAAAAAATACAAAAATTAGCTGGGCGTGGTGGTGCGTGCCTGTGGTTCCAGCTACTTAGGAAGCTGACATGGGAGGACTGCCTGAGCCTGGAGAGGTTGAGGCTGCAGTGAGCTGAGACTGAGCCACTGCACTCCAGCCTGGGCAACAGAATGAGACCCCGTTTCCAAAAAAAAAAAAAAAGAAACTAATTATATTAAAACAGTTATCAAAATATTACTGAATCATTTTAAATAAAATGACAGATGTGCTTATACTCACTCAGTAACAAGCTATAGCATGTAGCTGATGAAACACGGCTGTGTCCATTTTCTGTTGCTGCCTTGATGAGTCACCACCAGCACCCGTGTCATCGCAGTTGTGTAGGTGGGAAGTCTGGGTGGGTCCTATCGGTTTCTCTGCTCTGGGTCTCAAAAGGTAGAAAGAAAGATGTTGGCCAGCCTGGGCCCTTGTCCAGAGGCTGTTAGGGGAGAATTTGCTTCCAGTCTCATTCAAGTTCTTGGCAGGAGTGAGGACCCTGTTTCTTTGCCGGCTGCTGGCCAGGAGTGGCTGTCAGGGCTGCCCAGGCTCCTTGGCTTCAGGCCCCTCCACGTTCGGAGCCGGCAGCGAACTCTGAACCCTCTTCCTGCGTCTCATCTCAATGACTTGGACTTACACGTTTCTCTGACTTCTGTTTTTAGGGGATAATCTTGAATAAACTCCTTTCCTTAAAAAAGGGTAACTGATTAAGAACTTTAATTATATCTGCAAAGTCCCTTTTTGCCATGTAACATATTCAAGGGTGTAGCACCAAGGGGAAAAGGTCACGGGGGCCAAAATTCTGCCTCCTTAGCTCTGATGAAAACCCAGACGTGGCTGGGTGCGCCCGGGAGCTCCTGACTCAGTGGGTCTGGGGTGTGGCCCGGGATGCTGCATGTCTAGGTGTCCCTGTGATGGTGCTGCGGCTGGTCCAGGAGCCACACTGAGAACCACAGGGTAAGGGCGGGTCCCAGGGAGTGGGCGAATGTTCCACCTGGTCCCCCTGTGTCCCAGGCTTGGGCCTCATTTCAAATGTTTGTGGCTGGGTTTTTGCTGGTTTTAAAGGTTTTAGTGGCTTCCCAATGTAGCAGCTAAGCTAGAGCTGAAGGAAGATGTGGCCGCACACCGCCGGGCAGGGCCCGCTCTGTGGCCGGAACTCGGTGGAGGGCGGGCCGAGAGAGAGCGTCTGCTAGCACCAGGGCCGTGGCAGCGGGTTCCGCCTATGGTTAGGGCGTCCGAAGCTTCCCGAACTCTCCACAGCAGGGGTCGTCAGGGTGAGGTCCCCGTCCCAGCAGCGGGGGCACCACCTGGGAACTTGTCAGAAATGCAGATTCACAGGCACCCCAGACCACTGACCCAGGAGCTCTGGGGCGGGCCGGTGCGCCTTGTTTAAGCCCTCCACGTGGCTCTGCGGGCTCAGTCTGGGAGACGCTGGGCGGACGATGGGAGAATAGTGCCTGGGCTTGGAGCTGGAAGCTGGAAGCCTCTCCTTCAAATAAGTGCACATATACCCGTAAGAGCCCCGGAGGAAGCACTTCGGACAGGTGGAGAGGAAAGGACAGGTAATTCTAGTTCCCTAAATTGCATGGACTGAGAGTTTCTGTGACAGGGAAGTAAAGAAAGTCACTTTTTAAAATTGCAAAGTGGGAACCGCCCATGTCTCATTTCTCATTAAAGTCACTTAGCACCATCTAGTGGTTTAGTTTGTGTAAGACAGTATGTAATGAGTTTCCTTTTTTTTTTTTTTAAGACAAAACAAAAACAAAAACAAAAACAAAAAAAAAACCTTACACCTAAAGGTGTCTGGGGTCCTAAGGACTGAGGTGAGAGCTCACCCCTCCAGATGGGGCTCGCGTCAGGCTCCTGCCTGTGTCGTGCCCTCAGCGGCTCACAGCCCAGTGGGGAGACAGATATAAACCAGGCAATCTAACGGTCCAGGCAGAAACAGCAGTCACCTGGCTCCGGATAAAGTTCAGGTTGCCACATGGCCCCACCGTTGGAGGAACCCTGGGCCAACCTCTCTTCTCTTCGTCTCCTGACCCCTCCTGCAGTTTCTGGGACCTCCCCTTTGCTCATTCCTTCTCTCCTTTCTGGAAGTCCCTTTCCTTCCTCGGTTCCCAGGACCGGTCCTGCCTCCTCCTGGAAGCCCCTTTCTTCCTCTGAGATGCCCTGGGCGTGCCTCCCCTGCTGGACTGCGGCCTTCTAGAGGAGGGTCCGTGTCTCATTCTCCTCGGCCAGGCTGGTGCTGGGTGGCAGTGGACGCCGTGCCACAGTGGCTCTCGTCACAGGCATCTCCATTCCTGTTGAGCTCCTGAGACAGGAGCTCTTACTGGTTTTCCTGAACACTCTTCCTTCTGATGAAAGGTTTAAATTATGGAGCTGTAAAAACCACATCGGTATAGACATCAGTCCACTTTTATAAACCAAGTCATCACTTCACTGGACTCAGCAGAATCCCGTAGAGCATCTGCGACCAGTACGGAGTTGGAGGGCTCTGGGCCTCATGGTCATGTGGGGGATGGGGGCTGTGGGGGCGCCCAGGACAGGAGCTCCTCCCGCAGTGTTCCAGCAGAGGATCTCCAGCCTTTAAAACATGCAGCCTTCTTCAAACAAACACAAATGCACACCCAAGAAAACACCCCATCCCTCCACCCCCTACCACTACCACAAAAACAACAATCACCACTTCCTGAGACATAAAAAGATTGCACTCCACTTGTAGGGTAGAAAGATCACAGGTGACTTTCCTGGGCTCTCATTTCCCATTCTGTGATGCTTTGTGGTTCTATTTACAGTTTAAAACTTTGCTAAGTGAAAACCTGCAAGGAGAGGTCTCTGCATGGCTCACACTGACTTTCCCATGTCTTCAGAGAGAACAGGCTGGTGTTGGCCTGTTGCTGTGTGGGAATGGGGAGTTTGCAGGGGCCCTGGAGACAGAGTGTGTGTGTGTGCACGCACGTGTGTGCTTGCATATTGTTGCCTGCAGCAGGGAGGAGGCTGAGGTGCAGGGCAAGGGTGGCCTGGTTCTGGGAGGTGTTTCAGACCTTGTTCAGGTAGATTCGAATCCTGCTGTGGTATTTATGGGCAAGCCACTTTGCCAGTGTGCCCCAGTTTCCTCATCTGTAAAGTGGAAATAATGACAGCCCTTCCCTGATAAGGTTGTTGTGAGGTTGATGAGTTGACCCAGCTTAGGACTTATCAGCATGAGCCACTACCCCCGCTCTGGGCTGGGGAACCCACACCCAAAAGGAACGGCCACCCCAGAGCTCTTGGGTCAGTGATCTGGGGTACATTCTCTTCATATGTAATTTTTTCTTTTACTCTTTATTATGGAAGATTTCAAACATAGAAAAGTGAGAGATTATAGGTGCTATGGCTCACGCCTGTAATCCTAGTACTTTGGGAGGCCAAGGTGGGAGGATCACTTCAGCCCAGAAGTTCAAGACCAGCCTAGGCAACATAATTAGACCTTGTCTCTACAAAAAAAAATTTTTTTTTAATTGGCTGGGCATGGTGGCATTCACCTGTGGTCTCAGCTACTGAGGAGACAAAGGTGTGGGGACCACTTGAGCCCAGGATGTGGAGGCTTCAGGGAGTCCTGATGGCAGCACTGCACTCCAGCCTGGGCAATAGAGTGAGACCCTGCCTGTCTCAAAAATTAAAAGTGAGAATAGTCTGTCTCATGAGCCCTCCCGCCCCATCCCTCAACACATGGCCCCTCTATGTTCTCTACAGCCCCACACACTTCCCTCACCATGTAATTCCAACACTTCTTTGAGATTTGGGGCTCAAAGGGGTCTTTTCAATCCCCATATTCCTTGAAAGTGTTTCCTGGAGTGTCTGAACACTCTGGTGTGGGTGAGATGTGGCTGCACCAGGCGTTAGTGTGTCTGACTTGTATTTGCTATTACAGGCGACTGTTTGAATCCAGATTTCTTGGGAGAAACAGAAACTGGATCACACTAGCTGAAACAGGAAGGGGACTCTTGTTTTATTCAGAAGTAATTTTAGATTTTTGAAAAGTTGCAAAAACAGCACAGTAGCTTCCAATATATACCCCTCACCCAACTTCCACAAAACCACGGGCCGATGATAAAAACCTGGAAATTAACAGTGATCCTGTCGCATTAATAGACTGCACTAAAATCTCACCAGTTGCTCCACGCGTGTTTTTTCCTGGTCGAGATCCTACTCACATTTAGGTGTCATGTCTTGATTGTCTCCCCCATACTGGGATGGTCCCCAGTCTTTCTCTGTCTTCCATGACCGTGATGCTTTGGAAGAACCCAGACCAGTGGCTTTGTGGCATGTCTCTCCTTTTGGGTTTCCCTGATGTTTTCTCAGGATTAGATGGAGGTTCTGCATTCTTGGCAAGACCCCCATGGAGTGACGCTGTGTCCTGAGTATTTCGTTATGTGGCTGTGTCCTCATACAGGTGACAATAACTCTGATCACTTGGTTAAGGTGCTGTCTGCCAGTTTTCTCCACCGGAAAGGTACTATTTTTTTTTTTTTCCAAAGGAGCAGGGTATAAAAGGCAGGGCATGAAATCTGAGAGCAGGTGTGCATCAGGAATCAGGAACCAGGAACTGGGAGCTGAGGCAGCCGCTCTCCGTCTCCTTTTCCATCTCTTCCTTCTCTTGCCATGGCTCCCTAATTTCTGTTTGTCTTTGCCTTTCGGCTTCATTTCTTTTCCTCTCCAAATAATTACCTTTCTCAACTTTGCCATGCACATGAAAGCTCGCCACTCCAGAGCGGCAGCCTCAGACCCGTTCATGTGTCCCTGTTGTCTAGAACCTCCCACCAACTCTGCGATTTCTGAGACCCCTTTCCAGATTCCCAGGAGAGAAGGCATGTGACAGGCCAGCCTAGGTCAGGCCCACCCCTGGTCCTATAACTCTGCACAGGAGAGTGGGGTCATCTTGTTGCTGGGACCGTGCCTTTGGATGGGTGGGGCTGACATCAGACACAGGGACAACGTGGACTGGACAGACATCTCCCCAAAGTGCTTAGCACACGTACCTTTTCTTCCCTTCCTCCTCCCTTCTAATGCAACAGATCTATGGCTGAACACCTGCTTTTTTTTTTTTTTTTGACAGAGTCTCGCTCTGTCACCCAGTCTGGGGTGCTCTGTCACCCAGTCTGGGGTGCTCTGTCACCCAGTCTGGGGTGCAGTGGCATGATCTCGGCTCACTGCAAACTCCACCTCCCGGGTTCAGGTGCCTCAGCCTCCAGAGTAGCTGGGATTACAGGCACCAGCCACCACGCCCAGCTAATTTTTGTATTTTTAGTAGAGATGGTGTTTCACCATGTTGGCCAGGCTGGTCTTGAACTCCTGACCTCAAGTGATCTGCCCGCCTTGGCCTCCTTAAGTGCTGGGATTACAGGTGTGAGCCACCACACCCGGCCATTTGCCGAACACCTTTGAAAGCTACATTTTCACTTAAGGAATTTCATGATCCAAGGGCATAAAGTGTATAAGTGAAGAATTGGGTTTTGATGGCAATGATCATCTTCCAGGGTGTCCAGTAGGTACATTTAGGTCTGGATGTAGGAAATGCCTGCAGTGGACATACATGAAGTTGAATATAGATGTGTGTCTTGCCCCTTGTGACTCGAAGTGTGGCCCATGGACCGGCAGCATCAACATCACGTGGGAACTGGTGAGCAAGGCGGAGTCTCCGGCCCCCCATCCCTGCTGAGTCAGACTCTTAACACCCTCAGGTGGTTCCAGTGCACCCTGGCTTCCAGAAGGGCTGCGCTAGGTAGAAGTGAGGTTTTGTTTGTTTTGTTTTGTTTTTGAGGACCATGCGTGTCAAATTCTTTCCTACTCAAGAATGAGATTGGAAAAGAATCATGATATCTCGGCCTCTACTTTATAAAGTTTAAATTTTTTTTAAGCTTCTTGACTCTTTTTTAATAACACTTGATCAAGCACAAGAGAAAATATTGCAATCAAGAGCTGTGGGAAACGTGAGCTGTAGGAGGCTGCGGCTGGGGTAATGCGGCGTCACTGTCTTACCAGAAACATCTCGTTAAAAGTGGGACTACACGCCAAAATAATGAGAAAAAGTGTAGTATCGTAAATACATAAACCAGTAACATAGTTGTTTATTATCATCATCAAGTATTATGTGTTGTACATAATTGCATGTGCTAGACTTTTTTTTATGCAACTGGCAGCACAGTCTGTTTACGCCGGCGTCCTCACAGACATGTGAGTGAACGTATGGCTCCACGGCCCTAGGATGGCTGCGGTTGTCACAAGGCGACAGGAATTGTCCAGCTCCATTGTACTCTTATGGGACCACCATCCTATATGCAGTCCATTGTTGACTGCAGTACTGTTATGTGGCCCATGACTGAGCATTTGTGGGTCTTTGTGTATCATCACAACCTCTTACACTGAATATAAAACTATCTCTTTCTGTTTTCCTCCCTTAATTTTTACTTGCTCTGATTAATGTACTGTATTTCTCTGACATTATTTTATGTGTACACAAGGGCACACACATACACCTTAGCTACCAAAACATAAATGTAACTCTGCCGATCCAAACTCGGGAGAAAATCAAAGCTGAATGAGAACAAGGAAACTTTTCTCCCACTCAGTATTTCAATAAAGGTAGCATCTTATCTATTTAGTATGTGCTTCTTTTTACTTATTTTTTTGCTATCAGATTTATGCTTGTTCATTAAAGTCTGAAGAATGTACTTTATTTGAATTATACATATTATTCCACCGATAGCAAGTTTTTTTTCTTTTTCTTTTAGACAGAGTCTTGCTCTGTTGCCCAGGCTGGAGTGCAATGGTGTGGTCTTGGCTCACTGCAGCCTCTGCCTCCCAGGTTCAAGTGATTCTCCTGCCTCAGCCTCCCAAGTATCTGGGATTATGGCGTGTGCCACCACTCCCAGCTAATTTTTGTATTTTTAGTAGAGATGGGGTTTCACTATGTTGGCCAGGCTGGTCTCAAACTCCTGACCTCAAGTGATCTGCTAGCCTCGGCCTCCCAAAGTTCTGGGATTACAAGTGTGAGCCACCTGGCCTAGGTTTCGTTTTATTTTCTAGGTTTGTCTTCAGACTGCCTTTGGGGTGGGCCTCCTTATGGACTAATTGCAGAGGGTGCTGATATTAGTGCAAGAAGGGCTGGGTGCGGTGACTCGCACCTGTAATTCCAGCACTTTGGGAGGCTGAGGTGGGAGGATCACTTGAAGCCAGGAGTTTGAAACCAGCCTGGGCAACGAAGTGGGACCCTATCACTACCAAAAAAAAAAAAAAAAAAAAAAAGCCCAGCATGTTGGTGCTTGCCTGTAGTCACAGCTACTCAGGAGGCTGAGGTGGAAGCCTTTAGCCTGGGAGGTCGAGGATGCAGTGAGCCGAGATTGCACTCCTGCATTCCAGCCTGGTGACAAAGTGAGATCCTCTATCAAAAAAAAAAAAAAAAAAAATTGTGTAAGGACACAGGAGCTCAGTTTTCACATTGCTTTTTAGCTTAAGGATTCCAAAGTGATTCATTGCTAATCTCGAATGGACAGAGAAACACACAAACAACATAAAACATTCACCGAGTCCAGGTTCCTTTTCCTGGTGAGGTCTGTCTCTTAGAGAAGAAGGGGGATGGATTTTCTTACAGCGTGTCCTTGCCCACAGACAACAACTCTGGAACAAGCTATTAAAAGTGCCCATGAGTGTTATGACGATGAGATTCAGCTTTATAACGAGCAGATTGAGACACTGCGCAAGGAGATTGAGGAGACAGAGCGGGTCCTGGAGAAGTCTTCTTACGACTGCCGGCAGCTGGCGGTCGCCCAGCAAACCCTGAAGAATGAGCTGGACCGGTATCATCGTATCATCGAGATTGAAGGCAACAGGTGAGCGTGTGCCCTCCCCATCCAGGCCACTTATTCCTTCCACAACTCTTTATTGAGTGCCTATTGTGTGCCAGGCACAGTTATAGGCAGTGGGCATGTGTCAGGGAAGGAAACAGAACAATTCCTGACCCCATGGGTGTTGGATAACTAGTAGGGGAGACAGAGGATGAAGGTACGACCAGTGCTGAGGAGGAAGTTCCCGCAGGGAGGAGGGTGGTGGCAATAGGGGTGATGGGGGAATGCTTGCAGTTTTAAGTAGGGTGGTCAGAAAAGGCCTCACTGAGAAGCCTGTGTTTTGCTCATAGGCCTCTGGGGACATAAGTGTCCCAGCAGGTGGGATGCCCAGGAGTATTTAATGAGGTGCTGCAGGTGAGCTACGTGGCACGGAGCCTGGCACTTGAGGGCACTCAGAGGTGTTGGTGATGCTCCTGCTGCCATCCTCACAATTCTTAGCACCTTGCTGAGTCAGTCTGTGGCTGTGACTATGTGGCTGTCTGGTCTTCTCCATAATGGAGCTGTGAGTCGATCCCTACTCACTTTAAGAAAGCTGGGAAATTCTCTCTTTCTCTCCAGCTATGCTGGTATTCATAGCTACGGTGATTTCCAGAGAACGGGTTGGGAATTAATTTGTGATTCTTCACTTCAGTCTTGCTAAATTCCTGGGTTTCGACTGAATGAAAAGAGAAGCCCCCCACAACTGAGGTCCCCACCAGGAGCAGCTCTTCCCTTCGCGCTGGGTGCTCTCTCTTGGCTGTGAGCACTCGAATGCTTGGCAGGAGAAGCAGGATTTTATTTTTCTTTCTCCAGTGCTGGTCGGTGTATCTGGCATGATTCCACATTATATTTATGTCACAGTGAACACTATGCACACATCTGCAAGAATAAGTCTGGAGCTGGCATTTCGGTGACTTTGTAAACATTTTTGTTTTGGGACAGGGCTTCACAGAAAGGTGACTGGATACCTCTTTTATTTATCTATAAGTTCTGATTTTGGTCTAATTTTAAATTGATAGAAATGTTGCAAGAATAGAACAAGGAACTCCTGAATACTCCAGATTCACCAGTTGTTTATATTTTATCTCAATTGCTTTATCATTTTTTCTCTATTTATATATGATGTGTGTGTGTACATGTATATGTATATATGTATATACGTATATATGAGTAGATATATGTATATATGTATATATGTGTGTGTATATGTATATATACGTATATATATACACGTATATATATACGTATATATACATATACACACACATATACATATATACACACATATATACATACGTGTGTGTATATATATACGTATATATACGTGTATATATATATACACACGTATATATACGTGTGTGTGTGTATATATATATACATACACGTATATATACATATATCTTAAGTTGGAGATATCATACTCTGTTTGCCCTAAATACTTCAGCCTGGGTTGACTACTCTAACTAAAAAAATCAAAAAGGCAAAAAAACAAAAGGCAAAAAAATAAAAAAGGCACTGTCTCATGGAGAAGTGGCATTTTTAGGTTATAAGCAATCCCCACTTTACAATTTTTTATAGGTATGTTTCACAGTTTATGACTCTTGAGCTCAAAGAAATGATCACTTCCTTTATGTCCTCATCCAGTATGTAAATGTGTGTATGGCTGTCTGTTTAAAATGATATCTAATTCGTGAGCAATTTGGTCTAGAGAAAGCTTTTTTTTCATTTTTGCTCAACATTAACGAGAGTCGCTCTTGCCCCTGACCTCTGTTTGGCTTGTTCTTTCTGGTTCTTTCTGCCAGGCTGACCTCTGCCTTCATTGAAACTCCCATTCCCCTGTTCACCCAGAGCCATGGAGTCTCTCTCAGCACTGGATCCGGTGGGAAAGGTAACGCTCCCCAACACTGGACTTCTGTTTTTTTCTGTCTTGAAAAAAACCAAGCGGCTCTCTTCCTGACTTTAACATTCATGCTTGCTTCAGATCCATCTGGAAATTAAATGCTTTTATGTGAAGGAGGACTCCTTCCCACCCTCTGCCCTCTCTGGCTTGCTAAGTGACTGAGCTGAGAAGTTTATAAGGAGAAAAATCGACTAGGGGGCTAGGCTACCTTGGGCATGCCATCCCTAATGTGAGGCATTTATTTTGTATTTTTATATTTGTTTTATGGTTTGACAGCAATAACTTTTGCAACACAAGGCATTTAATTGGGCAAAAAGTACAACTCAATATTCACTTCTTGCTCCCTCCGCTCGGCAGTAAGTGAACACTGGATCACATCCCACCGCCTCCCCACATTGAATCAAAGGGTTTGTGCCAACGCGTGTAACATGGTGTCCAGTGCAGAGTGGCTGCTCAGTCATCTCTCATTCTCCCCTCCCTCAAACCAGGCAGAAACAGCTTGGCTGGTAAATGTGGCATCTGCCTTCAACATTTGGTCTGTAAGACCTCACCTCACATCGAAATCTCCCAGTTCTGAACAAGCGCAGCATTTGGGGAGAAAAGAGAAGGTGGTAATATGGATGCTCATGCATATAGGGCCTTGAAATCCTTATTTCCAGATAGCTCAGAGGGCTTTGTGGAAATGGTGTTCCAGAGTCAACATGGTTGGAAAGGGAACAGCCTTGCAGCTGGACGCCCAGGGCCAGGTCTGCAGACGAGCGGCCCTGCAGGGGCTTGCTCTCAGAACGGTCCCAGCTTGGCTGAATGCTCTGCTAATGCTGTTCTGAAGTTCTTAATAATTTGGAACAAGGGGTCTTGTGGGTTTTTTTGGCACTGGGCCCTGAGATTCTGTGCAGTCCTGTAAGCACCTCCTCCTCGCATACCAGTTCCCAGCAGTTTTCCTGTGCCCTGTCCCTCTCTGCATCCCTTGCACCTGTGGCTTTGTGACCCATGTCTGCTGTTGCCGGCTCACCTGGCTCTCTTTTTATTGTGAATCAGCCGTGCTTGATGCCGGTGCTTGATCGGTCTTGCCCTGTGGTTACCAGTGGGAAGGGATGCAGGGGATGACTTTTGGGCTGAAAAAGTTCAAAATTCACTATGTGGGTGGAGCCGGGAAGCCTCATAGATTATACCAGGTGAGAATTTTATGTGTTTTCTTCAACTTTTAGTTTTTCCTTTCAGCTAGTCTGGAAGCAGGAGGGTGGACTTGGGGCAGGGGATTCCTGTCATTTCTGAATTTCATAGCATCGCTTCTTCTCTTGGCCTGGGAGGAAGGGGAGGCTGATCACAGCCGGGTGGCATTTATCTAGCTTGAGCTAATTATGGAATGAGGTAGATCCACCGTGAACGGGTTCCATCTCCAGGCCCAAGGCCATCTGAGCATGTCAGAAGCCCCCAGGTAGCTCTGTCGTCTCTCCTTTGAGGAAGTCAGAGGAGAGAATAACTTTGAGGAATGGGCTTCTGTGGATCCAAGTGTCTGCTGTGAGCTCAGTGGGGCTGCAGTGGGAACAGGGGCTAGGGCTCCCATTGAGTGTCAGGACAATGGCCTTGCATACCTTGGTAGGTTCTGCCTGGTGTGGTGGTGAACTGTGGGTGTCAGAACAGGGAGCACCTTCCCTCTGGAAGCCCAAAGGCATCCAGTGACTTGTCCAGAGTCGCCCAGCTGGACCTCAGCCTGGGCCATGGAGCAACAAAGCCAGGGCCTTTCTTCCATTGCTTCTGCTCCAGATGAAGGAAGCCCCACCCTAGTACTATAGGCGTTTGTTTCCGAGAGAGTTAGCCTATTTTCCAACCAGCGTATTTTCTTTCTCTCTCAGTGACAATTATACTTGAATTTCTGCCTGTGTGTTTTTCCAGATCTTACCAGAGCTCTGCAGGATATAACAGCAGCAAAACCAAGACAAAAAGCCCTCCCCAAGAATGTTCCAAGGAGAAAAGAGATTATAACAAAAGACAAAACCAACGGAGCTCTGGAAGATGCACCATTAAAAGGTTTGGAAGACACAAAGCTGGTACAGGTGGTACTTAAAGAGGAAAGTGAATCTAAGTTTGAATCAGAAAGTAAAGAAGTAAGTCCCCTGACACAAGAAGGGGCTCCAGAGGATGTGCCAGATGGAGGGCAGATAAGCAAAGGCTTTGGGAAACTATACAGGAAGGTCAAGGAGAAAGTGAGAAGCCCCAAAGAGCCTGAGACCCCCACTGAGCTCTACACCAAAGAGCGGCACGTGCTGGTCACAGGGGATGCCAATTACGTGGACCCTAGATTCTATGTCTCCTCCATCACAGCTAAAGGTGGGGTGGCTGTTTCTGTTGCGGAAGACTCTGTGCTTTATGACGGCCAGGTGGAGCCCTCTCCTGAGTCACCCAAGCCCCCTTTAGAGAATGGGCAGGTGGGTCTGCAGGAGAAAGAAGATGGACAACCAATTGACCAGCAGCCTATAGACAAGGAGATTGAGCCAGATGGTGCAGAGCTGGAAGGCCCTGAAGAGAAACGTGAGGGTGAGGAGCGGGACGAAGAGTCCAGGAGACCCTGTGCCATGGTCACACCCGGTGCAGAGGAACCATCTATACCTGAGCCTCCAAAGCCTGCGGCTGATCAGGATGGAGCTGAGGTGCTTGGGACTAGGAGCAGAAGCCTGCCAGAAAAAGGCCCTCCCAAGGCTTTGGCCTATAAGACAGTGGAAGTGGTGGAATCTATCGAGAAGATTTCCACGGAGAGCATTCAGACATATGAAGAAACCGCTGTGATCGTGGAGACCATGATTGGAAAGACAAAGTCAGACAAGAAGAAATCAGGAGAGAAGAGCTCTTAAAATGCCCAGGCTTGATGGGATAAAATGTATTTGGGGCCACTGTAGGGGTAATGCTTTGATATTTTAGAGCAAATGATAAAAGGGTGAGGGTTCCTGTTTGGATTAGACCATAGTTGACCCATCTGGCATTGCCAACGAAGCCTTCATTAAAATGTTTTCTTTGCTTGCACATCCTTTGTCTAATTAATAGGGACCTTGGGAATGTAGGTGGGTCAGCTTCATGAGGACAGGGATGCTCTGTTAAATGGCCACCATACCGTCCTCATTTAGGAAAGAGACATGCTCTTCATCCTGGTTCATAAGTCTCGTTAGAGACTCAGATAGCATCTGGATTTCACACAGAAACATGCTGGTTGATGACATCGGCTCATCTTCATTCCATTTCAAGCACAAGTGTGTGCTTATGTGGATGAGTGTTTTGCTAGAGATGAAATTATTAAAGGCATCTCTCTTAATGTGGATTCCCCCAGAAGCTGATCCCAAAGCAGAGAATGCGAAGTTTCATTGGAAGATGAATTTAGGATGCACAAGTAGGAGAGTGGAGAAGGCAGGGAAGAGAAGGGAACCAATAAGGAGGACGTTACCACCAAATCAGCTCACACCAGGGGCCACTGAGGAGCTCTGGCAGACAGCATAGATCACGTGCCTCAGAGTCAGCCTCCCTGAGGGGTGAGGGAGCTGGGGTATTAATCCTCCAGCTCCTGGCAGTCAGTGGGAGGTGTGCTCTCTGGGGGCCAAGAAAGCTCTCAGGCAAAGATGTCTAGGTGCTGGCATTTGGAAGTCAGGCCTGGAAATACAAGGAAGTACTAAGGGTCAAGGGGTCATAGGCAGTGCACCAGTGTCATCTGCCACCATATGGGTACCAAATGTACTTAGTATGAGATACTTAAAATTTTCTCACTCAGAGATTGCAACCTAGGTCAGGTTTCAAGAAGCAAGGTGAAGTGTCACTGTGTAAGTTCCTTGTTTAGAAGTGAGTTAATTAGTCCAGCAAGCATTTATTGAACATGTACTATGTGCCTGACAGTGTGCTGTGCCATTAAGGGGCGATTTTTCAGACTTCTCAATGCTCTCAATTACCATAATATAGCAGTGGCCATGTGAGTGTGCATGATCTTGCGTGTGCACACACACACATGCACACAGGTACTTACTGTGTCACATCCTAAAACACAGAAATTACTCAAAACCAGAATCTTTACACAAATGTCTATGTTGCCCTCCAGTATCTATCTTTGTACTCACAGTCCAAAAATAAGTTATGCCAATTAAAAAAAGTCTCCTTCCCTGTGTAGCTTCACCAAAGTACATTAAGGGAGCTGAGTAAATGTGTTTAAATGGGTTATAGTATCGGCCTACAAAAAGCATCTGGTGAGACAACTACACATTATTAGAGGAAATTGACAGAGTCACAAATTACATTCTGTTATTTCTTGGTTACAAATAATATAATACTAAATGGAGTCACCTTTCCTTTCTATTTAGAGCTTGAAACAATCTTGTTCCAAATTCATTTGAGGTTTGGATTTCAAGAAAGAATTAGGCTTTTGTTGTTTTTTCTAAAAGATGAATGGGGAACCCATTCCACTGAGTTTTGAAATATTTATAACTTAAAAGCTTAAGGGAGAATGATAGAAACCATTAGCTGGAGCCCAGGATGTACTAGGCTTTGGGCCTGTGTGTCTATTATCTTCAGCTTCAACAGCCACTGCAAAGCCTTTCTTTTCCTCCTTGGGTCTTTTTATTTTCTGAACTATGTGTTCAGTTTATATTATTTTAAAAGGCAGGGGGTATTGCTTTAGAAAGAAAGGTCATTTTTATATTATATTCAATCAGTCAAGAAAAATGGATTGGGATCTGTTCTGTGCCAGGCATGGTCCTGGTCACTGGGAGACAGCAAGGAACAGTGGGACGTGGTCCTGCTCTCACAGATGTGATGTTCTAGTGGGGGAGGAAGGAAACGCCATGCAAGCGGGTAGCGAAGAGAAAGTCAGAGACTCTACCATGAAGGGACTCAACTAGCGTGACCTGCTAGAATGACTGGGGGTCTAGTTTGGATTGGGTGGTAAGGGAAGACCCTGTGAAGGGGTGATGTGGGACCTGAATGACAACATGGGGTATATCACATACAGAGCTGAGGGTAGAGCATTTCAGGCAGAGAGAGCTGCAAGTGTAAAGGCCCTGGGGCAGGAGTGAACTCGGCCTGTTCAAGGAGACATAAAGGGGACTGCAGGGGGACAATGGAAGGAGGTGAGGTGAGGGTGGGAGGCAGGGACCAGGTAAGCACCATTTCCTGGCAGGTGCACCTCAGCCTGAAGGTTGAGCCCATACTGTGAAATGCAGGGCTGGCTGCAGTGCACGCTTTAGAGCCTAGTTGGGCTCTGACTGTGCAAGGGTCCCAGGGATTTGACTCACTTGCTCATTTTCTTGACACTCCACTGTCCCAATCTAGTTCTGTTTCCCAATCTAGTTCTGTTTTCTTCTGTAGAGCTGCAGAATGGGTTCATTTCTGGGCTTTCTCTCTCCCCAGGGTCCTGAAACACGCACGAAATCTTTGGTTTCATAAAGAGTTTCTTGTTAGTAACATGGAGTCAGAGCAGGCCTCCCGACAGCATCCATGCAGGGTCCCGACAGCATCCATGCAGGGTCCCGACAGCATCCATGCAGGGCCTCGGTCTCCTCTTCCCTGAGGCAGCTTTGGGTCTGTTGGGAGCAAGACTCTCCCAGAGTGCCTGCTCCATACAGCAGCTGTGTGGTAGCCCCTGCCCCACTCATCTTCCCAGCACTTGAGTCAGTGACCCGTCACTGCTGTTGTATCAGCCACCCAGGGTGTCTCGCCAGATCCCCCAAGTCTCACCGCACTCCAGCTTCTCGCGGCAGGCGTGTGCGACTCTGCCTTAGAGTTTCCTGTGGCCACAGGCACATGCTTGGTCCATACCTGGGCAGATTGGTTGTCCTGGGGAGTTCATGCTCCCGGGAGCAGCCCTCAATCAAGGGTGGACGGGACCTGGAGGAGCAGGTCTCTTCCCCAGCCCTCTCACTCTGCTGTTAGGGTAACTTTTAGGCATATTCTACATAGTCTCTTGGAGCTCCCCAGTGGGTTTGAGCCTCAGATGCCTGTGAAGAAATGCACTGATCAGTGCCTCCGGTATTGGCCTCCTCCTTTTCGTGTCTCACTTTCCTTCTCAAGATATAGATGCTTCCTTTCACATAAATGACTTGCCCTTCACTCCTTGTCTCAGGGTTGCCTTCTGGAGGACCCAACCTGAGACAGCAGACTAACATCTGCCACTCCTACCTCCCGTCCCTCAGGTGACAGCCCTGATTTTGTATTGAGTAGCCGCTCCTCCCACACTGGATACAACCCTAATGTATCAAGATATTCTGCCTTCCTCTGGCCTCAGGGTGGGCCAGTGACCCGGACCAGCCCAATCAGATTCACCCTCAATGAAATTAGAAATCTGAGTCCAGTATAGCGCAGGCTGCAGGTGCTGGCACTTGCCGCCTGAGACCCCGGCAAGGTTGCCTGCCAATCCTTGCTGTGTTTCCGGGTCCCCAGCCTTGCTCCAATCACTGTCTTTTTTCTAGGATGGTGTTGGCTGGTTCTTCAGGCCTGAGGGCTACACCACATGTTTTTGACATACTGCTTACTTGTTTTCGCTAGTTAGAGTTGGTTTTCTTTGCTTGTAACCCCAAAGATAACTGCTAAGTAATAAGGTTAGGTATCAACAGATAAGGAGGTTTGGATGAAGTTGGGTTGTCCCCCAAAGCAGACCCGGAGAAAGGTCTTGGGTGCAGGCGGTTTGTTAGGGTGGTGTCGCAGGAAGGATAGTAAGCTCCTGTCTCTTGCTTCAAACCTGCCCCTCTCTACCCAGTGATGCTGGGGCTGGGACTCTGCAGCCAGGTCCTGCTTAGCCAGCTGCTCCCTGGGAGGTGCTGTTAGAGGGGAGCTGGGGGAAGACTGAAAGTCTGGAGGAGGAAGAAGGCACTCGCTGGCTTTTGTTTGCTTTCTGCTCTTGTCCACACCACCCCAGCAATCCTTCTGTGGTCTGAATGTTTATGTCCCTTGCAAATTCATATGTTGAAGGCCTTACCCCAAGGTGAAGGTATTAGGAAGTGGGGCCTTTGGGAGGTGATTAGGTCATAGGGCAGAGCCCTCATGAACCAGATTAGTGCCCTTATGAAAGAGACCTTAGAGACCCCCTCATCCCTTCTAGCATGTGAGTTCGGAGTGAGGAGGTGCCATCTATGAACCAGGAAGTGGGCCTTTGCCAGACGCTGAATTTGCTGGCACCTTGATCTTGGATCCCCCAGCCTCCAGAAGAGTGAGAAATAAATTTGTGTTGTTTATAAGGTACCCAGTCTATGACATTCTGTTACAGCAGCCCAAATGGACTGAGACAGCTTCTTCACCCTGGCAGTGGCAGTTCCTTCCTGTAGCAGCAGCTGAGTCCAGTTCTCCATTTTCCCAGCATTTGCAGGACCAGCCTCATCGCAGTCTCTGCAGAGATACCTGCACTAGCCTGCTGATGCCCCTCCTTGGTCTGGGTCCCAGCACACTCCCACCTCTGAGACTTCCAAGTTGTATTAATTCCAACCTCTCCTCTTAGGTGGTAGCTAGCTGCTTCTTGAAGGTCTGCTGACAAGAAGTGGCCCACTAGGCACTTGTATTCCATAACCAGCGCCATACCACCCGCTGGGCTTCTCCCTAAAGACTGTAAGCGTTGGTTTTACAAGAAAAAATCTGCATGGGTTTCCTTGAGAGAGTGCCAGTGGTCCTGAGGGAAATCTTGGCATGAACCAGCTGCTGGGTGGTTTCTCTAATCTTTTGGCCTCATGCACCTGTACCCAAGTCAGATGACTGATTTGCACATTGGGACCACTACAGACCTCCACCTGAGCTTCCTCTGGCTTCACTCTGCCAGGTCTTAACTCCCCATCTTTCAGGTCCTAACACGTGCACTTGTGCTCCACTTCCGGGCACTGTGGGTGGGTAAGGCAGGCTGGGGTGCCACGGATGCCTTAGGATCCTGCCCGAGCCAGGAGGGCATCTTCATTGCGTGAGCCCCCCACTCCCACAAATGTTGGACTTTTTGGTCCATGTGATTCTTGTGTTTTCTTTTGCTTTTTGAATTAACTAGGTAACAATTCATTATACTAATTGTATGGTACTTTGTATTAAATTCTCTCTGTTAAAACCACTGGTATGGTTTCTGTCTCCTGACTGGAGAAAGAGGAGGCATGAGATGGGGAATGGATGTGTCCACGCAGGGGGCATTAATGAGGTGGCCACCACTGTGAGCAGCTGGGGCTCCATCCCACTGGGGACCCTTCAAGAGAGCGGGTGGAACATCTTCAAATTGTCCCAAGCAGGAGGTGAGGAAGCTGAGCTATCCGTCTACCAGCTCTCCATCCCATTTCTCCTCAGGAGAGGGTGGCCCTAGGGCACTGATGCCCTATCACCTGTGGCCTGCTCCACACGAGGTCTGGGGCTTTTCTGCAGCTGGGCAGAGTGATAGAATGGCCTTTGGCATGCATGGAAACTGCCTACAGATAACCTTTAGGTGGGCCAAGGAGATATAGGGCAGAGGTTGGCAAACCTTTTCTGTAAAGGGCCAGATTGTAGGCCACACAGCCTCTGCTGTAACTACTCAGCTCTCTTGTGGTAGCATGAAATCAGCCATAGACAATACAACAACAAACAAGCACAGTTGTCTCCAACAAAACTGTATTTATAAAAGCAGACCGCGTACTGGGTTTGGCTATAGTTTGCAGACTCCCTGATACAGAGGATGCACCAACAGTCTGCCGCAAAATTCAGTTAACATCTCAGAAGACACTTCTAAACCTGGCATTGGAACCTGTCTCTTCCTTCCACCTTCATGTTGGGAAATTCCATTTAGTTCTCTCCTCGACTTGAAGCTTACATTATAAGAAAGATCTGGCCGGGCATGGTGGCTTACTCCTGTAGTCCCAGCACTTTGGGAGGCTGAAGCAGGTGGATCATCTGAGGTCAGGAGTTCGACACCAGCCTGGCCAACATGGTGAAACCCCATCTCTACTAAAAATATTTTAAAAATTAGCCAGGCATGGTCACACACGCCTGTAATACCAGGGGAGGTCGAGGCAGGAGAGTCGCTTGAACCTGGGAGGCGGAGGTTGCAGTGAGCCTGAGATCATGCCACTACACTCCAGCCTGGGCAACAGAACAAGACTTTGTCTCAAAAACAAACAAACAAACGAACAAACAAAACCTAAATGAAAAAAAACCCCGAAAAACAAACAAACAAAATCTTCAAGCAGCCATTACTATCAAGTTTATCCTAAAATTTTTCTAACATAGATTTGTGGTTAGGACACTGCTGGTGAATGAAGTCACCCCAAAACTCACATGGCATTTGGCACATTGATGATTGGTATCTTGATTGGTACAATACCTGACTCCATTTTCTCAGGCATGGATAAAAGCAAGCAAACAACATAAAAAGCCACACTGACTTATGTTGTATTCAAACAGAGTTTTTGAGTTGAAACTTATTTTATCAGAAGATACACTCCTGGTCAATGACTCCACTGGGCTGATGCCCTCACCAGCTGTACCTGCCCCTTTACCCTCATGCTTGCATCCTTGTGACCAGGAGCTTGCCTGTCACCTGTGGCCCATCAGTGGTCCTGGGACATGGTGCCAGAAAAGAAAAAGATAAATTTTAGCTTCTTCCCTCCATCTAGTTTGAGTAGCTCATGGGATATCCTCTCAGATTCAGAGGGACATCTTTGAGGGTGTTGTGAGGTGGCACACCCCATCTTGGGATGGGGAGCTGGCACACCCCATCTTGGGATGGGGAGGGCAGGTTGGCCCAAAGCCTCCTGGTTGGAAATCAGTAACAGTGACGTTAGGCCTAAGGAATTACCAGCCTCATGTGGCTCTTCTGGCACCTGAAACTCTGTGAGCTGAGATTTCTAGTTGCCTTCCCATCCCATCCCACCGCAAATCATGCATGAATGAGCATTAAACATTTAGCCACACAGAATCTTCATCTTTTTAGGCTGAGTGCATCCCTCACCTGAGATCATTCTATTCCCAGGTTCACAAACGTGAGTCTCTTCTCAGTTCTAAGAGAAACATGGAGCCAGGACCTTGGCTTGGAGAATTTACCCTAGGTTCTCAGACTTTGATTCCAGGTCCCTTATACATCTTAAACCAAATTTGATCAGGGTTTTTTGAAGCCAAGGAAAGGGTTCAACTAAATGCACAAGAGACTAATGGAAAAACTCAAGTACTAGCTGATTAGTTTACAATTCAAAGAGAGGGTGTTGTTTTCTGCAGATCTAGCTGCTTGGATCGTTTATACCGGTGTTAATGTTCTTGGGAAGCTGCATAAGGCATGAGGAGGCTGTGGGTGAGCATGCAATGGGACCATTGGCAAGTGGTGGTGTTTTAATGCACTCTCTCTGGGGGTGGCTTTGCCAATGTATTGGCCTGTATCCCTCGATAGACTTCAGCTCTTCAGAGACTGGAATTCTCCCTTATGTCAGGCTTCATGTTTCCCTACCCTGAATGCTGCCAGACACTGTCTTCCAGCTTTGGTCACCCTGACTCTCATTTATTCTAAGCTCCCATGTGCTGAGTGCCCTCCATCCTCCCACCCTTTCTCTTGACTTATTCTTTAGAGACAAAGAACCACCCTGCTGGCCACAACTGAACCACCTACATTAGCCTAGGAGACATTCTGTCTCTGGCATTTCACAATTCCAGAGTTTTAAGGATCCCCTAACTCTCTTCCACAACCACTGTCCTTTATCTTTGCATTTTGCTTTTTAGAAATTTCTACCAAATTAGACTATTTGCATCTAAACACTTTAGCTGTGAGATCACCATTTCCCCTAATTCAGCACTTCTTTCTGTTAACTATAAAATACTTATGTGTCCTGAAGGTCTTACACTGTGTGGTTTTCATATAATCACTCCAAGCAAATGCGCTGATCACATGAAAACCATGCATTAACTTATAAGTGATACGAATGAAGACATAGAGTAGTAACTCTATCGGAATTTTTAAAAATCATTTTTTAAACTTAATCTTTTGGAAATCCATCTTTAAACCTAAGTATTAAAAAGGAGTGTCTCAGGATCACAAGATCAAACCTTGGACCTTATATCCGCCAATATCTATTTTTAGTAACAGACTCTGTTTATATTTATTTATTTTTGGGACAGTGTCTTGCTCTTCACCTAGGTTGGAGTGCAGTGGTGTGATCACGGCTCACTGCAGCTTCTACCTCCTGAGCTGAAGCTATCCTCCCACCTCAGCCTCCTGAGTAGCTGATACTACAGGCACATGCCACCATGCCCGGCTAAGATTTTAATAATTGAGTTTAAGTGTTATATCAGAGGACAGAATTATAAATTGTTTTTATAATTAACTTTGGTAAATATAGTATATTAATATTTTATGAATAATTATTAAGGTCTTTTTCTAGAATAGTCTGTGGTCTATGGGGTAAGGTACAGCCAGTTTGTAATAATGTTCATGGTACCATCCATGAAGAGTGATTGCCATGTTAAATCGGTTCTTAAGAACATGTTTTAAGGGAATGTCAAGCACTCTCTGTAGTGGAGACTCTAATGCTCACCAAATATTCCCTTAGTTGTCACAGATTTCCCAGTTGCTTTGCATTTAGCCAGGGCTATTGCCCAATACTGGCCAGTGGGCAATGGGCAGAAGCGATGCATGTGTCTCCTTCAGGCTAAACATAGAAGAGCAGATGAATGTCCTCCTTGGGTTCTCTTCTGCATGGTGATTGTAGCAGCCTTGTGCTATGATTACAAACCATACGGTGAAACAGCCTGGATCCTGAGTCACTGCATGGAGGTCTGTGGCTTTGGGGAGTCACCTGAACCTTCACTGGAATTTGTGTGGATGATAAATAAACCTTTGTTGTATTAAACCACTGAGATTTTGAGATTGTCTGTTACTATAGCATAACTTAGTCTAGCCTGATTAATATATTTTAGAATAGTGTTTCTAAAAGATTTTTGACCATCACTCACAATGAAAAATGTATTTTACATTGTGATCCAGTACACACACTCAGACACACACACGTGTGCACACACACATCTGAAACAAATATTTCAGGAAACAATACTTATCCTTATTATGCATGATTATTCTATTCTATTCTATTCTATTCTATTCTATTCTATCCTATCCTATCCTGTGATTTTCTTCTCTCCTACTGTATTCTAAATTACTCTATTTTATTAAAAACTGACCTCCTAAATTGATTTTACAACCCACTAATGGATGTAACTAGAGTTTGAAAAATACTGCTGTAGATAATAATTTGTGTATGATTTATATGTTAATTATAAGTCTTTTATGCATACTTAGTAAAGCAGGCTCTTTAGATCTCTCTTTGGCAATTTTTAAATTATCTGTTCCTAGAATGGATGAAAGTATTTTCATGTACAATATAGCACATCTCACATAATTTCTGGAGCATAATGTTTTATTGTTGAGCCTCCTAATTTACAACATGTCTTTTGAAATTTGCTTATAAAATTTTGTCACAGGGAGCAACAATGTTAACCTAATTATTATTCACTTATTTTCATTTTTTAAAATAAATGACTATAAATAACTGTCTCTTCAGTTAGGATCAGGGATATCATAAAAACATCACTAGCGAGACATATTTTAGTATTAATACTGATGCAAAAAATGAAATAGAGACCAAATATTTATATATATAGCACTATATATATTTTTATATATTGTATACTCATATCAAAACTTGCCATTTCTCTTAAGTAGCTGATAAGTTGCTTTCTAATTTTATAAATTACACCACACCTGTGAAAATATGGACAACTATTTTATATTTTTGCTGCTATATAAGACATTTAATGTTTATACAGAGAGCTGAAAAATTACAGAGGTGATGCAATGGGAATTGATGAACATTTTCACCTGAATTTCCACTGGCCTTTTTCAGCCAGAATCATCTTGATATTCTCTGAATATTCTTTTAGAAATGAGTATGGTATCTGTTTCTTCAATAAATACACATACACACATTATAGGTATATGTGTATATACATTTATACAAGTGTATGTATATATACACATATATACACACATGTATATAGTCTACATATGTATATATATTTCTGTGTGCACTTATACACACATGCACACATAATGTCCTTTGGTTTATTTTTAGACCATTAATGTGAAATGAATTTTCGATGATTTCCATTTATTTTTTCTTGAAATCTAAACTGGTTTAAAAAGACCTTTGCAACAAGTAATAAATTTCTTTTAAAAAATCATATTATTACACTTTAAAGCATGATATAGAGAAGGTCACAAGGTGTTAGAGAAGACAGAAATCCATGCCAATATGGGAGAAAAGAAAGCAAATGGGGTTTTCAGATTTCTCTCTTAAAGTGGCCACCTTCAGGGAATTGAACCTAGTGCTCTGTGTTGCTGGCTTGAAGGAAAGGTGCTCCAGGCTAAGCTCTCTGCTCCCACAGGAAGGGAGATGGTGCCTGGAGAGGCTGAAGACAAAGCATTTCTTGGGAATGGATGTGCATTGGGACTGGGGATGAGAAGCAATCTCTGGGTAGGTCACTTTGGTAATGTCTAGTTGGGAATGGAGTGGTGACTTTTGGGATTGACCATAACCTTCGGGTTGCATGTTAAATGGTCTCAGGGACTGCTTAGTTGCCGAGAAGGTGACTGTGTGCTTTCCTCACAGAGGTCTTCTCTCACCTCCTTCAGGCCTCAGGTTCCTCTGGGATGAATTGCATGGCCCTCTCTTGGCAGAAGAGGCTCCATACAACTGGAGAACTATGTGAAGATAGCGCTCGCATCTTCAAACGTGCCCCTTTCACCTCCCATGACTCTTCCGGGACAGAGGCCTTTTTCCCAACACATTAATGACATCAAACTGTGGGGGAGTATGAGATTTCTCTTCCATTATATTACTTGGAAATCAAAGCCCACATCTGTGTGTGTAAAGCTGTAAAAAAAAAAAAATACTCCTGTCGCCTCTCACTCAGATCAGATTGAGACACCTCAAAGTGACTTAGGAAAAGGGACATTCTTGTTTGAAAAGCTAGTAAACTACTCTTCACCAGGTGTGTTGCCAGGCTTGTCTTAATTTTTTTTCTCTTTTGGGTAGCTATGTGAGGAGCCCCAGAAAATTGGGGCTGGGATGAACTCTATACAAACTGAGAAAAATTTGGGCTGCTCTAGCGGATTTTAACATAACTCAGAGCAGCAGCTGGTGAGAGCACAGCCACGCTCTGTAAGTTTTATATTTGCCACGCCGGCTGAGTAGAGTGAATTATCTTGGCATTGGTAGTAAAATATCCAGCACTCATGCTTCCTGGATCTCTTTCCCCATGCAGTAACTAGGGCTCTCTATGAATGGCATCTTTTGAATCACATCACCTTAATCTACATCCCTGGTAAATCTCACTAAATTCAAAACATCGCTCCCCAAAGGATTTATAGCACAGTGTCTCCTGTGCTTTCAGAGATGTGGCGCTCACACCCTGTCCTCAGCTTTGATTTTCTTGTTATGTAACAGCCCCTTGTTTGAGACCATGGACAATTGTTCTTGGAGTCACTCTATGTGGCTTTTAAAATACGTTCTTTTCTCAGAAACAAAAAAAAAAATGAGGGGAAAGCTGTCCCAGTTTTTTTTTTTTTTTTTTTTTCAGGATATCACCCATTTGAATGACAGAAATAAAGAATTTAGAGTCACACATAGGACATGGATGTTGTTGGGAACGCTATATTTGGGGCATAGAGTAAAAAAGATTGTTTCCATTGTAATGAAAATAATCATTGACAGTGAGTGAAGCTTCAGATTAAGAAGACGGAATTGCCTGTACGGGTGATGGAATTGCTAGGTGCCTGCCTGAAACGTGGAGCGAGGACAGAGGCGGAGCTGGGGAGGGAGGGCGGTGGGAAAGGCGGATGTGCAGCGCTAGTTCTTGTTAAGGATGCTTTTCAGGCTTCTCTCCACGGCTTCGTCCAGCTCTTCCTCCAGCTCCTCTTTCTTGGACATGGCCAACTTGGACTGGTAATCCCGCACCACCTGGTCGATGTACGGGGCACTCTGAGTGCCATGCAGCATCAGGGTCCACTCCTTCAGCACCCCCTTCTGCGGGGCGCTGCCGACAAATCCCAGCTCCAGGGTCCAGGTGCCTCGGGCGTCTTCCCCCCACGTGTGAGTGGTCATGAAAGGCCACTTGTCAAAGCCCACCTTGGAGTCGTCATCCCTTGGACGCCGGCTCAGCAAAATGGACTTGGTGCCCATAGGGGAAGTCATGTTGATGTTCAGGTCTCCTCTTCTGGTTGCGTTGACCGTGATGACAGCCTGGACATGCTCCAGGTAGCGGACAAAATTTTCCTTCCCCTCACAGGCGTCGGTTGTGAGTGTCAGCACCAACTTGCCAGTGGATGGTATTTTCCTGAGGGCAGAGTGAAGAGGAGATAGGATAAGCAGTGGTGGGTGCACCTTACAAGGGATTTTGAGGGCAGCTTCAGGTGGCGGAAAGGGCAAGGGCTTTGGGGTTGATCAATCAGACCTGGGTTTAGTTCCCACACTGGCTGTGTGAGCCTGAGTAAGTTACTTATCTCTTTTTTTTTTTTTTTTTTTTTTTTTTGTCTTTTGAGACAGGGTCCCACTCTGTTGCCCGGGCTGGAGTGCAGTGGTGTGATCTCAGCTCACTGCAACCTTCAGCTCCTGGGTTCAAGTGATTCTCATGCCTCAGCCTCCCCAGTAGCCAGGGTTACAGGCATGTGCCACCACGCCTGGCTAATTTTTTGTATTTTTAGTAGAGACGGAGTTTCACCATGTTGGCCAGGCTGGTCTTGAACTCCTGGCCTCAAGTGATCCAGCTGCCTTGGCCTCCCAAAGTGCTGGGATTACAGGTGTGAGCCACCACGCCCGGCTGTGAGCAAGTTACTTACGCTTGGAACCTTCTGTGTGGAAGGAGAATGTAGTAGATGCTGTGATGTCCCTCCTGAGTCTCCTAAGTCCCTTCTGAGTTCACCTGCAGCTGAAGCTCCCTTGCACGTCCACTGCTTCCCACCCCAGGCACGAGAATCTCCCCGTGTTCCCCCTGGGCTTCCTCCCACCTCCGTGGAAGCCTGCACAGCCTGCGTGCAGGGCGGCCCAAAGGTGGCAGGGATTTAACCTTTGAGGGGTAGCTCTCTCCCAGTGACTGACAGGTTTTTACCCCGGTTTCTCTATTCCTCAGCGTGACAACTCAGTGTCCCTAGTGGGACTGAGCTCAGCTGCCCACGGTGGCAACTCGCTCATTAATGCACTCTTCATTGGCTTTTCTCCCCTTCCTTATTTTACATCTCCAATTCCTCACTTGTGTTACCTGGGATCATTTCTCAAAAAACTGTCAGCACCCAAGTCTTGTCTCAGGTTGGACTTCTGGGACAACCCAGACTGAGGCAGGAACTCATAATGTCTTTCTTTCAAAGTGCTAAGTGCTTTGATAAATAGAAGCTGTTGCTAATATGACTGCCATTACTACCATTAAGAAAAGCTGGGCCGGGCGCAGTGGCTCACGCCTGTAATCCCAGCACTTTGGGAGGCCGAGGCGGGCGGATCATGAGGTCAGGAGATCGAGACCATCATGGCTAACATGGCGAAACCCTGTCTCTACTAAAAATACGAAAAATTAGCCGGGCTTGGTGGTGGGCGCCTGTAGTCCCAGCTACTTGGGAGGCTGAGGCGGGAAAATGGCTTGAACCCGGGAGGCGGAGCTTGCAGTGAGCCGAGATCGCGCCACTGCACTCCAGCCTGGGTGACAGAGCGAGACTCTGCCTCAAAAAAAAAAAAAAAAAAAAAAAGAAAAGCTGAAAATGGGTAAATTAATTCCAGTGAAAGGCAGTCCAATGAATGATCAGGAGACTTTGGGGGAGTCTTTGGCGAGAGTTGGAGCGAGGTTAAGCCCAAGTACTCTCTAGGCTGTCCTTACAGGCAATCTCCTTTCTGGAGATGGCCTTCTTGGAGTGGGAGAAGCTCAAAGGTTCTTGCAGTAGAAAGAAGGAAAAAAGGAAACCGCATTTGAGGATTGCGTGGTGTAACATCAAGACTCCAGACTTTGAGAATAAACCCATTTGGATTAGAATTCTGCTTCTATGTTTACTGCTCATGAGAGCTTGGGCAGGTTATTTAAGCACTCGAAGTTTCACTGTCATTGTGGATAGTTCTTTTTTTTTTTTTTTTTTTTTTTTTGAGACGGAGTCTTGCTCTGTCGCCCAGGCTGGAGTGCAGTGGCGCCATCTCGGCTCACTGCAAGCTCCGCCTCCCGGGTTCACGCCATTCCTGCCTCAGCCTCTCGAGTAGCTGGGACTACAGGCGCCCTCCACTGTGCCCGGGTAATTATTTATATTTTTAGTAAAGACGGAGTTTCACCGTGTTAGCCATGATGGTCTCGATCTCCTGACCTTGTGATCCGCCTGCCTCGGCCTCCCAAAGTGCTGAGATTACAGGCGTGAGCCACCGCGCCCGGCCGTATGATTCTTGTGTGGTTAAATAAGACCATGTATGAAATACCAGGCACAGGCGTAGCTCCGCCCCCAGGGAGAACAGGCGCTACCATGGAGGAGTACCATCGCCACTGCGACGAGGTTGGCCTCAATGCTGAGGAAGCCCACAATATTGTCAAAGAATGTGCAGACGGGGTTTTAGGTGGTGAAGATTATAATTACAACAACATCAACCAGTGGACCGCAAGCATAGTGGAATTATCGTTAACACATCTGCCTAAGCTGGGAAAAGCTTATAAATGTATTGTGAAATGTGCAGTGGTCCAGAAGAGCGCATATGGCTTTCGCACAGCAGCTCCTGTTTTTGGGATACCACATCTGATGGAACCTGTACCGTAAGATGGGAGAACTGGACCATGAACTGTATTGTCAATGTTTTTGCCATTGCTGTTCTTTAACTGACTAAAAATGTTGGGTTAAAGCCATTAACTTAAGAATTTGTCAGTGTATCCTTTCAAAAATAGTTATTTATTAGTGTGCTAGATGACAAGTGTGCAATATACTTTAAAGCTATCAACAAAAACTGAATATTGTAAGCAAGCAATATCATAGCAATTGGCAGATTATCTCATATTCTATACAGCATCATTTAAATACGAAAAATTTAATGCTAGCAAAAAATAAATGCAGAAATATGGCATGACATGAAAATACAATCTTACATTTACACTAGCTTTTCACTAATATTTTGTACGTAAGGTGATGGGGAACTCCATTCAGATAATAAAATTCTCTTTCAGCTAGAGAAGTTAACAGGAATAAATATATGAACAAATAAGCTGCAAGGATAAATGTGGAGAAAATGATGAGAATTAGCTAATATCTTTTCATTTTTTAAAACTTTCTTCCCCTCACTTAGTTGTACACAATATTTAGTGGAAAGTAATTTTTAAAAATTTTCTATCAACTAATAGCATAGTAACAACTATGATTAACTTGTTTACTTTTTCTGAGGATTAGTAAATCGATTTTTTTTAATTTAAAGTTTTTGGATTTATACTTGAGGGTGAATTAAATCTGGTAAACTGAATTTCCTAGTTAAACAAAATTAGTTGCAGTATATGATGAACAGTATATGACTCAAACAGCTGCCTTACAATTCATTCCATGTGGAACAAACATTTATCAGATGCCTATTATGGGCATATGTCTCTGCTGAGCACTATAGTTATCAATGTGCTGTGTAAATGCTAAGTTCCTTTTAGCAATTGTTCAGTTGGAAGACAAGTATTAATATTTGGGGAAGGAAAAAAAACAGTTGTTTTACACGGGAGGAAAAAAGTGAGTCTGGTTACACATATAGAAGTAAGCAAAATGAAAAGCACTTAACTGCTTTCTGACAGAATGATAGATGTAATTTTAAGAGTTGCTCCTAGCAAGTTAAAAGTGCATGTAAAATATGCAACTCTTAGTTAAAGGCCTTATTATCAGTCTTATCTATACAAGTAGTAAATTTTGTCATTGCTTTAATTACAACCATCTGTAAATAATTTTGAAGACTTATTATGTGGGGTTCAAATTGAGTGGAATAAAGTATAGATTAAAAGTATACAATCATTAGCAGGTTATCTCAGGGCTTATGAAATGTAATTAAATTTATTAAGAAAATAGATAAAAATTAGGGTACACAGCTGGCCACCAAATGCGAAGTCAATCTGCTACTTAACCCTGCACACAAAATCAGTTTTGCATATTACCACTAACACTAACACTTACAGAGAGTGGAATCATAACTCATTGAATTTTGGAGAGGAATAAACTTAGTGTTAATATTAACAATATTAAGGCAAGATTCTTGTAGGAATACCATGTGCATGTTGGATATTTTGCCAAATAACAATAATTAATACCTGTTAAATGTTTAATAATAATATTAACAAAATAAAGGAGTTCAACGCAGTGATCTTTGTTTTTGGCACATCAAAACTTCTCAGTCATTATTCATGTTTCTTTATGCTGCTGGCTTTTGTGCCCTTGAAGATTATAATAGTGACCAACATATATATGCAGACTTGTTTTTTATTATTGTTGTTTAAGCCTGATTTAAGAAAAAAATATTCATACCTCGTGAACTTGCTATCTGTTCTGTTTCTAGTTAAAATATAATAAATATTATCTTCCTGTGCTGAAAAATAAATAAATAAATAAATAAAATAAAATAAAATAAAATACCAGGCACAATGCTTGGCACATGTACTGGCCCATTGCCTATGCAAATATCCTTCCTCAATATGGCTTTTATTTTGGAGTATAAGTAAAATATTTTTAAACACACATCTTGTAAAGCACATTTACAAAAAGACAGTGGTCATGTGCCCAGTTGGAGTCAAGCCTTGGTTCTGCATTGCCCTAGGAACCAAGGCCATGAACCTGGGAGGGCTTGCTGAAACATACAGTGCAGTTCATTAATACTCTCTGGAGGAACTTTACAAATATAGACTTAAACGGTTTCATGGAGTACTGCTGTATTCCCCTCTCCCACCCCCGGATACTGATGCTGAATCATGTATGGAGTGTCCATCAGCTATGGGGATCCAGTGATGGTGGGGTTGGTCTTTCTGTTCCCAGGATCTGGGGAAACCATCCATTTGGTGGAAAGCAGGCATTAAGCCAACTTTGCGGGTCGGGGTAATGAGGGCCATAACCTGGATTTCTCAAAGATGGTGCTATTTATTCAGAACAAGATCAGAAACAAAACAGGTAAGGTGATGAATAACTAAAGATTGGGCTCTAGCCCAGCAGTGGACAGCTGTGTAGGGTAGCACAAAGAGTCTCAGAGTACGAGTCCAGTTGTGGGCAAGTATTTGCATGATCTGAGCTATTAATTCCTGCCCTGAACAGTTGCTGGCAAGATAAATTATCCTACATATACATTATATATGCACATATATATAACGTGTCTATATGTGTATATACATGTATACTCATATACATAGTATATTTACAAATGTCTAGACCAGCATTGGCCAATAGGACACTCTACGATGATGGAAATATTCTATATATATAATCTCTAGTATGGTAGCCACTGGCTACATGTGGCTAATGAGCAATTGAAACATAGATCATGTGAGTGCTGAAATGAATGTTCAATTTATTTTATTCAATTTTAACTAATCTAATATGTTATTATATAACCACTTGTGGCTGGTTGCGTCTGTACTGGACAGTGCGGGTCTAAATTGTTTATGTATGTTGAATTTGAATCTGATAAGAACAACAACAACAGGCAGAGAGTCTCTTGGCCTTCTGTTTCAAGGGCATTCAGTTTTTTCCCGGCTCACAGGCTCTAGGAAAAGCAGTTGGGGAAACTGCAGCTTTGTTTTGCAGGTTTTCTGGCCACCTCTCTGGAGGACTCTGAAATATTCATCCAGAACCTCAAGGTATGAGGGAAATGACACATTCTATCACAGGGTTTCTAGGCAGACAAGCAGCCAGGCCCAGAATCGGGCTTTCCTTCTAGAGTTGAGCCAGAGGGGCTTTGGGAGTCTTTGAGAAGCACAGTTGCAGGAAGCAGAGAATGATAACAGGAAGAGAGACCCTGGCTCTGAGTTCTGTGTTGAATTTGAGCTCTCTTTTCTTTCCTGTAGTCTAGGGCTTCTTGAAAAGTTTCAAGAAGGAAATTCACAAGCCAACAACCAAAGACTGTAACTGAGTGGCAATCATTATAGATATTATAAAACATCACTAATCATTTGTCAAGTGCAGTGGTCACTATTATCTTAAGAATTCAGAACACCAGCTGAATTCTAAGAAAATTTGTTTTCTGTCCCAATTTGCACCCAGGACCCTTGTGGACTGGAGTCATAGTGACAGACCCTTTACAAGTCAATTTGTAGAAACTCTGGCAGAAAAATGGCATTGCTTGCCTTGTGGAAAACTGAAAATATTTCTTCAATTGGCTAAGAATCAGAGATGAGACAGCCACTTTTGCTAGAAATAAGACCACAGCCCACCATACATGAAGTTTCTGTGAATTAACTATAAGGTCCTTCGCTACGTGAAAAGAGTTGTTCTAGTGCTGAGATGACTTCTTATGATGGAAGGAGAGAAATATGGATTAGACTAAACCTGAGATGACCTTCAGGCATACCACAGCTAAGGGTGTTTTGGTAGATAGTGATAGTGCCTCATTCAGATCCCCTTCCCTGGGCTGTGCACCACCCCAGCTACTGTGGACATTGGCTGCTAACTGTGGTCTTCTGCTTGTGTCTCTGAAGAATCACCCTCAGGAGCTATGGAAACCTGGCTGAAATAAGAATACATAAAACCAATGCTCCTGCCCCCAAGCGGGACAACTGTGTGGTGGCGTTGATGCTCCAAAGCCCCCGGTGGGTCAGGCCACATGCACATACCTGGTTCCACATCCTTTCTTGGCTACTTCTGCCCCTCCCAAATCCCTCACTCTCCTACAGTTCTCCCTGAAAAGCCCTCCCTCAATAAAGCACATGTACTCAAACCCAATCTCAGGCTCTGCTTCCGAGCAACCCAACCTAAAACAGGTGTTATCTGTCTCTGGAGAAGAGCAATTGGAAACTGATTACCACATCCCTCTGCACAGTGTCTGAGGACTATTGACTATATTTATGTCATCGTTGGTGATACAGAATATGGGCCTCATTCCATCTGTGGGCTCAGTCACCTCACTTCTTTTGCTTTCTTTAAAAAGCCCTTAAGAAGTTATTGTAAAGATAGATGTAGGCCGGCGACCACTTTGACATTAAGGGCATGGCAGAGGAGCCTGGAATTTGAGTCCCAAGAAGGAGCCTCACTGGCAGAACAACAAGGGCCGGTGTGTTCCTGTCTGTGTGAATCTTCTATGGTGGCTGTCGTATCTGTTTCTCCCAGGAGCCCCACGCTCATGGGGAAGGCCTTAGCGACTAAGACTAAGGGAGGGAAAATGACAGCGAGGCTGAGAAGGGGAAACTAGAACACAGGCCACCGATTGCCCAGGCTAAAGGTCTTATTTGAGAGTGAGTGGTGTGCATTTGTGATAGAGGGTGCAAGGGAGAGATGGAGGGAGACTGAAAGACATATTCCATGCACCTTGGAAAGCCGAAAGACAGGTGGGAGTAGGGACAAACACACAAACTTGTGTTAAGAATCACACATTTTCCTAGAAGCCTTGGACACTGGGGTGTGCCTGGGGGTCACAGGCCATGCTGGCTTTGGAGCATCAACGCCACCACACAGTTGTCCTGCTTGGAGGCAGGAGCATGGGTTTTATGTATTCTTATTTCAGCCAGGTTTCCATAGCCCCTGAGGGTGATTCTTCAGAGACACAGGCAGAAGACCACAGTTAGCAGCCAATGCCCACAGTAGCTGGGGTGGTGCATAGCCCAGTGAAGGGGACCTGAACAAGAGGCACTGTCACCATCTACTGAAACCCCCTTAGCCATGGTGTGCCTGAAGGTCATCTCAGGTTTGGTCCAATCTGTATTTCTCTCCTTCCATCATAAGAGATCATCCCAGCACTAGAACAACTCTTTTCACGTTGGCTGAGGAGTCTGGCTTTTTTAGCACCACGGAGAGACTGCCAGCTAGAAAAACGCCCCGATCCTGCCCTGCCATGTGAACTGCTTCCTGCACAGGAGCTGGGTCTGCTGAGAGAGGAGACATGTGGCTGGACTCTTCTGAGAATATTAAGTTACTATGAAATTAAATTAAAAGCATGCTGTGAATTCCAGAGGCAGCGAACTTGGTAGAGAAAGAACACCATTCTCCCCTCACAGGTCAGGTTTTTTTGGCTGGCATCGTGGCATTGGGAGAGCCTAGGAACAGTATTTTCCAGATGTTTCTTGTTTCTCTCTTCATTTGCTCACTTGCATTTTCTGATTTTCTTACAGTGACCATGTATTGCTTTTATGAGAAGAAAAGGAATGAAACATTCTTATTTTAAAGCAAAAAGGAGATATATGCTCAGGAATTATCAATTTATAAGAAGGTTAAATAGGAGGAGGTTGGTGGTGGAACAAAAAGAGGCTCTGCAGAAACATTTTAAATAGTCACAGGGTGTTAGTTTCCAGGCCATGATCTGGAGCTCATTTGCTGCAGAAAATGAAGCATGCTTTCTGGAGGTTTAAGAGTTCTTAGGTCAGGCGCGGAGGCTCACGCCTGTAATCCCAGCACTTTGCGAGGCCGAGGGGTCGGAACACGAGGTCAGGAGTTCAAGACCAGCCTGACCAACATGGAGAAACCCCGTCTCTACTAAAAACACAAAAATTAGTCAGGCATGGTGGTGTGTACCTGTAATCGCAGCTACTCAGGAGGCTGAGGCAGGAGAATCGCTTGAACGCGGGAGGCGGAGGTTGCAGTGAGCTGAGATCACGCTACTGCACTCCAGCCTGGGTGACACAGTGAGACTCGATCTCAAAAAAAAAAAAAAAAAAAAAAAAGAGTTCTTCTTTGACCTATTAGAGATAACATGCAAAATCGTAGTGTTCCAGTCTTATAAAAGACAAACTTGGGGTTGTCGGGGTGGCTTGTATCTTTATTTTATTGTGTATCATTGCAAGTAAGTGTTTAAACTGCCTTGTGTCAAGAAATAGGTGTTGCTTCCCAGGAGGCCCTGGGGAATGCTTCTTGTGTTATGAATCTTCAACTGTAAGATAAAGTTATGAAGCTGTGGTGGCTCATGCCTGTAATCCCAACACTTTGGGAGGCCAAGGCAGGCGGATCACCTGAGGTCAGGAGCTCGACACCAGCCTGGCCAACATGGTGAAACCCCAGCTCTACTAAAAATACAAAAATTAGCCGGGTTTGGTGGTGGATGCCTGTAGTCCCAGCTACTCAGGAGGCTGAGGCAGGAGAATTGCTTGAACCTGGGCAGTGGAGGTTGTAGTGAGCCAAGATCGTGCCACTGCACTCCAGCCTGGGCCACAGAGCAAGACTCTGTCTCAAAAAAAAAGAAAAAGTTATAAGGCTGTGATTGTTTTGATAGAATAATCACAATAGTAACAATGACAGCCACTCTTTCTCAAGTGCCCAAGATGCCTGCTTTTGTGGCAGTCACATGACGACACGCAGCAGGTGGCCATGGTGAGGTTTTCTCCTCCCCCTGTAGCAGAGTCAGGTGGGCATGAACTTGTGCAGGAAGCCTCTGCAGCTCGGGAGTGCTGGTCCACAGTCCCCCAGGTGGCACAGGGCCGAGCACACGCTGACCTCTCACTCCCATGCTGCTTCCGGCATTGATACCAGGTTTTAACATTTATTTCCAAATTCACTTAAACTTCAGAGCTGGATCACATATTTTGGCACAGCCTTAAAGGAGCTCAGTGAACAGTCCCCTCAGGGTGCCCAGAGGGGCTGGGGGCAGCTGTGTTAGACAGGTCACTCCCAGCTGGCTGATGGGGCCGGCCTGGGCTGGCTCTGCTCATTCTACACACAGCTGGTGCAGCTGGTCACAGCCAGGTGTATTTTCCCCTTTGATTGTAGCTGAGCATCCTTCACTGACTCTCTTGATAAAGCCTCTTTAGAAAATTGCTTTTCAAATTGACTCCATCTCCGGGAAGATTAATGCCAAGGAAACCCACAAACCTGACAATCACCACTCACTCCACCTTGGAAGCTGTTTCTGTGCAGCCCTGCACATTATGGAGAGTGGCGATTGCCACGGCTGTTGATTCCTGTACCCCACCGCTCCTCGAGTGTGCTTCGTGGTCACAAGGGCCTCCTCTGTCAAGCGGCACAGCCAGCCCTGGGGCTGCTCTCCAAATCTCCCTGTGGAGCCTCTGCATTCTTCAACAAGTGTATTTGCCCTAGACCTAACTCATCTGCATCTGAGAACAAGTTCTGGTGTGGGGGTGGACGAGGGACCGGAGGGCACTGAGAGGAGGCAGAGCCCTTCCAACCAAGGCAGAGCCTCCTTCCCACATTTGCCTTGCTGGCCCGCCGGTCCTATTGCCAGCAGTCAGACATTTCCCTTGTGTCCGGCTGCTGCTGGCTGAATATTTTCATTCCCTCATTCATTTAAAAAATATTTATCACCTGTCTACTATATGCCCAGCACTATTGTAGGCACTAGGGTTACACCATGAATATGACAGACGAGGGCCCAGTCCATTGGGAGGCCCCAACTGAGTTAGTGCTGAAATATAGTGCTTTCCCATTTCTCTTCATTGAAAACACTGCATTGATCTTGCATAAAGTTCCTGGATAGTTGTGAGATGTTGGGATGATCACATCTCCGGACCTCAGATTCCTTACAGGGACTTGGATAACATTATTTCCAGTGTTCTCTCTGGCCTTAAATTCCACATGTATGCAGATTATGATGGAATGCTAAGCATATTCAGAAACTGGGAGATAAACTGCCGTTCATCTCAGCATACGCCCTCATTCCCTCTCTCTCCTTCTCTCCCGCGGTGCTCCCCTCCTGCCCTCTCTCATAATCATATGGTGCTTGACGATCATTAGAAGTCCGTCTGGCTTGTCCAGTGCAATCTCAGAAAATATAGCCTGGTATTGACACGTAGCTTGACTAAGAGGGCCGCAGTACATTCCAAGCTAACTCTTCCCCTAAATACTGCAACGGTGCTGCCTTTTTGTTAATTGTAAATATTGCTTATATGCAAGTAAGTGTAGATATCGTGCCAGTTGCACTGCCTGTGAGGGACATTCCAGCCCCCACTCCCTGCTTGCAGAGTGTCTGTAAAGGCACAGACATCGTAAGTCTTTCTCCTTTTGCAATAAGGGAATGAGGTACCAGGCCCCAGGGCCTTGTGGAATGGATAAGGACATTGGAGTTAAGGCCGTTTGCTTTATTTGTCTGATCCTGTTTTCTCACCTAAATTAAGACTAGGGATGCCAACCTCCTGTGATTAAATGAGATAGTGGAATAAAGTGCTATCCCAGTGACTTTCCGAGAGAAGTTCTTAGCAGCAGTTCTTACTAGCACCCTCCCAAGGCTGCCTTTAGGCTTCTAGGATGCTGCAATTGGATGTCGTGCTGGGGGAAGGCATGAGGCTATAAAATGGACCAGCAAGCCTTTCTTGCAGTCTCATCTTCTTGACACCCCTTCATAGAGTTTATGTTATTAAATCTCCACTTCCCATTCGGTTTGCACAATTCAGCATCCCTCCTGCTAAGATGTAACTACCAGATGTGCCTTAGACATGGCTGTCCAAGATGGTAGCCACCAGCCACATGTTGCTATTTAAATTTAAATTAATGAGAATGAAATAAAATGAAAACTCTTGTTTCTTAATCACGGTCATCCACTTTCTAGCACTCAATAGCCACAAGCTATTGTATTGGACAGTGCAGAACATTTTCACCACTGCAGAAAGTCACTGCACTTCCAAATTTCTCAAGAAATTATTCTGAACTCTAACAAGGGAAACAGTTGTCAACGCCCATTTCATGTTGACTTTGGGTAAAGTTAGTTATGATGAGTAGGGTTTAGCCTTAAATCCCCCATTTGGACAGTGGTTCCCAGTCTTGTCTCTTTGTTCATTCCCAAAAGACACGGCAGACCTTGGCATTGTAGACCAGTGAAAAGGGCCTCTGGAATGCCAGTGATGGGGTTTGGGAGATGGGAGCACCCACTAGGTGGGTGTTTCAGAATCCCCAGGGGAATGTTTACTGAAACTCCCTCCCCTACCCAAGCCTCACCTTCTCCAGGGGGAGTCACTGAGATACCTGAGAGCCCACCGTGAGGGGTCAAAGTGACTGGGCTCAGATCCCAGTTTGGCTGCTTAGTAGCTGGATGACATTTAGCATGCCCTTGACCTTTCCCAACCTCCTGTCATCAGTAATGGCACTGTGAGCTCACAGTAGGGCTGCTCTCACATACGGCCTAATGTAGGACCTGTATGCACGGGAGCTGATTAAGGTCAAGGTCATGTAGTGAAAAGAGCCTGGGGTTTGGGTTTAGATGGGCTTTGCTTCAAGTCCTGCTCTGCCCTTTGTGACTCTGAGCACATTTTTTTTTTTTTATCCTTTCTGGATCTCAGCTTCCTTGTGTATAAAAAGTAATAATGATAGGACACACCTCCTGGGCTTACAAGGATTAAATACAGTAATGTAAATGGGCCTAGCATATACCACACCTAGTTGGTGTTTCTCCCTGACACCCAGCATGGGACCAGTTTGTTGTTAAGGCTGCAAAATATTCACCCCTGCTCCCACCTCGACTGTGCGAGTATAAGGCACACCCTCAACAATAGGGTGGCTGTGAAGCTTACGTGTATGAAAGCACATAGCATGCAGTTGGCACTCAATAAAAGTGACTTCCAGTCTCACATTTACAGCCTCTGTGGGCTTGACTGTGTCAATCAACTTGTTTAGAGCTCAGAGAAGTCTGTCCTGCCAAGAGGAGGGATACGGGAGTGAACAGAAATGATGTGTGGACACAGAAGCTTTGGAAAATGGTGAGGAACTGTGCAGAGTAGCTATTTTTATTATAGGACATTTGTAACATCACTTGGGACTTGGGCAGCTCTGTGTTTTTAGATTATTATAGGGCTTGGGCTGAAGCTTTATTTTTTCCATGTGGTGCTGATTAGAGTGAGGCCTTCTTAAATCATGGACTGTTTCATGGAAAAAAAATACTCAGCTTGGCAGTAATCCACTTGGTGCCACTTTCTAGGGGTTCAGTGAGTAAACAATGAGGATGCTCACTCATGGGAAGATGCTTGTCCATGGGAGGATGCTGGCCCTTGGGAGGATGCTGACCTATGGTGGGCTGCCCGTCTATAGCAGGATGCTGGTCTGTGGGAGGATGCTGACCTATGGTGGGCTGCCTGTCTACAGCAGGACACTGGCCCATGGAGGGTGCTGACCTATGGTGGGCTGCCCGTCTACAGGAGGACACTGGCCCATGGGAGGATGCTCACCTATAGTGGGCTACCCTTCTACGGGAGGACACTGGCCCGTGGAGGAGCTGACCTATGGTAGGCTGCCCGTCTACAGCAGGACGCTGGCCTGTGGGAGGATGCTGACCTATGGTAGGCTGCCCGCCTACAGCAGGACGCTGGCCCGTGGGAGGATGCTGACCTATGGTAGGCTGCCTGTCTACAGCAGGACGCTGGCCCGTGGGAGGATGCTGACCTATGGTAGGCTGCCTGTCTACAACAGGACGCTGGCCCGTGGAGGATGCTGGCCTATGGTAGGCTGCCTGTCTACAACAGGACGCTGGCCCGTGGAGGATGCTGACCTATGGTAGGCTGCCTGTCTACGGCAGGATGCTGGCCTGTGGAATGATGCTGGCCTATGGTGGGCTGCCCGTCTACGGCAGGACGCTGGCCTGTGGGAGGATGCTGACCTATGGTTGGCTGCTCGTCTACGGCAGGATGCTGGCCCATGGGAGGATGCTGACCTATGGTGGGCTGCCCGTATATGGCAGGATGCTGGCCTGTGGGAGGATGCTGACCTATGGTGGGCTGCCCATCTACGGGAGGACACTGGCCCGTGGGAGGATGCTTACCTATGGTAGGCAGCCCATCTATGGCAGGCTGCTGGCCCATGGGAGGATGGGAATCCCAGGGCACATGCTTGTCCATTGGAGGATATTTTAGGCTGAGAGGATATCTGATTTGGAATTTGCATAAAAATCAGACAATTATTTCACCAAAAACTCTAGGAGATTACTGTCTTTTGATTCTACAGGTGTAAGCTAGAAGTGTTCACATCTAGTCATGAATGAGAAGGAGAGGCAATGTTACATTTATTAAGTGCCTACTGTGTGCCTGCTGTAGACTTGTGTGTTGCTAAAGTCTCCCAGCAGCCTGCGGAGGAAAAACATTAGCTCCGTTTTACTGGTGAGGAAAGAGAAAAAAATCTCTTATTTTGGGGCCCATTTGGATAGAATTCAGGGGGTCTAATAATTTCAATGGAAAAAATTCCACATTTTAATTTTCACTAGATTATAACAGAAACTTTTCTTCTCTTTCGATTATGAATGCAGGCCACAAAGCAGAGTGGCATTAGCTCCTCCTCGGACTTTGTCATCAAAGAGCTGGCAGATTTTCGTGTCCCACCACAGCCACTGCATGGATCCTGCAGCAGCAATTAGTCATCACTGCTGCTCTGAAATTATTGTGGCCATTAGACTTGCCACTAGAGCTTTTTACTTAATGTGCTGACAAGGGGACATATATTTCAGCATGAATTTATTTTCTAATTGGTTTCAACATAATTGGTTTCCTTTGCAATCCAGTGCATTTTATCTAATGAATTTGGAGAACATTAGACTGATGGGGCCCATAGACGTCACCATGCTGTCAAAGGGAGACAGGGCACAAAGGTTGAGAATTGCTAAAGCAGAGGGTCAGAAATGTCAAAAGTATTGTCTAAGTTGGTGAAGTCAAGATTGGAATTCAGGTCTGGGTAACTGAGTAGAAGAGATGCAGCAAGTCTAGGACCAATGAAGAGTGGCGAGGAGGATAAAGTCTGAGAGGGGTTGGACTCTGGCCAGGCTCGATGGTCCTCGGAAATATGACCCTGGCAGGGAATGAATTTTACCACCATTTAAATGATGTAAGCCACGGAGGTGTATTCTCAAGGTAGAATGAGAATGAATGAGCTACGACTACACATGGTGACCTGGACGAATCTCACAAGCCTCATGCTGAGAAAAAGAAACTGGACACAGTCCAGTCTGAAAACTGGTGAAACGAATCTACAGAGAGAGAAGCAAAAACAAAGGGTGCCTGTGGAGCGTGTGGACGAGCTGGAAGCAGGTATGACGAATCTTCCTGGGTTGATGGAATGCCTCATCTCTTGATTCAGTGGTAGTTACCAGGGTGTATACATTTATCAACACTCAAATGATACACTTAAGTTCTGTGTATTTGATGACATGTAAATAATACCTCAGTGATAATAATAAAAATTACTATCTCCATTTTACTAATGCATCAAGGAGGACAGAGAGAAATTAAGAAGTATCCTTACTGACCAATCCACTTGCCAAGGTGGGGCAGTTGGAAGGGAAGTGGGTGCAGTTGACTAACGCTGTGGTTTCTGTGTAGGGAACCCCATACACAAATCCCTCCAAGTGGCAAAATCCACCTCACTCAGCGGAAAATCAAGTCCTTAGATTGTCCCACAGGTAGAATGAATAAACGAATTGTGTTATAGTCATACACTGGAACACTCTTCAGCAATGAGAAAAGCTGTAAGTACACATTAAACATGACTGGATCTCACAAACATAACTCCAAGCGAAATAATCTAGTTGTAAAACAGGACATAGTGTATGATTCTAGTAAGTATGGAACAGGCAAGTTAAGCTATGGAGTTAGAAGTAAGAATATGGCTACGCTGGCATGGGGATGTTAATGGCAGTGGTCACGGCAGGGGGCCTTTGGGGGTGTTAGTCATGTTCTCCTTATTGAGCTGGGTGATGTTTATAGTGGTTGATTTGTGCCCTTAGAAATAATGGCATACATCACTGAAACAGTTAAGGCTCACAACCAAAAGCAGGGGTTCTGTGTTCTATGTAAATGGTGCCTCCTGGATTTATGCAAACCTGCAGCTCTGCTTGGAAACTGGTTGTCCCTGAGTCAAATCCAGGCCGAGGATTGTGGCTCACACCTGTAATCCCAGTACTTTGGGAGGCCAGGGCAGAAGGATCACTTGAACCCAGGAGTTTGAGACCAGCTTGGACAACATAGTGAGGCTTTGTCTCTACAAAAAATAAAAAAAATTAGCAGGGTGTGGTGGCGCATGCCTGTGGCCCTAGCTACTTGGAAGTCTGAGGCAGGAGGATTATTGAGACCAGAAGTTCAAGGCTGCAGTGAGCTGTGATCACGCCACTGCACTCCAGCCTGGGTGACAAAGTGAGGCCCTGTCTCAAAAAAACAAACAAACAAACAAAAAATACAGTTGACCCAAACATGAAGAGGGAATGTGATATTATGCCAATGCCATGGAGCCATCTCAGGGGCACTTTCCACATGCAGCAGAGGGACCACTACCCCCACTTACTCAGGGTCCTGCACGGAGCCTCCCACACAGTGGAATCTCTCAGGCACGGTTTTCCAGTCTTTAGCCATTTTCACCATGGCACCTGCATCAAGGACCCCGTAGCCAAAGAGGTGATTAAATTCCAGGCCGACCCCATTGCGCCGCCACTGATGGACCTCGTCGTGAAGCTGGTTCCGTTTGGAGGTGAGCACAGTCAGATGCTGCATGTCCCGCCAGGTCAGACCCAGGCTGGATACAGGAAGCAGAGAGCAAGAGGGCAAGGGCAAAAGGCAGGGTGAGAGAGGGAGAGAGGCACAATGATTAAGAGAAATATTACTCAGGACACAGACCTCTTGTAAGATTTTGGAATCTCTGTGAACTCTCAAATTCAAGGGAGGGTGTCCATGCACCATTCAAAACCACTATATAAGTCAATTAAAGAAATCTTCTTGCTTTTCTTACTTACATAAATTGATTTCAAAAGTCTATTCTAACACACACACCGGAATGGCTAAAATGAAAAAGACTGACAATGTTAAGTGTTGAAGATGTGGAGCAACTGGAACACATGTACTTTGTGGATGAGCGTGCAAGTAATTCCAACTAAACTGGAAAACTGTTTGGCTGTATCTTCTAAAGTTAAGCTTAAGCTATGGCCTGGAAATTCTTTTCCTAGGCATATACCTGACCAAATGTGTACATATTCACCAGACCTGTGTACTAGAATGCTCCTAGCCCCAAACTGTGAAACCCCTACATGCCATCCAAAAGATAGGGAGTAAACTAATTGAGGTGTAACTTATAGAATGTGGGGTACTATACAGCAGTGAGAATGAATGAACTCCAGGTACTCTGAACAACATGGAAAAATCTCACAAATACCATGTTGGCCTAAAGAAGCCAGGCAGAAAAGAGACCATAAAGTATGATTCCATCTGTTTAAAATATAAAAACAAGAATGACTAATCTATGCTGTTGGAGGTCATGTTAGTGGTCAGTCTCGTGGGGCAGTGACTGGAAGGGGATACAGGGAGCTTCTGAGTGCTGGTCTTGCTGTCCCTTCATCTGGGAACTGGCATGTGGGTGTGTTCCATTTTTGAAAAGGAGGGTACCAGTTCTTCAAGGGTAGAGAAATTATATTTAGCATATTTATATCCTTAGTGTCCAGGATGGTCCTTGGCACATTGTTCAGTGAATAAACTAGTCTTCTTGTAAATGTTATTGTTTTTGGAAATTAGTGTCTATTACTACACATTGTCTATGTTTTTCAAATTGCAAATCATGATTTGTTTTTGGGCCAGGTTATCGCACAGGTTGTTGGGACTGCCCATGAAAATTTTCTCCTAGGGGCATTGAAGATCTCATGCCTAGGGCCTCATCCCAGACCAAGTAAATCAGAATCTCTGGGAGTGAGACCCAGGCATTGGAAACTGTTAAAACTTCTCAGACCATTCCAACAGACAGCCAATGTTGAGAACCAGTGATTTAATGGTTGGTGTTATTATTTTAAAAAATGAATGGAACAGAATAGAAAAGCAGTATGCACTGCACATAATACAGGAAGCTATTTTTTCATGAAATACTTGGAGGGTAGCTGTGTGTGTGTGTGCTGAGCTGCAGTGCAAAATTTATTACTCACCGAGGATTCTGGTCAAAAAGTTGGCAAAACCTTGCACTACAGTTCTCTTCAGAAGTCAAACAATTCAAAGGACCAGGAGCAACATAACTCATTTGATAAAATTTCAACATATGCAAAGTTCATTGGTTGGAAGATCTGAATCAGAACCAAGAGTTCAAATGATCCATGTGCTCTTGAATGCAGACCTTCTTCTATTAAGAAGCAAGTTCCACACTTGGACACAGGAAGGGGAACATCACACCGGGGCCTGTCATGTGTGTGTGTGGGGGGTGGGGGGATGGGGAGGGATAGCATTAGGAGAAATACCTCATGTAAAGGATGAGTTAATGGGTGCAGCAAACCAACATGGCACATGTATACATACGTAACAAACCTGCACATTGTGCACATGTACCCTAGAACTTAAAAGTATAATTAAAAAAAAAAAGAAAAAAAGAAAAGAAGCAAGTTCCAAGGAAGGTCAATGCTTATTTGAGGAGATTCAGAACATGTCTTGGACATATGGTGTAAAATGATGTAAGTGGTGTAAAATGGTGTAAATGATGTAAAATGGTGTAAAAGTTCCTTAAGTTGATTATGGCTAAAAACTGAGTGTTTTGCTGGAAGGGGATTCTGAGTTTATTAATCTCAGAAGTGTTGACAAATGAGGATCTAAATGACCAGAGGGCTGGCTAGCAGGTTTCTCATTTCTCATCTTTGCCATGAAAATGGGCTGTACTTCTGATGCCTGGAGAAGGGCTCCCTTAAATGTTTCTCTGCAGATTTATTCTCATGGGGTGCATTTTAGAAAGAGAGAGAGCATGAGAGAGAGAGAAATAATGTTTCAGAACAAGGAACTTTTCACTTTTGAGATAAACCACAGCATAGTTCACTCTCCAGTGTAACTGAGTCTATGACACTGTTTGACCTGCTATTTGCATATGTCTGAAGAGTAAAACCAGGTTCCTTCTAGTATCCCTTCTGAATGATTTAGGAATTGACAGACTACAATATTCTGTAAAGTAGGTATTTATTTCATCAACCTGCTTTAATTGTACCATAGCAGCCCAAGAATTACAGGTGATAGTTATTAAATAATTAAAAAATAAATTTATGGAGTATCTGCGATATACAGGTCACTGTTTTGGAGACTGTAGGACAAGAAATGTGACATGTTCTTCCCTGTTCTCAAATGTTTTATATGAGTCGGGAAAATAAGATGCAGATATATGAGAAGGTACTGCGCAATGAAGTGATTGTATGGATGTCTGTTGAGTGTCTACCACATTCAGGCATCGTGCTAACTCTGGGCATGTCAGACGGATGTCCCTGTCCCCACCAGCTGATAGCCTAGGGGGACAGAGGGACAACTCAGTATTGAAAATGTGAGGGCTGTCATGATGGGGGAGCTCAGGATGCTGAGGGAGGCATCAGTGGAGCCTCTGTGTTATCCTAGTCAGGAGTTCTCACTGTGATCCTCAATCCCCCTGTGTCAGGACCATTAGTGACATATGTGAATTTCCACCTGTCCTGAATCAGCATCTTGGAGATTGTGGGCCTGAGAATTTGCATTTAATCCAAATGATTCTTCTGTACAGTGATGTTTGAGAACATTGGTAGTCTGGGACAGTGGTTCTCAACCTTGTCTGCACATTGGAATCACCTGGGGATGGTTAAAAAAATGATGTCCAGGTTCAGAGGTTTTGATTCCATGGATTCCTCCAAACATTTAGTATTTTCAGTATGCAGCAAACCTCGTTCAGGGGAGAGCTTCCTAACTTCCTGGACGGCACTGGTGGGGGTGGGGGCGCTGGTGAAAAATAGAGCTTTCCAGGGGCTCCCCTGGGGATTCTGATTCTATGGATCTCCAGTGGGCTTAGGGTATCTGTGTTTTTAACAAGCACTCCAGGATTCTGATCATCAGGAAATCTGAGAAACTTGGGTCCAGGGGTCAGCAAGCATCTCTTAGGAAGTGGCTGACCAGCAGACTGACTTTTTGTTTAATGTTTAATTTTTAATTTTTGTGGGTACACAGTAGGTGTATGTATTTATGGGGTACATGAGATATTTGGATACAGGTATGCAATGCATGATAATCACATCAGGGTAAATGGGGTATCCATCACCTCAAGCATTTATCCTTTGTAGGAACCTGACTTCTAACAGAATGGATTGTTTTTCTCGTGTGCAAGGCTGTTCCCTCACCATTCTCTTTCAGAGCATAGTACTTCTATTTACAGCATCAAGTTCCCCTGAACCCAATTAACATTTTCCTCCTAATGATCAAGGCAGCAAAAGTAATTTAAAGTCAGCACATGCATCTTTAGAGAAATTGAAAATGGAAATGTTTTAAAGATGATGCTGTAGTCTTAAGGTTGGAGGAATCACTTCTCCTAACATCTGGTAAATTCTAGAAGTCAACAGGAGAATTTTAATCCCTTTACTTGTTGGATCTGATCTTTATCTGACAATGTAAACTGTGTGACCTGGAGCAAGTTGTTTCACTTCTCTGGGTCTCGTTCTCTTCATCATAAGAGATGTTTGGAGTCGTAAAAGATCCATTCATTTTCTTTCATTTTTAAAATTCTGAGTCTATCCTCTAAATTTTGATAGGATTAAAAAATAATTTCAAAGGTTGGATTATTTCCAGTCTGAGAAAAATAATGCATTTGTGAGTCAAGCTGGTATTTTCTCCATAGCCTTTGTTTGCTCACGTCCTATAAGGACGTGAGAGGAAATTCAGTTTTCATGACTCCCTGGTGTAGTTGTGGTGTGGAAAATCTCATCTCAAAGAAAGTGAAACCTGATTTTGTGCATCATGTTTGAGGAAGAGCTAACTCATTCACTGCAACCCATTGCCATGGCAGGATGAGTGGTGAGCCCCACAGGCAAGACAGTGGCAGGGCCTTTTCTATGTTCCACCGAGAGCCCAGTGGAACAGGCATCCTAATGCTTAAAGCCAACTGTGTGAACTCGGATAAGTTACTTTAACAATTCGAGCTCTAGCCTTTACATCTTTAAAATGGGCATAAGGCCTTATAGGTTTGTTGCAGGATGTAAATGTAAATTATGTATGTAAAGTACCTAGCACAGTGCTGGACACTGAATAAAAAGACTTTATTATTATTAATGATAACATATATCACATATATCAGAAGTTAAAGTAAATTAGATTACTATTTCCTAAGTATTGACCTCAATATTTAAAAGTATGTAAATGAACGTTTTTCAGCTTTAAGGCATATTCAACCTTAAAAATCACCAGACATCCAATTAAAATATTAACTTCCCTAAAAAAACAATATTTCAGAAGCAGAGCTAAAATATTCCAGGAAGTCATTGGAACCTTATTGATGATCTAACTTGCTACCTTTTGTTGATAAGACAATAGAGATCCAGAGATGAGTGATTGTCCACTTAGATGCCAGAAGACATTAGCAGTTGTATTTCCCTCCATATCTATCTTTTCTCCTTCCTTATTAAGAAAACTTCAGTTTTATTCAGAACAGCAATGCATTCAGCTATAAAATTACATTTCCCAGCCTCCCTTGAAGTGTGGCGGTGGTCATGTGACAGTTCTAGCCAATGAGAAATAAGCAGAAGCCACTGGGTGGGGCTCCTTGGAAAACCCCTTCAACATGGCTGACTCAGCTGGTTTCCTTCTTTCTTTTCTTTCTTTCTTTTTTTATTTTTCTCTTTCTTTCTCTCTCTCCTTCTCTCTCTCTCTTTTATTTGTTTATTTATTTATTTTTTTGCCCTTTGTGCTTCTCCTTTTCCTGCCTGAAATGTAAACATGGTGGCTGGAGTTCCAGCACGTCTAGAGAACATGAAAGTGGCAGAGCAAAGGAGCAGAAAGCTAGAAAGAGCTGGATTCCCTGATTCACAATGGTACCCCGGTACCCTAAACCAGCCCTGGGTTCCTTATCTCTGTATTTTCTTTCACATGACAGAGAAATAAACCCTTGTCTCTGTTATTATTTGGATTCGTTGTTTCATGCAGAAACATTAAATCTTGACTGAATACCAACACCTAATCAGAGGCAGAAGCCAGCTACCCACACTCTGCACCCAGAGTCATAGATTCACAGAGCTATTGCCTTATTGATCATCCTCACACCCTAGTTCACAGATCAGCGACAGGCTGGCAGCTTAAGTATTCCCGGGGAACAGGCATTGAAAAGTCAGGTTCCTGGGCCACCCATCCCTAGGGATTTGTATTCTATGAGGCTTGGGTGAGGCTTGGGAATGTATTTTTTAAAAAACTTTACCCAGTGTGCTCAATTTCACTAGCTATGAGGGAAGTGCAAATTAAAACTATAATATGACTCCACTGCACATCCATAAGAATGCTAAAATATAGAAGACTAATAATACCACATTTTGGCAAGGATGTGGGGCAACTGTAATTCTCATATACTGCTCAAGGTAGGGTCAATGGGTACACCCACTTCAGGAAACTATTTGACGATATCTACTAGAATTGCACATATGTATATTAATGACCCAACATTTTGACTCCCTAGTAGACGCTCAACAGAAATGTATCTGTATGTTCACCAAAAGGCATGTACAAGAATGTTCCTAACAATATCACTCATAGTAGCCCCAAATGGAAACAATCCAAATATCCATTTATACAATGGAATGATATTCAACAATGAGAATGAACGACCTATAACTACATACAGGAACATGGAGGAATCTCTTGCACTGCTGAGCAACAGGGCACATAAATCGTCTGTTTCTTGATTTGGGTGCTGGCTACATGGGTCTGTTCATTTAGTTAAAATGTCATGGAGCCACACCTAATGAATTTCTTTCTATATACTATACTCGCTAAAGAGTTTACATTAAAAATCCATCCCCTGGAAGGTCAGTTTTGGAAATGTTGTTCCAGTCCAGCATGTGGACCACTTTACTCCAGATGATTTTCTTGAGTCAAAAACTGATCTTCTTATGACATCTACCCCTCGAGCCTAGCTCACCCTCTAGGACCACAGAGAAAGCACCAGGTCATATGAGAGAAACCTAAATATTCGAAGGTGGCAGTCATCCCCCACTAAAATTCTTTGAAATTTCTCTGATATTGGTGATACTGGGAGATGGGAGCAATATTTCCTGTGACTCAAGTAGGCATTTTCAAGCATTAGGCAGAAAAGTACATTATGATATTAAACTACAAAGTGACAACTGGTTAGGAGAGAGAGATGGTTTTCTTTTTCTCCCCTACAGTCATGATGGGGGAAGTGTTGTTCTCTCTCTTTCAAGGTCCTGATGGACATACATTTAGATAATTTGTTGTTATGCATGAGGACTTCCTGTAACCTTATCTCAAGATAAGAGAGAGATGAGCTTTGGGACTGCTCTGTGGAGGCCCTATTCCTCATCCCTCTGGGCTCTCATTTGGAGTATCTCATCCTGACCAATGGTTTTCACTTTTGGCTATTGGAGCCGCTTTGCCTAAAGCTAGAGATGCCTTGGAGTTTACTTCTCCAGAGTAGCTCTTAGCCGATGACTGACTCATATAAGAATATGACAGTCCTGCTTCCTTGCCTGGAGGTAGAACAAACTCTGAGGCCTAATTTACACTCGGGATTAGACTGAGGCCAGAACTTTTGAAGTTGAACCTTTGCTTGGATTCTTCCCCATCCCTAACTTGTTTCCCCTACTCCCTTACTGCCTTTCCTGGGATCCCTTCCTTAATAAATCACTTGCACCAAAATCTCATCTCAGGGTCTGCTTCCAACCTCAGAAAGTTGGTATTTTGAAGAATTTTAGGACCGGCTCCCGTGATGGACTTACCCACAAGCTGCCAGGTGTTATATTTTTTTCCTCTTTATGCCAGCAGAGAATATTAAGTTCATGATCATTGCTTCAAAACAAAGCATGCCTGAATGGTGACTGCATTCTTTTCTGTAGGATATCTGGACGTATGTGCTAAAAGAATGGTGACTAATCAAGGCAGAGCCATGAATCTCTAGGAGTCCAGCAGCCTCACTCCCCCACTTTGATTTATTTAGGTCTTCCATTTGTGTGCCTATGGATCTAGGCATAGGCATAGGATTTTGTTTGTCAAAAATCCAGAAGACTGTGAGTCAAGTCCTGACTTCTGAGGTTGAAAGGGCAACCGGAAACCCTTCTCGCTTTTGGAGCACTCCTGTTCCCTGGCTCTGCACAGCTCAGCTACAGGCAGCAGGCTGTGCTAATTGTCTCCTTGCGGATGCAGTGAGCAAGGCCAGCTCAGGCTCCAGGGCCCACTCAGACCCTGAGATGAACAGTTTTATCTTCAGGAAATGTACATTGGATATGAGTAAATTTTGTTTTCTGTGCTTGATAGGGCAGAGGTCTCTGTGCCTAATAGTTGAGCTTTGACCAGTGTCTTGGCATCATAAATTTTCTATCTGAATTTTGTTAGAAGAGTCAAAGTTTAGACTTGTCCAAAAAGAGAAGTCACTCTCAATTTGGGGTCTTATCTGTAAAGGGAGGATAATTATGCCTTTTCTTGTGAAGGTAGAGGGTTGAACTAGGTAATCTGTTGAAGCCCCTTTCTATTCTAGGAACCAACTCCTGCCTCCTTTGCAAATCAGAAAATGCACTGCCTATGTGGAGAGAGACAAGCAGGGCTGCCTAGAGATTGATGCTGGGAGCCCTGGTTGCCTAGCAACTCTACTCTCCTTCCCCAAGAGACTGAATCCAACTTCTCACAAGTTGCTGGGAACTGCATTCTCTGACAATTCCCTACACAGCCGGCACTTACACTCACACTATGTGTGTGGTGTCTGAAGCCCATGTGTTCATTCTGTGAACATAAGGCCAGCCTCAGGTATCATTAAAAGAAAGTAGAGTAGCAGGTGGGCAGGTACCTCCACTGCTACTCAAATCCAAGGTGTGTCCAGCAGTAGCAATATGTGGCCTCTCCATAGGATGGTGAGGACATAGGAGATGGTCTCCTCTTACCTTCAGCTTGGAAGGTCTCCCAGGAAAGCCCATATCTTGGTCTACACTGCGTGACTTTGCCTATCTTGTTTCAGTGTTAAAAAGTGAATCCACTTCACAAATTAACAAATCTTGAGTGGGACCACTTTGTTTGCCACATGTTCTGAAACACCAGCCTGGCAATTTGATTTGTCTTCAAGTAGCTGATTGTGAATATCACTGGAGTAGAAGAGCCCAGGGATACACAGAGGATAGAGGGGTAAATTTGATGAAGAAAGAAATATCTCTGTGCCTTCACTGGGTATCTGAGTAAGTTGCTAATACGTGCTGCTGGGTGTTGTGTGCTCCCAGGAATGTGGTTTTATGGTGTGTGCGTGTGTGTGTGTATGCACACGCACGTGTGCTGGTGGGCACATGGGCCACTTAGAAATGCACAGCAGAGTTCATTGGCCCTGACTATTCATGGCCTCTCACATCAACTTTTCCCTCCATGGACACCTGGCATGTGGGCAGAGAGACACGTGTTAGTCCACCCTGCAGAGCTGGCCCTGGACCCAGAGCTATGAACATACTTAGCCTCCAGAGCCAGTGCAAACACACCAGCTGCCTCGGGGGCAGCTGCAGATGTCCCAGAATGCCTCAGAGTGCAGTTGCCGTACAAATCTGTGGTTGCCTGGAAGGGAAGATAATGAGTAATGAGTGGATAAATCACGCTATTTTGAACCCCCGCACAATGTGGAGCAGGGGATTATCTACTCCTTTTATTTATTCATTTATTTATTGAGACAGCCTCACTCTGTTGCCCAGGCTGGAGTGCAGTGGCATGATCTTGGCTCATGGCAACCTCCGCCTCCCAGGTTCAAGCGATTCTCCTGCCTCAGCCTCCTGAATTAGCTGGGATTACAGGCACGTGCCACCATGCCCGGCTAATTTTTGTAATTTTAGTAGAGACAGGGTTTCGCCATGTTGACCAAGCTGGTCTCAAACTCCTGACCTCAGGTGATCCACCTGCCTCAGCCTTCCAAAGGATTACAGGCATGAGTCACTGCCCCCAGCCTACTCCTTTTATTTAACCTATGCTTTGTTCCCAAGAAGATTAAGATGAAACTAAGGATAAACTTAGCATCCATATGCCTCTCTTTTGCCCTAGATTTTATCTGAGCTTCCTAGTAGCCCACGTAAAAGGGGATATATAGTCAGTTATAGTTACAGTGTCCACAAGATAAATGAGTTGTTCAAAGAAGCATATCTGTGGCTATTCCAGAGACTACAGAGAGATTTATTTCCTGAAACCTAAAAGGAAACATTATGAAGTGGAAAGTGATGTCAATACCCCCACCCTAGTTTTGTTGCATTGGGACTGGCCCTTGAAAGGCCAAAGGCCACTTCATCAGCATTTCTTTTTCCTTCTTGGGGGAAAGAAGGCATTCCCGAAGAGGAAAGAATCAACATGCTCAGCTAAAGTCTCTCTAGAAGGGCAGGCTATTAAAACATGTTTCTCTACATCTAAAATCCACGGAGAGATTCTGAGATGTGTTGAGTCAAGACAACCCAATATGTGGGTATCACCTCCACAACTCTTATTTAGAGGGGAGACTGGTAAACAGATTTTTAAAGGACTTTCACAAAGTGAAAAACCTCATTTTCAATGTTTGTGAGAGCCAGGGTGTTCATTAAAATCATGTATAAACGACGGGAATTCTTCCTCTGTCTGTAGGATCCTCAAGAGAGCTTATTATTTTGAGGAAGAAATTACCAGGGAGGTTTAAGGGCATCTATTGAGCAAAATTATAGTACTCACAGGAAACTCAAGGCCTTTAGCCAGCCCAAGTAGAAAGAGTCATAAATACGGGTCGAGGACAAATTTACACCACTGAGAGGTCTTTGGGGTAGGGAGTGGAGCTTTCAGGCGTGAGAGTGAAGTGTCACCTCACCTGTCCCTGTCTGCTCTGCCCTTCTCCCTTTCTGTCCATACAGCTTACAGGATAAGAGGGGTCAAAGCCCCCTTCTGTTTGGGAGGAGCTGGCACATTCTTCATCCTCCCCAAGACCAAGGGGGAATGCAGGAGGGCTCGTGGGAAGGACAGGCTTTTAAGGTCTGCGTCCCTTCCAGGTAAAGGGCTTCTCCTCGCTCACGCAGGGGCATGGCCATCTTGCCAAGTTGGGATCCCACGTGGGAGCGTGGGATCGAAACACTGGATGGTACTAATGATTTTGTCCTGAGCTCCTGTCCTCCTGTCTCAAGAAGCCTCAGTGGAGATGGGTGCAGCCAGTCAGGATATAATTCATGCATGACTACTGAACCACCTACTAAATCCTGGTTTGGAGGTGTAAGAAAAGGCTGATCTGTGAGCAAAATCTCCAGAGAGGAAAAGATCCAAAAAAGCTTATTATGCTTTACAGATGATGTATTTCCCAGGGGCTTGGAAAATTCACCATTATACCTAGTTGCCAAGAAAGGAAGATTTTTTTTTCTTTGCTCAGAAAAGAGCAACAAACAATAAATCTGTGATTATTAATCTTTTTGTTCTAAAAATCATGGCTCCATTTTAAAATATGATGAAAATCACAACTCTTTCCCTGAGAAAATAACAGATGTGTGTGCAATTTTACGGGGTTTATGGATCCAGAAAAGTCCATCCGTGAATGTTGTTTTTTAAATTGCTATAAATAAACAGATGGGTTCTTGTTTCAGACAGGGTTACAGTGTGATGCCTTGGTTCTTACAATGAGTTAGTTATTCTTGTAAGTGATGGAATGGGGCAACTGATTGGTAAACCAGACTTCATCATTACTTGTAAGCCAGAAACAATAAACAAGAAAATCTATGGAAAACGATCCAGAAAGGAGTCCTCACCGATCATGCTACTAGCTCGCAGATGGGAGGTCTGTGCTTTGTTAGAAAGCAGGACTGGGCATAGAGAAAAGGGGTCTTCCCTTCAGAGCCTTAGTTCAGGCTCTGAGGGAGGGGACAGGAGGGGAGCAAGCCAGTGTCCCAGCATCCCACCCTGACACAGAGGTGCAGTGGCCCTAAGGAAACAAGGACAGAAGGGGACGTGCTCACCACACCGGCCTCGGGGTTCCTTTTCCTCCCGTTGCTGAAGGTGGAAGCCAAGGTGGAAGAGCAGCTCTCGTCGTACAGGGCAGTCCTGCCGTCGTTGATGGCTGAGTTGATGGAGATGGTCCACATGCTGGAGGCGTAGCCGTCGCAGTTGCAGTCGTCATAGCTGCCGCCGTCCCCGGAGGCCCACACGTAGATGCTGCCTTTGCCGCCGCGGCCCTGGGGAGAGCAGGGGAGACGCTGCCGCTACCCACAGCCTGGGCTGCGAGGGGGCAGGGGAGGTCTCCAGCCCAGGGGTTGGGCTTCTTCAGCAGTTGAACCTAAAGACTGGGTGCACTTTTTAAACTGGGTTGGACACCATATCCTTCTGGCAGGGCATTGTGGGAAACTTTTTTTTTCCAGGAAGAATTCAATCTAAAAAAGTCAACTGAATTTACAATTTAAGCTGGGGATAATGAGGTAAGAAAATTGGAAGAACTGTCTTAAAATTTACAAATAAACTGCTTTTTAAAAAAGCTAGAAAGGTGGTACATGCTCACAATGAAAAGTCTAACTGTATGGAAAGGAAAATAAAAAACAACTCTCTAGAGGTAATTATTATCTCATTCTTACATCTCTTTATGTATCAGACATTTTTTAGTGAAAATGCAAGTATATGGACATATAATTTTTCTTAGCTACATAAGCTATACAAAACATTTATAGAAGATATATACCTTTTATTTTAAATAGCTATATATCAATATATAAATTTAAATATGATATGTAGACATTATAAATATAAAGCATACATTTACTCCATGATATATAAAAATCTTACGTGTGTGTGCATATGTATATATTCTTTTTTATTCAATTGGATACTAGAATCCTTTTAAACACATAATATATGACATTTTACTTGAGCAAGGGAACTCCAAATGTAGGAGGAAAGTCTAATATGATCAAGTAAAACACACAGTGAATAAAACCTTAAACACACAGTAGTAAGCACAGTAGTTATTGCCACATGCTAATTAGTTTAAATGGCAAACTTTGCATAAGTCCCTACAGTTAGCATGGCTCTTCTCCTCAAACCATGTTCTTAGAGGTTCTTAAAAATCCTTTTCCTTGTCTTCTGAGTATTTTCCTCTCTACCTAAACAACCCAGGATTGGACCATTAGTTTCTTGCTTCCCACTTTCTTACCCCAAGGCAATGGGGCCTGGGGCTGCTTAGTGTTCACCTGTGGGCTGGGAGGGTGGATAGGAGTGCAGCCATGCAGTGCCGGAGGCAAGGGGCAGGTGCAACCTCCAGCCACTCCACAGCCTGGCCCAGGGTGGCTTGGTTACCCTCTAGAGGGAGAAGACAGAAGAGATTGTCAGGGAAAGTCTCTCCCTGTGTGGTCACCAGGTGTCCATGGTCCTTACGCTTGAAACTGACACAGAATCAGTGGTTTAAGAGTGGAGAAGCCAGAAGGAAGAGAGATGACTGGATTACCTCCAAGTGCTCTCTGCCGCCTGACAATCAGATGTGACATTTTCAATCACTTCTAACAGCACTGGGAATTAATCAGCCTGTGATTGATTGAATCGACAAGTGAACAAATATTTATTCAACCACTAGCTGGGAACTATTCTCAGCATCTTGGTAAATCTATGCTGGAAAACTCCAACCAAAACAAGGAACTGCTCTCAGAAACCAGGACAGCGAGGGAAATAGATATCCCTACAGTTGGTGTGGAGGATCACACTCTCAAACAGACTCAGATTTGGGCTCGGTATCAAGAAATAGCAAAAGTGTGGCCGGGCGCGGTGGTTCATGCCTGTAATCCCAGCACTTTGGGAGGCTGAGGTGGGTGAATCACCTGGGGTCGGGAGTTCGAGACCAGCCTGGCCAACATGGTGAAACCCTGTCTCTACTAAAAATACAAAAATTAACTGGGTGTGGTGATACATGTCTGTAATCCCAGCTATTCGGGAGGTGCAGTGAGCCGAGATTGTGCCACTGCACTCCAGCCCGGGTGACAGAACGAGACCCCATCTCAAAAAAAAAAAAAAAAAAAAAGCAAAGTACAACTGATGTGTTTCACAATAAATGGGTGAGTGAGGTTGACCATCTGCAGAACTTTCTCCTGAATCAGTCCATATGTAGACTGCTAGTGAGATGAAGCAACGTTTGCTAAAATGAAGGAAATCGATGCTAAACATTCTCTTCTTTGTGTGGGGAGTGTGGTAGATTGATTGTGACCCTAATTATTCATGATTCCCTGTATTTATGCCCTGTGCACTATGCCTTTGCAGCCCCATCCATCAAGAAGAGTGGTCTATTTCCTACCCCTAGACTCCAAGCTGGCTTTATGTCTTGCTTTGGCCAATAGAATGTGGGGGAAAGTGATTCTGTATCAGTTCCAAACATCAGTCCCAAGAACTCCTATGTTCTCTGATCTCTCCCAGAACTCCGTTGCACCATGAAGATAAGCCTAGGTTAGCCTCCTGATTGATAAGAGAGAAGTATTCCAGTCAAATTCACTGCCCCTGCTGACAGCTGCCAGACACAGGAGGGAAGCCATCCTCGATCCGTCAGTCTCTAACTCACTCTCCTGAGATTAGCCTAGCCTGGTGCAGATCAGCAGAACAACGCAGCTGACCTGTAGACCCAAGAGCAAAATTAAATGATTGTTATTTTAAGCTACTGAGTTTTGGGGCAGTTTGTTATGCAGCCAGCTCACTGTTACACAGAGAGCAATTGTCAGCCTGTTTCTGAACCGTGAACAGTAAACAGCAAACGTTAATTTTGTTTTAAACCATGAGACTTGCCCACAAGAATGCTTCGTTTTCTAGGAATATTAAACTTTGTTTTCTTAAGCTAGATAGGACACATGAAGCAATAATAATTGTGTCCTTGCTTCTGGTGATTGGGTTTTAGCACCAAAAAGTCTCTGGCTTCTGGGGAAGATGGGCCAGTGAGGAAAATTCTCTAGTTCTGGGGGCAGAAATGAGTGGGGAAGGGACCTCCATAAGAGGACTGAGAGCTGGTTATGGGATGGGGCTGTTGCTGGCATGCCACCCTACTTTGGTTTGAACTTATATGTCCCCCCCAAATTCATATATTAGAACCTGAGACACAACATGATAGTCTTAAGAGGTGGGACCTTTAGGAGGTAATTAAGTCATGAGAGTTTGGTCCTCATGAATGGGATTACTGCCCTTATAAAAGGGCTCCAGGGAAATAGCTAGGCCCCTTTTGGCCCTTCCACCATGGGAAGACCCAGTGTTTGTCCCCTCTATGAGATACAGCAACAAGGCACCATCTTAGAAGCAGAGAGTGAGCCTTTGCAAGACACTGAACCTGCCAGTGCCTTGATCTTGGGCATCTGCTTAAGGCTTGATCCATTTCTGCCTCTCAGCTTCACCTGAACAGGAGCTAGGCAGAAATCGAGACAGAACAACTATGGCTCACATCTAAACCATAACCCGTTAGAGGAAGAAGTGCAGAAAACAAAGGTTGACTATCACAGCAAGCATTTCCATAGCACTTACTACATGCCAGGGACTTGTTAAGTACTTCACATATTATCCTATTCAGTCTTCACAGCCACCCTACAGGCAGCCCCATTTACACTGGCCACATAAAGGATAAAATACTTAGGAAGAGCCGGGCGCGGTGTCTCATGCCTGTAATCCCAGCACTTTGGGAGGCCGAGGTGGGCGGATCACGAGGTCAGGAGATCGAGACCATCCTGGCTAACACAGTGAAACCCCGTCTCTACTAAAAATACAAAAAATTAGCCGGGCGAGGTGGCGGGCGCCTGTAGTCCCAGCTACTCGGGAGGCTGAGGCAAGAGAATGGCGTGAACCCCAGGGGGCGGAGCCCGCAGTGAGCCGAGATCGCGCCACTGCACTCCAGCCTAGGCGACAGTGAGACTCCGTCACAAAAAAAAAAAAAAAAAAAAAAAAAAAAAAGGGAAGAAATTCAACAAACTTAAAAAAAAAAAAGCTAAGGAAGTGCTAAATAAGGCTTTGAACCTCTCTGAACTCTATGGAAGGAGGGACGAAGATGAAGATTTGATCCCATGGAAAGATATTGGCCATATTCTCGAATAGAAAGACAGGATCACAGAGATGTCAATTTTCCCTATGTTAATATATAAATGTGCCAGGTGCAGTGGCTCACGCCTGTAATCCCAGCACTTTGGGAGGCTGAGGCAGGTGGATCCCCTGAGGTCGGGAGTCTGAGACCAGCCTGACCAACATGGAGAAACCTCGTCTCTATTAAAAATACAAAATTAGCTGAGCGTGGTGGTGCATGCCTGTAGTCCCAGCTACTCGGGAGGCTGAGTCAGAATTGCTTGAACCCAGGAGGCGGAGGTTGCGGTGAGCTGAGATCGCGCTATTGCACTCCAGCCTGGGCAACAAGAGTAAAACTCAGTCTCAAATATACATATATATATATACATACATACATATATATATGTATATTTATATATATGTAACATTATCCCAATAAATATACAATATATCAATTGAAATTCAGCCAGGCAAATATTGCCACACTTGGCAGGTCAACAGAGGGAATTTTATCCAGGGAATAGGTGTTAAAGGAAAGCCTAAAACCCAAAAGGGAAATGGGAATTCACCCATGGATTAGAGGGTGGCCCTGGAGCTGAAGGACAAAGGGAGGCCATGACCCAAGAGCCAGCACTGTGGGTGGGGCTGTCTGCTGGGGGGCGGGGTCTCCACCCTAATCCTGCAGCTCATGCTCAGTGAGTGGAATGGCTGTCAGCTGCCTGAGGCAAGTAGGCCAGCCTGATGGCTCATGCCTGTAATCCCAGTGCTCTGGGAAGTGGAGCCTTGAGGCAGGAGGAGCACTTGAGGCCAAGAGTTTGAGACCAGCCTGGGCAAAGTAGCGAGAGGCCCACTCACCCCCATCTGTACAAAAGAAAAAATTAGCTTGGCGTGGTGAGGCACACCTATAGTCTTAGCTACTCGGGAGGAGCCCAGGAGTTTGAGGAGCTGGAGTCTGCAGTGAGCTATAATCACACCACTGCACTCCAGCCTGGGTGAAAGGAAAAAAAAAAAAAAAAAAAGGCAAGTGCATTTAGGTGAAATTAAGTGAGTGGTGCAACTCCACTTTGAATTCTGCCAGTCTTTTGGAGTTTAGTGGGATTACAGTGTTTCTCAAAAGTTTTTACCAAATGGAAACTTTTAACCTAGGTACTATGGAGTGTACTTAACCACCCTGGTTCTCAACTAGTGTGGACTTTTTCTCCAGGATGCAGTGATGGAGACATTTTTGGTGATCACAACCATGTGTGTTTTACTAGCATCTAGTCCATAAAGGCCAGGGAGACTACTAAACTTCTATGCAAAGGACAACCTCCTCACCACCGACAAAACAGTATTTTGCCCAGAATGTCCATATGCCCAGGCTGAGAAACCCTGCTCAGTGAGAGCAGTGAGTTGGAACTTGCTGGGCATGGCCTTAAGTAGCCTCTCACAAGCCCAAAATTTCTGAAACATTCAAGCAATTTTTTTATTTTGCTCATAATATAAAAAGAATGTTACAAATTGCTTACCGTCAGCTAAGGTGACATTCCAGCTAGAGACTGGTGCAGTGGCTTGCTGTGTCCCCAGCGCATTGCCTACATTTGAGGAGGTGGAAATCCCACTCTGAGAAACTTGTGGCTAAAGTGAGTCAGTCCCTCCACCCTAACCAATGGGTAGCCACCAGGGTTAATGACCAGAACAGGTGCTGGTCTGGGGTTGGTATGGGTGCAGGGTGCAGACCCCTGGTGAGGCAAGCCTGGGAGAGCTTATCTTTTTGTAAACAATTATAGTAATTTTTATTTTCCAGTCACCTTAATTTCTTAATACAACATTAGCATACCTTGGAAAAAGTTATTGTATTCTTTACTATGAAAATAATATTTATTATAGAATAATTGGAATATAGAAGATGAAGGAAATAAAAGTCCTTTATAATCTTACATGAATAGATAATCACTGGTGATATTTTGTGGATTCTTGCCAATTTTACATATAAATGCAAAGTATAAGAACGGGCTTGAAAGTGAAATTGGGATAATAAAAATAGATCAACTTTCTTGGCCTGCTTAAAATGTATTTCTCACAATTTATATAATTGACTTTTTTTATGTGATTAAATACTCTTCTACACCATAATTTTTTATTAGTTTTATGAAATAGCCATTCCGCAATTTATTTACACCTCTTCTTGAATGTACATGGAATGCTGTCTCTAGTTTTTAAAAAAGTGCTTTATGTTTAAAATGAACATAATCTTATATATGTCTTTGTATGTTTATTTTCTTAGGCAGTGTTTCTAAAAGAGGAAATTCTGGGTGAAAAAAAATGAATGACGATTCTTAGTCCATCTGCCATATTATTGTTCTTGATAAAGTTTGTTAACAGTTTATATGTTTACCAGCAGTGCATGAGAACTCTATATTCAGCTCATATGCGTCATAATTTAGAATTGTCATTTCTTAAAAATAGTTTTGCCAATTTGGTGGGTAAAAATAGTACCTTATTGTTTTGAGTTATATATTTTTTCACTAAAGTTGAATTTATCTTTTTGTGTCTTTCCTGCTCATTTGTATTCTTGCTTTATTATTTAGCAAAGCCCCAAGCCCCAAAAGATAATATGCTTTGCCTATGTTTTTTTCTTTCATAGATTTTTTTTTTTTTTTGAGACAGAGTATAGCTCTGTCACCCAGGCTGGAGTGCAATGGTGTGATCTCGACTTATTGCAGTCTTTGCCTCCCAGCTTCAAGATATTCTCCTGCCTCAGCCTCCCAAGTAGCTGGGATTACAGGCACATAGCACTGTGCCCAGCCAATTTTTATTTTTCTTTATTTATTTTTTTTAGTAGAGATGACGGAGTTTCACCATGTTGGCCAGGCTGGTCCCAAACTCCTGACCTCAAGGGATCTGCCCACAACAGCCTCCCAAAATGCTGGGATTACAGGTGTGAGCCACCTCGCCTGACCTCATGGTATTCCTTTTATTGGTTTGTAAGAGCTCTTCCTGTATTAAGAAACTGAGCTAGATTTTCATTATCTATGTGCATATATATTTACTCAGTTTTTCCTTTTTCTTTGATGTGTTGGATTTAGACTTGCAGACACTTTTCCATTATATTACTTTAATCTGTTATTAAAATATGAATTTTAAAATAAACACATTTTAAATTGCACATGAAACAATGTATTGATTTATGAATATTGCCTTTCTGCACTCGTAGTTCATGAAAAATTTTATTCAAATTATTCATGAACATCTTTGGCAAATTTTATTCAAACTATTCACAAACATCTTCGACATTTGCACATTTGTCCTCACTAGGTCAACTGGTTACCTCTTGAGCTACCTAACTGTTTCGGTACACATTGTGGTAGTCATTGCTGCTGCTTGCTAAATATTGCAAACTGTCCACGGTCTGAGCCCATGACCAGGCCTCTTTGTGGTTGGGTGAGGTCTTATAAGCCATTTTAATCAATGAGTTGTGAGTGGGAGTGATGATAGATGGTATCCTTTGTAGTTTGGAACTTTCACTGGTCAGTTCCAGACTCTGCAGAGTCCCTGTGGGTTCTGTGGTAGTTCAGCGGGAGTAGGGTATCAGGTTCTCTGGAAAAGCCAAGCTAAGGATGATGCAGTTGCCCTGGCCTCTGATTTAAATCCTCACCTCGATTCAGTGTTTGATGGCGCCTGTGGTTGTCTTTAGTTATTGTCTGGTTTTCGTGTAACCACCTTGGAGGTCAGAATCCTGTGTTATTCTGTCTCACTGCTCAAAGGATCCAGCCATTGTAGTGATGAATCTTTCTGATGTCAGAGGTGCTGCTGAGTTTACATTCATGTCAACTTCTAACCTCGGGTGAATTTCTCACTGGGCCCAGGTGGGCCAACGCTACTAATAGCGCCAAAGGGTGGGTGACCAACTGTCTTGGTTTGCCCAGGATTGAGGGGTTTCCTGAGATGTAGGACTTTTCAATGCTAAAAACAGGAAAGTCCCTGGCAAAATGAGACGGCTGGTCACAAGGATCACCCGAAACCCACCAGACTTTTCTCTTAGTTCTCTTTATCCCAGAAATGAAAGGAAGGACGGTAACGGCACCAGCTGTTTCCAAGGCTGAACTGCAGATTCCACGCTGCAGCAGTTCTGCTCAGTTGCGACCTTCATCTGGCTGCAGAGCATAAATCTGGGCTCACAGAGTATTCGTGAGAGCTCCTTGGCAGGAGGCATTCATCGTCTGCCAGAGGCCCTGGCACTCGCCGCCATGGTGTACGACCCGTGGCTCTGATTAAATTTCAGCAGGAGGCACTGTGGCCTCCCCTCGCCCATGCCTGATTAATCACTGTCTCCCCAGGCAGCTCTCTGTCCCCTGCTTTCCTGGATGGTGGTTTTCTTGTAAGTGGTCCCTGTCCATACATTCCAGCTGGAAGAAGACCTGAGTTCTGTGCTTTGCCCTTTGCAGCCCCTTAGGGAGTAAACAATCAATGCGCTGTCTCATCTGTACCTTAGAGAATTTTTGTAGCCTTGTCTTTAAATATTCCTAAAATATTCCCTCCAGCAGCAACTCTGAAGAGTGATTAAGAAGAAGTTGGGATGTAGTCATCAGAGCCAGCAAAAGGTGTGCCAGGGTTGCCCTGGGTGGCTGCATTTCCTCAAGTTGTGGAAAGACGTTCATGAATCAGTTGTCACTTTCAAGACCTTCTAGCGTCACCCGAATTCCCCTTCTGGTTGTCAGAGCAAAATAAGATGCTGTGTCCCATAATGGCTGGTTTTTGTAGCTCCCTCTTTGCAAGGGCTACATCCTTTTCCTGAACAGTAAACACATCACCTTGCCAGTGCTTTATTTATCCAGAGAGTGATGACTCGAAGTCTCAGGTTAGGTTTTGCTTAAGCTGCACTTTGGGAGTTGTGTGTGAGCCCATATCCCTTGGGCTTTAGAATTCCCTGTGCCTGGGAGTTTCCAAATGTCAGCATATGCATCTTTTTGTCTAAGGGCTTCCTCCCAAGAGGCTGAAAGGCTGCTCTGTGCATCTGTCCTCAGGCTGAAAGCACTGGGGCATTTACAAGGTTTTGGGAACAAACCTCATCAATGGGTTTTATTCCAGCTCCTTTCCCACAGGGTGGGATACCTTTGGGGTGTGTTCTCAAGTTTTGGTGTGGTTTTCTGAAGTTTCCCAGTGGCATTAAGCTCCAGTTGCTGACAGCGATGACTGGCAGGATAACATACCCTTAACTGGCCCTGTCTCTTTCCTGCCACACCTCCCATTCATCACTGGTATTCTCTTCACCTTCCCAATAAACTACTTGATCCCAAATCTTGCCTCAGGATCTGCTTCTAGGAGATCTAAAACTAAGACAGAAGTCAATTATTGAACCCTCTGGTAATTCAGGGGCCTCTGACTGTCACCCTCTTCCCATATACAACGTGAAAAATGCTGTAACTGTAAACCCAACACATAGACTACTAAGCAAAAGAAAAAAAGGATTTCCTTCTTGCCCACTCCTCACTGCTTCTCTCAAGTATTTACTAAGCAAATGTAGGAGGTGCAAACTTCAAATCCCTAAGGAGTCAGGTAGGTGATGTTTGTGTGAAGCAGCCATCAGACAACTGGGAATGGTGGGATCTATGGCAAACAGTGCATGCCCCGATAAAAGTCTCTTATCCATCTCCTCTTTGTTCTCTTCCTTTTAATCATTACCATGTTGGTCAAACAAAACATATGTACAGGATGATAAAATTGAAAGACAAACGTAAGAAGTGCCTTGTGTAACAGGTAATTCTCTGACTCCTTTGTTTGTGTGAAGATTGCCTTTCAGAAGTGGATTTTTCCTTAGAGTAGACCAGGCAGTGGAAGTCACTAGGAGAAAACCTTCGCTAATGCACAATGAACCCTCACTTCCAAAATGCTACAATGTTGTCCAAAAAATGTCACCTTGAAACAAGGAAAGATTTATTCCCACTGCTTGGGGAAATTTATTCCCATTGCTTGGGGAAATTTATTCCCATTTCTTGGGGAAAAGTCAAATGTGAAATAATGTATTTTTCATCATACTCACTCCACTTTCTAAAAGATGTACTTGCTGTCATCTGAAGATCAGTCATAACAATTTTTCTCTTAAGCTTCAGCGGGCTCGGCATGCTTTGCAGGACAATCACACTTGAAAGGGCCTTTTCACCTGCAGCCAGGGAGGCTACAGATGGAGGAGAGAGAAATATCCTGCTTCGAGAGGCAGTGGAGAAGTGCAGAAGTCCGTGGAAAATGACAGGGGCACCCAGGGATGTGGAGCGCTGCCACCATCTGCACTGTCAGTCTGGACAGAGGGCACACATCTCCTACCTTCCCGACTCTCTTTTGGCCTCAGGTGTCAAAAAAAGTGCCTCTCAGTGAAAATCCATGTCTGCTGAGGAAAGGGGGAATCTGCCAACTGTTCCCCTGGGCACCTGCTGTCACCTGGTCTGGGGCTTGGATGTGTAACAATTTCTCTCCAGTCACACAATGAATAATGCAATAAGGAAACAGGCTGTCTGTGCATCAAAAATTTCATCCTAAATGCTTCTTAAGGAGACCAGGCATTGAAACAGGGTAGGGACGTCACTTTCCTGCCACCCGATCCTGTTGGCAGACATTCTCTGTAAACCGCATTGTGTCACTCAAATGTCAGGCTCCTGTTGCTGTTTCAGATGGGTTGAATTTCAACAGCAGACTGGCATAACCTTGTAATAAAGCGTCTTCACTATTTCCTGAACAGTGTAGCAATGGACATTTAGCTGCTGTCACCATGATGTTCACTTCGAGGACTCTGTTTCCCATCTCATAATTGTGTTTTTGGGATCCTTGTATTTAATGTAAAAGTGGTGAATTCCTTAAAGTGTGAGATCTTTCCTTGACTTAGAAAAGTTGTCCTCCACAGTCTTGGGGTAACTTAGGACTCTGGTTGGGAAACTTGTCATTTTGGGGAAACAAAACCTTGGGGTTTCAGGTGTTTTTCCTCCAGCTTTTCCACTTCGCAAAGGGAACTTCCAGACTCATGAAGGCAAGGGTGGCTGTTACTTGCAGGGAGAACACATAGGTATGTAAGTGCTATAATTTAAGGGAAGTCAGAAGAGTCCTCTAACGAGAGGTGTGCTATTCAATGTTTAACAACCAGCTCCCTGAAGGGGGCGTAAAAGGGCTTTATTTTTAGTGTTCGTCAATTTCCATGTTGAATTTCAAGCTCCCAGTGTGACGTTATTGGGAGCATTTCAGCACAGCACTCTCCCTAACTTGGAAACATGTTTCTCTCCTAGGACTGCATCGTGAGCATTTTCACACGCTCATTCCTTCGAGGAAGCTACATCAGAGAAGGGAGGGAGGGAGACTTCTCAAGGTCCTGAACTAGAAGAAAAAAGTCGTAATTGGATCAACTATTGACCATCTTGGCTGTAAAGCAGAGGGCCAGGTGACATCAAGGTGACCTTGAACAGTGAGCAGGTCATTCCCGCACTGCCAAACCTCCTTTTTGATGATCCATTCTAAGACTGGAAGGTGCATTAGTTTGCCAGGGCTGCTACAGAAGGACCACAACCAAAGGACCAAAGTAACAACCAAAGGACCACAAACTGAGTGGCTTAAACAACAGAAATTTCTTGCCTAGAAATCCTGGAGACGGAAGTGTCAGCCAACCCTGCTGACACTTCCGTCTCCAGAACTTCTAGGAATAGAATCCATCTCTAGAAGTTCTGGAGACATAATAGATTCAATTCCATTCCTAGAAGTTCTGGAGAAGGAATCTATCCCATTCCTTTCCCAGCTCCCGGTGGGCTGTTGGCCATCTCTGGCTCTCCTGGGCTTGTAGATGCATCCCCAGCCCCTCTGCCTTCATCTTCACATGCTGTTCTCCCTGTATGCCTATCTGTGCCCAGATGTTCCTGTTCTTTTTTTTTTTTTTTGTCTTTTAAATAAGGACACCAATCATATTGGATTAGGGGCCCATCCTACTCCAATATGACATCATCTTAATTAATTATATCTGCAATGACCCTATTTCCAAATAAGGTCACATTATGAGGTATTGGGGATTAGGACCCCAACATATGAATATTTGGGGACACAATTGAACCCACAACAGAAGAGGTGCTGATGCCGTTTGGCTGTGCCCCCACCCAAATCTCATCTTGAATTTCCACATGTTGTGGGAAGGACCCAGTGGGAGGTAACTGAATCATGGGGGCGAGTCTTCCCCATGCTGTTCTCTTGATAGTGAATAAGTCTTATGAGATCTCATGAGATCTCATGGTTTTAAAAAGGGGAGTTTCCCTACAGAAGCTCTCTTCTCTTGTCTGCCACCAGGTAAGACATGCCTTTCACCTTCCACCATGATTGTGAGGTCTCCCCAGCTATGTGGAACTGTAAGTCCAATAAACCTCTTTCTTTTGTAAATTGCCCAGCCTTAGGTATGTCTTTACCAACAGCATGAAAACAGATTAATACAGGGGCATACAGTCTTATATTTCTGTTCAGACCTTTGAAAGAATTCAACAGCTCAGAAAAAATTACTCCATCAGATGCCTAAGAAGACTGTGAATATAGACAACTACCCTTTGATGTCCTCAGAGGAGAAAGAAAGGGGTTTTATTAGAAACCATCTGACTGGCCTCTGACCCTGCAAGTTCCAAACCTTCCCAACAGAACCACACTTCTTGGTTTTGGAGGCTCATCTTGGGGTGTTTCCCCTAATTTTGAGCCAAAATTTCCCTGAAAGCATCAAGGGCAGGTGGCAGCTGGAGCAGAGGCTGACAGATTGTAACAAGCAAGGGTGCCAATGGGGTGGTGTCCAAGTGGAAACACCTCTAAGCATAAGCCTCAAGGAAGGGGAAGGGTGAGTTGGAGAGCCGGAGCCACGAAACCGGGGAGAAGCAAACAGGGTGAGTGTGGCCTAGCCCCGTGACCGCAGAGCCCTCCTGTGGCTTTCCACACATTCTTGGGGCTGGCATCCTGCAGCCACCTTGGATCAGGATGTCTGTCTGGTCCCAGGCACTATGAGGTCTTGCCTGAATCTATCTCATTGCCCTGATCCCTCTTGGTGCATTTTTTTTTTTTTTTTTGAGATAGAGTTTCACTCCTGATGCCCAGACTGGAGTGCAATGGCATGAACTCAGCTCACTGCAACGTCTGCCTCCCGGGTTCAAGTGATTCTCCTGCCTCAGCCTCTTGAGTAACTGAGATTACAGGTGCCCACCACCACACCTGGCTAATTTTTTGTATCTTTAGTAGAGACGGGGTTTCACCATTTTGATCAGGCTGGTCTTGAACTCCTGACCTCAGGTGATCCACCCGCCTTAGCCCCCCAAAGTGTTGGGATTACAGGCGTGAGCCACTATGCCAAGGCCCTCCTGGTGCATTCTTACGAGAAACCAATTTATTTGGGCTACCTAGGCCTCTGTTTCTTCAACACAGAGACAAATGGCGTGTGGCTCAGTCATCACACAGCCCACCCGTCCAACCCATTGTCTGATGAGGAAATACAGGGCTGTTCCTTTCTGGAAATGTGTCACCCCTGCTGCCCTTTTCTATTCATTGTAGGTTTTAAGAAACCATATGTTAGGGTCTTAGGATCTCAGGGTTAGATGATTTGGATCCTCAAGATCACGTAGAGCAACACCTTGCAAACTTTAATGGGATCTTGTTAAAATGCGGCATCTGTGGGAGGGGAGGAGGCGCTGAGGTTTTGCATTTTTCACTCTCCCAGGTGGGCTGTGGCCACACTTTGAGAAGCACTGACTCAGACCATTTTGCAAAAAGTGAGGAATGGAGACATCGACTAGTCTGAAGTTCCCCAGCCAATGGGGGGCAGGACTGAGGTTAAAACTCAGGTCTCTCCACTGTCAAGAGCTCTCCACCTGCTGAAATATCCCTGCAACAGGACGGACCTGCTGCTGTGCAGTGTCGGCTCTCTAGTGAAGACAGAGACGTTGACCAGCATCCAGAAAAGCCTGATTCTGAGAGATGAGCCCCTTCATTTGGTGCCCTATGTGCTTCCTTCCCCTGGGACCCGTGACAGCTGTGGTTGGAGGTGCCCAGAATGTCACAAAGACCTGGAAGGGCCTGGCTGTGTCCCAAGGAAACTGTCTTTGCAAAGCAAGTCTGGGGGTTAGATCCAGCCTGTGTACCAAAGTTGGCCACCCACTGCGCTGAAGGGTTCCACTTGGTTTGAAATATTGTTTACTATTGTTTAGGGCTGAGACTCTGAGGAAGTTACATGTGAACTTGCCAATTTTTGTCCAGTGAGATGCTTTAGTCTGGTAAGACTAGGAATGTGTGTAAGCAAGCAACAATTTAGTAAGGATCCAAAGTTAGATTTCTCATGGCTAAATATAATCTAATCAGACTGAGCTCATTTCATCAATTCTTTTACAAATTTTACATTGCCTAGCATTCAGAGGCTTAGACTCACTAGGAATACAAACACGGACACAGGGACAGAAGCTAAGGGATGATTTTGGAGGCTGTGAGTGGTGAAGAGATGGAGAAAAATGGGGTGGAAGAGGCCGGGTGCAGTGGTGCATGCTTGTAATCCCACCTCGGGAGGCCAAGGTGGGAGGATCTCTTGAGTCCCGGAGTTTGAAACTAGCCTGGGCAACATGGTGAAACATGTCTACAAAAAGTTAGCTGGGCATGGTATCATGCACCTGTAGTCCCAGCCACTCTGGAGGCTGAGGCAGGAGAATCACTTGAGCCCAGGAGGTTGAGGCTGCAGTGAGCTGAGATTGTGCCACTGCACTCCAGCCTGGGTGATGCAGTGAGACCCTATCTCAAAAGAAAAAAAAAAGGTAGAAGAAAACCTAGTCTAAAAAACCAATGGTAATAGGCACACACTTAGTTCTAAGCTTCCTGGCAGCCAAAGGAAAAAGGGAAACCTAATGGGGTAAATTTTGAGGCAGTGTTTGTGGGAGGTGTTCCCTAGAAGCAGAGCCTGAGGCAGAGATTCGGCTGCCCCAGACTCATTGAGGGAGGGCTCTCAGGAGCAACCTGCGAGCAAGGAAGTGAAGTAAGATACAGAGGGGAAGGAACTCCAAAACTATGTAGTCTTGGGTAAAGCTTTCCCTTGGCCTGGCCCACAGGGGGCTCTGGACCATAAATTGCATTGAAGACTCCTCCCTGTTGGAGGCAAACAGGCTCCTGCCTTAGTCATCGGCTGTGGGCTGTGCCCTGGGTGTGGGGGGCATAACTTTCTGGGAGAGAAGATTCCATCGTCAAGGCAATGCTTCGTGAGAGGGCCCACTGTGAGCCATCAGCAGCCAACACTCACAGCAGCTGGGGTGGCCCCCAGGCCTGGTAAAGGGGATCTTGGTGGGCACCAATGGCATCCATTGTAGTCATAGATTTCGATGTGACTTTCAGCCTCTCAACCGTACCATTTCGTGTCTGCATTAATTCCATACCTGCCCCCTGAACAGCTCATCCACTATGTTCTCAAACCCCGGGCCAGTTCCTGAGGATGGTCTGGGCAGGAAAACACATGTTTTCTGACCTCAAGAAATGTATGGAAAAGCAGCCTTCAATTGCCCACTCTTATTTTCTTCAATATTCTCTTTTTTATGCCTGCGTTAAACATAGCGTTCTGTACATTCACTTATTTTAGTGTTATCAATGTATAAGTAATGAGTTTATGCATTTTCCATAAACAGACTGTACATAACTTAAATGTGTATGTGGAGCAGATGCATTTTATAAAATATTTATAATAGTGCTGGTTTCTATAGCCATTTCATCTATTTGAAATTTACCAAAATCTAAGAAGCAAATTTAAAAACATTCCCAAAATGGAGTTCCAAAAGCCACACACAAAATCTCACACACTGTCCTTTCCCTCACTTAACACCAGACAACTCACTCCACACACGGCAGTGACCTTGTGGTGTGAGTCCCACGTCCAGGCTGATTACAGAGAGTCCTCTGGGAGCACGGTGTGGGTGGGGGGGAACTGCTGGCCTGGCAGCCAGGACAGGCCTGAGAAGACTGCGTAAGCCTAGGGGTGGGAGCTGTGCCACGCGTGGCAAGTAGATGGATGCATCAGAACAGCTCATGAAGACGCAACAGTTTGGTAATGGATGCTCAAGTAACGAATCTATCGGCTGAGGCCCCAGGAATCATGGAGGACGGATGAGCCATCCCCAGTGTGCCCGGTCCAAATTCCTGACCCAGAGCATCCCAAGCGTAGTAAAGGAGTTGTGTTCTGTGCTATGAAGTTTTGGGGTGGTTGCTTAAGCGGCAGTCGAGACTGGGACAAATTCTGACTCTTTGCAGGCACTTCTCAGTGCCGAGCAGTTGCATCTTTATCTCATTTATACATCATAGTGACCCCTCATTATCACCGTTTTACAGGCGAGGCTAAGTCACTTCCTGATAGACTGGAGCCCAGAAATCCTCTGGTCCCTGAGCCTGGGGTCATGTCTCCTCTGGGGTGGCTCCAGCCCCAGCGTCTCAGAGAAGGGGCCCCCTTCCCCTCCCTATGCAGCACTGACCTGCATCTCATCCCTTTGGAGGCTCTGCCCAGCTTCCTTCTCCTCAGCTCTGTCCAAGCCTGGGCTAATCTCAGAGGAGCAGCTGTGAGAATGCATGCTCAGACCCCCTGCCCCACGAGCATTGTGGTCATAGTCTTGGCTGCTGCCTCCTGGATCTACCGCCCTGTGTGCGCCGAGACCCAAAATCCTGTGTGCTACTGCCAGCCAACGACTGAGTGGGTGGTGGGGGTGCCAGTGCAGGCCCCTTTCTGTCTGTGATGGGCAGCTTTGGCGTGGGGACTGCTGTCTGAGACCCTCCCCCCCCCGGCCCCTTCCTTCCCACTGTCGTTTGCAGGAGCCAGGTAGGCATCGCGTCTGAGGCTTTTCTGCCCTCTCTCCTTATCCATCACAGGCCTCCCTGCAGTCAGCCTCCTGCATGGCTAAGCCCCTGTGCTGTCTGATTCCTGCAGGACCTGGACTCACACACAGGGTGACAGTGGTTCACCCAGTTGCATCTACCCCTCCACCCACTTTGTCCCAACTTGTGAGTGGCCGGGGCCTAGGGGGCCGGCCCCCTTACCTTGTTCACGCCATCGGCCATGGCCTGCAGCGTGAGCTCCCGGGGCCCATCCACTGTCTTGCCGTTGTCTGTGGGGCCCCAGCTGGCGCTGTAGATGTCAATCAGCTGTGGCATATGACTGATGGAGGAGGCCTCGATGATGTCTGTCATGAATGGCTGGTCCAGCATCCGGATGCCTGTGGACACGTTGAGCAGAGGACACCATGTTTGGGTTCCCCAGTTCGCAGGAGACAAGGAGGTGGAGGAGGGCTTGGGCCCTGGGTACTTGGAATGGTTGGAGATCTCAGGTGCTCTGGGGCCACTGTGCAGTCCAGGGATCAAGAAAGAGGCACAGACGGTCCTACTGGCTCCTTTCTGCATCCCACCCACATCTTTGCTGATGTAATGATTTAAAGACAATTTTATTCCCCTAGCAAAACTTACTAGAATTCATGATGGGAGAGACCACCTTTGCTGAAGCGATGCTTTGATAAGCTCGTTTCTAAGTAGAAGCTTGGCCTCAGAGAACTGGGTGTTGGCTGCAGCCAAGTTTTAAGGGAGAAATAAAGCTACTACATATGATAGATGGGGGAGGCAATCAATATTTGATATTTGAGGAGAAATTCCAGCAGGCAGAGGGCAGAGGGCAGGGGACAGAGAGAGGGGCAGGGGCAGTGCAGGAGCGGGTGGGGTCAGGAAAGAGGAACTCCCATTTGCACTGTAGCTGAGAGGGACTTCGGAGAGGACAGAAAGGCAGAGATGGCTATTCTAAACTGTATTAGTAATTCTGTGTCTGACGGCTGCCTCTCCTTTCTTCCCTATAGCATCGCTGTAAAGTTTGTGTTCCTCTCTGATGCCTCGTGGGAGTGATTTCTCACAGAATGTTGGGAAGGAGCAAAGTCCTGCAGTCCAGGATAGTGTGGGACACACAATCCTAAGACACAGGGGCACAGGGTGAAGGTGCTGGCGCTGCCCCCGCAGAGCTGGTGCTCCTAGGCCTCCGGTCCCCGTTTGGCCATCCACAAAGGCCTCTCCAGGGGGATCTCAGTAGCCGCCATTGGGTTGGGTGTGCTGTCTCTCCATCACTACCCTCAAAACTTCGCTGACGGGGTCACATGCCTCTCTCCAGGCTTTGTCATCTGGATGGGTCAGTGGGTTCACAATTCTGTGGCATGGAGCTTAGAGTGCTAGTGAAGCTGACCTGAGTCTTTCCACCCACTGCGATTATGGAATGAAGGGGTTGGGCCATGCACAGTCAAAATCTGGGCCCCAAAACTCCTTCCTTGTCCCCGGTGGCCAAAGGATGTTGTGCCTGAAGGACACTATTTCACAAGCCTCACTCTCTAACATGGCGAGCACGTCAATCGAATTAAAAGCCACCCAGGTCCTTGCCAGGCAGCTGAAATGGACATGAAATTGCTTTCTTTCCTGAGGGACTACTACTTTCAGTCCTCAGGAGACTCGAGGATCTCACTTTCCTCTTCAGTGCTCATAGCCCTCTTCTTGTGTACCTTTAACCTTCTATCGCAACTACTTATTTGCGTGTTTCATATACCACCAGATGGCATGGTCTTTGAGTATAGGGCATGTGTCTATTTTGTTCACTTCCATGTCCTTGAGGATCAACATGATGCTTGGTATTTATTTTAAGCTTGACAAATATTTGGTGAATAAATATCTGGCATTATTACCTTATTTAGTTGATTTTCTCCCCAACACAAATAACAGGTCCAGAAGAATGAATAACAGGCTCTGCTTATCCATCTTCTACTATTAACCCATAAGTGTAATCACCATTTTTGACAACAAACACCCAGTTATCAGTTAGCATTCTTTCTCCTGGAGGAAGATTATCTAGAATAAGCCTAGTCTTTGGTTTGAACTTTCCAGATGTTAAATTTTATGGTTCATTTTATAAGGAGATAGGAAATTTAAGACTCTGTATTTTGCTTTTGGTCCACCTATGTTTTTATTTATTTAAAAACTTTATTTAATGCAGGTGACCAATGAACCACAGAATAAACTGGTCAGTGCAGCTTCTTCTTGTGCAAAGTCACGCCCACTCTGTGGGTGGGAAATAGACAGAGGCTGGCGTTCACTTGCTCAGATGCTCTTGAACTTGCCTAGTGCCAAGATGACCAGGACTGAATGGCCCACTCAACTGGAAGGTGAGAAATTCAACCCCGGCCAAAGCAGGTTTCTGCTGCCCCACAAACCAACGAATGCCAGCCCTGGATTTTGCCAGGGCTGGTGCATGGCACTTCCAGCTGTGCCTTGAACCCTCTTCCTCTTTGCAGCTCTTATCACCTTCATGGGCTCCCTCTGTGCTGCGCAAGAACCTCAGAGTGGATGTGTATTAATCTTCTGACTGTTTTAACATTATAGGGTGGCCACAGGCTGAGAGCAAGTCTCTCATTCATATTCAGGGACCAGGCACCCGACATTCTTTTAATCTTGTTAAGCTCAAGAGGAATGAGGCATGCATTAATTGAATGAGATACAGTATTAATTTTGCAAGCAACTGCACCAAGCCAAGACAGAGGCTCAGCGTGACCCAAGGGTTTTTAGGGAAGGCCTCTCCTCTGCCCCTGGATGCTCTAGGAGCTACAGGGGAATGTGGGGTGGAGACAGAGAGTAGACCGAGTGAGAGAGAGGGAGAGAAGGAGAGAGAGAGGGAGAGAGGCAGACAGACTGGGAGAGAGAGAGAGAGAGAGCGTAGATAGAGGGAGAGAGACAAAGAGAATGGGATAGAGAGAGGCAGAGGGAGAACAGGTAGAGAGAAAGGGAGAGGAGAAGGAGAGAGTGGGAGAGAGAGAGAAGGTAGAGAGAGAAGGAGAGGACAGAGAGAGAGGAGAGGGAGAGAGGGAGAGTGTAGGAGAGAGAGAGAAGGTAGAGAGAGAGGGAGAGGACAGGGAGAGAGGAGAGGGAGAGAGGGAGAGTGTAGGAGAGAGAAGGTAGAGAGAGAGGGAGAGGAGAGGGAAAGAGAGAGGAAAGGGAGAGAAGTAGGAAGGGGGGGGGAGGAGGAGGGGAGGAAGAGAGAGAGGGAGAGAGGGAGGAAGGGGGGGAGGAGGAGGAGGGAAGGAAGTGGGGGGAGAGAGAGAGAGAGAGAGAGAGAGAGAAATCAAAGGAGCTAGGAGTCTGTGTCTTCACATCCCTAACAATGCTGATATGTGTATTTGATGGGCAAGAACAGACACAGGCACACATCAAGTGTTTCTATCTGACCCCAGGCAGGCCTGCACAGCACATTAATGAGTAGAGGTGACTCTGTGGGTCTCTTCCATTCATTTAGAGCCTTCTCTGTCTGCCTGTGCAGCATGCACTGTGGCTAGCCCTGGTGCCCCGGGGGCTGCATGTCCAGGGGATTTGAGCTGCACCCTCTCTGCCTCTGCTCCTGTTGCACAAGGTGTGCCTGTCCCTGCCTCCAGTAAATACTACATCTGCCCACAAACTTCGGTGCTCATCAATGCCACTTTTTGTGCTCATGAATATTAGCTCTGGATGATAAGGAGGAAATTCATGCTCATCCAGGTTTTAGGTTCTGAAAACTCATGTTAGTCATTGTACTTACAGTGATTTTTACTTGTTTATTGAAAAGCTCAGATAAAATATGTTTATCTGCAGTGTTATGAGATTCATTGGCCAATAATAATAGTGATAATAATATGTGAAAGCACTTCATAGCTGGTAGAGAAATTTCACGGCATTTTCACAATGGTCAACAGTGTGGTTTTTAAATATTTTTCAAAATCTTCAATCAAAGGTGATCTCATCCCGAAGCCCGGTGTGTAAATCTGTGTGCTTTGGTTTAAAAAGGAAGGTGAATAGGACCAAACCCACCTGGCCTGGCCCCCTCTTAGGGCTGCTCTGAGAGTCTCTGCAGAAATCCAGAACAGTGAGGAACTGTAGAGCCCCACCCTCAGGCGCCTCTTGTCCCTGAGCCCTGGTTACTCTCTGTCCTCTTTCATGAGTTGTTATCTGATTTTTTTTTATTTGCTCCCTGTCTTTTTCTCCTCCTAGACTGTGAGCTATATGGGGCAGGGGACCTGTCCGCCAGCTTCCATCCCCTGCAACAGGAAGGTGCCCACAGTAACTATGGACCACACAAAAGGCCTGAAGGCAGGAGACAGTGTTACGACTCCTTGATGTGGTCTCGAGCTTTAATATTTTCAGAAATATACATTTGACAAATTTGCAAAAACCATCATTTGGAAGGTCATTGTTTGTGGTACATTTGCTTGGTTTTGTGGATTTTGAATAACACACTTAATTTTAATTTTTGACTCAATCTTTTTGATTGAAGATGTTGTTTACTTAAAAATTAAAATGAAAAAAGAAAGAAGGAAAGAATGGGGTCCTTTTTAAAAAAGACAGTTACTTGAATAAAGGCATTTTCAAAATAAAAAAAGTAATATTTTTCTTCAAAATTTATACAATTAAATCAGTGAAAATGGAAATGTAAATAAACTTTCAAATAATGTTCCTGGGGTTATTAAAGCTTGAAGACTGCAGGATGACTTTTGGGACATCCCGTATGTGCGGGTCTACATGTCACGGAGTTTGAAATGAAGACGGACGCGAAGAGAAATGAAGGAGAAGATCTTTGCATTGATTAAAATGGGTTAGGGGCTAACCTTTGGGACACACCAAGAATGCCTACAAATCAACAAGAAAAAGACAGGAGCCTTGATGGAAAAATGAGAAAAATTTATGAACAGAAGAGGAACTCAGGTAGATGCAGAGATGCTCAATGCTCTCTTCTGTTCAGAGGACTCAATTTACAATCTCCACTCTTCTTTTTTGAATCCCTGGGTTAAGATTCAACCACATTTTAACTTTGGGCTTTTTCTGGAGACAGCGTGGAGGGGTGCTGGGGAAGGACCTCAGACATCACAGGGGCGCCCCCCTAACCTGTAACGAACGAACACCTCGACTTTGAGACCAGCAACGATCCGAGTTGGCCACCAGGTGGCGCTTTAGACCTCCTTAGCCCAGAAAGCTCCCGAATGGAAAGATTCTCTGGAGGGTTTGGCTCATTTTTAGCAAATAATTAAAAACCAGCCAACTTTTGGAATTGCCAGCCAGGATGAATAAAATGTTTTCCTTAAATTTGTAAGATAAACTCTGCTGTTTTTGTAATCCATGAGTAATTCCCCAGTGCTTCCTCAAGAATTCATGCTGACGCCCCAGGGAGCCAGAGGACACTGGGTTCCCTAAGGCACAGGCATGGGACTGGAGCCTCGCAGCCCTTGTAGTTAGAACCAGCGTACGTGGTCACAGGGGAGCCAAGCTGGGGCTAAGGGAGTGGGAAAAGAAAGAAAGGAGCCTCCCTTGCTCAAAATCTTTGGATGTCTGTTCTTGGTTTCTGGAACCTCAAAACGTTGCTGTGATGCCCTAGCTGTCATTGGGCTTCACAGAAGCCCAGTCGCGTCTTTGAGGTGTCAGGCTGCATTCAGCAGGCGAGGCAGAGGCTGCTGCACCCACCGGGTCCTCTGGCCTGCTCCCTGGCTTTTTGCCTGGGGGTGTCCTCTGCTCAAGGAGCTCCACTCAGTTCAAGCGAGCTGGGCAGGCTGGACAGGCCCGACGGCACCCCCGAACAATGAAAGATGGGAACTGGCAGATTAATGCCGCAGCCTCCTCACATTAGCGGGGTCAATTCTGAGGGGTGTTCTCCACACTTCCTCAGAGAATTACCTGCAGGACGGGGCCCCTGTTGTCCATGAGACTCACTTCGTTGGCCTCCATTCCTTTCCTGTCTTCTTCCCCAACTCCCTCACTCTGGCTTCCGGGGACCACCTCCCACATTAACTGCTTGCCCGGAATCCTTGTCTCAGGTTTTGCTTTTAGGCAGAGCAAACTAAGACAGCAGGAGAATTAGATACATTTGATGAGCACTCAATGCTCAGGTGTTTTCAGAGTGCAAATAATAAGAGAAGAGGAAAAAAGGAAAAGAAGGAGATGGAAAAAGAAGCTCCCAGGAACCTCCAGAAAGCTGTGAGCTCCCCCTAACTCTTTTAACTTTTGCAGGTGGTCATTTTACTTTGTTCCAAAAACCAGTTACCTTGGGTGTGTGAACAAGAAATTCAGGTTTGAATTTTTCAGTTGCTTCCAGTTCTGTCCTGTGAGTAGAGAACCCGCCTCCCTTAGATTCCATCCCAGGTCTGAGCCTGGCTTATAAAATATTAACCGAGTGATATTCTTTCCCCTGAGCTCATAATGGCTCCTGACATTTTAATGCCAGCATTTTGGATGTGCACAAAGTAAAGAGAGCTGAAACCCAGGGGCTAAGCCTCCTCTATTTACATTTTAGAAACCTCCAGATGTATTCTTTTGTGACATTCAGCACCCAGTTCAGGCAAGCCTCTTAGCAAACAGTGTTGAAAAGAGGTTAATAGTGGGTTTGTATAGGTTACCTTTGCTTTATTTAGTTCCATGGAAATGGAGTGTCAGCAGAAAGTAGGTTTATGGTTCCATTAAATTGCCAGGAAAAGAAAATATCAGGACAGTTGTAAACAAAAAAGAAAAGAAAAAAGAAAAACAAGGTTGGGTGACTCAGCCTGAATAAATTAAGAATCAATTTGATGCAAAACTTGGAAAAAGACTGGTGCCACTCCATTCTCAGACATCTCGTTGAAAGCTTATGAATCTCTCAGTCTCTGTCTCTGTCTGTGTCTCTCTCTCTTTTTTTTTCTGAGAGGGGAGGGATATTGGGTTCTAAATTTCCAGTGACTTGCCACTCTTATTTCTAAAGGCTCCATCAATAGGAAATTCTTAAATATCCTACCCAATGAAATGTAAGAAAAAGGTTCTAGGCAGAATTTCTCTTTTTAAAGATGAGTTCCATTGTGCAAAACATTTTGAAGAGCTCTGAGTATGTTTACAAATAATTTATACACACCACCTTGTATTCTATAGTCTATATTTGAGACTCATTAAAATGTTATTGACACTGACACAGAAGAGTAGTGACTGACAATTCTATTTATATAAATTTCAAAAACTGGCAATAACCATTTTTTTTTTGCTGTTAAAAAACAAGATCATGATTATTCTTGGGTGTCAGAGTAGTAACTGGAAGGGGACATGTTTGGGGTGCTGGTTACATTTTGTTTCCTGATCACTGTATGGGTATGGCCAGTTTGGGAAAAGTCATTAGCTTATTTATGATTTGTTAACTTTTTTGAATTTATATTATGCTTAAATTAAAAATTTAAAACTATTGATATTGTTATGCAGGTTAAAAGAAAAAAATTTTTTTCACTTGTGCCAAATCTGTGGATCCTAGCTTTTCTGCACCAGTGGGATTTTTTGCTGGGCCACAGTCAGCCTTGAGATCAGTGTGATACCTAGTGGGGGCCTCTGTTTGGCAGGGATGGCTTACCTGCAACCTTGGAGTTGTATGCTACTCCAACTCCACAGATATTGTTGTTGGCGGCAGCAGAAACTTCTCCTGCACATCGGGTCCCGTGGCTTTGGAAAAATATAAAGACACATTAGATATGCAGTGAAACGAATTTGGCTAGATCTCTCATGGGCTCAAAATTCTCTTTGGAACAAAAATGAAATCTGCGTATCATATACAAGTAAACCCTGTGTCACTGAAGAGGTCAGCCCTTGTGTTAAAGTTCTGTGAAGACTTAAAGTGCTGAGCAAACCATTATCTACCTGTCTTTTAGTTTTCTGTAAAGCGCCCCATTTTGGGGTGGTTTGTAAAGCCGCAATAGAGAAATAAAACAAGTATAAGCTGAATCACTGAGAAGGCTGTGTTTTCAGACCCAAACAGCATTCAAGATGCAAAAGATTCCAATGGTACAAATCATCTGGAACTACCAGATCCAACCATGAAAAGTCCACTTTATTTATATTTATTTATTCTTTTTTTTTTTTTTTTTTTTTTTTTTTTTTTTGAGACAGAGTCTCCTCGGTCACCCAGGCTGGAATGCAGTGGTGCAATCTTGGCTTACTGCAGCTTCGACTTCCTGGGCTCAGGTGATTCTCTTGCCTCAGCCTCTTCAGTAGCTGGGACCACAGGTGTGTGCACCACGCCTGGCTAATTTTTTGTATTTTTTGTAGAGAAGGGGGTTTCCCATGTTGCCCAGGCTGGTCTCAAACTCCTGGGCTCAAGCGATCTTCCCATCTAAGCCTCCCACATTGCTGGGATTACAGCTGTGAGCTGCTGAGTGTGGCTAGAAAAGTCCATTTTAATGGTGGGTGGAACAACTACTGAATCAAATGGGCACATTCCCAGGTCTGCTGGGACAGTGCGAGTATGGCCTGCGGAATGCACAAGGTCTTTCCACTCACTGTTCAAATTGTGGCAAACAATCAGGAAATGTGGGTGAAGGGGTTCATTGGCTACATATCCCTAGGAATTTTCCATTTCTGCAGCATCAACTAGTGCACTGTCTGGGACATCCTCTTGGGGCAAGCAAAGCTATCGCACCAGCCCTTAAAAATATCACATGCAAGGATTGAAAATACACACACACACACACACATTTTCTTTCTCTGTATGAGTCAAAGTAAATCCTGCCTCCATAAAGGCTACATATTTCATGCCTCAAAATTCTCTTTGGAACAAGAATGAAACCCGCCTATCATGTACCCAGATATGTAAACCCAGTGTCACTGCAGAGGTCGGCCCTTGTGTTAAACCTGTCCCTGTCCTAAAACAGTTCACCAAAGGCTGGAGGACAAGTGTATGTGAACCAGCTTGAACAAAGTAAAGATATTAAATAAGTCTTCTGTATCTTAATTTTGGCCCTTAAGCGGGGGAGAGGAATGCCATGGGCTCTCCAGAGGAACATATGGGAAGAAACATTTCATTGCTAAATTAGGCAACACTAATTAGCAATCAGCCATAAATAGAGGTTTCTTACGATTGTTCCTAACACCAAGCCTTCTCACAACCCTGGGCTTTTGAATCTGGACTTCTCTTGTCATTTATTTTGACTGAAAGAATGTGGCAGAAGTGATGAGCCTGGGCCTCAGGAGACCATGTGGCTTTTCTGCTTTCTCTTGCCACCCTGTCTAGGCTCCATGTGAGTAAGCCCGGGCTAGCCTATTGGATGATGAAAGACACATAACCTGTAATGCCTGACACCCCAGTCAACAGTAATCCATCAACATGTGAGTGAGGTCATCCTAAACCAATCAGCCCCCAGCAACCTGCCAGCTGACCAGGGAGACAAGGGTGAGCTCAGCCAAGACAAGCCTAGCCTGGTCCAGATCAATAGAACTTTCCAGCCAAACTATAGACTTGGGAGCAATAATCAATGCTTATTGTTTCAAGCTACTGAATTCTGGAATAATTTGTTATGCAGCGTTATCATGGCAGTAGATTACTGACACAATGAATGAACAAGGCTAGAGGGACACCATGGCTCACGTGTGGGGAGCCAGGGTTCACAGCTGGACTGTCAGGGTGACTGTATTGGGGCTTTTGTGAATAGCCTGTATTGAGGGGCTGCTGGGGTGTCCAAATGAAAACCTGAGGCCCTGTGCGCAACCCTGTGGATTTCCTGAGAGAAAGAACAGGCACACCTTTTCCATCCACACTGCTGGCTTTTCCATCAGAGTGATTTGATCATCTCACTTAGTTTTTCCAGCCAAAAGCATGTATTTATATATGTACTACACTTAGGGAATAGTGTTAGATATATCCAGCAATATGAATAAAACAACCTCTTTTACCAGCACCTACTATGAGATGGGCCCTGTGCTGAGAGAGTTACATGTATTATCCTATTAAATCCTCACAACAGCCTATTATTATCCCCATTTTAAAGATGAGAAAACTGAAGCTTAGATAGATGTGAAGTCACTTCTCAAATAGGAGGCAGGACAAGAATTCAAACTCAGGTCTGCTGCTTCCAAAGCCCTGCTCTTAACCATGATCTTTAACTATCATGTAATCCTATTAGAAACATGCAGATTAAAATTGTAACGGTTAATTTCATTTGTCAATATGGCTGGGCCACGAGGTATCCAGACATTCAGTCAGACATTATTCTAGGTGTTGCTGCAAGGGTATTTTGGATGAGACTCACATTTCAATTTGTGGACATTGACTAGAGCAGCTTGTCCTCCATAATGTGCGTGGGCCTCATCCAATCACTTGAAGGTTTAAATAGACAAAAGATCTGGCCTTCTCTGAGAAGAGAGAATTCTCTGGAAGACTGTCTTTGGACTTCACCTGTAACGTTGGATCTTCCTGGTTCTATAGCAGGCTACCTTCAGACTCAAGCTGGACCATTGGCTCTCAGGGTCTCCAGCCTGCTGGCTCACCCTGCAGATTTTGGACTTGCCAGTCTCCAGACTTAGGTGAGCCAATTCCTTATAATGAACCTCTTTTTATATGTATACACATCCTACTGGTTCTGTTCTCTGGAGAACCATGACTAAAACAAAAAGTAACTAAGTAATTAAATCTGCTTTTGCTGGTTTCTTAGTTCAGTCATTTGCTAATACCCATATTAGTCTGTTTTCACACTGCTATGAAGAAATACCAGAGACTGGGTAATTTATAAAGGAAAGAGGGTTAATTGACTTACAGTTCAGCATTGCTTGGGAGGCCTTAGGAAACTTAAAATCATGGTGGAAGGCACCTCTTCACAGGGTGGCAGGAAGGAGTAAATGAGTGCCAGCAGGGGAAATGCCAGATGCTTATAAAACCATCAGATCTTGTAAGACTCACTCATTATCATGAGAACCGCATGGGGGAAACTGACCCCATGATTCAGTTACCTCCACCTGGTCTTGCCCTTGACACATGGGGATTATGGCAATTACAATTCAAGATGAGATTTCAGTGGAGACACAGAGTCAAACCATATCACCATTCAACTAGGTATTCTGGTACAGTATTGTCTCTCACTCTGTAACATGGTTTTTGTTGGTGGCAGAAAATGCTAAATGGTCACCAGTCATTCTCTTTTCTCCCCAGGCTGCAGTAAGGCTCCCATCCTCCCTTGCACTTGTATGTGGCCATGTGACTGAGTTATGGCAAATATGTGAGCAGATGGGTAAATGCTATTTGTTAACCTGGCCCATAAAAATTACCCTTGGGCAATTATTCACTCTCTTTCCCCTCAAGTAGTTTGATGCAAAAAAGCCCAGGAACATTGGAAACCTATGCCAAAGATGAAAGGAGTCTGCATCCCCTAATCACTGCTTAGAGGAGAGCTGCTCCACCAGGAACACAGAGATGGACTGGTGGGTGAGTGATACACTTCTTTTGGTGCTAAGCCGCTAAGCCACTAATATTTCAGGGCCAAGATTTATTTGTTACAGCTACTAGGATAACATGAACTAGCACATTTTAATCTTATTCCTATTGATTATTCCTATAATTTTATTAGATCCTACTCGATAAACTGTTTTGGAAGGATAAATTCTAATAATAAGTGACATAAACTAATTTGAAGGATCCCACAAAAAGAGATGTTGGGTGACAAGGATCAGTACAAAGCAGTCTTTGATGAACAGAAAAAAAATGGCTGCCTTGTCTAGTGGTCGAATTCCCCTACCCTCTCACTAGGTGTGTGCAGGGTGCATGATGGACTTTTGGCATTCGTTTATTTAATGCGCACTTTGAGGCTGGTGTGTAGAAGTGGGTCTTTTAATGGTGAATGGGCCTGTCTGACACTTTGGGGTTTCCATTTTGGCTCAGGCTTATTATTTAAATATGTGAAATTATGAAATATTTAAAAAAATATAGACAATTTCAGTGAATAGTATGATGACTCTCATATAGCCACCATCCAAGTCTATCAAAGCCAAACATTTTTCTTACTTTGGATTATTTTTAGAAAAACATAATTCTTTATAGGCTGGGTGTGGTGGCTCACTCCTGTAATCCCAGCACTTTGGGAGGCCAAGGTGGGCGTATTGCTTGAGATCAGGAGTTCAAGACCAGCCTGGAAACCCCGTCTCTACTAAAAACACAAAAAAATTAGCCAGGTATGGTGGCCTGTCTCTGTAGTTCTAGCTACTCGGGAGGCTGAGACATGAGAATTGCTTGAACCTAGGAGTCGGAGGTTACAGTGTGCCAAGATTACGCCACTGCACTCCAGCCTGGGTGACAGAATGAGACTGTCTCAAATAAAAATAAAAGGCTGGGCGCTGTGGCTCACGCCTGTAATCCCAGCACTTTGGGAGGCTGAGGTGGGTAGATCACGAGGTCAGGAGTTTGAGACCAGCCTGACCAACATGGTGAAACCCTGTCTCTACTAAAAATACAAAAATTAGCCAGGCGTGGTGGCGCGTGCCTGTAATCTCAGCTACTCAGGAGGCTGAGGCAGGAGAATCGCATGAACCAGAGAGGCGGAGGTCACAGTGAGCCGAGACGGAGCCACTGCACTCCAGCCTGGGCGACAGAGTGAGACTCTGTCTCAAAAAACAAAAAACAACCCCCTCCGCGCCAAGAAACAACATAAATCTTTACAGATACAATTTGAGGCCCTCTCTGATGCCATTCCTTCCCCTCTTTGCTTCCTCAGAGGTAACAAGTGTACTAAATTTGCTGTTCAGAACATTTTTATGAACTTATAATCAGGTATGCATAAGCATACATGTCACTCTTTGCATGTTTCAAACTGTATAAAATTTCCTAGTGTATGATCTATGTAAAATTGGCTTCATTTGCTACATTTTCTGAAGTTAACTTGTGAATTCTAGTTCATCCATTTTTAGTGCTGTGTAGTAGTCCATTTATAAATATGCTGTGATTTATTTATTTATACTTCTAATGATAGGTATTTAATTTGTTTGCAATTTGCTTGCTATTACAAATAATTTGAAAAGAAACATTCTTGTTTATTATTTCCATGTACCCATAAGGAATAGTTTCTCTGAGGTCTTCTTGTAGGATTTAAAACAGGTTATATGGCTATGTACTACCTCCTTCAAGGTGTGAGCAATCCTGTTGCTCAATCCTTTTCAACATTGATCATTGTTGAATGTTACCATTTTTGCTAGTCCAGTTGGTGTGAAATGGTATGTTATTGTTTCATTTTGCATTTCCTCATCACTAGCAAGGTAATCTTTTCATAGGCTATTTGGCTTAGATTTTCTTTTCTGTGAATTTCCTGTTAATAACCTTGGCCCATTTCTTCTACAAGGGTATTTATTTATTTTTCATTGATTTGTAGCTGTTCTTTACAAATTTTCTATATTAAGCCTTTTTTTCCATAAAATTTGCTGCACGTCTTCTAGTCTGTGGCTTGTCTTCCAAATTTATTTATTGTGACTTTTTTTTTTGTACAAAAGTGTTTAATTTTAATGTAGCCAGCTTTATTAATCATTTATTTTTCCATGTGGTTTAGTGGCTTAAGAAATCCATCCCTAATTTACATTCTGTAGAGAATCCTCTGCCCTTTCCAGATCTTTTTCCAATCCTGGAGAGATTAGCTGAGAGTCTAGCACCTTTTAAAGGTCTGAACAGGAATCATCTGTCATCTATTGCCTCTAAGAGTGGCCACTTAGGAGATTCATCTACATAAAAAGAACCCTGGTCTCCACAAACCCTTATCTTAACCCAGACACACCTTTCTATTGATTCCAGGTCTTTAGGTAATAATTCAACCAATTGCCAATCAGAAAATCTTTGAATCTACCTATAACCTGGAAGCCCCTGCTTCAAGATGTCCTGCCTTTCCAGACCAAGCCAATGTCTACTTCACATGTATTGATTAATGTCTTATGTCTCCCTAAAACATATAAAATCAAGCTCTGACTCAACCACCTTGGGCACCTGTTCTCAGGACCTCCTGAGGCTGTGTCATGGGTCATGACCCTTAACCTTGGCAAAATAAACTTCTAAATCAATTGGGGAGAAAAGGGAAGAAATCAGTCCCTATGTCATGATCATAAAGATGTTTTTCTTTATTTTTTCCTAAAAGATTTATATCCATTTAGGTCTTTCATTCTCCTGGAATTTATTTATGCTCAGTATGTGGTGTGGGTGCCTATTTCTCCCCATGTGCATAGTTATCACATTTATTGAATACCTTCACTCCATCATTTCCTTATTGTTTTTATTGCTATCTTAATCATATATTAGGGTTCCTTTTATGTGGTGTCTGTTTTTGCACTCTCTATTCTGTTTCTTGATCTTTTTGTCTCTCTGTATGCTAACCCTACAATCTCATATTATTATGGTTGTGTAATGTTTTGGTATCCGGTCGGCAAAGCTTCCCATCTTGCTGTTGTTCTGTTGTTGCTGAACTTCAACCTCATCTTCTTCTTCTTTATCTTCATTCTCTTCCTCTTTTTTCTCCTTTTTTCCTCCTCCTTACTTGTCTTCTTCTATTTTGGCCACTTGTTTTTCCATATCAATTTTAAAACAATTTTGTCTAGTTCCACTGAATAATCTATTGAAACTTTAATTGAAATTGCAATGAATTAATATATTAATTTGATATGATATCTTTATATTGTTCCATCTTCTTATCCCTGAGCTTAGTATGCCACTCTATTTATTTAGGACTCCTTTATTCTTTTGTAAATTTTATAATTTTCTTCTTAATGATCTCACACCTTTTCTTAGATTTATAACTATTTGATCAGCTATGAAATGTAGCATAGTGTTGAATTAAAGGGATGATAGGGAGAACCCACATCTTGTCAGACTTAGAGAATGCTATCAAAGCTTCACCATGAAGAATAATGTTTGCTGTAGGTTTTTGATAAACAGGCTGTTATCTTCAATTCGATAATTAACTCCTCAAGTGCATCCAGGCTAGATTTTATACCATTTATTGAGATTTTATTCCACAGGCTGTATTTTTCAGCTGCAATTGGTTCTTTTCATGTCCATGCTTTTGTTTTTGCCTATGTTTCCACCATCATTTAGTTTTCTTTAAAATGTATGTCACCCATGCATTTATCACTCTGAACAAACTAAAAATAACTTATGATAAAGTCTTTTTCAAGACTGCTTCATAGAACCGATTTCATATAGTACAAATTAATATCCTGATTTTTAGTTTTTTTAGGTGTATTTTTTTCAGGCATTTTGGAATAGTGGATTTTAGGATAATTTTGATGTGGAGATATTTTTTCGTCTTTTTTTTTTTTTTTTTTTTTTTTTTTTTTTACCTCTCTTCCTTTCCTGGCTACTGGTCCTATGATTGTTTCAATTGACTCCTTAGTTCTGTTTCTGACAACCAGTTTCTACAACAGTGTTTCAGGGATCTGCATTCACAGAGATAAGGAGATAAGACAGATTAGTCAGCAAGCCAGTGTGCAACTTGGCTAAGTTCATGCACATGAGGCTGTCTTTGTCTTCTGGTCTCCAGTCTCTCTGCATCTACAGATTCTTAGACAACAGAAGACCCATGGTGGCCAGCTGCAGTCTTTTCACCCTTGGCTTTGGAGAAAGAAGCTCCAGTGTTAGACATATTAGAACTGAAATGCAGAGACTTCCTGGCTAGTTTGGCGTCGACCACGTTTGCTGGCTAATGTCCAATGAGCTCTACAGGGTAAGACTTTGGGGTTTCAAGAGCCTACTTGATAGAATAGATGAGAAATGAATAGCTCAGGCAGAATAGGTTAGAATAGGTGACAGGTGAGAATGAGCAAAGCTGCCTCTGGGGAAGTCCCTGAGTCTGCTGGCAAGCACCCATTGCTTTCTGGAGAAGTGAGCAGACTCCTCATCTTTCTGAGGCCAGATGCTAGACATTTCAAATTTCCTAATAGATCAACTTTGTTTCATGCATACAAGGTATCTTTGGCTATAACTCCTTTTTCAATCAGCAATGCAGAAACACAGGCACTAGAATCTTGACAGAGAGTTTAACCTTGAGCTGACTGTTATCCAGTTTCTGTCAAAAGCTTAAATGAGAGAGCAGATGTCTGAGAAAGGTGGGTGAATGCTACATTTACTCCTGTAGCATAAATTCTCCTACTTTTCTTTGTCGTTGAATAATCTTTGACTTAGCTCCTGTAGAAATCTCTTTGCTGAATTTCACAACTCTATTGGTTGTCGGTTAGGGAGTGCTTACCATGTGCCATGCTCTGTACCAAGCACTCTATACCTGTCTTGAATCCGCAGTACAAGCCTTCAAGGTGGGAGCTTTAGTCCCTGTTTATAGATAAGGGAACTGATTCAGGGATCACTCATTCCATACCAAGCAATTAACATAATATTACATTTGTCTACATAATGTGCTGTATTTCTCTCTCTTAAGAAAAGAGTTATTGATTGCCGTCTGAGTACCATAAAATCTCTATATGGCATGTACACATTAGCTTACAAAGTAGAACTAATTATACCCAAATATAGGTCTTTCTTTTACCATCTTTATAATTTTCTCCATAACCCCTAAATCTATATTACATCTACTCCTTTTAGCTGAAGGAAAAATTTAAATAATAAATACTTTTCTAATCCAGGTAGGGGACTAGAAATTTAAAAATTAAATGCTGTTGGATTTCACTGTGCTCTGGTTTGGATGTAGAAAGGGTTGGTTACAAGCAGTAACCTTTGAGCTAATATCGACTGATGAGGTAGTCTTAAAGCTCACATGAAAAAGACTATGTCTTTGAAAACAGTTTGCATTTTATTATCCAGGAGGTGTTTCAGAATTAGTTCATAAAGACATAAGGGAAAGATGTTCATCTACTCCCAAACCATTAAGTATCACCAGGGTAAGGTATCAGCTTACATCAGTGTGAAAATAGCCAACCAGAGAGGGCCTTTTTTCTCACACTTTTTTGTGGCCTGTTGCTTGGGGTTCTTCAGAATGAAGTATGACTTTTAATAAGAAAATAAAAGTTAATCCCAGAAAACCTTTCTTATTTGAAGGTTTAACTAATGCTATCAATCACATTGGCTCACAAAGAGATAAATGTTCTTCAGCCTCCATTTATCCATCTTCCTTCCCTCCATTTTGTTTGCTTGAGTAATAAATGTCTTCTCTCTTCCTGAATTTATAGTAAACTTTCTGCAGCCAAGAATTGCATCTAACCTAGAATCTCTCACTGTTTAGGGTTTAATAGATAGAGTATGCTGCGTCCCCAATGCTTCATAAATATCGTCAATGGCAGGGATGACATTTCAGTAGTGAACACCTGTCAAAGAAATGCTATGCAAGAGAGATTTTTATGGACAACAGCACAGTAATGGAATACAGATCTGCAATGCATCACCAAACATTGACCTAAAATGAGCAGGGCTGCAAGATTATTGACAAAACGTGGGCTGCAGACCTTGAGAGCAGCAGGCAGCTTGACAATGGACAGATGTCAAGGCCACTCAACATCTTGGCATGGTTGAAAGGTATGCCACTCATCTATCAACCAGTCAGTCAATATTTTTTGAGTGCCAGCAAGGGAAAAAATGTGATGCTAAATCCTGATAGCTCTCAGCAAATCAGTTATATCTGTTTTGCACATTACTGATGCTGATTAAATGTGTATTTTCTACCTTTTTACAATTTGAGTTACTATTATTATTATTTTGTTTGGTCAAATGTATTTTGCTCATTGCAAGCTAAGAGAAAATTATACTCTTTTTGAAAATGTCTTAACTGTATTTCAAGTACATCCCTGGAGCTCAGATACTGCATGTAATTATTAAATGGTTCACAGTAGAATAAATACGCTTGCTCTGCTTAAACAGGAATAATCCAACAAAAGCAAATCGAGCACAAGGCAAGCTATTCTAATATACACATTCCCTAAAAGCAGTTCTGCATATGTATGAAGTTTGTTTTCCTAAAGCACCCTTGGCGTGGAGTTTAATAAAGGAAAACAATGAGTAAATGCAGAGGGTATGAGATGATGGTTTAAAGTGTCAGGAAAACCTAGGAGAGATGTGTTGCTATTGAACTCAGTCTCCCAACCAAGGGGAACATTTTACTTCTTTGAGTGTCCCCTATAGTGCATTTTATTTTCTATTTTCACAGCAGTGAGAATCTCGTGCTGGACAGCCGCTGCCTTTTCCTGTGAAGCAATTGCTCCTGCATTGTAACTAGCCTTTGTGGCAGTCAGTGTGGCTGGAATAGTTAATAGCAACAAGCCTATCGCTGCTCAGCATGTCAGCCCTATACTGGAGTTTCAGGGCATGCTGACACCAGCCTTTCTCAAGAGCCCCAACTCTGCTGAACAGAGATGGGGCATCGGATTTGGTGCCTATGCCCAGAAAACACCTGAAGAACCTGTGGGATGCCTTGGTGTCTGCACAGCTGGTGGGAGGCTCATGCTGGGTCCTATGCCAGCCAACAACAAGTGCCAGGCTCCAGGCTATTGGGGCTTCTGAGAGTAGCAGCATTATCTTGAGTGTAATGAGAGAATGAGCCTCATCTATGCCCCTGGCCCAGTTTCTGACCCAACCACAGAATTTATTTCTTTCTCCTAGCAACTTTTTCAACCCTTTTATGCTCCACCTCACTTGCGGATCCTTCTTAGAATGCTGCCTCCTGCACCAGCCTCCAAATCCCACAGCAGTTATCCAGACCACCTCCTGAACATATCCTGCACCTCCCCGCCAGCCTATCTTTGTCCAGATTATATCCTTGCCCTGGGATACATTCGTTCCCTACTCCCAACTCTACCTATTGCCTTAGATAAAATCCTAGACCAATGACCCACTGGCATCAAATCCTGCCTCCACTTCTTATTAGCCCTGTAACCTTGCACAAGTAACTTAACCTCTCTGTGCCTCAGTTTCCAAAAGGGGAAAATCATAATACCTATTTCAGAGGGTTACTACGAGAATTAGTTGAATGAATACATGCAAAACACAGAACAGTGCCTTAAATACAGTAACTGTTCAACTTGCATTAGCTGTCCTTGTGTTATTTTAGTCTGGGCTACATTTTTGCATTGTAGTAACTTGGGCATCTGTTGCCCAATCATTTGACATTGCAAGCTCCTTGGAAGCTTGCACACCAAAACAGTTTCATGATACCAAACTGAAGTCCTAGTTTTGTTATTACCTCTTTTTATGCCGTATGCTAGTTAAATTTACTTCTTGTTATTAGAAAAAAATCAAAAACATACAAAAATAGAGTAAAATCCCATGTACTCATCACAGAGCTTTAACAATGATTAACCCATAACCAATTTTATTGCCTCTATACTTCAGTCATTCTCTTCCCTCCTGCCACAAGCCATAAGTAATACTGAAGAAAACATCAGGCATAATATCATTTCATCCCAGAGGGGTTTTGAAATAAACATATCGTACACTCATGGAAGGGACGCTTTATTCAAATTCTCCTTCACTCAAGCAGGAATCATCTTCAGGGTAATGGTGATGTTTTGAACTAAGGATTTTCTTGGTTCTGTGGACTTGAGCTTCACCTCACCAGCCTCCCATAATCATTTACAATGGTAGTTATGTTTGAAAGTAGCTGCGATTTGAGTGGTGGCATCATCCAGTCTTTGTAATAACAAGCCATAGTGCGTGAGGATCTTTGAAAATGACTTGATAATTGAAAAGAACCCATTTACTGGTCAAAGTGGACACTCTGTCTTAATCATTGGCTCCCTAAGGCATGGGGATCATGCTTGCCTGAGTCACTATGACTGTGTCTTGGGTAATTGGACACTTGGGAATTCTTACCGCTGACAATGATGAGTTTTATTGCCCTAAGCACTAATTAGTCCTAATTGGAGGTTTTTAGCTGGTTTAAAATTATAATTTTGAGAACAAGTTTGCAAATGAAATATTTAAGAGAGAAGACATTTCCTTAGTGTTTTTAGTTTTTCTTAAATTTTCTTTTTTTTATACTTTAAGTTCTAGGGTACACGTGCACAACGTGCAGGTTTGTTACATAGGTATACATGTGCCATGTTGATTTGCTGCACCCACCAACTTGTCATTTACATGAGGTATTTCTCCTAATGCTACCCCTCCCCCAGTCTGCCACACCCCCTGACAGGCCCTGGTGTGTGATGTTCCCCGCCCTGTGTCCAAGTGTTCTCATTGTTCAATTCCCACCTATGAGTGAGAACATGCAGTGTTTGGTTTTCTGTCCTTGTGATGGTGTGCTGAGAATGATGATTTCCAGCTTCATCCATGTCCCTGAAAAGGACATGAACTCATCCTTTTTTATGGCTGCACAGTATTCTGTGATGTATATGTGCCACATTTTCTTAATCCAGTCTATCATTGATGGACATTTGGGTTGGTTCCAAGTCTTTGCTATTGTCAATAGTGCCACAATAAACATATGTGTGCATGTGTTTTTATAGTAGCATGATTTATAATCCTTTGGGTATATATCCAGTAGTTGGATTGCTGGGTCAAATGATATTTCTAGTTCTAGATCCTTGAGGAATCACCATACTGTCTTCCACAATGGTTGAACCAATTTACACTCCCACCAACAGTGCAAAAGCGTTCCTATTTCTCCACATCCTCTCCAGCATTTGTTGTTTCCTGACTTTTTAATGATCACCATTCTAACTGGTGTGAGATGGTATCTCATTGTGGTTTTGATTTGCATTTCTCTGATGACCAATGATGATGAGCATTTTTTCATGTGTCTGTTGGCTGCATAAATGTCTTCTTTTGAGAAGTGTCTGTTCATATCCTTCACCCACTTTTTGATGGGGTTGTCTTTTTCTTGTAAATTTGTTTAAGTTCTTTGTAGATTCTGGATATTAGCCCTTTGTCAGATGGGTAGATTGCAAAAATTTTCTCCCATTCTGCAGGCTGCCTGTTCACTCTGATGGTAGTTTCTTCTGCCGTGCAGAAGCTCTTAAGTTTAATTAGATCCCATTTGTCTATTTTGGCTTTTGTTGCCATTGCTTTTGGTGTTTTAGTCATGAAGTCCTTGTCCATGCCTATGTCCTGAGTGGTATTGCCTAGGTTTTCTTCTAGGGTTTTGATGGTTTTAGGTCTAACATTTAAGTCTTTAATCCATCTTGAATTAATTTTTGTATAAGGTATAAGGAAGGGATCGAGTTTCAGCTTTCTACATGTGGCTAGCCAGTTTTGCCAGCACCATTTATTAAATAGGGAATCCTTTCCCCATTTATTGTGTTTGTCAGGTTTGTCAAAGATCAGGCAGTTGTAGATGTGTGGTGTTATTTCTGAGGCCTCTGTTCTGTTCTATATATCTGTTTTGGTACCAGTGCCATGCTGTTTTGGTTACTGTAGCCTTGTATTATGGTTTGAAGTCAGGTAGCGTGATGCCTCCAGCTTTGTTCTTTTGGCATAGGATTGTTTTGGCAATGCGGGCTCTTTTTTGGTTCAATATGAACTTTAAAGTAGTTTTTTTCCAATTCTGTGAAGAAAGTCATTGGTAGCTTGATGGGGATGGCATTGAATCTACAAATTACCTTGGGCAGTATGGCCATTTCCATGATATTCATTCTTCCTATCCATGAGCATGGAATGTTCTTCCATTTGTTTGTGTCCTCTTTTGTTGAGCAGCAGTTTATTGTTCTCCTTGAAGAGGTCCTTCACATCCCTTGTAAGTTGGATTCCTAGGTATTTTATTCTCTTTGTAGCAATTGTGAATGGGAGTTCACTTATGATTTGACTTTCTGTTTGTCTGTTATTGGTGTATAGAAATGCTTGTGATTTTTGCACATTGATTTTTGTATCCTGAGACTTTGCTGAAGTTGCTTCTCAGCTTAAGGAGATTTTGGGCTGAGACGATGGGGTTTTCTAGATATACAATCATGTCATCTGCAAACAGGGACAATTTGACTTCCTTTTTTCCTATTTGAATACCGTTATTTCTTTCTCTTGCCTGATTGCCCTGGCCAGAACTTCCAACACTATGTTGAATAGGAGTGGTGACAGAGGGCATCCTCGTCTTGTGCTGGTTTTCAAAGGGAATGCTTCCAGTTTTTGCCCATTCAGTATGATATTGGCTGTGGTTTTGTCATAAATAGCTCTTATTATTTTGAGATACATTTCATCAATATCTAGTTTATTGAGAGTTTTTAGCATGAAGGGCTGTTGAATTTTGTCAAAGGCCTTTTCTGCATCTGTTGAGATAATCATGTGGTTTTTGTCATTGGTTCTGTTTATGTGATGGATTACGTTTACTGATTTGCATATGTTGAACCAGCCTTGCATTCCAGGGATGAAGCTGACTTGATCGTGGCGGATAAGCTTTTTGATGTGCTGCTGGATTTGGTTTGCCAGTATTTTATTGAGGATTTTTGCATCAATGTTCATCAGGGACATTGGTCTAAAATTCTCTTTTTTTGTTGTGTCTCTGCCAGGCTTTGGTATCAGGATGATGCTGGCCTCATAAAATGAGTTAGGGAGGATTCCCTCTTTTTCTGTTGACTGGAATAGTTTCACAAGGAACGGTAACCGCTCCTCTTTGTACCTCTGGTAGAATTTGGCTGTGAATCCGTCTGGTCCTGGACTTTTTTTGGTTGGTAGGCTATTAATTATTGCCTCAATTTCAGAGCCTGTTATTGGTCTATTCAGAGATTCAACTTCTTCCTGGTTTAGTCTTGGGAGGGTGTTTGTGTTCAGGAATTTATCCATTTCTTCTAGATTTTCTAGTTTATTTGTGTAGAGGTGTTTATAGTATTCTCTGATGGTAGTTTGTATTTCTGTGGGATCGGTGGTGATATCCCCTTTATCATTTTTGAATGCGTCTATTTGATTTTTCTCTCTTTTCATCTTTATTAGTCTTGCTAGTGATCTATCACTTTTGTTGATCTTTTCAAAAAACCAGCTCCTGGATTCATCGATTTTTTTTGAAGGGTTTTTTGTGTCTCTAGCTCCTTCAGTTCTGCTCTGATCTTAGTTATTTCTTGCCTTCTGCTAGCTTTTGAATTTGTTCACTGTCGCTTCTCTAGTTCTTTTAATTGTGATGTTAGGGTGTCGATTTTAGATCTTTCCTGCTTTCTCTTGTGGGCATTTAGTGCTATAAATTTCCCTCTACACATTGCTTTAAATGTGTCCCAGAGATTCTGGTATGTTTTGTCTTTGTTCTCATTGGTTTCAAAGAATGTCTTTATTTCTGCCTTCATTTCGTTATGTACCCAGTAGTCATTCAGGAGCAGGTTGTTCAGTTTCCATGTAGTTGTGTGGTTTTGAGTGAGTTTCTTAATCCTGAGTTCTAATTTGATTGCACTGTGGTCTGAGAGACAGTTTGTTGTGATTTCTTTTCTTTTACATTTGCTGAGGAGTGCTTTACTTCCAATTATGCGGTCAATTTTGGAATAAGTGCGATGTGATGCTGAGAAGAATGTATATTCTGTTGATTTGGGGTGGAGAATTCTGTAGATGTCTATTAGGTCCACTTGGTCCAGAGCTGAGTTCAAGCCTGGATATCCTTGTTAACCTTCTGTCTCGTTGATCTGTCTAATATTGACAGTGGGGTGTTAAAGTCTCCCCTTATTATTGTGTGGGACTCTAAGTCTCTTTGTAGGTCTCTAAGGACTTGCTTTATGAATCTGGGTGCTCCTGTATTGGGTGCATATATATTTAGGATAGTTAGCTCTTCTTGTTGAATTGATCCCTTTACCATTATGTAATGGTCTTCTTTGTCTCTTTTGATCTTTGTTGGTTTAAAGTCTGTTTTATCAGAGACTAGAATTGCAACCCTTGTGTTTTTTTTGTTTTCCATTTGCTTGGTAGATCTTCCTCCATCCCTTAATTTTGAGCCTATATGTGTCTCCGCACGTGAGATGGGTCTCCTGAATACAGCACACTGATGGGTCTTGACTCTTTATCCAATTTGCCTGTCTGTGTCTTTTAATTGGGGCATTTAGCCCATTTACATTTAAGGTTAATATTGTTATGTGTGAATTTGATTCTGTCATTATGATGTTAGCTGGTTATTTTGCCCGTTAGTTGATGCAGTTTCTTCCTAGCATTGATGGTCTTTGCAATTTGGGGTGTTTTTGCAGTGGCTGGTACTGGTTGTTCCTTTCCATGTTTAGTGCTTCCTTCAGGAGCTCTTGTAAGGCAGGCCTGGTGGTGACAAAATCTCTCAGCATTTGCTTGTCTGTAAAGGATTTTATTTCTCCTTCACTTATGAAGCTTAGTTTGGCTGGATATGAAATTCTGGGTTGAAAATTCTTTTCTTTAAGAATGTTGAATATTGGTCCCCACTCTCCTCTGGCTTGTAGGGTTTCTGCTGAGAGATCTGCTGTTAGTCTGATGGGCTTCCCTTTGTGGGTAACCCGACCTTTCTCTCTGGCTACCCTTAACATTTTTTCCTTCATTTCAACTTTGGTGAATCTGACAAGTATGTGTCTTGGAGTTCCTCTTCTTGAGGAGTATCTTTGTGGTGTTCTCTGTATTTCCTGAATCTGAATGTTGGCCTGCCTTGCTAGGTTGGGGAAGTTCTCCTGGATAATATCCTGAAGAGTGTTTTCCAACTTGGTTCCATTCTCCCTGTCAGTTTCAAGTACACTAATCAAACGTAGATTTGATCTTTTCACATAGTCCCATATTTCTTGGAGGGTTTTTTCATTTCTTTTTACTCTTTTTTCTCTAACCTTGTCTTCTCACTTTATTTCATTAATTTGATCTTCAATCACTGTTACCCTTTCTTCCACTTGATCAAATCGGCTATTGAAGCTTTTGCATGCGTCACGAAGTTCTCGTGCCATGGTTTTCAGCTCCATCAGGTCATTTAAAGTCTTCTCTACACTGTTTATTCTGGTTAGCCATTCATCTAACCTTTTTTCAAGGTTTTTAGCTTCCTTGCAATGGGTTAGAATATGCTCCTTTAGCTTGGACAAGTTTGTTATTACTGAGCTTCTGAAGCCTACTTCTGTCAACTCATCAAAGTCATTTTCCATCCAGCTTTGTTCTGTTGCTGTCGAGGAGCTGCGGTCCTTTGGAGGAGAAGAGGCACTCGTTTTTTAGAATTTTCAGCTTTTCTGCTCTGGTTTCTCCCCATATTTGTGGTTTTATCTACCTTTGGTCTTTGATGTTGGTGATCTACAAATGGGGTTTTCGTGTGGATGTCCTTTTTGTTGATGTTGATGCTATTCCTTTCTGTTTGTTAGTTTTCCTTCTAACAGTCAGGTCCCTCAGCTGCAGGCTGTTGGAGGCCCACTCCAGACCCTGTTTGCCTGGGTATCACCAGCAGAGGCTGCAGAACAGCAAATATTGCAGAACAGCAAATATTGCTGCCTGATCTTTCCTCTTGAAGCTTTGTCCTAGAGGGGCACCCACCTTTGTGAGCTGTCTGTTGGCCCCTACTGGGAGGTGTCTCCTAGTTAGGCTACATGGGGGTAAGGGACCCACTTGAGGAGGCAGTCTGTCCATTCTCAGAGCTCAAATGCCATGCTGGGAGAACCACTGCCCTCTTCAGATCTGTCAGACAGGGGCGTTTAAGTCTGCAGAAGCTTCTGCTCCTTTTTTCCAGCTATGCCCTGCCCACAGAGGTGGAGTCTATAGAGGCAGTAGACCTTGCTGAGCTGTGGTGGGCTCTGCCCAGTCTGAGCTTCCTGGCCGCTTTTTTTTACCTACTCAAGTCTCAGCCTCCCTCCATCAGGCTGCTGCCTTGCAGATCAATCTCAGACTGCTGCACTAGCAGTGAGCAAAGCTCCATGGGCGTGGGACCTGCCAACCCAGACATGGGAGAGAATCTCCTGGTCTGCTGTTTGCTAAGACCATGGGAAAAGCACAGTATTTGGGCAGAAGTGTCCCATTTTTCCAGGTACAGTCTGTCACGGCTTCCTTTGGCTAGGAAAGGGAAATCCTCCGACCCCTTGCACCCACTGTCCAACTAGTCCCAATGAGATGAACCAGATACCTCAGTTGGAAATGCAGAAATTGCCCATCTTCTGCGTCGATCATGCTGGGAGCTGCAGACCAGAGCTGTTCCTATTTGGCCATCTTGGAGTGGAACCTTTTAGTTTTTTTAAGGAGTATTTTTATAGCACATTGCCCAGGAAGATTTGACTAGGGTAGATTTTGTTTGGGTTCAGAAAATGAGATTGGGGGATAATCTTTCCATTGGTTATATTTTTGTGCTTACATCAATCCATCAAAGACTAATTTAGTACCTACTAGTTACAGAAAGACAGCAAGTAGCCAGTGGATATGTTGCCACTGCACTTTCTGATATTCATGCGGAGAGCTGGTAATCAATCCTGCTGAAGCCAGACCCTCTCATGGCCCTTCTCAGCACTGTGCCCTGGATGGCCACTGCCAATTCTGTCTAAACCCCAGCTTAATGGCACACATTTGGTAACTTCACATTCTTGTGTCTGAAATGGTTTATTTGCTAAATATATGCTACCATCTAGGGTTAGAAGTCACAGAGATAAAACACACTTCATGCCAAAAGTTTTCAGACCTTTTTTATACATTCTCATCCTCTAAACACACACCTCCAAGCATTGTATGTCATTTTCAGGTTGCAGGTGATGTGGATAGAGAATGAATTGTGCTATCCGACATCAGCAATGATCTTTACAAAATATTACAAAATTAAATTTCATTTTCTTTTTTCTTATTTTCTGCATTTGTACTCAGAACCTGTGTACCCTGTGTCAACCCTTGATGAGACTGAGGGGTCTCAGGTCAACTTGCTAACTTTAGAGACAGAATCTAAGCTTCCTGTCCACTGAGGCTCTACCCTTGAACATATTCTGGTCATCATGCTGCCTGTATCAAATAATAGAAATGATACTCAGCAAAGAATAGTACAAATGTGGATTTGGAAATAATTTGAAGCATGGGGCTAATCTTGGCTTTGACTTGAATTTTAACTGTTTGACCAAGGAAGCCCTTCAACCCTTCTGAGCCTGTTTCCTTATCACTAAACTAAAAATGACAACATTTGTTTTATGTGCTACTTAGAGTGCCATGAGAAATAAAAAAAAAAATGGATAAAGTGCTCTGCACATCATATATTTTTATACAACTAATTGAAGTTCATATGTTTTTATGAACTTCACCCAAGGACGTCAATAACAGGGAAACACTAGGTTTAAAAATTACAGTATTCTTTCATTGAGCAAACCGCACATCTTTATTTCTTCATATCTCTTATATGTAATTAACCATTTAAGAAAAATGTTTACTTGAAGAAAAAAGAGACCACATTTCCATGTTTAGTGGCAAAACAAGCTGAAGGAAAATTATTCTCTTGGATGGACTGTTTGGGTAGTTTGACATCATAGGATCTTTGTCCCAAGCAATACTTCAAACCTCTGCCAATCACACTTACTGTTTTGTTGAAAGGGACTCCATGAGCTGTTATGGGGTTATAGCAGAAAGCGTACAGAATGCTTTTCAAAAACACATAGACCCATGGGGCAAAATACTTCTCTACGACAGTTTCAACACATAAAGCAAAATCAGCATGTTTTAAATCACCTTGTAATGGGTTGAGAAAGAACTTCTTATTTCTATTTTCTTTTCTCTTTAATGGATTAAAGTAGCAAATAATTTCAAGTTAGCAGAACAAAACAGTCAAAAGATTATTCTAGAGGAAGATTGTAATATTAAAAATTTCACTTTAGAGAATGTAACCACTAAGAAGAAAAATCACAATATAATTTAATGAAGCATGGGGATTATTTTGCTGGTGGTAGTCAAGCCTGAAACAAAACAAAGTAGAATAAAACCCCAAAGCCTAAAGTCAAAGAGACCTCCCAAGGCCCAGTTTACCTGTTAAACCAGTCATCTGTGTACCGAGGGTAAGGATAGGGGTCGTTGCTGCTGAAGTCGTAACTTGCTTCGGCATTCTGAAAAACACAAGGCATCTCATTAGGTCCGTACAGCCAGAGGCGCAGTAAAGGGAAAGCGCTGGGAGACTTTAAACATTTCTAGTCCTCCCTGGAGTGCTGGATTAGTGTGCTGCACTGGACCAAACCTCACAAAATTGTGTTGGAGCCAAAGCATGTCTTTGGGGTTTTCCATCCTCTCTTGATATTCTCTTTCAGGCTTCCCCATTTCATCCTATTTCAAGCCTTCAAGGGGTTAGCAAATGTAAGCCCTGTGTTCTCCAGGACTGTCTTCCTTTCAAGTTGATGTAGCCCTTGTGGTTAATGGATTTCACCTGGAACCCAAGATGTAGGGTAAGCTTCCTTAATCCTTCCTTGGACAGATGGCCAGATGTTCTAGTTCTCACATCACAAGTGAGATGGCCTCTAGAGTTTCCTTGCTTTACACAGAAAGCTCACAACCAGCTTCTTCCTTCAGACTAGCATAGGCTGGTTTCCTTTCCCCTTATGGGTTTTAAACCCCATGCCCAAGGCCCTGACGTTGTCCACAATTGACCTTATTTATTCACTCAACAAATATCATTAAGAGTCCAATATATGTCAGAGACTTTGCTAAGTACGGGAATACAATGGTGGCATCCCTGCCCTTATGTAACTTATAGCCTAGTTGCGGGAACAGACATCAATCGAAAGATCAAACAAAGAAATGTACCATTACAAACTTCAATAAGTATCTGTATGAACTCTTATGCCCTACAGCATATGGTCAAAAGTGTACTATTCTCTGTCATCCAGCACCTTCCTTTTTCCCACTGAGAATCTTTCCCCACATAAAATAATTATGTAGCCACTAAAACTGTCTAAGCAATTTTGTGGGTTTTTTTTTTCTTTAACATTTAGGTCTTTAGTTGGTTTGCCTTTTATTCTGGTCTGTAATGGGAGATGATCCACCATTGTTTAGTGAATAACCCATTCCTTCCCCATTCCCTTCTCTGCTTGCTTGGAGAAGCTGCTCTCTCTCAAGTTCCTTTTTCCTCATCTCATTCTCCTCTCCTTTGTTTTGGGGGTCTGAAATGAAGACCCCAGATGGCTTCTTGGTTCACAGTATACACTGGGCCAGGAAACACTGGGTTAGAGGCACATTCCAGCTTTGGCATTTCTTGATGTTATGGGTCCTGAGACATATTTAGGAACTGTGCTTTATCATAAGATAACACACAAGTTTTGTGACACACTTGAGTTTGTAAGCCTAATGTGGTGGCATAATGTTTTTAAGAGCAACTCCACTAATTCCATTAATTTTTGTTTTATTGTTTAGGTGACAAAATCACCAGTAGTTGTAATAATCAGAGTTGTAATGCTAATTTATTTAAATAAATGCTGTACTTGGGCAGGAGTCACCCTGAAATTTGGCCCAGTAATTTGCCTGGAGTCTTAAGCATGTTGATCCTTTATTCCAGGATCTAGGTCTTCATTCAACACTTGGCTTTCAGAGAGGAGGAAGTCTTCTCGTCTCCACTGACCATAACTACTGGCAAGTTGCCAGTTTTTCGACTCCTTCCCCACTTAGACCCCAGATTGCTTTCATTCACTTTAAAAGTTTAATTCTGTATCTGGCCCGCAATCCGTGTTCCTGGGAGACCCTCTCAGATTTGGCCTTTCTCCCACTGACTTCCCATGCGATATTTGGATTTCTGTTTTTTTCAGAGATACTATTTTGAAATAGTAACTTGTCTTCCCCAAGGGTGTTCTGTTCTCCTAACCTCTGAATTTTTCAGAGATAACAGCATTCTTAGGTATAGTTAGTGGGGTAGGAATATCGAGAGAAACACAAGTTAATACTTTTTTTTCTGGGCTTCAAAGCTGAGATTGAAACTTAAGCAGTAGATTTGGAAGAGTATCTGCCCAATCTGGTTTGTTTCTCTTTAGAAAAAATTAAAATTCCCTAAGGTGAGGTGGGTGGAAATCCAGCACGAGTGGCCACTCAGCGGGCCCCTGAGGCTGCCTCTTCCTTCTGAGGTGTGCTGTTGGAGTGGGAAGAGGCACGCTGGGATGTCCAACCTCAGAGAGGCCTGGGACTCAGCTCACAACAGGGACATAGTGTTGCAGATCAGAAATGCCCCTGTGAGGCATCTGAGCTACAGGCTTGGGGCAGCTCCATCCTGCATTCCCTTGATCCCCAGTGGAGAGCAGGGAGCGGAGGTTGGTGAGGATGTGACGCTGAGAACTAGCTGGCCTAGGACATTCGGGTGGTCAGGACAATAAGCATCCAGGGTTTAGGCAGGATCTGGGTGAACTGACCACCGAGGCCAATGGGAATGGTGTTACTGCAGAAGCCAGAGTGGACAGATGATGAAAACCAGCACTAGGTCCCCGTCTCCCTCTCTGGAAGGCTGTATGAATCTTTTGAAGCTTGAGGGCGCTTCTGGAGACAGGGAGGACAGGGGCAAAACCTGAGCGGACTGAGACCATGTTTCTACCAGGCTGGCAGAGGGAAATGAAGTCAGTGAGGGAAAACTAGAGAGTGTTTGTCCCTTTGTAGCTGCTGCCTGAGTGACTGGCTTCTCAAACTTTCCACTTGGGCTTATCTTTTGGGCTGATAATTATCACTGGGGTCTGTCTGAGTGAGGCTGTTGGCTCTGCTCCTGACTCTGGGAAAATAGTTTGGCCGGACATGGCAGGGGTTGGAAGCAGGACCTGGAGAGTTCTGAGAGCAGAGCTTACAGCAGAGAACCCTCAGAACTCTGCAACCACTTTTATAACAAGAAGAAAGACCTTGTATTGTCTGGGGTCAAATTGGCCTCTGAATGTTGAAATGGATGATAACTCAGGAACCCCAATTATTTTGTTGCCTTTGCAATGAAGTTTTGATGACTAATGCTTAATTCCTTGGGTAACAGTCTACACTGAACATTAAGGAAGGCAAACAGTTGTTATTCTTGTTTGGCTGTATGTTTTCTGGCTAAAAATCAAATGGTTTCTAGCAAGGAGGAACCATATTTTGCAAGCGTTCTGTTTATGCTTGTACAGCCAAACCGAGTCATTTATTGATTTGAATTACAATGCTGTCTCCCATAAAGTTATTTGTGTACAGGAATAAGTTAAACTGGCCTTGAATGCTACTGGAGTCTTCTATAATTGCCATTAACATGGACATTTGGAGCAGGTGGTGTTTGGTGAATTTAATGTTCTGGTCACCGAGGCTTGCCAGATGCTTGCTTTGTTTGGACTTCTCTAACTTTTTACTGAAATCCTTTAATCGATTTTCCTGCTTTAGAAAATACTAGCTGTTTGGTGAAAATAATTTAATCTCTGATGATTCAGGATCGAGATGATTCAGAGTCATCATTAAGAACTTGAATTATCATTGTACCATCACACCGAAAGTGAGAAGGTTGGGTTGATTCCAAGCTGACCTCAGGGCTTCTCTGGGAGTTATTTCTGGGAGAAACTTCTGATGATGGCTCATGTTCTCTTCTAAAAGTTTAATGCACAGGGGAAAAAAACCCATCCCTGGTATATAATAATTCTAAGGCTTAATTTCTGAATATTTGAATGCATAATTAGGAAGAAAGATGAGACTCGCTCTTAGCTAGAAAGTTTAATAATTACAACTTGGCATTGTTTGCAGTGTGTACTTTTCAAACAGATGGCCTGCACCACGCTAAGAAAGGACAGTCACTTATTATATTCACAGATTCCTCTGGCTTTTTATATATGAGGTGCTGTAATTGCCTGGCTATCAAAGACGCAGGCCCACAGATGACACCTTTCGGATTTGGGGCTTGTCTATCTGAATGGCTGGTGATGAGAGAGGTGAGAGCTCCTGCAGTCAATGGTGGCTGTGCCCATTGCTTTTACATCCACAGAGAAGCTTCTGAGGCTCCTGAGATTGCACCTGGCCCTGGCACTGCCATCCATACCTTCAAATCTGGAATTTAATGCCTCTGTGATCAATGGGCTTCCCTGGCTGGGCTGCCCTAGACAAATACGTCTGCAGGTACCAGCTTGATGTAGGGGAAGGAAGAGAGACATTCAAGTCAAACAGACTTGGTTTTGAAATGAGGCTGTTTTTGACCCTGGAAATTTTCCTATTTTTTAGAAACTGTAGTTTCCTCATCTTCAAAATGTAGGTGGTAAAACTGTTACTAGTTGGTTGCTGTGAGGATAAAATGAAACAAGGAATGTAAGCTGGCAAGCACGTTGCCCCACGCAGTATGGGCAATGCCTCACCTGACTTCTCCTGTTGTGTCCTCTTTCTTTGATCACCGACAGCAAAGGTCACAAAATATGGCCCACCAGCTAAATCAGCCCATGGCCTGTTTTTGTAAGTAAAGTTGTATCGGAACACAGCCACATCCATTTGTTTATGAATTGCCAGTCGCTGCTTTTGCACTCTAACAGCAGAGATAAGTCGTTGTGACAAAACCCCACAAAGCCTAAAGTATTTACAAAGTGGCCTTTTATCGGAAAGAGTTTGCCAATCCCTGACCAATGTCCGAGGCCTCTTGGGCTCCCAGGCTGCCCTCTGATAGCCCACACTATAGCTTCTCACTCAGTCTTTGTCTTTCTAGGCAGATCTCTCTGCTCTGAGACATACGTGCCCCATACCTCGTTCTCTCCTGGGCTACAGCCACTGAATCTGGTATGAACTAGGCTGACTACCTTGTTGGGAGTTTGAAGCTTGCTCCTCCTGTGTCTCATGCTAGCTGAAGGTGGGTTATCAGGCAGATACTGAGCCCCAGCTCACCAGGTAATGATGGAGGCTGAGGAGAGCATTACATTGCGATGGTGAAGAGGTGCCACCGTGGTTTCCACCACTCCACTGCCCACCACTGGTCAAGCCCCTAGGAGTCACCGTCCTCTAGTTCTTCTGTTTCTCAACCTACGAGTGTCCTGTTTGTTTCCAAGGTTAGAACACTGCCCTTGGCAGAGAGTGGCAGTTACTTGCCATAAGAAAGAAGACCAATGTATTTAATATGGACATCCACTGATGTGATTGAACAGATATTTTTAGAGTACTGAGGGGCAAACTCTGTGGTCCAACTACAAAATTGTGAAAATGGATTCTGTAATCAGGGCTGTTGTGTACAGTTGTGCAGGTTGTGCATTGCGCCAGGGGTTCCTGCCCACAGGGAGCAACTAGGGTCTGCATTGGACTTACCAAGCCATGTGCACCACCCCCACACCCCAAGGTGGAGGAGGCTTTAAAAAAGAATTGGTCAGCCCAGAGGGGCTGCCTTTTGCTCATTTGTCCACCCAGAAGGGGACATCTTTTCTAATTTGCCCATAGACAGGGTGCTGTTTCCCAGTTCACCCACCAGTAGGGAATGTCATTTTCAATTTCACACAAATGGCACTATATACCTACTAGCATGTCCACGAAGCACAAGAAACAGGTCTCTATGGTTATAGTTGTGCACAAACCCGACCTCAAGGAAATTGTGCCACAGAAGACAAGATGTTTCTTGTGAGACTTGAATAACATCTTAAATAACAGGAGTTTATGATCACGAGTACAACGTGGTAATGATTAACTGCCAATGTAATTCCACAGCTACAGGAACTCAGAACAAGAAACCGCATTGCATTTGTCCTTTTATTCTGTCTTGCTACTTTCCCTGAAGGCATTTAACCAAATAACCCAGCTAGGAGCTGTGTAACAGTATTAGCTGAAATTGCACTGTGCTCATGGACTAATGAAAGAGAAATGAGCTCCTTCAGATAGACTCTCAAACTGCAACCATATTGCCCCAGAACAAAGCTCATCTGTATGGAAACTGAGAAGCAAAATAGCCCAGTCCATTAGAGCCTAAAGAATTTTGCTATTGCGCCTACTTGCGTCTAATATGGCCACGGCTTAATGTTCCCAACTGTGCCTATTTTGATTTTCCTCAAGTAATTCTCCCACATGCACTGGTTTAACGATAATGTTCCGCTCACTTTTGACTGAAACGAACATTAAAGGGATTTATGTCTATATTAAATCTGGCTGTAAAACTTAATGAAATTTAACATTTCTTCAGCATTCAAAAAAATTTAGAAAAAGATACATAGTCAGAAACTTGTTTGAAATCTTTCTTCCATACTCCTAAGGTTGCCAGGGTCATATAATTTTCTAGTGACACAGTGTTCTCCCATTGTGGATTTGACACATTTTCCCATCACTTTCTTCTTGCTTTTGGAAATTCTAGCAACTTCTGTAGTCACTGGAGCACTTTCCAGATAAGAGGAGTGATACAACTGAACGGTCAGGCCACACAGTTGTGTCCTGGGTGGCTGGACATTTTATGTTTTCTTTTCTTCTTTTCTTTTCTTTTTTTTTTTGAGACGGAGTCTCGCTCTGTCGCCCAGGCTGGAGTGCAGTGGCGTGATCTTGGCTCACTGCAAGCTCCGCCTCCCAGGTTCATGCCATTCTCCCGCCTCAGCCTCCCGAGTAGCTGGGACTACAGGAGCCCACCACCACGCCTGGCTAATTTTGTTTTTGTACTTTTAGTAGAGACGGGGTTCACTATATTAGCCAGGATGGTCTTGATCTCCTAACCTCGTGATCCACCCGCCTTGGCCTCCCAAAGTGCTGGGATTACAGGCATGAGCCACCATGCCTTTTTTTTTTTTTTTTTGAGACAGAGTCTTGCTCTGTTGCCCAGGCTTGAGTGCGGGGGCATAATCTCAGCTCACTGCAACCTCTGTCCCTAGGGTTCAAGTGATTCTCCTGCCTCAGCCTCCTGAGTAGCTGGGATTACAGGTGTGCCACCATGCCTGGCTAATTTTTAGTAGAGACGGGGTTTTGCCATGTTGGCCAGGCCAGGCTGGTCTCGAACTCCAGACGTCAAGTGATCTGCCTGCCTCAGCCTCCCAAAGTGCTGGGATTACAGGCATGAGCCTCTGTGCCTGGCCAGTATTTACCAGAGCTAAGCAGCTCCATCCTTTGGCCCTCATTGCCACCATTATCAGCAGACTTGGGAGAGGTTCTAAACACTAAACAGATGAGGAGATAATAACATTAATTCTTAATGGCTAATAGGGTGCCCCAAATTAAAAAGATGCCTTTATCTTTTTCAAAGTTGTTTAAAATATATTATTTAATTGATATTTTCCAAAACCCTGTGGTGGAGGAGTGCAGCTGTATTGCAGGAAGGAGCAAACAGTTGCTCTAAGTAACAGCCGAGGCAGACACCTCCGGAGGGTATCTTTAGAGTGGCCTTTGCCTGTCTATGTCTTCTTGCTCGGCTTGCTATTTTAGAAGGCCAGTGAAGCATGTATTAGGCTAGATGGAGGCTGATTCCCACACATGAATTTTAAGAGCTTCCCTAAAAGCGTACATTCCTGGAGCTGACCTGATGTATTAAAAATAAGCTGCCATTCATTGGAATGAGGCTCTAAGAGCTGGCTCCAAGATAGGCTCTAAAACTTGGGTGGAAAAATTTACATTGTTATTTGCACTAGCCACCACCTCAAATCAAGCATTTCCTTCAATTACGAATGGGAAGTACAAACAACAGTATTATTAGCAGTACCTGTGAGCATATCATCAACATGTATCTTCATTCCACATTAGGGTTGTTGCCGGTATGCTAAAAAGTATCTTTTCAGCACACCCCTACCTGCCACTAGATTTTGTTATTTGATGCATTAATAAAGGACATATGTTAGCATTTCACAGATGTGTAATTTCAATCTTTTGATAACTGCTTCCATATAATAGCATTCCTTGGTGCCATAGTCTGAATGTTGGTGTCCCTCCAAAATTCATATGTTGACATATAACCCCCTGTGTGTTTGTATTAAGAGGTGGGGTCCTTGGGAGGTAATTAGGTCATGAGGGTGGAGCCCTCATGAACGGGATTAGTGCCCTTATAAAAGAGGCCTGAGGGAGCCTGTTTAACATTTCCACTATGTGAAGATGTGGCAGGAAGTCCTTGTGTATGAGGAACAGGCCTTCACCAGACACCACATCTGCTGGCACCTTGGTCTTGGAATTCTGGTCTCCAGAACTGTAGCCAATAGATTTCTGTTGCTTATAAATTACTCAGTCTAAGATATTTTGTTATATCAGCTCAAACAGACTAAAAAACTTGATTACCTTGTATATCTTGTTAATGTATTTAAAATATTATTTTGAGAATGAGGGGACACAGGTGCTTCTGTATGTGGTTGGTTGGTATGGAAGTTGGCACAATCTCTTTGAAGAGAAATTTGGCAATATCTATCAAAATAAACATGAATGGACTGTTTGACCCAGCAATTCCACCTCTAAGACTCTACCCTAAAGATATTCTTCCATATGAATGAAAGATGTATATTTAAATATATTCATTCTGGCAGTGACTGTAATAGTGAAATATTAGAAACAACCTAAATCTCCAACACTGGGGATGAGTTAAAGAAATTCTGGTGCACCCATATGATGCAAAACTCTGCAGCTCTGGCAAAGAATGAGGTATGAAACTAGCAATGAACTCATTCCCAAGAAATGTTGTTAAGCAAAAAAGGCAATATGTAGAATAGAGTGGATAGTGGGCTCCCATTTGCACAGAAGAGAGGGATGGACTTGATGGTAAGTATAGAGTAGTTCTGAGAAGAAGCACAAGGGTCTTTTTACAGTACTTTGCCTGGGGAGAGGCGTGGGGTCTAGGGTGGAAGGAAGACTTAGTTTTAATTACATTTTGTAATTAAAATTAGTAAAAATTACATTTTGTGTAATTTTTTTTTACTGTAATGATATCAGGTAGCACATATGGAGTGCGTATTTTGTATAGGGGACTCTTAGATATTTTGTATGCATTACTCATCCTTATGATGTCCTTATGTGGGTAATACCCTTATTGTCATCCTCATCCTATAAGCAGGGCAGTGTAGGCACAGAGAGGTTGAATACTTTGCCCAAGGTCACACAGATGATGAAGGGCAGAGCAGGGATTTAGACCAGGCAGTCTGGCTCCAGAGACCTCTCTCCTAAGTGTGCAATCTTGCTTTTCTGCATCAGAATTATATTAATCATATTCTACTGCATGCATTATTTAAAAGAAAAGCAAATACCTGGCAAATAAAAAAGAATAAGTTAGTGCATTTACTTCCTAGAACATCAGTGGATCATTCTGTTTAAATCCAAGTATATACATTTAGCTAATAATTTAACCTCCCACAGAGGGCCATACTTCACTAAAGAGCTAGGGGAGCACATGAAATATATTATTTTGTATGGTCCATTCATTTTTTTAATAACATGGTTTTATTTAGTAAATTGTCTCATCCAAGGTTGATGTAATGCCTTTGAGGCCTAAACCAGCAAATATGCCTCCAATGAGAAGGTTAATTCTCCTGATTTCAATGGCAGGGTTCAACCTGTTTCTTTGTTCTCTGTTGATTATGTTGTTCCTTATAGAAATAGGATTTAAAAAAAAATCATACTCTCTATAAGACAAATAACACTGACGACTGAATTCCTCAGAATCTGAAATACTTCCTCTTTTTTCTAGAGCCTCTTCAACACTACCTGGTGGCCCCTGGGTTTCTGAGTACAGCTTGACAATCATTGACTGAAAATGCCATGAGATGCTTACACGTGGTGCCTGCTTTTCATGTTAAATAACATGGCATCGCACGGCAGGACTGTGGCTCCTTGCAAAACGCTCCTGCAATCCTTATTATGCCAGTGACAAAGTCTCTGCTAAGTGCCCCCATGGCTTTAACACCTCCGTATACTTGTTAATCCTTCTTCTTATCTGACAGAGGCAAGCATTGGCAGGCAGAAACACCCTGCTTCAGTTGCTTACGTTGCATTTATTTTGACTGTCAATTCTACTGATGTCATGGAATATTAGTTGCTTTTCTATTTGAAATAGTGATTTATAGTTTCCCTTTAAAATACATTTGTTTATGTTAAAAAGTAAGTCAATTTAAAGAAACATACTAGGTAAATAATAACACCAGTAGCAAAAGTGTATAGTGACTGTTGGTTGGTTTGGCAAACACTGGAATAAAGTAATGGTGTGGAAAATTTGTGGCTTTGACTCCTCCAGTTATTAACAAAGTCAGGCTTAAAAGTGGGCCAAGATTTAAGTACTTCTATGGGGTATTTGAAAGAGTGATGGAAAAGATGATCTGTCTTAAAATACCCATCCTGCCACTTGTCATTTTGATAATAGGACTGTAATCCTTTTCATTCCATAGACTGTTGACTTCAAACATTTCCATTCATTCATGCATTCAGCCAATCACTTATTTTTTTTCATTGAACAAATTTATTGAGCACCAACTGTTTGCCCCCATTGTACAATAGCAAATTGCTGTTGCAGAGGAAGATGCCCTTAGCTGGGGTGTCTCATTAGCCTTCATGAGCTCATATATTATGGAATTTTTAATAGCACCTTCAGTTATCAACTAACAGTGGTTCCTAACTCAAGCTGCACAAGAGAATCACCTGGAGAGCTTTTAGAAATACAAATACTTGAGCAATTCCTAGATTCTGATTTAATTAATCTGGGGTGGGGCTTGAGCATCAGGAGCTTAAAAAAAAAAACAAACCTCCAACAAACCCAACAGAACCTCTTTTGGTGGTTCTGATGTATAGTCCAGGTTGAGAACCACTGAGCTAACACCTTTGTTCATACCTCATATCCTAGCCTTCTTGTGGCTTAAAATGTGATCTGTGTACTAGCAGCACTGACATTACCTGAGAACTTGTCAGAAATCCAGAATCTCAGGCCCCAGCCCAGACTGACTGAATCTGCATTTTTTTTTTTTTTTTTTTTTTTGAGACAGGATCTCACTCTGTAACCCAGGCTAGAATGCAGTGGCACAATCATCCCTCACTGCAGCCTCCAACTCCTGGGCTCAAGTGATCTTCCCACCTCAGTCTCCAGAGTAGCTGAAACTACAGGCGTGTGCCATCATGCCTGGCTAATTAAAAAAAAATTGTAAAGACAGAGTTTCACTGTGTTGCCCAGGCTGGTCTCAAATTCCTGGCCTCAAGCGACCCTCCCACCTTGGCCTCCTAAAGTATTGGGATTGCAGGCATGAGACACTGCATCCAGCCCACACTGATTCTTTTATTTGTGAAATGGGTGGCAGGTTTGCCTTTGATTCCCCGCTTTTCCTTTCTGCATCCATAGCCTCCCTGTTATAATCTTCTCTCACTTTCTCTCCTCCCCTTGCACCTAAACTCTTCCACAGGAAGAAATTGATTTTGATAAACCATCGACATCTTGGCAGAAATACATTCAGACATTGCCTTTCCCAATATTATCTGCTTTAACAGAAGAGAATGGGCATTGAAACAAGTTAATCTCTAATAGTAAAGATTGAAAGGTGTTAATTTTGGGAGCGTCAAGAACTCCTTGGCATGTCTCAGACTGAAGTTCTCTCTATGGAAAAAGTCAGCTCTGAGAACAGAGTTGTCACAATGGATTTCTTTGGTTCTGAAGGAGAGGTCTAATGAGCCAAAGAAAACAAAAGAAAACAAGAGAAAGTGTGTGACTACTAAGCATAATATTATTGAATTTGGCCGGGGGCGGCGGCTCACACTTGTAATCCCAGCACTTTGGGAGGCCGAGGCAGGTGGATCATGAGGTCAGGAGTTCAAGACCAGCCTGGCCAAGATGGTGAAACCCCATCTCTACTAAAAATACAAAAATCAGCTGGGCATGGTGGCGGGCACCTGTAATCTCAGCTACTTGGGAGGCTGAAGCAGAGAATTGCTTGAACCTAGGAGGTGGAGGTTGCAGTGAGCCGAGATCATGCCACTGCACTCCAGCCTGGGCGACAGAGTGAGACTCCATCTCAAAAAAAAAAATATATTGAATTTTTGTGCTTCTGGTAGTTGAGGGCTGCTGGAGGGATTGATTCTGCAAGAAAGAAGAGTAAAAGTTCAGAGTGGAGGGTTTCCTGCTATTAAACAAGTTTTGATGAATATTACGGTCTGAATTATTTTTGACTCCTGCTGCTTAACGTTTATTTCAAATTTTTAATTTTAAAACACACCCAATTACAGACAAACTCAATGCCAAGCTGCAGGAATGAGAATAGGAGCTAATTTCTTTTTAAAATGTGCTTATATTTCAACACACACTTATTTTTATACCTGACTTTTTCCTGGAAAGAAACAATGTATGTTTTCTGGATTCCAACAAATGATATAGACAAATAAAAGTTAACAGTATAGTAAGGTGTAATTTGGATTTAGCAAAAACGGAGATGCACATAGGTAACTCTAGGTGTGCTTTGATTCTGTGCTCAAGTCTTTGCTTGGCCTCATTGTCCAAATTTGACCTGAGTATCGCTTGAAGCAGATTCGAATTCATGACCCATTCTACTTAGGCAACTGCCCTAGAACTGGCCGATTCTCCCAGCCTTGTTCCAGCCTGGTTGGATTTCTCCCATTTCCTAGAGGCCTTCACTGCTGAGGTCTCTCTATGCCCCCCATGGTGACAAAACTGACCTTGACTCAGCCTGGGCAACATGGCAAGACTCCATGTCTACAAAAAGTATAAAAAATATTAACCAGGCATGGTGGTACGCACCTGTAGTCCCAGCTACTCAGGAGGCTGAGGCGGGAGGATCTCTTGAACCTGGGAGTTGAGGCTGCAGCAAGCTATGATTGTGCAACTGTATCATCCTAGCTTGGGCAACACAGTGAGACCCTGTTTCAAAAAAAAAAAAAATAAGTTGACTTTGAGTGAGCTTCTTGTAAAAGCAGCCCCAGCAGTGCTGTGAGCCATCATCACTTCATTCCCTATCATGTCATGAGAGGATGATGTGGAAACAATGGCTAATTTGAAGTTGAAGGAAATAGAAAAGACGTGGGTTTAAGAAAAGCAGTGGAAGGTAGCTTTGATAGCTTAATGAGAGGTTAAGGCCAGTGATCACACAGGGATGCCCTCCGGGACTCAGGACAGGAAGAGGGCAGCCTGCAGATGGGCTTACCACAGCTGCAGTTATGGACTTGCCTGGAGAGAAGGCTGAGGGTTGAAGGGGCCCAGTGTAGCTGGCTCAAAGTACAATTGAAGCCTGATTCTTGGAGTTCCACAAAGACTGGGTGTACAGTCAAGGGTCTACAATAGCAACCGTGTAAATCAGCTCAAGGAGAGCAGCTCCGGAAAAGGAACCAGAAGATAATGTAGCAGCCAGAGTCTAAATTTGTGTTGTCAAGGTGATGAGGTACAAGTCAATTTGTGTTTCCCTCTCTTTTGACTGGGTGTTCTCTGATGTTGTAGAGATGCTCAAAGCTTCTCCGCCCTTGCCTCCTCTGTGAGAGTTCTGCTTGCCTTTGAATGGCTGGCGAGGTTGAGGCCACTACCTTTGAGTCCAGATGTCCTGAGAGAGACAGAGACACTAGTTTATAGCCCTCCCCCTGAGACTGATTACACAACTTCAGTATCACCTGCTTCTCCTTTTTCAGCTCTAAAAATAGCAAAGATGAGTTCACTGATAGCTGAGTCACCTCATCGAAGGGGCTGTTGTGTCCAAATATCATTGATTGGAAACTTTGTCTAAAACACATCTTAGATGATGTTTTTTCCTTCTGTCAAAAGGACAGGTATATGAATAATAAATACTGTATCAGGGGTCTGTTGCTATTATACATATACATATAAGTTTTATGTATAAATTACAAATATGTGTAATTCAGCACAAATTAATTTTGTGTGAGCCCCACAGCAGTTTTGAGAATTAAATATTATAACCCCCATTCTACAGGTAAGAAAACTGAGTCTCCATGAGATTATGTAATTTGCTCAAGGTTTTCCAGCTAGAAGTGGTTGAGTACAAAAAATGTGACCTTCTGACTCAGAAAGCATTCTCTTCTCTCTGCACTGCATGACATCTGCAGCTCATTTTTATGATAAAAAGTAAAGAAAAAAATGTACAAGACTGTGAACACCTTGCTTATCCCAGCACACTCAGCACTGAGTGAGAACATTAAGACCTAAGTTGTATTAAATGATAGCAAAATCAGGACTACCGTCATGAAAGGTGGACTCAGGGACTTGAGTTTCTACTCATTTTTGCATCCATAATAAACCAACCCCCGAAATTTGTAAGTAATCTTCTCGCTTATTTGTTTTTTCTTGTAACAGTTAATCTTTGCTTTGATGATTCTTTTTAGGATAACATTGCTAAGAGAAGATGCAAATAGAGTGTCGTGACCTTGGGAGATAAACAGAAAGAAGTACAAGGCACTTTGTAAATATCTCAGTGTTTATAATAGCTGGGGAAAAAAAAAGTTAAGTAGATCGGTTCTCTTTCAGGAAGAAGTAGTTTGAACCTTTGAACAAGACCAAGTTTATGTTCCCAGCTAATGTGAAATGTGACAAAAAAGAACTGATCCCCAACTGTTCTGAAGAAAGATTAAATGCACTTCTGGTTCTTTTCACAGCTATTCATCATTTTAATTGGTTTTGAAGCCAAAAAACTTGGACAGCATTTGGGATGGGAATCCAACTTCATAATTCATAAACTATGGAAAAGTGATTATAGCCTTCATTTAGAAGCTGGGCACATACCTTATTAAGTTGCTACAATATGAAACACCAAAATCTACATTAATCACACAATCCCTTTGTGCACAGGGGTTCCAGCAGGTGAATTATGGGACACTGGTTTCTTGGGAAGGAAATACTCTGCCCTAGACCTTTTGGAGATGACACGTCCCTGACTCATGGTGCTCTTTGCCATTCCTGCTACCACCAACATTCGTGGCATTTTCAAGAACCAGGAAGAGAGCTCATCCAACCCCCGTGCCTCCCTGTTCCTTGTCCTCTCCTCACATGACACTCTGCAGTGAATAGATGTCCCTCACTTTTCCATCCCCTACGGTTCGCTCCAAGTGGTTCAAGGACATGTCCTCTTCCCACATGACACTCTGCTGTGAACAGATATCCCTCGCTTTTCCATCCCCTCCAGTTCTCTCCAAGTGGTTCAAGGATATGCACTGGGTTTTTTACTTGATACCACTTGCACATAATAGACTCTCAACAAATGTATCAGATAAATAAGCAAATTTCAAGAATTGTCTAAGTTGTTTTGTTGACGTCAGTATCATTTGACATTATAAGAGTTGTCAGGTGGAGCTCACTCATGCTCTGAACATTAACAAAATTATTATTATTTTGTTATTATCATAGAGAAAACTATAGGTACAGAAAACAGATCCAGGGTCTTGCTATGTTGCCCAGGCTGGATTCAAATTCCTGGGCTCAAGCGATCCTCCTGTCTCCACCTCCCAAGTTGTTGGGACTACAGACACATGTCACCATGCCCAGCTAACGAAATTATTAAAATAAAACTGTTTGCCTTTGGAATTCGGTAGAGCAACACAAGCATGCTTCCAAGAGTTTCCAAATCTTTAAACATTCAGCTTTCCATTACTGTACTTGTACTTTTTTTACATTAAATGTTGATATTTCAAGCCTCCTTTTTTAATGTGCTAGTGCCATACCACTTTTATTTATACCACACTTAGCTATGGAGGTGTTGTAAGCAGCATTATTTACACATTTTAATTGCATTTTGTTGTTATTTTAGGAAAACAAGTGGAAAATGGAAATGAAATAAACTGACACTAGAGATAAAATAGAGGTCTCATAAATTTAATACAATTGAAACAAGAGAGAAATCATTAGGTGTGCTTTGAACAGAAAATCTTTAGTCCCAACAGAATGCTTACTGGATTTAACTCAACTGTGCTTAATAGTGATTGAAAAAAAAGAAAAAAAATTTAAAAATATTCATCTTTTTGAAGATAAATGATTAAAAATTATGTCTAAGAGTTGAAGTATAATAGGGATTATGTAATTATGATAATTCTAACTTTTTTTTAGCTTTCTGGGAGCATAATCTTACATTATAAATGCACATTTATTGTTCAAATTTGGGAACTGCATATATTTTCCAAAAAATCAAATGGAAAAATACTCAGAATTTTATTTAAATTTATTTCATTCAGTTAAAAATCTTGAGATATACTTGCTTATAAATTTTTTTGAAACTTTTAAGATACAAAATTTGATGGGAAAAGAAAAAGGAATGAAGTATCTTAGCTTAGCTTGACACGAGACCTAAAATAAAAACGGGCAAGTGATGTTCTGGTCTCATTGGACTGAAGGCATCAGAGTTCACAGCATGAGTCCTTATCTGATTCTGGGGACAGAGCTGGGATGAACGGCTACACAACGCCTATCATAGCACATTTACTCACAGACCAAGGCTATCCAAGTAAGAATGATATTTACAGAGTAAAGCATTCTGAACTCCAGGGACAACCGCACTGTTTTCTAGGCTCCATGACTCTGAGGACTGTCACATTTTCTAGACATTAAAGAGCAGTTGGTTTACCATACAGCCCCTCAATCCCAAGACAGAGGACATCTAAATTCTATACAAAAATCTGTGTGTAGATGTATATAACGATTTTATTTATAATCGTCCAAACTGAAAGTTATCCAAATGTTCCCAGACTGGAAAACAGATAAACACATTGTGGTACATCACACAAGGGAATGCTACGCAACAATAAAAAAGAACATGTTATTGATATATGCAACCACATTGATAAAGAATAAATGCTTGAAAAAGCCAGACTCAAAGGCTGTATACTGTATGATTCCATTTGTATAACATTCTAGAAGAGACAAAACTGTAGGAATAAAAAGCAGATCTGTGGTTGCCAGGACTGCGAGTGGGAAAAGGGGCAGCAGGAGGAAAGTTTTTTGGGTGATGGGGATGTTCTGCCTCTTGACTGTATGAACTTTTGTCAAAACTCATGGAACAGTGCACCAAAAGGAATACATTGTACTTCCTGTAAATAAAAGTTAACATAAAATATAGCAATTGGCTATTGGACTAGAGTAATTTTAAGTAATAATAAAGTGCTCTTCTCCTGGTAGAAAATTATGATGATTTCTAATCACTGCTTTGGAATGTACTAATTCTTCTTTCAAGCCTTTTTTAGGGGACCTATTCAAAAGAACTGTTTCCCCCCAAAATTGACTAAAATGACCACTGGGCAGGTTGTGAGTTCTTCCTGACTTGTCAGCAAGATGCTGAGTTCTTTCCTGTCAGGTCATTTCATCACAGGAACAGGCGTAGTTTCCTTCAGGGCCATATTCTCTCGAGTTTAGAAAGTGTTTGACTCCATTCAAGGAAAAACATAATACCTTGGGGGATATAGCCTAACTGTGTTAGTTGGAAAGTGTCCTATTTCCTGAAGGATGAGCTACATGAGACAGGGGATATTTGGGACTCCTTGACAGGATGGCTTCTCTTTCCTTTCCTTCCTTTCCTTCCTTTCCTTCCTTCCCTTCCCTTCCTTCCTTTCCTTCTTTCCCTTCCCCTTCCTTCCTTCCTTCCTTCCTTCCTTCCTTCCTTCCTTCCTCTCTCTCTTTCTCTCTCTCTTTCTTTTTTTCTTTCTTTCACATGGTATCACTCTGTCACTCAGGCTGGAGTGCAGTGGTGTAATCATAGCTCACTGCAGCCTTGATCTCCTGGACTCAACTAATCCTCTTACCTCAGTCTCCTGAGTAGCTGGGACTACAGGCACCCATATGTCACCATACATAGCTAATGTTTAAATTTTTATTTTTGTAGAGATGGGGTCCCACTGTCTCTGTTTCTGAGCACCCAGCACACATTTGGGAGAATAAGAGCTACTTCCTTTTCCCAGCACTAGCCCAGGTCTTGGCCTTCCAGCCTCCACTAGTAGCTCATGACTCAGCATTTAAGTTGAAGCTTGGTGGGCAGAAGAGGCTCCCTTCCATTTGTCTTCATTTCTGGTTAATTACAGTAATTGGCACAACACTGTTTCCATCCCTACATCTATTAACCAGCAAATGTTCAAGTCATAGGCTCTCAACTCTCATTAATCTCATTGATGAGTTTTTTTATTTTTTTTAAATCATGTGTTTTATTTCCTCATTATGGAAGTTTCAAGTCAGCAGCGAAAATAAGGCCATGTTGATGTCAGCTCCACTTCTGCTTTTCAAGGGCATCGGAGAATCTTTGAATATTTCAGCATTCTCTCAACTTTATTTTTCCTGTCTTTGAGATCAAAATGAGAAGGGATTCTCCTGGGAGGACTATGCATTGATTCAATCTTTTCAGAGAATAATTTGATAAGGTTTATTAAAATTAATATTGCATGTACTACTTGACTCAGAAATTTCACTTCTAAGAACTTATTCTAAAGGGATATTCACACAAGGATTTGAAGAAGATCAAGGAAACACATTCGTCTCGTAGTTTATAACAGCAAAACTTTAGGGGAAACCCAAAATGTCAATCATTAGGGGCTTGGTTAAACAAATGACGGAATATCCACACTGTTGGAGAGAATATGTTGTTAAATAAAAGAGCAGGTTGCATGATACGGTGTACTGTATGATTGCAGTTGGGGGAGAAAAAAAATCTGGAAAGATCCATGCAGAACTGCCACGTCACCAAAATTGGAAAGTGAGTGGGTTGTATAGAGGAGGAAAAGGAGAGGAGAGAGAAGGGAAATTGCAGTTTTTATTTTATCTACACTTCTGTAATGTTTGAATCTTTTTGATGATGAGCAAGCCTTGATTCTATATTAAAAAGGCAAATAAGGAAAAAAGAGTGATGCATTTCTAAGAAATTAGTACAAATGATTAAACTAGACCCCTTTTAGAGTGTACAGCGATTGGAGAGTTTCCAAGTGCCCTGACATCTATCATCTTCGTTTATGCCTGAGACAACCTAGGGAGGTGAGCAGGTGGGCAGTGAAAATTCTGAGGCAAGACATGGGCAGGCTTCTCCACTCATTCTTCCCACATTCACAGGGCATTTTTGGTGGTAACTGATTTCTAAACTGGCTCTTTTGCTTATAGGTTGTGCTTTAAATCATGTTTTTTAATTGAGGTATAATTTACAGTAGCATATGTGATCTTAAGCATGCATGCTGCATCTTAGCAGTATGTAAATCTGAGTCACCATCATGCCAATCAAGATAGTGGACACTGTCATCACCTTGAGGAGTTGTCTCACCATATGATGCCCTTCTCAGTTAATCTTCACCTACCTTAGGCAACCACTGTTCTGATCTCTATCGCTGTATCTGAATTCTGCCGGCTTTAGAGCTTCATGTAAATGGAACCAGAGAGTATATGTACTCTTGCATTTGTCTTTGTTGGTAGCTAACAACATTTGGAGATTTGCCTATTGTACTGTATGCAGCAGCAGTTTGTTTGTTTTGTTGTGGGATAGTATTCCACTGTATAAACACATCACAGTTTTATTTATCCATTCACTTGTTGACGGGCATTGGAATTATTTCCAAGTTTTGCAAATATAAAGCTGCTATGTATATGCCATTTTATAAACATACCTTTTTGTTTCTCTTGAGTACATACTTAGGAGTGGGATTGCTGGTTGTATGCTAAGTGTGTGTTTAACATTACAAGAAACTGCCAAACTTTTTCCAAAGGGATTGCACCATTTGACATTTGCACTAGCAGTGTAAGAGGTTGTAGGTAGGTTTCACCCTCACAAATACCTATCTTTAAGTATATCCATAGGATTTTCCATAAAGGAAATGCTACAGGGACCTTTCAGCAGCTGTAAACCCTGCACTGAACCCTTACCCATTCTAGTCCTCACAGCTCCCCAGATTAGAGAGATAAGATAAATGAGCCCTGGTCCTTACCCCAGGCAGTAAGTCCAGAAGACAAGTCTCTTAGCCGATGGTCCCTGAAGCTGCAAAGTCTGAGCAGTGTTCAGGCCTGAGCATCTGTTCACACCCTTTCCATGAACCAAAGAGCATCTGTTTCTTCAGGTTCAGTCGATATTCATTGTTGTTAATTTGAGAGATCTCCCTTTCTCTCTCCACCATTCTCTCCCTATATTGATATTGGAATGTGTGGACATATACTCTATATCATATATGCCCTATGTCACATAAGGGCATATCCCCTGTATCCTGGCTGTGTGAACTGATGACCACGGCTGTTCCTTCCAAGACCCTTGACTACAAGCACATCCAGGTCCAGCAGTTCTCAGGGTGTGCTGTGCCCAACCTGAGCTGTACATGGCAGATTTTAGGGGTAGACGGTATCTATTTTTATGATTGTCTTATTTATATGGCAAGTGAGATTTTCCATTTATGGCGGTAATGTAGAGTTAACTTTTAAAACTACCTATTAAAATAGTGAATCAGTTAAGTAAAAATGATTAAATAAATAAAAGCACAGTGGGTCATGAGAATTGCAGTTTGATTTCATATTTAGAAAACCCCAACTCTGGTACAATTTCTCATTATCTATTAAAGACACTCTGAGTGACTTGGTTGATCATCATAATCAAAGGAGATTTACTAAGCACCCGTTGTCACTCAGAATATAATGAGCCCCAGAGTAGATACAGGCCCCTGCTTGAGACTGAACATCAGTGATACTGTTACTAAATATATTCCCGTCAAAATCTTTGTAACATCTAACTCTCCATGATGTGCGAAAAATCCGAGCATCCAATTAATTTCCAGATCAACGCTGCATGCTTTCTGATTAAGCATCATAAATGCTATTCAGCGCTCTCTGTGGGTCAGTCCGGGTTCCTGCTGGTGGTGGAGCGAGGCTTTAAGCTCACTGCTGACTCCCCTCCTGAATTTCCTGTGCACAAGACTCCTTCAGGACCCTAGTGCCTGAACTTATGAGGTGCCTAATGAGGCCCGCGCTAAGTGATTGTGTTTTTGTCTGCTTTTTTTAGAGATATATGTTTTGCAGATATCATCTTATGTTAGGTGTCCCTGAAGGTTTCTGTTTTAAGAGGAAGAGAGAAAGACTATTTAGGGAGCACCTCTGAAGTTCAGGGTGCTTTAACTACATTCTTTCTCTCTCTCTATCTTCCTTTTAACCATAACAGCTCTTTGGCAAATAATCTTTCTCCTAGAAAAGCCCCCATCTGCTCTCCCTGCCTCCTTTCTTGTTCACTCCCAATCTGTCTCTTTAGCAGGCAAATCTTTGAAAAATGCCAAATCTAGGCATGTTATTCCCCCTCCCTGCCACCCTGAAGCTTCCCTTTGCTCCTAGGATGAAGTTATGAATCCTCATGGCTCAGAAAGTTTATACAGTCGGTTCTCTTTCTACTTCTCCAATGTCATCTCATGCCATATTTTTCCTTCCCGTACTGATATACTTCTTTCCCCCAGCACACACACACTGGCCTTCTTCAGATCCTTGAAAGGGCTGAGCATGTTCCTGCCTCAGGGTCTTTGCACAAGCTGTTCCTTCTGCTTCCAGATTCCTGGCTAACTCCTCCTCATTCTTAAGGTATCAGCATAGGGATAGCTACTCTAGGGAAATCTTCCCTTAACTGGCAGCCCAGATCTGGTTCTCCATATTAAACACATTTATATCACCGAGTACTCTTCCGCTGTAGCAAAGCACCTAGATCATAATTATTTCTGTAGTTATTTCTTTGGAGTCTATTTTACCCTCTAGTTGCTAAGGTCCTTGAGGGTAGAAACTATGTCTGCTCTATTCAGCCACTTGTCCCCGCCTCCCAGTTGGGATCCTAGGGATTCTTGCTTCCTGATATTCATGACCTTGTATACAGTCCCCTACAATGAACAAGGCTGACCCATATAACCAATAGGACATTTCAAAATTGTGGTGTGTGACTTCTGAGGCTAGATCGTAAAAGATATTGTAGCTTCCATTTTGGTCCCTCTCTGAGATTGCTTGCTCTGGGTGAAGTCAGCTATCATGTCATGAGGATGCTCAAGCAGTTTGTGGAGAGCTACGTGCAAGGAGGAACTGAGGCCTCCTGCCAACAGCCACCATGTGAACCATCTTGGAAGTCGATCCTCCAGCCCTGGTTGAGTCTTCAGTTGACTGCAGTCATGGCCAACATGCTGACTGCAACCTCACGAGAAACACGGAGCCACCCAGCCAAACTGCTCTTAAATTTCTGACTCATAAAAACGGTGTGAAACAAAATATATATATGTATTTTGTTTTATGCTGCCATGTTTTGGGGGTAATCTGAGATGCAGCAATAGGTAACTAATATACTACAGTTTCTGGTGTAGCATAGCTCTCAATAACTAGGTGTTGAATGAAAACATGAAGGCATATTGCTATCCTTCTTTTATATCTCAGGAATGTACAACGTGTACAACAGAGAGGTTAATTAACTTGTTTCAAATCACAGTAACTAAATATAGAGGCAGGATTGGACCCAGATCTACCTGTCTGCATGATCCTTATTGGTGCCATTCCTATTATTCTGTTTTATCTCCCTTAAAGACAGAGATCTTAACATCTAGCTGGACAGAGGATTTTATGTTTTAATACAGAATCTTTTGCTGATTACACTGAGGGCAGGGCTACAGACTAGGTATTTAGTGCAAAGGTCTCAAAAGTGGATTGTGCTCACTTGGGAGGATGTGCTGGATGATCCATTGGAGTGTTGGGAGGAAATCTTTTAAGCCTTGTTTTACCTTGATTTAAAAAACGATGTATTCATTGTAATAGTGGTAAAAAATATGTAACATAAAATTCATCATCTTAGCCATTTTTAAGTGTACAGTTCAGTAATGTTAAGTACCTATGCAAACAATCTTCATAACTTTTTCATCTTGCAAAACTAAAACTCTATACCCATTAAACAATAACTCCCTATTTTCCCCCTCAACCCAGACCCTGGCAACTACCTTTCCACCTTTTGTCTCTATGAGTTTGATTACTCTAGATACCTCATATAAGTGGGATCAGAATATTTGTCTTTTTATGACTAGCTTATTTCATTTAGTGTAATGTCCTCAAAGTTCATCCCTGTTGCTGCAAGTAACAGAATTTCCTTCCTGAAATTCTGAATAAATAATCTTAGGACCTTAGGATCTTAAGGTGATAAAAAGGCTGAATAATATTCCATTATATGTATGTAATACATTTTGCTTCTCCATTCATCGATTGATTGATTGATATTTGGGTTGCTTATACTTCTTGGCTATTGTGAATAATGTTACCATGAACATGAGTGTGCATTTTAACTTTTAATATTTATTTATATTTTATCCTTTAAAATTTTCTTTCTTGGATATGCTTTATAATGTACATAGCCCATTGATAGTAGTACATACATATACTGTCTGAATAAATAGCTATACATGTATTAGGAGAGCCTAGTTAAAATTGTTTTACAAATAGGGATGTGTGATTGGAGACCTCTGATTTTGTAAGTGTCCTAGATGCTATTAGATGCCCCATCCATAATAACTCCTTGCTTTGAGCATATCAGTGCACATTGACACAACTTCCATCTGTCAGCATTTTATCTCTTTATCTCTGGAGTCAAATTCACCAATGATATGGCAGCTTAGAAGTATAGGAAATTGTTCCTCTCTCCATCCTGATATTAATCATCAACCAATGATGGATAAGAGTTGGTGTGTTCATACTTGTACTCTTTCTCCTTCATGTGTTCTAACTCATGTTCTAGGGGTGCTTAGCAGAACTGAGCTCCTGTTGCCCACAGTAGGACACACTTGTGCACACCCTGTATTGACTTCCTTCACTTTTTCACTCCCCTGCTCCCCTACCTGTGCTTCCTGGCACCAAATTCCAAATAAAATGCTGGTTTGTGGATCCATGTCTCACAGTCAGCTTTTGGAGGAATCCCAGCTAAGACAGTAAATGAATGCAAAACTCTTTGAAATCACTCAGCCCCAGTGATTAGTGTATACAGCATCATGCATGGAAAAGGAGCATCACTTTGACTTAATGTCTGTCATTCTCAAAAGCAAATTAACTAGATTCAAACTACTTGACGATTCCATTTCCTTAACAAAACTAATTCAGCTTTTGTTTCTTAATCAGGGATTTTATTGGAAGGGAGGAGAGTTTCATAAGATTTTAGAGTTACAACAGACAAGAGTTCAATTTTCTCAGCTCTCAAATGAGGGTGCTATGCCCCCAAGATATTCAGCAGTTTTCCAGATGTCACACTGCTAGAAGGTGCTACAGCTGTCACTGGAGCCTGTTTTGAAGCTCTCTGGACTTAAGTTTCTAACAAAACCATTTTCCTACATCTTGACACACAACTGATTAGACCAGGGGATTTCAGCAGACCTATTCTTAAAGGATCAAATAGTAAAAATTTTAGGCTTTGCAGGCCATATGGACTTTGTCACAACTACTCCACCCTTCCCTTAGAGCATGCAGGCAACCATAGATATCAAGTAAAAAAGTGAGCATGGCTGCGTTCCGATAAAACTTTATTTACAAAAACAGGTGGCCAGAATCTGTGTAGTTAGCCAACCCTTACGTTAGGTACAGAAGAGACAAAGAAAGGTCCTCTTTGCCTTTGCATTTAAGAGAAATACTTTTTCTTATTTTTTTGAGTCAGGGTTGCGTTCTGTCACCCAGGCTGGAGTGCAGTGGTGTGATTGTGGCTCACCGTAGCTTCGACTTAGGCTCAATAGATCCTCCCGTCTCAACCTCCTGAGTAGGTGGGACTACAGATGCACCACCATTCCCAGCAAATTTTTAATTTTTTTGTAGCGACAGGGTGTTGCCATGTTACTCAGGCTGGTCTCAAACCCCTGGCTCAAGCAATACTCCCACCCTAGTCTCCCAAAGTGCTGGGATTATAGGGATGGGCCGCTGTGTTCAGCCTATGAAAAATATTTTAATTTTTAAGACTCAAATTGTTGATTGATTGATTGAGACAGAGTTTCACTCTTGTTGGGGAGGCTGGAGTGCAATGGCACTATCTTGGCTCACTGCAACCTCCACCTCCTGGGTTCAAGCAATTCTCCTGCCTCAGCCTCCCAAGTAGCTGGGATTACAGGTATGTGACACCATGCCCGGCTAATTTTGTATTTTTTTTTTTTTTTTTTTTGGTAGATATGGAGCTTCGCTGTGTTGGTCAGGCTGGTCTCAAACTCCTGACCTCAGGTGATCCACCCACCTCGGCCTCCCAAAGTGCTGGGATTACAGGTGTGAGCCACCAGGCCTGGCCTCAAATAGTTTATTTTTAAATAGTATGTAGTCACTTAAATACAGATTTAAGTGCTTTTCCTCAGACCCAAAGAATAGATTACTGGATTCTAAGATGTATCATTGCCATTTGTCCTCCCTCTCAGATTTTTGCTGTGTTAATCCTGCATGATTACTAGCACTGAGGGTATTGTGTTCTAGTTGTTGCTTATAGGACACAATGGCACACGCACAGACAAGACTTTCTTCCCCAAATATCAAAATGAGAGTGTATACTTTTCACAGTGTCAATATTAATTACTTGTAATTTGGTGTTCGGTGTTATTTTCTATATTAATTTCAACACAATGGGATGAGTCTAATTTGGAATGATAAGATTCATTTGCATTTAAATTGATATTTTAAGCATTCCCTGTGAGGAACAGATAGAATCCACGATTATAATTATAAGCATTGTTTCCAGGGCAGGTTTGTTTCCCTTTGGAAGGATTTGTAAATATGGTGCATCAAGTTTAATATTAATAATGGTGACACTGTAACACCACGTTTCTCAAGAGAGACTTGTGAATAGAGTGTCCATATTTGGAAAATTCTCTTCTAGTGGAACAGTGGATAAGCATAGCTCATTAGTTAAGAACATGCTCATGTTGGTTTTTTTCCTCTTTCTTTTTCTTTTTTTTATTTTTCAAAATCTTTTTGATACTTAACTGAGTGGAAAATAACCTAGGTTAATTTTTCAGCTTGAAATTGCATGCTTTGAGAAATCAGTTGGCCTATTGTTAATTGCATATAACACAAATGAATGAATTAAAAGCATCAAGGGAATCATTCCTGCTGCTTTCTGTAGTTCTCTGTTTTCTTGGGATGGACAAGGCAGTCTTGGATAGAGAGGCTTTCTGTTTTTTGGTTGTAGCTATGAAGAAATATAGTATTTCTCCCCAGAAGTTACTAAAGAAGTACTGAAGTGTTCATTTCCTGGGGAAATTGTCTTCTTTGTGGCACTGACCTGCAGCTTTTCTTTCATAACAAAATGCTGGTGTTGACTGAGGTATAAATAAGGAGAAGCATAGCAAAAAGACAGAGATAGGAGCTATGTGAGGAGAAAGCATGGCCAGAAGAAATTAAAAGGTGAAGGCAAAAGAAAAAGAGGAAAGCCAAGTGTTCAATCCTCAGCCAGTCAGTCATCTCACAGATACCTACTGACCACTCACTTGGTTCCAGCCATGGTGCTGTGCTGCGGATAAAGAGGTGAACAAGACAGGTCAGATCCCCGTGGCCTCATCCTCCTGGGGCTGACATTCTAATGGGGGAACACATGCAACAAAACAAAAATACAGAACCACAGACTATCTTAAGAACTAGGAAGTGGCTACACAGGGTGTGCAATATAAGTTGAGATGGACTCAACTGTGGGAAGAGCTAGTGTGACAGTCTTCCAAGCCTTTAATTAGGGAGAATCCTGGATTGTAGAGTCTGGTTCATCGTGAGTAAGCAGGACAAAGGCAAACAGGCTAAGTCTCACAGGGAAGGGGGAGAGCCACCTGTTGGTTTTAAGCATGGAAGTGATATGGCTTCCACTACTTTGTTCTTTGTAACGACCTTTCTGCTTGTTTTGGGGAGAATGCATTGCAGAGGGTAAGAGTGGAAGCAGGAAACTTTTGTGGGGTCCAGGAGGGAAGTGATGCTGGCTTGGTCCAGGATGCCAGTGGTGGGAACAGAGAGGCAGGTGTATTGCCTAGCAGAACTGGCAGATAGGGTGGCTGAGGGGAAAAAGAAGGGAGCAGCAGTCAAGGATGGTAACGTTTAGCACCTTAGTCATTGTGACCATGGCGATGCCATTTGGTAAGATGTGGGAGACTGGAGGGGGCCAGGTTAAATGAAGGCAGCATGACAGATGGTGAACTTCACATTTTGCTACTCACTGTCTGTGTGAGCTAAGGCAAATCACTAGCCTCTCTGATCTTCAGTTTCCCGTCTATGACAGGTGGGTAAGAAAGTACCCACTTCACTGGCTTAACACGCTCATTAAATGTGATCATGCATATAAAACACAAGGCCAAACACACAGTAAATACTCAACAAATTCTGGGAACTAACACTCCTGCTATTCCACAGAAATCAATGGAGAAATATCAGAACCACGGCAGGGAGAAGAGGTGGGAGACAACACATGGTTCTCATACTTCGTTAGCCAACTACCAACTCTCCACGGGAGGAGAGATGGATTTGCGAGTTATTAATAATCAAGCAAGCAACAAGTCAAAACTCCCCAATAAAGCTGCCATGTAGTATAGGATCATTGTGACCGCTTGTGAGTGATTAATCGAAGTGGTTAATAGCCTTGGCCATGGTTTTATTCACAGATAATATATTTTTTGTTGGTAAAGTGCCTGGTAAGAATTCCTGCAAGGTGCTGACTGTATCAAATGACTCAGTGCCCATCTGTCACCACACAGGCCTCTACACAGGGACTGGCTCCTTTCCACCTAGTGTTCTGGAACATTCTTTACATGATAGAGAAAGAATATGTGTGTGTATGCTTGTGGGGTGTTGTGGAGAAAAAAAGGGAGGGTGGTCCAATACCCATACCAGAATAGCTTCAACGCCTTGAACATTCTCAGAAGTTCCATTTAATTTCTATTTTTTGATTGATCAACAAAGACCCAGTGTTCATATCAGCCATATGAATAATCATTATACTCTTTTGATTCTGGAGACAATGAGAATCTTGTTGGGGATGACAATTATAGATGGGGAAACTGAGGGCCATAAAGATCAAACAACGCATTTTTTTTTTGGCTTGCAGTACCTCAATGGGAGTCTGTGAACTAGTGCTCTTTGAATAGCTTAGACTTACACTGAACTCCTTATTTAAAAAATTGGCAATGCTTGAGTTATAAAACATAATCCATCTCTTTCCATAGCTTAATGAAAACATCTCCTACACACTGTAATACATCTTATTCTTCTGCCTAGCAGAGCACTCATTGTGGAGAGGTTGTGTGCATGCCACATGGAAAGTGCAGACCTCACCATAATACTCCCGGTGATGTTAAGGAACATTGCTAAGAGCCAAAGTCTGGCTTCCTGTTCTTGGCTTCAGGTTTTAATTATTGGTTAGTAATTAAAGATTCTTTCTTTGTGAAAAATAATTTCCCGTAGGTTGGGAGTCAGCAGCAGGGTTACCATGGTGGAGAAGCTAATCTTATTTCTATGTCAGAGATTCTCTCCGCCTTGGCCATGTAGGATGGAAAATTCTGCTTTGCCTAAAGCTCCAGACCGCTCTAATGTAAGATCAGGATTCCTGGGAGCCAACCCTGTGATGAAAGCTTGTAGGCAAGTGATTTATTAAGGATGTGCTCCCAGGGGAAACCAGTAAAGTATTCTGGGAGGCAGGACAGGGAGGGCTGGGGAAGCAAGAAAGTGGAAAGAAAACTTAGAATAACACACTAGTTGTTAGCAGGAAAGTGGAAAGAAAACTTAGAATAACGCACTAATTGCCCCTTTTAATTTCATTTAAAAAATGCTTTCTGCAAATTCATATGTGTCCTTAAGGCAGGAAGGGAGGGGGAGGCTAAGAGAACAGACTTTGAGGTCTGACCACCTTAGGCTTGTGTTCTTCCCTGCTGAATTCTAGCTGTGCAATCTTGGGCAGGGGACTTAACAACATCGAATGCTTATTGAGGGTGTCTTATGAGCCAGAGGCAGTTCTAAGGGCCTTGTGTGCACTACTGAATTGAATTATCACAATCACCGGTAAGATCAGTATTATTATTAACCCATTTTACAGATGAGGAAATTGAGACACAGAGAGATTAACTTGCCTAGGGCACATAGTTAAGAAGCAGTTGGACGTGAGATTTGAATTCAGCGAGGCTGGCCCAAGAGCTCTTCTTAACTTCCTCACTAAATTTCTCTGAGCCTCTCATTGCAGCAGAATTATTATTTATGAAAGGGCCCCATGTGGCAATAGGCAGAGTATACTTATTTTTGAGATAAAAGCAAACATATTAAGAAAAAGTAAAAACTGAGGAGTGGTCTATTTTTATTAATTCAGAGAGACAGCAAGTCATTCAGTTTGTGCTCAAATATCCACTATAATCAAGAAGGTTGTATTAGTTTTTTTATTGCTGTATAGCAAATTATTACAAACATAGTGGCTTAAAACAACACAAATTTATCTCAGAGTTTCTGGACGTGGGTTAACTGGGGCTTTTGCTCAAGGTCTCACCTGGCTGAAATCAAGGTGTCACTGGAGCTGTCTCATCTAGGGCTTGGGGTCCTCTTTCAAGTTCATTCAGTTGTTTGTGGTTGTAGGAGTGAGGCCTCAGCTCCCAGGGAGTCCGCCATTCCTTGCCATGTGGCCCTGTTCACATTATGGCAGTGGCATCTTCAAGGCCAACAGGTGAAAGCCTCCACTGCTTAGAATCTCTCTGACTCCTTCCTTCTCTGACTTGTAGATTACCTTTTAAAGGGCTCACCTGATTAGTTCAGGCCCACCCAGGATAGTCTTTCCTTTGATTAGCTTAAAGTCAACTGATTAGGCGCCTTGATGACATCTGAAAAAAATCTCTAACTCTGCCATATAATGCAATCTAATAACCTAATTGTAAGAGTGATATCTCATCATATTCACAGGTCCTGCCATACTCAAGAGAGGGACTATACAGAGTGCTTACAGCAGAGGGTGGAAATCTTAGGGGGGCATTTTACAATTCTGCCTACCATCAAGTCTTTGTCTTCAAGGAAAAATGATTAAGAGCTTTTAAAGGTAAGAATGGGGCTCTAGCCAAAATGACAGTTATAGTACTCATGATTCTTTGACACAACCACAAAATTTATCTTCTATCATATTTTAGAAGACTCCATGGCTTCAGAGTCTGATCCTTCTTAATTGAGGCCTGGGCATTGTTTCTTGGTCTTTGTTGCTGCTTCAGAAAACTGTAATTGGATGATGGATCAGACGTTTGGTCTCCATCAGATCCACATTTGCCCAGGCAATGATCCCATGTAGGTGTGGCTCTAGTGGACACACCCACTTGGGCTCTGTTGCTTGGCAACAAGACATGGGCAAGCAGTGTGGATGACTGCCCATTTTGCTGTGGCATCAACCCACTACTCCCCTCCTGGGTGGGGGACATGGGTTCAGAAATCTGGTCAGGCCTGCCTTAGACACCCAGAACTGTGGCTTTAAGACAGTATGATTGGGAAACAGGCACATGAGGAGAGGGACAAAGTGAAAATGGATGTCAGCTCAGCAGAAGCAGCATTTTGAACCACAGCTGTAGCCAGGGGTTATTGCCAAGTTAATTATTTGTAAGGCTTGGTCACCTAAAGGTTTTTGGTTCTATGAGATAGAAACCCAAATAAAAAAGCCAGTAAAATATTTCACATTTTGGGAATTCAGTGCGTATATACCGATAATGAAGACAAAGAAAGGAACAAAGGCAGTTGAGAATAGTAATCTTTCAATTTTCTTATATTTGCATAAATGACTTTCTTGTGGCTTATCAGTAAACATTGCTACACTTTTTCTGAACAGGTGTGTTTAGTGATAAATGGAATAAAATCCCAATAGTCTCATTAGCATCCTCCCATCTTTTCATCCATCCGTTCCATCCAACTATCCATCCATCTATCCATCCATCTAACCATCCATCCATCCAATCATCCATCCATCCATTCATCCATCCATCCATCCATCCATCCATCCATCCATCCATCCATCCATCCATCCGTCCATCCATCCATAATTCAGTCTTTTATTTATGAAGTCTCTCTTAATGATCTCTGTGGGGAATGAGGCCGCTGGTTCATTCTCTCATGAGTAAAAGAGTTGGAAGACATTACCCTGGTCTTTAAGCCAGTTAAATTTAGTCAAAGAGATGAGAATCTGTCGAAGGGCTTTAGGGAATTTGGGGTAAGGAAATGATGTGGGCTACTTTTTAAGTCTAGGCTTCTAGGTGGAAGCAAATCTCCAGATGAAATCCAATTACCCATTTGTCTAGTATCGTATTGATGAAGCTTCTAGATGAATTCATATGCTGTATCGACCCAAGAAAACAAGTTCATCCCCCATGTGGTGAGCTGCATTCTTTAAATGCATTTAAGTATCTTTCTTTCTCTAATTTTTTAGGGCTGACTTGCTTTTTCTAGCTATTGCATTCCTATATGGGTGGTGTTTTATTTCCAGGTTAGCACTAAGCATATTATAATGTAATTATATACTTACATGTGAACCCCCCAAGGTCAGGGACTGGATTTTTCACACTTCATAATTCAGGCCCCTAGTATAGCATTTTGCACAGTGGGAACAATACGGCTTTCTTGAATGCTGACTAAGTTCAATGAAACAAATACTAGTCAATTGAATAATTAAAAATAATAGAATGACCAGATATTTTCTTTGCTTTCAGCTATAGCTGTAAGTTTAGGTCCATACAAGTAGTTTCATTTTGTTAAGCAAGGTTTCATTTCTGCCCTATTTTTAAAGCAAAGTATGTTTCTGTAAAAATAAATAGTTTCCTCTAGTACATGAGTTGCATTAAGTGATAGTCATTTGACTGACGGTCTATCAAAGTGATTTTTAAAAAGTCCCCATTCTCAGTATTCAGTCTGATCTGGTGCTAAAGTGCTCATCATGATCCAGCCAGCATTCAAGAGCACATTGAAAATGCCAGCCCTTCCTTTCAATAAGAAACAAAGGTTATTTAAGCCTCAGTTTCATATGCAATATTAATGTGCTTATTTAAATATTCATAGGCCTAAAAGCCAGAAGCAATGTATGTGATCAATACTTCATAACATCTGAGTCATTCGGGGCTGAGTACTGTGCCGGTTTCTTGCTGTCGCCCTTTTATCATGGAGGCCACATGCCCCCTGGGGCCCAATGTGCACACTTCTGTCAAGCTCAAGGTACTTCCTGTGCTGGCAGCTCTTCTGAGCTCTCAGCAGGCACCCACTTCAGAGACAGTCACCTGTCAGGACCCATCTAAAGAATGGAAAAGTGCAGGAATGTAGGGGTGGGCCTTTTTCTCTTATGATCACTTCTGTTGGTGAAATAGCAACCCTGGAACATAAATAATGTTCCAAATTTTGAACGGAACCAAAGAACATAATTTGTCCTCTCCTATCTAGGAACCTAATTGCATTTCCAGCAACTTGAGGGATTCTAGACATTAAAGAAAAGAAATAGCTTGTAGTTATTTGCCTGTGGATTATTCACCTCTCGAATCGTATTCTCTCCAGGCTTGCAGCCATAGGAACTCAGTTAGGTTCCAGGGTCCTCTCTTTCCTTAGTATCATGCATGATGAAGGAGGCAATGGTGGCATCCACCTATGAGGTGGTTGAGAACTAGGAATTACACAGAGGGTTGTGCATGCTGCAGTTTCTGATCATCGTCGATAGAGGGTCATCATATAATTTAGTTCCTGGTATTACTTGCAATAATATTGGTGAGTTAACATTTAATGCAATTTAACAAATATGTATTAAGTGCTTGCTTAACACTGTGATAAGTGTTAAGAGGGACACAAAACACTTACAAAGTACACACTTCCTTACAAAGAGCTTATGATCTAACTGTGATGTAGTCAAACATTATAGGTAAACTGCACTGTTGAATGAATGAATGATTGAATGCATGAATGAAGTGCCAAAATGAATGAGTAGGTTAACCATCAGAATCTTGGAGTGCTTCAAAAGAAATACACACTATGAGGCTTATCCCTAAAGATTTTGATTCAGTAGGTCTAGGATAGGCCTAGAAGCCAATATTCTAAAAGAAATACACACTATGAGGCTTGTCCCTAAAGATTTTGATTCAGTAGGTCTAGGATAGGCCTAGAAGCCAATATTCTCTCCAGACTGGGGTACACCTCAAGTACTGTAGGAGGATGGAGAAGGGGGTCTAGCATGGGCAGCTGTAACAGTTACTACACAAAAACGGCCATAATATGTCAGCAGCATATAACAGCAGGTGTTTAGATAGCTTACGAGTCCACAGTTCAGCTGGCAGCTAGGTGCTCTGGGCTGGGCTCAGCTAGGCAGCTCTGCTGAGCTTGGCTGGCTTGCTTGTTTCTGTGGGTTGGCTGAGGTTTGGTGATTTTGGTGGGGCTCAGCTAGGCAGCTCTGCTTCTTACTGCAGCTCTGTAGGCCAGTGTGGGTGGTGGTGCTTCAGGCCGTGGCAGCAGGGAAGCTCTTCTCCATGTCTCTCACCCTCCTCTAGGGTACAGCAGGAGAGCCTGGGAATGCCCTTCTAATGGCGATGGCAGAGGCGTGGGTAGGCAGTTGGGAGCACACAAGGCCTCTTAAGGCCTAGGCTCCAAACTGGCACTGTCAGTTCTAGATTATTCTATTGCTTAAAACATGTCACAAGGCCCAATCCAAAGTCAAGGGGTAGGAAACACACTTCACCTCTTTAAAGGGAGATTCTACAGAGTCCCATGGCAGAAGCTGTGGTCTAGGGAAGGATGTGGAGTTGAGTCAATGCAAACTTCTGTATTTGCTGCACTCAAGAATTCTTGGAAAAGCTCATGAAGTGTCATGAATCTAGACAGATTCTCAGCACAGGATCTTGGAGCTGCTCAGAGCATCACTCACAGTTTCCAAGCTAGAAGACGGAGTGCAAGAAGTGGCCCATCCTCCCAGCCATCAGAACAGGAGTTGATGTCCCACCCTGCAATGGCTTAAATACCAGGAGATTTCCCTGGCTCGGAGAAAACCTCACTTGGGGTAGTTGCTACCTTATAATCCCTTTGCCCACCTTAGGGATTAACCCTCCCTTATGACTATCCTTGAATATTCATCTAGTTCTAAGGTATGTGACAGGGAAGAAGATGCAGGTCAGAAATGCCGCTTCCTCGGGGGCATCCTTCATTACATCCCTGGCCACGAGCAATGGGTCTTCTCCCTGCCTTTACCTTCTCTTTTCTTGGATGTTGTTTTTCAAAGCCTTTGAGATTTATGTTGGTATCCTCTGATTTTTGCCCTTAACTTTGCAACCCTCACAATCTTATACTTAGCCTGGATCAGTTGCCCTTTCTTCTTTTAATGACCCTAAGCTCACTGGGAGGTCCAATGAACAACTGCACTGGTTTCTTGAGGCACACCCCTGCTTCTCCATCAGGACAACCCGAAATTGTGCAACGTTGTAACCTCAACTCTTCTGAGACAGAAGGAAATGAATGCTTATTGAGCATCTATTATGTGCCAGGCCTGATACGCATATTATCTCAAGGATACCTTGCAACAAACCTGACAAGACATCCATTTTGCCCATTTCACGGATGAAAAAATTAAGGTTCAAAGATGTTTGATATGCTCCTCTAAGGCTGCATCATGAGGTAGGGAGCCAGGAGTCATCTCAGCTTTGACTCAGTTTCCACTACTGCCAACTGTCAGAACCCTACCCTTGCAAGCTGGCTGTTTTCCAACTGTCAGCACATGCAACTCTGCTGAAGACTCTGTCTGCAGGGCCCTATTTTTCTTGTCTAGAATGAATCCTTCTATCTCCCCACCTCATCTCTACTCCTGGGTAGTGGCCTTCACCCAGTGGTTGACAGGAGTTTGTGGGTAACTCTGAGGCCCACTCGGTCCACACTGTTTCCCAGAGTTCCCCAGGGAGATTGAGCTCCCATTGCCCTAGGGGGTAATTTGCTCTCTGGGCCACTCTCCCTTTCTGGCATCAATTTCCTCCTTCCCAGCTGGTGCTTCCTGGGATCTCCTCTCAAATGAATGACTTGCTTTCAAATCCTTGTCTCAGGGTCTGCTTCTGAGAAAACCCAGCACACAGCAAGAAGGCTCTCCTTGGATTCTACAGACCCACCAGCCTTTTCTTCACCTTTGTAGCTTCAGCAAAGCTACAAAGCAGGAGACGTTCTACCCCACCCACCTCCATGCCCTGAAAGCTGCCACCTAAGTCACACTCCACATGTTCTTGAAGAAGTCTCCCTTTGTTCCATAGACCTAACAGAACCCCTGAGCTTGGGCCCGTACTGTGAACCCAGCCTGCAATCCTCACTGGATTGGGAGCTCAGAGTAAAGAGACAACGAACCTCCCTGTCTGCCTACCCCTCACCTGACAGTCATGTCTCACATGCTTGCATCTTTACTGACCTGCCGACTTCTCTAGAGAGTGCCTGTGTCTTATTTATCTCTCTTCCTCTGGGGCTTGCACATAGCAGGTTCAATCCACAGCCATTGTATTGACTTAGAGAAAATACCCAGTTATTATAGCGAAGATGGGTAAAGGAGGTTATAATTTTAACCTGGTCTAAAATAGCCTCTTGGCTAATACTCATTTCGTGTCATGACTATTGGGATAGAAAAAGAAAAATTTTAATTATTTGGAATAGTGAACTTTTACCAGTGGGACTGGATCCCTCCGATGAAATTCAATCATAGAACAATAGAGTAATAATCCAAGTGGCCGTTATTATCCTTTACTCCCAACACTCAGCAGGCTCAGTGTGGATTTTTTGAATTAGATTAACACTAACAACTTACATTTATATATTGATTTGCAATTTTCCAAGTATTTTATTCTTAGTTTAATGGGAATAAACTGGACTACCAGCATATGCTGTTTCCTCTCTTAATATACAGAATAACCAAGCTTTGAAAATAATTCTGCTTTCAGAAACATTTTGGTTGGTTTGATTATAAAGTAATTTTTTTGAGGAGCCTTGGGTAGAGTTTTCAATCCTCACTGAAAATAAATCAGTAACCACAAGGAGTTTTTTCAACATAGAACATGTCTATTTATTTTAACCTTTAATGAATTTCCAAGGCATCTCTGGGGCAGACGTTGCTACATCCCCCTTCAGCCTGAAACCCTCATGTCCCTGGTAAGCTGCAGCTGTCTGTACCCACACCTCTGCCCAGGGCTTTTCCCCAGGCTGTGGGGAGGTAGGAACATCTTTTGGGACAAGCCCTCAACCAATGACTGACGAAGTTGTCACATAAATACCCCAGCTTCTTGAGGCATCACATCCCAAGGGGGATCACTCTGGCTCACATATTCTATGCTGTCTCCCAGAGCTGCCCAGTGAGATTAAGCCTCAGTGCCCACAGTGCTGTCTTGTTTGATAACTGCCCCGTTTACAAGCTACCTTTCCTTCCCGGACTCATTCCCTGTCCTCTACCCCTGCTTCCTAGAATCCTCTTCCAAATAACCTACTTGTACTCAAACCCTTGCTTCAGAGTCTGCTTCTAGGGAAACCCAAGCAAAGACTCCACCAAGTACCTCTCTCTCAAGGGGCACCAGGCTGGCTCATCCCTCCAAGCCATTAGGTCACTTAACGAGGTGTGAAGCTGCCTGCTAATTCTCTGCTCAAACAATTTTCGAGCCTATCACTGTCTACTGGTTTCATTGCTCTCCTGGGCTGGTCTACTCTATTTGCTGTCCTCATTGTGTTAATGATAGTGTAAAATTTTTAATTAAAAATAAAGAAGATTAGTGTGGTTAGTAGCTCCGAAGTTGCCACTCTGAACTCTACACAGGGTGAGAGAGACACTGTGCCATTAAAAACCAGCCAGTTTGGGCCCTCTGCTGAGGAATCAAGCACGAGGTAGTTAGGTGTTCAGTTTTCTCATCTATACCAGAGGCAGAACATTTTCACAGCCATATGTAAATATATATAATTTCATTGTCAGCTTCCAAGTGTTTGATACAAGTTGAAGACTCAGACTTTGCTCTGAATGAAAGTTATCAAGATGCGCAGTTTTGCACAGAAATCACATTTTCTGTTCAATTCTTAGGTCTCATCTAGTTTAAGTTCAGCATAGACATTGTCATCTCTTCAATAACATCCCACCAGTGGCCATCAAACTTCCTCTTGAATATTTTCAGGTATGAAGAATTTGTTACTTTCATTAATTTACTAATCTTTTATTTTTATTTATTTATTTATTTATTTATTTATTTATTTATTTATTTATTATTTTTCAAGACAGAGTCTCCCTCTGTCGCCCAGGCTGGAGTGCAGTGGTGCAATCTCAGCTCACTGCAACCTCCGCCTCCTGGGTTCAAGCGATTCTCCTGCCTCAGCCTCCTGAGTATCTGGGACTACAGGCACATGCCACCACGCCCGGCTAATTTCTTGTATTTTTAGTAGAGACGGGGTTTCACCGTGTTAGCCAGTATGGTCTCAATCTCCTGACCTCGTGATCCACCTGCCTTGGCCTCCCAATAATTTACTATCTTAATCACTAGACAGTTCTTCCTTTGACTGAGTTAAAATTTTGCTTCTGTGGTTACCACCCATTGGTGAGAATTTTCTTGGGAGAAATTACTGAACAAGTGGAATGCCTCATTGTACCAGGAGAATTTGAAATATTTGAAAACATACTCAATGTGCCTGTTTTCTTTTTTCCAGGAAAAGCTTTTCCAGTTCTTTCAGTTCTCCTTAGCATGGTATGGCTTGGAGTCCACCCATGTTACTGTCTGCCATCTCATCTCCCTCTTACAGTGAAACACTGATTGGAAACAACCTAATTGTTCAACAATTGGAGATCAGAATGTTTAAATAAATTATAGCATGAGCTAATGCCATGTAGCCCTTAAAATTATGTTTTGGAGAATATTTAATAACATAAAAATGTTTATGGCACATCAAGCAGAAGGGAAGAATATGCAATAAGAGCTCAATTTCATTAAAAATAGACACATAGAAATTAAAGGCCCCAAATATGTCAAAATAATAAGAATGGTGGTATTATGGCTAGTTTTGAATCTGTTTTATGCTTTTTCATATTTTTTGACAGATAACATGCATTTATTTTTTAATCAGAAAAATGTTCTTAAGAAAGAAAAGAAGAAAAAAGAACTTGAGACTCACAGAACCGATAAGAGTTCTTCAGGTGTATTCTGGTATTGCAGATCTCAGAGGAGCTGGCACGGCTCAATATGGAGGTTTCACATTCCAATTTCAGATGAAGGTTTTGGCAGATGGATCACACCATCCACTAACATTGTACCTGCAGCTCACTGGAACCCCAGAGGATTCTTGCCCCCAATGAATGACTATCTTTTTCGAATCTGGCAGCTGGAGTTGGGAGCAGCCTGACAGGAACTGCCTGGGCTAGGCAGGGAGAAGGGAAGGATGCAGAGGTCGGTCTCCATGTCTTAGGCCTTTGTGGGGTTATGCTATGCACAGGAGACAGGCCATGTGCCCTCAGCTCTCCAGCCCAATGGGTACCACCCCACCTTGAAGTCCTCCAAGTGACAAGATGATTGTTTCCCCAAGTATGGTTTGGGAAAGTGAGCAGAACTCCACGTGGCTGCCCTGTGAGGCACTGGGTCCTGGAGATGGAGGGAACTGTGGAGAATATCAATGCCTCTGTCTGCAGAGGGTGGAGTGGGGACAGCCCTCGGAGGGAGGACCACCGACCCTGGAGGCCATGATCCCTGCCACACTTGCTCTCTGTGAGGAACAGCCCCAGATACATCAGAGCCTTGGAGAAAATGCAATGCAGCACTTCTCAATCCCCTGCCTGACACATCTCCAGGGCCCTGCAGTTATGGAGGAGGCAGGGAAAGGTGAAGGCACTAGCGGAGTCAGCCATAGTCAGGGAGAGGCAGCAAGGACTGTGTCCAGGGCAGTCCCTTTAAGGAAGTGCATGAGAAGACCAGCAGACAGCTCCACTCATGTTCAGTAGGGAAGGCACCATGAGGAGACAGGGAGAAGGGCTGTTTCCTCAGACTCCACACACAGGACCGCTGGCACAGGCAGTTTACAATGGTCTTCTCCATAGACATGGATTATTATCATTGCTGGGAATATAGCTTTGGTTTAATTTCTGTCATTTCTTTCTGGGGCCACATTGGCTGGATTCTGCCAATGATTCATTTAATAGTTTTTCCTAATATTAAAAAAGATGCTCCTCTCAATTTATGCTCTTCTAGATTTATAAGATCCCTTGAATGCCTTGTTTCTTGTTGCCCAGTGCATGAAACACATGGAATATTCCCCCTTTCTTTGTGCAACGTAGAGACACTCGCCTTCCAGGACAAATGACCCAGACTGGTGACCTCCAAACACTTTTTGCTGGGTAACCATCCTTTCTTTTATGCAAGCCCTTGTTCTCTAAATATGAGTCTCTTCAATGACTAAGACAACATTTTTTACACCTAGATCTGGAGGTCTCAGAAGTATAGCTTAGAAATAGTTTGGATAATTTTAAGTGAACGCACCAATGCTTGAATCTTGTACTCCCTGGGGTTAAAATAAGTGATCGATTCTGTTTAAAGGGCTTGTGGGCTTCATCAGGAAAGCAGCGTGTGAACTGCTGAGTCAAAAGTTAGAGTGTGTGGTTCTAGCCCAGCAGGGCTTTTGGTGATTCTCTGCTAACATTGCTTGTTTGTCAAGGGATAGTAATTCTCAATGTTATGGGGGAAAGTCAGTGGAGTGGTCATAAGTGACACAAATAATCAAAAAAGATAACGCTCTTACTTTCATAAAGCTGGGGCTGCAATGTGAGTCACTGCAGTTTTTGGCTTTTTGCCTTTGGTTTTGTCCAACAAGAACCCAAATGGCTCATTTCCACCCTTCAATTCAATATCATCAGGTAGAGTTGATTTAAACCTTGCCAAGTCTCTCTCTTCTTCCCCCTCCCTGTACCTACTTTCTTGGCACTCTGCTCTTTCAGATGTCAGGTTTCTTTCTTCTCTCAAAGCCACTGCCTTTGCCTGCTGCCAGGCCACATGCCTTGTCCATTTGCTTGTGGCCTGAGCTGTGGCTCCAATGGGATGGACAGTTCCAGTGTGGCTGCCCATGTGGCTGTCTGTGTGTGCATGCATGTGTGCCTATGAGTACGTGTGCATCTTTTGTGCTTATGCATGTGTGTGTATGTTCCTGTTTGTGTGTGTTCCTCCATGTGTGCGTGCATATGTTCCAGCAGCTGTACTCCTGTGTGTGTGTGTGTGTGCATGCTCCTGTACTTGCATGCATGTGTATAGACATGTAGACATGTGCATGTTCCTAATAGCCAGGGACACCAGGACATTTAAGATGCATCTGTTTCCCCACCAAAGTTGGCTTGTACTTACATAGTTGGAGGCCAGGTCCGGGTGGAGATAGTCAATCCCTGTGAAAAGACAACAATAACACAGGAACCAAAGGTTAATACCTGCCACTGTGTCCTCAGGAAAGCTGCCCAAGAAAGTGCCCTCTTTATGGGGCTGGTGCCAGAAGGCTTGCCATGGGGGTGAGTGCCCCATCACACAGCTCCCAGTCTTGCACCTCCCTTCTGTGTGGAGGTGTGAAGGTGGGCTGCACTGCCAGAGCGGAGAGACAGCTGCCCAAGACAGCTTTGTGACAGTGAGATGGATGGCTCATCAGAGCACTGATCTAAAAGAGATTTGTAGAAATCTTGACATTTTTAAAGCATCAACTGGCATTTCTCTGAAATGAAACCGGCCCTGGGGAGGAAAAGTGATTATTATTTAACAGGGCATGGACAGCAATGGATTAGGAGAATGTACTCTGGCATGGAAATAATAAGAGAACATGGCTGGGCAAGAAAAGCCATTAGGTAAAGGGCAAATGGTTTCCAGTGAGGTGTTGCTGGTTGGGAGCTGAGGCTTGTCTCCTCAGAATGTGGCTTTCCAGGAAGCCTGAGGCTTGAATGTCTCAGCAGGAGCCCTGCTTTCTCCTGAATGGTGGCCTGTCTTGTTGCCCAGTAGTCGTTCCAAGGGTAAAATCAGGGACTATGAGCACTGCTGAGTTCCATCAGACCCTTGGACCTCAGAAAGCATCAAGAAACTCCAAGGGCAATTGAAAAGCTCTCATTTGGGTTTGCAAAACCACATAAGCTTTGCAGCAGTTACACCTGAGCATCTAACCCTCCAAGAAACAGGGCAGGTTCTTGACACCATCTAGCATAATGGTTACAAACGTAGGTCTGTGGAGTCAAAGACAGGCATTTGAGTCCCAACCACCCTGATAACTGCCTGCAAGACTTCAGGCAAGTTGCTTGGACTCTGTGATAATTTTCCTTTTTGATCAACTGGGGGTGAGAACAATGTAAGGACTAAAGAAATGAATGCATGTGGTATGCTTGGCCCAGCAGCTGGTGCATTTAATAACTATATGGGGATGCAATATCTAAAAGCCAGAAGTATCATTAAATCTGTCCCAAGGCTGCTATCTTCACTGCATGCTTACTAAGGCTAGGCCACCATTAGAGATTTGCCTTCCCCAAAAGAGCTTGTATTAGGATGCATATTTCTGAAAAGAAATTTTTCTTTTTTTTTCCGGTTATACAATGAGTAACTGGACTGAGAGTCACTAATCTACGGTACGTGTGTTAGGTTTCACTGTTGATTTTGATGAGTGAAGCAATTGCTGTCACTATGGCTGCTTTCTATAGTTTGGGAGACTATAGTCCCCTCCCTAAATCATTATGCCTTCTTCTCCCACTTGCCTCCCGAAGTCTTCAGAGGGAAAGGCATCAGAATATTTAAAGACAAATATTTTTAAATGTTGTTAACCCTTGTTCTGGATCCTAATTCAAAGACCGTCAATTTTGGTCAGGCATGGTGGCTCACGCCTGTAATCCCGGTGCTTTGGGAGGCTGAGGCAGGAGGATTGCTTGAGGCCAAGAGTTCAAGACCAGCCTGGGCAACATAGTGAGACCCTGTCTCTACAAAAATAAGGACATCACTGCACACTAACCTGGGAGACACAGCAAGACCCTGTCTCTAAAAGGAAACAACAAACAAATCCCCAAAAGCAAACCAAGAAACATCCCCCCAGCAAAATGGTCAGTTTAGGCTGTGGGGTGAAGTTGGGGATGAGCATAGGCTTTGAAATCAGTGGATCCAGTTCCACTCTGGGCTCAGACACTAACACTTGTGTGGCTTTAGCCAAGTGACATAATCTGTCTGAGCTTTGGTTTCCATGTATTTGAAATGGGACTATTATTTACTTTGCAAAGCGGTTTTCAAGATTAGAGACAATTCATTGAAAGTCTTCAGCTTATAGTAAACACTTAATACATTCTATTTCTTATCATCATTAGTCCTAACATCTACCACATCTCTGGAGTAGTGTGCATATGCAGAAGAAAAGAAACATTAAAAAATATCCACTTGGTTTCAGCATATTGTGTTGAAATTAAATTGCTTCTATTTGTTAAGATAGCTTAAATTTTGTGAACTCATTGGGTGAAAAATTTTGATAATTTATACCTAAATATAAATGATCAAAAATATAATTTATATTTTAAATATTTATATTTTAAAATATATTCTCTGTGTGTGTCTTTTTTCACACTTAGCTAGATCAAACGAACTTATCTAAATAAGTGTAAAAAAAGACACACCCAGAGAATATATTTTCCAACAGGAAGTCAATTTTTGAAACATGGCTTCATGTTCTGAGAATGGAAGCTGTTAAGGAGAAAAATGTTCCAATAAATAGTAGTGTCTTCTCTGTCAAGGGAAAATACTGGAGCAAGAAGATAATTTGAGACCAGAAGGAAATTAGAATTAAAACAAGATAAATTTAGCCTAATTAAAATAAACGATCTTAAATTAGGTTAAGAGGAATACTAAGTGTTAAGTTAGAACAGATACCGACTTTGGTCTGAGAAAGAGAATGATTGATACGACTGTGAAGGACAACAAACATGATTCGGAAAAAGTAATAATGGACTGAAGAATGGAAAATAGTAATTTGGTAACTAGATAGTACTTTTATATTTTTGTATATTTGATTATCTTTTAAGGTGGGAGGTACTGAACACATCTTCCTAATCGGCTTATGTTTAATTCTTACAATATTCTCATATTCATTCTTATACTTCATGCTTTTGTTTATTTCTCAGCAGTGAATGCCAGGCACAGTGTCGGTCCTGGAAAACCGCAGGTGATTTAGACGTAGAACCTGAGCTGTACAACTATCTATGGCTCACAGCCTATGGGGGTACCGACTGATCACCAGCCAATCATAATAAATGTGGCACAGAAATGACAAAGACTTGGTTATAATTTGGTTCATAAATCATTAGTATCCTATCATCAATTTGAAGCTTCTTGGAAAGTCTAATCCACAATAGTCCCAATTCTCAGGAAGCGGTGACAGTCCTGGAGACCTCGAGGAACTAGGAAGGAGTTCCATGTGCACATTCCTAGGTAGAATGTTAATAGTTCACTTGAGATGCGTAGCATGTCAGAACCCTGGCTCTGAGCTCCAGTTCTTTAACCCTAACCCTAACCCTAGAGCCTCGGGGCCCAGGCAGAGAACTGCCATGGGGTGGGGCTACCATAGAAAACCCCCACTAAGACAAAGCCCAGTGGAGCTGTGGGGGTGGGACTGCCCTGAGACCCCAGAACTACAGACCCACTAACATGTGATTCCAGTGTGGGAGAATGGCAGGCATGAGACTCCACCCCATGAGAGCTGCTGCATGAGCTGTGCCCAGTGAAGCCATGGGGGAGCGGTCATTAGGAGCCTTGGAGGCCCAGCTCCCACCCCAGTGTGTCCAGAAGGTGGGACATAGAGTCAGAAAAGGTTACTCTCAAGCCTCAGAATTTGTTTGCCTTTTTGGATTTTGGACTTACTTGAGACCTGTTACTCCTTTCTTCTTTCCTATTTCTCCCTTTGGGAATGGGAATGTATGTTTTATGCCTGTCTCACCATTGTATTTTGGAAACACGTAACTTGTTTGATTTTACAAGTTCACAGCTGGAGAGCAATTTGCCTCAGGATGAATCGTACCTTGAGTTTCACCCATCTCTGATTTAGATGATATTTAGATGAGACTCTGGGCTTTAGACTTTGATGTTGGTGCTGGAACAAATCAAGACTTTTGGGGCTACTGGGCTAGAAAAAGTGTATTTGTATGTGAAGGACACAAATTTTCGGGGGGGTGGTGCTTGCGGGCAGGGTGAAATGCTGAGATTTGAGTGTTTGTGTCCCTCTAAAATATATGTTGAAACTTAATCCCTAGTTGCAATAGTATTTTGAAGTGGGGCCTTTAGGAGGTGATTAGGTTTTGAGGGCTGTGCCTTCATGAATGGGGTTCGTACTTTTATAAAAGGGCTTGAGGGAGAGAGTTCATCCCTTTGTTACCCCTTCTGCCAGGGGAGGACGCAGTGTTTGTCCCCTCCACAGGATGGAGCAACAAGGGGCCATCTTGGAAGCAGAGAGCAAGCCTTTATCAGATACTGAATTTGTGATTTCCCAGCCTCCAGAAGTGTGAGAAATACATCTCTGTTATTTATAAATGACCTAGTCTAAGGTATTTTGTTACAGCATCAGGAACGGACTAAGGCACATTGTAAACATCTACAGCCAATCCCCTGGAGTCCTGTTGGGGCAGGATAGAGTTTATAGCCACTCTGGTGAGTAAGACATCAAGACCAAACTATAGTAAAGCACAATATGTGGGCACTCTTTTTGACGGTCCCAGCTGAGCTCCAGTGGCAACCAGCAACAACCACCAGCGATAGGAGTGCACCATCATGGATGTGCAGCCCAGCGGGGCCTTCAGAAGACTGCAGCCCAGCTAACATCATAACTGCATGAGCAACACTGAGTGAGCAGTGCCCAGCCAGGCTCTTCCCAGATTCTTGTGCCACAAAATCATGATTAAAGATAAATAGCAACTTCAAGCTGCTAAGTGTTGGGGTTGGATATGGTTTGGCTGTGTCCTCCCCCAGATCTCATCTTGTTGGGGGGACCCGGTGGGGGATAATTAAATCATGGGGGTGGGTTCCCCCATACTGTTTTCGTGGTAGTGAATAAGTCTCGCAAGATCTGATGGTTTTATAAGGGGAAACTCCTTTCACCTGGCTCTCACTCTCTCTCTTGCCTGCTGCCATGTAAGACACGGTTTCATCTCCCGCCATGATCGTGAGGCCTCCCCAGCCACATGGAACTGTGAGTCTATTAAACCTCTTTTTCTTTATAAATTACCCAGTCTGGGTATGTCTTTATCAGCAATGTGAAGATGGACTAATACAGGATTATCTGTTATGCAGCAAAAGTAACTGGAGCAGTCACCCTGCTGGACCTTCCTACTGTTTTCTATGTGATGCAGAGTTCTAAATCTCTCAGAAGGGTGTGGGTGACTATGTGGTCCTCAGGTTTGAATCTTTTATTTATTTATTTATTTGAATTTATTGAAAAAACTGTCTTTTGTCCTGGAGAATTTCCACATCCTGGTGGTGTCATTTTTTTTTTTTTATACTTTAAGTTTTAGGGTACATGTGCACAACGTGCAGGTTAATTACATGTGTATACATGTGCCATGTTGGTGTGCTGCACCCATTAACTCGTCATTTAACATTAGGTATATCTCCTAATGCTATTTTGAATGAGGCTCCCATTCATAAAGTCTCACCAGGAAGGCAGAGCAAAGGATTAGGTTTCAAGTACCAAGAATGGTGGTTAGAATTAGTTGTGAGACTTTGGGCAGTTTCTTGCCTCCCTAAACCTCAGTTTCTTCATCTGTAAAATGGCGATTATAATAATACCAACCTTAGGGAATAACTGTGGTTGTATTTCCAAAATGCTAAGCAGTGTCTAGCACATAGTGATTACTCAATAAATGTTCGTCGTTTTTACTGTTAGTTGTTTATTCTTACTTCAGCTTGAAGCTCCCTCTGACCTTAGCTCGCTGGCCTTCCATCTCACTTCCTTGGCTCCATCTGATAATGGCTAAGGGCCTTGACCCATGCCTTCTCTGATCTTGTGTGATCTTGAGAACCAGCCATCTGCCCTGAATTACTCTTGGGCTGGATGACTCTTGTCCATCCCTGTATCTTGTCATGATCACATTCCATTTTCCAGGTCAAGTTCCCAACTCTAAACAATTCCATTACAGTAAAAGGGCGGAAGTTGTCATCATTAAATGGGGTCCTTGCTAATATCTACATAGGTGAAATGTCCTAGTAGACCCTTAAGAAATAATTTCTGCCCCTTTAGACAGCAGCTAACCATGGAGGTCCTCTCCTAGTGATATGTAGCATGTGGAAATGACATTGCTTTGTACCTACGTGAAGGCAGCAGATATTTATTGAGCATCCATTGAGTCACTGGATCCAGCAGAGGGGATGATGGCTGAGTTTGGAGTTGGGCAACCAGAGATGGGAGGGCAGTGATTAAAACTGGCTGTCCACAAATTTAAACTTCTGCACGCAGATGATTGAACATTTGCCACACAGGCCAACATGTGGAGAGACAATGTTGATAGAATATGACATTAGTTTTGCCCTTAGGTATCAGGGTTGGCATCTGTGTCTGTCTTTAACCTTATTTTGGAATATCTTGCCAAGAAAATGTCTGGGACATGGCACCATACCATTCATGCGTGCAGGTCGTTAAGAGAGAGAATGCAGTACTGATGTTGCCAGCCTTCCCGGTTCTAGCTGTGAGGACAGAGATGGCCAATTACATGGCAAGAGCATCTGTCCTTGTCCTCACCATGTGGGGAGCTGCCCTTGTCCCAAATGTGCTCATTTTGCTATTCAACAGTGAACTTGGATACTTTTCTTCAGTTATCATATGGAATAGCATGTGATGCATTAAAAATGGCCACAAATTCAGAGTTTATTTCCTTTCCACTTGAATCTGGATTGGCCCTGGGACCATTCATCCAACATAAGTGGCAGAGTTACCGGTGCCCATTCCAGGTCTAGCCTTTAAGAGGACTGGCAGCTTCTGCTTCTTCTCTTTTGGAAGGCCTACTCTTGGGAGTCCTGAGCCACCTATAAGAAATCCATCTACCTTGCTGGAGGCCTCATGTGAGAGGAGAGGTCCTCAGACTCCATGGAAAGGGAGGGAGGCTGAGCCTTTTCAGCCTCCCATTGGAGCCTCTAGTTGACTCCAGGGTCAACTTCCTTCTGACTCCACCTGCATGATAGACTCCAGTGGAACTTGCAGAACTGCCCAGATGAACTCCAGCAACCCACAGAACCGTGAGAGATAATAATATGGTTGTTTTTTAAACCACTCAATGTTGGGATTCTTTGTTCTGCAGCAGTAATTGACTAAAATGAAGAAGAAACCAGGAATTGTAATTGGGGGGCAGAGTTTACTTTTGTGGGAACCCAAAGGCCATTAATCAGCTGAAGAAAGAACATCAAATGAGAAATTCTGCTGAGACTTTCTAAAGGGCTTGCCTTTGCATGTGGAAATGAGTCAGGAGCCAATGACTTTAGGAGTCAGTCAAAGAGCTTTCAGTTAAAGTATTCTGAAATGGGCATCTACAGTACTCTTGGAGGTTTCCTAAGAGCAGAGCAATGCACATCTGTTGGCACTTTAGTGCCACTTTTAGGGTGGCTTCTCTGATCCCCGGCTGGGGATACCCAGTAGGATATGCTGTTAGAAATGGTCATGACAATATCTCCTAGGTAGGTTTTCCCCAAATCCTGATGCATTGTTTTCCTGGGTGAGCTGGCCTGAACCCCTTTGGAACAGTTTTCAAGAACAAGTGTGAGAAAAGAAGAAACATTTATAAACTCCTGACATCTGAGCACACACACTCTCATGCAGGGCTCCTTTCTTCTTGTGAGAGCCCTTGGCCTCTGGAGGAAGGTTTTACATCCACTTAAAAATGTCTCACACATCAAAAAACATTGAGGCATTGTTTTTATGTTGATATTTAATGAGCCCACACAAGACAACGCAGGTTTTAAGCAGGCTGGCTCCTCTTGGTTTCCTCTGTCATTTCTGCTTCAAAGCCTCACTTTAAGGAACATAGTGTTCTGTTCTTTGAGGATCTTCGGATGGGAAAGGCTCAACTGTTTCATCTCTGTGTAGCCTTTGTATATAATTGGGTCAATAATGCACAGTAGAGCTTTTTGCTGGCAGACCCAGATGGGTGATGGAGGGCAACAACACATCCCCAGTGAAACGACCACAGGCGGCAATTCTCCACAATCTTGGCAGGGCCAAGGACGTGTGTAGTTGGAAAAATGCCAATTCATCAAGCCCATTGGTTTTCATATCACAAACTATAGAAAATGAAGCTCTGCTAAGTCTTTGGTAGGCACGCAGGTTGAATAACATGTAAGGGATGTCTGTAATAAAAAGTTATCAAAGGCTACTTTACAAGGGTTCATTCTGAAAGCAGCAATAAAGTCAAATTTCCCCAAGCTCCAATCCTGTTACTGAAAAGCTGTTTTATGGATGTAGAGTCACGCTAATGTAACTATCTGTGATGATGAAAATGGAATTGAATTTCAGCAGCTGCTAGCCCCATGTGGATATCAAGAACTTGAGGCTAGTGTGATTGAGGAATTGAAATAAAATTTTACATTTTATTTAACTTTAATTAATTAAAATGTAAAGTTAAATAGGCACATATGGCTAGTGGTGACTACATTGGATAGTGTGAGTCTAGAGAAATTGATGGTGAATATAAAGAGTTTAGAGGACATTTTAAGGTAAAGTGTAAGCAGTAAGAAATTATGGTTGAGTGATAGGCAGCTTTCATTTATTCATTTGTTTAGCTTATTATTTATTAATTCAAAAAATATTTGTTAAGTGCAACCTCAAGTTTGAGGACCACTGATTGGAAGAAAGGTGAAGATCTGGGCACAGTGCAGTGTGGCCATCATGCCCAGTATCTTGCTGTTCCATCTCTGGTTAGCATCTCCAAAACAATACAACTTTTATCAAAAGGCAAGCAAAGGCACGCTTATTTCCAAATGAGGCACAGGCTTCAAAATACTCACCATCATCCATAATTCCAATGGTAACACCTTTCCCTGTGTATCCCAGCTCCCAGGCTTCAGCCACATTCAAATCAAGGCCAGGAGTGCCATCAGCTTGCCCAGTATTGATCTGGTACAGGAATTTCAAAGCAGAGAATGGTATTAGTTTGGTGTTGTAAAGCACCCATGTACATATTTACTTGACATACTCTATAGCCATCTAATATTTCAGGACCAGCTCAAAGGCCACATCTTCCATGAAACAGTACTTTTGGGTGTCCCTCCCAACCTACCTATAGTGTTTCCTCTCCATTTTTTTTTTTTTGGTATAAACACTTTGTGTTTTCTGTTTTCTGTAAATATGCAAACATAGTTTCAATCCCCTAATATCTTATAACTAGATCACTATCTTTAAACTTTTTCCATAAGAGAGCTGCTATTGCAGGAAACCCTCCCTGATTTAGAATTAAATGCTCACTTTCATAGCTCTTTGTTTCTACCTCATGTTTTGAATTTACAGCATATTGTTTTGGATTATTCTTATTTGAATATAACTTCTTACTAAATAACAATATCTTTTGCAGGAGATGACATGTCCTAGTTAATCTTTGTAATTTCAGTGCCACCACACTAAGTCTTGTTCAAAAGTATTTGTTGAACTGAATTAAAGAAAACTGGCTCACCTTTAGTGCATGTTCTAATGCAGAAAAATAAATCCTAAGGCCCCTCATCCTGGCCCCCAAAAATATTTCAGAAAAGAAAGAAAGGAAAACAAAGAGCAATTCCACAGTAATATGTCCACTCCCAATCTTCATGTGTCTTTGTACTGTGTAGGTTTTCTCCAGGATGGATTGTAAAAAAAATAATGAAGTCAGAGCTTGTACTGGCAAAAGCCCACAGTGATCAGTGGCTGTTATGATATTGCTAAAACATTGTATGATTGTCATTGGGGCTCTTTAAAAAATTTACTGTGCTCTTTCTTCTAAAGACATGTTAAGACTACACACCTCTCCACCCACTCTGAAGTTAGAATGGCGGATGACTGATTTTGGCCAATGACATGTGATCTCATGTGCCATTTTTTCACATCCAGGCAGAAGCTTTAAGAGTTTCTTTTAAAAATTCTACAATTTGCCCCTTTTCCTTGCTGAAGGGCTTATGAAAGCAGTGTGGGAATGGAGCTCAGATGGAGGTTGGTCAGCCTGCGTTTCTGAGCAATTATGAAGCATTAGTCGTGTAGCAAAAGTGAGAAACAAGCCTTGCTTTTGATAAGCTACTGTGATCCGAGGGTTGTTCATTATTGCAACAAACCTAGCCTATCCTAACTAATACAAGTACACTCATTCAATTACCCATATTGGATTTTCGGACTTCCATGCCAAAAAGCATAAGTCAGAGTCAAGCTCTGAAGCCCCAGAAGGGAAATTGTGATGAATTCCTGTAATGTAGCCGTCCACAAGGCTGTAATTTAGTTCTCTCTCTTGTTCATCACTTTTTAATCTTAAATAAAATACAGCTTCATTCACATTTACAAATTAGTCACTCCCTTTCTGTCAATATGCCCTGCAGTTCAGGTTGGTTTGGAGTCACTGATCCCTTTTTAAACATAGCTTGGCCAATCCAAATGGATCATGATGAACTGTTGGTGACCCACAAAATGCTCACTTCACCAGGCAAAATGGGTTTTAGTGCCTCCAGGCCTGCATCAGTTAAGCCCCATGGAATTGATTTCCTGCCATTGTTTTAGGAAGCATTAATAGATGCTCTTTTTGCTACTTTAGTCTCCAAGCTTTCTTGCTAGCCCCTTGCAAAGTCATTGGATCCTTTCTTTTAGGCCTGTGACTTCATTATGTCCCCTGTTACTCTGTCTGTTGAAACCCCTGCATTACTCTTCCCAGACCTCTGATTTGACTTTTATATAGTTTTGCTAATCTTCAGTCATACACTGGTGCACTTTTTCAGAACTGAAGAGAATTCCACTAGTTGTTGGTCATAGCCTCCACCCTAGGAGACAAGGGCTACTTAGCAGTTCCAGAAGAAAGCAGATTAGAGAACTAGATGCACAGGTGGTGACAGAAAATCAATACATATGTAAGGGGACAGAGAGGGTCACTGGGTTGGATACTGGCTAACATCCTAGTGAATAATGAGGATACAGGAATTCATCTTTTATCCAGAGTCTCAAGATGGGAAATGTCCAAAAGGACATAAAGACACTCACCAGATACCACTGCTTTGTAAAAAGAGGATCGTTCATGTTGATGTCGATCTCATTGATGTCTCTGTAACCTCGCTTTTTTCGGTCAAATCCTTCCTGCTGCAAAGCCATCTTTACCTGGAATGACAATGCTGACATATTACCTGAATATAATCTGAACATTCTGTCTTCTGGAATTTGTTTCCATGAATCCAAATTTCATTTGTATATCAGGTGTATTTTTTTCTTTGGCAAAAGCAAGTTCATCTCATATACATGCTCACCTTACCATTATTATTATTATTTTGTATTTTTTTGTAGAGATTAGGGGGGGTCTCGCTATGTTTCCCAGGCTGGTCTCGAACTCCCGAGCTCAAGTGATCTGCCTGCCTCAGCCTCCAAAAGAGCTGGGATTACAGGCGTGAGCCACTGTGCCTGACCCGTTACCATTATTTTATGAGAGCATTTACTTATGGTTGCACTGAACAGACAGGCTTTGGTGATGACTCAAAGTGAGTTTCCCTAAAGTAAGAATTAGATAGAGAAAAGTATTCTTTTTTTTTTTTTTTTGAGACAGAGTTTCGCTCTTGTTGCCCAGGCCGGAGGGCAATGGCATGATCTTGGCTCACTGCAACCTTGGCCTCCCAGGTTCAAGCGATTCTCCTTCCTCAGGCTCCTGAGTAGCTGGGATTACAGGCATGTGCCACCACACCCAGCTAATTTTGTATTTTTAGTAGAGACAGGGCTTCTCCATGTTGGTCAGTCTGGTCTTGAACTCCCAATCTCAGGTGATCCACCAGCCTTGGCTTCCCAAAGTGCTGGGATTACAGGCATGAGCCACCGCACCTGGCTGAGTAAAGTATTCTTAAAGAAGATAATGTGGTAGGGGTCATTAAGTGAAATAAAACAATGGAACATTTCTATTAAGGAGAGAGGACTGATGTGGATTCAGGAAGAGAGAGAGTGAAAACAGCATGTATAATTTTTCTGGATGGCTTCCCAGTCTTTAATTTGTTGACAGTGCTATCACGTTTGAGAATCTGCTGAAAAAGAAAACTTCCCCAAGACAAGAACAAACAGACAAACAATGAGGCCAGCATGGAGAGCCAACAAATGCCATAGCAAAGTCCTAGAAGGTAGAGAGGAACCTCTGAGAAGAAATTGATGGATGGTGTGTCCTTGCACTGACAACATTTCAATTTTGGACAGCCAGAAAGAACCCCAAGCTCTTGGATGTAAATGCAATTTAGGAGCTGAGTTAGTTCAAGCAGCTTCTGGCAATGGCTAGGCTTTGTTTTAATCAGGAAACTTGTTTTCACTTGGACAAAGACTAATTTATCATGCAACAGTTGTGGCCAGTCTCCGAACATGTACAAACTCAAGGATTATGCACATATATAAAAGGGTGCTGCTAGATATTACTATTATATTTTGTAGCCCAACATTTTTTTTCCTCTTCCCAAATCTCCCCAGTGTATTTGGGGGAATTACTTCCAATCCATCAGGTTCTGTGTTGGTGGAGTGAAGTTCTAGGTGCCCGCCTGCTGCAGGCATTAGAGTCTCCCTCTGCCTTAGGGGTGCCTCTGTGGGTGTCTCTTTCCCAGGATTTGAATCTTGGGAAGGTGAAGCAAGGACCAAGATCCCCTGGAGCCCATTTATCCTGGAGGTTCCCTCACCAGGCTCTTCTAGTAAAAGATCCTCACTATGTTCCTGCAACCCAGCCCCGGAGCTTTCAAGACTGATCCTCCAGCTGCCCATTGATTGTGAGCCCCCGATATCTTCCTGACAACTTCTCTCTGGTTGAAGTGAAGCAGAATCCATTTCTGTTGCTTGTAATCAAGAACTCTAATGGATACCAGATGAGAGAAGGACAGCAGGGCCCAGGTCGAGAATGACAGCAGGAAGAGAAGAATGAAGAGACCACAGACGTGGCAGAAAACCCTTCCCCTCCTTACTGCACTGCCTTGCAGAGGATCCTGTGAAAGGCTAGATCCTCACTTCTTTACTCTGCACACTGACATGAGAAGGCCTGAAGCTCATTTACCAGAGAAATTGAAGCCACACCAGAAAATCTATACATGTGGAAAACAAGTGTTAAGTGTGGCATTGGCTCTGGGAGTTCTTTGGAGGTATTCCAACAAAGGACAGTCACAGTCACTGTGGCAAGCTTAAAAAAAAATCTCCCCAAAGAAATGTGAAATAATTAGAAAAATGGGATAGATGGGTATTTTTATAACGGCAAAAATTTGGACCTAACTAGTGCCCATCAAATGGAGATAAATTATGATTCAAAGGTACATATACATATATATATATACTTATGCACATGTATGTGTGTATATATATAAATATATATGTGTATGTGTGTATATATGTGTGTGTCATACTGTCACATATGTACATATATATGCACACACACATGTATATCCTCTAGGAAGCCATTGCCAAGATGGGATTAAATGTGCAAGTATTTTATGAGAGAAAAATACAAGAAACTGTGATGTAAGTCTGACCCCAAGTAAAGAACAGTGAACAAAGTTGGGCAAATTCATCCTTGATTCCCCTGTACTCTAAGGATGGTTTGGTAAAACTGTTGGGGATTAAATTTGAGGAGCCCTGTGTCTCCCAGAAATGGGCCTGCCTGAGTTCCCCTGCTGCTCGCAGTCACTGGGGGGAGTGTGGCCTTGTTGGCACAGTGACAGATTTCAGAGTGCAGCAGCTGGGGGCCTTGGTCAATTATTTTCCCTGAAGTCAGAGATTTTTGCAGCATATTCCCATAGCTCTCTCTCTGTGTGTGTGTGTGTGTGTGTGTGTTTGCGTGCACACATGTGCATATTCATTAACAGAATGTTTAAAATGTTGAAGTAAATGTATAGTTCTCCACCTGGAAACATAGCCATCAGATACACCCATCTCGCAAACTTCTTTCACTATGGAAGCAAGAGTGCCTCTTGCACTTGGGAAAGAAGGTGTCTCACTTTGGCCATTGCCTCTTCCCATTTTGGTTCCACAACGAGAGGCCTTTATCTGCTCTACTCACTAATCGGAGGCCTTGGTTGACTTTCACTGAGGGATTCCCATTCTATGGGACTCCTTGTCGTAAATAACTTCCCTGAGAGGATCTTCGGGGAGCAAGAGCAACTATCACATGGAAGTTTGAAAACTCTAAGCAATATGTTGTTTCTCAGTAGCGTAAGAACAAAAATACTCACATCAGATTTCACCTTTATAAATAACAGTGCAGGAATGGCTATTACAACCACTCCAAACTCATTTAGACCAAGTGTGCTCTAATGAAAAGACTGCTCAAATTCATTTCCATGAAATTAATTTTTAATTCCATAAATTAGGTTTTAATGGAAACTAGTGATGCTTAGGAATGCTGCATTCTCTGGGCACTGCCTCCTTGCAACTCAGCAATTTAGGAGTCTTGAGACTGAAGGGGGCTTTCTGAGTCTGTCAGTTTATCTTCTTGTCCACAGTTACACTTTGAAAGAGACGAACACCTTTAACAATATATGCTTTCACTTGTTACACACAAATAACTGGAAAACTTTTTTTTTTCCCCACAATGATACCATGTAACCCCATTAATCATGTTTATTGTTCTGGGTTCTCATTCAATCTTAATTCATATTCATACCTAATTTTTAAAGAGTAGTAATCATACTATAAAGTTGTGAATTCTTTTTTCACTGAGTATCCTACCATAAGAATTGTAATATGCTGCTACTTAGCTATCATACTTTAATTAAAATTAAAATTTAAGTAAAATTAAATACTAATGGCTACCTAAATGTTCCAGAGTCATATACCACAATTTATCCATTTCCCTCTTATTAGTCATTTAGATTGTTTTCCATTATAAATAAAATTACCATGACCGGACAGATTGGGTTATAAACTATTTTAGAAGACCTCTGGGAAAGACTGCAGTGTTACAATTCCATGTATGATAAAGCCCTTAATGTCAGAGAAATATTTCCGAGTGTCTAAACTATATTTTCACATTATTACTAAAAGGTCACTGACTTATTCTCTCTTCCTCCTTCTCTGAATTTTAGCCTTCCATACACTATACCTTTTATTACCATTTAGATGTGATACGAATAACATGCATACAACTTAATTATTCCCCTTCTCAGAAAATAACGTATAGTTCACTTCTGTATTTAGTTTTAGAACGCTTCCTCAAATAGGACCGTTGGCTTACACGTTTGTACAAATAAAAAACATAAGAAAGTAGAAGTCTTTGTTACTGGGTATCACTATTATTTCTATGAGAATATCTTTTAAACATTTAAAAAAATTTTGTTGTAATTTCAACTTTATTTTAGATTCAGGGGGCACATGGATATATGGCATGATGCTCAAGTTTAGGGTATGAATGATCCCATCAGCCAGGTAGTAAGCATAGTACCCAATAGGCAGTTTTTCAGTCCTTGTTTTCCCTGCTCTTCCTCTTTTCTAGTAGTCCCCATTGTCTACTCTTCCCATCTTTATGCCCATGTGTACCTAATGTTTAGTTCCCACTTATAAGTGAGGACTCCTGGTATTTGTCTTTCTGTTCAGGTGTTAATTTGCTTAGGATAATGAACTCCATCTGCATCCAAGTTGCTGGAAAGGACATGATTTTGGTCTTCTTTATGGCTGCATAGTATTCCATGGTGTATATGAGGTGTACCACATTTTCTTTATCCAGTCCACCTTTGATGGGTACCTAGGTTGATTTCATGTCTTTGCAACTGTGAATAGTGTAGCACTGAACAGAAAAGTGCATGTGTCTTTTTGGTAGAATGATTTATTTTTCTTTGAGTATATAGCTAGTAATAGTATTGCTGGATTGAATGATAATTTTGTTTTAGGTTCTTTGAGAAATCTCCAAAATGCTTTTCACAGTGGCTGAATTGATTTACTTTCTCATCAACAGCGTATAAGTGTTCTCTTTTCTCCACAGCCTCGCCAACATTTACTATTTTTTGACTTTTTTTTTTTTTTTGTGTGATGGAGTCTTGCTCTGTCACCAGGCTGGAATGCAGTGGCATGATCTTGGCTCACTGCAACCTCCACCTCCCGGGTTCAAGCGATTCTCCTGCCTCAGCCACCCGAGTAGCTGGGACTATAGGCGTGTGCCACCACGCCCAGCTAATTTTTTTTTGTATTTTTTTTGGAGACAGGGTTTCACAGTGTTGGCCAGGATGGTCTCAATCTCCTGACCTCGTGATCCGCCCGCCTTGGCCTCCCAAAGTGCTGGGATTACAGGCATGAGCCACCGCATCCAGCCTATTTTTTGACTTTTAATCAGCAATTCTGACTGTTGTGAGATGGTATCTCACTGTGGTTTTTGATTTGCTTTTCTGCAATGATTAGTGATATTGAGTATTTTTCATATGTTTGTTGGCCACCTGTGTGTTTTTTGAGAAGTATCTGTTGATGTCCTTTGCCCATTTTAAAATAGGGATTTTTTTTTTGTTGATTTGTTTAAGTTTCTTATAGATTCTAGGTATTAGATTTTTGTCAGATGCATAGTTTGCAAATATTTTCTCCCATTCTCTAGGTTGCCTGTTTACTCTGTTGATAGTTTCTTTTGCTGTGCAGAAGCACCTTAATTAGGTCCGCCTGTCAATTCTTGTTCTGTTGTGATTGCTTTTGGAGTCTTCATCATGAAATCTTTACCAAGACCTATGTCTGGAATGGCATTTCCTAGGTTTTCTTCTAGAGTTTTTATTGTTTGATGTCTTACTTTCAAATCTTCAATCTATATTGAGTTCATTCTTGCATATGGTGAAAGAAAGGGGTGCAGTTTTATTCTTCTGCATACGGCTAGACAGTTATCCTAGCATCATTTATTGAATAAAAAGCCCTTTTCCCATTGCTTACTTTTGTAGACTTTCTTGAAGATCAGATGGTTGTAGGTGTGTGGCTTTATTTCTGAGTTCTCTTTTCTGTTCCATTGTTCTATGTGTCTGTTTTTGTACCACTACCATGCTGCTTTGATTACTGTAGGCTTACAATATAATATGACATTGGGTAATGCAATGCCTCCAGCTTTGTTCTTTTTGCTTAGGATTGCTTTGGCTATTCGGGCTCTTTTTGGTTTTATAGAATTTTAGAATTGTTTCTTCTAATTCTATGAAAAATAACATTGGTAGTTTGGTAGGAAAAGCGTTGAATCTGTAGATTGCTTTGGGCAGTATGACCATTTTAATGATACTGATTCTTCCAATCCATGAGCATAGACTGCTTTCCCACTTGTTTGTGTCATCTATGACTTTTTTCAGCAGTGTTTTGTAGTTCTCCTTGTAGAGATCTTTTACCTCTTTCGTTAAATGTATTCTTAGGTATTTTATTCTTCTTATAGCTATTATACGTGGGATTGTGTTCTTGATTTGGCTCTCAGCTTGAACGTTATTGGCGTGTAGAAATGCTACTGATTTTTGCACGTTGATTTTGTAACCCAAATGTTACTGAAGCTTTTTTTATTAGTTCTAGGAGCCTTTTGGTTGAGTCTTTAGGGTTTTCTAGGTATAGAATCATATCATAAATGAAGAGATATAAGTTGACTTCCTCTTTTCCTTCCTGGATGCCTTTTATTTCATTCTCTTGCCTGATTCCTGTGGCTGGGACTTCCAGTACTATGTTGAATAGGGGTGGTGAGAGTAGGCATCTTTGTCTTGTTTCTGTCCTCAAGGGGAATCCTTCCAGTTTTGCCCATTCAGTATGATGCTGACTATGGGTTTGTCATAGCTGGCTGTTATTATTATTTTGAGGTATGTTTCTTCAATGCCTAGTTTGTTGAGGGTTTTTTTCTTGAAGGCATGATGGATTTTATTAAAAGTTTTTTCTGCATTTATTGAGAGGATAATATGGTTTTTGTTTTTCATTCTCTTTATGTGATGATCACATATATTGATTTGCATATGTTGAACTAACTGCATCCTAGGAATAAAGCCTTTTTAATTGTGGTGAATTGACTTTTTGATGTGCTGCTGGATTTGGTTTGCTAGTATTTTGTTGAGAATTTTTACATCTATGTTCATCAGGGATATTGGCCTGTAGTTTTCATTTTTCACTGTGTCTTCACCAGATTTTGGTATCATGGTGATGCTGGCTTTGTAGAATAAGTTAGAGAGGAGTCTCCTTGATTTTTTGGAATAGATTCATAGAATTGGTACTAGTTAATATTTTCTTTAAAATGAACAGATGGCTATTTCACAATTCCAGTTCAACTTTTGAACCTTAATTTGACATTTGTGCACAAATGTTGCTCAAGCAACTCTACCCATCCCTTACCCACCTCTAGTCTCTCTATGATGTGCCAGTTATGACCATGCTAAGATGAAGCAGAAAACATCCCTGTGCATTTGCATATGATTGTATACTTAACAAGGTACTTTTACTACATTAATTTTTTTTTTTTTTTTTTAGATGAAGTCTTGCTCTGTCACCCAGGCTGTAGTGCAGTGGCACCATCTTGGCTTACTGCAACCTCCGACTCCCAGGTTCAAGCGATTCTCTTGCCTCAGCCTCCCGAGTAGCTGGGACTACAGCCATTCGCCACCATGCCTGGCTAATTTTTGTTTTAATAGAGATGGGGTTTCACCATGTTGGCCAAGCTGGTCTCGAATTCCTGACCTCAGGTGATCCACCCGCCTCGGCCTCCCAAAGTGCTGGGATTACAGGCATAAGCCACCACGCCTGGCCTTAATCTTCCCAACAAAACTGTGGGGTTGGTATTGTTACGGTTGAGGAAAAAAAGGTTTGGAAGCCATTGTCTAACAGTTAAAACATGGCAGAGTCATCAGGTTGATGGATTCTCAATGCTATGAACTTTCGACTAAGCCGCATTGCCTCTCCCTATGGGCACATAACACAGTCAATCTTCCAGTATCTGGGACAACTTAACTGTGCATATAACTCTCTGAGGACCTGGGCCATGATCACTTCCCTGCTGGGCTGATAATTAAACAGCTGTTAATTAGCATTGACTGTGCTGGGGTGGGAGGGGCCAGGAGAAAGGGGAGCAAAGGGGAAACCTGCTCCAAAGATGGTGAGGGACGTCTTTGCTTGAAGTGAGAGCAAGAAAAGGAGCATAAAACACAAAACTAACATGTTGCTAAAAATACTGGTTTATTAATCTATGATGTCCTTGATTGTGTAAAATTATTTCTTGTGCCACTGAGAATTATTTTATTTACCACTATGATGGGTTGGATTGTGCTGTCCTGAAAGATATATTAAGGCGCTAACCTCCAGTACCTCAGAATGTGACCTTATTTGGAAATAGGGTCACTACAGGTGTAATTAGTTAAGATGAGGTCATACTAGATTAGGATGGGTTCTCAATCCAATACAGCTGGTGTCATTATACTAAGAGGGCCTAGAAACAAGGAGAATGCCATGTGAAGACATACAGACACACAGAGTGAAAGGCATGTGGAGATGGAGGAGGCAGAGACTGGAGTTAACATCACTACAAGAAAACAAGGTGTCCTCGCGAAGCAGAGGTCCCCAGCCTTGACTGCACAGTGCAATCACCTGGGAAGGTGGCAAAAGCCCTGTGCTCAGGCCAACCACCAGAGCAGGGAACTGAGAGTTGCTAGGGATGGGCCCTGGCCTCAGCGGTGTTTAAAACTTTCCAGGTAATTCAAATGACCAGCCAGCGTAGTGAGCCAGTGTGCTGGAGGAAGTATTAAAAATGTAGCAAAAGTACCCAAAGAGCATGAATCTTTTATTTATGAAAAACCTCTTAATTTGCATGGTAAGATACCTTGCCTTTATTATAGTCTGAGGATTTTTTTTTTCTTGGTAGGTTAAAACACTTTAGCTCTAACACCCATGGATGGGCTTGAGGACGCATCCATATGGGACACAGGATTAGGGCTGAAGATAGAAGTTACCTCTGGGCCCTGGCCTGGTCATCCTTGTCACTGTTATCTTCCTGGGGAGGGTAGAGGATCTGAGGCATTTCTGGGGTGTGCTCACAGAGCTGGGCACCAGATAGTGACAGAGTAAGTTCTTCCTCTCACAAGGTGTTAGAGGCAGGGCTGGGAAGTTTCGTTTCACGCTTTGGGAAGCTGGTAAGAATTGAGATGGATTGGGTTGTGTATCCTTCATCTCACAGAAAGGGGAATATAGCTTGACTTCTTTGTAGGCACACAGCTGCCTTCTGTGTAATATTGTGAAGGAGGCAGCATAGGATTGTGGATGAGAGCTTGGTCTTGGGGACAGGCAGACATGAGTTACAGGCCCTGCTATACCTGTTGTTCTCTGGCTGTGGGGTCTCCAGCAAGCTGTGGAGCCCATTTAAGACTCAGTTTGCTCACCTGTAAAATAAGGATAAACCCTAGTGATGGCTGACACTTACTGAGGGCTGACTGTTGCGCTGGGCAGTGCCCTGAGTACTCATGTACATTATCTCAGTTATTTTCCCCGACAACCACATGAGAGGTTAGGAGTGAAGGCATGAAGACACCAAGTGGCTGGTTAACGGTCCTATGGTTAGCCAAGGGCAGAGCCACGGGTCATGCCTGTTGTGGGCTGGACTCTCTTCCCTCTAAGTTCAAATGTTGAAGTCCTTACCCCCAGTACCTCAGAATGAGGTTGCATTTGAAGATAGTGTCTTTAAAGAGGTCATTAATTAAAGCCATTAGGGTGGGGTCTCATCCAATATAACTGGTGTCATCATATTCAGGCACTGTTACCAACAGAGGGAATGGTGTGAGGACACAGGGAAAAGACGGCCATCTACAGGCCAAGGAAAGAGCCTGGAACAGGTCCTTCCCTCATGGCCCTGATGAAACCAACCCTGATGACACCTTCATCTGAGACTTTTACCTCCATACATTTCTGTTCTTTAAGCCACCCTGGCTGTGGCCCCCCATATGAGAGCCTTCGCAAACTGACACGACACTCCAGCAGTCTAGCTAGGTACTTCTCTAGCGTACTGTGCTGCTCCTCCACTCCCATGTGTACTTTGGTTGTGGTGAGGATCAAAAGTGATGGTGCATATAAGCACCTGGCCCACTGTGTGAACTCAAGAAATGCCAGCAGTTACTTCTATAATTTTGCTAATGTTTTTGTAATGTAGAAAGGCAGTGGGGTAGTGACTTCCCTTGTTCCAAAACACCTCAAGCTAGGCTCATCTCACTCCAAAGCTGCCCAGATGCCTGGACTTTAATCTTCTTGCTCTTAGCTAACTGAAGACAAAGCAAATCAAATGTGAGAAGAGAAGCCAGCTGGAGTCCATTCCTAAGTGTGTCCTAAATGCAACACAAGTCCCCATCTGCATGAGGGGCATGTCTCCACATCTTTTTGTTAGACTTTCTTTCTTTCTTTTCTCTCTCTCTTTCTTTTCTTTTCTTTCTTTCTTTCTTTCTTTCTTTCTTTCTTTCTTTCTTTCTTTCTTTCTTTCCTTTCTTTCTTTCTTTCTTCTTTCTTTCTCTTTTCTCTCTTTCTTTCTTTCTCTTTTTTCTCTCTCCTCTTTCTTTCTTTCTTTCTTTCTCTTTCTTTCTTTCTTTCTTTCTTTCTCTTTTTTCTCTCTCCTTTCTTTCTTTCTTTCTTTCTTTCTTTCTTTCTTTCTTTCTTTCTTTTTTCTCTCTCCTCTTTCTTTCTTTCTTTCTTTCTTTCTTTCTTTCTTTCTTTCTTTCTTTCTTTCTTTCTTTCTTTCTTTCTTTCGTCTATGTGTCTTTCAGCAGTTTTAGGTTCACAGCAAATTGAGAAGAAGGCACAGAGAGTTCCACATATCCTCTGTCTCCTCACATGCACTGCCTTCCCATTATTATCAACATCCCTGCTGGAGCACAGCGTGCATTTGTTACGCGTGCTGAACCGACACTGACACATCGTCATCACCCACGGTCCATGGTTTACATGAGGGTTCACTGTTGGGGCTCTAGCTTTTCTGCCTTTGCCTTTGCAATGCGGTGTGTTATCTCAGTGTTTGAATTGATGAGCTGGACACAGCTCATCAAGCGAGAAACCCCCAAAAGCGATTGATGGAAGTGATGTGGGAGATTATGGAAGAAAAAGGCCTCTCCAAGGGGCTCAGATATTCTAGTTCATCTGCTTTGCCGCCAACTGCTGGCTTTGGTTGTCGAGATCCAAACAGGGATCTGGAGAGGAGAGAGGTCTGCGGAGGGAAGACTTGGCCCATGGCAGTCAGATGCCAGGAGGGAGGGAGCAGGCAGCAGACAGGGAGTGTGCCGGCTTAATTGCTTCCTTGAGCAGGAGATATGACTTTTTGGAAAGCCCAATTACAGGCAAATTACACAGCTTAAGTTTTCAAAGAATACCAAGTTAAGCCACGATTATGGCTGAATGCACAGTATTGATTGCCCTCATTTAGAGAGGTTGGACCATCTTGCAAGAATAAAGATGATCAATTGAGGAGGGAGGATATGGCTGCATGCCTCTGACCACAGTTCCAGTCATTGAGTCTTAGTGACAAGTATTAACAAATTGCTATCTATCATCTAAAGCTCTGGATACAAGGTATACCGTGAGATAAATCAATGTAATTAGGGAGGGATCAAAGATGTTTCTTGTGGAGCGAGGTGCCAAGGCAGCCAACGAGAACCCCGAGAAAGTGAAATCTCAGCTTCTATATTGGTTGGAACATGTGCATTGCAGCCAGGGCTATGCTTGTTTCCAGGGTGGTGGGGCAATGTTAGGAGATGGATTTAGGAAATTATATTAAGGAAAAGGATATTAAAAGATGGAGGCTCTATGCCAGATATTACGGCAGGAATGGTTAGACTGGGGTGTACTTGACAGGACAATTTTCCAGAGAAGCTAGAAAGTCCCTAAATGCTGTTCTTGGCCAAAATGACATGTTCCTCTCAATGAGTGTCTCCTGAGATGTAAGTGCAGTAAAGAAGCAAAGCTAGCTAAGCCTCTTTAATACATGAATAGCTTTGGCCATGCACATTGTAGCACCCCAAAGAGCCTGCCTGGGCCAGGTGAATGGCTCTGTTTTCCATTGCAGGCAGGCTAAAGGGCCTCAGTCTAATAAGGAGAGCTCCTGGGAGGACAAATGGGAGGAGGAACAGAAGGATGGTGGGGAGACGAGGAGAAGTCTCTGTCCCTCTTCACTCCAGCTGTGAACAGTCAGTGTCCCCACATCTGACCAGTGCACTCAGCACTACACCTCCCTGGAAAGGCGTTTGGGGGTGAGAGGTAAAGGGGAGCCAACAGCGCCCACAGAGAAAGTGCTCATGGCACCTGGCTAGGAATGAATGGCTCCAGCACCACCCAGGAATACAGGTTCCAAAAGCTTTGTTCTTGCAAAGCCTCCTTCATTTTGTTGATTCATGATCCAGTTCTGCTAGTGAACCAGAAGGAGGATGCTGGGTGGGGATGTGTCTGGATTGCCTAGTTCCCATTCTGTGCCGGAGGGGGGCCTCATTAATGTGCTTCTGGAAGGCACAGGTGGATCTGACTGAAGAAGTTCTGCAGTTTCATTCAATTATGCTGTATATGGCCAGCAAGCTTCAATGGAAAGAGCTAATAGCATCAAGGTCATGTGTCTTGGTCCTGTGGGTCAGTTACCTTGACTCTGTTTCCATGGCCACAGGCTAATGATGGTACCCCAGCCCCAGCTGCTCCTTTACAGGTGTGTGTGATGAAAACGGGGGAGATGGGTGGGTGGAGAGTATTCTTGATTTGATCCAAAGTCATGACTCTCCTGAATGCTAAAGACTATGCCCCAAACCGTGTGGTTCAGTGAAAGAGCACCGAATTTCAAGTAAGAAAGAACTGGGTTTGGGTTCTGAGGTGGTTTGCTTCTGATTTGTGCATGTTCTGAGGTAGGGCCTCAAATTCTCCAGGTTGTGCTTTCTTCATCCAGACCATGGGTTTGGCAAGTCTAGTCTGCTGACTGCTTTTGTAAATAAATTTTTTGGAACATAGCTATGCCCATTTGTTTATACACTGCCTATGGCTGCTTTCACACTGCAGCCGTAGAGTTGAGTAATTGCAACAGAGACCATATGGCCTCAAAGCCTGAAATATTTGCTCTCTGGCCCTTTACAGAAAGTTTGTTGATTTCTGGTGTATAGCACGGACATGATGGAATTCTTGACCTCACAGGCTTATTGGTGAGGATGACATGAAATAAACTTTTCTTGTTGAGAATAATGAAGCATACTATAAATGTCACTGGCTATAATTATAATGGTCAATATATTCATGAAATCATTTCATCGTCAGAGTGGAAGCAGGGGCAGCATTTGGGTAGTACAAATCATGTGATTTGAGGGGCACAAAGAAAGCCTCCAATGACCCATATCACCTCCCCTGAGCACACGCACACTGACCACACTCCTGCCATGAAGGGTTAAGCTTTAGTTTTGAGCACTCATTATCCAGGCTGATTATGTCTCTATTTGAAAAGATTTGGAAAACAAGTCCTCTGGGAAGGGCAACACATCCAGGTGTTATCACTTACCCACACTTGTGCATGAAGTCATTAATTAGGCAGCTTTTTGCAAAGATGCTGGTTGAGATTGTTCGAGGAAGGAACAGGAGTTTATGGAAAAGGTAATTTTGAAAGCCTTGGGCAGTTTCCTGCAAGTCAGGGAGAAATGCTACTGAAATCAACAGCAAAGGATCCAGGGCTTAGGTTGGGCACCATCACAGAAAGGAGGACTAAGACAAAGGAAGTAAGAAGGCACTGGGAAAAGAGCCTTCCAAAGTTATTTGTTTTTCTAGGCACATTTTTTATGCTTGGCATGTGTTTGGCATGGAGGGATACACCCACCAGTTATTTGCTATAACAAAGGTTGCAGTATTGTTTCTTGTAGGTTTTCAATGGGGAACAAACAAGCTGTCTGCTACAGAATACAAATGAATTCTTGAAAATTCCTGATCTCCTTAAACCTTCTTCAGAGTGTGTTAGTTTAATTTTTGGATGAGGACAATGAACTAAAGAGTTAAGAGGAGAGAAGATTCACTTCCTCAGTTCTTTCTTCTTCAAGGACATCTGTTTTTAATCTTCCTCAAAGGTTAGCCCCTTAGTCAACAGTGGTGCCTTGTCAATTATTTCCTCTTGTTCATATTTCATGCATTGCCAATGGAACAGTTCCAGGGTGACGGTAGAAAAAAAATGTGTGTTGAAATTGCAATTGGCATATGTCTGAAATATTTGGGGGCTGGTGACTGTGCCTCCCCAGCACCAGGCAGCTGGAGAGTAATTCATATGTCAAGCCAAGCAGCCCACGAATGACAAAACACCAACAGGGAATAAAGGTCAGAGCGATTGATTCTTAACACACTTCTACTTACGCACAGAGCACCCGATGACAGGGCGTTAATGAGCCCCAGCACGGTGATGCGGAACAAATGAAAAAAGTAATGAATCGACTTTGCAATAGTGCTCCTGGAAGATACAGAACAATCCATGCTCTTAGATTAGCCTTTGAGAAATACCAGGAGAAAGTGGCTTTTCATCCTGCAGTGGGCAGTTTTCTGTGGCTGCTGTAACAGATGGCCACCGACTTAGTGGCTTAAAACAACACAAATTCATTCTCTTACAGTTCTAGGAATCAGAGGTCTAAAAGCAGGGTGTCAGCAGGGCTGTGCTCCTTCTAGAGGCTCTTGTAGGGGGCAGGGATTCTTTTTTTGCCTTTTCCAGCTTCTGGAGGCTTCCTCATTCCTTGGCTTATGATCCCATTTCTCCATCATTAACGGCGCAACAGTGGATGAAATATTTCTTGTATGATATCACCTTGACTTTCTCTTCTGCCTTCCTCTTGTAAGGATACTCGTGATTACATTGGGGCCATTCAGATAATTCAGGATAATCTCCCTGTCTCAAAGCCAGCTTATTAACAACTTTCATTTCGTCTAAAACCTTAACCCCACCTTGCCATGTGGCATAACATATTCACAAGTTCTAGGGCTTAGAATGTGGGCATCTTTGAGAAGGTCATTATTCTGCCTCCCGCATGCAGAGAGAGAGCTAATATTCATGCTGGAGAAGTGAGGTTGGTTGCTGACAAGTTCTACTGAAGATATCTGTGCAGGGATGAAGCAGCCCTGTTTCATGGCTGGCAGATAGTGAAAACAGAGGCCACCCTCAGGAGGACAGCTACATGTGGGTTATACTGTTTTCTTAGATGAGTCAAATTGAAGCTACTAAAACCATCCAATTCCATTCATTTCCACAAACATTTAAGATGGGCTTTTTAACTATCAGATGTTTTGGTGGCCACTGGGAATTTGTAAATAAATGAATCTGTCTCCCAAATGTAGTTGGTGTGCGTTGTATGAAGTTCAGCTACAGATGCAACATGTATTTTTTCTCATGCAATACAGAGAGTGCTGAATAAAGGGATAGTGAGAGTCAGTCTCTGGAGAAGGACTGTCTAGGCCCACATACTGAATCTACCACTTGCTAGTTGTTTGGCCTTAGTCAAGTTTTTTAAGCTTTCTGTACATTTGTTTTCTCATCTGTAAAGTCAGGATAATTATAGCAGGAACCTCGCTGTGTTGTGATAAAAAATAATTGTTGGCTAGGTGCATGGCTTATGCCTGTAGTCCCAGCACCTTGGGAGGTTAAGGTGGAAGGATTCCTTGAAGCCAGGAGTTCAAGACAAGCCTGGGCAATATAGCAAGACCCTATCTCTACCAAAAAAAAAGAAAAAAAGGAAAAGAAAAAGAAAACAATTAGCCAGGTGTGGTGGTGCGCACCTATAGTCCCAGGTGCTTGAGAGGCTGAGGTGGGGATCACTAGAGCCCAGGAGGTCAAGGTTGCAGTGAGCCATGATCGTGCCACTGTACTCCAGTCTGAGCAACAGAGCACGACCCTGTCTCAAAAAAAAAAAAAAGTTTATTAAAGAGCTTTATAGGCGAGGCCTGGTGGCTCATGCCTGTAATCCCAGCACTTTGGAAGGCTGAGGCAGGTGGAGCGCTTGAGTCCAGGAGTTGAGACCAGCCTGGACAACATGGTGAAACCCCATCTCTGCAAAAAATACACAAATTAGCCAGGCATGTTGATACATGCCTGTAGTCCCAGCTACCAGGGAGGCTGAGGTAGGAGGATTGGTTGACCTCAGTGGGGTGGAGGGTGCAGTGCACGGAGATTACGCCACTGCACTCCAGTCTGGGTGACAGAGAAGGACTCTGTCACAAACAAACAAACAAGCAAAGAAACAAACAAGAGCGTTATAGATTGCTTAACACTAAATGCATTCTAAATAAGTAAGCATGGAATAATAACACCATCTCAACAATGTTTCTTGGAATGTGTGGGAAGAACTTCTGAATGATGCTAATTTTGCTGTATGTGTGTGTGTATGTGTAATTTGCTGGTGCTGGGTGTGACACACACCTTATCACTCAAGAACATTTACAGTATGTAGTCCACTCCTTAAACTGTCTACTCCAATTCTCCTTCTTGTAAAATGGGACTGGATAGTGCTTCATACAAACAAATCAAAGAAAATCAATTACCCCTGTGGCCAGGCTAAACTTACAGTTTTGGGAACACATGGTTCTCACTGAACAGCAGCTGAAGCAGGCTGGACAGGATTGGAAAGATGCAAAAATGCATATTGCACATGTGAGTATTGAGAGGTGGCCCTGGAGCATGTTCATGGAACACTGTGGAAAAAAAAAGTTGTGGAGATAGATTTTTCTGTAAACAAGTCTGACTTTTGAGAGCACATGTGGTTATTCTACTCTTGTGTCTGTCCCTCTTAAAAACAGTTTTCTGCCAGAATCATTTTTCTGAAAGAGGCTTCTGGATACTAACTCCTTGCCTAGTGCTCTTGAGTTTCTCACTGAAGTACTCAAGACACGCCATGAAAAGCAGAACTCATAGTCCATCTGCTGCTAGAATTCAAAAGAATTGCTGCTAAGTAGTGTAGCTATTCAGTGCGGCTGAATAGATAAACACATTTGACGGTCCATCTCTGCAGGGTTCCTGAAAACAAGGGAATTTTTCAGCAAGACCCCTTCTTTGAAAGGGTAAACATAAAATAATACGTAGACATATACATTTCCAAAATACACAGCTTATGGAAAGGAGGTAGATACTGGGGGCGGCCCGCTTCACTTCGGGAGCTATAAATCACAACTTTCAAGTGTGTGAGTGGAAACATAAGAACCCTGGTGGATTGTCATTTTTTAATCACTTATTTGTTCAGAATGTCAGAGAAATATGCAGTAAGGGTAGGAAGAGATTCAATTTAAACCCTGCAATCTTTTATTTTATTTATTTATTTTTGAGACAGTCCCGCTCTGCCTTCCAGGCTGGAGTACGGTGGTGCGGTCTTGGCTCACTGCAACCTCTGTCTCCTGGGTTCAAGTGATTCTGCTGCTTCAGCCTCCCAAGTTGCTGGGATTACAGGCATGCACCACCATGCCCAGCTCATTTTTGTATTTTTAGTAGAGACATTTTGGCCAGGCTGCTCTCGAACTCCTGACCTCAAAGTGATCCACCTGCCTCAGTCTCCCAAAGTGCTGGGATTACAGGTATGAGCCACTGCGCCCGGCCAATCCTTTAAACATTGGGAATTTGGCAAAGAACTATGCTCTTCCAGTGCTATCTCTCAGGAGGTGACTTAGTTAATGGACAGATCAGGGACAACCCAGCAGTGAGTCTGGTGGTGAATTCTGGGTTTGGGTAAAGCTTATCTCATTTAAAAATAAGTAAGCCAGAAAAAAGAAGCCCACATAGGAGAGCTGGAATGAAAAATGCAAGGAACAGGGGAGGGGAACATTCTGCTGAAGATTCAGGGAAAAACACTGCACTGCAAAATAACTAAGCGTAAGAACCAGAAGAAATTCCTTGGTGTATTAATTAGGATGTACATCAAGATTGTAACAAAATAGGAGCCCAAATCCGTAAGACGGAGAGGAAAAAAACACAAGATAAGCAGTAAAATTGAAGAATTTTACCTTTTTAAACAAAAGATACAAAAGGTAAAAAGGAACAAAAGGTAAATTGAAGAATCATAGAGACAAGAAGAGGATGCCCAGCACAAAACCCAAATTAAATCTGGTTTGAAAGCAGCAAAGAGCAGAATTCACAATGCAGAAATGGACTGGTAATGACAGGTGAATTTTAGCAGTTTTACCAGAAAGAGATTAAAATGTCAAAAGGGGAAAATTATAGGCGTGTAGGACACAGAGCAGAGAAACAGATTCAACAATAAAGCTAGTTAGTTTGGGGGATGGGAATACTTCTGAATGCCTTCTCAACAGCAAATGCTACTGCTATCAAATGGGAGTGATCTCAAGTCAGATATCTTTTCATGGGGACCTGCATGACTCTTCCTCCATGCCGCCTGTGTGTTTACTCTAAAAGCTTCAATATCTCCTTACTGAGGAGCCTCAGGAGGTAGAAGTAAAGGGTGGGTTTTCTTGTCCCATTTGTTCTTAGTGATGCCAGCATTTGGGGTAGACCCCATGCTTAGGAATTTATAGCCAGAGAGCTATAAACTTAGGCCTGAGAGGGGGAATGCGTCACATAACAGGCAGGGGTGGGTTGCATGGATGTTATAAAAGGCAAATGTTGAGTCTTAGGTCCTAAAATCCGAAGGTCAAAGCATTAACTTATGACATGTCCATTGCTAGTGTTCACTGTAATCTACAGTAAACTGAGCCCATAGTCTATGCATAGTTAGGAGGCCACTCTACTCTTTTCCATTGCTGGTCCTTAGACCGAGGGCAGCAATGACAGGGGAGCTGGGCAGTTCCAGATTTATCAGTGTGTACCAGCTCCTCAGCTTGGGAATATTCCTAACAATATTCCTGGAAAACAAACAAACAAATAAACAGAACCGTTGGAAAAGCCACGAAGCAAAACACTTCAGTGTAGAGAATGAAAGGCTCACTTCACTCTAGGCAAGATTAATAACATGAGATCTGTATTTAGCCATATTCCAGGGAATATTTAAATTGCAGTGATAGAGACAAAATTCCAGAAGCCTTCAAGCAGAAACAACAACAACAAAAACAACCAAAACATTTTAATTGTAAAGGAATAAAAAAATCAACATGGGCTGGGCCTGCAATGCTAAATGGCCAAAGCCAATGAGGAAATGTCGACGGATCATGAGCTCAATGTTTGTGTTCCAGCTACTGTTGCTGCAAAACAAAGAAACCCAGGACGTGGTGGCTCACAGCAGCTTGTGAACAAGCCTACCGTGGTTCTCTGATGGAGTTCACTGATTTCTGTTCACTTTGTTCACTTGTCTCCTCCACTTCAAAACATGCTCAGGTCAAAAAGCAAATGAAAGCCACCAGGTTGTTCATGCCTCGTCAGCATTTTAAAAAGCTGCATCGTGTCTCGTTTCACAATGTGAAATTTGATCACTTTTATGGAACTGTTGTATGGGGTCTGAAAAGTGCTGTGTATCCCTAAGAAGCTTTCTAGGGGAGGGTCTTGTTATAGTAATTGTTGAATAAATCTCCCTAAAAATGTGTGCTGTTCTTAATGAAAACTAGACGGGATTCCTTGATGAGGCCACAAAATCACTTCAAAAACAAGATGCTATGTGAACATTCCTATATCCTTTCTAAGAGTTCTATCTTGAATTTTAAGGAGGGTCGATTTGCTGGAAGTTCTGCTATCAATTTGGACTCACCCATCGCACTAGTGTGTTGAGATTGTCTTCCCTTTGAATTGCCAGTGTCTCCTAATCATTCCAGGAATGACATGTATTTGTTTGCCCTCCCAATAGCACCCAGAGCTCTAGGAAGGTCCCAGTCCTGTCTCATCTCCTAGTACCATCCCTCTCCCTGGGAATGACCCCTCTCTCACTCTGTTTCTGAGTTCCCGGAAGTGCCAGATGCAAAGTAGGAACTCACTAAGTATTTATTTAATTTTTTAAAAATAAGTTTTATGTCAAAGAAAAAGAGAGTTTTCTTTAGGGTTGCTACTCTCCTGAAATGATCCTGACAGAACAGGCAAAAAGTTCACTTGAAAACAAAACCAACAACAACAATTTTAAAAACATAAGGTTAGCTGGGCACGGTGGCTCACACTGGTAATCTCAGCACTTTGGGAGGCCGACATGGGTGGATCAAAAGGTCAGGAGTTCAAGACCAGTCTGACTAACATGATGAAACCCCATCTCTACTAAAAATACAAAAAGTAGACAGGCTTGGTGGTGCCCACCTGTAATCCCAGCTACTCAGGAGACTGAGGCAGGAGAACTGCTTGAACCTGGGAGGCGGAGGTTGCAGTGATCTGACATGGAACCACTGCACTCCAGCCTGGGAGACAGAGTGAGACTCCGTCTCAAAAAAACAAAAAACAAAAAACAAAAACACAACCCCCCCCCCCAAAAAAAATGTAAGGTTTCTTCTCAGAAGAAAGAACCTGAGTCTGGAGGGAATGCAGGTGTGGAAGTGCTTGAGTTCAGGGACAGGTAAGAGCAACTGGCCCAAGTTCCAGGGCCTGCCTGACCTGAACCCAAGTTCCAGTACCTGCCTGATCTGACCTGAACCCAGGCACATTGTATGCAGAAAGGGGACATTTAGACCTTATTTCCCTCTTTCTCTTCTCCTAATGCTTTTTTTTTTTTTTGAGATGGGTTTTTGCTTTGTCACCCAGGCTGGAATACAGTGGCATGATCACAGCTCACTGCAGCTTCAACCTCCCAGGCTCAAGAAATTCTCCTGCCTCAGCCTCCTGAGTAGCAGGGACTACAGGCATGCACCACCATACCTGGCTAATTAAAAAAACATTTTTTTTAAAGAGTCAGGTCTCCCTATACTGCCCAGGCTAGTCTCCAACTCCTGAGCTCAAGTGATCCTCCTGCATCGGACTCCCAAAATGTTGTGATACGGGCCTGAGTCACTGCACACCTCTCCCAATGCTTTTAAATGATTATTATTTATTTCAGGGAAAACAAAAGAATTATCTTTATAAAGTAAGATAAGGCAGAGTTTTCTTTATTTCCTTCTTGGATAGAAAAGCCAATTTTATTTTCTGGTTTGCAGTAAATTTGCTGCATCCTGTTCTCATCTACAGCTGAGGGTTAAATGAATCTTCTTCCAACCAAGTGCTGAAAATGTGCTCCAAGGGCAGAGCCTGGCAAACCTGACCCAGTAAGACCTTTTCCCTAAGAACATCGCAAAAACTGAAAAGCAAGCCCAAGAATGCCCCACTGTGGTTTTCGTCATATTCTGTTGAAAGCAGTAATCTACTTAAATTCAGAGTATCTGACAAAATCATGAAAAAGTGTCACTCTCTGGGGATTCTCCTTTGTTGTTCTTTGAGGCAAGTTCTCTGGGACTGTATCCTTTAGGAAGCACATATTGGAAACAGGGCTCTTCTCCATCCTCCATCATTGGTTTCCTTCCAATGGTGTGAATTGCGAGTGATTTCCAATCTGCTGCCCTTTGGCTCCCTGAGGGAACCCCTGGCTTTTTCTTTCGGAGAAGTTAACCACACATCAGTTTCCTTGGGTGTCAATAGCAACCTAATGTTGATGCATGGTTTCTTGGATGTCCTCTATATCAAAGAAACCCAGAAATTTCTTAACCTGTGTTTATCTGTCATCTCTGACACAGACTAAGACAGAACATTGTTGTCATTTCCAAGGGTATAACCAATTTTGCACATGGACACCTAGGATGCAGACCCCAGCCTCCGAAATGCACCTCATTACCCCGTCACTGGCCCTCAGTTCATCTCAGCTTTCAGTCGACCCTCTTCAGACACGGATGGAGCTGTTTCCATGGATTGGTTGGAAATATTTTCCACTATGCTACTTAGTGCCACAGGGGCGAGCTGTATTATCAATTAGCAAATGACGAAGTGTGAACAATGATGTGTAGTTTTTGAATCTAAAACCACAGTGTGTAGTGGGGGCACCTGCTGCTTAACCAGCTTCACATTCAGAAGCCAGAACTGCCATTGTTGCTCCTCACATCATCTATTTCTATGTGGACTGCCGTTTGCCTGATGTTTGCTCAGCACCTGGTAAGCAAAGAACTTTCAAAAAGGTAGAAAAGAAAATCAATATTTCTACCCATTTAAACAGCCTCCCATCATTCAGTGACATTCGCACAGTGCTGGGGAGGAAAGCAGGAGATCAATGCATCTTAGGGACCCAGAGAAGGTATTTGGTTAATTCCTCTAAGAAATCAATGGCATTCAACTAGTTGCTAGCCTGGGTTTGAGTGACTAGGTTTTTATAAAGCTGTGGCTTAAAGAAAGGATGGTGTATACCTGTGTTTGTCTCTTAAAACCTGCATCTTTCCAGCTCAGAGGCAGCAACCTGTTTCCCTGCTATATGCAAATATAAAAATCTTAACAATAGCACCAAATGCAAAATACTTTACAATGATTATATATCTAATTCTTTCAACAATATTATAAAGTGGTATTACAATTGTGACAGTGTTAAAACATATCTGTAAGTTCTTTGATATTCTTCTCATCAAGAGGTAGAACCTGTGTTCCTCTCTTTGACCTGGATGAGCATGTGACTGATTCAACCACTGATTTATCATGAAATAGGTGATGCTGTGATGAGCCACACAATTCAAAATTGCAAAAATATGGAACCAGCCCAAATGCCCATCAATCAATGTGTGGATAAAGAAAATATGATACACACACACACACACACACACACACACACACACACCATGGACTACTACTCAGCCAGAAAAAGGAAAAAAATAATGGCATTTGCAGCAATCCAGATGGGACTGGAGACCATTATTCTAAGTAAAGCAACTCAGGAATGGAACATCAAACATCGTATGTTCTCACTTATAAGTGGGAGCTAAGCTATGAGGACACAAAGGCATACAAATGATACAATGGACTTTGGGGGACTTAGGGGGAAGGATGGGAGGGGGCAAGGGATAAAAGACTACACACTGGGGACAGTGTACAATGCTCGGGTGATGGGTGTGCCAAATCTCAGAAATCACCATTAAAGAACTTCTTCATGTAAACAAACACCACCTGTTTCCCCAAAACCTACTGAAATAAATAAAAGAGCCCACAAGCAAACAAATAAAAACTAGACAAGGAACACACACACACACACACACACACACACACACACAAAGTGATGCTGTGATGCTGTCTGACTTACAAGAATACGTCAGAAAAGGACATCTTGTGTTTTGGCCTAGGGCAAGCCAGTCAGCCTGTAAAGAAGTCTGAGCCCCCTGAGGCTATGGTCCTGGAGAGGCTGAGCTTTGGTCCTATGGTTGATCCTCAGCTGGGCTCCCAGCCTGTAGCCATGTGATGGGACATCTTGGACATCCAGCCCTGTTGAGTCTTCAGACAACCCCCCCAATCTCCGCTGCCGTCTGACTGCAAGTATATGGCATCCCAAGTGGGAACCGCAAGCCCTTCCCAAATTCCTGAACCACAAAATAGTGAGCCAAAAAACTGTGGTTTCCTTTCTTCTCTAGGCTCTGGGGTAATTTGCTACACAGCAATAGTAACTGAATAATTGTCCACCATTCTACGAATGAAGAAATTGAACTTCATAAACTCTGAGTAACTTGCCCAAAGTCACACAATTTCTGAGTTGCCGGTTTTACACCAGATTTGCCTCAGTCTGAAACCAATGCCTTTGGCTGTATATGCTAATGCGTTTGTAAAGAGCCAGTTAATTGCAGGGGAAACCCAACATGACTGACAGAATGTGTAATTAGAAATGAAATACCACTATTTTATGTGCTTGCTTGAAGATTCAGTTGGTGGCGCAGATTTCCATCCCAGGCCCATACAATAGATGTGTGGGTGAGAAGTACTGGTCCTGTGGTTCCAGGTCTTCTACTTCTCTCAGAGCAGGAACATTTTCTTCCAGGTGTTGTTCTCCACCCCTCATGGCCCCTTCCTATTGGCCCTCCCCAGCCTTAACTTTACCACCAGTTTCTCTGCCCCAAAGTCAGCCATCACCTTTTTTGAAGCAAAGAACATTTTTTGGCCATCCGTGGCCCTGGACTCATTGCCCCCCCGTAAGAATCCGCTCTGATCGCTGTCACCACACTGAGAGAGAAGCACCACTAACTGCACTTTGTGGATGCAGAGAATGCGGCTTGTGGGAATTATGTGGCATACCCAAGTTAATTGGTAAATTTTAACCCACTGTTTTCTGATTCTCATTGTACCATGCTCATTTCCAGTGTCCTCAACTTACCACACATTTGAAAAATAAATTACAATTCAGTGTGCCTGTGGTACCCGGTAATTTCTCATTCCAGTGACTCTGATGACTCTAGTGAGAGGCGTTATTCCTACATCAGGAGGTTTCTGGCTCCCTCCAGGCAAAACTGTTTTCTATATAAAGACCTTCTCTGGAAAAGTAGATTGCCCACTCCACTGCTCTTTCAGATCCCCAATCTGGAGAGTATGCTGGGAGAAATGATTCCAGGCACAAGTGACTTGAGCTGGTAAGTAACACTGACAAGCTGTGTTACTTGGGCAAGTTATTTAACCTTTCTGGGTCTCTGCTTCTTCAGGTGTGAAGTGAGAGAATGGGCCAGATGAATTGAACATGTTGTGAACATACTATGAATACACAACTATCTAGATTTGAAGCCATATATATATATATATATATATATATGCAGTGACTTAGAAGGAAGAAATGTATGGAAATAATAGCACAGTGAAGACTTACTGAATAACTTCCATGTGCTAGCACGGTTCTTAGCCCTTTACACTTATTTAATCCTTGTTACTATTATCATCCCTATTTTACAGATGAGGACACAGGGGCTTGCCTGAGGTCACACAGGTAGAAAGTGGATGAGGCAGAATTTGAACCCTGGCTGTTTGAAGCCATAAATACATGAAGTGGCCCCAGAGACTGCTCTCTTAAACTACTTCTTAGTACTAACAAATGAGCAATAATATCCCAGGACAGACAATAATGTCAGAGAAATTCTGAAGGAAGGGGGACATTTCCAGCTGTGAAGATTATCAAGTTGGGAGGCCTCAAGAAGCTTGTGTTCCTGTGCTGCTCCATGCCTGGTGACCACCCTCGCTCCATCAGCATTTCCATAGGTGTCTCTTGTTTCCTTTGGAGGGAGGAAAGTTATGCTCCAAAACAGGATAGAGCATGAAGCATGAGATTCTGCAAAATCAGTTGCATACATTTGGAGCACAAGTCATGGTGGATCTACTTGCTTTTTCTTTGTAAACTTTTAATTTGGAAATAATACAAAAATTGGGAAAAGAGTATTTAGAATTCCTACATACTCTTCATTCAGATTTTCTAAATATAACATTTTACCACATTTGCTTTATCATTCTTTTTCTACACATACGACATATGCAAAATCATTTTTTTCTGAACTGTTTGAAAGTTGCAAACAGTATGCTCTCTGAAGTTAAAAAACTTCAGTATGTGTTTCCTAGAAACAGTCACTTTCTCTTACATAGCCACAGTTCAGTTGTGAACATTGGGAAATTAACATTGATACAATACTATTATCTAATCTATACCTTATTCAAATTTGATCAATTGTCCCAATGATGTTCTTTATGCCCCCATCAAAAAACAACCCAGGATCCAATTTAGGGTGACTTGTGCTTTTCAAAACTTTTCATTTTTAGAGCAGCCAAAGCCCAAAATAAGGTAGGATTCTCTTGGTAGGACAGGGACTTCAAAGACTATATTGCATATATAGTAAAATAAAGGCAGGGTGCATACAACCAAGATTACAAATGCTACGGTGAAAACCATCAACCTTCTAGCAGGTCAGCAATGGTGAATGCTGTGCACAGCTCAGTTTCTTGGTGTTCTTCTAGAGCAGTGGTGCTCACATTTAGAAGCAGCATCAGAATCCTCAGGAAAGCTTATTAAAACAAAAATTGCTGGGCCCCACTCTCAGAGTTTGTGATTCCGTAAGTCTGGAGCAGGGTCTTAGAAAATCCTAACCAATTCCCAAGTGACACTGGTGCTGCTGGTTCAGGGGACACAATTTGAGAACTGTTGCCCTAGAGAAAGCTGTGCTTGATGGTGTCCCTCCCAGATTTCAGGTGACAGCTTCATCAGTGATCTCTTTCTTATCAAATCCAGTGCCCTATTTTCAACTCCACTTGGCTTTTTGATAGAGGTGGCTATCAGGGCATTTCTCTACTTGTCAGAATCCTCCCATTTCCACCAAGACACTCCAACTCCCACTCAGGAGGACTAAGAAAATAGTATTTGTGTGTGAGGTCCATTGAGTGTGAAATTTACAAGCAAGGTATTATTTGTATGAATCAGAAGTAAACTTTAACGCAACCCTTGGGCTCAAAGCCATCCCAAGCTGAGTCCACCCTAGATCAGCCAAACCTCAACCAGTCATTTAGTAGCTGTTAATGAGAAGTAACTGTCTATATTGCTGTGAACACCTGCAAGTTTCGTTAGTTTGTTATGAAGACATAGCACTGATGCACAATTTTATAGGATTCTCGTGAAATTAAATAAGTTAACAAATGTAAAGGGTTCAGAACAGTGCTTAGCATGTAATAAATGCTCTGTAAGTGTGAACTATAATTATTATTATAACCAGTGCCTAGACCACTGAGAAAGTTTTGATAATAGAAGAGCTTCTAATGACTTCTGATATCCATCTTTCTCATAGTTCCTAGCATCCAAGACCAGGGTCCTAGCCTACAGGTTTGATTTTGACCCAATTACTTTACTTTTCTGAGTCTTAGTTACCATTTATCAAATAAGGTTGCACACTTCTGCCAACCTCAGAGGTTTTTTTTTTTTTAATCACACGAGATGATGGGCATAAAAATACTTTGAAGATTATGAACCACCATTGCTGTCATTATTTTTACCTTCTCTCCAATAATAAAAGCAATTCTGAGTGGTTCACAGTAGAGAGATCATTTAAGTGCCCCAAGATCTGTTTTTCTGGTGGTCAGTCACAGACTGGCTGTTTGGATTTTTATAAATGCCAGAGCTTATCCTGGGAAGGGTCTTACATTGGGTTTTCAAACTTGTCATAAAATTCAACTTGAGATTCTTTAATTATACTTTCAATTTTCATGAAGTATTCTTTACTTGTCAGGTGGATTGCAGCTGAGAATGGAAAAAGCAGTGAGTTTGTAGACAGAAGGCCTGGGTTTAATAGATGGTTCATGACTCAGGTTCTTCTTGGCTGTGACCTCAGAAAGTTATTTAACTTCTGGGTAAAATGAAGGTGACACTCATGAAAGTGTAAACTGTACGGGGTTATTTGAGAATCTAATAATGTCCAACGTGCTGCAGATGTGCTGAAACATTCTTTTACATACTTTATGAAGGAAGTGTGATCAGCACAGCCCACAAGGAGTGGGCTGGAAGAGTCCATCCAGCTCTGAAGTAGGAACGCTGTTTGAGTCAGGAGCGCTACCTTTAGATCTATCCATGTCAGTTCTTTGGGTGCTTACCTTTTAAACATTTTCAATCCCCATCTCCTATGACTGATTCTCACTGTGGAGACTAAAAGAGCCAGACAGCTGCTTACCCAGCTTCCCTTGTAACCTGGGAAGGCCATGTGATCTGTTCTGAGCAAAAGATATAAAGGGGGCATCTGACAAAGATTTTTTTCCCCTTCATGAGTGAAGAAAGAGCTCTTTCTCATTTTCTCAGCTATGCTTCTGCTTCCTGCCTTTGGAAGCTGGAGTAGGAAGATGTGCTCTCTGGACCCGCAGTAACCATCTTACAACCACAGGGGATGGTTGAGACAATTGCAGAGAGCATCCTGAGGCCTGGATTGTTAGCTGCTGGTCCAGCCTCAGACCTGGCCACCTGTAGACTTCCTGTTACATTGGCTGATTGAAGCCTTTATTATTTCAGTGATTATTACTTCTGTTCTTGGCAGCAAAATAATTCTTTATTTTATTTTATTTTATTTTAATTTATGTATTTTTATTTGAGATGAAGTCTCACTCTGTCGCCCAGGCTGGAGTGCAGTGGTGCGATCTTGGCTCACTGCAACCTCTGCCTCCCTGATTCTGCAACATCTGCCTCCCTGGTTCAAGGGATTCTCCTGCCTCAGCCTCCTGAGTAGCTGGGATTAAAGACACGCGCCACCATGCCCAACTAATTTTTTTTTATTTTTAGTAGAGACGGGGTTTCGCCATGTTGGTCAGGCTGGTCTCGAACTCCTGACCTCTTAATACTCCCGCCTCGGCCTCCCAAAGTGCTGGGATTACAGGTGTGAGCCACTGTGCCCGGCCAAGAATTCTTAGTTGATATACTATCTCACAGTCTCTCTCTCACATAGAAAGGAAGGTCTAGAGCTGTATTGTCCCATAGGTAGTCACTGCCCTGTGTGGCTACTGAGTACTTGAAACTTGGCAGTCTGAATTGATTTGTGCTCTAAGTGTGAAACACACACTGGTGTTTGAAGACTTAGTACAAGAAAACAATGTAAAATATCTCATTATAATTTTGTACTGATAACATGTTGAAATGATAATATTTTGGATATACTATGTTACATAAATATATTATTATTTAATTTCTCTCATTTCCTTTGCTTTTATTATAGAAATGTGGCTACTTCATATTATGTACACAGTTGTGGCTCACATTACATTTCTATTGGCCAGTTCTGTTATAAAAAGATAGATACCAAACTAATGATAATAATGATTACCTCCGGGGTGTGGAGATGAAAGAGGGGCTCGATATAGAGGGAGATTTCTGTTTTTCCTTCATATACTTCTTGAATTTTCCACACTGACCATATATTTACGTAACAGATTATCTTCTGTGACTTTTAGGAATATAGGACAAGATCAAAACAAATGAGTTAATACATGCAAATATGCTTCGCTTTGTCAATTGTTTTTCTTTTTTAATTTTCATTTTGTGTAACAATCCTGCATATGTAATTTGTCAATTGTTAAAGATATGCACGTGTTAGCTGAGAGAGCGAAGTTTTTAAACTTGGTGACCGTCTATTTTGGAACATTATATGCACTTCAATACGTGTAATAAGTCTTTCAGTTTAAATATTAGACAAAGCTTGTGGAGAAACATGTAGGGTTTGCAGTAATAAAACAGAATGTGTTTGTTTTTAACAGTAGAACTCTATATAAAATGATCTTGCTTCTGAATAATTGGGAACATTTTCATAAGTTTAAAAATAAAAGGTGACTTGTAAGGCAATCAAGATGTTTTGGGGTTAGCTCATATATAACTAATAATATTTATGATAACCCTCTTTTTAGTGGTAGAACACAGCATCTTGTAAAACAGCCCAGACTTATTCTGGCTCCTGCCTTATTGTGATGTACTGCTAGGTTTCTTTTTCTCCAAAAACCCTCGAGTCATTAAATTTTGGATTTAACATTGATTTACTCCTTTTGAAGTTTTGCCAAATACAAAGAGAAATTACTAAGCCTAAGTGATTAAGGAAGAATAATGGTTTGTTTTTAGTCAACACTGTGTTTGGTATTTTAATTATTATTATTTTTAATTAAAAAGCTAGTGTGCCATTCCCAACCTGCTAATGGAGCTGGAGAAGAAAATAGCAACCACGTTCTGAAAACCAAAGAACTCTAATTCATCAAGCCAGGCTGCAGGGAGGGAAGATCACCCACAGGATGTCTTAGCTCTGCTGTTTGCTGTGTTCTGGCAAAGTTTAGATACTAATTGACATTTAGTTGAATGCACTGGAGTCTTTGAGTGTAATTTCATGACTGTCGACAACTCCCATGCAGAAATCCAAGTGATTTTGCTTCAGTTTCATCATTTAACTCACAGCTCAGCCACAAGTTGACTGTGTGTTGTTAGCCAAGTCAGTTTTTCCTCTGGTCCTCATCTTCTAGGCAAGTAAAATAGGGCATTAGATTGGAAGATAATCTCCAAAACCTTTTTCGACTTTGAACTTGTGTCCTCCTCTCCTCTTCCGTTTACCATACATAGCACCCTTTCTCACCAAACATACAGTGTATCAGTAAAACTGTCATTTAAAGCTGCAGGTAATTATCTGCATTACAAATATCCCCACTGCTAATAAATATGTACTAAATTATGTTTGTCTATGTATTTTAATATATATAAAATTGCATATAATTCTATAATTATATGTAATTCTACAATATATAAAATTATGTATAATTTTATAATATATATAATTGCATAATATATAATTATGTAATATATGTTAGGTAATATTTATATATTGCATATGGTATGTGTAACATATAATTATATATATATTAAAATACACACACACATACATGGGAAGGAAACTCCATTGTGGAAAACCTACACATAAAATTCCCAAATCCCAAAAACTTTTCTGGGAGAAGTCAGAGAAAAAAAGCAATATATTTCCAAATCTTTAATGAAACTTAAATTTAAAAATGCTTTGTAACTACCGTTTGGAAATTTAACGTTGGTGAATGCATGATGAGCTTGCTTCCTTTTATCCTCTTTGTTCATTTTCCTACCACTCTTTAAAGGAGGAAGTAAGAAATCTTTGCAAGCATTCATTTCATTTCATGGTGGGATTGTTCTAGGTGCAGAGGCAGGCTCAGGATTCAACAAACACAGCCGCTTAGCAAATTTCTTCTCAACATGGGCATCGCGTGCGTGTATAAAAGCATGATTTACTTGGTGTTTTTGAGGCAGCAGTAAATAAATTTGGAAGCACTGAATTGTATTAGAAAAACATGACTGAGCATTTAAAGCTTTTTCTCAGTGAAATTAATGGTGTGTTTGCTGGCAATCTCTTTCCCATGCATTAATAGGGAAAAAGTGATTTACCAAAAAATGGTAATAGAAACCAGCAAATACCTTAATTTGTTGTATTATTCTGGCCAATTTAAAATTCGAGGAAGCAGAAATGGCACTGGCGGAGACACAGCGGTAGCAGCTGCTCGGTGACTTCGTGGAGGGTGCACTGTCTATGGGAGGGAGCGCCGCGTTGCCATGGCAGCGAGCAGGTCCGGGCGCCGCTCTGCCCCAGGGAGGAGAGGGGAAGGGGCAGAGGGCGTCTTCCTTCCTTGGTATTTACGGGTGGGGGTCGGGGTAGGGCACAGGACCTAGCATTTTGCTAAATCTTTGGAGGATACAGGATGTATTCATGTTGGCCCCTGCCTTCACGAGACTTACAGTTAGGCCGGGCGCCCTCGGAAAATGCATCTGCTTATGTCCTGTGTCCTGAGGACTTAGGGGTGAGCCAAAGTTGACATAGCCCCGACCCACCGGGAGCAGACTTCTTGGGAGGAATGTGATTGACACAGCATTTACAAGGGAGATGGATTTCTCAAAGGAAAGCTGTTGTGCATGCATTTGTCGGGGATCTGATCTGTTCGTGGTCTCAGGATACCTTCTTTGAGGTGAACAGTGCTTTCTTTGAAAGGAGCTGTGACTTCAATTAGATTTTGAAAAATAAATGATCTTGTAGCTGTGGACTTTTAAGTTAGCCTGTTTACATTGTGTTACTGCAAACGTATAGAAGCTTGGAGTTGGGTCTAGAATTCATCCAGTCTTTTCACACAGATGAGGAGACAGAAGAAGGGGGAGGATGAGAAGACTACAGATATACTGAGAAGAGTAAGATCACAGTGGAGTGAGGCTGGAAGGAGCCCAAAGGGAGGCTGCATAGGGACTGAGGGCAGGCAGCCCCACATCCCAGGCAGCTGGCCTCCCCCGGATTGAAGATTCTGACAGGAGCCCTCTCCATGCACCTCCAGTCCCTCTCTGAGCACGTCTCAGGTGGGTACAAATAAATCCTTTGTCTCAGAGTCCCAGAAGAGGGCTTTTTCTTCCCTAGATAACAAATCCGTCATTTGTAAGACTGTAATAAGGTTAAGAACTTGTTGAGTCTAGACAAGCAATAATTCTTGCTGTCATAAACCACATTCCATCTCTGACTGCTGTGTTTGTTAAAACCATTTTATTTTTATTTTGGAATAGTTTCAGATTTATAAAAATGTTGAAAGCACAGAGTCGCCATATACTCCTTACCCAATTTCCCCTGTTATTAACATCTGCCATTAGTATGGTACATTTCTCACAACTAATGACACGATGTTGATATATTATTATTAAAGCCCATATGTTATTCAGATTTAATTAGTTTTTAACTAATGTCTTATTTCTGACCTATAATCTCATCTAGGATTCCATATTACTTTTATTCATCATAGTTCCTTAGGTTCTTCTTGGCTGTGACAATTTTCAGACTTTTCTTGCTTTTGATGACTTTGACAGTTTTGACAAGTACTGTCTCTGACAGCTTTTCAAAGGCATACAACATACACGCTGATGGAGGGCTTGATTGCCATTTGGCTGTTTGCTTCTCTAAATGCTTCTTATCATTCACCTGACCTCTAATATTGAGGTAGATTGCTCGTTGGCTTTGAATTTTCATCCTTTGCTGTACCCATTGTGGGTGGAGGTACTAACCTACTCTTGACTTTGGACTTGATCATGTTGAGTTGTGTTGGCTAATGGCATGGGGGCAGAAGAGATAGTGGGCCATGACTAAGCTTAGGCCTTAAGAGGACTCCTGTGATTCCACTTGACCTCTTTTGCTTCTGTCATTGCAGCGAGAGGAATATGCCTGGGCTAGGCCCCTGGTGGCTTGAGAAAAACATACTTGGGCTAGCCCACTGGTGGCTTGAGAAGAATATACCTGGGTTAGCCCACTGGTGGCTTGAGAAGAACATGCCTGGGCTATACCACTAATGGCTTGAAAAGAACATGCCTGGGCCATCCCACTGGTGGCTTGAGAATAACATGCCTGGGCTAGCCCACTGGTGGCTTGAGAAGAACATGCCTGGGATAGCCCATTAGTAGTTAAGAAAGATGAGAGGCACGTGGAGCATTGTCGCTTTCTGCTGAGCCTCATCTAGAACAGTTTACCCCAGCCCACGTCTAGATGAATGGACAATAACCAATGATTGTTGTTTTTATCCTCTGAGCTTTGGAGACACTTGTTACATTTGTTACGTAGCAATAGTTAATTGAGATATGACCTACCATTGAGTAGATGGAAGGCTTTATAAAAACTTTGAAAAATATTTGGTATTAAAAAAGTATTTCTTTGGGAACATGTAATCAAGGTGATCACACGCCCCATTGGGTTATTTTAGTGTCTGTCATGAGAGAACATCTTTCTCATTGAAAATATGAGCTGCCTCACCTCTAAGCCAAAAGGACAATGTCTTTTGCTATTTACAAACTGTGTAGTGATTTGTGAAAAACCAAAATTGAGCTGCTTATAAATGTGTTCATTCACTTATTCATCTCTTCAACAGCTATTTATTTGGTACCTAATATGTGCTGGACCTTCTGCTTGGTGCTGAGCACACAGGGTGAGTAAAAGTGGAGACAGCCTGGACCCACAGGGAGCTGACTTCTTGGGAGGGAGGCAAATGACATGCAATTACAAGGGAGATGAATTTCTCAAAGGAAAGCTGTTGTGCATGCATTTGTGGGGGATCTGACATGTTTGTGGTCTCAGGAAATCTTCCACGAGGAAGGCTGACCTGAATTCTGCAGCCAAGAGGAGTTTGACTGGGCAGAAGAGGGGAGCCTTCTATGCACACTGTGTGGCAAGGAGAAGCATGGTGGCCTCGCGACACTGCACAAAGCCTGGTAGGGCTGGACTTCAGGATGAGGAGGGGGCTGTGAGGCAGTAGGGGGTCTGTCTTCTGGCAACCCAGTATTTGAGCACCCTGATTATTTGGGACATCCCCATTTCCTTCTGCAGATGCTGAAGTAGGGGAAGAGACCTTTCTCCATGCACTGTGGGAGCATGCTTTTTAAGCATATCAAGCCCACAGCTCCTTCTCAGGCTGTAAGTCTTTCGGGAGGGCCAGGAGGGTACATACTGGTTAGAGAGTTCCATGGGGGCTACTGATAGCTGAACATTCAGCAGTAGGGGGAGTATCTGGGTTGTGGAATCTGGCAGCAGGAAGAGGGTGATCAGGACCAAGGTGGGCTAGGGTCTGCAGGAGTGTCCTAAGTCGATGGTTCTTATGGTAGGGCCTTGGTTACTCGTCTCTAAATCAGCCTGGTTCCCATCTTGCTAATCTGATTCTGTGAGAGATGCCCTTGTAATAAATTCATTTTCTGCATTAGTTACCCAGATTCTACTTCTGTTGTTAAACCTAAGAACCCTGATAAGAATAGGTAGGTAGGTGCCAGATCATGCCAGCTCTTCCAGGTCATGTTAAAGAAAGTGGCCTCTTGCTTAAGAAACCTAGAGATCCATACAGAGGTGTTGGAGATGGGAGGTGACTGTCAGATTGGAGCCAGTGGTTATAGCCTGGTATCATTTGAGCTTCTCCAGAAGACCCCAAGACAAAGACTTGAGTATAGTTTATCTAGGAGGCAATCCCAAAAAGCAACAATGGGGAGAAAAGGCAGCCAATACAAGGTATGTTATCAGGCTTGTTACTACTGTCCACAACTAGGTGTCAATCCCATTGGGGAATTCTGGGAATAGTACAGAAAACATGTCTCAGAGTCATCCCACGTGAGGGAGGAGGGAACTGGGGTATTTGTCCACCAACTCCCATCAATCATTGGTTGAGGGCTTCTCTGGTGGGGAGCATTCACTACTCAGAACTTCCAATCTGCCCTGAACCAGGGCCAAGTGGGAACTGCCTAAGATGAAGAGTTGCAGGTATTGGCAGTTGGAAATCACAGAATCTCTGCTCCCAGAAATGGTCAGGCCTGAGGACAGTGGGTGGGACACAAGAGTGTCAGCTCACCTGGATAAAACACTGGCTGGCTTTTATATCTTATAAACAAAAATGCTGTCCTAGGCTGGAGGCTGTAGAAAAGAAACAGCAATGAGTGCCCTGTGCTGCCCATGGAAAACTGAGCAATTGAAGAAACATATAACAAAGCTTTAGTTACTTTCTATTTAGTCCCTATTTATAATTTGTTTCTGCTTCAGAGGAAAGTTTAAAATATGCAGAACTTGGTTTTGTAGTTCAGTAGACTGAAGTTAGAACCCTGGCTCCACATTAATAGCTTTGTAATCTTGGGTATGTTACTTAATCTCCTGTTTCTGGAAGTACCAAAAAGATGACTGTGAACCGATTATATTAGTTTGCTAGGGCTGTGAGAACAGGTGGCTATAAATAACAGAAATTTATTTGCCCACAGTTCTGGAGGCTGGAAGTCCGAGATCAAGGTGTTGGCATGTTTTGTTTCCTCTGAGGCACCTCTCCTTGGCTTGCAGATGGCTGTCTTCTCCCTGTGTTTCCTCACATGGTCATCCCTCTGTGTGCGTCTGTGTCCTAATCTCCTCTTCTTATAAGGACACTATTTGCTATGGTCTGAATGTCCCTCAGAATTCATGTGTTGTAACTTACTTCCCATTATGGTGGTATTAAGAAGTGGGGCCTTGGCTGGGTGCGGTGACTCACGCCTGTAATCCCAGCATTTTGGAAGGCTGAGGTGGGCGGATCACCTAAGGTTAGGAGTTTGACACCAGCCTGGCCAACATAGTGAAACCCCATCTCTACTAATAATACAAAAATTAGCCAGGCGTGGTGGCATGCACCTGTAATCCCAGCTACTCTGGGAGAGTGAGGCAGGAGAATCACTTGAACCCAGGAGGTGGAGATTGTAGTAAGCCGAGATCACGCCATTGGACTCCAGCCTGGGTGACAGAGTGAACTCCATCTCAAGAAAAACAAAACAAAACAAAACAAAAAAGAACTGGGGCCTTTTGGAAAGTGATTAAGTCATGAAGGTGCCACTTCCATGAATAAATTAATGCCCTTATAAAAGAAGCATCAGAGAGAGTTCACCTTTCTTGTCCTTCCATCACTTCTACCATGTGAGGACACAGTGTTCCTTCCCTGTGGTAGATGCAGCAACAAGGTGCCATCTTGGAAGGAGAGACTGGGCTCCTGACAGACCCCATAACTGCTGGCCTTGGCCTTGATCTTAGACCTACCAGCCTCCAGAACTGTGAGAAATAAATTTCTGTTCTTCATAAATTATTCAGTCAATGGCATTTTGTTATAGCAGCACAAATGAACTAAGACATAAGTCATATTGGATTAGGGCTCAACCATATGACATTGTTTAACCTTAATTACCCCCTTGAAGGCCTATCTCCAAATACAGTCTCATTCTGAGGAAGGGGGGTTGGGCCTTCAACCTATGAATTTTAGAGGGGCACAGTTTATCCCATAACACCAATGAAACAGCTTACTTATCAAGATTGATGACTTACTCATCAATACTCCTTTCAAGACCCTTACCTCCATATGCTTACCAACCCAAAGAAACTTTTCATAAACTTTTCCAGTCCCAACAAGTGCCCTGCCTTGCAAGACCAACTTCGAAATCACCCAGCTCAGGCCCTAAAACCATTCTCCATTAAGACAATGTTCTCTCTTATTGCAGGAAGTGTGATAAGCTTTGCTTGATCAACAGGTTTCTTTTGTGGGCTTTGAAGAGTAGATAAGATTGAATAAAATGATCAATGAGTACTCTGTTATAGTACTTGGCATTTAGAGGTGTTTAACCAGTGTTAGTTTTCTTCCCTAACATTGGTTAAACACCTCTAAATGCCAGGTACTGTAGCAGAGAGGTACATCACAAGAGAGATTTTCAAAGCATGAACGATAATTTTTATTTTTCTTCCTTTGTTATGCCCAATTGACAAAACCATCTCACTTCAAAATCCTTCTGTCTCTCTGTTTTGTCTGAATAAATCTATGCCTGATACAAGTCAGCAGTTTCTAGATTATTTTCAACTCTTTTTAATAGTTCTTGGAATGTCGGAATCAATTAGAGGTTAGTCAAAGGTTTTTTCATGTGTAATACAATTCTGCTGAAGATGGCAGTTGGTGGGAATCTTGCAGACTCTAGCAGTTGAGAGTGAATTATGGAATCAACTACTGTTATGTAAATTACAAGAAAATAGAGGATAATTTGTTTCTCCCTGTAGGATCAGAGCATGATGCTCTTCACATTGAAAGAAGTACTTATCATTACCTGATTTTGTTAGAGCTTTATATGCCTGTCTTTCCCCAAAATGGAAAGCTATTAGAAAGAAAGGATTATTAGCTCTATACTTGCTATGTAATCCAAGACAGAGTCTACACACAGTAAAACTTCAACATAAATTGATTAAGTAGAATTGAATTTAATCCTCAGCAGTGAGGAGAGTATTGGAGAGTGGGGAAGAAGGAGGACAACATTTGTGTGCCTTTCATGGATGGGCTGCTTACATACTTCTGTCACTGCAATCCTATGTGGTCAGAATTGCTATTGTCTTTTAACAGATAAGGAAACTGAAGTTGAGGGAGGATAACTTGGCCAAGGTCACAGTTTTGAGAGACGACAGGGACAGAATGAAATCCAGATCTAACTAATATTGCTTCCTAATGGAAAGCAAGGAAAAAATCTTTGCTTTCCTGTTGAGTAACTTGGGTGAATAATGTTGAAAACAAATACTTTATTTAAGGCAGCTGAGACATTATTGGTTGGCATAACAACAACAACATAACCCAACCAGTCAACAGAAGGGGGAAAAGGCAGAAATAACCGACAGGGCTGTTTGATGCCTAACATTTTGCTTGTTTTACTAATGTGTTGCTTTTCATGTGCTTGCCTTGGTTTTAGTCACAACCATTATACATTTAAGCTAGTCCTGACTTTCTAGTTAGTACTCCGGCGATGGTTAAGGCAGAAGGACTCTAGCCTTTCCCATATTCCTTCTGCATTCTCCTGTACAAGCTTGAAGCTGCTTTTAGAAACCCCAAAATACTGTCTCTGCCTGAAGGCTTTTCTCTGACTCACTAGCTGTGTGCCTAAGGAAGAGTGATGTGCTGGAGAACTAATCCTCCCCGAGCACCCTCCAGCGGTCTCTGACAGGGAGTTTGTGGATAAACACCCAACTTTCTTCCCATTGGGTGGATGACTGAGTCATGTTCTCCACAGTTTCCCAGAGGTGCTCAGCAAGCCTGAGTCCCAGTTGCCCACACTGGTAATTTCCTTGAAAACACACACTTTATGGTGTTTCTTCCCTTTCCTGTCTCACTTCCTCACTTTCACATTGGTGCTGCCTGAGGAACTTGACCTGGGTACAGAACACTTTTAGATCAAGTGGGCTGGCTAGGGAGGGGAGACATGAGAATTCAGCTCTTCTCTGCTGCAGTGGATAACTGCAGTTATGAAAAGAAGACACTGATTCCAGGAGGATGTGTCTTGCGACCAAGGGAACGAGTCTCCCTAAGGTGCACTGTAGGAGGAGGAATTCAGGTTTCAGAGTATGTCCTATGAGTTCTATATGATTTCTGGGAACAACATGGATGAGAGCTAAGTGTCTCCTGGGCATACACCTTTTGCAGTAGGACAGTTCTCCCTGGAAAGGCAGTTCATGTGCACATTGAAGTTTGAGAAGTACTGCCTTATGAATCTGAAAATAATATAAGAAAAACATAACACCTTGAGCTTCAGTTGGTTTTCCCTCATTACATCTGCTTGTTTACCTGCCCACCTGAGCTCTGTCTTTTCTTTCTGAAAATATTTTCTAGACTCTTTAGTCCTGATAGATTTTCCCCTTATAAATAAATTTTCCTATCCTAAAAATTAAGTGAAACTACTATATCAGTGATTCCAGATGCTTGCCAATACCTTCATAATTAATGTAGTATTGAGTTAGTCATGTGACTTTGGGCCCAAAAAAGTCACCTTTCTGAATTTAAGTTGTCCAAAGAAGGATTTGAAGATAGCTGAGATCCATTTTGGCACATGCTTACATGATTCAAAGTCCCTAGAGTTTTGGTCTGGTGATACGGATAAAAGCATTTTCAAGGATACGTCTGTGGTAGGTTGTTGCAGTAACGTCCTTGATTTATACCCCCCTCCCAGTGTTCACCCCCTTGTGATTTCCTGCCCATACTGGCCCTAGACCTGGCCAAGTGACTTGCTTTTGCCAGTGGAATATAGTAAACATGCTATAAGCAGATGCTTGAAAAATGTTTCTGCACTGGGGCTTGTTCTGTCTTGCTGCATCTTGGAACACTGTTGACCACCAGCATGTGAACAATCTTGGGCTACTCTGTTGGAGATATACAGGGCCCAATCCCTTGCACCTCCCAGACAGCAGCCAGCATTAAAACCAGAAATGTGAGTGAGGCCGTTCAAGACCAATCGGCTCCTACTGACACCATCAGCTGATTGCCTCTGCGTGAGGAACCCCAGGCAAGACAAGCAGAAGATCCGCCTAGCGGAACTCATCCTAAATGCCTGACCCAGATTATAGTGAACTAATAAATACTTTTTGTGGTAATCTATTATGTCTTAATGGTTTGTTACATAGCCAAAGCTAACTTATTGCAACTTTTTTGTCTTTATCTTATCGGGGCGTAGCTTGGTAACTATTTAAAATGGGGAATTATAGGAGCCCAGGTATAAAAAAAAAGTCATTTTAATAATCAGAAATTAGTTACAATTTACAATTAATTATTTAATGGCTCACTAATGATTAATTCTTGGTTGATTACATCCTATCTGATGAAAAAATATGTTTTTCTCACAAAGCATGATCTGTCTTCAAACACTGGCTCAGAAATGAGCATTACACATAACAAGATGGGGCTTTTCTTCTCTGTCTTATTCCCCCATTTCTGATTGCAGCTGAATTGAATAATCCTGCTCTGGCTGTTCTGATTGTGTGTGTACTCTTCCCATGGGCTTCTTGTCTAAAGTGGCAGATGTATTTCTCTCTATCTCCCTGAAGAAATGACAATAGAAGTAAATTGTGGCCCTGTAGCTTATTCAAAGCTGCTGAAAGCAGAAGCAGGCTTCAGAGAAACCTAGCAGAACTTTGACATTCATAGGCGTCCCTGGCAGATGGTGATTGTTGGGTGGAATGCCCCGTGGAGATGAAAGAACACCAGCCACAAGTGGTTTTGGACCATATTGTTTGGAAAATGACAAACATACTTATTGTTTCCTGACTTAAGTCAAAATAAAACAGACCAAAACAACTCCCACGCTGCAATCACAGACACTTGACATTACCCAACTCATATACAATGCAGAATGCATTTTGCCTTTGAAACAGGGGCTGGTAATGTTGTTTTTCATCTATATGAAATGATGAAAAACATCATTTTTTTTTGGATATAGGACTTGGGCAAATGAAAAACGTGATGACAACTCGACTTCAATACATTTTGGATCTTAAATGTCCATTCATCAGGAGCCGGTAACATGCTTCATCTCTCACAGAGGGCAGGCATAAAGCCCCTGCAGAACCTCTAAACAGTGCATAAAAGACTAGAACACAAGTTCAAGGACTGGAGTTTTCTTTGACCACTTTATAGATGGAAATTGAGCTGGAAGTGTTCTGTCTTTGGTTTTCTTTGGCATTCAGAACTATGTTCCAAATAGGAGCTCACTGTAAGCAAGTAAATCAGAATATAACCTGCATGGCAGATCTTAGAACACATCCAGTCGTGCAACTAAGTAGCATCCAAAGCCCAGGATGAATGCTGGAGATGACTGACACATCAAAACAAATTTGAATGACACATACATTTTAAGAGACTGTCTGTAAAATAGAATCAGGCAAACCTTTTTTCTATTCTGATTTATTCTCTTCATCTCTGCTGCAGGCAACCCTCAAGCTATTTGGTTATTATTAATCTTTCCAGCCATTCCATAATTGTCCTTCCTGCGTCTACATCTTTTTTTAAAAAATTATTTTCTTTGTTATTTTCCAACCTTTCATGTGTTGTTTATGTGTTCCCTTTTGAAAAAAGAAACTCTTCCCATGTCTCTTTTATTTTGGGGGTAGTATTTTATTATTATTTCTATTTTCTGTTACTTCTTATTTCTACTCTTTCAAAAACTGTCTGGCAATTGAATGTGCACATGAATAAAGAGGAACTGGAATGAAAATGTCCAAAAAGGATGCTGGAGGGATTGGGGGAGTTGTATTGAGGTGGAGAGGAACAGATGGCAGCTGTTAGTAAAAGAAAAACACGTCTAATAAATGAAGATTTAGTTGCCCATTTTTCAAATCCAAGTTTGTCAAGAGGGACACTAATGGACACAGCCAGAATTGGCGGCAGCACAGTGGGAAATGGCAGGAAATTATGCCCACTCCAGTGAGAAAAGGAAAGAAAAGATGGGTCAACTGGGTCTGGAAGGAGCTTTGGATAATTCAAATGAATATAGGACTATGAATATCTTTGTGAATTTGCAGAATTCACAAAGATGTTCCAAGGAATAAAGTTTAATAGGGGGAAAATTATGTATCAGTAATTCACATTTCTCTCCCTCATGCCCACCACTTTATACTGGGGGACAGCTGAGTCAACTCTCAAGTTCTTCTTTATTAGGGAGAGTTTGGGAACTGAGAGAGAATTAATGCATATAGAGAGGCTAAGTTGATTTACCTAACTAAGAGCTAGCAGGAGCATCTGTTGGGAGAGAAGAAAAGACTGAGTCAGAATGTTTGGGAAGCTGGGAGATGTCAGGGCAAAAAGAGAGAATGTGGCACTCTCAAAAAGCTGAGAAAACAAGGAAGGAAAGAAAAGTGGACTTTAGAACATGTTCCCATTAGCATTCTCTGAGAGAGAAAATACTAGCATTAATTTTTGATGACTTTTGGCTGCTGAACCAGATTTTTTTAAAGCCTGCACTTCATAGGGCCTGAGAATTACTTATGTCACGGGAAATCTCCTGGTGCATTCAACTCTTATAATGCCACAGGAAATCTCCTGGTGCATTCAACTCTTATAATCTGTCTGCCACATCACAATATTACATTTCACAACTACAACATCACACATCACAGTATCAGAAACATGGGGCTGGTGGAGAAAGGAGGCATTATTAGCTTAATGATCAAGCACAAATTGATGCTGCGTTATTATTCTAACTTTTTATAGGACTGTGTATCTCCTGTAAGATTCCATCCTGAATCCTGGAAAAGGATTCTGGGTTGCCAGCACTCTAGATTCACTTAGAATCAGACTCTGACACTGGGATTTGAGAGCAAGTAGTTTATTTGGAGATGGTCCAGAAAGCTCTGGTAGAGAAAGGGAGACAGGGAAGGGAAGGAAACAAGTAGAGGCTGTGTTTTCAAGCTTGTTATCTGAAGAAAATTATACAAGTGCTTGCTTACATGATATTTCACCTCTATGTGCCCAGAGCCTGATACATATATTCATACATACACAGACATATAATTTTAAAGCATTTGCATGACTTAGATAACAGACGGCACCCTTGGTGTTTTTCACTTATATCAGCCAACCCTGGGTCAGTGACAATGGAGAAGGAAACGAGAAAAGAAACGTGCGAGGGTAGCAAAAAGAGAGGCATGTCCTGTGAGTCGGTAGTTAATATTTACTGAGCAGGCACAACTTGCCCACACCAGGTGCCCAGTGCCTTCTATGCCTGAGCAACCCTATGCGGTCAGGACGACTGAGATCCATCTGACCTATGAAGAACGAGCCTTAAAGAGGGTAAGGCTTAGGAGTGGAACCCAGGCGGCCTGACTGGAGAGGCAGAGTTAATCTCTGTGGCGCACTCGCTCCCAGCAGGAATGATCGCGTTGTCAACAGAGATGCCAGCAAGGCCGGACAGTTAATTTTTAACCCTGGGGAGTGGACGCAGCTAGAGCCCCTTGCTCCTGTGCCTGCTTGGCGGGTGTGTCCGCGCGGGCCATGGATTCACACTGGCTTCACACCGGCCGGGGGTGAAGCACCGGGACAGAATGACAGCCACGGGCCAGGACGCCGCAGCCCTGCAGGAGACCGTGTCGGCGATTCACATTCACCCAGCGCCAGACTCACCCCCAAGCCAGGCTTCTCTTTTTCTCACTTAATCACTGCCTAGAGAACAGGAGCCTGTTGTGTGCGAAAGGATGGGCGCGCCCCTGGCTGCAGGCACCTACTCATTCTCTGCCCCGTTTGGGGCAGAGGGAGCTGTGTGGGCCCCTCAGCTCCGCCCCTGCCCGTGGAGGGCGTGGAGGGCACCAGAAAGGCGCCGGGAGTCGCAGGTCCGACAGAGACCCGGGAGCTGGGCGCTGTGCACCGGGACGCTTTCCGCGCAGGAGGGAGGCCCCCTCTGGAGGGCCAGAGAGTGATCGGCCACCCACGGGTTCCCTTATAGCGCAGAAAAGCATCCAGGGTCAACCAAGCTCACGGGTCACCTCTATAAATAAGTGTGCAAATCTTTGGTTGTGCAGTTCTGAAAAATCTAATTCCTTTTTTTTTTTCCTCCTCTTTATTCAACTCTCTGGCCAACCCCTCCCACCACATCCCCAACCAACACACTCAGGAAGACACACACCATCACCACCACCACACCACACTGAGAGAGTCAGGCAGTTATGATAAATTTGTGCTGGGCATCAGAGCGGGAATTAGTCCTGGGAGGGACTCCAGAAGTCCCAGGCCCTGGTTCCTCGGTGTTGGGCTGGAGGAATCCGCAGAGAAAGCCGCAGGGTTTTCTCGGGGAGACTTCGATAGAGTGGGCTAAGTGCTTATGGCCCTGGCTTATTTCAGGAAGGAATTGAAAAGCCTTTTTCAGCATTTAATATCCAGTGTTGTAGGGAAGTCCTTCATTATGTCTATCCTAAATCTCTATTTCTGCAAGTTAGCCATCAGCATATTCCTGAAGAGCAATTTTGCTAACACAAAAATAACATTAGACACAGCAAGCATGAAAGGAGTCACACTTCTATTAGTAAACATTCAAGAAGCTTCTGATAATGTTAAGTGGCAAAGACAACACGTGAAAATTCAATTTTTGAGGCCACTGACTAGCAGACACTAAAGAAATAGAAAGGATCTTAAAAAATCAATAAAGTAAATCAATATTCCCTACTAGAGATGTAATTTTAAAAATCATTCAAAAGTAACAACTGGTGTCCTTGTGTTCATCTGGCTTAATGTGTAGTAAAAGCAGAAAAAACAAACCCAATTTCACAGACAAGCTAGGCACAAACTCACGCCTCACTTTAGGCCACTGCACAGACTTGTCCCTCCCAAATCGTTCACATCCAAGGCAGTAACTGTAAGCTATTCAGAGCATAACTCAGGCCATACCCTGTTAGCTCACAATTGCCAAACCAATGAGGTTTCTACATGGGTGATAAACATTGCCTGGAGCAGAAGAATTTCACTTCCTGTAGATTTGGAAAAATCCTCCCGGCTTGATTCATTCCCACTTGTGTCCCGGGTTTGAGTCTAGATGTCTCAGCATTATTTTCAAGCCTGGCTCTGGTTTTTCCTGATATTGCAAAGTTGATGCCCGCTGAAACACAAAATAAAAAACTACCTAGAGAGGAAATCAAAGCAGGTTGGAAATCTTGAAAATTGCTAAATGGTAGGTCCATTTATCCAGTGAGTTGCTATTTCAAGACAGGGTTTAAATGGCTAAAATTGCTCAGTTTTTGGTTGCCTGCCTATTTGTTAGGCAATGTATATTAATACTCAGGGTAATGCAGTCTCTTTGGGGTGGGGGTAGGGACATGGTGGGTGGGGAGGTGAGGTTGAGGTCTATTTTCTCCTGGAAAGGAGCACTTAGTCTTTGGAAGAAACAAAAGCACATCATTAATGGAGTGCTATCCTGGCTGAGAAATGGAGGTTTTACAGTTTGCTTTGTGCATATGAGCTATTCATTTACAATCAGGTACACACGATTTGTGTCTCATTATCTATTAGGAACTGTTCTTCAAATGGGTTTGGGGCTGGATTTTTCAATGGGCTGAGGGAACAAACAACTACTCTTATCTTCCAGCCTGTCAGCCTCAACATTCATGTCGTCCTTCCATTAGCAAGAGTTGACTTGCAGAGAAAAACCTTGTAAATTATAGCCTATTGTTGGGTGAATCACCCCGCAGTGACCCAGAAAGCAACTTTGGAGGCCTCTGCCCTCTAAAGCAACTTTGGAGGCCTCTGCCCTCTTCAGGATGCAAACAGGTTGGGGAATGAGGTTGATGAGGGGGAGAAAAATGAGCTTATGTTTTTCTTGTTTGCCAGCCTTTCTCTGCTTTTCCTACAAAGTGAGTCACTCGAAGGTCTTAAGTCAACTGCTTCCTCCTGGGTTTTAGTGTTGTCAGTGGGCCCTCTTGGAAACAAAAATATGATTTGCTCTTGGGGGTCTCTTCTGGTGATGGAGGTCAGGAGCAGCAGGAGTGGGAGGGGGAAGGTGAGCACAACCCTGAAGAGAGAGTTTTATAAAATCTGAGGACTAGCTTACTCACAGGAGCTAGACCGTCAGCTCCTGGCCAGGTGTGGACTTTGAGGCCCTGGAAACGTGGCTGGTCTGAGTTGAGGTGTGCTGTGAGTGGACAATACACACTGGATTTTGAAGACTAAGAATGAAAATAAGAGTGTAACTATCTCACTAATGTAGTTTAGAATATTGATCATGTGTTGAAATGGTAATATTTTGGATATGTTGGGTTAAGTGAAATATATTATTAAAATTATATTTTAATTGCCTTGTCTTCCTTTTTAAAATGTGCCCACTAGAAAATTTAAGATCACCTATGTGGCTTCCTTTATATTTCTAGTGGATAGCATTCATCTTGATGGTGAATTCAGAGGGGAAGATGCTTTCGCTAGATTAGTGACCCAAATTCTCCTCTTTGGAAGTAATGTCAGTACTTGTGGGAACAGCCTGAAAAGAGACGGGAAAGACTTGGGTTTAGGACATATAAATCTAAGAAGTTTAGAATTCTAGACACAGAGTTTATCTGCTCTATTTCCTAGTTTAATTGTAGTTTCTTTAGGGCTAACTTGGTGGCCATACCTAAAATATTCTTGGGGACACACACACTCGCTTCTCCACCACTACAGCACCTCTCTTCTCATAGTCTAGAAGAGAAGAATGTTATCAGAATAACAAAAAAAATCATCTGACCTGGCCCCTAATTGGGAAATTTCCTACTGTGTGCAGAACAGTGCATAGGACAGTGGGAAATTTCCTAACTGGGGGTCAGGTCAGGTGATTTTTTTGTTATCCTGATAATATCCAGGGTTTCAGTTTGTTGTCGGGTTAGTTTTTTGAACACTTCGTGCTTGGCTTTCTTGTTCACTACAAATATTAATATTTGGCCTACTGACTTCATAGAATTGATACATGGATCAAATGAGTTAATGGTTTTGGAAGTATTTTTGGAAAATGTTAAATGGTTCTTAATGAGTAGGTTGTTATTGGCCCTCAAAAGAGAAGAGTGCCAGTCAAGGAAAAGAGGATTTACTTCTAGAGAAATTACAAGGAATCAGAAGTCCCCTGTTTCTTTGACTCTGAGATGGATGTCACCCACTGATTGCTCCCACACTGATTTCAGAATTTGGGCTTGGCAGGAAGACTATGCCAGAATGGTGAGCTGACTTCCAAGTTTCCAAGTCCATAAAAATCTAGTCTCTAAACCTGAAAAATGTGAGGCTGCTTTTCAATGTCATCTGCTTTGTAAAGAACCTTTGATGAAATGACGTGTTTGCAGTCAAAATAGATAATTCTCAATAATAGAGGTTGCAGAGTAAAGCAGTCAGGCTATAAAATCTGAATGGAATATCTTCTATTTATTTGGTCCCTGTGTTCAGTTAGGCCTGACATGGGCACATACTGAATGAGGGAGAGAGAGAAATACTATCCCTACAGATCTTTAGAGCAAGCTGGGTCTAATGGCATTTAGAGTATATACCAATTACAGAAGTAGGGAAAGGGAAAGAGAATTATTCCCTGGAGATATTACTAAACCTATAAAATCAAGTTTGCAGCCATTGTTTGATGTCTTGTAAAACTCACAGCCTCCTATTTCACTCCAGTATAGGCTCCTTGTAGGGTCATCTATGGGGGTTGTGCTTCCTAAAAATGTACTGTACTAGGATCACAAGATGTAGGTTCTTGTCCCAGCCCTGATCTATCCATAATAAACTACATAATGAAGACACATCCATCTTTGTCAACGTGCACGTAATTGGCCTAAGGTACATTCTAAAAGCTGAGAACTTCTTCATGTTCTCCCAGAATGACATGATAAATCACCCACTTTTGGATTCAGTCATCTGCTTGCTGGGTCACCTTGGAAGACCAACAGCTTACTACTTCAGTTAAAGGTGATACCACCACCTGCCCCTTAATTGCTTCTATTGGGATAAGAATCAGGTTATAGGTGCCTAAATTTTTAAAGAAATATATTCATATGAGATATTCATGTAATATTTATCAGGAAATAAATTAGTCAACTTAAGTGAATTTTTTTCGGAAACAGGAACTTACAAATTTAGCACCAAATGTTAAAAAGTAGATGTTTTCAATGGAAATCTTTTTAAAATCTACTACAATGCAGAATAGAAACTAACATTTTTTCTTATAAGCAGAAGGTTTCATTATCTTGTTCAATTTATACACAGACATGAAAATGGAGGGTGTCCAAGGAGGTTTGCTCTATGTTTAATGGGCTCAAACTACTCTAGTTGTTGATCTTTCTAATTAAAAAACATTTTTTACCCTTTCTATCCCTGAGGAAGACCATTTATTCACTTTTTCCATGATTTTTTTTTTTTTTTTTGAGACGGAGTCTTGCTCTGTAGCCCAGGCTGGAGTGCAGTGGTGCGATCTTGGCTCACGACAACCTCTGCCCCTCCAGGTTTAAGCAATTCTCTGCCTCAGCATCCAGAGTAGCTGGAATTACAGGTGTGTGCCACCACGCCCGTAATACAAAAATAAAAATTTTTGTATTTTTAGTAGAGACGGGGTTTCACCATCTTGGCCAGACTGGTCTTGAACTCCCGACCTCGTGATCCACCTGCCTCGGCCTCCCAAAGTGCTGGGATTACAGGTGTCAGCCACTGCCTCCATGAATATTTTTTGATGGCCTACTTGGTGCAGGATGCTATATGACCTACTAGATACATAAAGATAAATGAAACCTACTCTCTAATCTCAAGGAAATCAATCTGCTGTGAGGGAACAGACTGGTTTTAAGACTTATATTTCAATTCAAGAAAATATAGCTTGAATAACTGCACATGCATGGATTGGCAACATTTATTTTTGGCATCTCAGAGGTCAAGATAAGAGGAACAAGGCAAGTTCTCAACCAGTGTTGGCTATTAATATATTATTATTTTCATTAGCTCTTTTAAATGTTGCAAATATCAGGTAATAAAATTTCCACATAAGAAAATATTATCATGATTGTTTATTATCATCAATGTTTTTTAACCTCGTGATAGCAACCCAACCTCCAGACAGAGCCTGGGGGAAAGGGTCAAATTTCATCTTTAGAGGTGTACTTTTGCATTTCTAAGCCAATTAGGTATCAGCAAATGTCTCAGCAAGTCTTATCAGGGGGACAGTGTGGTGGTTGGAATGACTCGTGTATGGAAATGGCACTCCTTGGTGCCATTGTCATGATAGCGAGTGAGTTCTCATGTGATATGGTTGTTTAAAAGTGTGTTTTAGCACCTCCCCCCTTGCTCTTTCTCTTGCTCCTGCTCCTGATTTGGAAGATGCCTGCTCCCCCTTTGCCTTCCGCCATGATTGGAAGCTTCCAGAGGCCTCCCCGGAAGCAGAAACCACTATGCTTCCTGTACAGCCTGCAAAACTATGAGCCTATTAAACCTCTCTCCTCCTCCCCCTTCCCCTTCCCCTTCCCTTTCTTCTTCTTCTTCCTCTTCCTCCTCTTTCTCTTCCCCTTCCCCTTCCCCTTCTTCTTCTTCCTCTTCCTCTTCTTCTTCTTCTTCTCTCCTTTTGATGGAGTCTCGCTCTGTCACCCAGGCTGGAGTATAGTGGCATGATATTGGCTCACTGCAACCTCCTCCTTCCAAGTTCAAGTGATGCTCCTGCCTCATCCTCCCGAGTAGCAGGGATTACAGGCACCTGCCACCAGGCCTGGCTAATTTTTGTATTTTTAGTAGAGACGGGGTTTCACCATGTTGGCCAGGCTGGTCTTGAACTCCTAACCTCAAGTGATCTGCCCACTTTGGCCTCCCAAAGTGCTGGGATTACAGGCATGAGCCGCCATGCCCAGCATCTCTTTTCTTTATAATTTACCCAGTCTCAGGTATTTCCTTATAGCAATGTGAGAACATACTAATACACTATGGTTTAGTACTCTGCAGAGTATTTATTATTTCTTGACATATATATTTTTATTCATTGCTTTTTAAATAAATTTTGGAGACTGTTTTTGAACTTCAGCTTTCCTATTAACTTTCTGGAACACAGTAAGGATGAGAAGATTGCATTTGGATCAACAAATTCTCTCCCAGCTCATCAATTGTCTAACACTCATCACTACAGCTTTTGTTTCCTCTTTGCTGTCATAGCCCTCACTATTATTTTATGGCCATGTGAAAAGAGAAACTCTCTTCATTGACTCACTTCTCTTCTGGTCCATGGCTTCATCAGTACAGATTGCCAAGCCCTCCATGATCTGTCTCTGGTCAATCTTTTCAATTTTATGGTGGACTGTGCGAAAATGGCCACAATACTCCACTGCTCCGTCTACTTCATTCACTCCCTCTGCCATGTGACTTTTCAGATTCTTCCATCAAGAGTCAGAGTCTGTTTCCCCTCCCTTTAAATCTGGGCTGGCCTTTGATTTCCTTTGATATTTACTCTGTGATAGAGTTTGGCAGAAGTGGTGGTGTGTGAGTTCTCAGGTTAGGCCTCAAGAAGCCTGGGAGCCTCTGCTCTCCTTGGGATCCTACATAGTCACCAAGCCGGGCTAGCCTCCTGGAAGATGGGAGACCACATGGGGCAGAGTTGAGTCAGTTCAAATGCTCCCACGAAAACCCCAGAAATGCTAGAGGTCCTGGCTAAGATCAGCAAAGTTGCCTCCATGACCCACAGCTGTCCATAGATGTATGAGACACCCACCTAGCTGAACTCGGTTTAAATTAATGACATGCAAGAATACTTAGCTAAATAAACCATTGTTGTTTTAAGCCATTAAATTGTGGGATGGCTTATTATGCAACAATAGCTACTTGATACATGTACAGAACTCCCTTCACTACAGCCACCCAGCTTTATTTCTAGTCCTAAAACACAGAGAATTTGTTCTGTCCTCGGGACCTTTGCACTTCCGCCTGGAATGCTCTTCCCTCAGATCTTTGCATGTTTAGTTCTTTTTTGGGGGGATTCAAGTCTTAGCCCAAATGTAGGCTCTTTGGAGAGGCCTTTTCTGACCATCTTTTCTAATTGTACTACCTATTTATCTTCTATCACATTATCATGTAATATGATTTGGATCTGTTTCGCCACCAAAATCTCATGTGGAATTGTAATCCCCAGTGTTGGAGGTGGGGCCTGGTGGGAGGTGGTTGGGTCAGGGGAGTGGGTTTCCCATGGACAGTTTAGCACCATCTCCTTGGTGCCATTATCATGACAGTGAATGAGTTCTTGTGAGATCTCGTTGTTTAAAAGTGTGTAGCACCTTCCCCTCACTCTTTCTTTTGCTCCTGCTCCTGCCATGGAAGATGCCTGCTCCCCGTGAATGAGTTCTTGTGAGATCTGGTTGTTTAAAAGTGTGTAGCACCTTCCCCTCACTCTTTCTTTTGCTCCTGCTCCTGCCATGGAAGATGCCTGCTCTCCTTTTACCTTCTGCCATGATTGGAAGCTTCCAGAAATCTCCCCAGAAGCAGAAGCCACTATGCTTCCTGTACAGCCTGCAGAACCATGAGCCAATTAAACCTCGTTTCTTTATAATTTACCCAGTCTGAGGTGTTTTTTTATAGCAAAGTGAGAAAAGACTAATATTCCATGCTTTAATACTCTGCAGAGTATTTATTTCTTGATATATAGATTTTTATTTATTGCTTTTTAAATTAATTATCTGTTTCATAGAGAATGTAAACTCTATGAAATCAGGGAGTATGTTGTATCCCCAGAGCCTAGAACACTGCTGGTAGGTATATGGAAGAGGATTCAATACAATCTTGGTGAAGGGATAGAAGGCATTCATCAATTCTCTCAAGTTTGCCAAAGCAACATGTAAAAACGCGGATAGTTGAAGCCCACCTGTACTAGGAGAGATCCTATGGCTCTTGTTCTGGCCCTAGCCATCTCTCAGGCTGCTTCTCTTCTGCCACTGCCACCACCACCCTTTGGCCACACCAGGCTGTTTGTCATATTCCCCATGGCTCATTCTTATGACCGTGTTATTCACTTCAGAATGGGCTTTGACAAACTCTCTTTCATCCCTCTAGGGCTCTCAGCTCAAATTTGACTCTTCTTTCTATTTACCTCTGGTCAGCAATGAGAATTAATTATTCTTCATCTATGATTTTAGAGCTCATAACAACTGTTTCTATGATAGACTTTTCCATTAGTCTGAAAATTGATTGAGATTAGAGACTATTCCTTATTCAACTTCATATTCTCAGTGCTTGGCAAGTAGGGTCTCTAAAAAATTTGTCAAATTAAGAAGATAAAGCCTGTGAAATAACTCTGCATGCTATAGGGAATTATAATCTATAAGATTGAATAATCTTACAATTTAACATGGTTGACATTCTTATTTCTAGGTTGACTTGGCTGATAAGACATTAACATATCATTCCACCTTTAGTAGAACGAATGAATGAGCCAATAGCATCCAGACTATTTTCCCTCACAAATTATCTATCTAAATGAGAGATGCATGACATTTAGATTCAAAGCTTTTTCTAAATACCAATATAGTTTCAAGAGAAACTTTCCCCTAAGACTTAATGGCAAAAGAGTTGTGATTAGGTCTGACATCTATTTCCTCAGGAAAGTTACCAAGGCCGAAAGAGTTTGTGTGCAGTTCATCATGTATTGCTCTGAACTCTTTACATAGGACGTTAAAAAGATTCTGGAGTCACTGGAAATGCTTCTGTTAGTGAACCCAGTGGTTTAACCCAGTCTTGCATAGATGGAGCAATAATGAGAAATCAGGGAAGGGTACTGCGAGGCACTGAGTCACTGTTCCTATGCGAACAGTGTCCTCCCTTCAGTGAGTCCTCCCATTTCTCATTAGCACTCCACTTGTGCAATGAGGCCTGGTCAAACTTTTACATGTTATACTTTTAAACTTGGAGAAAAGCAGTTTCACTTTATAAATCTAATGCCCACTAGACAGAAGCAGTTATTGCCTGCCTGGGACCATCTTCTGTTTGAGAATTCAAACAATCCTCTTTGGGAAGCTTCAGCCTTTTCTGCATCAGTCTGTATGCAGGTTCAGTCACCGAAGGGCTTATTTTTATGCGTTTTTTTGGGGGGGCATAATTTAATTGTTTGGTGTCAAGTAAACAAGTAAGAAAACAAATCAAAATGCCAAGTTGAAAACAAAGAATCTACTCAACATGATAATTTATCTACAAACCAAGAAACGACTGAGGAACTACAGGAATTCACATAAACTTTGCACAAATTGCATTGTCAATACTCTTTGGCTAAAGGGAGATAAGATTGTATTGTCCATCTTTATGTCCATATAATTGTGTTTTAGAAAGCCCTATAAAAATGGTTCATCCTAATAAATACAGTGTTTAGTACCAAAACGTTATTCATGCAAATTCTGCCCTCATTTTGGAAGTAACACATTTGCAGAAAAATGTCAGGCTAAGAAAAGACTGTAGCACTCACAATGCGAATGCCTAACAGTAGCAAAATGCATCCTGTTCAACTTAATTACAATGATAATATTTTGTTTAGTTTTTGTGTATATGGCATAGTGCTAAACCTGCAAAGGTTTGATTAATTACCTATTCAGTGAATTGATAAAGCTTTTTTGTTCATTTATTTATTCAGCAAAAGTTTAATGAGTGCCTACTATGATTGATGCCATTGCAAATGCTAGGAATGCAAAAAATACATAAGGAAAATAAGACATTTTTCTGTGTTTATGTTTTTTATTGTCTTGAAAGCATACTTATTAGGCTATGTGCTTGATTTTTCTAATTAAATTCTCATAATGACCTTTTGAGAGATGTAGTATTATACCCATTTTAAAGATGAGAAAACAGCTTGTAAAAGAATTAAAGTGACCAGTTTCAATCACATGGCTGGGAAGTGGCAGAGAGCCGAGATTTGCAGCCAAGCCTGGGGTTTTGATGGTGCTGCTCTTGTCACCAGATTACACACGATTCCTTCCCTTCTTCCCTCCAATCATCCCTCTTGTCTTACTATCCTCTTTGGATTTAGCTCCATCAGAACATTTCCCAACATGTGCCTTTCATAAAAGTAGTTCTCCAGATGCCTCAAAAAAAAACATTTTCATTTTGCAAGTGACTTATCCTGTCCCCTTTTTCAGAAAAGCGACAGAATCTTCTGATATTTAAAATGTCAAATAGTCTTAAGATAAAGACATCTGTTTAATATTATTTATACGAGTGTTTCCCTAAATTCCTGGGCCATAGAAACATTTTCTTGCCTAACATTTATTAGTAAACATATTTTGGAAAATGCTGCTTTGTCATAATTATTTTTCAATGGAGCAGAAACTGAACTCCCTCTTAGAACGTACTGAATCTCAACCTGTAGGAAACAAAAAAATGGTAACAGGAGGAGGCAATGGAAGCATTACTAGGCTTGTGAAATGAGATTGAAAGGAGAGAGAGCTGGGAGGAGCTGCAGCCTGCTGAGGTGGGCTTAACCGTAGCAGATGATTCAGTCAGAAACAAAACAAAATAAAACACAATAGGAGGCCAGGTGGAATTGCTTTTAACTATATTCTTGTCGCAGCTTCTGGGTACTGAAAAATTCTCTCCCTACTATGGCTTCTTTTTGAAAACAATAAGCAAAAACTTTTGCTATCTATTATTATCTGCATTTTACATATGGGGAGACTGAATCATAAGCTCAATTGTACATGGTCACACAATTAAGAATTGAGCTGCAATTAAAACTCAGAAGGAGTGACTTCAAAATCAATTATCCCATCAGGCTCACAGATTTTAAAAAAATGTGTAAGTTGCCTTATGGAAATTACACAACACAGAAAAGTTTCTAAGTAGAGAAAATAGGTAAACAAGAAAAAGTGAGGAAAAGAATCTTCTACCCAGATTGCCAGTCCAGTGTCCCTACAATAGCTTCCTGTGCTCCGTTTCAGAAAATTCTATCTATTAACCAGTAATTGGCTCTTAAAAAGATAAGAAATCATGGATTGAAAAGCTGATTAAAGAATGTTATGCTGAAATTCCATCTCCCCAACTCAAAATATACTGTTACTTTCTCTCTTTTAGGCTTTTGAGCTGTTACTGCTATTAATTCCTTCATAAGTATTTATTGAATGGCTATTATGTGGCAGAAATATATCTAGACATTAGGATCCTGCATAATGTGAATAAAAACACAAAAACTTACAATAGGTCATAATAAAATAACTAATGTTTATTTAGTGCTCACTTTGTGCTAAGCACTTTCCTTACCAAGTATCATTAATTCTCCAAAACCACCTTAAGAAATTGTTATGCTTATTATCTCCATTTTGTAGATGAAAAACCTGAGGCTTACAGAGGTGAAGTAACTTTCCCAAAAGACTCCCAGTTGGATAATCATGAATTGAGAGGTCTCATTCCAGAACCATATATAGCTATGTAATAGCTATATATGGTTATAATATATATTTATATATTATGTATATATATATGGTTCTGGAAAGAGACCTCCAATACATATAGTCATAAATTGAGAGGTCTCACTTAAAAATATATATATAGGCCAGGCACGGTCGTTCACACCTGTAATCCCAGCACTTTGGGAGGGCGGGGTGGGGGGTGGATCACCTGAGGTCAGGAGTTCAAGACCAACCTGGACAACATGGCGAAAACTCCCCTCAACTAAAAATACAAAAATTAGATGGGTGGGGTGGCACGTGCCTGTAGTCCCAGCTATTCAGGAAGCTGAGGCAAGAGAATCTCTTGAACTCGGGAGGCAGAGGTTGCAGTGAGCTGAGATGGCACTACTGCACTCCAGCTTGGGTGACAGAGTGAGACTCCATCTCAAAAAAAAAGTATATATTTTTAATATATTATATAATATATATTATATCATATTATATATAATATAATATATATTATATTATATATAATATATATTATATTAAATATAATATATATTATATATAATATATATTATATTTAATATAATATATATTATATTATATATTAAAAATATATAACCATACATATATATTACATATATTATATATTATATTAATATATAATTATATATCATATATTGTATGTTTATATTATATATTATATGTAATAGATATATATGGTTATAATATAGTAATATATAATATACATGTAATAGACATATATGGTTATACTAATATATATTATATATAATTATCTATAATATATGAAATAGATATGTATGGTTATATTATAATAATATAAATATATATATTATATATGTATATATTTTTAAATCACTGAGCTATACCCATCCCTTTGCCTGGCAAGAGATTGAACAATATAGGAAAAAGCAACTTGACATTAGAGATGTGGGGAAATTCAAATGAGAAAAGATGAGAATTTATAGAAAAAAGTTTAGGAGAAAAATGGATTATAGATTTATTAAATTTTTTCAAGTTCTCTGGTTCAAGATGTCAGAGTGAGCTCACATTGAGCCTTCTTCTCATTCCAAACATAGATCAAATACAAAAGGGTAATATTAAATATATCTCCATGTTCAAAAACAAGGAAGGGAGCTCTTCTTCAACCAGAAACAGGAGACAAGAATAACAACACCAACAACATATTGGGAAAAGGGTGAGATCTGAAGCTTTCCATGCTATTCGTAACCAGTACTGAATAACAACATCACAGTGCGTTCCTCAAAGCTTTTCTGATGACTGGGGTCAAACAAATCTCATTCACAGCACGGCCTGGATCCTGGTTCTCTGTGTGAATTCAGGAGTTGAAACAGGGCTGTCTACCCATGAAGATAAAGAGAATAGCTCCACTGTTTCTTGAGGTAAAGGAAGTGAACTTAGAATTTTATTACCAACTAATACATTAATCAAGAGTGAACATGATGTGAAGAACATTTTCGGACATAAAGGGCTCCAAAAGTGTTTTCGGTACAGACCCTTACTGAAAGAGCTACCAAGGGGTGTGCTTCAGTAAGAAGAAAAATGAGGCCTGGAGGCAAGGAATGGGACATAAGAAGCAATAGTAAACAACAGCAACAAAACAATCTGAAAAAATTGTTTTTCAGATTGTTTTCAAATGGTTCAGACCATTTACCAGCATGTTTAAATTGGTAAATTTAAACATGCTCAGGGCAAATGACAAAGAATAATTGATAGAAACTGACATGGGTTGGTGGAGGGAGTTGTTGAGTGGATATAGGGTCATGGAATTCGAAGATTAAGAAAAATTTAGTATCACCTGTTTTGACTTGAGCACAAAACTCCTACTGTAACCCAATAAGAATATTCTTGTTTTCTCAAGGCCTGGGGTTGCCTGAAGTTCTGGGTTAAGCAGGGACAGCCTATGGAGAGATGTTAGACAAAACGTGTGATTTTTTTACTTGCCTACATCCTAAACATTGGTATTTCTGGGTTCACACACTTTGACTTGGTGTGAAGGTCAAGGCTGCTGTACCAAGTATGTAAATTGAAGAGGAGAAAAAAATATAATAATATATATATATATTTGAGATGGAGTCTTGCTCTGTCACCAGGCTGAAGTGCAATGGCATGATCTCAGCTCACTTCAACCTCTGCCTCCCCAGTTCAAGCAATTCTCCCGCCTCAGCCTCCTGAGAAGCTGGGATTACAGGTGTGCACCACCACGCCTGGTTAATTTTTGAATTTTTAGTAGACACTGGGTTTCACCATGTTGGCCAGGCTGGTCTCGAACTCCTGGCCTCATGATCTGCCTGCCTTGGACTCCCAAAGTGTTGGGATTACAGGCGTGAGCCACCGTGCCTGGTCATAATATATGTATTTTTATATAAATAAAAATCCAAATAAAAGGTGATCTCCAATCTCTAATATAAGGTGATATCCCATTTTCTCCAAGAAGACTATCCAAAAAATGTTTTATAGGCAACTTAAATATCAAAGCTCTTTGGACTGTAGATGAATCAGTCAAATGTCTCCTTATGGAAATTAATTTATTTGTTTACTCACACACATTTAAAATTATGTATATGGAATATTGATTTCAAACCACTGCTTTTTTACTCTCACAGTTCTTGACACTATTTTATCCTAACTCCTCCAAGGGGCCTTTGATATCAGAGCCCTCCTCCTCCTCCAGCTGCTTTTTGAGTCTCACACAGAGTTGTCAGAGCAGAGCTGCTAGCAATGTCTCCTCCACCAAAATGATGAGATACAGAACTCTTGGCATCCACATCCAGCCAGTGCTGGAAATTTTATCCTAAGACCTAAGTTCACATTCCCAAATTTCTAACGTCAAATACATTTGCTCTCTTTGCTTATCCTGTAGATGATGGTCTGCAATCCTAGTGTCTTGCTTTCTAAATTGATTTTAGAAGGCTTTTTAACAACGACACCCCACTCTTGAAGTGCAGGCCCCTTCCCAAGCAATAGTGACTACATCTTCATTAAGTTTCTTTTCATCCTTTTTATACTTATTTCATTGGGTCATTTCCCTAAGAGCTCAATTAGCATTGATTAAGGTTAAGGGAAATTATGCCTCTCCTAAATACAAATTTATTTTATGAGTAATATAATTTTGAGAGCACTTACTATTACACACTATTATAAGAGGCTTTGTGAGGACTTCGCCTGAAGGCAACTTGCTCCTTTTGAGGGTAATTTTGGTAAAGTCTCAACTCACATTAGGAAAAATTCAGTGTTTTAGGAATTATCTTGGACTTTATTGTTTAAAACCTTTCTATTTTTATTAACTAAAAAATATGAAAATGAGAAATGAGAAAAATAAAAATATTCTCACTATAAAAACTGAGACATAAATAAAGTTCAACTTTCCCTTGACCACCTTTCTACTTCTTAAATATCCAGAGAGACAGCGAGTTGGACACAGATGTCAATGTCATCCTCCTAAACTGCAGAAGGAACTAAAAGGGATGCAAAAACTGAAACCTATACTTGGGCTGTAAATCAGACAACATGCATAATTTAAGTTAGCTAGCATTTCTTCCATATTTCATGCAGATAGGCTGGGCAAGGACCTCTGGGGAATGGGCAAGGACCTCTGGGGAACCCATCTATGCCCTGTCACTCAGCCGGCCAGGCCTTGGGGAGATGCATTTTAATTCCATCAATGCCACTGGGTAACAGGCGCCCACAGCAGTGCACACACTGGGTTCAATAGACACAGATGGCTCTGTTGGGAGGACAGGGCTGTGGACTTCTAATGAGGGCAGGTGTAGCCAGTGAACTGTGGAGACTGCTGGGGCTAACTCATGGCTGCCTCAGCAGAAGGGGTGGGAGTCAGGCTGGATGTTGTGACCATCCCTTGAACTCTGACACTGTCCCCTGGGTCTCTGAACAGGTGAAATAAAACCAGAGCAAATCTCAGCATTTCACTCCTTCCTTTTCTGGGCCTGAAGTATGTGGACAGCAATCTCTCAACTGTGAGCAAGGGGGCTAAATACAGACCTGTCTCTGCGAGGAAAAACAGAGACATCCCTAGACTCTAAGAAGACTAGCTTTGTTCATTCCAAAGAGTTAGTCAATGCTTTTCACCAAAATAGACATATAGCAAGGGATAGGGGAAAGAGTGTTTTTCTACTTCCCAAAGTTATGAAAATAGACCTGAGAGTCCCCAAAATGAAATGATTTGATATCAGTAAGGATCACATAAAGAACAGAAATAGGATTACTACATTCAAAACCCCTGCACCAGAAGAATGGCAGATTATGTGAAAAATTGGATTAGCGAAGGAAAAGGTAAACTTAAGAAAAATTTCCAGAACTCAGAGGAAACAATAAAGAAATAAAAATTGTAGAAGAAAAGAGAAATGGAAGATGGGCTGAGGATATCTAGTATTGCAATAATTCTTCCGGTATTTGGAAATGTAATACAATTCTAACCAAAAGTCCCAAGGGCTATTTTTTTGAAACTGGATTAAATTGCTCCAGAATTCTTCTGAAAGAATAAATGGGCAAGGAAAATTAAAAATATGGTTGTTAAAAGTAATTGTAATGAAGGAAAACTGGCAAATATAAAAACATTATACAGCCAAAATAATTGAAATAAAATTTAGGGTAAGAAAAGATAGATTTGATGAAACAAGACATAAACTGCAGAAACAGGCCCTTGTGTTTGGTACACCATAAAAGTAGCATTTCATATTAGAGAGGAAAGGATGAATTATTTAATAAACCAAATTATGAGAATTGCTTAACAATTTGAGGGTATTTTCAAACACCAAAATAAATCCTCATGGCTTAAAATGATCGCATGTGAAAACAAATAGATGAGGCACTTAGGAAAATGTTGATCTCAGAATAGACAAGACCTTTCTAGCAAAAAAGTGAAGGAAGAGACAGTGAGGTAAATTTTAAAAAAATAAACTTTTAAACTTTCTGTACATTAAAAATTAGAAATATTAAGTATCAGTGATATCTTAAATATTATAGGTTAAATATTTGTAACACATACATTATGCAAGAGCTAAAATGCATAAAAGTATTGCATCATAGACTATAGGAATAGGTAAACGGGTAAGATAAGGACAGGCGATTAACAAATGGAAGTGTAACATGTGCAAATATATGAGGGAAAACATCTACAAGAAAAATATTCCTTCTCAGAGGCTGGGGAATGACTGACTAATAGCTTCATCTGCTTCCAGTGAGTGTGTCTGAGAGTGTTAGAAAGATTTGCTCAAATACTGGCAGCTTAGGGAAGTATAATTCCTCCTTTCTATAGAGTCTACTTGAAAAAAAAATTACTTAAAAATATTTTCTAGCCCGTCGAGGGATAAACAGGAATTTAAAAATTTAAGAGTGAGGATATGAAAGTACTGGTGGTAAAAATAATTTAAATACAATGAGTAATATTAACTTACAATTATCATAAGAGCCACAAAACCTCTAAAATGGAATTTTCCTGCCTCAACACTATTGGCATTTTGGGCTGGACAATTCTTTGTTGTGGACTCTGTCCTGTGCATTGTAGAATGTTGAACAGCATTCCTGGTCTTTTCCCACTAGATGCCAGTAGCAAACACCCACCTTCCCACCAGTGACAATCATGACTGTCTCCCAACATTGCCAAGTGTCCCCTGGGGCCAAAATCACCCCATTTCTATGTGGTGAGAACCATTCCTTTTAAGCTGAGTCATAAAATGTAGACTGTGGAGGAGGGTGGCTGAAAGCAAAGCATAAAAACCCCACCTCTATCAATTAAAATTGAAAAGTAGTCAAGTACAGAGGAAGTAACAGTGTGCTAAAATTTAGTATCTTACTCAGGATTGATATAATAAATATTGTTTGATAGTTGACATTTTATAATTAGAGAAAATGGGTTAAAATATGTTTATATTTTATGACAACCATGAGAAGAATAAAAAGATGGATTAAGTTTTCAAAGCGTAAGAGGAAGGAAAAGAGCAATAAAAATATAATGCATAAAATAAAGGGCGGAAAAAGGAGCTAGTCTAGAAGTTATAAGAGCAAATGTATTTGTTTTGATAATACATAGAAAATATCTTAAAGTGCTTTACTAAAATAAAAATACTTTTAGCTTAAATCAAAATGCAAAATCCAATTGTATGTTATTTTAAAAAATTAGCTTAAAAATAACTGACATAGGAAGGCAAAAAATGAAGGAATGAGCAAAGGTGTATCAGGCTGATGTAATAATAAGACAGTAAAGGTGGCAGTGTTTATCCTGGAAGAAGTAGACTCAAAGGCAAAAACCATTACATGATATGATTTTATATTGATAAGGAAGGACATTCACGAAGAGGATAACCCTGATGACTCTGAACCAAATAATATCCTGTCAAAGTATATAAACCGCTCTTGCCATTGCCATGTAATGAGCAAGCTCCAGGGAGGGGCTAGTCCTGGAAAGAGACCCATGGCAACCCCCTGAGCCCCTCCTGCAGCCTGAAGTGCACAGTCCAGTCAACCTGAGCTAGTGCTGCTTCAGACGGTAGTGTTGAATCTGGATCCATTCATGATAAGTCCATTCCTAGTTCCCCAGATGATGCTCGAGGATGCATAGCTCTCTCTGCCCAGGCAACTCCACCATAGCACCTGACACTCACCAACACCACCTCAATGGAGTTACCAAACTACTCTCCCAAATCCCAGATCTTCTCACTTCCCTCTTCAAAGGAAATGCAAGCTTACTGCCATGGTTTACAAGACCCAACAGGATCTGGACTCCACGTCTCTGTCTGGCACTGTTCTGTATCGCTCTCTGCTTCCTTCTCCTCTTGCTACCTCGGACTCTTTGCTATTTCTCTAATGTAAACAGCTCCTTTTTTGACTTTGAACTTGGCTGTCCCCACTGCATACAATACCCTGTTTACTAACTTCTCTGCTTAAACGTCAGCTCTTTTAATTAATGAAGGTTATACGATTATAATTGTATTCTTATGTCATGGATACATTAATCTTTTTAAATGCCCTTAAAAATAAATATATAAAGGGGCCACTCTGAAGCTCATTTAAGCTTAGCTTACTCTCTAGATATGCTGCTCTCTGGTCTGCAAGGAAATATGATATTTAACAAAAATAAATATCTTTGAGTCCAACGAATGGAGGATCTTTAGACATACATTATCTTACTGTGAAGAGCTGTCGTAAGTGGGCTTGTGGCTTACCTTTACAGTAGCCGTGAATTCACCCAAACTTTTAGGGTTGAAGTGACTTCACCAAGAAAAATCCTTCTCACACTTTCTTCTGATAAAAAATTATGATAATTAATTTAAAAATATGCAGCATAAAATCTGCCAGAAATACAAGACTCATTTTTAAGGTGATTTGAGCTCACGTGCTCTCTTTCCTTCCCTATCAAAATTCTGCTGAAATAACTGAAGGGATGTTCATTTAGGATAAAATATGCAACAGAGCTGGAAAACCCAGAAGGCTGAGTTTGACAGGCCAGGTTGGAAGAATTTCTGGAAGACAGGAAACAGATGGCGTCCAGGTGAGCACAGGTGAAGTGCTGAGAGGGGCGCGAGTGGTTTGGCAGTGTCAGCAGTAGGGATGTCTACAAAAGGTCATCTTATTTAATGTTTATCTTTAAAAGTTGGTAATTCTTTATAATTTTAGATAAGAACAACTTATATTTCATGATTTATGTAGCTAATTAACTCAATTTATGTAGCTGATTAACTCTGTCTTGTTCTGGGATGTTGGGAGTTTTTGAGACGCTGAGCTGTGTAGCGGACCCTGTGTCCTGCTCAGAGGCCCTTGGCACTCACCATTGCCAAGCCACGTCTGTGGCCCAAGGGAGCCTGCTTTGCTTAGGCTGTCTTGCTGCTTTACACTGGCAGTCACATTTCTGCTCATTGGCCATCAGAGGCTGGAGCAGTAAAATCGGACAGACACCAGATTCTGGGGCTTTGAAACACATCAGAGTCCTGCACCCTCTGAGGTTATGGAACTATAACTTTGTGTACCCTTAGAAGCTGGCATGGCTTGAACCCCAGGTCTGTGCCACCCCTCACACAAGCACATTTGTGGATGCCCTGCTATCAGCTTGCTTGAGGAGGGGCTGGGTGCAGGCCACAGTGGTTATCAATATGGATACATTATCTTTATTTGTAAAAGTGAGAGGCCAGACACGGTGGCTCACACATGTAATCCCACCACTTTGAAAGACTGGGGCAGGAGGATCACTTGAGGCCAAGAGTTCCAGAACAGCCTGGGCAACATAGTAAGACCCCCGTCTCTACAAAAATAAAATTTAAAACATTAACTGGGCATGGTGGCACACACCTGTAGTCCCAGCAACTTGGAAGGCTGAGGCAGGAGGGTGGCTTGAGCCCAGGAGTTGGGCTGCAGTGAGCCACTGCACTCCAGCCTCAGTAACAGAGCAAGACTCTGTCTCTAAAATAAATAATAAATAAATAAATAAATATATATAATATAAATAAATAAATATATATAAAAATAAATATACAATAAATAAATAATAAATAAATAAGTAAATAAAAATGAGGCAGATAGAAAAATTAGGGACAAATCTGTAGAAGTAGCAACTTGAAATAGGAGACCCAGCTGAGCGTAAAGAACAAATGCTGGTATTGCACGGTGGTAGAGTGTTCCTGGCTCTGAATCAGACTGTCTGGGTTGGCTTCCAGGCTCTGCCCAGTCTCCTTGCTTGGGAAGTGGTAATAATGGCATTTAAAACAATATCTGGCATGCATTAAACTCTTGAGAGAGGTGTGTGTGTGTGTGTGTGTGTGTGTGTGTGTTAACTGCGTATAAATGCAGACCTCACTGAAACAACTGAAAATGCAGGGAAGATTATTACAATTTTGAATGTCAGTGAAATGTGAGGGATGCTTCTATCACTATGATATGAACAATTTGCTATGAGAAAAACAAGAGATAGGAAAAAGAGAGCTCTCCAAGCAATTAAAAACTATTAAAATTCCAGATTTAATTTAGCAATAAAATGGACATTGCTAAACACCAAACTAATAAATAAGAAAATGAATTCAAGGAATTATCCCAGAGCAAAGAGAAAGAAGTAAAGGAAGGGAGGGTAAGAAGTGTTGAGAGACCTAGAGTGTCTTATACCTATGTAATAAGAGTTTGAGAAGAAGAGAACAGAGGAGATGGAGGAAAACAGGCAAACATATTTTTGATTTGCAGAAAAGTTTTAGTGTTCAGATTGTTAACTCTCACTGAATGACAGACAAGATTACTGAAAATAAATCACATCTAGTGAAATTTCTGAATTTATAGGATAAAGGAAAAGTCCTATAAACTTTTAGACAAGGGGGAAAAACATTATAAAGGAAGGAGGATCAAATGGAGCTTCCCAGGTACTAGACTTTCCAGTGGAAATACCAAATGCTAAGAGAACATGTGATATATTTTACAGAGCTCAGAGGAAAATGGATTGTGGCTTCTGAATTCAGTATGAAACTGTCTAACCTTCATGTGTGAGGGCAGGAGAAATAAAGTAAAGTTGGTTATTCCAGCAGAAGACTAGAAAGGGAAAAAGGAAAACACTGGAGAAGCATAAAATACGCAGGCCTTAAAATGAGGACTGCAGGCCGGGCGCGGCGGCTCACGCCTGTAATCCCAGCACTTTGGGAGGCCGAGGCGGGTGGATCACGAGGTCAGGAGATCGAGACCATCCTGGCTAACACGGTGAAACCCCGTCTCTACTAAAAATACAAAAAAAATTAGCCGGGCGCGGTGGCGGGCGCCTGTAGTCCCAGCTACTCGGGAGGCTGAGGCAGGAGAATGGCGTGAACCCGGGAGGCGGAGCTTGCAGTGAGCCGAGATCGCGCCACTGCAATCCGGCCTGGGCTAAACAGCGGGACTCCGTCTCAAAAAAAAAAAAAAAAAAAAAAAAGAAAATACTTTATACAAGTTTACAACAACAAATTTCATAATTGAGGTGAATAAGTACGTTCAAGGAACATGTAAATTACCAAAAATGACTAACGAAATGGTAGAAACCTAAATAGACAGTAAGCTTAAAAGAAATTGAAACCCCAAAGATACACTTTCAAAAAGGGACTGGACCAGCCCATTTTAAAAATGAGTTACATTGACCATCAAGAGGCATGTTTTCTTTGCCATTTAAACTGTAAAGAAGCACAGAAAAACACGAAGGTTCCAGTTCATTTGTTGGGCTGAACAATTCCTGAGAAGAAGGCTGCCAGAAGAGGAAACTATAGACAAATATATCTTAGGAATATAGATTTTTAAAATTCTAAATAAAATATTGACAAATCGAATCCAAAGAATAATAAAACATAATCTCATGACAAAGTAAAATCTAATCTAGTCATTTCAAAATGATTTTATATTAAGAAATCTATTCATATAATACACTTTATTAAATTAATTCGTTAAAAGAAAATGCAACGTGATTATGTGGATACATGTTTCAAGTATACTTGATATAGTTGATAAAATTTCCATGTCTGATTAATCTCTGTATAAATTAGAAACATAAAAAATGTTCTGAAACATGATAATGGGAATTTGTTAGAAGCCAAAGGACATAAAAACAAAATAGAGGCATTCTTATTAAAATCTTAAACAAGACAAGGATGTCCACACTGACAGCTATTATTCATTAGTCTGGAGGTTGTAGCCAAAACAACAGCAAGAAAAATGTGTGAGATATAAATATATTATAAAACACAAGTTAAATAACCATTATTTATTCTTTATGAGAGTTTCTTCTTAGAAAATTTGAGAGAATCATTTTATAGGTGCCTTAATTAATAAGAGTTCAGCAAGCTGGAGAAAATCAACATGTAAAAACTTCATAGCTTTTCTATGTATTAGCAATAAAGTTTTAGAAAATGTAATAAGGGCCGAGTGTGGTGGCTCATGCCTGTAATTTCAGCACTTTGAGAGGCCGAGGCAGGTGGATCCTTTAAAGCCAGGAGTTCAAGACCAGCCTGGCCAACATGGTGAAACCTTGTCTCTACTAAAAATACAAAAATTAGCCAGGCATAATGCTGCGTGCCTGTAGTCCCAGCTACTCGGGAGGCTGAGGCAGGAGAATCGTGTGAACCCAGGAGGCAGGGGCTGCAGTGAGCTGAGATAGCACCACTGCACTCCAGCCTGGGCCCCAAAGCTAGACACTCTCAAACAAAAATAAAAAAAAACACCCCAGAAAACTTAATAAGAAAAAGTATTCACAATAATAACCCAGCTATAAGAGCCTTGAGACTAGACCTACAGGACATATGTAAGACCTAAATAAAGAAAATGATGATATTCTGCTGAAGAACCCACCAGATGTGAATAAATTGAGATATGCCATATTCTTGAAGGGTATGACCCAACATTGTAAAGGTATCAATTTCTCCTCTTCCTAATAATCAATAAGCTTAATGGAAATTGAATCCAAATATTTGATTTTAAACCATTTGTATATAATAAATTCAAACAATCAGGTCTAGATAAATTAATCAGTAAGTGATATTGAGTCAATTAGCTAACTACAAAAGAAATTCCTGTATCACACCATACACAAAAATAAATTCCAAATAGATTAACCATGTAGATGCATATTGTTAATTAATTTGCCTAATACTTTTGTAATTTTATCTTATAAATATAGAAATATTTTTTCTTTCTTTTGGAAAGATGGAATGGGGGCAGATCTTTAAGGCCTTTCTTTTCTTTCTAAAACAAGAAAAAATGCTTTAAAATACTACATACTAAAATAAATGCAAAATGAATTAGAGTTAAAATTGAGGCCATGAAAGAAATAAAAAGAAATGCAGGTAATATGTATTTGATTTTGGAGTGAGGACTCTATGAATAAAAAGATCAAGATATGGGACACATTTAGAGGTTGCTGCTTATCTACTCAATATCCATGCGCTGTATTCGACCTTCCTAATAGAACCCTTATATTACTGAGGACTGCAATGTGCTCAGTCACAAAATTATACTTCCCAATATTTCTTGCCAAAAGGTGTGGGCAATGATATTTTTGGACTCCTATGAAAGACACTTTTTACCCCTAGATTTTTCTTGATTTTCTTGTCTGGAACAGGGATGTGACAGTAGAGTTTCAGCAGTCATTTTGTGATCTCGAGATTGGAAGTTATATGTTCAGAATGACAGAGCCAAAAAAATAAAGGAGCCTAGGTTCCTTATGACTTTGTGGAGCTCTCATATCAGCTCTATACTGCCTGCCTCCAGATTCCATTTCTGTGAGAAAAGAAAACCCTTATCTGTTTATGCTGCTGTGGTTAGGTCTCTGTTCCTAGCAGCCAAACACAATTTCTAACTGATAAAATAAAAACCTTCTATACCTCAGAAGTACCATAAATATAAGTACTGCAATTGCTGTGGAGGACAATTGGTAGCATCCATCAAAATTACAAATATATATACCCTTTGCTGTAACCATTCTATTTCTGGGAATTTATCTTACAGATATACCTGCATATGTGGTCAACAATAAATGTAACACTGTGTTATAGCAAAAGATTGATAGAACCCAAATGTTAAGTAACATTTGAACTGGTTAGCTAAAATGTAATCAATTCATACAATGGAATATCATTTGTCTGTAAACAAAAACAAAACAAAACAAAACACAACAAAAACAAGGAAGCTGCTCATGTACTAATAAGAAAGGTCTAAACAGCAGGTACACAATGGTGTTTATAGTGTGCTGCCATCTGTGTAAAAAGATGGGAGAAGAATATATATGCATATTTTGTATATACATAAAAGAGGCTCAAGAAGGTTGTATGTGCAACATTAGTAATAGTGGTTATTTAAAGTAAGTAGGGGTAAAAATGAGCAAATGAGGGAAGGAGTTTTTTTTTTTAAACTTCACACCTATATATATTATTTTTGATGCAGGTGAATATATTATTGCTATGGTTTGAGTGTCCCCTCCTAAACTCAGGTTGAAATTTAATTGCCACTGTAACAATATTAAGAGGTGGGAACTTTAAGAGGTGATTGGGTCATGAGGGTGGAGCCTTCATGAATAGATAAATGCCATTATTGAGGGCATGGTTTAGGTACCGTGGGGGTGGGCTCCTCAGGAAAGTATAGTTTGGTCCCCGTTTCCTCTCGCTATCTCACATGCTTGCTTGCCCTTCCACCATGGGTTAACACAAGAAGGTCCTCACCAGATGCCAGCACCATGCTCTCGGACTTCCAAGCCTCCAGAGCTGTAGGCCAAATAAACTTCTTTTCTTTGTTTTCTTTATTACATAGTCTTTGGTATTCTGCCACAGCAGCAGAAAATAGACAAAGACAATTACCTCCTTCAAAAATCCCACATAAATATAATTTAAAAGGAAGCGATATAGCACTGTAGGTGAAGGCTTATGGAATATCAGACAGAACTAGGTGCTACTGTCTCTTGAGAGTATGACCAGGGCCAGTTATTTAACGTCTAGGAGTAGTCTTAATATTTCCATTAGTAAACAGGATGATAACATCCACCTCCTAGGGTGGTGGTAAGAATTAAGCAAGATAAAATATGTAAAGTACACATTCCAGGCTGGGCACATGGTGATAATTAGCAGGGACAAATATGATTATTAGAAATTTAAATGAGAAAAGAGAACAAACCATTTTCCATATGAATGGTAGAAAATGGGCTGATATTCTTATGACAAAATGGGATCATACAGATCCTTAGGGAAAAGTGGAGCACTTCCCAAAAGATGACAAGAACACAGGGTAAATCATTAATTCAGTCACTAACTGAAGACCTACTGTGTGCCAGGCAGTGATCTGTGATAGATGCTGTAAGCCACACACTCAAGGTACCTGTCTTCTCACCAAAGAAAACTATAAATGATTGAGAAATATGTGGAAAAAAATTGCTTTCACTAAAAATCAAGTACATGCAAATTAAAATAAAATAAGATGCCATCTCTGACCTGCCAAATTGATGACAGAGGAAAAATGCTAATAATACCCTCTTGACAGAGATGTATTAAAAAACCTAAACAATGAGCAAACTGATGAATGCACCAATTCTACTTCTAGAAATTTATCTTCTGCAAATAATCAGATGTACATTAAAGAGTACAAAAGAGAATTTATTTTGACACTGTTTTTTGAATCTCATTTACTACAAAAAATTAGAAATGGCCATTTTTCCTAAATAGAGGAATTGTTAAATAAATGATGCTATAACCATACAATGAAAAACATTGCAGCTTTCAAAAGCTATATTATAAAGGAAAGTAAAACAAACATTGATTTTACAATAGAAAGTCAGCTTTGTAAAATAAAAAAAATAGAGACAAAACACTGAAAAGATATAAACAAAAAAAGTTAAGTGATGTTTAGCTTTGGGTATGGGTAATTTTTATTTTTAAAGTGATACTCTCTAAAATATATATATTGATAGATACAGACTAATTGATGTGTTGGTTTTTTGAATAGTCAAAGTATTTTTAAATAGTTACTATTTTCAGTTTTTAAAAATTAATAAACTATATTTTTTAGAATAGTTTTAGGTTTACAGCAAAAATGAGTGGAAAGTACAGAGGGTTCCCATATACCCCATCTCCACAGAACCTCTCCCATTATTGACATTCAGAACCACAGTGGCACAATTATTACAATCAGTGTTAGTTGTTAAACAAGGAGCTTCATAGTGACCCTCAAATATGCATATGTGACTTGCTGTGTTATTTTTTTTAATGCAAAACTAATTTGGCTTGTTTTAGGTACACAAATCTGACTTTGAAAAGGCCAATTCCAATTCTCATTTTGCTCTTCAACCTAGATATTGACTAATCTAACAAGGCTAAGTGATTGAGCAAAGTTTGAGAGGTAATATCACTGCATTGATTTATATCCAAAATGATAAGATATTTGATCACTTGCTTATTCAGCACCATCTGGGACCTTGCTGCTGTCCTTCGGTTGAGAGAAAGGAAATGCTTCTTTCTAGGCACAAGGTGGTTTCCAGTAACATCTGTCATCCTTATTTCCTTCTATAATCTATTAATAGTACTGCACAAGAACGCAGCTTTCCTTTGCGGATAGCCTTTTGGGATAGCTTCACGCAGTCTTTTGAAATTGCTAACTGCAAGTTGATTTAGATTGAAGCCAGTATATTTGTTCGCTAGGGCTGCTGTAACAAAGTACCATAGACTGGGGGGCTTAAACAACAGAAATTTATTTTCTCACGATTCTGGAGACTAGAAGTTCAAGATCAAGGTGTCATCTGGGTTGGTTTCTTCTCACACTGCTGTCTGTGGGTTGCAGATGGCCTTCCTCTCCTACGTCTTCTTGTGGTCTTTCTTCTGTGTGTCTGTGTCCAAATTTGCCCTTCTCATGGGTGTTTACCCATTATATTGGATTAAGACTCACCCTAGTGACTTCATTTGAGTTATCCTTTTAAAGGCCCAATCTCCAATTACAGTCTAATTCTGAGGTACTGGGGGTTAGGACTTCAACATATGAATCTGGGGGGAAACAATTCAGCCCAGAACATGAGCCGTGGCATTGCTGCAGCCATTAGTGGTGGAGCAGGTGAGTAGGGACTCACTGTCATTGACTTTCTCCAGCATCCAGAGCTGTCTTTGCACCCTTGGAATTGCACCTGCTCTGGTCTTGCTATTGCTGTCCATCGAAGCCACCCTCCTCTGTGACAGACCATGTTGCAGAATCCCTGGCCTCTCCCCTTCTTGAAATGCTGTCCTGGATTTCTGCTGGCTTTGGGAGCATCCTCATGTGCCCTAGGGTAGCAGACACCTGCTGAGGTAGAGGTTAGATGGAAGCTGCATGAAAGGACATGCTGAGTCATCCTCCATGAGAAGGGATCTCCTCAGAGCAGAGTTGTCCGTTCCTGGAAGGGCCTGGTGAAGGAGTCCAGCTTGATCAGGTGGATTTAGAATGGGAAGTGGGGAAGGGCATGTACAGCTGTGTGATCCAGCCTGCAGAGCCAGCCCTTGGGTGAGAGCTCATCACCTTGCATGAGGAAGACAGGGCGTTCTGGGACAGAAAGGAAAAACACCCCATCCCCAGATTCCCAGTCAGGCTGCTCTTTCAGGGTGAGCTGGGGGAGGGTACATCAAGGTCAGGTGTTAGGCAAGGGCAACGAGGCCACCAGAGTAAAGCTATCTGGAGCATGAAGGCAGGCAAGCCTTATGGCCAGGTATGACACAAAGCCCAGGGGCTTAGGAAGGCTCCCCAGGCCTCCCACTAGGGTGGCTTGGGGGAATACTGGCTGGCCAGGGTTATAATCTTAACCAAAGGAGTTGTAGGATTGGTGCTCTCCTGAGAAAGGACAGCGCCACCTGTGGTTGCTAATGGCACTGCTGACTCTGAAGCACCAGGGTTCTTGGAGAATTGAGGACCTTCTTCCATAAGATAAGTGGATGCTTAGCCACTAGTTATAAAATAAAATTGCATGACCCCACTTGCTCCTATGCTTGAGCAGACAAGAAAGAATCCACCCTCCCCTCCTTGACCTGTTTACTTCCTCAGCTTCATTTGTATCATTCTCTTATTTCCTCCCCATTTTAACACACACACACACACACACACACACACACACAGACACGCACATGCTGGTGCAAGATCCCTGAAATGCCTCCCGACCTCATGAATAAATATTTGCAAGTATTTTTCACGGTGCTTTCCTCTCCTTCACCCTTGTAGACTCCCCACTTTCTCTCAGTCCCCGCCAGTAGCCTTCGATGTCTATTGTGACTTTGTCTGTCTTGCCCACTGGATGTGTGGCTAATTTTATGTGTCAACTGGGCTAGGCCACGAGGCTCAGATGTTTGGTCAAACACTAGTTTAGATGTTGCTGTGAAGGTATTTTTTTTTTTTAGATGTGATTAACATTTAAGTGAGCAGAGCTGAGTAAAGCAGATTGCCCTCAAAATATGGGTGGGTCTTATCTTATGGTTTTAGGAGAAAAGACTATGGTCCGCTTAAGGAAGAGGGAATTCTGCCTCCAGACTGCCATGGACTCGAGCTGCAGCATAAATTCTTGTTGGCATTTCCAGCCTGCTGGCCTGCCCTGCAGATTTTGGACTTGCCAGCCTTCACAATTGCATAAGCCAATTCCTTAAAATAAATATCTCTCTTTACATATACAACCTGTATGTATACACCCTATTGCTTCTGTTTTTCTGGAGAACCCTGACTGATTCTGATACAGACTGTGAGCACAACCCCCTTCACTGGGATGGAGACCAGGGCAGAGGGTGCTGTGGAGGGAGGCATGAGCTGTTCTGCAATTCATGAGCAAAGCAGGTGGGCTTTTACAAACATTGCAAATTCTTACTGGATTCCTGACCAAACCAGGATTTATATATAAACGTCTACCAAAATATGGCAGAAAGGTAATATCCAAAGCATTGCTTTGCAAGAATTGCTACATTTTTCTTCCTCCAGGTACATCTTAGTAGATTGTACTTTGAAGATTAAGCTCCTGGAAAAGTATTTAGTGCCTTTCTTATAAAGCATCTGACACATTCTAGGTGTGAAAGAAAAGCTTAATTTCCTAAAAAAAACAAAAAAACGATCCTGTGCAGAGAGCTTGCTCTTCCAAGTCATACAGAGGCTGCACCTAATTTCTTCATTTATCTCTAACATTCTTCCTCCTGCCTTTGAAACTCTTTCGTTTAACATTAGCATTTGATTAACCTTTTATTCAAGAGACATCTGGGTTTTGTTATACACTATTATGTTGATTCTGGCTTGTTTTTATTTCAGATAATTTTCAAGTAGCCACATGTGTTAGGTAGTAAGGTCTTCCTTTATTGCTAGTTTTTGGCAATGGGGCTCCAGGAAGAGCTGTTACTTCATTATCCAAACCTTGTTCATGTGGAGAAAACAAGAACAATCCAGTAATGACAGCAAGATTTTGTTTTCCAGGCAGAGTTATTTGGAGGAATGTCCTGGCCATTTCTGCCTTACATTTATGCATTTTTTTGCAGGCTTTCAAAATTATATTTTGTGTCAATTAAAACTCACATAAAATACAATTTAACTGAAAAAAGCTAAAGGTAACTCTGTAGTTAGGGTTACATGGGATCATCTCAGCAGCTCTGGTGGGGTCTGGTAAGTAACAATTTTTCTTCAAATGTCCTTTGAGGCCACTAGTACTGCCATTAGTACTGACTCATAGGTGGGTCTGTGATGTGCTGGGGCCTGGATGAAGTTGAGTGTGTCCTTAAAATCTGGAGCAAGGAAAATTCCACTATTCCACTCCTAATTCCTTAACAGTAATGGTGGCTCATGATTGCCAAGGCCAGAACCCATCCAGGGTTTGTACATGTTTTGGCACTTCCTCTGAGCTTTGGTCTGAAGGCTACTGCTCTTATGTGGCCAATCTGTCTGCAGTTGCCTGCAGCAGGAGCTCAAAATACAGTCTACTGAAGAATTCAGGGCTAGTGAGAGATTTACAGTGTTAAAAATTATAGGAGGTTGTTGTTTTGGACTAAACTTTTGCACTAGACTTCAACAGACCAGACTAAAGATCAAAATAGAGTCACCCATGCTAAAGTTCTACATCACCAAACCTAAACTATGACATTATCCAGCCTTCTGAGAAATCGGGAGACAGAAATAACAGCCATTTTCCAAGCAGGTCAGTTTTAATTATCAATCGACATGGTAATAAAGTTCCTTCTGCTGTATTCCTTACACAAAATAAGTAGCCTGACATGACTTGATGTTAACTAATCAGTTATTTTTCTATTGTTCTATTTCCCTGTTCCCACCCGACAAGAAAAAGTAACTTTGAAAAATAATGAATACATCCTTTGTTCTTTGTTTCTGCTTTCTTCAACCCTTCTTGAAGCCATCCTCACAGGGTTAAGAAGAATTCTGGACAGAAATATAGTTATAAATAAGAGTAAATAATCAGCCTTCACTTTTACCCACTTCCTTGAACCTGATAGTCACAGAGCACTGATCCTGACCACTGGCATCCCCATTGTTCCTATAGATAAGATCTCTGACATTAAAATCACAAGACTTTTGTTTAAGAATTGCTTAAGGTGTTTTCCAGATCCTGAATTCCAGCAAAACAGTTGTTGCCAACCAGTTTGAAACCCCCCACAGAGTAATGAAATCAGAGTGAGAATATAGTTTCTTTATCTCCCTGTCCCATGACTTCACTCTGTACTCTTCACCCCGTCAACAATCTCCATGCTTCAGCCCACTCCATAACCCTTAAAAACTCTATCCCCAAACTCCTTGGGGAGACAGATTTGATTTTCCCTCCCTCTTCCTCATTTGGTGGCCCTATGGTTAAATCTCTTCTCTGTCACAATCCAGTGTCTTGGCATATTGATTTGCCATGCACATCGGGCAACAAACCTAGTACAATTACATTCTCTGTCTAGAAAGCCAACCTCTTCTGCTAGGCTCATTGGAACACTTATTCTATTTTATGGAATTAAGTGTTGACCAATTCTAAAATTGCTATAAAGCCCAGCGAGATCTTTAAACTAAATTTGTTGTAATTTGTCCTTTGACAATAGCTTGTGCATGTCTGCTCTCCCTCACAAGGAAACAACAGAGAAAATGGATCAGATAACTCCTGCAAAGTAGAGCCAGTGGTGATGGTGGATGGAGTGGACGAAAGCCATTGCCAATAGTGTGCTGTATGTCACAGTTAGCAAAGCATAAGGCACAGTTCCAGATTAGATGTGCCTTGTTAGTGATGGAGCAGTCAGAGTTCATGTATACGGGGCCAAGCCTGGTGCTGCTGAAGACCTGGATGTGACTGCTACTCTTTGACTGTTAGCTCCATAAACCTCCATCTCTCCATTTAGTGGGAACAATGTTCCCAAGTGAGAACAATGATACCTTTCTGGGCCATCTCACACAGTACTCAGAAGATGACAGAGCTTTGTTAACTCCCAAACCAGATGAGATGGCAATGGTGGGGGTGGAGTTGATATAACAATGCCCACAAAAGTCAGGGCTACATGGATTCCTGTGAACGATATAAATGTAAATGAAGAACATGGCTGGAGTCACACTCATTAGATATGGGAAATGTGGATTCTGGCCATGGCTCCTGCAATGACAAACTGTCATTTGGCAGGCTTGTTTTCCTTATTTGTACTCATAAAGAGAGGTTTGTGTAGAGGAGAAGTGGATAAGTAATTTCTACTCTAGCTGACGTGGGGCTGAGCAAACATGCTAGCTGGATTTAGGTAGGTAGGGTAAGCAACGTGAAGTGATGATACCTGAGATGGAATTGTCCCCTGCCTTTTTCTCTAGCATGACAAGTTGCCAGTGACTTAGTTCTTCGGTGCAGGAAACTGAAGTCTTAACTGCGTTTCAAAAAAATGCTCACTCTTGAACTCATACAGTGGCCATATGCTGGCTTGAGTGAGAGATGATTAGAAATTAGGCCTGACCTAAGAAATCTTTTAATCACTCACATGATTCGTAGGTACTTAAGGTATGGAAGCCCAGCCTCAGCACCCCATCCATTTAGTCTAGCTCTATGTGTGCTCATCAAATTCGACAGTTCCTTCTGGAGAGTCTGAGGCTGTTTCTGTGTGTAACCTTCATTATGGGGTGTTGGTAAAATGTGCTCCAAGTAAGATTCCAGTTTATCATGCAAATCCTAGACATCACTCTGTGCCTTTTTGAAATCTCCTTAAAGATTCAAACTCACCCTGAATGCCCCCGCTTGTGAATATCTTTTCCCTTTTAGGTCTTTCTACAGAATTTAGCTAATTATTCTGTAGTCTCTTTACCTATCTATTCATTTATCTACCTACTTATTTATATCTCTATCTATCATCTTTCTATCAGGTTTATTTATCTGTGTATCCACCTATCTCTCCATCTAGCTTTTATAGCATCTTTTGCCTTTCTGTTTGAATGTAGTGTTTGAGGTGATCGGATTCCCTGCCCAGTTGCTAAATGGAGCATGACCTACCAAAGGTGTTCATGGCAAATGGTTCATCAGTTAACTGGGATAATGGAGTCTAAGCCACCACTCTTAAGCCTAACTCCCTAAGATCCCCAATCCTAACCATTCTTTATACAAGGCCATGAACAATGAAGAAAAGTCTTACCCTAGAACATAGAGAAATAAGAAACTAAAGATCTGAATAATCTTCAAATCCTGCCAGCTTATCTACAAGCCTCCCTCAGACTCATTCTCCCCAGCCTGTGTTATTAACAGAAAAAAAGATAAAAGGTGTCACTTTATTTACAAAGAGAAAAGCCTGGCATAACCCTTTCTTTTTTTTTTTTCACAGCGTGTGTGCCCTTTCAAAGGAAATACTTCCACTAATGAGTCTCCTTTGCTTGTCCGTTAGTTATTAGGCACTTCCTAGAAAAAAAAAATCTCTTTCCTTTAATTAATGTGGCTGTTTTTTAGGCCTCCTTTGGAGATTATCTTTTTATCCTGAGCTACAGAAATAAGATGAGGAGGAGGTATTATGTTGGCATGAACTTATCTATAATTGACGTGACAATGGGGAGCTTTCCTCTTTCTTTGCTTGAGTAAGCTTGTCTTTGAAAAGATCAGACCATGGGCTAAAGTGAACATTTGGGTCAAAAACAAGCACAACCAATGAAATAAATCGATATTTCTTCTTAAAGCTACAGAGGACTCAGTGCAAATGGCAGACTAAGAGCCACTTCCCATGTCTTCTCCCTTCTTTGAACCCTTTGATATTAACATACATATGTATCATCCTATAATATGATATGCAGAATATACATATATATACATATGTGTGTGTGTGTGTTTATGTGTGTGTGTATGGAGAGAGAGGTAGGGATTGTCTGTCTGCCATTTGTGCAGATACACAGCTATATAAACATAAATCCATATATATATATGTAAATATATACATGCCTATATAGACATCCTTAACTGCATTAGAAAGCAAAATGGGTGCCCCCAGTGGAGCATACACCATGAGAAACTCCTGAAAGGTGGAGTCAGACTAATAGAGAATATTCCAGGGTAGGAGAGAACTGTTATGGATTGTGTGAATGGCACTGGGAAGGTCAAAGATTAAGAATAATATGGGGAAGGGGAGGTACCTAAGGGCAACAGTCAAGTGGCTTACTGGGACATCATACTAGGTAGGAATGGCAGCTTCCCTGCAATTCCCAGAGAGAATCTTTATCCATAGGTGGGACCAGTAAGCATGAGAATCAGGTGAGAGTGGCAGGGCACTTTCCAGAGGGTTCAGAAACATTCCCATTCCTGCAAGAAAAGGTATCAGAACACCTGGCTTGCTGCATAGGCTGGCCATGGCCTGCAATTGCTTGGCTAACATACAGCATTCACTGGGATTCACAGCAACCAACAGGGGGCAGCAAACATAAAGGTGAGAGTATGATAAAAGGTGGGCCAGGGATGAGAAGCCATACCAGCCAAGTTAAGTGGGCAGATTAATTAGAATAAAGAGAAACAAAACATTTATATATGGTTATTGGCATGCCCAGACCAAGCAGCCTGAACTGATACAATAGCTGAGTGAAAGGTCCTTGTAACATTCTCAGCATCACCATGGGAACACTGGTAACATAGTAAGGGGTGGAACTAGTTGTATATAGCACCCACATTTGGGATCTAGTCTTTACCGAGGTTTGCTCCCAAGGGACAGGAGCACCTGACCTTAAAGTTCACTGGCTTTCCTTCTGGACTGCATTCTTCATCAGGGCCAGGAGAAGTGTTTAGATAAAAAGGGAGTTCCAGGAAGGCTGAAGTTAGGTATGGGGTCATTGTCGATAAGGGAGAAGCCTAATTCCATTGCACAGTTAGGAGGACAAAGAGGTTGTCTCCAAAATCTGCCTAATAGATGGGTAGTCAACGTGGATGGTAAATCAACTGAGAAATGTCACATGCCCAGTTTGACCTCAGATGGAGAGTCTTGAAGGTGAACCTCACCTGGGTTACTATACTTTCAAGTAAAAATATTTGCTTTTAAAGGGAGAAGAAAGAAGTCTCCAGGAAAAAGAAGGAGAAGGCAAATATGGCGGGAGATCAGATTTGGTTGCAAATTATAGTCATATTGCTTGAAAGACCTTCCAGACAAGTGAAAATGCAGTGGATAGAAAGGAACAATCCACTGAGGTTGCTGAAAAGCAAATCGGAACAACTGATTTTTGCAGCAGATACGGGCCTCCACATGGTTGGTGTGGGAGTTTATCATTTGCCACACACTGTCAGATATGCTTATTTGGCCAGCTAGAAAGACAAAAGGCACATGGAAAGTGCCAATTAATTACTCAGCTATCATTTTGATCTTAAACACCCAGGCACTAGGTGTACCTCATTATCACTTCCTGACTTGGGGAATTAATGGAGAATCTTCTATTTGTCTTAGGTAGAGCTAACAGATGTTAGAGCATTTCCCTACCTAAAGAATTCTGGAACAAAACTACCTTCTTATTAGACATGGCCCACTATATGTAGCCATAGGTCCCTTCTGACTTTTATAACTTCCTCTGGGTGACTCTGAAGTTGAGAAGGCTCTGCCACACTTTCTAAAACACAAGGGCCTGTGTCTAACTTCCACATGGCATCATTCTGGGATAAGGCATAATTACAAGACCAAAACACAAATTTGACCCATCAATTTCACTTCTGACAGCTATCCTAAAGAAACAATTATATTTGTGCACAAAGAAGCATGCAATGTTGTTTATGTAGTGAAAAGTTTGAAAGAAATTTCCACCATAGTATATCTACATTTTGGAATCTTATGCAGTCATTAATAAGAAAAATTCAATATGTGTGTACTTATAAGTCAAATTCTCTAAGATATACTACTAAATGGAAGAAAGGAATTTGCAAAATAGTATATACTATACAATTCAATTTTGGTTAAAAAACTCTTACCACAAAAATTAAACTCTCTATTTCCATATGTGCATGTATAACCATGTTGACATATAATAAAATGTCTGAAAGCTACACATTAAATTGATAATAGTGTTTTCTTCTGCGGAGGATATAAGCTTGATTTGGAACAAGTGTGTTTTTTTTTTTTGTCTTCTACATTTGTTTGGATGTTTAGCATAAAAATGCATATATGCATTACTTTTGTAATTAAAAATAAAATAAAAAAATAAAAAAGTGTTGTTTTGAAAACACTTATTGAATCAACACTTCAAGAATACAATCAGCAATTTTATCAGAGAAACAAGGATATTTGCATGTGGATGGGCCACACACTTTTTTTTTTTTTTTTTTTGAGACGGAGTTTCGCTCCTGTTGCCCAGGCAGGAGTGCAGTGGCGCGATCTCGGCTCACAGCAACCACTGCCTCCCGGGTTCAGGCCATTCTCCTGCCTCAGCCTCTGGAGTAGCTGGGATTACAGGCATGCACCACTATGCCCAGTAGAGACAGGGTTTCTCCATGTTGGTCAGGCTGGTCTCGAACTCTGGACCTCAGGTGATCCACCCGCCTCGGCCTCCCAAAGTGCTGGGATTACAGGCGTGAGCCACCACTGGGCCACACACATTTTAAAGCTTTGCAATGAATACTCAAATGTCATGTCAATAGAAACATAGCTTTCATGGAAAAAAATGAACTTAAACAAAAAAATCAAATAAGAGAAACGAGTTTCACTACAAAATGCAGAGAACTAAGAGCAAATTCTAGAGAGAAAGAGGAATACCAGGAAACAGGAATTAGAATGATCTTGACCTCCCAATGGCACCATTGTAGGCAAAGATAACAGAGAAACACTTGCAAATTTCTGAGAGATGTTTATTCCCAACCTAATAGTTGATAACCGTCAAACTATTAATTGATTTGAACGCAGATTAAAAGTCCTAAAAAGTCGCCTCTCATGAAGGACATTCTGCATCGGAATGCGGAAATAATCTGAGAAAGGGAAATGAAGGGGTTCCAGGAAAGAGGAATCCAACACTATCCAGCCAACAGGGAATTCCTGGGATAATAGTGAAGGAAGTGCTAGGGTAAGAGGTGTGAGCTGGTCCAGAAAGCAACCACTACATCGTGAAGTCAAAGGATGGTATCTCTAGGGTGGATGACAACCAAATAAAGCAATGGATCGTTTAGGGGATGCGTTTGACCATACTGAAAAAATTTAGGAAACTATTAGACAATGTAGGGGAAAAATTAGACATAAGGAGATAGGAAAGTGAGCAAGTTAAAAAAAAAAAGGCAACAGAGGTCTTGCTCTGTTGCCCAGGCTGGTCTTGAACTCCTGGGCTCAAGCAATCCACACACCTTGGCCTCCCAAAGTGTTGGGGTTACAGGGCCATTATTATTTATCTATTTATTTATATCATTATTATACTTTAAGTTTTAGGGTACATGTGCATAGCGTGCAGCTTTGTTACATATGTATACATGTGCCATGTTGGTGTGCTGCACCCATTAACTCGTCATTTAGCATTAGGTATATCTCCTAATGCTATCCCTCCCCTCTCCTCCCACCCCACAACAGTCCCTGGTGTGTGATGTTCCCCTTCCTGTGTCCATGTGTTCTCATTGTTCAATTCCCACCTGTGAGTGAGAACATGCGGTGTTTGGTTTTTAGTCCTTGCAATAGTTTGCTGAGAATGATGGTTTCCAGCTTCATCCATGTCCCCACAAAGGACATGAACTCATCATTTTTTATGGCTGCATAGTATTCCATAGTGTATATATGCCACATTTTCTTAATCCAGCCTATCATTGTTGGACATTTGGGTTCATTCCAAGTCTTTGCTATTGTGAATAGTGCCATAATAAACATACGTGTGCATGTGTCTTTACAGCAGTATGATTTATAGTCCTTTGGTTATATACCCAGTAATGGGATGGCTGGGTCAAATGGTACTTCTAGTTCTAGATCCCTGAGGAATTGCCACACTGACTTCCACAATGGTTGAACTAGTTTACAGTCCCATGAACTGTGTAAAAGTGTTCCTATTTCTCCACATCCTCTCCAGCACCTGTTGTTTCCTGACTTTTTAATGATCACCATTCTAACTGGTGTGAGATGGTATCTCATTGTGGTTTTGATTTGCATTTCTCTGATGGCCAGTGATGATGAGCATTTTTTCATGTGTTTTTTGGCTGCATAAATGTCTTCTTTTGAGAAGTGTCTGTTCATATCCTTCGCCCACTTTTTGATGGGGTTGTTTGTTTTTTTCTTGTAAATTTGTTGGAGTTCATTGTAGATTCTGGATATTAGCCCTTTGTCAGATGAGTAGGTTGCAAAAATTTTCTCCCATTCTGTAGGTTGCCTGTTCACTCTGATGGTAATTTCTTTTGCTGTGCAGAAGCTCTTTAGTTTAATTAGATCCCATTTGTCAATTTTGGCTTTTGTTGCCATTGCTTTTGGTGTTTTAGACATGAAGTCCTTGCCCATGCCTATGTCCTGAATGGTATTGCCTAGGTTTTCTTCTAGGGTTTTTATGGTTTTAGGTCTAACATTTAAGTCTTTAATCCATCTTGAATTAATTTTTGTATAAGGTGTAAGGAGGGGATCCAGTTTCAGGTTTCTACATATGGCTAGCCAGTTTTCCCAGCACCATTTATTAAATCGGGAATCCTTTCCCCATTGCTTGTTTTTGTCAGGTTTGTCAAAGATCAGATAGTTGTAGACATGCGGCATTATTTCTGAGGGCTCTGTTCTGTTCCATTGGTCTATATATCTGTTTTGGTACCAGTACCATGCTGTTTTGGTTACTGTAGCCTTGTAGTATAGTTTGAAGTCAGGTAGCGTGATGCCTCCAGCTTTGTTCTTTTGGCTTAGGATTGACTTGGCAATGCAGGCTCTTTTTTGGTTCTATATAAACTTTAAAGTAGTTTTTTCCAGTTCTGTGAAGAAAGTCATTGGTAGCTTGATGGGGATGGCATTGAATCTATAAATTACCTTGGGCAGTATGGCCATTTTCACAATATTGATTCTTCCTACCCATGAGCATGGAATGTTCTTCCATTTGTTTGTATCCTCTTTTATTTCATTGAGCAGTGGTTTGTAGTTCTCCTTGAAGAGGTCCTTCACATCCCTTGTAAGTTGGATTCCTAGGTATTTTATTCTGTTTGAAGCAATTGTGAATGGGAGTTCACTCATGATTTGGCTCTCTGTTTGTCTGTTGTTGGTGTATAAGAACGCTTGTGATTTTTGCACATTGATTTTGTATCCTGAGACTTTGCTGAAGTTGCTTATCAGCTTAAGGAGATTTTGGGCTGAGACGATGGGGTTTTCTAGGTATACAATCATGTCATCTGCAAACAGGGACAATTTGACTTCCTCTTTTCCTGATTGAATGCCCTTTATTTCCTTCTCCTGCCTGATTGCCCTGGCCAGAACTTCCAACACTATGTTGAATAGGAGTGGTGAGAGAGGGCATCACAGGGCCATTATTAACTACAGGGAAACAAAAAGCTGTTTGAGAGAGGAAGGGATGTTATTGGTATAAATGGCTCAGCTGTAAATAGTACTTAAGGACTCACAATAATATGAACACTGAATATTAACCTAGCCCCATCTTGTGATACATCTATATTCAAAAGCCAGAAAAAATATAAACATGGTATGTGTGTGTGTGTGTGTGTGTGTGTGTGTGTGTGTTGAATTTAAAAGTTAAATCTCATCTTCCATAGAAGAAAGCCCATAGACAACATCTGAAATGAAGCAAATCCACACATTTCAGCATACACATATTATTTTAAAATGTGGAGTTAATTAGCACAAGAAACACTTAAAGAATTGGTGGATAATGCCTCTGAGGGATTTGAGAAAGCTGGAGCAAAATGCTTCTGTTTTTAATTATAAGGCTTGCATTTGATTTTTAAAACTGTAAACTATCATTTTGGTAAGATGAAAATAAAACCACCATGCATAACTAATTTTTTTATGGTATGTAGAATTACTAAAGGACAGCAGTGAACAAAAATGCTACTACATAGGCAAGTTTCAGAGATCAGTATCAGTCACCATGTAATCGAATGCTAGAGAACAAAATATTATTGGTCATGGCTGTCATCTTTTGAACGTTTACCCTAGCATCATTTCATTTAATGCTCACATCAACCTTTCAGATAAGTAATATTATTATTACCCACATTGTATAGATGTGGTTGTGAGATGTTAAATAACAACGTAAACTTATGTAACTGGCAAGTGAGTGAGTGGTGGACCTGAGATTAAAACTAGAATTTATCCAGAGCTCAAAATCTTGGCCACAAGTTTACACTCCAGAGAGATTAGAAGGTTACAAGAATTTAGAGAGGGACAAGAGTTCTGAATTCACCCTCCTCTTTTTCCAGACCAAGCAGTGTGATGGATCCCAGCAGACTGCACGTTTCCTTATACTTCAAAGAAAATGTAAATCCAATGTATTTCCTATTTAATCTTACATTGGATTGAGTTTTTAAAGATAATTTTATTTGAGCTTCTTTTAAACTCAGTTGCTACACATTTTTAGTCAGGTTACTTTTAGATTTGTCAGCACAAAACTTAAGACTCTAGCCTGAATCTCTATGAACAATAGTAAAAGTCCACAGTTTTCGAACCTTTCTTTCTATCATATTTGATTGCCAGAGTAACCCCATGTAATAAGCACAGGTAATGTCATTAATCATTTCACAGATGGGGACATTGAGGACCATAAAACTAAGTGGTTACCTGGAGCCCACATAGACAATAAATGGCTGAGCTGTGATTAGAACTCGGAACTCCTAATTCTTCCTTTGATTCTCCTCTCACTACGTATGCTGTTACCTGCTGATATCACTGCACCAAAAGGGATGCATTGCTTCTGTTTCATGCCAAAGTTTATACTTTGGAAAAGCCTACTTCTTTTAGATCTTTTCAAATGCATTGATTTCTTAAACTCGAATAAATTTAAACAAGAAAGGGACTCTTTTATAAGAAAACCATTTTTCATTAGTCGCCCAACATTATATATATATATATATATATATATATATGTATAAATAATATGCACAAAATAAGATAGAATAACAACTCCTAATGATTATGGTTCCTATACAACTATAAAACTAAGACAAGTTTACGAGTTAAATATAAACACCACAAAAACAATAATAGCCAAAGAAGCAATGCTGATTAAAACACAATGTGACTATGCTGTAGACTGCTGGGGTGTAGTGTCTTGGGGTTCATTTTAATGTGCTTTATGCCATGACTCAGTTCTCCACCACTCATCCCCTCTGCACTGCTGGGAAAATTCGTTTGTCTTCTTGTTATCTATTGCTGCATAATAAATTACACCACATACTAATGGCTTAAAACAACCAGTTTATTTGGCTCAAGATTTTTTGGGTCAGGAATTCAGGAAAGACATGACTGGGTAGTTTGTCTCCAGGTAACAGCAGTTGGGACTGGGGCTAAAAGATCCACTTCTGAGATGGCTTCTTCACTCATAGTTCTGGTATCTTGGTGCTCCTTGGCCTCTCTCTCTCCCCACGGTATATCAATCTCTCCACCTGGCTTGGCCTACTCACAGCATGGAGTTCTCAGGGTAATCACAATTCTTTAGCTTCTCTGAGGAAGGAGTAGAAGCTACCAGGTCAGGTAGGGGCTGGCTATGCCCAGAATTGGCCCAGTATCACTCCCACCACGTTCTACCAGATAAAATGTTACAGAGCCTTCACATGGGTGAATAAATAGACTCTACCTATGGATAGAGGAGGAGCCAGGCCCTATTGCAGAAGGTCACACATGAAGAGAGATGTTCCAATCATTTTAGGACAACAGAAGCATCCCGGGGTGTATCCCACCCTTTCTCAATAGCCAGAGACTGGATGGCAGTATTGCTGCCAATACAATTATAAACATGAGTGCTGAACTTATGGGAAAGTCTCAATCCCAAGGATCACCCAGAATAATAGAATATGGGCTTTTATTCACATGTTTATTGTTGTTTTGAATAAAAAATACACTATGCAAGGGACTTCTACTGCTCCCCAAATCCAGTTTGTCTCTCCTTCCTGAGCACATGGGAGAACCACACTTCTTAGCTTCTTTTCATTAAGACATTCATTTTGCCTAGTTCTCGCTAATGGGTGGTGAGCAGAGTGATATGTAACATTTTCAAGCTGAGGCATTTACAAGTGGGTAGAGCTTATTATGCTTTCACTTCCTCTTTCTCTTCCAGTGTCCTGGAATTCATGTGCTAGGATAGTGGCGTTTCAAGATGGTGAAACTTTCAACAGCATTATATTAATCAAATCTATCCAGCTCATGCTGGACTTGTGACTTGTAGCACAGTGAAAAGGAAACATTTGTATATTAAACCATTGGGAGTTAAAAGTTAATTTGTTACTGCAGCGTAATCTAGTTTATCCTAACTAATATCTTTATTATTCACAACGTTCTGGAAGAAAACCCAAGGACTCCAGCGTAACACAGTTTAAGGAACACTGATTTAATTCACACCCATATTTTTCATGGAGTAGGGGCAGGCAAGGAAAACAAGTAGAGAACTAAGAAGATGCAAAAGGAGTAGGTGACACTATCACCTTTTCTGCTTTGGCAAAGTTATAATGTATTTGTGAAATTAACATGTACTTTAGATGGAGTCATACTTCCAGCTTTGAAGTCTTAGGCATGTATTGGCAGACATTTGCACTTTCATTGTAATTCCATGATAGGGATTAAAAATTAAGGCAATTTATTTCCAGTCATTTGGACTTTCATTGTTATTTAATGGTAGAGATGATAAAATGAAGACAATTAGTGAAGGTTAAATGACTTGCCCATGTCACATGAATAAGTGTTAGAATAATTATTTTGGAAGCACTGATAGAAGTTCAATGATAGTTAATATTTCAGCTCTGGAGAATATGATCCTTAGCTGAATTAATCTATGTCTGAGATATCTTGACTTACTCATTTAAAGGAAATCACTTTATTAAGTTTTATAAAAATTTGGTTTGGTCTACACTTGAGTGTCACCTGGCACCCTTGAAATTAACAATTACCCATTGATTTTGGCTCTCTGATTAAAATTTCATGACGAAACATCCATCAGTAGCAGGTGTGTGGACAAGTTATCAACAGAATTCAAATTGCCTCAAGGGACTGGATTGAAAACATGTTGGTCTGGTACTTTTAGTCATGTGAATGACCAAATTAGATTGTTCCATGGCAAATAAACTGATTTCTCAGAGAGCCATATACACACACAAATCAACCAGATTCAGAGTGTTGGAGTTAAGCCATATAAACAGTCTTCAAATAGCCTCCCTGGTGAGACACTGTTTTTTCATTTAACTTGAATGATTTTTCAGAACTTTGGGTGCTTTAGAATTTCCTTTTAATATGGGGTCAGTGTGAAATACTCCTTAGAGTCTATATTAATAGATTCATATCATCCTGGCAGAGGGTTCTGAACTTTGTCATTTTTCTTTGTACTATTTAACTTTTTTCTTAAGAACTGTTGAAGATATTGATGCTGATCAAAATCATAGATGACAAGAAAGTGGAAAGGAGACTGAATCCAAATCTAATAAAATCTTGACAGGTCAGAATGAACTCTAATAAGATGAAAATTCAAAAAATAAATCCTTTTTAAAGGTTCCTTGTTTTAGAACCAATACCTCGATCCTTCAAGGATGGATTATGAGTGTATTTTAGAAGAACCTAGAAATTTTAGCTAATTGTAGGTTCACTATTAATCAATGTGAGATCTATGACTTCCACAAAATGCTAAAATGATTTTAAGATGTGCTAATAGAAGAATAGCTTTTAAAATGTGGGAGATACGGGAAGTGAGCATGCAATACTACTCTGAAATAATCAGAGCAGACCTGGATGTTATAATGTATTGTTCTCCAGTAATGTTCAGAGAGGTGTAATCAGGAAGGCATGGGAAAGAAGTGCCAAATTCAATGAAAACATCTGAAAGAACTAAGAATGCTTACTCTAGGAAGGTCCAGGGGGCATGATAACTATTTTCAAATGTTTGAAGGGTTCTCACATGGAAGATAGATTAATTTGGCCTCAGAAAGGAGAATGTGGATTATGAACCAACGCTACAAGGAAGTAGCTTTGGAATTCCCTTAAGGAAGAACTTTTATGTGGACTACCTTGGCAAATAATGAAGTCACGGACTAGTCATAGAGGTGTTCTATCAGGTTTCATCCTGTCCTGGGGTGTTGTAGAGTAGGGACTGCAAAATGGTAGTGCATGGAAAAATTTGTTCTGATGATGTATTTTCTTTAGATTGGACAGTGTGTTAAGAAATTTTAATTTAATCACTAATTTTTTTAAAAAGATAAAAGAATCTTTACAAAGATTGGTAGTTGCTACTTTTCTTCAAAATTGTAGATGTGGCAACCAGGGCGTCCATTATTGGAGGTAACAATTAGCTGAGAATAAGAATCCGCTTCCTCCTTTTAAGAGGGTGTGTACACTCAGGTTCACCACAGTCCCCACCACTCTCTGTTGTGTTCCTCACACAGAGGAGAAGATCATTTTGCCGTTTATTCTCTTGCTTGAGTAGCTGTTTTGCTTACAACTGACCCACCTCAATTTGTAATTTATTTGCATGGCCTGTGTAGGCATCAAGCTTGTTATCCCTGTTGGATACACTGATTGACTAGGCTAAAGAATCGAACTTGTTTAGCTATCAAAGGTTTTCAAACATTATTTTTTATTTTAAGGACCCCCACTCCTTCACACCCATGATACCAGGGAAATCTTAAACCAAATCCCAATTTATAAAACATGATAGAGGAGCTATTATCTTTGAAGTGGATGAATAACCTCTATCTCATAATCTAATATTTCCCCCGAGACAAGAAATGGAATTTTAGGGTACTATTGAATTGGTTTGAACAGTACAGGATTTGAAATTGTGTTCTATAAGTTGAGGATACCAACATATAAATGCTAGTTCTTGCAAACACTTTATAGCATTGGTTTAAAGAAAAAGCCCTATTTCTCAGATGAAAAGAAAGACATGTAAAGGAAGGATCACAAACTGGTTAGAATTGCTGGGTTTTAGTCGTGGCTTTGATATTAACCAGTTGGAGAGGCTTCAGGTTAGTCCCTGGAATCTCAGATTTAGGACCTCAGAGGGCATTTTACAGACTAACTAGTCCACACTCCTCATGGTACAGACAAGAGAACTGAAGACTGGGGGAAACAACGGTTTGTTCAAGGAGAGCACAGTTAATTGGTGTCAGTGTAAGTATTGGAACTCAAGAATGACCTCAAATTGGACTCTATCATGTTCCTTTTCTCCCTAATAGACAATTATTTGGGTCTCTTTCCACACAATAGGTTTTAATTGCTTTTCTTTGCTTCTGTTGGGAGAAGAAACTTTCTCATGTTGATTCTCTAAGTTGTCCTTAAAAATTAACATCCATTAAACTATTCTTTACTTGGGATGGACTGCTCTCCCTTTTCAGGGGGAATGGAAAACTATTTTGTCTTACCTGTTTTCTCTCAAGCAATAAGTTCTTTATTGCTAAATGGGACATGCTCATCGTAGAGAAGATGAAAAACACAATGTTTTTGGTACAGATAATGGCAAACCAATTAGATAAACTCCAGCAATTGGGTTGTTATTCAGACATGAATCTCTTTGCCTAACTGCTGTTTACTCATTTCTAGACCTGGCTGCACTGTTATCCTCTCCTGAACCCATAAAGCTTTGAAATTACTGGAAATGGCAGGAATTCAATTCCACTCATTTTCAAAATTCCCTTGGTTTGGCTTTAAGACCGTGAAACCTGTTTATAGAAAGAGATGTGATCACAAACATGTCAATAGGCATCAAAAAGGAAAAATAGCTAAACCAATTTTAAAATACCCAGAAAGAGTTCTAAAGAGTATTAAAAAAAATTTTTTTTGAGGCATCACCAACTTCAAACCACTTTTGCCTCACAAAACGTTATCTTAGAAATATTCAGTAGCTAGATAGACATACGATTATAACTGTTCATTTATGTCACCATTAAGGAACTTTATAGTCTCCTTATGCTAAATATTGAATAAAATTTATTTTGAAGCAGAGGTTTGAGGAGTGAGAAATTATATCCTAGAAAAAATTTTGAATCTTAACAGGAAATTCTTTTAAAAACTATATCTTTCTGAAATCTATGAAAATATGATCAGAATTAAATCAACAACAACTTATAATTTTATTTTCCTTAATTGGAGGGTAAGGTTTTTTCTTTTTGGTTTACAGTCAAACATGATCTTTCTCATGGCTTTTATAGTTTCTCAAAATTAAAAAGAGGTGCCCAATTCAGGTTCTTCCCTTGACATGTCAAACAGAGGCTGTTTCCTGGTAACTTCACCTGGCAGCTTGCAGAACGCGGTCTTGGCTCTGAGTTAGTGCCTAGTTGGGATTGCAGGTTTAAGAGCTAGATTCTCAACATTCTGAGTCAAATGTGACCTCCTGCTGCTTTAAAGCACACTACCCAGCCCAAACACATCAGTATCCTTTAATTTCATAAGTTCATGTGTGAACCATGTATTTCAATATCCGTTGAGAAAGCGTTTGAAAAATAGATCAGAGAGGGGAAAAGTGAAGAAACATTGATACCTCTAATAAGAAATAATTATAGGGATGGCCAAGTTACTATGGTAAAATGTAGACGAGCTAGAACACAATGGCTAAAGTTGGTCTTCTCTTGACCTCTGATCCTGTTTCTAGATTACTTGCTGCTTTTCTGTCTCCTTTGCTGGTCCCCAGTTATCTCTTTGACTTCTAAATCTTAGAGTACCCTAGGGCTCAGTCCCACAAATCTTCTCTTCTATATCTACACTCATTTCGTAGGTAAGCTCAACTAGTCTCCTGGCATTGAACACTAACAATAGATGGATGCCTCTCAATTTATATCTCCAACTCTGACCTCTCTCCTAGATCCTTAAGTCCATCTGTTCATTTCACATCATCTCCACTTGGTTACTTAATACAAATCTCAAATGTTAACGTGCTTAAAACTAAACTCTTAATTCCCTAACCACTCCCCATCAACCTGCTCCTCTCACCATCTTGTCCATATGCATAAGTGCCATTTCATTCTATAGTAATGCAGGCCAACAACTTAGGAGTCACCTTTGCCTTCTCACTTCCTCTCCCATTCCTCATCTAATCCATCAGCAAATGCATCAACGAATTTGAAGACTACCTTCACAACATACTCCCAGATCTGATTTGTTTCTCACTGCCTCCACCACTTCTATCCTGGCCTATGCCACTGGCTTTTCTCTTCTGAAATATTGCAATCGCCTTGCATGGATCTCTCTAGTCCAGTTGTCCCTCATCCATACCTCTACCCCATTGTCTATTATTTGCCCATAGGCACAGAAGCCACATCTCATTCAGAGTCAATTCAAAGTTCTTTCCCCAGCTTATCATGTCGCCCATGATCTTGCTTTATTTTTCCTCTCTAACCTCATCTCCTTCCCCACTGTCCTTGGCTCATTCCTTTGCAGCTTTACTCGCATTCTTGCTGTTCCTGGAACACACCAGGTGTGTCTTGGATTCCAGGCCTTTTTCCTTGGTGGTTCCTCTGTCTGGAGTGCCCTTTCTCCAGATATCCACATGAATACCTTCCTCATCTCCTTCAGGTCTATATTTAAATGCCACTTTCCCAGACTAGCCAAACCTGGATGCTTTTTATAAAATAGAAACACCCCTCTATGGCTCTCCCTCTTCCCATACTCTGCTCTACTCATTCTCATAGCATTTTGACCACCATTCATACAATTGCTTGGTCATCTGTTTTTTGTTTCTCTCCTTCATTGCCACTAGTATACAAGCCCCCTGGGAGGAGGACTTTGTCTTGTTCACTGTTATATTTCAGTATGCAGAAGAGTGCCCTGTATATAGTTTGGACTTGATAACTATTTGCTGAATGAATGCTGGTTTTCTAGCCAACAACTAAATAAGAGAGTTACATTATGAATTTAATAAGCATACACATATAATCATTTTTAGAAGATATAATAGAGGCTATATAAATGCATTATATATATATATATATATATATATATATACACATTGGATATATAAATGCATTTCCTTTTGCATCTTGGGGAAGGTTGGGGAGGGAATCAGGTGAGGCAGATCAGGAGAATTTTGCCCTTCAAACATCTAAGATTTTCCCAGGAAGTCCTAAAGGTTTGCTAGCCCACCATTAGAGACTCTTCACCTTGTGAATTGTAAAGACGATACAGAGCCACCAATTTTCTCTGTGTTAACTTTTCTCTATACCAGGGCTTGTAAGAATTCTCCCAAAGAAAGTTAAAACTTCCAAGAGATCTCTGGCTTTGCTAGCATGATGCCTCCCAGAGAGTTCCCACTTTTCCTTTAGGAAGCATGACAGCACGAACAGTACCCATCATTTAAAAATGAACATCTAGAAAAAAACAGCATCTAGAAAAAAACCAGGCTTACTCATTAGCAGCTTTCCCTGTGCCTTTCTGTAGCTGTAGTAAATAATTCTCCCCTGTTCCCCACAAATAGTTAATTATAGCACCAGCAGCAGCTCTTTGAGTTGGGAAGCCAGGCATATCTGCAATGCCCAGAGGAGATGCTGAAAGTCCTCCCTGCCACATTCTGAAAGCAGAGGATTAGAACAGATGAATTTTTCCCACAGGTTGGGGCATCCATGAAGATACCTCTGCCCTGCTTCTTATGCATACCTCCCCCATTGCATTTCTCCTTTTCCTGATGCTGTCAAGTAACTCTCAACTTGCATCACTCATGAATGGTTTACACCCGCTGACCTCTTGGCATGTTATCTAGAAAATGAATTTGGCCACAGATGGGAGGCTAGGTCAGAAACTGTTTCACTTGGGTCTCTTGGCTTCACTATTTGTGTTCAAAATATGGTCCAGCTCATGTGCCTACAGATTCATGTTTTCCCCTCTTAGTTCAGTTCAATCTCTGGAAAAGGGCAGCAGGGGTGGATGGGGAGCTGGATTGGGCACGGAGAGCTCCTGATCTGGGAAGCCATGTCCACTCTTCCAGAAAGGTCAAAGATCCCAGAAAATGCCTCTTGAATCAAATGTGAATTTACAGACAAATTGAGTGAAGTGGGCATGGCAGGTGTAATGAAAACTGTGGTGCACTCTCCAGATTTCCTCTTTAGGGCCCTCACACATTTCCTCCAGCTGCTAAATGTGGCTCAGAGTTTCTTTCACTGAGAATTGCCTTTGGTAGCAGGACGTGATTTACCTAAGACTATGTTTCCTTTGAGGGAGTACCCATGCCAATAACTGGTCATTATGGGGGCACAAAGGTCCGGTTCCTTTGCCTCACACTGGGGTAACTCTGAAGGGCCACCCCTGTTTCTGAGTTTCCTGTAAAATTGACTGAGGCCCCTGTTGAAAGCCCATTTGCTCAGCTTCTCCCTTTGCCCAGTGTTCTCTTCCTTGCTCTCCAAGAAGTCTCTGGCATACAACTCTGCATCTCAGAGTCTGTTTCTGGGAAATCCAAAATGAAGACCCCATCTTTGTTTAATTTCTCCTAGAAGAATCACGCCTTAGGGAGTGAATTCTAAAGTGTGCAAAGTGGAACTTATGCATGGTTAAAATTAACTTTGAAAACTCCTTAAGGGTTAGAAACTGATATTGTGTCTCAATACATCACAAGGGTGGAATTTCCCTTTCACAATGGACCCTGGTCGTGTCCCATTGTTCTCACAGCAAATGAAGAAGTCAGCTTGCGTTTAGGAAATATTTTGTATCAAAAGTATTAACTTTAAATGCTACAGGCTCACCCCCAGAAAGGTGAAATGCTTCCACTGTGAGGGTCACCAGGGAACCGAGGCCAACTGCATACTCAGCTGCCTTCAGTTCAAGGCCACTCCAGGGCATAAGCAAATTGAGCAGAACAGTGAGCTCAAGTGCCGCCCTTTTTATTTCCCTCTTCTTTTTCACTTTTCCATTTATAGCTGAGCTCACTGAATTCACATAAGTGACATAAACTCAGGAGGCAACTTCACTTCTTTTCAGCACATTATTTTTAATTGAGAAAATTCAGTGACTAATTAGTGCAAACAATTGTTTAAAGAACGACAGATTCATAAGCAGTATCAATTCTCACTTAGTTTTTTATTTAAATCAGACTTCGTATTGAGAGGAGTCACGAGTTTTATTTTCTTCCTATCAGTTATAGCTGTGTGGCCCCAGGGAAGTCACCTTCTCTCTCTCTGGGTCTATTTTGCCTCAATGGTAAAATTATATTTTAATGCTTCAAGGTCAAGGGCTGAATCAATGTTTCCTTAAGACTCTTCCTGCTCTATAATTCTCTTTGTGCAGAGGAGCAGGGAAAATTATGGAATACAAATCAGTGTAGAGCAGCACCATGGAGTGGTTAAGTCTCCTTACAAACCATGAGAATTTGGGGAACTCAGAATCCACCCTTTGTCCAATTTATGCTACAAGGAAATGAGAATATGAAGAAATAGCAGCCACAAATGCCCTGTAGAATAAAAAGTTCTAGAAAAATACAAAATGCTATTTTCCCTTTTGTGTTTCTCATAATATTAATAAACTTACCATGACTATGTTTCTTAATAAGTAAAATATAATCAAATCTATATGCTTTATTTTTTTCCTTCAATAAAACATTTGGAAGATAAATTGGAAAATTTCTATATGTTTCTCAGAGCAGCACCTCACAACCTCAGACCTTATCCTCTTAGAGTTAACAAGTATAAGGATAAAAAACAGCCTATTCTTTGGGTATAAATCCCTTAAAAAGGCACTAAAACTATCTAATTTCTATTTTTACCCAGCCCCCAGACTGTGAGGCTCTCATGCAGTCATGGTGATGGTAAGTAGAGGTCACCTCAAATTCCATTAGTTATCCACTGGAGGAAGGTGTGGTCAAGACAAAAGAGGGGGAGGAGATTTTTCTCCGTGACATTTTCAATTTGAAAGTAGACTTTCCAGCATTTTGGGAGGCCAAGGCGGGTGGATCACCCGATGTCAGGAGTTCAAGACCAGCCCGGCCAACATGGTGAAACCGTATCTCTACCAAAAATACAAAAATTAGCCAGGTGTGGTGTCACGCACCTATAATCCCAGCTACTCAGGAGGCTGAGGCACAAGAAACACTTGAACCCGGGAGGCAGAGCTTGCAGTGAGCTGAGATCGTGCCACTGCACTCCAGCCTGGGCAACAGAGTGAGACTCTATCTCAGGAAAAAAAAAAGAAAGAAAGAAAGAAAAGAAAATAGACTTTCCAAAAGATAACAGCATTTTCCCTTCTCTTCCCTTTTAATTTATAATAAATAATCAAATAATTAACTACTATAATTGAAAGGAAAGAAGAGTTTGGCCACAATACACACAAATCATATAAATCATGTCCAGTTGATTTTAAAGAATAGGAAACTTTTCTTTTGCTCCAGTGGTATTATGAGATTTCTGAAGTGATTATATTATCCAGTGAAGCTAAATTTTGTGGGTTATTGGCAGTATCTTGAAAACTCCACAGATATATTCAAGAATAGACCCTTAAAGACCAAAAACAGATCACTACCAGAACGTGTGGCTGCCTTTTATGGTTATTAAACATGTGGATACATTTGGATAAGAAAGAAGCTAGAAAGATATAGCTTCTAAATATAGAACACAAAGGAAATATCATCCATTCTTTGAGATGAGAGAAGCAAGGAAAGTTTTTATTGGACTGATAGAAGTTTCTGACTTGTAAAACTGAAACATGTTTAAAAATGAGGAATAATTGTATGGTCTAGTAAAATTGCTTAGTAAAGGAAATAAATGTTTTTAATTCTCAAATATAACCTCTCTCAAGAAATGAAGTTCAGGTTATTTTTTAATTAAATTATTTTGCTTCCATAAGACTAGTGTGTGTTACTCATAGAATTATGAGTCCTTCATGTTTTTAAAATATATTTCACTTTAATATTCTATTTCAGATGTGCAAGTATGGTTTGACAGAGCTGGGAAGCAAATATTATCTTAAATAAATCTACTCTTCGGAAGCTTTTCAGGTACTTGTAGAATTTATGAGGTTTTGATATGTTGACCAGGGACTGAAGATAGGTTTGGCTTTAAGATTTGTTGGTATTGTTCTAGCTAATGTTGAACAAATCTTACAGAGCTTTTGGGCATAAAATATTTGTTTTTGACCCTGATGTTGAGAAGGTATTTTTAGTTTCATTATTTCATTTCAGTGTTGAATTGATTTATTACCTCTTCAAATTATTTTCATTATCAAAACCTTCCAGACACATTGTCCCGCTTTGGTGCCTGTACCACGACTGTGAATATGATTAGGAAGAAGGCAGATTGGGTTTTGGAAATTAAGAACTGGTTCTTCATGGGATTCTTTGTGATAAAACTTGGAAGTAATGAAACAGTCATTGGTTTCTGTTACCCACAATTAAGAATGTATGTAAAAGAGGTGCTAGGGAGAAGACTATATAGTACTTTTATTTCCTAATGGAGACAAATTTTGGGATACGGAGGAAAATATAAAATGAGAAGGGCAATACTATTACATGGATTAAAACCCTGAAGAAAAAATAGTAATCATTCATTCATTTGACATGCTCAGTCATTTCCTGAACATCTCACTGTGCAAAGATATTACTGAAATAAACAAGACACAACTTTTGCTTTTTAGCATCTAAATGATGATACTTGGCAGTCAGCTAATCTTTTAGCAGGAAGAACTGGAAAGAGAAGCGAACATCTTTAACACAGTCTACATCAGAATCTGTTTTCTTAGCTATTGTCTGCATATTGATGAACAAAGATGAGCACATGGAAAGTAGCACTTTAGCTCTTTCTAGTCCTTTTTTTTCTGTTTTCCTTTTAGCATAAAAATTAGTTGTTACATGAGAGGCAAACATCATTGAAATTTCTGGTCTGAAGTCAAAAAAAGCCAAAAAGTACCTTGGGTTTCTACCTTTTTCTTTTTTATTTCTTGGGTTGCTAGCAGAGCTTGGAGGTTTCTTTGGTCAAAAAGCTACCTCAGTAGATGAAGCCCTGAAAGCGAATAGCAGCTCAGACCACCCTCCCTGGGCTTTGTGTTCCTTACCACAAGCCTGTAGACAGTGAGTGAGACAGGCTGGGAAGTGGTGCAGGGACAGGAAGGAGAAGGAAGCTGGGGGCTGGGGCTGCAACCGTAGTTAACGTTAGCAGTTCTAGGAGACAGTACATTTCAGGGAATGCTAAAACAACTTACTCTTAAATTCTGTGTTTATAAAGCATAACTTGCCACATCTATGTAAGACATAAAAGCCTGGACCTCCTTCTGGCTACTTGGTCTCTCCCTTTTTCTTTCATTTACTTTTCTTTTTGCAACCTGTTTGAATGTGTTTGAGAACCCCCAAATTGGGGTATTCCTACTCTAGACTTATTTACCCTTTTGTTTAACAGCTATAAACCCACAAGGCAGAATCTTTAGTTTACTATCTTTGCACTGTTCATAGTCAATGATTTTTGGTTCAGAATAGTTGCCACTCTATTTTTCTATCAGCAGATGCCAAAATTAGACAACCACGAGAACATCATGCAGGAAAGACTCAGACCTTAATCTAATATTTTGGAAAAAGGCAGTCATCATTAGCAGTTTTTTTTTTCGTTTTGAAAAAAATTATGAGATTTTTGTGCTTTATTTATTTTCCTAGAATGAGTTTATTATTGACAACATCCCCAGCATTTAACCTTGATGACAAGATAGGGAAAAGATATAGGATACTTGGTCTTCTTTAGTTTTTCTGCTATTTTCTGTTGGTCTTCATGGGCAAGGCAGATGGTTACAACTACCAGATAGAGGCAATTGGCTACCTGGATCCTTATAATAGATAATGAAGGGGAAATAGGCACCCCTTTTGGTGATAACAGATAATATTTTGAAGAGAAAGACAAATGATTAGAATCACCAGTGACTGATCTCTTCTTTTTATTACCCAATTAGTCCCATTTTATATTTTAAAAGTGTCACTGTATACTTCAAGAATCAGCATTTCAGAGATCATATGTGTTAGAATGGGAAAAGCTCAGGCCAGTGGTGCTAAATAGTCTCTCTGACCAAACAGGGACTTTTGAGTTCTACTGTGCCTCAGTTCTCTTTCCCAGCCCAAGCCTTTTAAATGTCTCTTTCATTCTGCCCCCAGTTTATATGTTTCTGAATAATCTTGGAGCAACGCCTTTAATCGTGGAAGAAGAGTAGCCAATGGGACTTTTAAGAAAATACATAACTAAAAGGAAAACAACTGGCCATAAATGGCAAGGTTATGGCATAGGGTTGAAGTGTAGGGAAGACAAATGTCACGGTGCACCAGGGTGATCTTTGTCTACTGGTGCCCACCTTGGGTTCAGGGCAAGATCCCTGTCCATATGACTGCCCAAGGGTATCCCCAGGTAATGAATTGGTATAGCCAAGGCCAAGGTTATTATCACATAGAATAGAGAGCTTCTCCCTTAGGTCTTGGTGCCGGCTTCTATGACAGATCCTTTAAGAATACTTGGCCTTGGCTGGCAGCACAGGCAGCTTAATTGTTACTGCAAAAGTAAAGTTAAAGTGGCTTCCTAGAGCAGAAATTCCTCTTTAGAGAAGGTGGGAACTCTTGAGAAGTTAAAGAAAAAATTGCCTGTGGCCTGTCATTTGGCAATCTGCTGAGAGACTGTTTTATCTGAATTCCTAATTGAAGCCCAAATTAAACCCAGGGAAATGTTCACATGAAAAGCCCCACAAGAATGAGTTTTCAGATTCTATCAGCTCAAAAGAATCTCATGTGAAAGTCCTTAACTCAAACATCTGACACGCTTTTCATCAGCTGGTCCCTGAGAGTCCTGAGAAAGAGGTTACGCTGCCTTCAATGTACAGAGAACAACTTGTCTGAGTTATTACATACTTTCCTTCCTAGTGATTCTTGTAACAGAAATCAGAATCTACCCAATTGGATGAGTGTGTAGGTATGGGGGATGGTGGAAAATATGATTACTAAAGGTCCTATTCTGAAAGGCAAGAAGTGGGAACACTGGGAGAGAAGCCACTTTGTTGCTAAGATGATATGTTTGATTGGGGGAAAGTTGAATTTGAGCCATCACAGGGAGTAGAAAATGGGACCTGGAGTCCAAGAGCAAGGTAAAGACTGAAGATTAAAAAAATGGGGGTGATGAACATCAAGTAGACAGCTGAGACATGAAGGCAAATTAGATCAGTGCTAGAAAATATAGGATAAAAAGAAAGGCTGAGATAGTCTCATGGCCACAGTCATGCATGGATACTGAGAAGTCCACTGCCTGCTGTGAGCTGCTCACTGACTGGCTCTCTCATTCTTTCCGTTCACAACGTGGGGCATGGCAACCTCCTCTGAGCATGTGGATTCACCAGTAGAAACCTTCCGTAAAATGACTCATTAAACTGCTTGTTGTCTTCCCATCCATCACAGGCCAAAACATGTTCCCAGGCAACCCGAAGTCCTCACCCAATAATAACTCAGGAGAAGATAGCCAGTAAAAGGGTGGTATCCCAATTTCCTCTTCCTCCAGCCATACAAAGGGGCCTGTGATTATTTATTATGCAGAGACAAAGGAGCAGAGAGTCCCTGATATGACTCTGCAAAGCATTCATTTGCCCTATCATAGTACATTAAGTGCCTTTACTTCAAAATTCCCTGCCAGCCCCTCCACACCCCCTTGGTGGGCTCAGCCATGGCAGCAGAGATTGGGAGGCAGGTTTCTGGGGAAAACTCACCCTGGGGTCTCTCTCCAGCTGCTGCTTGTGGTGTAGGCTGCGTCTTCTCTTGGCCTTTGCAAGGCCATTGTGATAAAAGTGGTACAGACCTTCAGCAAAGGGAAGCTGTGGAGAGTCAAGTAGACATAGGCATAGTTAGCTTCTGGGGTTGGCCCAGGGACAGGGACACCAAAGCTGGGGCTGCTTGCAGGGGCTCCATGGGGTAGGGAAGTATGCAAGGAAACCACTGGCAAACCTCCTGTCAGTCCTGGTCCTCTATTTCCCTATCAATGTCCTCCTTCTCTTCTCCTTGCCTTTGTTCATGTGGTGTCCACTCTCCTCCTGCTCCCCAAATACCTTCTATTCTTTCCCCCATTTTTTAACTTTCTGCACATCCTTTGATTCCCTTTCCTTTTCCATGGAGCCTTGCCTTTACATTCACACCTGCATCAGATTCTCCTTGCCTTCCTTGGTCTAGTGTGCATACCCCAGGTACCACCTGGTTGCTTCAGAATTATGCTGCGATGTTTTGTAGTCATGTCTTCATAGCTGTCTGTGACAGATCTTCAACTGTCTGTCTGTGTCTTGGGCTTTTTCTGTGAACCCTTGGTGCCTTTTATCAGGCTGAGCACAGTGTGAACATCTAAATTTAGTAAATACCAGTTGGATGGCAGGTCTGGTTTCCCTCTACCTTCCTATCTCAAGGATCCTTGAAATCAGGTCAGAACCAGTCAGAGAAGTCACAGTAATGAGAGGTTGTCTTTGGCACAGGGCCTCTAAGAGTCTTGGAGAACCTAAACAGGCCAATCATTTGTTCTATGATTCAAGGTAACTTGGTGGGAAGAGCCTTGACCTGGGAGTTTGGAGGCCTGGATGTGGCTCAGGTCTGTTACCATCAGTATGATTGTGGGCAAGTGGTTTCCTCTCTGGGCATCTTTTTCTCTTCTGTATAAATATAGGGGCTTGAAGTTCCCAGATCTCTCCCTTTTCTCCACGTCTTCACATTGATGAAGACATGCTGTTTGCAGTTCTTAACCTGATTAATTAATTTAATTGAATGCTTACAAATTATAGACAAATAATGTAAATATGTACTTTTTTTGGAAATAGGACACATGATTTCATCAGATTCTCAAAAGAGTCCCTAAATCAAAAAGCATTCCACTACTCAAAGTATTGGCTATTGAAAGTTTTGGTGTGTGTGTTGCCATCCAGTGTTTGGAAGAAAAGGGAAGCAGATGTGGTTGATTTGATAGAAAAGTTTTCTAACATAGATGGGGCCAATCTGAGATTTTTAGATCACATAGAACCTCAGTGTGGCTCAAATATTTCTTAAAGAATATTTATTATTATTATTTTATTTTTAATATAAAGAAAATGTAGAGTAAATTTAGAAAACCGAAAAACACAGATAACAAAGTAAAAATTCTTCATGTTTTCTTTTTTGGCAGTATTGGAGTTAGGTTACCTTTTTGTTTTTTTTCCTCTAGGCCTACCTACTTGTAAGAGCAAATGATTATTTCCTTAATAGTCAAATGAGTGAGTTTTAGATCTTCTTCCTTGCTTAAACACACACACACACACACACACACACACACACACACTACATATTATGCAAAGTGGTTCTTCTCTTGTCACTCAGATGCTATCACAGACTTTCACTTACTACCTCCTTTTTTCAAATTTTTATTTTGGGTTTGGGGGTACATGTGAAGGTTTGTTACATAGGTAAACACGTGTCATGGGGTTTATGGTACATATTACTTCATCACCTAGACTACTTCCTTCTTTTGAATGGCTGCATATTATTCCATTACATGGGCTATACCATGACTTATTTAGCCTTTCCATTATTGATGCATATTAAGATGCTTCCATTTTTTTTTACATTCAAAGATAATGCTGTGTGTTGGGGTGGGGAAACTTCAGGTATGATAGAATAAGAACCTTCAAAAATCTACTGCTATAGAAAAGCAAATAGAACTCTGAAAAAAATTGCCAAATCAACTTATTCAGAACACAGGAAATTGACAAGAGGTTTGCAGCAACCCGAAGGGTGTTTATTCAATAAAAAAGTTGAATCTCAGTGATAATGGCAAACTCTGTGCTGTTTTAGATTGCCCTATGACCATCCTCTTCTTCATAGCTCTGCAGCATCTTTGAACATGAACAACCTCACAATCACAGCAGCTGTGAAAACCAGTAGCCAAATACATAGTAGAGGGTGCAGACTGGGTTTAGAGTTATTTAAAAAGCTCCATCCCTAAATAATTGCCTGGAAGCTATCTGGAAAAGTTCCATTTATAGGATTTGTTGTTATTTGATCTGTCCCAGGGTTTGCTCAGTTGGAAAAGTCCTACTCCCCAGGGAATTTGTCAAAAATAATCAGTGGCAAATTTTTAAGGTTGCAATTTCCTGAAGTAGCAATATGAACTGGGGCAAATAAAAGGCTGGACAAAAACCTTTGTAAAAGAATCTAGGGAATAAGATGTCCATTGAAGGCTTTACAAAGCTCTAATATATTCCTGGACACTTAGAAGGCCATACACATGGGCAGAGCTGTACACACAACCAGGAAATATCTAAGAAGGCCCTAAGTGCTCACCTTTAGTTGACTTGATGTCTCTTTAAAAACAGGAGGTGAAGGCCATAGCAGAGTTTAAAACTGCCTGCTTGAGAATTGAGGATATGTCCCGATATACACAACAGAGCCCCTTAGCAAAGGGTAAAAACAAAAAGCCTTATTGATTCAAGGTCTTTAAGAAAACCTCTGCCCTGTCATTGGCTAACTATTAAGTTAACCAAGCAGATTCAATGGCACATTATAGAAATTACAGACTTTATAGAATTAGTCCAGAAAGACATTAAATAAGCAAATAGAAATAAACATATGTGTGCATGTATCTTTAGAGTAGAATGATTTATAATCCTTTGGGTATATACCCAGTAATGGGATTGCTGGGTCAAATGGTATTTCTGGTTCTAGATCCTTGAGGAATTGCCACACCATCTTCCACAATGGTTGAACTAATTTACACTAACCACCAACAGTGTAAAAGCATTCCTATTTCTCCACATCCTCTCCAGCATCTGTTGTTTCCTGGCTGTTTAATGATCACCGTTCTCACTGGTGTGAGACGGTATCTCATTTTGGTTTTGATTTTCACTTCTCTAATGACCAGTGGTGGTGCATTTTTTTTCATATGTTTGTTGGCCACGTAAGTATCTTCCTTTGAGAAGTGTCTGTTCATATCCTTTGCCCACTCCTTGATGGGTTTTTTTTCTTGTAAATTTATTTAAGTTCCACAATAGCAAAGACTTGGAACCAACTCAAATGCCCATCAATGATAGACTGCATAAAGAAAATGTGGCATATATACACCATGGAATGCTATGCAGCCATAAAAAAGGATGAGTTCATGTCCTTTGCAGGGACATGGATGAAGCAGGAAACCATCATTCTCAGTCAACTAACAGAGGAACAAAAAGCCAAGCACTGCATGTTTTTACTCATAAGTGGGAGTTGAACAATGAGAACACATGGAAACAGAAAGGGGAACATCACACACTGGGGCCTGTGGGGTTGCAGAGCTAGGGGAGGAATAACATTAGGAGAAATACCTAATGTAGATGATGGGTTGATGGGTGCAGCAAACCACCATGGCACGTATATACCTATGTAAGAAACCTCCATGTTCTGCACATGTATCCCAGAACTTAAAGTATAATTAAAAAAAAAGAAAAAAAAACAGGGGTGGGGGTGCAGGAAAACAAATAGCAATAGTAAAAACAACAAAACCTAGAAACAACAACAAACAACCTGGGGAGAGGTAACTCTGGTTTCCAAACTGTCATATTACAGTATTTAAAATGTCAAATTTTCAAGAAAAATTGTGAGACACAAAAAGAAATAAGAACATATGCTCCACACATAGAGGAAAAAATAATAAAAACTCTCTGAGGAAGCCCAGATGTTGGACTTACTAGACAAAGACTAAACTATATAACTATAAATATTCACATGATATTATATATAGATATCACTATACCCAGACATATGTTCAAAGAAACCATATCTAAAGAACTAAAGGAAAGTGTTAGAATGGTGAATCATCAAATAAAGAATATCAATAAAGAGATAAAAATAATAAGAAGAAAGAACCAAACAGAAATTCTGGAGCTAAAAAGTACATAACAGAATTTAAAAATTTATCAGAGAGCCTCAATAGCAGTAAAGAGATTGAATTAGTAATTTTAAAACTTTCTGCAAAATAAATACTGATGAATTCTACTAATCCTGATTAGTTCTACTAATGTTTAAATAAATAATTCCAGTCCTTCAGAAACTCTTCCAAAAAATGGAAGAGGAAGAATCACTTCCCAACTAATTCATTGAGGCCTGTGTCACCCTGACATGAAGAAAAGACAGAAATACCACAAGAAAAGAAAACTACAGATTGTGATCCCTTACAAATATGGCAAAAAAATGCTCATCAAAATAGTAGCAAACTGAATCCAGTCACATATAAAAAGGATTTTCATCATAACCAAGTAGGATTTACCCCAGGAATGCAAAGTTGTTTTAACATCTGAAAATCAATTACTATAATAAATATATCAATAGAATAAATAACAAAAACCACATGAACATCCCAATGCAGAAAAACATGTGACAAAATACAACATTCTTTTATAATAAATACGTTTTAAAAAATTAGGAATGAAGGCTGGGTGCGGTGGCTCACGCCTGTAATCCCAGCACTTTGGGAGGCTGAGGTGGGCAGATATCAAGGTCAGGAGATCAAGACCTTCCTGGCTAACATAGTGAAACCTCGTCTCTACTAAAAATGCAAAAAATTAGCTGGGCGTGGTGGCAGGCTCCTGTAGTCCCAGCTACTCAGGAGGCTGAGGCAGGAGAATGGCATGAACCCGGGAGGCAGAGCTTGCAGTGAGCCGAGATTGCGCCATTGCACTCCAGCCTGGACAACAGAGCGAGACTCCGTCTCAAAAAAAAAAAAAAATTAGGAATGAAAGGGAACTTTCTCAATCTGATAAATCTATCTATGAAAAACTCACAGCTAACACCATAGTTAATGGTGAAAGGCTGAATGATTTTCTTAAGACCAGAACAAGACAAAGTTATCTGCTCTTGCCACTTCCATTCAAGAGTGTACTGGAGATTTTAGCTAATGCCATCAGGCAAGATAAAGAAATAAAGGCATCAAGATTGGAAAGAAAGAAGAAAAACTATCTCTATTTGCAGAAGACATATCTTGTACATAGAAATTTATAATGAATCCAGAAAAATTATTAGAATTGACAAAAGAGTCAGCAAGGTTGCAGAATATAAGATTAACATGCAAAATCAATTATATTTCTATACACAAGCAATGAACAATCCAAGCATAAAGTTAAGAATATAAGTCAATTTAAAATAATATCAAATAAGTAAAATACTGGGGAATAAATTTAACAAAAGAAGTGCAAGATGTATACACTGAAAAGTACAAAGCATCACTGAAAGAAATTAAAGATCTAAATAAATGGAAAAGCATCTCATGTTCACGGATTTTTTAAAATGGCAATGCTCCCTAACTTATCTGTAAATTCTATACAATTACTTTCAAAATCTCAGCTGTCATTTTTGCTTATCCTAAAGTTCAAATGTAAACTCAAGAGACCAAGAATAGCCAAAATAATCTTAATAAAGAAGAACAAAGTTGGAAGACTCACATTTTTCAATTTCAACACTTCTTCAAAGCTAAAGTAATCAAAGTAGTATGGTACTGGCATAGGAGAGACATATAGTAGTTTAATGGAATAAAACTGAATCCAGAAATAATTTATGATAATCAACTTATGGTCAATTGATTTTCAACATGGATGCTAGAACAATTCAATGAGAATGAATAGTCTGTTCAAGCACAGTTTTGTGCTTGGACAATTAGATATTCACATGAAAAAAATGAATTTGGATTCCTATCTCATACCACATGCAAAATTTAACTCAAAATGATTAGTAGTCCCAAATGTAAGAGCTAATATTGTACAACTCTTAGAATAGAACATATAAATAAATCTTCATGGCTTTAGGTTAGGCAATGTTTTCTTAGATACAACACCAAAAGTGTAAGAACATAAATTGTACTTCATTAAAATTAAGAATATTTGTACTTCAAAAGAAATAGCGAAGGAAACGAAAAGACAACCCACAGATTGGAGAAAAATTTTGAAAATCATATCTCTGATAAGGATCTCGCACAGGAATGTTTTAAAAATGTTTACAATTCAACAATAAATTCAAGAAATCCAATTAAAAATGTGCAAATTAGAGGAATCATTTCTTCAAAGAAGAAGTAAAAATGGCCTATAAACATACAGAAAGATGTTCAACATTATTAGACATCAGAGAATGCAAGTTAAAACCATGAGATATCACTTTACACACACTAGAATGGGTAAAATCAACCCCTGCCCAACTGCACCCAAACCAGCAAGTGTTGACCTGGATAGGGAGGAATTTGAACCCTCATACACTGTTGGTGGGATAGTAAAATGGTACAGCCTATTTGGAAAGCTCTTTGGCAGTTACTTAAAATGTTAAACATATAGACTTGTCATATGACCCAGCAATTCCATGTACGGGTGCATATAAGAGAAATGAAAACATACATTTACACAAATTCTTGTATACAAATGTTTATAGCAACATTATTCATGATAGTCAAAAACTAGAAACAACCCACATTGCTATCAATTGATAAAACAGTAAACAAAATGATATATATGTACAATGGAATATTATTTCTAAATGGAAAGGAATTAAGCAATGACACATGGTAAAAACACGGAAGAACCTTGAAAACTTAATGCTAAGTTAAAGAAGCCTGACAGCAAGGTCATATATTGTATCACTTCTTTATATGAAATGTCCAGAATAGACAAATCTATAGAGCTGGAAATTAGATTAGTGGTTGCCTGGGGCTGAGAGGGGACAGAAATGAAGAGTGATTGTTAATGGTCCAGGATTTATTTTAAGGGTGGTAAAAATATTCTAAAATTAGATACTGGTAATGATTGCACAACTTTGCAACTCTACTAAAGATCACTGAATTGCAAATTTTTAGAGGATAAATTTTATGGCATGTGAACTATATCTTAATCAATTTGCTATTAAAAATGCTATGATGAACAGCTTTGTGATTATCACTGTTTGTATAGATGAGAGTTTTCCTGTAGGATATATCCTAGGAATTCAATCTCTAAGTCGTAGATTATGAACACTTATCATTTTGATAGATACTTCAGAAAAGTTTCCCTATAAGGTTGTATATTCCAAGATTCACCGAAAAGTAAATAAGAATAAAAATATCCTTTTTCCCATTCTCTAAGTAACACTGGATTGACATTTATTAATGATATTTTAACTGCAGCCAATTTATAGGCAAAATGTTTCATCTTATTTGAATATTTTTAATTGTTTTGAAAGTTTGAGCATCTTTTCATATGTTTATTGACATTTTAGTTTCTTCTCTTTTGTGCATTTTTCTATTGTGTATTTTTGTGTTCCTTGTCATAAGCCAGGCACTGTGTTTGGTGCTGGAGAGACAAAGGTAATGATGATATGGTCTCAGCCTACAAATAGCTCACAATTCACAGGGAAGGAAGATTTGCACACAGCAATCTATTAACAGTACTCTGTGGTGGAGTGGTTTAAGAACATGAGTTCTGAAGCCAGATTGCCTTGGTTTAAATTCTCGCTCTTCCTCGTAACAGCGCTATGACCTTTGGCAAGTTAGTTAACCCTTGTGGGCCTCAGATTTTTTACTTATAAAATGTTTTTGTTATGGGAATTAAGTGAGATAATGCATGAAAAGTGCTTGGAATAATATCTTGCACTCAAGCATAAGTTACTCTTTTTATTGTTAGAATAGAATGTGCTGTAGCAGAGTTATTCACAAGCTGCTATGGAAACCCAAAGGAGAGGTTATTTCAATCAGAGGGATACTTGGGGAATATTTCTTAGACTTTTTGGAGAAAGGGGAGGGCAGTCAGCTTAAGAGACTCTTTTCCACTTCTGTTAAAAATTATATTTTTCTAGTGTTTTAATTTTGAAGAGTGTGGCTGTTTAAAGCCACAGCTTTTTTTTAAACACTCCCCATATCAAGAAATGAGGTCCATGATTCCAGCCCTTGCATCTGGGGAACATGATCACTTTAATTACGAGTATGGTGGAAGTGATGCCATGTGACTTCTGAATCTAAGTCATAAGGGGCCATTAGACTTGTGCCTTGTTCCCTGGAACACACTTGCTCTTAAAGTCCTGACCTACAATTTAAGAAGTCCAACTCCTCTCAGGCTGCCATGTTATGAGGAAGCCCAGGCAACATTGAGAAGCATGTGTAGTGCTTTGCCTGACAATCCTGGAAGAGCGCAGCTTTCAAGTCATCCCATTTATGGTGTTAAATGCACATATTAAGAAGCTTTCACATGATTCCAACTCCAGCCATACCAGTCATCCTCTAGCTGTTGAGTCTTCCCAACTGAGCCTCCACACATCGTGGACCACAGACAAGCCATTTCCACTGTGCCCTGCCTGGATTACAAATTCCCACATTCATGAGTATAATAAAATTGCTGTTTTATACCACCAAATTTTGGGTTGGTTTGTTACTCAGCAATGGACTACAGAAACAAGTAGCTAGCTGAAAAAAAAGTTTTATTTCTTCAGCTTTCACAGCTGTGTTAACATAAAACTCTACAATAATATTGGTTCTGTCTGTCAACTGATGACACCGTCTTGGAGCAGCTCAGATAAAGGCTCTCAAGGGACATCCCTGGCACAGGGGGACAGGCCTGGACTCAGATCAGCAGATACTGGATGATCTTCAAGGCATAGCCAACTTAACCAGGGGTCTTTTCTGTGAATAAAAATTTTTTAGAACATTGTAGCTTTTGTGATTTAGTTCCTGTTCACTAAAAGCCATATTCCCCATGGCAAATTTAACATAAATATTTCGTGTGATAATTCCAGGCTCAATGGTTCTTAAATGTTTTCTCTACTTAACCCTGCTGATATACTCTGGATAATATTAAGATTTAATAAAATAAAAAAAGTGAGGGGAGAGGAAGAAAATGTATGTGTGCTGTATTTTGCTTTCCAAAAACTTTCTACTTTGAACACTATCAGGTAGTATGAAATTTGACCTTTTGTTTCTTATTGCAGGAAGCATTATGGATCTGATAATTTTTTTTTTACTTTTAATTTTTTGGAGTCTCACTTTTTTGCCCAGGCTGGAGTGCAGTGGTGCAATCTTGGCTCACTGCAACCTTCGCCTCTTGGATTCAAGCAATTCTCCTGCCTCAGCCGCCCGAGTAGCTGGGATTACAGGCACCTACTTCCACACCTGGCTAATTTTTGTATTTTTAGTAGAGATCAGGTTTTGCTGTTTTGGCCAGGCTGAGCTTGAACTCCTGACCCCAAGTGATCTGCCCGCCTTGACCTCCTAAAGTGCTGGGATTACAGGTGTGAGCCACTGCATCTGGCCTAGAACTTAGAATTTTTAACACTAGAAAGAAAATTTGGAGTTGTTAAGTGCCAGTGGGTATCAGAGGAACATATCTTACCATGATTCTGGCTTGTTTTAGTGTTTTTTTAAAATAAGAAATTAAATGTAAACTGAGGTGCAGGGAAAACTCTTCCTTACAGTGGAATTGCCATTAATAAATGTAGAAGAAATGATGGACATTGAATATCATCATTCAGAAAATGTCATAATAATAGTAATTGTGGCCGGCAAACATCTCCAATAGATGCTAAAATTAATAGGTGAGATACAATAATAAACAATGGGAAATGTATCTTTATAGTGGAGAAACCTGGCAGAGACCACTTTACCCAAGCGATCTAAGTTAACTTCACCAGTGATGAGTCATGCTATGATGCACTAAGAAGGGCACATTGTTCATGTGATTTTCTCACCAAAAATACATAACGTGTATTTATTCAGGTAGAACCATCAGACAAACTCATAACTGACCAGTACTCTTTAAAGTCATCATGTTCATAAACGACAAAAAAGAGCTGCAGAACTTTTCCAAATTAGAGGAAACTAAGGAGACATAACTATTAAATATAATCATATTTTGGATTGAATCGTGGATCAGAAAAAAGGACACTAGTGGGACAACTGGAACATTTTGAATAAGGCCTGTAGCTAATAGTATTATATCAATGTTTATTTCCTGCCTTTGGTAATTTTGCTATGTTTACCTAAGACGTTAATTTTGGGGAAGCTGAATAAAGAAGGGTATATGGAAACTCTGCTTCTTTTTAAAAGTAATGTTTTTATTGTGATAAATATATATAACATCAACTTTTCAATTTTAATGATTTTTAAGTGAATAGTTCAGTGATATTAAGTACACTCACATTATGCAACTATCACTATTATCCATTACCAGAACTTTTTAATCATCTCAAACTGAAACTCTGTACCTACTGCACAGTAACTCTCCATTCCCCCCCCAGCCCTGGAATCCACCTTTCTACACTCTGTCTTTATGAATTTGATTTCTCGAATTAGGTTATATAAGTGGAATCATACAGTATTTGACTGTTGGTGCCTGCCTTATTTTACTTAAGCACAATGTCTTCAAGGTTCATCATGTTGTGGCATGTGTCAGAATTTCCTTCCTTTTTACGGTTAAATATTCCACCCTGTATACCACATTTGGTTTATCCATTCATCCGTTGATGGACACTTGATTTGCTTCCACCTTTTGGCTATTGCGAATAATGCTGCCATGAACATAGGTGTACCTGTGTGCTATTTATGCAACTTTTTTTTTTTTTTTTTTTGAGACAGAGTCTCGCTCTCTCCCAGTCTGGAGTGCAGTGGCGCGATCTCGGCTCACTGCAAACTCCACCTCCCAGGTTAACGCCATTCTCCTGCCTCAGCCTCCCGAGTAGCTGGGACTACAGGCGCCCACCACCACCCCTGGCTAATTTTTTTGTATTTTTAGTACAGACGGGGTTTCACCATGTTAGCCAGGATGGTCTCGATCTCCTGACCTCATGATCCGCCCGCCTCAGCCTCCCAAAGTGCTGGGATTACAGGCGTGAGCCACCGCGCCCGACTTAATGCAACATTTTTAAAGTCTAAATTATTTCCAAGATGCAAGTTAAAAATGTAAAAATATTTTAAAATTTAAATTTGAATGACCTCAGAAAGGTCATGTATTTCCTAGTTTCAAATCAGAACCCACCTACCCCTGCACTTCCTATGGTCACACACTAAGCTCCCTTTCCACGGTTGTGTTACCTTAGGCTACTGAGTTGCATACCTGGCTTGGTCTAGCTGCCTCATTTTTTTAGAGAAGACACTGTGGCTCAGGGGGTGCCAGGGCCTGACCAGATGAATGGGAGCTCTCTGCAGAAATCCCAGCTCTCCTGAGTGTAAATCCACACTGCTTGTGTGGTGGTCCTACTCTACGTCCCAGCCCCTTTGTAACCATGACTAGGAATCCATGAGATTTTGGCCTGGAATTCCTGATGGAGATGAGTGGGACTCAAGGACAGCCAGGTTGATGGGTGACATCCCCACTGCTGTGATCTTGGGACCCTTGAGTCTGGATTCTTTGGGATTCTTTCTTGGCTATGAAAGAAAATGGAGCTAATTGGTCTCATAAAGCTAAAATTTGAACCTCTGACGAGCTTACTCTTATGCAATAAACAGGTAAATTGACTGATCATGAACCTAACAAAAGACTAACCTGTAGGCATTGGTTATTTTTCTGGGCCTTTTTTGTCTCTTGCTTTTGGAGTGCAGACCCAAGATCCACTGTCTTCTGAGCATCTGAGAAGCAGCTGCTTAAGAGCTTTGTGCAATCATAAGCTCCACCGCAGGGAGAGAAAGACAGATGCTATGTGACTTACAGTAGTATAAGGTACTTGCTGCCTACACAGACCTCAAGGATGTAAGGCTGATCGATGCATTCCTGAGATTCTTAAGTAGACTGCAAATCTTGCAAATAGCAAAGACATATTGAACACAGTGGTAGATTCCCAAACATTCACCTGAGTATCCTAGTAAGAAGCCTCTCATACTGCGGGCATTTAGTATGTTTTGAAATGTTTTCTTCATTGAAACACACACACACACACACACACACACACACACACACACACCCTTTTTTATATCATCACTTTGTTCTCTTAAGGCAAAATATGCATGGTTCCAGAAGGAAGGAGAAAAAGAAGTGAATGAAGAACTCGCAGCAAATTGTCAGCTTGAAGATTCAGGCTGGGTGACAGTATAATAATGCTGCTAAGTCAGACTTGCAGAGTTTTTAGAAATTCTCATTATGCCACAAAAATGTATGGATCTCAGCAACACTTCTCATTGTCTTCTTTCTTTTCCTCTTACTTCCTTTTCCCATTGAAAACTATGGCTCCAAGCTATAGCACCTCTCTGAACCCACACACTCCATTTTCCCAGCAGTAGGGAACTCCAGGGAACTGGCAACCAATTGTGAACAGATAAAAAGAAGTGTTAAATTCTCATGGAGCCTATTTCCTGCTTCTTTTAAACACTAGAGTTCTCTTCCCTTAGGGAATCTGTAGATGCTCCAGAGGGTCTGTGACCTTGGCATGGCCTCCATTCCAAATTTTGTGCATCTGTGCATTCGCTTGTTCTCAGGAGAGTCTACTGCTTATTACAGATTCTCAAATGGATTCAGAACCCTCAGAACAGTTAAGGCTTCCCGGATCAGACTCTTCACTTTTCCTTTGGCTGCTTTCTTTGTGTTTGTCCACTGTGCTGGTTTTCATGGTCCTCAGTCAGGCTTAGTCGGGATCTAGTTTGGTAGAACACTGGACATCATTTGCTATATAGGATTTTTATAATTTTATTTGTAAGAGGGACTGCTGTCAAGAGGTTTAAGAAACAAAAACTGGCAGACGAAACAATCACCAAGGATTGAAAACTGGCTCAGTTGATAATTGCTTGTCCATTTCATTTGGGGACCTGAATTTTACCAACAGGGATAAGCTCTGCATTTTATTGACTTTCTCAGAGACCGTTCTTTATTTCCTTCAATTGCATGCAATCTCTTATAGGCAGAACATGATGCCCAGGAGTAGGGATGGGAGAGAAAGGGAAGCTCATTTGAATTTAGGTCTGGGGTAGGCTGCTGGAGGATGAGAGACCATGTGGAGAAGAACTGATGTGTTCTTTTTCCCCATTCATTTTTCACTCTTCCTAACATTTCTTTCTCCTTCCAAGTCAAGTAGGAAATGGGTTTTGCACATTACTGATATCTGCCCAGAGATGATTACTGGTTTCCCTGGATTGTGTGCAAGGTAAAATGATCTCAGTGATAATTCTAAAGGTACCTAATAGACAGGCCTGAGTTTCAACTTCAGAGCAAAGGGAGAGAGAAGAACAACTTCCAGAGTGATTTTATTTCTTAATTATCAACAACATAAGAGTGACTATGTCTAATCTAAAACACAAATTAAGTATCTATTTCCATCACTAAAGAGAAACCACTTTTTTTTTTTCAAGCAGAATTATTTATCATCAGTGAAACAACAGCTGCTCTCCCAGGCAAGGATGGGATAGTCTGATTGACAGCCTAGGACCACTAGGGGACAGACCACACTCTTCAGGTCCACTTTGGACCACGTCCCCCATGGAATGCGTTGGACCCAACTAACTTCCATAGCAGAGAGTAGAGGCACCATTCATTCAGGCATTTTCTGGAGGATATCCTGCATTTACTATTCCACTGTTAAACCAGGAACATGGAACCTCTCTTGGTTCATACTTTTACATTCTCCTTTTTACGTTTGTGACTTACATTCTCCTTTTTAATTTTGTGACTTACTATCGAAGACTGATTGTGAGTAATTACTGTAATTTCTCTGATCATCTGCCTTGTCGTGTTCTCATTGTCAACCTCCAACTGAATATCCCCAGTCAATTCTAATAGAGCCGCTCCAACCCACAGCCAAGTGGATTGTACACACTTTATAGTAAGGAAATAGTTCTTGCTTATAGGAAGAGCCATCCACTAGGCTGGTTTCGAATACAGTAGTAGGGAGCAGAAGAATCTTAAATGAAAAAGAAAATTGAGGTACTGACATGTTGCCTAAATATTCATCTTTCAAAATTATCTTGGTATGCTGGAAAGAATTATCTCTCAGAACACAGTCCTCGGAATGCCTGGATTGCAAGCTCTATGGGGACAACACCGGTTTTGCTCATGTCCTAGGTGCAGAGTATCATGTCATAGATACCTGCTGAGTAAATTAAAAAGATCAGGAGGTTCTAGATTCTAGCAAGAGTTATTAAGTAGTTGTGCTATTCAGTGTGGATGACTAAGGTTATGGAGTTCTTTGGGCATTGGTAAGACATTTAATATATTGGGGGTCAAGCAGGCTGTCTAACTAAGCGAATCAGGTAAAAGACAATAGAAAGTGGTGAGGATTGTGGTAAACTGGAGGGTACGTGCTCCTCCACAAGTCAAACAGATTGAAAGCATTGTGCTGGCCAAACTCAATTTGTGATCCAATGAGTGATGCACATTGCACTTGTTAGCTCTGAGCTGTCTAGGACTCTGCTAAGCACAAGACAGAAGGCACATCATAAGAGATATGGAATGAAAAGAAACTCATGAGATTGAACACGAGGTAAAAATACTCTCAGATATTCTAGCAAAAAAAAAAATCCTATCAATTACAGATGAGGCTAGCATTCTCTGTTACTTTGGTCTGTAGTCAGGTCCAAGCTCTTTGGAGCAGCTATAGAAAACAAGAGAAGAAGTTAACTACTCCCAAACATCAGCTTTGGGTTCAGAGTTATTTCTAAATAAAGGAGAAAAGGGGGTGAAAAGTAGATGTCTAAGCTAGAAAATTACATGCTAGTATCTTCACAAGCAAGATATCCCTTTAAAAAGCTAGAATAACCCACAAGAATGCTGCATTTGGCAAGGTCGTATAAAGTGTAATTTGTTAGTGAAACCTTATTGGTACCCTATTAAATTCCACACAGATAACAAGGCTAGAGGAAAGGAACTTGTGTTTGATATCTGTCTGCTTGAAAAAGTAATTTCCATTTTTTTAAAGCAGGTGCACTTCATAGAATCTCAGCATATTTCCACTGGAGATGACCTCCACGTGTATCTAGCACTATGTCTCACTTTGCAGAGACTCTGAGGGTGAGAATGTAATCATCTGAGCTCTTCTTCGGGAGGAAACTGTCTCTATTTGGGATAATTCTGTGATGGTTGGTGGGTACCTGAGGTCATGGGTGCCTAGAGAGCAAGGAGATCTGACCTGCTCTGCCTGGGAAGAATCTGCCCACACCCATGAGAGGAGGAGATACTAAAGAAACCAAGGGGCAGATAAAAGAAGGTGGCGAGGATCTGGCAAGAAATGTGAGGCTGGGCAGGAAGAGGCCACCGCCCGTGCCCAGTGATGAGGGGATGAAATGACTCCTCAAAGCAAGTGCTTACTTAAAGTTCTTTGTGTTTGCAACATAAATCCCCTCCTGGCACCTGTGACATCTTCAGGAAAATACATTCTAGTCACAGATGCCTTGGGTGAATGGTAAGAGTTTTTTGGTGAAGGGAAATCAAGGGAGTTGGCTGAATTTTACACTTGAGTAACCATTGTGAAGAATGATTGTTTGGGTAGGAAGGAGACATAATTTATTAACTGGAAAGTTTTGGTAGAAGTAGAAAACTGTATCCAGAAGTAAAACGAAAATCTAGCTCCACTCCTAGAATTTAAAGGAATATTGGGAAGGGTTAAGACTTCTACAGGGTACATTATGGGGATTTGAGTGGATCTTATCTACATCTCAAGGGTCCAGGTATTTCTAGTTGACATCTGGATTACATAGATGAGAAAAATGAGGTTCAAAAAGTTGAATTATGTGGATGTGGTCACACTGCTCTATAGTGGCAGAGCTGGGACAGAAACCCATTGTTGGTGACAAAGTTTAACCCAGCTCTATTTCATAGAGGGAGAGACCTCAATGTTAGTTTTGCATCAATGTACACATTTTTTCTTTTAGCAGTAATTTTTTTACTTTTGAAATAATTTCAGACTTATGGAAAAGTTGCAAGAATAGTGAAAATAACTCATATAGCCATGTCACCCAGAGTCCCCAATTGTTAACATTTTACTGCATTTAAAAAATTATTTTCCTACATATACGTATTACTTTGGTGAATCATTTGAGAATAAGTTGTAGATGGTGTGTGTGTGTTTTCTAAGAACAAGGCAGTATAAGTATCAACATCAGAAAGTTAACTCTAATGTGATATCATTTTCTAATTTACAGACATCACTGATATGTTGCCAACTGTCTTAATAGCATCCTTTATGGAAAAAAAAATAAAAAATCTGGCCCAAAGTTCAATCCAAGATCACATGTTGCATGTGGTTGTCATTTCTTTTTTTAATTTGGAAGAGTTTCTTAGTCTATCTGTCTTTCTTTTATGACGTTAATACTTTTGAAGAGTACAGGCCAGTTATTTTGCAGACTGTCTCTCAATTGGGATCATCTGCTTTCTCATCATTAGATTGAAGTGATGTATCATGGCAGGGGCATTACACACGTTGTGGTGTGTGCTTCTTGATGCGCTGTTCACAGTCTTAAATGCAGCTACCTCCACTTCACAGTAACTGCTCTGGTCTCACCTACGTAATAGTGACTTACAAACTGAGCACAAGACATAATTGTGGGTACATTCAGTGCTATTTGCTCACATGTTTCTGAGCATCCAAGTGTGAGAATGCCAAATAACTAAAAAAACACAACTTACTTCGGTGGACTCCTATTGCTATAATTATCCAAACAAGGCCAGGTATGGTGGCCTGTAATTCCAGCACTTTGGGAGGCTGAGACAGGAGGATCATTTGAGCCCAGGAGTTTGAGACCAGCCTGGGCAACATTGCCAGGCCTTGTCTTTAGAAAAAATAAAAACCTAGTCAGATTAGGTGGTGTGTGCCTGTAGTCTTAGCTACTTGGGAGGCTGAGGTGAGAGGATCACTAGAGCCCAGGAGTTGGAGGCTGCTGTGAACTATGATCATACCACTGTACTCCAGCCTGGGTGACAGAGTAAGGCCTTGTCTCTAATACAATAAAAAATTACCCAAACAAGAAGCAACTCATTGGAAATGAAATATAGAGTACATGACTTTTATTTATTTATTTTTATTATTCCTTTTTAAAAATTTTTCAGGACGGGCATGGCTGGGCCATAGAGAAAAAAATGAGAATGAGGAGCTGGACATTTTGAGTAAACCCAATGACTCATAAGCTATAAAGGGCTATAATAATCAAAACTACTGAACAAGAAGCCATTCCATTCCCAGAGGTAGAGTGGCATATGGATGCACAGAAAATCATATGCTGTCCCATAAAACCCACCAATGAGAAACAGTGCAAGACAATTTCACACAGAAGGCAAACAAGCCACATTATTTAGATGAATAAAGTAAATATGATTTCACTAGAGAGGTGGACAGCTTGACAGCTCCTTAAACAGATGCTTTTCATGCAGTGGAGGAGCCTAAATTATTTATGTGTGACTTCAGCTCCTCTCTCAATAGCACAAGGCCTGTGGAGTGAGGACATCATGTCTTTGAGTAACCAGATGTGACAAAAGATCTCATTCAGCCTCAACTTATTAGGATGTGTCACCAGGTTAGCATGGTCTGAGAAGGTCCTTTGCATTTAGAACGAGAGACCAATTGCTAAAACAGTTTGTCACACCCCAACACATAAAGTAGACATTTGCAATAGCAAAATAGAGACCTCAGATTGTATGAATTCTTATAAACTAGACTATAGAACTATAGAACTATAAGTGTGCTTGTCCTTGGGCATAAACTTGAACCTGTTATCTTTCTGTCTGTAGAATCAACCCCTTTCAATGTGCCTCATCTTCATAGGGCTCAACACACACTTGTTAATAAAATAAGAACTCATGTATGAATGTTCTTCTGTAATTAGCTGATTTGTAAGAGGCTGTGTGGAAGGGAAACTAGGGGAGAGAGGGGTAAGTCACTGACTTAGCACTCAGTACACTTGGCTGTAAGCCAGCCCTGCCTACTCCTATGCCATTCCTAAGCATTTGTTCTCCACGGATAATGCTCAATTCTCTTCTGTAATTCCAGGATCCACTCTTCCCCATAAGCAGGAAAACAGTATGAAGCAGCTTGTGTTGTCCATGGTTATCCATTATTCTAGGGCTGAGCTCACTGTCCATAGTGGGATTCAAACTATGATGTACCCCCTAAGAACTGAACAACTGTTTTATATCAAGTCTAGAATGACACCCAGATAATGAGACAGGTAGTGGTTATCTGACATACAGCCTCACTCACAAACTTTCTTTCTAGCCTCAGGCAACATTTCCATATATCATTCCAGAAAGAAAAAATTAAAAATGAGCATTATTTCTTTGGAATATCAGGGAGTAATGTGCCTATTAGGTGAGCTAGGATCATGGTGATACACCACTGTTCTTTCTTTTCTTCTTGGCTTCTAAGTTACGGGATTTGTTCTGCATTCATATATTTATATGTCAGGGGAGGTGCATTTAATTGTTTTGTTCTTAGCTGGACTAATCTTCATGGATAGAACTGGCTGCTCTACCAGCCGTTCAGTGTGACTACAAGGACAATAATTAATCAAGCCATTAGTATCACTGATGCCATCATCCAGTGACAATGGAATCAAAGACATATAACCTGACTTCCTAGTGGCATCATCTATTAAATGATGTGCTACTTGTTGCCAGAATTAGTGATTCCACAGGACAAAGAAACCAGGCAGAGATCAAGGCTTCTCCAAGTCACTATTAGCTCAACTTCTTATCCTAGGATGTCCTGTATGTGGCCATCCTGCCACACTTCCCAAGTACCCTTCGATGCCTCCTTCCACCTACCTGCAAAATCCAAATTCCTCAGCATAGTATGGGTGACTGGTCATGAACTGACCCCAGGTCACTTCTTTGGCCTCATCTCCCAGTCTCTTGTCATCTAGACAGACAAAACTACTTGCAATCCTCCGAAAAACCGTGCCCATTTCATTGCACATCCTGTGGTTTTCTTTATAAACCTCTTCCTTTAAACCTCTTGAAATTATAAGCCTCATTGTAAATTTACCTCAATGTATTATTGCCTGCTTTGTGAAGACTTTCCTTCTGCTGACAGTCACGGCCTCACATGCACTATATATTAAATCTATCACAAAAACTTTCTGGACTTGTTTACATGGAGCACTCCCATTTGTCTGTAATCAGCGCGAACTGATCCTAGAAAGACATTCGTTTAACCCTTCATTTTATACGTGAGGGAAAGCAGATCAAACACTATGTTTATGTGCCTAACAACTATTGCAAAAAGCATTTGAGCCTTGTTGCTTACTGGCTGTGGTTTAGACAATGCATTGTTGATACAATTGAACCAGCTTTCCAGACTGAATGAGACAGACAACTAGATTGTGTGACACTCCTATGAGGGATTAGCCACAAACACCAACTATTTTAGGGCTGGGCTAACAGTCCACAATGGGATTCAAACTATGATGTACCCCCTAAAGACTGAACCACTGATTTATATCAAGTCTAGAGTGACACCTAGGTAATGAGACACGTAGAGGGGATCTGACATACAGCCTCACTCACAAACTGTTTCTTTCTAGCCTCTGACGAACCTCAATTTTATGTAACTTTAGGTCCTCTGTGTAGCACATGATATTGATGCACTGCCTGCCTTCCCTTGGTCCACCCTGGAGGTCACCTGTACAGAGTACATACAGATGCCAATGTCTTTCAGGCACCGCTCTCCTGAGGGTGTTCTCTGGCAGTGGAAGCATGCTTGGTCTACTTACAGCAGGCAGAAGTATGAGAGATTTGAAGTTCCCCAGGAGCAACCATCAACCAAGAAGAAATGGTAGCTGGAGGTTAAACATCCCAGCCTCCTCACCCTTTGATGGGACAACACAGATAAGTTGTAACTGTCAGAGGGGCCTGTAGTAGGAAATTGGATCCATGTTTTGTTCATATCTCCCTGTATCCATTCCCTTGGTTAGTCTCCTCCCACACTGACTCTAAACTTGGCCATGTGACTTGCTTTGGCCAATGAAACTTAGTAAATGCAACACAAGCAGAGACTTAAAAAGTGTTTTCATGGGCCAGGTGCAGTGGCTTATGCCTGTAATCCCAGCACTTTGAGAGACCAAGGCAGGTGGATCACGAGGTCAGGAGATCGAGACCATCCTGGCCAACATGGTAAAACCCCGTCTCTACTAAAAATACAAAATTTAGCTGGGTATGGTGGTGTGCGCCTGTACTCCCAGCTACTTGGGAGGCTGAGGCAGGAGAATCACTTGAACCCGGGAGGCGGAGGTTGCAGTGAGCTGAGATCGCGCCATTGCACTCCAGCCTGGCAACAGAGTGAGACTTCATCTCACAAAAAAAAAAAAAAAAAAAAAAAAAAAAAGTGTTTTCACCTTGGGGTTTGATTTTTCATCTATCTATTGGAATCATCTTAGGCCAGTAAGATTGAATCCCAGTTGCTTACTTGTTCCCAAATCCATGTCTTAGTGTGTTGCATTATGTTTGTTTACTGAACTTACTCAGTATATGTTTGTTGAATGACCTTAATAATCTTCTCCTTCTATACGTCCCTGTGGTATGACTGTAGCTCTTGCTAATTTCTTGGTCCATTGGCTTGAAACTCCCATAACTCTTCTTTGGTCCTCTCCTCATTTTCTAGTTTATGGCCAGAATGGTTTGTTTCTGGCTTCGGCTGCTGGGTCCAAATTTGGGTTAATGACAAACCTCATTTAAGACACAACTCTCCAAGGATCCCTGTCCCTTCTCCTCTGCCTAAAGTGCTGCTACTGAACTTCAAGAGATCACAAATGGCTTGTTTCCCATCCTTCTTCCCACATTTTAGGTTCTTCAAGGTCTCTCTTGGTCTCCCATTCTTGGCTGACAGTTCCTAGAAACATAGTCAGCTGGAACTGACTAGAATTGACTCTTGGATGTCAACTACCTTCTTGGGTTTGAGCTTCCATCATCACTGAAGAGAATTGGTGGTGCCCTGATAAAAGTGATATTTTTTCTTCCCACAGAAATAGAGGAGAAGCTAAAGGCAAAGAGGAATAGGATTTGTGGGTCACCTTATTCTCCTCTGTCACTGGATTCTTAATGATTAAGTCACAAAATTTTAGGCTATTAAGGGCAATTAAGGAAATCCACTTAACACAGGCACTAAATAGGATGTTCCTATAACCCTTCCTAGCATACTTGGTTTTCCTGATTGCACCATCTCATGAGACATCGGCTGGGTGTGCAGTGAAAATCTAATGATGATGCTAAGCCTTTAAATTTTTTTCTCAGTATTTATTTTGGTATTTATTGAGTGCTTACTAAATATATAGCACTGTTTAGTCACTAAGGGAGTAGTCAAGGAAGTATAAATTCCTATTCTGTCTTTTACCAAGTGTAAACCCAATGGTTGTTGGTGTGGAATCCTTGAGTCTATGAATAGCTTTGTTTGGAAAATCAGAATTTATAAAAATTCTACGGGTAAAATGGTAAAAAAACAAACCAAAAAAGCACATCAGGAGGACCTGAAATGAATTAGTATGGTCAGACCAAGTTGGTGTATGTGGCTAATCACTTATAGGAGTCTCACCCAATCTAGTTGTCTATCTCATCCAGTCTGGAAAGCTGGTTCAGTGATATCAATAATGCATTGTCTAAACCACCGCCAATGAGCAACAAGGCTCAAATGCTTTTTGGAATAGTTAAGCATACAAACATAGTGTTCGATGCCCTTTCCCTCATTTATTTCCTTCATTTATTAAATGAAGGGTTAAATTAATGTCTTTCTAGGATCCCTTCCTGTTCTGAAAGGCTGTAATTTCATAATTATAATTATCATTTGTAAAAATGTAAATGACTGGAAAAACCAGTTAGAGTAATGCAGACTTGATTGGCTAGGTATGTCACAATATTCTGGTGGGATAGCAATCTCCAGTGGTCTGACAAGTGCTAAGAAATTATTAATTCATAAATACCTTTAAAACCACATCAAGTGACTGTAACACTATTTTTCTATTTTAACCACTATACCTCTTGAAGGGATGGTCTATATTTGGTACCTCCACTTCATCACACTTGATGCTTTCCTTCATGATTGGGCTTTTTTCCTGTAGCAGACATGTTTACTTTCACACTCAGATCCTCTTGGATAGGCCTTACCATTTTGTGGGTGCCAGCCTCTGCATCTGTTTGCAAGTATTTTTCTGGATGGCCAAATTCTGCTCTGTCTGAGCATATGCCAGGACAAAATGCTGGAGTGTTAACATCAGCCTGGAGTAACTCTCAATCATTAATTAATATGTCAATGCAATGCGTGTATAAATACCCCAACTTCCTCACCCCTCAGGCAGGATAACTCTGAAGCACATATTCTACACCAGCTCCCAGTTTTCCAGTGGGATTGAGTTCCAGTTACCCACAGTGACAACTTGCTTTATGATGTACCCTTTATTCCTGCCTTCCTTTCCTTATCTCAATTCCCCACTCCTCTACCAGTATTTTGTAGAATCACTCTTTAAGTAAACTACTTGCATTTAAGTCCTTATTCCAGGGCCTACATCTGGGGACCCAAATTAACACTCGTCTCCTCTTCCACTGTGCTAGGGTGACTCCTCCTATTTCAACAATGACTTTGTCTCTAAAACCAGTGGCTGAGGTTGCTTCCTTCTTTCCTTCTTAACTCTCTCCTCCTTTCCTTTCACAGGCCTGTGTGCTCTTGATTCTTTTTCCATATCTCTAACCGTCCAAGTTCTGACTCCTCTCCTGGTTCCTCTTTCTCCTTTCATGTCCAAAGTTCTCCAACATTTTGTCCTAGGACTTCGCTTTGTTTTCTCTCAACAGTCTTCCTTGACAATCCTATTTCTTGCCATAGCATGAATGAGGTGTATGTGAACAAATCCTTGTGCATGTTACTTTTAGTGTCTTGATCACCTTCATCTCCTTTTTACTTTGATAATTCACTTCCATGAACTTCATCATTATCTGGAAGTGCTCAATTTTTGGAGCCTTGAGCTTCAATATCCCACTCACCAACCATAGCTCTCTCCCTTTCATCTCTCTCACTGTTATTTCCAATTTACCTATTCTTCTATTTCATTGACACTCTATTATTTGGAAGATTCCATTTCTCTCACCTCTCAACCCTAATCTGAATGTTGCTTAAGACATTCTTAAGATGTCTGCTGGTGCCACCATAAATCCATTCTTTCCCACTTGCCTCTGCAGTACTGCCCAGAAATCATGATCTGTCCTTTGTCCACTCCCTCTCTCATGTCTACTAGCAGTGTCTGAACTTCCATCTCCTTGAAGCCCCCATCCTAACACCTCTTCCTTCCCTCTGAACATTGACCTTGCCTCTTAATCCTCTGAAATAATTGTGATTCCTAAGTGGATATTATCACCACATTCTCCTCTGTGACCTAAAAACAGGACTTCCCCTGCCAATTTTTTCCCCTTTAATCTGAAACTGAGACAGCTCCTTTTTCATGCTTAGGCTAATTTCTTCATGTTTCAGTAAAACCTAGCTACTCAAAAGATGAATAAAAATGAATTTGTAATTGAAGTTCTGATAAAAGGACTTGTGGTAACATTAGAATTTTAAGAAAGAACTAATATAAGCAATACTATAAATTATGGTTATTAGTAGAAGGTTAATATTTATATGTAACACAATGCAAAAATAATGATATACCTAACAAACATTGGAATGTGGAAGTAGGGAAGCTGAGAGAAAGTGTCAGGATGCTAATTTCCCCATTTTACAAAGCACTGAGTCCATAACTCACAAAAGTTGAATTATGTAATTAAATAAGTAAACATGTAATTAAATATATGTAACCTATCTACCATGTATGTATAAAATATGTAACTACAAACTCCTAAATATGAGACACAATAATTTCTTATGAATTTTAGGGAGGTATATTAGGAAATAATATCTCCTTTGTATAGCATATTTATCTGAAGTTTAACAATTTCCATAGTTTTCTTTTGATTTTCTCTTCTGTTAAATTTTATAATAATTAAACTGAATGATTTAAAACTTAAAATAGCACATATGATGAGATCTCAGCTCTATAAAACAATTTATATATCTCTCTTCTCTCTATACATATTCATACAGAAGTATCTGCAATAGAGTTTATCTAAAGCTGGTAATGGTTATTTCTGAATAATGAGATTTGAGATAATTAAAAAAGACCTTCTTGTATTTTTTTATTACTTGGTATTTTTTAAAATAATGATGAGTGATTCTGACAAAAATATCAAAGTTATTACATTTTTCATATTATCAGGGTTCCTAACTTATCTCGTGATTTAATTTGATTATGTCCACTCACGGTATTCATGAATATTGCAATGTGTAAAAATACTGTCTTGACATTGAGATGTTTACCATCTCACAAATGGAAGGATTCACTTTTTTGTTTGTGTGTGTCATTGTTTAAATCTTAAGAGGAAAGATATTCAATTGTCTACTACATCTAATACCAACATCAATCAAGTAATTCATTCAACAAATATTTCCTGTAGACTTAGTTTTGCCAGACACTGTGTTTACACAGAAAGCAAGGCTGACCATCTCTTTGCCCTCTACTTAAAACTTTAGAAGAGTGAAACCCAAATATTCCAGGTCAAAACTTTTTTCTCTAATGACTTACAACACTTTGCAAATGTTTTAAACCTAAGTTATTATCTTTATGTTCTTGATGCTTCCAATAGTGATTCTGTATATTGTTCACTTTTCTTTGGACTCTTTTGCCTTTGATACAAAATGAGCATGAAATGAATCTATTTAGGAAAAACTAGGAGAACAATTGGATATTTATGGAAGTTAATGTCAAATTTAAAGTTGTAAACAAAGAGCAACCCCAGGATCCTACAGTTTTCTCCCCATTCTTGTCAATTTTCTAATGGAGAAACTGCCAATACGCTGTAACAGTCTGAAGTCTACTTTATGTCAGGAAATTAAGAGTGTGTCATTGTTCTACTTTCAATGTAAGAACTTGTTTTATTCAATTATTTTTATCGACAATCTCAGCACATCACAACAATTTCCAAAAAGTTGTGGTCAAATTAGCTTCAGTGACAAAAAATTGTCAAGGCAGTTAAATTATTTTCATATGTGTCTCGCATATAAACCATCCATTAATACACAACTATACATTTCAGACTGAAGTGTTGACTCAGATGTAATTTCTTGACTTCTTAATCACTTGTGGACTTTAGCTAAATAAATACACCTTAATAAGGAAAGTCAAATAGAAATGTCAGTTTTTGAGCTGTCCCGTGATTATTTGTATCTCAAATAATAATTCACAAATTCAGCACAGAGTTTCTTTTTGAAACGTTGGATCTGAACTCAATGAAAAATTGAACTTCAGATTTCATGTTTTATTCTTAAAGCCAGACCTCTTTGAGCAGTTAGTTTGAGTGGAATATATAATTATTGTGAACCTAACTATAGCATCACTATCTGATGTGCTATGACGTTATGATCTATAGCTAATAAGACCTTCTGAAATAGAAATTGATTTCTAGATATTCATTCAATTGAGAAAAAAAGGTGTATTTCCCCTCTTTCCCTTCTTTTGGATTTTGATCAGGTTGTAACTGCAGACTTTACTTTCTTTGTTCAAAGAGCTCATCTGTTCTACTACTGATAATATCGAAGTTGGGGAATTTTAGAGAAACAAAGAAGCATGCCAGTTGCCCACTTGCTGGTTGTCACTTAATTCTATTTCCTAGCTGAATGGCTGCCTATAGAGAAATGGATTCTACAGGAACAGTTTCTTAAAAAATAGTTTTTCCAGCACCTTCAACCTGAGATTATGGACAAATCACCACCTTGTGGTCCAACTGTAGTCATAGTCAAGGAGCACATATTAAACACCTATTATGAGTAGGGCACGTTGGTTGCCAGCAGGAAGAACAGTGTGTAGAATGGGTTCTATTTGTTGCTGGAGAAGACAAATCACAAATATTTGAAAAGTTGTTTGGTAGTATATTGTGAAAATATGTGTGCTCTCACAGAACTTTGGAACAATTTTTGTTGTGATCTGGCTCGGTTTGCCTTCGAGGTTTAGAGATTCACTCTAGCAACTTAAGCAAAGGGATATTTACTGACAGCATATTAGTTTGGGCAGTACTCCCAAATCTCAGTGTCTTAATGTAATAGCAGTTTATTTCTCACTCATATAAGGTCTTCTAATTCACGGACCAGGGACCTGGGCTCCTTTCATCTTGTGATGCTGCTTTGGCATTTGGTGTCAAAATGTACTGTTCTCAATTACATCAAGCCCCAGAGGAGAGCAGAACACAGAGAAACAATCGATAGAGAATTCTTATGCATCAGGCATGGAAGAAGTACACATGACTTCTGCTTGCATTACACAGGCTAGAATTGTCACATGATCACGCTTATTTACAAGGCAGGCTGGGAAATGTGGTCTTGCTGCAGCCCATGAAGAAGGAGCAATGAATCTGGTGCTTAGCTCTTCAGCCTGTTACAGGCGTCTTTTGCTGGAAACTGGGGTTGGAAAGCTATTAGAAACTTAGATAAAATGTCTGAGTTTCCCATGGCCTGAATGGGCTTTCTCATGGTAACTGTACTGCATTCTCCTCTCTAGAGCAACTAGCCAGTCAGATTTCCTGAGGAATCCAGTATAATTGGCTGAGATAATTACCATGGTCTATAATGAATTAAATTTACTGAATTTGGGCCAGGTCATCTCATGGGTCATGACTAGCCCATGGGTGGATTGCTGCTGGGCTGGGTTCCTATTCCTTACTCAATCAGTTGTCACTCCCTCACAAGTATAACCCACAGCTACTTTTTTGAGGAAAAGAGTGTCACTAGTGCACAACCAGCTTATTGTTACTACTGCAGTAATAGCTATTTTATCCTATGCACTCAGTGCTGTGCCCAGAACTTTACATGCACTAACTACATTATTTATTTTTCACAGCCACCATATTTTATTAACCATTTTCAGAAGACAATGAGCCTCTGAGAGATTTAGTAACCTAGCCAAGTTTCCAGTGCTATCTGATTCCAAATCCTGTCATCTTTACCTTTCAACATTATTGTTCCTCATTTTCTTCAGCCACAAGAGGTGTATTGGGGACAGTGAGCGTTCTGATGGCTATGACTGGTATCAGGGAAAGGAATCGATTATACATCATCAAAGCACCAAATGGATAGAGAACACTGTGGTCTAGGTCAACCAGACAGGTCTTGAGGGATTAGCTTGGATTCGATCTAAGGCACAACATGAATGGCAGCCATGTCTAGGGAAGCAAGGTTACAGGTTGCTATTTTCCCTTAGCTACTGTGGAAAATCTTTTAGTTCCAGAAGAACTGTCCCTTAAAGTCTTCTTAGATTGAAATCTTTCAGGGAATGCTTATGATCAAATCTATATGCTGTTTTTATTTTTTTCCTCCAAATATTGTCAATTTTGATCTAAAGAACTTTGGGATAGGGGATGTGGAAATACTGCAAGATAATTCTTCCTTTGACTTACAATTGGCTGCCTGACAAAGTAGAAGTAAAAGCATATAATCTGGATTGAACATTGTTGTGACATTACGATATCATTAAATGGGTGGTATCAAATATTCAAAATACATATATCTGACCAAAAATTTCTATCCATCATAGGTAAAGAAATCCTACAAATAAAAAGTGAAGATGGACAACCCAAAAGAAAAACTTTTCAGGACAAAGCATCTGAAACAAATGTGTTTAAAAGAGGATATCCAAATCATCAATAAGCATATGAAGAGGTGTTTAACTTCAGTTGATAATCAGGGAAATTCAAATTAAAGTCACGATGAGACACTACTACATACCACCAGAATGGCTAAAAGAAAACAGATGTAAAATATCTAGTGTTGGTGAGAATGTGGAGCAGCTGGAACTCTCACATACTGCTGAAGGGAATGTAAATTGGTATAACTACTTAGGAAAGCCATGTGGCTGTTTGTCTGTAGCCGGCAGAATTCTGAGATGGCCCCCAAGATTTCTGCTCCCTGATGTACATGCCCTATGTAATCATCTTCCTTTTGAGTGTGGACAGCCTAGGTGGGACTGTGAAGATGATAGATTTCACTTCTGTGATTAGATTACGCAAAGGTGAAGAGATTTATCAAATGTTATTAAAGTCCTAAATCAGTTGACTCTGAGTTCATCAGAAGAACCAAAAGGAAAACAATCCTGGTGGGCTTGAACGAATCAGGTTAACCTTGCAAGGAGAGTGGGCTCTTCCTGAAGGCAGATATTTGAAGGGTGAGGTGTGAGAGGGCTATGGAGAGGTCTCCAGGGGATGAGAGTGGTCCTGGCCCAGCAGCCAGCAAGAAAATAAAGACTTCAGGTCTAAAACCACAAGAAACTCAATTCCTTTAAAGCCGTGAAAATGCTCAGAAGAGGGTTGTTTCTTGGTCATGCCTCTAGATGGGACCCAGCAGCCTATACCTTGATTTCAGCCTGTGAAGACTCGAGCAGAGGACCCAACTAAAATGTGCCAGACTCCTTACCCATGAAAACTGTGAAATAACAAACTTGTGTGGTTTTAGGCCACTAAGTTTTTTAGTGATACACAGCAATAGAAAACTGATGGTCTTATAAAGCTGTATGCATGCATATCCTTTTACTCAACAATTCCATTTCTAGGATTCCCTGTAGAAGGCCATATATGTGTTTGCCAAAATACGTAGACTTTAATATCCACAAAAGCTATATTTATAATAGCTAAAACCTGAAAACAAAGCAAGTGAGTGAGAAAAGGACTTAGGGATACTGGTAATATTTTATTTCTTGATTTGGGTGCTGGTTACACATGTGTGCTCAGTTTGTGAAAATTCCCTAAGCTGTGTTCTTTCCTAAATTATACTTTAATAAAAGTGAAGCGACCAGAAATTTATTAATTTTTTACTACCTGGCAGCATAATGATTATTAGGTTGTTTTCAAAATTAAAAAATTCTCACACATTATAAAAATGGTCACATGATTTTACTTGTGTAATCATTTCAGCATCTGTCCTCTGTGGATAAAACATAAAACACACCATAATACAATGAAACCCCTAGGATAATATCAGGTTCTTTTTAAACCCTAACTCTCACTTGATTTTTGGTTAATCTTCAACAGGTTGCTTCAATAAATAATTTTTGTTTTCTGTTTCAAATCAATTAAAATTAGTAGCATTTTGAGAATTTTAAGGCACTCTTTGGAATAATGCTTTTGTCATTACTGTAAACTCATTCACTCTCCTAGACTTAAGTATCTTTTCTGATAGACATAGGTCTTTGGGCCAGGGCCAGGTCATGATAAAATAGAAAGCTTTAATCTCCATAACCTTTTCAGAGGTAAAGTTATAGGTGCTTTTATTTCATTTTAGAGAGAAAACAAATGTTTGTTCATGGTCTTATAAGAATCAATCAAATAATTGACAAACAATTAAATATTCATATACAGGCCACCATGCTAGATATGGAGACTATATAAAGATATAGTATGTCATTTCTCCTCTTGGAAGATTTATAGTCTACCTGAAGACATAAATACACGTACCCATTAGCTAATGACATGTTCATGTGTTAATAGAAAATAAATGATAAATATAATAAAAGTAAAAAGAAAAGGGAAAATAGCAGAGCTCTAAAATTGTGTCTCAAGGGAAGAGTTCTTGGCAGTCAGGGAAGGCTTCCTGGAGGCAGCATGATGTAGAAAAGCAATTATTTTTCAGTTAAGCAAATTTGGTTTTAAGTCTGAGTTCTTTTACTTCTCAGATATAAGCAGATACTTAACTTCTCAAGGCCTTAAGGTTTTCATCTGAGAATTACAGCTGATGCCAGTAATTTCTCTCATAGATTTGTGAGCTTAGAATGAGATAATTTAATAAGAAAGCATGTTCTTCTAGCCTCCATTGCTGACCTTTCATATGGATGAATAAATAACCACTGAGAATCTTTTGTGTCTGACACTGAGCCTCGGAGCAGGGAGCAGTAGGGAGTTGGGAAGCATGCTAAGCATCAGAGCAAGGAAGGAGAAGGACATAAGGGCCTCTAAGATGCACAATAACAAATGTTGGCAAAAGTACAAAACAGTATGATGAAAGCAAGATAGGACGGTGTCTGGGAAACCTGGGATAATAAATACAGACAAGGAAGTTTCCTTCAAGGCTGGCAAAACAGTAATGTGCTGGTTACAGGGAGGAAATGAGAAATATAGGAGGTATCATCCCTGAATATTTACCTTTTAAGTAGAAATACAACAACTGAACCCATATTTACTTATATACCTGAAATAATGAGGAAAAGTGATGGCATTTATTAGCTTATGTAGTGCAGTGTTTGCCTATCAGTCGCATAAAAATTTGGAGGAGGGAAAGCTCACTGTGGTCTGTAGCATCAGGAAAGGTTTGAATTTAGGTCTTGAAGAATGGACAAGACATGGATCCAAAAGGAGGTTTATTCTAGGCAGATGTTGCACCAGGCAGTCCCTGTTACTTAAACGTGTAAAAGGGGAAAAAAAATCACTGGATTTGGTTGTGGGGTACTACCTGAGAGGTTATGGAGAAGTAAGGAGAGAGGTCTCTCAGATGGGAACTGCAGGTTTCAGGTTGTGATGCAAAATCAGTGTGCTCCTCTCCAAGAAAGAATGAAGGACAAAGAGGCCTAGTTATCTGATCTCTGATCCTAAGGGCACATTTTCAAAGGGGGCAGCAAAGAGAAGAGAAAACCACTGAGAACAATGGTTTTCAGAAACCTATGGCTCCCTCCCACTCCCCCGCACCCATGAAAAGGTGTGGGGGAGGGGGAGGGAGCCACAGGTTTCTGCAGCAAGATCACACTCAAGAATTAAAATCCCTTTTCAACTTATCTCAATGCCCCACATCCCCTGAAAGCACCTAGCTTGCTTGGGTGGGTACTAAGGAGTAAAGAGCATGGGTTCACTTCTGAAAGATCTGGATTGAAGCCCTTGCCTGTTTTTATCTCGCACCCTTTTCTGAACCAATTTCCTCAACGGGGCCATAGGCTCAATAATGATAGTAGCCTCCTCAGAGATGTTGAGAAGATTAAGTAAAAATCTATGTAAGGACTCCAGCACGTAAGCTTCCGTATAACTAATAATAATCACTATTATATTTTATAATGGCGTTTGGGTCCTGGGTCTTGCCAAGTTTGGGGTGGGGGGGAGTGAAGAAGGAAGGTCGGCTTCTTTATTGTGTTGGTGTCTCTCAAAACAGCCGGCAGGCCACGGGCCAAAACCACAGCGGGGTGCTCCCTCCGCCGGCGCCTTCTTTCCCCTGCTCCACCCACGCTTTCCAGAGCAACAAGTTCCTTTCCGCAAGACCCGCCCGCGCGCCACCGGCGGACCCAGAGCCTCTTCCCAGACCTCTGTCAAACTCGTCGCCAGACCCTTCTGGGGTCGAAATTCCGGTACTGCCTACGCCCTTAGGAGGAGGGAGAGGCCCCCACACCTGGAGGAGCCCTGGCGGTGGCTGGGAGAGAGGCGGGAGGCTTGGGAAGTCAGGACAGAAGAGACTAATAAGAGCTTCGGTCTGCGCGGCCCTTCAAGGCAAAACCAATAACCAAAAGCACCCACCGCTCATCTCACTCCTCTCTCTTCCTGGGATCAGGAGCGAGATGGAGCCTAAAATCTCAGGGACCTCCACCCAGCCCTCTGGTAGCCACATCTCTGTCCTTTGGGTTCCCCTCGCCCCACCTTCTCTCTGCACCCACACTCCACCCCAGCCTGCGCCAGGTCCCCTAAGGACACTGGAGAACCCTGATACATCTTTTGCAGGAGAGACACGCAGGTCAGCCACAGCCCCCACCCAGCGCCCTTCTCTCTGTCCTCCCAGGATGAGTACCCTGGAGTCTCCAAAGGAGATCCAAGGTGTCCAAAGCTGGGAGGCTCACCTATCTGCTCAAACTGTCGAACTCTGGCAACTTCTTGGAATGGGGATCCCCACGCTCTAGTGGGAAAGCCAGGCTGGCCGCCCACGCATCAGGAGAGGACACCTCGACTTCTCCGTAGGGAATCCCCCTCAAAATCCACCTCTCCAGCTCCTGTAGCCGGGAGTTGAGAACTAGGGAGCCAACCAGAAGTGCGCTCCAGGGGTGGGCGGTCGTGGGCGGGGGTGAGGGCGCAGAAGTTCCGCCCCGATTTTAGAGACCAGTTTCTTTCCAAATCTAGAGTCAGGAAGCCGTTGTTCCCGGAGAGGAGCAGGGACCGAAGTCCCTGGGAGGGAAGTCCTCCCGGCGCGGGGTGGGAGAAACACCGAGGTGAATTGCAGTGTCCAAACGTCCAGCCTCGTCTGTAGGAAACTATTCTTTCTCCGGGGGATGGGGGTGGGGGAGACTTCCCTGGCCAAGTAGCCAACGCCAGGCTTAGCTGTTCAGGGCTTCATCCCTCCATCCCCAGGCAGCCTCGAGAACTTGGTACCTCGGACAGCATCCCCGGAGCATGGCATCCTGTGAAAGGTGTTATCCTATTTTCGCCATCAAGTCAAAGAGCAGTAAATTATTTTGATGACCTTACTAGTACAGATGAAGGACATTTTAATTACATAACCGGTGAAAGATCACCGGAGGCAATATCGTGTTAAAGAGCCCATGGCAGAATATCTGCATCGCATGAGAAAGAGAGAAAACTTGCAAATCTGCAATGAGATTGCGCAGGGCTGCCCCCCCGTCCCCCCGTTTTGAAACAACATGCGAAATGCATGGGAGAGCTTACCTTTCGGACTCCAAAGCCGTGTTCTGCTGCAACTTGGCGAGCTTTGTCCTCTCCCCCTTTATGCAACTCCACAAGAAAATGATTCGTGAAGACCGGTCGCTCAGCAGATGCAAAAACCATGACACAGAAGAGGAACCCGGCGGCCGCCTTCCACTGGGAGACACAACCACCCTTCATCCTTCTTTGGGAGTGAAAAGTGGTGCTAGGAGGCGCGCAGGCTGGCGGAGCAGGGGACTCGGAGGGAGGGTGCAAATAAAGAATTCTTATATATAGTTTTTAAAAAAATCTTTGTATAGAGAAAGAGACTGAACAGGGTCTTGGAAAGCAGCGAATCAGTGTGTGTTCTCCAGCATCTGGCTGGAGGGGAAGCCGTGCAGTCAGGCGGCCCGGCGCGCGGGCAGGGGTGCGAATGTGGGGAGCTGTGTGTACCGGAGAGAAAGAGCGAGTGTAGGTCTGTGCTTGATGCTAAATCTGCATTTTCAGCTCCTCCTCAGCTCCAATTCCCTAGGGGCTGGGGGAGAGCACCAGCTCGGGTGACGTGAGTCCGCCAGCGGCCAATGAGGGCGGGGGAAGCGGCGGGCCCCGCCCTGGGCCGCCCCGGGCCCGCCCCCGCCCACCCCCGGCCCGGCCCGGCCCGGCCGCCTCCGCCTTCTGGGGGCGCAGCGCAGCGCAGCGCAGCGCAGCGAGCCCGCGCCCCCGCCCCTTTCAGCACCGGAGAGCTCCCCCATCTCAGCCTGGCCCGCCGCGCGCCCAGGAAAATCCCCCCAGCTGTAATCAGGCCAGCGGCGGCGGAGTGATGTCATTGTTTGTGGGAATCTGTAGGCTCTGGGAAGGGAATTACGGTGTGTGCCGCTCTCAGAGGCCCCGAGGGGAGCAGGGGCGCCGGCCTCTGTGCCTCTTCCTGCTTGTTTCCCGCTGCAAAAACACCTCTCTCTCTCTCTCTCTCTCTTTCTCTCTCTCTCAAACACACACACACACACCCAAGGCATACTTGCCTCCCCTTATCCGAATAACAAAGCAAATATTAACCCTCCTCCCACCACTTTGGGCAAATCCCCGGGGAGGTTTGCTCTCCTTGGCACCAGGAGGGTTGGGGAAAGCACCTTCTAGGGGTGATCCATGGGGGGCGAGAGTGCAAGGACGAGCCCTTGTTTTTTGTAGGCTCCAGGCAGGTCCGGAGCGAAGCGGCTGGGAAGCCCAGCAGGAGACCCGGCTCGCCCCACCCGCGATGGTGACTGGAGGAGGCTCCTCTAGGAGTCCTGGCTGCACCTCCAAGATCTGCCTTCAGGAGAGACGCGGCCGGGGTGGACACGGCGGGAGGTGCATTCTCAGACCTGGGGACGTTCCACTGCACAAGGACAGCGAGGGTGCTAGTTGGGGAACGCATAGCCACCGATCCCAGGCGCCGGGCCAAGTCGCCCGCTGAACGTCTTCTACTGGAGGCGAATTCGGGCGCAGCGACGGGGGGCAGGGGCAACTAAGTTATCCGGTTAAGAAACGTGCACTCGCACTGGACTCTGCTAACTGCTGACGACGGACTCCGCTTCTTGCCTGAGAGGGAGGAAGCACGAACGTTCTGTATGTAACGAAATGAGGACGACTGTTTCAAAGCTACTCAAATATTGTTGTGTTAAAGAGTATTTACACTGATCTCATTGTATCATTTAGCTTCAAAGCTCAAAATTCTGCTTTACTTAGATAAGAGGTAAGAGATCTTTTCTTAGGGGCTTAAGTGCATGCAATTCAGAGAGAGAGGAAGAGACTATTTATACCATCGACACGTTACACACACATTCTCATGTATACACATATTCCTCTCTTTTTATTTTAGCTTGAAGTCCAAATCTACACAAGTCAGAACCTATGCAAGAAAAGCACCATCGGTAGAAATGAATACACTTTGAATGCCATGGACCACCCTGTCTTCAGAGCATGTCTGTTTGCTGACATAGTTGGCTCCCTCATAGCCCTTTAAAAAATTGTCACGTAAAAATGTGGGCGTTGCTGAAGGTTTTTATTAAAACATTAGAAGTCTATGTGACATTATTTATTATTGTTATTTGAATTCCTCTAAGAAAATTAAGCTATCTGTTAGGACTTAGGGCCATGGTGGAGGCAAGGTTTCTGGAAAAGTATTAACACGGTGAAAGTATTAATAAAGGGAAACAGATCAACTCTGGGCCCCTCAGCTCACTACTGCTCAGAGGCTCATTTCTGCCTTTGTTCCCCCTTTCTATTACTCTATTGTTTAACAGCTTACCCCCTCATAGTCCATCCGTTTGATTATAACACAAGGTTTTCATGTTTCACCGTGTTAGTCAGTATGGTCTCTATCTCCTGACCTTGTGATCCACCCGCCTTGGCCTCCCAAAGTGCTGGGATTACAGGCGTGAGCCACTGCGCCTGGCCACTTCATTTCTTAAATAGTTTCCAAATATGAAATGCTGGTAAATGTTGAATCTCATATAGCTACATTTTAAATAACTAAAACTGTGTAAAATTGGCCAGAAATGATATAAAACCTGAATGACTAATTAAAATAAGTCCTCTTTAGTGGTTTACATAAAATACAGCTCATCATAATATTGTCAGGACAGAATAGCAAATGGAAAGATAATTTTTTTGGTTATTCAAATACTAAATTTTCAATACACAACAATGTAGTAAGCAAGTGGAAGAGGAAATGTATTTATCCCTTGGATATCTATTGATACATTGTTATTTGAAATGCTAATACACACCCATGTGTGCACACAAATTGCTCTTTTAGACAACTATTTCTCAAACTCCTTTTTCCAATAACAATAGTCAAGGTGGACAGTAGAGAGAATGGCAGCAGCACATTTTGAGGATAGACCTAGAAGCCTGTTGCCAGGGACCCTATTGCAGGCTCTGCTAGTACTAGGTATGTATACCACTTGGCTGTGGGCCAACATATTGCACCTCTCAAAGTCTCTATCTTTCTATCTGTGAAAAGAGACTGTTGGATTAGATACCTCAGAGCCAAAGTCTATAATTTCAAAAGAGTTGTGAAAACATACGCTGTAATGTAGGAAGCATCATCAATAGTTTGAGAAATGCTGAGGACCACAATACTATTTAATAACATATTGTGGCCAACAGGCATACTTATTTTTGTGTAACCTCCCCCAAATGGTCTCATATTTATCAGTTTTGTGTACTTGAAAAAATAATAACTGACACAAACAGATTGACAGCACGAGATATAAAAATCACCAATACCTGGAGCTTCTTTTCATTTATTTACTTTTGTATCTGTAACAATGACGTCGGGTGTTTGGTTCTGGCTCAGATGTGCCACAGGCCCCCAGAGTCTCTTTGAAGATGTTGTCCTGCAAAACAAGACTAGAACTCTCCCATTTTATGGCTTAATACTAGAAATCAAGAGACCTTGGGTGATTTTTTAAAAAACCAAAACCACCTGAGGCATGATTGGGATACTCACATTTAGATGTACTTCTAAAAGGAGAACTTTGGATTCATAGAGCATCATGCCAAGGAAAACCTACCACTGGGGGTACAGAGCAAGCCAGAAGCAGCCGTAGGAGAGTCCCCCAAACCTTTGAATATTCTTTGGACTACTGGAGAAAGATCTAATTTTTCTGTTGATTTCTCTTCAATTGTGTGGGATGTGTAATCTGGAGAGAAATAGGGTATATACCACTGAAAATCACAATTTAAAATACAGCCTTGTTAAAAATCAGGTTGGGCTTTGCCATTTTTGCTGCATTCATTGCAAACATTTTAAATGCAGTAATGGTACATTAATCAGGTAGGAACAATTCTCTACTGTCATATTGTACTGTTGTATTAGTTTGTTTTCACATTGCTGATAAAGACATACGTGAGACTGGGCAATTTACAACAGAAAGAGGTTTATTGGACTTACAGTTCCGCATGGTTAGGTAGGCTTCACAATCATGGCAGAAAGCAAGGAGCATCAAGTCAGGTCTTACATGGATGGCAGCAGGCAAAAAAAGAGAGCTTGTGCAGGAAAACTCCCCCTTATAATAACCATCAGATCTCATGAGACGTATTCATTATCACGAGAACAGTATGGGGAAACTGCCCTCATGATTCAATTACCTCCCACTTGGTCCCTCCTACAACATGTGGGAATTATGGGAGTACAATTCAAGATGAGATTTGGGTGGGGACACAGAGCCAAACCATATTGACTGTCAACCCTTTCAATGGATTATTCCTAAAGACCCTGCCCTGTCTGTTCCCTCCATTCCAGCCCATATGCAGGCTTTCTGAAATATCGTTACCACTTTACAGATCTTTGCCCAATTTTGAACTCAGCATTGATCAAGTCTTTTTTTTTCCACCAGACTATTCTTATTTTCCAAGAACTCACCTCATTTTCCTCTAGTATTTACATATACTCTCACATTTGCTATAACTAAAAATTCAGATACTTGGGAAATTTTAGTTTCTCAGTATGCACCCACTTCTAAATCACTGTGATTCAGTTGGTCCTACCTCCAATTCCTATAGCTTTCACCAACTTGTATCTTTTCCTTAAATAACCTATCTCTGTTTTTCCTTCAGTTGAAAATTCTCAGCTGATTTTTATTATTTAAGCCATCTTAAATTAATATAGTGAAGAGAATTTATATGGCTTCAAGTGTTTATTATTATCAAAGTATTGAATCTACAGTGCTTTGGGTTATATTCCTTTTGTAATTTCATCAAAGTCATCCAATTTACTCAGACCAATCATCTCTTCACAAACAAAAGCTACTTCTCACTTCCTTATTTTCCAGGACAGTGAAAATTTGCTTCTTTTGCTAATTTAGGTTCTATTATTTTGATAGGATTTGAAGCAGCTAAACAATGAGGACGAGCGGCCCTTTTAATCTTCTTTTGAAAATTAGGAACACATTGCTATTCACTATCTTTAGATTCCTTTTCAGGTCTACGGGACTACAGAATAATGTTTGCTCACTTAGAAAAGTAATTAGTTATTTCTCAGGGTTTATTGGAACATTGCTTATTGTCTGCGGAAAGTGATTATCTATTCATGAATTCTCTACCTTGTGTTATTTCTCTTTCCTTTTTCATGATCTTTTAAAAACCATAGTAAATCTTTCTCAATGTACTTTTTAAATAATTATGGAAATTATCTTCAACAAGGAGTTTTTTTGTGTTTCTCAAACTACTTATAACTCAGAAATAATTCAGAGAGAACAAAGTATATGCCTTGTTAGCAAATATAAACAGGAATTTTAAAAGATAAAAATTTTATGTGTAAAATAAAATTTAATACATTCAAACGTGTACACTAATTTTATAAGGTAAACTCTGCCCATTATAATGAAACATAAGATTCTAGGAAACTACTTACTTTGATCTGAATGCTTTGGATAATTATACACTATTTAGTATCAGTTTGAACGACCTACCCCGAGTAGATAAATTGATGTATAATGTTACTTAACATGCTAGAGGAACAGTTATAAATTTATGGCTGTGCTCTCAGATATTTTCCACTCTTTTGAAAATATTCTATACTTTCATAGATGTTTTGGCAAAACGTGGCATTGTCTATTTTTAGGGAATTTCACTATATGATATTTACTTTATTGTCTTATGATACTGGAGTGAACCAAAAAGTACACCCTTACAAACAGATATTTCTAGAATTAGTCACTCAATCCTAGTTTGTAGATTTATTTTCTCTTTTAAAATCCTACAATCCAGATGTTATAATTAATATAGGACCTAGTTAGATTATTTTAAAGTTCTAATAACACATTCACTATGCATTAATTTCTTTTTAATTTTTCAAAACAGCTTTGTTAAGGTATAGTTAACATATAGTAAACTGTGAAGTTTGACTAGTTTTGCAATTTAACTAGTTTTGATATATGTATGCACCTGTGAAATAATCCCTGCAGTCGGATAATGAATATATCCATTTTCTCCAAAAGATTGCTCATGCCATTTTCCTATGGCTCCCTCCCACACTTCTCCCACCCCTTCACACCACCCATCCTCAGTCTGCCACTGCTTTGCTTTATACCACTATAGATGAGGTTGCATATTTCCTGAATGTTATATAAAGGGAATAACATAATGTGTACTTGTTTTTGGTCTAGATTCTGTCACTCAGCACAGTTATTTTGAAATTTTCCATGGTGTAATGTGTAACAATATTTTATTCCTTTTTATTGTTGGTTAGTATTCATCGCATGACCGATAGCACTAACCGTTTGTCTGTCCACTAACCTGTTGATGGACATAAAACATACACATAGACCAATGGAACAGAATACAGAACCCAGAAATAAATTCATGCATTTATAGCCAAATCATTTTTTATGAAGGTGCCAAGAACACACGTTGGGGAAACGATAGTTTCTTCAATAAACGATGCTGGGAAAACTGGATATCCACATACAGAAGAATGAAACTAGTCTCCAATCTCTCAGCATCTAAAAAAATCAACTCTACATGTATTAAAGATGTAATTGTAAGACCTGAAACTACTAGAAGAAAATATAGGTGGAATGCATCTTGAAATTGGGCTAGACAAGAAGTTTTTAAATAAAAACTCAGAAGCACAGGCAACAAAAGCAAAAACAGACAAAAAAATTACATTGAACTAAAAAGCTTCTGCCCAGCAAAAGAAACAATAGAGTGAAGAAACAACCTACAGAATGGGAGAAAATATTTTCAAACTATGTGTCTGACAAAGGGTTAATATTCTGAATATATAAGGAACTCAACTCAATAGCAAAAAATCAAATAAACTAATTTAAAAATGGACAAAAGGACTGAACAGACATTTCTCAAAAGAAGACATATATATGGCCAACAGATGTATGAAAAACTGCTCAACAACATGAACATCAGAGAAATGCAAATTAAAACCATGACAAAATACCACCTTATCCCAGTGAGAATGGTAAATGTCAAAAAGACAAAAAATAACAATTGCTAGCAAGGATGTAGAGAAACGAATACTCATATACATTGTTGGTGGGAATGTAAATTAGTACAGCTATTATGGAAAACAATGTGGACGTTCCCCAAAATATTAAAAATAAAATGTCCCTGTGATCCACAAATCCAATTATTGGTTATATGTTTTCAAAGAAAATGAAACTAGTATGTTGAGGAGACATCTGAACATCCATGTTTATTGCAGTGTTATTCCCTGTACATTAATTTATGCCAGAAGTTACATACCAGTGACATCCAGTTCACAGGTATGTTTTATAGGAAATGTGGTGTCAATAAAAATAGTCACAATCCTTTAAAAATTATTATTTCCCATAAAAATTCAGAGATGTGACTTCTTTTGGAATAACCAAAGATTTGGCAACTTGGTCACAATTAGCTAGTTAGTAGCTGTTGTTCTCCCCACCCCATGTAACAAGGCCTGATATGCTCAGTTCACAAGAATCCTCATCCCGCCTCCTGACTCATGTGTTTTACTTTTCTCACCCTAAAGTCATCTGAGTTTATGACTTCTGGTTTAAACAATCTACAGTGTCTCAGTTCATTTTGCTATAGAGATTTTTTTTTCACCCTAAAGTCATCTGAGTTTATGACTTCTGGTTTAAACAATCTACAGTGTCTCAGTTCATTTTGCTATAGAGATTTTTTTTTCACCCTAAAGTCATCTGAGTTTATGACTTCTGGTTTAAACGATCTACAGGGTCTCAGCTCATTTTGCTATAGCGATTTTTTTCAGTTATTGTTATTATTTTATTTTAACTTTTATTTCAGGTTCGGGGTACATGTGAAAGTTTGTTGTATAGGTAAACTAGTGTCATGGAGGTTTGCTGTACAGATTATTTCATCACCAAAGTATTAAACCTAGTATCCAATAGTTCTTTTTTCTTCTAAAAATAATGTATTTAATAGAACACATTCAAAAAGATGAAAATAGAAGTATATTCTCTAAATAATTATTAGCATAGATGAAAAAATAAACTCAGACTTTCAGAATACAGACTTGCAAGAAATGGAAGCAGTCTTGGCCAAAGCTACTCTTTGCCTACCTCTGAGGACAAGGAATAGACAAATTGGCATTACCTCCCTTCTCTGGTAGTGAAAACCTTTGCAAACGTCCAATATCATTAGTTTTTATGTTCTGTATTTTGCTATAAGCTAGTCCTTAGAGGAAACAGCATTATCAATGCAAGGACAGTGAGATGTTAAAGTAAAGTAGGAATTTATCTATAAATGCCCAAGAAAGGTTAGAGTGGCATTATGGGAAGATCGTGAGGCTGGAAGTAAAGATTCTTTTGTTTGACGTCGGCTCTAGGTCATTTTAGTCATGTGACCTGAAGGAAGCCATTTTACCCTCTTGGTCTCAACGTAAATTGGGATGGGGATTATTTGCTTAGACTGTGTCTGAGATCAAATTAAGGGCTGACATTCAATGATAATATTTTAGATCAAGGACCCACTTCTCTTGTGCATCTCCTATCTCTTAAGGAATACTGGCTGCATGAGTTATACAATAGCACATGAAACATGGAAGTGCATTTATACAAAGTATAGCAGTCACATAGTGCCCCTGTAGTGCTGTGGAAAAAATCATCTTAACTGTAATAGCTTACAATAAGTATTTTATTCTCACATTACAGTTTTCTGTGGTTTGGCTGATCTAGAATGGGATTGGCTGAGTAGTTTTACTTCATGCTACAGGTTGGCTCAGCTTAGGTTCCAGGCTGAGTTTGGTTTTTGTCTGTTCCACACATATTTTTTTCTGTAGCCCAGGCTAAAGTGGTAGCAGCTACCTACCCAAGACGTGCTCTTATCATGGCTTAATACTGGAGCTTAAAATCCAAGCCAAGCCATGCAAAAACAATAAGGCTTTTATTGCATCATGTTTACTAATGTATTGGCCAAAGCAAATCACATGGCCAAGCACAACACTGTTTATAGGGAGGGTGAAGGAAGAGAATATTTGCTGAACAGTAATCTAAACTACATACCAAGAAAGGTCCGCCATCTACAGATATTTTTATTAAAAAGTGTATTTTCACAAGTTAGTATAATTTAAACAATTGGCTCAGGAACCATTTTAAAGGGTTGATTTTTTAAGATTAATATCTGTAATACACGTGGGGAGTCTTGTTCTAAAATGTTGAGAAAAAAACTTTTAATAATCTCATTTGTGCGTGGAAAAATGAACCACCCTCCCCCTAGAGTACTGGAGGATTAGAGTGGGCGTGCTTTTGGATATTTTCTTAAGAATGGCTAGGTAAGCATTGCTGGGGGCTGAATCTGACACAAATGGCAATGTTCAAGGTGATGACAACAGAAGGAAGGCTTATCTTTTTCAAAATTGGATCAGCTCAGACTCAACTATAATACAAACATATGAAGCCCTGAGTATAGGTAACAGAATTTAGTTATGTTATCCTTAGATTTTTGGACACATTCCAGATTGTAGTTTCCTGCTTGCATTAATCAGAATTCTTTCTTTTGGTTATAAGGGATAGAACTACAACTCTAACTGGCTTTAGCAATGAAGAAAATTTCTGGTTTCACATCTTTCAAGGGTCCAGAGGTGGCTACAGATTCAGGTATGGCTGGATGCAGAGCTTTCACCATCTTCACTTGTACAGTCCATTACCCTCTTTGATGGCTTAACCCCAAAGGAAAGTTTCTTTTCCCCTGTAATGTTTATAAAATTTTGGAATAGCAGTTCATTAATTTGGCTTGTAGCATGTGACCAATTCTTTCCCAATTGGGTTCAAGTATTGAAATCAGCTACCTGGCCAGGCCTGTGTGTTGTGCCTTCTGGAGCTGACATGGGATGTTAGACTAAGCTAAACCACGTGGACTAAGAAAGGAGAAGTTTTTATTATACAGAGGAAAATATGGGGGCTCTTTTCCAGAGAAAGGTGCGAGGATGTTGGACAGATAAAAACAACAGATGTCTATTACAATATCTGTTCATCAAAATGAACAATGCGTTAGGGTGAGGGACAATTTATGAAGCAGGAGTATATTGAAAGGTGTTAACTAGAAAGCTAAAATGTTGTAAACGGTACGGTGCTATACTAACGTATCCTCTAAGTGCCAGGTGGAGAGAGTGACATTTGATGAATTGGTTATTTATTTGTAGATGTTAAGAAGGACGTTTCATCCATTTGGGCCCAACAGCAATGTTAACTATTAGCCAATAGCATCAACATGTCACTAATTTGTATCTGGTGACTTGTTGATGATGGGTTGACTCAGCTTACTAGAGTATGGGGGTGACATAGCCAAATAATGGGTTCAGCCTTCATGAGGGAAGTCAGTCATTTTACCATGTAGCTGTATATAAATGCCAGGATTAAAATGGTGATTAAAAGTAAATATTTAAAAAGATTCATATCTGTGCCAGAATGTGTCTTCATATCTTTTTTCTACTGTCAGGGAAAGGAGGGCCCTTGTTCTTAATTCCATGAGATGGCAAAATCGTCTAAACTTTCATCATTGCCTACAGTACTTTATGTATAATTACATTGTTTCTTCAAGGTGCCCTTATTATTTCTCCTCTCATTTTTCCCAGGAGACTTGCACCAGGAGGAACTGGCAAATTTCCTTGGCAAGAACAGATGAATAAATAAGAAGCATGAGCTTGCGACTTTTAGCTGGGGTGATTCGTCAAAAACCACAGCACTGTGGCTGTTTTCAGATTTTAAGGGTTATGTTCAACCTCAATCAAGGGGAGTTTTGAAAGCTGTTATAAATCATCAAATAAATTGAGGAAAAAAATTTGGTAGAACATGATGTTACTTTTTCACGTATGGCTGAATATATTCACCTGAAGGTTTTTCCAAGCTATGCTAGTGTTAGGCAATGACGATTACCTATTCATGTTTGTCTAATGTTTTGAGTGGTGAGTGGCATTGAGTGAGGAATCTCATGATGAATAATTGGCTTTAATCCTCAAGAGAGGACAAAGTATCTGAGCAAGATACCCCTGAAGATCAGTCACTTGCTATAAGTACCAAGTGGTCAATATGGATAAATTGGGTTCTACAATATAGATCATATTGGGTTTATAATGCCTCTGCAATTTTTTCAACATTATTTTGTAGATCCAACAATGCATACTATATGTGTCTGGTTATTTCTGTTTTCCCTTCAGATCTCCTCTCCATGGTTCTCCACTGTGTGCTGTGCCTGGAGATTGGCTTTTATGGACCACATCAATGAGATTCATTGCTTTATGGCCTCCCACTGGATTCAGCCAACAGGAAGTGCATTTAAAAACTTGGAGAGTTGGGTGGGAGAGTCATCTCAGGATTTTCATTTTCCAGGCTCCCTTCCTGCTGGCTCATTACATACTAACTTCATTCCTGTCCCAAATGCTGTAGCTCCCATCAGGGAGCCCTCTCCAGATTCCATTAACCTTGCCATTCCCTTGTCTCTTTAGGCCTAGCAGGATAATGACTCCAATCTGTTGCTAGTCCCATGGACTTCACTATGCTTCATTTGCTTTATTCTTCCATACATTTGTAAGTAGTCCCTCAACAGACTCTCCTCAATTACTCCATCTGTGTAAACCAACTCTTTCATACTGACATCCTGACTGACATATCACCTATGTAAAATATGACACATGCTATACAAGGGATACATTTACATTCAAATTATGACATATTTAAGTATAGCATTTGTAATGAATATAACAAAAACAGCCTTCTGAGAGGCTGGCTGGGTGAACACAGTAGCCAACATTAACAAAACAAAACAAAACAGAAGAACACAACTTAGAAGAACAAAAATGTGACATATATTTGGGCAAAAGAAATAATACAAAGGAAAGTCATATTAAGAGGCAAGGAAAAAATTGCAAAATCCATTAGCAATTTTGGGAAAAGTCCTCAGGGCCAAACAACTAGAATTCAAATTGTGAACAACCAGGAAATCCTAATATCTAAGGGCTAGGAAATTACAAAAAAGGAAAAGGTGGAAGAGGAGGAGGAGGAGAACAAGGAGGAGGAGGAAGAGGAGAAGGACTTACTGAAGGAGAAAAATATGAAGGCTTAGGAAGGCAGGATAGAAGTTATAGGACCCTTCTCCATGGCAGCACTCAGAACCACCATCTGGTACAGTAGTATGGAGGATCTGTCCATGGTTTTGGCCAATTCACAGAGATGAACCTTCCTGCCTCTGCAGACCAGGTGGGCTGAAAGAATTCTTAGTGCCTAACTGATGTGTTTTCAGACTTCCCAGGATATTACTTTGTAGTAAAGACATCTTTCAGAAGAGCAAATTGTACCTGGCTAAAAGAAGAAGGAGAGGTAGATCTCATTTGTCTCCCAGCTATTACGTGTTTGTACATGATTGATACTAACATTACTACCACCAGCAATTGATCTGAGAATATTGCTATGCTAAAAACAATTTACCATGAAGACAGGCACAAATGTGATGACTCTGAGAAGCAATTTCAAAATAAGAGGCCAGGATGAAAATAAATCTGAAGTTCACAAGATGGAAATACTCCAAATGTCTGTGCATAAATTTTGGGCTAAGTTTCTTCTAATTCTTTTATTACTTTATCCTGGGCAAAAGGTGATTATTTTATGTAATGATATGTTCCAAGTATGAGAAAAAATTATTAAAATGAATAGGATGAGAATAAATTAGCTGATACAACAAAGAATTTTTTTTTACGTGTGGAAGAAATCACAACTTAAAAATAAGGTTTTACTCTGTGATTATAAGAACACTAACCAAAGAAATAGGTCTTTAAAAATGTCTTATTTTTTATTTTCATGGATTCAGGGGTACATGTGCAAGTTCGTTACATGAATGTATTGAATAGTGGTGGAATTTGGGCTGTTTTTTTCTTTAAGCTATCTTCAATCCAATCATTCTTAACAGAAATAAATATGTAGTTTCTCATAAAATTATTAAATGTATAATCAATAAGAAAAATCTATCCATCTGGCAGTTTCACAGCTTTGATATTAAATAACTTAAATTTAAAGTGTAAGATTTAATACTAATGGGAGCATTGCAGTGGTTTTTGAAATCTTTTCCCTGCATTGGAATGAATGGTGTAAAGATAGGAAAGGGAAACTGCAATAAATTGCCAACATTGAGGAGAATGGTAATCTAATGAGACCACCAAGCAGAGGCAGGAAGTGTCTTTCCAGCTTCACAATCAAGTTATTAAAAAGCACAGTACAGACTTACAATCACATTTCCAACAATCATCACTTGGAAATGCAAGCACTTGAAATTCACCTTGTGTTCTACCTCTTGTTTTTCATATTCTGATTTTGGAAAAGTCTCTGGGTTCGATGACAAGAATATTAAAGGATCTTGGGACACAGATTGTCGCCCTTATCAAAATGGTGATAGATGAACTGCAAAACCTTTTGGTACCCAGATTTTTATCAAAAATAATACATGAGCTATCTGGTCCACAGGGTTATTTTGGGTTTTAAATAAGCATGCATGAATATATGTATAAATAAAAAGGACCCAGAGATCAGAAGATTTTATTAAAGTCCTTGGGACCCGAATTGAGTTGTTCCAAACCCTAACTGGGCTTGGCCTGGAGAAATCTTAATCCTCCCCATGGCATCTGAAAGTTTCTGGAGATTACTCAGTTTTACTTGCCTTTATTGCTGGGCTTTCTGTGTGCTGATTGGCTAGTCTGGAAAGAATTTCATTAACTGAGACGTGGAACTCAAGGCCCCCTCAAATTTCCAGTCCCAAACCTACATATCAAACCCATAAAGATACTCAGGAGTACTTTTGCTCTGGAGTTAGTAGGAGGCACTCTTTAGGGAAAGCAGGTGAGTTAGTTATAGAAAGTAAAAATACTTTTCCAGTTACATTGGTTTTAATGAGCATCAATAAATAGACCACACAACAATGTAACTATGGAAATTTCCTTAAAGTGGTCCCAAAATAAATACTTGTAATACACAGGCCACATTCAAATAATGTGGTATAAATATTAATTGGTATAGTTTAGTGAAATGTTAGAGGGAAAAAACATGGAAGACTAGAGATAGAATTATTCCGTCTCTGTGATGGTTTGTTCATATAGTAGAGGTGAACTAGAACAAACCTGTGATGTAGCCATCCTTAAATATTCATCAGATATTTTAAAGCAAAAGTAGGTTCAAAGCACCTGGCACAGGCTTTGGACTTAACATATATGTTGCTTTTAGCCAACAGATGCCCCTCCCCTACCAGAAGTTTGACTTATTAGATACTTCTTTACTCATAAACAAAATAAAGCAAAATGCATCTGACAGATTTTATTTTGAAAATTGGTCTGTCTTTAGGAGTTCTTGGAATCTTTGCTAAGGGTCTATTTTGATGATTTTGGTCATCATTTTTGGATAATGGTGCTATGGAGGATGCAAAACAAAAACTGTGACTCTTTTAACCTGCTTCAGACCAGATCATTGGTAGTTTGAACCCATTAGTAGAAAAAGAGGCTATATTTTCACAATCAGGAAAAAATTCTAGGCTGAGCGTAGTGGCTCATGGCTGTAATCCTAGTACTTTGGGAGGCCAAAGTGGGCAGATCATGAGGTCAGGAGTTCGAGACCAGCCTGACCAACATGGTGAAACCCTGTCTCTACTAAAAATACAAAAATTAGCTGGGCGTGGTGGCACACGCCTATAATCCCAGCTACTCAGGAGGCTGAGGCAGGAGAATCGTTTGAACATGGGAGGCGGAGGTTGCAGTGAGCCAGGATTGTGCCATTACACTTCAGCCTGGGTGACAAAGCAAGACTCCATCTCAAAAAAAAAAAAAAAAAAAAAAAAATTCTACCTGTTCACCAGAGCCTAATACTTGAACAGACCTTAAGGTACAAAATTTTAGTTAGATAGGAGGAATAAGTTCAGGAGATCTATTGTACAATATGGTGACTATAATTAATCATGTTGTATCCTTCTTTTAAACTTTTAAGTTCAGGGGTACATGTGCAGGTTTGTTATATAGGCAAACTCCTGTCATGGGGGTTCGTTGTACAAATTATTTGATCACCTAGGTATTAAGCCTAATACTCATTAGTTATGTTTCCTGATCCTCTCCCTCCTCTCACCCTCCAACCTCCAGTGGGTCCCAGTGTGTGTAGTTCCCCTCTGTGTCATGTGTTCTCTTTAGCTCCCACTTGTAAGTGAGAACATGTGACATTTGGATTTCTGTTCCGGCATTAGTTTGCTAAAGATAATGGCCTCCAGCTCCCTCCAGCAGCTCCATCCATGTTCCTGCAAAGGACATAATCTTTTTTGTTGTTGTTGTTGTTGTTGATTTTGTGGTTTTATTTTTGGCTGCTTGTATTCCTTGGTGTATATATGCCACATTTTCTTTGTCCTGTCTATCATTGATGGGCATTTAGGTTGAGTCCATGTTTTTGCTACGGTGAATAGTGCTGCAATTAACATACACACGTATGTGTCTTCATAATAGAATGATTTATATTCCTTTGGGTATATATCCAGTAATGAGATTACTGGGTCCAATGGTAGTTCTGTTTTTAGGTCTTTGAGGAATTGCCACACTGTCTTCCATAATGGTTCAACTGATTTATACTCCAACCAACAGTGTATAAGTGTTCCTTTTTTTCCACAACCTCACCAGCATCTGTTATTTAAAAATTTGTAGTCATAGTCATTCTGACTGGTATGAGATCGTACCTCTTTGTGGTTTTACTTGCGTTTCTCTAACAATCAATGATATTGAGCTTTTTTATATGCTCATTGGCTGCATATATGTTTTGTTTTGAAAAGTATCTGTTCATGTCCTTTGTGAAAATTGTTAAATGAGTAGATTTTAAGCACTCTCAACACATGCAAAAATGGTAATTATGTGAGGTAATGCATCTGTTAAGTAGCTAGATTTAATTATTCTACATTACACACATATTTCAAAAATGATATAAAATATATACAATTGTACTTTGTCAATTAAAGTTTCAATTTGTCTATTAAAATAATAAATAAATAAACATTTGAAAAACAAAGACCTCAATTACCCAACAGCATTAGGAACAATATATTAACAAAGATGTCTTTAAGTGGCTAGATCAATAGGTATATAAGGTCCTGGCCAAAAGACCAACTCTCAGGACTGGGTTTATGGTTTATGTGACTTTGAAGGAGGAGCACTTCAAGTGTTTAGCCTCACAGGCAAACTGACATGAATTCTGAAACTCAGGATGTTATTTGCAAAGTGTGTGGGAGCTCTAAGCAAATTACTCATCTTACTATTATGCAACCCTGGAAGGGTGAGGAAGTGGGGAGGGTGATGCCACCTGCATTAGCTGAGAGCTACTGCTGATGGCTGGAGCCAGAGCAGCAATCTTGAGCCATGAGATCATCTCTGGAATGGAGTTAATATGCAACTTGCACATTATAGCTACACACCAGGTAAAAGCCAGTACTCATGATATAGTTGGGCAAATTGCGAATACCTTTAAGAGTTAAAATTTGCATAATGCCTCTCCTTCATGCTGAGCACTTCGCTCTGTTGCTTTTCTAAACATCAGTGTGGGAGGAGACAAGGAAAATGAGGGTGAGTGTGATAGAGTCAGTCAGGTCAGAGTTCAAAACCTAGATTGGTCCTTGTTAGCAATCTAGGTGTGACTTAGAGCAAGATTTTAAACTTATGGTGACTCCATATAGTCTTTTGTGAACCCTTTTAGTATTGTGGGAATTAAATAGGATAAAACATACACAGTGCCTTGTATAGAGTGAATCCTCAGTAAAATTATCATATTATTATAAGCATAATCATATTACTGACTAGAAGACCAAGTTTTTCAGCCCCACCTAGTATTATCACCCTCTCATTAGAAGCCTCATTTTGGGCTGGGTTGCCATTGTGTTAGTCACTTTTATTCAAGTATATCTTTTGACTTGGCTAGATCCAGACAGGCCATGGAAGGTGAATCAGTTTCAATGCAGTCCAGAGGTTTTGGTTAGGTCAAGCATTAAAGCACGCAGTTATCTGGGTCTTCTTTGCCACGTCCTGGAATTTTACCTGAAAACCAGGATGATATATGGCCACAGAATGATTTAACTGCTGGCCATTGAAATGAGGGAAGAAATGCCACGAGCAGCTTACAAAAACAATCCTATGAGAAGGGAGGAAGTCACCCTTAGCTTATTTCTCCATTTTTTCTCTTTCTCCTTTTCGCTGGCTGGAATGCAGTTCTGCATGGTTTTTGTTCAGGAAACACTTGGCTCACCTGTTACTAAGTTTGCCAGAATCCTTTTCTTTGTGTGTTTCTAGACTGCAGTTGGCCAAAGAGAACTTTGTGGTGGTTTGAAGAAGCAATGCGAGGACACAGTTACAATGTCTGAAGGTCATGGTTGTCGTTTGCAGAGAGAGACAGGTGCACAGGTGGGTTCTGTTTTACCACTGCCTCTCCCAACCTCATGTCCAACTCTCCCTATTAACTCCTAGCCCTGTTGACCAAGAGCAACTCCAGGCTGACCACTGGATTCTTGGCTGCAAACTCACAAAGGCACTATGTGTGAAGTGGCAAGAACTTCCATAAACTCCTCCACCAGCTCGGCTAGGGGCCCACTCTGGTTGTTAGGCATGCTTGGCTTCTAAGTTCTCCTGGGACCTCTGATGTGTCCATTGGTGTCAGTGCTCCAGGAGGCCTGGCTGATGACCTTCCCCTGATTCTCCAACTCCCATTTTTGGACCCTTATTCTCTAGCACCTTCCACAATTGTGTAAAGTTGAATTCCTATAAAAAATTTCTTATTCCATAGCACTCAGAGTGGTTATGCTTTCCTGATTCTGCACTTGTATTATGTTTAATTACTGTCAGGCATCATTCTGAGACCATATCAGCTTAATCCCCTCCAGAATCACTTGAACTGAAATGGATTTTGATGTTAACCTCTCAGTTGTTATCCAAGTTCCTTTTTAAAGCATCCAAGTAAAAATCTGGCCTGCATTTTTTAAATGAAACTGATGTCAGAAGACCTATCTATCATGGCACTCAATGTTACCCTTATAAGGTTTTACATGAGAAATATCTCGTTACCTGTTGTCAGTTTAGACTTTATTTCTTTTGAAGCATTGGTATGCTTCTTCCTTTTGGGGAAACTCTTTTATTTCCATTTTTGCCCTCACTTCCAGGAGGCTCAGAGTCATGAATATTGCCTAATTATAGGAACTAGCTCAGCTCTCAAAGTATTTGGTTATTCCTCTCTTTCGTGCATTTAATTAATTCTATTTTACTTATCTGAATTGTGCTTGTCTTCTTTTTTTAAAATTAGGGGAAAGTGCAAATGCAGTCCCCATGACAACAAATGATGCAGTCGAGTTTCCCATATTTGGGGAAATTGCAGGAGTTTGTACATCCAGAGTGCAATGGATAAGGCTTACCCTGGGAAAACCACCTTTGTGATGATGGTATTTGCCCTGCCAGGTAAGTATCACGCTTGTTTTTTATTGTAACTTGTGCCAAATTAGAAATGGTTGGGTCACAGTAAGGGACTAGAGCCATCTGAGCTAGACACGCTACCTACATTTTCTATTTTTTAAAATTTTATTTTACGTATGAGCAAACTGAGGTTCAGTGATATTGTGGGATGCTAAGTGGTCAGTGACAGGACCTGCAGGTGGATGCATTTGACCTTTGACTCGTGCTTTCTCCATGGGTCAGGCTGTCTCCCTGGTTGAAAGAATCAGGTATAAACACATAGACAGTGAAATAAGCATCGCTGTCCCTCTTAACCTGATTTGAGAATGTAGATCTCAACATGGGTCCCTTTCTTGTCTATCAAAGAAGTTTGTGACTGTAAGTGAGACATGAAGCAAATGTGTTATGAAATGGAATTGGTGGTGAAGATAATGAAAATGAGGTGGTGATGGAGATGATAGTAATGCATCATTCTTGTGCAAAGGAAGATTGTGATGATTTTCAGTCACTGTCCTCTACTCTCTCATCGTGCATTATGTTTTCAAGAGATCCAGCACGTAACAACTTATAATGTAAATTGAAGGTTTTATTACTGGATGAAATGTATTCCCTGACTTCAATAATCATGTAAAATAGCTGAAGTGATCCACTGAGTACTCACTATATATCAGGCACTGTTTTAGTTCCTTACACATGTTAACTCCTTTAATACTTGAAATGAGGCTTTGAAGTAGATACTTTTCTTATCCCCATTTTACATATGCTAAAATTAAGGCACAAAGAGATTAGGTTGTTTTCCTGAGCAAGATCACTGAGCTACTAAGTTGTGAACCCAGAATTCAAATGCATGGAGTCTGCCACACCGAACACTCCCTTGAGCCCGCGCTCTTGACCATGATATTGTGCCCCTATTAGTCCTATCTCCACAATCAGGAGAAAGAGCGTGTGCTTCTTAAACACACTTGGATTCAAATCTGGATTCCATAACTTCCCAGTTATATGCCCTTGAGATGGTTACTTAACCTCTTTAAGCATCAGTTTCTCTGAGAGTTCTTTTAAGTCCAAGTGATACAATTCTTTTGAATCAATCATTTACTTATTTTTTGAGTGCCTATGAGCTTAGAATTAAGCTAGGTGCTATTAAATTAAAACACCTATGGGCAGAGAATTATACCACCATTCAAAGGTTTTGCTCGCAGACACAAGCATAAAGATGCTAAAAAAGACTTGCTTAATTGGAATAAATTTTCCTGCAGATGGCCCTCAAGCATTCCAGCTTCCCTTAAGAAGACAAGAAAGGCTGTTATTGGAGAAACTCATCTTTTTTGCTTTTCACTTTCTCCCTGTGTCCTATTGTATCCTTTTTTAATGGAATTTTCTTTATTATATTTCTTTGGTAAAGGCAACTCCTTTGAAAATCTACCATCCATAGTTACCTTTGCAAATCACGAGTGTACCACAGGACCCTCCCTGAAACCTAGACACTGAATATTCAGTGGCCTAGTGGGTTACTAATGCATGGCAGGGCAGGAAAGTTGCTTTTTCATATCACTACATTGGTACCACTGGGAAAAGAGCATTCTGATGATACCGATGGGCTGGACGAGGTCCCCGAATGTCAGTGCAACCTCAACCTTAGCTGGTGTCCAGGCTCTTAGGTGAGAAGGAATTCAAGATACGCCTGAAAATAGTGAAAGAACTGAGATTTATAGCAAAGTAAAAGTACACACTCAGTAAAGGGTAGCATGCACTTGAATATCAAGAGAGTGAGTCACGCTGCAGGTTTTCGGGCTTGTATCTTTACCGCACTGGTGGGTATGTGATTCAATATGTTCACAAGCATATAATGAGGTCCTATATCAAATCCAGTGCCATGGTGCATCCAGTTTGTCTTAGCCGGTTTGGCCTACACCCTGGTTTTTCAGGGTCTTATCAGTCCCTAGCTTCTGAACCTATTTCAATAGTTTCCTTTTGCTAGTCATGTGAAACTGCTGCCTGGAGTTTTCTATTCTCCTGCATCCACCCTGCATTATTCCTGTCTCGTTGGCTGTGAGTTGGTTGCCTGTGTTAGCATGGAAGACAGGAGAAGCTACGTGTTGGCTCTGGGTAAGGGGAAGGCAACAGTTCCAACAAACAGATTGTGACTGTTCTTTTTTCTGTCGTCCTTGAGTTTGATGGTAATAAAGCACATGACATGCATCACCCACTCGGATCACAGTCTCAGGTTGCTAAACAATCTTTGGGATTTATAAAGGCAACACACACATCTAATGAAGAGAAGCCACAGAACAAAGAACACAATTCTTTCTGGTGACAGAATTCTGTCTCAATCTGTATAATCACCAAAGCTTTTCAGATCAAGGGAGGGAAAATGAAAAAGAAAGGCTTAAACAAATATGCAATCTGAGGCTTCTGGGTTCATGATCAGTGGACACAAACTGAACAGCAGAAAGTTTGCCTTGAGGCTGAGCATCCCTCAGCATGGCTTAAATCAAGGCCGGTTGCTTTTCCTTTAAATAATGAATCATTTTTTCAATACTATGGTTTCCATCCTTCTATTTTTCCAGCAGTGGAAACTCCTCTCCACTATGTGGATGGAATCCTCATAATGGAATCTGAAAATTGAGGAAAGTCAACTTTAACGCCCTTCTTCCCCTTAAAGCTTCTTCTCTCCCATCCACATTGCCCCTGCCTTTGCATGAGGTTTAGCATGGACCACGTGGTGGTCTGTACTGGATTGGCACTTCCACTGGATGCTGTAGGAGGAAAACAGGAGGACCTAGTAATGCCTTCAGAGGAGGTCAAGCCCAAAAGCTGCTGTTAATTGGCAGGTAGAAAAGCAAGTACTTTAATCGAATGTGGGATAGAATTTAAAGGGAGGCAGAGGAGAGAGTGTGGGTTGCCTGGCTTGGAGGAGAGGTAAAGGCAAAACCAGTGATTTCTAAATTTTGTAATTGCTCAACAAATGATTGTAGAATTGGATTGAGACCCTAAACTTCACTTTTCTCATTAGAATACAAAAGCTACTAACTAGGGGGCATAAGGGACTTACGGTTTACTTTTCATAGTGACAGAGGGACCTTCTCTCTAGAACCATTTAGGTCTGCTGGACACCTTCCAATTAGAATTGCTCTCTAATCTCCAGGAAATTGATAGCATGCAAACCATTGTTATCTTGAGTTTTGGTTAAAGATTGGTAACAGAAGCTGCTTTGGAGATGAACATAGAGTAACAACAAAGACATCTTAAGCATCTTTATTATATTATTTTTCTCATTTAATCCTTACAACTGCATGCGTTGGTCATTATTATCTCATTTGTTGGTGAGAAAACAGGCTTTGTGGACTTTAACAGCAACAGACTATGACTCAAAACAAGGTCTCCAGATCTCCAAACTCTTATATTAGGTTTTGCCTTAAAGCCCCAATTTCCGTAGGGTGTAGTCAGCAATACACTCATGGGAAAAGTGAAGGATGAGGCTCATTACATCCTCTGGATAAATAAACTGACCACAAGTCAGTTTTTCATTAACAAATATTTATTTATGGTTCTGTAGTGTGTCTCTTTCCGCATGGGGAAAGCACTCAGAAGGGCATCAGCCATGGTCTGTCCATACCCCTGGGAGCTCAATATTTAGCTGGGAGGAGAAAGTTTGGATACATGACAAGGTAACCATTGGCTGAAATTTGAAAGTGCTGTAGATTAAATCAGCGCAGAGAAGACATTGCTTTTGCAATCATGAATCATACCTTTGCAAATCACGAATGTATCACAAGACCCTCCCTGAAACCTAGACACTGAATATTCAGTGGCCTAGTGTGTTACTAATGCATGGCAGGGCAGGGAAGGCTTCCTGAGCGAGGGAAACCTTGATAGGAGCCAGGAAGGGAAGAAAGGCCCCAGACGTGAGAAGATTGATGCAGGGAATATCAATGCAGGGCAATAAGATGCCCAAGGAGATGTCTCAGTTAGAACTGAGGTGTCAGTGAATGAAATAGAGGGTCATCAGGCTGGAAATGGATTTTTGGCCAGAATATGAAGGGGCTGTAAATGCCAAGGAGAGAAAGTTGGCCTTTATCCTGTACACTATGTTTTCTTGATCACATTTTCTATCTGTAAAATACTTTGACTTGTGCCTACGGTGTATGTATACGATATATATGTAGTAATACATTATATATATTATGAAACATACCCCAAGATAATAGTTGAAAATAACAAATTAAGATGAAATAGTTTTAAATGTCTTGAAAATCAAGGTGACCAGCACATACTTCAGCTAATGCTCATTGTTATGAAATAAAGGATTTAAATCCATATATCGAATAGTCTTGTATTTGAACTTTTTTCTTTTATAAAAATAATTTTAATGCTATGCTATTGATTTGAAAGTGCAGCACTATTTTTATTCTTTAGGGGCTTTCTCCTAACATGTTAAGACCAACCCAGCTGATTTGTCTCCATCAATGTCTGAAGCTGTCAATAACTGTGTCATTGCTCTGGAGGAAAAAAGAAGAATAGCAATTTCTTGTTTTGTTCCTCACTTCACCTCCAGCCACATTGGGATTATTTGGAATTTTGATCGAATATTCTTAGAGATATACTCATTTATTACCTTTTAATTAGAAATAAACATTGCACAGTCTTTCTTCCCATAGACCGTTGCCTTCTGTCGGATTAATTTCTCTCTTCTGGAGAATGTCTCAGTGCTTTTGTAGCATGCTATTCTCCCTGAGACCTCATGTACCTGAGAATACTGATATTTTGTTTTGCAATTAAATTTTAGTTTTATTGGATATAAGCATCTAGGTTTTAAGTTTCAAAATGATATTCCATCTTCTTACTAGATTTTTAGGCAAAAGTTTTCCTATGATACAAAACTTGGGCTCATATTTACTAAATTACTTGTATTTTAAAAATGGCCTTAGAAAATCAGTTGTTTACCATAATTGAGGGAAGTTACCTACAATATGACTTGCCAAAGTCCTTCAGCATGCTAAGATATTCTTCAACAGCCTAAGATAATTTTCACTTTTCAATATTCTTCCTATTTATACTGTCTTCGAATAAAAAAGACTTAAAATTACATTATCTATGAGAATACTGTTTTCAGTTCTGATATACCTCCATTTTTATTTTAGTGAACAGATCACTAAAATAAAACAAATAGCCCGCAGTGCTTAAGCACAAAGTAGAAACTCCTGAGATTTAATTTACTTACTGATTTTTGCACTCATTACCAAATGTATCTGAAATATCACCGGATATAAAGAACTCAACTAAGTTATTTTTGAAAAATGTGTTATGATTTTAGTACTGTTTCTGTTACAAGTAGCTTCATAAATATCTGTTAGCCCAATTATGTATCTGTGCATTTGTAAATTACAGTGGAATTTGTTAATTGATGTAGCTTGTGATGTTAAAGAATTTTTTTTTTAATTTTGGGATATGGGAAAATAACACAATTGTAAATGTTACCCTATTTATCTCTTTGTTTGTAAGAAGTAACATATCTGATCCCCAAATACAAGAAATGATAGATCTTGATTTACATAGTAACATCTCACCCTTAATGTCTTAGTTGAAACAGTTTTTGTTCTGTTTTGTCTCTTGGCCATTATATCCTGTCTAATGCCTAAATACAGCTAGTTGCACAGTGAGATTTACACCATTCATTACTGTTTAGTTGGATATGTCATGAAGGATGCAACTATTTCTTATGTAGCTTTTGAAGTGTAACTCTTACACACACCACCCCCCAAATCCTCAGCTCTGAAACAAACGTTTGTTTTATTTGTAAAAATGTCTTAAATTTTTGCAGGAAAAATGTAGCTTTTTCCCTTTTTTTTTTCTTTTTTTGCTGCTTACAGTAGACATGCTTTATTTTTTAATGGAAACATAGTTCTTAATAAAGTAAGCCAGTTTCGATAAATGTGTGGATGTTTTAGTACAGACTCTTAGAAGCACACCGAAAGAGAAGGATTCACACGTGATTTATGAATGAGTGCTCCCACAAACTCTGATAAGGGAGTGGAGAAAGCAGGACAAGGAAAGGAAAGAAGTAAAGCAATTGTTGTGATTTCAGGAAAAATCCTCACTTCAGCCTGGTCCTGTAGGGCGGCTCTAGAGTGTCCAATTACATCCTAGAATTTTGTTCTGAGGGAGCTGCCATTGGCTAAGGACCAAATCATGGGAGTACAAACCCCAGGTTCCCTGTATAAGCAAAGCAGCTCTCATACCGTTGGAGCAGTCACCGTAAGCGGCACCACTGCAGCTTTTAGAAGTAAAAGGACACAAAAGCTGGGAAGCGGCACACAGAAATGATAAAAACGGGTTCCCGAGGGCTCTGGGCAGAGAGCTCGGACATTGTCCACTTCACCATTCCTCAGTATTCTTATTTCCATCCTCTATGCCTTTGTGTTTCTTCTCAGAATGCACACTGAAGTTCTAATTCCTTCTGAATTTTGGACCTCAGTTCTGGAGGGGATCAGGATGTGAATTCTCTTACGCACTTCTGTAATGAAACTTTTATTTTTATTTCCTGTTCACTGTCTATTATGATAAAGCTGTGGATCAGGTAAATCAGGTATTTTTTAATCTAAAATTCACAAATGAGAAAGACTCTTCACGAGAGGTTGAGTGATTCACTTAGGTTTCTATAGCTTAACTAGTGGCAACTCCAGTCTGATTCCCCTATCATTGTTCATCCCACTGACTGTAGCATTCTCTTCAGAACCTGCAATCAGACGCTGACCTCTCTGTTTCTGATGTAAATTCATTCTTCTATATGACACATACCTCTGAAATCAGTGACCATTTGCTCACTGGTAAGTGGAAACTGTTAAGAGAAACTACAGGTGTCCCTGAAACTGGTAACCTTCCATGGTTTACCCTTTCCTGTTTATTAAACCCTAAAGTGGTTTCTCGTTCTTAGTTAAAGCTCTCACATTAGCAGCCCCAGATGTGTTTCCATGATTTTGAATTGTCAAATTTATAAATTTATAATTTGCATCAATTTTTGGATTTCTGGCATCTCTGCAAAAGTGAGCTCAGCTAGTTACATTGTGTCTTCATTCTCCCCTGCTCCCAGCTTGTAAGAGCTAGGCAGAGGCTATTTCCTTTCCATATGCTTCACAATTTGCCAGTCTCTACTGAGTCCACATTGCTCATTTCTGTTATCTGCTTGGCCTTGCAAGACTTAAACTGATGGAGGAAAGACAAGTAATTTTGAGGGCCTTGCACTTTAGTTAGTACTGTTAATGAACTTAAACTGATGAATAACTTGATGAACTAAGCAAGGATTGGAGAAATCTTTGTTGTCAGTTCATGAAACTGTCCCGAATTCTCCATTATGCAAAGGTGGGCTCCTTGCTTGATGACTACCTTGTATAACTGAATGAGTCTTTTTCTGCCACTCCTTTGGCTTACATATTTCTTAAGCATTTCCTTGCCAATTAGCATCCTCTATGAGAGATGGAAGAGAACCACACAACATAAAAAGTATTTTGTCTAGAAGTAAATCTGAAACTAACTACAGACAGTCCCTGACTTACGATGGTTGAATTTATAATGGTGAGAAAGTGATATGCCTTCAGCAGAAATCATACTTCAAATACTCATTCAACAATTCTGTTTTTACTTTCAGCACAGTGTTCAATAAATTACATGAGATATATGATACTTTATTATAAAACAGGCTTTGTGTTCAATGATTTTGCTCAACCATAGGCTAATGTAAGTGTTCTGAGCATGTTTAAGTCTAGTTAAGCTATGATGTTTGGTAGGTTAGGTGTATTAAACGCATTTTCAACCTGAGATGCATTTATCTGGCTATAACCCCATCATAAGTCATGAAGCATCTATAGTTAAATTAAGTCTTCACTTTGTAACATTTGTTTCTTCCTGTCACTCCTCCATTTTATTAGCACATATTAAGACTTTATTCTCTGAGTATTAACTATTTTTATGAAAACACACACATACACACACACATCAGATTTTTCCATGTCCCATGCTCAATGTGGGTGTAGTCCTTGTATTTTCTCTGTGATGAAACAAGAAGAAACCCTAATTAAATATCTAGAGATCTACTGCATTGCCTTTAAACCTGTGACCATGACTGTCACTAAATTTCCCAAGGTTTTGGTTTCTTATTTGATAAAATAACTAGTGTAGGAAGCTGGGCAAGATTCTTAGTTAAGTTTTTCCTGGATTTAAAAACTATTGCCCAATTCTTCCAGGATCACTTGAAAACTTAGCAATTTATCTATGCATTTTTTTCTATATCTTGTTGTTAAGATGCTCAGATTCCAGGCAGCTAACTCCTACTGAGAGCATCCTTTAGTGTAGCTTGTGGTAGTTTTGACAATAGTCTCAAGGAGGGGCTACAAAGGACTAGAAATTCTATTCCATGACTGTAGTTTTACTAGATACCTTCTTGTGGTTTAGCTTCTTCAACCAAGATTCCATGTTATCGTGGTGTTATCACATGAAGAAGGATTAAAATGTCACTTAAATATATACATCACACTCTAAAATATCAACTTCATCCTCAGGCTCTTCCTAATTCAGGTATGGATCTTGTATATTGTGTCATGGGACATCAACACATTTGCCATGCCAAATTCAGTTCATCAATCTCATCTAACCAGAGCATAAGCAAAAAGAAAAAAGAATAACTTAACTGTAAAAAATAATGAATCTAAAATGATGTTTTAAAAGAGGAAAATAAAATCAATTTGGTGTTGCTTTAATTTTTGATGATTTACAGTAGGAGTTCTAATGCCCAGCAGGTACCATTTGACATTTTCATCTCCAGTGCTGTGAAGAGATTAGCACTTACTGGTATTGATTTAAACTAGGATTTATACCAGGGCTGTCATTTTTATGGAAAGCACAATAAAAGAGATTAGAAAGAAATTGCCAGGTGGCCCAGGTCTAATCAATTGTAGAATGCTTTCATTGGGAACTTGCAATTTTACCAAGCAGAAAGTTAACACACACAGGATAAGCAATAGGAAATGAAATTCACATCAGGCCTTAAGAATTGTGGCAAGGCCAAAACCAAACCATATCACACAGTTGGTAGCATCACTCTACTAACTTTCCATGAAATTTCCAAGGCGAAATATCTGTGAAAGACAGTATTTTAGTGCCCACTGAAATAGAACAAACCCCTGCTGAAGGACCGAAGGGAAACACATGATGTATTTCAAGTCAGAACATGTAAGGCTGCATTTGGTGAGATTTTCTTAAGGCTGCAGTCAAGTTGACTCAACTAGGGTATATAACTTTTATTTGGTTTTGATTGAGAGGGAGGAGTTACTCTATGATTGACTGGAGGTCAAGAAGTCTGATGTCAGAGAACTCAAAGTTCACTGCTCGAATTGAACTCAAAGCCCAGAAGAGATAGACGGTGGAGAGAAAAGTAATGTGAAGAGCATTTATTGCTAAATTCAGAATCAGAGCTCACATAGCAACTGGCAGTTGACACATGAACGGTGAGATAAAAGTATCAAAAGAGATGTCAACAGACATTTTTGACATCCTAGCAAAGATGTAGCAAATCAACCTGAGGTAATCTGCTTTACTTGAAAAAATTAACCAGAAAGAAGATTCTACTTACAATGGCATTAAATTAGTTACAAGTTCAACACATACCCTACGCCAGTTATTGTGCAAAGGGCCCAAGATAGAAAAACTTAAAATCTGGGAATACTTCACATAAGAATGCTCACAACCTACAGGATGAAAGGTTGGAAATGAAGGTGGCTTATTACAGGACACAGTGATAATTGTGATAATAGTTTTATGGCACAGAGGGCAAAGACAGCTCAGAGGAGAAAGCAGTTCAGTCTTTTGGGAAGAGCAGAGAGAATGGGATCAAGGATGGCTTCTAAGGGGAGCTCAAATAAGAGTAGAGTTTTGAAGAATAAGTGGAAAGACAAGGGAGGGAAGAGCATTCCAGGGGGAGGGAACAGAGGTGTGAAGGCACAGAATCATGACTGCATGTAGGACACGAGTTGGGAGAGGGGTCCAGAGTCTGGACTTTATTCCACAGGCGAGGGAAAATTCTGGCTGGTTTTAAGTGTGTGTATGTGTGGTGTGTGCATGGGCCAGGTAGGGAGAGTGACCTGATCAGAATCGTGTCTTAGAATGACCACCTGTTACCATCCTAGTCTTCACTACCTGGACCCATGCAATGCTCTTTTACCTTGTCTTTTTGCTTTCAATCTTGCCTCCAGAGTGTGATGCTCCAAAAATGTCACACTTCTGCTCAAACCTGTCAATGGCTCCTCATGGAACCCAGAGAAGGCCTGTTACATAGAACCACATCTCCTAGTACTCAACAAGGATTCTCTGCTTCCTTTCTGGTCCTCAAACTCATCTGTCTCAGGGCCTTTGTGCACATCATTTTCTCTTCCTAGAATAGTTTTTCTCTGGAAATCTCCATGCTTGTTCCTTCAGCTGACCCAGGTGCTCAGATGTCACCTTTTCCAAGAAGTCTTCTCCAGCTACTCTGCACTCAATATAACAGTGGGGGAAGGAATGAATCAATGGATGAGTAAATAGAGGGGACAGTAAAGGCGGTAAGTGTCCCACAAGAGGTTTGGGAGAGTCTGAGGAGAGCTAATACAAATATGTGGGAATTAAGGTTCTTGGATGGGACTTGGTGGATAGGGCAGAGATGGGTGTGGGGAGTCTGAGGGATTAGAAGGTGCAGAGGGTCACTCCTGGGGTCTGAACTGGAGGACTGGATGATTGCAGGACATATTTTCGGAGGGAAGCAGGAATGGTCAGAGAACAAATAATAAGAACATTATCTAATGTTCCAGGCACTGTGCATTAAGTGTATTTCTCACTTCATTCTGTATGATAGGTACTTACCCTTATCATTATCATCATCACTTTTTTTCCAGGATGAAGAATATGAGGCTCAAGGAGGTTAAGCAACTTGCTGAAGCTCACACATCAGTAAGAGTCAGAGTCTCAACCTAAACCTAGATCTAATGCAGTTTATGTAAACGTAAGTTACTGTGGTTACTGCTATTAGATTTAAGTGTGAAAATCAACTCCAACAATCTATATGGAAGTTTAGGAGATACACGAATCAGATGTAGCTTTGCATTATGAACAGCACTGCAAATGCCCTGCTCCTTCTTTTTAGAGCAAGAAGTTAATTTGTTGTTTAACTTGAATCCTCTATGCAATGGACTTAACCCATTCCCTTTTACCCTAAACCCGTAGAAATCTGAATCCCAACTCCTTCAAGCAGTGCTGGCCAGGCTGCTGCCTGTTTTATATGGTCTGGGCACTCCACAACTAGAGGAAGTTGCCATGATGTGAATGCTCCTGCTGGAGCTGTGCAATATGGCAGCTCCACAATTTTTGTGACACATGTTCTAAAAAATTGTCATTCACTATACTTACCACCTGTTAGGGAAGAAAAGGTAAGTGGAATATTTTCAGAGAAAAAGAGGAGATAGAAAAAGAATGAAAGCCTTGACAACCGTGGAAAAAAGGCTCAATTCTTTGAGAGAGGATGTGGTGAAAATACCCCTGAAAGGCACTAAGACCAGCATGGGCAAGGTAGGTCATTAACACATTGCAAGGTGGGGTGTCTGGGCACAGGTGGGGAAACAAAGAAAGAAAAGCCACAGCTACTTTCATAAATATTTTATTCACAGTAAGAACGTTGACCTTTTCTTTAAGCCAAGTGCTTTAAAAACATACAAATGGGCAGTCAGTTCTTGTAAAATTACCTATCAAATCAAGAGGTCGTTGAAAATATTGCTTAACATCTTTTACTTTTCACTTAGATGAAGAACATAGATCTTGCCTGGTGGACCAAATTTTACAGTACTTCCCCCCTCCTCCCCTCCTGCCCTCCCTCCTTCCCTTCTTCCCTCCTTCCTTCCCTCTTTTCCTCCACTTTAAAAAATAATTGTATAAAGTTTACCTTTTAAACCCCTCTTATTTTGAAATGGAATACAGATACAGAAAGAATGCACAAAATATAAATATACATTTTAACAAATTATTGTAAGCACTGAAGTAACAGCCATGCAGATTAAAACATAGATCATTGCCACTACTCTAAAGCTCACTTCTCCACCTGCCCCTTCCCCAATTACATTCCCTTCTCTCACCTAGATGTGCCATTCTCCTGATATTTATGGTAACCATTTCCTTGTTTTCTTTTATAGTTTCACCACCAAAGAGTGGATCCTCAAACTATAATTTTGTCTGCTTTCAAAACTTATGCCAGTGGAATCATATTAGAGATTTTTCTTTTGATCTTGCTCTTTTTGGCTCAGTGATATGTGTTGAAGGTCCATCCATGTTGTTGTTGTGTGTCACTGCAGTTCATTCATTGTCATTTCTCCATAGCAAGGGCCACACTTTCTCTGTAAAGGACCAGAAAGTAAATGCATATGTCTTTACAGAACATATAAAGTCTATCACATATTTTTCTTTCTTTTTTGTAAAATAAGCCTTGAAAAATGTAAAAAAACACACACACTCTTAGCTTGCTTGACATAAAAAAGAGCAGGCCACAGGCCAGACGTGGCTCATGGACCGTGGCTGGCTGCCCCTTGGTCCTGTAGTATCTACCATATGATTCAACATGTAACTCTAGAGTTGAAGGACAGTTTCATTGCTCTCACTTGATTCTTTATGATGTACATAATATTATTACAAATAATATTATCATCATTACTGTCTTATACAGTCAATTGTTACTTAGAATTACCCACACATTGATCGCTTTCTTCAATTTTCATGTATTTTTGCTTATTCCTGTTTATTGTTTCTGCTGATCTTTACTTATAGTGTCTTGTCTTTTTGTGTATTTGTTTATCTGTCTTTGACTATGTGCTGGATATTGCATTTTAAAAATTATTTGTAGAAATAACTTACAGTATAGAACTTATTTTTTTCTCCAAAGATTTTCCATGGATTTTTCTAGGTACCTATAGGTACTAGTAATCAGGGATAATCTTAATCCAGCTTTAGGGTCTGGAATTTCCTGGATTACCCAGAAGAGTTATAGCAGTCTGCAGTCTATGTCAGAGCTAGTTTACTTTCATTTCACCCTGACTCCTGGAATCTTAGACCGAAACCAGGGGGGTTACCTTGACAGGCCCAGGACCTTGGCATGCATTCTCCTAACCTGATGAGGTTGTCAGTAGTGCATTTCGGATCATCAGCTCTGTTTTCAGGATTGGCAATTGCCTTGAGGATGTAAGTGGCCTGGGGGGCAGGACTCACAAGTTACCCTCTTTGAACCCCAATTTCCTCATCTATAAAGTGGAGATAATGAGTCCTATCCTATAGGGCTGCTTTTGGAATTACAGAGGTTATTTCTGAAAGATTAGGATGGGACGTGACTCAAGTAAGCCTAAAATACACACAACATTTGCTGTAGTTGTTGTTATTGTTCATGTCATTATATTATTATTTAGACACTTGCACCAGAAATATAACAATCAAAATAAGACAATAAATGTAGATGCTTGATGAGAAGTACAGAAGAAAGATGGCATCTGAGACCCGAACTGTCCTTACCCATACAGCTTAATGTCTACCTCAATGCAGCTTCACTATTCCACTATCTTCAACAATATGCCATCACTCTTCTAGGCAACTCTTGCCCAGGAAGTTGCAAATAACTTGATTGGTCATTCCAGAAACTTCCTGAAAGATCTATCACCTCTTCAGTAGAAAGCACCACCTTACAGTTTATACCCCAAGTCTTTGAACACATCATCACAAATTCATGAATCCTAAGTGATTTTGACATGATTATTGCCCATTCCTAACCAAGCCTACAACCACCAACCCCATTGAAAGACACACCTTAAACCAGACTTCAAAATCTCCTAAGTATCCCTATTTTGCCCTGCCCCTCTGTGAAGTGCTAGTATGACTCTCAAAGTAGTGCTTTCACTTACTGCAGAAGGATAAACTGAGGTTTATCTTTTCAACAGATTGTTTTGGAGATATTTTCAGGAACCAGCATTCCACACAGTGGAAGAGAAAATGGGGAGAGAAATGATTATTTTCTTGTATTTCTAACAGTGAGCACTGTCTTATTCCTGGGAAGTGCTCAGTAATGACTGGATGAACACTTGAGATGACTGGACACTTGAGTGTATCCTCAGAGCACACCTTCCCCAGATGAACTTAAAGTGTGACTCAAGAGTCATTTTAAATATTAATACAATTAATGTAGTAAGAGCTAATATTTATTATTTATTACTGGCCAAGCACTGTTTAAATGTCCTGTTAAGGAATAATTTTAAAAAAGGATAAAATGATCCTTATACAGATAAAAATGAGCACCTGTCAAAAATTTAACTCACTAATTATTGAGGATCTGGTAACATGCTACAACTAGTTCAAACACATTTATAGTTAAATGAAAAATACTGAAATAAATTTACAACCAAATGCAAAACTGGCCAATATCACTTACATTCCCAGGGCAATAATCAGTTACATTCCCTGGAACTCAATTTGTATTTCATGGGTAAAAACGATTCACATTATTATCAGTTTTCTACAACTTCAGAATTGTGAAATAACTCAAAGATGAGGAAAGGTGGAGATTAACCCAGATGAATAAGGAAGTCAGGATCCCACTAATCCTTTTACTCATTTTAAAGTCTTTTATACATCAAGTATTCATGATTAAAAACAAACAAACAAACAAAAACACTTTCCAAAGTAGCAATAGAGGAAACTTCTTTAATCAGTTAGAGACGTATCTATACCAAAAACCTACAGCAGACATCAGCCTGTCTGGTGAAGGCCTGGAAATTTTCCTTTCAAGATGAAGATCAGAACATGGATGTTCACATTTTCTGCTTTCACTTGCTATTGTAGTAGGAGAGGTCTTAAGTGGATATGGCAGAAAGAAAGAAAGAATGAATGAAAAATAAAAAGGAATGAACTACTGATGCATGAAACAGCTTGGCTATATCTCAAATCATCATGCTAAGTGAAAAGAGCTAGACAAAAAAGGCTCCATAATGTGTGATTTCGTTTATATTGCACCCCTGGAGAAAGCAAAAGTGTAAGAACAGAAACCAGATTACTGGTTCCAGGGACTGGTGTGGGGAAAGGAGCTGATTACAGAGGGGTACAAGGGAATTTATGGGGTCATGAACTTTTAAAAATCTCCATTGTGGTGATAGTTATGTTATATGATGTTATGCATTTGTCAAAACTCATAAAACTGTATACCAACAGGTGAATTTTACTGTATTTAAATTATATGTCAATAAATATGACGAAAAGCAAGTGCATAAATGTATAGGATTGTCATATCTCTTTGACTAATTGATCCTCTTGACATTATGACCTGACCATTTTTATCTCTGATAATATTCTTGGCTTTGAGATCTACTTTGTCTTATATTAATCAGGCCACATCTGTTTTTTTGTTTGTTTGTTTTGTTTTGTTTTTTTGAGACGGAGTCTCGCTCTGTCGTCCAGGCTGGAGTGCGGTGGCACGATCTCTGCTCACTGCAAGCTCCGCCTCCCGGGTTCACGCCATTCTCCTGCCTCAGCCTCCCAAACAGCTGGGACTACAGGTGCCTGCCACCACGCCTGGCTAATTTTTTGTATTTTTAGTAGAGACAGGTTTCACCGTGTTAGCCAGGATGGTCTCGATCTCCTGACCTCATGGTCCGCCCACCTCTGCCTCCCAAAGTGCTGGGATTACAGGCGTGAGCCACCATGCCCGGCCCACATCTGTTTTTTTAAATGGTGTGATTGACCCACCCAAGGAGACCCCCATTGTCATGCCCTTGTATGATGCCATCCTATGAGTGCAGGTGAAACTTATGACTTGCTTCTACCCAACAGAATATGAGAAAATTGATTTTTTCTTTCTTTTATTTTGGATAGCTTCTATTGCTATGTTTTCAAGTTTATCAGTCTTTTCTTCTGCAAGGTCTAATCTGCCATTAATTCCATCCAGTGTATTTTTTATCTCAGATATTATAGTTTTTGTCCCCAGAAAATTGGACTGGGGTTAAAAAAAATTTCTATGTCTTTACTTCATCTCTGAACATATGAAATACCATTATAATAATTGTTTTGTTGTTCTCAAATGCTAATTTTAGCATTGGGTCAGGTCTGGGTCACTTTCAATTGATTGATTTTTCTCTCTTTGTTATAGATTATATTTTCCACGATTTATCCATGGCTTGTTATCATTGATTGGATGTCAGGCATTATCTGGTTTTATGATAGGTATTTTTTATTTCTACACATTTTCTTGAGCTGTTTTTTCTAGGATGCAGTTCATTTACTTGGAAATACTTTTATTCTTTTGCATCTTACTTTTAAAATTTGTTAGGCAAGACAAGAACAGTTAATTTTTCTCCATGACCAATGCAAAATCCTCCTGAGCACACTACAGAATGATTTTCTTTATTGTTTAGATTCCAAATATTTAAGTATTTTATCAATATCTTTCTCTTATTGATTTCTAATTTTATTATCATTGATTTTCTTTATTATTTAGATTCCAAATACTTATTTTTCTCAATATCTTTCTCTTATTGATTTCTAATTTATTTCTTTGTGAACAGAAAACACATAAATTATGAGGTAGTTATAAATTATGAGACTGGAACGTCTGGCTGGGGGAAAGGCACTATTCCTGGCCTTGAGTCCTTTTCCCTTTACACCTTTTGGAATGCTTCTTTCCCTGGCCTCAGGAAATCTCATGTATGTGCTTATTGGTACTTTGCTGAATATTTGAGTGAGACCCTCTGCAGATCTCTCTCCTCTTTGGTACTCTGTCCTGAGAACTCTGTTGCCTTGTCCTTCCCAGGCCCTCAACTCCATCCTTTAAACTGAGGAAGTCTGCTGGCCTCTACCTTGGTTCTTTATTACTCTGCCAAGGATGGGAACTCTCTCAAGGTAGTAGCTGAGGTTATTGTAGAGGTGACTTTTTTTTCCCTCATCTCTCAGGGGTCACTGTCCTTCATTGCCTGATGTCCAATATTTTGAAAATCATTGTTCAACAAATTTTACCTTTTGGGGGTTGTTTTAAGCAGAAAAATAAATCCAGTACCTGTTATTTCATCTTTACCTCTTGCAGTTTTAACGTGTGATGCTTAAAAGAGAGATCAGTAAATAAAAGCAAATTGCATTGTGTCTGGTAATACAGCTAGATAAGAAGGAATCTGTACCTATGAGAAACACTTAGTAAGTTTCTTCGTTTCTCTGTTACCTTGATCATTTTTCCTAATAATCAAAGTCTGCAAGATTGAATGTGTAGATGTATCAGTGCTTTGGACATTTTATTATGCTTTGATGTTATCTTCACACTTTTTTCTTCATCTTCCTGTGAAAGGATATGACTTATCTTTGCTCCATTAAAAGAAAAGAAGGCCCGACAGCTCAGAATTCTTAAATGGAATGGATTGTAATTGAAAAGTACTCTCCAACTCAATCAGTTCTTGTTTATGCAAGATACAGAGTGGAGAAAAGGCACTCTCCATATATGCACATGTACATGTAGGAACACATCACTAGGACTATTTTCAGATTACAAGTTGTAGAGTTTCCCATCTTGCCTGCAGCTTTTATTCCAGGTGTCCAAAGCCCTCCAGCTCACATTCCTCACATCTTTATCAAAACCTATATAATCTCTTAAAGGAAGAGTTACTAGCTCAATGTGAAGTGCTGCCAGGGATTAAAAATGTTACTGTGGGAAGTTGCTCTTGCTAGGTCTGAGACTTGACTGGATGAGCCTCAGCTGCAGCATCTGTGGTCTCGATCTAGCTTTTCTCATTGCTTTCTTCCTCCTCCCTCAGCCGGCCACAGGCAGACCTTCCTGTCACACAGTTCCTTGGGAGCTGTACCATTCCGAATCCAGTGGATAACTCATTCTGCTTTAAAGAGGAAGAAGGAGGAAAAGTTTATCTTTTGTTTCCTTCTTAGCTAATTTTAATTTTAATAAGGCTTTCTGCTGCTGGGGCTCCCCCTGAGATGGGGGCCCATCTAGAATAACTAGAAGGGTAGACGACTTTCTGCTTATGAGCTCTGAAGGTTTTTCAGCCTGCACAGGTCCTGCAACACCTGGATATCTCTGTGTGGAGCCTCTGGTGTCTGAGGCAATGCTTAAGACTGATGCTATCACAATGTTGATTGACAGGAACTTCTTCTACCACGAATATGATGAGAGAAAAGCTGGCCTCTCTGGCCTTTCTGCTCTTGCCTGCCACTGGCATCTACTTCACTGACTTTATTTTATTTTTTAGAACTGGAAGACCTGCTGGTGGTGCATTTAAAAAGGTTTAAAGAAATGAATAAACAAAGATGCAAATACTTTAAGAGTGCTGCACACAGCATGCAAATGTGGCAAAATTTGTGAATAATCACAGGAAAGGGATATGTCAGATAAAATTCTTTACATCTCCTCTCTCATGTTTGGATCTGTGGGAAGAAGGGGGCAGTGCGTCTGCTGCTGTTCTGAACACAATTCCTGTCTTTGATGCTGGGTGCTCGTGACCCTATGTGCCAGCTTATTTTTCACTCCCTGGACGGCTTCAGAGATTTCACGGTTTCTGTGATGGGAAGCTTAGAGGATTCCTGAGACATCCTGCAGCTGTGCTTGTTCTGGGTCACCAGCCCAACTGTAACTTTGCATCTACATAACCATTTTGGCAAAAACGTGATGGTTTTTATTCATTTCCATCGCAAGTGCCCTGCATTGTCCTGATATGTCTTCCTCCTGAGCCCTTCAATGGAAGTCTTATTCCCTGGTTCTAGTGGGGTGTCTTTTAGTTGCCCCCACTAACAGGCCCCCCAGTTGTGTTTTAACCTCACATGGAAGACAGACAGGAGCAGGAGATGGGTGTTACAGTGTAGTGTGGGGCTTCTGTTGTGGGGTTCCAAGGCTACAGTTCCCACAATGTCCTTCACCTCTGGCCTGGAGCCAGGAGACTCAGTGGACACATGAACCAGATTTACTTTTTTTTGTATAGTTATGCAACTTTTATTTATCAGAAAAATCATATCACACAAACACAGATGTCCAGTAAGTCCTCACCTAATGTTCAAAAGAGGTTCTTGAAAACTGCAACTTTAAATGAAACAATATTGCTATACACTAAACGTAACTCTTGTTTGTATCAATTAAACGCTGGTAAAACTAGTTTACTTTTTTCTTTCTTTTTTTTTTTTTTTTTTTTTTTTTTGAGGCAGAGTTTCACTCGTCACCCAGACTGGAGTGCAATGGTGCGATCTCGGCTCACTACAACCTCTACCCCCCTGCTGAAGTTGTAATTAAACTATTCCCTGCATTCTTTTCTGCAAACACTTTAACTACTATGTCAGTATCGGGGTTCAAGTGATTCTTCTGCATCAGCCTCCCGAGTAGCTGGATTACAGGTGCCCACCACCATGCCCGGCTAATTTTTTGTATTTTTAGTAGAGACAGGACTTTGCCATGTTGGCCAGGCTGGTCTTGAACTCCTGACCTCCTGATCCGCCCACCTTGGCCTCCCAAAGTGCTGGGATTACAGGCGTAAGCCACCGTGCCCAGCCCTAAAATTAGTTTTCTTTAATTATATATTGCTTCACTTACAGTTTCCAAGAATCTATCAACAATGTTAAGAATTTACTATACACATATATAACATATAGGTGTGTGTGTGACAGCCATTTTTATACAGATATAGATAGATATATCTCGATGACAGAATCTCAGTTAGGCTTCCTACTAAATAAGACAAAATTATAAGATAATAGTTATTAAGAAATACGGTAATGATTGAGAGCATAATATACACTTAGCAATGTTCTAAGCTGGTTAATGACATACTGCACTTAAGAAATCTAGAAGGTGAGTAGATACTTTAAACCGGTGACCAACCCTTTGAATGCAAGGACTTTTTTGCTTATCTATGGTGGCGTATATCACAAAAATTATTCATGAAACTTCGTTTTAAGCTTATCAGCTATTATTAGTGTTAGTGTATTTTATGTGTGGCTCAAGACAATTCTTCTTCCAATGTGGCCCAGGGAAGCCAAAACATTGGAAACCTGTGCTTTATACTATATTTAATTTGAGAATTTGCACCTACAGAGTTTAAATCACAAATCTCAGTTTATACTAAAACAATAACATTTTGAAATAACAGTACATTTTTTAATATTTAGAAAAACGTTTATTGTTCTGATAAAATTGCCGAGTAAGAATTTTTGTAGAATTATATTTGTAACCTCTATAGGAGTAAAAATCACAAAGCAGAAGAGGTACAACATCTGTCCCTAGTGTTCCCGGGATTTCTGAACCAAATTCCAATATGTCCACTACTCACCTTACACATTTTAGACATCATCCAAAACGAATATTTGAAAAAAAATACTTCGACATAGAGCTCCTCAATATACAAATATTCCTGTGTCTCCAAAAGCAATGGAACCACAGTCAGATCATGCAGCCCCTTACAAATGGTAAAGCGGACATTGGTTTTCCCTGTAACCTTGAAGGGAGATCACTAAAGAAAAAAGAGGATACTTAGAAGATTTAACAGCATGAGACAGAAGATGCCCCATTGGTGTATATGAGAAAAAAATGCAGCCTTTTCAGAAATTATTTTCATTGGAGCAGAGCTTCCCAAACTACATTTTAAGGCCTGGCTTCCTCCTTGACCTTAGTCCCCTTGCCTGTGTCCTCTATTTCATTCACTGTCACCTACCTGGGGGTTTGGCTACTGTCTCATATATCTTCACATTGTAGGGCTCTTTTCTTTGCTCCAGACAGGTGACCAGGTCTGGGTTACAGACAGTAACACCCAGGTTTCTGTAGTTCTGCAACGTCACATCTCTATATCAATTCTTCTGGGCACGGTCCAGGTATTTCCACTCTTCTGCAGAGAATTCTATGGCCACGTCCTTGAATGTTAATAGTTCCTCTCATTAAAGTATCTGGAAGTCCTCATGCTTGACCTTGGCCTCACTGTAATATGCGAGGAGCTTAATTTAAAAAACAGAAGTGTTTCCACCCAGAACAATAAACAGGATTTGTGGGGAGGGCACAGGTGATGATTTATCTTCAAATTGTCCATGTGATCCTATTGGAAGACTGGGCTGAGAGTCACTTAGCTAAGCTCTGCCTCTCAAGCTTCAATGTGCATATAAATTATTTGATATTCTAGGCCTCACTGTAATAAAATTTTGCAGGTTTGAAAAGAGTCCATGAATTAGCTTCTTATAGCAAGTCTCCTGTTAATGCTGATGTTTCTCCTCCTAGACTCATTATAGTACCACTTGGCTAGAGAAAAGCACAGCACACAGAGTCCCTTACCCCAACACCCTTATCACAACACAAATACTTTTCATCTGAAGACAAGACCACCAATCATCTTCCAGAAGCATGGCATTCTCTGCAGGCCCTTTAAAGTTTACAGAGGCTGCAGGTGGTGTCAAAAATATGGAACGCTTCACGAATTTGCATGTCATCCTTGCGCAGGGGCCATGCTAATCTTCTCTGTAACGTTCCAATTTTAGTATATGTGCTGCGGAGGGGAGCACCAGATTCATTTTTTTAAAAAACACTTTTATTTTAGGTTCAGAGGTGCATGTGCAGGTAGGTTTTTTATATAGGTAAATTGCGGGTCATGGGGGTTTGGTGTACGGATCATTTAATCACCAAGGTGATAAGCATAGTACCTGATAGGTAGTTTTTGATCTTCTCCCTCCTCTCACCCTCCACCCTCAAGTAGATCCAGATGTCTGTTGTTCTCTTCTTTGTGTTCATGTGTACTCAGTGTTTAGCTCCATCTCACAAGTGAGAACATGCCGTGCTTGATTTCCTGTTCCTATGTTAGTTGACTTAGGATTATGACCTCCAGCTCCATCCATGCCTCTGCAAAGATCATGATCTCATTCATTTTTATGGCTGTGTAGTATTCCATGACGTATATGTGCCACATATTCTTTATCCAGTCTGCTCTTGATGAGCATTTAGGTTGATTCCCTGACTTTGCTATTGTGTAGTGCTGTGATGAACACATACATGCATGTGTCTTTATGGTAGAATGATTTATATTCCTCTGGGTATATTCTCAGTAATGGGATTGCTGGGTTGAGTGGTACTTCTGTTCTTTTAATTTTTATTTATTTATTTTAATTATTATACTTTAAGTTCTAGGGTACATGTGCAGTACTTGCAGGTTTGCTACATATGTATACATGTGCCATATTGGTTTACTGCACCCATTAACTTGTCATTTACATTAGGTATTTCTCCCAATGCTATCCTTCCCCTTTCCCCCCACCCCACCACAGGCTCCAGTGTGTGATGTTCCCTGCCCTGTGTCCAAGTGTTCTCATTGTTCAATTCCCACCTATGAGTGAGAGCATGCAGTGTTTGGTTTTCTGTCCTTGTGATAGTTTGCTCAGAATGATGGTTTCCAGCTTCATCCACATCCCTACAAAGGACATGAAACATCCTTTTTTATGCCTGCATAGTATTCCATGGTGTATATGTGCCACATTTTCTTAATCCAGTCTATCATTGATGGACATTTGAGTTGGTTCCAAGTCTTTACTATTGTGAATAGTGCTGCAATAAACATAGGGGTGCATGTGTCTTTGTAGGAGCATGATTTATAATCCTTTGGGTATATACCCAGTAATGGGATTGCTGGGTCAAATGGTATTTCTAGTTCTAGATCCCTGAGGAATTGCCACACTGACTTCCACAATGGTTGAACTAGTTTACAGTCCCACCAACAGTGTAAAAGTGTTCCTATTTCTCCACATCCTCTCCAGCACCCGTTGTTTCCTGACTTTTTAATGATCGCCATTCTAACTGGTGTGAGATGGTATCTCACTGTGGTTTTGATTTGCATTTCTCTGATGACCAGTGATGATGAGCATTTTTTGATGTGTCTGTTGGCGGCATAAATGTCTTCTTTTGAGAAGTGTCTGTTTATATCCTTTGCCCACTTTTTGATGGGGTTGTTTGATTTTTTCTTGTATATTTATTTAAGTTCTTTGTAGATTCTGGATATTAGCCCTTTGTCAGATGGGTAGATTGCAAACATTTTCTTCCATTCTGTAGGTTGCCTGTTCACTCTGATGGTAGTTTCTTTCTTTTCTTTCTTTTCTTTTCTTCTTTTCTTTCTTTTTTTCTGAGACAGGGTCTCGCTTTGTCACCCAGGCTGGACTGCAGTGGTATCATCTTGGCTCACTGTAACCTCCACTTTCCCAGTTCAAGCGATTCTCCTGCCTCAGCCTCCTGAGTAGCTGGGATTACAGGTGCATGCCACCATGCCTGGTTAATTTTTGTATTTTTAGTAGAAACGGGGTTTCAGCATGTTGGTCAGGCTGGTCCGGAACTCCTGACCTTGTGATCTGCCCACCCTGGCCTCCCAAAGTGTTGGGATTGAAGGCACGAGCCACCACATCCAGCCTGTTTTTTTCTTTTTTTTGAAAATTGTGTGTTCATGTGCTTTGCCCACTTTTTAATGGGGTTGTTTGATTTTTGCTTGTTAATTTGTTTAAGTTCCGTATAGATACTGGATATTAGACCTTTGTCAGATGCATAGTTTGTGAATGTTTTCTCCCATTCTGTATGTTGTCTGTTTATTTTCTTGGTAGTTTCTTTTAAACTGTGCAGAAGCTCTTTAGTTTAATTAGGTCCTCTTTGTCAATTTTTGTCTTTGTCATAATTGCTTTTGGTGTATTTGTCATTAAATCTTTGCTAGGCTCCTAGGTTATCTTCCAGGGTTTTATAGTTTCAGGTTTTACATTTAAGTCTTTAATTGATCTTGAGTTAGTTTTTGTTTATGGTGTAAGGAAGAGGTCTAGCTTCAGTCTTCTGCATATGGCTAGCCAGTTACTCCAGCACCATTTGTTGAATAGAAAATCATTTCCCCATTGTTCTTTTTGGTCAACTTTGACAAAGATCAGAAGATTGTAGGTGTGCAGGTTTATTTCTGGGTTCTCTATTCTTTTCCATTGGTCTATGTGAGTGTTTTTGCACCAGTACCATGCTGTTTTGATTACTATAGCCTTGTAAGATAGTTTGAAGTTGGGTAACATGATTCTTCCAGCTTTGTTTTTTTTTTTTTTTTGGCTTAGAATTACCTTAACTATTCAAGCCTTTTTTGGTTCCATGTGATTTTTAAAATAGTTTTTTTTTTCTAATTCTGTGAGGAATGTCATTGGTAGTTTGATAGGAATAGCACTAAATCTGTAAATTGCTTTGGGTAATGTGGCCATTTTAAAAATCTTGATTCTTCCTATCTATGAGCATGAAATTTTTTTTATTTGTTTCTGTCATCTCTGATTTTTTTTTTTTTTTTTTTTTTTTTTTTTTTTTTTTTTTTTTGAGACGGAGTCTCGCTCTGTCGCCCAGGCTGGAGTGCAGTGGCGGGATCTCGGCTCACTGCAAGCTCCGCCTCCCGGGTTCACGCCATTCTCCTGCCTCAGCCTCCCAAGTAGCTGGGACTACAGGCGCCCGACACTACGCCCGATCTCTGATTTCTTTGAGCAGTGTTTTGCAGTTCTTGTTGTAGAGACCTTTAACCTCCCTGGCTAGCTATATTCCTGGTTATTTTATTCTTTTTGTGGCTATTGTGAATGGGGTTAAATTCTTGATTTGGCTCTCAGCTTGAACGTTGTTAATGTATAGAAATGCTACTGTTTTTTGTACATTGATTTTGTATCCTGAAATCTTAAGTTGTTTATCACTTCTAGGAGCTTTCAGGCAGACTATGGGGTTTTCTAGGTATAGAATCATATCACATGCAAATAGAGATAGTTCGACTTCCTCCCTTCCTATTTGGATTCTTTTCATTTCTTCTTTTATTTCTTTCTCTTACCTGGTTGCTCTGGTTAGGACTACCAGTACTATGTTAAATAGGAGTGGTGAGAGTGGGCATCCTTGTCTTATTCCTGTTCTCAAGGGGAATGCTTCCAGATTTTGCCCATTCAGTATGATGTTGGCTGTGGATTTTTCATAGATGGCTCTTATTATTTTGAAGCATGTTCCTTCAATGCCTAGTTTGCTGAGGATTTTTAGTATGAAGGGATGTTGAATTTTATCAAAATCTTTTTCTGAATCTATTGAGATGGTTATTGGCCTTTGTTTATAGTTCTGTTTATGTGGTGAATCACATTTATTGATTTTCATATGTTGAACCAACCTTGCATCCCAGTGATAAAGCCTACATGATGGTGGTGGATTAGCTTTTCAATGTGTTGCTGGATTTGATTCGGTAGTGTTTTTTGAGGATTTTTGCATCTATGTTTATCAAGGATATTGGCCTGAAGTTTTCTTTTTTTGTTGTGTCTCTGCCAGGTTTTGGTATCAGGATGATGCTGGTCTTATATAATAAGTTAAGGAGGAGACTCCGCTCCTTAATTTTTGGGAATGGTTTCAGTAGAAATTGTACCAACTCCTTTTTATATATCTGGTAAAATATGGCTGTAAATCTGTCTGGTTCTGGGCTTTTTCTGTCTGGCAAGCTTTTTATTACTGATTCAGTTTCAGAACTTGTTATTGGTCTGTTCGGGTATTCAGTATTTTCTGGTTCAATCTTGGAAGACTGTATGTTTCCAGGAATTTATCCATTTTTTCTGGGTTTTCCAGTTCACATGCATAGAGGTGTTCAGAGTAGTTTCTGAAGTTTTTTTTTTTTTTGTATTTCTATTGTGTCAATAGTAATGTCCCCTTTGTTGTTTCTGATTGCGTTTATTTGGATATTCTCTCTTTTATTGTTGGTTTGTTTGTTTGTTTTTGAGAAGGAGTCTTGCTCTGTCACCCAGGCTGGAGTGCAGTGGCGCAATCTTGGCACACTGCAACCTCTGCCTCCCGGGTTCAAGTGATCCTCCTGCCTCAGCCTTCCAAGTAGCTGGGACTACAGGCATGTGCCACCATGTCCAGCTAATTTTTGTATTTTTAGTAGAGATGGGGTTTCACCATATTGGCTAGACTGGTCTTGAACTCCTGATCTTGTGATCCACCCACCTCGGCCTCCCAAAGTGCTGGGATTACATGCATGAGCCACCATGCCCAGCCTCTTTTATTCTTTATTAGTCTAGCTAGCAGCCTGTCAATCTTATTTATTCTTTAAAAGATTCATATCCTGGATTTGTTGATCTTTTGTATGGTTTTTGACATCTCAGTTTCCTTCAGTTAAGCCTTGATTTTGGTTATTTCTTTTCTTTCACTAGCTTTCAGTTGGTTTGCTCTTATTTTTCTGGTTCCTCTAGATGTGACATTAGGTTGTTAAATTGAGACCTTTCTAACTTTTTGATGTGGGCCTTTAGCACTATGAACTTTCCTCATAACATTCTTTATCTGTGTCCCAGAGATTCTGGTATGTTGTATCATTGTTATTCTTATTAATTTCAAAGAATTTCTTGATTTCTACCTTAATTTTATTGCTTACCCAAAAGTCATTCAGGAGCAGGTTGTTTAATTTTTATTTACTTGTATGGTTTTGAGTGATTTTCTTGGTATTGATTTCTATTTGTGTTGTACTGTGGTCTGAGAGTGAGTTTGGTATGATTTTAGTTTTTTGGAGTTTGCTGAGGATTGTTTTATGGCCGATTGTGTGGTCTATTTTATAGTATGTGCCATGTGCAGATGAGAAGAATGTATATTCTTTTGTTTTGGGGTGGAGAATTCTGTAGATATCTGTTGGGCTCATTTGGTAAAATGTTGAGCTCATGTCCTGAATATCTTCATCAGTTTTCTGCCTTGATGATCTGCCTCGTATTATCAGTTGAGTGCTGAAGTCTCTCACTATTATTATGTGGTTATCTAAGTCTCTTTGTAGGTCTCTTAAGAATTTGCTTTCTGAATCTGGGTGCTGTAGTGTTGGGTGGATATATATTTAGGATAGTTAGATCTTCTTATTGAATTGAACTCTTTACCATTATGTAATGCCCTTCTTTGTCTTTATCAATCTTATTGGCTTAAAGTCTGTTTTGTCTGAAATTAGAAGAGAAAACCCTGCTTCTTTTTGATTTCCATTTACTTGGTAGATTTTTCTCCATCTCTTTACTTTGAACCTATGGATATCATTCATATCCATATGTGTGAGACGAGTCTCTTCTAGAGAGCATACAGTTGGGTCTTGCTTCTTTATCAAACTTGCCTTTTAATTGGGGGAATTTAGCCCATTTATGTTCAAGGTTAATATTGATATGTGTGGGTTTGATCCTGTCTTCATGTTCTTAGCTGGTTATTTGGATGATTTTATTGTGTGTGTGTGTGTGTGTGTGTTTATGGTGTCAATGCTATATGTATTTAAGTATGTTTTTGCAGTTACTGGTATCAATCATTCCTTTCCACATTCAGCACTCCCTTAAGGACTTCTTGTAAGGCAGTCAGGTGGTAACAAATTCTCTTAGCATTTGCTTTTCTAAAAAGAATTTTATTACTCTTTCCTTATGAAGCTTAGTTTGTCTAGATATGAAATTCTTGGTTGGAATTTCTTTTCCTTACAAATACTGAGTATAGGCCCCAAATTTCTTCCAGCTTGTAGAGTTTCTGCTGAAAGATCTGCTGTTAGCCTGATAAGATTCCTTTTATAGGTGACCAAACCCTTCTCTCTAGCTGCCTTTAACAATTTTTCTTTCATTTTGACCTTGGAGGATCTGAGGACTATTTGTCTTGGGGATGGTCGTCTTGTGTAGTATCTTACAGGGGTTATTTGCATTTCCTGAATTTAAATGTTGGCCTCTCTAGTGAGATTGGGGAAATTTTCATGTATAATATCTTCAAATATGCTTTCCAAGTTGCTTGCTTTCTCTCCCTCTCAATAACACCAGTGAGTCATAAATTTGGTCTTTTCACATAATCCCATATTTCTCAGAGGTTTTGTTCATTCTTCTTTATTATTTTATTTTATTTTTTCTGACTTAGTTATTTTGGAGACCAGTCTTCAAGCTCTGAGATTATTTCCTCAGCTTCACCAGTTTTGCTGTTAATACTTGCAATGTATTATGAAACTCTTAAAGTGAATTTTTCAACTCTCAGTTAATTTTTCAGCTCTCTTGGTTTAATCTGGTTCTTTCTTAAAATGGCCATTTTATCTTTTATCTCTTGTGTCATTTTATTGTACCCCTTAGATTCCTTGGATTGGGTTTCAACTTTCTCCTGAATGTTAATGATCTTTATTCCTATCCATAATCTGAATTCTGTTTCTAACATTTCAGCTTGGTTAAGGACCATTGCTGGGAACAAGTGTGGTTGTTTGGAAATAAGAAGACTCTCTGGCTTTTTGAATTCCTTGACTTCTTGCACTGGTTCTTTCTCATCTGTGTGGGCTGATGTTCCTTCAGTCTTTGAAGTTGCTGTCTTTTGGATTGTTTTTTTGCTTTTATTGTTTTGGATGTCCTTGGGGATTTGATTGTGGTATAAGGTGGGTTCACTCAACTGGCTTTTATTCTAGTCTGCTCCTGGGTCTTGAAGGTGCCCCATTCAATTACTGTCTCTGTGCCCATGTTTCTTTTGTTGGGTGTTCTGGGCCACAAGGCTTCCTCAGGCAAGGAGTGTAGTTGGCAGACAGGCTGTATCCTAGCCAGGTTGGTCCTAATCTACTGTCTGAATGCTTCCCAAGGGAACATGGGGTTGCACCTGCTGCAGAGTTCAGGCAGAAGTGGGACCCCTGGGCTTAAGGCTCTAGTAGGTGTTGCCTATCTGGCTAAGAGAGGTGGGGTGGGTGGGGTTACCTGCCCTGCCATCCTGGTGTTTCTGGGGCAACAGGAGGCTACATCCCTTAGCAAACTCAGGAAGAAAGAGGACTGCTGGGCTGGAAGCTCTAGCAGGCATTGTGCTCCTGGCTGCCAGTGCTGAGGGTGGGTGTGGTGGTCTTTCCTGCTGTCTAGGTGTTTTCCAGGACAACAGAGGCTGTGCCTGCCAGTTGAGTTCAGGTAGAAGTGGGACGGTTGGACCAGCAACGCTAGCAGGCATTGCCTGTCTGGCTGTCAGTGACAGGGGTGGGTGGAGTCACCTGCTTTGACATCCGGATACTTCCCAGGACAGCAGGAAGCTGCAGCTGCTGGCTGAGTTCAGGCAGAAGCAGGATTGCTGGACCAGAAGCCTGGCAGTAAGCCCTGTTCAGTGAGGGGTGGTAGAGCAACCCTACTGCTCCCGGGTACCATGACTGTGACCTCTATTGGGGCTTGGTGCTGGTGCTGGTCTGCTGTGGGGCCCAAGGCTTGTAGAGGTCCCTTTTTGTCTTGAGAGTTACCCCCGCACAATGTCTAGGTGGCTCTCTGCCTCAGTCTAGAAGCCGTGTGGTGGTGGGGGCTGTGGAAGGGCCAGGGGATTCTCCCATTCCCAGTCTTGCACTAGTCCCCGTGGAGAGCACGCATCCCCCAGGGGCACTCATTCACTCACTCACTCACTCAGTCACTCACTCACTCACTCATTCGGAGAAATTCTCCTCACTCTGTGCTGAGCTCATACAAGCTGCTGCCCGGCGTGGCTCCTCTCTGCTGTGTCCCCCACTGCCTTGATGGATCCCGACATGGTTTCTCAGATGATCAGCTGCAGAGTCAGTGTTCACTAGTTCTTTTGTTTCCTTTCTGTGAGAGTAGCACACAGGAACTCAGAATTCACGTTTTACAGCATGATTTATTTTATTATTTGAAAACGTGTAGACAGAAAGATCCCTTTGGCCAAAGAGAAAGTCTAGAAATAGATCCAAATACATATACACATTTCATACATAAAAAGGTTAAAAAGATGAATCATTTTGAATAGTATTAGGATACCAGGATAGATGAGTGGAAAAACAATTACATTTAATTCACCTCTTACATCTTACACCAAAATGAATTTTCAAAGCATCAAAGGTTTAAATATGAAAACTGAAAACATGAATAATTAGGAAAAAATACTTAAAATCTTGATGTAGGGAAGACTTTCAAATCATGACCCCACAGCTAGCAGCTATGAAGTATTAATTTAACTACATAAAAATTTTAAAATCTTGTGTGGTAAAAATTATGACAAGCAAAGTCAAAAGCCAAATGATAAATAAAAACAAATTGTCCTGTAATCCCAGCACTTTGGGAGGCCGAGGTGGGTGGATCACCTGTGGTCAGGAGTTCGAGACCAGCCTGGCCAACATGGTGAAACCCCATTTCTACTAAAAATACAAAAAGTTCGCTGGCGTTGTCGTGGACACCTGTAATCTCAGATACTTGAGAGGCTGAGGCAGGTGAATCTCTTGAACCCGGGAGGTGGATGTTGTGGTGAGCCGAGATCATGCCACTGCATTCCAGCTTGGGAAATGAGAGGGAAGCTTCGTCTCAAAAAAAAAAAGACACCAAACAAACAAAAAACAAATTGCAACTAAGATGCAAAGAGTTAGTTACCTGAACACATGACCATTCCTGTAAATTGATTAGACAAAGTATCAAAACCACAACAGACAAATGGCAATGGATGCAAATGGATATTTGAATGAAATGGAATGAAATGGAAGTCTGAAATTAGCATCACTGGGTCAAAACCAAGGTGTCAGCATGGCCACACGTCATCTGGAGACTCTAGGGGAGAATCTGTGCCTTGCCTCTTCCCACTTCTGGGGGTTTCTGGCATCTGTGGTCTTGAGGCAATAGCATCTTCAAATCTCTTCTCACTCTGCTCCCACATCTTCTTCTTCCATGTATTCCCCTCTGTCTCTCTCTTATAAGGATACATGTGATTGCATAGGGCCAACCTGGGTAATATAGAGTAATTGCCTCACCTCAAGAACCTTAATTTAATCACAACTGCAAAATCTTTGTCATATCCAGTAACATTCATAGGATCCAGGGATCGGGACTATTATCTTTGGGGGATCATTTTTCAGCCTATCACGTCAAGGTTATACATGGCAGCATTGTTTGTCATAATTCAAGACTGGAAATGACCCAAATACCCATCAATGGAGAGCTGATTAAATAAATTATGGCATACCCATAAAATGGGATATTATGTCATTTCTGATACATAAAGGTTGACAAGATGTTGCTTTAAATGAAAAAATGCAAAGTACTAAACATGTGTGAAGTATGCTACCACTGGTAAAAAATACAGACTCCCCCATATCCACATACTTACTTATATTATGCATATGCTTGAGGATGTTTTGAATATTTCTGAAAAGATGCACAAGAAGTTAGTGACAGTATTTGCCTATTGAGAGGGGGCTTGGGGAACTGGATGGTTGGGGATGGGGTAGAAGGCAGGGCTTATTTTTCATACTATTCCCTTTATAAACTTTTAAATTTAAAACCATGTGGATTTGTTTCTTATTTAAAAACAAAGGGTTTGAAGATCTGAATAAAAAAATCAGTGCGTGTTCAAGAAAAAATACTTCTGCTGCTAGTACTGACTGGCCCTTGTTGTCCACCACATGGTCTACGTCTCCCCTGCTGTGTTGTCCTTCACACAGGGCTCCCTGCCCAGCTCAGTTTCTCTGTACCTGCTCAGATCTTGCCACTGGTAGCTGTACACTGCAGGCGGCAGCCTTCTTGTAGACCAGTTACTTTCTTTACTGTCCACTTGACTGATAGGAAATCTGCTTCTTGCTGACACAGCAACCAGTGGGAGGGAGACTGCCCTTCTGTCCTCTCATCTCTCTCCAATTCTGTTCTTTCCCAGCTCTAGTAAGTAAGTGACAGATCTGCTGCACGACCAGACTGCAACTCAGGCATGCGATGCCATCTCCCTGAATCTTGAGAGAAGCTCACACCGCTGCCTTGCCTTGGGGCAGGAGGAACAGAGCCCCCTTGCAATGGGAAGGGATCCCCCTCACTGCCCGCACTGTCCTCTCCACAAGGCTGCAGCTCTAAGAGCTATGGACTAACATCCCTTCTTCAGGCATGGAGGTGGATGTAAGGAACTGCTTGTCTGGAATATTCTTTTATAGATCACTGTACTTCATGGCAAATCCTTAGTAGTACAGCTATCACGTACCTCACACCTTCTAGCTGGAACACAGTTGGAAACTTGTAATGAGCATACAAAAGGCATTTTGAATATCCACAGTAGATATGAGAATGTTTATTATCTAAATCTCCTGCCTTTAATTTACAAGAGAACACAGAGTTCCTAATTCTGAGTCTTTTATCCCTCACTTTACTCATGTTTGTAACAGTCCCTATGACCTAATTTCCACCCTTAGCAGATTAGAAGCAGCCAGTTGTAAGTGGAAAGAGGCAAATCTAGTAACTGCATAAAGACAATGAAAGCAGCAAGAAAGTTACAACTCCCAACAAAAGGAAAGGCATAGAAACCATTTTAAAAAGAACAATAGTAACAACAAACCCAGTGAAGGAGCAAATTCTTTATTTCCCTTGAGGTCATCATTTTAATTTAGCAAGGTACAATTTTTTGCACATTGACTCTCAGTTTTCAAATATTTAATGTGTCATGTTTTAGAAGGCAGAGAAGTGTATGAGACATTTTTGAGATGTCTTTATCCTCATGTGTTTAGACTTCTTTTAATGAAAAATTGATATAAACATCATTTATCTATAGCAGCCTGTTTCATCTGTGATACCAGATACTCATCTCTGCAGTTAGGCATTTGACATATTGATACTGGGAACAGCAATACACTATTCAAATATGCATCTTGGTGGTCTCGTAACATAGAAATGGAACCAACTACTATGCTTGAAAACAAAATTTCCACTATGCACTATATACATGTAACCAAATTTCTCATTTACTCCATAAATATTACAAATTAAAAAAAAGAAAAAGGAGTTTTTACATTGGACCCCTTCAAGTCTGCTTCTAGATTCAGTGTTAACACTGACATGCACTTATTGTACATAATTCTCCCAGTTCACTTTTTTGTACTACCAAACATGTGTTTGTTCCATGACCCCATGTCACTTCCCGCCTTGCATAAGTCCACAGGATTTCATGGCAGGGTCCAGGTCTATGTAATTTTTTTGTTGAGATTAATATACCTTGAGTAAATGCTCATTTTATGTATGAATGAATGATTGTTGACTGAATTAAATATTCAAGTTTGCATGGCTTCTAACAAACAGCGTTTTAAGGGATTTTGTTAAACATGCCCATAGACACAGGTAATTGACTAGGGATGGAGACAGACGCAAGGAAGGACCAGGCTTGGTCTTCCCATAATTGGATTAGAAAACACAGAGGGAAATTTGACTGATGCCAGGTTTCAGACCTGAAGAGTTGTGTACAGTTGGCCAGGTGGTCACACTCGGCTATGTTCAAAACAATTAAGCAGAAGTGTTCTAGAATGACCAGTTGTGAGGGCTACAACATTTAGGAGGATATGCTTGGAACCTGTAGATCTGAAAGCATAACAAGTATAGTTTCATGAACATTTCAGCTGCCTAAGCATCTCTCTTTCACAAACTTCTGATTCATTATACAAATCTAAGGTCAAGATAACCAGTTGGGGGCCATCAACTATTGAGAAAGAAGGCAATAAGACATTAATTTTACAACAATATCTTGAAACTTGGGCCAGAATTCTCCTGCTTGAAAAGTCATGGTTTTGTGGGAGAACCCCAGCAAGAATCAAATGCAGATATTTAGACCCAGGGGTGAAGGACCACAGGACCAGATATTCCTCCATAGCTCTCTGGTGCTGGGTTTTATAATATTTTAATGAAGCAAGGATCGAGTCTGCTAAAAGTTAAAACACTTCTGTGTCTCACTTCTTCTCATTAGGGACTGTGGTCTCTTCAGCAGGTTTGGGTGGGCTGTGGAAAAGGAGGCTTTTCACAGTGGGGCCCTTTCCACTTGGACACAAAAAGGCTGTTTCTTGCAGTTGGGAGTGTTCTTCTAACCAGAGGAGGCTGGTGTGCTGTGTAGCTGTGAGTCAGGAAGGCTCAACCAGAGAACAAGTTGGAGACAGACACTGTGGCCCTGGGAGATGTTTCTGGCTCATGGCTCCCATCCTCCATGTTCCTTGCCTTGGTCCCCATGGGGCCCAGGTGGGTTTCTTGTCCCTGAACATTTTCACTTATTTTTTATTTAAGCTACTTTAAGTGAGTTTCTCTTTCTTGCAATCTAAAGAGACCTTACTGGAACATGGGTTAATTTGTTGCCATTTCTTTTTCAAATAAAAAGTATGGACATAACATAATCTGAAATCAATGCTTATAACATCTAGGAGGGATCAATAATGTTGTTGTGCAAATGCAAAATTGTGATTGTAATGATGCAAATTGCCAAATAGTAATAGGAGAGTGTGACGAAACCAGTTTAGACTCAGGCTCACCTGTATTTTAATCTAGACTTCATTATTTATTTGCTGTGTGGCTTTGGGCAAATAACTTAAGCTTTCTGAAACTATTTTTTAATCTGTATATGGAGGAAACAGCACTTATTATACTGTTTTGCTGAGAAAATTAGAGATAATATATGTACAGTACTGAGCAATGAACCTGGCACTTAGATGTTTGATAAAGAGTGACTGATCACATGACTGTGAGTACACAGGCAAGGAATTAGTTGATCAATCATGACTGTCATGGCAAATGTAAGAGTGAAATGAAAAACCTGTTTTATGAATAGAATAACCAGATATTGGCAAATGTAGGCTTGTCAATGAGCAGGTATATAAGAAAGATTGAAGTGTCTGTGGAGATGTAAGCAGATTCTGACTGAATGAGGAAACCGCCCAACAAAAGGTAAGAATTCCAAGAAATTAACCTACAAAATGTACTTTGGGTCACATGGAAAACCTGTGAATAAACTCAACTCATGTGGCATGTCATGACAGCTGACAGAGAGCAGTAAAAGACCGAAATTCCCACCTGCTGGACAAAGGAAAGATACTAACCATGGTTACTACAGTAACTATGGAAATTATGAAGATTTGCAGAACCGATGGGCTAACCTCCAGATGCACTTCAGGGATTAACAGATCACCTGAAAAATCAGAATCCCGTGTCTTTGGATTATTTCATCTAAACTTCTATGCCCATGTGATCTGCAGTCACAAAATATACTGTTTCTCTTGAAAAAGTTGAAGTGCTTTCCTCTATACTTCAAAGTGCATAATAGTCACCTGGGGATGCCAATCCTGTTCCAATGCAGATCCTGAGGCAGCAGATCTGGAGTGGGGCCTGCGATGTTGCATGTCTAACAGACTCCAGGTGATGCTGATGCCCATGGTCCAAAGACCACAACTTTAAGTAGCGAGGCTCTATGAGTCAGAAGAAATTCACTGGTGAAAATAATTTTAAGCATTATTCTAGTTTCTCTACTTCAGTAGGGCAGTGTTTACATAAAGGAGTTGAGAATGGAATAGATCTCTGAACAATGTATTCCTCAAGCCTACTTGCAAAATCTTGGGCATTGGAGAAGAGCTTTGAGCTCGAAACCTGCAGGCATTAGCCTCAGTATTTCATTTGCTGTCGAACTGACAGGCCATTGCTTGCTGTCTGCTTCTCCATACCTGGGCACTTGTGACAACTTTGCCCTACTTTTTAATATCGGTGTCATAGGTAGAAAGTGGATCGATAGGATATGGGGGCAATGACAGGAAGCGGCCTATGAAATCATGTCACAGTAGGATCTGTAATCCTTTCAACTGTGACAGTTCATTGTCACTTAGCAGAAATCGTTGGTTATGAATATTTAACAAATTTGCAATTAGCTCATCTACCAACATGATTACTGAGATGGAATAAACCATTGAATAAAGCTGCTAGGATTATGTACATAATGCCTTTCTGATTATACACGCTTACACATCTGTTTTTGCTTTTCCTTCTCCTCTGACACTCTTTTTATTAATTTTTATAAAACCACATGCCACACCTCACTGCCTTCTGTAGTCTCATACTGTGCTAAGTAAATAAAGGCATTTTTATCTGAAAAATAATTCTACCCAGAATCTTCTGGGTAGAAAATTTAGTCTTAAGCTTCTGCGGTGACACCATCTAATGCATGGTATCCAGCAGCAAGAATGCCTGGAATCTTTTGCTAATTTATCACCAAAGCCATCTGTGGTCCAATTACCAAATTGCCCCAATTTTTTTCTGGTCCAAAAAGGCATTACATATTATCCGCTTGACTCATTCTACTTGGGTTGTAATGCAGATTAATTAAAAAATCCACAGAGGAGGGGATAGATCACTTGATTTAAGGTCAGGAAAGCTTGCAGCTCACTGGCCATGTGATCTTGTGTCTAATCGCTTCACCTTTCTGGGCTCCAGATTCTTCTCTGTAAAGATAATCGTTAGTCATTACTTCCTGGTATTTAATTTTTAAGATTATAGGTCGTTTTCCTTGTGCTGTTGGAATTAGCATCTTGCTACTTCTTCAGAGCAATAAAAGGAAAAAAAAAAAAGAAAAGTAGAGGAGATATTATGTAATAGTAAGTGGTAGAATGGGGAAGAGAATCGTCTTGCTGACTCCTATTCCATGGAAGCTTTTTCCTCTCTTGCTGAAAACAACTTGTAGCAGTAACATGAAACTACTTGTGCTTGATCCAGAAAACAAAAAGAAAATGTTGCACCACTCAAAACAGACACTATCTATATGCTTTCACTAATAATCAGTACTGCTGTTAAAAGGTTTTCATTTTTCCTAAGTGCATTTCAAACTGTCATCAAGGTGGGGCATGCAGGTCATATTATCTTTGAGCTCTTTGCTGAATTGCGCTGTCTGCTTTGTTGATAGATCCATACTCTGTTTTTCTTCATGTTTTTAGGAAATGATCTTGATTATTTCTCCCATGCAGCTTGGATTTCTAAAAAGCTACTGTTTTCGAAATGCAAAAGGCAATGAGGAATATTGTAAGAGTTACCAGAAGTTGCCATTAATAATAGTTTTGCTACGTTACTTTGTATAGGAGTGTAGGGCTTTTATGTTTGCAAAATGCTTTCACATGCATTAGTTAACATATTTGGCTGATATTCCCAGACACACTACTTTTTAGGATGGGCTTTTTCCAGTCCTTCTGCTGATGGAATCTGGGTCTTAGCATTTGGAATCATCCCAGCACTGATTAGACTTTAAGGGCCAAATTTATGAGTCAGCAACCTGCTTGTTTCTTCATTTTTTTTCTATTGACTTATCGTGAGTCCTAACAGAATATTTAAGCATTTACTCATATTTATTTACTTATCCAGTTTGTCTTTTGTCCAATAGTCATAAGGCGCCACTGTCTATAATTTGCTAGATTATGGATAAACAAATATACATGACAACATTCCTACTCTCAGGGAGCTCAGTGTAAAGGCAAAAATGGACAGGAAAATCCAGGCCCAAGATACACTGGGATAAGAGCCTTGTTGGAGGGAGACATGGATAAAGGCCAACCAGCCAGCACAGCCTGAGGGCAGTCAGCAAATGCTCCCAATGGGTCAGTCATTAGGGCTGAATGTCGTTAGCCAGGACAATGGGTGGTGGATGAGAAGAAGACACCCTTCTTTCAAAGAGAAGAACCAAAAAACAGAGATTTGGAGGCCCCAAGCACTATAACCTATAAGCAACTGCAACACAGCAATGCATTTGATAATTTACTAATGTAGTTACCTGTTTGCTTAACTCTTTATTGTAGAAATTAATGAATGTACACTCAAGTAAAGGGGGATAGTAAAAGAAGGTCTTGCAGGCCCATAACCCAGCTTTTGTGATTTTGTATTAGGAAAAAGAAAACTCAGATCTGCTGTCAGCTTTATGGCTTCAGGAGACCACATGATGGGACAGAAGAGAGGACTCAGAAACAGGTCCATGCAGACATGGGAACAACAAATGGCAGACCTGGCATTGCAAATCTATGGAGGAAGGATGAAATATTCAATAGTGATGAGATCATTACTTAACTATATGAAAAAAATAAATTTGGATCCCTCCTTCACAATCTGTGTTGTAAATATAAATTCCAGGTTGGATTAAAGACCTGAACATAAACAGCAAATCATTAAGTTTTTTTGAAGAAACTATAGAAGAATATCTTTATGAACTTTGAGTAGGGAAGAATTTCTCACAGTTAAAAATCACAAAACTTAAAGTAATAAATTTAAATTTACTAGAACCCTATGTTTCTTGTAGGCCAAAATGAGAAATTAAAAAGACAAGCCACAGTCTGGAAAAAAATCATATATATATATGTATATATATATACACACACACATAAATATATATATAATCAGTGTATATGATCAGGATTCATTTCCAGAAAATATAAAGAACTCTAACAAAGATGAACACTCCAATAGAAAAATTGGCTAGTTACATTATGAATTTTTAGAAGAGGAAACATGAATAGTCAATGAACATACAAAAATGCATTCAACCTTAAGGGTAATTAGGAAATTCATATTAAAGTCATAATGCTCTAAGGTGGGTTAAATAGAAGGATTCACCAGTATTTTGAATGTTTTACATCTTAAACTGGATGGTCTGTGCACAGTGTTTCTTATATTATTCTGTATGCCTTATATATCTGAAGCTTCACAGAGATATCTTCATGTATGTATGTATATATATTATATATGTACATATATGTATATATAATACATATATACATATATAAACATGCATTGTGTATATATGTAAGTATACTATACAAGTTGTGTTTTATTAAATAAATTCGTATAAACTCTTTGCAGGGTTTAATTATCTACACAAGTACCTTACTTAAGAATTGCATTGTATGGGAATGATGCAATTGAATTTCATTCTTCACCAGATATCAACATTGGCATAATTAACTAGGTGGCCTGGGTTAGTAGAAAGGCCAACACATGGAGTGTGCTCTGTGGTAACTGGATGGGTGATTCTGGCTTTTCACTAAACCTCTCTAGACCTCAGTTCCCTCACTTGTAAATGGAGGGAATCCTACAAAAGACCAACCAGTACTGCCTCACACTTTACGATTCTATGTTATGCCAGCATTTCTCAAAGTGTGTTGGAAAAAATCCATGAGATTCTAATTGGGATTCCTTGAGAACAGAGCTCTGCTATCAAACAAGTTGGGAATCATTTATCATTGTAACGTACTGTCCTCTTGAGAGTGTGGATATGCAGTAAGAAGGTGGGGAAGGAACAGAAACTGGGAGAAAGAAACCAGGCATGAGGATCTGTGCCCCTCGGGCATGTTCCCTCATGCTGTCCCACTTCTGGCTCCGGGGACTTGGGAGTTGTTTACTTGACAGATATTTATTGAATCCATTTGTGTAGTCAAAGATAATGAGAGACAGGAGGAGGGGAAGGGAGACCTTCTGTTCTACGGCTTCCACAGTCCCTTCTTTGAAAGCATGCTTAGGTCAAGGCCATATATTGCTTTGGCCTGTGAGACAACAAAGCCAGCTGGCTGCACCTGCTTCCTGCTCAGAGCTTTCCAGATGCAATTGAAATCAGGAGAGGCTCACATGCAGCATGGGTGCCTTCCTTTGTGAGGCTGGTAAACAGCTTCAGCCGGGGTTTTTATTTTTTTGCCAAAGCAACTGTGCAATGAATAGCTGTGTGTTCTTAGGGACTTCACTCAGCCCACCCTGGGTTTCAGATTCTCATCTTTAAAAAGAAGGGCTTTTATAAGATTATTTTTGAGCTTCTTCGTGTTCCTTTATTACCTAAGACATTTATAAATGTGTCCGTTCAGAAGTTCTTCGGACTTGGTTGAAAACATTAGCGTAGAAGTATTCAACAAGGGAATGGGTTAGTAAGACAGCCATTCAACATGTTTGTTGTTGAGGACCTACACTATCTTCAATGCTGGAGAAATAGCAGTGAACAAAAACAGTCTCTTCTCTCGTAAAGGCTAAAATTTCATGGGAGGAGACAGATAACAAATAAAGAAGATGCCTGAACATCAGGTAGTGTTAAGTGCTAAGAATAAAAAAAGCAGGCTATGTGCCTAGAGAGTGCCGGCAGGGGATTATTTTGTGTTAGAAGTTTAGAGAAGGCCTCTCTATTAAGGTGCCATTCAAGCTGAAACTTATGTGAGGGGTAAGCCACTGATGTAAGCTGGGAAGAAGGGTGGTGGGAAGAAGGTTCTAGGTGGAGGAAATGCCAAGGCCCCAAGGTCGGAGTGTGCCCAGCATGTACAGGGAACATCATGGCAGCAAGAGGAGAGTGGCTGGAAATGAAGTGAGGGAGCTCGTGGGAAATGATGAAAGTCCTGCATTTCATCCAGAGTGAGATGGTAAGTCAAAAGAGAGAATCGAGAAGATAATTGACACGATCTGAATAGAGTTTTGGAGAAACTGACTGAGACTAGTCTGTGGGAGGTCAGGAGGGGGAAGGAAACAAGGCATCTAATTGGAGGCTATTCAACAGCACATGAGAGAGAGAATGGAGGCTTGTAATAGGCTTTGGGGTAAGATTCTGAAAAATCCCAGGGAAGGACTCCAGTTCACTTAGCTATAGCCAAAAGGTCAGGGTTCTGTGATGGCAGCTCCTCCTTGAAATGTGACCCAGAGAGGAGAGGCTTTGCCCCAGAGGAAGGGGATAAAGCATGAACAGTGGATGTGAACCACACTGTTGCCAAGATAAAATGTGACAACTCTAAAACAAAACAAAAAGCACCACGGGAACAAAGAGTAGAAGAGAAGGTATTGAGACTAAAAGTTGTGCTCAAAATTATTTTCTCACATAATCACTGTGGCGTTATAACAAAGAACACAGGGTTATAATACGTTTTCTTCTTGGGACACAATCAACATATGTGCATTGATTACTTCTTATGTCCTGGATGCTGGGTGAGGGGAGGAAGATTCCCAGCCTGGAAGGAAATTAATAGCACCATGCTGCTTTTTCCTTCCTTCCTTCCTTCCTTCCTTCCTTCCTTCCTTCCTTCCTCTTTTTTTCTTTCAACTTTCTTTTTCTTTCAAAAAAAAATGCAAAAAAGCAGACAGACATTTTTCTCTATCACATAAAAGATATGCAGAGTTAAGATACTGAGCCCGTTAAGACATCTCATGATCATTACAGACTCAGGTTTTCTTCTATTTTGCAGTTCTGCCCTTACTATGTTGCCACACTTCTTATTTGCAAAGGATGTATTTGATAAAGGACTATTTCCAAATATATGAGGAACTCTTGAAGAGTTTTGAAAACAACCCCGTTAAAAAAGGGCAGAAGATCTGAACAGACACCTCACTAAAGAAGATACACAGATGGTAAATAAATATGAAAAGATGCTTATCATCCAGGAAATGCAAATTAAAACAATGAGATAACACTGCATACCTATTAAAATGCCCTAAATCCAGAACACTGACAACACCAAATGCTGGTGAGGACATGAGGAAACTGGAGCTTTTGTTTAATACGGGTGGGAATGCAAAATGGTACAACCACTTTGAAAGACAGTTTGGTGGTTTCGTGCAAAGCTAAGCATACTCTTACCATATGACCCAGCGATCACACTCCTGAGTATTTACCCAAAGAAGTTGAAAACTTATGTCCCCACAAAAACCTGCACATATGTTTTTATAGCAGCTTTATTTATAATTGCTAAGACTTGGAAGTAAAGCAAGGTGGTCTTCAGTAGGTGAATGCATGAATAAACTATGGTACATCCACACAATGGAATGCTATTCAGTGCTGACAAAAATGAGCTATCAAACCGTGAAAAGACATAGGAGAACCTTAAATGCATATTACTAAGTGAAAAAGTCCAATCTAAAAAGGCTACATACTGCACGATTCCAACTACATGACATTCTAGAAAAGGCAAAACTATAAAGCCAAGACTGCAATGGCGGTAAGTTTGATTTGTGGCTTAGCTTACAGCCTTACCTGTAAAAGTTATTTAAGCCTCCAGGAGCTGCTGAATACAGCTTGTTTGAAAGAAAAGCCAGCCCACTCATATTTAGATTAAGAACACCTGTGGCTCACACCTGTAATCCCAGCACTTTGGGAGGTTGAGGCAGGAGGATCACGAGGTCAGGAGATCGAGACCATCCTGGCTAAGACGGTGAAACCCCGTCTCTACTAAAAATACAAAAAATTAGCCGGGCGCGGTGGCGGGCGCCTGTAGTCCCAGCTACTCTGGAGGCTGAGGCAGGAGAATGGCATGAACCCAGGAGGCGGAGCTTGCAGTGAGCCAAGATAGCGCCACTGCAGTCCGGCCTGGGCGAAAGAGCGAGACTCCGTCTCAAAAAACAAAACAAAACAAAACAAAACAAAACAAAACAAAACAACCCTGCATTTAGAGAAGCATAAATAAACAGCAGGTGCTTTTCTGCTTCCTGAAAATAAAGTACAAACCTTGCCTTCATTAGATGTTTTTGCAGATTTTAGCCTCTACACCTGCTTAGACTAGAGGTGGCGCTTTGTCACCCAAATTTGCTATTTGGTTCAACTTCTGGATATTTCATAAATGTTTATTATTCCTGTCATTTCTCAGATCCACCAAAACCCAGAGTTTATATTACTGGGATTCAAAGAGATTTGAATCTGATCTTAGATGCAAAATGAAGAAAAGAAAAACAAGATTTGCTCCACTCTGTGCATTTCCCCAACAAGCTAGACTATAAGGCAAGTAGCTTGTGGGAGAGAAAAATTCTGTAAGTAAAAAAAGAAATTTTAAGAGATATAAATTTTACCCTCTTCTTACATACCTACTACCATACCCAACACAACACTGCTCAAAAAAGTGGCATTTAGAATGTTTGCTTCTTCCCAACTCCTGTAGTCGCTGTAGAAGGGAAGAAAGACTCCTCTCACTTAATCAAGACCTCAGCCCTGTCTGGGCATTAAAATCACCCATGTGGCCTCAAGAGTCCAACACTCAGGTCTTGACCCAGCTCTATTCAATCTGTATCTCAGTGCATGAGGTCCAGGTATAACAGTGAAACAGCAAAAGGACTAATACAACTAACTCCATTTTTGTTTAAGGGGCTTTACCTATTCCTGCACATAAGCTAGGATAGTTTAGTGCACTGAGATAATATGCAAAACAGCAATTATGTAGTTTTTTTAAACTCTAGGGTTAAAGAAGTATGTAAACAACTATGTTTTGTTAAAGATTTACAGGAACATTGTGACCTGACCAAGGATAAAGAAGTTCCCAACCTACTCAGACCCTCGCTGGCACACAGCTGTCCATGTTCATGGATTACCCATTGATCCCAGTTCCCTCCTTTTCCCCCTGCCCTTAACATAAAAAGAGGCTGCAACTTATATTAACTTAAAATGGTGCTTTAAGACAATAGTCCACCACCCTGTCAGTTTGCTGGCTCTCCAAATAAACCTGCTTTTCCTCCCACCAACCTTTGTCTCTCAAATCTGGTTTTCTAGGGGCAAGCAGTTGAACCTGGGTTTGGTTACACAGGCAGGTTATCTTCAAATGTTCCCGGGTTATTGCTGTGGACACCATGTGTCAGCGTTACTGTCTCTTGACTTGGAAGAGGAGGCCCTGACTAATAACTGGGCTTCCCCTTTATTCATATTTTGGTTTTGCTTTTTAATTAAATTAATCCTGTTGAACATGTCTTTTCTATTGAGCCACATGAAACTCTATTCTTTCTTTTTAAAGACAGGATCTTAATATATTTAAGCATTTTAGTGAAGAAAGAGGAATTATCTGTAAGTTTTAGATTTGACTTTGTGGAATCTGGCGAATCTGAAAACAGAGATGAGGTGCAGAAGCAAGTAGTGATTCTTTCCTGGAAATGTTAATAAACAAGAAAATTACTATTGTTCCTGGGCTTTGAGGGCATGAAGTGTTGTAAAAGTGTCAGGAAGGCTGTGAACACTTGCATCTTCCAAAAGTTTTATATTTTGTCTGTAAATTCTGAGGAGAGAAAAATCTTAGACACCAAATTTAGAAGTAAGTTGCTGAAAAAAATTTTCTTAATATTAATTGAGTATTAGAAAACCATAAAGAGAGATTACAAAGAGAATGGAACTTTTGCATTGGGATCCATCAATACCAGGGCTTTAAGTGGAGAGATGAATAAAGGAGAAGCAGACTGTTATGATTCTGTCTCCCTCTTCAGCCCATTTTCTCCAAAGTTCATGCATCTCTATCCCTGAGAAAAGACAGTTAAACAAGAGAGTTACACAGCAGGTATCTTGCAACACAGTAATGGCATAGTTGATTGTTCTGTTTAATAATTGTATGTTTATTATATTATATTTGGGAAATGCAACCTGCCACACAGTTATAGTTCATTCTGATTTTTTTTACTAGTCTTTAGAACTATAATAACGTTTTAAGTTTTTATATTTTTTGTTATTTCAAAGATAGTCTTCCCTGTAGGTAAGTGGAGTGGACAACGAGGTCACAAATCTAAGGTACTCTTAGAATTGCAGTTTTTTTGAAACCAGAGATGCTGGCAACTCATTAAGTTTTTGAAGCAGCTAAAATCCACACACAGAACTAATATATATATATATATATAATATATATTTCTGTTATATATATATATAAAATATATATTTCTGTTATATATATAATGAAATATATATTATGAAATATATATATTTATATATATTTCTGTAATATATAATATATTTTTATATATTTCTATAATATATGTATTAGATATATTTATATATTTCTGTAATATATATTATATATATTTATATATATTTCTGTAAATGAATTTTTTCCAAGTTCTTTTCAACTCTTGTAATTTTTCCATTTCCCATATTAATGAGCAGGGAAAAGAAACAGAATAACATTACATGCATGAACAAATGATATGAAAATGAAATCCATTTCTAATTAGTTTACCAATTGGTCTGCATTTTGCTTTAATACAATGTAATTAGGTGTTTTGTCATTTCAAAATTAAGCTTCAGCTATAATTGTGTCTTTGATGTCCGTTGGTAGGTCATTAAAAAAAGGCATTTTCTCTATTTTTCTATAATATACTGAGTTTGAATTATATTTTCATTTTCACTGTTTTGTTTTTTATTGTGTGCCTGCTCATTCAGTGATGCATGGTTAGCAATTACACACTGTATTTTAAGAGTTTTTTTCACTTTTTATTTCAAACACACCTATTACTTTAATTTTACTACAGTGACTAGAAACTGTAAGTCTGGACTTCTAACACCATTAAATTACATGTAACAGCCTCATATTTAATGATTCAATTATCCTGAAAGCCTGATATTAAAGTCATAATGAATGATAGAAAGCTCCATCATCTTTTATTAGTTATGTATTGCTGCCCAATAGATATCTATTTTTATCTAACAAATTACCCCAAAATGTAGTGACAGAAAACACCCATTTTGTTATGATTATGGGTTCTGTCGGTAAGGGGTTTGGCCAGGGCATAGGTTTGGCAAGGTGGCTTCTGTTCCTGGATGTCAGGAAGCTCAGTTGAAAAGACTGGAAGGAGAGGCATGTCTTAGTGATGGGGCTGGAATCCTCTGGATGTGTCTCCACTTGCAGGTCTGATGCTGGATACTGGCTATTGGTTGGAGCATCTAGGCAGAGCTTTATCATGTGATTTTTTTCATCTGGCAGGTTTGATGGTTGGGTTCCAATAGGAACATCCTGAGAGACCCGGTGGGAACTGCGTCACCTTTTATGACCTAGCCCTGTAAGTCATGCAGTGGCACTTCTGCTAAAGTCACAAAACCTGCCCAGCATCAGGCAGGACATAGACCCATCTCTCCATAGGAGGAGTGTCGAGTCACCTTGTAAGAGGAGCATATGTGAAGGATTTATTGATGTGGCTGTTTTGGGGAAATGCAACCAGCCACACACCTACAGTTCATTCTGATTTTTTTTCACTAGTCTTTGGAACTAGAATAATTTTTTAAGTTTTTATATTTTTTGTTTGTTTCAAAGATAGTATTGCCTGCAGGTAAGTGGAGAGCACCATGAGGTCAGCCACTATAAATCAATGTTTCCACAATCTGCAGAGGGTTGGAACCCATGAAATTAGGAATAAGGTATAGATTTTTGAAAAAGATAACATTGTTCCTTCCCTGTGGCTTCTAAAACAATTGGTTTCTCAGAAGCCCTGAGCACATTTGCATTTGTCATAGGAAGATGCTGGGTACTTTGTGATAGAAGGAAAAAAAATGGTGAGTTTAGCCTTATAAATCTGCCTGAACAGACACAAGTAATGTGGTCACTTCAAGTAAGCCAGCTTTTCATCACAGTGTGAGGGGAAAAGTACTTGGCCAGATCTGGATCCTGAACTCTGTTACTTTCTAGCTGTGTGATCTTGAGAAAGTTACTTAACCTCTTGGAGTCTTGGTTTCCTTGTGTGCAAAGGGAAAATAATTTACCCCATGGGCTGTTGTGAGGATCAAATAAGATAATTTGTGGGAATATATTTGGAAATCTGTAGTGTTATGCAGAATAATCTGGGAATCATGGCAGCATCTCATAGAGCTGCTGGGAGGTTTAAATGGTAGAAAAATGTAAAATGCTCAGAGTAAGATAAGTATCATCTGTTGTGCAAAGATGAGATGTGATTCTTTCTATAGGTTGTATGCCAGAAGTGGGGGCACCTCTGGTTCACATTTGCATTTCTCCTATGAACAGCCCAGTGTTTTATATATAGTAAATGTTCACATTCCTTTCACATGTTCAATGTCTGAAAGATTTCTGCACTTGATTTGCTCAATGAATCCCATATTTGTGCAAATCTTTGCTGGTTTGGTAATAAGCTCTGATTCAGTCATTCCAACAGCTATATCAAATTCAACACTTCTAATTTTTGATGTGGAATTTGATATTTAAGTTGTTCTTTGCATTCCCAAAGATCCTCTCCAGAAAGGGTTAGCCTTCCTCCCGCCTTCCTCCACACCAGGCCTCTCAGCTCATCAAGGCATTGAACATTCACACAGATGAAACTTATTACCAAACCAGCTCTCTGCAGAACACGACATCTGGCTCTCAATCCATGTGCTATTTTTACAGCTCCAGGAGCCGAATTTGGAGGATTAGAGTAAGTTTAACACATGGTCTCTGTTCTCAAATGAATGGCTTGTTCATCGTGTCAAAGTTTTTAGAGTTGATTTATTGTATAAGGCAAGTCTTGTGGAAATAATGGTGTCAATGATATGATCTATTCAAGAAGGATCCTCAATCAACAGTTTAACTTTATAAGTAAAGAGAAGAGAATGGAGAAGAACTGGGAAACCATTCTGAGGACAGAAACCAAACAACATATTTTAGCAGAAGTTTATAGGCAGGGTGCCTCAACATATGTTGATGCCAAGTTTAATATATAACCTTCCAGGGAAGTGGCTTTCAGCTTCAGTTGCACAATGCAATTTCCTGGAAATCACTGCGGCTGGGTCCAGAAGATTAAGTCCTGGGAGCAGCATTCTGATTGAGGCGGTGCAGGCACAATGAGATACATGCATGTGTGTCTCACCATGTGGTGAGATCCTGGCCTTGGTACTGGCTACTCAAGATGTGTTCCCTGGACTAGCAGCATCAGGATCATCTGAAAGCTTGGTAGAAATGCAGAACCTTGGACATCACTGCTGCAGACCTAGTGAACTAGAATCTGCATTTAACAGTATCCTCAGGTGACAGTGTATACAGTATAGTTTGAGAAATGTTGTTTTAATGCAGCAATTCTCAAGCTCATCTGTGTATTGGAGTTATTTGTGAAAATTTTAAAAATCCAGATGCCTGTATCTCATTGTGCCTACACCGCCTAAATCAGAATCTCTGGGCATAGGATTCAGAAAGAGTCTTACAAATGGATGAGTTAACAATCCCCAGTGGTCAGGAATGCTTAATGTCTCTTGCATAAACTATCCTCTGACTCACCTATGAGTTTTGATTTTTTAAAATTTCTTTAAAGAGAAACAATAATTAAATTACAATGATGACAGTAGAAAAAAAAAGGGGAAATAATTTGAGTACAGAATCTTCCTACTTTTAACACTTTTCTCCCTAATCTTTTACAGTCATATCATTTTTAATTCATAGCATTTTTTTCGCCAATTTTTTTTTTTTTTTTTTGAGAAGGAGTCTTGCTCTGTCACCCAGGCTGGAGTGCAGTGGCGCGATCTCGGCTCACTGCAAGCTGCGCCTCCCGGGTTCACGCCATTCTCCTGCCTCAGCCTCCCGAGTAGCTGAGACCACAGGCGCCCGCCACCATGCCCGGCTAATTTTTTGTATTTTTAGTAGAGACGGGGTTTCACTGTGTTAGCCAGGATAGTCTCGATCTCCTGACCTCGTGATCCGCCCGCCTCGGCCTCCCAAAGTGCTGGGACTACAGGCATAAATTTATTTTTTAAATTATACTTTAAGTTCTAGGATATATATGGAGAACATGCAGGTTAGTTACATAGATATACACGTGCCATGGTGGTTTGCTGCACCCATCAACCTGTCATCTACATTAGGTATTTCTTCTAATGCTATCCCTCCCCTAGCCCCCTACCCACTGACAGGTCCCGGTGTGTGATGTTTCCCTCCCTATGTCCATGTGTTCTTATTGTTCAACTCCTACTTATGAGTGAGAATGTGCAGTGTTTGGTTTTCTGTTCCTGTGTTAGTTTGCTGAGAATGATGATTTCCAGCTTCATCCATGTCCCTGCAAAGGACATGAACTCATCCTTTTTCATGGCTGCATGGTATTCCATGGTGTATATGTGCCACATTTCCTTTATCCAGTCTATCACTGATGGGCATTTGGGTTGGTTCCAAGTCTTTGCTATTGTGAATAGTGTCACAATAAACATACGTGTGCATGTGTCTTTATAGTAGAATGATTTATAATCCTTTGGGTATATACCCAGTAATGGCATTGCTGGGTCAAATGGTATTTCTGGTTCTAGATCCTCGAGGAATTGCCACACTGTCTTCTACAATGGTTGCAGAAAACTGAAACTGGACCCCTTCCTTACACCTTATACAAAAATTAGCTCAAGATGGATTAAACACTTAAACGTAAGACCTAAAACCACAAAAACCCTAGAAGAAAACCTAATGCAATACCATGCAGGACATAGGCATGGGCAAGGACTTCATGACTAAAATACCAAAAGCAATGCAACAAAAGCCCAACGTGGCAAATGGGATCTAATTAAACTAAAGAGCTTCAGCACAGCAAAAGAAACTATCATCAGAGTGAACAGGCAAGCTACAGAATGGGAGCAAATTTTTTGCAATCTGTCCGTCTGACAAATGGCTAATATCCAGAATCTACAAGGAACTTAAATAAGTTTACACGAAAAAACAGCCCCATAAAAAATTGGGCAAAGGATATGAACAGACACTTCTCAAAAGAAGACATTTATGCAGCCAACAAACATATGAAAATAAGCTCATCCTCACTGGTCATTAGAGAAATGCAAATCAAAACCACAGTGAGATACCATCTTATGCCAGTTAGCATGGCAATCATTAAAAAGTCAGGAAACAACAGATGCTGGAGAGGATGTGGGGAAATAGGAACACTTTTACACTGTTGGGGGGAGTGTAAATTAATTCATAGCAAATTTTAAGTTATTCACCTTTATCGAGATTGTCCAAAGTATTCAACTAAGTTTTATAAAAAAGAAATCTCTTTGCACTCATATTTTATTGTCTTCACATGACATTTAAAGAGTGCATAATTTCAGAAATTGGAAAGTGGTATAAACAAGTTTGGGAACAAACACTGTTGCTGTTTATAAGGATAAGACTTAACTTTTAGGAGCAAAAAGAGACAGGCAACTTAGAAAATAGAAATGTAATTGTCTAGGCTAGCCAGGCTCAGCATTTCCCATTTCCATTTGTGAATTGCCTCCAAACAAAGACAAGTACTATCAGAAATTTCACCATCTATTATGCAAAGACAAAGTTGTCTGCTCACATTTTATGTATGAATGGATTGATGTGTTGGGTCATTAGCTCCCAACAAACACAAAGCCTTCCATTTTTCAGTCTTCTTATATAACATTTGCAGGAAGATACATCTTTAAACTTGTAAAAAATTAACCTTCAGCTAGAAATTGAAGAAATAAGAAAAGGAGTTGGGAAGGACTCATCAGGTGTTGCTTGGATGCAAAGACTTCTCAGGAATCTGATTTAAATGCAGTTAGCTATTTTCAGATTCAGTTTGTTCCCCAAGCAAAATCTATGCAAAATCCAAAATTCCTCTCCAAGCCTCTTTGGAAATAAAAGACTTGCATGTGTCCTGTTGTCTACAGTCCAAACCAACAATGTTGCTTCTGCCAATTGCTACGGTTTAAGCTATTATGGTGAGCAAATGAAACAGTGACAGAAATAGAAACTCCAATTAAAAGATAATGGTATACCAGATCATTCTTGCTGCACATTTACTCTATATCCATAAGCTCTATGATTCCCAAGGAAGACTGATTAAGAATGTATTGCACGTATTATGCCCTGCTGTGTCTCTCTCCTCTCTCTTCAATCTGTAACATTAGCAGATAAATTTCCTCCTATGGGGCCTAGGAAGAATTGATATAAGTGAAGCATATAGTAATATTATAATGAATATAGAATATATATATTTAAATAAGCTTGCAGAATAGAAATCTGTATATATTATTGAAAACAGACACAATGCATATATCTAATATGGATAAGCAATCTATTTAATTGGAACTTAAGCTGCCCAATTCTTAAGGCTATTTTTCTATTGTGTGATTGGGAAAATGTTTGCAAATTGAAATTTCATAGTTTTTTTTTGCATACAATTGGTTTACAACCACTGAATCAAAGAAATATGTATTAAATCATGAGACTATAAACAGACTTATTTACAAGTGGCTTGGCTCATCAATATTTTAAGAAATTTTTAAAGACATATTTACATGCAAAGCCACCCAATTCAGAATTGAAACAAAATTATGGTTAATATGAAAAATTCTTGCTGCATTTTGTAACAACTCAAGCACAACCATGTTAGTTGAAAGACTGCACATTTTTGAAAGAAATATACTTTATTTCAATTAAAACATCTTTTTAATTTTTCTTCTTACTATAAGAGATAAAAATATTCATTTTAAAGAAATCAGGTAATGCAGAAAAATGTAAACTAAAACTAAATTAAGTAAACACTGAAAATTTCCTACAATTCTACCACTCAGAAATGACTTTTCTCAATATATAGGTGTTAATTGTTTCAGACTTTTTTGTGAGTATACAAATACACTTACTAAAAGGCATGCCATAAAAATGTTTGGTTTATTTTTATTTTTAACTGTATAAAACAATCAAAATTTCATAATAATTGGAGATAATTCTCTCTAACTCATTCTATAAGGCCAGTATTACCCTGATACCAAAACCAGATAAGGGCACAACGAAAACAACAGAAACTACAGGTCAATATTCCTGATGAACATAGATCCAAAAATCCTCAGCAAAATTCTAGCAAACTGAATCCAATAGCACATCGAAGAGATAATACGCCATGATCAAGTGGGATTTATCTCAAGGATGCAAGAGTGGTTCAGCATATACAAATCAATAAACATGATACATCACACCAACAAAATGGACAAAAACCATATGATCATCTTAGTAGACACAGGAAAAGCATTTGACAAAATTCATCACCCTTTATGATAACAACACTCAACAAACTAGGAATAGAATGACCATACTTCAAAATAATAAAGACCATATATGACAAACTCATAGCTAACATCATACTGAGTTGGGAAAAGTTGAACGCCTTTGCTTTAAGAACTAGAACAAGATAAGGATGCCCACTTTCACCACTTCTGTTCAACATTGTACTGGAAGTCCTAGCCAGAGAAATCAGGCAAGAAAAAAAAAGTGGTATCCAAATCGGAAAAGAAATCAAACTGTCCCTTTTGGCAAATGGTATGATCTTATACCTAGAAAAACCAAAAGACTTCACCAAAAACCTTCCAGAGCTGATAAAAAAAAATTCAGTGAAGTTGCAGGATACAAAATCAATTTACAAAAGTCAGTAGCTTTTCTATACACCAATGAGGATGAAACAACCAAAAAAGAAATCAACAAGGCAATTCCACTTATAACACCTACAAGAAAAACAAAATACCTAGGTATAAATTTAACCAAGGAGGTAAAAGATCGCTATTAAAAAATCTACAACACAAACACATGGAAAAACATCTTATGCTCATGGATTGGAAGAATTAATCTAGTCAAAATGACCACACTGCTCAAAGCAATCTACATATTCAGTGTAATTCCTATCAAAATATCAGTATCATTTTTCACAGAAGTAGAAAAAAAAATCCTAAAATTTGTATGGAACCAAAAAAAGCCCAAATAACCAAAGCTACCTGGAGCAAAAAGAACAAAGCTGGAAGGATTACACTGTCTGATTTCAAAACATATCACCAGGCTGTAGTAACGAAAACCATATTTATAAAAATAGATATGTAAACCAATGGAATAGGATAGAGAACATATAAATAAATCCGTGTATTTACAGCCAACTGAGATTTGCCAAAGCTGCCAAGAATATAAACTGGGGAATGGATACCCTCTTAAATAAGTGGCGCTGGGCAAACTGGATAACCATATGCAAAAGAATGAAACTGGGTCCCTATGTCTCATCATGCACAAAAATCAACTCAAGATGGACTAAAGACTTACATGTAAGACCCAAAACTATAAAACTATTAGAAGAAAGCATAGGAAAAACTTCAAAAATCACTCTAGGCAAAGATTTTATGGATAAGACTGCAAAAGCACAGAAAACAAAAATAAAAGTAGATAAATGGAACTATATTAAACCAGAAACCTTCTGTACAGCAGAAGAAACAATTAACAGAGTGAAGAGACAACCTATTAAATGGGAGAAAATATTTTCAAATTACTCATCAGACAGGCGACTGATATCCAAAAAATACAAGGAACTCAAACAACTAAACAGTGAAAACAAAAAAAGTCACTAAAATATGGGCACAGGACATATTTTGAGAATAGACATTTCTCAAAAGACCACATACACATGGCCAACAGGTTTATGAAAAAATGCTCAACATCACTAACCATCAGGGAAATGCAAATCAAAACCCCAAGGAGATATTATTTCAGCCCAGTTAGAGTGGCTATTATAAAAAGAAAAAAATAACAGATTCTGGTGAGGATGCGGAGAAAAGGGAGCACTTATACACTGTTGGAGGGAATATAAATTAATATAACCAATATGGAAAACAGTGTGGAGATTTCTTTAAAACTAAAACTATCATACAATCCATCAATCTCACTACTGGGTATTTTTCCAAAGGAAAAAAATATCACCCTGTCAAAGGGACACTTGCATTCACATGTTTATCATAGGCTGATTCACAATAGCAAAGTTATGGAGTCAACATAAGTGTCCATCAATGGATGAATAGATTAAAAAAGTAGTATATATACATAATGGAATGCTATTTGGCCATTAAAAAGAATGAAATAATGTCATTTGCAACAACGTGGATAGAACTGGAGGCCATTATATTAAGTGAAATAAGCTAGCAACAGAAAGACAAATACTGCATGTTTTCACTCATGCAGAGATCTTGAAGGGCTCTTGAGAACCTTTGGTGGTTGTCCGTGAGTGGCTTTTGCATATGGGAAGTGAGTGTGTTTCCTGTCTGCCATGGGTCACAGCGTGTATGAGTGTCTCCCGTGGACCAGCCATGGACCCTGGAAAAAAGAGAGTGTTCCTGGAGCTATTTCAGGGAGCACTTAAAATGTATCTCGTGAACATAGAGAATAGAGTGATAGATACGAGAGACTGAGAAGATGGGCTGAGTGGGAGGGGAGTTAAAGAGAGGTTGGTTATGAGTAGAAACATGCAGTTAGATAGAAGGAATCAGTTCTAATGTTTAATACCGACTAGAGTGACTATACTTTGCAACAAGATTATGTATATTTCAAAGTAGTTAGAAGAGAGGACTTGAAATGATACTAACGCATAAAAACGAGAAATACTCAAGGTGATGACTTGATCAATATACATTCTATGCATGTAACAAACACATGTAATGCATAAATATGTAGAGTTATTTTATATGACTAAAAGAGAAAACAAGTTTAGATCTAGATGATTATTTGTAATTACTGTCAAGTTATCCAAAATATAAACTACACTTATGTGTTTAATAAGCCACTTATTTTGAACATCTGGATTGTTTCTTAAAGTAGTTTTTAAAATTAATTATTTAAAAATGTTTTATCTCAAAAACTATTTTGGAATTTGGAATGCACTGTTTAAAACTTCAAAGAGGCACTTAAAATTTAACTTTGCTACTTTTATTTTTGCTCTGAGTCATGATTTTTTTTTTTACATTTGCATGGGTCTTCTTTTTTTTTCCTACATGATGTATACGTAGAAAATCAGGTCAATACAGCATCAAAGAGAAAAATCATACAGTGGTAGGCCTGTCCGATTTCTGGCATTCTTTATTAGAGAAAGGGTGTGCTAGCCATCATTTTTGCCCTTTAACACATGTCTTATTCTAACAGGATCTTAAAATTTCTAATGGGAACCAAGATATGATAGAAATGAAATTCCAAAGTGAGGCACCAGCTCATCACATGCAGCATTTACAAAGAAAAATCAGCTTCAAAACTTTTGAGCACCTCATCTGGAGGTTCAAGACAGTGAGATGTAGAAAGAGGAGTTTTTTTTTTATTATACTTTAAGTTTTAGGGTACATGTGCACAACGTGCAGGTTTGTTACATATGTATACATGTGCCATGTTGGTGTGCTGCACCCATTAACTCGTCATTTAGCATTAGGTATATCTCCTAGTGCTGTCCCTCCCCACTCCCCCTACCCCACAACAGTCCCCGGTGTGTGATGTTCCCCTTCCTGTGTCCATGTGTTCTCATTGTTCAATTCCCACCTATGAGTGAGAATATGCGGTGTTTGGTTTTTTGTCCTTGTGATGGTTTGCTGAGAATGATGGTTTCCAGTTTCATCCATGTCCCTACAAAGGACATGAACTCATCATTTTTTATGGCTGCATAGTATTCCATGGTGTATATGTGCCACATTTTCTTAATCCAGTCTATCATTGTTGGACATTTGGGTTGGTTCCAAGTCTTTGCTATTGTGAATAGTGCTGCAATAAACATACATGTGCATGTGTCTTTATAGCAGCATGATTTATAGTCCTTTGGGTATATACCCAGTAATGAGATGGCTGGGTCAAATGGTATTTCTAGTTCTAGATCCCTGAGGAATCGCCACACTGACTTCTGCAATGGTTGAACTAGTTTACAGTCCCACCAACAGTGTAAAATTGTTCCTATTTCTCCACATCCTCTCCAGCACCTGTTGTTTCCTGACTTTTTAATGATCGCCATTCTAACTGGTGTGAGATGGTATCTCATTGTGGTTTTGATTTGCATTTCTCTGATGGCCAGTGATGATGAGCATTTTTTCATGTGTTTTTTGGCTGCATAAATGTCTTCAGACACTTCTCGAAAGAGGAGTTTTTAATGAGTATTTAGAGAAAGTTGTGCTGCTGGGAGGTGTACAAACATCACCTGTTCCTTCATCTCAATCTTAGTGTTTGGGGAGAAGAGCTCAATGGGGCCATTCAGAACTTGATACGCAGCCCCCCCAAACTTTGGAGACCCAGGAGATGGTAATCTGTCTCCAAACCCAAGAAATTCAGAGGTCAGGGAAGGGATGCTGACACCTTTTTGTGGTTGTCTGTGGGTGGCTTTTGCATATGGGAAATGAGCGTGTTCCCTGTCCACCATGGGTCACAGCGAGTATGAGTGTGTCCCGTGGACCTGCCACTGACCCTGGATGAAAGAGAGTGCCTCTGGAGCTATTTCAGACCCTTGGCAAGGGGACTCCCTCAAAGAGTTGAGGAGAACCCCAACAGTGAGCATCTGACCATGAACTGGACACACTGTGACTAGCCAAAGAAGAAACATGGTCTACATTATGGGACCTGCATCTGGAAGAGCCCACAAGTGCATCTGTAAGAGAAAGTATTGATACCTGATACCAGAGTCATGACATAAGGTGAAGAACAGACCCCGTATGTCAGAAGGTGGCTTTTCCACAGCCCATGCTCTTTCCTGCAGTCAGCTGCTATGGGAGGAAGGAATATTGTAGGGAAAGAATGAAGGGGAACCACCCCTGCCTCCACTGCCTGAAACTGACAGGCCACAGTGGGCCTAGCTAGAGAATGGGAGATGGGACACTAACTTTTGCCCAAACATCTCATTACTATCAAGAACTGGTCAGTCTAACTTCCAAATCGAGGCTTTATGTGCTAAAGTGACCATGATACTGTGTAGCCTAACTCATTGGACCTATGTAAGATTTCACCCAGAAGCAGAGAATTTCTATTAAAGGGAAGATGTTAGGGAAAAATTATATTTTGCTTTGAGTATATCCTGTGTTTGGTAGTTATTCAATGGGCTGCTTGCCTACCTTTTAGTGGCTTCCAACTGGAAACACTGGGGTCCGCAGACCTGGCTGGTAAGAACACTGGCAAATTGAATGTATGTGCGTAAACATTTGAAGCCTTGTCATTGAAAAGCCTCTCAAAGGCAAGTGCAGAGCTTCCAGAAAAGCTGGAGTACGTGGTATACCCCACTTGGGTATTCCTTGTGAAGTATCATTTATGTGACAGAGACCAGAAAAAGTTTTTTATCAAAGAAAAATTCAGAGACGTTTGTAGTTATTTTGCAGCATGCTTATTAGTTTATTTTGCACTCATATTGTTTACTCACATGAGGAGTCAGTTGGTAGAATGAGCCAGGAAACAAAGGCAAAAACGGGAGTCATAAGACAGGAGAAAAATAAAACTGTTGGTAGTCTGGACACAGTGAATCTTGTTTGCACAATTTTTGCCTAAGCTGATGATCTGGAAGTAAGCAGAGAAAGGTCCACCTGGCAGTCTCTTTTTGAGTAGGCCAACCAGAGGTATCAAAGATAACAATTTTCTTTGTTCAGGAATTTACCAGAAAGCTTTGAGGTTTGAGCTTGGAACAAATAGTGGTACCATCTTCCTGGCATGTCTGCCATTGTCCTCCCTTCATAACTTCTTCCTTGGTTCAACCTGCACCACTTAGTTCAGCAGATTTTCTCATGATTGAAAACCATCTACCATCCCTCCTTTTATCCATTCTAAGACAGTTTTAGTGTATTTGCATTAGGAAGGAAAACCACAGAGTACCTAAAAGCTGAATTTTTCTAAGTTAGAAAGGGCAGACAACTTTCCATTTTTCTATTAAAAAATGAATTTGGGAAGGTGGGAGTGGAGGAAGGGACAGAAGAGACAAGGTTAGCTCAGATTATATTTTGGAAGAAAGGTTTGGGGAGGATTTTTAAGCAGATGACTCTATAATTTGGGGGCAGCTGCTGCAAGGTGATCAGTTGGCTTTGTGGGAATGCATAGGGATCTTGGGGGCATTTTTACTGTACATAATGTAGTGTATTTTCCCTCTGGTTAAGAGTTCTGCAATACAGATTTAAATTGCTTTTCAATTCATTTGTAGCTCTTGAAAGCAACGCTGTGCTGAGAAAGGCAATGAAAAGAGCCAAGTTTATTCTAGTCGTACATGTTAAAGATTTGACAAGCCTTCAATAAAGACACTTAAAAAAAAACCAGCCTTCATCAAACTTATTTGACCACACTATCCTACTTTTAGAGAATATGATTTTATGTGTAATTATTTGGAATACACTTTGGGAAATGTGATTCCTAGCTCACGTGATCTCAAGATAGGTCAAGAATTCTAAAACAAAATTATTCACTCCTTTCCTAACTTAATTCAACAGAGCCATACAACATTTCGTGAAGTAGGATGACTGTCCGGGGTTGGATGCTGTCCCCTACAAATTCAAGTCCTTTCTGAAATCACAGAATGTGAACTTATTTGGAAATAGGACCATTGCAAATGTAATTAATTCAGATACGGTCATAATGGAATAGAGTGGGCCCTTAATCCAGTATGATTGGTATCATTTTAAGAAGAGGAGAAGAGACACAGAGACAGAGACAGTCAGGGGAGAACACCATAAACAATACAGGCAGAGATGAGAGTGATGTGCCTGCATGCTAAGGAATACCCAGGACTGCCAGCAATACCAGAAGCTCAGAGAAGGGCACAATTTTCCCTGAGCCTTCCAAGGGAATGTGCTGACACCCTGATTTTGAAGTCTAGCCTCCAGAAATGCAAGACAATAAATTTCTGTTGTTTAAAGCCACCAGAAATTGAAACAAATTTCTGTTCTTTAAAGCTTGTGGTAATTAATTAAGGCAGCCCTAAGAAAATGATACAATGACCACGTCTCAAAATTAAAGAAATATTTGATTTTGTAATCTTGAAAACTTAAGACCACTCAGCAATGAAAAGTAATAAACTATTGATACATAAAAAACCACAGATGAATCTCAAGATAATTCCAGATGATACAAAAAAGAGTACATGCTGCATGGCTGCATTTACATAAAATTCTACCAATGTAAACTAACCTATAGCGACAGAAAGCAAGTGGTTGTCTGTTTCAGAGTGCCTGTAGGGGCAGGAGGGGCTAGAGGATGGGTTTTCAAAAAACACAGATAACCTTTTAGAATCGTGGGCATATTCATTATCTTGATTGCAGTAGTGGTTTCATCATTTATGTATATGTCAAAACTTATCAAAATTGCACAGTTTAAGTATGTGCAACTTATTATATGTTAATTATACCTTAACAAAGCTGCTTAAAATGAAACAACTTGGGGACTCATTAGTTTAAAATAACCAAGAAAATAATGTGCAAGTTTGCATGGAGGACTGGTGGGAGCATTAAAATGTACTTTCACTGTTGTGCACTCTCTCTCTCTCTTTCTCTCACTTTATTCTTGTCCTTAATTGAAAGTGGTAAAGCAAACACATTACCAAAGCAACTCTAATTACTTTCTCTGAACTAGTCTCCAGCAAATTAGGAAAAAGGAGCTGAGAAAACCATTTCAGCTCTGAAATACCACTGTGTGATCTTTTCTTCTGAGACGATCTCAGCATACAGCAAAGAGCATTCATCTTGTGCTCCAGGACAGCCCCATGGCTGTGCCTAGAATGAACTTTGGGAGATACCCCTTCCCCTCATGCAATGGACATGGCCATTTTCCCTCTCACTTTCCTTCTGGCTTTAATTAAATGTCACAGCAGAAAGAGGTTACCAAAACAAATGATGCAAAGTGTTCTAGCTCTGATCCATCCTTGAAGACATGGTCTCAGCCAGTCTTTCTCCATAAAGGCTTGCTCACCTCTTCCCTGCCCATTCCCCACAGTCTTGCCCTCATTCTTATGCCATGTAAATGAGCTTTTGGTACATACTGGTTTCTATTGCTACTGTTTTGCATACTAGTCATTGCACCCCAGTCACTATGATACTCTTGGTCTCTTGAACCTGATATCTTTTGAAACCCTCTTTTCCATTCTAGATTTATCCCTATCCAGATTGTGGGATATATTCTATTCCTCAAAGTGCACAACAACAGCATGCATACTTTTCTCTTACTCTTCCCTTTCATTTCACCCCAGGCCTGGATGCATCATTTGTTTGTCTAGAATGCTACTATGCCAGTGTACAGCTGATAACTTTAGATGCCTGCCCTGCCACTCTGTGACAGGGGACTTTTTAACAAGGATGCTCTGCCCACACAAGCCAGAAGTGTTGGAGCATTAAACATTCCCCAGGAGGAAACTCAGCCAGTGAGTGACAGCAGACAGTGTGTGAGTTCCCCAGGTCCCTTGCCCCTCAGGTTAGCTAGCTCTGCAGTGTGTTCCACACTGCTTCTCCTGGCTCTCCCATGGGATGAAGCTTCAGTTGTCCACCACTTAGTTGATATAACAATGCATGCCTTATAGGCTGCCTCCCTTCCTTATATAACATCCCAACTTCCCTGCTGGTATTGCAGGAAACATCCAGGTAAACTGCTTGCCTTTGAATTTTCCTCTCAATGTCTGCTTCTGGGGAAGCCCCCCACTGAGATTAAGACCTTATGTTAGAGCGCATTGGATAGTTGAGCCTCTTCCCAGTCCCTGAGCCACAGCACCCCCATTGCTGTCTCCCACTCTTTACACAGCCCCATTTCATATGGTTGAGTCCTCACTTGCAACTCCACCTATTGCCATGTACTTGAGCCCTTCAGGCTGACTTCCTGCATTTCTTCTCAGTGTGCATTTGTCATCTGGATAGAGATGCACCTCCTCTGCTAGAGAGCTGTAGGAGAGAAATACCCTGTAGGGAACCCTGAAGAAACCACAAAAGCGTTCTTTAAGCATTGAATACACTGGTATGCACTCAGATATCCCACAGCCCAGTTAGGAAGGACTGCTATGCCTTCTTGACTTTCCTCAGCCCATGGCTTGGATCCTGGCATCTAGACAGTGAAGGCAGGGGAGGGAGAGCAGGAAAAAGGAAAGAACAGAGCCATCCTCTTTCCTTCCCCCATGCAAGGGTTTTCTGCAGCTTGAAGTGCTCACTTGGTTCCCAAACTGTGAGAACCAGACTGTGATAGAACCGCCTCTCTATCCCACTGTGGTTAGCAGAAAAAGGTCTCCCAAAGATGTCCATGCCTTAATCCCTGGTACTCATGAACGTGTCACTTCACATGTATGGCAGAAGGGACTTGGCATGTGATTAAGGTTACAGAACTTGAGACAGGGAAAAAATATCCTGGATTATCCAGGTGAGCCCACTTTAATCACACAAGTCCTTAAAAGTGGAGAATCTTTCCCAGCTGGGGAGAGAGAGATAAGCTGGAAGAAGGAGAAGGGTGTTGAAGCATGAGGGGAACTCAATCTGTCATTGCTGGCTTTGAATATGGAGAAAGGAGGCCACAAGTCAAGGAAGACAGGGGCCCCTAGAAGCTGGAGATGGCTCTCAGCTGGAAGGTCACAAGGAATCTTGGTCACAATCAAAAGGAACTGAATTCTGTCAAAAACCAAATGAGCAGGGAAACAGATGCCCCTCTAGAGCTACCAGAAAAGAACATAGCCCTGACAACACCTTGATTCTAGCCCAGTGAGATCCATGTTGCACATCTGACTTTAAAAACTTAAAGATAATGCATTTGTGTTATATAAGCCACTCCATTAGCAGTTATTTGTTATGGAAGTAATAACAAATGAATACACTGAGCATCTAGAGAGTTTCTCTACATGCCTAGTAGTCCTGCAAAAGAAGAAAGCAAACCTTTTGAAAGTGCCTCCCTGTCAGGCTGCAAAATAACAAACACTTGGGCAAATCTCTTATTGAGCTGCTGCTTATCAGGGAAAAAGGGAGAACATCAGGGCGTGTGACTGGAAGCCAATGCATCTACTCTCATTGTTGCCTCTAAATGGGCAACACCAGAACATACACCTCACTGTTCATCTTATCTCATTTTTCTCTTTTTCTTACTCTTGTGTACCCAAAAGCTTAATGTATATCCACATTATTGCTCAGGGAGGGACACTGGAAAGTTCCAATCAATTAAAACAGTATTGAAGTTTTATCCTGCTAATTAATCTACCCTCTCATTGGTCAGAAAAAGTCATCTCTTTATTGCAGCCTGAAACATCAATTAATACCTTGGCCTGGGTTTTTCCTCCATGATTTCAAACCAGTTATTTTTCAGGTATCAAAGCAGAGTGGAGAGGCCTAATTAATTGGTAAAACTATGGTCATCTGTAGTGGATTTGACAAAGAGCATGACTCTTAGAACACAGACTCATTAAAAATGCTTCCTGCCTCACAATCGAGATTAAGGAGATCTAAGGAAGACCAAACACCTAACAGTGCATTTATTTATCTGAGATGTGTGATGATGAGAGTCATATCATACTTGAGATCTTGCAATTTTATATGAGCATTTTATATTGTTTTTGGAATCAGAAAAAATACAGGTTTTATTTTTGTTTAAAGAGCATTCTAAATGAATTTGTCCAGAGATTTGAAGGTGTTTTTGTTATTTCAGGGGTTGCAGTCACATTTTAAAATGATTTTGTTTCTCCATATATATATATATATAAGTACTTTAAGTTTTGGGATACATGTGCAGAATGTGAAGGTTTGTTACATAGGTATACATGTGCCATGGTGGTTTGCTGCACCCATCAACCCGTCATCTGCATTAGGTATTTCTCCTAATGCTATCCCTCCCCTAGTCCCCCAATGCCCGACAGGCCATGGTGTGTGATGTTCCCCTCCCTGTGTCCATGTTTTCTCATTGCTCAGCTCCCACTTATGAGTGAGAACATGCAGTGTTTGGTTTTCTGTTCCTGTGTTAGTTTGCTGAGAATGATGGTTTCCAGCTTCATCCATCGTTAGAGAAATGCAAATCAATACCACGATGAGATACCATCTCATGCCAGTTAGAATGGCGATCATTAAAAAGTCAGGAAACAACAGATGCTGGAGAGGATGTGGAGAAATAGGAACGTTTTTACACTGCTGGTGGGAGTGTATTAGTTCAGCCATTGTGGAAGACAGTGTGGCAATTTCTCAAGGATATAGAACCAGAAACACTCCCATTACTGGGTAGATGACCAAAGGACTACAAATTATTCTGCTATAAAGACACATGCACATGCATGTTTATTGCAGCACTATTCACAATAGCAAAGACTTGGAACCAACCCAAATGCCCATCAATGATAGACTGGATAAAGAAAATGTGACACATATATACCGTGGAATACTATGCAGTCATAAAAAAGGATGAGTTCATGTCCTTTGGAGGAAGGATGGTATTTTTTAAAGAGGAAGTTTTGATTTCTGCCATTGTTCAAATCTTTATCCTGTGCCTTTTAAAAAATCTTCTTTCATTCAATTACAGAGAAGGAAGAATTAAGTAGCTCCTACTAGAATGGTGGCTTTATCATTTTTTCCAGTCTTAGGGTGAATATATTTATTTTAGTAGCTATAATATCATTATTGTGAAATTTAGAATTCCTGTAATGCTTTTGTGCACTGAAATCTTTATCAGTTTTTAGTGCCTCACTTTAACACTTCTAATGCTTTGTCTAGAAAGTCTATTTTGCTTACTATTAATACCTGCACTAACTCTTCTTTAGTTGGTATTCTTATGGTATCTCATCATTTGTTTTAAGTATTTATTATACCATTTTCTTCACATTTGAAAAGATCCAGACCGTAAATTTGTGTCATTTAACAAATCTATATTGATTATGACTGCAGATATATTTGGATACACTTTTATGTATTTTTAAAATTTGGCCCTTTTCATTTTTTCTTTTTTTATTTTACTTGACCTTTTAACTTTTTAATTTTCTTTTGGATCTGGTGTGTGTTTCTCTAATTCACTTATTTCCTCTCCTGGTTTTGAAGTTGTATATCCTATTTATATACCCTGTATATAACAGTAAGTCCTGTTACTTAAGTCTATTACTTAAATGGTCACCCTAGTGATTTCTCTTTTATGTTTTGAATTTTTACTACAGTATAATTTACATATAGAAAAAATGCATATCTTACAAGTGTGCAGCTTACTGACTTTTCACAAATGAACACCCTCCTATAGCCAGCATGTAGATCAAGAAACAGAGTACCCCCATTCTCAGAAGGCTTCTGCATGCCCCCTCGAAAATGCTACACCTATTGAATGTAAGTTTAACAAGATCTAAGATTCAGCATAATCTTTAGGCTTCTCACAAACAAAATAAGATTTTATTGTAGAATGTTTTACTTCCATTCACCAGCTCCTAGTTTCTGTACTATTGCTGTCAAGGATTTCAATTCAACTTTATTTTTTAACCCCAAACATTTACTATGACATGCTTATCATTTTCTTTGTTTACCATTCCTTCTTGTGTCTTAGATTTTCCAGGCATCATTTTCTTTCTTTTTGAGGTTTCTGTAGTAAAAATCTTTTAGCAAAATAGTCTCCAGTTTGGTTGTCTGAAAATGTCTTTAACCTTATTTCCACTGCCCCCTGCAAGTTTATCTTTGCTAGCTGTACAATTCTATGCTCACAGTTATTTTTCTCTTAGCACTTTGAAATTGTATTCCACAGTCCTGTGCCTTTGGCTGTCATTGACACAGCAGCTTTCTTTCTAGTTTCATATATTTGTCTTTTTCTCTGGCTATTTCTAAGATTTTTTAAAAATAAAAATATGTTATTATATAATTTTACAGGGATATGTCTACTTATGAGTTTCTTTTTATTTCTGCTCATTGGGTTCAATACGGTTTCTGCATCTGAGGAATAATGTAATCCTTTCAGCAGGCAGTTCTGGAAATTTCTCAGGCATTATCTCTTCAGTTATTGCTTCTGGCCCACTGCCTCTTGATTTTCTTTCTGAAACCTTGATTACACATGTTGGACTTCTTCATCCTATGCTCCTTCCTGTCGTCTCTCTGCACTGCATTTTTCCATATATCTCCTTGTACTTTTTTTCAGATCCACTTTCCCATTCATGCATGGGCTCTCATCTCAGATGTCTCTAACCTGCTGCTTCCCCCATCCATGGAACTTCTGATGTTAATTCTGACAGTTTTCTTCAGAAGTTCTATTTGTTTCTTTTTCAAAAATACCTGGTCAATGTTGGGTGTTTTTTATTCCTTCATCATATTTCCAATGCTTTTATATCTGCCCATCCGTAATTATTTTGTGTTCTGTTAATTCCAATATCTGTAGTCATTGCCAGTATGATTATCTTGTTGTCTTTCCTGTCACTCACGTTACCTTGTTTTCCGTGTGTGGTGATATTTGATTGTGAGCTCATTTTTCTTGGAGCTTTGTCTCTAGGAATGCTTTGGAGTTTTGAGTCAAGATGATAGTCCTCTAAAAAGGATGTGCAATTGTTTCTGCTGGTTTCTTACACATACTACTAACCCAGGAACACTTTAATTTACAGTCAGGGCTTGGATTATTTCAGAACTCATAGGTTAAGGAAATTCTGCCCTCAACCTGGTGGTGGTAGTTATGGTCAGAGATTTCTAAGGAAGTTTATTTAAAAAGTTATTATTATTAATGTTTCTCCCATCACCAAGGCCAAGACATGAGACATGAATGGATCAACATCCTCTCTCCTCTTGGAAGGGTTTTTTCTTTGTCTACACCTGAGAGCATTATCTCTTGAAGGTCGCAGCTTTATGTTGAATATTTTTTCAGGACTCCCACCCAGTTTGGGTCCGAGTTTTGTTTTCTGTTCCCCATCATGTCTCACTAAAATTCAAGGTTGAGAGTGCCTGAGATCAGAGACACATAGAGAGAATGCTAGTTCCAGCACTGTTTACTTCTTTGAATTTGGCTTTTTCTTTATTTCCACTTTTTAAGGAATTGTCTTATTTTTTCACTGGCTAGTTTGTCCATAGATTTTACAAAAAAATTGCTTAAAAAATCCAGTATTGGTTGAGATGTGTATTATTAACTAGGATTTCTTCTGATATTTTATTATCTCATTACTGGAAAGGAAACTCTCACTATCTCATTCATCTCTGCTGCATTTGTAAAAATGTGTATGATCCAGCAGGTTCCCACTTTGGACAACTGGAGTGTAATTCAGTGGAGAACTCTGGGAGATGGTGTAGAACATGCCTAAGTAATCACAAATGAAGAATGAGGAAACTGAGATCGTTAGGACCCAACTTCCTGTTCATCATTGGTTAGAGACCGCTTCTGGAGATAACTGACGCTTTGGTTTTCCTTATACACAGGCAAGAGAAACTTCTCAGGCAGAGAATCACTGGTATTTGCTTTCATTTTGTAAAGGTGAGTGCTGTGAGGTTATGAAAGGGATCCTGACAGTATCTGCCAGGACATCAGGTGGCACAAAGAATAATGCGAACCTTTATCTGGGAGAACTTGGGTTTTGAGTTTCTTGCCCTCAGCAATTCATGGACACATAGAAGTACAAACATTTTTTTAAAAAATCAAACAGAATAGACTTCAAGATCACTAAAGCTCTGAAAAGCTGGCGGAGCTATCTAAAGGTATAATCTGTTTTTCTTATACTTCTAGCACAAGATATGAAAGTGTGGAAGACATCAAATTATGTGCTACAAGAATGATGATGTAAAGAAAGCAGACAAAGCCATGATAACTAGAGAAGGATAGCAACAGGCCTGATGCCCTGACTCATGGACCATCCTTTTGCAGAACGGAGCTGACAGTCACTGGCTGCAGCCAGTTGGATTCTTTCTTATAACAGGAGACCTAACGCTTTACACTTTAAAGTTCAGAACATGCTTGGAAAACATCTATGTGTGGCTATGAAAGGCATTAGGGAAGGCACTTGGCTCATTATCCCCAGGATGTAGCAAGGTTCTAAGTCCAGGGTTCCAGTCTCAGTTACTCAATCTCTATCTGCAGAACATATTTGTCCAAGTCCCTGATGTCCAGTAATGAGCAGCAATTGAGAAGATTATGACAGTAACCTCCCCTTTGTTTTCAACCTCGTTATTTGTTTGGAGCCCGGTGGGCTAATTTAGGGCTCAGGTCAAAAGGTTTGTTTATAAAAGGACAAATGCAAGTGTTGAACTGGAGAATCACAGTCTTATGCTCACACAGAAATTACCACTTTCTAGCTTTTATTAAACACTATTGAATTTGACCAATCTCCTTGATGAGGAAAGCAGCCACCCATAGGAGGGAAAAAGGAGAGAGAAGAGAAAAGGCAGACTATTGTATAAACAATAAACAACAAAAGTGACATGAGAAACACAACTTGTTTGCTGCTAATCAGTAGAGATTTGCCAAAACTTGAACCCAAGTTTCTGCGTGTTCAAGGATATCAGTTTCCATGGTGCCCAAGATTCTGGATGACAAAGGAGACTCTTGTGTATTCTTGAGATATTTAATGCGTTTCTTATCTTACATAAATGGCAACACACTGTGCATTTTCCTGCTTTTCTACTTTTCCCACTTAACATTAATTCTTGGAATTTGCCTTATATGAGTATGCAAAAGGCCACATTCTTTGTGGCTACATGGTTTTGCATTCTATGGATAAGCCCACCAATCCCCTATTTATAGGTATTTAAGATAATTTCAGTCTTTCTTGATTAGAAACTGTGATGCAATCATTAACTTCAAGCACATATCATTTTGCACTTTGGAAGATAAATATGAGTAATATTTCCTAGAATTAGAAAGATATTGCTGAATTGAAGGATGTTTGTACTTGTAATGTTAATAGATTTTGCTCAGTTTCTCTCCATAGAGGCTGTATTGATTTTTTTTCCCACAGCAATACATAAGAGTGCTGATTTCCCCCCACGCTGCGTGCTCTCTCATACAATGTGTTGTCAGGCTTGTTGACCTTTTCCAATTTAATAATAGAAAAACGGTAATTGCAATTTTAATATGCATTTCTCTTATAAACAGCACTGAGCAATTTTCCCGCTGTCTAAGAGCTGTGGGTTTCACTGTTTTTCCTTAGGCCGTGACTAAGACAGTTTTTCTCTTTTTGGATTCCAAGATTTACTAGAGTTGTGTCTGGAGCAAATTGAGGCTGACTTTTGGGCATAAAAAATTCAGGGTAGGCCCAATTTGAGATTCAATTTCACTGAGTCTGCATGTGTAAAATTTACTGCGATGGGAAATAAACTATGTCAGCAAGATGCTGCCACAAATGCAAGTTTAATGACATGGAACTCATATTTACAATAAAATATTAAAGGAAAAAAGTAGGTTAAAATACAGTACAATGTGATCTCTCTTCCTTTTTTAAAAATATAGGATCCATCTGTAGAAAGGTGCCTGGATGTATATGGAAAATTAACATGGCTATTTATGGATGGAAAGACTACATGATATTTTATTGTAATTTGAGCTTCTCTTTATTTTTGAAGTGTTGTCAATTACTAATTTCTACCTGAAATAACTAAAAATAATATTTTAAAAATATAGTCTGCCTCATTGGTGGAGAGCTATAAAAAATACACAAAGTGATGAGAAGAACACTGGACCAGGAGTCAGGAAACCTAATTTTTAGTCCCATTTCTGCTGTTAATATGCTCTGAGATTATTGGGCTTATAATTTAATTTTTAGGCCCCGGTATCATTTATAAAATGGGGAAATTGGGCAAGCTTGTTGTTTTGAATCCTTAGAGCTCTAAAAACTTATCTTAAATGTTAAGATGAGATACTTATAAATTAATGCTGATTAAGTTCTTTTATAGATATATGTTTATGCTCCGAATAGTTGCACTTCATAAAATCAAGGTGAATCTGTGTGTGCCGGTTGTTTCTTATGTAAATGATTGTCTGTGAACTGTATTGGTGTGCCATGCAAAGCAAAAGTCTTCACACTGAGTAATTATCTTTTCAAGGCTCATTGAAAGAGGTTACCTTGGTAACAAGAAATCAAAACCCACCCACTTCATCTTAGGGGTCAGAACAAGGTTCTCCATGTAATCATCATTTCTGTTCTTCAGGTACAAACTGTGAAGAAGCCTCAGTGAGAATGTTCATATATTAGTAATAAGCAGTTTTGTACTCAAAGACACTGTTCATTGCGTTGTTCTAGTTCAGGCCTGTTGTCCTGGCGGAAATATTAAGAGCACAACTTTTCATTTTCTGAAGTTTCCCTGTTTGCAAGATAAATTATTTTGGTTCCTCCAGCTCCTCAGCACCTTAGAGAGCTCTTTTTTCAAAAAAATTATACTTTAAGTTCTGGGATACATGTGCGGAACATGCAGGTTTTTTACATAGGTATACATGTGCAATGGTGGTTTGCTCCACCTATCAACCTGTCATCTACATTAGGTATTTCTCCTAATGCTATCCCTCCCCTAGCCCCCTACCCCCGACAGGTCCCAGTGTGTGATGTTTCCCTCCCTGTGTCCATGTGTTCATATTGTTCCACTCCCACTTATGAGTGAGAACGTGCAGTGTTTGGTTTTCTGTTCCTGTGTTAGTTAGCTGAGAATGATGATTTCCAGCTTCATCCATGTCCCTGCAAAGGACATGAACTCATCCTTTTTCATGGCTGCATGGTATTCCATGGTGTATATGTGCCACATTTCCTTTATCCAGTCTATCACTGATGGGCATTTGGGTTGGTTCCAAGTCTTTGCTATTGTGAATAGTGTCACAATAAACATACGTGTGCATGTGTCTTTATAGTAGAATGATTTATAATCTTTTGGGTATATACCCAGTAATGACATTGCTGGGTCAAATGGTATTTCTGGTTCTAGATCCTTGAGGAATTGCCACACTGTCTTGCACAATGGTTGAACTAATTTACACTCCCACCAACAATGTAAAGGTGTTTCTATTTCTCCATATCCTCTCCAGCATCTGTTGTTTCCTGACTTTTTAATGATTACCATTCTAACTGGTGTGAGATGGTATCTCATTGTGGTTTTGATTTCAAATGAGATGGTATCTCATTTGATTTTGATTTTGATTTTCTCTAATGACCAATGATGATGAGCTTTTCTTCATGTTTGTTGATTGCATAAATGTCTTCTTCTGCGAAGTGTCTGTTCATATCCTTTGCCCACTTTTTGATGGGGTTGTTTGTTTTTTTCTTATAAATTTGTTTAAGTTCTTATAGATTCTGGATATTAGCCCTTTGTCAGATATCCACCTGCAAAAATTTTCTCCCATTCTGTAGGTTGTCTGTTCATTCTGATGACATTTTCTTTTGCTGTGCAGAAGCTCTTCAGTTTAATTAGATCCCATTTGTCACTTTTGGCTTTTGTCGCCATTGCTTTTCATGTTTTAGTCATGAAATCTTTGCCCATGCCTATGTCCTGAATGGTATTGCCTAGGTTTTCTTCTAGGGTTTTTATGGTATTAGGTCTCATGTTTAAGTCTTTAATGCATATTGAGTTGATTTTTGTATAAGGTGTAAAGAAGGGATCCAGTTTCAGTTTTCTGCATATGGCTAGCCAGTTTTCCCAACATCATTTATTAAATAGGGAATCCTTTCCCCATTGCTTGTTTTTGTCAAGTTGATCAAAGATCAGATGGTTGCAGATGTGTGACATTCTGAGGCCTCTGTTCTGTTCCATTGGTCTATATATCTGTTTTGGTACCAGTACCATGCTCTTTTGGTTACTGTAGCCTTGTAGTATAGTTGGAAGTCTGGTGGCATGATGCTCACAGCTTTGTTCTTTTTGCTTAGGATTGTCTTGGCTATACAGGCTCTTTTTTTGTTCCATATAACATTTAAAGTAGTTTTTTCTAATTCTGTGAAGAAAGTCAATAGCAGCTTGATGGGGATAGCACTGAATCTATAAATTACTTTGGCAGTATGGCCATTTTCACGATATTGATTCTTCCTATCCATGAGCATGATTAAAGCATGGAGGTAGAAGGACCCAAGGGCACTCATGTATTTCTCCCTTGGCTTCTGTGCTCACTTCACCAATCAAGAACGAGGACTATTAATTACTAGGGGTATGCTTCTAAAAGACTCAGACCTGTAAGAGGTAGTGGAGATTAAGTAATGTTTCTCCATGATTTTATAGATGAAGGAGCTATGAAGTTGGAAGCAAAGCTTCTGAGTCCAGTGGTCTTTTCAGGCCAGCACTTCGATCAAGGGAAATTCTAGCCCTGAGGGCTCACTTGCATGTGAGCCCTGCCTTCCCTTAACACAGTCATCAAGTGTTAGCTTTGAAATCCCTGCAGAACTGTACAGAACCTCTCACTTCTTTCTCTTTCAAAGCAGGAGCACACAGTGTTCACCATAGAGCCTCCTACTCACTTCACGGAATTGACAAGGGAAAGCAGTGCTCTGGTGAGCCAAGTACAAAATGGGAAGGTGATTCAAGCAAGGGTGAAGTCTGGGACAAGACCGCCCTCGGAAACTTTCTGTCCTCCCTTAAGGTTCTTTGTCCACAAGATTCTGAAGGCTCAAGCCAGAGCTGACAACACTTGTCTGGAGAGACTCAGCCACAGTCTCCCACCTGCACCAGGGCAGCCCTGATGAATCAGTAAAGATAATGTTATCGGTGTAGCACTTGCAGGCTGTTGCTGAATAGCTTTTAATCAGCAATCTAGGGATCCCCTCTCAGGGCGTGGGGAAAACAAAGCGAGGACAAGCAGGTTGTATTCAAAGCACTGAGTAGGCATCAAAGGCAGCATAAATTCAGCCAACTGGAAATTCACTTTAAATAAAAACACAATTTTATACTACCAGCAAGCTTACCTTGGAAACACAGCCCCACCTTCCCCACAATATGGCTCATTTTATTTCCTCCACTAAAGGGAATTGCCAAAACAATGACTGTTTCAGTGCCTGTGAATAATACAAATACAGTTCTTAAGTGTAGCTGTCTCTTGGTTAACCCTGGGTTTGGAGGGGAGCTGTGGGGAGATGCTCCCCCAGCCTGATCATCTCTCAAGAATTCCAACAATATTCCCCCAGGAGGCAGCTGCCAGCTCACTCTCCTGAGAACTGGCTGACTTGGAGTACTTGAGCTGGAAGCGATCAGTAAGGATTCTTGCTTAGCCTCCTTTTATAAATGTAGAAACGGAGATTCAAAAAAATTAGGAGACTCACTGAAGTTACATTATTCGCTGTTTCATCATTTTACTGACTGTAAGGGCATCTCCTGAAGAATGGTTGAGATGAGGGATGAATGTCAGATCAAATGAGTTAGCAAGTAATTAGTGAGCACCCATAACAAAACTGGCCCTCATTTCAGAGATGAGGACAGGTCCCAGGAGACCGGCTTTGTAGACGACTGCCACAGCACCATGTGTACGCACAATGACATATCCACTAGAAACCCTTTCTTCCTGCCAGTTCTACCAACCAATGGGACTGTGATCCACCCTCTCTTCTCATCCTATATTTTGGCTCTTACCCTCTGACCTGGACACTTACATCACAACAGCTCTGTCTAGTGTTTTTGCCTCCATTACTGATCCATCTGGTCATTGTCCACACTGCTGCCCAAATGAGCTTCTATCAACATCATGGAATCGTATCACCTCCTTGATTGAAACCTTTGATAGCTATTTAATTTCAAACTCCTACCTAACATATGAATTCCTCTTGAGGTGAACTTGGTCTATCTGTCCATCCTTATTTTTTTTTTGAGTTGAGTAACTCTATTTTTTAGAGTAATGAACTAATTATAACTCCCCAACATGTGGCTCCATTCCCAGCCCCGTGACTTCATTGCTGCTGCTTTGGCTGGCAATCCCTCTCCCTGCATCTACCTGGTGAACATCTACTGTGTTTCACAGAAAGGTGTTTCATCTCCTGTGAAGACTTGGTTTGATAGTGAAGGTCAGGGAAGACCGAGAAGCCAAACTTAGATTGGGAAGCAAACTTGGCCAGAGGGGAAGGTGGAATGCAACGGTCTTAGCTGTCCTTTGGTCACTCACTCTGACTGGTGAAATGCTCATTTGGTTACTCGTGGGTCCGGTCTCATTCTTTATTTCTCACAGTATGTCAGCATTCATTCCAGACCACTCTAGGCATTAGACTTTAAAAAAGTAATAACTCTATGAAAGTGTGTGTACGCGTGAGTGCATGTGAGTGTGTGCAACCATGCTCAACGTTCCATAGCCTGATGGCCAGAATTCTCGAGTAGCAGAAAATACCCTGAAATGCCTTGGTTTCAAGAACATACTGGCCGGGCGTGGTGGCTCACACCTGTAATCCCAGCACTTTGGGAGGCCTAGGCGGGTGGATCACCAGAGGCCAAGAGTTCAAGACCAGCCTGAGCAACATGGTGAAACCCCATCTCTACTAAAAATACAAAGATTAGCCGGGCGTGGTAGTGGGTGCCTGTAATCCCAGCTACTCAGGAGGCCGAGATTGCACCACTGCACTCTAGCCTGGGCAACACAGTGAGACTCCGTATCAAAAACAAAACAAAACAAACAAGAACATCCTGCAGCCATTTTCTAAAGGACTTTCTTTGACAGTGTTTATCATCAGGTTTTTTAAAGGACTATATTTCCCACTCTCCTGGTTACCTACTTGTACTGAAAAAAGCAGAAAAGTGATTAAAATAAGTTCATATATTACAAGAAGAAAAAGGAATATCTCACTCATTGAAGTGGATTTCCTGCTCCCAATTCTCTTCAGGGAAAGCTCAGTGACACCCAGGGTTAAGTTATTTCAAAAAACATGAGGCTTCCACATGATAAGCAGACTTGTGCCATTTTGGTAATTACCTTTTGCAGTCACTGGGGGCTCTGGGAAGGGAGACATACCTCTCTAGCAACTTGCAATTATAATATAAATCAGCATGTGTGTAGATTAAATGCTAAATGGATCTTATTATTATTAGAGCTGGTTTCTTCCTGTGCTCTCATTTTACAGTAAAGCATGCAGTTCAGCAAATGGCAGGCTGCTCCAAATTCTCATTCTGGAAGGTTTGAAGGAAAGGCAATATCTTCCCCTCAGGACATTGCAGCAAGGTTGACTCTTTTTTTTGTGTGCCCACAGGAGACCAGAACTAGGTGTGATTCCAGAGCTCACACTTTCCTAACTCAGAAGTTTGCTTCTTAGTGATTCCAAACAGAAAGGAGGCTTTTAATAGACCACTTGATGATGCAAAAGCTTTAGGAAATTTTAGATGGTCTCCTTGAACTCTGAGTAGGGATTGACTTCAGGAAGAAAAAAACAACACTTATCAAAGCCAACAAGGTACTATGAGAAAGGTTGCTTACTTAGGCCAGTTTCCATAAGAAACAGAACCTGAAATAAGAATTCATGTGCAATGTTTTATATATATTAAAAAAAATCCCAGAAGGACACAGTAAGTGAGTGAATAAAGTCCCAACTGGAAATAAGGGTGCTGGGCTTCCATATTCCTGCACCATCAGTTAGTCAGTCATCAGCCAGGGCTACCGTGAGGAAGATAATTTCCATGGAACCCCCTGCTCTCTGTGCTTGCTGCCTTTCTGCTCCATGTGTGCAGTGTGGTGCCAGTAGTCTCAGGGAGTGCCTTGAAGAGAGGCACAGATGCAAGCCATTGGAACCCAAACACTAGGAAGCCAAGGGAAGGGCTCACAAAACTAGTAAAAAGGGATCCAAGGAGTGTAGTACACTTGCCCTCTGTGACAGTTTGTGTGTCCACTTGGCTGAGCCATGGTGCCCAGATATTTGGTAAACATCGTTACAGGCATTTCTGTGAAGATGTTTTTGGGTATTACTACTCACATTTAAACCAGCAGATTGAGGAAAGGAGATTGTCCTCCCTCATGTGGGTGGGTCTCATCAAATCAATTGAAAGCCTGAGTAGAACAAAAGGCAAATCTTCTCCCAAGTAAGAGAAATTTTCCTGCTTCTGGACTTGAACTGAAACCGCAGCTCCTCCTGAGTCTTGAGCTTCCTGGCCTTCAGACTGGAACTAAACCTTTGACTCTCCAGGGTCTCCAGCTTTCGAACTCATACTGCAGATCCTGGGATTTGCCTGCATTCATAATTACATAAACTCAATTGGCTCATGTAATACATACACACACACACACACACACACACACACACCTATATTATTATATAATTTGTATACACATATGTATATGTGTGTGAGAGAGAGACTTGACCTTCCAACTTGACTCTAAATGGATGAATATTTTGTTCTGAGGATTCAGATGCAATTGGTTTCTTATATTGTCTGAACCTCCTGTGATTCTTTGGATGCAAACTGCATAGTGTAATGCTAGTACTCTTTAAATGAATGGAGAGAGGGAACAGAATGAGATAAAAAGTGGGACTGGTAAGATAGATTTGGTGACTAAAAGTAGCTGCATGGAATTCAATGCCTGGGACTGTGGAGGTCATTCATTCATTTCATAGGTTCTCACTGAGCTCCCATTTATTCAAGGTCACAGCATTGGCTGGGGTCAGGGCACTCTGAGAGAAAGTGGAGGATCTGTCTCCCTGACCCGAGGAACACAGGAACAGCCATGACAGTGAGTACCTAAAGGAAGGTACAGATAAAGAGCCATTGATATTCCATGGTGGGAGAGTTAACGTTCTTAAAGATGTGACATATGATCTGGGCTTTTTTAGACAGATGGGGAGAATGCAGAAATAAAGGCAGCCTGGGAAGGAGGGTTGTGCTTGGGAAACCTAAAAGAGTGCAGCCAGGTGGGAGTACTGAAAAGGGAAGGGGACAGAAGATCAGGCTAGAATAGAAAGATGATCCCCTTAACCCCATGCTAATAATTGCAGGCTTAAATATCTAGAAGATGGAGGAGCCAGTCATGACTTCTGAAGAGAGAGATGGTTTGATTATATTGCCTTTAAGTTATATCACTGTGGAGATACTTGGAAGGGTAGCAGAAGGGGCAATCCTGTGGACCAAGAGTGTGCTTTGGAGGAAGCCTCTGTAATTATTTAGGTGAGAAATGATTAAAGCAGAGCAGTGAGAGAAGATGATTCAAAAGACAGGTTCTTAGCACCCAATTGGATGAGGGGAGTAGAGACAGTGTGGTTGTTGGCATGGACTCCAAGGTTTCTGGTTTGAGAAACTTGGCAGAGGGTGACATCATTCACTCACAGAGTGAATACAGTGATAGAAGCAGATCTAAAACAGAGAAGACAAGTTCAGTTTTGATCTTGTAACGTTTAAAGTGCCTTTGGAACTTCAAATTTGAGATGTTTATTAGGTGGCTGGATATGTAGGTCTAAAATGTAAGAGTGTTTTTGGCTGTAGCTGGAAATCTGGAAGTCATCAGTATTGGGCAACAGTTAATTCATTCAACAAACATTTACTGAGAGTATGCTATATACCAGACACTGTTCTAGGCCATGGGGACACAATAGTGGACAAAATACATAAAACTCCCTGTCTTGTGGAACTTATATAGTAGCACGTGGAGTCAGGTAATAAACAAACAAATACAACATACAGACTGTCAGATGGTGGTTGGGACCCTTGAGAAAAGTAAAGTAGGGGTGGGGCATGGATAGGCTGGGCTGCAAGTGCAATTTCAGGAAGGATGGTTAGGAAAGGCCTCATTAAGAAGGTGATATTGAGCAAAGCCCTAAAGGTGATATTGAGCAAAGCCTTGAGGAGAAGGTTTGATCCATGTGGACAAATGGGGAGACAGCATTCCTGGTTTGATCCATGTGGATACATGGGGAGAAAGCATTTCCAGTAGAGGAAAGAGCAAATGCAAAAGTTCTCAGGTGGAAAGCAGCAGAACATATTTGAAGAGCAGCAAGAAGGTCAGTGTGGTTTCAGCATAGTCATCTAGAAAGAAAGTGGTAAGAGATAAGGTCTGAGGGAAAATAGGGAGCTAGATCATGTAATAACTTATTTGCCATTAAAAAGTCTTTAGCTTTAATCCTTAGTAAGGTAGGATTTGGTTGAAGAAGTGTGATCAGACCACTGCGATGGAAATAGATCACAGCGTGGGGGGCAAAGATGAAGGCAAGGAGGCCACCTGAGAGGCAATGTCAATAATCTAGGTGGGGGATGATAGTAGCTTGGGTCAGGATGGTGACCAAGAAGGTGATATGAAGTGGTTAGATTCCGAACATATTTTAAAGATAATGCTATGGAAGACTTTCTGGTAGCTTGGAGGTAGAGAGTATGAGTCTAGGATTTTCAATCTGGAAATATGGACTTGCCGTTTACTGAGATGAGAAAGATTGAGGGAAACATTTTTGGGGTGGTAGGAGATCAAGAGGTCAGTTTTGGAAACTAAGTTTGAGCTGTCCGTTATTCATCTAGGTGTAGAGATCCAGTAAGCAGTATGGTTTTGGGTTCAGGGTAAGATTCAGGCTGGGGATAAAAATGTTACAGTCTACAGCATAAAAATGGTATTAAATCTATGTGACTGAGTGAAATCATCAAGGGAATGAGGATAAATAGAAAAGTTGTACTCAGGAATATGCATAAATTAATAAAATGGAGCATGAGAGAAGAACCCAGGCAAGGCTATAGATGGTGCCAGGTTTCATATTTGGGCACAGGAGCCACAGGAATGAGTAGAGTCAACCAGCATGTAAGACTAGTCTTGAGCAGGTATGAATATCCCATGTCAGAGAGTGGAAACCAAGAACCATAGTAACTAGGAACATAAAGAATGAATAAAAAGATTCGTGTAGTTGCATGGCAATGTTAGGCCCATCTGCTAATATTAGACAGGCTGCTTTCTGTCTGTTTATCTATTGTCACATGAAAACCACCCCAAAACTTAGTGGCTTAAATCAACAACAGCATTTATTTTTCTCATGAATCTGCAATTTGGCTATGGCTAGGTGAGGACAGTTCATCTGTTCTACACTCCCCATCCATTGGGTAGCTATAAGCTTGGGGCTATAATCATATGAAGACTCTTTCACTCACATGATTGGCAGTTGATGGTAGCTGGTGGCTAGGATTTTAGTTGGGGCTCTCTTCCAGGACACCTACTCATATCCTTGTCCTGTACTTTCTTGTAACATGGCGACAAATTCAAAAGGTAAACATCCCAAAAGAGCGAGGGCCAAGTGGAAGCCATATTGCTTTCTAGCCTTTATTTAGACAGAATCACTTGTGCTGTACTCTATTCATGAAAGCAGTCTTGAAAGCCCACACAGATTCAAGAGGAGAGGAAATGGACTCTCATTTCTTGATGGAGGAATGGAAAAGTTCTGGAAGACCATGTGGAACCAGAGATCTTGCTGTGGCCATTTTATCTTTTCTTTTCTTTTCTTTTCTTTTTTTTTGAAAATGCAATCTTTCATACAACTTGGTAAATGTGTCATGGTCCAGGGTCTTGGCTCTTAGACATGCAGGCTGTGAAACTCACCACTGGCTGGCTTTTTTGAATCAAGATACTGATGTATGAGGCTGGAATGCCCATTTATTATTTGCAGTGAGAAAAAAAACTTCACTGACGTAGAACTACTCAAATTCTCTATGCTTTCCAGATACTTGGTGAGCACAGAATCAGAACAAAGGAGTGAGAGATTTGAGTTGATGACTTGAATAGCAGCAGGTCAAAATGAGGTTTGAATTTCTATCTTGTCAATCGGATGTGAATTATTGATATTCATTGACTGACACTTCTGGGGTCTCTCTCAGTGCATCCCTCCCTTATTCCCCTTTGCGTAGCTTCCAGTTGTAGGAACAACTGCTCCTTTGGAATGGTCTTTCTTTGGGTGTGCTTGTCCACTTAACCTGATCAGTCTGAGTTTGCAGAGGGAAGCCATTCTGCTCCTACAAGTGCGACTTTCCACTTTTCTTTTCTGATTGGTCTTATAGCTTATATCTCAGAAAGCAACCTTAATCCTTTTATTTCTTACTTCTTGTGGGAGGGAGGAGGAGTACAACTATTGACAAGAGAATGCACAGTAGTCAAGGTGGAGAAGCTGGTTTGGACTAAGGTGATGTTGGTGGGATGGAGGGTGGTTCAGTGAGAGAGAGAATGGAGTTCAGGATGGTACAGTCAGGTCTGTCAGGACTCCATGCAGGCCCCTTCACCATGCTGGTGCCTCTATCCCCAGTGGGTATGAGTGTTGCTTGCTAATGGCTCCCAGCGTCCTCCTTCTCTGACCTCAGGCAATGGAGCATACTCACCTAGAAAAGTGGTGGGAGTGGGAAGCTTGTAACCAATGACTCACTGAGACCAGAGTAACAAAGCCCCATTTTCTTGTCTCAAAGTAAGCCAACTCTTGTGTTGCTCATGCTCCACAGATGTCCATGGCATCAGGTTGATGCTAGATTCCAGCTGCACCCATGTCTTTTGCCACGTTCTTGCTTCTGCCTTGTCTGGCTTCCTGCATAGCCTGGTGTTTCCTGAGGGCTCCCTTGCAATGCATCAATTGGACAGAAGTCCCCTTCTGAGCCTCTGTGTCTAAGAAACCCAACCTAAGACAGACTCCAAGGTTTCTGGTTTGAGTAACTAGGTAAATAGTTAACATTTACCTAGAACATTTACTGAAATAGGGAACACCAGGGTATAAACAGGTGCGAGGGAGAAAAATGAAGGATTCAGTTTGTACTTGCTAAGTTTAAGATGTCTATGACACCTGATGGAGACATCAAACAGACAGCTGGATATCAGAGCAGGAAATTCAGATGAGAAGTTTGGGCTACAGATGTGAGGATCAAATCAAAGAATATAATTTAGACTGGAGGGTCAGGGCATAGTTCCCTGAAGAAGTGATATTCATTCACCACTTGAAGTCTGAGCAGGAAATAGTGAGGCCATGAGTGGAAGAAAGAGCCTTCCATGTAGAGGGAACAACAGGTGTGAAGCCTGAGCCTTTTCTTATTGATGTCAGAGGTGGGGAATTTCTTAAGTCTTTGATTCCAGATGCATCGCTTAACCATTGTCAAAGTAAGCAATATTTCTTTGAAGTTCATAATTTAGGGGGCATTTGTTGCTAAGTGACATCCTCATCTTATTTTCCTGGTATTTTTCAGGCAGATTCTATGTCTAGCAATAGGCAAAATTCATTAAGTAGTCTTATTTAAAAAAAAAAATACTTGAGTGTCAAAGAGCTTGTAATTTTGTGCTATCAGATGACGTTGAAATGCGCGGAGGCATTGTTAATAGGAAGCAAGGAGGATTCAGTCAGGGGCCAGCAGAAGGGACCCTGGGAGAAATATTAATAAATGGTAATTTTGGTTATGGGAAGCTTAAAAAAGAATTTAACAGTGAGAGAATTAAAAGGAAGTGAAAGTGAGCAAGAAAGGTAAAAATGAGGTAAACGCCGAGCAAGGGAATAATGGTGATGCAGAAAGCACATACTAACTGAGTTGGAGAGAGGATTGACTGCAGAGCGGAAAAATTTCCAAGATAAAAGCTGGACACATCCAAACCCATAAGGAGAAAGATTCCAAATGCAATAAACAGGGAAAGCCAGCTCTTGAATTGGGGTCCTGGGACAGGATCACCTGGGAGCTGGGAGCATCTTGATAGAGAGACTGCCTGACTGTCACCCCAGCCAAAGGATGGTTAGTGCGGTCACTGTCTTGCCATAGAGCCTCAGAGCTCATCATGTCTGCAGAGGAAAGGGGCCTTGTTACATAAGCAGGGTGTTTACACCTGGCCCATCACCAAGGGAAACACTAACTCCCCACACAAAGAAGAAAAGCCCCAGCGAGAAAAAGTCCTTGCAGAGCGCAGGCCTGTGGCCTCTGCAGGTAGGACTGATGAAGAGATATAATCAAGTGTTCTTGCTGCAAATACGCATGTTAAGAACTTGGGTTATTTTTATGTGCCGTGTAATGGCAATTAAAGGCCCAAAAGAAAAACAACCCATGACTCAAAGGACAGCTTAACTGAAGAGAATACGCTGAAATGAAAAGTGATTCAAGCTTCCCTCTAACCTCTCTCTTTGCCAATAAAATAAATCTAGAGGATCAGGCAAGTCTACATAGATGTCATACAGTTCTGATCTCTCTTTTGGCTTGCTCTTCCTAAAGAAGATGACAGCAAAGAGAGAGGGTGTTAGCCTGCATCTGCTCTGACTGTGTGATCTTGGGCAGGTCATTTATCTCCTGCAGAGCTTCAGCTTCTCTTTTGAGAAATGAGTAAGGGATTTTTTTCCCCCAAATCTCTGAGGTCTTTTCTAGTTGAATAGTTAAATTCCAGAAATCATTTTACTTGATAATGCCACATTTTCCAGAGTCCAACCAGAGAAAGCAGAAGGTTTGTGATAAACGAATGCAAAGAAAGAGTGCCCGCAGAGGAGAAACCCAGGTGAGTGGACATGGGCTATGTTCATGGTTCATCTTCCTGAGGTGTCCTTCCCAGCGTCTATTTCCCACAGACTACCTTTTGCTTTTTTGATTTCTATTTCTGCTGAGACAGACATTAAAAAAATTATATATCCATGTAACTTTCTCAATTGTCAGTGGCTCAAAGCCAATACATAGAATAGAGAATAAACAGCAATTTCAATTCCTCATTCCTTCCTTGAAGTCTTGGGAAGTTAAGTCAACAAGATGTCCATTGTTCTCTCATAGACAGCATCTCCAGGGTGTCTTTTCATGTGCATATACAGAATAATTCCAAAGTTCCTACTCATTAGTAGGTTCAAAGAAAAAGAAAATTTTCTGAAATGGAAAAGCCTACTGTTTTTTGTTCTCTGTTATCACTTTTGATTTTATTATTGAGTGAAATGGCAATTAAAGGCACAATAAACTTAAAGCTAGTTTATTAAAGGGGGGCACCTTTCATATGTAACAGTGTATTATTTTTTCTTTTATAATTCAGCCTTAGAAATAATCAGGTAAGGCCGGGTGCAGTGTCTCAAGCCTGTAATATCAGCACTTTGGGAGGCTGAGGCGAGCGGATCATGAGGTCAGGAGTTCGAGACCAGCTTGACCAGCATGGTGAAACCCCATCTCTACTAAAAATACAAAAATTAGCTGGGCGTGGTGGTGCACACCTGTAATCCCAGATACTCAGGAGGCTGAGGCAGGAAAATTGCTTGAACCTGGGAGGCAGAGGTTGCAGTGAGCCGAGATTGTGCCACTGCACTCCAGCCAGGGTGACAGAGCGAGACTCCGTCTCAAAGAAAAAAAAAAAAAGGAAAGAAAGAAATGATCAGGTAAGCCCTTTGGAAGTCATTTAGTTTATAGGATTCCCATGGTTTTTCTCAAGGGAAACTGTATTCAGGCTTTGGTGAGTAATAAAACTTCTCTTTAAAGAATGTTCTCTCTGAGCACATTTAGATTTATTTAAATTGAATATACATCCATATGTTTTTATAGGAATTATTATTTTCCTACTAAATTTCTAAAAATAGTGCCTGAATAATATCTGCTTTAATGAACAGAAAAAAATTATTAGAACAATTTCTTGGTTAAGTTCACTGTATTGGTTGACACTGTAGATTTGTATATTCACAAGAGTTTCACTGCAAACTGACTTTTCAGGGCAAATTCACCACCCAAAAGTCTGTAGTGAAAGGTGAATGCTGAGACTGAGAGTCACAGATGAGATCTGCTTACCTAGAGCAGAAGTTGAAAACTGTAAACTGGTTAAATGTTAAAAAACACTTAAATGGTAAAATTGACAAATCTCTGGAGGCTGAGTATAAGACTAGCATGAGAAGAAGAAATTCCCAGGTCTTAAGGGGGCCCTTTCACTTTTGTGAACTTGACCTAGAGGAAACCCACCAGGTTCTCATAGTGAAGAACTGAGAAAGATCCCCTTGTGGCTCTGGCAAGGGGAGAGAAATAGAAATCATGAGAAACTAAGGAATTTAAAGCTTCTGGCCCTGGAGCTATAGAGAACATTAAACAAAACCCAACTCCTAATCAGAGTAACATAAATCTTCACACTACAGGACTGTTTACCTCATTTCCTATTACCTGATATGATATGTCCATCACTCAACAAAAAATTACAAGGCATACCAAAGAGAAAGAAAAACATTATTTGAAAAAACAAAGCAAGCATCAGAACCAGACTCATGAGACATAGATTTTGGAATTATCAGATAGGGAATTTAAAATTACTATGATTAATATGTAAAGGGCTCTAATGGAAAAAGTAGACAAGATTAGATACAAGAACAGATGGATGGTAAAAGCAGAAAGATGGAAATTCTAAGAAAGAACTCAAAAGAAATGCTAGAAATAAAAGCACTGTAACATAACTGAAGAATGCCTTTGATGGACTCATGAATGAACGTAACAAGGTTGGGGAAAGAATCAGTGAACTTTAAAATAGGTCAATACCAACCTTCCAAACTGAATTGCAAAGAGAAAAAAAGAACAATAAAAACAGAACATCCAAGAACTATAGGGCAATTTCACAAGATGTAATATATATGTAACTGAAATACTAGAAGAATAAAGAGACAGCAGAACAGAAGAAAGATTTAAACTAATAATATCTGAGAACTTTCCAAAGTTAATGGCCTACATCAATCCAAGAAGTTCAGAGATCATCAGGCAGAATAAATAAAAACAAAGCCCCAAAACCAAAGCTCTGCATTTAGGTGCATCATATTTAACCCACAGAAAATCAAAGACAAAGAAGAAAAATCTTAAAAGAAGCCAGAGAAAAATACCACCATATCAACAGAAGAGTAAAGATAAGAATTACATCACATTTATCATCAGAAGTCATGAAAGCAAGAAGAGAGTGGCATGCAGTATTTAAATTATTGTTAATTAAAAAAACAAAGTATGCTGGGTGTGGTGGCTCATGCCTGTAATCCCAGCACTTTGGGAGGTCGAGGTGGGAGGATCTCTTGAGCTCAGGAGTTCAAGACCAGCTTGGCCCACATAGCAAGACCCCGTCTCTAAAAATAAAAAACAAATCAAAACAAACAAACAAAAATCTAGCATTCTATACCCAATGAAAATATCCTTTAAAAGTGAAGGAGCAAATACAACTTTCTCAGACAAACAAATATTGATGGAATTTATCCCCAGCAGACCTGTGCTTCAATAAATGTTAAAATAAGTTCTTAAGGAAGAAGGAAATAACATAGGTCAGAATCTTGAATCTACAGGCATGTACTGCATATGGATGTATCAGTCAAGGACAGACTGCATATACAGTGGTGGTCCCAGAAGCTTATAATGGAATTGAAAAATTCCTATTACCTAGTGAAGTCATAGCCATCCTAATGTTATAGCACAATGCATTTCTCATGTGTTTGTAGTGAAGCTAGTGTAAATAAGCCTACTGTGTTACCAGTTGTACTAAGGTCTATCGTGTACAATTATGTAGAGTACATAATACTTTTTTTTTTTTGAGACAGAGTCTTGCTCTGTTCCTAGACTGGAGTACAGTGGCACGATCTCAGCTCACTGCAACCTCCGCCTGCCAGGTTCAAGCGATTCTCCTGCCTCAGCTTCCCAAGTAGCTGGGACTACAGACGCGCACCACCATGCCCAGCTAATTTTTGTATTTTTAGTAGAGCAGGGTTTCACCATATTGTCCAGGATGGTCTCGATCTCTTGACCTCGTGATCCACCCGCCTCGGCCTCCCAAAGTGCTCGGATTACAGGTGTGAGCCACCGTGCCTGGCCACCAGTATATAATACTTGATAGTAGTAATAAAAGACTATGTTACTGGTTTATGTATTTATTACACTATACCTTTTATTGTTATTTTAGAGCATAGTCCTTATACTTATTTTTTAAAAAGTTAACTTAAAACAGCCTCAGGCAGGTCCTTCAGGAAGTATCCAGAAGAAGTCATTATTATCATAAGAGATGACAGCTCCATGCCTGTTATTGCCCCTAAAAACCTTCCAGTGGGACAAGAGGTGGAAGACAGTGATATTGATGATATTGACTCTGTGTAGGCCTAGGATAATGTGCGTGCTTGTGTTTTAATTCTTAACAATAAGGCCTAAAAGGTAAAAAAATTAAAAATTTTGAAAATAGAAAAAAGGTTATAGAATAAGGATAAAGAGAAAGAAAATATTTTTGAACAGCTGTATAATATGTTCATGTTTTAAGTTATGTTATTATTATATGAACAGCCAAAAAGTAAAAAAAAAAATTAAAAGTGTATCAAGTTAAAAAGCTACAGTAAGCTAAGATTTAGTTTATTATTGAAGAAAAAATAACTTTTTCATAAATTTAGTGTAGCCTAAGTGTACAGTGTTTATCAAGTGTACAGTAGTATATAGTAATATCCATGCCTTCAGAATCATGCACCACTCACTCACTGACTCACCCAGAGCAACTTCCAGTCCTGCAAACTCCATTCATGGTGAGTGTCCTATACAGGTGTACCATTTTAAAATCTTTTATACTGTATTTTCTTTTCAACTTATAGGTTCAGGAGGTACATGTGCAGGTTTGTTAGAGGGGTAAATTGTGTGTCACTGGGTTTTGGTGTACAAATGATTTCATCACTCAGGTGGTGAGCATAGTACCTGATAGGTAGCTTTTTGACCCTCACTATCCCTGCCACCCTCCAACCTCAAGTAGACCCTAGTGTCTATTGTCCCCATCTTTGTGTCCATATGTACTCAGTGCAGCTCCCACTTATAAGTGAGAACATGTAGTATTTGGTTTTCTGTTCCTGTGTTAATTCACTTAGGATAATGGCCTCCAGTTGCATCCATGTTGCTGCAAAGGACATGATTTCATTGTTTTTTATAGCTGTGTAGTATTCCATGATGTATATGTACCATATTTTCTTTATCTAGTCCACCAATGATGGACATCTAGGTTGATTCCATGTCTTTGCTTTGGGTATAGTGCTGCAATGAACATATATATGCTGGTGCCTTTTTGGTAGAATGATTTCTATTCCTTTGGGTATATAGCAAGTAATGGGATTGCTGGGTCCCATTAAGTAATTGGGGCCAATGGTAGTTTTTGTACCATAGTTTCACTGTACTTTTTAAATGTTTATATATGTTTAGATATAGAAACATCATGTTGTTGTAATTGCCTACAGCATTCAGTACACTAACATACTGTGCAGATTTGTAGTCAAGGAACAATAGGCTATATCCTACACCCTCGATGTGTAGTAGGTGTAGTAGGTTATATCACCTAAGTTTAAGTACATTTTGTGATGTTTCCACAACGATGAAATTGCCTAAAGGTGAATTCCCCAGAATGTATCACTATCAGTAAGCAACATATACATGAATATATATATAGAGAGAGAGCCAGGTGTGGTGGCTCACACCTGTAACCCCAGCAATTTGGGAGGCCAAAGCAAGAATATTGCTTGAGACCAGGAGTTTGCGACCAGCCTTGGCAACATAGCAAGACCCCATCTCTACAGATAATTTTAAAAAATTAGCTGGGCCTGGTGGCATGCACCTGTAGTCCCAGCTACTTGGGAGGCTGAGGTGGGAGGATCACTTGAGCCTGGGAGGTCAAGGCTGCAGTGAGCTATGGTCACACCACTGCACTGTAGCCTAGGTGACAAAGTGAGACTTGTCTATTTAAAGAAAGAGAGATGAAGAATCTTGGAAAAAGGAATCAATGAAAATGGAATAAAATATTTCATTTTTATTATTCTAAAATGTAACTGTATAATTTAATAATAGTAAGAATGTACTGGGTAATTATAACATAGAATAAAAGAAATTAAATGACAGCAACATCACAAGGGATGGGAGGGAGAAATTGGGAATATTTTTTCAATGTACCTGCACCACTCATAAAGCAGAAGCATGTAATTTGAAGGTGGAATCAGATTAGCTAAAAATGTATATTGTAAGCTTTAGGGCAACCACAGTTTTTTTTTTTTTTTTTTTTTTTAAAGAAGTGAATAAGAGGCCGGGCGCGGTGGCTCACGCCTGTAATCCCAGCACTTTGGGAGGCCGAGGCGGGCGGATCACGAGGTCAGGAGATCGAGACCATCCCGGCTAAAACGGTGAAACCCCGTCTCTACTAAAAATACAAAAAAATTAGCCGGGCGTAGTGGCGGGCGCCTGTAGTCCCAGCTACTTGGGAGGCTGAGGCAGGAGAATGGCGTGAACCCGGGAGGCGGAGCTTGCAGTGAGCCGAGATCCCGCCACTGCACTCCAGCCTGGGCGACAGAGCGAGACTCCGTCTCAAAAAAAAAAAAAAAAAAAAAAAAAAAAAAAAAAAAAAAAAAAAGAAGTGAATAAGAGAGGAGATAAAATGGAACAATACAGAGACTTAATTAAAACAACGGAAAGCATAAAACAACTACAAACATGGTTGATGTTAAAGCAAATATATGAATAATCCCTTGGAATGAGTAGTCTAAATATACCAGCTAAAAGACAGAGATTGTCAGATAAAAATGCAAGACCCAAGTATATGTTGTTTACATAAAATTCACTTTAAATATAAAGACTCCGATAAGCTAAAATTAAAGAAATGGACAATGGAGAAAGAGAAACCATACTAATCGAAAGAAAACTGGAATGAAAATATTAACTTCAGCCAAAGCAGACTTCAAAACAAGGAGAATTGTCAGAGATAAAGAGCAGCACTGGGTAATTATGAATGGGTAAATTTTTGAAGAAGATATAACAATTCTAAACATGTATGTATCTAAAAACAGATCATCAAAATACATGAGGCAATAACTCATATAACTGAAGGAGGGATAAATTCACTATTATGCTTGGAGAATTTAATACCCCTTGTCAGTAATTGAGAGATTAAGCAGGCAGAAATAGCAACAAAATATAGTTTACCTGAACAGCATTATAATCAACTTGCTCTATTGAAATTCATAGAATACTGCATCCAACCATAGTAGAATACACATTCTTCTTAAGCTCACATGGAACATTCTCAGACATAGCCAACATTCTAAGCCATAAAACACATTTCAAAATTTAAAAGAGTAGAAAACATGCAAAGCATGTTCTCAGACCACAATAGAATTAAATTAGAAATCAATAATAGAAACATACTTGGAAAATCACCAAATAGTTGGAGACTAAACAACACAAATCTATATAACACATGAGTCAAGATGTCACAAGAAACATTTAAAAATACTTTAAATTAAAATAAAAATACAACTTATTAAAATGTGTGGGATGTACCTGAAGCAATGCTTAGAGGAAATTTGATAGCATTAACTACATATGGTAGAAAATAAAAAATATCTAAAATGAATAACTTAATATTCAACCATAGGAAACAAGAAAAGAAGAGGAATTCAGACCTAAAGCAAGCAGAAGGAAAAAATAGAGCAGAAATCAATGTAATTGAAAACAGGAAAATAATAGAAAAAACTAACAAACCAAAAGCTGGTCCTTTGAACAAATCAATAAATTGGTAAACTTCTAGCCAGACTAACCAAGAAAAAAGAGAGAGAAGAGGAAAAGTTACCAATATCAGAAATAAAGGATGGACATTGAAAGGATAAGAGAGGAATACTACAAACAACACTGTGATTACAAATTTGACAATTTAGATAAAATGGACCAATTCCATCATAGACACTCCCAAAATTCACACAAGGAGATATAAATAATATAAATAGCCCTGTGTCTATTAAGTAAAGTGAATCAATAACCAGACCCAAATTGTTTCACTAGTGAATTTTACCAAATATTTAAGGGAGAAATGATATCAATTTTCCACAATAGCATTGAGAAAATTGAAGCAGAAGTAATACTTATTACTTCACTCTAGGAGGCTATTGTTACCCTAACACCAAAACCACATATACCCCACAAAAAAATTAACTCAAAATGGACAATAAATGTAATTGTACAATGCAAAATTGTAAAACTTCTTGAATAAAACATAAGAAAAAATCTACATGACCTTAGGTTTGGAGATGAGGTTTTAAATGCAATACTAATAGCATAATCCACACACAAAAAATGATACTTTGGACTTCATTAAAATTAAAAACTTATTTTCTGTGAAAAAGACTATTTTGAGAGAAAAAATACAAGCCACAGACTGGGAGAAAATGTTTATAAAACACTTATCTGATAAATAACTTGTGTCCAAAATATACAAAGACCTCTTAAAATTTAACAATAAAAAACAGGATGGCTGAATAGGAGCAGCTCCGGTCTACAGCTCCCAGCATGAGCAATGCAGAAGACAGGTGATTTCTGCATTTCCATCTGAGGTACCAGGTTCATCTCACTAGGGAGTGCCAGACAGTGGGCACAGGACAGTGGGTGCAGCGCACCATGCGCGAGCTGAAGCAGGGCGAGGCATTGCCTCACTCGGGAAGCGCAAGGGGTCAGGGAGTTCCCTTTCCTAGTCAAAGAAAGGGGTGACAGATGGCACCTGGAAAATCGGGTCACTCCCACCCCAATACTGCGCTTTTCCGACGGGCTTAAAAAAGGGCACACCAGGAGATTATATCCCGCACATGGCTTGGAGGGACCTATGCCCACGGAGTCTCACTGATTGCTAGCACAGCAGTCTGAGATCAAACTGCAAGGCGGCAGTGAGGTTGGGGGAGGGGTGCCCGCCATTGCCGAGGCTTGCTTAGGTAAACAAAGCTCGAACTAGGTGGAGCCCACCACAGCTCAAGGAGGCCTGCCTGCCTCTGTAGGCTCCACCTCTGGGGGCAGGGCACAGACAAACAAAAAGACAGCAGTAACTTCTGCAGACTTAAATGTCTCTGTCTGACAGCTTTGAAGAGAGCAGTGGTTCTCCCAGCATGCAGCTGGAGATCTGAGAATGGGCAGACTGCCTCCTCAAGTGGGTCCCTGACCCCTGACCCCTGAGCGGCCTAACTGGGAGGCACCCCCCAGTAGGGGCAGACTGACACCTCACATGGCTGGGTACTCCTCTGAGACAAAACTTCCAGAGGAACGATCAGACAGGAGCATTCGTGTTTCAGGAAAATCCACTGTTCTGCAGCCACTGCTGCTGGTACCCAGGCAAACAGGGTCTGGAGTGGACCTCTAGCAAACTCCAACAGACTTGCAGCTGAGGGACCTGTCTGTTAGAAGGAAAACTAACAAACAGAAAGGACATCCACACCAAAAACCCATCTGTACATCACCATCATCAAAGACCAAAAGTAGATAAAACCACAAAGATGGGGAAAAAACAGCAGAAAAACTGGAAACTCTAAAAAGCAGAGCACCTCTCCTCCTCCAAAGGAACGCAGCTCCTCACCAGCAACGGAACAAAGCTGGATGGAGAATGACTTTGACGAGTTGAGAGAAGAAGGCTTCAGACGATCAAACTACTCCGAGCTACAGGAGGAAATTCAAACCAAAGGCAAAGAAGTTGAAAACTTTGAAAAAAATTTAGAAGAATGTATAACTGGAATAAACAATACAGAGAAGTGCTTAAAGGAGCTGATGGAGCTGAAAGCCAAGGCTCGAGAACTACGTGAAGAATGCAGAAGCCTCAGGAGCTGTTGCGATCAACTGGAAGAAAGGGTATCAGTGATGGAAGATGAAATGAATGAAATGAAGCAAGAAGGGAAGTTTAGAGAAAAAAGAATAAAAAGAAATGGACAAAGCCTCCAAGAAATATGGGACTATGTGAAAAGACCAAATTTACGTCTGATTGGTGTACCTGAAAGTGACGGGGAGAATGGAACCAAGTTGGAAAACACTCTGCAGGATATTATCCGAGAGAACTTCCCCAATCTAGCAAGGCAGGCCAACATTCAGATTCAGGAAATACAGAGAACGCCACAAAGATACTCCTTAAGAAGAGCAACTCCAAGACACATAATTGTCAGATTCACCAAAGTTGAAATGAAGGAAAAAATGTTAAGGGCAGCCAGAGAGAAAGGTCGGGTTACCCACAAAGGGAAGCCCATCAGACTAACAGTGGATCTCTCGGCAGAAACTCTATAAGCCAGAAGAGAGTGGGGGCCAATATCCAACATTCTTAAAGAAAAGAATTTTCAACCCAGAATTTCATATCCAGCCAAACTAAGCTTCATAAGTGAAGGAGAAATAAAATACTCTACAGACAAGCAAATGCTGAGAGATTTTGTCACCACCAGGCCTGCCCTAAAAGAGCTCCTGAAGGAAGCACTAAACATGGAAAGGAACAACCGGTACCAGCCACTGTAAAATCATGCCAAATTGTAAAGACCATCGAGGCTAGGAAGAAACTGCATCAACTAACGAGCAAAATAGCCAGCTAACATCATAATGACAAGATCAAATTCACACATAGCAATATTAACTTTAAATGTAAATGGACTAAATGCTCCAATTAAAAGACACAGACTGGCAAATTGGATAAAGAGTCAAGACCCATCAGGGTGTTGTATTCAGGAAACCCATCTCACGTGCAGAGACACACATAGAATCAAAACAAAAGGATGGAGAAAGATCTACCAAGCAAATGGAAAACAAAAAAAGGCAGGGATTGCAATCCTAGTCTCTGATAAAACAGACTTTAAACCAACAAAGATCAAAAGAGACAAAGAAGGCCATTACATAATGGTAAAGGGCTCAATTCAACAAGAAGAGCTAACTATCCTAAATATATATGCACCCAATACAGGAGCACCCAGATTCATAAAGCAAGTCCTAAGTGACCTACAAAGAGACTTAGACTCCCACACATTAATAATGGGAGACTTTAACACCCCATTGTCAACATTAGACAGATCAACAAGACAGAAAGTTAACAAGGATACCCAGGAATTGAAATCAGTTCTGCACCAAGCGGACCTAATAGACATCTACAGAACTCTCCACCCCATATCAACAGAATATACATTTTTTTCAGCACCACACCACACCTATTCCAAAATTGACCACATACTTGGAAGTAAAGCTCTCCTCAGCAAATGTAAAAGATCAGAAATATAACAAACTGTCTCTCAGACCACAGTGCAATCAAACTAGAATACAGGATTAAGAACCTCACTCAAAACCACTCAACTATGTGGAAACTGAACAACCTGCTCCTGAATGACTACTGGGTACATAACGAAATGAAGGCAGAAATAAAGATGTTCTTTGAAACCAACGAGAACAAAGACACAACATACCAGAATCTCTGGGACACATTCAAAGCAGTGTGTAGAGGGAAATTTATAGCACTAAATACCCACAAGAGAAAGCAGGAAAGATCCAAAAGTGACACCCTAACATCACAATTAAAAGAACTAGAAAAGCAAGAGGAAACACATTCAAAAGCTAGCAGAAGGCAAGAAATAACTAAAATCAGAGCAGAACTGAAGGAAATAGAGACACAAAAAACCCTTCAAAAAATTAATGAATCCAGGAGCTGGTTTTTTGAACGGATCAACAAAATTGATAGACCACTAGCAAGACTAATAAAGAAGAAAAGACAGAAGAATCAAATAGACGCAATAAAAAATGATAAAGGGGATATCACCAACAATCCCACAGAAATACAAACTACCATCAGAGAATACTACAAACACCTCTATGCAAATAAACTAGAAAATCTAGAAGAAATGGATAAATTCCTCAACACATACACCCTCCCAAGACTAAACCAGGAAGAAGTTGACGCTCTGAATAGACCAATAACAGCCTCTGAAATTGTGGCAATAATCAATAGCTTACCAACCAAAAAGAGTCCAGGACCAGATGGATTCACAGCCGAATTCTACCAGAGGTAAAAGGAGGAACTAGCACCATTCCTTCTGAAACTATTCCAATCAATAGAAAAAGAGGGAATCTTCCCTAACTCATTTTATGAGGCCAGCATCATCCTGTTACCAAAGCCGGGCAGAGACACAACCAAAAAAGAGAATTTTAGAACAATATCCTTGCTGAACATTGATGCAAAAATCCTCGATAAAATACTGGCAAACCGAATCCAGCAGCACATCAAAAAGCTTATCCACCATGATTAAGTGGGCTTCAATCCTGGGATGCAAGGCAGGTTCAATATATGCAAATCAGTAAATGTAATCCAGCATATAAACAGAACCAAAGACAAAAACCACATGATCATCTCAATAGATGCAGAAAAGGCCTTTGACAAAATTCAACAACACTTCATGCTAAAAACTCTCAATAAATTAGGTATTGATGGGACGTATCTCAAAATAATAAGAGCTATCTATGACAAACCCACTGCCAATATCATACTGAATGGGCAAAAACTGGAAGCACTCCCTTTGAAAACTGGCACAAGACAGGGATGCCCTCTCACACCACTCCTATTCAACATAGTGTTGGAAGTTCTGGCCAGGGCAATTAAGCAGGAGAAGGAAATAAAGGGTATTCAGTTAGGAAAAGAGGAAGTCAAATTGTCCCTGTTTGCAGATGACATGATTGTATATCTAGAAAACCCCATTGTCTCAGCCCGAAATCTCCTTAAGCTGATAAGCAACTTCAGCAAAGTCTCAGGATACAAAATCAATGTGCAAAAATCACAAGCATTCTTATACACCAATAACAAACAGAGAGCCAAATCATGAGTGAACTCCTATTCACAATTGCTTCAAAGAGAATAAAATACCTAGGAATACAACTTACAAGGGACGTGAAGGACCTCTTCAAGGAGAACTACAACCCACTGCTCAAGGAAATAAAAGAGGATACAAAGAAATGGAAGAACATTCCATGCTCATGGGTAGGAAGAATCAATATCATGAAAATGGCCATACTGCCCAAGGTAATTTGTAGATTCAATGCCATCCCCATCAAGCTACCAATGACTTTCTTCACAGAGTTGGAAAAAACTACTTTAAAGTTCATATGGAACCAAAAAAGAGCCCGCATCGCCAAGTCAGTCCTGAGCCAAAAGAACAAAGCTGGAGGCATCACGCTACCTGACTTCAAACTATACTACAAAGCTACAGTAACCAAAACGGCATGATACTGGTACCAAAACAGAGATATAGATCAATGGAACAGAACAGAGCCCTCAGAAATAATGCCGGATATCTGCAACTATCTGATCTTTGACAAACCTGAGAAAAACAAGCAATGGGGAAAGGATTCCCTATTTAATAAATGGTGCTGGGAAAACTGGCTAGCCATATGTAGAAAGCTGAAACTGGATCCCTTCCTTACACTTATACAAAAATTAATTCAAGGTGGATTAAAGACTTAAACGTTAGACCTAAAACCATAAAAACCCTAGAAGAAAACCTAGGCAATACCATTCAGGACATAAGCATGGGCAAGGATTTCATGTCTAAAACACCAAAAGCAATGGCAACAGAAGCCAAAATTGACAAATGGGATCTAACTAAACTCAAGAGCTTCTGCACAGCAAAAGAAACTACCATCAGAGTGAACAGGCAACCTACAAAATGGGAGAAAATTTTCGCAACCTACTCATCTGACAAAGGGCTAATATCCAGAATCTACAATGAACTCCAATAAATTTACAAGAAAAAAACAACCCCATCAAAAAGTGGGCAAAGGACATGAACAAACACTTCTCAAAAGAAGACATTTATGCAGCCAAAAAACACATGAAAAAATGCTCACCATCACTGGCCATCAGAGAAATGCAAATCAAAACCACAATGAGATACCATCTCACACCAGTTAGAATGGTGATCATTAAAAAGTCAGAAAACAACAGGTGCTGGAGAGGATGTGGAGAAATAGGAACACTTTTACACTATTGGTGGGACTGTAAACTAGTTCAACCCTTGTGGAAGTCAGTGTGGTGATTCCTCAGGGATCTAGAACTAGAAATACCATTTGACCCAGCCATCCCATTACTGGGTATATACCCAAAGGACTATAAATCATGCTGCTATAAAGACACATGCACACATATGTTTATTGCGGCACTATTCACAATAGCAAAGACTTGGAACCAACCCAAATGTCCAACAATGATAGACTGGATTAAGAAAATGTGGCACATATACACCATGGAATACTATGCAGCCATAAAAAATGATGAGTTCATGTCCTTTGTAGGGACATAGATGAAACTGGAAATCATCATTCTCAGTAAACTATTGCAAGAACAAAAAACCAAACACCGCATATTCTCACTCATAGGTGGGAATTGAACAATGAGAACACATGGACACAGGAAGGGGAACATCACACTCTGGGGACTGTTGTGGGGTGTGGGGAGCGGGGAGGGATAGCTTTAGGAGATATGCCTAATGCTAAATGACGAGTTAATGGGTGCAGCACACCAGCATGGCACATTTATACATATGTAACTAACCTGCACATTGTGTACATGTACCCTAAAACTTAAAGTATAATAATAATAAAACAAAAACAAAACAAAAAAATAAAAACCAAACAATTCAAGTAAAAAAGTGGACAAAATATCTGAACAGACACCTTACCAAAGAAGATATGTAGATGGCTAATTAGCATATGAAAAATGCTTAACTAACTATAATTAGGGAATTGCAAATTAACAAAATGATAAGATATGACTACGTACACACCCATTAGAATGGCAAAAACAAAAGCAAAGCAAAGTGAAAAATGAAACGGCAATACCTGCTACTGGCAAGGATGTGGAGCAACAGAAATTTCCATTCATTGGTGGGAATGGGAAAATGATACAGCAACTTCTCAAAATGGCTACAAAGATTACCAAACAATCTAGAAATAATGCTCCTATGTATTTAAGTTTGCAAACTTAGGTCCACATAAAACCAGCATGTGAGTTTTTAAAACAGTTTTATCAAAATAGCCCAAAAGTGAAAGCAAAGAAAACGTCCTTTAAGAAGTAAATGCATAAACACACTCTGGTACATAGACACAATAGAATATTACAAAGCAATAAAAATAAGTGAGTGTTCAAACTACCAAAAAGATCAATAAATTTAAAATTCATATTGCTAAGTGAAAGAGGCCAGTCTGAAAAAGCTGTATACTGAGTGATTCCAGCTGGATGACAATGTGGAGAAGGCAAACTGTAGAGATAGCAAACAGATCAGTAATTTCCAGGGATTTCAGAGGTTGCACAGGTGAAGAACAGGGGAATTTATAGGGGAGTCACACTATTCTGTATGATACTGTAATGGTAAATACAAGGCATTAAGCATTTGAAAACTCACAGAACTTCACAGCATAATGATTAAATATTAAAGTATACAAATTTTAAAAATAATTTAGGAGTTCAGGGGATCCCAGGATACAATGCAGAATGTCATAAAAATATCTAAGTATGAATATATGAAATCTCACTGAAAGAGGTTGGGTAAAATGATAAACCAAGGAAAACTTTGGAAATGATGGAGCCTGTAAAACTAAAGGCAAAAGGAACTGTACATTAAAACTGTGCTCTAACTTATAAAGTTATTTTCTGTACAGGCATAGGTTAACAATTCTGAAACTGCTACACATGTATACTAGAAGTAAACAAGTAATGGATGGCAAATAATGGGATCTGTGTTTCTCATTATTGGTGTTAAAGATTATAGATAAGCAAGTAGAAAGAGACTAGAACAATCCATATGGTAATGGATTAGTATTGACATAAGTATGAACTTATGTTTAGGTCAATATAGACACAGATGGTTACATATAGAAATATTTATAGATATGTTTACATACATGGGTTAGTATATACACATATATCTCTTTCCACAGGGAGCAAGCAGAAGCAATGGCATCTCAGCAGTAGTGAGCAAGTTAGTGTCCAGATTTTGGTTTCTAATATCATTCTCCTGTAAAAATAACAAAGGGTTCCTGGAGAAATAGCTGATTCTAGGACTGGGGAATAAAATACACAAGATAACCTAGAGCATCTTGCAGTGCAGAAAGTAAGGAAGTGATGAAAAAGAAACAAAGCAAAACAAAAAATCCAAACCTATAAGGATGGGGTATGCCAAGGTGCACAGTAGCCAACTGAAAGAGCTCCCAATGGTCAAAGTTGCAAAAATTTGAGCAATCAATCAAGTAGCATTGGATTATAATCCAACATATAAAATAAAATAAAAGTCCTTGAATCCATATGAATATAAAGAAATGAATAAACAAATAAATGAGAGAGAATAAATACATTTCCTGCACCAAAGAATTCTAAATAATTTCTGTAAATATTCTTTCCATAAGAAGGTAAAGCATAGTTTACTAGTCCTTAAGTGTGGCCTTTACATAGTGACTTTCTTCCAAAGAGTACAGTACGGAAAAGCAGGGAGATATAATGGGTAAGTTTACAGTGGAAAGACCTGGCAAAGATATTTCGAGCCAGATGATCAAAGGTAATGTCAACAGTGATGAATCACACTGATAGTATGTTCCTTGATAGGATGTGATGAGAATAGCACTTCACCTCTGAGGTTTTCCTCCCTGAAAACACATTATCCTAGTTTAATGATGAAAAATGCCAAGAGAGGAACATTTTACAAAATACTGAACAATTTCAAGATCATCAAAACAAGAAAAGTCTGAGAAACTGTCACAGCCAAGAAAAGCTAATGGAGATGTGAAGACTAAGTGTAATGTGGTATCCTGAAACAAGAAGAAGAAAGGACATTAGGTAAAAACTAAGGAAATCAATAAAGAATAGACTTCAGATAATAAGTATCAATATTGGTTCAATAATTGTGACAAATACACCATAATAATGTATGATGTTTATAAAAAGCTAAATTGATTGTGAGATATACAGAAACTCTCTGTACTATCTTTGCCCTAATTTTGTAAACCTAAAACGGTATGATACTATAATAGTGGATATGTCTTTATGCATTTTTCAAAACCCCTAGACTGTACAACAAAAGACTAAACCATAATGTGAACTCTGGACTTTAGGTAATAATAATGAATCAATATTGGCCCATCAGTTTAACACATGTACCACATTAATGCAAGATATTAAAAATATATTGGTGGAGATTGAGGGGTATACGGGAACTCTACTTCTCAATTTTTTTCAGCAAACTTAAAACTCTATCAAAAAGTCTATTAATTAAAAAACAAATCAAAAAGAGCTGATCATATTTTTAACTTTTAAGTTCAGAGGTACAAGTGCAGGTTCGTTACATAGGCAAACTTGTGTCATAAGGGTTTGTTGATTATTTCATCACTCAGGTTTTAAGCCTAGTACCAATTAGTTAATTTCCCTGATCCTCTCCCTCTTCCCAACTTCCACCCTCCAAAAGGCCCCAGTGTGTGTTGTTCCCTTCTATGAGTCCATGTGTTCTCATCATTTAGTTCCCATTTACAAGTAAGAACACGCAGTATTTGGTTTTCTGTTCCTGTGTTAGTTTGCTAAGGATACTGGCCTTCAGCTCCATTCACATCCCTGCAAAAGACATCATCTCATTCTTTTTGCGGCCACATATTACTCCGTGGTATATATGTACCACATTTTCTTTATCCTGTCTATCACTGATGGGCATTTAGGTTGATTCCATGTCTTTGCTATTGTGAAGATCACCAGCATTCCTATACACCAACAACAGACATGCCAAGAGCCAAATCAGAAAGGAACTCCCATTCACACCTGCCACAAAAAGAATAAAATTCCTGGGAATACAGCTAATAAGGGAGGTGAAAGATCCCTACAAGGAGAACTAAAAACCACTGCTCAAAGAAATCAGAGATGACAGGTATGGAAAAACATTCCATGCTCATGGATAGGAAGAATCAATATTATTAAAATGGCCATACTGCCCAAAGCAATTTACAGATTCAATGCTGTTTCTATTAAGCTATCATTGACAGACATTCTTCACAGAACTAGAAAAAACTATTTTAATATTCATATGGAACTAGCAAAGACCCTGAATAATGAAGACAATCCTAAGCAAAAAGAAAAAAAGCTAAAGGCGTCATGCTACCTGACTTCAAACTATATTACAGGGTCATAGTAACCAAAACAGCATGGTACTGGTACAAAAACAGACACATAGACCAATGGAACAGAATAGAAAACCCAGAAATAAGACCGCACACCTACAACTATCTGATTTTTGACAAGCCTGACAAAAACAAGCAATAGGGGAAAGGATTCTCTATTCAATAAATGGTGCTGGGGTAACTGGCTAGCCATATGCAGAAGATAGAAACTAGACCCCTTCCTTACACCACATACAAAAATTAACTCAAGATGAGTTAAAGACTTAATGTGAAATACAAAACTATGAAAACCCTGGAAGACAACCTAGGCATTACCATTCTGGATATAGGAATGGGCAAAGATTTCATGATGAAGATGCCAAAAGCTATTGCAACAAAAGCAAAAATTGACAAGTGGGATCTAATTAAACCAAAAAGCTTCTGCACATCAAAAGAAGCTATTAACAAAGTAAACAGACAACCTACAGAATGGGAGAAAATTTTTGCAAATTATGCATCCAACAAAAGTCTAATATCCAGCATCTATAAGGAAGTTAAGTTTACAACTATAAAACAAGCAACCCCATTAAAAAGTGGGCCAAGGATATGAACGGACACTTTTTTTTTTTTTTTGAGACAGAGTCTCACTCTGTCACCCAGACTGGAGTGCAGTGGTGCAATCGCGGCTCACTGCAAGCTCCCCCTCCTGGGTTCATGCCATTCTCCTGCCTCAGCCTCCCAAGTAGCTGGGACTACAGGCGCCCACCACCACACCCCGCTAATTTTTTTGTATTTTTAGAACAGACGGTGTTTCACCGTGTTAGCCAGGATGGTCTCGATCTCCTGACCTCGTGATCCGCCCGCCTTGGCCTCCCAAAGTGCTGGGATTACAGGTGTGAGCCACTGTGCCTGGCCATGAATGGACACTTTTCAAAAGAAGACATACATGCAGCCAACAATCATATGAAGAAAAGCTCAATATCTCTCAATATCACTGACCATTAGAGAAATGGAAATCAAACCCACAAGGAGATATCATCCAACACCAGTCAGAATGGCTATGATTAAAAAGTCAAAAAATAACAGATGCTGGCAAGAATGAGGAGAAAAGGGAACGCTTATACAATGTTGATGGGAGTGTAAATTAGTTCAGCCACTGTGGAAGACAGTGTGGCAATTCCTCAAAGATCTAAAAACAGAAATACCATTTGACCCAGCAACCCATTACTGGGTGTATAACCAGAAAAATATAAATCATTCTATTATAAAGACACATGCACATGTGTGTTTATTGCAGCACTATTCACAATAGCGAACAGCTAATAAATTTTACAAGCCCCCAAAACTGGCAACTAGAAGGAATTACTCCCACAAATTAAGTAGAGAGAAAAAAGCAACATAGAAAGAACTATAAAAATAATTATAGCATAGGCTCAAGCTGGCCAAAATTCCTCTAGTTCCAAAATGAAGTCTAGCAATGAGGTTCTGCACTGCAAAACAGAGTGCATCACGGGGCATCCTAGGATAGAAGAAGGTTACTTATGGCCATCTGTGATGCTTTATCAGTTATTTCTACTCCCCAAATCCTGTTCTCAAGTGAAGTGGTGTTCTGCTGATTCATGCTTTTACAACACTGCTCAAAGAACGTTACCCACATTTCTGTCCAAACACACTCCACCTGAGATTTTAGATCCATTAAGCTCTTCCAAACAATTGGTAAAAGAGAGCCTCCACAGCTTCATTAGCAGAGGCAAATATTTGACTTTATGAAGGAGCAGTGTCCTGTTGATTCCCACTAAAAGAGGCTCTTGGTCACAGGGCCAGCTGTTTTTGCCTGTAGCAGAAGGTCATGGATTTACACTTAACCACTCATAATTTTTGCATAAAAAGGAGAACTGTCATCTTTCTCAGAGGTCCTGGTGGCTCGTTCCAGGTACCCATTTCTGTTTAACAATCTACTCCGCACATAGTGGTTAAACATCTTATTTTGCCCATGTTTTTGAGAGTTGGGAATTTAGGAAGAGTTTGGCTAAGTGCTTATTCTCTGGTTCATGTGACATCAGCTGGAGCTGCAGGGGCTAGAGCAATCAGATCACAGATGACTTCTTCATCCACATGTCTCGTGTGTTAGTATCCCTTGGCCTCTTTCTCTTTTCACATGGTGTTTCATCAAAAGCTTCTTTATGTGGCTTGGGCTTCTAATGGCATGGTGGCCTCAGGGCAGTCACACTTCTATTTCTTACATGACAGCAAGGTTTCCTTGGGAAGAGCAGTCTTAGAGTGAGTGTTCCAGGAGACAGGAAGTAGAAGCTGCCAGTGTCTTATGGGATGGGTCTGGGGGCATCTTGTGTCGCTTCTGCTCCATTCTGTTACTCAAAGGAGTCCCAGAGCTTGCCCAGATCAGGGAGAGGAGAACACAGACCTCATTTCCGCATGGGAGGAATGTCAGAGAATGAGTTGTCATAATTTGTCACACGGAATCCAATACCCTACATAGCTGTAAAGATGGCAGTGCCTGGTCTAAGCCAACACATATCTTATGTTAGAAACTGAAATAAATATCACCAGAAACCAAACTTCCAAGGAGATACTATTTTTCTTAGGAATATCTTACCAAAAAATCCACAAAGTCTGGTACAAAATGGGTAACAATTAAAATAATCTCGACCAAAATATTGGTGGGAAAAAAATTGCTACACCACAATGAGACCTGTATTCTATGTTTATTTTTGTTGTTTGTTTTTTGTTGTATTTATGTCTTATTTGGTAGAAAACAAATAGAATGTCATTATTATAATAAATCTCCAGAGTGAGTTGCCTTGTCATTAGTTTTGTCATCTTATGTCAAAGTGTGGGAAAGTTTTTGAAATGTTCTCGAAAATTCCATTCACTACTATGTGGCATTTTGGATCTGTAAGCAATGTGTTTACCATTTAATATACATTCGCTTCTTTCACACTTGAGAAAACTGTGGCCAAAGTGGTCAGTCATCCTGCCCAGGGTCCCACAGCATTGTAGTGTATTAACTAGAACCAATATTTGGACAGCCAGTTCAGTGCTCTATAGTCACATCAGGTACTGTAGGAAAAGGTAGGACCAGTTTTATTTGGAGGTATGTGGAAGACTTTTTAATCCTTCATTCCCCAAAACTACCATTGATGCCTGAAATTTTTCCAGTAGGGACTCATTTGATGCTACTCCTAATTGAGAGTAATTACACAGAGATAATTTCATTGTGTATGACAGGAAAGGAAAGGAATTCAAGCACAAAATGACTGAGGTTTGGTGTAGACCGGTTTGCCGAACCATGCTTCCTATCCGGGACAACCTGGAACACCACAAAAACCATGGTAGATTTTGAGATGGAGATTATAACAGTAAACATCAAAAGGAAAACGTACAGAAGAAATGGGAGGGCTGGGAGAAGAATGGGCCCTGATGACCCTTTTGTGGCTTTTCTGCATGGCTGGGGGCCACATTTAAAAGGCCATGTCCCCAGAGGAAATGAGAAAAATAAAACTATCATTTTAGCCTCAGATCAGAGTCCAGGAAGTCCAGGTTGACACAAAGATGTAAGTTTAAAACAAACAAACAAAAAAAACCAACAACTGGGTGCAGCACACCAACATGACACATGTATACATACGTAACAAACCTGCACATTGTGTACTTGTACCCTAAAACTTAAAGTATAATATTAATAAAATAAAAAAATAAAAATAAAAAAACCCAACAACTTAGAGAAAGCAGCCAGATAAGAAACTAGTAGCTGTCAAATAATGTTGAAAAATAATTCAAGCCTAGATACAGCATAACTGTTACTGTATATGTCACTGTATCATGTGATTTTAAAAAATTAGCAGTGTCTTGTCTGCTTTCTTGTCAGTACGGAGGAAAATGCTACATGCCACAGATGTTCCCCATAGAAAGATGTCAAACCTGAAATGGCAGTGCTAGCAATCAAAGACATTGTACAACGGAGAATGCAAAATGCAACAAATCGCCATCTACTAGCAGTAAATTCCATCTGATTGCTGTGCACAACCCGCTCCCTCCCAAACTGCCAAATCTTAAAAGATGTGACATCGTATCATAGGCGACCCAGTTTCCTGTGAGCTGAGTGCTGGACCCTCTGCCAGCCTGGGCCATCTGAAAGGCACACATCTGAGAAAAGCAGGTGATTCAGCCTACCATCGCCATAAAATAAGTACTAATCCACAAAAATTAAACCTGATTGTGTGAAGCATCCACTTAGATTCATTAAAAAGAGATCCTGTTTGAGCTTTGCCAGGCTTACTGGGCTGTGGCGGCTACACAGATATTGGCCTGTTGGTGACTCTGTTATATTGGGTACAATTTGTATAACCCCACTTGCCTTACTTTACCTCATGTTGAGACATCTAAGGACAAATATCCAAAATGATGTCTGGAAACCTCCTGGGACAAAGAATTAGGGAACTGTGGAGCCAAGGAAGACTTTAGAAATCTATTCAATCAAATATCATGTTTAACATATTTAATTTGATTCAGTTTAACATGAATCCCCTGCTACCTCCTTAAGTGTCTCAGTCAAGCTCTGGATACACAAAAATAAATGAAATACAGCCTGACACCCTTAAGAAATTTCTAGTTTATTGAATGAGAGTGAGCAGTAAACAGGCAATTGAGATCCCATGTGATAATCTCTATATTAACCTCCACTTAGGATGGTACAGGGCTTGTTGAGTGCAGCTAATAAGGAGACTTAACATAAAATATGTCATTGGTTGGTCTTTTTTCTTTTTTAAAAAAATTTTTAATTTTTATTATTTTTTTTATGAGTCAGGGTCTTTTGTCCAGGCTGGAGTGCAGTGGTGTGATGATGGCTCACTGTAGCCTTGAAATCCTGGGCTCGAGTGATCCTCTTGCCTCAGCCTCCCTAGTAGCTGGGACTACAAGCATGCACTGCCATGCTTGGCTAATTTTTATTTTTGTAGAGATGGGGTTCTCAGTATGTTGCCTATGCTGGTCTTGAACTTCTGGCCTCAGTCAACCCCCCTGCCTTGGCTCATTGGTTGTTCTTAAAGAACAAGTGGGTGTAAACCAGATGGATGGGATGAGAGGTGGTGAGGGAATGGACCAGGTCAAGCATTGCATGACCCCTATATAGAATTGACAATATGCAAAAGGACTATACCAGAGGATTGGGTGTTTGAGTGGGGCTGGAAGGCAAGCCAGAGAGGTACCCATGCTTCAAAGTGCTCATCTAAAACTAAGAAGGTGGACATTATTTTGAAAGACAAGGAAAAGTGAATCCCAAAGTTATTAGTTAACTAAGACAATGTCAGTTAGTTGAGGAAAAGGCTGTGGATCTGAGCCTTCAATGTGGGTAAAATTTTATTAAACAAGGAAGGACATTGTTAAGAGTCATACCCCTCCCCCCACCCACCCTGCCAGAATTCCCTTTTTTCTTTTGGCATAATCTATGGAGCCTGTAAAAAATGACTTTATTTTTTCTTTACCTTCTAATTCCTCTTTCCTCTCCCTGGCTCTGCTCATGCAAATGTCCTGTATTTACTTGGATATTTGCTCTCTTTCTGCTTACCTTATCAATTTCCCCATATCTGTTTTTTTTCCATTACGCATTTCCACAGCTAAAAATACCCATTTTGTACTTTTAAGCATTCAGCCCTACTTTTTATCTTGAGAACTTGAAAAATATGACATTTTAACATGTGCTTCTGTTCTGGGGCATCTAAAAATGCAGACTTCTCTCTCTTTGGTCATATTTTTCTTTAACTCCTTTTAAATGCATTTTTATTACAATATGAAACAGAGAATTTTGTTTTTATATCAAGGATCCAAAAGGTATTTGCTCATCATATCCCACTACCTAATTTTGACTCTTTTGAAAAACTGATTTCAGTTACTACCACAGTATGATTGGAAAAAGCAGAACTTGGGACCTTTGGGTTCCATGACTTCTTGCTCACGTGTGGGATTTTGTCAGTTTTATAGGGCAACAGAGAGTAGAGTGAAGGGGATTAGACAGCAGATCTTCAGGAGACAGGGAAGCTAGCCAGCATGCCATGTATAGAATATTGTGATAATATAAGATTGTGGTCACCTTAACTGGGCGACCATGTATGCATCATGCACAAAGCTGCAACCAAACTTACTATGTTACAAATGAGCAAGAAACAAGAAAATTCCCCGTGAAGATGTAAAAACTGGAAAATCAGTTTAGTAAGAAAGAACGTGCAGATTCTAGATGTTTGTGTCCATGAATCCATATCTGTGTGCCATCTCCACGGAAAAGTAACTCTTTTAATTGTATAAGGCAGTGTGCTGTAGTGAAACTACAGGTATAGGTGAAACTGAATCCAGTTCTCCTACTTATTAGTGATACGATCTTGGGCAAGTTACTTAATTACTCTGTGTCTTGGTCCATTAAGACTGCTATAACAGTATACCATAGGCAGAGTGGCTTAGAAACAACAAAAGTTTATTGCTCACAGTTCTGGATGTTGGAAAGTGCTGGATCAAGGCTCTGGCAGATTCAGTGTCTTGCTTCTTGGTTCACAGACATTTGCCTTTTCACTGTGTCCCTGCATGGAGGAACAGGGTGAGGGAGCTCTCTGGGGTCTCTTTTATAAGGACTCTAATCCCTTTCATGTGGGCTCCACCCTTAGGACTTAACTACCCACTAAATATTCCACCTCCTAATACCACCACATTGTGGGTTAGGATTTCGACAGTGAATTTGAGGGGAGCACACTCAGTCCACAGCACTTTGAGTCCTAGTCTCCTTGTCTATAAAATGGGAATAAAAATGGTTTATCAAAAGTGTATGAAGATTGTCTTATTTTTTTCTCCCTTCAGAAGCTCATCTCAAAACAAGGATTATCTGCAGGGTGATCTCAAGAAACTGGGAGAGTAGGGAGGTAGAAAGTGAGACAGAGGACGAAGGAAGTCAACATAGAGTGCATGAGTGGACAGGATATGCTGAGGGCACTGGGGCAAAAAGCCTGCTGAGACTTCTAGGAGACATTACAGAACACGCTCAAGATTTGTCCCACCTGAAAGGCTGGGAAGCTAGGATATTGTTCATCATGTCCTGTCTATTATTGGCTGGGAGATGACCTCAAGGGTGGTAACTCTCCAGCACATCTGGTCTGATCTATGCATGGTTTATCATGCTCCTATGGCCAAAGAATTAAAAAAAAAACCCAAATAGAGAGATGCATGTGATTTTGGTAGGAAGCTGACAGTGTGTAAAGGATGGTGGGTGTTTAGGTATATGCACAGGACACTGCAGCATCAGCTACGGAAATTAGATGAGACAACACAAATAAAGCCATGGGGACAGTGCTTGGAACCTAGGAGGTGTTCAATAAGTAGTGGCTTAAAAAAATCATAGAGGGCATGGACTGATTTAAAAAAAACTTAGCACATGTATACATATGTAACAAACCTGCACGTTGTGCACATGTACCCTAAAACTTAAAGTATAATAATAATAATAATAAAAAAACCTTAGGACTCAAGGGATTGGACCGCTTGAGGGTCCATCTGCTCCCACGTGCCCATGTGGCATGCACTCTAGTTCTTTAGGAACAACCCTTCTACAAATACTGACACATACTCTTTAATCGCCCACTCAAGATAGGCTATCCTAGCACCCCAGAGACACATTATAACCCATCGTGCCAAGCAAAGTGGTTATGCCTCTTAATAGTCACTGGCAGCCACTTTCTTGCCAAAGTCCTCTGAATACCAAGACTACATCTGAAAATGTGTCCAGGGGCAGTGCCCACTGTTATAAAGTTCTAATTGGGAAGGACTGGAGCTTCAGGTAAACAAGCAAAAAAAGCTAAAAGTTTGGAAATTTTAATTTATAGTATCCTTTTTGATGTTATTTTGATGAAAATGTAAAGCTACAAGAGGGCAAGAGAGGAATTTCCATACATGGAACAGAACAGAAACAGAGTTTCTCAAACTCCTCAATTAACTGAACTGTTTGTTTAATCACTTACTTGGCTTTCGGGAAGCAGAAGCAAGTTCTGAGAAAACCAGATTCAATTTCTTACATTTTGAGCTTAATTGGTGATAACTGAATCTAGAAGGCTGTACATCTGGAGTAGCAAAATAATTTTTTTCTACCAGAAAGAAAGGCTCATATTAATTATTTCAATACATAGTTGATTTTGGTAGACACTCTCCTATGTCCAATCAGCCAAAAATTCACAGTTCACGAGATAGCAAGCAAACTGCTTTATTATTATAACTAACTACTAGCATTATTTATTATTATAACATATGAACCCACCTTCAATTTGGACATCAGTACCTGAAGCTCTTGTCTTGATGCCTGAATGCTAAAAATACTTAAGACCTACACAGGCTGTGTATCATACACATATGAAAATTAGTTAGAGCTTCTTATAAAATAGCATGTAAACAGAGACTTGTGAGGAATAAAATAAAAACTAAAGATGAATCCATCAGCACTAGGTAGATACAGTCACCTATATCACATGTAACTGCAAGCAAGGGGAATCCCCTGGAGGAGGTGAGCTTACGGGCTTCTAAAATGAATGCCACGAACAGAGTGGGGGATATAAAATAGCTCATGTCAACTTGCTTTTGTAAGGTCATGTTTGAATGACTTTAAAGTAGAATTCACACTTGAGGAATTTTTGTAATATTTAGATGTGAATATTTGAAACCTAAATAACTATTGTAACAGTCACCGAACATATGAATTTAGCTACATCAGTTTGCAACAATTCGGTCTTAAATTTACAAAGTGCTCCTCATATAAATACCATAGCCAACCATCCTCTCTCTAACCTAGTCCAAAGCATATAATAAACCCTGATAAATGTTCTCTGTTTATATGAACAAAATATTTAATTCTGTAAATAAGATTTTAAGATAAAAAAAGTTTAATTATTTTTATTTAGTTTTTGAGGCAGGGTCTCACTCTGTCACCCAGGCTGGAGTGCGGTGGCACAAACACAGCTCACTGCAGCCTTGACCTCCTGGGCTCAAGTGAACCTCCCACCTCAGCCACCCAAGTAGCTGGGACTACAGGCATGCGCCACCACACCCATCTAATTTTTGTATTTTTTGCAAAGAGGAGGTCTCGCCATGCTGCCCAGGCTGGTCTCAAACTTCCAAGCTCAAGCCAACTGCCCGCCTCACCCTCCCAAATTGCTGGGATTACAGGTATGAGCCACCATGCCCGGCCTAAAAACACATAGTTTAAAAACTCTTTTTGAAAATGAACATACATACAATAAAGTGCACAAATATTAAGTATACAACTCAAAGTATTTATACAAAACAAGCACGCTATGTAATCACTACCCAGATCATGAAGTAGAACACTTCCAGCACCCCAGTGAGCTTTCTTGTGCCCCCTCCAAATCAATGCCCCTTCTAAAAGGTAGATCCAATTCTGACGTCTCTCACAAAATGAGGCTTTTCTTGTTTTTGAACTTCATATGAACAAGATCATGCATTATGCACGCTGAGTCTGGCTTCCTTCATTAACACCACGTTGGTGTTTGTTGATGAAGCTTCATCCATGCTCTTTGTTTTGTTTCGTTGCTGTAAAGTATTCTGCTTTGTGACTACACTACCATTCTTGTATTCATGCTACTATTAATGAACATGTGGACAGTTTTCAGTTTGGGACTTGTATTCTTTCCTGGGGCTACTGCAACAAAGTCACCAACAGAGTTGGTGACTTAAAACAACAGAAATGTATTCTCTCTCGGTTCTGGAGGCCTGGAGTCTGAAATTAAGGTGTTGGCCAGGGCTGCACTCCTTCTGAAGGCTCTAGGGGAGAATCCTTCCTTGCCTCTTCTAGATTCTGGTGGTTCCATTCACTTCATGGCTGTGCAACATTCCAATCTCTGCTTGTCTTGACAAGATCATCTCCTCTTCTTCCTCTTTATCCCTGATCTCTTCTGTCTCTCATAAGAACACTTGTTATTGGATTTAGAGTTCATCCAGGTAATCCAGGATGATCTCATTTCAATATCCATAACTTAATTAACATCTTCAAGGATAAGTTAGGGCACATTCACGGGTTCTGGGGGTTAAGATGCAGATACATCTTTTAGGGAGGGCATCATTCATCTCACCAGTGAGCTATACTGAATAGTGCTGCTGTGAATATTTTTATACATGTCTTTTGGTGGGCACATATATACATTTCTATTGGGCTTATACCTAAACATAGTAATATAAGTCATAGCATGTTGGTTTACCTTTTGCATATTCCCATCAAACAGTTGTCCAATGCGGTTGCAGTGTGCCTTGGAAATCACCAACACTGATTGCAGCATGTTACAAATGCAGGATTGGAAAAACAACGAAGCTTAAATATGTTAACTAATTTTCTGAAGTTTCATAAGAGATTAGTGGCAGAGCAGTAATAAACATATTTTTTTAAATGGCATAGGACTGTGTTTAGCAATGCTAATATCCCCTAATGTTTTCTTTGAATTTCACATTTCACATAAAACATAATTAGCAGATCTGTTCATTAGCCCAGATGCCAATATGCTGACATTTCTTTTCCACATGCACAATGTTGGCTCCCCAGTGGGCTTCAGGGAAATGCCAAAGTGGGGAATCACAATCCAACCTTGGCATTTCAGGGATGAGAAACTCAAGCAACAAGATGAGAAGTGTCTTTCTTGTTGCTGCTATACAGAGGCAAGTCTTACCTTATCTTACTAGTTGCCATCATGATTTCAGTTAGGTACAGAACTAACTTTCTTTAGGAGCTTGAAAACAAAAGAAATGATTTAAATGGTCTGTAGGAGAAAATGCAGTGGCGGAAGGGTGGGAAGTTGTTCTTTAGAAGAGAAAGACGGCAGAAAAGAGGAGATAGGAGGGAGGAGCAAATAGAGGGCCCAGCCCATAGTCGAAGGTAACAGCAGAGAGCCAGGAAGATTTTAGGGGTAGTAGGCTTATGAGAAAGACTTTACAGAGTGGGAACACTTGCCATGTGCTTCAACACTGCTTGCTACATGATGCATGGTGATCTTCCTCCTACAAAATGCTTGAAGACAGTAGTTATTTTATGTGCATTCTGGGGAAGAGGCTGGGTTTTATCTTTGGGTTGGGAGGCTTTAGAAGAGACAATATGAATTGAAAGATGAACTCAAGTCAGAGGTACCATAAGAACATTGTTACATTCCAGAAATTCACAAAAAATCTGGTAGACTGTGGACTTCCTCAGTCTGTGGAAAATTGAGATGAGGCAATTGAATAGAGGTCTCAGTGGACTAGAAGCCCTCAGTGGATACCAGGTTCCACTGTGTGGGTTTTTTGTAATAGAATTGGTTTAGTAACAAAATATTCTTTTTTAGAAACTTTAATTTGCTTTGTATTTTAATTTTTACATTGACAGAAAAAATTGTATGTATTTAATTTGTACAACATAGTGTCCAGATGAGTTTGGAGGTATTCTCTGCTCTTTAATTATTTAGGAGAGTTTGACAAAAATTGGTAATATTTCTTCTTTAAATGTTTGATAGAATTTAGCAGTGAAGACATCATGCCCTGGGCTTTGCTTTGATGAGAGACTCTATTACTGATTCAATCTCCTTACTCATTATTTGTCTGTTAGATTTTCTAGTTTTTCATAATTCAGTCTTGGTGGGTTGTATACCCAAGGAATTTCTCTGATTCTTCTAGGTTATCCAATTTGTTGGTGTATAATTGTTCATAATGTCTCTTATTAGCCTTCATATTTCTGTTGTATCAGTTGTAATGACCACATTCTCATTTTTGACTTTATTTATTTGAGTCTTCTTGCTTTTTTCTTTTTTCTTAGTCTAGCTAAATATTTGTTGATTTTGTTCGTCATTCCAAAAAGCCAACTCTTAGTTCCATTGATATTTTCTATTATCTTTCTAGTGTCTATTTAATTTATTTCCTGCTCTGATCTTTGTTATTTCCTTCTTTCTATGAACTTTAGGCTTAGATAGTTCTCTTTTTTTTTTGAGATGGAGTCTCTGTTTGTCACCCAGGCTGAAGTACAATGGCATAATCTTGGCTTACTGCAACCTCCACCTCCTGAGTTCAAGTGATTCTCCTGCCTCAGCCTCCCAAATAGCTGGAACTATAGGCATGAACCACCACACCTGGCTAATTTTTGTATTTTTAGTACAGACGGGGTTTCACTATGTTGGCCAGGCTGGTCTCGAACTCCTGACCTCATGATCCGCTTGCCTCAACCTCCCAAAGTGCTGGGATTACAGGCTTGAGCCACAGTGGGTGGCTCTTAGTTTGTTCTTGTTTATCTAATTTCCTGAGGTGCAGTGTTAGTTTGCTTATTTGAAATCATTCTTTTATAATATAGATGTTAATTGCTAGAAGCCCCCCTCTTACAACTGCTTTTGTTATATTCCATAGGTTTTAGTATGTTGTGTCTCCAGTTTCATTTGTCTCAAAAATTTTTTAAATTTTCCCTTTAAACTTTTCATTGACCCAGTGATTGTTTGGGAGCATGCTGTTGTAATTTCATGTATTTGTAAATTTTCTGAAGTTCCTCCTGTTACTGATTTCTAGTTTTATACCGTTGTGGTAAAAAAAGATACTCGATATGATTTTGATCTTCTTAAATTTGTTAGGAGTTGTTTCGTGGCTCAACACATAATCTATCCTGGTGAATGCTCCATGTGCAATTGAAAAGAATGGGTATTCTGCAGTTGTTGGATGAAATGTTCTGCAAATCTCTATTTGGTCCATTTGATCCAGAATGTAGTTTAAAGCTCTCTCCAAGTACCAGAATATTGTGACAATTGGTGTAGTTCTCTTTTCTGTAAGTCAAACGTGGCTGAAAATGCCCAAGTATGACCCCAAAAGTGGATAAAACCTTTGGAAAAAGTAACTTTTCTGTTGTAGACTGTAACATGCATAATATCTATAAACCCTTTGATTAAGGATTTGGCTGAATTCAGATGGGACCCTGGTAATCAATAACCAGCTTGGTAGCTAGTAATTTTGGGTTTTAATGCTGCTTATTGTTTTTTTCTCTCTTTGTCACAAATCATTCCTTGGCCTTTGAACATTTTTGGTGCTTTTCCCAGGGTGACTTCCATCCATAATGCAGGGGTCTTTTCTGCTGCCACAGAAATCCTACATTTCATCAAATGTTTCCCTCCTGCTCTCAGGACAAGCTGATCCCTGGAGTGACCCTGTTTCAGGGCATGGCAGTTTGAGGGCCTTGCATCTGCTTTTTGCTTTGATTGCTTTCTGTTACTCCTGTGGATTAGAATCAAACTGTCATTCTTAGGAGTAAGTGTCTAGTTCCGAACAAGATGTGTTTTCGCTGTAGCCTGATGTAGGAGGAAATTATGTATTGTCTGTTCCCTCAGATTGATGAGGAAAGGAAATTGAAGAGGCCTTTTCCTTGTTTGGGTTGATAACGGGCACTTGGGTGCATGGGCATTGTTTACCACTGAACTCCACAGAATGTGGACTTTGGGACAAGCTCCAGGAGTAGAGGCTGATCTAATCACCTGAATTAGTGACTTCTCTTTTTTCCTTTTCAGATACGTGCATGGAGAAAGGTTCATGTCAGGAAGCTCTGTCAAGAGCAGAGCTTTGATGGCCCTGGGAGAAGGATGAATGCTCTTTCTAGTGACTATTTAAGCAATGAAACTGTGAATGCTATGAGTGGTCTCCAGAGTATTTGAGGCATTCAGTTAGTCTAAAACATTGGTAAATCAGGCCAGGCACAGTGGCTCATGCCTGTAATCCCAGCACTTTGGGAGGCCGAGGCAGGTGAATGATTTGAGGTCAGAAGTTCGAGACCAACCTGGCCAACATGGTGAAACCCCATCTCTACTAAAAATACAAAAATTAGTTGGGCATGGTGTTGCATGCCTGTAGTCCCAGCTACTCAGGAGGCTGAGGCAGGAGAATTGCTTGAACCCGGGAGGCAGAGATTATAGTGAGCTGTGATTGTGCCACTGCACTCCAGCCTGGGTGACAGAGAGAGACTCTGTCTCAAAATAAATAAACAAAATAAAATATTAGTAGATCATCTTCTGTGGGTCTGGATGAGAGCTTGTCTTCTGTAGATAGAAGAAGGGGAGTGGGAAGAAGTAGAAGAGGTCATCCTAAAGATAGAGGAGACCTTTCAAATTTGTACAAGGCAAGGAGGACATATCTCCCTCTTAAGGTTTTCCTGTAAGATAATACAATCCTTTGAGGCACCAAAGGATTGAAAAATTGCTTTAAAAAAGGATAAAGTAGACTTTTATTTACTTTTTAAAATGTGTGCTTCAGAAAAGAGCCAAGTTCATCTTGAGCCACTTTGAGCTCATACAATCCCCGACTGGCTCTCACTGAAGATTGCAAATTGTGGAAATTTGAGAGGTTTTGTGGGCCGTAGAATATCTCTCAAGATAGAATATGATGTTCTGTTTCAGGGCTCGCAAGCAAGCCAAGTCTAAGCTTTGCCAGTGTTTCAGTTACTGTTGCTGTGTAACAAACTTCCCTAAAACCTAATAGCACAGAACAGCTATTTGATTCTGCTCATAGATTCTGTGGGTCAGGGGTTTGGATGGGGCACAGTGAGAATGGTTTATCTGCTTCTCTATGATGTCTGGGGCCAAGCTGTGGGATTTCAAGGAGCGTGACTAGATAGCTTGGGCTGGGATCAACATGTCTGGTGGGTTTTGCTGGCAGTTGACTGGGATCTCAGCTGGGCTGTTGGATGGAACACCTATACATGGAATCTCCATGTAGCTTCTCTGTGTGGGTTAGTTTGTTTCTTCTGCATGGAGCTGGGTTCCAAGACCAAGTGTTCCAAAGACAGAAATGCATAGCATTTTTATGATATATTCTTGGGTATCACATAGCATGTATACTATACTTTATTGGTCATGGCAATGAGAAGGTTCTGTCCATGTTCAAGGACAGGGCACATAAACTCTAACATTCAATGGGAGGAGTGTCAAAATTACAGTGTAAGAAGATCACATAAAATGGGAGATATAAGCACAGTCATGTTTGGAAAATACAATCTGCCAGACACTAATGATTTTTGAATCACATGGGAGATAGAAAGATTGGTGATGGGTACAGAAATAGATAGAGCGGCCCAACTCTTCTCTGCAAAAATAGCAAAGTTGAGGTAGACCAAGTTCATGAAATCTACACCTATAGGCTTAAGGCCGCAGTCTCTACCATGAACACATTTACAAATGTGTATGGCTGGTCACAACTGGGATCAGGGAGGAAAATTCAGGTAGTGTCTTAGTTGAGACTGCTATAAGAAAGTACCATAGACTTATAAACAACAGAAATTTATTTTCAGTTTTAGAGACTGGAAGTCTAGATCAGGGTACCAGTAGGATCAGGTTCTTGTAAAGACCCTTCTCTGGGTGGCAGACTGCTGTCTTCTTGTATCTCACAGGGTAGAAAAAGAGTGAGCTAGCTCTCTGCTCCCTTCTTACTAGGTCACTACTAACATTCATGAGGAATCCAACCTCATGACCTAATTACCTCTCGAAGACCCCACCTTCAAATACCATCACAATGGGATTAGAATTCCAACGTATGAATTTTGGAGAGACACAAATAATTTGGTCTGTTGCAGATGGTTTAATGAAAATTAATCTCCATTGCTAGTCAAACAACTTAACATGCATGTCTGCTGGTGACTTGGCAGTGTGCCCATCTTTATACAGAAAATGCAAAGGTGGTCCTAAAGATTTCCAGTTCCCTTCACTTGTTGGTCTGTCATCTAGAGTGGGTGTTTGATTAACTCCTGGGATGCCGCATGAAGAGTGTATAGCTTAATTGGCTGTATAATGCTACCTTGTCTCTATTTGCTTAGATTATTGGCTGGATGCTATTATATTTTTAGAATAATTATTTCGGATCTGGTTCTTTGGGAGATTCAACTCACAGTTTGCACCTTCTGTAAGAATTACAAATGAACGTTATCACCTTTGAAAAATAAAAGAGCATTTAATTATCCTTGTTTTTCTTAACATTATATATAATTTCATATCTATATAGTCTCTTAAGAAAGGTTTAAAAGTCAGATGATTTATTTCAGGCACTAAAAGGGGGCTTGTTCTGTTAGCTTAGTACTTAATAAAATCATTAGAAGGTGCAAAAGGTCTGCTTCTCAACAGTAATAAAGGTTTTCAGAGTGATAAAAGGCTTTTTTATGTCCTGGGGTCGTCTCTTTTATAAGAACTGCATGTGGGACTGATGATAGTAGCCCCTTCACTTTGAAGTGTGCTTGGGAACCTGTCAGCATGATCCCAAGACTGGGTATGCTGCTCTCCAAAGTATCAGAGGCCTGGCTCTGGTCATTTAAGCCCAGATCCCATGGCACTTTCATGTAGGAAAGTATTGGTTCTGGAATTCTAACTTTTTTGTAAACAGTTAACTCTAAAACAAAACAGGTACCTATGTACTGAAATAGGTCAAGGCTTACTGCTAGCCCACTTGGCAACTGCATTGGTGTTCTGAAAACAGTTGCCATGAGTTATCAACCAAGTGGCTCTTGAAAATCTAACATGGTCTTAAATGTTTTCAGTATGCCTAAAAAATACTACAATGGTGACTCTGGACAAGAAGAAGATGGGAGAGAGAGCAAGAAGACTCCCAGTGTCACAAAACCAACAGTCCCAATGCTGTTTTACAAACCTCTGCCTGGAGAACTTTAAGAATGGAATAGATAACACAGTCAACCTTTTTGTTGACAGTAAAGTGGCATGGGAGTGCCATGCCTGGTTGGCTCCATGTGAACCTAGCACCTTTCTCCAGGTGCTTTCATAACAAAGGAAATAAACTGGGAAAAGACAGGACAGGTCTAATAGAAGGGAAAGAGTTTTAGGGATCCCAGAATTTAGCCCTTCAAAGGACTGAAATATTTTGGTTCTTCTTGGAAAGTATTATTTTTTTCCTGTTGCTTGTTCCTCAAGAGAGTGTTTCTGATCATATTTATTAACTTCCTTTGAAAAAAGGGGATGAATAAAGTAAAGCTGGTTTCACACAGCTTTACACACTCACACATGTTTCCATGTATTCCTTAAGTGTTTCTGTAACAGTTGTTCCTTCAGTAGGAATATAGAAATGACAACAGAAAAAGAAAATAGGCTCCTAAAGGAAAACCAGTAGGATCAACTCACATCCTCAACCTGTGCTGTCTGAGAAGCCATGGGTGTCGCCACCTGCTTTCACATCCAGAAGTTAGCAGCAATGATTAATGTCAGCATCATCCTGCCTCTGCGTGCACAATGCTTCATTAAGTCTTCCCAGATACACAGCAAACATGACATTTTATAGCAAACACAGCTCATCTACTCCAGGAGCGTGAAAATCCAGAGATACATTGCCTGCCACTGTGTGCACGTCCAGTCTGCAGGCTGAAAAGATCCTAAGGAGCTGGTGGACAGGAGATTGAGTCCTGGACATTTCAATGCATTGGGTCAGTCTAGCCATCCTTTTTACAAAACAAGTGCATTTCAAAAAAGTGACCTTGCTTCGGCTAAGGCTAGTTCTCATGATAAGCTGAAGGAAATGACATTCCTTTCCTTCAAATGGTTTCTAGGACAGCTTATCATTACTCCTTTCTAAGATTCTGGAAAGTGGCATAGTCTATTATTTTCCAAAACGAGATGGACCTTAATAACTCTTAAATCTACATCTCTAACTTCAAACCAGCTTCTCAATTTATTGGCAAAATGGAGACAATAATACCTTGTCATGTAGTTGACAGAATTATATGCAGATATATCTGTAAACAATCTTTATATCAACTGATCATCATTGATCATCACTACTTAAATATGAGGCAGTTCCAACATTGACTTCATAATCAGCATTGATAGTTCATGATCTGCATTTATGAAAAGTATAGAGAGTCCAGCATTTTTGGCCTCACAAAGTGTCAAGACAAAGCTCACAAATATTCCAGCATGATTTCATATGACAGTGATTTGGAAGGTGCTCCTACACAAGTGGGCTGGGTGTTTTTCAGTCACATGCATTTGTTTATTGTTCCATCAATTCCATAATCTTCAAACGTGCACCCATAAACTAACTACTAAGCATCCTAGTTTATACATTACTATTTAAAGAATTGGACCAAGTTACAATGTTAAATCATGGGCCTATAAGAATGAATACTTAATGTTCTCCCATTGAAAAAGACATAATCTGGGAAAATTTTTAATTAAATTGAATTTAGGAAAGCAGTAATTGAGGATTATTGCCTTTGTATAACTCAAAGCATTCATTACCTATAAATAGGGCAAGTAGTGCCTTAATTGCTATGCTGCCAAAATGTCAGTGGTATGTACAGGAACATTGACTGATTAAACACTAGAATATAAAGCAATTGACTTAATCATCCCATGGCAATTAATTGAGTTTTTCGTATTATCTGGTGGCAGAATACCAAATATAGAAATAAAGAACCAATTAGACTCCATCAACCATAAAGCTGTCCCATGACAAATCAACACTTACGTAATTGATTCACCTCTACAGGTATATTTCTAATTTAACCACTAGTCAAAACACAGTGAGCTAGGCTTCTCGCTACCTCTGGGTAGAAGGTGGAGAGAGAAGAATGGGGTGGAGAGAATTAAGAAGAGAAACTGGAAAAGGTCAATCTAACACAAGCTCTACATTTCAGTACACTGATGTGGTCAGAACCAAGGCTTCTACAGGTAGTCATGACTGCTTATTTGTGCATCTAATGACCACAAACATTATGGGAATATGTGATGTGACATCTCAAAATCACAGTGCAGCACTCTTTACAATTATCCTCTAGATGAGTTTCACTCCATCCCCACAATAACCCATACCTCATATTAAGCAGAAGATCATCATGAAAAGTAGAGGGAAATGAACCCTATTTCTGACTTGTCTTTGCACCTAGCTAATGAATCTTCATGATAAGCCAGTTGTTTCAGTTTGTGATGTCATGAGCTCTTTATAGACACAGGCCAAAAAATACTTTAAAGTCAACATCTTGGTCCATGTAATTAGGACATCTTGGTACCAGCATGGCAAAGCTGCGGTGCCTCTATCATTTAACATTCAAACCATGGCCTTTTCACAGGGAAAGGGGATGCTATTAACAAGTATTCCATGACAACAGACATAAGCCAACACCATTTTGGGCCAACCAGATGTATAGGTAAGATCCCAAGTAAAGCCTGTTTTGCAAATAATGGGAAGGTAAAGAATTTCCATTCTAACTGTTCTAACACTACCCTACTCATGAAAGAAGGTGTGAAACATCCTAAGACTGACATGTCATCAATTAGATAAAGAGCATCAGGTATGTCATTGAGGGGATGGATGAAAATAGAACACAGTCCTAAAGGGGTAAATTGCTCTTATGTGTGTGAACATGTGTGGACAATTATTTCGTTTTCTCACATGAAGAACATGATTTCCCAGACAGCTCACCCTCATCCCTTATGAGAATATTCCTTTCCAACTTCCTCCCTCCATTTCTTTCCAAACTCCAGTCATAGTGTAAGAACTTAATTTCATAAATGGTATTTATGAGTAGATGGTTCAGAACAAATGGATCCAATGGCCCTGCCCTGTACTCCAGGGATTCCAGCTGCAAGATTGTTTCCACCTGCCAAACTAATAAGACAAGCATCTCAAGGGCGTTCCTATTTTCAAATGTATTACAGACCTGTGGTTAGTGCATAACATCGTAAATAAATCCAGCCTCCGGCAGGAGCAAAAAGGGTTCAAGACAAGAAACAAATTCCTTCCCATGAGCCTGAAATGGCATTCACCAGCCTGAGGCTTACCATGTACAAGATAGCATTTCTTTTTGAAGCCTTCAAAGAAAGATAATAAAAATAACAGAAGATGAAGTCAGACATATCACCTATAGTGGCCAGCATTCTCACATTATTCCATTTCTAAGAGAGACAACAATTTGAGGGAAGACAGAAGGGATATGTGTTCAATTAGAAAGGACACTGATCTAGGGGCTGAAAGAGAAAGCAATAGGCTTAAAGTCTTAAAAAGAAATGGCCTTATCATTCAGGTTATCATACACACAGGTATTCCATTGCTCTAGAGCTGACTATGGCAGGATTTTACAAAATTTATAGTATTTTTCTTGGAAAATACAAACATCCATACATGCATTGAATAAGAAGTACTAGTGCCTTCAGGGTATGCTAAAGAGGTAAAACAAAAATTTCCATAGAACAATACAAGGTAGAGCCATATAAATTATAGATTTGCAGACAAGTAATAAAATTAGTTCCATTAAAACAACCCTTCATTCAACCATTAATGGAATCCATTTGGATATTCCAGAAGGCCTTCTCAACCTTGAAACACATTGATTCAGAATCCCAGCAAATGGCCACCCTTGTGGCGATCACTACAGTCCCGATTCTGGCACCTTCTCTTGAGTGCACAGGAGTAGTTCTACAATGTTACCTACTCCAGCTCTCTGCACTGTCTCACCATACCCAAAGTAGGACAACTAACCTGAAGGTAGAACGTGACGCTCTACAGTCTGCATGCTGAGGTTTCTAGATCTGTATAACACAAGGAGAAAGAAGCTCACACTGAGAATTCAGGTCTTCCATTTTATTGGCAAGCACTTACTATTATAGCATCATTATTCATTAGAACTAGAAAAGATAATTTTCTTTATTCAACTTCTCATTCCACAAATGAAGTAGCCAAGCCATATAAAGAGGACAAGGTCAGTCAAAAATCAAATGCCTCCGGAGAAGGTAAGTCAAGGACAAGAATCCAGGTTCCCTGACTCTCCATCCATGCTCTTTCCACTACAGCATACTTTTTTATGTATCATTACTCATATGCTTCCCCAGTGTTTTATTTAAAAATAGGAAGATTGAATGAAACCTTGTTTAGGGCTTCTATGAAGGTCCTAGAGGCAGCCATAATGCCTTCTTGCTACTTTCCTTTGTTAGTGCACAAACAAAGGTGCCCACAAACTTCCCTAGAACCCATAGATTGATGTAAGCCCCTGAACTTGAGACAATGTCCTCTTTTTTCCAATTTGATGCTTCATTTTACTTTTTGTTTGTTCGTTTCTGTCTTTTTTTTTTTTTTTTTTTTTTACTAAAAAGTCTATTGCTATCAGCAAACAAAAAATTTATATATCAGTGCCTTCAAGCCTGGTAAAGTTTAAATTATATTTATTCATCATTCAGGGCTTCCTGCTAGTAGGAAATGTATTCTGGAGACAGCAAGAACAGATAAATAACAATCTCAAAGGGAAAAGAAATAAATAGTGCAATTAATGTGATCTGAAACCAACATAAGAAAATCTACTTTGAATAAGCAACATCACAAAGATATAGGAAATGTTTCTTTGGCTAAAAAGATAATGTTTTGCATCTGATTTCTCTGACAATGAAGTTTTCAAGTTGAAAAATGCTAAGGGTTAAGAGATAAAGCCTGCTTCTCAGAACCTTATGTTTATGCATGTTTTGAGATATTTTTAGGAATCTGAAGGTAGACAGATTATAAGGAACAAATTTAGATGTTTTGTTTCACACAAAGAATAAAGTGATTAGAACTGAAATTAATTAGTATGGAGGTGGAAGAGGGGGTGTTTATCAAGGCATAGAAGTTTCCCAGTAGATTTTACTACTGTATAATCTTCCTATTAACTTTAGGAAAATGACTGATATGCTGGCATGCACAGAGGAGAAAAATAAGGTAAAACCAAAGTTATAATGCACTGGGATAAGAATGGTTCAAAGAAACCTGTCCCAAGCATGTGGAATAGAAACCAGAAAGATGATCAGAATGGTTGCTGAATTTTCATTGCACAGTAAAAGAATTTCATTGTACTTGAGAAAAAAAAACTCTCTAAAATGAATCACATGTACTATGTCTCTCTAAATTTGTAAACTCTAAGGAAGTCCTGTGTATACAAGCAAAGAGAACCCCAAATGTTTAACAAACATGCATGGATTGAACTGACCTATCCTGTCTTCCTCCCTCCCAACCCCTGATCACCGTTACCCCATGACGGCTTTCTTGGATATTTTCATTCTCTTAATAGCCTTTTTTATTTTCCTGGCATGTGCCTATTTAGAGACTATTCATGATTCCAATGAATTAGCTTGACTCAAGGCTGTGATATCTCTCACAACACTCAGCACCATACAGGGTTTCAGAGAAGTTGATTTTCATTGTAAGTTCTGCCAAATGAACACAAATATATAGATGGGTTCAAGTCGGTATATGTGGATCAGCTTTATAAATGGGAAACTTTTGTACTCTTTGGTAGCTATATATAATTTGTAGGGCTCACAGAAAACGTGCTAAGTCTTGTGTTGAAGCAGGTTATTTTATCAAAGGACCTTAGTATAATTAAGAGATCAAAGGATGGTTAAATCGCAAAGCAATAGAATGTTTTAGTTGCAGGATCTTCTATGATTGTGAGATTTACAAAGTAATTAAGATGGAGAAACATTGCAAAGCAGGTGCTTCTGCAGCTCAGACCGGTACATCAGCATTGGTAGAACATTGACCTTCATTTCTGTTTCTTTATCGATCATAGCCACTCAGGTCTTTACATTGATCATTGCCTTCATGAATGGATTTGAAATAGACAAGAATCACAAGAAATGCATAATCAACACAAATACTGTGCCACTCTGGGATGCCTCTTGGAATAGTCTCAGTGCTCTTTTCTGCCAATCCTTCAAGGTCAACTCTTTTCTTCTCAGAACACTTCAGCCTCAATGGAAAATGCCCACCCCTGAATTCTCAGCTCCTCTAGATTTACCCTTCATGAAGTGATTGTGCAAAGGGCTACCTTATGACTTTTTTCTGCATTATTGTTTTGCAGAATTAGTCAACTTTCCCTGTCTTCCTGTCTGATCTTCCCAGCTAAATACCAAGTCAAGTTCTCTGTCAAACAGTGTAGTTATTTTCCTCCTCATCTTTCAGGCCACTTTTGGACACATACTTAGTGGAATTATATATTTTAGAAACATACAAACAGCAAGATAAACATACAGAAAACTTGCAATGCTTGCGTAAACTCTGTCTTACTCAAGACTCAATGAGTCCACAAGGAGAAAAATACCCTATGTCGACATGATTCACTGAGTTCACACAGCAGGAGAACATATTTTCCTCTATGATTGCTTTAAAAGAACTTGCTGAAGATAGGTGTTATATAAATCTAAGAGATTCCTGGTATTGCAATGCAACCTAATGAAATTCTTAACTGTTAAGTACCTTATTGATTCCAAAGAATTCATCAGAGAGAAATGGAATAATAAGGTACATTAACACTTTCCGTGATGCATGATCCTTTTCAGGAAGCTTTGATACCCTAAAGGCCCAGAGCTAAGAAAAATAATTTGTGTTCTAGTCTCCTGTGACTCTTCTCCAAGAAAGAAGGCAATTTCTTTTAGCCAGGTTTGCATTTCACTGAGTGTTTGTTTTTCATATCCAAGGTGTTATTATTGTATTAATCTTCTGCTTGCAAATGGAAGTGCAATATTTACAAGGGTTTATTTTTGTTGTTGTTCTTTAAATGATACATATTGTTTCTTCAAAAAGCCTGAAATGAAAAGAAATTGTTTAGTTCTGGCTGCATTCAACAAAATAGGAGAACTTATATGCCCTATACTAATCCAATTCATATCAGTTATCCCAGCACTGGGTCTAACCAGTTGCTCTTTACCCAGAAGTTTGGGATATAGAGATCAGTGGGTACAAAAGAGGTTGAGAAGCTTGGAATTCCCTAGCTACGATGGCATTCCTGAACTGAAGATTAATAGGGGAGGCTATTTATCCATTTATTTATTTAGTCATGCAAATATTTTTTTGTTGTCTACCATATGCCATAGCCCTAAATATAGAAGTCAACAACCAAGACCTGGTCCTTGCCTTCATGATGCTAAGCACTCTATTTGGGAAGAAATCATTAATTCATAACCCCACACATATGTATGCACTTATAGTGCACCAGGGCAGGTCAAGGCAGAAGCAGAGGCTGAGAGAGTGTGTTCTTGGTCTTGTGTTCTCTCTCTAGGCCCTCTAACTTACACCTTAGGCACACTGGTCTTCTAAGACATACATCATGGTGAAAATCACGATAAAAGTTAGGCAGCAATAAGCTTGGAAAGAATACTTAGGTGTTACTATGGGGCATGGGGAGATACTGAGTTGTGCAAGCTAGATTTTTTTACCCTAGCTCTGCCATCTTGGATAATTCATTCCTGTCTTGGGGACTTGAATTTTGTCTCTTGTATAATCAAGAAATCTGGCTGGGTGATTAAGGCTCCTTCCAGAGCTAAGATTCTCTGTCTCAAACCACAATGTTTATATTTTAGACTTTCTCCTGAAATCCACCCTCCAAGTAAGTGTAGTGAGTGACAGACTTTGAATAAGTGAGCCTTTTTTAGACATTAGTGTGGGCTCAAGTTGACAAATACCAGGATCTGTGCCAAACACTGGGGAAACAAACTGCGAGTAGGACATGAGACATTTGTTGCCCTCAGCAAACTTCAGTTCAGCTGGGAAGACCGAGACAAATAGAAAGTATTTCAGGACAAAATGGCACATATTGTTATGAGGAAGGAACATTCAAGGTCCATGAAGCAAAAGGAGGCCTGCCTGCTGCTTATTGGACTACTCTTCTGGGTTCCCACACCTCAACCAGGGGGCCACATGGACCTGGGGCATCCACTAAGTCTTACATTTATCTTGGCCTGAAAACAGTAACATAATGACTATGGGATGAGAATGTGGTGGCTGCGGTACAATACCTCATCTGCTGTCCAAGCAGCACCATTAACACCAGGGCTGGAGATCCCTGGGCTTGTGTTGGTTAACCTCTCATTCATGTCCGTGACCTTCCACATTGCTTCCTTCCTGTAGATAAACTGCCTTCCCCTTTGACTTTTCTCTTTCCACTGTGTTACATCTTTCTTGGTCATGATCAGCCTCTTGCAGATGGCCAAGAACTATCACTCTCCTTGCAGATAGTTAATAGTCAAGATGTATCACCCTCCTTTGAGATGGTCAAGACCTATCACTTTCTTTGAAGATAGCCAAGACCTACAAACTTCCTTGCAGAGGGCCAAGACCTATCACTTTCCTTGGAGATAGTCAGGACATATCAGTTTTTTTTCAAGATAGCCAAGACTTGTCACCCTCCTTGGAGATGGCCAAGAACTATCACCCTCCTTGAAGGAACTACTTCCTTGGAGATAGTCAAGACTAATAACCCTCTTTGGAGATGGTCAACACCTATCACCCTCCTTGGAGATGGCCAAGAATTATCACCCTTCTTGGAAATGGCAAAGACCTATCACTCTCATTGGAAATCATCAAGACTTAGAACCCTCCTTGGCCCCTGCCCCACCCCATGCAGTCAGTTGCTAAATTCCAGCCAACCTTCCTTCACAGTCCTTCTTTTCACCACTTTTCTTGGTATTCCCATTTCTGCCAGTCCTGCATTATTGCAACAGCCTACTCTGTCCCTTTCATTTCTCTCTTTTTAGTCCATCATTTGTGATGTGTATGGCATTATTCTTGGACTGCAGCAACTGCATATTTGCCTTAGTGGATTAATAAAAGAACCTGGGAATTCTCTGTGTCTCACCAGCTGATCACACAGTGCTGAGCACAAACCCTTGGGCCAGTGGATATCCATTAAGGGTCTGAAAGAGACCTCAGTGATCCCACCTTTGCCATCAACTTTTCTCTACTACATACCCCTCACCTCAAAAGGAAAACTTGGGTGATTTCTCCCCAGAGCCTTATGACATACCTTGGTACTAAAATAGAAAACTTACTGATTCTTTGTCCTTAGGTAAGTGACTTAACCTCATGAAGCCAAATAAATTAAGAATAATTTAATTAAAATGAGATAATATTGAGAAGTGCTTTATATGGAACCTGATTTGAAGTCAGGGCTTAGTAAATATCAGCCACTGTATGTGGGCAGTCTGACTTTCTTTCAGATCTTCTGATGTTTTTCCTCCCTCCTGTGACAAGGTCAGGAGGCCATTCCTTCTGCGTGGAATGATCCCCCTCTCCTCCACCTGACTAGCTCTAATCCACTATGCAACTCTACCCCGAAGGTTCACTCTTTTGACCTCTTCATTTTAGCTTACATCATCTTATTGCATGACATCATAGCTGCCCTCACGCCTACCACCTCTTCTTAATACAATAATTTTGTACTTGCCTATGTGTATATTTATCTAATGACCATCTCTCCAACAAAGCTGCAAGCTCCTCAAAGGCAAGGACCTTGCTATGGAGCTTATTGCTGTCTTTCTAGAACTTGGCACCTAGTAAGAGCTCAACAAATACTTGGTGACAGAATGGATGATGAGTAGAAAAGACCAATTTCTTCACGTTAGGTCATTTTTATATTATGTTCTAAACATAATTTTCAGTTTTCCCATGTATTTCCATTCTTTTTTTGTTTTTTTTTTGTTTGTTTGTTTTTAGATGGAGTCTCCCTCTGTCTCTCACGCTGGAGTGCAGTGGCGCCATCTTAGCTCACTGCAACCTCCACCTCCCAAATTCAAATGATTCTACTGCCTCAGCCTCCTGAGTTGCTGGGATTATAGGCGCACACCACCAGGCCTGGCTATTTTTTGAATTTTTAACAGAGACGGGGTTTCAGCATGTTGGTCAGGCTGGTCTCAAACTCCTGACCTCATGATCTGCCTGCTTCAGCCTCCCAAAGTGCTGGGATTACAAGCGTGAGCTACCGTGCCTGGTCCACATGTATTTCCATTTTAAGCTGAAATTATTTGCTTCAGAAGACTCCAGGAAACCTTTCCCTCCCTCTTTTATCCCCATTTGTTAGTGTTCTGCTGTTGTTTGAAGTAGTATTTTTCACAGCATCTCTTTCCCAAACTTGATCAATTACCAGTCGCTTAGGAAGCTCTTCTTTAGCTTTTCCCCAAGTGCTTTATAAAAGGTTAAAACAAACCTTTTCAAAAGATAAGCTTTTATTGGCAATTTATTTCTGTAATTGATGGAATTAAAATAAGAGTGGCAAATTAGCCGAGTTTGATCTCAGGTACAGAGATCGACATGAGTAATCCCTGTAATGCTGTCCTAATTGCTATCTGCATGACTCTGATTAGAAACATTACATTATTTACTTAGCCTTTGATGCCAATCTCAGAACCAGAACCAACTAATAGCTTTTTAAATTTCCACTCTCAGATGCTGTCTGCTGTCTATAGATTTAGACTATTGCCAGGAAGCTATATGTGGAGTTTTCAAAACCTACTGGGGGCACCATTTCTTCTGCAGAGTAGGCTGGGAAGGAGGAGCTGTCCTGGGTTCTGAAATGGTGGGCAAAGTGAAGTTTATCAGAATAGGAGTGGGGCCAATGTGACTTTATATATGGCTGTTCTTTGATGTCTTGGATGAAGAGCCACCTGGCAAATCTGGAAGATTAACAAGCTCGACAGTGGGACCAGCCAGAGACCAGATTGTGAGGTAGGCTTATTTCACCCATTGTGTCCCCTCACCAGGGGTCTAGGCTTGCTGCAGAATCTGCCCATGTCCACAATTGGCGGCTCCCTAGTGTGGTCTGTTCTTCACTCCTCATCAAAATTGCTCTCGGAGGTGCCAATTTCAGGGCCTACTGAGTTCTCCATTAACTGATAACGAAGCGCATGCAGTGGTGGAAAGTGCAAGGGTTTTGTTGTCACAGGGATGTGGATTTAAATCCCAGTGACAACCATGAGGCCTTCAGCAATATTCAACGACCTTTTGTGCTGAACCAGTTTTCTCATCTGAGGATAACAAGAGCTACCTCATAGAGTTTTATTCAATACAGACTAGACTTAATATTACTTTCCTTTTATTTATAACTATTAAAGGCTTCATTTGTTAACTTCACGGTAAGATATTTCTCATCCAAAGAAATAATTTCTCATCCAAAGAAGTTGTTAAGCATTGGTGAAATTTCAGATGCTGGAAACCGCTGTCGGGGGGTGCTGTCTGGTGTGCGCGCGTGTGTGTGTGTGTGTGTGTGTGTGTGTGTGTGTGTGTGTGTTTTGGAGAATGAGGTAGTTTTGGCCCAATATGCTAGATTAAATTACTGGTCTCTGATTTTCATTTCTCTGCATGGAATGAAAAGTCGACCTTTTCCACGCCTGTAATCCCAGCACTTTGGGAGGCCGAGGCGGGTGGATCATGAGGTCGGGAGATCGAGACCATCCTGGCTAACACGGTGAAACCCCATCTCTACTAAAAATAAAAATAAAAAAAAAATTAGTTGGGCTTGGTGGCGGGTGCCTGTAGTCCCAGATACTTGGGAAGCTGAGGCAGAAGAATGGCGTGAACCCGGGAGGCAGAGCTTGCAGTGAGCTGAGATCGCACCACTACACTCCAGCCTGGGCGACAGAGCAAGACTCCTTCTCAAAAAAAAAAAAAAAAAAAAAAAAAGAAAAGTTGACCTTTTCATCTACTTTCTTGCCTTGCCTCATGAAACCAGTAACTGGGCTCTTGGCCTTTTTCTCTAAACTGAGAATTCCCCTGTCTCTCGTATCTACTACTCCATCAAACAATCCTATCTCTTGGCTTCCACAGGTGGGGTCTACATTTAAACTCCAGGTGCCCATGCTCACCTGTGTGGTTCACTTTCATTATTTGCATATTTATATACCCATCCTGTATCCTCCCAAGGAGTGGGGTGTGTGTGATTCTTGAATTCTTGTTATTGATGATCTAGTTCCTTCTATCATTGCTTGAAGACAAGTTGTAGCAAGTGATTAGTTGTCCTTTTTTACAAACTTCTGGTGGTATGAGGCCATGAGATCAGCACAGACATTCAGAAGGAGGCCCACTATGGAAACTGCATTTGGAGCCAACTATGTTTCTAGTAGGCTTACCTGCACAGAGGACTTCTTACTATTTTTCTGCTATGAGGCCTGGTAAAAGATTTGTAATTAATTCTTAAACCACTGAGTGGAGACTAAGAAAGGGAACAAATATTCAGGGTTTTTATAAAGTGGGTTAATAAAAAAATGGCACCTTTGTCAGGGAGATTATATGGATGTGCTTAGGATCAGGTACATCGTTTCTAAACACTCAAGAGGTGTTTTGAGAGAACTCACCACACTCTGGTCTGCACTATAGAGGTGGCTGATTACTTATTTTGGAATTAAAGTTTTGGTGAGAAGAACTCTTGAGAGATCTCAGTGCAAAGCTCTGCCAGGATACAGTGAGAATGCAGCTAATAACTTCCAGGAGGTTTCCTCTGCTGGTTTTCATTGTAACTTAGAGTGTTCCCTATTTTTCATCAGAATTAAAACAAATGCATTCACTGCATATTACCTGTGAGTACAGCACTGTGCTAAGGACTTTGGGAGAAACAAAAGTATATGATACAGTTCCTGCCATTTAGGTGACTATCACTTATGGGAAGGTTAATTTCTACAATGAAACAAGCAGGGATGAAATAAATTGAGAGCAATAATTGATTATGAATTTAACTAATGGCACAACTAACACACCATTCATATTTAACAAATATCAACATAGTTTATTTCAGATTCTCCTTTTTTTTCTTTTTTCTTAAGAAATAAAATATTCTGACTGGGTACAGTGGATCATGCCTGTAATCCCAACACTTTAGGAGGCCAAGAAGGGTGGATTGCTTGAACCCAGGAGTTCGAGACCAGCCTGGGCAACATGGTGAAACCCTTCTCTACTGAAAATACAAAAATTGGCCAGGCGTGATGGCACGTACTTGTAGTCCCAGCTACTTGGGAGGCTGAGGTGGGAGGACTGGTTGAGTCTGGGAGGCAGAGGTTGCAGTAAGCCAAGATTACCACAATGCACTCCAGCCTAGGCGACAGAGCCAGACCTTGTCGTAATAAAATAAAATAATAAAATAAAATAAAATAAAATAAAATAAAATAAAATAAAATAAAATAAAATAAAATAAAATAAAATAATAAAATAAAATAAAATAAAATAAAATAAAATAAAATAAAATAAAATAAAATAAAATTCCACATGGAGTTGATTCCTTTACCCATCACATTTCCTTCTGACCCAGAGGTAGTCATGATCCACAATGTGGCATGCATTTTTACCAGCCATAGTTTTATACTTTTACTACATAAAAGAATATTCATTGAAAGTACACAGTCTCATTTTCTTTGTTTTAAAATTTTACACAGCATCATACTCTGTATATTTCTTCCCAATCTTCATTTCTGAATCAACGTTGTTTTAAATTCACACATATTTGTGCATATGTTTTGATTGTGGTATATTTTCCCATTTTATTTAAATACTGTTATATATATGTGGCACATATATATGTATATATACACACATACATACATTTCTTCTATTGATTGACAGTTAAGCTACTTGATTTTTATTTTTCCTTTATATACAGTTCTACAATGAATATTCTAAATCATCTCTCAGTGTTCATTTCTGATAATTCTTCTAAGGTATATGCCTGGAAATAAAATTGCTGGAGTTACAGAGTAGTTGCAATTTCAACATCCTATCTATGAACATGCTATAATCATTCCTTTTATTTAGATTTTTTGGTATATATTTCACTAAAGTCTTACGTTTTTCCCCATGAAGGTTTTATACGTATTTTGATAGATAAATATTTATTTTTTTCCTAACTTTTATTTTAGGTTCAGAGGTGCACGTAAAGGTTTGTTACATAGGTAAACTCATGTCTCGAGGTGTGTCGTACAGATTATTTCATCGCCCAGGAATTAAGCCCAGTTCCCAATAGTTGTCTCTTCTGCTCCTCTCCCCCCCCCACCCTTTGCCCTTAAGTAGGCCCCAGTGTCTGTTGTTTCCTTCTTTGTGTCCGTATATTCTCATCATTTAGCTCCCACTTATAAGTGAGAACATGTGATATTTAGTTTTCTGTTCTGCGTTAGTTTGCTGAGGATAATAGCCTCCAGTCCACTCATGTTCCCACAAAAGACATGATCTCTTCCTTTTGATAAATATTTCTTATCTCAAAGCATTTTTGTTGGTTTTAATTATGGGTTTATTACTGTTATTATCATCATTATTATATTTTCTAATTAGCTGCTGATGCATATTGATCAGATATCTAGCAGTCTTTCAATCTTTCTGAATTTGTAGTAATAAATAGTTTGTATATTGGGATATTTTTCAATGTAGATAATCATATCATCAGTAAATAATGACTATTTTATTTCTTCCTCTTCAATGCTTGCAATAATTTCATTCACTTACAGCATTGACTATCAACAATTTAGGTGGAAATTACCGACATGGCTATCTTTATTTTATTCCTAGAGATATGCAAAATATTCATTGAAGATTGAATGCTACTGATCAATCACTTATAAGAAGCAAAGAGCGTAGTGACTGTATGTGAATGCCTTGTCCACCTCCATGGTATTTCATACATCATTGCTTCTGATCAAGGAATTAACTTCACTGCAATGGAGTGTCACAATGAGCCGATGCTTATGGAATTCACTGGTCTCACCATGTTTCCCACCATCTTGAAGCAGCTGGCTTGATAAAATGACAAAATGGCCTTTGGAGGATTTAATTACAGCACCAGCTAGGGGGCAAGGTACTCCACAAGGCTACATATCCTCCAAATCAGCATCCAAAGTATGGTGCTATTTCTTTCATATTCAGGATGACTAGAACTACACCACCAACTTTCCTGATACACAGCTTGCAGATAGTAGATCGTGCGACTTTTTAGCTTCTGTAATTGTGGGAGCCAATTTATTTGTTTACACCAATCAATCAGTCAATTAATCTATCTCTCAATATCTGTGGATATATATATATTTTATATAAAAAGCTTTGTTTACATACATGTGTGTATACGTGTCCTGTTAGTTCTGTTTCTCTGAAGAATCCTGGCTAATATACCATATATGCCCTAAGCATATGGAGCCTACTCAATGTGGAGATCACTCCTTTGGCAGACCTTTCCAGTGGTAAATGAGATCTTGCCCGTGTTTCTACCATCACACAAAGTATTCATGTTACCATTTAAGGCATTTATTATGAAAATTTAGCCCAGCTTATATTTTTGTATTTCCAACTTTTTCCTAAAACACTAAAATATGATCCTTGCTGAAATGGGCATTACTTTTTCTTTGCTCTGTTTTCCAGGGAAATGGAAAAGAACTTGCTATGGCCCTAGAATGACAATTTGTCTTTCTAAAAATCAGAACCAATAGCAAACTCAAGATGGCTCAGATTTAGAGACTTTATCAAAGCCTCTGAGGGATTTTGAAAAACATAATTTCCAAGCTTTGGAGGAAGAATTTTTAATGTTTCTGTAATGTTCTCAATCAGAATAGGTTTTTGTTACAAAATAACTCCTCTGCAGAAGTCTGATGGAGGGTGTCTTTTTAAACATCATTCTTCATCTATTCAGAGGATCAAATACTTAAAAGGGACTTTATTGGGAATGTTTTTCTTTATCTATCTGTTGACAGTAAGCCAGTCATTGAAGGAAAAGAAGACAAAGGCTGGCAGGAAAGCTATGCACTCAAAAACAAGCAGCCAAATGAAGTTCTCATCCTGACTGCACCTGCTTCTGAGCTCACAGGGTGTGTACCTGAGATGGAGGTGATTATTAAACACAGCGCCCTGACCACTGCCCTTTGGTATGGCACTTCCTACTGACTGCATATCAGTGGTGTTGAGCAGATTAACTCATCAGGGTCTTAGTGAGGCACAAAGCTTCTCTTGACACATAACTACGTGTAGCTACTTAAGAGTGCTTGGTACTGGAGGTCATTATGTTAAGTGAAATAAGCCAGGGACAGAAAAACAAATTTGGCATGTTCTCACTTATCTGTGGGGGCTGAAAATTAAAACGATTGAACTCATGGAGATAGAGAATAGAACAATGGTTACCAGAGGCTGGGAGGGGTAGTTGGGGGAGGTCAGGGGGAGGTAGGGATGGTTAATGGGTACAAAAAATAGAAAAAATGAATCAAATTTAATATTTGATAGTACAACAGAGTGACTATAGTCAATAATAATTTAATTGTACACTTAAAAGTAACTAAAAGAGTATAATTGGATTGTTTGTAACAAAAAGGATAAATGCTTGAGGTGATGGATATCTTATTTACCCTGATGTAATTATTAATCATTGTATGCCTGTATCAAAATACCCCTTATACCCCATAAATATATATACTTAGTATGTATCTACAAAAATTAAAAATTAAAAAAATCTAAAACAAAAGAGTGTTTGGTACTTTCTTTGTGGTGAGGTCCCACTCCAGCCACAGAGTCTCCACAGGAGGAGAGAGAATATCTGAAAACTCTTGAGAATATTTGTGGTACTGAGTTAACAGGGCTGGGTCATCTGTACAAGTTTGCATTAAATTTGGACAACAACTTTCCTTTAGATTTCTTGTGTTGCTCACTTTAGGTGATTTCTGAGAATGAAAAAAATCTTCATGAGTGCAATATGTGAATACATTGGGTTTATTAGAATTACTATTACTTTTTTATAATATAAAGAACCATGTTTGGAAATAAAAGTTGTTTTGAGTATTCCCTAGGAGTCCAGATTTCATTTAAAATTCCTGATTTATAAGTTGAGAGCTTGCTGACAGCTTCTAGAAAATCCCAGGCCCATCAGAGTCTCTTTCTAGAGTGTGCTTTTAAGTAGGACGGCTGCTAAAGTTACAAAGAATGAACAACACGGGCTTCTCATTCTGTTTCTTCTTGAACCTGATCTTAGGGATGAAGGCAGTTTGCTTGGGGACTCTGACATGACCCTAAGCCCTTTCCTTCCAACAGAGCCAGTGCTGCAGTAGATGGGTCGGGAGAGAAACTCCATGCAAGATTTTTAGTGAGGCCACCAGCTACCAGGTCATGTGTGGAAGTCCTGAGTGCTGTTCATGAAGTGTCACACAAAGGCACTGTTCAGAAAGCCTGTAATAAAATATGTGCATCTGGCCCCCGTTGGCACAAATTAGTTTTATTGATTAGTTTATTGGATGGCGCCCAGTACTGAGAAGGTTCCCAAGAAGATAACAGCTACACAGTGGCTGTGTATAATTGGAGAGAAAGCATATAGACAAACAAAGACACCATGAGGAAGCCAGTAGCATAGGACGGGTAATGGAGAAGGTGCCATGAAGAGGGTGATAGAGTCTCGGTTGTAATGCCCACCTGCCCTTCATTTACGGCCTTGCTTTGCCACTTGTTAGCTGTATGCCCTTGGGCACATTTCTTAACCTGTCTGAGCTGCTGTTTCCTTATTCATAAAATGAGCAAGATACTATTAGTACCCATCCTTAGAAGCTGAGTAAGCGTTAAACAAATTAATGATGCCATCTGCTTCATTTGAGTAGCACAGAAATGGGCAGGTAGCACCTGTTTGGTTCATGCTTTTGCCCCCAGGACCCATTGCAGCTCCTGGGATTGGGGAATGTTCTATACATTTTGGTTGAATGATTGAATAAAGAAATAAATGATGAAAGGAAAGAGCTGAGCACAATAAATTATAAACCAGCAGCAGCATTCCATACTTGTGATAGATTATTATTATGGTAGTTTGTGGGGGCAGCAGAGAAAAAGAATGGTGAAAGAGCTTAGAAATGTCATCATGTGTTCAATGCTTTATAAACTGCAAAGGAGTTTAGTGCAGCCCCCCACAAATGCAAATGATGCCAGTGCCCTGCTCAGAAACACAGAACTTCAGTCCTTCTTGGCACCTTCCTCTCTTCACTCCTCACACTCATAAACTCAAGTCTTTTTGTTTTTCCTCCTCGGGATTTCCCTCCTCCACTCATGTCTTCTGTTGCTACTCCTGCCATCCTCCCGGGCTACTTTCCCCTCATCACTAAGTTCCTGGAATAGCCTCTTCACTGGTCTCCCTGATTGTAGCTGACCTACTGCAACAATTTAGAACTCTGGAACCTGAACAATCATTTAAAACGTAATTCAACTCTTCACCCTTCTCTACCCCTTGGCTGTAGCTTGAACTTTTCAGGGCTTCCCACTACACATACCCTTCATGCATCCTTGTTGGTCTGCAAGCTTCTCCCTACCACTCTCACCTCACACCTGCCTGACTCCTCATGGCCCAGCTACACTGATCTACTCTGAGTTCCTCCAAGTGTATGTGTTCTGTCTTCCCACAGAAACTTTGCACCTACTATTACTTCTACTTGAATACTTTGCTCCTTCTTTTCTCTTAGTTTTCTTCTGCTCATCCTCCAAGTCTCAGCTTGAATGTCATTTTCTTGGGCATTTTTCTCTGAACTACCAATTAATCAGATCATTGAGAGGTGCAGTTTATCCATCAGGAGCCTCATCCCGGTATACACATTTATTTATACAATTGTTCAACCCTTGCCTGGCCCCTCACTTGTCTATCCTCCCCATAAGGGCAGAGGTAGCACCTGTTTGGTTCATGCTTTTGCCCCCAGCACCTATTGCAGCTCCTGGGATTGGGGAATGTTCTATACATTTTGGTGGAATGATTGAATAAAGAAATAACTGATGAAAGGAAAGAGCTGAGCACAATAAATTATACACCAGCAGCAGCATTCCATACTTGTGATAGATTATTACTATGGTAGTTTGTGGGGGCAGCAGAGAAAAAGAATGGTGAAAGGAGCTTAGAAATATCATCATGTGTTCAATGCTTTATAAACTACAAAGGAGTTTAGTGCAGCCCCCCACAAGTGCAAATGATGCCAGTGCCCTGCCGAGATTCCTGTGGTAGTCACCTACACACACTGAAGGCTGCTTATTTCAAACACCTAAGGCTCTCTGCTGAGAGGGTTTTGTTTGTATGTTTTGTCTCTGGATATAGGAGCCCTTTCTACAATTACTCAGGACAAGCCAGAAGTGCCACAAAGTTGGCATCCCTGGAAATAACCTTCAACCATTGATGGCCAGGGTTTGGAGGAAAATGCTCCAGCTTCCTCTCCTCTTGCTGGTTTGCATCACTTTCTCATTTCTTACTGGTATTTCCTGGAAAACCGCTTGCATTTGATTTAAAAAAAATTTTTTTTATTATATTTTAAGTTCTGGGATAAATGTGCAGAACATGCAGGTTTGTTACATGGGTATACACGTGCCATGGTGGTTTGCTGCACCTATCAACCTGTCATCTACATTAAGTATTTCTCCTAGTGCTATCTCTCCATCAGTCCCTCACACCCTGACAGGCCCCGGTGTGTGATGCTCCCCTCCCTGTGTTCATGTGATCTCATTCTTCAACTTCCACTTATGAGTGAGAATATGCTGTGTTTGGTTCTCTGTTCTTGTGTTAATTTGCTGAGAATGATGGTTTCCAGCTTCATCCATGTCCCTGCAAAGGACACAAACTCACCCTTTTTTGATGGCTGCATAGTATTCCATGTTATATATGTGCCACATGTTCTTTATCCAGTCTATCATTGATGGGCATTTGGGTTGGTTCCAAGTTTTTGCTATTGTGAATAGTGTCACAATAAACATACATGTGCATGTGTCTTTATAGTAGAATGATTTATAATCCTTTGGGTATATACCCAGTAATGGGATTGCTGGGTCAAATGACATTTCTGGTTCTAGATCCTTGAGGAATTGCCACATTGTCTTCTACAATGGTTGAAGTAATTTACACTCCCACCAACAGTGAAAAAGCATTCCCATTTCTCCACATCCTCTCCAGTATCTGTTGTTTCCTGACTTTTTAATGATGGTCATTCTAACTGGTGTGAGATGGCATCTCATTGTGGTTTTGATTTGCATTTCTCTAATGACCAGTGATGACGAGCTTTTTTTTTTTTAGCCAACAGGAAGAGAATTTTTAATGTCTTGATAAAAATTTAAGAAGTCACAGAACAATTGCAATTATGCATGCATGCTTTTGGAGCAATCACTTGGCTTAAAATGCCTCCCACCCAGCAATCTAATAGGCATCTTTCAAGACCAGTTCAAGTGTGAAGATTGCTTTGCACACTTTCAGTTTGCATGACTGTTTTTTTGTTTGTTTGTTTGTTTTTCAGTTTTCCATTTTTTAAATTATTATTATACTTTAAGTTTTAGGGTACATGTGCACAACGATGAGCTTTTTTTCATATGTTTGTTGGCTGCGTAAATGTCTTCTTTTGAGAAGTGTCAGTTCATATCCCTCGCCCACTTTTTGATGGTTTTTTTTTTCTTGTAAATTTGTTTAAGTTCTTTGTAGATTCTGGATATTAGCCCTTTGTCAGATGGATAGATTGCAAAAATTTTCTCCCATTCTGTAGGTTGTCTGTTCACTCTGATGATAGTATTTGTTTTTGTTTTTGTTTTGTTTTTTTGCTGTGCAGAAGCTCTTTAGTTTAATTAGATCTCATTTGTCACCTTTTGCTTTTGTTGCCATTGCTTTTGGTGTTTTAGTCATGAAGTCTTTGCCCATGCCTATGTCCTGAATGGTATTGCCTAGGTTTTCTTCTAGGGTTTTTGTGGTTTTAGGTCTTACATTTAAGTCTTTAATCCATCTTGAGTTAATTTTTGTATAAGGTGTAAGGAAGGAGTCCAGTTTCAGTTTTCTGCATATGGCTGGCCAGTTTTGCCAACACCATTTATTAAATAGGGAATCCTTTCCCCATTGCTTGTTTTTGTCAGGTTTGTCAAAGATCAGAACACAACTTACAAGGGATGTGAAGGATCTCTTCAAGGAGAACTACAAACCACTGCACAAGGACATAAAGGAGGACATAAACAAATGGAAAAACATTCCATGCTCAGGGATAGGAAGAATCAATATCATGAAAATGGCCATACTGCCTAAAGTAATTTATAGATTCAGTGGTATCCCTGTCAAGCTACCATTGACTGTTTTCACAGAATTAGAAAAAACTACTTTAAATTTCATATGGAACCAAAAAAGAGCCCACATAGCTAAGACAATCCTAAGCAAAAAGAACAAAGATGGAAGCATTATGCCACCTGACTTCAAACTATACTACAAGGCTACAGTAACCAAAACAGCATGGTGCTGCTACCAAAACAGATATATGGACCAATGGAACAGAACAGAGGACTCATAAATAACATCACATATCTACAATCATCTGATCTTTGACAAACCTGGACTTGATTTTATCTGTGCTTATACTCTGCTCCTAAGGATCCCATGTGATACCCACAATTTCACTGAGACAAAGGCAAACTTCAAGTTCATCATGATTTGGTCAAGAATTGTCCAGAGATCTAAGCTTGATCTCAACACATTTTACCTTGCAGGACATACTTGAAGTCCTGGGATAGCCACTGTAGTTCCTGATTGTGTTTCAGACCCAGATCTCTGGTGCAACATGTGCCCCCTAAGGATGCTGCTTTGGAAGGAACTGCAGAGAGTGGCTCAACTCCCTGAGAGGTGGGCAGACCCCCTCTACATAACCCAAACCCTGGAAGAACTGAGGAGTACCTTTTCAGTAACATCAGCTTGTAAAAGCAAGAGTTAAAATAGGAGGAAATTTAGAAAACATTCTTGTTCAATCCCAATGTGTCTCAGAGCTTCTTACTTACCTTCCTTTGGCTTCCAACACATCCTGTGGAAAATGGTGACTTCCGCAGTGATTCAGTAATTCTCAGATGAGTGAGTGTTGGTGTGTGCACAAACCTTGGTGGAAAGGAAGGATGAGGACTATTGGATATTGGGGAGAGAATGGCATTCAAAAGGTCCACTTCCTGTAGCTGACTGTCCACCAGACTTATCAGATACAGATACCAAGGTCCATTGAGTGCAGTGATTTTTCTCAATTATTTTCTTGTTAGCAGAACCGAAAGTGAGCCCCTCACCTCCTCCCTCTACATCCAGACTTTCTCTCCATTCTTCGTTTTATCTTTCCTCTCCTAAGGACTATCTTCTGTAATCTCTAATCAAAGTATCCACCTGTGATCTGTAGCCAGCATCTATTTTTGTTTGGCACCTAAATCTCACATGAATGCATAATCGATTGTTAATCATATCTCAGTGTTTCCACTCTGGGTGGCCATTTTGCATTTTTTTTGCCAATGAACCTTAAGACTGCAACAGTAATCTTTCATGCATCACGTAAGAAGTGGTTGTTAAATTTCAAGCCACTTTGCTAATCCTGCCCTGTTGCCTTCTCTAGTCAGTTTCTCAGCACTAAGCCAGAAGGAATTGAAATGGCGAATACATAACACCAACAGGAGGAAACAATGAACGGAACCATCTTACCCATTAGTTACAAAGCACTAAGAAGGACCCTGGGGATACCAGCAATACCCAAGCTAGGCCTCTGGGGAAATTGGATGAGGGAAGATGGATCACACTTTTTAGCTGTCAATTCAGGGTCACTCCCTAGGAAGCTGATAGCAGTGTTTCTTGTAGGCATTTTGGCATTTGATATCTTGATTAAAGACAAGTCTTCCCATGATAACTCCTGTGGTTTTCTTCAGAGCTCAAGTCCCTTCTTATCCAAGAATTCTCCCCAGATGACATCTAAGCTTTATGCACTGAGGGCCTATTTCTCTTTTCTGTCAAAATTTCACTCTCTTTCTTTAGACCTCATCCAATATTATTGCTTGGTATTATATTATTACAGTTATGCTCTCCATCTCTTCTCGTATTTATGTCTTGACACCCACATTAAGCATAATCTTTTTCCTAAAGCAGGTTATTCGATTCCATACTTGTACTGGTGAGGTTTTTGGTTGCAAGGAATAGAAATGGACTTGGGCTAATTTAAGTGGAGAACAAACTTTAGTAGAAGGATATCAGCAACTCTCTAGAATCAAAGGGAAAACTGAAGAACCAGGCTCAGGTGATGGAAAAGCTCAAGGAACACTGGATAATGAGGAGTCTAGTAGCAGGCTGGTTATTATATTACCAATCACCATGGGTTCAGTACTCCCACCAAATGCTGCAGCCATAAATTGATCATCAACTGGATTCAAGGTGCTGAGAGCATCCAATTGGCTGACTCTCTGTCAGGTAGCCCAGATCCTGACCTTCTGCTAACAAGCCATTAACTCTCTGCTTTTGCTTAGATATTTCTAGTTCCTTCTGCAGCAAGGACACTCACTATATCAAATGCTGTTGGTGCTCTTCCCACATCCCTCTAGCCTTACCATTTCTTGAGCCAAGTGGATGACCAACTGTCAGCCTCTGCATTTCTGTCTTTGAGGACTTCCTTTCCCTGACAGCAGCCCTGAGCCAATGGCTGATAGTAACAGGTGTATAAACACCCCAGCTCCCTCATCCTCAAACTAGGATGATTCTGAAATGTGTGTCTTACACAAGCTCCTAACTTTCCACACAGGGATCAGGTCCCAGTTGCCCAAAGAAGCAACTGGAACGTAAGTCCACCCTTTCTGAGCCCCTGCCCTTCTGTGTCCCCCTTCCCAGGTTCACTGCTCTTCCTCCACCTCCTGAATAAGCCACTTGCCACCAAATTCTTGTCTCTGGGTCTGTTTCTGGGCTAACTCATGTTAAGATATCCACCTGAAAGTGTCTTCTCCCATTAAAATTCTCCTCATCCTTTAAGATCAGGGTTAAATTCAGAAGCAATCAGAAACTTAAAGCTAACATTGACCTGGAAGTGAAGCAGACAACAGCTGAAGTTGACTGCTTACCCAACATCCCCCTGTATATGAATAAACTCCCTGAAATATTCAGCCTGTTATATGTTGCTTTCTCTATACTCCTGGTTTTTGCCTTCTATTCCCTTGTACAATGGTTGCCTTGAATTATATCATGGCTGAGGAAGGAGGTGTTTGCACCGTAGCCAATACCCACTGTTACACTTGGATAAGTACTTCTAACAAAGTAGAGATCAAGTTGGAAAAATCCGTACACACACTAAATAGTAAATTAGAGCAACCAGTGTTAAAATGTTTGGCTTTTTTATCTCTTCAGCTGACTACCCTCTAAAGTCAGAACATGGCCAAAATTCAGTCTTCAACTTTTGTTACTCACTATTGCAATTATTGTTGCCATTGTTGTTCTTGCTGTAATATTTAAGTTATTCAAGTTATTCCTTACACGAGTTTGCTTAGAAATAACAGTGTAACCAAAGTAATGGTTGCCAAGATGCTCAATACGGTCAATCAAGCCTATGGTTCAGAAAAGATATCTGATTTGACAACTTTTTTGGGACTTAAGCAGACTGGAGAGCACTCCCCTCAAAATCTCGTTATTCAAATGTGGCCCGATCTAGCCATACACACTTTTAGACCTGGAGATACTTCAACAAAGGACATGACTCCCTGAAACAGGCCCATCCAGGCAGTGAAGGACAAAATCAGACTCACTAATTGATCTCCAATGTTTTCTGGAAAAAATATTGATCAAAAGAGGCAAATGTGAAAGAAAAGAATGTACTTAAGGCTAAGACTTTAAAGTGGAGTCAGGAGATTGTGAGAGGATTGCACCCACACCTGCTGAGTCAAACCACAGGATATTCCAATAGACTTGGATAATAACAGAAGTCAGTATACTCCAGACTTTAACATCTCTCAGCTGGGAGTACCCTAATTAAACACTCAGAATAGGTTTGCAATTTAGGATTTCTGCATAGCCAATGAACTGTCTTTGAAAACAACTTTTTATGGAGGGCCCACATTAAAAAAAAAAAAAAAACTTTTCCTGAGCTTGTATAAGAGAATTCCAGAAGGCGGTAGAAGATTTCTTTAAGTGAGAAACATGAATAAAAGAGCCAATACCTGTTAGTTTGGCAGCACTGGAATTGGTAAGAAGCATCTGAGAGGGACCTTTCCATCGAGGTTGAAGGAAATCCTGATGTAAATGCCTCTTGCAACAGAGAAAAATCACTAGGCTAAAGGTTGTGATGTTTTGTGTCTTTGTCTCCTGGGAGCACACTGTGGAAAGATTGTGCTACCAGAGTATGATTTTTGCCTTTAGCCTTAATTATTTATTATATTGGAGAATGTCTCCTTTAATCGACTGAATATCAAAGGCAGAGGAAGCTAAAAAGATCTGCCATCCAGTGATTATTTCAAAAGGTAACAACTCATGTTTTCCAAAAAAATGCAGACCTTTGATTTAACAGGACCAGAAGCAATTGTAAAGTTTCCACAAATTTCACCAATTGAGTTTTAATGATGCCATTTGTTCTTTCCATTAATGTGCAAGATTGGAAATGGTAGGTACAATAAAAAGTGTTGTTATGTGGGGCATACTTCACAAATGTGTTTTATAACATGGCTAGTGAAATGAGTTCCTTGGTCATTATGTAACTCTGAAGGTATGCCCCATCTAGGAATAACCTTTTCTAATAACAGTTTTATAACAGCTGAGACTGTGGCATGTCAGCAAGTGAACCATCTACCTAATGAGAAAAAACAAATCATAACAAGAACATATTTACAACCTTGAATGGGAAGAGGCTGGATGAACTCCATTTGCCAAATCTCAAAAGGTTCACTAGACAGGTCAAGATGATATGTAACTGTCTGAATTGTCTTTCCTGGGTTGAATTTTGGACAAAAAATACAAGACAACTGTGCCTATTTGGAACCCTTGAAATGTTTTCCCCACCAACACTGTTTAATAAAACTTATAACTTTGTTGAAAAAAAAAAAGATCACCCCTTTTTAAAGGGGTGGTTAAAAATCCACCCCTAATGTGCTTAACTGAAGTCAACAAGGTCATTTCTTTGGCCATCACATGTTAAAATTTTTTAATTTTGAATATCCCTGGGAGGAGTCCGGACACTTCAGCCTGGCAAAGTCTTCACCATGTCCTGCTGCTTTCTGCTGACAACACACATACATGACTGTCCCGGCTTGCGAAGGCTCCTGAGCTTATAATCTTTGTTAAGGCTCAGCTCAAATAGAAACTCTTAGTGAAAGTTTTCCTGACTACTAAGGCTGAATGAATCCCTGCCTCCTCTGGGTCTTCTCAGCAACATATAAGAAATGTGCAAGATGCCATTAGAATCCATCATTATGAGGCAGTGGGGACACCTCCCTCGCCTCTCCCTGCCTCCTCCTCCATATTTTATTTTCATTGAGATGAAATTTACATAACATAATGAATCATTTTAAAGTGAACAGTTTAGTAGCATGTAGTATATTCACAATGTTGTGTAGCCACCACCTCTGTCTAGTTCCAAAATATTTTCATCACCCCAGCAGAAAACCCCATAATCCATTAGGCAGTTCCTGTCTCTTCCCCCTCCAGGGCCTCAGCCCCTGGCAACCACCAATCTGCTTTCTGTCCCTGTATTCTTAGCACTGGGTATGTTGTCAGTATTCAATCAATTTTTTTTGGCGGGGGGGCAAGTAAATGATAATTGGATGTGAGAAGAGGCCGGGGGTGGTATGGCAGCATCTTCACGTCAAGGGACCCCATGGGTGAGAGAATCACTGGATTCAGACTGCCTCAGTTTTGTCATCTGTATAGCTCAGCAAGATAGCTGAGCTCTTGTAACTCCATTTTCTCACCTACAAGATAAAAACAATAATAGTATCTACCTTTAGAAGCTGTTGTGACAATTGAATGAGTTAATGTGTGGAAAACCCCCAGAACAGTGCCTAGCACATAGAAAGCTGGTGTAGGGAGTGTTAAATGCAACTGACGCCATACTCCATTGATGTCGGAGTCTCCTGCGAGTTCATCTTCCAAGAGAGAATCAGAACAAAAATCTAGGACTAGAAAACTGCCATGCTGAGATGGAATGGCTCTTCATAAAAAAGAACATTCACGCTGTTTGCTCTTGAGTCATTGTCTGCTTCTGCTTCTACTCCCGACACCTGGCCACCCCACTCCACAGCCCTCCCCTCTCCCAACACCCAGACTCCTGTCCCAACCTCACTTTTGACCTTGAATTCAAGAGAATGTAAATTCCAGGAGGATAGAGACCATCTCTTCTTTGTGAATCTCTGTATTCTATACCCTAGCACATAATCAAACTCAATGATTGGCTGTAGATTAAATTAATAAATTCCTGTATAAAATCATCTACTATTACAACCACAAAACTTCAGAATGCATCACCCCCCTGCCTCTCAGCAGCTCCCTGTGCCTCAAAAGAAAACTTGTCAGAGAACAAAAGCTCATGCAAGGCCTGCTCCTCCCTTGACTTCCTGTCTGTACCTATTCACACCTCCTTTCACCACCTCTGCCTTTAGTAGGGGATGGTGGCGGTGCAGACAGACAAGACCACTGATCTCTGGAGTGTTTTGCCGCTGAGCTCATCATACTGCTTTACATCCCAGCCAGGCCTCAGCCTTGACGTAAAACTCTCCAGTTCTATGTAAATAATGGTTATAATTAATAATAAATGAACAGCCTGGGGGAATTGCAGAGCAGAATTTAGTGGCTGGAGATTTATACAGCTGCATTTGGTGCCAGTGTAAGATGTGGATATGGAAAAAACCCACGGAGCTATCATTTCAGAGCCAGGGCACTGCTAATAAGCACTATGCACCCAGCAGCTCACAGCCTTGTAGAAAACCACACATTTTCCTGGGTGTAAAGGAGAGGAGGATATTTTTATCTTTTTTATCTCTGTTCCTCTAAATCAGGGTTAGGCCCCCAAAGTCCAGGCAATTTATATGGGGTAAGGCAGAAATCTGAACATGAAGAAGAAGCTGGAGAAAGAATTTGGACATACAGAAGAAAACTGAAATAAGGACATCATGTACTTTTAGGAGAATTGATGGAACCAGTGGGTCTTGAAGTGATGATAAAGACCTACTTCTGCAGAAAGAAAACAAAAATGCATCATTCAATGCATAATTGGGGTACAAACCCTGCAAGCCTCTTAGCTCCAAATATTTTAGATGCTCTAACTGGGCACTCACTGAGTGCACATGTTGAGTTTTTTCATAACATACAATCCTTCCAGTCCACACACTTCTATATTTTTTAGTCCAATTCCTCTACCTTCTAAATCTTGATTTCCTGAGTTGGAAGTTAGCAGCTGCAAACATTTTCAAGGTCACTTGATTAATCAACTGCTCATAGTTACAAGGAGGCAGGAGATGGAATAATATAAGGTTGTTGATGGGATTTCTAGGCAACACAGGCAAGGGGCTGAGCATAGGGGCTGCCATGTAAGAAGCTCTTAATGAATGAAAGCTATTGCCATAATGTTTCAGGCTCAGGTCTGCCTCGTAGTCTTGCATAATCTCATTGGCTCCACATGAAACAAACTTCAGATTCAGGCTACTACTAAAAAGTGCCAGACAACCAGTGGTTCACAGTCTTGTAGGAAATCAGAGTTATTAACGCGCATTATTTCTGGGTATAAAGGAGAACGTTCTTGTTCTTGAAGTATTGTCCTTAATTTATAGAAATTAAGGCTTATTGTTAACAAATTTGGCCAACAAAACAGCTTACAAACAGCAAAACCATGATTTGAACATAGATGGGTAATTTCCAGAGACCATGCTTACTTCATGCCCTTCTCCTTCCCTGAACATCAATGTCAACTCTCCTGGGGCCCCAGGTTAACATCTTCATGTAAAGAAAAGGGAGAGTGGGTGCTACAAACTCTCAGGGCTCACCAGGTCGAGGCCCATCTGACCAGACACAATTCTTTCTAGTGATGAATAAGGAGGCACTACAGACATATGCATATCTTGTAAGATACTGGATAAGAAATCATGATGGCCACGTGGTCAAGATGAAGTGACTATTTCAGATGACTGGGGATATTGGAGTAGACCTTGAGGTGGTTTCTGGTGTCCATCCTAAATAAAAAAAAATCTAAATTTTTATGTATTCCATGTATAGTTACAGTTTGTGACCTGTGCAGGGTACAGAGAAGGTACTAAAAGAGACATCAAAAGATAGGTCAGTTTCCCTAGGAGCAGAGCCTGAGAAAAAGGACTTAGGTGCATGTGATTTTATGAGGACATACTTTAGGAGAAAACTGCAGGGAATAAAAGAAGCAAGATAGAAAGGAGATAATCAAGAATGTGATGTCAAAGAAAATTTAGACTTGGCCTGATTCACAGGGGGCTCTAGGGCATAAATTATACTACCAAATTACCCTCCCCTTGAGGCAAGGAGGCTGACTTTTGTACTCCATATAAATCAATTATGTCTCTGGGCTGCCACTTCCAGGGTAGGATGTCCCATCAGTAGAAAAATGTTCCATCTGTTAATAACCCCAGAGAAGGGGAACACCATGAACCATTAACAGCCAACACTCACCCACAGCAGCTGGAGAATGGTTGCATGACAGTGTGCACAGATCACTGACTACAAGCATTTTCCCCACAGGAATGAAAATGCCAGGACAAGTGAGGACAAATAAGTCCTATTTGACAGACCTAGCCAGGTGCTACAGTTAGAATGTGTCTCCCAAAGTCCACATGTTGGAAATTTTATCCCCATACAACAGTGTTAAGATGAGGAACCTTTAAGAGGTGATTAGGTCATGAGGTATCTTTCCTTGTGATGAATTATTGAGGGAGGGGGTTGGTTGTCACGGAAGTGGGTTCCTGATAAAAGGATGAGTTCAGTTCCCTTCCCCTACTTGCGTGTTAGACCTTCCACCATGGGATGACACAGCATGAATGTCCTTGACAGATGTTAGCCCCTTGATCTTGGAGCTGTAAGATATAAATTTTATTTCATTATAAATTGCCCAGTCTGTAGTATTCTCTTATAGCAGCACAAAACAGACTAAGACACCGGGCAATACTACAATGGTTAAAGAAAGGCCAAGAGAGTGGGTATTATTAAGGCTCACATGGAAGATGACTTTGAGCACAACAACCGTGCGGTGGGTAGCATTATTGCTCTCAATTTTTTACTATGTGAGTGATAGAATTAAACATCCCTGCAGTTTCCATGGCTTCATGGTGGGCTTAGTGCACTTTTTCACTCCTTGATTTGGTCCTGACCCATGCCCACTTTCTTCGGCTAATGGGATTTTAATGAACTCCATTGGAACAGAGACGCTAAACGTGTTTATGCGCTTCGGCTTGCCTCTCCCACTGCTGTGAATCTCTATGAGAAGAGCATATCCCCAGTAGCTGGTCAAAGAGAATCATGTGGAGTAGACATAAACCCAACTTGCAGCCATGAGCCAAGTCCAGCTGATTCTAACCAAGCCCAGCTGAGACAAACCCGATCCGCAGACTATAAACAAGAAGATAAATGTTGTTGTAAACCAACTGCTTTGTAGGCAGCAAAATCTGACTAATAGTGATGGGGATTTTTAAAGGACAAGAGGAAAAGATTATAACATTTCACTCTTATAAATGGAACTAAGATTTTATTAGGACAGCCATACTAAAGACACAAATTGAAGAAGGGGAGAGAGTTAGTGATTCTCCATCTCCTGATAATGCCATCCCTCCTTATAGGTGTTTGTTTAGTATACTTTTACCTGGCCTAGAAAAATAGTCCAATGACATCATTTCCCAAGTGGAAAGTTGGAGGCTCAGAGAGAGTAGGTAGTTTTCCACCATTGCAAAGCTCATATCTGAACCATAGAGAGGAAGTCAAAACCCATGTTTGCTGATCCTCTGTCCTGGGTTTATTCATTAGGGCATGTTTTATGTAGCTGATGCTGTTGATGCCACACCTCACATCCCCCAGTTCCCCTGAGTTCACCTGCAGCTCTACCTGTCTCCACCTGCCTGAGGGCTCTGTCTGGCACCTTTGGAGCTCGTGGAGCTACAAGCAGGATCACACAAGAAGAGCAATGGAGTTCATACCTTTTGGGCAATGCTCACCCAACAGAGGATGGAAGGAAGTGGACAGAGGTCCAGCCTTTCTGCCCACTGGGATATTGACTCTGAGGCTGATTGCTCATCAGTATAGAGCCCAGGGGTAACACCCATCAATATACTCTTTATTGGCTCTGCTCTCCTCCCCGTCACACTCTCCCCACTCCCTCATTGTGTTTTGTGGAGCCATCTCCCAAATAAATGATCTACTCTCAAGTCCTTTTCTCAAAATTTGCTTCGGGGAGAACCCAAACTAAGCCAACTACACTTCTCTTCAGTGCTTGAGGCAACAGGAATTGGTAAGATTTGAGAGGGCAAGGGGAAAAATGTCTGTATTAGTAATGGTTTAATCAGAGAAGCAGAACTACTATGCATGATATAAAATGAGGGCTTATGATGGGGATTAAACCTTCTGCAGTGCTAGGAGCTGGTTGAGCAGTCTGTGTAAGTCTGTCACCTCTGGCTCTTCTTCTCAAGGCAATCTCTTAAGCTGCTATTTTGGCATTTTATTTCAAAAAATTTACAATTTGATACAGCTCCTCCACAAAAAGAGGTCCGAGTAGTTTTTCTAGATGTACAACACATTTCTCCAAATAAAGGCATTAAATAAAGTGAATAAAATTTATATTGGGAAACCACTGGTCAAAATAGTTGAAGTAATTTGCTGACTTGGCATGTCAGTTGACATGCTTGGGCCTTCTCTGGGAGGAATGGGCATCATAAATGAAGATAAATGGCAACATCCCTGGTTGCCCAATGGAAAAGCTAATAGACCACAGCTCTTTGCCACTCTTGAAGCATTATTGCCTCAAAATGATTTTCCCAAGTGTGCTTCAAAGAAGGTACAGGACTTTTACATTCTAAGTGATGAATGCCATGTCCAATCAGTTTTAGTATCATTGCTTTTTGTAGCACAGAACATTGAGAAAATTGGCACAGGTAAAAATTGTGTGTTCAGTTCATTGTCATCCTTACTTGATTTTGTCTAAAGCGCATGATCTTGAATAATGAGAAATTAAAACTTAGCATAAGAGAAAGACTTCTCTATTTACCATACATGTGCACATGCATGCACACAAATCTACAGTGCAGGATCCAACTTCATAGTGATAAACATATTCTAGCCATTCAATGAAATGATCAAATGAGACCAAAAAGAAAAGTGAGAGGGGAAGACAGAGAGAGAGAGAGAGAGAGAGAGAGAGAGAGAAAGCAAATAGAATTTTAAAAGGCCAGTAAAAAATAGAATACAGCTACAGAAGGAAAACATTTCAAGATAATCACTTCTAATGATATTTTGAAGAGTGATTTATACAATTTAAGCAGGCAGATGTATATTTATAAAAATTTTTTAAATTAAAAAATAGAATATACCTAACGTAATATATTGCAAAAATGGGCACAAGTTCTTTCCCTCTCTATAGCCATGCCATCATTTTCCTCCTACACTAACTCTGATTTTGGCCATGTGACTTGCTTTGGTTCACAAGGCAATAGTAAATGTGGCACAAGCAGAAACATGAAACGTGCTAGCACATTGGAGCTTTCCTCTATTGCTGTTCTTGGAAATCTGCTAACTGTATGTAAATGAGCCAGGGCTAGCCTGCTGGATGATGAGAGACAGGCAGCCCAGCCACCTCTTCACCCCAGTCAGTAACTAGCCAGCTCCCAGAAGCAGAGCTGCCTAGATGACAAGAAACTAATCACAAATGCATGAATGAGCCCAGTCAAGGCCAGCAGAGCAGCCCAGCTGAGCCCAGCTCATGTTGACAATCCACAGAAGCATGAGCTTAAAAAAATACCATGGCTATTATTTTAAGCTACTAAGCTTTGGGACAGTTCGTTATGCAGCAAAACCTAACAGATATGGTTGACATTATGATATGAGATCCAGGAGAAGGAAGTGTAGAACAAGATCCTTGCCAATAGGACCTACAATCTGGTTGAAAAACAAAGAATATAGAATAAAATATCTAGTCAGTGAGGCAGCATGATGTCTGTCACCATTGTATTCTGGCTTAATAAATTATAGAAAAGGTGCTAATTAGGTGGTATAAGCAGGAAGTGAGAAAGAAGTAAAAGGTATCAGCTAATGATGTATCTTTTGAGAAGAAAGGTTTGAATTAGTGCAACCTAGGGAGGTACATGGCAGGGAGAGACACAGGAAACAGGCAGGTAAGTGAGGTGGAAGCAGGAGGCCTTGGGATCTTGGCCAAGGCACTTAGCATTAAAACAGAAAGCAATAAGCAACAGCTCAAATGTCCAGACATCATTTAATATTTGGTAAATTACATAATGTATTTGCCTTAGAGGCTGCACTGAGATGACGATGAAAGATAATGAAAATAAGAGTCATAGATATCTGGGGCTCCATCTTCCCTGCAACCTTCTTCTCTTGGGAGCAGGATCAAGTGGCACTGAACTCCATGATCCAACTGGCAACTTTGGGCTGCCATGGTATTACTTTGGTCCCTCAATTAACCCAAGCTAGGACAACAAATCCTTCCAGAAGGATAAAAAGAGAAATTCAAAATCTCTCTTTGAAGCTGAGAAATACAAAACTTGGGAGCTGCCATCAGCCATGGTTTCTTCCTCACGGGACAGAAAACAACACTATCACAGAGAAACAGACACAAAACCGAAGCACACACCAAATCCCCACATGGGGCTCCTGGGCTCTGGTGCATCCTTGTCAGTTTCCTTCCCAGTTCCCTTCCCAGGGTCGTGCCACCCATCTTTTGATGTGGCTTGGGCCAGGTTTGTGACCAAATTGTTGCACTCTGAAAACCGAGGTGCATAAATAACATGCAGATAAATCTTCCCCAAGTGGAATCTGGGCTCTCTGTCTTTTTTTCAGGCAGCTACCTGACTCAGAACAGAAAGTGTGCTGGGATAAGGATTTTTAACCAAAGCCAGGAAAAAGCATCCATTGTGGTTTTAGAGTGGCTAGAGAGGAAGAGAAGGATGTTCTCAGAGTGGGAGAGATGAAGGGCACACCATGAGGAAAAAGGAAACATGTACTGATTGAAAAACTGGAGAAAATCCCCTTCCCCTCCCACTGCTGTGTGTGCATAGATGGAGCTGGCCCCCGATGCCCTGCCATCTCTCAATACTGCCACCTCTGTGCATTTGCACATACTGAGCTTACCTCCTGGAGGCTTTTTCTGCCTCCCTGCCTCCTTCAAAGCCATGATGTGTCCTCAGATCCTCCTGTCAGAACAACTCTTCCTTTTCTGTGTCCTCTTAGCAATCTGGGTCACACCCAAAATACTTACTACATCCTGCCTTGTATTATTATTGATTGTCACATGCGCAATCTCCCCATCAGGTATTAACTCTGAGAGGGTAGGGAGAGAAGGCAGTGGAATTGAGAATATGATCAATTCCACGTAGTTTGCATGGATGAGGACACCATTCAGGGTGATCCTTGTTTTGTCCTCTCCTAGGTGTGGGTAAATCAAGGCTCTAATCTTCCTAAATGGGGAATTGGAGAACAGCAATTTTAGTAATATCAACTTTACCACAGGCACCCTCAGTGGTAATGGAGTCTGGCAAGCTGATACCTGGTAACCAGGCACACTGAGCAAATCCAGGATCTGTTAGAAAGGGAAGCGGATAGCGGATGCCAGCCAGAGGCCTTCTGAAAAGTCATTCCGCTTCTCACACCAACTCAGGGAGCCCAGTAATGAAAGTGTTTTCATCCATCCATTTGGACTTAAGATGTGATTTAGGCACAGGTTCCTCATCTTTCAAATGTGGATGGAAATCGTCCCTAGCTCATAGGGCAGTCCTGAGGATTACACAAGACAACATGAGCATGCTGAGAGCACTCAGCGTGCTCAGGAAGTGCGAGCTACTCCAGTGAACTGTGAAGAGCCAAGATACTGAGGCCGAAAAGGCCATGTGACCAACTTATAGACCAGAGCATGGGAAGAGCCTGCTGCGGTGTGTGTGAGTCACATTTGGCCTCCTGCCACCATGAAGGCATGATACAGCAGCAGCGTTGTCACTGATCCCTGCCTACCTTCTAGATCCCCTCAAAGACAAAGGAGACAGGCTCCAGTGTCTCGGTGTCAGTTGTTCAGAGGAGGCATTGCAATAAGACAATTCAGTGGTTCCATAGAGTCTCCCTTGCTGTGTCACAAATCCTGCAGGCCCACCAGGCCGCCAGCTCATTCACAGGGCATTTTTGTCATGTAATTAACAAAATTTTCAGCCAAGCACATTTGGGAAATGCTGGTCCAGAAACCATTGCTCTTCTTTCTTTGATGTCTGCACAAAGCAGTAAACACAAGGAAAGATCAGCTTCCTTGGAGTCCAGGCAAAAAAGCAGCAGAGATAAAAGGCAAAGAAATTCCCTCTGTGGTCAGCTTTAGACTACTTCTGCTGTAGACTACAGTGAGGAAGAACTGAATAGGGAATGCCTACAAAAGACAGCAGAACTAAGAGGCCAGGTGTAGGAGACAAGGTATGCCCACTCCCAGGGGCAACCTGCTTGCCTGCTTCTGAAACTGCCTTTGCAAAATTATAACTAAGGAAATTATGACAGTGAAAGACATCAGACCTAACCAACTCCATCTTGCTTATAACCTTGAAACTGTCCTTAGCCATTCCTGGGCATAGGCTGAACTAGCCTTGGGAAGAAATTTAGTTTATAGTTTAAATAATAGCCCTTCCCAAAAGCTAAAACGTCTTGTAAAATGAATGAAAGGCCACCAGCCACCAAGTTAGAATAGGAGGGTATGGAATTCTAAATATTACCTGCCATTATTCTGGAGGTCATAAGATTTACAACTTCCCCAATTATTCTTAAAGGTAACATCACTATTGTGAACCTAAGGTCGGCCTTTTGAGATGTCTTTTCAGGTTTTTGCATTTCTAACAATTAGATGGCCCCACCTAGACCTGCCAACCAGATCTGTGGCCCCCACCCAGGAGCTCAGCATAAGAGAACAGCTTCAACTCCCAATGATTTCATCTCCAAGTCAACTAATCAGCACTCTCAATTCACTGGCCCTCTACCCACCAAATTATCCTTAAAAACTCTGATCCCCAATTTATTTAAATTACTACTCAAATCAGGGAGACTTATTTGAGTAATAATAAAACTACAGTCTCTTGCCTCTTGCACAGCCAGTTCTGCATGAATTATTCTTTTTTTTTTTTTGAAATGGAGTCTCACTCTGTCACCCAGGCTGGAGTGCAATGGTGTGGTCTCAGCTCACTGCAACCTCTGCCTCCTGGGTTCAAGAGATTCTCTCGCCTCAGCCTCCCAAGTCGCTGGGACTACAGGTGCATGCCACCACATCTGGCTAATTCTTTTTGGTATTTTTACTAGACACGGAGTTTCACTATGTTGGCCAGGCTGGTCTCGAACTCTTGATCTTGTGATCTGCCCACCTGGGCCTCCAAAAGTGCTGGGATTACAGGCATGAGCCACCGTGCCCAGCCGAATTACTCTTTCTCTATTGCAATTCTGCTGTCTTGATAAATTGGCTCTGTCTAGGCAGCAGGCAAGGTGAGCCCCTTGGGCGGTTACACTTCCTTTTGCCCACCCTCCTCCCTTCCCTTCCTTCTTCCCCTCCCTTATTCCACCACTCCTCCATCATTCCTTTCTCATCTCCATGTCTTTTCTCTGACTTTTTTTCTCCATAGCATGTATTTCCAGAGTGCTCATTGTACTCCAGGCACCATGCCAGGTGCAGGAATGAGAATGGTGACTGAAAAACACATAATCCCTGCCCTATGGGCAAGAAGCTTTTGTGTGGAGCAGTGTATATAGGGGTGATAATATATGTCTGCTAGCCAGTGGAAATGAGCCCAGAGCAGAAGACCTGTGGTCAAGTGACACGTGACTGATGTAGGGAGAGGGACCATGCTCCTGTAGGGTGGATTGTGTCTAAGTCAAAAGTACCAAGACTAGTATGACTTTCTCCTTTAATTTGTCACAAGACAAAATACAGCATCTCAACTCTGTAGTGCATGCTAGTTCATGTCCTCATCATGTGAAAACCCTCCAAAAGGGGCTTCTTAGAATAATCTTTAGGGCTCTAACTCTCAACCCCATCTGACACCTCTTCTGATGCTCTAGCCCCACCAGCCTTCTGGGATGCAGCAAACCTCTTCCCACCTGGAACCCCTTGTCCTTGTGTTATCCCTTCTTCTGCACACACCACTCCCTGGCCAGTTGGGCCATGGCTGGTTCATGCTCAGTCCCCCATCTCAGTGCAAACATGCCCACACCCAAGAAATTACCACCAACCTCCTTATTAATGTCCAGTTTAATTTCTTCATGGCAGCTATGACTCCTTCACTTCATGGCACTGTCACTCTGAAAGTGTCTTTTTTATGTTTCCTTGTTTGCCTATTTCTTCTCTCTTTTAAATAGACAGCACAGACTAATAGTGAAGACTTTAGACTCTGCAACCAGACTACTTGGTTCTACTTCCAGCTCTGCCACTTTCTAGCTATAGGGTTCTGGGTAGGTTACTTTAGCTCCCTGTGCCCCAGTGTCCCCCTGTGTAAGATGGGTATGTGACAGTACCTACCTGATGGGCAGTTCTTCAGAGGCAGTGTGGATGCCTACAGTGGTGCTAGAATAATGTGTGGCACACAGCAGGTACTATGCAGCACTTGCTGTTAGAGCTGCTCCGTATTGCCCACTGAACTGTGCATGCAGGTTGACCTGGTCTGTCTCTTTAACCCGTGCACCTGCAAAGTGACTAGAGCATAGTCGTTGCACAATAAATGGCTGTTGAATTATTCAAACTAACAGGGATCACAACCAATGACAAGTCTTTCAGCTATGTATGACAGTTTTGCCAGGCTATACTTTCCTGAGAAATTTATTATTTGGTAATAATAAATCAATAAGTACATTACTTAGTAAACATGCATAAAGGGTACTAAATGATTTGAAAGAAAATAGAATCATTCTAGAGGAGGAAAATATAAATATAGACCTCATGTATAAGTGCTTTGGAGAAAGAATTTTTTGTCCTCAGTGAGTGTGGATGTAGCACTGCGTTGTCATTTCTTTGAGGGGAATGAATACTAGGGTTGCTCTCCAATCTTAAGGGTCTTGTTCTTCTAAATACAACGTTGAGGAACTTTAAACTTTATGAGAAAAAAGTTTATTTGAGAACCTATGACTTTTTTTCATTTAAGCATTTTATTTTGCATTTGCTATAATATAGTAGTAAATAAAATATTTAATGAGAAAATATAATGATATTTTGTATTAACCTGACTCCTGTTGACTCCTGTGGCTTCAACACATTTTGACATTTACCTATTTGTGTATTGGTGTAACTCTTGTAAATTTCTTCTATTTCTCTAACCCTGTCCCCCTTCATTCTGCCTAGCCCATGGTGGGGAATTTAGGCAGGGAGCCATAATAATGGTAACTTCTAATACTTACTGGACACTTACTGCATGCCAGGAACTCTGCCATGTTCCTTACATATATTTACTAATTAAGCCTCATGACAGTCTCTGTAGTAAATAGTATTATAATCCTGTCTTACAATGAGAAATTAAGGATCAGAGAGGTAAAGTTACATGCCCAATATCACATAGCTATTAAGTGGCAGAGTAGAAATTTGAACACACTTCTTCAAACTCTAAAGACTGTGCTCTTCACCACTACCTTACTACCTTAGATGATTGCTCTGGACAAAGAGAACCAAAGAACAAAACTTTGTGGTTATCCTACAGGGCCCTTGATGCCTCCAGACACGAATCCTGGCCTTGGATTTGAAGGTTCCTCTTTTCAGCCCACTGCTTGTTGCCCCGAGCTGGTCCCCAAGGAAGCTTCCTAGGACAGCACCAATATCTACTGCCCTAAGCTTGGACTTCCTAACCGTCTATCACCCTTTATTGGCTTCAGAGTTAGTGGGAATTCTTAATTAGGTGTTTATCCTCTTACATCCTATTACAATGACATTTCACCAGCACCAGTATTTCTGAAGAGACACCCTTTTAAAAGTTCATGGCCCTTTGTTAATTAATTCAGAGATGTCCTCTAAATTAGAATCTTCCTATCTGGCTTGGAAATACTTTTACTATCTTTGCTGCCATAAACTGGCATGTTCTTTAACTCTTTCCTGTATCATATTTATCTGAAATAATATTTACAACAAATTTGCACAACTAAAAAAAGTTGGGGGAGGTCGCCATGGCCAAGATGGCCGACTAGAAGCAGCTAGTGTGTGTGGCTCTCACCGAGAGGAATGGAAGGGGTGAGTTAATACAGTACCTTCAACTGAAACATCCAGGTGCAAGCACTGGGACTAATCAAAGAAATAACCTGACCTATGGAGAATGGAGAAAAGCAAGGCAGGATGATGGCCCACTTGGGAGCAACACCAAGCCAAGGAAACACCCCCTGCCCAGGGAAGCTGTGAGTGAATGTGTGACCCCGGGAACCCACGCTTCTCCCACGGATCTTTGCAACCCTCAGGTCAGGAGATCCCCTCATGAACTCACACCACCGGGGTCTTCAGAGCTAAGTGGAGCCTTGGCAGAGCAGCCATCTGGTACACGTGGAGACCTGGGAGCCTTAGATACTCAGGCTCTCCGGGCTTCCCAGCAAAAGTAGCTGCAGCTCCAACAAAGCAGGAGGTTAGACTGCCATAGATACCCCTAGGAAAGAGGCTGAATCCAGGGAACTGACCAGAGACTGTCTGCAGGCCTCACTTCCATAGCACCTCACAGGATAAGACCCACTGGCGTGGAATTCTAGCCAGCCAGCAGTGGTAGCTTTGCACTTCCCTGGGATGGAGCTCCCCAGGAAAGGGATGGGCTGCCACCTTTGCTGTTTGGCTGACTTAGCAGTTCCAGTTTTCAGGGTTTGGAGAGTCCAAGCAACCAGGGCTGGAAAGGATCCCCCAGCACAGCACAGCTGTTCTGTGAAGATGTGGCCAGATTGCTTTTTTTTTTTTTTAATTTTAATTTTTTTTTTGAGATGGAGTCTTGCTCTGTCACTCAGGTTGAAGTGCAGTGGCTCAATCTACTGAAACCTCTACCTTCTGGGTTCAAGCAATTCTCGTGCTTCAGCCTCCCAAGTAGCAAGACAATAGGTACACACCACCACATGCAGCTAATTTTTGTATTTGTGCTAAAGATGGAGTTTTACTGCATTGGCCAGGCTGGTCTTGAACTCTTCACCTCAGGTGATTCACCTGCCTCGGCCTCCTGAAGTGCTGGGATTACAGGCATGAGCCACCACACCCAGCTCAGACTGCTTTTTAAAGTGGGTTCCCAATTCTGTTCCTCCTCACTGGGTGGGACCTCCCAACTAGGGTCCCTAGCCACCCCTGCCAGTGCTCTCAGCCAACTGAGATTTGAAATCTCCCTGGACAGAGCTCCCAGAGGGGTGGGGGATGGGCCATTATCTTTGCTGTTTCAGTGACTTAGCTATTCCAGCCTTCAGACTTTGGAGAGTCCAAGGCAATCATAGGCTAAAGTGGACCCCCGAGCACAGCTCCTTTGTGAAAATGTGGCCAGACTGCTTTTTAAAGTGGGTCCCCAACCCTGCTCCTCAGTACCAGGTAGTGCCTCACAACCAGTGTCTCCAGCTACCTCCTACATGTACTTTTCGGCCAGCAACAGGTCCCTACCATGTAATTACATAGAAACTAAACAACATGCTTTTCAATGACTTTTGAGTAAATAATGAAATTAAGGCAGAAATTAAGAAGTTCTTTGAAACTAATGAGAACAGATATATAAAATACCAGAATCTCTGAGACAGAGCTAATGCAGTGTTAAGAGGGAAATTCATAGCACTAAATGTTGTGTGTGTGTGTTTGCCTGTGTCTGTGTGTTGATTTCCTTCAGTTCAGTTCTGATTTTGGTTATTTCTTGTCTTCTGCTAAAGTTAGGGTTGATTTGATTTTGCTTCCGTATTTCTTTCAGCTGTGATGTTAGGTTGTTAATTTAAGATCTTTCTAACAAACAAACAAAAAAAAAACATTCAAAAGATCAATGAATCCAGGAATTGGTTTTTTTAAAAAAGTTAATAAGATAGATAGGCTGCTAGCTAGATTAATAAAGAAGAAAAGAGGGAAGATCCAAATAAACACAATTAGAAATGATGAAGGGAATGTTACCACTGACCCCACAGAGATTAAATCAACCATCAGAAACTACTATGAACATCTTTATGCACACAAACTAGAAAATCCAGAAGAGATGGATAAATTCCTAGAAACATTCCTCCCAAGAAAACCAGGAAGAAATTGATTTCCTGAACAGACCAATAATGAACTCTGAAATAGAATCAGTGATATGGTTTGGCTGTGTCCCCACCCAATTCTCATCTTGAATTGTAGTTCCCATAATTCCCACGTGTTGTAGGAGGGACCTGGTCGGAGATAACTGAATCATGGGGGTGGTTTTCCTCATACTGTTCTCTTGGTAGTGAATAAGTCGCACGAGATCTGATGGTTTTATAAGGGAAAACCCCTTTCACTTGGCTTTCATTCCCTCTTTGCCTGCTGTCATGTAAGATATGCCTTTTGTCTTCTGCCATGATTGTAAGGCCTCCCCAGCCATGTGGAATTATGAGTCCATTAAACATCTTTTTCTTCATAAATTACTCAGTCTCGAGTATGTCTTTATCAGCAGTGTGGAAACAGACTACTACAATCAGTAATAAATAGCCTTCTACCCTCCCACCCCCAAAATTAAGAACTTATGGATTCATAGCCAAATTCTCCCAGATGTACAAATAAGAGCTGGTACCATTCCTACTAAAACTACTTCAAAAAATTGAGGAGGAGGGACTCTTCACCAACTCATTCTATGAGGCCAGCATCATCCTGATACCAAAACCTGGCAGAAACACAGCAAAGCAAAGAAAACTTCAGGGCAATATCCTTGATGAACATTGATGCAAAAATCCTCAACAAAACACTTGCAAACACATCAAAAAGTTAATCCACCACGATCAAGTAGGCCTCATCCCCTGGATGCAGGGTTGGTTCAACATATACAAATCAATAAATGTGATTCATCATATAAACAGAACTAAAGACAAAAACCACATGATTATCTCAATAGATGCAGAAAAGGGCTTTTGAAAAAATTCAAAACCCTTTCACATTAAAAACTCTCAATAAACTAGGTACTGAAGGAACATACCTCAAAATAATAAGAGCCATCTATGACAAACCCACAGTCAACATCATATCTAATAGGCCAAAGCTAGCAGCATTTCCCTTGAAAACCAGCACAAGACAAAGATATCCTTGCTCACCACTCCTATTCAACATAGTATTGGAAGTCCTAGCCAGAGCAATCAGGCAAGAAAAAGAAATAAAGAGCATCCAAATAGGAAGAGAGGAAGTCAAATGATGCCTGTTTGCATATGACATGATTCTATATCCAGAAAACCACAGTCTTGGCCCAAAACCTCCTTCAGTTGATAAACAACTTCAGCAAAATTTCAGAGTACAAAATCAATGTACAAAAATCACTTGCATTCCTATACAGCAACAACAGCCAAGTCAAGAGCCAAATCAGGAAGGCAATCCTGATAGGCTTTTAAATATAACATAAATTTTATGGTTCCTCCTCTCCAAAAATACTAACTTTATTATTTTCTTAGGGAAAAGTAGCATGGATTTCCATGAAACGAAATTCACAATTTCCAACCAGATGAACAATTTCTGTTCTTGAAGACAGAGCCTAGGAAGCAATACTCAGGGTCCTGTAGCTTGCTGCTAAATTAACTGGGCACCGTGGCTCATTCCTGTAATCCCAGTGGTTTGGGAGGCTGAGATGGAAAGATTGCTTGAGCCCAACAGTTCAAGACTAGCCTGGGCAATATGGTGAGACCCCCATCCCTACAAAGAATTTTTCAAAATTAACTAGGTATAGTGGTGTGTGCCTGTAGTCCCAGCTACTTGGGAGGCTGAGTTAGGAGAATCATTGAGCCTAGGAGGTAAAGGTTGCAGTGAGCTCTGATCACAGCACTGCACTCCAACCTGGGCAACAGAGTGAGACCCTGTCTCAAAAACCAAACAACAGCAACAACAACAACAAAAAACCCTTATTCCACAAAGAATTCACAAATGTAAAATAGGACCAGTAGTACTCAACTCTTAAGAATATAGCAAGGATTAAAGGAAGTAAAAGCATTTAGAATATCATCTGGTACATAGTAGGTGTTCAAAGTCACTTTCTATTTAGTAGTTCAGGAAGTTCTTGGAGGGAATCAAAGATACACTTGCCTTGTTTTTAATTCTGGTCAATAGAGAAAGCTCATAGCTAGATTATACAGCCTTATGGTATTTATGAAAGATTGCTGAGGGCCTAGAAATGTCCTAAACCTCTGTTCATCCCTAAATAAAATTACCAGGAGTTCCTCCAAATACTTTCTTCAAGATCCCCCAATGAGATGTTTCCAAACCCTCAGTGAACATTTACACTCAATTATGATTTTAAGATTTCCCTCTGCCATTCTGAGTTCCAAATCTGTCTGAACATTGCTAGCTCTCACATTTAATAATGGCCCTTACATGGGCAGCATCAAAACATTTAACTGGCCAGACACAGGCAAAATTCTGTGGCATCTCTGCTCCAGAGGTCTGAGTGGGAGCGCCTACTCTAAGTGCAGAAGGACAGTAAACATCCCCATGTCTCTTGACATAGTGCTTTAATATTGCCCTACTTCCATTCAAGCTGACCAAAACATAATTCACTGCCACCAAAACAGCTTGTACTTTTTCATTCCATTTTATTAGATTATTTCTAAAGAGAGGTTTTAGCATGAAATAGAGCAAACCTATGTTTCCATTTTCAGCCACTGAAGTTTATTCCAGTAGGGCTCCATGGCCTCTTTAGGTCAGAAGAGGAAAGAAGGAAGTAGGTTTGGTTTTCAGGTGTTCGTCCCTTATTTGGAGGCAGACTTTGTGGCTCTCTTTGGAGTAGACCTGATGATGCAGCCAAATTCCTTATCCCACTTTCTTTATTGGCACCCCTCTTTTCTCCTCTCTGCCTCTTGTATCATACAGCAATTCGGATAAATATCCATTGCTAAATGCCTCTTAACATGTTGCTTTCAGTGAGATTCTGCTATTGATTTGACTTCATCACCAGCACCTGCAGAGGTGGCCAGTAACATCTACAAGGTTTGTTTGTTCATTTGTTTTTTCATAACTGCATGGCAGAAGGATAGAGCCTGTGTGTGCACGTTAGTGGTTTGGAAACATATCTGAGAAACAAACATCCCAGGAAGTAATTAATCTTATAACCCTAACCCAAGTGCAAAACAAATGTGTTATCACAGAGAAAGATGAGCCTCTGCACCGCTGTGCAGGGAGAGTAGTGGGATGCTAGTGTCCAGTGCATGGGGTATGTGACTCATGGCCAGAAGCTTTCAGTGGGTTGGTCTCGCCTGTCATTCTAGGTAGACTTCCCTCCAGGACACGTATGTTGAATGACATTGAAGGATGCTAAAGAAAAGACCAACTCATTCCAAACTAAAGCCAAAGTGATGAGTTTCCTCTGTCAATGCATTCCTCATAGATCTTAATCCAGTAGCCTTGGCATTTGGTATCTGCAACTTTCAATTGCCTTCAATCAGTGATTCTTCATCTTTATCTGCCATGATTCCTCTGGCAGTCTGAGGAAGCCGGTGGGTGTGCCCCTTCTTAGGATAGCTTTTTAAAATCATAAAATACACAGGATTTCAAATGAAAATAATTATTTTGAAATACTTTACCAAAATATTATAAAAATATATGATAGGGTAATATGTGTGATTCTTTATTTTTTCAGTTCCCGAATGTAATACTTTAATTTTTAATTTTGAAATAAACGTAGACTTATAGAAAAGTGGCAAAAATAATATAGAGTGCTTCAGTACACTCTTCACCCAGATTCTCCTGAGGTTAACAACTTAGATAACCATGGCGCATTTAGGGACTAGGAAATTAATGTTGAGGCAATACTCTGAACAAAATTGTACACTTTATTTGGATTTCAACAGTTTTTTCTACTAGTGTTCTTTCTCTGTCCCAGGATTCAATCCAGGGTTTGACACTGCATGTAGCTGTTGTGTCTCCTTAGTCTTTCACAATCTTGTTACTTTTGAAGAGTTCTGGTCTTAGAATGTCCTTCAGTTTGGGTCTACCTGGCATTTTTCTTATGATTAGGTTGTGGTTATACATTTTTTGCAAAAATATGTTTCCTTATACATGCATTTAATAACTAGCTGCCCTAATAAATGCAGTAAATAACTACCCATTTAATGTATTAAATAACTGCCTACCCTGATATATAACCACCCTAAGTTTGAAGCAGTGATGGGTAAAAATGATGATTTGTGAACTGCAACAACTGAAACATGGTGTGAAAATATCTATGACTTCTGTTGGTGACAAGTCAGGGATACTGCTAGTAGTGCTATGGACTGTGGCCTAGATTTAAATTGGAAGCAAATGGAAAATGTCAGCTAGGAAAACAAAGATTTTTAAGACTTTCTTTCTATCCAAGTCTACCGACTTCCCTACCAATTTCTATCTGTGGATGCCTTAGGGATCTGGAGACCCCTAGTTAAGAACCCTTCTCTATAGCTACTGATAGTTACAGATGGCTAAAATTAACAAATTATATGTTAAAAGTTATTACTACAAATGATTTCATTTTCCCTAGAAACTTTGGAAAAATGACTCCAGTTAGATGATTTTTCATGGAATGGCCCCAGATTGTTCACATGTAAGTCCATGATAGAGCAGAGTGATTGAGACTATGAGGCTATGTCAATGACTCACCTGATATTTGACTACTTCCGTGGGATATTCTCTTGTGTGTGTGTGTGTGTGTGTGTGTGTGTGTGTGTGTGTGTGTATCCATATTTTTTTTCCTCATACAACTCACATTGACAAATATAGCTTCCATATTTTCATCCTCAGGACTTTATTGTCTATTTGGACAAAAAGCTATTGAAGCAATGGTTTCCTGACTCTAATTTTGAGGCAGTCAATGGCCAGTGTCAGAAAGATCCAGGCACTAAGTCCTGCCATGACTAAGCTCTAGAAGACTGAGGTTGAGAGGAATGTGGCCTCCAAACCAAGTCAGGGCTGAAGTGGAACCAGCAGTAGTTGATGAAGACTTCCTAAATGGCTCGTCATCTCTGTGTAAGAGTCACACAAGCATTCTCCACTCAATTCTCCATCCACCAGATGAGGTAGGCATCTCATTTTGCAGATGAGGAGACTGGAGCACAGAAAATAATTCCAATTTCTCAGGAAGAGACTTAGCACAAATTCAATGTTGTCTGACTCCAAGGCTCTTATTTATAACTCCTACACTATCTTGTGATGAGTGGGGTTTCTTTCCCCACTCACCCAGGGCTTCACTTGTTGCAAATCTACCTGGTAGGATGGCCTTACCAGGGGATGTTTTATTTTTTGAAGGCAATACAGTCACAAACTTAGTCAAAGGGCAGGGCCCTGGAGCAATGGCAGAAAAACAAACAAGGACATCAGGGTTAGGCAGTTTTATCAACCAAATCTTCCAGGTGTCAGACTGAGGCAGAAGGGTCAGACACGTATATAAGGTCTAAACAAGGGCGAGCATCTGGAAGTTCTGAGAGCAGCCTGGATTCCAAGGAGGAAGACATAAAAGACTAAACTCCAGTGCAACCCTGCATTCCTTATCATCCTCTTTTGTGTTTCCTGCAGGGGACCTCTTTGGCTCACATTGGCTCCCAGGTGTGTGTCTAGAGCCCTAAGACATCACAGAGAACAGAGGTGCACCCTGCTCATAGTTGCGACTGGGACAGAGGTGCCTACAGCAGGAGAGAGAGAGAGCCTTTCCCTAGTAGACATGGGAAGTTTAGGGAATCTTCTAAGGAAAAGTTCCCTACCAAACAAACGTTTCCTTAAAAATAAAAGGGGCCAGGGGCCAGCTTAGACATTGGTGTGTGTGTCTGTATGTTCTCGTGCACATGTGTAAGAGAGGAGACATTGGCCAGGCACGGTGGCTCACGCCTGCGATACCAGCACTTTGGGAGGCTGAGGTGGGCGGATCACGAGGTCATGAGATCGAGACCATCCTGGCTAACATGGTGAAACCCCGTCTCTACTAAAAATTCAAAAAAATTAGCATGGCGTGGTGGTTGGCGCCTGTAGTCCCAGCTACTCGGGAGGCTGAGGCGGGAGAATGGCGTGAACCTGGGAGGCAGAGCTTGCAGCGCCTCTGCACTCCAGCCTGGGCGACAGAGCGAGACTCCATCTCAAAAAAAAAAAAAAAAAAAGAGAGAGAGGAGGCTGTTCTATTGCTGTTTAACAAATTACTACAAATTCAGTGGCTTAAAACAAGACCCATTTATGATTTCACAATTTCCATGGGTCAGGAGTCCAGGCACAGCTTAGCTGAATCCGCCAGTTAGGTCTCAAAAAACTGCAGTGTCAGTCAAGACTGCCATGTGTAGGATCTTCTTCCAAGATCATTTAAGTTAACTGAATTCAGTTCCTTTTGCCTATAGAACTTATGGCAGATTTCATCTTATTTAAGGCCAGCAAAAGCAGGTCTCCTGATTTCCTGTCTCTGACCTCTAACCTTGCTTTTAAGAGATCAGCTGATGAAATCTGGTTTATCCTGGATGATTTTCCTTTGATTAACCCAAAGTCAATTGATTAGTGACCTTAGTTATATATTCTAAATTTCTCCACATTTGCCATAGAATATATCTATTTATAGGAGTAATATTTTACCATACTCACAGGTTCTGCTCACACTCAAGGCTGGGGAGATTATACAAGTTGTTTACACCAGGAATCAGGAATATTGGAGGCTATCTTAGAATTCTGCCTACCATGCGAGAAGAACAGAAAAAAAACCCCACAAAATTATTAACTTCCTAATAAAGAGAATTGTTGAGTTCAAAGGGCTGTATTTAAATATAATTGACATCTGGATCATAACGTTGTCATGTGACATTGTGATGTCTGCTCCGGATATAGTATAAAACATGAAATGGGCCATTCCCCTTCAACAGGGACTCAAATACACATGGATGCTGACTACAGTGAGTGTTTTATTCAGATCCACATAATCATGGAGAAGGGTCAGTTAGAGTTAGAATTTTATTTACTGCTTTGGAAAATGCACAAGGAGAATCTTACTTGTAAATCCTGACCTGTAGATGACTGGGAGAACCTTGAAAATAATTGTCAAGACCATGGGTGGATCCTTTCAATGAGAAGAAAAAGAGCTGTAACTCCCACAGTACAGATGAAGTAAGACAAGTGAGGCTGGATCTCATCTTGAACGTAGAACTGGTGGCTCCCAAATTCCTAATAACCAGCCATGAAAGCTTATAGATCTGACCATAATATGTTTTATTCAGGTTACTGTCTTTATCAGTAGCTCACATTTTCCTATTAACTGCATTTTCTTAATCTCTAGGAAACTCATTGCTCTAATTTATAAAATAATTAGTATATAACTTGATTTAATCATTTCACAATGTATACATATATGAAAACATCATACTCTATACTGTAAATATATACAACTTTTGTCAGCTATACCTTAATAAAGCTGAGGACAATAAAAATTAATGAATAAATTGTTTTTAAAAAGAGTTGTTTCACTTGTTTTGGAACATTATGGTAAAATTGTGGGCCTTGTTATCTGGACTTCATCAACAGATCACCTTCAACTGGAGAAAAAACTGAGAAAAAAGACTATAAGAGATGCTGTAGTTTTTGAAAATTGGAGGGATATGTAAAAACTCATTCTCTTCTCTTCGAATAGAAATTTTGTATTTGTCAGTGACAGAGACCACACGGAGGGTCTTATTACAATTGTAGTTAGTAGTTTTACCTGCAGCTTCATAGAAAGAGGGATCCAGGATAAATATAGGAGACTGTCACTCAGTTTCTAAAATGCTTTCTCTATTCGGATTACAGCAAATAGCCCAAAGCCAGAGCATGCTATGATTAAATTACTTTTCCAGTAGGAAGGTTATCCATGCCTAGTGATTCTCTAACTGGCATCTCAGTGCAAAATTCCACTGTGCTCAAAGTTCCTGGTTCTAGGGGCTTTCCTGGAGCCAAGGAGATATGTTTTTAGGAAAAACAAAACCAGCTTGTTATATTGTCTTTTGTATTTATGATAACAAACACATACTCACTATGGCTCATTTATGAGTGAACGAAAAGGTGTGGAGAAAGACCACCTCCGTGCTGAGCACCATAACTTTTTTGCTCATACATTTGACAGATACTTGGGGAGCATCTTCCCTGCCTGTCTGTTGCCATGCCTTGCTCTGGGTGCTGAGATACAACAGTGAAGAGTCCCCTGTGGTTGGGTTGCCGCTAGGGCTTGGGTATTGTGAGAGGTCAGACAGGTTTGTCTCCTGTCACGTCCAGGCCTTGGAGGTTCTTTTAGCCTGGTGGTGACACCAATGTGCACTGCATGTTCCTGTTGGTGTCCTAATTTCGGGCACAGCTTTCCAACAGGGACAGGCCTCCTCCTCCCAGCTTCCTACTATGATGCTATCAGCTCACATTTCCTCAGCATGCTTGCTTGTCACATCCAGGAAAGTGTTGGTTTCCATAGTAACAGTGATCATATATGCAGAAGATTTGGCTTTCTGACTTATTAGTGACTCTTTTTCCTTCATGTGATCTATTCCTACAGTCCCAGGGAAATTTAGCTGCAATACCTAAGAAAATTTACTAACATGTTAACAAAAATTATCTGGGTTAGTAGTGATTCCTTTTTGCATTTATCTGTATTTTTTTCAAATTTTATGCACTGATGATTTATCTCTTCTGTCATTAGAAAAAAATTAAACTTGTCAGGCAGTCACATAAAAAGCATCAAATACAATGGGCTAATTCTCTGCAGTTTTCTAAGGACACGTGCATTCAACTCAAGAGAGTGGCATGGGCATAGCAAATATGATTCTTTTATGACTATTTGCTCATGAAAGCTGTACCGTCTACCCTTCAAAACAAGGCAAATCATGTAATGATTAATATAATGATTAATGGTTTATGTACAGATGTTATTTTATTTGTAAAACATGTGTTTGAGATTCTGGCACTCAATAACATTCTAGGCCTCTGGGGGAAGAAAAAGGAAAGAAATTAGAAGGCTTTCTTGGATTCCCTTTGTTAATTTTAAAATAAACCTATCTTTGCAGGAGAAAAATCTCCCACCTTTCATAAGATGTTGGTACTATTTGCTCATTACTAGTTTACTTTCTAAAAACAAATGTAACACAAAGTGAGAGAAGTAACTTCAAACCCTTAGAAATGACCAGGCCCAATGTACCTTCCATAGCAACTGGTGTGGTAAGGCATACCAGTGTACTGGAAACCTTCATGTGTACTGCCAAAAATTTTAAATTATAATTATAGCAATGCCACTGATGGAAAGTTAAGATCAACTGAGTTTTTGACAAGGTATGGAGTAGCATCAGCCCAACACTAGAGATAAATGAAGCTTTTACTAAAATACCACAACATGCTAAAAATTTGCTTGTGAATACAGACGAGAGTCTCTTGTGACAATCAAAAGTTCAACACAGTACTAGAAGAAAAGTGAAGAGAGTAACATACAAACTGTGTCTAACTTTTATAGAGCTTTTGGGATATTACTGTGCCACAGTGATGATAGTACTATAATTATCACCGATGTGTTTAAAGCTGTTTTGAGTCTTTTAATCTCTTCTGGGACTACCAAAAATTCTAGTTTTCAAAGTTTGCCATGAATACACAATTACATGTACATAACCTGGACACACACAGGTATTATAATTAAAAATAAACGCTTGTATTATAAAAATCCCTCTTCAGCCTCCCCCGAAGGCAGTTACCCAATGTGTGCTTAACTTTGTCCATGACTGGAAGCTCACTATCTTACATGGAAGCTCTCTCGACTTTGAAAAAAAGGTTAATTTTAAATATAGTTTTGTTAAGTTGATGTGAAGTCCACCTCCCCGCAATATCTACCCACTTGTCCTAGTTCTGACCTCAGGAATAAGAGTGGGTAAGTGTAATTCCTTTCCTGTAGGACAGACTCTGAAATATTTGAAGAGCAACATTGTGTTCTCCCCAAGTGTTCTCTTTATGCACTACAACGCGAATGTTTGCCTTAGAAAACAAGACTGTTTAAACATGTTTTGATCTAAGAATCATTTACGCAAAGTCATTTCACTGTGCAAGAGGATCTATAATAGTTTCACATTTCAAGTATTTTTTTGTTTAACTCTACCAAATCTGTCTACATCTAGAAATACAACTAGTACAGCCAGTGTGAGATTAAGCCATGCTTCTACTGATTCTGGTGTGTCCTATCTGAGGATGCCAGAAGTTGTTCTCTGCAACACTGACCATCCCTGACAACGCCATTACATTAACACCTTTATAAAAACCCATATTCAGGACTCTATCTGCTGAATTGATCCTTGGGAAGGAATTTTGCTCCTTTCTAGGGGTGTGTTTCTCAAAACATTTTGCTGTGCGGTAACCAGATATGATGAAAGATAAATTACCCAAAAGTTCAAGAGATGAAATTTCTGTCCTTGAATAAGGCCAGAATAGTTCAGAACTTTTGAATGTGCTCTCTCCTCCAACCCAACAGAAATTGACTATGGAGTCTTCTAATAAATCAACGGGTTTTCTTAAAAATCAATTGTCTTGAGGACTGCTGAATATGGATAATGGGGAAAGGTGTTTTTACTCTTCTGCTATTGGGTGTTCTGACATTTTCAAAATAATTTTTTAATGGAAATCTCTGCATCTCCAAATCCCTGACAAGAGAGAAAAATGACATTAATGATATTAAAGAAGCCTGCTTCTTTACTCTTGTCAATCTGTAAAGGTTTTCTTTTTTATAATGTAAATTTCATGAGGCAAAAGTGAACATCACATAAGTCTGCAAGTGTTGTTTGGTAGTACTGAGCTGCTCATGCTATAAAGCAAGGCTTGGTTGAAGAAAAATACAGCAGAGCCAAAGTAAGAAGAGGGTTGAGCAGGAGGAGAGCTTGAGATCAAATGTATGTGGCTAGAAAAAAAAAACTGCTTCCAGGGAGTTGCTGAAGAAAAAGTTAATTTAATATGTGAGAATCAAAGGAATATACTGAGGTTGAAAACCAATGTTGAGTGTAGTTGTAGAAATAAGGACAGATTGGGCAGAAGCAAAGATTAAGAGGTTAGAGTTCTCAAACTGTTTGTGGTAATGCTTGAATCCAATCTATATGACCAGTAGGCAGCACGTGTCATGTGCAAATTGCCATGTGAGTTGTACTCCTGAACCAGTTTATGCAGAGCTCAACAAGATGAGTTTGGTCATCATGCACTTGGATATCATGTTGTGGTAGCTAGTTTCCAAAGACAACCCTGATGAAGAACACTTTCTGGTATTCCTATCCCTATATGTCCCCTTCTTCCTCTTACATCTGGGCTGTGCCTGTGGGTGTGAGCAACAGAATGTGGTAGAAGTGATGCTGTGTGACTTCCAGGCTAGTTCACCAGAAGTCTTGCAGTTCCCAGCCCTGGTCTCTTGCTGTGTGTTCTCTAGGAGAAGCCACCTACCAGTTAAGAGGTAGGACTATTCTGAGACCACCACGGTGAGAGGAAGCCCAACCTATCCAAATGGAGAGGCTGCATGGAGACACATGCCCACCCAGCCTCCAGCTGTTCTAGCCATTCAGAAGAGGTGCCCAGTATGTGAATGAAGGAACCATTCTGGAGACCTTGTTCAACTGAGTCGTTAGTTAACTCCAGCTCCAGCTGCCTTCTAAAAGCAAACACAAGACAGACATCACATGAGAAATGCCCAGCTGAGCCCAATCAACCCACATAACCATGAAATGTGATAATACATTTTTGTTTTAGACCACTTTGTTTTATTTTGGATGTTTGTTAAACAGCAATTGTTAACCAGAACACATGGCAATGGCAAATTTCCATAAAAATGTCAAAACACTCTCAGTTTTTGTACTTCTCTCACTGTGTGCCGTTAATAAGCACTGACTTCCACTTTGAGTGAGATCAGCTTATCTGCTTATACAGAATCCAGGCAAGACTTAGAAAAGGAGAGAGAGATGAGCGTTGCCTTTACCTGAGCTTTCTTTGAGCCTCTCTGTACTGAGCCTTGCATGTTATAGAAATGACTAGAATCTGCAGGGGGTATCCTCTATACTATCAACTCAAAGGGGCTTCCTTTCTTTGCTTTCTGAAGTTTCACTCTAAGATTTGTTACTTGGAGAGGACTTCAGGACAAATTTGGCCTGTTTTAGTTTCTTTTTAGTGGTTTGAGTGACCAAGAAGTATCATTTTAAACTCAGCTAAGATGAAGGGGATTTTGATTAGGAAAACTGTGCCTGGCACGTCAACTCTTTTGGGAGAACACAGGCACAGGCTTATAGTTTCAAGAATGACCTCAGGTTTCCCTATGATGTATTTTAACCATTACAACTAAGATCTAATCCTTACAAATTCCCTAGGGTCGGAGACTGACCTTCTTCTGAGTTGGTAGGGATTTCAGGATTCTAGATCTCATCCATTTAGCATTAAGTTACCTTGTTGGTGCTCCTATTCACCCTGTATTTCAGGTCGGGAAACTGGACTCTTACGTTGTTTTCCAAGTACATTCTTTGAGCAATCCTCCATTCAAAGTTTTTAAAGTAAGTTCTGAGTTCAAACCCTTTTATGGGAGTTGTATGATCTTACACATGCAATCAAACCCTTCCATGGCTCACTTTCTTTGCCTTATAGAGGTCAATAGAATATCTTTCCCTGGCTTTTGGGAAGGTATAACAAGTTTGTGTACGAAAGTCGTTAGAGTATTCAGCATACGGTAACAGCTTAAATGGTAGCTGCGGTAGTGGTAGCAGTATTCCTGAGAGTATGGTGATTCTGAACACTTAACCATTTCAGAAACAGGAATCCTGCTTCTGAGCCAAGCCTTGTAGGTAGTCTTTTGCAGGTATCAGACTTTCCCCTCTCAGGAAATGAGCCAGTGACCTCTTTCTGGACCTCTAAGGAGGGTACCAACTCATTGTCTTCTCCTGGAACCTACACTGATTATGTGCTGTGAGCCTAGGGGTCATTTTCACCTATTCTGCCACTGATAAGGCTCTAAATTTAACACCAAGAAAATGTTCTCCAACAAAAATTTTTCAAAGGAAACTGTTTTTTGTGATCTTGTTTTAAAATCCTGAGCAGGTAGCTCCTTAATCCACAAGAATAAAGACAGGAATTAATCTATGGTTCCATTGATGTAAAGGAAGATTTTCATTTTAATAAAAAGCACATTGAAACAAGGCTTATAGCTTGATCAGTGGACCAAGTTTTGCATTTGTTTTTAATGCCTATTGAGTTTCATTGCGTTGCTGGCACCTAATGTGTTCTGCCCCATCACTCCATTTTTCCCTTTTCCATGTGGCCAATCTTTGATGCATCCTATTTCCACATATCCAATAGTTTAAAATAAAGGGGAAAATTGAAATCATTTAGAATCTCACTATAGTATTGTTTTTGTCATAATCTTTTGAACACTTATCCTCAAATCATGTCCCTTTGCTTTCAAAATGTGGAAACATGTGTTTTATAAAAGTATATTCCTTGGTTAATCAATAGCAAATGTTTTATTCTTTCTCCATCTTTCTCATTCTTATTTCCATTCTTTTAAAATGATTTCACCAAGTTAAATGAGTTGCTGTAGTTTATTCACTATACTGAAAGTCCTGATGTAGAAAGGGAAAACCATTTCTCAGAATTGAGTTTCCATCTGCTTTCTGAAGTGGGTGGAGATGTTTTTAAACTTATGTGAATACCTAAAAAACCATTTTATTTAGCCAGGTGTGGTGGCTCATGCCTGTAATCCCAGCACTTTGGGAGACTGAGGCAAGAGGATCATTTGAGGCCAGAAGTTCAAGACCAACCTGGGCAATATAGTGACCCTACCTTAAAAAAACATTAAAAAATTATTCAGGCTCGATGGCATACACTGGTGGTTCTAGATACTCAGGAGGCTGAGGCAGGAGGGCTGCTTGAGCCCAGGATCTTGAGTCTGCAGTGAGCCATGATTGAGCCACTGCATTCCAGCCTGGGAGACAGAGTAAGACCCTGACTCAAAAAAGGAAGGAAGAAAGAAAGGAAGGAAGGAAAGAAGGAAGGAAGGAAGTGGAAAGAAAGAAAGAAAGAAAGAAAGAAAGAAAGAAAGAAAGAAAGAAAGAAAGAAAGAAAGAAAGAAAGAAAGGAAAAGAGAGACAAACATTATATTTGATTCAAGATGAATTGTAGGATCTATTACTACAGACCTGTAAATCAGCATGTTTCTAAGGAGTATGTGGCAATAGATATCAAGAGCCTTAAAATGTTCATTTCTTCTGAACAGCAATTTTGCTTCCAGCAATCTACCCTAAAGAACATCAGAGATGTACCAAGATTTATTTCAAGTTTACTGCTCTTCCCAGTGCCTCCCAGAGAGCTTGGGATATAGTGGGTGTTCAATAAGTAGTTCCTAAGGAAATGAATGAGTAAGAAAGGCTCATTGCCACATCATTTATAACAGGAAAATATCAGAATTCATAAAATTTCTAATAGTAAACAATAGTTAAGTACATCATAATACAATCATATAATACTCTATCATGTGGACATTAATAATAAGCATGTTAATATTATAATATTAATATTAGTTAAGCATTAACAGTATAAAAAGATCTAACTGGAAAAGGCTTATGACAATATTAAATAAAAAATCAAAAGGCAAATCACATGTTAGGGCACCACAAATGTAAAAATATACAAATGTTGACTCTCATCTCCCAGTCCTAAATCTCTAGGTAGAAAATAGAGCAGAATACATTTTCTAAAGTGCAGAGAATGTTATTGAAATAGAAAAAGCCCCCTCCCCTTGTTACTAATGCAAGCCGTTTCATAAACCCTGCAGGAAAACCCATTTGGCCATGTCTTAATCCTCAGGTTTCTTCCATGCAGCAATGGCCAAGAAATGCTTCAACACCTCAGCTTGTTTACACTAAGCACACGATCAAGTCACTGTGGGATAATAATAGCTAATATTTATCCAGTTACTTTACTATGAGCCAAATAAAGTGCTGTTTTAAGCATTCTACATCCTTTAATTCTCACAATCTTCACCACAGCCATTACCAGTCTCATTTTTCTATCAAGGAAACTAAGAGGCTAGGTTGCTTGCTCAACCACGATTTGAACCCAGGGAGTCTGAACTCAAAGCCCACCCACTTAAACACCGTCTGAATCTGCCTCTCTGACCTGAGGGCCCCATAACATTTTTTTCTACTTAGAATCCCAGTCCATTCCCCTCATGATCTCTTCTTTTTCCCATTGAGCAAACCTCTCAAACTCCTTTCCTGACCTTCCCTTGGTAGAGCTTTCTAGAACACACATACCTTTGTCCCTAATTACTGCTTACTTCAATTGCATGCAGCATTTCTCATTGTGTTAGGATGGTACAAACATAATTTCAGCTTTTGCCATTTAAAAGTAATGGCAAAAGCTGCAATTATGTTTGCACCAGCCTAATAATATCATTACCCTAAGAAGCGGTCCCCCATAATTGGGACAAAAAGGGGTCGTTCCTACTCAGTTGCATGTTAGCAAGACCTCTGCTTTATTTGTTTGAACTCCAGAATGAATTCTTGGCTTACTTCTTTATTGTTTCAAAAATGTAAATATTGCGCAGTCCCTTTTTGCCAGTCTGTTCCTCCCAGTGTGTCCTTTTCTTGACGCATATCATTTCTAGTTGCACCACATTTAGAGCATATTGAAACATACCTAAACCCAATTCAATCTACCAGTTATATTTTATGTTTATTCTTAAGCAAATACATTACCCTCCCCTAACACAATGATTCCACGTCCAATTCTTACTACTAAACCATAAGAAAAATAAAAATGCTATCAGTGTTATCTTTAGAAGGGTGGATTTTTGAGTGATTTTTACTTAGAAACTTTTCCCAAAACCTAAGAAATGATATTTTAAATAAATAAATAAAACATGTAGTTTTAAATGACAGATTGATTCCCTTTTATTTCAAAAATTGTGAGCTTATAAATGGTAGTAAAAGGGGCCAATAAATGAGTAATCTATTTTAAAGCTTGAATCAGATTTATCTCTTTCTTTATGAAGGTGTCTACTGCCAACCTGTGCATAAGCTGGCATGATACAATAGGCTGGCCTCAGCTTATGTTCATAAAACTGTCTGGTCATGTGCAGTTTACCTGACATATGTTATACAATTGACAAATTTACAAAGTTAAAAATGATTTATGACAAAGACTTTACAAATATTTTTGGAGCCAGAAATTTTACAGCAACACTAAACCTTATAAATATGATGGCTTTATTCTAGAGTAAACATTCAAACCCAGTGCAAAGAACTTACAATGTGTGAAATAGACACAAATGACTTTTTGTATATAAAGCAGTCCTATATTTTTCTTTAGAAAATAATTGGCATATTAAAATTACAGCTCTGAGTCATTTTCACTGATCATGCTGTAGCCAAGTACAAGTGGATGCATCTGGCTTCATTAAGGGACTGCTTATTGCAAGAACTCTAGAGAGAATAGAAGCAAAAGTCTTTACTACCTTACCTATGACTGGCTGCCTTGGACAAATGCTTGCCTTTATGTAGGAAAAGTATATGTGAGTGTTCAAAAATACCTCTTCAGTTAAATACCACACATGATAGTCAATAATGGGGTCAATAAAATGACCAATCAAGTCCAAATGTTCTGAAGAATTCACCAGATCAAATGACAATGTGTATAAATACTTGAGCTGGTTGTAGGATAATGAGCCAGTGAGTCACCAAGGAGGGTTGCTCGAGAGTGTTTTCCATCTGGTACCTGAAGGAAAGCCAGGAACATCAGCCCTATACAACAGAAGGGTGGGAGTGGGTTTGGCTCTGCTTGGTGTGCCATCTGCAGATTTAGTCCCAGTTGTGTTGGAAGAATCTCTCCTCTTATCAGCTTTTACAAATCCCAAGAGTTGCCTTTAATTGACAATAACAACAAAAAAGTTAAACTCTTTTGACCATGCAGACCCATGTAATTACTGCCCTTCTCACCTTCACAACCAAGTTTCCAAGAAAAGCATTCCTGTTTGATGATGGGTTAGGTTAGTGCAGTCATTTACTTGCTGCATTTTCAGTCCAGTTAAAATGTGAAATCACTGTTTCTTATTACCTGTTAATGCACATGGTTGATGTACCTGAATATTACTCTGTGCCTGTCTCTTACCCCAATCTTAACTCCAAATCCAAGTATAAAGACCTTTATTTATTCATTCCTGTACTGGTTAAATGATTTACAATTTGTGTTTTTTGTGATTAAAAAGATAAAGATCTACCCTGGAGCTGAGAATAAGAGATCCCACTGTGAACTAACTCCTCCAATGCCCTCACAGTCTAAAAATACTATACCAAATAAGGTTGGCATAACCAGAAAGTCTTTGAAAAGAATGTTGTGTACACTCTGCAAACTTCAAGTGGAAAATAAAATGAATTCAATTAATAATAAGTAGCTAAGTCTATTTATTAGCAGAAATCAAATGAAGACACCTATTGTAGTTTCAAAAGAGATGCAGATGATTCAAGATTCTTGTAAATGCTCAGAGAATAAACAAACATGGCACTTGAGGACCATTCCTGAGACCCTCAAGTGTGGTAAACAGATGACTCTACATCACACACTTTTCGGGTGCAACCTAATTCTGATGTAAGAGTTAAGATGAAATCTTAGGCAGATGGTGAAAGTATAGGAGTCCTCAGTAAGGTTTTCCTTTTAATGAAAAGCAGTCCCCAAATCATTCTGTAACAAAGAGCAGCCTGTAAAATTTAGCTGCAGACATAGGCAAGCAAGCTAGAAGCTTGTAAGGGTGAATGATGGCAGTTGTGCCAATAGGAAAAGGCTACCTGGGGCTAGCCATATCAAACATGGCAGCTCCATCTTCCCTTCTTTGCCAGCCATGTGTACCTTTAAAGAGCAGACAAGATGACACTGGCCAAGTGGAAAGCTCATTTGCATAATAAGATTAGGGTGGGGTGGGCAGCCTTCCCTGCTGGCTATGTAAACGTCACACCTGGTCCAACCAATCTGTGGGCCTTACATAAATCAGACACCGCCTCCTCAAGCCTGCCTATAATATCTGGTTCTCTTGCCACAAGCTGGATCTCCTATTTGGGAGATCTTCTTTTAATCTTCTTGGAGTGAGACAATGAAACCCAGGTATTTTTACCCAAGGCAACGACACCACTTTAATTCCAACCTAATTCCATTTCTGAACTTTTACCCCAGTCTCTGGACCAAATCTGTACCATTCCCCACTCTGAGATTACACAGCCCTATCCCTAACATAAATCTAAGAGTCTGTGATAAGGAACAGTAAAAGTTTAAGGTTGGGGGGAGTTTGTTTAGCATATTACTTTGCATAGTAGGATATTTCGAAGTATCCACTGATGCTCAATTTTCAACCTACATGGTGTAGTTATAGGTTCTCTCCTACTTGCCCTCTACAGAGAAGTAAGAGGTAGCTGCAGTTATAATTTATAGCTAATGCAGAGATACTACATCCATCTTTCAGTGATCCATCATTCTCACATGTAGGGTTGTGCAGATTTGCATGGTGATTTGAAATCCCTTCTACTGTAGGGCACAGTCTACTAGACAAAAGGGAGTTTCAAAGACAAAAGGAGAGGAAAGGCTTAGAAAAAGGAAGTGGGCAAAGTGAACTCACACCTTGATGCTGGGGGAAGCAAAAGTGGAAGAGAACCACTGCTCTGCTTCTGTTTCTTGTCTGGGCCTTTGGTGGATGGAAACACTGCATTTTCTGCCCAATTCATCCTTATGAAGGAGGGCATTAGAGAGATGACATTATGGCACCTCTTGGTGTCAAAGACACCTCTACTTCGCTTGGATTTGAGTGGTGTGCACAAGGTTCCTATAGTTTATCATGACCCCAAGTCTGGTATGAGGTTGGCAGAGAGAGGGAGAGAGAGAGAGCAAGTAGCTGTGTGCCTGCTCCTGGGGTCATTTGGTTAAGCAACACGATATGTATTATTTCATCAAAAGTTCATGCTGCATATGTCATAATAGAAGCCAGGGGTAAATGTAGTTAGAGCTCCAAGACTGAGTACAGCCAGAAGCCAGAGTGAGCATGAAACTCTTCCTGAGAAAGACATGTGCACTACTGGCTTCAAGAAGATCACTTCAGCCAAGGAGCAGTGGACACAGTCCAGTCCCTACTGATGCCCCTGTTAATTTCCTTGGGATATGAGAGCCATCTAGGTGGCTAGAAATTCTGAGTTCTACTCTGTGACTTGTACACAAAAGTAAATGAAAAGAAATCACTGGATTCAACAAGGAGAAGATCAGGAATAGGCTAGATCAAATGGTACTAGAGAGACAGGTGGAGAGCCACAAAGTTTTTCAGTTACAAAATCAGAGAACACTACCTATATGACACATCTGTGTTTGAGACTCTGGCTCACAATCCAGTGTATATTTTTAAATCTTTTAATTCTTTTGCACTTGTCACCATGTCCTCATGTTAAAAAACAAAACAAAACAACAACAACAACAAAAAACTTTTGACTTGGTGGCAGATCAAATTACTCATGTCAAAAAGTCACATGCCCAGGACTTGAGGCTCACAGGGGCAGTTTGAGAGCATGTTGCTAAAACTCTTTTTTTTTTTTTTTTTTTTTTTTGCCACACAAAATAATAACAGTACTCCCAAGAATAAAAGAGTAAACATTATAATAACAAAGAGGATGCCATCATAAATTATTAAAGGGTCAAAACTATGGCAGTTTTGGGGAAAAAACTTCAGTGAATGAAAGAGCAAGAAATGTTTAAGAATCAGCACAACTTATTATAGCTAAAGCTTAATTCCTAACACATTTTAAAGTCTTAAATGCTATATAATCATTAGGAAATACAAAATTAAATAAATGTAGCATCTAAATAAAAAAGACAAAGAAGAATAAAATAATCTAAAGAAAACAGAAGCGAGGAAATAATGAAAATAGAATAAAATAAGGAGTTAGAAAATGTTGGAGCAGGGGTGTGGGAAGGAGAGATTATACACAAAACCAAAACAAACTTAAAAGAAAAACTATATTTAAATAATAGCAATAATAAACTATGAAAATGAAAAACTTAACTAGGAAAAAAAGGGGCAAGAATGTGGAAACACACAAGAAGTAAAAAAAATGTAAAAAAGGAAACACTAATTGATACAGACAAAATTAAAATAATCACAAAACAGAACATGTATAACAACTTTAGAAATAAAATCGAAAGCCTAGATTAAGATAACTGTTTTCTAAGAAAATGGTTACTAAAGTCAATATCTTAATGAAATATTAGCAAATAAAACTCAGGAGCATATTGTTAATAACAGGGAATTGTAATCAAATATTTATTCCAGGAATTCAAAAATCTAATATAATGCATAACTTGTTAACATAGTATAATGTAAATCAAATGATATAAAACATAAGATTAGCTCATTAAATTTAAAAAGGCAGTTGCAAATATCCTACATTTCCCTCTCATTTAAAAGGAAAAACAGTATAATAAGAATAGATGGCATATGAGTCATGAAGTGGAATAATCACATATAGAATATGAATTACCATATTTAAAGGTAAAAAATAGAAATATTTCTATTTTATAAATAGGACAAGAATGCTATTAAAACTTATTTAACATTATTCTGGAAGTACTAACCAAAGAAGTTAAACAAGAAAAATATACTAAGTATATATATATATATATACACACACACATATATGTGTATATATATACACAAACATATGTATATATATACATATATGTATATATACACATATATACATACATGTATATGTGTATATATACATACACATGTGTATATGTGTATATATACATATACATGTGTGTATATGTGTATATATACATAGACATGTGTGTATATGTGTATATATACATAGACATGTGTGTATATGTGTATATATACATAGACATGTGTGTATATGTGTATATATACATAGACATGTGTGTATATGTGTATATATACATAGACATGTGTGTATATGTGTATATATACATAGACATGTGTGTATATGTGTATATATACATAGACATGTGTGTATGTGTATATATACATATATACATGTATATATAGTGTGTGTGTGTGAAAGAAGCATGCAACATGTATCATTTGCTCTGATAGAAAACATATACCTAGATTACTCTAGCCAAATAAATTACAATTTAAAAAATAAACTCATTTAGTAAGATGACTAGTAACTAAGTTAATGTACAAAATATTATATTAAATATTAATATTAAAAATCTTATCCTTATCTGAAAACTAAGAATTTAGCTTGAAAATAAATTTTAAAAAATCAATTAATTATCAACCTAAAATATACAATACCTAGAAATAAACTTATCCAGAAAAACATATATTTAAAGATTCAAGGCTCTATTAAACTTTTCAGTTAAACTTAGTGGTTTGACCTCATGCGTTTTAATTCTCTCCTTCTCAAGACCTTACTAAAATGGCATTTTAAAAAAAGATGACTCTTTAAACCCACAAATTCAAAGAGAATGAGAGAGAAACAACATTCATTGGATGAGAAGTGTCCACTGAGTGTAGGAGGAAAGAAGCAGATGGGAGAGGAGCAGAAACGCCATCTACACTGTAGGGCATGGCCGAAAGGCCTTCAAGAGCTGCTCAGACTCTCAACAAAGAGGAATCTGGCAGAGCAGGGATCAGGGCTGGACGCAGCTGAGCTCGTGGAGATTGGCTGAAGGTCTCCATAGAGAAAGCTGGGGTTTCCTGGCCCTCCCCATCATCGTGGGGCTCCATGGCTAGTTCTTATTCACTTGCTCCCCTTCTATTCGTTGCTTATCTCCATCCTCCTCTAGTCCCAGGGTGGCTGACCTCTAGGGCGGCATCTCCTGGGCTTCTTTGCCCCCTGGCGTTAGTTGGATTAGCCAGTGAGAGGAACCTTCCTCGGGAAACTGGAGGGTGGAGATGAAGAGAACAGTCCTTATACTCCTTCCCCCTATTTCCGTGTAGCTTCTTTGAGATTTGTCTGCATCCCTCTGTGGCCACTGCTCCTGTCCAGAACCCCGTCTTCCAAGGATTTTCCTTGGAAGAAGTTCCAATAACATGATCTCTCCCCTTGCTCCTTCCACCCTTGAGATGGTAACGGCTTCCTACTGCTGCTGGTCTTTGAGGGCTTCACCCTGCCTTTCTGGGGTCCTTAGTCCTGCTCACTTCATTAAACTCTCTCCGGGCAAATGCAACGAGTCTGCCTTCTGTTTCTCATGGAGCCCCTGACTGACTCAGAGAGGGAATGAATACCACCCCCTCCCACCCCTACTCATACAGCCTAAGGGATTGCAGCTTGGGAAATCTCCAGACTCCAGGGCCAGGCACTGTGGTGATCCAGAGAGAGAGACAAAGGCCGGAGGACCACGAGGCAGAGGTCAGCCATGCAGAAGAGGACCTCCTAATACGGTAGTGTGTGCGTCTGTGTATTAATATAGCATGTTGGTACAAGCATTACTTTCTTTCCTGGTAAGAGACTAAAAATTGGCTAACTTTTGGGAAGAAAGCCAGCAGGGCATGGTAGAAGGCTTTGATATACATTTTATAACTTTTGGTACATCCGATCAATGAGTGCATAAGCCTTAAAGCCAAACTTTCTGGAATTAAATCCAGGTTCCATCAACAGCTGTGTGATTTCCGCATGCCTCAGTTCTCTTATTTATAAAACAGGAATAATAACTTTTACTTCAGAATGCTGTTTTTAGAACTATATGAATATATGTCTGGCACATAATAATAATTTAATAAATGTTATATTTATTATTACCAAAAATGTACATGTACTTTAAAAATCTGCAGGAGTTATCTAGGAGTAGAGCTCTCAGACCACATTGTTTGTGCTTTGCAATATTTAGACAAACAATGCTTGTTATTCAAAAGAAAAAAATGCACGTGTCCATATTCACATGGCAGTACAGATTATTTTTTCATACAAACTGTCACCCATTAAAACACAGAAAGTGTATCAAAGACCTCATGGCATTGGACAGAAACATGTTTTTATTGGGAGGTGGGGCAGGCACAGGGGTTTCTTGAAAGAGCCTTGGTCCAGACATCAGCGAATCTGGCTTGAAATCCCTGTTCTGCTTCCTAGTAGCCATGTGGCCCTGGGTAAATCATCACCCTTCTCTGGTCTTCAGTTTGTTTGTGAGAATTGAAGTGGATGCTTTCTTAATTCCCACTCAGCTCTGAAAGTCTACCTCATTCAATGGGAGGCTGGGGACACTCACTCCAAGAACAAAAGCATACAGGAGCCCCTGAGTAGAAAGGTAGGAGGAGACATCACTTCCCTACTTCGGCCTGGCTTCTTCCTTGGACACAAATTTCTTCCAAAGATAATTAGTGATGCATGCTGAGTCATTCCATTTGCCAACGATGAGCCCAAAGACATGAAAGGAGAAAAAGTGCTCCCTAATGACAACCTGATAAAGACACCAACTTATTGCTCATCTGGGGGGGCCCTGAAACTCGCACCTCTTCACAACTGGGCCCAGAAAAGGCTAAAAGAAGAGCTCTCATCCGGTGCCCTCCTCTCCTGCCTGTTGTTTGTCTTTAGATTACACAACCAGTTTGGCTTCTCAAGAGAAACTGGGAGTAGGCAAGGTAGCTCTGTTAATTTATTGTCAGGAAATTTGATGAAGTTGCTCTGCTTGACTCGGGGCTTATTTTTTCAGTCCTCCCCAGATCTCCTTCTTTTTGTCTTTGTTTTCTTTCTGCTTGGATTATGTTAGCCATATGAATAATTAGCAATTAGCAGCATACAAATTTCTGTGCGCTAATGGCAGTGGATTTATTTGGCTCCAAAATGTACTGCTTTATTTTTAGACCATTTTAATTTCATGGCTAAATGTTTAAGTTGTGAGTTATAAATTATAAAAAGCAAATGGAAGGCCCAAGGGATGAAGCAATTGGAAAGTATATATGCAGTTAAGATCAATTCATTCCACCTTCGTAAAATAACCCTGTCCACTTTTTAATATTTATCCTTCTTTACCACTCTAAGACAAAAACTGTTCTATGTACTTACTGTTTTCTATGGCCAAATTTAAATTACCCATGGGATGGAAGAAGTGCTAATAATTTAAATCTGCTGACAAAATAAATAAACAGCACAACCACCTCATTTTGACAATTCAAATGAGACTTTGAGTATCTCTGCTAAGGCAAGCTTCAAGTTCCAATGAATTCTCATTCCTCTGCCTTCCTTCATCATTGTGGAGACTTCGGTGGAGAAACATGGATGGAAAAACAGTGGAGGCCTATAGAAGTTCAAGAGAAGTAGAGAAGGTGAGCATGACCATAGGTGGATTGCTCATTTCCCATGAGTTTACTATTGGTTTATTTGGGGTGACTTATTTAGAGTCATATTTTGGTGCTACAGAGTGATCCATAAAGGTGTTCAGTCTCTCCATTCCTCAAGGAGAATGGCAAGAAGGGCCCTTACCAGGACCCTCGGCAGATAGGGTATTTTCCAAGACAGCCCAAAGCATACAAAAGAACAGGACAGAACGTTGATTTCATTTGTCTTGTTCTAACAGCATGTTTTATTCCTGTTGCCCAACTTTTGCTTTGCTCAACACCCTCTAAAGCAACCGAACTGGAGGATAAATAGCGAACTTGAAGGTTCTTCTGGATGAAGACATCTTGTTTCTCTGTTTCTACGCTGTCCTAACTCATTTTCTGTGGGATCAGAAACCATATTTCTTTCCACAAGGCACAATGCATGAAGGAAGTTTAATGATAACAAAGTCAACACCTGGTATAACTGCAGCTTTGCCTGTCTTGTGGGATTATTGTGAAGGCAGAAGGAAACAATTATGTGGAAGATGTGCTATGCACTTGGCACAGAGATCAAAATCGGAAAGGCATGGTTCTGGCTTTCAAAGAGCAAATGGTCTGATTTAGCAGACAGATGTGGAAATAGATGACTATAATTTCATGAGGGGACACTGCTTTATAACCTGCAAAATGAAATATAAATGTTACTGTGTATGGCCTCAAGTCTAGCTTTCAAAGTTTCCTCTCACTGCTTTTACCTTCAGCCATACTGTTCATAATCTTTGGGGTCCAATATTCAATGTAATCGTGCATTCACAGAGTTCTATTCTTAGCTGTTGGAGACTTGGTGCTGTACGGCAGTTTGGTTATTACTTCTTTAGATACTAAAGCTACCAACTTCTCTCTGTCTTCCCTATCCAGCTTTTCTTCCTACATGTGTTTGCCTTTCTCATATTTATAAATATCTTGTCACTGTGTATCTTATTTTTGGCTGTTTTATTTTCCTTGAGGTTTGTCTAATATTATGTGTGTGTATATGTGTGTGTTGGGAGGTGGCCAGGAGGTCTTATGTTAAATGTTATGTTGAAAATGTTAGAAAGTTGAAAATGTTCTCTTACTTGGGATCAAAGCTCCTAAACTATTAGGGGAAATTCAGCCCCTGATATTTCACGTGGGTCCTTTTCTGTTTTTCCTAAGTGTCGGCCAGTCTGAGAAATAAAGGGAAAGAGTACAGAAGAGAGAAATTTTAAAGCTAGGTGTCTGGGGGAGACATTACATGTCGGCGGGTTCCCACATCACATGATGCCCCCTGAGCCGTAAAACCAGCAAGTTTTTATTAGTAATTTTCAAAAGGGGAGGGAGTGTACGAATAGGGTGTGGGTCGCAGAGATCACATGCTTCACAAGGTAATAAAATATCACAAGGCAAATGGAGGCAGGGCAAGATCACAGGACTGGGGTGAAATTAAAATTGCTAATGAAGTTTCCAGCACACATTGTCATTGATAACATCTTATCAGGAGACAGGGTTTGAGAGCAGACAACCAGTCTGACCAAAATTTATTAGGTGGGAATTTCCTCGTCCCAATAAGCCTGGGAGCACTACAGGAGACCAGGGCTTATTTCATCCTTTATCTACAATCATAAAAGACAGACGTCCCCAGAGCGGCCATTTTAGAGGCCTGCCCCTAGGCACCCATTCGCTTTCTCAGGGCTGTTCCTTGCGGAGAAAAAGAATTCAGCGATATTTCTCCTATTTGCTTTTGAAAGAAGAGAAATATGGCTCTGTTCTGCCCGGCCCACAGGCAGCCAGACTTCTCCCTTGTCCCCTGAACATCACTGTTATCCTGTTCTTAAGATGCCCAGATTTGATATTGTTCAAACACACAGGCTCTACAAACAATTTGTGCAGTTAATGCAATCATCACAGTGTCCTGAGGTGACATACATCCTCCTCAGCTTACGAAGATGATGGGATTAAGAGATTAAAGTAAAGACAGACATAGGAAATCACAAGAGTATTGATTGGGGAAGTGATAAATGTCCATGAAATCTTCACAATTTATATTCAGAGATTGCAGTAAAGACAGGCATAAGGAATTATAAAAGTATTAATTTGGGGAACTAATAAATGTCCATGAAATCTTCACAATTTATGTTCTTCTGCCATGGCTTCATCAGGTCCCTCCATTCGGGGCCCCTGACTTCCCGCAACACTAAACTGTAGGTGTAGAAAAATCAGTGGCTGAGCTTACCTTCTTAGCAGCTTATTATTTCTTTTTTCTTTAGCCATGGTTTAGGCAGAAGTAGGCTAGAGTAGGTCAACATGGGAGACACAGGGCAGAGAGGCACAAGGCCATGCAGCCTGGTCAAGTCCATTCAGGAAATGAGGTTTCAAGTCTGGGACAGCAGCACAATGGAGCAGAGGGAATGTGAAATGTCACAAAGTTAAGGAAGCCCTGCTAAGGACCTGGGGTATGGGGGCAGAAACTTGGGTCCTAAGTAACTGAAGAGTGGAGTCAGTGTCCAGATACTGCAGGATCAGGACACAAGAGGCCTGAACAATGGCATCAGGATCCAGCTGCAGAGTGATTCATAGCAGATGACCAACATTTCCACTCTGGCTGGAGCGCCAGGCATGCGGAGTGTATTTCCAGGGCAGCCAGGGGCATTACAAAGTGTAGAGCCAAAGCCTCCACATGAGAGGTCATAAATGCCATAGATCAAACCAGCCCCTAGGCTTAATAACAACAGCCAGCAACTATATCATGCCTCTGTTTGCCAGGCATGCCTCTAAGGAATTCACATATATTACCTATTAATGTACTTCATCTTCATTACCACGTTGAGGGGTGAAGATTATTACTCTCCACATTTTGCTGATGAGGGAGCTGAAGCACATGGAGGTTAAGCCATTTGGCCAAGGTCACTCAGTAAGGAAGTGAAGGACTCAGAAATTGAACCCAGAAAGTCTCTGAAGCTTGGGATCCTAAGTTCTACAGCTTCTTCTTTTTTTCTTTTTTTTTCTTTTTTTTTTTTTTTTGCTCAAGCACTAATTCGTAATAATTTGGAATGAGTTGTCAGCATTTAAAGATTGGAAGATCTATCAGCCTGGGTCTGCATTTCCCCTATGGGAACACATTGCTGGAGCTGGTAACCACTACCTGTTAGATGGTGCATGAACTCTCCAGTTTGCCACAGTCCCTCCCACTCTGTATTGCTTACTCCCAACTCATTTCACTCATTTGTGTTATCTACTTTGTACCATTGAGGTAGTGAGTTTGTAAGCCCCTGGCTCAAGGATCAAAGTGAAGAATACGCATAAATAGGAAAGGAATTCAGGGGTCAGAAGCTGAGCAGAATGGTGGCCATTGGAAATAGACTGTAGGGGGTCCAAGATAGTTATCACTGGATATTCATGACTTGCTTTTAGAGGTCCTTGGGATCAAGAGCATATGGATTGTATAAAATGTTCAAGGTCAAAGTAGCAAGATGTACAGAGATTTTGAAGACAGGTTCTGAGTACACTGAGCCCAGGTCTTCTTTATATGAGCTCTCTGATCATGGTTTAAATTAGGGCCACAGTGGATTTGACTACATTTTTAGAGACAAGACAGCACAAATATTGACCTAGAGGAGGGAAGTCCAGGGTGGTAAGAAGACTGTTGTTCCTTTCATTTGTCAAGGGCAATACAGCAAATTCTCTCTGCACTTGTCAGTGTAAAATTGTTGCCTGGAATGATGACTATGAACAAATACCATCACAAATAAATGCAAATTTGTCATCCACTGAGGTATCTTTGCCTTAGAAACCTGAATAAATCACAGTCCAAATCCCACTTCCACACTCTGTGGAAGTTTAAAGTCCTGCCCAGGATTTCTGGACATATTCACGGCATGTTTACGTTCGTGGCAACCTCTGTCTCCTGGCTGCTGCTTTCCTGCCTCAGAATCCAACCGACCTCTTCACTTTGTCTTCCACACACAAAATATCCTGCACACAGAAAATGTTTACAAGTAGAGTGGGGGAGAGAAGGAGTATTTCTAGTGCAGTAACACAAATGTTCTTTAATTTAATTTTAGGCATCTAGAAATTTCCTTCACCCACCCAACCACAGAGGATTCACCACTGCCTCTTTCCTGAAGATGAGCTTTGGCATCACCCTGTGCATCACTTTCAGCATCACCCCTCCCACCTTCTTCTGCTTTCTCTGGTCTCCTCTCCTCCCTCGGGCACAGCAGGGTTTCCGCCTCTGGAATCATGCAAAGTCCTTTGGTTCTATTTTATAGTTCCACCTCCTTCAGATAGCACGTTTTTATCCTCACGATCTCAGCTACCAGATCAAAGGTTAATTTCCCAAATAAGAAACATTCTAGTAGCAGTTACTAAGAGAATGAGAATTTCACCTCCATACTTCAGCACAATGCCGCTTTCTTTGAACCCTGGAGAGACTGCATGATTGTGCAGATTCTTTTCTCTGTTGTGGTATGCTAATGGAAGAGCCCCTCCATGGGAGGAGTCAAGGAGAGCATGTCCTCTGACTCACAGAAAGGGCATGCAGTGGACAGGAGCCCACAGTTCTACTCTACACAGAAGTTGGAATCTCAGAGTATGGGAGTTAAAAAGGATTAATGTAAACTTTTCAGGTTATAACATTTTTTCCTCTTGAAGTCACCTGAAAGAGAATATGAGCCTCATTTCTACATGAAAATAAACATCCAAGCCTTCATTCCCCAAGGCACAACAATTAACTATAATGCCAACGTTACTTTAATTTCCTGGATAACTAAAACTAAAGAAGAGAACCCTTCTGGGGACTGGCTCATAGCACTTACAGTTTTTTTTAACACGGTAATTCTCCAACCCCCACACACATCAGAATGTCCCAGAGCAGTGGTCCCCAACTTTTTTGGCACTAGGGACGGGTTTTGTAGAAGACAATTTTTTTCAGGAATGGGGTCGGGGGTGAGGGGAATGATTTTGGGGTAAAACTGTTCCACCTCAGATCATCAAGCATTAGTTAGTTAGATTCTCATAAGAAGTGCACAATCTAGATCTCTCGCATGCACAGTTCATAATAAGGTTCCTGCTCCTTTGAGAATCTAATGCCACTGCTGATTTGACAGGGGGTGGAGCTCAGGCTGCAATGCTTGCTCAGCTGACACTCGCCTCCTGTGCGGCCCGGTTTCTAGCAGACCGCGGACAAGTACCAGTCCGCACCCCAGGGGTTGGAGGCTCCTGCCCTAGAGTTCTCATTGAAACACAAATTGCAGAGCTTCACTCTGGACTTTCTGATTTTGGAAATCTGCGGTGAGGCCTGAGAATTTGTATTTCTACATGCAAATTTAGAGAATTTAAATTTAAAGACTGAATCACAGAGCCGTGTGTGTGTGTGTGTGTGTGTGTGTGTGTGTGTGTGTGTGTGTGCTGATCCTACATTGTCTTCTATAAATGGGCTTATTTTTCAGTTTTCACCACCACAGCCTCAGCTGTTTCTAATTTTCTAGGCAAACCGAGGAAGACTTGGGGATGGAAGGTGATAGCACACCTGATTATCCTACTTTATTTTGGAAGGTGGCATTTAATCCAATTCAGAAATACAGAGCCCCTAACTGGCTTCAAATCCTCCCAGAAGACAGGACTGTCTCTCTTGGACAACGTTTGCAGATCTTTCTAGGTAAAGGAAAAAAAGATCAGTCCGGACACATGATGGTGGGTCCAGCCAAACTGGAAATGTACCTTTAACTTTCAAGGGTTTTTAGATGCAGAATAAAATAAAGGTAATTTTGAGACAGGGAGAATATAAGGGCATATGAATCAGTTACTCTGTCTAGATGTCAACCTCCCAGAATCCTCCTAAGACCTTGGGATTTCCTCACTGTGAGCTCTCTTTGCAGCCCTGGTAACCATCAGCTTACCCTGATGATTGACATCTGCCAATCTTGGCCAGTGTCACCATGGCAACCACTTTTTCCATTGGCTGAGGTGTGTCTTATCCGATGCTGCTTCCTGCCAAAACTAAATACTCCTTTATGTACTTCATGGCTCAATTTACACTGATTTATCTTGTATAGGGTTATATCAGTAACCAAAAATTTTTTGTGTTTGATTACATGAGTCCATGAGACATCATGACTCTCAGATGAAGAATCCTTGTAATCAAATGCCATTTAGAATAACTTAAACTTTCTTCTTGTCATTTGGTCCCTTCTTCTAAAAATGGAATGCCCCTAAAGAAAATACAGTTAATAGTGTTAGCCTGAGGTTAGCCCAGTTAGTTGGGTTTTACAGGGAGGAATAGCTTTGTTATTAAGTCCTTTTCAACAAAAAGGGATTTGTGATTAAAAGAGTCCATCTTAAATCCTGAGAAGCTGGATTATCTTGCACCCCAGAGGCAAAGCTTAGCTGAGCGTGCATTGCTGGATTCCACTAGCCAAAACTGTCCTGCAAATGTATGGCTATTTATCCAATAAATGTCTGCAAAGTAATTGAAGAAGAGGATGGTGAGAAGGAACAGCCCTTGGCAAATTTGTGAATTCACAAAAGATAATCTTTGTCCTCAGCCTCCTTTTTCATCTTTTACCCTTACCTGATTGAGTTTTGAGGTGCACTGCAAATTTCAACTTTTCTGTAAGATTTAAATCATTAAAAAATAAAAAATTTAAATATACTTTGACTTTATTATTGAATGAAAGATAGTTTCCAACAGTGACCCATATACCTTTTCACTTTTCTGACATTCTGTGTCTCACCTCTTCTCATCCAAAAATATTGCTACTCCTAATCATATTGTTCCTGGGGGCAAAGAAGTCTTTCTGAAATACAATTTCTGTCCAATTTATTAAAGGAAACTATTACTTTGCAAGTTGTTTTACATGTGTTACTTCATGGGATCCTCACAAAATCTATAGAAGTAACTAATCCCTGATGAGGAAACTAACACAGGCAAGAATGAGCAAATTGCCCAGTGTCACACAGCTTTCAGTGGCAGGCCAATGTGACAAAAAAACCCATCCTATTTTCTAAAGATGTGCACCCATTTCCTTCTTCCCAATCGAGGGAAAATCTGATGCTCCATAGGGGGAAGGACAGCTCCCATAATAGATCTTGCCAACTGTGAAATAGACTATTTCACATGGAGATATAAAAAGCAGGCAGAAAGGAGATGTTAATGATACTTGAAACTCCTTCTCCATATCTTTGCATTTCCAGATGCTGAGTGGGAAAATCTGTCTGTCCCTAATTACTTTTGACAGCCTCAAAAATGAAGTCAGGTCACAGCTACAGTCAGGCTATTCAGTTAGAATACTCAGGCTGCAGCTGAATTTATTACAAAAGGACAGAGAAGAATTTCATTTTAATATATACAACTCAGTCATTGCTAAAAAAGAATCAGCAGAGGCAAAGCTGAAACTACAGATAATTGAAGGAAAAATAATAATTGTTACAGAAATGCAAGGTACATTTCTACAGAACCAGATAAATACCTAAGTCAGCATTTAAATCATAGTTTCTAAATTTATCTGTCCTCTGAGATGCTAAAGCAATGTTCTAAACAATCTGCAAAAAAAGATTGAACTGAATAATGAAAATAATAAAACAGAACATTATCCTTGAAACCTCAATGGTCTTTAAGTCTGTTCTTCAAAAGAAAGCATCATTTCCCATAGTAAGATCCTGAAGCTCTTTTGACTCAAGCTCCCCACTCATTCTTTGAACTCGCTGTGTTCACCTGGGCCTTGGCACATTTCCTCCTGCCATTGTCCCTGACTGGCATGCCCCTGACACTGTCCTCTGCCTATTTTGGTCCTGTATTCCTCCACAGTCCAGCTAAATTTTTTTCCTCCAGGTGTTCTTCCCTGACCACCTTCCATAGCACAAATGGTCCATTCAAAAGATAGTTATCATACCTATTCACGTGGTCATTCTCACATGATAATCTTCAATGACAGTTGAGATCTTGAATCATATTTTAACTTTCTGTATATAGCATCCTTGTCTCTTTATCCAGTTTTGGAAGTTCTTTGAGGCAACTTTTGCCTTCAGCATGACTAGATGGAGAGAGTAGCCTTCACCTCTGGTAGGAAAAGCAATGGACTGTTGGACAGAATGGAAGGTAGATGGGAGGAGGCAACAGGCAGAAGAGGTTGGGTAGAGGTGGGATATTCAGCCAGCAACTTACATGGGTATGGGGGCTCAAGGAACAAGTCTGGTAGATCTAGATAAAGAGATTGGAGAAAGAAATTTATTAGCAGTGGCAGTGTTAGAGGTTTGGAAGTAAAGGAACAGAGAAAGCTAGCTTCTGATCTCTAAAATTGAAGAAGTTATCCTTGGAAAATGAGGCAGAATTATGTAAAATAAAGAGCATAAGTTTCAGAGTCAGACAACTGTACTGAGACCCTGGGTCTCCCACTGCCTATTGGAGTCAAATCAGGCCAGCTCCTTCAGCTCTGTGGTTTCCTCATCTGTAAAAAGGCAATAAGGGGACTTATTTCTAAGCACCAGCTGGGAAGATAAAATGAGATACCATACATAACCTTGTAGCTGTTCATCCATATCCTTCCCTCCTAGAAGGAAACTATAAGATGGCTACTGGGGTCCCAGGATTGGAAATGGGGCCAGCGGGAAGGTGTAGAAGACATTTTGAGAGGCAAAGCCAGTCTAACACACCTGAAGCAAATCTTGGAGTTCACCTCCATTATGGTGAGAGCCAGGGGACAAAGAAAATGACATCACAGAACTAAAATATGATGAAAATAATATAATTTTTCCATCATAAGTGTGTGTGCACTATATTCACAGCACTTGCTGGGTTCTAGAGAACCAAGGATGATGAAGAAAACACAGTCTTGCAGCCCGAATGCTAAATAACCATGTGTCTCATAACAGACACTATCTGGCTCTAAAATTTTTGAAATATCATTACTCTACATTAGGTATATCTCCTAATGCTATCCCTCCCCCCTCCCCCAACCCCACAACAGGCCCCGGTGTGTGATGTTCTCCTTCCTGTGTCCAAGTGTTCTCATTGTTCAATTCCTACCTATGAGTGAGAACATGCAGTGTTTGGTTTTTCGTCCTTGTGATAGTTTGCTGAGAATGATGGTTTCCAGCTTCATCCATGTCCCTACAAAGGACATGAACTCATCCTTTTTTATGGCTGCATAGTATTCCATGGTGTATATGTGCCAATGGGTGCAGCACACCAACATGGCACATGTATACATATGTAACAAACCTGCACGTTGTGCACATGTACCCTAGAATTTAAAGTATAATAAAATATATATATATATATAAAAGAAATATCATTACTTTAAACCAGAATATAAGCTGGAGTAACTAATTACATGCTAGCCAGCTTAACATCATTCATAAGAAAATACTAGAAACAGTTGTGTGAAAGAAACAACCTGACAAGCCTACGGTAATTTGATTAGGAACAAACAATATGCTTTTAATGGGAAAAGGTGCTCTAACGGCTCACTGGCTGGCTTCTTTTGAAGTCACCTACTGCCTTGATGTCTGAGTTTTGACCAACATTCTTCCAAATAACTAGAATATATTTGGGGCGCAACCATATTAGAGCCAGCAGCTCAGGATATTTTTTAAGTGTGGAAGCAGAACTAATAATAAAACCAATGGAAGCCAATTTCAAGATATCTAAATGTTCAAGTGAAACAGACAGTGTGGGAAAAAGATATAGTTTAAATCTGAGAAAACCTCAGATAAAACATATATATTTAAATTTTAGAGTTCACATTCAAAATAAATATCCTCAACCTTTCAAAAATATTGTGTAACAGCCAAAAGACCCACGGTGGAAAAATTTTAGTTAGTTGACAAATGGAGCAATATTAGGCAACTTGATTCATTATACTAATACTGAAGTTATTCTTGCTATGTATATATGGGAATTCAAAAATAAGGAGACAGTGGATAAATGAGTAAATGAATGAATGAATGAAAAAGTAAATAAATAAGGGAGTGAAGTGAGTGAATTAATAAAGTAAAGAATAATACAATGAAAATGGTTAAGTAGAGATATCTGGAACTAAAATACTGGAGATGAACCTCCCTTAATGCCGCATATAATTCATGGCACAGTCGACCCCTTTTAGTTTCCCTTGGTTCTGCATGAGTGCTCTGTCTAGCCACATGCTGCCTAAAAGTCAAAATCTAAAAGGGGAACAAGCATGGTTTCTGGCACCTTGAAAGCCAGACAGGCACTCTCTGAGGCACTCTCTGAAGGCCTGGTGGAATGTGGTGGGGGAATAACCAGGGGGTCAGCCCACGCAGATTCACTCCTTTCTGGGTGTGGGGTTGGCTCCTCTAATGTTGATTCATGCCCTCTATTTTTACGGTGTTTGATTCCATCCTACCCCAGAGCAGCAAATTTATATTAATATTTTGCTTCATTTCCAGTGATAAATTCTTGCTTTACTCTAGCACTAACCTGCTATGTGATCCTAGGCAAAACACACCATTTATCTTTGTCATGTGGAGATGATCACAGCTACCTCCCGGTGCTGTAGAGCTGTAAGGTGCAATCCTTCAACCAGCATTAGAAAAGTTCCCTCTATCTCTTCGGAGATTTTTCTAAGATACCCACTGGTTTGTAATTGTAACACCTGCGCTACCTAGGACCAGGTTATCTGGGGATTGACATAAGCTAATTCATGCCAAAGGCTGTTGAAGATATTGATATTACTATACAACATCAAAATAAGACATTTTTGACAAAACTATTTTCAAAGGGATCAGTTTTATCAGACTTACTGGAGGAGATATTTAATAGTATTAGTTTAAATGATCTCTAAACATTTGGCTCTGTCATAAAAGAAAACTTGGTAAGTAAAACCTCCTCTGTATTCATTTCTCTCTAGAAAACTAGAAACTGTAAATGGTGAGATGAAAATTAATAATGTGAAGACATTAGACCTGAACTCCTTGGTAGCTGGGACTACTTTATTGTTTCCATCTCCCCAGGATCTAGCAAAGTGCTAATTCCAAAATAGAAGCCCACAGATAATTCTTGAATTAATTGAGGAACATTCTCCAGGCCACACAGCTCATCAGAATGACACAGATTCTCAAATTCTTGTTTCTCTACAAAGAAAAGGAGAGTGCACAATTAATTATCTTTACATAAATATCTGTGAAATGCTAAGCATCTTTTTTAAGAATTCAGTGAATTATCTCCAATTTCTTTACTATTGCTAATGATGATGAACATTCCCTAATTCCCTCAAATTGGAAGCTTTAGATTTACCCTCTGCAGGTCAGAGTATTGATGAACTACCTGTCACAGTGACAGGCAAAATGACAGCTCTCATGCCAAATTCACTTACATGTCTGGTGCGGTCTGGGTTGTACATTATTTTGTGTTAGTGAAATTGAAAGGGAAATGAAAAAAAAAGGCCTGGAAATTAATTCAATACAAAAAGCTTCTTATTGGCTGGTAAAACAACTGAGAAACCATGTGACATTTGACCCTCCCCAGGAATAAATCTCAATTTGATCAGAAGTCAGAATACTGACTTTAAAACTGGAGGGACAGAAGTGATGTTACCAACATTGTGAAATAGGAGTTTCCAGAGCTTATTCCCTCACAAAAACATCCATTTAAACAACCATTCACAGTTAAAATACCTTCGGGAGAGCTAAGGAATTCAGGTGAGAGATTAAAACACCTTGGCGGAGCACAAATGAGGAAGGATGCTTTGAAGAGGGTAGGAAGGATGGTTTCATGTTACCCACATCACCTCTGTCTCAAGCTCATGCAGCAGAGCACAAGGAGATGCCTTCTTCATGGGGGTAGAGTGAGCACCTGACTTCACCATGGACCCCAGCACAGGCCTGTCCCCAGTGAATGTGAGGCTGGCCCCCATGGTCCTGAGCTCCAGGCCCACCACTTCTATTCAACATAGCACTGGAAGTTCTAGCTAGAGTATTCAGGCTAGAAAAAGAAATAAAAGGCATTTAATTCAGAAAGGGAGAAACAAAATTGTCTTTGTTTGAAGATGACATGATCTTATACATAGAAACCCCCTAAGAGTCCACCAAAAATCAGTAGAACTAATGAATGAATTCAGTAAAGTTGCAGGATACAAAATCAACATACAAAAATAAGTTGCCTTTCTATACACGAATGAGCTGTCTATATACAACAAAGTTTCAATACACAATGTATGTGTATGTATGTGTGTGTGCACATGTGTGTGTATGTGAAATGGACTTTCTATAAACAATGAATTACTTGAAAAAAGAAATTTAAAAAATCAATTCCATTTATAGTTGCATCCAAAAAAAACTTAGAAATAACTTTAGCCAATATACAGACCTGTGTACTGAAACTGTAAAAAAAAAAAATGAAATAAGTTGGAGACACAAATAAATGGAAATACATGCCTTGTTCATGGATCAGAAAAATCAATATTATTGAAATGTCCATAGTACAAAGTGATCTATGGAATCAATGCAATCCCTAAGAAAATTCAAATAACATTTTTCATAGAAATTAAATAAAAAAAATCCTAAAATTTGTTTGGAACCAGAAACAATCCATAATAGCTGAAGCAATCTGTAGGAATAAGAACAAAGCTGGAGGCCTCACACTATTTGACTTCAAAATGCACTACAAAGCTATACTAATCAAAGCAGCATGGTACTGGAACAAAGCAGACATATAGGCCAATAGAATAGAATAGAAGGCCCAAAATAAGGCCATGCCTTTACAGTCAATTGATCATTGGTAAAGGTGCCAAGAATATACAATGAGGGAAAGAGTTTTAATAAATGGTGTTGGGCAAACTAGGACATCCACATGCGGAAGAATGGAATTTAAACTTCATGTCACCCCATATAAAAAATCAACTTAAAAAGATTTAAATGTAAGACCTGAAACTACTATAAAACTACTAGAAGAAAAAACATGAAAAACTTTCTTAGCATTGGTCTCAGCAATGATGATTTTGGACGTGACCCCAAAGCCCAGGAAAAAAAGCAAAAATATACAAATTAGATTGCATCAAACTAAAAAGCTTCTGCACAGCAAAAGAAACAATCAACAGAGTGAAGAGACAACCTACAGAGTAAGAGAAAATATTGGCAAACCATACATACATCTGATAAAGGTTTAATATCCACAATATGTCAGGGACTATAACAATAGAACAGCACAAAAAATTTTTAAATTGGCAAAGTTCCTAAATAGACATTCCTCAAAATGTCTATTTTGGGACATTGGGGTGGGAGAGACATAGAAATGTCCAGTAGGCATATGGAAAAATGCTCAACACCACTAACCATCAGGGAATACAAATCAAAACCATAATGAGATGTCACTTCACACATGTAAGAATGGCTATTACCAAAAAGTACCTCATAAAGTTGTCATAAAAAAAAGGTGAGGGGATAAGGATAGAGAAAGCTTGACAGATTAAGAACACAGCCAGAATGAGCAGAGAAAGAAGAGCCTTTACTTTAATACTAATCGGACTCTTAAAAATCACCAAATTCTGTATTTCCTAAAGTGAGTTGTGTTCAACAATAGTCCTGTAAGATGAGAGCAAACTATTCCAAGATCAAATAAATGTGAGAAATGGATGAATGTTTTATCAGTACATATCAGCATAATATATAGGCTTTGAGAAGTCCTGTAAAAAATATTTAATTTATTTCCCTGTGTACTCCCCAAACTTATTTCAAGTGACACCTACTCCAAGATGCCATTGTCTAAGCCAACCCTTTCATGTAGACACAAGAAAAACTGTGTGGCTCATTAGAAGACAGTGGTAGTCAAGAACAGAGGCTTTGACAGACACGTGTCTGGGCCTGTTATATCACACACTTAGCAGCGAGATCTCGAACAAGTCATGGAAACCCTCTAAATTTCAACCCTCTAAATCTCAACATTCCTTCTGTAAAATGGGATAAAAAATAGAACATAAACCAGAGGGTTTTTCTGAGGACTAAACAAGTAATTCATGTAAAATGCTGAGTTCAGCATTCAGTATAATGCAGGCTGTAATAAACACTAGACTTCATGGGTCAGTAGAGAAGCTGTGACTGCAATGTGCATTTCAGACATCCTCCTGCCCATCACCTTGTACTGCTGATCCATCAGTGAGGAAACAACTCTGAGTAGGTCAGGATCTCCCAGGGACCTTCATTCCCCACACTTAGTATTCCATTCCACAGCTAATTTCCTCCCTTCCTGTCATTGCCATCTTACAAGGAGCATGAGGGGAAAGCAAATGATGCAGAAGGACTGACTCAGAGTGGAAGAGGAGTCTGTCCTCCTGAGGCTCACTATGAGGGCAGGCATGCTGCTTCACTCCAATTAGTTTAAACTTTTTGGGTCATTTTTGTTGTTCTTCTAAATAAGGATACAATGAACCTCCGTGAGGTGGGGGCTTGGGGTGGAGAGAAGCATTAAAGTTTCAAACTCAGAAAAATCTCTAGAAAACAAATCAAAGTAGAAAACAGGTTTCTATTTGGGTTACCTGCAACGAACATGAACCAAACATCCAAACATTTAAGATTACTAAGAAATGCTGTTGGTTCTTAATATTAAGACGTGCTTTTATTTGATTATCCTGCTCTATTCACAAGTCCTCATCTCCAAATTTATGACATGAACAATGTGCATCCCGTCAGACCTGGAGCCTCCCCCACCCACCGCCCCGCACAGCACAGGCAGCCTTTCAGAACACATGCTGGGAAAAGATGGGGTTGCCATAGCAACAGCATCCAGCACTCGGGAATCCTCCCTCCCCTTAGCACCCTCTATGCCAGGCCCTCATCTTCCCTGGCAGATTTCTTTAATTTTCCTTTATGATTTACCTGCAGGGGACTATTCCTGCCTCACTATGCTAAGCCCTGGACCTCTGGGTAGGTAAAGCATCCAGGATCAATATGATGACTATGTCCTGTTATTCCTCAACCAGGATGTACATGAAAATCATTCATAACTTGAAGCATGGGTGCCTATGCCTGATTCCAGACCAGTGGATTCAGACTTCCTAGGAATTCCATTTGAAAATCTGGACATATTTAATAAGCTCCACTAATTTTGAGAGCTGCTCATTTACTTCAACCCTTTTATTTTAACCATAAAGAAAATGAGATCCTAAAGTTTCTAGGAGATAAGTGAACCAAACCTCCTGACCCCCTGGCAATTTATTTATATTTGACAGGCAAACTGAGTTCAATTTAATGTTCTCAAGTTCTGGGAGAATTCTCTGCATGTGCTTGTTATGTGCCCAGTTTTATAACATATCCTTTTCCCAAATTCCTTGCCACTAATTTGCTTGATTGACTGGCTGCTTGGCTTGTCTCTAAGTGTGGCTAATTATAAAGTATCTCTAGAAGTACTATGAGATGTCTTCCAGCTGCCATGTGTTTTTATTGGCTTCAGTATAGATTTTCTATCAAATAAATATTTCTGGTCTACCTAATGGCTAAAAATCCCTTCCTCCACTTTGCCAATTTCTTATGATCCTGTGAAGTTGGATTCAGAAATAACACAGAGACAGTGGATTCTGATTATTTGTAAACTATTACAGATTTATTTTCCAGTCTTTAGCAATAAATGACCAATAACTTTTCTTTGTTACTGAGAATGTATGAAAGATGCACTAAACACAGAACACGCTGGTTGGAGCAGATGAATAATAAACTATTTTCTATTTATTTCTAAACTACCAGCTCTTGGAAACTGATCAAATGGTGGTCAATTTCTAACAAGGCAGACCCCGGGTGGTAAGCAACTCTAAAAATCAGACTGTAGACAGTTAGACTGTGAAATTCTTAGTATAAATGATACATTAGGTGACAGCTTCCTACCTCTACTTAACCCAGACTCCTTTGGTGGGGTGGAGGTGAGAAGAACAACCCTATGAAGCAGGTGCTTTGCCTAACTCCTTTCACCTTAAGCAGGGTTTCTCAACTTCAGCACTGTTGACATCTTGGGCTGAGAAGCCTTTGTTGTTGGGAGCTGTCCTGTGTGCATTGTAGGATTATTTAGCAGCATCCTTGGCCTCCACACACTAGGTGCCAGCAGAAACCCTCTCTCGTGTGATAACACAAATGTCTCCAGACACTGCCAAATGTCCCCTGGTGGGCAGCGTCACTCCCAGATGGGAGGCACTGCTCTGGAGTTTATTGGCCTGGATATTCCATCTGTGATTCATCCCAATAGCTACTTTTAGGGTAATGTTTCCCTCCCTAGTCTCCACCAAACTACCTAGTTAATCCTTTCTTTTTAAATCTTTATTGATATATAATTTACATACCACAGAATTAATCCAAAGTGTACGGCTCAATGGTTTCAGTACATTCACAGAGTCGTACAATCATCACCACGATGTAAGTTTAGAATATTTTTATCACTTCAAAAATAAACTTCTTACCCATTAGTATTCACTCCCTACTCCACCCTCTCCTCAGCCCTAGGCATTCACTACTTTACTTCTATCTCCATAGATTTGCCTATTCTGGAATTGTCGCATATTTAGAATCATACAATATGTGATCTTTTGTGATTGCCTTCTTTCATTCAGCATAATACTTTCAAGGCTCATTCATTTTGTAGCGTATGTCAATACTTCACACCTTTTTATTATTGAATAATATTTCATTGTGTAGACGTACCATTTTGTTTATCCATTCATTAGTTCATGGATATTTGAGTCATTTCCAGGGTGTTTTTTTTTCAATAATGAATAATGGTGTTTTAAACATGCATGCACAACGTTTTTTTGCATGCATGTGTGTTTTAATTTCTCTTGGGGATATACCCAGGTGTAGAATTACTGGGTCAAATTTAACTCTATGTTTAAATTTTTTAATAACTCCCAAATAGTTTTCCAGTAGCTGCCCTATTTTACATTTTCAACAGCAGCGTGTGAGGGTTCTAATTGCTCCACATGTCTACTTTATGCTTGTGATCCACCTATATTTACTGGGGAAACATCTCCTAGGTGCTTATTCAATTTAGTAATATTACATAAATACTTGGCTAGACTGAGTGCATGCCGTTTGGTGGTAATGTAAATATAAAAGGATTAGCATTCTATTATCTCCAGATGGCAAGGTTTTATTATTACCACCTATACAGGTTATTATAAGGATAAAGGGCTACAGAGCAATCATTTATAGCCAAAGTCTTTGGTTTGTCAAACCACTCCATCTCTACCTACCTTCCTTCAAGCTCTGCATATTTAACATCCCTATGAAACTAACCACCTATTCAAGTGTGCACTCTGCAGTTAGTTACTTTTGGAAGAAGTTGACTTTCCAAAATTGGACTTTCTATTTATGAATTTGTTGAGCTTTATTTTACTTTTTATATGGCCAAAGTGACTGCTGGTTAGATCAGCTTTAGAATTTTTCTGTAACCATGCTTGGAAGATATAGTTTGCCTGGTTTTCCATGTGGTTAAACCAACCAAAGATTATTCTCTGGGGAACTTGCGGATCGGATGACAAATGCTTCCTCTGATCAATTTTAAGGGGAAATGGAGAAGACGTTCATCCAGAAACATGTCATTTTCCTTGTCTTTTAGACGATAACAATCCTACCCCCAAGCTCTTGAGTCATTTAATCAATGGTCCTGTAGTTAACTAACACCACAGGATGGCTGCCCTGCAGGTAACAGTAGCACACATGGACAACAGTAACAGGAGCTCATGTGCATTAGGCACTTGCTGTTTGTCAGGAGCTATGCTTACTCAAAATTTTCTTCTTATTTAATTATTACAACAGCCCTGTAAGATAGATATTATTTTACAGGTGAGAAAATTAGGGAGCTTAAATAACCCTTTCTAGATATCCGAGCTGGGAAATGATGGAGTTGTGATTTTAACTAGGCCGACCTGCACTAATACTCACTCTCCTCTGGCTCCCTGGTACTTGATGGGGTGTATAATTTGGAATGCTCAGCGGCTCAACATCTTCAAATGTTCGACAAAAAAAAAAAACAGGATTTAATTAGAAATGCATGATGGATATGAAATCCTTTCATTCCTCTAGATACTTTGAAGTATCCCTGGATTAAGGTAGATTTATAAACAGCCACACACCTGATCCAGATCACTTTGCTCCCCACAAAGACTGCTTATTCTTAAGTGTGCTGTGGCATGATGCCTTAAGCCTGCATTGAGGGATGTTGTCAGAAAGAGCCTGGGGGCACTGATCTTGATTTCCAGGATGGAAAGGCAGTGGTCAAGGTCATGGACAGTATTATTTGTATGCTTGCTCTGTCACTTATAGCTGGGTGAGCTTGGACAAAGTTTTAACCTTTCTGTGATTCAATTTCCTCATCTGTAAAATGCAGGTGTTGACTGAACTATGGGGTGAGGGGAAGTTTCTTTCCACCTTCTGAAGTCTTAGTAATTTGAGCCTGTAGTATAGACTTGACAGCTGACAGGTTAATAGGAAAAAGGCACACAGATTTAACATGCATATACACAGGAGCCTGACAAATATCAAAAGACTTAAAGATGGGCAAGGCAGTTAAGCTTAAATAGCTTTTTGAGCTACAGAAAGAAATAGGATCTTGAGGCTTCTGGTGAGGAGGTGGTGACTCAAGCTATGGGTGGGTTAAGGGAGGAAATGCATGATGAGCATAGCCTGTCTTATTCTACTGACAAAGTCCCTCAGATAGTAGTCCTCAGAAGTCTCCTTTCCTATGAGTTATCTACTCTGTTTGATGACATTCTAGTGGGAAGGCTCATGAAAATTACATGCCTCTGGAGGAACTTCCTGTAGTCAGATAAGGGAACTTCAGAGAAAGCCCCTCCCTGCACTTTGAAAGGGAAAGAGGGGTGAGAGACAGGGGGTGGGAGAAGGTCAGAGAGAGAATGGCTCTCCTTTAGATCAAAGCATTCAGCATTCCAAACCGCCATACTTTAGGGCATTGTTTTCCAAACCCAAATAGTATTTACTTCATGTAACTTTTCTGAGCCCCAGTGGTACCTACTTCAAGTAATTACTTTATATGATTAAAAGTTAACATATGTCAATTACCTGGGATAGTAGCTCTCACAGAGTTGAGGCAAAATGTGTGCCCCATAATGGTATTTAGATCAAACAGGTATCTTTGGTTCCATGCAAGAGAAATCTACTTTTCCTAAATTGAGCAGAAAAGGCAACTTAATGGAAAGAAGCTCACAGAACTTGATAGCCTGGGGAGGGTCAGGAACCCAGCAACGGTGAGAACCCAGACAGCAGAAGGAGATGGAGAGCCTCTTGAGGATTCACAGTATAAAATGCTATCCATTTGTAAAATCATAAATAGTTGTGCCTCTTACGAATAGTTGGTTGGTTTTTGCCTTGTAGATGTTGTGAAATTTTTAACTGCTCATGTTTCCTTTATTGGGATGGTTCCTAGAAGGTTTAAAACTGTGTTAGTGGCTCATCTCTGGCAAATGGATAAACTGTGTGTCTGGAAGTTTTCATACTATCCTGGCTCTGTCATTTTCACTACATGTAATTATCAGTTGCCTCAGATATTTCATTTATTATAAATCCACTCTATCTTGGGTGCTATAGTGGCTACCATTTATTTAGTGATTTCTATCTGCCAGGCATGTGCTTAGCACCTTAAATGCATTATTTTATTTAATTCACACCCTCATCCCCCAAAAAAGCCTGAAATGAGGCTGCTGCTATTATCCCATGTTACAGTGGAAGATGCTAAGTTTCAGAAGAACTAAGTAATTTGCATAAGTTCACATAGCTATTAAGAGGTAGAATTAAGTTGAGTTTCAAGCATTTAAAAGTGACATAAACTTTTAGTCATACTGAACTTCTCAGTTCAGTTTTCGCACACCCTTGATTGTATTCTTAAACAATAATAGTGGTGGTGTAAATACCCACTGGTAACATTAATTGACTATAAAATGTATAGCAGCACTGTGCTAAATGAGTCACTTTTATTATCTCACAGAATTTTGAGTCAGTGCTGTGAAATGAATTGTGTCCTCTCAAAATTGATAGATGGAAGCCCTAACCCTAATGTGACTGCATTTGGAGACAGGGCCTTTAAGGAGGTAATTAAGGTTAAATAAACTCAGAAAGGTGAGGCCCTAATCCAAAAAGACTGGTGTCTTCCTAAAGAGGAAGAGGTGCCAGGAATGTGCACGTGCAGAGGAAAGGTCATGAGAGGACACAGCAAGAAGGCAGCCGCTATGAGCCAAAGAGAGAGCCCTCACAAGAAACCAACACTGTCGGCACCTTGAGCTTGAACTTCCTGCCCCTAGAACTGTGAGAAAATTCATTCCTGTTGTTTAAGCCATCTAGCCTGTGGTGGTGTTACGGCAGCCCAAACAGACTCATACAAGCAAGTATTGTTACCATCGCCTCTTCAAGGAGAGAAAAGATTCAGACATTGGATTTGGCTATATATATATATATATTTTTTTTTTTCATATGGCACCAAGAGCATAGGCAACAAGAGAAAAAAGTTGAACATCGTAAGAATTAATAAACCTCTGTGCATTAAAGGACACAATCAACAGAGTGGAAAGGTTACCTATAAAAAGGGAGAAAATATTTGCAAACTTTATATCTGATAAGAAATTGTCAGGCCTCTGAGCCCAAGCCTCCTTGTAATCATCCAGATGGCCTGAGGCAACTGAAGAACTACAAAAGAAGTGAAAATGGCAGGTTCCTGCCACCGAGTACCTTGTGACCCCCGCCCCTGCCCGCCAGAGAACAACCCCCTTTGACTGTAACTTTCCGCTACTTACCCAAATCCTGTAAAAACTGCCCCACCCCATCTCCCTTTGCTGACTCCTTTTTTGGACTCAGACTGTCTGTACCCAGGTGACTAAAAAGCTTTATTGTTCACACAAAGCCTGTTTGGTGGTCTCTTCACATGGATGCACGTGACAGAAATTACCGTCCAGAATGTTTTTTTAAAAAACTCCTACAACTCAACAACCCAATTAAAAAATGGTCAAAGGACATGATTTGGTGCTTTTTTCCCAGGAAGTCATATAAATGATGAATAAGCACATGAAAAAATCATCAACATCAATAATCATTAGAGAATCGCATCAAAACCACAAGGAGATGCCACCTCACACACATTAGGATGACTACTGTTAAACAGAAATTACAAATATTAGTGAGGATGTGGACAAATTGGAATCCTTGTGCACTGTTGGTGGAGTCGTAAAATGATGTTGCCACTATGGAAAACAGTAGGGCAGATTCTAAAAAAATTAAAAATAAAATTACCATTTATCATCCAGCAACTTCACTCTTAGGCATATGCTCCAAAAAATTGAAATCAGAGGCTCAAACAGATGCCTGTACGTCCATGTTCATAGCAGCATTATTCACAACAGCCCTTATTCATTTTGGTGGAAACAACCAAATGTCCACTAACGGATGAATGGACAAAATTTCTACCCTACAATGGACTATTATTTAGTTTCGAAAAGGAAGAAAAGTCTGATACGTGCTACAACATGGATGAACCAGAAGACAGCTATGCTATGTGAAATAAGCCAGTCACAAAAGTACAAATATTGTAGGATTCTGCTTATATGAAGTACCTAGTGTAGTCAAATTCATAGATACAGAAAGGAGAATGGAGAACGTAAGAGGCTAGGGAATGGGGGATGGAGAGTAGGGGAATGGAGAATGTAAGAGGCTAGGGAATGGGAGTTGTTTAATGAGAACAGCTTCAGTTTTTCTAGATAAAAAGAATTATGGAAATGGTGATGATGGTTGCATACAATGTAAATGTACTGAACTATACACCTAAAATGGTTAAGATAATAAATTTTGTTATGTTTATGTTTACTATACTTTTTTAAAAAATTAAGCCACATAAAAGCCCCACATATTTGTAAATTTTTTAAAATTCTAACTTTCTTAGAAGTAAAAGAAGAAATCAAAATCTTAGAACTGAATCATAAAAACTCTCTGTAACATAACAGATAAGGATAACGTGGTGTTTTAAATCCTTAACACTTTAGAAGGAAACATATAATAAAACAGTCTCTCAACCTCAAAGCAGGAAACAATTTCTTATGAAAAAGAGTGCAAACTTTGAAAGAAAACATGAATATACCAGAATCTATAATTTCGGTTCATTAATAATCCCATTAGAAAGTGAAAGGGCAAGCCACAGCCAGAAATAATATATCTGCAGCTCATGTAACAAAGGAAGAACGTACAATCCAGAATATATAAATAACTTCTACAAATCAGTAAGACAAACTACTTAACAGCAAAATGAATAAAGTATATGAAAGGAAAAGTTACAGAAGAGAGAACAGCAAAGAACAGTAAATATGTGAAAAGACACTCAATCTTGCTACTAATCCAGGAAATGAAAATTCAAACAGTACAGTAGCATTTCCTAACCATCAACTGGCTAAAATGAGAAATCTGAGGCTATCAAGCTTTGGAAAACATGCAGAGCAACAAGAGCTCTCATTCATTGCTGCTGGGTGAGTAAATTGGCACCAACATTTTGGAGAAGAATTTGGCAGCATTTAGTAAAACTGAAAAGGTATATCTATCTGATGACCTAGCAATTTTACTCCTAGGAATATATCTGGAGAAACTCTTGCACATGTTGATCAAGAAGATATATACAATATGTTCATAAGAGAATTTTATAATAGCAAACATTTGGAAATAGCATAATTCCATCATCCGGGGTACGGGTAAATCTACTGTGGCATATTTATACAATGAAATACAATGCCAGCAATGAGAATACATAAGCTGAAGCTGCACATAACAATATGGCAAAGTCTTACAAACATAATATTGAGAAAAAAACAAGTTGCAAAAAATATATAATGGTTTTATGCTTTTATGTACATTTTTAGAACATGCAAAATACTATGTGCCTAAGAATAAAATTGCTGTGTCCTAGGGTATGCTAATCTTTATGTTTGCTAGGTAATCCCAAATGTTTCTTAGAGATACAAGCATATACTTAATTCTTATATAAATACATAGACATTATAAACATTAAATATTGAAGAGTAGGCATCTGTGTATGAGGAAGGGAAAGTGGATGCAATTAGAGAGAGGGTCTCAACTGTATTACTGAAGGTTACTTTATAAGATGAATAATAGGTGAAGTAGAGTTGTATTTCTCTTCCTATCTTTGGACTTAACATAAAGATTTTATATTAATGATCAAGAAGTAATATAATTGTGTAGTTGGTTCATATTTCTGGTGGCTGCCCTTGATTGTCTGCCTGACATCCATCCTTTACTGAAAGAGTCCTAAATTGCTTAGATACCCAAATTTCATCCAGATGGGACTTTATCTAGTTCTTCATATGCAACCCTTTGTCACTGCCCTAGTTCCAGATCCTCTAGGGATAATCCCTTATCTTTGACAATGAGTTTCTGGTATGTGACCCAATTTGGTCAACTGGAGGAACCTTGTTTCGTGAAAGAAACACAAAGTCTCTCTACTTCTATGGACATGACAGTGACTAGATATGATGCCTAGAAGTGCATCTGGGCACCATCTTGAGGCTGAGGCTGACAATGAATATGGGAGAATAAAGAGAGGAAAAGAACCTGGGTCCATCTGGACATAATGGAGCCACTGAATTGAGCAACCTGCTGGGCATCTGAATTTCACATCAACTTATGACCAAGTTGTTTTTTGGTTCGGGTAGTTTGAGTGAGGAATTTTCTTGCTTGCAGCTGAACACCTACTGATGTGTATACTGTAATTGCTTTAGGAGCTTGGAAATGAATGTCCTCTTAGAGCTATAAGAAGGGCAACCTTCAGTATGGAGGTTACTTTTCTGTAAGAGTCTTGGTAGGATACAATGTATTCGTGAGAAAATAAAGACTTGCAGGCCAAAACAACAAACAAACCAGCATAGTTAAAGACATATAAATTATTAATAAATTGGTTGCAAATGACAGAAAATGCAACATGACAGTGACATAAGCAAAATAGAATTTGTTTCTATTCCATAAAGATAGAGTCTGGAGGGAAGCATTTCAGGGCAAGCAGCTTCATGGTTTCCCAAGGACTCAGTCCTTTTTGTGCTATGCTGTCATCATCAGCACGCTGACTCCAACTCATGTTCCAAGATGGCTTCTAGATCTCCAGCCATCACAGTGATGTTTTAAATAGCAGATGGAGAAAGGAGCAAATTAGTGCTCATCCTTTCCATTAAATGTACTCCCCCGAAGTCACAAGGTGTTTTTGCGTAGCTTGTCCCATTTGCCGGAAAACAGTCACACAGTAACACCCAACTCTAAAGTAGACCAGAGAAATGTTTTTATTCTTGGTAGGTAAGCTGAGCTAAAATGTTGAGCTTCTCTTTTTGAGAAAGAAGGGAAGAATGGATATTGGGGCAGAAGTATCTATTTCCGTTTCAATAACCCTAAGTGTGTGAATGAGAATAGTGATGTGATACAGAAAAAGAAATCTATTTAAAACAAAAATTCTGCCTCCTAAAAGTTTGTGGCAAAATTTTAATGTGTGGTAAAAAATGAACCTGTTTTTCCCTCTCCCCTTCCCTTTCACTTACAGAGAATGGGGTGGAGGGGTGTGGAGCAGGAAGAAAAGAAAATAAGTTTCTGAAGATTTCTCTAATTTTATTTTTGGTACTGCTAAAAGCTAGCAACTGGCTTTCTTTCTTTCTTTCTTTCTTTCTTTCTTTCTTTCTTTCTTTCTTTCTTTCTTTCTTTCTGTTTTTTGGTCAGGACATCAGGTTTGGAATGTGCAAAAGTCACCCTTAGGCTGAGTAGGAGCTGTCCTATCTAGACTGTGCTGCATACTGGAAAGAGAGGAGTTGAGTTTCAAGGAAAGTCAGAGGATAGAGACCTGAAACAACCAGGGGGATGTGACTTTTGTGACCTTTCAAGTCTTGGGGTTAGGACAATTAATTATTTGGGCATTTAAAATCCCTCTGCTTCCCAAGTTTTCAGTAAAGCCTGCCCGACACAGAAATGACAAGAGAATATAAGCTTCTCCAGGATTTGGAGAAACCTTTGGAACAAACATTGGATTTATCCTAAAACCAAAGATAGAGAGGGCTCATTCTTAGGATCAATTTCCATGTTCACAGTGCAACTCAGAAGTAAGAAAGTGGCATTATTATTGTAACTCGCCTAAGTATGCAGGTCCCCAGCATGTCCCTTGAAGGCTGCGAAATGCTGGGTGTCAGATACTCATTTTTGCCTTTGAAACCACGTACACTTGCTCACAAAGCTCTGCTGACCTTGAACTATCTGGACAAGCATCTCTAGCTACAGGCTGCCCTTTCCTACCCCTGGCCCAAAGTGAGACCTTCTCTGTGATGGTTAATATTGACTGTCAACTTGACTGGATTGAAGGATGCAAAGTATTGTTCCTGGGTGTGTCTGTGAGGGTGTTGCCAAAGGAGATTAACATTTGAGTCAGTGGACTGGGAGAGCCAGGCCCACCCTCAATTTGGGTGGGCACCACCTAATCAGCCACCAGCATAAAAGCAGGCAGAAGAAAACGGAAAGGGCAGACTTGCTGAGTCTTCCGGTCTTCATCTGTCTCCTGTGCTGGATGCTTCCTGCCCTGAAGCATCAGGCTCCAAGTTCTTCAGCTTTTGGACTCTTGGACTTACACCAGTGGTTTGCCAGGGGCTCTCAGGCCTTCGGCCACAGACTGAAGGCTACACTATCAGCTTCTCTACTTTTGAGGTTTTGGGAATCGGACTAGCTTCCTGGCTCCTCATCTTGCAGATGGCCTATTGTGGGACTTTACCATGTGATTGTGTGAGTCAATTCTCCTCATAGACTCCCCTGCATATATTCATCTATCCTCTTAGTTCTGTCCCTTTAGAGAACCCTGACTAATACACTCTCTCTCTCTTTCTGAACAAGGGAGTAACAGTAACGTTCCTCATTCAATGATGTTCAGAACAGCAAACTTCTCCACAAAGTCTGCCTTCAACAAATGCAATGCAGTGAACATCCCCAGCACCATTAAACTTGGGGACTCACGACTCGTTTTCCCAATGGCAACAATGGTATCAATTTCCACTGAGGAAATATCAGATACGTAGTGATTTTTCAATCTCTGTTTTTGCTACTCAATTATGAAAACACAATCTATGATACCATTACCTGCAGGCTAATCTTTTATGGTTTCATTTCTTAAAGATTTACAGCATCTAGAATGTATTTAGAATAAGGAATAAAAGATCCACATGTGCTTTTTACAAACAGCTAGCCATTTGGTTCAGAGCAAGTTATTACATAATCCTTCTCCTACTGATATTTAAAACCACCTTTAAATATAAGCGATAACTACATATATTTGGGTCAGTTTCTGAGCTTCCTATTTTATTCTCTAAAATGACCATTTTCACTGATATCAAACTGATTTATATGGTGGTTTTTCTTTTCTTTTTTTCTTTTCCTTTTTTTTTTTTTCTGTGAGACAGTCTTGCTCTGTCCCCCAGGCTGGAGTGCAGTCATGCAATCTCGGCTCACTGCAACCTCTGCCTCCTGGGTTCAAGTGATTCTCATGCATGCTTCAGCCTCCCGAGTAGCTGGGATTACAGGCACATGTCACCATGCCCGGTTAATTTTTGTATTTTTAGTAGAGTTAGGGTTTCACCATGTTGGCCAGTCTTGTCTTTAACTCCTGACCTCAAGTGATCTGCCCACCTCAGCCTCCCAAAGTGCTGGTATTACAGGTGCAAGCCACCACACCCAGCTATATAATGCTTTAATAGCTCATAAGGTTGGTGACCACTTTCTTCATTCTCATTTTTAAAATTTCTCTGGCTATTTTTACATGTTTATTTCTCCAGCTGACCTTTCCTATCATAAGCTCAAGTTCTAAAAACAGTGCTGACAGTATTCTCATAGGGAGGACATTGAAAGTCTAGATAATGTCAATAGATTCGATATCTCCGTATGACCAGTTCCTTCTGGGTGTCCTTCTAGTAACCTGAGTGATGTCTTAAGTACCTCAGTCACTCTCCAAACCTTTCTTCATGAAAAAATTTAAAGATATTGAAAAGTTAAATTAAGAGTACAACAATAAGCCATATACTCACAATTTAAATACATATATTGTTATTTGCCATGTTTTATTTATATTTATGAATTTTTATTTAATTCATTTATATTTTTGCTGAACTATTTGAGAACAAATTATAGGCATCATGATACTTTAAGTGCTAAATATATCAACATGTGTCTCCTAAAAAAGACATTGTTCTATTAACGACAATACCATTATCACGCCTACATAATTTCCTTAATGTTAACTATGCAATCTATGCTCAAATTTCCCCACATATTTTAAAAATGCCTTTTATAAACCTTTTGGGTTTTGTTATTGTTTGCAGCTTCATTACTTTTTTTATTTATTTTGAAGTACACTGTAAATGTCAACCTTTCAAGGTGTACAGTTTAGCGGTTTTTAGCACAGTTGTGTAACCAGCACTGCTATCTAATTCTAATTCCAGAATATTTTCATTAACACAAAAGGAAATCCTATCCCCATTAGCAATGACTCTCCCATTTCCCCTTCTTCATCCATGGCAACCACTAATCTACTTACTGTCTCTAAGAATTTGCCTATTCTAAGCATTCTTTATCCATGGAATCCTACACAGTATGTAGCTTTTGTGTATGGCTTCTTTTACTTAGCATAATATCTTCCAGGTTCATCCATGTTATAGCATGAATCAGTCGGTGTGAATATATACCACATTTTATTTAGTTATTCATCAATTGATGAAGATTTGGGTTTGTTTTAAAAGAAAAATCAAATCAAAAGACACTCATTTTACTCACTGTTGTATGCCTCCCATCTCTTTAATACAAAACAGGCTTCTCACCATTAAAAAAAAAAATTGTCTATGACATTGACTTTTGAAAAGACCAGGCCAAGTCTCCTGCGGAATATATGATTGTTTTATCAAAGAGTTGTTTTACTTTCTCATCGCTATTTCATGTAAACCTAAAGTTAAGTCAAAAGGCTTGGCTAGGCTCACCATTTTTGGTGAGAGCACTTAATAGAAGATGCTGTCTCCTTCAGACTGGCTCAGGTTGGCATCAGGTTGTTACAGTGCCAGTGATACTCAGTTTCAGCAGTTGGTCCAGGTGATCTTGCCATTTTAAAGGTTTATGTTTTATTTTGTTGTTAGTTAGTGCTTCTAGAGGATGCTACCTGAGGATTAAGACAATTATTTCTAGCAAACTTTCCACTATTTCTTCTGCATTTTCACATAATATAACTTTTATGCATTCTATTCAGAATAGAATACTTTATGCATCCTATTAAGTTTACTTATAGTTTAAAACTAAGTTTCTCTTTTAAATGAGATCTATACTTCAATTATATTTTCAAGCTTGTTAGAGCAGATCGTCCCCCAGTATATCACCTCCTCTTATTTCTTACCAATAGAAACTTCCCCAATAAGACAGAGCATACTAGTGTCTGCATTGCTCACCTCTGAACATGATCTTCTCAGGCCACAGGTATATTTGTTTTGCTGTCCTAAATATGCTGGCTACTATGTGTGGCTAGAGAACTTTAATTTTTGCATTTTAATTTTGTAACCAGCAACCTCTCTGAATTATCTTATTGCTTATGATATATTTTGTTTGTTCCTCTCTTTTTCCTGGATCTTCTGGGTAGATAATAGGATGGTCTACAAATAATGATAAATTTTCTGCCTTCTTTTCAATATGTAAACCAAACATAATCTTCTTGTATAATTACATTTTACTTCCAGGACAATGCTAAAAATAGTAATGGTGATATACAATCTTGTATTTTTCCTGACTTAAATGGGAATTATTAATTGTTTTCCCGCCATTAAGCAGCATGTCCCAGTGCCAGCCAAGAGTCCAGGTGCAAGCCACAAAAACTGGCCTTGGTGACCTTAGTCAAGAAGTAATTTTTGGAAGATTATCAAGTAGTTCCAGCAGTCAGCAGAGGCTAAAAAACCAGACTTGGAGAATGCAAAACCAAGATTTGTCTGACTTTTATACCATTTCTGAGACCTCCACCACTGGGCACTGCTATCTTTGACACTACCTACCATCTCAGATGTTTCTTCCAAAATAAATAATTGTTCATTCTTTTTTTTTTTCCTGTTTGTCTCTTGCTCGTGGTTTATTGTTTATTTATTTATTTATTTATTTATTTCAGAGTCTCACTCTGTCCCCAAGTTGGAGTGCAGTGGCACCATCTTGGCTCACTACAAACTCTACCTTCTGGATTCAAGCGATTCTCATGCCCTAGCCTCTTGAGCAGCTTGAATTACAGGCGCACGGCACCACACCCAGCTAATTTTGGTGTTTTTAGTAGAGATGGGGTTTCATCATATTGGCCAGGCTGGTCTTTAATTCCTGACCTCAAGTTATCCACCTGGCTGAGCCTCCCTAAGTGTTGGGATTACAGGTGTGAGCCCCAGCCCCAGCCTCTGGTTCACGGTTTAAATTCCTAGATAAAAGTGTAAAAAATGCTAAGCTTAGGCTATATACCTGCAATCTCTCTACCTACCGGCAAAAGGAATGAACATCTCATTCCCTGGATTTCTGATGTGGGAGAAAGGACGGAACTTTTCACTGACTAACTCAATAGGAAAATTTTCCCAAATAGGGAGAACGTCTAGACATGAAGTTCCCCTAAATTAACAAATATTACCTTGCAAAATCCTGGCATTGGTTGATACATTTTAAAATCATTTTGTAATAGTCAAGTATGTTATAAGGCAATTTTGTTTGGTTTTCCAAAAAATGGGCATTGAATTTGCTTAATTTTCTCCTTTAATTGATTGACTTATTTTGTTACTATTTAATATTGACTTGTATCATGTTTATTTATAGTATATAATGTATACAATACATATTTTACTCTTATTGTAGCATATGTCATAGTAATAGATTTATTAATTCTTAGCTACTCGTATTTTAGGGATGAACGTCTTGATTTTAAAGTGTTTATAGACTATTGGCTTTTATTTTCATTTATGACTTTTTTCATCATTTTTGCAAGTGAGATCAAATTCAACCTATATCAAAACTTTCAATTTATTCTTAAATGATGTTGGTGAATTTTCCTTGGATCCCTGAGGCCGGTTTCTCTTGCCCTCAGACCTTCAGTTGGAGGGCTGTGTATTGAGGACTTTTCTATAGCTTAGTGGGTTGGGGGTAGGAGACTCTAGTTTCTATTCTCTCTTTTGAAATTGTAACTTTTATGAGCCAAGGTTCATTCAATCTGGTCTAGGAGATATATATAGATAGCTGCACAGTTCAGATCCCTTTCCCAATTCAAACCAGGCCTCAGGGCCTTCGCTTTCATCAAAGAGCTGCAGTTGTTCCCTTCCCCAGTATCCCTCGCTTCTCTCTAAGTCCATTTCACATCCTTCCAACATATGTAGGGAAAGTACAGGTGAGAACTGTGAGTTTTCCAGAGTGTGAAGGAAAGTTGTCCCAGAGTTCTGATTACCCACCTCTGGCATATTTATTTCCCCTTTAGTTTTCTACCCTGCTAGCTTCCTATTCACATTTGGAAATAATCAGTTTAGGGTAATTTAGGCTCCTATTTCTCCTTTCCTCCCAGCAGGAGAGAAACAAAATGGCAAAGATTGATAGATTTTTTTTTGTCTCTGTAGAGACCTCAAAGTGGGTGGATGGAGCATTTATTTTCACAGATGTTTCATTTATTTCTGGACTACCTACACATCTTTCTTATTCAGTCTTCTCAAAATTTGAGCACATTTCTAAATATTTTTTTCCCACAAAACTTCATTCCTCCACCATGTTTTGGGGTGGGTTAGGAGCACTAGGCTATGGCGGGATCTAGCATTGCCATTCTAGTATTCTAGCAATCACTTCTAGCATTGCCATTTTTCAAATAATAGAGTGTAAAGTTTTGTCCTGTTTTCTCATTGAACTTCTGCTGGTCACCTGTCTTGATATTTTCAATCTTTGTACAAACTGTAGGTGTAAAAAATAAAGAGTTTGTATACAGCATCATTTTGCCATTTTACCTTAGGGAATGCAAAATTAATCATTTTAAACTAATGATATATCAACACATGAGCTGTTATAGCTTACCATTGCCAAACACAATTCACACTCACAGCTTATTATTTTAATTCAGTTGTGCCATTTACTTGGTGCAGTATTATGCCATCAAAATTATATTCAATGCAATGTGCCCAAAACAACCCAACTAATATTGTTATTTTGAACAGCACTTTTGAAGGTTACTTGGTGATGAGAGGCTGTAGGAATATTGGTTTGATATAAACTCTAAACTTCAAAAAAGATTGCTAGTGTATACTCACCGTAAGTACCTGGAATTTTGATCAATAAATTCAGAAACTAGGGTCAACCTTATAGCCTAGTTTTCTATTAAAATTAGGAAGCTAATAAAATTCTGGTGTTTTTGTTTTCACATCTATAATATAGGAAGACTAACTATGCTGTCCTAATTCCTTTCATTGGGAATTTATCTTTTAGATGAGTTAGAATTTGCAAGGATTACCTGTGAATGAAGGATGCAAGGTGGAAAGGAAAATATGGAGATTTTTTATGATAAGGATCCAGTCTCATGCAGGCTGCTTGATTGTGCAGAACTCAGAGGAGAATGTTTCAATCTCGTTAGCAACCACAAACAACCAGAAAATGGATAGATATTCAGAAGGCAATTTCCCTCCCCATAATCGCTTCTCTTGGGTCATATTCCCTCCTTCTGACTTGATCATGGGTTCTAGGTTGGAATCTTCCCTGCTTCTTTGGACTACTGTATTAGTTATTACTAGGTACTATACTACATTTAGCATCTAGACATCCTCAGCTCTTCCCTGTGTGTGGACTTTCTCCCTGGTCATAGTGGAATCCTATCTACCTGCCTGGCCTCACCAAAAATCCACACTTTATCCCTGTTCTACATTTTGGAAATATCTCCAGAGGTTTTTAATGCACACAGAATTGGCAACCACAGAGGGCTTTAAGTATTGAATTTTACTACTTATATGCATCATCTTGGAATCTTGTAAAAATGCCAGCTTGATTCAGTAAGTCTGGGTACAGTGTGAGATTCTGCATTTCTAACAAGCTTCCAGGTGATGCCAACATTACTGGCTCATGGAATGCACTCTAAGTCGCATGGACCAAGTGAGATGGAAAATGCACATTTCACATGCTGGTGCTGGAAGGACTTAGGCTTAAATAATGTTCCACTACACTTGTGCAATTATTTAACATCTTTGGAAGCATTTCGAAATTTGTAAGCTTCAGGCAAACCTTAAGCACAATTTTAGGGCTATTCACAAACCTTATTATACTTCCATTTTTAAAAAATAGCAATCAAGACTTCGAATGGTCTCTTCAGTAGTGTAATATGATACTTTGATCTGATTTAAAAGGTGTTACAGGTATCAAAGCTTTCCAGAAACCAATAGTATTTAAAGCAGTGTGGTGTTGTTACAAAGAAACACAAACCAAAAGAAAATAATGCTATTGCAAAGGGTGATCCATCAAAAAAGACATATATGTATATAATGTATATTATATACATGAGGAGTGGGAGGAAGAAGAAGCTAGAGGGCAGGAAAGAGGAAAGGAAGAGAGATGGAGGGAAGGAAAGAGGATGGGGTAGGTATTAACAAATCCGCTAAAAGCAAATAAGATCAAGATCTTTAAAAGTGCTCATGAATTTGGAACATTTAGTCTCCCATCTATGGATCTATCTTTAGGAAATACTTAGGGAGGCAAATAAGTGCTCTTGCCCAAGTGTTTCTTTACTTCAGGGTCATTTTTGGTTGTGAAAACCTGGAGATTGCTAAAACATCTCTCAATAGAGGCAGTATAGTATATATTGTTTTTGTTTCATGTTTTGTGTTGTTTTATTAAGGTATCATTTGTATAATATGAATGCATAGATTTTAAATGTATAGTTTGATTTTTTGACAAATATATACACTCCTGTAATCACCACTCAAATCAAGATACAAAACATTTCCTTCCCTCCAGAAGTTAGCTGTGCTCCTTCCTCAAGAAAATTCCCCCCTCGACCCCATAAAAACAATTACTATTCTGACAGAAACCCACCTAGATTAAATGTGCTCATTCTAGAGGTTCCTCCATGTTGCTGTGTGTATCAGTAGATCATTTGTTGCTGAGTAGTATTCCATTCTTGAATAACTACAATTTATTGAGGCTGACATCAGCAAGATGGCAGAATAGGACATTCCAGCAGCCACCCTCCGTAGAAACATCAATTTAAACAACAATCCATTCATTAAAATACCTTCACAAGAGCCAGGGAAACCAGATGAGAGATTACAACACCTGAGTATAGCACAGAAATAAGAAAAGATGCATTGAAGAGGATAGAAAGAACAGTTTCACATTATCTGCATCACCCCTCCGCTAACCCCAAGCAGCACTGCCTGAGAGAGAGATCCCCTAAGCATGGGGATGGGAGGGACGTGAGCACCGACTTTGTCTCAGTCTGTTCTGGTTGCTATAACGTAATACCTGACACTGGGTAAAGAAATATTTCAAAGAAGGTAAATTTGGCTGGGCATGGTGGCCCCCACCTTTAATCCCAGCACTTTGGGAGGCTGAGGCAGGAGAATAGCTTGAAGCCAACAGTTTGAAACCAGCCTGGGCAAAATAGCAAGACCCCATCTCTACAAAAAAATTTTAAAAATTAGCTAGGCATGCTGGTGCACACCTGTGTCTACTGTCCTAGCTATTTGGTAGGCTGAGGCAGGATGATTGCTTGAGCCCGAGAGGTTGAGGCTACAGTGAGCTATGATCATGCCACTGCACTTCAACCTGGGTGAGACAGCAAGATTCATGAAGGGAAGGGTAAAAAGGGCTGAATTCTGTGTCCTCACATGGCAGAAAAGATGGCAGAGCCAGACAGCTCTCTGAAGCCTTTTTTATAAGGGCATTAATCCCATTCGTGAGGGAGTATAAAATATAAAACTACTACAAGAAAACATAGGGGGAAATCTCCATGACATTTATCTGTGCAATGACTTTTGAATGTCAACCCAAAAGCACAGGCAATGAAAGCAAAAAATAGGCAAATTAAATTGCACCAAACTAAAAAGCTTTTGCACAGCTAAGGAAATAATAAGCAGAGTAAAGAGATAACCTATGGAATAGGAGAAAACATTTGTAAACCATGCATCTGATAAGGGGTTAATATACAAAATATATAAGAACTCAAATAACTCAATAGCAATAAAACAAATAACCCAATTTAAAAATGGGCAGAGGACCTGAAGAGACACTTTTCAAAAGAAAACATACAGATGTTCAACTGGTATGTTTTAAAAAGTGTTCAGTAGCACTGCCAGGAAATGCAAATTAAAACCACAATGAGCTATCACCTCACACATGTTAGGATGGCTATTATTTTTTATTTTTTATTTTTTTATTTTTTATTTTATTGTTATTATACTTTAAGTTTTAGGGTACATGTGCACAATGTGCAGGTTAGTTACATATGTATACATGTGCCATGCTGGTGTGCTGCATCCATTAACTCATCATTTAGCATTAGGTATATCGCCTAATGCTATCCCTCCCCCCTCCCCTCACCCCACAACAGTCCCCAGAGTGTGAGGTTCCCCTTCCTGTGTCCATGTGTTCTCATTGTTCAATTCCCACCTATGAGTGAGAACATGCGGTGTTTGGTTTTTTGTCCTTGCGATAGTTTACTGAGAATGATGATTTCCAATTTCATCCATGTCCCTACAAAGGACATGAACTCATCATTTTTTATGGCTGCATAGTATTCCATGGTGTATATGTGCCACATTTTCTTAATCCAGTCTATCATTGTTGGACATTTGGGTTGGTTCCAAGTCTTTGCTATTGTGAATAGTGCCGCAATAAACATACGTGTGCATGTGTCTTTATAGCAGCATGATTTATAGTCCTTTGGGTATATACCCAATAATGGGATGGCTGGGTCAAATGGTATTTCTAGTTCTAGATCCCTGAGGAATCGCCACACTGACTTCCACAATGGTTGAACTAGTTTACAGTCCCACCAACAGTGTAAAAGTGTTCCTATTTCTCCACATCCTCTCCAGCACCTGTTGTTTCCTGACTTTTTAATTATCGCCATTCTAACTGGTGTGAGATGGTATCTCATTGTGGTTTTGATTTGCATTTCTCTGATGGCCAGTGATGGTGAGCATTTTTTCATGTGTTTTTTGGCTGCATAAATGTCTTCTTTTGAGACGTGTCTGTTCATGTCCTTTGCCCACCTTTTGATGGGGTTGTTTGTTTTTTCTTGTAAATTTGTTTGAGTTCATTGTAGATTCTGGATATTAGCCCTTTGTCAGATGAGTAGGTTGCGAAAATTTTCTCCCATTTTGTAGGTTGCCTGTTCACTCTGATGGTAGTTTCTTTTGCTGTGCAGAAGCTCTTTAGTTTAATTAGATCCCATTTGTCAATTTTGGCTTTTGTTGCCATTGCTTTTGGTGTTTTAGGCATGAAGTCCTTGCCCATGCCTATGTCCTGAATGGTAATGCCTAGGTTTTCTTCTAGGGTTTTTATGGTTTTAGGTCTAACATTTAAGTCTTTAATCCATCTTGAATTAATTTTTGTATAAGGTGTAAGGAAGGGATCCAGTTTCAGCTTTCTACATATGGCTAGCCAGTTTTCCCAGCACCATTTATTAAATAGGGAATCCTTTCCCCATTTCTTGTTTTTCTCAGGTTTGTCAAAGATCAGATAGTTGTAGATATGCAGCATTATTTCTGAGGGCTCTGTTCTGTTCCATTGATCTATAACTCTGTTTTGGTACCAGTACCATGCTGTTTTGGTTACTGTAGCCTTGTAGTATAGTTTGAAGTCAGGTAGTGTGATGCCTCCAGCTTTGTTCTTTTGGCTTAGGATTGACTTGGAGATGTGGGCTCTTTTTTGGTTCCATATGAACTTTAAAGTAGTTTTTTCCCATTCTGTGAAGAAAGTCATTGGTAGCTTGATGGGGATGGCATTGAATCTATAAATTACCTGGGGCAGTATGGCCATTTTCAGAATATTGATTCTTCCTACCCATGAGCATGGAATGTTCTTCCATTTCTTTGTATCCTCTTTTATTTCATTGAGCAGTGGTTTGTAGTTCTCCTTGAAGAGGTCCTTCACATCCGTTGTAAGTTGGATTCCTAGGTATTTTATTCTCTTTGAAGCAATTGTAAATGGGAGTCTTTGACAAAATTCAACAGCCCTTCATGCTAAAAACTCTCCATAAATTAGGTATTGATGGGACGTATCTCAAAATAATAAGAGCTAATCTATGACAAACCCACTGCCAATATCATACTGAATGGGCAAAAACTAGAAGAATTCCCTTTGAAAACTGGCACAAGACAGGGATGCCCTCTCTCACCACTCCTATTCAACATAGTGTTGGAAGTTCTGGCCAGGGCAATTAGGCTGGAGAAGGAAATAAAGGGTATTCAATTAGGAAAAGAGGAAGTCAAATTGTCCCTGTTTGCAGATGACATGATTGTATATCTAGAAAACCCCATTGTCTCAGCCCAAAATCTCCTTAAGCTGATAAGCAACTTCAGCAAAGTCTCAGGATGGCTATTATTTTTTAAAAAATAAGAAGATAACAAGTGTTGGGGAAGATGTGGAGAAAAGAGAACTCATACACTGTTAGTGGGAATGTAAATTTGGATAGCCATTATGGAAGATAGTACAGAGGTCCTTTAAAAATTAAAAATATAACTGGCCTATTACCTAGAAATTCTACTACTGGGTATATATCCAAAGAAAATGAAATCAATATGTTAAAGAGATATCTGTACTCTCCCATGTTCATTGCAGCATTACTCACAATAGCTAAGACAAGGAATCAACCTAAGTGTCCGTTGATGGATGAATGGAAAAATAAAATGTGGTAGATGTACACAGTAGAATACTATAATATTAAGCCTTAGCAAAGAAGAAAATTCTGTCATTTGCCACAATGTGGATAAATCTGGAGGACTTTATGTTAAGTGAAATAAGTTAGGCACAGAAAGACAAATACCACATGGTCTCACTTATATGTATAATCTAAAAAAGTTTATCCCATGGAAGTGGAGAGTAGAATGTCGGTTACCAGAGGCTGGGGTTAGTGGGGAGGGCCGAGGAGAAAAACATTTAGTTAGATGGAGGAATACGTTCAAGAGATCTGTGGTACAACATGGTGGCTGTCATAAATAACACTGTATTGTGTTTTTAAAATTTAAAAGAGAGTGAGTTTTAAGTGTTCTCACCACAAAAAAATAAGTAGTTGAGGTAATGCATATGTTAATTAGCTCAACTGATACCTTCCACAATGTATGCATATTTCAGAGCATGATGTCGTATACTACGTGTGTGTGTGTGTGTGTGTGTGTGTAATTTCTATTTCTCAATTTTTAACACCTACAATGTATTTATCCATTCTCCTCTCTTGGTTTTTAATCCCGCAACTCTGCTTCATGGTCTTTGTGGAATAGTCTGTTCTTTAAATGTCTGTGTTTCTTAGGCTTTGATCTTCCATCCTCCTCTCACTCCTGGAACAACCATGGTCAATCTGTGACTTCAGCAGCTTTTTATGGACCAACAGGCCCCTTCTTGTCAGTACTGATCTTTCCCGAATGCTTCTGTAGCATGCATGTCACTGCTCACCAGACATCTTCACTTAGTTCCTGGTGCGACATTGGAATGAATTCCCCTCTCGATCCCTCAGTCCCTCAGGATCCTTCAGTCTCTTGAAGGGCAGGCGTACCTCACAACTTAGCATATTTGTCTGGTGCATGGTATGAGCAAATGTCTGTCACATTGGTGTCCACAACGAACTGCACCTCGTGGTATTCCTGCTTTTGTGTGTTCTCTCCTCTTGTACCTGGTCTGTGCCTGTGACATGCATAACCAATACAATGCAGCAAAATGACAGTGTGACACAATCCCTTAGCTTGGTAACCAGGCCTTTACTGGGCAGACAACTGTATCTTTGCACATGCTGTTCCCTCTGCTTGGAATGGCCTTAAAATGTAAGTCTCAGAAAGGTGAATCTTATTTACAACTATAGTTGTAGTGTTTAAAACAGTACATCTCATTTGGCAGTTGCTCCATTAATATTTACTAAATGAACAAGTGAACAAATATCCCCCACTTTTCTCCCAGTTCCTAAAGTCTAATCAGCTTTAATTCTCTGAAAGGAAAGTGAGCCAGTAAAATTTATAGAATACAAGAGGATTAATAAGGGAAATTTTGAAAAGTAGTGGAAATATTTAGAAGGGAAACAAATTGTTGAGAGATTTCAAAGATATTAAAAACATTTAAGAAAAAAGAATCCAGTAGAGAAAAAATAGGGATGCTCATTGAAGAAAGTGGTGGGGTATGATTAAAACAAAAAGTGCCAACTGGGCGCGGTAGCTTACGCCTGTAATCCCAGCACTTGGGAAGGCTGAGGCAGGTGGATGACCTGAGACCAGGAGTTCAAGACCAGCCTGGCCAACATGGTGAAACCCCATCTCTACAAAAATACAAAAATTAGCCGGGCATGATGGTGGGTGCCTTTAATCCCAGCTACTCAGGAGGCTGAGGTGGGAGAATCACTGGAACCCGGGAGGCAGAGGTTGCAGTGAGCCGAGATCACACCCACTTCACCTAGGCAACAGAGCAAGACTCTGTCTCAATAAATAAATAAATGAAATAAAATAAAAAATAAAACAAAAAGTGCTAAACTCCCCAAAAGATGAATACAATAAATGATATTAATGACCAAAACAAGTAGTGTGTATTCTAATTGAAAAAGTTCTCATCAGAATGCACAAAAACACACATATACACACACACCCAGTATACTCACACATACATATACATACAATATGGAAACACTCATGCATAAGTATATACACTCCTACACACACTCACCGGCAAACACTGAAAATCATAATCATATTCACACACTCATACACCCTCAAATGCACCTACATTCACACATAAATGCACACAGATAAATACACACATCCACATGCTGACATACACACACATAAAGAGTTCATGTGCTTTCACACACACATGCATGCTAACATATATGCCAGACAAGGCAACAGTTCCTTACAAAGAGTAATTGCACTGTTTCAGAAAGCTCTGATATAAAATGGTAACACCTTTTCAGGAGGTAACCTCTGTCAATAAAATGCCAGAATTTGAGGAAATCCCACTGATGGAGCTGGACATAGAAAGCACACGGATGCTTTGCCTTCACCACACTCTGAAGTGTGGCCTCATGAAATGAAACCTACCTGGAAGGGAGAGGGTAGCCCTTTGAACTGGATGCATGGACTCACCCTGGATACAAGATCCAAAGCTATACCAGGAGAGCACTGGCAGCCGGGGCCCACTGGTGGGTGCTGCACTTGCTGGAGACATCAGTGTTGTCCCATTTCCTCTCTTGGCCACCTCAGAGAACTTTCTCCACTCCAAGGAGGCAGCCAGGCTGGAGGTGGGGATCAGGTCCACAGCACACATGCTGATGGCCAAGGGGACATGGAATCCACAGGGAAAACACTGCAGGAATGTGCCATGGTGGTCTAGATCCTCAAATCACAGTTTCCCTATTGAGAGTATCTTCCTTTTTTTTTTTTAAATTTTATTATCATTATACTTTAAGTTTTAGGGTACATGTGCACAACGTGCAGGTTTGTTACATATGTATACATGTGCCATGTTGGTGTGCTGCACTCATTAACTTGTCATTTAGCATTAGGTATATCTCCTAATGCTATCCCTCCCCTCTCCCCCAACCCCACAACAGTCCCCGGTGTGTAATGTTACCCTTCCTGTGTCCATGTGTTCTCATTGTTCCTGCGGTCCTTATTCATAGCAAGTCCAATTTTTCCAAGGCTGTCATTTCACATTAGTATTCCTTGAGATGATTTGATTCTTGGGTCAATTTTTATTCCATTTGTCATTGTCTTATTTTCTACTGATTATTCCTATTAAATCTAATAGGAATAAGACTTCCTTTATATTTTTTTTTAGTTTTTCCTGTAGAGCAAATGTTATAATGTGAAGTTGCCACCACTGTCAAGTTGATTTTGTATTGATAATTTCTGCCAGTGATAGCCATTGTCAATTGGATGATTTAAATTTATTTCTCACCTAACCCACTTAAAAAATGTGATCAATGTCCTCACCTGTGACAGAATTTCTCTTCTGTCCAGGATTAACCTATTTTATTCCCAATCCAACTCTTTGGTATAACTCTGATCATTTTGCAGATCGCTTACAGTGCTCCATGTGATGTTAGTATAACACAAGAGCAAAGAGCAGAAATCAGAACTGTGGGATGAGGCCGGGCATGGTGGCTCAGCACTTTGGGAGGCCGAGGCAGGCGGATCACCTGAGGTCAGGAGTTCAAGACCAGCCTGGCCAACATAGTGAAACTCAGTCGCTACTGAAAATACAAAAGTTAGCCAGGTATGGTTATGCACATCTGTAATCCCAGCTACTTGGGAGGCTGAGGCAGGAGAATCACTTGAACCCGGGAGGCGGAGGTTGCAGTGAGCCGAGATCGAGCCACTGCACTCCAGCCTGGGTGACACAGCAAGACTCCATCTCAAGATAATAATAATAACAGTGGGGTGAAAACTAAAATGAGGGGCAGAAAAGTCCTTTTTAAGGGCAAAGCAGCGTTAGGTTGGCCCCGCACATAAAGCGGCACATATTCCCCTTATAACCTGTATTCATGCGTTCTGCCATGATTTTCCGTAACACACATACCTATAACACAGTGATCTGAAATACATGTTCATTTGTTTATAGGTCCATGGATCAGCCGTAGGTCAATCGGCTGGGCTGGGCTGGACTCTAGGCTTGTGTCAGTTTCAGGTTTGCTCCTCATATTTTCACTCTGGGAATGAGTTGAATGAGCCATAGCTGTGTGGGGCATCCTCTTCTCATGGTGGACTCAAGAAGGCAAGCTGCAACATGGCAGGTCTTTTGAAGCCTCTATGCAGAGCTGTCATTATAGACAGTCACATGGTCAAACCCCACATCAAAAGGGTTGGAAGCAAAGTGCTCCCATAAGGAAGACATACCAAGGCCATGGAGAGATGGAATTGTAAACAAAAAATACAATGTACCATACAGCTTTTTTCCAGTATAAGGGTGCCAGATTTCCATAAGTATACAGCAGAACAGAAAATAATATTTTCTCAGGTGACCCCATGTTTCTGCCTACATGTGTGTATATATATATATATATATATATATATATATATATATATATATATATCTGAAAAAATTTCTGTGTTGAATTCTTCCTCACTGAGCACCCTGGTACAATAACTACGTAATGAAAACTCTGAGTGCTCCTTGAGAAAAACAAAGGGTCTCCTGAGTAAGCTACATTGAAAACATTTATTCCCAGCTGATTTTACTTATAATGGAGCCCTCTATATCTCTATAGTTTTCTCTCTACTGAGAGTCCCCCAAAGAAATCTGGGTTTGCAACCTGATATGTGCCTGGTACTGAGGATACAGTATCCTCACTTAGGCTGGAGACAGCTAGCAGGTTGTCAGAGCTATCTAGATGACCAGTGATGGGGACCTGCCCTTGAATGATGGGGTTAAGTCATTTGAGGTGAAAGAAGAGGCATAATGAGGAAGAAATTATTAGGATGTGACTGTAGGCTGAGCATAGCAATGAAGGGAGGCAAAGGTCAAAGAAGAGTCTTCTAAGTTCGAAGAAAGGAAGATTAGTGTACTCAATAAAAAAAATGAATTATTGGAAAAGACAATTTTAGTGTTGGAAACATTTAGAGCCAAGTTCTTACATGAATCCATGATTGGGGAGAAACCTTCTGGTGATCGGACATTGAGAATGACAAGCAGTTGTCACATTCCGCAAGTAGCTGACATTACAGTCAGCTCTGGTAAAAAGGTCCCTTTTTTGCTTTTCACAGACTTTCTTTAAAAAGTAAGAAGTATGTTCTTATAGGAAGGAAGGGCCAGAATGTCTTACTTGACCTGATTTTCTGGGTATTTTGGGAAATAAGAATGTTGTAAATGCCTGGAACATCTTGAAACTTCTTCCCGATAATAACATTTCCCCTCTACTGCCACCAGTCAGCCCCCCACCCCAAGTCCCAGTCCTCTGGTTCCCCAAACTAGAACCTAACTCATCTCTTATTATCCTGTTTGCTTCCATGTTGAATAGAATTAGTATCAATGAAACTCTGTTTTAATAAATATGTTTCAACTGAGCTGGCCAAAATAAATATTCACCACAGCTTCCAACACATACTTAGTGCCTTATCATTATTCTTCCAAGAGAATTATCCTAACCCCCAAACCACTCAGTTCCTGAAGACCACTTATGACACTATTTAATGACCTCCTTGTGTTTTATATATGAGTGTAAGGTAGCAGCTACACTCTGGCAAAAAGCAAAAAAGTACCATGAGCATGTGTATACACTGGATTCCTGCCTTCTTCCCTCCTTCCCTCTCTCCTTCCCTCCCTTCCTTTCTTTCTTCCTTCCTTCTTTTCAATGGTACACATCAAAGCATCTGATATGTGCCTGGTACTGAGGATATGGCAGCAAGCAAAATGAAGCCTTTAATCTTTGGAGCCTACATTCTAGAGGGAAGAAATAATTGATATACAGTATACAGCCACACCTAAGGGATCGTGCAGGTCCAGTTCCAGACCACTGCAATCAAGCAAATATTGCAATAAAACATGTCACATAAGGTTTTAGTTTCCCAGGGCATTTAAAAGTTATGTTTATACTATACCGTATTCTAATAATGTGCAATAGCATTATGTCTAAATAACAATGCATATACCTCAATTAAAAATAGTTTACTGCTTAAAAAAATCATCTGAGCCTTCATTATCTCCATTATCTCTTTGCTTATAAAGGGTCTTGCCTCAGTGTTGATAACCACAGGCTGATAAGGGCTGTGGTTGTTGAAGCCTGGGGTGGCTGTGGGAAATTTTTAAAATAAGACAAAAATGAAGTTTGCCACATTGATGTATTTTTCCTTTTGTGAAAGATTTCTCTATAGCATAAAATGTTGTCTGATAGCATTGTACCCACAGAAGAACTTTCAAACCTAGAGTCAATCCTCCTAAACTGCGCTGCTGCTTTATTAACAACGTTTATTTCATATTCTAAATCCTTTGCTGTCATTTGAACAATGTTCATAGCATCTTCACCAGAAGTTGATTCTATCTCAAGAAACCACTTTCTTGGCTTATCCATGAGAAGCAAGTCTTCAGTTGTTAAGTTTTATAATGAGATTGCAGCAATTTAGTAACATCTTTAGGCTCCACTTCTAAGTCTAGCTCTTTTGTATTTTCACAACTACAGTGACTGTCTCCACCGAAATCTTGAATCCCTGAAAGTCCTCCATGAGGCTTGTAATCTCATTCTTCCAAATTCCTGTTAATATTGATATTTTGGCCTCCTCCCATGAACCACAAATATTCTTAATTTCATCAAGACTGGTGAATTCTTTCCAGAAAGGTTTTGTTTACTTTGCCCAGATCCATCAGAGGAATTGCTGTCTATGGCAGCTATAGCCTTATTAAATGTATTTCTTAAGTAAGGCTTGAAAGTCAAAATTAGTTCTTGATCCATGGGCTGCAGAATGGATGTTGTGTTAGCAGGCATGAAAACAGTATTTATCTCCTTGTACATCTTCGGCAGAGCTCTTGGGTGACCACATGCATTGTCAATGAGCAGTAATAGTTTGAAAGGAACCATTTTTTCTAAGCAGAAATTCTCAACAGTGGGCTTAAAACATTCAGTAAACCATTCTGCAAACAGATGTGTTGTCATCCAGACTTTGTTGTTTCATCTATAGAGCATAGACAGAGTAGATTTAGCCTAATTCTTAAGAGCCCTAGAATTTTGGAACAGTAAAGGAGCATTGGCTTAAGCTTAAAGTTACCAGCTGCATTAGCTTCTAACAAGAGAGCTAGCCTGTCCTTTGAAGCTATAAAGCTGGCCATTGACTTCTCCACTCCACCTATGGAAGTCCTAGATGACATCTCCTTCCAACAGAAGGCTATTAGATCTACACTGAACATCTTTTATTTATTGTAGCCACTTTCTTCAATGATCTTAGCAAGATCTGGATAACTTGCTGCAGCTTCTGATCAGCACTTGCTGCTTCACTTTGCACTTTTATATTATGAAGATGGCTTATTTTCTTAAACTTCAGGAACTAACCTCTACTATCTCCAGAGTTTTCTTCTGCAGCTGCCTCACCTCTCTCAGTTTTTCTGGAATTGAAGAGATTTAGGGCCTTGCTCTGGATTAGACTTTGGTTTAAGGGAATGTTCTAGCTGTTTGATCTTCTATCCAGACCACTAAAACTTTCTCCATATCAGGAATAAGACTGTTTGGCTTTCTTATTATTCATATGTTAACTGGAGAAGCACTTTAAATCTCCTTCAAGAGCTTCTTGTTTACATTCACAATTTGGTTAACTATTTGGCACAAGAGGCCCAGCCTGTTTCAGCTTTCAACATGCCTTCTTTACTGAGCTAAATCATTCCTAGCTTTTGATTGAAAGTGACAGACATGTGACTCTTTCTTTCACTTGAATACTTAGAAGCCATAGTAGGTTTATTAATTGGCCTAATTTCAATATTGTAGTGTCTCAGAAAATAGTGAAGCCTAAGGAAAGCAAGAGAGATGGGGAAACAGCCAGTCGGTGGAGCAATCAGAACATGAACATTTATCAATTCAGTACACCTTCTTATATGGGCACAGTTTGTGACACCCCAAAACAATTACAATAGTAACATCAAAGATCACCGATCACAGATCACCATCAAAGATATAATCGTAATGAAAAAGTTTGAAATCGAGAGAGCTACAGAGACATGATGTGAGTACATGCTTTTGGGAAAGTGGTGCCGATAGATTTGCTCAAGTAGGGTTGCCACAAACCATTAATTTGTTTAAAAAAAAAAAACTAATACTGGTGAAGTACAATAAATCAAAGCACCAATAAAATGGGGTATGCCTGTAGATAAAGAGAGAGAGAGAGAAAGAGAAGAGAGAGAGAGATCAACACATACATATATGATGTAGTGATAAGCGCTCTCTAGGAGGATTGTCCCACGGACACTAAACAGCAAATGCTAAAATCTTATATTTTAAGACTATTTCCCAAAGTTATTGACAAATTTTCTTTTTGGTGGGAATGCTTGGTAAGTTTTAGACCTATAACGTTAATTGAACTAATTGAATATTAATATCAGTGTTTAATTTCATTCAAAACATTTTAACTTCTACTCAGTTCTCCAGGGTCTTCTGATCTAGTTGGAGACAGAGATAGACATGCATGGAAGAACAAAGAAGCATAGGCCATTTTGGAGTGCAATCGACTGCATTCCTCCCAAGAAATACATTCTGAGTTTCTATAGAGCAGATGCCTGAGTTCACAATAATAGATGAATAAGATATTAATTAATAGACACCTATATTTCTCATACTTATTTTCATACAAGATGATTCAGGTAAGGAATCAAAGGGGAGATAAAGAAATAAAGTGGAGGAAGGCAAAGAGAAATCTGACTAGTTTACAATCTTGTCTACAGCAGCAGAGATGTTGTGAAAAAAAAGATGTTACAACCACTAAGTTTGGAAAATGTAGCATTGAGAGACTTGCACCATACATCAGCAAAATAAAGGTTCTGAGAAGTCCTGCAGATTAAATAAACAGAACTGTTTCCTCATGTGAAGTCTATTTACATTCTCACAGAATGTAAATTTGACTGGGGCCAGTCAGATTAAAAAAACTTTTATTAAGGCAGCGTCCCCAACCTTTTTGGTACCAGGGACCAGTTTCGTGGAAGACAATTTTTCCACGGAGTGGGGGTGGGGGAAAGGTTTTGGGATGAAACTGTTCCACCTCGGGTCATCAGGCATTAGATTTTCATAAGAATCAGGCAACCTAGATCCCTCGCATGTGCAGTTCACAATAGGGTTCCTGCTTCTATGAAAATCTAATGCCCAGCTGATCTGACAGGAAGTGGAGCTGAGGCGGTAATGCTGGCTTGCCCCCTGTTTCTGTGGGGCTTACTGTGTGGACTGTTTCCTCGGGTTGGGGACCCCTGCATTAAGAAATGTAAAATGAAGATTATATTTTCAGGGATCATTTCTATAGTTTGTCACTAGGGAAGTTCCTCTGAATGTGTAGAGCACCAGAAACATGAGGAAGAGGCACAGGGTTCTCTCCTGAGTGTGAAGCTGGCTCTTGGCGCTGCTTTCCTGCAACTGCTATTTGCCATTCGTGATTGTGGAGAGTCAGAGGGAGAGGATGATGCAGTCTGAGTGGTTTCCGCTATAGAAAGAAACAGAGAAAGGCAGGAAGGGAGGGAGGAAGAAGGGAGGGAGGGAAGGAAGGAAGGAGGGAGGGAGGGAAGGAAGGAAGCAGGGAGTAAGGGAAGGAAGGAGGGAAGGAGGAAAGAAAGGAGGGAGGAAGGAAAGGAAGAAGGGAGGAAAGAAAGGAAGAAGGGAGGTAGGGAAGTAAGAAGTGGGGAGGGAGGAAGAAGGGAGGAAGGAAGGGAGGAAGGAAGGAAAAGGGGGGGCAAGGAAGGAAGGAAGGAAAGAAGGAAGGGAGGGAGGGAGGAGGGAAAGAAGAAAAGAAGGGAGGAAGGAAGGAAGAGAGGGAGGGAGGGAGTAGGGAAAGAAGGAGGGAAGGAAGGGAGGGAGGAAGGGAGAAAAGCAGGAGGGAAGGGAGGGAGGAGGGAAGGAATGAAGGAAGAGAGGGAGGAAGGAAGGAAGGAGAGAAGGAGGGAAGGAGGGAGGGAGAGAGGGAGAGAGGGGAAACAAAAGAAAAGAAAAGAAAAAAGAGAGGGACGTAAGGATTGAATTTTCTCCTAACATCAACCATGTCTCTGAGCTCTAGATCAGGAGAATCCAGATCTCTTCACTGTGTTTGTGTAAATTCGCCACCTGGTACCTCCCAATTTTCAGGGCAAATGTCCTCCGCCCATGATAAATGGTAATCAATACATCAAGAAACGTTCTGAGTAAGTTAATTATGACACCTTTTTCACAAACTCAGGTTAGTTTCCAACTTATTGTCAACTTAAATAGGTTTCAGTAGGAAAGCTATTAACTTCTGTTGACTGAGAAGAAATAGAATTATTATCTTGTTTATCAAAAGAGCCAATTTGTCTGTCTCCCTAAATGTATTTATTAAAGTAAAAAGGTTGCTTTTTATTGCTGTCATTGGAAGATTGTGGCTTATTATCATTCCAGTTGTTTTTTCGGATACAAAAGAGTTCAGAATACTGTTGCTATCTACACCTTCCTTGAGTGTTCTGAGGGAATGTTTGTGGGCACTATCTGTAAGAGTGTTTACAATCTGAAGCTGGTCACCAATGCTGAGCAGAGAAGCTCTGCTGAGGATGTGGATAGATTAAACTATCTATTGGAGAGTATCTTAGACTGAGTCTTGAGGAGCTAATCCTGAACAGGAATTCATCAGGAATTTATTAAGGAAGTGCCCCAGGAGATACCAGTGAGGGAATGGAGAAGCAAGACAAGAGAAGGGGAAGTCATTTAGCAAGGGTACAATTCTAGGGAGGATCCCAGCCTCTGCTCATCCTGCAGGAGAGCTCTAGAGCATAAATTACATCTCAGAGTTTGTACTGACAGGAGGCAAGGGAGCTAGGCTCTCATATCTCCATACTCATCAACTTTGGCTAAGGGCCATCCCAAAGGGTCTCAAACCCAGAGCACTTCAAAATCCACACATGTGGGCAAATTGGCTCCAGTAGCACAATGACAGGCCTCCAAAAATAGACACTCCTTGACAGTGTCAAGGTAAAGGACATTAAAAGCAAAATCAAACAGAAGCAAAAGTAGCAGTAAAGGAATGGTAAAGAGGATTAACAAGATGTAGGCGTGGCACCTAGAGTGTCTATAGAAAGTTGTGTAGAGCCCCATGTAACCCCTACCAAGTCAACTACCATTGCATCTAGGCCATGAGCATGTAGCTCAGTCTCTCTCCACTTTCACTTCCAATAATATCTATCCCTTTCCTATGCAAATGGGTTCAATATAACCAAATGTAACTTTTCTTCCTCATAAAGGAGCAAATGCTTTTAGTATAGTTGCATTGCTTTTACAGTTTCTTCTCTTTGAGTCTGGATATAATAGCTTCTTTGCAACAATCCACTCCTACATCTTATTTTTATCATATGATTATGTGTTTGCATTGTGCAGAGATTGGGATGGACTTTTATGGAGAGGCCAGTTCACAGCACTGAACACAGAGGTGCAAAACTAGCTGCCTGAGTGCCAATGGACTCTGTGCCACTTGCTTGCACCCAAGTGGATTTCTACAGGGATGAGTATTTCACTTTCCTCCAGTAGAAGTGCCATCTGTTAGTACTCCAAAAAGTAGCATTGATATATGATTCATTAGCTTATGTATATTCTAATACAATTTGAGTGGTAAGATCACTTTCTTCAGACCTTTGTGGATCTTGTGACTCATTTTGGAATATTTTCCCCTTATTTCCATTTTATTATTTGACTCCAGAATCAAAATTAAAATCTGCAATGAATATTTTATGGCCCACACTGTCTCTTGGTTCTCTTATGCATAATACAAAGTATTTGCAATTAAATGAAGGCAAATGAAATATTTGAGAAAGTAATACTATTGAAAACTAAAGAAGCTTGAAAAGGTTGAATTTCCAGTCCAGGACTTTTTATTCACATATAACTCATACTTTCCTTTAGAACCAGGAATAGTATTTACTTCACTGGCTCTCATCCTGTCTAATATAGCAAGCCCTGCATAGAACAAGCCCCATACATATTTCTGGATGTGCCCCATGCTTGCTCGCAAACAAATATTGTTAGAAGTTGAGCGGCTACCTCCATGTCCTTTTTCTTTCACTCCAAGCCTCCTCAGAGTAATTTCAAGTTTGAGGAGGCTCGAGAAAGATGTTGGTCTCATCTCTGGGATCCCCTTCATATACACTCCTGTTGTATATACTGTTGTGTCTTGGCTAATGTTCAGGAATCCTCCCCAAAACCAAACTCAGGAGGCAGTGAGATAGTACCAGATACTCTGGGAGCCCTCAAGTAATATTAAATATTGGAGCTTTAGTATTCATCCCAGTTATGAAACTTTAGTATTCATCCCAGAAGTTATGAAACTTCTCTTTCCCAGGATAAAAACAGAGGCAAGAATCTGAATGTAAACCAGAAAAGATTTCATGAAAGCGAAGAGACTTAGTGAAGATTTCACTAGGGAAGTAGGGAGTAAGTCTTCACTAAGTCCCAATACTTTTAGGGTTACTTTGGAGCCTTGATGGAGGAGACAAAGGAAGCAAAAGAACATACTGGAAAGTGCTACAGGGCACAAATAGGCCTCACAAAGAGAATCCCACTATGTATGCGCTTTCTGAGTAAATGCGTTAATGGAAATAAGAAAGTCTTCTTTGGCATATAGTATTGACACAGTTTTGGGGAAAAACAGCTATTGCAGTTTAGACTCAAGTGTCAAGTGCCACAAAAACTATAGATGCATCCCTTTGTGCAAAAATATATTGAAAATACCCCTTTCAATCAGCTTCTTCCCACCCAATGTGTGTTTCTCCAGCTCCCACACTGGCTTGGAGAATGTCAAAAGAAATTTATTTCAAACTGTCTGTCACAGTAATAAAATACTTTTGTTGCTGCTGGCTGTGTCATAATAAACTATAGTTATACAGGGTAAAAGGAGGCAGAAAACTTACTGAGGGATCATAAGATTGAACCAGCCAGGTGTGGTGGCTCACACCTGTAATCCCAGCACTTTGGGAGGCTGAGGCAGGTGGATCATGAGGTCAGGAGTTCAAGACCAGCCTGACCAACATGGTGAAACCCATCTCTACTAAAAATACAAAAATTAGCCAGGCATGGTGGTGAGTGTCTGTAATCCCACCTACTCAGAAGGCTGAGGCAGGAGAATCACTTGAACCTTGAACCTGGGAGGTGGAGGTTGCAGTGAGCCGAGATCGTGCCACTGCACTCCAGCCTGGGCGACAGAGTGAGACTCCATCTCAAAAAAAAAAAAAAAAAAATTGATGGAACCATTTGCTTCCATATTCAGTTAATGGCAAAGACAGAGTCTGACTCCTAGCAGGATAGAAAGAGAGATGAAGTCAAGAGAAGAAAAATGTTGAAAAGCCTTAGAATTCTTGAGTCAGGAAGAAAATCTTGGCAATCAGTCAGTAAGATAGTGTCAGAAAGTCTGAGACTACCATCAACACAGAGGAAATGAGGTAGGAAACTAGATTAGTCAATGCCATAGCAGAAGTATCTCATGAATTTGACCATATTAGAAGTAGTAACAGCACTACCTAACATACCTCCTCAAAGCTCTGTCACTTAAAATAATAAGCATATGTTTAGTCCTTGAATCTGAGAGTTGAGAATTTGTGCTGGGCTCAGCTGGGTTGTTCTTCTGCTCTCAGCTTGGCTCTAAACATGTGTGGGGGATGGCTTGCTGTGTAGAGGATGGCTTGCTGTTAGCTCATCAAAACTAGGTGACCTGGGTATGTTCCACATTTGCCATTCTCCAGCAAACTAATCCAGCTGTCTATGGCAATGATAGAGCTACAAGAGAGAACAAGACCATTTCATGCCTCTGCTTGCATCGTGTATGCCAACATCCTGTTGGGCAAACCAAGTTACATGGCTGAGCCTAGAGTCAAGGGGCAGAGCAGGTTTCCCACAATGGGAAATTATATTACAAAGTCATATGGCAAAGGAATGGGAACAAGGAGAGAAAAGTACTGGGTTATCTTTGTACTCTAGCCCATTAGTCATTCTGGGCTTATATTGATTTGTCATTTCTGTGTTATCAGAACTTCATGAGCAAAACCATTATCAGGTACAGTTAATGCTTAGAATAAAGCTGAGAAACCTATTGTATGAAAGGCATTTTTAACCAGCAGTGTACAGGAGAATAATAATTAAAATGATGATAAATTCAAAACATGAATTCACCTCAATCTGTTTTCTTGGGGGTACCCTTAAATAAAGCATTTCATGTTTGTTATTTAAAAATTTCATATGTGCCATGAGTCTCACAGCAATATTTAGGAATTATCCTCACAACAGCATGGAGAGCACAGTGGTATGATTATTTCAGTTTATTGTGGAGGTGGTTGAGATGGCAGATGTGTACCAACAATACCAAACTAAGTAACTAAAATATGGACAGTTTCAAGGGTCCCCTGAGTGTTCAGTTTATACAAGCAAATATATTTCTGGCTGAACTGACTGATTATTGGACTGAAGTAAATAAATTAAACAGATGTTTTAGCAACATGCTTTCACAGCTTCGAAGCATAGTAAGAATTTTTAAAACAATTATTTATTTGCTTCAGATTGCAACAGACAAGTCAGTATTACAACTCATGATGTATAGGTTGTAGATGAGGTGAATCACTCTATGACCTAAAATATATAACTCCAGTGAGCTTGGGTTATTATACTGTTTTATACTGGGTTCCTCCAAAAGCAGTCCTGAGACAATAATTTCAGGAAATGTAATCCAATAGTACAAGCACAAAATGCAGCTACTGTCCAGGCTGAGGGAGAGAGGTAGCTAGAGAATGAACCAAGAATAAGCAGAGGGATCCCTGTGTCCCCAAGGCAAAGATTGAGGTGAGGCCACTTATAATACTGTAATTTTCAGTTATATATACATATACATGTACACACATATATACATACATATATGTGTTAGTCCACCTTTCCTGGTGTAGAGCTACCAAAACGCTTGGAATCTCTAGTGATAAGAGTGTCTTTTATATGATAATGAAAAGACTGGTGGCTGGGGACCCCGAGATAGCTTTAGGATGGGGGCTGTTCACCAGAAAGACCTAGGCCAAATTAGAGGGTTGAGACTTCTGGGAGGGGAGGTGAAGTTTGGGTTTATCACCAATGGCCATTAAGTTAATCAGTCATGCATAGATAATGAAGCTTTCATAAAAACCCAAAAGGACTGATGTTGGGGAACTTCTGGATAGCCGAGCACATGGAGATTCTTGGACAGTGGTGTGCCCAGGGAGGGCAGGGAAGCTCTGTGCCTCTTCCCACATAACCTCACCCTATATATCTCTTCCTTCTGGCTGTTCATCTGTATTGTTTATTATACCCTTTATTAATAAATGGGTAAACTTAAGTAAAATGTTTCCCTGAGTTCAGTAAGTCACTATAGCAAATTAATCAAGCCTGAGCAGGGGGTTGTGGAAACCAAGTCACAACCAGTCCGCCAGAAGTTTAGGTGACAACCTATTACTTGCTATTATTAATACTTACTGTGAGACACCTGCTCTGCCTCTTGACTCTGGGCTCAGCCATGTGACTTGGTTTGCCCAATAGGATGTTGACATACACGATGCAAGCAGAAGACTGAAATGGGCTTGTATATTGGAGCTTGCTCTTTCTTGCAGCTCCATCATTGCCATGGACATCTGGGTTAGTTGGCTGAAGGATGGAAGATGTGGAGCATAGCCAGGTCACCCAGTTTTGATCAGCTAACAGCAAGCCATCCCCCACACAGCAAGCCATCCCCCACATGTGTTTAGGAATTATCTTCACAACAATCATATGAAAAAACAGCTCAACATCACTGATCATTAGGGTAATGCAAATCAAAACCACAATGAGATCTCATCTCACATCAGTCAGAATGGTTATTGCTAAAAAGTAAAAAAAAAAAAAACAGATGCTAGTGAGTGAGTTTATGGAGGAAAAGGAACATTTATACACTGTTGATAGGAGTGTAAATTAGTTCACCCATTTGTGAAAGACTGTGGTGATCCCTCAAAGATCTGAGGACAGAAATACCATTTAACCCAGCAATTCCATTACTGGGTATACACCCAAAGGAATATAAAGCATTCTATTATAAAGACACACACACACATATGTTCATTGCAGCACTATTCACAATAGCAAAGGTATGGAATCAACCTAAATGCCCATCAATAATAGACTGGATAAAGAAAATGTGGTACATATATGTTACGGGATCCTTGAGGTGTCACTTTTCTGGCTGGAAGCCTCTGTGGCCGGTGGTTCCTTTGCCTGAGTTTTGCTCGAGCCCACCTGGCCTGGAAGGCTGTGCTTGGCTCATGCTACTGGCCTAGATCCCATGCCTGCCAAGGGCCTGGATCCACACCTGCCAAGGGTGAGTCAGGTGAGGAGCGGTGAGCGGTGTGTTAGCAAGTGTGGGGTCCGGCCACTGCACACAGTCAGACATGCTGGCTGCTGCAGTGGGTCAGGCAGCTCCAGGTGCTGGCACAGGCCCCAGCTCTCTGCGAGGCTGCGGCTGGACCAGGCACACTGCAAGCAGCTTTCACGGCTGGCACCGGGGAATGTGTGGCACACGGAAGCTTGGAGACGCCAGGAACCATAGGGCCCCAAAGAGGGAGTCACAGCCCTGGCTCAGGGAGTTCGCAGGTCCAGGTTCCCCAAAGGGCCGCAGAGCTTCTCTCCTTCTCTTTACCTGCAATGTAGTGAGCAACGAGCACGACTCAGCCCTGTTCGTGTTACACCTCTTTCAGCCTCGCCATTCAGTGGGTCCGGAGTTCTTGCCCTGCAACCAGGCAGAATGAGGTATGCATACAAGTGATGGGTGAGCAAGATGAAGAGGAGCTTTGTTTAGCAATAGAACAACTCAGAGGAGACCCGCAGGGTGCAGCTCCTTTCTGCAGCCAGGGTGTCCCATCAAATGTTCAGCTCCTAGTAGAGAGGGTAGTTCCTCTCTGCAGGCAGCTTGTCCCAACAAGTGTTTAGCACCTAGCAGAGAGGGTAGCTCCTGCTCTGCGGCTAGTCATTCCATCATCTGCTCAGCTCTGGCTGAGCCCTGGGCTTTTTATGGGGAGGACGTGTGTGAGGATTTGTCCATGGGCGGGATTGGTCAGAGGGGAGGATTGGTCAGAGGGGAGGACATGTGTGAGGATTGGTCCATGGGCGGCCACGGGCGACCGGAAAAGGCACCACAAGTTCCCACTCTAGTCTGCGGGACAGGCAGCCTGGCCCCCAGCCTTCAGGCCCTCCCTGGCTTGAAGGTGGGGGCTCACCGGGGACCCGTCCCCTTCCACCCAGGAGTTTTCCTGCCTCCTGCCGCTGTCCGTGGCGCCCAGGCTGCTAGCGCCAAGGGTCACCTGCAAGCCAGCAGGTAGCTGCCCTCAGTCCCACCTTGGCTTTCCCCCGGCACTCGTCAGCAACCAAAGTCTGGAGGGGGCCGAGGCGGCAGGGGGTTGGTGTGTCAGCGCTGCCATGAGCATGGGCAAACCCAGCCAGCCTGTGACAGCACCTGGGCTTGGCCCTAACCCTGCTCCAAGATTGAAGCGAGCGCCAGGAGCAGGAAGAGGCCAGGCAGCAGGAGCAGACACCCTCAAGCCTGCAGGGGTAGTGGGGGATTTCCTGGGCCCCCAAGGGTGCATAATGCAGAGACATCCAGGTCCTGCACCTGGGAGGGTGGGGCACCTGCCCGCTCCATGGAATGTACAGGCAGCCCTGGCTGTGCTTCCTTGCAGCCTGGGGTAAGGGCTCCAGGTCCTCGCTTGGTCCCTCTCTGCCCGCCCATACCTGACCGCACTGCTCCCCAACTGGCTGATGGCTCGGCTGGGCTCCATCATGGTGGCCACCATGACGGCGGGCTCTGGGAGGGTTCCCACTTGTCCCTGGCTCCCACCTGCTCCATGGAGCATGGCAGCGTCAGGGACCCAGCTTTGCCTTCCACCCTGCACCTTCCCCACAGCAGCAGCGGGTGACAGTGGTGACAGGGAGCCAGGGTCTGGAGCGGCAGAGGCTCCAGGTCTGGTGGCAGATCCAACCTGGCTGTGTGAGGGTGATGGCGGTGTAGTCAGCTGCCTTGGGGATGCAAGGCACAGGGGACCCATCGCTTCCACTGCTGCTCCCGCAGCCGCTCCTGCCGCCACTGCTCACACCTCCCTGCTGCAGCCAGTACGGTGGCAGCAGCCACTCTGGACGCCCACCGCTGCCATCATATACACCATGGAATACTATGCAGTCATAAAAAGAATGAAATCTTATCCTTTGCAGGAACATGGGTGGAGCTAGAGAACATTATCCTTACAAAACTAACACAGGAACAGAAAACCAATTACTGCATGCTCTCACTTAATAAGTGGGAGCTAAGTGATGAGAACACATGGACACATAGAGAGGAACAACACACACTGGGGCCTATTGGAGAGTGGAGGGTGGGAGGAGGGAGAGGATCAGGAAAAATACCTAAGGGGTGCTATGCTTAATACCTGGTTGATGAAATAATCGGTACAACAAACCTCCATGACACAAGTTTACCTATGTAACAAACATGCACTTGTACCCCCGAACTTACAATAAAAGTTTATATATATTATATTAAAATCCAGCACTTATTTCTTGTTACCTTTTCTTTAGTGTGGCTACTAGAAAATTTAAAATTATATGGGTGACTCACATTTATAGCTCACATTGTATTTCTCCTGGATGGGTGCTGCCTTAGAAAAGCCACATATAAGTGGATACTCAATAAATATTTGATGACTAAATTAATAAGGTGGGCATTTTTTTCTAGAGATTCTAAAACGTTTGAATTTCACTGTCTAGTATGTTGTTGTTTTTTTAATTTGGAGACTAATATGTGGTCATCAACTTTTTAATTTTACCTAAAGTAAGCATAAAACCAAAAAAGTCATCTACTATAAACATTATCTTGTAAAAAAGGAAACATTTCAACACTCAAAAGCAGGAAGTAAGTGATCGCAAAGGTAGCAGTGGTCAACATGCACAATTATTTTGAAACCAACAGAAGAGACAGACACATATTTAAATTTTCAGGTACAGAACAAGTGCACAATAAAATTCTACTCTGAGTCATGACATGGTGAGTAATTGTTTTCTTGACACAGTTGTCAGTTTTAGGGTAGCTATGTTGTCAGTCAACTGGAAGTAAGACTGCTCTGTCCAGCTTGTTTTCGCTCTTTCTGTTGATTATTTTTGCTGAAAACTCCCTTGGCAAAGGAACAGCAGTGAAAATGGAATGGACACAGTTAGTACTGTTTCAGTCCCTTTGGAATATTCTGGGGTGACTGATTGCTGCCAGGGAATAACAAGACCAAATCTTCACACTCAAGTCATCCCCGTTAGTCTTATCAAACATATTGATGTTTTCTCTACAGCCAGAACAGAACACAGATACAGATTTTCAGGGCCACAGGAAGGAGGCCACAGGACTGGCTAGTGAGTGGCACCTCAGATCAGACCGCTGTAGTTCAACATGGAAAAGGAGGAATTTATCTGAGAAGGATGCTGTTCCCATGAACATTGCAGAGTTGGTGAGTAACCTGATGAAAATCTTGCCTGGAGAGTCTTGGTGTTTCATTAATAAACGGACAAGATGACCCTTTTATCACCATCCATAAAAAGGAGATTTAGAACCTCACTTGTTTTCCTATCAATCCAAGGGTTAACATAATCACTGCCTTCGCAGCCCCTGAAGTTTTTTCTTTATTTGGGAGCTAATTAAGTTGCCCCTCAGAGATATATGTACACCCCCGCCCCCACATTGTCATTTGCTCTTAGGGGCACCAGACGTGGAGAGAGGAAAGAAGAGACGGAGGAGGCAGTTATTTGAGTACAGCTCTTTGGGTTCCTCAGCTGTCAATTTCCATGAAGCATCATCACTAGCAAATTTAGAGGATCTTGAGCTGAGTTGAACAAACATTATCCTCCAGATGGGAAGCTGTGCTTTTTAATCGGAGTTTCTATTTGCTTCACATCTCTCTGGAACACAGAGACATTTTCTTAAAGCCTCATTCCAATGAAAGAAGACAAAAATAGTGGAAAATAAAAAATGTTTTAAAATCAATTTCCAGGAAAGTATTTGCTATTGATGCTGCCTTTTCTTATGACTTCTTCTGGAAATTTCCTTAATTATAAAGATCTGAAAATTAGAAAGTTGTTCTTCTTTAAGGGAGAAAAAAAAACGTATTTTTTTTAATCTCTGCACTGATCTTAGGAATCCAGTGATGGAATCCAGTGATGGAATCTAGCAGTCTGACATTTGCAATCTATCGCACTGAGATCCATATTTACAAGAATGCCTCCCAAGCATTTGTCTCCTTTTATGCTCTGTGGATGGACCTCCTGGAAAGGTAAGGGTGGTGCCTGACAGCTGCACTGGCCAACCCCAACCTGAAAGTATTTCGTAGGCAATAAAAGAGAAAAGTGGAAGGAAGATGGCCTGCCATCTTGTCAACTTTGTATTTCCTTTAAGTATATAATTATTTATCAACATAATTAGCATCACATTTTAATTATGTCTAATTACTATGTATAAATACACAAATATAAACATTAGAATATAGTTAAGACCAACACTACAATTTGCTGTCTTTCTCATACCAAACTTTACTTAAGTCCAATCACTCTGGCGCTCACCGTGATAAAAATTTTTGTACCGTGTTTGTTGTATACTAGAAAAATGAAGACCTAGAAACATGATTCCATTTCTCTATTGTCCCAGACAAACTCCAATTTAGCATTTATCTGCTTTCACTTTCTTCTTTAGAGAAGGGTTGCCTCCATACTTCCTATTAGCATTTTCTCCTGGCTATGCCAGAACTATGTCTTTCTTCCTTTTCCTTCTTACTTTTATTTGTTTTTTAAAGAAAACCCCTTTGCCCCAAGTGATTTAGCCAGAGCCAAAAGAAAATCACCCCGGAATAAATAGGAATCTTTGAGTTTTCTGTCCTTTGAAGCTTAAACAGATTAAATTTCTCTGCTCTGAATGCCAAAGATTAACCTTTAACCATGCCAGAATCCTACAGCCCAACCTAAACTTGTTCTGAAAAGATGTTTCTCCGGGATTTTTTTCTATTTTTAATATGTTCAAATGGTACAGGTTTCACACCGAGCTTGCTGGCTCTCTCACAAGCATTCATTTTGAGCTACTAAATGGGAGAAATTCACCTCTCTTTTGTAGATTTTTAAAACAGTCAACTTTCATGTCCTGCCTGATGGTAATCTGTTACACATTTGTGTAGCAGAATTCAGGCCAGACTTGGCTGTTTAGAAACCACTTTAATTTGCTACCATCCCTGAGAGTTTAAGTCTGTCAAAAATACTACAATTTTAGTTATGAGAAGGAAAAAGCAGACAGACGTCATGTGTGCCTCCCACAGTCTCTGGCTGAAAACCCACTCACGCTCCAAAATAATTTTCTCCCACAGGATCTCACTGATTTGTACGAACACAAAGCAATCTACACCAAGTTATTACAAAACTAAGAGTAGAATCAAGAAAATCATGAGTGCCCTTTACTCAAAATTCTGATATTTACCCAAAGAAGCACATCATACAGTACTTATAAAACAATGTATTAATACAAATGTCTGAGCTTCAGCTGATTGTTCCTCTTCTTTTGTGAATTTTTTTTCCTCATCCCTACCCTTAATTCAAGGATTTTTTAAAAAGCCCTATGAACATAAGGATGAATATCAACAAACATAGTATATACTTAGTCTTGAACAAAAGGCAGAAAAGATATTTTATAGTCCTAGACATTATCCGCATAAGAGAAGAAAGAGATTAAAATACATAAATGTAGCTGAGTGCGGTGGCTCATGCCTGTAATCCCAGCACTTTGGGAGGCCGAAGCAGGTGGGTCACTTCAGGTCAGAGGTTCGAGATCAGCCTGGCCAACATGGTGAAACCCCTCTCTACTAAAACTACACAACTAGCCGGGTGTGGTGGCAGGCACCTGTAATCCCAGCTACTTGGGAAGCTGAGGCAGGAGAATCGCTGGAACCTCAGAGGTGAGGCTACAGTGAGCCAAGATTACACCACTGTACTCCAGCCTGCGTGACAGAGCAAGATGCTGTCTCAAAATAAATAAATTAATTAAAATACATGAATTCCAAATTATATGTTACAAAAAGAATGAATTGTTTTCACCCTATTGAAATAATGATCTGTATGGACAAATAGACCACTTAAGAGGGTGATTTGGCATACGGATTGCTGACATATTAATAGTTAAATTTGGGAATGAGGAATTGACATGTAGGAGATAGCCAGAGGCTGAAGTTGCAGTTTGAGGATGATAGCAGACTAGGTCAGTAGAGGTAGGCTAACAGGGTCAGATGTTGAGGAAAATAATAGAGTGAGAGATGTCAGAAATGAAGGGGCATGGTGCATTTACAGATTTAGATAGCTGAAATGCAAGAAACCATTCCTTCCTGGTTTGGCAAAAAGATGAGATGCTGGAGAGGAGAACCAAGAGTCAAAGTTTTTGGTGACAATCAAATTTATCATCCAAACCAGGACACTTTGAAGTTTAAAGGTGGACTTTTGGTAATATTTCAGGGTATAGTGACTAAAATTATATCCTCCCAAAAGATATGTTCAAGTCCTAGTCCCCACTACCTGTGAATATGACCTTATTTGAAAATAGGGCATTTGTAGGTGTATTCAAGTTAAAATGAGGTCATACTGGGTTAGAGTGGGCCCCAAACCAAATGACCTTGTGTTCTTATAAGGAAAGGAAAGAGACAGAGACACCCAACAGGAGCACTATGTAAAGACGGAAGCAGAGATTAGAGTGATGTGTCTACAGGTGCCAAAGATTGCTTGCAACCACCAGAAGCCAGGAGGCAAACATGAAATACACTCTGCCTTAGGACATCCAAAAGGAACAACCACACTGACACCTAGATTCCAAAGCTCCAAACTCCAGAACTCTAGGAATATAAATTTCTGATGTGGTATTTGGGAATCGTTGTAAACCAGCATAATGCTACCAATACTGGGGCATGGCCATCCAAGTTGAAAATAATTTTCATGTTTCAGGTCTGCGTGACCAATATGATAACAATATTAGCCATGTTTTGAACCAACTAGAGTTACAGCTTCTGCAGAAAAAAAAAATGCTGAGTTGGATTTTGGACACTGAGGACTGAAACACTAATGGATATTCACCTAATTAGAGTTGAAGGTGGAAGCTCAGGAAAGTTTTATACAAACCAGCAGTGCAGGAGAAAGGCCAACCCTTGAGGCTTTCTCATGCATGACTACATTGCTAAACTGGCTTAGTATAGAACTCTTATTTTTCAAAACATTTTCACATCAATTATACCCATTTGATTTTAGCAGAAACCCTGGGAGGTATAATAATCTTCAATTTATGGATAAGTAAAGTGAGGTTTTGAGAGGCTTAGAAACTCATCCATAGTTATCTAAAGAGCTGAGTTATCAGCAGAATAAGAAGAGGAACCTAGAATATTTCCTTCCTAATCAATTTTAATTTCTACTCTTGTCATGCTGCTCCCTTTAATGTTCAAATTCAGAATAACGTAAAATTTTGCTGATTTGGCCAATAGTCATTGAAAAAAAAGAATAATGTGAAGTTCTTGAAGAACAAATAAAACAGTTATCTAAACTAATGTGCTTTCAAGTAAAAAAATAAGAACCCTTTATTAAACTATCAAAATTTTGTAGCAATTTCAAATGGGTCATGAACTATAAAACCAGGACTTGAAGAAGAGGCCAAAATAAAGAGAAGCTTCACCAGGAATTTACGTATGACAAACACAATAACAGAAACTCAGATGCAGGTGAGTGAGGCAGGAGAGGGCTAGGGTTGGGTGGTGGCAGTGTTGGGAAGCAAAGTGGGAGGATCTATGAAAGAAGTTATGAAAGCATTAACTCTCTTAGAACACATGAAAGTTTTGGAGTAGATAGATAGTCAGATATGAGCAGGGCAGGATACGACCCCAAGGAATGTCAGGTGACCATCAGGTGACTGTCATGCCATTGTGAGGCGGCCTCTTCAGGACTGATGGTCACAGCTGGTGTCAGGGAGGGGAAATTTTCCTAACAAACAGGAAACATCTTGAGCTTCTGGGCAATGACTTTCTGATAAGATCCTAGGAATTGAGCAAGTGTGTCCAGACATGCACAGTAAGGGACAAAATGGCAGTTTGACTGGTATATGACCTTCCTCTGGGAGCGCTAGACCAGTAAGGGAAAATTTCCCTAAGAGAGCATGTCTTTAATTTCAACTACCCAATGGCACATGCGGCCCCTCCCAGATACTGAGGAGTCACTGCACATGTAGCAGCTAGCCAACAGCCCACCCGAGGGGAAGGAGGAAGGGAGAAGACCAAGAAAAATAAATAGGAAATAGTAAATCTATAAGATTCCTGAGCCAAAGATGGGGGGCATTCAACCTTCCTAGTTGCCCAAGTGTACTTTTCTTTGCTTCAATAAATTCTCGTTTCTGCCTCAAATCTACGTCTGTCTCTTGGTCAAATCCAAGAAGACAAGAACCAATGACTGAAGAAACCTCCTAGACTTGCTGCTGGTAACAAAATGAGAACCACTGCAAAAGGTAAAAAGCATAATTCAATAAACCATTTACAGTTTCTGTAAATATACTGAATTCCACATGAAGGTCTTCTAATTTTATACTTAATTCAACAATTGAAATTCAATTTTAATTTGATTTAAAATACTTATTAATCAGAACTCTTAGGCATTATGGGAATAGACAGGAGAGCATAAGACAGTGATTCTACCCCAGAACTTGCTTTTATTGTGCAGTCAAGGTCTCAAGCTGGTAACAGAGACTATATAAAAAAACCATTGATTTTCCCAGCACAGGTAGTTTGCAGGACAGGGAGAAAAAAACAGCCTCTGTAAGTCCTCTTGAAGAGTCATTTTCCATAGGACCTGAGGTGTATTAACAAAGATGAATGGCTCACACCAGATGAACAATTTTATATCATTGAATTATGTCTATTAAAGTACATTTCATGCCTCTTAATTGTTGAATTAAAGAGGTCTCTTAGAATAGCGATAATATACTCAAACTGGTCATGATTCCTGCTTCAACAGCCATTTTATTAGAGCAATAACTCATAAGGCTGAACTAATCGCTCATTAATTAATACTTAACATTTTTTTTGAGATGGAAGAAGCAAGGTGTTCTCAGAGTAATTGCAATGCAGTTTGTGGAATGTGTACCCCAAGCAGCACCCTGCTGGGACACTTCTCTCAAATCAGTTCAGCATTTGCTTTGTATTTATTCAATTGTGTTTGTCCTTACTGGTGGCCTTTTCCCCATGACTACTTGTCCATTATCAGAGATGTAGTGAAGAATTGCACAGTGATGAATTCCTGGAAAAGAGATTTGTGGTCATAAATATATTCCTTCCTTTTCTGAGGCCCAGAAGAAGCAAGGGAAAAAACATCAGGGAAGCAAGTGGAGAGCACGGAAAAAAAAAAAAACAAAAAACATTAAATAAAGACAGAAAAAGAGTTAGAAAGTTAAAAAACAAAGGCAAAAAACAAAGCTAAGGATGAAAAAAAATGTGGCAAGAATCAGTAGTGTTTATTTAGTTCTACCATACCTGGACCTTGGTATACAAGGGCCAGGAACAGCTCCCAATGGTCCTGGGAGATGGTGGAAGTACAAGTACAAACACAAGGTTTTGAATCCTCTGTAAACAGAGGCTGTGCTATGCATGAATAGTTAAGGACAAGTACCAGTTAAGGAATTCTGCCTCTGTTATTCTTAAACTAGTCACAAGCTGAGAAATGATGTGTTTCCAGTGAGACTGAGAGACCATATAACAGTATTTACTAAGATCGTCTAATGGAAGCCAATGTCGCAAGTATAACACAGAAGAATCCCTTGCATCTGTGGTTTGCAAACTATTTTCTGCTGAGCAGAGATGCCTCAGGGTACACTAGCTGAGAGAAAGAGGGAGAGAAGGAAAGAGTGAACCTCCTACTCTTCTCTTTCTCCTGCTTCTGCCTCCACCAAAGCAACCAGCTCCTATCTGTGGGCCTTATGTCAGATTCTGTGCTGCTCAGAAAGAAAATAACTTGAAAAACACTTTAAAAAATATCTGTAGAGAAGTGCACCTTCCACACACATGGCATTATTATTATTGTGAATTTTTTTGATGTTGTCACTGTAAGCAATCCAGACTGATGATGGAAAAAACAAATTCTGAAAAATATACTTTAAAAGGTTTATTCTGAGACAATATGAGTGACTGCAGGGTGGATTACACAATCTCAAGAAATACTGAGAAAGTGTGCTGTTTGGTTTTAGTTACAGTATTTTAGTTGCAGTTTGGTTTTATACATTTCAGGTAAATCATAAATCAACACAAGGTAGATACACATTCGTTCAGCCCAAAAAGGTGGGACATCTCGAAGAAAGAGCTTACAAGTCATAGGTGAGTTATAGGGATTCTTAAGTTGACAATTGGTTGGGAGAGTTAAGCTATTGTCTAAAGACTTGAAATCAGAGAAAGGAATACCTGAGTTAAGATATGTGGGTTGTGGAGACCAAGATTTTTATTATGTAGGTGAAGCCTCCTAGGTAACAGCCCTCAAAGAGAATAGATGGTAAATGTCTCTTTTCAGACTTTGAAAGTGTCAGACTCTCAGTTAATCTCTCCCACACCCAAGAACGGCCTAGAATGGGAGAGGTCTGGCTAAATTAATGGAGATTTTCTACAGAAACAAATTTTCCCCACAAAAGAGCTTTGCAAGGCCATTTGAATATGTTAACTCTGTGGCAGCCATTTCGAAATATGTCAAGGAAATATATTTTGGAGTAAAATCTTTTTATTTCTTTCAGCATCTGCTATCTGCCATGTGATGCTATACCAGAGTCAGGTTGAAAAGTAAGTCACATTATATAGTGTTAATAAAACCCATCTGATGAGATTTTATGGTTTGTAGGGTGTGACTCCCCATGTCCCTTTGACAGGAATTTGGAGAAGTGAAAAAAGGTCAAAGTTTAGTTCTTAAGACAATTTGCAGAAATGAAGGTATGATAAAAACGATACAAAAGACTAAACTTCCAAATCCAATATTTTTCCCACTCTGGCTTTCTGAATCTTTAAAAGGATGCTTTCATTACCTTTTGGGCAGTTAGGAGGGAAAAGTAGAGTTTTTATTTAATTGAACTTTTTTCCATGTTTATTGAAATGTCCAGACTTTACGTGTACAGTGTAAGTTTGCAAAATATAAACACTTCTGGAACTATTACCCAATCAAAATATAGAACATTTCTGTCCCCTCTGGTAATTTTCTCATGCCCATTTCTAGCCAGTGGTCCACAGAGTCAACCATTGTTCTGATCTGTATCACTATGAATTAGTTTTGTCCTTGACCATCACATAATCAGATTCACATTCTGTATACCCCTTAGATCTGACTGCTTTCATTCAGCATTTTGAAGATTCATCTGTGTTGTTGTTCACATCAGTAATTCACTCATTTTTATTGCTGAGTAGATTTCCATTTATGAATATGGCACAGTTTGTCTATACATTTACCTGTCGATGGACATTTGAGTTGGTTTCAGTTTGGGGCTACTACAAACAAAGCTGCCATGAATATTCTTGCAGTTTGTGCATGTGAGTGTACACGTGTTTTAGTTTATCTTGTGTAAATGCTTAGAAATGGGATTTCTGGTTCACATGATTACTATATGAAAATTGCCGAATAATTCTCCAAGATAACTAGCATTTTACAACCTCCTCCACAGAATTAAATGAGAGCTCCAGTTGTTTTACAACCTTGACAAGATTTGGTGTGAATGGTCTCTTAAAACTTTTAGTCTTTATAATTGGTGTAGTGGTATTTCAGTGAGGTTTAAATATTTTATTTCAGTAGTGACTAATATATATTTAGCCCTTTTTCCATGCGCTTATTGGCCATTCTTACATCTTCTTTTGTAAAGTGGCTATTTAAGCCTTTGACCACTTTTATGGGGTTGTTGTCTTTTTATTATTAATCTGTAGGTGTTCTATGGCAAGTACTTCATCCTTTTCCATAGTTTATGGGTTGCCTGTTCACTTTCTTAATGACATCTTTGTCGAGAAGTTTGTAGTTTTGTTGACATTAAATTTTACTTTTTTTCTTAACTTTTATACTTAGTACTTTTACAAAAAAAAATAGGCTACTCCAAAACAGTAAAATATTCTCCTGTTTTTCCTTCTGGAAGCTTTATAGTTTTAGCTTTTACATTTAGGTCTATAAACAATCTCTAATTTGGAGGTATGTATGAGGTAGGGATCAAAGTATTTTCCATACAGATATCCAGTTGTACCATCCCCATTTGTTGAAATGAGTTTCCTTTGTTTTTAAATCTTGCTGGATCTTCTGTTTGGAATCGTTTTGCCATATATGCACATTCCTATTTCTAGGCTCTCTAATGTGTTTCATTTATTTATGTGTCAATCATTATTGTAGATTTATAATAAGCCTTGAAATCAAGGAGTGTTAAGTCCTCTAATTTTGTTCTTTTCCAAAATTGTAGGGTTTTTATTTTCATAAAAGTTTTGCATTAGTTTTTCAATTGCTGTAAAAATTCTGTTTGGATTTTTATTAGGATTACATCAAAGCTATTGATCAATTTAGAAAGAATTGCCATTTTTAACAACATTGAGTATTCCAATTTATAAACAACACATATCACTTCATTTATTTAGGACTTCTTTAATTACTCACGGCAATATTTGTAGTTTTCAGCATAGTATAGTTTTGTACATCCTTTTTTTAGCTTTTATTTAAATTCAGGGATACATGTGAAGATTTGTTATATAGGTATACTTGTGTCAAGGGGGTTTGTTATGCAGATTATTTCATCAACCAGGTATTAAGCCTAGTACCCATTAGTTATGTTTCCTGATCCTCTCCCTCCTCCCATCCTCCACCCTCTGATAGACCCCAGTGGGTGTTGTTCCCCTCTATGTGTCCATGTGTTCTCATCATTTAGCTCCCACTTATAAGTGAGAGCATGAAGTATTTGGTTTTCTGTTCCTGCATTAGTTTGCTAAGGATGATGACCTCCAGCTATATCCATGTTTCAGCAAAGGACATTATCTCATTCTGTTTTATGGCTGCATAGTATTCCATGGTGTATATGTATCATATTTTCTTCACCCAGTCTACCACTGATGGACATTTAAGTTGCAATAAACATACACATGCATGTGTCTTTATGATAGACCGATTTATATTCCTTTAGGTATATACTCAGTAACAGGATTGCTGGGTCAAATGGAAGTTCTGTTTTTAGATCTTTGAGGGATCGCCACACTGTCTTACACAAATAGTTGAACTAATTTGCACTACCACCAACAGTGTGTAAGTGTTCCTTTTTCTCCACAACCTCACCAGCATCTGTTATTTTTTGGCTTTTTAATAGTAGCCATTCTGACTGGTGTGAGATGGTATCTCATTTGTGGTTTTGATTTGCATTTCTTTAATGATCAGTGTTGAGCCTTTTTTCATATACTCACTGGCTGCATGTACGTCTTCTTTTGAAAACTGTTCATGTCCTTTGCCCACCTTTTAATGGGATCATTTGGGGTTTTTTTGGTAAATTTGGTAATTTTGGTAAAATTTGGTAAAGTCTCTTATAGATGCTGGATATATAGACCTTTGTCAGATGCATAGTGTGCAAAAATTTTCTCTCATTCTGCAGGTTGTCTGTTCACTCTGTTGATAGTTTCTTTTGCTGTGCGGAAGCTCTTTAGTATTTTTATTAGATCTTGTCATTTTTTTTTGCTTCTGTTGCAACTGCTAGTGGTATATTCATTATAAAATCTCTGCCCATCCCTATGTTGATGTGATTTGGCTGTGTCTCTACCCAGACCTCATGTTGAATTCCCATGTGTTTTGGGAAGGACCTGGTGGGACGTAATTGAATCACGGGGGCATGTCTTTCCCATGCTGGTCTCATGATAGTGAATAAGTCTCACTAGATCTGATGGCTTTAAAAAGGGGAGTTGCCCTGCACAAGCTCTCTTTTCTTGTCCACTGCCATGTGAGACATGCCTTTCACCTTCCACCATGATTGTGAGGCCTCCCCAGCCACATGGATATGTAAGTCCATTAAACGTCTTGCTTTTGTAAATTGCCCAGTCTTGAGTATGTCTTCATCAGCAGTGTGAAAGTGGACTAAAACAGTAAAGTGGTACCAGAAGAATGGGACATTGCTAAAAAGATATCCGAAAATGTGGAAGTGACTTTGAAACTGGGTAACAGGCAGAGGTTGGAACAGTTTGGAGGGCTCAGAAGAACACAGGAAAATGTGGGAAGGTTTGGAACTCCCTAGAGACTTCTTGAATGGCTTCGACCAAAATACTGATAATTATGTGGACAACGAAATCCAGGCTGAGGTGATCTTAGATGGAGATGAGGAGCTTGTTGGGAATTGAGCAAAGGTGACTTTTGTTATGTTTTAGCAAAGAGACTGGCAAGATTTTGCCCCTGCCCTAGAGATTTGTGAAACTTTGAACTTGAGAGAGATGATTTAGGGTATCTGGTGGAAGAAATTTCTAAGCAACAAAGCATTCAAGAGGTGACTTGGGTGCTGTTAAAGATGCTCAGTTTTGTAAGGGAAGCAGAGTATAAAAGTTCAGAAAATTTGCAGTCTAACAATGCAATAGAAAATAAAATCCCATTTTCTAAGGAGAAATTCAAGCTGGCTATAGAAATTTGCATAAGTAACAAGGAACTGAATGTTAATCCCCAAGACAATGGGGAAAATGTCTCCAGGGCATGTCAGAGGTCTTCATCAAAGCCCCTTCCATCACAGGCCCAGAGGCTTAGGAGGAAAAAGTGGTTTTGTGGTCCAGACCCAGGGTCCCTGTGCTGTGTGCACCCCAAGGATTTGGTGCCCTGTGTCCCAGCCACTCCAGCCATGGCTGAAAGGGGCCAACTTAGAGCTTGGGCAGTGGATTCAGAGGGTGCAAGCCTCAAGCCTTGGCAGCTTCCACGTGGTGTTGAGCCTGCCAGTGCACAGAAGTCATAATTGGGGTTTGGGAACCTCCACTTAGACTTCAGAGGATGTATGAAAACTCCAGGATATCTAGGCAGAAGTTTGCTGCAGGGGTGCAGTCCTCATGGAGAACCTCTGCTGGGGCAGTGTGGAGGCAAATGTGTGGTTGGAGCCCCCAGACAGAACCCCTAAGAGGGCACTGCCTTGTGGAGCTGTAAGAAGAGGGCCACTGTCCTCCAGACCCCAGTATAGTAGATCCACTGAGTGCTTGCACTCTGTGCCTGGAAAAGCCACGGACACTCAACACCAGCCCATGAAAGCAGCCAGCAGGGAGGCTGTACCCTGCAAAGCCACAGTTGGGGGTGCTGCTCAAGACCATGGAAACCCACCTCTTGCATCAGCATGACCTGGATGTGAGACATGGAGTCAAAGGAGATCACTTTGGAGTGCTAAGGTTTGAGTACCCCACTGGATTTCAGACTTGCATGGGGCCTGTAGCCCCTTGTTTTGGCCAATATCTCCCATTTGGAAGAGCTGTATTCCCCCAATGCCTGTACCCTCATTGTATCTAGGAAGTAACTAACTTGCTTTTGATTTTACAGGCTCATAGGCAAAGGGATTTGTCTTGTCTCAGATAAGACATTGGACTGTGGACTTTTGAGTTAATGCTGAAATGAGTTAAGACTTTGGGGGACTGTTGGGAAGGCATGATTGGTTTTGAAATGTGAGGACATGAGATTTGGGAGGGGGCAGAGGTGGAATGATATGGTTTGGCTGTGTCCCCACTCAAATCTCATGTTGAATTTTCAAGTGTTGTGGGAGGGAACTGGTGGGAGGTAATTGAATCACGGGGGCAGGTCTTTCCCATACTGTTCTCTTGATAGTGAATAAATCTTAAAAGATCTGATGGTTTTAAAAAGGGTAGCTTCTTTGCATAATCTTTCTTCTCTTGTCTGCTGCCAATGTGAGACATGCCTTTCACCTTCCATCTTGATTGTGAGGCCTCCCCAGCCATGTGGAACTGTAAGTTCAATAAATCTCTTTCTTTTGTTAATGGCCCAGTCTTGGGTATGTCTTTATCAGCACCATGAAAACGGACCAATGCAATGTCCAGAATGGTATTGCCTAGATTGTGGTCCAGAGTTTGTATAGTTTTGGGTCTTACATTTAAGTCTTTAATCCATCTTAAGTTGATTTTTGTATACGGTGTAAGGAAGGGGTCCAGTTTCAATCTTCGGCATATGGTTAGTTAGTTATCCTAGCACCATTTATTGAACAGGGAATACTTTCCCCATTGCTTGTTTTTGTCAGCTTTGTTGAAGATCAGATAGTTGTAGGTTTGTGGTCTTATTTCTGGGTTCTCTACTCTGTTCCATTGGCCTGTGTGTCTATTTTTGTACCAGTACCATGCTATTTGCTTACTGTAGCCCTGTAGTATAGTTTGAAGTCAAGTAGGATGATACCTCCATCTTTGTTCTTTCTATTTAGGATTGCCTTGGCTATTCGGGCTCTGTTTTGGTTCCATATGAATTTTAAAATAGTGTTTTCTATTTCTATGGAGAATGTCATTGGTAGTTTCATAAAAATAGCATTGAATCTATAAATTGCTTTGTACAGTATGACCATTTTAACAACATTGATTCTTTATATCCATGAGCATGGAATGTTTTTCCATTTGTTTGTGTCACCTCTGATTTCTTTGAGCAGTGGTTTGTACTTCTCCTTGTAGAGATCTTTCACCTCCCTAGTTAGCTGTATTCTTAGGTATTTCATTATTTTTGTGGCATTTGGAAATGGGATTGTGCACCTGGTTTGCCTCTTGGCTTGACTGTTGTTGGTGTATGGGAGGGCGAGTGATTTTTTTATGTTGATTTTGTATCCTGAGACTTTGCTGAAGTTGTTTATCAGCTTGAGGAGTTTTTGGGCAGAGACTATGGGGTCTTCTAGATATAGAATTATGCCTTCTGCAAACAGGGATAATTTGACTTCCCCTCTTCCTATTTGGATGCCATTTATTCTTTTCTCTTGTGTGATTGCTGTGACCAAGACATCCAATACTATGCTGAATAGGTGTGGTAAGAGGGGACATCCTTGTCTTGTGCTGGTTTTTGAGGGAAATGCTTCCAGCTTTTGCCCATTCAGAATGATGTTGGCTGTGGGTTTGTCATAGATTGATCATATTATTTTGATGTATGTTCCTTCAATGCCTAGTTTACTGAGAGTTTTTAACATGAAGGAATATTGAATTTTATCAAAAGCCTTTTCTGCACTACTGAGATAATCATGTGGTTTTTGGTCTTAGTTCTGTTTATGTGATGATCACATTAATTGATTTGTGTATTTTGAACCAACCTTGCATCTCAGGAATAAACCCTACTTGATCATGGTGGATAAGTTTTTGGATGTCTTGCAAATCTTTCATTAGGTTTATTCCAATGTAATGTTTTTTTGATAATAATGTAAATAATACAGTTATTCTTACTGTCATTTTCAAAATTGACGTTTCTGGCCTAGAAATACATTTGATATTTTTACATTAAACTTACATCCTGTGATCTTGATAACAACATATTTGTTCTGATAGTTTATTAATTCTTTTAGATTTTCTACATATACAATATGCTGTCTCCAAATAAAAAATAGTTTTACTTCTTATTTTCCAATATCTTTAATTTTTATTTATTTTTTATGCCTTAATGTGTTGGCTAAGACTTACAATACAATGTTAAATAGAAGAAGGAGGGACAACAAAGAGTGCCCCGGACATTTCTTTGCTGTCCTCCCAGAAGGAGGGAAGAGGTCAGCTGGAACACACCCTTTCCTACTGTGTATGGTCTGCTTGGCCACCTTTTCTACACCTCCAAGCCCATTCACTTTCCAAAACACAGTCCCCTATAAGAACCTCCTTATCATCCTTGATATTTCAACTTAAATAACATCTTCCCATAGATTCCTTACTTGACAACCCTATCTAAGTGGCATCCCTCTATATATTGTGTGTGCAATCCACCACACCCCCGATAAATTTTTAACCATAATTATCATTTTTATTTAGTTAGTTGTTTATTATCTGCATCTCACACAAAATTTAAGCTCCCCACAAGCAAGAACTTTGCTTGTCTTCTTTACTAATGTATCTGGGGAACCTAGCAGAGAACCTGCTATCTAAACAAACGTCTAGCAGATGAATAAATGTGCCTTTTACAAAATACTTGTCCTGCTCAGAGGAGAAATCATAGACACTCCCTTTGCTCCATACAGAGGAAGACAACGAGGAGAGGGGACACATTGCATAAGCCTTGAGCACATCGCTGACAAACCTCAGGTATAAAAAGTGTAGATTTATGTCACAACTTTCCTCTGAAATGTCGCAGGTCTCACATGAAGAACAGAAACAAGGATATGTGTTCTGCTTCAAGATTAGAACAGGAGGGAAGAGAACTGGTTAGGTCATTATTAGGGTTCTCTAGAGGGACAGAATTAATAGGACAGATGTATATATAAAATGAAGTTTATTAAGGAGTATTAGCTCACATGATCACAAGGTGAGGTCCAACAATAAGCCATCTGCAGAGCAAGGAAGCCAGTCCGAGTCCCAAAGCTGAAGAACTTGGAGTTGGATGTTTGAGGGGAGGAAGCATCCAGCATGGGAAAAAGGAGTAGACTTGGAGGCTAAGCCAGTCTAGTATTTTCACATTCTTCTGCCTATTTTTATTCTGGCCAGGGTGACAGCTAATTAAATGGTGCTCATCCAGATTGAGGGTGGGTCTGCCTTTCCCAGTCCACTGACTCAAATGTTAATCTTCTTCAGCAACACCCTCACAGACACACCCAGGAACAATGCTTTGCATCGTTCAGTCCAATCGAGTTGGCACTCAATATTAACCATCACAGTCATGAAGGGACTTGAGGGTCAAGATATATCATAGGATTTTGAATGAGGGACTCATAGAATTATATCTGGGCTTAAGAAGGTTGTGTTCAGGGGCCACATGGGCCAATTGTAGAGAGTTGAGAGTGGAAGTAGCATGCCAGTAAGAAGTCAATGTCTTGGTCCACTCAGTCCATTGGTCCAGGCTATACTAAAATACCATACCTTGGGGGGCTTATCAACAACAGAAATTTATCTCTCACAGTTCTGGGGGCTAGGAAGTGTAAGATCAGGGTGGTGGAAAATTTGGAATCTAGGGAGGGCCTGCTTTCTGTTTCATAGGTGGTGCCTTCTTACTCTCATCCCATGGTGGAAGGGGCAAGACAGTTCTCTGAGGCCTCTTGTGTAAGGGCACTAATCATGACCTAGTCACCCTCCAAGGGCTTCATCTCCTAACATCATTACATTGGTGATTAGGGTACATAAACATTTAGACTATAGCAGCCAACAACAAGAGTAAAAGGCAAGGAATAGTGATAGAGTGACAGTGGATGTGGAATCAAAGGGAAATCATCAACAAAATCTGCAATCAATTCAGCATGGGGGCCAAGAGAGCAGAGTAGAGTTAAAAGTGTTGCTTAGTGTTAACTATTAAAAAAAAAAAAAGTGCAAGGCTCAAATCGTCCTAATCTAAACTGCCCTCTTGACTTCTAGCACAATCTCCAAGCACAATTTTTTGGAAAATCAGGGCTGCCTTTTTGCAACTGTCCCTTGCTTCCTCACTGTTGGAAGTTCTCCCAGAAGTCTAAATGAATCCCACATAATGTAAAGCAAAAGGAACAAATAGCTAACTTAAAACTCAGACTTTTTTTTTTTAAGATTCAGGGAGTACATGTGCAAGTTTGCCATGAGTGTATTGCATGATGCTTATGTTTGGGCTTCCAATAATTTCATCACCCAATCAGTAAACATATAACCCCATAGGTAAAAATTCAGATTTTTTTTTAATACGATGTTACTTTTCTTTCTACCATCCTTAGGAAAAGAGAAAACCTCAGTGGCTTTCTTTCTTCTTCACCACATTTGGGTTTTCTTTGGTGAAAAAGCTCAGGATAAAATCAGATCTGCATTAAGCACCTGTTTCTCTGCAAAGTCACAGACATAGCTCTCTGCTTTAGCAGCATTTTTTTTTTTTTTTTTGGTTCCCTCCTCAAGAGCATTTGGATAATAAAAGAAAAGGCCATTACCCTACACACACACCCACTACCAGCTGCATTGAGAACACGAATGTGGATTCTGTCAAGTAGTTGGCAGAGGAAGCCTAGCTCCCAACTCCAAGCAGCCACACCACAAATGGCGTCACATTCAGGCTGTATTTTGTGCCCTCTCTGAGGTGAGTAGTTTGTTTTCAAACTATGTAGATGACGCTAGTATTCAGGTTGGTTTTTCAGTGCTGTCTGCAGGGACTGAAGTTTCAAAAATGAGACAAGAGGGACTGTCTGAGGGTAGACGGGGCCATGGGATGTTCAGAATCCTGGTGCCTGGTCTGACACCAGTGGGCACAGCAAGGCTGGAGCATGGGGTCTCCCTGCCATGGATGCCCAAATAAAAGGATTCTGAGGGCAAAAAGTTGACTTCAAACTTTCCGACTTCGTCACCTTCTCACAGTATCTGGCAACCTTGAGTCTCTTTCAGCTCACATTAAAATGACTCTGCTTCTTTAAAGAGATGTAAAAATGAAGGTTGAGTGATGGAACATTACTCCTCAAAGAAGCCCAAATGAATTCCAGATGTACAGAAGAGTGCAGTGGGGAATAGGGAGGAGACGTCTAGTGTCTTTCTCCCAGTTCTGCCATGGATTTGCTGTGTGACCCAGGGAAATCCATATAACCTCTATGACTTTTTGTTTCCTTGTCTGTAAAATGTGGGGATCTGTATAAATGGTCTGTGCCATCCCTCTCAGAAAAATAGCAAAATAAAGACAAAACTAATTATGTTATCCCTGCCATGCCAACATCTAGTTTCTACTTGAATGTTCCCAGTGACAGGGAGTTTGCTACATTTTAAAATGACTCAGTTTGAGTGCTGGAGGTTTCTTTCTTGTATCTCTTCCTTTCTGTGCAGTGTCAGTACAAAAGGAAACCCACTTCTGAAGGGACCATTTCTAGGATCCACATTAATATATTAAAGTTCTAAAAACACCACATCACTTTAGTAAGAGCTATCCAGCATTTATTCACTTGCTGCCAGTTTTCTTGGAATTTTCCTAGCTTGACTCAAAATATTCATGCAAACCAAGCCAAAAAGGAAGAGAAGGCAAAGGAAAACACAGTAGTTCTTTTTTTAATTTTTATTTTTTTCTACCTGAACAATGATAGTTTTTAAGGACAGCATTTCTCACAGAATGGAAACAAATTAGAGCTAAAATTCCTGGTTATCTTCATTCAACTCTTCTTTTGATCTAGCAGAGAAACTAAAAACAAGATAAATGATGTGACCTACCCAAGGTCACACAGCTGAGACTAAGCCCACATTTCTGGACTCCTAGTTCTCAACATATAAGTCTATGGATGTTTTCCAAAGGGAGCACCACGAAACGAATTTTTCAAGATATCAGAAGGTGGTTTTGGGGAGAAGGGGAAATGGGGAGTCAGGTTCTATGGTCAAACATATTTGGGAAATGCTAGTTTATTTTGTTTTGTTTTGTTTTATAGCATGGGTTCCCAGAAATTTAACTATGCTATATTGTTGGGACACAGTCAGGAAAGCAGCAATAACTGTAGATTTCTAGCATAAAAATATTTAATGCGGAAGATTGGGAGCTTACAACTCTATTGGAAGGGCCTGAAGTCGCAAAGATCAGGTAAAGCCACCATTAGATCCAAAGAGCACCACAGTTAGGAAGCTGCTGTCGCTATCACTACTGTCTCCAGACCTGAGGTGACTAATGTTCAGGGGAATGTCTGGAAAGGACTAGAAAACATTGCATCTCACAAATCTCAGATTTACTCCTGCCACTTGCTGGAGAAACAACAGTAGCTCTCTCCCTTTTGCCTTTTACTTTTCATGTAAGTGCTTCTCCATTGGCAGCGTCTAGTCTGAACTCTGTTCCCTCTGGAATCTTAGTAATGTAGTTATCAGGCTTCTAGACCCTAGAATGCAGTAGCGATCACAGGAGGGAGTGGTCTATTTTGTTTATTGTTGCTTTTGGAAATGTTATCTTCACCCAATTTGAGGTACCCACCAGAAGCCTGTCAGTTCCCTTCCTTGAGCAACTGATTAAGCATTTTCCTTATTGGGCTCTCACGCTGCAGACCACTATGCACTCACCCAATTAGCCTGGGGCCAGACCCCAGACAATTAGGGACAGTCTCTATGTACTGAGTCCACAAAATTATTCAAATTAGTCAATTCACAGGAAGCCTGTGAAACCCGGCTTGCCATACACCAGACATAAATTGCTCTCTGCATCTTGCAACTCCCCGTGTGGCCCTGCGTGGCAGCCTTCTCTCCTTCAGAGATGTAAGTAACTAAGAGTTCTGCCCTTCATTTAGTTGAGTATCTTTGTTTTGTGCCCACCATTAAAGAATTTTTGGATTTTATAAAGCAGGGGGCAGGAATGGAGCAGAGTTACCAAAATCAATCTAGTGCAGCTAATAATGTGTATTGAAGCTCTCCAGTGGAGATACAGTATTTAGTGTTTCCTGAACTTTTTTAACCACATGTCTTCATTTTTAGAGGTAACACTTACTGATGATACATGTCAAAAGGTATCAAGGTTTCATGAAACTCATTTTGGGCATTATTGTTTTAAATTATAATTTCAAGGGTTCATATACTTTGAAGGCCCTGTGACCCAAAAGGAAGCAGGATTGGTGATGTAGTGGCCTGGGCTATGTTATCAGGGCATTCATGATCACCACTGGATTATAGTGTAATCCATAGTACAGTTGCCATTGTACTATGGATTACACTGTACATAAAGATTGTTATTCTGCCTAGATAGTTCCAGCTGGTGGATTTGTACAGGACTTCCTGAACTCATATTTCTATAATCAAAGCCATCCTCATCTTTGTCTCCTATCCAAATCCTAGTTGATTATCAATATCCAACTCAAGTCCTTTCTTTTCAACAGGAAATTCAATGATTAGCTCAGCTTTCTCTCATCTCTTCATTCTCTGAAATCTTGACACGCTGTCAGCACTTGTCACAAATCTGCCTGTGACATCTCTTGTACTACTTTCCCTGCTCTATTTAACAGCTCTTTTGTGTCATTCTCTTATCCCCAACTGCATTGTAATCTCAAAGGAAGCTTGGATGCTGCTGGGCACCTCCTAAAACCTTTAGACAATGCTAAGCACATAATGGGTACACAGATAATTGTGGGAGGGATAAATTAATTAGTTGGCCACTTCAGTTTCTAATACAAGGATTTTCTATTGTTGTTTTATGTTGTTTTAGAATTTTAGTTGAAGCAGGACCTAGCTTGCATGTGGATATATTTGTTCATGCAGATGAGAGCAAAAGCAGAGTTCCATAAAAACTACTATTATCAAGTGGTAGAAGTGATTTTCCTTATGTAACATTTCTTAGCTATTTTGGTGTTCTTAAACCATGAAGAGCAATGTGACACTTATAAAGTCCTAAGTGACTTTCTTCCTTCCAAGAATTATTTCAGGCTTGGGTTCCCAGCAATTCAGAAGCAATTTCTATTTCTGCCATGTTCATACTTTGCATCTTCATAGCCTTTAAACTTTTTTTAAATGTATATGGTCTATTTGTCTTCCAACAATGATTCTTATGATCTGGGTAAAGCTAACACAATAGTATTGTCCTTATTTAACCATTGAAGAAACTGAGGGGCAGAGATCCCATCTAGTAGGTGGCAAAATCGAGACTTGAAACAAAATCTTCTGCCTCCCAATTTATAGCTCTTTCTAATGTGTTCCAAAGTAAAGAGAAGTGTAAGAATGTATGTATACATATATGTATGTTATATATGCATGAAATGCATGTACGCATTGTTTCATTAATCAGATAAAGGAAGGAATTTGAATTTTGAAATATCTGATTTTTTCTCCTCATAATAAATTTTCCAGTAGAAAGATAACCATACACACAATCCCCAAATTGATTTTTGTCCCCACATACAAAAATAATAAAATAAAAACATCTCTCTACTATGTCCCCGAAATCACCTCTAGAACTTTTACAGCTTGCAGGCTGCCTTAGACTATTCATTTGCCATAACAAAATACCATAGATGGAGTGACTTAAATAATAGAAATGTATTGTTCCACAGTTCTAGATACTAGAAGAACAAGATCAAGGTGACAGCATAGTTGGTTTCTGGTGAGGCCTGTCTTTCAGGTTTATAGCTGGCTGCCTTTTTCTGTGTCCTCACGTGGTGGGAGGTAAGGGTTGAGGGAGAGAGAGCCAGCTCTCTGGTGTCTCTTCTTAGAAGGACAGTAATCCTAACACAGTCACAAAGAGATTATGTCCCACACACTCATGACCTCTTCTAAACTTAATTATCTCCCCAAGGCCCTGTCACCAAATACCATCACACTGGGGATTAGTGTTTCAACATACAAATTTTGGGGGGACACAAGTCAACTCATAGCATTCTAGCCCTGCCTCTCCCAAATTTATATGTTTCTCACATGTAAAATAAATTTCTTTTTTTTTTTTAATTATTTATTTGACAGAGTCTCACTCTGTTGCCAGGCTGGAGTGCAGTGGCATGATCTCGGCTTACTGCAACCTCCACCTCCCGGGTTCAAGTGATTCTTCTACCTCAGTCTCCCAAGTAGCTGGGACTACTGGCTTGCACCACCAAGCCCAGCTAATTTTTCTGTTTTTAGTATAGATGTGGTTTCACCATGTTGGCCAGGATGGTCTCGATCTCTTGACCTCGTGATCCACATGCCTTGGTTCCCCTAAGTGCCAGGATTACAGGCCTGAGCCACCGTGCCTGGCCTTCCATTTTGACAACCCCATACCAGCATTAACTCTAAAATCTAAAATTTAAAGTCTTATCTAAATATCATCTAAATCATATGGGGTGAGACTCAAGATACAGTTCATCCTGAGGCCAAATTCCTCTCCAGCTGTGAACCTGTGAAAACTGACAAGTTATGTGCTTTTGAAATATAATCATGGGACAGGCATAGGATAAACCTTCACATTCAAAAAGGAAAGTAGCAGAAGTTCCCAAGCAAATCCAAAACCTAGCACGTCAAATTCCATGAGATCTTAAGGCTCAAGAATAATTCTCTTTGGCTCCATGTCTCACCTTCCAGGCTCACTGGCATGTCAATGCCACCCCATAGCTCTAGATAGGGGTCCTGCCCCTTCAGCTCTGTCCCCAAGGCTCCAGGTGGAGGGCCTCTGCCTGTTGAAACTGAGGTGGTGGCCCTGATTAGCTCTGAATTGCCTTCAGGGTTATTTTCCACTTCTCTTGAAGAGTAGGGCATGTTCACAGGCAAATAACTCCATGACCCTGTCCTGTCAAAGCCCGAAAGTCCTGCAGCCTTCCTTCATTATGTCTCCATCCCCATGTTGGCAGTGTTTCTGCATGTACCACACCATCAGATCTTTACTAAGTGTTTGCTCAGCCACACACTCAGTGTGGCTAACCATGGCTTATGTGGCTCTTTGGAGCAAGCTTTCTCATTTTTCCAGTCCATTGCATGCACAATGTTATATTTTTAGAAGTGGAAGTTATACTTAGAAGTCCTGTGCCACCAGCTGATGCAGGGAAAAGAATCCTGGAAAGCTGTTTTATCCACCACCACCCCTTGTCAAACCCTTCTTCAAACTCATTCCTTTCATGGGCACCAGAATGTAAAAATAAAGATTTAATCATGTTTCCCTGCCATTGACTCTCCAGCAGCAAGACAAAGCCCAGTCCTGCCATTTAAGAAACTTCCTTGCTTGTGTCTCTCCAACCTCATCTACCACTTTCAACTTCCAAACTGAATTTTATACCAAATGCAGTCAGTTATCATTATTTGCTGTATTTATGTTCTATAAAGTCACTGTGAAAGGTGAATTAGTAAATACTGAACCATTGTTCCTAAGGGGAAATATAAGATTAAGTTCCTAAGAGCCTCTGGTCATATTTTTATCAACCAATTGACATATCCTTGTTTTATTTGTGTTTCTGCTTAAAAACCCCTTATTTAATATACATTGTGGATTCATTAACATTGAATTCACAGCCAGTGGCACTAGAACTCATGCCTGATCAAAGTTTATCAATCACATGTATTTCCCTGTAAGTCATGTCACAGCCTTTTTGCACCTGTGAATATTAGACAGCATAGCCAATGCTTGGGATCTGTATTAAACAGCAGAATCACCAACAAAAAGTACAAAACTGTGGAAAATGTGGCACTACATGGACCTTGAGATGGACACTTGTTTACAGTATGAGAGCTAAAATGAGGAGACAGAGCACCATCTCTGCTGGGAACAGCAATGTCAGGTGGCTAAAATTTTTGCTGCTCTGTACATGTCTTTAAATGATGGTGAAAGTGCAGTATGTATTGATTTGGGGGTTACAAATAAATTTTGGCAAATAGGTGAATTTGCAAATACAGAATACACTAATAATGAGGACCCACTGAACTTGCAATCACCTGCTCTAGTTCACAGTGCTCTGCCTGTGTGTCTGTTTACATCCACATGGGGGTGAAAATGACGGAAGGTGAGGAAGTACACTCTGTAGATCCACAAGTGGAAGGCACTTGTTAAATATCTGCTGAAATGAACCAAACTTCACAGGTGTTGTATTCTCACAATATGCCAGCCAGGATCCCATCAAGCCAGATTGAGGTATAACAGCCCCTGGCCCTTTGGACACACACAATGAAGCCCTTAAACAGTATGTGGAGTTCTCATGTCAGATCTAATGACTAGAATGAATGAGAATCTCTTCTGATCACCTTGTTCTCAGTATTCATGACTTAAGTGGGGAGTAGAGGAGCAGGTTGTTTACCTAGCATGGTACAGGACTGTGTGTGGGCTCCTCAGACAGTGAGAGCTTCCTACAAAGATGGCTGGCCCAGTCAGTTGCCTCTAATGTTTAAAATTCTCCTGTTAGAACCTTATTTCTTTAGGTAAAGTATTTTCAGATGAGTATAAAGGAGGGAAATTAACATTTCTGAGGGTCTAGTATGTGTAACAACTTTGCACATTTACTGTCTCTAATCCGTATAACAATCCTATAGAAGAGGTAGAAATATCCCCTTTAGAGGTAGCAAAGAGACAGTAAAGTCAAGGGACATGCAGAAAGACACTAAGTGGTGGTCTGGCCAACATTTGTAGCCAGACTTGTTTCATCACTAGCTGGTTATTTTCATTACCCCATTCTACCTTTTAAAATACATTTAAGCACAAATATTTCTTAGCAGGGGTTCATACAGACATTAACACTCACATGTTATTTCTACTAGTTATTCGACAAATATTGGTAGAGAACTTCTAGTGTGCAACGAAATATGTTGGGACTAGAAGAAATGCAAAGTTGAATCCGGCATGGCTCCTAGATACACAGAACATGTGCATAAATGTTTAGAATGTGAGTGGAAATTATACACATCATAGAAGAAATATCAAAGAGGGCTGTCTCAGCTGGGAGAGTAAGAAAATCTCCATGGAGAAGGGGGCCCATGCTTGAGATTGAGGGAAGAGTGATGTCAGCATGGGAACAGCACAGGCACAGGCCAAGGAATGAGAAAGTGTGGGTTAAAAACTGATGCTCAAGGGAGCTGAACGTAGAAGTAAGTAGGGCACTGTAAGGCAAGATGAAGGAGGATCGTTATAAAAGTGACTTCATTGCCAGGGCCAGACCTTCGCATTTTAATCATTAGGCAGCAGAAGGTCACTGTCAGTGCCTGAGGAAGGGCATGGAGTGATTTGTGAGGTGGCAGTGTGTACTAGTTTGCCAGGGCTCTATAACAAACTATCACAGACTGGGGAGCTTAAACAACAGAATTTTATTTCTTGCAGTTCTGGAGGCTGGAAGTCTGAGATCAAGGTGGTGGGAGGGCTGGTTTCTTTCAGGCCTCTCTCCTTGGCTTGTAGACAGCCGCCTTCTACCTGCATCTTCACATGGCCTTCTCTCTGTGTGTCTGTGTCCTAATTTCCTCTCCTTATAAGGACACCCATCATATTGTATTAAAGCCCACTGTAATGACCTCATTTTAACTTAGGTACCTCTTTAAAGACCCTATCTCTAAGTACAGTCACATTCTGATGTACTGGAAGTTAGGACTTCAGTATATGAAATTCAGCCCATAACACAGGTATGAAGGATCGTGAGAAGGAGAAAGTGGGGAGGCCGGTTAAGGGACGTCACAGCAATTGAGAGCAGACGGTGGCAGTGGAAGAGATAAGGAGGCACACGGTGGACCTTAGTCTGATAGCTTTCCCCTCTGCCAGGAAGACAACAACAACAACAACAAATTTCTGTAAAAAGTTCAGTAAGAGAAAAGGAAAGTCAGCTGGAATTAACTTGGCAAGCCTTCCTTAGCCCATAGAGACATCCCCAAAGCCATCACTTCTCACTGCCTCCTGGTAGCAGGAGGGTTGCTTCTGATTCTCAACCCACACAGGACGAAGTGTCCCATTGCTCTAGTCTCAGAGTGTTTATATTACATTCTCCCATGCCTAGAATCTGAATCAGGGCCGGGGCATTCCTGAGTGACAGCTCCTATGAACTAATTATTAATGTTCCTGGCACAAAGTCTGGGTGGGCATTTATTCTTGTTCCCCAGGCCTGTGATGAATGGAGCTTTGTGCAGGCTGCATAATTTCTTCATTTCTCCATAAGTCTGTGCCTTCTGCTGGCATTTTAAGGAATGTATTTTTATGGAGTTTGGAGCTATCCAGTAATTTTCCAGGAGGGCATATTGCCCAGGCCAGATGGACAGATTTTTTTTTCTGGTTCCAGTTAGTGAAGGCCTGTCTGATAAGATCTTATCCCATCCTACTTGAAAGGTGATGCACAATTTACTTGTGAGGTAGGTGGTGAAAAATGACTCTATCAGAAGCTTCTTATGATGGGCTGGGCTGGGGAGGGCCACCCTTGTGTACCTAAAACCTCCCCAGTCTGGAAGGGAAGTAGAGTCAAGGGAATCTGCAATGATACATGCAAACAATGTCAAAGAAGGGCATTTTTGTCCTAAGATGTACCTATATTATAGCGCAGGATGTGATGGGACAGGATGTTGCGAAGTCACTCTATCTTAGCAGAGCATTATTCAGTTACTACCTTGAGAGCCCAGTGTTTCTCTCTGAATTCATTTGTCTTCAGAAAGAGAAGGCTGATGCAGTGAAGTACGGTAAAGAAGAACAAACTTTGACTTTCCCAAGAGAGTCAACACAGACTTTCAGTTATACTGTATTGTTGGGTCACTTATATTCTATTATATTCTGCAGTTATTGGACCAGAGCCTCCTTGCATGCTGAGTCCTCAGCAAGGTGGTGTAAACACCAAATAAGGTGGGCTGGGGGGCAGCATGTATAGTTCTTGGCACAAATGCTGGCACATAGCAGGCACTCCTTGTAAGAGACACTTGACTCTGTTGTATGGCATTCCCTTTCCTTTTTTTTTTTTAAACTGACCTTCTAAAGGGAACCGAGGCCAGAAAATACTTCCAGAAAAAGGTACCTTTCCTCTGGAAGTGGTAATGACACCATCAATACATAGAAACATCTGGGGTTTTTTTTCTATTTCTTTCCTGTTTTTAGACAAAAACCTGAATAATAATAATTTTATATTGAATAATACAAATTTGAATAATAATTTTTTACCTTCTTCTCAAACTTTTATTTCCTGCTTGAGGGCATGTCTGTGTCAATGGAAAGGTGGTCCCTCTCCGAATTCCCTCTCCTGCTGCTTCTCCTTCTCTCCCTCCAGGCGAGGAGCCCCTGACATCACTTTATTCTGTCAGGTCTTTTGCTGTATATCCTCACTCCTTCTTGCCTTTTCCACCTGCTGCTGCTACTAACATAAAACTCTAAAAGCCCAATCATTTTCTCATTCTCACTGCAGGCAAATATCTTGACTTTTACCAGAGACAACACAAAAATTTCCCAAAAAGAAGAAACTTTTCTTCCCATTTAACCTATAAGAAAATGACGTCACTTGCCTAGAAACCATGACTTGTATTGTTTTCCAAAATAATCTTACCAAGGTGAAGAAAAGAATTCAGACAAGGAGGTTTAACCAACAACTAATCAACCAAAACAAATAAATGTTAGAACAAACCACAAAAGGAAAAAAATAATAAATTGGACTTCATCCAATTTTAAAAGTTCTGCTCTATACGGAATATATAAAGAGGTCTCAAAATTCAATAATAAAAAATGACGGAAAAATAAATGGGCAAAAGATCTGAATACATGCTTCAGCAGAGAAGATATACTTCCCCAGTAGTCTCAGGAATGAAAAAAAAAATAAAAAGGCAATAAGCCCATGAAAAGAGAGCTAACATAATTTGTCTAAAATAACAGGGGGGGACACTCACCCTAGCTTTCAGTGTTCTGGTGAGAGTGAGGAGAAACTCCCACATAGTGCTGGTCAGAATGCAAAGAGCTGCAGCCACTTGGGAAAGTGGTTTGGCAGCATTTTCTGATGTCTATCATTTACTTACCATATGACCCAGCCTTTCTATTCCTAGGTATGTTCACATGAGAAATGAAGACATAAGTCTACATGCAAAAAAAAAAAAAAAGGTTCATGAATGCTTGTGGCAGCTTTAGCTGTCATCCTCAGAACTGGAAACAACCTAATGTCCAGTGTCTGGTGAATGGAGAAACCATAATAAATCCATAAAATGGAATATTACTCAACAATAAAAAGGACTAAAGTACTGATAGAAACAGCAATATGGATGGATTTCACAAGAATTATGGTAAGTTAAAACAAGTCAAATTCTAAGGGCTCCATATTTTACAATTCCAGTTATATGACATTCAGAAAAAGGCAAAACTAAATTAGTAGAGAATAGATCAGGGGTTGCCAGGGGTGAAGGTGGAGGTAAGGGTAAATGACCTTAGAGAGGACAAGAAAACTTTATCAGGGTGGTGCAAAATTTCTGTATCTTAATGTGGTAATGACTACCTGACACTATACATTCATCAACATTTATAGAACTACACACCTCAAAAGTGAATTTTTTTCTGTATGAATTATACCTTAATAAATATGTTGCAATGTTCAATGTGAAAAAGGGGGTTGTGACAAATACTCCATTTTACATTCATTCATTCTTCATCTAACCCTTCCCAGGGAGGTCCTGTAAGTCAGACATTGCCAGATAGCTCAGGAATCTAGAGATAATGTGATCTTACTCACAGTGTGGTGAGACTCGTAAAAGAAAATGTGGCTGTTTTGTGATAGCATATTCTTTGCTGTGACAGAGAGAGCACACAGAAGTGCTAAGGTTGTGGAGGAAGAAGCACAGGAAAGCTCCCTGCTAAGGATTTATAGGAGCTGAGGCCTGAAGAACAATTAGATGGTGAGGGGGAAGGCATTCCGGTGTAAGGAACAGCAGGAGAAAAAACACAGGGGCAGCAAAGAGCCAAGGGGAGTGGATCCTCTCCTCCTCCCTCAGCAGCTGCTGTGGGGGGGATCAAACAGCCAGACAGAGCTTGTCTGACCAGCACTGACCCCCTAGAAGAACAGAAGGAAGGCTGGTCCCCTGACCCGGTGCCCTCACAGCATAGACATTTAGAAAAGTCTTGCTAAATTCTGCCTCACAGTTGAATTCCAGTGATGAACATAGAAAACGTAGAAGTGATAAAAATAGAAAACTACTTTCAAGTAAACGCCACCGTGACAATTATTGAGAAGCAAGAATCTTTGATGGGTGATAAAATTAATGGGTAAAAGTATGATGAGAAGCAGGGTATTTGCATAGTCACAAAGTATCTTTTTAAAACATTTTAGCACAGGGAAACAGGAACGACAGTGCAGGAACCTCACCAACACCACGTTAATCAAGGGATCAAAATGAGTCATACCAGAAGTTAGGTTGTTACCAGGTGCCCTCAACGTGATGCACTGAAAGGGCACAGTGGCCCTTCCGTGGTATCCCTGCCACAGATGCTAGCTTAGATCAGGCTACTATAACAAATTGCAGGAGATGGAGTGGCTTAAATAACAAGTATTCATTTCTCGCAGTTCCGGAGGCTGCAAAGTCCAAGACCAAGGTGCCAGCAGATCTGGTGTCTGGTGAGGACCTACTTCCTGGTTTGCACATGGCTGTCTTCCTGCTGTGTCCCTTCATGGTAGAGAGAAGACAAATGGAGGAAGCAAGCTCCCGTGTCTCTTCTTCTTCTTTTTTTTTTTTTTGAGACAGGGTTTTACTCTGTTGCCCAGACTGGAGTGCAGTGGTGCGATCTCAGCTCACTGCAACCTCCGCCTCCCGGGTTCAAGTGATTCTCCTGCCTCAGCCTCACGAGTAGCTGGGATCACAAGCGTGCACCACCATGCCTGGCTAATTTTTGTATTTTTAGTACAGACTGGGTTTCACCATGTTGGCCAGGCTGGTCTCAAACTCCTGACCTCAGGTGATCCACTCACCTCGGCCTCCCAAAGTGCTGGGATTACAGGCATGAGCCACAGCGCCTGGCAATCTCTTCTTATTAGAGCACTAGTTCCATTCTTGAGGCTCCACCCTCATCACCTAATTACTTCCCAAAAGGCCTGGCCTTCTAACACCGTCATACTACAAGTCAGGATTTCAACATGTGAATTTGGGGGAGACTCAAACATTCAATTCATAACAAATGCATAGCCTCACTCTGATTCTGAGAGAAATATCAGACAAAACCAAATTAAAGAGTGTTCCACAAAACAACTGATTTGTATACTTCAAAAGTTCCCAGGCCATGAGAGAAAAAGAAAAACTGTCATAGATTAGAAGAGACCAAGCAGACGCAATAACTAATTGCAATGTGGAATCCTGGATTAGATCCTGGACCACAATAAGGACATTAGTGGGAAAACAGGCAGAATTCAAATAACATCTGTAGATTAGTTAATAGTACTGCATTGATGTTAATTTCTTGACTTTGATAGTTGTACCAAATTACATAAGATGTTAGCCTTAAGGAAATCTGGGTAAAGGATATTCGGGAGCTCTCTTTGTATATTTGCAACTTTTCTGTAAGTCTAAACTTAGTTTTTCAAATACTTAGAAAATGTTGTCTGAAAAGGTGCAAGCTAATGTTAAAACTTTATACAACTGTGCACAAGGACATTCCTTCTACTGCTAGCTATTTTTATTTATTCAAGTCTTTCCTCAGACTGAACAAAGTGCAGTTAAGAGTTTCTGTAACTAGGAGCAACAAAGTTATCTCGTAGGACAGAAACATGTTCTTACCTTATCTTTTTGTCTTTAAACATCATAGGATTATATATTTAACAGTCATCTCATCCATTCCCAGTTCTCAGGGGTCTCAAACCTAAACTCTCTCCTAGCATATGAGAACTTGTGCTATTGCACAACATTCCACATGCCATCAACATTGTGCAATTCTCACAAGTCTTAGTGCAGTCCCACATGCTGCAGAATAGAAGCTACCTGCGGTTTGCTGAAAGTGGAAGGTTATTCTTCTCAGTCAAGGGTTTTAATTGCAAATAAGGTACCTGCTGCTTGAGTCAGGACTCTGTACAACAGCCAATAGTCTGGTGCTACTGTCAATGCTGGCCTGCACAGGGTCAGTCTTCCATTAAAATGATAAGCCAGGATTTCTCATGTGTATCTGAGCTCTATTTAGCTCCCTCAGACACTGTGGTTTTGTTTTCTGTTTGAAGAAGTGAAGGTCAAGCAGAAAGAACACATTTTTCTTGATAACCATTAGATAGAAAGCTAAAGTGGGTTTTAAGATCTGATTGAACTTGAAGAGAATAGAATGCATCTCTTCTAACACCACTTGCCTATATAAGGGGTTGTCAGCCTTTAGGCAGAGCAGCATTCATTTGCCTTTTCTGACAGTTTCAGTTTCCTGGGGGTGATGAACTCTCCTCCACTCTGTGCAGTCTTGGTGGGATGGCACACCCAATTGCTTGCACAGGCATGCTAATAGTTAATGGCAAGTTTGAAGACTTCTTTTGCTAGACCCTTCCTTTTGCTATCCTGGTGCATCCACGTGCATAGCTCATGTTCTGATGTTGGTGCAGAGGTTGCTTCATTCTCAGACTTTGAAACTTGAGTTGAGAGATGCAAGGAGGAAAGAAACTGCTGCAGCTGAATTCCTTGAGTGTTGTAGCCCTGGGAGGCTGTGGAGATGCTCCTGGAGAAGGCACTCTGATTCCCTGGGTCTCACCTCTTTCAAACCCAGTTCTTCAACTTTCTTCATCCTGGGAGCTGGACCACACCCTGACAATACATTTTCCTTTAAAAAGCTAGCCAGAGTTGCCACCTGTTATTTGCCACCAGACAATTAAAAAGATCTGGTTGAATCCTCCAAAATAATGAGAAGACCCTTAAGTGGCTCCCAACTCAAAGAAAAGGATCCTCAATACCATGAAGTTTCAGAACCTGTGGTTGTATTCTGAGATTTTTGGAAATATAAAACATAGACATCAACCTTTTAAGCTTTTTAATCACTGAAGTAGCTTCTGAGAAGGAAGAGAATCCTTGAAACATATAATTACTTACAAAGTATCTTAAACTAGAATTAACTAATTTCAAAGTATCATTTGAAAATGACTGCAATATGTACTTTGTGCCAGTTTATTTATATGTACATTATGTTTACTAATATAAATGATCAGAGTTCATGAATTTCTCTTGACTGTTGGTATAATTTTCTATCTTGGGATTTAAAAACAATAAAAAGTTAATGAAACACAACCCTAAATGACAGAGGCTTCTGAATGTGAAGTCACTATAAACATTTTTAAAGACCTGCCCTGTTTCTTAAAAGTTAAACACACACTACCATATGATCCAGACAGTTCACTTCTAGATATTCACTCAAGAAAAATAATAGCATGTGTCCATATAATGTCTTGTACAATATGTTTATAGCAGCTTGATTTGTAGTAACGTAAAACCGGAAACAACCCAAATGTCCATTAACAGGTGACCGAACAAATAAATTGTAGTATATTTCTACAATGGAATAACACTCAGCAATAAAAAAGGAGACAGGTATAGGGGCCAAGGGAAAGCTTCCCCTTTGCCCTCTGGAGGTTTGCTGGAAAATCAACATATAGAAGGCAGATTAATAGGAGAAATTGCATACAGATTTATTAACATGCATGAGGAGAACCATGGAGTGTTTACCCCAACCCCCTAAATGAGTTGAAGAAGCTTATATACCTTTTTCATAAGGGAGGGAGGATATGAGGAATGTAGACAATTCTCTTGCAGGACAGTAAGTGAGTATTAGGGAGAAAGAATGAACCAGGGAGACAGGAATTAACTTGTAAATGATTCTCTTTTGAATTTGAATGAGCCTGAGAGGCAGGCATTATCTTGTGGAACAAAATATATAAGATCTTAAAGAAAGGCAAGATGGTTGAGCTTTTATACCATCTTGAGGTTACAGAAAGAATAGGGCTTGGATGGTGGCAAGTGGGTTATGGCAGTGGGAGAAGAGGAGACGTGGCTAGCAAAGGTGGTCTTGTTATGTAGATGAAACCTCTCAGGTGGCAGCCCTCAGAGAGAATAGATGGTATAGGTTTCTTTCAGACTTTAAAGGTGTCAATGTCTCAGTTCATCTTTCCTAGATTGGACAAGGGAGGACCTCAGAGAAAGCTTGGCTGTGCCAGTGCAGATTTTCTCTACAGATGCAAATCTCCCCCACAAAAGATGGCTTTTCAGCCATTTTTATATTTCCAGACCTCCTGAATAGCCATCTTGAAATACATCAGAGAAGCATATTCTGGGGTGTTAATGAAAAAACAGGCTCTGTAAAATATCTTAAAGAGGTTTATTTTGAGCCAATATGAGTGACCACAGCCCACAGAAAACACAAATCAAAGAAACCTTAACTGGTCCTAAGGCAGTCAGGTTATAGTTTGGTTTTTCACATTTTAGGAAGAGAGGAATTGTAGGTAAAATTATACATCAATACATGGATAGCATTCATTGGTTTAGCCCACAGATATGGGACATCTCAAAGCTTACAAGTCATGTTAGTGGTGGCAGGTAGTCTAGTTATTGGTGGCAAATTCATACAGGTCTTCAGCAACCTCAACTCTTGCCTCTTCAGAAGAAAGAATTCGACTGGTGGACAGAAGGCAGAAAAAGAGACCAAGGCAAGTTTTAGGGTAGGAATGAAAATTTATTAAAAAGCTTTACAGCAGGAATGAAAAGAAAGTAAAGCACAATTAGATGAGGGCCACATGGGCACCTTGGAGGGCAAGCGCGGGGTTTGACCTTTTGACTTGGGGTTTTATATGTTGGCACACTTCCAGGGTCTTGTGTCCCTTCTCCCCTGATTCTTCCCTTGGGGTGGGTTGTCTGCATGTGCAGTGCTTGCTAGCACTTGGGAGGGGAGCAAGCACAGTGTGTTTCCCGGAGTTGTATGAATGCTTACCAAAGATGTTCTTCCCTTACCAGCTGTATTTCCTTAGGAGGTCATATACCAGTTACACTCTGCCATTTTGCCTCTTAATGTGCATGTGTGAGCCCACTCACCCAACTCCTGAGTTCTTATCAGGAAGCTGCTGATCACCAGATTCAGGGGTTTTTTTATCTACAGGGAGACTGCCTTTCCCTGGCACTGGCTGCAACCAGTTATTACTTTAGAGACAGTAAACAACTGCCTGACCATCACCTGATGATCGCCTGACATTCCTGGTTGGGGACAGGGGTGCTCTCCTTCCCTGCTTATGTCTGCCTACCTGCTATACAGTCATGGGTGGATTTTAGGAAATCTTTAGTTAGCAATTGGTTGAAAGAGTTGTGCTTTGTCTAAAGACTTGAAGTCAATACAAAGGAATGCTTATGTTAAGATAAGGGGTCCTACTGTCTGTCATGTGATGCTATACCATAGTCAGGTTGGATATTAAGCTACGTTGTATCAGGTTAATTTAAAAAAGTTTAACAAGATTTTTTGGTTTGTAGGGTGTGACTTAATCCTGGCCTTGCATTGCCTTAGGTCTTTTATACTTTGGTATCTTACTGCCACAAAGAGTCCATTCTGTCAGTCTTGTGATCTCTACTGAAACGTTAATGCTGGTCAGTTGTGTGTAAATTCCAAAAGAGAGGGGGTATAATGAAGTGTGTTCAACCTCCCTTCCCATCGTGACTGGGAATTCCATTTTTAAGGTTTTTCTGGGCTCCTCTTGGCTAAGAAAGGGTCTCTTCAGTTGGTTGCAGGTGGGGCTTAGGATGTTGTGAAATATTTTGGTTTCCTTCACATGCAGGAACGTGGATAAATCTCAAAATAATTATGCTGAGTGACAAAAGCCAAACAAAAGAAGAGTACATACTGTATATACTCCTTTTATATATCATTCTGGAAGATGCAAACTAATCTATGGTAACTATAGCTGACCAATGGTTACTGTGGAGTGGGAAAGAGATGACAAAGGGATGTAAGGAAACTTGTGGGTGACAGATTTATTCAATATCTTGATCATAGTGATGTTTTCACAGATATATTAGTATGTCAGACTATTCAAGTTATTCACTTTAAATATGTGCAACTTATTGTATGCCAGTTATTCCTCAATAAAGCTATTGTAAGAATCTAGGTACTCACCAGCCAGATTTGGTGCTAGATAATCTGGCAGGAATATGCAAAATACAATGCTAGCACTCAGAGAGATCTGAGACCGTCTAATTCTGGGGTGGGAAGGGGGCAATTTTTTTTTATAAAGAGTAAATATTTCTGGCTTTGTGGGCCATAGGATTTCTGTTACAATACTCATCTCTGCTGACACGATACAAAAAAAAAAAAGGTCACAGATAATATGTAAATAAATGAGAGTGGCTGTGTCCCAATAAAACTTTATTTATGAAAACAGGAAGTGGGCCAGATTTGGTCCATGGGCTTTAGTTTGCTGACTGTAATGTAGTTGAACACATTTATTATACAGAAACAAAGAGATGAATGCTATGTGGACAATAGCAACTTGTAAAAATCAGAAGTTATATACTTCAATATTGTTTATCAACCTCTAGTTATAAAAATATAAGTTAAAACTATATTAGGACTTATGCCAGAATATCACTCCATAGATTGGCAGTGGCAATGGGAAATGTATCTTTCTGGTAGAGAAATCCATAAGCCACCACCTTAACCAACAACAGCATTTATCACAAATAGTGGGACCATCTGATTTTATATGCCTCCTGATGTAATGTAAAATGAATTAGGCAGCATCATTTATGAAGAATTATTACCAACAATGTTTAATATCTTTGTAATTTAATCAAGCCTTTGGATTTTCTTTCTAGCCTGTAAGACATACAAGAGAAATAGGAACAAATTAAATCCCTTGAAGAAACAATGAGAGAAATCTAGAATAAGAGACATGCCACAAGATAGCTGGTTTGATCTCTTAAAGAAGTAAATGCTATGGGGAAAAAAACATATCTGAGGAAGATCACGCTAGATTAAACATTCTGGTTTGAAAAAATATTTCTAGAAAAGATATTTTAGGTAATATTGTGGTTTGAATGTGTCTCCCAAATTTCATGTGTTGGAAATTTAATCCCCAGATTCACATATTAATGGTATTTGGAGGTGGGGCCTTTGAGAGTTAATTAGGGTTAGATAAGGTCATCAGGGTGGGACCCCCATGATGAGACTGGTGGCTTAATAAGAAGAAGACAAGGGATCTGAGCTGGCACACTCTCGCCCTCTCTCCATGTGATACCCTTCACCATGTTATGATATAGGAAGACAGCCCTCACCGGGTGCTGGTGCCATGCTCTTGGACTTCCCAGTCTCCAGAAATGGGGGCTAAATAAACTTCTACTCTTTATAAATGATCCAGTCTGTGATATTATGTTACAGCAACATAAAACAGACTTAGACACGTAAAAATGGAGAAATATGACTATAGTCTAGTTATCTAATCAAGATAATATTAATATTACCTAGTTTAGATAATATTATTAAATGATTGTGGCTTTTCTTAGGTAGAATAATAATATTGTGATTTTGTAGGAGAATATTCTTATTTTAGAAAACAAATGACAAAATACTTAGAGAAAATGTTTCATGATGTCAGCTACTAAAAATATATATATATAAAAAGAAATAGGTGCCGGGCACGGTGACTCACACTTGTAATCTCAGCACTTTGGGAGGCCGAGGTGGGCAGATCATGAGGTCAGGAGATGGAGATCATCCTGGCTAGCATGATGAAACCGCGTCTCTACTAAAAATACAAAAAATTAGTTGGGCATGGTGGCAGGCACCTGTAGTCCCAGCTACTTGGGAGGCTGAGGCAGGAGAATGGTGTAAGCCTGGGAGGTGGAGCTTGCAGTGAGCGGAGATTGTGCCACTGCACTCCAGCCTGGGCAACAGGGCAAGACTCCTTCTAAAAAAACAAAAAGAAAAGAAAAGAAATAAAACAAATATGGAAATAGGTTAATAATTGCTGAGTCCAGGTTGTGGGGTTATATGTGCTCATTGAACTTCTCTTTTGACTTTCTGTATATTTAAATGTGTTTATAGAAAAAGTTGATAAAATTGTTTTATTTGATGATATGCCTTGAGAGGAGAATATTCTTATATACACATATTTAAATTATGATAATTGTCCTTTTTAATCAAGACAATAAAAAGAAGGTGAGAGAATATTCTATTACAGGATAAACTAAGAGCTTTATTTATTTATTTTTATTTTTACTTTTACTTTAAGTTCCAGGATACATGAGCAGAACGTGCATGTTTGTTACATAGGTATACGTGTGCCATGTTAGTTTGCTGCACCTATTGAACCATTCTCTAGGTTCCCTTCCCTTGCCCCCCACAACCCAACAGGGCCTAGTACGTATTGTTCCCCTCCCTGTGTCCATGTGCTCTCGTATTTCAACTCCCACTTATGAGTGAGGACATGTGGTGTTTGGTTTTCTGTTCTTGTGTTAGTTTGTTGAGGATGATGGCTTCTGGCTTTATCCGTGACCTTGCAAAGGACATGATCTCATTAATTTTTGAGGCTGCATAGTATTCCATGGTGTACCACATTTTCTTTATCCAGTCTATCATTGATGGACATTTGGATTGGTTCCAGTGCTGCAATAAACATGTGTATGCATGTGTCTTTATAGCAGAATGATTTATATTCCTTTGGGTATATACCCAGTAATGGGATTGCTGGGTCAAATGGTATTTCTGGTTCTAGATCCTTGAGGAATTGCCACACCGTCTTCCACAATTGTTAAACTAATATATATTCCCACCAACAGTGTAAAAGCATGCCTATTTCTCCACAGCCTCACCAGCATCTATTGTTTCTTGACTTGTTAATAATCACCCTTCTGACTGGCATGAGATGGTATCTCATTGTAGTTTTGATTTGCATTTCTCTAACGATCAGTGATGTTGAGCTTTTTTTCATATGTTTCTTGGCTGCATAAATGTCTTCTTTTAAGAAGTGTCTGTTCATATCCTTTGCCCAGTTTTTGATGGGGTTGTTTTTTTTTTCTTGTACATTTGTTTAAGTTCCTTGTAGATTCTGGATGTTAGATCTTTGTCAGATAGACAGATTGCAAAAATTTTCTCCCATTCTGTACGTTGCCTGTTTACTCTGATGATAGTTTATTTTGCTGTGCAGAAGCTCTTTAGTTTTATGGTTTTAGGTCTTACATTTAAGTCTTTAATCCATCTTGAGTTAATTTTTGTATAAGCTGTAAGGAGGGGGTCCAGTTTCAGTTTTCTGCAGATGGCTAGCCAGTTTTCCCAACACCATTTATTAAATAGGGAATCCTTTCCCCATTGCTTGTTTTTGTCAGGTTTGTCAAAGATCAGATGGTTTTAGATGTGTGGCATTATTTCTGAGGCCTCTGTTCTGTTCCACTGGTCAATATATGTGTTTTGGTACCAGTACCATGCTGTTTTGGTTACTGTAGGCTTGTAGTACAACTTGAAGTCAGGTAGTATGATGCCTCCAGTTTTGTTCTTTTTGCTTAGGATTGTCTTGGCTGTACGGGCTCTTTTTTTGTTCCATATGAAATTTAAAGTGTTTTTTTCTAATTATGTGAAGAAAGTCAATGGTAGCTTGATGGAGATAGCATTGAATCTATAAATTACTTTAGGCAGTATGGCCATTTTCACGATATTGATTCTTCCTATCCATGAGCATGGAATGTTTTTTCCATTTGTTTGTGTCCCCTCTTATTTCCTTAAGCAGTGGTTTGTAGTTCTCCTTGAAGAGGTCCTTCACATCCCTTGTAAATTGTATTCCTAGGTATTTCATCCTCTTTGTAGCAATTGTGAATGGGAGTTCACTCATGATTTGGCTCTCTGTTTGTCTGTTATTGGTGTATAGGAATGCTTGTGAGATTTGCACATTGATTTTGTATCCTGAGACTTTGCTGAAGTTGCTTATCAGCTTAAGGAGATTTGGGATTGAGATGATGGAGTTTTCTAAATATGCAATCATGTCATCTGCAAATAGAAACAATTTAACTTCCTCACTTCCCATTCGAATACCCTTTATTTGTTTCTCTGGACTGATGGTCCTGGCCAGAACTTCCAATACTATGTTGAATAGGAGTGGTGAGAGAAGGCATCCTGTCTTGTGCCAGTTTTCAAAAGGAATGCTTCCAGCTTTTGCCCATTCAATATGATATTGGCTGTGGGTTTGTCATAGATATACCTCTTATTATTTTGAGATATGTTCCATCAATACCTACTTTATTGAGAGTTTTTAACATTAAGGGATGTTGAATTTTATCAAAGGCCTTTTCTGCATCTATTGAGATAATCATGTAGTTTTTGTCTTTGGTTCTGTTTATATGATAGATTATATTTATTGATTTGTGTATGTTGAACCAGCCTTGCATCCCAGGGATGAAGCTGACTTGATTGTGGTGGATAAGTTTTCTGATGTGCTGCTCGATTTGGTTTGCCAATATTTTATTGAGAAGTTTTGCATTGATGTTCATCAGGGATATTGGCCTGAGGTTTTTTTTGTTGTTGTTGTATCACTGCCAGGTTTTGGTGTCAGGATGATGCTGGCTTCATAAAATGAGTTAGGGAGGAGTCCCTCCTTTTCAATTGTTTGGAATAGATTCAGAAGGAATGAAACCAGCTCCTCTTTGTTCTTCTGGTGGAATTTGGCTGTGAATCCACCTGGTCTTGGGCTTTTTTTTTTTTTGGTTGGTAGGCTATTAATTACTGCTTCAACTTCAGAACTTGTTATTGGTCTATTCAGGAATTTCACTTCTTCCTGGTTTAGTCTTGGGAGGGTTTTTGTGTCCAGGAATTTCTCCATTTTGTCTAGATTTTCCAGTTTATTTACATAGAGGTATTTATAGTATTCTCTGATGGTAGTTTGTATTTCTCTGCGGTCAGTGGTGCTATCCTCTTTATCGTTTTTTTATTGTGTCTATTTCGTTCTTCTCTCTTTTGTTCATTTTTAGTCTAGCTAGTGGTCTATCTATTTTGTTAATTTTTTCCAAAGACAGCTTCGGGTTTCATTTATTTTTTGGAGGTTTTTCTTGTCTTTATCTCCTTTGATTCCGCTCTGATCTTAGTTATTTCTTGTGTTCTGCTAGCTTTTGGATTTGTTTACTTTTGCTTCTCTAGCTCTTTTAATTGGTGATGTTTGGATGTCAATTTGAGAGCTTTCTAGCTTTCTGATGTGGGCATTTTGTGCTATAGAATTCCATCTTAACACTGCTGTTTCCCAGAGATTCTGGTACATTGTCTCTTTGTTCTCATTGGTTTCAAAGCACTTATTGATTTCTACCTTGATTTCGTTATTTACCCAGGAATCATTCAGGAGCAGGTTGTTCAATTTCCAAGTAATTGTGTGGTTTTAAGTGAGTTTCTTAATCCTGTTCTAATTTGATTGCACTGTGATCTGAAAAACTGCTTGTTATGATTTCAGTTCTTTTGCATTTGCTGAGGAGTGTTTTACTTCCAATTGTGTGGTTGATTTTAGAATAAGTGCTATGTGGCACTGAGAAGAATGTAGATTCTATTGATTTGGGTGGAGAGTTTTGTAGATGTCTATTAGGTCCACTTGATCAAGAGCTGAGTTCAAGTCTTGAATATCCTTGTGAATTTTCTGTCTCATTGATCTGTCTAATATTGACAGTGGGGTGCTAACGTCTTCCACTATTATTGTGTGGGAATCTAAGTCTCTTTGTAAGTCCCTAAGAACTTGTTTTATGAATCTGGATGCTCCTGTATTAGGTGCATATATATTTAGGATAGTTAGCTCTCCTTGTTGAATTGGTCCCTTTACCATTATGTAGTGCCCTTCGTCTCTTTTGATCTTTGTTGGTTTAAAGTCTGTCTTGTCAGAGACTAGCATTGCAACCCCTGATTTCTTTTGCTTTCCATTTGCTTGGTAAATTTTTCTCCATCCCTTTATTTTGAGTCTATGTGTGTCTTTGCATGTGAACTGGGTCTCCTGAATACAGCACACCAAAGGTTCTTGACTCTTTATCTAATTTGCCAGTCTGTATCTTTTAATTGGGGCATTTAGCCCATTTTCATTTAAGGTTAGTATTGTTATGTGTAAATTTGATCCTGTCATCATTATGCTATCTAGTTATTTTGCACACTGTTTGATGCAGTTTCTTCATAGTGTCATTGGTCTTTATATTTTGGTGTGTTTTTGCAGTAGCTGGTACTTGCTTTTCCTTTCCATATTTAGTGCTTCCTTTAGGAGCTCTTGCAAGGCAGGCTTGGTGGTAATGAAATTCCTCAGCATTTGCTTGTCTGGAAAGGATTTTATTTCTTCTTCACTTATGAAGCTTAGTTTGGCTGGATATGAAATTCCGTGTTGAAAATTCTTTTCCTTAAGAATGTTGAATATTGGCCCCTGCTCTCTTCTGGCTTGTAGGGTTTCTGCAGAGAGATCTGCTGTTAGTCTGATGGGCTTCCCTTTGTAGATGACCTGGCCTTTCTCTCTGGCTGCCCTTAACATTTTTTCCTTCATTTCAACCTTGGAGAATCTGATGATTATGTATCTTGGGGTTGATCTTCTTAAGAAGTATCTTAGTGGTGTTCTCTGTATTTCCTGAATTTGAATGTTGGCCTGTCTTGTAGGTTGGGGAAGTTCTTTTGGATAATATCCTGAAGTGTGTTTTCCAGCTTGTTTCCATTTTCCCCATCTCCTTCAGGTACTCCAATCAATCGTAGGTTCAGTGTTTTTACACAGTTCTGTATTTCTCGAAGGCTTCATTTGTTCCTTTTCATTTTTTTCTCTATTCTTGTCTGCATGCCTTATTTCAGCAAGATGGTCTTCAAATTCTGATATCCTTTTTTCTGCTAGGTCAATTCAGCTATTGATATTTGTGTATGCTTCATAAAGTTAACATGCTGTTTTTCAGCTCCATCATGTCATTTATGTTCCTCTCTAAACTGGTTATTCTAGTTAGCAGCTCCTCTAACCTTTTATCAAGGTTCTTAGCTTCTTTACATTGGATTAGAACATGCTCCTTTAGCTCAGCAGAGTTTGCTATTACCCATCTTCTGAAGCCTACTTCTGTCAGTTCATCCATCTCATCCTCTATCCAGGTCTGCATCCTTCCTGGAGAGACATTGTGATCATTTGGAGGAGAAGAGGAGCTCTGGCCTTTTGGGTTTTCAGCATTTTTTCATTGATTCTTTCTCATCTTCATGAGTTTGTCTAGTTTTGATCTTTGAAGCTGCTGACCCTTGGATGGGGTTTTGTGGGGACTTTTTTTGTTGTTGATGCTGTTGTTGCTTTCTGTTTGTTTGTTTTTCCTTCAATGATCAGGTGCATTTTCTGAAGGGGTGGTGCGGTTTCCTGGGGGTTTACTTCAGGCCCTATTCATTTGGTTTGCTCATGTGCTTGGAGATGTCACTCAAGGAGGCTAGAGAACAACAAAGGTGGGTGCCTGCTCTTTCCTCTGGGATCTCTGACCTCCAGGGGCACCAACCCGATGACAGTAGGATCGCTCCTGCATAGGGTGTCTGACAAACCCTATTGCGTGGCATGGGGAACAGGACTCATTTAACAAAGCACTTTGGCTGTCCCTTGGTGGAGGGGATGTGCTTTGCTGTGGGGAAACCCACTCATCTTGGCTGCCCAGATTCTTCAGAGCTAGCAGGAGGAAATGCTGTCTTCTGGTCTGCAGAGACTGCAACCACTCCTCCCTCTAGGGCCTCAGGCCCAGGGAGATCAGAGTTCTGTCCCTGAGCCCCTGGCTGGAGTTGTTGGAGTTCCTGCAGGGAGTCCCTGCCCAGTGAGAAGGGATGGGTCAGGGTCAGGCCTGAAGAGGCACTCTGGCTGTAGTCTGCCACAGCTGGTGTGTTGGGCTATGGGGGACACTTCTTAGGACAAGCTATCCAGCCTCCCTGGCTCCAGCAGGGGAAAAGCACAGCCTGGAGCTGCAGAGAGGGATGACGCCCTTCCTTTGCCTAGGGAGCTTAGTGTGTCAGGCAGCTCTCTGTCCCAGAGCTGGCTGTTGCCCTTCCCCGAAGGGGCTCAAATGGCTTAGACAGCAGGCAGCTGCAGCTGTGGTGCTGGTCGTCTCTCCCCGCAGAAACTCAGCAGGTTTAAGCAGATTCTAGCTGAGAGGCTGTTGAGAATCTGCATGGCTCCAGGGTTGGGACCCAAGGCCCTGGTGGCATGGGTTCATGAGTGGGATCTTCTGATACATGGGTTGCACAGTTCCGTGGAAAAAGCACGGTTTCCCTGGTTGGGTAGCATGCTCACTCACTACCTCCCTTGGCTGGGGGATGTGGGCTCCACGACCCTGTGTGGCTGTCAGGTGGGCAGCTGCACCACACTGCTCTTCTTTCCTCTCCGCAGGTAATGCCAGTCATCTAGACTGTTCTGATGAGAGAACCTGGTTACCTCAGTTGCTGGTGCAAGATTCACATGCTATTATGGTTTTTTTGATGGGAGCCTTTGATCACCACTGCTTCTAGTTGGTCATCTTGGCCCTGCCCCCTACTAAGAGCTTTTCAACATTAAACTATCGTATATTTTCAAATAGGCGATTAAAAGAAGAAAAATAATTTTTCAAAAGGAAAACAGTTGTCACAGACCTTTAGTTAAGATGCACATTTGAATGACCAGGGAAATTCTGAGAAACATTTATTGTGGCTTGAATATTTGATACAAGGACAGAATTCATTTTAAAAAAAACCCTTATATTCTATAATTGTGGCACTTTTGTAGACTAGAAAAATAACTATAAAATCTCCAGGTGCAGAAAAAGAGTAAATTTTAGTGTTTTCAAATATCCCATGCAAGACATGATACAATGTTTGAAGAAGAAAAATGATCTCCCAGCATTAGGAAAGTAGAAGGGTGGTGGGTGGAACCAGCCACAGTCATGACTCAGGTGGCCTTGGCTGCCTCTTAGAATTTCTGGATATTTGTGCTCTGTGACTAATGACCACAGTGTTTTAGGCTGCATACATTTTACCTGTTTTTTCACTGTGTATCAACTAATTATTGAGTAAGAAACAAGATAAATCTCTGTAAATTATATCTATTAGAGCCTGACTCTAGGAAAGAAGCACCCCCTTCACAATCCCCTTCACAATCACAATTCTTGAGCATAGCACCTATGTGTGCATGAGGGCTTTCTGTAGCCCTGAGAATCCAAGTGTGGGGTTCACTGGGAATGCTGGAGAGCTAATGCTCCCTAGGAGCAGTTTCCAACCAGTAACTGGCAGGAATCAGTAGGTTAACACCCCAGATCCTTTGCCACTTGGTTGGACAGCTCTCAGGCATGTTCTATATTGTCTCCCAAAGGTCACCATCAGGACTGATTCCTGGTTGCCCACAGTGATAATGTGCTGAATTCAAACTCTTCCTTGCCCTCCTTCTCTTTCCTGTCTCACTCCTCCCCTCTCTTACCAGTGCTGCCTGGGATCACCTGCTAAATAAGCTACTTGAATTCACTTTTATGTAGGCAAGTATTCTTTTTGGAGATCAACCCAAGATAAGACTTGCAGGCTCCAGAACCCCTGATAACATAGGCACCTACATGAACCAAATACACAGCCCTTTCATATGATGCAGGTACCATCAAGGTTAAATATGGATTAAAGTGATGTATTAGTCCATTCTCACACACTGTAAAGATACTACCCGAGACTGGGTAATTTATAAAGGAAAGAGGTTTAGTTGACTCAGTTCTACGTGGCTGGGGAGGCCTCAGGAAACCCATAATCATGGTGGAAGAGGGAACAAGGACCTTCCCCACATGGCAGCAGGAGAGAGAGAAGAATGAAGGAGGAATTTCCAAACACTTATTAAACTATCAGATCTCATGAGAACTCACTCACTATCACGAGAACAGCATGGGAGAAACTGCCCCCGCCCCAACCCCGATCCAATCACCTCCCTTCCTTGACACATGGGGATTACAGGTCTCTTCCTAGACATGTGGGAATTACAATTCAAGATGAGATTTGGGTGGGACACAGAGCCAAACCATATCAAGTGATAATCCACATTTAGCCTCTATTAACAGGAGTGAGCCTATTATCCCAGCACTTTGGGAGGCCAGGGCTGAAGGATCACCCGAGTCCAGGAGTTTGAGACCATCCTGGCCAACATAGTGAAACTGTCTCTACAAAAAAAAAAAAAAAAAAGAAGAAGAAGAAGAATAATTATTACCTGGGTGTGGCGGTGTGGACCTGTAGTCCCACCAACTTTGGAGGATCCCTTGAGCCCAGGAGTTCAAGCCTGTAATGAGCTATGTTTGTGCCACTGTACTCCAGGCTGGGTGAGAGAGTAAGACCCTCTCTCTATTAAAAAGAAAATAACAAAAGACTAGTTTGGTTCTGTTCCTACCTAATCACCATTTTCTTGTTGAGCTTTCTTACCTTCGTCTGAATTAACACGTGCTTTACTGATGTCTTTTAATTGAATTTTTTTTTATAACTTTGAATTCAGGGTGACTATTGACTGTTCTTAGTGAATTTTTTTAAGATATAAACTTCACAGGAATTTATGGTGAGTAAAGTAAAATATAGCCTGAACCCCCAAGCCCTGGGCCTTTTATATATGCATATTCATATAGCAAGTAGCAAGAGTAAGCACCGAGCAATCAAACACCATAGCAAGCACAAAACCAACAGCTGACTTAGAAAGAACCCTTGGATTTTTATGCTCTAGGTTTCATTCAATTCACAGTGATATTTTTTAGACCTTAGTGATACAACCAAATTAACACATGTCTACAGTGTCTAGTAGAAACCATTGGTTGGACCAAGGAGAGAGAGAAGGAAGGAAGGAAGGGAGGAAGGAAGGAAGGAAGGAAGGAAGGGAGGGAGGGAGGGAGGGAGGGAGGGAGGGAGGAAGGAAGGAAGGAAGGAAGGGAGGGAAAGGGAGGAAAAATCCAAAGAACACAAAGAAAAGCAAGTCTTGGGAAGTAAATAAGTTGCAAGTATTAGCTTACAGAATCCTTGCTACATCTGTATAAAATTATTATTATTATCATCCTATTTTATAGATGAGGAAACCAAGGCACAAAAAAAGTTTTTAAAAATGGTCCAAGCTGTAAGACCTAATAAGAAGCAGAGCCAGGATTTGGACCAAAACAGCCTAACTACAAAGCTACACCGTGTACACCCTAAAGGTGGAAGAGAGCAGTTTCCATGTCTATGTTAAGCTAAGCCCAGAAATCTCAGTTACTTAGTCACCCCTTTTTGTGGGTCAAGGTTAGGTAAAATTTTCTTTCTACTTTCATGAAGAAAGTTTGGAAAGGAAATTAAGGATGCCAGTGTCAGAAAACTAGGGTAAACTCTGTTATTTTGGTTATCATGGAGAGTTAAGAAATTCTAAATTACATGAAGCCACCAAGTCCTGAAAATATTCAAGCAGTCCTAGGAAGGATACCCAATGTGAGGAAGAGCTAAGGACTCCTCCTAACAGCCATGGAGAGGCCATGATGGAAGCAGATTCTCCAGCCACTGTTAAACCTTCCAATGATTGCACCTGCAGGTGACAGTTTGACTGCAACCTCCTGAGACCATGAGCCAGAACTGTCCATTTAAGCCACTCCCAAATTTCTGATTCACAGAGACTGTGAGGCAATAAATATTTATTGTTTTAAGCCACTAACAGTGTGGTAATCTCCTCTGCAGCATTAGTTAACTAATATAGATTTTGGTGCTGAGAGTGGAGTTTGAACCTGTGTTAATTTGCTATTGTTGGCATAGCAAAGTACCGCAGAGTAGGTGGTTTAAAGAGGAAAGATTTATTTTCTCACAACTCTGGAGGCTAGGAACCTGAGATCAAGGTGTCAGCAGATCAGTTTCCTCTGAGGCCTCCCTCCTGGGCTTGCAGATGGCCGCCCGCCCCCTGTGCCTTCCCAAGATCTGCCTTCTGTGTGTCTGTATCATAATCTCCTCTTCTTGTAAGGTCACCAGTCATATTGGATTAGTGTTGTCAAACGCCAGGGGTTTGGCCTAGGTCCGGTTGCTCACCACAAAGAAAGCCGATCACTGAGAAAATGAGCGTTGCCAAGGACGAAAGGCTTTATTGCAGGTGACATCAGCCAGGATATGGGGGACAAGTCTCAAATCTGTTTCTCCAACCAATTAAAGTTAAGGGTTTATACAGGAGTCGGTCAACAGACAGCAGGTGCTCAGACAAGGGACCTGGCGTCTTATTGTCTGGACGCAGTGATCTAGGAAGTTTCAGTTTTTTGATATTATCTGGGAGGAAAATTGGATTGGTTTCTCTAGGACCCACCCTAATTACTTCATCTTAACTTAGTAATCTTTTTAAAAACTGATTCTCCAAGTACAGTCATATTCTGAAGTACATGGAGTCAGGATTTCAACATATGAATTTTGAAGGAACAAAATCTAACCCCTAACAGAACCCATTCCATCTCTACTGCTTACTAAATGTCAGATATTAAAGAAGTTTTGTGATTTTCTCTATAAAATGTAAATGATAATACCCAACTCGGAGGACTGTTTTGGATATTTATGTTTAAGTCACTCAATACTGCTTCTAGCACATAATAGGTGAGCTATCAGTATTTGCTGACACTGAAACTCAATGAAGCAGCACTCTGTCAACCCATTTTAAAGCATCTGATTGTCAAGCCCACTGCAAACCTTGTTAAACAAATATCTTCCTTTTAAACTAGACTAGTGAAATTTTACTGTGCATTTTTCCATGTGTTTAATTGCATAGAGGAAGGATTAATGGAAATAAACCTTAGAGGTAGAAAATAATTAGAAAATTTTTGCCAAGAAAAAAATGTTGCTTTAATTTAAACTTTAATTTAGTTCTGTGGAAAGGGCTTTTGCTTTCTCTTATTTGAATTTTATTTTAATAATTCACAGGCAGTGCTGTTGACATGCTCTCATGACCAACCTCAAATTTAATTTATTTTCACCAGCCCAAAGCACAGATGCCTGCTATTATCATGGCTGCTGCTGTGCTCAATTTGTTCTTGCAATAGATGAACATAGAAATAAATTGGCTGCGGAGGGTTTTCTGTGCCATGTTTTATACCCTACTGTGACTCAAGAGATGATAACTTTTATAAAAATTTTGTACAATTTATATAGTTAATTAAAACAGAACTGAGCTGGGCACAGTGGCTTGCACCTGTAATCCCAGCACTTTGGGAGGCCGAGGCAAGAGAATCACTTAAGCCCTGGAGTTCAAGACCAGCCTGGGCAACATAGTGAGACCCATCTCTACAAAAAAGGTAAAAATATTAACTGGGTGTGGTGGCATGTGCCTGTAGTCCCAGCTACTTGGGAGCTGAAGTGGGAATATTGCTTGAGCCCAGGAGTTTGAGGCTGCAGTGAGCCATGATTGTGCCACAGCACTCCAGCCTGGGTAACAGAGTGAGACTTGATTTCAAAAGAAAAATAAAAAAACTGGATGCTTATCTCTCTCACTTCTAGGTTCCTGACTTCTTAGGTGTGACCACAATTGAAGTGACCTGACCTGAGGGTCCATCTCTTCCACAAGGAATCCATATGAAAGAAGTAACTGCCCTCAGCAGCAACTTTTATAAATAAGACTGACACACACACACAAAAAGCTTGCTAATTATTTTTTAAAGGATTACAACAAAAATCCTATGGTATTTTTTCTTACACATTTTGTACCATATAAAATGAAGGGAGGGAAAGTGCCCAGCATGAAGTTCTGTGGTTTCTCCTGCATCCCACTAGGCTACCTGGGAGCACCACAGAGAGCATAATTTTGAGTTAGCAGAAATGGGAAGACCTAGGTAAATTTAGTGTTGTGGAGAGGAAATAATGTAAAGAGCTCCCGTCTTCCTTCACTTGAGAGTGTGGGGCTGGGCTGGGGACAATGTGAGAGAAGGCGGAAGAGTAGTAAAAGCTTGGAGCAGCTACATTGCAGAATGGAATGATAGGGAGCACTGAGGACAAGAGAAATGATTGCTGAGCAGTGTGGTGGCCCTGGTAGGTTGGAAGGCTTATTTTTAGAAGGCTGCCAAGCAGTTGAGGAGGGAAGATTTTCCTCGACAACTTGGTGTAGGATTGGGCCCACCTTAAAGTAGACAGGGCAGAAGCAGAGATTACAATGAGCGAGCAAGAATGGCCAGAGTTGAAGATCCTCGTTGCAGAGCTTTGACCCTCTCTCCTGTGTGGCACTTGGCGAAGTCGGGGATGGTTTTAGTGGAGAACATGTGCTAACCTTTCTCATCCCCCAGGTGTGAGAGCCGTTATGCCATGAACAACAGCATCACACATTGGCTGAGCCAAGCCTTCCTGATTGGGCATCAGTGGTTTTCTGAGCTAACATCACTGCTACTTTGCCACATGCATACGACTCTAAGTTCAAAACCTATCTTTCTTGTTCAGTGACTCCATTTTTAGCAACTTGATGCACACACTTGAGAGCTTGAGGAATGGAGAATCTTGAGGTCAAAGAAGGCTAAAGTGATCTTGTGGAGCAGGCATCCCCCACCTCCTCTTTTCTCCACCAATCACAATAACATGCTAGGATAAAGAAAGAAACAAATTAGAAAGTGATCTAATACAACCTTGAGTGAGGCACTCTTTGAGCCTCAGTTTTCTTCCCTATAGAATACAAAATTTAGTTAATAGCAATAGCCTATTCCTAGAGAGGGTGATTATTCAATGGCGTATAAAGCACTTGGCCCTATTGCAGCACACTTAGTTGGTGCTCAATAAATGGTTGCTATGTACTAGGTAATGACCAGACGATGTGCACTATATAATGTTTTGTGCAATTTATGTTGTCTTTGCCTGTGTTCTGCAAAAGCAGATTCTGAGACAACAGCTTATCAACATAGCTGAAAACTCCTGCATTACGGAGTACAATTCCAGGGAAGCAGAAGTGAGGGAAAGGAGTAGGGCAGAGAAGACAACAGAGCAAGTGTGAGTTAGGGCACTATAGAGATGGCCACTGCTTCATAATAAAACCAGCTAACTGTACTATTTCATGGATCCTGCTTCTGAGAGGCCTTAAGGGCTACTGAGTCTCAAGACAGTCTGTTGGCAGGGTGGCAAAGGAATAAGAGGAGAATTTATCCACTAGCTTTCATCTCCCACTGATCAAAAGTCTACCCCATCAGGCATTAACTTTTCTTCACCTTGCCATGCACCCCTGTGAGTGCCAGGCAGGTCTTGATATATCTTAAGCCTCAGTGGCAAGATGGAAGACAGCCCTGTATTGAAGACAAGAGGCTCAAGCTGTGGGCTTGAGACAAGGTACTGCCAGGCAGCTCCTGCACAATGTCTGCTGTGGCACTGACAGTGATGAGAGTCTACCTAAAGTTGCTCTCCAAAGTGAAAGCCAGGAAGCAAGAGTCCTGGAGACAGGTGAGCCTGGGATGATCTGAAGAGACGCTAAAAGTTCCTAGCACACTAGGGGAACCTCTTTTGAATATATTGAATTATATCTTTCCACTTAAATATCTGGGAAATGAAGATATAGCTCCAACCTTTAGGAGTTCCTAACATTCAAGCTTTCTTTTACTTGGCAGGTGTCCTAAAGGGTATCAAAAAGCTGCTGATAAAAACATCAAGATTTAAGTACTAGAGGGATGCTTAACAAATCAAATATTTTGTAAGAAAAAATCTCTACTATGAATAATTGCCCTTTAACCATTCTATTGTGATATGTTGGATTTTCTACTGAGAAATGCTCGTGCACAATATCTTTCTTTTTTAGACTATTTTGATTCAGTTGGCTATTAGATTCTGTTGCATTGGGAATTCTTAGCATTCTCTGCTGAAATCTGAAGCCTATTTGTTACACAATATGTCTGACTCACATATCCAGCCTCAAACTACTTGAGAGGAGAGGAATTTCCTTATATGGTTTGTACTCCTCCACGGCATCCCTAGAGGATTACAAATTCTCAATATTTATTGAGTAGGAGACAACCTAAATGCCAGGCGTTAGATGAATGTTAAATAAATGATGGGGCAACCATACAATGGAATTTCACATAGCACAGTTCTTAAAAAAATAAGAATTTTCTTCTAATACAGATATAAGAAGAAGGAAGACAGTTATTTTAGGTAAAAGAAACACATTGCAGAAAAATGTGTATAAAAATCCTATTTTGATTACATGTTCATACACACATGTAGGTGGATATGCATATTTAGAAATCTATCAGGTAAGATTACACAGTAAACTGACAAAGGCTATTATCTCCAGGGATGAGATTGGTAGAAGGCGAAAGAATTTTCTCCTTTTACTTGTACTGTTTGTGTTTTTTAAACAAATATTTATTACTTGTGTAATATAAAAATGAACAAGTAAAAGAAATAATGCTTTGAATTAATCATGTGTATTTGATGATACAGTAGGAAAACAGGCAAATGGGTACAAATAAATACTTAGCTTTGACACTGAATCAGTCAGGTACCATCTCTCATTTCATTCTGCATGGAAAAAATTGTTACTTCCATTTTTTTTTAATCCCTATGAAAGCCATTGGAACCTCTGCATTCTCAACTTCCCCCAGAATAACAGTGTTCTTGGCTGACTTGCTTGGCTATATACCATTGTATTTACAGCATCATCCTTTCTTTTGCAGAGAGTTCTGTTTACAATTCTAATGAAGAGATAAAAACTTTGTAACCAATATAGGTCACTCAGCTATGCATAACTGGGCTGGTTGTCTTTGCTTTTTTTAATTCTCAGATTTTCACTTCCTAAATCTGCTCTAAATGGAAATATTTTTGTGCACTGCAAACATGTAATAATGTAGTATTCAGATGTTCTTGCATAAATGGTCTCTACACCCTAATCAATCCCACATAGCAAAGCATGATAAATACATATTTAAAGTCCTTGGAAGTGGACAAGGTATTTTAGGCTGTGTTCATTTCTTGAATCTTTTTGTGACATCTCTCATGATACTTAGAGAATTACTCAAAAAGGAGAGAACCCAGTTTTTCCCAGGAAAGGCAGAGAAATGGGATAAAACATAGCTGTTTCCTGGGTTTACAATACCAACCCTGTCACTCGGACACTCCAACATTTCCTAAGCACCAACAAAAAACCATCTTTGGATCTCAGCTCACCATTCTTCATTCCCCCTTATTTATTTACTTCCTACTATCACTCCCTTTCACCTCACAATCTTCATTCTCAAACCACCAATTACATATAAAAAGTAGATGTATTAGAATGTCAGAACATTTAGGTATCAGAGAATCCTGTGGAAAAATTTAAGAAATTGATAACATCAAGGAAGGCTACAGGGGTCCTGTGGAACGAAGAGAAGGATTAAAGACAGCCTTCTGCTAGCAGAATGCCAAAGAGCCTGAGATCTGATTTAGGAAGAACATTGTGGTATACTAAACACAACTGAACAACACACAGCCTATAAAATTTCCCAAGTAATAAAAGCCAACAACAATTTGAAGGAACAAATATTTATTACCATAGAACCACTGTATCCTCAGATTTTTGACATTCACAACTATCCTTTTCTAAAGGAAAAAATAATGCAAAGAGCGTGGCCATAACCAATGAGCAGACTTACCCTTTAGATAGAGAAGACCTATAAACCTATATGGAAAAAAATTGTTATTTTTTGCTATCTTTTGAATGAGATTTGACGTTTATTTTGATAATTAATTTAGGCAACAAATGACAATTATCTTATTAGAATCCATGACTTTGGAGCCAGTGGAAATAACAGATACTTTTATATCACATCACAGTTGTTGCAGGGATCTTGAAACACTGTTCACATTTACCACTATTCAAAATTATGGTAGTTGATTGATTTGCCACTAGACCTCATTAATGAATGTGTTAATAAGAAATCAATATATTGCAATACCAAAAATTGTATATTTTGATACCTGTATTTTAGTATAATTGGCTTCCTTTGCAATTCTACATGTGTTACTTTTACTGTAAAAATACTATTCTGAGAAGAGATTGACAGACTTCAACAGATTTCAGAGGCATGAGAGAACCAGTTAAGACCAGAAAAACCAGCCAATTAAGTTCAGCCAAAATTGTTCACCCATGCAATAGTAATCTTAATACTGTTGTTTTGAGCCATTAACTTTGGGGGTGCTTGATTAAACCACAATAAATAACTGGCATGTATCCCTACTAATATCTATTTAACATTTTTTCTCGAAATCAACTTTTTCTCTTAAATAAATCAATGTTTAAACAGTCTTTATTGCACTACAGCAAATAGAAAAACATTTTTATTTGACTCAAATAGAAGCAAACTAAAAACAAATACAAGGAAAACATTAAGTATTGTTACTAAATTTTGGCTAGATAGATATGTTGTCTGGGAAGGCTCTTTATTAAGTAAAAAAAGAGGTGAGTAAGTGCTGGAGAGTGATAAAGACACATTGCCTCCCAAGTGAGACTTCACCTTGATAAAGGCAGAGGGACCGAGATAGAAGTGTGTGATTCAACCTTATTTCATCTCCTGCTCCTTTTCCTCTTATAAGCAGGAGTCTCAGTGGGTGGTCTTGGCCCACATTTTGGAAAGCATTGATCTCATCACACTTGCAGAAAAAATTGTATCTTTATGTAGATGTATTAATTCATCCTCACACTGCTATAAAGAACTGCCTGAGTCTGGGTAATTTATAAAGAAAAGGGGTTTAATTGACGTACGGTTTCTTATGGCTGGGGAGGCCTCAGGAAACTTATAATCATGGCGGGAGTGGAAGCTGGCATGTCTTACATGGCAGCAGGCAAGAGACAGCATGTGAAGGAGGAACTGTCAAACACTTATAAAACCATCAGATCTGTGAGAACTCACTCACTATCATGAGAACAGCGTGGGGGAAACCGCTCCCATGATCCAATTACCTCCTACCAGGTCCTTCCCTCAACACATGGGGATTACAGGGATTACAATTCAAGATGAGATTTTAGTGGGGACACAGAGCCAGACCATATCAGTAGATGAGTGCTTTATATCATAATATGAAAATGAAATGGCATAAATCTGAGAGTGCTTGGGCTATACTGTAGGCATTCACCCAGCCTATGACTGTGAGGGCTCTGGGATACTGCAAACCAACAAGTTTATCACATGGATAAGAACACTGAGGCCCAATGAGATTAGACATTGGCCAGGGCCATTCAGGGAGTCCGAGGCAAAGCCTCACATGTAAAAAAATAATTTTGAATAATTTCACTCCTGCCACGAGAGGACAGAGAACACAGCTTTCAGAATTCTATAGACATCCAGATCTCATGTGTTAAATTGGGGAACTGGTATAAAAGGCCCAGAATCCATCCCACCCCAAGTTCTACCTTTCTATGACCCCATGAGTTTCAATGCTGTAGCACAAAGAACCCAAATAATTCACTAAGGAATAATAAAGGAAGAGAGCAAGGAATTAAAGAACATTGACTTACACACGGAGAAAATTATTCAGTTTTCACTCTCTTCCATCCCTCTGCTTTGGTCAAGGTGAAGTGTTTTGCATTAAGCCCAGCACATGTAACAATAAATGCCATCTATAGTTAGTATTGAAAATGGTAATATTAAATAGTAGAGCAGGTTAAGAACTTGGGCTCTGAATGTGAATTTTGTCCCCCCTGCCCATCCTAAACTTCCTAGGCTGACAACTGAATTTACTTCTCTGTGCCTCAATTTCTTCAACTGTAAAATGTGCATTAAAAAGTATTTGCATCAAAGGAACATTAATGGAGGTAATACATGAAAGTATTTAGAATGCTGTCTAGTACCTAGTAAATATATTGCATAGCAATAACAAGATTGCATAAGTAATCAACAAACATTAACCCATGATGATAATAATAATGATAATTAGATAAATCAATGTAGCAGCAGCAAACCATTGTTTAGAAAGAGACTTTGAGTAAACTTCTCCTTCTAAAACAAATTCTCACTATTCTTTGATGTGTCAAACGTAGAACCATGACATTGTCTTTTGGATTCATATTATGATTAATTCCGGAAACATATGTCCAGAGAATACATGGCTTTTGCTATTTCTGATCATTTTGACTTTGTGACAACATTTTAATCCCTGATGATGTATATGATCCACCAGTGGAGAGAAAATGTATATGAGAATTTTGAGAGTGTGAAAACATTTAAGATTTCCATCACCCTCACCACACTTCTCTCCCTGTTACTCAGCTCCTTTTCCCTTCTATATCGCTATGATAATCTGCAACGTATCTACATTCTAGCTCCAACAGCAACCCTGGCATTTGAATAAGATTCATGCATGGCATGCTATTTTGGTAAAATTCATTTTCCAAAAACAGCATTATCAGAAAGTGAGGCCAAAAAGAACTCACTGTTCTCTCTCACACTGGCACATTGAGGTGTCTGCTTAACCTGCCTATGGGCTCAGGTATTTCAAACCATGGTACACTTTTTTCTATTTTGCTTTAAATGGCATCACTACGTTAGCCTGTTGCCAAGTCGGACTTAAGTTAAAGTAAGGTATGCAAAAAGATGATATTGTTTCTCTAGGTCCTAATGTGAAATTAGGTAGGTTAATGGGTTGCTATGGTGATCATTTTTAGCAATGAAAATGAATAATGGTAAAGAGAACATGCTTTAGAGTCAGATTTTTTAAAGTCCAAAATCACATTATGTCACTTGTTATATGTTTAGCTGACTTTCAGCAATTTACTTGGCCTTTCCCAGTACATGTTCTCATGGGTAAAATGATCAAAATAATACCTACCTTGGGGAATTATTATCTTAATTAGTTCTCAGAATAACTCTGTAGTGTAGGTATCACGAGGACCATCTTATAGACAAGTCATATAATTTGCCCAAAGTCACATGGCTAGTTAATGGCACAGCTGAGGGACCCAAATCATGATTTCTGGGGGCTAACTGGGCTCAGCTAGGTGGTTTTCACATGGGGTAGTCATGCAGCTGCAGTCAGATGTTAACTAAGATAGAGTCATCTCAAAGGCTTCCTCACACACATGCCTGGTCTTGATGCTGGCTCTTGACTGGGACTTCAGTCTGGCACTATCAGCCAAAGGAGCCACATATGATCTCATCATGTGGCCTCGGCCTCCTCATAGCATGGTGGCAAGGTTCCAAACTTCACAAGTAAAGCAGCATCACTTTCTATTCATTGAAAGGAAGTCAATAAAGCTGGTCTATATTCAAACATTTTATATTCAAGATGACAGTAGATTAATATCTTCAAAGTGGTGACAGAAAATATGTGAATCCTAGAATTATATATGTAGCTAAACTGATAACAAATCATAGTTTTCTTTTTTAAACAGATCCAATTTAGGATGTTTAAAATTGGTCATGTAATTTTTTCAGTAAAACATCAATATCTCTTAGTTTATTGGTTTTTGTTAGCAGGTTTTGTGACTTAGCACGAAATATTTTTTATCAACACAGGAAGGTAGAAAAAAAGAACAACAAAGAGAATAGAGCTATAAAATAATAAAGATAAAAGCAGAAAGTAGTAAGATACAAAACATAACAAAAATGAAATATAGTTAAGATAACTAAAAATGTATATTTTGAAGACTACTCAAACACTATGAACCTTTGGCAAGTATGAGCCCAGAAATGACACAAGGGGCAACCAGAGGACAACTCTGAAAGGCAAGAGGGCAAAGGAGTCTGGTTAGGAACCCCAGAACTGGGGGAAGAACACTGAAGCAGGACATTTTAGGACCACCCCCACAACAGCAGAAGGCAACCCAACTTAGCAACAGAATGAGATTGAGGTGGTCTCATTCCTCCCCCAGGACACCTTGGAGCACTGCTGACAACACTAGGTGAGCCTGAGAGCAAGTGCGAGGGTGATTGACAGGGAGCCCTGCTAAAGGAAGTGGGCAAATGAAGTGCTGCCTTTCCCCATTGAACCTGAGACTTATTTCCCTTACTGGGAGGTATCAAGATGGCTGGGCAGCCCAGGCAAGAGAGAGACCACTATAACAAGCACTTGACCCAGGACACCTATTTGTCCTCATGGTCCTGACACTCTCTTTCCCCACCTAGAGACACTGGGCAGCCAGTCACCACCAATGAGAAGATTCAAAACAAGCACCCACTCCAGGAAGCACTCATCATCATCAATGTCAGCAGATACTTTATTGCCCCATTTAGAGCATAGGTGGCCTGGCCTAGGGAAACTCCTACACCCCATCAAGTGGCACTAGTAGGGATTACTAATGTCGCATTTTGAGGAGCGCCCAAATCACCACGCCACACAGACTAAAATATCACCATACAGTCTCTGAAAATTAAATTGCCATTGAAACCAACAGCCCATAAAGGTAAACCAAGACCTGCACACCAAACCTAAACAGAGTGCCTGCATGCATTCAGGCTGCTTGCTGTGGTTTGGATATGGTTTGTTTGGCCTTGCCAAGTCTCCTCTTGAAATCTGGTCCCCAATGTTGGAAGTAGGGCCTGGTGGCAAGTGTCTCTTTCCTGAAGGCAGATCCTTTAGGAATGGCTTGGTGCCATTCTTATGGTAATCAGTGAGTTCTTGCTCTATTAACTCTGAGGGAACTGATTGTTAAAAAGAGCCTGACACCTCCTCCCCCTTCTGGTGCTTCCTTCCTCTTGACAAAAAAAAAAAAAAATCAAGTCAAGATAGATTTCTTAAAATGGGTTTGAACAGCCCATGGGAAAACAATAAAAAACAAAGAAAGGAACGAAAAAGAGGTGAAACAAATGGAAAACACATAATAAAATTGCTATGGGATCTTTGGGGTGCTGATTTTCTGGCCAGAAACCTCTGTGGCCAGCAGCACCTTTGCCCAAGTTGTTGCCCTGCATCCAGGAAGAATGAGGTACACAGACAAGTGAAGGGTAAACAAGACACGCATGAGCTTTATTAAGTGTTACGACAGCTCAGAGGACCTGCAGTGGGTAGTGGGTAGCTCTTCTCTATAGCCAGGTTGTCCCATGGAGTGTTCAGCTCTCAGCAGAGAGGAGGCCCTGGAGAGAGTAGCTCCTCTCTGCTACTGGTCTTCCCCACATCTGCTGCTCTCAGCAGGGAGGAGGCCCTAGAGAGGATTGCTTCTCTTTGCAACTGGTAGTTCCCTTGTCTCTGCAGGTCTCTGAAGCTCTCAGCAGAGAGCGTTGCTCCTCTCTGTAGCTGGTTGTCCAGAGGTCTCTTCATCCTCTCCATCCTCTGCCCTGCTGTGCCTGAGCCTGGGGCTTTTATGAACCTCAGAAGGGAGAAAGTGTGTGCTGATTGGTACAAGGGCAGCCATGGGTGGGGCTGGAAGAGGCACCACAAGTCCCCACTCCCATCTGCAGGACTGGGATCCCAGCCCTTGGCCTTCAGACCTGAAGGTGAGGCCTTACTGGGAACCACCCCCTTCTGCCCAGGAGCTTGTCTGTCTCCCACAGCCATCCATGGTGGCCAGGCTGCTGGCACCAAAGGGTACCTGCAGGACAGCACCCAGTCACCCTCAGCTTCCCCTCCTGCACTTCTAGGTGCCCAAAGTCCAGAGGGGATTGGGGTGCCAGGGTGTTGGCATGTCAACACTGCCCCCAAGCCTGGGCATACCTGGCCAGGCTGTGACAGCACCTGGGCTTGTCCTTAACCTTGCTCAAAGATCAGAGCAGGTGCCAGGAGCCAGGAGAAGCCAGGCAGTGGGAGCAGGAACCTGCATGTCTGCAATGGTGTGGGGTGCCTTCCCAGGCCCCCCAAGCATGCAGAAATGCCTGGGTCTGCAGCCCTGGTCTGGGCAGCTGCAGCTGTACCTCAGGAGGCAGGGCTCCTGCCTGCTGCATGGAGCTGGAGGCCCGAATCCATAGCTATGACTTGGGTGGCAGCAGCACCTCCCAGGAGGGTGAGTACCCTGCCTCCTCCTAACTCCCAAGAGCACAAGGGTGCTGGGTTGCAGCCACAGCTTGGGCAGCTGCAGTTATACCTGGGGAGCTCCCGCCCCACCAACTTGGAAGGAGCAGGGCTCCCACTTTTCCCCAGCTCCCACTACCTCTGTGGAACACTGCACCCCTGGCCATGCCCCTTCACAGTCTGGGGTGGGGGCTCCAAGTCCTTGCTGGGCCTGGGCCAGCATCTGGGACAGGGGTGATGTTGCCATCAGCTCCCCCTGTGGCCCTGATGCTCCTGATGGCAGGGGTGGGTGGGGGCAGACGAAATGGCAGACTTAAGTCCTAACGTGTCAATAATCACACAAAGGTTCTCTACCTAGTGACTGGATCTGGTTTGATGAGGCAGACACTCACACAAGTCAGGCAAAGTGGATTGGATTTATTACTCACAGATAGGCAGCAAGGGTCAACTGGAGCCTAGGATCCATGACAAGCAGGTCCTCCACGGCCCAGGAAAGCTGCCCAGGGCAGATGGAGTCTTGACTGCATTTGCTCCACATTGCACTGCAGCTGAGGGACCCAAACCTGCTGTGCCCTGGGTTTACATTCCTTGGGTGACACTTGGTATCTTGAGCTCAAGCCTTGCAGGACACCTTGTTCTAGGAGTTAGGACACAGTCTGGGTTGTTCCAGACATGATCTCCTTATCTCAAGATACCTCATTCTTAATATAGACTACCTGAGGATTGCAAGCAAAAGTGGAAGAGCTGGATCAGCCATTGCCATCCAGGGACCTGTCCTCCTGCAATTGCTTTAAATGTAAATTATCTAAATAAACTGATTAAAATGCAGAGATTGGCAAAATGGATAAACAAAATGACCAACTTTATGCTGTTGATAAGGAACTGATTTCAAAATCAACAGCATAGATAAGTTGAAAGTAAAGGATGAAAAAAGGTGTGTATGCAAACATTAATCAACAAAAATGAGGTCAGCCTCCATGTATTACCATAGCTATTTTTCTAGAACATAAGATTGTGTGAAATAAAATTAAATTGGAAAATAATACATAAATTTGAATCCAAATATAATAACATGTATGTAAAATAGCACTCATTTTCTCCAGGTAATTTTTACATGTTCAAGTGAACAGAAAAAGATTTGGGAGTTTATAATCCACACTGTTTTAAAAAAAAATGGTTGTTTTGGGGAGGGTTGAAGGGGTTGGGGATTGGGGAGAGCTGTGATGAAAGGGAAATGTTTCAACTTAATGTAAGGAGGGTATATTCACATATTTCTCAGGTGATTCTTTTTTTTGTAATAAACACCTGGCAATGGCAGTTCGGATGAGGGGTAACACCTTCTCTCACTGCAGTCTCCAGCGTCATCATTGCCTGCATTAATATCATCTTGAGCTAAGGTCAGCAAATGCCAAATCTGTATAAACACAAAAGATCTTTAAGAGTTTAATGAATGATGGGGGCAGTTCCAAGATGGCCGAATAGGAACAGCTCCAGTCTACAGCTCCCAGCGTGAGCAATGCAGAAGACGGGTGATTTCTGCATTTCCAACTGAGGTACTGGGTTCATCTCACTGGGGCTTGTCAGACAGTTGGTGCAGGACAGTGGGTGCAGCCCACCGAGCATGAGACAAAGCAGGGCAAGGCATCACCTCACCCGGGAGGCACAAGGGAGCAGGGAAGTCCCTTTCCTATCCAAGGGAAGCTGTGACTGATGGCACCTGGAAAATCGGGTCACTAGAACCCTAATACTGCGCTTTTCCAACGGTCTTAGCAAACGGCGCACCAGGAGATTATATCCTGTGCCTGGCTTGGAGGGTCACACGCCCATGGAACCTTGCTCATTGCTAGCACAGCAGTCTGAGATTGAACTGCAAGGTGGCAGCGAGGCTTGGGGAGGGGCGCCCACGATTGCTGAGGCTTGAGTAGGTAAACAAAGTGGCCAGGAAGCTCAAACTGGGTGGAGCCCACCGCAGCTCAAGGAGGCCTACCTGCCTCTGTAGACTCCACCGCTGGGGGCAGGGCATAGCTGAACAAAAGGCAGCAGAAACCTCTGCAGACTTAAATGTCCCTGTCTGACAGCTTGGAAGAGAGCAGTGGTTCTCCTAACACAGAGTTTGAGATCTCAGAACAGTCAGACTGCCTCCTCAAGTGGATCTCTGACCCCCGAGTAGCCTAACTGGGAGGCACCCCCCAGTAGGGGCAGACTGACACCTCACATGGCCAGGTACCCCTCTGAGATGAAACTTCAAGGGGAATGATCAGGCAGCAACGTTTGCTGTTCAACAATATTGCTGTTCTGCAGCCTGTGCTGCTGATACCCAGGCAAACAGGTCTGGAGTGGACCTCCAGCAAACTACAACAGACTTGCAGCTGAGGGTCCTGACTGTTAGAAGGAAAACTAACAAACAGAAAGGACATCCACACCAAAACCCCATCTGTACGTCACCATCATCAAAGACCAAAGGTAGATAAAACCACAAAGATGGGGAAAATAAGAGCAGAAAAGCTGAAAATTCTAAAAATCAGAGCGCCTCTCCCCCTCCAAAGGAACGCAGCTCCTCACCAGCAATGGAACAAAGCTTGATGGAGAATGACTTTGACAAGTTGAGAGAAGAAGGCTTCAGACGATCAAACTTCTCCGAGCTAAAGGAGGAAGTTCAAACCCATTGCAAAGAAGCCAAAAACCTTGAAAAAAGATTAGACGAATGGCTAACTAGAATAACTGGTGTAGAGAAGTCCTTAAATGACCTGATGGAGGTGAAAACCATGGCACGAGAACTACGTGACAAATGCACAAGCTTCAGTAGCTGATTCAATCAGCTGGAAGAAAGGGTATCAGTGATTGAAGATCAAATGAATGAAATGAAGCGAGAAGAGAAGTTTAGAGAAAAAAGAGTAAAAAGAAATGAACAAAGCCTCCAAGAAATATGGGACTATATGAAAAGACCAAATCTATGTCTGATTGGTGTACCTGAAATTGACAGGAAGAATGGAACCAAGTTGGAAAACACTATGCAGGATATTATCTAGGAGAACTTCCCCAACCTAGCAAGGCAGGGCAACATTCAAATTCAGGAAATACAGAGAATGCCACAAAGATACTCCTCGAGAAGAGCAACTCCAAAACACATAATTGTCAGATTCACCAAAGTTGAAATGAAGGAAAAAATGTTAAGGGTAGCCAGAGAGAAAAAGGTCGGGTTACCCACAAAGGGAAGCCCATAAGACTAACAGTGGATCTCTTGGCAGAAACTCTACAAGCCAGAAGAGAGTGGGGGCCAATATTCAACATTCTTAAAGAAAAGAATTTTCAACCAAGAATGTCATATCCAGCCAAACTAAACTTCATAAGTGAAGGAGAAATAAAATCCTTTATAGACAAGCAAATGCTGAGAGATTTTGTAACCACCAGGCCTGCCCTACAAGAGCTTCTGAAGGAAGCACTAAACATGGAAAGGAACAACCGGTACCAGCCACTGCAAAAACATGCCAAATTGTAAAGACCATTGATGCTAGGAAGAAACTGCATCAACTAATGACCAAAATAACCAGCTAACATTATAATGACAGGATCAAATTCACACATAACAATATTAACCTTAAATGTAAATGGGCTAAATGCTCCAATTAAAAGACACAGACTGGCAAATTGGATAAAGAGTCAAGGCCCATCAGTGTGCTGTATTCAGGAGACCCATCTCGTGTGCAGAGACACACATAGGCTCAAAATAAAGGGATGGAGGAAGATCTACCAAGCAAATGGAAAACAAAAAAAAAGGCAGGAGTTGCAATCCTAGTCTCTGATAAAACAGACTTTAAACCAACAAAAATCAAAAGAGACAAAGAAGACTATTACATAATGGTAAAGGGATCAATTCAACAAGAAGAGCTAACTATCCTAAATATATATGCACCCAATACAGGAGCACCTAGATTCATAAAGCAAGTCCTTAGAGACCTACAAAGAGACTTAGACTCCCACACAATAATAATGGGAGACTTTAGCACCCCACTGTCAACATTAGACAAATCAACAGACAGAAAGTTAACAAGGATATCCAAGAATTGAACTCAGCTCTGCACCAAGCAGCCCTAATAGACATCTACAGAACTCTCCACCCCAAATCAACAGAATATACATTCTTCTCAGCACCACATTGCACTTATTCCAAAATTGACCACATAGTTGGAAGTAAAGCACTCCTCAACAAATGTAAAAGAACAGAAATTATAACAAACTGTCTCTCAGACCACAGTGCAATCAAACTACAACTCAGGATTAAGAAACTCACTCAAAACTGCTCAACTACATGGAAACTGAACACCTGCTCCTGAATGACTACTGGGTACATAACGAAACGAAGGCAGAAATAAAGATGTTCTTTGAAACCAATGAGAACAAAGACACAATGTACCAGAATCTCTGGGACACATTTAAAGCAGTGTGTGGAGGGAAATCTACAGCATTAAATGCCCACAAAAGAAAGCAGGAAAGATCTAAAATTGACAACCTAACGTCACAATTAAAAGAACTAGAGAAGCAAGAGCAAATACATTCAAAAGCTAGCAGAAGGCAAGAAACAACTAAGATCAGAGCAGAACTGAAGGAGATAGAGACACAAAAAAACCTTCAAAAACTCAACGAATCCAGGAGCTGGTTTTTTGAAAAGATGAACAAAATTGATACACCACTAACAAGACTAATAAAGACAAAAAGAGAGAAGAATCAAATAGATGCCATAAAAAATGATAAAGGGGATATTACCACCAATCCCAAAGAAATACAAACTACTATCAGAAAATACTATAAACACCTCTATGCCAATAAACTAGAAAATCTAGAAGAAATGGATATATTCCTGGACACATACACCCTTCCAAGACTAAGCCAGTAAGAAGTTGAATCCCTGAATAGACCAATAACAGGCTCTGAAATTGAGGCAATAATTAATAGCCTACCATCAAAAAAAGTCCAGGACCAGACGGATTCACAGCCAAATTCTACGAGAGGTACAAGGAGGAGCTGGTACCATTCCTTCTGAAACTATTCCAATCAATCGAAAAAGAGGGAATCCTCCCTAACTCATTTTATGAGGCCAGCATCATCCTGATACCAAAGCCTGACAGAGACACAATAAAAAAAGAGAATTTTAGACCAATATCCCTGATGAACATTGATGCAAAAATCCTCAATAACATACTGGCAAACCGAATCCAGCAGCACATCAAAAAGCTTATCCACCATGATCATGTGGGCTTCATCCCTGGGATGCAAGGCTGGTTCAACATACACAAATCAATAAACATAATGCAGCATATAAACAGAACCAAAGACAAAAACCACATGATTATCTCAGTAGACGCAGAAAAGGCCTTTGACAAAATTAAACAGCCCTTCATGCTAAAAACTCTCAATAAATTAGGTATCGATGGGACATATCTCAAAATAATAAGAGCTATTTATGACAAACCCACAGCCAATATCATACTGAATGGGCAAAAATTGGAAGCATTCCCTTTGAAAACTGGCACAAGACAGAGATGCCCTCTCTCACCACTCCTATTCAACATAGTGTTGGAAGTTCTGGCCAGGGCAATCAGGCAGGAGAAAGAAATGAAGCGTATTCAATTAGGAAAAGAGGAAGTCAAATTGTCCCTGTTTGTAGTTGACATGATTGTATATCGAGAAAACCCCATCGTCTCAGCGCAAAATCTCCTTAAGCTGATAAGCAACTTCAGCAAAGTCTCAGGATACAAAATCAATGTGCAAAAATCACAAGCATTCCTACACATCAATAACAAACAAACACAGAGCCAAATCATGAGTGAACTCCCATTCACAATTGCTTCAAAGAGAATAAAATACCTAGGAATCCAACTTACAAGGGATGTGAAGGACCTCTTCAAGGAGAACTACAAACCACTGCTCAACGAAATAAAAGAGGATACAAACAAATAGAACATTCCATGTTCATGGATAAGAAGAATCAATATCATGAAAATGGCCATACTGCCCAAGGTAATTTATAGATTCAATGTCATCCCCATCAAGCTATGACTTTCGTCACAGAATTGGAAAAAACTACTTTAAAGTTCACATGGAACCAAAAAAGAGCCTGTGTTGCCAAGACAATCCTAAGCCAAAAGAACAAAGCTGGAGGCATCACACTACCTGACTTCAAACTATACTACAAGGCTACAGTAACCAAAACAGCATGGTACTGGTACCAAAACAAAGATATAGACCAATGGAACAGAACAGAACCCTCAGAAATAATACCACACATCTACAACCATCTGATCTTTGACAAACCTGACAAAAACAAGAAATGGGGAAAGGATTCCCTATTCAATAAATGGTGCTGGGAAAACTGGCTAGCCATATGTAGAAAACTGAAACTGGATCCCTTCCTTACACCTTATACAAAAATTAATTCAAGATGGATTAAGACTTAAATGTTAGACTTAAAACCATAAAAACCCTAGAAGAAAACCTAGACAATACCATTCAGGACATAGGCATGGGCAAGGACTTCATGTCTAAAACACCAAAAGCAATGGCAACAAAAGCCAAAATTGACAAATGAGATCTAATTAAACTAAAGAGCTTCTGCACAGCAAAAGAAACTACCATCAGAGTGAACAGGCAACCTACAGAATGGGAGAAAATTTTTGCAATCTGCTCATCTGACAAAGGGCTAATATCCAGAACATACAAAGAACTCAAACAAATTTATGAGAAAAAAACAAACAACCCCATCAAAAAGTGGGCGGAGGATATGAACAGACACTTCACAAAAGAAGACATTTATGCAGGCAACAAACACATGAAAAAATGCTCATCATCACTGGCCATCAGAGAAATGCAAATCAAAACCACAGTGAGATACCATCTCACACCAGTTAGAATGGCGATCATTAAAAAGTCAGGAAACAACGTGCTGGAGAGGATGTGGAGAAATAGGAACAATTTTACACTGTTCATGGGACGGTAAACTAGTTCAACCATTGTGGAAGACAGTGTGGCAATTCCTCAAGGATCTAGAACTAGAAATACCACCTGACCCAGTCATCCCATTACTGGATATATACCCAAAGGATTATAAATCATGCTGCTATAAAGACACATGCACACATATGTTTATTGTGGCATTATTCACAATAGCAAAGACTTGGAACCAACCAAAATGTCCATCAATGATAGACCGGATTAAGAAAATGTGGCACATATACACCATGGAATACTATACAGCCATAAAAAAGGATGCGTTCATGTCCTTTCTAGGGACATGGATGAAGCTGGAAACCATCATTCTCAGCAATCTATCACAAGGAAAAAGAAACCAAACACCGCATGTTCTCACTCATAGGTGGGAGTTGAACAATGCGAACACTTGGACACAGGAAGGGGAACATCACACACCAGGGCCTGTCGTGGGATGGGGGGAGGGGGGAGGGATAGCATTAGGAGATATACCTAATGTAAATGATGAGTTAATGGGTGCAGCACACCAACATGGCACATGTATACAGATGTAACAAACCTGCACGTTGTGCACATGTACCCTAGAACTTAAAGTATAACAAAAATAAAAATAAAAAATAAAATTTAAAAAAAAGAGTTTAATGAATGAATAACGAGATTTGCTGAGTGGCATGTAAAGAAATGACAAAGTTGGTTATAGACTTTGGGAAAAGCTCCCAGCCATGAGGACTGTATATCCATTCACTGAGCAGATATTTATTCTAAATCTAACTGCATTCCTGGAGCTGGAGCATCCATAGTGAACAAAACCCAGTCCCTGCCATATGGAGAGAACTTTCTAATGGAAGGAGGCAGTAAATAGCTAAATAGACAAAGAAATCACATTTTATGCAGTAATATTGAGTCTGAAGAAAACTAAGGCAGGGTGAGAACAGGAGAAGTCTTATTCGATGTGGTGATTGAAGAAGGCCTTTCTGGATAGGTAACATCCAATCCATGTTTTAGGAATCGGAGTGGACCACTCAGGGATGTAGGGGAGAGCTTTTGAGGCAGAGGGAACAGCGCATGCAAAGGTCCTGAAGTGGAATGGTCCTCAGTGTGTTTGAGAAGCAGCAAGGGCCCCACGGCTGAAGAAGGCTACATCACCCAGGGATTTGGGGGCCATGAGAGAACGTCAGAGTTTATTGAGATGAGAAGCCACTGGGGAATTTTGGGCGGAGGAGCGACATGATCCAGTTCACATCAATCTAGAATGGTGAAAAAGGTTTCCTATTGAAAGAATTTGAGGGAAATACAGACTGGACTCTACCATTTATCCTCAGTTTCAGCAACCTTTCTAAGCCCCTACCATTAATTTATCCGGTTATCCTGCTGTTGATCCCCACAATACTAAGTCACCAGAAAACCTTTCCAACAGATAGATGCTTTCTCAATTCTCCAAAAATACAAAGTATTTCTAACTTCTCAACCTCTGGCAAATTCCCAAAAGCCCAATACAAATCCAAACTTATTGGGAAACTTGATGAAATAATTGAACCAAATAATAGAGTGATAACAATAACTCTCATTATTGAACACTAACTACATTTCAGACATTGAACCAAGCCCTTTATGTTTTATTTAGTACTTATAATCCTAACAACACGCTGATGTGGGTATTACCATTGTCTTCTTATGTTTAGCAAACTGAACCTAAAGCAGATAAACTTGATAAGATCATATAACTAATGAAACTCGTACTTAAAGTTTCTTCTGAGACAGTATCTCATATCACCCTCACTCATAAGCCCTCTGCCACCCCAGCCTTCACTCTACTAAATATGTCAAGGGCTTTGCCTCCAGCAGGGGCCTGAGCTCTTGCTATACTCAGCTGGCTACTCAGCATTCAGGGAAGCCGTTCCTAATTGTCCACTCCAAGGCTCCCCACTCTTCCCAGCCACTCTGAATTCTACCACTTCACTTTACTTTCTTCACAGCACACACCACACCCTTAAATCATCTTGCCATTCATTTCCTAATTCCTGCCTTCCTCCACGAGAACGTAAATGCTGCAAATCCAACACATAGTACATAATCTATAAATATTCATTGACTGAGTGAATGAATGACTGTGCCTGGGTATATCTGACATCAAATCCATGCTTTTCTCACCATATCAAGTTGCCTCCTGGCTTACAGTCTACAAACATTCCCTTTGTCATCTATTGTGGCTAAAAGCAGCAGTAACTATGCTAAAAGCAGCAGTAACTACACACACACACACACACACACACACACACACACACACACACACACATATACAGAGACAGAGAGAGAGAGAGAGAGAGAGGTCTCTCTCATTCTCTAGCCCAGGCTAGAGTGCAGTGGTAGGATCAGTGCTCACTGCAGCCTTGAACTCCTGGGGTCCAGTGATCTTCCTGCCTCAGCCTCCCAAGTAACTAGGACTACAGATGCTCACCACCATGTCTGGCTAAGTTTTTTAAAAATTTTAAATATTTTAGAAAAAACAGCCAGGCGTGGTGGCACATACCTGTAGTCCCAGCTACTCAGGAGGTTGTGGCAGGAGAATCACTTGAACCTCGAAGGCGGACGTTGCAGTGAGCTGAGATCACACCACTGCATTCCAGCCTGGGCGACAGAGCAAGACTCTGTCTCAAAAAAATAAAATTAAATATTGCGTACAGGTGGGATCTCACTATGTTGCCCAGACTGATCTCAAACTTCTGGCCTCAAGTGATCCTTCGGCCTCAGCTTCCCAAAGCACTGGGATTACGGCAACAAAAATGATTTTTGGTGAAGTTTGAGCCAAAATGGCAACATATTGTTTTACTATATATTTAAATGTCCATGTCTATAGAGAACAAGAGTCTAACAGTACAGGAACTGAATAATTGGCAGAATTGGCATTATCGAGGAGCTTTGACTTTTCCAGTTGCAAGGAGCACCCTATCCCCTTACTGAAGATTCATTTATGGTCTTCAAGTCTCCTTATTACATTAGTTCCCTGATGGATAGATTGACTACATCTTTCTTTCAGTTCACCTTAAAGTCACAAGCTGGATTAGGAGACTCAGAGGTCTCCCCAGTATGGAGCTGCCACACGAGGGAGCTCCCACTTCTCACCCCCGTTCGTTGCCAAGCTTTTTCATCCATGGCATCAGATGGATGGACTTATTCAGCCTTCTTTTTTGTCACTTGCTGCTTTGGGGGTACCTCACATACTCGCTGTTCTCTCTGCAGCATCTCCCTCCTTTACCTGCAACACTTTCTTTCCTAAATATTGCCTTCCCTTAGCTTTGCTGAGCTACTCACCCCTTCCCCACATCCAACCTAGTCTTGCTTGGAAACAGAGTGATAGGAGCTTCCTACTTTCCCTCCCTGCACTGTATGCATGAAGCTCTGACAAATCCCAGGGTAGGAAAATATGTGCTGGGTTTCAGAACCACACTGGAAAGAGTTCGTTTGATGTTTTATTTTTGGTATTTTGAATGCATCTATTGATTTGGAGGAGTGAGATTCCACTGGGTGCTCTGACTCCTGCAGAAACCATCTTTCAGCTTGGCAATGATAGATTTCTTTTCCTCCCTGAAGTCTGTCACATATAAGCTTCAAATATAAATTGAATGTCATAACACTAGGTATTTGGTATGCTTACCAAGTGCCATGTTCTGTGTTTATTTACTTCTCACAGCAACCTCGTAAAATACGATTTATTATTCCGATTTCATACTTGAGAACACGAACCAAGAAAGATTACACAACCTGTCTGTGATGTCTCCCTCTAAGTCTCTTTCTTTCTCCAAATCATATAAAAATGAACAATGTAAATTTATAAAAACCAGTCTCCAGGCTCCTGGTCTTTCTCCCACCTCACCCTCTCTCTCCAGCCACACTACCCCAATTTGGAACTATCCCAGTTCCCAAATCCTTATTAAAAATTCACATTTCAGATGGGTATCACATTGCAACTTCTCTTGCATATCAAAAAGGGAGTTCGAGTAGCCAAGTGGAATACAGATGAAGAAGGCAGCTTTCTAGTTATCAGATGGAAGTTTTTTTAATGCATTTTTCAAAATTTTTAATTATGAAACATTTCAAGCGTGCAGACTACCACTTCTCTGTGAACATACACACACCATTACCATGACCAGACCATCACCACCAGAGGTAACTACTATCTGGAAAGTAGTACATCTATTTCCTATTACAAGGTTTTGTGCTTTCTAATATACATACATACACACACACACATGCAGCACCCACATATAAAACCACAACTGTGTGTGTATTATATATATGTATATAATTGCATAATATACTGCCATATAGGCATAAGCAGTATAAGAAGCCTTCATTTTTGTCACTTGCCCCTTTGGAGGTAGCTCACATATATAGGCATAAGCAGTATATCATGCTACTTTGCATATACTATACACACACACACACACACCCCACTTGTGTGTGTGTATACATATATATGTATATATATAAGCGTATATATGTGTATATATATGTGTACATATATGTGTGTGTGTATATATATATATCTATATAGTTTGTTTGTTTGTTTGTTTTGAGACAGGGTCTCCCTCTGTCACCCAGGCTGGAGTGCAGTGGCGCGATCTCAGCTCACCACAAGCTCCGCCTCTCAGGTTCACGCCATTCTCCTGTCTCAGTCTCCCGAGTAGCTGGGACTACAGGCGCCTGCCAACACGCCCCGCTAATTTTTTGTAGTTTTAGTAGAGATGGGGTTTCACCGTATTAGCCAGCATGGTCTCCTGAACTCGTGATCCACCCGCCTCGGCCTCCCAAAGTGCTGGGATTACAGGCGTGAGCCACCACGCCCAGCCGTGTGTATATATATATTTTACATATACAAAAGATATATTGTATATATAAAGTAGCATGATATACAACTTATGCCTATATAGCACTATATAATGCTACTTTATATACACAATTATATTTATGTAATATACAGAGATATATGGACATTAGCAACATATACTATTTTGTGTTTGAAATTTTACATACATTGTATCACACTGTATTTATGTATCCTGTTGCACCTGTCTTTCTTTTTATTTTATTTTATTTTATTTTATTTTTGAGACAGGTTCTCACTCTGTCTTCCAGGCTGGAGTGCGGTGTTGCAATATTTGCTCACTGCAATCTCAAACTCCTGGGCTCAAGTGATTCAAGTGATCCTTCCACCTCAGCCTTCTGAGTAGCTGGGACTACAGGCACATGCCATCATGACTGGCTGTTTTTTATTTTTTATTTTTTATAGCAACAGGGTCAGAGTTTTTTGCCCAGACTGGTCTCAAACTCCTGGCCTCAAGTGATCCTCCTGCCTCGGCCTCCCAAGGTACTAGAATTATGGTGTGAGCCACTGCACCTGGCCCCTGTTGCAACTTTCTTTTGCTTTTTTTTACACATTATGTTTTTGAGACTTATTTTACTGTACATATAGCTCTACTTATTCATTCACTCTGCTTTCGTATGGGCATAGTGATAACTGCCATTTATGAAGTGCTTTCTGTGTATCAGGCACTATTTAAGCATTTAAGTGCATTCCTTTATTTAATCCTTGAAACAGTGTTACATGGGAAGCATGTACATTTACAGGTGGAGGAAGTTGGGGAGTGCAATGGGGCAGTGATTCCCCCAAGGTCATAGAGCTAGTAATTGTCTCATCTGGAGTCTGACTCCAAAGCCCAAGATCTAATTCGTAGGCCATCCTGCCCATTCCACAGGCTATTTGTCCATTCATTCCACTATGTAGACTCACTTGGCATTGAGGTAGACTTTCAGAGGAGGAAGAAAACAGCAGTTAGTACTCCTGAGTTGTCCACTGTCATCTGCACCACTCCACACACACCCAAAAGACAGTGGGTCACTTGAGTGAAAAGCTATGGGTAACTCAAGCTGTAAAACAAAAGTTGAAAGCTGACAGCTATAGTCAGACCTCGAAATTTTTTCTTCGTTAATCTGAAATTGTGTGTAGGGTGGATGCTGGAATCAGGGGCCCACCAGGTGTCAGGGCAGTTGGGGCCCCACTGTCCGGGAGCCGGCATTTTGGTCATAGAGCTCACAGAATGATCAGGGTTGCACAAATAAGGGGTGTGCTATGCATGGTGTGCCTGCCACAAAGGAGGGCAAAATGAAGAGAGAAGATGAATTACATCACTGATTTTCCTCTTGCAGCCTCTGTCCCTGCTGTCTCAGTGTCTTTACTGAATTGCAAGCTGCTTCTCGAGGGCTGGAGCTGTGTCCATGTCAGCTCATCCTTGGCATTTTATTAACACCTGTCCTTGCCACGCATGTAGAGGTCACTTGATTAATCCTGATAAGTTTCCATAGTGTCTTGGCAGTTCGGGGTAACAGATAACAGAAATTCAGTTTGGAAAGTTTAAAGACAGAGGAAAATTTATTAACTCATGAAATGAAGAAAAACGAACAACATAAGTAACTGTACAGGCAGAAACACAGCTGGGCATTAGGAAAATCTGGAACCATTAACTTAAAGTCTCACCTCTGCTCTTCTCTATAGTTTTCATCATTGCCTCTTGATAAAATAAGAGCCTCCCTCCAAATGGGATTAATTACAGAACTCACTTCCTTGGGTGGTTTTGAGGATTAAATGAGTTAATACATATAAAGCCACTAGCATTGTGTTTCATACATAGTAAGTGCTCAATAGAGGTTCACTAGTGTTTGCTATTATTGTTATAAATGAAACAATTTTTATAATGATGATGCCTGGGTGACCAATTTTGTGCTTTATGCGTTTTATATTTTTTGTGTGTGTTTATTTATTATCTGTCTCCCCACATCTACCAGATTCTAACTGCCTACCACGAAAGAAGACACATCATCTTCTCTATTCAGTGCCATAGCCTCAGAGTCTAGGACAGTGCCCGACGCAGAGGAGCCCTCAGCTTCAGAAAGTAGAGCAAGATTGTCTCATCCTTCTTGTTAAGAAGTCCAAAAATCACAGAGAAGGGTCTGACTGGCCCAACGTGGGTCAGGTGCCCACCCTTAGACCAATCAACTGAGGCCAGAAGGACAGAGGTATGCTGTATAAAACACCTGCTTCTCGTTAGCTGTAATGAGAGGAGGAAGAGAAGCTGGAGCCAGACAATCCAATTGACATCCACTATGATTCATGAGAATCCTTTTTAACACCAAATTAGAAACTGGTCATTTATCTATAGTGACCATCTTAAGCTTTCAAAATACCCATAATAACCTTGTAATCTCAAAGTTGAGACATTCTTATGTTACTTGTGAAATTGTTATATACAGTTTTGGGAGACAAAAAATAACATTGAAGAATAAATACATAAAATTTAGTTTGCAATAAAAATGCCACCTGAGGAAAACTATTTTGCCAATCCAGATCTCAGTTCTTCAGTCCCCGCTTGTCTTCCAGTTCTCTGTCGTTGTAGTGATTCATTCCCCTACCTCCCCCATGGGCCTGGGATGGCTTTTTTGAGACAGGGTTGACAGGGTCTCACTCTGTCACCCAGGCTAGAGTGCAGTGGCACAACCATAGCTCACTGCAGCCTCAGCCTCCTGGGCTTAAGCAATCCTCCTGCCTCAGCCTCCCATGTAGCTAGGACTACAGACACACACCATCATCCCCAGCTAAGTTTTTAAATTTAAATTAAATTAAATTAAATTTAATTTTTGAGACAGGGTCTCTCTGTGTCACCCATGCTGGAGTGCAGTGGCTGTATCACAGCTCACTGCAGCCTCTACCTTCTGGGCTCAAGTGATCCTCCCACCTCAATCTCCCGAGTAGCTGGGACTACAGGCACATGCCACCATGCCCAGCTAATTTTCATTTTGTTTTTTTCTAGAGGCGAGGTCTCACCACGTTGCCTAGCCTGATCTCAAGCTCTTGGGCTCAAGCGACCCACCCGATTGGGCCTCTCAAAGTGCTGGGATTACAGGTGTGAGCCACTGCACCTGGCCTGGGATGACTTTAAGAGATGGTTCCCCATCTCATTTTATGTACATCTTCCCTGGTAGCCAGGGTAGGATGCATCACAATAGTGGCGCAGTACCTAATTAGCTAAGGAAGAACAGAGTGGAAATCGGTTGATTGTCACCAAGTGGCTTGTCCCACCTGGGGAGCAAAAGAGTGGGGAGCAGGATGCCAGGAAGTTGGATTATACTGTCCCTAAAATAAGAGGACCTCCAAAAACCTCTCTACCTGTTTGGGGTACCCTGTAGATGTTTCTCACAAGAGAAATCCCTTGGCCTCTCAGATTGAAAATGTTCTAAACATACTGGCCAGTATTATACCCTCTCCCTTTACTGTCCTTTGTGGATGTATTTGAGGATAGGAGAGTGTGGTTTTTGAACCCAGCTTCATTTCAGTATCAACAGAGGACTTTTAGAAAATACAGGCTCCTGAGCTTTCCCCCAGACCTATTTAATCCAAACCTCAGGTACAGGGGGCCCTAGAATCCTGTTTCTCAATAGCTCCCTGAGTGACTCTATGCAACAGGGGTTCAGAAATGGTCCTTGACTAGGAATCAAGATGTCACGTTCTAGTCTCATTCTGTCACTCACCTTATTTTTCCTCTTGGTGCCTCAACTCTTCTATCATAAAATGAAGAGTCAAATGAGCCACCTCAAAGATTTCTTTGATGCCAGTAAATAATCCAGCCTATGTATAGATTTTCCAGGATAGAGAGCAGGCAAATTCTTCTGCTATTGCCTAAAGATCGCAGATCCACCCTGAGGCAGGCAGATAAAAAGGCACTAAATTTAGTGCTATCAGAACAGAGATTCAGCTATGAGGTCTTCAGAAGCCATAGCTGACTTTCATGCACCGAAAGGACATGCTGCTCCCCTGGACGTGAGCCCACAGAGGCTACAACATCTTTGTGTTGGTCCCAGCCCTGGAAGGCACATCAGGAAGCTCTCTGGGGACTGTCATTTGTTATGTGATTTCCTTTACTCATCTCTGTATCTTGCTTTTCTTTACTAATATTCCTGAATTCATGGCAACTCTCTTTATTGATGGTGCAAAACCCTCGTCTTGTTTTATTAAATCTCCTCTTGTCCTACTTCGCCAGTTTCATTTCCCTATCCCACCTCATAGGCAAACATGCTAATGGTTTGACATCCATCCTTTTGTTTGTATGTGTTCTTGTAAAATGCAAGAAATGTTTTTATGTTTATATAAATGGAGTTGGGCTTATAAGTCTCATTTTACACAGCATTATATTTGTAAGCTCCCTGTGTGGCTGGAGGCACCTCCAGGCCTCTGCTCCCAGAAGCCGGCATGATCGTGTTTTTCATCCGTCCCGTGGTGGGCATGTGGATGATCTCTAAACCACTGCCCCACCAACACCACAGACAATGCTGCAGGGGCATCTTTCCTGTTTCCTGTGGACCTTGGGGACAGTTTATTTGGGACCTATGACCCAGAGTGGAATTGCTGAGTTATGTGATAGGAATGTACTTCTGTTTTCAGAGTACTTCTGTTTTCAGAGTCCTGACAGATTGCCCTTCAGAAGTGCAGTCTCCTTACAGCACATGCCATCCCTGCTTTCCTCCTCAATGAAAATATCACTCCCACCCCCATAAAGTGCAGGAAATTCCACCAATAGAAATCCCTTTAGGTCATAAAGTCTTTTAGCCTTTCAAGGGTTCTTCTAACAAAACTCAAATATCCCTCTGTATGAAACACAAGACATGTTTTTCTTCTCTTTGGGTTTTTATGAAGATCACATAAATAACTCATCAGAAATGCCAAGCCCAAGTGTCTGGCACATTCATGGGGCTCAATACATTTTGATTTCTTTCTTTGAATACAGGAACTGCCAAAAAAACCCAGTTATTAACAACACCTGGGAAGGGAGAGGAATTGAGAGAGGGTGAGGAGTAGCTGCCTATAGGGCATAGCTGCTGGAGGAAGGAGGAGTCTGGAATAGCAGAGTTGTCCTCACCCTCAGGAGTGTTCCCTGGGCCAGGCCCCACCTGAGACCCCAGGTCACCTTGAGTGCAATGAGAATCACTTGGAGGGCTTATGACAACACAGGAGGCTGGGCCTACAAAGAGTTCCTGATTCAGGAGGTCTGGATGGGCCTGAGAATCTGCCCTTCTGACAAGTTCCAAAGTGATGCTGCTGCTACAGCTGCCACGGATGGGGGACCATGCTGCACTGCCTAAATCTTCATTTAACTCAGAGACTCTCTTTATGTCTTCTCTGGATTTTCCTTAGAAATAATTCACTCTGACAGGACAGACAGAAGATAATTTCAGGCATCCAGAGTGAGGCAGATGCAAACCTCAATGATAGGAGGAACAAGCCAGGATATGCCCTGGATAAGATTTCATTTGATAGATTCTTTTATATGAAACCTTAGCAAATGGATTTGTACTTTTAGATTTTAGGCTGGATGGGGAAATTCATTTCCCTTGCGTCTGCTGAGCCTATAATCTCCTTTTTGTGTCTGTATTCCTATAGGAATATTTTCTACCAAGACAGCCCCACTTAGGAAGACCCCAGGTGCCCAAATATCTGGGCTTCCCATTTAACGCAGCTATTTTGGGCAGTAACCTGGAGCTTTTGGCCCTCTCAGTCTCATCCCTAAATCAGGTGGAACTGAGAGGAACTTCTCTTCCAACCTCCTCTGCTTACAGAAGTGAAGTCTTTTGCCCATGCATTGAGAAGGAATCCACATGGCAGTATGGAGAGTTCCAGGACTAAAGTCTAAGAGGACTTGAGTTTGAATTCAACTTCTGCCACTGCCCATGAACCTGACAACCAGACCAAGATACACGTCAAACCTTAATTTCCACTTCCACAGAATGGACATCAAGATACCCACTGTCAAATTGAAAACAAACAAATAAACAAATGAAAAACCTGGACCTAGTAAGGAGAGATTTTATTCAAAGGATTATTGCAGCTTGGGGTGGGGAGTGTTACCTCCTTGTTATTGCAATATGGTGAACCCTGTGAACATAAGGTCTGCAAGCCTCTCAAGGGTTAGGCAAAAAGGGTTTCTTTTTATAGAGCAGTAAATCAGGCTAAAAAGAACCCAGTATGGGGAAGTGGGATGATAGGGAGGCAAGATCCGAGGGCAAATCAGAGAATATTCTACCCTGAGGCCAGTCTATTTTCAGCACAGACCCTTAGGGAGAGATTGTACTGGCTCAGGCTGAGGGCAGGCCAAAGTCGAGGGAACTGGGGGATGGAGAGGAGCTTAATCAAAGTTTGATTAAGATGCATTGTGCTCTGATCAATCAGTGAAGACAAGCAGTTCGGCTAATCACTTTTGAGGTAAAGAAAGGGAGTTTGAAGGGTCTGTGGCTGATCTTGTCACAGGTAAACAAGGGAGCATCTGGGAGGCTCTTCTAAATCTTATGGGGAAGGGTTCTTTGCAGAAAGTCTTTTCTGAACACAAAAAGGCAAGGTAATTTCTTAACCTTCAGGCAAAACTCAACATTGGCACTGCCTGCGTCTCTCCTAGGACTGACAAGAAAATAAAAGGGCTAGCTCTATGTGAAATCACTTTACAAAATGCCCACCAGTGGGAGGTTCCATAGGGCCTGGACCAGCAGAGGAGCCTGGAGCTCCTAACCTCCAGCTTGTCTGGATTCCCGAGTACAGTCCTTGTCTGCCTTCACACAGGGAAGCTCAACCTCCATCTTTCTTATGGATTGATGTTCTGGGTAAGATTTCAGTGATCACATTCCATATAACTGAACTGAAAGTAAGAGATTGAAAATCATGGAAGCACGACTGCCACTTTCCAACTCTGACATTCAATGATTTTCTAAAAGATACTTGAGAGAGAACTCTGTAATCCACAATAGGGTGGTGATGTAATCAGGATGCGCTCAAATGATAAATCCATAACATCAAATTCTATAGCTCCTTCAGGCAAATTCTTTGGATTGCCAGTGCCAGCCGGTGCCTTACAGGGTCAAAGTGGCAATGGTGGCTTGAAATACCAACTCACAGATAGCCCATCCCACCGGTTTTCAGAGCTGGGAGTCCAAGCTTGTGCTGCTACTTTCCAAGGCTAGATCAACAGGTCTCTCAGCAGCCTCTCTGCCCTGGGGGTTGTCTTTGAGGTACCCACCTTATCCCTTCTTGTCCCAGACATGCCCAGAACAGAGTCCTTGAGCCCTGCAGACTATCCTCTTATTTCTTCTTCACCATGTGTTTTATCTATTTCTTTCTTTCTTCTCACTTCTTGACAGAAATTTCTCATGGAAACAAAAGTGCTCTATCCTCAGTTTCTGTCATTCTGGCAGAAATAGGATTAAAATACTAATTTGAGTCATGGCAAAACAAATCAAATATATTTATTATACACTTGAGTTTGGAAACTAGGATTCATATCTCTTATGTTGCTTTTCTTAATTTTATATATATCACTTCTTTTGGTTTCATAATATAACTGGACTCTTGAGAATATGCTTAAAATGTACAGTCTCTCTCTGCAGCTGCCCTGCATGAACGTTAGCTATATTTGCTGTGGGATATTTTATTGACAATTGAGACTAATAAATAAAACTTGTCATTTTTACTCCATAACCCAGAATTACTCAACTATGTCCTTGTCAAAATAACCTATGTTGAACAAGCACTGGTAAAAAATGGTTATTTTTTCTCCCCTAATCAAGAAGAATTTTAGTTCCTGGAGCATTGGGTAGAAGCAGTATGATCAGAAGCAACTTCGAGAAGCACTTACCCTCATTTCATGCAGCAGCTTGTGTTGCTCTCAAATTCCCACTCCCAGAGCCTGATCATCTCCCTGTGATCAAGTCAGAATTTTTATAAATCTCAGCAGATTCAGAGCTCAAGGAGGAGAATAAGGTAACCTTGAGGAGTCACAGATTGAAATGGAAGTTAGTGTGAGTTACTAGTGATTCAACTTGATAACATTTGACAGTAAGCTTCATAAAATCATGTTGTCAACATATTATATTCATTTTTTAACTTTTATTTTAAGTTCAGGGGTACAAGTCCAGGTTTGTTACATAGGTAAATGTGTGTCATGGAGGTTTGTTGTGCAGATTATTTCATCACCCAGGTATTAAGCCTAGTATCCATTTGTTATTTTTCTTCATCCTCTCCCTCCTCTTACCCTCCATTCCCTGATAGGCCCCAGTGTGTGTTATTCCCCTCTGTGTGTTCATGTGTTCTCGTCATTTAGCTCCCACTTATAAGTGAGACCATGAGGGATTTGGTTTTGTATTCCTGAGGTAGTTTTCTAAGGATACTGGCCTCAAGCTCCATCCATGTCTGTGCCAAGGACATGATCTCATTCTTTCTCGTGGCTGCATAGTATTCCATGGTGTATATGTGCCACATTTTCTTTATTCAGTCTATCATTGATGGGCATTTAGGTTGATTCAATGTCTTGGCTATTGTGAATAGTGCTGCAGTGAACATACATGTGCATAAGTCCTTGTAATAGAACAATTTATATTCCTTTGGGTATATTCCCAGGAATGGGATTGCTGGGCTGAATGGTATTTCTGTTTTTAGGTCTATGAGAAATTGTCACACTGTCTTTCATAATAGTTGAACTAATTCAGACTCCCAACAACAGTGTATAAGTATTCCTTTTTCCCCAACAACCTCACCAGCATCTGTTATATTTTTATTTTTATTTTTATTTTTTGAGACAGAGTCTCACTCTGTCGCCCAGGCTGGAGTGCAATGGCGCAATCTTGGCTCACTGCAACCTCCACCTCCCGGGTTCAAGCAGTTCTCCTGCCTCAGCCTCCGGAGTAGCTGGGGTTACAGGTGCTTGCCACCACACCTGGCTAATTTTTGTATTTTTAGTAGAGATGGTGTTTCAGCATGTTGGTCAGGCTGGTCTTGAACTTCTGAGCTCAAGCAATCCACCTGCCTCGGCCTCTCAAAGTGCTGGGATTACAGCCGTGAGCCACCATGCCTGGACTTTTTTGATTTTTTAATAACAACCATTCTGACTGGTGTGAGATGGTATTTCATTGTGGCTTTGACTGGCATTTCTCTAATAATCAGTGATGTTTAGCTTCCTTTCATATGATTTTTGGCCGCATGTATATCTTCTTTTGAGAAGTGTCTGTTCATGTCCTTTGCCCACCTTTTAATGAAGTTGTTTTTTTCTTCTAAATGTGTTTAAGTTCCTTATAGATCCTGAATATTAGACCTTTGTCAGATGCATAGTTTGCAAAAATGTCCTCCCATTCTGTAGGTTGTGTGCTTACTCTGTTGATAGTTCCTTTGCTGTGCAGAAGCTCTTTAGTTTAATTAGATACCATTTGTCAATTTTTGCTTTGTTGCAATTGCTTTTGGCATCTTTGTCATAAAATACTTGCCCATGCCTATGTCCTGAATGATATTGCCTAGGTTTTCCTCTAGGGTTTCTATAGTTTTGGGTTTAAAATTTAAGTCATTAATTCATCTTGAGGTAATTTTTTATATGGTGTAAGGAAAGGGTCCAGTTTCAATTTTCTGCATATGGCTAGCCCATTCTTCCAACACCATGTACTGAATAGGGAGTCCTTTCCCCATTGCTTGTTTTTGTCAGGTTTGTTGAAGATCAAATAGTTGTATGTGTGTGGTATTATTTCTGAGAACTCTATTCTGTTCCATTGGTCTATGTGTCTGTTCTTTAACCAGTATCATGCTGTTTTGGTTACTGTAGCCCTGTAGTATAGTTTGAAGTTGGGTAGGGTGATGCCTCCGGCTTTGTTCTTTTTTGCTTAGGATTGTCTTGGCTATCTGGGCTCTTTCTCAGTTCCACATAAATTTTAAAATAGTTTTTTCTCTAATTCTATGAAGAATGTCAATGGTAGTTTAATGGGAATAGCATTGAATTTATAAATTGCTTTGGGCAGTATGGCCATGTTAACAATATTGATTCTTTCTATCCATGGACATGGAATGTTTTTCCATTTGTTTGTGTCATCTCTGATTTCTTTGAGCAGTGGTTTGTAGTTGTTTTTCTAGAGATCTTTCACCTCCCTTGGTAGCTGTAGTCCTAGGTATTTTATTCTTTTTGTGGCAATTATAAATGGGAGTTCGTTCATGATTTGACTCTTGGCTTGACTGTTGTTAGTGTGTAGGAATGCTAGTGATTTTCATATATTGATTTTGTATCCTGAGACTTTACTGAAGTTGCTTATCAGCTTAAGAAGTTTTGGGGATAAGACAAGGGGGTTTTCTAAATATAAGATCATGTAATCTGCAAACAGGGATAGTCTGGCTTCTTTTCCTATTTGAAGGCCCTTTATTTATTTCTCTTTTCTTATTGCCCTGGCCAGAACTTCCAATAGTGTGTTGAACAGGAGTGGTGAGAGAGGCCATCCTTGTCTTGTACTAGTTTTCAAGGGGAATTCTTCCAGCTATTGCCCATTCAGTATGATGTTGGCTATGGGTTTGTCACATGTAACTGTTATTATTTTGAGGTATGTACCTTCAATACCTAGTTTATTGAGAGTTTTTAGCATGAATGGATGTTAAATTTTATCAAAAGTTGTCTCCATATCTATTGAAATAATCATGTGGTTTTTGTCTTTAGTTCTGTTTATGTGATGAATCACATTTGTTGATTTGTTTATGTTGAACCAACCTTGCTTCCTGGGGATGAAGGCTACTTCATCGTGGTGAATAAGCTTTTTGATGTGCTGCTAGATTTGGTTTGCCAGTATTTTATTGAGGATTTTTGTATCGATGTTTATCAGGCAGTGGCCTGAAGTTCTCTTTTGTTTTAAATCTCTGTCAGATTTTGGTATTAGGATGATGTTGGCCTCATAGAATGAGTTAAGGAGGAGTCCCCCTCCTTTTCAATTTTTTGGAATGGTTTCAATAGGAATGGTATCAGCTCTTCTTTGTACAGCTGGTAGAATTCAGCTGTGAATCTGTCTGGTCCTAGGCTTTTTTTGATTGGTAGGCTATTTATTTCTGCCTCAATTTCAGAACTCACTATTAGTCTATTCAGGGATTCCATTTCTTCCTGGCTCAGTCTTGGGAGAGTGTGTGTGTCCAGGAATTTGTCCATTTCTTCTAGATTTTCTAATTTATGCGCATATAGGTGTTTATAATGTTCTGTGATGGTTGTTTGTATCTCTGTGGGGTCAGTGGTAATGTTCCCGTCATCATTTCTGATTGTATTTATTTGAATCTTCTCTTTTGTTATTTGTCTATTTTATTAATCTTTTCCAAAAAGTCAGCTCCTGAATTCATTGATCTTTTGAAGAGTTATTGCATCTCTATCTCCTTCAGTTCAGCTCTGCTTTTGGTTATTTCTTGTCTTCTGCTAGCTTTGGGATTTGTTTGCTCTTGGTTCTCTGGTTCTTTTAGTTGTGATGTTAGGTTGTTAACTTGAGATCTTTCTAACTTTTTGATGTGGGCATTTAGTGCTATAAATTGCCATCTTAACACTTCCTTAGCTGTGTCACAGAGATTCTGGTACATTGTATCTTTGTTCTCATTAGTTTCAAAGAACTTCTTGGTTTTTGCCTTAATTTCATTATTTACCCAAAAGCCATTCAGGAGTATGTTATTAATTTTCATGTAATTGTATGGTTTTGAGTGAATTTCTTAGTCTTGAGTTCTAATTTGATCGTGCTGTGGTCTGAGAGACTGTTATGTTTTCAGTTCTTTTGCATATGCTGAGGAGTATTTTACTTCCAATTACATGATTGATTTTAGAGTAGGTGCTATGTAGCAATGAGAAAAATGTATATTCTGTTGGTTTGAGGTGAAGATTTCTGTAGATATCTATCAGATCCATTTTACCCAGAGCTGAGTTCAGGTCCTGAATATCTTCGTTAATTTTCTGTCTCAGTGACCTGTCTAATATTGTCAGTGGGGTGTTAACGCCTCCCACTATTATTGTGTGGGAGTCTAAGTCTCTTTGTAGGTCTCCAAGAACTTACTTTATGAATCTGGGTGCTCCTGTGTTGGATGCATATATATTCAGGATAGTTAGTTCTTCTTGTTGAATTGAACCATTTACCATTATTAAATGTCCTTTGTCTTTTTTTATCATTGTTGGTTTAAAGTCTATTTTGTCAGAAACTAGGATGGCAATCCCTGCTTTTTTCTGCTTTCCATTTGCTTGGTAAATTTTCCTCCATCTTTATTTTGAGCCTACATGTGTCATTGCATGTGAGATGGGTCTCTTGAAGACAACATACCAATGGGTCTTGTTTTTTTATCCAGCTTACTACTCTATGTCTTTTATTTGGAGGCATTTAGCTCATTTACATTTAAGGTTAGTGTTGTTATGGGTTGATTTGATCCTGTTGTCATGATGCTAGCTAGTTATTTTGCAGACTGGTTTATGTGGTTGCTTTATACTGTCACTGGTCTTTGTATTTCAGTATGTTTTTGTAGTGGCTGGTAACATTTTTTTCTTTCCATATATATTGCCTCCTTCAAGAGCCCTTGAAAGGCAGGTCTGGTGGCAACAAATTCCCTCAGCATTTGGTCTGAAAAAGATCTTATTTCTCCTTCACTTATGAAGTTTATTTAGCAAGACATGAAAATCTGTATTGTAATTTTTTTCTTTAGGAATGTCAAATATTGGCCACCTATTGTTTCTGGCTGGTAGGGTTTCTGTTGAGAGGTCTTCTGTTAGTCTGATGGGCTTCCTTTTGTAGGTAACCTGGCCTTTCTCTCTGGTGGCTCTTAACATTTTTTCTTTCATTTCAACCTTGGAGAATCTGATGATTGTGTATCTTGTAAATGATCCTCTCATGGAATATCTTGCTGGGATTCTCTGCATTTCTTGAATGTGAATGTTGGCCTGTCTTGCTAGATTGGGGATGTTCTCATGAATAATACCCTGAAATATGTTTTCCAAATTGGTTCCATTCTCCCCATCTCTTTCAGGTATACCAATCAGTCATAGATTCAGTCTTTATACATAATCCCATATTTCTTGGAGGTTTTGTTCATTCTTTTTCATTCTTTTTTCTCTATTCTTGTCTGCCTGTCTTATTTTAAAAATACAGTCTTTAAACTCTGAGATTCTTTTCTTCACTTGGTCTATTCTGCTATTAATACTTGCTATTGCATTATGAAATTCTTGTAGTGTGTTTTTCAGCTCTATCAGGTCACTTACGTCCTTCTCTATACTGGCTATTTGGTCAGCTCCTGCAGTGTTTCATCATGGTTTTTAGTCTCCTTGCATTGGTTATAATATGTTTCTTTAGCTCAGTGTAGTTCATTTTTATCCACATTCTGAATTATATTTCTGTCATTTCAGCCATCTCAGCCTCAGCCCCGTTCCAAATCCTTGCTGAAGAGGTGATGTGGTCATTTGGAGGAAAGAGGACACTCTGGCTTTTTGAGTTTTTAGTGTTCTTGCCCTGGTTCTTTCTCATCTTTGTGACTTATCTACCTTCAATCTTTGTAGTTGTTGACCTTTGGATGGGTTCCTTTGGCTCCATGTAACTCATGGTTGGGACTTCACCCTGTCCTGCTTTTCTCCCTTTTTTCGTGGGTTGAGCTATTTCTCTGATTAATCCCAATGGGAGTACCTGGATGTTTCAGTTGAAGGTGCTGGATGTACAGTTGAAGATGCTGTATTTACTTGCCCCTTTCATTCCTCTCCCTGAGAGCCATGCACTGTAGCTGCTTTTAGTTGGCTACTTTGGCCCCCTTGCATTATGTTCATTTTAATTGAGAATATAAAATACATGTAATTCTGATTTTGCTTAGCTAGACAGTGAAAACAGAGCCACTCTCAAAGCAAAGTAGGTTACATCACAGATAACATGACTTCAATCGGAAGTGGACAAAGTATTATAAGATAGAAATACATGTGTGGGGGAATGCTACATAGATCAATATATAAATATTATGTTTCTTATCCTGATTGCATATACTTTGTCTGTATTAAAAAGAGAATATAGAGGATTTTCATTGTTTGCTTTCATCTGCCCTCACCTTCCATCTATGCCACCACTGAAAAAATAAAAGCAGATCTAAGACATAGACTTTAAGATACATTGTTTATTTGAGAGGTGATCACTGGAAGCATGGTAAGAAACTGTGAAACTGAGACAAGGAAAGGAGAACAGTTAATTAAAAGAAAAATAATTAGCAGTTTACCACTATGAGTAATGAGAGTCAGTCTCATTGGAGACGTTCTGAGAGTCTACATGAAGCACAGCTGAGGAAGAGGAAACAGCGATATTTTTCCAGTGACTCCTTTCCTCATTAGCTAATGGTCACACCTTGAGCATTTTCTTCCTAGAGCATTCTATTGAATAAAAAAAGTAATCACTGTATGCCGATATGGATTTGACAGGCATGTTAGGCTTATTTGACAAAGATTTTAAAGAAACCAACATAAAAATACTTTGAAGAGCAATTACGCACAGACTTGAAACAAATGAAAAAATATAAATTCTCAGCAAAGAAACAGAAGATACAAAGAATAACCAATATAAATTCTCAGCAAAGAAACAGAAGATACAAAGAATAACCAAGTTGATATTTTAAAACTAAAAGATAGAATAACTGAAATCAAAAGAAAACCCAATGGCTTGGCTCAATGGCAGATTGTAGGAGCCAGAGAAAAGAACAAGTAAGTTGAAAGATAGAATAATATAAATTACTCTTATAAACAACAGAAAGAAAACAGACTAAAATGTTTTGACATATCCACAGGGATTTGTGAAACTATAAAAATGATATAACATTCATGTCATCAGAGTTCCAGAAGGATAAAAGAAAGAAAGCAGGCCTGAAAAAGTACCTGAAGAAACAAATGTCTGAAAACTTTCCATAATTAGAAAAAGACAAGAGGACAGGTGAAACTCAAATAGATAAATTCAAAGAAGTCCACATCAAGAAACATCATAGACTTCTGAAAGCAGTGGGAGAAAAAGGAAAACTTATCTATAAGGGAAAAACAATTTGATTGACAGCATATTTCTTATTCGAAACCGTAAAGGCCAAAAGTAATACATTTTTTAAGTGCTTAGGGAAAAGAACTGTCAACACAGAATCCTGTATCCAGTAAAAATGTCCTTTGGAGCCGGGCACGGTGGCTCACTCCTGTAATCCCAGCACTTTCGAAGGCTGAGGCGGGTGGATCACCTGAGGTCAGGAGTTCAAGACCAGCCTTACCAACATGGTAAAACCCTGTCTTTACTAAAAATACAAAATTAGCCAGGCATGGTGGTGGTGCACACCTATAATCCCAGCTACTTGGGAGGCTGAGGCAGGAGAATCACTTGAACCCAGGAGGCGAAGGTTGCAGGAGGCAAGATAGCACCATTGCACTCCAGCCTGGGCCACAAGAGCGAAACTCCGTCTCAAAATTTTATATATGTATATGTATTTCCTATATTTCCTTTGGAAATGAAGGACAAATCAAGACAGTCTCAAATAAAGAAAACTAAGATAATTTGTCAGAAGCAAGCCTATCTTGAAAGAATGGCTCAATAATGTTTTCAAATGGAAATAAAACAATAATAGAAGAAATAACATGGTAAGCAAAAATATTAGTAAATACAAGAGTTTTTATCTCTTGTAACCTCTAAATTATAGTGGACAGTTGAAGCAAAAATTATAAAACTGTCTAGTGTAGTCCTAAATGTAGGTAAAGGAAATATTTCAATGATTATATTATAAATTGGGAAAAGGCAAAATAATATAAAAAGTGGTAAGGTTTGTATACTTCACTAGAACTGATACAATGATAACACCAGTAGAATGTGAGAAATAGGTATGTATAATATAATACCTAGAGCAACCACTAAAAAATATATATATATATATATATATACACACACACACACAAAGATAAACTCAGAAACACTGTATATAGATCCTTGTTCAAGATGGCTGCCTAAAGATATCAGACACCCACTCTCTCCAGAAAAAATGAAGCAAAATTATGAATAGACATTCATTCTTTGAACAGAACACCTTAGAGAGAACACTAGAGTCCAATGGAGAACTGATGGGAAACATCTGAGGCACAGAAGGAAAAGGGAGCAAGCAGCCAGCTTAGCCAAGACTGGTGGGTGCCCCAAGGGACTCAGTATTATGGGGAAAAGATAAATGAAAAAGCTTCAGTGTTCCACCTTCCTGCTGTGGCCTGCTGCAATCCAAACCACTAGAGAGCTCTCTACCCATACAAACCCTGATACTAGTGTGAGGAGTGATTTGGAGACCCCATGAGGGCATTGCACTAGGCAGGGAACTCACGCTGGGTCACTTACCTCTCCAAGACCTGAACAGCTGCTGTACAGAGCCTTTTGGTAGCACAGCATCATGGTACTGCATCCTGCGCTGGGAACAACAGCCCTCATATCTCCACATCTCAGGAGCTCCTGATGACATTCCCCAGTGTCCACACAGAGGGCTTTGGCAGAACAGCATTGGCTGGTCCCAAAGGTGCTGCAGAGTCCCCAGTACTTTAGCTCATAGGAAGTACTACATCTTGGGGAATAGGGTGTGCAGTGCACCAGAAGGCATCCCCTCCCCGACTCCAGGACAAAGGAAAGCAAAGTGTGTACTTTCCAGAGCCCATGACCCTAGGGCTCTGACTCTGCCCCCAAGCAGTGGCTCAATCTCTGTGCTCAGCTCTGCAAGCCAAGAGTGAAATCCCCTCCCACTGGCAGAGTGGCCTCTGTGCTGGAGCTCTCATGTAGAGAACAGAACCCTTCCTCCCTCTTTGCATACCTATTCCTACTGCTGACAGAGACTGGAGCCAGTGAGCCAGAGGGCTACCTGTCTGGGGCAGGGAGTGGCAACTACGACTGTGCTGGCAGTGTAATTTCCATGCCCAAGATCACACTAGAAGCAGGGGCCCTTCCCCCATCATCTGCGGTACTTGGGTGCTACTGCTGCAGAGAGGGCCTCAGAGCAGCAGATCTGGGTTTGTTGGAGGTGACCTTGCACAATGATCATCACCACCACTAGCTTGCACCACTCAGAACCCAAAGGGATGTCCCACCACTGCTGTTGCTGTTTCCCACACCACACCAACTGCTCAGGGACCTGAGATCCTGATCACCATTCTGATCTATTGCTGCTTCTACCAGCATCCAAGCAAGCCACTTGGAGGCCCAATAATTGGCCTGCCAATAAACACTAACATGGATACCAGCATACACTGCCCTAGGGCACAAAGACAGACATGCTCAGTTCACTACTAACATGACTGGGACCTGAAGACTGGCCCACCTGTCTTCCCAGTCTGTAGCACAACTTCACCACAGCTTCCACTAATAACCACACACTAACCCTCTGAGGAAATCAGAGAAAGCACTAATACTGTTTATAGGCAAAGAAACCATACAGAGACTACACTACTGCATGCACCCAGAATTGAAGCCAAATTACCCTACCCAACCAACACCACAGATACATTTTCAGGAAGGCCAGGCATGGTGGCTCATATCTGTAATACCTGCACGTTGGGAGGCCAAGGTGGGTGGATCACTTGAGGTCAGATGTTCAAGACCAGCCTGGACAACATGGCAAAACTCCATCTCTACTAAAAATACAAAAAAAAAAAAAAAATTAGCTGGTCATGGTGGCACACACCTGTAATCCTAGCTACTTGGGAGGCTGAGACACAAGAATTGCTTGAACCTCAGAGGCAGAGGATGCAATGAGCCAAGATCATGCTGCTGCATTCCAGCCTGGGTGACAGAGCAAGACTCTGTCTAAAAAAAAAAAAAAATCTGGAAAACGTCCTCCCCTACGTGAAAAGTAAATTCAAAAATAGAAAAAAAGTGACTGTTATATCAGATGCACAAATATTACTATAAGGATATAGGAAACATGAAAAACAAGGAAATATGATAACTCCAAAGAAACACAATAATTCTCAAGCAAAAGATCTTAAAAAAGAAATCTCTTCAACATTTGTGAAGAGAAATTTAAAAAAATAATCTTTGGAATTCCAGATAAAGAATTCAAAATATTGATTTTATTATTTTTAATTTAAAAAATTTTTTGAGACAGGGTCTCACTCTGTCACCCAGGATGGAGTGCAGTGATACAATCTCTGCTCGCTGCAGCCTCGACCTCCTGGGCTCAAGTGATTTTCCCACTGCAACCTCCCAAGTAGCTGGGACTAAAGGCATGTACCACCATGGTCAGCCAATTTTTGTTATTTTTGTAGAGACAGGGTTTTGCCATGTTGCCTAGGTTAAAATATTGATTTTAAAGAAGCTCAGTGAGATACAAAATAATTCTGAACCACAATATAAAGAAATTTTAAAAAAATAAGTCAGGTTATGAATCAGAAAATTGCCAGAGAGATATTTTTAAAAATAACAAAATAGAAATTTTGGAATTAGGTAATTCATTGAAGGAAACACAAAATACTTGTGCAACCTTCATAAATAGATCACATCAGGCAGAATAAATAATCTCAGAACTTGACAGTTCTTTGAAATAACTCAATCACACAAAAATTTTTTTAAAAAAGGATGAGCAAACCCGTTGTGACATTTGTGACAACATAAATGATCAAATATTTGAATTATCAGTATCCCAGAGGGTGAAGTAAAAATGAAAAGATTAGAAAATTTATTCAACAAAATAATAGGTAAAAACTTCCCAACTCTAGAAAGAGATTTAAGCATCCAGATACAGAAGGCTCAATGGTCCCCAGTGAGAGTATGTAAAAAGGTCTTCTCCATGGCACATTAGAATCAGATAATCTAAAATCGAAGATAAAGAGCAAATTATTGAAACAGCAAGAGAGAAGTGCCTAGTTATGTGTAAAGGAAACCTCATCAGACTAACAGTGAATTTCTTAGGAGAAACTTTACAGACCAGAAGCTAATGGGATGATATATTCAAAGTGCTGAAAGATATAAACTATCAATGAAGAATACTATTTATCCAGCAAAATTATTATTCATAACATTCATAAATAAAGAAGAAATCAAGTCTTTTCCAGAAAAGCAATTGCTGAGGGAATTCATCACCACTAGACCAGCAATATGAGAAATGCTCAAGGGAGTCCTAAACCTGGAAGTGAAAGGATAACATTTACCATCATAAAAAAAATACACAAGTATAAATTCACTGGTAAAATGATCACAAAAAGAAGAAAGAGAAAGGACTCAAGTGGTACCACTACAGAAATCCACCAGATCACAATTATAAACAATATGAGAAAAAGAAAGGAATAAAGAATATGTAAAACAACCAGAAAACAGTAAACAATATGACAAGAATAAAGCTTCACATATCAATAGCCTTGAACATAAATGGATTAAATTATTCACTTAAAATATATAGACTGGCATATGGGTTAAAAAACATAATTCAATTATATGCTCTCACAAGATACTCACCTTACATATAAAGACACATACAGATGCAAGGTAAAGAGGTGGAAAGAGATATTACATATGAACAGAAACCAAAAGTGAGCAAGAGCAGTTATATCAGATGAAAGATACTTTTAGTCAAAAAAAAGACAATGAAGATTATATAATGATAAAAATATCAAACCAGCCAAAAAAATAACAATTCTGAATACATATGCACCCAACACTGAATCACACAGATTTATAAAGAGAAGAGTTAAACTAGATCTAGAGAGTTAAACTGCAATATAATAATAGAGGGGGACTTTGGAATTAAACTGGATTTTAGAACTCATGGCACTAACAGACATTTACAGAAAATTCTATCCAACAACTGCAGAACATACATTATTTGTATAAGCACATGGAATGTTCTCCAGTATAGACCATATGTTAGGCCACAAAACAAGTCTTAAATTTTTAAAAATTAAAATCGTATCAAGAATTTTCCACAGTGGAATAAAGCTAGACATCAATAACAAGAGGAACTTTGTAAACTATACAAATACACAGAAATTAAACAGAATGCTTCCGAATGTTTACTGGGTAAATGAAGAAATTAAAATGGAATAATGTCTTGAAACATGAAAATGGAAACACAATGTAACAAAACCTGTGGAATACAGTAAAAACAATACAAAGAAGGAAGCTAGAGCAATGAAAACCTACATCAAAAAAAGTAGAAAGATTACAAATTAGTAATCTAACAATGCACCTCAAGAAACTAGAAGAGCAAGAACAAACCAAGCCCCAAATTAGCAGAAGAAAAGAGATAATAAAGATCAGAGGAGAACCATGTGAAATAGAGACTACAAAAACAATACAAAGGATTTTAAAAAGTGAAAAGTTGGCTCATCAAAAAGATAATAAAATTGGTAAATCACTAGCTGGAGTAACCAAGAAAAGAAGAAATCCCAAATAAAATCAGAAATTAAAAAGGAGAACACTACAACTGATACCACAGAAATGCAAAAAATCATCTGACTATTATGAACACCTATATGCTAACAACTGGAAAACTTAGAGGAAATGAATCAATTTCTGGAAACAGAAAACATATCAAGATTGAATCATAAAAAACTAGAAAACTTCAACAGATGAATAATGAGTGGTGAGACTGAATCAGTAATAAAATGTCTCCCAAGAAAGAAATGCCCAGGACCAGATGGATTCTCAGCTGAATTCTACCAAATATACAAAGAAGAACTAATACCAACCTTCTTGAAACTATTTGAAAAAATAAAGGAGAAGAGAATTTTCCCTAACTCATTCTATGAGGCCAGCATCACCCTAATACCAAAACCAGACAAGGAAAAAATAAAAAAAAAAAGAAAGAAAAACTACAGGCTAATATTCTTTATGAACACAGATGTAAAATTCTGCCCAAACGCTAGCAAAGTAAATGCAACAGCACATCAAAAAGATAATATACCATGATAAAGTGGGATTTATACCAGGGATGCAAGGATAGCTCAACATATGCAAATCAATAAACATGACACATCACATAGACAGAATGAAGGACAAAAATCATCACAATAGACACAGAAAAAGCATTTGATAAAATTCAATATCTCTTCATGACAAAAAAAACCCTCAAAAAACTGGGCATACGAGAAACATATCTCAAAATAATAAAGGCCATATACAACGAATCCACAACTAATATTATACTAAATGGGATGAAGTTGAAAGCCCTTTCTCTAAGAACTGAAACAAGACGAGAATGCCTACTTACTCCACTCCTATTTATCATAGTACTGGAAGTCCCCGCCAAAGCACAGTTAAGAGAGAGAAATAAAATACATCCAAATTAGAAAAGAGGAAGACAAATTGTCCCTCTTTGGTGATGATGTAGTCTTATACCTGGAAAACCCGAAAGACTCCACCAAAACACTCTTAGATTTGATAAATAAATTCAGTAAAGTTTCAGGATAAAAAATCAATTTACAAAACTCAGTAGCATTTCTATACACCAATAATGATCTAGCCAACAAAGAAATCAAGAAGGCAATCCCATTTACAACAGCTACAAAAATATAAAATACGTAGGAATAAATTTAACTAAGGAAATGAAAGATCTCTACAGCAAAAACTACAGAACGCTGATGAAAGAAGTTGAAGAGGACACAAACAAATGGAAAAACATTCTATGCTCAAGGTTCAGAAGAATCAATATCATTAAAATGACCACACTACCTAAGCAATCTAGAGAGTCAAGGAAATCGCTATCAAATTCCTTATAGAATTTTTTTAAAAACTACTAAAATTTATATGGAACCAAAAACAGCCTGAATAACCAAAGCAATCCTGAGCAAAAAAGAACAAAGTTTGTGGCATCACATAATCTGACTTCAAAATATTTAACAAGTAACCTGAGTAACCAAAACAGCATGGTATTGGAATAAAAATAGATATATAGACCAATGAACAGAATAGAGAACTATAAATAAATCCACATATTTACAGCCAACTGATATTTGACAAAGCTGACAAGAAGTTACATTGGGGAAAGAACACCCCCTTCAATAAATGGTGCTTGGGAAAATTGAATTGCCATTTGCAGAAGAATGAAATTGAGCTCCTATCTCTCACCATACACAAAAATCAACTCAAAATGAATTAAAGACTTAAATACCACTGTAGAGCTTCTCTAATCTTCTTCATATTCTCTTAACATGTCATGTCCTCTCAGTTCATCACCTGGCTGAAACATCACCTCTTTCATGAATTATTTTCTAATTCTTGCCCCAATAATTGCAAGGAATCCTCCATCCTCCCTACTCCCCTAGCATTGCATTAATTTTTCTATCAGAGTTTCTAAATGCGATATTATTTAAGTTGTTCATGTGGCTGCCTGTCTCTTCCCCTACACTTTTGGAAAGCAGGACTTTTAGCATTCACTATTACATCTTGAATTCGATGTAGGAAGCTGTGAATAGCGAGCCTTAAGTCAGTTTAATTGATTTGAATTGAGAAGAGTGGAATATTATTGTGTACAGGATGTCCTGGGAAGAGGGTCTCAAGAATTCAGGAAAGTATTTAGTTTACTTTGATAAACAGGAGGCAAGTTGCCACATCCTATTCCACTCTCAAGCATTCTGAACTGTCAGGAAGGCAGCCTTATATAATGCAATGAACATGCCACTTGACACATTTCCCTCAGAGGGAGACCCCTCCTAATATCGGAGTTTGTCCTGAGAAAGCTAAGGAAGAAGTGTTTCTTGCAAAGCAACTCAAATCTGTCCCCCAAATTATGCTTGTTATACAAAGCTTTTCATACAGAAATGTTAGACACCTTCAGATACAAAACACTGTTGGGAGAAAAGAAGTCAGAATTCAAATGAGATGTTGCCTTTGCAAAATAAAATTGGATAATCCCAAAAGTGTAGGATAAAGAAGGAACTGTAGTGAGAAGGTACTGAAACAAAGAGATCAAATGAAAGAAAGAATTTAAGATTATGAATATACCTAATATACAAGTAGTACTTTAAAATTCATGGAACCACTGAATTTTAAAGCTAAACTTACCTAAAAGGCAATATGCCTGTGATGGTTAATTTCATGTGTCAACTTGGGTAGGCCATGGTACTCAGTTTTTGCTGAAAGAGCAGTCTTGATGTTTCTGTGAAGGTATTCTTTAGAAGTCATTAACAAATCAGTAGAGTTTTAAGCAGAGTACCCTTCATGATGTGGGTGGGCCTCATCCAATCAGGTGAAGGCTTTAAAACAAAACATTGAGTTCTCCTGAGCAGAAAGGAATTCTGCTTTCAGACTGCCTTAAATTTGAGCTGCAACCTCAACTCTTCCCTGAGTTTCCAGCCTACTGAACTTCTCTGTACATTTTGGACATGTCAGCCACCACAGTGTCACGAGCCAATTCCTTAAACGAAATATCTTTTTCTCTCACTATGTCTATTTAGACATCCTATTGATCCTATTGGTTCTGTTTCTCTGGAGAACCCTGATTAATACTGATTAATATAATGCCAAATTCCTCAATTACATAGATAAAGAAATGACAATTAAAACATTAATGTTAACAGCAAATATTTACTGGGCACTTAAAGCTAAGAATGCCCTATGCTGGACTCTCTAACATAACCTAAATTAAGTCCACCAACCAGAAGGTCAGTATAATTATGTGCATTTAATAAATGAGAAAACTGGGGCCACAGGGATTTCGAGGCTTCTCAGGGGCCACCTAGTCACTTGACAACAGACCTGGGGTGTAGTTGTTTGAGTCATCTGTTCACTTTGCACTGTGCAACTCTTCATGCCACACACTAGGATAAAATACCTGCTCATTTCTAAAAAATGTATAATGAAATATTCCTGAAGCTGAGGCAGGAGGATTGCTTAAGCCCAGGAATTTAAGGCTAGCCTGGAAAACATACCAAAACCCCATTTCAAAAAAAAAAAAAAGTATAATGAAAATTTTCTACTTGGTATTGTAAATATTTTAAAAATTAAGAAGTGTGACACCTATTTGAGTCCCATGGCAGCAAAGTTCAAGCCCTAAAACGGGTCCTAAAATGTGTAAGAATCTGGTGCACAATAAAGAAATCATCATCAAAACAACAGAAAAAGATAGATGATTCAAAACTGGTGTTTAGAAGTTGGTTGCTTGGAAAAGAAAATATCATGCCATACCTTACACAAATTAGATTCCAGATGGATAAAATAAAATAAACCACTAATTATTCTAGAGGAAAACATTTCATCAATTTTTGGGTAAGAGCTGTCTTTTTTAGTCCAAAAGCAAAGCAAGAGATTTTAAAAAATCTGCTAGATTTGTTTAAATTTTAAAATTTTAATTCTATTCATTTCAAAACTAAAATTAAAAGAAATTAAAAGCAAATGACAACTTGGGAAAATATTACAAAAAAGTATAGACCAAGGATTAATAAAGAATATATAGAGAGAGATATTGACATGGTTTGGTTGTGTCCCTACCCAAATCTCATCTTGAATTGTAACTCCCACAATTCCCATGTGTCATGGGAGGCACCCAGTGGGAGGTGATTGAATTATGGGGGCAGGTCTTTCCTCCACTGTTTTCATGATAGTGAATGAGTCTCACGAGATCTGATGGTCTTAAAAATGGGAGTTTCCCTGCACGAGCTTTCTTTTTTTTGCCTGCTGCCATCCATGTAAGATGTGACTTGCTTTTCCTTGCCTTCCACCATGATTGTGAGGCCTCCCCAGCCATGTGGAACTGTAAGTCCAGTGAACTTTTTTTTCTTCATTGGATGAAGGAGGGTGGATCACCTGAGATCAGGAGTTGGAGACCAGCCTGGCCAAATGGCAAAAACCTGTCTCTACTAAAAATACAAAAAATAAAAAAATTAGCTAGGCCTGGTGGCAGGTACCTGTAATCCAAGCTAGTCAGGAGGCTGAGGCAGGAGAATTGCTTGAACCCAGGAGGTGGAGGTTGCAATGAGCTGAGATCATGCCACTGCACTCCAGCCCAGGCAGCAGAGCAAGACTCCATCTCAAAAAAAAAAAAATGTAAATTGCAATACAGATATTGATTAATGTGCCATGAAACTTTTTTTTTGTATTGATGGAAGCGTAAGTGAGTATGGTTTGTCTGGACAGCAATTTGGAACTATGAATCGGAGCTTTAAAATATGCATACCCATTTAACAAATATTTTCTGAGCACCTGCTACATGCCAGTTTTCAAAGACTCCTGAAAACACGCATTTTTAAAAATATAAAAACATGGCATATTCTCTGACCCAATAATCTTTTTTCTAAGGACATACAGTAATAAAATTATCAGAGGTGCAGTGAAGATTGACAGAAAATATGTTAATCATAGGATTGTGTACAATGTAGAAAAAAATTGGCAACAACTTAAATACCTGGTGATAAGAAAATGATTTGTTTAATAAAACCATAGAATTACAATAAAGCACCTTTCAGCCCTTAACTGACAGGTTGGTTTTCTAAATTTTTAAATTACATAGAGAAATGTTAATGCTATAACTTTCAAGATAAGAAAAGCAAGATGCATATTACTTAATTGAAATCATTATATATAGTTTTATATCTTGCTTTTGATCTCTGCATTTATTAAATTGTAGTTATCTCTGGATAGTAAGATAATCCATGATTTTGAATTTCCTCATTTGTATTTTTCTGATTTTTATAAATTTTCTTTGCTGAACATGAATCACTTTTATAACTTAAAAAATGCTAAATATAAGTGACCACTTTCTGCAAGGTTTTATGAGGAAAAATCATGTAGGGTTAAAATTATGTATCTATAAATGTATGGTGTGAGTGTGCATGTGCATATGTGTGTGTGTGCACCTTCCAGCTGACATTGACTGCAGCCAACTGTCAAAAGTGTGACACATGGACATTTTAATATAAGTACTGTATTAGTCTGTTTTCACGTGGCTGATAAAGATATATCTGAGACTCAGCAATTTACAAAAGAAAAAGGTTTAATGCTCTCTCATTTCCACGTGGCTGGGGAGGCCTCACAATCATGGCAGAAGGTAAAAGGCATTTGTCACATGGCAGCAGAGAAGAGGAGAGAAGAGAAGCTTGTGCAGGGAAACTCCCCTATATAAAACCATCAGATCTTGTGAGACTTATTTACTATCACAAGTACAGCATGGGAAAGACCTGCCCCCATGATTCAATTCCCACCAGGTCCCTCCCATAAAACGTGGGAATTCAAGATGAGATTTGGGTGGGGACACAGCCAAACCCTATCAGCTACTAAAATTGGAGATCTGTTTTGTGCTTCTATTTGCCAGTTCAGTTCTACTAAAAATCTGGGCAGGCAGTCTGAGACAAACTCCCCACAAATACAAATTGAACTACTTCCTCATTAAGCCACTTCACCTGCATCTTAATTACATGAGATACTACTGTATCCTATGTACAAGTATTTCTTCAAATGTTACCCAAGGATATTGAAAATATTCATGTGCCCTTTAGCAGTATTCAAAGCATTCTTCATGCTCAGGAACAAGAAAGTAACTCAGATCCAGTGATTTAAGCCGTTGGTTCTCGTTGTTAATGGAAATTTTGCACTACAGGGAATGGGGTTTAAGCTTCAAGGGAAATTCAGTAGGAAAAACAAGGTCTTGAATAAAATGTTTCAAAGTTTAAATAGCAGATTTAGGGCTATTTGCAGTACTACCCTACATCTTTTACTGGAATATTCAAAGCTGCAAAGTCAGTAAAGAACTTGGCTTCCCAGGTAAACTTGTGAGTTAGCTGTGTAGAGAATCGGGCTATCAGAAGTGACAAGTGGAATATTGGGGAAATTTCCTTTCTTTTAATCATGTGAAGTTGTCAATGCAGAACAAATGAGAACTTACTTTGGTAAAATGATTTGGAAGAACTGCCTCACTCTCTATGTCTTTTAAGGTTTGAAAATAACATGAGACTAGACACCCCCTTTGCCCCTACACTTGGCAATGTAAGAATGGTCTGCATCCAACTCCAACAAATATAGCAGTCTCCTGTTTCCTACAGTATCAACCACATGGCAATTTTTCCTGGAAAGTGAACAAACAGGTGCTTTATTTGACACATAGAGCAACGTCTGTATTTCTTTTGATCAGCGTAGTCCTTAGCAAGCAGCCCTTGTTTTTAATCCATTTGAAACACTGACTAAAAGAGGAAGGTGGAGAGATTAGGAGGTGTCATCCTCTGGTTTATGAAAGGGAGAGTCAGACCGGGTGCAGCGGCTCATGCCTGTAATCCCAGCACTTTGGGAGGCCAAGGAAGGTAGATCACCTGAGGTCAGGAGTTCGAGACCAGCCTGGCCAAGAAGGTGAAACCCGGCCTCCACTAAAAATCCAAAAATTAGCTGAGTGTGGTGGTGGGCACCTGTAGTCCCAGCTACTCAGTAGGCTGAGGTAGGAGAATCATTTGAACCTGAGAGGAGAGGTTGTAGTAAGCTGAGATCACTCCACTGCACTCCAGCCTGGATGAAAGAGTGAGACTCTGTCTCAAAAATGAGAAGAGAGAGTCAAAAAATAGTTGCATCAATCAAATGAAAGAAAGTTTGAATGGATGTCAACAGCTAAGAAGAATAATGGGGGGGGATCGGCCATATCAATCATGAATGTAAATGTTGTCTTTTCATTTTCAAGACACAAATATACTGTTACTCTGCTACTACAGATCTTATGTTCTGTTAATATAGATTTTTAATTACACAATAATAAATAAAAACACTGTTCTTATAAGGTTCAAACACTACAGGCACTCATATATATTAAAAACAAACTGGCCGGGTGCGGTGGCTCACGCCTGTAATCCCAGCACTTTGGGAAGCCAAGGCAGGCAGATCACAAGGTCAGGAGTTTGAGACCAGCCTGGCCAAAATAGTGAAACCCTGTCTTTACTAAAAATACAAAAAATTAGCCGGGCATGGTGGCAGGTGCCTGTAATCCCAGCTACTCAGGAGGCTCAGGCAGGAGAATCGCTTGAACCTGGGAGGCAGAGGTTGTAGTGAGCCGAGATTGCACTCCAGCCTGGGTGGCAGAGCGAGATTCCGTCTCAAAAAAAAAAAAAAACCATCAAGTCCTAATTTATACCTTCATTTTTATTCTTCTTTCTGAAGATAAATATTGCCAATATTTTGGTATATTTGGTATGTTGACAATTTAATTTCAATGCATTTAACCATACATGTAATCAGGGTGAGATCTCCCTCATTGTCTTTAATAGCGGCATGTGATTAAATATCACAGATATGGCATAGTCTATTTAGCCACTCTTTCACTGATGACGGTTTAAGTTGTCTCCAATACTTATACCATGAACAACAACAAATGAACATTTGTTGAACAAAATTTTTAAACACAAATGCAAAGATTTATTATTTTTTAAACATTTATTTATTTCTATAATATAAGTAAGACATGGATATATATTCTCAAAATGCATAATCAAAGCTCATCTTAATCCTAATACCCTCTGTAAAGGTAACTGCTATTATTTTGATGTGAATCTTTCCAGAACTTCTGGACCCCATTTACACATGTACAACTGTATATAGCTAGGCATAGCTTTGTTTTGTGTGAAGAATTGCTTGTCATTTATGATAATATATTGCTAGACAATCTTCATAGCTCCCTTAACTGCAGGTGTGGTGATTTTTCTGTGTACAAGTGTATCTACCCCATTTATTGTCACTGTTGCATAATATTTCATTGAGTCTCAACACCAATTTTTTTAATCATTTGCCTATAAATAGACTTTTAATTATCTACTGTGTTGGATACATAGTGTATATTTCAATACATATTATATTCAGTACACCAAATACAGATGCTCCTCAACGTACACTGGGGTTACTTCTGATAAACCTGTCACAAATTGAAAATACTTTAAGTCAAAAGTGCAGTTAATACACCTAATATACCGAATATCATAGCTTAGTCTAGCTTACCTTAAGCAAGCTCAGAACATTTACATTAGCCTACTGTTGGGCAAAATCATCTAACACAAAGCTTATTTTATAATAAAGTATTGAACGTCTCATGTAAGTTAGTGAATACTGTACTGAAAGTCAAAACAGAATAGTTATATGGGTACCAATCATAACATTAGAAAATTGTAAATTGAACCATCTTAAATCAGGGACTGTCTGTATATATTTATATGTGTGTATGTGAGTGTGTGTGTATGTTAGTTCTTATTGCCTGTGGTTTAAAATTTATTTTCTTTCACTGGGGGTATATTTTATTTTATTTTATTTTATTTGTGGATGGATAATATAGATACATGGTTCAGAATTTAAAAAGCAGAAGCATGTAAGGTGAAAATTAAGTCTCTCTCACACCCCTTTGCCCAGTCACCTGGTTGCCTCCCCAGAGGTAACCACTGTTACCAGCTCCTTGTGGGTTCTTCTAGAGATCTCTGTATATACAATAGGAAAACGCAGGATTCCTCCTCTGCAGGTAGATTTGTGTTTGCTGTTGCTGTGCCATCTATAGAAACAAGAAGACCCTAGCTCTAAGGCTGACAGAATTCAGTGGTTACTTGGCATTCTTGTAGTGGCTTGAGGCTCTCTTGGAGTCAAACGCATTGTCTAGGCCGGGCGAAGTGGCTCACGCCTGTAATCCCAGCACTTTGGGAGGCTGAGGTGGGCGGATCACCTGAGGTCGTGAGTTTGAGACTAGCCTGACCAACGTGGAGAAACCCCGTCTTTACTAAAAATACAAAAAATTAGCCAGGCGCAGTGGGTCATGACTATAATCCCAGCTACTCCAGAGGCTGAGGCAGGAGAATCGCTTGAACTTGGGAAGTGGAGGTCACGGTGAGCTGAGATAGTGCCATTGCACTCCAACCTGGGCAACAAGAGCAAAACTCCATCTCAAAATAAATAAATAAATAAATAAATAAATAAATAAATAAATAAATAATACATTGTCTATAGCTTACCTTGAATATTCTTTCCAGTCCTTATATTCTATCTTTTCAATCTTGTACTAGCATCAAAATGTTATAGTTTGTCATTTCTGTTTGCAGATGACATGATCCTGTATCTAGAAAATCCTATTCGTCTCAGCCCAAAAGTTCCTTAAGCTGATAAGAAACTTCAACAAAGTCTCAGGATACAAAATCAATGTGCACAAATCAAAAGCTTTCCTATACACCAACAATAGACAAAGCAGAGAGCCAAATCATGAATGAATTCAAATTCACAATTGCTACAAAGAGAATAAAATACCTAGAAATACAGCTAACAGGATAATGAAGGACCTCTTCAAGGAGAACTACAAACCACTGCTCAAGGAAATAAGAGAGGACCCAAAAAATGGAAAAACATTCCATGCTCGTGGATAGGAAGAATCAATATAGTGAAAATGGCCATACTGCCCAAAGTAATTTATAGATTCAATGCCATTTCCCTTAAACTACCATTGACATTGTTTACAGTATTAGAAAAAAAAACTTTAAAATTCATATGGCACCAAAAAAGAGCCTGTATAGCCAATAGAAGCCTAAGCAAAAAGAACATAGCTGGAGACATCACACTACTTGACTTCAAGCTATACTGCAAGGCTATAGTAACCAAAATAGCATGGTACTGGTACCAAAACAGAGACATACCAATGGAACAGAATAGATATCTCAGAAATAATACAACAAATCTACAATCATCTGATTTTTAACAAACCTGACAAAAACAAGCAATGGAGAAAGGATCCCCTATTTAATAAATGGTGCTGAGAAAACTGGCTAGCTATATGCAGAAAATTGAAACTAGACTCCTTCCTTATACATTATAGAAAAATTAACTCAAGGTGGAGTAAAGACTTAAATGTAAAACCCAAAACTATAAAAACCCTAGAAGAAAATCTAGGCAATACCATTCAGGACATAGGCACGGGCAAAGATTTCATGACAAAAACATCAAAAGCCATTGCAACAAAAGCCAAAATTGACAAATGGGATCTAACTGAACTAAAGAACTTCTGCGCAGCAAAAGGAAATATCATCAGAGTGAACTGACAACCTACAGAATAGGAGAAAATTTTTGCAGTCTATCCATCTGAGAAAGGCCTAACATCCAGAATCTACAAGGAACTTAAAAAAATGTACAAGAAAAAAGCAAAGAACCCCATCAAAAACTGGGCCAAGTAATATGAACAGACACTTCTCAAAAGAAGACATATATGCATCCAACAAGCATATGAAAAAAGCTCAACATCACGGATCATTAGAGAAATGCAAATCAAAACCACACTCTCATGACAGTCAGATCGTGATTATTAAAAAGTCAAGAAACAACAGTTGCTGGCGAGGCTGTGGAGAAATAGGCATGCTTTTACACTGTTGGTGGGAATGTTAATTAGTTTAACCATTGTGGAAGGCAGTTTGGCAATTCCTCAAAGGTCTAGAACCAGAAATACCATTTGGCCCAGGAATCCTATTACTGGGTATATACCCAAAGGAATATAAATTATTCTTTTATAAAGATACATGCACATGTATGTTGATTGCAGCACTATTCACAATAGCAAACACATGGAATCAACACAAATGTCCATCAATGATAGACTGCATAAAGAAAATGTGGTACATATACACCATGGAATACTATGCAGCCATTAAAAAAACAATGAGATCATGTCCTTTGCAGGGACATGGATGGAGCTGTAAGCTGTTATGTTCAGCAACCTAAGGCAGGAACAGAAAACCAAACACCACATGTTCTCACTTATAATGGGGAGCTGAAAAATGAGAACACATGGACACAGGGAGGGGAACAACACTCACTGGGGTCTGTCAGGAGGCAGGGGGTGGGAGGGCATCAGGATAAATAACTGATGCATGCTGGGCTTAATACCTAGGTGATAGGTTTCTAGGTGCAGCAAACCACCAGGGCACATGTCTACCTATGTAGCAAACCTGCACTTCCTGCACATGTACCCCAGAACTTCAAATAAAATAAAATAAAATAAAATTTTGAAAAAGAAACTAAAGTACACACACACCCCATTACATGAAAACCAAATAAATTTGTGTTAAGTTCCAAAAAAATTATAGTTTGTGATTCCTAATAGTTTGTTATTAAACAGATGATCATTCGATAACTTTTAAAAATTCTTAAATGGTTATTGGTCTGTTCAGATTTTCTATCTGAATTAACTTTGGAAGTTCATGCTCTCATGGAACATTGTTGTGATGGTTAATTTTAAGTGTCAATTTGACTAAATTAAGGAATACCCTGATAGCTGGTAAAGCATTATTTCTGGGTATGTCCGCAAGGGTGTTTCTGGAAAAGACTGGCATTTGAGTTAGTGGACTGAGTAAGGATGATCCACCCTCACCCAACGTGGGTGGGAACTATCTATCAGCTGAGGCACAGATAGATAGTCTAGGTGGGGAAAGGCAAATTTGCTGTTTCTCCCTTAAAGCTATGACACTCGTTTTCTCCCACCCTTAGACATCAGGACTCCGGGTCCAGAACTTCAGACTCTAAGACTTGTGCCAGAAGCTCCCCCAGGACTGAGAATCATACTGTTGTCTCCCCTGGTTCTCAAGCCTTCAGACTCAGACTGAGCCACACTACCGGTTTCCCTGGTTCTCCAGCTTGCAGACAGCCTATCGTGAAACTTCTAAGCCTCCATAATCACATGAGCCAAGTTCCATATGAAATCCTCCCTCTCTCTCTCTTGCTGTCGCTCTTTCTCTCTCTATCTCTATCTCCTATTGCTTGTGTCTCTCTGAAGAACCCTGACTAATAAAATTGTCCATTTCAATAATATTTACACATCTATCTTCATGGAGTTATATGAAGTTTTTTAAAAAACATTTTCAAAATGTTCATATTTCTTATTTTGTGGTTATTTTATAGACTGAAATGTTTGTATTGAATTTATAATAAAAATAACGTTTCAGATCAGTGGAGAAAGGAAAGTGGGCTCAGAAAATAATAACATCTATTTATGAAGGAAAGCAAGTATTTTGAATATAAGGTGAGTATTTACATATTATAATAGAAAAGTATAACATTTTTAATCTGATAAATTTTATTTATTTTCCTTGAGGTCTTTTCTTAAATTTTTAGTTTTGGTAAGTACATAGTAGGTGTATGTATTTATGGGTAATATGAGATATTTTGATAGAGGCATGCAATGAGTAATAATTACATCAGGATAAATGGGTATCCATCAACTCAAGCATTTATCCTTTGTGTTACAAACAATCCAATTATACTCTTTTAGTTATTTTTAGATGTAAAATTAAATTATTTTTTACTATATTCACCTTGTTGTGCTAGCAAATAATAGATCTTATTCATTCTTTATAACTAGTTTTTGTACCCATTAGCCAACTCCACTTCCTCCCAACCCCATACTACCCTGTCCAGCCTCATAACCATCCTTCTACTGTCTGTCTCCATGAGTGTAATTGTTTCCATTTTTAGCTCCAACAAATAAGTGAGAACATGTGAAGTTTGTCTTTCCATACCTGGCTTATTTCACTTAACATAACAACTCCAGTTTCATCTGGGTTGTTGCAAATGAAGGGATCTCATTCTTTTTATGGCTGACCGGTACTCCATTGTGATTATGTACCACATTTTCTTTATCCATTCAACTGTTGATGGACACTGGGGTTGCTTTCAAATCTTGGCTATAGTGAATAGTGCTGCAATAAACATGGGACTCCAGATATCTCTTTGATATGCTGATTTCCTTTCTTTTGGGTATATATACCTAGGAGTATATACCCAAAATTCGTAGGAGTGGGATTGCTGGATCATATGGTAGCTCTATTTTTAGTTCTGTGAGGAACCTTCAAACTGTTCTCCATAGTGGTTGTACCAACTTACATCCCCACTAACAGTATACAAGGGTTCCCTTTTCTCCACATCCCTGCCAGCATTTATTAGTCTCTGTCTTTTGGGTAAAAGCCATATTAACTGGGGTAAGATGATATCTCATTGTAGCTTCAATTTGCATTTCTCTGATAATCAATTATGTTGAGCACTTTTTCATATACCTGTTTGCCATTTGTATGTCTTCTTTTGAGAAATGTCTATTCAAATCTTTTGCCAATTTTTAAATCAGATAATTAGATTTTTTCCTATAGAGTTGTTAGGGCTCCTTAAATATTCTGGTTATTAATCCCCAGTCAGATGGGTATTTTGCAAATTTTTTTTTTCCCATTCTATGGATTGCCTCTTAACTTCATTGTATCCTTTGCTGTGCAGAAGTTTTTTGACTTGATGTGATTCCATTTGTCTATTTTTGCTTAGATCGCCTGTGCTTGTGGGTATTACTCAAAAAATCTTTGCCTAGACCAATGTCTTGGAGAGTTTCTCCAGTGTTTTCTTTTAGTAGTTTTATAGTTTGAGATCTTAGATTTAAGTTTTTAATCCATTTAGATTTTATTTTTGTATACGGCAAGAGACACGGGTCTAGTTTCATTCTTCTGCATATGGATATCCAGTTTTTGCAGTACCATTTATTGAAGGGACTGTCCTTTCCCCAATGTATGTTCTTGGCACCACTGTCAAAAATGAGTTTACTATACATATATGAATTTATTTCTGGGTTCTCAATCCTGCTCCACTGGTCTATGTATCTGTCTTTATGCTAGTACCAAGCCATTTTGGTTACTAGAACTCTGTGATTCCTACAGTTGTTTTTGCTTAGGATAACTGGCTATTCTGGGTCTTCTGTGGTTTCGCATAAATTTTATGATTTTTTTCTATTTCTGTGAAGAATGTCATTGGCATTTTAATAGGAATTGCATTTTATCTGTAGATTGCTTTGGGTAATATGGACATTTTTATGAGATTGATTCTTCCAATCCATAAACATGAAATATTTTTACATTTTTTGGTATCCACTTCAATTTCTTGCATCAATGTTTTATAGTTTTCATTGTAAAGATCTTTCGCTTCTTTATTTAATTCTTAGATATTTTTTATTTGTGCCTATTGTAAATGAATTTCTTTCTTGATTTATTTTTCAGATTGTTCACTGTTGGTATATAAAAATGACGCTAATTTTTGTATGTTGATTTTTTACCTTGCAACTTCACTCAATTTGTTTATCAGTTTTCATAGGTTTTTGTGGAATCTTTTTTTTTTTTAATATAAGATTATGTCATCTGGAAACAAGGGTAATTTGACTTCTTATTTTCCAATTCAGATGCCCAAACAATTAAAAAAAAACCCAAAAAACAACTTTTTGTTTCATTGATCTTTTGTGTTGTTTCCTTCATTTCCATTTCATTTATTTATGTTCTGATCTTCATTATTTCTTTTCTTCTACTAATTTTGGGTTTGGTTTGCTCTTGCTTTTCTAGTTCTTTAAGATGCATTTTTAGGTTGTTTATTTGAAGTTTTTCTTCTTTTTTGATGTAGGCACTTCTAGCTATAAATTTCCCTCTTAGTACTGCTTTTGCTGTAGCCCACAGGTTTTGGTTTGTCATGTTTCCATTATCATTTGTTTCAATAAATTTTTCAATTTTCTTTTTAATTTCTTCATTTGACCCCTGGTCATTCAGGAACATGTTGTTTAATTTCAAGTGTTTGTGTAGTCTTCAAAATTACTGTTGGTATTGATTTCTAGTTTTATTCCATTGTGATCAGAGAAGATGCCTGATTATATTAAATTTTTTTTAATGTTTTATGACTTGTTTTGTGACCTAACAGAGAGTCTATCCTCGAAAATGATCCATTTGCTAAGGAGAAGAATATGTATTCTGAAGATGTTTGGCAAAATGTTGTATAAATATCTATTAGGTCCATTTGGTCTATATTGCAGATTAACTCTGATGTTTCTTTGTTGATATTCTGTCTGGAAGATCTGTCCAATGCTGAAAGTTGGGTATTGAAGTCTCAGCAATTATTGTATAGGGGTCTATCTCTCTCTTTAGCTCTGATAATATTTGCTTTATATATCTGGATGTTCCTGCGTTGGGTACATATATATTTATAATTGTTACATCCTCTTGCTAAATCAATCCCCTTACCATTATATAATATCTTCTTCATCTCTTCTTATAGTTTTTGTCTTGAAATCTATTTTGTTTCATATTAGTGTAGCCACTCCTGTTCTTTTTTGGTTTTTATTGGCATGGAATATTTTTTCCATCCCTTTATTTTCAGTGTATTTGTGTCTTTATAGGTGAAGGGTGTTTCTTGCAGGCAACAGATAACTGGGTCTTGTTCTTTATCCATTTGGCCACTCTACATCTTTTGACTGGGGAGTCTAGTCCTTTTACACTAAATTTTATTATTGATAAACTCAATGTTATTGTTAATAAGTAAGGACTTACTCCTGCCATTTGGAGCCTTTTATTCAGCCATGTTGCTCTGCCCCCCAACCCAATCTGTTAGATTTCATATCATAAGCTTTGTAAACTTACATACATCAAGTTATAAACAACATTTTAAAATAAGCAACAAGCTGGTGAAGTATATACACATACATTTTTTGCAAAGGAATAGCATTCTTAATATATAAATAATTTGTTCAAATAAATATTAAAAAATACTGTAGCACAGTTGCTAGAAAAAAGAACAATGGATATGAATAGGTAATTCATAACAAGAGCAACTCTGATGACCAATAAATATATTTTAACTGTTCAGCATTACTATACCTCAGAAAAATGTGACAAAATGAGATCTTATTTTCTATCTGGCAGAGATTTTTTAAAATAGTAATATCCTGGCTTATGAAGAAACAAGCATTCTCATACACTGCTGGTGAATATGTAGATTGGTACAACTTTCTGTAGGAAAAATTGGCAATATGCATCAAAAGCTTTTGACTCAGCACTTCAGTGTCACAATTTATTCTTGGGAAATAGCTATGTTTGCAGAGATTAATGCACATGGATGTTTCAGATATTGTTTTCAAGAGTACATAATAAAAAATGGAACAAGCTAAGTACCAAACAATTGAAAAGTGGTTAAATGAATTGTGACACATCCCTGTGGCTGCAGCCATAAAAAATCACAGTGCGGAAGTATCTATACTGATGCTGGAAATGAGTACTCTTCTCAGGCCCTATTCCTGTTTTTTGGACTCATTCTCCTAGATAAACCCTCTGTTCAAAAGCCCTTGACTCAGGATCTCCTTCAGGGAGGTCACCCAAGCTGAAACAATTGTGTGTCCTTTCCATTTCAGAATGTTGAGCTCAATAGTTCTCCAAAAATTCTGTTGTCATCTTCCAAAAGTCCCAAGTTAAAGAACTTCCATTAAGTGGTTCTGCATATAAAATCTTGGTATGTGCAAAGTCAAGAATCTGGAGGCCAGTGGGAAAAAACAGGTAAGGAGCCTTATTTCAGGACACTGCCCTTATTTTGGGTAAGAGACTTATTTCTGAGTGAGTATTCATACAGCACTGGGCCATGTTGTCTTCTTGGCTACAAATTTCCTCCTCATTATTCCACACGACATCTGATACTTTCTTAATTACATAGATATTCAATAACCACTCTGTCTAACTGGGCCCATTATCTAGAGCCAGCAGCTGAAATATCAGGGAAAGCCTTTTAGATCTTGTGTAAGTGGGAAATTGCCTTTCAGGAAAGTAATCTATTGTGGCCTATAAGATGAGGCAGCAGGAACTTGTCAGATTACAGCATCAAATGTCCATTCTCTCATTCACAGAGAAAACACAGAGAAGCCCTGAAGGCATTAGAAGTCTCTCATAATGGATCCATTTTGTGAGCCAAGTACAGGGTGTCCGGGGCAGGGTACAGTCTTCCTCCCTTCTCAGGAGACTGCATTTGCTGATCTGATGTTAGCAGAGCACAAGCTTGAGTTTATTTTCACTCTCATGGTGATAGGTTATTCCCTCTCTTGACAGTCACCCTTATTATCAAGAGCACAAATCACATTTGAGAGAGAGAGTAAGGCCTTGAACTCAGAATGATGGCCATGGACTCAACATAAATTCGCTTAATGAGAAGTTTCCTTGAGTGCTGAATCACTCCTTTGTCTGCCCAACTGAACTACTTGGGATGTTCTTCCATTCCTCTCCAACCCTTGGCTGTCCCAACATTGACTGGTAAATTCTCTGGCCCTGGAGGTGCCACTGACTTAACACATACTTCTTTAACCACCACTTACATAGTGAGTCTACATTCCAGGCATTGTTCTAAGCCCTTTTATAGTTATTAGCTCATATGGCCCTAACAACTCCTCTATAAAGTAAGTACTGTTATTATCTCTATTTTATTAGTCCCACCTACCAGGGATTAGAGGTAGTCCATGATTTTTATTTCTTGTCCAAAGAACATAGTAAACTCCAGTTTTGTCTCCCTGTAGCTAGTCCCTCCATTTTATCCATTCTTCATTCTGCTTCTAGAATGCCGTTTCTGCCCTAAAACACTGGACAGACTCCCACTTGCCTACAAGGCAAAGGTGAAGTTGTATCTCCTTAGCCTGGTTTAGAAAACCTTCTTTCTCCCTTCACACCACTTTATGGCCATATGTTTGTCTTTCTACACTCAACAATACAGCATTCCACAGAAAAAGCAAGCCCTTTACCTAATACATGCTTTTGCTTTCTCTCTTAGGATGGATTTCCCAAGAAACAGAGTCTGAGAGGAAGATTTTCAGGCAGGAAGTTCATTGGAGAGTTTTGTTGAGGACAGCAGTTGTAAGGGAATATATTAGCTACCTATTGTGATGTGAAAAATTACCTCAAAACTCTGCAGCTTGCAGCAATAAGCATTCATTATCTCCACCATTTCTGGGGGTCAGGAATCCAGGAGCAGCTTAGCTGTCTGGTTCTGGCTCTAGGTTCCTCATGAGGATGCAGTCACACTGTCAGTCAAGGGACAATCCACTCCTGAACTCAGGGCATGGTGTTGGCAGCACTCAGTTCTTCACCACACTGGCCGCTTAACAGTGTTCACGTGACATGGCAGCTGGCTCTCCCCAGAATGAGTGACAAGACAGAGTGAGGGAGGGAGTACACCAAGACCGAAGCCACTAGGAAGTGACATCTTGCAATGCCTGCCGTAATCTATTCACTAAAATGAGTCACTAAGTTCAGCCCACACACAAGAGGAGAGAAATGAAACTGCATCTCTACTGGGAAGGAGCACAAAAGAATGTACGGACAGATCTTAAAGCCACCAGAGAGTAAGGGAAGCAGTGATGGGCAGAGGGAGAAGTTAAATACCGATTCAGTCTTCACGGTGCTCGGCTGACCCCAGGGGAGTCCTGGAGCTTGGATGGTGCCTTCAGAAAGGTCCCAAAATGAGGTAAGGGGCCAGCCTTTTAATGCCTGCATCTCCTAGTAATGGAAGTAAATTTTCTAGAGGAAAATATGCAGGATGCAGGTTAGTGCTAAGCAGGTGATATTGTCTCCCTCCTCTATTACCTGTTCTACCTCCCAACCCTGTCCACTCTCTTCCCACCATCAGTGAGCATCACTGATGGTCTAGGTGGTTTACCTGGTGGCGTGCCCTAGACTCTCGTCCTTGAAGGGTATGAGTCCTTCTGAGGTCAGTGTCGTACTCTGCCATTCACAGTCACAAATAGGCAGAGTACACCAAGAGACACTCCAAAGGATTGAGGCAGCATAAGGAAGAGACTAGGTCCTGGCACACAGATGGCATGGTAACCTAGGTACTGATGGGCTTTACATGTTCAGGCATATTTCCTCCCCTACCTTTTTACCTCCCTTAACAAGCTGACCCAAGTCACATAGCAGGAAGGGAGCCTCTCCTAATTTCGCTGACCAGGCCTAATTCCTAAGCAAAAAAGGAAGAACCTAACCATTTATATCTTTGAGTAATGCCTTCTAAGGTCACTGAAGCAAGACTCTGGCATTCCTGATAAAAACCTGACCAGATCCAGCTGCCTGAAGGCAAAGTAGACTCCAGCGAAGACCTTTCACTGACTTTTTCCTCATTATAATTTCATTATAATACTAAAATATCTGCCCAGGGTGGGGCTTACCCATCATTTTCTGGTCATGCGATATATGTTACAGCATGATGTCCCACTACACAAGTGTGGGAAAGACCACCACCTTAACATTCCTTTTCCTGCCTCAACTTCCTTAAAATGATAAGAACCGAGCCCCTCAATGAGCTGGTACCAGGATCCCTTCCCTATGCACTGTTCCTCTGTGTGCTGGAGGCACAAGCCTATTAAACCTTGCCTGAGACAAATCTCCATTAGGCCTGGTGTTAATTTCTGCTTACACAAGAGCCAAAGAAATCACGGTCTAGGGTGCAATAACAGGATCACCTGAATTCCAAATATATTTTTCCCATTGTGTCACAGCAGCCCTACCTCCTGTGATAATCAAACCCATTTATTCTTGCCAAGGTGGGGACTCATTTTTTTGCCTGCTGTTTGACACGAGGAGCCAGAAGTGACCATATGACGGCAGCATCTGAAAATTTAATGGTACTCTGACTATCTCCTGGTAGAAGTATTATCACAGAAACTGCAGAAATGAGGGTTGGGACAAAAAACACGAATCTCCCAATTGGATCATCCAGAGTAATGGCAAAGTGGGGCCACTCCTATATCCTCCTCTTATTTTCCAACCCATGTGTTCTGCCCATGAGGAACACAGCACCATCAAATGATTATTGATTGAGGCTATGTACCACATCTTGGAAGATGATGCCCCATGCTTGGGGGCCATCATTTCTAAGCTCACTCTTCAGCTATATCTTCAGATGCCTGTAGGAGGCTGGTAGCCTCTGGGTGAAGTGATACGTGATAGGACACGTGGATCTCAAGGGCATGGACTCACTACTGCAGCTCTTTGCTGTACAATGGGCACCTTCCAATGAGCTGCCATGTGGGACTCCATGCTGTTGAGTCCATCCTTGGCTACTCTGTTCACATGTTCACCATGCTGACAGTGGAGTGGCCAAAGTCAGAGGCTGGCCGACTTACACTGATTGAGTCATTCTGTTCACTTTGTTGTTTTGTGCCTCTTCCATAGAGAACACTCTCTATCCAAAACAAAAAGTTTCCTACTTTGTGCCTACTTTATCTGTCTATTAACATGCATTTACCCGGACCTTCTTGTCCTTGGTCTTCCAATCCTCCTCCTCCCACATTCCACAGCAAGCAGAAAATCCATTCCCATAGTTGATGAATTATGTGTATCACACAATTGTATGTATGTAACAGAAGATTCATATTATGTTGGGGCACTTCTCTTTCCACAGAAAGTAGACAACAAGGTCACTGCCCAAATTTGTGGTCACTGGGAGGATTTCACTCTCATAGCTGTCATTCAGGGCCACCAGCCCTACCATTTTCCTCCTCTGTCCACTGGTCGGGTCATATGTGAGTCACATGCATACACACCCAGCCATGGGTGTGAGCTGCGGGAGAGGAACTGGTGCAATAGTGCTGAATGGCATGAGTCCCTTTCTCATCCAGCTTACTTAAGCTTCTGTCAATGCTTATACCCAATCTTGTTGTGTGGCTTCCATCTTAACGTGGATTGCTGCCGGGCTCACGCAACCTGATAACTTGGTAGATTTGACAGAAATGGACAGAGATGTCCTAACGGTTAGGTACTATTCCCTACCAAGCCCAGTAACATGCAAGGAGCCATCTTCCATGTGTATAATTCTCCGCTGAAGATGGCATAGCCTTGCCCCAGAACCCTAGGTCTAAAGTGATTATTCTTATTAGGGCTTACCAAGGTCCAGATAGTGTCTTTTGCCCTCATAAGTTCCTCAAATGCCTTAGGGTCTGATGGAACATGTAGGCTAAGCAGCAGGGTTATTTACACCACAGTCTAGATCAATAGTCCTTTCCCACTGGAACCCACTTGAAATTGACAGCATTCCATGTCACCTAGTAAACGGGTCAGAGAAGTATGCCAAGTGTTGGATAACTGCCTCTGGAATCTAAAGAGTCCTACCAGGAATGAAACTTCCTTCCTAGTGGTCAAAGGTGGGAGGCACAATACTTGGAGTGAAATATCTAGCATGCCCCACACCACTGGACCTCCCCCAAAATTTTACTTATGTAGGAATCTTTGTAGAGTTTACTCCCATTCTCTGGAACATATGTCTCTTACCAAGACTCTAGTGCACCTGTTAATTCTTGTTAATTTAGCCCAACCAGCATGACATCATCAATATGGTGGACCAGTGTGCTGAAGGATCTCAAGATGACTAATAATTTGACCACCTTCTCTGAAGCTCTGCTACCTTCTTAATTACATCGTAGGCCTGGTTCTCATATTTTTGTCATCTTCCAGCTGCAGGATATGAGAGTTACTTTACACAATGATAAGGAGGTCCTCTGATTTTCATATTTTGCCTTAAACTGATGATTAATCATTCTTGACCTTTCACTGAATTTCTCCTATGCATCATTTGTACTTAGCAAGTGGCATTCAATTCCATAGTTATAATTACTACTTCCTCTGTGCTTTTCAGATGCCTGACATCTTGCACCTACTTGAGTATTTTGTTCAAGAATCACATTCCAGGTCACTAATAATAAAATGTTGACAATTGTACCACTGCAACATGTCGTGATGGGGACTTTCAGTGCTCTGCCCATCTCCAGCAATAGAGTCCTCATTGCCAAGCAGGGAGTGGATGACTCGCCCCACTAATAAATGGACTAATCAATGAATTGTACTCATAAAATATGGTGGGGTGCAATAAATAATAAAAGATAAAATAATATAAATAGCCAGATGGGGCCAATAGATGATTTCTTATTTTATTTTTCTTTATAATTTTGAAATAAATTCAGACTTACAGCACAGTTGCAAAAATAATACAAATGTTTACATCTTATATAACCACAGTATAATAATCAAAACCATAAAATTAACACCAATAGAGTATTGTTAACTAATCCAAGTCTTATTCAGATTTCTCTATTTTTCCCACTGATGTCTTTTTTCTGTTTCAGGATCCAACCCAAGAGCTCACATTGCATTCAGTCGTCATGTCACATTGGTCTACTTTACTATGGAATAGTCCCTCAGTCTTTCCTGACCTTGACGTTTAGAAAAGCTATTCTGTACATCAGGGCCATCCTGTAGAACTTTCTGCAATGACAGAAATGCTGTGTATCTGTGCTGACCAATATGACAGCCATTCATCACATGGAAGTGCATTTGAAATGTGGCTAGTGGGGCTTAGGAATTTAATTTTATTTATTTATTTATTTATTTATTTATTTATTCATAGAGGTTGAGTCTTGGTATGTTGCCCAGGCTGGACTTGAACTCCTGGGCTCCAGCAATCCTCCTGCCTCTGCCTCCTGAGTTGCTGGGATTAGAGGTGTGGACCACTATACCCAGTTTAAATTTTATTTAGTTAATTTTTTATTATAAATTGACAATCTTGACAATTTATAATTTTATAAATTTATGGAATGCAAAGTAATGTAATGATTTATAAATACAATGTAGAATAATTAAGTCAAGCTAATTAATACACCCATCATCTCAAATACTTAACACTTTTCATAGTGAAAACATTTAAAATTTATTAGCAATTTTGAAATGTGCAATACTCCATTATTAACTATATTTACTATGTTGTGCAATAGAACTACGAAAAAATTCTTCCTGTCTACCTGAAATTTTTTTACCCTTGGAACTGAATTTTAAATTTTATTTAATTTTAATTAAAATAGCTACATGCAGCTAGTAGCTATGGTATTGGACAAGACAGCTGTCAAATATCTCTCATTTGGGTTTTGTTTAATGTTTCTTAATGATTAGTTTAAGAGTATACGCTTTTAATAAGAATTCTACAGACAAAATGTTGTATATTTCTTTGTCCACATTTTTAAAGGCTGTTGACAAGTGACCATCTAGCCCAGGAAGTGGATTGTTTTAATGCCCTTCAAGGTCCAGCAAAGACAAGGATGACAACCATATTTGCAAGCCAGTCCCCACACTACCAATGTTCTTTCTACAAGAAGTAGGTAGGAAGTCACTGGAGTCGAGGTGGGTAGCAGGTAGGATTAATTCTTGAATTCAATGTTCACTCTCTCTTGCCCCTCTGCCATATTAGAATACAGACATAAAAGGGGAGTGATTTTGTGACTTCTCCCCACTGCAGTCTAGCACTTAGAACAAGGCCTGACATTCAGTATGCCCTCAACAAACATGTGCTAATCTCTGAGTAACTTCACTCACTCCTAGCATTACACATTCCTGCTGCTATTCATCCAGTTTATGCTATTCTGCCTTTCTGGAATATTCCTTCTTAGCCACTAAGATGCAGCTAACAGCTAAATCAATCTCTCACACACACACGCACACTCACTCTCTCTCCCCTTTCCCATTTTTCTAGTACTTCTAGTCATTCTAAGTACTTTCTTCTTTCTTTTGCTAGCCAGCATTCACTTCCACCCCGCTATGACAAGCAAATCCTACATGAGATCACTCTCCAGTGTTTTCTCATAGGATACTTTATTCTTACCTTGATTTCTCTCAACATCAGACACCAACACGGGACTGGTTACAGAAAATCTATGTGAGGTGGGGATAACTTCAGAAGCACAAGTGAGGGCGAGGGGGAGAGTGAAACAGGAGAGGAAAGCCAAGAAAGAGTGTGTTAGTAAATGGGTTACTTTGTGAGAAACTGAGGCTTCACACTGCTGGGGACTTTCTGAGATACTGTGTGGAGCCAACTGGATGGAGGATAGGGAGGCTGGAGTGTTATCCATCAACTTCTGTCCCCTGTTGTCTGAAAGTTGCCCCTGAAGGCATTCACCCTCTCACTTTTCAGGAACCCCTGTACAATGAGGATGAAGAAAACCCTCAAGCAGGAGAAAAAGAAAAGAAGACAATCAAAGAGAGAAGTTCTCAGCTTGATGGGAGATATGGGCTGCAGCTGCAGTTAACTCAGTGGATGTAGAAGATATGGAGTGGGGAACAACAGTGTTTGCTACTCTGGTCCTTCAAGTTTTTATCGAGTGTTTTGAAGTAGGGATTGTATAATGGGTGCCCATCTGTCTCCACAGTGCCCAGCAGAGTTCTAGGAGGTAGAGACGTCTGTTGTGTTTGCTTTTTCTTCACCTTTTGGTGGTTCTTCACTAATCTATGCATGAATTCATTTTGAAACCTATATCCCATTTTCCTTCTGGGAAGTCATTTTCTCTCCCCCTCTTAGCTCATGAATTCCCAGTGAAATTGAATCCACTGTGAATTCCGTGGAATTGCCTCCAGAGGTGGGCAGGGAAATCAGGTCCAGTCAGTTAGAGTATTTTATTCTCTGACTACAGTAATCAGTTCAGAAAGAGTAAGTGACGAAATCATAGCTAATGAAATGCAGGGAGACTTTATGAAGATTGCTGGAAAATTGTCTTCATTTTTCTCCTAGCATTAAACCTGGAAGTTATCTTGAAACACTATATTTGATAGTTGCCCATCAACAAAGCCAGCACTTAGCAAATTGACATAAGAAACAATAGACAACTAAGTGAAGAGCATTACTTGACTTGGATCAAATGAGTCCTCTGGAACCACACATTCCTATTTGGTATTAGCATATTTGACAGGTTTTGTTGTCACATGCAGTAAAAAAGTTGTGATATATATATGCCATTTTCTCTAGAAAGGACACTGGCTTCACAGAACAGGCACTAACTCAATTCAACTTGAGTTTTATTAAGTAGAAGAAAAGGAAATCTCATGAACTCCTAGGGACAAGGAATAAAGTTTGAAAAGACAGCATGGGTAAGACTCTGGAAAGTGACTCAGGAAACTGTGTAGTTTTACATGCTTCATGCTTCTCTAGTGGATGGTCATTGAAATAATTACTAAAGGATAAACTCCAGGAAAAAGAGAAGTGGATCAGAAGAAAGAAATGAAATGCAAGAATAAATAGGGAGAAAAAAAGTTGCTGAACATGAAGATAAATCTAAGAAAGTGTTACAGAACATGAGGGGATATCTGTGAAAGCATTAGTTTATAAAATGAGAACAACAATGGCTAAATTTGAGGGTTAAAAGAGGTTGGAACTAAATTACGAAGCACAACATCATTTATGTCATGAGGGTGGGATCACAAGGAAGCCTTTGCAAGTACTTGCTTGTTCAGGAGAGGGAAGGAGATATAGATCACTTAGGCATAAGTCTATTTTCTGGTTAAGAGTCATCACTAAGGCCGGGCGCAGTGGCTCACGCCTGTAATCCCAGCACTTTGGGAGGCCGAGGCGGGCGGATCACGAGGTCAGGAGATCGAGACCATCCCGGCTAAAACGGTGAAACCCCGTCTCTACTAAAAATACAAAAAATTAGCCGGGCGTAGTGGCGGGCGCCTGTAGTCCCAGCTACTTGGGAGGCTGAGGCAGGAGAATGGCGTGAACCCGGGAGGCGGAGCTTGCAGTGAGCCGAGATTGCGCCACTGCACTCCAGCCTGGGCGACAGAGCGAGACTCCGTCTCAAAAAAAAAAAAAAAAAGAGTCATCACTAAAATATTAGAAACAAAATACATCAGTATGGTTTATAGTTGTAAAACATTGGAAACAACTTAATGTCCAACTACAGGGGAAAAATACAAATAATTCAGTGTACATTTAAACAAGGCAATATTATAGCAGTTAGTAAAGAATATGAATGAAAAACTCTCCAGAGAAATTGATAGCATAAATAAAAAACAATCACGACTTCTGGAAATGAAAGACACACTTAGAGAAATATGAAATATACTAGAAAGTCTCGATAATAGAATTGAATAAGTAGAAGAAAGAGCTTCAGAGCTTCAAGACAAGGCTTTTGAATTAACCCAATGTGACAAAGACAAAGAAAAAAGAATCAAAGAAAATGAAGCCTCCAACAAGTTTGGGATTATGTTAAATACCAAACCTAAGAATAATTAGTGTTCCCTAGGAGGAAGAGAAATCTAAAAGTTGGGAAAACTTATTTGAGGGAATAAATGAAGAAAACTTCTCTGGCCTTGATAGAGATCTAGACATCCAAATAAAAGAAGCTCAAAGAACACCTGGGAAATTTATCACAAAAAGATCATCACCCAGGCACATAGTCATTAGGTTATCTGAAGTCAAGACAAAGGAAAGAATCTTAAAATCTGTGAGGCAAAAGCATCAGGTAACCTATAAAGAAAAATCTATCAGATTAACAGCAGTTTTCTCAGCAGAAACCTGCAAGCTAGAAGGGATGGGGGTCCTATCTTTGGCCTCCTTAAACAAAACAATTAGCTAAAAATTTTGTATCCAGTGAAACTGAGCTTCATAAATGAAGGAAAGATACAGTCTTTTTCAGACAAACAAATGCTGAGAGAATTCATCACTACCAAGCCAGCACTACAAGAACTGCTAAAAGGAATTCTAAATCTTGAAACAAAACATTGAAATACACCAAAATAGAATCTCCTTAAAGCATGAATCTCACAGGGCCTGTAATAAAATAACATAATGAAAAAACAAAACAAAACAAAACAAAACAAAACAAGGTATTCAGGCAACAAATAGCATAATGGGTAGAATAGCACCACATATCTCAATACTAATGTTGAATGTAACTGGCCTAAATGCTCCCTCCAGTTAAAAGATACAGAATAGCAGAATGGATGAGAATTCACCAACCAAGTTCCTGCTGTCTTCAGGAGACTCGCCTAACACATGACAACTCACATAAACTTAAGGTAAAGGAGTGGAAAAAGATAGTCCATGCAAATGGACACCAAAAGCAAGCAGGAATAGCTATTTCTTATTTCAGACAAAACAATATTTAAAGCAACAGCAGTTAAAAGAGACAAGGGGGGACATTATATAATGGTAAACAGACTAATCCAACAGGAAAATATCACAATTCTAAATATATATGCACCTAACACTGGAGTTCCCAAATTTATAAAACAAGTACTGCTAGACCTAAAAAAATGAGACAGATGACAACACAATAATAGTGGGGGCGTTAATACTCCACTGACAGTGCTAGACAGGTCATCCAGACAGAAAGTCAACAAAGAAACAATGGACTTAAACTATACCCTACAACAAATGGGCATAACAGATATTTACAGAACATTCTACCCAACCACTGAAGAATATACATTCTATTCATCAGCACATGGAACATTCTCCAAGATAGACCATATGATAGGCCACAAAACAAGTCTCAGTAAATTTTTAAAAATCTAAATTATATCAAAGTACTCTCTCAGACCACAGTGGAATATAATTGGAAATCAACTACAAAAGGAGCCCTCAAAACAATGCAAATACATGGAAATTAAATAATCTGCTCCTAAATGATTGTTGGGTCAACAATGAAATCAAGATGGAAATTTAAAAATTCTTTGAACTGAACTATAATAGTGACACAATCTATCAAAACCTCTGGGATATAGCAAAAGCGGTGCTAAGAGAAAAGCTCATAGTGTGAAATGCCTACATCAAAAAGTCTGGAAGAGCACAAATAGACAATCTAAGGTCACACCTCAAAAAACTAAAGGAACAAGAACAAACCAAACCCAAACCCAGCAGAAGAAAAAAAAAAAAAACAAAGAAAGATCAGGGCGGAACTAAATGAAATTGAAACAAAAAAATGCAAAAGATAAATGAAACAAAAAGCAGGTCCTTTGAAAAGATAAATAAAATTGATAGACAATTAGCAAGAGTAATCAAGAAGAAAGAAGACTCAAGTAAGCTCTATTAGAAACAAAATGGGAGATATTACAACCGATATCACAGAAATGCAAAAGAATATGCAAAGCTATTATGAACACCTTTACATGCACAAACTAGAAAACCTAAAGGAGATGGATAAGTTCCTGGAAATATACAGCCCTCCTAGATTAAACCAAGAAGATACAGAAACTCTAAACCGACCAATAACAAGCAGTGAGATTGAAATGGTAATTAAAAAATTGCCAAAAAAAAAAGTCCAGGACCTCATAGCTGAATTCTACCAGACGTTCAAAGAAGAATTGGTACCAATCCTATTGAAACTATTCCAAAAGAGAAAAAGAGAATCCTCCTTAAATCATTCTATGAAACCAGTATCATTCTAATACCAAACCAGGAAAGGATAAAATAAAAAAAGGAAACTACAGACCAATATCCCTGATAAGCATAGACACAAAAATCCTCAACAAAATACTAGCTAACCAAATCCAACAGCATATCAAAAAAAAATCCACTATAATCTAGTCTGTTTTATACCAGGGATGCAGAGATGATCTAACATACACAAGTCAATAAACGTAATACGCCACATAAACAGAATTAAAAACAAAAGATACATTATTATCTCAAGAGATGCAGAAAAAGCTTTTGACAAAATCTAGCATCCCTTTATGATAAAAACCCTCAGCAAAATTAGCATAGAAGGGACATACCTTAAGGTAACAAAAGCCATCTATGACAAACCCATGGCCAACTTTATACTGAATGGGGAAATGTTGAAAGCATCCCCCCTGAGAAGTGGAAGGAGACAAGGATGCCCACTTTCACCACTTCTATTCAACACAGTACTGGAAGTCCTAGCCAGAGCAATCAGACAAGAGAAAGAAATAAAGGATATCCAGATTGGTAAAGAGGAAGTCAAACTGTTGCTATTCACCCATGATATGATCATATACCTATAAAACCCTAAAAACTCACCCAAAATGTTCCTAGATGTGATAAATGAATTTGATAAAGTTTCAAGATATAAAATCAATGTACACAAATTAGTAGCACTTTTATACACCAACAACCACCAAGCTGAGAATCAAATCAAGAACTCAACTCTTTTGACAATAGCTGCAAACAAATAAAATACTTAGGAATATACCTAATCAAGAAAGTGAAAGAAAGAAAACTACAAAACACTGCTGAAAGAAATCATAGATGACACAAACAAATGGAAACACATCTTATACCCACAGATGGGTAGAATCAACATTGTCTAAATGACCATACTGACATATTGCCAAAAGCAATCTATAAATTCAATGCAATTTCCATCAAAATACTATCATCATTCTTCACAGAACTAGAAAAACACCCTAAAATATATACAGAATCAAGGAGGAGCCCACATACCCAAAGCAAGACTAAGAAAAAGATACCTGACTTCAAACTACAGTATAAGGCTAAAGTCACCAAAACAGCATGGTACTGGCATAAAAACAGGCACATAGACCAAGGGAACTGAATAGAGAACCCAGAAATAAACCCAAATACTTAACAGCCAACTGATCTTCAACAAAGCAAACAAAAACAGAGAGTGGGGAAAGGGCACCCTATTCAACAAATGATGCCAAGATAATTGGCAAGCCATATGTAGAAGAATGAAACTGGATCCTCCACTCCCACCATACACAAAAATCAAGTAAAGATGGATCGAAGACTTAATCCTGAGACCTGAAACCATAACAATTCTAGAACATAACATTGGAAAAACCCTTCTAGACATTGGCTTGGGCAAAGACTTCATGACCAAGAACCCAAAAGCAAATGCAACAAAAACAAAGCTAAATAGATGGGACTTAATTAAACTACTAGTTCCTGGTCAGTAAAATAAATAAACAGCAGAGTAAACAGACAACCCACAGAGTGGTAAAAAGTCCTCACAAACTATGTATCCAACAAAGGACTAATATCCAGAATCTACAAGGAACTCAAACAAATCAGCAAGAAAAAAACCAAATAATCCCATCAAAAAGTTGGCTAAGGACATGAATAGACAATTTTCAAAGGAAGATACGCAAATAACCAACAAACATATGAAAAAATGCTTAACATCAGTAATTGTCAGGGAAATGCAAATCAAAACCACAATGCAATACCACCTTACTCCTACAAGAATGGCCATAATTTAAAAATAATAGATGTTTGTGTATATGTGGCAAAAAGGGAACACTTCCACACTGCTGATGGGAATGTAAACTAGTACAACCACTATAGAAAACAGTATGGAGATTCTTTAAAGAACAGAAGTAGATCTACTATTTGATCCAGCAATCCCACTACTGGGTATCTATCCAGAGGAAAATAAGTCATTATATGAAAAAGACACTTGCACACACATGTTTATAGCAACACAATTCACAATTGACAAATATGGGCCCAGCCCAAAATGTGGTGTATATATATGTGTGTGTGTGTGTGTGTGTGTGTGTGTGTATATATATACACACACATATACCATGGAATACTACTCAGCCATAAAAGGGAATAAAATAATGGCATTCGCAGCAACCTGGATGGAGTTGGAGATCATTATTCTAAGTGAAGTAACTCAGAAATGGAAAACCCAACATCATATGTTCTCACTTCCAAGTGAGAGCAAAGCTATGAGGATGCAAAGGGATAAGAATAATACAATGGACTCTGGGGACTCGGGGGAAGGATGGCAGGAGGGTAAAGGATAAAAGACTACACATTGGGTACAATGTACACTGCTCAGGTGATGTATGCACCAAAATCTCAAAAATCACCACTAAAGAACTTTTCCGGGTAACCAAAAAACACCTGTTCCCCAAAAACCTATTGAAATAAATAAATAAATAAATAAATAAATAAAGTTGAGCATTATTTAAAAAAAGAAAAAACCTAGTACTAAGGAAATAAGAATGAAGGAATTGAATTAATAAAATTAAAATAAACAAATTAATTCAAAAATATAACACATAAATAAGTAAATTTTAAAAGCAAATTTTCTTTTGGAGAAGAACATAATAAAATAGATAAACTATTAGCTAACCCTATCCAGAATGAAAATGAGAACGTACAAATATTCAAAATAACAAGAGTAGGTAAATAATACAAATTAAAGGAAATATAAAGAATCATAAGTGATTACTTTGTTCAGTCGCAAAATGTATATGAAACTGATGCATCTCTAAAAAATGTGAGTTGTCAAAAGTGACCCTAGAAGAGTAAAAAATGCAACCAGACTAAGCACTATAGAAACAATTGAGAAAAACGTCAAAGAATTATGTTCCCCCCAAAAAGTTCAAGGCTCTGGTCTATTCACAGAAGAATTCTACCAAACCATTCAAGAGTAGATAGCTCAACATGTATGTAAACTATTTCAAGTCACTGAAAAAGCAGAGAACATTCTAAATTCTTACAAGGAACAGTGCCAAAACCCAATGCATAAATCCTAATATAATATTACCAAATTGAAACTGGCAGCACATTTAAATAGCAACACCACAAGGATAAGTAGTGTTTACTCTAGGAATTCAAGGTTGTTTCAATATTAGGAGATTTATCATTACGTTCCAACATATTAATAGAAATGACTAGAAAATATGACTGTCTCTGACAGTGAAAAGCATTTAATAAAGTTCAATATTTATTCTTATTAACAAGCAAACAGCCTCCTAATTAACTAAGATTAGAAGACTACCTTCTTAATATGATTATCTATCTCATACAAACATAGAAACCTCCTGATTGATGGGAAAGTAAGAAATGTGTGACAAGGCAAAGATGTCCACAACCACTGCTGTTATTTAACCCTGTTTTGGGGGGCCTAGCTATTGCATTTAGGCAAGAGGAAGTAATAAATATTTTTAAATTGGAGAGAAGGTGGTGAAATTATTATGGATTGTATATGATATGATCTGTATACTTGGAAAACCCAAGAGAATAAACTGGAAAACTATTAGAACCAGAATTAAGAAACTGCCTGGGGACAAAATATGCAAAAATACTCTACTCCTACATAAATAACACCAAAACAGAAGTTATGAGGAAGAAATGATCCCAGTTAAAGCAGTAATATATGTTGAGTATAGAAGAAATAGTGGATAGAAATAAACAACAAACGTACAACATGTATATGAAGAGAATATTAAAATGTTACTTAAGAATATGAAAAAAATGCACACCTTCTTTTGAGGTAGAAAGGATAAGTAACATTTTTTAATTCATTGAAATAGGAATACTAATACTAAGGAAATATGAAGGAATTGAATGAATAAAGTTAAAATAAATTAATTCAAAAATATAAGAAATAAATTTTCAAAGCAAATTTTATATATAATAGAATTTCTTTAACAGAATGAATTCTTAATTATTTAAAACATTCTAAATTTTATGAAAAAATAAACAAGCAAAAATTACTAGCATATGAATGAAGAACTGTTTAAACCAGGTATTACAAGATATTTTTTAGGTATAATAAAAGCCCTCAAATACAGAAACCCAGTGAAACAGAAAAAAAGCGTTACAAAGTAAACCCAAATTTTACTGGCAGCTGGTATATGACAAAGACAATTCTGCATATCAGCGGGGGAGATGAATTATCCATTGAGTGATGCAGAAACAACTAAGTGGCTTCTGGAGAAAGATATATATCTGCGTCTCTGCCTGTGCTAAATAAATTTTGGAAAAATAAAAAATATAAATGTAGAAACAAAGCCCCAAAAGCACTAAACTAAAACATGATTTTTCATAATCTTGAAATGAAGGAAGTCTTTTTAAGCACGAAGACATAAAGAAGAGAAGGAATGGAGAGAGGAAGAGAGTGTTAGGGTAAGAAGGGAAGGATAGAGGCAGGAAAAAGAGAGACGGAAGATAAAAGATCACAAAAAAAATCATAATTTCAGCAACACAAAAATATTCTTTAAAAAGTCCCAATGAGGCTGGGTTGAGTGGTCATGCCTGTAATCCCAGCACTTAGGGAGGCCAAGGGAGATGGATTGCTTGAGTCCTGGAGTCTGAGACAAGCTTGGGCAACGTGGCAAAACCCCATCTCTACAAAAAACAAAACGAAAACAAAAATTAGCCAGGCATGGTGGTGTGCACCTGTAGTCCCAGCTACTTAGGAGGTCGAGGTGGAAGGATCACTTGAGCCCAGGAGTTGAGGCTGCTGTGAGCCAAGATGGTGCCAGCACACTCCAGCCTGGGTAACAGAGTGAGACCCTATTTCAAAAAAGAAAAAAAAAAGTCAAAATGCAAATTATCATCTATGAATAAAATGGCAGCACATATTACAGATAGAACTCATTTTCTTGATTACTACATATCAAGTTGATAAAGGAGTAATAACATATAAAAATGGAGAAAGAATGTGAGCAAAAAGGGTAGGAAATCTTAAGCATATGAATAATGTTCAATCTCATTCTCAATAACAAAAAAAATTAACCTACAATGAAATTCATTTTTTTTCATTTATCAGATTGGTAAAGTCAGTAAGTTTGATAACAAGTTTGCAGGAAGTATGTAGAAACAGGTCTGCTAATGGGCATGCAAAGGAGTACAGTACCTAGTGAGGGTGTGTCAGCTCTGTCTGTTAAAACTAAAAAGGTACATGCCATTGACTCAGAAATAAATGATAAAATGCATCTTTAAATATTTTATAGATATGCAAAATGACATGTGTGCAAGGCTATGAATTGCAGCATTACTTGTGATTGTAAAACAACATAAATGTTTATCAGTAAAGATACATCCAATAAATGAGAATTTATCTGCATGATAAAAGATTGCACCAGCATTGCAAAGATAAACCAGGTCTGCATATAAAGATGTAATAGGCTCTCCAACTCTTCTTGTTAACTGACAAGAAGCAAGATGCATGATGGTGTGTGCCATCTGGGTAAAATATGTACTCCATGCATATGTGTGTATATTTAAAATTTAGCTGAAAGACTATATAAGAATTCACTAATAGTGGTTATCTCGGGGGAAAGAAACTAGATTGCTAGAAGACAGGGTAGAAAATAGTTTTCCTATTCCCTGTGTAGTATCTTTCACTTTTTGTGTTTGTTCCATGCACATATGTTACCTACTAAGAACGTTTTTTAATTAAAAAAATCAACAGAAAAGCAAATTAAATTCAAACTGTTTGACTATGTGCTTTTCTTCTAGGTAAGAATGTGGCTGATGGTGTCAAGTAGAAGGTGGAGAGTGAGAATATGTTAATACTGCTGTTCTCCTCCAGGCTAGACAAATGTTTTAAAAAGACAACACATTTCAAGCTGAGAAGACCCTTTTGTTTACTTGCTTCTGAATTGAAAATGATGCCTTCAATTATCACTCTAACTGTAAACACCATCAGCTGCTCTAAAAATATTTTCTGAGTAAATGCCACTTGTACCTTCTGGCATTTACTCAAAGCATTTTTTAAAGCAGCTGGGAATCTTGTTAGCAAAGCTCTGGATTAGGAAGTGATAGAATAAAACAGCAAAATAAGTAGAGGTGCAAATTCTGGAAATAGCACAAAGGAGAGAAATCAGCTAACAAAAAAAAAGGCAGTAATAAATTATTCTCCTATAACCAAAAAATTCTTATTTAGCATCAAACATGGGCAAGACTGTTACCACATTTCAGCAGGTTCATGAGTATTCTTGCCTTCAAGGAAAATGGGGGGTAAAATAAGAACAGAAGTAACTAGAATATTAGATAGAGCAAGAGAAAATTACATCACAATTCTAAATATTACCAAAAAAAACCTTTTGAAGGGAAAGGAAAAATAGATGAGACAAATGGTAGCCCTGAAGTCATACCAATCAAATTAAACATTATGCTGTGACAATTTTGTGCACCAGGAAAGTGATGATGCTGTTTTTAAAAAAAAATGGGAAGTCAGGCCAGGTGCGGTGGCTCATGCCTGTAATCCTAGCACTTTGGGAGGCCAAGGCAGGTGGATCACCTGAGGTCAGGAGCTCAAGACCAGCCTGACCAACATGATGAAACCCTGTCTTTACTAAAAATACAAAATTAGCCAGGCATGGTGATGCATGCCTGTAATCCCAGCTACTTAGGAGGCTGAGGTGGAAGAATCGCTTGAACCCAGGAGGCGGAGGTTGCAGTGAGCTGAGATTGTGCCATTGCACTCCAGCCTGGGCAAGAAGAGTGAGATTCTGTCTCAAAAAAAAAAAAAAAAAAAAAAAAGGTAGTCAGCCTAGTCAGCCTAGGATTAACCAGAATGTATGCAGAAGACCAACAGGTGAACTGCTGACATTCTCAGGCTTCCTTTTCAACTTCTAAGTTATAAATCCCTTATACACACCTTAAATTATAAACACACACCTTATACACACACCACTAAATTATCAATTCCCCTCCACCTTAAAAATCAGTATCTCCAAATTCCCACAGTGTTAGATACAGGAGTCAGCTTAAGGATGAGCTTGTCACTAACACCTTTTCCACCATCCCAACCCAAGCTGATTCATTCTTCTTCTGTACTCTGCATGTATGAGCACCCAGTCAGATTCTACTTTTTGTATTAATTATCACCCCTTTGGGATAAGACATTTAATGGAAGAGATGGTCTTATTCTTCATTTTAACAGAATACTTAAAAAATAATTAAATTCAACTCTAATTTATTAAGGACCTTATGAAAATTTAACATGTGAAGGTAGCTAAGATGTGTATGAGATTTAAGAATTCTTGATGAATTGTTCTTGATGAATTCAACCATCTACAGCTCCTATACATTTCAGTTGGGTTATTTTCATCTTAAAGATAAGATACCTATTTAGATTACCTTGAGCACTTTGAGTATGTGGCACTCAGCTAACTGCTTTCTAGGCTTTAGGTCATTTCATTTTCAACATACCCTTGAAATGTAGGTGCTATTGGTAGTTCCACTTTATGAGTAAACTGAAGCGTGTGGAGCTTACATCTCTGTTTACAAATGTGAACATTTGTTCTTTTGTTCTGGCTAGTCAATGTCTCTGCCCTCTTCCTAAGTTTAGGAAAGTCCCTGTCGTATGAATTAAAATGAGTTGACCCGAATAATGGTCCTTAATCACACCACCAGCACTCCTTAGTCACAAAAGACTAAGGAGTCTAAAGAATCAAAATTACTTTTTAACAGAATGGGTATGTGAAATTAAATAATTCAAACTTAAAGCTGCTGAAACTTTAAATTATTCTAAGCCTTGAGAATAATGTTGCTATGTGACCTGAGTCATGTGACATGCAGCTACTACTTCTGTCTTTTTTTTTTCTGTAAATAATTAAGACTAAATGGCACCAGAGATGAGACTCCTTCAGACCATTTTTCTCCCCTCACAGAGTAATAAAGTAATCTCCTTGGAATGTAGCAATCTGTAACCAATCAAATCACCATGGCTTACACACTGGTCTTTTATGGAAGATGTAATGCTGCTAAAATTTCTGTCTCTGCCCATATAAATGAAGCCGTAACTTCTCCACTTAGGAACACTGGCTCCATTCATTTGGAGTCTGTGTTTCTGGCTGGCCATCCTCAAGCTTTGCACTAGAATAAACTCTACAATGAACCACATTTTCTGAGTCTTGTTATTTAAGGTTGACATTTTGGCAACCATGAAGGGATCTGAATCAGCCCTCCAGCAACCCCCGTCACTTCACTGACAACTGAAGCCTTGGTACCAGGATGACCAACCTTTGTTCATCTGACTTCACCAGAGTCAAAACAAATCTCTGGTAAGGCCCTCTCAGGTGTGAATTCTCCTGGCCTTGGTTGAAGATACAGACTTTATTTGAGCTACACACATTTCTAACTTAGTGGGGTTGAAATTGAAGTTCTACTGCAAAGTAGAAGCTTCATTTTTTATTCTCTAAAAAGTCTGCTAATTGTGGATTTGTAACTTTCACTTTTCTCTGAAATTAAAATTTTGTTTGAAATTACTCCTTAGAGTTTTTCAACCATTTCTCTCATTCCAAATCATAGTCAGGGAAAAAACAGTTTCTCTTTGAAAAGTAGAAATGAATCTTTGTGACTTAAGCAAAAAAAAAAATTTAATCTTTAAAACTGGCCAGATTCTAAAGCTTGGTTCAATTGACAAATTTTTGAGTGATCAAAATAGTAAAAGGCTATGAGCCTAGAAGATAAGAGACACTTTCTCCTGACCAAAAGGCACCTTAGGTGACTAAAATCTCCTGGAACTATGGGAGTTTATTGCTTTCAATGTAAAATGTTCTCACGGAGAATCCCTTAGGAAGAATATGCAGGGAACCTTGCTTAATCCAGTGGGCACACAAAAAGGTTGAGCACCTGGTGCCTTAAGCACCCAAGTCTCTTGGAACCACCAAGACATGTAAAAGGAAAGAACTGACTCAAGGATGGCCCCTTGAGGAGCTATTCTCACAAGCATCACACTCGATTCAAGACATACCCCCGAGGTCATTTTGGTAATTCAAAAGAAGAGTCTAAATTATGAGCAATTATGCTTCTAAAAGCATGTCTTCTTCCTCCAGAAAAGATCCACCTGTGGAAACACCAGCTAGATTTGTGTTTCATACATGCAAATATATTTTTAAATGGTCTCACATAATTCATGATGACCCCAAATTACAATGATTAAAAGGGGGTACCTTTGAATACCTAATTTACCTTTACACTCAAATAGAAAAGGCCAGCTCTAAAATGAAACAAAATAACTTGGAGAGCTATTTTATTTTTATTTATTTTTTTCTTGTCCTGCTTCGTAGGTGATTACTGGAAGAGAAAACTATTTAAATGGGACTTGGAAACTTCTAAAAGAGGTTCTGATAAAGTCATTTCTTGGCTGGGCATGGTGGCTCAAGCCTGTAATCCCAGCACTTTGGGAGACCGAGGTGGATGATCACTTTACCCTAGAAGTTTGAGACCAGCTGGGCAACACAGTGGGACCTCATCTCTACAAAAAATTTAAAAACTTAGCTGAGTGTGATGGTATGTGCCTGCAGTCCCAACTACTTGGGAGGCTGAAGTGGGAGGATTGCTTAATCCCAGGAGGTCAAGTCTGCAGTAAACTGTGGTTGTGCAATTGCACTTCAGCCTGGACAACAGAATGAGAACCTGTCTAAAAAAAAAAAAAAAACAAAAAAAAAACAAAAACAAACAAACAAACAAAAAACAGAACTCATTTCTTTGCAAGAAGAACATGAAAGATTGTCTAAAACTGTTTCTGAATTTAAAAAGACTGCCTAAAATCTCTCCCCTTCTTCAGCTCCTCTTGTCTTTTCCTTGTCCAGACTTACCTTCCCTCCTCCTTTTCTTCCTTCTGCTGTTCTGGCTGTATTTCAGGAATACTCTGTGTCGAGTAGGGAGAATCTGCCTTGGTTTACCAACCACTGTCAAAAGTAGAACTTAAAGGCATATTTTGTCGTTGTTGTTTTAGACTTGGGGGCACATGTGCAGGTTTGTTGCATGGGTATGTTGCATGATGCTAAGGCTTGGGCTTCTATTGATCCCATCAGCAAAATAGTGAGCATAGTACCCAATAGGTAGCTTTTTAGCCCTTACCCCCTCCTTCACTGCCCACTTTTGGTGTCCCCAGTGTCTGTCGTTCCCATCTTTATGTCTGTGTGTATCCAGTGTTTAACTCCCACTTAAACGTGAGAACATGAGGTATTTGGTTTTCTGTTTCTGCATTAATTCACTTGGGATAATGGCCTCCAGCTCCATCTATGTTGCTACAAAGGACATAATTTTATTCTTTTTGTGGCTGCATAGTATTCCATTGTGTATATGTACCACATTTTCTTTATCCAGTCCACTGATAATGAGCACTCAGGTTGATTCCATGTCTTCGCTGTTGTGAATAGTGCTGCAATAAGCATAAGAGCACAGCTGTCTTTTTGGTTGAATGGTTTATTTTTCTTTGGATATATACTCCACCATGGGATTGTTTCATCAAATGGTACTTCTTTAAGAAATCTCTAAACTGCTTTCCACAGTGGCTGAACTAATTTACATTCCCACCAACAGTATATATATGTTCCCTTTTCTCCACAACCTTGCCAACATCTGTTGTTTTTTGACTTGTTAACAATAGCCATTCCGACTGATGTGAAATGGTATCTCATTGTGGTTTTGATTTGCATCTCTCTGATGATGAGTGATGTTGCAGGATTTTTTATATGTTTATTGGCCATTTGAATGTCTTCTTTTGAGAAATGTCTGTTGATGTTCTTTGCCTACTTTTTAATGGTTTGTTGTTGTTGTTGTTGTTGTTAAAGGAATAATTAAAGAATTCTCAGATTCTCTTCCAGACCCTAAGGAATTTTCTGGAGAATGTGAATTAAACACTTGAACTTATGGCCCCAGATTCTCTGATTTATATCAATTGGTTCACATGTTAGTGTCATAAAGTAAAGCCAAGGACTGGATAGCAAAGGAAAATTGGAGGAATCCTTTAGAGGACTTATGTGAATTTTCTGAAGCAGGCAGTAAATGCACCTGCAAGGCTGCCAAAACTTCACTACACATTATCCCCTTGACCCCCTTATGCCTAGTGTTCCATTATTGGAACGTTAGGGATGTGGGAGTTTTTTATATCCTATTGCTCAAGGTCATTGCCAAGGTCTGATTTCTCACTCATGCAAACATTTGAAAAATTGCAATCTCCAGCATAATGGGTTAATTTTCCAAAGAGTAGTTGATTGGAACAAAACACAACAATGTTGACAAAATCTTGATGAGTCAGTAATATCATACTAGAAAATATTTGAAAACAACGTTTAAACAATATTTGGGTCTATCAGAAGAAATTTATGCTAACCATCAAAATGATGCACTCATAAATGGATTACATGAAGAATTGGCCACTATAATAGAGACATCACTCATTGGGCTACTTCTCAAACTCATGATCTAGTTAATTTTGCTGATCAAATACCCTGTACCCTAAGTAAGGAAGGAAAGAAAGGGGAAGTTAAACAGAAAGAAGAAGCAAATAAGATCATGAGTTTATGACTAAAACAATAATCCAACAAATTTTTAACCCCTAAACAGCCTAATAAGTTCCAAAGCTGACCTAATCCCTCATTTTCCAAATACTGAAAAAAAAAGCCTGAACATTTCAAAAGGATTATAGAAATTTTAAATAGAACAGCAACAGGTCAAAGGAAGAGAAGAATAGGAATGATCCAAGGAAATCAAAGGGACTTTCTCTTTTATCCTCAGTAATACCATGGGAAAATTGAAATTAATTTAAATGAAGAACTAACATCAGCTCTTTTTAATACTGAAGCTACATTATCAGTGATAAATCCCACCTTATACAAGGTCCCATTCCTTGGAGTGAAAAAGCCATACAAGTGGTAGGTTTAAGAAATACCCCTATATCTACACAAAAATCTCAAACTATAGTTTTTCAGTTAGATCTCCTAAACATATGTTTCCCTCTTGGTTTCCTCATTCCCCATCCACTTGATAGATGAAGACTTTTAAGAATTTTACAAATAAATACCCACATCTCTCTCTTTCAAAAGGGGGGAAATGTATCCAGAATTAAAAGATAAAATAGAATTATTAGGTTCAAAAAAATTTTGAAATCTGATTCTTCCAATTCACAAATTGCAATTCATATTGCCATGGAGGAAACTAAATTGTTTTAGAAGAATGACAAGGGCTGTTAAAAATAGTACCTGATAGACTAGGTGTGGTGGCTCATGCCTGTATTCCCAGCATTTTGGGAGGCCAAAGTGGGAGGATCGCTTGAGGCCAAGAGCTTGAGACCAGCAAACAAAGCAAGCTCCTGTTTTTACAAAAAATAAAAATAGTACCAATTAAAATGTAAATAAGTCCATCGGAACCTCTTTCAAACCTTAAGCAATACCCTCTCAGAGGTCTTGGAAGGGAAAAAACATAATTTTGAATTACATAAAAGGAGGCTTGATTATTCATTGTACAAACCCATGTAACACTTCCATTCTCACCATAAGAAAGCCAAATAGTGGAAGGTGGAGATTTGTACAGAACCTGAGAGCAAGTAATAATGTAGCCATTCCTCAAAATCCAGTGGTACCAAACCTTTATATGTTGTTGACTGCCATCCTAACTGAAGGTGAATTCTTTGCTGTGATAGACCTAGATAGTGCATTCTTCAGCACTCCTGTGGATAAAGATGGTCAATTTCTCTTTGCTTTCACTTGAAAAGACAGACACTGCACATGGAAGTTATGCCTCAGGGATATAGTGAGAGCCCAACTTATTTTTTACAAATATTAAAAGCAGACCTATCAGATATCAACTTTCCTAAGAAATCCACCTTGATACAGTATGTAGATAATTTACTTCTCAGGGGATAGGAAAGCCTCCATAGAGGTTGGAATTACAACAATTAGCTTTAAAGTGATGCAAGTTTCAAAGGAAAAACTAAAGTTCTATCAAAAACAAGTAAAATATTTATGTCACCTAATATCAGAGGAAGCCCTTTTTATTAATATGGGTAGAATAAAAGGAATATTGGTCTTCTCTACCCTAAAAACTAAGAAGCAAGTGAGAAAGTTTTTGGTGTTGGCAGAATACGGCAGAAATTGGATTCTAAACTTCTCCTTAAAAACTTAACCTTTATAAACTCTTTTAAAACAAGACAAGCCAGACGCCCTGGAATGGACAGAAAAAAATCAGATGACATCAAAAGAAATTTTTAAAAAGTCTTATAGATGCCCCAGCCTTAGGACATCCAAATTAGAATATTTCATTTTCATCGTTCATGAAAAATCAGGGAAATACCTTAGGCATTTTGACTCAAAAACACAGAGATCAAAATAGAACTGTAGCTATAGTCAACAACTGAAGCTGTGGCTAAAGAATTGCCACTTTGCATGAAAGCAATAATTGTTACTTTATGAATAAAAGCAACTAAAGAAATAGTGATAAGATATCCCCTCACTGTCTATGTTCCACATTCTATGGAAGTGCTTCTAAATTTACACCACACTCAACACTATTCACTTAGTATACTGGCTTCTCATGATGTTCTTCTTTCTGCTCTCCGTAATACTGCCTCCAGATGTAATAATCTAAATATTGCCACACTTCTACTCCTGCTTTCAGACGAAATGTTACACGATTGCATAGTCTTAACCAACCAGCTTCTCTCTTCTAGGACTGACCTGTAAGAATCCTGCCTTACTGATATTATTTGGTTTACAGATGGCTCTCACTTAAAGGATGAATCTGGAATTTTTCACGCAGGCTATGCTATAGCATTTTTGACTGAAGAAATAGAAAGCGCTTATCTTTCAGGAACAAACTTGACTCAACAAGCAGAATCAATATAATTAGAGCCTGTCGATTGGCAAAAGAAATAACTGCTAATATTTATACAGATAGCAGACGCGCTTTTGGAGTTGCTTGTGACTTTGGAATGCTATGAAAACAAGGAGTATTTTAGCCTTTTCCAATCAGTTCATTAAAAATGGACACCTTGTTTCAGAAATATTGGAAGCCATACTGTTGCCAAAATCATTAGTCATTGTCAAACTTCCAGGCCATTCAAAGTAAAGCATCCCAGAAAGCCAAAAAGCAATGGAAATCAATTGGCAGATAGTATAAGAGAAAGGGCTGCCCTAAATGTATCTGAATAAGAAAATCAACCCATTTTAGCTTTTAAGGAAGCACTTGATTTTTTAATAAACAATTAGCTCAATCCAAAGCTCCAAAAACAGAACAAGAAAATTGGGCAAATGTACTCCTCTGAGACTGGGCTATGGTAAAGACCAAATGGTTTACCCATACTCACAGCCAAGTTACTGTCATCTTTCCTAGCTTATGTGCATGGGTTAATTCATAGGAGCCCCGATAAGATGATTGCAATGTTGTTTATTGGAAATATTATTGTTGATTGAAACAATATTATTGGAAATCTTCAACTGTTGCTCATAAGGTACATGAATCGCTGCCACATCTGCCTAAAACATAATTTAGGGAAACCTTTACATAGTTCTTAAGGTCATCCTCCTTTGTAAGAAGGCCCTTTTGAGGTATGACAACTAGATATTATTCAGCTATCACCCTCACAAGAATACAAGTACAGTCTAGTGATTGCCTGCATGTTTTCTCTTTGAGTAGAAGCTATCCATGCAGAATAGCAAAAACCTTAGCAGTAAGTCAAATTCTCTAAGAAAAAAATGTTACAACTTGGGGACTTAACCTAGAACTTCAAACTAGCAGAGATACTCACTTTACTGGATAAACAATCAAAATCTGGCCCATTCTGTAACATTTCCATTGTGCATATCACCCCCAGTCATATGGGTTAGTGGAACACAAAAAATGGAACAATCAAAATTCAGTTGGCAAAATTAACTGAGGTCTTAACAATTTTTGGCCAAAGACCCTTTTATTGGTTTTGCTTAACCTAAGAGTGACCCTTTTTATAAACACCAGTTGTATCCATTTGAAATTATAACAGGCAGACCTATAAAATTGTCTCTAGGAAATTGCGAATCTATGATACTCAAAGGAGGTATGTTTTACTATTGTAGAGGCTTTATAAGGCAGCTAACTAAAAACTATAATTAAGTAAAAGACTCTTTCCACAGTGAGCTCCTGGGAGACCAAAAACTCAAGGGCCACGGACTTCAACCAGGAGATTTTGTCTTTTGGGAACAATGTCTTTCAAAGGACTTCATCCAATTAAGGTGAAAGGGACTTTATGAGTTGCTCCTAACCAAACCTTTTGTCATTAAGCTAAAAGGTATCAATTCCTGGATGCCCATCATCCATTTAAAGAGAGCTGCCTTTAAATTCTAGGAGCTTTTTGGAGGAGTCTTTAGGGTTTTCTAGGTATACAATAATATCATCAGCAAACAGCAACAGTTTGACTTCCTCTTTACCAATTTGGATGGCCTTTATTTTTTTCTCTTGTCTCATTGCTCTCAGCAACCTGGTTGTAACAGGAGACTACTATTCTAAGTGAAGTAACTCAGAAATGGAAAACCAAATACCATATGTTCTTACTCATAAGTGGGAGCTAAGCTATGAGGATGTGAAGTCGTAAGTCCAATTTGGACTTCATCTCAAACAGGTGAACTAAAATTAAAATTCTACAGAAGCAGCAAGGATAAGAAGACAACATCTGAGCTAGTCAGCGTTCCCAAGGTACCAGATCACACCAGCATCTAAACTATTGCTTAATATTAATACTTGTCAATAGATGGAGAAAGTCTTCCTGTGCAAGTTCCCACTAAATATTTTTCTTTTCATCCCTAATTCTCATATTTTGTTGCTGCTATTACCAGCTGTTGCCCATTAAGCAAACCTCTACTGGCAACAGGCTCACGACTGTGCTAATAAATTACCGAAAAAAAAAAAAAGCACTTTTTTGGCCGGGCACGGTAGCTCATTCCTGTAGTCCCGGAAATTTGGGAGGCTGAGGTGGGTGGATTGCTTGAGCCCAGGAGTTCACGACTAGTCTGGACAACATGGTGAAACCCTGTCTCTACAAAAAAATACAAAGGAAATTAGCCAGGTATGGTGATGTGTGTCTGCAGTCCCAGCTACTTGGGAGGCTGAAGTGAGAGGATCACTTGAGCCCAGGAGACTGAGGCTGCAGTGAGCTGAGATCATACCACTGCACTCCAGCATGGGCAACAGAGCAAGACCCTGTCTCAGAAAAATAATATTAATAAAACAAAAATTTTTTTAAAGTCACATTTTGAATATTCAACCTCATGCCCCTTCTTAGTGGCTCTGGCCTGCTATGTGTGTATCTCTTTTCCAAAGACAAGATAGGATAAAATATCAGAAATATACCTGTGTTTCTCAAGAAGAGTCACCAATGCTTAGCACTAGTATGACTAAGGATGGTGTGCATCACTGCCCTATTGATAACTCTTTACAAAGCAAATGGCGTGGGAAGAGCCTTTTGGTAAAGGAGACCCAGTTTGTTAGCTTTAATGCTGGCATCGCTCCAACTTAGAGATAAGACACTTCAATTTGGGGATGGTATAACACAAATTGATAATATAACACAAATGGCTGTATCTGGCTTACCCCCTCTTTTGGTCAGCTTAGTCAGCTCTCCTTTTTATGGTAGAGACCAAAGAACTACACCAAAAACACATGGCCCAACAGCACTAGGGACATGGAGTAGTTACCCAAGGAACAGTATGTTCACACACCATTATATTACACAGTGCTAATTGGCATGTCCCTAAATGGGCACAATAACCACGTACTTATTGGCTTGCTCCAAATGAAATGTCTTGGGTATGTGGTACCAATCTATGGCCATGATTACTCCCAGGATGTAAGGAAGGTATTCTTTTGAGTTTTGCCTGGACACAAAGTCAAACAGTTCATACCCTCTTAAAGCCTGCAAATCTTCCATATTTACAATTTCAGTGGGTTTGTTATGTATTTCATTGAGATGATCATTTAGCTTCCATCTTCTAGCCACAACTAGCATAAGAGGCCCCAACCAATTACACAAAAAAGACCCTAAATAATATCTACGTGGGTCTCTCATTATCTCATTATTAAATAATGAAGTTGCTCTTATGAGAAAGGTCGTCTTACAGAACTGTATCACTTTAGACATCCTCAATGCAGCCGTAAGGAAGCCTGCACTGTCATAAAGACTGAGTCTGGCATCTATATTCTAGATGAATCAGATAGCATCACTAAATTAATGGCTGATACAGAAGCCCAAATAACTAACCTTTCAGATCCAACAACTACCCTAAATAATTGGCTAAGAAGCTCATTTGGATCTTGTGAAACTTGGTGGCACTAGCTGTTACTTACTATCAGAATTATAATTATGTGTGTGTTTTGTCCTGCTTTTGTCTTTATTGCTGCTGTGGCACTTGTTCACAATGAAGTCAACACACAACACACAAATGAACAAACTAAAATAATGGTCACTCAAATAATTGCATTAATGAAAGATGCAGATCACAAAGTCACTTCCTTCCTGTTACTTTAAATTTGATCTGTATCTTGTCAGCTTTGCAGCCTGAAAACTTCCTTCTCCCCCAGCCCCCTACTCTGAAACATGACACTGGGAATGAGCATTCCTGAAGACACGGACTAAGCTCCTGAACATAATACGAGCCAAAACCATTTGAGTTCATCTAAAATCCTTTCTTTGAAAGATCTCAATTTAAAGGGGAAAATGTTTTTTCTAGTTATGTGAAGAATGACGGTGGTATTTTGATGGGAATTGCGTTGAATTTGTAGATTGCTTTTGGCAGTATGGTCATTTTTACAATATTGATTCTACCCATCCATGAGCATGGGATATGTTTCCATTTGTTTGTGCCACCTATGACTTATTTCAGCAGTGTTTTGTAGTTTTCCGTGTAGAGGTCTTTCATATCCTTGGCTGGGTATATTCCCAAGTATTTTACTTTTTTTGCAGCTATTGTAAAAGGGGTTGAGTTCTTGATTTGATCCTCAACTTGGTCACTGTTGGTGTATAGAAGAGCTACTTATTTGTGTACATTAATTTTGTATCCTGAAACTTTGCTGAATTCCTTTGTTCATTCTAGGAGCTTTTTGGAGGAGTCTTTAGGGTTTTCTAGGTATACAATAATATCATCAACAAACAGCAACAGTTTGACTTCCTGTTTACCAATTTGGATGGCCTTTATTTCTTTCTCTTGTCTCATTTCTCTCAGCAACCTGGCTGTAACTGGAGACTACTATTCTAAGTGAAGTAACTCAGGAATGGAAAACCAAATACCATATGTTCTTACTCATAAGTGGGAGCTAAGCTATGAGGATGTGAAGTCATAAGAATGATACAATGGACTTTGGAGACTCAAGGGAAAGGGTGGGAAGGGGGTGAGGGATAAAAAGACTACACATTGGGTTCATTGTATATTGCTCAGATGCTGGGTGCACCAAAATCTCACAAATTGTCACTAAAAAACTTACTCATGTAACCAAATACCACCTGTTCCTCAAAAACCCATAAAAATAAAACATTAAAAAGGGGGAAATGTGAAATTAAATATTCAAACTTAAAGCTGTTGGAACTTAAATCATTCCAAGCCTTGAGAGGAATATAGCTATGCAGCTTGAGTCACATGGCATATGGCTGCAACCTCTGCCTTTTTTATTTCCTGTAAACAATTAAGATTAAATGGCACCAGAGAAAAGAGACCTCCTCAGATCATTGCCCCTCCTCATGGAGTAATAAACTGATCTTCCTTGGAACATAGCAATCTATAATCAATCGAATCACCATAGCATACACACTGATCTTGTATAGAAAATGTAATCCTGGCCAGGCGTGGTGGCTCATGCCTGTAATCCCAGCACTTTGGGAGGCCGAGGCAAGCGGACCACCTGAGGTCAGGAGTTAGAGACCAGCCTGGGAAACATGGTGGAACTCCGCTTCTACTAGAAATACAAAAATTAGCCAGGCGTGGTGGTGTGTGCCTGTGGTCCCAGCTACTCAGGAGGCTGAGGCATAAGAATCACTTGAACCCAGGAGGCAGAGGTTGCAGTGAGCCAAGATTGTGTCACTGCACTCCAGCCTGGGTGACAGAGTGAGACTCCATCTCAAAAAAAAGAAAGAAAGAAAGAAAAAGAAGAAAGAAATTGTAATCCTTCTGGAACTTCTCTGTCTCTGCCTATGTAAGTAAAACTTTAACTTTTCCACTTTGGAATGCTGACCCCATTTATTCGGAATTGGTGTTTCTGTGGAGGCCATTCTCAATCTTTGTGCTCAAATAAACTCCATACTTAATCATATTTTCTGAATCTCGTTATTTAAGGTTGACAGGTGTCCTGTTGGGCAATGTTACAACTTCTCGATTCTTACAATCAGATTGGACCTTGCCACTCTCATTTCCTAGTCTACTTTAATTTTCATGCAGTGCTTCCTTGTTAATTTCTAAGATTGTACCTTTTTTTTGCAAAACTGTAATATCATCAAAAGTAATGTCACACAGTCTAATGCTAAAACTATTAACTACCTAACTAGTAGTTTATGATGTGTCCAGCAGATGCTACTGTATTTTCTTTGAATTTTTAAAATTTCATTCCCAGAAGAAATGTTTCGAGCCAAGGTATTAATGATCTGATTTACACTTTATTATTTACCAAGTTAAGATTTATTTTAGTTATTTTTAAAAGTCTTTATTAGATCAGTTTCAGATTCACAGAAAAATTGACAGAAAGGTACATAAATACCCTATATACACTCTGCCTCCACTGTTGCATAGCATCCCCCATTGTCAACATCCCCCACTAGTACGTTTGTTACAACTGATGAACTTACTTTCCTTACACATTTGTCTAAACCCATAGACTGTACAGCACCAAGAAGGAACCCTAATGGGTTCGACTATGGGTAAACTAAGGAGTCTAGGAGACAATGACATGTCATTGGGAGTTCATCAAATGTAACAAATGTACAACTCAGTTATTTTCTATTAAGGTATAATTTACATAGTATAAAGTTTATTCTTTTTTGTGTACAATTCTGTGAGTTTTGACAAACAAGCACAGTCATGCAACCACCACCACAATCAAGATATAGAACAGTTCTATCACTTCCAAAAATTCTCCTGTCTCTGTAGTCAACCCCTCTCCCCTGTTTCCAGTTCCTGGCAAGGGCCTGTTTCCCATCTTTATAGCTTTGCCTTTTCCAGAATACAAAATAAATGGAATTATATAGCATGCAGCCTTGTGAGTCTGACTTCTTTTACTTTGCGTAATACATTTGAAATTCATTTCTTCCATTGTGTGTAGTGATACTTAGTTTTTTTTATATCCATTGTATGGATATACGACAATCTGTTTCTCCATTGTCTAGTTAAAGGACGTTGGGTTGTTTCTAGTTATGGAAATTATGAATAAAGCTGCTATAAAAATTTGCATAACTCAAAATGGATCACAGATCTAAATGTAAAATTGAAAACTATAAAACTTCTAGAAAAATTTGTATGACCTTAGTTGATCAAACATTCCTAGCTATAACAGAAAAAAAAATGATCCATAAAAGAGTAAATTGATACATTGAACTTCATCAAAATTAAAAACTTCTGCTTTGTGAAAGGCACTGTTAAGAAAATAAAAAGACAAGCCACAGACTAGAAGGTATTTGTAAATAACATATCTAATAAAGGACATATCTAGAATATACAAAGAACTCTCAAAACTCCATAATAATAAAGCAACCCAAATTTTACACGGGCAAAAGATTTCAGTAAATATGTGATCAAGGAAGATACAAAATGGCAAATAACCATAATGGAAAGATGCTCAAGATCATTTGTCATTAGAGAAGTGCGACTTACAACCACAATGAGTTATCACTATGCCCTTATTAGATGGAAAACAAAACAAAACAAAGCCTGGAAATACCAAGCACTGGGGAGGAATTGGAGCAACTGGAACTCTTATACATTGCTGGTGGGAATGCAGAATGTATGGCCATTTTTGGATAACAATTTGGCAGTTTCTTATAATGTTATACATACACTTATCATACAATCCAGAAATCTCATTCCTAGCTATTTAGCCAAGTTCAATGAAAATCATCTTCAAACAAAAACCTGATTGGCATTTTAACATGATCACTCTGGCTGCTGTGCTAAAAATAGAATATGACAGAGGTGGATGGAGTCAAAGATAGACGCAAGAAGCCTTTTACAAGGGGCTAGTGCGACAGCCTAGATGAGAGATGATGGTGGCTCCAATCAGTGCAGGAGCAGTAGAGGAGAGAAGAGGTCAGATTCTGGATGCATTCTAATAATGGAACCGGGAGAATTTTCTAATGGACTGCAGGTGAGATGTGAGAAGAAGAAAAGAGTGAAGAAGGGGAAGGGTGGAGTCACTCAACTGAAATGAGAATGACAGATGCAAGCTGAAGGAGGAGGGGAAGAAAAGAAGTTTTTTGGACATGTTGTGTTGAGTTTTCTCTGGCATAGCCCAGTGGAGACGTTGAAGTAAGCAACTGAATGGATGTGAGTCTGGGGTTCAGAGAAGAGGTCCAAACAGAGGTTTAAATTTGGGAGTTAGCATCAAAGAGATAATATTTAAAACCAAGTGACATTACAAAGGAATTGCATAAATGGTGACGAGAAGAGGACCAAGGACTGAATCCTGGGGCTCTCCAACACTACAGGCCTCCATCCTATTTGCCAAGGGTGGCCATGGTAGTGTCTAGTGCAGTAAAGGCAACCATGTCCGGGTATGATGACAGCGGCCCTTAGACACATGTGCCGGGCATAGGTTCCCAGCTGTGCTCTGCTATCTCGTTTCCCTGTACCTGTCTGTTTTCCCATCTCTCATCCTTTCAATTAATTCCTTCTATCCCTAAGTAAGCCAGAGTCTTAGCGGCTCACAACCAAAAACGCTAACCAAAGCTGGGTAATTCACCCAACTTTACATGGTTAGTAAATGGTGAGGCCAGAACTGGAATAAATTGTCTGTCAGCAAAAGAAAAACGTGCTTTTAACCACTAGATATGTACTTATTCTGTTATACATAGACCCCATTATTTGTAAATATCTAAATTTTGGAGTAAAATTATACAAATAAGTGTTCATTGTTGCAGTATTAGTCTTATAATAAGCTAATGTCATTTTTTAAACTTCAGCACAAATGTATTAATTTGGCTCTAGAAATATAACTCAATGAATTGAAATATGATATTATAAAAGTTTCAGGCATATCTGTATGTCTCACATTATTTTATAGATAGGGCTATTATCTCTAAAATAGCATGAGCTTAAAATAAATACACATAAAATACTTGTTTTGCTGTTTTTTATACTTGCAGTAATATTGAAATTTGCAATTTAATGGATTTTATCTCAGACTTTCTTTTCTTTTTCTCATGACCTAATTATCTGCCCTATTTACAGGATGGCAGATTAACGCAAGGGAAAAAGAAAGAAACCCAAGTTGATTGTTAAAATAATTGAAATGTGGCTTGAAAAGTTAATTATGTTTCCTTCTTCATAGTTTTTCTGAAATTTCCTATTAGAAAATATCAAAGAGAAAAAGAAATCCCTGTACTTCTATTACTCCCTTTGGTTATTCAAAAATCAAAGCTATTTTAAAAATAAATGTCCATGTGTACTACGCAGAGGTGATATTTCCTTTGCTTACCTTCCCTCCAAAGCCAGGTGAAAGAATTAGGGAACATCTTAAACATCTCATTTTAGCATCAAGAACAGCAGAAATATGTAGCCCATAACGCACAATGGTTCTAAATGATGCATGATTTTCTTGGGCTGGATATAAGATTCTGTGAGGCAGGTGTGTTTTGTTGGTGCTGTGCACTTTCTATCGCGGATGTTTTGCCCTGCTTTCAAAAGAAATGCATTTAAGTTCAGTAATTGAAATGAAGTTAAAATGTTTGAGATCCTAAGACAACAAATGAACGTTTAGATTTGCTAAATAAACAAATAAGCAAACAAAAAACATCCAATCTGGGAATGACTTTCCCCCCTTGTGGATAAGAGATTGTTCTAGGAAACTGTTTGTTATATGCAGTTATATATTGTTATGTGCAGTTATATATTGACATTGCCTGTCAATAAGAGCAGAGATCTTTAATCAGTATGGGCTTTATGCTCTCTTGGGCTTTCCAATAATGAGAAAAAAATATGGTTTTAGTTGATATTATATATTTAAATTTAATTCTTTCTAATTGAATTTTCAAACTAGGATTCCAGCGTCCCTTCAGCTGGAAATGAAATAGGTCAGCATGGGGCCACCAAGCCACAACACAAAAAACACTCCTTAGGCAGAGTTTAAAAGTGGGCATTAGAATAAAATTAAAGGCCAAATTATAGCTTTATGCAATTCAAATACACTTCAGAATGCAGATCTGTGTAAGGTTCTTTTTGCAGCACATAAATTCTTTTTTAAATGGTTAAAACCCTTTAACATCAGTTAAGCCCTTTATTGAAACATGTGGCTTGCACACCCATCTGCAGGGCCTGCTCAGGATATATAGATGGCAAAGGAGAGGCCTGGCTCTCTGGATCATGCAGCTGGGAAGGGAGACTGAAAAGTAAGCAAATACTTCCATAAGGCAGAATAAAATAAGCAGCACATTACAGGTAAGTATAAATTAGTCCAGAGAAAGGAGCAAGTCAATATCAATAGGGAAATAGGGGAAGATTGCAGGAGAATGAGAGCCTTGATCCTGCGTCTTGACATAAGTAAAGGAATTAGGAGGCTGTGTATTCCTTTATGTATTCATCATTCACACATTCACTCATTCAACAAGTATTGATTCAATGCCTTCTATGGGCCAGGCACTATTATATTTACTGAGGTGCAGTGGCAAAGATAAAGCCCTGCCCTCATACAGCTCATAGTCTAGTATGGGGAGACCAAAAGCAAACAAATACAGTTTCAGCCACTGGAAAAATCTCTCTGAACAGCAAAGCAGGCCAAGGGGTTAGCTATAGAGTGAGTCGTGGAAGCTCAGAAAGCATCTTAGAGGCAGCATTTGAGAAGAGGACTGGAAATGAGAAGAAGCAGGCTTTGCAGCTTTCTAGGTGATAGTAAAGAAGCTAGATTTTATTCCAAGTGCAGTAGAAAACACTTGAGGGTTTTAAGAACTGAGGAATGACATAAAGGGATTCATTTTTTTTTTCTTTTATTTAAGAAACAGAGTCTCACCCTGCCACTTTTGCTGGAGTGCGGTGGCACTATCTCTGCTCACTGCAGCCTCGAACTCCTGGGCTCAAGAGATGCTCCCCTCTTAGCCTACTGAGTAAATAGGACTAAAGGCATGAACCACTATGCCTGGCTAACTTATTTTATTTTTAGTTTTTTGTAGAGACAGTGTCTCACTATGATGCCCAGGCTGGTCTCAAACTCCTGGCCTACAGTGATCCCCCCACCTCAGGTTCCCAAGGTACTGAGATTACAGGTGTGAACCAGTATGTCCGGCCAAGGGATTCAATTTTTAATGAATGCCATGGTGAATTACCACAGGGAGGTAAGGACGGAAGCAGAAGGACCAGAGAGAAGGCGTGGATAGAGTCCAGACTGGAGACATCAAGGATGGTACAAGATTGATAAGGGTAGAGGAGGTAAGAGTCAGATCTAGAGTATGTTTTACAGGCAGCAAACAGAACTTGCTCACAAATTGGATGTGGTGATTAGGAGGTTAAGAGGTCACAAAGGTGAAATGGAAGGTGTCTTTGACTGGAATAGGGAAGATGGAGGAAAAGCAGAGAGGGAATGAGTGGATCAAGATTTGGCAGTGCCTAAGACTTGACCAACAGAAGTGATGTGGGACATTGCAGTTTGAACTTGAGGAAGTGGTGTGGGAAGTATCAGTCAAGTAACAAATCATCACATGTCCACGAAACAATTATGAACATGTAAACTGATTAAGAAACATGGAATTAACTTTTTCCCTTTGTTAATTGGCCCAACCTTGTTTCTCACCACAAACAGCAGAAATCAGCAACAACACCACAGTCCAGGGAGTGCTTCCTGGGCCCGAATTTATCCACCCTTCTGCTGCCTAGTTCATTTCCAAGATTTCACTCAATCGCCAATGATTGTGTCGCAATTTCTTCAAAAGACTTTAGTGAAATCTAAGACCTTTTCATTGTATCAAATTACAGTGTTTTCTTCAAGTGTCAGGATTTGACAGAAACAGGCTAATCTGCTGCTTGCCTACTCAAGCCCTTAGCTCACAGTTGAGAACACACACATATACTGAACTCACAGATTTAGTCTCCTCCTCTACCGACCACCACTACCCTCTCCACCTCTCTTCCCCTTCCCACTTCCCCACTGAAATTCAGACTGCAGCCTAAGCTCCTTTCCCTTCCCCTATGCAGAGACAAGTGGCCCATCAGAGCTGCAAGCAATGGCAGGCCCAGGGTGGTGGGCAAGGCCTTCCCCATGTGCAGACAATGAGTGGTGTGTTACCTAAGAGAATTTGAAAGCAATGCTAAAAGTAACCAAAAGTCCATCTGATTCCATTCCATTCATTGCCATGTGCCTCCTTGTGCAGGGGATGCTAAATAATGTCAGTGATACAATACTCTTCCCTGAAAAAAAAAAAATCTTTTTTGTTCTAAGTTCTAAACAGTCATTGCAGTAATTGTTGGGCTTGGGCAATGTATATGTAAATTTCAAAATAAAAAATAATCACATGTATTTATTACTTATCCTTTAATAAACATTATATTCCACATGGAAATTAATTAAAAGAACTTCAGCTGTACCTTCAGCTCTCACACAAGGACTCAGTTACATACAGTTGCTTTGAGAGCAAGTTCGTAATGTTAGATAAGATTTGCAGCTTCCTTTGGGTGCCTGCTTTGAGCACAGATCACAAATATGACTCCCACAACACTACATAAGTCTCAGTTAAACAAAAGAGTCAAAATAAACAAGGATAGCACAATCATGGTAAAGACAAAGAAACAATTTGAGTTACTTCAATTCTATCATTTTATGTGACTCCTTGGAGTTTTTATTTGTGGTTGAAATTTAAAACAGCGAAACAGTGCACAAACTGCAAAGTTAGTCATTTTGTTTGATAAGGGCAAATTTTAGCTTGTTCATGAAACGTTTTACTGGCTGTAAGGACTATTTTTTAAATTAAACGTTATTTTTCTTATTTTGTTAGTTGTTTTAAAATTAAAGACTACATCTAGAAATAATAAACATTAAGTCAAGGGAATAATTATTTTAATGATTATTACATGGTTACTATTGAAAATAATTTTGTTATATAGATGAGAGGAGATGTTTTAAAAAAAAAAATGTTTTGCTCCAGCTTCAAATATTCTGGGTATGTCACTGGATGTAACATAAAAAGGTTCCCATAGTTCTTTTGAAAATAAAGCAAGTTGAAAAATTATCTAGTATTTTTCTTTGGTAATTTCAGCTTTTATTTTAGATTCACGTGAAGGTTTGTTACATGGGTATATTGCATGATGCTGAGATTTGAGGTACAAATGATCCTATAACCCAGATGGTGATCATAGTACCCAATAGTTTTTCAACTCTTGCTTCCCTACCTCTCTTCCCCCTTTTGGAGTCCCAGTGTCTTTTGTTGACATCTGTATGTCCACATGTGATTAGGTCCCACTTATAAGTGAGAACATGTAATATTTGGTTTTCTGTTACTCCATCACTTTACTTAGAATAATGGCCTCCATCTGCATCCATGTTGCTGCAGAGGACATGGTTTCATTCTTTTTATGGCTGCACAATATTCCACAGTGTATGTGCACCACATTTTTTTTATCCAATCCATCATTGATGGGCATCTAGGTTGATTCCATGTCTTTGCTATTATGAAAAGTGCTGCAGCCAATATACAGGTGCATGTGTCTTCTTGGTAGAATGATTTATTTTCCCTTGCATGTATACCCAGTAATGGGATTGCTAGGTCAAATGATAGTTCTGTTTTCATTAAAAAATCGCCAAACTGCTTCCCATAGTGGCTGAACTAATTTACATTCCCCTCAACAGTGTATAAGCGTTCCCTTTTCTCCACAGCCTCAACGGCCATGTTGTTTTTTGACTTTTTAGTAATAGCCATTCTGACTGGTATCTCATTGTGGTTTTGATTTGCATTTCTCTGATGATTAGTGATGTGTTTTTTCATGTTTGCTGGCCACATATATGTGTGTGTTTTTTGTTTTTTTTGTTTTTTTTGTTTATTTTTTACTTTAAGCTCTGGGATACATGTGCAGAACGTGTGCAGAGGTTTGTTAGATAAGCTTACATGTGCCATGGTGGTTTGCCACACCTATCAACCCATCATCTAAGTTTTAGGTCCTGCATGCATTAGGAATTTGTCCTAAAGCTCACCCTCCCCTTGCCCCCAACCCCCAACAAGCCCCAGTGTGTGATGTTCCCCTCCCTGTATCCAATAATAGACAAGCAGAGAGACAAATCATGAGTAAACTCCCATTCACAATTGCTACAAAGAGAATAAAATACCTAGAAATACAATTTACAAGGGTTGTGAAGGACCTCTTCAAGGAAAACTACAAACTACTGCTCAAGGAAATAAGAGGGGACACAAACAAATGGAAAAACATTCCATGCTCATGGACAGGAAGAATCAATGTCATGAAAATGGCCATACTGCCCGAAGTAATTTATAGATTCAATGCTATTCCCATTAAGCTACCATTGACTTTCTTAACAGAATTAGAAAAAAAAAACTACTTTAAATTTCATATGGAACCAAAAAAGAGCCCGTATAGCCAAGACAATCCTAAGCAGAAAGAACAGAACTGGAGGCATCATGCTATCTGATTTCAAACTATACTATGAGGCTAGAGTAACCAAAACAGCATGGTACTGGTACCAAAACAGATATGTAGACCAATGGAACAGAACAGAGGCCTCAGAAATAACATCACACATCTACAACCATCTAATCTTAGACAAACCTGACAAAAACAAGCAATGGAGAAAGGATTCCCTATTTAATAAATGTGTTCTTTTGTGAAGTGCCTGTTCATGTCTTTTGCCTATTTTTTATTTATTATTTGCTTTATTTTGCCTTCATATTGCCCACTTTTTAGTGAAATTTTTTGTTTTTTACTTCTTCAATTGTTTGAGTTTCTTATAGATTTTAGATATTAGTCCTTTGTTGAATACATAGTTTGTAAATATTTTCTCCCTTTCTATAGGTGGTCTGTTGACTTTGCCTGTGCAGAAGCTCTTTAATTTAATTGGGTCCCACTTGTAAATTTTTTGTTAGTGGCAATTGTTTTTGAAAATTTAGTCATAAATTCTTTCCCAAGACCAATGTTCAAAATGGTGTTTCCTAGTATTTCTTCTAGGATTCTTATAGTTTGAGGTCATTTAAATCTTTAATCCATCTTGAGTTAATTTTTATAATATCATGAAAGGTAGCAATCCAGTTTCATTCTTCTGCATATTGCTAGCTACTTATCCCAGCACCATTTAGTAAGGAGTCTTTCCCTCATTGCTTATTTTGGTCAACTTCGTTGAAGATTAGATAGTTGTAGGTATGTGGCTTTATTTCTGTGTTCTCTATTCTGTTACATTGGTCTGTGTGTAGCATATACCATGCTGTTTTGGTTACTGTAGGCTTACAGTATAGTTTGAAGTCGGGTAATGTGATGCTTCTGGTTTTGTTCTTTTTGCCTAGATTTACTTTGGCTATTTGGGCTCCTTTTTGGTTTCATATGAATTTTAGAGTAGTTTTTCTAATTCTGTGAAAATGATTTTGGTAGTTTAATAGGAATAGTATTGAATCTGTAGATTGCTTTGGGAAGTATGACCATGTTAACAATATTGAGTCTTCTAATCTATGAGCATGGAATGTTTGTCCATTTGTTTGTGTCATCTATGACTTCTGTCAGAGGTGTTTTGTAGATCACCTTGTAGAGATCTTTCATCTCCTTGGTTAAACTCCTAGGTATTTTATCCTTTTTCTGGCTATTGTAAATGGGATTGTATTCTTGATTTGGCTCTCAGCATGAACATTATTGGTGTATAGAAATGCTGCTGATTTTTATACATAGATTTTGTATTCTGAAACTTTACTGAAGTTGTGTATCAGGTCTGGGAATCTTTTGGCAGAATCTTTAGGATTTTCAAGGTATAGAATCATCTCATCAGCAAAGAGAGATAGCTTGACTACTTCTTTTCCTATTTGGGGGCCTTTTATTTTTTTCTCTTGCCTGATTGCTCTCGCTAGGACTTCCAGTACTATGTTGAATAGGTATTGTAAGAGTGGGCAATCTTGTCTTGCTCCATTTCTCAAGGGGAATGCTTCCAGATTTTGCCTGTTCAGCATGTTGTTGGCTGTAGTTTTGTCACAGATGGCTCTTATTATTTTGAGGTATGTTCCTTCAATGCCTAGTTTGTTGAGGGTTTTTATCATGAAGACATGTTGGATTTTATTGAAAGCTTTTTGCACATATATTGAGATGATCATATGGTTTTTGTTTTTCATCAGTTTATGTGGTGAATCACACTTATTGATTTACATATGTTGAACCAACCTTGCATCCCAGAAATGATCATGGTAAATTAACTTTGTGATGTGCTGCTGGATTTAGTTTGCTAGTATTTTGTTAAGAATTTCTGTGACTATGTTTATCAGGGATATTGGCTTGTAGTTTTCTTTTTCCATTGTGTGTTTTCCAGGTATTGGCATCAGGGTGATGCTGGCTTTGTAAAATGAGTTATGGAGGATCCCCTTCTCCTTGATTTTTGAAATAGTTTTAGTAGAATTGACACCAGCTCTTCTTTGTATGTCTGGCAGAATTCAGCTGTAAATCCATCCAGTAGGGAGTTTTTTTTGGCTAGTAGTTTTTTTTTTACTACTGATTCCATTTTGGAACTCAATATTGGTCTGTTCAAGGTTTCAATTTCTTCCTAATTCAATATTGGGACATTGTGTGATTCCAGGAATTGATTCATTTCCTCTAAATTTTCTATTTTGTGTGCATAAAGGTGTTCATAATAGTCTCTGATTTTTATTATATTTCTGTAGGATTGGCTGCAATGTCACCTTTGTTATTTCTTCATTTCTGATTATGCTTATTTGGATCTTCTCTCCTTTTTTTGTTAATCCAGCTAGAGATCTATTGATCTTGTTTATCCTTTCAAAACCAACTTTGGATTTTGGTGATTCTTTGTATGGATGTTTGGGTCTCAATTTCACTCAATTCAGCTTTAGTTTTAGTTATTTATTTTTTTCTGCTAGGATTGGGATTAGTTTGTTCTTGTTTTTCTAGTTCATCTAGGTATAATGTAAGACCATTAATTTGAGATCTTTCTAAGTTTTTGAGGTAGACGTTTAGCACTATAAACTTTCCTCTTAACAATACTTTTGCTGCATCCCAGAGGTTTTGGCATGCTGTGTCTCTGTTTTCATTTATTTTAAAGATATTTTTTATTTTTGCATTAATTTTGTTATTTACCAAAAGTCATTCAGAAGCAAGTTGTTTAATTTCCATGTAATTGTGTGGTTTTGATTTTCCTGTTATTGACTTTTATTTTTATTCCACTGTGGTCTGAGAGTATGGTCAGTATAATTTCTATTTTTTTTTAATTTACTGGGACTTGCTTTACGGTCAATCTTGGAATATGTTCCATGTGCATGTGAGAAGCATGTGTATTCTGTGGTTGAGGAGTGGAGTATTCTGTCAATATCTATTAGGTTCAATTATTCAGGTGTTGAATTTAAGTCCAGAATTTTATTATTAGTTTTCTACATCAAAGATCTAACACTGCCAGTGGGGTGTTGAAGTCTCCCATTATTATTGTGTGGCTTTCTAAGTCTTTTCACAAGTCTGGAAGTACTTGTTTTATGAATCTGGGTGCTCCAATGTTGGGTGTGTGTGTGTATTTAGGATAGTTAAGTTTGCCGAATTGAACTCTTTATCTTTGTGTAATAATACCTTTTGTCCTTTTTTACTGTTGTTAGTTTAATTGCTGTTTCATCTGAAATAAGAATAACAATGTCTGCTCTTGTTCGTTTTCCATTTGCATGATAGATCTTTCTCCAGCCCTTTACTTTGAGCCTATTGGTGTCATTACATGTGAGATATGTCTCTTGAACACAGCAAACAGATGGATCTTGTTTTTTATCCAACTTGCCTCTCTGTGCCTTTTAAGTGGGGCATTTAAACCATTTACTTCAAGTTTAATACTGATATATGATTTTTTTTATCCTAACATGAAATTGTTAGATGGTTGCTTTATGGTTTCTATTGTATGGTTGCTTTGTAGGGTCTGTGAGTTATATACTTAAGTGTGTTTTTGTGATAGCACATATCATTCTTTTGTTTCCATGTTTAGAAATCACTTAAGGATCTCTTATAAGGCTGATCCAGTGGTAACAAATTCCCTTAGCACTTGATTGCCTGCAGAAGATTTTATTTCTCCTTCACATATGAAGCTTAGTTTAGTGCGATATGAAATTCTTGGTTGGAATTTTTTTCTTTAAGAATACTGACAATAGGCCCTCAATCTCTCCTTGCTTGTAAGGTTTCTGCTGAGAAGTTCATTGTTAGCCTAATGCAGTTCCCATTGTGTTTTATCTGCCCTTTTTCTCTAGCTACATTCAAGATTTTTTCTTTAGCATTGACCTCGGACAGTCTGGTAACTATATGCTTTGGTAATGTTCACTTTGTATGGTATCTCACAGGTGTTCTATGGATTTCTTGTATCTAGATTTTTATCTCTCTATAGCAAGATTAAGGAAATTTTCTTGTATTATTCTTTCAAATATGTTTTCTAGGTTGTTTACTTTTTCTCCTTCTCTCTCAGAGACAATTCATAGGTTTGGTCACTTTACATAATCCCATATTTCTCAAAGACTTCGTTTTTAAAAATTCTTTTTTTTCCATTTTTGTCTGACTCAGTTGAAAGACTGCTCTTCAAGCTCAGAAATTCTTTCTTCTGCTTGTTTATCGATAAATTCTTTCTTCTGCTAGTGTATTCATAAAGCTTCTAATTGTATCTTGAAATTCTTTAAGTGAGCTTTTTAATTTCAGAAGCTCTGGCTGATTTCTTTTTAAGGTGTTTATCTCTTCCTCCATTTCCTGGATTTTAGAGGTTTCTTTGTGTTGATTTTCAACATTGTCATAGATCTCATGGAGCTTCCTTGCAATTCATGCTTTGAATTCTTTACCTGTCATCTCTAAGTTTCCACTTTGGTTAGGGACCGTTGTTGGAGGGCTAGTGGCATCCTTTGGTGGTGCCATTTCATTCAGATTTTTCATGGTGCTAGAATTCTTGAGCTGGTTCCTTCTCATCTGGAGATGCTGGTATTCTAATTTTTGTAATTATTTTGGCACAGGTAGGACTTTTTCTTTTATTTCCTATATTTTTTTTTATTTCCCTTTACTTTAACCCCCCACCCCCGACCAGGGGCTGTGACTGTAGAGAATGCTGGATAGGGTCTTTTTTTCTGCTTCTATAGCCCCGTGGATTTCTTTTGGCAGGTTTTATATCAGGCTGTGCAGTTCAGCTTACCAGCCAGTAGATGGCGTTCCTGGGTAAGAGCTGGATGCGGCCATTGCTGCTGGGCATATACTTGATCCTTATTTACTGGGAGAAGCTCTCCCTTGCCTTAGCCCTAGATGGGCTTGGGGCAAGATGGGAGGGGCTGGACCAGACTGTGCAGGCCTGCCTACACGTCCCACATGGCAGGCACAAACACCAGTGCCGAGCGAGAATCCAAGCACCCAGAGGTGTGTCTAGATAAGTCATCCAGTTTAAAAAGGAAACAAACAAAAAAAACCATGAATCATGTGAGATGGACAATCTTTCATTTCATGGTTTCTAGGATATTCTCTAGCCTTGATCAGTGAACTGACCAAGGCAGGTTACTTATTGGCGTCAAGTATGTATGAGTGTGTTGGGTGTACATTAACGCATCTTGATTGTGTCATCCAGTCATACTGGTGTGCACACAGGCAAGAGTAAAAGCTAAGGCAACCAGCTCAATACCCTACAGCACCTGCAGAGGCAAGAACAGTGACCCAGGAGTCAGAAGACCCAGAGTTCCAGTCTTGACCCATTGCTACACCTACTCGCCATGTGACCTTGAACAAATCCCTTGAAAAAAAGCAAGGCTCACTTTATTCAACATCAGGTCAATGACCCTTTAAATTATGAATGGTCCAATTGCATCCTAAAGAGACGTGGTATGATTTTAGAGCTGTCCTACCTTAGGAGCAAGTAAGTGGGGCATTTATTCCCCACCTCCTATCCATAATTAGCTGAGAGCCCCTTCGGCAAGCATTGGTACCTAGCTTTTCCAGCCTGACCTTTGAGTGATCTGAGAAAAATATTGTGGCCAGAAAAAAACTCTCAGGTGTTCTTCAATTAAGTCAAGAGAATAATTCTTTTAATGATTATTATATGGTTACTATAAGATTAAGCCATAGGACATGAGAGTACACAGAAATGTGTTTATCCAGAGCTAAACAATAGTATATTACATGACACCTTAGTCTGAAGTGTCACTAGTATTTATAACCCAGGTGTAAGTCTGTATAAGAGAATAAAGATAATCACAAGTTCTTTGCTACTCTGGCCATTAATAGGTCAAGTCTCATTTCCCTCTCTTTGAATCTGGGCTGCTCTTATGATTTGCTTGACCAATAGAGTGTGGTGAAATTGATGTCCTAGGACTTATGAGCTAGGTCATAAGAAACCCTGCATCTTTTATCCAGGGTTTATAAGAGTATAAGATATGCTCTTATACTGCAATTTATCTCCTGTTAGAGTGCTCACTCTGGGAGCCCTGGACCACCATGGGAGAAATATGACTAGCCTGAGGTCACTTTTTTGGAGATGTCACATGTAGGTTCTCCATTCTAGGGTCCCAGGTGATCTCAGCTTTCCAAGGTGCGAGATACATGAGTCATGAGTGAAGCCGTCTCAGACCCTCCACACTAGCCCTTCTGCTAGATGAATACTAGCAAAAGACTTCACTCGATGCCACATGGAACAGAGACCCAGCCAAACTCTTCCTGAATGCCTGATGTAGGAAATCAGGAGACACAATAGTTCATTGTTTTAAGCCATCAAGACTGGGGATTAATTCTTACCTAGTGATAAATAATCAAAATCATCAAAATCATGAATCTGGTAGGATGCTGGTCTCTGGCATTTGAGTCTGCACAGCACCATCACATTTATTTAGTCAACTGACTTCAGAAAGTCAACTGACTTCCTTTTCAACCTCAATTTCATTCTTCATTATCTGAGAATAAGGAGAGGTTGTAGTTCAATTTTTCTTGCTTTCAAAGACAATGAACATTAGCCCCAACTATGTCATCGAGCTCCCATTTGGGAGAGTAATACGAGGGACTTTTTTCTCTGTTATTAAGCTTTGGGTTAGGTTTTTTATTTAACAGGCTGGTCTTTGAGGAGTCAGTTTCATATTTCCTTTCTGTGACTCATTTAATAGAAAAATAGGAAGAGATATACAGAAACAGATTGCCAGCCTCACCATCATTCATTTCACCCATTGCTTCCTGAGGTGACTCATTTAACTTCACATATAGATATAATAAAACTTTCTATTAGTTGGCATTGGGTGTGCTTACATATAAGGAAGAAGACTCTTTACTCCTCAATCCACTAGAGAGAGTTAAAAGCTCTTTTTCTTTTCACTTTCTCAGATGTTAGGTAATTTTCCATTTGTAGACAAAACTACATCCTTGGAAGTTAAGAAGGTCTGTAATTCATTTTCCACTCTTCTTGCTACACGAGAAGTAAAAAGAATAGCAATAACAACACAACAATGACAAAATTAAGAGATATGCTCTTATACTGCAATTTATCTCCATCTTAGACCAAAAGGAGAAAGTATTATTATCCCCATATGACAGCTGAGTTTTGAGAAGGTTTACTAACTCACACAGGTACACGTAAGTGACAAGACCAGGTATTAAACTCAGATCTCTCTGATTAGTGCTCAGCCTTTTTATCACTACACCATGATGTCTCTCAGCACCTGAAGGAAGACTGAACATCAGGATTTGAGGTGTATTTTTTTCACTAGTCTGTTGGATAATAGTGTTTCCACACTAATTTTCAGAGAAAACCCAAACTGCTTATCTCTCTCTCCTCTAGGTAACTGGATGAGAGACAATCTGGCTCATTCTTGCCCCAGTGGTAGCATTTATTGCATTGTATTATAAATTTTGGACTATTTCCATGTGTGCCTTTTTCACACTCATGTAAGCATCTCATCAGTTCAATTTATATTAGGTATTTTATCACCAGTACATGTTTAAAAAAGAAGGGATCTTTGAATGTTTGTGAGTGAATTCATGAATGTATCAATAACCCATTTTTCCTTAGGACAGTGGTAGGTGGGAACAACATGGCTTATGAATTAGCACTCCAGAAAAGCGTATAATTGATACCTTGTCCCCAATAGAGGAAAATCCAAACATTTATAACATCAGTTTCAGGGAACACTGGCACCATTTTTAATTCAATTCACTGGTTACTTATTGATGCTGAATCTGTGCTGGATTTATATCACCATAAAAAGATGACAGTCAGATCCACATCCCTGGGCTTCTAAATGCTATTTGTTTCTCCTGGCCCACTTCTGTTGTCTAGCTATACTTTCTTCTAAATAATCTCATCCAATCCCATGACATAAACACCACCTATAGGCTAACAACTCTCAAAGATATTCCTAGTATAGACTTCTTTTCTGGGTTCTTGGCTCTTGCAGCCAACTAGTCATAGGAGAGAATGTTCAAGCAACTTAGAATGAGAATATGAAGTGGGGAGAGATTAATTACAAATCAGAGGGGAGATGCAGATCAAAGAGAGTCTTTTGGGGGAAAACAGAATATTGAAGATGGGATTTCAAAAGGCAAATTAAGGGGAAAGATGGTGACCCCAGTAGGAGAGAACTACAGGAAAAAATCAGGAAAACCTAGTAGAAGTTTAGGCAGCCTGTGAGCACGGTAGAGGAAGTATTGGGAAGTAGCAGGCTATGAGTTTAGAGAAGTAAATGGGAACAAAATGTTAGACAAAGGAGTTTAGAGTTTCTTCTTTAGGCAGTCAAGATTCACCACAGATTCCTTAGCAAGATATTATATCTGGATTTGAGTAAGTTACAGCAAATATTAGGAGCAAGTGTGGTGTGAAGAGAAGAGAAGCTGGGGGTAAGTAGAATGGGCCTGGTGAGAGGGCAGCAGGACCCTGGCAAAGGAACATAAAGAATCACTGAAGGAATGGTAACTGAAAGGTGAGGTAAGAAAAATGGAGTATGCAAGATGGCTTCTAAGTTTTGAGCCTTGGTGATGAGATAAATGCATGCAGAAGCCACTGCTCAAGATCTGGGGAGCAAGGTGTCCTCCCAAAGAAAGGCCTTGCCAAAGATTACACTCTGCGATCTTCATGGCTATTTTTGGTTTCCTCATGAGGAAAGTTGCTAGTTATATCTTAATATGGGCTGTGGCAGAAACTCCTGAAACAGAACTTTTCTGTTACACACTCACACACACACACGGTTATAAAATTATAGCATTACATAACCTTGGAATTTCAAATCTTGCTCCCCAGGGCACTGCATGTGCCACTTTTAGAGCCCAGAATGACTCCCCGACCCCACATCACTTTTGGGTCAATGCTAGGTTCAACCCATCTGTCCTTCTTGCACTGGCCTTTATTTCTGAGTCTCTGTAACATGTCCTTGTCCACAGTTTTGGCCAGTCACTGTGGTTCACCTTGACAGGTGATCCAATTTGGAATTTGAAGAAGCAGGAGTTCTTCTAATTCCAAGAGGCCCCCGTACTCCTTCTGAGAGCTTTGAACTTCACCCTACTGGGCAGCTCTGCACAGTAAACGGTGAGGCAGGTTTTTCTCAAATTTATAAAAGAGAAAATTATAAAAGTTCTCTAATGACTATGAAATTCTTTCTATGCTCCCTAAATTTAAAAAAGCTAAAAAATTACTTGACTGCTCTACCTACATTGAGAATAATCACAGAAAACTAAGAATACATCCCCCTTCTAGCTACTCTAGTGGATAAGAGCTGTGACGGAATCCTAATCATTTGGAAGGGGAGCAGGGAAGTACTGGGAAGGGAAGAGCGAGTCCCTGGCTAGAGCTCCACCCCCGGGCCTGTGCCCATGGACCTAGATGAGGACAGACATTTGTTTTCCTGCCCAAATGGTGCATTTCCCAAAACCACCCTGGCCCACCATGCCCCCATCCTATGCCTATAAAAACCCTGAGACCCTAGCGGGCAGAAACATAAGCAGCTGGACATTGAGAGGAACACATAGACGGAAGAAGACACAAGCAGCTGGACGTCAAAAGGACATCGAGAGCACACCAACAGGCACCGGCATGTGGAAGGCCATCGACAGGCAGAACGATGCGGAGTTTGGCAGGGGTGGTCAGAAGAGAGCTCCAGCTGCTGAGCAACCAGACTCCAGGGGAAAACCACCTTCCCACTCCCTTCTTGCTCGCTCATCTTCTGGGAGCTACTTCCACTCAATAAAGCCTTGCACTCATTCTCCAAGCCCACATATGATCCGATTCTTCTGGTACACTAAGGCAAGAAACCCGGGCATACAGAAAGCCTCTGTCCTTGAGATAAGGCAGGGAGTCTAATTGAGCTAACACAAGTCACCTACAGATGGCTAAACTGAAAGAACACACTATAACACACTCCCACTGGGACCTCAGGAGCTGTAAGCATTCAACCCTAGACACTGCCTTGGGATCAGAGCCCCACAACCTGCCTGTCTGCCTGCTCCCTCTAGGGGTTTGAGCAGCGGGGCACCAAAGAGGTGAGCCACACCCCCCATCGCAGGCCCTGTGAAGGGGGCAAGGGAACTTTTCCTGTTTCACTATCAACAGCCCAGCGTCCTTTAAGAGGCATTGTCTCTGGGTTAGATTCAAGTGAGACAACAATTAAGTCCAACAGGCCTGTAGAGCTCTTGGTAGATAGGAAATGACCTGCAGGAATGGCCTCATTGGCACCGTAAGTAATTCTCCCCTTTGCGGCCAATGCTACACAGGAGAGGGACTCAATGCTACACAGGAGAGGGGCCAATGCTACACAGGAGAGGGTGGGATGGTCCACAACCATCCCACCCCCTATTCTTATTATCAAAGATATCCAAGCATTACCATGTTCTTAAAGTGAGATGGGGCAGACTTGAATCTACCTCCTCTAGAGACTCATGGACTCAGATATTTCTCAATACATAAGATGAGGAGTATAGAGCACTGGAGAAGAATAAAAGGGACTTCTGGCCTTTCTTCTTTTACTTGACATAGGTAGAGAGGTCGAGTAATTTTTCCAAGTTTATGGCTAATAAACGGCAGAGCTAGGATTCAAGCCCTGAGGTCTGACTACCATGCCAGACTGCCTCACTATTGCTTCTTTTGTCTCTGTGTTCTGAGCATCTAGCACATATCCAATACCTAATAAAATGTAGGTATACAATGAAAGGTTAGCAAATGAATGAAAGAATGTCACTAAACCAAATGTCCTTGCTTTATTGTGTAATGCAGTCTTGCTAAGTGAGTTGACAGCAAAACCAAGAGTCAGGTCTGTGGGTGTTTTGAGTGATACTCCATCAACTGCTCCTGGTGTTTCAAAGAAAGACCCAAAAGTATGTACAACAAAACTTTAAATATAACCCTGAGGTAGGAAAAAGAGAGCTGGATAATAAAACATAACTCTAGGGTTTTGAGTCAAGTCCCAATCCTTGAAGAAAACTCACAACGCTTCTGGACTTTGAGTTTATCACCTACAAGATCATCACAGTCTCTACAAATTCTGGAGTTCTGTGGATCTTAAGTGCTGAAGTCCTCAGTTGACTGGAATTTTCGTGGCAATCTACTTTAATACGAAAGAGCAAACAGGCAGATCCAAATACCCAGATCTGGAATTTTGTTAAAATAGTTATACCTGCAAAGGGGTGCCTTAGGTTCTGTAGATAATTCTTAAATTTCACCATACTGCAGCCACTCTACTCCAATTGCATGGACAATGTTATACCATCACAGTGTTCAGAATGACACCAGGTAAGTCCACGAGGCACTTTTCCAAAGAGATGGAATTTCAGTGGGCTGAAATCTTTCTGAGAGAGAATTTATGGCACTTCCATGGCACAAAGAGACAAATATTTCACATATGTTTTTGGGAACCAGGATAAAGAAGAAACGGGTTGTTATTTTTTTAACTAATCTGAAGGTACATGACATAAAACATTATATCATGAAAATTGTTTTTCAACGTGTAATTTCAATCTAAAAATAACCTAATAATAACAGCAGTAACAAATATCAGGAAATTCAATTACATTGAATATTCTCCACTCAAATGTTCTCGTTAATCAAGGTCTTTTTGAACTTTCTTAAATTGCTTTTTTTAATGAACTTCATTTTCAGATCTGAGAGGCACTACTGGTACAGTGTTTCAATTCTGCTTTCCCTGAAAGCCACTCCATAGAAAGCATATGCCTTTAATGCAACAGGCTAATGGTATTATAATCATGTAGAAAGGACACTAGCAAACAACCACACAGCTAGTGGTATCTTTAGTAACCTATTAAGGAGCCAAATGATAGTTTGGGTCTTTATTAAAATGTAAAGAGAGTCTGTTGTTACATCATTATCTATAATAGTGTGAAGACAAAATGACCCAAAAATTCAATAATAAAAGAAGATTTAGGAAATTATGGTACAGCACATCCTATTAGATTATGTAACAGACCAATTACAAATAACCATTATAAATGGGAGAAGGTGTTTATGACACAAAGTTAACTCAGAATAGCAGACTATAAAACCCTGGACAATCAGATTATCCTGCATTCTACAAATACATCTCTAAAATAACTAGGATCCATATGTAATATACATAAGGACCAGAGAGAGCATAACAATATAAAAATAATTGACACTTACTGTGATGTCATATTTTTTGCTTAAAAAACATTTCTTCCTTTATATTTTATGCTGTCTTTGTAATACATTGTACACAAAAGAAAAAAATGGAAAACTAACCATGCATAAAGACTTAGACACACTAAAAGACTGCATGTTGAGTTCAGAGCTGTGATTTGAGGCAATCAATGAACATAGTTAAAATTGTTGTGTTAAAATCATGCTTTGTAGCTGAAAATCCCAGTGTAAAATCAACACTTTTACAGACTCCCTCTGTGTTTCCATTGATTCAACAGGAATGTCCTAATGCGAATAATTGGATTATTTGTAAATAATTATTTAACCAAAATTGTGCAATATTCCCCTCCTCACCTAAAGATAACAAGAAAGGCAAAGGTAACTGTGATGCAAAAAAAAAAAAAAAAGAAAAATCTCATTGGTTGAACTTCATCTCTTTTTTCCTTATGGAATTTTTCAGAACCCATGTGGGGTTACCCAAGGACAGATCCCCTTTCTGCAGACCATGTCCTGCACAGCAGCTACTGCCAGCCTCCTCATTATCTTTTGATAGCTTACTCAGAATAAGCAGAGAACTGCTCAAGATCCAACGGACCTGCAGGTATGGAGCCAGCCAGCCCTTCAGGTCTTAGCCACCTAACAAATCATCTAAGAGAAAAAACTAGGAGGAATGTGAGGAAAATGTGTTCAGTATTTTGTGTCTTTTCTGTCTTTGATGGGGCTTTATGAGCTGGTGTTTCTATTCAGAAGGCTTCTTTCATTTCATAATGTGAGGCTTGGGTGACCCAGGACCCGGTTAAAATCTCTCGGAGAGATCCCTCAGCTCATGTTTGCCCTGATGAGGATGCATTGCTTTGATCTGCTTTGATCCTCTACAAATAGCTTCTCTCTTTTCTATAGAAGAGCAAGGTGTTTGCTCCAGCCAGAGTGGCTGAAGTCAATGCTTCGCCTTAATGGCTTCCCCATGGACAGGCAGTGGTGTGGAGTCTTCCTTTTCCTTTTTAAACCTAGCTGGATAGGAAGATGATTACCACTTAAAATGTTTTCAGGAGGAAAAAGGATCTTCTGAGGAAAATATAGGTTACCCTTTATTTGCCAAATATGTTATTTACTCTAAAGAAAGAGGGGTTAGCAATCTGCCACTATGAAGTTGCTAACTCAGCTTGCCCTCAGAGGTAATGAAACCCAGCTGCAGAAGGAGGTAGGTCTACTTGGGGGGCTGACAGTGACTATGCAATCAGCCAGCTCCTACACAAAGCTTGGAACCTTTCTCATTTTGCTCACATAGGAAAAAAAGTACCTACTCCAGTTATTTTATATTTTACTCTGGTTAAAAATATCTTAACACTTTCAGTGACCAGGAGCCATGATTGTCTCAGTTTTTATAATTAGGTTTGGAAAACATGGCCAATATGAGAAAAATTGCAAGTTACAGAATGTTAGGACTGAGCTGGGAGTTAGAAGCCATCTTCTCCCACTGACAATTAAATGGGAGTCTCTCCATCTATGGAGTCCTTGTCTATTAACCTTCTAACTTCTACTTGTTACCTCTGATGATAGGTGGTGTATTGGCTTGTAACCAACCACACCTTTGAACACCTCCAAGTTCATTTCACTTTTCCACATTATTTTTTTCATAACGTGAGATATGGATTCCTTGATAAATATCACACAACACAGGTATGTACAATGAAAGAAAAACACACTATTGCCATTTTAAACTCAGTCTTACCAAACATTTTCACTGTGCATGTATGCATTATTTTTTTGTTTGGGTAGAAATTGTCTCATGTCATAAAGACCGCTGGGGAGACTGGAATTTTATTAAATGTGAATGTGTAGTTATGCCATCTTTTTAGGGAAGATGTTTCATATATCACATTTAGGTCTGCCTTCTGGAGTAATTTCTACTCATTCATCTATGGTGTCTTCTAGATTGATACAGAATGATCTACCTTCTTTATCTACATAACAAATTCCAAGGCTTGGTGCAGATTCTCAAGAGTTTTATTCAGAAATCCTGGTTAAGACTCAAAGCAAATCATTTCACTATTTGGATGACTAGGGGTTTTTTTGAACATGTGTGTCATATTATGTGTATCATATATATGATACATACCCATTGTATTAGTCTGTTCTCATGCTGCTGATAAAGGACATACCCAAGACTGGGTAATTTATAAAGAAAAAAAGGTTTAATGGACTTACAGCTCTACATGACTGGGGAGGCCTCACGAGCATGGCAGAAGGTGAAAGCCATGTCTTACATGGCAGCAGGCAAGAGAGAGAATGAAAACCAAGTGAAAGGGGAAACCTCTTAGAAAACCATCAGATCTCATGGGACCTAGCACCATGAGACAGTATGGGGGAAGCTGCCCCCATGATTCAATTATCTCCATTTGGGTCCCTCTCACAATACAATGGAATTATGGGAGCTACAATTCAAAATGAGATTTGGATGGGGTCACAGCCAAACCATTTCACCCATATAGATACAGACACACACACACACACACACACACACACACACACACACACACATTTTTCTTTTTAAGAATTATCACAGCATTTCTATGGGACAAAGCTACCTCTTACTACGTGGCAGTTGAGAGGTACAGGGATTATCAAACTCTTCTTTTCTTTCAGTAAAAAAAGTTTCCTGTTTATAGATTTCTGCCCAAAAGTGGCTTTCTTATTTTGCAGAGATGATAATACTAACCTCATAGAGCATGACAAAGCTTAAATTAGCTCTTGAAATTATAGTCCTTTATACACTGAAAGCCATGGGTTTATGATGGCAAAGACAGCCTCTCAAACATTTACAAACTCTCTTTGTGTTTCAATCAATTCAACAGGAATGTCCTAAGCATGTCAGACATTACACAGATGATGAAAAAGTGTAAAACACACTTCTTCACTTACAGATATTGGATGCTAGTTTAAAGATACAGAAGACATACAAAAGGGAAATTATCAGAAGAAAGTAATTTTCAGTAGGCATAGGGCAAACTGAAATTTGATTCTTGCAACCTCTGATGTTCTTGGAGACAGCAAGTGGAAGATATTCCTGATACAAAATAAAGGAAATATGGCCAGTGCCCACAGCCTGAAGGTGGGCTAGAGTCACGTTCATCCTGTGGGCCCTGGCCACATTTCCTTGCGTGAAGGTGGGCTAGAGTGTTTTGAATGTTGTGTCCTAGGACTTAGCCATTCAGATTTCATTAGATAACATGTGGTTCACTTACCTGCACTTAGGCAATAGCTAGAAACATGCTTCAGATTCATGCTTGGGTTGATCCCCATCTCCAGTGGTTTCTAGTCCTATCTGGCTTACTTTGAACTTCCCCAATACGGGACCTACACCAGCTGTGAAGGATGCCCAATTTTAATCTTCTGGATGGTATAACTAGCTCAAAATGATCACGGGTGAGCCTCATAAAGAACTTATCCTGAAGGCACATACACCTTTAACAAGGGCCAAAAAAATAACCCACAACCTATCTTACATTTTCCAGGCCACTGACAATACTAACAGTGGTGAATTTCCACTCCAGCATCAGCAAGTCCCTGACATCGAGAGTTTCACAGCAAGGTAAATCTAATTAAATTAGCTCTAGAAGACACCTCTGAATAACCAGCGGAATAAAAGTACAGAGCCCTACATCTTAATCACTGAAACAGGTATTTGTGGTTCACAATATTTGGTAGATGAATCACTCCGTTTTTTTTTCCTTAAAACAAATTAAGCTGAGCACCCAGCTTCTGCTCACCAAAGACAATGAGATATCCAATATCAGACCTTAACTGAGGCTCCCCCGCCCCCTCTATTAGATCATAAAAAACCCAGAGCTGATTTATATGACATCAAGAAAATAAGAAAGGAGTCTGGCTCAGGAAAACCACAAGGCCATTCCTCACAAGTGTCTTCCCCACTGACCACAGGCTGGACTGCTGAGGACCCACTGCTTCCAGAAACCACAGTAATTAATGTCCAGCCATCAAAGGCATCCACACTGACACCCTCTTCTCTTCTTGGGTCCTGCCATCCCAGGAGAGCCTGAGGGCCCAGAGTTCAGGTTTTCTGTGTGTTCTAAAGTACTTTTATTTCATCCTAAAGATGAGGAGGCCATCTTCTCTCTCTGAGATGATTCAGCTGAACTTCCAAGTGAAACCAAATTCCCTATTAAACAGAATATACTCAATATTAAAAGGCTGCCTTCTTTATGAAATAATTTTGTAATCCTCAAACCAATTGCGTATAAGGAAGAAGTTCTATTGGATGTGAGAATGCTCAGGTTAGACAGTTGGAAGAATATTAGGAAAGCAGTGGCTGGAAGACACAGCCATCAGAAAAGGCAGCAGAATTTCCTCTGGAAATTCTATCGAACATTAGGAATAACTGGGTGGGGTTGTCTTTTAATGAGGTCCTGACCCAGAGATGAATACAGATACATTGCATTTCTGAGATTTCTGTGGCTCCTTCTTTCGTTCCCTTCCGCATGGAATTGCCACATCATGAACATCCCACTTCTTAAATGTCTCTCACATACATTACTTCATGTCTGTTATTATTGCTGGTATTGCTGGGTTATTTCTTCTTATCTCTTATCCATCCGATTTTCAAGAACTTCCAAACTATTCTTTCTGTTACTAATCACCAACCTCCAGCATAACCAGTTCTTAGACAATTGATCCTTACTTCACCAGTATAAATTTCTTCAAGGGAAATGTTGACTTTATCAGTCTGCTGTTCACAAACTTTCAGTGACTCCTTTAACCAGCTGAATTAAATGCAAATTTCTGAGCTCTGTGTTTAGGATTTCTCTCTCTCTCCACCCCAATACTGTGTGTGTGTACACATGCACACATGCATGCATTTGATATATGACACCTTACTTACACACATGCACATGCATGCACGTGTGTGCACACACACAATGCAAGACCAAAGAGTCATGCAATAAAATCTGAATGTTAAAACTATTTGCAAAAAAAAAAAAGAAAAAAGCTTTTTCAAAGCCCCAGTGGTACTATGCAAAAAATAACAATGTGTCAAATATGATTCTGGACACAAGTAGCCCGTAGTCTACTGTGGTTAAGGAAACAGCTTGCCATGACCAATCAAAGGGAGAATTGATTCACCTCAGCTCTTGAGCTTTTAGTGGTCTGCATCTCAAATTCTATTTGTCTGTTTTAAATGGGCCCTGATCTCCGTGATCCATTGTCATCCTCCACTGCTCTGCCAGGAGCTGGAAAGATGAGCAGCCCGGCTTTGTGCCAGCTCTTTTGGCTGAGTGAGAGTGGTGGGATAGAATGCTGGAGAAGACCAGCTTCAGAGGCCACAGTTCCCAGCTTCGAATTACATGTAAAATTGTTTCCAAAGGATGCTTTCTTTTGAATATGAATTTCTAAAAGCTGACTTTTAAAATCATTTCTAAGTACCAAAAGAATTAATTTGTCACTCTAAATTTGTATTTGCTTTGGTTTCTCTTGCATTTCATCTTTTCTTCGTATATCTACTACCTCCGTCTTGCTCTATTTCTGCCCCTTAGATGTATCTGCCTGCAGCAAATGTACTTAGAAATGTATTTCCACAGACAGAGCCTGCAGGAAACTCAACAAAGTGAGTCGAGAAATGAGAGAAAACCTATATTGATCTCCCCTCCCCATCAGTGTCTCTCATTTGGATTCTGTTGCAACGTTGTGTTATTGCCTGGGAATGACAAGGTTTGCTGAGCAAAGAATTCTGAAATTAGTTCAAAGGCATTTCTACTTCTCTTCCTATTTTACAGAATGAAACCATAAATAAATTGAGCCCCATATTCAAACTAATCAATGAACACCAACCATCTCTTTAATGTTTCTGCTGTAAACTTTTAAAAGTAATAAAAAGACAAAACCACTTCCTGAAATGAGATGGAGGGAAAAGGGCAAGAGGAATATTGTCATATAGCTAATGAGGTAGTCCCCTCGATCCAAAACCCAACTGCCGAAATCAGATAGATTCTGTGGAGGAGGTGTTGCAGGTGAAGATTGGTAAATCCAAGAACAGAAGCAGGATGGCTCACAGCATCCATGGCCACCAGGAACATCTTTACTTAGAGTCAGTAGAACTCTCCAAGAGTAAGAGCTGCATTCTTGGGGATGAAGACTTGATCTGCCCACTCATCCGTCTCACTGTGCCTAAGGCAAACCCCTTGCCTGCATGTTTCATGGATCTAGCAAATTAATTTCTTCCTCTGCCTTCTTCCCTCTTCCTCTCAGAAAGCAACCAACCTCAGGGGTGGAGGGAACTAATATCTCCTGAGCACCTACACTGCAGGGCCAGGAACTAGCCCAGGATTCTTCTTGAATATTATTTCAGTCTGTCTCCATAATAACTCTGGGAGATGGAAGTGCTGTCCTATGGCACTGCAAGGAAATGGGGCTCAAGAGATTTATTTCATTGCCCAGGGTCACCCAGAAGGGAAGTGGCAGGCTAGGATGTGAACACACATCTTCGACTGGGTTTCCTGAAAGGCAGTTCCTGAGGCAAGCACTTGGGAACAAGTAGGTTTATTTGGAAGGTGATTCCAGGAAGCAGGAGGGAAGAGAAAGAGGAGAGAATGAGGCAGGGAGGGTGGAAATGGCCACTGAAGCAAGATTAATGAGTGATGACTGCTATGGGCAACAGAGTCTCAAGCCAGCTCTGTGGAAGGGTGTGGACTGCACCCAGAACTGGAAGGCTGGGGAATATCGCCACAAACCCTATGGGTTGGCAGCTGCTGCCCCAAGGGGTGTCATTTCACCCTCTGGGGGTGCAGGGGAAAATCCCCACATGCTGAAAAATGTCAGCATGCTGAGGACTGACTGCCACAGGCACTGGCAAACTCAGGTGGTGTTACAGAATCGGCAGGCACGGATGCTTGCTGTGCCATAACAGCCCAATACAGCAGGGATGGCAGCAGAGAAAGAGTTCAGTGATTGCAGGGAGGCCAGGCCAGGGGACGGGAGGGGGCCCTCAAACCCATCTCCCCATGGAGGTCTTGGCTGGGGTTTTTAAGGGGATTATGGGGGCAAGGGCCTAGAAAACTGGGGTTGCTGTTTGGTTGTGATAACAGGAGTGAAATAATCAGGATGTGGAAACTACATTCTTTGGTGAGTCAGCTCCTCGTGGGGTCCTTCAGATTCATTGGCGTCAGTAGTTTCACGAGTTTGCAGGACCTGAAAGAATATCTCAAATAGAAAACTTAACCTTTTGTTGTTATCTATAGAGCAGTTAAGAGGAGCGAAAATCTTTTTTTTTTTTCCCAGGCTGGAGTGCAATGGCATGATGTCAGCTCACTGCAAGCTCCACCTCCGGGGTTCACGCCATTCTCCTGCCTCAGCTTCCCCAGTGCTGGGACTACAGGTGCCCGCCACCACGTCCGGCTAATTTTTGTATTTTTAATAGAGACAGGTTTCACCATGTTAGTCAGGATGGTCTCTATCTCCTGACCTCGTGATCTGCCCGCCTTGGCCTCCCAAAGTGCTGGGATTACAGGCGTGAGCCACCGCCCCCGGCAAGAGGAGCTAAAATCTTATGATAGGGTTTACATGATTCTAGGACAACAGGAAAACAACTACGAGGAAGCCGGGCAGAAGGCAAGCTGACCTACTGATTAGTGCTGAGTGTGCTGCAAGCTTGGTTTATCGTTGTTCCCTTCTTCCTTGATTGATTTTATAAAGCTTACAGGGATGCTTTCAGCAGGACCAGGGGTGCGGGTTAAAACACCCTGGTCATCTGCCACATCAGCTGTGCCTCCAGTGCCCACGGGGTCTGCCCCAAGCTTGTCTCCCACAGTCCTGTCGCCTCCTGATCACACACCAGTGGTGCTTCTTGCTCCACCCTGACTACAGCAAATGCTCCTTCCAAGATGGTCACTTGCAACTCAAACCACCAGAACATCGGAATGTCAGGCTCTGTGTGAGAGAGTTTGAAGGTTTAAAGGGAGTGGTTCTCAAAGAGGCATCCCACACCAGTAACATCAGCATTACCGGAACGTGTCAGACATGCAGATTCTCAGGCTCCTGCTGCATCAAAGCGCTGGGAGTGGAGAACTGTTATCTGAAGTTTAACAAGCTCTGAAGGTGATTCTGATGCACACTTAAGTTTGAGAACTACTGAGAGCAGTCTCTGGTGTTTCCCATAGAAATTTGCACTTAAAGATAGCAACTTAGAAACTTTTCTGAAAATTTAAATGGTTTTAATAGAAAGAGGAAGGGAGGAAGGAAAGAAGGAAGGAAGGAAGGGAGGGAGGGAACAAGGAAAGAAAAGGAACTCATTTGACCATTAAATATAAATCTTGTGTTTGTCATATTTTTGTAGAAAAGAGGTTCTTAACCTGCGGAATCACAAACCTCTCCTGCCACCATGGGTTTCTGAACAGAATTAAGAGAATTCATGAGGGAGAAGCACATTTTTATTTTCACTAAACTCTACTGAAATGTAACATTTTGTTCAATTTGAGTGTAGGTTGATAAACCACAGCAGTACTGGCCATTCCCATGATTTTGTCACCAATAAAACCACAGATATATGCAGATGCATTAGAGTTGTTGCAAATATCTAAAATATTACTTAACTCCTCACTACCTCAATCTTATTTAATGTATTAATTTAAAAAACAAAAAACACATGTATAAGAAAGACAAGGGAAAGATGGGGAGGATAAGAGGGGAGAAGCAGGGAGGGAAGGCAATCCACAGCATAAAGGGAGGAAATACTATGTATTCAGAGTAGTTCCTTTAAGAGAGCTGAACGCAAAAGCAAATGAGAAGTGGGAGGGCCAGGAGGAGGAGAGGGAGGGGGAGCAAGATTCAGCCTAAAGGAATAGGCTCAAGGAAAATCACATTCCTGTGCAAGTAGGTACTGAACATGGACACATACATCTCAGTCAACAATGGTGTGTTAAGTGCTTTCTCTGTTCCAGGCAGGATGCTAAGACCTAGGGAGAAAATGGTAAAACTGGACCCTTTTCTCAAACTCACTTTAAGCTCATCAAACCAGAACAAATATTTTCATCAAGCAAATATGGATCAACCATCTATATGCAAGTACTACTCATGATTATTAAAGATGAGGTCCTGGGACTCACAAAGTATACACTCTAGTTGATCGGTCAAGGCATAAAACAATTCAAAATTACAGGGGGTATCGATGAGCCAGGAAGATGTTAACAAGTTCCTAATCAGCATCCAGACCAGAGCTGTGACAGGGCTGGGGAATGTCGAAGTCAGCCTAGGGAGGTGCCACTTAACCTAGGGGGGCAGTAGGACCTCAAGTTTGGAAAAAGGTGATTAGACCAGCACGGCTGAAACAAAAGGGACATGTAGGACCGTGGAAGTGCTTGCTTAGAAGATTAAACCAGAGCCAAGACTGATGAGGTTCCAACGGCCAGGCTAAATCTAAAGTCCCATTAGCCACAAAGATTAATTTAGAATTAGTGTTTCTTTTCATACAAGGATGCCATTGATACAGAATCAAAAGCGGTTAAACTGTTTTCAATTCCCCTACATGACAAATACTTAATGTAACTAAAAAAATAATACTGCCAGTGGTAGTGTTCATCAGTCATACATATATATAATACATATAAATAGTAAATAATATTAAATAAAATATTAAAATAATAGTAATATATTTTATACAAATATTTTATATATATATATATTTAGAGACAGAGTCTCACTCTGTGGCCCAGGCTGGAATGCAGTGGCAGAATCATAGCTAACTGCAGCCTCGACCTCCTGGGCTCAAGCAATCCTCCCACCTCAGCCTTCCTAGCAGTTAAGACTACAGGCTCATGCCACCATGCACAGATAATTTTTTTTTTTTTGTAGAAACAGGGTCTTGCTATGTTGCCCAAACTGGTCTTGAATTCCTGACCTCGAGCGATCCTCTCACCTCAGTCTCCCAAACTGCTGGACTACAGGCATAAGCCACCGCGCTCGGCTGTTTCTATTCTTTATTCTTCCTTCTTTCCCCACATTATCTGATTGTCTGATAAAGTCAGCTTCAGAAGGTCTGGTGACCATCTATTTAGTTGCAAGCGCCATTCCTCGGTCAGTTGCGAGCTTGGGGCGCCCTCTAGAGGACTAATGAAATACGCCGGCTTGGGGCAGCTTTAAATTTGGGCTGCACAGAGGAATAATCCGGGGAGCTTTAAAAACTCCTGCTGCTGGGCCCCACACTTACAGATGGAAATTTAATGGTTCTGCAGTGTGGCTTGGGCATCAGAGTTTTCTAAAGATCACCCAGATTTATAATAATTCTTGGAATCAGAGAGTGTTGGCCCTCCAAATTTGTTGTTCTTTTTTCAGTGTTCTGGCTGTTCCAGGTCTTTGGCATCGCCATATAATATTAGAATTAGCATATCAATTTCCAAAAGAAAATGCCTGCTGAAGGCTGGATCAGTAAGTCTTTTGCCCTCCCTTCTGCAGCCTTCTGCCTGCTGGTGCCAAGCTGCAGAAGGGAGGACTTACCGATCCAGGAAGATGAGGAGAGATGAGAGAAGAGATGAGAGCCAAGGGAGGATGGATAAAAACAGCCAGCAAAGCAAAAGGCGGCTGGGACTAGGTGAGGGGAGGGACGACAAAGGAAAATAGTATTGCTTGCCATTCCATTGCAAAATTGATTCTATTGCTGTCTTCTGAACTCCCCTGAAATGACCCCACAAAGTGCACAATGCTCATCAATGCTTTCAGCCAGTGGACTTCAGGCAAAATTCAAAGGGGGTGTTGTTTCACGCATCCTAGGGCAAAGCAGAGACTGGAAGTATAAGAAGCCTGGAGACTGAGAAGGCCCTGTGAACATAAGCCTCCCAAAATTCTTAGCCAATCTTTTAGATTGGGTCTTGGACATTGATGAGCCATGGCATTGATGGCCAAGCTAGTTTACCTAGATCTCTGGAAGGCAGGATAGAAGACAATTTGATGAATGACCCATACCAGGGCATTGAACTTTCCTCTCCCATACACACATGAGATTCCTCTTCTGCAGATGAAGAAAGAGCCACCACCCTTTCTCGGCTGGCAGTGGGTAGGAGGGGAGTGAGTGTGAGTTAGCCAGAGTAAGGCTGGAGATATGAAATCAGCAGAAGGCACAGGGATTCCCTTGAAGAAGGCAGAGAAATGAAAATCCAGAGGAAAAATTAGTGAGCCCAAATCAGCACAGCAAAAAGGATTCACATGAAGAACAGGAAACAAAGAAAGAAAAATCAGAAAAGAATATGACTGTGCTCCAGAACTGATATCAGTTGGTAGTGATATCATTACATTTCATATTTCACAGCAACTGTAAATTAGAAGGGATTGATTATTTTCAAGTGCGGGGACATCAATATGGGAGGGAAATATACACATTCTAAGGCATTGCTAATGGTTCTGGACAATTAGGAACAGAGACTTCACAATATTTAGCCGCTAATAATCATAATTATATTCCAGGTGGTTGGGCACTACGTTTTGGAGATGACGCAATTTCTCAGAACAGATTTCCCAGAGAACAAGCTACATAAATAATATTATATAATATTTCATGATACTAGGGAAATGACATCATGTTTAAGACAGCTCCATGGCTGTGAAGTATTGCTCAGAGAACCACTTCTGTAAATTTGGTGAAATAGATTCAGTCTGTGGGCATTGGAGGGTGTACGACTGGGGTCAGGGCCAAGTCTCACAGTAACTTGAAGTTCGTGGCTAGGAATTTTGCTCTTTATGTAAAGAGCAACGAGAGCAGTGGAAAAGTTTCCTTCCGGAAAAAGCTTGACCTCATTTATAGCTGGAAATCCAGGGGTGCTCTCCAGCCTGGAGGTCCGATGCGGAGAGGGCAGCGCTCGCTGCTGCAGGCGGTGCCAATAAACAGTGATTGTTTCCCCTCTGCAGTTTTGAGATCATCCTTTCTTTTGTTTTTCTTGTTTCCCTGCCTAGGTCTGATCAGAAGTTCATTTTGAATTGTATTAAGACTTAGAGATGGTCTTCCTCTCTCTATTGTCTTCTTCTCACCATTAGCTTAAGTGAAAAATTAAACTGATGTAAGTCACCTGTGTGTATTGCAGACCCTGAAGCCTCAAATTTAAGCCGTCAGTGTGCAACATGTGTTAGTGGCGGCATCTCCTGGCGGAAGGTGGTATTGACTTGCTTGTTCTCTAAAACAGCAGTTATCAAGCTTTTTGTTCATAAGATCCCTGTATACTGTTAAAAATTATCGAGGGCCGTAAAGAATTTCTGTGCAAATGGGCCATATCTATCGATATTTATAGAATTACAAATTGAAGCAGAAAATTTTAGTATTTTCTTATGTATTAAAATAACAATAAACCTGTTACATATTAGGGTGAATAACATATATTATTAAAAGTAGCGTTGCTTTCCAAACAATAAGATGCATTGTCTTAAAATCCTGCATATCTATAGCATAGGGCTTAATAAAAGACATCTGGGTTCTCATATATGCTTCTACATTAAATCTAAATATGTTGTTTCTGTTGATTACATGAAGAAAATTTCAACCTCCACAAATATATAGCCTTTTCAAATAATTGTAGATATTCTTTCTGGATACTACAACAAAACTTGACGAGTGATAGTTTCTTGAAGTTGAGCTGCACTGTGAAATCTGCAAATGTGTCAGTGAACTTTTTCTTCACAGTTACATTAAAATCTATTGGTTTCTCTTCCACTTTGCATAGATATTTACCAGTGCATGATTTTGTAACCTTACTTCTCAGGAAAATATGGGCTACTGAGTTATGTAGACCTCCCAAGTGTTAACGTACTACATTACATTGTGCAATCAAAAATGTGTTTAGTGGCCGGGCGCGGTGGCTCACGCCTGTAATCCCAGCACTTTGGGAGGCCAAGGCGGGTGGATCACAAGGTCAGGAGATTGAGACCACCTGGCTAACACAGTGAAACCCCGTCTGTACTAAAAATACACACACACACACACACACACACACACACACACACACACACACACACACAAAAAGCCGGGCGTGGTGGCGGGCGCCTGTAGTCCCAGCTACTCTGGAGGCTGAGGCAGGAGAATGGCGTGAACCCGGGAGGCGGAGCTTGCAGTGAGCTGAGATTGTGCCACTGCACTCCAGCCTGGGCGACAGAGCGAGACTCTGTCTCAAAAAAAAAAAAAATGTGTGTAGTAATTTCATCACTAATCATATCAGAAAAGTCTTTAAGTGAAGAAAATGTCAAGCTCACTGTGGTGAATACACATTTCCTACAATTCTAGTTTTTGCTTGAAAGTTCGTATTTTTTCACCAAGTACCAACTGGTTTTCCTCGAAATGACACATTCATTCTGATTATTTTTTAGAAAACACCCAACACCCAAATCTGAATAACCTTACTTTATCTGTCAGTTATTTCAAGTAAAAATAGCATTCCACCAAAAAAAAAGTGATTACAACCCTCACAACCCTAACAACCAGACAAGAGTTTTTCCTCTGAATGAATGTTGTACTTTGGTGTACAGCAGAAGTGCTCTCTGCACACTTCCCATTTCATCATGCAGATAATTTAAAAGATACATATTTATGGACCAATATTTAATAAAATTAATAGCTTTTACCACTTCTTCAAGAAAATTTGTCAGTTTCACTGACAAATTTAAAACCCAGTCAAGACACCTCAACGATGAACTCTCCAAACCCTTGATTATTGTTGTATCCATTACAGTTTGGGGTAAGAACAGAACCCACCCTGCTTATTTTAAGCAGGGAAGGATTTAATACAGACATTTACAAAGTCACTGCTGAACCTAAAGGAGCACATTCTGGGCTGGGCTTCAGGAATCATCAGCTGTTGGAACATTGCAGAAGCGACCCACCAGGGAAACTACCGGCCCAGAGACCACCCCTGGAGTTCTCCCAAATTCGAGAAGCCACTGGTGTCTATGGGGCCAGAAAACTCAGTAGTCTTTTGGCAAGATGCTTCAGAATCTCCTTGTTTCCCAACAGATTCAGCCAACACGTATGCAGGAAGATGCTTTCACCTCATTCCTATGATCCAAACATCATGTGAGTCAATCTAATCACAAAGCTTAAGTTGCTTCCAGAACTCTAACGGCAAAGAAATCTGAAAAATACAGTGTTTGGCTTTCAAACCTCTCAAACTTAGAAGGAAGGTTAAACGAAGATTGAGCAAGTCAATTCATTGTTCTAGATGTACTCAACAGTAATTTTCTCACAAAAGTCAGTGGTAACAAATGGCCGATTACCACTTTTTATCCAAATGATGGAGGCTGTTTCTAGAAAATATATACAGAGATTTCTATTTTACGCTCTAACCATTGGTTTTCAGCAAACCATGCCAATTGCAGGTTGTAAACCCAGAAAGAAAGGCAGGGGAGACAGGGACTGGGCAGGTTTATCATACTCAGAGAGAATCTGACTTGTCCTGATGAGAAACCAGGACCTTTCTCCGGGCATCCCTAGGAGGGCACAATAGAGATACCACCACTATGTTCTAGTATCTCTGTTAAAGCCTCTCCTTCTGGTCCACTGAACAGTGCTTCTGTCAAGCCAGTAATTCTCAAAACTTGCTATTGTGTTAAGAATGTGGTTAAAATGCGTAGTGTCCTGAGCTTATTTTGATTTTGTATGTCCAAGAGATAATGATTCAACATACCTAAGACAGAATCTAGAATTCCTTAAAAATTTATCTTTTTAAAACATTTCTGTCTTTTTATTTATTTATGTAACAGTTTACCTCAGGACATTCAGATGTAGCTGGTTTACTGATCACAGTATGATAAACATTGTTTTAAGACATCAGGTCCTAATCTGTTCATTCAGACTTGCCAGGAGACAATTTATTAAGATGAAATAAAGTCCCTGACACCTTGTGATCAGTTAGTTGTGCCCGGAGTGGACCAACACAGCCGGAGCAACGCAGCAAGGCTGAGTGGTGGTAAATTCTTCCATCACTTTAAAGCTAAAGAAGCCATTTCCCACTGAAATCCAGCTAAAAGTCATATACTGTTCTAGTTTATCACAAAATTGTTGTTTTTGTTTTGTTTCCATTAATTCTTTTTGGTTAGATTTTATTTGGGCATATAATGTGAAACAACAATCTGCTTTCTCACCCTATGCTACTTCATTCTTGATTTGTGATGTTTCCTTTATCCTATTTTGAGCATTTTTTTTAAATTAGGGTGTCTTTTGGGACTCATTATTTTTTATTGAGCTGTTCGTCAGGGTTCCAACCAGAGAAATGCTATTCTAATCTTAATAGCTATCCAGTTTATTTTTATATTAGAAGGAGGAGCACATTATTCTCATTGTTTTGTCTCTTTAAAACTGTACTGGCTCTTTTCACTAATTGCTTCTTTTTTATTCCAGATGAGCTTGTGCAGTAAATCCATATTGATTTTTCATTCTCTTGATTTATTATTTTATATCAGGTCTAACAGACTTCTCAGGCTTTTTATTTATTCCTTCTGTCCCCTTACTTAGAATTGCTACTCATGTTATCAGATCATTGTAGGTGTGTGGTGTTATCTCTGGGTTCTCTATTCTCTTCCATTGGTCTATGTGTCTGTTTTTGTACCACTACCATGCTGTTTTGGTTACTGTAGCCCTGTAGTATAGTTTGAAGTTGGGTAGCATGATGCCTCCAGCTTTGTTCTTTTTGCTTAGGATTGTCTTGGCTATTCAGGCTCTTATTTGGTTCCGTATGAATTTTAAAATAATTTTTCCAGTTCTGTGAAGAATGTCAACAGTAAGTTTAATGGAAATAGCACAGAATCTATGAAGTGCTTTGAGAATAATGGCCATTTTCATGATATTGATTCTTTAACAATATTGATTCTTCCTATCCATGAGCATAGAATGTTTTTCCATTTGTTTGTGTCCTCTCTGATTTCTTTGAGCAGTGGTTTGTAGTTCTTCTTGTAGAGATCTTTCACTTCGCCTGTTAGCTATATTCCTTGGTGTTTTATTCTTTCTGTGGCAATTGTGAATGCGAGTTCATTTGTGATTTGGCTCTTGTCTTGACTGTTGGTGGTATAGGAATGCTAGAGATTTTTGCACATTGATTTTGTATCCTGAGACTTTGCCGGAGTTGCTTATCAGCTTAAGACACTTTTGGACTGAGACAATGGGGTCTGGGCAATACCATTCAGGACATAGGCATGGGCAAAGATTTTATGACAAAGACACCAAAAGCAAAGCAAAAATTGATAAATGGTATCTAATTAAACTAAAGAGCTTCTGCACAGCAAAAGAAACTATCAATAGAGTAAACAGACAACCTACAGAATGTAAGAAAATTTTTGCAAACTATGCATCTGACAAAGGTCTAATATCCAGCATCTATAAGGAACTTAAATTTATGAGAAACAAACAAACAACCCCATTAAACAGTGGGCAAAGGACATGAACAGACACTTTTCAAAGGAAGACATACATGCAGCCAACAAGCATATAAAAAAAGGTCAGCATCACTGGTCATTAGAGAAATGCATATCAAAACCATAGTGAGACACCATTTCACACCAGTCAGAATGGCTATTAATAAAAAGTCAAAAAATAACATGCTGGTGAGGTTGTAAAGAAAAAGGAATGCTTATATATTGTTGGAGGGAGTGTAAATTCATTCAACCATTGTGGAAGACAGTGTGGTGATTCCTCAAAAACCTAAAGACAGAAATACCAGTCAACCCAAAAATCCCATTACTTATATATCCAAAGGACTATAAATTGTTCTATTATAAAGACGCATGCACGCATATGTGCATTGCTGTGCTATTCACAATAGCAAAGACATGGAATGCTCATCAATGATAGACTGGATAAAGAAAATGTGGTATATATATACCATGGAATACTATGTAGTCATAAGAAAGAATGAGATCCTGCCCTTGATAGGGACACGGATGGAACTGGAGGCCATTATCCTTGGCAAGTGAAGGCAGGAACAGAAAATCAGATAAGTCATGTTCTTACTTATAAGTGGGAGCTGAGTGATGAGAACACATGGACACATAGAAGGGAACAACACATACTAGGGCCTATAGGAAAATAAAGGGTGAGAGAAGGGAGAGGATCATGAAAAATAACTAATGGATACTAGGCTGAACACCTGGGTGAAGAAACAATCAGTACAATAAACCCCCATGACACACATTTACCTATGTAACAAACCTGCACATCCTGCATATGTACCCCGAACTTCAAATATTTATTCTGGCTAAATTTATACTGCTTGATTAAGTGACATTATCACTAAATAAGCATTTACTCATCTCAGTGTTCAATAGCATTTGCTAAAGAAGGAAAGAAAAATAAATTAAAATATATAAAAAATTTTGTTACAATTAGGGTGAGTTTTATTGTTATTAGAGATTAATGAACACAAATTTTGGAAATGAATATATTCATGATCTTGATTATAATGATGGTTTCATGAATGTATGCATGTGTCAACATTTATCGAATTATCCATTAAATATATGTGTTTTACTGTATGTCAACTACGTCTCAATAAAGCAGTTAAAATTTTAAAACTATGTTTATCTCTTTTTTATCTTCTAAAAACAAAATTATCTATTTTGTCTTCAGTAGAACAAAGGAAGTTAAAATTAGCTCCATAACATCATGTAGATTATGCCTTTCTCTGCCCCATATTGACACTGCTTAAATATTCAAGCGTACCTATGTATGCTGACACCACAAATCACCAGAGAAACTTTAAATCAATCTGCAACCCATAGATCACGCATAAGCTCAGCAAATTGCAAGAAAACACATTGGGAGTTGTCCAAATCAATCTGGGCCATCTATACTGCATATTCATACACCTAAGCAATATACACAAACACAGCAGATGGATTTTGAAGTGTGTGTTTGGTACCCAAATGTATGCTCTCTTTGTAGCAGGCAAATTCGTAACCACCACCATCACCCTGGATAGCCATAGATGTTTAGGTTCTGGTCTACCAGTGGAGCCAAACTGGATCAATGAGATAGTCTCTCTCATAAAAATTTACAACTAGAATTCAGAGATACCACAAATTCCTAGTGCTGATTTGATCATAGGGCATGTAAATTCCAAAGCTGTGCCATTTTCACCATTAGCCATGAACACTGACAGTCAGAGGGAAAAGAAATGTCTGAAGAGAAATAATAACAAAGCAGATGGGATGAGCACTCAGGATGGGAGTGAGAGAGAGAGAAGCAGAGAGAGTGTGAATTAGTTGGCTATTCATAATAGGCTTTCATCTTGTCTCTCATCTGCCTGCATTAATTCTTGAAAACCATGTATCTGATTAGTCTTTTCACTTATCTTTCTTTCTGTCCACCTAAATAAATTTGAAGAGTACAAACTAAAACCCAGTACAGTTGACCCTTGAATAATGCAGGTTAGAACTGTGTGGGTCCACTTGTATGTAGATTTCCTTCTGCCTCTGCCACCCCTGAGACAGCAAGATCAATCCCTCCTCTTTCTCCTCCTTGTCAGCCTATGCAGTGTGACAATATTGAAGATGAAGACCTTCATGCTGATCTATTTCCACATAATGAGTAGTCCCCTTTCTCTGTGCTTTGCTAAGTATTGTAGATCCTTCCAATCATAATTGACTTCCTTGCCTGCTGGATTCCAGAGAGTTTTGTTAGTGAAAAACACCAGCAGGTTATTGAAAGGCAGGAGGAGGTGATAAATTTCCTTCCTGTTTAGTTTCAGTTAGTAACAGCAATGGGGGCTGCAACAAGATGGGACCAGAGGATCCAGGGCTCCTAATTAGGCAGAGACCTCCAATAGCAAGAGCTTTAGCAGCACTGTGCTGCATTCTGGATTATTTTCTCAATATTCTTTTCCACTTTACTAATTCTCTTTTTGACAGCTTTAAATGTCATTTAACTCATCTGCTATATTGTTTTAAATTGTAATGATTGCCTTGTTGATGGACAGACTACATTTTTTTCTTAAAATCCAAAGGTATAGCTCTTCAAAAGTCTTGGCTATGTGAGATTCCAACTTTCAAGTCTCCCAGGAAGAGACTAAAACCACTGATCATTTCTGGTTTACTCATAGCCATTAAAATCCAAATTGCTTTGTTACCCTCACACCAGTGAAGCTTCACTTCAAAATTAGCACCCTAGTTTTCCATTTTCCTCTTTGTTTTGTGCCCTAAAGATTTTTCCTTCACTTTCTTGGAAAATCTTAAATGCTTTTAAAAGAATAAGGCAGTGAGCCGAGGTTGTGCCACTGCACTCCAGCCTGAGCAACACAGTGAGACCCCCTCTCAAAAACAAAAAAAAAAAGGAGCACTCAGGATCATGGTGGACAGGAGGCATGACTAGATTGCAGCTCCCACTCGGAGAGGAGCAGTGTGTCAAGACTCATATTGTGAACTTTTGCTCCAGAACGCCTGCAGGAATTCATTAGGAAAGCTGAGAGAACCCACAGGCCCTCTGAAAAAAGTTGATTGCTCCTGCAGGACCCAGGAGACACCCCAAATACTGTGAGTGCCCAAACAATGGAAGTGGGAAAGGGAGATCATCCACCACCCCAACTGGGGAACCTGAAGGTCTAGATTATGGGAGAAGATTCTGACCTTACCCGGAGCTGAGTCAATTTAGAGAGCCAAGTAAATACAGGGGTAGAGGAAGAAACAGGAAAAGCCCTGAGGGCTCACTGGATCCCCCAGCACAAACCATTTCTGCCCTGCCTCGAAGGGGTCCTTAGGGAGGGTGGCCAGAGGCACTGGGCAAAGGTCACATGGAGAAGAAAACCTCCGGCTGAACTTCGTAACAACTGGAATCGATCAAGAAGTCTCCTGGCCAGAACTCAGGGGAAGGCATGACTCTGATGGGCAGACTCCACAAGCAGGGGAAGAATGAAAGCCCTACTTACTTTTGCAGCTGAGAGGCTGGTAGCCTGGGGCATGTTCTCAGCCCTGCTTGCTCACTGCCTGGAAACAGACTTGGTGCTATTGGTGGAGGCAGGGTGGGAGTGAGAGTGGCCCTTTGGGTTGCATGGGAGATGAGTGAGGCCCATGACTGTCAGCTTTCACCCAATTCCCTAACAACCTGCATGACACAATAGAGGCAGCCATAAACCTCCTAGGAACACACCTCCAGTGACCTGTGAAGCTCACCCTTATCCCCCACAGCATCATCATCAAGACCTGCCCAAGGAGAGTCTGAGCTCAAACATGCCTAGTTCTGCCTGGACCTAATGGTTCTTCCCTACCCACCCTGGTAACTAAAGACAAAGAGTGGGGGGCAGTTCCAAGATGGCCGAATAGGAAAAGCTCCAGTCTACAGCTCCCAGCGTGAGCGACGCAGAAGACAGGTGATTTGTGCATTTCCAACTGAGGTATCGGATTCATCTCACTGGGAGTTGTCAGACAGTGGGTGCAGGACAGTGGATGCAGCCCACCAAGCGTGAGCTGAAGCAGGACAAAGCATTGCCTCACCTGGGAAGTGCAAAGGGTAAGGGAATTCCCTTTACTAGCCAAGGGAAGCTGTGACAGACAGCACCTGGAAAATCGTGTCACTCCCACCCTAATACTGTGCTTTTCCAGTTGTCTTAGCAAACGGCAGACCAGGAGATTATATCCCGTGCCTGGCTCAGAGGGTCCCACGCCCACAGAGCCACACTCATTGCTAACACAGCAGTCTGAGATCGAACTGCAAGGTGGCAGCAAGGCTGGAGGAGGGGCGCCCACCATTTCTGAGGCTTGAGTAGGTAAACAAAGTGGCTGGGAAGCTCAAACTGGGTGGAGCTCACCGCAGCTCAAGGAGGCCTGCCTGCCTCTGTAGATGCCACCTCTGGGGGCAGGGCATAGCTGAACAAAAGGCAGCAGAAACCACTGCAGACTTAAAAGTCCCTGTCTAACAGCTTTGAAGAGAGTAGTGGTTCTCCCAGCATGGAGTTTGACATCTGAGAATGGACAGACTGCCTTCTCAAGTGGGTCCCTGACCCCTGAGTAGCCTAACAGGGAGGCACCCCCCTGTAGGGGCAGACTGACACCCCGCACAGCCAGGTACCCCTCTGAGGTGAAGCTTCAAGAGTAATGATCAGGCAGCAACATTTGCTGTTCAGCAATATTCGCTGTCCTGCAGCACCCACTGCTGATACCCAGTCAAACAGGGTCTGGAGTGAACCTCCAGCAAACTCCAACAGACCTGCAGCTGAGGGTCCTGACTGTTAGAAGGAAAACTAACAAAAAGAAAGGACATCCACACCAAAACCCCATCTGTACGTCACCATCATCAAAGACCAAAGGTAGATAAAACCAAAAAGATGGGGAAGAAACAGAGCAGAAAAGCTGACAATTCTAAAAATCAGAGCACCTCTCCTCTCCAAAGGAACACAGCTCCTCACCAGCAATGGAACAAAGCTGGACGGAGAATGACTTTGATGAGTTGAGAGAAGAAGGCTTCAGATGATCAAACTTCTCCGAGCTAAAGGAGAAAGTTCAAACCCATCGCAAAGAAGTTAAAAACCTTGAAAAAAGATTAGACAAATGGCTAACTAGAGTAACTGGTGTAGAGAAGTCCTTAAATGACCTGATGGAGCTGAAAGCCATGGCATGAAAACTACATGACAAATGCACAAGCTTCAGTAGCCGATTCGATCAACTGGAAGAAAGGGTATCAGTGATTAAAGATCAAATGAATGAAATGAAGCAAGAAGAGAAGTTTAGAGAAAAAAGAGTAAAAAGAAATGAACAAAGCCTCCAAGAAATATGGGACTATGTGAAAAGACCAAATCTACATCTTATTGGTGTACCTGAAAGTGACGGGGAGAATGGAACCAAGTTAGAAAACACTCTGCAGGACATTATCCAGGAGAACTACCCCAACCTAGCAAGGCAGAGCACCATTCAAATTCAGGAAATACAGAGAACACCACAAAGATACTCCTTGGGAAGAGCAACCCCAAGACATATAATTGTCAGATTCACCAAGATTGAAATGAAGAAAAAAATGTTAAGGGCAGCCAGAGAGAAGGGTCGGGTTACCCACAAAGGGAAGCCTATCAGACTAACAGCAGATGTCTCAGCAGAAACCCTACAAGCCAGAAGGGAGTGAGGAACAATATTCAACATTATTAAGGAAAGGAATTTTCAAACCAGAATTTCATATCCAGCCAAACTAAGCTTCAGAAGTGAAGGAGAAATAAAATCCTTTACAGACAAGTAAATGCTGAGAGATTTTGTCACCACCAGGCCTGCCTTACAAGAGCTCCTGAAGGAAGCACTAAAAATGGAAAGAATCAACTGGTACCAGCCACTGCAAAAACATGTCAAATTGTAAAGACCATCAATGCTATGAAGAAACTGCATCAATTAATGGGCAAAATAACCAGCTAGCATCATAATGACAACATCAAATTCACACATAACAATATTAACCTTAAATGTAAATGAGCTAAATGCCCCAATAAAAGACACAAACTGTCAAATTGTACAAAGAGTCAAGACCCATCAGTGTGCTGTATTCAGGAGACCCATCTCACATAGAGAGACACACATAGGCTCAAAATAAGAGGATGGAGGAAGATCTACTAAGCAAATGGAAAGCCAAAAGAAAAAAAGGCAGGGGTTGCAATCCTAGTCTCTGATAAAACAGACTTTAAACCAACAAAGATCAAAAGAGACAAAGAAGGCCATTACATAATGGTAAAGGGATCAATTCAAGAAGAGGAGCCAACTATCCTAAATATATATGCACCCAACACAGGAGCACCCAGATTCATAAAGCAAGTCCTTAGAGACCTACAAAGAGACTTAGACTCCCACACAATAATAATGGGAGACTTTAACACCCCACTGTCAACATTAGACAGATCAACAAGACAGAAGGTTAAAAAGGATATCCAGTACTTGAACTCAGCTCTGGACCAAGCAGATCTAATAGACATCTACAGAACCCTCCACCCAGCATCAACAGAATATACATTCTTCTCAGCACCATGTCACACTTATTCTAAAATTGACACATAATTGGAAGTAAAGCACTCTTCAGCAAATGTAAAAGAACTGAAATCACAACAAACTGTCTCTCAGACCACAGTGCAATCAAATTACAACTCAGGATTAAGAAACTCACTCAAAACTGCACAACTACGTAGACACTGAACAACCTGCTCCTGAATGACTACCGGGTAAATAACGAAATAAAGGCAGAAATAAAGATGTTCTTTGAAACCAATGAGAACAAAGACACAATGTACCAGAATCTCTGGGACACATTTAAAGCAGTGTGTAGAGGGAAATTTATAGCACTAAATGCCCACAAGAGAAAGCAGGAAAGATCTAAAATTGACACCCTAACATCACAATTAGAAGAACTAGAGAAGCAAGAGCAAACACATTCAAAAGCTAGCAGAAGGCAAGAAATAACTAAAATCAGAGCAGAACTGAAAGAGATAGTGACACAAAAAACCCTTCAAAAACTCAATGATTCCAGGAGCTGGTTTTTTGAAAAGATCAACAAAATTGATAGACCACTATCAAGACTAATAAAGAAGAAAAGAGAGAAGAATTAAATAGATGCAATAAAAAGTGATAAAGGGCATATCACCACCAATCCCACAGAAATGCCAACTACCATCAGAGAATACTATAAACATCTCTATACAAATAAACTAGGAAATCTAGAAGAAATGGATAAATCCCTGGACACATACACCCTCCCAAGACTAAACCAGGAAGAAGTTGAATCTCTGAATAGACCAATAACAGGATCTGAAATTGAGGCAATGATTAATAGCCTACCAACCAAAAAAAGTCCAGGACCAGACGGATTCACAGCCAAATTCTACCAGAGGTACAAAGAGGAGCTGGTACCATTCCTTCTGAAACTATTCCAATCAACAGAAAAAGAGGGAATCCTCCCTAACTCATTTCATGAGGCCAGCATCATCCTAATACCAAAGCCTGGCAGAGACACAACAACAACAACAAAAAGAATTTTAGACCAATATCCCTGATGAACATCAATGTGAAAATCCTCAATAAAATACTGGCAAAGCGAATCCAGCAGCACATCAAAAAGCTTACCCACCATGATCAAGTTGGCTTCATCCCTGGGATGCAAGGCTGGTTCAACATATGCAAATCAATAAACTCAATCCATCACATAAACAGAACCAATGACAAAAACCACATGATTATCTCAATAGATGCAGAAAAGGCCTATGACAAAATTCAACAGCACTTCATGCTAAAAATTCTCAATAAACTAGGTATTGACGGAACATATCTCAAAATAATAAGAGCTATTTATGACAAACTCACAGACAATATCATACTGAATACGCAAAAACTAGAAGCATTCCCTTCTGGCACGAGACAAGGATGGTCTCTCTAACCACTGCTATTCAACATAGTGTTGGAAGTTCTGGCCAGGGCAGTCAGGCAAGAGAAAGAAATAAAGGGCATTCAATTAGGAAAAGAGGAAGTCAAATTTCCCTGTTCATAGATGACATGATTGTATATTTAGAAAACCCCATTGTCTTAGCCCAAAATCTCCTTAAGCTGATAAGCAACTTCAGCAAAGTCTCAGGATACAAAATCAATGTGCAAAAATCACAAGCATTCCTATACACAAATAACAGACAAACAGAGAGCCAAATCATGAGTGAACTCCCATTCACAATTGCTACAAGGAGAATAAAACACCTAGGAATCCAACTTACAAGGGATGTGAAGGATCTCTTCAAGGAGAACTACAAACCACTGCTCAACGAAATAAAAGAGGACACAAACAAATGGAAGAACATTCCATGCCCATGGATAGAAAGAATCAATATTGTGAAAATGGCCATACTGCCCAAGGTAATTTATAGATTGAATGCCATCCCCATCAAGCTACCAATGACTTTCTTCACAGAATTGGAAAAAAAACTACTTTAAAGTTCATATGGAACTAAAAAAGAGCCCGCATTGCCAAGACAATCCTGAGCCAAAAGAACAAGGCTGGAGGCATCATGCTACCTAACTTCAAACTATACTACAAGGCTACAGTAACCAAAACAGCATAGTACTGGTACCAAAACAGATATATAGACCAATGGAATAGAACAGAGGCCTCAGAGATAACCTCACACATCTACAACTATCTGATCTTTGACAAACCTGACGAAAACAAGAAATGGGGAAAGATCTCCTGTTAATAAATGGTGCTGGGAAAACCGGCTAGCCATGTGTAGAAAACTGAAACTACATCCCTTCCTTACACCTTATACAAAAATTAATTCAAGATAGATTAAATACTTAGATGTTAGACCTACAACCATAAAAACCCTAGAAGGAAACCTAGTCAATACCATTCAGAACATAGGCATGGGCAAGGACTTCATGACTAAAACACCAAAAGCAATGGCAACAAAAGCCAAAATAGACAAATGGGATCTAATTAAACAAAAGAGCTTCTGTACGGCAAAGTAAACTACCATCAGAGTGAACAGGCAACCTACAGAATGGGAGAAAATTTTTGCAATCTACCCATCTGACAAAGGACTAATATCCAGAATCTACAAAGAAATCGAACAAATTTACAAGAAAAAAACAAACAACCCCATCAAAAAGTGGGCAAAGGATATGAACAGACACTTCTTCAAAGAAGACATTTGAAATGCAGCCAACAGACACGTGAAAAATGCTCATCATCACTGGTCATCAGAGAAATGCAAATCGAAACCACAATGAGATACCTTCTCGTGCCAATTAGAATGGCGATAATTAAAAAGTCAGGAAACAACAGATGCTTTAGAGGATGTGGAGAAATAGGAACGCTTTTACACTGTTGGTGGGAGTGTAAACTAGTTCAACCACTGTGGAAGACAGTGTGGCAATTCCTCAAGGATCTAGAAATAGAAATACCATTTAACCCAGCAATCCCATCACTGAGTATATATACCCAAAGGATTATAAATCATGCTGCTATAAAGACACATGCACACATATGTTTAATGCAGCACTATTCACAATAGCAAAGATTTGGAACCAATCCAAATATCCATCAATGATAGACTGGATTAAGAAAATGTGGCACATATACGCCATGGAATACTATGCAGCCATAAAAAAGGATGAGTTCATGTCCTTTGCAGGGATATGGATGAAGCTGGAAACCATCATTCTCAGCAAACTATCACAAAGACAGAAAACCAAACTCATTGTTCTCACCCATAGGTGGGGATTGAACAATGAGAACACTTGGACACAGGGCAGGGAACATCACACACAGGGCCTGTCGGGGGGTGGGAGGCTGGGGGAGAGATAGCATTAGGAGAAATAAATGACGAGTTGATGGGTGAAGCAAACCAACGTGGCACATGTATACCTATGTATCAAACCTGCATGTTGTGCATATGTACCCTAGAACTTAAAGTATAATAATAAAAAAAGAAGAAAAAAGAGAAAAAGCAAAACAATCTAGAGATTCCTTAAAGAACTAAAAGTAGATCTATCATTTGATCCAGAATCCTACTACTAGGTATCTACCCAGAGGAAAAGAAGTCATTATACGAAAAAGATGTTTGCACATGCATGTTTACAGCAGCACAATTCGCAATTGCAAAAATATGGAACCAGTCCAAATGCCCATCAGTCAACAAGTGGATAAAGAAAATGTGGTAGATGTATACTATTGAACACTACTCAGGCATAAAAAGGAATGAAATAATGGCATTCACAGCAACCTGGATGAAATTTGAGATTATTATTCTAAGCAAAGTACCTCAGGAATGGAAAACCAAATATTGTATGTTCTCCGTGATAATTGGGAGCTATGCCATGAGGACGCAAAGGCATAAGAATTATAAAATGGACTTCAGGGACTCTGAGAAAAGGTGGGAGGGTGGTGAGAGATAAAAGACTACACATTGGGTACAGTGTACACTGCTTGGGTGATACATGCACCAAAATCTCAGAAATCACCACTAAAGAACTTATTCATGTAATCAAACAACACCTGTTCCCCAAAAAACCTATTGAAATAAAAAATAAATTTAAAAATAAATGAATAAAATAAGATAAATGTTCTCTGCCTGTATCAAAACATCTCACGTACCCCATAAATACATACACCTACTATGTACCCACAAAAATTAAAAATTAAAAAATTGTTAATAATAAAAAATAAATTGGCTGGGTGCAGTGGCTCACTCCTGTAATCCCAGCACTTTGTGACGCCGAGGGAGGTAGATTGCTTGAAGTCAGGAGTTCGAGACCAACCTGGTCAACTTCGTGAAACCCCATCTCTACTAAAATACAAAAATTAGCCGGACATGGTGGTAGATACCTGTAATCCCAGCTACTCGGGATGTTGAGGCTGGAAAATCGTTTGAACCCAGGAAACAGAGGTTGCAGTGAGCTGAGATGGCGCCACTGAACTCCAGCCTGGGTGACAGAGTGAAACTTCGTTTCAAATATAAATAAATAGAATTAATTAAATCAACTTACTGTTGTTATAAATAACTCCTACTTACATAAAAAATGAGGTTTTTGTTTCACTGATATGAAGATTATAAAAACGTGTTTAAGTGATAAATTATTTTAAACAAAAGAAAATTTAAGTAAATAAAATACAGATTTTGTAAGATACAGTAAAACTCAAGTGAGTAAAATTTGGCAAACATATTTGCATTTTAAAAGACATTTTCTTGTTCTATAAACCTTCAAAAGTATATCTTAGTTCCTCTTATTAGAAGATGAAGATATTAGGCCCATTTTAATTCATTCCACCTTACCTTCTTCTACCTTCCCAATCCCCCTACCTATAGATTTACACTATCAAGATTGGTAATATTAATATTCTGGTATTAGCCCTAATTATTTTTATTCTTTTTGCATATTTTATTCTAAAAGTGTAAAACTATAAGCATCTATATAATTACAACTGTTTTTCTTTCATCAGAGGCCACGTAGTATACCATCTCTATTTTTTCCTATTTCATGACTCTTGTAAGTAGAGAACACAACTATCAATGCTTAATGGAGTCCCTTATTACATTCTACTATTTCTTAAAAATCATGCCGAATTTCAGCTTCCTCCATACTTGGACCTCTACTTCCTGATCTGGTTGTTTATATTATTTTCCAAAAGTTTTTTTAATGCTGTTCTGATTTTAAATTATGTATGCATTTATTTAATAAGTATTAAGTATATACCAAGTATCAGGCAAGAAACAAATAGTCAAATATTCCTGACTTCATGGGTATTATATTTTATAAAGGAAGAAGAAAATTACCAATAAACATAATAAATAGATAAATATTTGCTACCCTCTGCCTGCACACACATGCAGGACTCACCTGCAGGGATTCCTCCTGCCTCACTATCACCCACTGATGTGATATTGCTGTCACCCCTTATCAGAGTGTTGTTGTCAACAAACTGGAAACACCTTAACCCCTCCAGCACATAGGGTGCTTAACCTCAAGAAGCCAGAGAAAAAACCAAGTGTCTGGTCTCAGCCACCCAGTGTTAGCACACACAGCCCAGGAGTGCTGTGGCCCCCTAAAGTCATCCAGAAATGAAGCCAATCAACTAAGTCCAACTTATATATCAGTTAAACCCTAAAGGGTATCAAAGAATGTAAGAGCAAAAAGCCATATCCAAAGGATAGCAACTTCAAACATTAAAGGAACATCAGCCCACACGATTGATAAAGAACCAGCACAAGAACTCTGGCAACTCTGAAACCCAGAGTGACTTCTGACCTTCAAATGACTGCACTAGCTCCCCAGCAATGGTTCTGAGCCAGACTAAAATGGTTGCAATGACACACATAGAATTCAGAATCTGGATAGCAACAAGAATCATTGAGATTCAGGGGAAAGTTGAAACCAATCCAAGGAATCTAAGGAATCCAGTAAAACAATACAAGAGCTGAAAGGGCAAAATAGCCATTTTAAGAAAGAACAAAACATCCTCTAGAGCTTAAAAAATTCATTACAAGAATTTTATAACACAATTAGAGGTATTAACAGCAAAATAGACCAAGCTGAGGATAAAAGTCTCTGAGCTAGAAGACCAGTTCTAAAAAAAAGAAAAAAAAAACTCCATCAAACAAACATAAAGAAAAAAGAATGTAAAACATAGAAAAAAGCTCCAAGAAATATGAGATTATGCAAAGAGATCAAACATACAATGCATGGCATCCCAGAAAGAGAGGAAAAGAGGGCAAGCATTTTGAAAATCATATTTGAGGATATTATCCATGAAAATTTTCCCAATCTTACTAGGGAGATTGATATGCAAATTTGGAAAATTCAGAGAACCCCTGCGAGATACTATACAAAATGTCTATCCCCAAGACATATCGTCATCAGATTCTCCAAGGCCAACATGAAAAAAAAAATATTAAAGGCTGCTAGACAGAAGGGAAAGATCACATACAAAAGGAATTCCATCAGGTGAACGGCAGATCTTTCAGCAGAAACCTTACAAGCCAGGAGAGATTAGAAGCCTATATTTACCATTCTTAAAGAAAAAAATTCCAACCAAGAGTTTCCTATCCAGCCAAACTAACCTTCATAAGCAAAGAACAAATAAAATCCTTTCTAGACAAGTAAATTAAGGTAATTTCTTACCACCAGATCTGGTTTACAAGAGGTAACGGAACTTAAGGAGCAATCTGGGTATTCCAGTGTTGGGTGCATATGTACTTACAATAGTTAGGTCTTCTTGTGGAATCAAACCCTCTATCATTATGTAATGCCCTTCTTTGTCCTTTATGACCATTGTTGGCTTAAAGTCTGTTTCGCCTAAAATAAAAATAGCAACCCCTGCACTCCTTAAGGTGGTGCTAAACATGGAAATGAAACACTATTACCTGCCATTACAAAAACACACTTAGGTACATAGCCCACTGACACTAAAAAGCAACTATACAATCAAGTCTACATAACAACCAGTTGACAACAAAATGACAAGATCTGCCTCACATATAAATATTAACCTTGAATGTAAATGGGCTGAATGCCCCCACTTAAATGTACAGAGTGTCAAGTTGGATATAAAAGTAAGAATCAACTGTATGCTGTCTTAAAGAGACCCATCTCACATGCAGTGACAACCATAGGCTTAAAGTAAAGCTACAGAGAAAGGTCTATTAAGCAAATGGAAAATAAAAAAGAGCAGGAGTTGCTATTCTTATTTCAAATAAAATAGACTTTAAACCAACAATGATCAAAAAAATAAAGAAGGGCGTTACATAATGATAAAGGCTTCAATTCAACAACAACATTTAACTATCCTAAATATATATGCACCCAACACTGGAGCACTGAGATTCATAAAACAAGCTCTTAGAGACCTACAAAGAGACTAAGATAACTACATAACAATAGTAGGAGACTTAAACATCCCACTGACAATGTTAGACAGATCATCAGGCACAAAGCAAAGACATTTGGGACCTAAACTCAACACTCAAACAAATGAACTTAGCAGACAATTACAGAACACTCCACCCAACAACAGAACATAATTCTTCTCATCTTCACATGGCACATACTCTCACATAGACCACATGCTCAGCCATAGAGCAAAACTCAACAAATTAAAAAAGAAATTATCATACCAGCCACACTCTCAGGCCACAATACAATAAAAATAGAAATAAATACCAAAAAGACCTCTCAAAACCATACAATTACATGAAAATTAAACAACTTGTTTCTGAGTGACTTTTGGGTAAAGAATGAAATTAAGGCGGAAGTCAAGAAATTATTTGAAACTAATTAAAACAAAGATACAATATGCCAGAATCTCTAAGACAAAGCTAACATGGTGTTAAGAGGAAAGTTTATAACACTAAATGCCTACATTGAAAAGTTAGAAAGACCTTGAATTAAAAACCTAACATCACACCTGGAGGAACTGGAAAAAACAAGAGCAAACCAACCCTGAGGCTAGCAGAAGAAAAGAAATAACCAAAATCCGAGCTGAACTGAACAAAACTGAGACATGAAAATTCACACAAAAGATTAATGAAACCAAAAGTTTGTTCATTAAAAGAATAAATAAGACTGTTAGACCACCAGCTAAACTAATAAAGAAAAATGAGAAAATTCAAGTAAACACAATCAGAAATGATGAAGATGACATTACCACCGATCACACAGAAATATATAAAAACTCTCAGAGACTAATTCAAACACTTCTATGCACAAACTAGAAAACCTAGAAGAAATGAATCAATTCCTAGAAACATACAACCTCCCAAGATTGAGCTAGGAAGAAATGGAAACCCTGAGAAGACCGATAACTAGTTCTGAAACCAAGTCAGTCATAAAAAAACCTACCAACCAGAAAGAGCCCTAGAACAGACAAATTCACAGCCAAATTCTACCAGACATACATAAAAGAGCTGATATCAATTCTACGGAAACAATTACAAAAAATTGAGGAGGGACTCCTCTCTAATTCATTCTATGAGCCAACATCATTCTGATATCAAAACCTGGCAGAGACCACAAATAAAGAAAACTTCAAGCTAATACCCATGAAGAACATAGATGCAGTGAAATACTAGCAAATTGAATCCAGCAGCACATCAAAAAGCTAATCCAGTGCAATCAAGTAGGCTTTATTCCTGGTATGCAAGGTCGGTTCAACATATGCAACTCAATAAATGTGATTCATCCTATAAACAGAACTTAAAACAAAAAGCACATCTCAATAGACACAGAAAAGGTTTTCAACATCCGTTCATGTTAAAAACCCTCAACAAACTGGCATTGAAGAAATGTACCTCAAAATAATAAGAGCTATCTATGACAAACCCACAGCCAACATCATACTGAATGGGCAAAACCTGGAAGCATTTCCCTTGAGAACCAGAACAGGATGAGGATGCCCACTCTCACCACTCCTATTAATATAGTACTAGAAGTACTAACCAGAGCAATCAAGCAAGAGATAGAAAAGGCTTGCTCTGTCACCCAGGCTGGAGTGCAGTAGCACAACTTCTGCTCACTGCAACCTCCGCCTCCCAGGTTCAAGCAATTCTCCTGCCTCAGCCTCCCAAGTAGATGTAGCTATATGTGTGCACCACCATGCCCGGCAACTTTTTGTATTTTTAGTAGAAACTGAGTTTCACCATGTTGGCCAGGCTGGTCTCGAACTCCTGACCTTAGGCAATCCACCCACCTCAGCTTCCCAAAGTGCTGGGATTACAGGCGTGAGCCACTGTGCCAGGCCAGGATGGGTATTTTTAAAAAGTCAAAAAATAACATATGTCAGTGAGGTTCCAGAGCAAAGGGAGCACTTACACATTACTGGTGAGAGTGTAAATTAGTTCAACCACTGTAGAAATCAGCTTGGCAATTTCTGAAAGAACTTAAAATGGAGTTATCATTCAACCCAGCAATCCCATTACCAGGTGTATACCCAAAGGAATATAAATTGTTCTACCTTAAAGACACACACATGCGTGTATTCATCATAGCACTTTTCACAATAGCAAAGACATGGAATCAACCTAGAGGCCATCAATGGTGGACTGCATTTAAAAAAATGTGGTACATATATACCATGGAATACCACACAGCCATGAAAAAGAATGACATCATGGGATGATGCTCAAATTAGTTTTCTGTGTAAGATAAATGACAATAAATATAAGGAATAAGAAAAAACTTTAAAATTTATTTTTTTAAATGTGTTTATGTGTTTACTCATGTAATGAAAAGATAATTCAAGGAATTAAAAGCTGAAAGAGAATCAGCACATACCAATACATCTATGAAGTTTGCACTAATCCATATTTGAGGGGCAGTTGGAAAAGAAGGACTCTCCAGTGTAGTCTTGCTGCTATTTCCTTGTTCTCTCACCACCTACCATCTCTCTAGCTTCTTTTCTGCTCAAATCAGCCCAGGACAGAGAAACATATTTAAAGCATGCCTAAATATACAGTTGGGGGGAAAAAATTGAAGCAGCAGAATAGGGGAAAATGATAGCACTTTACACATAGATGGGGGACTGCCTACTATAGCAATTCTCCACCAATGCTTCTAAACCACAGAAAATTAGCATAATTATATATTATTCTCATTCCAAAGTTGAGTAGACAATGTCTCATCCATATTCATCAAGTTGCCATTTTCCCGCTTTTTATTTTAAAATGCTAATGAAATCCAAATGTAAATAGACATTGGAAGAAAATCTGTGCCATGAAAGAGAAGAGCTGATATTATTAGAGAAGCTATTAACAGGAGATTAATCTTCTGTTCTTTCCAACAGAACTTCATGTGATGCTGAAAATAATGCTACGTTTGTACTGTCCAGTGCAATAGCACTAACATCATGTGGCTATTGAGCACTTCAAATATAGTTAGAATGATTGAGAAACTGAAAATTTCAGTTGTATTTAATTTTAATTAATTTTTATTTAAATAGCTGTATCTGGCTGGTAGCTACCATATTACACAGCACAGTCCCCAAGTAGGGATGAGATGACAGCCACCATGTAGAGTTGCTTTAGCCACCTTTTAGTAAATTCTGTGGGGTATGTCTGGTGGCTCTTCTTAAATTATTTTCAGATTTAGATTTGTTGTTATTGTTGTTTTTTAATTCAGACAGAAGAAGAAAACTCCCAGTGAACAGATGAATTTTCCATTCTTTGACCTCAGGCAATTCTCCACTTAAGCTGCACATGCTTCCCTCTCACCTACTCATGACCTTCCCTCTCACAGTCATTCCCTCCCTACTGTTGCTATTTTATCAATTTATCTCTAGCATACTAAATGCTGAATTATCTTTCATCTGTTAAAATGTTTTCCCTTGAAAACTGGTTAGCCATATGTAGAAAGCTGAAATTGGATCCCTTCCTTACACCTTATACAAAAATTAAGTCAAGATGGATGAAAGACTTAAATGTTAGATCTAAAACCATAAAAACCCTAGAAGAAAACCTAGGCAATACCATTCAGGACATAGGCATGGGCAAGGACTTCATGTCTAAAACACAAAAAGCAATGGCAACAAAAGCCAAAAATTGACAAATGGGATCTAATTAAACAAAAGAGCTTCTGCACAGCAAAAGAAACTACCATCAGAGTGAACCGGCAACCTACAGAAAGGGAGAAAACTTTTGCAATCTACTCATCTGACAAAGGGCTAATATCCAGAATCTACAAAGAACTCAAACAAATTTACAAGAAAAAAACAAACAACCCTGTCAACAAGTGGGCAAAGGATATGAACAGAGACTTCTCAAAAGAAGACATTTATGCAGCCAACAGACACATGAAAAAATGCTCATCATCACTGGCCATCAGAGAAATGCAAATCAAAACCACAATGAGATACCATCTCACACCAGTTAGAATGGCGATCATTAAAAAGTCAGGAAACAACAGGTGCTGGAGAGGATGTGGAGAAATAGGAACACTTTTACACTGTTGGTGGGACTGTAAACTAGTTCAACCATTGTGGAAGACAGTGTGGCGATTCCTCAGGGATCTAGAACTAGAAATACCATTTGACCCAGCCATCCCATTACTGGATATATACCCAAAGGATTATAAATCATGCTGCTATAAAGGACACATGCACACGTATGTTTATTGTGGCACTATTCACAATAGCAAAGACTTGGAACCAACCCAAATGTTCAACAATGATAGACTGGATTAAGACAATGTGGCACATATACACCATGGAATACTATGCAGCCACAAAAAAGGATGAGTTCATATCCTTTGCAGGGACATGGATGAAGCTGGAAACCATCATTCTCAGCAAACTATCGCAAGGACAAAAAACCAAACACCACATGTTCTCACTCATAGGTGGGAATTGAACAATGAGAACTCTTGGACACAGGAAAGGGAACATCACACACCAGGGCCTGTTGTGGGGTGAGGGGAGGGGGGAGGGATAGCATTAGGAGATATACCTAATGTAAATGACGAGTTAATGGGTGCAGCACACCAACATGGCACATGTATACATATGTAACAAACCTGCACATTGTGCACATGTACCCTAGAACTTAAAGTACAATAAAAAAAATTTTAAAAAAGAAAATAAATTAATAAATCAAATGTTTTCCCTTGACTTCATGTTTTCCGCTAGCTAAACCCTCATTTCTCTGTTCCCTTTTCTGGTAAAGCTACTCCCAAACAACGGCCTAGTTCTCTCTGCTTCCTCAGTTTCCAATGGCACTTGAGCCCACTCTAATTGAGCTTTTGCCTCCCCGAATTCCACTGAAGCCTCCATGTTACCAAATCGGTGATCAGTTCTTAATTCTCATCGTTCCTGCCCTCTTAGCAGCATTTGACACAGTTGATCACACTTTTCTTCTTGAAATATGCTCTTCCTTTGTTTCTGGTTCACTATTTATTCATTGATCAAATATTTACTGAGTGTTACTTGAGAAAATCATGTCATACTTTGAAATAGGAGAAATGCAGATTCCCGGTGTCCTTTCAGAGCCTGCTTCTGGAATTGCCTGCCTTTTATTGACTTTGAGGTAGTTTATAACTCTGTAAGTTGTAGAAAACTGATAATAAAACAAATGATTTTTGTCCATAGAAGTGCAAATGATTTATGTTCTGTGGAATGTAATTAGCTATTCCCTATAGACAGATCAATTCTGCATCCATCTGAAAATTCTTTTCAGCATTCCTTACTACTTATATACATTAAGTTCTTGTAATTCTCTTTTGAACCAGTGGTAGTATGTTATTGGTTCTCTCATTAATAAATCAGTTAAATAAAATCTTAGACCCAGTCTCATTTTATATTTCTTGAAGAGTCATAATTTTACCTTCAATAAGGTTGTGCTTTAACAGTTTGGACTGTTTTCTACCATCATATTTTTAGGGCCTAGAAGAATGGCACACAGCGTACCTGCTCATTCAATATTTGTTGAATAAGCATTTGTTGAAAAAAATGTTGGAGCAACTGTGGGTTCATCCACTACCATTTTCTATGCATGGCCTTCTCTGATCTCAAATAGAGTCAAATAAATTCTACCCAATCCCTAGTAGTAAAATAAAAGAAGAAAGAGGCATATTTTTAAAAGAACTATAAATTTAGTCTTTGTTCTGCTTTTAGGGATAAAAATTATAACATCAGAAACTGTCATCACCTCCTTTCTCTTTCCCTTCTCTTTCATCTTTTCAGGAGGCTCATCAATCAGCTTCCTAACCAGCTATTTGCTATCTGGAGACCTGGGGGGCAGCACCTTTACCACCTGCTGGCTGATGCCTGTGGCAGTGCCATCCTAAAGGGCTGCCTATCTCTTTTATGTCTCACCTGCTTTCTCTTCTACCTGGGCAGCCAATTTACCAAAATAGTAGGACTTCATTATGTTATTTTGAAGGTTTTCCATGTACTCTGAGATCCCAAATAAATGTTTTCCTTAGCTTTTCAGGCACTCATTCATCAAAACAGAAAAAGAAAAAAGAAAAAGAATCATCCACTTTTGAAGGCATTTCTAACTCACAAAACAAATGGAGATGGTGATTTGACAGTTGCTTGACACAAACACTTGACCTCTACAAGAGTTCCTATACAACGAATACTGCCACAATAACCATGATACTCACAGTATTTCACTGGCTTAGAAATTAAAAGTATTTTAAAACTATTTTTTGTATAAATAAATGCTTCTCCCATTAGGAAAATTTCTCATCTGTGGTACAGCTGACAACATGGGGGCTTGTAAGAAGAGAGAAAACATTTTAAAAGGGGCAAAAAGCAAACTGGAAAAATAAAGATATTTCAGGATCCCCATTATCTCTTTCCTAAATAAATTTTCTAAAATGGAATGACAAATGCCCTTCCTATGTCTATGCAGCATTCCCAATTATTGGGACACATTTTCCTGCAGAGCCTGGGCCAAGTTTCAGTATCCTTTTCAACAATGTGTCTATACAGACTCTGCCAGTTGATCAGAGTTTTCACAGGAGATAAATTCCATATGTTATCCTTGGCGCAGGACCAGTGTTGTGCTGGTAAAGCCAGCTGTGTTCACATCTTCCTAACTCTTCACTCAGTAACATCTTGTTGGTAGCTTGAAATCAGCAAGGGTGGGAGTATTTGCACCATGAAAATTGACAAATGCTACAAATCAGGGTTTGTTTTTTCTCCTGAAGAGCTTGTTGTTAAACATTTACCAACACGCTATTGCCTAGAACATTCACCCAAAAAATGAGCACTTACTATGTCTCAGACCTTCTTCTAAGTATTAAGGTTACATTCAGTGAGCAAAACAGATAGAAATCCCTGCCCTGGTGGAGCTTCAATTCTACTGGAGGAAATAGAGAGTAGACAATAAGCACAATAAACAAATAAATTGTGCAGCACATAGAAGATAACAATTATTAATAAAGCTGGATAGAATATGAAGGTTTCAGAATGTTGTGAAGATGGTCAAACTTACATAAAGGGGTCAGGGAAGGCCTCAATGAGAAGGTGAAAATTGGGCAAAGATTTCAGGAAGGAGAGGAACTTCACCAACAGGATCTCTGGGGATGAAGGTTTCAAGCAAAAACAATGCAGCATAGAGAAAGACACTTTCCCAGAATGTTTGAAAAACAATGAGAAGGTCATTGTAAATGGAAAGGAGAGAGCATGGAAAAGAGAAAAATGAGACGATATCAGAGGGATAAGAAGACCAAACTTTTAGTTCCTTGTAAGCAATGATGAGGACATTGGTTTTAATCTAAGAAAGATTGGATATCCCTACACAAGAGTAGCATGGTCTACTTTGAATTTTAACAAGAGCACTTGACCAGTGTGTTAAAAAAGATACAGAAAATATACACCACCCTTTTACTATACAACAACCTTTTACTGTAAAAATACACAACAAACTCAACAAACTAGGAATAGAAGGAGCCTTCTTCAACTTAATAAAGGACATCAATGAAAAACCTGCAGCTAATGTCATACTTAATGGTGACAAAATTGAATGGTTTCCTCCTAAGATCAGGAAAAAGACAAAGTCTACTCCCCCTATTTCTATCCAACATTGTCTTTGAAGCTCTAGCCAGGGCCATTAGGCAAGAAAAAGAAATGAAAGACACATGCAGATTGGGAATAAAGAAGTAAAACTATGTCTTTTCTACATATAAGATGACATCATCTTATATAGAAATAATACTTTTTAAAAATTCATGAAAAAATGATTAGAGCTAATAAGTAAGTGCATTAGTCCACTTGCATTACTATAAAGGAACACCCGAGACTGGGTAATTTATAAAGAACAGAAATTTAATGAGCTCTCAATTCTGCAGGTTGTACAGGAAACATGGTGGAAGCATCTGCTTCTGCTGGGGCCTGAGGAAGCTTACAATCATGGTGGAAGGTGAAGGGGGAGCAGGCACATCACATGGCAAGAGCAGAAGCAAGAGAGAATGAGGGGAGAGGTTTCACACACTTTTAAACAACTAGATATTGCATGAGTAAGAACTAACATATCACCAAGGGAATGGTGCTAAACCATCCATGAGGGACCCACTCCCATGATCCAATTACCTCCCACAAGGCCCCACCTCCATCACTGGGGATTACATTTCAATATGAAATTTAGAGGGAACAAATAACTAAACCATATCGTTCTGCCCCCAGTCCCCCAAATCTCATGTCCTTCTCATATTGCAAAATAAAATCATCTCTTCCAAACAGACCCCCAAAGTCTTAACCCATTCCAGCATCAAATCCAAAGTCCTAAGTCTCATCTGAGACTCATCTCCTTCCACCTATGAACCTGTAAAATCAAAACAAGTTATTTAATTCCAAGTTTCAATAATGATACAGGCATTAAGTAAACATTCCTGTTCCAAGAGGGAGACATTGTCCAAAAGGAAGGAATAATAGACCACACACAAGTGTGAAACCCAGCAGAGCAGGCATTAAATCCTAAAGTTCCAACATAATCCTTGACTCCATATCCCACATCCTGATGTGAAGAGTGGGCTCCCAAGGCCTTGGGCAGCCCCACCCCTGTGGCTTTGCAGGATGCAGCCCACGTAGCTCTCTTACAGGTTGGAATTGAGTCCTTGAAGCCTTTCCAGGCTCCAGATGCAAGCTACCAATGGATCTACTGTTTTGGGGTCTGAAAGGCAGTGGTCTTCTTCCCACTGCTCCACTAGGTAGTGCCCCAATGGGGACTCTGTGTGGGAGATCCAGCCCCACATTTTCCATCAGCATTGCTCTAGTTGAGTTTCTCTGTGGGGCCTCTACCCCTGTGGCAGTCTTCTTTTTGGACAACAGGATTTCTTTTTCTTTTCTTTTTGCTTTTCTTTTCTTTTCTTTTCTTTTCTTTTTTCTTTCTTTCTTTCTTTCTTTCTTTCTTTCTTTCTTTCTTTCTTTCTTTTTTCTTTCTTCCTTTCTTCCTTTCCTTCCTTTCCTTTCTTTCCTTTCTTCCTTCCTTCCTTCCTTTCTTTTCTTTCTTTCTTTTTCTTTTCTTTCCTTTCCTTCCTTTCTTTCTTTCTTTCTTTTCTATCTTCCTTCCTTTCTTCCCTTCCTTCCTCCCTTCCTTCCTTCCTCTCTCTTTATTTCTTTCTTTCTCTCTCTCTTTTTCTTTCTTTCTTTCTTTTTGACAGAGTCTTGCTCCATCACCTAGGCTGGAGTTGCAGTGCTGCAATCTTGGTTCACTGCAACCTCTGCTTCCTGGGTCCAAGCTATTCTTCTGCCTCAGCCTCCCAAGTATCTGGGACTACAGACGTGCACCACCACACCCCACTAATATTTTTTTTTTGTATTTTTAGTAGAGAGAGGGTTTCACTGTGTTGGTCAGGCTGGTATCAAATTCTTGATCACAAATGATCTACCTGCCTCAGCCTCCCAGAGTACTGGGATTACAGGCATGAGCCACCATGCCCAGCCCAGGCTTTCTGATACATCCTCTGAAATCTAGGTGGAAGCCACCAAGCCTTCATCACTCCTGTATTCTGTGGGCCCACAGGCTTACCACCACATGAAAGCCACCAAGGCTTATAGCTTGTGCCTTCTGAAGCAGTATCCCAAGCTGTACCTGGGGACCTTTGATCTGAGGCTGAGGCTGGAGTAGCCTGAATACAGGGAGCAGTGTCCTGAGGCTGCACAGGGTGGCAGAACCCTAGGAAATTAGGGTTCCTAAGAAATTATTCTTTCCTTCTAGGCCTATTTTCCTCTGATGAAAAAAGCTGCCTCATTGATCTCTGAAAAGTCTTCCAGGCTTTTTTCTAATTGTCTTGGCTATCAGCATCTGGCTCCCTTTTAGTCATGCTAATCACTCTAGCAGGTGAATACTCCACAACTCACTTGGATTGTTCCCCAGAAAATGGGCTTTTCTTTTCTATCACATAACTAGGCTTCAAATTTTCCAAACTTTTATGCTCTGCTTCCCTTTTAAATGTAAGTTCCAACTTTAAGTCATGTCTTTGCTCCCACATATGAATATAGCATTTTAGAAGCAGCCAGTCCAAACCTTGAATGCCTTTGAATGCTTTGCTGCTTAGAAATTTCTTCAACCATATGTCCTAAGTTATCACTGTTAAGTTCAAACTTCTAAAGATCCCTAGGACATAAACACAATGTAGCCAAGTTCTTTGCAAAGGTATAACACAGGTGATCTTTACTACAGTTCCCAATAAGTTTCTCATTTTTATCTGAGATCTCATCAGCCTGGCCTTCACTATTCACATCCCTATCAGCATGTTGGTCACAACTACTTAACAAGTCTCTAAAAAGTTCCAAACTTTCTCTCATCTTCCTGTCTTCTTCTGAGCCCTCCAAACTCTATGAACCTCTGTCCATTACCCAGTTCCACAGCTGCTTCCACATTTTCAGGTATCTGCATAGCAATGTCCCACTCTTCAATACTAGTTTTCTGTATTAGGCCATTGACTTTACTATAAAGGAATACCTGAGACTGGGTAATTTATAAAGAAGAGAAGTGTAGTTAGCTCACAGTTTTGCAGGGTGTACAGTAAGCATGGTGCCAGCATCTGTTTCTACTGAGGGTCTGAGGAAGCTTACAATCATGGCAGAAGGTAAAGGAGGAAGAGTTGCATCACATCATAAGAGCTGGAGAAAGAGAGAGTGAGGCGGGAGGTGCCACATGCTTTTTAACAATCAGATTTCACATGAACTAACTGAGCAAGAACTAACTTATTACCAAAGGGATGGTGTTAAAGAATTCATTAGGGATCTGCCTCGATGATCCAATTATCTCCCACCAGGCTCCATTTCTAACACTGAGAATTACATTTTAACATGAGATGTAGAGGGGACAAATATCCAAACCATCAGTGAGTTTGGCAAAGTTGCAGGTTGCAAGATCAATATTCAAATATTGATTTCTATATATTTGCAGTGAACAAACAAAATTTAAATTCCATTTGCAATATCATCAAAAGAAATAAAGTACTTATGAATAAATGTAACAAAGTAATTGCAAAAACTTTAGAACAAAACAACAACATATTGTCCGAAGAAATTAAAGAGGACCTAAACAACTTGGAGAAAAGCCTCATAATCCTGGATTGAAAGACTTAATATTCTTAAAATGGCAATACTTCCCAAGCTTATCTATATTTTCAATTCAATTCCTATCAAAATTCCAGGTTTCTTTTGTATAGAAATGGACAAGCTAATCCTAAGTATTATATGAAATCATAGGATAATACAAATAGCTAAAATAATGTTTGAAAATAGGAATAAAGTTGGAAGGGCTGGGCACAGTTGCTCACACCTGTAATCCCAGAACTTTGGGAGGCCGAGGCAGGTGGATCACGAGGTCAGGAGATCGAGACTATCCTGGCTAACGTGATGAAACCCTTTCTCTACTAAAGTTACAAAAAATTAACCGGGTGTGGTGGCGGGCGCCTATAGTCCCAGATGCTCAGGAGGTTGAGGCAGTAGAGTCACTTGAACCTGGGAGGTGGAAGTTGCAGTGAGCCGAGATCACACCACTGCACTCCAGCCTGGGTGACAGAGCAAGAATCCATCTCAAAAAAGAAAAAAAAAGAATAAAGTTGGAGGACTCATACTTTCTGGCTTCAAAACTTACTACAAAGATACGGTAAACAAAAATGTGTTACTGGCATGAGGATAAACATATGTATCAATGGGATAAAATCAAGAATCCAGAAATAAACCCATACATCATGTGATTTCCAACAAGGATACAAAAGTCATTTCATGAGGAAAGACTATTCTTTTCAACAATGGTTCTAGGACAACTGAATATCCACATAGAAAAGAATGAATTTGAGCCCCTTCCTCAACATCATATAAAAAAATAACTAAAATGAATCAAAGACCTCAATGAAAGTGATAAAACTCTTCGAAGGAAAAAATAGATGCAAATCTTTATGACCTTGGATTAGGCCATGGTTTCTTAACTACAACACCAAAGCACAAGCAATAACAAAGAAAAGAGATAAATTTGACTCATTAAAACTAAAATGTCTTGTGCATCAAAGAACACTACTAAGAGGTCTAAAGACAATCCACATAAAGGGAGAAAATATTTGCAAACCGTGTATCTGATAAGGGTCTAGTAACCAGAATGTATAAAGAACTCTTACAAAAAGACAAACAACTTCATTAAAACATGAGAATGGGACTTGAATAAACATTTCTCCAAAGAAGATGTACAAATGAGCAATAAGCACATGAAAATATTCTGAACATTGTTAGTCAGTAGGAAAATGCAAATCAAAATCACAATGAAATACCACTTACATCCACTAGAATGGCTATAAGACAAAATAATAAGTGTTAGAAAAGATCTGGAACCCTTATACATTGCTGATGAGGGTATAAAATGGTACAGCCACTAGAAAATATTCTGGCAGCTTCTCAGAAAGTTAAACATAGTATCATCATATGACTCAGCAATTCAACTCCTATATGTATATCCAAGAGAAGTGAAAACATATGTCTACATAAAAATTGTACATAAATGTTTACATAAGCATTACTCATAATGGCCAAAAAGTAGAAACAGCCAATGCCCCATAACTTATCAATGGATAACAAAATATGTCATATCCATACAATGGAATATTATAAAGCCATAAGAAGAAATGAAGTACTAATATATACTACAACATAGATAACCTTTGAAATATTATGCTAAGCTAAAAAAAGTCAGGCTAAAAAGGCCACATATTATATAATTCCATTTTCAGAAAATGTACAGAATAGGCAAATCCGTAGAGACATAAAGTACACTAAGTTTGCCAGAGGCTAAGGGGAAGGTAGAATGGAGAGTTACTATTTAATGGGCACAGGGTTTTCTTTTGGGGTGATATTCTTTGGAATTAGATGTTAGCAATGATTGCATAATATTACAAATTTTAAGAGTATAACCACTGAGTTATACTCTTAAAATAGTTAAAATGGTGAATTTTCAGTTATAAGAATTTTATTTCTAATTTCAATTAGAAAAACAGAGAGTAAAAATGAATATAACATAGAGGAGAAAACAATTAGAAGACCATCAGTGTCTGTTAGGAATAAAAGTTTTTTAAAGTCCCAAATTCCAAATTTTAGATTTTTCAGGAAATATAATAAACGAATTTAAACTTTGAGCCACAGTTGTCTCATAATATGATTGTTATGATAGTGAGCTTCCAGCCAGATTATCCAAAGTCAAATCCTAGTTTGGTGTTGTTGTTAAGTTACTTAACCTCTCTATGCCTCAATACTCTCATCTGTAACATGGGAAAATAAAATTGTTCATCTCATCAGATCAATTTGAGATTCAATGAGGCAAGGCAGTACTGACACTTAGCAAGTATGCTATGTTTTTAATTATCATTAAAAAAGCATTAAAAATGAATCCATTATTTTCACATGACAAAAACAATAGAACCCCATTCACCTAATTAGCTTTTTCCAACTCCTCATTGAAAAGGAATCACTCTTGAGATGGAAATTTCTGAGTGGTCCAAACTAGGAACACAGAGTGAATATTATCTTTTGATACTTAAGTCTTTGTTCATGTCTTGTAGCCCTGTCTGCAACATTTTCAAAACATATTCCGCCTTTAAAAAAAGGCTTTTCTTTCCCCAAATTTGTTTCCAAGATTAAAAGATCTATCCAATGACAGTTTCATTTTCAGTTTAGGGATCCTAAGCTGAGATTCTTGATGGGTTTAATATAGACACGAAATAAGCCTTCTTAAAATTAAGCTGAATGAGTGTGTCTCAGTGCCTATGGACAAGGTATAAGCATCTCATGAGAAGCAAGAAACCATCTTTATTTTCTATTTGGCTTGTCTCTTCTCACATTACACAGACATTACAAACCACACAAACATTAATGCAAGCAGAGCCAAGCAAGAGGCTCCTAATTACATGACCGATTAACAAGTCCCTGAGGTGCCACATGGCCCTATCATCATGTGCTCCTCATCCCTAACCTTGGGTCCTCCACTTGTGTCTGTTTCTGGAGGAAATGCATGAGGTTCAAGTCTTCAGAAAGTTACTTCACCAACAGTGAGTTGTCAAGTTGTCTTCTCAACAATAGCAGTACAGTCGCAATTAGGGCATTCTCCTGATTTGATTCCAGAGCCAGAGTTCTTGCCTTGGTCTCCAAATCATTCACACTTTGGTGACCTGGGCGCAAGTATGGGAATCAACCATTTTTATTTATCAAGAAGTGGTTAGATATTTTATTAAGAATATATATAACAGTATTTTTATGATTTAACATTATGCTATGGTTTGGATGTGGCTTGTCCCCAACAAAACTCATGTTGAAATTTGATCCCAATGTGGCAGTGTTGGAAGGTGGGACCTAGTAGGAGGTGGATCCCTCATGAATAGAGTAATGCCCTCCTGCAGGGGTAAGTGAGTTCTGGTTCTCATAAGAATGAATTAGTTCCTGAAAGACCAGGTTGTTAAAAAGGTTCTGGCTTCCTTGGTTTGTCTCTCTTGCTTCCTCTCTCACTGTGTGATCTCTTTGCACATGCCCGCTCCCCTTCCACTTTCTTCCATGAGTGGAAGCCTGAGGCCCTCAGCAGATGCAGCTGCCCAATCTTGAACTTCCCAGCCTACAGAATCATAAACTGAATAAATCTCTTATCTTTATAAATTGCCCAAGCTTAAGTATTCTATTACAGTAACACAAAACAGACTATTACAATCTATCAGGCATTTTTCTCATTACTTTACATATGTTTCCTTACTTAGCACCCACAACAAGATTACTATTATCATCATTATATATATTTTCTTTACAAATGAAGAAACTGAGACACAGCAAGATTAAGCTGCCATCCAAAGATCGTACAGCTGACAAGTGGCTGAGCCAGGATTTGAACCCTAGAAATCTGGCTCTAGGGCTCTAAAGTTCAAAATCTTAACTGCTATACTAAGAAAGTTGAGACAACAGGCCATATTCTAGCACTGTTGACTAAGGGAAACAAAAGAGTCACCACAATTTATAGAGTAACAGCACAGGGAAGCAGATCAGAGTTTCATAGTGACATCTGGCTGCAAGAAAAGCTGGGAAACATAATTGTGTTAGTTGGGGTTTCTTCAAAAGCAGACCCTGAAATAAGGACTTGGGCACAAGTACTTTACTTAGGAGATACTTCCAAAATATAGAAGTGACTGAGTAATAAAAGTGAGTCAAGGGAAGAAGAAAAGCCAGTAGAGGGAGTGTCATTGAGCTTCTTGCTGCTCTAGGCATCTGGGGTTCAATCCCACAGGAGGCCTTTGGGGAACCTTGTAGAACACAGCTCAGAATTAGTCCATCTAAGGAAGAGGAGGTGGCGGCCTCTATCCACCCACTACCATCCCCCATTGGCCGAGGGCAGTTGTCCCTACAGGTCCAGGTTATGCCCACACTTGTCCTTCCACAGCTTCAGAGAAGAAAGAATAGAAAGACTCCATGTGTGCCTGATGCCTGAACTTGTCGTCCAGGGCTGCCATGAGGTTACAGGGACTGCAGGGCAGCAGCATGAAGCATCACAAGCACCTGAAATAGGAATCTTGATTCTGAGTGGTCTGTGCATTGCTAAAATTCAGGAACTTACTACTACTAAAGGATGAAGGAGAAAACAAATTTGGGGATTCAATTGGTGGTCTCTGTCAAATACCCTTTTACTTTTATCTTTAATTTTTTTCTCAAAAAAGCCATGCCCAGGGACCTTAAAACCAGTATCATTTAAAGGTTGGGGCCAGAACTGCCTTTATATTTCTGCCAATCATCTCCACAAGGAAAGACCTCATGCCAGATCTAGATAGAGGCTTTATTAAGCCAGAGCTTTGCCTTTAATGTTTGTTGGATCAGCTAATGTTCCTGGTACACTCTATGTCTCTCCAGGTTCTTTCTCTGTCTTAAGCGATATCTCAGCAACTCTCATAAGCATTACACTCAGATATAGGGAAGAGGAGTTAGCTGTTGCTGCATGAAAAACCACTCCTAAACTTAGTGGTTTAAAGCATGTATTTTCCCTATGAATCTGAAAAAGCAGTTTTGTCAATGGGGACAGCTCATCTCAGCTCCATGTGGCATGCTCAAAGACTGGGGCAGGGATCTTCTGCAGTCTCACTCATATGGCTGCTGCAGATGGTATAGATAATGGGTGGCCAATGTGAGCTGTCATCTAGGACCTCAGATAAGGCCTGTGGCCAGAACAGCCTATAGTGGCCTTTCCATGTGGTGGGTGGCAGGATCCAAGGTCAAGAGTTCCAAGAGGGCTACTGAAAGTTGTATGGCTCCGAGGACTTTTATTCTTAGAAGTCACACAGTATCCTGTTCACCTAGTCACAGGCCCACCCAGTGCCAAGAAAAGGAACATGGGTGATGGAACATGCTGATAGGGCCATATTTGGAAAATTCAATGTGTCACAGAAGGCATGAGATTTAGACAGGCTATTCCTACCAAATACCTGTGTATGTGTGCGTTCATAAGCATTTTAACTGTGTGTCTCCTTTAATCACTTATACCCATGCCTAATGTCTGACCATGGAAAAAGCCCTTTATCTCTCCATATTGCAGGCTGTGGGACACCTTGGGAGGTTTCAGGCTTTATTTAATACTTTTAATAAAATCTGCAGAGCTCTGAGTGTTATAAATCATGTGCCAAAAGTTTCGGCTTTGTGCTTAATGGCAAAGCTAAAACAAAATGACTTCCTCTTGAGTTTCAGCAATTTGTTAACTTAGAAATATTACCATTCAGCAGTTTCCAAACCTTTCTCTCTAATAACCGTTTTATCCTGTTAGTATACTTTATGGATCTCTTAGCCTTTTGTTTCTCAATGAAGAAATCCAAATTATCCTTCTCTGATTACCCTAAGTATTTACTTTGTTCTGGAGTCTGCTTGTTATAGTTCTCTTCTCTGATCAAGGCAGCTTGCTCAGTCTCTTTCCTTTAGATCATACACCCAAGTCGTTACACACATCAACATAGCATAGATCCACACATAGCACAGTCCTGGCCGTAACAAGCTTAACAGTTAAGAATTCATTTGGCTGCAAGTAATCAAACTCTTAACCCGTAGAGACACATCTGTTTCACATAATACACTGATGGTTCCAGCTGCCAGTGGTGATAGACTGGCTTATGACTTACCAACTCTCTCAATAAGAGAAAACAGAAAAGCTGCACAAAATATATGAATATGTTTGTGCTTTCAGAGAGCTACCAAAGCAGTGAGGTCGTGAAGAACCAGATCCCAGAGAGAAGGAAGCACAGTCTCACTGAATTAGTACAACAGAGAGAGAGCAGGCACCAGCCCATTAGAACAGAGCAGAGTCCTGAAGGACAGATGCTCTTCCGGGCATTCACCCTCTAACTGTTTGAGGTCCTTGTGATAACAGGGGAGGGACTTATGAGGCAGGTGTGGCAGTGAAGGAACACTCTTGGGGGCTTCAGGGAAATAACTATTTACCAACTAGTAAAGAAGTGTTTCAAAATATATGGGTACAACTAGTACCCATGTATCTAGGAGAATTAATCTACCTTCCATACATCTCACAGATGCAACAACGTCTATCAAATCCAGATATTCAAAATGTCACTTCTACACAATATAACAAGTACAAAGAAGTTCCTGAGAGGGTTTGATTAAGTCAGATTTGGATGAGAAAATTTGCTGAAATTTAGAGAGCGTCGTTAAGAGCTTGGGAAAAAAAGAGCATCCCCAACTCTTCATTTGACCATGAAACAAGAATGTATTGCCTGGTGCTTGCTCGAAATCTTGGTGGCCTCCTACATGTGGGGCTTCCAGAAAATTGAGAAGCTTCCCAGACCTGGGTGTTGCACCCAGCTCCCTGCCAGCCCCACAATTCCTCCCTGTGGCAGAAAGGCACTGTGCTAGCTGCATCTGTGAAATGTAATGTTTCTGGCCCCAGAAAAAGTTCGAGTTGCTGCTGCATTTCCCAACCCAGTTGTGTCCTTGGGAAATGGGATCTGATGGAAAGGGTGAAATGGCAGCAAACAGGGCACAGTCTGGCAATCTGGAACATGGAGCTGCCTGGAGAAGCCAGGTGCTGTGAAGGAGCTGGTTAGGTCTTGCTGGGAAGGAGGGCGGCTGGCACCTCCAAATGCTTGAGAACTTGCCTCCTGTTTAAATTGGAGGCTGCGCTGGGGGCCAATTTAGTGGCACTGCTTCAATTATGTATTTGTTTTTAAGAATAATTGTGTTTCAAAACTGACATATGAATTTTTGAAATTTTGAAAGAAGAAGCAAATCTCCACTTAGAACCGCCAGTCTCCCTTTAAAAAAAAAAAAACTATTTTAAACTATTTTTCTTTCCCATTATATTTTAGTTTGACCTTTAAGTAAAGACCTTTCTCAACCTAGCAGCCATTTTATTCAGCTTCCTGACTTGAGAAAATGTTCCCTCTTTGTTGAGTTCTAAGGCATTAAGCAAATGTTTGCCTAACCTTTGCTTCGAGCATAATCTTACCTTTTAATAAAATGCACCCAAAAGCCTGTACTACAAGGTTTTCGTAGCTCTGAGTCATGTTCCTACCAGAAAGTGAGGAATTAAAGAACTGTCTTGTTTGAATAGTCAGTCCTAGCTTGATGAATTTGAAAGTGACGGGTAGCTGGGAATGGTAAGAAGCTTTGAATATGAAATAGAGACAAATAGTATTTCTTCTTCCTGCAAGGAAGCTTTCAGAGAGTTCTGACCCAGGGCAGCTTGAAGTGTCTGCTACTCTGAAGTGGAAGTGGCCTGGGATAAACCTGAACTATAGCGAGGAGAAACATTTTTTTCAGGTTTATTCTTTTATTTGGAGTGTGGAGTGTGAAATGGAAACCTGAAAATAAATTTTGCAATTATTTTACTACTGTGCTTTCCACTGTCACTTCCCCAGTGAAGAAAGAATTGGAAACCCTGTTGATCAGAATCTGAGAAACTCATGGGCCAAGTTCCACTAGTGGGTAGTGTCTCACTCTGTTTAGTGTTCCTATAAAGGAATACTTGAGGCTAGGTTATAAAGAAAGAGGGTTTGTTTGGCTCATGATTCTGGTGACTGGAAAGTTCCAGGTCGGGTGTCTGCATCTGGTGAGAGCCTAGGGCTGCTTCCGCTCATGGCAGAAGGTGAAACGGGGTCACTATGTGCAGAGAAATCACATGGTGAGAGAGAAAGAAAGATGAAGAGGGGAGGTGCCAGGCTCTTTTCATCAACCAGCTCTCTCAGAAACTAATAGAATGAAAACTCACTTGCTCCCCCAGCCAAAGGAGGGGATTAGTCTATTCATGTACGACCTGCCCCCATGACCAAAACACCTCCCTTTAAGCCCCACCTCCAATACTGGGGATCAAATTTCAACTTGAGGTTTTGTGAGAACAAACATCTAAACCATAGCAGGTGGACACTACAGGGCTGAGAGGGCATGCAGCTAGGTCGACACATTTCTTTCACCTCCTGTGCTTTTGAGTGCCAGGTGTTCTTCCCAGGTGCTTCCCATGCTCCATGCTTTCAGCAGCTTCGGACAGGATCTGCCTATTAAGGACAGAATCAGTCATACATTTGGTCTTAGTACAGGCTTCCCCAAGAAGCAGACACTGAAATAAGGATCTGAGTACAAATAATGTATTTGGGAGGTGATTCCAAGAAACATCAGTAGGAGAGTGGCAAAGTGAGGCAGGGAAGAGAAAAAAGCCACAAAGGGTGGATGTGTTATCAGCAAAGCCATCTCTGTGGGTCCCTGAAGCTCAATTCACTCCAGACCTCTGGGAGACAGAGAAGACTGCACACCTAAGAGGTATCCCCTCACAGGGTGGAGTGTGATAATATAGTATTATCCACCAACCCCTGTCAATCATTGCTTAAGAGCCCTCCCAGGGGAGTGTTCATTGCCTGCACTTCCAAACTGCCATGAAACAATAGAGCAAACTCCGATGACCATAAATGCCATCAGACAAAGAGATGTGGGAGGTGTGGACCAGGTATCAATAGCACCTAATCTTCTTCCTCTCTATTGCTTTAGTTTCTCCATCTGTAGTTGACAGCATCAGCCATTGGTCTAAATGGCTAGCTGAATCCTGTTTCACAGACCAGGTGACTTAGATTCAAGGAAGCCGGAAGAAGAAAACCTCATGTCTACTTCCCAGGCTGAGCCCCATCATCGAGTCCAGCCTATGCCACAGAAGCCCTTTTTTGGGAGATGCTGGCATCTTTGGGTGCTTACCTAATGGTTAATTAAGGTGACAGTTTGCAGCCCACTGGGTTCTTTCACCTTGTGGATGCCCCTCCCTGGGCAGGTCTCAGGAGCAGTGAAGGCAGAGAGTGCAGGGTTTGGGGTGATCAAACCGACTTCCAATCCCTGGTATGTATTTTAGCCATCTTTTACTTTCTTAGTTCAGATTGTCTATTTTGAAAAATGTAGGGTGGGAGGTTTTTGGGAGAAGGGCGGGGAATATTTTATTTATTGTAAACTTAAATTTGATAGCGACATCAAAAAAATGTCACGCAAGCCCTATTCAAACTCAAAACCAGTAACAGGCTGGCCTAGACCAGGGATTAAGTTTAGGATTCATTCAAAAATCTACGTTCACGGATGCTTGGAATATGAGATAAAGTAGCACGTTTGAAATGAGGCTTTGGGTCTCCAATTACACATATATTTCAAACAAACTCACAATTCTAATAGATGAGAACTGCATGATCTCTTTCTCCCTGTCTTAGAATTGATGCACTGGAAAGTACTTTGCACATCTAGTTATTAACGCTTAAATAAATTTTTCTCTACAAAATGAATAGTGTCAACATTAGACTAAATATGCAGTGTTTAAATTTTAATTGTATCCACAGATGCACAGAGACTCTATAAATATAATTGTGTGCCTAGGAAGCTCTTCTGAGAAAGGTTAAACAGGATGACAATAGCAAAGGTGGGGAAATAAAGAAAAAAAGAGATCCATGTTGGGGAGAGACAGCTGGTGCTATTGAAACTGACACTGCATACATTACAGAGGGGTAAAGAAGCACTATTTTTACTTGAAAAATAATAAGATGTTGTAATCATCTTTGGGAAGAAGCTGTAAAGCTAGGAGCACATGATAGCTGTTTGAAAAGCAATTAAGCAATCTCCTAGAGGAGACAGAAAACAGACCCAAGAAGAAATGAAAATAAGCCTTCAGACCCCATCATGTGTCAACCCTTCACACTGGGAGGCTTGCTGGAGCACATGAAGGGCATTTGGTGAAATGCTAAATCAGGAGCCAGGATGTGCACAACTCAAGCATGAAGCAAAAGGAACGTGCTTAAAATCATGGAGAAAGGGAATCACCAGGGCTCATTTGCAACAAGCAGCATGAAGGTTCTGTCTTGACAGCTCTGGCCAGTGTGATGAGATGTGTGCCAGGATAAGCCTGAACAAACCTATTTTTCAGGTACCAGCTCTACCCAGTGGCTTGTTAGTGAGCAAATATGCCCCAGAATGGACTTAGAAAACAAATGCACACCCAGATAATTGTTTAGGTCCTCCAGCATTCATCATTCTTCATTCTTTCAAAATTCACCTATTGATTAATATCATCTCTTAGAGTAGGGTTTCCTAACCTTGGCACATTGTCGTTTGGGTCCTGATTATTCTTTGTGAGGAGCTGTATTGTGCTTGTAGGTTGTTTAGCAACATCCTTGGCCTTTACCCACTAGATGCCAGTAGTGATCCCCTTCAGTTGGAACAAGCAAAAATGTCCTTGGACATCACCAAATGACCCTGGGGAGAGGGGAAGAGGGGAGGAATGAGAGGTCAAAGTAGCCCTGAGTTGAGAACCACCCTGTTAGACGAAGTAGAAACCCAGATTTACGTTTGTTTAATCATATTCTGGCAGGGTGTTGTGGACAGGTTGTGGGTCTTGAAGCCAGGTTATCTGGCTTCAAATTCCTGCTCCTAGAGTGAATGACTTGAGACACCAGGTTCTGTGCCTTCCAGCCACCCCATGGTGCCCCTGGAGGGAACTACAGGTTGTGTTAATTGTTTTCTAGGAAGTTTCTACTCTCTGAGCTCAAGGTGCTATTGCTGCTTTTCTATAAATGGATTAAATCAACTAAAACTATCTACAAACTCTGCAGGGCTCCATATCAAAACAAACATACAAGTAGGTTTGAAAGTGAAATGTCAGCTTTCCCCTAGTATGTGTATTTTCAGAATCAATCAAAGTGACTATAAGGTTAGCAATAAAGGCATATTAATACCCATATCTATGCCATGTGTCAAGCAGATTTTAAATTCGTGTGTGCTGGGAGTGAGGGGGAGTATGGAGAGTACCTGAGAAGGCAGCCCTGACAGTGACAATTCCAAATGCTGTTGAGAACCACTCACACCCTGGGTTGTTGATTCTAGTCCAGAAATGTCTCTCTGGATGCCAGATCTCAAACTGACCACTGGAGGTCATCCTTGTCCCACCAAAGCTTCTCACTTAAGACTAACTTGCACAGCAGAAAGTTTCAGCAGAAGCAAATCAAGGAGAAAATGTGAGGCTGTATTAGCGACCCGACCCACAGAGGTTGTGGCAGGGACTAGATTGTGAAAGGACGAAATGAAATGAAATGAAAAGCCACCTTGGGCGGAGCTAGTAAAGTCAATGCAACACCCAAATGCCCTTGAATGCCATTGTAGTGTTTTCACACACCTCCTGGCTTCAGTGGTATTTATTGCCAATGCCAGAACTTCCAGCTGCCTTGAGACCTCTTTATCTATATGCAAAACTGCCTAAAAATTATGCTTTCTCACCAAAACCCTGAATCCATAACTGACAGGCCACAAGAAAGCTCAGCTTCCTCTCCTTAGGTCCAGGCAACTCTGAGATGTAACTTTCCAGCTCCCAGAGGCCCCTGTGGGATCAGGCACCAACCAGCCACTGTAGGACCTTGCCTGAGATTGCAGCTTGTCTGAGATTCCTCCCCTTCCGTGTCCTGCAGTCCCTCTCTGCCTTACCTATTTTCCCTGGGAGTCATTATTTGACAAATCATTGTACGTAAATCCTCATTACAGGGTCTGCTTCTGGGGAATCTGACCCAAGACACTGGTTTAAACTTGATGCTCAAAACTTTTGATTTTTTTCCCCCATGGTCGTCTACCTGGCTGCTTCAGGTAACCGTGGGATTTGGGAACACATATTACCTAGAGTAGCCTCCGTGCCCCTTGGCATTTTCCTGCAGGACAGACCGGTATTGCAAGTCTATTCCTGGGCCTCAGCAGGCTCAGCTGACCTCTCCGTGTCTGTCCATCGCAACATTGGCTAAAGTGGTTTGCAGAAACCTATGTGTCTGCTTGCGGTTCCTGGGAATCCAGGCTTGAATCTGTCTGCTAATCCATTTGTAGCAGCACTAAGAGTAGTAATTTAAAGCCCAGGGAAAGATCTAGGAGCAGATAAAAAGATCCTTAAATTATTTCAGAGTCATGAGGGGCAAGGGAGGCGAAGGAGCTGGAAGAGATCTGACAAGCCATGAATGGATCCAGTGAGAGGGTAGGGTGCACACCTGGGTGGGTGTTTCACGGGGGAAAAACCTGGCTGTGACTCAGGATTTCTGCCTTTGGTTTGTAGAAACCTAAGCCCCAACATTGGCTTTTTATTTTTTTTTTCCCAGTTCAACATAGCATTGCTCAAGCAAATCAGCATTCTCATCTCAACTGATTCATTTGGCCATTGTAAATTCATAAGCTGAAGTGAATAGAGAAAAGGGAGGGAGAGTTGGAAGAGATGGAAGGAGGGAGAATTGGTGGGGTATTAGCAGCACTACCCTAATTTTTTACCCCCACAACATGCTGACTTTAGCATAGCGTGCGCTTGAGAAAAATGATTAAAACAATTGCTCACGTGTGACAGAAAAGTAATTTCCATTTAGAAAAATATTTAAATCAAAAGACAGGGAGCATTCTCTTTGTTAATAATGGGCTAGATTACATAGAGGGTAGATTATATAAAGTGTGTGGATCAATATATCATTTTTCTGATTAAGTTACTGATATACTATGGTATTTGCAGGGGATGCAGCCCAGAAGACCTTTATGTGGTGAAATTGTGTTTCAGTGGTATCATAAGGAAGATTATTAGCTTTTTTCTTATTTTTTCCACCATTTTCAGATAGATGAGGATGATGGTTGAAGAAATGAGATTTTTTTCCCAGTGCATTTGATCTTATTTCTTCTCTCCACTCATAGCAGAAATACCCACTTCCTCCAGAGATTAGTTTAAATACTACATGAATAAGCTAAACATTTCCCTGTACTAAACCTGATCCCTGAGGATATTCACATCCCCTCAGCCAATAAACCTTAGAAGCAGTGATGGGCCCCATTTATCTGAGGTCAGAAGTGGGTGATGCTAGAGAGAATGACACTCTCATCTTCTAAGCTTAGGAAATACGCCATGGTGTTCTAAAAGTTTACTGCACAAAAACTGCTGCTAAATTTAGTCACAATGTTCATTGTGAACAATGAACTAAGTCATCTGTGACTCAAATATTTTTCACACAGACTATGTCTTCACAAAAGCAGTTCAGGAGTGGGAAGGAGGGATTGTAGGGGGATGGTGACTACAATAACCCAAATGTTTCTGGTAAAACTCTACTGACAATTCCAACAATTACTTCAGTTATTCCATTTCATTTTGCCATTTCACACAGCAATTCTGAAAAAAGTCTTGCTAGGCCTGCTTCAGAAAGGATCTTATGAATTCCTGGCCAGGCATTTAAAGGATTGGTTTCTAATCTTAATATCTGATGGGGATTCTGATTTCTGACTTACCTCTTACAGTTTTACAGAAAGCAAAAGTAGCAGTTTCAACCACATGCCCCTTGAAAAAGAGATATAACTTTTAACAAAAGGAGTGCTATTACAGCAACAATATGCTGCCCAGTCTTCAGGGAGGAGCTTAAGTGGCTTTCAGCAGGTAATCGAAGCCCTGCCTTAAATTGCTCTTTCCTGCTATTTCCTGAAGGTTTGTTTCCATGAAGTAGCCAAGAAAGGGAACTCAAAAGCCCATACACTGAAAATGAGGTGTTCTGCAGATGTAAAGACCCATAAACTAGGTCATTATTAATAATTTCTACAGCACTATAAATGTTTTATTCAAAAGGATCACTGGCCACTTTTGTATTAGTCATCCCAAGGACAAGTGCTCACAGAATTGGCTAAAGTCGAGTGAAGTCACCATTGGCTGGGTGTAGGACAGCAGGGAGAGTAGAATGGCCTCCTGCCATTTGCAATGTTATTCATTCCAGGATCCAAGAGACTGAGGGAGAGAAGGACTTAAGGTAGGAACATGGGAGCATATAAGAGAACAAGACCTTCCTGGTTTGATCTCTTTTGCCTAGTGCCCACCCAGACATTAAGAATAACATTTGTCAAGAAACAGAGAGAGAGAGAGAAAGAGAGTTTTCACTGTTATGCAAAGTATTAGTAACATGCCTTGCAGACCATTTCAGAAAAAAACTGTGGAGAAAAGCAAGAGCGTTCTAGAAGGAAAAGATGCTCAAGATATACTTCTAATTCACTAAAAAGAAGTCTAGTTCTTCAAACATTTCAAAATGTTTTAAAACCCTCTCATTTTAAAGTTTAATTTTACTACCATTTATTACATACAACCGTGTACTGTGTAGTGTGCTGGGTGATTTTGCATACAGTATCTAACTTAATGCTCACAATTATCCCAAAGATAGTTACCCTCCAAAGGCATTACCCATTTTTTAGATAAGTGAATTGGTAAGCAAGTGGTTAGTTGAACATGGTCCCACAAACAAAAGAAGCCTGAGCCATCATTCCTCACAATGTGGAAAAATTCCTGAAGTTCTGAGACCTATAATGATCCCCATTTCATGTATTCCACTGACATTTACGTAATATAAGGAAACCAGTAAAACATAGCCTATTCAAATCACTCGTATTTATTATAGGATTACTTAACAAAGTTGTATCCAATATAAAATCACGCAATCTCGTAATCTATCCAGAATAAACTTCTCATTGGCATGCATCCCCCACCCATGTATACTTTTTTAGAGGATGATATGGTTCGGCTGTGTCCCCACCCAAAATCTCACCTTGAATTGTAATAATCCCCACACATCAAGGGCGGGACTAGGTGGAGATAATTGAATCATGGAGGCAGTTTCCTCCATACTGTTCTTGTGATAGTGAGTGAGTTCTCGCTAGCTCATGAGATCTGATGATTTTATAAGGCTTTTATAAGGGACTTCCCCCTTTGTTCGGCTCTCATTCTCTCTCCTGCTGCCATGTGAAAAAGGACATGTTTGCTTCCCCTTCCACCATGATTGTAAACTTCCTGAGGCCTCCCCAGCCGTGTGAAACTGTGAGTCAATTAAACCTTTTTTCTTTATGTATTACCCAGCCTCAGGTATGCCTTTATTAACAGCGTGAGAACAGACTAATACAAAGGAGTAAAAGCCACAGTACCTCAGTCTCCAGATGGGCACCTGTTGTGGTCTATGGAGGCATTCTGTCTTCACTGTGCTTTGGATCTTGCACAAGACTCTTATCAGAGTGAGGTTCAAAATTTCTAACCAGAGACTTGGACTTCTAGCATCAAGAAAGCAGAGGGACAGAATACACTTCTGTCCTCATAGCAATTGTCATCAAGCTATGGAAACTCAAGGTGCTTACACTGTGGTGAGAAACTCTCTTTTGGAGATTGTTTCCCCCAGAGATGTTGTTACATGAGCTTTGGAGAAGACAAACATCCAAACCATATCACCATCCTTGCTAAGATGGTGATCCTTGCTAAGATGGTGATATGGTTTGATGTTTGTCCCCTCCAAATCTCATGTTTAAATGTAATCCACAATGTTGGAGGCGGGGCCTGGTGGGAGGTGTTTGGGTCATGGGGGTGGATTATTCATGAATGGCTTGGTGCCCTCCCCAAGGTAATGAGTGAGTTCTGGCTCTATTTGTTTGTGTGAGAGCTGGTTGTTTTAAAAAGCCTGGCACCTCCTCCCCTCTCCTCTCTCTTGCTCCCTCTCTGGCTGTATGACATGCTTGCCCTCCTTTCACTTTCCACCTGAGTACCAGCTTCTTGAGGCCTCACCAGAAGCCAAGCAGATGCCAGTGCCATGCTTCCTATATAGCCTGCAGAATCAGGAGCCAAAAAAACCTCTTTTCTTTATGAATTATCCAGTCTCCGATACTTCTTTATAGCAATGCAAAATGGACTAACACAGAAAATTGGTACCAAGGAGTCTGGAATTGCTATAAAAATACCTGAAAATGTGGAAGTGGCTTTGGAACTGGGTAACAGGCAGAGATTGGTAGAGTTTGGAGGGCTCAGATGAAGACAGGAAGATGAGAGAAAATTTAGAACTTCTTGGATACTGGTTAAATAGTTCTGACCAAAATGTAGATAGAAATATGGACAGCGAAGGCCAAACTGACAAGGTCTCAGATGGAAATTAGGAATTTAGTGGGAACTGGAGCAAAGGTTACATCTGTGTTACATCCCAGCAAAGAAGTTGGCTGCACTGTGTCCATGTCCTAGGGATTTGTGGAAGAGTAAACTCAAAAATGATGACCTAGGGTGTACGTGGCAGAAGACATCGCTAAGCAGCAAAGCATTCAAGATATGGCATGGCTGCCATATCTACCAACCTGCAATCACAGATGGAAGCAAAATACTGACTTAAAGTTGGAACTTATAACTAAAAGGAAAGTAGAACGTAGAAATTTGGAGTATTTGCAGCCTGGCCATTTCTTAAAGAAGGAACAAGCATTTTCAGGAAAGGAATCCAAGCAGGCTGGGAAGCAACCCTTGCTAGAGTGAATTGCATGACTAAAAGGGAGTCAAATGCTAATAGTCAAGGCAACAGGCAAAAAGTCTTGAAGGCTTTTCAGGAACCTTTGAGGCAGCCCTTCCCATCACAGGCCCAGAGGCCTAGGAGGAAAAAAGAATGGTTTCAGAGGCCTTGCCCAGGGTACTGCTGCCTTGTGCCACCTCAGGATGCTGCTGCCTGCACCTTGGCTCCTCCAGCTCCAGTTGCAGCTCAGAAGGCTCCAGATACAGCTTGGGCTGTTGCTCCAGAAGACATAAGCTGTAAGCCTTAGTGGCTTCTATGTGGTATTAAGCTTACAGATACACAGAGCAAAAGAGTGAAGGAAGCTTGGGAGATTCTACCTGGATTTTAAAGGATTTACTAGAAAGCCTGGGTGGTCAGGTAGAAGCCTGCTGCAGGAGTACCAGAGCCCCACAGAGAAACTCTACTAGGGCAGTGCTGAGAGGAGATATGGGGTTGGAGCTCCCACACAGAGTCCTTACTGGAGCACTGCCTAGTGGAGCTGTGGGAATGGGGCCACCACCCTCCAGACCCCAGAGTGATAGAGCCAACAGCAGCTTGCACCTTGAGCCTGAAAAAGCCACAGGCACTCAACTTCAACCCATGAAAGCATCCATGGGGGCTATACCCTGCAAAACCACAGGGGTGGAGCTGCCCAAGGCCTTGAGAGCCCACCCCTGGCACCAGTGTGCCTTGGATACAGGACATGGAGTCAAGGATTATTTTGGAGCTTTAAGGTTGAAAGTCTGCCCTACTGAGTTTTAAAATTGTGTAGGGTCTGCTGCCTTCTTCTTTTGGCCTATTTCTCCCTCTGAGAATGGGAATTTTTACCAAATGCCTGTACCACCGTTGTAGCTTGGAAGTAAATAATTTTTTTTTTAATGTTACAGGCTCATAGATGGGAGGAATGTGGCCTGAGTCTCAGATGAGACTTTGGGCTTTGGACTTTGAGTTAATATTGGGATGAGTTAAAATTTGGGGAGACTGTTGAGAAGGGATTATTGTATTTTGCAATGTGAGAAGAACATGAGATTCTGGGGGCCAGTGGGTATATTAGTCAGGGTTCTCTAAAAAGACAGAACTAATAGGGTATATGTGTATATGAAGGGGAGTTTACTAGGAGAATTGGCACACGTGATCACAAAGTGAAGTCCCACAATAGGCCATCTACAAGCTGAGGAGCAAGAAAGCCAGTTTGAGTCCCAAAACCTCAAAAGTAGGGAAGCCGACAGTGCAGTCTTCGGTCTGTGGCCGACGGCCCAAGAGCCCTTGGCAAACCACTTGTGTAAGTCCAAGAGTTCAAAAGCTGAAGATCTTGGAGCCCAACATTCGACGGCAGGAAGCATCCAGCACAAGAGGAAGATGAAAGCCGGAATATTCAGCCAGTCTAGTCCTTCCATGTTCCTCTGCCTGTTTTTATCCTAGCCATGCTGGCAGCTGATTAGATGGTGCCCACCCAGATTGAAGGTGGGTCTGCCTCTCCCAGTCCACTGACTCAAATGTTAATCTCCTTTGGCAACACTCTCGCAGACACACCCAGGAACAATACTTTGCACCCTTCAATCCAATCAAGTTGACACTCAATATTAACCATCACAGTGGGCAAGAGAAAGGATTTGGGAATGTTGGCTTGGCTGGGTCTGATTGGAGGGCTTTAAATTTTACCATTTACAGAAAGGTATGTTAAGGAGGATTTTAACCCCAGATCTTTAGGGCCAACAGACCCCTCACTTCTGAAAGTGTTCTGGCATTCATGTTCCAGTCCTGTCCTGGTCTTCTTGGCTCCAAAGGGAGGATTTGTTGGTTTTGAGTATTGTTAGAGGTCAAAGCTTTTTGTATTGTGCAGGCCTAGGCAATAGGACTTGCAGTTTTGGGCTCTGTTATACTTAAAAGACAACTCAACATTTTGTTATCGACAGAGTGGGTCCGGTTTGGGCTGGTCCTGCAGTTATAGTCAGAACCTTATCTAAGTATACACAGCTAGAAAACGGCAGCCCAGTTATTTTAAAGCTCCAAGATGCCCTGGGATCTTTTATCGTCACCTCGCTTTTCTGAGCCACCAGTGCCACCCAACGCATTTCCTTTCAACATGATTTCATTTTGTTGCCAACTATCATGTGCCATGCCCTGACTCCTCTCACCTCTGATCAGTTTCTTAACTTGCCTCATCCTGCCCTGGTAATGCCTTGCAAGGGCTCTGCTGTAGGCAAAGTCTACCACTTGCCCCTAGCTGGCTTATGAAACCTACCTGCCTTTCCTCCCCACATCCACTGCTCTGCAATGGTTCTTTATTCTTCTATAGGTAGATGTCTTACTTCCCATACTCTGTGAGGTCAGAGATGGAGGATTAAATGTCTTCTTTCTCTCCCACAAGGAGGCAGGACGAGCTGCATAGTAAAACTTAAGCCCTTCCTACACGAAATTAACTATCTTTAGACTAAAAGATAAACAGTAGCAGCGCCCTTGTTCTGTTTAATCTTGGCTAAAACAGAATGAGTTTGCGTAGCTGGGGACTCTCCACAATGGAGCTGGGTCACAGGTACTCAAGTGGCCAGGCCCAACTACCTGGTACATGATTAATAAACTAAGGCAAAGACTTGGGCTGCTTAAAATATATACGTATTTAATATAGATAAATAGAGAGAGATATAGATATATATCATTTAGCTTGGGGTATCAAGGAAGCCTACAAGTTAGGGTTAGACTAAAATTCTTTTTATGTTAACAGTTGACAACCTTTTAGAGGTGTGAAGATGCCCTTTCTCTTAGTGGGAAAGGGAGAAAAACAATTCATCAAATGGAAAGGAGTCCCAAAGGCCTCACTGCCCACAAACTCTCACCCTGGCACCATTCTGCCCCCTTTTCTCTGGGTAGACATCAGTGGAGAATCAAGACAGTGCTGTGATAGGGTTGGGAAAGTACTGATAGGAATGTTGCAATCCTGTTGTTTAATTTGGAGAGAGTTGCTGTATCTCCTATATACTCTAGCCTTTTGTTTATTTCTTTTTCTGTAAGATGAGTAGAGGGAACTAAAATCAGTGTTTCTCAATCTTTAATGAGCACAGGAACCCCCTGAGTTATTGTTAAAAATGCATATTTTGACACAGAAGGCATGCAGTGGGCAGAGATTCTGCCTGCTAACCAGCTCCCAGGTGAGGACCACCTGCTGCTGCTGCTGGTCCAGGGTTGGCCATTTGCATTTTTAGAGGACAGATGAATGTTTAAAGTCCTGCAAGTGCTTGCTTTCTTTTAATGCAGATAGGCCCCAGAAGATAGAAATCAGTCAATGACCTTCCAACTCCTGGATGAGCTCAGTTTTGATGGGTTGGAGCTGACTGAGTTAAGGAGGGAGTTCTGCCCTGGAAGCCCCATGCATGGGGAGTGAAGCTGTGTGCCTAAGGCCAGGTGGGAGCAATGGGGTTGCTGGGCACCTCAGGTGTTCTGGGTGTTTCTGGAATGGAAAGGCCAGGAAGTGAGAGGCAGATAGAAGCAGAAGTAGGATAAATACCTCTTAGTCTAAAGTTGTGTCGAGAGCCCTAGATGCTACTTGAAACCTCTTTGGAATAAAGTAAAATAGAAACAAATAAACATTGGTATTTTATTTTATTGTGTTTTGCATTTTGGTACTTTACTTGACCGACCTACATAAGAATTTGGTAAAAAGATATTCACCCAAAATCACAGCTGACAGAGCTAAAAAATGACCCTGGGCCAAGTCTGTGGCTCACCCTAAATGCCCTCTTCTGCTCTCTTCTTCATGCTTAGGGGATGTCCAGATCACAGAGAACTGAAAAACAAGCTTCATTCCCAACTCCCCCACACTTTCATTCTCTAAGGTGAAAAATGTTTTAGAAAAAACTCAGAATTGTGACATTAAGTAGAGGCATTTTAATTATATGCAAACAAAGAAAAACTCATGACTACATCAAAAGAATTATATTAATAACACAAAATCAAAGCATATTTCCAGTTAAATATAGAAAAACTTGTGGGCCCATCAGGACCACAAAACCTGCATCCTCCTCAGATTTCTTGATATATCACACTTGACTAGAGGAATTTGCACAGGAAGAGGAAATTCAAAGTTGAAATAGAAGTAGAGAAAATAACCTACAGACTTTTTTTTTTCTGGGTCTTTTGATGACTTGCAGCTTGAATAATATCCAGCAAGGATACATATTAAGGGAAAACTATTCCATTAAAAATATTTCCATAAACTACCTTCCCCTATTAAATATACACATACTTCTTTAAAATTGGGGGAGAAGTAAATTGATCATTTAGAAGGCAAGTTATTCAACTGAAATCATTTTTGAGATTTTTCTAAATGACAAATTAGAGACATCATCCAAACATCTATGGGTCCAAAAACTCTTCTTCCCCCAACAGCTTTACCTCCAAAAGGCATCAAATATTAAAAGTAACAAAAATACTAGAATACTCTTTGATAATACAGACCTTTTATTAATAATTCAATTGGCCAGAGAGACAAATGAGTAGAAAACATCATGTCTAAAGGGAAGACATACGACCCACCTATTTTATATATGGCAAATCAAAGAGCTGGGAAGAATTACTACTTAGAAATAACTACACATACATGATCTGTTATATGCATCCCCCTGTAAGAGGAGATTCTCTAGGTTGAAAAAATAATTTTCTGGTCTCAATTTACCCATTTGAGCTCAACATTTCCCCGCTCTAGCTCGTGGGCAGACCAGGCCAGCAGGAAACAAGATTTGAGTTGAAAATCCTCTTTTATCTGCCACCTCCAACCCCTAAGCCCTTGCTCTTCTGTAAGGTAACAAATTCTTAAAACGTCAGTCCAAAATTACAGACATGCATTTTTTGGCCACTTTTGCTCTTTTCTTTATTTTTGGTGTTTTCTTTCTATTTGCAGTTTTAACTAATTTATTACTCGCAGAAGAAGTCAATATCCTGGAAAAAAACAAAAACAAAAAAAGATTGAACGAAATAGCCTAGGCTAAAAAAACAGATGTAGATTCTGTATTTAAAGTCATATCTAATCAGAGAAATTTGGATTTAAAGTAAGTAAAGGTTGACCCCCAAAAAATATGAAATATTTACCACTTTAAGTCAAAAACTACTTACAATGAAGGTCCTAAAATGAACCTTTAATTTGCAGTTATCTGACAGATTTCAGCATAATGCTAAGAAGTGATGACAAGTGAGTCCCATTTGTGTAGGATGAGCAGTGTTTGAAGCACAACAATTAGCTCCAGAAGAATCACTTCAAAACAAGCACCTTGCAAAGTAGCTCAGAAAGCATCTTTTATTTCTGTCCTGAGTTTACAGGACCCCAGGGCATTAGGAAGAGTATAACTTTATTTCATACATAAATAGAATCTATTTACCACAAAAATAAGACATTCAAAGATTGTTCTAGAATATTTCGATTTGATCAAAAACATAATAATTTTTTTTCAGCCTATCTTTAGTGAAAACCATCTGTAAGAGTCAGTGCTGACTTTGGTTTCTTTATTTGTTACATAGACTGCTTTGCAAGACAACTTGCATCTAAAACAAAAGAGGTACTGTATTGTATACTTGAAATTTACTAAGAGGGCAGATCTTAATGTTTTCACACACACACACACACACACACACAAAGGTAACTATGTGAGGTGATGTATGTGTTAACTAGCTTGAATGTGATGATCATTTCACAATGTATATCAAAACATAATGTATGCATTAAATGTATGCAATTTTTATTTGTCAATTATAACCCAATAAAGCTGAAAAAATATAGAAAAAAGATGAGACAAAAAGTAGTAAACTGAAATAAAACAAAAGGGGGTGGTATAGAGAAAGTTTACTCATCTTTCAACTTTGACAGTAGTTATAAATGGTCCCCCAAACCTCATTATCTCAGAAAAGTCGCCACTGAAAGTTGGAGGCTTTGTTCTATACAACTTGTAAGTTGCATGATGCATTTTTAACACCGGCCTACATTGCCCCAAGATCTGAGTCCTTGTCTAGTCACTTTTGAGATGCTTACCGTGGTGGGAACTTCCTTGGTAGCTTCCTGGTACACACGCTGTTCCTTGACCAAGTTCCTGGGGAAATAACCCACGACTCCCATCTCGTCCTGGCCATCACCATAAACCTAAGTGCCCAGAAGAATAGCAATCAGGAAAAAGCTGATGCTGAGTGTCTTCTGAGAAACTCGCAGGCGTCCTCTTTGCTGATAGTGAGAATCATAGCTGCCAATACCTCCCTTTCACTCCGGGGTCCAGGGGGCGCTGCGGCAAATCCGAAGTTTACTTGGAGCACTAAGTTAACCCGCAGGAATTGTGCATCTACTGTTTAGTGGCCCAGTCTTATTTCGCTACTTTAGCATGACTTTATTTTACGCAATCTTGTGAGTTGCCTGAAATCTTTTTTGAACCCATAAATAAATATATAAAGACAGTACATTTTTTTAAAGTACTGTAGACACTTATTTTAAATGATGCAAATTTCTCAGTTTTCAACAATTCAAATGAACAGACTTAAATGGCTTTAAATTTAATCCTTCATTAATTTAGAACTTACCTTTAGGGTTGCAGATGAGGACAGAAAATCATCCCTGCTTCATCCCTCCCCAGGGACCGCCCCTGTATATTTTAACTGAAGAACGCTGATTCTTTCGAATTAATTAGGGTGCAAAGTTTCCTAAAAGAATATTGATACTTAGACTCACTGCCAACACACATGCCTTCTACTTGGCAAATCTTCTCAGACGTTTTCGGATAAGATTCAAATTCTTTGGGATGTTTAAGCCCCCATGTATTTGACTCTTTTTTTACCAAAATATCACATTAACCTACATTTGGTTTTGTTACGAAATTGATCTTTCTTTCTTTAAAATGCAATAGCAAATATACCTGAATTTTTGCATTTCCATCTACAATCACTACATGGTTCTTAACAACTAGTATTAAGCATTAAAATAGGTTGAAGGTAGGTAATCAAGGAAAGGTTAAGAGCAATATTCGTCAATAGGTGTTTAAATTATCTTACACTGCCAGCCCAAAATTCTCCAGCTCCATTTTCTTTTACCAGCTTTGAGTACACATAGATCTGCTGCCCTTTTTTAACGTTAATGAATCTACAGTCCGGGGCATTATAATCTTCTTGAGCACTAGCCAGAGAAATAGTATCTGGAAGAAAAAAAATTTAAATGATTACATTTTAGGCTCCTGAATTTTATAACAGTAAAAGGCAATGTATATTAGAAAAACTAGAAAATCAGAGTGACTGATAATTCCCAGTTCATAGCTGGTGTCTATCCAAGAGAAAGAAGACAGCCAAGATATTAAAGCTGCAACAAAACTCAGCCAAGTGAATTCTCCGTAGTAAGATACCAAACATGCAGACCAGAAGAAACAAAGCTGATAACATACACATTGGAGAAGATTCACTTCAAAGTATAATTCGATTTTATGCTATTAGTGGATATATTTTCAATTATGTAATAGAAAGATAATGAAAAGCATAAAAAAGTCCTTACAGACACACTCATCATCTGCACAGAGCTTCTTGGAAGCTAGACGGTCCATAAATATTCCATGCACAGCACATACAGCCACAAGACCCGGGAGGAAAAGTAACAATATTCTTGCCATCTTCCTTTTTTCTGTTTTAACTTGAACTCTGACTGGAAGCGGGGACTGACTTCAGTGGTTCCTGCCTTTTATGTGAAAGCCAGAGCTCTGGGTAAATACCCTGGCCAATTAGAAGGGCCTACCACCCCTCCGTTTTCATAACAGGCTGCTCGGCTTCAGGGGCTATTTAGCGTCTGATTTTCCAAACAGAGTCAAACTCTGTGTCTTTCTATACACAGATAATATCCAAAATGGTCCACTATTGTTAAAGCCGCTTTAGCAGTGGTCTATTGTATCAATCAGTAGGGCTTTGCTGAGAGGACTATGAGAATTTCAAACCATTTTTAGTTTTAATTCACCCCTAATTTTCCTTCAGCTTATGAGCAAAGACATACTAGTTGTAGGAATTTGTTGAAAATGTGAGATCTATAGCACAAATAATTTGATTTAAACAAATTCAATTAATAAATCTGGATTTACGTAATAGATAAATGAAAGATTCTTATGCTTACAAATCTTTCATGATAGGATTCTTAGAAGGCATGCCTGTCCCAGGCTAGAGATGAATTCTAACATACTAATTGATGCCCCATTTAGACCCTACCAGTGGGGAAAGAGATGGGTGGGTTGGGAAAAATAGGTCAATCTTTCCCCTACCTCTTCTCTCTAAGACTTTTGCAATTCAGTCTCAAATGCTCAAGGGTGACAGGTCAAAGAGAAGAGAGTGAAGTTACAAGTTTATGTTACCTGGAACTTCCTGCTTCTGAGCATGTTTCCCATGGGGAGAGGAGCACTCCTAGAGGCACCAAAGTGGAACCGCCAGTCCCTAGCTCCGTCTATTCAGCAAATATTTACTGAGCACTTACTGTGCCAGGTATAGTTCTGGGCACTAAAGATATAGCAGTAAATTTAAAAAAAATATTTTGGCCCCAAGTGTTGCTTTCTATTAGAAGAGACAGACAGTAAGTTACTGCTTTTTATAGGGTGTTTGAGGCTGGCATCTCTCCCATAAGGTGGCCCTTCCCCTGTTCTTATCCATTGCTTCTAGAATAGAGATCCTCTCAGGATGCCTTCTCCACCTTGGTTGATGATGTGACTTCGGAGCAGTGCCTTCTCCCCCAACCCCAAAGTCGTAACCTCATAAAATGAGGGACAAGAATTTAACTTACTAAATAATTTTGTGCAATACAATTTCCCAAGGGATAAATGGGTAAGGCAAAATATAATAAAAAGGTTTTTTGTTTTGGGTATATGTGTGTGTGTGATAGAGTTGTATTGGTTTGAGTGCATCTGTGTGTGTATGTAAAAGAGTTTTGGTGTGGGTATGGGTGTGGGTATGTGTGGCTGTGTGTGAGTGTGTGTGTGTGGCTGTGTGTGTATGTGTGTGTGACTTTCAAGGGAGGATCTTTTATATAGCTGGTCCTGATTGGAAAGTCTGTTTTATTCATACCTTCATTATAGACAAGGAAACTGAGGCACAGCAAATGCCAGAGTGGTCTTTTTGTTTTTTGTTGCTTTTTTTTTTTTTTTTTTTTTCCGAGATGGAGTATTGCTCTGTCACCCAGGATGGAGTGCACTGGTGCAATCTCGGCTCACTGCACCCTCTGTCTCCAGGGTTCAAGCAATTCTGCTGCCTCAGCCTCCCAAGTAGCTGGGCTGGCAGGTGTGCACCACCATGCCCAGCTAATTTTTGTATTTTTAGTAGAGACGGGGTTTCACCATATTGGCCAGCCTGGTCTCAAACTCCTGACCTCAAGTGATCCGCCCTCCTCAGCCTCCCAGAATGCTGGGATTACAGGCATGAGCCACCGCACCTGTCCTAAAGTGGTCATTTTGAACCATCCTATCTAAAGGTTACCAGAGGGATCATGGTTCAATGCTATTTCAATTCATTGTTGTCAACTTGGAATTGACAAATTAGAATAAATCATTTATTTCCTGTTTCACATCAAGGAAAGATTGAATTCGATATTATTTTTGAAAGCAGAATGCCTTTCCAATTTTTCCCCTGTAATCAATCTAAAGGTCTAAATTTCTGGGAAAACTAAAGCATTGATTAAATCTTCTTAATCCTGATTGCGCAGCTGTTTTATGGACTGTTCCAGTCTCAAACCAGCCCTCAGCATAGGAGAGTTAAAAGACAATTGTCATTTAAGAGGCACTTGAAGAAATGGGGACTGCAAAAACTCCCCATTGGGGAGCATATACAGATCCCCAAAAGCAGGATAAAATGATTAAAAACAAAAAGCAAAATGTGACATTCAAGCTATCACAACTTAGAAAATCAGGCTAATGCTAACGTGAAGCCATTATTGGACATTTGAAGGTGAAGAAATAAAGTAATGAGATAACCAAGCCTTCTGAGTGCAGCCTGGGAAAGCTTGTGGTGTTCTGGCATTCTAAAGTGGCAGACACAGGACAGAAGCTAGAGGCTTCTTGGTAAAATTGCATGCAAATAGGAATTTGAACTTGCAATAATTCAGCAAGTAGCTGTGTCTGGCAGTTATGCCAAAGACACTGGGGCCACTGGGGGTTCAGTGAGGGTTCTGGCCCCAGTTTTCATACTCGTTCCTCTAGATTTTCAGACGTATTCTCCAAACATTCAATCCCTAAATGACATTTTTCCCCTTCAGTTCCTAAATTAGATTCTCTGTCTGGAGTTCTTAAATGGAGGCCATGGCTCCTTTAGGATCTAAGCATGGGCTCGGTCAAGTGCAGGCAGCCTCCTTGTCATGGCCTACAAGCTCCTGTAGGATCAGGCCCTTCTACCTCTGGGATTTCACCTTTTGCTCTCTCCTCCACTCGCTCTGTTCCTCCCATACCAGTTCTCTCTAACTTTTGAAAACACTAAACTCATTTCTGCTTCAGGTGCTCCGAACTTACCACCTAGGATGCTTTTCCCCAGATACTGGCATTCAGGTTCCTGGCCAAGATGCCTCCACAGACAGAACAATTTAAAAGAGCCACTTCAAACCTTCCTCCACCCAATCCCTGTATCACGTGGCTGCAGTACACTGTCCTAAGGCATGTATCATAGCTGACATGCCTGCTTTATTTACTTAGTTTGTCTTCCAACCAACAGTATAATGAAAGCTCCACAAGGCAGGCATCTTTGCTATCTTGTTCCTCACTCTGTCATTAGCACCCGGAAAGATACTTGGTGTGCATTAAATAGGTATTCACTGAATGAATGCACAATTGCTCCGAAATTGTACGCATAGGGGTGTGTGTGTGTGTGTGTGTGTGTGTGTGTGTGTATGCATGCATTTTTCCCCTGGGCAAAGTCCCTGGCTTTAAAAACAGATTGATAACACCTCTAAGAGTCATTGAATAAATCATTAGGGTAGAAACTCTGGGGTCTTGCAACTTGCCACCAAAACATGGTCCCCAGACCAGTAACTTTGACATCACTTTATAGAAATGAAGTTTCTCAGACCTCACCCCGGAGACACAATCTAAATCTACGTTTTAATGAGATACTCAAGTCACCTGTATGCACATTAACATTTGAGAAGTACTGTTTCCAGGCAAGTAAAATACCGTAATTTTAGCTCACATTCTTCATAAGGTCTTGGCTGGATATATTTTCAAGGAAAAACAAATGCTTGTTAAATACTCAAACAGAAGATACTATAAGGCTTAAAGTTTAAAATGGAGTTTTGAGTTTCTTGCAACTGAGGTAGGAGACCAGAAGAACTTGTTTTCTGGTCACCACCCTGCTGACCAGAACAGGATCTGGTCCAGGCAGTAAAAAGTGAAGAAACCAGCAGGGACAAGGAGATGTCAAGAAAAGCGATCCTCAGCTGTCTTCATTGTTTATTAGCATAAGCCACTCCCATAGTGCCATGACAGTTACAAATGCCATGGCAACAACCTGGAAATTACCACCCCTTTCCATGGCAATGACCCAGAAGTTACCACTCCTTTCCTAGAAAGTTCTAAATAATCTGCCCCTCAATTTGTATTGAGCCTCCCCTTAATTTGCATGTGACCGAAAGTGAGTTTAACTGGGTATAAATGCAGTTGCCAAGAGCCAATACTTTGCCAACTCTGGGCACACCGTGTATGAATTAGCCCTGCTCTGCAAGGGGCAACACTATTTACCAAAAGACTGCTGTTTACCACCATGAGCTCACCCTTGAATTCTTTCCTGGATGAAGCCAAGAATCCTCCTGGGCTAAGCCCCAAGTTTGAGGCTTGCCTGCCCTGCATCACAACCATTTCCAGAATTAACATTATCCTCTATTTATCAATATACTACTTTTGAAAAACACCATTTGAGTCAATGATCTATGATGCCCTACTTCATGAAAGTAGAAACCTGCTTTGTTAGTTCTTAATCTTGGGTGACAAGGGAATCACCCTGGGGGGGGAGGGGGGTTTATAAAAATATTGATGACTACGTTTCATCCCTGGAGACTAATTGATCTGGGGTGTAGATTGAGCATGGGTATTTGAAAATGGCTCCCAGATGATTCTAATATGCAGCCAAAGTTAAGAACCACTATATTAAATAACATCTACTCCCTTCAATCATTCCTCAAAACTCACACTCCCAAAAGATGGATGAGATAGGGAAGGTCAAAAGATCTTGGTTTGACCAAATCTTCTTTAAAGCATTGCTGTCTCCTTTTTCCTTTCCCCTGCTCCCTATTGAAGCCTTATAGAGTTTGATTGCACAGGAAAGATTTGGGAAAATTAGCAAATATAATATATTGAAGTTAATGGGACTGGTGGAGAAGTGATTTATACACAGGGGAAGGGGGAGAGCCAGGATGAACTCAGTGCTGTTAAGACTGCAGAGACATTCTTAGACATTCATAGTTTTTAACATAACTGTGTAGATATATCCAGAGGTAGACAGACTATCTCTATATAAAATTCACATCATGAAAGACAAGGAGAAGCTGAGGAATCAACAGGAGGCTAAAGAAACATGACAACTACATGCAACACAATCCTGGATTGGATTCTTGAGCCATTATTGGAATATAAACAAAACTTGGATTGGATGATAATATGGGATTATTTCCTGTTTTGTTTGAGACAGGGTCTCACTCTGTTGCCCGGACTGCAGCATAGTGGCATGATCACACATAATTGTAACCTCAACCTCCTGGGCTCAAGCAATCCTCCTGCCTCAGCCTCCCCAGTAGTTGGGACTTCAGGCACACACCACCACATCCAGCTTATTTTTTTTCTTTTTGTAGACACAAGGTCTCACTGTTGCCCCAGTTGGTCTTACATGACCCTCCCACCTCAGCCTCCCAAACCACTGGGATTACAGGCATGAGCCGTCGCACCCAGCCACATTCCCTGGTTTTGATGGTCATTATTGTGGTTATGTGGGAGGGTGGTCTTGTACTTAAGAACACACATTGAAGTATCATGGAATAATGGGGTATCAGGTCAATGTAATCACAACCTCAAATAGCCCAGAAGCCTAGAAACATTAATGATTAATTTGAAGTGTTATGAAAGTTCTGTGTACCATTTCTGCAACTTTTATGTAAATTAGAAATTGTATCAAACTATCACTCTTCTGCTTGAAATCTAATAGAACATATGCCCAGACTTGTATGTAAATTTTCATAGCCACTTTCTTAATAGCCTCAAATTGGAGAACGCAAATGCCCATTCATTGGTGGAACTGCTGATATAGGCAACAGCAGATACATTTCCAAAGCATTCCAGACAGGGCGAAACTGTTGGGACAGAAAGCAGATCAGTAGTTGACTACGGCCAAGGGTAGAGGGGAATAGATTGACTGCAAAGGCGTACAAGGGAAATTTTGGGGGTGATGGAATGCTCTGTACTGATTATTACATGACTATATACAATTGCCCAAACTCATCAAATGGAACACTAACATGGGTGAACTTTATTGTACGTAAATTCTAACCCACTTTAAAAAAATTCTCTAAAATAGTCCCCCATTTCACTCAGAGTATAAGCAAATCCTGAAGAAGACCTACACGACCCCTCTTACTATTCACCCCCCTCATTCTCACCCCAGGTGAGCCACCCTGGCTTTTCTGCTCCAATACAGCCACTCAAAGCATGGCCAGGACTGGGCATGGGATCAGTCTGTGAATTATTTTCAGTTCTTAGACAAGTACGGTATCCGAGAGTAAGCAGTTAGAAAATTTATCAGCAATTGACATCACTGTAATATACAAGAACATGGCCCATTTTCTAGTAATTCACTGTTAATATATTTTACAAAAGTACAGGAGCTTGACTACTGGGATTAAAAAAGTTATTCAGAAGAGTCAGACTAACTGTGACAAAGTTATAGGAAACATTTTTTTCCTCTTTATGTATGCATAAGAGTGATGTGATACTGTCTACGTAAGTCTAAAAGTCTTTCCATAAGTAGACAATAAAAATTCCAAGTGATAAAGGTTTTGTTCAAGGAATACTAAAACAGGAACACCAGAAAAATAAGTACTGTTTTCTTTTTTGTTGTTGTTACTATTAATATGTACCATACTTGTAAAAACAAATTGTCCACTTCTGGAGATACCCATGGTTTACTCAGCAGAGGACTGAATCAATAGCCTTAAACATAAATCAAAAGCTAAAGAAAATGGGCTTTGGAAATATTTGAACATTGGTGTTTAAGAATTACAAAGAAGTAGCAAGCTTAGCACTGGCAACTCTTTATTAATCAGTCTATTTGTCTTAAGGGGGAAAAGAGACTATAGATCAAAAAATTTTTACCCTGGAGGTCTTTCAATAAAGAGATTGCATATTAACCTTAGAACAGTCCTGCCTCATGAAGGAAACAGCATTAAATGCAAAGTGTGAAGATAGCATTCCCTTTCTGTTTTCTCAGTAAACAGTAAGAACAGCCTTTATTTAATACTGAATGAAGAAAACTTGTGGAATCCCTACTAGCAGCAAAATAATATATTCATTTCTTAAAAGGATACAAAGATCAAATTTAGATCCTGCCTGGGTCTCATTTTCTTCTAATACCCAGAACAATCATTGTTACCATTAATACAACAGTCATCTACTAGCTTCTGTGATCTAATTTTACTTAACTTTTATTGAATGGTTCAATGATGTTGTATAATTAGCTCCTCCAAAGTAACACTAGAAAAGCATCCTATTACACAAGTTTATAAACCTTAAGTGTGTTCTAGACTAGAAGTCATTTGATGATAGGGAGATGGGTCAATCAAGAAAGCATTATATACACAGAATACAAATAAAAGTTTATTGTACAAAATTAAGGCCTTCGTATTTCATAGTTCACCAAGGCTAAAGAAACACTGGATAATTTAAGTCCTTCACAAAAATTTCACTTTTACTCCTCCTCATCTCTAACTATTAAAATGACCCAGCCAAATGTTATCAAAACAAACACTGTAAATAACACCAAGTCTTTTAAAGACGACTATCCCAAATGTTATTTCTTGGCATAGGTGATCTTCATAGCATGGGACGGTGTGATCTTAAATCCCTGTAAAGCATCCCTGGCAGCTCCAGCCTGCCCATCATTTTCAAATTCAACAAAAGCAATGTCATGCCTCCCTGGTACCAGACGTACTTCCTTGAAGCCAGGGAACCTATAAAGAAGAAAAACAATTCATGTATACAGCAAGTACATAAATGTTTGCTTTGTGTTAAAATTTGTTAAGCAACTTCCTAATACTAGTCCAAGAAAAATAACCATACTCTAACCAAGAATACTGAGTAGACGGAAGAGCCTCATGTGTAATTAATACCATGGAAGAACTGCAAGAATAAACTAATTCTATTTTATATTATATCAAAGCTTTGTTATTACATCAATCAGAGTTAAGAATTCAAACATTAGAGGAAATTTAGCTTTGTATTTGCTAAATCGGCAAATTGGCTCCAATTCATGATTCATCCCAAACCAAATCAATGAACCTGTAAGGAATTACTGCTGTGTGATAAATGGATTCAACCCACGGAAGTACTACTTGTCCTGTGAGGAAGCTCTCAGAAACAGACTTATTTATGAAAAAACTTACTGATTAAACAGCATGGATAACATCATCTCATTAGTCTCTTCTGGTAAGTTATTAAGGAATAAAATATAGTTTGGAGGGTAATCAGGGACCTATTAAAAAGTAAAAAGGCAAAGTTAGCTTGTAAGTTTAAACAGCATCGTAAGCTAGGCATGTGAAATCTTACTATATCAAACAATAAAGCTGAAAAACAATGACACTGGAGAAATAAATCAAAACCTTACAGTAACTAAGCAAGGCAGACATTCAAGTAAAGACACTGAAAGTCTGGAAAATTACAAATCTCTTAAGTGTTTAACAGTATATGAAACAATTATGTTTTAAGCTTCTGGAGGTGAGTCGTGATTGGAGAATTTTGTCACCTGGATAACATAATCAAAGATCTTAATAAAATTAGAGATGGCCAGCAATGTCACCCCTCCGTAGCTGGTTACCACACTCAGTATCACTCAGATACTCAATTCCTCTGTACTGTTACTACTTCCCAGCATACTAAAAAAAAAAAAAAAAATTGGAACTAGAAAGATTACCACCGAGAACCACTGCTTAGGGACTTTTAATTTACTTATTTTTGGCAAATAAATGAGATATACACAGCATCTAGTTACATACAAACAAGCAGTAACAAACACTTAGTTTATTAGATATTACTCATTTGATATCCCACCCAGAGGTTATGGGGAACTAAAGAAAGGGTCTTCTATATAAGAAAAGAGCTCTGTCTTCCTGCTACTGTCATAAAAGAGAAAAGAGCAAGTATAAAAAATAATTAGTGAACAACTCAAGGCTTAGAGGATTAAGTGCTGGCATTTGTGAACTGGACTATAAATGCTGAGGAGATAAAAAACCCAAGTAACTTAAAACAAGAGGAGAAAAACCTCAGTGGTACAGAGAATTCTATGGATTTAAGGATCTTGCCAGACCCCGCCATCTGGAAAAAAAAAAGTATGAAACCATCAGCACATTACTGAGGCCTTCTCTTTGAGGTATGTCATGGGGAGATTTAATACGGAGTTTCTAAAACATTTGTACAAGGAGGCTTAAAAAAAAAAGGCTGGAATTTATTTGTGTTCAGGAAGTGAGAGCAAAGGTTAACTATAAAACTATGTGCCCAAAGAGTGTAACACTGTAGTGTTTCAACCAACTGGAATGGAAGAGAGCCCCTGACCCTGCCAGTTACCCTTACCCATGCAACTGTGTAAAGCTTTAGGTACTGTAGAGGAAACCAAAATGTTTGCTCCCAGCCCTTAGAGTTTAAAGTCTGTCATTTTGATTCTGTCATTGATTCATTATGGAAAACAAGAAATAAAGTCAGGTGTCGTTTTCTCTCTCTAAAAAAGAATTAAAATGTTCTTCAGGAGTTGAGTTCTTACATTGCAGTGGCAGACAATTTAACGCACTGTGTCTTGTAGATGAAATCATTTTGTTTTTGGAGACATGGAAATTGTTTTATACCACTGCTGTAATTTTTACAATCTTATTTTAAGGTAAGCACGACATGGAAAAAAAATTACCTGAGGATTTGGTGTTGAATTTCCTTGGGTATTAGCTGAATTTGGAGTTCCCTAAGCAAAATAAATAGGGAGAGTTTAAATATCCAATCCCTCCAAAAACGCAGCAGGTATTTATATTTATAATTACTGCATTAAAAATAACATTAATTCCAAGAGATATCCTTCTTACTCCATTTAATTTTACTTTAAGAATTTATATCTTAACACTGACTCAAACACTCATGTTCTTAATTTGTCGGTTATTTTTGTTAAGACCAGCCCTAAACTTTAAATAGTATATTATAAAATTTAACCTCTTAGCTTTAAAATTATGGAGAAATATATAAGAGAAAACCAAGGCCTAGTCTTACTTTTAAAAACAACTGGACATAAGTCATTTAATAAAACTGACTTTTAATCACTTTCAATCCAGAAGTAATTACTTTTTGGTGAATTTCACTTTTTTTTTTTTTTTTTTTTGAGATGGAGTCTTGCTCTTGTCACCCAGGCTGGAGTGCAATGGCATAATCTTGCCTCAATGCAACCTCTGCCTCCCAGGTTCAACCAATTCTCCTGCTTCAAGCCTCCTGAGTAGCTGGGATTACAGGCATCCACCACCACGGCCAGGTAATTTTTTGTATTTTTAGTAGAGACGGGGTATCACCATGTTGGCCAGGCTGGTCTTGAACTCCTGACCTCAGGTGATCCACCCACCTCAGCCTCCCAAAGTGCTGGGATTATAGGCATGAGCCACCATGGCGCCAAGCAGTTCATTTCACTTTTATCTGGTATTTCAAATTATATTTTGCATTACTGAATTGTTCAAAGAAAGACACTGTTTTTTTTGTTTGTTTTTTGGGTTTTTTTTTTTCTTTTTTTTTTTTTGAGACAGAGTCTCACTCTGTTGCCCAGGCTGGAGTTCAGTGGCACAATCTCGGCTCACTGCAAGCTCCACCTCCCAGGTTCATGCTATTCTCCTGCCTCAGCCCCCAGAGTAGCTGGGACTACAGGCACCCACCACCAAGCCCAGCTAAATTTTTTTTGTATTTTTAGTAGAGACGGGGTTTCACCGTGTTAGCCAGGATGGTCTCGATCTCCTGACTTCGTGATCCTCCTGCCTCGGCCTCCCAAAGTGCTGGAATTACAGGCAAGAGCCACTGCGCCCAGCCAGAAAGATACTTTGAGTGAAGTACTCATGATTAAAGATAATAACTACAGTATTATTTATAGGCAGCAAAACTTGAGAAATAAACCAAAAGGTATTAACATATTTTAAACAATGATCGAATTAAATGCCATGCAAATATAAAACTGCTTAATATAAATCTCCATGTTAAGGTTTATATTTTGTTTCTTAATACTGAATTTTATAAGTCAACCATTCTAGCTTCTTAAAACCACCTTTTAAACACACATTTATGCACATATACAGACAAGCCTAAGATCATTCCTTACCTGTAAGACAAGCATCTATCAAGTTTTTAACACCAATACAAACAGGAACTTTCTTGGTCTTTCTTACCTGGCCAGGCTTTTTGTTTGTGGTTGTTGCAGTCTGTTCCACAGTTTTGGCTTTTTTCTTTTCTTTTTTCTTTTCTTTGTCAGCAAAAGTTCCACGCATTTTTGATATTATATCCGAATCTGTTTTTGCATACTGTATTCGCTGTTTTAATTATTTGAAAACAGGTTACTTCTCATGCTGAAGGATGTTTACACTAGTCATTAATATTTCAAATTTCATTACGCAAATACACTACAAGCTAATTTTAAACATATCCCTAAGAAAATCTGTCAGAATATACTGAGTGCCAAATGGAAGTAAACTGTGGGCTATAATTCATAATTTAGACAAAGTTAGATTCAAGTGTGTTTATTAGATTAAAAAAACATATATTTTCATGTGAGAAACACAGGACTTTGAAATATCTGTACCACGGCTTCTCTCCATTTAATCAAAGAATAGAGAAAACTGCATTGAAGTGTTAAAGGAACAAATGAGTGGGCTCCACCAGCGGGCTTTGGAATCCTGAACTGTTCAAATCTCCTCAGTGCCTGAGGATCTGGCTCAAGATCAGCTATTCTAATCCAGAGGTATTCAACAAACAACATATAAAACAAACAAAAGCAAAACTGCTCAGCTTGACATAGAACTGTGGCTCCAGAGCCCACTGGAGGCCAAATGCCCTTTCCTCTCCAAACCTACCCTCACCCCACAGTCACAGAGGGAGCACCTAGGGATGCAATTTGAGGGAGCTGGTGAAAAATAAAGAAAATCGCCATTCTAGACTAATCCTGTTTTACAGATAGAATAGGCCCACAGAACACTAGGGCTGGTTTGGCAGAGTCCCCACAGAACAACTTTTCTGGCAGAAAACTAGATGGAAAATTTCTTTTAAACCATTTTTAATGAGTTTATTTGAATTTTTTTTCATTTTTTAGAATTCTAAACATCATAAATGTGAGGATTTAAATAAAACTTTTTTGCATCGTAACTTTTTGGATGTACAGCTCTGAGTTGTAACATTTGTAAAGATTAATGTATCTACCACCACAATCAGGACACAGGGCAGTTCTATCACCTAAAAATCCCCTCATGCTTCCCCTTTGTTACCCCACCCCTCCTCTTCCAAACACTCATCTGTTCTCTGTCCCTGCTGCCCTTTCCAGAATGTCACATAGATAGGATCATACATGATATAACCTGGAGGCTGCCTTCCTTTACTTGGCATAATGTCTTTGAGATTCATCTATGCCGTTGCTTTTAACAGCGAGTAGTATTTCATCGTATTGATGTACCAATTTGATTTACATCATTCAATGAAGGATACTTGGTTTGTTTACAGTTTTTGGCGATTAGGAATAAAGCTGCTATAAGCACGTGTGTTTAAAAAAACAGACACACACAGAACAAAAACAACAACAACAAAAATGCATTGGAGAGTTGCCTTCCCCTTACCAGTGACTCTCAATAGAAGCATTGACATGTGTCGCAGCTGTGGAATGTGTCATATGGAATGTTACTTCCAATAGTTAAAAGTACAGAAGACTGGGAATGACTTTCCTTTGAATCTATCACCTTTACATGAAATGACTTTAACAGTGGAATCAACTTACTAAATTTTAAAATGTTTTAAAAGGAAACAAAAGAATGGAATCACAGATAATGTGACTGGACCACTTGCATATGCCTTTCATGCTGGCACCAAGAGGCAACAGTTACAACAGGGAAGGGTTCAAAAACTTGTCCAAGATAGTATTTGATCAATTATAGTTTGCATTCCAAATGCCTGGAAAGTAGGTAAAAGCTCTGATGTAGTAGGTCTGGGCAAACCTGGGATTCTGCACTTGTAACAAGCACAAAGAAGATGGTAATGTTATTGGCATGGGGACCACATTTTGAGTAGCCCTGGCTTAAAGCATTATCACATAACTATACTCAGCGCCAATGAACTGTCTGAATATTTCTGCCATAAGTTAAACCGTTATCTAGGTAGGACTATCTGCAATCTCCAACCTCCATTTCAAGCAAACTCTTCCTCCTTGGAGCTGAAAGAATTATTGCCTCTCTGATCAAAATGCAATAATCCTACAAATTACTACTTTGTAGTAATCTGTACAAATTACTTTGTATACAATAGGTATGCAAAATTTTATTGCCTCGTATAACAAGAATTTGATCTTGATCTGAAGAGAACAAGAAACATTTTAAAGTAGTGTGGATTACAAAGCAAAGAATTTGTCAAAACCAAGATCAGTTCTTCCTCTTCCTTTACTTCAGCTAGAGATGACTACACTGGGGAAACAAGAGGGGAGGGAGTAGGCCTAAACCCACACCTCAGAATCCCAGGCTCTTTCTGGCTGGTCTGGGCTGCCGTACCACAGTGGCTCTAAGTGTGCTTATCCCTGCATGCAACTCTGCTAGTCTTGCCATCATCATCTAACCAAAAGGAGACAGGCTGAAGGGTTAGACTAACTTCTGACTTGGTCCTAAGGGTTCCCTCACAACTCCCTTGGCTCTGCAACCTCGTGCCTGACCTGAATAGATCTTCGGTGACCTGATTTGTCTGTCCTTATGACCTAGTCACCTGTGAAAACACCTGATCTCAGCAATAGCTCTTAGCTGGCTCATTTAAACCAGTGGTTCTCAACCAGAGGTGATTTTGTCTGTCAGAGCACAGCTAGCACTAGCTGGAGACATTACTCGTTGTTATGCTACTGGCATCCTGTGGGTAGAGGCCAGGGATGCTGTTAAACACGGGGTAATGAACAAGACAGCCCCCTGCAACAAAGACTCACTCATTTCAAAATGTCCAAAGTGACAGGGTTGAGAAACGCTAGTCTAGGCTAAATACCTATTAGAGATAAAAGTCTAACCACAACTTAGAGAAGGGCAAGATTTACACTTATGCCAAAGTTTTCATGACGAAGCCCTTAGGAAGACAGTTCTACTTTATTAAGGTACTTTTGGCATTAACTAAATGCCCTTGAATCAGAGAGAGTAATTCTGTTCTGAGTTCCAAGTTATAGCAAATTTTGTTCATTTCTGATCGGTATGTTGGAGTTAAAACAGAAGAGCAACTACAACCACAGTAAGACATAAACAAGACAGCCCAAAGAACTCTATTTCCCCTCTTCTAAGATGGAGATTTGGCAGTATCTGTTACCTTTCTGTAGGAAAAGAATAGACCTCCCAAAATGCTTCAATATAATAATCAATCTAATACACTTTCCCACTAATTTTAAAAAATAATTAGTTGGCAAGGTGAGGCTGGTGCCCAACACAGCAAACAATTTCCTTTCCTGTATCTGAGTAACAGACACATGCAAACTTGTCATCTCAACTCAGCAAAATAGCTCTAAACCCTCTATGGGAAGAAACTGTACTTTCAAGTTAATATAATTTTAGATGTAAGCTAAAACCCAGGCCCTATGCTGCTGCCAACTGAGATCTCAATTATGGTGTTTCTTTATACTACTATGAGAGACCGCCTGGTTTCAGGAAACACCAATATACTAAAAATTACATTACATAGGTACCATCCCACAGTTTCCTGGGATAGGCTTTTCCACAAAAATGGTGTCCAGTCAGCTGGGAAGTGATGGGAAAAGGAGAGCTGGATAGAGGATGAGAAGAACTTGCTCTAATAACAGAAAAAAAGGTGCTGAGGCTTGAATTAAGCATCATGGTATAAAACAGGGGTCCTCAAACTACTGTCTGTAGCCAACACTGCCTGTTCTCATCTGGGACTGCTCTTCCTGCTATAAAAGCAGAGTTGAGTAGTAGTTGCAACACAGATTATCTGGCTTGCAAAGTGTAACATATTTACTATCTGGTCCTTTACGGAAAGTTTGCTGACCTGTAATGCAGAAAAAAAATCACAATACTAGCTGTTAGATTAGTTGTCAACTCCTGAGGCTGCCACTGGTTATATTACTATAACCTAGATGAACAATTAAACTTTCTATGCCTGTTTCTTCATCTGCAAAATGAATGGGTTAGATCAGCGGTCTGTACCACAGTCTGTGAGCCAAACCCTGCCCACAGGCCTGCATTAGCATGGCCTACATGAATTTTCTTAGATAATGTTAAAGGGTTGTTAAAAAACGTAAGTACATAAAAGAACAGGTAACAGAAACCATATATGGCTTACAAAGCCTAAGGTATTATGTACTTCTTTACAGTTTTTGCTGATGCCTGCATTAGACCAAAGAACAACCAATTTGTTTACCGGAGGTGGTAAAACTAACCACGGGCACAGAGCCAGTTAATAGTACAACCAGAATGAAGACCCAGCTCCTCTAAACCCTGGCCCTTGGCTCTCTGTCCAACACTCCTTCACATCACATTCTAATCGCAGAAAAAAAGCAGTTTGGAATCCACACCTAAGATATGGTGTATTCACTCATACATAGAAACCCCTTGCTTCACACTCTGTGGTCACCCTTATCTGATCCTCTACCATCTCTGACTTACATCAAGGGCCTCCTAATTGAGTTTCCCACTTCCTTTCTGTCCCTCCCACAATGCGACCTTCATCCAGCAGCTAGATGTGAATCTCATTATGTCATTCCTGAGTTTAAAACTCTCCATTCATAACCATTTCATTTCCATTGTTATTCCTAAAACCTATGAGTTTAAACCTATCATTTTTCCTTAGATCACTGTTTCATCTAGACTGTGCAGCTTCTGACACATAGTATTTCACTACGACATATTCTAAAACTTCAGACTGAATTTCCTCTTTGACTCATGACTTTTGTTTCGTAATGTTTTACAAGTTTACAAACAGGTTTCTTTTCAAGTCTTCCAGGATATTATTAATTTCTAACTTTTTGAGATAAGACTATTGCCTAGACTGCCATTATTTTTTAAAATATTCTACATCTCAATGTATTTTGTTTTTGCCCATCTGAACTGTCATAAATTAAACTCTACCACTACTGTTTTTCTATAAAAATACATAAACCCAAACACACATAATTAAAAGCAGAAAGCAATAGCCACAGTTTCAAGCATATTTACAAATCTACTGTCCCATCAATATCATTAATTTCTTGATTAAAGTGAAATAATGGAATTGGCTTACCATTGGTTTACCATAAAATGGAAATCCTTGTAGCTGTCTCAAGGCATTTGTGGATGAGCCCAGTTCCTTAAATATGACAAAGGCCTGCCCCCTCATCTTCATGGTCTTTAAAGCCACAATGTCCACCACATGACCAAACTGAGAAAACAGGGCATATAGGGATCTCTTCAATTCTGTCCAAATTAGAAAAGAAACAAGTTATTGGTAATAAAGTAATGACAAAAGTCTTCATAAAATGATACTGCATTGAGTTGCCCCCCCCACCATTCACTTATTTATACAGTTATATATTTTAATATTTATAAAAACATATACTATTCCCATTGGCTATATGTAATTTTAAAAGTTATATGAAACCATTATATCTATGAGTAGAAACAGACTGTACACACTGTCAGTTCCTACCTATTTTTGTTTTTTAAAAGCCTTCAAATCCCTATAGGAAATGGGATAAACCATTATTTCAGGCACTAAGATGATGAGGTAAGAGGTTTTGAGGCAGTACAATTTTTAAGACAGTAGTAAATAAACACATTTTAGTAGTGAACAAGTATTCTAAAAAGCACTTACCTTCCTTTTTAATTTTGTCATTCATATTGTTGATATAAATTGTATGATTTGGTCTGATATCCATGTTTGTGTTAAATTCTTCAGGAGACAGTAAAAAATCTGTTATAAAAAGGAAGGAGTAAATTATACTGGACTGTGGCATAAGGACACAACACAAGAATTATTAACTTTTCATTTCTCTTTCAATCCCAGTTGTCAGAAAATGTCAGTTTGGCTGTAGCCTTTATTGTATCTCCAGCACCTACTAGCCCTCCTTTTCATACAGAAGAAGAACAGTTTCTCACATTCAAAACTTGGAGCACCAATACCTAGCCAGATTTTAGTAACACCATTTAATTCAACACATTTATTTTTACACTTACGTTTCACTTATGACACGTGACATTTTCTTTCCACCTCCTCAATGAAATAATTTTAAAATGTAGATTTGAAGAAAAATGACCAAAGTAGCAAATGTACATCCAGTAAAAATCATAAGGTTAGACATTAATGAAGTTTGCCAACTACTTAATGGGTGCACTTACAAAGTCCTTCCATACCTATTAATTTGTATACAGCATCACCAAGCTGTCTGGACTCCAAGGTTATCTCTAACCGACTTGAAAGAAAGGAGCTCAATGACAGCAGTGTGGCATGACGATTAAACTCAGATTCCAGTATCAGCCAGATGTGAATTCAAATCCTATTTATGCTTCTTACTAGCTGTTTGCCTGAGGGAAGTTCCTTAACCTCTCAGGTCCTCATCAGTAAAATAAGAATGGTAACAGAACCTACCCAATAGAACTCAGAAGACTAAATGAATTCTAGCACAGTTCTGCATCAGCGGTAAACACTTAAGAGTAGCTATTATTAACAGCTATTACCAGGTAAGGAACTTGCCTAAGGTCACACAGCTAATAAGCATCAGGCCTGGAAATTCAGCCCTTGCTTTCTCCTCTACACTTGTCTTCCTCATATACCACACTATTGCATTTTTTACATGGTTTTTACTTGCAAATTGTGAACTTGGATGATTTCCTTGTGTGCCCCACATATTCCTTTATCTCACAGTATTTACAGAGCATCCACTGTATGTGAACTGCATTGGATGATTGACAAGGGAAGAGCCTACAAGCAGGGGCTGCACTTGTGCAGGTAACAGGTAAAACGTAACGCTTCTCAAAGCCTTGCGACCCCCTAAATCGAAATCTGGAGAAGGGGCAGGGGTCGCAAAGGAGACGACGAAAGGGAAGTGACTGAGGCAGAGGTCAAAGTGAAGGTAGGGGGACAAAGGGGAGGCTCTTGCAGGGTTTCATGCGAGGTTTGATCGTGGGCTGCGTTGTTACAGGGACACCCTGAATTACCCGCCACCACCAAAAGGGAGCCGCTGGAAGACACCTGAAAGCGCAGTGAACTGTCCACGCCTCGCACGAGCAGACTGACATTAACTATCCTTTACTTCGTACGCGCAAGCCTCCCGCCTCTCCAGACACAAGCACCTTCGCCCAAGGCCCCCTAACGAAGTCCAAGGGAGCTGCCACGCGATGCCCGGCCCCAGAGTCAGTCTCCTCACCCCCAAGCCTGCCCCTCCGAGATCCAAACCCGGGCCAAACGCGTACCCACCCCAGCTTCGCGCTTCGTCCGCTCCCAGCTGCAACAGGGGAGAAAAGGGCCGAGGAGCCAGGAAAACCGAAACAGCGAGGTAGAAGGCGCACGAACCCACCTAAGGCCTACGCCGACTACTGTAAGAACCAAAAGCAGGAAACGGAGCCAGGCACCGGAAGCAACGTAGCCACGCTCCTCAATCGAGCGCCGACAAGTCTAGAAGCCGAGCACAGAGCCGATCGATGCTTCCGGGTCTCTGGCAGCCAGGGCTGGCAATCTCTCTGCGCGTGCGTCTGCCCTGCGGGCAGGAGAAGAGTCCGGAAATGGAAATGGGGAAAGAGAAGGGGGTTGTGAGGACCATGCTGCGAGGGAATAGTGAAGGGGAGTGAATCATTTCCCCTACCACGACCTTGCGAAGCTTTACCCGGCGCAACAGTGCCTTCCACCTTTACAAATCCTATGTAATTTTACAGGCGCTGCCCCTCATGCTATGGGGCAGTTAGTCCTGGTTTCGCCCTTCTTTGGGCTCTAGCTACCCCGGTTTAAAATCACCTTTAGGATAGCCAGTTCCTCCTGCCTCCGAGTCTCCTCTGATTCATGGGGCTCTGCAGGAACTGTCCTCCAACACTGTGCTGATGAACTTGAATCTCAGAGGCTACTCAGTTTGAGGGCCCAGGGCAGACAGAACTGGTGTCTGCCCAATTCTCATCTCTCACCAGATAAGGCAACCATGCTGACTAGAACCCAGTCATCTGTAAGATCATCTGCCTCAATTCACTCGAAAAAATAATTCCCTACCACCCTTCCCACTCTTTTCTTCCAACAAAAGGTCTAGATTTTTCTAGGGTATTCTAAGGAGTTAGTATTTATGCCAAGCTGAATGGGAGTTCCCAAAGTGCATGCATTCATTCATCCATCCATTCATCAGATGTCTGTAAAGCATCACCTGGAATATGAAATGGTTGTTAAGAGTCAACTGGAACCTAATCTTGTACCCTCTGCTTAACTAATCTCTCTGACCTTCACTTTTTTCATCTGTAAAATAGGGATCCTAATAGTACCTCCTTCTAGTTGTTGTAAGCATTAAATGAGCTAAAATAAATGTAAAGTGATTGGCACATTGTCAGACACAATAAATGCTCAAAAATGTTATTTCTGAATTCTGGCTATAACTTGGTTCTACTGGTGAGGCAGGTAGCTGTCAAATAAGTTGGTTTTATCAGCTGGGAATTTTTATTTTTTAAAAACACCCAAAGTTGCAACAACTTGAAAATAATATAAGCTTTTTAAGGGTGGGGTTTTTGTCTGCTCTGTTCACTCAAGTACCCTTAGTAATGGGAAAAGTGACTGATAATTAATATGCATTGGATAATTCAATGAATGACATGGAAAACTAGGCAACAGTAAAACAAATATGCTTTGAACATGCACCTGAGTGTAGAGAATGTTAAGGGATCACAGAAAAGCATCGTTTTATTATATAGATCTAAAACTAGAAGAAATGGCTGAGTGTAGTAGCTCACACCTGTAATCCTAGCATTTGGGGAGGCTGAGACAGGAGGACTGGTTGAGTCCAGGAGTTCAAAATCATCCTGGGCAACATAGTGAGATCTCATCTCTAAAATAAATAAACCAATGAGAAGAAATGTCCTATCTCAGTCAAAGAATTATATCTTTAACAAATTAAAAGAGAATATAAACTTAATATAAACAATTTCTAAATAACAAAGGACAAGCTGTTTTGCATATTACTATGAGCATCTCAGCAATTAGTTCTGTTTGATAATAATGAGGATGGCTACACTACTGAGAATAAACTATACTCTGTATTGTATAAGGGGATCTAGCCAAGAGTTGATAACTGTTAAAAGAGAATAAGATGTGATTATACAAAAACACTCCAACCTGGGAAGAAAATACCACAAGAAACACAGAGGCCTGAAGACAGACTGCATGTTGTGTTCTATTAACAATTAAATTACAGCTATTGTACATTACACTGTGAGAAGGAAATCATCCATTGCCAACTCAGCCGCAATGGTCTGCATGCACTTTTCCAGGTTCTTCTAAAAAGAGCCAGTGCATTTTCCTGTCCTTGGGCAGTCACTCTGGGCATTCCAATAACCCGTTAATGATTCTCAGTGGTTTCCTGAACGATTTGAGAAGCCAGTTATTGAGAACAGTACAGGAAGGGAATGATAAGGATCGAATAGCTTTTCTGGTTTTGTGAGAAACCTTGCATAGCCTGGCTATGTAACTATATTAAGAATATTATAGCAGCTAAACTATGGTCACATGTACTGTAAAACATCATCACTTTATAACCAGATCCACTTCTTGAGGGTGAGATCAGGAATCAGATGTCCAAAACTCACATTTTTAAAAACTAGAAGAGCAAATGAGTTTTGTTAGTTCTGCTCAGTCTGTTCTTTCACATTTGGGTTAGGTATCGTGATTTATTTTCCTGTGAAACAGGCTTTTTTTAATCGAGAGAAACAAGGAGGCAGCGTTATAACCACCCTATCCAAGTGTCATGTATTTGCAGATGATAAAACTTGCTTATTTTGGGAGTAGCAGAAAAATTACTACAAACAGTAGGGAATAAAACTGTGCCAAGATGTCTAAATTATAAGGAAGATAACTGAGGTGTCTCTTAGTGACTCTGAATACACATACATTTCCCTACCTTATCTGCACGTGTTTTATGTTTCTCATTAATTGTTTTTGGTATCTTGCTGCAGTAGTTTTAAGAAGGAGCCATGTATAAAGGAAAATGCACCATAAAACTGGTGGATAAATTTTGTCTTATTTATGTTACATAGAGTCACAAAATGTATGGCAATTCGTTTGTATCTTCTTTCTCTCCCCAGGTGGTGATTACATTAAGAAATGTATCTAGAGTGAAATTATTTTCACAACAAGCATTAAACAAATCTAGGCGTTATTGTTGAGCACCAAATCAGGTTTATGTTTTCCAGGGAGGTTGGGATAATGTTGACTGAAACTTCCTAAAAAGCACCACTCTCCCACCCCCAATTCAGGGAGGAAATAATTTTGTGCAATTTTCTTTCATTTTACTTAATTCTTACATTTCATTCTTTGTGGATACATTCTTGCTTTTAGGAATGAAAGAAACCCAAATATGACTATTGCCTCTGATGTTCACTACTGTATTAATGTTAAGAATAGTGTGTCTTTCACATGCAGCAAAATACCCTCTCCCCAGAATGGGTGATGTCTCAGATAGGCTATGAGAATGTGCACATTCCATAAAGTTTGGAAATGGTAGTTTTTCTTTGAGGACCTGATCATTAATCCAAAGAAGTGTGGGGAAAACCTGAACTTTTTTGGTGAACTTTTTGTGAGACATGTAGGTTGTGCTCAGTATTGTATCACCTGCCCTTCCCTAAAGGAGCTAAAGTAGCATCATACAACTGTCGTTCTCTTTGAGACTAGAAAATTAAGATTTCAGTCCCATGAGATGCTCCCATGAAATAAAATATTATGCACACACAACTTTTAAATATAATGGGTTTTGCTTCCCCTATGATTAATCCCTGTAATTTTTTTTGAGTCTTAAGCCTTAGGACAGTTTGAAAACACAAAATTTAAAAAGAACAGCTTTAAAAAAAAAAAAAGACTGTCAGGCCCTGATTGTGTAATTTCAAAAGTGATATATTGTTGATTTCTTGGGCATTCCCCAGATATCTTAATCCAGTGCTGAGAAGCTGCATTTGTAGCAAACTCCCGGATGATGCTGATGCTGCTGGTCCCATACCGCATTTTGGGTAGCAAGAACCTAAGCATTTCTTTTTTAAGAATGGTTGGGGTCGGGCGCGGTGGCTCAGTTTGTAATCTCAGCACTTTGAGAGGCCGAGGCAGGCGGATCACAAGGTTATGAGTTCGAGACCAGCCTGGCCAACACAGTGAAACCCTGTCTCTACTATAAATACAAAATTAGCTGGGCGTGGTGGCAGGCGCCTGTAATCCCAGCTATTCTGGAGGCTGAGGCAGGAGAATCGCTTGAACTCAGGAGGTGGAGGTTGCAGTGAGCCAAGATCATGCCACTGCACTCCAGCCTGGACAACAGAGTCAGATTCTGTCTCAAAAAAAAAAAAAAAGAAGAAAAAAAAGAATGGTTGGTAGGCCAGGCATGGTGGCTCATGCCTGTAGTCCTAGAGCTTTGGGAGGCTGAGGTGGGTGGATCACTTGAGGTCAGGAGCTTGAGACCAGCCTGACCAACATTGTGAAACCCCATCTCTATTAAAAAAATAAAAAATTAAAAAAAATATATATATACACACACAAAAATTAGTCTGGTGCCATAGTGCATGCCTGTAGTCCCAGCTACTTCAGAGGCTGAGGTGGGAAGGTGGGAGAATTGCTTGAACCTGTGAGGTGGAGGTTGCAGTGAGCTGAGATCACACCACTGCACTCCAGCCTGAGTAACAGAGCAAGACCTCATCTCAAAAAAAAAAAAAAGAAAGAAAAGAAAAAAGAAAAAAATGGTTGGTAGATTATTCTAGTATCAAACTGTAGTTATCTCTAGAGCCATAGAGATACTACCAGATACAGAATACTATCTTCCTTTTGAAACACAAATCAACTATTTCTTTCAAAGGAGCTCGTATTTATTTGAAACTTTATTTTAACTGTCTTCTACTGGGCATGTAGACATAAACCTGGAGAGAAAGAAAGTCTGGAATATTTATTCTTTTTAACAGGTGATTGCTTATTTGGGGAGCCCTGGGTCACTTTCTAATTTGTGGTAGTCATTTCAGCTCTTCACAAATACTGTGATTCTTGCTCCTTCCAGGCTCATGGAGGGCTTGCACTACTCTACATCCTTTGAAAATTGGCATGGCCAAGTCACTGCTTTGGCTAATGAATTGTGAGAGCATGAGACATGCATCACTTCCAAGTAGGAGCATCACAGGCCAGTGCACAATTTGCCAGGTGCCCTTTTTCCTGTCCTTGTGATCTTGGAAACATATTGCAAGATGGAACCTCTGTCAAGTGTAGGCACTAATGATTAAAGGACACCCTCCTCCTGCCCAACACACACACACACACACACACACACACACACACACACACACACACACAAATTCAAACTGGTCATGTAATAAAAGCAAGAAATAATTAACTGATATTTAGGGGATATTTGTTAATGCAGCATAGCCTAGCGCCTCCTGACTTTATACATTGATCAAAATCACCTCTGAGAAATAATTCTTGGCTGGGCGTGGTGGCTCACACCCAGCCTGTAATCACAGCACTTTGGGATGCCGAGGCAGGCAGATTGCTTGAAGTCAGGAGTTCAAGACCAGCCTGGCCAACATGGTGAAACCCCATCTCTACTGAACATACAAAAATTAGCCAGGCATGTTGCATGCTCCTGTAATCCCAGCTACTTGGGAGGCTGAGGGAGAATTGCTTCAACCCAGGAAGCGGAGGTTGCAGTAAGCTGAGATCGTGCCACTGCACTCCAGCCTGGGCAACAGAGCAAGACTCTGTCTCAAAAATAAAAAAAAAAGAAAGAAAGAATTTTGGACTATTTCACAACTATAAACTGTTTTTAGTACATAAGAGGTTATATATCTGAGGTGACTCATACCTTTTAAAGGGAAAGTCAAAGTAATCAATGTTTTTCTGCCTAATTGACATTCCAAAAAAAAAAACCAAAGTAATCAATGTTTAGCTATATGATCCATCTTCTGAGTGACCTTTATCGAGTGATTTAACCCCACATTTATTAAGCACCTATATAAGATGACTATATGTGAGAAAATATGTTAGGGCCAAGCTTAGAGAAGAATTGGTGGTTATAGCATTTTCACAAACCTTTAGAGAAGGATTCTGAAGACATAAAGAGATATCATGCTCACAGTCTAATTTTAGGTTGGTCAGAATCATCCTGCAACACAAGATCAGATATTTATAAAACATATCAGGCAAGATTTAAACTCAGGAGACAGGTTGGATTCTTATCACAAAGAAGTTGAAAGAAAAATTATGAAGCCTCTAGTTTGAATTGCAGATTATGCACGGACAAGACAACCCTGAAAATTATTTCTGTCTAGAGAATCCAAAACAATTATGTAATTGAGGCTGATATTTCCTATTCTATTTTAAGGTGAATGTGGGTCAATTCAAGTATTGTAAATTTCTCTATCATTCACTGGCAGAAACATCATCACAAGAGTTAATGAGTTTATTAAAACTGGTGCTGAAAAAATAAGAAATTGTGTTTGTCTCTTATTGATATTGGATGGTCTCTCTGTAATCATAGTCTTTGTTCAGCTTTAATATGAAGCTACTTCCTGACATTTAATGTTACCAAATTACTTCAGCTTTCCAAAGATATTAATATAACTTATAATACATTTTGTCATCTCAGTAGAAGATTATGAATAAGACTGGTCAGTTTAGAAGCCTGAAAGAAATTAGTTCTAAGTTATTTCCTCGTGACTGAAATTGCAAATGTCAGATTCCATTACAAGAGGCTGAGATGGAAAGAGCTCATTCCTTTCTTCGGTTAACATAGGATATCCCAGAAGTCTTTGTACAGCGTCAAGCTTTAAATACTTTAAGTAACCTAAAACCATACTAAGACTTTGGGACTGTCTCACCTTTATTTGGCACCTACAACATAGCAAATCCTACATCTTACCTTTATTGGGCACCTTTAGTGTTTTACCTTTATTGGGCACCTACAACATAGCAAATCCTATGTTAGCTATTGGAGATACAGTAGTGAGGAAGATAGGCATGGTCCCTGCTGTCACAGAGCTTCCCATCTCACAGATGTCACACCAACATGTCAACATTTGGGAGTCTGAATAACTACTATGGAGGTGCTCCCATTACCATTGCTGCATGACAAACTACCTCAGAAAGTTATTATTTAAAACAACAACTGTTAGATTATGCCTTATGAATCCAGTAGATCAGGAATTCAGTCAGACTGTGGCAGGTGAACAGCCTGGTCTAAAGGATCCAAACAGTTTCACTCCCATGTTTAGTGGTAGCAGTGGCTAAAAGGCTAAGCTCAGATGGGACTGTCAACTGGAGCAGCTCCACAGGTTGTTTTCAGCCTGGTGGTCTCAGGGTTGTTGGATTTCTTACATAGGTGCCAGGTTCCCCCAGACCAAGCATTCCAAGAACATTAGGTGGGAGCTTCATGATGCTTTGTAACTTGCCTGGAAAGTCACACAACAAAACTTCTAGCAATTTCTGTTGGCTGCAAGTGAGCTATGAGGCCAGCCAGCTTATATTCAAGGGGAAGGGAATTGGACTCCATTACTTGATGTGAGAATGGAAAATTTACATTGTAGACCACTTCTGGGAAGGAAGAGACTATTCTGGTGGAGGGGCAGGCTTTCTAGACTTAAAGGTAAGAAGGAGCTGGTAGTTAGAAAAGTAGTAAGTAGGAGGAAGGCAATAGAGAGTTCCTCAGGCAGAGAATACTTCTTGCAAAGGTCTGAGATGGAAAGGAATTTGCCAAATTTGAGGAACTGAAAAAAAAAAAAAGCAGCAGACAGTTACAGCTGGAACACAGGAGATGAGAGAGAAAGTTGACTGAGATGAGATTTCCAGGATCAGCTAGCATCTTGTAAGCCATGTTAAGGCATTTGAGGGTTATGCTAAGAGCAATAGAAATCAGACTTCTAAGCAGGAGAAGACATGATATAATGCTATGTGTGGATCTTTCTGAATGGAATGGAGGGGTCAAGTCTAGGCTAGTGAAGAAATGGTGGCAGTGTCCAAGGTAGAGATGAAGGTGGCCTGAATTAAAGTGGCAGCAGAGAAGTAGATAGATCCCAGTTCTATTTAGAGACATGATTCAAAGCCTTGCTGATGGATTGAACATGGAGGGGGTGAGGGTTGGAAGGTGTATTTATTTCCTGGGGCTGCTATATCTAGCTACCACAAACTGGGTGGCTTAAAATAACAGAAATTTATTCTCTTAGCTCTGGAGGCCAGAAGTCTGAAATCAAGGTGTCAGCAGGATCATGCTCTCTCTGAAAGCTCTAGGGAGAATCTGTTCGGTGCCTTTCTCTTGGCTTCTGATGATTGCTGTCAATCTTTGGCATCTCTTGGCTTATAGATACATCACACTGGTCTCTGCTTCTGTCATTACATGTGTATCTCTTTCTGTGTCTCTTCCCTTCTTATAAGGACACTAGTCACATTGGATTAAAGCCTCATCATACTCCAGAATTAACTCAATTTACATCAAATTCCATCTGCGAAGACCCTATTTCCTAATAATGTCACAGTCACAGTTACCTATTTTAGGAGGGGTGCGGGGGCACAATTCAACACAAAACATAAGGAAAAGGGAGGAATAATCAAGAGGCACCTTCCAGGTTTCCAAAGCAAATACCTGGGGAATAGTAATGGATAGTGTTGGGGCAGCGGCAGGCTAGAGGCGGCTGGTAGGTAATCAGGTGTTTTATTTTGGATAGCTTAAGTTTCAGTTGACTGTAAGATATCCAGGTGGAGATGGGAAGCAGACAGATGGATAGGTGAGCCTGGATGTTTTGGAAACTGTACCCTGCTGAGTGACAAGCAAGCGCAGGATAACTGGCTACTATGACAGAGAAAAAAGAGGGACCCAAGGGACCTCCATTCAACCTCTCAAGAAAATGGAGAAAAAATCAAGGTCAATGATGTGCTGATAAATGCTCGACAACCAGCTCTCCAGGGATAGGAGAAGAGAAGAATGCCCCAATTTTTAGTCTGCCAATTTCTATGGTGTAAATACCCCAGCTGGCTGAAAAAATTGCTGAAAACTTGAAAACTGAGTCTCAAGCTAGAACAAGCTGTCCCAGCACAGCACTGAACTCAAGGCCCTGTTTCATGCTACTAATTGTGTGAGTTGAACAATTAACTTACCGGCTCTGGGCCTTGAGGCCTTTATTTATAAAATGAGTGGCTGCTCTGAATGGTCTCTTCAAGGTTCCTTCCTGCTCTCACATCACATAAATCCCAATAGCAAAGCTTTGGTTCTACCCGATAGCAATGAAAGGGGCCCTTTGAACAGAGTATGTGATATTTTACAATCAAACAGTTGAATGGGTAGTGACACTTCTGTTCATGGACTGTCAAGTCTTGGCTTATAAATTTATATACACACACATACAGAAGGAATTTGAGCTTGAATCATTAAAGAAAACCACACAGGCATGTTGAGGACGGATAGAGACAAATAAGAATTTGTCGGTCACATTCAGGGGACAAATGAATAAACTTTGCCAGAATGTTAGAGTCGGAAAGAAATGTGAAATGAACTTGAATAAATAGTAGTGAGCAGCTTCTGTTTTTGATGTTATAAAATGGAGAGTCATGGCAGCCATACAAAAGTGTGAGTTCCGTGTCCTTTGCAGGGACATGGATGAAGCTGGAAGCCATCATTCTCAGCAAACTAACACAGAAACGGAAAACCAAACACCACATGTTCTCACTCATAAGTGGGAGTTGAACAATGAGAACACATGGACACAGGGAGAGGAACATCACACACTAGGGCCTATCGGGGGGTGGGGGGTAAGGGAAGGGAGAGCATTAGGACAAATACCTAATGCATGTGGGGCTTAAAATCTAGATGATGGGTTGATAGGTTCAGTAAACCACCATGGCATTCATATACCTATGTAACAAACATGCACATTCTGCACATGTATCCCAGAACTTAAAGTAAAATAATTTTTTTAAAAAAGGGGGAGTCATTGAAGGTTTGCTTTTCTTTTTATATTTTTTTTAAAAAGAGATTTTTAGTTTTTTGCTTGCAAATTTTATTCTTACAAGGAAGATAATCCATAGACGTCCAATGAACCAAGGCAAATACAGGATTTATAAGAGAAAGGAGAAAAGGGAGAGAAAAATCGGATGGTCTTGGAACAGTGAATTTGGTTTACTTGTTTGGATAAACTGACTTGTGGGCAGTCACCTGATAGGTCAGCTTGACTGACCTTGAGCAAGGGCACTAAATACACTCATTTTGTTTCTTTGTAGATGTGGTAAAAGCCCTTGAGAGTAAGTGTGGCACACTTTGGCAAGCCTGGAAAGCCTGGATGAAATGAAAGACTTCATTAGTGTCTTCACCTTCCCTAGGCTGAAAAGCATCCTTTCCCTCTTCAGAAGATCTCAAATGCATTATATGTAAGTAATTTAACAATGGTATAAAAAGTTTCGAAAATCAGGCAGCAAATCACACTTTCAGTTAAATATTTCTATTGGGGATATTTCCTTGAAGCCTATTTCATAGGTTTATTTTACATAATTATAATTCTAGTGAATACATAATTTCACATCTTGCCTTTTCACCTTCTATTACATCTAGAAATCTGGAGATTTCTTTGCACAAAAAGCTTTTTGTTTCATACCATTTTCTCTCACTCTTAGCTCCTCAGGGGTGCTCACGAAGAGATTAATGACATAAAAAAGCATACTTAGTATTTAAAGAAGCAAAAACCCACAAGAAGCAAGAAAGATGTCTTTAAGTAGTTTCAAGATTGCTTGTGGAGGAGGAATCTGGCTTGCTCTGAATGGGCCCACACCTCTGAGCTAAGAACAAGAGGTGGATGCCAGAGGGAGACAGAATTTCAGCTTTTAGAGAAGATAAAAAATTATCCAGGCTTCCCAAGGATAGTGAATCTCTGTTACTGGAGGTGTTCAGGTGAACTGGGAAGGACCACCTACCAGAGACACCTCTGCAGGTATCTAAGCATAGATGTAGGGCAGGAAGAAATGGCATCTCAGAGACCTGGCATTCAGCTTGTTGGGCTGATCTAGTTTTACATTGCTGTGAACAAATCATCTTAAAAATCAGTGATTCAAAATTATAATAATCATTTTATATTATCTTTCATTGTTCTGGGAGTTTTGGTTTTTTTCTTCTTCTTCTTTTTTTTTTTTTGATACAGGGCCTCCCTCTGTCACCCAGGCTAGAGCGCAGTAGCGTAATCATGGCTCACTGCAGCCTTGACCTCCTGGGATCAAAGGAAACTCCAACCTTAGCTTCCTGAGTAGCTGGGACCACAGGCACACACCATCACACCTGGCTAATTTTCTTAATTTTTTGTAGAGACGGAGTCTCATCATGTTGCCCAGGCTGGTCTCAAACACCTGGGCTCAAGCATTCTCCCCATCGGCCTCCTACAGTGCTGGGATTACAGGCATAAGCCACCACACCTGACCATAGTTCTGAAGGTTGACTGGGCTCAGCTAGGTGGTTGGTGCTCAGGATCTCTCATGTCAGACAGTGGCTGGGGTTAGGATCATCTTGACTTCCTCACTCCTATGTTTGGTATCTGAGCCATCAATATTTAAACAGATTGGAGCAGTTGAATTTCATGGGCATCTTTACTTCTGTGTGGTCTTTCTAGTATGGTGACTTTATGGTAGCAGGCTTCTTACAGGGTTAGAAACATACCTGTTCCTAGACACAGAGCTAGGCAGAAGTTGTATTGTCTTTTATGACCCAGTCTTGAAAGTCATGTAGTATCTCCTCTGCTGTCTTCTATTAATTGAGATAGTCACAAAGACCTTCCTAGGTTGAAAGGGAGGGGACGTAGATTCTAGTCTTGATGAGGGAAGTAGAACATTTCTGGAAGTTTGCGTGGGACCAGAGATATTCTTATAGCCACTTTTAGAAAATATCATCTGTTTCATGGGCTTTCTAGAGGAATGGCTTTTTCACACTTCTTCATGGGTGGGGGTCACCATGACTTTCCTCAAGGTGCCTCGAGCCTTTTGTTCCATGGATGCCTCTGATATACAGGCCATAACAGAGTCTGCAGTTTTTATGTGAAGAGAGACATTAATACATCTTATTTTCCCCACAGTCTTGCGATCAACCCAGAACTGAAGGGAAGGGGAATAAACTGGACAAGCCTGATAGTTACAGTCACAAATAGTGGAGGAAGCCAAGCACAGAGGTAGACTGCACATCCCTCTCCACTGGGGATCCCGTGAAGAAGAAAACGCCATCAGAATCCATGGACTTCTTAATCTTTAGATCGAGAAAGTATGGATTCTACATTTCTATCCATCTACATCAGTGGGGAGCTGTGTTCAACTACTAGCAACAGAGACTCATTTGCAGTGGCTGAAACTCACAAAGGATTATTATGTAAAAGACACCTGAAGATCAGCAGTTCAAGGCTGTTCCACAAAGTCTTCATGGACTGAGAGAACTTCTACTTTTCCGTTTTATTTTCTTGGTCTATTTTTCTGCTTTCATTCAAAAGGTGACTTCACAGTCCCAAATGGCTGCTGAAGTTCCAGGCAGGAAGGAAGGAGAATGGCTTTGCCCACTGTCTTTTTTTTTTTTCTTTTTTTTAGAAACAGGGTCTTGCTCTGTCACCGAGGCTGCAATAATAGCTCACTGCAGCCTTGAACTCCTGGGCTCAGGTGTTCCTCCTCAGCCTCCCAAGTAGCTAGGACTACAGGCGTATGCCACCATGTCCAGCTAATTTTTGTATTTCTTTTTCTGTTTTGTAGAGACGAGGTCTCCTTCTGTTGCCCAGGCTAGTCTCAAACTCCTGGCCTGAAGCAATCCTCTTGCCTCAGCCTCCCAAAATGTTGGGATTACAGGTGTGAGCCACTGTGCCTAGCCCCCACTCTTTTAGGTAGGCTTCAAAACTATACTTCCATCTGTATTACTTTGGCTAGAACTCAGTTACATGGGCTCACCAAGTTTAAAAAACAAAAAGGCCAGGAAATGTAGTTTCTTGGCAGGAGATGTTGCCCAAGATTTTGCTATCTGAAGGCGAAGAGTAAAAATTAATATTTGGAAGCAAGAAGCCCTCTCTGTCAAATTTACTACTTAAGAGATTTTTAAAATATTTACCCACCAAGTTACATGGATCATAAAGACCTTTCTAGTGATATATAATTTCAACATTTGTCCTTTTTAATTGCCTACAAGAAATGTGAAATTTACTTCAATATTTTGAAATCAGAGGTGGGAAGCAGATTTTGTAGAATCCATTTCTCCACCCTAAACAGTTGACAGCACACAAACCATGTTTTCAACCTCCCCTAATTTCAAAGCACAATTCACTCTCTTGACATAATCACTAAAGTTACAGCTAATGTAAGAGGTAAGAGGATGATTAGAAACTTCAAGAGGTTCTGAAACATTCAATGTAACTTGTATTTCTGATGTTAAGTGACAAAGCCAGCAATTTAGGCCATTGTCAATATTAAGATATTTGCTCAGTGTCATATACATAGCAATGTGCATGACAAAAAAATGTTTTGAAATATTTCAGTTTTCTTCATCTTACACTCAAACAGCTCAGCAAAGTTCCATTTCTTTCTTGAGGCTTTTCCCAGTGCCAATGTTCTGCCATCTCTCATTTCTTTGTACTCGGGGACTGATTCCACTGTTTGCATTTTACCCTTAGTACCAACATTTCAGAAACATTAAGCAAACGTTTAACAGTACTCCCAAACACTTCAGTACTTCATTGTGGCCTGCTAGTGTCGTGTGTAGAGTTACTATCTTTCCAAGTTGAGTGTGAGCTCTTTGAGGTCAGAGTCCTTGCTTCATATTTTTTTATATCATTCCATTTTAGGCATTAATTATTTCCAGGCAGATAGAGTCCTACAGGTTGCCCTGGCAGCAAGCAGCAGAACAAGAGGCACATATATCAACCAGCTCATTGGATGTTTCCACTAAGGAAAAAAATTCCTCAGTTATTTGAATCTCAAAAGCAAACTGTATCACATCTTTCGGAATGGCTAAAATGAGGAAGACAATTGTTGATGGAAGTGCAAATTTTTACAACCACTGTGTAAAACTATTTACATTTATCTATGAAAGCTGAACATACGGCTGGGTGTGGTGGCTCACGCCTGTAATCCCAGCACTTTGGGAGACCAAGATGGGTGGATCATTTGCGGTCAGGAGTTTGAGACCAGCCTGGCCAAAATGGTGAAATGTTGTCTCTACTAAAAATACAAAAATTAGCTGGGCATGGTGGTGGTTGCCTGTAATCCCAGGTACTCGGGAAGCTGACGCAGGAGAATCACTTGAACCCAGGAGGCAGAGGTTGCAGTGAGCCGAGATCACGCCATTGCTCTCCACTGGGTGACAAGAGCAAAATTCCACCTCAAAAAAAAAAAAAAAAAGAAAGCTGAACATAGGTATATTTTATGTCTCAGAAACTCCACTTTAAGTTAAATACTCATCAGAAATGCACAGGCACATGGAAAAACAACAAAAATAAGCACTAGAATGTTCTGAGCAATATTCATAATAGCCCCAAACTGGAAATTACTCATAGGTCCATCAACAGTATAATGGATAAACATTAAATGTAGGTCGTTCATACAGTAGAGTATAAGACAATAACAAAAATGAACAGACTATTTCTACACACAAACAGCCTGGATGAATCTCACAAGCATAATGTTGAGTGAAAGAAGCCAAAATTGGCCTTACTGTATGGTTTCATTTATATACATTTCAAAAACTGGTGAAACTAATCTATCTTATTAGAAATCAGGGTAGTGGTTATCCTTGCTGGGAAAGAAAAGGAGCAGTATTCAATGAGGGCTTCTGGGCCGACGGGAATGTGGAGTTCTTAATCTGGGTTCTGGTTGCAGGGATATGATGTGTTCGCTCTGTGGAAAAGACGCTGATCTGTATATTTATCATTTGTGCATTTTATCTGAGTATGTTATACTTAATAAAAAGTTCGCTAGAAAACAAACACAAAAAATGGCAAGCTGTGGGACGAAGTAGGCAACCCTCATGCTCAGGTCTCTGCATGCTACTACTGCACGCTGTAAAATCCCCAAACACCCTTTCGCTCTAATATGGTTCTAAGCGTCTATTAAAATCCCACTGAAAAAAGACTAGAGAAAAATTCTTTCATTTTAGGCCACTGGAGGAAATTCCAGTCACTAGGGAGGGGGCTCTGGGGCGAACCACCCCGCTGTGCTGGAGCTGACCATCCCCCATGTGTGTGGCAGGGCAGAGCATCCTTTACAGAAGAATGAGAGACTGGAAGGCTGCTGCTATAACCACATTTTCTAGATTTCTTCCTCATCTTCTCTTGCATGAGGCCCTTTTCTCTCTTTCTTCCCTTGTCAGCGGCCTTCTGGGCTGGCACCATTTGCTTTCAGGGCTGACAGTTGGCTGGGAAAAGTGCCTGTATTTCTCTTCTCTCATTGGCATCTGTCTTAACCCTCCTTATCGCAGCTGCTGCTGTGAGCTCATGCATCCTCTGTGTGCTGTTTTCCACCCCCAAATTGCCGAACCTGCCCTGTTTGCTGTTTCTGGTGGTGCAGAGCATTTCAAAATTAAAAATTTAAGACATTCTCCCTCTCTGCCTGCTTTCTTGATGGCATACTTGTCAATCTCGAAGTGCTACACTACACAGCTCAGAAAAAACATAATCAAGGAGAGAAAATAAAAAAGAGACAATATGGATGCGCAGACTGATGGAAGGTGAAAATGGACGTGTGGCCAGCTGCTCCCATCCGATCAGCTCGTTATGGAGCATGCTCTGCTCATGCAGGAGTACAGGTTACAAGAAGCACAAAGGACACCAGGCGGACTGTCCACAGCTCCCCACCTACAGGGGTTCCAAGATGAGGGCAAATGCATAAGTAATCAACAATGAGAAGCCTCAAATTAATAATAACACAGTGATGAAATGGAATTTACGCAAGGGACACTGAAGGGCCGTGGGGCCCTCTGGGACAGTGTCAGTTTCATAAACAAAGCCTTATGGAATGCAGACAGGTTAAAATTGGAAACACTTTCCTTGCAGCCCAAGTCTGAGGCTGGTTTGAGAGATTAATGCAGCATGCAGAAGGCTGGCTCAATAATCACGAAGTACAGAGAGCACAAAAGTTAGCTCTATGCACTTTATTTGGGGGTTTTTACCGTGGAAGATTATTTCTGAGAAAAGGGGACTAACTGAAGGTAATTGAATAAAGCTAAGAAAATTTTCGACCAGAGAAGTAAAATCTAGTCCATAGTGGAAGAGTTATTAAGACACAAATTATGGAAGTCCTATCACTCATTATACCTGAGGAACATAGCCTTCCATGCTCCCTTCACCCTAAAGTGCAGTTTAGGCCCAAGCTCTGCCTGCTTTGAGTCCGATGTGTTTGCTGGGACTTCAGAAGTGGGAAACTGAGAAAAGGGAAGAACATCGGTTTGTTCCTTCCACCCTCCATTCCCACCCCTGATATAAAACACCAAAGAGTCATAAAACCACCTAATCCAACCATTAAAAGATAAGCCCAGTGTGATGGGGCCTGTCCCATCCGTTTCTAATTCCTATGATTTTCTGGTCCACAAACCAAATTCAGTACATTAGAGAAAAATAGCCCAAGTTCTGTTGAAACTGCAGGAAGTAAAATACTCATGGTGCTCATGAATGTGTCCCACTGCCTAGCTTAAGAATCACTGTCTATAACACCACTAAAAGCTAAAAATGAATATAAAGCTTAATAGTAAAAATCATTGGAACAAATACTGTTATGGTGTGACCGTGCACCAGTGGATGCGCTAAGCATTTTACAGGTACTTCCGACTACAACCCTGTGATGGAGATATTACAACTAGGCCTGTTTCCAAAAATAAGGAAAGTGTGAAAAGGAAGATCATCCATTCATTCACTCAACACGTATCACTGAACTGCCGTTGCATGTCTGGACATAGAAAGTCTACTCAATTCCAGATGAGCACTGAACAGCACTAGGTCCAAAGCTGATCTTCTAGCTCACCAGGGCTGCCTTAACAAAATACCACAGACTGGGTGGCTCAAGCAACAAAAATTTATTTTCTCACAGCTTTGAAGTCTGGATGGACAGGATCCAGCTGTTGGCAGGTTTGGTTTCTTCTGAAGCCTCCTCCTGGGCTTGCAGACAGCTGCCATCTCACTGTGTCCTCAAGGGGCCTTTCCTCCATGTGCACCCTTGGTCTCTCCAGGAGTGTCTTACTCTCCTGTTCTTATATGGACAGCAGCCTGGTTGCATCAGGGCCTATGCTAATGGCCTCATTTTAACTTAATTACATCTTTAAAGGCCCCATCTCCAAACACAGTCACATTCTAAAGCACTGGGGGTTAGGGCTTCCACATGTGAATTTGACACAATTTAGTCCATAACAGCTGGGAAGACAATTTGATTCCTCTACCAATATCATGGATTTGAACTTCATCCCTCTAAGTCGGGGCTGGAAGGCTTTTTTTCCCAAGCAATGTTCACAAAAAGGGGAAGCTCTCAAGGTCTAAACCCTGACTACCATTGCGTGCAGGGGAGGAACTCCACTGAGGCAATCTGCTCCTGTTGTTTGTCATCCAACAACCCACCAGCTATAATACAATGATGGCTTTTATGGACCAACGGAAGCAACTGTGTCCAGTCACCCAGAGTGCATGTTAAAAAAAATTAAAAAGGAAATATCTGCTTATATTCTGTTTTTCTTCCTTTTTTACCCCTCTTAATGGTTTCTTCTGAATGGTTCAAAAGTAAATAAACTGGATTTCGGCAACCCTGCCACACAAAGCTGAATTCATGCCTCCAGTGAGCCCTTCCGTGCTTGTCACGTTCATCCTTGCTCTGAGGCACTTCAAATGCTGTTGATTTATTCTTCCATGAATTTGAATGAGGACCACGTTGCAGAAGCCTGTTGTTCCTGCTCTTCAGATAGGATTTCACAGTCTATCTGCCCGCTTATTAAGAGCACCTACTCCTTCCAGTTTTCAGAATTTATTCTGATTATATTTTCTCTGAGTCTTCTTAATCTTGAAATAAAGTGCTTTAGGACCCAGAAGTGTTTTGTAGCCACTAAAACACTCATTTAGTTCAATCTCTCAAAACTGTTTGGAAGAACCATTTTTAAACGTTTAAAAAGGAATATTTGTGAGCAATCACAATGCCTTGCCTGTACTGTGCTTTGAAAATATGTTCCCAGTTTAAAATTTCTGGATCCTTTTGGAAGACAGAAAAATAAACAGTTCAGATGCAGCCAGTCTTAAGATGAAGATTATTGTATGTTTATATATAACCATGTTTTTCTCTTTTTCTGAAACTCTTTGTAATATTCAAGATTTGGAAATGCAGGTACTATATTGCGTCATAGCTTCTTGTCTTGAAAGCCTGCAGATAACTGGGTGCAGAGTTTAACTTCCTCCTGCTTTAAATTAAGGAGGCTGACTCTGATGGAGAATGAAAAGCAGTAGTCTGCTTATTTGTGAGAAACCCCTCTTTGCACAGAAGAGGAAGATTCCCAGCTTTCTGCATTCTCTCCTGAGTTCAGTGTCGGCTCCCTCTGTGACTCCAGAGATCATTTCACATCCCATTGCCTCGTGTTCCTTCTCATTAAGACGGCAGTAACTTCACCAGTTTCCTCCATCACAGGAGCATTATGTGGAATAATTAAGGGTTAATTAATTAATTGGAGAAAAACCACATTAGAGAGATCTTAGAGATTTTTCTACTGAATTTTCTAGGCTTCAGGCAAGGCCACCTCTAAATCAGTTTTAATCAGAAGCATAGGGCCTCAATTTTTCATTACCAGTCACACTTTGAGGTTTAAAATGAACATGAATCTCTAATATAATTTTTTCTAAATCAGATTTTTTCCCCTGCAAGACTGATTTCTAGTATCATATCACTGAGTTAATCAATATAATATCTTATAGTAAATGTAGTAGTTCTATTGTGAATCCATAAAATGACAAGGACTTTTTTCTTTGCTATTTAATATTCTTTATCATTGTTGTTATTATTGCTTATTTATGGTAAATGGAAGAAATTCCGTAGTCCAATATGGATTTGCTTCTTTTCATCTTTTTTCTTCAGAGATAATCTCAGCCAAAACCCAGGACCGTATAACGACAGACGCTCAATGGAAAGTCAATGATTAAAAACAGTCTGCGATCAGCTGCTGATGTGATTATCCAAGTGCTGGTTTTCAAGGGTGCTCATGATGGAGCTGTTTTCCTCTCTGTTTCCCTCCTGGAGCTCACTCTGTTCATGAAAGGTGGGCTAGAGCAGGATATGGAGCCCAATAGGGCTGCGTTAATGGTCTGGCCTCCCCGCTTCTGGGAAAGGTGGCACCAGGTCTAAGTTTGACCTTAGAGTGTCCCCCATTCAAGTGCCTTGAGCCCTCTAGATCACTGTTGCCCCAGAGGTGGCTGAACTTTCACTTCCTCACTGCCTTCTTCTATTCCAAGCAGCACAGGATCTCTGATTTGCCTTCTAGAGGAGGTGAGGCATCCACCACCTTACAGCGCCCCTGCATCCCCTCTTCACAGCCAAAGCAAATTAAATCACTTTGCTTAAAGTAGAAAACCACTAACTCTAGCTCTAAGTGCAGCCTCCACTGTTTTCCAGTGTTCCAAAAATATACTGTTACAGTCCTCAAAGAAACATAGTCCTCTGCTATTCATGAAAAATCAGCTCAATTGTAGTCCATTCATTCAGCTAGTGTCTAGTGATTATTGATATGTAACACTCTACTAACTACTAGGAACAAGAAGACTGCAGTCTGCCTCAGTGAGGTCAAACTTTTAGTGGGGGGAAGTCAGGAGAACAACATGGCAAGGCAAGGATGTGAAGCCCCAATCCCTCTGTGTCAGCGCTTCATAGTAAACCTGAACATTTGGTCAAAGACTGAGTGGACAGGTAGGAGAAGTTTTGGGAGAAGACAAAAGTTCTCTGGAGATTAAATACTCAAAGTCCAAATCTGGGAATACTTAGAGCTCATATTCTTGGGCTAGAAATTCCTGTATTTTTGTTGGATTTAAACAAATTTTGTTGGTAAATTCTTCAGGATAAAGCTGCTTTCTTTTATCCATCTCATATCAAATTTCTTTCTACTAATAATGGAGTGATAAGAGGAGGCTCAGAGATAATCCAACATCTTGGTAATCCAAGAGAAACCTCAGAGATAAACCAACTTCCTCACTCTAAAGGTAAAAAACACTAACTCCCAACCTAAATTATTTGCTCAAAGTCACATTGCTACAAAATGGACTGTGGTTAGAACTCAGTTTCTTATCTAATCTCATGTTGCTTCATAATAAGAAATTACTATGTAATTTATGTTATTTTCCCATTATGTATTTTCTTTAATACTTTCAACTCTGTGTAGAAATCTGTCCAGGTGGATAGATAAACCACATTGATAGAATTAACTAGGTAGGGCATGGTAGCTCACATCTATAATCCCAGCACTTTGTGAGGCTGAGGCAGGCAAATCACTTGAGGTCAGGAGTTTGAGACAAGCCTGGCCAACATGGTGAAACCCCGTCTGTACTAAAAATACAGCAATTAGCTGGGCATGGTGGTGCACACTTGTAATCCCGCTACTTGGGAGCCTGAGGTGGGAGGATCACTTAAATCCAGGAGGCGGAGGTTGCAGTAGGCCAAGATGGTGCCACTGCATTCCAGCCTGAGAGACAAAGTGAGATTCCATCTTAAAAAAAAAAAATTAACGAAAATGTGGCTTGGTAGTTGCAAAATGGCCACAAATTCTTTCCCTCCCTCACTGTTTGAACATATTCTTCACCTTCTGACTTGCTTTGACCAAGGGGACATTAATGAGATGAAGCTAGCTGAGGCCTCAGTGTGCTTAGGATCTGGGGCATACTTTCTGGCTGCCGTTGGAGCCCAGTCCCCACATGGAGTCCAGGCTAGCGACAGACAGGTGGGCCAGTTGGAGCAGTTGCCCCTGCCACTTCAGCCATTAGCCTTGGCCAACTCACCAACTGACTGCAGATGCATGAGTGGGCCCAGCTGAGATCAGCCAACCCCAGTCCAGACAGGGAACTGCCCAGCCCACTCTTAGGCTAAATCAATGGCCATTCTTTTAAGTCTTTGATAGTTGGAGTAGTTCATTGCAAAGCAAAAGTTAGCTAATCCAATGAACATAAGAATGAATGATGAGCATAGAACAAGTGAGTTCAAGAGAAGAGAGTGCTCTGTTGCTAGCCACAGGAAATGGCTTGTGGCTTCTTTGAAACCTAAACTTTACATACCACAGAGCAGAACTTTAATGCTGAATTTGCTGTTTTTTTTGAATAAAGGCAGAAATTATATTTTATCTGTTCATCCCTAGGAGAATCTTCCTCATGTGATGGACACAAGTTCTCATTTACACTTATTCATAATTTAATTCCAAATATTGGCCAATAGTTCTTCACTAATTAACAAAAAATTGCAAATAAAAGCCCACACACACATGCACATTATGCTACCAAATGCAGAATTGTGCCTCCTCTTACAGGACCATCTATCCAGGAGGATGCATATTGTGATCTCTTAGAGCCAGAGCTCTGTTTACCATGGATTCCTGCCAAGATAACCCTTGGCATCCTTCAAAGATTTCTCTTTTAACAAGAGCAACTCTATAATACAATAGGCTTTCAAGGAGCTGAAATATAACCTTGATAGAATATAAAGATAACTCCTAGTAATGAATAGATTCAGCACTATTTCCTGTACTTTGGGGCAAGAAAACTTGAAAGAAAACACTTTGCAAGTCTGTTCTGAAGAGATAGACTCCTGAGAATATTCTGTAACTTCTCCTTCTCACTGCAAAATCTCAGACATTGCAAGAGAGATATTTATTTGGAAACAAATATGTAATTAGATTAGAAAAGAAGAAAAGGTGTTTTTGGTAGCTGTTAGTCCATTTTGTGTTGCTAGAAAGGAAGATCTGAGGCGGGTAATTTATAAAGAAAAGAGGTTTATTTAGCTTAGCAGAAGCATGGTGCCAGCACCTGCTTCTGGTGAGGGCCACAGGCTGCTCCCACTCATGGCAGAAGGCAAAGGGGAGTGATGTGCGCTGGTTCCACTCAAAGCAATAGAGGAAACAAGTGAGAAAAAGGATTAACAACCTGCTCTTGTGGAAATTGATAGAGTGAGGAGTCACCCAGAGGGACAGAAGGCATAATCTATTCATAAGGGAGCCACCCCCATGACCCAAACACTTCCAACATTGGAGATCAAATTTTAATATGAGGTTTGGAGGGGACAAGCATCCAAACTGTAGGAGTACGCTTGCTACTACGGTGGGATTGTAGCATAGAAAGCAAAAGCCCATATAAGAGAGGACTGCTGTAAAATGTAGGGTGTCTTCGGGGGTGCTTCCAGCCCAGAACTAGCAAAACTGGGAGTACGGGAGGATCTGGGTATGTAAGCACCTGAATCACTGGTTGGGAAACTACCACCAAGACAAGCCAAAGAGGTGACTCCTCCTCCCCTTCCACCTCTGTGCAGGGCTAGAGGGAGCTCAACAGGACTGACTTAGTCCAAGCAGAGGAACTGAATCTGGCACCTGGAGGAGAGAGGCAGGAACATACTCAGGGGGTGGTAACCAAAATGGGTAGTGGAAATTACTCATGTCCAGAAGACAGCACACCCTGCCATCGCAGATCAAATGTTGCATACACTTGATAATTTTCTTTAATTCCCTTTAATCTGGAACAGCTCCTTAGCCTTTCTTTGTTCTTCATAATCTTGCCATTTTGAAGAGTACTGGCTGCTTGTCACTTGATTTGTGTTTTCCTTTGATGAGAGTCATTAAGTATTTATGGGAGGCCTGCCACAAAAGTGAGATTGTGTCCAAGTGAAATGGTTTTAATCACAATGTTTTAATATAATATTTATGCATGTATTAGTTAGTAGTCCGTTTTCTTTTTTTTGTTTGTTTTTTTTTTTTTTGTTTTTTTGAGACGGAGTCTTGCTCTGTTGCCCAGGCTGGAGTGCAGTGGTGTAATCTCGACTCACTGCAAGCTCCGCCTCCTGGGTTCACGACATTCTCCTGCCTCAGCCTCCTGAGTAGCTGGGACTACAGGTGCCTGCCACCACGCCTGGCTAATTTTTTTGTATTTTTTAGTAGAGATGGGATTTCACCGTGGTCTCGATCTCCTGACCTCGTGATCTGCCTGCCTTGGCTCCCAAAGTGCTGGGATTACAGGCGTGAGCCACCGCACCCAGCCAGTAGTCCATTTTCACACTGCTGATAAAGACATACCTGAGACTGGGCAATTTACAAAAGAAAGAGTTTAAACGGACTTACAGTTCCACATGACTGGGGAAACCTCACAATCATGGTGGAAGGCAAGGAGGAGCAAGTCCCATCTTACATGGATAGCAGCAGGTGAAGAGAGAATGAGCTTGTGTAGGGAAACTCCACCTTATAATGCCATCATATCTTGTGAGATTTATTCACTATCACAAGAACAGCATGGGAAAGACCTGCCCCCATGATTCAATTACCTCCCACTGAGTCCCTTCCACAACACACGGGAATTCAAGAAGAGATTTGAGTGGGGACACAGAGCCAAACCATATTATTCCATGCTGCCCCTCCCAAATCTCATGTCCTCACATTTTAAAACAAATCATGCCTTCCCAACAGTCCCGCAAAGTCTTAACTCATTTCAGCTTTAACTCAACAGTCCACAGTCAAAAGTCTGATCTGAGACAAGGCAAGTCCCTTCCACCTATGAGCCTGTATAATCAAAAGCAAGTTAGTTACTTCCTAGATACAAGGGAGGTACAGACATTGGAATGCCAAATGTGAGAAATTGGCCAAAACAAAGGGGCTACAGGCCCCATGCAAGTCTGAAATCCAGCAGGGCAGTCAAATCTTAAAGCTCCAAAATGATCTCTTTTGACTCTATGTCTCACATTCAGGTCACACTGATGCAAGAGGTGGGTTCCAATGGTCTCGGGCAGCTCCACCCCTGTGGCTTTGAAGGGTACAGCCTCCCTCCCGGCTGCTTTCATGGGCTGGCATTGAGTGTCTGTAGCTTTTCCAGGTGCATAGTGCAAGCTGTCAGTGGATCTACCATTCTAGGGTCTGGAGGACAGTGGCCCTCTTCTCATAGCTCCACTAGGTGGTTCCCCAGTAGGGACTCTGTGCGGGGAGCTCTGACCCCAAATTTGCCTTCCATGCTGCCCTAGCAGAGGTTCTCCATGAGAACCCCACCCCTGCAGCAAACTTCTGCCTGGACATCCAGGAGTTTTCAGACATCATCTGAAATCTAGGCAGAGGTTCCCAAACCCCACTCTTGACTTCTGTGCACCCACAGGCTCAACACCATGTGGAAGCTGCCAAGGTTTGGGGCTTGCATCCTCTGAAGCCATGGCCCACGCTCTATGTTGGCCCCTTTCAGCCATAGCTGGAGCAGCTGGGATGCAGGGCACCAAGTCCCTAGGCTGCACACTGCACAAGGACCCTGGGCCTGGTCCATGAAATCACTTTTTCCTCCTAAGCCTCCAGGCCTGTGATGTGAGGGGCTGCTGTGCATGTCTCTGACATGCCCTGGAGACATTTTCCCCATTGTCTTGGGGATTAACATTCAGTTCCTTGTTACTTATGCAAATTTCTATAGCCAGCGTGAATTTCTCCTCAGAAAATTGAATTTTCTTTTCTATGGCATTGTCAGGCTGAAAATTTTTCAAACTTTTATGCTCTGTTGCCCTTTTTAAACTGAATGCTTTTAAAAGCACCCAAATCACCTCTTCAATGCTTTGCAGCTTAGAAATTTCTTCTGCCAGATACCCTAAATCATCTCTCTCAAGTTCAAAGTTCCACAAATCTCTAGGGCAGGGGCAAAATCCCGCCAGTCTCCTTGCCAAAATATAACAAGAGTCACCTTTGCTCCAGTTCCCAACAAGTTCCTCATCTCCATCTGAGACCACCTCAGCCTGGATCTTATTGTCCATATCACTATCAGCATTTTGGGCAAAGCCATTCAACAAGTCTCTAGGAAGTTCCAAACTTTACCACATTTTTTCTATCTTCTTCGAAGCCCTTTCAGACTGTTCCAACCTCAGCCTGTTACCCAGTTCCAAAGTCACTCCCACATTTTCAGGTATCTTTTCAGCAACACCCCACTCTACTGGTACCAATTTACTGTATTAGTCCATCTTCATGCTGCTGATAAAGACGTACCTGAGACTGGGCAATTTACAAAAGAAAGAGATTTAATTGGACTTACAGTTACACATGGCTGAGGAAGCCTCCCAATCATGGCAGAAGGCAAGGAAGAGCAAGTCCCGTCTTAGGTGGATGGCAGCAGGCAAAAAGAGAATGAGCTTGTGCAGGGAAACTCCATCTTATAAAGCCACCAGATCTTGTGAGACTTATTCACTATCACAAGAACAGCATGGGAAAGACCTGCCCCCATGATTCAATTACCTCCCACTGGGTCCCTCCCACAACACATGGGAATTCAAGATGAGATTTGAGTGGGGACACAGAGCCAAACAATATCAATCCTGTTTTTTGAATTCAAGAAGTATAATAGCCAAATCATACGAAATTAGCCACAAAGCAGGCCTCAAGAGACAACACACACTTATATGAGGAGGTCAGTCTATTGACTGTGTGCTCAACTACTTGCATAGTCTGTATAGAAAGCAAGTCAATCTCAATCCAAGTCATATCACACTGACTTCCCTATTTATTTTTTGACCATAGCAACATCACTGAGCAGCATTAATTTCTCTAAAGAATGAAGGGGGAAAGTCTACTTGAAAAATTACTCTCCATTTTATTCTGCTCAGAAATAAAACTTTAAAGACCTTCATTGTCAAACATAATCATTTCTCTTTGTTTTGTTTTGTTTGTTTGTTTGAGACAGAGTCTCTCTCTGTCACCAGGCTGGAGTGCAGCGAGCTGAGATCGTGACACTGCAGAGCCTCCCAGGTTCAAGCGATTCTCCTGCCTCAGCCTCCTGAGTAGCTGGGATTACAGGCACCCGCCACCATGCCCAGCTAATTTTTGCATTTTTATTAGAGACAGGGTTTCACCAGTCTGGTCTCAAACTCCTGACCTCAAGTGATCCACCCACCTTGGCCTCCCAGAGTGCTGGGATTACAGGCATGAGCCACAGTGCCCAGCCTCACTTCTCTTTGAAAACATCATAGTCTTCATTCTGAGTTGAAATGATAAAACCAACTGCCCATTCCTCATCACTTAACATGTAAACAATGGTGCAGTAAACATGTCATCCTTATAAGTGTCTGTTTCTGACATCTATTTAGCCTGTTCCAGTGAGACTAACCTTTCTGTTCCTTGAGTGGGCCTCTTCTGTCATCTCAAGACATCTGAACTTGCTAATATTTCTGCTTCAAACCTATTTTTTTGGGGGGCTTGAAAGAACCATGATGGTTCTTTCTTGCCATTTGGGTCTCAGTTCAAATGTCACCACCTCCGAGAGCCTTTCTCTGACCATGCTGTCTAAAGTTACGTGCACCCCAACCCAGTCACAACCTCCTGCTTTGTTTTCTACCTGTTTTAATTTTCTTCTGAATTTCTTCTGTTGATATATCCATTTATAATTTCATCACATAGCTCCAAAACAACATAGGTCCATGGGAACAAGCATCGTGTCTACCTTGCTGCCTGCCAAATCTTGAGTGCCTAGAAGGATTTCTGGCATGGAGGGGATGCTCTATAAATATGTGTTATATGAGTGGAAGAAGGATTTCGGATTTCAACTAACCATCACTGAAAGAGGTAATTTATCCAGTATTGGAATGAATGTCATTGTTTTGACCAGCCACCCAGTTCACTTACCAGATTAACCTCTCAATGTTTTGGCTATTTTCAGAGATAATTATAGCAATTAAGGGAAGATAGATTGAAGTGGAGGTAGAAGTGGAGGCAGAAGTAAAAGAGAATAAAGTCATAAAACAAGAGGGCCTCATACAAACATACATTCCGTGACCTGAGAATGTGGTTAACTTAACCCACTCTAGCTAAGGACCAAAGTAAATAAACTATAAATGGTGAACTTTAAGGACTACACAATCTACTGTTCACAATGCCACCCTGTCCTGGTCCTCATAGCCTATTGTCCATTTCTTCTTAGTCTCTGACACTGTCTTCCTTCTTCTCGTGTCCCCAAATGCAGACATTCTCCAATATAGATGAAATAGTTTGACTTTTTTCTAAATATGCTTTGTCTCTCAGACATAGCATATGTCTTTCATAGCTTTACCCATCACTCCTCTGGTGGCCTTGAGCAACCTCAATGTCCTCGTCTGCATAATGGGACCAGTAATAGTCCTATTGCGTACAGCTTGTCAGGATGAGAGATAACATTTTAAAACTGAAGATTAGGCCGGGCACAGTGGCTCACACCTGTAATCCCAGCACATTAGGAGGCCGAGGCGGGTGGATCATAAGGTCAGGAGTTCGCAACCAGCCTGGCCAACATAGTGAAACCCCGTCCCTACTAAAAATACAAAAATTAGCTGGGCATGGTGACACCTGCCTGTAGTCCCAGTTACTTGGGAAGCTGAGGCAGGAGAATCACTTGAACCCGGGAGGCAGAGGTTGTGGTGAACTGAGATCGTGCCACTGCACTCCAGCCTGGGCAACAGAGTAAGACTCCATCTCAAAAAAAAAAAAACAAAAAACTGAAGATTAAAATTGAATTAAAAGGAATATCAGTTTTAAGGAAGAGTTGGGACCAAACAAAGTGCTTGGTTGCAGATGCAAAATTGGATGATAAAAGTATAAATAGTAAATCATAGTAGATATTTGGACATCCATGTTCACAGCAGCATTATTCATGACAGTCAAAAGGTAGAAGTAACCCAAGTGTCCGCTGACAGAGGAATGAACAAACAGAATGGGCCATGTGCATACAATAGAATGTTATCCAGTCTTATAAAGAAAGAAATTCTAACACATGCTACAACACAGATGGACCTTAAAGATACTATACTAAGTGAATAAGCCAGTCACAAAAAGGATAAACACTATATAATTCTGCTTAGATGAGGTACCTAGAGTAGTCAAATTCATAGACACAGTAGACAGAATGGTGGTTACTAAGTATGTGGGGGAGGGGAATGGAACGTTCTTGTGTAATGGGTAATGGGAGTTTCAATTTGAGATGATAAAAGCAGTTTTGGGGATGGGTGGTGTTGATGGTTGTACAATAGTGTGAATGTACTTAATGACACTGAATTGTACACTCGGTAATGGTTAAAATGGTAAATTTTGTTATGTGTTTTACCATAATTTTTAAAAAATCAAAATGATGAGTTTGTTTCTTGGGGGAAGGGAAATAGGGGACTCTGATTAGGATGGGATGCATCAGAAAGGTGCTAGGGTTCTTAGTGAGGTTCTGTCCCTTGATCTGGCTGTTTGCACAGGTATTGCCTTATAAAACTTCATGATTTTCTGGTATCTATGTTTTATTTTATAGTAAAAGGGCTTTTTAAAATAAAAGAATCAAGCCAGGTGCAGTGGCTCACACCTGTAATCCCAACACTTTGGGAGGCCAAGGTAGGCAGATCACCTGAGGTCAGGAGACCAGCCGGGCCAACATGGTGAAACCCCATCTCTACTAAAAATACAAAAAATTAGCTGGGTGTAGTGATGCATGCCTATAGTCCCAGCTAACTTGGGAGGCTGAGGCAGGAGAATTTCTTGAACCTGGGAGGCGGAGGTTGCAGTGAGCCGAGATTGTGCCACTGCACTCCAGCCTGGGTGACACAGCGAGACTCCGTCTCAGAAAAATAAATTAATTAATTAAATTAAAAATTAAAAAAATTAAAGAATCACATATGAAACACTCAGAATTGTGCTTGGCACGTAGAAACCCCTAAACTATTGCTATTATTACATATTCTTCCTGCCTCTCTTATCCATCTGCACTGCCACCATGTGGCATGATGGTCTACCCACAGGTAGCACCAGGACCCAACTGCTGGATGTGATGATAACACTTAATCCAGAGAGGCTACAAGACCAACCTGAAGGCCAAGAGTCCAATGGAAGAGGCAAAACCACTAGGCCTGCCCTAAGTGCAGAAAGATGTGGTCACAACCAGGGTGCCTTCTTGAAGAGGCCAGGCCTATCTTGAACAGGGAGTGCCTGGGTTCATCTCCACGCTACATTTCATTCTGTTTTAGCCCTTCATGCTCAGCTTGGTTCTATGTGCATGAAAATTGATGACCAATATGATGTGAAGCTAATAATTAATCGTTCAGATTATAATTACTGGAGGCATCAAAGCAAAAGAAAGCAGCCTGGGAGGATGAATGAGGTTTGGAGAGGCAAATGGAAGACTGAAAGCACATGGCTTTCCAGGAGCCAAGAGAGAGAAGTCTGGGCTGGCACCTTGTGTCTGGGTGAAAAGACAGGCTGAAGCCAGAGAGAACCATTAGGAAAGCAGTGGGAAATCAGGTTCGACAGGTCACCAGGAGCCAGGTGAGGGACGGCCTTGGAGTCAGACAGAGAGAGATGCACATTTGAGATGTGTAGGAAACCGGGGCCAGGAATGTCATTGAGCAGAGGAAATTAAAGGACTTATTCTATCAGTAACCTGCAAGGGAGATGGAAGGGGTTGGGGGCCTGGAGGCTGCTGCAGCAAATACCCTGACATTAGGGAATTCTGGACATTGTGAGACACAGGGAGATTTGATTTGAAAGGAAAATCAACAGAACTTGATACCTAACTAGATATGGGGAAGGAGAGGCAAAAACCACCTTTAAATGGAAATAAGGAAGACGGCGTGGTGTCTTTCATAAGGACAGCTTCTCAGATTATTTTCTAGGTTCTAGATGGTCTCAACCTTGGCTGCACCATTGAATCACCTGGGGATCTTGTTAAAACACAGATTGATTCCGTGAATCTGGGGTGAAATTCCGTATTTTTAACAAGTACTCAGGGATGCTGATGCTGCTGGCCTACAGATCGACCATACTTTGAGTATCAAGGTTTCAAAATTTCCAACTTGACTGTGCATGAGACTCTCCTGGAGAGTCTTTAAAAATCCAAATACCCAGGCCAGGCCACTGAAATCAGAATCTATAGGGTAGTGGATACAGGCATGAGGTTTTCTAAAACTCTCCAGGAGATTCACGTGCACAGCCTAGGTTCACATCAGCTTTAGACTCTCTCACTTTCAGAGGTTAAAGAACATATTTTAGTCTTCAAAGGTTTCTCGAATAGGGAAATGACTTTCCTAAGATTCTTTTTGGAGTAGTTCAATATTTAGCCTTTTTAAACCTGTGTGCACCCAATAATCAACTGCAAAAATCAAATTGTCCCTTAAGATGCAAGGTACTGAAGCAAAATAACTGGCAGTAGATCTTTAGTGCTACTGCAGTGAGAATGTTTTTTTAACTGCATATTGGGAGACATCTTGCAACGCCTGCAAATACTGGCGATTTATGAGCACGAGTGCGCAGTGCCGAAGTTGCTGAATTGCCTCAGCTCATCAAAGAAGCTTCTCTGAGAGTTATTTTGAAGACCTCCTGCTTTGTCTTCAGTTCCTGCTTCTGTAAATCCATCTCTGAATGGTCAGGGCTTCTGCTTCCCACAACCCAGCAGGGTGGACTCGGCACCCCTCTCCTTATTAATTTTCACCATGCTGGAAAAACACGCAGAAAAATCGTACACTGAGTAGCAATTAAAGTACTTTATAATAGACTGCAAATTGTGGTTATAAAAGAGTGTTCCTCCCATGGCTTTTTCCCAGTGCCCTGGAATTTATAGCAAGTGGCCTTCATCCTATTGGTTATTAGAATGACACAACGCCTGTGCTGGGCAGAGAAATTTAAGAGGCAGGGCAAGACCCTCACCAAATGCATAGGCCCCTTTTAATCTGATTCTTCTGGGCAGCCAGGCTGAGCTATAAATAGAGCAACAGCATTTCCTCATGTATGCATGGAGAGGCAGTGTGGTATCATGCAAAAGGCCCTAGTCCAGGAGCCAAGAGACCCCAGTTTGCGCCCGAGTCTTGAGTTTTAGGGCTGGAGTTTCCTCATTTGTAAATCTGGAATTACACCGTCTCTCTTGTGAGATTGTTAGGGTCAAGAACATGCTGTAAGTGTTTAACAATAGCTCTCTGGGGAAAAACAACACAAAACAAAACCTGATTTGTACTGTTTGTCCATTTCCATGGTGTAAATACTCCCACCATGGCCTGTTTCAAACCACTCACCCGATATTATTGAACACAGAGTTGAGAAGAGGTGCACAGTAGCACATCACTATGTAGTATTTCAGACACAATAGACATAAATAACTTCAAGCACATGCAGAATAAAAAATGTAAAATGTAGTAAAATATAAACATAGATAAAAATACAAATATGTAAAATACAAAATGTAGTAAAACAATTAGGAAGTGGTGAGTTTTGAGTATTTATCACTTTTTTTTTTTTTTCTGAGACAGAATCTCACTCTGTTCCCCAGACTGGAGTGCAGTGGTGCAATCTCAGCTCACTGCAACCTCTACCTCCTGGGTTTAAGCGATTCTTCTGCCTCAGCCTCCTGAGTAGCTAGGATTATAGGCATGCACCACCATGCCCAGCTAATTTTTTTATTTTTAGTAGAGGCAGGGTTTCACCATGTTGGCCAAGCTGGTCTCGAACTCCTGACCTCGTGATCCACCCACCTCAGCCTCCCAAAGTTCTGGGATTACAGACGTGAGCCACTGTGCCAGCCTTACTTTTGTTTTTAATATAACTTACTTGATTGTAAGTTTAGGTAGTTTTTTTCCTAATGGCTGCTTTAAAAACCAGCTCACAAGATTCCTAAAAAAGGCTGAGTGTGGTAGCTCATGCCTATAATCCTAGCATTTTGGGAAGCTGAGGAAGAAGAATCGCTTGAACCCAGGAGTTTAAGGACAGCCTGGGCAACACAGTGAGACCCTGTCTCTATTTTTAAAAATTTTTTTTAAATTTAAAAAGTGGCTCTCACAAGCCAGTAGAAACTGGTTTGACTATACTCTGGTTGCAGTGGTGTTACCAAAATGCCAGGGGTTCGGTCTAGGTCTGCTTGCTTGCCACACAGAAAGCCAGTCTCTGAGATCACGAGTATTGTCAGGGAGGAAGGCTTTTTATTCCTGTGCTGCAGCTGAGGAGATGGGAGATAACTCTCAAATCCATCTCCCTAACTGACTAAAACTGGGGATTTATGTAGCAGAGAAGGAATGCAGAAATGTCTGGGAAAACAGGAATTAAGGAAAAGGAGTTTCAGTTCCTTGATACCATCTGGGAGGCATGAGGGTTGGTTTCCAGAGGAAGAAGCTCAGACAAGACAAGTAATTGTAAGTTTCAGGTTTAAGACGAGGAGGATCAATTTCTATGCTTATCCAAAAACAACAACAACAACAGCAACAACAAAAACTGTCTATGAGAAAACGGGGTCAGTTTCAATAGTTCAAAGAAGTAACTTGTAAAATTATTAGCACTTTCATTAGTCATTTGTATTAGTTTGCTCGTGCTGCCATAACAAACTACCAGACTGGATGACTTAACGGAAATGTATTTTTGATAGTTCTGAGAAATGCTTGGATCTGGAAGTCCAAGATCAAGATGCTGGCAGATCGATTGCACCTAAGGTCTCTCTCCTTGGCTTGCAGATGGCCACCTTCTTGCTGTATCCTCACATGGCCTTTTCTCTATGTGTGCATCCTTGGTGTCTCTTCCTCCAAATACATATCAGGAGTTGGGGCTTCAACATATGAATTTGTTGCCAGGGGAGGGGTACACAATTTAGTCCATAATAGCACTTAGTAAATATTGGCTGAATATAAATCTAAATAGTGAAGCTTCAACAATGAGCTGAGAAGAAGCCGTCTTCTCTCTATGGGAATTATTACGTTAGATCCTGTAGGTAAAAGAATGACTTAGGCTATGCCCCAGAAAACCTGGATGGAGGGTCTGCCCTCACTATGCTGAGACTCATATACAGAGGGTTCAGTAATGTAGAAAGGACTATACAAATGGAAAATGTTATTGTTGTTATTGATATAGCTGCATTATTTCCTTTTCTACCATGACTGGTTTTTGTGGTTGTTATTTTGGTCCCAATTAAGATCTCTCCCCTAACTCAAGCATGCCTTTACGGATGTTGTGTATGGAATAGTTCATCACTGGTTGTGATTATTTATGTTTTGTGTATTTTTAAAGTTTTGTATGCCTAGAGGCTGGGGAGCACAGAGGATTAAGAGTTCAATCTCTAAAGCTGGAGTGCTTAGATTTTAATCTCGCCTCCACAATTATATTGTCCTTGGTAGAAATCAATCAGGTATTCTCACATCACATTATGGTTGTTGCAGAAATTAAAGCCCACCAGGAACACAACCATGGTCCAAATGTTTAGTTGTATTTAGATGGCTGCACTGAAGGGCAGACCAAGCCAGGGGAGCCGTGGGATGTCAGGACAAGCAGGAGTTAGAGAAGGATTCTTGTGGGACTGTGCTTCTTGTGAGTGCTTCTAGGAGGTCTTAAGGAGTGGGACAGGGACAGGTTTTGAACTGGGTACTGTAAAGAGAAATAATTCAGTGATTGGGTATCTAGGTAATTTTTATTAAAGCAAGGTGAGGGCTGTAACTGATCAAGAAGCAGCAGTCACTTGCGTCCATTGTAAGAGGAAGGTGTTTTGTGGCTCTAGAAAGTATCCTTGTCTTTATCTTCTGTAATTATGGTCACACAGTGAACTTATCTGATCATCATTTATATTTTGTGAGTCTTGTTTATTTCAACTGGATCATTACAGCCTAGCTGCTTTCAGGGCTGCTTTCTTATCGTCATCTTGAAATATCATTTATTCTCATCACTACAGAACATTATCATAGTTATTAAATAAGTGGCTATTTAATATATGAGTAAAGAAGTACATATATTACCATACCAAAAATATTTTATGCTAGGTGTTGTCTAGCTTGAAATAGAAAACATTTTATGATATACACTTACCTATATAATATCTTAACAAGTGTATTTCAGTGCATTTTAAAACATAATTGTGAAAAAAGATCCATAGGCTTCATTCAACTGTTCAAAGTGTCCATAGAATCATAGAATCCAAAAATTTCAGACTATCTGAGAGTCTAACCTTCTCATTTTATAGATGAGAAAACTGAGGTTTAGGGAAGAAAAATGACTTGCATAAGATTATATTACAAGTTAGTGGCAAAGCAGAAGTCAGGATCCAGTTCTCTTTCCTAGAAGGCAGCAAAGAAGGAAAATAATAAAAAGCAAAGAAGGAAAATAATAAAAAGGATATGCACTTTGGAAATTGACAGATGAGTATTTATTGGATAATAATACTGTCTTAGCTTGGGCCCTTTCAAAAATCAAACATGTGACAAATATTCCTTTTAACATTTTACTGTGGGTTCCAATCCCAGGGCCGTAAGAGTGAGGAGGAAAAAAAAGTGAGAGAGGCATAGAAGGAGAGCAAATACAAGGGGGTGAATTAATGAGCAGACCACAAAAGGACACAGCCAGTCATTCAATCACAGAGGATGCACAGCAGCAGCAAAGAGTTAAGGTCACAATCCCAAGTCCATGGTGTGGAACACACTATCTTCACACGCCCAGGGTAGGGCAACCTTGATGAGTTGGCAAGAACACATTCGTGGATTAACAAAAGATAAGTTAATGGTTATGGCAGCATGATTCTCCAGGGAGAGAAATTTGAAACTGAGGAAATGTGAAAAGGTACATAAATTGGACCTAATGTGAATATCTATCTCATGCCATTGTTGTGAGGAGTAGAAATAAAGCACCAAACCCAAAAGAAAATCCCATTACTGGCAGCTATCTCTACAGTCTTTCCAATAGTCTTTCCACTGTACCACAGAGTACGCTGGCCTTTTCTCCAGAAACTGAGACTATTTTACCATCTTTTACTCAGAAGTGATTCTCAGACTTGCCTGCACACCTGGGTAATTTTTTAAAATACTGATATCTGGGTCCCACCCCAGTGATTCTGGCTCATTTAGTTTGGGGTATACCCTGGACATCCACTGATCTCAAAGGAAGGTTGGCATGATGATTACAAATGCTTAAATGCCAAACTGAAAACCTGTGGTCTCTTTAATTGGTCTTGATTTTATTCTCGGTTCAACTCCTTGGACCCATTTTGCTTGCAAATTCCACTATGACTGTACCTTGTGCATGGCCTGGGCCAAAGGTGCCCTGATTTTCTTCTCATTCCCTTATCCAAATCTATATTTATGTTCATAGACAGTAAGAATGGGTCAAGAAGACTCAAGGAAGATGCTTCTGCTTCTACCAACTTCATGGCAGGCAATACACTCAAGGTATTTCCATCCGTATGTGTGAATGACACCCTTGCGAACTGTGGCCCTCTTCTAGGCATTGCCCTAGAAATAAATCTAAACCCTAGGAATAAATCTAAACTAAAAATAAAATTATAGGAACGATTGCTAATTGAAGATCACTCAGGAGTGAAAATGAAAAATATCTAAAATTATCAATAAAATATAGAATTAAATGAACCTAGAGTCACAGGATCTCAGCCGCTGGGGAGAGGGGTGAATCACTTGGATGGATCCCTCTCCACCTTGCATGAGTTCTCTTTTACAACATCCACGCAGATATATGACCAGAAGCATTTGATTTGCATAAATTAGTTTAACCCTCAGCTTTTCAAAAACATATCTATTGGGTAAAGTGTGGGCAACCTGAGGGCATCATGAAGTTTGCCAGGTGACAGTGATGTGAACTACAGCAAAGCTGCCTGTTGTAATGACAAACAGTCAAGGAGGCATGGCTATTCTACACACAGATACAGAAGGAGATTGTTATTCAGGAGGTGTGTAAAGAGCTACCTTATTGCTATTCCAAAGGCACTTTCTCATTTGAAGAAGTTGAGAAAATCAATATGCTGTAGTGACTGAAGCATTCAAAGGCTCAAGACACAATAGGGAGTGAGTCCTCCGCCCCAAAGCCACAGATCAAAATCAAAGCCCTGGCCCTGCTTGTAAGAGCGGAGGCTTGGAAAATCCACACAGCAAGAGCTTGGCCATGTTCCCCAGAGACACAGAAGGTTGTGGTTATTTCAAGGAATGAAAGAGAGCATCAGAAAGTTTAAAAATAGGCATTTGAACTTTAGAATAGCTATCTTAAGTCAGTGGAAGCTTTTGAGAAGTCCATAATTTGACAGTGTATTTGGATGTGCGTGCACAGCCATGCATCTGTGAACTCCTGCTATTAAGGCCTACTCTATCCAAGATCAGCAATACATAATTTTTCTTTACTCTTAACAGAAATATCATTCAAACTAGACATGGAAATATAAGAAAAGAGATGTGCTGACATCACACGGTTCCTTAAAAAAATTCACTTGCTTAGTTTGCTATTTGAACATAAGAAAGTATATCCAGAATTTGTTACCCTTCATTTTTGTCATAAAATTATTTATGGAGTACCTGCAATTCTCAAGTGACTATGTTAAGGGCTGTGATTGAAACACATCTTCGCAACTTTAATATTCCATTCAATTCAAACCAGGAATACAGCTTTGTGCTGGGCACCTGGGTGACCAACTGTCCCAGTTTGCCTGGAACTGTCCTGGCATTGGTATTGAACATCTGTATCCCATGAAATTCCTCAGTCTTAGGCAAACTGGGACAGTTGGTGACCCTACTGGACACTGAAGAAGTTACCAAAGAGGAAAATTTCCAGAATTTATGGAGCGCTGGGGAAATTTAATTGGAGAAAAGGAAATTCATATATTAAACTGTCAGATACTGACAGTTTATATTCAAGAAAGGGTATGATTCATGTAAGCCTAGTCCATGTTTAACATGGAGTAATATTAAAAATAAGTGCTATGCAAGTGCTTATGGAAATAAGTGCTTCAAAGGAAAGAAATGTAAGTTTGTGTTAATGTTTGTGGGATTTTTCAAGTGTTGAGTCAAATATTTATTGTGAGACAAGCATGGTGCTGAGCAGGGTGTATAATGTCAAACAGGGCGTAACTAGCCTAGACTTTTAGTTTCTAGCCCCACACCACTAATTGTCCCACAGTCATGAGCAAATCACTTAATGTCTTTGCATCTTTGCTTTTATATCTATAAAATGGGCATTACAGTATCAACTGCCTTGTATACCCTCTAGGGATGTTGGGAGAATCAAATGAGATGAGAAGTATATAGAAAAGCATTTTGAAAACTACAGAATGCAGTACAAATATAAGGGCATAGGTGACATTGTTATTATTGCTGATGGACAAAAAATAAATCCACAATGTGACTTCAGTGATCTAGAACTGTATTGGCCAATAATGACTATTTAAATCTAAATTAATTGAAGTTGAATAAAAATTTTAAAAGTTAGTTTCTCACTTACCCTAACCTAAATATAGTCATTCAAGAGCTCAATGACTATATGTGGCTAGTAGGTTCTGCGGTGGACAATGCAAAGAATATTTCCATTACCACAGAAAGTTTCACTGGGCAGTGCTGGTCTAGATATAAGTGATTGACATTTTATATCTTGAATATGGTGACAATATGTCTTTGAAGTGGGAGTATTTCTAGATAAAAGCAGAAAAGTCATTAGGACTCTAAGCTGTCTAACCTTAACTCAAATTGTGGTGGTCATTACTGGTGCTCACCACATATGCTAATTCTCTTTCTCTCCTGGGCACCTGTTAACATTGCACTTCTTAAAGCTCTTCTGGTTGATTGGGAACACATGGCCAATTCTGGACAATGAGCTCTGAGCACAAGTGATGTATATCACCTGCATGTTGAGCACTTAATCATTGCTGGGAATCCCTCCAAAGCTTCATTCTTCTGTCATTACTGGAAGCATCCCAGATACAGGCTGTTGGTCAGCCTGAGTTCTGCAGGGAGAACTACACAGAAGCACAGTTTAGTTCCCAACTGACCCTTGATGGACATGTAGAAGGAGCAAGAATTAACTTTTGTTGGTGGAAGCTATAGAAATTTAGGGGCTATCAGTTATTTTGGCATAGGCTAGCCAATCCTTACTCATACATTAATCTTGAGGTAAGAACAAAAAAAGACATAATTAGCTAGGTCTCTAATCCTAGTTATTCTCTAGCTGTGGCCATTCATCAGACACACACACCCATACAGACCCACATGTACATGTAATAAAAACAGAACAGAACAAAAAGGATATAGCACAGCCCCACCTCCCAACGAATGCAATCAAGCTGCTCTGCCTCACTTCCTTGCCAAAAGGAGATTCAAAGCCATGTGTAATTCATTTATCACCACCCAATTTTAGAATACAGTACAACATTCTCATTTTCTTCTGGGAGGCCCTGAATAGTACAATTTCATGAGGACTAGAGTTGTTGTAACCGGAACCTGGATATTCCAGAAAGAGGTTCATACACTTCTTTCCAAAATGTACCTCTGGTCGTGGTCTCTCCAACTGTGAAATGGAGGAAGCAAGGAGAGCGCGAGCCATCTCATACATTGATGGAAGGTTTTTCCTTCCTGAAAGGAAGCACAGGATGTGGTGAGTTAATGACAGAAGGTACTTCATTTTTGAAGAATGAAAGGAGATATGTTGGTACAAATTACCCATGTTCTGCTGCCTAATCACAAAGCAAAGATTCTATTTTAAAAACCCAGGCAGCAATTTCACTTTTGAAACACGTTGAATATTATACTAAAGGGGTGCCATTGGGAAAACTTTGGGAAGAAACTGCAGAAATCTTCTCTTTGTGTATGAATACATGGAAGAGTCCCCATGGATGAGTATACAATACTGTGCCTGATGCTTTTACTACTATTCATCCACAATGCTTCACCCAGTGTCCACCCACTGCTCCCTCCTCACTTCCTCCTGCCACCCAATCCTGTAAAACAGAGCCTGTTTGTATTATTATTTGCTATTATAACAATGAAGTATTCACATGGAAAAATGAAAGAAATAAATACATGTGAAGTGCCTACTTTGAGTGCTACATGCTAGGCCTCTTCCCTTCACATTAGCTTTTGAATCTTCCTAAAAACCCCAAGAAGTAGCTCCCGTTATCTCCATTTTTCACACAAGGAAACCAAGGTTTAGAGATGTGGCATAACATGTGTGTAACAGAGTCACCATTCACATGTTCCCATCTACCTCCAGGCCAGGGGCTTCCTATGACAAGCACCTGTTACCCTCTGATTGGGGCTTTTTCTGGTTTCAAAAACAAGCCCAGCCCACACACACAGCAGAATAGAAAAGCTGGAAAGTTAAAGCACCTGGGTGGGTGCTCAGCACCCCCATGGATGGGTGTCACTGAATGAATACCCCAGCTTTCTCTCCTACAATATGGGATAACACTGAGCCAGGGCCTCCCAGAGTTCCCCAACAGGAGTGAGCCCCAGTTGCCACAGGAGTGAATGGCTCATTAACACATCTCTATAGGCTTCCTTCCCTTCCTGTCTCACTTCCACACACCCCCATACCAGTGCTTCTTTTTTTTTTTTTTTTTTTTGGACAGAGTCTCACTCTGTCACCCAGGCTGGAGTGCAATGGTGCAATCTCGGCTCACTGCAACCTCCACCTCCCAGGTTCAAGCGATTCTCCTGCCTCAGCCTCCCAAGTAGCTGGGATTATAGGTGCGTGCAACCAGTCCCGGCTAATTTTTGTATTTTTAGTAGAGACGGGGTTTCACCATGTTGGTCAGGCTGGTCTCAAACTCCTGACCTTGTAATCCGCCCACCTCAGCCTCCCAAAGTGCTGGGATTGCAGGCATGAGCCACCACATCCAGCCACCAGTGTTTCTTAGAATCACTTCCCAAGTAAATGACTTGCCTTCAAAACTTTTTCTCCGAGTCTACTTTAGAAAGAGCCCAACATAAGACAATGTCCCAGTTTATGCAATTAACAAGTGCTAGAGCCAATATTCAAACTAGTCTGACTCTATACTTTCTATATCAATGATGAGAGAGAATGTTTCAAACAGTCTCTCATCTCCACTCAGGGCCATTGTGGTGGACACTGAACAGGTCACAGAAATAAAAGAAAATTAGGGTAGGAAGTCATTGTCTTCACTAAAGACCTCATGTGCTCCAACAGCTTTGAATTGATTCTTCTAATCTGCCTCAGAAAGACATCATGGCCTCTGATCATAGGAGAAAGTGGGTACCACGGCAGACAGATATACTTCCTGAAAATCCAAGAAGAGTTTGGAGAAAAGCTTTCTGGAACTCCAAAACGTGACTCATCTTGAGAGCTCAGAATGCAGCTCAGGTGGCCACATTTATAAAAAGCTAGGGTAGTTAAGGAGAAGAAATTCTACTCAGCTGTTACCACTTAAATCACAGTTATACCATGGCCAGCAATGCCATCAACAGTGGCATCTCCATTTGTCCACTCTGGTCATGGGCCATGAACCCAATTACCCATGCTTGGAAACTCCCAGCAAGAATGAAGTTCCGTTATAAATCAATCACAGCAAGCCATTTCAGGAAGAAAGCTTTACCCAAACTATTGAAGACTGATTACCTTTCCCATGGCTTTTACTGTTGATGCCTCACCCAATTTAATCTGATGTATCAGCTCTCATTTGGATGTTCCGATCTACATGTGGAGAATGTCACTGCTGTGACTGCCTGCACAAACAACACAACATCAGTAAATGAAAGTCGAAATCCCCAGAGAAGGGAGCATTGCCCAGCACAGCCTGGGAGCATGGTAGGCACTTAATAAATACACATAAAGAAAACTGAGTCATAGATTTCCTTTGAATTGATAAGATGTTTGAATGAAGTCCAAGTGATCTAATTTTGAAAGAAGAGAGTTGAAGGGAGATGCTGGTAAAAAATAGCCAGAATTTCAGTTTACAGAAAAATAAGACAACCAAAGTGTCTGCTGCCTCAATATCCTTGAGACTTCTGGGCTTTTACAGTTACCCTTTTTCTATGTATTATTAATAAAAGATGGCTTGTGAAACTTGAAGAGGCTCCTTTAGGCCATAGATAGGACAATCTGAGCACTATTAAAGATAACTAGCCAAGCATGGTGGCATGCACTTATAATCCCAGCTTCTCAGGAGGCTGAGGCAGGAGGATTGAGCCTGGGAGTTTAAGGCTGCCGAGAGCCCTGATTGTGCCACTGCACTACAGCCTGTGTGATAGAGACCTTGTCTCAAAAAAAAAAAAAAAGTAATAACTGCAAAAGGTTGAAATGTAACAAGTGGGCCAGGCACAGTGGCTCACATCTATAATGCCAACATTTTGGGAGGCCAAGGTGGACAGATCACCTGAGGCCAGCAGTTCAAGACCAGCCTAGCCAACATGGCAAAACCCCATCTCTACTAAAAATACAAAAATTAGCTGGGCGTGGTGGCACATGCCTGTAATCCCAGCTACTGGGGAGGCTGAGGCAAGAGAATCGGTTGAATCTGGGAGGCGGAGGTTGTAGTGACCCAAGATCGCACCACTGCACTCCAGCCTGGGAGACAGAGCGAGACTCTGTCTCAAAACATAAAAAGAAATGTAACAAGTGCATTTAAATATATGCATTCATAATAATTGAAAAAGAATTAACTAATACATGAGTTTATAATAATTCCTGGGACTCCATTGGAGGATGGAAGTGAACTAATGCATCATTTTGAAAACTGGTAAATGAAAGGGAATGAGTCAATTTAAAAAGATATGAAAAAATCCTGTGCCCCGTGCCCCATTCTATGCACTAACAGAGATCCAGATCCTGACCAGTTCCCTTTAAAAGGTGCTGGAGAGCCGTTCTTTTTACTGGAGTGCTCCCCTCTTCCGTGTGCTTTTTCTTCTCCACTCTTGCTACTCCACCCAGCTCCTCCTGGCGCCCACAGCAGCCATCTTCCTGCCACACAACTTCAGTCCAGGCTGGATACTTCAGTGCAAGCCTGCTTCTTCCTGTCCTCTAAGCACCACTGTCACAAGCCAGTTCCATTTGGAAGACTTTAACTGGACTCTTGGGGAAATGGTGGCAGAAGGAAGCACAGAAAACAAAATTAAGTAACAGACGTCTCCACGTGTAAGTTATTAGACATCTTCATATGGAAGTTATTTGACACCCTCACTCCTTGGGGAAGTCCTCTCACCTTCTGCAGATTCTTGCTGCCACCATCCACATAGCTTGGGTCTCCCTTTCTCTTACCTTCAAATACCCACCAAACACCTCTCCCAACCCCAGCACCCACTACCAAACTCTTCAAACTTTCTGAAGCTTTTGACTTTTTAAGGCAAACAGTTAACCCTTCCTGGATTAAATCTCTTCCTACCCATATTATCCCCTGGAGAACTTGGTTTATACAATAGAATATGACTGTTTAAGTTGCTTTTCTCAAGCAAAAGAGACGTTCCTCTCTAATTGGGATTCTGGTTTCTCGTTGGACCATCTGACTCAAACTCCAGTCAGATTTTTTTTCTAGTCTTTCCATTAAATTAAAAAATGTCTAAAAATTTTAAAGGTTTAAGTTCAAATGCTCATTGATGCTATTAATCAAAGATGTATTATGTATATATTTCGAACAAACTCTATTAATCAGCCTGCCAATTATTTTTGATATTGTGTGGTCTATTTCCCCACAGGCACTAGCCAGCCATCAGTTACTTTCCATCCAAAGTGCAGGTCTTTCAGCCTTGTTCACTATAGTATTAGTCTATGACCTTCGAAAACATACTGTTGCTTTGTTTGGGGAAAAAATCTAATTACAGTAGTTAAATGAACTGGAATTAATTAAGTTGTGGATACTTGACATTTATAGCTAATTGGTCATATCCATCATAAAAAGAGAAATTGGGCCTTTTATCTCTCTGTTTTATCAACCATGCTGAAAATCAATAGTGTTTCCAGGAGGTGGGGTGCCAAGGCTCCCAGCAGCCTGTTTGACCCAGAGGAAAACACAGGTCTTCATTACATTATGGCTAGAAATTTCTTAGCTGGGGAAAGTCCTCAGGAAAAGAATCATGGGTTTCTGCATTTCCAGATAGAGACTTTAGAGACAGCCTATTTGGGGGTCTCTGAACAGAAAACTCGCTAAACCAAGTAAAGGGGGCTTTCCACAGTGCTTACTGGTGGGTCTCCATTCATTCCTGAACAGCCCCTCACTTCCACTTCAGCATGCTGTGTCCAAGATAGGCAGCTTCAGCCACAGCCAGGAGACAAGGTTCTAAGAGTCCCCGAGATTTGCTGAAAGCATACAAGGCCCATAATTCTTCAGCCTTCCTGATCTCCTCCCTGTGCGTGGAGGGAATAATCTAAGAGGGAGTGAGTTCATAGTGTCATCATGTATGTATTAGTTTGACAGAAACGGAAAGAAATATGAAAAGAAGAGGAACTTCTGTTTTATTTTTGTGACCCTATAAATAAGCTCTAAACTGCCTTCCAGGAAGACTGGGCACTTCATATTTCCACCAGCCATGCATGAGACTATACTTTTCCCCAGAGTGATATTGATGTTATAGCTCTTCCTTACAATTTTCCATCTGATAGGTGTAATGTCTTGTTGTTAGCTGAATTTGCATCTCCCTGAGGATTTGGTGTATTTGGTATCTTTTCACATGTTTGTTGACCATTTGGCAGCATCCATTAGAGTTTAAATTATATATTTTTGGTGTAGCAGTTGCTTTCCTGGAAATGTTTCCTATGGAAATAACATCATGATATGTGCAGACATATTTATAGTAGCATTTTTCATAGCTACAACTTGGACACAAAGTCAATATTTATTAAGAGAAATGGCTGGCTAAATTATGGTACACCTATACTGTATTAGACAGGGTTCTCCAGAGAAACAGAACCAATAGGATAGAGAAAGAGAGAGAGAGAGAGAGATAGACTATAATGAATTGGCTCAAGTAATTATGGAGGCTAAGAAGTCCCATGATCTGCTGTCTGCAAGCTGAAGACCCAGGAAAGACAGTCCTGCAGCTCCAATCTGAGTCTGAAGGCCCGAGAACCAGGAGAAGCGAGAAGATAAGTTCCAGTCCAAATATAAAGGCCTAGGATCAGCAGAGCTGAGGGTGTAAGTCCCAGTCAAAGGGCAAGAGAAGATCCATGTCCCAGCTTGAAGACAGGCAGAGAGAGCAAATTCTCTCTTACTTCTCCTTCTTGTCCTATTCAGGCCTCCAACAGGTTGGATGAAGCCTACTCACACTGGAGAGAGCCATCTGCTTTACTGAGATTACTGATTCAAATGCTAATCTCATCCAGAAACACCCTCACAGACAAACCCAGAAAAATGTTAGACCATATATCTAGATCCTTGTGACCCGGTCAAGTTTACACATAAAATTAACTGTCATATATATATCGTGACAGGTTATACAGACATAAAAAAGAACAAAGATTTCATTGTGGTGTTATTGAATGAGTTAGGTAAACAGCAGAAAATAGGTACACATGATCTCATTTTTGGAATGCAGAACCATCCTCGAGCCCAGCAAAGAGGATCCCTTGCCCTGGACCTTGTGCTTTAGAAGGCTCTGTTCTGGCCCTTTTCCAGGGATATCCCTCCTCAGAAAGTGGAGGTGTGCAGAGCTCAGGAGACATGATCATCCAGAGACCCCGTGCCTTCATTCAGGCTTTGGGACCCTGTAATTTCTTCTCCAAACAGCTCTGAACCCATTTCCAACGTCTGCACAGACCTCTTTCCTTGAGCCTTCCTCTCAAGGGTAACCATGCTAAGTTACACACCCCTAGGCCCAAAGAGAGGCCACAGGGTGACTTTTTGCGCATAATATGGATGGGGCTTGAACTTGTAGGCTGAAGTGTCCATGTGTACATGCACAAAGATGGAGTCAGGGCTAAGAAGAGAAGGGGGTAGACCATAAGCTGATGGCCTCCATTTGTATTCTTGCCCCAGTCCTGCACCTATGAAGGGCAGGCCACCCGCAGACATGATGCATTAGGCCACGACAAAGACACTCTAAGCAAACATTGCTAGGAAGGTATTTAATGTAGCTGCCTGGGTGGTGTCAGGTTCTGTATGAATGTATGGTTCTTTTTCCATTCAGTTTTCAGGCAGAGGGGACTGTTCCGAGAAGGGGCTCTTTAGAACATTGCACATGGAGAAGATGCAGCCCATCAAGCAGAACAGTTGTCCCTCCAAAGAGACAGAGTAGCCAGCCTCTGCAGTTAGTCCTTCCTGGAGCTACAGGCACAACCCCAATATGGAAAATAAGCAACACAAATGGCTTCCAGGACACACAAACTGTGAGACCAGAGCATCATGGAAAAGGCTCAAGAAATCCAGCTCAGCCCCAGAGCACATCTCTGACCGCCCCCGGTTAAAGACTGTAGATGTGTGTCAAGACCCAATGTAGGACTTTCTGTTTATTGATACGAAAGTTTGCCTAATGCAAGGCACAGATTTCTCACCCCAGACAACAAATCCATGTGTTGAGGAACCATTGCATGTGTGTTTATACATAGATAGATGAATGAGGTGGTTCCTGAATGAATATAAGACTCAAGATTTTGGCCAAGACTGGGAAAATCCAAAGAACACCTCTTCCAGACTCAATTGTAATGAGATCTTTCTGCGTCTGGATTTATTCTGTGTCACATGAAAACCTGTTAAACTTCCATGGAAAAAGATGTCTTGAATATTTTATGCCTTATTCAAATGCTTCAGATATTTATTTCAGCTTACAGATGTTGAAACTATCTTAAATTGTCAAATGTTTTGTTGGAATGAATCTTTTACTTCAATAATTTTTTAAGGTTTTTTTTTTTTAAAGCCTGACTCAAAGCAAAAGTAAAACAGATAAAAGCTGAGTTGATTTATCTGAATTGGAGCTGGAGATTCCTATCTTCACTCACTGGCTCCCGCTCTCCCATCGCCCCTGGGAAGAAATATCTGGGAAAGGGGAAAAAGAGATATTGCCACTAAGTCTCTTTACTTCCTTGAGCCAAACTTAAACATCACTGACCAAATTCCCTCTTTTTATTTTAGATAGAGAAACTGAGTACTTAAGAGGTTAACCCTTAGAAGGAGTAAAGGTTTATTATTATTCAGAGTATATAAAACACTTCCCACCTGCCTTGTGTTGAAAGACAAGGGTCCCTTACGGCATTAACAAAAGGAAGGCAAGAATGGGACGTCTGATCCACAAGATGACCTGCGCCTTTGTCACCTTCATGCAGGTTAACTTAGAAGACAAAGGAGTTTTGGCTAAGCTGGTGGAAGCTACCAAGACCAATTACAACAACAAATATGATGAGATCCATCATCACGGGGGAAGCAATGTCCCAGGCCCAAAATCCATGGCTCACATTGCCAAGCTGGAAATGGCAAAGGGTACAGATTTGCCACTAAGCTGAATTAAATGTACACTGTTGAGTTTTCTGTACATAAAAGTAATTTAAAAATTCCCCTTCCAAAACAGTGTATATAAGGGTATAAATATAATAATAGCAATAATGATCAGCACTTTATGGGCACTTACTCTCTACTAGGTACTGTGCTAAGCATCTTACCTCCACCTCTATTACCTCACAAAGCCCTTTTAACAACCTTGTGAGATGGATACCAATATGTTCTTTGTTTTCAGATGAGGAAGCCGAGTCTTCAAGATCTAGCAGGGGAAGAACATGCACTTAGATCTATAAACCCTGATACCAAGATCTTAACCTCTATTGTCTAGAGCAGAGTTTCTCAACTGTGGCATCACTGACTTTTGGAACCAGATTATTATTGTTACGGGGGACTGTTCTGTGCATTGTAGGGGGTTTAGCAGCATGCCTGGCCTCTATCCATTAGATTTCAGTAACATCCTCTCAGTTATGATGATCAAAAATGTCTCCAGACCAGGCACAGTAGCTCACATCTGTAATCCCAGCAACTTGGGAGTTTGACACGGGAGGATTGCTTGAGCCCAGAAGTTTGAGATTAGCCTGGTCAGTATAGTGAGACCCCATCTCTATGAAAAAATTTGTAATTAGCCCAGTGATGGCATCATGGGTAGTCCCAACTCCTCTGGAGGCTGAGACTGGAGGATCGCTTAAGTCCCAGAGTTTGAGGCTGCAGTGAGTTATGATTGCACAACTGCACTCCAGCCTGGGCTACAGAGTGAGGTCCTGTCTCTTAAAAAAACATTATTTTAATTGAAAAAAAAGTCTTCAGACATTGCCAAATGTCAACTGGAGGACAAAATTGTCCCCATTTAGAAACACTGATCAACAGACAGATGAAGTACTCATAAAATTATTTTATGGTGTGCTATCTCCACGTAGCTGCCCAAATGGACGCGTATCATGGACCAGCTAATGGAGGGCCTCATACAAGAGTCACTTTGGGAAATCATTGATGAAAGACATTTGTCTTGTGCACTCAACCAACTGGGTGATTTACTGACTATTGTCCCTTTTCACATGATCACTGTGGAGCCCCACAGGCACGTATCTAAATGTCCCATCCATAATCATTTCTTCTGACAACATTATACCCAATATGAGGAAGTTGCAGGTTATGGGAGCCTGGAGATGATTCTATGTGGGGGTCCGTTGTAGAAACAAGGAATACAAAACTTCTATGGATAAAAAATTCGGTGCGGGGCCTTGGAAGTGCTTATGTAAGTGAGGGGCCCCTAAACTTACATTTCATCTGCTATTTCATCTGTGCACACAGGCAAGGTCTTAGATTTCCACCTGTTTTACTCACACGTAGGAAGCTTGACTCTGTTTGGTGTCATCACTTAGCATTCTTCCCCACTCGGGTAACATAACCATTTTCTCTTTTATCATGGCCTTGTGATAAAAGGGCAATTGAGGCTTCCTTGTCACACCAAGGTTTATGTGATATTGCCCAAAAATGTGGTATCCAAATCATGGAAGGGCATTTTCTTGCTTAGTAGCTGTTTAATACAGCTCATGGAAAGTAAAAAGGAGTAAATATTTGAGAAATTGAATTCCATTTCCCTGATAAAAGTCATACTACAGGTTTGAAGGAGCCAACTTCCTGACTATTAAGAATTATGTTTTACTTCCCTGCTCATCAAGTGTCCTACAGAAATTTCCTCATCAGTGATCTTTCTTTCACTTTATTAAGTACAGAAAATGATTGGGGTGAAAATCAACTTGATAAACCCCTGCAATAATTTCATTTGAGTTTTAAAAAATTTCTTGGCTGGGTGCAGTGGTTCAAGCATGTAATCCCAACACTTTGGGAGGCCAAGGCAGAAGGATGGCTTGAGCTCAGGAGTTGGAAACCTGCCTGGGCAACATAGAGAGATATTAGCTGGGCATGGTGTTGCATGCCTATAGTCCCAGCTACTCGAGAGGTTGAGTCCAGAGAATTGCTTGAGCCCAGGAGTTCAAGGTTGCAGTGAGCTATGAGATAATGACACCGCACTCCAGCCTGTGTGACAGAGTGAGACCTTGTCTCAAATAAATAAATATAAAAACTAAATAAAATTTCTAAAAGCAGGAAAGAGTAAAAATCTGGTAAAAAGTGTTGGTGAAGACTGGATTAGAGTAATGAGGAAATGCAGCCTGTCTCATAATGCAATCCATACTTCATTTGGTGATCTCAGAAGAGGTAGCACATTTTTATTGCACCCCTCTCTACCCAGCAGATCCTGCTATCCTTCCCAATTAAGAAAGACAAACCATAGTCTTCTTTTCCTCCCCTGCTTCATGTCAGACTCCATCTTCCTTTCATGTTTGCTTTGGAAAAAAATATAAAAAGTCAAGCTATAAAATCACAGCAATCCAATCTCTTCTTCTTCCCCTGTATCCTCTGAGAATGACCCATAGTTGGGTCATTCTAAATAAATGTTGCTTTCTAAAAGTTCTAATAGAGCACCTCTTAAGAGATCTCTGGGTATTCCTCCATGTCCTTAGAGAATAGATCCCTTCACAATTCAGGGCATCCTTCCCCTGCTTGCTGGGAGTCTTGGTAGATAACACAATGCACAGCTGCTTCTTTCTCCAGAGGATTTCCTTGGTCAAAGGTGCATGAGTCTGCTCCGTTGACATAAAGTACCGAGGGCTGTGGGGCTTAAACAACAGAAATTTATTTCCTCACAGTTCTGGAGTCTGAGAGTCCAAGATCAAGGTGTCAGCAGAGTTGGTTTCATTCAGAGGCCTCTCTCTGTGGCTTGCAGGTAACAGCCTTCTCTGCATCTTCACATGGTCTTCTTTCTGTGTGCCTATTTTTTGTTTTTGTTTGTTTGTTTGTTTTTTGTTTTGGAGACAGGGTCTCACTCTATCACCCAGGCCGGAGTGCAGTGGTGTGATCTCAGCTTACTGCAACCTCCACTTCCTGGGTTCAAGTGATTCTCGTGCCTCAGCCTCCAAGTAGCTGGGATTACAGGCACATGCCACCACACCCAGCTCATTTTTTTGTATTTTTACTAGAGACAAGGTTTCACCATGTTGGCCAGGCTGATCTTGAACTCGTGACCTCAAATGATCTGCCCATCTTGGCTTCCCAAATTGTTAGGATTACAGGCGTGAGCCACCATGCTGGGCCTCTGTGTGCCTATTCTAAATTTTCTTTTCATGTGAGAACACTCATCATATTGGACTAGGGCCCACCCTAATGTCATCATTTCCACTTAACTTTAATATAATAGTTAAGTTAAAATGAGGACAGGATTTTAAGATCCTGTCTCCATATACAGTCAAATTCTAAGGACTAGGGGTAAGGATTTCCACATAAGTAGTTTTGGGAGACTCAGTTCAGCACCTAACAAGGAGTAGTGTCTTGTTCATTTTTGTAAAAGAATGTCAGTTGTTCAGGGATTAAATGACCTTCTGAACAATCCACCAAACCATCCACCAGCACTTCTAATTTATAACCTGTACTGTTGATCTAAGTCATTCTTAGAAGAGTTGTTCTGGTGCAGACCTTCTTGTAGTTTCAGAGTTGGCATTAGAGAACAAACAATGCTTGTCTTTTTTTCTTTAAAGATATAAATTATAGACATACGCTAACCTTATATATATCTTCTGGGTATCCAGGTTAGTTACCTCTTTAAAGACCTCGTCTCTAAATACAGTTGCATTCTAAAGTACTGGGGGTTGGGACTTCAGCTCATGAAGAGGGGTGGGCACAGTTCAGCTCATAACAAAAGAGCTATGGCTGACAGGGGGTTCAGAAGGCTGGCCCTCTTGCCTGAGGATAAGGCCGCAGCTGGTCTACACCTGAAACCACACCCTTGGTTTGCTTTTATTCCCCTGCCCTCTCCTGACCCTTTCATTTCCTTTTTCCTGAGAGCTGTTCCCCCAACAAATCTCTTTCACAAGAATCTCCATCTCAGGCTCTGCTTCTAGGCGACCTTCGGAGCATTTTCTTTTAGCATGGATCAAAATCTTAGAATCCAGGAGACCCAGTTTCTAGCCATGGGTCCCGCTTGCTGTGTAAACTTGGATAACCTGAGCATCGTCACCCACAAAATGACAGTGGTGGATTCGGTGACCTCTGCAGTTCCTGCCAGCTCCTATGGGCACTTCATTTCTGAAACCAGCCAGTTCAGTGCTGCTATATTTCTGTCACAACTGATGCATCCACTGCAAAGCCTATTTTTACCGAATTGGAGCCCTTATTGACAACAACCCCCATTCCTGTATGTTTTTTCTCCTATTTTAAATGGTTAAACAAGACAGAAAATGATAAGCAGCTGCAGAAAAACTGCCCCCATGCTGCCAGCCGCAGCAGCTTTCCCACGCCTCCCTCTTCATCTTGACCAAACTTTAAGTCAGACCATTATACACACTCCAATCTGCAACTGGAAAAAGAATCCCTCAGAAACTATTAAATTACTAAGAATAACACAGGACCATTTGTTAATCCATCCAGTAAATCCAGTTTTTTTCCCTTATCCTGCATTTGAGTAAATCACTGAGGCTAACATGGCCACTAGAAGAAGTTTTGTATTTCATCAAAACTAAAAAGTTATCAATAATAAGACATTCTGCTGTTTATGTACAACTCAAGGAAAAAAAAAATTTGCATTCAGACATGATGCAAACATATCAGTTGGAATTTTTATCCCAATGAAAAATATTTTTTTATCCCTATTGATTAAATTTTGTCCCTATTAAATGAACTAGATTCATATCAACATTTTTACGTCATCTGTCACTCTCATACATTAGAAAAGCAAAATATACAGGAAAAATTATTTAAGGGGTTATAAAGACTTCCTCACATTTAGAGTTTAATCCTGAATCACGGTGAACTCCATGGTACCAGTGACTGTGAGATATTGTCTTTTCTGGCAAGAGCACACATAATATCATGCTTCTTAAAATGTGTGCACTGCTGCTGTCTATGGAATTTTCTTCCAAGCCACTGACACCATTATATAAGCCATTTCTTTTACTTTTTATTATGCAGAATGTTTAGCAAATACAAAAGCAACAGAATACGAATAATGAACCACACTCCGGATCATCAGCTACAGCCATTCCTACCCACATACACCATCATTCACTTTCTCCCCTCTTGTATAATTTTGAACCAAGCATCTGACATACCATTTGTCTGAAACGTCTGTCACATCATTCATCCATGTCTTTCAGTGCATATCTTTAAAAGATAGGATTATTTTAAATATAACCAGAATATCTTTCCAAACCTAAAAAAAGTGATTGATAATTCCTTAACGTAATAAAATATCCAAGCAATGTTCAAAGTCCCAGTTATCTTATAAATATTTTTTAAATTTTTTAAAATGAAAATTCAAACAAGGCCCACACATGATGGTTTATTGATATGTCTTTTACTTTTCTTTTAATCTGAAGTTTCCCCTTCATTCTCTCTCTTTCTTTCCTTACAATTTATTTGTTGAAGAAACAGGGTTGTTTGCCCATGTGGAATTTGTCACTGTCTGGATTTTGTTGATTTCAACCCTGTGGTGTAATTTACAATGTTCCTTTCTCCCTTATATTTTATGTAAATTATTTTTGTGTGTGTGTGTGTATGTGAATAATTTGAACTGAGAGGTTTGATCTTAGTTGGGTTTGAGTTTTTTGGCAGGAACACGTCATAGGTAATGTTGGATTCTTCTACCAGGAGGCATGTCATGTCTGGGTGTCTCTTCATGTGATGTTAGCAGCCATTGATGTTTAATGCCCAGATTCATTAGTTCATTAGTAGTTGTGAAAAGATGATATTCCAATCCTATAATTCTCCCTCACTTAATAACTGGAAACTTTCTATAAAGATAAACCTTCTCTCATCTACCAATTCTGCAAGTTTTAATACGTGCGTCAGAGAGCGATGCCTATTTCACCACTGCCACCTGGCCATAGGTGATTGACATACAGTCATTAGCATGCATTTAGGAGCTGTGTGGTAAGAAAATAATTGTGTCTTTAAGAGGTAGAATTACACTTGTCACTGAGAAGTCTCACATGGAGAGTGGAGTGGGAGTTAAGAAATGATGATGCACATCATCTAATTCATGTTCTCTTCAAGAGGGGTGTGTTTGTGGGGTTGGGGTATGTGCCAAATATGTATAGTTGAATTCACATAAGTTAAATGCAAATATGATGTGTAACATTATAATTTTTCTTATAGTGATTATTTCTATGTACTATATATTTCTCTCCTCTGAGATTATAAGTGCCTTTTCATAATCTTAATCAACCCTAAACTTCTCAAAGCCAAAATTCTGCAAAGCAAATTACCTTTAATTCTCCTCTTTCTCACCTTCCTTTCTGTCTAGCAGCCATTAGTATTCTCCCAACCAAAGCCACAATAAGATGCCTAATAAAAACGTGTCCTGGCTATAGTAGCTGAGAACTCTTGTCTGCTGTATTCTAAACTGTGTCTCTAGGGTCCTGTGTTCCTCATAAAAGCCAAGCAAAGCAATTATTATGAACCTTTTTTTTTTTACATACAAGAAAACTGAGTTTAAGAGATACAATATCTTACTATTGGAAAAAGAGCAAAAAGTGAGCTTAAGGGTTGGTTTTTCCCTTTATTTCCCAAACATCCTGTCTACTATCAGCATTTAGTGTAAAAATTTTAAATGAAGTTTAACATATAAACACACAGGTACATAAATCATATGTGCACAGCTCAATGAATTTTCACAAAATGAACACACCCATGTTCCCAGAGACAGGATCCAGAAAATGAACACTAGAAACCAAGAAGCTCCCTCATGTTCCTCCCCATGACCACCTCACCTAACAGTAACCACTACCTAAGCTTCTAATGGAATGCATTCATTTTATATACTTTTGAATATATAAAAGGAATCATACCAAATGTACTTATTTTGTGCTGGCTTCTTTCATATAGTATTATATCATGAGATTTATCCAGCCAGGAACAACATTTCCCACACCCCCTTGCAGTTAGGTGGAGCCATGTGACTAATTTTGGCCAATGGAATGTGAGGGCAGGTGACATGTGTCTCCACCCAGCCTAGGTGGTTAAGAATCTGGGGTGTCTTCTGCATGATATCTCCACCACTTCTGTGAAGACCCTTGGGGACATGTGTTGAGAGTGGCAGAGTTCAAGCTGGAAGAAACCTGAATCTCCAAGACACTGCTTAGACAAGGAGGGCAACCTAACTGGAAGCATCGACATTTCACTTGTGTGAGCCAAAAATAAACGTATGATGGGCTGAGCCATGAAAATGTGGGGATTATTTGTTACAGCAGCCTATCCTGATTGATACAGTTGATTTCTTGGGTCCCTTTACTTTTCAGGACTTTCCCTTTGTCTCTTTTTTCCTCCTTAAAGAAATGATTTCTTCAGCATAGGAGAAGTAAACTGAACCCGCTGAATTGAGGAAATGTCAGGAGAATAGGAGGGAAAGAACAAGAGCTACAAAATAGAGGAGTAAAAATGTGAATAGATGAAAGATCAGAAATGCAAGATTGGATTATGATGAAAAAATGTTCTCTTCTCACTTCCTCTGTAATTAAAGAATAAAAATCTTCTCTTCTAGGCCTCTATTTCTAGATTACTTGGAGATCATATCTTTGTCTATCTGTGATGCTATAGCAAAATACCACAGACTGGGTAATTTATAAATAATATAAATTTATTTCTCATAGTTCTGAAGACTGGGAAGTCCAAGATCAAGGTGCTGGCAGGTTTGGTGTCTGGCGAGGGATGCTCTCTCTGCTTCCAAGATGGGGCCTTGTTATCAAGTCCTCTGGATGGGATGAATGCTGTGTCCTCACATGGCAGAAGAGACAGAAGGGCAAAAGCTCCTACCTATGTTTCTTCAGGCCTTTTATAAGGGCACTAATCCTATTCATGAGGGATCCATGAGCCCTCCTGACTTAATCACCTTCTAAATGTCCCACCTTAACACTATCACACCGGCGATTAAGTTACAACATATAAATTTTGGAGGACACATTCAGACCATAGCAGATGATGTTGGTACAGGGATTATTCTGGATTCCCTGGAGGTAGACCTCCTATTTACTTCTGAAAAATATGTGTAGGGATCCATATTCTTTTAGTGGCAGGGAAGGCAATTAATAAAGGATATTTGGGCTTTTAATCTAGAGCAGAGATTAGAAAACTTTGCCTATAAAGGGCCAGGTAATAAATATTTTAGTTTGTATAAGCTATATACAGTTACTGTAAAATATTCATCTTTGGTTTTTGTTTTAATTTTTTATAAACCTTTAAAAATGGGGAGTGTCTGAGTCTACTCTGGCTTGGGAGGCTGCTAGAAAAAAATAAAATTTTTTTTAATGTAAAAATCAGTCTTAGCCATATAAAAGCGATACAAAAGGCCGGATTTGGCCTGTGGGCCATAGTGTGCCAAGACTGTTCTAGAACATTATTCACTTTAATCTGGATCTTTATTTCTCTGGAATTGGCAGGATTATGGAAAGAATTTGCCACCCAATCCATAACTTGGAGCAAAACTAAATGGAGGTCATTCATTGGATGCTGTTAGAAACTTAACGTGGCTCTCTTTCAGCTTCTCAGGACAACCACTCCTGAGTGAGATTTCTGGTGAAGAGCCTACACAGGCAGATAAACAGTTGCTGTGGCTCATAACAGCCCTTGCCTCATAATAGGTTGATATGGGCCACCAAACCCATGAAGTATAACTCCCCAAAGCCCTGTTGCAACAGAATGTGTCCGGGGTGATATCAACAGGAAGATGGCTCATTCAGATTACCAGGTGTTCCACCCTAGTACCACTTTAAGATGGTAATGTTTTCAATCAATTCTAAGCCCAGGAGCCGGAAGACAGCCTTCTCATTCACAGAATCCTCCGAGTATGCAACCACTGAGTTCCCACACCCCTCATTAGTGCACTTCATTCTACTTCTTGCATTAGGGCCAGTTTGAGGCCTTTGGGCAGATGTTATAAGCCACTGTGGATACTTTACCCAGACATCTCTGTTTAGCTCTTGCATAGTGCTTCAACTCCCAGCTGCTCCAAATGTGGTACTGGGACCAGCAGCATCCACATCCCATGGAAACTTGATAAAAATGCAGACCTGGGGCCCCACCTCAGATTTATAAATCAGAATTTGCATTGTTAACAATATCCGCTGGTGAGTAGGTATACATTAAAGCTTTAAAAGCACTGCTCTGACATTCACGTTATAGATAGTTTAGCTACAGTGTCCTTAACCCTGGCTATACATTTGAACCAATTGAGAATCTTAAAGCATGCAGATGCCTGGGTCCCCCAACTCCTCACAGTTTCTATACCAACTGTTCTTGGTGCAGGCAAATTAGAATTACCTGATTGTATTAATACATTAAAATCACCTGGGTCCCACCACAGACTAATTAAATCAGAATCTCTAGGGTGGGTGTTTGGTTTAGAAAATCTGCCTCAACCCCAGACCTGGCCACGTGGCCGGGTTCCATAAACCTGCTGTGTATTTTAGCATGTGCTCCTTTTAGGGAGGCTTTGTGATTAAGCCAATTTCCAGCTATATATTGCTGCATAACAAGCTATCCCTCCAGAGCTCAGTGGCTTAAAACAACAGCAAACATTTATTTAGCTCATGACTGCAATTTTGGCAGGGCTCAGCAAGGACAGTTCATCTCTGCTCCACTCAGCATCAGCTGGGACAGTCCACCTGGGGACTGCAGAATTCATTTCCAAGGAGGCACACTTACATGGCTGGCAAATTTTTTTTAATTATTACTATTTGGGAGCTCAGCCGGCGTGGTGGTCTGGAAGCCTTGGCTCCTCTCCATGTGGTCATCTCTATGGGCTACTTGAGCTTCCATGGCAGCTGCGCTCCTAGAGTGAGCGTTCCGCAAAAGAACCAGGTGAAGCTCTATCACCTTCTGTGACCTAACCTCAGAAGTCATATTGCATCACTTCTGCCATAATCACAAGATTCAAGGGGAGGAAACAAGTGGGAGGACTATAAAATCACATTATACAAAACAGCATGTGGGATGAAACACAGTGTTGTAGCTATCTTTGAAAAATATAACCTCCCATAGGCCACCTAGAGCATGTTTGAGTGATGATAAAATGATCAGTGGCAGAGCCGCCCCATCAGCATAATCACTAAGACACAAATTGTTCAATATCCAGAGAGAAGTGAAGTCTGACTCCAATATCTAGAGGTTTCCTCTAAAACATAGTGTATCAATGGAGAATCTGAGGTATAGTAAGGCCAACAAATCAGGCCTTTGAAATGCTAGTTTGCTTTTCACAGTTCCAAGAGGACAGAGCAGACACATCACAGGAGACCACTCAAGAAAACACCAAAGTTGGTTATAGGCAGAGAATTTTCCTGCGGGCAGGAGACTTTATTATAGTTTCTACAGAAAAGAACAACTGAGACAGGGTACGCAGGTTTAAGATCTGCTAGTTTTAAGATTTCAGCAGGCTCTGGGGCATACGGGCTGTCCTGATTGTGTGGTACCAGGCCCTGGGATTACTAGGGCAGGTAGATAGTGGCCTGGAGTGTGAGATCCTAATAAAGGAGGTGGCTGAGGTATAGGCTCTGGATTGTCAATTTGTATTTGAAAAACATGTTCATAAGCAAGTTATTTGCCCCCGGGAGGAGCAATCCCTCCAGGGGCCAGCAAGACCTCAGAGCATTGGTATCTAGAAAGTAACATACATGGCTAATATAAAGCTTCAGTAGGATCCATGTCCTCCTTGAAGTTTTTTTGTTTTTGTTTTTTGAATCTCATAGTAACAATTGTCATGCAGTCATCTGGTTAGTAACCCCTGCCATTTCATGGCCTAATAGGCTGACACTCTTCTTTATCTTAAACAATTAGGGAATCTATTGGCTGCTCACCGCAAAGCTACATTTTTTTATACCCAAACAGAAGATTTAGGTCTGGCAACGGAGAGGATTAAATGCTATAGCAAGGTCTCCAGAAGTACACCAAAAAAACCCATATATATATATATATATATATATATATATATATATATATATACACATACATTATTCCATTATAAAAACTTAACTGGGGGCCGAGCGCAGTGGCTCATGCCTGTAATCCTAGCACTTTGGGAGGCCGAGGTGGGTGGATCACCTGAGGTCAGGAGTTCGAGACCAGCCTGACCAATATGGTGAAACCCCATCTCTACTAAAAATACAAAAATTAGCCAGGCATGGAAGTGGGCACCTGTAATCCCAGCTACTCGGGAGGTTGAGGCAGGAGAATCGCTTGAACCCAGGAGGTGGAGGTTGCAGTGAGCTGAGATTGCACCGTTGTACTCCAGCCTGGGCAACAAGAGTGAAACTCCTCCATCTCAAAAAAAAAAAAAAAAAAAAAAAAAAGAGAATTAACGGGAAGGGGAGGCAATCTTCTGCTTATAGAATCTACTGGATACCTCTTTTAAGAAAGTTCACTGAGCATGACCAGAGACTGAAGTGTGATAGGATTATTAGAGTCTCTCTATTCTAGAATTTGCCCGGGATTTAGATTCTGACCACTAAACTTACTTGTGCTGTCAACAGGAAAGCCTCCTCCTGGCCTATCTGTGTGGCTTGGACTCCCTCACAGCATGGCAGCTGAGTTGGGAGTATGAGAAGCCAATGTGCAAGCATTCTAAGAAGCAGGAGGCAGAAGCCGCTAGCCCTCCACAGACTAGGCTTGGAACTGGCACAGCAACAGCTCCGTCACATTCTATTGGTTAAGCAATCCTCGGGCCACCCCAGATTCTAGGCAGGGGAAATAAATTCTACCTCTCTGTAGGGAGTGAAAAAGAATCTGCAGTCATCTTTAATCTACCACACAGAGTGAAGCCAAATAGGAGAGGAACAAAATCTCTCTTTTGGATCCTGAAAGTTCCAGAAACATGGGGAATATGGACTTGGCCTGTATCAGGAATGAAGCCACGGTTTGATGCTAACGTTATCTTTTTCTATTCTGCTTAGAAAAGTAACATTTTACTGTTTATCCTTAACTCATAATTTTACCAGGATGTGCTAAAGTGTGTCTTTTCTCGTTAATCACGTTTGGAGCTCTGAGCACTTTTATCTGCAAACCAAGTCTTTTGTCAAACAAGCACAGTTTTCAATTATGAGTGTGATTAACTCCCTTCCATCTGTTCCATTTCTCCATCTGGAATGCCCATTAGTCCCACTTAGGTCTCTGAGATCTGGCCTCCAAATCTTTTTTTCTCCTCATGATTTCTATTTCTGTGTTGTTCTTTCTGCTTTGAGAAAGAGCTTTTCATTTTGTACTTCATCTCTGCAACCACTAATTCAATTTGCAGTAGCGACCATTGCTTTCTGTCTATTTGTCTATTCATTCTAGGTGGGGACCACATCTAACTTTTTTTTAATTCCTAAGTTCAGACTGGCCTTTGCCTATAATGTGTTGGGTGTGTGTGTGTGTGTGTGTGTGTGTGTGTGTGTGTGTGTCTATGTGTGTATGGCTGGGCGGATATAGCATAGGTACACAGGTATTTCTACTTATCCATGGTATTTATGAAAGCTTAGATAAGTAAGCACCTTCCCCTTTTCCCAAGATTAGGATATACCCTTCAAAACTAATTACAGCCTCCCAACATACTTTTTAATATAATTAGCATCAATGATTAATGCTTTAAAATATAATATTTTAAAGATGTATACATCTGGTAAGGACAAAACAAGTATCTTCCCATATCAAGGATAGTCTATGTACTCCCCCCCAAAAGGAATAATTATAATATTTTAATAGAAATGCAAAGATGCAAAACGATAAAATTACTATATGCATGCTACTCAGAGATTAAGCCTGTATGGCTTTCCTTGCTTTTTTTTTTTTTTTTTTTTTTTTGAGACAGAGTCTCACTATGTTGCACAGGCTGGAGGGCAGTGGTGGCATCTCAGCTCACTGCAACCTCTGCCTCCCAGGTTCAAGTGATTCTCTCATGTCAGCCTCCTGAGTAGCTGGGATTACAGGCACATGCCACCATGCCCAGCTAATTTTTGTATTTGTAATAGAGACAGGGTTTCACCACATTAGCTAGGCTAGTCTTGAACTCCTGACCTCAAGTGATCCGTCTGCCTTGGCCTCCCAGAGTTCTGGGATTACAGGTGTGAGCCACCATGCCCAGCCAGGTTTCCTTACTTCTAAGTCTCTGCCTGTAATTACATGTCTGAACAATTGATCTGCTATATTGTCTGAACAATTGATCTGCTATATTTGTTGAGTTTCTGAGAGTAAAAAGAGAACATGGGGTCACATGTTCAAACTGTCTCTACAAAATGCAAAGTTCTTATTGCAGGATAGTAACCAACACTCTAAATTTTATTTAAAGTTACCTTTGTGGCCGGCTCGAGTGCAGTGGTGTTTACAACTAATTGATCACAACCAGTTACAGATTTCTTTGTTCCTTCTCCACTCCCACTGCTTCACTTGACTAGTCTTTAAAAAAGAAAAGAAAGACCGGGCGCGGTGTCTCACGCCTGTAATCCCAGCACTTTGGGAGGCCAAGGCGGGCGGATCATCTGAGGTCGGGAGTTCAAGACCAGCCTGACCAACATGGAGAAACCCCGTCGCTACTAAAAATACAAAATTAGCCAGGCATGGTAGCACATGCCTGTAATCCAAGCTACTTAGGAGGCTGAGGCAGGAGAATTGCTAGACCCGGGAGGCAGAGGTTGCAGTGAGCCGAGATCACACCACAGCACTCCAGCCTGGGCAACAAGAGCGAAACTCCGTCTCAAAAAAAAAAAAAGAAAGAAAAGAAAAGAAAAAAATAAAGTTTCCTCTCTGGTGGGGGAGTGAGAAGTAGTCAATACTTTCTCTCTGTCCTCCACCTTCTACTCTTCTACTTTTGTCCCCGCCTGCCCCACCTGCAGCCTGCTGGCCACTGAGAGGGGCATGAGGAGCAAGAATCTGGGGAGCTGACCACCTTGCATTCCTGCCCTAAGTCCACATCCTTGCTCTCTGGACTTGCAGGATTTTCAAAGCTGACTTGGTTTCTGGAGGGGCACTTCCTTAGGTTTCTTACTGATTCTTCCCTTGGAATATCAGGCTGCAGCTCCCTGTACTTGGACCATGCTCTTCTACCAGCAGCCTCCCTCATGAAACCCTCCTCAGCTTCTGCATCCTAAGATACACCTTGAAGCACGTCCAGGTCTAGTCACTGAGCTCCAGCCAGGAAATAATTTCAATGGGATCTATTATAACATGAACCCAGGCCAGACGCTCCTGTGGAATAACCTCTACCCACAGGAAGCATGCCCTCTACCGTCTTATGCTTCTCTGTTTCCTGATGCAGCCACTGGAGTCATCTTCCACCAAACAGGAAGCTCCACTTCCACTTTCAGCCTTGAATCTTCTCAGCATGGGACACATGGCCTCTTTGTCAAAGCTGTGGAGGTTAAGACCTTCAGTGAACCAGTAAATGGTACAGTCATTCTACCAGCTTTGACATAGTGAGAGGAAACTGACCAGAGGTAGCCTTTCCCAATGACTGACACTTGTAGTGTTATTCAACATATCAAAGAGCTATTCACTTTAATCTATCTAAACTAAATCTTCCATATTAATTAATATTCATAACTGTCTATTTGGGGTGGAGTAGAGGCCACAGTGCCTTAATCTCTGTGGGGCCTTAGTCACCTTAGTTGGTGACTGATGGACCGGCACAGTAGGTGAGCATCAGTAGGTATGGACATTCCCTCCCTCCCTAGTATCTGCCAAGGCCATCACTGTGGATTGGATCTTGTGCAAGGGCTTCGTATAAGGGAGGTCCAGGACTTCTGGCTGGCAACTTGGCCAACCAGCATTAGGCAAGCAGAGCTGTAACACACACTCCCTTGTGTTGAGAGAAAGTCCCATCAAGCTATACATACCCGTGGTTCTTATTCTCTGTATGAGGAGATTCTCTGTTATTGATACCCCCATGGGTCTTGTCATTCACATCCTGGCTAGAATTGGATATATTCAAATTAGCCAACCCTAATCTATATTGACCTTAGATATGATTAGTGCATATGCTGGCTCTGCTGCCCACCTTCCCTAATTCGCCACAGGTTTTGTGGATTTGTAAACCAGGAACCCCTAACAAGTTGGTGATGATAATATGTAAGGAGAGGGCAGCCTTTATGTATTGACAGAGACTTGTGACAAGAACTGGAACTTTAAAGTCACCATTCACATGTTTATTACCCTCAAACTCCACCAAACAAATGTATTGAGAAGATCCCACTCAGTACACTTCTCACTAGGCTGGAGATGAGGGTAAGCAACACTTTTCCTTTCTCCAAGGTGTTGATGAAATGTAGGGGAAAAGAATGTGTATCCCTTTCATACCTAAGAGGTGGGTGTTGGTTGGATCAGCAACCAGTTCTTTTTCATGGATGACCTACAACCTCAACATGAAATGTGGGAGAACTCAGCATTTGTAGTTTTGTTTTAAGCCTATGGAGGTATTGCTGGAAATGCAAGACAGAGATTCTCATTTTAATATCCTTTTGAATGTTGCTATTCTGTTTAAAGAGGAAGACATTAAAGTTTGCAAAAAAAGATCCATTCATGAAGCATTTGCAAAATCAATGAAATATAAATAAGCAATAGATATGATTTAAGAAGAACATACTTGCCTTGATGACTTGAAGACCCAAAAGATACTGTTGTTAATATTTTAATAAGCCAGCATCCCTGGGAGTAATTTTGAAAAGAAAGAAAAGAGAAAATTGGCTCTTTTCTCTGTCTTTGCTGCTGAGATTATTAAAATACTAGAAAATAAAGTTAATCATTAATAACTTGTTTTATTTTTCAGTGAAATAAAGTAATCTTCACAATTATCTTTTCACTTCAACCCTACATATATTATAGATTTGAATATCTAGCTGGTACTTGATAAACAGCTTTTAAGTATGATAGTTTCAAATTGACCTTGGATGTTGACTCACCCTTAATTATTGATTAGAGATATGCCATCTGTCTCTGTTGCATCTTTATCACCAAGAGTAGCAATGATCAGTAATCCTATCTCATGCTGTAATTGCATGCAAATTTGTTTTCTGTATTTCCTAATTTTGTAAATGGTATTTGATTTGGTGATCCTGGGCAGCTAATACATTGAAATCTCTGTACACAAGAAAGGTAGATTAACTTAACACCATAATGTGTTTTACTTATTTTGAGGCCTATTATTAGTTAGTATTTAGCAAAGTTAGCAGGAAAAATTTAGAATGGATTTTTAGTCTATCAACCAACTCTTAGATTGGCTTAAAAAAATAGGAAGATTAAAAGCCTACAGCTCTGGGAAGAGTATGGTGAAACAGGCAGCCTAATAAAATGTCTGATAAAATCATAAGTTGCCATGAACTTGGTAGACAGGCAAAACAATTTTAGAACATTTATTAAAATGTAAACTTCTTTTTTTTTTTGAGATGGAGTCTTGCTCTGTCCCCCAGACAGGAGTGCAGTGGCGCCATCTTGGCTCACTGCAACCTCCACCTCCTGGGTTCAAGTGATTCTCCCTAGTGGCTGGGATTACAAGCACCCACCACCATGCCCGGCTAATTTTTTGTGTTTTTAGTGGAGATGGGGTTTCGCAATGTTGTTCAGGCTGGTGTTGAACCCCATACCTCAAGTGATCTACCCACCTCAGCCTCCCAAAGTGCTGGAATTACAGGCATGAGCCACCGCGCCACCCCAAAATTTGAAATTCTTATACTCTTTGACTCAGTTTAATAGGAATAAAATCTCCACAACATGAATATGTTATCAGTCACTTAATTATCTCCTTCCTTTTTTGTATAAGTACATCAAAAAAAAGTTTCCTGCAGGCCGGGCGAGGTGGCTCAGGCCTGTAATCCCAGCACTTTGGGAGGCCGAGGCAGGCGGATCACGAGAGGTCAGGAGGTCGAGACCATCCTGGCTAACACGGTGAAACCCCATCTCTACTAAAAATACAAAAAACAATTAGCCGGGCGTGGTGGCGGGTGCCTGTAGTCCCAGCTACTCGGGAGGCTGAGGCAGGAGAATGGCGTGAACCCGGGAGGCGGAGCTTGCAGTGAGTCGAGATCGCGCCACTGCACTCCAGCCTGCGCTCAAAAATAAAAAAGTTAAAAAAAAGTTTCCTGCAAGAGAATTGGGCAAGGATGTGAGTGGTGGGGCTGAGAAAGTTCATGAAACATCCTTTGTGTTTCATACAATTCCAAAAGAAGTAGCTTTGATCCTAGAGATGTCGATTTTATGTTGTTCAACCTACGCATTTCCCTGGAATATTACGAGTGCATTTATTCAAAATATATAATAAGAAATAATAAAAAGCATTTATTCAAAAAATAGTTCTTATTTACCACCAGGGAAGTTTTCTTAGGTTAGCGCCTCTCCCCAGTCTACAACTGTATAATTTACATTTACCTTGATATCTCTTTACAAAGATTCTGAGAAAATTAGTAACATGGAATTTGAAGAAAGAAGTGAAAAACCCCCCAAAAAAACTGTTGGACAGATGATAACTTTTAAAAATATTTGTATCTCTATATGTAACATTCTGTCAAAACAAAATCCGTGGAGGTGCAAGTTCTTGATTTTCTTCCACTTTGCTTGCAATTCTGTCAAACTGCCACCAGCTGGCCAGCTCCAGCTACGTTAAATAGGAAATGTGTCTGATTTGTGGTGTTTTGTTTTGTTTTGTTTTCATCCACAAGAGCTAGTGCACTCCCCCCATGCCTACTAGTCTTTATTTTAAAAATAAAAAATTTCTAAAAATATACTTCTTTTTTAAGAACACTTATTCTGTAATACTCCGATAGGTATTTGTGTGGGAATAAAGTCCAAAAACTAACAACAACAACAACAATAAAATCAGTTTCTGCTTTTAAGAACAAGCCTCAGAAGACACGGACAGGTAGAATTCAGACAAGAGGGAATCTGACAACAAAGGCTGTGGGAAACGTATGCCTATACAGAAGGCAATGCAAAGCAGAATAAGAACGAGGTACCATTCCATTTGATATCTGCTGAATGGACATCACCAACAAAAAGACACAGCTGGCCGGGCACAGTGGTTCACACCTGTAATCCCAGCACTTTGGGAGGCTGAGGCGGGTGGATCACCTGAGGTCAGGAGTTTGAGACCAGCCTGGCCAACATGATGAAACCCTGTCTCTACTTAAGATACCAAAAATTAGCTGGGCGTGGTTTCAGGCGCCTGTAATACCAGCTACTTGGGAGGCTGAGGAAGGGGAACCACTTGAACCTGGGAAGCGGAGGTTGCAGTGAGCTGAGATTGCACCACTGCACTCCAGCCTGGGCAACAAGACTGAAACTCAGTCTCAAAAAAAAAAAAAAAAAAAGACGTTTCCTGTCAAATGTGTGGGAAAACAGATATAGTCACATAGTACATTAACATAAACTAGTAATCATTTGGGGAAAAATACGGCAGTCTATTTTACAAAAGGTGCTCAAATGTTTATAGCTTTGCTCCAATAATTCTACAAAATAGGAAGATAACTAGGAAAACACTGGGATATTAAAAATGATAGCCAAACATATATGGAAATTATCCAAATTAAAGGAGGCTAAGGAAACATAACAGCTAAAGGCAATATTTGACCTTAGACTGAATCCTGTACTGGAGGAAAAAAACTACTGCTATAAAGGAAATTACTGGGTCAACTGTTGGAATTCGGGTATTCACTGTAGATCAGATAAAGCAATATATTAATATGTTTGCAGGTTGATAACTATAGTGTGGTAACAGGAGTGAATATCCTTATTCTTACAAAATAAATAAAGTATTTAGGAGTAAAGGACCATGATATATATAATTCACCTCAAATTGTTCAGGCCGGGCGCAGTGGCTCACATCTGTAATCCCAGCACTTTGGGAGGCCAAGGTGAGCAGATTGCTGGAGCTCAGGAGTTTGAGACCATCCTGGGCTACATAGTGAAACCCTGTCTCTACTAAAATACAAAAATTAGCCAGGTGTGGTGGCGTGCACCTGTAATCCCAGCTACTTGGGGGGCTGAGGCACAAGAATCGCTTGAACCCAGGAGATGGAAGCTGCCGTGAGCCAAGATCGTGCCACTAAGACTCTGTCTCAAAAAATAAATGTCAATAAACAAGTAAGGTAAAATATTAATAGGAGGTCAATCTGGGAAAAGGGTTTATGGATACTCCTTTTAATATTTTTACTTCTTTAACATTTTTAAGTTTGATATTTTTCCAAAATTGTTTTAAAAGAATCCCTCTCAGGGAAAAAAATAGTCAAAGACGGTATGTAAATGAAAATAAGTATATTTATATTTACTTGTAATATTACGCAAAATATTAAAAAGTATTCCTAGCATCAGCCAGGCCAGTAAACGGGTTCCTGCTCTGACCTTCTTCCACAGCCCACGCCAGCTCCCAAGCCTCCAGGTTCTAGCTTCTCGGGGACTTCCCACACACACCTCCTGATGCCACCTCCTCTTCTTCTGGATCTGGCTCCCAAACCCACAGCCCAGAATCTCCCTGATCCAGGATCCCACTGTCCCAACAGCACACCCCAGGAGACCAAGGCAAGCTCAGAAATTGCCCCACCCTCCCAGGTGGCTTCTTGAGCTTTCTACTTCATGGGGTCATGGAGTGCACAGACCAAATGTTTTCTCCCCTCAGGCTTCCCATTCCTTCACTCCCCTCTTTATCCATGTTATATCCATGGCCCTTCATTGCAACAGTGTTCATTCCTATACATGAAACTCCCCCGCCCCTTGTCTTTGTCCACTTAGCAAAATCGCTTTATGATAAAGTCCAGTCCCTATGCCTGAAAGAAAGGCCCTTGGTGGTGTGGCCCCACCTTCCTCTCTCTGGGTGCACCAGCTGGTGTTGTTGCTTTCAGCTTCTTAAACAGCTGTGCCCATCCCTCCATGGGGAAGGCTGTTCCATCTGCTTCGTGCTCTTTCCCTCTGCAATCCCTATTAACCCGTTCTTCCTTTCCTTCAGATTTTAGCTCAATTTCCACTTTTGCAAGAAAGCACCTCTGGCTTCCCTAGGCAGATCAAATCCCTTCATTCTGAGCCCTCTTAGCACTACATAACTATAGTGTGGTAACAAGAGTGAATATCCTTATTCTTACAAAATAAATAAAGTATTTAGGAGTAAAGGGCCATGATGTGTATAATTTACCTCAAATTGTTCAGGCCAGGCGCAGTGGCTCACGCCTGTAATCCCAGCACTTTGGGAGGCCAAGGCCTCTCTCTCTCTTCCTAACCAGAAAACGTTTTAGATAGACTTTACATTCATGAGCTCTAAGAAGGCAGAAGCTTGTCTCCTCTACTCACTGTTGCATCATCCACATTCACTGAGTGGAGCCCACAATGGGAGGCATGTGGCACATGCTACGGGTGCAGGGCCACCTCCCCACGGGAGGAGAGGACTGGGATTCTTATTTGGTTTGTTGGCCAAGACAACAAATCCAACCACCTGCTCCTGGTAGTGAAAGAGTTCAGAACATACCACCCCAAAATATGCCACTTTGGCGTATTAATTATTCTGAGCTAAAGGAACTTGAGAAACAGCAGATGCAGAAAGGGCTTTCTGATCTCACTCCCTCTTTTGATGTAAAAGCAAGTCATAAAGTTTCCCATAAGAAAGGTGCCTTCTCTGTACCAGGAAGAAAAGAGCATTCTTATCACCAGAGATTGGGAGTCAATGGCAAATGGATCTGTACAAATGAACCTACTAAAATAACCCTTATTGTCCATTAACCCCATATATTTTGTAGACACTTTTCCACAATTTACTGCCTAAACCCATTTGTCCTGTCACTTGTCCACAAATTTATCCTTTGCTTTAAAAAAAAAAATCCTATAATATAAGCTCTGGGTCCTGACTGTTTCTTTCTTTTTTTTTTTAAATTATTATTATACTTTAAGTTTTAGGGTACATGTGCACAACGTGCAGGTTTGTTACATATGTAAACATGTGCCATGTTGGTGTGCTCTGACTGTTTCTTTGGGCATTTATTTTTCTTATGAGTATTCCCTTGTGCATGTAAAAATATTAAATAAAATTTGTATGCCTTTTTACTATTAATCTGTCTTATGTTAGTTTAATTCTCAGACCAAACACCAGAACCTAGGAAGGCAGAGGGAGTTTTCCTCCCCTATAGCAGGACAAGGCTGCTGACAGCCTATCTGCCCACCCTTGGTTGGAACTAACTCAGGAGCTGAGAGCGTGCTGTACCTGAAGACTCCAGACATCAGCTTCCAGCTAACTTATGGGGCAAACAAGGTGAAACTGAGGAGTGGAGGCTAGTCCTCAGGCATTCTCTCTGGTGAAGGGGAAGACACTCTGATTTAAGGGAACATGTGTGCTCAGAGCTTGGCTGAAATCTGAACCCCAGCTGCAGCTGGCTGTACATATTTAGTGGGCTCCGTATAGAGTGTCTTAGTCATTAGCAGGTAGGGTTGGAGGGTCAAGGCCCTATTATTAATATCAGTTGGCAGGGACCAACATGATGGGGGTGACCCTGAGGCAGTAACCTTTTCTAACATCATGTGTCATTGACACCTTTGTGTGTAAATCTTTATTAGGTCATCACTGAGTTTAGAAGGGATGTGGGGCAGATGGAGAAAGCCTACACGTTTGTGGGTAAAGTGAAGGGACAGTGATTTTGGACAGGAAAGCCAAAAGCAAAACTAACAAAATACATTATAAGTAAGAACATATAAACCAACTCTTGGCAACTGAGAAAAGAGGATGTGACATGTTCATCCATTGATTCAACCAGGTAGAAAGGAGAGTGTGAGAGAAGGCTTGCTACAGTTTGATTTGTTTTAGCTGTGTGTCTTATTCATTCTTTGGCCTCATTTTCTTCTGGCTTAGCAGGTCCAAAAAGAATTGTGTTTATTTTACACTGAGAAGTTTGATCCCTTGGGTTTCTCTTTCCTTTGAGCAGCAGAAGAACCAAAAAGGAATGAATTCTGAACACCCTGAGAAAACAGATTTGTGGAAATACATAGGAGATGTGTTCAAGAAGAGTTTATTCAAGTGAAAGCAGAGTCTTTATAGCTCTGCCAAGGCCATTGAATCCTGTGGTGTTTCCTCATGGCTCAGCATCCACTCTCCCAGCCAAGGGGGGGCCCATCCTCTCCTCCAGGCTGCTCAGGAAGCCTGGTGCGGTCAGGTCTTGCTATTCATAGGCTCATTATTCAGCACCCTGGCTTCTGCCTCCACTCTGCTCCCTCCTGTCTACCACTGTTTGGCCATTTCACTGCTTGCTCTCATTGCTGCCAGAAAGCAGGCAGCAGGGAAAATTAATGAAACAGTCATTGTTGCAACTGCCAAACGGAAGTCATGAATGATTGGGCTGAAAGGGAAGTGGACATTCGTGCCCCAAGTGAAGGTTCAGGATATGCTGAGAATTCTGAGGGCTCATCCTATCTTTATCTAGCATAGAAAATTGAAATTTGAATGTTGACTATGCCTAGATCAGAAGGAAGGTGGAACTCAGAAGAAGATAGGTAAAAAAATAAGTTTACACTAAGCGATTGCTTTGAGAATTTGACTTTCGGGACTGAAGGAAGAAGGGAAGATGGAGAAATAGTGGGTCTGTGTACTGAGCAGACCACCCTCTTCTAGAAAAAACTGCCCACAGACCCCTAATGCTAAAGTTGCCAAAAGATTTCTGTCATATGGCACTGACTCACCAGCACCACATTTGATGAGTCCAGGAGAAGCCACTCAATTCAACAGCCCTTTAGTCAGTGCATGGGCTTTTCATCAGCCTAGCAAAAACTGGGCCTGGGGATTCTTGGGAATTTGAATTAAGAAAACTGGAAGAGAGCTGGGCCACATGCCTGCAATCCCAGCACTTTGGGAGCCCTAGGTGGGTGGATCACTTGAGGTCAGGAGTTCAAGAGCAACCTGTCCAACATGGTGAAACCTCATCTCTATTAAAATTACAAAAATTAGCCAGGTGTGTTGGTGCATACCTGTAATCCCAGCTACTCAGTAGGCTGTGGTGGGAGGATTGCTTTAGCCCAAGAGTCAGAGATTGCAGTGAGCTGAGATCACACCACTGCCTGCCCAGCCTGGGCAACAGAGGGAGACTCTTCTCTCTTTTTAAAAATTTTTAAATAAAAATTTAAAAACTGGGCCACATTCCAGCAGAAAGTACAATGAGTAGACAATCTGATGAAAATAATGGATGAAAAAAGTCAGCTTCTTAGCATATAATGAAGTATTAATGGCAATGTAAAGATCTGAAATCCCTGTTGTTGGTATCTCTGTGGCCTGTCTTAAGAATCTGCAATTTTTTTTGTTGTTGTTTGTTTTTTTGTTTTTTTTTGAGACAGTCTCACTCTTGCCCAGGCTGGAATGCTGTGGTGTGATCTCAGCTCACTGCAGTCTCCGCCTCCTGGATTCAAGTGACTCTCCTGCCTCAGCCTCCCAGGCACCTGGGATTACAGGCGTGTGCCACCATGCCTAGATAATTTTTGTATTTTTTATAGAGATGGGGCTTCACCATGTTGGTCAGGCTGGTCTCAAACTCCTGACCTCAAGTGATCTGCCCATCTAGGGCTCCCAAAGTGCTGGGATTACAGGTGTAAGCCACCACACCCAACCAATAATCTGCATTTTTAACTGAGTGCATGGGCTCTTGCCTGTAGTCCTGGCTACTTGGGAGGCTGAGGTGGGAGTATTGCTTGGAGCCAGGAGTTCAAGATCAGCCTAAGCAAAAAAGCAAGATCCTATCTCAAAAAATAAATTAATTAATTTAATTAAAAAGGTTTTAAAATGTCTGTATTTGTGCTTGTGCAATTTTCCAGTGATTATCACAAAAACAGCAGAAGACCTAATGCATCCCTGGGATTGAGGTAGGAGATCAGCTGGACTTGTTTTCTGAGCCTCAGTCTCCCTGCTGCTGATCAAGACGGGATGTGGCAAAGAAAATGTGCTAGAACCAAGATGGCAATGAAAGCGATCTCCAGTTACCCTCACTGCTTATTTGCATTTGCCTAAGATGCTCCCATCAGAGCCTTGACAGTTTACAAATGCTGTGGCAATGATCCAGGAGTTACCTTGTGTGATTCCAGGAACCCTCCACCCCTTGTTCATGAATAACCTTAACCTGTCCCTTATTTAGCATGTAAATAAGAGTCGGTATAAGCAGAGCTAGCCAGCAATCCACAGATGCTCTTCTGTGCTACTCTGCCTATGGGATAGCCCTGTTTTGTCTACAGAGCAGCCATTTTATGTACACTGTTGCTCTAATAAACATGCTTTCTTTCACTGTTGTCTCATTCTTGAATTCTTTCCTGAGCAAAGCCACAAACCCTCACAGGCTGAGCCCCAATTTTGTAGGTTGCCTGGATCAGAATGACATCTGCAGGAATTGAATAGTAGGGATATCTGCTTTGGGAGGGAAGAGGAAGATAGAGCAAGCTATTGTCTCTTCACACTTTAAGTCAGTGAAGGCTGGGCATGGTGGCTCATGCCTGTAATCTCAGCACTTCGGGAGGCTGATGTGCACAGATAGCTTCAGCCCAGGAGTTTGAGACCAGCCTGGGCAACATCACAGTTAAACCCCTTCTCTACAAAAAATACAAAAAAATTAGCCAGGGATGGTAGTGCGCACCTGTAGTCCCAACTACTTGGGAGGCTGAGGTGAGAGGCTCACTTGAGCTCAGGAGATTGAGGTTGCAGCAAGCTGTGATTATGTCACTGCACTCCGGCCTGGGTGACAGAGTGAGACTCTGTCTCAAAAAAAAAAAAAAGTAAATGCAATTTGATTACCCAAATTCAGTCTCACATCCCCCTTTTGCACATTCTATAGAAAATAAAATGACATAGTCAAGGAGCACTCAGCAAAGTTAGGACACAGATGAATTTTGTCTTCTCTATTCAATAGTTTTTATTTTTTTCTACCTTCATTTAATGTTTTATTGAAGAATAGTATACATCATAATAAATATCAATGCAAATAAACTAGGAAATCTAGAAGAAATGGATAAATTCCCGGACACATATGCCCCCCCAAGACTGAACCAGGAAGAAGCTGAATCCCTGAATAGACCAAGAACAAGTTTTGAAATTGAGGCAGTGAGAAATAGCCTACCAACCAAAAAAAGCCCAGGGCCAGATGGATTTACAGCTGAATCCTACTACAGGTACAAAGAGGAGCTGACACCCTTTCTTCTGAAATTATTCCAAACAATTGAAAAGCAGGGACTCCTCCCTGACTCATTCTATGAGTCCAGCATCATCCTGATACAAAAAACTGGCAGAGATACAACAAAAAAAGAAAACTTCAGGCCAATATCCCTGATAAACATCAATGCAAAAATTCTCAATAAAATACTGGCAAACCAAATACAGCAGCACATCAAAAAACTTATCCACCATGATCAAGTCAGCTTCATCCAGGGGATGCAAGGTTGGTTCAACATACGCATATAAATAAACAAATGTAATTCATGACATAAACAGAACTGATGACAAAAACCACATGATTATCTCAATAGAGGCAGAAAAGACCTTCGATAAAATTCAGCATCCCTTCATGTTAAAAACTCTCAATAAACTAGGTATTGAAGGAACATATGTTAAAATAATAAGAACCATTTATGACAAACCGACAGCCAATATCATACTGAATGGGCAAAAGCTGGAAGCATTCCGCTTGAAAACCTGCACAAGACAGGGGTGCCCTCTCTCACTACTCCTATTCAACATAGTACTAGAATTTCTGGCCAGGGAAAGCAGGCAAGAGGAAGAAATAAAGTGTATTCAAATAGGAAGTGAGGAAGTCAAATTGTCTTTGTTTGCAGATGACATGATCCTATATCTAGAAAACCCCATCACTTCAGGCCCAAAACTCCTTAAGCTGATAAGCAACTTCAGCAAAGTCTCAGTATACAAAATCAATGTGCAAAAGTCACAAGCATTCCTATACACCAATAACAGACTGGCAGAGAGCCAAATCATGAATGAACTCCCATTCACAATTGTTACAAAGAGAATAAAATAATTAGGAATACAGCTAACGAGGGAAGTGAAGGACTTCTTCAAGGGAGAACTACAAACCACTGCTCAAGAAAATTAGAGAGGACACAAACAAATGGAAAAACATTCCATGCTCCTGGGTAGGAAGAATCAATATTGTGAAAATGGCCATACTGCCCAAAGTAATTTATAGATTCAATGCTTTTCCCATTAAATTATCATTGAGATTCTTCACAGAATTAGAAGAAACTATTTTAAAATTCATATGGAACAATAAAAGAACTTTTATAGCCAAGACAATCTTGAGCAAAAAGAACAAAGCTGGAGGTATCACACTACCTGACTTCAAACTATACGACAAGGCTACAGTAACCAAAACAGCAGGGTGCTGGTACAAAAACAGACACTTAGACTGATAGAACAGAATAGAAAACTCAGAAATAAGACCACACATCTCCAACCATCTTATCTTCAACAAACCTGACAAAAACAAGCAATGGGAAAAGGATTCCCTACTTAATAAATGGTGCTGGGAGAACTGGCTAGCCATATGCAGAAAACTGAAACTGGACCTCTTCCTTACACCTTATACAAAAATTAACTTAAGATGGATTAAAGACTTCAATGTAAAATGCAAAACTATAAAAACCCTAGAAGAAAATCTAGGCAATACCATTCAGAACATAGGAATACTATGCAGCCATAAAAAGGAATGAGATCATGTCTTTTGCAGAGACCTGGATGGAGCTGGAAGCTATTATTCTCAGCAAACTGATGCAGGAATAGAAAACCAACACTGCAAGTTTTCACTTATAAGTGGGAACTTAACAATGAGAACACATGAACACAAGGAGGGGACCAATACACACTGGGGCCTGTCGGAAGGTGGGGTAGGGGGAGGGAGAGCATTAGGAAAAATAGCTAATGCATGCTGGGCTTAATTCCCAGGTGATGGGTTGATAGATGCAACAAACCACCGTGACACGTTTATCTATGTAACAAACCTGTGCATCCTGTGCATGTACCTCAGAGCTTAAATAAAAATAAATAGACCAGGTGTGATGACTCACGCCTGTAATCCCAGCACTTTGGGAGGCCGAGGCAGGCAGATCACAATGTCAAGAGATCGAGACCATCCTGGCCAACATGGTGAAACCTCGTCTCTACTAAAAATACAAAAATTAGCTGGGCATGGTGGCGTGTGCCTGTAGTCCCAGCTACTCAGGAGATTGAGGCAGGAGGATCACTTGAACCCAGGAAGCAGAGGTTGCAGTGAACCGAGATTGCATTACTGCATGCCAGCCTGGCAACAGAGCGAGACTCCATCTCAAAAAAAAAAAAAAAAAAAGTAAATAAATAAAAAAAGAATAATATACATACAGAATAAATCTTAAGTGTATAGCTGGGGGGACTTTTCACAAACAGAACTCATGATTGTAACAACGTAAACAGCAACAAGATAAATAAATAGAACATCACCAGCTCACCAGCAGCCTGCAGGGCCCACTTCCAGCCACTAATCCCTCCCAAACCAAGATTACCACTCTTCTGACTTTTAGCAATGTAGGTTAGCTTTGCCTGCTCTTGTACTTCATTATCAACAGAATCCTGAAGTACAAACTTTTGGGTGCCTGGAGTCTTTCACATAATATTCTGCTTGTGAGATGCATCCATGCTTTTGCCTTTAATAATAGATTTCTGCTGTTGAGTAGTATTCTATGATGTGAACAGACCACAATTGTCCATTCTACTGTTGAAGAACATTTGGGTTATTTCAGTTTTGTGCTGTCCCAAATAATGCTGCTATGGTCTCCATGCACATAACTTTTGCTGAACACATGTACACATTTCTGTTAGGTATGTAGGAACCAGTGAAATTGCCAGAAAACAGGATACGCAAATGCGTAGTTTTCATGTATGTTTTCAAAGAGTTTTCCAAAGTGGTTGACCATTAGCTTTTTCTTAAATGCTCCCTTATTCCTGCTTCAGCTTCTATATTTTTATCCAGTCCTCACCGCTTCCCACTACCAACTCCATGCTCTGAACTTGAAGCTTGCCTACTGAATCTGTCTGCCCAGGGTTTGGCTGAATGTGCACACACGCCCCCATCCCAACCTTGCACAGCATCAAATATCCTAGACCTTTCCCTTTAAAAGGAAATCATTTTCTGGGCTCCTGCCTCTATTCCTCCAGTCACCAAGATGGTGGGCTAACTGCCTCTGGGACCAATTCTGTCTTTAAACAGGGGCACTTAAAGACCCAAAGGCACGTTGTGTCTGCTTTTGCCATGGTTCCCATGCTTGGAAATCTGGCCATTCTCTTTTATGACTGACGTGATCCAGTGCTGACTGAGTTCCATGAAAACCAGTTTATCCAGCATCCCGTTCCCTCTGAGACTCCCTCCACAAGAGCTGGGTGGCACTGCCCCTGCCCAAGATGAGCACGTCAACACTTGTGCTGCCATATCCCATCTGTTGCTCCTCCTCTTCTGGTGCCCATACCCTGGAGATTCAGTGCCCACCAAGCAGTGTCAGTCGGGTTAGGTGGCTTCTTTGGGAGAGGCAGCATCTTGAGCTCTAAGCAATGGAAACTTCGACAAGTGGGCTTTCTGGCCCTCACCAACAGTTCCGTGGTGCCACACATTTCCTTGACATAGTTAGCTGCCTACACAAAAAGGAGAGACCACCAGGGGAACTATTTCAGGAAAGCAGGTCTTTAATCATCCCTCAACTTCCAACTCTTAGCCGCTGCCATCTGTGCTTCAGTGACACTCAGCAGGACATTTTGAGTTCCTGTGTTTTGCTAATTCACTAAAACTTGGGACTAGTTCCAGGGTATTTCTGAGACATGATTGCAATGGTTTTTGTTCACTGAATTTTGGAAAAGAGTTACCCCCAAAACAACAACCAGAATCAAAAATAAAAACGGAATCCCCGCCAAACACACACACACAAAAGAGTGGAGTAACTTGAGTGCCTAGTTTATTACATGGCAGTAAGTACTAAACAAACATATGATTTGTATTAGTGTTTATCTTACAGATGTATCAGTTTTGTTTCTATGTACAATTCAATTCACCAAATATTTGTTGACCATTTATTATGTGTGAAGTATTGCAAATAAGTTGCAGTCCCAGCCCTCAGGGAATTCATGGAATTTAGTCTTTAGAGGAATGACTATCCTTGTGGAATTAGGTGCCATTAAGGACTTTACCAGCAGTTCAATGCTTTTAGCTTCAGCTTGCCCAGAAACAAACCTTGAGGGCAAGTTGTTTAGGAGGTGTTGTAGATGTTGCTGGTGCCTTCCTGTGTCCCCTCCATTTTACACCCCATCTGGGTAGACCACAGCCAGTGACTGACTGACTAATGTGAGGAGTTGGGGATGGGGCAAATGTCAGTCCCTTCAAACTTGAGGTATGACAACTCTGTGATGTCAGTCATGTTCCCCAGTGCCCCATGGGATCAGGCAGAAGCCAGACTTCTCCTAAAACCAGGTCCTTGCTCAGTTCCTTCCCCTGACCTTCTTTACAGGTTTCTCCTGAAGCACTTCCTCCATATCTCACTTGTGTGAGAATCCCCATTCCCAGATCAGCTTACAGGGAACCTGACCTCAGGTAGGAAGGAAGCCCAGGAAGCCTCCACAGGAGAGAAGTGAAATGGTGCAGCGAAGGATGCTAGAACAGGCTACAATATCAGCAGGTCACCATGTGGGCAACTGAGACTCAATCCCTTTGAGGTGAGGTTGCCACATTTTGCAAACAAAAATCCAGGATGCCCCATTAAACTTGAATTTTTTAATTAACAATGCATTTTTTTTTAGTATGAGAATGACCCATGCATATTTAGTATATATTTAACTAAAAAATTATTCGTTGTTTGTCTGAAATTCACATTTCACTGGACACCCTTTATCTAGCAACCTTTCTCTTCCAGGAGAGGAAACAGTCTAGAGCACACTTCAAAGTTGTCCCACTCAAGGGGGAGGAAGCTGAGGTATGTATCCTCCAGCTGTTATCCATCACTGACTGAGTGATGCTCCTGATGGCATTTACTCTTTGGTATTTCTGACTTGGTTCAGTCATAGGCTGAGAGAAAGCCATCAGGTGGAGTAGCGATGTTGTAGGAGGATACCCTCAGCTGGCATTGGAATGGTAAGTGTGACGGGATATAGGCAGGATATACCAATGGTGTCTGCTCCACACAGCCCCTGAAACAGGAGCTTTTCTGAAATCTTGTGGGCAAGGTTAGATGAAAAGTTAGCTTTGTCTCCACTCATTTCTCTGAATGAGTCCAGATTATGACCACAGGCTGTGAGGGAGAGAATTAAGTTGAAAGGAAACTAACTGTTCCATTAAATTGTGACAGACTGAAATATATGTGTTTGCATGCATAGGTGACAGAGAAAAAGGAAAGGCACTAGAAAATGAAGATTTCCTGATCTGTCATCCTCACTAAAAGTAATGGTGCAATTATAGGAAGTGTCTGGATAGTTCTGAAATTCTTTCTGAAACTGGGAACAAATTCTCTTTCCATTTTCAGTTAGACTAATGAAGCCAAAAAATAGTGTCTTCATCATCAAAGCCAATTAGATTTTTCCAAATTCTCTTTACACCAATAACTGTCAATACTATGGGTATGTATTTTTATCATCACTTCATTGAGTTTTCGTATGCCATCTGCTCAAACACATGGGGAATGTATATTTTCTCTTGTTTTTACCATTCTTTGGGAATTGTTTAATCTCCAATCAAAGCCAGAGAAAATGAACTCGACATAATTTCAGTGTTATTTCTTCATTCATTGGGTACATGTGTGTACTCTTCTGGTCTGAAGGGCTGTGGCCTCACTTGGGAACAGTGCAATCCATTTAGACAGTGTTAAGAAATCATTTTTTCCTTTCTGGGTTCTCTTGGCTCAAATTCCAGTTTTAAATTATGGGAAATAAATGTAATTTGGTCTCGTGACATGTGATATAGTCAATTGCTCTGGGGAAAGGACAGAAAATATTAATGAAATGGAATGTCTTTAGACTAGTGGCAGAGGTCAGAAGTTGAGTTTCACTGCTTCCAAATAACATTAAGGGCCAGGGGCAGTGGCTCACACCTGTAATCCCAACACTTTGGGAGGCCAAGGAGGGCAGGTCACCTGAGGTCAGGAGTTTGAGACCAGCTTGGCCAATATGGTGAAACCCTATCTCTACTAAAAATACAAAAAATTAGCTGGGCGTGGTGGTGGGTGCCTGCAATCCCAACTACTCAGGAGGCTGAGGCAGGAGAATCATTTGAACCCAAGGGTTAGAGGCTGCAGTGAGCTGAGATCAGCCACTGTATTCCAGCCTGGGAATAGAGCGAGACCCTGTCTCTAAATAAATAAATAAAATTAGGACATTTTGTGTTTTTCACTTTTCCTGTCTTCAAAAGCTGAGTATTTTACTTGTTTAATTTTTAAAGGCAAGGGAATGGACCATAGCCCAACCAATGAAACCTGGTCTATCCAAACTGGTTCATGAGCCAGCTAGATTTCTGCCCTATTCATTGTACTATTTCTGTCTCAAGAGGTAGTAGCTAGGGCCACCATGTACAGTTGTACAGATTGTCTACAAATACACCCAATCAAATAGTTCAGTTGAGGCTGAAATCCAGTCACATTCCACTTACTAATCCATGTATACTGGGGCAGGGCTATTTGTTTCAGAAGAAGGGACGCTTTTTCTTAATAAGCACAAAGTTAGCTGAATAGACGAATGTGAATCTTAGTCACGGCCTTCAAATTCATGGAGTCTACTGATTTTGAAACCAAGTTATTTACACATTCCTTGTAGGTTTTTCATTATTATCAATTTTACTACTATGCTTCACCAAGACATGGCGGTTTATATAAATGTCCAGGAACAGGAACACTGTGCATAGTTGCAGAGTTCTTCCCTTCAGTGCTTCCAGAAAAATGCAAAGCAGTTTCTTTGTCCCACAGAGCAGGAAAAATGTCTGCCACCTCTCTGAGGTGGATAGAAAGTCCTACTTCCTAAAGACAAATTAGGATGAGGAATTTTCCAGGTCACTTAAGGGCTGTCCACCATCACAGACTGCTTGACCGTCAGAGCTGGCATAACAATCTCTGCAGCATAGCTCTTTTGGGGATAATTTTGTGGAGACAGGCTAGGAGTGATTGGGGAAAAGCAATTCTTACCACCTCGATGGTGAGTAACATAAATACAGGATGCCTGAAAGGCTGGCACAAGTTTAAGCTTTTATTATTTCAGAAGTATAAATCTACAAACTTACAACAAAGAGCACCAGAAAGGTTAATTATGAAAATGTTGAAATAGTAATGTTTTTATTAAATTCAACATTACCATCATCTTATGCTATGTATCACTCTCATCAATTATCAAATGTCGTAAACTTTCAGCAGCTGCTGCTAGTGATCATCCAAAAATTGAGGCTTCCATACATACATCACAGTTTTGATGTCACTGTCCCCACCAAAAACAGTCTAAGAGCAACAGAACCTGCTACCAATCCACAGTCTGGAAAGCATCACCCAGAAACTGTTGCACATTTTAAAAATTAATTTGGCAGAGCACTGTGGCTCACACCTGTAATCCCAGCACTTTGGGAGACCGAGGCACGCAGATCACCGAGATCAGGAGTTCGAGACCAGCCTGGCCAATATGGTGAAACAACATCTCTACTAAAAATACAAAAATTAGCCAGGCATGGTGGCGGACGCCTGTAATCCCAGCTACTTTGGAGGCTGAGGCAGGAGAATCACTTGAACCTGGGAAGCAGAGGTTGCAGTGAGCCGAGATCATGCCATTGCACTCCAGCCTGGGTGACAGAGTAAGACTCTGTCTCAAAAAAAAATTTAATTTAAAATGTATTATTTAAAATTCATGACAGGGCACTGTGGCTCACACTTGTAATCCCAGGACTTTGAGAGGCTGAGGCAGAAGGATTGCTTGAGGCCAGGAGTTTGAGACCAGAATGGGCAACATAGTGAGACCCTGTCTCCACAAAATAAATAAATGAATAATAAAAGAAAATTTGTTACAGTAAATATGTGTCAAACAAATTTAAACAATCAAACTTTCAAAACCTGGTTTTTGTAAGTTTGCAACTTCTAAAGTTATTAAAGCTTGAAACTGCACAAAGACTTTTAAAACACCCTGTGTGGTTCTACAAGGATAACACAGAACTTTCACACATGATCTCATTTAATGAGCACAGCATGCTATGCAATTAGGATTATTGTCCCCACTATGCAATCCACCAAGCTGGGTCTCTGAATCTGTCTGTCCAGCACAGTAGCCACTGGCTCTGTGTGGCTGTTGAAAACCAGAAATGTGGGGAGTTCAAATTGAGATGTGCTGTAAGTGCAAACATCATACTAGATTTTAAGACTTGGTCCAAAAAGAATGTAAAATATGCCATTAATAATTATTTAATATTGATTATACATTGAAATAGAAAGAAGGCAGGGCATGGTGGCTCATATCTGTAATCCCAGAACTTTGGGAGGCTAAGGTGGCAGGATTGCTTGAGCCCAGGAGTTCAAGAACAGTGTGGGCAACGTAGGGAGCCCCCAGTCTGTACAAGTAATTTTAAAAATTAGCCAGGCACAACGGTGCATGCCTGTAGTCCTAGCTACTTTGGAGGCTGAGGTGGGAAGATTGCTTGAGCCTAGGAGGTCAAGGCTGCAGTGAGCCATGATCACACCACTGTACTCCTGCCTGAGCAACAGAGCCAGACCCTGTCTCCAAAAAAAAAAAATAATAAAAATAAATAACAAGCATTTGAAACAGGTTAAATAATTTTTTTAAATTAATTTCACCTGTTTATACTTTTTAATGCAGCTACTAGAAAATTTAAAATTACACCTGGGGCTCGCATTACAGTTCTGTTGGATAGCACTGCCCTAGAGCAATGCCTCCATGTTGGCCGCCCAACAATATAAATGTCCTGTCTCACAGTGAGGAGTTAACTGGATGAATGTGACATCCTTTGAGGATATCTGAATTTTCTAGGAGGCTTTTAGAGTCTACAAAGTTTAACCTAAACAAATGTGAGTGGAGTTTTTTTGTTTTTTATATTTTTTTGAGACAGAGTCTTGCTCTGTTGCTCAGCCTGGAGTACAATAGAGTGATCTCGGCTCACTGCAACCTCTGCTTCTTGGGTTCAAGTGATTCTTCTGCCTCTGACTCTCAAGTAGCTGGGATTACAGCCACACACCAACATGTCCAGCTAATTTTTGTATTTTTAGTAGAGACGAGGTTTTACCATGTTGGCCAGGCTGGTCTTGAACTCCTGACCTCAGGTGATCCACCTGCCTTGGTCTCCCAAAGTGCTGGGATTATAGGCGTGAGCCATCATGCCTGGCCAATAAATATATTTCTAATGATGGAAACTTGGGGACCATTTCGGGTGTGTGGTAACTTACTCCACTGGGAGACAAAGTCAGCCCTGAGGGAGTAAGAAGGCATCAACAAGATTGCCCTCTATCTAAGCTCTCAGGAACAGGAGATTCCAGAAGCTTTTATCCCTCTGATGACCTAGAACACCCACAAATCTCCATCTAAGGCAGGAAAGAAGAGCTGGATTGGTTCGTAAACTCATTTCCTCAGCTCAATGATTTCTTGAATGCACATTAGAAAAGCTAACAAGTATCAAGAGGCCAACATAGGGTTCCATCTGAGTAGAACACTGTTCCCCTAAGAACAGTGTATAAATATGCTTTGCACCATGCACATCTTCTTTAGCAACTATCTTAAGGATCTGATCAAGATGAGGTCAGGCGTGGTGGCTCACTCCTATAATCCTAGCACTTCGGGAAGCCGAAGTGGGTGGATCACCTGAGGTCAGGAGTTCGAGGCAGGGGAATCGCTTGAACCCGGGAGGTGGAGGCTACAGTTAGCCGAGATCGTGCCACTGCATTCCAACCTGGGCGACAGAGCGAGACTCTGTCTCAAAAAAAATTAAAAATTAAAAAAAAAATAAAGTCAAGGTGAGTCATGCCCCATACCAGGAAGACTGTTTCATCAAGGGCCATTGATAAAACAATCTACCACACCAGGCAACCATTTTTAAAGTCCTAACTATATACCAGACACTGGACTAAGCATTTCACATATGTTATATCACTTAATGTGTTGAAAAACCGGGTGCATTAGGTGCCTTTATTCGCACTTTACAGATATGAAACCGAGGTTCAGTGAGTTTGAGGAACAGGCTCAGGATCCCAGAGCCAGGATTCATGCATGCACCTGGCTCCCTCTAAAGTTTGTATTCTGAAACCACTAATTATACCTATCACAAAATACCAGAGGAAGGGAAGAAACAGAGGGAAAAGTGGGGATATTCTACTATCTGAAGTGCCTTAAATTACCCTCAGGAAGAACCTCTGGCCAATATCTCAGAGATCCAAAGAAACAAAGCAAAGGGCTAAAGGAGTTAGGCAGCCCGGGTGGAAGCAATTTGATATTCCTTGCCTTTCCAAGGGTAGGCCTTTGTGTGAGAAGCCAAGGAACTCGAGTTAGACAGAGTCTGGGGTGACCCATCGTTACATGCATGATGCCAGCCCTGCAGTTGGTGAAAGCTGATAAAGAGCATGAACCCCACTGAGAGTCTGGTCATATTTAATTTCCGCTTTTGCCCAATTCCATGTTTAGTTTTAAGCCCTGCATTTGAAGATGCAAAGATATTAGACAAATTACATATTCCATCCAGCAGATAAAGTCAATGAAAGTGATTCGTCACAAGCTCCAGCAGAATGGGGATGCCGTTATCTTTGTTAGCAAATATGGGTATGGCTTGGAAAGTGAGCATCTCCATCAAGAGGCAGAAACCCTCTCCTTAGATAAAAATCTCATTAATAATTCTTTTCTCAAACAGGAGGAGAAGAAGAGATTTGTTGAGATGGAAACAGCAGAAACAGATAGCAGCAGTCCCCGGCTGCAGCCTGGGTGATTTGAAGGAAGGCACTAAAGGTTACATGAATGAGGATCATTAATATTCACGGCGGCATCTGGTGCTATGTTGCCAGGAGACAGTAATGAGAAAAGAGCATCTTCCAGGTCTAATGGCACTGCGGCTGCCACATCAATCCTGTCGTCCCCAGAAATGAGATCTCTATCATTTGCAAACAGGGAAGCGTTGGTGGCTTGGCTGTCATTCCAGAAGGTCACTAAAAGATATGTAGATGAGCTGCCCATATTTCTCGGGCTGACACTCACCAGGTTCCCTGAATAGTTTTGCCTTTTCAGGGACATGGTCTGACAAGCCAACTTATAAAAGGGTTACTTCTGTAACAGGGTATTTGCTCTTGATCCTTAGAATGTTTTGCTAAGTTCTGGCTTCTTGGATTGGAGCTCCCTCCAAATAGCTGCTGCAAACACTTCTTTGGAGGAAGGTAGCCTTGTCAATCTTGTGCTCTCATAACTTGTGTGAAGGTTGTAGCTTCTTCAACTGTAAACTGAAGAGTAGCAACCAAGAAAAGTAATCATAACCCCATAGCCCTGTGCCTCAGTTTGGGTTCTCCTACCAGCAGACCCTGAGACAGATTCCACTTAAAGTGTTTGCTTCTTCCCACTGGCAAATAGGATTATTAAAATGGGAGAGGTGTCCCAAGATCTTCCTTGTCTCTGCTCCCTCCATCACAGAGCTAGACATTTTCCTTCCACATGTTTAGAGGCTGGATAGGTGTAAAGCTCTTTATACGTTTGTATCATAATTTCCCACTTTCTTTGTTATTCTCACAACTTGATGAATTAAATGAGCCCAGGAGTTCAAGTTCAGCCTGGGAAGTGTAGTTAGACTCCATTTCTAAGAAATAAAATATTCAAAAATTATGCCTTCCTTACTTGTTGTGTGTCAGGGATGAAGATGCAATGGTGAAGAAAATTAGACAAAACCCTCACCCTAGTGGAATTACCAGTGGGTTAATATGGGAGACTGACACCAAATACATAGACAAATTTATTCATTCATTCATTGAACCAAATAGTTACTGCCACCTAGGCACTGAGGTCACAATACAGCATGGAATTAGACAAAAAAAAAAAAATGTTGCTTTCTTGGAGTTTACTACTTAGTAGGGGAAGAAACCTACAGTAGGTAGAAATAAATGCAATGAACTAAAATAAAAAGAAATAGAAGGGTTGGCGGACAGTTGTGCTGTTTTATCAGATGGTCAGGGAAGCCTCTCAGGGGAGGTTGCATTGAGCAGAGACTTGAAAGTGTCACTCAAACAGTGGTGTGCTGAGCCAGCTCACACTGGACCTCAAGAACCAGTGGAAAACATCTCTTCCCAACTCCACATTCAGGGGCATCATATTGGTATCTCAAAATCAGGTAGGAGGAATTACACACTAGAAACCAGCAAATGCTGTGAAAGAGGCTTTTGTTTGTTTGTTTGTTTGTTTAGAGTCAGTCATTAACCATTTACCAATATCGAACTTTCTGCAACTATCTAGGGAAAGATTCTTCATGGCAGAAGGAACATCCAGACAAAGGCTCTGGGCTGAAAGAGTGCTTTGTTTGTTTTTGTTTGTTGAGAAAGAAGAAGAACATATCTACAACAGTGATTCTCAAAGTGTGAACCATAGGATAGCAGCATCAGCATCACTTGAGAAATTTTTGGAAGTGCAAATTCTTAGGCGCCACCCTAGACCTACTGAATCAGAAACTCTGGGTATAGGGTCCAGAAATCTGTTTTCAAAAGCCCTGCAGGTGAGCCTGAGGCACAGGAGAGTCTGAGAAGTACTGGTCTAGACCTAGCACAGTTATCAAGTAGGAGAGTGTGAAAGGAAGGTTGGAGAAGTTACTGGGACTGGATCACGAAGGGCCCTACAAGCTTTGGTAAGAACTGATGATAGTTACATTTATTTGTCAGCTTGGCTGAGCGACAGCACACAGATATTCCATCAAACATTATGCTCAATGTTTCTGTGAGGGTATTTCTGAGTGAGCTTGACATTTAAATGGTGGACTTGGAGAAAAGCAGATTAGCCTCCATATTGTGGATGGACTTCATTGAATCCATTGAAAGTCTGAAAAGAACAAAATATTGATCTCACCAGAGCAAGAGGAAATTCAGCCAGCAGACAACCTTTGACTTCAACTGCAACATCAGTTCTTCCCTGGGTTTCCAGCCTAATAGCCCACCTTACAGATTTTAGACTTGCCAGCCTCCATAATCAAGTGAGCCAATTCCTCAAAGTAGATCTCTCTCACTCTTTCTTTGTCTCTCTCTCTCTGTACACACAGACACACACACACACACACACGCACATGCTTTTCATTCCATGGTTCTGTTTCTGCAGAGAACTAATACAGGACTCAAGCTTTTACTAAATGAAGTAAAAAAACAAATGTGGGGGAAGAGGAGTTGAAGCAGAGGCATGCCCTTACAGCTTATGTTTTCCAAGGTTTCCTCTACAGCTGGGGTCCTTTGGCCTATGGGCCAAATCCAGCCTTCAGTCCACTTCTGTGTACCAGGAACTAAGAATACATTTTACACTTTTAAAACGTTATAAATGCACCGGGACAAACACAAAGAAAAATATGCCACAGAGATGGCATGTGTTGTCCCAACTCTGAAATAGTTACTATCTGGTCTTTTACAGAAAAATATGCTGACCCCTGCTCTGCAACACCATGTACCTCCTGATATAATGTGCCGAGAAGGACACAATGTCACCTCTGTGCCTTTCTTGCCAACAATATATGACCTGAACTTAATCTTGAAGAAACATCAGACAAACCTAAATTGAGGGAAATTTTGTAAAATAACTGACATAGCCTCTTCAAAACTCTCAGAGCCACAAAATCATGAAGACTGAGGAATGGTCCCAGATTAAGTTAGGCTCAAGGAGACAAGACAACTATATTAACTTGTGATCCTGGATTGGAACCTTGTCCAGGAACAGAATGTTAGTGCAACAGTTGGTGACGCTTGATTAAAGCCTGTAGGTTAATTAACAGTATTGTATCAGTATTAACTTCATGGAATTAACACATCATCTGCGATGGATTAGGAGGTTAATATTTGGAGAAGCTGGGTAAAGGGTAAGCAGGAAACCTTTGTACTGATTTTTCAAATTTTTTGTAAATTATACATTATTTTTAATTGAGAATTTTAAAAAGAAAAAAAATTAAAAAAATCTAGCAAAAAAAAAAGGCTACAAGCTACTCTTTGGAAACTACAACATGTGGACACATTATACTGGCTTGGATTTGGATGGAAACAGCAGAGCGGATGAGTAACGGATTTGATTGGGATAAAATCTGAAGCTAAAGCTGACATAACTTGTTGATGGCATTAGAATTCTTTCATGTATAAGTTCTCCAACTTAAATAGAGTTAAACAAAAAGGAATTTATTAACTCACATAATAGGCATGGCTAGATTCAGTTCAAACAACATCTTCATGGGTCCTCATCCTCTTTCCACATGGCCCATTACTGCTTTCCTTTATAGTGACATAATTATCGGATTGGCCACTGTATCTTCAGGCTTATACCCTTCCTATGGCTAGCAATACCCTAGGAAAGAGGACTTCTCTTTTCCAAGTGGTCAAAGAGGCATCACAGAATAAAGTCATTAGGTTTGCTTGGGTCCTGTCCCCATTGCTGGACCAATTTCTTTGGGGATCTATTGAATATGTGGATTTTCCAATACTGGATCATCTGACCACTGCTACATCCAGGGGTGGTTGGGGTCATCTTCACATGAAATTTGACCAAGAGTTGGGGGAGTGGTTTCCTAAAAAACAGAAGCTTCACCTGGAGGGAGATGGAGGATGGCCAGATAAAGTTAAACAAAGTTTATCAAAGTTTTATGTAGCAAACAACAAAAGAACAAAAAACAAAGTTTCATATAGTAATGTCAGTAGAAGTATTTCAGTATTTACCGACATGTTCAGTTGACTTGCTTAGAATCATAATAGTAAATAAATGTCTAAGCAGGTGCTCTAACCACTGTCTCAGAATTCTTTCTGGTTTCCTACTATCTAGGAGGTTTCTCGTTGGATGGGTCTATCTCCAGTTTTTGTTTTGTTTTGTTTGAGACAGAATCTCACTCCTCTGTCACCCACGCTGCAGTGCAGTGGCGTGATCCCGGCTCACTGCAGCCTCCACCTTTTGGGCTGAAGCCATCCTCTCACCTCAGCTTCCAGAGTAGCTGGGACTACAGGTGTGCACCACCACACCCAGCTTATTTTTGTATTTTTTCTAGAAACAGGGTTTTGCCATGTTGCCGAGGCTGGTATAAATTCCTAGGCTCAAGTGATGGGTTCACCTCAGCCTCCCAAAGTGCTTGGATGACAGGTGTGAGCCATGGCGCCTGGCCAATATCAAGTTATTTTATTTTATTTTATTTTTTATCTGTTTGAGATGGAGTCTTGCTCTGTCACCCAGGCTGGAGTGCAGTGGTGTGATCTCAGCTCACTGCAACCTCCACCTCACGGGTTCAAGCGATTCTCCTGCCTCAGTCTCCCGAGTAGCTGGGATTACAGGCAAGTGCCACCATGTCCCCCCTAATTTTCGTATTATTTAGGAGAGACGGGTTTTTGCCATGTTGGCCAGGCTGGTCCCGAACTCCTGACCTCAGGCGATCTGCCCGCCTCGGCCTCTCAAAGTGCTGGGATTACAAGCATGAGCCACCACGCCAGGTCCAATATCCAGTTTTATAAAGAAATTTTTTAGTCACCATATAGTTGAGAAATTAGGATGTACTTGCATTTTCTTGCCAAATTCTCTCCAAACTAATAACAACAACAAACACCAAACTTAACTGAAATTTAAGTCTTGAGGTCTTAACATTTTAACCCTTCCTTTCTCCACAAAGCCTTTCCCCCCACTTGTGGAAAGTGAGAATGTGGTTTATTCTCCCCACCCTTCATCTGTTATCCTGACATTCAATTACCACTAAAGGGAAAAGGGGGAGCCAAATTGATGTCCTCCAGGAGGCCAGAACTCTGTGCAGCTTCCTGTGGCCCAGTGCATTCATCAATCTCCAAGTCTGCACAGCCCAAGGGGAAGGCTGGGGAATTGAGAGTCTGAAGCTGGCTGAAGGACTACAGGGGAGCTGGCAGGAGGGAATCAGGAAACCTCCCCATGAGCAGCTCATCGGGTTTGATATGTGTCAGCTCACAGAGCCCTGACTTGAGATGCAGTGATAACTAGACAGTAGGTGAAGGGAGGGGAGATAGCTGGGTTCCTGGGTTGGCCAGCTGATAGCCCAGACAGGGCCTCCAAAGTCATCCCTTGGCATGGACAACATGCGCTTGTGGTCTGGGCCTCGTCGTCGCACATCCAGTATTAAAATTGTTCATTTTCCAGTTCTGATCAGAGGGACTAATACACAGACCCACCCCGTCGAAGACTAATCTGTACATTAGAATGATGCCAGGTTATAAATCTGCAGCAGAGGAAATGTCTTTTCAGTATTCAAAGTACTCAAATTCTTCATCCAAGACACCTCTTTCCTAGGACAAAGGTAGTTAGAAAGCCAAAGTAATCAGTAAAGTGTTGCTTTCAGTCATTGCAGAGAGGCAGAACACCAGTGCAAAGGAACACAGGAGGCCTTGTGTGATCATCTATTCTGCATGTGGCAGAATCTAGCAGAGTTACTCTGCCACAAAAAGGTCTCTTTCCATGAACAAAATTGTAGTGAGATAAAGTAAGCACCCCTCTCTCTTTCATACAGGGGAAGCCTGGAAGAATTTCTACTCTCATTTTTAATTTGCATTATTCTTGGCCACAAACAGCCCCTACTCATGGACTCCTTACAGTCTCCAAGAATGTGATTCATCTTCTATTATGAAGTCAACACTTTATTGATGAGAGTCTAGGTGACAGCCTTGATCTCTTACAGTAATTTAAGGAGCATCTCACCCTCATCATCCATACCATCATTCTTAATTTTCAACAACCTTTACTGGACATGTCTCCAAATTCTGCAGCAAACCTGGTTTGGGTCCCAAGAGTTCCTGGATGCTGGGTTCCAGACAGACCACATTGGTTCCTAATCTAATCCCTTCCTGTATTTACCCTCCTCTGTGTATTACCTTACTGTGCAATCACGCAGACAGGGCAGGCGACAGTCTCTCCAGCCCAAAAGGGTAGAAAGGAGGGGAATCTCCTAGTCAGTGGTTTTCTTAATGTTAGTCGATAAAATGTGTGATCTGTGTAATCTTGGTTAATAAAGTGGGAGAGAAGTCTGGGTGGAGTCTTTTGTCAGTGTCTTACTGACAAAAGGAAATAACCTCAGAGTAAATAGCTTTATTTCTTTCTGTTGGACAGATACCCAAGTGCAAACAACACATGGAACTAGGGAGCCATTTGAGAGCCATAAAGGAGTTAATCTTAAGATTTGTGGAGGTCTGAGCAGCTGAAAAAGGGTGGAATGTGATCCTTGATGACCTTGTGGAATCACTGAATTAATCACCCTGATGCTATTCTCCAGCAACTTCTAAGAAATAGCAATCTTCTTACTGTTTAAGCCACTCTGAGTTGAGATTTCTGTTCCTTCCAACTGGTATCTTGCCCTATAATCATTTATTCCATCTATCTATCTATCTATCTATCTATCTATCTATCTATCTATCTATCTAGCTACCTACCTACCTATCTATCTATCTATGTCATGGTGGACAAATCACTTAACTTTTCTACACCCGTATTTCTTTATCATTAAAGCTGACAAGTTGAAGGGGAAGGCTTTCTGCCTTCCCTTTTGACTTTAACATTCAGAGTTTCTGATTTCTCTTCCATGGCATACAATGTAGAAATCCCTGACACACCTCTGGTTTTTGTGTTCTGTACTCTCAGTTCAAGGTCATTAGTTTTCCCCTCTGCTTCTTAATTCTGAGGTTTGAATCAAATGTTCTATATGTCAGGATTACCCATTACATAACTCATTCCTTTTTGGATCCTCATGTGTTCTCTTAGAATGTAAAGGGGATCAGAATATGCCACCCCAAAATATGTAACTTTGGCATGAGTATTATTTTAAACTGAAGGCAATTGAGAAACAACAAATGCAGGAAAATTTCTCTGCCTTCCCTTATCTGCCCCAAAGCAGAGCATAAATTTTCCTTTGAGGAAGGTGCTCTTCTGTACCAAATTTTCCTTTGAGGAAGGTGCTCTTCTGTACCAGGAAAAGGACACTGACTTTTATTACCAGAAATGGAAAGTCACACAAAGATTAGTGTGCATAAACAGACCTTACTGAAATAATCCTTATTGTCCTGGGCACCGTGGCTCACACCTGTAGTCTCAACACTTTGAGAGGCTGAGATGGGCAGACTTCTTGAGCCCAGGAGTTCGAGACCAGCCTGGGCAACATAGTGAGACTCCATCTCTATTAAAATAAATAAATAGCCCTGATCTTCCATTAGTTTTCTCCATATGTTTCCTAGTCACCTTCCCACAATTTATCACCCGTAAAAACCCTCAATTCTCATTTTTTGTGTAGTTGTTTTTCCACAATTTATCACTCCTTGTTAAAATGTTATGTAAGCCCCCAAGTCTAACCTCTTGTTCGTGTTTTCATTTCTTTTCTGAGAAGCTCCCATGCACGTAAAATCTTAGCATCAATAAAAGTTGTACTTCTTCTCCTATTAATGTATCTTTGTCCATTCAATTTACAGTCCTCAGGCACCAAACCTAAGAGTATAGAGGAAAGCCTTTTTCCTCCCTAAAAAACTCAAAAGATACTCAGTTTTCTCATAAATTAAAACAGGGGCTAATAATGCTAAGATGCCTTCCAGTTCAAACATCTTAAAGATTTTTAAAAATCCGTAAGATTACTTCTCAGTAATGACTTCTATTCAACACTTTTATGATGCAATATAACTATTTATATTTATAAACATTCAAACGAAGGATGAAGTTTCAATATTTATTCCATGATCTCTCCCACTTCAGCCAGACTTGTAGCATTAAAGGATGGGTGAATTAATGAGCAGGTTACAGACATGGGCAAATGGGGCTTAAAACTACTGGCAAACTCTGGGAGATTTTGTGGGACACACATTAGAGACTTCTCCTTTCAGGGCCAAGGAAGCTGGGGTATCCACTGGCTGTGGGCTACTCCTGGGGCACCAACTCCTCCACACATTCCCCTCTGCCATGCAAGTAGGCCAGGCCTGTTCCTAACACCACAGAGAGGCCTCAGGAAGAGAGTCCAAGAGACTCGTCATAGAAAGTAGGAAGACATTGAGACAGAGCAGGGACCCCTGGTAGGGGCCTGCAAGATCCCCCTAAGCATAGAAATAAAGGAAAATCTCAAGTTCCTTCAAGGGAAAAGAACATAGGTAGCCCTGAGAAGTAAATGAGTAACCTGATAAGCAAGAAGGAAATAGTAGCTTAAAACAATAACCAGGGAGGTTAGAGTCATGAGATGTTTTGTTCCCTATAGAAGCTAAAGATAACATCTTAACGTATGTTCCCAAGGTGTTTTTCAGAAACCCAGACCCCCATCAGATGGATCTGCTGGCCTGCAGACCCTGAGGGGAACTGAGGACTGAACTGGAACCACTGCTCTTTGTTCTAGATTTCTTCCTGAGGGGCCTGGAGGAGGTCACGCCACAGGCCAGAGCTTACATTCTTTTCCGCTGACCTCGCATGTCTAGACAAAGCTTTGCCTCCTTAACCAATTGAAAATCAAAAAATCTTTGAATCTACCTATGACCTATAAGCTCCCACTTCAAGATACCCCACCTTTTTCGGTCAAACTGAAGTACAACCTCCATGTATTGATTTATGACTTTGCCTGTAACTTCTGCTTTCCTGAAATTTCCCTCTGCCTTTAAATACCCTTACTTCCAAGTCACAGGGGAGGTCAGATCTTAAATGGGAGCTGCCTAATTCTCCTTGCTTGGCGCCTTGCCAATAAATGCTCTCCTTTCTCCCATTGCAAACCTCAGTGTGGATGTTTGGATTTAACTGCGCTGGGTTAGCGAACCCCAGTTTTGTTCAATAACACTGCTTGCAGGCCCAGACTAGCGAGCACTGAGGGATGGAGGTGGAGCATCAGAAATGTCCCGACCAACCTGGGCATCCCTACATGAAAGAGAGAGAAAAAAAAGTGCAAATAGCACATAATCTGCCATCAGCATGTCACGACGACTGCGTATCCTGCAAGGCCTTTGTTCCTGCAGGGCCAGCACGGGACTCTGGGCAGTGCTGCTGGTCACTCTCCCCAGGTGCATGAAGCCGGCAGAGCCTGGAGCCATGACTCCAGTCACAGTGAGGAGACTGGCAGCCTCCAGGACTTCATAATGTCCACTGGGCAATAGGCACTGAGCAATGGGTCACTTAGAATAGAGTGCGGGGAGAAAAGCTTCCAAATGAATGCCTTTCTCAGGGTCACTCTGAGATGGCAGACACATACCTGGACATCACTAACAATCACAGCTCTCATTCAAGCCATGCCTATGATGCTGCAGTTGTTGCCAATGTCCCTACAGCTTCACTGAGCTCTGAGCTTAGTCTGAGAGATGACTTTGGCCTCCTCCAGGGAGATGCTCAGTGAGAAGAGTTGGGAAAGAGGATGTCACACGCTCCCAACGTAGCTTTGTGATTTCCCAGCAGCAGTATGAACTTCCAGGGCATGAAACATCTCTGTTAAATTAGAAGTTCTAACATGATATAAGCCAAATATAAATGTTTTAGGTCATCCTCGGTTGCTTATCGTTCATTTCAGCATTGATTAATGAGTCAGAATGATTCGTTTCCATTAATGTATGTGAATAATTCAGAGATGTTGTCCCGAAGTAGAACTTTCCAGTCGTTGCCTTCCTCTGTCCTGCTTCCTTTTTTCCTGATTCAGTAGCAGTTTAATCGCAGATGTCAGAGCCACCCTATGTTAAACAGAAAGGGATTTACTACAGGAAAGTAGGGTCTTGCAAAACCACTGGAGCACAGCAGCCGGGCTCTGGACAGAGTTCCCGGGGGTGACTCCCAGAACACCACCCCGCGTCTTGGCCACCATCAGGAAGCCACATACCCTTCTCCTGGCTCCCAGGCCACACAGCCTCTGTAACGATCTGGGGCCGGGAAGCCATGTCACAGCCTGAGCTGCAGGAACTCATCAGATAAATGGATTTCTCATACGCTGCCTTTGGAGAGCGGGAGACCTCTGCTCCACAGCTACAGACAAAGCACAATTGGCCACAACCAGGAGCAGAACAGTCTCTCATTCACTGCCACCTTCCACATCCCACAGCTGTCTGCTGGGAAGAAATGTGGCTCCTGAGCTGCACGGAGTCTGCTAAATGTGAGCTTTTGCTTCGCTACCTGCTGCAATAAGACTACCGGGAGGAAGAATGGAGTGGAGTGGGCCCAGCAGGAATGTCTGTTCCACCTTTCTTCATTTGGAAACTTCTTTCACACTAAAGTAGAAATGACTGATAGCAGGAAAAGTACTGCTCTTTCCAGGTAGAGCTCTATCCTGAACATTCTAAAAGGCAGAACTTTTTTCTTAAATGAAAATGTAGCAAACTTCAGAATGATATTTATTAAATTATACCACATTAGAAAAACTGTGTGTTTCTGTGTGTGCATGTGTGTGCATATGCTTGAATACGCGTGTGCAAAAACACTTATGCTGGCCGGGCGCAGTGGCTCACGCCTGTAATCCCAGCACTTTGGGAGGCTGAGGCGGGCGGATCATGAGGTCAGGAGATCGAGACCATCCTGGCTAACACGGTGAAACCCCGTCTCTACTAAAAATACAAAAAATTAGCCGGGCGCGGTGGCGGGAGCCTGTAGTCCCAGCTACTCAGGAGGCTGAGGCAGGAGAATGGCGTGAACCCGGGAGACGGAGCTTGCAGTGAGCCGAGATAGCGCCACTGCAGTCCCGCCTGGGTGAAAGAGCGAGACTCCGTCTCAAAACAAACAAACAAACAAAAAAACACATATGCTTATACAAGTTTTATGTGTGTATCCACAGACATGAATACAAACATAACATAGAAAAGGTCCGGAAGGACACACACTCTATGCATTAACAATGATTAACCCTTGGTGGAGGAATAAGGGATAATGTGAGGGAGAAATTTTCCATTGTCGTAGCTTTATAATGTTCGAAAGTCTTATAAAGAACCTATATTACGGCCAGGCACGGTGGCTCCTGCCTGTAATCCCAGCACTTTGGGAGGCATAGGCGGGCGGATCATCTGAGGTTGGGAGTTCGAGATCATCCTGGCTAACACGGTGAAACCCCATCTCTACTAAAAATACAGAAAACAATTAGCCGGGCATGGTGGCGGGTGCCTGTAGTCCCAGCTACTCGGGAGGCTGAGGCAGGAGAATGGTGTGAACCCGGGAGGCGGAGCTTGCAGTGAGCCGAGATCGCCCCACTGCACTCCAGCCTGGGCGACAGAGTGAGACTCCATCCCAAAAAAAAGAAAGAAAAGAACCTATATTAGTTTGTGTGATATTATAATATTAAAAAGCCTGGAAATCATACTCTCTAAGAAGAGTCGTGGCAGGTCTTCCAGGGGTGGTTACACGGATATCTACACGTGTAAAAATTTATCACATTGTACATTTAAGATTTGAGTAGTTTACTGTATCTTAAACTGTTAAGTAGTTTAAATTTATTCTTCAATAAAGCAAAATTTTAAACTAGCAAACACGTAAAGAAAACAGAGAAGACTGGGCGCAGTGGCTCATTCCTGTAATTCCAGCATTTTGGAAAACTGAGGTAGGTGGACAGCTTGAGCACAGGAGTTCAAGACCAGCCTGGGCAATATGGTGAAACCCCATCTCTACAAAAAATAAAAAAATTAGTCAGGTGCAGTGGCATGTGCCTGTTGTCCCAGCTACTTGGGAGGCTGAGGTGGGAAGATGAATTAAGCCTCAGAGGTGGAGGCTCAATTGAAAAGAAAACAGAAAATATATGACAATCTCAGGCACTTGGAAGGCATGAGAGAACATATGGCTGCCACACCTAAATAATATCAAATTATACACCCTTAGGCAAGTTACCCAACTTCTCTGAAACTCAGTTTTACTCATCTGTAAAGTGAGTATAATAATAGTAGCTATGTCAGTGTTATGGTGACAATTAAATGAGTTAATTTACACAAAATTTTTGAAATCATGGTCATTGTTGTTTTTATCCATTGGAGTAAGTATATTAGTTTCTTAGGGCTATTATAACAAATTACCACAAACTGGGTGGTTTAAAACAACAGAAATTTATTCTCACACAGTGCAACAGGCCAGAAGTCCAAAATCAAGGTGCTGCCAAAGTTGGTTCCTTCTGGAGACTCAGAGAGAGAGTCTAGTCATGCCCCTCTCCCAGGTTCTGTGGTTATGGGCAACACTTGGCATCCTTTGGCTTGTAGATATAGCACTACAGGGCAGGGCGCGGTGGCTCACAACTATAATTCCAGCACTTTGGGAGGCCAAGGCGTGAGGATCACTTGAGGTCAGGAGTTCGAGACCAGCCTGGCCAACATGGTGAAACCCCATCTACAAAAAACACAAACATGAGCCAGGCATGGTGGCATGTGCCTGTAGGCCCAGCTACTCAGGAGGTTGAGGCAGAAGAATCACTTGAACCCAGGAGGTGAAGGTTGCAGTGAGCCAAGATCATGCCACTGCACTTCAGGCTGAGCAACAGACCAAGACTCTGTCTCAAAAAAAAAAAAAAAAAAGATAAGTGACTCCAATCTCTGCTTCCATCTCCACATGGATTTTTTCCTTGTGTGTTTTTCATCTTGTATGTTCTCTCTTCTTATAAGGATACAAGTTATTTGATTTAGGGCCCACCTAATCCAGTATGACCTCAACTTAACTAATTGCTTCAGCAAAGACCCTATTTCCAAATAAGGTCACATTCTGAGGATCCAGGTAGACATAAATTTTGGCGCACTATTCAACCTCTGCAGTAAGGCATTATTGTTCAGCTCTAGAGCCCATAAACACATAAAGGGCAAGGGCGAGGAACTGGAAGTGGTGTCATTCTTCCAAGAGGTAACCAGGAATCGGAACAGCTGACTACCTAGTGCTTGTAGATTTCCCTTTATTGTTTTTGATGAAAAATAAAGCGCCAAGTGAGGATAAACCACAGAATTCCTATGGCTATGATCTAGCCTGTTATCTTGTCAGCAATATCATTTTACATAAACAAACTGCAAAATTTTTACTACAATCGACGATAAACAAATACTATGAATCTCCCAAGTGTAAACTATTTGTTTCTCTCGATTGTAATAGGCAAAACTGGCCTCTGTGATAGTTGAGGTTGCTTTTTAAATGTGCCACTAGAGGGAGAAAAGGTTGTATGTTTGTTTTTGAAGTGCATATTGCAGGATAATGAGGTTTTTCTTTGTGCAATTACTACAAGTATGAGTTCCATGTTTGTGATTGCAGGGTAATTTCATCTTAATGTTGATGATGCAGACCACACTGCAGAGCAGAGTGAAGTGGTATAAATCACAAGCTGTGTTCCTATTAAAAGCATATTGTTTGGATGGAGATGGGAATCTATAACAATTCAAAAGCTGTCTTTAATCACTGAAGTTCAAATGTTGTCTTTAAAATTGGACTTTTGCAAAGTAAGGATGGGCATTGCATTATATATGAAATGGCTTTAAGACAAATCTATGGTGCAGTGATTTGAAAAGATAGAAGATGTGACCAGGCGTGGTGGCTCACGCCTGTAATCCCAGCACTTTGAGAGGCCGAGGTGGGCGGGTCACCTGAGGTCAGGAGTTCGAGACCAGCCTTACCAACATAGAGAAACCCCACCTCTACTAAAAATACAAAATTAGCCAGGCATGGTGGCACATGCCTGTAATCCCAGCTACTCGGGAGGCTGACAGGAGAATTGCTTGAACCTGGGAGGCGGAGGTTGTGGTGAGCTGAGATCACACCATTACACTCCAGCGTGGGCTCAAAACTCCATCTCAAAAAAAAAAAAAAAAAAGATAGAAGATGCAAACTAAAAGACTTTAAGATTTATTGTTTGGAATCCAAGAAGTGTCCTCTCAACTTTGTCTTTCTGCAAATTTTGGCATCATGTAGCTAAGCAGGATGGGCCAGAGCTGAGAAAAATAACAGCAATAATAATTAGCAGTTAGGTGCTACTTATTCTCTATCAGTGCTTTACATATATTAACTAATTTAATCTTCATAACAACCTTTTAAGATAGATGTCCTATTATTATCCTCATTTTACAGATGAGAAAACTGAGGTCCATGTTCATAAAGGTAGTGAGCACCAAAGCTGGCTGCAGTGTCTGAATTCCTTAACAACAACATTATACAGTCTTTCAAGATGAACTTATGTGACCGAAAGTCTCTTCCAGATGTTTTAACAATATTCCACATCATGATACACCTGTTGAAATGACTATAAACAAAAACTGAAAGTGCCAAGTGCTGACAAGGTTGTGGAGCAACTAGAACTCTCATATACTGTTGGTAGGAATGCACGATGATGCAGCCCCTTGGAACAATTTTGTCACTTCTTATAAAGTTAAATATACAGTTACTGTATGATGCAGAATTCCCACTTCTATGTACTTGCCCAAGAAAACAAAAGCTTATATTCACACAAAAACCATATGTGAATTTCTGTAGCTGCTTTATTCATAATCACCAAAAACTGGAAACAACCCAAATTTCTCCCAGTTGGTGAATGGGAAAACTATGGTGCATCCATGTAAAGGAATATCATTCAGCAACAAAGAATGGACTTTTCATGCAAAAACATGGATGAATTTCATATAAATTGTGCTAAATGAAAGAAGATAGACTCAAAAAGTTATATTTATACGACATTCTGGAAAAGACAAAATTTTAAGAACAGAAAATGATCAGTGGTTGTCAAGATCTGGGGGTAGGGGAAGAATTGACTGTAATGGAACAGCATGATTTTTCTAAACTGTTGGAACCATTCCATATCTTGATTGTGGTGGAGATTATGCCACTTTATGTGTTTGTCTAAACTCATAGAACCATACAATAGAATGGGTGAATTTTGCTGCATGTAAATTAAAAACTATAGAACGATATAAATAATGAGGGCAGGATTCCAATGCAGTCTCTTGGACTAAAGCATATCACCTTTTCTAAGATGTCCTAGATGTGTAAATTTGAGGACACTCCTCAACAATTCTTTGCACTACTTTCCCCATCTGCAAAATGGAGATAGCAATGTCTACATCACAGTTTTGCTAAAAGATAATGGAAAAGAGTCAGCGGCCAGTCAAAAAACCAAAGGCACCTAAGGTATTTGAACAAAGAGAATATAATTGCATAGATACTGGAGAAAAGCAAAAAGGAAATGCTAAGGTAGTAACTGCAGGAAGTAGCTTCCACCCTAATGGCTAGGCGAACAAAGGGAAGAAATTTGAGTTCTGATAGAATCTAAAACCTAGGACAAGCCCCATGGAGATAGAACGATGAAGAGGATGTATCACCTAGCTGCTGCTGGTCCTTCTATGGGGATATGGGGGTGGTCCTGGGAGACAGAAGCTGAAAAGGAGAGCCAGATGGTGCCACCAGGGAAAGTGCTACTGCTGGAGCCATGCTGATCAGGACAGCAGCAAAACAAGAGTGATAAAGTCTCTCCCCATCCCTCTGCCCCACTTCCAGTCTTCCAATCTCCCTTGGAATCTCCTAGTGGTATAATGTACCAGGAAGGCACCTGACAAGGGAACCATGAAGGGTGTGGGGCTCAGCGTCAGAAGTCACAGTGTAGATGGGTTTGAGCAGAGAACTTATATAGCCATCAGAGGCATATACTCAGCTCTCATTCATTTGCTAAATAAACATTTGTTGAGGGTCAGGTACTCAGCTAGGCAAGGCTCTTGTCCTTAAAGAGCTGAAGCTAAATAAGAAAAGTATAAAGCAAGCTACGTAGAGGTCTTGGTGAGTGTATTAAGTTGGATATTGGGATCAGATTCAGGACTGTTTTAAGAAGTCGTCTCCTCCAGGTATCAGATAGAGCAATGAAGCTAGCACAGCATTGCTTGCTATGACACTGAGATGCTGGCTGTCTTCTCAGGTATGGAAAATATTCCGTGTGCTCTCCTGACATCCCTGGATCACTCTATGAGATGGGCAGGATTAGCTCATTTGAGTTGCCTGGAAGGCGTCCTACACAGAGTTGTTAGCCCAACAAATCTTGTTAGCCAAATTTATTTGAAAAAGTCAGTGACTCGTGTGGTCACGTCACTCCTGGGTCCTCCCTAGTTCCTGAAAAAATGTCCAAAAAGCGCAGGTCTCACTTCAGAGCAAAGATGAAAGTCTAGTTACCTCTTGCCTATTACTTGTACAGATAGTCACATAGCAATCTTTATACATGTATTGATTTGACTTCATTATGCAGCTCCAGTGATTGCTCTTGCAGGTTTTTTACTAACTTTATAGCCAATATGTCTTCTGGCTTAGTAATCTTTCTTCTTTTTTTGGAATGGAGTCTCACTCTGTCGCCCAGGCTGAAGTGTAGTGGCATGATCTCTGCTCACTGCAACCTCTGCCCACTGCAACCTCTGCCACCCGAGTTCAAGCAATTCTCCTACCTCAGCCTCCAGAGTAGCTGGGATTACAGGCGCCCGCCACTGCACCTGGCTAATTTTTGTATTTTTAGTACAGACAGAGTTTCACCATCTTGGCCAGGCTGGTCTTGAACTCCTGACCTCATGATCCACCCGCCTTGGCCTCCCAAAATGTTGGGATTACAGGCTTGAGCCACTGCGCCCAGCCAGTAGTCTTTCTTACATTCACACAGGACCTTGCTCCCCATCCTCACTGGAAATGAATTGTCATCCAATTGAAGTAGATGCTCTTAGTGCCCTACCCAAATGGCCTTTACTGGCCAGTGCACCCCCAAGCTTGCTGTCCTCCAGTGGCCCCTCCAAGAAATTACCTTTGATCAAATAGGAGTCCTTCACACACAAAGTTCCCACCCACCATGGGGCAGACCTTGGTCAGAAACCAATTAGCATGGATGTAAAAATGGTCAGCCCCATTGCCTCAAACTGGCCCTCATTCAAGTGCAATTCATGCTCTGGAGCTTCCTGTGTGATAAAGCTGAAGCTAGTCTCCAGCTGAGACCTCATCCTCGCCTAGCTTTTTCCCCTGCATGTCCTCCTTCCCTCACTCCATTACAGGAGTCTTCTGGGCACTTTCTCCCACTGAGTAACTTACACAAGAATTTCTTATCAGGCTCTGCTTTCAGGGAACCTACCCTAAAAGATCAGTTATTCCTAAGAGTATAGGTGCCCCCCTAAACAGTTAGTTGCAGTCATCACCTACTGCTGGTGAGGTTGCTTCCATAATGAGAATAGCAAGGATGTTCGCCACACCAAGAATGAGATCATCAGCTGTCCTCGGGGTTTGCAGTCCTCGGGGAGCTGGGCTCTGTACAGGAAACTGAGGTGTAGGCCACAGTGTATGGCATCCTGGAAGGCAAAACAAGCCTGATTCTGTGCAAAGTGCTTCCATCCTTGGTGGCCCGGGAATTGATACCAACTGAACCCACCTTGCCAAATCACACTGGTCACGTCCTTGTGTCAAAGCCAGAAATATAATGTCGAGGATACTCAGCCAATGTCTGCCCTTACTCCAAGTTCAGTTTTGGTTTTTCTTCTTGATGATTCTGAGTTGTGTAACATTCTGTAGGGGGAAAAACATGGATTTTGGAGCTGATTCTGATACTCACAAGTGGCAGCTTACAAATCACTTAACTTCTCTACACCTCCATGTGCTCATCTGCAAAATAGGGCAATGATACCTAAGTTGCATGGCCCTTATGAAAATTACAGTTACTTAATCTTTGTGAAACAACCTACATGGGGCCCAGTTCTTTTTAAATGGCAGCAACTACTTCTATTGCAAGCATTGTCTTCACTCCATTGTGTCTCCACCTATTTGCATTATCTTGTGAATAAGCACAAATGTAGACAATGCCATTGACCTCCAGTACAAAGACACTTTGCTATCAGCCTGGCCAACTTAGTGAAACCCCATCTCTACTAAAACTGCAAAAAAAAAATTAGCCAGCATGGTGGTAGGCGCCAGCTATTCTGGAGGCTGAGGCGGGAGAATCGCTTGAAGCCGGTAGGCGGAAGTCGCTGTGAGCCAAGCCAACATCACACCACTGCACTCCACCCCTCCAGCCTGGGTGACAGAGTAAGACTGTCTCAAAAAAACAAAAAACCCAGACACTTTGCTGATACGGTCTGCCACTTGCAGCTTTCTCTACCTTATGCTGTCTCTTTTTCCTTCTCCCACATTTCTTTACCCCTTTTCTATCTCTCTTTTGCCTCCTGTTTTTAACCCCCTTATTTTTAACCCCCTTTCTCCAAGCTCTATTCCAATATTAACAGGAAGACAGGCTAGTCCAACTTTTGCGCCCAGGTGAAAGCATCACATCTTTATGTATTTGACCTAGGAAAGATGCTGCCCACGCCCTGTCCAGACCTCCTTAACACTCCCCTTTTCTAGGCACGCATTACAAGCACCTAGGGGCCTCTAAGGGCTTTCTCTGGAGTGCTCAGCCAACCCACAGGACTGTCAGTCAGTGCTAGGGATGCTCCAGGAGCAGCCTTAAGCCAAAGAGAAATGAGAGTTGGAGGATAAATGCCTCAGTTTCCCCTCTTGGACATATCAACTCTGAGGACACAGTCTCCCAGATGACCCCAGCAGGACTGAGTGCCAGTTGCCTCTGGGGAAGCAACATTAACACACCTTGGATTGATTTTCTTCCTTCTTATCTTACTTGCCCACTCCCCTGATGGTACTTTCAAATCCTTGTCTCAGGTTTTGTTTCCTTGGGGTCCAATTCAACATAAGACACCACCCCAACCCACCTAAACCTTCAGCCTCACTGTCATGACGGGAGACAGGAACCAGACACCTCATAGCAGAAAGACAAGTAAGCGAGTAAAAGTCTGTGACAGAACCTGCCACCAGTTTTCTTTGTTTCAAATAGAAAACATTATTATAGTCATAACTCACTGGATAGCATGAAATCTTTCTAGCTCTTTGTTCCACATACATCTGTTACCCAGCATTATCTCTTTATTACTTAACTGTAACAGTTTTCCCATTTCTTGAAAGACAGCAACAATTCTATGAACAATGGACACAAAATTGGCTGATAGGGGAAAGATATTGGAGGTACCAGGAGCTTGCCAACAAAGAATTATTAAAATATCTCCCTGGTACAGTTAAGAGAGAAAACCAACAACTTGTCCCATTTCGGCTGATGTGAGGTAGGAAGGTGGAGGAAGAAGAAAGCAATTCCTCATAGACATTCTCATTTTTCTACTCCCCAACTCTGTAGCAATTAGATGTCAACCATGAGCACCTATTCTTCATTTATTCCCTTACGTATTTATCTCCAGCGAACATTCTTGCCCAAAATTGGAAAGCTGAGAGAGGTAGATATTTTTTCTCTCAGGAAACTAACGCTAATGGTCAAATTTAAGTGACAGACAAACATTCCTCATGATAAAAATAAGGCCCAAAGCTCCAACACTGGGTTCATATATTTTTTTCAATTCGCCTAAATCCTTTATATTAGCAGAAGCTTAAAGGTACAGTGAGCAAGGACTTCTACTAGACATGTTCCTTGAGATTTGTAAGATTTCTACTTTTAAAAAATACAGGAAGCCCTCAAAAAGTTAAGTAAAATCATAATTCCGCTAGTTTAAAATTTCTATAAAATAAATTATCTCCTTTCTCCCACCACTCAATTCACCCCTTCGATATGGTTTGGATCTGTGTCCCTGCCCAAATCTCATGTCCAGGTTTAATCCCCAGTGTTGGAGGTGGGGCCTGGTGGGAGGTGATTGGATCACGGGGATGGAGTTCTCATGAATGATGTAGCACCATCCCTCCTTGGTCCTGTATAGTGAGGTGAGTGAGTTCTCATGAGATCTGGTTGTTTAAAAGTGTGTGGCAGCCAGGCGCGGTGGCTCACACCTGTAATCCCAGGATTTGGGGAGGCCGAGGCGGGCAGATCATGAGGTCAGGAGTTTGAGACCACCCTGGCTAACACGGTAAAACCCTGTCTCTACTAAAAATACAAAAAATTAGCCTGGCATGGTGGCACGTGTCTGTAGTCCCAGCTACTTGGGAGGCTAAGGCAGGAGACTCGCTTGAACTCAGGCGGCGGAGGCTTCAGTGAGCCAAGATCGTGCCACTGCACTCCAGCATGGGCAACAGAGCGAGACTCTGTCTCAAAAAAATAAAAAAAAAGAAAAGTGTGTGGCTCCTCCCCCTCTCTCTTGCTCCTTCTCCAGCCATGTGAAGTGTTCGCCTCCCCTTTGCCTTCCATCACGTTTGTAAGCTTCCTGAGGTCTCCCCAGAAGACGAGCAGATGCCAGCATCATGCTTCCTGTACAGCCTGAGGAACATTGAGCCAATTAAACCTCTTTTCTTTATAAATTACCTAGTCTCAGGTTTTTTTTAATAGCAAAGTGAGAATAAACTAATACACCCTCCCACTGCAAGGGGAGTCATAATTCCACTGTAATACTGTAATAGACAGAACTCCAGCTTCTTTCTATGCCTATGAGGCATAATTACATTCATGTATTTACATTTGCCCACCTGCTATTTTTCTAATGAAAATAACATACATATTTTTTAGCAATTTGTATTTCTACCTAATATAGCATAAACAGTCTTCTAAGAAATCAGGTATAAGCCCATTGCATATTTTTTAACAGTTTTGGCGTATTCCATTGTTTAGAACTTCATCTCCCAAGTAGTGTTCAATGAAAACTGTCCTCTGATGTGTGCTATCTCTCATTTTACATGTGTGTGTATGAATTATTATAAATTATAGTTTAATCTTTGGCAGATTTACAGTGCATATTGTCAACTGAAGAATGATGAGGTTCATAAATTTGGAAAGGTGAGATTTATCTCTCATAAAGGGTTGCAGCCTGCAGGGTGGCCATTCTGATAGGCCGGGAAGTGTGGTCTCCACCCAGAAGCCAGAAACAGACACTTCCATGGTGGGAAAAATGAGATAGTGATTTATGCTCAGCAGGGTGGCCAACACACTGAAATTCAATAAGCTGGAGGAGGAGTCATTAATATTTATGAAGGGAGAAATATGCATATGTGCAATTGAGCTTCATGCCTCTCAGTGGATCCCATGCCCAGGCTGAGCATGGTGGCTCACACCTGTAATCCTAGCACTTTGGGAGGCCAAGGTGGGCAGATCATTTGAGCCCACAAGTTCAAGACCAGTCTGGGCCTACAAAAAATACAAAAAGTAGCCAGATGTGGTGACCTGCGCCTGTAGTCCCAGCTACTCAAGAGGCTGATGTGGTAGGATGGCTTGAACCTGAAAGGTGGAGGCTACAGTAAGCTGAGATTGCACCACTGTACTCGATCCTGGGCAATAGAGTGAGACCCCCATCTCAAAAAAAGGGGGGAGGGGCAGGCAGCATTAGCACAATCTGAAACATGAAGTTTTTGATACTCTCACCACAAAAGGTGAAGTAGAGGACATGAAAATCCTCCCTGCACATACTCAGCAGAATGGCCAAAACCACTCCATGATTGGTGGTCTCTTTTCTGGAAGGAATGCAGGTCAGTCCCTACATGGAAACCACAAAAGGAAAAGGCAGCAGTCAGGCAGTTGGTTGAAATCAGCAATGGAGTCTTTTGGAAGGGCTGGTTTCTGGTTAGCCCTTAGGAAGAATGCCTAATGACAGGGAGCGGAGGGGTATAATGAGTCGTCGCCTGACCTTCCATCCCATCAGGGCTGGGAATTCAACTTCCAAGGTTTCTCCGGAGTCTTCTTGGCCAAGATGGCATTCATTCAGTCAGTTGGGGGCCTTTAGAATTTTATTTCTCAATATTAATTTATTAAAGATTTTGCATGTTTTACAATCCAAAAAAAAAGTTTATTCTAAACAGCAATTCCAAATATCTTTGACTGCAGAATACTATGTTAAGGGAAAGTCCACTACTGTATTAGAAAACACTCCCTTGAAATCGCCTAGATTTTTCTTTTTTTCTTTTTTTCTTTTTCTTTTTTTTTTTTTTTTTTTGAGATGGAATCTCATTCTGTCGCCCAGGCTGGAATGCAGTGGTGCAATCTCGGCTCACTGCAACCTCCGCCTCCCGGGTTCAAGTGATTCTCCTGCCTCAGTCTCCTGAGGAGCTGGGATTACAGGTGCGCACCACCATGCCCGGCTAATTTTTGTATTTTTAGTAGAGACAGAGTTTCACTATGTTGGTCAGGTCGAACTCCTGACCTCATGTTCTGCCCACCTCGGCCTCTGAAAGTGCTGGGATTACAGATGTGAGCCATTTTATATAAAATGACTGAGAAGTCTCCTTCAAGCCATCTAGAGTCGGGGAAAGAAGACAGTGACAAAAGCTGAAGGCTGAACCATCCCAGGGCTGAATACAAAAGATTAAAATATGGCTAAGTATCCAGAAAGAGCAACTCACAAACAAGGAGCTATTTGTGGCCTAAGGGATGTTGTGAGGAGTCTTAACAAGCATGCTGGTGTGCCCTTAGAGTCAGGGCAGAGCAGTGGGCATGAAAATGGGCTATTGGCCCTTTCTGTTAGGGCTTCCTCTTTCAAAGACGGGAATAATCATCAGAAGCCAAAATACAACAAACAGAAAAAAGAAAGACAGGGAGGGAGGGAAGGAAGAAAAGAAGGGAGGAGCAAGGAAGGAGATAGCTGCCAAAGCCAGCATATCCCTCAGATCATGCTGCATGGAAGAGAGACTGAGAATGCACACCAGTTGATATCCTAGTTCCTTCTGGCACTAAGTCCAGCCCTGAGCATCAGAGCTTGAAGTAGGGGCCTCACACTCTGATGAGGTTCAAAAATCACTGACATGAGCATAATTCATAGGGAATTAATTCCCTATTAAGAGAATTATTAATTGTATTAAGGGAACACAAATGTATTTAACATGTATACAGGTGAGCCTTTTTTATTTAACATGTATACAGGGGACCCAATCATCCAGTGAGATTCGGAGGCATATATATCATCTTGGAAAAACAGATTATGGAAGGGAGGAGAAGAGGAACTCTGTTGAAGATTTACTAGTGAGAAGGCATGGACCCCAAGGAAGATTTGTAAATAGTTTTCTTTGACAGAGAATGGGTCTGCTCAGGTGTGGTTACATTCTTGGTCTTGCAGGGAGGGTGAGAAAAAGCAATTGTTCTTCCTGGTGGGTCTGGATCTTAGGTAGGGGAGGACCTTGAGGCTTCTTCTGCTTTTTCTTCAGCTCAGCATGTCCATGCATTTTATTTTGGGGTATCAGTTTCTGAGCCCCAACAGTGACTTTAAAATCCTTTATAAGAAAGAGGGCATGTTCCCTCTAATAGGACTCTGGAAAGGAAGATTTGATTACCCTAAAAGTCCACACAAAGATGATTATTTGTTCATGTTTTTAGAAGACTGACACTGCTTCAGGGCATAGCCTAACAATGATGCTTTAGGTATATATATAAAAAATAAAATAAAATAAAATAAAATAAAAAACTTTGGGGATTTATGGCCACTAGAGAAAGGCTTAATAGCACGAGTTAATAAGGGCCTGTAACTATGTTTCTGCCTGATTTTTTGTAATTAATAATAGCTAATTTCATTTATGATGATATCATAATACTACTACTTGTACTACCACTAATAATAGACATGTATTTAGCACTTGTTGTGACTAAGCTCTGAGGAAAGAATTCTCCAACAAATCTAATCCCTAAAATAGGTGTGTCCTGAGATTAACAGATAAGAAAACAGACAAAGGATGTTTACTGACTTGCCTGAGGTCACACAAATGAGATAGCCAGGCCTTGAACTCAGGCATTCAGATTCTGGGCTCTTGACAACTCTCATCCCTCCCACTTCCAGCCCCACCTCATCTACACTGCCTGCAAGAATGTTCGTCCCTAGCAGCTGAGGGTGACACTGAGTGGGTTTTCCTTGGCCCAGAACTGCTTTCTCTACCTTTGTTCCTGTCTAGATTTTCTTGTTTTCCTATTGGTCATTGTTGCTTCACTCGTGTTCCTATACATGTGACATTTGAAAAATTCTAATGAAACCACCATTGCAGGATTATAACTGAGACAGTGAAAGAGACTTGACCTAACCTACACCATCTTGCTTCTAACCTCCAAGCTGTCCTTGTTAATTCCTGGGTGTAGGCCAAACTAACTTTGGACAGAACTTAGTTTATAGTCTTTAGTTTGAAACAAGGATGATAACAGCCCTTTCCCAAAACAAACCCCCTTCTTGCCTTGGGACTAGACTGCCTTTATAGGACTAACAATTAGCCAAAAGTTAAGAAATTATGATTTAGGAGTCATGCAGCTAGCGGCTAAAAGATTCTGACCCTCCCCAAATTGCTCCTAGGGATAAAATCACTATTATAGGCCCGGCACGGTCCTGTAATCCCAGCACTTTGGGAGGCCGAGGCGGGCGGATCACGAGGTCAGGAGATCGAGACCATCCTGGCTAACACGGTGAAACCCCGTCTCTACTAAAAAAAAGTACAAAAACTTAGCCGGGCGTGGTGGCAGGCGCCTGTAGTCCCAGCTACGCAGGAGGCCGAGGCAGGAGAATGGGTGAACTCGGGAGGCGGAGCTTGCAGTCAGCCGAGATCGTGCCACTGCACTCCAGCCTGGGAGACAGAGCAAGACTCCATCTCAAAAAAAAAAAAAAAAAAACACTGTTATAAAACCTAAGATCAGTGCTTGAGATATTTTGCATACCCTGCACTTGATGGCACCACTCAGATGGATAAAGTGGCTCATCCGATCTTGTGGCCCCCACCCAGGAACTGACTCAGCGCGAGAAGACAACTTCTACTCCCTGTGATTTCATCTCTGACCCAACCAATCATCACTCCTCACTCACTGCCCCTCCCCCAGCACCCGCCAAATTATTCTTAAAAACTCTGATCCCTGAATGCTTAGGGAGACCGATTTGAGTAATGACAAAATTCTGGTCTTCCGCACAGCCGGCTGTGCAGGAATTACTCTTTCTCTATTGCAATTCCCTTTTCTTGATAAGTCAGCTCTTCCTACGCAGGAAGCAAAGTGAACTCACTGGGCAGTTATAAGGATGCTTTGGGAAAGTGGAAGTGTGTGTGGTCACCAAAAGGTTGTGTGGAATAAAGGTTTCTCTCACCTCTTAGGCTGGTCTTTCTGAGTCTATGAGAAGATGACAAAGAGCCTGTTCTATGTATTAGTTATGTTTTCCTCCTAGCCTGATTCTGCCCCTAATTTTTGTAGTTGATAGGGTGGAAGGGGGAGGATGGGAGGAGGGGAGAATGAGAAAGGCATACTTCCATGCTAGCAGTAGGAATCTTCTAGGGGCTGGACAGAATGGAGCAACATGCTCCAGCCTGCCTTAAGTCTCTTTAGGCTGCCCACACATGTGTTCACCTAGGTTCTCTTTAACATCAGGCACTCACAGAAAAAAAAAGTCCCCCATTTGTGAATCATGTGGACAAAGAGAACAAAATGGCACCATCTTGTTCTCCTGAGGCCCCTGCAGGAAGTGGCTCAGCTGTGTCCATCTCAGGATGGAGGAGGAAATCCCAGACTTCTTCTGTTCAAGGCTGGGCCCACAGGCCTCCACCCTCCCTAGACCAGGGAGAGCTGTAATTTCAGCTCAGTGATCCCAGGACACAGCCAACTTTCCATCCCTGCCCTTGCTTTCAGACCTAGCCTCTTCCAGCGTTGAGTAAATAAAGGGGGGCTTCTTTCTCACTGGTGTGTCTCCCTTTCAGACCCAGAGAGAAGGACTTGGACTATGATTACTCAGCTCCTTCATCTTCCTCAGGGAACAAGGTTGATAAGACAGAAATTTATTTTGGTTGGATCATAATGACCAATAAAAGATACCTTTTCATTCATGTTGCATTTTGAGTCAATATATACTCAAGATCAGAAAACTGACCATCAGTCAGTGCAGCCTTTAATTTTTTGTTGGTTTGTTTCTAAAATGTGTAATCACCTGATGAGTTCTTCCTGCCCAGTGCACAGACAAAACTGATTCACTGAGACCGTGGCATTGCACTCACATCAAGATCCCTGAGGGCTCAGACGTTAGGGGTTTTATGGACAAGCTGGTGAGCAGGGGTCTAGAGATTGGTTGGGGATGAAATCACAGGAGTGTGAAAAACAGTCCTCATGCACTAAGTCCACCTCTGGGTGGGGCCACAGGACCAGTTGAGTCATGAGTCACGAGTCTTGGTGTGGGGGGTCAGTCTGAAAACCATCTCAAAAAGAAAACAATCTTAGATTTTACATTAGTGATTTTTATTTGTTTGTTTTTTATAGAGACAGGGTCTCACTCTGTCACCCAGGCTGGAGTGCAGTGGCTCACTGTAGCCTCGAGCTCCTGGGCTCCAGCAGTCCTCCCGCCTCAGCCTCTTGAGTAGCTGGGACCGCAGGTACACACCACTGTGCCCAGGTTTCAAAAAACGTTTTGGAGAGATGGGTTTCTACTATGTTGCCCAGTCTGGTCTCAAACCCCTGGGCTCAAGCCATCCTCCCACCTCACCCTCCCAATGTGTTGGTATGATAGGTGTTAGCCACTGTTCCTAGCCAAATAGTGATGTTATCTAAGGAAGAAATTGGGAAAGTCACAAATCTTGAGACCTTTGGCCACATGACTCTCTAGTAGCAAGGGATTATAGAAACAACACCCAGGCCAAAACCTGCTAAACCTTTCTTCATCTGCTTTGCCTAACTCACCACAAGATTAGGGAATAACATACTCAATTTTAAGAAATAACCTCTGGGAGAGGCAGTTTTTGTTTGGAAAAAATACCTTGAGGCTTCTGAGAATGAGAGGCCTCATGATAGAATTGGTTAACGTAGATAAACAGAGAGCTGGATAATAGTTCTGAACATAAAGGGAGAGGAATTTGGAGAATCTTAATAGCCTGAGGAGGCGAAAGATAAGTAGGGTCTTCAAGATGGAACAGGTAGCCTGAGGGAGGATGGCAGAGGAGTTTACAAAGAAAGTCAGCTGGTGAGAAAGTCCCTGTCCAGCGTCATTTCTGAACTGGGGTTGTCTAACGTTTACCTTAAAGTTATCCGACAAGTTTGATTCATTTATGTAACAAATGTGTGTTGTGTGCCTTTTATGGGCCAAGGAGTTCAAGGATAAATGAGACCAAGTCCTCACTTCAATAAGCTTACTTTGCTAAGGCTGTTAGTAAATAGTCATCCCATGGTGCCAATCTACCTTTAGTAAAAGTCACACAATTGTTTTGTGTAGTTCCCCTAGAAGTCAACCCAGAGGCAGAATTCTAGTGCAAGAAATATATTTAGAAGTTGATTCCAAAAAATACCCTTAAAGAGAAAAGAGAATAAGAGAAGGGATGGAGACCAATAAAAGGTAAGTTGCCAACCAAGTTACTATTTGAGTTACTATTTGGGCAACTGGGGCTCAGGGCCAAGGAGCCACCAACTCTTTTTAATCATTGGTTCAAGGCTATTCCTGGGGGAAGAGGGAAGTGATAATTTTTCAGTTATTTCTAGCCTGTCAAGCATATGGACAGAGCAAGCTCCCAAACGTACAGAAGCCCTCAAAAAATAGATGCTTTAACTCGGTGTGGAAATGCATGCTTGTAGTCTTAGATGCTTGGGAGGCTGAGGTGGGAGGATCACTCAAGCCCAGGAGGTTAAGGCTGTAGTGAGCTATGATTGCACCACACTCCTGGCTGGGTTTCAGAACAAAACCCTATCTGTAAATAAATAAATAAATATAAGGTGCTTGTGCTGGAAGTTGGCAACTCACAGCCTTATGATAATTTTAAGATCTTCCAGAATCCGCCCCTGCCTGTATCCTCAACTTCAGCTGCCCCCAGTCTCCTTCCTCTACCTCCCAGCCCCTGTTGCACCATAGATTCTCACTTGCCAGAGTCTTGCCATTTCTGAAATGGGTCATGCTGTGTACAACCCCAAGCCATTGTTCCTGCTATGCTCTCTGCCTGAAATGCCCTTCCCACATATCTAATTTAGCCTTTGTCAATATGCAGTTCAAAAGTCACTTCCTTGATGAATATTTTCTAGTTCCCCCAAGTAAAATCCACCATTCCAGCCTTTGTCCCTTCTGCAGAAATATTTCTTAGCACCTATAAGAATGTATTGTTCTCACTCATTTCATAGTATTGTTCACCCCTATCAAATAGAAACTCTTTGAGTACAATGGCCCTGATCTACCCCTGACTATCTAATGGATAGTATAAGGTATAGCACAAAATAGATACTAGTAAATATTTAATGAGCAAGTGAAGGTGAATGTGTGAGAAAGTTAATGAATGAGCAATTTATGAAGATGAGTAAAAGGGAATAAATAAGAAAAGTAGGTTGGGCCGAAAGTGTAAAGCATTTCTCAGCCTTCCTTCCACTTGGATGTGGCTATGTAGTTACCTCCTAACCAACAGGATGTAAGTGAAAATGCTTATATTTTCACTTATATATTCTGCAACTTCCAGGAAACATCCTTCAAAGGCCGGTGCTTGCCCTTCTTTGCCCTTTCTCCTTCCTGCTGGCTGGAGTGTGAATGGATGTGATTGTAGCAGTAATAGGTCCATTGCTTGATGTGCACAGCCAGGTCAATATGCTGAGACACCGGGTTGCAGCAGAGAAAGAGGTATAATCACAAAACTGCTGAACGAGGAGACAAGAGGAAGCCTCACATCTGTCTCCCCAAGATGTATGGGGACAGAGGTTTTCAGGGGTTTGGAGTGGGCTGAAATGTGGAGATCATTGATTGGTCAAAGAGTGCAGGGTGAAGTCATAGGACAGGGAGATGAAGAAACTGTATTCTCATACTGATTTCTTTCTTTTTTTTTTTTTTTGAGACGGAGTCGCGCTCTGTCGCCCAGGCTGGAGGGCAGTGGCGCCATCTCGGCGTTCATTGCAAGCTCCGCCTCCAGGGTTCACGCCATTCTCCTGCCTCAGCCTCCCGAGTAGCTGGGACTACAGGCGCCCACCACCACGCCCGGCGAATTTTTTGTATTTTTAGTATGGACAGGGTTTCACCGTGTTAGCCAGGATGGTCTCGATCTCCTGACCTCGTGATCCGCCCGCCTCGGCCTCCCCAAGTGCTGGGATTACAGGCGTGAGCCACTACGCCCGGCCTCTCATGCTGATTTCTTTCCTCTGTGTGAGTTTTCAGACTAGTTGGTGTCAGCCGTTTCACTGGAATTCTGGATCTCAAAAACACCTTAAGCAATTCTTAAACAAAAGACTTATGATTCTAACATCAAAAATCCTATCTATGGGAACAATGGAGATGCAAATGGCCAGTATCTAGTGCTGTGAGACTGTCAGTTACAATGAAGTGGGTTAAAGTCCAGCCTGATTAATGCTTAATTATAACTATTTTATTAATATATATACTGACGATTTGCACCCCTCCCCCCCAGTTTTTTTTTTGAGACGGAGTTTTACTCTGTCTCCTAGGCTGCAGTGCAATGGTGTGATCTTGGCTGACTGCAACCTTCACCTCCTGCAACTGTTCAAGCAATTCTCCCGTCTCAGCCTCCCAAGTAGCTGGGATTACAGGCACCCACCATGACACCCAGCTAATTTTTGTATTTTTAGTAGAGATGGGGTTTCACCATGTTGGTCAGGCTGGTCTCGAACTCCTGACCTCAGGTGATCCACCCACCTCGGCCTCCCAAAGTGCTGGGATTACAGGCGTGAGCCACCGCACCCAGCTGCATCCCCATTTTTCCTATAGGTAGGACTTCTGATGTTGGAATCATAAGACTTTCTTTTGTTTTGCTTTTTTTTTTTTTTTTTTTTTGAGATGGAGTCGCAGTCTGTTGCCCAAGCTGGAGTGCAGCGGTACAATCTCGGCTCAATGCAACCTCTACCTCCCAGGTTCAAGTAATTCTTCTGTCTCAGCCTCCTGAGTAGCTGGAACTACAGGTGCCCACCACCATGCCTGGCTAACTTTTGTATTTTTTTGGTAGAGATGGGGTTTCACCATGTTGGCCAGGCTGGTCTTGAACTCCTGACCTCAAGTGATCCATGCACCTTGGCCTCCCAAAGTGTTGGGATTACAGGCATGAGCCAACACACCTGGCCTAAGGCTTTTGTTTAAGATACACAGTTCCCAGCTGCCCCCTTTTCAGTCAAATAGGAGCTGCCTCCCCAGAAGATTTTGTGCTCTTTCCCATAAGGAGCAGCCTTGCCAATGACTGACCAATATAGATGTACAAAAAACAGGTCTCCTTGTCTCCAGGTGGGACTAACTTTGTGGTACAACTCAGGCACCAGAGCTCCCTGTGGAATCAGTCTGAAGCAGGACTACAGCTGAGGCTATATCCTAGCTCAGCTTCTTCCCCAACTCCACCCTGCTTCCCTCACACCCTATTCAGAGAGTACATCTGCAGCAAGTCAAATGCACCAAAATTCCTGTACCAGGCTCAGCTTCTAGGGGGCAGCCTCTCATATAAATTTGAGTTTTCATTCCCTGGATTAGAGGGAGAAACAAAGTGTGCTGAAACAGTTAAAAAGGGCCACCAGTCAGTGCTAGCCAAAAGAGGCATGCTTCAAAAGTAGTCACAGTCAATCTTTAGAGATCAATACAGACTGTCAGATTGATGCATATTATGAGGGACACAGAATGCATTCCTGCCTTGGCCTGAGAGAGTTATTGTTCTTAGCAAGCACATGAGTCTTTGTACCATGCACCATGGACTTACTTCTCTCCTAATTATTGCTTATACTGACTTGGTTGTCCTTCTTTTGTTGTCAGCTAAGCGAACAGCTCATCCGCAGTCAATACTGTGAAAGCATTAAGTCCCCTGACTACTGCCAGAAAGGGCCAGTGTATGGGAGTGGCTTCCTAAACATTTTCCCTAATAAAAGAGCTTAGTCTCTGGGCACAGGATAGTTGGCCCATTATTCTAGACTAATTAGGTTCTGCTCCATTTACATACTCTGCTGGAAATTACAGAATCTCTGTGAGAATTCACATGACATCCATGAACTTCTAAGAGGACCTACTGAGAGGAATGTCCTTGGCTAAGAGCCTCCAGCTGCTGCAACTTCAGATCCACTGTAATGTTCACACTCAGGTGGCTGCCAGCAAATGATTAAACTCCATGAGGGTCCAAGAACCAGGCCATTTCTATCAGGACTTTCCTAATGGACAATTCTTGCTGTGAGGCTCCTCACTGTCCTGGCTGTGACTTTCTCAGAGCTGTACTGCAGTCTATAGACTCATCCTACCCAAACCTCTTTCCTTCTCTTTTTCCTTTCACAGGAGTCAGGCCTGCATCTACTCTGAAGCGTCTCCCTGCCTACTCACATTTCCTTCCCCTTTACCCTGTACAGAATTTCCTCCATTAAATCTTTTGCATTTCTCCTTCTATCTTGGCATTTGCTTCTCATAGGACCCTAGCTGACATAGTGGATCTGAATCCTGAGGTCTGATTTGTGGAGCTGTGGGAACTTGTGAGATCAATTGCAAATGAAACATTACAATGGAATCCAAGGTAGCAACACTTAGAATTATAGCACACATTTGTTACTTGGCATGGAAAAATGTTTATGATAGAGTAAATTGAGGAATTACAAAACAGTATAGTATGTATTCCAAACTTGTAAACAAGAAAGTATATATAGAAAGAGAAAAATTTTAGAAGGCTATGCATCAAAATATTGAGATTGGTTTGCTCTAGATTATAGCAGTCTTGCTTATCTTTTTTGCATGTTTACATTTTCAAAATTTTTCGTAATAAAAAATTGTTTCACTTTAAACACAGCTGAAAAGAGAATCTTTTGGCGTAAAGGAGGAGTATTTTAGGGGCTAGAGCACTTTGGGAAGATAAGGCTGCTGTAAGTTTTTCTAGAGCCTCAGGACTGCTCCATTAAGGGTCACCATATAGGTACCAGGGGCCAACGGAGGAAAAGAACTTGCAGAGGTAAGAACATAAAGACCTCAGGGAAGGCCTAAGAGAAAGTGAGTGATGAGGGGGTAGAAGGGTCCCCTCCTTTTTCAGTGCATGGATCAGTTCAATTACTATCCCCACTACCATTCTCTATCTGACTCTGATGTCATTTTGTGACCCCTTAGACCTGATTGTGTGCATGTAATATAGCTCACTCATTCATCCAACCAACATTTATTGAGCCTTACTCTTGGCTAGGCATTCTGCTAAGTTCTAAGGATTCTGGCATGTGGCAGATACTGACAGTTGCCTCCCAATACCCATTCTCCCCTTTTTCTTGTTAAAAAAAATCCTGATTTTATTTAGGCAAGCAGCACGTCTGGTTAGAAATCATGTCTTAGCGCTCACTGCAGATAGAAGAGGCCATGTGTTGCAAGCAGGAAACACTGAAGGGGGTTGGCTCAATCAGCAGACACCTTTGCCTTTCACCCTTCCCCATCTTTGGAAAGTAGATGGAACCATGAAATGAACATAAGAAACGAAGACCATACACTAAATATATGGGAGCAAAAATCAAGAAAGAATCAGTCACTAGTGGCATTATTAAACCACTAAAATGGACCTCCATATTTCTTGTTATGTGAGAAAAACAAATCTAATTTGCCGAAGCCACGGTTTTGGTGATATCTGTAACTTGAAGCTCAACAGAGTCCTAAATGGAACAAATAGAGAATGAGTCACAAGCTCTACCCTGGCCTATGTATGGGCAGACAGCCAACAAGTAAAACGTAATTACACTCTACACCCCTCTTTTTCCTACTGTTCAACTTAGAAAGAAGGCAGCCTACTGCAGTTCTGCTCCAAATTCCTCAGGCCTGCGTTTCCGCAGACTCAGGCATTTGGAAATCGCAAGCAAGATGAGTGCAATTGTTCTCAGAAGATGACTGGGACCAGCTGTTCTCAAACGGTTTGGGCTCTGGGCCCCTTTACATCCTTCAGAACTATCAAGAACTATAAAGAGCTTTTGTTTATGTGAGCTGTACAGTCCATATTTATCACAGTAGATATTAAAACTGAGGGGCTTCAACAATTTAATTTAATAATAGTAACAGATTCATTGTTATATTTTATAAAAATAACTATTTTCTGAAACCAAAAAAATCAGAAATAATCAAGAGTGACACTGTTTTACCTTATTTATTTTTAGAGAGAGGGTCTTGCTCTGTGTCCCCTAGGTTGAAGTATAGTGGCACGATCATAGCTCACTGAAGCCTCAGATGATCCTCCCACCTCAGCCTCCCAAGTAGCTGGGGCTACAGGTGCATGCTACCACGACTGGCTAATTTTAATATTTTTATTTTTGTGGAGATGGAGGTCTCGCTGTGTTGCCCAGGCTGGTCTCAAACTCATGGTCTCAGGTAAGCCTCCCTCCTCAGCCTCCCAAAGTGCTGAGATTATAGGTGTGAGCCCCCACACTCAGCCTGTTTTATATTTTTTGCAAACCTCCTTAATGTCGGGCTTGAAAGAAGACAACTGATGGTATTCTGTCATCTGCTTCTGCATTTAAAGCAGTCCAATCCTTTGCATTACATGTAGCCTCTGGAAAACTCTACCATACATAATAATACTAACATGTTAGCATCATTACGAACATTATTTCAACCTTGTGGACCCCCAAAGGGGTCTTGGAGTTCCCCAGGGGTATCCCTACTGTACTTTAGAGTTGCTGCTGTGACCAGTGCTACTCAAAGCAAGATCTCCAAACTCTTTGTCACGGGTCTGTGTTAGATAAGTTCAGAAATTGAGTAAATGTTTAGAAACTCTTACAGCAATTTGACAGTAATTTTATGTCTGTTGAATCTAACAATAACGTTAATCAATCAGGGCTTTGTTTCATGTCTTTTCTATTTTTTTATAATTTATGTTTATTATATTTTACAAAAGAATCAGTCTGCAATGGATTGAAAATGAAGGAAGAAAGAGCTTTCATCACGGTTTCTGAAGTGATGATCTATCTTGGGGATGTTCAACGTGTGGTTCTCAGCAAGTAATGTCTACGTCATCTCGGAACTGGTTAGAAATGCAAATTCTCGGGCCTCCCTCCAGATCAAAAGAATCAGAAACCCTGGAGTGAGGCCCAGCTATCCGGGTTTTAACAAGCCCCCCAGGGACTTGAATGCTCAGGAAAGTTTGAGAACCACTGGTCTAGATCTGTGTTTTTCTAACTTAAAGGTACATCACTTGGGGAGCTTCTTAAACTGAAGATTCTGATTCAGAAGATCTGGGATGGGGGTGGAGACTTTACATTTCTAATAAGCTGCCAGGGGATGTGGGCATTGACCCCATTTTAAGTAGCAATCACATGGGTAAAAGAAATCTGTTGTTGAGACAGTTGTCAGCTAAAAAGAAACAAAACCAACACTGCAGTAAAACAAACAAACAAAAGGTGTTTTCATCAGGGTCTTAAGAATTGCAATTCAGGACACACAGATCTAGCAAGCGGCTCCATCAGGCAAGGTTGGGCAGGGGCTTATAAAGGTTTACTGTAAGTTTACATACCTGGAAGGTTTTCATATAGTGCATGATTGATGATGGCTGGTTAACAGCTTAGGATGTCTTTCAGTCTTGTTTGGCCTAGCTGTCTTTCCAGGAAGCTGGTGATCAGGCCCAGTATAAACAGTACAAGTCAAATGCAGTTGGTGTTACAATTTGGCCCAGTTCAACAAGTCAGATTTCATCTGGGTGTGCACATGACTGGGATCCAACTCCTTATGCCCCGCAGATCCCATTTAGATACCTCTTACATAACCATCTCCATCTTGGATTTTATTTTCTCCACACAGTGGAGAAACAATTTCTATAGAGACAGACCAGCAAATTGGCTGCTGTATCCCGTAGAAGGCCAAGAGGCTGTTAGTGGCATTCTTTAAAGGATGTTGTCGTAATTTCTTTTTTAATTGAGGTCAAGGCAATAGAGCTTTGAGGCAGGTGCAATTTAGGGAAGGCTGCTTTCCTTCTGGCCATGGAAATGAAGTCCTAAGAAGAGAGTTCCACTCCAGGTTTCTGCCAGCCTGGGATTTCCAGCATGGCTTCCCTCTCTGCAGCACCTTGCTAGCAACTTAATTATCTGGTGCTTGAAGACTGAAGGTGACATGCTCTGGGGAAAGCAGGACAACGGTGAGTGTTGAGTGACTTTACTGAAAATATAGACAAGTAATGAAATTTTGAAGAACTGCTGCTGTGGCAGGAGCTGAAGGAAACCAGAGGCAACAGCTGCAGCTTCTCCCAGTTCCTCAGGGAAACATGCTGGGGTGGGGAGTGGGAGGGAGAGGGCTGGAGTGCATGGCACAAATGCAACCAGTCCCACTGGACTGTCAGTTGAACTTGATAAAGGCAAAACGGAAGCTGAACATCTGCAAATCTGTTTAGATTGTGATACTTTGGACCAGAGGAACAGTTATCCCCAGGAACCACCATGCAGCATCAGGCCAGTGAAGGATAAATTTGGGTAAGGACAAACCCATTCCAGCTCCTGCCTTCACCCCAGGTCTTTGTGGGCCATTGGGCAAAGCCTTTTCAAATAAAAACTTGAGAAAAATGCCTATGAATACATCTTTCACAGTTGAAAGAGAGATAATATGAGCAGCAGTCAAATTTGCCAGGCTCTGGAATCAGACTGTCTGGGTTTGAACTCAAACCCCATGATAATGAGCCGTGTGTCTTTGGCCAAGTTGCTTTTCCTCTCTGTGCTTCATCAATCAGTTGTATTTGTTCTATCCCTCTCACCAGGCTTTGAGCTAAGGATGGTGACTGCATTTCATTCATTTTTCCTTTCTGGTGGCATCTGATTGAGAAGGGCAAGGTACTTAACTCTGTCCATTTTAAGATTTGAGTTGAGAGCCACAGGCAATATGTGACATTGGGATTCTAAAGAGGGAAAGAGGAGTAGTTTGTGGTGCTTGTGGTGGTTGTGCAAGGAAGATTTTGGACAAGAGAGTCTACTGAGGCTGGGACTGCATCACCAGGAACTTTGTAAGAGGTGCTGCAGGCACAGACAGATTCAGGGGCTCAAATGATGCCTCAGTCTCCTCCCTCCATCACTAAGCCCGGCTTGTCCAGCATCAGCTCTATCTCCAGGCCAGCTCTCCTCACCGTGGTAGATGGAGCCTCCGCATGTGGAGTGGCCCGGCTGTGATCCGGCTTAACTTGAGCTTTTATGGCCACCCTTTATTACTTTGCTTCCATGAGAACACACATACCGAGTTCCACACAACTGCTTTATAAATGAGCTTTTGGAAGATAAGTATGCAGAAGCCAGATATGCCCTGTTTCCATCTGGACCAATACCCATGTATTAATCTTCCCACTTCTGGTAACATAAAAACAGCTGGCCAAAGTGTCCTCCAAGCAAAATCCATAAGAGACTCAACCTTGGCCCCAAATGGTAGTTGAGATGTTTTTATACTTTGACTACTTTGTCCTTCCTTGTGACTCCTCTGCCCTCCTCTCACTTCATCCATTCTGTAGTTCCAACCCCAACACCACCATCTTCCCTTCCTGCTCACTCCCACCAAGTCAGACAACACCCATGCTAGAAAGAAGTAGTAACGATTGCACCTGTCACTAAATGATCAGCACCTCTGCTGCCCTAACAGCTTCCCTATGACAGTCATAGCCAGGTAGACAATGGAAGCCTGAATTCACAGAAGTCAGCCGCAGGCAAGTCACTGGGGCTGACTGAGACAGAACCACACCTGAAGGATGACTTCTGGGAAGGCAGCAGCTGGGGCGGGACTGGGAGCAGAAATCAAGATTGTGATGACTTTCACAGTTTTATCTGTAAAGGTCCTTTAAGTGCAAGCCAGAGAAATACATCCCAGACCACGGAAGGGAGAAATATAATTTATTAGAGGGATTTAAGTGTCCACAAAATAGAAAAAAAATCTGACCTGTTTCAGAAAGGACAGGAATTCACATAGTCTTGAGATTCCATACAGAAGAAACCATTTTTGGTCCTTGCTTACAAGGACCAAAACTTCATTGAAGTTTCCAGAGGTTTGGTTGACCCACTCCTGAGAGCCTAGCAATACTCCATGCAAGGGTGCGAGGCTGGTTTCCCAAAGGAAAAATAAGAGGCCATTACCAAGCAGCAGGGAAAAAAATGGTTCTCCATTGCATAGGTCATATTGCAGTATTTGTGGGTTTTCTCCTTCAGACTTTGGGTTTGCCATTCTGTTCTGTTTCCCTTTTCCTCCATGAGAACTAAAGTTACTGGGTAATTCATTCAATAACAACATTTCACAGGCATTTGACTGGGTGCCCCTCTGCTGGTCACTATACACACAAAGGCACAAATAAGACATTATCATGGCCACCAAGGATCAGAAGGGGAAGATGAAACTCCTCCCTGTGCTGCGGGAGAGGCGTGTACAGAGACACTGGAGTTCAGAGGAGGCATGGCCAGGTCCACCCAGGAATAGGGGCTTGAGAAAAGCATCCAGGAAGAGGTGAGCCTGAGTTGTCTCTAGAAAGATAAGGTAGGCAGGGGTTAGGCAGGGAACCCAGGCCTGGGGCGAGTGGCTTGCAGGGTGACATTCTAGGCAGGTGGAATACTTGGAGGAAGGGCAAAGGCACAGCGGCACCAAACATCCTGGATTTTTTTGTTTTGTTTTGTTTTGTTTTTTGAGATGGAGTCTCACTCTGTCTCCCAGGCTGGAGTGCAGTGGCGTGATCTTGGCACTCTGCAACCTCCGCCTCTCGGTTCAAGTGATTCTCCTGTCTCAGCCTCCCAAGTAGCTGGGACTACAGGCGCACGCCACCATGTCCAGCTAATTTTTGTATTTTTAGTAGAGACAAAGTTTCACCTTATTGGTCAGGCTGGTCTCGAACTCCTGACCTCAGGTGATCCACCCACCTCAGCCTCCCAAAGTATTGGGATTACAGGTGTGAGCCACTGTGCCCAGCACATCCTGGATTTTTAAAAGAAGAAGAATATGTTCTTGAATGCTGAGGGCAAAGTGGGTGGTGGTGGGAGAGAAAGCTAGAGAGGAAATCACAGACCAGGCCAGATCATGTAAGGCCTTTGTGGTCAGTGTTAGGACTTTGCAACTAATCTGTAGGCAAGAATTTGAGGCAGAGAAGTGACATGATCTGATTTGCATTTTAGGAAGATCCTGCTGACCCAGAATAAAACATGGCTAGAAAAGTGGAACACTAGAAATGGGGAAAGACTAGAAGATTACTGCAAAACTTGGAGTTACAGATGTCAGGAGCCAGCATCAAGGCAATTGGAATGAGAGTGAGGAAGAGGCAACCTGCAGGTGAGATGTCAAGCAGGAAGCATCTACAGGACTTGGAGCTGATTTGTTAGGATGGTGAGGGCTGGGGAAGCATCTAGGATGGCTCCAGGTTTACGGCTTGGGTGAAGAGGTGGATGGTGACACTGTTTCCCAAAACTAGTGTCTTCAGAAAAGAAAAGGAGTAGGTTAGGAAGAGAAAAAAGAGAAGTACAGGGTCAGATATTGTGTCTTGGGACATCTGTGGGGCAACCACAAGGAGCTCCTCAGTAAGACATTGGATCTCAGCATCCCAGAGCTGGGAGACTTCAGCATATGGGAGGTGGGTGTAGGAGAGTGAGAAGAGAGAAGAGACGATGGCCTCCGGCCTGAGTGCATGGGAGCAGAGAACAAGGAGCCAGTAGACAAGTCTGGGGAGAAACTTTCAGGGAGGAGGAATAAGAGAGTATTGTCTGAGAAGCCAGCAAAGGACAAAGTTTTAAGAAAATGAGTGCTCAACAATATCAGATGTCTCAAAGAACTCACGCATAATAACGCTCAAGAAAAGTCTGCTGGATTTGACATTTAGAAAGTCGTTATAGACCTAAGCTAAAGATCTTTTAGTGGAGTGGTGGGGTCAGAGGTCAGACTGAGTCCAGGGGTGAGTGGTGGGTCAAGCTGTGGGAGCTGTGAACACAGGAAGCTGCCTCCTAACACACTTCCCTTTCCAAAAGCACCATGAGTCCTGGAATGCCCGTGACCCATGCTGCTAGCGCCAAGATGATCTGGGGCTCTAACAAGAACGGACTATGGAGTTGCGCATCATTCATTCAATTATCTATTATTTATCAAGCATCTATAGGGTGTCTTCTATACGCCACGTACTGTACCAGGTACCTGGGCCCAAAAGATGAGTAAGACCCAGGCACTGCCCTACAGATATTCATGTTTTAATGAGGAAATACACGGATCAAACATTGCCAGGTAATCAGCCTGTGTTATAACTAAGTAGGGAAAGATGAAGGAGGTCAAGGAAGGTTTCATGGAGGAGTGACATTTGTCATTACAGACAATGGCCAGCCAAGGAACTCCTTGAAGCAGGGGAGAGGCATGATCAAATTTTTGTTGTAGTTTTATGCAGAAAAGGGATGCATTTTCACAAATTTAATACTTTCACATAACTGGCACCCAGATCAAGAACCAGGACACGACCAGCCCACAGAAGGCCCTCATGACTTTTTCTAGCCACTCATGAATTTTGCACCCTCCCTTTTTTTTTTTAACATAAATAAGTGTATATAGTACTCATTTGTGTCTGCTGTCTTTTGCTCAATGTGACATTTGTGGGATTCTTTCCACAATGCTGCGTAGAGTGGCAGATGGCCACTTTCAGATTTGTTTTTTAAGGAAATGTGGTAAAGATTTGAGTCTTGTGTGTAGATTATGAAAATCAGTCCTTTGCTTTGCTTTGCTGTCCTGGTACATGTGATTAACCAACAACCTTGGCTCCTTGCCCTTCCCCAAATAGAAGTGAGTGGGGCTGGCTCTCCCCATTTCCTCACCTCCCTTTTCAGGATTCACTATTCATTTCTCAAATTGCTCACAGTGTTCTTTGAAATGCAAGTTCTCTTGTATGTCTGCGTGTACAAGATGTGTGTATGCACATGTGCTGCCAGGGTAAAAGGAGAAAGGAATCCTGTAGGGTTTGCCCCACAGTCTCTAGTGCCCCATTTGGGGCAGTAGCAGGTGTGGCTGACAGGCTGTCCCAGAAAGAGACAGGCTAGCTGCAGGGTGTACAGCTGTGACTAACAGAGGGGGAAGGGGAGCAGTGGAGGGGCCCAGTAATGAAGGAACCACCCTCAGAGGAGACCTAAGTCATTACTGTCATTCTAACTGCCACCCTCCCGAATGCACAGGAAGCTTGCAAATCTCAGAGCAATCCATTCCCACTTCTGCTGGAAGAAAAATGAGAAATCCTATACCAGGAGGAATACATAATTCCTGCCTGCCTTCTTAAAAATACATCAAGACCCTACAGAAAATATGCTTTCAAACCTAGCCCCTCCGATACCCAGCAGTCAGGCGGCTTCTGCTGCCTGACAGCGCCTCATAAAATTCCCGCAGGAAGAGGTTATATGACCAATAAAACCTGCCCCCAACGTCTCTCTTGGCTGAACTTTGTCCTCAGAGCCCTTTCTACTTTCCCCGGCCTCTTTCGAGGTTAATAAACTCACATTTTCAAGGGCAGCTCTAGATGTAAAAGAGAGCAGGTTCTTTCCCTCTCTATCTGGTATGAATATTTGTTCTTTCTCAAATTGACACTGGAAATGTTTTGAGACCTAGCCTGCCATTTGGAAAGACCCCAATGTAAATCCCGTAGGACTGAGAGCCTTGTAGGGAGTGGTGAGCTGGGGAGACTCAGAAGACAACGTCTCGTTGCCTTTAAAACATTGACTTTCTCTCTACTTGCATTCATGCTAGCGCTTTGTTATATTCTTTCTCTCCTCTTCCTGTCTCTCTTTCTCTGTCTGTCCATGTGTGAGTTTCCTTGTCTGTGAGAGTGTGATTATTTAATATGTTGGTGAAGTGACCTCTGGCTTAGTAATAATATCCTCCAGTAGCCTCAGAACGTTACTAGGAGCCAAGGCCCTGAGAAGTTGAAGGTTGTGTCCAAGAACTTCTAGCTGCTTAGGGACAGAATTAGGACTAGACAGTGTGAAAAGCCATTGTCTCTCCCCTCCTAAATTGATCTTTCTGTTTTCTGGAGCTGAGTCGCTTACTGTCTCTTCTGGTCTCCACGGATATCTTTTCTGATCACATCAAGACTTTTCTCAAGAAAAACAGGGTATAATAACCACATGAGGTTATTAATGGCAGTTGATGCATAATGTGGACTCCTTGTTCCAAGAATATTTGCATTTCATCAGGGGCAGAGGCATGCACACACCTTGAACAGCCATTCATTCACTTGCCATGTTCCAACTTCTTCTAGCCACATGGTAGGCTGAATTTCTCCATCCCAGTGAAATCAGGGTGACCATGTGACCCACTTTGGCCAATATAATGGAAATGGAAATGACATGAGTCACTTCTGGTGGAAGCTTTGAGAACCAGTATATGGAACCTCCCTCAGTCTGGATCTCTGAGTAGCCAAAAAGAGCACAATCCCTATACTGATCTATGCTAGGCCTGTAGGGAAGTAAGAAATAAATTTTGTTGAATTAAGCCTCTGATATTTGGGGGATGTTTGTTATTGCAGCATAAACTAGCATACTCTTTCTGATAAACATGTCATGGATTTCAGGCATTGAAAATTGTATGCCCAGCAGCACTGGACCTGGACCATTGAGAGGCCATGCGCCACGTTGTTGTGCTCCAGCATTCTTCTATAACCACAGACACCAAGCCACAGTCTTGAGTACGTGATGTGTACCCAGCATCTCTTGGTTGTACTTACTGGAGAACTTGTTGACTTGAAGGCCAAAGGAAAGTGAGCCCAGGCCACCAAACACATCTTTCCCTCTTCTCCAGGGCCAGACACCTCCAAGAGTAAGTGTGCCCAGGCAGGGCCTATTGGTCAGGTCCAGAAGATGATATGGTCTGGGCTATAAGGCCAGGTTGTGTAGGTTACTGAATTGTGATTGGCATGCCTTTGTCCCAATTTGCTTTTCCCCATGGGTTTAAATTACTTGAACAACCTATTTGCTTTCCTCTAAAATTAAAATGTAACTTTTTTGCAGTCAGCGTTACAGTGAGTTGCTAAATCCATCCTTGTCATCCATTGTAAATTCAGCTCAACTTCTCGATTTTATTGAGAGCCCACTATGTGCCATTAGAGATAGTTCCTGCCTTTGCATTTGCAGTCTAGCAGAGACTGCAAGATGGGCATGTTAACAAGTAAGCAGAACAAAATGTGAGTCCTGTATGTAGCCCATTCATTGAAGAAACATTTATCAAGAGCCATCATTTCCTAGGTAATAGACATTGCAGAAAGTGTAGAGGCTGACCTAGAGTGGGATGGAAACATTTGGAAGCAATTGCCTCTTTTCTGGAGGATGGATGTGTTCCAGTTACAATCACTTCATAACAAATCTTTGTTGCTTAAAACAGCCATTGTGTTAAACTCACAGATTCTGTGGGTTGGGGATTCAGGCAGTGTGCAGTGAGAATGGCTTATCTCTGGTTCTCAACATCACAAAAGTCACTAAGGCTGAGGCTGATGTCATGGCTGGGGACTGGAGTCATCTGGAGGCTCCTTCACTGACATGTCAAGCACCTGGGCTGGGATGACTCAAAAACTGAGTTCACCTGGGACTGACAACCTACACATAGCCTTTCAATGTGGCCTGAGCTTCTCATAACATAGAAGCTGAGTCTCAAAAGAGAACATCCCAGAAAGGACATCAAGACAGTTAGTGTTCCAGTAGAAGCACGTGCACGTTGCATGGCCTTTTGTGACCTAACCTCGGAAGTCTGGCAGTGTCATCCCTCTGTATTCCATTTGTTGTAATAGTCACTAAGGCCAGGCCAGATTTCAAGGGTGGCACACAGATGCCACCTCTTAATGGGGATGTGTCCAAGAATTTGTAGACATATTTGAAACCACCACAGTTTGGGAGAAAGCAGAGCTTGCTAGTTGTCTAACTACGTTCCATTTTTACCTTCCTAGTAACAGAATCCCTATGTTATCAGTTAACTCAGATTTTTTAAAATCTACTTTTCCTGGCCTCCATAAAAGATGTGTGTCCAATGAGAAGAAAGGAGAAGTCATTGGATGAGCCTTTGGGAAAGTTATTTTATAAACTTTAAAGAATCTTCATAGGATAGTATACTCTTCTAGAAAGTGTCTCTTTCCCCTTCTCCTCTTCTTTATTCTCCCTGCCTGGAATGCAGATGATAGAGTTGGAGCTCCAGTAGCCATCTTGAGACCATGAGGCAATCCTGAGAAGGAAAGCTACACATTAAGGATGAGGGAGCAGAAAAATTAAAGAATACCAGGTCCTGGGAGACATTGTGGAGCCAACATGCCTACCCTGCCTTTTGAATGTCAAGTTATAAGACAGTAAAATACATGTCTATTATATTTGGTGGTGTCTGTCACCAAAATCAATCCCTAACTGACACAAGCGATCAGAAAGAGTTAGATCAGAAAGGAGGAAATGTAATTTTTTTTGGTAAAGTAATAATTGCACAAGCATTTGCTAAAATGAGAAGGAGGTTGCCAGATAAAGTAAGGAAAGACCTTTCATGCAGAGGGAACAGTATGGTTAAAATATCAAGGAAACCACTTGATCACTTTCTCCTGAAAAAATAACATATATTAGAGTGGCTTGGTGAGGTTACTTCAAATTATATTTGATGATTCCAGAGGAAGAAATAGTAGAACTTCAGGTATGCTGAGAAAGGTAAGATGGCACACCGATATTTCACAATAAGTTGCAAATAAATGCCTTTTATTTTGTATCCTAGCTAATAAACAGTTACACGGAAACTCCAAATAACTGTGTAAATGGTCAAGAACTCTTTGTAGACTTCCAAGCTGATTTTGGAGACGTCTATACCTCAGTCAATAATGAGACATTTAATTCTTTGGCTATGTCAATTATGTTATTCTTTAGTTTTAGAATGACTCATTGGGATATGGTCACCCTCAGTGCCAGAAAATGAAACCCATATACGTTGTAAGGGATCAGTTTGCAGCTGATTATTATTGATATAATGAGAAACAATTTTTAAAATATTCTTGGGCCAATGTTCCGTTGTATGTTCAAATTCCCTGAAATGACTAACTTTCAGAGCCTCCAAGAAGGCTGGCCAATTTCTTTAAAAAAAAAAAAAAGTAGATCATTTTAATTTCTACTAAAAAAAAAAAAACTACAAAAAAGGTGAGCTGAATTCTTTATGCTTTTTTTGTTTTGTTTTGTAGAGAGAGTCTCATTGTGTTGCCCAGGCTGGTCTAGAACTTCTGGCCTCAAGTGATCCTCCAGTCTCAGCATCCCTAGGAGCTGTGACTACAGGCATTGCCACTACAGTCTGCTAATTTTTTTTTTTTTGTATAAAGGAAGTCTCTCTATTTTCCCCAATCTATTCTCAAACTCCTGGCCTCAAGCGATCCTCCTGCCCTGGCCTCCCAATGTGCTGGGATTACAGGCATAAGCTACCATGCCCAGCTTGTATACTTAATTTTTGAACAAGCCTCCAGCTCCCACCTTCAGCTGCTCTTCTGAGAGAGAATGAAGAGTGGTGGTAAACAGCATAGGCTCCTGAGAGCTGGCCCTCTGACTAGCTGTGTGATCTTGGGCTAGAAACTTAGTGTCTCTGTGCCTTAATTTCTTCAATATAAAACGGTAATAATTTATGCCTACTTCAGAGAGTTGTGAGGTTTAATAGAGCTCAGCTTTGAAAAGTACTTAAAACAGTGTTTGAAATATGGAATTCAATAAATGTCAGTTATTGCAAATGCTAATTTTCAAAATATGTCTGTACCTCTTAGAACATTATAGCTCCTTTGGGGTCACATGTCTTGCCAGTTTCACTCAGTGCTAGTGTAATGTCATACGCATAATTGACACTCAGTAAATACTTACAGGCTGAGTTGGTTGATTTTAACACCCCCTCTCAAAGAATTAGCTCACATTAAATTAGAAAGAAACAGGGCTGAGGGAAATTATTGTGTTTTTTGTTTTTGTTTATAGATTTTACAGCACATAGTTATAATTTAGAAGTCCATTCTGATTTATTCATCACTCATTTTAATAGTCAGGGAATCAGGTAAATAAACAAACCCACTTTTCCCTCAAATTATTTGATGATGAAATAATATTTGTCTAGATAAGGCTTTATTTGCAGCTAATGTTCCGATGCCATTCTCTACTCATTACCACCCTCTCTCTCCATCCATCAAGCTGTCATTGCACTCCTACTGTGTGCTATGCAGCAGCTATGGTGCTGCATAACTACACACATTTCCCATGCCATGGTAGTGCTGACAATCTAGTGAAAGACAAATCATCACAAATAATCACACACAAAGAGGCAAAATTGTCATTATAGCAAGTGCCCTAAAGAAAAACAGTGAGAGTGATGTTTTTCTGAAGAACTGAGGCATATATATGTATATATAATACATATGTGTATATGCATGTGTCTGTTCACACACTTGTGTGACTACATACATATATGGATATATGCAAATGCCGTACTTGTGCTTTTGTATTTGTGGCATCATGAATTTTACTGGTCAACAGTTAACAATCTAGACCAAACTGCTACTTTTATGTAACATTGGAATAAAAGTAGCCAATCACTTTTTCTTTTTTGAGACAGGGTCTGGCTGCTCAGGCTGGAGTGCAGTGGTGCAATCTGGGTTTACCATAACCTCTACCTCCGGGGCTCAAGCTGTCCTCCCGCGTCAGCCTCCTAAGTAGCTAGGACTACAGGTGGATACCACCATGCCAGGCTAATTTTTGTATCTTTATTATTATTATTATTATTTTGTAGGGTTTTGTCATTTTGCCCAAGCTGGTCTCGAACTCCTGAGCTCAAGCAATCCACCTGCCTTAGTCTCCCAAGGTGCTGGAATCACTGGCATGAGCCACCATGCCTGGCCAATCACTTTTTCATTATGCATATTCCATCTCTCCTCCTTTCCAACTATTAATAATAGTAACATTTGTTGAGCACTAACTAATACCGTGTTAAAGACTTGGAGGCAGCCAACAGCATTGTGAGGCAGGAGCTGCTATTATCCCCATTTCCAGATGAGAAACTGAGGCTAGGGGAGTTCAATACCTTATTAAAAGTCAGCCATGGCAGGTTGTATCTCTGTCTCTGCATCAAACAGAGTATGGAAATAGATGTTATGGAAGCCAGCAATGTACAGGAACTGGATGGAGATGCAGGGAGCAAGGATGTGGCAATGGATCAATCTGCAACACAAGAGCTGGGCTTGGGAGAAACAGTAGAGCTGGAAACTTACTGCACCAACTAGCTTGACTGCTCCTATCACTTCAATGGCCTCTTTTGTTCACATGGCATCTCATCTCAACCCTGTCTCAAGGTTCCAGGCATGATTTGCCAACTGTATTCTGGACACTGATGGTGTCCAGCACTTCAAGCTCAGTAGTACCAAATTTATCATCCTCCACCTGCACTCCATCTTCTATTTCACTCCTGTTCTCTCATCGCCATTTTTGGCCTTATTTTAAGTTCATCTTCAGCTTCTCCCACCCCCAACATGAAGTTGCACACAAGGTGAGTTGTTTGCATCTCCAAAACATCCTACTGAACCCCAAGGTTCTTCACTCTTATGGCTCTTGTCTAATGACTTGGCTCCAAGGGTTCTCTGTCAGATGTGTCTTTCTCCACTGACGTTCCCACCCCCCATTCCTCAAAATCTGGGTCCCTGCATGACAATCCAGATGTCTACCTCATGCCTCTGAGCATAGGTGTTGAGAACCATTACTGTGCTTAAAATGTGAGAGGCTCTGGCCAAGCTGAAGACCCCAAGGGATTTCTGGGACAGAAAAGTAGGTCAAGTTTCTCCTTTAGGAATAGACGCTGGTGTCAGTAGATGCACTGCTCTTTGAAAATTGAACTTGGCAATTCCTCAAAAGCATTTGGATCATCCCCAATGCCATGCTAGCAGGCCCTCCAAAGAATCAGGCTTCCTGACTGTCCTGAAATAATCTGTGAGGGAAGCCAGCTGCTCAGAGAATCTGGGGCCAACTTTTCAGGAGCCTGCGCCAAGTTATACTTCTGTGTAATGCATGTTTCAGGGTGTGTGGATGTGGAGACTGCATGTGCCTGGGTGTGTGGGCAGGTGGCATCTGGTTTTCCCAGGGCAGAAGGTAGGAGAATGATGTCCAGCCAGAGAGAGGGATGAGACTAGTAAAAACTGCTAGTAATTGGGACCCTTTTGGAAAGACTGAATTTAAAAGAAAACAAACTTCCATGTTTGCGCCAAATATTAATGACCACCAATATTTGTAAAGAACTTAATGGTTTAAAAGCATTTCACATAGGGTATCTATCTCATTTAGTTCTTATAAAAATGCCAGAGGAAACTCTGATTGTTCCACCACACAACTCTCTTTCAAAGTATTCGTCACAATGACAATTATGCATTTCGAGATTTAAAAAAATAGCTGTCTTCCCTATTAAACTATAAGAATCATGAGGACAAAATCCGTGCCCAGCACCTACAGTAATGCTCTGACATGTAATAGGTGCTCAATTAATATTCAGTAAATGAGCTGGGCACAGTAGTGCTCACCTGTAGTCCAAGCTATTTGAGAGGATGAAGCAGGAGGATAGAATGAGCACAGGAGTCCGAATTCAGCCTGAGTAACAGAGCAAGACCTGTCTCTGAAAGAAACATTTTTTAAAAATTCAGTGAATGAAGAAATTCAGTAAGCAAATACATAATTGTATAAATGAGCAGAAGATGTTATATAATAGAGTTGTATCAAAACATTATCTAAGGTAACACACACCCCAGACAAATACGCATCTGGCTCTTTTAAATAAAGGGAGATTGTTTTATTATTTATTTATTTATTTACTTTATACCTAATGTACCAACAGATATTTTTCAAGTTTTTGCTTTGAACTAATTATAGATTCAGAGGAAGTTGCAAAGAAATGTGCAGGGAAGCTCTATGTATCCTTCACTCCTCCTCTGCCAATGTTAAAATCTTGCATAACTATAGTACAATTCCAACAGATTTTTTAAAATACTGTGTTTTTCTAAAAACAAACAAAACCAACCACCTAGGCCGGGTGCAGTGCCTCATGCCTGCAATCCCATAACTTTGGGAGGCCAATGTGGGCGGATCACTCAAGGTCAGGAGTTCGAGACCAGCCTGGTCAACATGGTGAAACCCCGTCTCTACAAAAAATACAAAAATTAGCCGGGCATGGTGGCGCATGCCTTGAACCCTGGAAGTGGAGGCTGCAGTCAGCCAAGATCGCACCACTGCTCTCCAGCCTGGGTGACAGAGTGAGACCCTGTCTCAAAAATACAAAACAAATAAACCCTAAAGAATAGAATGAATCATACTTGATACAGTAGACCATCTCTCTTCACTGTGAGGCTGAGGGGCTTATCCTGGGAAAGCCCTGCCATGATATGGAAACTCCCTCTTCATTAAAGTGAATATGGAGGGCAATCAATAGGGGGCCCCTGCACCCCCCTCCAGGTGCACATACACCTGGGTACCAGACACACAGGTACCTGCTCTCCATCTCTGCATTTTTGGAGCCCTCCAGAGTTTCCTTGCCCTTCCTTAAGACTTGAGAGCAGAGCCTCAGAGTTTGGTTTACCATTTTTCTGCAATTACTGAGTCTGAGACATTTGACGTTCACTGTCAGTGGTCATTAGCAATATTACTTAGGGAATAAACCTAAAACTTCTTTCACCTTTGTAAGTGGTGCTTACTGGAATGGAAATTGAATCCTGGAGGCTGTGTGTCACGCAGGGGATCCCCCTACCCTGACAATGTATATTCTTGCCACATCAAACAAACCCTGGAACATGTTTGACAAATCAGAAGCCCAGTGTGTGTTTTTCTTCTGCAGTGTACTTGAGATGTTTTCAGCAAGATAGGCCGACCATCCATCCCATCTGCCACTCCTTAATGTGGTAGGAACAAAGCACTCTGCTTACCTACTTACCTGCAGCCAAACTGGGAGTCCTTTTTTTTTTTTTTTTTTTTGAGACAGAGTCTCACTCTATCACCCAGGCTGGAATGCAGTGGTGTGATCTCGGCTCACTGCAACCTCCGCCTTCCGGGTTCAAGCAATTCCCCTGCCTCAGCCTCCCAAGTAGCTGGGACTACAGGCGTGCACCACCGTGCCCAGCTAATTTTTTGTATTTTAGTAGAGATGGGGTTTCACCATGTTGGCCAGGCTGGTCTCGATTTCCTGACCTTGTGATCTGCCTGCCTCGGCCTCCCAAAGTGCTAGGATTACAGGCGTGAGCCGCTGTGCCCGGCCTGGGGACTCCTTTAGTAGACAGGCGTGAAGTTGAAGATTGAGTTGAAAGCATCTTCATTCTTTGAACCCCCAATGTAGTATCCTATTACTTTAGCACCTGTGCCAGATGTTGACATCGTTCATTCCTACATCCATCCCCATCTCCACAAACAAACTGGAAGATGAAAACAAGGACTACACCTGGAATAGTTCTCTCAGTAAGTGTGGATTCAGTGCAGAATAAATGAAATCAATATTGAATGGCAATTCTTGATTTGTTTTGAATAAAATTTGAAATGATGAACTGCCCATCTTCACCAGCCAGGTAATCTGGCCCAAATAAATCTTAGGCTCAAATTTCTCTCACATGTCGTTCTCTCCTGGTGTTATCTTGGCACTGTTTTGGGAGCAGAACAGACATGATTTGATTTCTAATATGCTTTCTCCTCATATCTGCTTGTGGGTCAGGGTGCAGGGTCAGGAGCAGATGGCAGAGGCATGAGAGAGCTTTGCGCATTGCAGTGCGGAAGCATGTGGGCCTTTCTGAGTAACTGAAAACCCTAGGAAACTATACATATAGGGTAGTGGCTAGGCCATATATCCAGGGTCCATTCAAGCTTGGTTGCTTCCCAGAAAGGACTTTTAACATTTTCTGTTTTGCTTTGCCTTAAAGTATTTGACTTGGTTGTCTGCATGATGATCAAACAAATTAGACAATATACACAGTGAGGCCAATCTCACATTTTAAAAGGAAATGGGAAGTTTTTCTGATTGACAGTTTTTAAATGATAAAAAATATACTTTTTTTTTTGAGACAGAGTCTCACTGTTTCACCCAGGCAACGTCTGCCTCCTAGGTTCAAGCAATTCTCCTGCCTCAGCCTCCCGAGTAACTGGGATTACAGGTGCCTGCCGGCACGTCCAGCTAATTTGACATTTTTCATTTAGTTTATTTTATTTGTATCTATTGGGATATTCTGGGATACTTCTGGATCTTTACCCCCGAGAGCCTTCTAGGATCACAAAACCACAAAAGAAGACAGATTGAAGAATTCAGCTCTGTCTAAATTTGTGATTAGCCCAAAGACTTCTCAGGCAGATGTAACAAGATGCCAACAAATTTAAATTAGAAATTCTTCAGGCTGAAGAAAACAAATTTGACAAGTGATGTTATAAAGCAATACTAAATTATACCATTTGGAAGTTTTTTGTTCCACAAATAATGTCACTCACCTACCATGTTGAACTTTATAAACAAATGCTTGTCTTCTAAGCAAAGAGCCTCAGGCTGCCAGGGACCACAGTATCTCAATAAGCATGGTGATATGTCCCTTGGGTGTGTCTTCTATTAATATCATTTCATTTCTATGTTTTTGGAAGTCTATTGTCCTGATCCTTCCTGTACCATTTCTTTCCAACTTTTTAAGTAAATATAGATTGACCTTATTCTAGGTTCTATGGGGTTAGGAGAACATAAATATATTAAAAAATAAAATACACAGTTCCATCTTCCGAAGTGCTTATTTATTTAATTTGGAATATGTGGTACAAACATTCACCACTAGAAAGTTAATTTTTCTGTAAAGGTCAGTTTGTTAATTATGAAATGTATAAGTACTTTCAATATTTATCAAGTCTGATAAATATGGCACTCCACATAGATTTTTGTTGGACATTAACCGTGGAAATGCCTCATGTAAATGAAAGACACTGGTAATTATTTGGACTTGAGAAATTTCATATGCAACAAGAGACACAACAGATCGCTTTCTTTGAGCCAAGATTAGAACAAAGGTTTCCTTTATTATCTTGTTGAAGATGACCAAGGTCGGCCATGGATAATGGATCCAGTCTTTTTTTTTTTTTTTTGAGGGAAAGCCTTGCTGTGTCGCCTAGGCTGGAGTGCAATGGAACAATCTCTGCTCACCAAAACCTCCACCTCCCAGGTCCTAGCAATTCTTCCACCTCAGCATCCCGAGTAGCTGGGACTACAGGCGTGCGCCACCATGCCTGGCTAATTTTTTTTTTGAACTGGTGAAGTTTTATTAAATCCACAGAAGTAAAAACCATGTTATGAGGAACTGGGAGATGGGGCCACCAGGAGGTGGGAGTCAGGCCACCAAGGGAGTGGGGGTGGGGTGAGAAGACAGGGAACAGAGCCAGGCTGGGCTGCCCATGGGGACTCCAGCCTCAGGGGCCATCACCAGGGCCACCAGACAGCTCCTGGGAACTCAGGAAACCTGGCTAATTTTTGTAGTTTTAGTAGAGACAGGGTTTCACCATGTTGGCCAGGCTGTTCTCAAACTCCTGACCTCAGGTGATCCGCCCATCTTGGCTTCCCAAAGCGCCGAGATTACAGACATGAGTCACCACACCCAGCCTGGATCCAGTCTTTCTAGGTACACTGCAGCTAAGTTGATCTGCAGTAGCCTGATGATGGTTTTCTGCTGCTGGGTATCCCCAACCAGGGGATAATCCTTCCCAAAGTCACATATGAAACAGCCCCTTTTCTTATTTCCCTTCTGGCTTATTATGTCCTCACTTTCTTTGAGGTGACTAGTACAAGTATCAAATCTCAAAAGGTAATTCGAAGGGCTTTTCAGTATGTGCCCAAATCCAATGCTCTGAAATTTTTCTTGGTGCTGTTAAATATCACTGTACATTTTAGCCAAACATGGCTGGACTTCTCTTTTTCTTTTCCATAGTAGTCAATGTGTTCATGCTGTGTGCAACAGAAGGAGAAAAACGCTTATTTCCATATTTATTTTGTGTGTTACTTCGCCCCCAAGTGATTGATCATTTAAAGTGAGGTATTTAACATGCTTCTTTAAAAGCATTGAATTAGTTTGCTTTCTTCCTCTCCAATGCTGACTTTCAGCATAAGAAGGCATACAGTGATGTTAAAAACAACATCAAACAAACAGAATTTGTATTTTTTGAGCAGGTTTATTGAAATATAATCAATATACTGTACGATTTAGCAATTCATCACACACAATTCAATAGTTTTTATAAATTCACAGAATTGTACCACCTTCACTTACTGTGTAATTTTAGAACCTTTTTATCATCCCCTAAAAATCTCTCTTGCCATTAGCAGTCACTCATGTTTCCTCTTCTCTCAAGCCCCTGGCAACATCTGATCTACATTCTATCTGTATAGGTTTGACTATTCAGCACATACAAATAAAATCATATAATATGTGATCCTTTGTGACTGGCTACTTTCCCTTAGCAAAATGTTTTCAAGGTTCAATCATCATATTAGTCCTTCATTTTTTTTTTATTTTTTTTTATTTACTTTTTTTAAAGAGACAGAGTCTCACTCTGTCATCAAGGCTGGAGTGTAGTGGTGCAATCACAGCTCACTGCAGCCTTGAACTCCTGGACTCCAGCAATCCTCCCATCTCAACCTCCCAAAGCACTGGGATTACAGACCTGAGCCACCGCACCTGGCTTCATTTCTTTTTATTGCTGAGTATTATTCCTTTGCAAGGTTATATTATATTTTGTTTATCCTTTCATCAGTTACAGACATTTGGGTTGTTTCTACTTTTTGGCTATTATTCAATAATACTGCTATGGATGTGAGTTTGAGTAGACATATACTTTCATATCTCTTGAATTTAAACCTAGCAGTAGAATTGCCAGGTCATACGTTAATTCTCTGTTTAACATTTCAGGGAGGTGCCAAACTGTTTTCCAAAATAGCTGGACAGTTTTACATTCTCACCAGCAATTAATGTGGGTTTCAATTTTTCCACATACTTGTTAATACTTGTTATTGTGAATTTTTTTGATTGTAGCCATCCTAGTAGGTGTATACTGGTATCTCATTGTGGTTTTAATTTGCATTTCCCTAATGACCAGTAAGGTTGAGTATATTTTCATGTACATGTCGGATGTTTGTATATCTTCTTAGAGAAATGACTATTTCGACCCTTTTCCTATATTTAAATTGGGTTATGTCTTTTTATTTCTGAACTTGTTGTCTGATTCCCTTAACAAGCATACAATTTGCAAATATTTGAAAATATTTTCTCCCATTTTGTGGGTTGTCTTTTCACTTTCATGATGGTATCTTTTAAAGCAGAGAAGTTTTAAATTTTGTTAAAATACAATTTTTGTTTTCTTTTGTCACTTGCGCTTTTGGTGTCATAACTTAAAAACCAAAAAACAAACAACAACAACAAAATACTATTACCTAACCTAAGGCAACAATGATTTACTTGTTTGTTTTCTTCTAACAAATTTCTAATTTTGAGCTCTAACATGTACATACATGATTCATTCTGAGTTGATGTTTGCATGTGGTATAAGGAGGGAGTCCAGCTTCATTCTTTTGCACGTGGACAATCCGCTTTCCTGAAACCATTTGTTGAAAAGACTCTTCTTTTTCCCATTAAGCTGTCTTGGCACCCTTGTTAAAAACCAATTAACCATAAATATACGGGTTTATTTTCTGGACTCTCAATTCTATGCCATGGATTGATATGGCTATCCTTATGCTGGTACCACACTGAATTATTGTAGCTTTGTAGTAAGTTTTGAAATTGTGAAGTGTGAATCCCCTATTTTTTGTTCTTTTTCAAGATTTTTTGGCTATTCTGGGTCCTTTGAATTTTCATATGAATCCTAGGATCAGTGTGGCCATTTCTACAAATAAACCAGCTAGAATTTTGATCAGGATTGTGTTGAATCTGTAGATCAGTTTGGGGAATATTGCCATCTTATCTTTCTACTGTATCAGCTATATTTCCATTAATTATTTTTGTTTCTATCCATGAGTGAGATGTCTTTCCATTTATTTGTGCCTTCTTCAATTTCTCTCAACAATATTTTGTATCTGAGTATAACTTTTATACTATGTTACGTTATTCCTAAGTATTTCATTATTTTTGATGCTGGTGTAAATGGGATTGTTTCCTCTTTCTTCCTCTCCTCTCCTCTCCTCTTCTCTTTTTTCTTTTCCTTTTCTTTTTCTTTTGTTTTTTCTTTCAAGAGACAGGGTTTCACTCTGTTGCCCAGGCTGGAGTTCAGTAGCAAGATCTAAGCTCACTGCAACTTCTGCTTCTCGGGCTCAAGCACTTCTCCAGCCTCAGCCTCCCAAGTAGCTGAGACTACAGTTGTGAACCATCAATGCCTGGCCAATTCTTTTATTTTTAGTAGAGATAGGGTTTCACCATGTTGCCCAGCCTGGTCTCAAACTCCTGAGCTCAAAGTGGTCAGCCCCCCTTGGCCTTCCAAAGTGCTGGGATTGCAGGTGTGAGCCACTGCACCCTGCCTAGAGTTGTTTTCTTAAATTCATTTTTGGATTGTTCCTTGCTGGTGCATAGAAATACAATTGATTTTTTTTTCATTAATCTTGTATCCTGCAATCTTGCTGAATTCTTTTATTAGTACTATTTTTTTTAGTGGATTCTTTAGGATTTTCTATATATAAGATTATGCCTTCTTCAAATAGTGATAGCTTAATTCTTCTTTTCCATCTGGCTGCACTGTATTTCTTTGTCTTGCCATATCGCTCTGTCTAGAACCTCCAGTACAATATTGAATAAAAGTGGTGAGAACAGATTTGTCTTATTTCTGATCTTAAGAGGAGAACATTCAGTCTCTCACTATTAAGTGTAATGAAAGCATTTATTGTTATTATGTAGAATTGCTTGCTATCTATGCTGGAATGTTCTGGGTTGAGGGATATAGATATAAATGTATATATTATGATATAAGACAGATAGATAAATGATCAGCTAAGATATTGATTGTTGATCCCTGGAACTTTCTTTGCTTTGTTTTGCTTTGTTTTATTTTTTGTTTGGACCTCGGGTAAGGAAACATGAGTTAACCATGTTCATCAGTTCTATTATCATTATCACCATCATGCTGATATCAGCAGTCCACTGCAAGGCCCCTCATTTGCTTTATTTTTGTTTTTCCCTTTGTATTCCTAATTCTCATATCTATTCTCCTCTCCCTGTCCTAGACACCCATTCTAATGTGCTGATGTACATCCCTAATATGCATGTACCTTTAAAAACACTTGGTGCTGTTCTATATCTTTGTGAACTGTTAATGCACATAAATGATATTAAAGGTGATATGCTATATATATTAGTCTGTTTCCTGATTTTTTAAATCATTTTGCTTTATCATATCTCTCATGCTGCTGAATATACATTTAAATGGTTGCTTTTAATGCTTCATCGTATTCTATTGTGCATGCACCAATTTTCTTTATCTTGCTGCATTGTGATAGACAGTAAGTTGTCCTTCTTCACACCTTGGGGGCACAAACAATGCTGTGATGAAGATTCTCATTCATATTTTCTTGCAGACCTATCCAAGAATTTCTCTAGGATATTCAAGAGAGGAATTTCTGCCTCTTTTGGCTTAAACATATTTAATTTCATAAAACAACATCAGTTCGTTTTTCAGAATGTCTAAGTTTACATTCCAACAGTAGTGCATGGAAGTTCTTTGTCTATCCACATCTTTTTCAACTTGTTTTTATTTTTTAATGTTTTAAACTTTGCTGTTATTAGGGGTGCAATGTGTGTTTTGTTTTAATTTTTATTTATCTAATTTCTAATGAAGTTGAGGACTTTTTTCATAAATTTCTGTCTTTGCTATCTGTGAAATGCTTATCCATATTCTTCACCTATTTTTCCATTGGAGTTCTTATGTTCCTTGTTGATTTGCAGGAGTTATTGGTATATTTAAAATATTAACCCTTGTCAGTTTTAGATATTTCAAATATTTTCTGCTAGATGAGAATCAGTCTGTTTTTATGATATTATTATTAATAAATATGTTTTTGTTCTGTGGAGCTAATAGAATAAAAGTATGACAATGGTCTCAGCTCGTTGCAGCTTGACAATATATAGGAAAAATTTTAGAAGTACCAAAGACTGGAGTATGTATCCTCTCAGATCCAAAAGAGATTCTGATGTTGGTGGCTGACATCTCACAAAATTCTTGGTTCTGTATTCAGTGACCACTCCTCATTGATTTTCTTTCCATACTCCTTCTCTTCCTTTATTTTGAAGCAACTTCATAAATGGAGAGTGATCATATTTAAAAACACTAATGGGACACTCATTAGAATAACCTTTAAAAAATGTTGGATGGGATGTGAAGAAATTGGAACCCTTGTGCGTTGTTGAAAGGGATGTAAAATGGTGTAGGCACTATGGAAAACAGTATGTAGTTCCTCCAAAAATTAAACATAGAAATACCATATGATCCAGCAGTCCCACTTCTAGGTATATACCCAAAAAAGCCCTAGCGTTGGTGGTATAGTGGTGAACGTAGTTGCCTTCCAAAAGAATTGAAAATAGGGACTTGAACAGATGTTTGTATGCCCATGTTCATAGCAACATTATTCACAACAGTCAAACAATAGAAACAATATAAATATCCACCAACCAATAAATGAATAAACAGAATGTGGTATATATACAAATGGAATATTATTCAGACTTAAAAAAGAATAAAGTTCTGATACACTACAGCATGGATGAACTTTTTAGACATTATGCTAAGTGAAATAAGCAAAAAGACAAATACTGTATGATTCCTCTTGTGTAAGGTATAGAGAGTAGTCAAATTCATAGAGGTAGAAAGCGGAATGGTCATTGGCAAGGACGACATAGCCAGGGAGGTGAAAATGGGGAGTCGTTGTTTAATGGGTACTGATTTTCAGCTTGGGAAGATAAAAAATGTTCTGGAGTGGATGGTGGTGATGCTGTACAATAATGTGAATGTAGTTAATGCCATTGCACTTACACTTCAAAATGGCAAAGATTTGTAAATTTTATATTTTTTATTTTTTTAAAAAGCATCAACAGGTAAATTGATGTCTATATACATTTGCTGCATTCACCTATGAAAATGATTTATTTTCATTCTGGGCCATGGGATCTTCTTCTATCCCTTGTGTGGAGGCTGAGTTAAAGCCTGATGCTTAGAAAGTCCCTGGGATGGAAATCCCTTTGCATTGTAGAGCTAGCAATCTAACACCTGAAAATCAGGTAATAGGTCTGGTGACAGGCTGTTGTTGAGTGAAGTGGGATTGCGAGCCAGAACATTAATGAGATAGCTTCCTGCATTAGCAGGGAGTAAAAGTGTGTGAGAGAGGATACTGACAGCCCTCCTGAACACTCACTGTGGCCTGGCCACGTGAGTTCACTGATTCAGGCATAGTTTAGTAACAGATAAGAAAGGCACTAGGGAACCCCTAATCCCTTCAACATCAAGTCTATCTATAACCCATTCAAGCAAGCTGCTGCCCCCACTGCATCCACATGTCCAAGTGTCTGCTTTCCCTTGACACATGAGCTAATGGAGGTCTTGGTTGCTCATAGGCATCTACCAGCAAATTCGCCAATGTGCCTGGGTCTGTGCTGTCAGACAGCTCTCCACAGTTAAATGAATGATTGCAGCAACATCTTTTTCAAAAGTCGACATACCCGGGGATAATACAGACCCAGAAAAGTCATTTCCTCTGGAAAGAGTTCAAGGAGATTGGAGGCTGACTGTGGTGATGAACTGATCTATAATTGTGACAGGCTAATATTGTCCCTGGGTGCTGCAACAGGCTTCAAGCATGAAAGAGCTCAGGAAACAATCTCTTTAAAAAAGATGAAGCACAGATAATGGTTTTATTTTGTCTGAACCAAATAGGAAATCACATGCTAAACCCTTTCAATCACTTTGCAATGTCATTACCCCACTCCATCAACACTGCTCATAACCTCTGACAGCTACAAGAAGACCTCCATGATGGCATTTATTTCAGGGAAATGGATGTATCAGCTATTTGTGTGACCTCGGAGAGGAAACATTTGCAAGCTGGGAAGTGTCCACAGAAGCCGTTCTTCTTGGTGGCTGTGGAGGAGTGAAGTCGACACTTTGTTGCTGGAATCGGATCCTTTTTGAAAATAGATGTATGGAAGAAAATGCCACCCCACTCTCTCCTTACCACCTCTTCTCTATTCAAGTTTTCCCTAGCATCATGATAAACATCTCTCTCGAAAATAAGCAAACAAAGAAATGGGGCTGCGTACTCCATTCTGGAACTTTCACTGGCCTCTGACATTTTTGGGGTAGCCTTCGACATCCTCAGCCCGGACTATCCCCTGCCTCGCGCCACCTGCTGTTGAGAAACCATGAGACGGTTCTGCCTGCACACCTCCCAGCAGGCAGATGACATACAGGGCACACTCTCCTTTTGGTTTTTTCATTCCACTCTTGACTATTTTTATTTTTATTTATTTTATTTATTTTTCTAAATGTAAAATCATATACACCCCCACATCCAAAATGAGGAATATAGGCCGGGCGCAGTGGCTCATGCCTGTAATCCCAGCACTTGGGAGGCCGAGGCAGGCGGATTGCCTGAGGTCAGGAGTTCGAGACTTGGACATCTCTAAAATACAAAAATTAGCTGAGCGTGGTGGCACATGCCTGTAATCCCAGACACTCAGGAGGCTGAGGCACGGATAATCACTTGAACCTGGGAGGCAGAGGTTGCAGTGAGCCAAGATCGTGCCACTGCACTCCAGCCTGGGTGGCAGAATGAGACTCTGTCTCATAATAATAATAATAATAATGAAGAATATAAAATTGTGAAACTTTTCACTTTCCCAGTTCTCTCTATGAAGCGAAACGGTGTTTCTAAGATATTCCAGAACTAGAGTTTGGGAATTCACACTTTTTTTTTTTGAGACAAAGTCTTGCTGTGTCACCCTGGAGTGCAGTGACAGGATCATAGCTCACTGAAGTGTGTATCTTCTGGGCTTAAGCTATCCTCCTGCCTTAGTGTCCCAAGTAGCTGGGACTACAGGTGTGTGCCACCATGCCTGGATAATTTTTAAATTTTGTTTAGAGGTAGTTCTCTCTATGTTACCCAGGCTGGTCTCAAACTCCTGGCCTTAAGTGATCCTCCCATATCAGCCCCTTAAATTGCAGGGATTACAGGCATGAGCCAACACACCCAGCCAATTAGCACACTCAAAAAGACACATTAAATGCTTCTCCTGTTCTCAAGAAGGGATGGGAATGGAAAATGCATATGGATAACATTATAGAAAAAATTTAATGAAGTCCTAGGAGCCATAGACATAAATCAAATAAGTGGAAGCTCTCAATTTATAGGGATCATATACATCTACATATTATGTGCATGAATATATGTGAATATATGCATAATTTGTTTATGTGTACATATACACATATATATGTACACACTTACATATAGGTAGATATTGATATATTATTTAAGCCTGAAAAATCCTCTGAGGTTGGTAGTACTATTTATATTTTACATATGAAGCACCTGAAGTTTTATGAGCTCAAACTATTTGCCCAAAGTCACCTAAAACTGAGATTCCAACGCAGCTGGCCTGCCCAATGGACATGAGTTGTTTTCGCCTGCCCAGTGTCCATCCCCTTTCATCTAGTGATGACATCTCAATTGGTCTTTTGGGAACCACCCTTCCCCCACATTGTGCAGCCTTCTGGGGACTGTCAGTCAAAGTGCCAGGCCCCGTTCTGTCCAAAGGGCAAGTAGGTGACCAAAGTCAGGCTAGGTAGACTCTCTCTCTTTCCTGGAATCTGAATGTTGAAGGGAACGGGATAATGATGATTGGAGTTGATCTATTTCAGTGGTTTTTGGCTAGAGAAACTGTCCATTCTGTTCCTGCCTTCCCACTCCCCATGTTGCATTGGGCCATGTCCGTCCTGAGGCCCACTCCTTCAAGATGTCCCTCCATGCTGCAAGTTTCCCACATACCCATCCCATCCCACATATCTATCCCTCTTCTTAGGTGGGAGTGGTGGTTGCAGGCGTGCTCTACCCAGATCCCACTCCAGGACAAAGATACTCATTCTCCAGCTGCCAACAGCATTGGCTGCTGATGGCTCACTGCTGAGTCTCTCTCAGCACTTGCCCTCAGCCACACAGAGCTTCCTCGCCCAAGTTTGGACCCTCTTCTAGGGAAAGTCTGCTGGGGGACAACGGTCCAGCCTTGCCTCAATCTGGACAACCCTGAAGGGCCATCCCAGCTCCAGAGCTCCTCCTAGGATCAGTTGAGACCTCTGCTGCAATTACATCACATTCAACTTCTCCCTTTCCCAGCCTCCTTTACTCCCCTACAGGTATTGCTGCGGTGAGCACTCCCAATGCACCTGCTGCATGCAGATCTCCATAGCAGACTCAGCAAACAGGACTAAGACACTGGACCTGACTAGATGTCTAATGCTTGCAGCCAGAGACCTTTAATTGATTCGGCCAGGTCTGTGTACCTCTGTATTAATTTACTAGGCTGCCATAACAAAGTACCACAGACTGGGTGGTTTAAACAACAGAAATTTATTTGCCCACAATACTGGAGGTGAGATTCCTGAAGATTAGGCATTAGGTGGCAGCAGGATCTACAAACCTCTCTCCTTGGCTTGTAGATAGCTGTCTTCTGCCTGTGTCTTCACATGGTCTTCCCTTTTTACACACCTGTGTCCTAATTTCTTCTTCCTGTGACACCAGTATACTGGGTGAAGACCCACTGTTGTAACCTCATTTTAACTTCATTACATCTTTAAAGATTATCTCTAAATACAGTCACATTCTGAGGTTAGGACTTCAACATATGAATGAGGGTTCGGGGGTGGAGAGCACAATCTGGCCCATAACAATGTCCAAAGGTTGAATTCCTTTCCCAACAACTCCCTGAGGTTTAGCATTACATGGTTCAGTATCTAGGCTGCGACCAGGTGAGTCTGAATGCTTGAATCTCTCAGTGCTTAGCTATCTTCATTGGCAAACTGGATACACTGCAATATGTAACTCTAAAGTGTAATGAATAATATAAGTGACACACAAGATATATCAAATAGAAAGTGGAATTAAGATGTACTCATTTTAAGTGGAAAGGAACTGCTGCCTTCTTTTTAAGATGCAGCCAAGATATCAAGTCACTGAGGGAAGATGGATGATTCAGTGGGGCCAGGATAACCAGAAGTCATGTTAAAATAAATCAGGTTGGAGCCTCTTCATAATTATTATTACCACAAAAAGAAAACCACATGAGAATTTATTTTATAATGTTGAGATGGGAAGTGCCTTCCTAAAAATGTCACAAAACCCACAAGCAATTTTTTAAAAGGGATAAATTCAACTACACAAAGAAATCACCATGGAAATCCTGAGTGACGTGCAGCTGATTAAGACTGGAGACAAAGTGGCCGCCAGTGAAGCCATGCTGCTGAAGGTGCTGACATACTTCCCTTCACCTTCTCCTTTGGCTGATCACCCAGCAGGCGCTTGCCAACGGCAACACCTACCACCCAAAGTGCTTGATATTACAGAGGAAACTGCACTCTCGCTTCCTGGAGGGTGTCTGCCATGTTGCCACCATGTGCATGCCGACTGGGTATCCACCTGTGATGTCAGTTCCTTGTCTATCATCAGTGGGTACAAGAAGGTCCTGGCTTTGTCTATGGAGACTGAGTTCACCTTCCCCCGCCATGAGAAGGTCAAGGTCTTCTTTGTTGATCCGGCTGCATTGGTGGTTGCTTCCCCAGCCGAGGTTGAAGCAAAGGAAGGGCTGGAGGAGTTGAATAAGGATGTGGGATTTGGTCTTTTTGACTGATCACTAAAGACCAACCAACTCAGTCAGCTTTATTTATGAAACAAGAAAATAAAGGTTTATTTATTTATTTATTTATTTATCTATTTTTGAGATAGACTCTTGCTCTGTCTCACAGGCTGGGGTGCAGTGGCGCCATCTTAGCTTATTGGAGTCTCTGCCTCCTGGGTTCAAGCGATTTTTGTGCCTCAGCCTCCAGAGTAGCTGGGATTAAAGGCTTGTGTCACCATGCGAGGCTAATTTTTATATTTTAGTAGAGATGGGGTTTCATCATGTTGGCCAGGCTGGTTTCAAACTTCTGATCTCAAGTGATCTGCTTGCCTCAGCCTCCCAAAGTGGTAGGATTGCAGGCGTGAGCCACTGTGCCCAGCAGTTTACTTCTTTGAACAACAGAAATCTGGAAACAAGAACACAAAAAACAGCCAAAACTGTGGGAAAAATTATAACAAATGCCACAGAAAATGCTACTTTTCCAGATTTATAAATTATTTCTACAGAGTTACAAGAAAGTAATCCAGTGAACAAATGGGCAAGTGATGAAAACAGTTCAGAGATAAGGAAATACAAATGGTTCCTAGACATTTGACAACTTCACTAAAAAGTAAGAGGGAGTCCTATTAAGTCAGTCCCATTAACACCATTTGGGATACCACATTTTAACCCTCATATTGGTAAAGATAAAAAAAGTGTGACTACAATTCAGGACTACTGAGGGCGTGGGGAAACAGGCACTTTCTTATAACGTTGGTAAGGATGTGAACTGGTACCTTGTCAATAAATGGCACTTGGTAATAACATCCATGAAAATTAAAAGGCACATACCCTGTAACCCAGAAATTCTATGGACTCCCCACACAGTGTGAAATGTTGCACTCAAGGCCAGGTGCATTGGCTCACACCTGTAATCCTAGCACTTTGGGAGGCCAAGGCAGGCAGATCACTTACATCAGGAGTTCGAGACCAGCCTGGCCAACATGGTGAAACCCCGTTGCTACCAAAAATACAAAAAATTAGCTGGGCATGGTGGCCCACATCTGTGGCCTGCACCTGTGGTCTCAGCTCCTCAGGAGGCCAAGGCAGGAGAATTGCTTGAACCTAGGAGGCGGAGGTTGCAGTCAGCTGAGATCACGCCACTGCACTCCAGCCTGGATGACAGAGCGAGACTCCGTCTCAAAAAAACAAAAAAGAAAGAAAAGAAAAAGAAAAAAAGAAATGTTGCACTCAAAGAAAACCTACTTCAGCACTTTAGGTAAGAACAAAAGATAGGCAACAATTCTGGGCAGAAACTAACTGTTATACCCCAATATTCATTCTCCCTTTCTTCCTTCTTAATAGAGTCCCAAATTTGTAATAGGTTCCCTGAATTATGACTACATTTTCTATCCTCCCTTGTGTGTTTTGTAAAATGAGATATAACTGAAAGTTGGGAGGTGTCTTTCTCATGAGGGAACATGTTGGTTTTCCCCTGGCTGAAATGTAGAAGTGAAGCCCGGAGCTTAAGCAGCCATTTTCCAATGCGAGAAGACAGCCATACACCAAGAACAGAACAACAATGAGACAGAAAGAGCTTCAGTTTTGGAGACTATAGCTGCCTACAGCAGTCCTGAGTTACCCCAACTCTGCTCATTTTGTACACAAAATAAACTTCTATCTTCTTTTTTTTTCCTTTTTTTTTTTTTCTTGAGATGGAGTCTCACACTGTCGCCCAGGCTGGAGTGCAGTGGCGGCGCGATCCTGGCTCTCTGCAACCTCCACCTCTCGGGTTCAAGCATTGCCCTGCCTCAGCTTCCTGAGTAGCTGGGATTACAAGTCCGCGCCACCATCCCTGGCTAATTTTTGTATTTTTAATAGAGATAGGGTTTCATCATGTTGGCCAGGCTGGTCTCAAACTCCTAACATCAAGTGATCTTGCCTCCCAAAGTGCTGGGATTATAGGCATGAGCCACTGTGCCCAGTCTGAACTTCTATCTTCTTTAAGCCACTAAATCTTTACTTTAGATACTTGAAAGTTTTTGATAAATCATGTTATGTACACAACATTGAATATTACACAACTCTTAAAAAGAATGAGTCAAATCTATTGAGGTATACATGTAGAATACCCAGATATAGTGAAATGAAATGCTTTACAAAATACTGATTTTATGTGAAACAAGTTTCTAAAAGGTTGTTATTGCTTGTTACCATCTGTGCAAAGAATAAAAATATCAAGATGATATGTCTGTAAGTAGATAAAATCTCTCTTTCTGGAATGGCACAAGACACTGGTAACAGGAGTTGCCTCTGAGCAAGAGAACTGAAGAGCTAGGGAAGGGAATGGGAGAGAGACTGCTAGCTCTAGGACTTTTTTGTACCTTTTTGTCCTTTTGCATGTATTATTTAAAGTAAATAATAAAGTTTAAAAAATTAAAATATGCAGCTGAGATGTCCAGTATGTTCACCTGTTTGGGAATGATACAGACAGAAATAGCTGGTGGGGTGGGTGCAGGGAAGGAGGGACATAAGTAATTTTAGGAAGTAGCACATGTATTACAGTCTAATTGGAGATAGCATCCTATTGGCACCAGCAGATGAGAGAGGCTGATGCAAATGAATAAGGCATTAGCAATGAAATCCAGAAAGTAGCAACAGGCCAAGAGGAATTTGTATGACAAATCTGAGAAGACCAGGTTCTGACTATGTATGCTTCTGACTATGTATGCTTCTGACTGAGACAGAAAAATCGGCAGTGGTTACTTCTAGAGAATTGCAGTGTGTGGTCATGTGCATAGTGAGGACTGAGTAGGAAAGTGGTCGAATTTTCTAGCAAGTCACTGAGTGGTAATTTGTTTACTGAAATGAAGCATTTTTTTTCTTCTCCAGCCTAGCAGTGTTTTATATGTGTGTGTGTGTGTGTGTGTGTGTGTGTGTGTGTGTGTGTGTGTGTACATACACGTATTTTTATGGGGACACCCCAATGGATTTCCATGATAGATGTATTTTTGAACGTAGAAGCTGGAGGGATGTTTCATTTTCTTGGTACAGAAAACACACCTAAACAAGGGTGATTAGGGGAAGGTTGTTGAGGGTTTTAGAGGTGCCAAAAAGAAGTGAGGAGCCATAACTTTCAGGCATACCTTGTAGGACAGCAGCAGGTGTGAATCAGAAGTTTTGCCTTTAAGTGTGTTAGGGAAATTGGCATAGATACTGCTTAAGATATAAACAACTAATCAATTTGACTGAATAAGTAAAAGTAACTCTAGTTAGGAATGTTAATATGAACTGCCTAATTAGTATGAGCCAAGTTGCTCTTATATAAATAGATGTTTAAGACTGATCTTAAGTCTTCTCTGAAGATGGCAATAAAATCTATGAACATGTTATGCAGCTTCAAAAATCTGTGCACACCTGGTAAAATGACTTTAAAAAATTGGCAATCCCAACTGCTGGTGAGAATATGGAGAAGGAAGATTCTTGTACATTGCTGGTGTAAATGCAAAATGGTATACCCACTCCAGGGAATGTTTTTGCTTTTTTTTTTTTTTCTGAGTTAAACATGTACTTGGAATAGACCAAGAAATTTGATTTCCTTGGTTTTTGCCCAGAAGAAATGAAAACTTAGGTTCAAACAAAACCCTATATGTGAATGTTTGTAGTGGCTTTTTTCATAATTGTCAAAAGTTGGAAACACCCAAATGTCCTTTAACTTGTGAATGGACATACAGACCGCGGTAAATTAAATACTACTCAGTAATAAAAGGAACTATTGAAACATGGATGAATCTCAAATGTATTATACTAAGTGAAAGAAGTCAGACACAAAATATATGATTCCATTTATATGACATCCTATAAAAGACAAACTGTAGGAACAGAAAGCAGATTAGTGGTTGGCAGGGGCTAGGAGAGATTTACTACAAAGGGGTGCAGGGACATTTCTGGGGTGATGATACTGTTCTATATTTTGACTATATTGGTAGCTACACAAATGTATGTATTTGTTAAAACTCATAAAACTGTACACTAAGAACTCTGAATATAACTATATGAAACTGATATCCCAATACACCTGACTTTAAAATAAAAAGCCTGTACTTCCAGGGAGCTTTCTAGGAAGGTAGAAACATTCTGAATCTGTGGTGGTTACATGGGTATATACATATGAAATAATTCATCCAGTTGAACATTTAATATTTGTACACTTTATATGCACCATTGAATGTATTTCACATCTTATTTTAAAAAATAAATGATAAAAAAAGTCTGGTTGTACCTTATACTAGCAACAACAGAGAGAGAGAGAGAGAGAGAGAGAGAGAGAGAGAGAGTGTGTGTGTGTGTGTGTGTGTGTGTGTGTGTATGAGGGAGAGAAAATAGGATGCTGAGGAAAAGGATCAAATGACTGTCTACAACCCTGTTGGGATGGATATGAGACCTTGGGTATGGTGCTTGATAATGGCAGAAAGAAAGGCTATGGCCACCAAAGACAAATGTCACCAAAGTTGAGGTAGAAGGCAGGACTCAACTCCAGTGTGGGGCTGGGACACTGGACCAAATTGAGGACCAGCTTTCCATAAGGCACACCCATCAGTGTGCCATGGCAACATCCAGAAGTTATCACCCCTTTCCATGGCAACAACCCAACAACCCAGAAGTTACCACACTTTCCTAGACATTTCTGCATAAACCACCCCTTAATTTGCATATAATTAAAAGTGGATATAAATATGAGTGCAGAACTGCCTCTGAGCTGCTACTCTGGGCACAGTGCCTCTGGGGTATCCCTGCTCCGCAAGCAGTGCCTCTGCTACTGCCGTACACTGCCACTTCAGTAATAGTTGCATTCTAACACCACCAGCTCACCCTTGAATTCTTTCCTGGGTGAAGCCAAGAACCCTCCTGGGCTAAGTCCCAATTTTGAGGCTTCCCTGTGCTGCATCAATGTCACAGTCTTGCTTAAGGCTGACCATTTGTATCAACATGTATGTTTTTCCCCTATCACTTCATTCAATTCTGCTTCTGACAGCTGCTCTTCCATTTCTAGTGATTTCTCCAACACATCTCTGCTGAGAAGGAGGGGCTGAAGGAAAAGGCCTGAGCTATAAGGACACAGATATCAGGGTTCAGACCTCGGCTCTAATACTTACAAGTTATATGACATTCGGCAAACTTCTCCATATATTTTCATCTGGTGTATTTCTTCTCTATGAGTCATTCATGTACAGAGAAGTCTTAGTGCCTTGGGGATCTTCAGGAACATTACACACCTCTCAGCAACAACTTTGGAACACCCAGTTTCGTACTAATGCTCCTTTTTGAGCATTTGAATGATTTCTGCAGCATAATTTTTGTAGCAATAATAGTGAACCATAAAAACTCAATGGCCTCATTATCAAGTCATCTGCACAGGGCCAATTGATTTGGATGATATCAATTCTCTTAATCCTTCCCTGGAGTGCAGTGGGGCAGAGTCCTGCTTGCTTATTTTACACAGAAGAAAAACTGCTGCAGCTCCTAGGCACCCCAGCTTTGTTCCTGGAAATACGAGGAAATGCAAAGGTGTGGCATCCCTACTGGCAATCTACTGTATTCCCATGTGGGCATGGTGAAATCTCCTTCACATAGATTGCAGGAGCACCTCCCTGACTGCTGAGGTCCTGTGGAAAGGGAACTTGAACACCATCCGGAATATAGGAATTTTTTTATGGGGGGAATGGTGAATAGACAGACAGAGTTCATTTCCAGATTTTTATTCACTCTAAGCTTTTTCAGATTCAGTGTCTCTGGGGTGCGCATTGTTGAGCATCTTTACACTTCAGCCTGCTGCCATCAAACCCTGGACTTTATCCCAGAGCTACAAATGAGATCTCAGCCCTGGAGTTGTCTGTCATGAGCCTCGGGGCCTGCTTTGCTGTGACTGGACACTCTACCATCTGTCTGTCAGCTTTGAAGCGCTTCCCTCTTTTGTCCCAGGAATGCAATTAAGCAAGTTACTTGGAGCTGTGCCTTCAATAATCTTACTGGAGGTTTACACAGTCATAGGGTGAGTTAACAGGGTAAGGGTTTAATCAGTGAGTTGGATGAGGAAAGTATTTTGTTTCTTGGCTTAGTTTTGCATGGTAGCATTTGTCTCCTTATGTAAACAGAGTGCAAGTTACTATCCTGCCATCTTCTATACCGTATTGAATTACCAATGTAATTGTAATCAGCACTTCTGGAAAGTGCTGATGGCCTATTTTGTACTTGTTTGTGTTAATCAATGTTAATTACAAAGCAAGCACAGGGGTTAACGAATTATAATGGGCTTAATTAAGCTTGACAGTAACAAATGGCATAACCTTTATGTTATGGCCTGGTTAAAGTAACAAAAAAAAAAAAGGGACAAAATAGACCAGAAAATCATCACATAGGAATCCATATTCATATACTGATTACCTACAGGAACAGAATAGTGTAAGGAATTTATTGGTTTTGCTAATTGTCAAGTTAAATTTTTACCACACTGGCACTACTAGGAGTACAGAGAACTATTAGGCCTGACTTTTACCCTCAAAGAATTTGTAATTTTGTTGGAAAAGAGACACAGAAAACCAAGTTTTAAAATGGTCCAATGAGTCACAAGTGAGTGATGCCTACCATGTTACAAAGCATTTGGAAGAGACAGGGATCACCGTGGGTTGGTGCAGTGGAGGAAGACTAGGGAAGGTAGAACTCAAAGAAAGAACTCGATGGAGGAGAGGAGGGAAGTAGGCATTCTTACTGGATGCATGGGTGGAGCAAAGGTTTGGAGGTAGGAATGCAAATACTGTGTTCAGTGAGCATGCATGCTTCTGTGAATCTGCTTCATTGATTTAAGTGTCACAGAGGGGTAAGGAAAGTGTTGTCCACAGTCACACTACCTGGTCTGAGCCTTGATCTCCCCGTGTATGGAGTAAGAAATGACCACAAAGACACTTCCGGCGCCCAACTACAGCTGCAAAAGCCCTTGAGCAGGGCCTTTTCTCATTAGATGAGATAGGATGTATTTGGATGCAAGCAATAACACACACACCCTAAACAGAATGGCTTCCATAACAATCATCTGTTTACTGCTCCTAAGTCTACTGGTCAGCTTGGTTGTTCCGCTGGTCTGGACGGGCTCAGTTGTTCTGGGCTGTTCTCACTCATACATCTGATGACTTGGTGGAGGTTGGCTGGTGTGAGGTGGCCCCACTCACATGTCTGGTGGCTGCCTGGCTATTGGTTGCAGTGCTGGATTTGACTGGGACACACCAACATTCAGTAGGTTAGCCTGGGCTTGCTTACATGACAGCAGCAAGTTTCCTAGAGCCAGGGTTAGGAAGCATGCAAGGCCTCTGAGGCCAAGGCTTAGAAACAACATGAAGCCAATTCTGCTGCATTCTGTGTGCCAAGGGAAGTTCCAGGGCCAGCCATATTGAAGAGGTGGAGAAAGAGATTCTACTTCCCATTGAGGGGAGCTGCAAAATGACATCGCAAGGTATGAGTCCAGGGAAGAGAAGCATTTACAACTATTTTTAAACTTTACACTGTGCTTCAGGTAAAGAGGCTTTCTCACTATTCCAGAAGCAGGACTCGCTTTTCCAACACTAAACATTTGTTCAAGGAATTTCCTCTGCTTTAGAAGTCACCTCCTCACCATTTTCTGGGTTCAAATCTGTCCCTCCTGCAAGACCGATCTCCAAAACTAATTCATCCATGAAACTTTTCCCAATCACTTTAAATAAACATGGTTTCTCACTCTTTCGAAGTTAAAATGAGGCCACAGACTCTACAGTCTATCAGTTCTGAACTATTTATGACCACATAGTTTTATATATATGGTTGCATACAGTTATATGCAATTGAAAACAATCATTTTTATCTTAGTATATAAAATGACTATGATTTAGGGTGATAGCGTCTATTAAATTGAATCTAATGTGATTTCTTTATTCACTTTTGCTATAAAAGAAAGCAGGCATTCATGGTTACCTGCCTAAAGCTTTACTAAAATTACTTAGTACGATTTTTGCAATTATCTTTACTGTGATTTTGGAGCTCAGATTTTCTCTCTAGCCCCAAAGTATACTTTTTCAAATTATTCCTGCTTTTAATGTTTAGTATTTTAGAAGATTCTAAATATACTTTAAATTTTGTGACTTAGAAAATGAAAATCGTAGGCCAGACGCAGTGGCTCACACCTGTAACCCCAGCACTTTGGGAGGCCAAAGCAGGTGAATCACTTCAGGCCAGGAGTTTGAGACCAGCCTGGCCAACATGGTGAAATCCTGTCTCTATTAAAAATACAAAAATTAGCCAGGTGTGGTGGCAGGCACCTGTAATCTCAGCAGCTTGGGAGGCTGAGGCAGGAGAATCACTTGAACCCGGGAGGTGGAGGTTGCAGTGAGCCAAAATAGCGCCACTGGACTCCAGCGTGGGGGACAGAACAAGACTCTGTATCAAAAAAAAAAAAAAAAAAAAAAAAATTGGTGCTGGGTTTGGACTTGGTATCTGTGATTCCTGTCTCTGGTACTACTATTTATTATACATTTATTTGAAAACCAGGAAAACACTTGTTTTTCTCATTGGCTCACCACATAGCTCTTAAATTCAACTTAAGTCCCTTGGTGTAAGGCACTCCTGTAGGAGACACTAAGTGTATCATGTGATATAATGCTTCTGGTGAGTGCTTCTAGCACATAGGGAAATCGATGGGTTTATGAGGTGTCAGTTATATCCTTCGTCCCAATTTAAGCGTGCCAGTCTGATGTTCATCAAGATTTTTTAAAAGTCATGTTTGTAAGAAAGTAAATCAATTTTATTCCTCAGAGGCTAGGATGAAGAAAAAGCACAGCTCATGAGAAATACAGTATTTTTCTTCTGATAACAGTATTCCCTGATGATTCAAATATTTTGCGGTGGAGTGAACATTCTATTACAGTGCTATTTTGCGTGGAAATGAAGAAGCTAAGACTCAGAGAGCTTAAGTCACTCAAAAGTTTTCGTCCATTAAAAAAGTTTTCAAAATAGAGATTAAAAAAAGATTTGAAAAAACGTTTTAAAAAAGAGATTGCTAAACATCAGAAAAAAATTTCAATAATAAATGAAGACCAAAATAAACTACATCAAAACAAACTAAACAACCACATCCCCCACCCCACAGTCCCGCCATGCACATATGCATCTTGAGACCATTTGGGTTTTAACCCAGATTTCAGAATTTTCTCTTCTCCTTCCCATCACAATTCAACCTTCTTAGAAAATAAAAATGTCGGCCGGGCTTGGTGGCTCACGCCTGTAATCCCAGCACCTTGGGAGGCAGAGGTGGGTGGATCACGAGGTCAGGAGTTCGAGATCAGCCTGTCCAACATGGTGAAACCCCCCATCTCTACTAAAAATACAAAAATTAGCCGGGCTTGGTGGTGGGCACCTGTAATCCCAGCTACTCAGGAGGCTGAGGCAGGAGAATCGCTTGAAACCGGAAGGTGGAGGTTGCAGTGAGCCGAGATCGCGCCACTGCACTCCAGCCTGGGCAACAAGAGCAAAACTCTGTCTCAAAAAAAAAAAAAAAAAAAAAAAAAAAAAAAAATATATATATATATATATATATATATATATATACACACATATATATGTATATATACACAATAAAAATAAAAATGTCTTTTATCCATCCAATTGAATTTTAAAATCATAGATTCTTAAACCTTTTTTATGCCGTGGACCCTTTTGGTTGTTTGGTGAGAGTAACATTTTCAGAATAACATTTTAAAATGCATAAAATAAAATAAATGGGATTACCAGGAAAATCAATTATACTGAACTATAACTATTAAAATGTTAGAAATAAATGTGATCTTAAGGTAGGTTTGTTATTTAGTGGCTCTCTTGAGTACCCACCCCTCCTTTGCGGGGCCCTCCCACATTGCCTGGGCGTGACCATGTGACTGCCTTTGGTCAATGGAAGTCCAGCAAAGGCTTGTGCATAGTGCGGTGCTCTCCTGGCGAGGTGTCTCGCCGCCGCAAGAAATCTGGAACCTGGTCTAAACTTTTTGAGGATGAAAAAGCAAAATGCACCAACTTTTCCTCACCCCAGGTGAGCCTAGAGCCCAGCCACAAAGCCCGGGTGACACCAGCAACCCAAAGAATTGAGAGAAATAATAACCGGTTTTTGTTTTAAGCCTCCACATTTTTGGCCATTATTTTTATGCATCAGTACATAACTGATTTGGATCCCTGAATTCTTACTGACCTTTTGGGCCCTGGATTTACTGCTTTTTTTTTTTTTTGAGATTGGGTCTCACTCTGTCACTCAGGTTGGAGTACAGTGGTGCGATCTTGGCTCACTGCAACCTCCTCCTTCCATGCTCAAGCGATTGTCCCACCTGAGCCTCCTGAGTAGCTGGGACTACAAGCACACGCCACCATGCGTGGCTTTTATTTTTGTTTGTTTTATTTTGTCGTAGAGACAGGGTTTTACCGTGTTGCCCAGGCTGGTCTCAAACTCCTGAGTTCTGGCAATCCATCCTCCTCGGCCTCCCAAAGTGCTGGGATTACAGGCATTAGCCACCGTGCCCGGCCTAGAGCTTCTGTAACTGTTTTTCACTATCAGTTATTTTAAGCTCTCACAGTTTGCGTAGAGGTCATCTATCCCCTGGCTCCTTGCAGGGAGGGTGGCAGCCGACAGCATCTTCACTCCCCGAACGTGCTGGAAATGCCATGTCTCAGGCTTCCCCTCTGACTTGCCCATTAGAAGCTGCAGTTTCACAAGACCGCCAGGTGATTCCTTTAAACATTCAAGTTTGCAAAACACTTTAAAGCAGGCACACTAAAGTCTGAGATGAGCAAACCCCTTATCTTATAATAATCTTCCCTTTCAGAAACTTCCTTCACGCCCCAATAGAAATATTTTCTGCTAAGAAAGTGCCCGTTCCGTATCGTCTGTGATGATCAAGCCTTACTGCTTCCTATTGAAAAGCTCCAGGCATGCTGTTTGTTGTCTAAAGCGTCTGCCGGGCTGCGATGGTCCGTTTTGTGTCAGACAGCAAAGTCGTGGATGGAAAGGGGGCTTATAAACACGTGTAGGTTGTTGGAATTACATTAACGAATGAATGAGCAAAACCTTCTAAACCACCGACCAATGAAACCCCGATACAGAAAATCGCTGTCATGAGTAAGTTAGCACTCCTGAAGAGTTTGAATACTGAACTGGCCAGAGTCTGCGCGCCGACGCCCCCCAGGTGGCCGGAGTGACCCGGAGCAGGCGTGGCTGTCTCTCAGACCCGCGCGTTGGGCCCGAACAGTTTGTCCCCACGCAGCTCCCATATAAGGCGGGCCCCTCCCCTGCCCCAGCCAGCTAGGTCGCCGCGCTGGCTCCCTGGCGGCTTCTCAAACCAACCCGCCGCTACTGCGCATGCTTGGCAAGCTCGCCCGCTCCTTAATATCCTGCTCCGGCTGTTCCTGCCACCCGTTGGTCAAATTCGCACCCAGCTCTGCTCCAGACAGAGGGAAAACCCAGTGATTTCCGGGCTCTAGAAACAAAGGGAGGCTATGATTCCCTGCTGGCCCTAGGGGTCCAGGGAAGGTTATGGAAAGATAATTCTTTGTGTAAGCGGGTTGCGTACTTGCAGACATCATCCCACTTGATGCATTCACCACTCTATGCCGTTGTTCCTGATTTGCAGATGAGACAAGAAGCCTCAGAGGCGCCCAGTAATTCAGAATTACAGGCTGACAAGGCTAGTGTTGGAGCTAGGACTTAAAAACAGGAGTTCCGCCTCCATTCCTTGCGTCTCCCATTATAGCTTGGCTTCCTGGAATGGCTGCTCCTGTGGCTCGCAGGTGGGCTTCTGGGTGTGCGCAAACGATTTCATGCATGCTCGATTCACTGAATGAATGAATGCATTTACCTTCTACACAGGAAGGGAGGTGGAGCTCACTTCTACCAGAGGCCCTAAGCCTTAAGATACCAGTTGTCGGCCTGGCGCGGTGGCTCACGCCTGTAATCCCAGCATTCTGGGAGGCCAAGGCGGGCGGATCATTTGAGGTCAGGAGTTCGAGACCAACCTGGCCAACATGGTGAAACCCCGTCTCTACTAAAAATACAAAAATCAGCCGGGCGTGGTGGCACGCCCAGCTATTCGGGAGGCTGAGGCAGGAGAATCTCTTGAACCCGGGAGGCGGACGTTGCAGTGAGCCGAGATCGCAGCATTACACTCCAGCCTGGGTGACCGAGCGAGACCCTGTCTCAAAAAAAAAAAAAAAAAAAAAAAAATACCAGTTGTGTTCGCCTTTAACTCCCTTATGATTAAAACTAAAAATTACTAAAGTGTACAAAAGTGCAAAACAAGTCTAAATAAGGTTTGATTCTAGCCAATATAATGACATTCCCGCACACATTTAAAACATCCAACACCCTATTAATTTTCGTTTATCGGTATCCCGAGTTAAGGGGTCCAAAACATACGGTCGGACCTCCTTAGGGTAGCAGAGAAGGCCCTAGCGGAGTTTGCCACCAACAAGCTGTGATCATCTCTGCGCCTCAGTTTGTTCGTGTGTAAAATGGATACGTTAACTCATGTTTGGCTGGGTGAAGCCAGGTTCTTGTTAAGGGCTGAAAAACTGGCTTTGGTCACCTGACCCCAGGACTGTGATCCTTGCCGCTGGCTTTAAATTGCTGCGATCCTCTTCTCTCCAGTTGTTCAGGCCATGAGGGTGGGTTCTAGTTTTCCTGAAACCATCCGCTCCGGGTCGCCCCCATAACCTCTGCGCCAAGGTCCACAACGTGGCCTTTCCAGACTTGCAGATCCCGGAGGCTGCTTCCAGGCCCCGCGGCCCCGCCCCTCTGCACCGCCCGGCCGCCGCCAAACCGTGGCGCATGGATCACGCGGGCCGGAGCCGTTCTGGGCATGCTCAGTGGCCTGGCAGGTGGGGCTGCCGCGGAACTCCAGGTCCGGCCGGGAGCAGAGGGGCGGGGGCGAGAGGGAAGTGGGCGGGAGCCGCGATCTGAGTAGCCAGCGTCGCCGGCGACCGCGGAGTTCTGGGCTAGTGGGACCCCGCGCGGGCTGGTTCGGGATGAGCGATGGCATCGGTCAAGGTGGCCGTGAGGGTCCGGCCCATGAATCGCAGGTGAGTGGGGCCGCCCGCGCCCCGCCCCCTCGTCGCGCCCCCACCCAGAGGAAGCCTGTTTCCAGCTCCCCCAAAGCCAGCCTGGACTTAAAAGTGTCACCGGCTGGTCCCTGGCCCACCGGGCCCAGGCTGTGGCCTCTGGGGGCCTGGAGGACTTCGTGCACTGCTGTCCCGTTCACATTGCCCTGGAGAGGACCCTGGTGGTAAAGGAGAAGATTCTATTAACTCTCTCCATCGTATTAACTTGAGATGTTCTTGTTCCCCCTTTAAAAAAGCATCAAGGGAACGTTACCATGAAGATGTAAAATAGTTGGGGGGAAGGTGAGAGTGCTGAGGGGGGGCACCACGAACTGTCAGGTGAACCCCTCATTTCTACCAACTCAGAAGTTCTCTTAACAATTAACCATGCTACTTTTTAATCTTTCAGTTAGAGATGATTTTGATTCCCTGAATGTCTAATCGATAACTTAGCAGTTCCTAACTTCATGTTAGAGAGTGGATGGGAAAACTTTGACAAAGTCCTGACTCCTAGAAAAAAGTCAGGGACGCTTTACACGTGTTTGAAATACTCTGATATTAAGAGAGAGGAAGAGTGTTACACACAAAATTTAATCTTGTTATATATTTCTACGAAGTAATGCTTTTTCAGAATCCTTCTCTTCATTCACTGAAAAATAGCCTGTGCTCCCTTTTCAATGACCTCTTTTTAATCCGTTTAGAAAGTTTCTTTGGAAAAGTTACTTTTTAAATTGGTTTGACTTCAAAGAATGAGGTAGAAATGGGATGTGTCCTCCAAGGTGACAGGCAAGGTTCACACAGAGCCATTTGATTTTATTGACTTCTCTACCAAGTTGGTGGATATTTGACTTACCATAGGGCCTTTTTGCTTTTGTCATATCAACTTGTGGAGGTTAATGTTTGGTAGTTCTGATGCCTGATTGGGGCAGCCGAAGGCCATAAAATCAAAAGATTTCCAGAACCTTATTTGACTCATCTAAATCTGTTTCTTCTCTTGGCAAGTAGGGAATCATTATTTTGGTTTGTAATCATTAAAACCCAGTGTTTTCAGAATCTGCTTTTTGTGACTTTTGAGTTATTTCTAAAGCTGTTTAGAGTAAGAGTTTGACTTTTTTGCTCTAAGGGAATATTTTTGTTTCTGTGTACATTCCATCATAGAAGATAAACTTTAGAACGATTTTTCTTTATTATGGATTTTCATGTGTATAGAAGTTCTTTTTCTTTTTTGGAAAAAGGTGAACACATGCTAGAAAATTGTATTGTGTAACTTTAGAAAGTATTTGTTAGGCTGGGCGCGGTGGCTCATGCCTGGGAGCCACTTTGGGAGGCCGAGGCGGGCGGATCACAAGGTCAAGAGATGGAGACCATCCTGGCTAACACGGTGAAACCCCTTCTCTACTAAAACTACAAAAAATTAGCCGGGCGTGGTGGTGGACGCCTGTAGTCCCAGCTACTCGTGAGGTTGAGGCAGGAGAATGGTGTGAACCCAGGAGGCAGAGCTGGCAGTGAGCCGACACCGTGCCTCTGCACTCCAGCATCAGTGACAGAGCGAGACTCCCTCTCAAAAAAAAAAAAAAAAGTATTTGTTAAGCACCTACCAAACACATAGCATTCCTCAGGGTGCTGTCTGGGATACAAGGGGAATGAGACCTGGTGAGCCATGGTGAGAGAGGGATTATGTACTGGCATGAATCTTGTGAAGTATTGGGCCTGCTGGGACAGGAACTGTGAGTTCAGTGCCTTGCCAGTGTAGGCCTGGAGCCCAGGTACATGGAGGGATGGCAGGAAATAAGTCCAGAGGCCATGGGCTTTGGGGAGGCAGATTCGCGTGATGTTATTTATATTCTCAGTAGAGAACTCTGGTGGTGTCAAGATTGAGGTAAGAGGCAGGTGATTAGCAGTTTGAGCCAGAGATGAAATTGGAAGGCAGGATAGTTACAGGAAGACCACTCACTGGCAGAATTGGCAGGATTTGGCAGCTCACTGGATGGGAAGAAGGGGGAAGAATGCGAGTGTAGAGTCATTAACTGAGGTTTGATGCTGAAGGAGGTGAACAGGTTTGAGGAAGGTGGACAATGAAGTTGGTATGTTCTCTCTTGGATGTGGAGAGTTACATGAGATGTATTAAGTGTCAAGTACAAGCACAGAGCAAGTGTTTCACGCATGTTGACCTTGTTCATTATCTGAAGTGTGGGAAGGACATCCATCCCTCTGCTAGAGATGTTCAGCAGAAAGCTGAAAATGTGGGTTTAGGTCTCAGGTGATTTGAGGATCGACATTTGGAAATCTTTTGCACATAAACCACAATTTAAGGATGTTACGTGAGAAGAAAAGGGAGCCAGGGATTGGACATTGGGATATGCCCCTCTTTAGGATTTCAGGGAGAAGATTGGCTTGCAGTCCGTAAAGGAGAACCAGCACAGCAAATGGTCATGGCAGGAAAGGGAGAAGAGCATCCTGAAGGAGGTGGTGGGGGTTAGTGTCAAATATTGCCAGGATGATGAGAATAAGATGGTGTCCTTGGTCTTGAAGACAAGGCTAGTTGATAACCTTCCCAACAGTACTTTTAAGGAGAGTCAATGATTCAGAAGTTGGCAGTGAGTAGAAAGAGATATATAAATTGGCAACTGAATATACTTGACCTAATTTATAAGGAAAGACATGCATACTATAATAGTGATAAAATGCCATTTTTTTACCAGTGAGATTGATAAATATTAACTGAGCACCAATTGCTGGTACAGGAGTGATGAAACAGACGCCTCTGCATTGATCACGGAAGCATAAGGGATCAAAACATCTGAAACTTTCATATTGGGAAATTTGACAGTAGCTGTCAAGATTAGAAATCTGTATACTTAAGCAGAAAATGCTTCCCTTAAAAAATTGGAAATCTATAAACTTTTTGATTTGACCATTTCATTTCTACTTTTTCTAATTTCTAATTTTTATTATATGGATTATATTGCTGCCTACAAAGATATATGTGTAAAGATGATGATTTTTGCATCATCATTGATAACAAAAAATCATAAGTGACCTTAATATACAAAATTGGGAAATTTGTTAAGTTATAGCGTAAATCATTTGGTGGATTATTATGCAAGTCTTAAAAAGAGGGTGTTGATCTTAAAAGAGTTCCAAGGTAGAGGATTGAGAAAAGCAAGATATCCACAGTGGAGTAAAGTTGTGTGTTTGTGTGTGCTAACAAATGTACACACACACACACACACACACACAGATTCATCTATATGTAATGGTTTGTAAGAAACCTAACACTGATACCTCTAAAGAGGAGGACTGATGATGAATCCATTAGGCAAAGATGAAAGGCTTTTTTTTTACTGTTTGTTTTTACTTTCCTCATGCGTAGTTTTATAATTAATACTTAGAATTAATTATTAACCCAGCAGTGCTTATTTAGGTAATTTTAAAAAGTCACCTACAAAATTCATTGGCACTGGAGAAGTTTCAGTTGGTTGTGAGGAGGATTGAAGGAAGTTGTTAATGTTTTTAATGTTTATTTTTAGAGTAGTGGAGCCTCAGGCAAAGGGAAAGCAACCTACAGAAAAACAAGTCCCAGAGTTATTGGAAAGTAAGGACTGCTGGTGGTGGAGTATTGAGTTTGACTGAGTTTCTAAACTAGGGGCCTTTGCAGTAATCAGTCAGCCTTGTAAGGAATATGAGTGCTTGATTCAGGCCAAGATGTGATGAGTTTATTTTTATTGCCTTATGGCTTTCAATTATGTGGCAGTAATACTCATTTCAAATGCGGAAGTGATTCTGTTACGTAGGCAAAATGGTAGCCACCTTTATTGAGACTTGACTCTGTGCCAGACTCTCTGGTCCTAGCTCCAGGTACAAAATCCAGTTTAATCTTTGCAGCCATCTTGGCAGGTAGAGACATTATTGTTATGCCATTTTACAGATTGGGAGACAGAGTTTCTTAGTGTGTTTGGACTGCTCTAACAAAATACTGTAAACTGGGTGGCTTATAAACAACAAGCATTTACTTCTCGTAGTTCTGAAGCTTGGGATATCCAAGATCAAGGTGCCAGCAGATAGGCTGTCTGGCTGTCTTCTGAGAGCCAGGTCCTCATACATGGTAGGTTCTTGCTGTGTACTCACGTGGCAGGAGCAAACAGACTCCCTTGGGCCTGTTTTATAAGGGTACTAATCCCATTCACAAGGACCTCATGACCTAATCACCTCCCAAAGGCCCTACCTCTTAATACTATCTCAGTGAGGGGTTAGGTTTCAATATTTGAATTTTAGGGGGAGACAAACATTCAGATCATAGCACATAGTTAACTTGCTCAAAGTCAAAGTCAGTTTCTTAAGACAGTCACAGCTATGCCTTTTTTTTTTTTTTTTTTTTTTTTTTTTTTTTTGAGACAGGGTCTTACCCTGTTGTCTAGGCTAGAGTGCAGTGGCGCAGAGTCGTGGCTCACTGAAGCCTCAACCTCCTGGTGGGCTCAGGTGATCTCCCTGCCTCAGGCTCCTGAGTAGCTGGGACTATTGGTGCACACCACCACACTTGGCTAATTTTTAAAATTATTTGTAGAGACGGGGTCTCCCTGTGTCGCCCAGGCTGGTCTCAAACTCCTGGGCTCAAGTGATCCTCCCACCTTGGCCTCCCAGAATGCTGGGATTACAGGTGTGATCCACGAAAGAGCTGCAGTTGGGTGTGAAAAACACTGTTGTGGGTTCAAGTGAGATAACGCATGTGGATAAAGCTCTCCACACAGAGCCTGGCATTCAGCAGGGGCTCCCTGAAGAGTGCTTGTTGTCATTACTATTATTTTTACAGTTTAATAATTGTAACTTTATTCAAAAACAAGTATTTAAAAAATGCCAAAAAATATTTACTGAGTGCTGGTGATGTGCCAGCTTTATAGCTATGTTGTATAATGTGCTTGCTTATCTGATAGGGCAAATCCACCCCATTCTTTCTCTTTTCTGACTGTTCCTAGCCTTTCTTCCTGATTAGCCTCTCAGGTAGAATCTAGTATCAAGTCTATCAAGTTCAGGAGAGAAAAAGAAGAAAAAAAACCACCAGTGGCATTTTGCCTGGATTTGATATCTTTAGGGTGTACTGACGTCTTCCTCTTTTAAAAAGAAGATAGGTCAAAGGGAAAGTAGTTCATGGTTAGCCTCTTAGGTCTGTGATGATGAGGACAGACATGTCTTGTATTAAGGACGGGAAGTATCTGTCAAGGCACTGCCAGGTACCAGGTACTACACTTATTTCTTTTTTTTGAGACGAAGTCTCGCTCTGTTGCCCAGGCTGGAGTGCAGTGGCGCGATCTCGGTTCACTGCAAGCTCCGCCTCCCGGGTTCATGCCATTCTCCTGCCTCAGCCTCCCGAGTAGCTGGGACTACAGGCGCCCGCCACCACGCCCGGCTAATTTTGTTTGTATTTTTAGTAGAGACAGGGTTTCACTGTGTTAGCCAGGATGGTCTTGATCTCCCGACCTCATGATCCGCCCGCCTCAGCCTCCCCAAGTGCTGGTATTACAGGCGTGAGCTGCCAGCCCTATGCTTATTTCTTTACCTTGGCAATTGCATTTCCTCCTCTCACCAATTGACTGACCTATAAAAGCCAGGGGAGACTGAGACCCCTCAGATAATAATGCTGGGTTGAGCCAGCTGCTTCGGTTCCCTTCAGAGCCCTTTATGTAGTGACGTTGCCTCTGGGCTTACAGATGACAGAAGCCCATGGCCTCAGGGAAATGCCGATCAGAGAATACACAACACACAAAAATAACAATAGAATCTGTGTACGGTTGAGATGGAACCTCTAGGGGATTCTAGAGGCTAGAGGAAGAGATCTCCAGTGCTTCTGCCATCTCTTTAGATAAGAGGGTGGAACTTGAGTTGAGCCCTGAAGGGATATTGCCAGCGACCATATAGATAATTTCTGTTAGGTGCTTGGCTGATACTCTTTGGAAGTTGGCATTGTCAGCCCATTCTACAGATGAGGAACAAGGGCTCAGAGACTGTAATAAGGAGGTCTCTTATTCAGAAATAAGAAATAAGACCGCCCAAGGTCACATAGCTAGATACTATGATGCTGGATTTGAATCCAAGTCTCCCCTACTCTAACTTCCTAAAGTCCTTTCATTATACAGAAGACTTAGTTGAGAGGTGGGCAGGGGGTGGTTGGAAGGTAGGAACATGTTTATTTCACTAATGATTTTAGACAAATTGAAGATTTTGTAAGAATTAGTTGCAAGGCAGGTAGACAGGGTGTTGTGAGGACTTTTCTTTGTGAAGCCTGGGCATTTGGGTTTTTGATCTCTAGATCCCTATGCTGGCCAGTATAACTGTCGGCCACCTATGTGACTATTTAAGTTAACATAAAATAAAATAAAAAAAGGATTTTAGTTAATTGCATTAGGCACATTTCAAATGCTCAACAGACACATATTCAATAATGTAGATATAAATATATCCACCATCCTGGAAAATTCTCTTGTGCAGCAAGTCTGAATAAAGGCTTGAATTCCAGCTCTTTTACTTTCTACCTCCATACCTTGGCACTTTATTGAACATGTCTGTGCCTCAGTTTCTTCATCTGTAAAATGGAGATCTCCATAGGACCCACCTCGTGGGGCTGGAATGGTAATTTAATGAGGTAGCATTTCGTACAGTGCTGGGCCCAAAAGTAAGCGTTCTGTAAATATCAGGTATATTATTAGGCATTGTGAGCTACTGATGGTTCTAAAACAGGGCTGTCTTTCGCCAATTAGTGTTTTCTGAAGTTTCATCTAATAGTAGTGTAGGGAAATAATAATACTAGCACCAGTAATGGTGAACTTTTATTTACCATTTGCCAAGGGCTGTGCAAAGTGCCTTTTATGCATTATTATCTCCCTGACTTTCCTGCCACCACTCCGTGACGCAAGACTGAGGTTCAAGATGTCTGTCTGAGTGCTGACAACCAGTGCAGGAAGACAGTAAAGAGAACTGAAATATGACCCATGGCGATTGGATTCTGGGCATGGTTATAATTGGAAAAGGCAGAGGCAAGGGACAAAACTTATAAACAAAGCCCTGAAGAAGCAATCACTGTATTTTCTGATTATGAAAATAATGTATGCTTATGAAACGTATGTGTTATGCAGAAAAATATACCGAAGAAATCAAATCGCAAATTGCTCATAATCCCACGATCTGGAGCTAACTACTCATAAACTTTTGGTGCGTTTGCACCTAGTCTTTTTCCTGTTTGTGTAGGAACGTCGTCATGTACACACTTCTATATCCTGCTTTTTGCAGTTGCAAGAGACATTCTAAAGACCAGTCAGCAGGACATAGAGAAGTGGGGAGTCAAAGATGACTCTGAGTGGCTTGGGGCCTTATTAAGTGGAAGAATGACCTTTCCCAAAGGCAGTGATGCTGGCCCTACGCGGGTTGGGGTGGGTAGAAGGGCGTGTTGGTCTGTTGATTTGTTTCGGGGTGCTGGTGGGAACTCCGGGCAGTAGAAACTCAGGTGAGTTATCAGCTCTGCGGATGCGCATTTGCAGATGGGTCACTGGAAGGTGATAGTTGCTGTGGTGGAAGTGAATTCTGTCTCTCAGGAAGGGTAAAGCAGAAAGAGAAAGGGTAACAGCAGTGCTGCATGAGCCGGGTTCAGGCTGGAGCTCTTCAGTGGGCTAGCCGAGTGACTGGGCAAGTTGATTTTCCTCTTTAAGGCTCAGGTTCTGTTTTGTAAAACAGTGATTCTCCAAGTGTGGTCCAGGGACAACTGGGTATCAGTGAGACTCTTTTATAGGGGGTTCACAACGTCAGAACTGTTTTCACAGTACTACTAAGATGTTATATTCCATTTTTTCATTCTCTCATGAAGGTACAGTCAAATTTTCCAGAAACTACATGGTGTGTGATGATGTCACGGCTCTATGGGCTGTGCATTTTGTTTAAAATTTTCACAGTTTTAATTTCTAACATGGTAACTATCAGTAGATATAATTGATGTTAATAAAAGCTCTTGAGCCTCCTCAGTAATTTTTTAAGCCTATAAAAGCGTCCTGAGGCCACAACATTTGAGAACCACTTCCATAAAATAATGCTGTATAAGTAGTTGAGATCAGATGAAATAAATAAATATATAATAACTGTCCACTAAATCATAGTTACTATTATCTTTTATACTCACTATGGTTACTGACAGCCAGATTTCAGGAGGTAGGAGTGGAGGATCAAGTTGGAGAGAGAAGGGGCATGGAGAGAGGAAGGGAGGAAGGCAGGAGAGTAGAATGTCACGCCTGACCAGGGGGCTCAAGGCTTGGGAGGAGGGAAGGTCGCCAGTGTGAGAGGCTGCACAGTCAGGTGGTCGGGCTCAAGTCTGTGGAGGGGTGGGAGGCAGTGCCATGGTTGTGGGAGGCTTGTGCAGTGTGATTGGGCTGTGAGGGCATTGGAGGTAGCCTGTTGCTGCCCTTCCAGTTAATGGAGAGATGAAAGGAAGGAGGGAGCCTCATTTCCGTTCATCTAAGCAGAGGTTGACTCCTGTAATCTTTTTTTTCTTTCAGTTTTTTTTTTTTTATTATACTTTAAGTTTTAGGGTACATGTGCACAACGTGCAGGTTAGTTACATATGGTATACATGTGCCATGTTGGTGTGCTGCACCCATTAACTCGTCATTTAACATTAGGTATATCTCCTAATGCTATCCCTCCCCTCTCCCCCCACCTCACAACAGGCCCCGGTGTGTGATGTTCCCCTTCCTGTGTCCAAGTGTTCTCATTGTTCAATTCCCACCTATGAGTGAGAACATGCGGTGTTTGGTTTTTTGTCCTTGCGATGCACACGTATGTTTATTGCGGCACTATTCACAATAGCAAAGACTTGGAACCAAGCCAAATGTCCAACAGTGATAGACTGGATTAAGAAAATGTGGCACATATACACCATGGAATACTATGCAGCCATAAAAAAGGTTGAGTTCCTGTCCTTTGTAGGGACATGGGTGAAGCTGGAAACCATCATTCTCAGCAAATTACCGCAAGGACTCCTGTAATCTTTTGAAACTTTTTTACTCCATGTTTGAGGCATGGCCTGGTCTGCATCCCTGGATCCCAGCCCTTACCTGGACATGACAAACCCAGGCTCAGCAGAAGACAGATTTTTTTGTTTGTCTCTTTTTGTTTTGAAGAAGAGAAAAAGAAAACAGGGAGTTTGGGGTTGGTGAAAGAAGGCTGGAGGAGCAAGGGAGGGAAGGGGCTGCTGGCTGGAAAGAGAAAGGAGGGGAGAGTTGCTGCTGTTGCTGACACCTTGAGTTGGGAGCGCATGGAAGTTTTTTCTTTCTTTTAGGTGAACTTTATAAGTAATATGATGCAAATGTCTGGTATTTTTCCTTATACAATATTTTAAAATATCTTTGTGTGCAAAATACACTTATACAAGGTGTATTAGTAGTTTAAAAGGTGCTCTTGAGTGACTTGGGTCACATAATTTGGTTTTAAACTTCTGTTGCTTTATTTTAAACATGGAAACTGTGTGAGCATGAGAGTGGAGTGGGAGAGAGTGGAGTGGCAGAGATCGAGTGTGTATGTGTTTCTTTTTGCCTGTCAGAGAGAGAGAAGTTATTTAGAAATGTCCAGTTGTGTGATATATAGCAGTTTGGTCTAAAGTTGATTGATGTGATACTTCCTTGTTTCTTGACTGTTTTTCTAAGTTATTTTGATAGCTTTGGCTGTTTTTGCAGATTCTGGAATTGGGATGCCATCTTACTGAAGCTTGTTTTGTGAAAGAGAATATGTTAATTATACTTAGACCTGTAGCCTGGGAAAAGAAGTAATAGTGTTTTAGCTCCTTCCTGAGGACTGAGAGATTTATTTTGGTGGCTTTGACTGCCTTTCCTCACGTTCAGGTTATAAAAAGACAGGGGAAAAAATCCTTCCAGGGAGGTTGGTCAGCACTGGCTTGGACTTAGCCCGCACATTCATCCAAGCACAAAGGAGGTAACCACCAGTGGGGCCAGGAAGCTTGCCTTCGGTCACTCCTATTATCCCTGGGCGGAGCATTTGTGTTTTTTGCTCTGTCCATTTCCAAATGTATTCATTTTTCATTGTTGCTGTCCATGAGATAGGAAATAGCTGTTTCTGTGATCAGTCATTTATTTATAGACACTTTAAGTACATTTCAGTGGGATATGTAGAATTTAAAGTAAATTGAGAAAGTTAATGCTTTCAATGTAATTGTTGATCAGTAATTTGGTCACTCATTACTATTTCTGGCCACTCATTCACTTGCTAGGAATTCTGCTAAATCCTGCGCTGTACTATCTAATTCACTTCTTCACAACAGTTCTACAGGGGTGAACATCATTAGATCCGTCTTATAGATGGGAAACTGAGTCTCAAAGAAGGATCAGGTTCTGTCTCATATGCCCGTCTTCAGAGAAGGCTTTATTACCTCACTCTGGTTTTCTGGCTTGCTAACATTCCCCATTTTATGAATGTATACGTGTGTGTATGTGTGAATATATTTTTGTTTGCTTATTATCTCTTAAACTCTCTGAGAGCCAGTCACCGTGTAGATCTTGTTCATGGCTGTTTCCCCGGGGCCTGGAACTGTGCCGGGAAGACCTGAGCACTCAGAAAGTATTTGTTACATTTATAAGTATCTCCACTCACCCTCCACACATGCCTCTTACTTTCTGTGGTTGCTCGTGAGGGATTGGGATCCGTAGTCACGGCGTTTGTTGCATGTCTCACATTGTTCTCCGTGAGGAGGAAAAGAGCATCTTGACAATCCTCCTATTGGGTATTAGGAAGACGTGAGGGGTGACGGAGGGCTGAGCAAGAGCCTGGGTAAACAAGGACAGCTTCAGCTCTTTCCCGTGTATTAAGTTTACTTAATATTACACTCCCAATGAAGATTAAGATTACTTCATATTACACACCAATGCACATTATGTTTATCCCTTAAGGTTAGAGAGTTGGAGGTACAGCACTATGGTACAACACTTTACTGTGTTTAAATGATACACAGTTTATAGGGCAGAATACTCTTGTTTCTTTCTTCAGAAAAGATATTTTAAAAAATTTTTATTTTGAAATAATTGTAGATTTATAGTAAAGTTGCAAAATAGTAGAGAGTTCCCATATATAAACTCTTCACCGAACTTCCCGTAATATTATGCCTTATGTAACCACAGCACAATGATCAAAACGAAGAAATTAACTAAATTTTATCTAGATTTCACCAGTTTTCCCACTAATGTCTTCCTTCTGGTTCAGCATCCAATCCGGGATCCCACATTGCATCTAAATGTAGCATGTCTCCTGAGTCTTCTCTGGTACGTGACAGTTTGTAAGTCTTTCCTTGTTTTTCATAACCTTAATTTTTGAAGAGTACTGGTCAGTTATTTTTTAGAATGGTTCTCAGTGTGGCTTTCTCTGATGTTTTATCACAAATACGTTGAAGTTAAGCAATTTTTGACAATAATACCACAAAAGTGATTTTGTGTCCTTCATATGTTACTGGGGTATGTGATGTCAATATGTCTTACTACTGGTGATGTTGACCTTGATTACGTGGTTAAGGTGGTATCTGCAGGGTTTCTCCACTGTAATGTTTTATTTTTTTTTTCCTGTTTGTAATTAATAAATATCTTGGGGGAGATACTTAAAATTTTTGACTTCAGTTTGCAAAAGAATTTTCCCCTCATGGCAACACACCTCAGATTTTCTAATAAAAGTTATTGTGAATATAAGAACTATTTAAAACTTTTTTTTTCCCACTGACTTAGTGAGAAAGGATTTGTCATATTATTTGAAATGAAGGGCGCTTATGTTTTGGAAGGCTGATGATGATTGTATAGAACTATGTGCTTCAAACAAGATCCACAGTAAGACATTCATCTGCTCAATGCATGCTGATATTTTCTACTCTCTACTACTTTTTTTTGAGACAGAGTCTTGCTCTGTGGCCCAGGCTGGAGTGCAGCAGCTCCATCTCTGCCCACTGTAACCTCCACCTCCCGGGTTCAAGCAATTCTTATGCCTCAGCCTCTTGAGTAGCTGGCATTACAGATACCCGCCACCACGCCCAGCTAATTTTTTTTTGCAGTTTTAGTAGAGACGGGGTTTCACCATGTTGGCTAGGCTGGTCTTGAACTCCTGACCTCAGGTGACCCACCCACCTCAGCCTCCCAAAGCGCAGGGATTACAGGCATGAGCCACTGCGCCCGGCCTCTCTATTATATTTTTTTAAAAAAAGATGATTGTTACTCACTAAAATGATTTTATGATTCATAGTTTGAAAAAAACACTGATGAAGTGAATTTATTATCCAGAGAAGAAGTTGGTAAAATCTGATTTTGTTACTCGAGACAACACTGAGACATCATGCCGTCAGAGTGACTGCCAATTCCGTTTCCTCTTGTTAGCTGGTTAGAGCTTTTTTTCTTTTTTTTTGAGATAATATCTCACTTTGTCACCCAGGCTTGAGTGCAGTGGCACGAAAATGGCTCACTGCAGCGTTGACCTCCCAGGCCCAAGCGATCCTCCCACCTCAGCCTCAGCCCCCCAAGTAGCTGAGTGATTTTTGTATTTCTTTTAGACAAGGGGTTTCACCATGTTGCCTAGGTTGGTCTTGAACTCCTGAGCTCAGGTGATCCGCCTGCCTTGGCCTCCCAAAGTGTTGGAATTACAGGCTTGAGCCATTGCTCAGATCAAGATTTTAAACTTTTAAGAGTGTAGGATTCTGAACCCTCCATGGGATGCCTGCTCTCAGGAACTTGGTGTCCTTTGCCCCAGGGGCCTGTGGTCTCACCTCACTGCACCTGCTGATTCTTATTGACAAAGTCTAAGCCATCACAGGGATTCTGCCTGGGACACAGTTAAGTCACTGTGTGAACTTCCTCAGAGCAGGACTTAAAAGTTCCCCAGGGAACTGTCAAGAAAAAATGATTCTAGGTGATGGAGACTAGCTCAAATTCAATCAATTTGCCAGATAAGGCTTTACGAAAATATCTGGTCTGTTCTCATCCTTTTCCCTAAAGTTGGTGTTTTCATTTGACGAGGTAGATGGGCCCTTGTGAGAAGGTATCAGTGGTCCTTGGCTGGTGCTCACATGTGATGATTCAATTAAGGTGCTTTTCTTTCTTTTTTTAAAAATATTTTTAACTTTTTATTTTGAAGTATTTATAAGAATTTGCAAAAATAATACAGAGTTCCCATGTACCTTTTACCCAACTTCTTTGAATGTTCTTTTCTTCTATAACTATCTTATAATTATCAAAACCGGAAAGTAATATTGATACAACATTATTTGAATGTTGTATCATTATTTGAATACAAATCTGAATAGACTTTATTCAGATTTCTCAGATTGCCCCAGCAATGTCTTTTATCTGGTCCAGGATCCAGTCCAAGATAACAAAATTCATTTTATTATCATGTAAAGCATTTTTTTTTTGAGACAAGGTCTTTTTTGCTCTGTCACCCAGGCTGGAGTATAGTGGCATGATCACAGCTCACTGTAGCCTCAGCCTGCTGGGCTCAAGTGAACCTCCTGCCTCAGCCTCCTGAGGAGCCGGGACTACAATCATGCACCACCACACCCAGCTATTAGTAATTTAAATTTTTTTTTTTGTAGAGATGGGGTCTCCTTATGTTGCCCAGGCTGGTCTTGAATCCTTGGGCTCAAGTGATCCTTCTGTGTTGGCCTTCCCAGCATGTGGGGATTACAGGCATAAACAGTCTTTGTTGTTGTTGTTGCTGTTTTGTTTTTGTTAAACCCAGCTGTGTGAAACATTCTTAGTTAAGACTTTTTTTGGTATTAGGGGCAACTTTGCCTATGCTGATAACCATATTTAGGGTAAGAGTAGACGGCATTTCCTCCAGAATACCTCTGTCCATTCAAAAGATTGAGGAATTATGCCTCCTGGCATCCTTTGATGGACTATGGATAGGCAATTTGGGCTGTTAACACCTTGATTGGATTAATTGTTTACTTTCACTTATCAAATGAGACGTGGGGCATTTTGATTCTTGGTGGGATGGAAAGGGTTGGAGTTTAGAGTGAGTTGGAGGAAGACAGGTCTCAGTGGTGTGGCAAGTATTGGTTTTAGGCAGAATTAGTTAAATATATAGTACAAGGGTTGCAAACTCAATGCCTATAGGGACCAGGCAGACCTGGAATAATTCCACATTAGAAACCGTGAGCAGAGAGGAGAAAATAAATAAAAATAAATATATTTTCATCTTCACAATCAGGGAGATAATAGGCTGTGGAGGGCACTTGCTAGCTTCCATAACAAATTTACCCCCACTTGGTTTTTTTTTTTTTTTTTTTTTTTTGAGTCTTGCTCTGTTGCCTAGGTTGGAGTGCAGTGACATGATCTGGGCTCACTGCAGCCTCTGCCTCTCAGGTTCAGGCGATTCTTGTGCTTCAGACTCCAGAGTAGCTGGGATTACAGGCGCCTACCACCGCACCCAGCTAAATTTTGTATTTTTAATGGAAACAGGGTTTTGCCATGTTGGCCAGGCTGGTCTGGAACTCCTGGCCTCAAGTGAATCCTCCCGCCTTGGCCTCCCAAAGTGTTGGGATTACAGGCGTGAGCCATCGCACCCACCCTACCCCCACATTTTCGTGGCTCTCACTAAAGATACCAAAGAAGTTTATCTTTTGCCATGTAAACAGATGATGATCTGCAGTTCCTGGTCAGCAGGTGGTTTTTCTTCTATATCCTGGAGCCTCTTTTATACCTCTGGGGCCTCACAGTCTTCTCTGCTTAGCCAGCGGAAGAGGGGAGAGGGTGGAGGAGGCACACCTTCTTCTTGGCTGCTTTGGTGTGGGAGAGACACATCAATAATGCTCACCCTTCATTGGTGAGAATAGTCACATGGCCACGCCGGATGCAGGGAAGGCTGGGAACCTGTTGTTACTGGCTAGGAGCCACGTTCCAGTAACAATTCTATACCCAACAGGGGAAGTTGTCTCTTTCTGCCACACTCTGTGTCTAGAGAGATGATGTTTCTCCATTCTGATCAGTGATGCCATTCAGGACCTCGGCACCTGCCACTCGTCTGCTGGAGGTGTTCTTTCTCCAGATGTCCGCATCTCCCACTCCTTCTCTCTTGAGTTTTTGTTCAAATGTCGCTTCTTCAATGTGGGCTTTCTCAGTTATTCCATTGAAAATAGTGCCCCCTATTGCTGGTGTTTCCTGTCCCCCCTCTATTTTTCCTCGTTTACAGCACTTATCAAAATTTGGCCTCTTAGGTATTTTCCTTACTTACTGGTTTATAGTCTGAGTCCCTCTGTGAGCACTGGGACCATTTCTGTCTTGTTCTTGGATTATGCTCCTTGTGCTTGGCGTGTACCAAGTGTTCAGGTGTTGAATGAAAAATGGGAACCCGTACTGTTAAAATCCCTAAATTTTCAAATATTGGCAAGGATTTTAGCGGAAACAAACAACCAAACAAGGAAACCATGCAGGCCAAACAGATACTCTCTCTGGGTATGATGCTGTCTGCTGGCTGCCAGCCTGGGCTTCGAGTGGAGGACCAGGTGCCAGGGGCTGAGGCTGGAAGACATGGGTTTGCATTCTGAGTCTGCCACTTGCTCATTTTGTGAGCTTGGATGTATTATTGTACTTCTCTGAGCCTCAGATTCTTCTTCTGAAACATGACTTTAATAGTCCTCCCTTCTTGCCCTCTTCCTCTGGTGTTACTGTGATGACTATATGGGGTAGATTATACATAAAAAATGCACAGTGGGCTAGGTGCAGTGACTCATGCCTGTAATCCCAGCACTTTGGGAGGCTGAGGCAGGTGGATCACTTGAGATTAGGAGTTTGAGACCAGCCTGGCCAACATGGTGAAACCCCATCTCTACTAAAATTACAAAAATTAGCCGGGCGTAGTAGCAGGCGCCTGTAATCTCAGCTAGTTGGAGACTGAGGCAGGAGAGTCGCATGAACCTGGGAGGCGGAGGTTGCAGTGAGCCGAGATTGCGCCACTGCACTCCAGCCTGGGTGACAGAGAGAGACTCCATCTCAAAAAACATATATATAGTATTAGTATGTGTGTGTGTGTGTATATATATATAGTATTAATATATATAGTATTAATGATTAATATTAATGATTAATATTAATACTATATATAGTATTAATGAGATATTTTACATTTTTCATGGTAAATACATCTTTAAAATCTGGCATGATTTTGTACTTACAGCACAGCTCAATTTGGATTAGTCACATATCAGGTGTTCAGTAGCCACATGTGGCTAGTAGCTGCCATATTGGACAGCACAGGTCTAGTGAGTGAACAAAAGATCATAAGGTAGTGGTAAGTGGGAACATTCTATAAAGAAAATAAAGCACAGTAAAGGGGTAGCTAACCACAGATAACAGTGGTCAGGGAAGGACTGGCTGTGTAGGTGATTGGTGAAGGAAGTAAGGTAATGAACCGTGGGAATATCTGGGAAGAATATTCTAGGCAGAAGTAACAGCCAGTGCAGAGGCTGTGTGTCAGGAGCATGCCTGGAACATGCAATGGGTGCAGGGAGGTCTGTGGGCCCAGAATAGGGAAGTGTGGCTCATATAGGGCCTATTAAGCCACCTAAAGTCTTAGGTTTTAAGTGTGGTAGGGCCATTGGAGGAGTGAGAACATGTGTTGGCCTGACATATGTTGTCAAAAGGTCACTTGTGCTGCTAATGGAGAACAGAATCCCAGGGGGCAAGAATAGACACACAGTGATTTGCGCAAGAGGCATGGATGTATACAGTCATGATTATTCACTCAGCAAGCATTTACTGACCACATATAGAGTGCAAAGCATCGTGTTTTGCATCGAGGCCACAGTGGGCATAGTCCTTGCTCTCTGGAGTCTCCGGGTAGCCAGTTAGTGACCAGTTGGTTCATGGCAGAGCGGTGTGAGAATGTGGAGAGCCATTCTGTTGAGGAGACAGGTGTGATACCACCTGGTTGTGCTGTTTCTTTGTTTTTGTTTTTGGTGAGGCTGATCACCAGCTAGAGTGTCATGTAAAGAAGTTGCACCCAAGTGACCTGTAAGTTTCTTCTAGTGCTGAGATGAACAGCCTTTATTCTGTTGGTACTGGACCACCTCTGAAGATGAGCTGGGGAGGTGGGGGCTGATGTTATCAGTGTCTAATGAGTGGCCCAGTGTTGGAAGGGGGAGGATGGTAAAGGAGGGAATTTAGGAATACTCCAAGGCAAGCTTTTCCCCAAGGGAACCTTGTTTCCAGGGTAACATAGCCTATGTTTTCTACCAACAAATAGTTTTCAGATTTTCTGCCCTTTCTAATGACTAATAAATGAATTAATGAGTCAGTAGAAATAATCCATTCCTCCTTCTCTAGAGCCTAAGTGCTCATGAAACTGATTTGATTGTCTTTGATTTGATCTTGGCTTGAATTCCTTTCTGTTTTGATTTTGAAGAATGAGAAAATTTTGTGGTTGTTTTTGTTTTTGCCATCTTCCCCCTTTTCCCTTTTCCCTTCTCTGACTTTTGAGAGGTAGCTATCACTAATCAGTACTGAATAAAGGTGATGTATTTTTCTATACCATCTTCTTAAGCCCTTGAAGCATATTTGTATTTATTGATTTGCTTTGTTTTTATTTGTTTATTCATCTGGTCAGCAGACATTAAGTGCTTTCTGCATGTGAGAAACTGCTTTTTCCTTTTATGAGCTTTTCCTTGGAGGATGGCCTTTGGTCTATGGCTTGATTAAGTCAGTAAGGTTTCTTTGGGGATGTCATTAGCCTCATAATCCCGAACTTTTGCATCATGCCCAGTACAGTGCAGAGTGTGGCAGAGGCATGCATGTGGAAGGGTAGGTTCTCAGGTTACATCTTGCCATTGCCACTAACCACCTGCATTGTTTTATACGTGGCACTCTGTCTTCTGATTTCGTCTCATATCCTCTTCTGTACAGTGAGGAGGATCATATGTTCCTTATTCATAGGGTTATTTTGAGGACTTAAGGAATTAATGGCTGTGAAGTGCTTGCACAGAGTAAGCACAATGAATGCAACATTACAATTTTGTCTTGTACCTAGGGTTTTACATGAATATTGTGGTGATGTTGGTATGGGATCCTTGGGGTGTCATTTTGCCAGCTGGAAACCTTTGTGGCCAGTGGCACCTTTGCCCAAGTTTTGCTCAGGCTCATTCTGTCCACTCAGCCTGGCAGGCTGTGCTCAGCTTGTGCTACCAGCCTGGATCCCATGCCTGCCAAGGGCAAGCCAGGCATGGAGCGGCAAAGGGTGTGTGAGCGAGTGTGGGGTCCAGCTACTGCTCACAGCCAGGCGTGCTGACTGCAGTGGGGTGGGCAACTCCAGGTGCTGGCATGGGCGCCAGCTCCCTGCAAGGCTGCAGCTGGACCAGATGTACTGCAAACAGCTTCCGTGGCTGGCACTGGGGAATGTGGTAGCACCTGGAAGTTCGGAGACACCAGAAACCACAGAGCCCCAAAGAGGGTGTGACAGCCCTGGCTCAGGGAGCTCCTAGGCCTGGGCTCCCTAGAGGGCCACAGCTCTTCTCTCCCCTCTTCTCTCCTTTTTGTTGCCTGCAACGTGGTGAGCAAGGGACATGTTTTGGCCCTGTTCATGCTACAGCTGTTTTAGCCCCACCATTTGATGGGTCCCAAGTTCCTGTCCTGTGTCCAGAAAGAATAAGGTACATGGGAAAGTGGAGGGTGAGCAAGGCAAAGAGGAGCTTTATTGAGCGACAGACAGCTCAAAGGAGACCCGCACTGGGTAGCAGGCAGGGTGTCCCGATGAGCGTTCAGCGCTCAGCAGAGAGGAGACCCTGGAGTGGGTAGCTCCACTCTGCAGGCAGGTCATCTGTTGAATGTTCAGCTCTCAGCAGAGAGGAGACCCTGGAGTGGGTAAATCCTCTCGGCAGCTGGCAGGTCATTGTCTTTTCGAGTCTGGCTGAATCCTGGGCTTTTATGGGCCTCATAGGGGAGGAAATATGTGCAGATTGGTCCATAGGTGGCTATGGGTGGGCCCGGCAAAAAACCACAAGTTCCCACTCCACTCTGCAGGATTGGCAGCCTGGTCCGCAGGCTTCATGTCCTCCTCAGTTTGAAGCTGGGGCTTCACCCAGGACCCACCTCCTTCTTTCTACCCAGGAGCCTGCCTGTCTCCTGCTGCTGTTCATGGTGCCCAGGCTGTTCATGCCAAGGGGTGCCTGCAGGCCGGCGCTGAGCTGCCCTCAGCCCCACCTCAGCCTCCCTCCCATGCTCATCAGTGCTAAAAGTCTGGAGGGGGCTGAAGTGGCTGTGGACTGGCATGTCAGTGCTTCCCTAAGTGTGCGCACACCTGGCTGGGCTGCGACAGTGCAGGACTCCTTCCTGCTTTGGGCTCCTGTCTGCTCCTGTCTGCTCCTGTCTGCTCCTGGCTCCTGCTGGCTCTGTGGAGCATGCAGCCCAGCTGCACCTCCCCCGCTGTAGCCAGCGTCTTGGTAGCGGTTGCTGCAGGTGGACCACTGTTGCTATGAATGTGGAGAAGAATCTTACATAACTAAATAATGAATAGACAAAGTCTACTAGTCACTGAGTTCTAAGTTCTGCTGTGTAGATAGTAAAGTACAGTAGGTGTCTGGAGAAAGGAACATCAATGTGAGCTTATGTTTACAAGCAAGGTGTTTTGGGGGAAGTTGAGCTATTGAGGTCCAAATAGGCTTAGCTGGTGAACAGTAGATACTCTCTTAGGCTCAATGTCTGTCTCTCCATTGGGCTCAATAAAAGCCACAGAGCTTTTCTTGGCTAGAGATGAGTAAGGGTACGATCCCCACCCTCAAGTAGCTCATGATCTTGTGGGAACAACAGAAACAAAGAAAGCCTCACAAGTTCTCTAGTTAATAATGTTGCATTCAAGGCGTGACAGCGTGGGGGTCAGGAGGCATTGAGTAGAGCTCCTTGGGAGGGCTGGAGAAACACCCTAGAGGACATCAGCACTGAGGGCAGGGCTCCCTGGCAGGATGAGTCAGCCAACAGACAAGGCTGGCAGTAGCATTTTAAGCAGAAAGCGTACAGAGACCCCAGGCTCTGGAGTATGACTGTGAGCTACAAAGTCTCACGAAATGGCTGAAACTTCAGATGGGTGGTGAGAGTGGAGACTGGAGAGGTGGGAGGCCACATTAGAAATTAAAATAGAGGCCGGGTACGGTGGCTCATGCCTGTAATCCCAGCACTTTGGGAGGCCGAGGTGGGTGGATCACTTGAGGTCAGGAGTTCGAGACCAGCCTGACCAACACGATGAAACCCTGTCTCTACTGAAAATACAAAAATTAGCTGGGTGTAGTGGCAGGCACCTGTAATCCCAGCTACTCAGGAGGCTGAGGCAGGAGAATTGCTTGAACCCAGAAGGTTGCAGGGAGCCAAGATCACACCACTGCACTCTGTCTTAAAAAAAAATAATAAATTAAAATAGAAAGTTAAAACATAGGAATATATAAGCACATATTTCCTTAGCTATCAGAAATGTGAGTGTGAAAAAGACAAATAATATGCTGGTGTCATAATGAAAATAATTTTAACCTTGCAGAGCCCCCCAAGACCTTTAAAAACCTCTGGGCTGCGTGTCAGGATACAGTGGTCTCCAAGCTAGGCACAGTTCTTGCCTTTGTTGTACTGGATGCTGTGGTGCTGTGGAAGCCCATGGTGGGGGGTTGGGTCTAACAGACTTGTGGCATCAGGAAGGGTACTTGGAGAGACAGACCTGAAGTGGAGACTAGCCTGGGACAACAGGTGTAGTGGTGGATGGAGCAGCATGTGGGAGGCCCAGAGGCCTCACCTGAAAACCTCAACGAAGCTCATAATGGCTGCGTGTTAATATTGCATATGCTGGGATGATACCAGCAGTTTGAGTTCTCTGGCTTCAGCGTGATATGATTTTATCCACTTGTTTATTTTCAGAGGCACATGTAGCTGTTCTCAATTCCCTTCTCTGTATGACTTATAGGAAGCTAAAGGCTTCCTTGTGTTAGGGAGCTTCCTATTTCAAGTGCTGAGCTGGGTTTGTCAAGCTTTGAAAATGCAGACAGAGCCATGAAACCTAAGGGGGACTCAGAGGAAGTGTCCATGTGCAGGAGAGACAAGGCTGAATTAAAAGGCATGATTAATCACAAAAGAGTGGAAGAGTGATGCTTGAGAGTTGAGGACGTGAGTAAAACAGAAGTAGAACTGCTCATTTGATGTCATCACGTTATCTCAAGATGAGCCCTCTTGGCCTCAGACAGTGGGTAGCATTACATTATATGTTAGCTCCGCGCCCCCACGCCCACCCTCCTTCTTTGAAATGATGTCTAAATTAGAGGTGTAACTGTCCCACCAGGTGCAACTTGAGCCTTCCTTTGCCCTCCTGTAGCTGTCGTGGGAGGGGGGCCTGCTTTCTTGGGCACAGACTGTTTGGTCAGCTGAGCCACAGAAATGAGGCCAGGCCTGTGTTGCTCTCTGTCTATGCTTGATTGCAAGGAACACTGATGATATCAGAGGGCTTTCTTACCTCAAGCCCTTCTGGCTTAAGGACAAGGTTATTTCTTTCATTTCTGTCTGCAAACTGTGGTAGTGTATTCGATTTCAAGGATTCTGGGATGAATTCTTCAATGATAAGAACCTGCTATTATTGTCCCTGCTTTACAGCTCCAGGGATTGGCAGCCTCATTCTTCAAAAGTTGCACACCTTTAGGGCCTTGGGAGGTACAGGCACCAGCAAGGAGTCAGAAGGAATGAAAGCTGGAGAGATGCGGCCCACACTGGAAAGACAGGAGGAAAGGAGAGAGAAAGCGCCTCGGCCAGGCACAGTGGCTCATGCCTGTAATCCCAGCACTTTGGGAGGCTGAGGCGGGAGATCACCTGAGGTCAGGAGACTGAGACCAGCTTGACCAACATGGTGAAACCCCATCTCTACTAAAAATACAAAACTAGCCGGGCATGGTGGCGAGTGCCTGTAATCTCCGCTACTTAGGAGGCTGAGGCAGGAGAATTGCTTGAACCAGGAGGCGGAGGTTGCAGTGAGCTGAGATCGTGCCATTGCACTCCAGCCTAGGCAACAAGAGCAAAACTGCATCTCAAAAAAAAAAAAAAAAGAAGAGAAAGCCCCTCACTGGTGGTTTCTTCACTAAATCCTAAATAAGAAATTAGAAAACCTGGACAGTCAAACCTAATGTGCTCCTAGCTGGGTTAAATCATGTTTTGTTCAAAGTAAGCTTGATTATTTTCATCACATCAGCCAGCATTTTCATTCCTGTGTTTTGAGAGAAGTGGGAAATCCAGGCTCTCATGTAAAATATTATTTTAAATATGTTGGCAACTAATTAAAAATGTTTTAGAACACCCGTTCTAGCCCTGGGATGCTATTTTAAAACTTCTAGTTTAGAATGCATGTTTCGGCCAGGCGTGGTGGCTCATGCCTGTAATCCCAGGACTTTGGGAGGTCATGGTGGATCACTTGAACCCAGGAGTTTGAGTCCAGCCTGAGCAATGTGGTGAAAACCCGTCTCTACAAAAAATAGAAAAAATTAGCTGGACATGGTGGCATGTACCTGTAGTCTTAGCTACTTGGGAGGCTGAGGTGGGAGGATCATCTGAGCTTAGGGAGGTTGAGGCTACAGTGAGCTCTGATCGCACCACTGCACTCCAGCCTGGGTGACTGAGTGAACCCTGTGTCAAAAAAAAAAAAAAAAAAAAAAAGAATGTTTCATGTGTTTTAACAAGCTCTCTAGGGGGAAAAAAAACGAAAATGATATTTCTAGTTCTAGATCTAGATCCCTGAGGAATCGCCACACTGACTTCCACAATGGTTGAACTAGTTTACAGTCCCACCAACAGTGTAATAGTGTTCCTATTTCTCCACATCCTCTCCAGCACCTGTTGTTTCCTGACTTTTTAATGACTGCCATTCTAACTGGTGTGAGATGGTATCTCATAGTGGTTTTGATTTGCATTTCTCTGATGGCCAGTGATGATGAGCATTTTTTCATGTGTTTTTTGGCTGCATAAATGTCTTCTTTTGAGAAGTGTCTGTTCATGTCCTTCGCCCACTTTTTGATGGGGTTGTTTGTTTTTTTCTTGTAAATTTGTTTGAGTTCATTGTAGATTCTGGATATTAGCCCTTTGTCAGATGAGTAGGTTGCGAAAATTTTCTCCCATTTTGTAGGTTGCCTGTTTACTCTGATGGTAGTTTCTTTTGCTGTGCAGAAGCTCTTTAGTTTAATTAGATCCCATTTGTCAATTTTGTCTTTTGTTGCCATTGCTTTTGGTGTTTTGGACATGAAGTCCTTGCCCATGCCTATGTCCTGAATGGTAATGCCTAGGTTTTCTTCTAGGGTTTTTATGGTTTTAGGTCTAACGTTTAAATCTTTAATCCATCTTGAATTGATTTTTGTATAAGGTGTAAGGAAGGGATCCAGTTTCAGCTTCCTACATATGGCTAGCCAGTTTTCCCAGCACCATTTATTAAATAGGGAATCCTTTCCCCATTGCTTGTTTTTCTCAGGTTTGTCAAAGATCAGATAGTTGTAGGTATGCGGCGTTATTTCTGAGGGCTCTGTTCTGTTCCATTGATCTATATCTCTGTTTTGGTACCAGTACCATGCTGTTTTGGTTACTGTAGCCTTGTAGTATAGTTTGAAGTCATACCATTTGACCCAGCCATCCCATTACTGGGTATATACCCAAAGGACTATAAATCATGCTGCTATAAAGACACATGCACACGTATGTTTATTGCGGCATTATTCACAATAGCAAAGACTTGGAACCAACCCAAATGTCCAACAATGATAGACTGGATTAAGAAAATGTGGCACATATACACCATGGGATACTATGCAGCCATAAAAAATGATGAGTTCATGTCCTTTGTAGGGACATGGATGAAATTGGAAATCATCATTCTCAGTAAACTATCGCAAGATCGAAAAACCAAACACCGCATATTCTCACTCATAGGTGGGAATTGAACAATGAGATCACATGGACACAGGAGGGGGAATATCACACTCTGGGGACTGTGGTGGGGTAGGGGGAGGGGGGAGGGATGGCATTGGGAGATATACCTAATGCTAGATGACGAGTTAGTGGGTGCAGTGCACCAGCATGGCACATGTATACATATGTAACTAACCTGCACAATGTGCACATGTACCCTAAAACTTAAAGTATAATTAAAAAAAAAACTAACGAAAAAAAAACATAAAAAAAAAAAACCGAAAATGAGTATTTTAAAATTCTTTTCCTTTATTTACTTTATTTAAAACTCCTTATTTACTTTAGACCATTTCCCTTTGCTGCTTTTCTACAGCATTAGTGTTTTCAGTATTTTGGGGAGGCATCTTCCAGTGGTCTTCGTCTCGTTGTGCCACAAGCAGCCTTGCATCTCACTTACTGCATAAACAAGCTGGTCCTGTTCTGGTCACTAAGATCAGGAAAGTGGGTCTGTCTCCTGGGGTATGGAAATAGCCAGGAATCTGGATCTTCTACAGCAGTGGTCCTGAGACTTCTTGGCACCAGGGACCGGTTTTGTGAAGACAGTTTTTCCATGGACAGGGCACAGTGGTGAGGATGGTTTTGCAATGTGCCCACTCTCAGGCTGTCAGGAGTTAGGCATTAGGCATTAGTTAGATTCTAATAAGGAGGTTGCAACCTAGATCCCTTGCACGCGCCATTTACGATAGGGTTTGCTCTCCTATGAGAATGTAATGCTGCTGATATGACAGGAGGCGGAGCTCAGGCAGTAATGCTCGCTTGCCTGCCGCTGACCTCCTCCTGTGTGGCCCGGTTCCTTACTGCCCATAGACCAGTACTGCTTCATGACCTGGGGCTTTGGGATGCCTGTTCTACAAGATACAGCTCTGAAAGGAGCTTCTGCAGCCTGGGCTGGTAGTGCTGAATGGTGACGTGTGTCTGTGTCAGCTTTATCGTTCTATGTGCACTCTGAATCCATCCTCCGAACCTTGTAGCTCCCTCTGACGTGGTAGAGCAGGCAAGACTCATCCTCATTTTATGGATGAGTAGACAGAGGCTGAGCGGTTGTCAAAGCCTTGGTCAGTTCTTTAATAGAAGACCTGAAACTGGCTGTTGGGATCAGATCTGTGTCATAGTTTGTTTTCTCCTTTAGGCTTTGGTAGTGACATCTCATTATGGGATAAGCCACTAATTGTGCCTCTGAAACATTTAATGGGGGAGCTAGAGAAACAAGAATTAGGACGCTGATTCTCACCCTTCTCAGCTGACACTCGCTTCCCTCTGCCAGAGAGTCAGATTTAATTGGTTTGGGGTGCAGCCTGGGCATCAGGGTTTTTAAAGCCCCAGGAGATTCCTGTGAGCAGCAGAGCTGGAGAACTCCAGGGTTGGGGGTCCCTGCTGGGATTTGGTTTACCGGACATGCACCAGATGCAGCATGCCGTGGACCATGGTCAGCGTGCTTGCCTTCAGTTGATGCCCTGATGTTTCCTGGATGACAGCAAAATGAAAATAATGCATGTGTTTAGAGTGTTGCTATTTCTTCCTGTTTTGTTTCTTTGTGTTGCGTGAGTTGCAGCGCTCCTCAGAAAGTGCAGGTGGGGAATAGCATTCTCTGTGTCTGAGCAGCATGCTCAGAGTGAGACCAGAGGCAGGTGGGGAGCAGTTCTTTATCAAGCTGAGGTCGTGGAGGCACTGGAGAAGGTGATATGACACAGTTTCAAAGAATATTCTGGAAAGGAACTTTCTGGTGACATACTCCTTTTCCCCCAGAATAAAAAATGTGATTGCGCTTCTTTTTTGGACTAACTTTGTTTCACTTACCAAAGTCAGGTCTCTCCTTGGTGTGGGCACCCATGCCTGATTGACAGCACTAGCCATTTGCTGTCACCCATGTGGGGTGATTGTGGGCCATCTAAGGGCATGAGCCATGATATTAATGTTTCTGTATCCCTCACAGCCTTGTAAAGGGGAGGCATGTGTTTGTCCTGCCTCTGGCCATGGTGGCTCTGTCATTTATCGTGAGTGGGCATGGCCAGCTTGCCTTAGGAGAGGTGATGGATGCGGACGCTGAGCATGGGACAGGAAGGACACAGCATGCTTATGTGTCTTTAGGTGGGACAGTCTGTATGTCGTCAGAATAACTGGACATAATTCACAAGAATTTAAAAATAAGTGAAAGCTGGGTGCGGTGGCTCACACCTGTAATCCCAGGACTTTGGGAGACCGAGGCCGGCAGATCCCCTGAGGTCAGGAGTTCGAGACCAGCCTGGGCAAAATGGCAAAACCCTGTCTCTACTAAAAATACAAAAATTAGCCAGGCCTGGTGGTGGGCATCTGTAATCCCAGCTACTCAGGAGGCTGAGTCAGGAGAATCGCTTGAACCTGGCAGGCAGAAGTTGCAGTGAGTCAAGATTGCACCACTGCACTCCAGCCTGGGCAACAGAGTGAGACTCCATCTGAAGTAAATAAATAAATAAATAATTAAATAAAAATAAGTGAAAGAATTTTTGTGTTTCTGTTAGCCTTATCTTTATGAATTGTGCCTCTGCATTGAGTTGATGTAGATAAAGCATTTCATGAACAAAGCTTTTGAAGATTTTTACAAAGTCAGCTGTGTGGTGCTTCTGTATTTTCATGATATCTGGGCAGAAGACTTGGCAACATTTATTTTCTAGATTCCACTTGCACCTATTTTGGGAAAGGGTCAGAAAGGTTATGTTAAAGTGAATCTCCACACCAGAATGTAAGCTCCCAGAGATCATTTTGTTGGTTTTGTCCACTGGTTTATCTCCAGGTGCTGCAAATAGTAGCTGGCACATAGTAGAGACACGGTAAACATTAACTGAATAAATGGAGGGATCTTGATTTCATGATGAAGATGAACACATAGATTGAGTATCGACTCCATAGCTGGCCTTATATTGTCTGTTTTCTTCTATCACATCTTTCAGCAAAAAATTGTACATCAGTGCAGCTCAATAACCACAGTGTTGCTGTGTAATTAGTACACCATGGCTTAGCAAAGTTATGTAATGTACCCAAAGTCGCAAAGCTACTAAGACTCAGGATTTCAATCCAGGTCCCCCAAACCTAGTGCCCCCTCTCCCAATTATTAAACCACTGTGCTTGGCAATATACATGTTAGGCACTATGCTTGGTGAAAAAGTGACAAGAAACCAAAATTCCATCTTGTTCCACTATGATTTGAAGTCTTTTTGAAGAAAAAGTCTTGCAATTTAGTTTGAATTATACCAGTATCCCTTCCCTAGCTGGTATATGGCATTTAGCTGGTGGTGTTACAAAAGGAATCAACTCCATTTTATAGGCCAAAATTGTATTTTTTTTTTTTGTAAGCTGCCACTGAGAACATTTTTCTAGAATAGAGATAAAACTGGGAAGAGGGTTATAGTGATGTGGATGAAGAGCAGAGAAAACACACTTCTTTGTGTTTCATAGTGCTGCAGCACTAAACTAGGATGTCTTTGGGCATTGAATAGTCGATTTAATGTCTGAATCCAGGAAAACAAAAATAAGTATGAATGTTCTTATGTTCTGCAATACCTCTTTTACATTTCCACGTTTTTCTTTTGAGACAGAGTCTCACTCTGTCACCCAGGCTGGAGTGCAGTGGTGCGATCTCGGCTCACTACAACCTCTGCCTCCCGGGTTTAAGCAATTCTCCTGCCTCAGCCTCCTGAGTAGTTGAGATTATAGGCGCTTGCCACCACACCTGGCTAATTTTTGTATTTTCAGTAGAGTTGGGGTTTCACTATGTTGGCCAGGCTGGTCTCAAGCTCCTGACCTCAAGTGATCCACCCACCTCAGCCTCCCAAAGTGCTGGGATTACAGGCGGGAGCCACCTCTCCTGGCCTTTTTTTTTTTTTAAATAGAGATGAGGTGTCGCCATGTTGGCCAGGCTGGTCTTAAACTCCTGGACTCAAGTGATCTGCCTGTCTCAGCTTCCCAAAGTACTGGGATTACAGGTGTGTGCCACTGCACCCGGCCTAAATTTCCATTTTTAAAAATGAGTATGTTGTTTGTGTCTTTTGAGGAAGCATATCAAAGAAGTTTGGCCACGTGCACAGCCGTATCTTTTTTCCATGACTCAAAAGAAGATACTCAGAAGGAGATGGAAGGCCCCCAACGCTTTGCTCCTGGAGTCAGAGTCAGCAGCTGTGACTGCAGGGAGAAACAAGCTTCATTTCTGTCTTTGGAGTTAACATTTGCCAAGTTAATTGATATTTTTGGGGAAAATCTATCTGCATTTAAAAATTAAAAGTTTAAGCTTTGAAGTATGAGTTTAACTTTAGTGCTCGAGTTTAAGAATAGTATCTTGTTTTAGCTGTTTCATTTGATCTTTCATGTGCTTATACATTCATTCATTCATTCATTCATTCATCAAGTGTTTGCTGTATATGAGGACAGTGCTAGGTGTTGTGAAATATATGAAGAGCAGGACATCATCTTTGGCCTCAGGAAGCATGTACACTGGTGGGGAAGACAAATGTATAGTAGCCCATCAGTAAGCAGGTCAAATGTGGTAACTGCTGTGGTGTGTTATGGAATGTCACCCAGAAGATACTGGCTAGGAGAGGTCTGAGAAGGCTTCCTGGAAGAGGAAGTTTTTTTTTTTTTTTTTTTTTTTTGAGATGGCTTTTCACTCTTGTCACCCAGGCTGGAGTGCAATGGTGTGATCTTGGCTCACTGCAACCTCTGCCTTCCAGGTTCAAGCGACTCTCCTGTCTCAGCCTCCCAAGGAGCTGGGATTATAGACACCTGCCACACCTGGCTAATTTTTGTATTTTTAGTAGAGACGGGGTTTCACCGTGGTGGCCAGGCTGGTCTCGAATTCTTGACCTCCAATCATTCACCTGCCTTGGCCTCCCAAAGTGCTGGGATTACAGGCGTGAGCCACAGTGCCCGGCTGAGGAAGCATTTTTATGGGCTTTGAAGGATAAGTCACTTGGATTAGATAGGTACATTCCAGGCAGAAGGACCAGCATGAGCAAGGCCCAGGACTCACAGAGGCGGGTCTTTGTGAGACCTGCAAGAAGGAACAGTTTGGAATGGGACAGGGGAGCCTGGGTGCCTCTGGGTCGTGTGGTGGGAAATGAGGCTAAGTGCGCGTCTCGATTCTCCTGTCCAGTGCCTGATGCATTTGATGACTTCCACCCTGTTTGGAGAGCAATCGTGTGGATTCTCTAAATATACTGGCTGGCTCATTGTGTTCCCCTGGGATCCCAAGCTTACATACCCTCTCCAGGAAGATGTAGCTGAAATCAGATTAGGAGTGCCAGCTTTGCTCTCAGCAGTTCTTTGTGGCTTTGAAGTATTGATCGCTTACTGAGTTCCTGAGTTCCTTTTACAATGCTGACTCTGTAGTGGGAGCTTTGAGTAAGTCACTTAACCTTTCTGGACCTGCATTTCTTTACATGTGAGGTGATGTCATGGGCTAAGTCTCCTTCTTCCAAGTCCATCTCTTGTCAAGTGCTGCATTCCTTGAGCCTCAGCTTGACTCTCAGGCCGCTTACCATCTTGCTTGACCCTAAATCTCCTTTCTGCGGAGTATCCAAAATTCCCCATGAAAGTGTCATTATTATCTTTGGTCTTGAGCAAAATTTAGTCCTTTATGGTTTGGGACATGAATTTTGTAATGTATGAAATTTTTCAGTTGTCCACCAGATTTTCTCAACTAGAACCAGGGTTCCAAGATAGAATTAAGTCCTAATACCTTGAGTAAGGCATCTGTTATGTGTAATGAGTTGACTTCTGTCCTATGCTTCTGGAATAATTCTAGTTATATACTTTCTTTAGGAAAAGTGGGAAAATAGTCACTCAAATAACTTTGGTGTTCTAGGACTCAGAAGAGGAGCACCTCGGTTGGAAGTCAGTGGTGATAACCCTAAAGGCATAGTCTGTTCTGGATTTTTGTTCTGGAATTGGGGATAGGTGGGTTGGGCTCCATTCAGAAGAAGGGATGAAACCACCTTCTAGTGAAACAGCATCTCACAGGGACCTGAAACAGCATCTCACAATGTGAAAACTGTGAAAGCTTTCACATTCTTATAGAATCCCAGTTCCTCAGAGGACAACACAGATAAACTAGCGCAGTGGTCCCAAACCCAGTTGACCATCAGAACCTCCTAGGTGGTTAAAATACAGTGTCCTGGAGATTCTTACTTGGTAGGTCCGGGTTTGGGCTCCTCAGAGAGTAGTGTTTGTCAGCAGGCCTGGGGAACTTTCTGATCCACCCCAGTCATCTGGATGCATCTCCATTCCTGTACCCTGGCCCAGCATCCTTTGTGTAGCCTTCTGAGTGGTCTCCTTGCTAGACTGCCATCCCTCTAGAGTCTATGCACACCAACCAGAGGGGCCTTTTAAAAATATAAATACGACTTTGCCACTCCCCTGTACACAAAACCTGGTGGCTGTGGCTTCCTATTACATTTAAGTTTCGAAGTCTTAGCCATTTAGCCAAAGCCTGCAAGAACTGGCATGATTTGGCCTCCACCTCAAGGCTTTTCTGACCTCTTCTTCTACTTTGTTTCCGTTTCTCTCTTCTGCAGTCACAGTGACCTTCTTGCCCTTCCCCCAAAGTCTCTGGCTGGTTCTTGCCTCAGGGCCTTTACACCTGCTGTTTTTTTATCTGGGCCATTTGCCTGGCCCCGTTCAGGTGTTTGTTCATATCTCACCCCCTTAGAGAGGTCTTTTCTGGCTGCTTGCCTTCCTTTGCCTCTGCCTGTTAGTCCTTTTCCATGACATACCTTTATTTCTTTATAGCATTTACCACAATCTAAAATGATAGAGTATTATTTTGTTTTTCTTCTAAGCCTCTCTGTGAAATGCAGGCTGGGACTGTATTGTTTACCATTTTATTCCTGCACTGAGGCTATTATCTGGTATGTGAAAGCATTAATTCTCACTAAATATTTATGGAATGAATGAATGAATATATAAATCTCCCCATACAACATCCCAGATAAGGATTTCTCTAGCTTCTAACTAAACCTCTTCAGTAATGGTTCTGCACATCTTAAGGTAACTCATTTTGTACTGAGGCACTTCTGATTGTTAGGCTATTCTCCTTTCAGCTGAAAAAAATAAAGTATCTGCCTTCTGTCTAGCTCGGTAGCCCCAGCTCAGGCCTCTCTGCCTCTGCTGGGGAGTTGGTGTAGTGGTGAATGCTGCCACTTGGGTGTGGTGCATCCTATAAAGCATCATTTTAAAGGGGAGGTTGGTACAGTAGGCACCGTGCTTGCCACCCAGATCCTCTGTCTTTGAGGGCTTGTTGCTGCAGCATGGTTGGCCCAGCCTTCAGCTGCCAGCTCTTTCCACCGCAGCCCACAGTCCCTGATTGCTCAAAGCAGGGGTATAAAAGCCTGGCCATCTGTGCCCAACCTGTGGCAACTCTGAAGGGCCACGCTAGCCCCAGGACTGCCTGTGGAGTTGGCCAAGGCTGTCCATGGGTCGGTGCTGCAGCTCCACTTCTCCCTCTGCCTGGGCCTGCCTCAGTCTCCTTCTTTTCCCAGGAGTTGATCCCAAAGACATAACTTAATGAACACCCTGCTTGCTATACTCCCACAGATGTCTGCTTCTCTGGGATCCCAACCTGTAAACCGTAAGAGTTGGTGCTTTGCCTAATTTTTTAGGTTTATTACTGTTTCCCTAGGCCAGGGAAGACAATGAAAGGCTCAGCTTAATGGCCTCCTGTTGTGGCAGACAGAGGTCAAGTGAGGATTTCACTTAGCATGGGAGACTCATAAGGCTGTGATAGCATCGTTGTCCTTGGCTCATCCGTACTTCCGTACTGGCAGCCCATGGGGGACGGAGTGGAGGCTGTGCCAGTTTCTCACAAGCTGCCGCTCGAGGTTGGCATTTGGATGTAGGTCATGGTGCCACTGACCTCTAGCTGACTGCTGTGTGGTGAGCTGTGTTCTCAGAAGCCAAAATGAAGTCAGGGTGATTGCCTGAAAAACCCATTCCAGAATTTTTTACTATCTGTGTTCCCTGGGTGTTTCTCAAAAACTTGAGATGGAGGCTTTCATGATTTCATGGAGAACAGCGAGGAGTGGTTGGAGTCACAGGCTGTGCACAGATTTCTTTTTCTAATAGGAAAGGATAAGGAACAGCAGGAAGACATGGTTTCGGGGAGGAGACTAGCCCTCCCTGAGTTTGTCTTCAGGCCCTGAGACAGGTGAGGTGACACAAACTTATGGAGCTTCTGCCACTTTGCTGGGTACTGAGGGTGCAGGTGTTACTGAAGACTTGGGTTGCTTGCTTTCTGGGCTTGGGGTAGGGAGGCGAATACATCTGCATCTAACTGTGGAAGCCCTTGATGAGTGCAAACCATTGGGTAAGAAACAGTGTGTCAGACTTAGCAAGCAAAAATATTGCAATATTTGGGACACAGTCATAATATAAAATTAACTATTATGGGAAATTCAGTTTAATCGGGCTTCCTATATTTTATTTGGAACCTAATACAAGAGGAAAAGAGAAGTGCTCTTGGGTGGAACAGAGAAACTAATTCATGGAGCCAGGGTATTAGAATGCTTTGTGAGAAAGGGGTACTGGGACTAGTTTTGAATGTGGGTATCATTTTGCCTGGTGGAAATGCAGAGGGATGGCGACGGGGAGAGGCAGATCTAGGCAGTGCATGAGGATACTCAGTACCATGGGAAGGTGTGAAAGTGCAAGGGCACGAGGAGCTGTCTGTTTCATGGCCATGTCATCAGGAGAAGAGGGTCAGTAGCTTTTGCTTTCATGCCACGTAAGGATGTAGACTTGTTCTAGAGCATGAAGAGCCACCCAGAATTTCAAAGCAGGGACTTTTTGTCTTTTAATTAACTAAATTTATTTTAACTGTAGAAGGAATATCAAATCTTGCTAAAATGAATTCCAACAGTGAAATGTTTATTTTCTCATCCCCTGAAGCCCTGCTCCCACTCACTCTCCAGAGGTCACCACTGTGAATGGCTTGCTATTTATCCTTTCAGAAATGTTCAGAAATGTTTTGTGCATCTAGAATCATAGACGCGCATATTATTTTGGCTTTATTAATCTATTTATTGAGCTGCAAACTTGATTGTCATCTGCACACTGTTTTGCTGCTTGCTCTTCCACTTACAGGCTTCCTTGGACTTCTTTCCATATTAGTATACATGGAGCTCATGTATTATTTTTAAAAGTATAGTTTTTATTTTCATTTTTGCTATCAAGTGTCTTGCCACTAAAATGAAGGCAGTTAAATATTGGTTCATAGTATGTAACTTTTAAGGTGCACTTGGGATGCCGGTTTATTTCAGAACTCATGGTAAATAAGTCACTCTTTAGAATCTTCCAGGCTAATGTCTCAGTTTGGAGATCCCAACATCACCCAGTCTAGCTGTTTATTATGGATTGACCAGATGTCATCAGCTGAGGGAATGGAATCAATTTGAATTGCTGAATAACTTAAAAACATCTTCAAGATATTTGAATTAACATAGGTATGTTAGGCTGTTCTTCCATTGCAATAAAGAAATACCTGAGACTGGGTAATTTATAAGAAAAGAGGTTTAATTGGCTCATGGTTCTGCAGGCTGTACAGGAAGCATAGCAGCATCTGCTTCTGGGGAGGCCTCAGGAAGCTTTTACTCATGGTGGAAGGCAAAGCCGGAGCAGGCACATCACATGGAAAGAATGAGAGCAAGGGTCGGGGGAGGTGTCATACACTTTTGAACAGCCAGATCTCACGAGAAGTTACTCACTGCTTAGAAATTTTCTCTGCCAGATCCCTAGGTCATCACGCTCAAGTTTAAACTCCCACAGATCTCTAGGGCATGGACACAATGCAGCCAAGTTCTTTGCTAAGGCATAACAAGGATGACCTTTGCTTCAGTTCCTAGTAACTTCCTGATTTCCACCTGAGACCTCAGCAGCCTGGCTCTCACTGTTTGTATCACTATCAGCATTTTGGTCACAACTATTTAACCAGTCTCTAGGAAATTCCGAACTTTTCCTCATCTTCTGTCTTCTGAGCTCTCCAGACTCTTCCAACCTCTGCTTGTTACCCAGTTGCAAAGCTGTGTGCATCTTTTCAGGTATCTCTATAGCAATGCCCTACTGCTTGGTACCAATTTTTCGTGTTGGGCCATTCTTGGATTACTCTAAAGAAATACCTAAGATTGGGTAATTTATAAGACAAGAGGTTAAATTGGCTCATCATTTGCACTGATGGCTATACAGGAAGCATAGTGGCATCTGCTTCTCAGGAGGCCTCAGGAAGCTATTACTCATGGCTGAAGGTAAAGTGGGAGCAGGCACATCACATAGTGAGAATGGAGCAAGAGTGCGGCGAGCGGAGGTGTCATGTACTTTTAAACAGCCAGATCTCACAAGAACTCATTCAGGGCAAGGACAACACCAACAGGATGGTGCTGAACCATTCATGAGAAATCCACTCCTGTGATCCAATCACCTCCCACCAGGCCACACCACCAGCATTGGAGATTACAATTCATCATGAGATTTGTGTGGGGACAAATGTAGAAACTATGTCAATAGGATTTTTTTAAAAATAAATGTTCTTCTAACTCATGTATCTGAATGCTGACATAATTTATCTCTTTTCCTGGTAGAGTATTTTAAATCTTTTCCTTTCCTTTCGTCCTCCTCCCCCCATATTGATCTATAACTAAGTATATGTACTCCAGCTGGTTCATTTGTAGCATCTTATCATCTAGTTTCCAGACCTTTCAAATAAATTACTTATCTATATGAAGGACCCATAATTGGCTTTTCGGTTGAGAAATCCAATTCACCAAAGTGGCCAGGGAGAGGCATAGTTCATTTTTCCCTATTATCAAATTAATGTCAAATAATATCTTAGGATTATTTATTTTCTACAATATAAGAAGAATGTCAGGATTTATTTGCTGTGTTTCTTAAATGTCAGAGGAAATTGACCTGAGAGGCTGGGTAATCTCAGTGCCTGGCGTTGTAGTTTTCAGCTGAAGAATTACAAGACAAAGCACTCAGTGCTGATTGTGGGTGGTGCCCTTGTGCTTGGTGGACTCAGTGTGGATGTGAAGGAAGCTGGGCTTCTCTGAGGTTCTCTGGACTAATTGGAGAGATGACATCAGCAGGAATAAAGCTATGCAGGTGAGATGAACTAGGTAGGTGTATGAGGGGGTGTTGTTTCTAATGGTTTATCAGGAGGAGGTGAGTCAAACTGGACCCAAGACAAGCCTTACTTGAAAATGTGGGTAGGGCTGGGCATGGTGGCTCATGCCTGTAACCCTAACACTTTGGGAGGCCAAGGTGTGTGGATTACTTGAGGCCAGGAGTTCGAGACCAGCCTGGCCAACATGGAGAAACCCCGTCTCTACTAAAAATACAAAAATTAGCTAGGCATCGTGGTGCACATCTGTAATCCCAGCTACTCAGGAAGCTGAGGCACGAGAATTGCTTGAGCCCAGGAGACAGAGGTTGCAGTGAGCCAAGATTGTGTCACTGCACTTTAGCCCAGTGACGGAGCCAGACCCTGTCTCAAAAAAAAAAAAAAAAAACGAAAAAAAGAAAAAAAGAAAAAGAACATGTGGGTGGGAAGTGGGAAGATACTTTAGTATGTGGGAAGGCAAGAACCAGGAATGTAGGGGGCACATAGGGAGACCCACGTGGGAAGAGGATGAGTGTGGTAAAGAGTACACTGGGGTAAGAGCCATTTGTTTAATATTTCAGGAAGTTCATCACATTTAACAGCCATTTTAGGAGCACCACAAAGTTGCAGGCAATGTGCCAGAGGCTGGGGAGGGCTATAAACCCAGACAGGCAGAGTCCTTGCTCTTAAAAAGTTAAGAGTCTGGTGGATGAGACAAGCAGGAGTGCCATCTAACTAGGGGATAGGATAGAGGGCTTGGTGAAGGCCCTACAGAGGATGTGAAGTCTGAGCTGAATTTAGAGGAATGGTTGGGAGTTGACCGTGGGAAGAGGATGGGGCAGGATATAGTGCTGGAATAGAAATGTCAACTAGGGTCAGATCATGAAGGACTTTGTATAGTAGCACTGAGAGTTGGACTTTATCCTGTAGCCTTTGGGAAGTCACTGAAGGAGTTTAAAGCAGGGGAGCCTCGTGGTGAGATGTGTTTTATGGAAGGCTCTCTCTGGCAGCAGACGATGGAGTGTGTGTGAGAGAGGATGAGGCTGGAGGCAAAGAGACTAGAGGTGGGGGTAGCCTGACCTGGGACAGGGCCTACAAAGTGGGGAGATCTGGTCTAGTTCAACAGGTGGTAGATTGGAAGGGACTAGGTAACTGAATGTTGGGTAGGGGGGTTGGGGGTAAGGTTGTTTGATGGAGTGTCACATGGACTCTGAAGTCACCTATGACAGTTAAAGCCCCTAGGGGTGAAGAGAAGGCCAAGAGCAGAAGCCAGAGTCTGCAGTGGATGAAGGAGGCTGAGTAGGGTTGGTCCACAGGGTGTGGATGGGAAGGAAGTACTGGAGTCTGCCTTCCTCCTTTCTTTCATCTTTGAAATATTTGGAAGTTTGACAGTTCTCCAGGAATCTGCAAAGGAAGACATGTAACAAAGAATTAGTTGCAACACTTAATAGCTCCAACCATCATAGATATCACGCTGGTTTTGGTTTTACTTCTCCTAAACATTTTTTTGACAAACTTTATATTTGTGTACATATTTATGGGGTATGTGTATTAGAATATGTAATAAAGTATTTGGGATATCCATCACTGGAGTATCATTTCTATGTGTTGGGTACATTTCAAGTCCTCTTTTCTAGCTATTCTGAAAACCACAATACATTGTTGTTAACTGTAGTCAGCTTGCTTTGCTTACAAGCATTAGAACTTATTTCTATCTAACTTTATGTTTGTACCCATTAACCTACTTCTCTTCACTCCCCCCACCCCCGTACACCCATTCCAGCCTCTGATATCTATCATTCTACTCTCTATCTCCATATGATCCATTTTTTAATCTCCCACATATGAGTGAGAGCTTGTGATACTTACCTTTCTGTGCCTGGCTTATTTTACTAAACATAATGACCCCTAGTTCTGTCCACGTTGCTGCAAATGACATAACTTCATTGTTTTTTATGGCTCAGTAGTATTCCATAGTGTGTGTATATACTACATTTTCTTGATCCGTTCATTCATTGTTGGACACTTACGTTGATAATATCTTTGCTATTGTGAATAGTGCTTCAATAAACATGGGAGTGCAGGTTTCCCTTTGATATATTGATTTCTTTTCCTTTGGATAAATACCCAGTAGTCAGATTTCTGGATTGTATGGTGGTTCTATTTTTAATTTTTAAAGAAATCTCCATTCTGTTTTCCATAGCACTAATTTAGATTCCCACCAACAGTGTATAAGAGTTCTCTTTTCTTAGCATGCTTGCCAGCATCTGTTATTTCTTGTCTTTTTAATAACAGCCATTCTAACTGGGGTAAAATGATATCTCTTTGTGGTTTTGATTTGCATTTCCCTGATAATTAGTGATACTGAGCATTTTTTTCATATATCTGTTGGTCATTTCTGTGTCTGCTTTTGAGAAATGTCTCTTCATGTCCTTTGCCCATTTTTAATAGGATTAGTTATTGAAATAATAAAGACTATATATGACAAACCCACTGCTAACATTGTAGCGAATGGGGAAAAGGTGAATTTTTTTTCTCTTAGAACTGGAAGAAGACAAGGATACCCACTTTTACCACTCATATTGAAGATAATACTGTAAGCCCTAGTCAGAGCAATGAGGCAAGAGAAAGAAATACAAGGCGTCCAGATTGGAAAAGAGGAAGTCAAATTGTCCTTCTTTGCAGATGACATGATCTTATATTTAGAAAAACCAAAGACTTCACCTAAAAACTCTTAGAACTGATGAATGAATTTAATAAAGTTGCAGGATAAATCAACATACAAAAGTCAATAGCATTTGTATATACCAATAATGAAATAGCTGAGAAAGAAATGAAGAAGGCAATCCTATTTACTGTAGCTATCAAAGAAAAATACTTGGGAATAAATTTAACCAAGAAGGTGAAAGATCTCTTCAAGGAAAACTGCAAAATACTGATGAAAGAAATTGAGGAGGACACAAACAGGTGGAAAGACATCTCATGCTCATGGATCAGAAGAATTAATATTGTTAAAATGACCATACTGCTCAAAGCAATCTACAATTTCAGTGCAATCCCTATCAAAATACCAACATTGTTTTTCAGAGAAATAAAAAAAAAATTCTAAAATTTGTATGGAACCAAAAAAGAGCCTAAATAGCCACAGCAACCCTAAGCAAAAACAAAGCTGAAGGCATCATACTACCTGACTTCAAAATACATTAAAAGTCTGTAGTAACCAAAACAGCATGGTATTGGTATTATATAAAAATAGACACATGGACCAATGGAGCAGAACAGAGAACCCAGAAATAAATCCACATATTTTCAACTGATCTTTGACAAAGCCACCAAGAACGTACATTGGGGCTCTCTTCATGATGCTGGGAAAACTGGATAAGAATATGCAGAGGAAAGAAACATGACCTCCATCTCTCACTGTATACAAAAGTCAACTCCAGATGGATTGAACACTTTAATGTAAGACCTGAAATTACAAAACTACTAGAAGAGAACATAGGGAAAGCTCTTCAGGACATTGTTCTGGACAAAGACTTTATGGATGAGACTTCAGAAGCACAGACAACAAAACCAAAAACAGACAGAAGGGGCTATGTTAAACTGAAAAACATTTACACAGCAAAAGAAACAGTGAAGAGACAACCTGTTGAATAGGAGAACATTTTTGTAAGCTACTCATTTGATAGGGGACTCATATCCAGAATATACAAGGAACTCAACAGTAAAAAATATATTGGCTTTTCTATAAGTGTTTTCAGGAACTAGGAAGAGATTTGCTCTTTATGGCTGAAATTCTAGCCAGTATCTGTGTTATAAATACTAAGAGTAATTTTAGATTAATTTTTTTTTTTTATTTGAGACAGAGCTTTGCTCTTTCACCTAGGCTGGAGTGAAGTGGCGCGATCTCAGCTCACTGCAACCTCTGTCCCCCGGGCTCAAGTGATTCTCCTGCCTCAGCCTCCCGAGTAGGAATTATAGGAGCCTGCCACCATGCTCGGCTAATTTTTGTATTTTTAGTAGAGATGGGGTTTCGCCATGTTGGCCAGGTTGGTCTTGAACTCCTGACCTGTGATCCACCCACCTCAGCCTCCCAAAGTGCTGGGATTACAGGCGGGAGCCATTGTGCCCAGCCACATCTTTATTTTTTATTTTTTATTTTTTTTTAAACTGTTTCAGTTTGTATGCTTAAAGAAGGAAGCAAGTTAGGAAATTATTTGTGAAATTTCTTTTCTGAAATAGATGGCCTCGATCTTAATGTTGATGACCTGTAATTATCTTTTGATATGATTTTAAATTATTGGCTGTAGCCTTAGATTGACATTGAGAAACACAGTCTGGGAAGAGAAAGGGCTGGAAACTCACTCATGGTTTGGCAGGGTGAGAATGAGGGAACCTGAGTGTCATGACATTCACATGACATCTCTCATCAGATTATGTCAGCAGTTATTGCTCTTGGTCAGAAGCCACTTACAACTTAAGAGCATAGAATGGAGACAGTATTAGCTGACTTATGGTATATCCATTCATATTCTGTCATGTGATTTTAAAAATAAAATTTAAAAGTCAAAGAACAAAGGTTAGTGAGTTTTCCAGTGTAAGAAGTAGTTTATTTCATAAGGGTAAACCTAAGACCCATCTATTACTATGTCATATTAAGTACAGCATCAGAGCAGTGCTTTTTAAATTTTAACGTTCATCAGAATCATTTACAGTTGTTAAAATGCAGGTTCCTATTCTGTAGGTTTTAGGTGGGGACTGAGAACCTTCATTTCTGTCAAGCTTCCCTGGAGCCACTGATGTTGCTGGTCTCTGGAGCATATTTTGAGTATTAAGAGTCAGAGCAGGGATTCCTATCTTTTGGGGTGATGGAACTCTTTGAGAAACTGAGGAATGTGGTAGACCCTCAGAATAGTGAAACTGCCTCCTGCTCCTGATCCCCCTTCCCAGCCAGTCATCCCAGTACATAGGATTTCAGGGAGGTGGTGAAACCTTCAAAACCTACCTGCATCTTCAGTTTTCATTTTAGAAGTAGCTAATAAAAAGACAGTCATATTGCATAACAGCCTTTCAGTCAGTATCTCACTTAGTGCTTTTATAGAATGGATGTTAATTTAGAACTAGGAACGCACTGCCCTGGTTACCTGCAGGTTAGAATACATGATCATGTGGAGGGCCCTTTAAATTTAGCTGCTCCAAAGGTGTAAGGTTCTGAGATGGGGAGTTATGGAGTCTCTGGCTTCCAGCAGGAGTGGTGGGCATTGTATGAGCCACATTACTTTGTTTTCTAGGCAAGAATTGACAAGTCAATGTGAGCATTACCACGATCACTTCTAATATTTCTATGTAGCTGGATAATTTTGTGTTCCTGAGAGGTATTTGTTGATAATAGTGGTTTTAAGATGAAAGCTCTAGATGCATTAGGTTAGTGATTGATTGAGAAAAAAGGACCCACTGTGGGAATGGGAGGAATCTGGGTTTGGTGTTCTGTGATATAAATAAACCCAGGTGGTTTGTTCTCTTGTTGAGCAGGACATGCTTTGGTAATTGAATGCTGTAGGAAAGGTTTAATTTTATGAAGTATTTGTTTTGTAGCCACATGAACATGGGGTGTCCCTGAAGCAGTTCTTACTTTTGGGTCCACAATGGAATTGCCCAACTCCTGGTGGGTTGGAGTGGAAGCATTTTTCAGGCTTGGAAATGTTAAACTTGGCCCTGGGAATCTGCTGTAGTTCCCAAATGGTGTTTACTGCAAATGCTTTTTGGGTTTGTTCACAACTGATATTTATTTTGTCTCTGTTCGTCTGAGCTGGCCAAGATGTTACCCCTTAGCTGGTTTCCCCATACCTGGATTATTTTAAAGTAAATCCCAGGTAACATATCATTTGATTTGTAAATATTTCAATATGTATCTCTAAAAGGTTTTTTAAGTCATAATACTATTATCATACCTACAATATTAGCAATAATTCCTTAATATCATCAAATATCTAGTCAGTGTTAACATTTCCCTACGTAAGTTATAATTTTTTTTTTTTTTTTTTTGAGACGGAGTTTTGCTCTTGTCGTCCAGTCTGGAGTGCAATGGCACAATCTCGGCTTACTGTAACCTCCGCCTCCTGGATTCAACCGATTCTCTTGCCTCAGCCTCCCAAGTAACTGGGATTACAGGTGCCCGCCACCACACCCGGCTATTTTTTGTCTTTTTAGTAGAGGCGGGGTTTTGCCATGTTGGCCAGGCTGGTCTCGAACCCTGACTTCAGATGATCCACTTGCCTCGGCCTCCCAAATGGTTATAATTTTCAAAGTGCTTTTTCTGTTTGAATTGGGATCCAGTTGGTTGATATGTCTTTAATGTCTTTTCTAGCTTTAGATTTCCCTTTCATCGTTATATTCTTTGCAATTTGTCATAATTTGGAATATGCTGAGTCATTTACCCTGCTGCCTTTCCCACAGGCTGGATTTTACCGATTCCCCCACCTGAGAACATTGGCGTGTTCCCACTTACACTTGTCATTCCTGCTGGTTCCCTATAGGGCAGCTCTAGGTCAGAGTCAGGCCATCCCTGGGAGGGAAGGACAGGAACCCTGGGGCAGTCGCGTTGGTACTTCAGGTAGAATACACCTCGTACCTGGTTTTCTCACAGTGGCTGGCCTGGTAACCATCGGTGGTCCCTCCCTAGAGCCATTAATTCACCAGGGGTGACGAAATGATATTTTGTTATTACTTCTTTATTTTTTTAGCTGGAATATCTCTAAAGGAGAAACTTTCTTTCACAGTTGTTTGGTTACTTGAAGTATAGATAGTTTTGGAAATGCAAGATAAATGCTTGATTCTTTCTTTTAACAGTTTTCAAAATAATGAGACAGATCCTTTGATCTTTCAGAGGGGACCACTGAGTTTTTATTTTTAAGTTATGAGTTTATGTGCTTAAATATATTCTATCTATTTCAGTTGGTTTTTAGTTTCTTTGCTGTCCAGATTTCTCAACTTTGGGCAGCAGGAACTTATGCAGGTTGGTTCCTGAGTCCTTTTGACAGGGTCCTTGTATTAGTTTTCTTTTAGTGTATAACAAATTACCCCAAAACTTAGGGGCTTAAAACAATATGTATTGACCAGGCATGGTGGCTCGTGTGTGTAATCCCAGCAATTTGGGAGGTCGAGGCGGGTGGATTGCTTGAGCTCAGGAGTTTGAGACCAGCCTGAGCAACACAGCAAAACTCCATCTCTACAAAAAATACAAAAATAGGCAGGTGCAGTGGTGCGTGCCTGTAGTCAAAGCTACTTGGGAGGCTATGGCAGGATAATCGCTTGAGCCTAGGAGGTGGAGGTTGCAGTGAGCTGAGATCATGCCATTGCACTCCAGCCTGGGTGGCAGGAGCGAAACCCTGTCTCAAAAAAAACCAAACAACAACAACAAAACACAGCATGTATTATCTCAGAGTTTCTGTGGGTCAGGAATCTGGGTGGGGTTGAGCAGGGTCCTCTGACTCCGGCTCTCCCCTAGCGCTGCAGTCAGGGTGCCAGACGGCTTCCCAGTCATCTCTCATCATCATGTCCCGGTGCGGGCTTGGGGAGCGTGCCCTGCCAGGCTGTCTGGCGTGCTGCTAGCGGGCCCCTGTTTCCTGCTGGCTGGGTCTGTCCACAGGGGTCCTCACTCTGTCGTCCCTGACTTTTCACACTGCCAGGGCTCAAACAGAGAGGGCAGAAGAGAGAGCCAGCAAGACAGAAGTCACAGTCTTGAAAGCCCGCCTGGGAAGTGACAGACCATCACTTGGGTGTGTTTGTGTTGTAGTCATTAGAAGTGACTCACCAGGTCCAGCCCATAGTCAAGGGCAAGGATCGCACACGACAGGGTGTGAGTGCCGGGCAATCACTGGGAGCCGTGTTAGAAGGTGCCCGCCACAGCCCTAGTGACCTGTGTTAGTGTTCCTGCTTTATAGTGTGAAGAGATGGTTCAGTATTTGGATTGAATCACTTCTCCAAGGAACCCTGACTTATTTTAGTGGAAAATGTTATTTATAGGCTATAATTTGAGTGTAAGATTCTAGGCCTTTTCAATGGACAAAGCAAGGGAGTTGTTTGTTTTTTAAATTTTGGATGAAAGATGAAGTTTCTGCTACTCCTTCCAATTAGATTCAGGACTACAGTTTTTTCTGGGACAGAATTTCACTCTTGTTGCCCAGGTTGGAGTGAGTGCAGTGGCGTGATCTTGGCTCACTGCAACCTCTGCCTCTTGGATTCAAGTGATTCTCCTGCCTCAGCCTCCCGAGTAGCTGGGATTACAGGCATGCGCCACCATGGCCGGCTAATTTTCTATTTTTAGTAGAGATGGGGTTTCTCCGTGTTGATCAGGCTGGTCTTGAACTCCCGACCTCAGGTGATCTGCCCGCCTCTGCCTCCTGAAGTGCAGGGATTACAGGCGTGAGCCACCGTGCTCGGCCAGGACTACAGTTTTTACTTAACCTCATCAAACTTATGTTTGTATCTCATTCAGCCACTTCAAAAACCTTGGTTCTCTAGGGCACCAACATCATTACTCTTGTAATGTCCCACAGTACACAGACAGAAATCTCAGAATAATGGCACTTACATTACCACCAAAAATATGATTACTAAAAATGCTTTAAGATTTCTTTGTAGTTCTTTTTCTTTTTAGGATATATCTCATTATAGTATACAGTCAAATTCCTCTATAGAGTCGTAATTGAAATAGTTTCTCACTTTGTGGTACACAGCTAGATTCATTCGCTTCAACTTACTTCTAAATTATAGCTTGTTTTTTGAAACTCTTGTTTTATTTTTGCATAAATCATTTTTATCGTTCTAAAGATGACCTCCAGATCAAAGTATATTTGCAGAAATCTAGCTTCTATCCTTGTCCACTTCCCTTGTCTGCCCCAAATCCTTATCCTCAATTTCCCTTTTTTTCCTAGGTAGCCTTTTGAAAAATACATAGGTTTTAAAAAAGTGTTTAAATATAATTTGTATTTTTCTACATAGATTTTCTCCATCTTTTGTCTCCACTGAACAGTATATCCCAGTATATCCCAGTGGCCACGCCATAACAGATATAGGGATCTTCCTCATTCCTTGTTCAGTGGCGTCACACTCCATTGGGTAAATGTATGGTCATTTATTCTAGGGAACTGTACTCTTTAGGAGTCCTCCTGTTCTGCTGTTTTCTGAGAAATGCAGTTTCTGAACAGATGTAGAAAGAAGGTAGGAGGAGGGAACAGTGCCCTGGCTGCTTCTGGAAGCAGCACCTGCTTGTAACCACTCCAGTTTTCTCTTTGGTTTTCATCTTGGGTAGGGGGCTAAGGTCTCTTTCTCTTTGTAACAAGGTGAGGGGGGCTACTTTTTTTTGGTGAGTCTTAGCTCTTTGTGGTGTCTGTTATTTCATTTACTCTTCTTTTGGCTTACAATTGGAAATTCTTTCAGGGTTTAACAACACACTGTGTATCAGCCATAATTGTTGATGGTGGCATCATTTTGCGTATCTTCATGTTATATTAGTAAGGATTTGGGAGGAGCCGTGTCTGGGATTGCTCCTCAGATGCCATTTGAAAATAAACTCCTAACGTAAAAAGTAAATAAAACAAATGGGTTTAGTTTTGTTTTGTTTTTAATAATCTTTTCTCTTCTAACCACTACTGAATTATTTGTATTGCAGGGAAAAGGACTTGGAGGCCAAGTTCATTATTCAGATGGAGAAAAGCAAAACGACAATCACAAACTTAAAGGCAAGTCATGACCTGGCCTTGCTTAAGTTCCAAGAGCCCCATGATTGCTTTACTGTGGGGATGACTAATGAGTAAATAAAGCCTGTCTGCTGTTTCCACACCCTCCTTTCCAGTGCAGTTAGCCACGTCAGCTTGCACCTGGCTTGGGCTCAGTCTTGAAGCAGAAGAGTTGATCCCGTTTCCTTTCCCATTCCTGGCTTTATTTGATCTGGAAGCCAAATCCAAGCTGTTGCTCTGGTCCAGGAGCTCCTGAGTCTATCCCAGATTCGGGCATTTTCATCCTGTGTCCTCGTAGTAGGGACTTAGCCTGGCAATTGACTGTGTTCTGTGAACATTAAATAAGCTTTGCCCCTATATTTTTTTCCATTTTTAATGAAGAGGATCATGTTTGGTAATCCTTGAAGAAGAACTGATACTATTATTCAAAACTCAGGGAGGAAAGATTAAAAAAAACCACCAAATTTCTTTTCTGGAAAAAAAGTTAAAAAAAATTTTCAAGATGGCAAGTTTCTCCTTTGGCACTGAAAAATATCCTGTTTGTTTATTTGGTTAGGAAATTTTTAAAGGGCACTGAATGCTTTTCGCTGAGGAGGGTAACGGGGGTATAAAATTAATATTGAAGAAATCAGAGCTGGGCTTGGTGGTGCACACCTGTGGTCCTAGCTACTCGAGAGGCTGAGATGGGAGGATCACTTGAGCCCAGGAGATCAAGGCTACAGTGAGCCCTGTTTGTGCCACTGCACTCCAGCCTGGGCAACAGAGCAAGACCCCATCTCAAACAAACAAACAAAAAAACAACAACAAAAAAGAAAGAAATGAAGTACTTTATGGGTTCAATGCCTTTCTCCTTTGATATTTGTCATTAACTTTTAGGTCTGGGTTTCTGAGACATGATGCTCCATGGCCAAGTCAGATCTATCTCCTGTTCACATCTGTGGAGATTTCTATTAATTTATGGCTCAAAGGATTGGGTACTTTGAGATCCAATTTCAAAGTAGTGCGAGTTGATCTCCAATGGTAGAAGCTGGGAAATGCTCCCATCTTCCAACTGGGCAGCCTCTGGATCATTTCATTTCCTCCATTAAGGCGCTGGTGTCCTTTGCCTGAGGCATTCTCCACTGGATGCCTTTCTTCCTCTGCTTAGCACAACCCTTGTGCCTTCCAGCTCTATCTGGCCTGCACTGTGCTTCTTTCCCTTCCTTTGGCCTCTCGCATATTCTCATGTTTCTACCCAGTTGTCACTTGTCCATTCCCTGCTGGTAATTACCTTGTCTTTCCTTCATGTGTCTTTCTACGCTCACAGTGCTTTGGTAAAAGACCGCTGACTCTGGATGAGTCTCCTTTCTTTGTGCGTTATGGAATCTATTTTCCTCGATTACTCTGTTGCTTTTTGAGTTTTTTAAACATTTTATCATCTGATGTTTGAGTAACCAGAACAGATGCCTAGACTTTTAGTGTTTTCATAAGAATCATAACAATTTTTTTATAATATGTGAATCATGTGGAAAACGTGGTGCTCATTGAAGTTATTCAGCATATGTCCAATAAGCAGGCTTTGGGAGCATATGAAGATGTTAAAACATGGTTCTGAGGTGCACTTTAAGCATATAGCAAGGGGGACAAGATATATGCAAACATCCGCAATAAACTCACAATATGATGTGTCCTGGAAGAGTCTAGGCTGTCAGAGGTAGGAGAAATTACTTCTCCATGGAGTGTCCAAGGGAAGTGTCATGAAAGAGGAGACATCTGACCTAGAATTTTCAGTGAGGCCACCAAATCATACAGCTTTAGAAGGTGCCAATCTTATCATGATCTATGTGAATACCACCCTTGTAGTTGTGCAAAGCCCAACTCTGGTGGATTTAGGTGGAGGGAACAGTAAAAAATCACTGAAGGTGGAAATACAGAGTCTGGCTGGAGTGTTGGGTTCTTAGGAGTTAATAGTGATAAAAAGAAAAGGTCAGAATAGTATTCTTGGGTCATATCACAGAGAACTTGGATTGCTGCAAGGAGTTTAGTTTATATTTAAATTTTATTTATTTATTTTTTTAGAGAAGCCAGCAGGAATGAAATGGTTTTTAGTCAGGGTATAAACATGGAAATTTGGGTCAAATGGCAGTGCTCTTTACATTATCATTATTATTCTAATCATTTCTTTCTAGATACCAGAAGGAGGCACTGGGGACTCAGGAAGAGAACGGACCAAGACCTTCACCTATGACTTTTCTTTTTATTCTGCTGATACAAAAAGCCCAGATTACGTTTCACAAGAAATGGTATATGATATTTTCAAAATATTTATGTTGATTTATTTTCACATTGAGAAAAACATGCCTACCCTAAAATACTTTAAAATATCTTGCCAATTTCTTTCTGAATGTAATTTTTGTATAAAATTAGCCTTTGCTAACTTACCTTTCTGAGTGTTATGTAGGAGTATCTATTTAAGCCTGAGAAGAATTCAGTTCTCAAAAGATTGATTTTTTTTTCACCTTTGAGCATAATGATGATAATTTTTAATTTGTTTCAAAACTTGGATATGGTTCCTGTTTAGAAGGAGCTCTACATAGAAAGCATTTCTGGGGAGACATGTGTATGCTGCGAAGCACAGTAAAGAAGCCACTTAACCTTGAGTCCTATTCAGTGCGGAGATTTAGGAGGAAACTTCAAACCCAAGTCATGTGTTCCCAGGTTGTGTGGATCATTACAGGTTTTAGAGTGGATTCTAGAAAGAAAGAACGTTCATTCAGAATCTTTCTAGAGTCTAGAATGATGCTGGAATTTGTCCAAGAAATCTTGCCTGTAGGCTTTTAAGGGCTAAAATGTAGATGTGAAGTGGACAGATAATAACAGACACAAAGGTGCCCCCAAAAGCCTATCAAGACACTGATGTTGACATTTCAGGTGAGCAGAGGGACAAGTATATTTCTCGGGGTGGGGAAAAGCTGCTTATTTGAGCAGAGTGAGGTTAGAAATGGGGAGCACCAGTATAGAAGGAAAAACGCAGGCTTCATTGCTGGGCCTCTTCCTGGCTCGTTGACAGCTTCTTTAGATAACATTGCTTTAAGTCTCCATATGTTAAAACGGGGATAAGAATTCCTGTCCTGCCTGGCCTGGGTTGTAATCCATGCAATGGCATCTCGAAAAGTAGGGTATGAAAAAGTGCTTGTTTCTTTCTTTCTTTCTTTTTTAAATTATGCTTTAATTCTGGGATACATGTGCAGAATGTGCAGATTTGTTACATAGGTATACACGTGCCATGGCGGTTTGCTGCACCCATCAACCCGACATCTACATTAGGTATTTCTCCTAATGCTATCCCTCCCGTAGCTCCCTACCCCCTGACAGGCTTTGGTATGTGATGTTCCCCTCCCTGTGTCCATTTGTTCTCATTGTTCAGCTCCCATTTATGAGTGAGAACATCTGGTGTTTGGTTTTCTGTTCCTGTGTTGGTTTGCTGAGAATGATGGTTTCCAGCTTCATCCGAGTCCCTGCAAAGGACATCAACTCATCCTTTTTTATGGCTGCATAGTATTCCATGGTTTATATGTGCCACATTTTCTTTATCCAGTCTATCATTGATGGGCATTCGGGTTGGTTCCAAGTCTTTGCTATTGTGAATAGTGCTGCAATAAACATACGTGTGCATGTGTCTTTATAGTAGAATGATTTATAATCCTTTGGGTATATAACCAGTAATGGGATTGCTGGGTCAAATGGCATTTCTGGTTCTAGATCCTTGAGGAATCGCCACACTGTCTTCCACAATGGTTGAAATAATTTACACTCCCACTAACAGTGTAAAAGCGTTCCTATTTCTCCACATCCTCTCTATCATCTGTTGTTTCCTGACTTTTTAATGATCGCCATTCTAACTGGCGTGAGATGGTATCTCATTGTGGTTTTGATTTGCATTTCTCTAATGACCAGTGATGATGAGCTTTTTTTTCGTATGTTTGTTGGCTGCATAAATGTCTTCTTTTGAGAAGTGTCTGTTCATATCCTTTGCCCACTTTTTGATGGGGTTGTTTGTTTTTTTCTTGTAAATTTGTTTAAGTTCCTTGTAGATTCTGGATATTAGCCCTTTGTCAGATGGATAGATTGCAAAAATTTTCTCCTATTCTGTAAGTTGCCTGTTCACTCTGATGATAGTTTATATTGCTGGGCAGAAGCTCTTTAGTTTAATTAGATCCCATTTGTCACCTTTTGCTTTTGTTGCCATTGCTTTTGGTGTTTTAGTCGTGAAATCTTTGCCCATGCCTATGTCCTGAATGGCATTGCCTAGGTTTTCTTCTATGGTTTTTATGGTCCTAGGTCTTAGGTTTAAGTCTTTAATCCATCTTGAATTAATTTTGTATAAGGTGTAAGGAAGGGGTCCAGTTTCAGTTTTCTGCATATGGCTAGCCAGTTTTCCCAACACCATTTATTAAATAGGGAATCCTTTCCCCATTGCTTGTTTTTGTCAGGTTGTCAAAGATCAGATGGGTGATGTCATTTCTGCGGCCTCTGTTCTGTTCCATTTGTCTATATATCTGTTTTGATATCAGTACCATGCTGTTTTGGTTACTGTAGCCTTGTAGTATAGTTTGAAGTCAGGTAGTGTGATGCCTCCAGCTTTGTTCTTTTTGCTTAGGATTGTCTTGGCTATACAGTCTGTTTTTTTGGTTCCATATGAAATTTAAAGTAGTTTTTTTCTAATTCTATGAAGAAAGTCAATGGTAGCTTGATGGGGATAGCATTGAATCTATAAGTAACTTTGGGCAGTATGGCCATTTTCACGATATTGATTCTTCTATCCATGAGCATGGAATGTTTTTCCATTTGTTTGTGTCCTCTCTTATTTCTTTGAGCAGTGGTTTGTACTTCTCCTTGAAGGGGTCCTTCACATCCCTTGTAAGTTGTATTCCTAGGTATTTTATTCTCTTTGTAGCAATTGTGAATGGGAGTTCACTCATGATTTGGCTCTCTGTTTGTCTGTTATTGGTGTATAGGAATGCTTGAGATTCTTGCACATTGATTTTGTATCCTGAGACTTTGCTGAAGTTGCTTATCAGCTTAAGGAGATTTTGGGCTGAGATGATGGGGTTTTCTAAATATACAATCATGTCATGTGAAACAGAGACAATTTGACTTTCTCTCTTCTTATTCGAATACCCATTGTTTCTTTCTCTTGCCTTGATTGCCCTGGCCAGAATTTCCAACACTGTGTTGAATAGGAGTTGTGAGAGAGGGCATCCTTGTCTTGTGCTGGTTTTCAAAGGGAATGCTTCCGACTTTTGCCCATTCAGTATGATATTGGCTGTGGGTTTGTCATAAATAGCTGTTATTATTTTGAGATACCTTCCATCAATACCTAGTTTATTGAGAGTTTTTAGCATGAAGGGTGTTGAGTTTTTTCGAAGGCCTTTTCTGCGTCTGTTGAGATAATCATGTGGTTTTTGTCATTCGTTCTGTTTATGTGATGGATTGTTCAGTTTCCATGTGATTGTGCGGTTTTGAGTGAATTTCTCAATCCTGACTTCTAATTTGATTGCAGTGTGGTTTGAGAGACTGTTTGTTAGGATATCCATTCTTTTGCATTTGCTGAGGAGTGTTTTACTTCCAATTATGTGGTCAATTTTAGAGTAAGTGTGATGTAGTGCAGAGAAGAATGTGTGTTCTGTTATTTGGGGTGGAGAGTTCTATAGCTATCTATTAGGTCCGTTTGGTCCAGAGCTGAGTTCAAGTCCTGAATATCCTTGTTAATTTTCTGTCACGTTGATCTGTCTAATATTGACAGTGGGGTGTTAAAGTCTCCCACTATTATTGTGTGGGAGTCTAAGTCTCTTTGTAGGTCTCTGAGAACTTGCTTTATGAATCTGGGTGCTCCTGTATTGGGTGCATATATATTTAGGATAGTTAGCTCTTCTTGTTGCATTAATCCCTTTAACATTATGTAATGCCCTTCTTTGTAATTTTTGATCTTTGTTGGCTTAAAGTCTGTTTTATCAGAGACTAGGATTGCAACCCCTGCTATTTTTTGCTTTCCATTTGCTTGGTGAATATTCTTCTCTCCCTTTATTTTGAGCCTTTGTTGTCTTTGCATGTGAGATGGGTCTCCTGAATACAGCACACCAATGGGTCTTGACTCTATCTAATTTGCCAGTCTGTGTCTTTTAATTGGGGCATTTAGCCCGTTTATACTTAAGGTTAATATTGTTATGTCTGTATTCGATCCTGTCATCATGATGCTAAGCTGGTTATTTTGCCCATTAGTTGATGCAGTTTCTTCATGGTGTCGATGGTCTTTACAATTTGGTATGTTTTTGCAGTGGCTGGTACCAGTTGTTCCTTTCCATATTTTGTGCTTCCTTCAGGAGCTCGTGTAAGGCAGGCCTGGTGGTGGCAAAATCTCTCAGCATTTGCTTGTCTGTAAAGGATTTTATTTCTTCTTTGCTTATGAAGCTTAGTTTGGCTGGATATGAAATTCTGGGTTGAAAATTCTTTTCTTTAAGAATGTTTAATATTGGCCCCCAATCTCTTCTGGCACGTAGGGTTTCTGCTGAGAGATTCACTGTTAGTCTGATGGGCTTCCCTTTGTGGGTGACCTGACATTTCTCTCTGGCTGCCCTTAACATTTTTTCCTTCATTTCCACCTTGGTGAATCTGACGATTATGTGTCTTGGGTTTTGCTCTACTCGAGGAGTATTTTTGTGGTGTTCTCTGTATTTCCTGAATTTGAATGTTGGCCTGTCTTGCTAGGTTGGGGAAGTTCTCCTGGATAATAGCCTGAAGAGTGTTTTCCAACTTGGTTCCATTCTCCCCGTCAGTTTGAGGTACACCAATCAAACATAGGTTTGGTCTTTTCACATAGTCCCATATTTCTTGGAGGCTCTGTTCATTCCTTTTCATTCTTTTTTCTCCAATCTTGTCTTCATGCTTTATTTCATTAAGTTGTTCTTCAATCTCTGATATCCTTTCTTCTGCTTGGTCTACTCAGCTATTAATACCTGTGTGTGCTTCACGAAGTTCTTGTGCTGTGTCTTTCAGCTCGATCAGGTCATTTATGTTTTTCTCAAAACTGGTTATTCTAGTTAGCAATTCGTCTAACCCTTTTTCAAGGTTCTTAGCTTCCTTGCATTGGGTTAGAACATACTCCTTTAGCTCAGAGGAGTTTGTTTTTACCCACCTTCTGAAGCCTACTTCTGCCAATTCATCAAACTCATTCTCTGTCCAGTTTTGTTCCCTTGCTGGTGAGGAGTTGTAATTCTTTGGAGGAGAGGAGTCGTTCTGGTTTTTGGAATTTTCAGCCTTTTTGCACTGGTTTTTCCTCATCTTCGTGGATTTATCTATCTTTGGTCTTTGATGTTGGTGACCTTTGTGTGGATGTCGTTTTTGTTGATGTTGATGCTGTTTCTTTCTGTTTGTTTGTTTTCCTTCTAACAGTCAGGCCCCTCTGCTGCAGGTCTGCTGGAGTTTGCTGGAGGCCCACTCCAGACCCTGTTTGCCTGGGTATCACCAGCGGAGGCTGCAGAACAGGAAATATGCTGCCTGTTCCTTCCTCTGGAAGCTTTGTCACAGAGGGGCACCCACCAGATGCCACCCGGAGCTCTCCCGTATGAGGTGTCTGTCAACCCCTGCTGGGAGGTGTCTCTCAGTCAGGAGGCACAGGGGTCAGGGACCCACTTGAGGAGGCAGCCTGTCCCTTAGCAGAGCGTGAGTGCTGTGCTGGGAGATCTGCTGCTCTCTTCAGACCTGGGAGGCAGGAACGTTTAAGTCTGCCGAAGCTGTGCCCACAGCCACCCCTTCTCCCAGGTGCTCTGTCCCAGGAAAATGGGAATTTTATCAATAAGCCCCTGACTGGGGCTACTGCCTTTCTTTCAGAGATGCCAGGCCCAGAGGGGAGGAATTTAGAGAGGCAGTCTGGCTACAGCGGCTTTGCCAAGCTGTGGTGGGCTCTGCTCAGCTTGAAATTCCTGGCGGCTTTGTTTACACTGTGAGGGTAAAACCACCCACTCGAGTCTCAGTAATGGTGGATGCCCCTCCCCCCACTAAGCTCAAGCATCCCAGGTCCACTTCAGACTGCTTTGCTGGCAGCGAGAATTTCAAGCCAGTGGATCTTAGCTTTCTGTGCTCTGTGGGGGTGGGATTTGCTGAGCTAGACCACTTGGCTCCCTGGCTTCAGCTTCCTTTCCAGGGGAATGAACGGTTCTGTCTCATTGGTGTTCCAGGTGCCACCAGGGTATGAAAAAAAAAAAAAAACTCCTGCAGCTAGCTCGATGTCTGCCTGAACAGCCACCCAGTTTTGTGCTTGAAACCCAGGACCCTGGTGGTGTAGGTACCCGAAGGAATCTCCTGGTCTGCGAGTTGCGAAGACTGTGGGAAAAGCGTAATATTTGGGCCTGAATGCACCATCCCTCACGGCACAGTCCCTCATGGCTTCCCTTGGCTAGGGGAGGGAGTTCCCTGACCCCTTGCACTTCCCGGGGTGAGGCGGTGCTCAACCCTGCATCTGCTCACCCTCTGTGGGCTACACCCACTGTCTAACCAGTCCCAGTGAGATGAGCCAGCCGGGTACTTCAATTGAAAATCCAGAAATCACTTGCCTTCTGCATTGATCTTGCTGGGAGCTGCAGACCAGAGCTGTTCCTATTTGGCCATCTTGCCAGCCACCAAAAGTACTTGTTTCTTGCAGTTTGAAATGTGTCCATGCACCAGAATCATCAGTACCGCCTGGGAACTTGTTAGAAATGTGAAATCTCAGGTCTTATTCCAAGACCTACTGAATTAGATCTGAATTTTTTTTTAGCAAGATCCCCAGTTCTCTGTGTGCACCTTAACATTTGAGAAATGTAGTCCATTTGTAAATGGTTTGTGGAGGAAGTTGGCTTTCTGAGACAATGTAAATGTTAAAGTTGGAGGACTGGAGCGACTATATCCAGAAGATACTGAATCAAACATCTGGGAAAAATAGGAGCTGGGTGCAGTGTTGCGCACTTGTAGTCCCAGCTACTTGGGGAGCTGAGGTGGGAGGATTACTTGAGGCCAGGACAAGTCCAGCCTGGGCAATATAGCGAGTCCCTGTCTCTTAAAAAATTAGGGAAAGATAGGAAGGAATGGCAGTGATGGGAATGGGAGCCTCACAGAGAGAGGTGGTGCCTGGTCTGAAAGAAGGCCTGGGAGAGGAAAGATAAACTGATGTTGGTTGAACTTCCATTGTTGTCAGAAACTCTGCTTGGTGTTCATATGTGCTATGTTGTTTAATCCTCACAGGAATCAAATGTGTTAAATTTTAACTCTATTTTTCTTTGTTGAAGAGATTCAGTAAGCTTAAGGAACTTGCTCAGGTTTGTAGACCTAATTGACTTTTAATAGTAGCAGAATTGGACCATGGGGCTGTACGGGTGCTGGAGATGCCACTGGAAGGTCTTAAGGATGTGGACGAGAAGGAGTGGTGTGTTCACGATGACAGATGGATCAGGCACAGGAAGTGGCTGGCAGGTCGCATCCCTGCTATAAATAGGGGAAGATGCTAGTGTAGCATGGTGTGTGTGTGTGTGATTTGAATGTAAAGGCATATTGAGAAAATATATCATGTCTACTACTATAGTTCAATTTTCCCTTAACCTTGAACAAATACCAAGTAAGATGACCGTTAATATTTTTTCTCCCAAATTAATTTTAGAATTAGAAAAAAAATCAATGAGCAACTTAAATCTACAGTCATGTAAATTAAAGATCATTAAACAAGGTCTGATTTTCTTAATGGTTCTTCAGAACTCCAAAGGGAGGCTTTGATCTCACACAACCTGTTCCTTAATTCAACCCAGGAGAAACTTGAAACCTAACATCTCCCAGTTGACATGCCCGATGAGCGAGTTTTTATTTTAACAGTGCCCTCTTGTGGGCAGTTCCCCTCAAGTGAGGCCCCAGTGATGCCTTGGATTACCCAGGAAATCAGCTTTCAAATCTGTGCTCTGACAGGCAGCAAGGTGGATTTCAGGTAACCAGGCCAGCCAGGTTCTGATGCCAGCGGGGAAGAGCAGTTGTCAGTCTCATAAAGCAGGCCCCGCTTCCCACCTTGGTTGTGGGGGCGATGCTCGGTGCATCCTCTGTGGGAGCTGTGATGGGGGTATCTCGATTTCCTTGCCAAGACCTCTGGAGAGATGCAGGCAGTGCCGGCTGCTTTTCCAGGTCATAGCGCCAAGTTTGGGTGGGTTATTTGAGACTCACTGAGAATGAGTCTGAGTCTGAGCCAGCCCTGGGTCTCTGCGCCTCCAGACCTGGATTTTCTAGACCCGTTTGCAGTCATGTCTCCTGGCCCCAAACCCCCTGAGCCCCTGAACCGGAAAACCGCCTGGGTTAACTTTCTGGGCAATGAAGTAATAGCAAAGTGGTAGGCATAGATTTTAACCCTAGGGAATAATTTTATTCTGAAAACCTTTGGGTTTGGTTTAAATGTGATATTTTCCATGACTTTGGTTTAGCCCCAGGCCAAACTATGAGAAACAGTCCTTCTTTATTCTTTGAAAAGTTTTTAGAAGACTTTTTTCCTTACTAGTGAATTCATAAAAAATGGTATTTGCCTTTTGTGTTTTGTTTAATCTGAGAGAATTGGGGAAATATTTAATTTTTACTCATATTCCATATACAGTGGTGAAAATGAGCCTCCAACTGGTGGTCTGGAGTCCTGAGTGCCCCTGGGGTTCCTGACTTTTGCTTCTTAAGAGAAGTTCAGGGAGGGGCCCTTCCAGGTAGGATTGGGGCCTGGTTGTTGCTTTCGAGGGTGTGGGAAGAGGACACATCACAGTGATAACTAAGTCCTGCATGCAGTCCCAGCTCTGGCACTCCCTGGTGTGTTCCCAGTTACCTGACTTCTCCCCATTCAGCTTCCTCATCAATGGGTCTTGTAACACTACTCTCCCTGTAGCGTTTTGATGAGAATTATACATGAACACACGAAAGTGCTTAGAAAGACCGGAGTAAGTGTGAGTTGCCATTATGGTTGAGACTTGAGTAAGTCATCAGAATTTGAGAGCAAGATTGAAAACTGTCAGCTCTTAAAGCTAAAATGGTTAAGAATTAACTCAGAATGAGTGAGACTGGCAATTTGTGGAAATGACCCAATGGAAATAACAGTTTGTTGAAATCTTTTACTGATGAGGCTGAGGAAACAAAGTCTGTAGAAGTCAGTGGGAAGATGGATCTGAAGACAGCTGAGTTCCAGTTGGCTGTATTTTCATCTTGTCCTTGGATGACAGGCTGTGTTATCAGCAGGGATGGTTGAGGTGCAGCTGAGATGGAGATGGCCAGGTTTACTGGCCCTGTCTAGGGTGTGGGTGTTGTGGCCAGAGGGGAGTTGTCTCCATATGTCTGCACTGATGTGGGCCATGTGCACATCCTAATGGGAATCTGGCTTCCATGCAGGGTCCCTGTACTGCCTGTGCTGACTGGCAGATGTGAGTGCTCTAGGTTACTCCTCAAATGTTGCCACGCTTTGAAATCACATAGGGAGTTTAGAAGAATATGGATTCCTAGGTTCACACCCCCTTAGATTCATATTTCACTGGGCTGGGTTACTGGCCTGGCCATTGGACTTTTCAAAGCCTCCCAAGTGATTGTAATGGGCTGCAAAGTTTGAGACCTGCTGCTCTTGATTTGGCAGTAGCTGGAGATGACTATTTGGTTGATCCGTCTGGGTCCCATGAGTTGGCTGATGTGGTGTCACTCATAGACCGAATGCTCCTGTAGGGATGCTGAGGCCCCACCTTGGACGTTGGTGACACCACAGAGGAGCCCTTCATCTGGAGCTGACAGAGCTTCCTTGTTTGGCATCTCCTCAGCTGCTGTTGTGCCTACTTTTTGAAGCAGGGAGATGCTTTATGTGCCCTTAGTGTGCTGGGCTGAGAGGACAGGAGACTACATGAAAGCTTTTGTTGTCTGTTTCCAGCTGGCTATAACTAAGACTTTGAACCTTGATTTCCTTCATTTACCATCAGTTGTCTGGGTGAAGCATTTGTACTTCACCTCCTTTCACTACCCAAACTGTAATTATATGGAACATCGGACGTGGATTCAGGCCATGTGTGTGACCCCCACCCCAGCCCCACACAGCTTGTCTCCCTGCCCTCTCCATCCTGGGCAAATGTCCAAATAGGAAAAAGCATCTGGACACTGACATGGGGGAGCCCAGCACCCCATCCTCATCTACAGCCACCCGTCACTCAGCTGCATGAGCACCTGCAGAGGTTGATTTTGATGACTAGCTGGACCCTTAAAATGATGGCATTGATTTGGCTTGGCTTGGGCAGTAATTTCTGTGACCTTCAGGTTTTGAGTATTTTGTTTCTGGAAACTCTGATAGAATGAATAGCTTTATATATTTATATAATTCTGAATGGCTAATCATCATGCTTTAAAATAGTCTTTGCTTCTAAACATGATTTTCACTTTGCCTTGTTTACATTTTTATACTTCATGATATTTTTTGGTAAACTTAAGTAGGAAAGAGGATGGGGCTGCTTTTTGTTTGCTTAAAAAGTTTATTTTTGATTAAAAACTGTGGTGTCTACATATGTTGTTGTGAATGGTTCTGCAGTGATTTATTTATATGGTCTAATCCTTAAGAGCTGAAAGTATCATTCAAGAACATTGTCAACACTGAAGGGGCTATTATTAAAATCTATGATAATTGTATCTTTTGTGTGTTCTTTTTGGCTTTCAGGTTTTCAAAACCCTCGGCACAGATGTCGTGAAGTCTGCATTTGAAGGTTATAATGCTTGTGTCTTTGCATATGGGCAAACTGGATCTGGAAAGTCATACACTATGATGGGAAATTCTGTACGTTGTTTATACTGTGTGGGAAGGAAATTTCTCATTATCTTTCTCTGGACTGGTAGAATGATCTCTTTTATCTATTTGGTCTGTACTAACTTTTCATGTTCTGATTATTCTTTAGTAATAAGATAAAACTCAGTAATAAGTTGGACTAAATTTCCTTTGAGAGATTTTAAATTAGAAATAGTTTTAAGTATATAAGCATGAATAATGGATGCAAGTCCCTGCTCATTTTCTGTTTTTAAAGGCCTTATAATCTTATCAAAAAAGTGTGTTGGGCCCGTAAGTAATTTATTCTTCTTTTCTGCCAACACAACAGTTTGAATAAAATTACTGAAGTCTGTTCTTTTTAAAATTATTCAAAACATTTTTCCCCAAGAAAAATGTAAAAAAAATTCTAACTCTTTGATAGAAAGGTACTACATAAATCCTGAAAATACATTAAAAAGTTAGAATTATATAGTTTATATAATTTACATATTTATAAACACACCGTATGCAGTTTTATAAGCTATGTAAGTTAACTGATATTAATGTTATACTTGCCCCAAAATACAGAGGAGTAAAAACTAGGAATTATTGCAAGAACTTTCTTGTTCTGTGTTTTCTCCAGATTTAGATCATTCTTCTGTTTTCTTTTTTTTTTTTTTTTTTTTTTTTTTTTTGAGATGGAATCTCACTCCGTCGCCCAGGCTAGAGGGCAGTGGTGCGATCTCAGCTCGCTGCAAGCTCTGCCTCCTGGTTTCAAGTGATTCTCCTGCCTCAGCCTCCCAAGTAGATTACAGGTGTGCACCACCACGCCCTGCTAATTTTTGTATTTTTAGTAGAGACGGGGTTTCACCATGTTGGCGAGGCTGGTCTCGAACTTCTGACCTTAGATGACCCGCCTGCCTCGGCCTCCCAAAGTGCTGGGATTACAGGCGTGAGCCACTGTGCCTGGCCTGTTTTTTTTTTTTTTTTTTTTTTTTCTTATTTCTTAGTGAGAGCTCTGTTCATTGCCTGCCAAACCTGTGGCATTTTTGAGATGTAGAGACACTAGTGGAAGATGATTGAGGGCTTCCTGCTGGCACACATGTGGTGTCTGTAATGCTGAAGGTTTGGAGGTTCATGGAAGTCGTGTGTTAGAAGACAGATCTTTCCAGAATAAATTATTTCAGGACATGTAACCTCACTGCTTACATCCAGGCTCTTCCTTTACACAAGAAGTCAGTAAGTGCTGTTCGGGAAGTCTTCTCCGAAAAGGGAAGAACAAATGAGAGGAACAAACAGCTAATTTCGAGAGTTTCACATTTCCTTTTATCATTACTTCTCACTTCCTCCTTTCCTACTGTGCCTTTGGAAAAAAAAAACAAAACTTCCAAAAGTGAAATTTGTATGTTGATTCCCTAGTAACTATTTTATGTAAGTCAAACATTTATAAAGCACTCACAAATTACAAGTGTTTTTCTCCAATCTTATAGTTGAGTGCTGCTTGGGTATCCTTTCTTCATTTTAAAGTAAGAACCAAAAATACGACGTAAGACTCATTTTTCCTTGTTAAGAATTAGTACTGATTTAATGGTACAAAGAAAAAACAATCTCTGAACACAGTCATGCTTTCTTTTATTTTTTTGGGTGTGGGGGTTGAGTGAAGGTAGGGAGGGAACATGTGAATAAAGCATTGATGCTCTGCCTTGGTTTCCTAGCAAGATCATTTTGCCTGATTTTTACTATATTCTGAGGTTCATCAGCTTTTTAAGGTTGACTGAAACATGAACATTATTGAACGTTATACCCACATTGTATAAATAATATGGTGTATTAAAATTTTCCATCGAGGAAGGCCAGGGTAGGGGTTACTCTGTCAAAGGAGGGACATAGCATGTGGTTTTTTTTTTTTTTTTTTTTTTTTAAACGTAGTTTTGCTCTTGTTGCCTAGGCTGGAATGCAATGGCGCAATCTTGGCTCACTGCAACCTCTGCCTCCCAGGTTCAAGCGATTCTCCTGCCTCAGCCTACCCAGTAGCTGGGATTACAGGCATGTGCCACCACACTCAGCTAACTTTTTGGGTTTTTAGTAGAGACACAGTTTCACCATGTTGGCCAGGCTGGTCTCAAACTCCTGACCTCAGGTGATCCACCCGCCTCGGCCTCCCAAAGTGCTGGGATTACAAGTGTGAACCACCGCACCCGGCCAGCATGGATTTTAATGTGGTCTTGTTACCTAAGTTTTTAAGGCAATTATTAACTACCGTGGGGATTGCTAAGTTTTTCTTGGTGTTTTTTTGCCTGGTGTGTATTTCACCTACCTTGTTCATTTGAGCATGTATTTTTAACATTTATTGTACAGTTATAAACTGTCTTATTTAAATGTTAGAAATTAAGTTTCCTTGTTTGTAAGCCATGATTTAACTAACAACTGATAACCGTATATTATCAGAGTCCCAGCCTGTATAAATCAGAAGGCTCAATCATCTCATTTCAGAGAGTAGAAAGCAGCCCTGGAGGGGGTATATGGCGTGGGCTGTGGTAGGCCAGGGGTTGGCATACAGGTCACTTGAGTCTAACTTCATGCCAGCAAATTGCAAATTCAGTCATCAGTTGCTTTTATTTTGAGTGACAGCTGTGACATTGGTCTTTCCCATGCAGGGAGATTCTGGCTTAATACCTCGGATCTGTGAAGGACTCTTCAGTCGGATAAATGAAACCACCAGATGGGATGAAGCTTCTTTTCGAACTGAAGTCAGGTAGGGCCTGTGGCCTGGGTAACTGTGTGTGAGCTTGATTAGAGTCAATGCTGGTTGGCCTGCATTTAGGTGCTGGAAATGGATAAGGTCTTTAGATTCCTAAAGAAAAAGTCTTCCCTTTTCCCCTCCTGTGATTATGGTTTGGGGATAAAGCTTAAAACACATAAGTTTTTAGTGATTTTCTTGGGTACAGTTTGGATAAAGATTTGGGAGCTGGCAGAAATAACAGCTTGGGCAGAAACTAATGTGGGATGTTCATCTCAAATGGAGTGAGCTTCTGACTTTTAAGTGTATACCAATTACTTGCTTCATTCTTTTAGCTTAGTAAGGTTTATATTATTCTTTGTGTTGGTTGGATCATTATAAATCTAATCTACAAGTAAATCTGAGTGGTTGAGGTGCTTTTTCCTCCTTGAAATTAAACCTGTGAGGGGAGCCAGTCTCTTCGGTAGTTTCAAGGGCAGACATGGCAATATAGGATTTTTACACCTACTTGACTGCTTTGTGGTCTTGGACAAGTTATTTGAATCACACTAAACCTCCCTTGCCTAACCTATAAAATGAGGATAGTAGTGGTACCTATCTCTGGGTATTGTGGAGATTCAATGAAATAATCCATGTCTAGTACTTAGCATGGTACAGGAAGTCCTCACTTAATGTACCTTCCTTTTTTTTTTTGGAGATGGAGTCTTACTCTGTCACCCAGGCTGGGGTGCAGTGGCACACTCTTGGCTCATTGCAACCTCCACCTCCCAGGTTCAAGTGATTCTCCTGCATCAGCCTCCTGAGTAGCTGGGATTACAGGTGTCCGCTACCACACCCAGCTAATTTTTATATTTTTAGTAGATGTGGGGTTTCACCGTGTTGGTCAGGCTGGTCTTGAACTCCTGACCTCAAGTGATCCATCTGCCTCGGCCTCCCAAAGTGTATTACAGACGTGAGCCACCACCCCTGGCCTAATGTCGCTTCTTGATACAGTCTTGGAAATCGTGACTTTAAGTGAAACAACATATAATGAAACCAGTTCTTTTTCTCGTCAACATTATAGCAATATGATGTTGAAGGAAGCATTGTTATTTGAGGACCCACTGTATGTCCTTTCCCTTAAAGTTGCACTTTCCAAGAACCTGTCAATGACCTTAAGTGAGGACTCATTGTACCTGATACACAGTCACCACTCATAAATGGTAACTGCTGCTGTGGCCATTTATGTCAGCAGGTTGCTGCTGTTATGTGTTGTTACTGATATTAATGTCTGAAATCATTTTTCTGAATTCAATTTTATTTTAAATTTTTAGCTACTTAGAAATTTATAACGAACGTGTGAGAGATCTACTTCGGCGGAAGTCATCTAAAACCTTCAATTTGAGAGTCCGTGAGCATCCCAAAGAAGGCCCTTATGTTGAGGGTAAGAGTAGATATTTCACAGCCATATTCTTTTTGTGATCTATGTAAAAATAACACTTTCAATGAAAAAATATAGCATAATGGTGAGCTTTTAAAAATTTATTTAATTTTGGAATTTTATTATAGTAAGAATGTCATGAGCTGTCACTACATGATGTTCCGTTAGTGAATTTATACTTCACTGGCCATCCGTTGATTTTATGAGGCTTACCAATAGATTTCCTCTGTCTTTAAGAAATCTCTGGAATTTTCTTTTCCAAATGTAAGGCAAGGTAAGCAAACCTGCAATCTGTCTCTCTAAATGGCATTGCATTTTTGCAGTGTATCTTTACTGACCCTAATGGTGATATATGACAATAAAGATATTCTGAACCTCTTGCGTCTTCGGAAGTGTGTTTGGAGGATTTCCTCTGTGGGTTTCAGCATCTGTGTTGTGATACGCTCGTTGTGGCACAGTCAGTTGTGAGGAATGCCACAAGCAATGATGAGTACAGGATTGGCCTTTGCTAATTATTTAAGAATCGGCTGGATTTAAAACTGTCCTCATAATGAAGCTGATCTTACCACCTCTGTATAAGGCAACTTAGAATGGCTGGACTGCAGGAATCGCACATAGAGATGTGCTTTCATGTTCTTCATTTGTGTCTTTGTGGATGCAGGACAGAACTGGTCACAGGTTTAAAGTTCTTCCTGGTTTTGGTTGTCTTCTTTTCCTGGGAGATACCAGATATAACAACAGGACCCCATCTGTATTCCTTTTTTTATCTTTTGGGACGGAGTCTTGCTCTGTCGCCCAGGCTGGAGTGCAGTGGTGTGATCTCAGCTCATGGCAACCTCTGTCTCCTGGGTTCAAGCAATTCTCTGCCTCAGCCTCCCCAGTAGCAGGGATTACAGGCGCCTGCCACCACACCTGGCTAATTTTTATATTTTTAGTAGAGACAGGGTTTCACCATCTTGGCCAGGCTGGTCTTGAACTCCTGACCTCATGATCCACCTGCCTCGGCTTCCCAATGTGCTGGGATTACAGGTGTGAGCCACCACGCCCGGCCCATCTGTATTTTAATAAATTTCCACTTAAGCTTTTGCCTTGTATGCCCAAAGCAAAGCAGGGTGTGCCAGTATGTAGTTGTTCTGTGGTGTGTGGTATAGCTATTACTGTTAAGAGTTTTTAGCCTAACTCATGCCTTCATGTTTTCTGACAAGTGTCTTATCACATGTTAAAACATATAAAACTGGTGTATGAAGAGATAGAATAGCAAAACAGAGCAAACATCCAGAATCTGACCTAGATACTTAGGGGAATTTAGTTTATAATCAATGTGCTATTCAAACCTTAGGGAAATTATTAGAGGGATTATTAAGCTGTGTAGGAGGAAAAAAAAGTAAATTGGCACCACAACTCAGTTTTACACCAGGATAAATGGTAACTAGATTGAAGATTTAAGTGCAAAAATATTAAATAATAAAATGACTATAAAAATCCGTGGGTTAATTTTTTTCCCGGAAACCTGGAGGAAAGAAGGCTTTTAAAAACCTGACTTAAAACTCAGAAACTATAAAATAAACAATGTTAAATTTGAAATGGTTAAACAAAGAATAGCAAAATAAAACATCATACTTGACAGAAACACTGTAAGCAAAGTAAAAAGCTTAATTACAAAATAGGAAAAATATTTTGAATTCAAGTTTTAGACAAAGGACTAATTTTCCTACTATATAAAGAGCTCCTATAAATCAGTAAGGACAGATTCAACAACCAGTAGAAAAATGAACAAAGAATATGTATGACTAGGCTGTTTGTAGAAACGGAAATACAGATGATTTTTAAATGCAGGAAGGAATGCTTAGCATTTCACTCATAGTAAAAGAAAAACAAAATAAGAATACTTGGAGGTAACATTTGTCACCCATCTTTGGCAGATGTAAATAATCCTGATAAGACTGTATTGTGGAGGGTTTTGGGAGACAAGCACTCTTATACCTTGCTACTGCTGGGTGTAAATTGCCCTCTATGGAGAACAATTTTGCAATAGTTATCAAAATTTCAACTGTCTAGAAATTCCACCTCTAAGAATTTATTCTGTATAAACATTCACAGGCATTTGAAAAGACTTATGTGCAAGGTGATTTGTAGCAGCATTACTCATAATTGGAAACAAAATATGAACAACTGCTGTAGTCTCCATGGTTAAATTGGTCGTGGTACATGCATATGATCCAATCCCCTGCAGCCTTAAAAATGAATGAGGAAACACCTTAACTGATACAGAATGTTCTTTAATGTATTAATCCATTTAAAAGCAGGGTACAAACTAATGCTTATTGTATGCTACCATTTGTATGTAAGGGGAAAAAGATAATTATATATAAATATGATTGCTTGTGTATGTATAGGTTATTTCTAGAAGGGTATGTAACATTTGGTTCCCTGACAGAAGGGGAAGTGGGGAGCTATAGCATAGGGACGGGGGACCTTTTACACAGTGTAACTGTGTAGCCTTTGACTTTAGAACCATATGAATGTTCCAAAAAAGTTAATAAAATAATTTGTTAAAATGATTTAAAAAACACTTTTGGGTTTTGCATGAAGGCAGTGCTTTTGCATTTTTCTTGTATGTGCTATGACTAATGTGAATGAGGTTGATGATAATATAATAGCTAACCTTTTTTTAAATACCGTATGTCAGAGGCCTCTAACCCCCGGGCTGCAGACTGGTACTGGTCCATGGCCTGTTAGGAAGTGGGTCGCACAGTAGGAGGTGAACAGCCAGGGAGCAAGCGTTACTATCTGAGCTCTGCCTCCTGTCAGATCAGTGGTGGCATTAGATTCTCATAGGAGCATGAGCCCTATTCTGAACTGCACGTGTGAGGGATCTAGGTTGTGTGCTCCTAATGAGAATATAACCAATGCCTTATCATCTGAGGTGTGGAACAATTTCATCCCGAATCTGTTCCCCCTACCCCTATCTGTGGAAAAATGGCCTTCCATGAAACCGATCTCTGGTGCTGAAAAAGTTGGGGACCGTGGCCCTATGTGGTAGGTACACATGATCACGTGAGGTAACTGAGGCACAGTGAGGTGAAGCAGTTTGTCCATAACTATGTAAGTCCACGGCTAGTAAGCAGCAGAGCTGGGATTCGGCCCCAGCCACCCAGCTCCCAGGTCTGCATTACATACCACCACCCTAGAGAGACAAGTGAGGTCTTCAGACAGGTCAGCAGATTTTGGAGTTGTGTATTATTTCATAGAGGGTAATTTTGTATTCCATTTCCTATATATTAGGGGGATTTCTTCACCCCTTCCATTTTCTTTTTCAGATTTATCCAAACATTTAGTACAGAATTATGGTGACGTAGAAGAACTTATGGATGCGGGCAATATCAACCGGACCACCGCAGCGACTGGGATGAACGACGTCAGTAGCAGGTCTCATGCCATCTTCACCATCAAGTTCACTCAGGTAAGGGCTGCTGCGGGACCAGCTGGCTCCATCCCTGAGGTCTTTACTTGCTGATTAGCACCAGCTGAGGACTGATCATTGTTGAACCAGGAGCAGCAGCAGGTAAAGGTGACTGACTGTCATTTTCTTGTTAATTAGAGTTGAACATGTGCTGTGCGCTGAGTTTCTCTGTGGTTACAATCACAGTAATTTGAAATATCCTGATGTGTACCCTTAAGAAATACTTAGAAGGCTTCCACCCTGTTCTAGACATAAAACAACTTGCTCTGTGCTTAATTAAGCAAAAGTTTTCATTGTTGCAAACTCTGTGGGATATAATGGATTGCGAGTCAGACCAGCTGGAAGCCAAGGTGAGTAACTCAGTGCAGTTCATTACCGCTCCATGGCACTCATCTTGCCGTGTTGATGATGATTATTAGAATGATATTAAAGGGCAGCGAATATTTATAAGTACTAATGTAAGAATTCATTATGATCAAGAGGTGGAGAGCATCTTGAACATCTGTGGAAATTATTGAGGGTAAATATTTGAACACTGAGGCCAGTAGAATAGATGAATGCAAAAATGTAGGGTCCTGTCAGGGTCTAAGTATATGCTAGGAGCTTGGGGATGTCCTTATCTGGGTTAACAGTTGGACACATCAGATACAAAGAGGCAGCATTTTATTAATGAGGGAGATCAAAGAGCACAAAAATGAGTTTTCTAAGGCCAGTCAGAACAACTTGCATTAAATTCTCCACATCTTAATCTTCTGTTAGACCTTTCCTTTAGATTTACTCAAGTTGATTGGTTTTTCTCCTGCTTTCTGGTTAGTGCTTGATTAGCATATTACCATCTCTAATTTTTTTTTTTTTTTTGAGACATGATTTCACTCTGTTGCCCAGGCTGGAGTGCAGTGGTGTGATCACGGCTCACTGCAGTCTCAACCTCTGGGCTCAAGTGATCTCCCACCTCAGCCTTCCAGGGAGCTGGGACTGCAGTGCACAACACCACGCCCAGCTAATTTTTTTTTTTTTAAGTTTTTTCTAGAGATGGTGTCTCACTATGATGCCCAGGCTGGTCTTGAACTCCTGGGCTCAAGCGATCCTCCCACCTTGGCCTCCCAAAGTGCTGGGATCACAGGCATAAGCTGCTGGGTCTGGCCACCATCTCTCATTTCTAAGAGGTTTAAATTTCTATAAAAATATAGTAATCTGGCGGGGGGCGCATTTTGGTTCAAAATGTAACACATAGATCAGAAGTATTTGTGAATATAAAATTTTGGTAGAATTCAGAAGCGAGGAATATAGTATTTAAGATTTTACATTAAAAGAAATAATTTGTGCAACAAGATGTTTTAACATCCGATAATGGTTGAATGCTCTTTTCCGTACTTGTCTATATTGATCATATTTTGGAAAGCTTTTGTTCTTGGAAGGCTGGGATTCTAGATGAGAATAAAAATTATTATTTGCTTACTTACATTTCTCTGCTGAGTGCCACTCAGTGCCTAGTTTTCTGTTCTGCCACAGCCTGATTCAGCAGGGCTTGGTTGAGAATGAAATGCTTCTTTAGAAAGTTTAAGAATCATATACAGTAACTTCTTTTGCATTGGATTAAATTTGAGAAGTTTCTGTAATCAGTAGGAAGGCCAGTAAAACAATAAAATTGAAAAATATCTACCCTGAGAGATCTCAGTGAGGAGCAGAAAATAGTTAGAATTCATATCATCAACAACATCAGGGCCCTTTGCACCTCTTCAATTTTACTTTTTTATTTTACCACAGGCTAAATTTGATTCTGAAATGCCATGTGAAACCGTCAGTAAGATCCACTTGGTTGATCTTGCCGGAAGTGAGCGTGCAGATGCCACCGGAGCCACCGGGGTTAGGCTAAAGGAAGGGGGAAATATTAACAAGTCCCTCGTGACTCTGGGGAACGTCATTTCTGCCTTAGGTATGCTTACGCCTGGCTCCTGCCTCCTCTGTTTCCTCCTCTTTTTCCTCATGTGTAATATTTGGGTTGCAAACTGAGGTAATTTCTTCAAGGTTTTATGAAGCAAAAGTAGAGGAAAAAAAATTTTACTAATTGTCCTTTCTCCCCTTTGTTTCTTCCTTTTCATAGCTGATTTATCTCAGGATGCTGCAAATACTCTTGCAAAGAAGAAGCAAGTTTTCGTGCCTTACAGGGATTCTGTGTTGACTTGGTTGTTAAAAGATAGCCTTGGAGGAAACTCTAAAACTATCATGATTGCCAGTAAGAGTTTTAAGTTACTTTTCTGAGCATACAATATTTTCTGTGAATTAACTGTAAATATTTAAGTTTAAAGTGTCTTATTAGGAAATAGCACCTTTTACATCTTAAAAAAGTAATGGTTTTTCTATCTTGAGGAAAATCACCTCCTATGATCCTGCTATGATCCAGTCTATAGTATCATCATTAACTGTTATACCACCTTGCCATATTTTGGAAGCTGTGATAACATGCACGAAGACTTTTCAGCTTTTCTTTGCTTAAAGTGCAAGGTAGAAATTTACCTCATAGGAGAAAAATCATAGGAACACAAGGTCAAAATAACCCAACTTTGTTTTTTTATTTAAGGCAGTAAATGCGGAATTTAAAAGTAAGAATTGGGAGGGGAAAAAAAAACCCAATGCATAAAACAAATAATGGTAACAGCAGTATACTTTATGTCAGTATTTCAGCCAATAATTGAAAGAAGCAGAATAGAGAAAAAAACGTAGAAAGGGGAGATAATTGTTTGGGAGAAGTCAGGACTTGTTTCCCTTCTGACTCTACTTTCCCCTCCCTCTTCCTCTCTTTCCTCTTCCCTTCCCCTCTCTTCATGCCCTTCCCATGCTTCATGCCATGTGCTAACTATGGAGCCACGGGATTTACCCTGGTTTGTACACCCACATGCATTTGTATAGTCACCTAATCCTTAAAGTTGAGTGGTAGTGGTGGAGGTGGGTAAGATTAACCAAGCTTTAAGAAGAGAATGGATAGATTTGTGACCCTTTTCAAAACTTATCATATTCTGTTTTTTTTTCCAGACAGTAGACTTTGCCAGAACTTTTAAAAGTATTTGAATTCCTACTTAATGTTGAGATGACAAATAGTCTTTAAACCTTCTTCTTACGTTTTCAGCAGGGAAAACTACCTAACTATAGGGGAATGTCTCATATCTCATTTTAGACTTGGTTAGGTGGTTGATTCTAGATTTGAGAAGAGCAAAATGACACTTAATTTTGTATTGTGAACACTCTTTCCTAGAAATGTTAGATAATTTTTCATATTCATTACTGTGGCAATGAATATTTAGTCTCTCCAATGACCTGGGGTTAATCTGACTTTTAAATTACAAACCAACTTTGTGTTAAATGGAACATGGAGTGCTGGATAAATTATTTTTTGAATACATTCTTCACAGCCATTTCACCTGCTGATGTCAATTATGGAGAAACCCTAAGTACTCTTCGCTATGCAAATAGAGCCAAAAACATCATCAACAAGCCTACCATTAATGAGGATGCCAACGTCAAACTTATCCGTGAGCTGCGAGCTGAAATAGCCAGACTGAAAACGCTGCTTGCTCAAGGGAATCAGGTTGGGTTTTTCTGAGATTTATGGATAATTTTCTTTGAGTAATGGCATCTATTTCTAGATCTTAATGAGACAATTTTCTCACTCATGCTATTGATTTGAGTAAATAAGTGCTAAGTAAAGCTTTGAATGAGTTAGCCAGTCCCTCGTTTACATCAACCTCTTGTCAGCCTTTGCATTCATTACGGGCTGCATGTGTAAGATTTTATCCACTAAACCTGAAATGATTAACTCTCTAATAGTTATCAATTATGAATGGAAATGTACTATGCAATAGGATTAATGGCATAATCTCTTTAAGTGGAAAGAAATTGATATGCTTAGAATAGTATTTAAAATTTCACCCATGCATTTTATGACTTTAAAATGTGTTTTAACAGAATAAAAGACTTGTTTGAACACCTTTCTGAATGCCTGTGTCATATCACCTATTAGAGAGGTGGTTCTGGTGGCCCCGCGACACATGTATATTACACCTGTGATCTGGCTGAAATGCTGTCCCTGGGCCCTCGCTTGATTGTTGAAATAGTCTCATTTTAGGATCTGTTGGGATTCTAGTGAAGATTCCTTGTCTTTGTGATTTTCTCAGTAAGCTTCCTGATAGTCTGCATGGTGTATGTACAGAGTTACATTCCGTGATGATTGGTGGAAGTAAAGTTCTGGTAGGCTTTGATATTGCTGTGAAGAAAGGCAACCCTTGAAAGAAAATGAAGGATAGCTTTTTTAAATGTTGAAGTTAGACTGGAGTTACCCTCCTTTCTTAACTCATGAATGGATGTCTTAAGTATATCGTGAAAAGAAATGCTTTTCTTTATGTGCAGAGTGGTCCCGTTGGAGCAGTGCTTTCCACGTGGGATTATGTGGCACTTGAAGCTCTTGGCATCCCATAAATGTTTTGAAAATACTGATGGGATGAAAACCTCACTGAATTTCCTGTGTCCTGAAATGTACCTGGCAGTTCTTTCCCACAAGATGGTGGACAGCAGTTGAATAGGAATTGTTCATTGTGCTTAAAAATATCTCCACATGCATTTTGCTCTATGGTGGAAGTTGTCAGAATGAAGAGTCCAGCTCCACGTGATGAGGCCCTTATAACATGAACCACAATAGTCATTTTTATTTATACACCTTGTTATTGGAATCTTTTTCTTTTCTTTTCTTTTTGAGATAGAGTCTCACTGTGTTGCCCAGGCTGGAGTGCAGTGATGCAATCTGGGCTCACTGCAACCTCCACCTCCAGGGTTCAAGTAATTCTCATGCCTCAGCCTCCTGAGTAGCTGGGAGGTGCCTGCCACCATGCCTGGCTAATTTTTTTGTATTTTTGGTAGAGACGGGGTTTCACGACGTGACCAGTCTGGTCTGGAACTCCTGACCTCAAGTGATCTGCCCGCCTTGGCCTCCCAAAGTGTTGGGATTACAGGTGTGAGCCACCGCGCCCAGCCTGGCATCTTTCTCAGTGTTTTTAAAACATTGTTTATATAAAGTAAGCCTTTAATGATGATTTGATTGGATCACTCAAATTACTATATGTGAAGGAAGTATTTGGAAAATTCTATGTGCAGTTTCTTGTGCTTAACCTTTTATTAGGTTAAAAGAATGAAGGGTAAAAATATTATCTTTTTAAAATTAACTGAGGACATCATTGGAAGGAATCTTATATAGATTAAAAACCTTTAATTTATTGAAACTTTACATTTTCTCTCTGAAAAATGCCTTCAGAGGTATTGTTATGCCATATAGTTGCCTTATATTTTGTAGTCTTTTTTCCTTTTCCTTTTATGACTTATTACCACTGCTGTGTTTAAGGGAGTATTTTTGTTGCTGTAATTTTGGGGGTGAGGATATAAAAGACAGTTAAGTCTATTTCAGAACGCATTGCAGATAAAATTTTTGATATACAATATATTACAATAAAAATGTGAATCCAATTTAAAATAATTTATCGTGCTATGAAGCTGTAAATTGTTTTGAGACAATATAGGCTTATCCTAAATTAATTAAATTTATGAAGCTTAATAAAAACAGCAGGTGTTCTTAAATGTCCATTAAACATCTCTGTATACATTTTTCTGGGAGTATTGCTCTATTCCTAGAATATTCTATACCAGGTACTGCTGTGGTTCATTGAGAATGTTATTCAAATCTGAGTTCCATTTCTAGGGTTATTTTTTTTAAGCACAGCTAAATAAAAATCAACTTCTACTTTTAATAATTTTCTGTCTTTCCCATTGCAAAAAGTCATGTGCATCAGAGTTTTTAAAGCACCTTTTTAGTAAAGCAAAAGGTTTTGACATGTATTTGATTCTTCTACTATGTAGATCTAGATATGTAGATATATGTAGTAGTTTATATATTTGAATTTTTTATTGACGTATTATCCCCCAAAATTGCAAGTTATATGTGTATAGTTCAGTGAGTTTTCATAAGCTAAATTCACCCATCTAACCTGCTTCTTAAGAGACAGTACAGTACCAGTATCCTTGAAGCCCCCCTTAATCCTTCTTTTCAGGAACTACTCCCCTTTCTCTCCAGGGTAGCCACTCTCCTGACCTCTACAGGCTTTGTTAGTTTTTATTTTTGCCTGTTTTTGTTCTTTATATAAATGAAATAATGAAAAATATTCACTCTTTTGATCTCACTTCTTTCAGTCAACATTATGTTTGTGAGAGTCACCCATGCTGTTGCATGTAGTAGTGGATCCATTTATCCTCACTGCAAAGTTGTCTTCCATCATGCAAAGATATTCCAGCTCATTTGTCCATTGTACTTTAGATGGGCATTTGAGGGGTTTCCTATTTCGGGCTGTTACTGCTTTGTAGACTTTCCTCTAGATGTTTTTAGTGAACATATGGATACATTTCTGTTAGATTTATGTCTACAAGTGGAATTGGTGAGTCAGAGGAGTACATATGTTCAGTTTTAGTAGATATTGCCAAGCAATTTTCTAAAAGTAGTTGTGCCAGTTAATAGACCACCATCAGTGTATAGAAGTGCCGGTTAAATTCTTGGTATTGAACCAAGAATTCAATTCTTGGTATTGAACCAAGAATTCAATTCTTGGTATTGAACCAAGAATTCAATTCTTGGTATTGAACCAAGAATTCAATTCTTGGTGTATAAAAGTAGTTGTGCCAGTTAATAGACCACCATCAGTGTATAAAAGTGCTGGTTCAATTCTTGGTATTGCAACACTTGATAATGTACAGTTTTCATTGTAACCATCCTAATGGATATATACCAGAATCATAGAATAATTTTACTTTGTGCTTCTCAGGCGATTGATGAAGCTGAGTATTTGAATATCTTCTTTTTTAAAGGTTTTATTCTCTTTTATTATATTTAAATGTATTTTCAGCTATTTCTGCATTTAATTTGGCAGAGAGAAAATGTCTCTTGACTTCCTCATCTCTCTTGAATGTATCTGGAGACAACAAGTAAATCAAACAGTATAGAAATGAAAAACACAACCAAAGGTGGGAAGCAAAGAAGATGATGGGAAAGGGAAGATGAAAGTAGAATGAATTACTCACTCTTGTAGCTGAGGTTAAAGATAAATTTTAAATAATAAAAGTATCATGTGTAAACTTTTAAAGAAGACACATCTCAGATAGGGTCACAAAGTAAAACTCAATTATATGGTGTTTGTAAGAATGGACAAACCAGTGAATTCAAGAGGAAAGAAAGCGGTGCAGAAACAGCATTGTGTGAGCTTTAAAAAAGAGCACTTTATCACGACAAAGGGTGCAACTAACAATTAAAATCAGACATGATATCAACTTTCGTAATTGAAAAAAACAACAAAACTGTTCGAAATAGCAGGAGACAAAGCCACACACATTTGTCACAGAAAATTTTAACTCTTCTTTCTCATTCTGTGAAAGCTCACATAGACAAAAGTAAGAACATAGCATATTTATATAACATAATGAAAATTTGCTCTAACCAATACAGACCAGGGAAAAGATTGCTGATCATGCAACAAAAGACTACCTTTTATGTTAGGAAAGGAGGTTCATTGAAAACATAAGACAACATCATAACACAGCAGGAAAGGGGGCAAAGGACGTGAACACAATCCATAGAAATAGAGTTTCAAATGCTTTCTGTACATGTGAAAGTATATTCAATGTCATTGAAATACAATAAATGCAGATTTTAAGAATAGTGAAATGGGTATACGTATACATGTTCGTGGGTACATCAAGCAGTGGACCTTAGATTTATGTATTTGGCTGCATGTAGATGATACCTCAAAGTTCTTTAAAAACAGGATGTCCTTTTCACCTGTTGGGCAAAGAACAAAATTGATTATACAGTATATTGATGAGGGTGTGAGGCAAGGGGTGCTTGTATAAGTTGTTAGTAGAACTGCTATTACTACCCTTTTGTAATAGTGTTTTTGAGGTAGTGTTACTTTTGATTTAACAACGTATGAACTTAATCTGATTATTATTTGATTTGAAACACTTTTCTTCTAAAGATACACCTTGCAAATAGTAATTTAATTGAAAATGGTACTTTTACCAATGATTTCTTTTAAAAGGATTTAGGAAGGTCGTTCTTTACACGTGCTTAAAAATAATGTTCCAGAAGGGGTGCTGGTCATGAGTCTTTGTGCTTCTATTCAGTCCGTGATTGTCTCCTGACTTGATGATGTGGCAGAACTGTTTCAGCTTTGATTATCAATAAAAGTCTCAACAATGGATTCTGTAAAATTACCCACGTTATAAAGGGCTTTCTATTTGTTTTGAAAATTGTCAACCACATATAAACAATGCAGTAATACTAACATCTGCCACTTTCATGTCTTCAATGAAAAATATTTATTAAGTACCATCTCTGTGCAAGACAACATGTTAGATGCAATGATGCATTGTAGTAACATGCTAACAAAGCTCCCTTTTCTTTACTGAGGATGGATTTGACCTTGGGTTAACTTTCTGGCTTCATTCTATGCAAACCAGATAAAAGTGGGATGACACCTGTCTAACTAGGCAACATCCCTAATGACGAAAATGACCCCTAACTGGTGAATTACATCTGGATTAGGATGAACTACATATGTACTATTAATATCAGCTGAGAAACCATAGCTCTGGGTTTCCTGGAGGACAGTGACTCTTGTAACAGGGTGTGTCCCTTGTGGGGCCCCTGGAGGATGTGCCTTTGGCATTTTTGAAAGAGATGCTGGGTTCTGTGGGTGTGGGCTTCTAACCAGGGTGGGTCCCACAGACGCCTATGTGAATCTCGACCCCTCACGTATGAATGGTTACTCAGGAAGGCCAAAGACAATAGCTCGGGGACATCTCTGAGGACTACTGCATAGACTGTCACGAGGACCTTGCCTACCAAGACGAACGCTTATGCTCCTTTCTGGCCAGCTCTGCTTTCGTTCAGTATACAGATACCAGGTGTGGCCCATGGTAGTCTTCATAGTTTGAATGTTTAACAGTGCCGAAGAAGATCACCTTGTGGGTGTTTTTGTTTGATGAGAAATTGAAAAGTAAATAGTCATTAAAAAAATGCTACAGTCTCTGGGGAAGACAACTTGGCAATTATAAAAAATAAAAACCATACGTATAGATGACTCACAAATTCTTCTTCTAGGAATTTATTCTATTCATAGAGCCATGCATACTGTAGGCAGTGGGCATAAGGATAGTCCTCCTGAAAGATTAAGAATACCACATTTATGTTAATAGGAGAGCACTAACATGAATCATAGAAATCTATACAATGGAATATTGTATAATTAAATTGGAATTGTTAAAAAGAGTGAAGCAGTTTTTTATTTTTACTGAATTTTCTCTAAGATATATTGGTGTGTTAAAAAGGCAATGTCCAGAATAGTGTTTTTATGCCACTTATATTTAAAAACACGACAAAAAACACGCTTGCATATGACCAGAGTAACTGTAAGTTTACACAACCAAATTGGGAAAAAGTGATTGCCTGCGGGTAGGATAGGAGGGATATTCTCTTTCTTTTTTCTTCCAAGGGATATCTTAGGCCATGAGAAAAGGAGGCAGAATAGGAAGCACAGTGTCCCTGCCACTCAGGTCAGGGACTCACATGTTAAGAGTGCAGTTTAAGCCCCAGCCTGATTCCGTTTCCCTCTCTTGTCTCTGTCTGCTTGTCCTGCTCAGTTTTAAACTGATTTTGGTATTTATCATTCTCACATCAATCTTTACACTTCTTCGACAGGGATAAGGAAATGTAATCAGAGATTGTCGTGTAGCCATGCCATATGGGGTATACCATCAGCAGTGAAAATAAATGCGTTTCATTTTCATGTATCAGTAAGAGCAAATCTCAGAAGCCTGCGGTTAAGCAAGACTTAGGCATGGTCCCTTTTGAATGTTGGACTCTGTACATATTAAAAGAGGCGAATCCTTAAGATCTAGGGATTTAGACTGTGTTTGATTTTGGTAAAATGTCAATATGTTACATCTTTTGCTTTGCTGATTTGTATTGCAAATGTAGGTTTACTGGGATGCCATGGTTTTGAATATTATGAGAGATGTATCCCGTGGAGTAAAGACTTGGTGATATTCAACACTTTTTGGCAGGGTGTAGGACATTGCTTTTTACCTTTAATAGTTTCTGTGAAATTTTGGATAATTTACTATATTCAGGGAAAAACCTAGATTATTGCTGTTTATTAATTGCTGATTTCTTTTATGGTTTATATTGTAGATTGCCCTCTTAGACTCCCCCACAGCTTTAAGTATGGAGGAAAAACTTCAGCAGAATGAAGCAAGAGTAAGTGATACTTTGACTTATATTTTTAAATCATAACTTTTACTATTATTTTAAGTGCATGCTTTTTTAGGACTTGCCGTTTGAGATGCCTTCTTTTTCTTTATTGCACTTAGCCTCCTCCCTCGTTGGTGATCATTTTTGAAGAAGCACGATAGCTGACATTTTATGTATTGCAGCACATTCTCTGTGGTTTAATAAACGGGATTTGTCTGGCACATGATGGTTAGTTAAATGGATATGCAGATCCTGCAAAGCAGTGAGGCTGCTCAGGTCATCAGAGCTGACTGGAGTCCCTGTTTGAGGGAGTCTGTGTTCAACATTCATGAAACAGTAGTGGTCCCCATGGCCTCAACAATGACCACCCTTTAGCTTTTTGTTGTTCCCAGTGGGAAGAGTGGCACTTGAGGAATCTCTGATTACTCTAGTTAGGTGCTTAGTTTCTGTGAAGCTAGATGAGATTTGAGATGGGAGAGACTGGCAGTGAGTAACCAAAGAGAGAAGAGATCTGGAGCTGTTATGGGCTAAAGCCAATGTGTGTGCCCATGCCTTTGAAAAACCAGTTTTATGGCTGACCTGGTTCTATACTTTTTTTTTTTTAAACTTCTGTGAAAAGAGAAACAGACATTAGAACAACTTTTGGAGTCAATTTTGTTCATGGTGCTGAATGGCTAAGACAGATTGAAAAAGAATTGGATTCTGTTTGTAAAAGCTTTTTCAAGAATACACATTATGGAAGATAAAAATTGGGGTGTAGTTAGGAACTTGTTGACACATCTAGGATAATTATGCTGATGAATATCCTGATAATAGCCTCAGTAAAACATTAATTTCTTAATCCCTATTTTTTAAATGAAATTTTATTTATTAGTGCTTCAAATTCTAATTTTGAGTGCTATAATTTAAACTATATCTGGATATAGTCTTAAATTGTTTCTTAACAATAGTTTTCATGAATACCAAATAAGTTATTGGAAACTAATAAACGTATTAATTTGGATGTATTATACATGCTGTGACAGAAATGACTGCCTATCTTGTTCTTAACATTTTCTAAATTATCATCTAGTTTTTTGCTGACCCATTTTAATTGTTTGCAATTTGCTTGGATATAAATCTCATCACCTGATCCCACTGTTAGAAGTAGTAGCACATGTTTGCATTCTTAAATTAATGTTTTAAATGGATATTATTTCGTTTAAATGCAACAGTAAAATAAATCCAAGGCATGCTTACTTTTTCTAAGCTAGAATTGCTTGAATTCAAACAGGATTGATTTGCTCACATTTCTTCGATGAGAAACTATCTGTTGGTGAAATGCAGAATCATTTATTGTTGGATGCTTTGTGTTCTCACATAAATTGCCAATGACAATCTGTTAACTGATGAGTATAAATTAGTAATTCAGTACACCAGTCTTTTCCCCATCTGTAGGGAGAGAAGGCATAAGAATATTCCTTCTCTGAAAGCTTTTTCAAAACAAAAAGCCAGGAGAGTCACATGACTTTTGTTGCTATCAGGAGTCTGTAGGGTTGGTATCACTCAAGTGATGAAATGAAGGACTGGAGTGTAGAACTGGTTTAAGATAAATCAGGACAGTCTTACCACACCAGTGAAAACGAGCAGGCCAGGTGCAGTGGCTCACACCTGTAATCTCAGCATCTTGGGAGGTTGAGGCAGGAGGATCGCCTGAGCCCAGGAGCTCAAGACCAGCCTGGGTGACATGATGAGACCTCCTCTTTACAAAAAATACAAAAATTAGCTGGGCGTGGTGGTGTGCACCTGTAGTCCCAGCTACCCAGGAGTCTAAGGTGGAAGGATCACTCAAACTCTGGGAGGTAGAGGCTATGGTGAGCCGTGATTACGCCACCGCACTCCAACCCAGGCAACAGTGTGAGACCCCATCTCTAAAAAACAAAACCAAAGACAACAACAACAAGAAAACAAGCAAAGCACAGAGTTAGGGAGCCTCTTCCTCCTATTTCATTTGTTTTTCATCAAGAAGGTGATAGATTTTGGCACTAATAAGTAGTAAAAGAAGCAACATTATTATTTTCTTTAAGTTAACCTAGAATTCCCACAGTCTTATTTGAGGTAAATTGAGGACCCCTGAATGATTGACTATAGGTGAATGAGATATATTTTGGTTTTCCTCTTGGATAAACCATCACTGCAGATATTTGTCAATAACTGATGCTTTCTTTCATTAAGTTTGCTGCCTTGAATACCCTTTCCAGTTACTATGCTTAATGGCATATAGAAAATCAGTTTATCTTAGCAGTGAGAGTACAGGCAGATGTATTCTGTGCATTTATTTTGGCCTGATTAAATAGGGAAACTTACTGGGGAGACCAGGTAACTTTAATGGGAGGGTGTCTGCTGCTGGGAGTGAGGAGGTGGCAGGAATGATAAAGGTGCTGAAAGGAAAAGGCTTGGAAAGGATGAGTTCTCCCCTTTCTGAAGCTACTCTCCTATAGACCTTGGCTCTTCCTTTCCACAGAACGCATTTTTCATTCATATTTTTTCTACCTCTCAAATATCACTTTTTGTTTCCTGTTGAATCCTAGGATCATTTAAAAAGTTTTAGGGAACTAACAAAACATTACCATTAACTTTGAGAAGCAATTTCCAACTGTGCTGTGTTCAGCGGTTGAGCGTGTTTACTCCCCTAAGTTAGAGCCAACTGGAAAGAAGTGATTTTTGTCAAAAGATTTTTGCTTTTACTAAGAGTCGTTTAAAGAACCACCTTTTTTTCTTTTTTTATCAACAACAAAAAAAGATAGAATGAGGTTTATAAGCCCTGTTAATTAGCTACAAAAGCAAATTATCTCCTAAAGTAAAACTACAGCATCCAAGGTGATTTAATCACATCTAATTAGAAATAAAAATAAATCACTATTTTTTAGGACCTGATGTATAATAATGAAAAATTAATCCATTTAATGGGACGTTGTCATCTTCAAACTTGTAATTTTGGTTAATAATCCAAGGGAGCTGCTTTAAGTACACCATGAAAAAGGCAGTTGTGAAATTCTAGGCAAATTGACAAATTTCTGTCTGTTCTTTCCTTTGCCCTAATGTAGGTTGTAGGAATAAATCAGCTTGTTTGATTTATCTTTGGTGATGGTTCTTTCAGGGGTAAAAGTCGCGATCTCATTTAAAAAATTATAGTACATCTTTCCATGAGATATTAGAGTTCGGAAACTAGAAGAAAATTATAAACTTTCTTTATGAAGCAGTCACGTATGTATATTTTTCTTTTCAGGTTCAAGAATTGACCAAGGAATGGACAAATAAGTGGAATGAAACCCAAAATATTTTGAAAGTAAGGACTAGAAAAATGTGTTTAGTCTTACTATGGTGGATTAAACTGGTAAAACTTTTTTTTTTTTTTTTAATCTCCAAACATGGCAGTTGTATACTTTGTTAAGGTAAGATCACTGGAACCAATTAGTGACTTTCATGGGATGGGAGTTCTGGTTTGATTTTGAAGAGTGAGAAAGAAGGCTATTAGATATTATAGCTGTGTGTTTTAATATGTACAGGTTATATTGATATTTAAGATGTTTGCCTTTACTTTTAGGGGTTTTTCCATTTTTGACTCAGCACATATTAGAACTCTATTTAATATTCAAGGATATTCACTTTGTTTTTCTGCTTTTGTTAAAGCCAATATCAAAGCAACATATTAAATGAAAAAAATATTTCCCGTGGCAATATTATAGAATATGCTTGCAAAGCACGGCTAGATTTCAGAAATTTCAAAGCTAGTAATTTCCTATCAAAATATTTTTCTGCATGTCTCAAGGACTAGACTGGGATGGCCTGTGTTTCTGGCAAGACTTGCTGTGAAAAGATGTCAGCAGTAGCCTCCATTTATCATAATGCTTCAAAATACAAGTTTCTTTTTGTTCTCATTTTTTGCTGAGTTGGCAGACAACCTCTGTCATCTGTTGAGAGTCAGCCATACCAGGTTTGAGACACAAATTTGAGTTTTGTGCTTTGATGGTATCTGGCTGACTTTGTGCACAAGAGAAAAGAATTCAGAGGCTATTCAATGTGAGGTTTGTTTTTGACATCTGTTGAGGTAAAACTTTCCCAAAGAACAAAAATCTCCATCTGATATTGATGAGACCAGATAGATGAGTCTTGGCAGAATGTCTTGGCAGAATCCTAAGGTGGATCACCTTCATGTGAGAATGGCACACCTAATTACTGTTTCACAGGGTAAACTTCTGCAGCCTTGGATTTGCAGGTGAGTTCTGCATCTGACAACTGTTTCAGAATGCAGGCTCAGCATTATATTATGTAATGTTCTCCTTGCACCATTTAGGCAACTTGGCTTGACCAGGTGTTAGAAAGATTGTATCTCATGAGATCAGAGGTTGTGCTTAAGTTTAGATGGTGGTAGGTTGTGATGGTCCTAGAGATGGCCTTTCCAGCTTCTTATGTACTGCAACAAGTGAGGGTTTCTGCATTCAGACTTTTCTCTTCTCCTGATTACAATGATAATGTCATATTATTTTGAGGTACTTCTGCAGTATTTTCTTTGTTGAGAGATTTTTGTGCAGGAAACTGAGCAAATACTTCGTTCATATTTCAGAATAGTCAGATGTGGAATAAGTTCACCAAATATGTGACTTTGTTGTTGTTTAAGTTGCATTCCCTGTAAGAGGTGTTGGTGCCTCAGCCCCTGAAGCCCAAGTCATTTGACTTTTCATGCACCATGTAATGTTGCTCTGGAAATTTGTCAAAGAGGGAGGACTAAAATCTACTTTACTTAAGGAAAAAAAAAGAAATCAAACCGTTAGCTATTTGAAAAGTCCTTAGTATACATAGTGCCCATTAGCACAGGAGGCAATGCTGCAAGAGGTGAAAAGATGGAAGCTCCGTCTCTTCTGCTGCTGCGGCAGCGTCCCTCCATGTCAATGTAGTAGGGCTTTTATAATGTTTCTGTAAAGGGTATCCACACCGAGAACTATGACAGCCTGAACTTTTTCTTATGCTTTTTCTCAGAAGGTGATTTTGGGTCCTGAAGTTAAATTCTCCTCCAATTCCAATGCTTTTTTAAAAAATAAGTCTAACTATTTTCTTTTTTATGACTTTTCATAGGAGAAGGGAAAAATGTGATGCATGCTAGGTGTTAAACTTTATGAGAAAGGAGAATGCTATTTCAATGTTTTTCCCTTTCTCGATCTTATAAGCCTGTTTTAGACTTTTCTGCTAGTATTTGTGCTTTAAACCTGTAGTCATTTTCTGCTCGTGTTTGATATTTTAAGGGCTGCCTTAAACTCTTATTGGAAGACAGTGCCTGAAGACTAAGGTGAAGAGGAGAGCTACTCAAATGTTTTTATGAAGACATTCTTTAGAAATTGATTGTTAGTTGATGGGTTTGTATCTGTATCCTTTCCCGTATTTCTGCTGTTAGCGTTTTACATCAGTCAGTCATTGTTCCAGTAATGCGCATAAAACCCACCCCAACTCAGTGGCAGTTTCCTGAGCTGTGTGCTCATATTCCCTGTTTGAGTTATGAGCCATGAGGTTGGTTTATTGGCATATATCCTGAGGAGTGGCTGTACAAACCCCCTCTCATGGTGGGCAGGAGGCTGAAGTCAGTGGGTGGGGAGAAGGTCCATTGAAGTCAGAATTGCTCTTGAAAGTTCCTTAAATTTCCCTGGAAATCACCAGATCCTAAGCTCTTGGATACTCAAAAGCAGGGAGTGACTTTGTTCCCTTCTTTCTCTACCTAGTCGGTGGCTTCCCTTGCCCTGCGTGAGTGGAATCCACGGTCCTGTTGAATGAAGGTGGAGGGGAAGTGAAAGACTGTGGGGTGGGTGTGAGCTCTGACAGCAGGCACTGACTGCAGCAGAGCTGGTGGCAACATGGTCATCGTGGCTGGAGCCTTGGGCTTTGATCTGCAGAACTCAGAACTTGGATGTTAGTCTTCAGTTCTCTTTCTGACTCACTGGGTCATGGCACTCATCCATAACTGCCACGTACCCTACTTCCCAGCTTGGAAATCACAGCGGATGGCAACCTCTTCCTTATATCCAAGTTAACAGAGGAAGACATCATTAAGTTCTGAGTTATTTTGAAAGTAGTTGACAGTAGAACATGTGTTTATCTTAATGAGGCAGGTCTTAGACAGTTAGGTAATGAGAGAGAGTTTTATTATCCTCTGTACTGTACTCTATGTCTCCACTCTCTTGCCCCTTAGTCTGCCTTCCTCATTTTTATTACTTTTCATTTTCTAAAGTCCAGACTTCTTTGCCTGGCCCCTACAGGCACTAATCTCCTTGTCGGTATCATCTGTCCTAGCACAGTTCTTTCTGTGCCCACCACCCCTGGAGTCCCCGCCCTGCCAGAGGCCCTGCTGCTGGTTGGTGTGTGCACCGGGGCTTTGGGTTTCCTGGTGTCTTGTGGTCTTTGCCTGTGTTACTCCTTCATTCAGGATGTGTCCCCTTTCCGTTCCTCTAGCAAAATCCATCTTGAAGCCCGCCTCCCCCGATCACTCCTCTTCTCCCCTACTTCCCAGTTAGGATGAATTTTCTTTTCCTTTGTGCTTCTGCAGTATTTGGTTTTGCTTCTGCCACAGGATTCTTTGTCCTCTGAGTTAGGTGGTATTGGTTTCTTCCTCTTTCTGCCAACTCTTACACACAGAAAAACAGGAGCAGGATCTGGCCAAGGACTGTCTCATTATCATTCCGCGAGCCAGCTCCTAGCACTCTGCTTCTCACAGAGCAGGCATGCGGTGAGAATGTATGGGATTAGGTTAGTATCAAGAAACAAAAATAAAAACCTTTGTATTAATCTGCTAGGGCTGCCAAAACAAAATACCACAGACTGGATGGCTTAAAAAACAGACTTTTATTTGCTCACAATTCTGGAGGCTGGAAGTCCAAGATCAAGGTGCTGGCAGATTAACTTCTCCTGAGGCCCCCATCCTTGGCTTGCAGATGGTCCTCTCTTGTCTGTGTCTTCATATGGCCTTGTTTTTTGTGCCTGCAACTTGGTCTCCCTGTGTGTATCCTAGGTTCCTCTTCTTTTTTGTGTGTTTTTCTAAATTTTATTTTTGAGATGGAGTTGTGCTTTTGTTGCCCAGGCTGGAGTGCAATGGTGTGATTTCGGCTCACTGCAACCTCTACCTCCCAGTTTCAAGCGATTCTCATACCTCAGCCTCCTGAGTAGCTGGGATTACAGGTGTCCACCACCATGCCTGGCTATTTTTTGTCTTTTTAGTAGAGATGGGGTTTCACCATGTTGTCCAGGCTGTTCTCGAACTCCTGATCTCAGGTGATCCACCTGCCTCAGCCTCCAAAGTGTTGCAGGCGTGAGCCACCATGCCCTCTTCTTATAAGGACACCAGTCAGATTGGATTAGGACCCATCCTAATAACCTCATTTTAATCCCCTTAATTAATTAATTTTAACTTAATGAAAGGCTCTGTCTCCAAATACGGTCACATTCTGAGGTACTAGGGGTTAAGGCTTCAACATGAATTTTAGGGTGTCGTAATCCAGCCTATAACAACAGCCCTGAGCCATACAAATCTGATGACCTAGTGGGCAGAGTGACAGGGAGTGTTGTGCAGGCGGCGGTCCTGTCCCAGTGATGCTCTTCGCTATGTTTTTCTTCTTACTTTCTCATTCCCACTAGAAAGGCTCTTGTATGATTGTGCATTTTTATTCTCGGAGGGAATATGGCTGAAGTACAGCTCAGTCCTTCATTTGGATCCGTTAGATCCTTGCTGTTTAGAGCATAGCATGGATAGCAGCATCAACATCACCGGGGAGCTGGTTAGAAACGCAGGCCCTCAAGCCCAGCTCCAGACCTCCTGGATCAGAATCCGTATTTTATAAGATCCCCAGGGGACGGGTCTGTACCTTCAAGTTTGAGTGCTGAATTTTTTTTTTTTTTTTGAGACAGGATTTTACTCTGTCACCCAGGCTGGAGTGCAGTGGTGCGATCTTGGCTCACTGCAGTCTCAACTTCCTGGGCTAAAGTGATCCTCCCACCTCAGCCTCCCAGGTAGCTGGGATTACAGGCATGTGCCACCATGCCTGACTAAGTTTTGTATTTTTTATAAAGATGGGGTTTTACCACATTGGCCAGGCTGGTCTTGAATTCCTGGGCTCAAGCAATTCTCCTGCCTTGGCCTCCCAAAGTGCTGGGGTGACAGTGTTGATTTAGACACACTGAGGAAATGCAGAGTAGTCTTAGGCTTCCTTGTCCTCATATCTGTTCTTCTCCTTCTCCTGTTCTGCCCTGTCTCGTGGGCTGACCCCTGTGGGCCGCCCTTTTCTGGGCTCCTGGATCCCTGTGGAGATTGGAGAGAGAAACCAGGCCCTCCCCCTTCAGCCTCGCCTAGCATCCCCAGCAGCAGGTACCTCTTCTCCAAGGCCCCAGCTCCTGCAGCAAGGACCAGCCCATTGTGGTAGCAGTTCTGCCAGGTGACATAGCCTTGCCCTCGGGAAATACTCCCTCATGCCTTTGCCCCTCCTGCCTAGGGTGATGCTGGTCTCTGCTGTTGCCAGTTTGTGGGTGGCCTTACTGTTCCTAATGGCTTTCCAGCTGTTCCTTCAGCTAAGTAACCAATTCTTTGTATTAAAGTCCCTTGGATTTAAATACTGAAACAGTTTCTGTTTCGTGGTTAGGCTTTGTCTGATACATTTGATACCCAAGTGTGTTCCACATGCAGGCTCTGGACTGCACTGCCAGCACTTCAGAATCTGCTCCATTCACATAGGAAGCTCTCTTCTTGGGTTTTTCTGGTCTCTTTGTTAGAATGCTGCCTCAGTGTGATTTTCATCCTGGCTAAATTTATCTCAAACTGCAGTGATTCTCTTGGAACTGGGAAGTTAGTGTTGTGATAAATCCAGCCTTGACATCAATGGATTCTTGAGACCCTTCATATCGGTTTCCCTTTTGCGTGGCTACAATATTGTGCTGACTGCCTGGTGTTTGAAGTGGTTTACAAAGTGACTACTCAATCCCCCTGCCCTGTGTACCTGTAGGCTTGGCTTTTACAAGTCCCCTATGTTTTATTGCTAATGATTTTTTTGAAGTGATCCTTTAAGAGGAGGAATCCCCAGTTTTTTCTCCATTCCTGTGTTCTCCTTCCCCACCCCAGTCTTTATGCCCTTTTGGGTTTATCTGTCCTGCATACGTTTTGGTTTCTCTGTTCCAGCGTTTTATGAACAATTAAAGAAAAATGCTCAAGGTATGTCATCTGGCTTCCAAATAACTCCTTGAGCTCTGTGCTTCAAAATAACGCACAGACAGTTTGGACTGCAGCGCCAAGCTGGCAGCCCTTTGACAGATGGTGCGGCAGAAGGGAGAGCTGCCTCTGTGAGTGTCTGTCCAGAGCAGAGCTGCAAAGTGGTCCTCGCAGCCCTGAGGGTGCTGTTTGAATCCTTCCAGCATTGGTTATTCTTCTCATTTTTTAATCAATAAGGTCCCTTTTGTTTTTGCTGAAAACGTATCCTTTGATGGCTCCAATGTCCGGCTGGCTTTGGTGTTTTCATTGCCTGCACAGGGCTTTTGACTGTGGTGTGGCAGCGGGTGGGAGAGGAGAAGCAGGCGCTCACATGCAGATGCCTAGCTGGAGAGGCTTTTCCTTGGAAAGTGAGCAATTTGTATAAGTTGGATTGAAGTTGTTTTATTTAGACTTTAATTATGTGGAATTATTTGGTGTCTTACACACTTAACAATTAATGTTTGTCGAAAACTGAATTTGGAGGATGGAGCATATTTGAATCCATGTGATGATGGGATCCTAATGTAAATGACTGAAGTTTAAATTGAGCTGGCGTCTTGATATTCCTTCTCTGGGGGAGTAGGAGAGGCAGGATACTACAGGGCCATGGCAGGGGTGGATAGCACAATGATGAAAGATAACTTGTAACCCTTTCAAAATGTTTTGACTAACAAGAAATATAGTAAAATGAAATTGGGATTCTTTTCCGGCTTAAGATGTTCTGAGTTTAAATTTCATGGGGAGGCATGCTTTCAACCAGCTTATATCTGTTTTATAATAGAATCAATCCACTGAACTTTTTGTCTCCAGAACATTATGGCAACCTATAAAAGATTTTTTTCTCTGGCTGCCTGCAGTTTTCCATTTTGTGGAGAAGATGTGTATTGGGAGTGTAATGGATTCGGAAGCAGCTCTCGTAACTGGGGCTGTTGCTCAGCAGGCTTGTAGGCGGGTCAGGTTTGTGGAACAAGTTTCCTGCGGTCCTCTGGATTCCTGTTGTCCAGGGCACTGAATCCTCTGGTTTCTGGAAAACCTACAGACAAAGCATGGGAGAGACAACATTTTTTGTGGCCTCTCTCGTTTAAATGCAGTTAATCTTTTTTTTTTTGAGATGGAGTCTCGATCTGTCACCCAGGCTGGAGTGCAGTGGCGCGATCTTGGCTCACTGCAAGCTCCGCCTCCGGATTCATGCCATTCTCCTGCCTCAGCCTCCCAAGTAGCTGGGAATACAGGCACCCACCACCACGCCCAGCTAATTTTTTGTATTTTTAGTAGAGATGGGGTTTCACCGTGTTAGCCAAGATGATCTCAATCTCCTGACCCTGTGATCCACCCACCTCAGCCTCCCAAACTGCTGAGATTATAGGTGTGAGCCATGGTGCCTGGCCTAAATGCAGTTAATCTTGACCTCTTCTTGGTACAAACGTTGAACCTAGGAGTAGATCTGGGGGATAATTTTATTTATGGTCATCGATTTCTCCTAGATTTTAGATGAAGGAGGAGACATTTCTTTCAGCCATGGGTTACCAGCTTCCTTACCAGCAACTCTTTGGGCATTTGATGCTTCTGACCTCAGATAATCACACATATTGTTTATAGTTAGTTATCGCCATTCTAAAGATAGAAAGTACTGACTCGAGAGCTCATTTGGCTATGTGACGATAATATATTGAGTTTCCAAGTGTTCATCCAGGCAGAAATTGGCTGCAGTGGTAATTTGAGAAGTCAGTGCTCTTTCCCCTTTGGTTTTCATTGTAAAAATCGAGTCCGTATAGTTCAGCTCCTGTGGATTAGTGCAGTCCATGTGTAGGTCATGCCTGTAGGATCTCAGTAAATTTCCTGTAAGATTTATTTTTGTAATTTTAAAAAACTATTTTCAAACTTTTGAAAACTTTTGGGCGAAGAAGAGATGAGAGGTGGTGGGCATCCTTTGACATGCTAACGTTCCAATTAACTAGGATTGCTACCTATGTTCAGAAGGAAATTCCTAGCATTACTATGAGTTTGAAAATATTCTCCCCATAATAGAATTTCTTTCCCAGCTTCCCTCCCTTTATCCCTCCCTTCCTTTCTCCCTCCTTCATTAAGCACATGTTTATTGAGAGCATCTTATGTGGTAGACCTAGTTCTGGACACAAGGTATACCCAGTGAGCAAAACAAAGAATCCCTGCTCTCATGGAGATTACATTCTAGAAGTGCTAGAAGACTTTTCCCCACAATTGGGTATTCTTCTGTAAAGCTCCCATAGTCTCATCTAGTCTCGTCCTCTGATTTCTAACAAAACGGGCCTAAAATACTTTTGTTGATAAAGCAATATCAGAGTTCTGCTCCCAGAATCTCTGATATTTGAAGCTTGAGATTATATAAAATAAATAAGATTTTTTTCAGTTCTATTATTAGTTAAATTTACTTACAAAGATAACTTATGCTAAGTGAATTTATATACACATATATATGTATATATATGTGTGTATATATATGTGTATATATATGTGTGTATGTGTGGAGACATGCTTATATACACGTGCATGTCTGCACACATACACTTAAAGCACTTTGAAAAGCCCTTGCAATATAGAAAGTATTTTGTAAATTGACATCCATTAGGATATAAAGTCCATGAGGACACAGTTTCTGTCTCTTTTGTTTATTGCTCAGTAGGTCTGAACACTGAATGGTTGGTTTTAAAGGCCCAGTGTGGCTGTACATTACTGCAGAAGTTGTTTGGAGGAATGAGTTCATACATGGAATGACAGCTGTTCCTGGAGATGGGAGGGGATGATATTTGATCCTTCATGTGTTGTAACTATCCATATGTTTGTCATTCTCTCAGTTAAATTATAAATTCCTTTAGGTCAGGGAAAACATTTTGCTCATCTTCGAATCTCTTAAAAATTCTAGTGTCTTGTGCAGTAGCTCTTTATAAATAGGAAGTGTTCCATGAATAATTATTGAACTCAGCTTGTTCTCCCATTTTTGAGAAGTTTCAGGTCAAGTTTGAGGTTTTTTTCTATAGAACAAACTGCCTTAAAACCTAGTGGCTTAAACAGACTGTGATTATTTCTCTTAATTTTGTGGACCAGCCTGGTTTGGTGGATTTCTCCTGCCTTCACTCATGCCCTGGAGTTGAATGGTCCAAGATGGACTCACATGGCTGGTGGTTGGCTTGATGTCAGCTGGGGATGATTTGGTCTTGTGTCCCTCATCCCCATCAGTTTAGGCCTTTACATGGTGGTCTCTGGATCCTAAGAATGGCAAGAAAGGATAACCCCAGTGTCCAAGCATTTTTCAGGCTTTCAGTTGCATCTCATTTGCTAATGCCTCATTGGCTAAAGGTAGTCATGGGTACAACCACAGTGTAGGAGTGGGGAATACCCAAAGGAATGAGTACAGGCAGATCAATAATTCTTGTCATTTTTTGCAAAAAAATCTGCCACGAGCATCCTTTTTTCTCTATTTTACTTGCCCCTTTGCCTTCTGCTAGCCCCAGTGGTTTGCAACTGTGTATGTATGAGTGTATGTTCCTGTCTTCCTATAGAAGAGAGTATTGAAAGGAAGAAGGATTTGGGATCAGGGGTTGCAATGAAGATGACTTGAGAGAGGATTTTGAGATATCATTTGTCTCTCTGCTTTAATTTGCAGACTAGCGTGGATGATTTTGAGTCGGTTTGAACAAAAGCCACCACCAGTACCATCACACGCAAAGCCTTTTATCTTTTTCTAATGCATTTACATATACTATCTCATTGGCTCTTCCTTGTTCTTAAAACAAGAGAAAAAATACGTTACTGTACTTTATATAGTATGCAGTTGTTAATTTGTCAACCTCTCATTAAAGTTAGACTCTGGCTGCTAATTTCTGTCAAACTGTGTTCTTCCTTTTCTAAAGTTCTGCTCTTGCAACTGTATTTTAAGATGAAAGGCAAAGTAATAAAGAAAGTTCATTGTTCTCTGCAACTGGGACTTGATAATTAACAGGGGGAGATGACTGTCAGTGCTATTGCACTTGGCAGGGTCAGAGGCTGAGCTGAGCTATTCCCATAACCAGCTCTGATGTTGTTACTGATGCCAAACCTACCATATTTTCCATTGCAGTTCTCATCTTGAAGGGGCTGCTCATAAATAAAGGTATTCCAAGTATATGCTGGTTCTTACTTTTGAATAACATTTCTGGAGCAAAAAGGCTCAGAAATAATTCATGTGCACCATGTTAAATGTTGGTGCCATGCCATAAATTATCTTGAATGCATAAGGGATTTTCCTTCTGATCTTTTGCGGCGAGGCATGTGCGCTGATGGGCTCTGACTGCGTATTTATTGCTACGGTCAGAGAGGAAAAGATTGGTCATATGGAAGTGTGCTTTATGTACACTTGTACTCAGCGGATGCTGCATTGTAGGAACTTGGTTTAGTTGGCTAAGAAGCTTAAAAAAACACAATTTCATGACATAGATAAGTTGATTGTTTATGTCACCCAGGAACACATTTAACTCACCTTGGAGGATTTCTACGTCTTGTGAGCTTGGAGAGGAGGGGGTGGTTGGTGGAGCAATAGTGAGCCAGGGAGCAAGGAGATGGTTTTCTCCTTGCCTAGACTAGTGACTTTTGCCTGTGTGTTACTCTGGATCAATAATTTATGATTTTTCTGACGTTGGTCACCACTCACTTTCTGTTTCTCAGAACCTCACTGCAAGATGCCAACAATAGTAGTTCCTGTTATATAAGGGGAGAAAGGAAACACACAGAGGCTGAGGGCAGTGTCCAGCACATGGTCAGCACTGTGAGCATTACAGCATGTGTTCCATTTTCTCTTATTAATTTTGTTTACTCTGAATCTATCCTTTTTGATGTAAAACTGGGTTACCAGTAATACCTATCTTCTCAGCTGGGCAGAAAAGAAATGAAATTATGTATATGGAAACTTTTTAAGGTATGTAGTTTTATACAGATACAAGCTGGTGTTACTTAGACGTATTTTATCAGGTAGCTACAATTTTCTGTTTGTTTATTTACATTGAATAACAGAAAACCCAATTCCAAACTGGATTATATGGTACAGGGGTTTATTAGCTCACAGAAGAGTGATGGTGGGATGGAGTTTAGGCATGGTTTGATCAGGGCTCTGGCTCACCAGGATTCTCCTTGGTTCTACTTTTTGGTGTACTGACTTACTCCTCAGGCTGTCTACCCTCAGAATGCAAAGGGAGAGCAGCAATTACAGATTCATATCTCCCTAACGCATTACCCAAATTCAAGGAGTGTGCATTCCTGAGTTCCCAACAACTTTTTGAGCTCTCCATTGAATGGTGCATTTCTGAACCAGTCTCTGGGGCCAAGGAGACACTGTATGCTGACTGGCTTAGGTCTAGGTTATCTAAACCAATCAGTGTGATAAGGGATAGGTTACCCTGATTGATTGAGATGAATCAAGGGCCACCTCTGGAGCCCTTTGGAGTGAGGTCAAGCTCATTCACCACAGCTTCTGTGAGCTGGGGTTGGGGGAGCAGGTGAATCAGGGTGACACCATTCACATTTCCTACCATAAATATAGAACTTGGACACTTACTATAGTGTCATATATATTCAAGGCAAACAGGAGATGCACATGAGTTGAGGCATTCTTTTACTTCTTAAGAGAAAATATTTATGACTCAGGAATCCTGTATTGAGGTGAAAAATTACATAAAAGCAGCTGAATATCTGTACTGTGGTGTGAACATTCCATTACAGGAGAGCCCTCTGTTTTCTGGTGTTAGAACTGAAGAATGGCACACAACAAATTCTGTGTATTTAAAGTCATTTTCCTTTTCTCCTTTAGATTGATTACATGATTTAAAATGAGCTCCAAATGCGGGTGTGTTCTCTTCAGTCTTTCATAGGTAGTTTTGAATTTGGCTCAATTTCTCATTGACCTCTTTAGCTTGCTGTTTTCCATCCCAGCCTACCTAGCAACAGTTACTAGGAGCGGCAGGTTGGACTTGCCCTCCGTTTGTATCACAACAGCCAGTTTTCAGAGATTACTTTTTCCTTAGCATCCTGGTTGATTTTGCCTTTGCATTATTTAAGGATGACAGCAGTTTCTCTTAACTCCAGGCAGCAGAGCTCCAAGCAGAAGTGGTGGTATTAAGAAGTTTGTATCTGTAAGGATCAGATTATGCTAATCAGCATAATTAGCAAATGGGCATCTACTGACAAAAGAATAAGGGCCTAAGTTGCATGTGGATGTCTATTACCAGGATATTCTGATATTTCCAAGGAGGAAGATGACTATACACTTCTCACATCTTATCTCGTACTTTACATGTCACCTTTGTTATTCTGGATCCAGCATTGTCATCTTTCTGACCATGGTCACAGGTCACTTTCTGTTCCCCAGAACCTCACTGTAAGATGCAGACAGTAATCGTACCTATCATACAAAGTGAGAAACGAGGACAGGCAAAGTGCTGACAGTGGTGTCTAGCACACAGTCAGCATTACAGTAATGTCATCCATTTTTTCCTTATTAATTTTGTTTACTCTGAACCTGTCCTCTTTGATGTGAAACTTTTCCAGCTAAAACCAGCCTTCCTAAGTTGTCTTTGTCAAATGGATGAGAGGAGTTGGTTCCAAATAGCTCTGAATTCTCCCTGAAAGAATTTAGCCACACAGACATCACAAAAGATGGTCATTTTCCTCTAGGTCCAGTACATTATACATTTAAGCCTTTTTTGTTCTCGTAATTAGAGTGAAAGTGTGCTGGCATTCCCAGCAGATTTGATGGAAGTCAAGCAACAGAATTTGACGTGACACTTCTTTAGGTTGCTAAGTCCTATTTCTCATCCAAAACCACATATAGCAGTTATTCTCCACCTCAGAAGTTGACTTTTGGACAGGTGTGGTAGCTCACGCCTTTAATCCCAGCACTTTGGGAGGCTGAGGTAGGAGGATTGCTTGAGGCCAGGAGTTTGAGACCAGCCTGGGCAACATAGAGAGACCCTGTCTCTACAGAAAAAAAATTAACCAGACAGGTGGCATACGCCTGTAGTCCCAGCTACTTGGGAGGCTGAGGCAGGAGGACTGCTTGAGCCTGGAAGGTTGAGACTGCAGCGAGCTGTGATTGCTCACTGTACTCCAGCCAGGGCGACAGAGTGAGAACCTGTCTTGAAACCACTTCCATACAGAAGTGGTTTCCACTCAGAATCACTGGGGATCTTTTTAAAAAGACAGTTTTCTCAGCCTACCGCAGACACGTGAAAGGAGAATGAATAGGAGTGATACCCCCAAATCTCTATTTTTGACGAAAGTGTCCTGAGCCTCAGAAGAGTTGGAAAGCACAGCCCTAAAGCATGTGGAAGATCATCCCTTCAAACACATCTCTCCATGTTTATTGCATGGTTGTAGGTTCATAGAATCAAATGGTTCATATAACTTGGAATGTTTTGCAGCCCCCAAGTTGTACACTCATACAAGCATTTGGAGACACTGGGTGATGCCATTTGAAAAGAAATTTTAACTGAATAGATTCATTTTGTTAAATGCAGTTATTTGTTCACAGAATTAAAAAAAAACTATTTGAATTGGTTTTTGATTGAGATTTAACATACACAAAGTGTGAAGAGATGGTATATGCAGCTCATGAATTTTTACTTCTGTGTACCCCCATCTAACCCACACCCAGATTAAGATGTGTAGACATTGCCAGCTTCCTAGCTCTTTCCTCCTCTCTGCGGTTGTTCTGTGCATTGTGTCACCTCTTCACTGCTTATCTCATTTGAATGAAATACACAAAAGCCTTGTCCTTTTTTGAGTTCCTACTCATTCTGAGTTTTCACTTAATTTATTCTTTTGACATATCTTGAGTATTTTATCATTATTTAAGTCTTGTTTACTGAGGTGACCTGGATTTTGCCCTTGGACCTATCACTTACTAGTTGTGTGACTTTGACTAAGTTATATTCTCTCTCTTGGTCTCAGTTTTTTCAATCACAAGTGGGTAGGCTGATCTAGGTGAACTCTTGAGGATTTCTTCTGTCTAAGAAAGACTCGGATTCTTCCTTAGGAGGCTGTATAGAGGGCCCATGTCTTGGGTGCGAGGACCCTGCTGTGTTTCTCTGTTATGAAAGGTCTTCAATGAGGGCTTTCTTTTTGTCCCTTGTTTCTGGGTTTTTGTTTTGGAATACTCTTCCTTTTTGAATATGCCCTTGGAGCCCAGCCTCTATCTGGGCATTATATATTACATCTATACAGAATATTATGCAAATCATGAGTACTGCTTGGCAGATTTTCAGGAACTAAGCACACCCATACCTCCAGCAACCAGGTGAAGAAAAACACATTATTAGCCCCGAAGGAGTCCCTGCCATGTCCCCTTCTGGCAGTACTCCTCCTCCCTCCAAGGGAGACGTCTAGCCTGAGGTCTGAAAGCTTAGTGTTGTTTAGTCTGCTTTGAACTTTATCCACATGGAATGTACAGAGCACAGTCACATGTGGCTTGGTGTCAATGATGTGTTCTAAGAAACGTGTCATTAGGCAACTTTCTCATTGTGCAAACATCATAGAGTGACTTACACAGACCTAGATGGTATGGCCTGCTATACACCTAGGCTATATGGTATGGCCTATTGCTCCTAGGCTACAAACCTGTAGAGCATGTTACTCTATTGAACACTGTAGGCAGTTGGCACACAATGGTAAGTATTTATGTATCTAAACATAGGAAAGGTACAGTAAAAATACGGGGTTACTATAATCTTATGGTACCACCATTGCATGTGTGGTCCATTGCTGACTGAAACGTTATGTAGTGCACAACTGTATATTTTTTTGTTTGGCCTTATTTATTCAATATTAATTTTTTTTTAAAGTTCTGAGGTACATGTGCAGGACATGCAGGTTTGTTACATAGGTAAACATCTGCTGTGGTGATTGGCTGCACCTATCAACCCATCACCTAGGTATTAAGCCCCGCATTCGGTAGCTATTTTTCCTGATGCTCTCCCTCCCCCTGCCCCATCCGCCGCCTCCAGTCCCCAGCGTGTGTTGTTCCACTCCCTGTGTCTTCTTTATATTCACATTGTTCAACTCCCACTTGTAAGTGAGAACATGCAGTATTTGGTTTTCTGTTCCTGCATTAGTTTGTTGAGAATAATGGCTTCCAGCTCCATCCATGTCCCTGCAAAGGACCTGATGTTGCTCCTTTTTATGGCTGCATAGTATTCCATGGTGTATGTGTACCATATTTGTTCCATATTATGTTTATGAGATCTACTTATGTCTTTGTACATAGTTGTATAACACAATGTGGCTATACCATAGTTTATTCATTGTACTCGTTTTCTGTTTTGGGCTGTTAGAAATCGTGCTGCCATGAATCTTCTTAGACATGTCTTTGGTGAATGTATGCACATGTTTCTGTTAGGTGTATACTTGGAAGTAGAATTGCTGGGTTATTGAGTAGGTGTACAATAGTCCCCCCTTATCCACAGGGGATACATTTCAAGACCCCTAGTGAATGCCTGAATCCTTGGATAGTACTGAGCCCTATGTATACTATGCATAAACATATGATAATGCTTCATTTATAAATTAGGCACAGTAAGAGATTAACAACAATAGCTGATAGTTAAACAATTATAACAATATACCTGCATCATTACTCTTGTGCTTTGGGGCCATGAACAATTAAAATAAGGGTGACTTGAATACAAATGGTACACCTGTTGATCTGGTAACTGTCTACTAATAGTCTGGGGGGAAATACAGCATGGATATGCTGGAAGAAGGGTGATTTGTGTCCTGGGCGAGAAGGTGAGAGAGTTCATCATGCGACTGAGAACAGTATGAATTTTAAACTTTTGAATTGTTTCTGCCTAGAATTTTCCATTTAATATTTTTGGACCACAGTTAATGGTGGGTAACTGAAACCTTGGAAAGTAAAGCCGTGGATAAAGGGGGACTATTACATGTTTAGCTTTAGTAGATACTGAAAATAGTTTTCCAACGTGGTCATACCATTTGCATTCCCACCTGCCCTGCAGCCCGGTTGGTCTACATCCTCATGACATTCACTGTTTTTTGTCCTTTTCATGTTATGCACTCTAGTGGGTATCTAGTTGTATCACGTTATGGTTCTATTTTGAATTTCCTGAAGGTATGGAAAAAATTTTCTGTTAGTTTTAATTTGCATCATTTTCAAATGATTTGCCCTCTGACCCTTGTCATCAGGTGAATTGTCCCAGTATTTAATATCCTCAGCCTCTGGGCACTCCTCCAGCTCTCTCCTGTTCACTCCACTTCAGTTTTGCATAAACTTGCCATCCCAGTCATCTTGGAGAGCTGTCACTCACACAGTCACCACTTGTCGCAGATGCCCATCGGTACCTTCTGAGGTCCTCGGGGTATTCCATTGCCGTGGTCTGGAGCCATCCCAGCTGTGGTGAGTCTTTTGGGTTCTGCTTGCTTCATTTCCTTTCTCTCTTCCTTGTTGAGTTTGACTACTCATTCTGCTGCTCTGCTTCCTCCCCCTTTTATCTCTTTGTAGCTGTTACCTCTAAGCCATAGCTGTTTCTCTTCAGCCAGGTCAAAGTTCTTCCTGCCAAGTAAGAGAGTAATAACCATAATTATAGTAGAAAACGCCAGGCATATTTTGAATTATTTAGAGTTCTTTCTTCATCTTAGAAAACTTTTCAGCAAACATTCCCTGTAACCTAAACAAAGACCTAAAACTTACTCTGTTGGCAAATCCTCACTTACCCAGAATGTTTATGACTATCTTGGTTTAGCAATAAACCCCCTTAAATAACATGATTTCTGAACGTCTTTATTAAGAGACTTTAGATGATACTTGCTGGTTTAGGAAGTGCAGAGTCATAGTGGATGTGATTTAGTACATCTTTGATTCAGGTCAGGAGTCATCATCTAAACATCTTAAAGAGGTCTTTTACTCTATGCCGATTTCAATGCAAACCTTGTTTGTTGTTTGAGTCTTAAGGTGTCTTAACACTGTTCTCCTCAGAGTACTGTGGCACTGTGTGGCTTAAATAACTAAAGCAAGGTTTAGAGAGATCTTAGAGATCATCATCTTCATAGAACATAGAATGTTAGAACAAGGAGCCCAGGAAGGAATCCAGGCTAAACTCCTCACTGTCTTCCCCACCTTTTTTTTTTTTTAAGGAGAGAAAAAAAAAAAACCCACAAGGAAATTGAAGGCAAGAGAAATTAAATAACTTGGTCTCAGAATTTTTTAGGTAGACCCAGGGCTAGATTCTGTTTTCTCATTTCTAATCCAGTGCTCTTTAATTATGCCTTATTTACCTTTAAAAACGGTATCCAGGCCCGGCGCAGTGGCTCACGCCTGTAATCCCAGCACTTTGGGAGGCTGAGGCGGGCGGATTATGAGGTCAGGAGATCGAGACCATCCTAGCCAACATGGTGAAACCCCATCTCTACTAAAAATACATGGTGTGGTGGCACGCGCCTGTAGTCCCAGCTACTCGGGAGGCTGAGGCAGGAGGATCACTTGAACCTGGGAGGCGGAGGTTGCAGTCAGCCGAGATTGAGCCACTGCATTCCAGCCTGGCGACAGAGCGAGACTCTGTCTCAAAAAAAGTAAATAAATAAAAAAGATATTCAAACACCTTTGTTGTCATAACCGGAATGATACTTCACTTTGGTGAGGGGAATATGGCTATCCTGCATCTTTTAGAATCTAATTTTAAGATGTAAAATTTGGAGACAAGATTTAGCCCATGATATACCTAAATCAGAAACCATTCTATAATGGGCTCATTTGCATTTAAATTGTTCTCCTTTAGAGATTTTGCGAGTTGATTTTGAATAAAGGGCTTGTATTTATTATTATATTAAGCCAGATTGCTTTTTGTTAAATTTAACAAGATGTCTTTTAATGTCTGCAAAATCCTCTGACATTCCAGTCTGCTGTTAGTAAGTAAAGATATGTTTGCATTTAAAACAAAACTATTGGAGAACAAAATGATTTCTTCACTTTAACAAAACAAATGTGTCTTTTCAATGGGTTAATCTTATGAGATATTTTAAATATTGGAGTATAATACAATTGACAATTGGCAATCCCAATTATGGGAAAAGCTGTTTACCTTAAGAGCTATATATATATTCCTGTTTTATAATATGCATTTAAATACAATAGTAATGGGAATAAATGTTGTTCTACAGACTGCGTTTTAGTTTCTTAACACTAGATGTCACTGTAGATAGGAAAACACGCTCTGCCTGTTTGTATTTGTTGCAGGGCCCTTGGTAGTGGAGTTGTCTGAAGACGTGACAGATACCACTGTCAATACCATGGAATTGGGCCTGGTTGCTGATAATTACTGGATGCAGAATCTGTGTGAGAGATAAATTGTGCAGAATTTAGTATAAGTAATCATTCAGCTGGAATGTCTTCTTGTAGCTAGTTTGAGAATTGCTGCAGAAAGATGAAAATGCATCTTCACATTTCTGGAGTTCTTTTAAATAATTTTTCTAATCTTGCTTCAAGAGCAGAGTACCAGGGTAATATCTTACAGCTAAAAGGTTTTTGAAAATTGGGTCTTAGGTAGTCATTTTGATTAGCTTGCTATTAGAAAGCTTTTTGTGTCATTTACTTGTATTTGCCACTTAAAAGACTTTTCTTGTAATATCATTTCTTCTTTTACCTCTCATTTTCCTCATCTTCAACTGTGGAAGTTCTTAAGAGAATTAAAATGTACAATTCCTTGTACAATTATTTCTGTCATCCTTCGTTGTACATTTGGTAACGTCCACTCTAGCCAAGTAACCTCTGCGTTGGTTCCCGGCTGATCTGTGGAGCCAAGAATCTTCATAGATATTCAGATCGAATTTCTCCCAGCTCCTTCCTTGTTTACACAGAAACAGAAAGAATGTACTGTCACAGTTAGTGGTTGAGAAGTGGTGGAGAATATCAGTTAAGGACATGAACTCTGGAACCAAATTCTATGTAATCCAGTGCTGGCTCTGCTGGTTGCTGGCTGTATGACCTTGGGTGACTTAACCTCCCTGCACTTCAGCTTCCTGATGGGTAAAATGGGGATAATAGTACCTAACTCATCGGGTTGTTATGAGAATAAAATGAGTTCTTTGTGAAAGCTTTGAAAGCAGTGCCTGGCACACTAAATACTCTTATGTCAGTGCTTGTTAAATAACTTTAGGTTCAGGCACTCTATGGGAACTTTTACAAATGCTAAATTCTTTGAAGAATATTCAGTTCGAGATGAAGAAAAATATTTCTGAAACTTAAGAGTAATGTTTTTCTCTTGTGAAAGAACTGGAGACAAACTATGATGGTCATTATTGTCACTTCATTCATTCATTTAACTTTTATCGAACACTTGCTTGGTGAGAGGTGTTGTGTGAAAATGAATAAGACTCTTTTTGTCTGGTAGAGAAACCAAACATAAACAGATAATGAAATAAATTGTTGCAGGTGCTAATTAATAAGAGTTAACTGGATCAGGGAGTGCATTTGGCTGCAAGAGCAACCTGAGAAAACATATCCTAAGGCAGTTAGAAGTTGTCTCTGTTTTTCCCTCACCAAAAACTACAGAACTAGGCTGACTGCTGGTGGCCTGGGTTTAGTGGTACATAGTTGCCAGAGCTGAGGTCTATGTAATTCTCTTGGTCTCTCCCTTATGGTTTTGAGACATTTTTGTGACCACATCATCACATCTAAAATTTGTCAGGAAAAATGGGGAAGGGCAAAGGAGTATATGTTAGTTGAGTTTACTCCTCTTTTAAGCCCCGCTCAGCAACTTCTATTTATATTTCATAGCAGACCTATGCCACATGATGCTTCTTGCTTGCAAGGAAGGCTAGGAAGTTGTTTCTTCAGCTGAGTATATTGCTGTCCTCAATAAAACTAACTTTCTGTTCATAAGGAAGGAAGGGAAAGCAGGAGGCTATCCTGAGCATAAGCGCTTGCTATGTGCCAAGCACTGCCCTAAGCACTTCACATGTTTATGTACATTGGAATTGCATAAAAATCCTGCAATGTACAAATTCGTTATTCTATGTTAGGAAACAGAGGCTGGAGCGGGTAAGAAACTTGACACAGCTAGTAAGTGCCAAGGCCTGCTGAAGGCCAGTGTTAGGATTGGTGGGGTCACAAAGGGGGGCGTGGTCAACAGGTTAGATATTTTGGAAGGTGACAGCAAGGATGTCAGGAGGGGTTCAGAGAGAGTTGACCCGGAGGGTAGCCATGGAAACACATAGATGTTAAGAGTCCTGCATTGGGCAAGAAGGACTTTCTGATGGCCTGAGTTCAGAAAACTCTATTACCTGAGGAGGTGGAGCTTTTGGGAACACTGAGTGAGCTTGGAGCAGCAGGGAGGGAGGAAGGAGATGCCAAGGCTGGAAAAAGAGCGTGGATTAGATCATGTCAGAGCTTAATTTCCCCATTAAAGTTCTTACTGCTTCATTATTGCTTCGGGAAAAATACTCAGAGCTCATTTACATTCTGGACATTTATTCTGAAGACATTTTTCCAGTTTAGTTTCATTATCTGAGCCATCAGTATTTCTTTTGAAGTGTCTAAGTACTGTATTGAAATTTCTTATTCGTTTCTCTCATTTCACATTGAATTAATGACACAGAATGAATTCAAAATGGATGGAGTCTTAGAGCTGATCTTATCCTACCTTGTCATATCATAGTTGGGAGAATCCGAGGTCTGCACACACTGCATTCCTTACTTAGTGATCTTTGGGATTACATAGGGAGTTAGGGTCCAAGTTGAGGTGGGAATATAGTTTTCTGGCTCCTGGTCCAGCGTCCTTCCTATACTAGCATTTCTCAAAGTGTCTACTCTAGTCCCTGCGATCTCTTCCATGGGGTACTAACATTCATTTAATAACTTGCAATTTTATGTTTAATATGTATCCTCCCCAGATTCTAGTTCCAGTCCCTTAGTTCAGTGCCTGTCACACAGCAGACCCTTGGGAAATGTTTGTTGAGGGACTGTTTTAGTATTAATATGGTTCTGTAAAGGGAGAGAAAAAGAAATCCTTTCTCAAATAAGTCTGGGAAACATCACATTAAGCAAAATTTAGCAGGCCTGTTTATAAAAAGTTGGGAGAGCCTTTAAGATGCTCTTGTGCTCTGTGGCTCTAAGTTTGATGAGTAGAGGGGCCTGCTTGCTCCAAAGTTCCTTGTGTTCTGAGGACTTCCGTTGGGTTTTAAGCTAAATGCTCTTTTGCGGTTTTGGTGTCCAGGACTTAAGAAGACTTGTAGCCTGAATGGATTCCTTATAACAGAATTGCTTTTTATTCTTTGTAGGTTACCATTTGGTCTTTTCCTATTAAAATGGTGAACAATTTTTCTGCTAAAAAAACCTGTCTTAGAAGATAGTGGCATTCTGAAAAATGATTGATGTGCTTAGTTTCTCAGAACCTAGATATGGTTTTTATCCTCTGAGTATTGATATTCCTCATGGCTAGTTTCTAAGGTTGGTCTATCAAAGTCTGTTTAACTCAAAACAAACGGTATGCTCTTAGGTAATGACTTTCTCAATACTTAGAGAAGGGATTGGCATGGTAGTGGCACATAGAATAGGTTGACAAGGGCAGAATGCAAAGTCAGTAGGCAGGCGGTCAGTCAGCCGAGAGGTTTGTTCTCTGAACACAGTGTAGTGAGAGCGCGTGGCATGACGTTATCATGGGAAAGTTGGTAATGCTGTGATATCAATGATAATGACACCATTCAGGAAGTGTTTCCACAGGGTGTGTGGGAGTCTCTCTGTTCCTGAAATGGGCTTGGTCCTTTTACTTTTTTTTTTTTTTTTTTTTTTTAATTTCAGATGCTTTGGAAGGCTTTACCTTTATACCAGTACAGTTACATGACGTTAGGGTTATGTTGTCCTCCCTGCTCCTACCCAGTGTAGCTTGGCAGTTTAGAGGGTTTGGGAGTCGAAGCCTGGCTTGGCTGCTTGTGACTCAATCTTGATAAACCTGTTTCCTCCTCCTTAAAATGGGGATAATAATCATTTCCACCTCACTGGAATAATCTATGTAAAGAGATAATCTATATAAAGTACTTAGCACTGTGCCTACAAGAGGGATTGGCAGACTTTCTGTGAAGAACCAGATAGTAAATATTTTAGGCCCTGCGGGCTGTATGATCCTTCACAATGACTCATCTCTGTGGAGGTGGAACGAAAGCATATGCAGATAAGACCTCAAATGGGACATGGCTGTGTCCAAGAAACCTTTATTTACAAAAGCAGCAGAGTGCTACCCTCGGACCATTAGTTTGCTAACCCCTGGCTTAGCAGATCAAATGTGCTCAATAGACGACAGTAGCTATGGTTGTAATTTTTGTTGTTCATACCTAGTTTCATGTTAACATTAGGCCAGCCATGGAGTTCTTGAATTTTGGACTCATATTTGTTTAAATGTTTGCAGCTATATGTAAGAAACAAGGTAAGTCATGTCATTATCTTTGGTGTTTGTGTAATCACAGAATTTCAGAAGATATGATTAACAAAAAACCTTAATGGAAAAAAGAATAAATATGGAAAGTTCTGAAGAACCATAGGTAGTAAATTAGCCATACTTTCTGTCTCACAGTGAATTCAGTACGTGTAGTAATCACTTTAGGTAGTTTGGCCTCAGTGTGTGGGTCAAAAGAACCCTCAGCTTGCTTTTGCATCATTCTGTGATGGATTTTTAAAATCATATTTTTATTAAGGCTTTTATGACTAAATATACTTGTTAAGGCATATCCTTATTTTAAAATGAGCCCTCTCTGTAAGAGAAATGTCTATGCTGTTTGCGGTTAAATATGTGAAGTGAGTTTCTGTTTGAGGTCTGCAAGGAAGATTCAAGATTATATCATTGTGAGGCAGATTCAAATTGTGATGATACAAAATTATACCATTTACCACGTATTACCATCATGTCATTGGGGCATACCTGTGTCAGCACTTATAATATGCTGGTCAAGGGGCAGAACCCCTTATATTGCTAGAAGGGACCACTTTCCATCAGAGAGAAAGCTATTGGTCCTGGAGGCTTAGTCTTCACAGAGTGACAGTGTATTTTAGGACTCATATTTTATGCTTCCCAAATCAAGGAATTTTTTCAGTGTTGCCCTTTCATGTCAATTATTAGTAGTGCTTTTCAATGAAAAATTGGCTTTTGTTGGGTCAATTTTTTAAATTTTGTAAACTCATGGAGACGGAAAGTTTCCAGAGGGCATCATAGTGGAGTTTGAGAGGCACCAAGATTTCATGATGGTTAGCTCTCTCTGTTCAAAACCTCGTTCAGTAGAGATAACTTGAGAATGTGTTTTTGCCCAATGTCTCTTCCCTGTCTTTTTTCCACTTCCCATTTGATTCTTCTTTTCCTGTCTCCTATGTTTTCTGTCTCACTGGTGGATCTGAGAATTGAGGGAGGAACAAGGGAAGACGAGGTGAGAACGGAGTGAAGGTGCTATGTTCACATACCCTGGGGTAGAAATGGAAACCATCTCAGTGTTTAACTTTTGCTTAAAAAAAAAATCAATCTTATTTTTAGAACAGTTTTAGGTTCAAACAAAAGTGAGCTGAGGCCATGTGCATTGGTTCATGCCTGTAATCCCAACACTTTGAGAGGCTGAGTTGGGCCGATTGCTCGAGCCCAGGAGTTCAAGACCAGCCTGGGCAACATGGTGAAACCCTGTCTCTACCAAAAAAAAAAAAAAAGAAAAAAAGAATTTGCTGGGCATGGTGGTGCATGCCTGTAGTTCCAGCTGCTCAGGAGGCTGAGGTAGGAGGATTGCTTGAGCCTGGGGGGTTGGAGGCTGCAGTGAGCTGTGATCAACCACTGCACTCCAACCTGGGTGATGGAGTGAGACCCTGTCTCAAAACAAAACAAAACAAAAAGAACAAAATGGAACTTTAAGTGTGGAGAGTTCCCATATACTTCCTGGCCCATATGTACACAACCTCCCCCATTGTTGCCATCCCTCACCACAGTGACACATTTATTACAATCAGTGAACCCACACTGACACATCATTGTCACTCAAAATTTAGAATTTACCTTAGGGTTCACTCTTGGTGTTGTACAGTCTATGAATTTTGACAAATGTATAAAGATGTAGTCCATCATTATAACATCATAAAGAATAGTTTCACTGCCCTAAAAACACCTTGCGCTCTGACTGTTCAACCCTCTCTACCTGCTAATTCCTGGCAATCACTGATCCTTTTACTTTTTCCATAGTTTTGCCTTTTCTAAAATGTCATATAGGTGGAATCATACCATATGAGCCTTTTTAGATTGGCTTCTTTTACTTATTTAATATACATTAAATATTCCTCCATATCTTTTCATGGCTTAATAACTCATTTCTTTTTAGAGCTGATTAATATTCCATTGTTTGGATGTGCCACCCTTTTTTGTTTGTTTGTTTTGTTTTTAATCCGTTCACCTGCTTTTGGGTTGCTTCCACGATTTGGCAATTATGAGTAAAGCTCCTGTACGCATCCGTGTTTAGGTTTCTGTGTAGACATACGTTTTCAGCTCATTTGCATAAATACCAAGCAGTATGATTACTGGTTTGTATGGAAAGGGTATATTTAATTTTATAAGAAATTGCCGAACTGTCTTGCAAAGTGACTGTGCCACTTTGCATTCCCACCAGCAGTGAGCAAGAGTTCCTGTTGCTCCACATTTTTGTCAGCATTTGTGTTGTCATGTTTTGAATTTTGACCTTTCTAATACTAGTATAGTGCTCTAATTTTTAGTATTTATTTTTTTCTGCTTACTTTGCATTTAATTTACTCTTTTTTTTTTTTTTAGTTAAGGTGGAAGTTTAGGTGATTGATTTTTGATCTATTCTAACACGCATTGAATGCTATACATTTCCTTGATGTGTTTACTGCATTATGCAAATTTTGATAAGTGTTGTTTTCATTTTCATTTAGTTTAAAATATTTCTTCAATTCTCTTGAGATTTCTTCTTTGATCCACATGTTATGTAGAAGTGTGTTGTTTAATCTACAAACATTTTAGGATTTTCCATTTATCTTTCTGTTGTTGATTTCTAGTTTAATTCTATCGTGGTCTGAAAGGAGACCATTTTTTTTTTTTTTTTTTTTTTTTTTAAGACACAGGGTCCTGCTCTGTCACCCAGGCTGGAGTGCAGTGGCACCATCATAAGCTCACGGCAGCCTCCAACTCCTGGGCTCAAGCAGTCCTCCTGCCTCAGCTTCCCAAGTAGCTGGTACTACATACATGCACCACCACACCCAGTTAATTTTTTATTTTTTGTGGAGATAGGGTCACACTATGTTGCCCAGGCTGCTCTCAAGTTTCTAGCCTCAGGCGATTCTCACACCTCAGCCTCCCAGAGTGCTGGGATTATAGGTATGAACCACTGTGCCCATGTTCCTTTACATTTGTTAAGATGTTTTATGGCCCAGAATATGGTCTGTCTTGGTGAATGTTCCATGTGACAGTGAAAAGAATGTGTAATTTGCTGTTGTTGGATGAAGTAGTCTATAGGTGTTAATCAGATTCCCTTAATTGACAGTACTGTTGAATTTAAGTATGTCTTTACTGGTTTTCTGCCTACTGGATGTGTGCATTTCTCATAGAGGAGTGTTGGAAATCTTCAACTCTCTAATAGTAGATTTGTTTATTTGTTCTTTCAGCTCTGTCAGTTTTTACCTCACGTATATTTACTCTCTATTGTTATGCCATACACATTAATGTTTGTAGTTTTGGAGTATTGATCCCTTTATTGTTATATAATTTTCCTTTTTTTTTTTTTTTTTTTTTTTTGAGACGGAGTCTTGCTCTGTCACCCAAGCTGGAGTGCAGTGGCTTGATCTCAGCTCACTGCAATCTCCTCCCCCAGGGTTCCAGCAATTCTCCTACCTCAGCCTCCCAAGTAGCTGGGATTACAGGCACCCACCACCATGCCCGGCTAATTTTTTTGTGTATTTGTGATAGAGACGGAGTTTCGCCATGTTGGCCAGGCTGGTCTCGAACTCTTGACCTCAGGTGATCCATCTGCATCAGCCTCCCAAAGTGCTGGGATTACAGACAAGAGCCACTGCGCCCGGCCTATAATTTTCCCTTTTATCTGTGACAACTTTCTAAGTTCTGACATTTACTCTGTCTGAAATCAGTACAGCTACTCCTACTTTCTTTTGATTAGAGTAGCATGGTATTTCTTTTTCCAGGTCTTTACTTTCAGTCATAATTTGTTTTTACATTTAAACTGGGCTTTTTTTATATAGACAGTTGGGTCTTATTTTTTGATCCACTCTGAAAATGTATGTCTTTTCATTGGTTTATTTAGACCATTGATGTGTAAAGTGATTACTAATATAGTTGGATTAATATTTATCGTATTTGTTACTGTTTTCTACTTGTTATCTTGTTCTTTGTTTCTGTTTTTGTCTTCCACACTTTTTCTGCCTTTTATGGTTTTAATTGAGCATTTTATATGATTCCATTTTCTCTCCTTTCCTAGCATATCAACTGTTAACTATTAGATCAATTAAGAATAAAGAAAATAAACTTTAAAATTTTATCTTCACTTATTCCTTTTCCAGTGTTGTCTCTTTATTTTCATTTTCTGAAGGACAGTTCCACAGGGTACAGGATTTTAGGTTGGCCGGGTTTTTTTTTTCCCCCCTATTAAAACTTTAAATGTTTCACTCTATGCTCTTCTTGATTGCATGGTTTCTAAGGAATAGTTGTTGTAATTCTTGTCTTTGTCCCTTTATAGATAAGGTGTCTTCCCCTTTGACTTATTTCAAGATTTTTTCATCTTTCTGCTTACATGATCTGTATGTTCTTGCATGTTGTCTACTTTTTCCATTAATGCCCTTAGTGTATTAATCATAGTTTAAAAAATTTCCCTGGTTGATAATTCCAACCTTCCTGACATAATTATGGAACCCTGGTTCTGATGTTTTTCAGTCTCTTCAAAACTGTGTTTTGCTTTTTAGTTTGCCTTGTAAGTGTTTGGGCAAAGGTGGTCATGATGTACTGGGTAAGAGGAGCTGTGGTAAACAGGCCTTTAGTGAGGTGGTGGTGAGGCGTGGGGGGACAGGAAGTGTTCTATAGTCCTATGATTAGGTCTCAGTCTTTTGGTGAGCTTGTGCCCCTGTTGAACTTCACAGTGCTTCTCAGTGTCCTCTCCCTGCCCTGGCCATCACCCTAGTGTGGGACAGGATGGCTGCAGGGAGCTGAAGTTGGGTTATTTTCTTTACCCCAGGTAGGTTGGGCTCTGATGTAATCCAAGCAGGTTAGGCTCTGGTAAAATCTTTTGTCCCAAGGGCAAACCTTGTTAGCAAGAACAGAATGCCCTGCCATATTTCACAGTGATTTCTTTTCCTCTCTGCCTCCCAAAAGCATGAGAACGTGGACTTCTGGTGGTAAAACTCACAAAAGCATGCCCCCTCCTCCCCTTGTGACTGTGTCCTCCTGTAGTGTTTGTTTAACTTACTGAGTTAGAAAAGCCACTCCTGGAGTTTTTAGCTCTCAGACTTGTCCACATGGAGCTTCTGGCAATTTGTCAATTACTGTTTAGGTTTTCCTACCCTGGTACTGGTTCTTGCAGAACTTTCTGCTGGTGGGTTTCTGCTCCAGTAAGTTTTGATTCTCTGTGTCCACCTGTATTAGAGTGTTTTCATGTGCTAATAAAGATATACTCAAGACTGGGTAATTTATAAAGTAAAGATGTTTAATGGACTCACAGTTCCACGTGGCTGGGGAGGCCTCACAATCGTGGCAGAAGGCAAAGGAGGAGCAAAGTCACGTCTTACATGGCAGCAGGCAAGAGAGCATGTGTAGGGGAACTCCCCTTTATAAAACCATCAGATCTCGTGAGACTTATTCACCGTCAAGAGAACAGCATGGGAAAAACCCACCCTTGTGATTCAGTTACCTCCCACTGGGTCCCTCCCACGACACGTGGGGATTATGGGAGCTACAATTCAGGATGAGATTTGGGTGGGGACACAGCCAAACCATATCACCACTTGTCCATCTCTCCATTTTTGGGGTAGCCATTTGCCTTGTAACCTCACTTCTCTGATGAATCTGAGTAAAGTTGATGCTTTTTCAGTTTGTTCGGCTTTTACTTGTTAGGATGGAGTGGTGACTTCTAAGCTGTGGAACATGCTGAACTGGAAACTAGAATTCAGATCTCAGTTCTCTTTTTCTTTGAAATGAATCCCAGCCATGGGTTCTCATTCAAGTCCTCATCTGTGGTTAGTAATATTTTGCCCATTATAATAATTTATATTTCAATACAAATGAGCTAAACAAACTTCTTTTAAAACAGCTCATTGTGAACTTATTTTCCTGTCCTGCACTTCTAAAATCTGTGGTGGTTAGACATCACCCTTTGTATTTGGATCACTATTGCATTATTTGTTTAACAAGTAACTTTTTTGTGCCTACCACATGCCAGGCAGGGTCTGAGACACGGGATATGGAACAAGACAGGCAAGGGCTTGGTTCTGTCTTCTCTTAGAAATTTCTTGTGTTCAGGAAGAAAAGAGAAGAAAGAGAAATAAAGAAGGAATTATTTGTCTATTCACTAAGAATTCCACATATAATTTTTTTTTTTTTAAGTGAGAGGAGAGATAGAACTACTTTCTTCAGCCTTGGCTATTTAGAACTTAATATGTGATGTGACTGAATGCATGATTAAATGAATGTTAAGCATATATGTAAACATGTGTTTTGGATTCCTGTTGGAAGACCTACAAGTGATTTTTTCTTTTACATTTAGTTGGTGAATTATATAAGATAATTCATGTAGAGATTTTGCAAATATGTGTGTATTTATGTAGGAATGTGCGTGGATATAGCCACATGCTTTAAAATAACATGCTAAAATGAATTGAAATAAGGATTAGCACAGGGGGCCATTGAAATCGCTGCACATGGTACTTCAGAGGTGTGTGAGATGCTTCATTGTCGGAGGACAGAGGCTGCATGATGGACTGGTATTGACCATCTCCAAGGACTTGAGAGGGTATGTACCTAAACTGCATTAGCAAAGAGTCTTTTTTATTAAAAAGCTCTTGACTTTCCATTTATTATGATTAAATACCAGTGCAGCCCCCTGTACTCACTGTGGAATTGGTTTGTTTTTATCTTGAGGCAGAGAATACACCAGAATAAATGACTACTAGAAATCCTTTCTGTCCCAATGTTAAGCCTCTCTTTCTTCTAGGATCTGGAAATGCTTTTTCAGGTATATATTAATCCACTTGAGGCCTCCTTTGCAAGAGAGTAAGAGTCCTTATCTCTTTGGTATTTATATTTAAATAGATGAGAACCTGCATGAAGCATCTGACAGTTAGTTTTAACAGTTAGATTTATCAAAGGTCATTCTAAGAATTCATGGTAGTTAGAAACTTACCCCTGGCTTCTCTATATGTGGTCCAAAGTTCACCCCATCTGATCTCCTGTATCTGATAAATATTCAGCTTGGACAGGTTCTCAGAGAGCAAGGAATTAATCTCTAACCCTTGGCCAATGACATTTTAGTTTGAAAACCAACACTTTTAGGCGGTTGGGATGCAAGTATGAAAGAGTAAACAAAGAAATTCAGAGTTCAAGACATTTGAAGAAGAACTTAACAATGGGCGCTTGGGTACCCCAGAAAAATGACTGAGTCTGGAACTTGGAGTATATGCCTGTTATAAGCTGCAGCCGTGCTTAGGAACTAGAGGGCAGGGGCCTTCACACTTCATATTTGCTATAGGAATTTTGCAAAACTGTGTACCGCCTTGACTGTTTATAAGTTGGTATCTGTGTTTTGTCACAAGTTTGATGTTTGTTTTCATGAGATGGAATTTTTGGTGGATTGTAAATATTGATATTTTAAAATAAAATTTATGTCACTTTTTAAAATGCATCTGGTGGAATCTAAAACCCTAGAGATTTGATACCCACCATCACCAATGTTAAAAATACATTAAGGGTCTGTTTTTTAAACTGTCAGAAATTTTATATCATTCTGTTTTCTCCTTGAATTTTTATATCCAATTTGTCATATAAAATTTTTGCTTGTTTAATGTGTTTGGAAGTTTTTCTTTGATCATTCTATTATATTCCCTTGCAATTAAATCATGCAAATAAATTTAAATGTAATTAAATATTTCCTGTAACGGTGAGGCTCTAATTATTTTTAAAAATGCCTCCAGTGTGGGTTATCATTATAATTATTAGTGGCACACATTTTTTCAGAGCAACATAAGTATTGTACCTTTTGATAACTAATTATTAGACGTTAAAAATGTTATTAGAAATGTCATTTAACAAAATGTACTGGGCTTTCCCTTCATTTCAATCACGTACCTCTGGATGACTATCCAAAGGGCATTGATGGGGCCACAGATTTACCCCTGGTAAACTTTTTCAGGCAGAAGAGTTGAGGAGATTGAAAGGAGAATTGCTTTAGCAGTGGTTCTCAAATCTTTGAAATGTTTTTATGCAATAAGCTAATGTGATCTGTCATTAAAAAATATTTTTAATACTCTATATGCTGGCAACTTGAGATTTGGTCCTCCTTTAATTTTGTTGAGAGCCAAGAATTGGAAACCACCTGACTTCTGAAAAGGCCCTGTTATCCAGTCATTAGAATAATTTACTTTCTCAATTTCTGGGAAGTTTACCAAAAAGGCTTTACCTGGACCTATCAGAAGACTATCACTCATACTTGTTGCTTTTACACTTTAGGGCACCTTGTTAAATTCCATATACTCTGGAAAGGTTGGGAAGGCATTTTTATATTATGGACTTTAAGTGCATTTTTATCGTGTGTGTGTGTTTGTGTGTAGAAAACTGTGGCGCTCTGGAATTAATTATTGCCTTTCCAGTTAGAAAAATCAGGCTTTTTGTTAAAAAACATCGGACTTCACTCTTCGGTTCAAACAAATATGCTAATATTTATTTTTATGCCATTTCTGTTTTCTAATGCTAGGATACTTTGAGAGGGACCACTAGGTATAGTGCCTTACTGTGACTTTGCCATCTTGAAATAAGGAAACTGCCTTCAACATGTTTTGTGGTTCTGAAGCAGCATCATTGTCCAGGGAAATACCTGAGGTTCATTGTCTCACATCAAGGAAATCAAGGACGTGGACACACAAGGAGTGAGGTTAAGAGTGGAGGTTAAATAGGCAAAAGAAAGAGAAAAGCTCTCTTTCCTGCAGACAGAGAGGGGCTCCTGAGCAGGTCTTTTAGGTTCACAGCGAGATGCGGTTGGTTTTATAGATGAGCTTGAGGAGGTGGTGTCTGATTTACATAGGGAGCACAAGATTGGTTGGACCAGGTGTGCCATTTGCATAGTGCACGAAGATCTGGTTAGGACTAGATGTGCCATTTGCATAGCGTGGGAAGAAACTGGCCACTCCAGCCTAATCTTTTGTTATGCAGATGGGTTCTCTGCCTGGCCAGCACCATGTTGCTTGTTCCTTTACTGAACATGTGGTTGACAAAGAAAATGGAAGGTGGAGCCTCCATGTCGAATGTGCTTGGCTCCCAGGTAGCCTTTTGCTATTGGCACAGCTGCTGGCATTTGCCCATGCAAGCTTCCAGCTTGTTTATCTATGTTTGCAGCTCGATTTTTTTAGGCTCGTTTTTGTTAGAAGAGCAATGATTTTGGGGCTGCTTTTTAATAAAAAGGGAAACCTTGCCAAGGACTCTCTTACCCTCTCTAACTGTCTAAATAATTTTTTTTTGAGCTCCTGTATCAGTTCCTCCTGTTCGCTTTGCTCTCAAAGGACTCTGATGTATCTAAATTTAGAGCATCCCAACACAGGCTGAAACACCCAGATTCTATCACTAGATTTATTCTTAACAGAAATATGTATAAGACAGGGAAAGGGAAGAAGTCCTATCATAGGTCTTGATTAAGAAGGCTTAACTTCCAGTATATTTGAATTTTCTCTGTTTGGCACATCAAGTGTACTGTAGAAAATTTAGCATGGGTAGCAGTTAAGTCTTTCTGTTGTGAAATGAAAGAAGAATGGTGAAAAAGGAGTTGTGAGAGAACCGGGTGAGGATTGCAGGGGCCCTCTCAGGTAGACACATTTTAGAAAAGTGTACATATGGAAGTTGAAGATCTGAACTTTTTTTTTTTGAGATGGAGTTTTGCTCTTGCCGCCCAGGCTGGAGTGCAATGGCACAATCTTGGCTCACTGCAACCTCCGCCCACTGGGTTCAAGCAATTCTTCTGCCTCAGCCTCCTGAGTAGCTGGGACTACAGGCGTGTGCCACCATGCCCAGCTAATTTTTAGTAGAGACAGGGTTTCACCATGTTGGCCAGGCTGGTCTCGAACTCCTGACCTCATGTGATCCACCTGCCTCAGCCTTCCAAAGTGCTGGGATTACAGATGTGAGCTACCATGCCCGGCTGTAGATCTGGAAATTTATACCCTTAAAACTAGCCATGCTGAATATTCACTGTTCTAGCCCTTAGAAAACTACCGCTTTGAAGACTGCTGCTTTTGGCCACTGATTCTCAAATAACTGCCTTCGTTAGTTACTTGAGAATCACTAGAAACATTAACAATTCATGTCTCTTCTCTAATTCTTTTGGGCATATAATGCACATTTTTGTGAGTTTTCTTTCTTTTATCTAACAGTTACTTGTTAATAACCTAGGTCACTAAAATTTGGTATTTCCAAGTGTTAAATTGGGAATTACTGGAAAATATTGGCTGCCAGTCAGTATTCCATTAAGAAATCTGTCTGTGATTTTTAGAAAGAGCTCTTCTATCTGGTTGTATATCCTCAGTGTGGTCTTGAGTTGTTTGTGTTTTTCAATCACTGATACTGTTTTTTAATGTATAAATTATAAATTACTTTTAATTTGGCTCCATTATGATCAGCGTTGTTTGTTATGTGTACTTAATTTTTTTCATGTATAGTGATAGACAAAATGGGCCTGTTTATTTTAAGTAGAGTTGACATTTTGCTTTTTTCTACATGTTGATTTATTTTTCCAGGGGAAAGTGGAATCAATTGGTTTCATGAGCTTCTGGGTTCTTTATTCTAACTGGGTTAAAGAAGAAACAAGGTTGAAATATTACTACTCAAAGGATATGGAAAAGATATATTATCGTGAAAGTATATTCTATATCTTTCTTACTACTCATTTTATATATTTATATTTTTCTTTCTTACATTAGATGTATCAAAGGTTTTGCCTTTTTTTATTCCTGTGTTTGTGCCTTCAAATCTTATATTTATCTTGTTTCAAAATATTAACGTCTGCATGTCTTATTTCCTTATTCTTTTTTATATTTTAAAAAGTTTATTTTAGGCTTTTTATATAACAATGAAATTTCTTAAGGCTATACATTTTCCTTTGAATATGAATTTGGCAGCATCTTACACATTTTATTTCTATTTAGATTCTCTAGAAGTTTATAATTATTGCTTTTTTAAATTTTTTTTAACTGTCCCAATAGGTATGTAGGAGGATATTTGTTTTCAGAATTTCCTTGAGTTTTTGATGTGTGGGGATTTTCATCCGAGGTTATTGATTTATTATTACACTCTTCTTTCATGGTCTGTTTTTTTCAGTGTTTCTATTTGTATCTAGACTATATTTGTATTAATAAACATAATACTTTTTTTTTCTGGTTTTCGTTGCTTCCTATCAGTGCCTTTGACCATTGGTTCCTCCATTCTTCATCTTCATTTTGATTTATCTATTGGATGAATGGAGGTGTCATCCCTGAAATGACCTTGGTTTTTGTTTTCAAATGACAGCTTTATTGCCTGTAAGGCTCATTGCGAATATTTTTTTTTTTTGGAGACGGAGTCTCCTGCTGTCATCCAGGCTTGAGTGCAGTGGTGCGATCTCCGCTCACTGCAACCCGGGTTCAAGCAATTCTCCTACCTCAGCCTCTTGAGTAGCTGGGATTACAGGCACCTGCTACTACACCTGGCTAATTTTGTATTTTTAGTAGAGATGGGGTTTCACCAGACTGATCTCAAACTCCTAACCTCAAGTGATCCACCTGCCTTGGCCTCCCAAAGTGCTGGGATTACAGGCCTGAGCCACTGTGCCCAGCCAGGGTGCTCATGGTGTTTTTGTTAAAGCTTAGATATGCTCTATTTTTCATCCAAATTCTCAAGCCGAGGAGAAACTTTAGGCCAACCTGATTTTTGTTACTTTGAAGCCAACCTGCATTTAAATTTTATTTAAAGTTCTTTGCAGCATTTTCTATTTATCTTAAAAGCATGTTACTATAATATGTGCAGGTATTGGTCACTTGAGTCAAGACTCTGTCTGGGTTCCTGGTGAAAACAATTTGAAATTTCTGTTGTTGAAAAAAGATACTACCTTTTTACCCACAGTAATACTCCTTATTTTCTCTATTTTTGTGTCCTCTTATTCTCTTAAACTAGGTATTTGTGAGTAGAGACATGAGACATACATGCATTTGACAGTTTCATGTATCTAGAAACTAGATGAGTACTAAAACAGAGCAAGTCCTTTGAGCACAGGTCAGAAGTAAAGGAAAGGCTGGGAAGTATTGGAATGTTTTAGGGACTTTCACTCATATGAGATTCTTTGGTGCATAACAACTTTTAAGATTCGATTTAAGTTTCCTAACCCACAGGAGATTAGCAAAAATCCAATTAGAAGAGATAGGAGCTCTGAGGAGCAGGCCCAAGATAGCTTACATTAGTGACAACCTGCTGATTTTTAAAGTAGAATAATTTAAACAAATCCAAGCACTTTGATAACTCCTTGGTGGAGGATGAAAGCAGCCTCCACATGGCCTTCAGAGGCCCCACCAAAGACCTGGACTGAGTTCTGTTACACTTGAGTCATCTGAGGTCCAAATGATGACTCAGAGACCCAGGGAGAGGAGACAGTGTGCTGTACTCCACAGCCCGGGGAAGTGTGCTGCTACTTTTGGAAAATTGCCCTTGAATATAATTACATTTGAGAAAACAGTTTGGGACTCTGTAAAGGAAGGCCTAGGCTTTTGGGAAAATTCTTTTGTGGAGAACAACTGGCAGCCATCCCCAGCCACAGTGTTGATTAAGTATATTAATGTATAGTTTCTGTATTTTATGCAAGTATTATCTCCCTATAATTGCAAACTTCTTGAGGTCAGGGACTACATTTCATGCCTCTCTATATTAGTCAATGAATATTTCTGGTTGGTTGTCTTGATGATGAGAGTGTAATTCTCAAAAGTCAGAATGTAAGTATACCTGTAATTAAATTTGAAATTAAATTAGTTTGGCAAGAAATTGTGACTCCATGCAGTTGTTAAAAAAAATTATAACATAAGCATTAAAGCTGGGAAATGGAGAACTGGTGTTTGTTCAATGCAAGTTCTAAAAGACTTGGGATTTGATTAATTTTCATTTTTAAAAGTGAGCAGACTGGATATTAGTTGTATTATGTTTCATCCTGATGTGAATGAAAATGCCTTTTAGAATAAGAAAACGGATACCTTCCATTTATATAGTCCCTTTCTTCCAAAGAGTCCAAAGCACTTTCCAGTAATCATCTCATTAATTTCTTTGGCTTTCTTGCAGAGTGGCTAATGGGGAGTGGTGTGTGTGCGTGTATGTGTGTGTGTGTGTGTTTATATGTGTGTGTGTATATACCTGTACATGGATTCCCTCTTTCCATCCCTTCCTTTCTCTTTCCCTCTGTTCCCACTCTCTCCCTCCTTTCTTCCCTTTGCTTTTCATGTGATAGTAGTCCTATGTTGACTAGAAATTGGCATTTTGTTAAGCCTCATGTTTCAAAGAATTGCATGCCATTTTTGGAATATTAAACCACATTTATTCATAAAGACAGAGTTTTCCGAAAAAAAATGCAGCTTATACTACCCATACACATGAGATCATTAATCAAAAATTGATATCAGAAATGCTGTCAGAACATGAATTTCAGCAACAGCTTCCTGTTTGGACTTTTATAATAGAATTTGATTTCTTAATGCTTGCTTTTATTTTCATGCCCACCGTTGGGCTGAGCAATTGCCTAGGTGACAAAGGCAAGTAATCAAGAGGAAAAGTGAGAACTGTGAGAAGGTGAAATTATTTCTAATTTAACATTTTCTCTTTATATAGAGCAAGCATATTAATTTTGTATTACTTTCATTTCTTTGCTAGAACTTGCTCATTTGGGCAGTTGTTTATGTGGCATCTGTCATTTTCTTTCATTGATATTCATCTTCAGCAGCCATCAGTGCCTTTGTGGGTTGCTCTTACAGCAGCTGCATTTTGGCAGTAAAGTGGCTCACAGCAAAACTATACCGTTTTGATCTGGGTTGTGGCAGAATCTTTAATGGATTTCTTGATTGATTAAAGTAAAAGGGCTTCATGAGGCCAAAAGAAAATTATCTCTCTCTGTCACCTCCTAAAACACGGATTCTGAATTTTCCTCTCACTCATGCTTTACTTATGTAATGCAAGTTGTAGTTTTGTTAGATTTTTTTTTTTTTCTTCTCAAAAAGGAAAAAGGGATTTTGCCTCCATCTTTCTGTGATCTTGGACCAGTGTGCCGGCGTGGCTAAATTGTGAAGCTGTGCTTGATTTTTTTTGCCCTGTTTCAAGTCCTTGTGGATGTCAAGGGGGAGCTCCTTATCTAGGGCAGGCCTTACTATGATTTTTTATAAACACACTGAGCTGGAAACTGTAAGATTCCATGAGGCAAAGGCCTTTCAACGGATTGTTTAGTATCCTCTTCATTCTCCGCACAAGACAAGGCTAGGCAGCATATTACATACTCAGCTGTTGATGATGGCTTACAAGCCACTGCCAGGCTTTTCATGGGTAAGGCAGGTGAAGACCTGAAACAGCTGGATGTATTCAGGACCCGCCTCACACCCCTGGTCCCCACCTTGTAATATCTCCTGGGGCAGAAATGAAAGGCTGAGTTGACATCAAAACATAAGTTTAAATTTTATTTGAGCAAAGTCAAGCATTGAACGTTCGTTATTAAACAGCAATGAGTATGGTTTTCGGGGAGAGATATTGCTAATAGAAGTTTTGCAACTTTACATGTTTTTTGTCCTTTTCAGAATATGTATAATTTGTCATTTGGCAGTGGACCACACAGATCTTATTTGGAAATAATAGGTTACTGACACAGTTTGCTATTTTGTTGTTGTTGTTGTTCTTAAAAAAAAATGAAACACTTGCATTACCTGTCTCTAAAGTAAACTATGACCAAAGGTCTCCCAGAACATGTACCAAAATGAAGTGTTGTTTGTTTATCAAAATAAAGCAAGAGTAAGAAGAGTTGCTGAGATTCTAACCCAGAACTCATTTTGTCTTACCAGAGCTAGCTTGTAAGTAAAAGCCATTGGAGAAAAGGAGGAGGGAAAGGTTATCATCATTGTTTTTGTCTTGATTTGATATGTGATTGGGATCTTCAGGCATCATAGATCTGTTTCCATCCTGAGGCTTTAGAAATAGTCAGTTCTATGCCCTGAAGCCTATAAGCTGTGTGGGGAGGTCCTACCACACTGGATGAGCCTTGACTGCTGTGCAGCATTCATAGGTCACTAAACATGGCAAGCGAGTTCAGCTTCCATTTTCATGTTCTTCTCCAAGCCAGATGTGGCAAAAACACAGGCACAGAATCCATGGTTCGGGGGAGGGAGAGTGGGGGAGTACCACTGAGTAGTAGAGCATAGCGTTGTAATGTCATGGTCTCTGAGGTCAGACTACTTAAGGTCCAATCTGGGTACACTATTTACCACTTATGTAATTTGGGTAAATTACTTATATTTTAGCCTTTATGATGTTAGCGATCTCTTTTAGTGCCTATTTGTTTCCCTCTTTGGGGCTCAGAGGGTCCCACCTTCCATCAGGTATCTTGTTGGTTAAGAGAGCACACAAGGTATGTATGTTTTGGAATAAAGGGTTTGTGTGCACGTGTGTGTGTGTGTGTATCTTAATTGGAATAAGAAAAACAGCAGGACTATTTTTAGCAAGGATATGGAGGGCCTTTTCTGGTGGTATTTTTCTTTCAAAGAAAAAAGCAATCTATTGCAAAGACATTAATGTCATGTGAATTTCAGAATTTAAGTATTTGAGAACTATGTATTCCAAACTGAGTCTCCTTTAGGAAATGGGAATCTGCCAAGGGTTTATGTGAGTAAAATATGGTGATTTGGATTCAGGATACTGAGAAATCTTTTCCCAGATTAGGCCAGATCATCAGAATTATATGTCTGTATTGTATTGTATTGTATTGTATTGTATTGTATTGTATTGTATTGTATTGTATTGTATTGGCTCCAGTAGAAGAATTCCTTTTATTGAACTAATTTTTGGAAAAATACCGTATTGAAGGACATTGTAAGAAACGCCCTAGAAAGCAAGTTGCCATGTATAATCTCAGGTGTTGTCAAGGACAGGTTGGTGTGGCTCTGTGAGAACCCGTGAAGGACGGTCCTCTCAGGGTCTTTGAGTGTCTTTGATTACTGTATGGAGGAAAGGGCTGGAAAGGGTTTGTTTTAAACTTAATAGACCTTGAGTCAGGTAGCCAGGCACATTCTCTCTGCATTGGCTGGTACATTTAGGGTCAGTGGTTTGTTCCACCCCAAATAAATACATATGTAGGATTTCCTGGCAGGCAGTTTGTAGCCTGTTCTCACTCCTTAATGTAACCTACTGTCCTTTTGTCTCTTTCTTTCTCTCCTTATTCTAAATTTTTCTGGTTTTTGTCTTTATTATATGCAAAATCGTGTTGGACCTAGAATGGAAGTAATAAAGAGTATACATTGTCACTTTAGTGCCCATGAACTATTTATTGGTCTTGACAACAGTTGATAATTCTTGCCTGAGTCAATGATTTCATAGGAAGTTGCAGGATAAGGATATTCTAAGTTTGTCATCCCTTCCTCCTTTATTTGTCAGTATTTGTTTGAAAGGTCAACCTTCACCTGATTACCAGAGTCCATGTCAGTCCTCTGAAAGGGCAGGATAATGTTTAATTTTTTTCTTTTTATAACTTTTTTTTTTTTTAAGATAAGCAGAGGGTTTGGCCAGGTGCAGTGGCTCATACCTGTCATCCTAGCACTTTGGGAGGCTGAGGCAAGAGGATCACTTGAGCCTAGAAGTTTAAGACCAGCCTGAGCAACATAGCAAGACCCTGTCTCTCTTGTTTTTGTTATAAATATATTTTAAAAAAACAAGTTGGTTTTATAGTCATTTCAAATGAAGACAAATGATTTATGTCCCTCATCTTTGGCTTTTTCTCCTTTGATTATCGTTGTAGAATCATGAATTTCCTGGATTCGGTGTGTTTCAGTTAACGACAGACATTCTGCTTTTTGGATGCACAAACTCACAACTTTGTTGAGGGGCTGTTTTCAGCCCGTGTCCCTATACAAACTTGTAAATCTCTGAAAGCTTTCTTGCTTTCTGCCAGAATAAGATGTCCCATGCACATATTGAGTCTTTTCTCTCTGAGAGTTGAGACCAGCTATTTCTTGAGAGAGTTCTGATTCCTACTTCTGAGAACTAGGGTGCTCATTGCTGCTGGGGTACTATTGCTTCTAAGATATTTATTTCATAAATACAGTGTTTGTATTTATTCGATTTCATAATTTTATGTGTTTTCCTTTACGCTGAAAGCCTTGATTCCTAAGTCCATTAACAAAAGAGTTTATTCTGTTTACTTACTTGATTTGAAAGGACTCTGATGACAAATCTTCCTTAATAACAGCATTTGAGTAAAAAGATCTACAAAGATATTTTAAACTTTATTAAGTAATTTTATTATTAGTTACAATGTTACTGATGCTGTTTCAAAACAGCTTTCAAATAAATCAAATAAGTAATAAATGTAATTAAGACTACCATGGTTATCTACGGGGACAACAATAAAAGTAAGGTTTATCTGTATATACCTTTCCATGTTGACTTAGACTGTAGAATTGCATAAAAGTAATATATATTATATACGCACCTTAACATATATCCATATATACATTTTTATTTATATATAAAACTTAATATATAAATATATATAATTTAAAATTTTAAATCCTAAAATTTAAAACTGGTATGCTATAGTAGGAGCCATTTTAATTATTACTGATATTTGTTTTTTCTTATGGAAAATATGAATAATATGAATATGCTTTTTGTAAGCAAATATGAATATATATTTTAATCCTCCACACTTGCTACAAAAAAGAAACTATACATTGTTCTACATCATGACTGTATTCACGTAGCAGTATGTCCCCAATCTTCTTAGAGATTTTCCTTTTTTTCACAAGTGCACGGTACATTATTATGTAGATACATTGTAGATCGCCCCAAGATTTCTCTGTTTTAGGCATTTTTGTTTTCAATTATTTGAAAGATAAGCAGTGTCGTAAGGGATGAGAATAATGCGTGTGTGCATGTGTGTGTGCACGTCATCTGTACTTCTTCCTGCAAGTTCACAGGCTAGAATTCTGGATGTGAGATTGCCAAATCAAGGATAAAGTAATCTTAGTTTAGAAAGATATTGCCAAATTCCATTTCATAAGAGTTGTACCATTTTGCTTTTCCACAGCCTTTCAACGGTGTTATCAAACTAAAAATTTTGCTGGTCTGATAGATCAGAAATGGATCATGGTGGTTTTGATTTGTATTCCTCTTCTGGAATGTTAATGAATGAAAATAAGACAGCTTTTTATTTAAGGGCCGATTAATTACATTTCCTTTTCCGTGAAATATGTTCCTATAAATCTCCCATTTTTCCATTTGTGTTTTTGATCATTGCGTTTTCCCATAATTTTCATGGCTCTTCATGTAGTGATCTTTTGTCAGTAATATATATTGTAAATATTTTTTTCCAGTGTTTTATTTGTCTATCCATTTTATCTTCTTTGGTGTTTGTATGTGTGTGGATGTGAATCATGTAGAAGTTTGTATTTATAGATGTATGTGTATGTATATTTATTAAAACATATAGTATGTTCAGATTAGTTTTTATAGTGAAATTTATAGTATTTTATTTTATGGCTTCTGGAGTTTGAATTATAATTAGAAATTTTTTCTCTAGTACAATTAATTTTTTCATTCATTTTATATAGTTTATATTTTATCTTATTGATTGATTGATTGAGACAGGATCTCACTGCTGCTCAGGCTGGAGCGCAGTGGTATGATCATAGCTCACTGCAGCCTTGAGCTCCTAGGCTCAAGTTATCCTCCCACCTTAGCCTCCCAAGTAGCTGGGGCTACAGGTGCATACCACTAAACCTGAGTAATTTTTTTTTTTTTTTGGTAAAGATAGGGTCTCACTATGTTGCCCAGGCTAGTTTCATATTTTATATTGGAACTTGGTCTATTTAGAGTTAATCCCATGTGAAATATGTAAAGTATGGCATCAGTTTTATCTTTTTCTAAATGGCTATCTGGTTGCCACACATGTGTATTTACAGATTGATCTTTACTTACTGTTTTGAAATTCTTCACTTCTTCTATTTTTTTTTCTTCGTTTTTCATCCTTCCTGAGTTCTGTGCATTTTCTTTTTTTCTTTCTTTTTTTTTTTTGAGACGGAGTCTCACTCTGTTGCCCAGGCTGGAGTGCAGTGGCGCGATCTCGGCTCACTGCAAGCTTCGCCTCCCAGGTTCATGCCATTCTCCTGCCTCAGCCTCCTGAGTAGCTGGGACTACAGGCACCCACCACCACGCCCAGCTAATTTTTTGTATTTTTAGTAGAGACGGGGTTCCACTGTGTTAGCCAGGATGGTCTCGATCTCCTGACCTCGTGATCCACCCACCTCTGCGTCCTAAAGTGCTGGGATTACAGGCGTGAGCCACTGCTCCCGGCCTCCTGAGTTCTATGCATTTTCTTCTGCATCCCTGTTTCCGGTCATGTCTTTGAAGTTTTAGGATGTTTCACTGCAGCTTTCTAGCTTTGTGGATATACTTTTCTGGTGCATTTTCTTCTGCTTCTGAGAAACAATAGTTTTTTTTTTTTTTCTTATAGGGGTTATGGCAGTTTTACTTACTTTTTTGCTCATATTCAAATTATTTGTATTTTTCTGAATTTTCTGTTAGCATGAGGGTCCTGTGAGGTTGGAAGACTTAGGGCAGCCTTCTCAGTTTCTCAATATCCTGTAGCTTCTTTTGCTGCTGAATTTGCAATTTCTCTGGACTCTTTGTTCACTTTCCATGACGTTTCTGTCTGCTTTTCTCACTGCTCCCTTCTCCACCCTGTTCATTCTCAGATCCTCTCAGAGCAGTTCCTACTGAGCCTGAGCCCCTCTCCTCCTGTTGGTGAATATTTGCTGGTGGTTTCTGGGTCTGCTACTTACAGACCCACCCATTCTTACCTGGTGCCCCCCTCCCATGCCATCAGTTCTGATGTTGTGGGTGTCCCTTCACTTACTCATGTTATTTGAGTAAACATAAAGAGGTTCTAGTTACTCTTCCAGCTGCTTTTCATGCTTTTTAGGACAAGAAGGAAGAGTCAGGTGTGAGCAGTGCCCATACCTTTTCTAGAGTCTGGATAGATTCTACATATTCCTTTTAAAATAGGTAAACATGAGCTTAGCTTTAAAATACTGAATATTAAAGTAAATAAAACCAAGGCCTGAATAAAAAAAAAGTTTGGTCCCCAGTATTTCTACAAATACCAGGAATCTTTAGCGTGTATTGGATATATAATCTTCGACAGCACTGGATAGGGTGACATGAATACGAAGTTGGTTTAATGTTGCTTTAGTGTTGCTTTCTCTCCTGACTTCTGTTTTCCAAGTCTACAAGGTAGAGCTTAAATGAACTTGACTACATTCTTCTGCAGAGTAATTTTGTTGTTGTTGTTGTGGTGGTGGTGGTTTTTTTTTTTTTAACATGGTAGTAATTATTTCAACTTAATGCAAATGGCATAGTGATCCAAAGAAAGAAGTCTTCAAATTACTTAGGAGTGCTGTTTTGGGCCATTTATGATTTATCAGGAATCACCATTAGTGAAAATTTAAATACTAAGAGAAGTGTAGTTCTGTATGCTTCGTAAACTTTCCAAGTGGCTAGAGGAGCTCCATTTTTTTTTCTGTCTCTCATTATTCTATGAAATGTGTTTTTATGTCTCCCAAGTCTAGCAGCATCGTACATTTGCTGCTATAAATGTCTCCCATCAGAAGGCCAAATAAGGAAGTTACAATTATAGAAATGTTTTCCCTAAAGACATTAGCCACATGCGACGCTGAACGACTTGCTCTATTTCAGTCTTTCTCATTTGTATTTTCCAGACGTACATTCTATATGAGCTTGGAAGGCAGCTTGCAGAGTCTGTGCTGACAAGCTTATTTTTCCATATAATGTGGAAGAAACACTGATACTGAGATTTTGACTGACCCAGACCTGTCTGTAAACGCGCAGGTATGACAGAAGATGCGCGGCACTCTCTTCATACACTCACATCACCTGTCACTTAAAACAAATTGTGACAGTCTTGGGTGAAAAATAGTAAACTATAACCTGCTCACATCATTTTACTGTTTATCTGTGTTCAAAGAGTGGCACATTCAAGTCTCTTTGGTTTTGAACTCCTGTCATCAAAATCCAGATCTCAAATATGACTCTGTTTGTTTCCTCTTGCTGTTGAGCATCTCTTCTTGCTTAAAGCTCAGCTCATCCTGACACTGCATGTTGAGTGTACCATACACCAGGTACTGTGAGGTGCTGTGGTTCCAAACCCCAGTGAGATGCTGCCCCTTTTCTCATGAAACTCACAGCCCAGAGAGGGAGACAGCACGTCGTGACAATACAGTCAGACAGGGAGAATAGTAACAAGGCACGTGGGACGTGGAGGACTGGAGCGGAGGAACAGCCTGTGGGGCAGGTGGGGAGGTGTGTGCATGTCTGTCTGTGAATGTGCTCAGGGTTCTCAGGTCCTTGGCTCTTCTGTACTCCTTTGTCTGCTTCATGCTGGGAAAGCTTTTGCGGTAGAACTTTGCCAACCCTCAGGCTGACCTGGCATTTTGGTACTTTAAGCTGAAGGCAACTGATAGCTCTTTGAGCTCTGAGTGAAGATGTTACATGGTAGAGTTGGGGCTTATTTGTAAAGTTCATTTCTTTTGAGATGAGTCCAGCCCCAAGTTGCATAAACACCAATACTGAGGCGTGTGTATAGGTATTTGTGTCTTTTCTAGCTTGCTATATATTTTCTTTGTGATCTAAATTAGCAAAGATCTATAAAATAGATCTATAAAATTGGATTTTTGACCAAATGCTCATAAACTTTACCAATCTATGGAAATATTGAAATAGGCTGGATCACATTTATAATTTTTGAAAAGCGTATGTTTGCCATTCTTGTACCATGGCCCAGCCTGTCCATAGTATATTAATTTATATAATATGCTTTCTGAAAGCAAGCATTTTTATGATCTGTCTTTTCTTTTTCCTCTTAATTCTTTCGATTTTCTTCTAGTATTTCTGCTGTTCATTCTTATAGTTATCCTCATTAAAAACTATATTTCTGGTTCACTTTCATGTGCCCTGGTGCACCCATGTGTCATGAGGTGCTCAGTGAATGTTTGTTGAAGCAAGTCATGTCAAGGTGGCTCTGTCTTAGCAACTATTTTTCCAGTAATTTTCTCACCCACCTTCCATCCATTTAACTGTTGTTTATTTGATAAGGGGTTCTATATCCTGTTATTCATAATTGTATTTAATTTACCTATTTTGACATTGCATTCAGTTTTATAACCTTATTTCCAACAACTATTGAGATCAGCCTTTATTTTGAACTGGTTTTAATGCTTGCTTCCACTCGGTTTAGACCATCTCCCACCTCTATTCTTTGGTTCTTTGTTTAGGTTGTCTGTTATTTATCATCTCAGAGTCATTGTTTTCAGAGCAAGTTTGTGGACCTTCTTTTGGTGATTTTGCTACTTTTGCACATGAAGAACTATGTGAGTGAAGAACTATTTTGCTCTTGATCTTTTCCCCTCAAACTGCTGTGAAAGTCACTTTCTTATGTTCTGGAGCTCAGTATTGCCAAGGGACATTCTTTCATTGGCGTAACATTTTTTTTCTTTTGTAAACATTCTCTGTTTTTGTGTTGATACTATAGGATTTACAATTTTATTTTTAAAATTTAAAATTTTCAGCAGGTCTTTCCGTCCTTTTGCCTTCCTATTCAGAGACCCCCTTTTTTGGTCAGGTGCTGGCCTCTTTTCAGCTCATTTCCATTGACTCTTTCAGTGTAGCTTGTCCCTCATTTATTCTTTCGCTTTCCTCTGCAGTTCCCATTACGTTTCATTGACAATTTCCATTTTTTCTTTCTCTGTGTCTGTTATCTTCTCCTACATTATTTTCATCTATTTATTCTTGACACTTTCATTCTATGACTGCATTTCATGTTTGCTTTCTGATTTTACCCATTTGATTATTTGAAGTGTAGATTGTATTCTTTCTCCTTCTAATATAGAATCTAATTCTGAGTTTCCACTCACATGTCAATTGTTTCCTCCCTCTCTCTCTCTCTCTCTCTCTCTCTGTCATATTTCTATCTGTTTTTCTTAAGGTCATGTTTTCTTGGACTAGCTTCTTATTGTAAGCAGAATAGAGCAAAACACTTCATTTCTGCTATCTTGAATATGCTGTTCCCTTTATTTTGCTTTCGAAAATCTTTTTGCTAGGAGAGCTCTGTTGTTGTTGGCTCTTGTCGTGGGCTATTGTTGCTTACTTAAATTGTTTGCCAGTGGTTGTTGCTTGCTGTTTATGGTCATTGATGTTGGTTGATGTTTGTTGGTATTATTATTGTTGCTTGTTGTTTGTTTTGCTTTTGATGGTTGTTTGCTTTTGCTTTTGCCTGGCTGAGGAGTGGCCTGTCCAGGCCCAGGAGGATTTTCTTTGTTCTCTGACACTGCCTACCTTCTTACTGTTAGAAATCTGTGTGAGGTCATGAGCTGAAGGACTGGGCTAGGTGGTCTACACTTTGCCAGATTCTTCATTTGTCTAGTTTGGCTTGTCTTTCTCATAAGGAAAGGCTTATTCCCATAATATCTTATGGGATTATTTAAAGGAGGATTTATCCATAATACGTGGAAGCATCTGCATTTTTTATCTTAGCATAAACACAGCATGAAAAACTCTCTTCTTTGTAGGACACTGTGCACAGCTTTCTTTCCGCCCCTTCCCGTTACCTCCACCATGTGCCAAGACACAGTGTGCAATGGCCTGTTCCTCCACCCTGTGGAGATGGCTGTGATGATGACTGAGTGAGAACTGGTGGAGAAAGAGCAATATCAATGGGGATGGTTGGGTTGGGATGATGACCTAGCCCAGGATACTTCAGAAAAGAATTTCTGCCAACAATTGGCAGTGGAGGTAGGAAGAAGCACAGATAGAAATCTTCCTGTCTTAAGCTTGCTGGTTTTGTGTTTTACTTCACACACCTGTCCATGTTTTGTTTTGTTATTAAAGAGACAGAGTCTTGTTATGTTTGCTGTGTTGCCCAGGCTAGACTCAAGCTTCTGGGCCCAAGTGATCCTCTCACCTCAGCCTCCTGAGTAGCTGTGACAACAGGTGCCTACCACCATGCCTGGCTTGTCAATGGTTTTATCGATAAAACTCCTCAGGGTATGGCCCATATAACCAATATTTCTAGTTTGTTAGAAATATTGAATTTAGTTTACATTTCATCTAAAACAGAAATAGATGAGGATGAAACAGCTGCTTATGGCTTTAGCAGTTGCCATCTTAAGCCAGAGTTTTTATTAGAGCTTGGGGTAGACATTTTTTTTCAATTAATTTTTTTTTAATAGAGACAGGATCTTACTTTGTTGCTCAGGCTGCTCTCAAATTCCTGGCCTCAAATTATCCTCCTGCCTCAGGCCTCCAAAATGTTGGGATTACAGGTGTGAGCCACTGCACCCAGCCGCAATAGGCATTTTTATTGGACTTTTCCAGTATAAGTTTCTGTCACACCTTTTCTTTTCCTAGTGACGTTGCAGGTCATCCTCTAGGACCCCTTTACCCCACGCCCCACGATCTGCAGAGTTGAAGGCAGGTGGCAGATCTGTGATCTTAGTTCAAGAAAGTGATTAAAAAAAAGGAACTTTTTTTTTTTTAACATCAGAATGAGTCTGATTTATTACTTAGCTGCAATTGTCTAGTTCCTTGGCTAACTTAAGAGTAGAGTTTTTAGGCCATAGTAGATCTTTTTAGAACAAGAGGAACTTAAAGTGCAGATGTTCTACGTGGCCCACATCTAAGGTGAATCAGATAAGCCCCTGAAGAGATGTATTAAACTCTTTTCTCATTTCCTATTTGCAAGTGTGGCCTGTCATTTAAACAATTTACAAAATGCTCACTTAGTTTCCAAGGGAGCAGTCATTTTATATTTGAGTGCCTGCCCTGTGCTCAGCACTGGGAAGAAAAAGTTAGAAAAGACAGGGTCCTTGTTCTGAAAATGTGGGAGTAGAGTTGGTGAATATGGGTGAATTTATTCTAGTGCAGGATAGATTATTGTGAGTCCAAGTATTTTTTCAAATTTGCCTGCAAGTTTTGTGTAGGAGCATTTATTGTTTACTCTGCAAAGTCTTCAGAAATTCACAATTCGACCTAGCGTGCCTACTGATGTTTAAGCCTAAATTAACACAATACCTAGGATTTAAATAGTATATTCTCTTATGATTAGATCAGCATTTTCCCTGTTTAGAATTTAACATTAGAATCCAGGGACTTTTTAGGTTACCAAAGTCTGGAAGCTGTAGTTTCATATATATATTTTTGAATTAAAGATCTAGTCTGTTTTAAGGAATTGTTTTAATTTTGTTGATTTCCGTTACCTAACATTTCTGTATTTTAATTGGGTTAATAAAGCACAAATTTACTACATTATCAAGGCATGTAAGGATGCAGACTTAAAATGTCACTGTAGGCAAGAGTTAATGGAATCAAGATGGTGCAGGGGAACATGCCACCAGTTCAGCTGCAGCCTCAAGGTACGCAGTGACATTTAAAAAATGTCTACTGAAGCCAGACAGCCGGTTCATTAGATTAATTAAAGTAAAAACTAACCCCGATCTGGTGTTTTGATAATGACCACAGGTCTGCCAAAGTTGGAATAAGCTAATGCTTGGCATTGTTCTCATTAAGACCACAGTGGAACTGCCTTTATAGTTTATTCTAAACTTTTGAATTCACCTTTTAGCAATGAAGTGAACTTTTAGCTTTCTTGATTGTTTTCTCATGGTTTAAGTGGTACACAAGGGTAAATTTTGTTTTTATTAAAGGTGACAACTTCCTTTTTTCTGGCTCTTACACTTTTTATGGGACATTGAAGAAATAAAGGCAGCAACAGCAGGCTTCTGCACTCTCATAGGCTGTCCATTCTGGAGGAATTCAACAGGAAGAGGAGGTTGTCTACACTGTCTATGACCAAATACAGGGTTTTATTTTTTCATATTTTAATCCATCACACACTAACTTTTCTGTAAAGCACAATAAAAAGGAACTACTAACATAATAAAGTAGAAAAAAAGAGAGACACAAAAAATGGAAGCCCCAGTATTTTATTAGATGCAATGTTTATAAAATTACTCTGTCAAATTGCACTGAAGTTTCTCAATGGTTGCCTTTAATTTTGGCACTTACTCTGGAATGGCAGCAAGCACTTTGCACACTGTCCTGAGTCACACTGCTCTGGACTTAGTGTCACCGTGTAAGCACCTCGTTGGTTCTGTAAAAATGGCCCTGACATGCCTTTCCCTGCTAAAAGTGCTGACCTGGACAAAAACCTGATTCGGACATTTAAGTCCACATTTTCAGAAAAAGGTCATCAAGGCTGCTCCTGATTATGCCATTTGAGAGCACTTAGAATTCTAGGCCATTTGTGATTTTTTTTTTTTTGTTACTCAAATTGCTCACTTAAAAATAAAATTAGTTTCATAAAGTCCCTGCTTAGAATGACTTTAGATTAAAACACACACACACACACACACACACACGTATATACATGTCTGAATACAAATGAATAAATAAGAATGAATAAATATAGATGTATATATATTTCTGAGGCCAAAGATTTCCTGCTCCCAGGGTCCAGGAGTACAGAATGTTAGTTATCATGTGTGCATTTATTATAGATTTCTTTGGGGAAAAATGGCAATAAAAACAAATAAATATATGTGCTCATGTATTCTTTTTTTTTCTTTTCCTTCTTTCCTTTAGAGACAGAGTCTCGCTGTCACCCAGGCTGGTGTGCAGTGGTGCAATCATAGCTCACTGCAGCCTGGAACTCTTAGGCTGATGATCTTCCTGCCACAGCCTGCTGAGTAGCTAGGACTATAGGTGCATGCCACCATGCCTGGCCTGCTAATATATTCGTATTTCCCTTTTTCCGTTCACAATCTATAGTAAATGCATGTGTGATAACTAACACTATGCTGAGACGCTGGAAACAGAGGAGGCTTTTGCCCTCAGTTGAGTTCAGTAAAGAACTTAGTTTATTTAGAATAGAAGCTTCAAGGAAGGTTTTTTTGTTGTTTCTGACATGTAAATGAGAATCAATCATGAATGTCTGTGCTTTCTCTCAGCTAGCACTGAAAGGTTCAAGGTATGTGCAGCGTTTTTCATCTCAGCATTGTTGGCAATAACTAATGAATGCAAAGGTTCTGAGAGCAATTTAAATGCCCACGAACAGTGGACAGGTTACATACATTAAAGTAGATACAAAAAAATGGAATTTTATGTAACTGTGTAAAACTATGAACATTTTTTAGCATGTCTTTCAGTGAACATGTATGCATAATGCAGAGGTCAGCAAACTGCTGCTCCGAAAGGCTAGGTAGTAATCAGTTCCTTCTTCTTGGCCCGCGCCACCTGTGTCGCAAGTACTCCACGGTACTACACCATGATAGCAAAAAGCAGCAGGCAATTTGTAAATGAATGAACATGGAACATGTATTCCAATAAAGCTTTATGGGCATTGAAATTGGAATTTTATACACTTTACACATCATGAAGTAATATTCTTCTTTTGATTTTTTTTTTTGGACCATCTGAAAATATAAAAATCACTCTTAGCATTCCAGCCATACAAAAACAGGCAGACAGCCTTATTTGGCCTTCAGCCATAGTTGGCTGACTTCTACCATAGGGCCTAGGGGTGGAACTGCTGGGTCATGTGATGTGGATATTATTTCACTGTAGAAGACACTGCCAAATAGTTTTCCAAAGTGATTGTATCCAGTTTACAACATGTAAATAGTTTTTTAACTAATGAAAGATGTGAGATTTTATAGTTGAAGTTTGTAATGGCTTAGGAAAGAGTTTGTTTCCTTTTGACTCCTGACTGTAGTTGTGAGAAGTTAGATGTTTAGATAGCTGGCTTGCACTGCACATATTAGCAAACCTAATTGATGTGTGTGATTGGAAAGTGTTGCATGTGTACGTTACATTGTATTTGGTTTACTGCTTTTCTATTAATGGACCAGATCAGCAAACACAATTTATTTTGTATCTTGAACTTCACATTTCCTTGACAAGTTCTATAACCTTAGCCACATATGCTTTACTTATAAAAGTCTTTCTAATGTAATTTCTCTTTATAAAATGGATTATATTCCTTATTTTAATAAACTATTGGGGCCATATGCAGTCAACATTCAAAATTATATTTGGGCTTTGGAGCAGTCCTCTCCTGCATAATCTGAGTGAATGAGCCCTTTTGATTTACTGGGTAATTTATCTAGCTAAAGATATGTTAATAATGTCAAAGTGCAGTGTATCAATTACAGGAATACTTGTGTAAAGTATTGTTGCCCATAGTAGTATTTATACAACCAAGATACACATTTATATCCAGGCCAAATTGATTAGAGGTTTGGGGACCCCTTTGGAGCTGGCGTTCATGTAAAGTGTTCTGTTACGATATAAATGGTGTGAACTCTCAAAGGGACGGGATGAGACAGGACTTGAGTGGCAGATGGTTTTACAAAATATTAACTCTTTGGGTTCATAGAGGACAATTTATTCAGTCACCTGTCCTGTGTCTGGGTTGTGGTTTCCCTCCTTTTCACCAAGTTTACTGCACAGCCAGGGAAGAAACTCCCTTCTGTACCAGTGTTTTCTTTGACATATTGTCATTACTCATGGCATAAGCAGTAGTTTGAACAGTTTGATTTATTAGACAAATTTGGGTTTAGTGATTGGAGTGAATATTTGATTAATACAAGGTGGAAGGGGGTTATATTCTCTCTTCTCCATAAAAAGCAGGTTTTATTTCTGGTTGAGCATCTCTAATCTGGAAATCTGAAATCCAACATGCTCTAGTGAACATTTCCATTGATCATCACATTGGCACTCAAAACATTTGGGATGTTGTAGCATTTTGGATTTTGGATTTTCAGATTGGGGTTACTTAACCCATATCCTAGGAGAAGCAAGGAGCCTACTCATTAGGGGATGGTCTTTACCTACTCACCAGCGTGCCTTGCCATGGGCAGTGTACGTCTTTCAGAAGGGAATTGTGAGAAGCTGGAAGTTTGTTCCTTTTCCTTCTTTTCTTCCTCCCTCTCATTCTTCATCACCTTCTTGCTTTTTCCTAAATTCCCTTCTGATAATGATACTGGCTCCTCAACTGGCTAAGAAATAAACAAAGGCTGTGCACCAAGCTTAGGGATTAACCTCTAACATCTCACCTGTTAGAGAAGACCTCATTTTGCCGCTGCTGGTGGTTCTCCTCCCACCCTACTCCAATTTTATGTGAAAGAATGGTGCAGAGTAGCTTGCAAAAGAGATAAACCAGAGGATTTTGGCTTTAATATTTTATTTTCTGTGTAATTAAAAAAGCTAGGAATCCAGATATATTTATCATCACAGAATCATGCCAAGACACCATTACAAGTTCCGTCATAGAATTTTTTTTCAAGGTGTGATTTATCAAATTTATTTATTTTTAAAATTGATGTGGAAAATTGTATATATTCATCATGTATATATATATAATATGTATGTATATATATACACTGAGCATCGCATTAGATAGGCACCTATTTTATATATATATATATATATACACACACACACACATTGTGAAATGGTTAAATCTAGCCAATTAACAAATGCATTATCTCACATGGTTATCATTTTGTGGTGAGAACACCTAGCATCCACTCTCTCAGCATTTTTCAAGAATACAATATATCATCATTAAGTATAGTCACCATGCTGTACAGTAGATCCCTTGAACTTGTTCCTTCTGTATCACTGTAAATATGCATTCTTTCACCAACATTTCCCCAACCCTCTCCTACAACCACTCCAGCTTCTGGTAACCACATGTCAATTTGTCTGAGTTCACTTTAGATGTTGGCACAGTGATGAAATTACCCAGTGATGTATTTCTCAGAATGCATCCCCGTTGTTAAGTGATGCAGGACTGTATATCTGTAGATTTTTTAATGTAATATAGATAGATCTTTCCATATAATACAGATATAGACTTAGATCTAAAGACAGAGACAGATATAGATAAAATATAAGAGGGTGCCTGCTTTACTCACTGATATATCCCTAATGTAGACTAGCACCTGACAAGTAGCAGATGGTCGTTAGGTGTTGGTTGAATGAATCACAGAAGAAGGTAGCTGGCAAATGAAGGAGTTAGGTCACAGTACTTGCCCTTTTGAGCATTCTCAAAGTGCACCCAGCAGGATAGAGGTGTCATTTGGAGGATACAGAAAATCATAGCCCAACCCTGGATGTAAAATTCCTGAGAGCTTAAAAAAATGCCTGGATCCTGCTCCTGAGATGCTCATTCAGAGGATCTGGTGTGGGCACAAGCCTGATATTTTTTTGATATTTTGACATTTCAAAAAATACCAATTTTTTGAAAGCTTCTTGGTCTAGCGGGAGAAACAAGCAGTGCATGAATGTAAAGTCACTGATCTGTGTTTGACGGAGATCCATGCGATTAGGCCTGATAACTGGTCAGTGCAGAGGAAGGGGCCACAGTAGTCCTGAGTAGGCTCTAACTGACTCCTGGGGAAGGGGAAACATTTGTAACTGGGAATCAGAGGGTTGTCCTAGTAGGACATTATTACTAGAGCACAGGCCGGAGGGTGAAGATGAGCATGACGTATTTCCGTGGGTGAGAAACAAGAACGGGCCAGCTTTACAAGACCAAAGTGTAAGGCCAATGTCAGACTGATGCTTTCTGGGCCACAACATCCCACTTAAAGTAATCCTTTCCGTTAGCTGTTTTACCTCGTGTTAATGTTTGTATTATACAGAAAATGCCCTTTTAGAATCTTCTGATGAACCATCCTGAATATTTTGGTCTTCCATGTAGGTGAAATATACTAAAGTACTTGTGATCAGAAGATGCTGCTCTACTTAAAAAGTCTAGTTAAATATTAATGTGAGGAAATTTGCTCTTGCATATTTTCACACGTAATTTCTTTAATTGGTATTATGCATTTTGCATAATTTAAATCCTGACATCTCGATGATTTGCTCAGCCAGCGGAGAGGACTGTTTCATCCAAAAGATCCACACAGCATCTTCTCTGAACTGTGTGCCAACACTTAGCTGTTTGGCATTTAAATAAAGATCGATGTTTCTGCAATGGGAAGTGTAGTGGAAATTGAACTGCCCCAAGAGTTTCTGTTCATTAAAAGGGCAGTATTAATTGTATTTACTGTTTAGGGGCTGACTGCCAGTAATGTCAGGACATTTAGGTTTGTTGGTGCCATGGTGTGGTGGTAGCCAGACCCTTCTTCTCCTAATTCTGCCCTGGTGAGTCCTGTGGCTCTTCCTCATTGGTTCTAAATGTGTACCTGTGTGTGTGTGTGTGTGTGTGTGTGTGTGTGTGTGTGTGTGTGTGTGTGTGCGCGCGCTTGTGTGTTTTAACCATAGGTATTGTAATATGGATTGTTTTAAAGTCATGGAAAAAGCAAGGCTTTTATATTTTTAGTTCATTTTCAGTGACATCATAGGTGCCTGTCTGATGTGATGCTAGATACAGATTTTGGGGACAGTTATTAAATTATTTATGATGATAGTTTATTAGAACTAAATATTAAAATTCCTGTATTCACTTCTGGCTTATTCTGGCCATATTAACTATTGTTTTGAGTTTTAAGGGCTGCTTTTGACTGGCAAGGAGCATTAAAAACGGGACTGATAAGAGACGGTCTTGGCCTTGGGTATTGTTTTTAATAGTTTGGCTCTCACTGACCCCATCCTGACCTCTCCTTCTCTGGGATTGACATCTTGGCTTGGACCTATTCTTTGCTTTCTGCAGGGACAGACAGCAAATAAACTAATGTATGAGAAATTTTGATCACTTTAAGTGCTGTAAAGACAGTAAGCCAGGTGGAGTGATAGAGTGTGTCTGGGAGTAGGGGTGGAGTTACTTGCATAGGAAATAAGCTTTGTCTGAGCAGGGACCTTGTTCATCTCTGATGTGGTTTGACTGTGTCTCCACCCAAATCTCATCTTGAATTCCCACATGTTGTGGGAGGGACTTGGTGGGAGGTAATTGAATCACGGGGGCAGGTCTTTCCTGTGCTGTTCTCATGATAGCGAATAAGTCTCAAGAGATCTGATGGTATTGTGAGGTGGAGTTTCCCTGCACAAGCTCTCCCTTTGTCTGCTGCCATCCATGTAAGATGTGACTTGCTCCTCCTTGCCTTCCTCCATGATTGTGACGGCTCCCCAGCCACGTGGAACCATAAGTCCATTCAAACCTCTTTCTTCCCAGTCTTGGGCATGTCTTTGTCAGCAGTGCAAAAATGGACTAATACAATCTCACTCATTGGTGTCTTTGGTCCCGAATAGAACAGACTGACAAGAAAGGGCAAGCTATGGAGATTTAGGGGAGAATTTTCCAGGCAGACTAAACAGCACACGGAGAAGCCCTGCAGTGGGAATGAGGAGGCCGCTGTGATTGTCAGGTAGAAAGTGAAGGGGAGATGAGGTTGGAGAGGTGGGCAGGGGCAAGATTAAGTGAGATATGGTGACCATTTTATTCCAAACGTGTGGGAAACCATTGTAGTGTTTTATGCATGGTCTCTTGATATTTTGAAAAGGTGGCTCTGGCTGCCATATGGAGAGTAGATGGTAGGGTGGCAAGAGAAGCAAAAAGACCGATTGGGGGATATCAGAGATTCAGGCAGGCTGTGAAGGTTACTGGGACCAGGGCAGTAGCAGTGGAGATGGAAAGTTGTGGATGATTCTGACCATATCATGCGGGTAGAGCTCTGTGAAGTCTGAAGCACAGAGAGGATTCAAAGGTGATTTCTAGGCTGACCCACTTGATTCTTTTTCCCAAGCTGTGGATTGTGAACTCTGCCTTCCCACCTGAACCTCCTCCTTCCTGGAGCTTAGTTCTGACAGAGGCTGATCCCCAGTGGATTTCCATTTGTTAACGTTCACAGACCGCTCCTTCCCTTCTCTTTTTTGTTTTTGTTTTGTTTTATTTTTGTTTGTTTTTAAATCTGATTGTGATTCATAGAACATAATTAATAGAGCCCTTACCTGAAGGATTACATATTACTAATCAACTTTGCAGGGATGTAGAACATGTTACTGGCCTACCAGTATTGTTTTTATTCACGTCGTCACTCTCTGGGAACAGAGCAAAAATAAAAAAGTCATTTCCTGGAGGAGAATGAAGGAGATTCTTAACATCTTTTCATCATAGCTTGCTTGGGTTTTATGGACCAAAGGAGGAGAAAGGCAGGATGGTGGTTGAGGCAGTTGACAGAGCTTCACTGACTTCCTAGTAATCTTGGTGACTGTTTCTCCTTTGTTAGATGGACATGATTCTTCCTATGTGGAAAATAGAATACAATAGGCCCCCGCTTGTCTGCAGAGGAGATACTCTAAGCCCTCCAGTGGTTGCCTGAAATTGCAAACAATATGAACCCTATATACACTGTTTTTCCCTATATGTATATACCTATGCTAAATTTTAATTTATAAATTAGACACAGTAAGAGATGAACAATAACTAATAATAGAGCAATGATAACATTATACTGTAATAAAAGTTGTATTAATAGTCTCTCTCAAAATAGCTTACTGCACTGTAGTCACCTATTTTTGGACCACAGTTGACATTGGGTAACTGAAACCGGGGAAAGCAAAACTTCAGATACAGGGGGGCCTACTGTATGAGAAACAGTAGCTTCTGGATGAACGCCAGCTTGTTGCTTACTTTCAGGGTTTCAGAGCTAATTGGTTTTTGTTGATAATGACTTTTTCTTTTTTTTTGAGACGGAGTCTTGCTTTGTCACCCAGGCTGGAATGCAGTGGCACAATCTTGGCTCACTGCAACGTCCTCCTCCCAGGTTCAAGCGATTCTCCTGCCTCAGCCTCTCAAGTAGCTAGGACTACAGGTGCACGCCACCACACCTGTTTTTTTTTTTTTATTATTTTTTTTTATTTTTAGTAGAGATGGGGTTTCACCCTGTTTTCCAGGCTAGCCTTGAACTCCTGACCTCAAGTGATCCGCCCATCTCAGCCTCCCAAAGTACTGGGATTACAGGCATGAGCCACCACGCCCAGCTGATAACGACTTTTAGCATTTGTACATTATTAAAAACATGTAAGTTACTAGACACCACTTGCTCGTCAAATTCATGAGTGATTCTTCACACATGAATAATACCTCCTTACTGAGTTCCCTGGAAAGTATTACAAGGAAACATAAGTATATTTTTTGCCTAGCAATAAAAATCTTTTGGCATCTATCAGATTTTCTTGCAGTTCTCCAATTTCCGTATTTCTCATTAAGAGGAGTAAAACACTTGAGGAGAATGTCTTTACTTAATGTCCATCAACCGAAACTGTTAGTCACATAGAATCCACATACCTGTCCCGTGACTCTCAAGGGGTGTCACTTCCATTCTAATCCCATCCCCCTTTTTACTCTGTTCTTATTCACCCTATACATCCTGCCAGATTCATCTGATGAAGTAGCAACCAATTTCTGTTTTCAAAATTGTCAATGCCTTCCCAGTCTCTGAATCAAATAGTGACCCATCTGCTTCGCTTGCCAGACCATTTTTCCAGGTTTACCAGCTAAACTGGATGTCCAGTGGTTCCTTGTGTATGCAGTTGGTCCTCCATATGTGCAGGTTCTGCATCCATGGATTTTACCAACCATAGATTGAAAATATTAGAAAAAAATTGAGAAAATGCTGTACTATTGCTGATATGTATGATATGTTAGACCTATGATGGTTCTGCCTGTACTGAACATGTGCAGACTTTTTTCTTGTCATTATTCCCTGAACAATACAGTATAATAACTATTTACATCACACTTACATTGTATTTGGTATGATAAGTAATCTAAAGATGATTTAAAGTATGCAGAAGCATATGCATAGGTTATATGCAAGTACTACGCCATTTTACGTGAGAGACTTGAGCATTCTTGGATTTGGTATCCTCAGGAGTCCGGGAACCAGTCCTCCATGGATATCAAGGGATGACTGTTTGCCCATGTTTTTAGCCTTTGTATCTTTGCTCAAGAAATCCCCTAAAACCTGGAGTACCGCTGTTTTCATCCTTCCTTTTTGTAGCCTTTTAATGCTATTCTTGTCTTCAATGTTAAAAAACCAGTTGGTGATTCCATCACAGATTTCAAATAAATGAAGAAATAATAGAAAGCATAGCAAACATACAAGCCTGCAGCAGCAATACTGCTGTAAGTCACTAAGAGAAGCATGTGAGAAAAGATCATGAGTGGCTGCTGGGGAAAAGGAAAGATTGTGAAGGGGATATTCCTAAACCTGCACCTGAGAAGCTGAATCAGTGATGATTCCAGAATACCCCCCACTGTACCTTCAAATTGGAGGAACAGAATTGATTTTCCTATTGTTACTGAAGAGTAGTAGTGATGGCCAGTGGTGGTAACTGGAATGAAGTGAGAGCTGAGCTGACTCTCTCTTGTAAGTGAAGGCCTGGGGAAACATTAAGAAGCTCGAGGGCATCCTGCCCCTTCCCTCCCCCTGGGAAGAGGACCCCTTCCCAATCATTAGGGAGCCCAGGAAGAGAGGGCTGGGCCTCAAACAAAGCCTGTGGTGCCTCAGGTGAGACCTCCTAGCCCTCTGTCATTCCATCTGGCTAGAGAAAAGTGGGTGGACTGCAGACTACTCAGTCAACTAGAAACGTCACAGATATGGCCAGGCAAGCATCAAGGAGTTTCCCATCCTATGTTAGGGCACATGGAATATTTGCACAGATACGCCTAAGCATATACGAGATGAAAAAAATGTAGAACAATTATATAAACATAACTATAGCTATGGGTGGCTGCATAGATGGGCAGATGGGCTGGTAGAGAACAAGAAAGAAGAGGAATATAGCACGCAAAAGATAAAAGATCCCAATATAGATGAAATCACACTTCATGGGAGAGAAGGGAATTCCTTACAATTGTTTCATTCGGTAGAACAAATGAATGAGAAACATGAATTCAATAAACAAAGCAAGATGGTAATAAAAAGCAAAGTGAGATGAAAAAAGAAAGATTGTAGAATAAAGAAAGCCTTTGAGGCCCAAAACAACATCATTGCAGGACTAATACATAATTTTAGAAAATATCAAGGAAAAGAATAGACCCCACTGAAAATCAAATTACTAAGAGAATAAAGGCTTGTTAGGCCCATTGAACACAAATGGAATGATCAAGATAGTAAAGCAATCAGAAACTGAAAGAAATAGAAGACAAAGACCAGTGTAATATAAGGACAATTGGTGTTCTTGAAGTAGACGGTCAACAAATGAAATAGAAAATGGAAAATAAAACAAGACAAGCTTTGTGAAATGAAAAATAAGTAGATGAAAGAACTGAGTCTGCAGATCAGAAGAATGTATTGTGTTCCAGGAAAATATAGAGTAGAGGATGTTCAACACTGAGATCTATCCTAATTAAGCCATTGAATTTCAAGATAAAGAAGAAACTCTTTAAACATCCAGACATAAAACCAAATTATCTGCTGTGGACTAAAAGTCAGACTAGCTTAATTTTCTTAGAGTAGCATTCAGCTTTGAAAAGAGTGGAGCCATGTCTTTAACCTTCTGAGGAAAGTAAGTACCATACTGCCCAACATGCACCATGTGGCCCAAAATCGACACAGCTATGATGTCATTCAGATGCCAAGGCAAGAAGCAACGTTCTCAAACCGGTACAGATTCAGGTAATGGTGCTTAAAACTGAAACACTTATGAAAAATGTATATGCACTGTGATTATGTTTCATAACCTCTTGACTTACAAGGATATTTTAGGAAATACCTCTTATATTAATAATAAAGAAACATGGTTGAAATAGTTTCATTCTGTTAAATTTAAATAAAATCACATACAACTTTTTTAAGTTAAAAAGTAGTTTTACTAGAGGATAATTTTATTTTTTTTCAACGTCTTTCTGGCTATCTGACTTCCTCCCCCATCCTCACAGCCACACTGGGCATGTGCTCTAAGCCCTGATTGTCCCCAACCCCCAGCCCCCAGACATCTGCTGTGTTTGTAGTCAGGGTTGCAGAAATTATGTGCACTTTATGATGTGAGTCAACTCTACAAAATTCTACTCGCTAGTGAAATATATAATTCTCTGTAACATAAATTTTCACAAAAAGATCCTGACATTTCATTCTTGTCTGTTCAGAAAAAAAAAGTGCCACTTAGAAATCACTCCCTATAGAACCAAATAATCAGCACTTACTGAGTGACTACTGTGTGCCTGGTGCAGCTATATTCACCTAACATACTCTGTGAAGACACGCAATTCTTATTCCTAAAGAGATCTTAATTTACGTGGGGCAGACACACTGTCAAACTTTTCCCAGTTTTTTCCAAGTACAATCTAGATCCCAGGTAGACTTTCTAAGAGGGGGAAAAAATAGATTTTTGTTGTTGGTAAGTTTTTGTATCATTTTCGGTTATCTATTCAAGAAAGTTGTTGACTTTTGTAAGGCAGAGTGCTGGGCACTAAGGATGTGGTTGTGATTAAAAGAGCTAGACTCCCTGCTTACTCTCATAAACCATTACGGTGGTTACACGGGCCTTGCGCATTGAGCCGAGTCCTCCTGTGGTCTTCTTCCCACGAGATCTGGGCAGCCCTGCCTGCAATCACCAGAGCCACCGGAAGGGGCAGAAGTGAGTCTGTGAGAGTCCCAGCAAAGGGCATGTGTTTTAAATTCAGATGGATTTCACCTGAATAGATGCCTGGAGGTTGAAGAAAAACATATGGAGCATATCATTTGTAAATGTTGTGAACAGGATGCTTAAAATAAACTGATGCTACGTTTTGACAATTTTAGTCAGTTTGTGGGGTTTTTTTTTAATCCAAATAAGCATGGTTGCCAAAATCTTTGTTTCAATGTAAAATATATGCAAGTATACATATTTTACATTGATTTCTTTGGGACCCTGTGTCTGGAGTTGGGGGAGGGTGGCCCACTCTACTATGTTAAGTATTCCATCTTATCCAAGAGGTATTTCATAAATTATGTATAACAGTAGATGCCACTCAATAAATATTTTATACGTGATAGATATTTTTGTCTGAAATTACTTTTTCGCTTGAGCAATGATTTAAACCCTCGTTTCCAGTTTTATGAGGTGACACTTTTATAATATCATGTAGTTGAATGCAGCTTGAATGTCATAGAGCTTTAGGGCAGCATTAATCATAAATTCATCCTTCCCCACTTGCAATCCTGGAAAACTTTCTCTTAATTCAGATTTTACCCATTATATATATGGAAGTGTATGTGAGTGTGTGTGTGTGTGAGTGTGTGTGTCTCTGTGTGTGTGTGTGTGTGTCTACATGCTGGGGATGGGTGGGAACAAGTAAGACTTTTGACCTAATGGCTTTGAAACTATGAATTTCCAATGCCTTTCAAAATCTTATTTCAAGGAAAAACAAAAGTGTTTCTCAATGGTTAAAAAAAGAAAGAATAGTAAACGAAACTGGGATGTAGTCCAAAGCACTTTCTGTAGTTTGAGTGGGAGCTATTAAAGTTTAAAATATTGCATTTTTGGGGGTGGGGGGTTATTGTCTACTTCTGTACAGAAAGAAAATACACATGCCTGTGGACTTACGAGAATGGTCACTTTCCTTTTCATGTGGACCTAGAGGCCTGTAATAATTCATTGCCATGGGGCTACTGACTGTGTGTGCAGTTTGGTCACAGTTCAGAGCTACCAAACCTTCCCATGAGGACATCATTTTATGAAATAGAGCTGTGTGATTAAATTCTCCCCTGTAATATATGTCTTTAAAAAAATCACATCCCATTTCTGCTTTAATTTCATGGTCAGGAGGAAAAAACATGAATTCTGCTAATATCCGAGAGGTAGGAGTAGGGGTTAGCTTATGGAGAGTGCTCAGTTTAGCTGAGATTTGCATATTCCTTGCTATAGTAAATCAATGTTACTGAAGTCTCCGACCTCAAAGCCTGAGGTTCTGAGCCATGGAATGGGAGGTTGGCTGATAAGAGTGGTAATTGAAGAACAATGACACGCTTCATTTCCTTTTCTTGAAACTAAGTTATGCATTGGTCATTTTCTCTGCGTATCTATTTAATGGTTGTTAAATTAAATTGCTTTCTTTCACATTGTGATTTTTATTTTTATTTTTTTAAGCCATCCTTTTTTTGTTGTTGTTGTTACTTCATTTCACCGCCCTCTCGCATGACTTCAGGTCTTCAGTGTGCATTTGAAATGTAAATATCTGCAGAGGCCTGAGGGACTTCTCTCTCTCCACCTCCCTGCCCCAGAAACCTCCCAGGAGTTCCCTTGTCTACAGGGTTTGAGTTTTGCTTTAATGGTCTTACACTAGCTTGAGAAGTTCTGAATCCATCACCTAGCGAATGGTAGACTTCGTAGGTTGTTTTAATACTTAAATGACACAGAGTACATTTATTGGTTCCAGGATTGTAAGGAATCGTATTTATGTTTAGGGCTGTGTTGGGTGTTGGAGTTACAGAGGTGTGTCTTGGTCACTGCGTCTTGACTATAGGAGTCAGGGAGGGAAGGAGATTCTCCAGGAGCATCTCTGACCAGGATCCCCAGTTAGTGGTTGGAACTGGGTTTTCTGTTGCTCGTACAGTCATGGAGCACAATGTCATGCTCTTGTACATGATTTAGTCTGAACCTGGTTCAGCCCAACCTCAAGACTGCAATTTTTACCTTCAACCTTCTGGAATTTGTCTGCTTTCTACTTCAGACTTCCCCAGAAGCTTGACTTTAGAGGTCTTTTGTCTGGGGTCAGATGGGCCTGATGTCAAGATAAGGCCTACCATTCTCTTCCGGAGGGTTGTCTCTGACCTTCCCTCTGCATTCCACTGAACTCTGTGTGTCTACTCACTCATTCATTCCTCTGGCAAATATTAATTGATGAGTGGGACATGAAATTAGGTGCTGGGTTACATTCTAGCCAGAGGACAGGTAATAAACTTGTGCGTGTGTGTGTGTGTGTGTGTGTGTGTATACGTATACATATAAATGGATAGTATATATATATATGTATATATATATATACACACTAATAGCCATTCCCAAGGAGAGAAATCACCATGAGGAACATTGGTGGTTGCTATTTTGTATGGGGTGATGGGGAGAGTGGCTTTTGAGCAGAGACCTGAAGGAAGGAAGGGGCCATGTTATATATGTGTCTAGGGCAATGTTTCTCAAATGTCTGGAGACATTTTTGGTTGTCAGAACCTCAGATGTGTTGCTAGCATCTATTGGGTAGAGGCAAGGGGTGCTACAAAATATCCTACTGTGCATAAGAATAAAGAATTACCTGGTCTGAAGTGACAACTGTGCCGCAGTCCAGAAACCCTACTGTAGGGGAAGAGAAGGATAGCAGTGACAGAGGAAACAGCAACCACAAAAGCAGTAGGAACCGCAGTGAGTGCATCCCTGAGATGGGGCAGGCTGGCAAGTTTGAAGAGCAGCAAGTTGCCTCTATCCCTGGAGAGGAGTGAGCAAAGGGGAGAGCGGCAGAAGATGAGAGTGAGTGAGCATGGGATGAGATCAGGTAGAATTTGGTAGAACATCACAAAGACTTTGGCTTTTGTCTCACTGAAATGGGAGGCTATTTAAAGGACCTGAGCAGAAGAGTGACCTGCCCTGATGGCCTTCTGGCTGCTGAATTGAGTGTATATCACGGGAGACATGAGTGGTGGCCCAGATTATCACAGTAACCCAGGTGAAAGACAATGATGGTTTGGGCCAGAGGCACGTGCTGCGGGTGGCTTGATGTTACCAGATTCTGGGCATATTTTGAAGGTAGAGTTAATACTACATATGTAGAGTTTAGAGAAAGAAAGGGGCAAAGTGTAAGCATGGTATTTAGACCAAACAGGAAAGGTTGGTATTTACTGAGATGGGATAGTCTGCAGGTTTGGGAGGCAGAGAGAATCAAGGTTTTTTTTGTTTGTTTTGTTTTTTGTTTTTTGTTTTTTTTAATGTGTTAAATTTGTGCTGCCTGTTTGACATCTCCATAGCTAAACTGAGTTGGGTTGGTGTACATATATATATATATATACATACACACACACAGTATACTCATATATGCGGTATACATTTGAGTATGGGACTTAAGGGAGACATCTGCCCTGGAGATGCAATTTGAGAGTCATCAGCATCTAGATGGCAGGTCAAGTCAAGAGACAGAAGGAGACCATCAGGAGAGTCAGTGTCGGTAAAGAAGAGTCCCAAAGACAATAACCTTCATAGAGGGAGTTCAAGAGAGAGTAAGAGGGAAGGAATTGAAGAACTGAAAGTATAGGGAACTTTTTGGAGGTAGTTTTCTCTAAAAGGCACAGAGAAATTGGTGGTAGCTATAAGGAGAGGCAAGGCCAAAAGACGTGGTGGGGTTTGGGGATGGGAGGTGAATAGCAGATTCATATTAATGTATAGCAGGGAATGATCCAGTGGATAGGAGAAGTTGATGGCACAGGAGGCAGAGGACCAGGTTCCTCTGGTGCAAGGTAAGTAATGCACAGGAAGGCTTCTTCTCAGGACCATGCACAGTTCAACCATGGTAAGTAGAGAGAAAAGCCATCAACTAAGGCAACATCTTGATATTAAATGGCATAAAGGCTCTGAAGAGTGAGAAAGTTTACTTTGTAGTTTGGATGTTCCTAGAACCTTTCTGAAGGAAGATTTGCTTTGAAGAGGTTATGTATCAGGCAATGAGTTTAATTCGTTTTATATTTCGCTTTTTATAAGTTCCAAGTTCACTTTGCTTATTACCTGCCAGGATTTCAACACGAAGTTTAAGGTCCATTTTTCTTGCAGTTTTTTAGATGAGAAATAAAATATTGCCCATTCTGACAATCTGAAGAACACCTAATTTGAAGTTCTCTTTTCCCAAAGTAACCTTTTCTTTTTCTTTTCCTCTTAATTTCAGGAACAAACTCTAGCCCTCAGGAAAGAAGGGATTGGAGTTGTTTTGGATTCTGAACTGCCTCATTTGATTGGCATCGATGATGACCTTTTGAGTACTGGAATCATCTTATATCATTTAAAGGTAGAAACTGATTAAGTGGAACATTCTAATTTTGTTTCCAGTTTCTCCATTAGACACTAACTAGGTTTATTATAATATTCTATGGTCATGAACACAACTAAATTAAATTAAAGAATATACAACAAATCCTTGAGCCCTTTGGGAATTTTCAGAAGCTCATTGGGATTCTTTGGTATTTAAAGTTCCCTTGTTATCTAAAGTTAAATGATGAGCCATTGATTTGCCCTCTATTCTGTAGGATTAGTAAGAGGGAGGTAAGGAACAAAAAGGCACACAGACTGAAGGAGAAAAGTTGTAAACAGCTGGGGGGATTTTGTTGTATGTACAGTTTCCTGGTCCCTGGTGGCAATTATAAAATTGTGCTTCTCACCTGCATTATTGGGCTTGGTTCCAAGCAGACAGTTCATCTTGGGAGTACAGAATTCCACATCAGTATTAATGGATGCCCCTGTAACCTTGACTTTAGTGCCCTCTCTCTGACCCATAACTTAACAATGAGAATGCTACTGCATTTGTGTTTTGCAGACTTACATAAACTATATCTTTAGACACAAAGAATCTCTTGGCCACTGGAGAACCTCCCCAGAAAGGATCAGGAACATCAGTGATATTCCTGTCATGAGCAAAGTATTTAACGCTGTCAAAGCAGGGCCTCACCATTGCTGTACATTAAACCTTTCCAGACAACTGGGGCTTTTTTACAGAGCCTTGGGGAGCTCTCGATGCATTGAAGCTGTGGCCTGCCAGGATGTTGTTCATCCCATTGGCCACTATGTTGTTTGGGCTTCAATGAAAAATGAAGAAACAAGCTATTCCTTCTCTTCTTACTAATACATTTTGCTTGGGTTTTCTTCCCAGGAAGGTCAGACATACGTTGGTAGAGACGATGCTTCCACGGAGCAAGATATTGGTGAGCATATTTATCAGTGATCTGTTCCCAATGATTTTTTAAGGTTGTATTCAAGGAAGAACTTTTTCGAATGACTGACATTGAAGTAATTATAGAAAATTAAATTATTTTTCAAGTACAGTGTTGGTCAGTATGTACGTATATATATGTGTGTATATATATTTTTGTAATTTAGAATACAACTCAAATGAATAATGCAGAACAACTAATTTGGTGAATAAAGTGGGCCAATAAACCCTTTCTCCCACCCTACATTCCATTCCTTGTCAGGTCTTTGAGGAACACAGTTACTTAAATCACTCTACATTGTCTCACAATGGAACAATGATTGATGGAAATATACCAACAGACACAGATAAAAGATGTAGGTCTTTTGAAGGAGAGGGTTGTAGGCACTGTCTTCACAAAGATGACAACAGAAAGTAGGAGAAAACACAGCATACACACATGTGGAAGCATGGCTTTTTAGGTTTCCTGAAAGTCTTCACAAGACACGCAAATAATCAGTGACTTAGCCTACACAGATGAGGTCCTTACAGGCTTTAAGAGCATAACTTAGGCAACTGGTGGTGGTGGTGGTGGGTGTGTATATGTGTGTGGCAAGATAGGGATTGGCAGGGGAAGAATTATATTGTCTCAGCTGCTTTTAGAATTGCTGGCAATGAACCTGCTTGCCAAGTGTAAGCTATTAATGGAGCCAATCCTAGTATGTTCCTACATGTATTAGGTTGGTGCAACAGTAATGGCAAAAACCACAGTTACTTTTGCACCAACCTAATATTTACTATTTATTGTGAGACTGAGAGAGATAAAAACCATTTTCTAGAAGTCCCCAGATTCACCTATGTTTGGGTAGAAGTAGGCATCAGGCCTCTTCTTCTAATTGTTAAATTATGTGTTTGATCTTTGGGGTAGCTATAAATGATGGTAAGAACACACGTTTTCTGTGATCAGAGATCAGTAGTGCAATTTTGTAGAGACAGTGGAAACTAGTTGGCTTGTACTCCCAAGACGCTAGCCAAGAACTGTGCCTAAAATCATGTAGGCTTATTTGACAGGTGTTCATATCTGTGTTTGACCATTCTTCAAACAAGAATCTAGGAGAGTTATACATGAATAGATAAACTTTAGCAGCTGCATGCCCTGAGAGGTCTCAGAATTGACACAGGCTCAGGCAACAGGCATCTCAGTATGGCTTCTGAAGGCCTCTTGGGCTTTTCAAGATTCATGTCATGCCAAGTTCACCTTGGGTTTCTGCTCCTGGAGTGCAGTGTCTGTCAGTGCAGAGGTCTCAGTAAGTCCTCGACCCATGGAGCACTTTTGCTTTTATTCTCTGTGGCCTCTGGGTGGCTGATGGAGGAAATTTATTCAGTATCAAACAGGGCAACTCCATGGTATTCAGTTAAAACAAGTTACTCGACTGTTTTCTCCCCAAAGATGAAATGAGTTAACATCCCAGAACTGATTTTCTTACACAGGTAATGTCCAGATCCCTTGAAGAACATTCTAAGGATCTTCCAGTCCTATCATTGAACGTCATGAGCTCCTGAAGTTCGGTTTTCTCACTAAACATAAATGTTCACTTCATGATACTTATGTGGAAAAGGAAGAGTATTCAAAAGGAAAATAAATAAATTTATAGATAAATAGCTGGGAATCATTGCAGTAGAAAAGGGGGAAAAATTCTTTCTACTTTGTTTTTCCACTTTAGTTCTTCATGGCCTTGACTTGGAGAGTGAGCATTGCATCTTTGAAAATATCGGGGGGACAGTGACTCTGATACCCCTGAGTGGGTCCCAGTGCTCTGTGAATGGTGTTCAGATCGTGGAGGCCACACATCTAAATCAAGGTATCTGGTTTTAATTTTCACAGGTCTTTGTATATATTGTTTGAGAAAACAAGTTGGCTAGGCAATGGGGGAACATGTGCATCTTAGAATTAATTATTGATTAGGTATAAAAAGGGTGAGACTGTTTGCTTCAATAGGCTGTTTCTCTTCTGTTTGGCTGGAGGGCTTATTTTATAATACCCATTGTCTTGTTTAATTAAATATGAACATATATAGAATTATCTTAAAAGTTGTTGTTATGGAGATGAGATGTTAAAGGAATTTTTTAATTTAAAAAGTACCCCTCAAATGCAAAACCTTAACACAATGGTTTCTTTTAATAATTTTATTTCTATTATTTATATTCATCTTAATAGATATAATTGTAACATACATAGAGGATTTGGTATCATGTCTATTTTTTGTTTTGAAATAACTTCAATATCATAGACAAGTTGCAAGAATAGTACCAAGAACTTTTAAATTTCAAAATTATTGGAAAGTAAATAGTGCCCTGCCGTCCTTGAATACTTCATTGTGTATTTCCTTTAAACACTGACATCTACATTAGGACACTAACACTGATACATTTCTACCATCGGATCCTCAGACCTCGTTCAAGTCTTGCCATTTGTCCCAGCAGTGTTCTTTGTGGGTCCCATATTTAGTTCTATTTCCTGTATGGCATTTGGTTGTTACCTCTCTCTCTTCTTTTTCAGACTGGAACTTTTCCTTGGCCTTTCCTAGACTTTTATGACTTTGGCAGTTTTGAAAACAGTAGGTCAGATATGTTGTAGAATGTCCCTCTACATAAGTGTAGGATTCACCTGTTGATATGGTTTGGCTCTGTGTCCCCACCCAAAGAGAGACTTTTCTGACTTTGGCAGTTTTGAAAATAGTAGGTCAGATATGTTGTAGAATGTCCCTCTACATAAATGTAGGATTCATCTGTTGATATGTTTTGGCTCTGTGTCCCCACCCAAATCTCATGTTGAATTGTAATTCCCAATATTGGAGGAGGGACCTGGTGGGAGGTGATTGGATCATGTGGGTGGATTTCCCCCTTGCTGTTCTCGTGATAGTGAGTGAGTTCTTGTGAGAGCTGATGATTTAAAAGTGTGTGGCATTTCCCTCCTGCCCCCTCTCCTGTCTCCATGAGAAGACATGCCTTGCTTCCTCTTTGCCTTCTGCCGTGACTGTAAGTTTCCTGAGGCCTCTCAGTCATGCTGCCTGGTAAGCCTGTGGAAGTGGGAGTCAATTAAACCTCTTTTCTCCATAAATTACATAGTCTCAGGTATTCTTTATAGAAGTGTGAGAGTTGACTATGTTCCCTTATGATTAGACTAATATGCATTTTTGGCAAGAATATCAGAGAAATGATGCTGTTTTTCTCATATCTCATTACACGATTTCCATTTGTCCCGTGACTGATGATGTTCACTTTGATCATCCAACTAAGGTGCAGCTGCCAGGCCTCCCCACTGGGGAGTTACTCTTTTCTTCTTTGTTATTAGTAAGTATGTGGGAAAGTACTATGAGATTGAAGGTACTTTGATATTGTAAATTTTCCATTCCATTATGGAATATTACCACTTTCACCCACTGGTTTTAGGAATCCATTCTTTTTTCTTTTTGGCTGAATTAATTATTATTATGATGGTTGCCAAATGGTGATTAAAAAAGAATGCATCATTATTTCTACACTTATTAATTGGATTTTCATTGTAAGAACTTTCTCTTCTTGTCATTTATCTATTTAAAGGGTCACACAGCTTGCGATTTTATTTACTAGGTTTTGGTCTGTTTTTTATCATTATTTATTTCAATATCAAATTGTCCTATATTTTGGCCACTGTGAGTTTCTTCAAGCTGGCTTTCGTGTCCTGTCCTCACTGTTCTGTAAACACTTCGTTACTTTCTGACACAAGATATTCCAGACTCATCTTGTGCTTTCCTCAAACTAACCAATTCTCCAAGGAGCCATGGTTCCTTTTAGTACAGAATGGTATTTAGCAACCAGGTGTGTTCATTGCTACTGGAGTGTCACTGCTTCCATATGCTTTCTGTGAACAGAGCTAGGAAAACGTGTGTGTGTTTGTGTACAACCTTTACAACTGTACTTCTATATCTGTTTATATTGGTATTGTGAAATATCTGTATTTCAGTACCTATATTGCTAACAAGGAGTTTATACCAATACACTAATACTTCTAATCCCAACCCAATACCATAGGGTTAATTGTAGTTTTCTCACTTATTCCTAGCTCCTTTTTCTGACAGTGATGAACCTGGCTTCCATTATGTAACCCATATACTGTTATTCCTGCCCCCTCCTCACACTGGGACCCTCCTCTTCTTGCTCAGACCACAAGCATGGCTATGCTTGGCTGTCATGGCCCTCACCCTTCCACAGTGCAGAAACTTTTCTCAGCCCATGCCATTTGCCTCCACTCTCATGCTGATGCCTACTTTGCTTTTGCCTGCGTAATAGTTTTTGGGCTGAACTATGTAAGAATGAGGGAAAGAAAGACATTGGCATGTTTAAGCCCCTTTTTGTATGTTATACGTAGTCTTTATAATTACAGTTTTTAATGGTTGCACACTGTATAATTGAGTCTGTTGTGACATAGGAATTGGAGAGATGGGGGCTGGAAAGCATGTAGTTTATTCAGGGTTAGCCAAGTTTGTAAGCAGAAGTCAATTGCAGGAAGGTACCTCAGAAATGAAGGAAACATAGCATGGACCAGGGACATTATGCTTTTGGAGGAGGTGCATAATGTCCGTCAAAGACGCTCTAACATCAGCTGCGATGGAGCGCCAACCTGGGTACCCATCCACATCCATCCACCCACCCATTCATCTCTCCATCTGTTTTTTCAATTTTATAAAGGTAAGTTGAGCAGGGGAAATATCTGAGTACCCTGGAGCTGGCCAGGAAGATCAAAGGTCAGCAATTGTAGATGACCAACCCAAAGCAGTGAGCACTCAGTGATCCCTCAGTGATTATTACAAATGCAGCATTTCCTGCTTTTTTGCAGTGGGACAAGGGCTCTAGCAATGTAGAATGGAGGGGCAGGTTATTTCCAGGCAGCAGTATTAGTCATGGTGGGAGGCTGTCTCTGCCTTTAGCCCAGGAAGTGACCATAATTGGTTGGCAGATGAGAGGTCACCATGTAGGGCTCTTCAGTGGCAGTCCCTGCTTGGGAACTCACAGGCTCTAGTGCTGACAGCAGGAGTAATGGGAAGATACACAGTTAAAACACGATTCACTGACAACCCCTTCAGTGAATCCTGTATGGAGTCTAGACTGTAGTCACATCAACTGTCTGTTCTCTGTGGGAACCTCAGATAGAGGTCCTGCTGCTATTCCTCCAGGCAGCAGAGGCTGGTACAGGCTGGTACAGAGTTATGATGACGGACTGTCCTCTTTTCCCAGGGAGAGAGGAACGTACACAGTAGAGATCCATGTACTGGCTGCATCTCCTTCAGTTAGGTCAGAAGGAAGTAACCTTGTTATAATCACTTTGTTTATTGTTACAGGATTTTTACAAGAGGCTTGTACTGGTTTTCAAAATCATTATTAATACATGAGTAGAACAAGGTCACTATTGCCTCCCAGAATCGTGGGAAGTAAAACATGTGTTTTCCCCTGATTGAGTGTACACACCATATAACATAACTCCTTGTAAGTGCTTTCTCATATTTGATTTAGTTATTGTGTCACTCTTGTAGTATTTTCTATTTAAATGTAATTTTGTTACTTTTAAAATGAACTTTTCATGTGCTTTAATCTGTTGTTCTTTGTGTTTTCTTTGGTAATTTTAAACTCTGCCACAGAACTAGTCAACATTTGTTTTTATTTTCCTTGTGATTAATTATTTTATTTTTCAGGATTTTTTTGAAATATTTGTTTAATACACCTGGGTTCATTGGTTTATAAAGTGTAGCTCCAACTTTTTTCTTCCTCATATTGGTATGCCATTTATTATAACCTTTCCCTGCTTATACCCACCTCCCTTTTGAAGAAACTTGCTTTACCTAAAATGAAAACACATACAGCATTATATCTATTTCTTGGCCCTCCTGTTGTTCCAGTACTCCATGTTTTCACTTTTGAAGCAGTATCACACAGTTTTGATGTTTATTATTTTATAATATGTTTTAATCTCTATTTTCATTGGAGTGTCTTTTTACTATGTGTGCTTATTAACTTTTTAAAGAAATTTTTTCTTTAAATATTAGGATAGTTTTGTTGTGCTAAAATGTAATTTGAGGAGTTAGATTCTAATTTTGTTTGATTTGTTTGCATTTGGAAAAATATGTTTCCATCTTGGAACTTCTTATGCAATATCCCTCTTGTGTTTGAATTATCATCTATTTCTTTCAGTAAAACTTTGAAAGTTTTTAATGTATACATTTGTTGAACTGTGTTCATTTATGTATACAAATTCCAAACACATTATAGTTGTATAGAACTGAGATTACTTTGGGGGAATTATTTAGTATAAGTAGTTCTTAAATCACAAATAGCCCCCAAACATCCATACTGGCTGCTGGATCCACCTGGCTTTGTTGCCCCCCACCTTTGAACTATTTTGGAATAGTTCTCTGCCACAGTCACTCTTCTCTGGAGCTCCTGGAGCTCCCACCACCCATAGCCCTGGCCACTTGATGCTGAGTAGATTACATTGACCAGCAATGTTCCTGCCGTGTTATAGGTAAAATAGTCTCTTGTGGATTTGCTGAGAAGCTAGCATGTAATGCTTTTTCTGTGAGAAAATCAGTACTGAATTCCAAACACCAAAAAGACAAAAGGAACTTTTAGAGCACACACACGGACACTGTCTAGAACTTAAAATTTAATTTTGGGGTTATCCTTCTACCTTCCCCACCGCCTTAAGGAAAGCTTATTTGCTTATTTAGTTAGTTAGAAGAAATTGTTTATATAGCGATGATTACCTCTCTAATTGTCTTGTGAATTGAGGCATGGTATATAAATAATGTATCTCCCACGCAGTATTTTTATTAAGTGGTTTTTGATCTTAAACTTTTACCTAAACTGAGAGTTCATTTAAATAATATGCCTATTCTGGTTAATGATTCAGGTTAGGAACCAAATTTTTTATCTTCATATTGAAGATACGACTTTTCCTCGGACAGTACTGGTACTAATTGGCATTGAAGGTTAATTGTCGGAATTGTCTTTCCCTGCGGGATGCTCTTAATTGTTTTATTAGCATGGTGCCATGATCTTCAGATCTGATGGGCTTGAGTTCCTCTGGCATTCTGCTGTGCTACTGAACAGCTTTCTCAGTATCACTGTTAATGAAATTAACATAAAAATACTATGTTTGAAGGTGTTAAAACGCTGTGCAGTGAATGTAAATGTCATTAGCATGTCTTAGGGCAGTAAAATGCGAGATGACTTTGTTTCAATGCATTGTACAAAAAAGCAAGGTGATAACTTTTCTTTTAATTACACATACTTTAAGACCAAAAGATCTCATTAAAGAAAAAAAGTCTATAGTCCTTCAGAAATTAAGGATTAGAATTCTTTACTTAACTTTTCGTGATGTTTGTGGATTATTAAAATGGGAAATGGAACATGTTTTTAAAACACAAAATGATGTGATGTAGTGTTTCTGGTTATGAAAATATGTAGTAAAAATAAAAGAGTCATGAATGAGACAGATACATTCTTATATCAGAATAGTGTTTACCCACTGGAGAAGAAGGAGGGGGTTATATCAGGTGGAGCTACAAAAGGATTTTCAACTGTATCTGTAAGAAAACAAAAAGCTAAAGGAAAAAAACAGCATATGAACGTCATTAAAATATAATAAATGGGGAACAGCATTAAATATAGTAGCATTTTTATTCTTTGAAATCTGTCTTGGCTTTTACCCATAAAACAGTTTTTAAGTAAATTTTTTAGCACACTTCTGCATAGTTCTGCCTTCACTTAGTTAATTTCTACAAAGTCAAATTTGAATTAACAGATGACAGCCAAGTCTCTTGGAAATGGGTCTTAGGTAGCTATATGCTTACCATATTGGATCAGCCCTTCATCCCCTAGCCCTCACCCATGACCCCTGTCCAAAAATAATTACAGCAGACCATTCATTATCATTCGTGCTCGAATTCATGCATTATTTCTCTGAAACTTAAATAATTATAACTTAATGTGTGTGCTATTTCATCTCGTTAGCTCTCTAAGCCAGGTTAGGTCATACCTGCAGCCCTAGGATCCTAAAGTCCAGGTAATCCTGGTTTCCCACATTTACTGTCCTCATCCCAGTTTCTGGTTAATTGGAGTGGTTATTGGCCTAGGACCCTTCCTGACTCATTGTGTCTTGGTCCTCAGAATGGACCTCACTGTATTTGGCCCATTGATTAGATCAAAAAACAAACAAACAAACAAACAAACCTTTTGAGGCAGACCCAAGCAGCATTTTCCTTTTATAGAAGTAAAAGATGTCAAGAAGAGAGACTGCGGCTGCGTGGTAACTCAAGTCACAATGATTCCTAGCCATATTAACTCCACAATTGACTGGATTCCTGGTCCACCTTACACTACCAGCAGCTTCCTACCTTTCCACCACCCCTTTCCAGTTTATTGCTGATATTTGGTATTCAGATGTCTCTTTTCATTAGTAAATTTCTGTTCATTTGTAAATGTGTTATTTAGGCTGTCCCATTAAAAAACACTGGTAGTAATTACCACTTCCTTATCTAAATTACTTACCATATATGTGAATGCCAACTAATCGGAGATTTATCTAAATTTAGCAGATTGTCAACATTGAGGGCAAATTCTATTTCTGTATCAGTTAACTGCCTCACTTATGTCAGATTGCATAAACTGTTTCCCCACCTTAAACCATAGGAAATATTTTCATCTGTTAGTGTCTTCACTCAAAAGAAAAGGCTTTGCTGCTACTGTGAGCATTAATTGTGATGACATATATAAAGTTTGTTGCCTGAAGTTTTTCTCCTCTTTTTTTAGTTCTTCCAGAAATAGTGATGGGATATGTAACATTATATCTAACATGCTCTTCAATTGGTGTATTCTCCAAAGCTTAGTTCTCCTCATTCCACACTGTGATTCTATAGGATGATTCCAAAGAAAGAAGAGCCAGTTCTTCAAGAAAGTGTGAATTTTACCAAGAAGAAAATGTGAATTTGATCATAATACTAGTCCATAAAACTTGAGCTCCTCTTGGTAGTGGCTTAGACCTTAGATTTTTTTCTTTTTTCTGTTTTATATACTTAATATGAAATGATACAACAGTCAGATGCATTGTAATTGAAACAGTATTTCAGCATTTGTCCTATAACTTCTAGGAGCTATTCTCTCTTATTTTAATTATTATTTTTTCTTTTGACTGTAATATGTTATTTTAAAGCTGATAGTTGTTAAATGCAATTAATTTTTCCATTCACATAAGTGGACTCCTTTGGTCTTACTTGTTTGTCAGATCCATTGACTATTCATCTCTTCTTTTAGAAGTGCTACAGAATTGGCATCTGGGAAATTTATACTTGGGCACATTTGAATGTGTTATGCTTGAGTGCCAAAATATATTTTCATCTATTCAAGTACTCAGAGGGAACAGATGATTGTCTGCAGAGTGGAGCTGAGGAGACTTTGATAAAATTTTCATCTGCTGGAGGGCTGCTGTGAGTTGTTCGCTGACAAATTAAAAAAGAATTTTAGTGGAACTAGAAAGGGAAATAGATCTCCCAGTGGTTTAGCCAAGGTATCCCGTTAACAGAGGAGGCCTTTTATGTGTCAGCAGGTATCAGTGTCTGTTCCTTCACTGACTCACCTGCACTTGACCCTAAGCATTCATCATATGTCTTCCTCAGATTAGAGACCTGCAAATATGACATCTGTCACTTGTATATGGGCTGATTCAACAACTATTTTTCAATGTCAAAGCCCTAACTCTTCTTAACAGACTATACCTAAAGCTAGTGGTCCTCAAAGTATGTCATCAACATCAGCATTACCTGAGAACTTGTTAGATATGCAAATTCCCAGGCTCCACCTAGACCTACTGAACCAGCAAATCTAGGGATCAGGCCCTGCAGTCGGGTTTTTTATGTCTGTGATTCTGATGCACATGTCAACTGAAGAATGACAAGGTTTGTAAATTTGGAAAGGAGAGCTTTATTTTTTATAAGGCCTGCAGGGTGGCCATTCTGACAGGCTGGGAAGTGTAGCCTCCAGCTGGAAGCCAGAAGCAGACACATTGAGGGAGGGGGAAAGGGAACAGGAATTTATGCTGAGCTGGGTGGCTGAATGTGCATGTTTAATAAGCTATAGGAGAAGTCATGAATATTTATGAGTGGAGAAACATGAGCATGCACAGTTGAGCTTATGCCTCTACATGAGTTGCGTGAACAAAAACTGGCAGGGTTAGCATGATGCAAGGATAGAGTTTTTGGTCCTCTGATGTCAAGAGTTGAAGCAGAGGACATGGAAACATTCACTGTGCACCCTGTAGATTGGCCAGAACCACTCCATGGTCGATGGTTTCTTATCAGGAGGCAATGCTGGTCCATTGTGTGGAAACCACAGAAGGTAGGGGCAGTGACAGTTGGTTGAAGTCAGCAGTGAAACAAGTCTTTCCAATGGGCTGGTTTCTGTTGAACCTTGAGGAATGAAAGCCGTGGCAGTTAGCAAAGGAGGGAGTATAAGAAAGCATGTCCTACCTCCTATCGTGTCATGTCCAGGAACTCGATTTCCAAGGTTTCTGTGGGGTCCCCATGGCCAAGAGGGGGTCTGTTCAGTCAGTTTGATGGCTTAGAATTTGACTTCTCATGTGTTTGAATATGAGAACAAGTGGCCAAAGCTAATTATACTGGAGTTAGTTTCTTGGTGCACCAGACTTCTGGACATGAGACATATATTTGTCATTCTGTTTAACCCCTTTTTTTCTCTTTTTTTCACTCATCACATCTATTTTTCTTGATCTCTCTTCTCCTTTTAAAACTTCATTTTCAGCTTTACATTCAGTACATTGGCTTTACAATATGCCTTGGCATGGATTTCTCGGGGTTAACCTGTTTGGGTTTTGCCGAGCTTCTCAAATTCATAGGCTGTTGTCTTCCTCTGGATTTGGGAAGTTTTCAACCATTATTTGTTAATTTTTTTTTCCCCCGCACTATACTCTTTCCCCTCTCCTTCTGCGACTACAATTACACAAAAGTTAGATATTTTACTATTGTCTCACAGTTCCTTGAGGCTCTGTTTACCTATTTTTATTTTTTGATAAATTCTTTTTTCTTTGCTTTTCAGATTGGATCATTTCAGTTGACCTGTGTTTAAGTTCACTGACTTTTTTTGTCATCTCCATTCTGCCTTTGAGCCTACCAATGAGTTTTTTATTTTGAATATTTTGTTTTTCACTTGTAATATTGGATTCTTCTTTATATCTTATCTTTGTTGAAATTTTTATTTTTCCACTTATTTCAAGAGTATTGAAACATTTATTGGAGCTTTTTGTTATCTCAGTATAAACATTTGTTGATTGTTTTTTGCAATGCATGTTGGGATTTTCCTGGTTCTTTCTGTGCTGAGGAATAATATTGGATTGTGTCATAGACATTTTGGATATTATGAGATCCTGGGTCTTGTTTAAATCCTATGGGAAATGTTTATACCCTTTGTTTCAGCAGACAGTTTACCTAGCTGGATGTAGGCCATAAGTTACCATCAGCTTTTGCAGATCGTGTCTGCCGTTCCACTGCTGCTTCAGTGTTCAGATCCTTTGCAGTGCTCCTCCAGTAGCAGTGGGTGTACTACCCGTTGGCCAGGCTGGGACCTGTGCAGTGGTCTGTCGCTTAGTTCAGTTCTCAAAGTCTTAGCATTCTTCTGAGGATCAGATCCACGTGTACACACATAGGGGTGAGCCCAGGAGTTAATAAACAACTCTGTGAGGTTGCTTTCCTGCATATTTCCCTCTTCATCTCTCCTGCACTTTCTGCCTCCCTCGGGTCTTCCCTTCCCTGGAAATCTTGAGCTTTATTTATTCTACTCTTTCATATGCCTGTCTCCGTGTCTACGGCCAAGAAATGAGAGGACAGGGAAGGAATAAAGCAACAGGGATCTGCCCCACCTTCTTGGGGGACTACAGCTCCTCTGATGGGAAAGAAAGATTCCCTTTCCTCATGGGCCCACTGTTGCTGCTAAGGGACTCTCTGCTCCTCCTCCAACCTGAACTAGGGGGCTTCTCCTGGAGTTCTCTCTTTTGCACTTGTCCACTTTTGGCTTTCTTCCTAGACCAAGCTGGGAAGCACTGCAGGCAAAAAATGGTAAATTCACTGTTAGTTCAGTGGTGCTTCCAATCTTGGTTTTCTTCAATCCACCTGCTACTCTGTTTTTTTTTTTTTTAAAGTTCTGGGGTACATATGCAGGATGTGCAGGTTTGTTACATATGTAAACGTGTGCCATGGTGGTTTGCTGCACCTATCAACCCATCACCTAGGTATTAATGGCATGCATTAGCTATTTTTCCTGATGGTCTCCGCACCCCACCCTCCCACAACAGGCCCCAGTGTGTGGTGTTCCCCTCCCTGTGTCCATGTGTTCTCATTGTTCAGCTCCCACTTACAAGTGAGAACATGTGGTGTTTGGTTTTCTGTTCCTGTGTTAGTTTGCTGAGAATAATGGCTCAGAGAACTGGCTAGCCATATGCAGAAAATTGAAACTGGACCCCTTCCTTACACCTTATACAAAAATTAACTCAAGATGGATTAAAGACTTAAATGTAAAACCCAAACTATAAAACCCTTAGAAGAAAGTGTAGGCAATACCATTCAGGACATAGGCATGGGCAAAGATTTTTATGAAGAAATTGCCAAAAGCAGTTGCAACAAAAGCAAAAATTGACAAGTGAGATCTAATTAAACTAAAGAGCTTCTGCACAGCAAAAGAAAATATAATCAGAGCAAACAGACAACCTACAGAATGGGAGAAAATTTTGGTAATCTATTCATCTGACAAAGGTCTAATGTCCAGAATCTACAAGGAACTTAAGCAAATTTACAAGAAAAAATAAACATTAAAAAGTGAGCAAAGGACATGAATAAACACTTCTCAAAAGAAGACATACATGTAGTCAAGAAACATATGAATAAAAGCCTAATATCACTGGTTATTAGAGAACTGCAACAGCTACTCTTTACTTCCCAAGGCCCTCAAATAACTACTACATGCATTTTGTTCAGGCTATAGCTACATTCCTTAGGAGAAACAGGGTGGAGTGTGCTTGTTTCAGCTTATGCAGAACCAAAACTCCTCCCAGAGGGTGGTTTAGACTGCTGAAAAGGGGGAATGTACCCAAAGTTGAATTCTGAAGTGAATGTATTTGTCTTAATGGCATATAGTGAAAAAGTGACTTAGATGCTCTTCAGCCAAAGTGTGTAGTGAAGAAATGTCTAAGACTGGAAAGGGGATGGAGGGAGGAGAAGGAGTAGTGAGATCAACGCTGTTGAGTCTGAGTCATGGGCAGGTCTGTAGGGCTCTTAAGTTCTAGATCAGTTGCATGAATTTTCTGTGGAAAGCAGAAGGAAGTCTGTGCTGACCACTCAGTAGATGGGTAATGTGGGCTGAGAGGTGAAGATGATGCAGCTTTTGTTTAGCTCAAAGGGAGGCTGATAGAAGAGCCGTGAGGAAAAGGGGTTGAAGGTAAAAGACTTTGGGAGCTGAAGGAAGGGAGGCATTGTGCAAGAACTATTTCGGAAGGAACAATAGGATATTGACACTGTGGAGTGCGTATGAGCCTAGAAATAAATAATTGAGATGATTACTAATAGTGAATAAGAAGTTGGTAGCAAAGAATGTGGACTACTGGGCAAGAATGGAAAGAAAGTTACTAATAGCTTGACCAATTGTGTAATGCTTTCCCTTCAGTACTTTGGAATTTATCATGTGACTATACACTGTCTTGAATTGCCCTCTAATCATTTCCTGTGCTTTCTACATTTTCCTGCAGAAGGACAGACCTATTCCATATACAGATATTCCTTGAATTACAATGAGGCTGTGTCCTGATAAATCCATTGTAAACTGAAAATATCCTAAGTTGAAGATGCATTTAATACACCTAACCTATTGAGCATCACAGCTTAGTCTATCCTACCTTAAATATGCTCAGAACACTGGGCAAAATCATCTAACGCAAAGCCTAGTTTATAATCAAGTGTTGAATATTTCATGTAATTTGTTGAATACTGTACTGAATGTGTATCACTCTTGCACCATCATAAAGTTGAAGAATTGTAAGTAGAACCGTCTTAAGTTGGGGATGTCTGTGCTCTTTTTGTTTCTCGCATGAGGTGTTAAGAAAAATATCAGCTCCCACTTACCACCCCCTCTCCCTGCTCCGACACACACATCTAAAAATGTCTTTGGGTATGGGACTGGAGCATCTCGAAATTTTACAAAGCTTCAAACTCAGTTTGTGCACACAGTTGGGCAAATCATTCTTGATGGATAATTTGGCTGGAAACTTCAGTAGCCAAGATTGAAAATCAATTTTCTTTCTTCTACAGAGTCCCAGAATCTAAGTTTCCAATTTTTACTTTACTAAGGGTAAACAGAGGTTGAAGTGATTTATCTAAAGCAGGAAATTGTAAATCCATATTTGAATTGTAAACATTGAAAAAGAAGGGACAAGGTCAACGTAGCTTTTTGATAAGGTATCATTTCATGTTTATTCTTCAGAATTACTAACTGATGATCTGATGGCATGATGTGATACTGATGCCTGCTGCCTTTGTTGCAGAGTGCCTGTCATTCATTCGCAAGCCAGCCATTAACACCAAGCCATATGTCCTGCTTGAATTTGTTTAGTATTTATGTGAAATTTTCTTACCCACCACAGACACCATGTTCCATCTTCATCTTTTCCTATCTAGCTTCCTAAAGCCATTTTTGATATAGAGAAAAAGTACTATAATTCTCGTGTTTGAAATAATAAAATCTGTGTCACCAAGTCTAAGGCCCTAGAACATATTACTTAATCTGTTCTTAAGTATTGGCATGTATTAGTGGAAATTAGATGTTTTCTTATCAGTTTCCCTAAATGGTATCATCATCATAACTTATTTTAATATAAATAAATATCTTTAAGATATTTTAAATCAGAAGGAAAATGTCACACACAAGCAAGTTTCTTTTTGCTTCAATCAGGCAATGAAATAAGAACTTTACCTGCCCTACCTCAGTTCAGCCTCTCACTCAATACCATTTCAGAAAATTGTATGTTCCTGACAGAGTTTGGTTTCTCCACCTGTCACATCTAAAATGATAACCTTTCTTCCACTGAGCTTGCTTTCACAGTGCATTGCATCCTATGTGTGTGTGTTGGTTGGTGGAGGGCGGGGGGTATGTTTTGGTTGGTGGGGGGCAGGGGGTGTTTCTAAAGTAAAATGTAGAACTAGGAGTCTCGAAACAGAATTACAAAGGGCCTCTCATTTTTATTGACACCACAGCCTCTAAAGTGTGAACCACACACTTGTGGGAACACAGTTGTCTCATATGTTTGTAGTATTTGTAACCCAAAATGAAATAATTGGTACATTATTACCTCAGAAATATTCATATGAAAACAGTAGGAGAAAAAATGAGTTGTTTTATTTGTGCAGTAGCAGAATTAGAAAATCTCATAAAACTTGAAGAGGGTAATTATTGGTGATATTAATGATTATTGTCCCTGCATTCCTTAGGAATCACTAGAAACGTTTGCAGATTTACTTCTGTCAGCTTACTTGAAATATTAGAATAGAGAGTCTCATGTGAAACCAGCAATGTCTTTGTCTATGCTTTCACAATGTCATGTCCCCTCCATCCCCTCTGAAGACTCTCTGGAATTTGTCTGTCTTTGGGTATTTAGCAAACTCTGAATTAATCTCAAAGAAGTCATTATTTCAAGGAGGTTTAGAAATGCTTGCAAAATTACAAATTAAGTGCATCACATAAAGTCCATCTGCTGCTGTTAATCACACTGACCTCAGACCAAATGGTTCATGGTTGACAAGAATTTAAGATCTGGAAGGAATCTTAGAAATTGTCCAGTTTGATAACTAGATGAGGAAACTGAATTCTGGAGAGATTAAGCACTGACTTGTCCTTAACCACACCGAGATTTCTGGGAAGCACACACTCTTCAGGTTTCATCAAGAAACTACATTATCAGCCATTCTCATTCATTAGTTCTTTTATTCATTTATTCCTCTTTATGCCCTTCAGTTTGCTTATTGCATTTTAAGTATACATATAAGTTTTAACAAAAAATAAAATATCCTGCAGGATCTATCTGATATGGTTTGGCCGTGTCCCCACCCAAATTTCATCTGGAATTGTAGTTCCCATAATCCCCACATGTCATGGGAGGGAACTGGTGGGAGATAGTTGAATCATGGGGGTGGTTACCCCCATTCTGCTGTTCTTGTGATGGTGAGTTCTCACGAGATCTGATGGTATTATAAGGGGCTTTCCCCATTTTTATGCGGCACTTCTTGCTGCCATGTAAAGAGGACATGTTTGCTTCCCCTTCCACCTTGATTATTAAGTTTTCTGAGGTCTCTTCAGCTATGCTGAACTGTGAGTCAGTTACATCTCTTTACTTTATAAATTACCCAGTCTTGGGTATATCTTTATTGGCAGTATGAGAATGGACTAATACACTATCATCCCCTCTGGCTACTACCAACTCTTTCTCTTCATTCATAGACTTCTTGAAAGAGTTGCCTGTGCCCAGTACATCTGCATTTCCTTACCTCTTCTGCATTCCTCAGTCTCTTCCTTCTGGCCTCGGTCTACTACCAAATCAGCTCCCACTAACACCACTTGTGACCTCTATGCCACCACACCCAATGGTGTTTTCTAGTCTTTTTGTCTCAGTTGACCTCTGAGAAGCATTCTGCATTGTTGGCCCCTCTTTTCCTTGGCTTTGGAGGGTTTCTTTCTCCCTCTCTCATGGTCTCTTCTCTGTTTCCTCTGTAAGTTTATTTTCTTCTACTTGGCCATTAGAAGTCAGCATTCCTTCAGGTGCCCAATGTTAGGTCCTCTTGTCTTCTACCTCTGTATTTTGTCTCAGGTTTCTTTCCTACTCCTATAGTTTCATTTATTAGCAATGAGTCACACACACACACACACACACACACACACACACACACACACACGTTGAACATTCCTCATCAGAAATCCGAAATGTCCAAAAGTTTTTGAGGGCCAGCATAACACCACAAGTGGAAAACTCCACACCTAACCTCATGTGATGGGGTCGCAATCAAAACTTAGGTCCACCACACACACAGTTTGTTCAATATCCACAAAGGAAAAGAGGCCCCCCTAGTCCCCTTCAGCTTCAGTGTATCTTTTCGGCACATGTCCAGATTCCCCATACGAGTATGCCCACAAAGGACAAAAAAATGGCAGATGTTCAGGCCACACATGACAATAGTATGTTCCCCATGATACCCTGCGCAGGTCCAAGACCTGCATGCATTACTCACTGTGGGTTTTTTTTTCTTACTTATTCTCTGCTCTGTGCTGTAAAGATAATGTTTGAACATGTCAGAAAGGTCTGCAGCTACTCCTGTGGACAACAGTGATAAGAAACACAGGAACCATTTATGTTGATCTGTGGCACAGAAGGTAAAGCTGTTAGAGAAACAGGATGGTGGTGTTAAGTGTGAAATGTCTTACAGAAGAGTATAGTGTTGAAGTGGCCATCATATATGACCTGAAGAAACAGAAGGCTAAGTTCTATGCTCAAAGTAATAAATACACATAAATGAAAAATAGAAAAACACAGCATAAAGCTAAAAGTGAAGATCTCAATTGTGTATTAAAAGAGTGGATCCCATCAGTGTCACAGTGAATACTTGCCACTTAATGGGAAGCTGATCATGAAAACAAGCAAAAATCTATCACAATGAACCAAAAATTGAAGGAAACTGTGAATATTCAGCAGGCTGGTTGCAGACATTTAGGAACAGACACAGCATTACATTTTAAAGATTTGTGGTGATAAAGTATCTGCTTACTATGAAGCAGCAGAGAAATTTATTGACGAGTATGTCAAGGTCATCGGTGATGAAAATCTGACACCAGAACCAAGTCTGTAATGCTGATGAAACATCACCGTTTTGGCATTATTGCTCTAGAAAGACACTGACTGCAGACAATGAGGCAGCCCCTACAGGAACTAAGGGTGCCAAGGACAGAATAACTGTGCTGAGATGTGCTAATGCAGCAGGCATGCGTAAATGTAAAATTGCTGTGATAAGCAAAAGCTTGCATCCTCCCTGTTTTCAGTTCAAGGAGTGAATTTCCTACTTGTTCATTATGCTAACAAAAAGACATGGATCACCAGGTGATTGCTTATCAGCAGCATATAATTCAGAATCAGGAATGATGGTGATGCTAAGCAACTGCAGATTGTCCACATGGGTGGCTCAGATAGTGGCACCTTTGCTTTCTGATTGTTCCCTGTACACTAACTTTGTTTCATTCACAAAATTATTTAAAATATTGTATAAAGTTACTTTCAGGACTCTCTATAAGTGTATATGAAGCATAAATAAATTTCATGTTTAGACTTGGGTCCCATTTCCAAGATATCTCATTATATATATTCCAGTATTCTGAAATCCAAAAAATAATCAGAACTCCAAAACCCTTTTTGTCCCAAGCATTTTGGCTAAGGGATAGTCAACCTGTATATGTGTGTGTATGTATATGTCTCTCTCTCTATATATATATACACACACATACACACACACATATACACACACACACACACACACATATATATGTAGGTACGTACCTACATATATATATATGTACACCGACATATATATATGTACCTACATATATGTATATGTACCTACATGTATATGTACCTACATATATGTATATGTACCTACATATATATATGTACCTACATATATGTATATGTACCTACATATATATATGTACCTACATATATATATGTACCTACATATATATATATGTACCTACATATATATATATGTACCTACATATATATATATGTACCAACATATATATATGTACCTACATATATATATGTACCTACATATATATATGTACCTACATATATATATATATATATATATGTATATATATATATATATATATGTAGGTAAGTGGGTAGGAAGGTAGATCGACATCCCAGACTTTTATTCAAGAGCTTCAAACCCATATTTTCATTTGCCAAATGCATCTCTAATTCATTATGTCCAAAACCAAACTCATGATTTTTCCCCACCCCATCTTGGTCCTTTTCCAGTGTTCTCAGTCTGTGCAGAAGACTCCCCATTCAACTAGTGATGCATTCCAGAACCCAGAAGCCATCTTCCTCACCCCCGTCTCCTCTTTGTGTCTAGCCCATCATCAAATCATATTGATTTTATCTCCTACATATCTTCCAGTTTTGTTTTACTTCTCTGCTTTGGTAACCCTTTCCCCCAGTCCAGAGCCATCATCACTTACCTGGACCACTGTAGTAGCCACCTGGCTTGCTTAGCCATATTCACTCTTGCCCTGTTTGGCCTTTCTTCAGTCACCATTGCAAGAATGATCTTTGGTGAAACTGAAATCTAATCATGTTATGCTGCTGCACAGAGCCCTTCAGTGTCTTCCTCTTACAACTAGATAAAACACAAGATCCTTTACATCCTGAAACATTTGAGTTGATTCACTTTCTCCCTCCTTCTCAAGCCTTATGTTGGTGCAGTGCTCACTCTTGTTCCCTTTGCCATAGCCACATGGTTGTCTTCCAGTCACTCATTCTTGGTGGCATCTTCCTCCTCATTATTATCATCAATCATCATCATGATCATTATTGCTTTTATGCAAGACACTCTCCCAACTTGTTCTCAGAGCTTGTTTTAGACACCACCTCCCTTGAAGATATCCTTCTCTAGTTTCCCCTATAATAAACCCTTATCATTGTTGCTCTTTGAGCCCAGGACACAGTTCTTCTCCTTCAGCTGCAGCTTTGCATTTATTTGTGGAATCATTTCATTATTTGATTATTTATCTCTCTCTCTGACATTTTTTAAAGCTCCATAAAGGCAAAGCGTATGTCTGAATTGCTCAACTCTGTATCCCCCATGTTTATCACAGTGACTGGCATACAGTAAGTGTTCATTAAATATTTGCTGAATGAACAGTGGCATCATGTAAAAATGAAGCAAATTTTTAAATTCACGAGATTTGTTGAGTACAGGTGCTTAGAAGAAGAAAGGGAAGGAAACCAGCCTTAATGGACCCCTTTTAACATGCCAGACAGTTGACTCAAACATTATCTAGATGGAAGCACTGAATTGTCATGATAGTTTTGCTTTCTTTTATAACTCCTTACAGGGCTTTTTGTGTGTATTTCATGCAGATAACATGGGTGGCAAGATTATTTTCAATGATTTAATACAATTTGAAATATGTCTCTGAAATACCATTCTATTTTTCCATTAACATATTTTAGCAATTTTCAACTTGCATGACTGGGCATTTGATTAACAGAAAAAAAGAAGAATTGGAGATGTAATTAACACCTGGAATGTGATTGCTTTATTAATCTCTAATGTAACTTTAACAGCATTAAATATACATACATCCTAGACGTGGCTGCTTAGCTTTTGGCTTACTATGTAGTCCTAGTCGTAAAAGGCATGGGAAACACCTTTTTTATCATGGTAATGGTCTTGCCATAATTGGAAAAAATACAAATGCAATTCTGCATGACAGGGATAAGCAAATTGTAGAGTGGATAATATCTGCTGCTGCCCCACTAGGGCTCCTAAACTGTCTTATCCTCCTTTTCATAGTGACTTTGTTTCTGCTAAATAATGACAACCACTAAAACCAACCCATATCAGTTGCTCCCTGTCGTTGTTATTTAAACCTGTTAGGTTTTAATCATATTGAATTTGAAACTCCCTTGAGTTGTCCAAAACAATACATCAAATAGGCAGGTGGATATGCTGGCCTGAGCTCCAGAATAGATATCTGGTATTATGATATTTCCTGCAGGGCCCAGGTGAAGATATTACCCAAGCAAGAGGCTAGTGACTGTGGTCAACCAGAGGTCACCTGTGCAAAGGAGGCAACTCTCAGCAGCCCAGGGATTTTTGCTAAGTGCAAACAAAGATCTACTGATAGCATATCTTAGGAATTTTGAAGGAATGCTAGAAAAGTACCCAGACTTTTATGTGAACTCTCCAGACTTTGAACTCTTGCCAACTAAAGATTTTGTTTTTGAAACATGACAGGGAACACAAAAAAATACATCTATAGACTGGAGTTTTTCCTCTGGCCACCAGTTTGTGACCTCTGGTCTAAACTCTCATACTTGTTCTCCGGTCTTCACAGGCTATTTCATCTATCCAGTATTGATTCTTGATGCTGTTTCAAACATCCTGAACTTTGGATGGACATGATTCTCTCCTCTGTCCTGAGCATAGCAGGCCATTCTCCTTTCTATAGCTTAGACTCTCTCTGCAATTACCCAACATGGAACACTTCCTCTTGCCCTCTGGTTATCCGGTGAGACCCAACTTAGGTCCTTGGTGCAGAAGCCTGTCCCCAGCTACTCCAGGCTCCACTCGTCACTTAATCACACACTCAGCTAAGTGTGCTAGACACTTAAGCACTCACCTGTCATTCTTCATGGTTGACTGTCAGTGCATGTGTCTTATCTTCATTGATGCCCTGAGGCATTGTAGACTCTCATACGTGGATGGGACCATACACGTGGCCTCTCATACATGGATGGGACTTCAGAAGACACAGTGAACCTCTTCTGCAACATCTTTTCTCTTACATGCCTCTGGTGACAAGGAGCTCACAGCCCTGCAGGCACCTGTGCCCGCTTTAGACAGCTGTGACCCTAAAATGGGTTTGTTTGCTTCATCAAGCTGAAATTTGCCTCTTCCCATGCTTTTGTTTTCCTTGGGCATTTCCCTTGAATTATTTTGCCCCTTGTGCAGTTGTTTTCTGAATAAGGAAGACTGTCATCAGTCAAAAGGACCCTTTCTTATGGGTCTAATGTGGAATTTTAATAGGGTTTTGAGAAGAAGCAGTGTTTTTATTTGGAAATAGACCATAAATGTACACAAGTTCTCTCCCGTCAAATTCTGAGGGAGATTTTAGTAATAGTTACCTATATTATGCCAATTCCATACGTTTTCTTTTGAAAGCACTTTTCTTTTGAGATTTCTACTTTTACCAGTATCAATAAACATTCCTAAAGTTGTGACCATATGCTTTGCTTGATATTATATCTCTTTGGAGAACTGGTTTCCTTTTTTCTTCCAGACAATCAAAAGTCTAATTATATGTCTGTTAAGTTTTAAATCTCATAATATGTTGTAATGCTTAGATTCATCACTTCTGCTGGATATTATGGATATGAGGATATAATGTGTGTTGTGACACTCAGCTGTAAAAATAAAGGTATTTCCAGATTTGAAATTGTCTTAAGTAAGCAGACTTTTGAGACTAAAGCTTTCCCTTATTATTTTATAATACACTGGAAATTACATTTCAACAGTAGAATTCCATGTTATGGTATTGGCAACTGACCAGACTGCTTACTGTAAATTCATTACTGTTTTTGTGTGTTTTCAGGTGCTGTGATTCTCTTGGGAAGAACCAATATGTTTCGCTTTAACCATCCAAAGGAAGCCGCCAAGCTCAGGGAGAAGAGGAAGGTGAGGGACACGGCGTCTCTAGGAGGGAACCACTGATCGTATGTGAGGATGAGTGGGTGGTGGTCACTCTGGTTCCAATCTTTTGACTTTCTGGGGTGCAGAACCGTGGAAAAGTAGTTCTGTGATCTGGATTGATTCTAGGGAGATTGTTTCCCAGCAGATGATTGGCTGATGAAGTAAGAGAGCAAGCAAGTAAATTCTAGAGCAGACAGGGAGAAACTGCTCCTCCTAGATCCTTCTCTTCAGCCTTCCACCCTTCCCACCAAGGAACTGGGCATCATTTTGCATTAGGTGGAGAGTGACTTCCTCTAATCAGCATCTGTTAGGAATTAACCCAACATTGGAATCACATTAATCCAAAATCAGCCACAGTAAACAGATTTTTCATTGAGGTGGGAAGCGAGAGCAGGGGTGGGTTTAGGACAACTGGGAAAGACTTTGGTTTGGTTGGAAGGGGACGTCTAAAGGGCAGGACGTTTAAGTGCTGATGGGGAAGGAGCTAAGGACCAGAGAAAGAAAGAAAGAAATCTGTTCAGGGACATCGTGGCTGGTCCTTAGACTGAAGAAAATAATAAAGGCTACAGCTAACATTTCTACGAGCCAGGAATGGTGCTAAACTTGTACATATATTCTATCTCTTTATCTGTGCAGCAGCCGTTAATACCCCCATGCTATCACCCCCAGGTCAAGATGAGAAACAGACCAAGAGCAACTCTCCCTAACTTGTTCTGTAGCCGGCAAATGGGGAGCTTTGGCTGCAGTACTGACTTGAATACCAGAAGTGTTTGCCCTTGACCACTGGTTACCCAGACTCTCATTTCTGTCTCCTTTATAAGGGATGCCCGAGGTTGCCAGTGCCCTAATTGGAAAATAGCAAGAAAGCTGCAAACCTCAGCCTTCTCCTGGGTGGCTTTTTCCGGCCAGTGGAGCCTCTTATCTGCTCTAGCCCAGGGTCTCCCTAGAGGGTCGTTTTTGGTACACAGTTTCAGAGGAACAGAGGGAAAAAACATGTTTGCCAATAGCTTCCCTTGGAAGCAAAATAGGTCAAGCTCTTACTTTTGGTCTCCCTTCACCCCTCCTGCCTTCTTCTTTATCGTTCTAAGTGTGAGGGAATATCGCTGATTATAGGAGATTGCTGCCTGCCAGGTAATGGAGGATGGCAAAGATATTGTGACCCCTTTCCTTGACTTTAACCGGCAGGGGAGACCAACTGGGTTGTGGAATTCCTGATGAATTTCCCCAGCCCTAGAAGGCCAAGGTCCTGCTGTACTTAGGAGAAGGCTCGGGTTTGAAATGTATCAGGGCCTTACTGCCCATGATCTGCTTTCCTCAGATAGACCAGTTAATTGTGGTGCGTGTTAATTAGGAGCATGTGCACCTCATTGTCTCTCACATGTTGGAAGCAATGAGTCCAGAGCAGTGGCCTTTTCTTCTCTGCTAAGGTAACCACTCTGCCCTGTGTCTGCCCTTAGAGTGGCCTTCTGTCCTCCTTCAGCTTGTCCATGACCGACCTCTCGAAGTCCCGTGAGAACCTGTCTGCAGTCATGTTGTATAACCCCGGGTGAGTGAACAGCAGCATCTCCTTCCCTGTGATGATCACTTTTGCATTTATTGTGCCAACTCCATTATAGTCACAAGGTAAAAATAAAACTTCTGCAACGGCGCCTCCTTATCAAATCAGCCACCGTCATTTTCCGAGTTCCTTTCCAGCCCTTACTATATATGTGCATAATTTTACTTAGTTATAATCACAACATAAACAGTTTTGCATTTTCTGATTTTTTGCTTAACAGCATAATAAGCATTCGTGAGTGTTGTTACAAGCTTCATTATCATTTTCATAACTGTCTAATATTTTAGAGTTGGCACTTTGATTACTTAGTGCATGATCCCTTTGGCTTACGCACTTTTATCTCGTTTTATAAATTATAACAGAGGCAGCCTGATTCTTAGGCCATCCAATGGAGCAGGAAATTATCTTCACTACTTCGAACACTAGGGGACTGCTGAGAGCACAAATGAGAGTGTTTTAAATTGACTTAGTGGCTGGGTGACCTTGGACAGTCAGCTTAACTCATGTCCTTAGTGCTTCATCAATAAAATGACAGTGATAATGAAAATGCCTAAAAACAGGGAACTTTGAGGGCCCTTTTCGGTTGTGAGAGGTTCCATAATTTTATCTTTCCTACCAGGATAATCTCATGTAAAATAATGGAGGTAAATCAAATGGCTGAACAAGTGAAGTAACAAGAACAACATTTTCTAGAACTGTCATTTATTTAGTAGTTACTATATGCCAGGCACTATGTTAAGCACCTTGAATCCGTGATCTTTTAATTCTCACAAACCTATTCCCATTTTACATGTGGGGAAATATTTATACATTTGCTCTCCGTCAGTTTCATAGTCAGAGCTGAAGCATGCATCCAGGTCTATCTGATTCCATCACTCATGCTTTGACTCTGTCACCTCCTGCAGTTGGGGGACTGGTTCCATTTTCCATTGCTCCCTCACCCCCAACCCTGGGATTTCTCACAAACATCAAGCTGTGTGCTGAAAGCCATTCACTCCTTCAGCCCAAGCCAGTGTTCTGGTTTGTGGAAAGCAGATACCTACAAGGAATTTCTTCAGTGTCATAGGAGGGATCTTTGATCACATTTCTGGATTCCTCATTTTATGGGCCAGCAAGCTGAAGCCCAAATCCAACACCTGCCTGAACTTAAGAAAAAAAGCCATGTAGTACAGCACTGTGGCTGTGGACTCCTGGGCGCCCCCACCCCCGCTTTCCAGGATTTCTGGAAGCACCAGCAGTTGACTCCCTTGTGTCAGCCTTTGTCTTTCCTATTTGGTCTTTCCATTTTGTTACATGGTCATTGAGGAAAGTTGTGCTCATTAAATAATTCTGTCCTGAAATAAGCCATATCAATCAGACCTCTGAAATGGGAGAACATTCTCAGAGCAACTAAATGGTAAGTACTTCAGAGGCACGTTTTGTTGTAGGTCTTTAATTCCTTACAGTAGTTTTAGCAGTTGCCTTTTATTGTGACCAAGATGGAATCACTAATGTTTAAGTTTAATATAATACACAGATCTTTAGTGTAATTTCAGCTAAAATAGTGTGATCCCATCCGTTAAATATTGTTTGTCTAGTTAAATTGTCTGTGATATGAAGAGTGCTGGCTTGGTTTTGTCTCCTGGCCCAGGACCCAGTTAGTTAATCCTGGAATCCAGGTACTATCGTTATTATCCTCCACAGTGGTGGTACCTTTTAATGTGAAGCCATTTGCTAATGTAATATGGCTATTCAATGGCTTTGAAAACCAAAACGCTATCTTCACTCAGCCTTTCCTTTGAGCACAGGGTCACTAGCCATGGGCCCCTCTTTGCCTTACATATATACGTGAGATGGAAGTCTTTCTTTTTTCTCCCTAAAACAGGAGAAAGTGTAGTTCTCTTAAAAGTAATGCCATTTTTTGTTTTTAGTTTTTAAGTTCAAATAGTTTTCCTCAGTGTTTACAAAATGCAGGTCAAAGTTACTAGTTTTCATCCTCAGAACTTTTCAGTGACTTTCCATGGTCTAAAAAATAAAGTCCCAGCCTGCACCATGTCACTCGGGCTGTCCACTGTCTGTGCTCATCTCTGGACCTCTCTCCAGGTGTTCTGAGCTCCAGTTTTCTGCTGTTGTTTTATTGCTCAGTCACATGTGGACTAGCCTGTGCCTCTGGGGCTTTCCTTTGCTAGTTCCAGAGCCTGGGATGCATTTTTGCCTGGCTACCTACTCGTCCTCCAGGGCATAGTACAGACAAACTCTGCTGTGGATGCTATTCCTGACTTTCTTCCCCACAACCAAAAATCAATGTCCCTTCTTCACTGTACATTGCTCCATTTCTTTCCTCCTTATTTTGTCTTCTTTGTAACATATATTCATCTGTCAACAAATCCTCTCTGAATGCCTCCTATGAACCAGTCAGGATTCTAGGACGGGGGCACCATTGCCAGTAATCCTGAGAAGGTCAGCTTGCATGCTTGTTGGAGGAGAGACACAGTCAACAGATAATTTAAAAATAAATCCAGGAAGTGAAAATGAAATGAAATCAAATGTCTTAGGACAGTGTTTGATGGAGTGATCAGGAATGGCTTCCTGAAGAAGGGATGTTTGGTCTAAGACTTGTATGGAGAGAAAATGACACTCATAAAACAGAAAGGGGGAGAATGGAAAGCATTGAGACTGAAGGGGAAAGCAAGTGTGATGGCATCAAAATGAGAAGTGAAGAGAGGGCCAGAGTAGATGGGATATAGTAAGCAAGAAGAAGAGTGGTACAAGTGAGGGAGGGGAGGTCAAGGGCCAGCTAATGTAGGGCCGTGCTGGCAATTGGAAGGGGTTTGACTGTTTTTTAAGAGAGCTGGCAAACCACTAGAATGATTTAAGCAAGAGAGTAACCTGAAGATGTACTTAATACAAATATCAGGATGTATGCCATTTGGAGAATGTGGCATAGAAGCAGAAGACCATTTAGAAAGCTATTTCCTTAATCCAAGTGAAAGGTAATAGTGGCTTGGATCTGCACTTTAGCCATAGAAGTGGAGCAAAGTAGAATCAAGGAATTAAGAGTAACTCCCAGGATTCAGGTTTAAACAGCTGCTGCAGGTGGTACACTCTTCCCTGAGATGGGGGAGACAGGGAGGACAGGCCTGGGCTAGCAGTCGAGTAAGAACTCTGCTTATGTATACTTCCTATTAGAATGGAAGCTTTTTAAGGTCAGGGGCCTTGTGTTATTCTTTTCTGTATAAGGTGTCATTCACATAACATGCTTAATAAAAATTCTGTAAACAGATTAAGAATAAAATTTTAGTAAGACACCTGAGTCCCTTTGGGAAAGGCTTTTAAAATTTCTTTGGGCGTGGATGTTCCAAATACTGGAATGAGACATATTATGCAGAGGAATGTGGTTTTGTGGCCTAATCTGTCTGCCTAATCCCAGGGGATACTGCAAGTCCCAGGGGATGCTGCAGTTACTTGAATAATCTCAAAATCATGTTCAGGATCTTTAAGCCATAGGTGGGAAGAGGGCCTCATCTTGAAATGAAGAACTAGGCCAAGGCAATCAGAGAATTCGGGAGAAGCAATCTGTTTTAGACTGAATTACAGTGGTTCTGGATGCATCTGACGCTACCATTATGCAGCCTGTTGACCTGACTTCAAGTACACATTTTCTCTCTGCTACCCCTTGCATTATTCATTGACACAAATTCAAATAAAAATTATTTAATACTTCATCATACTTTCTCTCTGGTTCCCAGGCCCCTGCAACTTGCCACCTGCTGTAGAAAGTAATTGCCCATCAATTTTAGTTGCCTGAGGGGTGGGTTTCCAGGGCCAAATCTTCAGTTAACATTCTTCCCCATGGTAATGACTTTTAAGTGTACAGTTCAGTAGTGTGAAGTGCATTGACATTACTGTGCAACCAGTTTCGTCTTGCCAAACTAAAACTCTGTACTCATTAAATATAACTTCCATTCCCTCCTTCCCCCAAACTCCTGACAATCAGCACACAACTTTTGTCTCCATGAGTTTAACCACTTAAGTAGAATCACTGGTGTGTCCTCTTCTCACTGGCTTATTTCACTTAGCATAATGTCTTTGGTTCATGTTCATCCACCATATAGCATGTGTCAGAACTTCCTTTCTTTTTGTGGCCAAATAATATTCCATTTTACGGATATACCACATTTTGTTTATCCATTCATCTGTTGATGGACTCTTTGATTGTTTTCACCTTTTGGCTATTGTGAATAATGCTGCTATGAACATGGGTGTCCAACTTGTTTGTTTGAGTCCTTGTTTTCAACTCTTGTGAGTATGTACCCAGAAGTAGAATTGCTGGATCATATGGCAGCCCTATTTTTAATTTTCAAGGAACTGCTATGCTATTTTCCACAACAGCTGCACCATTTTGCATTCCCACCAACAGGGCACAAGGGTTCCAGTTTCTCCATATCCTCATCAGCACTTGTGATTTTCTGTTTTTATAGTACACATCAAAATGTGTGTGAGGCAGTATCTTATTGTATTCTTTTCATCTTTATTTTCTTCTTCTATTTTCTCAAGAGTGTCCATTGTTGAAAATGGTGTTTAAAAATATAGAAAGAAAATCTCAAAATGTAGTTCCCCTGGTAAGTATAGCAAATAAATGATGAATGTAAATCTAACCTGGATGGATTTCCTGATGATTACATGACCTCTCTCATGTTCTGCCAAGTTCAGTTCAACTAGCTCATTTGCATGTTTCTCAAAACCCAGTCAGTCCAAGGAGTGCCTGTAGCCAAGGAGCAGCATGGTCATTCATCCTTGCATTGAAAGGCATTGCTCTGACCTCTCAGAAATTGGCTGGGCAGCACAAGCCCTGGAGAAGCTCACAAGGATCCTAGAGGTGAGGGCCTGAACTGAGGCAGCAGTGGGAGGAACCTAGAAGGGTGAGCTACAGAGACAGTCAGGGCAGGAAGTCATGAGGTTTGGATAATGAATTGGATATGGGATGTAATGAAGGAAAAGATGTTGACTTCCAGTTTCTGGCTTCAGTAACTGGTTGGGTGCTGCTTGCCACCCAGCTGAAACAGAAATATGGGAGGAAGAGGAGCAGGTTGTCAAGAGGAAGGGAGGATAATGAGTACAACCTTGAAAAACTAGGCCCTGGGCCTTGAACTTTCTCCTGTAAGTGACTATGACTCCGTCAACGATCAGACACCCCATGGGAAAAGCTCGGGTTTGTGTGGCCTGTCACAGGTGATATTTCTCCACTTGGAAGATGAAGGCAAATCCCCCTGTTGAATAAAATAGATGTTCACAGCCCTGCCGTTTTACATCATTCATTCAGTGGTGCTTGAGGGCCCATCATTTGTCCAGCCCTGTGCTGGGGCTTGAGTGATTGAGACAGACCGAGGCTCAGTCATCTCAGAGCATGATTTAGTGAACAGGGAAGACACTTGTAAAGCCTGTTAGAAATCAGGACGGTGGTAGTATTATCTTTTCACATGCCAGACTTGGATGAGTTTGAAGATCTTTAAATTAGGGAAAGCCACACATGTCACCCCAGACCTGTGCTCCCAATGCATTGCATCTCATTGTAAGTCACCTCCTAGGGTACCTACATAGTCACCAAGCCCTGTGAGCAGTCTTGTAGCTTCAGCAGGTGACCAAGCCCTGCTGAGAAGTGCGGAGTCTGGAGACCCTTAACCCCATATTTGCCTCATCACCTCTCCAGAACCAGTTTTAACAGGAATCAAAAGCATTGATGGCACCTCCTACTCAAACAAACTTGTTTCAGAGCTTTCTTCTGCTCTTTATTACTTTCCCCCTCTTAGGCCAAACTAGGGGCTGACCCTCTTAATTGTTGTGTAATACAAAGCAGGTGTCTATTAAATGTTTGCTTCCCTGCCCGCCCCAGTATACACAAACACAAACACGCCTCCTGGCCTCCTCCTCTGTGCTAAGCCCTCATGCTGGCTTCTGCCTAGCAATGCTGGGACTCCCCTCCCTTGCCCAGGTCCCTGTGAAGCCGCCTGCTTTCCTGTCGGTTGATAACAGTCATCACCCACTCTATCCCTTGGGAATTTTTTTCCTTCCGCAATTGGCTCTACATGAGTACTTTGTCCTCCTAGCACTCTTCCTCTTGTTGCCCCCACCTTCAGCAAGTATATAGGGATCTTTCACTCTGGGAAATCTTGTCGTCCATCACTACCAAAGAACATGTAGGACAGATTTTTTTTCCTTAAATGGACAATGTGGTCAGTACATGAGGAGCAGCAAATGTTGCAGAGCTCCGATTGGCATGGTTACCACTGTGATTCCTGACTTTCTCTATCTGATGGCACAGGGAAGACTTGTGGGCCTGTCCCTGGAGTCCTGTCCCTGCCATGAACCTGAGGAAGGAGCTCACCACACCTCCTTAGCCCTTCCTGGTCACCCCCTCCTCCTCTTCTCAGCTTCTGGCCTGGCCCCTCAGTACCTACCAGGTGGTGACTTCCAAGCATCAACTCAACCTGATCATCTCTGACTTTGTTCTCCAATGTTATTTTCAGTCACTCTCCACTCGGAACTTTATCCTGTGATTTACATGGGTCACACCTTTCTCCAGGCCTCTGCATCTGTAATACTGTCTGTGACGCCTTCCCCCTCTTCTTCCCTTGGCCAGTCCTCTTCCTCTTTTGAGCTGAGCATAGAGTCGTATCCTCAGGAAGCTTTCTGTGCATTTCCAGTTGGAGCTAAGTGCTTCCCGTGTATCCTCTCGCAGGCATTTTGTGCATTCCTGTATCTTAGCTCTTTCCAAATTTGTTCATTTGATGTTTGTGTATTTAATTGATGTAGGCTTCTTGAGGGCAGGCACTATGCTTCATTTATCTCTGAATCTCCAGAAGACCCCACAGAGTGGGCACCTCACAAATATTCATTGAGCTGTAGGTTTTGGCCAGCACATGTGCTCTCAGCACAAAGGATGCGTCTGCCCTCTCACAGGTCTGCCCAGGTCTTTTGTCAGTGGTCCCTGTGTGCTGTTTTCTATCTCCACATTACTTGGCCCCTATCTTTGTGAGTCTCTCACCCACACAGATGTGTTTCTACAAGTTTGGTGGCATTACAATTACCATACCTCTTGGTTTCTTTGGTATTGTGTAGACATGAGTATGTTTTTGCAATTGACTGAAAAATTGCTGCATAGTACTCAGTTTTTCCCAGAACAAAGCTCTCCAAAAGAATGACTGGTTTGCAAATTATTGTATCCAGTAAGCTCCAAGTTATCCTCAGAGCAATGTGATTTTTGTCTGTTCAGCAGGCCATCTACTAATTTTCTAAACAGCCCATGTCTAAAAAATACCCTGTGGTCTGAATTATAGTAAGATTTGCAGTTTTAAAAGCAAAGTTCTTGTTCCCCAAGAACATTGTATCAGCCTAACTGGGCACATAGAGTTGGAACATAGTTTGGGAAATTACTGCTGGCCCACACCTCAAACTCTCTGGAAGCCATGATTTGTACGCACACATGCGTGATACTTGGTGCCAGAGAATTTTTGGATTAGGCAGAGAAGCCTGGTGACTTCCTTTGGGAGTTAGTTCCACATTGGAGAGGTGCCCAGCCAGGGTCTTTGCCAGGAGATAATTTTCCTGCAGGGGAAACATTCCTCCTCAGCTGGTGCAGCGTCTTTAAGAAGAAACCAAGCCGACTGCTCAAGCCTCCTCTGCCTTGCTTTGAGACTGCAAACAGGCAGCTAATTTGGCAAGATGCAGAGGCTTTCACAGCTTCTTGAAAGTGCTCAAAGCAAAATTAGATAACTTCCAAGCTCATTTCAGTCTTGAAAATAAAAGAATTTTTCACTGGCACATTAGCCTCCTCTGAGCACTAACCAGTAGTGAGCCCATTTAGATGGATGTATTTGAATAATTAAATTCTAGCTTTCAAACCCAGTTAGAATATCAAAAATCAGGATTAAACCTGTTTCTGGTGAGCCATTGAAGGAGCATCATCCCAAGGAGTGCAGCAGCCTGAGGGGGTTTGGTTAGCATCAGGGCTAGTGCAGACCCAGCAGCCACGGAAGGCCCCTAACTCAGAGGTTGGTCTGAAGTCACCGACAATCGGGGAAGAAGACGAATGAGTGATACTTAAATGTATTTTTTACTTTAATGTGTTCATTATGGGAAATTTAGAAATCATAAGCAAAAAAAAAAAAAAAAAGCGACTACAGTTAACATGTTACCATACCTTCTAGCCCATACCTCTGTTTCTTCCACTGTCCATCTCTCTGTCTCTGCCTCTCCCTCTCTGTGTGTAGATGTACACACACATTTATATATGTACACACATTTATATATATATATTTATATTTTATATCTTTTACCAAGATGGATTAATATTGGACTTTAGAGTTCTTTGCACTTATTATTTTTTCTTTCATAAATTTTTTTACATTATTTTAATGTCCATATGATATTCCATTGTATGACTATTCCATACCTCAGTGCTCCCCAGCCTTTTTGGCACCATGGACCAAGTTTCGTGGAAGACAGTTTTTTCAGAGACAGGGACAGAGGAGGGGGATGGATGGTTTCGGGATCAAACTCTTCCACCTCAGATAATTAGGTGAGTCTCATAAGGAGCGCGCAACCTAGATCCCTTGTGTGTGGAGTTCATGATAGGGTTTGCGCTCCTATGCAAATCGAATGCTGGTACCAGTCCGCAGCCTGGGGACTGGGTACCCCTGCCGTACCTTATTTAACGTCTAGTGGTAGGCATTTTGTTGTCTGTTTTTTAACTATCACAAGTTATTGGGCTGAAGAGCTTTGTAGCTGAATCTTTGCATTTTCTCATGATTAATTCCTCAGCGGGGAGGAAGTAGCTGTAGAATTGCCAGGCCAGAGTACATATAGTTTTAAGGCTCTCGATGCATGTTCACAAATTATTTTACAGATTGTTTATACATATATCACCATCATTCCCACTGATAGATGAGACTATCCTTTTTATTTATTTATTTTTTCAAGCTGAAAATGGGCCTCCTTAGAGTGTTGAATGTGTCGATATAATTACACCCTCCTAGACACAGTTCTAGGCTGTATTCACAGGCCCTAGAGTCTAGGGAATCTGGCTAACAGTGGCTGTCTCTAAAAGCAAGTCCTGGCCATCCTGGTCATCACCAAAGACTCACCAAGCTCCTAATTAGTTCTGTGCTGAGCTACTTGCTGTACTAGAATGCTCTATGAGATTAGCATCCGCCTTCCTGGTGCTTTCAGATTAAGAATGGAAATGGATTTCTGGAATGTAAAGCTTGAAAGAACTAGATTCCAAATGTAGAGTTCTGGGATTTGAATACCAAAAGCCAAAGGCACCAAGGAGATAGTGAGGGCTTCTCCCCAGATGACAACATTTATATGAAAGGAAATAGTTTTGTTTTCCTCCCTGTGTCCCACTCCTTCCCTATTTCTTTCATATCTTCTCCCTTGGCCTCCCCTCTCCTCCCCTCCCCTCCCTTGGCCTCCCCTCTCCTCCCCTCCCCTCCCCTCCCTTGGCCTCCCCTCTCCTCCCCTCCCCTCCCTTGGCCTCCCCTCTCCTCCCCTCCCCTCCCCTCCCTTGGCCTCCCCTCTCCTCCCCTCTCCTCCTCTCCCCTCCCCTCCCCTCCTCTTCCCTCCTCTCCCCTCCTCTCCCCTTCCTCATCTCCTTTCTGCCTTGACTAAACTGGGAGGATGAATACATCACATTAGGGAGAGAGTAAGAAGACACCGATGACAGGGGTATGCCCTTTGTTGTACTGAGCCTTAGCTTTGCTGTCCACGACTGTACACTTCCAGAAAACAGACATAGAATCTAGTTTGTTGTTTACTCAGTGCACAGCAGCATACCTGGAACTTAGACGTCTAATAAACATGAACTAAGGGGAATGCACTTTTCCCCTTTGCTTTCTAACAATGTAGAAAGGGCTTCAGAAACAGAATCTGCTGGTAGCTGGAGATATTCTCAACAAGGTTTGCACCTTCATGTGAGGTCATGGTCCCCACTGCGTGTCCTGGGAGGGAAGAAGACCACATTCCCTTGCAAGCACACTTTTCTCTTCTCACTCACTCGCTGCTACTTTATAATTTGTCTTATCCTTTTTTTTTTCTTGCTCACCTTGAGCATGGACTTTTTATACATGGAGTTGGCAGTATTTATGTTGCTGGTAACTTGGTAGTTAGCCTGTGTTTTAGTTGATGGTTATTTACTGTGTTTATCTCTACTGGTTTATTTTATTGGGCCTTACCATTTTTCAAAAGTTTAGTTTGCTGCAAGGCTGGTTTCTTCTCCAGTTTTTGGTCTCAGTTGTCTTGCGTTTTTATGGACCATTTACTAACTTTACAGTTGGCTATAGATTGCCTTAAATAGCTTGTTAAGATACACAATCTTGGGGAACATGTGATGAAAGCAACTGAAAGAAGTGGGCTTCTTCCTCCATTAACTGAGATTAGTGTTAATTGGAGACTTGCTTTTTTCCTTTTTGTCCGTGAATATTATTCCACTGTGAGCCACTTTAACTGATGAGCTTCGGGTGTTTTCTGTTTTCAAAGTAGGTGGGGAGATGAGCTCTTAAATTCAAAGAACAATCTGTCTTTATTCAGTTACTTCAGATTGTATTGTCTGAGTGGTGGGATGCATTTTGCTTCAGCCATTTTATAACCACACAATCTAAAACTGAATTGTCAAGGTCAGCTGAGCAAATGAGACTGTTCTGGTGAAATGATGAATGGCAGTTACAGGCAATGGTGGGAGAAAGTAGGTTTCCTCCTAGTCCTACATGGTAGCATGATTTTCCTTGGCAGTAACATATTAACTTGATTACGTGTCACCGGCTCTGTAATTTGTTAACTCATTTGATTAGAACATGTTGCTAATTCAGTCAAGGTTTCCAGTTGTACACATTCATTTTTGCTTCTGGATCTTTGCATATGCTATTCTCTCCTTCTAGAACACTTGTCCATTTGTCCACCGGCTCTTCACATGACCAAATCCTACATTGTCTCCAAAATCTCCATGTAAATGTCACTTCCTCAAAGAGGATTTACCAAACTCAGTCCAAATTTTACCTCCTGGGCTACTTATTCATAGCATCCTCTATCTTTTCTTGTTAGCACTTTAAGTAGTTGGTGATTATATCTGTTTGTACAACTGTCTACTCTTGGTCTCTGTATTTAGTGGTAAGTGGAAGAGTCTGGTTTTTTCAGTACTGTATTCCAACTTCTAAGTAGGTGTTTAAGGGAATAATTCTTGACTGAATGTGTGTATGTGTGAACTGTTTCCAGATAAGGAACTTCCATACCCTCCTTTTATCACAGACCATGACTCTTAACCTGCAATGGCTGGCTTCCAAGTCAGTGACACCGTATGTTTAACCATCACCAGCAACTCCCGTATCTCATGACCTAAGGTTAATTGTCATCATTGTTGGAAATAAATTGAAATGAACCACAGATTGATAGAAGCAAAGCAGAAGTAAAACAATTGCTATAACCAGTGTAGATTGAAAAAATTATTTTAAATAGGTAGTTACTCCCATTATAAAGTGAAATGCTTATTATAAAAAGTAACACATTCAGAAATGAATAAAGTAATCACAAGTATTCATAATCTTTTCACCAAGAAAACATGATTGGTTTATATTTGTAATATTTGCTTATATTTTAAGTACATATATTTAAGTGTACATCAGATATTGTAATTATGCATTATATAGAGTATTTAAAAAACAGAATTGAGATTGCACTAGATATACAGTTTCTACTTTTTTTAAACATTTAATTGTGTGCTTTTTCTCACGCCGTTGAATATGATTCTTCATTTTATGTTTATATCATTATTGATTTAACTTTTGACTAATCATTAAAGACACTCAGAACTATTTCCTTTTTTTTCCATGTAAATTGTTGATAACATTTCAATTAATCTTTATATAAATCTTGGTCTGCTTTGTTATTTTGTCAGCTAAATCCACGCCCAGAATTCTTTCTTTGATGGCAACTGCTGCTTAAATTAAAGCAACTTGGGGAGGAATAAGGAGGGAAATGTCAGGGAGAGAAATAAGGGAAGGAAGGACTATACCACTGGGTTGGAGACCTAGAAAAGAAAATGCACTGCAACAGAGAGCTGAGCATGGCAGACAGGCTGGTGCTCTGAGACCTCTGGCAGCCCTGGTCTGGGATACAGAGGCGCACATTTTCAGCATTGCCTGGTTAGGCGTATCGGCATGTTGTCTTTCACATGTGCGATCTCAGAGGCGTACACATGTGTCAGGTGGACTTGCAAAGCTCTTCACTTCAACAGTGTATCGTCATGGCAGAGGAACTGCGGTGCCTTTTATGAATCTCTTTTGCATCTTCAAGTTTCCCTTCTCTGTTCTCTGTTCCCTCTACCCACAAATGTGCACAGTGTTTCTTTCCTTAAACCAGCCCCTTCTTGGGCCACCCACTATAGACGTCACCAAAATGGTTTTTCAGGATAATTTCCCATGTACATTTCCAACAATATAAAATTGTGTACATAAATCATGGTGCATCTATGTTATAGAATCCCATGATATTAAACTATGTTGTAGAATAATAGTTAATGATTTGCTGATTTGTCCAAGGTGTATATTATGAGGAAATGATTAAATAATAGACTCTCTGGTAGGCTCTTCTCTGTGAGTGCATCTGTATGGCCGGAAAGGCTGAGGGCTGGGAACAAAATAAAGGAGTCATGGTGTAGGACACTTACCTGTGCTTTCTAAATTTTTTGCAGTGAATTATTGTAAACATGAGAGCATGCAGGGTATTAAAAGTTATTTCTTACGGCAAAGAGATGGACATCGGTTGACACCATCTCCTCACTCAGGTGGTCTGTAACTCCTTGTCATTGTGTTTCTGGCTGTGAAGCTCATGCCACTGTCTTCAAAACACTACCCATAGAAATCACCGGTTGAAACCTACTCTGTGCCTTACAGAAAGCCCTCAGGATACATGGTCAGCCAGGTGGGGATCTCTGTCCTCTGAAAACCCCAGTGGAGGGGGAGACAACCTCTGCCCTCTGTGACCTGAAAGGCCCTGAGTGGTGTCCACCCTAGCTCCCTCTTGGGCCATGATTCTTCTCTTGTGGCCACCCTCCCTTGGTTTCTTCTCCTGCTGGCACCATGTGGTCCTTCTGTACTTCCATTGTCCTGCACACATCCCCTCCTGGCCTGTGGCCTGGCTCATCCCTCATGTTGGCACCAGATGCATCTTCATGGCCACTCCCTTCCTTCATGCAGCTCTGTCCTGAATGTCCTCTTCTCAGTCCTTCCTCTTCCCCAGCTTTATGCTTTTTCATAGTACTTATCTCACGGCATACGCATTATGTATTAGTTAGCTCAACCCCACACTGGTATAGAGGTTTATGAGGGAAGAGACTTGATTTCTTTTGCTGAGACCACAGTGCCTAGGATAGTGCCTGGCATGTTGACCAGGTGAATTATGGGCGAGTGAACCACCAGTTCCTGAATGTCCTGCCCCGTGCTGTGATAGAGGACTCATGGGCAGGGGAGGCAGAAGAGAAGCTTGCCCAGGAAGGTGCCCTCGAGAGTGTGTCATCTGGACCTTTAATATTCTGCTCACAGTCTAACTTCCCTGTTATTTCTCATCACTTCCCTTTATTTAATCAGAGCAGTAGCCAGCTGAGGCTCTGTATAGCTTCCTCTGTGTACCTCTCATTTGTCTTCCTTCTGTTTTTCTTCCACTGGATCTTCCCCCACCCACACTATGCTCATCACAATTCTATCCGTTTTTCAAGGCCAAGCTCAGACAACACCTCCTCTGCAAGGCTTCCTCTCATCCCTATAAATGCTGTCCCTCCACCCCGTCTCCTGTTGAAAACATGCCCTTTCCCACTGGGCTCCTTACATTCTGTGTGATCGATATATGAGCATGTTTTCTTTCACTCTGTTTCACTCACTTAAGAGTATCCAAAGGCACGCTGTCCATTCTTTATTCTACTCAGAGTCCTGCCTGTTCACAGCAGGTGCCAGGACAAGTTTTGTTGTATATGTAGAATGCATGGCTGAAGGAAGTGGGAGGAAAATTATGTGGTGCATTCTTCTGGTTTGTCCAATGGGAAGAGGTATATTTTGTAATGATGGATCATTTTTAACTTTTGAGAGGCTCCTTCTGGTATAAAAAGTACCATGGTTTGGTTGAGAAGGTGAGATAGAATTCCAGCCTGGGTAGAAGAATGGATGAGGAGTTGGAAGAGGTGGGCTTGAGTCCAGACTCTTAAAAGGAGTTCACCTGGGCCCTCTCTCTCACACTCTATGGGCCTCATTCTTCTGGCCTGTAAAATAGGATGGAGGGGCAGGGGAGGTGGGGTGTGTACGAGTTCATTGTATGATCTATTTCAAGTGTCTATCCAGTCAGACTGCCTGTGATCCTCTGGCTTGATTAGGAAAGCCTCTGGGTTTCACATCTATGGTCCTAGCTGTCATTTTCAGAGCAAGTTATACCATTGCTATGAGAAATAGGCCGGGGAGAAACTTAGTGAAAATGCTTATGATATCAAATTTTATTATTTTTTAAAAAACCAATCCTTTTTTCTTAGGGCACTTTCCATTTGCAATGCAAAAGGCTTAAGACTGGCTCCTTGGAAAGTCTTTAGTGAGTACCTTCTAGACCAGCAATTTGGAAATTTATTAGAAAACCATTCCCAGAGTGTTTTGAATTTTTAAGTTATAAACTCTGACGTTTACTTAAGAGGGTTTAATTTCACAACCTTCTAGAATAAATTGCATTGTGAGACTTCTTGTATCCCACCCCCATCTTGATACACACCCCTCGAATTGTAATTTTATGTAAGTCCGCCTACTGTGGGATACCCTGACAATGATTTGAAAAAAGGGTGAGTGGGAGTGAGTAGTGTAGAAATTCTAATTGTCTCTACAAAACAGCTATTCCTACCTTTCTAATGAAAGTTTACCTGAGAGCTAATTCACACAGGAAAGACTTCAAGGCCTTTCCATGAAGAGCTGGAAACCTGATGGATGGCTGGGTTCTTCTTTTCATCAGTCTCCCAGAGCCTACCCTGGGTGAAATAACTGCTTTCTGCTTAGCCTTCAAGGAACATCTAGAATGTTAGGTTCACAAGGCTAGGAAGAAGATTGGATAGGACAAGCACAAACCCCTTCACCCAAATTCAAACATTCTCTTTAGTCTTTAAGATCCCCTAGTCTCCATGGGATTTGCTCAGTTGTGAGGTGCTTGAGAAGGCTGAAGTTTCCTAGGGGATGGTAGTGTGGTGAAAAGGTCAATCATTTTTTGTCTAAACCATTGAAGAACCCTCTGTAGTCGGAACTAAACCCTAGTGAAGCATCAGGGAAAGGTGAAACACCGTCCATTGAGTTCTAGTCCTTTTCTGGTTCTCTGGACTGAGGAATACTACCGAGCATTCCAGGCAAAAGGCCAGGAGTTCTTTCAAAGATGACATATGCTTGATCAGAACTAGCTGCATAATTTGCAGAGTTCAGTACATATTGAAAGTTGGGCCTCTTGTTCTAATATCATTAAGAATTTCAAGATGGCCACAGCAGAGAATCAAATATGGGACCTGTCTGAGCACAGGGCCCTGTGCAGCTGCATGGGTCACATGCCCATGAAGTAATCCCTATATTTGACAGTAGCCTAAAAGTCACCTAGGAAAAAGCCAGGCCTACGCATTGACCAAGAAGTTTTTCCTTGTCTGATCATGTGCCCACTGAGATAATAGAGTAATATCCATGCCAGGAACTTTACCAATATGACTGTCCCATAGGGAGACCGCCTCTGTTGCCAGGGGGTCTCCCTTCCGTGCATGTTGTGGGCTGGACTCAGCTTCCGTTACCCTCCCTATCTACCCGCACTGCAGCTGCCTGCTCAAGCATTGACTGGACCTGGGCAGTCATACTCTGTTTAGAAACTGAAACGACATCATAGGTACAACACGAATCACCATGAAGACACACAAGGATGCAGGTATTTATGCTTTCAGTTCATTTAAATCTTCCTCACTTCTCTCTCCTCCCTTCTTTCTCCCTCCCTCCTTCTTTATGGTATAAGCTGAGAAATTCCCACCCCCTCATTTTTTTATTGCCGATGATAACAGGAAGATTAATTGAAGTATGTGCAGTTATACCTAAAAATGGTAGATCTCTTTTAATGTAAAAGAAAAGGCTATCTCTGATTTAAAAAAAAAAATAGGTTGTATGCTATGCTTTTTTTGTTGGACTTAACACAGTAAGTATACTTCCAAGTGTCATTTAAAAATGTTAAAAACACCTGCAAAAATTACATTCTTTGTGGTTTCCTTTTAATTATAACATTTGGGAAATTAGAATGGGGGGCCATGATAATTCCAGTAAAGTAAGATAATGAATTACACATATTTAAAATAAAGCCACCTTCAAATACAATTATTCTTGATGTTCTCTCCTTGATAATGACACACTCACATTTATATTTTACATTCTACTGAGTTTTACTATCCCAAATAATTATCATTGATTATGGAAATAGGTGCATTTTGGAGTATGATTAGTAAATATGTAATATTTAACAGAAATGATCCAGTGTGAGCAGCAACTCATATCACTGCATATCTAAAAATCTCTCTAACTTTGGAATGACTCTCCCCTCATACTGTTTGTGATTTAAGACCAAACATCTTTACGGCATTTTTTGTTTGTCTTTTAAATGTTACTCTTATTTTTGAGGAAACAGGTATCATTATTTACTAAAGGCATTTTGCTTTCAGTAGAAAACAACCAAAGTTTCTACCTATTTAGAGACTGGTCACAGAAAGAAAATCACAAGTCTTCATTAAGAATTAAAATGAGAATCTCTCTCTGATTTCTGACTCAGTACTTTACAGTACTACCTTCAGAGGCCAGAGCAACAGCCTCAAGCGCCTGATCTTGACAACTTCCCTTAATACACGTACTTCCCCTTCTCCATCCCAATCAGACACTCTAAAGTGAAGGCTTCGCCTGAGGAGGACCTATGATTTCACCAATCCAGAGACTCTTAGATCCTCCTCCAAGCTGCTCCAGACCACCCTTCCTCTGCCTGCTGGAGCACTTATGAGCCTCACTTGGGACCGCTGCCTGTCCCACTTTTTGCCTTTCGCACTCTTTGACTGTCCGTACAGTTGCCTTCTCCTCCCCTTCCAGACATTTCCTTCTAAGCCTTTCATCATTCTAAGTCGTGATGTTATCTTCAGTGATTCTTTGAAACTAACTCATCTTGCAATCTAGTTACTTAAATAGCACTCCCTTCTTCAGCATGGAGACTTTCTTTGATTTCTTTTCCTGTAAGCCTTGTCTTGTCGCCACTTACTTCCCTATCCAATTAAGTCCCTCATCTCCAGCACTTGAGCCATCCACTTCCCAGATCATCAGATGATCCTTCTGTTCTTCCACTTATGTGAGTCTCATTGATTCTAGAACCATTGAGCTATCTCCCCACCCTAAGCCTATACCTAGACATCTAAGCTCAGTGCAACCGAGAAAACCACATCAACACAGAGATCAGTGCCCCTGTAAATTAATAGTCTCTAAGCTTGAATGATGCCCAGCCAGCCCTTTCTGCTCATTTCCTCCATCAGTTCTCTTGCCCACCGGCCCCTTCATTATTACAAATAATGTTCCTGACTCTTTTACTTCTAACCCTGCTATTATTTCTCCTCACTCTTATGAAGAGGAGTCATTAGGCAGAGGAGCTTGTTCCTGACTCCATATAGAACACAGGAGTCCTAAGAGAGCAACACCTTTGAATCCCATGTCTGCTTTGCATTCATCCTTTTCTTCTTCTTCCTGTCCCAATGAAAAAACTCCCCTTTTGCCTTTCTCAGACTAACTGCCCCTACCTGTACTATGGATGCTATAGGATTAATAGCTAGTATTTATTAACTAAGTTAACAGTGGTTGTGAGTACCCTCATTGGATCCTCTCACCCACTGAGGACTAGGATTATTTTTGAGCCTGTGTTCAGATGAGGTAATTGAGGTGTAGGAAGGTTGAGAGATTGTCCCTTGGTCATATAGGAGCCAGAATTTGGTCTGGGCTGCACCCATGCCTGAACCCTTGCTCTCAGCTATGGCGCTACCCTTTCCTTTCCTGCCCGCTCAGAGACCTCTCTGTCTATCAGATATTCCCAGCCTCTTCCCATTTTTTCACTCAATCTCTCTGTCTCCTGCTTGTTGATACAAGGATTTAAATAGGCACAAGTCTATTTCATCTGTTAAAATGAGCACCCATTCTCCCAAAACCACCACCTCCCCTTTACAACTAAACCTACCAAGAAAGCGCTCTACTGTATTTACATTCACCATCTCCAGGTTCCTCTCACTCACTCATCAGACCTCTGCAGTCCAGCCCCAGCCCCAGCCCAGCAAAGGTCTCTCCAAGATGAACCTCCACGTCATGAAGGTCATTGGGTGCTCCTTGGGCTCTGCATTTTACTTGGCATTCCTGGGTTATTCCATGCTACTGATCTCTTTCTCTTTCTTTAGATACCCTCTTCCCTCTGCCCTTTCCAGATTTTTCTCTGAGTCTCTAACTGCTCACTCCCAGCCTCATTAGAGGGCCATTTATCTCTGCCCGTCACTGTGAAGTCTGTAATCTTTCTGACTTTGCAGCAAGCTCCTTTATTCTCCTTCTACACGTGTGTCCTGGGTAACCTCACCCACTCTTGGGGCTTCAGTTCTTGTCAACATGCCAGTGAAGGCCAAGTCCATACCTTCAGCCTTGATAAGGGCCTGCATACCAGCTCGTTGAATGTTTCGTGCTGCCTGCTGGACGTCTCAGTTGGATGACCCTTTGTAAACATTGGATTCTATAAGTGTAAAACTGAGCTTAGCTTGAAAGCAGGACAGAGAAGAGATTAAAATTGTGGGCTCTAGAATCAAACCTGATTCTGCCAGTTACTAGTAACATTGCCATTTCTCATGTGTGAAATGGGAACAGTGACCTCACAGGGTCATTGTGAGAATTAAATTCACAGTACCTAGAACAGTGCCAGGTATGGAGTGAGTCCCCCGTGGTTGTTAGCTTTGGTGAGTGTCAACCACTGCCCTGGCCTCTCCCACCTTGAGCACCAGCACTGCTACAGCTGCCACTCCCCAGGCCCCTCCTTCCCCACTGCTCTTCTCATCTCAGTGAACCACAGCAATGCGAGGCAACACTCAGCCCTCGATGTGTCCAGGTGCCAGGCAGGCATCTTACTTGTCGTGTCTCACTTGATCCTGGCTACAGCCCTTTGAGGTGGGGCCTGTTACATTCTTCAGCCTTTACAGCAATGAAGCATCCAAGGTTAAATAACTTGTTCATGGTCTCAGAACACTAGAATTTGTATTCAGACCTGCTGATCTCTGGGCTCAGTCTCTTTGTAGTTATGTTCTGCCTTCCTGCCCCCCTATAGGACTTGGACAGAAACCCGAGGGTCATCTTTGACTTTTTCTTTCTCTTTACCACCCCTACCAAAATGCCACCAGTTGCCAAGTTTTGTCAGTTCAACCTGCTGAGTGTCAGGAGAGAGCTTCACTTCTTTATCCTCTCACCAGGATAATACATTTCTGAGTTTTAATATCTAATGTGACATTTTAACTGAGTACCTACTTTTTTTTTTTTTTGAGACAGAGTTACGCTCTTGTCCCCCAGTCTGGAGTAGAGTGGCAAGATTTCAGCTCACTGCAACCTCCACCTCCTGGGTTCAAGCCATTCTCCTGCCTCAGCCTCCCGAGTAGCTGGGATTACAGGTGCCCACCACCACGCCTGGCTAATTTTTGTATTTTTAGTAGAGACGGGGTTTCACCGTGTTGGCCAGGTTGGTCTCAAACTTCTGACTTCAGGTGATCCGCCTGCCTCAGCCTCCCAAAGTGTTGGGATTACAGGTGTGAGCCACCGTGCCTGGCCAACTGAGCACCTACTTTTTAAAAATTGAGCACAGTGTCAGGTACTGTGCTAGGCAAGAGGCTGCAACAGTCTGTAAGAGAAATGTGGTCCCTGTCCCCACCAAGCTCCTGATCAGTAAGTGACAGTCAGTGTGTCACACATGAGCATGGGGTTCTGAGCCCAGAATTTGGTAGTACCTAGGATCAAGGCAAACAGTTGTCATGGGTCCTGCTCTGCCATCTCCTGCTTAAGTTGCTACCACTAACTTGTCTCTGCCTTCTCATATTGCTCCCCCACCCATCTATTTTCTACAAAACACCAAGAGTATGTGTTCTTCAACAGCCCTGGCCCAAGACATTTTTCTGCCACCTCCTTTAAGATCAAGTTCAGAGTCATTAACATAACATCCAAGGCTCTTCACTGTCCAGCTTCTGTTGTCCTCTTGAGCTTCATGTCTTGCCACCTCTCCTATAGCAAGCCCAAAGCTGATTTTATTAGCTTTCCTTGAGTTTCTATATCATGCAAGAGAAAGAATGACTCAGATTAGATATATGCTTCTTCAGGAAGCTTGCCTTGATCCTAGGTACTACCAAATTCTGGGGTCAGTACCCCATGCTCATGTGTGACACACTGACTGTCACTTACAGACCGGGAGCCTGGTGGGGACAGGGACCACATCTCTCTTACAGACTGTTGTAGCCTCTTGCCTAGCACAGTTCGTGACACTGTGTTCAATTTTTAAAAAGTAGGTGCTCAGTTAAAATGTCACTTTAGATATTAAAACTCAGAACTGATTACCTCCTTGAGACCTTGCAGCTCACTAGTAGCAACAGTTGTAGTGGTTGGCAGCAGAGATTTCATTACCAAACTTGAATTCAAGTCCTGCCTCTGCTGCTTATGTACTCTAAGCCTCAGTTTCCTGCTTTGTCAAAAGGGATAAGAAATATGCTTTCTAAGGCTGGAAGAACAAGTGACGGAGGGCATGCCGACTGTCAAACACAAAACCTGTTTCTAGAAACAATCCTCAGATGGTAGGTTTCCATCCGAATGCCCAGTGCTCAGTGTAGCATTTGTGGCTGTGCACACGTGACACTGTCAAAGCCAGCTCTACTGATGGGCACACTGAGCTCTTGTTCACAGAAAATAAAAATGAAGAGTACAGATCATTCCATTAGGGAAATTCTCAGATTTTAAAAAGTATTTTATCCAATGATTCTTTTTGACTATGTAAATATCTCTAGAAAGACTAAACTCTACTGAAGTATGAAGATACCAACTTGGAATCCTTCCTAAGGTTCTGTTTATTCTTAAATAAAAAGAAATGATCATATTTTAATTTTAATGAAGTCCTAGGACTACTTAATGCAATTGCATATGGGCTGGCCTTCATGACTGGCAAATGCTTTTCATTTAGATTTATATGGCTGATTTCTCATGCATAAGGTACAGATTATTTCCATTTGTCAGTAGAATAAATATATTGCTATCTAACAGGTTTCAATGAAATATTTAATACTTTAATATCACAAATTTGAACATTGCTCATAAACTGAGTTAATAGACGGTATTTTGGAAGCAGACTGCCATGAGTTCACATCCTGGCTCCACCACCTATTACCACTGTGACCTTGGAGAAGGTGTTCAACATATCCAAACTTTTGGATTCCTTGTGTGTAAAATGGAGATACTGTTTGCCACCTTTAGAATTTGCTGGGTGGACAGAGGGAGGTTATGTGTAAATCATGCCACACAGCACCTGCCATGTAAGAGATACTCAGTTCTGCCTAAAAAAGCCACCATACTGTGGTCCCAGCTGCTCAGGAAACAGAGAGGAGGATTGCTTGAGCCTAGGAGGTCAAGGCTGCAACGAGCCATGATCACACCACTGCACTCCAACCTGGAAGTCAAAGCAAGACCCTGACTCAAAAAACAATACCAAAACGAAATCCACCAGACATCTTATTCTCAATATTACTCCACATTATTAAATTGGAAAGAGAACTATTTGAAGTTTGTTCACTCATGACTAAGTAATTGTTTCCAATCAGGATTTTGCACATTATTCGAGGAAGAAGATTTATGGTGACTTTTCTGTAGCCAAGCTTTTTAGCTGTATCTGCCCTCTACCGCAACAGAAAAATGTATAAGCTTAAGAATTATATAGTTCAAGGGTGGTGGGGTGGGGGGAGGTAGCTGGCAGTGTCTGACCCAACTCCGATCCCAACCCTGAAAAAAAATTAAAAAGAAATACAGTTTCTGCTGCTTAATAAGAATAGTGAAACTTTGCGATAATTAAATATAGTATTTGATAAGAAATCAGCTTGTGTTATTATTTTAGTGAGTTGTTTTAAAATTCCCAATGACCTAAATCACTTTATTGTACCACCACTATGAATCTGTTCACAATCTCACAACCCCCATAACTCCTATACTGTATAACCATTAATTACAGCAGGAACTTGATGAACCTACATGCAGTATAACTATCTATAAAGTAGTAAAGGTGCTAGTTTGACTACTGTTTATATTTATTATTGGTACTCAGTTATTTTCTATGATTATGATGAGAAGTGTAGAGAAGTGTGAGAAGTGTAAAACATAACAGAGCTAACTTTTTGGAGTGTTTGTTTCATGAAATTATTGGGAAATGTGATATTTATAAAAAGATGTTTCAATTCATGCATGGCTATTGCCTTTTAAGTACCTTACTGCTTTTCTCCTGATATTCCTTCCTATTAAATGCTTTCCTTAATTGATGTCTGTGCTCTCTCTCTCTTTCTCTCTCTCTCTCCACCTCCCTGGCAGTCTTTTCCCTATAAAAGGACCCATCTGTCTAAGGTAGAGATTCTCCATTTTTATATACTCATCAGTGCTAAGCTGCATGGAGTAGACGTGCTTATCATTTAGAAGTCTTGTTTAACTCTGCTTTTTCAATACAGTTTTTGTTTTGTTTTCCTTCAAGTAAAATCTGTTCTTTTCAGCCTGAGTTCAAGTACCCAAAAGTATGTCTAATTCCTAATCATAGTCCTAAAGCAAAGAATGCATTTTAAACTTGCTAACCCGTGGTAATTAAAAGTAATACTTGAAAAACTGATGCCCTTTTTAATATGTGACTCTGTATACAGAGAGTGAGAGAGAGATAGAAAAGCTCTTTAGAAAAGTGACTCATTTTCATTTGATTTTATTAGACTTGAATTTGAGAGGCAACAGCGTGAAGAACTTGAAAAATTAGAAAGTAAAAGGTAAGTCACATGGGGTTCAAGTTTCAACACTCCTGTAGTCTGGATTCCTGTGTTAATATCCTGGACTGATTCCATCTGTGTCTGCTTCAATACTTCCCCCTTGCTCTGTGTCTGTTATCTGTTATTTACATGTCTAATGACTGCAGGTCTTTTTTTTTTTTTTTTGGAGTAGATGGTTTTTCTTCAAGTTTAAATTTTTTTAAACGTTCATCTTCAAATATTTATGAGAAATGGGAAATAGAGTCAGTAGGCAAATTTAACACACCAATTAAATTTAATACACCAAAATGTATTCATTTAAATTTAATCAAAAGTAGATCTTCTCTTAATAATATCCCCTGAGTTTTTAAAAAGCCTGAAGAATGACAATTTGCCTTCCTTCTACCTGCCTGCTTTTAAAACATCTTTCCTGATATTGTTTGGCCATTTGTATTTCCCCATGTATAATTTGCTTTTCTTATTCTTTGCTCACTTTTCTTTTGTGTATGGGGGGGCAGGGTGGAGGGAGAAATGGCTGTTTAATTGATTTGGGCAGTTCTTTATATGTTCTGAAATAATTCTTTACCTGATAAAACTGTATTTTCTCCTTTTCTGTTTTTCCTGTCCTATTTAACCAGCCAAGACGTAGACCAAAGATGAGAGTTAGAGTAAAAACTAAGGCTATAGAAAATCTGCAAAGTAAATGTTTATTTAGTAGGACCTGGAGTTTAAATGTCACAAATAAACTGGCTTAGTTTCCAGCATCATCCAAGATAGACGTTTGGTGGGTCAGGAGGTGGAAGCCCAGTATTCCTGCTCTAACTCTGTGTTCTTCCTCTGGAGGCCATCCCAACCCTAAACTTCAGTACAGTACCCAGTGGAGATCATTTGTTCTCCAACAGAAAACACAACATGTCACCTCCCCACCAGCCTGCAAAATTATGCATTTTGTATATTCCAATGGAGGCTCCAGTTGTTTTCAGTGTTATGCACTAATAAACTAACATTTTGGACCATTTGGTGATCACCATTTGTCCCAAACTAGTGATTAAATGCTAAATAGTATGTATTTTTTAGCTGGAACAATGAACTGTCGATTATCATGACTTTGATATTTGACCCCAATGAGATGAGGACAGCATAAGCATTTTTATTTAATGTTGTCTTGTAACAACTTCTGTTGAGTTTTAGTCATTGGGCTGAATAAAGTTATTCACATTTAATTTAAATTGGGCATGGTTCTTTCTCTTTGAGCTCAGGGGCCTTTTAAAATTATATCATGCATAACACATTATGATTATATGCTCTACAAAGAAATGATATCAGAAGCCACTTCAGGAGAATAGGCAGGTGATATGTTGGACAGTTAAAAAATAAAAAAAATTAAACAGGATGCTGCTGGAAATTTAAAGGAAAGCAGTTACTCTTCTTTTTTTTATTTTAATGGAGGCTTTGACCTGGTTGTATGTGCATTTTCAGAACATTTCAGTAAAGTTAGAGCAACATTTGAACAATGACCAGATAACAACCAGTCAGTGCTTTGCATTTCAGGAAACTCATAGAAGAAATGGAGGAAAAGCAGAAATCAGACAAGGCTGAACTGGAGCGGATGCAGCAGGAGGTGGAGACCCAGCGCAAGGAGACAGAAATCGTGCAGCTCCAGATTCGCAAGCAGGAGGAGAGCCTCAAACGCCGCAGCTTCCACATCGAGAACAAGCTAAAGGATTTACTTGCGGAGAAGGAAAAATTTGAAGAGGAGAGGCTGAGGGAACAGCAGGAAATCGAGCTGCAGAAGAAGAGACAAGAAGAAGAGACCTTTCTCCGCGTCCAAGAAGAACTCCAACGACTCAAAGAACTCAACAACAACGAGAAGGCTGAGAAGTTTCAGATATTTCAAGAACTGGACCAGCTCCAAAAGGAAAAAGATGAACAGTATGCCAAGCTTGAACTGGAAAAAAAGAGACTAGAGGAGCAGGAGAAGGAGCAGGTCATGCTCGTGGCCCATCTGGAAGAGCAGCTCCGAGAGAAGCAGGAGATGATCCAGCTCCTGCGGCGTGGGGAGGTACAGTGGGTGGAAGAGGAGAAGAGGGACCTGGAAGGCATTCGGGAATCCCTCCTGCGGGTGAAGGAGGCTCGTGCCGGAGGGGATGAAGATGGCGAGGAGTTAGAAAAGGCTCAACTGCGTTTCTTCGAATTCAAGAGAAGGCAGCTTGTCAAGCTAGTGAACTTGGAGAAGGACCTGGTTCAGCAGAAAGACATCCTGAAAAAAGAAGTCCAAGAAGAACAGGAGATCCTAGAGTGTTTAAAATGTGAACATGACAAAGAATCTAGATTGTTGGAAAAACATGATGAGAGTGTCACAGATGTCACGGAAGTGCCTCAAGATTTCGAGAAAATAAAGCCAGTGGAGTACAGGCTGCAATATAAAGAACGCCAGCTACAGTACCTCCTGCAGAATCACTTGCCAACTCTGTTGGAAGAAAAGCAGAGAGCATTTGAAATTCTTGACAGAGGCCCTCTCAGCTTAGACAACACTCTTTATCAAGTAGAAAAGGAAATGGAAGAAAAAGAAGAACAGCTTGCACAGTACCAGGCCAATGCAAACCAGCTGCAAAAGCTCCAAGCCACCTTTGAATTCACTGCCAACATTGCACGTCAGGAGGAAAAAGTGAGGAAAAAGGAAAAGGAGATTTTGGAGTCCAGAGAGAAGCAGCAGAGAGAGGCGCTGGAGCGGGCCCTGGCCAGGCTGGAGAGGAGACATTCTGCGCTGCAGAGGCACTCCACCCTGGGCATGGAGATTGAAGAGCAGAGGCAGAAACTTGCCAGTCTGAACAGTGGCAGCAGAGAGCAGTCAGGGCTCCAGGCTAGCCTGGAGGCTGAGCAGGAAGCCCTGGAGAAGGACCAGGAGAGGTGAGATTGGGAAGGAAGGGTGTGGCATACAGTGGGTGCCAAATGAGTGCTCATTTTTCACTCCTCATGTTGTGTTTATCCTTTTTTTTTTTTAACTTATTCTTTTAGCCTTCATATTCTTTAATACATAGGCAAATGCTTATATTTGCCAGAACTGAGAAAAGTACTCCTAAACTTCTTGTATTTCTCCTTAGTGTCCTTCTTTTAGAATTGTTAGCCTAGAGTTGAAAAACACACAAACAAAAGCAAAGCCCATGTACATTATCCCACTGTCCTATGGAATGTGCGTGTTTTAATATTTTGATAAATGCAAGACTAGAAAGTTTCCACTTTGATTTCTCCTTCTTTCTTATCTCCCTTGCCTGTCTCCCTCTCTTTCCCCTTTCTTCTTCCCCTTCAGTTCCCTCCTCTCCCTTCCATTGCATCTATTTCCTCCTCCTTTCTCTTCCTTTGCCCTCTCTCTTTCCTCTCCCTCCCCTTTCTTCCTTCCCTCCTTGCCCCTCTCTGACTTGCTCCCTGTCTCTTTCCTTCTCTCCCTATTTTCTTCCCTCCTCCCTCACCTCTTTCCATCTCTACTTCCCTGCCCTTTCTTACTAATGATTTCACATCTTCTCCATGACCAGCACTTGTTGAAATAAGTATCATCCCTGGGTTCATGGTTTGCATACAGGCTACTGATTTCTGCAACATGTTGGGAATGAAAAAATCAATACTTCTCCCACCCCTATTGAGTCACAGTATTTAAGAGAAGGCCTCAGGACTCTGCATTATAAAACAGTCAACCGAACCAACAAACAAAACTCCAGATAATTCTGAACACAGTGGGATATTAGAACATGTTTGGTGATTTACTGATAGTATTTTTGTTGTTGTGAAAAATAAAACTAGGAAATTAGCACTCTTGTCTTGTAAGGTAAGAATATTTATCTTCCTTCACCTATTTTCTGTCACCATACTTACCAGACCATAAGTTCTCAAAATGCATATTATGTGAATTTGAGGACACCTTTTCTGGAGCCTTGAAGACTTGATGGCAAGACTCACAGAAAGGCCAACAGCCACCTGGGTGATGCAAACATCACCCAATTTGGAGACTTGCAAGAGGAATTTATGGCCTGGTTCAGCCCCTTCCTATCAAGATGGTAGCATGTTCCTACCTTGGGCAGGATCTTTCATCACTGGGCCTCAGTGTCACCACTTGTACAAGAAGAGGATGGATGAGATCACAGGGTCTTGCTCTGGGTCCAGGCTGGAGTGCAGTAGTGTGATCATAGCTCACTGCAGCCTCAAACTCCTGGGCTCAAGCAATCCTCCTGCCCCAGCCACCCAAGTGGCTGGGACCCCAGGTGCATACTACCATGCCTGGCTATTTATTTATTTATTTATTTATTTTATGTATTTTATTTTTTTAGAGATGGGGTTTCCCTGTGTTGCCCAGTCTGGTCTCAAACTCCTAGGTTCAAGCAGTTCTCCCACCTGAGCCTCCTAAAGTGCCGGGATTATAGTCATGAGCCACCACTCCCTGCTCAGTTGAGATCTTAACTGAAGCTCAGATTGGAGAGATGAAACCTTGCCCTCTCCGCAGTACTCCCCCCACCCACAGCACCTCCTAAGGGGGCTTCAACAGAAGTCCAGTGTACTGGCCAGGAGACCCCACCTTGGCATTTAGCTGATGCATGGGGCTGGTTGCTGATAACAAGGAAGACCTACTCAGAAGTGTTACTGTAGCTTCACCCATCACATTGCCTGAAAAGTTCAGGACAACCTCCATTCAAATGATTGGCTTATGCTATGGATTACATTTACCATCGCTGTCTGGTAGTTCCCTCAGGCAAAACAGCAACAAAATAACAATCAAAAACCCTAATGCTGTTATTTCAGAGAAATAGGTTGGAGGTTTAAAAAAATGATTGCAGGTATGTTATGTAAATGAAATTGCTAGACAAAGATCCAGCCCCAGGAACTTTAAAGTAGTGGAGGGCACACTCTCAATTTGTAGCCTGTAGTGTGCAATAAGAATGCAGCATGAGCTTTTAGCTTGATGTCCTTGGCTTTTGTCACCTGGCCATTTAGTATTAATACTGTATAATAGCAGACACAGTATTGCAGTTTCCACGGAAGTGATTACACAATGGGAGTGTTCCTTCAGAAGCCAAGTAAAGGGGGCTGTTAGCTTCATGAGTTTTGATGAAATAGACTTAGCTAAGTCCTAATTCAGGCCGACGGATTCCGGGCTCTCTGCTCTGACTGCGATACCCCCGCAGCTTTCTATGGGAATTTCTGTTGTGCTTCATTTTCTCCCAGGGTTCTCACGGCTAAGCCAGGATTCACCGTGCAGCCTGACTTGGCCCCTCGTAAAATTCCACAAGTGTGAAATATTAAATTCATGTGGGACCAGACTGGACAACAGTGTCCTGAACTTGGCTCTCCCATTGCCTTCTCAGTGCTTTATGAACCAGGTTTAATCCATTTTCCTGCCTTTTTTCCTACCACCTGCTCATTCCAGCTGCCCCATTGACATGGATCAGGTAACCCAACTAGAAATACCTCCCATCACCATAGCAGGGATAACAGAGGCAAGTTGTTAATACTCACACTTAATCCTGTTTTCTTGTCAGAGTCCTTTAACAATGACGATGATAATAGTCATGATGAAAACCATGAAGAATAACTCTGTGTACCTCAGATCCTGCTTTAAATGCTGTGTGTGCATTGTCATTTACTCTTCCAATAAAGGGTGCCATCGTCTACAGTTTACACATGAGGAAGCTGAAGCCTGCAGTGGTTGTATAACCACTGGGGATGAGTGTCACACAGTTAGAAAGTGGCAGAGTTGCAAGTCAGATCTCAATCTCATCACCCATCTCTGATCCACTTAGCCCTCTAGTCTTCTGACCATGTATCTGCCACACGGGAAGGCCAGCTTGTCCCTTGCCATCCATATAAATCTCACTCAGACTTCAGGATACCTCTCAAACCCTTCTTTGCTCTGTGGAGTCTTTTCCACTGGCCATTGGCCCTGTGCTGAAGGACAATTCTTAACAACCCCAGCAGGAGTTTTCTTAACTGTAAACATTGCTAATTGCCTGCCTACATCCAGCTCATTTTTTTTTTTTTTTGGCCATTGATGATACCCTATTAATATTGCTCCCCAATTATTTGGCCACCACCAGGCCTCTGACATCATTTTTTTTTTTTTGCTTATGTCTTGTCTTTTGAAAATACTGTGTGTTCCACAAATTGATGCTCTAGAAGTACTTGCTAATCAATAAACCCAGAAAGGGCTGAGTTAAACTGGGCACAGCCTCGTGTGGGTCCCATGAGTGCTTACCCTCATGACCCTGTGATCCATTTCTGAAAATTCAGAACTTGGCTTTCATGTTCAAGATAGAGCAGTCAAATTGCTGCTGGTGACACCAGAGGGTTGACAGCATCATGGTGTGTTGGCATCTGAAGCCAGAATCTCTGATTTTTAGAGCTGAAGGAATTGAGGGAGATTAGTTGACGCTCTCATTTGATCCATGAAGAAATTGAGACCCGTGTTTAAATAACTTCCCCAAGCTCACACAGTGAGTGGACTGCAGTCTCCTGCTTCCTGGGGCCAAATTCACTGGCAAGGTTGGCCCTCTGGCCTGATGGGGCTGGATTCAAGTATGCCTGGGCCGGTGGGAGAATGACCTTACACACATTTGACCTCATATAGATGTATCACTTATCACTGGAGGTTAATTTTATGGTTTATTTTAGTTTCTCATGGAACTCAACCTACTTTCCTAGGCCTGTCTTTTCTGCTTCCCCTTCCCATGCCCTCTGCCTTAGCCCAAAGTGGATGCCTGGTTTTCATGCCCTTGCCCCATTGCTCGTATTGCTTTCTGCACTTAGATAATCTTCTGCCGTCATCTCCAAATGACAACATTCCCACTGGCCTCTGGAGACTCAACTTAGAACTGCCATGGCTATGAAATTTCTCCTAGATTGGTGGTTTTTAAAACTCTTTAAAACATAGATCTTTTTCATCAAACGTAAGTATTTACCAGAACCCTGATGTGTAGTCCACAACCAACTCTTTTTGAAGCAGCAGTTAGAGGCCTCAGAATCCTATACACCTACCTCTAGGACTTGCTTGGAGCACAGTGGAGAGATCTTTGCTCTTGGTAGTCAAAATTACTCTACCTTCTGGATGCCTGCAGTGCTCGTCCTGGACCCTTCTTGTGGCCCATGGCACTTTATGTCTTGTCTTATGGGTATGTGGCACCTTTTCTACTAGAAGGTAAAGTTCTTTGCACACAGAGGACAGATCTTGTTCCCCCATGCTATCTAAAGCAATGTCTCACACAGTAAGGATGCTCGGGAAATACTATTAATGAATGAATTATGTGGCTCCTATCTGTGTAGGTTAGAATATGAAATCCAGCAGCTGAAACAGAAGATTTATGAGGTCGATGGTGTTCAAAAAGATCATCATGGGACCCTGGAAGGGAAGGTGGCTTCTTCCAGCTTGCCAGTCAGTGCTGAAAAATCACACCTGGTTCCCCTCATGGATGCCAGGTACTGGACATGAAAGTGATTCCAGGCTTCTCATTTGATGTGACTCAAGGACTCATTGTTTCTCTGTTGAACTACTTTGTATCTGGAGGGCTCTATTAAGGGCAACAAGTAATACACGTGCTTGAGATGTGCTCTGCCTTCATCTGCCATTGGCCTGCCAGTGGTAGGGTAAGGGGTCATTTCAAGAAAATCAAGGACTTGAGACCTGGCTAGCCAGATCCAAGGAATCTTGTTGCAGGTACAGTTGTCCCTTGATATCTGCAGAGGATTGGTTTCAGGATGGCTCTTTGATACAAAATCCACACATCCTCAAGTCCACCTGTTAGCCCTCTGGAACCTGCGGTTAGAAAAAGTTGCCCTCCATGTATTTTCAATCTTTGTATAGTTGTGGATGTGGAACCACTAATAGGGAGGTCCAGCTGTATTTATTGGAAAAAACTGACATGTAAGTGGACATGTGCTGTTCAAACCTGTGTTGTTCAAGGGTCAAGTGTGGTTTGAGTGAGAGGGCGGAATGAAAAGTTGCAGGGAAAGCAGCTCATCCAGCACAAAGTGAGGCAAGGCCAGGTTGACAAAAACGAAGACCTAGAATTAACTGTACCAAGAAGAAGGACCTTGTGTTGACAGTTAATTTATGTGTCATGGATTACAAATAGATGAAGTTTGTTATAAAAACTACTAGTATATTCAGAATGATTGTGAGTATAATAAATCTGTATCTGATGTTACTTTAGTTAAGTGATTTTCAACTTAGGTGGCATTGTGTATTGCTCTGTGGCTTAGAGCCCTTAGAAAAATCAGCTTAATTATTCTTTGCCTGTAAGAAAACAATGATTACCCTTCTTCACTCCATTTAAACATGGGAGCATTTGAAATCGGACAGTCTTGAACCCTAGATATTAGGAGATATATATTTGGATATCAAAATGTACTCAGAATGGCATGAGCCTCATATCTCACAGGGTTACTTTCAAATTTAAGTGACTATCAGGGGTGATAAATTGTAAATGGCCTTCACTCATGTTCAGTAGCACACAATTTTGTTTTCAATATTGAAACAGAAACATTGTGCTTTATTTGGGCTCTTTTACCTAAAATTTTAATCTCTTTGCCTAGCATTTTAGAAAATCTTTTCTCTGTGGTCAGTAGTATAGAAATGATTGCAGGATTATGCATGTGTTTATGCAGATTTACTTATTTATTTAGTGAATGTGATAAGATATAAACATGGAAACCATTTAATTTAAAATAATCCATCCGGCCGGGCATGGTGGCTGACGCCTATAATCCCAGCACTTCGAGAGGCCGAGCCAGGCAGATCACCTGAGGTCAGGAGTTCAAGACCAGCCTGACCAACATAGTGAAACCCTGTCTCTACTAAAAATATGAAAATTAGCCGGGTGTGGTGGCGGGTGCCTGTAATCCCAGCTACCTGGGAGGCTGAGGCAGGAGACTCACTTGAACCCAGGAGGCGGAGGTTGCAGTGAGCCAAGATCATACCACAGCCCTCCAGGCTGAGAGACAAGAGCGAGACTCTGTCTCAAAAATAATAATAATGCATCTAATCAGTACCTGTAGAATTGGAGGAGGGGAGTCTAGAACAGAATGACTTCCATTTGGGCAGTCTCTGCCATTACAAAGATTTTCGATGAAGATAAAATTCTCTAGTCTCTCTGTTTCCTCCAGGTGGAATGACCTAAAAACATTGAGGTGGAATGACCAGAGATTAGACCAAAATCCACTGAGGTGGTCAAGGCTGATAGTTTTGCTTCATACAACTTCACCTACATTTTATGAGATATCAGATAATAAGTTGACACTGCTTCAAAAGTCAGTGGTGTTTGGCTTCATCTCTGTTTTGGGCCTGTCCTAGGCATTTTGGAAGGTAGAGACCTTTACGATGTGGTCTTGCTGGCCAGGTACAGAGAACCCATTTGGAGAGACGAGACAGACCGGGAATACAAGTGTGCTAGACGCTGTTCAATCTGAATGAGGAAGATTTGTAGAGAGCATGTCCATTTCTTGCTTATTATTTTTTTCTTTTTTGGTAATCCTCATACATGACCTTGAGATGTGAGAAATAACTATCATCTGTATTATCCTTTTCTGTATGAGGAACCCAAGGCTCTGAATGAAATATTCTGTCTTGGCATCAGATTAGAGACCGCAGAGCCTTCTGAAGCCAGTGACTGATTTTCTTCCATCCTGCAGCGGGCATTCCACTAAGGACGTGGATGGGATCACTTAGTCTCCTTTCCATTCCCAATATTCTATTACTTGTTCAGTTCTACCTCATTTGGGCAAAACCCAGATAGTGAACATGTAGCACCAGATTTCTTGAAAAAAATAAAAATGTTGAAGTTCTCAAGTTGTTGTTAGGTTTGGTATTTAGAAGGAGATTGCTCCCTGTTGTGAAGGGCGTAGTAAAGAGAGGATCTCAGAATGTCCTGTGTGGTTAGAAGTGTCAGATCTACTCCATCTCCATTGTGTTACAGGATCAATGCTTACATTGAAGAAGAAGTCCAAAGACGCCTTCAGGATTTGCATCGTGTGATTAGTGAAGGCTGCAGTACATCTGCAGACACGATGAAGGTAAGCTGAAGGAGCCAAGTAACACGAAGTAACAAGTTCGTTCATCTTTCTTTTTTCCTTTTTTTTTTTTTTTTTGAGACTGAGTCTTGTTCTGTCACCTAAGCTGGAGTGCAGTGGCACCATCTTGGCTCACTGCAACCTCCACCTCCCAGTTCAAACAACTCTCATGCCTCAGCCTCCCAAGTAGCTGGGACTATAGGCGCCTGCCACCACACCTGGCTAATTTTTGTATTTTTAGTAGAAACAGGGTTTCTACCACCATGTTAGCCAGGCTTGTCTCAAACTCCTGACCTCAAGTGATCTGCCCATCTCGGCTTCCCAAAGTGCTGGGATTACAGGTGTGAGCCACCACACTCAGCCCATTTGTCTTTCAAGATGACCTTGAAGATAAGTTTTTGGTGGTAGTGGTGGGGTCTTTTGTTTTCCAGTGAGAAAATTCAGATGTGGAATGTTCTAGAAAAAAATATTAAATATTGCTTGGGCAGAGTGTAACAGTTTATAAATAGTATTAATTCAGGAATTCAGGAGTAACTTTATTTTATAATTTTGTAATTATGACAACTTTTAAGTGATTATAAAGTCTAAAATACTTTTTAATTCTACATGCAACATTCTTCTGTTTTCTTCCAAAATACTTCCAATTTCCGTAGTTATTTATTTTGTAAATTATCCAAAATATAAATAGAATTTTGACTTTTAGAAGATACATATTTGTGACAAGTCTATACTGAAATAAAGACAATGCATTTCTATCCTGCAAATTAAGAAATGCCCTAAGGAGATCTTGTTTTTAATATTATTCTTAGAATTTTAAGATTAGGAGTAAGTGTTTCAGTTCTCTGATGGCAGATGGATCAATAGAGTCATGTTTATCTTGGGGATGTAAATTATATAGAAGGGTTGTCATTGTTGAATGACAAGTATGTTTATTTAGATTTCCATTCCCATAAATACTTGTAATCGAATCAGTCCCCCGCCCCGTGAACTTGCTATAATTTAATATAGAGGGCTTTTTCTTTTCTTTTCAGGATAATGAGAAACTTCACAATGGCACCATTCAACGTAAACTAAAATATGAGGTAGGTAATGATTTTTCAGATTGATAGGGTCGCCTTAAATTATGGCATGCTCATGTGATTACATTTTCTTAATGTCTAGTTGCATAATTAGAATTTTGAGGTCCCGGCAAGATTAATGGCTAATAGGGAAGGCAAGCTATTATATGGACTTAAAATTAAACGGAATCCTGTAGTTTGAAACTGCTTTGACTTTATTTGAATGGCATGTAGCTGTGGTGGAGCTTTGCCCAGTTTTTCATTTGTAATAGTATATTTTCCCTTGGTCTGCATTTAAAAGGCAGAATTATATAATCAGAATCAGATATGGGGTTTGGAAATGAAACTCAGTACTCCTCCTGTCCATTTTATAGACTGTGAGTTGGTAGTAGTATAAAGGAAATACTCTTGATTGATTAACTTGTTTCTCTGGTGGATTGTCAAACCAAGGTTTATTTGGGCATGCAATTTGTAAGGTTTCACTGGTATTCTCCTCCACTGAGAGGCATGTCTCTCCCATATATTCCTAAATTTTAAAAAATCAACCCCCAAAAAATAGTAGGTGATGGAAATTTTCCAGATGGTGTCCATACATTACTGAACAGACAGCAAGAGGTGGATGTTCACAGAGGCTGAGCTGACTTTGGCCGCAGCCACACCCTCCTGCCAGTCATCCAGTAATGATGTGATCTTTCCCTGGATAGCCATTTCCCTCCTCTACAGAGCAAGACACTGGCTTTCATTTCTTTGTGTCCATAGTACCTGGCACATAGCAGGTGCACAGTAGTCCTTCCATGGTGATGACTTGTAGATAAGAGTAATGATAATTACTGTTAATGTTCATGGGAACATTTGATCCCCATGAAACAAACCAAAAGGAGAGAGAAATGTAACCTGGGTTAGAACACTTGGGCATTTCTTTTGGCCTTGCCATCTGATTTTCATTAAGTTTGCCTTGATTGCATTTTGGACATATGATCATGGACTTATTTTCATAACTAAATTTGACCTTCTAAACATTGAATCAGAGGGCTTGGAATTTATTGTAGGGAAAATGAAATATTAGATCAAGACGTGGGTACTGTGGATCAACCCCATACAAAGTATTTCTATCAAAATTCTCAGTGATTTATAATATATATATAATATGGAAAATTGATGTTCTATGTATGAATCAGATAATCGATTCTTTAATCATGTATCAATACAAATGGCTTAGACTTTTTATTTAACCTCTGAATTAATCTACCCAATGAAACCAATGACAAGAATCATCATGTGCAAAAGAATCACAGAAAGAGATACCACATCCCCATTTCAACTTTTTTTGACACCTTGAACAGAAAAGGCAGTTTTGCCCAGCATGGTATCTTGACCCGCTTCTGCCCAGAGATGCCACTGACACTTCCAGCCTCATTAAAGAGGAGAGGAGGGAGGTGGATCAGAACGACCACTGGGATCATCCCATGCTGTGGAGCGTCTCAGGCCCTAAAACAACTTCCTCAGCATCACAAGAGAGAACTCACCAGCAGAGGGATCAGTCCTCAGTACCCGAGGTATTCCAGGACAGTGAAAACAAATATGGTCATCCTGAGCATGCTGGCCATTTTGAACCAAAATGTTTTAATCTACCTAAAATCTCTTTTCTTAACGAAAGTAACACCGATGATGCAGAAGATTTTCAGAGTCAGTCAGAAAATTTCAGTGAGCTGATGACTCATAAAGATAAACATGGCTTGAGAGTCAAGTCCAGTTGGACTTTGCTGCAACATACGTCCCAAGAAGTGTCTATAAATAGCGGAGGCAAGCAGGCCAGGCAAGGCAAGGTGCTCTGCTTGGTTCTGTCTGAAGGCATTTCCCATGAGGAGAGAGCATCCTGCAGTGCCCCGCAGAGCGTACTGGCGTCTGAGTTTTATAGTGAGCAGCAAGGTGAGGAAGAGTTGGATGCTAAAAAAATGAGCTCATCGGAGTCACTGGTAAATATCAGAACAGAAGGAAACAATGGACTGGGATATTTTTACCACAAGTTCTCAGACCTTTATAAAGATACCAGCAGTCACCTGCTTCAGGCTGGCACAAAGGTGATCAGCCAAGCCAGGCTTGTGGGGAATCTGTGTGCCCCGAGGGGGCTCCCCTCCCAGGTAACAACATTCGTCAGAAGCCTGCCATTTCTGAAGCACTTAGCCCCACACATGCCCTTGAAGACTGACATGCAGTCAACAGAATCTCATTCTCCGGAAGCTCGGGTTGGCAGCAGCGAGAGCGAAGCTGCAGGGAGCCTGAGGCCAGCAGAGGGTGCGGCGCCTTACCGGGCCTCTGTCTTTGCAGCTACAGGTTTACCAGGTTCCTCGCCAAGCTCAGTTTTTCGCCTTGAATATGAAGATGCTAGAAAGAGCTCTGCATTTAAGCAGAGCCTTGTGCAATTCCCGGACCAAATGCTGAAACTGCAAGAGTGCCCTTTAAAAGACCTTCTTAGGCATGTGACTTGTTCTCTACCAGAACCTTTGGGCAACATGAAGGAAGTCAAAGGCATTTACTGGCTTGCTGTTGCTGCCTGCACAGCACCTGACCCTCAACCAGCGTGTTTGCTCCTGCTTCAGTCAACTTTATATGCTTTGGTCCTGTCAGATAATCTCGGCTCAATGAGCATTTTTCATGCTCTACCTCTCTCTGGTCTACAGGAGATTCAGATTGGCTTTGGTGGACAGAGTGTTCGATTCCTGAGCTCTGCAGAGGGTCTTCTGCTCACTGTATTCAGTTACAACAAATACCTCTCTCAACAGCTGTGTCGTGACCTCCTGTGTGTCCTGATGCCAGAGCCTGATGCCGCTGCCTGCGCTAATCATCCCTTGCTCCAGCAAGATCTGGTTCAGCTTTCTCTTGATTGGAAAACAGAAATCCCTGATTTAGTTTTGCCAAATGGAGTTCAGGTGTCATCCAAATTCCAGACTACCTTGGTTGACATGATTTACTTTCTTCATGGAAATATGGAAGTCAATGTCCCTTCCCTGGCAGAAGTTCAGTTACTGCTCTACACAACAGTGAAAGTCATGGGTGACTCTGGCCATGACCAGTGCCAGTCGCTAGTCCTTCTGAACACCCACATTGCACTGGTGAAGGAAGACTGTGTTTTTTATCCACGCATTCGATCTCGAAACATACCTCCTCCGGGTGCACAATTTGATGTGATCAAATGCCATGCTTTAAGTGAATTCAGGTGTGTTGTTGTTCCAGAAAAGAAAAATGTGTCAACAGTAGAACTAGTCTTCTTACAGAAACTCAAACCTTCAGTGGGTTCCAGAAATAGTCCACCTGAGCACCTTCAGGAAGCCCCAAATGTCCAGTTGTTCACCACCCCATTGTATCTTCAAGGCAGTCAGAATGTCGCACCTGAGGTCTGGAAACTTACTTTCAATTCTCAAGATGAGGCTCTTTGGCTAATCTCACATTTGACAAGACTCTAAGGAGGAGACTTTTAAAGATGCACTACATGTTTTTTGAGATCATTAATAAAATAAGCATTGTGAAAACAGTCAAGGCAATATGAATATCTCCGTGTAGCTAATTGAATTGGAACTGGAAAAATGCAGACCTCTAAAATTGAAAATGTAAATATTTTAAATATCTACAATAAAATAAAAACAGCTAATAGCAGAGCCCCAATAAAATATCTTTATCATCACCTTGCTTCATTTTCTTGAAACTCAGGCTTGTAAATTTGTGCCTGCTTCATTATTTGTGAGGTGATTAAAGCATTTCTGATTGTTTGTTTTCGTGTCGATTTATAGTGTGGTGGCTTGGAATCTGTCTGTGCCTACTGGATTCCAGCAGGCTAATCTGTGCTGCCTGAAAAAGTGCCCAGTCTAGCAGTGACCTTCATTGACATCCTTGGTTTCAGCTGTGATTAGGATAATTATGTAGCAGAGCACATTAGTGATGCATCAAGCTTCCTATGAGGACCCGGGGATTGAAAGTGTCCTCCCATCACCATGGTATGCGGAATCGAGACAGTGATGCATGCCCTGCAGTGTCTTCTTCCTCACTTAATTGCCTTTACCTTCCTCCTTTCATACTTCTTGATGATTCCCTTTTAACTCTTGCGATTTCAGCTCCTCACTTGGTGTATTTGTGGCTATTCCACCTAACCCGTATCCCTCACCACCACCATATTCCAGTTCTTTCTCAGAACTTTTGTCTCTCTATCCTGTAAGTCTCTTTATCTCAGAGTCTCACTTTCTCTCGTGGCTTCTTTCTGCTGTCTTGTCAAATATATAGTCCCCTTAGAGGTACCTTCCTCTGGCATCTCACCCAGCCACCACTTATAACCTTTGATTGAGGTCTCCTACTGGCCCCAGCTGGTCAGTTTGCTGGCCTCCCTTCTCAGGCGAGTTCCCTGCTGCATCTGCCCAGGGTGGAGCTTCTCTCTCCATGAAGCTCCACCCAGTAGTCAGCTGCCTCCTCCTAGGTAAGAGGCTGCAAACTGTGCTCTTCAGGGTCTCTAGCTCCTCTGATCAACCCTTTCCTCTCTGTCCCCCTCTGTCCAAAAATCCTATCAGGTTACATATTTTGTATTTGTTTTTAATTTCACCTGACCCTAGGTGCTCTGCCACTGTTCTCCCCTCTCAGGTGTGTGTTCTCCTAAATCTAGAGTTCTCAGAAGGAAGGAGACGTGCTTCTGTCTTGCTCAGCCCACCCTCCATCCACTCTCAGCCAAACCATCTTTAGCCCACAGTAGCTCTCAGTGGACGTTGGATGCAGCTGAGTGAGTCAGTGATTCTCGTGGCATGGAAGGGGCATTTTCTATTCTGGTCAAATATTTGGATAAGTGCAACATAAATGTTGTAGTGCCTTCTTCATTTCTGTTCCTAACCAATGACGGAGATGGTGTCAAAGCTTAACACACACAGAAACTTACCATCTTCCTTTGGCCAGGAACTGCTCATCTTCCCTCTTTCCCCTGACGGAGGAAATGACAAGCTACCCACACTGGGTCTACATTCCCACCTATTTTCCTCTACCTAGTGTTGCAGACATGAACAGGAAAAGACAGGGAATTGGAGAATGTGTTACGATCCACAGACTGGTGGCTGCAGCCATGTGTGCTTCTGACCAGTGGAGGCATTTGGTTTTTTGAGGCAATTGGATTCTCATGTTTTTCATTTCCAAAGCACCCCCTACCCCCACACATAAATACCTTATTACCTTATACCTAAAGGCTTTTAACTCTTTGATGAGGACATCATTAAAAATAGTCACTAATTTGTCATTATCTTGGTTGGTAGGTCATCTTCCCTCATGAACAAACACTCCTAAAATGTACCATGATAGTTTTCTAATATCTTAATAATATTTCTCCTAATTTATTTTTATTTTTTTAACTTTTTAAAACTAATATATTTTGCATTCCTTTTTTCAAGTTGTTCCATCCAGTATTTTCTCATATTTTCTTGATAAGAAAAAGAGTTATACTGCAGTAGTCTTGTCCAAGTTAAAAAAGAAAGAAAGAAAAACAATTAATGATTATGAAGGGCAGAGGGAATAAATTTTAAGATGCCAGCAGAGGGATGCCATGGTCAGGAAGAAGGGAGTGATAAATAAACTGTACATAATTTTAACAAAGAGTGTTAAATATTAGACAGATGTGCTTATTCGCACAGGTACAGAAGCATAATTCCACCATGTTGTAAATCATGGCCTTTAGGATTTCTCAGAGATGGAACATGCAGCAGATACGAGCATCGTATAAAAATCATATCACTCATTATAACTTCTGCAGTCTGCTTTATGATCTAAGAAGGCCACAATGAGGATCATGTTCAGATTGTACCACATAATAGAAGCAGCTTGCAGCATTCAGATTCAGCATGTCACTTCTCTCACCTAAGCATACTTTGTACCTCGAGATAAAATATAGTTCCTCTGTGTGAGAGTTTGATTTACTCTCTGTGAAGTAAGTATTAAGGTTGTCGTGATGCCTGTGGAAGCCAGTGGAGTATTGTTGGTGCCATTATCCACTGTGATTTCAATCCTAGTAGCTCCCTCTGCTGTGGCTTCAATCCTAGGAGCTCCCTCTGCTCGTTTCTTCAGGAGTTCTAAGCCTACAGCACCCCTAGAGTGGAGCAACTATGAGAGTCTGAGTATTCAGCCTGCTATAACGACATCTCGGCTGTAATGAGTTTCTGAATCAGAAAAAAATAGACGCATACATCTTGGTTATGTGGCATTCTGCATTGTTATAATATAGGCATAAACATTTATATTGTGGGACTTCTTAATACATTCTAGACAATAGCTCTTTGAATACTTTTGAAATAGTGATTTCATCTGAATTTGATTAAAATCCATTTTGTGCACAGCTGCCTGTTTTACAGACTTGTGGTTGGCAGGATGAATTTATTTAGTCTTTGTTGAAAAACATTTCAAAACAGTGTGTCTCCCTGTTCTCATTACTTTAAAAATGTGCATGCATCCCTTTGGAAGAGAGTACTTAAGCCTTCCAGCAGTAGTAATTACAGTAATTTTTGCTTACATTCTCTTTCCCAGATGATTTAAAGCTTTGTATGATAAATAGATTAGAGCCACTTTTATTAATGCTCCTTTGATGATCAACCCGGCTTATTGGATAGACCAGTTTCTAATGAGGTCATTTTGTTAATTTAGTTACACAATTTCCAGTATGTAGCTTAGACAACTCTGCCTCATTCCTTAGAATATCTATTGTGACAGATGTTATATCAGTCTGCAATTGCCAAATAACAAACAACCCCCCCAAATTTCAGTGGCACATTAAAAAAAGTTTTTATTTTATTCTGCTGCTTTGCAAGTAGATTGGAGTGGCTGTGCTGTACGCTGCAGGTCATCTGTTGCTCAACCAGGGTCGGTCTGCTCCACACATATCATTTTGGGACCTATTCAGAAGGGGCAGTAGCCATCGTGGTGATGACAGAAACACAGAAGGGCAGTCCTGCAAGCCTTTGCCTGTGTCTGCTAACATCTCATTGGCCAACACAAGTCACATGACCAAGCCCCAAATCAAGGGGCAAGGAAGTACCCTCCGTCCATCAAGAGGCCATGGTGAGACTCAGGATATGTACTACTACTATAGGGAGAGAAGAATTAGGACCGGCAATTAATTTTCCATGGATGTATTATGTCAAGGTTCCCAAAGCTCTATTACAGATAAGACTCAGATAAAACTTGTAGGACTTCTCCCTAATGGAAACATTAAGGTACCGGGAAGAGTATGCCCTAGGACCTTTTAAGTTACATATTCAATTTGAGTACCTCCATGGATGGGCTGATTGCCTTCTACCTCTGAAGCAGTTTTTTCATTGGGAGCTGCTCTTACTGTTACACTATTCTTTCCGTAATCTCCCTTATTGTGATCTCCATCTGCAGAGTCTGTTCATCCGTGGCACCCTCTGTTGCAGAATAAAACAAGTGTATTTTGTAATCTGCATTATACACAACCCTTCAGAGAAGACACTTCTCATATATCTGCCTCCTCTGATTTTTCTCCTTTACCTCCAACACCCTTCCGTCTCTCCACTGTTTCTTAAACAGTACATTTTTCAAACCATCACCATCAAATCTCTTGTTAAGGATGCAGTGTTGTAGTATGCTAATGCCTTCTTTATGAGGGATGGAATTGAATAAACTAGTTGATGAGAAGGAAAGAGATTCTATTATAAGTCACTCCTCCTGCCTTTTACTATCTGGTTAAAATCTTTTGTTGCTGAAGGTGTAGTGGGTTATAGGGGTGACAGCAATCCCAGTCACTGTTTATATTGTGGTTTACAATGTAGGACTTCTTGCTCATATTTTGTTCCTTTTGATATTTATGGTGATCCTACTGGAATGTAGGAATTCACGTGGAACTCCATTTCAGATTTGGAAATTTAGACTCAAAAAGGATTACTAGGTTGAGAATTGGGACTTAAATCTAGACTTTTCTACTCTAGAATATATATATTTGTCCACAGTGCCAAAGCCATTTCATAGTCACTGTTATTCTTGACATTGGTAAAATTTTTTATTGATTTTTTTATAGGAATGACTATGCTAGAAATATATATTTCCAAGTATTGCTAAGTTGATTCTTAACTGACCTGTAAATTTGTTTTCTTGGAATTCTAGACATTAATAATTCTGTCTGTATGAGTTGTTGTTTTCAAGGATTGCCTTACAAGTTTCTTTTCAATTCCTTTTATTTCCTTGCATGGATCTTACTTCTCTTTGCGCTCTGCTTTTTTAGCTCTGTAAAAGAAAGCTTAGACACAGTCATAGCGTGAATTTGATGCACATAAGTTTGTATGTTTACTTTTGCTTCTTTGGCTGGAAGTGCATCCCTGCCTTTTATTTTCTCCTGGGCCTTAGCATTCAGCATGGTTTGACCCAAAGCCAGGGCTCAGCAAAAAATCAGTGAGTGAACATCAGTGGTACTTTTCATGATTAATCAATGACATTGTACAATTATAATAGAAGGGAGAATATCCACTTTTCCCTGAGGGTCCTAACCTGTCTGCATTCATGCTTAATAGTGAGAGCCACTTAGCAGTTGTTGCGACATTATCAGTCAGGTATAATAGACCCCATATTTAATCTTTTTAAAATCAGCCGTTAATTGATACATTGTTCAAAGATGATGACCACTTAATACAATGATCTTTGGTGATCTAGAGAAAAATAGTGACACTTTTAATAGTTTCAAGTTGAAACATTCATCCAATATTCAATATTTCCAAACCTTGAAACAATGTTGGTCGGCTCAGATCTATGTAGAAGAAATAATTGATTCTGGTGAGAATCATGGATTGGAAATGTCAACTAAACCTTTTGGAGTTATCCAAAGGCCGCTAAACTTAAGATATTCTACAAGTACCAATGTCCAACAGTTTGCCATCTTCTGGGTAACTTATCCCTCAGGATATATATCAAAACTTGTATTTGTTTCCTGATGTGAGTCTTCCAGACTCACTTTAGAAATGAGATAAGGTTAGCACTGTTTCTCCACACCAGGCTATTGTTAAGTCCCATCCTTCACAGGGATGGACAGGATGTATCTGTAGCATATATGGCCACGTCTTGGCAAAATCCAAATCAGATGTATTTGCCAAGCCTTCGAAGACAGTGTAGTGTTAATTAAGACAAGATCCCCTCATAGCAAAGGCAGGCTTCTCTACTGGAAATGGATAGGAACCTGTCTGGTTATTTACCATATACATCATTTGTGCTTGTTCCTGCATGTTATCTTTGTTCCCTGTTTCTTACAACCTGGCTGATGTTTGAGGCTATAACAAATCTTCATTGTCTCTTTCCCCAAATCTTCGTCGTCTCTTTCCCCAAATCTCCATTTTCAAATTGTTGGGGCATAATAGGTACTTGAGACATAATAGCTCTAATTAGAACTATCAGTATAGTATGTGTAGTTGAAAAAAGGAAGGATTAGAAATATGTGCTATGGTTGGAACAGGGACAGGAGAATTTGTAATTTTGTTAAATCTAATAAAAAGCCAGGTTTGCCTGTATTTCAGAAGCAAAGCTTGGCTATGGGCTTCTGGAGATTAGATGGCAGTCCTTAGGCCAGACCTTGTCATGATGTGTATACTGAATTTGACCGTCTGGTACATAATTAGAATGTTTAGGGACAACTGTTAATGACTCCCTGAGGACCTGGACCGTTTCATGTTCTCTGAGAGCCCGCAGAGATCTGAGTGGATGTAAGTGCCGCTTCCTGTTCATTTCCTCAATTTGTTCCTTTTGAAGGAAATAGCCTGAGTAGTAAAAGAAGACTTTGAACTGAATATTTACAATGTACCTTATGTTCTGCCTATTTCTTTCAGCTAAGGACTGGACTACAGTGTTTCACCAAGAATGGAAAAATAGCGTATTTGTTGACACAGAGCATTATTTCATTAAAAGCTATCAGAAAAAATATTTTTTGTATTTAACTTTTAAAGATACTTCTTATGTACAGATATGTAATTCAAGTTACCAATTATCTACTTTTTCTTGACTTTTTATTTCTAAATAGGATCACTCCATGGCACATTTAAAATTGCTTATACTATTTCTGTACTCATCCACACCAGTTCTGCTTGCAGAGAGGTGTTCCTCACACCTCCTACTACAATGCCATCAACTTTCCCTTCAGAGTCTAAGAATCTTTTTTGCCACATATAGGGAAACTGTGATGGATTCCAAAATAAATAATGCCATCGAAATATAAAAGCTCCCATAAATAATGGGATATAATGGGATACAGCAAACATTTGCATGTCTAGTATAAACCTCAACATACTCAAAATATAGCCACTTTCAAATCAAAAATAAATTTAAGAGACATTTATGTTAACTTTACTTCCTGTCCAGTATAAACATAGTTTAGGAGAGTGTCAAGAATTTTTTACACTGTACCCTGAGAATTCCACATTTCTCATGAAATTGACTTCATAAAATAATGTTTACAAATCACACCACAGTGATGATTTGATGGGAACACATTTTGATTTTTAAATTTATTTATGCATTTGCTCAGATCCCTACCTTATATTTTAGTTGTTCATTTCTGTAGCTGTTCATTTCTGTACACTCATTAATATTTAGTTCATATGAAATCAGTAAGATTGAAGTAAACTGTAGCCAAGGATGATAGTGGGGACTCTGGCAGTATTTCTCATCCCCAGTATGATATGTAATGAAGAGAGAAATATCTTTCTTCTCTGCAAAGGATCCTGTTATGCTTCACTGTCTGGTCCCGTTTGGGACAGTAGCTCTTATATCCAGCCAAGGGCCATATATTAGTCCAGGCAGTTGCTAGTGTGTCAAAGGCTGCCCTAGATTGAGGTAGGCTACGTAATATTATAAGATCTACTCATTCTCAAATACCTGGTCCTTACTCAAATCACTTGCCCAGTGAAATTGTCAAAGGCAGGGTTTTTTTTTTTTTTTTTTTTGTAAAGAATCTATGATCCTGAGCCTCAAGCAGCTTTCCTTTTATTAGGGATTGGTTTTACCCTGGTACATTCTTAGAAATGGAGAACTCTGCAGTTGTATTAGTCTGTTCTTGCCTTGCTATAAATACCCAAGACTGGGTAATTTACAAGAAAAGAGGTTTAATTGGCTCATGGTTCTGCAGGCTGTGTAGAAAGTATAGCACTGGCTTCTTATTCTGGGGAAGCCTCAGGAAGATTACAATCATGGTGGAAGGTGAAGGGGAAGCAGGTATCTCACACAGTGGGAGCAGGAGCAAGAGAAAGAGTGTGAGGGAGGTGCCACATGCTTTCAAATGACCAGATCTGGTGAGAACTCACTCATTATCACAAAGACTGCACCAAGCCATAAGGGATCCACCCGTGTGACCCAAACACCTCCCACGGGGCCTACCTCCAACACCAAGATTATTACAACTCCTCATGAGATTTGGATGGGGACAAATATCCAAACCGTATCACCAGTCATAAAATACCCAGACCGTCAGTTACAGTCTTACCTCATTTTAAAAACTGACTTATGAAAAGAGAAAGTTAAGGTCCCAAATCTACCTTTAGAATATAATCCATCTAGAGTAGAAACATCAAAAGTTTGTTCCAAACATGTGCAGTTGAGAAAAACTAAAGGTCTTAGAAATTACAAATACTTTGTAAAAGTTATATTGTATTCCCAAGGCCTGACCCTCTGTGTGGCACATAGGTGGTACCCAGTAAAATAGCAATGTTTCATTATATATCTTAGGGGTGCCTAAAAGAAAAGGCATTTAGAAAGTCAAAGGTAAGTCTCCATTGCTTAGCTGACAGAACATGCCTAGGCAATTTTGACCATAGTTCTTCCTCAGTAAAATTCCTGACATTTGGATGACAAGATACATATTCATAGTTGTTCTCACTCCATTCCCCCATCACAACTTTCTAATCCTGCTGTGATTACCAGTTCACTTGTAAGAGTCTGCCTCAGACCTTAAGTCCCACAGGGTGGGGTACCATTGCGTTCATAGTTGGGTCCCTCCCATGTAGTTGGAATCTAATAAATACCATGCCCATTTCCATAGGGGAACTGAGGTGAAGAGCGGGCAAGAGACTTACTCCAAGACCAAGTCCCAGAACTAGGATTGGATTCCACATCTTATCCTTCCTTCTGAGTCTTGAAGTGAACATCACCTGGAATCCCATGTCCATTTTCTGTGACTAGGTCAGGGAAGCAGATAAAGTTAGAGTATGTTATGCTTGTGGATACTGTCGTCCACACTTTTTTGAGAACCCGATCATTCACGTGATCCTAAAAGGTTCAAGTATGTAAATGGAGGTATCCCTAGGCAAAACTGAAAAACATGAAGTTTGCCTTTCAGATCATCTCCCTCACAGGTGTATGTGTGACTGCCATGTGCCTCAAGTGACAGAAGCCCATATAATTTTTTTTTTCCTTTGAGATGGAGTCTCGCTCTGTCGCCCAGGCTGGAGTGCAGTGGCGTGATCTCAGCTCACTGCAACCTCTGCCTCCCGGGTTCGAGTGATTCTCCTGCCTCAGCCTCCCAAGTAGCTGGGACTACAGGCGCATGCCACCACTCCCGACTACTTTTTTGTATTTTTAGTTCAGACAGGCCTGCACCATGTTAGCCAGGATGGTCTCGATCTCCTGACCTCTTGATCAACCTGCCTTGGCCTCCCAGGGTGCTGGGATTACAGGTGTGAGCCACTGTGCCCAGCCTCTTGATGGTTTTTGATATCAGGGATAGCTAAATCGGTGTACCATTATGATAAACAATTAATTCTTCTTGCTTTGGGTGACTAGCCATGCAGAGAAAAATTAAGATCCTATAACAGGCTTCGGAAACTTCATGCCAAAATGCACACATAGTCAGCTAGATTAAAAGCAGCAATCTGAAACAAATTATATGTCCTTGTGTCCTCTGGAAGTCCAAGCTTTCATGCACACAGCTAAGTTGACACTCTCAAGTTACACCTGGCTGAGAACCCTTTCTGTCTGGGAGAAAGGGAGCTTATTGCCCCCTGTTTTCTTTATAGTCACATAAGTGGGTTCCATTGCATAACCATGGAATTCTCAGCATCTTAAAACCTACATATGTGTGAAGTGTTCATTAGCTCAATGTATCTCAGATGGATGTAATTATTGTACAATTTCATGATTGCAATCTAGAGTAGTGTGATGAAAGTGGGCTCTAGATTGGCCTGAGTTTAAATCTTGACTCTACCCCATACCTCCATCAAGTGAGCTCAACCCTCAGTCTTGGGCCTCTCATCTGATAAATAGGGTGAATAATGGTTAATACCTCGTAGGGGGGATTGTGAAGATTAATTGAGCCAATTCATGTAAACTGGTTAATGTAGTCCTTGGCATATAATGAGTATCCAATAAATGCTAACTATAATTATGATTCTAATTATTTTGTTATTGCTATTACTTCAAAAACATATGTTTTCTAAAGCCCCCAGCTTAATGCAAACAATAAGGATTGTTCAGAGATTTCTTCCGATTCACACTTAAGACAACTTCATTTGGAAGATTTATTTTTTTCATAATGCCTCTTCCTCAGACCCCACTAGTCCCCCACTGCCCAGGCCATAAATATTTGTCAGAGCCAAGTTGAGTAATCAAATGGGGCCTAAAGAAAATACTTGAGATTTGTTTTAATTGTGGTTTAAAGAGCTTTCCACACTACACTGGCTTATAAAAATGCCTAAAAGTTAAAAATGAAGTAAATTTGAATAAAATCTCTAGCTTTTGCAGCTTTATAAGTATAGCTGTCTGATAGTGTGTGAAGAAAAAAGTTTGTCAGATGGTCAAGACTTTTCAGAAGGCAATCTGGTTTACACTGATTTTTTTTAAGAAGTCAGGATAATATAATTTGTCCCTGTTTTTACTTGTTCTTATAAATTGGAAGGAACTTCAAAGCCAAACACTTCATAGTGCTTTTGCCCTAACTCCTTGGAACGGTATACCTAAAATAATGGTCTTTTTGTTATGAGAGAGGCTTAGCTTTTCTCTTTCAAAGGAAACCATCATTTTTCTAAATAAACCCTACTGGTTTGATGCTCTTTTCTCTACTTGAAACACATTTTCTCCCTCCTACCCGAGCAGGATATTTGCAGTGGAGTGATTCTGGTTTCTCTTTGTTCTCCCTGTCTGACATGCCTTTGATAGCGGATGGTTTCTCGCTCTTTGGGCGCAAATCCAGATGACCTGAAGGACCCAATTAAAATTAGTATCCCACGCTACGTCCTCTGCGGGCAAGGAAAGGATGCACACTTCGAGTTTGAGGTCAAGGTGAGTGTCTTCTTGACTCTTCTGGAGAATGGAGGTTGGAGACTATGCAGTGCTTTATCTGTCTTTATTTTTTCAAAAGGGGGATGAAGCTGCATGTGAATATCCTGTTTGTAAAATATTTGGTCTTGCCCTTCTTTAAACCAGTCTGTAAAACTCTTGACTGTAACACATGGAAGGAAGGTACCTCATAGAAGGTGTTAGTAAGGCAGACAGAAATGGAATTCCTATCACCCACACCCTACGGGTAGGGTGACCAACCATCCAGGTTGCCCAAGACTTTCCTAATGTCTGCCCTTAAAGTTTCACACCTTGGGAAACCCCACAGTCCTGAGCAAACCAGGACAGTTGGTCACCCTCCCCATGGGCTTAGTCTTAATTTTTCTCATCTATAAAAATGAGACTAATAATATTTATGTCACAGGAATATCAGTGCGTATAAAGTGTGCATCTTGTGGCTGGTATAAACAGTAAATTGTAGCTATTGCTGCTATTACTACTGCTATTTTCATTGTTGTTTCTATTATGAATTAGGAAGCCCTCCTCATTTGTTTCAAGTGTTTCTTGATTTATACAACTTTTCAGGAAGAGATGTGCCTGTTTCCTTACGTCATGGTTTTCTAAATAATGACTTCATCTTTTTGCTAATTTGCTTTCATTGACTCATAACACTTTATTAAATAATGTTGCTGGCCACCATCCTCTTCTCAAGAAAGTAATGATAAATCACACTTCTTTTTCTTCAAGGATCAGCAAGGGTATTGATGTAATGAAGTCCACTAGGATCACCAGTGTGTGCATGCATAAGGGTGTTCTTGGAGGCTGTAGGTGGTTTTGTTCAGATCAACACCAGACCATGAATCTGGACACTGAGTTCTGTAGACTGTGACCCCGCTGCAATTTGCTGAGCAGCCATAAGTCATCTGATCCTCAGTTTCCCCACTGATACAATGAGGAAATTGGAAAGTACCAGTGGTCTCCAGATTTTATTTTATCTGTGAAACTCCTTTGTTCAAAGAATATCTTATGTGGAAGGACACCGTAAAAGGCAGGGAAGCCTAGAGCTGCTGGGCACACACAGAGTGGGGAGGGAGGAAGGAGCCTAGAGCCAGCCGTCTCCCCTGCCTGTCCCCACCCCTGATGCATCTCAGGGCAGCCCTGGGCTCTGAGGAATCCCTCTTTTCAGATGTCACATTCTTTCAACCTTCCTGAGGAAATGATGTAAATAACTTCTTTTCTAGCTAACCAGACTTTTAGGATTTTATTTCTATATACTAAGTTTTCCGTTAGAAAAGAAAAAAAAAAACAGGGCATCAGTTTATATATTTGAGGTTTTCATTGAGAAAGCATGATGCCTGTGTGTTGTTGCTGTTACTCTTTTTTTTTTGAGATGGAGTCTCACTCTGTTGCCCAGGCTGGAGTGCAGTGGCGCGATCTCAGCTCACTGCAACCTCCGCCTCCCGGGTTCAAGAGATTCTCCTACCTCAGCTTCCCGAGTAGCTGGGATTACAGGCATGTGCCACCACGTCCGGCTGACTTTTTGTGTTTTTAGTAGAGACAGGGTTTGCACTGTGTTAGCCAGGATGGTCTCCACCTCCTGAGCTCGTGATCCACCTGCCTTGGCCTCCCAAAGTGCTAGGATTACAGGCATGAGCCACCGCGCCCAGCCTTTGCTGTTATTCTTAACTTTGCTTATCCAATTATGTGGGTTCTTATTTAAATGTTACGCTATGTCCTTGATCCACTACTTCCCACTGCCCCTGACCTAATATCTATCTCCTGGTCAATTTCTTTTTCATTTGTTCTCAACCATTCTAAATTGTGTGTGTGTGTGTGTGTGTGTGTGTGTGTGTGTAGAATTCCATTTGTACATATATGTGATTATACATGAATATAAAAACAATTTCGGAAGTTGTGTTTGCATCATGACTGTGTTTTTTAATTAGAGAGTGAAGACTGGCTTCCATTAGTTCAGAATTAGAATTCCCCAGCACATAGAACTCAACAGCAGTGAGGTACATGCAATGATTTTAGTTGGTACACGGATTTATTTTACTTTAACAGATAAATGTGTTAATAAAATATAACTGTTAAATCAATTTCATGTATAGAACTCAGATAAAAAGATATTTAATATTTTAAAAACTGCATTGATTTAAATAAAAATTACAAGCAAATAATAATCAGGTGGTGTGCAGATTTGGCCAAAATTGTGAAGATGCTACTGCCCATGCAAGTTAGAGAAACCAAATACAGAAAATTCTATGAGGCCTTATGGAATCTAGGTGATCACTTCAGGATACATAAAATCCAAATCCACAGAGCTCTGCTTTCTTTGCATTTCTCAAAGCAAGTTCTGAAGCGTGTCATTGTTCCGCTTCCTTTTTCTGTTCGTCCCTAGGTGCTATAATTATGAGCACCAGGAATGTGTTAGCACCAACTTGGAGAATGTCTAGTTCTCCGTTTAGGCAGGGCCTCCTGATACCTTGACAGGTAGGTGTGTGGAAGCCTTCCACCCCATATGGATACCTTGTCATGGGGTAGTATGAGAAACAGACATGATGTGAATATACAGGCCTTCCCCAGAACAAAACAACAAAAACAGCCTCGATCCAGGCAAAGAGGTAGCTGCTAAATAGCATACCCTCCCCCTGCCCCCACAATCCTCATATCCTGCCATCTCCAGGCAACCTCAGCAGGTCACACAGCCTCACTGTGCCTCACCTGTCAAATGGGAATCATAAACCCCCCCCTCATTGGGTTGGTATGAGGAGTGGATGAGTTTGTATGTGTAAAGTGCTTGAAACAGTGCCTGCCACATACTAAGTGTTGGATAAGTGTTTGTTATTAAAAAGAAATAAAAATAAAAATGGGATGAGTGAGAGTTTACTGTGAGGTCCCCTTAATGACTTTTGATGTACAATTATGTTTTTATGAGAGTTTTGGATTTTGTTGGGATTTTTTTTCTTTTTGGTTGTTTGCTTGCCCTCAGCATTTGGAATTTAAAATTTAGATTGCTGACCTTTTCTCTCAGTCATTTGGACATTTCATGCGTAGGCCCTGTTTTCTAGAACAAATAGTCATGCTTATGGTAATATATGGTAATATTTTGGCTACTACTAAATTCTTCTCTTGGTGAACCAGTGGCTATTTAAGGAGGCTAAGGTAAAAAGTATTATTTTTAAAAGAGACTATTCTCTTCAGTTTTAAGCTTTTTTGAAGGGAGATTTAACATCAATGTACATACATAGATATATTATTACACTTTATAATTTAGAAAAATCTTTGCTGCTTCTCTTTTAAAAAATCAGTTTTTGTTTTTCGTTATCCCGCATGATGGTCCTGAGTACACACAGTGAGACGCTGTGCCCTCTGTGACCAGCAGGGCAGGGTCTGACACCCCCTGGTATAAGACCCCTGTTTGCTGTATAGCTTGCTGGTGTCACTGCCAGCTTATTTAGGGTCCCAGCTGATTTGTGTGACCACACCAGGGCCCACTTGGTGTTGAGGCCTGAGGGGCCCCAGGAGGGAGACAACACGCCAGGGGTGTAGCTGCCCAGGTTCTCCTTTGTCATCTTCCCCTCGCCCTCCTCACCCGCTCTGCTTCCTGCGCTCTTCTGCCAACCTTTTTTTAGGTAGGACTCATTAGTCATTGAAATCATTGCTTCTTCCTGGCCATTTTCATTTTAATCCCCAGTGTGGGAGCTCCAATTTGGTCTGCCCATTGCCACGTGAAGTAGTCAGGAGCCTGTTAAGGGAATGTTCCAGGGACGACACAGGGCGTGTGATTTCAAGGGAGGGCAGAAAGTCAACGGGGGTTCCCAGATGCTCATCTTCTGACCCCTGCTGGGCCATGAGGAGGTTTCCACCACTGGTCTTTAAAATGAGAATAATAGAGTTTTTCATTAAACCAAAATCTATTTAATTCAAAAGGACTGTCTTCTATACCTGCTTTATTTGGGGGCATTAAAAACAACTCTTTTATGAAATAACTGAGGATATATAAGTAGACAGGTTTTTGTTGTTTGATCTCATTTAGTTTTTTAAGATTAACTCTGTTGAGGCGTAATTTATATACAGTGAAAGCACACATTTTAAGTGTAGTTGGATGAGTGTTGACATATGTATACACCCGTGTAACTAGCCCTCTGGTCAGGACTTGGAACTTTGCAGGCCCTCCAGAAGTTTCTGGTGGCCGTTTGCAGTCAGTGCCCATGTTCTGGCACCAAGGCAAGCACTGATCTGCCCTCTGCACCTACAGATTAGTCGTGTCTGCTCTAGCAAACCATGGAGAGGGGATCCAACGGCATTTATCTTCTGTACCTGGCTGCATTCCTTTAATGTAATGTTTTGGAGATTTACCCATGTAGCTGAGTATAACAGTAATTTGTTTCTTTATATTAATAGCATCCCACTGTATGGATATGTCACAATTTGTGTATTCATTTCTTTCCTGTTGGTGTTTGTTTTAATATTCTTACCTGATGATACAAAAGGTTATCATTTTGGTGTCGCCCCTCTCCCCACTTTGTTTTACTCCTCCCAGGAGACCCTGGGTCAGAGTATCAATTCCTGTTACCCTTGAAGCTGTACCTTCCTGCGGGTCCTAGTAGCACATCCGTCTGGGACTGTGTCTGCAGATGCATGTCCTGCTGACTGGTGGCAGAGATAGAGATGGGGTGGGGAAAGCTGAAGCAGTGCCAGTCTGGCTTCTCTCTGAGAACAGCACGTTCTAGGCTGAAAATTGCTGTGTGTCACCTGCTGGTCAGCAGAATGAAGCTGCAAAATTTGTGCCTGCGCTCAGCTGCACCTGCCACAAGTAATGCCATTAACCGGATGACAGCAGTCATCTTACAACCCCGCTTCGCATGCCTCTCAGTCACTGACACGTGGCATCAGTTACGCTGCATTATGCTTGCCATTTTCAGTTAGTTAGGACCAGAGTGGGTAAAATTTAATTTTGAAATCACATTTCAGCATAGCACAAAACACGGGCCTGGGAAATTGATGGTTAAGACGAGCAGAGACTATCACACTCATGTCATAGAAATAAGCTGGTGTTTCCAGCATTGTTTGAAATCCCTTGCATTTTAACTTACATGTCAACACGGTAACATAAAGAAATAAGCCAACACTGGTGTGTTTATTTTTTAATATTTTGTTTCCCGAGAGTTTCTATTCTTGTAAAATCTGGAAGTAATCGGCAGAAGAGTTTGTTGTCTCATCTTTTTTCTGAGTGGTCATCTGCAGTAGTGCCCCCTGCCCTGTTCTCCATCCTGTCACCAGGGGTACTCCCCTTCTTTCACAACCAAGGTCACAGCTCACAGTCGTGTTGCTTTCAGTCTGGTTATTTTCAGTCATTGTCTTGTTTGCTGATCTTCCCCTGTGGGTACAAGCTCCCAGGGCCCTTGTCAGTCTTGTATGACACAGACCCCCCCCCAGTGCCCACCCCGTGCCTGACTGGTACCAGTCACCCAGTGGATCACCCAGCAGTGTGATGCATGCTAGCCTGGCCACAGGTGCTCTCATTAGGCACAGCCTGTCTGGCGCTTCGGTGATGACTGAGTGACCGTGTGCCCTTTGTAAACTTCCCCCCCGCCCCCACCCAGCTCCTCATGCTCCATCCGCACTGATGGAGTCAGTCACTGATGAGCCATTCTGCCCCTTGCTCATCCTCGTGATGTGGCTGGTGGCTCTTAGTCATGCAGGGAGAGTGTGGGCAAGTCGAGCTTCTTGATTGTGTCCGAGTCCAAGCATGCCAAAGCCTCCCATCTTCCCTCCTCCCCACCTTCCCTCCCGCCTTCTCAGCACCACCCTCCAGCGCTCCAGTATACCCATGTCCTGGCTCTGGGCTGAGTTCAGCACCCGCAGGGTACATCTGTTTTGTCTTGGCTTTCCTTAACAGAGAGGTAGACCTCTATGCCCCCTGCCCACCCTCTGGACATTGTCCTGGCTGCCGGGCACCCTCCAGCCCCTTGCTCTTAGAAGCACGTGTCCCATTGTCATCTCCTCTAAGGAGCCTTCTGCATTCCGGCTACGCTCCGAGGTGCCCGCCTTTTCTCACATGGCTGCAGGGCATCAGCCCCATTGACCAGTATCACTTTTGTCCACTTAGAGACCCAAGAAATGCAGAACTACACACAGACAACTTAGGTCACACACATGATGTCCAGGACAAAAGCTTTCCTGATTTTAATCATCTGGGTTTTGTTTAGGTGCCATAGTAACAGTCTCCTCTTGTCTCATTCTGCTCTGACTCCTGATCAGTGGCCTGAGAAGGAGGGAGAAGCAGAGAAAACATGAGTAATGAATGATAACGAGGATGTATAACCTCACGGAAGTGTTCCAGGGAAAACTTGTCGACCATCTGCTAATAATTATCAAGTACCCCAGTCAGTGGCAGCCATTCTCCTTTCCATTGTGTGAACTTAGGTCTGTGAGCTCCCCCTTCTAATTTCAGTCAGTCTGGCCCTAGACACTTAGGGCCAAGAGATCTCATCTGCTGAGTCCTCCCTGAACTTAAAAGACCCTGAAGTGAGACATGCTAAATTGCAGAACTGCAGGGCAGCAGTTCAAATTGGATCTTGTTTTTACAACTGAAGAACCACATGGCAGGCACCGTGGGGCCAGGGACTGACAAAGTCGTGGAACAATATTAACCCGAGGCAGCAGGTGCAAACTGGTGGTGGAGGATATGGGGTTTTGTTGGCCTGAACAGATTTTTTAAATTTTGCATGAATTGTCAGTATTTAAAACTTGGGAGACCTGACATAGAAACCCAGATTTGCCAAGATCCTGTGAAAAGTCAGTAAAAGCAGGAACTAGGGCCAACATTCCTGCAAGGCAGCACTCGTAGGGCAAAACAGCAGCTCCTCTTAGGGCAGGTGTGTGCCCTCCACTTGGCCATAGACCTTGGGATTTCCTGTCATGGAGAAAATCACCTTGATGACATGGTGGCCTCCAGGGATGCTCAGAGTCCAACTGCACCGTACAGAAAGGCTCACAGAGCATTCAAAAGCACACAGAGATGTAGAGGAAGGAGGGGTAGGTGGCACCCTGATGGTGGGCTAGCAGGTGGGCCGGGTGTTCTATCTGACCCCTGGTCACAACTAGTTCATCTGTCCCCTCTCTGTCATCTCAGCCTTTCGTACTTACTATGTGCTTAAAAGGACCAGAGTGAAGTTTTAGACGAGGGGCCATGGCAGACAAAGGGTGCCCAGAGCCAGTGCACCTTCTCCATGAAAGGAAGCAGGCACAGGCACACCCAGCCAGCCACCTGCTGTGAGCAGTCCTGGGTTTCACCTGTACTTCTCCAGTAGAGCACATATGGTACCAGGATGGGACCAGGCTGGTTGTCATCAAGGCTGGTCAGTTCAGGGGAGACTTAGCTGTCATCCCAGAGGGTGCATATCATGAGGCAGCATTTCCCTCCCTTTCCGTCCCTAAGTAACATTCTCATCTGTTCCATCATGTTTGGTTTTTTAAAATTATTCTATCTTTGGCATGTCTTACAGTTTATCAACCTGTGGCCTGTATTTAACACAGCTTGCACACCTTAGGAATTTTGTTGTACCTCACAGGCTACTTGCTTACTATCCTAGATCTGTTTTGACAGATCCTATGAGATTTGCCTATACCTCATAAGCTTCTTGCTTATTTACTGGCTGTATTTAACACTAATTAGCTGCATCCATCCTCTATAGCACAATTGGATGTTCTCAGATAGTATGGTAGACTCCTGCTCTCGCTGAACATCCATGCACTGGACCGCACTGCCCTTCGTTCTTGACTGATCTCTGTAGGCAATTGCAGCTCTTCAAGGAAAGAAGCTAACATCTATCAAGCACCTTCTTTACCCAAGGCATTTTGCTAGACATTTCCACAAATTTGGAGAATGTACCAAAATGGGGGTAGTATTTGTATTTCACCAATTAGGAAATTATGAATGACTTGCCCAAGGCCACACAGCTAGTTAGTAGATCAAGATACCTAATGTTCATGTCAGGTCTAAGTGCACTGAGCCATACTTGTTCCCTTACTTACTCATTTTAATGTACCTTCCAAATATCACTACTTTCTACACATTTATAAGTTGAGGCTATATTTTAGTATTGCCCTAGAGATAATGGTCGTTTTCAAATCCTTGCCTGTTTTCAAAATCTACTGTTATTTTTGTGTATGTTTTAACTTTTTGCCTTGAATGCTGACCAAGTCATGGGTACTTTGTAAATTGGGGCTGTTGTTAAGGCTTTGGTAAACCTGAAGAATTTGATGGTAGATTGGCCTGCCAGGAAGCATGAAGAAGAAATGCCTAGAAAAATTGCAGTTTGGGAGTTCAAGCAATCACATTTGCAGTCCAAGAAATTTCTCTTTATTTGGCAGAACAGAAATAAGAGCCATTCCAGTCTATTAGATAAACTCTGTACAGATACATCTTTTGGAAATACTCCCTACTTGATAGAATATAGATGTTCAGAAAGTGTAGAGTGTTGGCGTCTGAATCTGTGCTTATTAGCAACTGATGGATTATCTCCCTGCACGTGTATTAGCACGGCCGAGACAAATGGAGTGTTGCTTATGCCATGTCCACCTAGATTTAAATCTTCAGGTTCTGTACTATTTTAAAACATAAATAGCAAGTGAAAGTAACTACACTAAGACTTGAAGAATCACATTTTATCCTAGGATTTTTAAAAAATTTATCACCCATCCCATCTCTTTGCAAACTTTCAGTCTTCTACTGAAAAGTGAAAAAAAATTTTTTTTTCTTTCCCGGTTTTCACACAAACCAACTGATCTTTTATATTGCCCTTCCTTGGACAGCCATATTTATCTTCACAAAGTAAATGCTTCCTGTGTAAGAAGTGACTAAGAAGAAATGAGATTGAGTTACAAGCACAGAAGAAAAGCAGTTATTATTTTATGGTCATGCCTTCAATTTCCATTTCACTCAAATTCCTATTTTTTTATTATAAGATTATATTAGTATTCCTCCTTCCTTGGTTTCAGAATTTTGGGAGTTTTGCATCTCTTCCTAGAATAAAATTTGTTTTAAAATCACAAAATCGTTTGAACTTTCCCTTTTGCAGTTGCTACCCATGGATACGCTTACCTTTCAGTAATGAATAATATAACGCCTTTTTAAGAACGGAGTCACAGTGCCAGGAGTCACCATCTGTTGAGTGTCCAAGCACTGTGTCTAGTCTCTTCGCATTTTTTTTAGTTCATCTGCAGGTTAGGAATCATGAATGCATTTTACAGATGAAGAAATCGGGACCTGAAAGAATTGAGTAATTTATCCAAAATCACACGACTAATAAGTTGCTGGGCTAAAGTCAGGATCCAAGTCAGAGTTAATTCAGAGCTTTTCATTATTTTATTATCTCATGATGACTGGTGGAGACTTTACATTCCTTGGTTTGCCTCTGAATATCTGGGTAATTTAAAGGAAAATTGCTTAGACTGTCATTCTCGCAATTTCCCACCGTGTTAAAGTAGAATAAGTCCCCGTATACCTCACCTGCTTCACAGAGGTGTTGGCAGAGGGGGAAGCACTTTATCAGTGACAATCTTGTACTTAAAGGCCCCCATCTCCCAGATTCTCAGGGCCTTCACACATTTTATTAAATTTACCTTCAAACTACCCTGTGAGGTAAGTATACTGAAATAAGCGGTATTACAGCCTGTTTTGAAGATGCTGAAGTTAAAGCATCGGGAAGTCATTATTTCTGGTTATTGCAAAAGGCAGGATTTGGGCCAGCCTGAAAGCCCTGTTGGACTTAGTAGCACTTCATAGCTGCCTCGAGTGTGAGTGTAATTTGGGAGTCAATCACTAGGCTCATTGCTTCCTAGCACACCAGGTTTGGACCAGGTTCACAAGCCTGAGGCTCTGAGGCACCTTCTGTACTTGTCGGTGATGCATTTGCATAGAAATGTGTCTGAGATTTTCCTGAATCGAATGGCTGTAGAATCTCCTATTTGAGCGGCTCCCCTGCTTTCAGGAATCTTCACTCTCCAAGCTCCATACACCTCCCATTTGTGTTACCCACAGACGGGCAGATCGAGGACTGGCATTGGACTGCCCTTTCCTTGTGCAATGTGCTGTCTTTAGAACCAGGCTCTTCCTGCAGAGGCCCAGCTTCTTCCCTCAAGTACCTTTGAACAGAATTTCTGCAGTTGGTCAAGCTTCAGGTTCACAGGGCCCACTGCACTGGAGGGGGAAGCCTGCTTGGATTAGGAACTGTTACACAGTTGCGGACATGGTCCAGATGGCAACTGTTCCCTTGCCTTGTGTCCCTGGATGGCTGCTGACCAAGTCTCTCTTTCTTTACTCCCACCTGGCTGCAGAGCTCTGCCCTCCTTTGGGCTCCCCAGAAGGAGAAGCCGGTGAACGTTCCCAAAGTGTCCCTAATGGAGCCAGAGGAGGGGATACATTGCAGATACATCTCAGAGCAAATAACTTAAAATACCCCATTAGACTATTGTGTTCTCCCAAGAGCACCAGCCTTTCCGTTCCTCCTGCCTAGCTATTCCTGGGAGCTCCAAGTGCTGCCACCTTACTAAGCCTAGGAGTTCAGCTCCAGCCTACTGGCTCAGCCTTTATCCCTAAACTGTGTAGGTTAACAGGACCCACCCTCCTAAAGGCAGTTTAGAGACTATCTGTTGTTTCTTAACGTGTCTTTTAGGAGCCTCATACCTACCTACCCTAAAATTGTTTTATCACAGTATGTTTTCTAAATCAATGTTCTCTCTAAAGGGAATTTGGTAAATGAGATTTTCTCTTTCTTTGTTTTACAATTTGCCCTCTTACGTCCCGTAATGCCTACTTTCTAAAACCTTTAAACAGTTACAGGTAAGTCAGAAAAGGACTATAATGCAGGTCACACTGTTGCCCACACTTCAGGATGAAAAAGTAATTAGAAAATGTTTCAGAAAAGTGTATATTGAAAAGAGGCTGTGAGTGCCACTGTCTCCATTATTTCTTTTATTGCTTAACAAATATTTGGTACCTGTAATATAATTTTTTTAAAGACCATAGTAGAAGCATCAGGATACCAAGGAACAGAAAAGATGAATAACTAGTTCATCCATTCAGGAGACAATTAAGTGTGGGAAGAGAAACACGTGAGAAAAATTGAGCAGCATGGAGCCAATGGGCTCATGGAGGCATAATCGGAGGACGTCAAGGCAGATGTACATTTTTGCTTGCTTGAGACCGATGGGTGGATTTCAGTGAGTGCAGACGAGAGAGGAGGTGTTCTGGGCAATGGGAACAACAAAGACAGAGGCCCAAGGGTAGAAAAGGACAAGTGATGACTTGGTAATAGGAAGCAGTGCAGAAGGAGGCTAACCTTGGAGAGGGGCTCTCCTCTCAGGTAGAAGTGAATCAGGAAAATTAAGTGAGGATGAAGAGGTTTTGAAGGAAGGGAAATGAATGTAGCAACAGCATCATTTTGAAATGTGCTAAAAGGATACTCAGGGAGTTGATCTTAGGTGACTCTAATCATCTCAGTAAACCGAGTTCATTATAAGGATGGAAAAATCTAGAACATTTTGAAATACTCATCGCAGAGAATGGAATTTGGAAGGATTTCCAAGTAGGAGTGACTGCTGAGCTAAAATGGCATACCTGTAGTGTAAATTCATTCTACCCTCCTAGGGGGCTGTCTTCAGCGTGCAGGACAGCACCCAGGAGAGCAGGCTGACACCATAGGCACTCAGTTTGGGGGACTGTTCTGATGGGACCCACAAGAAGGCTTAGAGAGTCAGGGATTTGGAGGTGCTGGTCTCCCAGTGTCAGGAGGACTAACCTGGAGTCCGGCCTCTGTAATTGATCCAAGAGAAAGGAGATAAGCTAGGAGACCACGAAGAGGTCACAGTGAAGATAGCCAGGCAGAGTCAGCACCTATGGGGTGTGCATGCCCACAGAAATCAGAAAGCACCGGCACTGTCTGTCCTCAGAAAGATTTGGGGATGGCAGAGGCAGATCACATCGAGGAGCAATCAGATGGCAGCCTGTGATCTCTCTGGGATATTGATGTGATTAATGGGGTGTTGGCTTCTTTTACTACTTCTGGCTTAGTACCATTTGCAACAGTTGTCTAAGAGATTTTAATTAAATCTAATATACTAATGCTTGTTACTATACAGATTCATACATTTGGAATATATTTCATGTTTTCTCAGACACACTCATAGTTATGTTGCTGCATAAGACTTTCAGTAGAATTAGTTAATGAATTAGACCCTGCTCTCTTGGAAACATTGAGGTCTTCCTGCATGCATCTCTTACCAGCCACAGCTTAGAGTCACAGAGCCTAAACTTTTCAAATCACACATAGTTATCGCTGGAAAAGTTATTGAGCAGGCACACCCACTATATTGATTTTTATCTGTATAGATAGTGTAACATTTACTAACTGTACATAGTATTTATTAGGATACACTTTCAGAAGTAGAGATCTAGAAAGAATAAGATTAAAAAAAAAATAGAAGTACCAATAGTTTATTTCCATACTCCATGGAGCATCTTGTCTCTTCCTCTGTGAGGCCCACCAGCTGGGAGAGTATAAATTAGTTTTCATTTTCTATAGTATGTAAGGAGATTTTAATTAAACCTTATCCATTAATGCTTGTTACTATTATATACAGGCATGTTCTTTAGGAATATATTTCTTGTTTGCTCAAACATGTTCATAGTTATGTCACTGCCTAAGCTTTATTTTGCAAAAATCAGACAGAACTTTTTTTAGTATATATTAGGTTGCTATTAGACTATTTCTTCTAAACAGTTACTAATTACAAAGATTTTTTTAAAAATATGCTTGAGGTAGCTCCCGCATATGTTGCTTTAAAAAATATTGCTGAAGAGGACTCTTCAAGTAACTGTAAAGGCAGCTGGTTGGAGTATGATTCCTTGAATGAAAAACTGTTGATTCTCCTCTTTACACTGCTAGATATACATAACCAAATATCTACTGATGACAGATCTTAACACTGGCAATCCTTAAACCAGCAAAATAAGTATATAACATAAATTTGTGGGAAGCACTCAATTGAGAATTGTTTATAAGTAAATGCAGTCCATCTTGAGGACATGTTTATGGCGTTTAAGTTGCGCTTGATCATTTTATGGCCCAGGAAAGAAGGATTTGTATCAGTGAAACCACTCAGAGGGAGAGAAGTAATGAATTTGCTCCTCAAATATATGCAGTAATGATATCTTGCATTCTCAACATTAAATAAAATAATTCAGTGTTTTGGTCTGACTTATTTGTTGTACTGATCTTCTGTTCCTCCCCTCTGCATCAGCACCCCATTTCATGCCCAATTTTAATTTGGGACAGAAAAGGGCTTTAATTTTGTCTCTTAATTTTGCCTTTCTGTCTATTTTTTCTCAAGCTTCCCATGAGCAGATCCTCAGCTCTGGGCATGGAGTCTTTCCATTCAAGGGAAAGGATTTAACGCTTTTTCTGTGCCGTGATCATACATGCAGTTGCCTTGTCTACCATTTCTGATGTGATTGCTGGTGATACTCATCATCTTCATCTTGTTTGCGTGTTGATAAACAAGGGGATATTCAAATGTGTTATATAAAGTGGGAAGCTTGAGCCTTGCTCATCCCCATATTTAGCCTGAATTCAGGTGAAAATCTCAAGAGTGAAGAATTTTTAAATCTCTCATGCCTTACTATGAACTCGTGTTACAAATATATTGAGAGTGCACCATATTCTCTGCAGTTTTTTTTTACAGTCATACTATTGTAACTAATTCAATAATCTTTGATTCATGTGAACCTTAATGAAACCACCAGAACAGAATAACAGCAACCAAGACTCCAGTAGGCCATGCTTTCTGTTTTACCAATTGAGGTCAAGCCTGAACTCTTACCTAATTTGAAAAGTAAAATAATGGCAAGTATGTCTCTCAGAAAACTACTGGCATCTAATATGGTACCAGGCACGTGGTAGGAGCTCAGTAAATGTGTATCTCTGCAATGAGAGTCCACCCACCCCACCCCACCCCAGTTACTACCAAAGACAAATAGCTTATACCCTTAGAAGGCTTAAAATCTCCTAAGTAGAGAGATATATAATTAGTATTAGTTACATAAATGAATTAGTGCAACATTAATTATGTAATTAATATCCTGTGCTGTGTGTTCTAATCATGGTGTGAACCAAATGCTAAGGGATCATGGAGGGGATGGAATAAATGATTCTTCCAGGGAGAAAGGAGTGGGAATGGGGCTGCTGCCCAAGGAAAAATCATGGTTTGGACACTACCCTGGGGGCTGAGCAGGAGCTCTCCAGGTACAGAAAGGGGTGTGTGGTTGAGGAGGCCGTTCAGAAGACCCTTCAGAAGACCTACGAATATACTATATTTCTTTATTCACACGTTGTCTGGGGTGTGAGATTTTTAGTTCACTGAGAGCTGGGATTGCCTAGGAAAGTCCCTAAATGCCGCACTAAGGGCTTTGGCCTGGGAGGGTAGTGAGACATCTGATTTTGAAGTGACAACATGACCAGTGGTTTATAGTCAGGCTGCTCGGACCTTAACCTGCATCACAGTTCCCTGGAGGGTTGGTCAGAACAGACTGCTGGGCCCCAGCCCAGAGTTTCTGATGAAGGAGCTGTGGGTGAGACCTCAGAACATGCATTTCTAACAAGTGCCCCAGTGCAGCTGATGCTGCTAACCACTGGTTTAGACAGTAAACTGAAATATCGAGGGCAGAAGTCATTGAGGTCTGTATGTGAGTTTATTAAAATATCAAGTAAGGTAAGAGGCAAAAATCACTACCCAGAATATGCCAGTAATGATTTTCATTGTTCATCATTTTTGAGACCGTATTATATACACAGGGTTAATGGTTCCAGAGAGTCCCCTCTCTGTCATTAATGGTAGGATTCCTGGAGTCACCAGAAGAGTCACAAAAAGACTCCTCTGATACCTTCACTGACCTCACTAAGCTCAATTCAGAGGAATACAGTAAGTTTATAACATCATTGTTAGGTTCTTGGAAACTGCAACTTTAAGCAAACCAACTATAGCAGGTCCTCAAATGACATCATTTCATTCAACATCATTTTTTTACAGCGTTGATGAGAAAATGTGGTTTGGCTGTATGTTGTTTTGCCTAAAGTTAGTTTCCAGGAACTATTGCCGATGTTAAGTGTGGATTTAACTGTACATAGAAAAGGTAGCTTTGGGCAGGCTAAGTTCTTTCCACATTGGGCCATCTTTCTTTCTCCTCCCAGCTCCACACACACACAATGGTAGCATCCCACCTTCTATTATAAGCACTCAAGGGTGGAGGGTGGTATTAAGGCAGAAGGGGGTGTATTGGATGCTTTTGGGGGAACATTCTTAGACGGGGATTTTATCTTCTTCTTGCTGTCTTGTCATCTTGTGCCCAAATGCCTTTTATATCTATTGCCTAGGAAATCACTTAGCTATATCATCATGTTCTCCCCAGCATTTGGTGTATGCAGTTCATTAGAGAAGTTGATATCACTTATAAGGACCACTGGGGCCACTGTGGGAAAGAAGAATGATACCCAAAATTGTGAGGCAGGTTCGAAGTACCATTTCACTATTCAGAGATTTCAAAAAATGGTGCAACATTAATTAGCTGTGAAAGCAACAAAGAGGAAAACACCATAGGCTAAAGCCCCACAAGCTGAGTGTCCAGTTCCTTTATCCTGATTTTGTTTGAGGCCTGCACAGAGAGATTTAAAAAAGCCATTGCTGATTCATTGTCACTAAGAGGCAGAGTATATTGAAGACAAGTCCATCTGGGGGCTCCCCTTTCCAACTCTTCAGAATGCCTGTGATGTGTCAAGTTCTGTTCTAAGGTGCAGTGACCAACAGGTAAAAATCTTAGCTCTCCTTAGAGCTTACATTCTAGTGGGGAAGAGAGGCAAGAAACAAGATATATTAGTAAATCCAGACCATGTTAGGTAATCAGAAGTGCTAAGGAGAAAAATAATTTAGGGAAGAAGAGTAAGCAGTGTTGAATGGGAAAGAGGATGCAATTTTAGATAGGATATCCAACAGGGAAATCACTAAGAAAGTGACTTTTGAGCAAAGACTTGAAGGAAATGAGGGAGCTAGTCATGTGAAAATGTGGGAAATGAACATTCCAGAAAGAGGAAAAGCATATGCAAAGTCTCTAAGGCCATACTTGCTGTGTAGCATCTTGGGTATACCCTAGATGAGCAAGGAAGAAAGTGGTTGTGGAAGAGCCAGGGAGGAGACAGATTGTAGAAATCCTTGTAGATCACTGGAAGAACTCGAACTCATACCCTGAGTGAGATGGGACATGTTATGAGGATGCTTCATATGAGCAAAGAAATGGCCCCATCACACTTAATGTTTAACAAGATCACTTAGGCTCCTGTGTTGAGAAAAAAATGAAGGAAGGAGGCAAGACTATAAGCAAGGAGACCAACTAGGAGGCTGTTAAAAATAATCCAGGCAAGAGAAGATGGTGACCAACATATGAACAGTGGAGATAGTGAGAAATGGCCATTTTCTCATTCTATTTTGGAAGCTTGGCAAGAAGGGATTCACCGACTGACTGGATGTGAGATGTGAACAGGAAAGACAAACATCAAGGATGATGCCAGAGTTTTTGCATGGAACAGGGAGAAGAATAGCATTGTCATTTACTGAGATGGGGAAAGGGAGCAGGTTTGAATGAGATTAATTTTGGTAAGTGCAGCCATGATAAGTGTGAGATGCGTATTAGACATCTGAGTAGGCCAGCTTGTCAAGTAGCCAGTCGGATATACGAGTCTGGGTTCAGGAGAGAGGTACAGGCATCCAGGGAGTCATCCACATGTAAATTTATGCCGTGAGATGGGATGAGGTCACCAAAGCAGTGAGTGCAGGTAGAAAATAAAACATGTTCAAGATTGAGCCCTGGAGGACTCGATGTTTAGAAGTCAGGGAGATGAGAAATCCCAGATGAAAAGAAAACTAAGATAAAAGTGTAGCAGTGGAAGCTGAAATAAATGAAAAAGATGTTTGAAGGAGGAGAACGCTATCAGACAGCTACGTCAGATCCTTCCCATAGACTGAGTACGATCAAAACCAAAAATTGACCAGTGGATTTAGCAATACAGAAGCCATTGCTAACCTTGGTAAGAGTAGTCTGGGTGGAATGGTGAGTAGATTTCTGAAAGACACCGCAATTAACAATTTTCTCCTCTCCTGCACCAACACAGCCTCCTTTCTGTCATATTACTCCATGAGCATTTAAACGCACCATTATTTCTCTCATCTTAAACTCCCATTTCGACTTGCCTTTCCCTTCCGTCTGCCACTCCACTTCTGTCCTTTCCATTAAAACAAAATTCCTGAAAAATTTTTGATGTCATCAATTTCTTCCCATTATTCCCTGGAATTTTGTTTTAAGGACTTAAGGTTGTCAGCTGAGAGGATGGAGAGAGGTGTTAAAGACTTGAGGACAAAGAGGAGTAATCATTTTGTAAGAGAATGGAAGAGTGCACAGAATTGGAAAACGTGGCATGATTGGTGGGTGTCATCAATTGCCACTTGATGGTGGCAATTGTGACTTTAAAATGAGATCAGTCTGTTTGGTGGCGTGTTATTCCTCAGCCCCATTCTGCTGGGCAGGTGCAGGCAGGGAGTGAGCAGACAGTTGGTTTTAACAAGAGTAGTGAGTTATTTTTGTCCAGAGAATTTCAAGAGTGGGACAGATTTGAGGTTTTGTGCTTATGAGGATTTCTCATGGTTTTCAAGTTGAGTGAGGAAGAAACCAGGGCAGAGGTAAAAGGACATTAGAGGTCAGGGTGTTGGAGGGATCATCTGGGTGATTAATGAAATTACCAAGAATCATGCAGGAGATCAATAGGGCTGAAGCAGATGACAGTGAGTAGACTCTAAACCTTCAAGGAATTGGGGAAGCAACCAGGGTGAATGGCTGCCTGCAAGGAGGAGGGTAGAGCAGCAGGGTCTGAAAGCACTATGCTCACAGAGTAGAGAGTTCAGAGAGGATACAGGAGCAGTTATTTGGAAGTTGGAGTGAAGAACAAGAGTATCGACCGCCATCCCAGCACGGTAGGATGAAGAGTGTGGGGGGAGAAGACAGTCCCGGCTGGAGAGCATTGCCACGGAAGTGCTTCCTCACGGGAGAGCCGGGTTTCAGTTACAGCAAAGATGAAAGGGATGTTCCAGAAGAGGCTGAGGTCCTGGGGGATTTTGCTGATGATTGCCCATGAGCCCAAGAAGTGCAGTGGAAGCATTTCAGGAGAAGGAAGGAGAGCCAGGAACATCAGTCTGAGGAATGTGAGAAACCTAGGCTTTTGGAGGTGGCTTTCTGAGGAATCTTGAGTCCCAGTATAGTATAGTCTCACCTGTGAAACATCCTGCATCTTACTACTCACAGGTCATGAAGTGGTTCCATTAACTTCCTGGGCTTTTCTGTGCAAACAGGCTGCAGCATGCCCTGTTGGAAGGCAGCAGGGCCCACTTGTGCTCCAGTTTTGTCTTTGCCACCTGGTTTGTGTCCAGCCAAGACTGTGGATTGTTGGGCTGTGGGCCGGAGGAAGCCCCCACATCCTCACTGATTGTGCTGGCCTTGCTCTCAGTGCCTCAGTGGGGTCTGCTGAGGAGGAGCAAGCCAGAGAGGAAGGCCAACCAGCTCACAGCCAGGAGCAGGGTTTCCCAAGCTCAAGTGACGTGCTTGCCAGCTTTAAATGCTTACTACTGCAGAGCACCTCCACTCTTGTTTGTAATGATTTTCTGTAAATACATTCACTTTTGTTTTCTTATGGAAATGTCTTTTTCAAGGAAACTCATAAGAAACCTGCCACAATTGAAAAGTTATTGTAAAAAATGAGTACAGAACCAGAATGATGAAAAATTTAAAAATGTACATCCTCATACACCCTAGATCATCTCATTTGCCACTTTTGGGAAGTGAGCGAATGAAAGAATGGCTGGGACTCAGACTCACTCCTCCTTACAAAGCTGCCCACCTGTGTCTTCTCTCTTTCTTGTTTCTACTTTCTACTGATGGCCCTATGATTTACCTGCGGGAGAATCAGGCTGAATTATTGTGCTTGAGAAGAGCATTTCCCTTATGTGCAAGTTAAGTTCCCATAAAGGAGCATGGCCCGTGCAAAGGCCCTGAGGTGGCAGAGAATATGCGCATTCAGGGATGCAGCAGGAGTGAAGACACCTAGCAGGAGAGGCCTGCAGACAGGCTGCTGTGGGCAGGTTAAAAATGTAGGTCTTTTTCTATGAGCAGCATGAAGCTCGCCTTAAGGAGGGTCACCTCCCAAATCAAATGGTTAGATTTGAGTTCTAAAAGATCTGTTTTCAGTCATGCAGAAAAGAGATTGGAGAGGGCAGATGTGGGGTGGACAGTTGGGAGATGCTCTTGCAGAGTCCACAGGAGACCCAAAGGCCTAAAGTCAAATGGTGCTGATGGCAAAGGATGGAAGGATAAAGTTCTAAGAAATGTTTAGAAGGCAAAAGGAGCAAGACTTAGCACTTGCTTGAATGCAGGGATAGGAAGAGAAGGGAGGTCAGGGATGACTTCAGCATCTCTGGCTGGCATTGCTGGGTAGGTGGTGGTAGAATGCTTTGAAATGGAGAATACCAGAGCTGGGACTGGAGGGAATATGTTGAGTATGGTTTTGGACAAATTGAATTGGAGGTTCCTGGGTGACATGGGAAGAAAGATGTGCCAAGTTGGGTATGTGGGTCTAGAGCGCAGAAGAAAGGTGGGAAGTGGAGAAAGGAATTGGAGATTCATTGGCCTGTGCTTTAGGTGTGATTGTAAAGGCTGATGTGGTCTACCTGCCTCTTCTTGTCACTGTGACCTTTCATATGTGAGCTGATGTGCAACAGAGTTTCCACTCCAGCTAGCCTATTAAAGGCTGAATTGATTATTCTCCCTCTGAAAAAAAGCAAAATATACTGTTGTGTTATTATACTAACAATGACTGAGAGGCAGTGAGATTTTTTTCCTCTTCCACCTCCTCTTCTTTAAAAGTGTTTCTATAAAAAGGGACACTTTTTATAACCAATTAAGAGATGACCATCTGCCCTTCACTTTACATAGACAAGCTGCCTGTAACAAGATCTGAGAGCCAAAGCTGCATGTTTAAGTAAAGTACATTTATTATTTCTAAGTTGTATTTATGCAGCTAGATTAATGTTTTCAGTTCTAGAGAAATTTTACATGCTAATCACTTTTTTTAAATTTAATTTTTAAATTCTTTTGAAAAATTTTAGTGACTTTTGCTTCTTAATGCTTATTCATTTTGGTTTTCCTGGTTAATAGATTACTGTCCTAGATGAGACATGGACTGTATTCAGGCGTTACAGTCGTTTTCGAGAAATGCATAAAACATTGAAGTTAAAGTATGCAGAGGTAAGTTATGAAATTATTATCTCCGATTAAGAGCATTCATTTTATAAAGTAAATGAGCTGATTGCATTAGCAATGTTATCTCTCTCTCTGTCTCTCTCTTTCAGATACTAGCTTATTAGTGTCACTAAGTCTTACTTCAATAACCCATTTATCAAAGATAACTTTAAATTTTTTCTTCTTTGTTCCATTTCTGTTCTACACAATTTAAACATTTTCTTAACAGAAGATTTTGAAAGTGATATTACAATGACAGTAAGTGAACTCCATCCTTCTCATAAATTTTATGGTAAATTTTAAATACATATTTTAATCAATTTATAACTTCTCAATTATGAGACCTATTAAAATTAAAATAACTTCTTCATATAGATTTACACTTTTTTCTTTAAAAAAGAAAGACTACATTCATGCTTAGTCTTATACTTAATGAGAAGTCAAGTCATAACAGTTATTTTGCCATTGAACGTAGAGGGAAAGGTAGATAGAAAATGCAGAATTATCTAGAGACCAGAAAGCATTTCATGCATCAGATCAAATATCCAGAGGGTATTAATACATTAGTCGTCTTTTCCTTTTTGAACAAACACAGGTTTCTCAAGTAATTTTAAGCAAAGTATTCCTAGAAGGAATGTGTGTTTTCCAAGTAATGATGATGATGAAGATGATTTTACTTCAACTAAAGGAAGCATTATCTAGGTCCAGCTTTCTGGGAATTTTGTGTTGAACTGACTGCAGATCAATCAACAGTCATTGTCTAACTAGCCTGCTTTCACCAATTATTGGTTTTGAGCACTATTTTTATGGTTTTTTATGACATTTTAAAATATAGTTAGAAATTTGGTTCACTAATTTGGTTCACATTAAATAATGTTTCCTTAACATTCTCATGGCTTCCACCCTTTTTAAAATCTGATATAAAATACAAAGAGAAATAGCTTTTTGTAAATAAAATAGTTCCCTGGTGTATAGAAGAATCTTGAGCTCAGGTAGAATTAAGCTGTGTTAGTTTGTTTGCATTGCTATAAAGGATTACCAGAGACTGGGTAATTTATGAAGAAAAGAGGTTTATTTGACTTACAGTTCTACAGGCTGTACATGAAGCACTTCTGGTGAGGGCCTCAGGAAGCTTCCAATCATGGTGGAATATGAAGGGGACCCAGTGTGTCACATGGGGAGACAGGGAGCAAGAGAGAAAGGAGGGGGTCCTAGACTCTTTTTCACAATCAGATCTCAAGGTACTCATTACCATGGGATACCATCAAGCTGTTTGTGAGGAATCTGCCCTCAAGATCCAACACCTCCTACTAGGCCCCACCTCCAACATTGGGGATCATATTTCAACATGAGATTTGGAAGGAACACACATCCAAACCATATCTTAAGCTATCTCTGAAATTCTGTTACTAAGCTGTCACACTCTCTAGTCTTTTATTAAAAATTTAGGAAACTTCAAGTGGGAATTTGTTCCCAAGAGGCTTCTTGTAACAGTAATAACATCAAAATCAAGTTATTAAGTTTGTTTCTGCAGTTTAATTTTCGTGGCTGAAATCAATATTGACAATTAAAAGAAGTATTGTGTACATATGAAATGTACAGAGCAGCTTGTTTTTAAAGTGAGCTTTGCAGCTCATTAACCACTTGGTTTTAAGTTACTACATCAGTATTTTAATAACGGACGGATTTTGCGTATTTAATTAAACTCACTGAATTCCCAAAGCAATACCTAGCAAAAGCAATTTCCATGAAATAAAAGCACTCAGACTTTATATACACACACACACATTCATTCCAGGATGTATTTATTTTATATTGATTATTTGATTACTTCAACCCATTCTGTGTAGGCACATTTTTCTGGATTCCAGTAAGACTGTGACAGACAAGAACAAAAATTTCTTCTTCTATATATCTTAAATATGGGGCAGACAGTAAACAAGGAGAAAATAATAGCTAGCACTTTAAGAGTAAGCATGCAGTGTTGCAGTTACCATTTAAAGTGAGTTACATGCCTTATATGAAAATTAGCAATAAAGAATGGTGGGGCAGAAGGTGTTGGGCACACTTTAGTACAAGGTTGTTTCAGGGTTGGGCTCCTGACAAGGTGGCATTCTAGTTGATACATTAGCTGAGAGATATTTAAAAGAGTTTTCAGAGCACCAATATACAACTCTAATCTGTGTTTTTAAAGAAAACTCCAGAATGAACATAACAGAAACAATCTTTAAAGATATAATAGAAGAAAACATACCCAAGGTTAAGAATGACATGAACCAGTGAGTCGAAGAAGTTACTTGGTACCAGGCAAAATGAATGAACACAGATTATCACATACATGAGAGTATTTTCCAGAGGAAAAAGGGTGTATTACAAACATGTTTTAAAAAACCTTCAAATGAAGAAAATCAAGTTGGTGTCATTCATTAATTCACTCATCTGTATTGAGCAACTCTGCATGGTGAACACATTGTGAACAAGACAGCTGCATTCCCTCTTCTCATGAAGTAGAGAGAATAAACAGTGAACAAATAAATAAGGCAATTTCAGCTTGTGTAAAGTGAATAAAACCAGGCCTTGTGATAGTGTGGCATGAGAGCTGGGTAGTGGACTACTTTAGGTGGGGCAGACCAGGCACACCTTTCTGAAAGAGTGGAATTTGTGCTGAGATCTGAATGCTGAGAAAGAGCCAGCCGTGAAAATCTGGAGGTGGGTACATTGTAACTCACGGGAAGAGCAAGTGCAAAGGCCCTGCAGTAGAACCAAGTTTGGTTTGTTCCAAGAACAAAAAGGCCTGGAAAAGTGGTGAGGATGGTAGAGGAATGTGGGCAAAGAGGTAGGAAGGGACTCTATCATGTGGAGCCTTGAACTGTATTCCTAGTGCATGGGAAGCCACTGGACAGTATTAAGCCTGGTAACAAAGTGGTTTTATTTATACACTTAAAAGGTCATTTTAATGGCCATACCGAGTATGGATGGTTGGGGTGCTAGAGAGCTCAAATCCAGAATTCTTTTTAGACATTAATTTGAGGATACTTTTAAACACCCAATTAGAACTATCAAGAGAGATGAAGGATATAAGCCTAAAGTTTAAAGGAGAAAGATATTATGAACCTTCTCTTAAAAATACAAGTTATTGTTTGGATCAGGAATAATTAAGAAAAATTTTTTTATTTCTTTTACACTAAGTAAAGTGCTTTTATTTCTGCTTCAATTTCTAGCTAAGTTTCAGTCTTCAGACCATTTCTATTCATAGGCGACTTCTGCTCGCAGAAGCCTCTTTTCCTGAAGACAGGCTCAGGATCTCAATGTTAGCTAAGAATGGAAATTGGTTCTCCATGTTGTGTTTAATTTTGTGGCTTATAATTACTCTCACATAAGGACAAAAGAATGTTATATATAAAGGAGAACCCACAAACACGTGTGTTCATGTATTTGAAGGAAAACAGACTATGAGAGTGGTGATTTGAAACCTTGTAGTAAGCTCCTAAAACAAACACCACATGTTGAAAGGTACAGACCCCGAGGTGTGCCATGCTGTTGTTTGTGTCCATAGCCATAACTCCAACACTTACAAGGTGCTGACCGTGGGCCAGGTGCTGTGCTGTGCATCTCATGTGGTTCTCGGACATCACTGGGAAGTGTGGGGGCTGTTACCCTCCTTGTTTTACAGAGACAGATACTGAAGAGTGGGAGATGTAAATAACTTGCCTTGTATCAAACAATTGATGAGCAGAAGCCAGTCCCAGGCCATTGCACTCTACTTTCTGTTTCTAAACCAACAATAATATAAAAATGGGAAAAAAGAATTATTTCTAAAAACACAGTAGCCTGTCATTCTAGATCTAAATCTTATTTCACTCACAACAGCATTGTCCATTTAACATTTTTAAGATAAAGCTTAAAATTAAGTTGAATATCAGCTGTCTCTTTTCCTGTAAAGTTCTTTTTACTCTTATGCAGCTCAGCTTCACATAGTCAATACTTGCTAAGTATTTGTTGAGACTTGAGATCAATGTTTATTACGTATTTGTCAATTATTATTGCCCTCATTAGTGCTTATATTATTACCATCTCTGTAAATAATGCTAATCTGCTCCTCCAAGTGGACTATTTGGCCTGACAACATCCTAGAAATCACTTGATTTGCTAAAGACCTAACTCTTTCAGGAAAGCCAAAGGGTTGATACAAAAGGATCCTGAAAATTTCCTCTCATGGGTGACTATTTTATAGCCAAGTGGGAACATATTTTATTTACTTCGCTCCTTCACCAGATTGGGCTCATTATTTCTGTGGAAGTAGAAGACTATTCTGGCTCTCTTAATTGCAAGGGTAACAAAATGTTTGATGATAGTATATTTTTAAATGACACATATTAAATTTACCTAGCCATACAAGGCTCCAAAATTTTAATCAAGCTAAGAAGTATCGAAAAGCACACTGGAATTCAAAATATACAGAATTAGGAATATGCTTGCCAAGATAGACTCTTCTGTCACCTTAACACTTTAGTTTTAGTTAGCCTATAGTCTTTTGGAACTTTGTCTAAAATGATATCCTGCCCATTCACATTTCATCTGGAGTTTAGCCGTGGTCTCCTGGGGGATATACTTTTAACAGTTTGGTGTGACAGGTCTCTTGATGGAGATTTGTTTTCTTTTGGTAATCTTTTTTCCCCAATAATAAATTACATGTTCATTATAAAAGATTGACATTATTCAACAATATATACATGGAATGTGAAAGTTCTTCTTAATCTAACCCTCAGTAGGAATGATTTGCAACACTCACCAGGAAGTCCTCCTGGGTCCAGCTATGCATTCAGACTCACAACTCCCATAGCCCATGCTCAGCGTCAGTTTCCCTGGGAAGGACACAGGACAAGAATCACTGCTTGCCAGCAGGGCACAAGGGCTTGGAGAAGCCCCCCAAGCAGTCTCTGGAGCAGTCCACTCGGCTGTCTGAGAGCTGTTCTTGCCTCACTTCTCCAGGTGATAGCTAACGTACAGAGTTGAGCCCCACATGGGCATGTGTGAGAACCACTCTGGCCTAGAATCCCGTGCCAGAAGGGAGCCAGTGTCTCTTATAACAACTCCATAGGCAGAATTTCTAGAGTCCCAACAGCCTGCTGAGTTACCAGTCATCTCACTCAGAGAATCCTAAAGCTATGGCTTCCCACCAGACAGCTGTCATTTCTGCCTGTCCAGATGCAACTTATTGAGGCAGGGAGTCAGGGGTGTCATTTTTACCATAAGCATGAGCAACATTGTCTCATAACAAACTTGGCATGTCACCTTATCAGGTTTCCAGAATCCTGTTGATGAATATTTGGGTAGTTTCCCAATTATTGCTGTTGTGACTACTTCTCTGTAAACATTCTTGAACATACCTATATGTCTTCTGGTTCATGTGTTAGACTTTCTTTGTGAAGAAATCTGATAATTGCTTAAATGTTCTTAAAGACTTTCTGAAAAACCAAGATCAGTAAAGAATGCACTAAGTTAGGTAGACTGAGAGTCCTGAAAGCCATCACCCTAGTGAGAAAGTTTAAGAATTCCTTAACCATCATTCAGCTAAGCCTTCTAATCCCCCTGTTCACTCACATTCATTTGGTTAATTATTTACCTTAATGTCTCCTTAAGGAGAATGATGTGCTTGTCAACTGAAGACCCCTCAGGAATACTTTATATACATTTGGGTGGTGAGCCAATTAAAGCGGTAAGGAGTTGTTGATTATTAGATATAAGATAAGTCTGTGAATAAAATAGAAGTAACCTAAGGTTAATACAAACAGAACTTAGGAATTGAGCAGACAAGAAGACACTGGGTTCCATAAAATTCTGGGAAGTTGGGGTTGAGAGCAGGGGAAAAGCAAAAACCAAAGGAAAATTTAGTCCTTGTTTTAATTGTATGATGACAGATTATATGAATAAAAAACCTAAATTTTTTGTACTTTGTAATACTGAAGAAGGACAGATTTGCTGCATGTGATCTTCAATCATATACGAACATTATTGCCATTCTGTTTTCAGATTCACTGTATGAGTAGGCTGAGTTCTTCACTGGAGGTGCTGCATTACTCAGGGTTTTTTAAATTGTTGTTGTATTTTTATTTATTCATTTTCTTTAATCTTAGCAGTTTCTTCTGGATTTCAAATGGGTTTCCTCTTTTGTTTTGAATTAAGTTGTCCTCTTCATCTATTGACATGTATTATGCAAGATAATAGCTCCTTCTGGCATTCATTTTCTGTTCCCCTTCATTGACCTTGTATGGAATCTTAATCAAATTAAACCTGTGTTTTCCAGTTCACGTCTGTAAAGTGATAATGCCACAGCTAGTTTGTAGAAGATTGTGAGAGCCTCAGATACAATGTGTTATTGAAAGCAACTATGAAGTATTATGCAGCATCTTCCAGAGAGCAGATCTTTGAAATTTTATCATGCGAATAATTTCTGTAGTGCTTTTTCTGTATGAAAACTATGTATTTTTGACTCTATTAAAATCAGTGTAAGGCTTTTAAATATCAATCAAGTTACATTCTCAGAAACAAAGCCCCCATGAAGTGTTCTCTTTTTGTTTCTATGAGAAGGAGATAGAGTTACTGTTTCTGTCTGGTGTTCATGAAGCTTACCTATTATAGATCCAGGTCACAATCCAAGAGTCCAGCAAAACAGAAACATAGCTCATCAAGCTGAAGAGAAAAAAACTTTTAAAACCACATCTCTTTTTCATCCATTAGCATGAGTAGTGAAGAGCTAGTATCCCCCTAGCTTTTTGGATGACTGGTCTGGTATTTTAATAAAGTTGGATGACATGAGGCTGGAAGGTCAGAGGTCATCAGGAGAGTTACTGCTTCCAAGAGATTCACAGATGCCAACTCCTGTCTGATTTTTTTAAAAAGACTTTATTTTCATGCATTTAACAGGGTGTCTTTCTTTTCAAATGCTAGAGCCTAATGAGCACTGCTATGGACTGAATGTTTGTGTTCCTCCTAAATTGTGTTGAAATTTAACCTACAATTTGTTGGTATTAAGAGATGGGGCCTTTGGGAGGTGACTAGGTCATGAGACCCTCATAAATGGGATTAGTACCTGAGGGAGCTTGCCCCCACCTCCTGCCATGTGAGAACACAGAAGGGGCCATCTGTGGAGAACAAGACCTCAGCAGGTACTGAATCTGCTTACACCCTGATCTTGGACTTCACAGCCTCCAGAACTGTGAGCAGTAAATTTCTGTTGTTTATAAATTACCCAGTCTAAGGTATTTTGTTATAGCAGCCCGAACGGACTAAGTCAGGAACCTTACTTTTCAAGGACGTAAATCTCACTGTGAAACAGATGAAGTACTGGAATCAATCATTGAGGGTCTTTTGATGATATTCTTGGCTAAATGATTCTGAAGCCAGTTTGTGCTGCTGCGCTTAGAGGCAAGAGAATGAATTTTGAAAATGAGACATTTCATGTATTAAAATGTACAATCAAAACAAGTGCTAGGGGATGCCTGTGCATCATGAGAGTATAAGCTACATGGAACAGTTCATGTTGCTTGTCTTCATCATAACTAAGTTATCGCAGTGAGTCATTAGAGTCCCCAAGTTTCAAACACAATCAGCCTCAATCAGCCACATCCCTAGGGAGTTCCCTTCTCCCCACAAAGCTGAGAGAAAAATATTTTGAGAGCCTTCCATAAAAATGGAAAATTGCTGTGTTAGAGCAATTGTTCACTCACATCTGGCATTCTCTGGGTACCCAGTAAATACTAGTGGGAGGGAAGAAAACGACTAGGCAAGAGGTTATTTAATTTGTAGATGGACTTTCAGTTAGTGCTGATGAACCATTTCTCACCTTCTTTATTTTCTGAGCAGCACCAAAGAAAGAAATGAAAAGAATTTGGCTGTTGGCCTTGTATTTGTCTTGGACAACTATTGACCATCTATTATTCAAATGCATTATAACAGTTTTATTACTAGCATTTCAAGTTTAATATAAAAATTGCAAATCTGCTCACCACCCAAATTATAATGCTACCAACTGCAGCCACAGAGAGCACCCAGTAAGCCTTAGATAAATTCAGTTGCACCAAGCCCTCAGCCTCCTTGAATTTCTAAATAGCAAACAGCTATGCAGACAAAAATAGAATACAGCCAGCTTCCTGACCTTGTACATTATCAGAGGCCCAGGTAGTTCACTGTGTGGTTTCTATCACACCATTCTCTTCAACTGGTAGATAACTAGCATTTAAATCACTGCTTTCAAGGATGAGTGGAGGCGCAATGAGCATCCAAATTACCTGGGAAGCTTTTCCAAAATATGCAGACTCAGGCCCCAAACTAGGAATTTCTTATTCAGTAAATCTGACTTGGGGCTCAGGAGTGTGTAATTGGGAGCAAATCCTCCATAGGATGTTCTCTGGACCACTGATTAAGACATTGGCTGTCCTCTTTTGCATCTATCTTGGGAGCATTAGTTGATTTTTTTTTTATTTCAATAAATGTTTGGGAAACAGGTGTGTTTGGTTACATGGATAAGTTCATTAGTGGTTAGTGGCGATTTCTGAGATTTTGGTATACCCATCACTTGAGCAGTGTAAACTGTACCCAATGTGTAGTCTATTATCCCTAATCCCCCCTCCCACCCTTTCCCCTGAGTCCCCGAAGTCCATTGTATCATGTTTCCTCATAGTTTAGCTCCCACTTATGAGTGAGAACATACGATGTTTGGTTTTTCATTCCTGAGGTACTTCACTTAGGATAATGGTCTCCAATTCCATCCAGGTTGCTGCAAATGCCATTATCTTGTTTCTTTTTATGGCTGAGTAGTATTCCATGGTGTGTGTGTGTGTGTGTGTGTGTGTGTGTGTGTACATGTATACATATACATACATATATATGTGTGTGTGTATATATATACACACACATATATGCATACACATACACATACACACATATATATGTTATATATATATATATAACATTTTCTTTATCCACTTGGTTGATGGGCATTTGGGCTGATTCCATGTTTTTGCAATTTTGAAGTGTTGTGCTGCTATAAACATGTGTGTGCAAGTGTCTTTTTCATATAATGACTTCTTTTCCTCTGGGTCGATACCCAGTAGTAGGCTTGCTGGATCAAATGGCAGATCTACTTTTAGTTCTTTAAGGAATCTCCATACTGTTTTCTATAGTGGTTGTACTAGTTTACATTCCCACCAGCAAGTGTAAAAGTGTTCCCTTTTTACCACATCCATGCCAACATCTTTTATTTTTTTGATTTTTTAAATTATGGCCATCCTTGCAGGAGTAAGGTGGTATCGCATTGTGGGTTTGATTTGCATTTAACTGATAATTAGTGATGTTGAGCATTTTTTCATAAGTTTGTTGGCCATTTGTGTATCTTCTTTTGAGAATTGTCTATTCATGTCCTTAGCCCACTTTTTGATGGGATTATTTGGGTTTTTTTTTCTTTTTCTTTTTTTTTTGCTGATTTCTTTGAGCTCCTTATAGATTCTGGATATTATTCCTTTGTCGAATACATAGTTTGCAAAGATTTTCTCCCACTCTATGGGCTGTCTGTTTATTCTGCTGATTATTTCTTTTGCTGTGCAGAAGCTTTTTAGTTTAATTAAGTCCCATCTATTTATCTTTTTTTTTTTGTTGCATTTGCTTTTGGGTTCTTGGTCATGAAGGCTTTGCCTAAACCAATGTCCAGAAGAGTTCTTCCAATGTTATCTTCTAGAATTTTTATGGTTTCAGGTCTTCTATTTAAGTCTTTGATTCATCCTGAGTTGATTTGCATATAGGATGAGAGCTGATGATCCAGTTTCATTCTTCTACCTGTGGCTTGCCAATTATCCCAGCCCCATTTGTTGAATAAGGTGTCCTGTCCCCACTTTATGTTTTTATTTGCTTTGTCAAAGATCAGTTGGCTGTAAGTATTTGGGTTTATTTCTGGGTTCTCTATTCTGTTGTGTTGGTCTATGTGCCTATTTTTATACCAGTAACATGCTGTTTTGGTGACTGTAGCCTTATAGTATAGTTTGAAGTTGGGTAAAGTGACACCTCTAGATTTGTTCTTTTTGCTAGTCTTGCTTTGGCTATGTGGGCTCTTTTTTGGTTCCATAGGAATTTTAGGGTTTTTTTTCTTTTCTAGTTCTGTGAAAAATGATGATGGTATTTTGATGGGAATTGCATTGAATTTGTAGATTGCTTTTGTCAGTATGGTCATTTTCACAATATTGATTCTACCCATTTATGAGCATGGGATGTGTTTCCATTTGTTTGTGTCATCTATAATTTCTTTCAGCAGTGTTTTGTAGTTTTCCTTGTAGAGGTCTTTCACTTCCTATTCACATTTCTAAGTTTTTTTTTTTTTTCAGCTATTGTAAAAGGGGTTGATTTCTTGATTTGATTCTCCGCTTGGTTGCTGTTGGTATATAGCAGCACTAGTGATTTGTATACATTCATTTTGTATCCTGAAACTTTACTGAATTCATTTATCAGATCTAGGAGCTTTTTGGATGAGTCTTCAGGGTTTTCTAGGCATACAATTATATCTCGTGAACAGTGACAGTTTGACTTCCTGTTTCTGATTTGGATGCCCTTTCTTTCTTTCTCTTGTCTGATTGCTCTGGCTAGGACTTCTAGTACTATGCTGAATAGAATTGGTGAAAGTGTGCATCCCCCTTGTCTTGCTCCAGTTCTCAGTGGGAATGCTTTCACCTTTTCTCTGTTCAGTATATTGTTGGATGTGGGTTTGTCATAGATGGCTTTTACTAACTTAAGGTGTGTCCCTTCTATGCCGATTTTCCTGAGGGTTTTAATCATAAAGCGATGCTGGATTTTGTCAAATCCCTTTTCTGCATCTCTTGAGATGATCATGGGATTTTTGTTTTCAATCCTGTTTATGTGGTGTGTCACATTTATTGACTTGGGTATGTTAAACCTTCTCTGCATCCCTGGTATGAAACCCACTTGATCGTGGTGGATTATCTTTTTGATACGCTGTTGGATTTGGTTAGCTAGTATTTTGTTGAGGATTTTTGCATCTATGTTCATCAGGGATATTGGCCTGTAGTTTTCTTTTTTAGTTGTTATGTTCTTTCCTGGTTTTGGTATTAGGGTGATACTGGTTTTAAAGAATGCTTTAGGGTGGATTCCCTCTTTCTCTATCTTTTGGAATAGTTTCAATAGGATGGATACCATTTCTTCTTTGAATGTCTGATAGAATTCAGCTGCGGGTTGATTTTTCATTAGTGTAAAGCACCAGATCTAAAAGATGATTTCCAGTGACAAATATTCTTGTCAAAATTAATGACAGACTCATTCAAACCTAGACAGTGGAGAAGAAATGTTAATTGTCTCTTTGATCACCAAAGATGTGGACTTTATTACTCTTTCCTCTGCAATAAACAAGGAAACTTCCACAGCAATGAGCTTGGAACTGTTTGCACATTGTGAAATGCCAGCACCCTGAGGGATCTTAATGACTGAATAGTCCAGTTTTCATTTTAGATATGAGGAATCAAATACCTATGGAGAGTTTTGTTAAGGTCACACCAAGATTTAGGACATGGGGCAAGGTTCATGTCTCCTAATTCCTGGTCCCATGCTCTTTGTCTGAACCTCCCTCTCCATGGCCATGTTCACTTTAAAAGGGAAAATTCACAGAATTCTCTAGATGAGACCAAAGAAAAGAAAGCCTGCTCCCTGTAAAAATCTGTTACATAGCAAGTCTCCATGGATGATAACAATGACAGGTTCCTGTCATGTCTGTCTCTGCAACAATTCAAATCGTAGTAAGAAATGGAAAATACACTTTAGTTACTTCATCTGCATATTTGTTCTTAAAAATGAAATATTTAATATTCACAGATCTGAAGTATCTTTCACTTTAAAAAATGTTTGTGGCACATATGAATGTCCTCAAGTTTACGTTCACTGGGTCATGCCTGAATGAAACTGACACCGGGCTTTGGGGAAAATGAGACTTCATGTGGAAAAGTTACAATATTTATACCAAATATAACTGAAAGATGGTGTAGTGCTAACTATGTTTCCAAATTTGATTTTATATCTAGGATGACTCTAAGTTTTAGCTTTTTGGTGACAACAGGACAGCAGCTTCTGTTAGGGATATATTCTGACTTTAATCACTGGCTGCTTCATATTGACCACCAACAATGAATTCTGTCTGTTCCTTCAGTCAGCTGATACTTCAGGAGGGTCTAGTATGTTGCAGACTCTGGTCTAGGGTCAGAAGAGATGTTCATAAATATTGTGTGGTATGGGCTTAAGTTACCCTATCAGGAGTCTAAAGGTAGCTCATCACTCCCTTCATAATCCAGCTAGGTTGTCCTGAAGAGTTGCTGCTTTATGCCTTTAACAAATCAAACTTGGAAGAGAATTGCTTATTTGTTTGTGAGTATATTTCTCAGTGACAGCTCTTCTTATAAGGCCTTGGGAGCTGCTATTAATTTGGAGTAGTCAGAAATGCTTCCATCTAGTCAGATGTGAGAATTATGGAGCCTTTTGATGAGCTTTTATTATTTGCATTTCTCAAAAGCTAGAATGGCTTAAATTTACAGCCACAAACCTTTAGGGTGCAGATGTTTCAAAAGCTGCTAGTTACCATGTAGGTGGGTTTACTTGCAAAAGACAGGTTATAGCAGATTTGACCAATTCGAGTGCTATGTTGTATTTTTTCTTCTAATCTTTAAAAATTGGGTAAAAGTTAGATAGCCAAATATCACAGGAGTAAAGAAAATGACTAGTAAATGAGGAATGACAACAGAGTACACTTTTATCAGGTGTTAACAGAAGTCAAATGTTTTCCTTTTATTAGTAAAGACTCCACAACTTTATTAGTTCTCAATTTCCTTTCAGTGATTTATAACCCAGTTTTAGCTGCTCAGTTGTTAAAAATCATAAAAGATAGGCAAGGCTTTTTATTACCCATTTTAATTTCTTTTCTATATTTTAGGGCTGCCATTATTTATATCCAAAGTAATAGCGATGCCATTTATCAAAATGGCTTATACTGTCTGTTGCCTCCAAGACCACCTGCACTTAATACAGGGTCTGGCTCAACTAAAATGTGAACTTTGCCAAGAGAAAAGGCTTTCAAAAACAGGAAACTTTTCCATTACATTTTTCCATTACATGTCTTCTTGATGGCAGCAGACTGGCTGACCTATCTTATTATAATGTAATAAACATTGAAGTCAGGATTTGAGCCTGATAACTCTTAGAAGAAAATTGGGCTGTGTCAGTTCACCGGGAATCAGAAAGAGAAAAATCAACTTATAGATGAAAATTTCACTCTGAGATCATTAAGAAATATTACAGTATCAGCAGAGAGAATGCTGACTATATTTCTAATATGCATACATATACATATAGCTAGCTAACTTGCTAGATGGATGATACTCAACGCTTTCATAATTCCCAACCCTGGGATTCACGAATAATTATAAAATAATTTATATTATAAAATAGCTTATAAGATTTAAGTAAATACTAATTGTCTTAGCTTACTCTTTTGAAAATTCTTCATATAGATCTATTTTTCAACCAAAAATGTAGAGGCTTGGTGGTTGAACATCCAAAATAAAGCTAATTACTTGGGTTTTTAGACTTCACAAGCACTGAAGAAGGGAAAGACAAATTTCATTGGAAATCGGTAGGCCTCAAATTATTGATTTCATTTTTTAGTGACTTAGTCTTGCTTTGGCTGTGTGGGCTCTTTTTTGGTTCCATAGGAATTTTGTCTTTTGTCTTTTGAATATATTTTATTCACCGAATTGCAAAACAAGCTTGCCATTATGCTTTTCTTAGGCCTAAGAAATATGCTATTGTAATCCTCATTTGTTTGTTTCCTGTGTTTTACTCTACATAACCAAATTTCATAATGAGACAAAGTAGGCCATAGGGCTGTTGTTAAGCTCTCCTTCAGCATTCTCTAGGCCTATCATATCTGTCACAAATATCCAATTTATTTGACCTCAGTCATCATTTTTAACTTTAATACACAGTTTTCCCATAAGAGCTCAAATATCTTTGCATCATTTCCCACTCCTGCTGTAAGGATAATAGCTATAACAGGAAAAGATGCCATTTTAAGGGTTTTCTCATGAATACTGCATTTCTGTTTGTGTCTGTCCTTTTTCTGTTCTACAACCTCTTGAAAAAATAATATGTTTCATTATTATATCAGGCCCCATTTTCCTTCTGCACATCTGAGCCTTACTTCAAATGAGAATACTGTGAAGATTTCATAGGAAGTAAGATACCTTCCTCAAAAGCAGTATAGCCAAGATAATAGGTAAAATATCTCCATGGTATCTAAAGTGTTACTTCTAACGCTGTGTAGGGAGATTTTAATCATCAGCATCTGAGTTATAGAATTTCAGAACTGAAATGAAACTTAAACATCTTGGTTCAATTTCTTCATTTTCACGATGATGAAACTAGGAACTAGAGAAGTTTTTATACATTGCTCCAGATTATACAACCAGCTATTTGCTAAGCTGAGACTTGAAATCCAGTTGCCCCAAATCTTAGGTTATTAAAAGAAAAAGACATATGGTGTTAATTTAACTCTTCCATTAAATTTGTAAAAAGAATAATCACTTTTTACTGTTTCTATAAAAATGATGCATGTTCATTTATAAAAATTTTACATAATACAAGGAAATATAAGAAAAAAAGGAACAGATTATCCCAAAATGATTCTATAAATATGATTAATGTTACCATTTAATGAACATTATTTTAAGTATCTAAATGAATAGGCACAGATAAGAGGATGGAGATGTAGATTGACAAAAAAGAAATTAAAATCGAAGAATAGGGAAAAGAGTGAAATAACTTTACGACATTGTGTTTATTCTAGATATGGTATTTTTAAGTATAAACATTACATTTAATTTTACTTGAACAGAAGTGAAAGAAAATGAAAACTGAAGAAATTGCTGAACTTCAAATTAAATTTTCTTCACCACATGATATATTGTCTCTAAAATATATGTGACTCTAAGATTATTTTTTAAATTGAAATGTTAAGGTCACTAGTTTTCAAATGATGTGTTTCCATTTTATAAATTACTAAGTGACTCTTCTAACAGAGATAAAATTAACTTTATTTTCTCCCACCTCCCAAATTTTTTAAGTTATATTCTGAGATCTTTACATTGTGCTATCTTGTGGTTGGATATTTTTGGTCATTCAGTATGTTTTTGAAAGATGCACCTTGATGTGTTTTATCTGAGTTCTTATCTGCTTCAGAATGTGTATTTGTGGCACTTGAAAGACCCTTTGGTTAGATATAAACTTTTTGGGTCACATTTCTTTTATCACATTTTATTTTGTGTTGTTATTTTCTCCGCTCTGTGTGCTGCGTGCTAATCTGTTTTTATTGTGCTTGTTCTGCACTTGTTCCTTCTACTGGGGCTTTCATTCCCATCGTGTTTTTGTTTCTTCCACCTCTTTCTTAAGTCCTGCTGGCTCACATTTTTTTGTGGAAGGAAGGAGGGTGCAGAGGCACTGATTTTTTTAAAGTTTTTTTTTTCATTTTAGAATAGCTTTAGACTGTGTTTTTGCCTTTTAATTTGCCTTGTAATATTTTGTTGAAAGCTAGACACTATATATTGGGTAAAAGGAATTGAGGTAGATTGATTTTTAGTGCGAGGTTTTATGTTTATCTGGCTAAGATATAGGCTAGGTTTATTGGTTGATGTCGATGTGGTGTCAGAGGCTAAAATTTCCTGTAGTGCCCTTGTTTTTGTCTTCCATTGTTGTCTTTGGGCTTTCCTGGAGTCTTTTAAAATAGGGTCTGAGGCTTACAGTTATTTCAGCTGTAATCCCTGTTACACAGCAGCCCCATGATGTGATGGTAAGGTATGGTGAGAGGAAGCCTTCTATAGTCCTAGGGTAGTTTGCAGTCTTTTCATGAGCCTGCGTTGAGTGTTTCATTTAGCCCTGGTCGGTTAGGCTCTGGCAAAACCTAAGGTAGTTAGGTTCTGGTAAAACACTTTCTCTTAAGAGCGAGCCTTGTGAAGGAGAACAGAGAGCTCTGGGAATATTTAAAAATGGTTACTTTTTCCTTCCCCTGCTCAATCCCCTAATGTCACAGTGAGAACACATCATTTGAAAACTAGAATCCAACTTCACAGTGAGAACCTGGTGGGGCTCCTGGAAGTAAAACGCTCAAAAGCGTGGAGACCTTCCTCAAGACTGGCCCCCCTCAGAGATTTTAACAATCACACTAGTCTATATTTGAGCCTCCAGAGATTCTGGAATTACTGTTCATAGTGTTTCTACCAATACTGGCTCTAGCAGCAGGCCTCAGTGCCAGGCTGAGTTATGATTCTCTGTGTCCACCTGTCTGTCTCTGCAGTCTGAGGGCAGTAGTTTGCCCTGTGATCTCACTTCTCCACTGGATCTAAAAAGAGTTGTTGATCTTCATTTATTTTTCAGCTTTTTTCTTGTCATGAGGACAGGAGTAACTTTTCAGCTCCTCGTGTGTAGGATCAGAAACCAGAAGTCCTATTTTAGAATACTTTTAGATTAATAGAAAAAAATCTGAAGATAGTACAGAGTTCTTATATACCATACTCAGTTTCCCCTAGTATTAACATCTGCCATTAGTATAGTACATTTGTCATAACTAGTGAGCCAATACTGGTACATTATTATTAACTAATGTCTATACTTTATTGATATTTTCTTAGTTTTTACCTAATGGCCTTTTTCTGTTCCAGGATCCCACCCAGGACACCCCATTATATTTAGTCATTACGTCTCCATAGGCCCCTCTTCACTGTGACAGTTTCTTATACTTGCCTTGTTTTCAGTGACCTTGACACTCTTGAGGAAGACTTGTTATGCATTTTTGGGAGGGAGACCGCAGAGGTAAAAATGCCATTTTTATCATATCATCTCAAGGATATATACTATCAGTATGTCTTACCACTGTTGATACTTGATCACGTGGCTGAAGTTTCTCTACTGTAGAGTTGCTTGTTTTTCTTCCTTTCCACACTGTATTATTTGGAAGGAAGTCACTATGCATAGCACACATTTCAGGAGTGGGGAAATAATGGGCTACTTTCTTGAGGGTGAAACATCTACATAAATTATTTGGAATTATTCTGAATTGATAGTTGAGTTACCCATTTATTTATTTAATTCTGTCATTGTATTTTGGGTTACCCACCAATACTTTATTTTATTTTTCAAAGTGAATCTGAATCCCCCATTTATTTATTTATTCAGTTATTCTATTTTGGGTTATCCACCAATACTTTTTAATTTTCTTTTTCAAATTGTCTCAGCTTTGGCCACTGGGAGCTCTTTCACTTGATGTCTGTGTTCCTTTGAGACACCGCGTCTTGTGTTTTTGTTTTCAAGCACTTTGTGCTTTCTGGCGCCATAGGTTGCTTCAGGCTTGTCGTGTGTATTCCCTGCCCCATCCTGGAATCAGCCGTTTCTCCAAGAACTGGCTCGCTTTGCTTCCTCTTTATTACCCTTATTTTCTCTTCTTTCAATGTGTGTATTATTTACTTCTTTGGGCTCTATTTAGAGATGGATTTTATGGTTCCTACGTGACTATTTATTCTCTGAATTCCTCCTGGGTAGCTTTGGCTGATCCCACTTACGGTGTATCCTCTTGAGCTGCCTTTTGCTTATGTTTCATTCAATGTCACCTCACCTCACCCTTTTTACACATAGTTTCAGTTTTGGTTCCTTCTAATTATTTCTCATCTTTAAGGGAAGTGGACTAATTGTTGTGGGAAAACACCAGTACTTTGTGGGAGCAAGGAGGGGCAGAAGCTGGGGAGGAGGAGGGCAGCTATGGCATGCGCAGACCACTTAGAATTGTCCTGAAACTGTTTTCACCAATTTTTTCCTTCACTTTGAGACACATCTTCTCTTGTTTTCTGGTTCATGGGGGCTGTGGAGTTGCTGGCTGTGGGCGATAAAGCCAAACGCTTGCTCTCTGGCGTCTCCTGCCTCTGTCTCTGGAGACAGGGACTTCCCCAGGCTCCTCCTCTCACAGCCCCTGCTCGCCTTCCTCCTTGAGTGGAATTGCATCCTGATCTTTTTCTCATCCCCATATTTAGCATAGGCAGAATGCAGGTGAGGGTGAGGGTGGCAGGCCACCCTTGTCTCCCGTCATCTCTTCTCTCTGTGATGGTCTTCTGGATGCTGCTGCCTGGCCGACAGTTTGAGCTGTGGCGGTTTCCCAGTTCAGAGACAGTGTTTGCGGTGGTAGCAGTGCTTTTGAAGAAGGTGAGAGGAACAAATCGAGTCATTGCTCCACCATCTTTAACCAGAATGGTTTCACCAATTTTTATGGTTTTGCAGAAAGATTATTTTTGGTGCAGTCACGCTTTTCAACATGAGACTCTCTCCAAAAAAGTTGTAAGGGGAAATGATGATGCTTGTTCTTTACGAAAATGAAATCTTACAGAAAGAAAGAAATTCTTTTTCTTCCATTACTGAATCCCAAGTATCTTGAACATTTTTATGTAATTCAGAAATACTTACCTGAGACGCTGTAGAATGTAGTTGTTGAGAGGAATATATAGAACTTCAGGAACTTTAATTTCTTTAAATATAGGACACTGTATCTCCTTTGTCAGAGGCTACAGAGGAAATCCAAGAGGAGTCTCTCCACCTACAGATTGTCATTCACTGTTCCTGACAGTACTTCTCATGAAAATCAAAACTAGAATATCTGTTCTGTTAGAAAAATGAGGCAATAAAAATGAAAATGTGTAAATATAAAGTACTTGAGAGGGAATGAAAATGTTCAGATAATATTTCTGATTTAATTTTAAACTTTTTATTTAACGTGAGAAATCAAATAAAAGATGTTGGTGTGTGGGGGACATGAGTAGAGAGGTCAGAGACAATTCAGAATCACATCTTCTCTGAACCTTTCTTATATTCTTAATTTGTTGGAAGTGTTACATTTCAGAAAACAGCACTTTCAGCAAAATGGAAGAGATTTTTTGGTGTTCGGTTGTTTTCTTTGGTCTTCCAGGCACAGTTATTTGTCCTGACCAGTGTTTCTTTTGATCTTGGTAAATTGTCCATTTTTTAAAACTATTTAGGCAGTTCAAATCATTTACACTTCAGAAATGAAACCTACAGAGAATTGCTTTTGTTGATCTATTTTGAAATAAATGAGGCAATAGCTTTGCACTTGTGGAGAGAAAAAAAAGTCCAGCCCTCTTCTGTACTCTGGCCATCTAACCCGTGGTAAGAGGTTTAGCTATATTATTATTTTACGAATGGAGTGGTAATTCCTGCCCCTGCTCCCCACCTTCTTCATTCCAGTCATTCAGCAGGTCAGCATCAGGGCCCTCATTTTTCAGAGACTCCTTTATTTGAGCTGAGGAAGCCCATCCAAGTAAAGATGATGCTCTTTTTTTCTTTTTGGAAGATGGACTTAGGAATGTGACTCTAATATCTTCTATGTTAGCTATTATTGTTCTCCAAATGGCCTCCTGTGCCACCTGCCCTGCTATCCCAATGCTTTCACTACTTTAATGTAGTATATTTTAAAATATAAGATACTTCTAGTTTTTGTTTTACTTTTGAGTGCCTTAAGAAAAATATTCTTTTGAAATGGATTGGCTTAGGTATCGCTGATCAGCAACTATCAAATGAGATATTTTACTTGGCAGATAACGCAGCTGATGGAAAATGAAGCGACCCTAGCAGTCACTTAAGTGTCGAAGTTTTATGCAGGATTTAGATAGATGAAATTGCTGATACTCAACAGTTTTTAACTTACAGAACTGGCAATTTCATCTTGTCCAACCTGAGCTTATAGATAGCAAGGCCTAAGTGGCACTGTTAGGATTCTCTAAAGAGGAGACATGGAGGTGGTTTCTACTATATCAGAGGGAAGGGATTCACTCACGTTGCAGTTGAAGCTGTTTCCGATGGAAATATCATTATATTAATGGGGGCATGTTTTTCCTATACTTTACATTATGGCCTTGGCTTTCTTCTTTGGCTTGTTCATGCCCCAGCCCCACCTGTAGGACCTGGGCCCATTAGCTCACATTTCTATCATGAGCCACATTGGAACTTTTGCAGCTGTTCCTTTTCTCCATCCTACCTGTACTTTATTGTAAGGATAGCTACCATTATTCTTAGTTTTTACTTGGAGAGGGGTAAGATGATAGTTGCTAACTAACTTTGTATGTCCTGGAATGGACTTCTGGGGAGCTCCAGCCCCATCCTGCTTCCTGCTGTTCTCCACTGCTCTGCTGACCCTGGGCAAGGGTGCAGGTCCTCAGCAGGGTCCCGTTGACAACTCTTGTTGGAACTGTTGATGACTGCCTTGGAGTGGTATGTTCATGTTTCTGGTTACATACACTTAGGAGGAATCACTCTTTTTCATCTTTACCCTAGATCCCCAAAGACTTTGCAACAGTATCTTTCATGCACTGCAGACGCTCCTTACAGCTTTATCCCGAGAGGCCTGGAGTCAGTCCTGACTTTGCCCCCATGACTCTGAGCCTTTCCAAGTCACTTAGCTCTGGGCTTGGGTGTCTTCAACTCTAAAGTCAGACAGTTAGTTGAGTATCATGGTCCTGTGATTATAGGCCTGAAAGTCACTTAGAATTGGCCTTTTCCTCCTAAAATCTGAACAACAGTGTTGCACATAATTTACACATAGTTATTTCACAGGCTGAATATTAATAGCACAGAATGCTTCCTCCATCTGGGTCTGGAGAGGGAACGCCACTGTTGACTAGCAGGAGATGTGAATGCTTGCTCCCTCCCCGCTTCCACTGCCTAAAGTCCTTTTATTGCACGACTTCTGATTGAGCATGTGAGTGTGACTATAAATTTCCCCTGACAGAAACCACATCACCTCATCAGCCACATAAGAAAATGACAAAACAACCAACTGTGAAAGCATGCTTGCCAAGCTTTCAGCACCACAGCATCGGGGGAAGCGGGAGGCACGTTTGTACTGGAGGAGATGGAAGCTGGAGGGAGCCAGAAGATGAGCTCTTCTTGTACCTGTCTTCTCTGAGCTGCAACATGGGGGGAGTGTGTTTGTGCCACTGAGTCCAGGTTCCGGAAAACCCTTTGCTCCTTGAAGCCATGTCACTACGGCTTCCCAGTGGATGCAGAGAGGCCACAAGGGAATGTGGGCGTGCCACTTGCTCAGTAATTAGCAGATCTCTAACAGCTATTAATATAGCTAAAATCCAGTCACTAAATCTTCACGGAATCCTTTTAAAGTTTGGTTTCATTTTCTGTGGTTTTATTTCAGCAGAGAATACTCGGGCTCAGAGAAACGTAGCTAGTAAGCTGGTTAGTGGTCAAGCCAGGATTCAGACTGGGTCTGTCTTGCCTCAGTGCCCATGGTCTTTCACTTTACCTTGAACTGATTTTAAAGTTGGATGTCAGCCAACTAAACATTGGTGAGAAACAGAGATGGGGAAACCCATCCCTTGGTGTTACCTTCAACCCACTCCAAGGTTTCTCTGCTTTGGTAGAAAGAACACTAGGGGGAATGAGACAAACATCTGCCCAACTTCAATCAACTTTTAAGACAGGCTATAAAGTCATCAAAGACACCTTTAAGAGAGTGAAAAGGGAGAATTATTCTTACTTGAGGAAAAGGCAGACAACGAATTTAAAAATGGACAAAAGAGTTGAACAGACACTGCCTAAAAATGACTAACCAGATGTCAATGAGCAGGTGAAGAGTTGTTTGACAACATCAGTCATCAGAGAAATGCAAATATGAACCACAGTAGACATGACCCACCAGCATTGCTAAGAAGGACGACCACTGTACCAAGTGCTGGTGAAGATCTGGAGCAACCACATCTCTCAGTCACTTCTGATAGGAGTGTCAGTTACTAAAACTGTTTTGGAAACCATTTGATAGTTTCAAATACAGCTGAACACACACACACTCTATAACCCAGCATTTGCAACACGTAAGAGTATGACTATCAGAAATACGTACATATGTTTATCAGAAGATCTATAGGAAAGTGATCATAGCAGCACAATTCTAGTAACCACAAACTGGAAACTAACAAAAAGCCCAACAGCAAGATAATGAACAAATACATTATGGAATGTTCACATGGTGGAATACTGTACTGCAGTGAAAATGAGCAAACTATTGCTACGCATAACAACATGGTTGGATCTCACAAACATGATGCTGAACAAAAGGAGGTAGACACAAAAGAGTTCATACTGTATGACATCTTTTGCATGAAGTTCAAAAGTAGGAAAAACCAAGCGATGCTATTGTCATAGTGTCAGGCCTGCGTTAACTTTTGTAGGGGTGAGAGGGAGTGCCTGGAAGGGAGCAAGTGCAGCTCTGGGGGTGCTGGCAGTGTTCTGCTTCTTGATGCGAGTGCTGGTTACACAGTGTGTGCAGATTTTGAAAATACATCCAGTTCTTCCCTTGTGATATGTGCACTTTTCTGTATGTATATTATACTTTAATACTATGTTTTAAAAGTATTATATATACAGATGCTAGTCTTTAATTCTTGACTCCCACTGTGGCAATATAAATTTAAATCAACTTAGTGATTTGCATAGGCATAAAATTGGAATTTTGTGACATATTGTGCCCTACATTGTGGGAGAAATGCTCATTTTTTCTTGGTAATGCTTCATTGGCTTCAATTTGTCTGGTCCTGACAAATTGAGAAAGGAAGGAAATAGTGAATTCTGCAACTGCAGCAATTATTGCTACTTAGCATTTATTCAGCCAAGGCAACACTGGCTAGTTGGATTCTCATCAGATTATAGAATCCTATCTTGCCTGGGAATCTGTAGTAAAACTTATTGTTTATAATTTTTGTACATTCAAGAGGAAAAGCATAAGAGAAATACTATGAAATGCTAAGATCAGGCTAAACAAAATCTGAACCTTCATTTTTAGGAAACAAGGTGAAAAGATGGAAAGAGAAGTCCTCTTTTCACATGGGCAGTCTTCATTCACGGTGGTAACTGAAAAGGCAATACTGAATATTTAGAGAACCTTAGCAATAGTCTGAAAACGATTTTATAAAATGTTCAGGTAGTGTGTAGGTTGAATTTTCAAATTCTTATCTCAACACAAAACTAATTGGATTCTAGTAAAAAAAAAAAAAGGGTGGGAGGACTGAAAGAAGAACAAACATGTGTTTTAAAAAACAAAAAGTATAAAATACCACCTGGCACAGAGTCTGATATGTCATCTGAGACAGAATGTTGAGAATCAGATTCATTCTTCCATGGAGTTCCCATTGTCCTGTCTTCTCATTTGACCACTGGGGAATGTGACCCAAGGTTGCTTTATCTGTTGAAGGTCACACAGTTGGTGATAAAGCAAGGCAGGACCCACCATCTTTAAACTTTCAGCCTCTTTCTTTTCACCCCATGGAAGAGATTTCAAATAATAGATTAATAATAGCCCAACAATTAACAGGTATGCTATTAATGCATGTCTTTTAAAATGTCTATTTCAGCTTGCTGCCCTTGAATTTCCTCCAAAGAAACTATTTGGAAATAAGGATGAACGTGTGATTGCTGAGAGACGAAGTCACTTAGAGGTAACAGAATTAAGCTGTTTTTCCTCTGTGTATGTAGAAAATGTACCATCTGACCGGTAAGAATTGTTTCTGTTAAATACTATTAAATTTCTTCACAAGTGTGAAGATGCTGCCTCATTAACACAGGAGATGGCAGCAGTAGATTATGAAGATATGATATCAGCTTGTTTAAAATACAAGTCCTTATCTTCCTCTGGTCTAGCGGAACATTTTTCTTATTTTTAAGAAGATGCATTTATTCTAAGGGTTAGGAAGCAGGATGTGAGTGAGAACTAAATATTCACCATAGACAGATGGTATGTGATACAGGATGAGAGTACAAAGCTTGCTGCAAAAACTTGGAATTAATTAACTGAAAATTTATAGTATTACATCATTGTTGCTTTTTCAGGAGAGTTGGAAGCAAAAAGACACATACCTATTTTAGTCATGGGTAGGTTTCATTTGACTTATTTTAACTTAATCTTCCAAGCCAACTACATGTAGAACTCTGGTTTAACACAAGTGTTGTTTTTCTGACTGCCTCACTGCCAATGCACATTGTTGACTGCTTTATCTAGTTTGTATTTCTTTTTTGGGATATAGTTGCTTATTTGGTTGGAGATGCTAATGAGGCTGAGTCTTTTCACTAAGGCAGGGACCAGTTGTTTTCTTTAAGAATGGTGAAAACATGATCATGGCTAGTCCTTGCTTCTTGGCCACTCTCTTGCCATTGTGAACCATTGAGGCAGACAAGGGACAGAAGTGCAAATAGCTGATGACGACCTAGTGTTAGCAAGCTTTCAGGGAGACTCTCAGAGTTCCCCTTACTACTTCATTTGTTTTTGTTTTTGTTTTTGTTTTGTTTGAGACGGAGTCTCGCTCTGTTGCCCAGGCTGGAGTTCAGTGGCACAGTCTCAGCTCACTGCAACCTCCACCCCTCAGATTCAAGCGATTCTGCTGCCTCAGCCTTTGAGTAGCTGAGATTACAGGCGTGCACCACCATGCCCAGCTAATTTTTATATTTTTAGTAGAGACGGGGTTTCACCATGTTGGCCAAGCTGGTCTCGAGCTCTTGACCTCAAGCCATCCTCCCGCCTCCATCTCTCAATGTGCTAGCATCACAGGCGTGAGCCACTGCGCCCAGCCCTTTGCTACTTCTTTTAAGAGTAATAATAGTAAGACCTACTGGAAATAAAGTCAAATAAGGAAAGTCCTGAGAGAGCCCTTTCTGGATTGTGAAGTGCTGTATAAAAAGTAGGTATTCTCATTGCTGGTGACAGCCAGTTAAAATTGGCTGCCCATGGCATGCACTTAATGCCACTGAACAAGGATTAGGGAAATATCTAGAGGCTGGAGGTTCCCGTGAGAGCAGAAGGAGAGAAGTGGGAGCAAAGGAGAAATTGAAGACTGGGAGGTTGTTGTCTATGAGGAGCATTTTAGAGTTTTGAGATATTGAATATAGAACCACTCTGAGAAAAGAGGAGTTTCGGGATACAGCCATGCTTAGAGGCATTTGAGTTAGACTACAGAGTTACACATCTGAAGAAGTAATTCAACCTAGAATGGCATGATCCTGATACCCAACTGAAGAATTTGTGTTCAAGGAAAAGATTATTGCGGTGAGTCTGCTTGACCAAGTTTTCTCAAAGGTTTGATTGTATCATACAAAAAAAATTAAAAAATTACAGTAGAACTAGGGATGATTTTCTTTACCTAACTCTTCCCTGCCTTCATTAACTAGACCTGCCTTTAATGGAAACATGGAGAATGATGGTTTATAAACTTGTTTTTATATGCCAACAGAAAATAGATTGTTGTCATCCCTGGCTACTCAGGGCTCTTGTTAAACTCACATGGTGCACAGCTGTGCCATGACAGATTGGGCATTTTGTGTGCCATGCATTTGTGAGCACAGCACTGGGTACCCTTGGTTTTCCATTCCAACTTCCTGACTTAGAGCAAAGTTCAGGGCACTCTTTCATTGTTAATGCTTTCAGGTGGAACCTGTGTTTGTCCTTTTGGCATCTGCTGCTTCATCACTGAACCCTTCTAAACCATCAGCTGTTGATGAGCAGAGTTTTATGTTAATGTCTCTGCCTAGGCAAGGAACCCTTCCTTCCCTTGGCTGTGACTGTTATTTATCTGTGGCATTATCCTCTAGAGAACAGCTTCCACACCTTATGGAAATAAGCACTTACTTTTGAAATTTAATGCATTTCACCTAATGTTGACTGTTAAATCTTAGAATATTATCTTCTTTTCAAGGAGCAAGTATAAGTAACCTTCACTTTAATAGAAAGTTAATCTGAGCTTCTCGAGTTAATTCCCTGCGACTATTTTCATATGAAAATCAACTTAGTTATTTTCCCTGAACTTCCCATTTAACTCAACAAACATTCATTTAATTCCTTACTACATGCTGGAGACAGTGGTAGGTGTTACATAGAATACAAAGACAAATGAGATATTTCCTTTCCTCTAAGTGTGTATGTTTAAATTCCTATATGAAACTTTACCTAGTCATATATATAAATACATAAACACATATGGATTCAAGTAGGACACATCTGCACTAGCTGATAAATGTGATGTCTGCTTAAAAGAAGTTATCCAACTGATTATTAATATCCAGAAATGCAACTTTCTGAACCTCACCATGATATAGCTGTATAAAATAGTGTTTTAAGTAGGGATTCAGTTGTGTTTTGATCTTCCATTAAGATATTTCTAAGATTTGGACCTTGTGTTTGAGTTTATTAGCAAAAAGTGTAAAATGTTTTCATGTTAAAGACATAAACACCATTTTGGCACTCTCAAGTTATAAAAGTTAAGTCTGTTAAAATATTTATTTTTAGAAATGATGGATAGGAACAGAAATTTCTCACTGTCGTCAGATGTTTTGGAGATTAATTTTTTTACCTTGGAGCAAGGAGCATTGGTTATGTGTCTGGTGGTGGGTGGTGATAGTGTAGGGGCTGGAAATTGTAACATTTAACATACTGCACCACATAAAGGCAAGAGTAAGAATGTGATGATGGTAAGATAGTAAGTAGAGGAGTATAAATTGGGTCATAAGGGCTCATCTCATTGCCAAACTTCTATCTGCTCCACTGATACCTAGCCAACTTTAGTTTGTAGCTGGAGCCAGTTTTTTCAGAATCTGGCTAATAATTGCTTTACATCTCATGCTCAAATGCTCCCAGCATTTTTGTTCAAAAAGAACTATAGAATCTTTGAAGATTTCTAATGTGGGTAGATCTCCCTACACTGCCATCCTGGCCCAGCTCAACCAGTTCAGTGTAACTGTGCATGTTGTGGGCAGACTCTGCCCTCAGTCAGTCAGAGGCTTCTGCTAACAACACTCCTCATATGTGACATGCTTCCCAGGCTCCAGACATTCCTTCCGGTAGCCCTGACAGCTGCCTGGGAGACATGTGTTGGCAGATAGAGCAGTGGAGGTAACAGGAAAAGAATGTACCCAGTCTCTGATGTGTTAGTTTGAGCAAAAGTTGCTTCTTAATGTATTTTCAGTGAGATAGCGTAACTTAGGTCAAGCCATTAGAAACTGCCATTGTGTTGTAGACCAGAAATGGTGGAGTATCAGCAATTTCATATGCTTCACATAGTGCCTGCTTTCCCACATTTGCTTGCTGTTTATTAAGGCCAAGCATGAGTGGAAAATGCTTATGATATCCTGTCATACATTCCTCACAACCAACTTGGTGAGTTCTGCCATTATCTTCATCTTACAGGTGAAGGCCTATGTCTTGGGGAGGAGAAAGAGGGTCACAAAGGTAGTAAGTGGCAAAGCCACAGTTCATACTCAGTTGTCTTTTAGAACAAACCCCTTCTTTTAATCAGCATACTCTAAGTTTGGAATGGAGTTGGTTCTTCCTGTAAAGAAAGGCCATTGCTGTTGAAAAAAGTCACCTCCCAGTGTTATCACTACAGTGTTAACTAAGATCCACTGTCTAATTATTTATTCTTAAATGCCATTCCAGTTATTCAGCAATTATTGAGCACCTACTCTGTGCCAAGCAGTGTTCTAGAACTGAAGAAACTAGTTAATAACACAAGCCCCTTTCCTCATCTCTTAACTAACCATGGCAGTAACGATGGCTTTTATTTATAATCTTGTTTTCGTTGTTTAAGGAAAGATGTTTATTGTGATTGTTGACTTCAAATATTCACTTTGTGAGTAATAAAAGTTTCTGAATCTCTGTAGCTTACAGCTTTGTTTATTTATGAGATGTCACATTGTTCTTGTGCAGATTTAAGAGTATGTCAAATTCATTAAAGTATAAAAAAGGATATTTTATGTGAATTACTGAAAAATATAAGCTTAGAATATCTTTAAAGACATTTTTATGGCTTTAAATATTGTACGTATTATATAAAATATACATGTATAATATACACACATACATAGTATATAAATATGTATATCCAAATGGATATCAAATTGAGTTCTAATAAATGTGGTATATAGTATTTCTTAACCACGGGCCTGAAACATCTGAAGCTGAACCATATGGTTCTAGAATATTCTATTTCTCGAACTGCCAGTGGTAAAGGACCAGGTACTTAATTCCATCACTTACCAGTACTTTGGCACAATGAATGACAATTAATTACAAGAAAAAAATAAATAAAAAGGACATACAAAATAGAAGCACAATTCTTTTCTTTATTATATGTAGATTCAACAGACATAAAATTAGTTAAATTGCAGTAAAAGTGTCTGAAACATGGACCACACTTTGAGTAGCACTGCTTTGGAACATTCATGAAACCTCACCTCTACTTCTCTAAGACTCCTGTCACTTTTTACATGTATCAAAAGCTATGTTTATGTCTCACATCTTCCCTGCTGTGCTCTTCAATACTTGAAGTTGGCAGAATTGATGTCTAATTCAATTCCTAATCTCCCATTATACTTCACACATGCTTCACCTTCACTGAATTATCAGAAAATCTGCCCAAATTAGCCCCAAGTTAATGAGTTTTCTGTTTTATTTTTGTTCATTGATGAAAGGTGCATTTTGGGTTATTAATTTCAGAGAACATTATTATCTACTTGGAAATATTTCTACTAATCATTTTAATAATCTGTCATTTCAAGGAGTAACTATAATTAATGAAAAAAATGAAATCCTCTAAAACCACAAAAGTTTCCAGAATAATACAATCACTTTTGGAAGTAAGAAGCTGAGCCATCCTAGGAAATTTTCTTCAAAACTGCCTAGAAAACTGGAGCAGCCAGCAGCTGAAATCTACCTCTTCTGTCCCCATTTTCATCTCTTTAGCTTGAGCATTAAGATAGATCGAAAGAAATGTGATAGCTAAGAGTGTGGACCTTGGAGCAGATCATCCTAGTTTTGAGTACTGATTCTGCTCCTTTGGAATTATTTAATGTCACTGTTTCAGTTTCCTTCTCTGAACAATGAGGATAATAATACCATTTTCCTAGAGTTGTACTGAGAATTAAATGTGATTGCATATACAACACGGAATCTGGTACAAAGAAAAACACTCGAAAATGTTCGTTGGTCCTGTGATGATAGAGATGATAGAGATGATTGTGGTGGTGGTGATGGTGATAATGATGACAAGGAAAATGATGGAGCCTTATGGTGCATTTCAGAGCTGTTTTAAGAGCCAGGGGAAGGCAAAAGAGCACCACTCCCCAGCAATCGTGAAATGTAACAATAGCAGTATCTCAGTTTGTTACATTTACTTGCAAAGTCAATGACAGCAGAGACACTAAAATCGTGTCACTATTCTTATTCTTGATGATTCCTGGAAGATACCGGAACTCTTGCTGTAATACCAGTCTGTCTTTCAACCTGTAAGATTGTAATCTGAAAAATAAAAATGACTTTCTGAAAGATTTAATCATGGTGGAGCTGTTGTCCAAAACGATAAAGATTAGAGGCATAGGATCATTATCTTCCAGATTGACACAGTGTTATTTACAGCTACTTAGTTCTCTTGGCATGTCTACCAGGTCATTGACTGCAAGACTGCCCACTGTGAAGTCCCCGGCTGACTTGGTGTATGCCCTGGACTTCTGCCTGTCAAAGAAATAGATAAGTATCAATGAGTTTCAGCCAAAAAATCCCAGGAATACATCTGGGATGTATTTTAAAGCGATGTTAGATTTATTGATTTACCACAACAAGGAAGAACCATGTGAACCACAGGAACCATGCAAGCTTCTCAGTAAGAAGGTATTAAAAGGAAGTTATTAAGAATTTGGACTTGTATTAGGTAATTTGGGGAAGAATGCAGGAAAGCAGGGCTTTGTTCTGGATTGGATGCTGGGGGCAATTCTCTGATTGAGTGTATTAATAATTCTTATCCAGAAAGCAGGAAGAACAGAGTGAGGTTTAAAACATGATTGATAAGCCAAGATATGGAATCAACCTAAGCATCCATTAATGGGTGAATGGATAAAGAAAATATGGTATATATACACAATGGAATATTATTCAGCCTTAAAAAGGATTTGCAGCAATATGAATGGAACTGGAGGTCATTATGTTAAGTGCAATAAGCCAGGAACAGAAAGACAAATATTGCATGTTCTCACTCATATGTGGGAGCAAAAAACGTGTATCTCATGGGGATAGAGAGTAGAATGGTGGTTACCAGAGACTGAGAAGGGGATGAAGGTGGGTGAAGAGAAGTTGGTTAATGGGTACAAAAATACAATTAGAAGGAATAAGTTCTAGCATTTGATAATACAGTGTGGCTATTATAGTTAATTATCACTTATTGTATATTTCAAAATAGCTAGAAGATATGAATTGCAATGTTTCTAACACAAAGTAAAGAAAAATGAGTTGATGGATATTCCAGTTACCCTGAAATTACACATTTTGTACAGGTATCAACATCACATATAGCCCCAAAATATGTACAACTATAGCATATCAATAAAAAGTATGGTTGATAAAAAGCACTATATTAGCCCAGAAGAGGAAATATTTGATTATATTTGATCACAGTGTTCATGTTTTTGTCTTTGATCTGACACTATTATGGAGTGGTCTTTTTTTTTATTTTTAGTTTTTGGGCTTGATCCTTCATGGTCACAGAGTAACCTTGTCTGGCGTTGATATTCTTTGAAATTGTTTGTGGTCCACGGGAGAACAATACAGCTTAGCTGTGAGAATGCCAGGCCGGTTCCTAACTGCTTTTCTTTTATTTTTCTCGCAGTAAAGGGATGCCCAGAGTTTATAGGCATTGTCCTGTCTAATGGGAGATGTTAACTAAGTGAAGAACTGTTTCCAAAATAAAGTCTCGGTAGTTCAAATGACTTATCTGCCAAATACAGGTATTAGTAATGGCTGTCAGTATTGATATATCACCACCACCACCACTCCACGGCCAGCAGTCACCTTTCTGGCTTATGGTGCCTGCAACACACAGCCTAGTTTTTCCTGACTAAAAACACTTTCTCATTCTACTTTAGTTTTATTTTACTCTCAAACCTCAAATTTTCAATAATAGAATTATTTGGTTTAGACATTTTTATAGATTGAGCCTTTTTGGTTTCAAAGTAAATATCAAGAAGTAAAAATCCTAGGATTTCTGAGTTTTCTCAGTCATTTACCTATTGGAAAGATATTAGGCAGTTCTACATTTAATGTTCTTTTCATCTATTCTCTGCTGATCTTACAAAACATATAATAATAGAACCATTATCAAACATAGAGATTAAATAAATACCTCATAGGAAAAACTGTTTTCTTCCTCATTTAGGTTTTTATTTTTTTTCTTCTGGTTATCTGGTTATTTACATTAGCAGGAGCTGTTTTCTGTTATTAGTCCATTACCACTATCATCAGCAGCAAAGCATTTTTGAAAGGTGTTATGTTTAGTGGCTGTTGGAGTATTCAAGGAAACTGAACTGGAGTGTGGGGGCTTTTCCATGTTGGTGGCTCTTGGAGTCAGAGAAGCTGAAGATGCTGCAATCCTGAGGCTAATTGCCTGTCAAATCATTTTATACAACAGAAATCCTATGTATATGTGTTAGTGCTTTATGAATGCACCAATGAGCGAGAGTCTCCAATTGGAGGGTATGTGGGAAAAATCTCACTTTGGTTTTCATGAGCAGTAATTGGTGTAAGAGGAAAGCAAAATTAAGACAACTATTCTCAAGAATAATAACAACTTCTAAACTCAGATGGAAGTCTAGGGGAGAAAAGGGAGGACTCCCTGCATGTCATCAAACAGTTGTACTCTGCCATTTTTCTCCTTCTTATTCCCCAAATGACATTCAGTATTGAGATGATGGCTAACCACTCAGGGAATCAAAACACCCTATGAGCCGAAGTTGTTCTCCATCTTTGGGCTCCCAGGTTAAACTCTAAGCTGGAAATCAGGATCTTCATTTCTTTACTGATCGTGTTTTTAGTCGGCCAAAACATCTCAGGGCTTGGAATACTTCCCTCAGCTCAAATGTATTCTCCTCAGAGAGGCATGCCCTGCCCACCGAGTAGAAGCAGTCCTGGCCCTAATGCCATCCACCAGATTTCCCCTGTTATTTCTTGGTCACAGCATTTTAGCAGTTGTTGGAAAGTTTTTTGCTTGTTGATTGGTTGGTTTTGTTACAAAGTATTTTATGTTTTATGAGAGGCTGAGTTTGTGAAGACAGGATTCCAGATGCTTCATTCACCTAGAACAGTATCTGCCCGTTAATATGTCCTCAGTAAATATTTGTTCAGTGTCCAGTTAAAACCGTGTTGAACAGCAAATAGCAGATATTTGTTCTGACAAAAAAATACAAAAAAATTCAAAATGAGAGCACATTTGTAAACATGGGTTTGAGTGCTTGCTCTACCACATTGCAAAATGCCACTGGGCAAGTTATTTAACCCCTCTGAGCATCATTATTCTCAGTGCAAAACAAGGATAAGAACAACTAGTTTTCAGGATTGTTGAGGGGATCAAATGAGAATGGTATGTAAAAAGTACCTAATAGAAAATATAGTCTGTAATATGTCCTCAGTTGATATACAATAAAGTTAAAAGCATACACTATAGAACCATTAGATCTGGTTGTGAATTACTGCTCTGCTACGTAATGACTGAGTAATCTTGGACAAGTTACTTCTCTGTGAATCAGTTTTATTACGCATAAAATGGAAATAATATTACCCATCTTATATAGTTGTAATGGTTAATGAAATAATTCATATAAAATATTTGGATAGGTTCCTGATACATAGCAAACACTAGAAATGATTATTGTTTTTTTAAGCTGTTGCTACTTTGCAGCTGTGTTGTAGTGACTTACAGTATAATTTTACAAGTAAACATTTGAAATCCTAGCTTATGCAATAAGACAAGAAAAAATATATACTGATTGGAAAGTAAGACATAAAGCTGTGTTATTCACAGATGATGTGATTGTTTATGTAGATAATTTGAAAGAATTAACAAAGAAAAAAACTCCTGGAATTGATACATGATTGTAGCAAGCTTGTAGAATACAAGGTTAATATATAAACATCAATAGCTATTCTATATACCAGCAACAAACAAATGGAATTGGAAATTAATAACGTAATACCATTTACTTTAGCATCCCCCAAAACTAAATACTTGTTTATAAATCTAACAAAATATGTACAAGCTCTATATGAGTAAAACTACAAAATTCTGATGAAGGAAATCAAAGACAAACTAATGAAGAGGTATTCCATGTTCATGGGTAGGAAGACTCAACACTGTTAGGATGTCAGTTCTTTGCAAGTTGGTCTATAGATTCAACTCACTCCAAATCAAATTAGGAAGACTGACACTACCAAACTCCAATACTTAATACAAAGCTGCAGTAATCAAGACAGCGTTGTACTGGTGAAAGAATAGACAGATAATGGAACAGAACAGAGAGCCCAGAAATAGATATAATTAATTATCTTTTGCAAAGGAGCAAAGGCAATAAAATGAAGTAAAGATAGTCTTTTCAACAAATAGTCTTTTCAATAAATGGAACAATTGGATATCCACATGCAAAAAAACCAATCTAGACACAGACCTTATGCCATTCACAAAAACTAAACTGGATTATAGGCCTAGAAGTAAAACACAAAGCTATAAAATTCCTAGGAGATGACATAGGAGAAAACCTAGATGACTTTGGATGTGGAAATAACTTTTTAGATACAACACCAGTGACATGATTCATAAAATAAATAAGATAGACTTCACTAAAGTTTAAAACTTCTGCTCTGCAAAAGACACCGTCAGGAGGATGAGAAGGGAATCTACAGACTGAGAAAAAATATTTGCAAAAGGCATGTCTGATAAAGGGGTGTAATTCCAAGTATACAAAGAACTCTTAAAACTCAACAATAAGAACACAAACAACCTCATTAAAAATAGGCAAAAGAGGCCAAGCATGGTGGCTCACGCCTGTAATCCCAACACTTTGAGAGGCCGAGGCAGGCAGATCACATGAGGTCAGGAGTTCGAGACCAGCCTGGCCAACATGGTGAAACCCCATCTCTACTAAAAATACAAAAATTAGCCGGGTGTAGTGGTGCATGCCTGTAATCCCAGCTACTTGGGAGGCTGAGGCAGGAGAGTTGCTTGAACCCAGGAGGTTGCAGTGAGCCACGATAGCATCACTGCACTCCAGCCTGGGCAACAGAGTGAGACTCTGTCTCAAAAAAAAGAAAAAAATGGGCAAAAGACTTGGACAGACATCTCACCAAAGAAGATATACAGAAGGCAAATAAGCATATGAAAAGAGGCTCAATAACATATGTCATTAGGAAATTGGAAATGAAAACAAGATACCACCATACGCCTGATAGAATGGCCAAAAGCTGGAACATAAACAGCACCAAATGCTGGTGAGGTTGTACAATAAGAACTGTCATTCATTGCTGGTGAGAATGAAAAATAGTATAGCCACTTTGCACAGTTTTGGCGATTTCTTACAAAATTAAACATACTCTTAACCGTATGATCCAGCCCTCTCACTCCTTGGCATTGACCCAAAGAAGTTGAAACGTGCCCTCTCAAAGATCTGCACATAAATGTTTATAGTAGTGTTAATCATAATTGCCAAAGTGTGGATATAACTTAGATATCCTTTGGTAGGTAAATGGATAAATAAACTGTGGTACATCCAAACAATAGAATGTTATGTAGCACTAAAAAGAAACGAGCTTTCAAGCCATGAAGAGATTTTGGCAGAACATTGAATGCATATTACTAAGTAGAAGAAGACAATTTGAAAAGATTATATGGTGTATGATTCTAACTATATGGCATTTTGGAAAAGGCACAACTAATAAGACAATAAAAGGATCAGTGGTTGCCAGGGATTTGAGGGAGGGGAGAGATGAATAGGCAGAGAATAAAGGATTTTTAAGGCAGTAAAGCTACTCTGTATGATATATAATGGTAGATACATGCCATTATACATTTTTCAAACCCCATAGAAAGTACAACAAGAGTGAACCCTAATGTAAGTTATAGACTTTGGGTGATAATGATACCCCAATGTAGATTCATCAGTCCTAACAAATATGCCACTCTGGTGTGGGATTTTGATAGCGGGGGAGGCTCTGCATATTTGGGGGGTAAAGTGTTCTATGGGAAATTTGTATACTACACTCAGTTTTTCTAACAACCTCTAAAACTAAGAAGTAAAATCTATTTTTTAAAAGGTACATGTTCAAAAATAAATCATCATGTGGTAGTTATGTATTTATAATAGTCCTTTCCTCCTTTTCTCTCTTAATTGCTCTTTCACTTCTATCCTTCCTCCAACCTCTTATTTTTCCACTGTGCCCTTAGTGCTTTGCTTAAAAAAATAAAAATAAAAAAGAAAGAAAAAGAAGAAGAGGGAAGAGAAGAACAGTGGCTGGGTGGATGGACAGATGGGTAGATTTGACACTATTAATCATTTTTTCTTGAGAGTATAATTTAAATTGTTATTAAAAGGAACACATCTTCCAAACAAGTTATGTTTTTCATATGTATTTTCCACTGCTTAGCATATGATAATTTATATTTTATTAGAAGTGGCTCACTCATTACTCTAAAATTTGAGAGTCACTGTTGTATCTTTTATCAAGCACCATATTTATTCACTTGTTCTTCCCAAACTCAAGTTCAACGTCTGTCTATATGAATCAATCATTGCCTTCCCAAGTCTGAAAATTAGACCTAGTGGGATTCCCTTTCCGTGTTAAAATGTTTGAACACAGAAGCCAAGAAGGAAATATGTCGTAATCACATGTAACCATTAAGTAGGTGAGAGGCCGCATGGAACACTGATGTAATTGGACAAACAGTTGTAAAGATCCTTTTCCCCTATAATTTTCATATACTACAGCAAAGACTTTTTCACACCGGTGTTTGGTTGAGGGTCTTCATGTTCTTCTATCTTGTAGTATTATTTGCGATATTCTAAGTGACCTATTATTAGATTTAACTGTTAGTATAAATTGTAAAAGTTTTTTATTCAAGGGTCACTTAAGAAATCTAATAAAGGTTGTTCCTGCCTCCCCCTCTTAACTTTCTACAGTACTGAAACTAAATTCTCCTTAGTTCTGTCAGACAGAAAAGTTGACAGAATCTTCTATTTAGTTTGTGTGCAGAGCCAGAAGTACTTGAGGACATTAATTTAATACCAAAATGTGATTAGAATTTTTCATGGAAATGTGAATGTCTTCATTTAAGGACATAGCCAAAGTTCTCTTTGGTACAGAGTGACCTTCTGTGGCAATTCTTTGCAACCCTTTCTGGTTCAAAAGAGCAAATTGCCTTTACCTAAGAGTGTTGGATGTGTTAATATCAGATGTTAAATGAGTTCTTAAAATCAAATAATCCAACTCTGTTATACTAGCCAATTTCTACCATGCAAAGGGTAATACAACCATCTCAAACTTTCCAAGCCTCATTGGATTAAAGGGAATCTCAGATACTGTGATGTAGAAACTAATGGCCTGTGTTTTCTCTTTTTTCATTTTATGACAATATGTAGAAAACCAGAATGAATAATGTAATGAACCCCAATGTACCCTCTCCATCACCCCACTTCAACATACAGTCATCATGGGGCCAATCTTATTTATATGCACACACACATACACACACACACGCACACATGGGATTATTTTAAAGCAAATATCAGGCATCATATTATTTCATCTATAAATATTTTAAGCTATATCTCTTAAGAAAGCAAGACTTTAATTTTTAAATGTAACCACAATACTATCATCAAATACAGACACACACGCTCCAAATTCATCTCTCAACATAAACAAATATTCAGTCAGTGTTGAAGCCATACCAGTTTTCTGTCTTACAACATGTATGTTTCAATCATGACCAACATATTTACACATAGCATTGGTTGATACGTCTTTCTGGTTTCTTACAATCTGTAGGTTTTTCTCTCTTTTTTTTTTTTTATTACTCACCATTTATTTGATGAGGACAGCATGTCATTTACCTGTTGAATTCCTCATGTTCTGGGTTTCGCTGAGTGCAACTCCGTGGCATTGTTCACCGTGCTCCTCTAACCCTGCATCTTCTGAAAACCAGAGGCTTGATTAAGTTCAGGTTTGATTTTTTTTTGCAAGAACACTTTATAGGTGGGACTATACTTCTAATTGCATTGTACAGGAAGCACTTGATGTCTGATGGTCTTTCTTTTAGGGTCTTTGCTGTCTTTATTAAAGCCATTCAGTGACTGTGACAGTCACCGTTCATGCTCAGGACTGCTTCCCATGACTGCACTGAACCTGATATAGGGGATATCACCACTGATCCCACATAAATACAAACTACCATCAGAGAATACTATAAACACCTCTACACAAATAAACTAGAAAACCTAGAAGAAATAGATAAATTCCTGGACACATACATCCTTCCAAGTCTAAGCCAGGAAGAATTTGAATCCCTGAATAAACCAATAACAAGTTTTGCATGCAGTCAGTCGTATAGCTTGCGTCTTCAAGGAGCTCACAATTCTAATGGAGCAGAGACACATCATTACAGGAGACTGTCATAACTGCAGGGATAGTCATGGACTTCTTTTGTTAAGGTCAGAGGATGTGAGTCCCAAAGCTGTGGTTCTCAAACCTATCTGGCCTAATCTTTGAAATTATCTTGAGCAGCTTTTTGAAAAATACAGATTCTGCAGCCTTGTTCCAGTATATTCTGATTCACCAGGACTAGGGTGGGACTCAGGAATCTGGATCTACTGTGGAAAGGTGAGATTGGTGGTTGAGGGTAGACAAGGAAGGAAAAGCCAGATTCCACAAGCCATCTCCATGACTTTGGACCTGATCCAGAGGACCAGGAGCCAATGGAATGTTGTCAGCAGTGAAGTGGAGGAATGAGGCTTTATCACTGTGGAGAGAATGGTGGGAGCAGGGGAGCCTGGGGGCAGGAAGAGCAGTGACTAGGGTATTCCCATCTTCCAGGGAGACATGATTGTGGCCTAAACTAGGTGCACTGGCAGCTGGGATGAGAAAAACTGGTAGGTTAGAGACATACACATGAGATAGAATCAGTATGGCTTGTCGTTCAACTGAATGAGACCTGGGGACCAGTGATGAAATTGGTATGGACACCCAAAACCCAGGACATTAATCTTTTTTTTTTTTTTTTTTTCTGAGATGGAGTCTCACTCTGTCGCCCAGGCTGGAGTGCAACAGTGCGATCTAGGCTCACTGCAAGCTCCGCCTCCTGGGTTCACGCCATTCTCCTGCCTCAGCCTCCCAAGAAGCTGGGACTACAGGTGCCCGCCACCACGCCCAGCTAATTTTTTGCATTTTTAGTAGAGATAGGGTTTCACCGTGTTAGCCAGCCAGAATGGTCTTGATCTCCTGACCTCGTGATGTGCCCGCCTCAGCCTCCCCAAGTGCTGGGATTACAGGCGTGAGCCACCATGCCTGGCCTGGACATTAATCTTAACTTAGACAGTGAAATATAGTGTTAAATATATTTGTGAGTTTTACACTTCCACACATAACCCATGGTATTGAAGTAGTGCTTTTTTTACCACTTCACAAATTGTGGTTTGGAAGCTCTGTTAGAGTTCTCCTGAGAAACAGAACCAGCAAGCAATAAGCAATGATGGGGAGAGACCTGATTCATGTGATCATGTGATTTTGGAGGCTGAGAAGTCTCAAGATCTGCATTTGGCAAGCTGGAGACCCAGGAAAGCCGATGGTGTAGTTTCAATCTGAGTGGGAAGGCCCCAGAACCAGGAGAGATGACCGTGTAAGTTCCAGGCTGAAAGCCAGCAGGCTCAAGTCCCAAGAAGAACTGATGGTTCAGTTTGAGTCCAAAGGCAGGAAAAGACTGAAGTTCCAGCTTCAGGCGGTAAGACAGGATTTAATTCCCTCTTACTCTCTGGAGTTTGTTCTGTTCAGGCCTTCACCTGATTGGATGAGGCCCCCACTCACAGTAGGAAAGCAATCTGCTTTACTCGTTCTACTGATTCAAACATTAATCTCATCCAAAAACACCCTCATAAACACATCCCAAATAATGTTGACCAAATATCTAGTGACACCATGGCCCAGCCAATCTAACACATAAAATTGACCATCACGGAAGCCATTTTTATTCACCCCAGATACGGCTGTGTTGGTAATTTTTCCATTTGTTGAGCTTTAGATATTCTAATATCAATCCCAATTACAATCCCACCTCATGTGCAGCCCCATTAGACTGGTAACATCTGTCATCTCCCCAGCTCCCACGCTCATTTACAAGGTGTTTGAGGCTTGGCAAATACATAACAGGGATTCTCCAACTCTTTCCTGTCTATGGAAATAGCATCAGAAGAAAGTAGCACAGAACGACTCAAGATGGCAGACTTAGAGCTGTGTATGCTGTTTATTTGGAGTTCAGTGTAGAACGTTTTTCATTTTCCTGGGTTAATTTTAAAAGCAAAATGAAGCCTGAACATCACAGTGCTAAACAGCTGGAGGGTTGTTTCTCCTCTCCACCTAGATAAAGCAAGGCATCACTATTTGTTTTCTTTTATTAAATGTCTCATCGCCTCTGAAGCAGAAGTAGATATCACAAGTGGCGTAGACAAAAGGAGCATCCTGCATAAACTCACTCCTCTGTTGCCTGTACCTGAAGGTGGCTTGCCTGCCTTGTTCGAAGACAGATGTTAGCTTCCAGTTGCTATTGACCTCACTGTTTACTTTGCTTAATTAAATACCCTTTTAATATTTTCTCATTTTGCTGCCCTTTACAGTTCACATAGATGCTGTGGCACAACAGGGGTGAGAAGGAAAGGTCTTTGAAACTGAAGCTCTTAATTAGCTCTTGGGCCCCTGGGAGAAGCGTCAGATAGAAATACAGCTAAAAATGGGGGAAAAGAATAGCCGTACTCAAGATGCTCTGACTGGTGGTAGAAAAAACATTGACTACCTTCCAGTGATGCCTGAGTTATGAAAATAGTTTTGAAATTCGTGACCATTTTGAATCATATGTACCATAGTATCATTACTTTTCACCGATGGTGTATTGATTATTCAGCTGTAGCTGCTCATTTCTGCCAGAACCTGCTTTTTCTCCTCTTCTTCAGTACACTCCTCGTCCTGTGTGTAAATAAATGGATGGCCCATGAGTAAGGTTCATAGTCCCTTCCTGCCACCATCAGGTGACCGGATTGTCATTTAGAGCCGCTTAATTGAATTATTTTAAATACAGCCAATATCTGCCTAATGTTTCTTGGGAGAAGAGATGTATAATGATATATTATTAATTATGAAATAATATAAAACATAGTATAATAAGATATAATTATATAAATATATAGATTTAAGTGTCAGTAGATTATATATAATTATAAGTATAACTTTAAATAGTCATATAGTTATACTAATATGGATTATAGCTATATAGATTATAGATGTGTATAGATATCAATTATAGATATAATTCAATATTGTATATAGTATATAGATTTATCTAGATAGAATTGTTATGCAGTAGAATACAATATTAATTCACTGTTGTAAAAACATAAAAGAAGTTCCTGGAAGGATTGCAGCATAGCCCAGAGCTCCACAGACCTCAGGCCAGCAGCCACCGTGGCCTGCTCCCCATGGAGACACCATGGTCTGGCCCGGGGGATATGCACTATGACCCTGGGCAAGCTGGGAGCTTATGGGCTGCTCTTTATCTTCTCTAGATGCTTTGGAATCTTTTTGATAATGGATTTGCTTAGGTTTGGTGTATTAGTCATGTTTACCTGGGTTCTTACCTCCCAAGGCTGCAGTTAAACTTGCATTTTAATTTCCTAAAACTGCTTGTTTATCCTTTGGAAAATAATGAGCAAGCTTGCTGTGAATCAAAAAGTCCTCATCAGAAAATTGGACGCTAAGGACAAAGTGGTAACAACCAGGTGGAAACAAAGCAGCTGAGGCCAGGAGCAAAAGATGGCTCCCTGCGTTGTCCTAGCTCATGAGGGTGGCTAACAGAGGCACCCTCATGATAAATGGGCGTGAAGGGTGCCCATTTATGGCTAAAGCTGGAGTCCCCCTTACTCACCAACAGCCCCAGTTCCATCCCACAGGCTGACATACGCTGTGCTGTTGCCCTACCTGTGATATTAGCCATAGCCATGGTGGGCTTTTCCGGTGTGGGTGTCTGCACCCCACCAGGTCTGTTAGCTTTTCTCCCTCACCCTTTTCTGAAGCCAAGGCAGCCCCCATGGACCCTGACCCAGGCAGTCCCAAAGGCTGGGAGCAGGCAAGGCCCTGGAGATCATTCTCAAACAAGAGAGGATGAAAGTCTGTGGATAAGTGGGCCTGCCTCCCGTCCTGCATGGGAACGATTCAGAAGCACGTGCTCTGTGTCTCTCAAAGGGTCCCCAGCAGGACTGAGTCACCCACAGTGGGGACCTGCTCAGCAACACCCCTTTGTTGGCTTTTCTCTTTTTCTCTCACTCACTTTCCTACCCCCATGCTTCTGCTTCCAGCATCACCATTACTCCTCAATACTGCCTCAGGCTCTGCTTTCAGAGGATCTCAAACCAAGCTGAGTGCTAGGAGGTAACTGCTCTCATGGGGTGGTTGGGCATGTATCTTCTCTGACTGTTTTTCTGTGCATGTGTTTGTGTGTGTATGTGTTTACACTTATTGCTGTTTTGTGTGTATATGCAATTTTAGTGACATTTTTAAAATCAATGCTCATACAGTTTGATTAGGCTTTTCTGGAGAGCAGTATCCTGTCCCCTATTCATGCCCTCCATTTCCCCTTCCCCAGCAGCAACTCTTTCATTTTGGTATTTTCTTCCATTTTTGTATTTGCTTCCAAACTAAAATTGCATTCCTATATTCCTTCTTCTTGACTTTTTAAAAAATTTTAGGTGCTGTTAACGTCCCACTATGGATGATGGCTCCCCAGCATGCACCCCCCGCAGCCCCTCTCCTCATATATTCAGGGACACTCGCCCTCCCTGCCTGGTCCTCCCATGCACTGAGTCAGGACTGTGGTGAGCTCAGCTTGTTTGCTTAGTTTACAGTACTCATCTCTAATTCAACTTCACATTATTGCTCAATTGTATGATTCTCTTCTCAAACATTCAGAGCACCAGGTGTTTCATAAATACAGCCTCCTTGCAGAAACCTCCCCTGGAACCCTCTTGCCTGTTCTAGTCAGACTGAGCCACACCGCAGCTCCCTTCCACCCCACAATTGTCCTTCTCCATCATCCTTGGCTCTCCCTTGAATTGTTTCGCCTGCTTCCTGTACCCATGTCTTCCCTTTCTTGATTTACTCCCTCACTTTAATGAAACACCTCTCTAGTAGCTTCCTGAGAAAGGATGTATGAGAGGTAAGTTTCTAGAAACATGTCTGAAAATGCCTTCATGTACCCACTCACTGGCTAGATATAAAATGTTAGTTGGAAACCATTTTCATTCAGAATTTCAAAGGGGTTTCTCCATTGTCTTCTAACTCCAGTGCTGCTGCTAAGCAGTTCAAAACCATTTTGATTCTTGATCTTTTGTATGTGACCTATCCCTTCCTCCTCCCCTACCAAAAACCCATAGAGCAGCCTTTATAGGGCCTTCTCTCTGTTCTCAATGTTCTGAACCTATAGAACTCTACTCTGGTAAACAGTTCGTCGATTCTTCTGACCCATGGGTTCTATCGATTTCTGCCATATCCTTCATTTCTGGGAAATTGCCTTAATGATTTCCTTTCTTAAGGTTTTGTTGTTGTTGTTTTTCCTGTTGTTTCTGGAATTCCATTTGTTCAGTGTTGAACCTCGTGGTCTGGTCCTTTCATTTTTCTGTCTCCTGTATTTTCTATCTCTGTCGTTGTCTTGCTTTGTCTTTCTGTCTCGTCTATCTCTGTCAATCAAACAACTGATTCCCTTCTGCATATTATTTGAGAAGCACTGCACTATGTGGTCCACCTGATTCTTTCTTTGCTTGTTTTAACATTGCATTTGCTACTTTTGCATCTTTTAGTACTGTTATCAACCTGAAGGCCTAACTTCTTGCTTCCTGAAATAGTCAATTTTATTTATTTCCATTGATGTCAGTTTAGTTGCTCTCCATTCAGTCCCTTTGTTGCAACAGCCTAAAAGACGTGTTTAAAATTCTTCTTGCACATCCATGTATTTTAAGAACCACTGTCTGTCTCATGCCCACTAAGTTCTCTGCTCATTGTTTGTATCAACATTCAGGAATCATCCTTCCTCTTTCATGAAGCCTTGCCCACTTTGCAGTAGGCTTTCTTGCAAATGCATCAATTCCCCTAACTCCCTCTTTTTCAGACTTGTTTTCCAAATACCTTGTGCTTTTTTTCAGATAAAAGGTGCTCACTGTGGTCTTTGCGAGTGAACCTCATGCTGTCTTTTGTTGCCCGTGTAAACTGCATCTTTATTTTAGAATTCAGCTAGCTATTTTTTCCCCTGACAACACTTTTTTCTTCTATATGTGTCAGTTATGTTTCATAATGTTAATGAATCACAGCATATGGTGCAATCCTTTGAGACAGTATTTAGAGGGGGAATGGATGAGAACATCAGTTTGTTCCAATTCCACACAACTTTTTACCTTTATCGTTTGCCCATGTAAAGCTACCATCCATTTTTAGATATACTTATTTTTGTTACCAGCAATCCCCTGCAATGCATTTACATTTACATATATACTTTTCATTCCAGGCAACCAAAAACATTTTTTTAAAAAAAGGTAAGACTTTGCCTAATCTGCTTTCTAATTGAGATCACCTGCTTCATATTATTTATAAGTAAAATTAAACTCATGTTGGAATCAAGAAATCATTTGGTAATCAAAGTTGAAAAAGGTAGAAAATGAAGCCATTGCCTTTTTCTCAGTGGATTTTTCTTTAGCTAGCTGGAAACACAGCCCCAGTAGACCCCGGGGCTTGTATTTCAGAGCTCTCTGAATAAATGCTGTGAGCAACAGGAAGTCTGCTTCTGCCCTTAATATCTCCAGGGTGTGCGGTATTTATGCTACTTAGTATATGTTCACCTTTCCTCATCCTTATAGTGCTTATCTTCCAGTTCACAAAATTGTATTTATATGCAGTTTACTTATTTGGAGGAATCTGGGCATATTTAAGTAATAGCTTAGTCAATACATACTGACATTTCTTACTTTGAAAGGCAATGTCCTTGTGGCAGAAACTGGGTGTCAACTTATTCTCAATTAGCCCAGTATTTTTTAGACTATATGGCCACATAGCTTCCTTCAGGATCCCCTAGATGACGAGATTTCCCTTTGATCAGGGGCATCTTTCTATCCAGGTTTTGCCAGTACTTTGTTTTAACTCCTGTGTCCTATTGCAGCATTGCAGCTAAAAAAAGTCACTCGTCCTAAAAGTTTTGATGACTGAAAGACTGATGCTTACATAGTTTTCAGGCTCATTTGGTGTTTAACACAGCCAGACACATGTGTCCAAGGAAGCGCATGTTTAATCAGCTGCCTAATCAACACCATTCTTCATTTTTTGTCTACAGCAACTTCTCAGACCTTAAGTAACGAGATGACCAGGATACTTTTAAGAGTTTCTAGAGTGTGGCTTTGAAGCACAAATTAAGATTTGATAGACTTTCTTCTCTAGAGTAATTTAACAAACTTCCCTTACACAGAAGAAAGAAGATATTGTAAACCTATGAAATTTTTCGAATTAAGGTCCTAGGGAAAGAAAACCCATGCTTCTCATTGTTTATCGAGGCCTATCAGCATTGCCTATAGCTATTCATTGCATCATTTGTTCAACGACTATTTTACAAGCAAAGTACTGTGCTGGATGTACATGTATTCAATGTATATACTTTTGGTTTCTTTTTCTTTTTCTTTTTTAGCTCCTAGCCCAATTTCTAAAACTTAGTTTCTTAATTTGGTAGGTAATATCTGTTTGAAAAAGGAACTTTTTAATTTGCATTTCCCTGTATGAAATAGACACCTACCCCATTCTTTTTTGGAGTTAGAGATGTTGGCATTTGAGAAGTTTTGATCTGGCTTTTCTCCCTACCTCCCTCTTCCCTGACATATTCAGGCCTCAGTCATTGTCTCCAGTGAAGGGGATCATTGGTGCAAATAATTCAAATCCCTAGCTAATCTTCTTCATGGGGTGGGGTCAGGGCCCACCACTCGGGGCCACAGTCCTCATCACACCTAGGGCTTGACCCTGACTCCCCCAAGGGACACAGGGCAGTTTCTGGACACTCAGGAAGAGCTCCCAAGGCAGGAGGGTAATCTCCAAGGCAAACAGTCTCACAGGAGCATCAGGCACCCCTCGTCCAGAGAACAAAACACAGGCAGCAGGTTATCTCTCCTGGTATCTCAAAAGCTTACCCTCTTGCCCTGAATTCAGAGACTCAGTATTATTCAGACAGCCCGCCAAGGCCAGCTGAATTTTAACCGAAGGAGATTTGCCCTCAGTACACAAACTACCTTAGGTGACATATTAGAGGCATAGCTCATTCTGTTCAGCCACAGCTGCAGAGGCACACGATAGAGTCATTGAGTGTTCTCGATGCATCCAGTTGTGGAGTTCCCCTGAAGGGGAGACTTTGTGATGCCATCAAATAATGTACAACTACTCCTCGATGGCCGAGTCTTTTAGGTCCTGATTCTTTGAATTTGAATTCAAGTACATTATAGCCAAGAGGTACCACACAGCAAGATTCTCATTTGAAAGCCTTTGTCAGACAAATTGGTCGTTTGGAGCAGTCATTATATCTCCAAATGCCAGGAATCTCTGAAGGTTTATACAGTGAAGGAAGGAACCATGAGCTTAAAAACAAAGAAAATAATACATCTTTTTTGTTTTCCAAATGGCACTTTTGAGAATCAGAGCATCTAAAATGTATCTTAAAACAAGATATGGGGGAGAATCAATTAGAATCAATTTACCTGACATGGGTTAGATTTTCAGTTTATTTTTAAATGTGATTTTCCATTTTGAAACATGTTTACTCTTCTTTGTTTTAACACAACTCTTTTCTTTGTTTGTTTTTGAGACGGAGTCTGGCTCTGTCACCCAGGTTGGAGTGCAGTGGCTCAATCTCGGCTCACTGCAGCCTCCGCCTCCTGGGTTCACTCCATTCTCCTGCCTCAGCCTCCCGAGTAGCTGGGAGTACAGGCGCCCGCCACTGCGCCCGGCTAATTTTTTGTATTTTTAGTAGAGACGGGGTTTCACCGTGGTCTTGATCTCCTGACCTCGTGATCCGTCCGCCTCGGCCTACCAAAGTGCTGGGATTACAGGCGTGAGCCACCGCGCCCGGCCTTAACACAACTCTTTAAATAAAGGGTCTGCCAGTATCTATCTAATATGAGGTGATTTTAAAGGGTCTGCCAGTATCTGATATGAGGTGATTTGGAAAAAAGCCATTTCAAATTCTTGCTTTTACTTTCCTTTGAAGGAGAAAACATTAAACACTTCCACATTTTAAGCCCATGTGTTTCCAAACATTTAAAAGAGGGGAAAATTAACATATTTGCATATCAATTCCCTGAGGACAAAGTTATATAGACAGTATCAACTCTGGGTGGTCCCCAACTTGATGATGGTTCTACTTAAGATTTTTCAACTTTACGATGGTGTAAAAGCGATACACATTCAGTAGAAACCGTACTTTGACTGCTCATACAGCCATTCTGTTTTTCACTTTTAGCACAGTATTCAATAAACTACATAAGATGTTCAACACTAACTAGACTTTTTGTTAGATGATTTTGCCCACCTGTAGGCTAATGTAAGTGTTCTGAGCACATTTAAGGTGGACTAGGCTAAGCCATGATGTTTGGTAGGTTAGGTGTATTAAATGCACTTTCGACTTAGAGTATTTTCAACTGGCCGTGGGTTTATTGGGATCCCATCATAAGTGGAGGAGCATCTCTGCAGTATGTACTTACTAAGAACAGATACTCCTCCACTTATGATGGGATCCCAATAAACCCATCGCCAGTACGTACTGTGTTTACTAAGGTACATACCATACAGATGCTCTTCCACTTATGATGGGATCCCAATAACCTTATCACCAGTACATACTGTGTTTACTAAGGTACATACTATACAGATGCTGTTCCACTTATGATGGGATCCCAATAACCTTATCATCAGTACATACTGTGTTTACTAAGGTACATACCATACAGATGCTCTTCCACTTATGATGGGATCCCAATAACCTTATCATCAGTACATACTGTGTTTACTAAGGTACATACCATACAGATGCTCTTCCACTTATGATGGGATCCCAGTAACCTTATCACCAGTACATACTGTGTTTACTAAGGTACATACCATACAGATGCTCTTCCACTTATGATGGGATCCCAGTAACCTTATCACCAGTACATACTGTGTTTACTAAGGTACATACCATACAGATGCTCTTCCACTTATGATGGGATCCCAATAACCTTATCACCAGTACATACTGTACTTACTGAGGTACATACCATACATCTGTACTTACTAAGGTTCTCTAAATTGGACCCTGTCCTAAGCATTTTGTAGACAATAGCTCCTTTAATCTTCTAATCCTAAAAAGAAAATACTATAATCAGACAAGGAGGAAACTGAGGTACAGAGGAGTTAAGGGGCTTACTTCAAACCACAGTGCTTTGATGTCTTTGTGCCCAGCATGGTAGCTGCATAAGACTGAGTGCCTAGGATCCCTGCTCATGGTGCTGCATTAGAGCTCAAACAGCCATAGTGTGCCTCCAGGGCTCTCCTAGGCTTCTTCCAGTGCTGAAGAAGTTGAGTCCTAATGGCATCTATATTGAGCTTGTTGCCAAACATTTATGTAGATTCAAACGTATCAGTAGGTCAAAGATCCATAGTGAGTACTGGGAACTGGGCTCCTTGCCCAGCATCCTCCCACTTTCTGCTTCAACCAAGTGAGGTTGAGTGGCACCTGTCAGATTATGTGGAAGCTGTTTGCCTCCTTCCTTACATGTCCTCACTTCTGGTCCACAGGTGCAAGATAAACTCAATTCTTCTCTTTCCACCCGCCTCCACCCCATGGTTTTGACTTGTGCTCTGGAGAAAAGCAGGTTTTGGTTTTTCTGATATGGATTGTCTATTTGTGAGGTTTCCCCAGAAGCTTGCTGCCAGGCTGGGTCATCGTCATCACTGAAACTACTTAATACCCTGAGCAAGGACGTCACCCTGTAAAAACTGAATATCACATGGATTTTAAATGCACATTTCCTATAAAAGTTTTAAAGCTTGCTGGATTTTATTAGAATATGTGAACCAGACTGAGTATATTAAATTTATGAATCCAGTTGATGCAGTACCATAATAATTCAGTATAATATGCTTATGTCATTAAACTCATAAAGAAGATTCTCTGAATAGCCGTAATGAATAGTTCTGATTCTGTAATCACAGACTAACATTTTCACCCTGATGAATTTTAACTTGGAGCTCTCAGACTTCTCTATAACATCAAGAAATAAATGCCATATTTCAAGTATTTACTTTAAAACTTAGTATAGCAAAAGTAGCTCATAGCAAAGAAATACCTGCTAAGAATTATTCATTAGAAATATTAAAAGAATTGGAAGAGAGATTGGCATGAAGTAGAATTGGACTTTAATTTATGTTTAGTCATAAATTATAAATAGAAACCAAAGAAACTTTTTTCATTCTGCTTTGACTAATTTCATTTATTCCCTCATATTTTACCTTATTCCCAAACCCATATATTTTGGTTATCTATCATTGTATAATGAACTGCCCTAAAACTTGGCACCTTAAAAACAACCACCATTTTATTGCTTATCATTATTTGGTTCTGGAAAATTTGGGCAGGGCCCAGCTGGATGGTTTATATACTCCAGGTGGTATCAAGACACGCCACTTATGGGCCTGCATTTTGATCATGACTCCACTAAGGACTAGGCTCAGCTGGGGCTCTCAAGTCACCCATGGCATTAGTGCCAGTGCATTCTATTGGCTAAAACAAGTCACAAACCCCACCTAGGTTTAACGAAGAGAGCCACACAGGGTGTGAATCCCACGAAGCATGATGTGGTTCATTGGGGCCACCAGTACAGCAAATATCACACGTACCACTGTCCCAGCCAGCTGCCTGTTTATGACCATCTTCACCTCTGCTTGACCTTGTACTGGTTAGTTGGAAGTTTGTATTGGGCAGAAATGGATTCCACTCTTAGACTAAGGTTATTTTTAAATGATTCTGGGAATTCTGGACATTAGGAATCTCAATTGTGATATGATTCTGCCCAGAGAGATGAATAAGTATAGGAGAAAGATGACGATGTTTAAGGATACTAGAATTCTAATCCAACCTCTCTCAGCTGTAGTTCAAAGGATCTAGCTAAGATTCCTCAGCTACAACAACATTGTGATTTTATGAGGATAAGAGAAAGGACTAGGTTACCTTTCAAAGATTTTTTCAGACTCTGGAGTACTCAGACGGAAATGTTGGATGTCTACTCTCCAACACTGCTGGAGAGAGTATAAATTGTACAGTGCCCACGGAAAACAATTTGGCAATATCTATCAAAATTTAAAAGGCACATACCCTTCGACCCAGCAATTCCATTTTAGGAATTTACCCTATGGGTAAAGTGATACACTTGCTTGTATATAAGATTGTTTATTACAGTGCTATTTGTAATAATCTTCATTCTTCATTATTTCATTCAACAAATATTGACTGAGTACCTACTGTGTACGAGACACTGTGTTAAGTTCTGGGGATACATCATTCGACTAAAGTAGTGAAAAATTATCGACCATGTATAGTTTACCTACTTGCAGGACTGCAAAGGATTAGAACAGCCTACGTGTTCATTAATAATGAGCTAGTACAACCAATTTCAGAATGAGAAACTATGTACTTCTGGAGAGGTCTTTAGTGTAAGTTGTTAAGTGAACAAAGTGAGGTGCAGAAGAGTATGTTGCTTATGTACCTGCTTGTGTAAGTTGAAATGGAGGCATCTGTGTTTGTGGGGTTTGGGGGTTTGGTGCTTTTTGTTTGTTTTGTTTTGTTTTTTTGAGACAGGGTCTCACTCTCACCCAGACTGGAGTGCAGTGGCATGATCATGGCTCAACTGCAGCCTCAACCTACTGGACTCAGGTGATCCTCCCACCTCAGCCTTCCAAGTAGCTGGAACTACAGGTGCACCACCACATCTGGTTAATATTTTTGTATTTTTTGTAGAGACAAGATTTCAGCATGTTGCCCAGGCTGGTCTGAAACTCCTGGTCTCAAGTGATCCACCTACCTCAGCCTCCCAAAGTGCTGGGATTAGAGATGTGAGCCACTGCACCTGGCTGGGTGTCTATATTTGTACTTGTTTATGTAGGCATTAAAATGCCATAGAAAGATACGCAAAAAAACTAATAACAATAAATTTTTTTGGATGCACTGGAGATTTGGGAAAACACAGGTGAATTGGAAGGAATCCTTTTCATTGTAGCGAAGACATGTACACATGCATGTACAAACAATGAAAAGTTCCCTTTCAACTCATAAATATCTGTGTGTATGGCATTTTCAGTCAGTAAAGTATTACACATTTTAAAAATAAATTTTAAAAACAGGAATATTAATGCATACTCTATGCTCAGAACTCACACATTTGAAGGCATGGTTACTCCAGAATCTTAGTGTAGAACTGTGCTATCCAGTACAGTAGCCACCAGTCACATGTTGCTATTTAATTTTAAAGTAAGATGAAGATTAAGGTAAAATCAAGGTAAAATTTTAAAAATTTAGTTTCTCAGTCTCACCAGCCACATTTTAAGTGCTCAGTAGCCACATGGCTAGCATAATGGACAGCACAGATAACAGACACTTCCGTCCTCTCAGAAAGCTCCAGAAGATGGTGCTGCTCTGGGATGCTTCGTACTGGGCACAGCACAAGCCTGTGGGTGTGAGTGCGGGAGGTGGGAGGGCGCGTGCTCACCCTGAGTCTCAGGCCTGGACCGTGGGTGTTCCCAGCCAGTGTGCATGCGTGGTCCCTCTTGAGTTGGTGTGTTCTCTGCCAGGTGGCATCTACTGTGCTGTGGCCTGTTTTTCTGCCATATGTTTTATTATATTCTGGGTTACAGTTTAGACCAGGGATTGGCAAACTACAGTTCTGTAGTAGGGAGAATTCTAAGAATGACCCCCCGGTGCCGTTGTAATCCTCCCCTCTTTGAGCTCGTGAGGAACTGTGATTGTGCTACACGACATGGCGAAAGGGAGAGTGTCCCTGTGTGCTTAATCTAATCATGTGAGCCCCATAAAAGCAGAGTTTTTCTGCCTGGTAACAGAAGAGGAAGCGGAGATTTGAAGTGTCAGTGTGAAAAAAGAGAGAGTGAAAGTAAAAATTGTTTCATTTGGGATAATATGCAAGAGAGAGGATTGCAATCCGGGACATACATGCAGACCAGGGTGGCCTCTGGCAACGTCCAGGAAAAAAAGTAAAAGGTTGAGGCTTACTGGGGAAGGAGAAGGGTTTGCAAGTTGTTTTGAAAGAAAGCTTATGGTGCTGGTGGCAGCTTGCAAGGGCTGGCAAGTTCTGAGTGGCAAGTATCAGTAGTTGCCAGGTAGGACCTGTAATCTTGGAGGTACAATTAGGTCCTTACAGTTTTAGATTGGCTTGCAAAACAGTGTGCCAGGCAGGTGTTCCTGTGTAATTAGCTAGCTGTTCTTGTCCCAGTGGCTGTCCTGGTGTGACTCATGTCTTGTGATAGTTCCCGTGATCAGGCAGATCAAGCATGCGAGCCCTCTCTTCATGGCCTTCCCCAGCTCCGCTTGCCAGGGTTTGACACAAGTTACTGTCTTTGGAATCTTACAACTTTCGCAGAAGCGTGAAGGGAATCTGATGGCTGGCTTCAAATGTGGTGGAGGCTGGGTGCCACTGAATGTAGGTGGTCTTTAGGAACTGAGAGCAGCCCCTTGCTGAGAGTCAGCAAGGGAACCTCAGGCAGGACCCCAGTCCTGTGATTACAGAATGCCGTATTTGGCCAACAACCTGAAGGAGTTTGGAAGTGGTTCTTCCCCAGGGCTTCCAGATAGGAGCCCAGCCTTTTTAACACCTTCGTTTCAACCCATGAGACCATAAGCAGAGGCTACCTGCACTGTGGCAGGACTTCTGACCCACAGAACCATGAGCTAATGAATAGGTGTTGCTTCCAGCCACAACGTTTGTGGTAATTTGTTGTGCAGCTGTAGAAAACTGATATAGGCCCTCAGGTCACACCCACCTTGCCACCTGTTTTCATACTGTCTGTGAGCATGGCCTGAATTTGCTAGACCTGTGATCCATGGAGACCTGGCGGGCTCACTGCCTGTTTTCCTGGCACTCAGCTGGCAGCCACGGCTCGCTGCTCCCCAGGGCCTGTGCTGGTCACCGCCTACACACTGGGGACTTGTTGGCAACTGCCAGTCACCAAGCAGTAGAGTCTCAGTCTGGGAAGTTGTCTTGCCTCTGGTCAGCTGCCCCAGTTGAGATTGCCAGGCTCTGTGCAAAGAGGGAGGCACACTAGGATTGGCACCACCAGGCAGAGCGTGAAACTGACCATGACAGTGGCCTGCCCAGCACTGGGTGCAAAATGCGCCTTCCACCCTGGGTAGCCCACCCCAGGAAAACAGGATGGGGTGGAGCCGGAATTTTCTCTCTTATTACATAAACACCTACATAATATCCTTAATTTCGCCTCTTTGCCTACAAAGCCCAAAGTATACCATCCATCCTTTTATAGAAAAAGCTTGCCCTGCCCTGAGTTAGACTGACAGAGGCTGGGAAAAGGTATGCAAGTGTCGGCACACCAAACTTGCTGCAATGAACACAATGAAAGTCTCACACTGGAGGTTCCAATGACGTTTTATGGTGGTTTCAAGTACCTTCGGGCAAGTGGTAGACTTCAGTAGAAGTTGGGGATTAACATTTGGAGACTCGTGAAAGTCCTCTGGCATCATAAGCATCATTTGACCAACGATTGTGTATGGCAGCTGGAAGAGACTTCCTGAAGGCCTGGCAGGACTTCACCATAGAGAAGAGATACCACCACCAGCGCACAGTGCCACCACCCAACTGTGTAGGGCCCCCAGCATGGGGACTGGCAGAGCCCAGGTCCAGGAGCAGTCCTGTTCCCAGGAGTCTGTCCTATCTGCTGAATGCTCTGTGCCTGTGGGCCTGGTCTAGTCACGCTAGACAATTGGTGATGCCCCAAAGCCCTGCCTCCCAGCTGCTAGGCTTGGTACCTGCTTCCTGCTCTGCCCAGAACAGGCTTCCTCCAGTATCTTTCTCCAATGTCTTCACCTGCTTGATTCTCATCACCCTATGGGTCTTGGCATAAAAGTAACCAATTCCCAGGACTAGGCATACAGCCTTTCCTTTCCCCTGGGGTCCCAAGTCACCTCATTGCAGTTCTCTCATAGTCATATTTTAATTGTAATTACTCCTTTACCTATTTGTCTCCCAGGCAGGCAGGACTGTGTTACTTGGCACAAGAACTGAGTAGTATTAGCTGTTGAATGCCCAGCACCGTCAGGCGCGATGGCTCATGCCTGTAATCCCAGCACTTTGGGAGGCTGAGGCGGGCATATCAGCTGAGGTCAGGGGTTCGAGGCCAGCCTGACCAGCATGGTGAAACCCCATCTCTACTAAAAAATACAAAAATTAGCCAGGCATGGTGGCACATGCCTTTAGTCCCAGCTACTCAGGAGGCCGAGGCAGGAGGATTGCTTGAACCTGGGAGGCGGAGGTTGCAGTGAGCTGAGATCATGCCACTGCACTCCAGCCTGAGTGACAGAGTGAGACTCTGTCTCAAAAAAAAAAAAAAAAAGAAACAGAAAAAGAAAAAAAAGAATGCCCAGCACCTAGCCCAACACTGGTGTGTAGAAAGCTTTCAGTAAGTACTTATTGGGTGCATGAATGAAGTCTGAAGAGAAGGGAGTCAGTACACAGCACACCTTGAACCAGTCCTTGGAAGATGAGAAGGATCTAGATGATGGGAGCAAAGCACCCATGGGAACAAGGAGAGACTCTGAGCAGTGGAGGATGGTGCCAGCCAGCATGCACCTGTGAGGGGAGGAGGGGAGGCACCGTGTCTGTTTCATTCAGCTCAATACCCAGGCCTGGCTTACTGCTTCTTGGAGAACACGTGTGCAGTGACTGCGCTGGATGGATGAGTTACCCAAACCAAGCTGTCCTGATTTCCTTGGAGTGTGGAGCACATTTGGGAGCATGTTGGAAAGGGAACCCAGCCTATTTGACCCAGTGTAGCCAAACTTTAGGATTCCTAAAAAGCCAACAAGAGGTATTTAGACTTGAATTTATGGGAGTTTAGAATTGGGAAGACTTGACTGGATGGATCATATTGACCACACTGGGTCGATGCGTGATACATAGCCAGGGGTGACCTGAACTCTTTCAGGTCTAGAAACATCCCTGAGTAGCTCCATTCAGGCCTGATCCATCTTCAGGGCCCATCAGTGGATGATGCATTTTCCAAGTACTGCGAGTTAAATGAGACCTCTAAGTCTTACTAGACTGATACTTGTCTTTAAGCCGCCACCGTGGTTAATGACTTCTGAGAATGAGGAATGCCACTGAACTCCTTTCTCTGTTAATATGTCACTATGGAAAGGTGGATAAAGTTCCATTATATTTTTAAAGAACATTTCAATTTTAGTAATTTCAGTAACTTTAAATTAAATTATAGATTTATGTTAAAATTTTGTAAAATAAAGAGGACCTCACAACAATGAGATGGCCGGAAAAATCATTAGAATGATATGGATGAGGTGATATATTGCACATGAAATAAGCAGTAGGCTGCAGTTATAGTCATGAGCCCTATTAAAACAGAAACTTTTTAATAACATAAAATGGTCACAATTTTATCTCCCTGATAATTAAAATAGAAGGCAGAGAGCCAGCAGATAAGGAGGCTTAGGTCTTTCAAAGGCATCTGAAGGCCCAAATTCTCATGCTTGCATTTTCTGCGCACACACACACACACACACACACACACGTGCGCGCGCAGCAGTTGACTGAAATTCAGGGAAAATTCTGGGAGGCTGCATGTGCATAGTATGGACAGCCCCAAAGAAAGGCCATGTTACATTTCAGGCTTACGGGCTTGAACCTTCGGGATTAAATTAGGCAATAATGGCTTTCTCCTACATTTGAAGAGCTGGTCACTTTGTCAGCCTCTTATGACCTGTTGACCTTAGCCAAGTCACTGCCCCTTGGAATCTCAGTTACTTCCTCTGTAAACAAAGGACATCCATTCTTGTCCCTCTCCTAAGGGTGTCTTAGGGGCTCACATAAGCTCATGAACCGGAAACTTTGTACGAAGTACCTGCAGGCTGAATCCATATTCAAGGCCCTCTGCATTCTGCTTCACATCCTGCTGTTTCCCACCCAGATCCTTGCACAGGCTGGCCTTGGCCTTGCTCTCTTGCTCAGACTGTTAGCTGAACTTGGACACCACCCCTCCTTCCCTCCATCCCCTGGTCTAAAATTGTCCTTTCTTTCAAGGTCACAGACCTAAAAGGGAATGGGTGTAAGAGAGGGGGGAAGCCACACCATGCAGCTCCTTGTTGACTTCACAGGTTTTTGCCAGGATGGACTATGAAATCCATGGTTAGTTCCTGTGAGCAAACCAGCATTTCACCCAAAAGATTTACAGTTCAAAAGAAAAACCCAAAAGAAGCTGCCTAAAGGCCAGATTTTGCCCACATTTTTCCAGTAACTCCAAAGCATGTTTCCTTTCAGGCAGAGCTCAGACTGAAATTGTATTGTAGGTCACACATGAATCATAGTAATATAATGACCTTCAAGAATGTCTAAATGGAATAGCATGTAGCAGCAAATTATATTTTCAATTTTTTTTCCTGATGCATAAACTAATTGAGGTGCCATGCTAAAGCTCTAATATAATGGACTAAATTCTTGCTGAATTACTCTGTATTGCTGTAGGGAGTTCATTTTGCCTTTCACAACTTATTAACACAGCCAGTAGACCATATTAGCCTGTGTTTTGGTTCAAAAGATTGATAGTGTTTAGTAGTTGTCTTTTGAAATGGCATTGGAAATTTAAAGATTGGGCTATGTGTAGATCAGGGTCTGGGGCAGGAGCCTTCCAGCTTCAGGCCTAGCTGTGGATGGACCACCGGGATACTCTGACCTATCTGAAATGTGATTCTCCAGAGCCTCCTAGGATCGACCTTTTCCTAAGAGAAGAGCGTGATAGGCAGATACCTCCATCTTAGCATAGACTAGCCCTGGAGGAGCTTGATTGTGTTCTACAAGGAAGGTTTCTTCTGATTCCTGACCCTTGTCTGCCCCCTGCCAGCGCTGTGAGATTATTGTTAGTTAACTTGATGGTAAACAGTAGAAAATGACTGTCACCACAGTAAACAGATGGAATCATTCGCTCCTAGCCTTGGGAATGGACAGAGACCAAAGGCTCTCCTGAAACTGCCCAGCTTTCCTGAATTTCTCAAACTCTTGAAAATGCTCCATAACAGCAGCTACACAATCTGGAAGAGGTGTCCCCCAAAGGACCCTTGGTTCCAGGAGACTCCAAGCGCTAGTAGCTTGATTAGCTCTTTGGCTGTAAGGTGTCCACCCAGAATATCATGGGAAAAGCTTATCTGTCCTATGCCTTAAGTCAACCAGTTAACCAATTCCCAGAGAGGGGAAAGGTGTTTCTTCAGAAGGGGATTGGGCTGCTGTTTGGGAAGGGAAATGGGTACAGGGCAGTCAGAGAATGGCCAGTGCCCACCAAGGCACTGTAAGGGAGATACCGAAGCATTCCCTGAGCTGCCTTGGCTCCCTGTAGAAGAGCGTGAGCCTTGCAGAGAAACAGGACCTTCCCCGTGTTTGTAAAGAACTTTTAACTCTGAAGAACCAGTGCCTGCTGGTCCCCACGAAAGCACCATCAGGCCTAGGAAAGGCAGTGCATCTGACCCAAGCAGCTAAGATGCCCGGTGTAGACAGACTTGCCCGGTGAGAGACCGTGTGGCTCAGCAGAGGGGACCTGACTGAGAAGCAGGGGATGGCGGGTGCTGTGGGTAGCAGGCAGGAGCCTGAGTCTAGGGTGTCTCTCATATCACCACATCCCCCCTTCTTCTGCTCGTGTCTTCTGGCCTCCACTTTAAAAGCTCATAGTCCTGTACAGGATTTTGTGTTTGTTTGTTTTGGGGAGATTTTAAACATCATGTGCCAGGGTCACACTTTCTTTGGAACAGACCCATGGGGGTCCATGTCTCCCAGTTACCTGTAACCCCTGCTCACTGCCCCTGAGCAACAAAATATGCCCAAAACCTATAGAAGAAAGGCAATTCATGAAATCGAGGTACTCTATGTCAGCACTGAAATATACCGTAAAGATTAGCCATCTAAATTTGATTTTCTGAAAGTATTGATAAGAAAACACCTACATCAGTATTGGTCCAAGTCACAAAAAGTAAATAACCTAGATAGATATCTGATATATTTCTTATTATTCTTAAATTCTTTTTGCCAGCTTGGTAAACAAATAAATCATGGGTACCCGTCTCCAACGTTGTTGTGCTGGTTTGGTTTCCTTTTCATTTCCACCTCTTTTGTCTTCCCCTCCATCCCAGCCCTGTTTCTCTTGTCCTCCCCTAGACAGCCCCCTCTGTCTCTCTGTGGCCCCCTGTCTCTCTCGGCCTCTTCTCTTTCCCATGATCACTCACTGTCAGACAGACCCTCTCCTAGGCCCCCTTTGGCTCCGCCATCCCATCTTATTTCTGGTTTGCAATCGTATTGAAAGAAGATTTGGTTTAATCTGACTTTCCTCCTCCAACTATCCAAGTCAGGGCCATAATGTTGTGCAACCCTAGGAGGTGCTTTTGCTGTTCTCAGTGGCCCTGACACAGGACATTTGACAAAGCAAAGACTCAGGTGTGTCACTGTCCACCAGGTGAACAAGAGCTGCAGGCCTTCTGTGGTCCCTGACGTGCTAGAGATTTAAATACGCCTGCTTTTATTTCTTTTTATAATGGAGAAAATGTCCTGTGAAAGTCAGAAACAGATTGGATATTGGATTTCACAAATCTTTTTCCCACTTTGCCCTTCTGACCTGGATAAGTCACTTAAACTCCTAATATCCTTCAGTTTTCGCAATGCTCTTTTATAAAGCGTGCTGACCTGGGGAGATGCAGCTTGACACCTGGACTGATTTTTCACATCCTGGGAGGGCTACGGTGACTTTGGGGTCAACAACAAGGGATAGCTTTGACAGGGGGATTTTAATTTTCTCCCTTCAGCCACAGATGCTGTGGAAAACATTGTGAGCACAGGCAATAAAAATTACTAATATGAATGTGTGTTGTTAGGTAAGTATGTATATTTTAAATATTTTATATATATATATATATATAATATGTACATAAAATAGCAGAGTTCAAGTACATTGGCTAAGCTTAGATTTGAGTGTAAATCTCTACAGGAAACTTCTTTATTGGAAGGATAGTGATAAACTTGACTCATCAGACACCAGTAATATTGGGAAGTAGATTTCATTAGTGAAGAAGAGTTCAGACTAAAGGACCAAAGCGGTGACCAACGCTTATCCCTGTGTTAAAGCCAATCGGTGGTTTTGTTCAGATGTGAAGTACTGCACAGTGCTGGTACTCAACAGACCACAGCTATGCGCACAGCATGGCCGCATCTCACAGACACGGCATTAAGCCATGGAAGCCAGACACAAAAGAGTATATCCCAAATGATTCCGCTCATATGAAGTTCAAAAACTGGCAATTCGAATCTCTGGTGCTAGAAATCAGAATAGCGATTGCCCTTGAGGGAAGGTTTGTACCGGAGGAGGGAGTACGAGGAGGGCTGCCTGGGGGCTGGAAGTGTTGTATAATTCATATCTAGATGCTGATGGCATAGATATATTAACTTTGTGAAACTGTATTCAACTGTACACTTGTGTGTGGTTTTCTGTGCATATACTTTAATTCAAAAAAAGATAACTAATTAAAATCAGCAAGGTTTCCTCTCAGCACGTTTCCTAAGCTTGGCAGTGTTCCAGGGATGATAGGGGGCTTCAGAGAAGAATGAGACACTGTCTGTGACCTTAAGAACTTTCTAGAATTCTAGTTCTGTCTTGTGTCCCCAGCTGTAGCCCCAGTCCCTTGTTTTTTTTTCATTTGCCAGAATTTGTTCAGCCCATTTGAAGCATGTGGCTCTGGACATGGCCAACAAAGGTCATGCCTCATCTTAACAGACTTTAGAGCACTTTGAGGTCGCTGCAAAGAACGCTTCCTAATCAAATCATTTCTTTGCGCCAAGGAAGCAGGCTATGTAAAGGAGGCGAAAGCTGCCTAATTCTCCTTAAGCAGAAATTTGTTTTGCGAAGAGAAAACTCTTCTGTAATGTTTAGAATTAGTCAAATCAGATCATTCTATCTGGAGTTTTTGTCAAACAACACTAATGAGTTTATTTAAAGAAAAAGACATTACCTGACAGTTGTATTGTTCTCTTCTTATGGTGGTGCTCTTGAAGGGAGGTGTCTCAAATACTTCCTCTTTTCCTTTCATTTATATTTTTAACTTTTACTTCTCTTCTTATTATACCCTTTAGGCTTTATTGGCCCTTTATAGGGACCCTACTTTGTGTACTAATTATGACAAATGCTGATATAACATCTGCTCCCAGATTTAAATTGCCTTCCAGTCTGTCAGAGTTCATCTTGAAGTCAGCTTTGCTGTAAACATCAGCCTGCCTGTTAATGCAGCCTGTGGGAGACCTGAAGCCGGAGCCCACAGGAGCTACCTGAGATGAGGCCTGTGCAGCGAGCCTTGCTCTATCATGCATTAAACTGTGAAAGAGCAGTGGCTCCATGCACAAGTCAGCAAGCTCTGCATCTCCCGTTTTCCAAATCATCTCACCCTTGATCTTCCCAGAACAATCAGTTGTGCACATGCATTGCACCGCGAGCATTGGCTGGTTGAGTGTAGTCTACGATATATACTGGTGACCCTGTTTGATGCAATTCAAGTCCCTTTAAAGTTGATATTCTCAGGGTCCCTTCCCGCAGAAAAGTGGAAGTCAGGTCTCTCTTTGCCCCTCTGATAAAAATAATTACTAAGATTAAGATCTTCACTTTTCAGCAGTTGATTTTCATAACTTCTTACCAATACCTAATTTCAATTTCAGGATCGTTTCTTGAGAGGGTACCATGAGACCAGTAAGTTAGGGATATGGAACAAGAAAAAACATCTTGAGTTGAGAATACTTGCTTTCAAGTCTTCTCTCTAGATTACTAGCCTTGCTCACCTCTCCTGGCAATAGCTTCCTTACCAGGAAATGGGTAATACCAGAAGAAGATGTGATTCCAGGCCAAGTGTAAGGATAACATAAAGTTAGGTGCCTTAGGAAACTTTTGAAGGGGATGCAAATATTTATCTTGATTTAATGGTGGTTTCACATGGGTCAGCACTCATGAAGTTATACATTTAAAGAATGTACAGTTTATCTGGCCGGGCGCAGTGGCTCACACCTGTAATCCCAATACTTTGGGAGGCCAAGGGGGGTGGATCATTTGAGGTCAGGCATTTGAGACCAGCCTGGCCAACATGGTGAAACCCCGTCTCTACTAAAAATACAAAAAAATTAGCTGGGCATGGTGGCACATGCCTGTAGTCCCAGCTACTCAGGAGGCTGAGGCAGGAGAATTGCTTGAACCCAGGAGACAGAGGTTGTGGTGAGCTGAGATCGCGCCACTGCACTGCAGCCTGGGAGACAGAGCAAGACTCCGTCTCAAAAAAAAAAAAAAAAGTACAATTTATCATGCACCAGTTTTACTTCCATTAAGTGTAAAACATTGGATGTTAGAAGATTTTTAGAAACTAAGTTATTTTACAAGTGTTGTTGTTAGTAGTCCTCATTAATATTTTGAAGGAGAATTAACAAATTCTCGTTGAGTAGAATGTCTTCTTTCAGAAGGAAATTTCAGGTTGGCAATTCATAGAGGTAGCTAAATTCTACTTTCTCTTCTCAACTGTGGCATCGTCGACATTTGGGCCAGATAATTCTTTGTCCTGTGCTTTGGCATCCCTGGCCAGCATCCACCAGGTGCACTGCCTGTGCACCCCTATGTGACACTCAAAACTGCCACCAAACACTGCTGAACACTCTATGGGGCAGAACTGCCTCTTGTTGGGAACTACTGCTCCAGGCTTAGGCCATGTTGCTTTCACAAATTTTTTGTTGTTACTCAGAGTCCAGAATTATTATGTGTAATTCCTAAGACTGTGCCAGGGTTGTTTGGGTTTTTTAAGCACACTGAGACAATAATAAAGGTTTGGGTCTAACCCCTTCCCTCCAGCCCATTTTCTGTTACAGATGAGATTTGCCTGGCCTAAAATATATTAACTATTCTTGTGTGCCCTCTTTTCCTTGAACACATCCCTCCAGCTCCCACATCTGATTTTATCCCCAGTTCCCAGAGCCTAGTCTCACATATGCTTTGCTTTCTCAGTGCCAAAAACGGCAGATAATGTTGCAACAAACATGCAGCAGGGGTCTGGAGCAAGTAATTGTAGTAAGGATTCCTTTTTGTTGATGATTATAGGACATGCAAAAAGATCTGTAAATATCAGTACTTGGAACTGACCCTCTTGTCCTCAGTATTGCTTTCCCTTTATTTTATAAGAAGGATTCAAAACAGATACTGACTGTGCAATTTTAAAATACCAGTAAGCAGCACATTTAACCTTGTACAGATGGCCGGCCTTTTTTTTTTGTTTTTTTTTTTTAATCATCTTTCTATTTAATGAGTAACTGGGAGCGGGGAGGAAATGACTTTTTTAAATAAGAGATTAACTAGTGACACTGTGGCTGAGAGGCAGATCCCCTGTGCCTGGCACCCTTGACATTTTCCTAGGCATTGTCTGCTGTAGATCTGAGACAGTGCTGCCCAGAATCAGTGCTGAGCCAAAGATATTTCTTCTGTGCATATGTATTTTGTGACTCCGTCTTCTCTGGTTGGTCTGATGATAGGTGGGACAGTGGAGGGCATTCCTCACGTGCTGGTTTTAATGACAATGATAGCACTTTCCAGGTGGGTGGGAAGTTGTTTCTGGAAATTTTTTCTCTTCTTGACACCATCCAACAGTACCTTGACCGTATTCTGATTGATTGATTGATTGATTGATTGATTGATTGATTGAGACAGGGTCTTGCTTTATCACCCAGGCAGGAGTGCAGTGGCACCATCACAGCTCACTGCAGCCTCTACCTCCTGGGCTCAAGTGATCCTCCTGCCTCAGTGCACCACCCTGTCCAGCTAATTTCTTTATTTTTTGTAGAGATGAGGTTTCTCCATGTTGCCTGGACTGGTCTCAAACTCCTGAGCTCAAGCGATCCCACCCGCCTTGACCTCCCAATTGACCATGTTCTTAACTCTTGTCTCTTCCACAGAAATACCTCAGGGACTTTTTCAGCGTGATGCTCCAGTCCGCAACATCTCCCCTCCACATCAACAAAGTGGGACTGACTCTCTCGAAACATACCATTTGTGAGTTTTCACCATTCTTCAAGAAAGGAGTCTTTGACTACAGCAGCCACGGGACGGGGTAGAGCCAGGGGTGATGGAGGAACCACCACAGCAGTGCCTTCTCGTCGAAGCGGGCTCCGATGCAGGGCAGCTCCCCCATGCGAGGATCCGGGTCTGCCTCCTCCTGCTGAAGACAGACATGCAGCAGCGGGCCCGGGCCACCTCACGTTTCCATACCTAGTGCCTGAGTTTGGGGATGGGATGCTCTGCCTGCTGATGTGGCCCTGACAGGCAGCCGTTACCGTTCCATTGCGGTTGAACGTGGCCTTTTCCCACAGTGCTTCCTTCTCACTGCGCAGCAAAGTTCGTCCCCTGTGGCAAGATAGATGTGGTTGGGCCATCGTGGGTTCCCTGAGCCCAGCCAGCCTGGGACCTCCCAAAGTGGGTGGCTTACCAGACCACCCTTAAATGACTTTCATCTGGTTTCCTCTTTCACCAAAATATACTCGTATTTTTTATATTTCTTCCATGTGGCTGGCTATATTCCAAGAAAAGCATTTTAAATTATTTCATTGTATTTTTTTCTTTTTTTCCCTCATTTGAATCAGAACTTTTATATAAAACCCAAACACTGATGTTTACACAGAATTTCATATTCTGCAAAAGGGATTTTTTGATCCAATCATGACTGTAGTCTTCCATGCTTGACAAATTGGATGTAGACAACATTACTTAAAACTTCTATAAATCCCTACAATTAGGATATTTATTTAACCTTGAATATTCAAGAACATTCTCCCAAATCTAAATGGCTACTGTGCATTCTTGAGCTTTTTCTGCTAAGCACAAAATGAACGCAAAGCTAAATGCATATTTTTAAGTATTATTCACATTTTTTGTTACAGAATCTATTGGATCTTTGGCTGGAAAACTAGAATTTATAGCAGTTTATTAATGATACCTTAAATTACTCAGGACTTAATGTAGCATTGCACTTCTGTGTACAGTAAAACTGCTTTGTTTTACTAAAGAGAAAAATGTGAGTGGAAAAAATATGTATGTGGTATATACTCAAATGTATATAATTCTATCTATAGATTTATATATGTATACATTCTGTACAGTAGTTCCATCAAAATATGTAATAATTCACACCAATTTTATTAAATGTATTTGCTTTTTCAAAATTTAAATTGAGCTGCTATCAATATTAAATGAAGTTATGGCATCTACCCTGTAGCTCAGCTTATTTTAAGTCTGTAACATGATCATTCATACTAGTCTGTTTAAACATTGATCTAATGTTCTTGGAAATATGCATAATGTATAACTCAGCATTTGTGTTGCAGAAGATGCAGTGATAGTAATGATTGAAGTCGTAAATGAATGGTTAACAGAACATGTTTGCATTCCATCTTCTAGAGAATGCCTTCACAACAAAGTTCTCCAACCTGAAAAATATGCATAAACGTGCAATTATCCCTATAAGGAGGAAAACTAGTATTGCACTAATTAAATATCATAGTATAGTGTGAAAAAAAATGAGGACATTTTTGCTGCAGAAGGACCTGCTTTTGTCTGCAGTTGTGATTACAGGAATAGGTTTAGGAGCAATTACTACCAGAGAATTTCAAACTAGAGATTAAGGGATAAGAGCTGGGTAGATAATAATTAACCATAGGTCATTTATTTAAGAGGAGTCTTAAGCCCTAAAGATGGTCCCTCATTTGCTGAGTAAACTAAGTGGTTTCTCTTCAAACTGACCAGATAATCTATCTCTTGGCCTTTGAGGCCGGTATTGGAGACTAGGCTCCTGGTAAGCATTTTGTTAAAATCACACAGAAGGTTTGGCAAGAATAAATAGACATGTGTTTGTAAGAAGTGCTGAAATCAGAAGATCCTTCTATTCTAATCCTCACCTTAAGTAATTATAGTTGAGTTTGGAGTTTGAGTACTACTAGCAAGCTCTGGCCAAGGCCGGTCATAACATGGGAGTCGTTTTGCCTCTCTAGGCCTCAGTCTGTCCATCTGAAAATGAAGCTGTGGTACTGGATGGTCTCTTGAGTTTCATTCCAGCTCATGGTTACAGCAGAGGAATAAACCATGTCATTCGGACTCATTACAGTCCCTCATATGTGTACGTGAAGTACATACTTCCAATCTGATTTAAAGGCAGCTGATTCTGAATAAAACATGAGGGAAAGTTGAAAAGCAAATGAAAAGTCACATCTAAACAACAGAATTCCTTTCTGGAGTGAAGATAAGACAGATGACAGAATTAGGATAACAAATGGAAACTCCATTGATTTGGACTAATTTAAAAGAGTGAAAGAAAATTAGCAAATGGATATTTTATTACTTCCAAGTCATCAAATAACAAAGTAACGCCAAGCTGACCACTTTAGGCAATTCAAATTGAAGTGTCATGAACATAAATACTTTTGCAGTCGGTTGGACAAATCTAAGGAACTTAAACAATTTTTTATTTAAGTAGTTTTGACATTCACTCCTAGGTCTTGCTTGCATGATAAATATGTGCACCAAATTTGTTGATATCACTGGTATTGTAACCTTCCGCCCAGTTCCCACTCAGACCTTGCTATTGCTGAATTAGAAAGATTCACATTTAACCTCGTGATTAATTTTGGCATATGAATAGGGAGTAACCAAGTCATGCTGGCTTCCCCAATGACTGACATCTAGAAGATTCTGTGGCTCATAATGGGGGATGATTTGAAGATACACAAACAGGGTATCCCACCCCAGGGCCGATTCTATTTACAATTCTATGCAGAAAGAGCTAGTTCTGCCCAATTTGGTCCCTGATCTACTCAGAGCTGTAGACAGCATATGTGTCCAAGTCTGAGCAGAAGCAGCCAAAAGCTTTCACGGCTAGAACATGCCATAGACTCAGAGGTGGAGGCACCCTTGGGGAGCAGCTGTGGTGCAGGGTCACGTTGGTGTTCTGTATTCAACTTTTAAAGACAAGATTTTTTTTTTTCTGGACACATCTCCTGCAGCACAAAACCACAAGACCCCATTTCCTCAGGTGCGCAGTCAGGGATGCAGAGCCACGTGCTAAGGGGATGTGGCTCCTTACTGATACTCTGAGCCTGCCACAGGCTTGCCTTGTCCCCTCAAAGAGAATGTGCATAGCGCTTCAGGCCTGACATGCTTCAAACAGTAGCATTAGGTTTTCAAGTACACTGACGTTTATAAATGCCTAAAATGTTGCCTTGATTAAAATGTTGCCTTGAGGTGTCATCAGTTGACAGTTGAACGTCTCTGCCGCAGGAGACCCTTCTCCTTCCATAATCTGACACACACCTATAGGAGTGATTCAGATCCGACTTTATCAGAAAGGTCTTTCTTTTTTCATGTTAAATAAAAGAAGGGGAGTAGAAAAGTTAGGCAAAATAAATCCATGGCAAAATTAACTAGGGGCTGGAAGGGACAAGGACAGTGAGATGGCAAAATTAACTGCTTTAGTTTTACTTAGCTTATCATGACAGGTGATTTAGGTTTTGGGAAAACTAATTAAAGACCATTAATCTACAGAGACTCATTCTCGCAAATTAAACCTTGTGTATTCCTCCTTTTTCACATGCAAGAAGACCTGGCTATTGACTTTCTTGGTTTTTTTTTTGTTTGTTTGTTTTTTGGTTTTTGGTTTTTTTTCTGTTGAGACTGCTTTTACTGATGACAGTTCATTAGATAGGAAATGATTCTGTGGTACACAATTTTGAACTTTGCACATAGGGAATTATTTCCAAATTGACAAAAGTTGCCCATTATTACAAATTTCTGAAGCATCCTGTTTCAAATTGATCCCGTAGTGGTACCTTTGAGTTAGAGGGGTGATGTTAATGTTGACCAGGGTGTTACCTTGAGAATGATAATTTGGGATCCAGTAGAACCCTGTTAAACTTTAAAATGGTAGAAGGAGCAAAAAGGCAGTTGACTGAACTGAAGGGGTTGAAGGATGTGAGTTCATCCTTGTTACCTGCAAATAGCACATGCGTGCACTTACCATCCGGGAACTCTGGGCACTAGGCTGTGGCACATCTCCCAAGGTTACCCCATGCCTTTCTAGAAAGCTGTCTCCTGTGTGACTCTTGCAAAATTGACTAAATGCAAAACATCCTTTCTTTGACTGTCCTCATTTGAAATATACTCTTGTATTTGAAAATGAAATAATGAGGTTTTTTCCTAAGGATTACCTCTCCAAACACTGCGAATTTGAAGTTCATTGACTTGGTTTTCCCCTTCTCCATTGCCGAAAAGGCAGATTCTTCCCCATTCAGAGAGAGACAAATGGATATGTTTGCAAAAAGATGCACAAGCTATCTTTCGCTAAGCATCAAAGATGGGGAAGTGCACTGGGTACAAAATGGGAAATGCATAAATGAAAATGCAGAAAGCCCCACAAGATTAAATATAGGAAATGGTTTGGTAACATCAAGACATATCACCAGAAAGAGGGAAGCCTTCCTCCAGAAATTAAATCCTGTGGGGAAAATGTGAAAAATATAATTAAACATCACTGCTTGAAAGCAGAATTCTTTTCCTCAAAGTGTCCAGTATTCTTATGCACAATTAACATTTGCAGAAGTGTTTGTGTCTTTCCAGTAGCACTTACAGTTGTGCCTGAGAGCATCTCACTGGAGAACAGCCTCGGGGTTTGCTATTCCTGTGACTCCAGCGTTCCTTCCCACTCTTGCAGAAGGAAGGAAGGAGGGTGGGCTGCAACTGCTCTGTCAAAGCTGCCGGGACAATCTCCAGAGAAAAGAATCACAGAAAACAATAAGAAATACCAGTTTGTGGTAATTAAGGGTTTAAAAAAAATTGCACTTTGGTTGATTTCTAAACTCTGTTAGCTTTTCTCCTAAAAACAAGCTAGAAGCCATGAGAAAGGAGTGGGGTGGCCTGCCATCACAAATGACTTTTTGGTGTGGTGTTTGAAGTTTGATTTCAATGACTGTAATACGAAGAGTTGACCCACAGTGGGTGCAAGCCTTCAGCTGCAGAGTGATTAAAATACTGGCTACTTATCCCTTACAAGTGAATGGGAAAGGCCGTGTTTACATTTATGAAGGGTTTTCAGTGCCTTCTAGAGCAACAGTCTCTCAGCGCACCTATGTGTAGTTTGTTTTTAGTAAAGGATTTCTGGTCAAGGAGTGCAGCATTCCCTTCAGGGTTTGGGAACTGGAGTATTCTTTCAGACTTCTTATCCGAAGAACTTGGACGAGTTGGGCATCGGAAGACTTGCCCGTGTGTACAGCTCTGCCCAGAAGACACCGGTGCCAGCCAGGATCTTCTACCGCACACCTCAAGCCTGCTCCCCAGCTTGGGTCCTCATCTCGTGAGCATACGCCGTGTGCCATTCTTCCCTGCCTGCCATCCCCATGGCCCCTCTCTCACTCTGTAACCCTTGGGGGCTGGGGGCTGGGAGTTGGGAGGGACAAAGACAGTGAGATGACAAGGGTATTTGAAGGTGGCCTGAGAAAGTTCATAAGGAATGGAGGACACTTGCCCTACTTGAAGCCACCTGTGTTGATTCATGTCATGGCCGCCTCCCCAGCTCTTCCTCCTGCAGTGGGAGAGGGGAAGGAACTCTGGCCATTCTTGTGGCTCCACTGGCCACCTAGTTGAGAAGGAGCATGGCACAGAGAGTGCAGAGCAAGCTGGCTGTGTCCTTCTTACTCCTTGTTAGAGAAGAGTTGGCTCCTCATCAGGGACCCGCAATCCACCATTCAGTCAATGAACACACATTCACGAATGTCTTCTATATCGTGGCCCAGGGCCCAGTGCCGGACACGCAGCGGTAGGCAGCGTGGGCATCATGGCCACAGGTCTTCCCTCTGGGAGCTCCCATTCCACTCAAGACATGGACCAATAATTGCACAACTGTATGACTGCAAATTGTGATACATGTCATGATGGAAAAGTCAAGGATGCTGGGGAGCATGTGCTAGGGAAATGCTCTAGTCTGGGAGGCTCAGAGTCTCCCTGGCAAGCAAAGTTTGGGCTGAGACCTAAGAGATGAGAATTGAGTGCCAGAGAGATCACCCCAGATTGAGAAAAGACCTTGAATGGCAGAAATCACCCATCCTGGCTATGATATGAAGAGAACAACAGGGCAGCGTGGGATTGGAGAGGCAGGTACAGGCCAGATTAAAGGCGCCTGAAAGGTTGCTGACCAGAATTTTGTAAAGGGAATCATGTTTTCCCATTAGCTACCACTGTTTCAGGATATCTCTGGGGGAGGAGAGATAAGGGCATATGACAGCTGAGACTCAGCCTTCAAAGTCCCACATAATAGGGAGAAAGAAACAAGCTTCTGAATTAAATATTAACAACGGAAGGACAAGATCGCAGCGGAGAGTGCTGTCCTGCGCCATGCAGGGGCTGGCTGTTCTGCTCTTTTTCTTTGACCTTTGGTGCGTTTGGAGCTCTGAGATTTCAGAGGCTCTTGCCATGGAGAAGGACCATCTCCTCAGACCCTCAGATGCCCAGCTGCGGTGTGTCCAACTTACGTACTGCAGCACCAGCAGGCCCAAGTAAAGTTCCCGCCCTGTCTTTGGGCTCCTACCTAATCCTTGCTTTGTGAATAGAAGACAAAAGCCCCATGCAGACACAGCTGTCACAAAGCTACGTGCTAGCTGTGGGGCTCAGTTTATGACTTAGACCAGCAACTGCACAGAAGCATTGTGTCCTCAAGCCCAGGATGCCTGGGCATCAGATAATCTGTGTACCTTCCGGGCCTCAACATAATCATCTCGGTACCGTCCATAAATGAAAAGATTGTTTTTAGATTCAACAGGACGGCCTATAAATTAATGTTAATATGATGTGTCTGTGTGGGGCCATCAGAAATGGGTTGCTCAATCCATGCCTTGCGTTTACAGAGAACCCCTTTGCTGGAATAGAACACAAAGCTCAGCCACACTAAGTGTGTGTGGTTCAGTGAAGCAGGTCAGTTTCTATGGAGCACATGGCTCATAGGCTGATACTGAAACCAGCCCAGTGGTCCCATAGAACTGATGTCTATGATTTCTTTGAATAAACAGAAAATGATCCTCCCAGAGTTAAAACTTGAGAAAGTTACATTTGTCTTATCTGAGTTCCTTTCTCAGGAAACCAACCATCAGACCTCCCAGATGGCATCAAGAAGCTGGACTTCACCAGAGCACCACATCTGGACCATGAGACGTAGACCCCTCACCCAGCATGACTACCCAAGTGATCACCTGCTTCCTGTTGAACAACCCCTCTTCCTTGCCTCTCCCTAATTTCTGTTTCATGGCTACATTTCTTCCCTGCTATATAAATCCCTAATTTTAGTCAATCAGGAAAATGGATTTGAGACTGATCTCCCATTTCCTCTGCTGAAGCATTCAATTAAAGCCTTCTTCCCTGGCAGTACTCATCTCAGTGATTGGCTTTCTGTGCAGTAAGCAACAGGACCTAGACCAAAACCCTGGCATTTCAGTAACAATACTCCTAACCTAGGGCCTCCAAAAAATTTCAGCATGGTCCAGTTTGTATGAACTCAGTGCTGTTAGTCAAAAGGACAATTGTGCTTCATGTGTTAATTCACTAGAACATTTAGTGAACTAACTTCTCAGTTTGGTGCAAGCAGAAAAGGTCCTCCTAGTCCCTCCCAATGGCATCTTCACCAATGGGGCACAGATTGCCACTGGCCGTGGTTGCAGCCAGTGACAGCTTCCCACACAAGCAAGAGGCCCTGAGGGGCGAGGACGTATCTCAGGTGAGGAGAAGTTGCAGCAGGATGCGGGTGGCAGGTCGTGCTCAGGCAGGGAGAGGGGTACCTAGCTTCACTGCAGCCTCTGTGTTTCCCAAACAGCCAGGCCCACACACCTTCTCCTTTATGCTGACAATGCTCACAGCTGTTCCACCTCAAAGGCCTTCTTTCTCAGAGTGTATACTAAAGCAAGGGTTTATTTTGGTGGAAGTGAAGATCCTTCAAAGGCAGTCTCTCTGAGTAGCTCTTGCCCAGGGACAAATCTATTGAAGTTAAAAGCAAGAGGAAGGAGGAGCTGGACTCTGTAGGGCTTTCCAGCTGCACGTGATGCTACTTTTTGACATCAAGTAGGATGCCACATCATCTCCACATGCCACTTCCTTACACACGGGGTGCAATCTTGATGAGCTAGGCAGGGATCCTGATGATGGTTAGAGGTGGCAGGAGCCCTATTAGTTTCCCAGAAAACTACAACCGTTCTTCCACCAGTGGCCAAGCCTCTTGTTGCACGCTCGAGTCAAGGGAAAAGTCTCCATTTGTTCCAGCAAATCTGCTGGTAAGGCAATAACCACTGCAGATGAGGAATGGGCTACAGCCCCTAAGGACCCCAAAGAGCACAACTTTAGCATGTTGTTTTATACCTCCCGGGAGTCTGCACTTCTCAGAGTGACCAAGACAGGGGACGGGGGACCAGTTATTTCTTGCATTTATCTGTGACTGGGAGCAATTACATCACTTATACTGCCTTGTGAGACATTCTCCAAGCTCCCAGCAAAAGCACAGGTCATGAGCAGGACAGCATTGCACCTGGCTGGAAACAAAAGAATGTCAGAGCTAGAAGGAGCCTTGAAAACAATCTGGATCCAGGGGCCATTCGGGGGCTAGACAGACATTATAGATGCAAATGGGGAAGACGCGCTCCACCGAAAGAAATTCAGGTTGCATAATAAGAGTGTCCACCTAGGCTCTGGACACAGGCTGTCACATACACAGGCTGCACTCTGCCCATGGCCACCATTCAAAATCTAATGTAAAATGATCTCTAAAGGTAAAACCATCTGAAGGAGGTTCTGACTTACCCAAGTGACAGAGCTAATTGGGACCTGAGTCTCAACATTCTGTTAACTCCAGGCTCCCTGCCACTGCCTGGATTAGAGAAAAACACTGAGTACATCAGTCATGGGTGAGGCAGGAGGTAGAAGTCACACCAGTTGTTTTCTTAAAGAGAATTTAAAATAATTACAGTTAACTGAAAAGGGGAAAAAATACAAGAACTCCAAATTGTCATGGAGGTTATAACTGGGAAGCAGCTGCCTCCCTTAGGGCTGGGGGAGCATGGAATTATTAATATGCAGAAACATGGAGGAAAAGCCCCCACAGCACTGAAACTAGGCCACCCTGGAGGAGGGGACATCAGCCGCTGGTGCTGGTGTCTCTGAGCTGAAGGAGGGGTCTTGTGGGGCTGGGACCACGGCCCCTGAAGGGGTGTGCTGGCATCTCTGAGGGTCAGGGCACAATGAAGCTTGTTGGCAAATGTTGAGAGAGCTGCAAGTTGGACCCAGCTACTGCTCCTGGCAGGCACTTGCACTGCCTGGGGGACGAAGTGTGGGTGAGGTGATGCTGACAAGAACAGGAAGTGATCTCCTGAGGAAAAGGAAGCAAGCAGGAAGTGCTGCTGGAGGCTGCTCACAGGAACAGACAACAAATACAAAGGAGCAGGTCCTTTCTCCCTCCTCCAGCCCTGCGCTCTCCCTTGAGTGCCTGTCTTGGCAGAGCCTACTAGGGAGCATCTGGCAAAGCAAGAATCAGGCTTGCAGTTCCCAGCCCCAGCATCCCATAGCAGAGGAGAGAAGGATGGGTTTAAAGCTGGGAGATAGGAGCTTACTAATTGGCACCCTGAGCTTTTGCTTCAGTTGAAACTGGGACTAATCCTCATCAGCTCTCAGTTGATTCCAGGAGACCCATCTGGAAGCTGTAACACTCCAAGCCACACCACAGTTCATCACTGGGCATTCTCGAGCTACTGCCTATGCTGGTTGCTGGGCCAGGGACGCCCAAGCCTGGGAGTTCATCTGCATGGCCTCTGCCCTCTGGGAGCTTACCCAGCAAGGGCAAAATTTGTCCCAAACCTTTATTAGGTGGCCCAAGAGACTGGACACTTTTCTCTTGAAGCAGCAGCCATGGCCATGGGTGCCTGCACGGTGCAGTGTCCCTCCTCCCACTTGCGTCTTCTGCCTCACCCAGACTGTACCATGGGTTTAGTTTCCTGAGATAAGAATTGTTCAAAAGCTGCTTTAGAAAAGGAGCCCAAGCATCCTAGGGCACCCATTCCTGGACTATGATGATAGTTTCGTCTCTATTCTTCCCTCCATGACCAGGAAAGCTGCTTTGGTAACTAAAAAAATGGATCTGGGAGGACTTGCTCTAGTTCCATGGCCATGTGAGGCAGAGCCAGGTTGTGGATAGGCCCTGTGGGCAAAAGATGAGGATGTTTCTAGAGCATCCACTGGGGAGTAAGCTCTATGGGTCAGGGCTTTGGGACACGCAGTTATATGCTGCTGATGAAACACAGTGGTTTCTTTGCTCTTCTTGCAGCTGTCAACAGTCCTTTACTAATCCGTATTAGAATCGTCTCTGTTCCCCATGGCCTCAACGTTCAAGGTGGGCAGGTTCATCTCTTCTACCCAAGTAACTGAAGTGCTACTCACCTGAGAAGTAAGTTAGTTCTCTGTGTTTATCCTGAAAGGCAAGATAAGCTATAACATTCCTGGCACTGGGCCGTGACTTTGACCTTCAGAGACCTGAAGCAGCTGTTTTCCTGACTGTTTTGAGCTTCAGAACTTGTAAATAACTATTTCCTGAAGATAACTAATATCCCGTAAGCAGACATGGGAGGCATAGTTTGGTCTTGTTTTTCCCATCCTCTGACTGGTTTTTCTGCATGACTACTGTTCTGATGTGAGGCCAGCTTGCCAAGCCATGAATCTAAGAGCTGACTTCCCATTTGAGCTTTTCTGCTCACCTATGCCAAAAGTTAGATAAGAGGGGTGGGAGAGGAGGTGGAGGTGGAGGAATTATTTAGGAAACGTTCGGGAAGAGAACTGGCCACATCACAAGAAATAATTCTGATGGCATAGAAAAGGCTTCTAGCTCCAGGGCTCGAATGTATCTAAATATTGTAATAAAATCCTCAGGAAGTGAAATGAACATTGAGCATTTGCTTGTTTTAAGGTCTCACCCCTCCATCCAGCCCACAATGGCTGGGCTGGTGTTTGTCTTCCTCTTGAAATGGATGCTGTCCAGGAAGCTCAAAGAACTTCATTTGTTTTCATTAAATGTCCTAGTATCAATGACAGACGATCAACTCATGGTTGTGAGGGATGACCAGTAGTTGTGAGTACATCTGATCAAAAAGAAAGCTTTATCTTGTTTGCAGTGAAGGTGCCAGGAGCTGTAATGGTCTCTGCCTGCCATCTGAGAAGTGCACTGTCACAGGGCTTATCAGTGGAGACAAGGCAAAACCACACCTATGAATTCAGGGGAACTCAGCTAACAGTGGGATTTCTTCAGCAGGGGCAGTCTGAATAGAGTAAAACATATTTTCAGCAATCTCTATAACCACCACCTACTTGGTAAAGAGGGAATAGCAAAACACTGATAATCCAGAAAATCTGTGCAAGCATTTAGATTCATCTTCCTTTTCCACCACCCTATTAGCAAAAGTCTCTCCTTCCAAATCTAGGTGTTTGAGTTGTGCCCCCTTTTTCCTCCTCTGTGAGCAGGAAGGACTGAGAATGGCTGATACGCCATCATTGCACTGCAGTGTTGAAGCATTGTGAACACTGCAAAGCATCTGTGGAAGCTTGGTGGCATTGCTGCTTCCTGAGCCCCTCTGTGATATCCTAAGGGCAAGGCAAAGGCAGAAGTAGGTTTAACATGAAGACATTTAAGCTTAAGCCTCTCACATGCATAGACTCCTTCCAAGGTCCCAGAGAGCTCCCGTGAAGACAGGAAAGAAAGCAGCAGTCGGGCCGTTCACAGAAGGGTGGGGTTGGGGAGTTCTGCCCCAGCTTGAGGATTCCCCCCACCCCTGGTGGTGATGCCACTGAGGCCCCCAGGAAGCTTCCATCCCCACATCAGCTGCAGAGTGGTGGGGGCAGGGGGAGATCAAAGACCTGCCCCAGGACCTGCCCTTAGGCTGGAAGCACCATCCACACGCTGTGGCATTTCCAGTAAGAATTTGTGATGTCAAGGAAATCCTAACATCTATTTTCTCTAAAGAAGATGATGTTATGTCATTGTCTGATGCAGAGATGATCAAAGAAAATGCAACAAAAGAAAGTGGACAGAAAGCATTAGAGAACTGGGTCAAGCAATAAATTCCTGATGATTATTTCCTATAATTGCTATAAGATTCCATTCGTATGACAAACTCGAAAAGGCAAAACCACAGGATAGAAGACAGGTCGGTGGTTGCCAGCGGAGCAGTGTGGGGTGCAGCGGGGGGTGGGGGGTTGACTAGGAGGCACAGCAGGAGGGGATGTTTTGGGGTGAGGATACCGTTTTGTATGTGTTTGCCAAAACTCACAGAACCATATGTTGGAAAGGGTGAGTTGTACTGTCTGTGAGTTACTCAGTAATTTTACTCGGTAAAATTTGTCTACTTACTGAGTATTCCACACCGTGCCTATTTCTTTTTTCTTCTTTTAAAGACAGCTAACATAGTCCTGTGGGGGAAAAAAAAAACTTTAGCCACCAAAATCCATGTTGTGAGCTTAGAACCCAGGGCCTGACTAGCATAGGGACACGAATTTGTTCAAGAAGCTGTCTCCTCCCACAGCCGGTTAGCACACAGATGGTGGCGACTGTTCCAACGTCAGGAGGTGCCCAGTAAATGTTGTAGATAGGGGTGGTGACTTACCCAACACCACACTCTCTTCCCTCTCTCCTGCTTCCTCCTTCTCTCCTCCTTTCCTCTCCCTGCTTCCTTCCCCTGCCTCTTCCCCATGAGTGTCCAGAATGTTTCCACCATTTCAGGGCTAAAAGAGCATTGGTCCAGATTAGGTCAGCATGATTCTTATAGGAAGAGGGATTCAAAGGCTTTTGTCTCAGTCCTGCAAGCCTCTAGGAAGACTTCCTATAGGCGAAAACATGAAATTCACCTGAGAATGCAAGGAGGAATTCGCCAGAAAGTAACAGAGGAGGGGCTCTCCAGGCAGGAGTGGAAGGTGAAGGCCACCTGGGTGCGAGAGGGCCAGCAGGGGCCACGTGGCGAGGCTGCGGGAGGGGTGAGGGGTGACCTGATATGCTGGGGCCAGCAGGGACCACGTGGCGAGGCTGCGGGAGGGGTGAGGGGTGACCTGGTGCATTGGGGCCAGCAGGGACCACGTGGCGAGGCTGCGGGAGGGGTGAGGGGTGACCTGGTGCATTGGGGCCAGCAGGGACCACGTGGCGAGGCTGCGGGAGGGGTGAGGGGTGACCTGGTGCATTGGGGCCAGCAGGGACCACGTGGCGAGGCTGCGGGAGGGGTGAGGGGTGACCTGGTGCATTGGGGCCAGCAGGGACCACGTGGCGAGGCTGCGGGAGAGGTGAGGGGTGACCTGGTGCATTGGGGCCAGCAGGGACCACGTGGCGAGGCTGCGGGAGGGGTGAGGGGTGACCTGGTGCATTGGGGCCAGCAGGGACCACGTGGCGAGGCTGCGGGAGAGGTGAGGGGTGACCTGATATGCTGGGGCCATCAGGGACCACGTGGTGAGGCTGCAGGAGAGTGAAGGTGACCTGGTGCATTAGGGCCAGCAGGGGCCACATGGTGAGGCTGAGGGAGAGGTGAGGGGTGACCTGGTGCGCTGGGGCCAGCAGGGGACACGTGGTAAGGCTGAGGGAGGGGTGAGGGTGACTTGGGTGTGTTAGGACCAGCAGGGGCCCCGTGATGAGACTGCAGGAGGAGTGAAGGTGACCTGGTGCATTAGGGCCAGCAGGGGCCACATGGTGAGGCTGAGGGAGGGCTGGGATGAAGCTGAGGCTGCTGGGTCCAAGTTAGGCAAGCCTGGGCCTAGGGAGTTAGATTCACTCCAGACTCAGTGGGATATCTCATGGCGTTTAGCAACTATCTGGTAGCCTTCTGCTTCCCTGGCTGACTCCCGTGCAGGGGGTAAGTTCTGGGAGGACAACACCGTATTCCTCCTGCTACTTTGGTTCTCTTAGTTCAGTGCCTGGCATGTTCAAATAAACTGAGTTGGTGCATAGGTTCTGGGATGGGGAAATGGGTGAGGGTGTGTAGGGATGGATGTGTGTATTTTGGGATAGGGGAAGGGGTGTACATGTTTGAGATGGAGTAAGGGTGGGTGTGTTTGGGATGGGGAAGGTGTGTGTGTGTTTGGGATGGGGAAGGGGTGTGTGTGTTTGGGATGGGGAAGGGGTGGTTGTGTTTGGGATGGGGAATGGGTGTGTGTGTTTGGGATGGGGAATGGGTGTGTGTGTTTGGGATGGGGAAGGGGTGTGTGTGTTTGGGATGGGGAAGGGGTGGGTGTTCAGAGTTGTGGAAGGGGTGGATGTGTCTGGGATGGGAAATGGGTGTGTGTGTTTGGGATGGGAAGGGGTGTGTGTTTGGAATTGGGGAAGGGTTGTGTGTGTCTGGGATGGGGAACGGGTGGGTGTGTCTGGGATGGGGAATGGGTGTGTGTTTGGGATGGAAAGGGGTGTGTGTGTTTGGGATGGGGAAGGGGTGTGTGTGTTGGCGATGGGGAAGGGGTGTATGTGTTTGGGATGGGGAAGGGGTATATGTGTTTGGGATGCGGAGGTAGTGTGTGTGTTTGGGATGGGAAGGGGTGTGTGTGTTTGGGATGCAGAATGAGTGTGTGTCTTTGGGATGGGAAGGGGTATGTGTGTTTGGGATGGGGAAGGGGTGTGTGTGTGTGGAATTAGGGAAGGGGTTTGTGTATTTGGGATGGGAAAGGGGTGTGTGTTTGGGGATGGGAAGGGGTGGGGGTGTTTGGGATGGGGAAGGGGTGTGTGTTTTTGGAATTGGGGAAGGGATGTGTGTGTTTGAGATGGGAAGGGGTGTGTGTATTTGGGATGTGGAAGGTGTGTGTGTGTTTGTGATGGGAAGGGGTGTGTGTGTTTGGAATTGGAGAAGGGGTGTGTGTGTTTACAATTGGGGAAGGGGTGTGTGTGTTTGGGATGGGGAAGGGGTGCGTGTGTTTGTGATGGGGAATGGGTGTGTTTGTGTTTGGGATGAGAAGGGGTGTGTGTGTTTCTCATGTGGAAGGGGTGTGTGTGTTTGGGATGGGGAAGGGGTGTGTGTGTTTGGAATTGGGGATGGGGTGTGTGTTTGGGATGGGGAAGGGGTGTGGGTGTTTGGCATGCAGGAAAGGGTGGGTGTGTTTGGGATGGGGAAGGGGTGTTTGTGTTTGGGATGGGGAAGAGGTGTGTGTGTTTAGAATTGGGGAAGGGTTGTGTGTGTTTGGCATGGGGAAGGGGTGTGTGTGTTTGGGAAGTGGAAGGTGTGTGTGCATGGGATAGGGAAAGGGTGTGTGTGTTTGTGATGGGGAAGGGGTGTGTGTGTTTGCGAAGGCAAGGTGTGTGTGTGTTTAGGATGGGCAATGGGTGTGTGTGTTTGGGATGGGAAAGGGGTGTGTGTGTTTGGGATGGGGAAGGGGTGTGTGTGTTTGGGATGGGGAAGGGGTGTGTGTGTTTGGGATGGGGAAGGGGTGTGTCTCTTTGGGATGGGGAAGGGGTGTGTCTCTTTGGGATGGGGAAGGGGTGTGTCTCTTTGGGATGGGGAAGGAGTGTGTGTGTTTTGGGGTGTGGGTATGATATCTGATTTCAGATTATAAAAATGGATCCCTCAGGCTGCTGCTTAGAAACAGACTTGAGGGCCCTCAGTGAACGGGGTGAGAAAAGTAAGGGGCAAAGGTGGCAGGAATCTCAGCTCGGCAGCTTCTTGGGGATGGAAAGAAAGGGTGGGTGTCTGCAGAGGCAGAATCAACAGGATTTCATGGGACGGGCATCAAATGTGATTTCATAGCTCACCACATTCTAAAACTGTAAGCTAGCCTAAATTTATGGCCAATCTATATGTAAAAGAAAAGGGAAAGTCAAGATGTTGGTGACTTGCTTCAGCTTGAACAGACTAGAAGAGTTACCCCCAGCCCCAAAGGTGGAGAGTTGCTTCCCGGCTCCTAAATGCATTGTTATTTCTTGCTCTAGTGAAAGGCCCAAACAAATGGTAAAGTGGAGATTTATAACTGGAGGCTCCCAGACACTCCAGATGTGCTGGATGCATGTGCACGTCTGTGGGACATGGAAGAAGAGAGACAGCGGGTTTCTAGGAAGTCTGGAAACTGCACACTGCAGCCAGATGGTCCCAACCTGGGGGACCGTCATGGCACACTGGGGCATGAAATCGGATTTTGGAGGGAGACGAGGATGTGGTTTGGCAGAGGCCCAGAGAGGGGATTCTGAGCCAGAGGTGTAGGGGACGAGAGATGGCCTAGGTTTGCAAACAACCAAACAGATGTGGGAGAGGGAAGATAAGCACTGGAGTGCCTTAGAGCCAGTTCTTCCCACTGCTCAAGTTCAACTCCTGACACTTGGTGATGCCTCCTATATGATCCACCATCAAATAAAGACTGAGGTGAGTCAGCCTGTCCCTTTCCTCCTTCCTTCAGTCTATCAGAAGGCTTGCAGGCTTAGGTTGGGCCCAGACCCTCTCTCCTTTCTATTCTTTCCCTCCACTGCCCCACCCAGGGACAGATTTCAAAATCCAGGCCCACAGAGTCCCCAAGAACACCACTGACAAAGGCATCCTGGCCAATTGAGGTTTCAGAGACCTAAGACCTTCTCCCACAGAGGATAAATATATATATATATAAAATTTATTATTTACAAGGAATTGGCTTGTGCAATTGTGGGCTGGCTAAGCAAGTTTGATATCCATATAAGATCCAGTATCCATCAGGCAGCATTAAGGAAGGCAAGAGTGTGGGGCATGAATAGAACTCCACATGCATAGACCCCAAAGCTGTCATCCATAGGTAGAATTCTCTCTCTCTCTCTCTCTCTCACACACACACACACACACACACACACACACACACACACACACACACACCAGTCTTCCTTTTAAGGCCTTCCAATGGCTTTAACCAGGCCCACCTAAATTTCCAGGACGATTTCCCGTAGCATCAACTGATGACTCAAGTAAGTTTTAATTACATCAGAAAGATGCCTTCACAGCAACACTGAGTGTAATGCTTAAATTGAAGTGTCAACTTGACTGGGTTAAAGAACACCTAGAGAACGGGTAAAGCACTGTGTCTGTGAGGGTTTCCAGAGCAGTTGCATGGGTGTCAGTGGACTGAGTTGGGGAGATGGGCCTTCGGTGTGGGTGGGCACCATCCAATCATCTGGGGACCCAAAAAGAACAAAAAAAAGGAGAGAAAAGGAGTTTCTCCCTCTCCTGCAACTGGGACACTCTCCTCTCCTGCCCTTGGACATCAGAACTCCAGGCTCTCTGGTCTTGGCACCTCAGGATTTGCACCAGTGGCCCCCAGGTTCTCAGGCCTTTGGCCTCCAACTGAGGGTTCCACCATTGGCTTCCCTGGTTCTGAGGCTTTTGGACTTGGACTGAGCCATTTTACCCGCATCCCAGGGTCTTCAGCTTGCAGATGGCCCTGTTGTGGGATTGCTTGGTTTCCATAATTGTGGGAGCCAACTCACCTAATGAATCTCCCCCTCACATATCTTTATCTGTCTATCCACCTGTCTGTCTGTCTCTTATTGGTTCTGTCAATCTGGAGAACACTAATCCACAAAGGTTAGCATTTGATACTAACTGAGTACTGTAGCCTCACCATCAAAAACGCATCACAGAGGCCTAATTTGTAATTCAGAGCTTCCAGACTCCTCAAGCCACTGCTCGATCCACTCCAAGCCTAAAAAGGTTCTAAGAGGTATGACTTCTCTGTAGGCCAGTGAACAAGGCTCCTCTGAGGTGCTAGGCAGGCTCTGAGCCTGGGAGGGGGAAGCCGATGGTCTCCAGGTACAGCTCAAGCATGAATGAAAACAGGAACAGCATCATCCCAGGGCCTTGACAACCAGCTCAACTCGGTTCCCCACTGGATCATGAAGAATCCAGATTGCTGTGTTAATCCTGCTGAGACACCCTAAGCCTGCCTGCTACTCCTTCTCCCAGATCCAGTCTAAGCTATAAAAGTATCCAACATGATTGGTGAGAACACTGAATTCCAGCAACGCAGCCCATGGTGAGCCAAGTCCCCCAGTCCAATCCCCTGAGTGAGCTTCCTGAACTAGCATTTTATTTTATTTTGTTGAGGTAAAATATACAGACCAGTGTATATATAATTTACCATGTTTACCAATTTAAAGTGCGCAGTTCAGGGGTAATAAATGCATGTATATTCTTTTTCCCCCTTCATTCCCTTTCCCACCTCACCCATTCCCTTCCCAACCTCTGGTAACCACCAAACTATTCTCTGCCTTTGTGAGATCCACTTTTTTAGCTCCCACACGTGAGTGAGAACGTGCAATATTTGTCTTTCTGGGCTTGGCTTATTTCACTTAACATAATGGCCTCCAATTCCATCCAGGTTGTTGCAAATGACAGGATTTCATTCATTTTATGGCTGGAAAATATTCCGCTACGTTTATACCATATTTTCTTTATCCGTTCATTCGTTGATGGACTCAGGTTGATTCCACATTTTGGCTATTGTGAATAGTCCTGCAGTAAAGATGGGAGTGCAGATAACTGTTTGATACACCGATTTCCTTTCTTTTGAATATGTACTCCACAGAAGGATTGGTGGATTATACAGGATAAGCGAGCATTTTAGATACACCACAGAGTGACTGATCCATCCAGGAACCTGCACTAAGGATGTGCCTGCGGGACTGAGTGCATAGGAAAATCTAGATTAGCTGGGCCTGAATGAGGTAGGGATGTTGACAGGAAAGGATGCAGATGGTGTTTACTTCAGAAACAATGTAAAGTGCAAGCTGGAAAAAGTTTGCAACATATGTGATAAAGAATTACCTTATGTGTAAAGAGCTCTTTCAAATTAATGAAGAGGACACACAATCCGTTTCTAAATTACTTTTTTAAATTCCTTAATTTTTACAAAGACAAAGGATATGAACATACAGTTAACAAGAAAAGAAATTTCAGTGGCCAATGGACAGGCCAATATATGTTCAACTTTACCAGGAAGTAAAAATTAAAATGAAGTTACTTCTGGGCTATCAGTTGCAATGCCTTGAACTGATGAAAGTTTAAAGATATTTCTGGTACACCACTAGAGAATGCATGGAACAGATAGACTCACTCCTGTAGGAATGTCACTGGTGCCCTTTCTCTAAGGGACTATATTTGTCAAAAGCCTTTATAATTTTCATAAGCTCGACTTATCAGTAGATTGTTTGCAAATATGTCCAGAACAATTCCTCTCCTCCTACATGCCCTGAAGCCGTGTGATTTTCCATTCTCCCATCAGACATTTCAGCTTCCTTGGAGACTTTCTTTGACTGATAAAATGCAGCAGAAGTGAAGTGTGCAAGTTCTGAAGGGAGGCCTTAAGAGATCTGACGGTTTCCACTTTTGCCATCTGGGAATCCTGAGCCACCATTTAGGTCATGGTGAAAATTATATTTTTGGAATTTCTTTCTATGGAGGGTTCAATATTTATTTCTATAGCCATTTTTGTATTTAAAAAGGAAGCCAAGAACACATTGTTTTTCACACTTCTTGATGATTTACTTATGTTCATGAAAAGTTTTCCTAGACTGTGTGTGTGTGTGTCTGTGTTTATGTTTCTCACATGTAATGCTGCCATCCCAAAAATGAGGACCTTACAATTGACAGAAAGCCTCAGTATTGTTGATTTAAACATATTATTTCAAAGCCCTGGATGAATCTGTATTTTCTGTATTTCCGACTGAGATCCTTATTAGAACATCTTGTCTCCCCAAAATCTGGTGATAAATCTCTTTTGGAAATGCCACATACCATTTTTGTAAATGACTGAGTCATTTGCAATGCATAAAATGTAAAAAAAAAAAAAAGTGGAAAAATTCAGTTTTTACCTTAATGAAGAACTCCTACTTTATCACACATTTTAAAGAAATTTATAATGTTAGCAGTAAAAGTTTCCTAAAATATGGGATCTTTCTGGACAAACCTAAGTATCAGTTTTCAGCAATGCAAAAGGAATCCTAAGAGGTCTCAGCTAAATTCTCCAAAACTAATACATGCAATTAAGCCTGGAGTTCTGAACATGGAAAAGGGATTATCCCTAGTACACAGGGAAACTTACTCCATGGGTCATTGAAGAAAGGGGCACCATCTTCAAAAGTCCACCATGGCTGTCCCTGGTCAAAAATATATCGTCCCTCTCTTTTTTTTTTTGAAATTAACAAAATATTTCATAATACTGAAGTTTTGTATACTTATTGCAGTAGAGATATACTTTTATCCCCTAATTTTTTCAAATCATTTGGTCATGGAATCTTTTTTTGTTTTCGATTTCTTTGTTTGAGATGGGGAAGGATGGGGAAGTGATTGTTGGTAGACATAAAATCTATTATAATCTCACAGAATATACTCTAGTAATTAAAAGGGGAAAGATTGCAGGATGGAGGGGAGGAAGAGAGGGAGAAAGTAATGAAATAAGGAAGGCTGGTAGGAGATGACATAGGAAGAGGAAAAAATAAGGTCTATAATTTTAATTCATAATTCCAAGCCCAAGAATGCTTGGAAATCAGAATTTTTTCCCCAAGTTTGATACAATCTCATTAGGAAGAAAAACCTGACCAGGAGTGATGTAAGGTTTTTAAATAATCTCCATGTATCCCTCTCATTGAGCATATTCCTATGTTTTGCTGCAGAAATAGTCCTTTTAGATGACAGTGGAGTTTCACTCAGGCCCTGATGAGGTATCACATAATCTAGGGTCACTGGATCACATTACATTTTCCAAATCTGAAACTCAATTTAAAGTCCTATGGCTTGAAGGGATGTTAAGAAAGGATTGTGGACCTGTTTTGCATCCATATTTTGTAGAGCTGCCTCTCCTGTGAAATGCAGAGAGGCCTCCCAGGTTTGTATTGGTGGTCAAATACAGTAATAACACACCAGAAACCCAACACTCTTCTGGACACAGGGCATGCTTTGAAATGTCTGCTGCTCTCTTCCACTTTCCGGTGGCCTTTCCCCACTGCATTCACCTGGTCAGCACTGATGCTTAGTGGTCCCTGAGCTTTATGTGCCCCAAATCCAGATGACAGTGAGCTAAGGCAGAAGCCAAGAGTATGTCTCTGTTCATTCCTACTCCTGCAGAAACCTTGGCATCATTATCCCTATGTTGATTCTGCTATAACGAGCTATGTCTTGGCTTGGTTTGCGTTGCTCCATACAGCCTTGATGACTTCCTCTGTGTAAAACCATATCATTTTAAATTAAAAAATTAAAAATTCAGAGGTAAATCTGATGAGACAGAGGCACCCTCCATTGGTGTCCTTGGCATTGGTATACACTGTCATGTCCAGGACTGTGACAACACCTAGGGGAGTTGTTACACATATTATGAATCTGAGTTTACAATTGTAGGTCATGAAGCTGAAGTAGTTATGAATGGACTGGATTTAGCCTGATTGCTGCTGATAAACTCACCCTAGTTTATGATGCTATTGAATGGGACCAAAGTATTTGGGGGAAGGGATAGGAATGACAATTCTCCAATTTCATGTCTGTTTGAGCCTTACATTTTTCTTTAAGGATTAGGGGTAGGATAACAAACAGGAAATTGGGAGGAGTCACTGGAGGAATGGAAAGTAATAAACAAAATCAAAATTATTATTTACTCATACTAAAATCCAAGACTTTTAGAGAGATGTCTTTAGGAGTTTGAGGACTGATAACAAACAATTTGAACTTCTGTGGAAATATGGAGACTGAGCTCAAATGCTGAGAAAGTCTCCAAGTCAAACAAGAAAATCCCAGGCCAAGACTAAAGAGGGACTTGGAATAGCAAGGTGGGGCCTGAGTCCATGAGTAGCCTTGTGACCCTCAATGCCAGGGCAAGTCTTGGGCAGGGCAGTGCACTTTGCCATCCTCAGCCTCAGCTTTGGTTCCTCTTGGTGTAAAACTTTATTCAACAGGTAATTTATTGAGTACCTGCTATGGTCCAGTGTTCTAGACACTGAGGAGAAAATAGGGAACACAGCAGACAGCTCTGCTGGTGCTCCCAGTAGCAGGGTGGGCCACAAGCATCTGACCATTCAGATATTGGGCTGTGAAGCCAGGTAAGGGCTTCTGCTTACTATATATGTCTCATTTCTCTGAGTCTTCAGTACCTAATCTATTTCTCTATGTCTCTTGCCAGTTGTGTTGGAGATGGCTAGCTGTCCATGAAAATTGTTCCCCACTTCCACAGAAAGAGTAGTCACTTGCAAGTGGCTGCCCAGCCAGGCTCTTTCTATCCCAGCTCCCCACACAGTGAAGTGTAGAATAGTGACTACTTCTTTCCAATGGAATAGAAGTGTAGGTGAAGCAAAACATTTGAAGGCCAATGCTTTTAAGAAGTGGGCGTACCTGCTCCATACTTTCTTTTCTTTCCGCAAGTGGATACAAAACACAACAAAGACCCTAGGGGATGGATGTGTGTCCTTAAATCTCCACATTGAGAGAGTCACCTGCCCCAGACAGTTACTGGGCAAGATATAAATTGCTACTATATTTGCTTTGTTGCATTTTTGGATATATTTGTTACAGCTGTTTAGCCTATCTTAACTTATATATACTCTTGTTTCCTATTCTGTAGGATATCATTATATCTCTCTTCCAGGTTTCAATGTTTAACTCTCAGGAATACTTTGTCTTTCTTCCTTTTTAGCCCACTTATCCTAATCCCTTCTAATTCTTTCTGCCTTTTTTTTTTTTTTTTTTTTTTTGCACATTTCTATTCCTTTTAGAACATATTTATAGTTGGGCTTCTTTTTCTTTCTATACATTTTGAAAGCTATTTAACGCCCATTCTGATGACCATCTCAAATAAAAAAAGATTAACTTAATATATAAAAGTCCCCTACAAATAAATAGAAAAATGGAAACAGTATGCAAAGATGTGGCTCACAGAAAAGTAAATACGGGTAATACTTATATAAAAAGATGCTATTTTCTAAAAATGAAAGAAATATGAGTAAAACTTTATTGAGATACTTTTATCACTTGTTATCCTAGAGATAAAAAGTTTATTAATACACTGTTGACAAAAGTATGAGGTAATAGGCACCCTTATATATTGCTGTAGGGAATTTAAATTAGTACAAGCTCGATGAAGAGTCATTTGGCAATACCTATCAAAATTACAAATGTATTTACCATTTTACCCAGAGATTCTGTTTAAAGGAATTTATCTTACAGATATTTTTACACAAATTTATGCATGATCAAGCTTATTTATTGCAGTGAAATATTTTTATATAACCAAGATGTTTATCATTGAGGAACTGGTTCAATAAATTATGGTATATCCATCAATAGAATACTAAGAGCCTTTTTAAATAATAAGGAAGATCTTTAAGTTGCAGGGAAAGCAAAATTTTACCTCTTCTCTTGTAGAGTTTTAAGCTGGGTCTGAGAATTAAATTGACATAAGACACTGACAGAAGGAAAGTATACAATTGCATATAAATTTTACGTGACACGGGAGCCTTCATAAGAAAATGAAGACCCAAGGAAGTGGCAAAACCTAAATGCTTTTATATTAGGTTGAACAAAGAGAGATAATTGTGGAAAAGTAAAGTACGTGGGGAAGCTCAAGGAAGATAAGAAGTCTTTTAACAAGGCCTGTTTGTACAGAATTCTCTTGGCTATGACTTACTACTGTAGAATGTTTCCTTTCTAATGGTACAGGGAGGGCATCTTTCACATGGGAGTTTTTATCTCGTGTTTCCAGAAAGAAAAGGGGAGATCAGAATGCCCTTCTTGCATTTGCTCTTTTTCAAGTGTCATTAGCTCGAAAATAATCCTTTGCCAAAGTGACATATTTTGGGGTGGTGTATTCTGCCACCTGTCCATCAATGCCCAGGTAGGGATATATTAAGTAAAAGAAAGAAAGCAGAGATAGTGTTCTATGGTACACTGCTCTTTGGGTAAAAACATATAGGCCAGGCTCAGTGGCTCATGCCTGTAATCCCAGCATTTTGGGAGGCCAAGGCAGGTGGATCACCTGAGGTCTGGAATTTGAGACCAGCCTGACCAACATGGTGAAACCCCGTCTCTGCTAACAATACAAAAATTGGCTGGGCATAGTGGCACGTGCCTGCAATCCCAGCTACTAGGGAGGCTGAGGCATGAGAATAACTTCAACTTGGGAGGCAGAGGTTGCAATGAGCCGAGATCACGCCACCACACTCCAGCCTGGGCAACAGAGTGAGACTCTGTCTCAAAACAAAACAAAACAAAACAAAACTATATATATATACACACACACATACACATGCATGCATACATAAATGTAACATCATATGCACATCATATATGGGCAAATATATGGATGTATGTATATATTTGTATGTATATATTTGCCCATATATGTGTGTGCATATATATAACATGCTTGCCCATATATGTATGTGTATATATAACATGCAAATATGTAGAGAATGCATTATGGAAGCTACACAAAAACTGATAATATTATTTGCTATGTGGAGGAAAACCAGGGAGAAGTGGGCAGGGAAGGGAGAGAAACTATTCACTGGACACGCTATGTATTTTAAATTTTGAAACATGAAAATGAGAAATCTACTCAAAAAGGAAATAAAAGTATTTTTAACTCTTTTCTCCTTCTCATTAAAATTGTTTGTCCTCTACAGTCAGTATTTGGACTGGAATTTGGTTCTTAAACATTCATGGAATCATAGTTGCTTTTAAGGATCAGCTGAAATTTACAGATGCTCCCTTCAGAAGAATGTATTTGTGCAAATACAATTTGTATTCCATTTCAGGCATCTGTGGACAGCTTGAGCACAGTTACAAGCGTTAGGTTCATAACTCCTGCAAGAAAAGATCAGCAGTGGAAGAAAAGTGAGAAGACTTTGTTCCTCACATCTCTCCCTCTGAAAAGCTGTTTGTGCAGAACTGGTCATGTCCTACTATATTTATCTCATTGTTCTTTGTTTCAGAATCCCCCACCTTCTTTGTACCAAATTTTCTGGATTTCTGTGTGATTCTCCTTTAAAAAGAAGACTTCTTTAATAAGAAGCCTTAGACTAATTCTCTGATTACAGTTTTTTAAAAGACTTTCTCTTAATTTCCTACCACTTTTTGGGAATTGATTTTCCCCTGACACACTTTAAGAAACACACTCTTGTTGGCCCCTGAGTGTTCCCATTTAAACAACTGCTTTTTTTCCTGTCCTTGAACTGATTTAGTGTGAGGTCCATGTCCCTCTTTTCTTGGCTATTAATGTAGTTTCTGTAACCCAAATCTGAATAGAATTTTCTTGAACCGAAACCCCAACAACCAGCATTTAAGTTCCCCAGGCTTTTAAAAAACAACAGAGTATTAATTCCAGAGACTCTTTATTCTCACCCTCCGATACTCTTAGAATCCCATGTGAGAGATTCAGGAGCTGGCATGGAACTAGCTCATAGTTCCTCTCCCGAGGTCAGAGTGTTCAGGCTGCACTGGCTGCTGGTACCAGGTAAATAGAGTTTGAAGCCTCACATTTGGGAATGTTACTTTGACTCCCTCACTACACTGCCCCCTACTAGGACCCTCTTCATTCAGGAGCTCCTCCCAGATCTCCCCTTCAGGACGAGGCACTCCTTTCCCTAAGTGCTAGGAATGCTGTCTAGTGATGGTCCTCAGTTGAGTCCCTCTCCCAAGAATTGCCCTCGGCTGAAGAGAGCCTCCTAACTAAAGGTTAGGACGCTTACCAATGGGCAGACCGCATCCAATGACTGATCACTGCAGAAGGTACCAAGGGCTGGCCCCTTGGTTCAGTTCAGGGTAACCCGCAAGAGCTGTCTGAGCTCTAGAGCTCCTTGTGGGGTGAGTTGAGTCTGCTGTTGTAACTGCATGGCAGCCCTACTCCTTCCTCTGCCCAATCCAGCTTCCCTGCCTCTCCCTGATGCTGTCCCAAGAGCCATCTGCAACAATCCACCTGCACCTAATTCGTCTCAGAGTCTGTTTGCTAGGGAACTAGAGCACTAAAACTCTCAGGCATTGAAGCATTCTAGAAAATTGTGTGCTCTTCTTATGAGAGTTTATGTTGCAATGTACGTCAGTTGTTTTTCCCAGCCCAGCATCCTTTGCCCTTTCTTCTTGTAACAAGCAGCTTCCAGATTTTCCTTTGAGTAGGTGCACCACCCTACCTCTCCGCTCATGATGCAGTAGGGCTGAGACCACGCCTTGCCAGCCTCCTACCTGACCCAGGCTTGCCACATCACCCCAGCCACAGTAATTGGTTCAGGGATGGCACGTGACCTCAGCTGGGCCAGTAACAGCCTGTTCCGGGACTTGTGCTGAAACCATGGAGAGAAATGAGCCCATTTTGTCTCAGAGTTGCTGAACTGACCTGAATGAAAGAAAACTTCAGGCTGAGCATGGTGGCTCACACCTATAATCCCAGCACTTTGGGAAGCCGAGTCAGGAGGATCACTTGAGGCCAGGTGTTTGAAGCACATTGGCGGGGGAAGGGGAAATTTGCTTCCCTGTTCCCCTTTCTCTGCAGAGCAAAAACAGATGTAGAAGGATGGAAAATGTTTCTGAGAAAGGAGGAGGTCTGACAGCTCCAGATAGTAAAACCTCCTCAATTAGTATGAAAATAGCACTCATTATTTTTGCACAAAGAGAAATCCTTTTGCCAATCACTGCAGCTCCTCTTTATCACTTTTGAGTGTGTTTATTTTGACGGCTTTTTATTTATACTCTTTTTTTTTTCATTTGTACATCAGAAATATGGGCCCATCTGGAGACGGTGCACAACTTGATGCTTTTCAAGGCCCTTCCAATCAGGAGTAACTACAGCTGTCGGGGGAGCACTGAAAAAATGTCAATTAGCTATAAAAGTTCCACAAACAAGCATTATGTCTTCCTCTTATGAGTCCCCGGGTGCAGCTCAAAATTGAGCAATAATGTCCACAGTTAAAAATGGCTATTGGGGGCCCCAGCACTCTCTTTTCCCATTAATAATTGCTTTGCACCAGAGCTGGAGTCACCGCGTGTGGATGGTGGAGCCCAGGTCGCTGAGGGTATTTGCGTTAAAAATAGTGACAGCACACATCATATTTCTGAGTGAAGAAATGGCACTGCATCCCTCCATGTTCATACCAATGGCTGAACTCATCTCTCTGGGATCGGGACTTGAGCCACCTTGCGCTGTCCTCCTACCTCTGGGTTCCTCTTCTCCGGTTATCTGCACCCTGGCTGCCTGTCTCCTGTTCACGTCTAAAAATCGCCTCAGGGTTACTCTAGCCCTGGGGAGGAATTGGAGAGCAGTCTGCCTCCTCGTGTCACTCTTTGTGATTGTCCAGGACCTTTATTTGCACGTGGCCTTTATTTACAGACAAGCGCCCTGCCCTCCAAGTGAAAACGGCACAGAAAGCCTTTATTCTGCAAGTGAAACCAAGTACCTGGGGCCAGTGGAGGTGACTTGCCTTGGCATGTGAAATGTAATAAAGCCTTATTTACAAACACAGGCAGCTGGGCCAAGGGCTGTAGTTTTCCAATTTTTAAAATTTTATTTCTAGCTTTATTGAGGTATAATTGACAAATTAAAATGATATATATTCAAGGTGTATAATGTGATATTTTGATATACATATATACAGTGAAATGATTACCATTCTCAAGGACATTTAACATATCCTCCACCTCACAGTTACTGTTTTTTTATTTTTGTGGTGAGAATATTTAAGATCTACTCTCTTAGCAAGTTTTAAGTACACAATCTATTATCACTAATTATAGTCACCTTGCTGTATATTAGGCCTCCAGAACTTATTCATCTTATAACTGCAAGTTTGTTGGGGTTGTGGGAAATGGGGAGCTGTTGGTCAAAGGTTACAAATTTGCAATTCATTATTTTTAAAAATGTTGCTTTAAAATATTAATTATCATTATTATCGAGGTTTTTGTGCCCCTTAAATCTTGCCCCTGAGACTAGTGCCTCACCCCCCTCACCCTAGTCCTAATTCTACCTTCAGCCAGAAAGCACATGGGTGTGGGTCCTTCCCCGAGGTCTCAGCTGTGTGTTCCAAGAACTCTCACATTTAGCAGAGTTGGGTAAGAGAGTTTCGGCAGTGCCTTGTGTGGAGATGGCATCTGGAAAAAGCACACATACAGACCTTGGTTCCTATTCTTGTGCTGCAACCTTGTGACCTTCAGCAAGTCATCTAACTTCTTTGAGCCTTGGGCTTCCATCTACCAAGCTGACATCATAATATCGACCTCAGAGTGTGGCCGTGAGGATTAAATACAATAAATGATGTCAAGTGGCCTGCACTCGATTAATGACGCTGGACAAATGTTTATGGAGTGAATAATCAATGCACAAAATGTTGGTGTGAAGGTCAGGAGGACTTTTATCATCAGATGGCTTTCTGATCAGCTGGACCTCCTTTTTTTTTTTTTTTGTCTTCTTACTTTCTACATCAAGTCATGGTGATGTCTCTGTTTTGTGCTGGACCTGAGGGCATCTACACATAGGGAGCGTCTGGTATTTGTTGCATGAATGGAACGAGAGGTTTTTTCATTTTCTTTCTCTCTTTTTTTTTTTTTTTTTTTTTTTTTTTGAGATGAAATCTCCCTCTATTGCTGAGGCTGGAGTGCAGTGGTGTGATCTCGACTCACTGCAACCTCCGCCTCCCAAGTTCAAGCGATTCTCCTGCCTCAGCCTCCTGAGTAGCTGGGATTACAGGTGCCTACCATCACGCCTGGCTAATTTTTGTATTTTTAGTAGAGATGGGGCTCACCATGTTGGCCAAGCTGGTCTCGAACTCCTGACCTCAGGTGATCCACCTGCTTCTGCTTCCCAAAGTGCTGGGATTACAGGCATGAGCCACCATGCCCAGCCAAAGAGAGCTTATTAATAAGCAATGATATGAATGAATGTAGAACCAGGCAGTGTGGTCAAATCCCTGCTGTGTAGGTGACCCGAGCCATTTTACACTATTGGCTACAAGGTTCTTGTGAGGCTTAGATGCAGAAAAGGTAAGTTCAGGAGCCAAGAAAGCGACAGTGGCCCCAATGATTCTTAAGTAGAGTCACATGCAGAAATCATTGTCTGGGTCCTTCAATGGATCCTCGCTCCATTGAAGCAAAGCCTGGGTCCCTCGCTTTTCAGTGGGTTGGGAATTGGAAGCAGCAAGAAGAAAATTTGGAGCTTTTGCTATGTTTCCAGGGTTGGCCCATGGACATTGAGTCAATTCATAACTGATCAAAAGTCAGAAAGTTCTGGGTCGTGAGGGAAAGACCACGCTAGGGCTTTTCTGGGAAAAAGATGTGAAGAGGCAAGCTTATAAGATGAGCGATCATGTAATTTATCATTCGAACTGGGATAATTTTGAAAGTGAAAGAAGCTGCTGTTAACAATTACACTGGAATAAATGATGCCAATTCAGACTGTCCTGGGCAAAGCAAGGCATATATTTATCCTGCTTCTAAAGTAATCCTGCAAAGAGCCTCCTGCTCAGTGTTGGAAAGAACAATGCCATTTGTGGCACTGCCTGGTGGACAGCACTGGCTTCTTTTGCAAAGAGGGCAGCCTCATGCCTGCCCTCTGCAGCCGTTGCTATCTCTGGGTCTGCCGTTTCGTGATAAAGCAGTTGTATCTTCCTTTGCCTGCTTTGCCCTCTTTACAGCCAGTAGCCCAGTGTATCTAAGAGCTGTGTCACCATCCATTGCCACCAGCTGGCTCTGCTGTCACATCTGGGCTCTCATTTGAGTGATGTCTCACAGAAGCCTGAAAAATGGAATTACAAGCGGAGAGGCCAGCAAAGGCAGAATGCCAGAGGTGAGCAATGTGGGATGCTGAATTGTCTTTCAGATAAATGCCTGATGTTAGCACAGGAAAGAATTGCAGATAATCATTTATTCGAATATCTTGCCTAATATCCTCTCCCGCCACCTCAATTTACTGTTGAGGAGATAAAATCAAGAGAGTAATGTGCTCAAGTTTATTAGTTCCTTCAAATTTATGCCTCTAGCCCACACATTCTCCATGGATTTCAGACTCAAATATCCCACCATCTCCTCAATGTCTTGCTAGTAGAAATATCAAACTCAGCGTTTCCAAACATGGCCTTGTGATCTCTTCCAAAACCAGATCCACCTCTGTTCTTTTCACCTTGACCAATAGTAAGTCCTCTCTCTGTTCCTCAGGCCAAAAATCTTGGAGTTACCCTTGACTCTTCACAACTTCTCCTTCTTTCTCACAACACACCTAATCTGTTAGAAAAGACTATTCAGAATATATCCAGAGCCTGACTACTTTTCACCACCCCCATTGCTTCCCCTGGTGCAAGCCACCATCTTCTCTCACCTGGGTTGTCATTGTTGCCTCCTAACTGCTTCCACTCAAACCTTCCTACGAGTTCTTTTTATTTTTACTGAATTGAATAGTCTAATGGGTCCTTTTAAAGCCTATATTAGGTTGTGTCACTCCTCTGCTAAAATTCTTACTCTGTCCTACAAATTCCTACACAAACAGCACCCGACACCATTACCAGTTCTATTTTTATCTTGTAACAGGTGCTCCCTGTTCACATGGCTACAGCCACTGTGGCCTCTTTGCTGTTCTTCAAATAAATCAGGCATACCCCTACCCCAGGACCTTTGCACTGACTGTGTCTTGAGCCTAGGACACTTTTTCCCCAGATCCACTTGGCTAAATTCCTCTATGCCTACAAGTCTTTGCTCAAATGCAAGCTTCTATTAAAACTGCTGTTCCTCTTTCTCTTTTCCTGCTTTATTATTCTGTATAATATTTGTTATCTTCTCATATAACCTATAATATACCCTACAATTTATTTATTATTTTCTGTGTATCCTTTGACTCCTTTGAGTGGAAATTAGGATCTCTGAAGGCAAGAATTTGTGTGTTTTGTTTCCTGCGGTGACACCAGAGCAAGTACCTGGCACAAAGTAGGAATTTGATAAATAGTTGCTGAATGAATTAATTCAGCAGCTATTTACCCAATGTCTTCCATGTGTCAGGTGCACACTGGATGTATCAAGACAGTTACAGCAAAATCCTTCCTCTTAAAGTGAGCCTGAGTCAGTGGGATGGAGGCACAGACAACCCTAAGGCAGTGTACTCATGATGTACAACAGTGTTAAAGATAGCAGTCCCTGGCATTATTGTTCTACCACATGGGGGAGTGGAATGAAAGCAAGTGATGTTTGCCCAGAGGAAGCAATGCTGTTGCTGGATCTTGACAAGCTAGTGGAATTTTACCAGGCAGTACAGCAGGGTGACAGAGCTGTCCCTCATGTCCCAGTGGGTTTTCACTCTGCATACTGATTAAGAGAGCAGGCTTAATCCCAGGGAAAAAATGGATAAGGATTTCTTTTTGTGATAACTGTGCTGTCCAGGCAGCACTTCTTAACAGCAGAAGGATGGCCTGATAGCATCCCAAGACATTCAAGTCACCAAAGTGATCCAGTCTGCTCACCTGCTGGTGAAATCAAAAGCAGTTTTCCTCCAAAGCAACCTGGGCAGGTGACCTTATGGCGCTACAGCCACTGTACTGAGCGTCATACAGTGGAATCACACAATTCCAATTCCCCTGGACTCTCAGGAAGCCCTGATTTTAAAAAGGGCTTTTGGTTTGTGATTTCTTAGAATAATCTTGTTTAAGTCAAAGAGTTGTTTGCAGTGGAATTCAGCTGTTTTTGCTGAGTCCAATTGCCTCTGGGGAATAAAAGGATCACCAGACATTTGTAAACTACTTCTGTAACATAACTAAAAGAGAAAGAGCAGGCGTCGGGCAGGTGCTGCTTTCTGGCTTGGGGGCCTCTAGGACCACAGGATTGTTCTAAATTCCATTGTTGCCTGCCCAGGTAAGTCTGACCGTTCTAGTGGTAGTGAGAGTAAACTACTTAACTATTTATGTGTAACAAATTACCTCTATACTTAGCAGCCTAAAACAACAACAGTTTATCATATCCCATAATTCCTGGAGTTGTCTAGGTTGATCCTCTGACAGTTTTGTTTGGGCCCCACTCATGGGACTGCATCCAGCTGGAGAGTCAGCAAGGCTGCAAGGTCCAAGATGGCCTTCCTCAACCTATCTGCCAGTTGCCACTGGAATCACACAATTCCAATTCCCCTGGACTCTCAGGAAGCCCTGATTTTAAAAAGGGCTTTTGTTTTGTGATTTCTCAGAATAATCTTGTTTAAGTCAAAGAGTTGTTTGCAGTGGAATTCAGCTGTTTTTGCTGAGTCCAGTTGGTGCTTTTAGGGAGGACACCCTGATGCTCCTTCATGTGGATTCTAGTCTCCAAATAGACCAGCTTTCTTACAGTGAGGTTATAACAGGCTCAAAGGGGATGATGGAGGAAGCTGCAAGGCCCCTTTGAGGACTAGACCTTGGACACAGATAGTTTTGCTTCTTCTACATTCCACTGGGCAAATTGAGTCACAAACCCAGCCCAAACCCAAAGGTCGGAATAGATTCAACCTTCTGAGGGGAGGAGCTAGCTGCAAAGCTCTGTGGCCATATTTAACCTACCACAGTTTTCCATTTGACTACAATTACTAGTAGTCTTCCCAGATACAAAATAAATTTACCCCTCCCAAGATCTTCAAAGATCTCACTCAGTTATAGCATAAGGCTCAGAATCCTGGAGCTTGTGATCTTCATCTGGTCTGGATACAGAAAAAGTCTCTTGAGTGCAGCAGATCCTCTTGATCCAGAAACTTGTGAATTTAAAGCACCAAGGGACAGGCACTAGATGATGCAATAGTCACTCTTATTCAAAAGGAGAAGAGCAAGAGGCACTAACAGTCACTGGTACATAGCAATTCTGAAATCTAGCCAGGCACAGGCACAGTCACATGTCATCAGAGCTCTCTACCCAAGGCAGGGAATATTCCTTTACTAGGCCCTGCTCTCTGGGAGTAGTTTCCTAATCAGCTGTTTTCCTTGGCCCTTAAATTCAGAAAATCAGCTGTTTTCCTTAGCCCTTAAATTCACCTTCTAGTCTCTTGGCTCTACTCTTTGAATTTCTTTTTCCTTCCATAAGAGAGGGTTCATGTTTGTAGCTTTCTTAGCCTGCTTTCTAACTGTAAACTTTGGGGACCACAGTCCTCTTTGTGTTTTAAACTGTGTTTGTTTTCTTCAATCCAAGCTGCTACAACTCCTTTAAAAATGTTTTGGGTTTTCTGTGCATCACATTATACTCCATTAAACAAAAACCATATTCACAACTATGTTTGAAATAGATTCTTCTGTACTTGGATGGGGAATTTCAGGGTGCTGCTGTAGGACAAGGCCCTTAAGATTTTTGTCTAGCTGAGAAGGTCTATTAGACAACATCTTAATTTTTCAGAAAGTCTTATATCTACATTCTTGATTTGATTGTGATCCTGAAGGCATTTTCATTTTTCCCTTGAGAATCTTTTGCCTGTTGAAAAGACTAGAAATATTACAAACAAAACCAACTTCATTTAGAAACTCAGTATATATCAGGTCCTCTGTACTTTCTTTAAATTCTGCTTACAAATAGAGATGACTTTAGTACATCTCTCTTTCTCCTCTCATTCCTTATCATACTCAGCTAGAAAAAGCCAATAACCATTGTCAGCATTCTGCCTCGTCATCTCCTTAGGGAGACCCACACATTCATTAGTACATTTCCTGTCTTTCAAATTACTTCAGACAAGAGTTTTGCCAATTGTTCCTCAATTGTAACTTGGCTTGCCCTTTTTCCAGCCTCTACTAGCAGTTTTCTCAATGCATTTCTAGATTCTACTAATAGCTTCCTTAATTCTCTATAAGCCTCTGTCCATTGCCCAGTCCCAAAGCCAATGCCACATTAATAAAGATGGTTTTTTGAATTTTATTTTGAATAGCAGCATCCACCTCCAGGTATCAATTTCTGTATCACCAACTATGCAGTATTAGCAAACCATTTCACGACTTAATGTCTTAATATAATAGTGACTTACTATTTTAACATTCTGTACGGTGATTCTTCCACTGGTCTCACCTGGGATTTCTCATGTAGCTGCATTCAGCTGGAAGGTTGACTGGGCTCAGCTACGTCGGCTGGATCTTCCTCTCCATGTTGTCTTTCATTCCAGTTTCTTCACATCCTGGAGTCTTCTTGGCATGATGGTCTCGGGGGAGCATTCCCAGAGGGTATGCCCAAATTCATAAGCACAAATCAAGCCTCTGCTTACACCTAGTTAACTTGGCAATACTCATAGACAAGCCCAGAGTCAGTGTGTGAGGGGAATACAGAAAAGTATGGATACTGAGAGGTGTGTTTCATTGGGCTATGACTGTAATCATCTTGCACAGAAGGATAAAAGAGATCACCAACCAGACCTTTCTAACCCAGGTCTTCTGTCCTCTTCTCTACCTGTTGATGTCTCTGCAGTCCTAACCTGCAGTTCCTGTGTGTGCTTCTGACTGTGGGTGCTAGAAAGGGTACCCAGGCAGCACCTAGGCCAACATGCACATCCTTAGCCCACTGCCCTTAGTGAAGTTTTTGGGAAAGCAGGCCCTGCTTCCAGGTCTAATTCTGATCTTGAATATCCAGATCAATTTTGTGCAGATGCCCTTTCCTTCTCTATGTAACATTCTTTGCACCACAAAAAGGAAACTGCCTTTGGAGCTTGCCTCAGACATGTAAGAACTCTGCTGCATCTAACAGGACAAAACTTCTCATTGTTTATGTGCAGATGATATCTACAAGAGGGAAAGTCTCCTGTTTGTCACAGTCATCACTAAAATGGTCTCTAATAACTCACTCTCCTTGGTATTCACATCCTTGTGTCATCCTCTTCTCTGAGTGTGGGCAGGACTAGCTGATACTTCTAACCAATAGAATAATGCAGGTGTGGTGTGATGTCACTTCTGATATTGGGTAATAAAAAAGCTGTGGCTTTGGTCTGGGCATGCTCTTACACTCTCTCTTGGGTTGCTTACTCTGGGAGAATCCAGCCATCATGCTGTGACGCAGCCCTGTGGAAAGGCCCACATCTGTGAGCTTGGAAGCTGATCTTCTGAGGCCTGCCCACAGCCATGGGAGAGTGGATAAGCTCAGAAGCTGGCTTTCCCCAAGCCAAGCCTTGAGACGACTGCAGCCCTGGCTGACATTCTGATTGCAGTCTTGTGAGAGACTCTGATCCAGCACCACACAGCCAAGATGCTCCTTCATTCCTGACCCTGAGGAACAGTGAGAGTATACATTTGTTGTTTCCAGCTTCTAAGTTTTGGGGTATGCATTTGTTACAAAGCAATGGATAACTAACACATATTTTGGGTCCAGCCTGATATGGTTTGGATCTGTGTCCCCACCCAAATCTCATATCTAGTTGTAGTCCCCAGTGTTAGAGTTGGGACCTGGTGGGAGGTGATTAGATCATGGGGGGTGGTTTCTAATGGTTTAACACCGTCCCCCTTGGAGCAGTCATCATGATGGTGAGTTCTCATGAGATCTGGTTGTTTAAAATGTGTAATACCCCACACCTCTCTCTTTCTCCTGCTCCAGCCATGTAAGACATGCCTGCTTCCTCTTGGCCTTCTGTCTTGATTGTAACTTTCCTGAGGTCTCCCAAGTCATGCTTCCTGTACAGCCTGCAGAACTGTGAGCCAATTAAATCTGTTTTCTTTATAAATTACGCACTTTCAGGTATTTATAGCAATTCACGAACAGACTAATACACAGGCTTTGCAAAAATGTGCATAGCCCAGGAGCACCCCACCCCAAAACAGCCAGTATAAGACTAACAGGAGCAAGAAAGAGAGGGGTGAGGACAAGGACGGGTGTGAGGAATCTGGAGGATTTCTTTGGCCCCTCGGCCATTCCCTCCTGCTTTCCTTCCCAGGAGGTTGTGGTCTTTCAGAACAATCAGCCAAGCAGAAAACAGTCTTCTCTGGGTTAAGATGGCAGCAACAAGTAATTTAATACTTAATCTTGATTGGATTAGTAGCAAAGGCATTGGCTAGTCTCTCTAGCTGAGACGAGGACAGTTTAGCCTGTCTAAATTAAATCTCTTCGGCATCATTGGTTTGAACAGCCTACTCATTTTTGCTGCAGATGCTCTATACATTTTTGTTGTTGTTGTTGTTTTGGGGTGGAGAAGCAAAAATGCATTTTCTTTGCTTAGGTGGGAGGACTGATCGCCTCTACCTATCCAGCGTGATTATTGCAGCACATATGGTTTAGAGCTGCTGAGAAAAGTAATGGATCTGCCCGAATTAGCACCTGACTTGGGTAAGCACCGGAGCAGAAATTCCCCCCCTTTTTAACACTTTGGCTCAGTAAGGCAGGCCAAACCCTATAATCATCATTGATTATCTCATTCGGCATGACTCCTGGGAAATCTTGGGTGAAAGCAAATTGAATCGGATATTTGCTGCCACTCTTGTAAAAGGGGCCTCTCTTAGATTAATTTCAGGGATGATGGCAGCCCAGAAAATGAGGGCCTGGAGTAGTGTGGCCAAGGGGGCTGTCGGGCATTGTGAGAAGATGCAGCTCTTGTGAACTGATGTGTATAAAGGGTGGCTTTGGAGAAAGGCGCAATCTTTTAACGTGGAGGATTAGTCCCAGAGGGGAGGCTCCCTCACAGATGAGTTTGCCTGGCCTGCAGCTGGGAAAGGCTGGTTGTTAGGGAAGATTCATCAAATAAAGAGCAGTCCCCATTGTTCCTATGGGTATCTTAAGCTCCCTAGGGAGGAAGGGGGTGCACAAGTTCTCTAGGGATAGAACCTCAGGCACAAAGGGAAAAGAAGCACTTTTGTGGATTCCAAGAAATCCCTTGCTCTTAGGGGAGGAAGATGAATAGGCAAAACTTTAAAAGGTCAAGGGTTTATTTAATAAGAGGAGGATTTGGGACTGTCAAGTCCTGCTGGAGGCCAGTGGTATCACCGAGAGAGAAGGCAGCACTCACACCTGGCACTTCTGCCACGTCCCTCTCTCAAGAACATCCCTCTTGGCAAGAAGTGGGGCCTTTTGATTCAGTAGAGGAGATCCCAAAAGGACAGTGGTCATGAGACTGGGCAACAAACACAGAGCCAATTAGAGAGAGCTGATGATGTGAAATCAGCATTCAGGCACCATCCTCACTGGCAAACCCAGCACATGGGCATCACCAAGTCCAGTTAGTGGGACTGTCAGCTGTGAGTGTGGAGAGACCTGCTTTAGAAGGTTTTATGGGCAAGGTTAGTAAAACAACAGCAACAACAACAGTAATGCATATTTATCGAGTGTGTCCTATAAATGCTCATAATAACCCAGCAAGAGAGGTATGGTTACTTGTGGTGGACAATGTCGGTGCTTTACTCAGACAACCTGGGGTCCCATTTTGCCCATTTTGCGCACCTCTGGTTTGAATGTGCTCTTGCTTTTAACAGCAAGCATCTCTAGCTATTATTTCCTAAGATTTTCCTTGGACCAGTGGGGTTTGCTTTGCAGAGCTGGAAGTGCCTCAGAATTTACATCTACCCTCCTTTCCCACCACCCTTAACCAATGACTAATGTATACAGAAATGTGAAGGCCCCAGCTCCTTTGGATAAGGCCAACTCTGAGGTGTAATTTACAATGCAGAGGTCTCCGCAGCATTAGGCTGAAGCTATCCTCTGTCTGCTGGATCTTTGCCTGAGACTACATACCTGCTTAGCTTCCTCCGTTTTCCCCTCCTGCATCCCCCGCTCAAGTTCCAATTTCCCCTGGGAGCACTTTCTTAGTAATACAAATTCTCATCTTAGGATCTGTTTCTGGGAAACCTAACTTGCGATATTATCCCTGATGTGTAAATCAGAAAACTAAAGAATATAGTGAGACGAAGTCACTTTCCTGCCCAAGGTCACACGAGTAAATGTCTGAGCTGGTATTTACAACCTGTCCTCTCTGACTTCAGAGTTTTGTTCCTTATATCACCCACGGAGCCCATTTCCAAATAGGAGAAGTTTGTGTATGGAAAACGTGGAGGAAAGCTCATCCTTATTGTCATACTTTTGTTCCCCTTTGGGAGTTTCTTGCCCATGTGACCAAGAATTGGCCAAAGTCACAGACATTTTTAGCAGCAACTCTTGGGAAGAATGTGATTGACTTGTCAGGATTTCTCAGTAGGTGCATTTCATTTGGTTTTTGCTAAGAATTGGTTCCAATGGTCAATGGATTTACCACATTGAAATGACCCTGAATAACACCTTCCTTGTAGGCATATTTGCAATTTCTTCTAAGCCCAAACTATCTTCCACATCAACACAGCTCTGGCAGTATCACAGTGAAGGGTCACTCCTTTGTGTTTATTTTCTTTGAATGCTAGAGGTCAGGTAACCACTGTCAGAATCCTGACACTATTATCTGCCTGCAGAAAAACTGATTGTGCCTTGGGGGAGATATATTTTGGGAGCTGTGATATGGCTAAAGCACTGGCCTGAGGTGCCTGAAAAGTTGTGGCTAAAATTGGAGAAGGGAGAAAAGTGATTAAAAAATAAATAAATAAAGCTGAGCAGTGCTAGAGATAGACATTGTTTTGGAATCAGAAAGACCTGGATGGAAATCCCAGCTCATAAACTTTAGACGTGTAGCTTCAGACAAATTACTTAACCCCTCTAAAGCTGATTTCTTCATCATCTGCATAGTTGGAATTCTAATTGCCCCTAGGTTATAGAATTGCTGTTTTGTTTTGTTTTGTTTGAGACAGAGTCTCACTCTTCTGTCACCCAGACTGGAGTGCAGTGGCATGATCTCGGCTTGCTGCAGCCTCTGCCTCCTGGGTTCGAGCCATTTTCATGCCTCAGCCTCCCAAGTAGCTAAGATTACAGTCGTGCATGACCACGCCACCTAATTTTTATATTTTTAGTAGGGATAGGGTTTTGCCATGTTGGCCAGACTGGTCTCCAACTTTTGGCTTCAAATGATCTGCCCGGCTTGGCCTCAAAATGCTGGGATTACAAGCGCGAGCCACTGCACCTGGCCTGCTGTGATGTTTTAGTGAAACGATGGATACAAAGGAATTGATGTAAGTTTTGGCACATAGTACGCATTCACTGATGATGTTTGTTTTAATGAATAGCTTAATTACAAATAATTTTTGCTTACGTTAGGCAGGCGGGAAGGCTCAGGAGATCGTATAAAACACATCTAGCATGTCAACGTAAATCAGTGTATAATGAACTCTAATAAACTGTCTGCTCACTAATATCTTGTTTTGTGCCTATAATCAGGAGGAGAAGAAGACAAGACCTGCATCATAAAAGCTACATTTTCTCATAGGAAATGTGCCTTTCACACCTTTTCTTTCTTTTTTTTTTTTTTTTTTTTTTTGAGATGTAGTCTCGCTCTGTCGCCCAGGCTGGAGTGCAGTGGTGTGATCTTGGCTCACTGCAACCTCCGCCTCCTGGGTTCAAGCAATTCTTCTGCCTCTGCCTCCTGAGTAGCTGGGACTACAGGTGTGCACCACCACACCCAGCTAATTTTTGTATTTTTAGTAGAGACGGGGTTTCACCATATTGGCTAGGCTGGTCTCAAACTCCTGACCTCATGATCCATCCACCTCAGCCTCCCAAAGTGCTGAGATTACAGGTGTGAGCCACCGTGCCTGGCCTCACAACCTTTTCAATGATGACAGCACAAAATATGGAGCCCATGACTGTGAATTTTTGTATTTTGTCTGGGCTCTGGAACCTTTAGACTTACAGACAAATAGTTAATGTTTAGGTAGGAATTGCTTGGCCAAGTTGGGCTCTGCTGGTTTCAGGGCCACTCAAATTCATTTTCTTCAATTGGCCTTATCTTCTAGGTGTAAAACTGATGCTGTGAGTATGAGCTGTGCAGCTGGAATGAAGAACACTGAAATTATACACCTCCCTCAAAACATCCAAGGTCTCTTTCTTCTACACTAACTTGCTGATGATTATAAGTAAAGAGATAAAAATAAATGCACTCATGTATCTACCGTGAGTTAATGATTTATAAATAATGCCTCTAGGTAGACAGATTGTTACTTCTGTGGCTAAATTTGGAGGGAGGACCTCTAAGACTCTTGGTTGGCTAGAAATTTAGGATAAAAATCACAATTTATTGAGCCCTGTAGAATTTTTTATGTAGGCTCTTGTTTGTTTTTATCACTTGAATTACCTGAAAGTCAATGTTGTTTGGCTTTGAACTAAAAGATGCCTTCCTGTAAATCCATGTTGCTCAGTTGCATGCATTTGAAAACTTAAACCCATAGAGGACATGTTACTGGGTTCCAGTGTTTTGGCCAATAAGGACATGCACCTGAGAGGAGCTGTGCGTTAACTGTGGTGTTTCTGGGCTAGGACCGTGTCATCTTCTTTCCTGTCCAAGAGTATAGAGTTGTGACAGCTATGAAGGACAATCATGACTTTAAGCAAAGGCATTCCTGGGAGAGCCACCCACCTCTAAAAATTGAAATAAGTGGGCAGGGCAAGAATCTCTAAAAGGCTTCTGATTTTCTTATCCCAGCCATGCTTAATCCGGTAGCTAAAGGTCTTAGAAAAATTACACCTTGCGCTTCCATCTTTTTTCTCACTTACCAAGTGTCTGACGATGTTCATGATTGAGTATTTGCAGAATTTGGAAATGCTAAGTCGGCTGAGCTGCTAGGAATGGGAAGAGAAATAAAATAAACTTTGACAAAATTGATCCTGGCCTCTGCTGATGAAAAATGCAGCCCAGTGTGGCCAAAGCACAAGTTTGAAGGGTGGTTCTTCTATGAACCAGCTGTCATTTACCAGAGGTAAAAAAACTGTCGGTCCACAGCTGAATCTGGCCAACAAAGATCTCCAGTTTAGCTGGTAAGAGTGTGGAATTGTATTTTTTATTGCAGAGAGCCCTCTTTAGTTCACCACCAGTTCCTGTCTTCTCTGTGGCCTCAACGTTCCCTTCCCGCTTAATCTGTGTCTGTCACCTGACCCTCCTTGGAACAATGTGAGTCTGTAACCACCTCAGCCTCATTTTCCTCAACTGTCAAATGCAAACCAAGTCTGTTTCGCAGGGTCATTGTGAGAATCTAGTGTGACAACATGGATGACAAGCCCAGCACAGGCTAATACTTCAAGAGCTCAATGGACTTCTTTCTTTCTTCGCTTCCTTTTTTTCTTGTTTTCCCTTTTCTCTTGCCCCATTTCTCATTCTTGCCATTTTGTTTGCCTCTTCTTTGTGATGTTTGGATATTTATTTGATCTCATTGCTAAACTTTAAGCAGGGTTTTGTTTTGTTTTGTTTTGTTTTGTTTTAGTTCATGGAAGCTCTGTGTTGTTCTGGTTTATCCTGTAGTGAAAGTTGTACTAAATATGTCCTCTGCTTCTCCACAATTTAAGGATTGAAAGAGACATATCTAAATGGCACAAAAGTGATTAAACACTGAGTTAGTCATGCCCTGAGTTAAGATGAGGTTTGACCCTACTCTAGATTAATCCAGAAGGTGGTTGAAGATGATGACCTTGCATGCATTTACTTGGGGGATATTACGGTTAGTGAAATTTAACTGCCCCACTGTGATGGTTACTACTGAGTGTCAACTTGATTGGATTGAAGGTTGTAAAGTATTGATCCTGGGTGTGTCTGTGAGGGTGTTGCCAAAGGAGATTAACATTTGAGTCAGTGGGCTGGGAAAGGCAGACCCACCCTTTAATTTGGGTGGGCACCATCTAATCAGCTGCCAGTGCGGCTAGAATACAAAACAGGCAGAAAAATGTGAAAAAAAAAAAAAAAAAAGACTGGCCTAGTGCCCCAGCCTACATCTTTCTCCCATGCTGGATGCTTCCTGCCCTTGAACATCGAACTCCACGTTCTTCAGTTTTGGGACTCGAACTGGCTCTCCCTTATACCTCAGCTTATAGATGGCCTATTGTGGGATCTTGTGATCATTTGAGTCAATACTTAATAAACTCATATATATATATAAAATTAGTTCTGTCCCTCTAGAGAACCCTGACTAATACACTCACCATGAAGACAGAAAATATAATTCCAGTGTATTGAGACCCACCTAAATAAGTGGATCTCATTTTTCCTTTCTTTTATAGTTGAGGAAAAGGAGGCTTATTAGGTTAAGGGTCTTGTTCAAAGCACTGGGGTATTTAGTGGCAGGGAACTTTGCACTTAGTGCGCAGTTTTTACTCCTCATCATGAAACTTTATTGACCATAAGGGTCTAGAACATTTTCAGTTTCTGCCTTTTGAATGACAACAGTTGAGCTGGGGATTATTAGAGGCAGAGGTTACCTAAGCATTGAAGACATTATTGAGTAGCAATGCTGACCTTGGCCTTGTAAAAATAAGCAAGAAGGCATGGCTGTAGTATTCACATGCCCTAGAAGGAGGGAAGGAGAACCTTCTTAGAGATCTGGTTATGAGACCTGATTTGGATACCTACTAGCTGTGAACTTGGAAATGCTATTTAATTTTCTTAAGCATTACTTCCTTCATTTGCATGGTGAAGATAATTATTTCTGAACTGCCCACTTCAAAAGTTTATTTTGAATTTCCAAATATAGATGATTTAGTCCAACAAAAGTGTTTAATATGCACCTTCTATGTGCAGGGTATATTATGGCTGGCACCAAAGACTCAAAGATGAATACAGGAAGAACATGCTACATATGCTAAATGATGAACTATCAAGTTTGCATAAAATAATAGATCATTATTATTGCAACCCAAAGGGCTGTCCCCTTCTCCCTGGAAATAGTGGCTGGAAAGACATCTGTTAGCTCCTCTGTCACCCATGAAGCTCAGAGCTGTAGGATTTATTGCTCTCACTAGTTACAACAGCACATAGTACATTACACAGGGATGATTATTTAAAACAGTGCTTCTGAAATGGTTTATTCATATGTATACATATATGAGTTTCAAGGGTGACTTACATCTTGTTCTTGGGAAAGAATCATGACCCATAAGGAAAAGTATAACACAGAATATTATGAAGCAAGGGCTGAATTTCTCAAGCTGCTTTATCCCCAACTTGCTTTAAGATCCTAGAGTACTCATTTAATTTTTCTGAGTTTTGAATTTCCCATACTCAGAGAAGAAGAATCTTGCCCTGACCGCTAGAGTTGTTTCTCGTGAAGTAAAGACGTCAATGGGTATGGGTGTGTTTTTAAAAATTTGTCAGATGACAGAAGGGTAAAGGTTAGCAGCAGGCCTGACACCTAATTTTGGCCTTTACTTGGGACACCTGGGAAAGAAAGAAATGAACCAGGAAAATTCCCTTGCAAACTCATGAGTAAGCAGACTTCCTGCAAACCACAAATGGTGTTTACTAGCAGAAAGATAAAGAAGAGTTCTCAACTATGAACTACTTTTAGCAGGATATATACCCAGTCTGTGTCAGTTGTTTATTGTAAATAAACCTGAAATCTATGGATATATGAGACACAGCTCACTGGAAAATGTCACATGGCTATGTAATTGCTGTGTCTTGCTATTGCTCATCAAGTTTGAATCAAAAGTAAACTTGGTCCTAGGTATGACCAGTGATTCATGTTGAATCTCATTTGCATTGTCTTTGTGTTATATCGGGTGCCATCCTAGGTAAGGTAGAAAAAGGCATAGGTAGAAAAAGGAGATGCTCCATAGCTGAGTTGGCTCCTCTGTTCAAGTCATGTACAACATGCAGTTCTTAAAGCTCACATGGGAAATCTGAACCAGAACAATCCTGGTGCAGGAGAAAACCAACATTTGGAGGCAGTGTTGATCGTCTTGACCTCTCTGAGGGAACACCCCTTGGCAGCGTTTTGCTATTTCTGGTAAACCTTGAATCAGAACTAAATTTGTTGCTCAGCATCACCAATGCCTCGAGATGAGTCTCATTTGCATTATCTTTGTGCTTTCTCAGGTGTGCCTCACAGAGAAGCCATTGTTAGTACATCATTTTTGAAACCACTGAGGGAGTTTCTGTAAAACCCAATCCAATCTTTTTTTTTTTGAGACGGAGTCTCGCTCTGTCTCCCAGGCTGGAGTGCAGTGGCGCGATCTCGGCTCACTGCAAGCTCCGCCTCTCGGGTTCACGCCATTCTCCTGCCTCAGCCTCCCGTGTAGCTGGGACTACAGGCGCCCGCCATGATGCCTGGCTAATTTTTTGTATTTTTAGTAGAGACGCGGTTTCACTGTGTTAGCCAGGATGATCTCGATCTCCTGACCTCGTGATCCACCCGCCTCGGCCTCCCAAAGTGCTGGGATTACAGGCGTGAGCTACCGCGCCCGGCCAATCCAATCTTTAAGGTAAAGATTTTGTGTATGTGTGAGATAAAAGCACATGATAGACTTATGCAAAGTGTCCTGTTAGGGCACAAGCCTAGGAAGCTGGGGGCTTTGCTAACTCTGTTACAATTAAAGAAGCAGAAGTTAGAAACAAGTCATTAACAGCTCTGGGGGTGGGGTTGGGGAGGGGAAATGGGTCACGTGGTCCACCCAGTGGGCGTGGTCACCAATGTCTGCAGGCTGTCTTTAACCCTGCAGCCATTTTCCACTTGGTCATTCTTTATTGTTGGATTCTCCCCTCCCAGCTAACCCCCCCGCCCCAAAACCAGTCTCCTCTGATGCCTATTAGAACAGTAGCATCCCGCCTTATTCTCTCCCTTCTCCTGTCATTGATCTTGACTTACCTGCAGCAGGAATGAGGAAATCCTGGACTCTCCTCCCAAGTGCTCTGCCCCTCGGCTCCCTTTTTGCCTACCTTGCCCATTGCCATTTGGAAAGCCAAGGGATAAAGGCAAAGTTAGATGCAACAGGTAGATGTTTTCCTTAGTCTAGGTAAAAATGTTCTTTAGGGTAATTAACCCAAAAAGTCAAGAAAGAAAGATTTTATCTTATTGAAACGTGCAAAGTCTCACTTTTGCAAACCCCAGAGAGAAAAAGAATTGGAGAGCACCGCCCGGGAGGCAGCGGCTGGAGGAGCGGACGGGCCCCGCGGGGCCCGAGGGCAAGGAGCAGCCGCCTGCCTTGGCCTCCCAAAGTGCCGAGATTGCAGCCTCTGCCCGGCTGCCACCCCGTCTGGGAAGTGAAGAGTGTCTCTGCCTGGCCGCCCATCGTCTGGGATGTGAGGAGCCCCTCTGCCTGGCTGCCCAGTCTGGAAAGTGAGGAGCGTCTCCGCCCGGCCGCCATCCCATCTAGGAAGTGAGGAGCGCCTCTTCCCAGCCGCCATCACATCTAGGAAGTGAGGAGCGTCTCTGCCCGGCCGCCCATCGTCTGAGATGTGGGGAGCGCCTCTGCCCCGCCGCCCCATCTGGGATGTGAGGAGCGCCTCTGCCCGGCCGAGACCCCGTCTGGGAGGTGAGGAGCGTCTCTGCCCGGCCGCCCCGTCTGAGAAGTGAGGAGACCCTCTGCCTGGCAACCACCCCGTCTGAGAAGTGAGGAGCCCCTCCGCCCGGCAGCTGCCCCGTCTGAGAAGTGAGGAGCCTCTCCGCCCGGCAGCCACCCCATCTGGGAAGTGAGGAGCGTCTCCGCCCGGCAGCCACCCCGTCGGGGAGGGAGGTGGGGGGGGTCAGCCCCCCGCCCGGCCAGCCGCCCCATCCGGGAGGGAGGTGGGGGGTAAGCCCCCCCGCCCGGCCAGCCGTGCCATCCGGGAGGGAGGTGGGGGGGTCAGCCCCCCGCCTGGCCAGCCGTGCCATCCGGGAGGGAGGTGGGGGGGTCAGCCCCCCGCCCGGCCAGCCGCCCCGTTCGGGAGGTGAGGGGCGCCTCTGCCCGGCCGCCCCTACTGGGAAGTGAGGAGCCCCTCAGCCCGGCCAGCCACCCCGTCCGGGAGGGAGATGGGGGGGTCAGCCCCCCCACCCGGCCAGCCACCCCGTCCGGTAGGGAGGTAGGGGGGTCAGCCCCCCGCCTGGCCAGCCGCCCCGTCCGGGAGGGAGGTGGGGTGTCAGCCCTCCGCCCGGCCAGACGCCCCGTCTGGGAGGTGAGGGGCTCCTCTGCCCAGCCGCCCCTACTGGGAAGTGAGGAGCCCCTCTGCCCGGCCAGCCGCCCCGTCCGGGAGGGAGGTGGGGGGGTCAGCCCTCCGCCCGGCCAGCCGCCCCGTCTGGGAGGTGAGGGGCACCTCTGCCCGGCCGCCCCTACTGGGAAGTGAGGAGCCCCTCTGCCCGGCCAGCCGCCCCGTCCGGGAGGGAGGTGGGGGGGTCGGCCCCCCGCCCGGTCAGCCGCCCCGTCCGGGAGGGAGGTGGGGGGGGGGTCGGCCCCCCTGCCCGGCCAGCCGCCCCGTCCGGGAGGTGAGGGGCGCCTCTGCCCGGCCGCCCCTACTGGGAAGTGAGGAGCCCCTCTGCCCGGCCACCACCCCTTCTGGGAGGTGTGCCCAACAGCTCATTGAGAATGGGCCAGGATGACAATGGTGGCTTTGTGGAATAGAAAGGCGGGAAAGGTGGGGAAAAGATTGAGAAATCGGATGGTTGCCGTGTCTGTGTAGAAAGAAGTAGACATGGGAGACTTTTCATTTTGTTCTGCACTAAGAAAAATTCCTCTGCCTTGGGATCCTGTTGATCTGTGACCTTACCCCCAACCCTGTGCTCTCTGAAACATGTGCTGTGTCCACTCAGGGTTAAATGGATTAAGGGCGGTGCAAGATGTGCTTTGTTAAACAGATGCTTGAAGGCAGCATGCTCGTTAAGAGTCATCACCAATCCCTAATCTCAAGTAATCAGGGACACAAACACTGCGGAAGGCCGCAGGGTCCTCTGCCTAGGAAAACCAGAGACCTTTGTTCACTTGTTTATCTGCTGACCTTCCCTCCACTATTGTCCCATGACCCTGCCAAATCCCCCTCTGTGAGAAACACCCAAGAATTATCAATAAAAAAATAAATTAAAAAAAAAAAAAAAAAAAAAAGAATTGGAGAGAACAGTGGCGCTCTACCTTAGCTCTCTACCTTGACTGTAGAATTATCAATGGTGCTTTGAAAAAAAAAAAAAATTTACTATTCCTGGGCCCCATTCCAGACTAGTCAAATTAGAATTTCTGAGTGAGGCCCAGGCATGCGATTTTTACATTGTTTTCCAGGTGATTCTAATGGGTAGCCACAGTTGCAGACCACTGGGGTAGCAATTTTATGGTCATTTGCTATTGTCTTTACGAACAAAGTCAGGCAGTAAGTGCATTTCAGGGCATAAAATGGCTCAGGGCTAAAATGTTTTCTATTGTAAGATCAGCTACGTAGAACGGAAACCCAGCTGGCAACCAGAGCATTAAGTTAGCCCATGTATAAAATAATTTCTTTTGAAGTTTTTGGCACTAACAAGTCCTGAGATGGTATTTTCTGATGATAATGGGCTTAATGACCTGAGTATATCTATAAGGCAGAGAAATATCCTGATCGACTTCTCCCTTTTCAAGTTTATCAACTTGAAAAGGATATTAATTTTTTTTTCCATTTAACAATATGACTTACAAGTGGAACATTATGAGAAAGTGTGAGATCCATATTATTTCAGGGACATGACCCTGCACACCTCTTCCCACTCATGGAGGAGCTGAAACCACTATTCTCAGGAGAAAAAGCACAGAATTTGTATGGTATTCCAGAAATTTTGATCTCTGCAGCCAACTAGATCACATTAAGGACCCAAGGGGGAGACATATTTGTAGTCAATGTCTGCACATACGCAATTTCTCTCTACATAATTTTGCTCTTAAGGATGATAGAATGAGGTCCACTTTAATTAAATGTATAAGGAACAGTAATCCACTTTGAAAGGCACCGCTAATCCACTTACTGGTCACCAAGTTATGCAGATACTAACGAGACTTTCAAGAAGAAAACAGGTATAAGAAGAAATGAGACTTTCAAGAAGAAAACAGGCAATTTACAGGAAATATGCTTGGAACAGGCACTCTATTGTATATATTCCTCACGGTCAATGGCTACCAAGCAACACCAAAGTTAGTTCATTATACCCTGCCTCACTTATGGCTGTGTCTTCTTTAGGGGGTTATTTACATAATATAAGCAGAATCTGGTAAGTAAAGTAAGAAATTGTGGATCTGTTTACAATTTGGTTCCCATGCTCAATTGTACATTAGTTTGGTCTCCTTTTAATAAACTTCTGTGTATGTACTCCAAACTCCAAGTTATTTCTGTACATACTCTTACAGCTTTGCATTCAGTCCTGCTAGGAAACTTCAACAATAAATTATATGCTATTGAATTTATTGTTGTTATTATAAATAGTTTTATGATACTGTTTTTTATTTATTGTTTCCTTAAATAGACACTGGAACTGCTACAGCAAATTAGTCAGAATATAACCATTGTTCAGAAAATGCTTGAATATTTTCAGCAGAAGCAAAGGAAAGTATATCATCAATTTGACTGGAAAAATAGCTGAGCTGTCTGAGAAATATTCCATGGGGAAGATCATTAAATATCTCAGCTCCATCCCTGCCCAACTACGGAATCTCCTCTGAGAATCTTGCAATGCTCCATTAAAAACCAAAAACAAACAAACAAAAACTCCTCATGTGATTCTGACAGACTTAATCGTCTATATCTGACAATTAGCCACGTGCTCATTTAGGGCTGAAGTGGGGAGAGTAAACTTGCATTGATTGTATGACTACTACATTCACTCTCTTATTTATTACTCGTAATGATTTTATAAGATAGGAATTACTCTATTCATTTTATACTTCAGAAAACTGTCCCAGAGTCACACAACTAAGACAACTATCAAATTGAAGATTTGAACTGTGGAGCTGCCTTGAAGCTGATTCTAAGCAATAGTGACATGAATACACACATACATATATATCATATGTATACTGAAGGCACTGGAGAACAGGCAGAAACTGCAGTCCACTCTGCCCCTGCTCCTAGCCATGGTCAATCCCCTTGTATAATGCAACACATCCCCATTGTTGGAGAACCCACACTGTATCTCTTTCAAGCTGTTTCAGTCCAGGTTCCAAAGGATAGCAGAAAATGTCAGTGCTTTTTGCAATGGAAGAAAAGGGTTTGGTTATGAGATTTTTTTTTTTTTTTTTTTTTTTGAGATAGCGTCTCACTCTTGTCACCAGGGTGGAGTGTAGTGGCGCAGTCTTGGCTCACTGCAACCTCCACCTCCTGGGTTCAAGCGATTCTCCTGCCTCAGCCTCCCCAGTAGCTGGGACTACAGGCATGCGCCAACAAGCCCAACTAACTTTTGTATTTTTAGTAGAGACAAGGTTTCACCATGTTGGCCAGGCTGGTCTCAATCTCTTGACCTCGTGATTCACCCGCCTCAGCCTCCCAAAGTGCTGAGATTACAGGTGTAGGCCACTGCGCCTAGCCAGTTATAAGATTTATGCTTTCACAGAATTATTGTACAGTTTATATGCCAGGGTGGGGAATTCACCTGCCATCATGGCTCTGGTGGCAAGTTCATCCATGGGAAGAAATTTCCTGATGAGAACTTCATGCTGAATCATATGAGTTTTGGGATCTTATTCATGACAAATGATGGGCCCAACACAAATGGTTCCTGGTTTTTAGTCCACACTATTCATACTGATTGGCTGGACCATAGGCTGGATGGCAAGCCTATGGTCATTGGTATGAATAATGTGGAATCTATGGAATGTTTTTGCTCTAGGATTGGCAAGACAGCAGGAAGATTACCACTGCTGCACCAGTAACTCTCATAATTTGATTTTATGTTATTTTTATCACCAAACAATGTCTTCTTCAGCTAAGGAGAGCAGCCCCACTCCCAGTCTGTTCTCATATCCCATAATCTTTGAGGTCTCATTTGCTATAGTTCTTCAGGCTTCATACCTGCCTTACCTCCTTCCAAGTCTAGCCAGACTTCACATTTAATTTCATGATTATTAAATAAAAGCTAAACAAGAGGCCGGGCATGGCGGCTCACGCCTGTAATCCCAGCACTTTGGGAGGCTGAGGCGGGTGGATCACGAGGTCAGGAGATCGAGACCATCCTGGCTAACATGGTGAAATCCCATCTCTACTAAAAATACAAAAAAATTAGCCGGGTGTGGCAGCATGCGCCTGTAGTCCCAGCTGCTGGGGAGGCTCAGGCAGGAGAATTGCGTGAACCCAGGAGGTGGAGCTTGCAGTGAGCAGAGATCGCACCACTGCACTCCAGCCTGGGAGACAGAGCGAGACTCCATTTCAAAAAATAAATAAATAAATAAATAAATAAATAAATAAATAAAGCTAAACAAGAAACAATATGCTTAGGGGGAAGAGTTATCCTTCTCAACCCCAAGGAGCACCAGGAGCCACCAGGATCCCACCAGGATCATCACAACCAGGTGACCACAGGGCATGAGAGGGATGACTCATCCCCTCTAACACAATCAAAAGAGCAGCAGCACAAACCACAACAGCAGCGTGGCCAAAAGCGTCCTGATCATTGTCATGACAGGCTAACTTCCACTTGCACCTCGAGGAGATTAAAGTTCTGCTACCAATGGCTATGCCCTTAGGGTCTCAGTTCCCCAACTTGCTTTCTCTCTTTCCAGAATGTCTTTTCCAGGAAATACACCCAGCCAGGTGGAGGGTAAACTTCCCACATGTGACAGCATGTATGTTCTCAGGGGCCACACTCTCTGTAGATGAGTAGAGTACAGAACCATGGTCTGGCTACTTAAGTACCTTGACACACTTGAGGTATCCATAAGATTTTTCGTATGTAGCTCACTTTATGTGTTATGAAAATTCAAATGGAAACATAAAAACTACCTTCAAATATTTGAAAAAGTAGTGGCAGATGGGACAGGCTTTTTCTGCCTCACCTTAGGGACACAGACAAGAATAAATGGTAGAAAAATTTTGGTGAGGCAAATTTCAGCTTCATTTAAAGAAAAACCTGCTAATTTTCAGAGCTCGAGTTGCTGTGAGCTACCCAATCTCTGGACCTGCAGTAAAGTGAACATCAAGCAGATTGTCAAGAGAAGGTCCTACAGTGGAATGATGTTTGGAGAAGAAAACTTCCAAGATGCCGTAATTGACTAATTTACCTCCTGTTCCTCTACAACTTATAGGAGAATCACAACCAGGTGAGCCATAAGTGTCTTAATTAAAAACATGGCTGATTTCTTATGGGCTATTTTTCAGCCACAGTCCTCAATGTTCAATCTCATTGTCAAAACACAATTAAAATATCCTCAGTCAAGCCTATTCAGGCTTCATCACAGAGGCGTCATTTCTTCTCATGGATTTGCTTTATTATTTTTTGTTTTTCCTTATGTTTCTCTGTGATTCTTGGAGACAAGTTTTTTATTCCAACAGAATAGGTCTTATGAGAAAAGCATGCATGGTGACTTATTCCATTTTTGATTGTTAATCAAGCTCAGAAGGGAAATTAATTATGCCAGAGTTTATGGTCAAGGTATTTTGTGCTGCAATTAATTTCCCATCTCTTTTATTTCCTCTGTGGAATATTAAGAGCACATGATTATTGGAGAACTCTATTTGGGGTGAATCAGGCTCTCTTAGGCCTCTTTAATATTTCCCAACCCTTGTACTTAACTTCAAATGTCATGCCTAAACATATGTTTAGGCTTTACCCTGAGGCTTTGCTTGAAGGATAAGCTCACAGAGAAAGTAACAGGCAGCTGCTTATCTGTTGAGATTGTCCATGTTGACAGAAGAGCATGGGGGTTGCTGAGTAGTGATTTGATTTTACTCCCATTGGATGTAAGTGGCAATTAGCCCCTTACAAAAAGAATAAAGAAGTAATTAATGATTGTAAACATAAAATGCTTCTCATGCAAACCTTTCCTTTATTGTCGTGATTTTAAAATTTAGCCTTTGCAGAGTTCCTATTTCAAAGACTGCTATACTGCTAACTACCTGTGTGATCTTAGGCAAGTCACATAAACTGCTTGAATTTCGTCGATAAAGTAAGATGTGAATATATGTTTTTGTTCCCCAAATATCTTACTTCTAAACATCATATAATTCAAATTCTCAACATGTGTCTAGGGTCACAATATTTTATTTTTCTCTTTGCTTTTGTCTTCGTGTGGAATATTTAGATGATGAGCTTAGGATTTAAAACTGAAGACATCTTTATTTCTGTTCTGTTAAATTTTACACTTGTTCATAATGTAATACTTAACTTTCTATTTCCAGTTCTCTGTTGAATTTAGACCAACTGTGTGACTTGTGGGCTAATACAATGTGAGCAAAATAACATTTGTAGCTTCCGGGATTAAGAGTGAATGATGATTCCTCATTTTCCCTCTCCCTCCTCCTGCTGTAACTAGCCTGGGTCTCTGCGTAAACGACATTGAGTAAACTCCTTCATCTGCCACCAATGAACATGAATCTTAAATTTGCTACTCAAACCATTGAGATCTGGGGACTGTTTGTCACTGCAGCATAACCTAGCCTATTCTGACTTGTATAAGTTTCTTCATCCATTTCAAGTAGATTATTGACAATAGCATTTCAGAGAACTTACAAATTGTCACTTACATCAGAATTGACAGATAAACCATGCCTCTGACACTCTTATCACATGGAGAACCCCCAAATTGGAGCTCAGCTCAGGAGGCCACGTGGGTTTTTGGCTTCAGGCAAGAAGGAATTCAAGAGTGAGCCAACAAAGTAAAGTGAAAGCAATTTTTTTTAAGAAAGTAAAGGAATAGGCTGGGCGTGGTGGCTCATGCCAGTAATCCCAGCACTTTGGGAGGCTGAGGCAGGCGGATCACAAGGTCAGGAGTTCGAGACCAGCCTGGCCAATATGGTGAAACCTCGTCTCTAGTAAAAATACAAAAATTAGCCCAGCATGGTGGTGTGCACCTGTAGTCCCAGCTACTTGGGAGGCTGAGGCAGCAGAATCACTTGAACCTGGGAGGTAAAAGTTGCAGTGAGCCGAGATCACGCCACTGCACTCTAGCCTGGGCGACAGAGTAAGACTCCATCTCAAAAAAAAAAAAAAGAAATTAAAGGAATAAAAGGGTGACTACTCTATAGGCAAAGCAGCCCTGAGGGCTGCTGGTTGGCTATTTTTATGGTTATTTCTTGATCATATGCTAAACAAGGGGTGGATTATTCATGAGTTTTCTGGGAAAAGGATGGAGAATTCCTGGAAGGGAGGATTTCTCCCTTTTTTAGACCATATAGGATAACTTCTGGAAGTTGCTATGGCGTTTGTACACTGTCATGGCACTGGTGGGAAATTCCGTTAGTATGCTAATGTATTATAATTAGCATATGAGCAGTGAGGACCACCAGAGGTCACTTTCATTGCCATCTTGGTTTTGGTGGGTTTTGGCCGGCTTCTTTACTACAAGCTGTTTTATCAGTGGGGTCTTTGTGACCTTTATCTTGTGAAATAAGTCCTGCCAAATTCCTAACTCACTTTCATACCACCTACCTAGGAAATTTAGCAAGTATGGTCGTTTAGTTTACTCATCACTCAGCAAAAACTTGCAAGTGATCCAAATTAAACAAACTGTTGGCCCTACCTCATCTAATTTCTCATCTTCATGTAAAATATCTAGTAAACAACAAATTTTGGTCAGTAGTGAATTATAAAGGACCACCTACATTCTTAAAATAGAAGACATTATTTGTACACACATTTGTTACAAAGAAACCACTGTGCAGGTTGCAGATATTTTTGTTCTTTCTGATGTTCTGTTGTTACATTTGACTTTTGAATGGAATAACATTTGCTATAATGAATTGAATCATTTCGAGGGTAAGAGATCTGGCCCTAATACAAATTTACCAAATGACATAAATTCTTTAAATTTGCTATTTAAGATAATTCCCTTGAAAACAAAACTCAGAAAAGCACACAATAGAAGAAAGTGGAGAGTCTTTCAAGTGTGCTAATGGTTGCCTTATTGTTCATATTCTACTGAGATCCTTTCCTCTTCTTGCTCTACATGCCCTCCCTGTGTGGTCTCCCCCTCCCTCAAGTTTCTAATAAAGAGACTCAGCAAAGAGAGAATAAAGGATTTTCTGAGATGGTCTTGGAAGTGTACAAAAAAAGAGGATGTGTGGGGAACTGAGCAGCAGAGCCAGTTATAGAGTGTTTGCCTTGGATGTTCTAAGCCTTCCCAGTGGATTCAGGAGGGAAAGTGTTGAAAGAGGGAAGACTTGAGGAGCAGAGGGAGAGAGCCAAGTTTTGGGGTACAAAAGCAGATCTGAAGGCCAAAGGGGAAATCAAGTCAGGGAACCAGAAGTGCCATCAGGAAAGGCAGTCAACAACAAGATTCAGCAACAAGGACTCTATAGAATCTTGCAAAACAGATGGCTGATTTTCTGCCACCTTGGTTCTTCCACCAAGAGTTCTGCTGTGAATTTGCTTCAGAAATGTCTCAGAGGCAGAGCACACTCCCTCCGGGATTCAGCTGCCATTTTATGACTTTAAGGCTGACCTCTAGCCTACAATCTAGGCCAGAATTTCTAACGACTCTTCGTCCTTCCTCCTACCTCCTAATCCAGAGCTCTTCTTTCATTACTCTGCCTCAGTGAATGGTCTCTGTCCATTAGTCCTGTATTCCAAGCCAGACCCTTGGAGTCAGCCAGAGTTGCTTTTTTCCCCCTCACTCCCCACGTCTACTCGATCATAAATCCTGATATTCTTACTTGAGAAAGATCTGTCCAATCCAGATTTCCTCTCAGTCCCCACCCTCTCTGGTGGGTTTTCCTGCCATGAGACTTTTCCTGCTCAATTTTTTTTTCTGACACAGAATAGAGTTGACCTCCTGTAGAGGAAATGGGTGTGTCAGGATCTCACACATGACAGAATGAGGGAAATGGGGACTGTATTTTTCTGAAGAACCAATGATCCCTGAGAAGTTAATACAGAGTGTTTGGGGATTAATAGGATGGAAGAAATCTGCCCAGGTAGGTGTCCCGTCTGCCAGGCTTCTTGTCTCTCTCCAAGTGCCAGATACCATCTCACCTCCACATCTGGGAGCCATCACAAATATACTACATCCTAAACAATCCTAGCCCAATAAGGTGAGACCCAGAAAGACACTGAGAAGTTCCTCTCCAAGATCTGGTTGCTGTCTGAAAACCTTCTGCATCTTGGAGTGGTTGATACCAGAAGTGACCACTCGTTTCCAGAAAGACTCTGGCTGCGTCCCATGGGGGTATGGTCTTATGGTGTCTACTAGATAGATACCCTTGAAAAAGTACCATGCACCTAATATCTACCGAAATGATACCCAGAGAAGGCTGCAGTAGGAAGTTGGATAAAGGGGCAGGCCTGGAGCTGAGGGCATGGCCTTATGGAGAGGGGGCAATGGGTATTTTCATGCAGGCATGATACTCCCATAAAGGGTAAAGTTGAATGCTCAGATCAACCTGAAACAATGGCTGCATTTGAGCAGAGAAGGATGAATTTTGGTATATTGTCTCAATGCCATGAACTTCATCTAATGTAATCTTCACCACAGCCTGTCAACAGATTGGGAAGCAGATCTAATTGTCTAAAAACATTAGATCAACGGTTTTCAAACACTCTTAAAGCTTACCGAAGATCCCAAGGAGATTTTGCTTATGCAGGTGATTTCTGTAAATATTTATCTTGTAAAAATTAAAACAGAGAATTTTGAAAGACAAGAATACACAAGCACACACTCCATGGCCATCAGAGTGATGATAACATTATGCGTCTTAAAGCCTCTGGAAAACTCCACTGTATGCTCGTGAGAGAATGAGCTTGAAAAAGACAAATAACATTGTAGCATTATTTAAAAGATAGTTTTTACTTAGTGTGGCCCCAAGAGGATCTGGGGGACCCTTCAGGAACCCTGCGCCATACTTTGAGGCCTATCTGACATGAGATCAAATGTTCCTTTTACTCCTCTCGAAAACTTGATGCTACACAGGAAATAATCCAGGAAAGTACCCTTACCTAAATGCTTAGGAAAAAGCAAACAATAGAAATCCACACAGTAGGCAGGAGTCATCTCTATTGGAATACAGATTTCTTCTGATTAATTTGGCATTTGGTTAAGGGGATTAACAAACTCACTTGCTTGGGCTTTCAATGTGGTCCCTTCCCTGGGACTGGAGCCCACTGTGCCCTCACACACAGCCAAGGCCGAGGCTCTCAACACATATTTAGTTGTGGGGCATGAGGGCTGGCCACTGTGCAAAGGCACAGGGGGCCACGTGAGACAGACCCGCTGCTGAATTACTCCACTGCTTTTCTTGCTAGGAAAAAAGGTGGGCTCATGGCTCAACTGATGTCCTGAAATCAGAAATTGCCATCGGTCCCTGGCACTGACTGAAGTATCTCAAATGAAAAGCATTTAAATTAAATTTGACCGCGTTTTCTAAGAGCTTTCTGAATTCACAGTGAAAAGCAACATCCATCAACCTTGTGCCTCTGCCCCACACAGACTAAGTCTAATTCACTTTTCCGTTATGGAACTGCAGTCCCTTGGGGGCATGGAGGGAGGAGCTCATTTCTTAAGGCAGTCGTGGTGTCTGTGCAGGCAAATGTCCGTCCCCAAGCTGTGGCCCAGGTCAGCTGGGCTTTAAGGATGTTGCAGCCTTCACCTCAGGAAAGCACGGCTCCATTTCATGTCTGCTGGTGACATACGCCTACAGATTTATTTTCTTTATAATGACTCAGTCCACATTGTTCAAAGAAGATATTTACCAACCGCATCCCATTGGCTCAGCTGCTCTTCAATCCATGAAAGCCCCTTTCAGGAGTTGTCATGTACATTTGTAAGTGCCTGGAAATCAATGCTATTTAGCCACTGTTTGTGACCTTTCAGACACAGAGATGATTTCAAAATGGCATGAGAAAGATAACATTAGGCGATTCCGATACAACACTCAGAATTTCCAATACCACTTCAATTGCCCTCTCTGGCAAAAAAAAAAAAAAAAAAAAAAAAAAAAAAAGGAGAAAAAGCCCAAGCTTTACTGGCTTCCAAGTCAGCTCTTAAAGCTAAAGTAAGTAGAGAGGCTGACCTGACTCACAAGAAGAGAACTGAATGCCCAGTTCTTACCCTTTTGTCAAAGGTCACGACCAGGTGACTCCACGTTTCCTAGAAGACGACCACTTGTGGGTTAGTGAAAGAGAACCAAGACATTGAGGTGAATGTCCTGGCTCCTATCTTGATTCGGCCTTGTGATTCCGTATGAAAATATCCTCTCTATACCTCAACTTCCCCATCTATGGAATGGGATAGTAACACTACAGTACTTGTTAGATTTACCTCAGAGACTCAAGATGCAGTTTTGAAACCTCTAAAGTTCTTTTCACTTTTTATCACTTTTTCAAAAGCAACATAGATCTATTTTTAAAAACTTAGATCACAGAGATTAGCTAAAATAAGAAAGAAATAACTTGAAATCCCATCACCAGTTTTTCTTCTAGGCACACACGCTTTCTTATTTTATTCAGTTATTTATTTAGTTCTAAAATAGGATTATTTTGAACACACTATCTGTTAACTTACTTTGTTACTTAACACTGTATTGAGTATAGCTTTTGAAGTCATTGCTTTTTTTTTTTTGAGATGGAGTCTCACTCTGTTGCCCAGGCTAGAGTGCAATGGTGCCATCTCGGCTCACTGCAACCTCTGCTTCCCAGGTTCAAGTGATTCTCCTGCCTCAGGCTCCTGAGTAGCTGGGATTACAGGTGCGCACCACCACACCTGGCTAATTTTTGTAGTTTTAGTAGAGATGGGGTTTCACCATGTTGGTCAGGCTGGTCTCGAACTCCTAACCTCGTGATCTGCCTGCCTCGGCCTCCCAAAGTACTGGGATTACAGGTGTGAGCCACTGCACCTGGCCTACATGTTTTTTTAGTAACATAATTTCTAATGATTGAATGGCATTCCATTGTGTATTTTTAGCATAATTTATCCCTCTAATTATCAAGTATTGGATATTTATGTGGTTTTATCTATTTTCTTTCTTTCTCCCCTTCTCTCTTTTTCTCTTTCTTCTTTTTCTTCCTCACTGTCTCTCCCACTCTCTCTCTCCTCCCTCCTTTCTGTCTCTTTGTCTCTATCTCTTTCTTGGCATTTGTAAATGACACAGCTGGAAACTCACCATCCCCCATTGTGGGAACATCAAGATCAGATGCCCTCAAAACAGGCAGCAGCCACGTAACTTAGGCTTGGCTGGCCATACCCTTTCACGAGATTTTAAATCTAGACTGAAAGGCTGAGGATAGAAGTGAAAGGGTTAGAATGCCTTCATTTCAGAAAAGGTGCTGTCCAGCAGTTTCTGCTGCCAAGACAATTTGGATCTGCTTTCCATCCAATTCAACCTCAGTTCCTCCTCATCCTCTCCGGCTTTCCAATGATCCCGTGTGATCCTGAAAATCCCTGTGGTAAATTTCCATCTGGCCTAAGGTAGCCATTTCCCATTTCTGTTGTTTATTATAAAAAAATCTCTAGCAAATGCAAACAGGAAACATCTGTACATTGTACGGTACTAATCTGACTTTTTAACATTTTAAATTAATCAAAGGAATGACTTACAGACATTAAAATTAAGGGTAAGTCTATAATTTTGGTTATGCTGGGACTTAGTTTATTTTTCTCCTTTACGAATGCCTGTTTGCCTCTGGAAATAGTAAACGTTTGTGCTTTTTTAGCTTGCCAAGTAAATTGATATTTGCTTAATTTGCTAATGAACTCTATTAGTGTCATGGCTGGAAACTGTTGGGAATAAGTTTCAACCGAGACCTAGTTTTTATAGGCTATTTATGAACCCCAGAAAAGAAAGATTTACTGTCATTTTTATGGAAATGCTCACAGGACCATAACTATGGTAACACAGACGGCATAGTTGTAAAATGCACATGTATGTATGCAGAAAAAGAAGAATGGTTAGGTAAATGGATGTTAGAATCACCTGTGAGTGAGAGGAACCTTGCTGTGGCATGGTTTTTGTTCAACCATATGGCCTAGCAGAGCAAGCGACAGGATGACTTTTCTTTTCAGTCTTTTGTCTGATTTTCTTTAGGAATCCATAATCGGGCTGGGTGCGGTGGCTCATGCCTGTAATCACAGCACTTTGAGAGGCCAAGGTGGGTGGATCACTTGAGGTCAGTAGTTTGAGACCAGCCTGGCCAACATGGCGAAACCCTGTCTGTACTAAAATAAATAAATTTTAAAAAATTAGCCAGGCGTGGTGGCAAATGCCTACAATCCCATCTACTTGGGAGGCTGAGGCAGGACAACAGCTTCAACCTGGGAGGGGAAGGCTACAGTAAGCCAAGATCATGCCACTGCACTCCAGCCTGGGTGACAGAGTGAGACTCTGTTTAAAAAAAAAGAATCCATAGTTGAATTCTTCATGGTCAGTCTGCATAGCGGTACTATTATTATTCTCTCAGACCAAGGGTTCACTGGGAGGCAAACCCTCTTGAGAACTGGCCTTTGGGGATCCACCAGGGATCAGCCAGGGGCTTCCAACTTGGAACTAAGCGCAGAACTGTGACACTCAGGACAGCTTAGGGCCCTCCTCCTAGCTCCATGTCTTCCTCTGTCTTCCTTCCACTTCCTCTGATAGTACCTAGTGCTGCAGAATAGAGCCCAGCCACTATAACACATGCTTAAGAATCAGACTGGTTTGAGATATAGAATCTGATACAGCTAGTTTTGAATCCAGTTCAGCTGCACTGACCTGACTTACAATAATTTATCCAACCAATTCCCTAGTATTGGACACTCTTTCTAAATACTCAGGTTCTTCACTCTTTCAAATTGTCATAAGGATTTATGAGATAGTGAATGCCTGGTATGTAATAATAATGGTATGTGATAACATATGTAATAATAGTATATAATAGTAATGGTGGCCATTATCATTTTGTAATAATTATGTTTGCCAGTAAGATATTTTGGGGTTTAAGGAACCCCAAAAGCCTCACATACTGGGTTTATTGAAAGAATATTTACAGGAATTAGAAAAATAATAATCCTAGCCACGTGAGTAGTAATGAATATGGGGAAATTCAACAAGTGGGACTAGGAGACCCACAGTATATCTGGGCCTCAGGACATACATACGGCTGGATCATCAATCAGCCCCCAAGAAAGTTTTGGGGAGGTGAGTGGCTGGAGCCCATAGCTTCCTACTCTAAGGCTTCCCTACTCACTTCACTGTCCTCTCTGTGCTTCTCACTTTTTTGAATAGGAACGAAAATTTTATGCTAAATGTTATTCATTCTTTCACATATAGAGCAGTTTTATTTTTATTTTTATTTATTTATTTTTTTGAGACAAAGTCTTGCCTGTCACCCAGGCCGAAGTGGAGTGGCGTGATCTCAGCTCACTGCAGCCTTCCTCTCCTTGGTTGAAGCAATTCTTCTGCCTCAGCCTCCTAAGTAGGTGGGACTACAGGTTTGCACCACCACGCCTGGCTAATTTTTGTATTTTTAATAGAGACGGGGTTTCCCCATGAGTTCAGGAGACTGAAACTCCTGACCTCACGTGATCCACCCTCCTCAGCCTCCCAAAGCCACTGTGCCCCGCCCAGAGCAGCTTTATTTTTGATGGCTTCATAGCATCTCATAATATGGGTATACTGTAACATATTTAACCAATCTTCACCTACCAATGGACTATTAGATAATTTGGCTACTACAAAAAATATTACATGAAAATTTTCTTTTTTTTTTTGGCAATTTATCTTTTCTGAGACAGGGTCTCACTCTGTCGCTCAGGATGGAGTGCAGTGGCATGATGTCAGTTCACTGTAGCCTCTACCTCCCTAGATTCAGGTAACTCGCCTAACTCAGCCTTCCGAGTAGCTGGGATTACAGGTGCACACCACTATGCCCAGCTAATTTTTGGGTTTTTGTAGAGACGGGGTTTCACCATGTTGCCCAGGCTGGTCTTGAACTCGTGGGCTCAAGTCATCCACCAGCCTTTACCTCCCAAAGTTCTGGGATTACAGGCTTGAGCCACCATGCCTGGCTGAAATGTTCTTGATTATCCTTGAACACATGCTTTAAAAAATGTATTTAGTTGATAAATAAAAATTGTGTATATTTGAAGTATACAATGTGATGATTTGACACATGCATATGTTGTGTACTGATTACCACAGTCTAAGTAATGAACACATCCATGGCCACCCATAGTTACCATTTGAGTGTGCATGTAGTGAGGACACTTTAGATCTGCTCTTACCAAATTTCAAGTAAACAATACTCGACTATATTGTGGTTAACTATAGTTACAATATTGTAATTTAGATTCCCAGAATTTACTCATTTATAACTGAAAGTTTGTACCCTATATGCTTATTAAAAAGAAAAGGATGTTTCTTGTTCTTCCCCTTCTAATGGCTGGCTCCCTCACCCTCTCCCCTGCATTCTCTCTCTGTGTCTCATAGCTTTTTTTCCTGTGTGTATTTTCTTCTTTCAAATGCTTCAGCTTCTTCCTGACTTCACCTCATGCAATGCCTCTTGGCCGCTCTTAGGACATCTTTTGAGTTCCTGCTGATTTTCCTGCCATTAGCAGTGCAGAGTTCATGTATATCAGAGTCTAGCTTGCCCCTTTTTGAAGAGAAATGTTCTTTCCAGACTCTACAACAAGCCTGTCTACTGTGGGTGAGATACCTTTCCTGGTCAAAGTGGACACAGTGAGATAGCATCATATCCACGTTTAATGTAGTTGGGCTCAACTGCATGAGCTGTGTGGAAAGAGAAATAGAGGAGCACACAGGGAGACAGAGGGAGGGGAAAGAGGAGCAGCAGAGTTCAAATGAGTTGTGCAATTTTGCCAGCATTTCTACTTGTGAGCAAGTGCCTTGGGATGAGAGTAAAATGGAAGATTTCAATCTATGGACTATTTAGATTTTCTCAGTTTCTACATTTTTCTTGTGGTGCGAGAAAACCCTAAACTGCATGTGATTCCAGTGTTTTAAAGTGTATTTTTGGACCATACTGTCCGAAGTTAGGTCTCCTGGTCACAGACTCTGATATGGAGATTTGGGGGCAGGAGATTTATTGGGGAATGATCTTGGGACCAACATCCTTAGAGTGAGGGAGCAGAATTGGGTAACGAGAAGTTAAACTGTGTTGCAATTGCAACCAAGGCTTTAGAATTGTCCCCAAATGAGTCAAGAGGGCCAGGCTTATGCACCTCCAACTCAACCAGTCAATAGATACAAGCTGACCCTAGGAAGGGGGCACAAATTTGGGCAAGGAAGCTCCTTTAGCTCACGGCAATTACTGAAGAGGCCATGGCTGGAAGCCAATAGCAACCAGTTCTCCTGGTAGCTAGAGAAATGGGTATCTCAGTCCTAAAAATGTTAGATCTGGGTGGCACATTACAGCTTCCACCACCCAGAGGTGGTATCTATTTATCAATGCATAAATGTATATCCATTTTTCTGCTCACCCATCCAACTAACCCATCCACACATCCTGTCGTTCACTCAACACACATTCATTGAACACCATGTGCTGGCCACTATCCTAGGAGTTGGGAATACATTAAAGTACAAAGCTAATGAAAGCCCTGCCCTCATAGAGGCTACATTTCAGTGAGGGAGGCAGATGCCCAATTTCAGGTAGTGACAAATGCTGTGAAGATACATAAGATGAGATAAGGAGGACAGAAAATGAGAGAGGAGGTTATTTTATATAGTGTGCTCAGGGACGAGCTTTCTGCCCAGCCTCCTTTTAAATAGTAAACTGAATGAGGTGAATCAGTGAATGGGCTAATTGGGGAAAGGATGTTCTAGGCAGAAAGAGCAGGGAATCCAAAAGTCCAGAGGCCTAACTGGGTTTGGCATGAAGGAGGAAGTGTTCGTGTGTCTGGAGTACAGGGAGTGAAGGGGAACATGATTAGAGGTGATGTTGGAAGGTTAGACAGGAGTCACATCATGTGAAGCCTTAATGGCTACAGAAAGGACTTTTGATGTGTTTCTGAGTAACATGGGCATTGGCTGCTATTGAGCTGAGGAGTGAAGTGATCGAACTTCAGCGTAAGCAGGATTACTCTGGCTGTAGGTGGGCAAGGGAGGGAGCAGGGAGACCAACCAGGAGGCCAGTTCAGTCCAGAGGACGAGTGCTGAGAGCAGAGAAGTGGCTCCTATATGCCAAGTGGCTGTTTTATTTAGTGCTTGATAAAATAAAACAAGAATCAGTTTCCAACAATGGATGAAAAACATCTGTGTTGGGCTTGTTGTGAGACAGTATACAAAGTGGTGACTTCCTAAGGGATTTTAAAGAGTAATTTTGAAAATATGCAATTTTAAGCTTATTTGCTGAATTTTAACTCCAACTCCCCAGGCGTCTGTAAGATGAGATGTGAATAAACTTCTCTTATGGCTGCCAAACCCTTGAGCGTAAGAGACTGTGCCTTTTATCTACGCATCCCAAATATTTACCATGGTGCCTGAGACTAAGATATTTAAGGAATAAATGAATGAATCATGAGAAGATGGTATGGCAAGCATTTGTCTTATGTGGACTCTCTACAGACTTGGTGCGCCCACACTGGACATTACTTTCAAGAAGAATGTGGTGATTAGAGTCTTAGAAAAAATATTATTTTCTCTGACCAATCAACATGTATTTGAAATGAAGACATTCTGGAAGTTATGTGGGATTGAAAGTTCACAATTCATATGCTCGATTTGCAACTAACAACTCAGAAAGATTTAAAGAGGCAAGAAATAATTCTTCACAGTCAAGAAGGTAGATACTTACAGCATATTATATTTTCTAAAGATTTATCCCACATGTTATTCTGCAGTGTAACTTTTCCAAACTCCCTTCCAGAGGAATAATCTACTTTGTACTCCTTTGAGTCTGGGTGTGCCCCATGACTGCTTTGACCAGTAGCACATGGCAGAGGTGATGCTGAGCCCATTCCAGGCTCAGCTTAACATGCCTGATAGTGTCCTGCACTCTTGGGTATCCCCTTCTCAGAACACAGATGCTACACTGAAACTCCCCAGCCACATTGAGGTATTTCAGTTGAAAGCTCCAGCCGAGCTGCAACATTGTCTGGCAATCGTGTGACTGGGTCATCTTGAACACTCCAGCCCAATTAAGCCTTCAGATGACTGCCACTCCAGACAAACCTGACTGCATTGCATGAGACACACCAAGTGGAAACCAGCCAGTTGAGTTCAGTCAAGCCACAGATCCATGAGCGATGATAAGACGTTATTTTAAGCTACTAAGTTTTGGGGTGGCTTGTTGCACGGCAGGAAAAATGGAATGATACCAATCATGGACACCTAATCACTTAGTGGATGTCCATGCCGAATGGAGTGAATGTCAAATCTCATTGTCTTGGGGTGGCCTGGGCCCTCCCACTTTCCACCAACTTCACAGGCCTGGCAAGGCCTGGATCTGTAGTGAGCAGCATCACAGACTCATGAAGTCATGAGTGAGCCCTAAGTGATTCTCTGCCATCATCTCCATCCCACGACACTCTCTCCTTTCCCTTTCCCTTCTTCCTGTCTGGCTCCTCACTCCTCATACAGAAGCTAGTTTTCTTCTTCCTTTATTAGCTTCTCTCCCCTGGATAATTTTCTTATACTCTTATATTTTCTCTCTTTGTTCATCCTTTCCCCTTCCTATCCCCAAGTTTTTCCCACATTTGTGGCTCATCCTCTTCTAACTTCCGTTGAGTGCCACTGTCTTCCTCTCTTTTGGGTTCACTTTGGGTGGTGGACAGCTGATGCTTTTGCCTGCCTGGCTCCTCTTGCTCTTTGTTTTGTTACCATCATAGAGGCATCCTTCCCTCATTCCACGTGATCTATGTGGGACTGTCAATCAAGCCTCCCTCCCCCTTCCCAAGCAACCTTCAATCAAAGGCACATCACGTGACCAAAATAGGCCACACTCTTCCTCCTGGGAATTTGAGTCTTCAGTGTTGTGTTGATAGAACATGGTTGGTGTTGAGTGCAGACACCGGGAGAGATCACCCATTTGTTCCTGCTGCCTAGATTTGGGGAGCTGAACTGTCTCATTCCTGTTCCCCCATTCTCCTGAGGCCTGCTTATTCATTTTTTTATTTTCTATTTTTTGCATTATAAGCTATTCTTCCAATGGGTAATTTTAAACTTGAATCAATCAGACTTATTTTCTGTTGTTTAGAACTAAAAAGTCTCAACAGAAAAATTGTCTCCTTCCTTTTCCTCATACACCTTTTATTTTCTTCTCTCATTTTCTCTCCCTCCCCATTTAGTCCTCTTACTTTATTTTTTTATTTTTATTTTTTGAGATGGAGTCTTGCTCTGTCACCCAGGCTGGAGTGCAGTGGCACGATCTTGGCTCACTGCAGACTCTGCCTCCCTGGTTGAAGTGATTCTCCTGTCTCAGTCTCCCGAGTAGCTGGGATTACAGGCATGTGCCACCACACCTGGCTAATTTTGTATTTTTAGTAGAAAGAGGGTTTCACCATGTTGTCCAGGCTGGTCTCGAACTCCTGACCTCAGGTGACCCATCTGCCTTGGCCTCCCAAAGTGCTGGGATTACAGGCATGAGCCACCGCGCCCGACCAGTTCTCTGTCTTTCTATTTATTTCTGTGCTTTTCTCTTTCTCATTATCTCTTTTCACTGATGAACATACACAAGAATTTTCTCTCACATGCACCCTTAACCATTTTGTTTTCCTCCAGGTTCTTCTTATACTTTTTAAATAATCAAATTGTTTTAAAATTAAAATCTTCTGGACCTTGCTTATGTTCAGTCAATTCCAGATGGCTCTCCTTCCCTTGCTGGTGGTCTGTGGGACTGTAATGAAACCGTGCATCTCTGTCATTATTTTTAGCTACCTGTCCCTTACAGCTCCCTCCCAGAATGTTTACCGGCTCTTCCAGAAAACAACAGTATTTTCTTGCTGCATGGCTTGGCCCCTGAGCACCAGGCCTCTCCTTCTGGGTCTGTAGTGGTGGCTTGTAGAGGGTCTCGTATGAACATGGCATATCTTTGGTGCTACTTTTTTAGGGGGTATCTTTAAACAGCCTGGCTGATAGAATTGACTCATGGAGAATATCAAGGTCCAGAGTTAAAATAACTTTGGAGTGAAAAATAGGAGATCTGGGCTCCATTCTGAGGTATGGAGCACCTGTGTCCAGGCTCTGAACCACTACATGTGCTGCCTGTCACTGGGTGCCCGTCTGCTTCTCCCCCTCTTTTATTTTCCTGCACTGGTCCTGGTCAGGGCTGTGCACAAGGGCAGGTTGCAGGCAGGGTCCTCCAGAGAAAACTGCCAGGGCCCATCTCTGAGTGACCTGTTAGGAAGGAGATGGCAAGTGGTAGTAGGGCCACTTGAGAGAGTCTGGAACTGAGGAGGTTTATAAGTAGCATGACACACACATCGTCAGTGCCCTGCCTGTATTTGCCTGCCACTCACCATTCCTGTGCATGTTAATGACGTCCCATTGCCAGCACCTGAGAAAGCCTGAGGGCTTTTGCTGGCTGCAGGTGTGTCCTTGGTCGATGTGTGGGGCAGGTCAGAGTATAGAGGAGTTCACCTGGGGGCAGCCTTTAACCAATGATGAAAGTAAGTTATTAGCTAAACACCTCAGCTCTTTAACTCCTTAAAGAGGGACCTACTCCAAGGCATGTTCTATACAGTCTCCCAGAGGTCCCCAGTGGGACTGAGCCTCATCACAGTAACTCGCACATCAAAATACCTTATATTGGCCACCTTCCCTTTCCTGTTTTACTCCCCACTCCCTACTAGTGCTTCCTGAGGTCACCCATTCCCCCGCAATAAACCATCTACACTCAAATCCTTGTCTCAGGATCTATGATCTGGGACAGGTCAATCTGATAAGGTCCTCAAACTGCACAGCCAGTGGATGACAAGTCAGAGAGAGCTCCCAGTGATGATATGGAAATACAAGTTGGCCCCTTGAGGAGTTCCTCTTTTTAAATTGGTGCCTGCATGTGTGTGTGTGTGTGTGTGTGTGTGTGTGTGTGTGTGTGTGTGTGATGATGGGCTGGGGACAGACATATGAAATTACTCTGGACTAGGGGATGGGCAACAGAAGCCCATTCAGGTTTTATTACCCATTAGCTAAACAAATCGCCGAGCTTTCTCTATCACATTGTCTTCTTAAAAATATGGCCCAGCCAGGAGCAGTGGCTCATGCCTGTAATCCTAGCACTTTGAGAGGCCGAGGTGGGTGGATCGATTGAGGTCAAGAGTTCAAAACCAGCCTGGCCAATATGGTGAAACCCCCATCTCTACTAAAAATACAAAAAAAATTAGCCGGGCTTGGTGGTGGGTGCCTGTAATCCGTGCCTGTAATCCCAGCTATTTGGGAGGCTGAGGCAGGAGAATTGCTTGAACCCAGGAGGTGGAGGTTGCAGTGAGCCGAGATTGCAGCACTGCACTCCAGCCTGGGTGATACGGTGAGACTCTGTCAAAAAAAAAAAAAAAAGGCCCAACTGGTACCATAACCTGAAAGCATTAACTGACAACTATGAACCTTTTTTTAGCCCATTGAGAAATAATTGTGGTGCTGGGGCCTTTAGGTTCCTTTACTTATTAAAGGTTCTTTTAGTTTTTATAGTAAAATAGTTTTGATAACAATTTCTAAAATGGCAGCATTATGTACTAAGCTATGGCTGTGAATAGTGCTGATTTTCAACAACTATGTTCATTATAAATTCACTGACATAAAAAGTGCCATAGTGATGAACTCGTGTGTCCTGAGCTCTGAAATCATGAAAATTTAATGGCTGCACTTCCATTGCCATGAGTCATGGTTCCATTGTTGCCATTAGTTCCTGTTTAACATGCTTGAAGCATCCTACAACAGAGCAAGCTGATCCTTTCAAGACAGCTTGTCTTTCACTGTGTTCAGGACTGGGACTTGGGGCTTTGATGTTTCCTGCATCTACCCTGCAGACCACGCTATGAGTTTTCCTACAAGGCTAAGAGGCTGTCATGAGATGCTGGGAACACCAGCTCTATTTTATTCTGGGCCTGGAGAGGGTGATGAGTTTGTTCTAAGACTCAAGATTTAGAAGCACAGATTCAGAAAATCAATGCTTTTGACTTCTTCCAAGATGATTCTGCAGAATGGGTCCAAAGAGAAGAGAGGCAAGAACAGTTGACCACAAGAAAATGTATAGAAAAGTTATATGTCATGCATGCTGCTGTGTGTTTTCCCATGATGGCCTTGTTCAATTTCCACAGAATTCCTATGTGTATATTTATTATATTCATTTTTGCAGATGAGGAAATTCAAGTTTAGAGACATAAAGTAACTTGCCTGAGATCACACCACTCATGAGCATAGAATTGGATCTCCAATTTCATCTTTTTCATCACTTTGTCTTATAGCAGTGTTTGAACATTTGAAGTTGTTGGTTTCTTCCACAGTCGCATATTCTCTTCGAACCCAAGTTTCCCCACCAGTGTAGGAGGTTGGGACAGATGCTGACTAAAGTTCCTTCCAACACTTGGATTTTATGAGGGGCTGTTAAAGGGTGAGCCTGGGCCAAAATATTCTGGGTCTTCTATTTTTCTGTTCTTATTATTGGATGAATTGACTCTGCAAAAATGAATGTAATGAATATACACATAGGAATTCTATGAAAATTGAACAAGACCATCACGAGGAAACTGCATGAGACACTTCTAAGATCATGAATTGTCTTTACAATGACTCCATTTGAAACCTCCTTTGGGAATCCACAGAGACCTCCAGCAGGGTGTTCCCAGCAAGGCCCACCTTAAGCTGGGTGACTTCTGGGGGGAAGTTTCCTACACACCACTTATTCCAGCCATGGTATGTGGGTTCTTGGCTTACTTCCCCACACAGATTCCAAAGCAGACCTGTAGAAAGCTTTCCAAAGGAGCCAATGAGGGCTTGCCTTGGAGACATTCCAAACCTGTATGCTAGAGCTTAGTGAAGGGCCACAGTAATTGTGTAGCCCTACACTTTTACAGGAGCCTGGCATGTCCACACCACTCACCTGCTGACCTCCAAGGTGTCCACTGCGCCACGGCTCTACCTAGAAACAACACAAGGCTTTCTTTGCTTTCGGTCTCTGTTTTTGCTTCCTGGCTTTAGCCCTGTCTGTAATCAGGGCTCTAAGTTTTGTTCTCCTGCTTTTGACTTTTCTCTCTTGGATATTTGTTCTGAGTCATATTTCTGGCCACTTCCATTTAGGATCATGTTGTATAGAACATTCTGCCTTTAGTCTGGTCACTTTTGACCCAGCCCACCCCCTCCTAGGAGCCCATGGGACAAGAGTCTGGTCTGGACCTTCCCCATCCTGAGTGAGATGAGTAAGTTTCAAAGCCTGTTCCAAATTGAGTCAGGAAAATGGGAAATATAGTCTGCTCTCCAATTAGAAGTGAGGTTCACAACACTATGTTGTATATATCAAAGTAGCTAAAAGAGAGGACTTCAAATAGTACCTGCTGGGCGAGGTGGCTCATGCCTGTAATCCCAGCAGTTTGGGAGGCTGAGGCAGGAGGATTGCTTGAGCCTAGGAGTTTGAGACCAGCCTGGGCAACATGGCAAAACCCCATCTCTATGAAAAATACAAAGATTAGCCGGGTGTGGTGGTGAGCACCTCTAGTCCCAGCTGCTTGAAAAGCTGAGGTGAAAGGATCACTTAAGCCTGGGAGATCGAGGCTGCTGTGAGCCGTAATTGCACCACTGCACTCCAGCCCGAGACTCTGTCTCAAAATAAATAAATAAATGAATAAATAAATAAATGGTACCAACACATAGAAATGATCAATACTCAAGGTGATGAATACAATAACACCCTGACTTGATTAGGACACACTCTATGTGTGTTAAAAACTCTCACATGTGCCCCATAAGTATGTAAAATATTACGTATCTATAAAAAAAACTAAACAAAACGAAGACATGGGAGGATAAATGTGGAGAACATAAAATGAAAAATTCACTCCTGCTAAAGTAGCAGTATACTTGGCCTGTGGCCTACTTCTGCCATATATATATTTGACCACTTTTTTCCACTGATACTGCCCAGAGGTAATGGTTTCCATTGCAATTTAACAAATTACCACAAACTTAGTGACTTCAAACAACATAAATTCATTTTCTCAGTTTCCATGGTTCAAGAGTCTGGGTATGTGTTGGCTGATTTCTCTGCTCCAAGTTTTATTGGGCTGAAGTCCAGGTGTTGGCCAGGGCCATGATTCTTGTCTCAGGCTCAGGGTTCTCTTCCAAGCTCACTGGTTGTTGACAGAATTCATTTCTTTTTGGTTGCATGACTGACTATATCCTGTATGACTGTATAGCCTCCTTGCTAGATATCAACTGGGGACCACTTTCAGTACCTAGAGGCCTCCTGCAGATCCTTGCCACATGGCCCCCACCTATAATTCACAACAGGCCTCTCTACTTTCTCTCGGTTCAGCAGGAGAATGTCTCTTTGGTGTTTCATCTTCTTATAAAGTTCCCTCTGGCTGAGTCAGGTTTACCAAGGTAATCTCTGATTAACTCAAAGTCACCATGAGAAGAGGGATGACCTAAGATTCCATTAGTGTCCTGCCTGGTGTGCATCTACAGCAGGGGCAGCTCTGGTTTTCACTGTTTGTGAGTCTTGTGTTTACTTTGGGAGTTGACACCCGAAAAATATGGAAGAAAACAGTTTTAATACGATTACTTATGGCTACTCGACACTTGATCTTGTCAGACTCATCAGCCCTTGGTTCTGCAATCAAGACTGTTATTCAACATATACAAACCCTAATTCTCACTTACCTGCTACCATTCTTCACTTGCAGTGAGGGAGGGCCACTGGCTTTGCTGTATCACATATAAAAGAGTTAGAGTTAGACCTGGGTTCTAATAGCCTCTTAAGCAGACTTTCAACGAATTCTCCTTTTCTATGTTCCACTAATAGCTCCCATTCCAAAGGCACTTGATGCAAACAATTCTTGAAACTTTGGGGAGTACTGTGATATATTTCAGGTTCTCTTTGGCTAAGGATTCAGATTTGTAGATTTAATTAACATCAACTCATCTGCTTTCAAGATTCCTACATTTTGTTTCTGTTGAATTATCTTATTTCCTTTCTGTTTCAGTTTGGGGAGGAAAGGGATCTAAAGGAGTACACTCCATGTACCATCCTTTTTTTCCATAAAAATTCTATATATTTAAGATTTACAGCTTGATGGTTTGACATACATATACATAGTAAATGCTTACTATGGTCAAGCAAATGAACATAGTATGTGTGTCATCTTTAATCAGAAGCCTGCTAATTTCATTCTTTGACTATTAGTGATCCATGAGTGACAGAGATGCAGCACAGCACAGAGGAGAATGGAGTCACTGGGAGTTTGGCGATCCAGCTTTGATAAGAACGAGGTGCATAACCTTGAGCAAGTCATTACCTCTTGTTGACTTTTACTTTCTGTTTCTGTGAAATAAGGCATTGAATTAGATAACCATGAAAGCACCATCAATGATTCTACGTGGTCCCTCCATTTTGCAGGATTCTGAGTTGATCAAGTCAACTTCTTTTCTTTAGTGAGTCAAATAAAAGTTTTGAGTGTAAATATAGCATTTTAGTTAGTTTTCTATCACGGTGCACACAGTAGGACAGGGGTCAAAGTAGGTTTCTGGCCAAGATGCCCATATCTGGAGGATCATCCCCAGACTGAATGTCCCAGCATTTATGCCACATGGAAACCTATGCCATTTTTGAGATGATAATGTTTGTTAGGAAAACGAAAGTTAGGCACACCCATAGGTGCTTTGTCATTTCCATAGCTTTTTCCTGGTTCCACGTTTGAAAGACAATTAGGAATGGAGGCATCTCAGCCAGTGTCTAAATCTTGCTGTTGATACAACTCTGATGAACAGACGAACACCAGGGTCCTTGGTCTCATGTCGATTTATACAAAACAACAGACACACGTGGAGTGGTTTAAGGAGCACAGAGTTTAATAGGCAAGAAAGAAGGAAGAAGCTCCCCTGCACAGAGACAGAGGGAGAGGGGCTCCAAGCCCAGAGAGGAAACCCTGAGTGCCACAGAAAACAGCCAGTTATATGAGGAAGCTAGAGGAGGTGGTGTCTGATTTGCATAGGACTCAGGGGATTGGTTTGACCAGGCATGTCATTCACGTAGCCTGTGAAAAAACTGGCCCTCCCATCCTAGCCTTTCAATATGCAAAATCAGGTTGCCATTTTGTTCTATACACTGGGTATTTGTGGGGGCAGCCATGTTACCAGGCACATGTGGGGGCAAGAAGAAGATGCAGGAACCGCCATATTTGGCTGGACCCAGTTTCTAATGGCCTGCATTTGCACATTAAAGCTTGCTGGCCCTGGCTGGGGGTGGTGGCTCACGCCTGTAATCCCAGCACTTTGGGAGGCGGAGGCAGGCAGATCATGAGGTCAGGAGATCCGACCATCCTGGCTAACACGGTGAAACCACGTCTCTACTAAAAATACAAAAAAAAAAAAAAAAAAAAAAAAAAAAAAATTAGCTAGGCGTGGTGGCAGGCGCCTGTAGTCCCAGCTACTCGGAAGGCTGAGGCAGAAGAATGGCGTGAACTTGGGAGGTGGAGCTTGCAGTGAGCCTGGATCGCGCCACTGCAACTCCAGCCTGGGCGACAGAGCCAGACTCCATCTCAAAAAAAAAAAAAAAAAAAAAGCTTGCAGCCCAGCTCTTAGTGCTGGGGCTTTCCTGAAGCCAAGGAAACGTTGTCCTGAAGACAAGAAACGTTTCTGGAGCTGCTTTAAAAGAAACCAAAACTTCCCAAGGATCCCTTTTCCTCTCTATCTGCCTAAAATAATGTCTTAGTAACTCTAATGCTGTGGTATAGGTTAGAGCATGATGATGGCCTATTTCTGGCCAGGACTGCCATGTACCAGGGTTGATGGCTATAGCTGTCCTGATGAACTTGAGAAAAATACCTTTATTCTTAGGTCTAAATGTTGCAGTCTGGCAAATGAGACTATTTGTTGTTTTATATGGGCTCCTACAAGACCAATTTATAATAAATAATATAATAAATATAGTATTTGAACTCCTTGGGAGAAAAGCAGATTATTTGTTTCACTGTGTGTGTATCTGCCTATCACATATGTGTGTGCACATAGGTATACACATATACAGAGACACACATTTACACACATATACATATGTGTGCAGTATGTGTGTACATACTTATAAGAATCAGACCCCTCTGGACATGTCTGATGAGCTGTGTCCTGCCCAGTGTCAGTTTCACTGAGCATCCCACCCCCCTCCCAAAGGAGCAAGGAGATGGGTGAAGGGACCCCTATATATCACTCATCTCCTCCCAAGACTCACAAGAAGCATGAGACCTGGGGAGACCCAGCAGTGGTGGCAGGGCTGCTGGGGTACCCAGGCAGTAAAGTGTGCCACAGATTGAGGTGTGGGCTATGTCCCCTGCTTTCTCTCAAGAGAAAGCTGGGCATGACTGCAGCACATTGGAAGACCACTGTGAAGTCACAATGATGTCCGGTGCCTCGCAGTTAGGGAAGGGAGCCTAAAGAAAGAGAAAAGGAAAGAGATGGCAGCCTCCATGTGGTAGCTGACTGAATCAGGATGAGGGGCTTCCAAAATTACCTTAAGAGCTTTGAGGAGGGTCAGAATTAATTTTCTTTTTTATTAATATTTTCCTTTTTAAAAATTCAATCATTAGAGGCAAAAGCCAATAAAACACAAAGTATATCATTCCTTGGGGCTTCCGTGAACATTCCATCACCTTAAAGGGTGATGATCAATCTGTCACCCCAAAGGTACCCCAATCCCTAGAACATTTGGATATGTTATGTTTCATGGCAAAAGGGAATAAGGTTGCTAAGAAGCTGACCTTAAAATAGAAAGACTAGCATGGATTACCCAGGTGGGCCCAATGTAATCACAATCACTCTTAAAAGAGGAAAAGGGGGAAGAGTGGATTGGAGAGATGTGATGTGGGAAGAACCCAACCCATATTGCTGGTTTGAAGATGTGGGAAGGGGGCCTGAGCCAAGGGATGCAGTAGTCTCTAGAAGGTGGGGATGGCCCTCAGCTTACAGTCAACAAGCAAATGGAGACCACAGTCCTACAACCACAAGAAACTAAATTCTGCCAACAACCCCAATGAGCAGGAAACCAATGCTCCCTGAGAGACTCCAGAAAGAAATACAGCCTGCTGACATCCTAATTTCAGCCTGGTGAGACCCCTGCGGGACTTCTGACCTACCAAACTGTAAGACAATTGGTCTGTGCTTCTCTAAGCCACCAAATCTGTGGTTATCTGTTAAGGTAGCAATAAAAACTTATATGATAATCAAAATGTCTAGGCCCAAATGGTTCAATTCTCTCATCTTTAAACACTCTTCAGAGTTGCTCTCAACTCTAAAAAATCTCTCTCTACTTTTTTATTCTTTTATTCAAATAGGAACTTGAAAATATATTTCTCTCATGTCTTGCTTTCATTCAGCAGTTGCTGGAAAATTGACTTTTTATTTATTAGTTAAAATTTTTTTACCAACATATTTTGGCACTTTTTCATCTTGGATTTTTTTTTGTTACAACCTTAAAAATGGAAGTACAAATAATGAGTTGTTTTGACCTATCATGTGGCAAAGGTAAAAGATGTATAATACGAAGTATGGTATGAAGTGTTGAGTGTGAAGGGAAAAGGCACTTCTATACATTGTTAGAGGGACTATAAACCTACAAAGTCTTTTGGGTGATATGACAGTATTTTTATTAATAAAAAGATGACTTTCTTATGACCTCAGGATATGCACAAAGGTAAGCATGTCTATTCTGACATTGTTTGAGATTGTGTTAAACTGGAAACCTAAATAAACTGCCAAAAAAGCAGACTGGAAGAATGACACCGGGAGGAGGGGAGGAGTAGGGAAATGAAGAGGGACACTCAGTCCTTGCTTTTAATCACCCCTACATTGTTTGACTCTTTTACAGTAAGGGTGTGATCATGTATCTGTAAAATAATGTTTAAGAGGAAAGGACTACAATGGTTCACGCCTGTAATCCCAGCACTTTGGGAGCCAAGGCACGAGGATTACTTGAGGCCAGGAGTTCGAGGCCAGCCTGGGCAACATAGCAAGAACCATCTCTACAAAAAAATTAAATAAATACATAAGAAGGGAACACCATTCTTAGGTTCTTTTCCAAGAGAAATTCAGATCCACTTTTACTTTTCAAAATAGAAATGAAACCAGCACATTATCAATCCCAAAAAGTTCAAGGCAGCAGGTGGATAATTTAGTCATGGAGCTGGCTGGTTAGTTATTTGGATAATTGAATTTACGCCATCATGGATAATGTAATCCAGTTTAATTTGCAAAAATGTCAGGCCTGGAGACAGATCAGAAGGAAAACATTTGGTGATGGCAGAAACATCAATGGAGAGACTTGCTTAGTGTTATGAGCTCTCCATAAGAATCGACCCTTTCACAATATAAGGACCCAGATTGAAAAGATTTGATGAAGAATCTTGGCAATCTGGTGTGTGTCATTAATGTGAGTGTTACATAATGCATTTTGCTGATTTATTTATGAAATGGTTGATTTAGTAGTCCATTTGCCCCTTGTCAAAAGCGTCTGGGAATGCCTTCATTTTCAGTTTGTTTACTTGAATAATAATTTGATTTGGGCTTTCCCATTTGGCAAGTTGATTCTGATCCCAACAACATCTATGACACCACCACATGGTAGATTCCTATTGTTGTAGAAATGTTATGTTTGTTGGTTTTGAAAAAGGGGACTTAAGTAAAAAATGGCATTTTCTCCATTTGTCTCCTTGGATCTATGGCAGAACACCTTTCTTTTACTGATCTTTGCCTCAGTCTCAGTTGTGCCCACTGCTTGTGTCCAGAAGGCTTGAGCATGGCTGGTGGACTGGTGCGAGAGTTCAACTGACATTTATTTGTTTGGCAGCGTCTCCTGGAAGAAAACTCATTATGTAAAAGGGCTTCAGGAGTCGTAGATGATGTGGGAGGGAACTAGACATTGTGAATATATGTGGGAGCTGGGACTCAAATTTGGTTTGTATGAGACAGAAGACCCCTGAGTGCCTGGGCTCTCTATAAAGAGATTGAAGTACTGAATGACACTGGGTCTCAAGCAACCCTGCCTAGGGATCTCTCTAATATACAATTAACCTGGTGCCTATCAGCAACATTGCAAATCTACAGTACTTAGTGGCTTAATGTTAGAGGAGAGTGAGATCTGGCAGGGCCGCAGAAGTGCCCTTTGGGACAATTGAACATATATCAGAATCCCCTTGGAAGTCTCAGAAATATGCAAAATAGATTTGCTGAGGTCTAAATGCAAGCTGCAGTTACCCTGACATTGTGATCCCCGTCTGTATTTGCATGCTAGTGATGACTGGTTTAAACTTGGCCTTTGCAATGAGCCCTGGATTTGAACTCTTCATTGAAGCAATCCTTTTGCAATGGCATGTTTTACTAAAAACATATCAATGTGTCAGAATAGGATGTATGCAGTGGGAAACGTGCCATGAGAGTAAGCCCTGGAGTCCTTCTTACCCAGAGGAATCTGGCCCTTAGAGTTCTCCTTTGTTGTTGCTGCAGTCTGAATATGTTCCCCAGAATTCATATATTGAAACCTAATCACCAAGTGATAGTATTAAGAGGCGAGGCCTTTAGGAGGTGACTAGATCATGAGGATGGAGCCCTCATGGATGGAATCATGGCCCTTATCAAAGCGCTTGAGGGAGTGGATTTGTTCTCTTCCACCAAGTGAGGACACAGTGTTCATCTGCCTTTCCCCCTTCTATTCCTGCTGCCATGTGAGGACACCCAGATGAAGCCATCTGTGGGGAAGCAACCTTCACCAGACACTGGACCTGTTGGTGCCTTGAACTTGAACTTCTCAGCCTCTAGAACTATGAGGAAATAAATTTCTGTTTTTTTTTAATTACCTAGTCTCAGGTATTTTTTAATAGCAGCATAAATGGACAGACAGTTGTCTTCAAGTTCATCTCATTATTCAATAGTACTTATGGAGTCTTCCCTAGAGGTCACAGAGAGGAGAGAAAAATAAGTGGAGGAAACGGATGATGTTTTATACAGAAGTTCAACTATATTCTAAAAATTTACCACAATCTAGGCTCCAGTTGCCAATAGATAGTAACATGATGAGTTATAATTATAGACCTATAGGTTTCTAAAAGTGAATTAGTGAAGGAGTATCACTATTACCAGTTTCAAACCAGGGAAATAGAAACCTGGAGGGTTTTGAAAATTTGTCCAAGGAGTGATCTGACTTTAGCATCTCTTTCTTCAATCATTTTTCACAATGCATTTCTTTTATTGTATTTGTCTTCCTTTCAACATATTTTGGAACCTTGATAGTCACACAGTACCTGTGGTTATGGGTGGGTCTCTGCAGATCTGAGGGCACCTTGGTGGGTCATTAAGTCAGGGAGAGATATAATCTTGATGACCCATCTTTGATATCACCTGGGTTGTAGCTTGGGACTCTTTGACAACCACATGCTGCCCATAAAATCCTCAGGAATGTAAGTTCTTATCTTAAGACTTTGCCAAAGTATTTAGTGTGCTTATGCTGTTCTATAAAATGGAGATAGAATACTGCTTTCCTCTGGGAAACACAGCCCTAGATGAGCCCTTAATCACCTAAATATTTACTCTATCTTGGCCTTAGCCTTCTATATGGAGAATACAGATTATATCTTCTTCTTAGTTTTTGAGTGTGACCCTTAAAGGAGATCAATGATACAAGGCTATAAAAACTCTCATATTGGACCACTCAGATTGTGTCAGAGGGAGCCACTGACTCAGATTGTGTCAGCAGGAGCCACTGACTCAAATGTGCTGGTCCCAATGTAAGTGGTAAAGGGATCCTGATAATTTACCTCATAGGGGTTGTGTTTAATTTTAAGCACGTGGATAACATTGCTAACAGTGCTGTGATTCCTTAATAGTCTCTGTATAAAGCCTTCCAGGAGAAAGAGATGTCAGAACTACAAACCCTGCCTTGCAGAAGCTCACAGTCAAGGATGTGAAACATCTGTCAGTTGGACCTTGCCTTAGACCATTGATTTGTCACCTGAGCTGCACTTTGGGATAACCTGGGTGCTTTTTTGTTTTTTTTTAAAGAGATAGGATCTTGCTCTGTTGCCCAGAGATGCAATCATAGCTCACTGCAGCCTTGAACTCCTGGGCTCAAGTGATCCTCCTGCTACAGCCTCCTGAGTAGCTGGAACTACAGGTGCACACCACCACGCCCAGCTAATTTTAAAGATTTTTCTGTAGAGATAGGATCTCACCATGTTGCCCAATCTGGGCTTAAACTCCTGGACTCAGGCAATCCTCCCTCCTTGGCCCCAAAGTGCTGGCATTACAGGCATGAGCCACTGTCTCCAGTCCCCTGAGGGTGCTTTTACATACTTCTAATAGGCAGGCCACCCTCTAGACCAGATATTGGAATCTCTGTGGTGGGACCTGGGCAACTGTGCTTTTCCAGCTCCTTGGAAGAGTTACCTGTGAAGCCAAGGCTGAGAACCACTGCTTTGGTCTCTTTGCTTCTCCAAATGTGGTCCTTGAACCAGTAGCATTGGTCTCTCCTGGGAGTTTGTTAGAAATGCAGAATCTTTGCTCTACCCTAGAACTACTGAATCAGACTCTGCATTTTAATGAGATCCCCACCTAGTTTCTATGCACAGAAAGGCTCAGGAAGTGTCCCTCTGGAAAATTCAGTCACAAGACTTCTCAGAGGGGGAAAAAGGCCATCTACATTTTTTGTCTTAATGTGACAGAGAGATTAACATGAAAATGATTTCCGTATTATACACTGTTTACATGTGTTAAAAATACTACTTACATATAGTTGGATTTTAGAGAAAGCTGCCTAATAATTTTGCAGGCAAAATATAATTCAAAACTGTAGCCAAGGCAATATTCAAGATAAATTGCAAGAATTGGACCTTGGCTTAGTGATGCTCTTGAAAACATCTCACTTACAGAACACAAGGTACAAACAAAGTTATTTTTTGATTTTTTTTTTTCTGTAAATGCCGGTATCTGTTGGGGGAGACATTACTTTTCCAAAGAGGAATTTAGAATGAGAAAGCTTGAATATAAAATGGTGATTGAAAACAAGTGAAGACCTTGCTGCTTGTAGAAACACAAATACAGACATAGGCAAACTGTATTTTTTTTTTTTTTTTTTTTTTGAGACAGAGTCTCACTCTGTCGCCCACGCTGGAATGCAGTGGCGCGATCTCCGCTCACTGCAAGCTCCGCCTCCCAGGTTTTTTCACGCCATTCTCCTGCCTCAGTCTCTGGAGTAGCTGGGACTACTGGTGCCCGCCACCACGCCCGGCTAAATTTTTGTATTTTTAGTAGAGACGGGGTTTCACCATGTTAGCCAGGATGATCTCGATCTCCTGACCTCGTGATCAGCCCGCCTCGGCCTCCCAAAGTGCTGGGATTATAGGAGTGAGCCACCGCGCCCGGCCGGCAAACTGTATTTTCAAAGCAAAGGAAAATTCACTCTGTTGGTGGGTGGAATTTACATAGATCTTAATCAAATATGCCCTCCCATCTTAAGTTTAAGACTGTAGCACAGCACACAGCCTCTTTGTATGGAGTGTTGGTTCTTTGAAGCAACAGAAAAGGGTGGTTAGTAACTGCTGAGAATGGGCACAAAAACGTCCTAAGAACAAAAAAACAAAAAACAAAAAAACACAAAACAAAAAAACACCCATATGTAGGCAGGTCTAGGCTGAAAAGAGAAATCACCTTTGTTGAGCTCTTATTTTTGGCCCCTAGGCTCAGTTTTCTACATACAGAGAGCAGCAAGGAGACCGTCCACAAAGGCCTGAAAACACAGACCTCCTGGTTTCTGCTGTTATGCCAGGTTGTCTGGAAATTCTTGAGGACTTCAGTGAACAATGTCACTTTTTTACTTGTGATTTAGAATCCACCTTGCTGCTTTTTAGTGGCTTTCAAAACATCCGATGGTATTTTCTCTATTCTCTTCCCTTTACCCCCTTCTTTCTTCTTACTTTGCTTGCCACTTGCTTGTTCTCTCACTTCTTAGACTGTAGGGAGTCTTCCTTCAGAAATCAGCATCATGAAAGGTATTTCCTTGTTACATTGTTCCAGAATATCTCTTCATCCTTGGTGAATATTTAGGGATAATTTCCCCTTGTTTAATTTTTGTTAAACAAAATTAATCTCCTGCCTGGCAGCAGAAGAAACTATGTTTCTGAGATTTTTTTCCAACAGCTCTGATGTCCAGCATGCCAGTGTTTTATTTAATTAGTATGTTTACTGTCCTAGTGCTGTGAATGAAGATTCAGTTTGCTTTTATAGAAACTCTTTGACCAGAATGTCTTTGGCATAAAGATCAAGAGCAGTTTGCTCATAGAATATCAGGGTCTTGGTAACCTCCTCAAGCTGATTGGGATACACCAAACTAACTTCCACCTCTGTGCACCTCTGTCCCTCCTGTCAGAGGAAAAGCAGCTACCCTTAATGTCCGTGGCTCAGCCCATTCCACGGGGACCTGGAGCCACATCCCTCCTGGCCTGTGATGATCTCCCGCCACTGTTTACCTCTGTCTTTTCTTAGAGTTTGACCTCTTTCTTGCTGTCCTCTGCACCATAAAGCCAAGGTCACCGATTGGCTGCTCATGCCTACAGACCCACCTGTTTGTTTCAGTTGAGTTAGTTTCCAACATTTAACCATCAAGATTTCACAGAAAAAAGCCATATTTCTGTTTTCTCATTAAAACCAACAAAACAAAACAGAAGATCTAGCAAACTGAGCCAACCTGGAGGCAACGGCTCGAGTGGGTCCTGGCTTTATCATTCACTGGCCCAGAGAACCTCCCTCCTCTATTTGGTTCATCTCTTTGTACCTTTGGGCTAAATAATGAACAATTTCATTCTATCTCTTCACTTGTTCTCTTTTTTTCGATGTGTTAGAGCTTTTGTTTAATTCATTTTAAAACATTTCAAATATAGTCATGTGCAGCATAATGACATTTCAGTTTCAGTCAGTGATGAAACACATATTCAGCGATGGTCCCGTAAAATTATGATACTGCATTTTTGTTGTACGTTTTCTCTGTTTAGATACACAAGTACTTACCCTTGTGTTATAATTGCCTACAGTATTCAGTACAGTAACCTGCTGCACAGGTTTGTAGCCTAGGAGCAGTAGGCTGTACTACAGAGTCTAGGTGTGTAGTAGGCTACCCCGTCTAGATTTGTGTAAGTGTACACTATGATGTTTGCACAATGTGAAAATCACCTAACAATGTGTTTCTCAGAATGTATCCCCTTTGCTAAATGACACATTGACTATATTATAGTTTTCATTTTGAGAAGTTTTATTTGTTTTTTAAAATCATTTTGACCATTCCTTACAGTATCTGATTCCTTTTTTGTATGTTCAAATTTCTCTTATTTCTTTAAACATGAACAATAGTTATTTTACACTGTGAGGCTGATAACTGCAATATCTGAAGATTTTATGGTTCTGGTCCTGCTCTCTGCTGTCTCTGCTTGTGGCAGCTTGTCTGTGAGCTGTCCATTTTCCCTAGAACTTTATCTGTGTGAGTCCTTTGAGGCCCTGGTTGAAGTTGAGTTTGTCCATAAAGGATTTGTTTGTTTCTGCCTGTTATCTCTGGGCACTACCGATTTGGGACCACATTAAGTCAAATTAGCTCTTGAGGTCTCTTGGACCACAGAGGTATTCCTGACATCCAGGATCCCCAGTTTGATGTGGCGAGTAGCAGGGGTTCACCCACTGGGCTGTACAGACACATGCTTATCTCCTGAGCTTCAGATCCTTGGCCAAGGTTTTGGAGTGAGTTCACTAAAGATAAACAGTGCTCTGTAATTATAGATCAGGGAGTTGTTTCAGAGCAGAAGGTAGCAGTCTGCCAGCATTGTTTAGCAATAATATTTGTGTTTCTGATTTGTTCCTGGTTTTGGTGGAGGCTGGAGATGGGGCATGGATTTTAATGGTTAAGGCTGGTCACATAGCTAGAAGGTGTCTATGAGAGACCCGCACCATGAACAGGCTTCCTGGTACCAAGGTGCTTTACACACATAAACATATACACACAAGGCCCATGGACACACACACACACACACACACAGACACACACCAGTGCTTGCTAGAAACCTGGAGACCAAGCTCTCCTATAAGACCCAGCTGTGGTAAGACAAAGAAGCTGTGGCCTGTGGTCCCCTGGCCCCTTCAATTCACGTCCTTCTGCTTCTGCTGCTGTGCTGGTTCTTTCTGATAAAGCTGTTCTTTGAGTATAAACTGAGTCTTGTGTGTCCTTTCAGCAGTGGAGCACCTAAGGTTATTGGCATGTAATTAACACAGTGGGGGCCTCCTCTTCGGTTTCCTACCTTGCTTGGGCTGGGGCTTTACCTCTCTTTCCCTGGGTACCATGCAGCTGACAAAGAGAGATCTCATTGTTTTCCGTGGTTGATGTAAATACTCATGGCGCCTCCTTTCACTCTTGTTTCCATGTTCTTCTGAAGATTTCTTCCTCCCTATGCAGGTCAGAGATGCATTATTTCATCCAGAATTGCTTTTTCAATAGGAAAAAGCAAGAAACAGAAATTCAATAGACACAATCTTTTTAACTACAAGAAATGGAAATCCTGAAGTGCATATGTATGATATATACATAAAAACACACGGAAAGAAATATATGTGTGTGCATATGTGCACATACATATCTATACATATATGTATATATACACACATATCTATACATATATGTATGTATACACACATATTTTATGTGTGTATGTATGTACCTATACATATGCATATACATATATTCATGACTCTTTAGCCCACTATAATCAGGCTTTCACCGTTCTGTACTCCTGATGCTTTAAATTTTGCTGTTCCTGAAGGCTTTGTCCTCTTTTTTACCCCACTCTGTCTCTCTGTAGTACATCAAGCTGTTGCTTGGCCAACTACTGCTTGCAAGCCACACATGGCCTACCACCAGTTTTTGTAAATAAACATTTACAGGATCACAGCTACACCCTATTTATATATTGTCTATGGTGTTTTTATGCTATAATGGCAGAGTGGAGTAGTTTCAACAGAGACCTTCTGGCTCACAAAGCTTAAAATATTTCATCCCTGCCCCTTTATAGAAAAAATTTGCTGACCCCTGAACTATTTTATCTTCATCTGTGACTGTGTCACCACATTGTAGAGGGATAAAATGAAGCGATGTGTTTCATTGCTGTATTCTTTATATCATCTTTTGGTATCTGCTATTATTTGAAATTACATTTTTTTTTTTAACTTCCAAATGGGAGCATGTCCTGGTTACTGTAAAAGAAAATAATGAAGAACCTCAGGGGTTGGGAGATTCCTTGGGGGGCCTTACATTAGGTGAATGTGTGTGAAAGGAAAATAATGCCACCCCATACATCCCTTTGGGAATCTGTGAAGAATATAAGGGGGTTTATGATTATGAAGAATAGAAGTGCCGATCTTCTGGGGACTGTCCCCCACCTCTGACATCAAGAAGCAAGGGATGAAAATCAGTGTTACTGAGCCCAGCCAAGAGGGTGAGGTGAATATAGTTGCTTCTTGACCATCCTTGGAAACCCCAGTAGAGCCTGACCCAGCTCTGATATCCCTTTGCAGTATAAACAGCTGGGAGGTTCAGCAGAGGCCAGACTGCCAGCGCCAACTGGGGACAAACTCAGTCTTATGCAGCTACTGTGTCTGCTCCAAGGAGATCACAAAGCAGGGAGCCCTGGCTATAAACTGCATCACCTTGAGGACTGAGGATTGCAAGTTGGAGAACTTCTAAGCCACACCGTGCTTCTGTTATCCACTGTGCCCTTAAAACCAGGCTTCTGTTTTGAGAGGCTGAGTGTGAAGAAGGCTTAATCCAATCACTTGTAGGGTGGATTAGCAGGGATGTGGATAAACTGCCCCTGCTGAGATAGGGCCTCCCTCAAGCTCTCTACGAGCTTGGGTGAAGCAATTGTTAGACATCCAGAGAAAGGCAGAGCTAGGAGTTTTGATTCATACTGGAGACGAGGGATTTGAGGACCAAGTTTCTAACAGGTTCTGATTATTAGATAAGGCTCTCCCCCAGTACTGAGCTAGCCTCAGCTAAGCAGCAAGCAGTGAGTAACTAGGGATTTCATTAATTTGTCCACAGTCTACAGAAGAAGATGTTTCTGTTCCTCTCCAGGATTCAGGGCAGACTCCCTGGCATGGGCTGCAGAATTCTTCATGTCCTGTTCTTGTCTAAATGCAAAGTCTCTGCCCGAGCCTCCTAGGAATAACTGTTAGCCCAGCCAAACCCTTTACTCACACAGCAGTCTCTCCCAAGTGAAAACCCTGCCCCCCTCAAAGTGATGCAATTACCTGACTGTACCCACTGTACCCACACTGCACTATACCCATGCTGCACAGAACACACACTGCACAGCACACAGAGTGCACAGTACCCACACTTCACTATACTCATACTGCACAGCACACACAGTGCACAGTACACACAAGGCACTATACCATACTGCACAGCACACACACTGCACAGTACCCATACTGCACTATACCCATTCTGCACAGCACACACACTGTACAGCATACACACTGCACTTCACACACACTGTACTGTAAACACTGTACTTACACACACCGCACTGCACACACACCGTTCTGTACACACACTGCACTGCACACACACTGTACTATAGACACACTGCACTACACACACTGCACTGGACACATGCTGCATTGTATGCACACACTGCACTGCCCACACACTGTACTGTACACACACACTGTACAGTACACACACTGCACAGTACACACACTGCACTATACCCATCCTGCACAGCACACACAGCACTATACCCATACTGCACAACACACATGCTGTATAGTACACACACTGCACTGCACACACACTGCACTGCACACACACTGCACAGTACACACACTGCACAGTACACACACTGCATAGTACATACACTGCACTGCACACACACTGTTCTGTACACACACTGCACTGCACACACGCTGCACTGCACAGACACTGTACTCTACACACACTGCACTGCACACACACTGCACTTCACACACACTGTGCTGTAAACACACTGTACTTACACACACTGCACTGTACATACACTGCACAGCACACACACTGCACTGCACACACACTGTACTATAGACACACTGCACTACACACAGTGCACTGGACACATGCTGCATTGTACGCACACACTGCACTGCCCACACACTGTACTGTACACACACACTGTACAGTACACACACTGCACAGCACACACACTACACTGTACACACATTGCACTGCACACACACACTGCACTGTACACATACTGCACTGTAAACACACTGTGCTGTGCCTAAACTTTACTGCACTCACACTGTGATGTATCCACACTGCCCTGTCCACACACTGCACAGTACACACTCTGCACTGTCCACACATTACACTGTATCCATACTGCTCTGTACCCACGCTGCACTGTACCCATACTGTGCTGTATTCAGTGCATCCACACTGCAATGTACATACGCTGTGCTGTACTCATACTGTACTATACCCACACAGTGATGTATCCACACTGCACTGTCCACACACTGCACTGTACCCGCACTGCACTGTGATGCACCCTCCCTGTGCTGTGCTGTACCCACTGTCCCACACAGCACTGTTCCTACGCATCATTGCACCCACCCTGCACTGTGCTCACTGCTCCCACACTGGGATGTACCTACTCCACTGTCCCTACACCGTGCTAATCCACTGTGCCCCCACTATATTTTACCCATGTGGCTCAGGCAGCTCAGTAATCAAGCCTCATTGGTTGGTCTCCCTTAGTCCCCATGATGGACTGTAAGCTCCAGTTAGGCAGGAATCTTTGTTTTATTCATCAGTAAATTCATGCAGCACTGAACAGCACTCAGCACACAGTGGGTGCTTAGTAAGTATTTGCTGAGGAATGAATTTGAAGGCAGTTTTTCCGTAATCCATTTCAGTCCCTAACAACCCCTCAGTTGTTAAATCAGTAAAATTTCCTCTGTCCAAATTAAACTCTCTTGATAAAAAGCAAGCATGTTTCTTTTTCTGAGCTTCAGATAGAGCTGGCAAACCACTTAGGCTCCATTTTCTATATGGATCAACCACCTGGGTTCAGAGGAGTCCGTGAGTCCTTGCTGACATTTTTTCTCATCTACTCTGAGTAATTCTGATTTCTTAACTATTTCTTCTGAAATGTCCTATTATTTTCACAGACCAGTCTAGGAGGGGCCTGCATTAGGTAAGCAGTTTCGGATGCTTACAAAATAGTATAAGGTTTGGGCTTTTCTTTTCCAAAACCTATCCAGTGCTCTTGAAAGCACCTTGAAAACAGTGCCTGGCACTTAAGTGGGTTCATGGTGTGCTCTGGCTGGGAAAGTCTGTGAACCTGACTGCCTGCGGTTTTTGGATCCATCTCTAATGGTAATCATCAGGGAAGGATGTGGCCTTTTTCCATTAGGTGTAAAGCAAGTTTTCGGCAAATGCAACCATTTAAGATTTGTCCTCCCAACATTGGCTGAAGATGGGAGGGACTCCTTGAACTCCAAGGAAGGATTATCCTAAGAAATGTTTTGAAGCTAATAGAGAGATGGTGACACTTCATCCCTTTTGTCCACCCTGAGCAATCACTCAGCTGTGCCCACTAATAGGAGGATAGGAGGGGAGTGGGAGTAGAGCATGCCACTGTATTCTGAAACAATGTGCTCTCTCTAAACACGGCATTCAGGACTTGAGATGTCTCAAGATCCTAAGTGGTTTTGTTTGACCTTGTTGAGATCAAGTGGCCACGGGATGGAAATGGTGCTGAGGTCAGCCTGTGCTGTGCACCTGCAGGAGCAGTCGTGAGGTGTCAGGACAGACAAGCCCACTGGCCTCCTAAGTTTTCTCCTTCGCTCTAGCTGTACCTCCCATGTTTCCATCTCCATCCCAAAACCGAATAATCTTTATAAATCAGCAAACTGATTGAGACCCTTCTCTGCTTAAAACCCCGCAGGACTCCCCTGTGGTCCTCCATGACCTGGCTAGTGCCTCTCTACCCAGCTTCATTTTTACCCTCAACTAACCCAAGAATATCAGAGCACGCAACTCCCAGCTTCTCCTGTCCGTGCCTCCTTCCTGGCTGGTTTCTGCCTGGGGTGTCCTTTCATTTCCCCTTTCTGGACTAAATTCTACCCATCCTTTCAGACTCAATTTATGGATCTCCTGCTCTAGGAAAACTTCCTACACTTTCATTGCCTCTGTGTCAGCAAGAAGTGTTTGTTCATTCGTAAGCATTAACTGAATGCCTACTGAATGCCAGACATTGGAGACAGGGCAATGATGAAGACCTGGCTTCACCCTTGAGGGACACGCAGGCTGGGTATCAGAGTATCTTGGCCCTATTTAACAGACTCCAAAAACCGAGAAAATCAGGAGACCATCCTTTGCATGCAGTAGGCATTTAATTATTATGTGAGGAATTTTGTTTAAACATTAAAAATGAAACATGCGCTTTAAAGTTACCGGAATATGCCACCACTTGGTATGATATACCTTTTTACAGCAAACATGGATGCTGGTATCATTACATATATTCATCAGCATAATGTGCTATTTTACCAGCATTCCAGGGTCTACTTGGAACAAAAACAGATGTTTCCTCCAGTGTGAACATTTCACCATGCCCTGCAGAAACCCTCCTATTCTGGACTAGGAATAAACATTGCAAGTTTAGAACTGATGTTTAATATTACTCTGATGGCTTGCCGTGGTTGCTGTGGAAATTATGGTATTGTTTATTATTAAATGAAGAGCAACAATGCTCCCAATAAAATAAACCTATAATATTGATACAAGGCAATTTTGGAAGGCAGTTACTTTGTTTTTGTCTTTTGCATTTGTTGGAAGCTGATTGAAAAAGCCTTCCACTTAGTGGAAGGGCATGCTACATTTGTGTATTTGCTGGCCCCATGAGGTAATTCATTTCTGATAATAAAAAGGAGCATTACCTAATTCAAACTTTTATTACGCTGTTGTGTATTGGGCAACCATAAAATGCACCTAGGCAAATGATTTATTGATCACTTGATAATGAGAGGACATGCCTAAGCTGCTGGAAAGTTCTCCTCAGTCCATAGAGACCAATGGGCAGAACTGATCACTTTCAGAGTGTAGGTGTTGATATGGATATGGGAAATGATTAGGATGCTGAGTTCAGCGGCCTGAATGTTCCCATTGATATCCAATAGAAACTTTGTTGCAGAGGTATACCCAGTGAGAGACTGAATCTCATATTTTAAACATTTTCTGTCAACAGCCATTTGTCAAACTCTGTAAGAAGATCAATAAAGGTCGAAGAGACTCAGGGTTGCTAAAACGGCACCCAGTGGCTCTCAGGAAACTGGGGCTGCTCACCGACCCCCAAAGGGCCACTGGAACAGTTTTCAGCACGAAATAAACCAGTTGTGAATTTGAAGAGCGTGGCCCAGCCCTACAGAAAAGCAACTCAACTCATTTAGTTTTGGTTTTAGTCTGCTGAGAGAAATGCTCTGAAGCTAGTGAAAACGACACAAAGCATGTTCCGATCCTTGTGACGGTCCCAGATTTGGGCAGAACTTCCCAATTTGTGGGACTAATTCTTCCAAGTGGGAAGAGAGGGTGGATGAGTTTTCTGTTAACATGCAGCCACTCCACAACTCAGCTGGTTTAAACATCATCAATTTTATTGTGCACAATTCTGTGGGTCAGAGATTTGGGTGGGGCTCGTAAGCAAGGGGAGATGGATCCTCTCTGCTCCATGCTTTGTTGGCTCGGATCTCCACTGGGGCTGGAGAAGCCAAGATGGCCCCACTCACATGTCTAGTGCTTTGGTGTGGCTTTTGGCTGGGGTCCTCAGTTCTCTTCTGCATGGCCTCTCTTCTCCCCCAGAGCTTCTTTTCCCCCATGGCCTCCCTCTCCAGCAAGATGGCTTGGATTTCTTTACATGTCCAGAGGACAAAAAGGGAAGCTGCCGGGTTTCTTAAGGCCTGTACACAGAAGTTCCACAACCTCCCTTCTGTCACATTCTTTGAATCAGTGGCAGTCCCAGGGCCTGCTGAGGCTCAAGGAAAGGAAGATAGGCCCCACTTCTTCGTAAAGAGATGGCAATGTCACACTGCAAAGGGTATAATGGATGGAAGGAATTGATGTGTCCATCTTCTTAGGAAAGAATCTACCACAGATGATGACATGTCAATCACTTTTGAATATTCAGCCACGTTTGGAAGTCAGTCCTCCCTGAACACCACAGTTAGAGAAGCTGAGCTGAGGCATGTTGTTTCTTCCCTAACATCACTGTCCAAAGTTCAGTTATCACTGTACTGCGGACACTGGGATAAGCCGACATGCTGGAGAGGGGGACGCTATGGAGTGGTCAAGGTGCTCACTAGTGATCCAGCTCCTACACTTGTCTGTATTCCTGTCAGCTGGTTTCAAGATAGCTCTCAAAAGATGTGGCTGATTGTCTTGGTCTGTTTGCACTGCTATGACTAAACACATACACTGGGTGGCTTACAAATATCAGAAGTTTATTGATCATAGGTCTGGAGGCTGGGAAGTCTAAGACCAAGGCATAGCAGATTCATTGTCTGGTGAGAGCCACTCCCTGGTTCATAGACAGCTCTCTCCTCATTGTGTTCTCACATGGTGAAAGGAGCAAGGGGTCTCTCTTTTACAGGGGCACTAGTCCTATTAATGAGGGCTCTGCCCTCATGACCCAATGACCTCCCAAAGACCCTGCCTCTTAACACTGTCAGTCACTTTGGAGGTTAGGACTTTAATAAATGAACCTGAGAGATGGGCACAAACATTTAGACCATGGTACTGATTAAAACCGAATTTATATGATTGAGCCAAACAATACTGAGCTGAAGTCAGTCTCCTCCTGTCTTCCAGAAGGACTCTTAGTTATTGAGACATTGCTTCGTCACCCAGGGTTGGACAGACATGTGTGACTTTGTTAAAACCTTGAAAAATTACTTTCAGGTTTCATTAGGTTGCAACAAGGGTTATTTTAGCCCTGCCATCATTTCCCAGTGTCACCTCTCTCATTGCCAGCTAATGACCATGGAAATTTTTCCATGGTTGTCCAGCAGCAAGCTATAATAGCTGGGATTAGGGGTTACCTTTGCCCCTAGAAGCAGGGGCTACAGTTACACCCAAAACCAACCTCTCAAAGGACAAGGGATCCTCCAATATTCCAGGTACTGGAATTAGAACTTGTGAACCATTTAATTTGCTTGCCTGTGAATTCCAGCCAGCACTAAGCGCTATCTGTAGGTGTTTTCCAACCCTGCCAGACAGAAATACTAGCCTGCTCTTATAATTAAAATAGCTGCATTTCCCAACCAACATTCCTGCGGAAAACAGGAGTATGTGAAAACTCTTAGGAACGTTTTTATTTTTTTTAGGACTTTGGGATACTGTTTATTTTTACGACTAAGCTTTTGAATACACACATATCTTTAAAGTTTTAAAAATGTATTCAGTAGATGCAATACATCATGAGCCCTTTGTCAAGCAGTGAGCATATGATGCCCTGGTTAAGTATGGAGCATTATCCTCAGTAATAAGTCCAAAGGTTGGTCATATGACCCAAGACAGCCAATCAGAGTCCTTCTCTGGAACTAATATGTTGACACCAGAAGAAAGAAGCTCTGTCTTACTGTGTTGGTCATTTTTCCAGTCTCATAGAGAAGGTCTCATGTCTTCAGTAGGAGACAACAAGACTAACTTATAAGGAGAGAGACAAGCAGAGATGAGAGATGGCAGGGAAAGAGAAAGCCGGCAGGGCTGAGACTCCAATTATTATCCTGGAGATCTCGAGTCTTGTAGGTCTTTCTTTCAGTTCTGTGAGCCATTCAGCATCTTTCCTGGCTACAGGACCCAATAGTTTCTTTTTCTTTTTTCTCACTAATCAGAGAATTTTACGAATGTACAGAGTTTTGTTAACCTTTCACCGTATAGAATTGTTATGCTCCAAAGAATATGATTAACTCATTGGTTCTTATTCCCATTCTATAACAAAACACATAACGGCAGCATAATGTTGAGATTGTCTTTTGTAATATTGCCATAGAGAAAGACAAAGATTCTGTAGGCAAAGTAGGTCGTTTGCTTATTTAGATAAAGTTTTTTATGGACTCAATGTTGGTGTCTCCTCCAAATTCATATGTTGAAACCCTCCCCTGCTTATATTTGGAGAAGAGGCCTCTAAAGCAGTAGTTAAGGTTAAATAAATGAGTTTGTGGGAGTGGGGCCCAGATCCAAGAGGATTAATATCCTTATAAGAATAGACACCAGATCTCTCTCTCTCTCTCTCTCCCTCTATGTGTGTGTGTGAGCACGCACGTGTACAGAAAGGCCATTTGAGCACACAGCAAGAAGGCAACTGTCTACAAGCCAGGAAGAGAGCCTTCACTAGATACTGACCATGCTGACATCTTGATCTTGGACTTCCCAGACTCCAGAACTGTGAGAAACGAAGTTCTGTTTTTCAATTCATCCAGGAACCTGTGAATTTTGTTATGGCAGCCCAAGCAGACTTAAAAAGATTTTGGTACTGCGAAGTGGGATGCTGTAACAAACAACTAAAAGTGTGGAAGCCGCTTTGGACCTGAGTAATGGATAAAGGCTGGAGGAGTTTTGAGGTGCATGCTGGGAAAAGTCTAGATTGTCATGAAGGTAGAAATATTGACATTAAAGGTGATTTTCATGAAGGCACAGAAAGGAAAAAAGGAAAGCTGGAGAGAATACCTCCATTTTCTTAGTGAATACATAAATAATCATGAGCATAATGTTGGCAAGAAGAAACCAGAATTTAAGGCTTGGAAAATTCTCAGCCTGTTCATACTGCAAAAAATGAGAAAGTATGTTCAGAAGAGAACACCAGGAGGGTAGCTGGACAATACTCAATAAAGGCATTGTGGGATTATATGAGCAGAAACACTGCAGTTGGAGCAGAAGAGAAGGGAGATGGGATGAAAGGAAAGAAGGCTGTTGGACTTAGACTCTACAGGACAGGCCAGTAGAGCTATGTTTGTGATGTGCACTGTCCTTCAAGAACAGGGAAGAGGAACCCTGAAGGTGACACAGACGCAATCAGGGCTGCCTCCTTGGTTTCCAAGGGTTGAGCCACTACTGAGGTTTCCACAGGCCAGGCTGCCACCACATGGGGTCTGGGGGGTGGGGGAGTTGGGGTCAGAGTCCCACTCAGCAGAGCCCAAAGGGTGTAACCTCTACCCCATGAGTCTAGACAGTGAGACCACCACCCTAGTGGATCTGGAAGACTATCAAGCCAAAGAGGATTATTCTTGAGCCCTAAGATCTAATTGAATTTGTCTTGCCAGGTTTTGGACATGCTTGGGACCCATCACCTCTTTCTTTCTTCTGATTTATCTCTTTTGAAATGGGAATATCTATCCTTTGCCTGTCCACCATTGTTTTTCAGAAGCACATAACTTGTCTGGTTTCACAGATTCACAGCTGGAAAGAAATTTTACTTCAGGATTTGTACCTTGAGTCTTACCCATATCTGATTTAGATGATAGTTAAGTGAGAGTTTGGACTATAGACTTCATAGTAGTTGCTGGAATGAGTTAAGACTTTGGGGGCTGTTGGAATGAATGAATGCATTTTACATGCAAGAAGGACATAAATTTCAGGGGAGCAGGGGAAGAATGTGATAGACTGAATGTTTATGTCCCCTGATAATTTGAAGCCCTAACCCCCTAGTGTGGCTGCATTTGGAGATAGGGCCTCTGAGGAAGTAGTTAAGGTTAAATAAGGCCATAAGATAGGGCCCTTATCTAATAGAATTAGTGTCCTTGTAACAGGAGACACCAGAGAGCTCACAGTCTTTCTCCCTTCCTTCCCTCCCACAGGCACACATCAAGGAAAGGCTGTGTGAGGACACAGGGAGAAAGCATCATCTACAAACCAGGAAGAGAGCCCTTACTAGAAACCTAACCCTACCAGCACCTTGACCTTGGACTTCTACCCTACAGAACTGTGAGAAATAAATTTCTGTTGTTTAAGCCATCAAGTCTGTGATATTTTATGATGGCAGCCTGAGAAGACTGATAAAAAGCTAAAACACATTTAAATGAAAAAAAAAATATTTATTTATATAATGTAAATATCTTCCAGCTTGATAGCCTCTGTGGGTGACTGCATTTTGGCTGCCACAATATCTCCCCTCCCACATGTACATCTACCACGTGACATTGAGTATCTCCCATCCCACACGTTTATCTACCACGTGACATTGAATTGTCACCAATCAAGATGTACAATCTGTGACTTTCCCTTTGGAATTGCACAAACTTATGTCTCATTAGTAACCAGTGTGGTAGAAGTGATGCTGTGTGCCTTCTGAGGCTGGGTCATGAAGACAATGCAGTTTCCAACTTGAGAGTTGGAGCACTTGCTTTAGGAGTGCTGTCACCAAGAAGGTTTGGATACCCTAAGGCTGCCATGTTGTGAGGAAGCCCAGGCCAGTGGAGAAGCCACTTTTGGATGCTCAGCTTACTGTCAAGCACACAGGAAGTATGAAAGAGAAGGTCCCAGATAAAAGTCAACACCAATATCCCAACATGTGAATGAAGACACCTCTTGATGATTTCAAAGCCCAACAATCATCAAGTCACCCCTAGGATAGTATTTCTGGGAGGTCCACAATTGATCTCTCACATGTACTCACATATTGGTTTCTGCTGTCATCACATGATCAATCATCACCACTGTTGTTCCTCTGCTGCCTGGAGGTTCTCCATCCCTGCCTTTGCCCTTCCCTCACACTCTCATTTCAAGGTCCCTGTCAAAGAGGAATGATTTAACAGCTTTCAGGATTTGGCAACTCCAATGCCGCTGAAGACTGAGTGTGGAAGAGGCCCCATTGCCAATTTTCAGCCATACTTTGTCACTTGGGCTCCAAAGCAACCTAGAAAGTCACAAAAGCTACTCCTGGGCAATTTTCTGCCAACTCTAGTAGCCGTGCTTATTCAATAACAATTATATAATACTCAATGTGAGACAGTTACTATTTCCATCACTTAAAAAGATTAACCTACCTTTACAATAACCTTATGAGTTTTGTTATTATTTTGTTTTACAGAAGAGGATACTGAGATTTAGCAAGGCTAAATAACCAGCTTAGGGTCACCCAGCTAGGAAGTAGTAGAGCTAGTGTGTGTGCATACACTGGCACATGCATGCTCATATGTGCATGTGTACTTGTATCTTTCTCTGCTGTGTATACTTGGAAGCAGGTTTTGGCTTGCCTGAGTCTATGGATGGAGGTAAGAGCAGCCAATATTTATTGCAAGAGATAAACAAACCCTAACCCAGCCAAGCTTTAAAGTGTCTGGGGTTTTAAGAGCTTTCCAGGCCCTTTGACGAAACCCATCAGGCCAGAGTAATGATGCTGCGGTTTGCCATTCATTCTTATTGGGTTTAATGAAGATAAAGGAGCTCTCTTTATGTGTCCAGTTGGGCTTAACAAATTAACCAGGCTGCCGGAGGGGTACATGTGAACAGAATATTTGTCCTCATAATGTTCATTAGGAGGGAGAAAGTTAACTAACCTTTTGTTCTGTATTTCTTTTCCTAAAGCCCAGTGAAAACTGCAGAGCTGAAACATCATCGCTAATCTTATTTCTGACGGGCCTTTTTCTAACTTCTCCTTTTATGATCATTTCACAGCTGTTATATTGAATCAGTATCATTATGTGTTTAAAAAAAAAATTATGCTCTGTGTCTCAGAGCTAACTGTCCAGAACTAAACATCCTGGCCCCCTTTGGACAATGACAGGCTGTCAGAGAACTGGAAAGGGGATTGGGTTGGTTTGTTTGCTTCTTGTGTCCTCTTGACAGCTCCTGGTGAATGAAGGAAAGCTGCGATGATCAGATTTTTGCTATGGGTTTACAACATGACTATAAGCAAATCCCTGTAGCAAATTGCAAAAATGGCCCCCAAGTCCTGAATGCACACCCCTTTCCAGTGGGATTTTGCCACATCTCTCATTAACAGGTGGAGTCCCTATTTCACACTTTGAATCTGGAATTAGTAATGGGATTTGCTTTGTCCAATGGGATGTCAGCTGAGGCTTGAAAGGCACTTGTTGGAGTTTGCTTTACCATGCTGCATCTATAATCTTGAGACCCTCACGTTACCCGGCCTGAGCTAGCCTGCAAGAAAATGAGAGAAGATAAGGAGAAGAAACAAAGTACAATGGTTGATGGTCACCCTTGTTAATTCAACTGATAGACTTCCAACTGCTAGACAAGTGAGGGTGGCCACCCTAGATCACTCAGCCATCAGCCCGCATGCCAACTGATCACAGATGCATGAGAGCCCAGCAGAGATAAGCCATGCTAACCCAGGCAGAAGTATCACCCAACTGACACACAGAATCATGGACTAAATAAAATGGTTATTTTTTAAAGCCACTAAATTTCAGGGTGGTTTGTTACACAACCAAAGCTAACTGATACATGCTCCTCTTCTTGAAGCACATGACAGCTTACCTAAATGGGGTGCAATTTATACCAAGAAGTCTTCAAGAAGGTGAACATCCATGTGCTACAGGAGTTGGCTTTTAAGAAGTTAGCTCCCCTATATTCAAGGGCTATATTTTTATCAGTGATGTCACTAAGGCTTCTTTCAACATTAAATCTATGTTAAATACACATTAGCTCTTCTCTTTCATTTTGCATAATACAGATTGAGGTGAGTCAAGTACATGTGACTAAGTAAACTGGGTCTCTATAGAGTTACCCTTTTGAAACTTCAGACTCTTAAAGCCTAGAGAGTTTCTTTTTGAAAATCAATTGTATAACATGTTACCATGTTCATAAGTGTCTGGGAGACTGAATAAAAATAATTTCTTCCCTACACACCAAGATCAAACTGATTGTTTAGTTAGGTCTACCTAGTTTAGATTGATTAGGTTTATATTTCCAAATTGGCCTTGTGACCCAAGCATTTGGAAACAAATAAGTTAGTTGAGGAGAACTAAAATCACATAGTTGATAAACCTCATTCATATGAAAATATATTACACTATCACTGAAAAGGTACACTCTTGATCCTTGAACAATGTGGGGGTTAGGGGGACTGACTCCCTGTGCAGTCAAAAATCTATGTGTAACTTTTGACTCCTCCAAAACTTAATTACTAATAGCCTACTGTTGACCAGAAGCCTTACTGAGGACATAAACATTCAATTAACACATATTTTGTACATGTATTTTGTGCTGTATTCTTAGAATAAAGTAAGCCAAGAAAAGAAAATGTTATTAAAATATTTAAAGGAAGAGAAAATATATTTATTATTAATTAAGTGGAAGAGATTATCATAAAGATTTTCATCCTCATCACCTTCATGTTGAGTAGCCTGAGGAGGAGGAGGAGGAGGAAGAAGAGGAGGGATTGGTCTTGCTATCCTAGGGGTGGCAGAGACAGAAGAAAATCTATGAATATGTGGACCTGCACAGTCCAAACTCATGTTGTTCAAGGGTCAACTGAATCTATATAGATAGATGGGTGTCTCATTTATTACTATTTCTTCCTCAATTTGTGATTGTAAATCTTTTAAGGATATAAGTGGTATTCTGAATATCATCTATTGCTGTATAACAAATCTTTCCAAAACTTAGTGACTTAAAACAACAACAATCATTTCATCATCTTTCTTGGATTCTGAGGGGCAAGAATTTGGACAGGGCCTGGCTGGGTGGTTCTATCTCAGGTTTCTCGTGTGCTTGCAGTTAGAAGGTGGCTGGAGCAGTAACAGCAGGGCCTTAAGCAGCTGGTGGCTATCAGATCTCCCTCTCTCCCTTTGTGTAGTCTCAGAGCCTCTCATGAAATCTCCCTGCATGGGCTATTTTGGGCTTCCTCCCAGCATGGCTGCCTCAGGACAGGTCAGTCAGATTGATGACCTGGCAGCTTAGGGCTCTAAGCCAGTGTCCCATGAAAACGCCAGCCTTTTATAACCCCAGAGGTCACATAACATCATTTTGCCATAGTCACAAGCCCTAACTCAAGAGGAGGGAATATAGAGAACACATCTGAATGCGAGGAGTGTCCCGGTACATCATTAGAGAGTTATGGGTGGGAGATGTTGTTGTGACTCTCTGGAAATACAGTCTGCCACAGATGGCCATAGGCAAAATCTCTGACTTGATCCTGGATCTATTTTTTGGTCCATGCTTCCCTGGCATTAATGAAATTGACATAGGTGTTATCATTTGGGTTCTTTCCCCCAACTACCTGCTTCCATCAGTGTTCAGCTACAAGTCAGTTATAAAACAAAGCAAAATACACAAAAAATATGACATCCAGGAACAAAGGTGAAAAAAAATGTCTAAGACCAAAGGGGTTTTAGCTCATCATTCAGTTGCTCTGTTATGTTTAATGGACAAGGAAGTTCAAAAGTCTGGGAGAACACTGGGGTTAAAACAAAATCAAACAAAACAACGACAATAAAACATTCATTTGAATAACTTTGAATCCAGTTGCAATGAGGAGGAAGAAACCCAAGAGGGACCGCCTACATTGAAACTTCCTTGCACACATTATCTCAGATGTTTTTCGGATCTTTTGTGTGGAACTGATTTAATGTCTATAGAGCCTCCAGAAACCCTGGGATTTATAGACACTAGGGAAATGTTTTTCAACTAGTCTAAAAGCTAAATATAAAAGAAAAAATAAAAGAAAGGGGACGTTGCTTACAGCTCGAATGCTCTTATTTTTAGTTTCCCAGTGGATGGGTCGTGAAGAAAAAGAAACCAAAGTGGGCTGTCAGGGCCAGTCACATCTTCTGAACCACTTCCTCCCCACCACAGAGCAAAGCGCTCCAACTCTAGGGTGAGAAAGCACCTCTTCCCAAGGCCTTTACAATTGCACCTCTGGGCTTTGTAGCTGACACCACAATTTCCCAGTTATACCAAACTTTTTCAACTTTTTAAGAGGTGTAGCTCCTTTTGCAAATTTTGTAAGTTTGAAATTATTTCCAGATAAACAAATTTTAAAATGTAGCCCCATGGACAACACCTTAAAATATTTACTCTTATTAACAGTTTATTGAGAACCTATTAGGTACTCACTACCAGGCTGGGCACCATTACAGCTGAAAAATAATAATACTTCTTGGTACTTAGGTATGGTCTGTCACCTTAAGGAGCTGACAATAAGTCTAACTAGGCAGGTATTCCTTGTACTGTGCATTTCTTTAGATTCATAGTCATACATCTTTTAAAAATAAAAACTTGGTCTTAGCTTTGGTAGCTTTAGATTTTTACCATGCCATAAACCAAATGGTAGTTCAAGGACTCTGCTTTTTCCCAAGGAGCAGTTCTAAAAGGGTATCTCTAAATTACCCTTCCTTGCCACGTCTTCATGCTTTTAGTGTCTTCTCTAGAAAGTGTATCCAAATGAGCTTTGCTTGGAGCTAGATTTTTGTTTTTGTTTTGTTTCTGGCCCTCTCTGGCATTTCAAAACGTCTATGCAAGCAGTTTTGCATCTCTTGCATCCCATCATCTCACTTATTACCTGAAATTACATGGCATAGAAACAGTAGAAAATCTCTTCACCGTGATAGACTAATTTTAATAATTAACTGAGGAACTGTTAAAATTTTACGTCAATGCTCCACTGTCATCATAAAATTAGTAATAACAGCCATGGTGGGAGAATTCTGATGAGACCAAGGGGGTCGAGTGAGAGCTGGGCTGGAGAGTCTTTGCTTCTAAAGCAGCTGAGGCTTAGATCTTCTAAGCACTGATCTTAAAATTTGGCATCTGAATGACTTTTCCAGAGAGGGAGTTTTCAGAATGAATCTTGCATTTTTTCCAGCCTCTAATTGATGCTGGGATGGAAACCAAAGACAGGGAGCCAACACTTGTACAATATTTCACTGTTGAAAACTATAGCATCTCATGTTGTAAGTCACATATGAACATGGACCAAGCAGGCCATGTGCCTTCTTAGAGCAGGGGCTTGAACACGGGAGGTGGAGGTTGCAGTGAGCTGAGATTGTGCCACTGCACTCAAGCCTGGGAGAGAGAGCCAGACTCCGTCTATAAAAACAAACAAACAAACAAACAAACAAACAAAAAGTATGGGGCTCCGGACAGATGGAAAGAGAGCTATGGGACATGTGAGGTTCGGTTGCTGTCTTCCTCAATGCTTTTCAGGTAGGCTTCTTTGGCTTTGGGGGTGTTCATTGAATGAGCAGCGTGGAGAAGGGATTTAAACATCCAAGAGCGGCCAGGGAGGAGGGTCTTCAAGTTGCCTCCTCCTGAGATTTTCACAATTTTTACTTTCAGCTCTTCAAGCCCATTTTTATCTCTCCAGTCCTTGGTTATGGCCCATATCCATCATTGGAGGAAAATAAAATTATGTTTCCAATAAGAATATTTTATGGACATCTTCAGCAGATACTTTTGGTGTATCTCTCCCTCTTCCCCTCAGCACACCCCTGCTCCCTAAACAATTCCAAAATATATGGACACTCCAAATGAACCAGGAGGGAGTCTTCAGGGAGTAGCCTTTAGCTAAGCACAAATGCAAACTAAGGATCAATACTGGAGCTTCCTCACACCTTGGATGGGACCATCCTGAGGTGTGTTTTTACTATGTGCTCCCCAGTGGGACATCATTAGATAACGACTTCAAGAAAATATGACATATAATTTAAATATCCTATCTGTGGCCGCATTAGTGCTTATTAAATAATCAGCGGTAAAAACTGTGTTTGGATCCTCTCGATCACTGACCCTCTGCTAGCTATTGCTTATGGTGTTGAGTTTCTTAAAGTTGAATTTTAGAATTCCTTTTTCTTCCTTCCTTTCCTCCTTCTGTGTGTAAAGTCCTTCATTTAATTATTTCTGTCTTCTTTTTAATTGATTCTGTTTCATGAACATTCTAATTGCAAAATATCTACCTAGTAGAAATCTGTTCATTCATTCACCCCGTGCTGGCTTCTTCATCCTCACCCACTACAGGTAACTCCTGGGGGTGTTTCCCAAATAAACTCGTGCATTCCTTGTGTCAGGGTTTTCTGCTAGAGGAATACACCTGGACACACCCTTAAAATGAGAGCCATGTAATCCTGCTTATTCATCACTTATTCACCATACATTTACTCTGACCCCTCCACGTGTAAGGTACAATGCTCAGAGCTCAGTGAAAAAGACGAGAGGCATGCCCCTTCTTATTTCTTAGAATTGACTTAACACAAGGACCTCAGGAGGGAGGGATATGAACCCATCCAAGATCTCCAACCTAAGGGTTCCTACTGGAACTTCCAGAATGATCCCCTGCCCTTTAAACAGGTTGTGAACAGGAGATTGCTGCACAAGTTTCAGTGACTTTTTCATGCCCACTGCTGCTCCTCTCCTGATCTCCTTGTATTTCTATTTGATGTTGGGTTCTTGATGACATTTATTTTGCTTTTGAATGTGTCATACCTTCTTTGAAAATTTTTACTGTAGTATAATATCCATAAAAGGAATGGACAAACCACCTAAGAAGTCTCTCTCAGGCCCCTCCAGGTCTCCTCTCTCTCCCGACATGGGTAGTCACCATCTTGACTTTCCACAGTGCAGTTTGCTTCTTTTTTTTTACTTTAAATATTTATGTGTGGAGGTTCATTCATACCTTTGCATGTAATTGTACTCTGTCCATGCTCATCACTGTGTAGTGCTGCAGGGTGTGAATGTACCAAGGTTTATTTAGCCGTTCTACTGCAGATGGAAAGTTACGTGGTTTGTATTTGGAGCCTATTATGAATAGTGCTGCTACGAGCATTCTTGCACCTTCCAAATATGTGGATGCAATTCTGTTGGATATAAGCTCAGGAGTGACGTTATTGGGTCCTAGGATATGCATGAAGGTTCAGCCTCAGTAGATGCTGATGGTATTCCACAGTGGGTATACTGGCTTTCACTTCCAGCAATAGAGCATTGTTTGAATGAAGGGTATTCCAAGGAATGGAATAATTCCATTGTTCTACATCCCCATCAATGCTTCAGTTTAGACATCTTTTTCCTCGCAGGTGTGGGCTATGCCTTTTAAAATTTTCTATAGAGAAAGATTTATATATGTTATCTCTGCTTGAAGCAGAAAACTAGAAGTCTCAGACGAGGGTTTTGTGATTAATAAAAATTCATTTCTGCTATAAAATTTCCTATTTGGCACAATTTTTGCCCGTGGTGCTTTGAAATTGTGATTCATCTTGGGAGATGCCTTTTGCTAGGTCAATTTCAATACTTTAGCCAGTGAATCCTTCTCCCACCTCCTGGGAGGTGTTTGCATCACCCTCTTTCTGATGAAATGTGAGTCCACCCACTTGAGGGTCCCTCTCTCTGTCAGTCCTCTCTGCCTCATTATCTCCTTAATGCTCTCAGTTTTCACTCCTTCTCTCTTTTTGGCTTGATCGCCACTATTCTTTGGTGACCTCTTTTATAAAGCACCAAAGCATTTCTTTCCCTTTCTTTTGATTATTTATGTGTACATCTTTTCTTCATAAGTCCTTGAGCAGACACTCAAGCTGCTTTGTGTTCTTAAGTGCTCTCCTTTCGTTTCTAAATGTTAATTTGTACTTACAGGGGAGATAATGGTTACAAGTGGTTAAGGGTATGAGCTCTGAGGTTAGGCTTCCCTGGGTCAAATGCCAGCTCTACCACTAGCCAGCTCTTCAGCCTGAGAAAAATCACATAACTCCTGTAAGCTTCAGTCTCCTCATCCATAAAGTGGGGTGAATATTAACTCTCTCACAGGGTTGTTGGGGAGTAAATAGGATATTTGCCTTAGTGTCATGTCTGGCACATATTCAATGGATGTCACTGTTAATCAAATCATACCTTGAATTCCTATAACTTAAACCATATATTTCCTTTCCCTTCCATTCTTGTTCCCTTTCTCTTTCTGCTTTCCCTCCCTCCTTCCCTTCCCTTCCTTCCTTCCTCCCTCCCTTCCTTCCTCCCTTTCCTCCATCCCTTCCTTCCTTTCCTCCCTCCCACCCTTCCTTCCTTCCTTCCTTCCCTCCCTCTCTCCCTCTCTCCCTCTCTCCCTCTCTCCTTCTTCAAATATTTATTGGGGTCTACCATGTGTCTGATACTGTGCCAGAAGCTGAGATGTAATAATAAGAAAGCAGTTGTAGTTCCTGTCCTCAAAGTGTCCACCATTCAGTTTGGGTGATATGAAATCAGATATTCACACTAATACATAATTACAAGCTGTGATATGTATTTAAGACCAAAAACATGGGGTTCTTGGATGGTGCCTAACAGGAGATGTGACCTAGTCAGACAAGACTGCTCTGAGAGACCTTGGTCTGAGGCCTAAGTGATGGAGGGAGTAAGTAGACACCCCACATCCATTGTGGAGTATCTCTAAGAGATTATGATTATTTGCTCTTTTAATAGTTGTCCCTCCGCGTTGTTTTTGGAAAGGCTGTGCTGTGGCTGTTAATTGGTGGCCCCAATAAGCCATGCATGCTGATAGTCATACCTTTGTGAAGCCCCTCCCACATTGACACTGGGCTTGGTCATGTGACTTGCTTTGGCCAGTGAGAAATTAGCATGCCTGACACAAGCAGAGTCTCCCTTTTGAAGCCTTAGACCACCACGGAGAGGTTTGACTGTCCTGCTGAAGAGTTCATGAGGAGAGAAGCCAAGGAGGCTGTGAGACTATAGGGAAAGTACGAGAGACACACACACCAATGCAGCCTGCTCTCAGTGCTGCAGCCACAGACACCCGACATGTGAGTGAAGCCACTGTGGCTCCTCCTTTCCTTAATGAAGGCACCTGGCCAATAACACACGGGTAGAGCCAACCCCATCGTGTCTTGCAGGACTGTAGCATCCTAACTACTCTTCTTTTAAGCCACTAAGTTTTTTGATGGTTTTAATACAGCAATAGATGCCTGGAACATGCTGCTTATTCATCCTATCTGAGCAGAGTACTTATCAGATGGTGCAGAGTGGCGTCAGTGCTTCCCTCGCAGCCCTGTCAAACAGAGGCGTCTTAGGCTCAAGTCTGTGAACTCTGTGAAATCATATTCCCAACTGCACATATCTGCATTTTTTTCCCTGGGGAGAGGACTCATGGCTTTTGTTATACATTCTCAAAAGAATCTGAGATTCCTAAAATAAAGCAATACATTATTTTTGAAGAAAATATAGACTTATATTCTACAGAAAGAAGTTTGACTAAAGTGCTCTGTGGGCACAGAAAGAAAGGAGTAATTAACTATGCTAATTGGAATTGAGGGTGGTTTCCACAGTGGAGGTGATATGTATTTATCTCCTTAAAATTACCTTCTATAAAACTGAATTTGGGATCCTTATGTTAAATAATTTATTCTCCTTTTGTGTTACATAGAGTTCATTGTACCTCTGACCTTTTAAGTTGGGCCAATTTACTCACTCTTTCCCTAAAGACAAGAATTTAAATATCAGATATTATGGTAAATAATGAAGACTCAGGGTCAGGTTTGCCTCCAGCATTTGTGGGGTTCCTGGCAGGAGTGAAAGTGAAGGCTCACTCTGATCTAAATATTTTAAACTTATAAATTAGGCTAACAAACTCTTAAATAAAATGTGTTCTGTTCTCCTACCTTGTCAAATTTAGCTTCAAATTTAGAATTCTCAGATGCCTTGGAGTTTTACATGGGCATATGGAGTGTGGAAAGAAATGGCCCAGGCTCCTTGTGCCAGTGAGTGACTGATCTCTCTTCTCTCCCCCTACCCCAACTCTGTCCTGCACAGGCATCCCAACCCACATCCAGGCTCTGTCCATGCCTCTCCACTGTCAGCCATGCCTTGACCTCCTCAAGGCTAAGAGTGCACAGAATAGCAGCACAGTTCACCCTCAGAAAGGTTGACCTATCCTGTGATGGACCCAGGGAAGGACTCATATGAACATTCCAATGTCCTCCCAATGCACTCCCCTAAGAGTAGGCTGTGGACCCTTTGGGCAGGGCATTTCAGGGTTTCGGGTATCTGGTGTGTGATCTAGAAAGATGTAGGGGATAGAGGTGGGCAGATCCCCTTGGCCCCACCAACTTCTCACCATGGTGAGGGATGTGGCCAGAAGATGACCAGAGTGGAGCCCCCAAAACCATGCTATTCAGTATGGTAGCCACTAAGCACATGCGGCTACTGTCCAAATTGCTGAACGAGTTTCATAGGAAATGCATACTACATTTTGAAGACACAGTACAAAGGAAAAAAAGAGAAAAATATCTATCTCATTAAACATATTTAGCTGTTTCCTTTGCCTTTTTCTTTTTAAATGTGGTTATAGGGAATTTTAAATTACTCATGTGGCTCATTTCTGTGGCTCTCTTGGACAGCGTTGCTTTAGAGCCCAGCCAGCAGAGCCTCTGTGGTCCCTCTGTAATTGCATCACAGCAGTAAGGCCCTTGATAGCTCTCGGCCTCCTTGCCCACCCCCACTCCCTCCCATGAAACTCTTACCTGGTTTTGACTGGTCTCATCTCCTACATCCTGACTCTTGGGTTCATGGTCAGACTTGGATGCGTAACTCTGGACTCCTACCCTGGAATTTAACAAGGTCCTGATGCTCCCCATATTGGCTCTCTAGTATTTGTTTCTGACTTCTCGCCTTTCCCCCATCTCCACCTCCCATTATCTTGAACGAAAGCCCCTTTTCCCATCCCCAGGTATGGCCCCTCAGGTATTGTCTGTCCTATTCCTGGCTCTCCTTATGAAGCATGGGTGAGATCTCATATGCTCCTCCACTCTTTGGGGTTCATTTTTGATCTACACTTCCTGTGGTATTTGTTATTACAACTTGAGTTTAATAACAGCTTCATCTCTTAATCCTCTCAGAAAACATATTTGCATTTTGGCTGGAGCCTTCAAAGTATTTCCCCAAGGAAATCCTCAAGGAATCCAGTGGGAGGCCAAGGAGGGAGGCAAATTCTAGACTTTCCTTAAGAATCTTACAAATCCTTCTATTTGCATGTATTATTTATTCAAAAAACAGTTTATTCAAAAAAGAGTTTATTCAAAAAACATTGAGTCTGTGGTGCCACAAGGCATTCGAATTCCTGCTAGGTTCTAATCACTATTCTTCTAAGCATAGGGACTCAACAGAGATGCTCCATTTGATAAATTAATTAAGAATCAAGGAGTCACAGCAGCACATTCTCTACTGTGGTGGAGCACTTTGTACTATATATGAGAGGGCCAGGGAGGTGAGGGCAGCTTCCCTGAGAGAGAGCCTCTGAGAAATCAATTAAAAAAAAAAAAAAGCACTGAAAATGTAAATGGCTTCTTCAGACCCTTAATGGGTTTATATGATAGAAACCAAGTCCACTGGTATACACATTGGAGGCTGAGCCATGCCTGCCTCACTAAGGAACTTTCCCTGTGTAACAACCTCACAGCAAGTAGGATTAAAATTTTTGACTTTGTGCCAGTTCCATAGCATGTGGGATTGGACTCCTTGGCTTAGCAAAGGAACACATTGCTACCTCATGGATACCGGGCCTACTCCATATAACAGGGATAATATTTTGAAATATAATCCTATGAAATTACTCTTTTTGGAAATTATGTTTCCTATAGGTTGTACTTTTAAAACTAGAGAAGCTGAGATTGATTGACCCAGAGAAAGGAAGACAGAAAACTGCTCCAAGTCAAACAAAGGTCTAATTCTTGGCTTTTGGGATTCTAAATAAATGCTATTGAGTCTGTGGTGCAACAAGAGTCTCAAATGTCAAAATGAAGGAACCAGGCAGTTGAGAAATCAGAGGAATATGCTGTTTGTTTTTTCTCCTTAGAAAATCTGACAGTTCATCCTTGAAGAGTACGTTGATTTTAAAAAAATCACAAAGACATAAAAATTGGTGGACTTTTACTTATGCCTTAAGACTTGAGTCTTAAGACCCCTTTCTAAGTGACCCTGAGTTGGTGATCTGATCTTATAAATCCCATAAGGCCTCCTGAGTTCAGGTCTAGGTTCTGAAAAAAAAAAAAAGTTACTGCCGATTCCCAGGCAGGAATCATGATTTCTTTATCTGTGCATCTCCAGCTCTAACACAGCACTGGTACCGTGTTGATGTTTGATACATGTTTAGTAAGTGAATGAATCAAGGAACGAATTCTCAGAGTAGAGAAAAGACGTTAAAAGATGGGCCTGAAAAGCGGCAAGGCTACAGGGACATGTTTTCTTAATGTGTTTTCTTTAACCAATAAATTAAAACATTATTTATCGAGGTAATAAGGATTGCCCCAGGTTCTGGGTGGTTATCAGGTTTGGCGCTGGCCTTCTAGCTTACAGCACAGCAACATCTTAAAAATGGCAGCCACCACCAAACAGTGTTGAGGCTACAGCTCTTCTCAGATGTGATAACGAGCCTGTCACTGGTATTTATGGGTCGTACATTGCTGGCTGAGCCTGGCCATCTGTTGAGAAAACCCTTCACTTTAAGTAATGTCCTAGTAACTTTGTTAGCTCCTTGAAGGCAGAGAATATCTTACGATTCCAGTTGTTCGCAGCACCCAGCATGGTGCTGGGTATAGAGGTCTTGGGTTTGTGTTTGTTAGGTAGAAGAGGCTCTGCTGTGGTAACAAGTAGGACCTGAAATCTCAAAGGCTTCACACAAAAGGTGTTTTCTCTCTGGTGTGAGATCTGAGATGGCCTGGCAGAGACTCTCCTCCATGCAGGTACTTGGGTATCCAAGCCCCTTTCACTTTGAGGCTCTTTTCCAAAGAGGAAGAGGGTCATGGAGGAGCCAAATCAACTGCCAACTGCTTTAGCCCCAGAAGTACTCATGTTGCTTCAGGACAAAGTCCTAGTCGTGTGATTCTAATTGACTCTAAGGGAGACTTCAAAGTGTGGGTAGCTTTGGTGAGAGCTCAGTATCTTTGCCACAGTACAAAAAAGCCATGTGTCTGATGGAGTTGAAGTGACACACGCTGACCCAGCACAGATGGAGAAGATAGGGTCCAAGATCATACTTTGTCACTTACTAGCTGTGTGATCTTGAATATGCTACTTAGCCTTCTTGTCTCAGTTTTCTTATCTATAAAATTGATTTAATTATAATAGTATCTCTTTTCCAGGGTTGTTTAGAGGACTCATTGAGATGACAAATGTGAAAAGGGCTTTGTAAAGTGTAACATACTTTTAGAACTTTCTTAAATTTTTTTTTCATTTTTCCCCTTTCAGGGTACTATGCAATTGTGAATGTCTTACGACACAGTGCATATGAGCTGCAGAGATTGAACATGAAGGGGGAGGGTTAGAGTCCTGTTTGTTTTTAATTTTTCTGTATTGTCAGTGCCTACTATGGATCCCAGCATACATGATACTTAATAAGTACACATGTCTGCTAAATGAATAGCTGATTGAGTGAGTGAAATCTAGACCTCAGCAATGCAGTAAAAAAAGTGAGTATATTCAAGTCCTCTGGTTTTCTGACTTAAATGTAAACCTCTTAGGGCTTTGCCCTAATATTCTAAATGGGCTGATAACAAAGATTCTTTGCTTGGTTAAACTTTAGTCAGCCTCTTGGGGAACATTCTCCTAGGCTCATCTGCACATGTTTTTGTAAAACCCAGTTTTAGCAAGAACCCTGATAAGTCAGTTTAGCAAGAACCGCTCGTTCTCTCTCACTGTCTGATTAGCCTTGATATCTGATCAGGTTCCTCCTCCTCCAATATCACCTATAAAAATCCTGTAGGTTCGTTTGGCCAGAATTTCCCTTACTCCTGATGCATCCTCTAAGTCATTTTCATCCATCGATCCCCACCCTGCTCCTTAGCTGTAAATTCCCACTTGCCCATGCTGTATTCAGAGTTGAGCCTAATCTCTCTCTCTCACTGCAAAATCCCCTTACCATGGTCCCTATACCTGTTGCAATGGTCATGAATAAAGTCTGCCTTACTGTGCTTTATCCAATGTCACTGAATGATGTTTTTTCTTTAACAATGAACATTATTCCTTTCCTACACTGCAATGACCAGAGTCATAAAATGGTCCTTTGGGTGAGAAATGAAATTATATATTCCTTATTGTGTTTTCTCTTTTTCAGAACTAAATAATCACCCTTCTTCCTGGGCTGGGCTGAAACAACTTTAGCAATAGCAGGAGCAATAACAAGAACACAATAAGAACAGTGACAGGTGACCAAGCGCTACTGTGCACTAGGCACCATGTGAACACAGCACATCCATTATGTCTGCTAGCGCTTACAGCAACCTTGTGAGTGAAGCCTTCTCCCTGTTTCAGAGATGATGGAATGCATGTTTCCAGAATTGGCAAAGTGGTCATAGGGCCATAGTTTGAACCCAGGTGAATCTGCTTCTAAAACTCTTACTCTGAACCACTTTGCAAAATTGCCCCCTTTAGAGTAAGCCTCAACTGTACTCCAAATACAAATGCTGGAAATATTTTTCTTTCATAACTCATTGTAATTTTTTGGTAAGACACTCTTTTCAAAGAAACAGTCATATTTTAAGCATCCATAATTGGTTTTTTGCAAACATAAAAGATGATGCTGCTGCTGATAGGTTTACATAGGAGACTAACAGAATCCTTTGGGGGTTGCTACTTCCAGAACTTCCAGTCTTTTTGTTTTCCCTGCAGGTTAAGATAAATTCATTTATTCCCCTTCCTCTCCTAACATTGTCCTTTAGAACAGAGGTCCCTGACCCCTGGGCTGCAGACTGGTACTAGTCCGTGTGGTGTGTCAGGAACCAGGTTGCACGGCAGGAGGTGAGTAGTGGGCGACATTACCACCTGAACTCCACCTCCTGTCAGATCAGTGGAGGCATTAGATTCCCATAAGAGTGCCAACCCTGTTGTGAACTGCACATATGGGGGATCTAGGTTGCATGCTCATTATAAAAATCTAACTGATACCTGATGATCTAAGGTGGAACAGTTTCATCCCAAAACCATTCCTCTCACCCCCACCTGTGGAATAATTGTCTTCCATGAAACCAGTCCCTGGGGCCAAAAGTGTTGGGAATCACTGCTTTAGAATGTGCTTCCCATTGTACCTACTAATCATGGCAGGTTTAGTCTGTGGCATTCCAGGTACTACTGCTGCCCCCAACCATCCAAATTTGGTGGTATGAATCAACAACATTTATTTGTTCACAGATTGTGTGGGCCAGGAATTTGAAAACGGCAGTGGAAGACTCTTCTCTGCTCCATTGTGACTGAGGCTTTAAAGACTCCATGGGCTGGGGTGACTTAAACATCTTGGACAGCTGAGTGGGGCTTCCAAGTTGGCTTCCTTGCTCTCATGTCCAGTGCTTGGCCTGAAGGATAGTCAACCACAGCACCTCCATGTGACTTGGGCTTCCTCACAGCATGGCAGCTGGGTTCCAAGAAAGTGTATATTGAGAACAAGCAGCCAAAGAGCAAGTCTTCCGTGATAATCAGGTGGAAGCTGCATAGCCTCCTGATCTAGGCTTAGTAGTCACACATCTTTGCTTTGCCTTATTGTCTTAGTTACAAGTGAGTCATAAATACAACCAGATTAAATAGGTGGAGAATTACACTCTACGTCTCAACTGGAGGAGTTTCTAAGCATTTGCAGCCATTTAAAGAAATGCCACTAGTTAGTAAGAGCACTTCCCTCATCTACCAATACTCTTTAGAGCAACCAGGTATATCCCTGAAAGAAGAGAGTTCAGGGTGATACCAATGATAGCAAAATTAAAAAATATAAATTAGCAAATGTAGCCGGGCATGGTAGTTCATGCCTGTAATCCCAGCACTTTTGGAGGCTGAGGAGGGCAGATTACTTGAGGTCAGGAGTTCAAGACCAGCCTGACCAACGCAGTGAAACCCCATCTCTACTAAAAATACAAAAATTAGCCAGATGTGGTAGTGCATGCCAGTAGTCCCAGCTACTCAGGAGGCTGAGGCACAAGAATCACTTGAACCCAGGAGGCAGAGGTTGCAGTGAGCTTAGATCTTACCACTGTACTCCAGCCTGGGTGACAGAGCGAGACTCTGTCACAAAAAAAAAAAACTATGTATATATAAATTGATTCATGCATGGCACAATCATATGATACGGCAATTGTAGCCATTAAAATTATGTTTTCAAATAAAATAAAAAGAGAAGGAGCAATATGTCAATGGCTTATAAAGTTGGAAAACACTACAGATAGTATGAAGAACTTCTAAATATATGTCACAGTTTGAAGGAACTTGGCATTATGAATGACTTTTCTCTTCTGCTTATCTGTATGTATGATATTTTTACAATAAGCATATGCTGCTTTTGAAATAAGGAAAAAGTTAATCAGATAAGAGAAAGAAAGAATTTGGAAAGATGAAAACATCTGCATTAATTTCAAAAGACCAAGAAAGTGTTTTGGGTCAAGCCATGAAGGGAGCTAGACCCTGCTGACTTTCTTGAGCCTGAGGGGCTTTGGTGGGTGGGCAGACTAAGGGGCACCGTGAAGCTGGAAGGGACCTTTGAATCTTCATGCACAGGCCTTGACTTTGGAGAGGAGGAAATTAAATGGAGGGTAACTTGTGCAGGGTCACACATCTAGTTAGTGGAAAAGTTCAGCCAGGATCATAGGCTCTTAGTCTCTAGCTAAGATGGTTTCTTCTCCACCTGCTGTCATCAGCTGTAAACTGACAAGCATCAGTTGCCTGTGCTTTTACATGAAGGACTGACACATTTCTACTTCAAGTAGGCGTCTTCCCTGCAGCATCGTAGCTGAGAGCTCTTGGATGCTTCTGGCTTAGGAAAGGAGGATGTGATTTTATGGAAGTTGAACTGGGTGTTGTGATAAACTTAGCAGTCACTGGTCATATCCAATGACAGGTGACAATTTTATTCTGAAATAAGTTGAACTCCAGAGTGAAGAATGGGAAAGATGATAATGACAATGTGCTTCCTCCTTTAAGGGGAAAATGAGAAACACTCAGCTTTAGGGGTAGGTGGGGAGAAGAACCCACACTTCAAATGTTGCATTTCTAAGAGTCTATGGGGGGGTCAGATGGTGCTAGTACATCTAAAGGCAGCTTAGAATGAACATATCATCCCTGTCCCCAACATATTTTCCTCTCTGTGTTACCAGACACATGCTTTATAGATCCCTGAAAAGAGCACAAGATTCAAATATTTTGTCATCAATATTCTCTATTTTTGCCTTCAATTTCTATCCCATTAGAGATAAAAGTCTCATACAGTTGCTTCTGGCTAATTGCATCTCATTTATTTATTTGTTAATCTTTTAATAAAGAGGTGCTGCCCGAGGCAAGTGCAGATGAAAATGGTAATTTATTGTTTGGGTCAGGGAGGTTGGCTAAAGAAATCCGGAAAGAGCATAAACACTCATAACCTGGACTCAGTAATTCAGTGAATTTTCTGGATAAGACCATTGCCAAAAATACTTCCAAGGAGTTGGATTGTGGAGCATAGAGATCTACTGCTATAATGGACAAGGTTAAAGGTTGATTTCTTTCCCCATACAATTTTAATTCAGCTAGAACTAACACTTTATAGATTGCTTTCATAGATTTTTCTGGGGGGCTATTTTCAAAGAAGTCAAAGAATAGTTGGTTGTTGTTTTTATTTTTCAATAAAGCTAAGGCCCAGTTGATATGATGTAGTTTTTTCTAAATCTTAGACAGCATCTTTCTGCCTATTCTGTTGCTCAGATGTTGTCGTCTGTAGGAAAATAAAATGCCCCCCCTTCCTTTCACTCTTCCTCCTTCCTTATCGAATGCCTTCTAGGCATCCAGACAATCCATAGATTTGTTTCTATTCCTACATAAACTTACGAGAGTAATTGTGATTCTTCTTAATAAGGGTGGTGCAACCTATGTACCAGATGTTCAGAGAGGTTAGGTTCTTATCCAAAGACATCAGCTACTAAATGACTGAGGTGGGAATGAAATCCATGATCAATATGGATGTTTTGCATCCTGGGGGTCAGGGACTAGGCTATTTTGGTAGGTAGGAGTAAGGTACCCACAACAGACAAGAAGGTCCCAGGGAGAACTTTGGGTGATTCAGGTTACAGGATGGGGACCCTCTTTAAATGAGAAGAGATTCCTTTCTGTAGAGAGAACCTCAGAGATGCCTGTGACCCCAGGGGCTATCTGGACAGACATTGGTGAGGCCATCACAGCAGAGTACTCACTGTGCCCCTGGCAGTGTAGAAAGTTCCACAGTGTATTGCTTCATGTGGAGATCGTCTAGAATCCAAACCTTTGTGACCCTAAAGTATCAATTAATAAAAAATAAAAAGTTTTCAGACAAGTTGGCTAAATGTCCTTAAAGTGTTGAAATGGACATAAAATAGCAAAAGACACCACAAGGACAGATTTACAGAAGAGTGGAAATTTGATATTTAAAATATAAAGATAATTCAGAAGTGCCCTAGGCAAATGTGCTTAAAAATTATTAAAAAGCCAAGTAGATTTCAGAAAAAGATAGATAATGGAAAGGATTCAGAGAAGGATTAAATGTTGGATAACTTAATCATTAGACAACTAATTATTAGCAAACTAGCTTTAAGAATGAGCTCAAGTCCCGAAAGATTCCCTGGGTATTGGTCATGATCACGGCCAATACTCTGTCGGACTTCAAGTGATGATCAAATATTGCAAGATGATGATAAAGTCTTTAGAGATTCTATTGTTATGTGGGGAAATATCCGAATACCAGGATAATGAGCATAACTGTTACTTTTAGGTGGATGGTTTTTCTTGCTACAATTCCAGGGCAGGAGGGCTTATGTATTTGAGAAAAAAAAAGCAGTGTATTTTCCCCCAAATAGGAGAGTCATGTACTGAGCAGAGGGATGTAAAAGAGGTGAATGAATGTTATAGGACCATTGAGGCAGCAAGAGAGATGGGATGATGCTTAGCAGCTGCAGAGTGAGAAACTCTGGGAAGAAAAAGAGATGTCTAAAGATGAATTTTCAAAAGAATTCTATGACCTTGGTAATGCCCTTGTGCTACCCCTTTAAGGAAATCTAGAATAAAGAACGATTATTCTTCAAGTTTTAAAAGGCAGAGTTTTATTATTGTTGTTGCTGGATGCAAAGACAGGCCTCAAGTTTGCCTAGTTATAGTCAGGTTAGGATCTTTTAATTACTCTCCCTTTTAATGTCCAGAGCACTTATGAGTGAGAAGTGCCAGGAGAATTATTTATATTCTTTTGGGTAATATAAATGGGTAATTTATATTCATATTATAACCAGTAATGGGATTGTTGGGTCAAATGGTATTTCTGGTTCCAAATCTTTGAGGAATCACCACACTGACTTCCACAATGGTTGAACTAACTTACCCAAATGTCCATCAATGATAGACTGGATAAAGAAAATGTGGTACATATACACCATGGAATACTATACAGCCATAAAAAGGAATGAGATCATGTCCTTTGCAGGGACATGGATGAAGCTGGAAGCCATTATCCTCAGCAAACTAACACAGGAACAGAAAACCAAACACCGCATTTTCTCACTTAAAAGTGGGAGCTGAACAATGAGAACACATGGACACAGGGAGGGGAACAAACAACATTGGAGCCCGTTTGGGGAGGTAGGGAGAGCACTAGCTAAAAGAGCTAATGCATGCTAGGCTTAATACCTAGGTGATGGGTTGATAGGTGTAGCAAACCACCATGGCACACGTTTACCTGTGTGACAAACTTGGACATCCGGCACATGTACACCAGAACTTAAAAAAATTTTTAAAAAAAGTGCCAGGACAGCACATACAATGTGTTTCCAAATACCTTTGAATGGGAATGTGTCTGTGAACTGCTTCGTGCCACGACAACTACAAACCAGAGTACATAAACTGCTGGCTTGCTGATGTGCTATTTGAGCACTTTATGATTTTTTCTTAATTGAACCAAAAGATGAAGATCTGGAGATTTCACATTAAAATTGGATTTCAATGTCCAGTGAAAAACTGAAAGCTGTGGGAATAACTGGACCTGAGAAGTGGCTGTCCCCTAGCAGTGGGACATGTGCTCTCCAGCCAGCCACAGGCTCTAGATTCTTACTGCATTACCAGGCCTGTGTCATTCTTGATGCTCTGCCCCTGCAGGATCGACACTAAATTAGGCGCCTTGGGCACCAGGCACCTGGGCCTGTCTATTAATCATCATCACCAGGCAAAGCAGATGCTGAGGATGAAGCAAAAAATGCCTTCTTCTGAGGTTATTAGAGAATGAGGGAGAAACAAGGACTCCCCTGAATTAAACTTGAGTCTGGCAGTTTTGTACTGTGGCTGTAGGGGGAGAAGGAAGTGGGTGTGCTTGGGGGTTGTGGGAGGAAGCAGGTTTTGTGAAGTATAAAGCTCTCTGGAAGGGAATGATGAAGTGGGTTACAGCTAGGAAATAAAGATATATAAATATTTGATACAGAGTTCCAAAGCAGCAAGTAGGACGAGGACAGGACAATAAATAAAGATAAAAAAAGAGAAAGATGCTCTTGAAATGTATGCAAATCAAGCTTACCCAGTGTGAAAATGAGAAGTGATACACGAGGCTAAGAGTGCTGCGCATTGAATTTAAAATTTTCCTTGGGTATTTATGAGAACTGAGACACCTTGCCTAAATTTAGGCTGGAGGCTCCTCCAAGTATTGCTTCTTTTGCCTTTTGTGAGTCACAGCAGAAGGCTGGATAGGGGTGGAATTAGAGGAGCAGCAAACCCATTGTTGGCATCCTCTGCTGAAGAAAGCGGTAAGTTCCCTGGAGGCACCGACTCCCACGGGACAGTGTGCCTCTGCAGCTGGTGCAGCTGAGTGATTAGCTCAGCAGGACCTTGAATCCTGTTCCAACTTACCAAACAGAGTGAAAGTCCCTCTGCAGTCAGGAAACATTTCCAAGAGCCCAGCCTGTATGGAAGCAAGCCTCTCGAGAGCCAGTCCCCAAGGAGAAAGCATTTTCCTGTAGGACGCTTGGGCTCTCAGGCTGTCAAGAGTAGGGGGAACAGAGTTCTATGTTTAATCACTTGGGTACTGGAGAAATCATTTTGAGAAGAACTTGTGAAGGTCACAACCACTTAATTAAAGGAAGAAACTGCTCAGATGACCTTACTACATGCAGAAGGAATGCAGGTGAATTGAGATGGGTATAATTACAACTGCTGTCACTTCTATTATTTTAGCTCTCTGAGGAAAAAGAAGAGGAAGGTTAAATGTAATTTGGTTAAATATGGCTTCCGACTATCTACGGGGGGGCAGAAAAAAGCCTCTTAATTCTCTTAAATAATCCACGACTGAAACTGTCCCAAGTCTTGCTATGCCGAAACCTCAGTTGAGAGAATGACAGAGAAGGAATTATTTAATTTATATATTTACCCACTCACTTCTTTGAACTTTGTACTTCCTGAGGTCATACCACTTCTTCCTGCATCCAATCCACTGAGCCCTGCAGATCTTACCCTCTAAATATCTCCAAATGTGTTTACTTTCTCTCCTGCCCAGTGTTGTCAGCATATTCCTCTGCACTTAATCTATACTTCACACCTCAACTATTGTACTCTTTTCAAACTGAAAATCTGTCCCTTGAAATCCCTCAAGAACTTCTAATGGCTGTTTGGATAAAATTAGATAAAAATAAAACTCCCTAACATGCCCTACAGCCTTGCTACTTAAAGTGTGGTCCCTACACAAGCAATATGGGCATCTCTGGGGAACTTGTTAAGAATGGAGATATCAGTGCTTGCATTTTCACAAGATCTCCAGGTAATTCATAGGTATGTTAAAGTTTGGGAAATACTTACTGCAAGGCTCTGTGTTCTTCAGCAGCAACCTACCTGTTTAGCAAACCTGCACATTTGTGGGTCCCTGGGTAAGAATAGACATGGAGGCCCATATGCCCTATGCCTAAATATTTAAAAATAATAAATCAATCTAGCTGTTAAGATATATTCCATCCTTCTATCTTGACAAATATAACTTCACAATGATCTGGAGAGCCAGATTTCCTTAAGAATTCCTGGAATCCTTGTAGTTTCACACCACAACTTACCAAAGAAGCCTTAATCATGAATAGACATTCTACTTACCCATTCAACATTTGCCCACAGCTCATCACTTCTCAGGCCCAAGGGTACCTACCAAGTAGGATGGTCAATGTTTAGGAGGATTGAGCTGAGAAAGGGGTCACTCAGGCTTTGGAAGCAGGGTAGGGATACTTTGAAGAAGGAATTCTGTGTATCTTGTACCTGGAGAATGTTCTAGAAAGAGGGAAGCATGGACTCTAGAAAGAGGGAAGCATGAGAAGGCATCATCTCTTTAGCTCCAGAAGTTTCTTGCCACAGGGAGAGAAATGCGGCCGGTTGAAAGCCAGTGTGTGTTTGAGACCTCTCCTACGTAGGTTGAAGGCCATGGCTATTCTCTAAACTTTTCTTGAGTTGTAGCCTTCATCTCATGGCGACACAGGCATCCTGGTCTTTTTTTAGCCCCTCATCCTCACTCATTTTCTCTTTCTCTCTCAATGTAGGACCTTTGCATTTGTTCATCTTTCTAACCAGATATGTGTTTGCTCTTCAAGTTGTAGGCTTAATGCCACACATCCTAGAAATATCAGCTCAAGCATGCTTTTACAAAGGGAAGGCTTTCACAGCCTCTCTGATGAAGCCAAGTTTTCTAATTTTAGATTTGTATAATAACCTGTGTGGCACTTGTTACATGCATTTCTTATTTATCAATCTATTTATTTAATGCCCACTTTACCTACCAGAACATAAGCTCCGTTAGGGTAAGAACCATGATTGGCTTTGCTTTAGCATTGAGGACAGAGCTTTAACACATAACATGCGCCTGTAATCCCAGCACTTTGGGAGGCTGAGGCGGGTGGATCACCTGAGGTCAGGAGTTTGAGACCAGCCTGGCCAACATGGTGTAACCCCGTCTCTACTAAAAATACAAAAATTAGCTGGGCATGGTGGCAGGCACCTCTAATCCCAGCTACTCAGGAGCCTAAGGCAGGAGAATCGCTTGAACCCAGGAGGCGGAGGTTGCAGTGAGCCAAGATCATGCCATTGCCCCCCAGCCTGGGCAACAAGAGCGAGACTCCATCTCAAAAAAATTAAAAAAAAAACAACTAACAAACAACATGTGCTAATATGTATTTGCGGAATGATTTAATGAATGAAGATGGGATTCTTTTGACAGTGAGAATAACTAAACAGAATATGCAAGGTTTCCATGATTAAGCAGGAAAGTTTTCTTCTGTACTTCATATGGGCAAGGTCCAGTGGGTTATATAAAGCTCTGTGTTGTTGTCCAGAATGTGTGAGGTGACCTTTTGACAATGTGCAAAATGCATATAGGGTCTTGCTCTGTTTATTTCAGAAAATACCACTTTTTTCTTTTAAAGAAAGCCCTGTTCTCTGAAATTTCCCATTATTTTATCATTTTGCTTTGGAAATGTACTGTCTGCATTTTTACTAGATCCAGGTGTGGAGAAAAACAATTCCCTACATTCTTATATCTTGCAGTTTGTTTAAATTGATGTGATTTAAACTATTCACATTTTTAAGACTTTTTTTAGAGCAGTTGTAGGCTTGCAGCAAAATTGAGAGGAAGGTATAGAGATTTCCCATATACCTATGCCTAGGTATATATGCATGTATAGCTTCATACTCTAGCCATGTATAAGTAAATACACATCCATAGCCTCCCCCATTATGAACATCCTCCACTAGAGTGGTACATTTGTTACAAGCAGTGAACCAACATTGACACATTATCATCCAAAGTCCATAGTTTAAGGTTTATTCTTGGATGTACTTTCTATTCTAACCCATAGGAGTTTAGACAAATGAATAATGACAAATATCCACAAATATAGTATTATACAGTGTGTTTTTCTGTTCTAAAAATGCTCTGTTATTCTTTTATTCATCTGCCCCACAACCCCTGACAGCCACTGATATTTTTTACTGTCTCCATAGTTTTGCCTTTTCCAGAATGTCATGTAGTTGGAATCGTACAGTATGTAGCCTTTTTAGACTGGCTTCTTTCACTTAGTAATATGCATGTAAGATTCTTCCATGTATTTTCATGGCTTGACAGCTCCTCTCTTTTTAGCACTGAATAATATTCCATTGTCTGAATGTATCACAGTTTATTTATCCATTCACCTACTGAATGACATCTTGCTTACTTACAAGTTTTGGCAATTATGAATAAAGCTGCTATAAACATTTGCGTGTAGATTTTTAAGTGGACATAAGTTTTCAATTTCCTTGGGTAAATACCAAAAAGGAGGGTCACAGGGTAAGAATATGTTTATTTTTGTAAAAAACTGTCAAATTGTCTTCCATAGTGGCTGTGTTATTTTACATTCTCACTAACAGTGAATGTAAGTTCCTATTGCTCCACATTCTCACCAGAATTTCGTGTGGTCAGTGTTCTATATTTTGGCCATTCTAATAGATGTGTAGTGGTATGTCATTGTTATTTTAATTTGCATTTTCTTGAAGCCGTATGATGTGGAACATATGCAAAATATCCTTCCAGTCTGTGGCTTGTCTTCTCATTCCCTTGACACTACCTTTCACAGAACAGTAGTTTCTAATTTTAAGGAAGCCTAGCTTATCAATTATTTCCTTTGTGGATTGTGCCTTTGGTGTATATAAATAGTCATTGCCACACCCCAGGTTATCTAGATTTTTCTCCTGTTATCTCCAGGGGTTTAATAGTTTTACATGTTGAATTTGGTTCTAATATCCATTTTGAGTTAGTTTTTATAAGAAGTATAATGGTTGTGTCTAGATTATTTTTCTTTCTTTTTTTTTTTTGCATGAGAATGTCCAGTTGTTCCCACACCATTTGTTGAAAAGACTATCTTTGCTTCACTGTATTGTCTTTGCTTCTTTGTCAAAGATCATTTGACCATATTTATGTGGGTCTATTTTTCTGAGCTCTCTATTCTGTGCTGTTGATCTATTTGTCTATTATTTTACCAATATTACACTGTCTTGATTGTTGTAGCTTTATAGTAATCTTGAAGTTGGACAGTGGTAGTCCTCTGTTCTTCTTCCATATTGTGTTGGTTATTTGGGGTCTTTGTTCTTTCCATATAAACTTTAGAATCAGTTTGTTGATATTCATAAAACAACTTGCTGGGATTTTGATGGGGATTGCATTGACTCTATAGATCAAGCTGTGAAGAAATGACAACTTACCAGGTTTGAGTCTTTCTATCCATAAACATGGAATATTTCTACTTAGTTCTTTGATTTCCTTCATTAGTGTTTTGTAGTTTCCCTCATAGAGATCTTGTACATATTTTGTTATATATGCACCTAAGTATTTCATTGTAGGGGTTGCTAACGCAAATAGTATTGTGTTTTTAATGCCAGTTTCCACTTGTTCATTGCTAATGTATTGGAAAGCAATTTACTTTTGTATATTAACTTTGTATTCAGAAACCTTGGTATTATCAGTTATTCATTCTGGGAAGCTGTTTTGTTGATTCTTTTAGATTTTCTACATAGACCATCATGTCATCTGTAAGAAAAGACAGTTTTATTTCTTCCTTTCTAATCTGTATACAATTTATTTCATTTTCTTGTCTTATTGCATTAGCTAGGACTTCCAGTACAATTTTGCAAAGGAATTTTGAGAGGAAATATACTTGCCTTGTCCTGATCTGAATGGAAAAGCTTTTAGTTTCTCACTGTTATGATGTTAGATGTAATTTTTTAAAAATAGATATTCTTTATTAACTTGGGAAAGTTCGCCTTTATTCTTAGTTTACTGTGAGTTTTTACTATAAATACCTGTTGGATTTTGCCAAATACTTTCTCTGCATCTATTGATATATTCATGTAATTTTTTAGCCTGTTGATGTGATGGATTACATTAATTAATTTTGATTTTTCAACCAGTTTTGCACAGCTGGGATGAGTGTCATTTTCTTGTGCTGTATAACTCTTTATATATATTGTTGAGTTCAATTCACTAATATTTTGTTGAGAATTTTTACACATTTCTTATGTATTCATAAGAGATATTGGTCTGTAGTTTTCTTTTCTTATAATGTGTTTTTCTGCTGTTGGTATTGGGGCAATGCTGGCTTCATAGAAGAAGTTAGGAAGTATCTTTTCTGCTTCTATCCTCTAAAAAGATTATAGAGAATTGGTATAATTTCTTCCTTAAATGTTTGGTGGAATTCACCAGTAAAACCATGTGGACCTGGTGTTTTCTGTTTTGAAAGGTTATTAATTATTGATTCTAATAATTTCTTTAACATATATAGACCTGTTTAGATTGTTTCTTTCTCTCTCTCTCTTCTTTCCCTCCCTCTCTCCCTCCATCCCTCCCTTTCTCTCTTTCTCTCCCCTTTCTTTCTCTCTCTCTTTTTTCTCTCTGTTTCCTTTCTTCCTTCCTTCTTTCTCTTTCTTTCCTTCCTTCCTTTCCTTCCTTCCTTCCTTCTTTCTTTCTCTTTGTTTTCTTTTCTTTCTTTTCTTTCTCTTCCTTCCTTCCTTCCCTCCCTCCCTCCCTCCTTTCTTTCTTTCTTTCTTTCTTTCTTTCTTTTTTCTTTCTTTCTTTCTTCTTCCCTTCTTTCCCTTGTCTCTTTCTTTCAAGACACGGTCTTGCTCTGTTGCCCAGGCTACAGTGCAGATCATGGCTCACTGAAGACTTGACCTCCCTGGATCAAACAATCCTTCTTTCTTAGCCTCTCTAGTAGCTGGGACCATAGGCATGTGCCACCATGCCCAGCTAATTTTTAAATATTTTTTGTAGAGACAGGGTCTCCCTGTGTTGCCGGGGCTGGTCTCAGACTCCTGGGTCCAAGCAATTCTCCTGCCTCAGCCTTCCAAAGTGCTGGGATTACAGGCATAAGCCACAGCACCCAGCCTGTATATTTCTTCTCGTATGAGTTACGGAGTCTCCCTGTGTTGCCGAGGCTGATCTCAGACTCCTGGGTTCAAACGATCCTCCTGCCTCAGCCTTCCAAAATGCTGGGATTACAGACATAAGCCACAGCACCCAGCCTGTGTATTTCTTCTTGTGTGGGTTTTGGCAGACTGTGTTTTTCAGATAATTGATTCATTTCACCTAGGTTCTCAAATCTAAATCATAGAATTGTTCATAATATTCCTTTATTAGTCTTTTAATGTCCATGGGATCCACAGTAATGTTTCTTCTTTCATTTATGATATTAGTAATTTGTGTCCCCTCTCTTTTTTGTCTTAGCTTGACTAAAGGCTTGTTCATTTTATAATCTTTTAAAAATAATCATCTTTTGTTTTCATAGATTTTTCTGAATTAATTTCCTGCTTTCAATTTTATTGATTTCTGCTTTATTATATCTTTTCTTCTGCTTGCTTTAGATTAATTTGCTCTTGTTTATCTAGTTTTCTAAAATGAAAACTTAAATTATTGATTTTAAATTTTTCTTCTTTTTAAATATGTATCAATAGATATTGCTTCCCTCTAAGCACTGATTTTACTGCATCACACAAATTTTATAAGCTGTGTTTCTATTTTCATTTAATTCAAAATATGTTTTAATTTCTCTTGAGGTTAGTTGGCTTATATGTTATTTAGAATTGTGTTATCTTCCATGCATTTGGGGATTTTCCAGTTATCTTTCTGTTGTTAATTTTGAATTTAATTTCATTGCGGTCTGAGAGTAGACGTTATAGGATTTCTATTTTTTAAGATTTGTTATGGTGTGTTTTATGGCCCAGAATGTGGTTTATCTTGGTGAATGTTCCATGTCATCTTGAAAAGAATGTGTATTCTGCCATCATTAGATGAAGTATTTTGTAGGTGACAAGCATATAAGTTGATTGATGGCGTTTTTGAGTTCAAACATGTTCTTACTGATTTTCTGTCTCCTGAATCTGCCCATTTCTGACAGAGAAGTGTTGAAATCTCCAATAATAGTGGATTTATCTATTTCTTTTTGCAGTTCAATCAATTTTTGCCTGTAGTAGTTTGATGCTCTGTTGTTAGGTGCATACACATTAAAGACTGTTTTGTCTTCTTGAAGAATTGATCCCTTTATCATTATATAATGCCCTCTTTATACATGATAACTTTCCTTGCTTTAAAGTCTACTCTGTCTGAAATTAATATAGCTGCTCTTGCTTTTATTGGATCAGTGTTAGCATGGTATATTTTTCTCAATTTACTTTTAATCTTAATGTGTCTATATTTAAAGTAGGTTTTTTATGGACAACACAGAGATAGGTCTTGTTTTTTAATTCACTTTGGCAATCTCTCTTTTAATTGCTGAATTTAGACCATTGATGTTCAAACTCATCATTGGTATAGTTGAATTAATATCTAGTGTACTTGCTACTGTCTTCTATTTGGTGACCTTGCCCTTTGTTTCTACTTTTGTCCTCAACTCTTTTTTTCTGCCTTTGTGGTACTAAGTATTTCACATGATTCATTGTTTCCTTTGTCATATCAGTAATATTTCTTTTTTTAACCTTTTTTAAGTGGTTACTCTAGAGTTTGCAATACACATTTACTACTAATCCAAACACACTCTCAAATAAAATTATACCACTTCAAAGAAAGTGTGAGTTCCTTTTAATAACAAAATAGCCTGTAGTCCCAGACTTTCAGAGGCTGAGGCAGGTGGATCGCTTGAGTCCACGAGTTCGAGACCAGGCAACATGGCAAAACCCCATCTCTACAAAAAATACATAAAAATTAGCCAGGTGTGGTGGTGTGCACCTGTAGTCCCAGCTACTTGGGAGGGTGAGGTGGGAACATCACCTGAGCCCAGAAGGTGGAGTTTGCAGTGACCTGAGATCACACCACTCTACTCCAGCCTTGGTGACAGAATGAGACCCTGTCTCAAAACAAAACAGAAACAAAAATAATATTATTTTTCTCTTCATTTTAACATTATTGTCATTCCTTCACTTATATATAAGCATACGTAAGTATATATATGCCTCTTAGTGTATATATATATATATACTAAATAAAAATACAAAATTAGCAGGGCATGGTGGTACATGCCTGTAATCCCAGCTACTAGGGAGCCTGAGACAGGAGAACCGCTTGAACCCAGGAGGCAGAGGTTGTGGTGAGCCAAGATTGTGCCATTGCACTCCAGCCTGGGAAACAAGAGTGAAACTCTGTCTCAAAATTATATATATGGAAAATAAAAGTTCTAATTTTACCTTCGTGTATTCTTTGATGTTCTTTCTTTATGTAGATCTAAGTTTCTGATCTATATTGTTTTCCTTTTCTCTAAAGAATTTTCTTAACATTTCTTGTGAGGCAAGATTAAGTGGCAACAAATTTTCTCAGTTTTTGTTTATCTGAGAAAGGTTTTATTTCTCCTTCACCTTTTAAGGATAATTTTTTAGGACGCAAAGTTCTATCTAGGTTGGTGGTTTTCTTTTTTAATACCTTAAACACGTCACTCCATTTTCTTTTTGCCTGTGTGGCTTTTGAGGATTAGTTCAATGTAAATTTTATTTCTATTCCTCTATATGTAAGATGTTTTTTTCTTTTCACTTCTTTCAGAATTTTCTCTTTATCTTTGATTTTCTACTTTCAAAATGATATTCCCAAGTTTAGGTTTTGTGGCATTTATACTGCTTGGTGTCCTTTTAGGTTTTCTGATTTTTGATTTGGTGTCTGACATTAATTTGGAGAAACCCTCAGTCATTATTGTTTCAAATATTCCCTCTCTTTCTTCTTCTGGAATTCCCCTATGTGTATGTTATGCCTTTTGTAGTTGTCCCACAGTCCTTTGACATTTTGTTCTTTTTCAAATTTTATTCTCTTTGCTTTTCAGTTTTGAAGGTTTCTCTTGATATATCAAGCTCAGAAATTCTTTCTTCAGCCGCACTCGTGTACTAATAAGAGCATCAAAGACATTCTTCATTTCTGTTACAGTATTTTTGATCTTTAGCATTTCATTTTTTTTTTTTTTTAGGATTTCATCTCTCTACTCACATTGCCCATCTGTTCTTACATGCTGTCTACTTTATCTATTAGAGCCTTTGGCATATTAATCATAGTTGTTTCAAACTGCTAGTCTCATAATTCTAGCATCCCTGCCATGTCTGGTTTTGATGTGACCTCTGTCTTCTTCAAATTGTGTATATATACATATATATATAATATATATGTGTGTGTATATATATAAAAATATAATATATTATATATAATATTATATATAATACATGTATAATATATAATATATTATATATGTATAATACATATATATTATGTATGTATAATATATAATAATGTATGTATAATATATATAATATATATTATATATATGTGTATATATATATTTACCTTTAGTATGCCGTGTAATTTCTTCTTCATAGCTGGACATGATGTATCTAGTAAAAGTAACTGTTGTAAATCAACCTTTAATAATGTGGTGGTAAGATGTGAGGGGAGGGGAAGCATCCTGCAGTCTTGAGAGTAAGCCTCAGTCATTTAGTGAGTCTGTGCCTCTGGACTGTGAACCCTTTTTCCTCCCCACTTAGGTGGGAGAGGGTGGATAGAGCTGGGTGGGTTTGGATATTTCTCTTTCCCCAAGTCAGTTAGGCTTTGATAATACCCCAGCATTTTAGGCTCTAGTTAAATAGTTTCTCCTGGAGGCAAGCCTTCCCAGAAGAACCGTATTCCAGTGTATTTTAAAATCATTCCTTTTACCCTCCCCTTGTCAGAAGCATGAAAAAAAAATTTCTCTGATGTTTACTGCAAGAACCTGGCCAAACTCTTGGAAGTAAAACTCACCAAAATGTGGAGGTTCCCCTATGACTGGATCCCCTGGAGTTTTTATCTCTCAGACTTGTCTATGCTGAGCCTCCAGCCATTCATCAATTACAGTTCAGATTTTCCTACCCCAGCACTGGTTCTCATGGTGGTCTCTGCTCATGGCTCTTTGCCCTAGGAGCTGTGACGTCCTGTGTTTGCCTGTCTCTCCAAACGTGGGGGGAACAGTTTGCCTTGTGTCCTCACCTCTCTTATGAATGCAAGAAGAGCTGTTCATTTGCAATTTGTTCAGCTTTTAGCTTGTTGTTAGGATGGAGTGGTGACTTCCAAGCTCTTTACATGCTGAACCAGAAGCCAGAAGTCCCGCTTTTTTTCTTTCAAACTACCTTACTATGGCTTGCCATGTGTATCAGCTTTTGCTGTAAAAACAACCATCCCAGGACTTAGTGGCTTAAAATAGCAAACATTTTATTTAGCCCATAATTCTGTGGCTTGGCTGGGATGTTCTTCTGAATTGGGCCAGCTGGTCTGGTCTCTGCTGGGCTCTGTGAAGCATCTGTGGTCAGCTTGTGGGCATCTGACAGTGGTGGATCTAGGATGGACTCACTCACATGTCTGACAGTTTGGTGGCTATTGGCTGGGGTGGCCAGGTTTTCCTCTAGGTGGTTTCTTATGTCATCAGGCTAGCAAAAGCGCATTTACATGGTGGTCTCAAGATTTCAAGCACAACCAGAGAAGACAAGCCTCAATGTACACTCTTTAGTTTTCAGTTTGTGTCACATTTGCTAATGTCCCATTTTTCCAAAGTGTGTCACATGGACAACCCAGATTAAAGGGACAGAGAAATAAATTCCAGCCCTTGATGGGAGGAACCACAAAATTGTGGCCATTTTTTCAATCTACCACATCATGCTTAACCCTCATGGGGTTCCCAAGATAATCTCTAACTTATTTTATAGGATTGCCCTTCAGAAATATGCCATTTGTCACCAAGAGAAATATTTAGCAAATAACAATAGAAATAACTCTGGTTTCAGCAGTGAAGCTTGACAGTGACAGGAAATGAGTAGTAGAAAGTCTTATGTGTCTGGTAGGGTCTGGGACTGATTTTGGGAGAGAATGGGCACCTAGACATAGTCCAAGCTGAAAAAGTTCATGAAATAAGATGACACAAGTTGGATGTATTCCAAATGGGCAGCAGGAAGCAGATGGGGCATCTGTGGTTCCTATCCTGTTCTCCAGGAAACCTGTTACAGACTGTATTTCTGGAAGATAGTGCAATCTGCTCTGTCAGATGGAAGCCACCACGATTCATGTCTGAGGGCTATGAAACTTTGGAAATCTCATATTTGACTGTGTTGCCAGCACAAAATACATTCAGGGGAAATAATGTATCTTGTCTCTTAAAATTCATCTACCTTGGCCTGTACTGCATATGATATGATGAAGTAGTATCAGCATAAAGCACTTCTCTGGACCCAGATGGCCTGAATTTGAATCCAAATTTCAACATTAATTTGCAGCATTACTTTTAGGAAGTTAGCTAAACAATCTATGCCATGCTTCAGTTTCCTCATATATAGGATTGATTAATGATAGCATCATTAATCATTAATTATGAGGGTATTGGCTATTTTGAGGGTAAAAATGGGGACACATATCCAATATACATATATAATAATTGGGCTGGCATATGTTAGGCATTCAATAAAATATTCACCAGTGAAATAAGAGAAAAAAGAAGGATCTCCATGGTAAAATATTAAATGGATCATTTCTATTTTGGACTTGTTCATTCTCTTTACTCAGGCTGGATACTTTACTTTAGCATTCTTTTCTCCTTTCTATAAGAGAAAAAACTATGAGATAGCCAATGTCTTGCTATACTTACGAGAGCTAATAGTTAATAATATTCTTCTAAGATGGAAGGGGAGATAACAACTGAACCCACCATATATGTGGCTTTTTCCCACTCACATATTTTAATTTTTAACACTTCCCAAGTGATCATGAAAAGTGATCATGATATTGCCAATGGAATTTTTAGATCAGGAGTCTAGGTCTGATCCTATCACAGACTAGTAGAGTGGTTTTTGAAAGTATCCTTAACATTCCTGAATTCATTTTTAAAATCGAGGCAATGAAACTTCTCTACATAAGACAATTGATCTGTGTTGGGAAGACTAAGAGCAAGCTGGTGACTGGGTGATGGTTGAGGATGACATCAATATCCAGTGGTGAGTAGTAATTATGATGGGACATTCTAAAGTGTGGTTTATTTTTTTCAGCTTCTTTATGAAGATAAAAAGGTGGCATTGGTATTGCCTTTTGAAAAATAAAAGAAGTTTTGGTGAAATCACAATATGGATTGGGGCTCGCAGACTGAAATAATGGGAGAATCTCTGGAGGACTGAACCTGGGAACTCTAGGTAGGGACAGTTAATTCTAGAAACTGTCTGGAACCATTCCAGTGTCCAGAAACTTGGTGATTGCAACATAATTTTGGCTTGTGAAGAGGTGAGTGGTGTGGTCAGTCACCACTATTTAATTCAATAAATATTTGTGGAGTGTCTACTATGTTCTGGGCACTGTGTGGTAGGATGGCACATGGAGAAAACACTCTGGTTTATTATTTCACATATGGCCATAAATGCCATGTACCATCCTAAATCTCAGGCATTAGACATGTTAGGGTACCAGATGGAGAGTCTTGGCAAGAACAATGACTGCAAGGCAATAGATCTTGACTGGAGCGTTAGTGCCCCTTAACTAGAGCTTAAGTGTCTACCATGACGAATAAAAATATATGGGATATATGGTTGCTAACCCAACTATGTATTAGGTGCTTGTATAGTTGTGAGGTTTTGTTTCTAGTTCTGGCGATGGTGAAATGCAGAACTTCTATTTGTTTGGTCTGGAGAAAACTGTTCCTGGGGGTTGTGAATACATGCCAGGAGATGTAGTTAGAGCTAGATGCAGACAATATTTTTGAGATATAGTCTACAGAATGACCATCAGTTCTCAGTGGGAGTAATGAATGACAGGTTTCTTGACAGAATATGGACTTTGTACTTCTTTAAACCAAGCACACATTATATGTAGCTGCAGGTCGAGATGTAAGAAGACAGGTCTTGTCTGGTTTTGAGGAATACATTGCTTGATAAATCCCACAGCTACTGCTACACAAATGTGCATCTTTTCTAGGACATATCATAAATAAAGAGATGTCCATGTTTTCTGCTACATTTTTTCTTTACATCCAAGGACAGAGCTTATAATATCAAAAGTAGGTTCTCAACGAATGGGCGACCAATACATAGACTATGGCCTAGGACATCACCTGGAGTGGAAAGTTGAACATGTTAATGACGAATTATTAAAAAGACTGAGTCAGTTAAATCCCTAGGTAATTTTAATGTTCAGCCAAGATTAAGAACCACTGCTCTGGAAGTGGTGTCCCTCAAGTTCTTAAAGAACCAGGACCAGAGGGAAATCATTATCTACTCAGAGCCTCCAGGAGCATCCACTGGGTAGATTTGGGTCTCATTTTGTGGAGTGGGTCTCCTGTGAGCTTGCACACTGTTTTTTGAGGGCTTCCTCTTTCATGTTTCAACCTCTGTCTCTCTAGCCAGGTCAGGAGTATTAGAGGCAGAGATTCATCAACAACCCATTTGTATAGTGGAGCAAAATGATTGTCTTTAGGCTTGAGTATTTAACAGACAAAGGTAGAAGGGCTGCCCCTGAGTATCTTTCCAAGCACATCTATAGAGGGTATAGTCTGAGCTTTATTTTTACTGCCCAATAAGCTGAAAGCCTCAGTTCTGGATCCATAGGTCAAAGCATTTAGAAGAGGTCAAGAACTCTAGTTAAAGAATCTAATTGTTTGTATTTAACTTAAGCCAGTGATTAGTTGTAAGAGCTTGGGAGGTAAGTTAAATGGACATCTTGGTTTCCCTGTCTATCTTTAAGATGGACAAAAAAAGAACCTTCATCTTATAGTTAGTTGGGAGGAGTAATCACATATAAACCATTTAGGTGGTGCCTGATACATAGTAAATCTTGATAAATGAGACTATTGTTATTATTGGATCAGGCAACTGATTGATTTAGGCATAATTGGGCTTGAGTTTTTAATTGGTTAACATGAAAATTGCACAGTACAAATTTTCTATGATGCTAAGAGGCACTTTGACATTTTGCTCTTTAAGCTGCTGTTATCTATATGTTATGTCTATCGGTGAGGTTAAATTGATTGGTTTCCATTCAGTTTTGCATTTTGTTTTTCATTTGGGATAATACACAATTGCAGAGTTATTGATGGAAGTTACTGAGCTGGGAATTTAACTTGGTTGTTAAGACAACTAAGCAAATGCATCCATCTATTCCCCCAGTGGAAGGAGCTCTACCAGAACTGTCATGAGGCAATTGAATCTCTCCTTTCAGAAAATTCTGGCATCTCCCATTGTCCTCACTCTTAGAACTCAACTCTTTCTAATAAGTTTGAATCATCTGGTGACTCACTTGGTATTGAACAAGGAAGGAGAAATGTTATTAGTTTTCTATTGCTGCGTAATAAACCACCCCAAAACTTAGTGGCCTAAGATAACAGTTATTCTGTGGGCCAGCCATCTGGGCTGTGTTCGTTCAAGTGGTTCTTCTGGTGGTCTTGCCTGAGGCCACTCTGTTGGCTGCAGTCATCTTAAGGCTCAACTGGGGCTGGAATGTCTAAGATGACCTCTCTCGCATTTTTGGCTGGTTATTGCTGGCTTGCAGCTGGGCCACATGTCTCCAACAGACTATCTTGGGCTTCTTCCCATGGTAGCAGCATTCCAAAGGACCAAGAGCAGCCACTGAAAGACCACTTGAGATCTAAACACAGAAGCTGTGTGACATCAAAGCAAGTTAAAAGGCCAGATCAGGGTTAAGTTGTAACAGAATTGATTCTACCATTTAATGGGAACAGCTGCAAGGAATTTGTGACCATTTTATCTTACCACAGGAGAGGAAGGGACAAAAGAAAAATGCAGAAGAAATATACTACTGAGTACCATCTATGCACCCACTAAACCCCTTTCAATGATAATATCTAGCATATGTTGAGGGCTTTCTCTGTGCCTACCACATGGTATGCACTCAATTAAAGGTATTAACAGTTTTATTTTTAAAAATGACCACCATCTTTACAAACTTTATTAATTAATGTGATTCAGTGATTGCAATACCAAGGACTCATGCATGAACCTTCTTTCTATTTCTTTTTTTAAGTGGTGGAAAACCAAGAGTGGAAGTGTCTAGTTAATTGCTTCTGGGATTAGCAAATGTCAATGTCTCACAGTTTACTGGAGTGTTGCATCTTCCTTCTTAAATTTGGGGGTTCTGCATTTCAGTTTGTCAATGTTCTTGGTCCAGGTTGTCACTTTGAGCTCTGGAGTTGGCTTTGCATTCTCTTGGTGTGTAGTCCTCATCTCTCTGGGATGTGTTTTTATCAGCAACTTTTCAATCTCTCCCCTTTTAAGGGTAACTTTGAGATGTGTGAGGTCATCTGTGAGCCTCTAGTAACAAGGTTTTTCTGGCATTGGATGCTTTCTAATGTAGAGTGGGATTTTCTGTACACACATGGTACCACCAGCTTCTCTGTAAAGTAAATGTGACCTTCAGCTTTATCTGAAACACTTTGATGTTCTCTTCTGCCAAGCTTGTAAACATAAACCTCATGTTCTATTCTATGTGCACCTACAATAGTCATAACACAGGACTGTGACAGTGTGCTCCCCAAAATATCAATCATATCTTGGAACCGAATTCTCTGTCTGTATTAGAAATTTTACAGTAATCACATAGGTACAAAGTTTAGTCAGGCTTTTGCCTGAGGAGCCAGATGATTGAAATTAAAGATTTAGAAGAGAGCTGGATTTGTAATTATAAAATAAATTAAATATACCTCTTAATTCTTTAAAACAGCGTTTTCTTAGGCTGCTAAGGATGATTCTATCAAGAGCCTGCTACTATAGCCTTGAAGTACAAAAAATTGTTGATGAATAGAAATTCCTACACAAGTTATTCTTGACCTTAAGGAAAAAGATTTTTTAGTTTAAATGAGTGTTTCCTAAATGTGGTTGCACATCAGAATTATCTGAGATTAAAAAAAGTTATAATCTTGTAACACTTTGGCTTTGAGATATAAATTTCATGCAATAAAAAAGTCTTAGATCATGGCGCTTGGTTGGCAAGTTTGGATTATTCTATACAATCACATTACCACTACCTAAAATAAGATAAAAACATTTTTTTTTCACTCCAGAAAGTTAGCTTATGCTTCTTTCCATTCAATTACCTTCTCCCCCAGAGACCACCACTTTCTGACTTCCATCATCATAAATTATTATAGCTTGTTCCCATACAGTGTGTACTATATTAGATATGGCTTCTTTTATTCAAAATAATGTTGATGAAATAAAATTTTATTGTCATGAGTAGTTCATTGTTTACTGCTGTATCATATTCTACTGCATGAATATGCCATCAATTTCTTTGCCTATGGTCTTGTTGTTGGACTTGTGGATTATTTCCAGTTTGAAGCTATTTTTCCTAAGGTTTTTGTGAATATTCTTGTACAAGTCTTTTTGTGGACATAATCCTTCATTTCTTTTGGGTAAATATTTATGGAAATTTCTGGATCATAAGGCATATATAAATTGTTTAATTTTATAAGAAATTGACAAAAAAAGATTGTACCATTTTATACTCCAACAGACATGTATTTCTTGAGTAGTTTTTAAAAATTAAAGCTATTTGCCCTCACATGCCACTTAGACACACAGCCCATTATTAGCACTAGGATCTTTTACAAATTACCAATTAAATATTTGCCTGCATAGATCATAAATACACAAAATTCTATCCACAAGTGGTCTATGCAAGCAAATATTTAACTGGTAATTTCAAAGAAGTTCCTGATGCTAATAACAAGCATTTGTAATTGTATGATTGTATATTCCTCACAGTCTAAGATTCTTTCCAGTTTATTAGCTCATCAAACGTTTTATCGAGATATAATTCACATACCATAAAATTCACCCTTCAAGTGTTCAATACAGTGGTTTTCAGCATATTGCCATTGACTGCAATCTAATTCAAGATATTTTCATCATCCCAAAAGGAAACTTTGTTCTCATTAACAGTCATTTTGCATTCTTCCTTTCCCCAAGTCCATGGCAATTAGTAATCTATTTTATGTCTTTATGGATTTGCCAATCTTAGACATTTCGTATACATAAAACCATACAATATGTGACCTTTGGTTTCTGGCTTTTTTTCAGTTAGCATTAGTTTCAAGTTTTACCCATGTTGTAGAATGTATCAGTACTTCATTCATTTGTATGACTGAATAACATTTCATTGTATGAATACTTCAAATATTGCTTATCCATTCATCAATTGATAGACATTTAGGTTGTTTCTACTTTTTGGCTACTATTAATCTTTTGAGGCATTTCCAGACATTCCTCCATAGCAGCTGTGCCATTTTGCATTCCCACCAGAAGTGTGTGAGTGTTCCAATTTCTCCACATCATTGTCAACACTTGTTATCATCTGTCTTTCTCATTACAGCCATCCCAGTGGGTGCAAAGTGGTATCTCATTGTGGTATTAATTTGCATTTATCTAATGACTAATGATGTTGAACATCTTTTCAGGTGCTTATTAGCCATTTGTATATATATCTATTCAAATTCTTTGCCGTGTTTTAAAAAATGAGGTGTCTTTTATCATTGAATTGTAATAATTATCTATATATTCTGGATAAAAGTCCCTTCCTGATATATATTTTGCAATATTTTCTCCCATTCTGTGTATTCCTTTCTCACTTCTTTATAGTATCCTTTGAAGCACAAACAATTTTGGTTTGTGCTTCAGAGCCAAATTTATCTATTTTTATCTTTTGTTGTTTGTATGTTTGTTGTCATATCTAAAAACAAATCTACATCTAAATCTAATCCACAGTCATAAGATTTATATTTAAGGTTTCTTCTATGAGTTTCAGCTCATATATTTAGGTGTCTGATCCATTTTGAGTTAATTTTTATGTATGATGTGAGGTAGGGATCCAATTTCATTCTTTTCCACATGGATATTCAGTTGTTTCAATACCATTTGTTGAAAAGATGATCCTTGCCCCATTAATTGTCTTGGTATCCTTGTGAAAAATTTTCGACTATACCTATAGTTATTCTTTGTGTCTCAGTTCTATTCCATATATATATATGTCTATTCTTGTACTAGTACTGCAGTCTTGATTACTGTAGCTTTATAGTAAGTTTTGAAATTAAGAAATGTGAATCCTTCAACTTTGTTTTTTTTTTTCAAGATTGTTTTGATTATTGATTGATTTGATTATTCTGGGTCCTCTGCAATCTCATAAGAGTTTTAGGATTCGTTTGTTAATATTTTATAAAAAAAAAAAAAAAGCCAGCTTTGCTTTTGATAGAGATTGCATTGAATTTGTAGACCAATTTGGAGAGTACTGCCATCTTAGGAAACATAAATCTTTCAATCCATGAACACAGGATACTTTTCATTTATTTAGGTCTTCTTTATTTTCTTTCAGTGATGTTTTGTCATTTTCAGTGTACAAATCATGCACTTCTTTTATTAAATTTATTCCTAATTATTTTATTGTTTTTGTTGCTATCATTAATTGAATTGTTTTTGGATTGTTCATTGCTACTATTTAGAAATACAGTTGCATTAGTATATTGATCATATATCACACAGTCTTGCATTTGTGGGATAAATTCTACTTGATCATGATGTGTAATCCTTTTTCTATGTTGATAGATTCTGTTTGCTAGGATTTCATTGAAAATTTTTGCATCTATATTCATAGGAAATATTAGTCTGCAGTTTGTTTTGTCATGATAGCTTTGTCTAGTTTAGTATCAGGGTAACACAGCCTCATAGGATGATTTGAGAAGTATTATCTGCTCTTTAATTTTTGGAAGATTGATGTTAATTCTTCTTTAAGTATTGACTAGAATTCACCAGTGAAGCTACTGCTTTTCTTTGGAGGTAGTTCAATCTCTTTGTTATAGATGTGTTCAAATTCTGTATGTATTTTTTAAGTCAGTTTTGATAGTGTGATTCTTTCTAGGAGTTTGTCCATTTCATTTAGATTCTCTAATTTATCGGCATATAATCCTTTTCACTTCTGTAAGGTGTATTAATGTCCCTTCTTGTATTCTTAATTTTAGTAACATGAATATTACTTCCTTCTTCGTTATTCTAAATAAAAGTTTGTCAATTTTGTTGAACTTCTCAAAAAACCAACTTTTGGTTTTGTTGATTTCCTGTATTATTTTCCTATGTTCTATTTCATTTATTTCTTCTTTAATTTAATTATTTCCTTCCTTCTTCTTACTTTGGGTTTAGTTTAGTTTTCTTTTTTTCTAGTTTCTTTTGGTGGAAGAATAGATTATTGATTTGAGATTTTTTTTCAATATAGGCATTTCTAGATAGTTTTCCCAAAAGCACTATTTTAGCAGCATTTCTTAAGTTTTGATCTGTTGTAGTGTCATTTTCATTCACCTTAAAGCACTTTCTAATTTCTTTTGTATTTATTCTTTGAATGATTGGTTATTAGGTAGTGTGTTCTTCAGTTTCCACGTATTTGTAAATTTTCAAAATTGCCTTTAGTTACTGATTTCTAATTCTATTTCACTGTAATTGAGAACATACTTGTGAAGCTTCAATTATTTTAAATATATTGAGATTTTTTGGATCTAACGTGGTCTATTCTGAAGAATATTGTATGTGAGTTTGAGAAGAATGTATATTCTGCTCTTTTTGGGTGGAGTATTCTGTTAGGTCTAGTTGGTATCTAGTGCTGTTCAAGTCTTCCATTTTCTTTCTGATCTGTCTAGTTGTTCTATGTATTGTTGAAAGAGAGATACTGAAGTCTCCAATTATTATTGAATCATCTGTTTCTTCCTTCCATTGTGTCAGTTTTTGCTTCATGTATTTTGGGACTCTGTTGTTAGTTGCATATATAATTGTTTTATGTATTTGAGACAGAATCATGCTATGTCACCAAGGCTGGAGTGCAGTGGTGTGATTTTGGTTCACTGTAACCTCTATCTTCTGGGTTCAAGTGATTCTCATGTCTCAGCCTCCCTAGTAGCTAGGATTACAGGCATGTGCCACCACGCCTGGCTAATTTTTGTATTTTTTTTTGTATTTTTAGTAGAGATAGGATTGTGCCATGCTGACCAGGCTGGTTTCAAACTCCTGGTCTCAACTGATCAGCCTACCTCAGCCTCCCAAAGTGCTGGGATTACAGGCGTGAGCCACCACACCTGGCCGAATTGTTGTATATCTTTAGTGGATTAATTATTTTATCATAAGAAAATGTTTTCCTCTGTCTCTAGTAATAATTTTTGTCATAAAGTCTATTTTTTCTTGTATTAATATAGCCACTTTAACCCTTTTTTGGTTATTGTTTGAATATTATACCATTTTTCATTATTTTCTTTTGGCCTATTTGTGTCTTTGAACCTAAAGTGTGTGTCTTGTAGAAAGCATACAGTTGGATCACATTAAAAAAAAAAAAAACCATTCTCCCTGTCTGTGCCTTTTGATTAGAATGTTTAATCAACCTATAGCTAATGTACTTATCGAGAAGGTAGTATTGATGTAAGTCCTTTTGTTATTTGTTTTCTATATGTCTTTTTTATGTCTGCTTTTTAACTACTGCATTTTTGTATTGAAGTATTTTTAGTGTAACATTTTTATTCCTATGTCATTTCTTTTACTACATTTCTGTGAATGTGTGTGCATGCATGGGATTACAATGAACACCAAATAACAATCTAGTTTAGAGTAATATAAAATTATTTTAATAGTTTACAAAAATTTTATTCCTATATATCTCCATTTCCTTCTCTCACCTTTTTGCTATCATTCTTGTACAAATTACATCTTTATAAAGTTTATGCCTAACACGGATTTACAATTCCTGCTTTATGCATCTATCTTTAAGATATTAATAAGTTGAGAGAAGAAAAAGGTTTACAGCCAAAAAATATACATGTGCTGGCTTTTATATTTCCCTCTGTAATTAATTTTACTGGTGTTTTTTATTTCATTATATGGATTCAAGTTGTTGTCTAGTGTTCTTTCATTTTAACTGTAAAGATTTGTATTAGTATGTTTTGTAGGACGGATCTACTTCTGGTCACAAATTCTTAAAGTTTTATTTCTCTAGAAATGTCTTAATTTCTCCTTTATATTTGAAGAGTAGTTTTGCTGAGTATAGAATTTTTGGCCAGCAGCCTTGAAACATTTTGAATACATTATCCCACTGCCTCCTGGCTTCCGTGGTTTCTAATGAGAAATCGACTATCAATCTTATTGAGGATATCTTGTTGTGATGAATCATTCTCTCTTGTTGGTTTTGAGATCAATTTATAAGGCTTGGCTTTTGACAGTTTGAGTATGATGTGTTAGGTATGGCTTTCTTTGAGTTTATCCTACTTCGAGTTCACTGAGCTTCTTGGATGTGTGCATTAATATTTTTAATTAAATTTGAAAAGTTCTTCATCTTTTTTTAAATATTTTTTCTGTTCCTTTTTCTGTTTTCTCTCTATCTGGAGTTTCTATCATTTATTTATTTCTTTACTAGATGGTGTCCCACAGGTCTCTTAGTTTCTGTTTCTTTTTTAAAAATTCCATTTTCTTTTGGCTCCTCAGAATGGATAATTTTAATTGACTTATCTTCAAATCCACTGATTCTTTCTATGTGTGCTCAGATTTTCTGTGAAAAGCTTCTAATGAATTTTAAATTTTAGTTATTGTAATCTTCAAGCTCCAGATTTTCTGTTTGATTTTCTTTTATAATTTCTTTTTCTTTAATTTTTTTTTTGAGATGGAGTCTCGCTCTGTTGTCCAGGATGGAGTGCAGTGGCACTATCTCAACTCACTGCAACCTCCGCCTCCCAGGTCCAAGAGATTCTCCTGCCTCAGCCTCCCAAGTAGCTGGTACTACAGGCATGCGTCACTATGCCTGGCTAATTGTAATGTCTGTCTTTATAGATATTTTTAATTTGTTAACAAATTGAAAAGAGATGAAGAAAACAAGTCTGTTCTATTGGTTTTCTTTATCTGCCTATGGTTTCTTTTGGTTTTTAAAGCATATTTAAGACAGTTAATTTAATATCTTTCGTGAGTTAAAGGTCTGTGCTTCTTCAGGGACTGTTTTGTTACCTTTCTTGTAAATAGAACATACTTTCTTGTTTCTTCGCATGCTTTATAATTTTTTGCTAAAACCTGGACATTTTGAATATTATAATGTGGTAACTGTAGATCAGTTTTATTTCTTTCAAGGCTTTACTGTAATTGTTTGTCATTACTGTTGTTACTGCTTTTTTTAGTGACTTTTCATGAACTAATTCTGTAAAATCTGTATCTGTTGTGCATAGCCACTGAAATCTCTGCTCCATTCGTTTAGTGGTCAGCTAATGGTTAGACAGATTTTCTTAAATGTCTGAAACAAATAAGTCTACAGGTTATACCAAGAAGCTCTTTGTGCACATTGGGGCACATTTTTAATGCTACAGCAGATAGTTCACAACTTTGCCTTACCCTTTACTTCTTACTTGTGTGGAGACTCGAGGTCACCTAGAGGCGAGAGTTTAAGACCTCAGATTTTCCTGGTCATATGCACATCACTATGCATACGTGGCTGTCTAGATTTCCAAGAACATGTTGGACCTTTACAAAGCCCCATGGGCATCTCATTCTCAAGCTTTTCGTTTTAAGTTTTTGATTAGCTTGCTGTTTTACCCAACTACTATCACCACTTCAGGGAGCTGTAATGTTAAGCAATTGCCACTGATTCCAACATATACTCCAATATGAAAGGCTGTTTGCACTGAGTTAGCTCTGAGTCTGGTCGAATAAAGATAAACTTTGATTTTCCAGGGAAGATCAAATCATGATAGTCATATGATAATGGGAATTTAGAAGAACTTTAACCACATTCTGCCCTCTCCAGTGGCTTTTAAGATGCTGGTTTTCACTATGACTGTGAAGATGTTGGTTTTCAAGGCTACCATGGATCTAGGGGAAGGAGAATGAGTATAGGACAAATTAAAACACCACACCACTCTGTTTTCTTACTGAGGTCGAGATCTTTTTCTTGAATAAAGACTCTCCAAATTGTTGCAAGATTTAAAAAAAAAAAGTTTACAGTTCTAAAAAAGTTTATTTGGATATTTTTTGAGTGTTCTCATTGTTTTTCTGGAGGGGAGGATTTTTAGAGGTCCTTACACCATCATTTCTGCTGATGTCACTCTCCATTCATCTACCTTTTAAAGCTAACCACAGAAGTACATGGGCTTTGGGATTGGAAGTCCTGAAAAATAATTCTAGCTTAGTTATTAATCAGCTGGTGATCTTGGAAAAGTTTCTTAACCTCTCAGAATTTTTCTCCTGTCAAATGAAGCTCCACTGTAGGATGTGTGAGCATATTAAATGACATGCAATGATGCAACGTAAACTCTAAGAGGTTTGCACATACAAGATATTTCTTTCTGTAATCTGCACTTCAAAGTGCATTGATCTTTTCTTTTTCTGGGCCTTAAGACCATGAGTATCTGATTTCTTCCTTTTGACCCCTATAGTTCCCAAAGTTGGCCCTTTCTTTGTGTCCTCTGTGATGAACAGACTTTAAGTTGGCCTCATGATTCCCACCTCCTAGTATTTGTGCCTTTGTTTAAGTCCCCCTTCTTGAACGTAGATGGGGCCTGTGACTCGCTCCTCATCAACACCATATGACAAAGTGATGATACTTCACTCCTGTGATGTTATATTATCTAAAACTCTGTCTTGCTTGCAGGCTTTTTAATTTTTTTGAAATTTAAAATTTCATTTTATTTTATTTAGCTTTACTGAAGTATAATTGACAAAATATGTCAGAGGCATTTGAAAACCAAAGTGACTGCATGTTGAACAGGAGCTAGGAAAAATAAGGCATTCTAAGTCATAGAATGAGATAGGAAGTCGGCACAAGATACATCTCATAAAGACCTTGCTGATAAAATAGGTTGTAGTAAGGAAACTGACCAAAACCCACCAAAATCAAGATGACCACGAAAGTGACCGCTGGTCGTCCTCACTGCTACACTCCCACCAGTGCCACGACAGTGTACAAATGTCATGGCAATGTCAGGAAGTTACCCTATATGGCCTAAAAAGGGGAGGTATGAAGAGTCCACCCCTTGTTTAGCATATCATCCAGAAATAACCATAAAAATGGGCAACCAGCAGCCCTCAGGGCTGCCCTGTCTATTGAATAGCCATTCTTTTATTACTTTACTTTCTTAATAAACTTGCTTTTGCTTTGTACTGTGGACTCTCCCTGAATTCTTTCTTGCGCGAGATTCAAGAACGCTCTCTTGAGGTCTGGATCCAGACCCCTTTCCTGTAACAATTAGACTTGTCCTTTTTCTCCTTTGCTGATTTTGGGGAAGCAAGCTTCTGTGCTGTGCAACATGGCCTGTGGAGAGGGACACAGGGCAAGGAACTCCTCTGGGCACTGAGGGTGGCCTCCTGCCAACAGTCTTGTTTCATGGCTGCAAGGAAATGAATTCTGCCAAAAACTTGAGTGAATTTGGAAGTCAATGACTTTTATAGGAACCCCCTAAGGCCAGATAGAACAAGAATGATGATCCCCATTTAGAAAAAATGATTCCAAGATGGTAAGGTTTGTCTGATCCCTACTTTTCCAACGTGAAGAAAGCATCAGGAAACAGTAAGGAATCTGGATTGTCTTCCTGCTGGAGAAACAGTAAGAAGTTAAGATACTATTTTGCTCTTCACAGGCAAATCCCAAAGCTCCCCCCAGCCCCTCTTGCAGTTGGGCAGCAGGTCCTCTGGTACCTGGCCCCTGGACAGTGCCCAATGCAAGGCCCTTAGTCAGATTCCTGTGAGGCCTGGCTGTGGGGAGTACCAAGAGGCCCCCTCCCCCCAGCAGTTCCCCCAGTGCCAGGGAACATCAGACACACGTCTCCTGGCAGTGCGGGCACCAGCAGGCATCTGCTCATGCCCAGTGCTCCAAGCTGCATGTGGAGAAGGTTGGTGCACCTACCCCAAGGACTGCATCTCTACCCCTGTCTAGTGCATGACTCCCCTGTCTGGTGCATGACTGCCCCTGGTTCTCAAAAACCATGTACCTCTGGGGAGGCCAGCTGTGCTCCAGCAAATGACAAACACTCCCTGAAGGTGGAAGAGATGAATGAATTTGAAGAGACACTCTCCCAGCTGCCCCCGTCTCAGCTCTGCTGCCATGGGCTGTCCCGCCTGAATCTCCACACGTGGAGGCAGCTGCCATGCAAGGACACAGCTCCAGGTGGAGGACTGGCTTCATCCCACAGCGGGTGCCATTCAGCGCTGTCCCTGCACTCCCTGGATCCCATCACCGGGCAAATTAGTGTGGAAGCTGGAACAACTATACGTCAGTTTGCCACCGTCTGGCAGAGGCCCCCTCAGGACTGTTGATTGTGGTGAGGTGAGGGGATGCTGTGTGTCAGCCTTGAGCATTCTCAGAGCTTTGGAGCCAGCACAGGACCTGCCATGCTTTTATTATGCCTTAACAGCAAGAACCAGCCCACCCTGGGCTTAAGGGACAGCCTCAACTCTCCTATTATTCTGTTTCAAAGTCTATGAATGTGAATGAGTTCATTTTTCTAGTGAGGACATCTATAGCTTTCATTATAGTTTCTAACAGTTACTGAGTTTTTTTCCAGGTACTGTTCTAAGCACTTTCCATATATTTATGCCTTTCAATTTTTATGATAACCCCTTTGAGGTGTGTATCATTACTACATCCATCTTATAGGGAGAAAATTGAGGGCTGGAGACAGTAAGGTCACACATTGAGAAAGTAAGAGAGCAAGATCTCAAACTCAGATTGCACCACAAGAGTCTGCTATCCAAAAAAGATTGCAACATCTTGTTTCAATAAGCCCATTTGGAAAGTAACATTACCTTCCTCTTACTTGTAGCTCAAGACAGACAAGGTTACTCATAGGTGGTTGTATCTATTTTCATTAGCCAGTGTGGTATACGATATGATCTTTTCAAATGACTTGCTCTAGGACCCATTTCTGCATGTTTAAAATTTCTTTTCCTCCCTCCCTCCCTTTCTTCCTTCTTTTTCCTTCTTTCCTTCCTTCCCTTCCCTTCCTTTTCCTTCCTTCCTTCCTTCCTTCCTTCCTTCCTTCCTTCCTTCCTTCCTTCCTGTGTTTAGTGTAGTAATTAAAAGTATATAACTTGATGAAATTTTTCATACATAAACATACATGTAACCACTACTCAGATCATGGTATGGAACAGAGATCAGCAAACTTTTTCTGTCGAGGGACAGATAATAAATAATGTAGGCTTTGCAGGCCATATGGTCTCTGTTGCAACACTCAGCTCTGTCATTGCAGTGCAATCCAGCATCTACAGAGCGTATGTAAATGAAAGTATGTGGCTATGGTCTAATAAAGCTTTATTTACAAAATCAGGTGGTAGGTCAGGTTTGGCTCATGATCACAGATCTTGTTGCACCTTGATATGGAATGTTCCCAGCACTTCAGAATGTTCCCTTGTACCCTTTCATAATCAATACTAACCCTCCTCACCTATCCAGAAATAACCACTATTGTGACATTTAGCACAATATGCAGTGTTTGTTTTTCCTGTTCTTGGACTTCATGTAAATAAAATCCTATAGCACATATACCTTTGCGACTATTTTTTTTTCACTCAGTATCACGTATATGATATTCATTTGTGTTGTTACATATAGCAGTAGTTCATTTATGTTTATCATTGTTGCTTTGCATGATTTTGTTGTATGACTATACTACAATTTATTTTTCTGTTCTCCTGTTGATAGAGGTACCATTTGGGCTACTATGTATGCTCCAGGGAGTGAAAAAAAATTACTCGACTCCTTTTGAGGAATTTGTACAAAAACAAATAAAATTGTGAATAATATCTTGATTGGTCACCATGCTCATTTAATTAATTAATTGATTTGCTCCATGCTTTGAGAATATACACTTGAACAGATTCGGGGTTCAATGCTGCTTAAGAGGCCCTTCTACTTTCTTGTACTTTTGTTTAAAAAGGGTAAAGACAGATTTTTCAGGGACTATTTAATGAGTGCCTTCTGGGTACAAGGCAATGAACTTGGAATCCAAAGGCCTGGCTCTCTCACATGGGAGATCTGAGCCTTTGGCTGTGAGAAATAATCTCTCAACCTCTTTTTTTCAAACTTGGAGGACAGTGTATGAGAACTAAAATGTCTGTGAACTGCAAATTGCCATTCACACATGAAGTGGTATTATTATTATATAAAAATATATAAATGGTGATCCCTGTCTTCAGAGTATCCAGTGTAGTAAAAATAACTACCACAAAGCACAGTATCTGATCATGTTATATAATAAATACTAACAGGGTTTCATGCTTGGACCAGACACAGAACTACTGGGTGGTGAAAATGCCTTAGCTGCCAGATAGAGCCACATGGCTCGCTGATGGATGTGAGAGAAAAGAATCGAAGATGATTCCAGGATTTTTTTGCCTGAGTCATACAACTGATAGAGTTGCCATTGATTGGGCTCGGGAAGTCAGAAAGAAGCAAGTTTTGTTTTGAACTTTACTGGGAGAATGGACAGGATTTTCCTAAGAGGAGGAGATGCGGAATTACAAATGGGAAGTGCATCTCAAATAAAGGGGAGCTGGGGGGACTTTTGGGAAGATCAGCTGGTTAAAGCTGAAAATGTAGGGAAAATAAAACAGAACTGCATGATAAATGGTGGCAGGCTGAAGAATGTGGTGTTTGTCCAATGTGCACATGAAGACAATGGAAGGTTTTGTAGTAACAGGACTTTATAGCATTGAGAATCAATGAGACCCCAAAAACTTCTTACTGAATCTCTCCTTCAGGCCAATTGCTGAGTAATTTATTCTTTGCGAGGCATCAAACAGTATTTATAAAAATAGAAGCAAGCAGTTGCTGCTGTGTTGATTCTCATCTGTTCCATCACAAGCCACACAAGGAACCATATTTGGGGTCTCATTTGTGACTGCAGGAACTGAAGTGGGGAGGCGGATGATGCCACCCTTAGAATTACAGAAACAGACATTTTCTCCAAGTTATTCAGGAATCAAGGGTGTCCAAGGAAGGCCAACCACAGGAGAACACTCAGAGCAAAATAAAACATAAACCATAATGTCAGAAGACCTGGATGTGTTCTTATCCAAGCTGTTCAATCATTGAGTTATTCTGGGCAAGTTACCCACTGAGCTCAGCACCTTCATCTGCAAAATGAAGGTGGTTGTCCCTTCCCGACCTTCCTTCCAGGGCTGTAATAAAAGTATAATAAGATGCTGTAAGTCAAACACCTTACACGCTGCAGTGCACTAATCAAAGTCTCTTTGTCAGTACAATGAATTAGGGCAGCAAACTTGTTCTGCTTCTCGCCCCTGCTCATTTTCCACAGATCCAGCCATGCGACTTTTTAGACTCTTGTTAAAAATCAGTGGCTTGTAATTTTTCAGGCCACTTCTAGGACAAGGCTGAGACAGACAGAGCAAAGAGGGGAGATCCCAAGGGCTCACCTTAGAGGAAGGCACAATTTGGTAGGCCTAGATGCAACGGCAGCTTTTTTTCTGCAGACCCAACATGGCAATTGAGAATCTGAAGTTCTCATTCAAGAGCCCCAAGTAGTCCTAAGGCACTTTCAACTTTCAAGCTCTCTGCCAATCATTGGTAGTTCTCCCAAGCTCTGTGTGAGGCAAGGAAACTTTAGGAGGCTGACTCCGACATTTTGAAAATGGAACAATGACTCTCTTTTCTCTTTTTTATTTTTATTTTTATTTTTTGGACTGCCTGCTGCCCCTTCAGGCAGACTCATAGCAGCCCTGAACGCCAGCTGCCCATCACAGCTGTCCTGGCCTCAGTGGCTCCCACAGGCTCACCGGCTCTATTTCGGAAAAGGCCCGAGGGCAGAGCAGAGCCTTTTCATTGTTTTCGCTGTTGGGCTTCCCTAGCCATTGAGGAAGAACGTTCTCTTGGAAGGAGACACAGCTGCCTGTGGCACTGTGTGTACATAGTAATTATCATGCTTTTAAATAAATTACCTGATGCCTCAAAATTAAAAGGAAATCCACCAAAATCTTAAAAAAAAAAAGTGGTTTATGGGAAGGGGCCATTGTATAATAAATTGCTCAGAAGCTGAAATTTGACCTCAGATGACATTGAGTTCAAATCTCAGCTCTGTTATTTATGGAGCAGAAGCAAACTTGGACTAGTTACTGCAAGCCTCATTTCCCTCATCCGTGAAGTGCAGCCAATAATACCTACCGTGTAAGATTATTATATGGTTCACATGACACAGATAAAATGATTCCAGTCATGCTTGGTACGTGGTAAACTATCAAGAAATAGTATTTTGATAATGAAAGATAAACATGAGCTCAAGTTCATGTCCCACAAAAGTTAGCTGAAGTGAGAGTGTGGGTAGACTTAAATTATGCTAGAAAATTATGGTAATCAATTATGGTAGGTTGTTGTGTACCTGATATGTTCACACCTTCTTGTATCCATGCCCTTGGATAGTTCCCTCCCACAAAGATGCTGCATTTGGCCATGTGACTTGCTCTGGCCAATGGGACAAGAGCAAATATGATGCAATCTAAGGCTTGAAAAGCACATGTGCATTAGCACATGTTCTCTCTAGTGGCCCTTGGGTCCCTATTGAGAAGCTATGTGAACAGCATGCCTGGGCTAGACTGCTGGAGGATGAGACATAGGGAGAAGAGCTGAGCCATCTCAGCAAGGGTCATACTAAAGCAACCAGCTCCCAGCTGATGTGGCAGCTGACTTCATACGTATGAATAAGCCCAGCTGAGACCAGCAGAAGAATAGCCAGCTGAGCCCAGCCCACATTGCCAACTCATAGAATCCCGAGCTAAATAAATGATTGTTGTATTCAGCAAGTTTTTGGTGGCTTATTATGCAGCCATAGATAATCCATGCTCCAATGCATCCAGTGTCTGAGAGCTGTAGTGAAAACTGAGGAAGGACTAGTTTGGTCTTTTCTTTGGGTCTAGCAGACCAACAAGTCCTTGTGTCCAGATAAGAATTTTGTTGGCCCAGCAACCTGAGCTTCTATGGGACATAGAAGAATCCATCAAAGACCTTTGGTAGAAATCTTTGTCTGTGCTTAGTAAACTTCCCAGCTTACAGTCTGAGTATTCATACATGTCTTATGAAGTATTATGAAGCCTGGCTCATCAGCTCCAGCCTGCAGCAGAAATCCTCACTGGAATGATTGATTAGCACTGAGCAGGATATATTCAATAAAGCACCACTCATAGGAGATCATCATTTGAGACTTCATTAGAGGTGCCTTGGTTGTTACACAGAGGCTATTTAGAGGCAGTGAATGAATTCGATTTGCTTTTTAATTTCCAGCCTAGAAAGTTGGACTCTGTCCTTTTTTACTCTCAGAGTTAAGAAAGAGATTTTTAAGATTAATTAGATGAGACTGAATTTATCCACTTAAAGGTGATCTTGGGGAAACTGAAAGAGCAGTGAGGCTGAGAGGAACTGGAGAATGAGATGAAACTGGGTCACCTCTGGTGGTACTCAGGGGTTGGCAGCCAGGACTCCTCACCTGGCAGCTGGAGTCCTTATCTGCCCTGGACCATTTTCTGAGCATTGTGACCAACACCATTGCTATAGGAGAGGAGGAAAACCTGTGCACGCACTAAGCCCATTTGATGCTCTTTCTTGCCCAGGCTGGCAAGAGGCTAGGAGCAATGGTCTTTATCTTTGTAGTGTTAACAAGCAGCACCAGTAACAACCATCGCCAGTTACTAAACAGGTTCCACGAATTAGGTATTTTATGAGTATTATTTCTAATTGTTACAAAATAGTAGGTGTTATTCCCCATTTACAAAGAGGAAGACCTGTGCCCAGGGATGTTAAACAACTCCTTCAAGGTTACACAACCAGTTGAGATTCAGACCCAGGAAGACCATGCCCCTTCCGCTACACCTCACTGCCTCATTCAGAATACCAAGCAGGACAAGCAATGTCTCCAAAGGTCATGAGGTCCAGCTCCTGCCCCCAGGGAAAGCTAGATCAAGATTATAAAGATAATGTATACTTCTCTGAATATAATAAGCAGAGAAAATCCATATGTTCATAAAGAATATTACAGGCCCTCCATTTTCTAAAGCTGAAGGTTTCCTTCTGTTCTGTTAGCCCAAGTGTCTGAGTCCATTTTCTCCAATTCTGCTTTCACTGGGGATGAAAAACCCATTTACCTTGGCTCCATTGGAAAACTGAGAAGATGGCAACTTAGGCAGTAGAATCTGGAAGCTGATCAACGGTCCTCCTTCTTTTTTTTTTTTTTTTTTTTGAGACAGTCTCACTCTGTCACCCAGGCTGGAGTGCAGTGGTGCGATCTCAACTCACTGAAACCTCCACCTCCCAGGTTCAAGCGATTCTCATGCCTCAGCCTCCCAAGTAGCTGGAATTACCAACATGTGCCACCATGTCTGGCTAATTTTTTTATTTTTAGTAGAGATGGGGTTTTGCCATGCAGGACAGGCTGGTCTTGAACTCCCGACCTCAGGTGATATTCACTTGCCTCGGCCTCCCAAAGTGCTGGGATTACAGGCGTGAGCCACCATGCCCGGCCAGTCCTCCTTCTTTAAAGCATCCTCTCATCATTCATTCATTCATTCTATAAGCATCTATTATCTAACATGTTTGTTTCTAATCTTGTTTCTATTCTTAATCTGCTTGTCATCTAAAAGGCTCAACTCATTTTATAGTCTGTAAAATGTGTGTAATAAAATGGACTCCAGCTGAGCCCAAAAGTAATTAAAAACTCTTGGGAACAGCATCCTTTCTGTAACCTGGGGAACTCCCATGAGTAACTGAGGACCAAGCCATCATACCTGGAGTAGGTGAGATTTGTGGTTCTTAAAAAGGGCAGAGACAACAGCTGTGAGGATTTTGCACAGTGCCAGCAGTATACAGCAGGTGTTCAATAAAGGACAACTGTCAGTATATTGTTACATAGTCAAACTGCCTAAACCAACTCAGTATTGATTCATCAAGTTTTGAGAATTTTAAAAATAAATCATATGCTTTCTGTAGGAAAGAAAAATATCTCAGTGACTTATGATTTGGAGAATATGGATTTGAATACCGGCTCTGTCATTTATTAACTTTCCATCTTTGGAGAATGTTTTTAACCTCTCTGACCCTCAATGTTTTTATCTCCCCACTGTAGGAAGATTTGCTGAGCATTTCTTATGAACTCGATATTTTTCTAGGTTGTTGAGAATATAAAAATATACATTAGGATCTGGTTTCTGACCTAGGGCCTAAGGATTGTTATTTTTTTTAGAGACAGGGTTTCACTTTATCACACCGGCTTAAGTGCAGTTGTGTGATCATGGTTCACTAAAACCTCAAACTCTTGGGCTCAAGCCATCCTCTTGAGTAGCTGGTACTATAAGCACATGCCACCAAGTCCAGCTAAGTTTTTTGTAGACAAAGTGTCTTGGTATGTTGCCCAGGCTAGTTTCGAATTCCTGGCCTCAAGCTATCCTCCCACTTTGGCTTCCCGAAGCACTGGATGACAGGCCGCTATGCCCAGCCTGACCTAGGAATGCTTATAACATGGCTGGGAAACTGAGGGGGAATAGCCAGAGGGGAAATCCTAGGAGGCAAAAAGTTGTGGGATGGGAAGATGTTCAGACCAGGAAAAAACAGAAGAGAGAGCTTCATGAATTGTGGGACATTAGCTGAACCTCAAAGGTGAGGCAGGCGTTAAGTACAAATACTCAGAGAAGGGCATTTTCAACAAAACATGGAGAGGGAACAGTGAACTCCAGCTGAAATCCTAGGGCATGTTCAGGGAAATCTGAGTGAACCAGCCCAGACAGGGCAAAGTTTCCCAGCTGGCAGCAGCGAGTGAGAAAGGCAAACAGGAAGAGCCGGGTTGCTTCAGGAGGGTGGCCTTTAGAGCCCATGAACTGTATCTTTCAGCTTCCTTTGTTCAGACCACCTTCAATGTGATGCACCAGAGGTAGCTTTGCTTTGCTTTGTTTGCTTTGATAAAATCTTCAAAAGGGAAGGCGATGACAAAGTTGTTCCAGGGAGAAATGTTTCCTTTCTTATGGTATTAATCAGAAAGCAGCAAAGCTAGCCAGAAGCATGTTGCCCGCTGCATGCATTGTGGGAGGTGATGTCCATGGGAACTCAGAGCCCATCCTCAAAGACAGACTTTGGTCTCCAAGAGACAAGCTGAGATTCCTGATTTTTATTTCTGATAACTCCTTTTCTAGACTTATTAAATTTTTAAGGTAATTTCCCCAAGTCTACACTCCATGAAGATTTTCAGAAGAAATGTCAACAGAAGAGTGTTTTCTTTCGGCTCCTTGTGACTGCATTCTTCTGGGTGGGCTTCTTCTCTTTGTTCATGTTGGGTGGGCCTTTGTTCTACCTCCTCAAAAACATGCCAGGGAAGAAGAACTGGTCCCGACACATCAGATTTAACACTTCTCAAACACAGACTCTGGTTATCCCGTGGAAACAACCCAAGCTCTTTGCTTGGCTCCTGTGTGGAACGTGACACTCTGGTGTCAGTGTAGGAATGTGTTAGCCAAATTATCTTGCTTAATAATTCCTTTTACACTTCTTTTCAGCTCTGATGTCCACCAATACACATATAAAAAGTAATTTGCATCAGAAGTGGCATTTGAGGTATCAGATTAATGATGATCATGGCTATGAGCCTCCAGGACTGAAAGGCCACATTGCCAGCCCTGAATACTCAGAGGGTATAGGAAAGACAAGAGGACAAGTTAAAGTCGATCAATAGCTATGAGCAAATGAGGTCACTGCCCTGCCTTCCACAAACTTCCCTATCAATTGGTCAAGAACAAGTTGGTCATAGCTTTAAAAAGTTGAAAAAGGAAAGGAGAAAATATTCAGTCACCTGGACAAAAACTGAAGCCCGGGAACCTGCTCCCCTATTTTTTAACATAAAAATGAGAATAAATATTGATCCAAAGGAATACTGGGTTCCCAGTTTTGAAAATAGTTTCCTCTTTTGTTAGAATTATGAAAAGAAGTTGTTTATATGCGATAGTAGGTTCCCCAGATTCTTTTCTGTCTCTCGTCCTCTCTACACTGGTTGAAAAGAGGATGAGGATGAACAAGCTCAAAGGTGGAGGCAAGGCAGGCCTGGGGTCCTCCCACTGTGTTCCCATGTGTGCCCCTCTTCCATTCCATAGACAAATCCTCACATTACTTCCAGGTGCCTCTGATGAAAGAAGACAGAAGAAGTCTCAAACACACGAATTTTGTGCTCTGAATTTTGAGAATCTATTTGAAACTAGAGCTACTGGCCAAATTGTGGCATGGCCATATGGGTAACATTGCATTTAATAAATCAAAGGGAATTGGCAAGAGGAAGGCCTGGGTGGCTTTTCATGGGTCTCCATACTACTTGTTTGAGCCCTGAGTAAAAGCTTCTACTGGATAATGCCATGGGCTGACCCTTGCAAATGCAATGGCTGTGATGGAAAAAGGACATTTCATTAAAAAAAATAGGGAGGGGGAATACTCAGGTGACCAACAGTTACATTTTCTTTTGTCACAGGTAGATGAGAATAGATTCAGTGGTGTGAGCCAGTTCATTCTGACTCATGAGAGCTGACTGTTGAATTTTGAGGAAATTTGTGAGCCATTAGTAGCTTGAAATTAGTCATGGGAGGACTATTTAAACCATAGAAATTGGCAAATGCTACAAATCAGGACTCCCCAGCCCCACCCTGGAAAGCTACTGTTATTTACCAGCACACCAGTGAGAATAGTCCAGATAACACTCCTCATTAAAAATTTCCCAGTGCTCCAAGCTCCTTGAGAAGTGCAGAAATAGAGGTTTTGCTCAAGTATTTGTCAAACCTCAGTTGGGGAGACCGTTTAGCCTTCTCAATGCAAGGTCATTTTTTGAGTTTGTTGATCACAGTGAAATGCACATTCAACACTCTAAGAGAAAGTTATCGGTTAAAAGTATACACATGTGCCATCAACTATAAAGGCAAAGAACATATAGGTAACATTCATACTGCCTCCAGCCCATCTTTTATCTGAATTGTGCTGAGCCCTAAAGAAACTGTTGGGCACTCAAAGTTTTGGGCTGAAAAGAGAAGGGCCTTATCCACATCCATGTCCTGTAGCCAAGTCTGTAGAGGGATAAGAATATTTCCCCCCTTTCTCTTTCTCTATTCCTCCTATCCCTGTCTCCCTATACTCTCTCTCTCTCTCTCTCTCTCTCTCTTTCTGCTTCTCTCTCTCTCTGTCTCTCTCTCTCTCTCTCTCTCTGTCTCTGTCTCTCTCTCTCTCGCTCTCTCTCTCTCTCTCTCTCCTTCTTTCCCTGGGGTGGAAATCACAGCCCAGGCCCACAGTGAAATACAGTTATAACTCACTTTTGCTTTATTTGAGATGAAAAAGCCAAGCATTCCTTATCTATCTATGAAAGTGTACATATCAAAAAGAGTAAGTAGAGTCCTTAAATATAAGTGTTTTAATCAAGATATTTGCAGTTCTACCTAGTTTCCCTCAGGGTGAATGTAATAAAGATGTTATGTGACATTTATTGCAATGTTCCAGGCACTGCTTTGCATATATATAATAATATGATATGTAGGCATTAGCCTAAATCTCATTCAAAGATGCAGCATCTTTGCTTAAGAAAAACTGTTTTCAAATAAGAAAAATCATGGCATGAAGGTATTGGGGAGAGCAAGCTCATTTGGAGATTTTCTCCTAGAGTATCCTGTTGTGTTCTCTCGGCTTTTGTCATTGAGGTTTCTCTCATTAAAGCAACTTTGGTGGTATCTTAAACAGCACTGCTCTCTGCTGAGTCCAGTAATGTGATGTTCTACACTTCCATATCCATCTCCTTGTCTGCAAAGGCTATTTGCTGGCACCTTCTAAGAGGGTTTGGGAATCATACCAGCAAGTTGCTTTGCTGCTTACCATAAGATGCTCGTCTTCCCTCTGAGGCTCTGCCAATAGCCTCATTGGGTGCGAGTGTGTGGAGGGCCCAGACATGAAGTTCAGGGCACTAGAATCAGAATATTTGCAGCCATTCAGTCACACCCTGCTTCTCTTAGGAAATAGAGGCAGGAGGGTCCACTTCATTGTCTCTGAACTCAGATAAGGTGTCTGCAACTCACCCCAAGCCTGTGTTTTCCAGCCTCCTTAGGGTCAGAGTTGTGTCCCTTTCCCTCCAAAGCAATGGTCCCTTTGATCAAAATCTAGAAGACGTCATCAGGTTACCCACCATCCCTGCACCACAGTCATGCACACAGTGACCCCTCTGAGGTCACCTACTTCATTTGAGGACAGGTCTGACTTTTTAAAATGTTTTTCTATTATTGAACTGAATTCCATGTTTTTTTTCTACCTGGGGAGTCCAGTTCTAGCCTTTGAAGTTTTATAGTAGTTTTATAGTAGAACCAGCTTCATACACTCTTCCCTGCCAGGGTCCTGCACACACAGAACACAGCCATTCTGCTCTTAGGCACAGGAAACTGCATTTTAGGTGATAACCTATATTAAGCATATAAAGATTTAATATTAAAACCAAGTAAAAGAAGTGATCTGGAAAAAAGGAGTACTTTAGAATTCCACACCCCCCGCCACCCCGAGGCACTCTCCTGAGGGACTTAGTTTTCCAGAGGCCAGATCACCTGATTTCTTCATACTCGCATAGAGACTTGTTCTGTATTTCTCCATTGGTTCAGCTGATTGTTCTAGGCCCTTCCTAATCTCCTTTTCACTGCCTGCTTGCGTAAAATATTTATAACCTTGATTGACAGCAATTTTTCTGTGGTATGTAAAACTTAAGACAACTTAAGATCTTGAAAATGGGATGAAATCTTTGTTACCAGAAAGTCCAGGATGGAGAGAAGACATTTGGAGGTGCCATTTGACAGAGGGATCGTGAAGAAGGTGAGGCTTTGGGGAAGATACCAGAGCCTCTCCATAGGTTGCTGAGAAGGGTTTTCTGTGATCTGTATAAACCTGCATCAATACTCCATTGCTTTATGAGCTTAAGAGAACAAACTGCTTTCTCCCATGGTGTCTTTTGACTTCAAGAAGTTATTTTCCAGGTTACTGCAAAGTATATATGTCTTTTTAATCTTTTTAGGTTGCCCTGCAAATTAAAGTACATTTAGCACAAGGCAGTTTTGATCAATCAATTAAGTAGTTATGATTTCTAAATATTGCGAGCCTTTAAAAATGTGTAATTGAGAATCTTGGATCTTTGCAATGTTCACATGGATGTCCTCCTTTCTTTAAGAGGGCTCCAAAAGATGAGTTGAGGAACTGAAGGATGTAGAGTTTAAAAAGCTAAATTGCCAAGGGATCAGGGCAGATAGGCACTAAAGGAATTAAGAGGAGACATTACTTCCATTCAGACTGAGCAGGGAAAGCTTCCTGAAGGAGAGGGCACTTGAGGCATGAAAGGGTAGTTTGCAGTTTGTTAGACGAAGAGTAGTTGTCAAGGCATTCAGGAGGTAGAAGACATGAGTGAAGGGGTGTTGTAGGCAGAATCATGGCCCCACAAAGATGTCCATGTGTTGTGCCAAACCCCTATTAACCTTAATATGGAAGGCACCAGGTTCAAGAGGCTGAAGAAAAGACCCAGATCCAGGAAACAGGACATGGGGTTTGATTAGGGGCTCCCATACAGGGGAGAGAGTCCAGTGGCAGTGGGCTGGACAGGAAAATTGCAACTGTGTGCAAACAGCGTGGAGTTCATATAGCATTTTTTACTTAACACCCTCCCCTTAAAGACCTCCACCTGACAACCTTCGTTTGTCCCAAAATGCAGGGCCTCAGTCCCCTGTATGGCCCGAAGTCCACGGGACTGGCTGAGGGGGCTCAGATGTTCCCCCATAGACAAGGAATGAATCTCTGGGTTGTCCATGCCCGGATTCCCTAGCTCGGAACACACATTCAGATGTGTCTCCCACACAGGGTCATTTCCAGAGTATGCCTGAGTTATTGCTATCAGGGGCATTTACTCTATACCATGTCCAAATCCTAGGAACCTGTGACTATGTTACCTTACATGGCAAAAGGGACTCTGTAGATGTGATTAAGGGTCTTGAAATGGGGAGACTTTCCTAGATCACTGGGGTAGACCCATGCTAATCACATGATTTCTTAAAAGCCGAGTCTCTCTTGACTGTTGTCAGAAAGAAATGTGATGATGGAGGAAGGCTCAGAGTTGCTACATTGCCGGCTTTGGAGATGGAGAATGGGGACCATGAGCTGAGGAATGTGGGTGGATTTAGAAGCTGGAAAAAGCAAAGAAATAAATTCTTCCTTAGATCTTTCCGAAAGGACACATCCTGTCTACCCCCTGACTTTAGCCCAGTGAGACCCACATTGGACTTCTGACCTACAGAACAACACGACACTAAATTTTTGTTGTTTGAAGTCACTAAGTCCATAGTAATTTGCTGTGGCAGCAGTAGAAAATGCAAACAGTTGGCACTGAGGGAGAGTGAGTGGATTTCTCCAGCCAGAATTTGGGGAAAATGACAATAAAGTATTTTTTCATTTCTATTTTTTTAATCTTTAGAAGCTTTATTTAGGCTTTTGAACAAAAGTTTATTCTTAAAAATTTCAAGGATCATATTTTCAATGTAATAACATCTGTTTTATTGGCATTGAAAAAATAGCATTTTTTTAAACTTTTATTTTAAGTTCAGGGGTACATGGGCAGGATTGTTACATAGGTAAACTTGTGTAAGGAGGGTTTGTTGTACAGATTATTTTATCACCCAGATATTAAGCCTAGTATCCATTAATTATTTTTTTGATCCTCCCCCTCCTCCCACCCTCCATCCTTTGATAGACCCCAGTATCTGTTATTCCCTTCTATGTGTCCATGTGTTCCCATCATTTAGCTCCCACTTATAAGTAAGAACATACAGTACTTGGCTTTCTGTTCCTATATGAGTTTGCTGAGGATAATGGCCTCCAGATTCATCTGTGCCTCTGCAGAGGACATGATCTCATTCTTTTTTATGGCTGCATAGTATTCCATGGTATATATGTACAACATTTTCTTTATGCAGTCTATCATTGACGATCATTTAGATTGATTCCATGTCTTTGCTATTGTGAATAGTGCTGCAATGAACATTCATGCATGCATGTTTCTTTATAAAAGAATGATTTGTATTCTTTTGGGTATATACCCAGTAATGGGATTACTGGGTCAAATGCTATTTCTGTCTTTAGGTCTTTCAGGAACCACCACACTATCTTCCACAATGGCTGAATGAATTTACACTCCCATCAACAGTGTATAAGCATTCCTTTATCGCCACAACCTTGTCAACATCTTTTATTTTTTTGACTTTTTAAGAATAGCCATTCTGACTGCTGTGAGATGGCATCTCATTGTGGTTTTAATTTGCATTTCTCTAATGATCAGTGATGTTGAGCTTCTTTTCATGTTTGTTGGCCACATGTATGTCTTCTTTTGAAAAGTATCTGCTTATGTCCTTTGCCACTTTTTAATGGGTTGTTTTTTCTTGTAAATTTGTTTAAGTTCTTTATAGATACTGGATATTAGGCCTGTGTCAGATGCATAGATTACAAAAATTTTCTCCCATTCTTAGGTTATCTATTCACTCTGCTGATAGTTTCTTTTGCTGTGCAGAAGATGTTTTATTGTAATTAGATTCCATTTGTCATTTTTTGCTTTTGTTGCAATTGCTTTTGTTGTCCTCATCATGAAATCTTTGCCCATGCCTAGTCTGAATGGCATTACCTAGTTTGTCTTCCAAAGTTTTTGTAGTTTTGGGTTTTACATGTAAGTCTTTAATCCATCTTCAGTAAATTTTTGTATATGGTGTAAGGAAGGGGTCCAGTTTCAATCTTCTGCATATAGCTAGCCAGTTATCCCATCACGATTTATTGAATAAGGAATCCTTTCCCTGTTGCTTGTTTTTGTCAGGTTTGTTAAAGATCAGATAGTTGTAGGTTTGTGATCTTATTTCTGGGTTCTCTATTCTGTTCTATTTGTCTATGTGTCTGTTTTTGTATCAGTGTCATGTTGTTTTGGTTACTGTAGTCCTGTTTCATAGTTTGAAGTTGGGTAGTGTGATGCCTCCAGCTTTGTTCTTTCTGCCTTGGCTATTTAGGCTTTTTTTGGGTTCCATATGAATTTTAAAATAGCTTTTCTAGTTTTGTGAAGAATTTCAATGGTAGTTTAATAGAAATAGCATTGAATCTACAAATTACTTTGGTCAGTATGGCCATTTTAATGATATTGATTCTTCCTATCCATGAACATTGAATGTTTTTCTATTTGTGTCATCCTTGATTTCTTTGAGCAGTGGTTTGTAGTTCTGCTTGTAGAGATCTTTTACTTCCCCAGTTAGTTGTATTCCTAGGTATTTTATTCTTTTTGGGGCAGTTGTGAATGGGAACACTAAAGGCCCATATCGAAAAGCTAGAAAGATCTCAAATCAACAACCTAACATCACAACTAAAAGAACTAGAGAACCAAGCACAAACAAATCCCAGGGCTAGCAAAAGACAAAAAATAACCAAAATCAGACCTGAACTGAAGGAGATTGGACATGAAAAACCATTCAAGAGATAAATGAATCCAGGAGTTGGTTTTTTTTTTAAAAAAAAATAAAATAGACTGCTAGCTAGATTAATAAAGAAGAAAAGAGAGAAGATTCAAATAAACACAATCAGAAACAAGGTGGTTATTACCACTGACCCCCCAGAAATACAAAAAACCATCAGAGAATATTATGAACACCTCTTTGCACATAAACTAGAAAATCTAGAAGAAATGGATAAATTCCTGGACACATATACCCTCCCAAGACTGAACCAGGAAGAAATTGAATCCCTGAACAGTCCAATGATGAGCTCTGAAATTGAGGCAGTCATAAATAGCCTATCAACCAAAAAAAGACTAGGACCAGATGGAGTTGCAACTGAATTCTACCAGATATACAAAGAAGAGCTGGTGCCATTCCTAATGAAGCTATTCCAAAAACATTGAGGGAGAGACTCTGCTAACTCATTCTATGAGGACAGCATCATCCAGATACCAAAACCTGGCAGAGATACAACAAAAAAAGAAAACTTTAGGCCAATATCCTTGATGAATATCAATGCAAAAATCCTCAACAAAATACTGGCAAACTGAATCCAGCAGCACATCAAACAGCTTATCCACCAAGATCAAGAAGGCTTTATCCCTGGGATGTAAGGTTGGTTCAACATATGTAAATCAATAAATACGATTCATCACATAAACAGAACTAAAGACAAAAACCACATGATTATTTCAATAGATGCAGAAAGGCTTTCATTGAAATTCAACATCATTCATGTTTAAAAAATTTGAATAGACTAGGTATTGAAGGAACATACTTGAAAATATTAAGAGCCTTATATGACAAACCCACAGCCAACATCATATTGAATGGGCAAAAGCTGGAAGCATTCTCTGTGTAAACTGGCACAAGATAAGGATGCCCTCTCTCACCACCCCTATTCAACATAGTATTGTCCTGGCCAGGGCAATCAGGCAAGAGAAAGAAATAAAGGACATTCCAAATAGGAAGAGAGGAAGTCAAACTATCCCAGTTTGCAGATGACATTAACTTATATCTAGAAAACCCCATAGTCTCAGCCCAAAACCTTCTTAAGCTGACAAACATCTTTAGCAAAGTTTCAGGATACAAAATCAATGTACAAAAATCACCAGCATTCTTATATGCCCACAGTCAAGCCAAGAACCAAATCAGGTACAAACTCCCATTCACAATTGCCACAAAAAGTGTTTAGAAAGAAAGCTAGAAACAGGCTTAATTTGGTTTGGGTGACTTCTGTTACCATTTTGGACAATTGATTAGCATGGATTCTCAAATATACATGTCTTAAGAGCTTTTCAGAAGGTACATTCCACATTTTGTGATCCAACTAACAGTTGCAGAACAAAAACCCATTAAAGAAAAACCATAACTTCCAGCTACTGAAATTGACCAATTGTATGTTGCAATTTCCTGTACAACAAGATTTTACAGCAAAGAATTTGGATAGCCTTTTAAAGTCTGATAGAAGACTGGATTGTGCTTTTAAAAATAGAATCTGTTCAGTACTTTGCCAATTGTCAAGATTAGTGCAATTCCCACTTAACACTCTGCCTTTGAAAATTGTCTTTGTGCTATCTTAGTCCCCTTGGGAAATCAGTGAAATAGTTAAGGAGGCTGAGACTCAGTGGTGTTAAGTGACTTGCCCCAGGTTGCAAAGCCTTTGAATGACAACTGGCACTTGGACTCCAATTATTCTCCAGGAGCATTGCCAGGTTCTAGGGAGAAGGACGCTGCCTCTTCTGTGTGCCACAGGAGTAGTAACCCAGCCAAACCCCCAGACCTCCTGCTGTCAGCCTATGAAAGACATGGTCAGAGTGACAGGAGCTGCTCTCCTTCAGAGCTGGTGTGGACAGGCACGGGGCACTGTGGCTCCTTTCCAGCACAGAGGGACCCATTTAAAGGAGCTTTCCACTCAGTTGGAAAGGGGCTGCTTTCTGGGATCTCATGAGGAAACAGCAAGGGTAATGGTCTCTGTAATATTTTGGAAAATGAATAAATTCAGCAAGTTGAGTTCACCAATATGGCACATTGCCTAGATGGGTCCCATGCTCAGAACACACTTATTCTCTCTTCCCCTTTATAGCATAACAGGTTCCTTCAGCTCACAGGACCTGGCCCCTGGTGGGAGGTGGGGAAGTAAGGAGAGGGAATATTATCTGTATTTGATGATGTGAACCAGAGTTTTCTTGAATGGGTTCAGAATATGAGTCCACACAGTTATTTATTTGTCCCTTTCTTCCCTTAGGTAGCCAGACTCCAAGACAGTATGAGAGGAAAATGGGGACCTTTGTTATATCCAAAACTAAAATTTACAAAAGGCTCTGCTTTTGAAGGAAGAACTCTTGTTTTCAGGGAAGAAGTAGTTAGCAGATTTGTTTAAACACTGCTTTAAAATGAATTTGTTGGTATATGTAACATGGCAAGGACGTATTGTCAGCTGGCAAGGAGCTACTTGTTATGAGTTTGAGATCTTGAAGGCATGCAAATGCAGAAATCATTTTCTGCTGCCTTGATGGTGCAGGTATGTTGATTATTTCATTCTGTTTTAGAATCTATGTCTGTATCAATTAGCTTTCACTGCAAAACAAACTGACAAACTAACCCTAAACTTAGTAATCTAAAGCAACAATTTAGTTTAGTTCACAATTCTCTGGGTAGGTTGAGTGGCTTCACTGATATCTGCCAGGATCTTTCAGGTGTTTATGGCCTGGTGGGAGCTGGATGGTCCAGGATGGCCTCACTTATGTGTCTGGTGATTGGCAGGTAGGTTGGTCTTGGGGGAACCAGATAAGGTGCCTCAACTGCTCCGTGTCTTCTATTCCAGGCTTCTTCACATGGAAGCTCAGTTCCAAAGGCAGCCAGTGGGCAAGGCTTCTTGAGCAAGCACTTTTCAAGCCTCTGTTTTCATCATGTGTGATGATATCTATTAACCAAGTCAGGCCACATGGATAAAGCTGCCATATCTTGATTGATGGAGCTTTCAAGTCACATCGCAGAAGGAAACAAAAATGGAAAGAATTTGTGGCCATGTTTGCTATGTGCCACAGCTATGTAGTGGCATAAAATAAGGCATATTATGAAGGAAAATGAGAAAGACTGTCTGTGCCAATTGATAGCTCACTTTTCCTTCTTTTCACTAAATTCATTTTCCAGATCTGAGGTCTCAACCTAAAAGTGGTGAGTTTACATATATATATTAGGGCCAGTGGAATATTCAAATTCTTTGCCACAGGAATTTTACTTTTTAAGATATTTTCTAAGTAAATAATTCTAACTATGGAAAAAGTTGTATTCATAAAGATATTCTGCAAGCTTTATTTATAGAATGCAAATTGTAAATAATTTAAGTGGCCAACTAAAGTGTGGTTAACAGTATATCTACTTGGGGGAATAGTATAAAAAGTGAAATTATGTTTAGATGTCTAATAATAGAAAAAATTATCCTACTATAATGATAATGTAAAACAGAATATCAAATAGTAGCCAAAAAACAAAAAGAAAATACTATACAGAAGATACAGGGAAGCCCAATGCATGTATTATTGTTATTTGGGGAATCATGGGACTATGAATGACTGTCTTTTTTCTTCTTTTACCATTCTCTTTTTTTCCTTCAATAATCATGGTTACTTTTGAATTGAAAATAAGTTTTTTATTAACAACGTTTTAAAAACAGGGAGAAAAAAACTGCCTCTGGTATTACTGTTTATTCTTTTACTCTGAAAGAATAACCACCATTTTTATGTACTTCCTCTGGGGTTGTTACACATTGACTAAGTTGTTTTGTTATTTTCTTTAGGGTTGGTTAGGATATAATTTCTTTCCTTTTAGGTTCCTGGCTGCTTTGAGCTATGAAAAGCAAGGATTTTGCTACCTTGTGACCACAAACTCAAACAGCATGCTCTTCCCTAAGTTAGCTGTGTTGTCATCCCTCATGTGACTTGCCTGTCATCTCAAACACACCAAGTGCTCATGTTGATATGAGTCGAAAAGAAATTATTTAGGCAGATAGTGAGGGTAAGGAAGTCCTCGGTCAGGTTTTTGTTTTTGTTTTTAATGAAAGTAGCCTGAAAATCATTTCTTTTCTAACAAAGAGCAGCCTGGAAAATTGAGCTGCAGACATAGAAAGGCAAACTAGAAGCTTGCACAGGTGAATGCGGGCAGTTGTGCCAGTAGGAAAAGGCTACCTGGGACTAGGTGTGTTCAAAATGGCTGCTCCATCTTCTCTTCTCTTTGCCAAACCACCAGTAGAGTAAGGAGAAGACAACATGGCTCCAGCCAGGCAAAGACCCCATGTGCATAATAAGATTAGGGTGGGGCAGTCTGCCCCACGTGCTATGTAAACATCACACCTGGTTCAACCAATCTCTGGGCCCTATGTAAATCAGACACTGCCTCTACAAGCCTGTCTATAAAATCCGGTGCATTCCGCCTTGGGCCAGAAGTCCCATTCAGGTGTCTCTCTCTGTCTCTCTCAGTTCTCTGTTCTCTTTCTTTTGCCTATTAAACCTCAGCTCTTAAACCCACTCCTTATGTGTGTCCGTGTCCTTAGTTTTCTTGGCATGAAGCAGCAAAACTCAGGTATTACCCAGACAATGATGCAGCTTCAACATTGTATGAGGCGCTCTGGAAAACGCCATGAGAGGGCAAACTAAGCCATCTCTGTTCAATCTGCACAGTTTTGACAAGGCTTCATGAAGTAAGTAACTGATACAGGCCAGGCTCAGCACTCATACCAGGGTTGGATGAGCTTGGCTTCCAGGGACTAAATTCTAGTCTAAGTAGCAGGTGTGTTGATCCCTGGCTCTGTGGCCAGGCAGACAGTGAGCATCATGGAAGGAGAAGTGAGTTTTATTTAAGGGTAGAGGAAAGTGAAGTGTGGAACTAACCCCAAGATCAATCCAGCACAGGTGGATGGCTAGTGCCTGGGAGGTGGGACGGAGAGCTTGAGGGCATGCTGGGAAAGCCTTACGTAGCAGGTTGGACGTTTGGGTTTTATTGAGAGGTAATGGAGCAGAGGTATAATAAAGTCATGTTTGCTCTTAGGAAGTTAACTAGAGTAGAGCTTGCAAACTGGTGGCCCGTGGGCTGAATGAAACCAGCAGGAGGGGTTGGTTTGGCTCCAAGATACTTCATTTTTAATTAACTTTTTCATGAAGGAGATTTAACATCATAAAAAATTAAAGATTTCAAACTTTTTCTTCAAGAAAAAAAAGAAAAGAAAAGGAGATCTGTGAATGGCAGATCCCGGTTTCTGTGTCTGTCTCAAGTTTTCTACAAACTGCTGCTCCCCCATTCTGTGCATTTTGTCACTGGCCTCATGCCTGTAAGCCTGGTGGCTGAGGACATCAGCTAGGTGAGCTGTGGAGAATCTGCTGCTGTGCTGTTCAATGCAGCAGCCATGAGCATATGTGGCCATTTAAATTTACATTAAAAAATTTTAAATGTAAAACCTCAGTTTCTCATTGCACGGGCCCCATTTCAGGTGCTCACTGGTCGTATGTGGCTCATAGCTTCCATATTGGACAGTGCTGACATAGAACATCACAGAAAGTTCTATCACTCAGGGCTGAGATAGGGGCAAATTAGGAGACTACTGCAGCAGTCCAGGGGAGAAACAACAAGGCTCCTAAAATAGGCAGTGGAAATGGAGCGTGACATCGTTCCTCTAAAGAACGCTATTTAGGTTGGCTTCTCACTGACACAATTAGACTGAAGTCTGCTGTTGAAGTCTCATTTTGTTGAGTGCTTGAAAGTACATTTTTGTCACTTGTGGAACAATGTTTGATAAGTGTTCCAGGAGTATGTATTGTGTATGTTTAACAATACTGATAATTTTCACCCTAAGTTGGTTTCTTTGGTTTCTGGCAAACCTGAAGAGCTAAGTGCTATAAACACTCATGAAAGCCCCAAGTGGAAAGCGTTTTGAGTGCTTTAGAGAAATGGTGCTCCAAATATTTGAAGCATTACTATTCTCAAAAACAGTATCAAGACACTTCTTTCTGTGACCTCCATCTATGAAGATCACAGGCAGAGGGAACTTGTTGGTTACAAGACTGGTTCTGCCAGATTGATTATCCCAGATACAGATTTCTCACTGAATGCTGCTAGAAAACTCAAGGACCTGCAAATGCAGGCCTCATGTCCCTGTGCACAAAGCCTCTCCATACACACAAACAATGCTGAGGTTGGCGGAAGTACAAAGGGCTCTTTGGATTGACCCTGCTCTGTTCCTCTATAGGAGTCTCAACCCCGGGCGCAGCCTGGAGACTGAGAGATGGTGCTTAGTCAGTTAGTCAATACAAATAAATGTCAGGAGTTATATGCTGGGTGATGGATGGACAAAAAGAAGGAATTCCCAGTCTCTGTCTTCGAGAAACACTGAATTTCAAGACAGGAGAGCTAGTGATTAACTATGGGACTTCTAGGGAATTCAGATTCTTCATCTCGTTCCCTTGACTCTTGGCAAGGCTGATGGTATCCCCATGTGAACCTTTCCAAGCAAAGATATCCAGAGGCTTACCCACTTTTCAAGTCTTCTTTGTTGGAGAATAATGAACTCCACTCTTCAGCCCAGTGAGTCTTCTCTTGGTGAATAAGATCATTGTCTTTGTACAAACAATAATCTTCACAAAAGCTAAAAATTCTTTCTCCTTTTGGAGAGAGTAATTTTGTTTCCTCAACTATTTTCCATGTCTTACCCTCCCTTCATTAGAAAAAAAATCCTTAGGGACCATGTCTTCTATTTCATTGATTCTCCCTCACTTCTATGTCCAGCAGAACACATGACATTTTAAAAATTAATTTACAACATTTAATACGTGTTTTATCTTTTCTACTTTCCCGGTATATCTCAATTCACCCTTCTCATCCCTAAAGGCTCCACTCAAAGACTACCCCTCTCCAAACATCCTCCTTCTTTGCTTTGTCTGCACTCCCTCCTCATGGATAATATGAACTCCTTTCCCAAGACTCATGTGGTAGTCAGACTCCAGGATGGCCCACAGTGGTTTTCATTGCCTGATATTGACCCCTATGTGGTCACCTACCATATGGAATAGGATATTGAGGAAATTAAGGAGCATGACTTCAATCATAACAAAGATTGTGACTTCAACTTTGCTCTCTCTTGGATCACTCACATTGGATGAATCAGCTGCCATGTCATGAGGACACTCAAGCAACTCTATGGAGAGGTCCATGGGATAGCAAACAAAGTAAGTCCTCCTGCTAACAGATGGCATCAACTTGCCAGGTATGTGAATGAGCCATTTGGAAGTGGATCCTCGAGCTTGGCCATGCCTTCAGATGACCAGCTCTGGTCTGACCAGATCTGCAACATCTTGACTGCAACCTATTGAGCGATTCCTCCCAAATTCCTAGCTCACGGAAACCACGTGAGATAATATATGTTATTTGTTATTTTAAATCACTAAGTTTTTGTATTGTTTGTTATGCAGTAATAGGCAACCAATACAACTCAGCTGAGGCATTATCTCCTCTGTGAAACCTTGCCTGATTCTCCCATGTGGTCTTCACTACTCCCTTCTTTGAGACTACACATTTTTAAGTGTATCCAGCATCAGAGGTGCTATTAGAGAAGTTTGCAAAGTGACCGTGGATCAGTTTGCAAACTTCTCTAATAGCACCTCTGACACTAGATACACTTAATGATGTATATGTCTGCATCACAATAGAGGACCACTTGTTTTTTTCTACTTAGAATTTTTCCCTCATTCCTTACTTCTGGCATCAACTCCACTCTTCTCACGGAAAACTGCCCCACCTCAGTGTGTTTTCTCTTAACGGTTCTGAAACTCTATCTTCCTGGGGTCATGTCGTTAATTTCTGCTAGGTCAGTCATAGTACCCCTTGCTCCAGCCACTGTGTTTGGCTCAACAGTCAGCACAGGAACTTGATGGATGTTTCAGTTGGGATGATTTGTTCTGACTCAATGAACAATAGGTTTATTTTATCACATAATAGAAAGTGTACAGGGAAGGAAGGGCTAAGGCATTGTACAATAATGTCTTTGGTTCTAGCTCTCTGTCATTTTCTCAGCTGCAGCCTTCCTGTAATGATTGTTTTCAGGCTGGCTTCTCTCACGGTCACAAGATGGTTACCCAGAAACTGAGGTCTTATTTTTCATTGTGAATGTTTGGAAAGAAAGAAAGAGGAGGGAAGAGAGAGCAAGTGAATGAGAAAATGTCTTCTCCATTTCAGTAAATATCCATTCCTTTAGCCTGATAGACCAAGATTGAGTTAGGTGCTAATTGGAGACCTATAACAATAGCCAACAAAATGTCCTGTATTGATAAGCTTCAGTCGAGATTCTAGAACCAGTCATTCTCAAGAGCAAAATGATTACTTGGATTGGCTTAAAGAATAGACCTACCACGAGAGTTAGGGATGGGGTCACCTTCTCTGATCCCATGAGATATTTAAGGGAAGAATACATATTGAACAAGGAGGAAGGGTTTCATTAGCCATCAGGCTTCACGAAAGACCATCCTTGCAGATTTTCCAAACTGAACCTAAAAAAGAGAAATTTCTTTTCATCTCAGAGCTCTAGCATTGAAGGATCCAAGGCCAGAACATCTCCTACATATTCCTTGCTATTTGAATGAAGGAATGATGGCCTGTGGTTAGTAGAAGTGAATGAGTACAGAGGAAACAGAAGATGAGGAACTAACAAGAGTCCTTCCAGCACAGACCCTGGGTGCAGCCAGCCATCCCAGAGGCAAGAGCCAACCTGTTACCTGTTTACATGGATCAATAAATCCTCCTTCAGCCTCACTGAACTTGAATTGGTTTTGGCATTTGCAACTGGAAGAATCTTTACTGGTATATGGTCCTCCTAGGTTATATCTGGCTGACCCAGCCAAGTCTCAGCTCTCTCACCTCTATAGCTTCTGTTTTTCCCCTGCTATGCCTTGAATATGTCAGGATGGCCCATTGGTGGGAGGAGGGAAAAGGACAGAAAGAACATTAATTTTCTTTTTATTTTTTGAGACAGAGTCTCACTCTGTCACCCAGGCTGGAGTACAGTGGCATGATCTTGGCTCACTGCAACCTCCGCCCCCTGAGTTCAAGCGGTTCTCCTACCTCAGCCTCCTGAGTAGCTGGGATTATAGGCTCCTGCCACCATGCCCAGCTAATTTTTGTATTTTTAGTAGAGACAGGGTTTCACCATTTGGCCAGGCTGGTCTTGAACTCCTGACCTCATGATCCACCCACCTTGGCCTCCCAAAGTGCCAGGATTACAGGTGTAAGCCACCGAGCCCAGCCTGGAGAACCTTAATTCTAACTGCAGGCCATTATCTCCAGTACCTGTTTATCATTATTAAGAGTGATCCCCATCTAGGCTCTTTAATCTATTTCTAGTATGGTTTAGGCTTTTGCTCTTCAAACTGATCCCTGGACCAGCAGCATTCAGCATCTCTCAGGACTTGTTGGAAATAGAGAATCTCAGGCTTCATGTTGGACTTTCTGAATCATAATCTGCATTTTAAAAGGATCCCCCGGTGATTGTTATGGACCCTGCAGTTTGAGACACACTGGCTTATACTTGGCAGTGAGAGGGAAAAATGATTCATTTTTTTCTCAGCTCCCACAGTCCATGTGGTGGATGGATGTCTGACTCTGCCCTGACCACTTGGCCCAACCATCTTTGGAAGCCAGCGCAAATGCTTGCTGGAGCCCCTGTAATATAAAGTAAAAGTGAACCTTGAGGTTTATGGTCTCTGATTATTCTGGTCCTCTTGCATGCCATGCTGTCAGAAGTGAGCCTAAACACAGGAGATAAGTGTTTGACCCAGTTCCCCTTCCACTAGGTGTGATCACCTGTCCTATATGTAAGAAAGGTGACCTGCAGGTTTCTTCCTGCTCCTTGCCCCCATCACCTGCTCTTGACCTTGTTCAGACTCTGTGTAAACAGATGGCCTTGGCAAAGCCAGGGCTGCTGCTACTCCCTCCTAATCGGCCTTCCTCTATCCTTCCTGGCCCCAATCCCTTCCTCTGCCCTTCCTCTACAATTCCTACATAAGGGTGCTAGGGACAAGGAAAAACTGCTCCCTGGACCTGCTCCTAAATGACAATAAGCCAAAAGCTAAGTCAGAAAGTGTGCTAAGCTGAAACCAGAGCCAGTGCTGCTTGGAGCCCAGGCTGTTAATGCCAGGCTGAGGTTATCAGATGACAAGGTGCAGGCTGATCTTCTGCCCCAGTCCCCTGCCCCTTGTTGGCCTCGTTCTGGTCATCTCCTTCTTCCTTTTCCACATGCTGCTGGCAATTCCGTGCTAGAGCATTGCCAACGGAGGCCACTATCTGCTGCTGGGAGCTGCTTCTTCCCTGCTGTTTGTGAAACCAGTTCTTCACGGGAGCACAGCCTGATGCCTTCCACAAAGAATGACTTTCATCAAGCCTGTGTCCTGGAGCTCTGCAGTGGGGGCTGCTGGACAGAGAGCCAGGAGGGAGGGGAGAGAGCTGGCTACAGTAGCAGATGGAATCTGGCCCAGGGCGGATGTCGAGTGCCTTCTTCAATATGCCTTTTCCCTTTTAATCTCCTCTTGAGCAGAGCTGATCAATTAGAGCTGTAATTATTTTAATCTTCTTCTTTGCTGTCCTGTCTGACTGCCTGCCACCGCCCATTGACTCTTTCTGCTAACAGTGTACCTAGGTGGCAGCTTTGCAGGGGCCATGTCAGGCATCACAGCTTCATAATAGCCCAAACAATGATGCGGCATTGCCTGGCCAGAAGCCATCCCTTCCCTTGCTGGGTGACCTTTGGTGAAGCTTTCACCTGTCTCTTTCCTTTGCAAAGTGGGTCAGCTCCATGGGGTGGGTGACGGAAACAAGATATCAAGATAATAGCTCTACAGCCTTTAGATCATACATTTCAGCATCACAGTGGTTTAAGAACATCAGTTTTCGAATTAGCAAGATCTGGCTCTTCCACCTGTGTGTGGATCTTTTCATCTTAGACTCTCTGAGCCCTTGTTTGTAAAATGGGTATCATAATAAATTCCCAGAGCATTGTAATGACCGGGCAAGGTGATGGAGACTCAGGTTAGAGTACAATGCAGGTCCCCCGGTGACAACTGGCAAGGGTGAACTATTTTTTATCATTATTATGTCCAGCTATTCCCTATGACCAAGGGAAACTGGGGTTTGGGGAAAGAAGTAAAACTGGTAATCCTGGATTTGTGATGTGTCATATAGGCATACAGAGTCCCTTCCTGTCTCATCATGGGAGGTGAAATGAGAAAAACAATGTAAAATGGGTATCTTTGAAATCTTTGAATAAAACATTTTTTTCCTGTAAACTCTTATGAAATGAAAGAGGTAGATAATCCATCTCTCACAAGACAAAGACCTCTGTGTTCTGAAGGTCCTGGGCCAGATAAGCATTAGTTTATTTGGATTTTGTGAGTTTGGTGGGTGTGGATTGTTCCAGGGGAGATTCTAGGCTCCAGCTTGTGACTAATGCAAAGCATTGCTGGCTGCTTTCCCTACCCTCCCTCCCCATGCTCATCTGAGTCAAATATTTCATTTGTGCAGCTCAACATAACATAGAATAAATGAGTTAGGGGCTGGAAGTACAAAGACAATTAAGACATGGTTTCTACCTTTAAAATTTCTCAGTCAGAGAGTAGAGGGGGGCAGATAAACATAACTGGAAATTATAGAGACAAGTGTTAGGCAGACATAAACACTGATTTTGTAGAACATCTGAACAGTCACCAGCCTAACCTACATGGGAGCTAAGGCTACATGGAAGACAGATGCTCAGGGAAGGCATCCCAGAGAAGGTAACATTTCCAAGATGATTTCTTTCTTCAGATAATCTTTAGATGTAATCAATATAACTTTATTTATTTTTTTGAGACAGAGACTCGCTCTGTCAATAGAATCAAGTGTATCAGTTAGCTTTTGCTGTGTAACAAACAACCCAAACATGAGTGGAACTATTTATTTAGTTCACAATTCTGGGGGTCAGCTAGGTGGTTCTTCTGTCTAGGCCAGGTTGGCTGATCTCTGCTGGGCTTGTTCATCTGTGGTCGTTTGGCAAATTGTCTGGTAGGATGAACTAGGATGGTCTCACTCATAGCTAAATCACATGGATTCCCCTCTATGTGGCTTCTCATTTTTAAGCTGCTCATGTGGGCTTAATTACATGGCAGTCTTGGCATGAAAACAAGCCCCAGTGCTCAAGGATTTTTCAAGTCTCTTCCAGCATCAAGGTTTCTAATGTCCCATTAAGCCAAAGCATATCACCAGGCCAACCTGGATTTAAGAGCTGCTACAATAAACTTCACCTCTTGATGCAAGGGGAAGCATTTTGGGCCATTTTTGCCACCTACCATATTGTATATCTTTAGGAAATGGAAGGCAAAAGGGGGTAGACATATATAAAATGTGGGTTAAAGAGAGCTTGATGCCAAAGAAACAGGTAATTATCTAAAAGATATGGTCTGTTTTTCAATGAGGTCAAGGGTTCAATATTCTATCTCTGAAGACACATTCTGCTGTATTAAGCATGGCTCAGCCTAGTTGTCTTCTTTTAGAATAAATGTACCCTCAGGAGGTGGAGACACATTCAAGTTCAATCAGCCACTTCGTTGAGCTGTCCTCCAGGGCTGAAATAACTTAATAGCAATGAACAAAGCCTTCCTTGGAGAATTGTTGGTTGTGGATAGAAAAAGAGAAGGGGCTAGGAAAGGCAAAGGTGGAAGACCCAAGCTTGGTTTACCTACATAGCAATTTTGCCTGAAGCTGAACCTGCATCTGAGTATTCAGAGGTGAAACCCATTACAAAGTAATTTATAGGCCTTATCTCATAGAGCTGAGAAACCAGATGTCCTGGAAAGGATGTTAGCTGTGTGTCATAGTACTTCACTGACAGCCTGATAAATGATCTCCTTCCTTGTCCTTCAGCCACCCCTGCTCTGATGGAGCAGTTGGTGCATCCAGCCTGCTATGGGCCTACAACTGTCACTGCCCCTAGATAAGAGTCCAACTTTCAGGGACTCATTTACAGGGAAGCCAAAAGCTTAGAGTAATAGTTCTCCAACTTCAGCAAGTCTCAGATTCACCTAGTGTTTGTTAAAACAGATTGCTGGGCCCTACCCTCAGAGTTTCTGATTCTGCAAGTCTGGGATGGGGCCTGAATTTGCTTTTCTAACAAGTTCCCAAGTGATACTGACGGTTATGCTGATACTGCTGGGCAAGGGACCACATTTTGAGAACTCCTGACCTAGGGGTTTGAATATCATATAATTCTACATAGGGTTCCCCTTATTGCAGAAGTTCTCAACCTTGGCTGTACCTGGAGACCATTTTAAACACATTAATGCCCAGACTTTGCCTGTAAAGAGTCTGATTTAATTAGTCTCAGTGGAGGCTGGTATTTATACTACCTAAAAGATTTCTGGGTGATCTGAGTTTCTGGGTGATCTTATTGTAGTGGTTTTCAAAGGGTGGGTCCTCAGACCCACAGCAGCACTGTCTGGGAATTTGTTAAACATGCACATTCTCAGGCTGTACTCCAAAAGCCTGATAAATGGCCTCCTTCCTTGTTCTTCAGGGTAGGAGGCCCAGAAACCTGGATTTTAACAAGCTTCCTAGGTGATTCTGATGTGCACTGAAGTAGGGTTAACCAATTTTTAAAAATGAATGGGCCCCATGAGAACTATCTTATGTTCTTATAGCATAAGAGAACCTTCAGCATAGAGAGGGGTTCTTTGGAAGATGGGCTCTCAAGAAGTGACATGCAGTTTGCAGGGTTTGGGGTTCCAGGTGTTCCAACAAAAATCTCTGAAATAAAATATTAAACAGAAACATGAAATACATACAGACTGAAGAAGAATTCTTAGGCTGGAATGGAGGAGGGGCTTTGAACATCTCCCTGGCTGTGGCCTTCAAGGTAGTCCCTGAAGTCCCTCTTCTCTATCCTTCAACATGGAGTGGGGACTGGGAAATTCAGCCCTATCTGAGGCACTAAGTTAATTGTGTAAACTCTCTGTGTCTTTGTTTCCTCATCTCAAACATATGACACAATTTGCATCAACCAAATCATCTCCCTTATAGTTCTAAGTAGGTCAAGTGAGATTTCACAGATACAGTTTTATAGTGTATTATCATTGTTGGGTATGAAGAATATTAATAAAAGCCTTGTTCTTGTCATGTGTATGTGCAACTTGCATGACATTCCTCCGCTTGGGAAAAAGCAAAGCTATAAATCATATCCTTTTGCTTTTAGAAATTCATTGTTTTGAGTCCGTGCATGGCAGAGTAGCAAGGGAATATACGAGTTCCTCATTGGAGCCTCCCCAGCCCCCAGTTGTCTGAAGTCTTCTAAGATTTCCCAAGTTTAAAGCCATCAGACCTGCTTTCAGATTTTGCTTAGAGAGGGCACTGGAGCATAGTGAGGGCACACCATGGCTGCTTCTTCCTCTACTGTACAGATGGATTTGTGCCACTGGGGAATGCTCTTTACTGCTTTGTTGTGCTCTTGCCAATCTGGACAGGACATAGAGATGACCTCTTATTAGGCCCCAAAGACCTAAAAAAGATTGCACTTTCATAGACACACACACACACACACACACACACACACATACACACATTTCATGCTCAACAGGTTCCCAAGTTAGAAGGTCACAGAATCCAAAGAGGCTTTCAGCTTTAGCCCTGGTTGAGCCAGAGCCAGCCCTTCCCCATGATCCTGAAACCCTCACCCATGTACCTGCTGGGGGTAGCCAGGACATATAAATGAGGGATTGTGGCCAGAAACCACAGCAGAAGCGATACAAATTCCCCTTGCCTAGGCACCCATTACCACAGTCTGGTCCCTTCTCTTGTATACATATAAATAGTCTCAGAACCCAAGAAGTTCCATGAGGTCTAAGAGATAGGAAGGCTCTATTTCCACTGGATGTTGTCATTATTGGATGTCTGCTTCTTAGAGCACTCTCCTTGGCGCCAGATCAATGTAATGAAAATCATCTTAGAGAAAAGTGTTGGCACTAATTATTTAAGCCAGTGGTTCACAAAGGGTGGTCATCGGGCCAGGAACATCAGCATTGCCTGGGATCTCATGAGATCTTATGGGAACTGGGGCTCATCTGCACCTAGGACTTGGTGGTGGGGTCCTGCAATCTGTTTTATCCAGCATGCTGGGTGATTCTGAGGCATGCTAAATTTGAGAACCATTGCTTTTAGCCAGTAGATTTCAAGCATGGCTGCACATGAAAATCACCTGGAGAAATTTAAAAGCTCTCCATGCCCAAGACATACCCCAGACCGACTGAATCAAAATTTCTTAGGGTGAGACCCTGGCATCAGTATTTTTTAAAATTCTGGGTGATTCCAGTGTGAGCCAGGGTAAAATAAGAAACAACAACAACAAAAAACCAAGCAAACAAAAAACCCCCCAAAAACAAAAACAAAAACACTTCTTTTAAACCACTGCAAATAACCAAATTAAATCAACTGAACAAGTGGTTTTATCTATTGCATCTGTTACTGATGGTTGACAGTAAAGACTGAAACCAAACAAATAGACCTAAAAAATTCAAAAACCGACTTGAGTCTCATAGGCAAGGTATACCAAAGAATCTGGCATTAACTCATAAATTTCATCAATGTTGATGATCCCACTGATAACTCAGTCTGTTTTTCCTTTCAGTCTCCTGCAATTTCTTGGTGTGGGAGAATCACTAACCAGTGCAAGAGAGTAAAAAGGGGCAGATTCTCATGAGGATCAAATGCCATGATGTGAATCTGTTTTAATGTAGAGACTTAGTTCAAAGTAGTATTTTTTTTGTCTAGAAGCCAAATTCAGAAAAGTCAGGTTTTTGTTTTGTTTTGTTTTGTTTTGGAGATGGAGTCTCACTCTGTCACCTAGGCTGGAGTGCAGTGGTGCAATCTCAGCTCACTGCAGCCTCTGCCTCCCGGGTTCAAGTGATTCCCCTGCCTCAGCCTCCTGAGCAGCTGGAACTACAGGTGCATGTCACCACACCCCTCTAATTTTTTTTTAAATTTCTTGTATTTTTAGCAGAGATGAGGTTTCACCATGTTTCCCAGGCTAGTCTCAAACTTCTGAGCTCAGTGATCCGCCTGCCTTGGCCTCCAGAAGTGCTGGGATTACAGGCATGAGCCACCGTGCCCAGCCCAGAAAAGTCAGTTCCTACTCATAAATGCCTTTGCCTACTAAAGTCCCTCAGTCCTTTTGGCAGCACTGAATTTAATCAAAAGCCTTATAAAGCAGCCCCACCCCTGTGCTGTTACTGCACCTTGCAGTGAGATCACACTGCTGGTTTCCTCCAGCTGCCTTCTTTCTGGGGTTCTGAGGACCAAGCCAGGAGTCTGACCCTCTGACACTGTCAAGCTCAACTTTAGCAATGTTGTGTCTCTGTAGTGACTCTGGCCTTAAGAGATGTGTGAGGTGATTTAACGTTAAGTTAGAAAATCAAGCTCCCTGATTTGGATGGGCAATTCACCCGTGTGATTGATTTCACGAATCTGTTCTGTTGTCTCTTGGGTATCATGGGCCTGGGATAAGAAAGGATGGGGGAGAGAGAGGGAGAAAGAGAGGGAGAGGGAAGAGGTAGAGAGGCCAAGGTTTTTCTTTAGCTACACCATCATAGGTTGTGTTGTTGAAAATCCACCCTAAGATATTCCCCTGAGAACTGCAATATTTTTCGCATCTCTAATTGATTATCCCAGGAATGATCGGGATGGAGAGAGGTGAAAGGGTAAGGAAGAGGTGCTGTGGAGGGCACTGTGTGGCTGCTCCATGGCTCCCTATGTTTTCTCCTTTGGTCTCCTTGTCACTGATCTTCTGGACTTTGGCTGCCAAGCAGAGGCTCTTGGCAACTGATGTTGACTTTGTCTCTCAACTGAATCTGGTAGGCACCATTCCCTCTCTGAAAGAGATGGCCGCTGACCTTTGCTTTGGCTCAGTCCCCAGCTGGTAGATAACATTTACTCACAGAGGTTTTGCTCGACATTCAGCCTAAATCCCTGCAGTTGCACTTGAAGTTCTTTCCCCTTTGTTTTGTCCTTGGTGAAGGAGAATGCCCACCTTTACAAGAATTTACCTTGCCAGATTGATAAAAGGAGGCTCTCATTTGTATTTGAAGCAGCTAGTTCTCATCAGTCTTACTGGAGATAAAGCATAGCTGGAGATCTTGGGATCATGCGAAAGAGATGGCTTCTCAGCTCTGTGACATTTGTCCCTTTATCAAGGGCTCCAGGTGAACATCTTCAAGTTGCATCAACCAAAACTATATATCATCAAAAAGAGAGACCAAAAATAGACCATGTGGGACGATGTCTTTAAATGCTACCTCTTGACCTTGCATTTTGTGCTACAGTTTTAAAGGACTGAAGGCAAAATTGGAGCTTAGCCTGTTTTGACACACACACACACAAATAGCCTACAAAATAAAGCTGAAGAACTGGAATGGTATAGTTCTTGAAATGGTTTTTGAAATACAGTTTTGAAATGCAGAAACATGATCCTGTCCTTCTAGTTGGGGTAAATAGGAAAGAAAGTTGTTGCAACACAAGAGTAGGGTACAATCTTTTTTTAAGACTGCAGAGCTAATAGGAAAAAAATGAACTAGCAAATTCTCTCTTGGTTTTGAGAGAAGATAAATGTGAAGGAAACTTTCCCCCACAGCCAGGACTGTTTACATGCGCTGCTCAAATCAATCTTTCCTAAGCACGCGCATTGCATCCCATTCATAATGATCTGATGCCTTTCTCATTGCCTCTGTTCATTCTCTCCTTGCTGAATTTCATCCTCTGCTGGTTAGAATTGTGGCTTGATTTAAAAAGAAAATAGGCTTTATGTTTTCTAATGAAAGCTTTCTTTTAATCCAAATAAGTACAAAAAAGGGTTTGGTTTAAATATGTGTTTCCAGCCAGTTTATGCGAAGTGTGTTTTCACCAAATAAGAGGTTGGCTCTAACATTTACCAGTGGAGGCTGGGTAACTTCAAAGGCAGTGCAGACCAGGGCAGGCTGGCTTTTCCAGTGCCGCCAAATTTTTGTCACTGTACTCTTTACTATCTTAAAAATTATTGCAGATGCCAATGAGCTTTTGTTTACATGAGTTAAATTTATCAATATTCACCATATTACTGTCAAAAAATTGACACAGAGGTGAAAGGAAATACCACTTATTCAGGAAACCAAGATGTGCAGCTTAGGTAAACTGAGTCAGATCAGCTCTGAATAGTGTCCCATAAGGTAAGCACAGAGAGGTTTTTTTTAATAGGGGATTTCCACCACAAGTTATTTCTGAAGGTAGTCCAATGGCTGGTCAGAAATCCTAAATTGCAAACCCATTCTTATTGATTACTTAGGGTATTCCCAGCTGAGAGATGTTGAAGGCAGACGAAGACTGACTTCAGTTGTTTTCCGAGTCTATTGCAACATCCTGTGGTTTGACCTTTAGCAGGTGTGAGTGCAATCCTCTTGAAATCTCCCAACCCCTCTTTAAAGCCTTAGCCTTAATGACTTCATTTTCTTTCACAGAGTTTAACATTGAGAAAAAAATGTAAATACTGTACTTAGTTATTAATTCACTTAAAATAATAAACTGATTACCTGTTAACATAAAAATATATTTTATTTAAATAACATTTTCCGAACAAAACAATTTTATGGAACGAGCAGAATTGTTTTACAGTTTTGCAAGCGTTTTAAGTGTCTGGCCTAATAGAAGACAGCCTGCTGGCTTCTCATATCTGCTTTTGCCTTCAACCTCTTGTGATATCACATCATGCAGCCTCTGGAAAACTACACTGTACTCATGAGACTAATGAGGGTGAAAAGGGTAAATAACATCTCAGGATTATTATGAAAATAGTTTTGATCCTACGAATGTACAAGGGTCTTGGAGGCCCCGGGATCCCTGGAACACACTGTGAGAACCACAGTGGTTCATGAACAAAGGCCGTTCAAGGGTAATTTTATGAGTATACAGATGCTTATTTTTGGCTGTGGTTTTTTTTTTCCTGTTTATGTGTTTTTTTCTGTTTGTGTTATTTAATAGTAAGATAAACTGATGGAAAGATAGAAGGATAGATATGTGATAAAGCAAATATAATAAATGTTAATGATAGAATCTCTTTATAGTAACTGATATAATTTTTATTTTCTTTTAGTTGTAAAATGTTACTTTAAAAATTATTTAGTTTGAAAAAGTTATTACCATATAATGTCATTTATATGAAGTTTTAGAACAGGCAATGGGAGGAAAAACATCGAGACAGTAGTTGTCTCAGTGTGGGGATGGAGATTGACATGAAGGGACTCCGGGGTGACAGTAACGTTCTGTATCTTGATAGTGGTTTAGGTCAAAACTCAAAGTAGTATACTTAAGATTTTTGAATTTTATTTTATGTAAATTTACAACAAAATTGTAAAATGTATTTAACTCTAGTCAATTATATGCATGCTGGAAGTAAGGGGGAAGTATACTGAGATCTGCAACTCACTTATAAATGAACCAGAAATAAGATTAACTGATAGAAGAATAGACAGATATGTGATAAATTAAATACAATACAATGTTAATGATAGAATCTGGGTGGTAGGTATATAGGTGTTTTACATAAAATTCTTTCACCTTTTTCTTATTATAAAAACTTTCATCTTAAAATTTTAGAGGAAAAGGAGTAGATGCGAAAAAAATCAAATCATAATGGTGATACATGGATGGGCAAATATTGTGACCCTTGACTGGCCAGTGGGGAATCAATGATTAGAACAGCAAGTGGATGTGCTTCTCCCTTCTCCACATCACTACCTCTGGTTACATGTTTCAGTCGACCTGTGCATAATGAGGGCTTAGCAGGTGCCAAGGCCTGTGGTGGTTACTGGAGGCAAGAAACAGACGTAGTTATAACATGGGCCTTTCCCTCTTGGAGCTTACAATTGAGTGGGGCAGAGAAGGGGCCAGAAAAATAGGATCATGTTGTTAGAGTTTGAGCGTTCAGTCAAATCCTTTTAGACATGGGGTCTCACTATGTTGCCCAGGCTGGCCTCAAACCCCTGGGCTCAAGAAATCCTCTTGCCTCAGCCTTTCAAGTAGCTGGAACTACAGGCACACACCACTGCCCCTGGCTATCTTGAATCTCTGTAACAGCCTTTTGAGCTAGTTTTTATCAGTCCTGCATAACAGGTGGAGAAACTGAGGCTTAGACAGCTTGTAAGTAGGGGCCACACAGTTAATATGTGATGGAGCTACATTTGAACTTATGACTCTACGGCTCCTACATGTAACTACTTAATGAACCAATTAGAGCCATGTGCACATAATGATGTTTTGGTAAATGATGGACTGCATATACAGTGGTGGTCCCATAAGTTTATAATACCATATTTTTATTGTACCTTTTCTATGTTTAGATACATAAATACTTACCATTGTGTTACAATTGCTGACAATATTCAGTACAGTAACATGCTGTGCAGGTTATAGCCTAGGAGCAATAGGTTATATACCATCAGCCTAGGTGTGTAGTAGGCTCCACCATCTAGGTTTGTGTAAGTGCACGCTATGCTATTTGCTCAAGGACATAATTGCTTAACGATACATTCTCGGGATGTATCCCCAATATTAAGTGACATGTGACTATATAATAAAGGGCAATGTTAGATATTAGGCTAAATAGCCATTCAAGTGAATTGGTATACAAATACAGAGGGAAAAGAAGTTGATTCTGACGTCATCCAGGAAGTCTTAAATGAGAACAGCCTTGAAGAATAAGCATCATTTTGATAAAAAGAGAAAGGGATGGGGAAAGCCTGTACAGACAGCATGAGTTATGGCAGCAAAAGGCCATTGAAGAGAGATGCCTCATACACATCCCAGTCAGCTGTGTGACCTTGGAACATGTCCAAGGTTTAGTTTCCTCACCTGTAAATGCCAGTAATATTAATAACTTCAACTGGTTGTTGAGAGTTCAGTGAAATGATGCATGAAAAGTATTTAGTTCAATGCTTTTTAAGGGCTCAATGACTATGAGCTATTACTATTTTAGCCATTGGCAAGAAAGGGTATGTCATGTGATTTTTTTATTGTTATATTAATTTCAGTCTCAAATGTATAGAACACCTTGGCCCACAAAGTGGGAGAGAAACACATAGAGTTGCTTACCCTGGGGCCCATAGGCAATGCCTCGATCGTGAACCCCAAGGGGATTCTAGAGGGCGTAGCTTTTATCTTTTTGTTCTGACTCCTGTGGTAGACAGCACAGTGCTGGTTCTAAGCAGAATCTTAAAAATATTTATCGAATTTTATCGTGAGTCCCAAACTCCATCTAGTCAGCCTAGGCGAGAGTGATTTTCAAGCTCTTTATCCCCATTCATGGCTCTCCTGCTGTTTCTCTTCCTCTAGGGCCCTGCCCCAGTCCCTGCACACTGCACATTGCTTTTCTGTATCTGTCCCCTAACCTTAATCCCACTCACAAATCTGTCCCTTCTTGAAGCTAGTCATACTTCATATCCAAGTGTCTCCTCTTGCCTTCTTCCTCACTTTCCCCACACCCCTCCCAATCCCCCAACACTGAGGTGGAACTGGATAAAATAGGTGCTCAAAGGGTTGAGGCTGGCATCTCCGGGCTAATGGCTGGAGTGGAGGTTTACTCACTCAAAAGAATGAGGGATGGAGAAGACCTAGATAAAAGCTGGAATATCCAGTTGGTGGCTAAAGGCAAATGTTAAGTCAGGGCATTAAACTAGAATCCTGGTGCCTGAGAAATGGAAGCAGATGCGTCTGCAATAAATGACCCAAAAGAATGTTGGGGCAGAGTCTTGAAGCCATTAAGTTCATTCATGCTTCCCAAACATTTACTGAGCTGTGATCATGGCAGACAGGACACTGGGGAAAGAGCTGAGCAACAGGACAGCCAGGCTCTCTGTCCTTATGGAGTTTCCATACTGGTGGAATGATCAAGATGTACAATGCATGAGGAAAAAGCAATGTTCAAGGTAATTGTCAGGGACTGATGAGTTAGGAAAGAAAGGGAGAAAGGGAGAGGTGGTTCAGAGAGGCTTCAGGGAGAACAGGTATTCTATGTGGTCTGAGGAGCTGAGAACCGAGGGATGGGACAGAGCCAGCCACATTAACATGGGGGACAGAAGCTAGCAGTGGGAACTGCAAGAACAAAGATCCTGAAAAGGAGACAAAGCTGGCATTTGCAGGGAGGAGAAAGATGGTATGGTGGATACAGGTCATTGGTTGGCTGCCCTGTACTGAGCCCATCTCCTAGTTTTGGAGAATGTTCCATTGACAAGAGGCAGAGCCCACTTTTCACTAAGAAAGGAGATACAGTCTGATGCTTGCTCTCTCCTCATCTTAGCCGCCAGAATTGAGCATGTGGCCTAGGGCCTCCAGCCAGCTGGATGTTACCCATGGGATTTTGAGCTTTGAGCAAGTTATTCAAAGCAGAGAGATTAGGACTCCCCTAGCCTGTAGTTAGTGAACACACGTTGAATACAATCACACTGAAAACTTCTGCCTTTAATAGCCAGACAGGAATAAGAATGCCAGACATCTGTGGTTGGGCCAGAAGAGGAAGGTTTCTTCCTCAGATCAGATCTTCATCCTCTCAGACATGAGACTGGCTCTCACTAAGTCATCTTTTGGCTTAGGACTAGACTGGGATAGTGCCTTCACCTCTGCAACCATCTGGCCAATGGCCTGTCTATGTGCCAGGGAGATGTCATGGTTTAATGTTGGCATGCTGTTTCTTTGGTTGCACGTTATGGCGAGTCTAGGGTAAATTCTAAACACTTTCGCTGCAACAAAGCGTGTTTGCCACAATTCTGCTTGCTTTTATTTGTTGCTTTTTAAAATTATTATCTTATAGTGATTCATTCCCTGAACTAAGAGTGCCAATATTTGGTGCTAATTGTTGAGACTTAGTCCTGTGTTTATGGACTGGTGGTCCTTCCATTGAAAAATATGATCATTTCTCTTGCAACTCATTCTTTTGGTGCCTATGATTTTACTCATTATGCTTTTAAAATGTGAATATTTAAATATGTCTAAATAAATTGTTTGTAAAATGTTATAAATTAAATGAAGGTGTGGAAAACAGGAACTCTCATTCATTGCTCATGGGAATGTAAAATAATACAGCCACTTTGGAAAACAGTTTGGCAGTTTTTTACAAAACTAAATGTACTCTTAACATACGATCTGGCAGTCACACTTCTTGGTATTTACCCAAATGACTTGAAAAGATGTCCATACAAAAATCTATACACACTGTTTATAGCAGCGTTATTCATAATTGCCAAATCTTGAAAGTAACCAAGATGTCCTTCAGTATGTGAATGGGCAAATTAACTGTGGTACATCCAGACAATGGAATATTATTCAGCACTAAAAGAAATGAGCTATCAAGTCACAAAAAGACATGGAGAAATTGTAAATGCATATTACTAAGCAAAAGAAACCATTCTGGAAAAGGCAAAACTATAGCGACAGTAAATAAGGATACATAGGTGGAGCACTGAGGATTTTTAGGGCAATGAAAATACTCTGTAAGATATTACACCATTGGATATATGCCATTATACATTTGTCCCAAACCCATAGAATGTACAACACTAAGCATGAATCTAATGTAAATTACAGACTTTTGAAGATAATGTGTCAATGTAGATTCATCAGTTGTGACAGATGCACCACTCTGGTTCAAGATGTTGATAGGGAGAAAAAAATAAGTGTAAAATCTCTATAAAATTAACCTTTCTTAAAGAAAAAAAGCCCCATGGAATGTTTCAAAAGATGTTATAAATAAAAAGTAATAAATATAAAAAATAATTTAAAAATTTTTAAATGCTATTGTGACTCTGTTTTAGGTTTTAGGGTTGGAAGCAAAACGTCTGGTATCTGGTTGTCATTAGAGTAGGCTAGGAGCCCCAGAATAAGCATGGGGACACTGAAGTCTGAAGGGGCCTTTAAGCAGACCATCTGTAGGGATGTCATGCCATCCTGCCCAGATACATAGGTAGTAGCACTGTTTTATTTTAATAGTCAGGATAAAAGTAAATGTCTTTCCCCATAGTGCCCTTTCACTACTGCCTTTGGGATTTGGAAGACCATGGCTTCTGTTAGAATAAGACAGCAGCTCAGGAAGAGACAGACAATAGCATTTCAAATTGCAACCACATTTAGCGTATTTAATAAAGACTGCCCTCCACATGCGACCTTAACCTAGCAATTCTTATCAATGCCGGAAACCTGACTCATTAATTAAAGCTGTGCTTGGACTGAGCTGCATCCAAAATGATAATTTGCTGAAGAAAAACAAAAAAAGGCCTTGCAGGCAAGGATACCTAAAAGGGCGTCTAGGAGCTAATACCATCAGTGCATCTGGTCAGTTGAGGATTCTGGGGCCCCAGGTTGGTTCTCAAGGATTCAGTATCTTCAGCCTTACATAGGACTTTTAATTATAATACCCTGACGTCTAAAAATCTCATACAGGACAGCTTCCATATCTCTCACCAAAGCAGATGTGGGAGGCTTACAGTATAGCGACGTGAAAATATAATAAATCAAATTTATATAGCACTTTGTGGTTAAGAAACGGAGATTGTGGACTTGAGGGTCATAACTAACAGGTGGTGACATCCCAATTTGAACCTAGGGCTGTGTGCCGTGATCTTGTGCATTAAGCACCTAGCACAATGCTGACACTTATTCAATGCTTGAAAAAAGTATCTGTTGGTAGGAGGCATAGTAAAAGATCATCACTGAAATTCTAAAAAGTGTTTGGCGAGCAGGTGATGGTAAATGAAATGAATACTATAGTACCTAATAATACTACTATTATTCATTAAAACTGTGGAAAATACAAATAATATTCTTCTAATTGCCACTTAGTGTTTTTTTCATGAATAAGATGAATTTACAAGTGTTTTCAACAGTTTATTCTCATCTTCTATCCCCTATGAAATACAGTTTTTCTTCTTAAAGTTCTAAGTTGCTTAGTGTGAGCTCTCTTAACTTGGAGTCCTTAGAAACTTAATGCCTGAAGTTGGGAAAGGTTTAATATCTAAGTGAAGGACAATGACCAAGCCTCTGCTTTCAGTAGCATTTAGTAACACTGTTTCTACGAGATTTAGTTGAAGCAAATCTTGAAAGTGATTTTTTTTTTCTCCTCAAATATCATCATCAGATTATTTCCACCTTTCAGGATGCTATAATTACACTTTTCTTTGGAAATGTCAAATAAGTCTATGAATACAGTATAATTACTGTGCAGGAAGGAAGCTAAACAGGTGACTATTGATGCTAGGAAGAAAAATCAAAAGAACTTAAAAGCGTGTTTTTTTCCAGAGTGTTCCATGAGCAGGCAGGTAGCTGGCTGGCGGCACAAGGCCTGCCTGGGCAGGGAGCATGGCAGATCAGGGATGATGGGGAGGTCAAGGCAGTGGATGCTGCAGAACTCCGCATGGGTTGATGGGGAGGTAAGCCTGAGCAGGCAATTCCACAGGGCTGCCCTGGCAAAGTGAGCAGTGATTCAGGCTGAATAAAAATCAGGAAATTGGGTGTAAGAATTGAAAGAAACAGGACTTCCTCTGTCAGGGCTCAAGTTTACACACATAGGTTCAAATCAGTCCTTGCAATTGAAAACTGCAATAAGCATTGCTCGTTTGGCTTTTCTTAAACGGTGGCTTTAGGCTGTGAAACAAAAAGTCCCTAAGGTCCCAACCATGGTGACTGCCTCATACCATTGATTTTACCTATATGGCTCTTAAACTTGTTTTAGTGAACAAAATCTCCATGGAAAGAGATTCTAAAAGTAGAAAGGCTTGTCTTTTTATAAACAATAGTGTTATTGAGAAATAATTGACATATAATTCACCCATTTAAAGGGTATAATTCAGTCTTTTTAGTATACTCACAAAATTCTGCAAACATCACTACTAATTCCAGAATATTTCATCACTCCAAAAAGAGAGCTCATATCCATTAGAAGTTAGTCCCCATTTCTCTCTAACACCCTCACTTCAGCTCTAGGCAACCACTAATTTATTTTCTCTTGCTATGGATTTGCCTATTCTGGACATTTCATATAAATGGAATCACACAATATGTGGCCTTTTGTGACTGGCTCCCTTATTTAGCATAAAATTGTCAAGGTTTATTTATGTTGTAATATATATCACTACTTCATTTCTCTTTATTACCAAATAATATTTTATTGAATGGATGTGCAGTTTTGTTTATGCATTTATCAGCTGATAGACAGCTGGGTTGCTTCCCCTTTTTGGCTATTAGGAATAATGCTTCTGTGAACATTTATGTACACGTTTTTGTATAGAAATATGTTTTTATCTCTCTTTGGATATTAACCTAGGAGTTTAATGTCTGGATCATCTAGTAACTCTATCTTTAGCCTTTTGAGGAACTGCTGGACTGTTTTTCACAACAGCTGCCCCATTTTACATTCTCACTAGTTGTGTATGATGATTCCAATTTCTCCATATCCTTGCCAACACTTGTTACTATCTACCTTTTTGATGATAGTCATTTGAGTGGATATGAAATGATATCTCATTACAGTTTTTGGATAGATTTGCATTCGATTTGCATTTTCTGATGCCTAATGATGTTGAGCATCTTTTCATGTGCTTATAGACCTGTTGTATATCTTTTTGGAAGAATGTTTGTTCAAATCTTTTGCCCATCTTTTAATGGGATAATTTGTATTTTTATCATTGAGTTATAAGTCTTTAAATATATTCTGGATGCAATTTCCCTATCAGATGTGTGATTTGTAAATATTTCTCCCATTTTATAAGTTATCTTTTCATTTTTTTCATAGTGTTCCCCTGAAGCACAAATATTTTTAATTCTGATGAAGCCCAATGTATTTATTTTTTCTTTTATTGATTTTGCTTTTGAGTTCACATCCAAAAACACATTGCCTAAACCAAGGTCATGAAGATTTATACATATGTTTTCTTTTAAGACATATTTACTTGAATATTTTGAGTTAATATTTACCTCCTATGAGGTAGGAGTCCAATTTCATTCTTTTGCATGTGGATATTTAGTTGCTCTAGCACCATTTGTTGAAAAAACTATTATTTTCCCCACTGAATTGTCAAGATACCCTTAAAAAGTCAATTGACTATAGATGTGTAGGTTTACTTCTCAACTTTCAATTATATTCCGTTTATCTATATGTCTGTCCTATGGCAGTACCATACTGTTTTGATTACTATAGCTTTGTAATAACTTTTGAAAATCAAGAAATGTGAATATTTCAACTTTGTTCTTCTTTTCCAAGATTGTTTTGGCTACAAAAACAATTTTTATATGGAAATCTTGAATTCCCACATAAATTTTAGGAACAGCTTGTCAATTTCTTCAAAAGAGCCTGCTGTGATTTTGATAGGGATTGAGTTGAATTTGTAGATCAATTTGGGGTATAGTGTTACCTTAACAATATCATTTTCCATTCATGAACATAGGATGTTCTTCTACTTATTTGGGTTATTAATTTCTTTTAACAATGTTTTGTACTTTTCAGAGTATAAGTGTTGTACACCTTTTGTTACATTTATTCATAAGTATTTTTTCTTTCTGATACTAATGTAAGTGGCACTTTTTAAAATATCATTTTTAGTTTGTTTATTGCTACTGCAAAGAAAACTGTTTTTTGTATGTTGATCTTGTATCCTGCAACCTTGCTGAACTATTTATTAGTTATCATTTTTTATTTTATTTTTAGACAGAGTCTTGCTCTGTTGCCCAGGCTGGAGTGTAGTGGTGCGATCTTGACTCACTGCCAGCTCTACCTCCTGGGTTCATGCCATTCTCCTGCCTCAGCCTCCTGAGTAGCTGGGACCACAGTCACCCACCACCACATCCAGCTAATTTTTTGTATTTTTAGATGGGGTTTCACTGTGTTAGCCAGGATGGTCTCGATCTCCTGACCTCATGATCCGCCTGCCTGGGCCTCCCAAAGTGCTAGGATTACAGGCGTGAGTGGATCCCTTAAAGTTTTCTCTATGCAAGATCATGTCATCTGCAGATAGAGATAATTTTACTTCTTCTTTTCCAAACTGGATGCCTATTGTTTAATTTTCTTGCCCAGTTGCCCTGGCTAGAAACTCCAGTACAATGTTGAATAGAAGTGGTGAGAGCAGACATCCTTATCTTGTTCTTGATCTTAGGGAGATAGTCTTTCTTATGTGACACCATTTTAAAATGTAATACCATTGAGTATAATGTTAGCTGTGAGGTTTTTGTAGATGGCCTTTATCAGGTTAAGAAAGCTCTTTACTTGGCCCACGCCTGTAATCCCAGCACTCTGGGAGGCCGAGACAGGCGGATCATGAGGTCAGGAGATCGAAACCATCCTGGCTAACACGGTGAAACCCCGTCTCTACTAAAAATGCAAAAAATTAGCCAGGCGAGTTGGCGGGCGCCTTAGTCCCAGCTACTCCGGAGGCTGAGGCAGGAGAATGGCGTGAACCCGGGAGGCGGAGCTTCCAGTGAGCTGAGATTGCGCCACTGCACTCCAGCCTGGGGGACAGGGCGAGACTCCGTCTCAAAAAAAAAAAATTACCAGTTTGTTCAGAATTTGTAATCCTAAGGGGTACTGAATTTTCAAATATTTTTAAGCATCTATTGAGATCATCATGTAATATTTACCCATTATTCTGTTAATATGGTGTATTATATTAATTGATTTTCTGATCTGTCTTTTTCTGTATTGATAAAATGTGAGAAGTATGGCGGGAAGAACTCAATGCTGGTATACCAATAGCATTTTTTCTGGAAGGGCCTTGCATAATTAGCTAGTATAGATATCATCTCCTAGAAAATTGTTTTTGGGGAGATATTGTTACATTGATTTAAAGTTTAAAAAATTGCTTTAAGGGGAAAATATACACACACTACATACAGCAGTTTCTTTTCTTAAAGGACTCTTTTTTATTAGGCCACCTGAGGTACGCAAAGCTTGAATTTAATTTACTCAAGCAATGCTTTAGCTCCCCATCAAACTCTCCCTTTTATCTTTCTGTGAAAGTTGTCAGAATCAAAGTAGAGTGACTTGTGTTAAAACTCTGACAAATGGAGCCAGGAAAAGTCATGAAGAGAGGGCTCTCATTCACATATGCCTAATAACAAGAACTATCACAAAAGAATTTGCAAATATGACAACTTGCACAAATACCACCATAACCTTACACAGAAAATACTTCTGCAAGGACATCTGTCTGGCAACCGCCTGTCTAATCTTGGACTAATTACACCTTTGTTATTGATGTTTGTAGCCAAGGATAATTGATTCAAAATAATTTATGTAATCTTCTTCATTTTGCCTTTAAAATCTTTCTTTTACCCCAACCTCCTTGAATGCACACATAATTTACTATGACATGTGTATTCCCACTGCAATATTCTGATAAATATCTTTTTGTTTTACAGTCTCCTCTCTGCCTGTTATTTAGGTTGACATATCTGGAGTCAAAAGTGAGATCTAAAACAAGACCAATTTTGGAAGGAATTGACAATTCTTGGAACAAGTATGCAGTGCTCACTTGAGCCCTTTGAGCACTCTCCTTCCACAACCCACCTTTTCTGGCCCTGGTGAGTCTTCTCTCAGGCCAAGGCTTTCTCTTATTGGCAAAAGCTCTTTGACTTTATTTGGATTTGATTTGGAGAAGACCATCTTAATAAAGGACTTTTCATCCTCCTAGGATGGTAAAAGACTTTTTGTCTTTTCTGGCAAGCCCTTTCTGATATAAAGACAAATGCTGTCTTTCTGGTTTGAGAACTCTAGTATCTACAGAAATTACATTCTGCCTGTGAGGACCTTATATCTTTTTGGGTAAATTCACTTTTTAAAAATATTTTTAAATTGACACAATTGTACATATTTATGGGGTACATATTGATGTTTTGATACGTCCAGTGAATAATGATCAGATATGGGTGATTAGCATATTTATCATCTCAAACATTTACCCTTTTTTTGTTTGTTTGTTTTAGTAACATTCACTATCCTCCTTCTAGCTCTTTGAAACCATATATTATTGTTAACTATAGTCGTCCTCTAGTGCTGTAGCGCATGATAACTTATTCCTCCTATCTAGCTGTAATTTTGTATCTTCTAACAAATCTCTTCCTATCCTTCCCAGCCTCTGGTATCATCTGCTCTACGTTTTACTTTTATGAAATTAACTTTTTTCAGCTTCTACATGTGAATGAAAATAGGCAGTGTTTGACCTTCTGTTCCTGCCTTATTTCACTTAACATAATATTCTCCAGTTCTATCTCTGTGTTGCTGTGCATAACAGGATTTCATTCTTTTTTATGACTGAATAGTATTCCATTGTGTAAATATACCACATTTTATGCATTCATTTATCTGTTTTTGGATACCTAGGTTGTGTTTATATCCTGGTTATTGTGAATAGTGCTGCAATAAACATGGGGGTGTAGATGTCTCCTCAATGTACTGATTTCCATTCTTTTGGATAAATGCCCTATAGTGGGATTGCTGGGTCATACGAGAGTTGTATTTGTAGTTTTTTGAGGAACCTCCATACTGTTCTCATAAAATCTGTGTGTTTACACTACCACCAATGGTGTATAAAAGTTTCCTTTAATCATTTGTTAAAACAATGATGTTGAGAATTATTTCATATGTTTGTTGGCCATTTGTATGTCTTCTTTTGGCAATGTCTGTCCAGATCATTTGCCCATTTTTAAATTGGATTGTTTGTGTGGTTTTTGCTGTGGAGATGTTTGGGTTCCTTTTATATTCTGAATATTAATCTCCTGTTAGGTGAATACTTTGGAAATATTTTCTCCCATTCAATAGGTTGTCTTTTCACTTTGTTGATTGTTTCCTTTGCTGTACAGAAGATTTTTTGTTTAATATAATCTCATTTGTTTTTGCTTCTGTTGACTGTGCATTTGCAGTCTTATTCATAAAATCTTTCCCTAGACCAATGTCCTGAAGCATTTCTCGAATCTTTTCTTGTGGTATTTTTATAGTTTCAGGTCATACATTTAGGCCTTCAATCAATTTTGAGTTGATTTTTACATTGGGTGAGAAATAGGAGTCTAGTTTTATTCTTCCACATATGAATATACAGTTTTCCCAGCACCATGTATTGAAGAGAGTGTCCTTTCTCTAATGAATGTTCTTGGTGCTTTTGCCAAAACTAGTTGGCTGTAGATATATGGATTAATTTTTGGGTTCTGTATTCTGTTCTATTGGTCTATGCATCTGTCTTTATGCCAGAACAATGCTGTTTTGGTTACTATACTTTTGTAGCATATTTTGAAGGCTGACACTATCATGCCTCTAGCTTTGTTCTTTTTGCTTAGGATGACTTTGGCCATTCAGGGTCTTCTGTGGTTCCATATGAATTTTAGTATTTTTTTTTCAATTTCTGTGAAGAATGTCAATGGTATTTTATTGGGGATTGCATTGAATCTGTGTATGGCTTTGGACAGCATGGTCATTTTAAAAATATTAATATTTCTGATCTACAAGCATGGAATGTCTTTCCATTTGTATTTTCTTCAATTTCTTTTATCAATGTTTTATAGTTTTTCCTTGTAGAGGTCTTTCATCCCCTTGGTTAAATTTATTCCTAGAATGTTATTTTATTTTTGCTATTATAAATGGGATTATCTTTTTTATTTCTTTTTCAGTAGTTTGTTGTACATGTACAGAAACACTACTCATTTTTACATTTGATTTTGTATCTTGCTACTTTCCTAAATTTGTTTCACAGTTCTAAGAGTTTTTTTCATAGAGTTTTTAGGTTTTTCTATATGTAAGATCATGTGATCTGCAAACAAAGACAATTTGGCTTCCTCATTTTAAATTTGGATGTCCTTTATTTCTTTCTCTTGCCTAATTGCTCTGTCTAGGACTTCAAGTACTATATTAAATAAGAGTGGGGAAAATAGCCAGTCTTGTTTCAGTTCTTAGAAGAAACGCTTTCAGTTTCTCTCTGTTTGGTTTGATGTTAGCTGTGGGTTTAATCAGATATGGGTTTTAATTTATTGCGATACTTTCCTTTTATGCCTAGTTTATTGAGAGTTTTTAATCACAAAGTAATGTTGAATTTTATCAAATGCTTTTTCTGATCTATTGAGATGATTGTATGGTTTTTGTCTTTCTTTTTGTTTATGTGATATATCACATTTATTGATTTTTATATGTTGAGCTAGGCATACATCACTGGAATAAATCTCACTTGATCATGGTGTATTATTTTTCTAGTGTTTTGTTGGATTTGGATTGCTAGTATTTTGATGAGGATTTTTGCTTCTATATTCCTCAATGATATTGGTCTGCAGTTTTCTTTTTTTGTTGGGTCCATGTCTGGTTTTGGTATCAGGGCTATGCTGGCCTCATGGATGAATTAAAAATAATCTCCTCTTTAATTTTTTGGAATAGTTTGAAAATAATTGGTATTAATTCTTCTTTAAAAGTTTGGCAGAATTTAACAGTGAAGCCATTCAGTCCTAGACTTCTTTGTTGGGAAATTTTTTATTACTGATTTAATCTCATAATTGTTATTGGTATATTCGGGTTTTCTATATCTTTTTGGTTCAATCTTTGTAGGTTGTATGTATCCAGGAATTTATTCATTTCCCCTATATTTTTCCTGTTTTTGAAATATAGTTGTTCATAATAGTCTTTAGTGATCCTTTGTATTTCTGTAGTACTTGTTTTGATGTCTTCTTTTTCATTCCTGATTTTGTTTATTTGGGTCTCTTTTCTTAGTCTAGTTAATGGTTTGTTGATTCTGCTAATCTTTTCAGAAAACAAATTTTGTTTCACTGATTTTTTAAATCTCAATTTTGCTTATTTCTCTTCTGATCTTGATGATTTCTTACCTTCTACTTATTTTGAGTTTGATTTGTTGTTGCTTTTCTAGTTCCTTGAGATGCATCATTAGCTTGTTTGAAATCATTTCTTTTTTGATGTAAGTTTTCTCTTTTTTTGCCATAAACTCACCCCTGAATACTATTTTTTGCTGGGTCCCATAGGTTTTGGTACGTTGTGTTTCTAGTTTCATTTACTTCAAAAAAAATTTAAATTTTCTTCTAATTTCTTACTTTACACAGTGGTGATTTGGAAGCAAGTTGTTTGATTTTCATGTATTTCTATAGTTCTGAATGTTTCTCTTGTTATTGATTTCTAGTTTTATTCTATTGTGATCAGATAAGCTACTTGATGTGATTTTAACTTTTAAAATTTTTTGAGGCTTGTTTTGTGTCCTAACACATGGTCAGTCCTGAAGAATCTTCCATGTGCTAATGAAAAGAATGTGTATTCTGCAGCTGTTGAGTGAAATGTTCTGTACATGTCTATTAGGTCTATTTGGTCTATGATGTAGATTACGTCCAATGTTTACAGATTTCTGTCTAGATGATCTGTCCATGCTAAGAGTGGAGTGTTGAAGTCTCCACCTATTACTTGTTGTGTTTATCTCTCCCTTTGGTCCTAATAATATTTCCTTAATATATCTGGGTGCTCTGCCTTGGGATGCATATATATTTACAATTGTATGTTCTTGCTCAATTGATTCCTTCATTATTACATGTTGCATTTCTTTGTCTTTTTTTTTTTACAGCTTTTGACTTAAAGTCTGTTTTATCTGATATAAATATTGCCACTCTGCTCATTTTTTGTTTCTGTTTGTGTGCAATGTTTTTTTTCCATCTCTTCACTTTCAGTCTATGTATGCCTTTACAGATGAAGTGATTTTCTTGTAGACAGTATATAGTTGGGCCCTTTTTTAAATCCATTCAGCCAATCTATATTTTTAATTGGGGAATTTAATCAATTTCCCTTCAAAGTTATTATTGATAGGTGAGGACTTACTCCTGTCATTTTATTAACTTTTTCCTGGTTGTTTTGAGTATCCTTTGTTCCTTACTTCCTTTTTTACTATTTATTTTTATAGCTTGGTGGTTTTCTGTAGTGGTAAGTTTTGCTTCCTTTTTCTTTCTCTTTTGTGACTCTACCAGTGAGTTTTATAATTTTACATGTTTTCATGATAGTGTTATTTTTTTTTATTTCTGAATATAAGACTCTCTTGAGCATTTCTAAAGGGAGAAGAACTTCTAGTAAGACTGGTCTAGTGGTGATTAATTTCCTGAGTTTTTGCTTGTATGTCTGTAAAAGATTGTATTTCTCCTTCATTTCTGATGGATATATTTGCTGGATTTATTATTGGCTGACTTATTTTTTCTTTCAGTACTTTGACTATACCATTCCATTTTCTTCTGACATGTAAAATTTCTGCTGAAAATGTTGTTCTTAGTTTAATAGAGATTCACTTATATGTGACTTGACACGTTTTTCTTGTTGTTTTTAGTATTCTTTGTTTTTGACCTTTAACAATTTGATTATAGTGTGCCTCACAGAGGACCTGTTTGGTTTGAATTTATTTAAGGACCTTTGAGCTTCCTGGATCTGGATGTCCATCGCTCTCCCAATACTTGAGTAATTTTCAGCTATTATCTTACTAAATGTTTTTTTATCTTTTTGTTCTCTTCTCTATGACTCCCATAATGCAAAAAATGGTTCACTTAATTGTGTTCTATAAATCCTGTAGGCTTTCTTTATTCTCTTTTATTTATTTAGTTTGCCTAAGTTATTTCAAAAGACCTGTCTTCAAGTTCAAAAGTTATTATTTTTTGCTTTATCTAGTCTATTGTTGAAGCTCTTTAATGTATTTATTTCATTGATAGAATTCTTTAGCTGTAGGGTTTTTTTGGTTCTTTTGTTAATGATATCTGCTGAATTTCTCAATCAAATCATGAATTGTTTTTCTGATTTTGTTAAATTGTCTATTTATATTCTCTTGTATCTCATTGAACTTTCTTAAGATTATTATTTTGAATTCTTATTCTGGCATTTTGCATATTTTCTTATGATTGGGATCTGTTATTGAAGAGTTATTGTATTCCCTTGGAGGTGTCACATTTCCTTGCTTTTTCATATTTGATGTGTTCCTACACTGATTTCTATGTGTCCAATAAAACAGTCACTTCTTCCAATTAGATGGAATAGGTTTTGTAGGGAGATATTTATTCATATGGATAGGTGGTATCAGGTGAGTGGATGCATGGTTTTGGTTCTAGTTGGGTATACTAGTGTCGTCTTCATGTAGTTTCTTCAGCTATAATCCATGATATGACAGTAATCTTTGCAAGTGTCTTGGTGACCTAGGCTGCTAAAGTTTTTTTGGTGGTGGTGGCATGACTTTGCTGGTGATGGGCTTGCTGAGTTATTTCTCAAGTCAGGGATCTGTGCATGCACACAGCGGGTTGGACAACTTGGGATCTGGCTTGCTGAAGTTGGAGCCTTGGGGTTGTTACTGTGTCAGAGGGCTGCCTCACTGGCTTGGAGGTGTGTCTGCCTGGGATGGGACCGCTGGACTGTTCCCTGGCCCAGAGTGTAGCACATAGCTTCTCCACCAGCCTGGGGGCATGTCTGTCAGGAGTGGGCCCACAGGGCTCTTTCTCAAGCCATGCAGGTGGGTATGTGACTACCTGGCTGACCTGTGGGCATGTCCATTGGGCTGTTTTTTAGGCCCTAGGAGTGGGCACAGGGCCACTGGGCAGGCCTGAGGGCATGTCCTCCAGGAATGGGCCCCCAAGGCTGTTTCTCAGGCACTGGGTGTGGTGTGTCATTGCTCATTCAGCCTAGGGGTATGTCTGACAGTGGTGGCTTGTGGGCTAGCTCAAGGGCAGGTTCACCCTGAGCAGGACTGCCAGACTGTTTCTCCAGCTGGAAGTGTAGGCGGTGGGCGGGGGGGTAGGTTTCCCTGCTGTATAGAACCAGAGTCACAGCCAATTTGGGGTCTAGGCTTTATGTAGCCAGAGTTGTGGCATTCAGCTACCCATGTGGGCTTGGCAGAGTGAAGATAGACCCTCTGGGCTGGAGAGGTGCAGTGGCTATTGGCTTCCAAGCAGGGTATATCCCAGAGGTGGCTCTGGTATCACAGTGGTGCTCTCTTGTAGCAGTTTATCTCAAAGGGGGTAGATGGGAGATAGATAGGGAGTGCACACCTTATGCTTCTAATTTAGAGCAATATAGCTGTGTGAATTCCTGGTGGCTCCCTAAATTGGGCTAAGGGCTGGTGAAGACTGTGGGCATTCTTCTGTAGCAAGGACTGCAGGTGTTGCAGTGACAATGGGGGCTGGTAGGAATCTTCTGCTTACCTTTGTTCTGCAAGGGAAGTCCCTCCTGACTCTGGGACAATCTGGACAAGAGAGACGGGACAGCAAAGGCAGGGTGCCTCCATGCTGGGCAATCACCACAAGTACCTCTCTATATCTGCCTTTGCACTCCAGCACTCTTTCATTCAACACTTCAATCACATCTTAGCTGTTTATTTGTTGCCTTGGTCCTGTCCTGTGAGGGAGACCAGTGCCAGGTGCCTCCAGTCAGCTGTCTTGCTGACTCTGATTCTTTCTGAATGCCTCGTTTTGTTTGGTCTGCATGCCTGGGTTAAAATTTTTGTGAGAACTCTTACTTTAGTTTCATTTTGGTTTGGTTATGCACATCTGTAAATAATGTGGGTCTTTTATTTTTCTTCCTGCTTGTTTCTGAAAATATTCTAAGAGCAAAGATAAACATTCTAAATAAGGGATGTGAGGTGGCCAATTAAAAGCCACTAAGGTAGTGCCATCATCTAAAACACTAGTCCAAACCCCCAACATTCCCTGCCAGAGTTTATAGGATTTTATCTCAAGAGAGTAATAAAAAGTGGAATGGAATCCTCAAATTCTGAAGGCATACAAGGTACAGCCTTCTTTCAGGGATTCCAGCTGGCTATATATGGCTCATTCTTGTGCACATTCTTAAGCTGATAGGCAAATTGCATCAATAAAAATTTGGTTTCTGTTTTTGTGGAATATTTTTTTTTCCATCTCCTCACTTTCAGTCTATGTATACCTTTACAGATGAAGTGATTTTCTTGTAGACAGTATATAGTGGGGCCCTTTTTTTTCATCCATTGAGCCAATCTATATTTTTTAATTGGGGAATTTAATCAATTTCCATTCAAACTTCCTAAGAAAGTTTGTGCTTCTAATTTAGAGCAATATAGCTGTTGCCATTATTGGCTGTGGCCATTATTCAAACTTCCTAAGAAAACCACAACTATGGGTTAAAATGTAGAGATTTTAAGATATTGCTCTCTTTTTCTTTCTTTTTCTGCTTACTCTTAATCTGTTTCACTTGTAGTAAAATAAATCTGTTACTAAATTCAAGGTCACTTGGAGTTAGTTTAGTTTTCCAGCCAGTCCTAACTGCAATATTAACATCCAAGAGTAAACTAAAACAGCTCATCTGAAACTTGAACAAAGCAGGGGGAAAGAGTAATAGATTTTCTTTTTTAAAGCAAACTGCTTTACCCCAAATTTTGGTTCACAGTCTTTATTAGATTACCAATCAGGGACAAGTAGAGCTTAGCCATGTGTACAGATCCCAATTAGTCAAAAATAAACTGTTAAATTTATATTACTATGTCTTACTATCTCATGACTAAAATTATTAAATTAAAGCTATAAAATCTGTGTGTTTATATATGTTTATGCATATGTGCATGTATTAGGTTGTGCGTTTTACTTACATGGTAGACTCTGATGTTGTTGGCCAGAGATACCTTAAATGAATTTTATCCAGGTTGGATTATGTGCTCATATAAATTGTTAAAATGTATAGTAATTAACCCAAATGCCTTTAATTCATATGACTTAAGCATATCTTTGATAAATAAACTGGTTTTAAAATTGTGGGTAAAATTGAAATAGAAAATGTCTTCAGAATTGTCAGCATACATTTTTGCCTGGGTTTACTACTGGTCAATTTTATATTTTTCTCTGCTAGATGTTTAAGGTTATAAAACTCTAAGCTCTGCCTACAAACAGAATGATCTTTGTGTGACTCTTGGATATATAACACTAATATTGTTGGTTTAATTGAAATGGCTGTTATCTTCTGATTTGTCTGCAAAATATTCATATATTTAAGTTGTTTACTTAGGTGAGCACCTGCTGTTCACAGGCTATAGAAATGGTTAACAGGGAAATAACATGAAATGATAACTAGTTTTGTTTAGTATCTCAGTTTTTATAAATACTCTAGGTATAATTATTAAAATAAATAAATTGGGTGAATATAAATGAAATAAACATTTATGAATGGGTAAAATACTGAAACATTTGTTGCTGAACAGATATGTAAGTTTATTCTTGTCTTAAATTTTACAGAAAGACTAAATATATTTGGGTCTATTAATACACATACAAATGATGTTATGGGGAAAACATGTTTTAAAAATTATAAAATGGGTCTCATCTACCAAATACTGATATGTGATCGTTCAAAATTACCTGCTAGCTAGGCTTTCACCAGAAATTAAGGCTACTAAGAGTTGAAAATTCTAATTAATATATATAATTGTGTATACAAAGTGTGCTGAAAATATGACATGTTTTTGATTAAAAAAAATAAAAAGGCCAGTGGCTCATGCCTGTAATCCCAGCACTTTGGGAGGCCGAGGAGAGTGGATCACCTGAGGTCAGGAGTTCAAGACCAGCCTGACCAACATGGTGAAACCCCATATCTACTAAAAAAAGTACAAAAAATTAGCTGGGTGTGGTTGCAGGCAGCTGTAATCCCAGCTACTCGGGAGGCTGGTGCAGGAGAATTGCTGGAACCTGGGAGGCAGAGGTTGCAGTGAGCCGAGATTGTGTCATTGCACTCCAGCCTGGGCGACAAGAGCAAGACTCCATCGCAAAAAAAATAAATAAATAAAAATAAATAAATAAATAAAAATTAAAATTAAAAAATTAAAAAGGCATTAAAAACATGTTCTTTATTAAAAAAACTTACTTTTATCTAAATTCAGATGTTATTTAAGGTCGTTTCAAAAAGTAAATTTAGGAAGGAAATACAAGCAAGATATAAAGGAACAAATAAGTAGGAGAAAGATAAGAAAAAAGTTGTAAGCATGAAGATGTATTTTTGGTAAGAATTTTGCCATATCTTACTGCATGTGATTTACTGGTCATACATCATTGCCTTCTGCCACTCCTTCTCTCTTTGAGAAGGTACATCTTTTTGCTTGGCTGGAGTGATAATACTCTCTTTCGATTTTCTTTCTCACCTCCTGAAACATTTTTCTCTGGTTCTAACTCTGCTATGATGGCCTGATGCTGAAAAGTTTGTACTGAAGGCCTAGAAAAGCAGTGCTTTTCTCCAGTATAACTTGATTCTGTACTCCTAGCTTCTGAATTGTTGTATGTAACCAGAAAAATTTCCATTATTTTATGGAATGCCATATATGTTCCTGCTCAAAGTACTGGTTTTCTTGTTTATCTTCCTCTATACTATGGTGTATACTCACAATGTTGAACAGACACTTTTTCTGTGTTTGATTAAATTTAAGTACCTTTTTATCAGGTTTTACTTCCCCATTATCTAAAAGGGCTTCTCATAAGGAGAAAAAAAATCACACTGCAGGAGGTTTTTCTTTGCCTTTTTGGCAACTGGCCTACAAAACAAAGATTTTATGCTTTTCCAAATAATTTCCTGTGTTTTATGTTGACTTTATTAGGATTTTTTTGATTGCTTAGGAAAATGTAGCTTTGAAAGTGTTACAGTTCTTTTTTTTTTTTTTTAATAACCACGTAACTTTCTATATTGCTTTTGAAGTCTTTGATTATTACTCGGGTGAAATGAATGACTATTATTTCACGGTGACCTGTGATCCTGTTTTAATCAAGTGTTTTGAACATTTTAACATCTTTGGCAGGCTTCCCCAGGATCAAATTCTAAACTATTTTAATCTTGAACTAACTTTGGGATGTTCCAGAGGATCCCAGCACCTCTCAAAGGTTTATAAAAGAGAGATATTAAACTAACTCAGGTTTATTTAAAATATTAGATTATGTAAAAACTGTCAAATTACAAGAGATGCTAAATCTTTTTTTTTAACTTTTATTTTTTTAAGAGATGGGGTATCTCTATTGCCCAGGCTAAAGTGCAGTGGGGGGTTGGGAGGGCCTTCCAAATTTTATTTTTGGTTTACAAGATCAATGGGCCAAATAAAAATGTTTTAATACTCTAAAAAAAACCTTATACACTCATGAAACTGCTAATCTAGATCAAGTCAAACAAAAATTAATTACATAAAACTAAATAACTAACAAAGATAATGTTTTTATAACTTTTATTTGAAACATAGTTCTTTACTTAAATGTTTTCCAAATGTAAGTACATTTCCCTCTTAAGCTATCTATGCTTTACAACAATTTGGTAAAGTAAACTTTTATTTCAAAGATAAAAAATTTACTTTTCCTTCTTACTTAACCCCTCCAAAATTCTGAAACTATTTGCAAGAATTCATATTTTTATGACAATAAGAACTTGCTCTCTTTATAATGGGATACAATAAAAGATGACATATTCTAAGGCTTTGAAATGCCATATTTAAGTTGTTTATAAGGTACTGCAGGCAAAATCTAAAGTCAGTCCTCAATTTGGCTTTTTAGCCTCAAGAAGCTTTAAAAATCCGAGATTGCTACACAATCAATCACTATCCTAGTTGTACTTATGTAAATAATTGAGAAAACTAAACTTATTTTAGAAAAAAATTTGTCTTACTCTGATTATCTTTGGTAAAAAATGGAAGACTATAGAGAAAAAGTTATTTTTTTTTAAAAGCTGGAATACCCCTGTTATTAAATTGTAGCCCTATATATTATTTTCAAGATTTTATTTTCTATCTGGACTGGACTAGATTCTGAAGTTTTCTAGGTTCCTCCAATCCGAACTTCCTCCACGGAATTACTAAGAATGGAAACTGCTCTGCTCCTGAAGCCCATAAGCTCAAGCTAAATAAATTTTAAGGAAAAAATATTGTTCCTGATGTGTGGACCGCACAGAGTTCACCAAACTACCCAGTGCCATAGTCAGAGATGTTCAAACTGCAAACCAGGTTGAGAAATTGATGGCTTCATGCTGTAGACAGCTTTTCCCAAAACATCAGAACAAGACTCCATATTAATGACTTATGTCTCTAATGCCTTCCCTTTTCACTTGGCAGGATAATGGTATAATTGAAATTACACCATCAGTAGCTTCTGCTGGTAACTTGACAGAACCTGACCTATGAGATCCTTTAGTCTACCTAGTGGATAACTTTGGCAATATCCCTAATATAACTGTTGCTCACTGTGCTTTAATTCAACCCAGTCATGGGGTGCTAGATGATAAATTGATCTATATTATTTATTGGCTAAATGAGGACATATCTGTGCTATTTCTAATACTACCTACTGCACCTGCATACTTTTCTCTGGGGAAGTTGAGACCACATACACAAAATAAGAGAACAGGCCACATGGTTACAACAGGTTTTACCTAATTTTCCACGGACACGTAATTTATTCAACTGGTTTTCTTTAAGCCTAGGTTCATGGCTCAAAACTATTACGCAAACTGAGATCGTTCTATTACTATTAATTTTCCTTTTTTTTTTTTTTTTTTTTTTTTTGTTTTGAGACAGCGTCTCGCTCTGTCTCCCAGGCTGGAGTGCAGCAGCGCGATTTCGGCTCACTGCAAGCTCCGCCTCCCTGGTTCACGCCATTCTCCTGCCTCAGCCTCCCGAGTAGCTGGGATTACAGGTGCCCGCCATCACGCCCGGCTAATTTTTTTTGTATTTTTAGTAGAGATGGGGTTTCACCGTGTTAGCCAGGATGGCCTCGATCTCCTGACCTCGTGATCCGCCCATCTCGGCCTCCCAAAGTGCTGGGATTACAGGCGTGAGCCACTGCGCCCGGCCGTATTTTATTTTATTTTTTTTAAGCTTTGTACCTGTTACTTGTTAAAGTTCTGCAGCAATACAACTTCTAACAGAGTAATACTGGCCCAGCCCTTTGACATAATAACCAACACCTATGAAACAAACACAACTGAACTTAACAATGGGCTCCACGTAGCTTTAGCCTGAAAGCCACTCCCTCAAAGCCTCTCTTGTAGCTCACATGTGGCTAAAAGGGTTTGTTTTTACACTGATACCTAGCCACTAATCACTCCCTCTGATGTGGGATCAGACCAGCAATCCAGGACAGGTCCATTCCAGCAATGAGGAACAATTAAAACCTAACTACAAAATGATTAATCAGCAATGGCTTCAGAGTTAAGATCTTGATCAAGAGAGAAGCGTGAAAGTTGTCAGAATCAGAATGAAGTTACCTGATTTAAAACCCTGAAAATTGGAGCCAGAGAAGGCCATGAAGGAAGGGTTCTCATGCACATACACCTGATAACAATAACTATCACAAAGGCTTTGCAGAAAACACAACCTTGCATAGGCTTGATATGCAAAGATAGTCTTCATAGACTCAAAGAGATTTGACTCCAACATGGAAATGAGACATCCTGCACAATGGCCAACTCTACTCTTTGCCTACCCAATGGTCATCTCTCCTTCTTCCTTGCTAATAGAATTATAACTTTGTTTTTAGGTAGTGAGTGATAATCCATTGATTTCCAGGAAGCCTAGCCTCTCCATAGGAATGAGTTATGGTAGGTCAAATCCATTCACAATAATACTATTTCTTTTTCCCATGGATTGGTCCAGAAATCAACACATGATCCAATGTGAACCAATGAGGCATGAGGGAAGTCTCTTAGGGAGTTTACTCTTCCCATGTAAAAGATAAGAGACATCTCAAGATAAAACCCTTTGCCTCCTGCCCATCCGCTATTGCTTAGAGGGTCTACCATGTGCCAGGAATACTTTGAACTCTTGAGAACAATGTCTCAGCTACCAGAGGGATTATATTCTGTTAATGAAGACAGAAAATAAACAGTGGACACATGCTTAAATAGGTCATGTACTACGAAGGGGAATAAATCAGGGTTATTCCACAGAGAGTGAGCGAGTGTGTCTTTTTAAGCTGAGAACAGAAAATATCTGGGAAAAGAATCCTTTATCAAGTGAAGAGGTCATTCTAGAAACAAAAACAGCCAGTGTAGGTGGACTGTGGAAAGTAAAGATGAGAGGGAGAGTGGTGGGAAATGAGGTAGGAAAATGGTGAGAATAGATGATGTTAGAAGCCATTACAAGGAATTTTGAGTTTATTCTCAAATGTGATATGAGCCACTGGAGGGTTTTAACATGGGGACTTATTTCTAGAAAAATGTTAACACAAACTAAGGTTTTGATTAATTACCATGTATTTTAAAGGCTTTGAGTTGAAAGAGAAAAATCTAAGTAGGAAAGACCCAATTTACTAGCAATCCTTCTCCTAGGCTTGCTTATTTATTTATTTACTGAATGGCATTTTCTGTTAATCTTATTCGATGATTTGGGTATTTAAAAATGTTTGGTTTTATTTTTTCATTGTGATAGTGTTCATTTATAATTACAAACAGACTTTTACAGGTTATAAAATAGGAATGAATTTAACAGGTATTTTGTCACAGAGTTGACGAGTTTTATCAACTTACTGGGTGTGGAGAATATAGTAGAAAGTAACGTAAAGACCCCACTATACTTTCAGGTCTGTCATCTGTTGCAGTGGCCTCCAGTTTTATAGCTGTTGAACTTTTGTTAACAGTTTATCTTCCTCCAAATTGACAGTGAGCTTTTTAAGGCAAAGGTCTATGTATTTCTATTACTCCCTCAGAGTCCAGTAGGGTGCCTCATAAGAAGGAAATGCCCATATATTTAGTTGATTAATTATTAAGAGTCTGAGTGTCTGTTTTTCTGACTTCAAGCTGCAAGCTTTGGGAAGAGCTTTGAGAACTTCTATTTGGGTCAGCTGCCCATCCTTGGGCCATCGTGGTAGTTAGGGGCCTGTGGTCCAGTTCACATCATGTCTTCCCCTCATTCCTTGACTCAGGAGGAGTGAGGGCTACATGAAGATATTGACATCCCTACTTAAACCAGCAGGTTGGGGCCAGGGGGTGACTGTTTCTAGTAGAACAAACATTAGATGTCCACCTTACCTTTCTTCTGAGCTCTTCACCTACACATGGAACTTTCCATTCTACATCTGCCTTGAATGTTTTGTGAGTACTTCAAAGTCAATCTCTTCCTTATGCTGTTTCCAAACCTGACACTCCATGGTGTATGGCTCTGCCACATGTCCAGTTGCTCAAACCAGGCACCTAGATGTTATCCTTAACTCCTTCTTCTCTCTCATCCCTCATGTTTTCTTCCTGTCTAAGCCAGGTTTATTATTTTGCTCTGTTTCCTGCTGCCAACACCTTATTCAAACCAACATCATTTCTGTCCTGAAATAGTTGTCCCACTGGTATGCTAGCATCCACTTTTGCTTATCTTGAATCAATCTGTTCTCTGTACCCACACTGTCTAATATAGCAGCCACTAGCCACATGTGGCAATTTAAATTTAAATTTATAGTTAAGATTAAATACAGTTAAAAGTTCAATTCCTCAGTTGCACTAGCCATATTTCAAGTGGTCAATCAATATCTCCATGTGGTAGGGACTTCCATATGGAGGCCCTCGTGAAACATCCAGCTGGAGATAAAGCATAGAAATTGTCAGCTGCAGGTGGATTGCTCCGAAGTGACTGATAAGCTTGGCTAAAGCAGACTGTTGATGTCCAGATGTTAACACTATTTCTGGCATCTTCCCAGTCTTATTTGCTTATTCCATTTCTACAACACAGCATGCTTTTCTCAACTTTTCTTGGTCAGCTAAAGATGCTATAACAAAATACCATAAACTGGGTGGCTTATAAACAACAGAACCTTCGAGGTTAGGATTTTAACATATGAATTTTGGGGGATACAGACATTCAGACCATAGCACACCTCAAGGATTTCATGAACCCTAGGCTTACTCCTCCTCATCCCTTCACCCTTTTTCCCAGGTGGCCATCCAGTCCGGTTTGAGCACTTAATACCCTATATCCCAGGAAACTCCTTAGTGCCAAGCAAACGAGAACAGCTGGTCTACCTATCTTTAACCTGGCTATCTATTGGTTATTCTTCAGATCTCAGCTTAAGTGTCCTCCAGGGCCTTGCTACTCAAAATATGATTCCTATACTACCGCTCCAATCCTATTTAACTGACTCTCTGTTTAACACAATCCACTGGTGATTCAGATGAATGATAAAGTTTGGATACCTTCAGGGAACCTGTCCTGACCTCTCAGACCAGATCACATACACTGTCTTCTCCATTAGACTACAAATTCATGAGGGAAGGGACATCTCTGTCTCATTCTTAATAGGCTGTGAACACTAAGTATGGTACCTGACAAAGTGTAAAGGCTGAATAAATACTTGCGTGGGTGAATGGACAAACCTAGATTACATGAGGTTAAATCAGGCAGACTGTGGTGGATGTGGTTGCTACTCTAGCCCATAGCCCCATGACCCATCTGAGTTCACCTGAAGTTGCCCCTCTCAGGACAGTCTCAGCTAAACACTTCAATTCCTGGTAACTCTTCTTTTATGCCTAAGGCCTTTCTAAGAGTTTGAAAACTTAAGTTGAAATGATTCTCAAAATTCAGTGGACATCAGAATTCAATGGAAAGCTTTTAAAAATACAGATTGCTGGGCTCCACCCTCAGGTATTCTGAATCAGTAGGTCTTAGATGAAACCCAAGACTGCATTTCTAACAAGTTCCCAGGGGATGCTGTGGCTGCTGGTGGTGGTCTGGCAATCACAGTTTGAGAACCACTTTTCTGAAAGTCTTAGCCAGAGCAATCAAGTAAGAGAAAGAAAGGGCATCCAAATAGGAAAAAAAAGAAGCCAAATGATCTCTCTTCGCAGTCTATATGATTCTATACCTAGAAAACCCTAAAGACTCCACCAGAAGTCTCCTGGAACTAATAAACGACTTCAGTAAAATTTCAGGATACAAAATCAATGTACAAAAGTCAGTAGCATTTCTATATACCAATAATATTCAAGCTGAGAGCCAAATCAAGAACACAACTCTATTTACAATAGCTGCCTATACATACATACATACATACATATATACATACATACATACATACACACCTAGGAATATATCTAACCAAGGAGGTGAAAGATCTCTACAAGAAGAACCACAAAACCCTGCTAAAAGAAATTATAGTTAACACAAACAAATGGAAAAGTATTCCATGCTCATGGATTGGAAGAATCAATAGAATTAAAATGAGCACACTGCCCAAAGCAATCTACAGATTTAATGCTATTCCCATCAAACTACCGATGTCATTTTTCACAGAACTATAAAGAACTTTCTAACATTCATGTGGAACCAAGAAAGAGCCTGAATAGCCAATGCAATCCTAAGCAAAAAGAACAAAGCCAGAGGCATCACATTATCTGACTTCAAACTATACCACAAGGCTACAGTAACCAAAATAGCATGGTACTGGTACAAAAACAGACACATAGACCAGTGGAACAGAATAGAGAACCCAGAAATAAAGCTGCACACTTACAGCCATCTGATCTTTAACAAAGTCAATGAAAATGATAATAACCAATGGAGATATTCAATAAATGGTGTCGGGACAACTGGCTAGCCACATGCAGAAGAATAAAACTGCACACCTACCTTTTGCCACATACAAAAATTAACTCAAGATGGAATAAAGATTTAAATTTAAGACCTTAAACTATAGGAATACTAGTAGAAAACCTGGGAAACACCATTCTGAACATCAGCCTTGGGAAAGAATTTATGACTAAGTCCCCAAAACCAACTGCAACAAAAACAAAAACTGACAAGTGGGACCTAATTAAGATAAAGAGCTTCTGCATGGCAAAAGAAACTATCAACAGAGTAAACAGACAACCTACAGAATGAGAGAAAATATTCACCAACTGTGCATCTCACAAAGGTCTAATATGCAGTATCTATAGGGAATTGAGCAGGTGAAAAACAAATAACCCCATTAAAAATTACATGAATGAACACTTCTCAAAATAAAACAAATAAGTGTCCATAAGCATATGAAAAAAAAACCCAACATCACTAATCATTAGAGAAATGTAAGTCAAAACCATAGTGAGATACCATCTCACACCAGTCAGAATGGCTATTAAAAAGTCAGAAAACAACAGATGCTGGTGAAGCTGCAGAGAAAAGGGAATGTTTATACACTGTTGGCAGAAGGTAAGTTAGTTCAGACACTGTGGAAAGCAGTTTGGAGATTTCTCAAAGAGTTTAAGACAGAATTAGTATTCTACCCAGCAATCCCATTACTAGATATATATCCAAAATAAAATAAATCATTCTCCCAAAAAGACACCAGCAACAGTGGATTAGATAATGAAAATGTGGTACATATATACCATGGAATACTATGCAGCCATTAAAAAGAATGAAATCCTGTCCTTTGCAGCAACATGGATGCATCTGGAGGCCATTATCCTACGCAAATTAATGCAGGAACAGAAAACAAAATATAACATGTTTTCACTTATAAGTGGGGGCTAAACACTGGGATTCATGGACATAAAGATGGCAACAATAGATACTGGGGACTACAAGAGCAGGAAGAGGTGGGGAGGGCAAGGGTTAGAAAACTAACTATTGTGTGCTATGCTCAGTACCTGGGTGAAGGGTTCAATCATATCACAAACCTCAGCAACACACAATATACCCAGGTAACAAACAAGCATATGTACCCCCTACCTAAAATAAAAGTTGAAATTACTTTTTTAAAAAAGAACCACATTTCAGTGAGGTAGCTCAGCTACTCAGAAATATAATTTGGATGTTTAGGAGAGTTCATGTCCCCTGGGAACCCTCAATCAATGAGGAATTGAAGTCATTGGATAAATGCGCTTCTACTTCCTGGACATCACATGGGATGACTCTGAAGTATGAAGTATGTCTTACCCAGTTTCCCCAAGGGTCCCCAATAGTATTGACCCCCAGCCTCTCACTAATGTTCCCTTTATTGGGTTCCATTTTTTCCTTTCACCCATTTCTGTTTCATGAGATCTCCTCACACATAAGCTATCTGTACCCACATCCTTGTCTCAGACTCTGCTTTGAAAGAAACCTTACTTGGTCAAAGTCTTATATCCAAATCTTTCTAAGTCTCTTGACTTGAATCATTGATTTTCCCTGGTATATTCCCACTGCACCTTGTAGGGAGCTCAGAGAAGTAAAACTCCTCAACTGAGACACAGGGAGGTGGTTGCAATGTGTGCTCACAACATGGCTTACTTCCCTTTTGTGGCATTCATCAAAAGTATATTTTTAACTAGTGATGTAATTAAGTGTTTAACATCTGTCTTTCCCACTAGACTTTGAAGTCTTGACCTTTCCTGTTTACTACAATATCTTCTGTGTCTAAAACCATACTTGTCAAATAGTAGGCATTCATTGAATATTTGGAATGAGTGACATAATGAATTCATATATCAGTTAATATTAGTACCTCATATTTATAAAGCTGTTTACAAAGCACGTTACCATAAGTTTCCATCTTATTCTTCAAGACCATGAGAATCAGAATAGACATTGTTATTAAAATTTCTCTAGAATTTATCAAGCGGCTGTTATGTTCCAAGCTCTTTGCTAGGGGCTGGTATACAGAGGTGTACAAGACTATGCTTCTCAAATGTCAACAGGCAGTCAAATCACCTGGGAATCTTGTTAAAGCGCAGGTTCTAATTCAGTATGGCTGGGATGGAATCTGCAAGTCTGTGGGTCTAACAAGTTCTCAGCTGATGCTTATTTAAGCTGCTGGTCTGGAGATTACACTTTCAGAAGAAACGATCTAACAGCAAGGTTCTCAACCGTGATTACACATTGGAATTTACTGGGAGCTTTAAAAATACTGAGACCTGGGTCCCAAACCCAGCAACTCCAGCTTAGTTGGAGTGGGATTTTTGAAAACTTGCCAGGTGATTCTAATTTCCATCCAACTGATCCAGGATAGTGGTTCTGATATCTCAGTGTGCACCAGACTTTCCTGGAGAGCTTGTCAAAACACATGTTATTGGGCCCCAACCCCAGAACATCTGATTCAGTAGGTCTGAGGCAGGGCCTGGGAGTTTGCTTTTCTAAAAATTTCCCAGATGATGTTGATGATGTTGGTCTGAGAAGCACTAGTCTAGAAGCAAAGAGAGGCAAGTAAATAGGTGAGCTGCAGTAAAATGGGGGCAAACAGCAGAACGGTGTACAGATTTCCAAGATAATGCTGATACTATTGGTCTGAGAAGCACTAGTCTAGAAGCAAAGAGAGTCAAGTAAATAGACGAGCTGCAGTAAAATATGGGCAAACAACAGAACTGTGTACAGACATAACGAGAGAGAGGACCCAGGGTTAGAAAGGGCTTCATGGTCAAGGTGGTGTCTGAGTTGGGTTTAGAAGGACAAGTCAAATGGGAGGACTCATGAGAAGCACAATTTTAGCCAGAGAAAATATGTACAAAGATATACACAGATGAATGGGCAGGGTGCATCTAGGGGACTATGAAGCTTGAGACTGCGAAGGCATCAACTCAGAGCAAGGCAGTTACTGCTGGGCACTAGATATGATCAATAGGCTAGAACCAAGCCACGAAGGAGAGGTATTCCATGCAATTCTTAGACTTCATTCTCAAAACAACAGGGAGTCAGTGAATGGGAGAGCTAAGGTCACTGAGGTAATAGCCTGGAGGATAGTGACTGTGTGTCTAAGAAATGATAGATGCACCCAGGAATAATTGGAACATCTCAGGATGGAGACAGTGAGTGTATAAGCCCAGGTAGTGAACATCCATGAGAAGGCAATGCGATGAACAGAAACCAGAGTGTCAATCTGATGGCAATACCAACCTGATGGAGTTGGGGTCAGGAAATGTTGGCTTAATTAACCAAATTGATGGCAGCACCAAATAAACTTGGAGGAAGGTGTTTGGGAGTGGAGGGGGGAAGAGGATGGAGGAGGTGAGAAAGATTTGTGTATATTGGGAATATCTGGTGGGCAATTAGATATACAGCTCTGTAGCTTGACGGGGTGGGGGGTCCAAGCAGATAATAATTTAAATAGTGGGAGTGGTCAGATTGTACAAAAAGAAAATACAGAGTGAAAAGAAGACCCAGGGAGTAGTTAAAGCTATGTTTTAAACACTATGGTTGCATTTAAAAATACCCCCAAACTTTGAGGTTAAAAGGAATAAGGATCATTTCTTTTGCTCATAAACCTGCCATTTGGGCAGGGATCAGTGGGTACATTGCTACTCCATATACTTTCAGTTGGTGCAACCTGATGGGAGACAGAGAATCCCCTTCCAAGATGGATCTGGGGAGTTTTTAGACATACAGCTCACTTATGTGGCTGGTAGGTTGACGCTGGCTGTCAGCTGAGAGCTCTGCAGGGCCAAGGGGCAAATGGCCCCCATGGCCTCTCCACGGATGATGCTTGGGCTTCCTCCCAATATGGTGGCTGGGTCCCAAGAGAACCATGAGGAAACTGCCTCACGTTTTATGACTTACCCTTAGAAGTCACAGTATTACTTCTTGGTATTGGAAGCCCAGCCTAATTTAAAAAGAGGGCATGCAGGCCCTACCTTGCAATGGGAGGAGAGTCAAAGTCACATTGTGAGGACAGAGATATCTTTGGAAGATACACCTGCTACACCCTATGTTTTGGGGGAAGTCTGAGGAAGAGAACTAGTCCAGATATTGTAATGACAAGTCTATGCCTGGGCTACTCCAAGGGTGAGCCACAGAGCAGCAGCACCTGGTGCTTATTAGCGATGCAGACTCTCAGCCCAGCCTCGGGGACTGGAGTCTAATAGGATTCCCAGGTGAAGCATCTGCACAATAGATTTGAGGAATAGTTCTCTATACCACATTAGCTCCTCTGGCTGCGGATGTCCAGGGTCCAGGGCATCATCCCAGACCTCAAGTGCTTTGTAATGTCCCCTCGTGCCTTCTCTCCAAGTCCACTACACAAGATGTGTCAAAACTGCATTCCACAGAGACACCTCAGAGGCAGGTGCAAGGGTTTATGAAGCGGTGTGTACACACTTCCTTCATGCTCTAATCACTGGCAGGACTTTGCAGGGAGAGCATTTTTCTAGGACATGGCAAACATCCTCTGACAACAGGCTAGTCCCAGCTGACCTGCAGACGGGCACTTGGAGAGAGCTCCTCAGTTCATTACCTTCCTTCTCAATGCCTCAGCCCAGGCTTTCAGGAAAACACAATGTACTTGAAGCGCCTTTGGAAGTCCCATTAACCCTTATGGGCCAGGACACAGACCCTCAGGCCATCTGCCCCTAGCAACAGATTAAAAAAAAGAAAAGAGCTTCTGTTGTCATTTGTCAGAGTTTTGTACAACAAAGGAACTAGAGACACTTCATTTGGAACAAATAAAAACCTCCGGCCCCTTCTGCATGCTGATATATGAAGGTCACTAGTCAATTACAGATACTCCGGACCTAAAGACTGATGCCACCAAACATTCAGCATCTGATCCTCTGTGTCTATTTACTCAGTAATAATTTTTGAGCTCTGATCCTGTGCCATGCACTGGGATGCGATAGCTAGCAGGCCACCTCCCTGCATGGGGTGGGGATAGAAGCCACATGTTAGAGTGACTAAATCAGGTTGGTGGCATTCAGCCTCACCAGCCTTTTCCAAGGCTGAGTTCTTTAAACTCACAATCATTGCCCCTGGGCTCTGCAGTTGTGAGGCTGTGAATGGTGGGCTTGGCAGAGACTGGCCTTTAAGTGTCTTGGCCTCTGAGATGAGAGCCTGTGCTGGCCAGGCCTTCCCAGCCTTGTCCTGAGTGATGACGGAGCACCTGCTTAAGGGACAGTTCCCTCACTGGTGAGAAGCCAGGGCCTTTGCTGCCATTATCAACAATTCACATTCCTGCAGTACTTTGTACCTTTCAAAGTCCTTATACAGGTAAAATACCCCTTAAATACATGGACCACCCGGAGTACTAAGGATAGTTTTATAGACAAAGGAATTGGTGCTCCAAGACAGCCAAGCTCTCTGGGGTTCCCACAGCTGGTCACCTCTCAGTGTCACTCACCTTATGGCTGCTTCTCTGACCTCAATGTGCTGTGGTCATCTTGGCACCTTGTTAAAAACAGACTGACTCAGGAGAGTTCTGGGGTGGGTTTGGAGCTTAGTTATTTCTAACAAGCTCCCATGAAATGTTGTTGCTGCCAGTCCAAGGACCACACTTTGGATAACAAGGGCCTAGCGTAGGGGCTGCAAACTATTTTTATAAATACATGCATTGCCTAAGCCACATCCACTAGTGTTATCTATGGCTGAACAATGGCAGAGTTGAGTGGTTGCAACAGAGGCTGAAAAGCCCACAAAGCCTAACATATTTACTTACCTGGCTTTTTGCAGAAACAGTTTGCAGACTGACCCCTGCTCTAGAGTCAATTAAGGTTGTTGATTCAAATTGCCTGGGAAATTTCCAGACACGCTGATGCCTGGACCCAACCCCCAGAGATTCTGATTTAATTGCTCTAGGGTGCAGCTTAATTATCTGGGTGTTTAAAGCTCCCAGGCAATGCATATGGGCTCCAGGCCCCAATGGGTTAATTGGAGCATCATGTGGTGCCCTTCCTCCCTCCTCTCCTCTCCTCCTCCCAAGTTCAACCATGTGACTTTCATTTTTAGATTTGGAATTTGCAGCTGATTTCTGCAGCTGCTTTGGGAACAGATTTTTAAGGAGAAAGTTAGAATGCACAGCTGAGTACTGTGGCTCCCCTGCCCCCAGCACATTTATATGCAAATAGCCAAGAGCCTTGTTTTTGCAATCACTAAAATTGAATCGGAATCCAGAGATCTTTTTCTGTTGCTTAACCTTCCCTGATTTTTCCCTTTGCTTTTCTGGGCACATTTCTACCTCTCTTTTGTTTTTCCTCCTGCATCCTCCAGTGCATGGTCAGCCTTTTGCTGCCTCCTTGTTAATCAAAACAGATTAAGCCTCATTTTCTTACAGCTGAATTTCCTGGGAGACATAGGTATTTAGCATTTCCCAATTTCTACAGGGAAGGGAGCATCCTACTCTGTAGCAATAAGATAAAATTGTTGGAAAAAGAAACATCCCAAAGCCGACAGTGGAGGTGAACACTGGTCCAAGGCTGGAGGTGATTTTAAGAGACCCTCTGATCTCTCTCCGTTTCCCAAAGAGGCAGAGAAGGACTTGGGAACTATAGCTAGCTAGCTTAGTGCAGATCTCCTCCAGGAGGAAGACTCAGATTCCGCTAGAGTCTCAAAGGATGCATCTCTTGTGACTGCATGATTACATTCCCCCTCCTTCTGGCCTCATATCTGATGCTACCTACAAGAGGTTCCTTTTGGGCCTAGGGAGGCAAACTGGGAGGAGCTGACACAGCAACAGAAGAGAGGGCCTTGGTGTGCCCCACGGACATTTTGCCCTGGGCAGAAGAAAACTTTCAGGCAAAGCCCCCTGAAAGCTTTAAAACTTTAAGATGGTGATTTTCAAACATGGTTGCACTTCAGAATCATCTAGAGAGCTTTTTAAAAGTGCCTGTACCTCAGACCTCAATCTCTTGATGTATTGGGTCTGGAGTGTGGCCTGAGCAGTGGTATTTTTTTCACATTTTATTGTGAAATAATTTAGACTTTCAGAAAAGATACAAAGGAGTACAAAGAATTACTATGCATCCTTCACCCAGCTTTCCCATGTGTTCATAATGTGCATAGCCACAGTTCTATAATCAAAATAAAAAACCACATTGCATGTAGTGACGTGTTCCACAGAGCTTATTCAGATTTTGCCAATTGCTGCACTCATGCTTTTTGCCAGCATCTCACATTGCATTTAGTTGTCCTGTCTTGTTCTCCTCCTTTAATCTGGGACAGTTCTGCAATCTTTGTCTTTCATGACTTTGACACCTTGTAAGAGTACTGGTCGTTGATTTTGTAGAATGTCCTTTAATTTGCTTTTGGGCAGAATAGAATCGAAAACTCCCTGGATGATTGTAATGTGCAGTTAAGATTGAGGACTCTGATCCAATGTAGTGGGGACGAGGCCATTATACTTAGCAAATTACCCTTTAGGGTCATGTGAAAACTGTGGTAGAGGCTGGAGAAGAGAGTAACGGTCGACAGAACCTGGATTCATCTCGGGTTTGGTCCCTCCCCAGGTCTTTTTCCTGCACCTCTGTTTTTTATTCTCTTTTTCTCTCTTTCCACCTCTATATCCAGGTCCCAAATTAGAGACCTCAATTAATGTCAGCCCAGCTCCCTCATGCAACACTGACATGGAGTCACTTTCAAAGTTGGATCATTTTTCTCCTCCGTTTAAAATCCTGTGAGTGGCAACCTATCTTCCTACAAGGCTTTCCATGATGGGAGGTGGTCTCTGCTCTACCCCTCTGTCCTCACCACTTCCCACTCACTCACCCGGCAGTTCTGGGAAGTGGGCACGAGTCAGCCTCCAGGTATTTGCTCTTGCAGTTGCCACTGCCAGATGCTCCTCTTTCAGGAGACCATGCTGCTATATCCCCGTTTCTTTCAGGTCTTTACCCCCTGGTCTGGCTCAATTCCTCCCCTACATCCTCACATCACCCTCCCCTGCTCCATGTGGAGGGAATCAGCCTGTTTTGTTTATCCCTACATCTCCAGAACCCAGGGGAGTGGCTGATACAAAACAGGGACTCAATATATATTTGTTAAATAAATGAAAGAAATTGTAGCTAGAAGGAATTTTTTAAAGTTCAATAATTGCTGGAGAGGATATTTCATTCATAACGCTGACTAAAATGATTTCAAGTGATCTCTCTTTTTTACCAGTTGCCCGGCTTCCCTTTGTGTTAATTGCACGCCTCCTTTGGGGACTTCCCATTTTTCCAATTCCTCTGTTTCTTCTGCACACAGTAAAATGGCCTCAGAGATGAGGATCGGGTGGGAGCAGGTTGTCAAGTATGTGTATTTTCTCTTTTATCCTTGTCACAGTTATAGCTGTAAAGAAAGTTTGAGTGCCCCACGTGACCCTGACAAGTCTTTCTGCAGTGCCTTCTCAAAGATAAATACCTCTGCTGGTATTTGAGAGGAAGGAAGGGAATCAGATACCTCTTTCTCATAAAAATAATTAACCATCATTTTTTCTGTATGCTAAGCAATGTGTGTGTGTATAAAATTTACCTTTATTAAAATCGTAAGTGATAAATAATGATCATCAGTATTTTAGAGATGTGACAGCAGAGTCTTGGAGAGGTTAAGTCAGCTGGTAAACTATGGAGCTGAGATTTAAACCCAGATGTTTTGATGCTGCAGCCAGTGGTCTTAATACTGTCTCCTATTTTGATAGCTGCCTATAAACCTAATGGAAATAAGAGGAAGCTGGCACCATGCAGGCAATGCCAGCTTTGGGTTGCTTTAGGGACTAGGAGAATACAGATATTCTGATTTTAGAGACTGAGAGTTAGCTGCAGGGCTTAGTCATTGTCCCGGTCTGTTCATCCTGCTTCGCCTTCATGGGACCACACCTGCCAACCATTTCAGTGGTTCGCAGTGTGGTCCCTGGGCAGCAGCAGAAGTGGCAGCACCTGGAAGTTGTTAGAAGTGCAAAATCCCAGCTTTTTACCCATGACCTCCTGAATGAGAAACTCTAGGTTGGGGTCCAGGATCTGTGATTGATCAAGGCCTCTAGGTGATTCTGATGCTGACCCAAGTTTGAGAGCCTTTAGTATAGTGGTTAGGATAGTAATCTTTGGCTCCAAACTTCCTGTTCAAATGACATCCCTGCTGCTTACTGGCTGGGTGGGCTTGTTGCAAATTACTTTGTCTCTTGGTGTCTCAGTTTGCTTATCTGTATAGTGGGATAATCATAGTACCTACATCATTTTTGTTAAGATTAAATGAATTATATATGAAGCTATTTAAACAATGAAAAGAGCTATTTCACATTAGCTATTTATACATTCTCTGTCTATAATTATGATGCTTTCTGTTCACCAAAAACTAAAAAAAAAAAAAAAACAGTACTTTTTACCCCCTGGCCTGGATCATTTAAAGAGGCTCAGCATCTCTGAGGTTGCAGTGTGTAAGTCTTTGCAAGGCCAGGCTGCTAACGAGTCTAGGCTGAACTTGTTTCAGTTTTCTTCAAGAATAACCGAGATCTATGCCCTGTGTAACCAAATGCTGTATTCCCGTGCCTGCAGATTGAGAGTCCTGTAGACCAGCTCGGCTGAGTCCTTCAGCATTTGTTTACAAAGCGGATGGTTACTTAAAGAGGGTGATCACTCAAGACACAGTGATATTTACCTAGCTTTTGCCTCCTGACTCACTATGCAGAACCAAACGGCTTAGACGAGATTGATGAGACCAGAGGCCAAGACAGTCAGGAAAAGGCTTTGTAACAGAATATTCAGAAACCAATCATTATTCATACCACAGCCCAGCCTTGTCAGTAGACCAGAGATGAACAGAAATGTTGTTCTCTGGAACATCTCAGGAAGCTGCATTTATAACAGATGCCATCCCACTTTAAACTAAGCATGGGCTGGCTAAACTGACTGGTTTATTCATTTTTCTGAGGATACTGAGAGAGGGAGAATTAGAAAACGGGGACTGTAGGAGGGAAAGGTGATTAGGTTAATTTAAGATTTGTCTGGACCACTAAACAATAAGTGATAGCCAAGAACATTTGAAAGCAAAGAAGAGTAGGTATTGAGTTTGCCTTAATAAACATCAGCACATATTCTAAAATTACACTAATTAAAACAGAATAGCACTAGAGAAACCAAAGGAAGATGTTGCCAAGAAAATAGATCCTTGTATAAATGTAAAATAAGTATAAGTTAAAGAAATAAACTTGGAGCAAAAAGATCTGGATGTATTATTTCATAATTAGTGCTAGAACTAGTTTTTTGTTTGTTTGGTTGGTTTTTTTTTTTTTTTTTTTTTTTTTTGAGAAGTCTTGCTCTGTGGCCCAGGCTGGAGTACAGTGGTGTGATCTCTGCTCATTGCAACCTCCACCTCCTAGGTTCAAATGATTCTCCTGCCTTAGCCTCCTGAGTAGCTGGGACTACAGGCATGAGCCACCACACCTGGATAATTTTTTGTATTTTTAGTAGAGATGGGGTTTCACCATATTGGTCAGGCCGATCTTGAACTCCTGACCTCAGGTGATCCGCCCATCTCGGCCTCCCAAATTGCTAGGATTACAGGTGTGAGCCACTGCACCCAGCCGGTGCTAGGATTAGTTTTAAAGCTACTCAACCAAGTCATTCCCTTCTAAATATCAACTACTGAAATAAATTCAAAGTGCCTTAAAGATATAGGTGTAAAAAATGGAATCACACACCCAAACACAAAGAATTTCTAAACAATAAAGGAAAATATAGGTGAATATCTGGTGGAACATTTGCCTATCTCTGGACAGGGAAAGACTTTTGAAGTTCAAAATCTGCACATTTTAGGACTTAGAAAAATTAGACACACACACCTCCCCTGGACCATGTTTTCTTTTGGTGTTCTTAAGAACAAATAAAAAGTCAGTTCTAGGACAACAAGGCCAGGCAAAAGCTTATCTTACTACATCCTCAACTTTCTGTCCGAGGCAACATACAGCACCATTCAGGTTTTTCCACTCTACTATTAAGCTCTTTGCCCAGTGTGAGATTGCTACGAGCATCTAAGATATCCAGGTGGTACTTCTTCCCTAAGCCACTGTGGCTGACATGGTCTTGGGGAATGAAAATTGAGGGCTGGTCCACAGCCCACAGCTATGACTCAAAGGAGGGAAGGTAGACGCAATGCTAGGTAATAACCAAACATATGTGTTTTCCTAGGTGCTTGGGCAAACTGCATTTTCCAGGAGATCAAGTTGGGCCAGTTGACTGAGTTATGACCAGTGAAATGTGGGCAGTGGAGATGTACAATGTTTCCTGTATCTGGCTGATAACAATCTCCATTCTCTCTTCTTGTTCCATGGTGACCTTGAAGGCCACACATTGAAGGTAACAGCACCACAGGATGGAAGCCTGTAGGAAAGCTGCTCAACTCACAAGGAGTGTGTTGCAAGTCAACCTTCATTGTGTTCAGCCATAGAGATGTCATTGTCTTCCCAAGGTAGCCTGGCCAACCCTAGCTAAACAGTTCTTGTCATCATCAACTCTCAGATAAAAAGATGGAACGTGGTAACATCAAAACAAAATCCAATCCCTTGCTCAGTTTGAGGAAGGATCAATGAACAGATTCCCCCTTTTTTGAATTAAATATGGAGTAGGCATAATTTATGAACCAAAAGGGAGTTTTTGCAATAATATTGCAAACATTGCTTGCTCTTTCATCATTCTTTATTAATATTTTTCTTCTGGGACAGGGTGCAGAGCCTCCTATTAACTTCCATAATAATCAGAGTTGAATTTCATCTCTCCTCTACATTTTTCTCCAAAGAGAAAAGCAAGAGACCTTAGCCAGGGGTCACCAGTCTCATAAAAGGGGTTTTGCCAAGTGTTTCCCAGAACACAGTAGTCAGTGGAATTCTTTCATTTATTCAGTAAACACTAAATGGGAACCTAATATGTTTCAGGGACTGTTCTGGTGCTTCAGCGAGCAAAACAGATAAAAATCTCTGTCCTCATAGGGACTACCTTTTCCTCATCAAGCAGTGGGAGATTTTCAATACGGTTTTCTTTGAAATGAATTTAATAATAGGTAAATTATGTAAGTGCCATGGAAAAGGAAAAAAGTAGAGCCAGTGAGGACGGCCTCAGTTGGGGGTTGTTTGCAGAATTAAAGAGGGTGGTGATGGCAGATCTCACTGAGAAAGCTTTGAGAAGACTCCAAGGAGGTAAGCAAAGTAGCCATATATGTATATGCATATATACAAGAGGAAAATTCTAGAAGGGCTAGTGCAAAGCTTTAAGGCAAGAAATGTGCCTGGCATATTTCAGGAGGTCACTGTGGCTGGAGTAGAGAAGCCCATAGGGGAGAATAGCAGAGGATGAGTTTGTAGAGGTATGAGGGAGGAGGGCACCATGACATCACAGGGAGCCCGTAAGACACTGTAAGACTTTTGTTCTTTGGGAGATTTGGAGAGCCATTCAGTCACATGAGACAGAAACCTAACTCAAACTTGCTTAAAAGGGGAGTTCAATGGCTCACATTCCTGAGTCAGAACAAAGGCTCCCCAAATCAAAGTGTTGGGGAAGACATCGAGGGGCGCAGTTTCGGTCACATGTTCTCTCTAATCAGTCACTGAAAACAGGGAGATAAAGTCCTGTGATTGTCCAGCCTGGGTCCTATGTGTGCCTGTCTGGACAGAGAGTAGGAGTGGAAGGACAGCTCCAGAAATTGCATAAGAAGAGTTTTCTCCTAGGCTGAAGGGCTTCATCCCCAGAAGCAGCAGGACTGGATGATTAGTAGTCAAAAACCATCAATGTCAACTCCAAAAGTGATGAAAGCCAGCACAAAGGGAGAGACTTGATTGTGTACAAACATAAAAAGAAGGCTGTGTGTCAGAAAATATCACAATCAAAATTATAAAGCAAAGCACAAGTAGAAAATTATATGCAGGAAATATGACAAAAAGATAATAGTCTCAGTATATAAAGTGCACATGAATATCAATGAAAATTTAAAATCTCAACTGACAAATGACCAAAGAACATGAACAGACTAATTCCTTAATCAGGAAATAAAAATAGCAGATAGAAATTTGTTTACCCACCTTAGTAAACAAAAAATGCTAAATAATAATGACAAACGTTTCTCATGCTGACATGTTTTAATGTCCATATTTATAGGCCCCTCAAGGCCAGTGAGTGTTCTACAAAATGGAAATTCTCACGTTTAATTGCTAGCAGTTTGACTTTGCAAAGTAATTCGATAATAAATATCAAGTGTTTGTGAACCCTGAAAATCCCCTTTTGGAAATATACCCTGATGTAAACAAAAATTTGTGACCAAAAGTGTTATTCGTCATTTCATTCAAAATAAAAAAAAAAAATCAAGGAAACTAAGTATCACAGAATAGGGAAGTGGAAGTAAAAATTACAGCCATATGAGGAAATATTTTTAAATGACTTGGGAAAATCCTTAATTGACAAGAAAATGTTTGTGGTACAACCATGTGAAAAAGTAGTATACATAAATGATATACAGTATGATTCAATTATAAAATAATATGAAATGGAAACAAATCAAGCATATTATCTGTGATTGTTCTTAAGTTTTTGACAATTGGCACATAATTCTTAGCTAGATTGATCGATTGAACGATCAATTGATATATGGGTAGATAGATAGATATAGTTAGCCTGGGTGGCTTTTTGATATCTTTTCTCATTTCTGCTATGAAATTTTTTGTGGATTTTCTGCCTCATGTTATATTGATCTTGGTAAATTTTATCTTAAAAAATCTCCAATTTCTTTGACTTGTTATTGGTTAGTTATGCATAAAATTTAATATTATCATCCTCAAAATTTAATTTCTATGTTGCTATCCTTTAAAAATTACTCATAAGAGTTACAGATTATTTATCTATTTCAATTGACTTTCAAAGAACCCAGATTTAGTTTGATTTTAATAGTTTACTGCTTTTAAAATTTCTCAGTTTTATGTACATATATGTGTGTGTATACATATATATAAAATCCTCATTTTCTTTGGATTTTTTTTGTTTCGAAAATCTTAATTTGAATGCTTTTAATACTATTTTCTTTTTTATTTTTAATGCAAAAAATGCTGTAATACACAATTAGAGCATTTAAAACTAAATTTTCTTCTAAATAGTGCTTTGGATTCATCTCACGTTTTTAATAGTGTTTGTTGTAGTTTGTTCAGGCTACTGTAACAAGGAACCTTAGACTGGGTAATATGCCAGCAACAGAAATTTATTACTCACAGTTCTGGAGGCTGGAAGTCCAAAATCAAGGTGCTAGCAGGTTGTCCGCCTGGTGAGGGCTCTTTGCTTCCTAGATGGCACTTTGTTGCTGTGTTCTCACATGGCACCAGGGGCAAGGCGGTTCCTCTCTATCTCTTTTATAAGGACACTAATTCCATTCGTGAAAGGAGAGCCCTCAAGACTTAATCACTTCTTATAGGTCCCACCTCATAGTAGTATCACATGGGTATTTATTAGGTTCCAACATATAAATTTTGAGGCAGGGTGGGGGTCACCAACATTCAGACCGTAGCAGTGTTCTTGGTTTTGTTACTTTCTAAATAATACATCATTTTATTCTTGATACCCTCTTTGAGAAAACATTTAGAGAATTACTTTTAAAATATTATAGTAACTACTATTTTAATATTTATTGGCAGTTTTATTGCATGGTGATTAAAAAATAAGGCCTTGGCAGGGCGTGGTGGCTCAAGCCTGTAATCCCAGCACTTTGGGAGGCCGAGGCGAGTGGATCACGAGGTCAGGACTTCTAGACCAGCCTGGCCAACGTGGTGAAAGCCCATCTCTACTAAAAATACAAAAATTAGCTGGATGTGGTGGCGGGCACTTGTAAACTCAGCTACTCAGGAGGCTGAGGCAGGCAAATCACTTGAACCTGGGAGGCAGAGGTTGCAGTGAGTTGAGATCACACCACTGGACTCCAGCCCGGGCAACAGAGCAAGTCTCTGTATCAAAAAAAAAAAAGAAAGAAAGAAAGGAAATAAGAGAAAGAAAGAAAGAAAAAGAAAGAAAGAAAGAAAGAAAGAAAGAAAGAAAGAAAGAAAGAAAGAGAAAGAAAGAGAGAAAGAAGAAAGAAAGAAAGAAAGAAAGGCCTTTATCTATGAGAAGGGCACAAAATTTAGGTGGCAAGAAATAGCATTAGTGTGGAGTTTAAACCTTGAATCTGACCAAATCTTTATTCCAAAGCATTTTATACTGGAAATGACTAGATAACTTTACTTGACAAATTTAAATTATTTTACCACAATCCCCTGTGACCATTTGAATAGAGCTTGGAAACAAGATAAGCTTGGGTTTTTTTTTGTTTGTTTGTTTGTTTGTTTTTTGGTGGGGGTGTCAGGGGTTGGAGAGCAGCTACGTTATTTTATACATCTGAGTTGTGACATATAATTTTTATCTCTGCCCTATAAACAAATAAACAATTACAAAATTATTGTAGGTGTTCTGAAGTAGCAAACAGGAGTTAGATAGGCAAACACAAGTAGGGAAAAGGGATCTATTTTCAACTGGGCCATTAGGGACGGCATGTCTAGAAAGTGACATTACAGCTGAGATCTCAGGGATGACAAGGTACCAGACCCATGAGAATGGGAAGAAAGAGCTTTCAAGTTTAGAGGCCTTAAGGATGGAAGGAACCTGGCGTGTTGTAGCAGTGGACAGAAGGCCAATATGCTGGCAGCATCTTAAACCAAGTTGAGAGTCACCAAAGAAGAGGTTGGAAAAGAGGATAATTTAGATTCTTACCGTTTTTACTTAAATGTTGATGGCCTATGTATCAGTTAGTATAGGACAGGTTACCATAGGGTAACAAATGACCCCCAAATTTCAAAACACAGTTTGATTTCTCAGTCATGACACCTTCTCACTGGGGTTGCCTGAAACTCCACTATGTCTTCACTCCCGGATCTATGGTGACAGGTCAGCCTGTCTGGGATATTGCTGGTTATTACCATGGGGAAAGAATAGAGCGTGAGTCTTCATGCTTCTGCCTGATGTGACACATGCCATTTCTGCCTATATATTGAACAAAGGAAATTACACAGCCATATCCAATTTCAGTAAGATGAGGAAGTATAATCCTCCCTGGGGAAGGGAAGTGCATATTGGTATAGTTATCTCCTTGCAAATCTATGTCCTTCTATACATGTGAACCAAGAAGTAGAGAGAAGTGTACTGCCTTTTTTCTTTACAGATACGCTGGTTATTATCAGAGAAAAGATGACTTTAAAAATTCACGCCATCAGTATTTTTGTCAGTGTGTAGATGTTTTAATTTTAAGACCTCAAATTTCCCACTTCTCTAAATTATAGCAAAACAATTTCTCTTAACCTCACGGGTCCTTAATTTGAGGGCAAAGTTTAAATCAACTTCAGTAGAATAAAATTTCATATTTACTAATTGTAAAAATCATTTCTTCTTTTGGTGGAGCAGCCTCAGCTAGAGAAAGGACCATTTGCCAACAGCACCAAATAGCATAATCTGATGCTAATAATTTACCAAGTGCTTTTCCAAACGTTAAAGTATCATATTTTGGCATTTTATTCATGTTTACATTTGTAAGAGAGTTCAGGCACGTATTAGTATTTACATCTTCTAAACAAAGAAACTGAGGCAGTTTCGTTCTCAAAACCCCACAGCTGGGCCAGTCTTGGCGAGAACAACTTAAATTGATACCATTACCCCTTTCAGCCCCGAGAACCACCAGTACACTTAAGCAATCTTTGTTGGCACCTTTGGTCAATGCAAGGCACAGGGGCAGAAATGTTGGGAATGTTGGGGGAGAAACACAAGAGGGCCAGGCCAAGATATGAAAATTGGTTAGAGATGAAAAACTGCATCTAGCAGGGCTAGATTCATGTCACATTATGTTTTTTTTTCTTTTTTTTTTTTTTTTGTTTGGTTTGGTTTTTGAGATGGAGTCTCTCTCTGTCACCCAGGCTGGAGTGCAGTGGCATGATCTCAGCTCACTGCAACCTTCATCTCCTGGGTTCAAGCGATTCTCCCGAGTAGCTGGGATTACAGGCACCTGCCACCATGCCTGGCTGATTTTTGTATTTTTAGTAGAGATGGGGTTTCACCATGTTGGCTAGGCTGGTCTCAAACTCCTGACCTCAGGTGATCCGCCTGCCTCGGCCCCCCAAAGTGCTGGGATTACAGGCGTGAGCTACTGCACCTGGCCATTTCACGTTATCTTCACTGCTATTCTGAAGCATTTGTGTTGCGGTTGCCCATTGCAGCATAAGACTGTCCTATCTATAATTTTTGTCTCATCCAACCTTGTTTATTATGGGAAAAACACTTCAGTGGTACAGCAGTTTGGAAAACCTTATTATCCTTAAACTATTAAGTATCTGGCTTTGTTTGACAAAGGGGTTGGCTTTCTGTATTGCCTCCTCAAATAATAATGCTGATACCTTCTGTAGGAGATGAAGGGAGCTAAATTTGGTGGCAAGCGTATTCCATTTTCAAAAGAACACTGAGTTTTTCCTGTAGCGATTTTTTGGTGGCCTACTGCTAAGCTCTTAACAATTCCGTAATTCTGTCAATTCCACCAACAGTAGACCGAGAATCACTGCTGCCATGATTGTAGTGTCAGCGTAGTGACTGTATCATAAAAGGTGCTCACTAAAAATTCCAGCCATGGTCATGGGTTCTGAAAGATAGACCAATGTTCACAGGACCGTTGGCTTTATCTCAACAACTTATAACTTGCATTTCAGAGGCTGATGCTAGGGTAAGTAATTATCTAGTATTCAGAGAAAATTTAGACACTGGGATTTGCAGCTATACAAAACTACTCTATAGTTTAAAATTTGAAAAACACGGCCAACACGCTGACCAGTCTTAGTAAGGGAAAACTATCAGTAAGTTAAAGCTGACTTACAGGAATAATTTTAAATATATATATTTGCAGTCAAATAGTATTAAGTGAGTAGTTTTAGTTACTCATTGCTTGTGGCTAAAGAACAAATTTCACAAAACACAGATAATTTCACATTATCCTCTCAAACAAATTTTATTTGTATTCTGCTCTAACAAATATAGTATGAAGGCAACAGTTGTTTTTTAGTGTATGGCACAGATGAAAAGAAACAAACAGATTTAGAAGCAGTCCAGCATTTAAATGCCGGTTTAACAAAAGAGGCACGTATTATCCTATTTAGCAGTTTATACCAGATATCAGAAGCCATTTTTTTTTCCTTGCAAGCAACAGACTACATTTATTTGCATTAAGTAAAAACATATCTTGATCAAGAAAATTACTTTTTTTCTGATTTTCCTTTATATCACAAATGTCAGGGTAAGGCAAATCCTTAATGAATCATGTAATAAAAACCCTATTCCCCAAGAAAATATATTGAACATATTCTGCTAACTTTGTTATTTTTCAAAGCAAAGCCGACATGCGCCACATACAGAGAAATGTCTTTTCAAATCAAGTGCATCAAGCAGAACTGTATTAATTCACAAAGAGGCTTTTCAGTGTTTCATAGAAAGATTTACAATTAGCTGCAGTGATTAATATGTGACCCAGTATCACAGACAGTGATTCGGATGCCTTCTTTGTAATCTTTTATGAAAGAAGACTTGTCCATCATCTGAATAGTTACCAGCTAGAGGAAAAGCCCCTTTGTCTCTCCTACAGCGAGGACCATTTTAATTAGAACTATTATGGTGAAGGCCTACTTTGATCCTCTGTATGCAAACATGACTAACATAGGGCTATTTTCCTCCCTCCCTCCTGTAACTCTTCATGCCACATAGCTGTATTGGAGTTTGGTTGGAAATTGACATCCAGAATTTATGTGCGGGAAAATCAATCAGCTTTTCAAATCTATTTCATTGTACAGCCTGTGCAATGGCAGCACCAGCAAATAAAGGTTTTCTGTGTTCAGGTGTCTTTGATCTGGCTATAGTTAGATTGTTAATATTTCACTATTGAATTGGAAATTAACTTTATCATTTGTTTTAAAGCATAAAACTGTATAGCCAAATAACAACCAAAAAGCATGACAAAGCAAAAATGAAAACACAATCTAATTATAGATGGAAGAATAAACAAATTCAGGAGTCGGGCTGAAGATATTTATTCCTCATTCTCTTAGTTTCCTGGATACAAAGATTACTTTCATTCTTCTAGAATTTTTAGGCAGAGAGAATTCCCTCCTTCCACTTCTAGCCCACCCACATTTGAAATAAATGAATAAAATGACTGTCATTGATGATAAGGAGAATGCCAGGGCTGGATAATTTCCATCCTGGCTGTTTCTAGCAAGGACATTAGGTCTCTTCCATCATTGTTCATTAGAAAATCTCTGTCCCTCTGTTTCCCTCATGTTTTTTTCAACTGTAACTCATTACTGAGGCTAAGTAGCACTAACATTTGGGAGTCACAAGAAAAACGAGCTTCTAGCAGATTGCACTTGTCAAATACTTCACAAGAATGACGGCAACTTTCAATTGAGTTATAAAGATGGCATGAAATGTAGAAACTGTCAATATTTGGATGACATCGTTTCTTGGATTCTTTAAAATGAGCCTTTTCGTTACTTTTCTGAAAAGCAACAACATCTAACGGCAATAGAGGATATAGATGCTTCCATATCAAACTGGAATAGCAACAGAAGGCCATAATCCCACATTATGAGGTCACGTAAATGTCATTCTTGCTGATGTCTTGATTTTATTAAAAAAAATTTGTTAGAATATAGTGCATATGCTGAAGTATAGCTTGTTAACTATTCCAGTATATCAAATAAGCCATCCAGAAGGGGTAACAAATTCAGAAAGGCTAAAACCAAAGTCATAGGAAGATAAGATGAATTTTCCATCAAAAAAGTGCAAAACTGAAGATTTTGATGGGATATTTAGAAAGCAGAACATCCTTTTATTTTAGAAATAATAATCCACTATTTTTCTCCCTCTGTTAAGGAAAAACAATATAAGTAAGTTTTAGTTCTAAAGCCCTTACAAGGAAGATGGATTTAAGAAGATATGCAACAAACGATATGTTTCCACTGAAAACAATGACATGACTTTGGAACCCGGGGAGGCTGTGGGAAGTAGGCATCTGGCCTTATACTGGCTCTAGGATAGATATTGGTGATGATGCCTGGCATCCTCATGGTCGCCATCCCTTGTGCCCACTATACCACTGGCATCTTGGGTTTTTAGTACTGCTGCCCCCCTTCAGAGCTGTATCCTCCCCTTCAGGGTTTTCTGGGTGAGGGGACCAACCATTGAATCAGCCTTGAACTTGGCATAAACAAGTGACAGCATTTAAACACAGGCCAGGAAGGCAGAACTGCAAGCAAAAGCTCTAATTTCCTGTAATTTCAAATGAGACCACTCTGTGGGCTGTCAAGCCTTGGGTGAAGACAGGATATTCTTTTATGGAAAACTCACAGCAATTTCAGGAGGAGCTTTTGATATTCATAGGCATATGTTTGGGTCCTAAATGCACTGCCCCTTTTCTTAGCTTTTAACTGTAACACCTAGCAAAGGGCCATCCTTTACAGTTATGCAGCAGAGAGTCACCTCTTGCTGGTAGTCTCCATGTGAAGACCTCATGAACCAAGTAAGCTCTGCTGAAAGTCAGTGTCAAAGAAGGATGCACCTGCCACCATGGTTAGGAAGGAAGAGACCCAGATGGCTGCCAGGGCCCACCCTTCTGTTATGCCTCTGCACTCTGCTCTGGAAAAAATTCAGCTTCCATATTTCTCATTAGCCACTTGGAACAAATTGTGCCTTGGGAACCCTGAAGAAAATATTTTCACCTCATTGTCCAGACCTTTTCCAAGTGGTTTCCGAGGCTTTTGCCCATTTTCTATCCTGCCTCCTCTGTCTGGGGATTATACTGCTGCTGGGCTCATTGATTCCTAAAATTTATCCTGCAGCTTATCAAACCACTGTCTTCCTCCCCTTCCTTTGAATAAACCACTGTGTGACCAGCTTTGTGAAATAACCAAGAAAGCAGACAGGGGCCAGGATACACATGTGAGTGTTCAATCAAGCCACTGTGACCCTGGGGCAAAGTTGTAAGAGAAAAGACAGAAATTACAAGGATAATGCCTGAAAGATGCGTCAACATGGGTCCCTCCACCAAATTAAAGGAAACTTTTTTTTTCTTTTTTTTCTTTCTTTTTCTGCAGATAAACGGAACAAAATGCAGCTGGAGAAATTAGAGTAAAGGATTCCCCGTCCTTCCATGGGACTTGCCTTCCCCCCACCCCCACCCTCCTCCACAGCGTGTGCTGCTATCTTCCCGAGCTCCCCCAGAGCCAGGAGAGGCCTTGCGATGCTGAGGATTGTCATTTAGTTCCATTTCTTTGTTCCTTCGCTTCATCTTGTGCCCCTGCTGAAGACAAAGAGAAGCCATTTGTTAGATTAAAGATAAGACATCTTCACAGGCTTAGCAAGGAATACATTTTTAATACAGCCATTTAAATGTCTCTCACCCCTCACATAGGCCCAGAAATATCTTATTTGACTATCAAAGAGCTTTAGATGTCTGAACTGTAATTGCTGGCACATGGTATCTTTAAAGAGCATATAAATCACTGTTAATAAATGTATGCCACATTGACAACGAGCTTTGGCTGATGGGGACGATTAACTCAATTCTTCAAAGTATTCGTTGAAAACTGTAACCCTGAGTTGATGTGGCTTCCCTTTTCAGGCCCATGCTCACACTCTAGTTTCCAGGGATCAGCATATAAATAATAACAATTTTCATAATGCTGCTTTGCAAAAGTCATTGATGGTTATGCCACCACTTCAGATTGTACTTATTAAATTATCTGCCTTATTCACTACCCATGAGAGGACACTAAGAAGACACTGTGCCTTGCAAAAACCTATACTCTTTATTTTTTTTAGATTTTTAAAATTGAGGTATAATCTGCCTACAGGAAAACACACAGATCTTAAGCATACATTTCAATCTGTTTTGAAAAATGCATACATTAAACCCACACCACCAAGAAGATATACATGACATCACCCTGGAAAGTTCCCTTCCCTACTACCCCACTCCTGCTGGAATGAACAAATGATCTGATTTCTATCTCCATAAATTAGTTTTTTTCTGCCCTAGGACTCCCTGCTAATGGAATCATACAAGTACCTCATTGTGTCTGTCTCCTTTCACTCAGTGTAATGCTTCTGAGATTCATTCATGTTGCTGCTTTGTTAACAGTAATCTGTTCCTCTTCATTGCTAACTAGAATTCCCATGTATGTATATGTCACTTTTTAAAGTTCATTTTCTTGCTGCGAGACATTTGTGTTGTGTCAAGTTTGGGGCTTTTGTGAGCATATCTGCTATGTGTATTCTTGTACAAGGCTTTTGTGAATATAGGTTTTCATTTCTCTCAAATACTCGGGAACAGAATTGTGGGGCCATAGGATGGATACATACTTTACAAGAAACTAACAATTTTTTAAAAGTGGCTGAACCATTTTATATGTCCCCCAGCCATGTATAAGAGTTCTAGCTCCTCCACATCCTCTGTAACATTTGGTGGTGTTAACTTTATAATTCAATACTAGTGGGATCGTGGTGGGATTTCCTTGTGGTTCTGTATTTTATATCTGCGGTCCCTGGTTTTCAGTAATCTCAGTCCAAATTAAGTTAAACCTGGAGATGCTTGGTGGGTATCAATCAAATACACAGCCCTACACTGCCTAGTCTCCTTGTAGAACTCTTATTGAACTTAACATGTCTTGGTTATTCTCTTCTTCTCCTTCATGTCTCTTCACGTGTCTTTGATACTACTACATTTTAATTTGTTTTTTCTATTGTCGTTAATTATTTAGTGTTGCTCTTTTCTTATTGTTTTAGGTCTGCTTTTATTTGTTTTGTCATTCAAATGTAGTTATTTTATAAAATCTTCAAAATTTCCTACTCTCTTAACGTTCTCATAGTGCTAATTGTCCTGTAATTTTACCTACTGACTCTCACTCAAAATGGATCATTTCCTTGTGTGTTCTGTAAGTCTTAAAACTATGAATTCAACTTCAGAATTTGTTTTTCTTTTGCAGAAATTCCATGGGGTAGTTTCATATTTCCATTTGCCACATACACCAGGAATCACACTGGTCTGTAATCAATTATTAAGTTCATTTTTCAATTTGTTTATTACTGCATGACTTTGGATCACATAAAATTATGTTTCAAACTCACAGTGTATTTGCGGTTTCTATCTATCTTGGGAGCCTTTTTCTCTCCCCATGCAGTACCTGGCGCAGATCCAAGTCTTTCTATTAATTTCTTGAGCTAGAAGTCCTAGATTTATTTATGCAGAGGTATCAGTTCCAACTCCTTACGTTGAATGGTTCAAGGTCCAAGGTGGGCATTAAAATGCAAGACTGTGGCCATAAGGCCTGTCTCTGTATCAACAATCTAAAGCCCCAAATTTAGTGGCTTATAACATGAGTGATTCACTATTTCTCATGATTTTACCATCTGGCCTGGACTGAGCAGGACAGTTCATCTGCTTGAGGGTGGTACCTGCTGGGGCCAGAACATCTGAAAGGGATTCTCATTTTCTAGGACTTTTCTCCATGTGACCTCCTTCATTCTATAGGATAACCTGGGCTTCTTCCAAGGTGTCTGGATTCCAGGCAACGAGCATTACGAGAGTGCAAAAACGGAAGTTACAAGCCTCTTAAAGCTCAACCTAGAAGCCACACTCAGTCTGCCATGTTTCTCCAGAACCAAAGGTTCAGATTCCATAACCATCATTACTGCCCTCAAATACTTGTTGGAAAACATTTACATTTGGAAAGTGTTCCACTGATGCATTTAACCCTCTCCCTGTTGTATCCTTATGCTATCCCTGATTTTTTACAATTACAAATTATACAACGCCAAACATTCTTGTATTATGTCTTTGAGCTCTCTAATTCTATTTCACTGTATTTCTTTAATTTCCTTGAAGGTATGATTCATGGAGCAAGGGTTCCTTCTTTCTGTCAAACGACCAGATCATCTTAACAAACCCTTCTGTGTAAATATTGCTGTGGGAGTCAGTGACGTTGCACAAATCATTCATTCTGCCTCTGTGACAACTGTGTCCAGAAACTTGCTATTGCTTAGGGAGCAGAATTTTGAATTGGAGTATTTAAATTTCCATTTATTAGCCAGGTGACCCTGTGCATGTCACTTCTCCTTCCTGGAATTTAGTTTCCTTAAACTAATTTTGGACTTTAAGTTTTGATACCTGGCCTTTAATCCCAGCACTTTGGGAGGCCGAGGCAAGTAGATCACTTGAGATCAGGAATTCAAGACCAGCCTGGCCAACATGGTGAAACCCTATCTCTATTAAAAATACAAAAAATTAGCCAGTTGTGGTGGTACGCGACTGTAATCCCAGCTACTCAGGAGGCAGAGGCATGAGAATCCCTTGAAACAGGGAGGTGAAGTTTGCAGTAAGCCAAGATCGTGCCACTACACTGTAGCCCGGGTGACAGAGTGAGACTCTGTCTCAAAAAAAAAAAAAAAAAAAAAAAGTTTTGACACCTGATTCATTTGGGTTAACATATGAGTTCATTTTTATTTTCAAGAAAAATATCATTTTGATATTAACCAAGAAAAACAGACTAATCCTGGCACTTCATCTGGACACTGGTCACACAGGAAAGAAATAATGTCTGTAAGAAAAAAGTCTAGACAAGAAGCCTATAGTTTATTGGCAGCAAAAGGGTAAAAGGAAAGGAAACACTGAGGAGCTTGCATTTAAATTGTTCAAGTTTAGTCTCATTTCATTACTTTTTAATGGAAACTCCTCAACCGTATCATTTCTGCAGCTTAGCAGGGTATTTTAAATATATAAAGAAAGTAAAAAAAAAAAGGAGAAATGTTTATAAGAACATGTTTGTATGAGCTTATACTTTTTAGCAGTCTTATGCTATACATGCATTACACAGATACCATTACATTTAGTTTTATAGGATATTCAAGACCATACAGGAATAAGACATGTACTCTTTCACACATTCCCATATTTTATTCTTCCATGATGCTGGAGCACAAGAGTGGTAAAGCCAAGCCTCTTAGGAAAGTGTAGAGAACCATCAAGAACATGCAGTGAGTGCAAGGAGGTACAGGGGGCAAGGGTGTCAACACATTATTTGTGCCTTACACTAGATGACCCATGATTCATTTATTCCATAGGTTTTTTTCTTTTTTTTTTAACAACTAAATATTTTAAACCAGAACTTGGAACAGTTATAACATCAAGCATAATTTCCTTCTTCTAATTCTTCTCATCAGCCCTCAGGGTATGGAAGAGGATTATAGACCACTCAGGTAGCAGTGTAAAGGAGGCTTAGCATGACTAGCTCCATTTTGCTCCCCGCTGCCCCCGTCCAGTGATATCTTTTAGGTTGATTGCTTTTGCTCATCTCTTCATGCAGGGTGAGCTAACTACGGCAGGAATTTACTTTATAGTTCAACTTTAAAGCAAAGATGACAATAGTTCCTTCCCAAAACTAACCACCGAAGAGATAAAGACAGTATGCACACAAGTAACAACATTATGTTAAAGATTTATAGGAGCAATGTGACCTGACCAAGGGCAAAGACGTTTCACAACTCCCCCTTGAACCCTTGCTGCAGTCCAGATGTCTGTCACCTCTTGATCTCAACCACCTCTCTGTTCCTTTTCCTCAAAGAGAAAAGGAGCCTAAAATTCTATAAATTTAGGGTGATTCTTTAGGACATTAATTTGCCATCTTCTTGGTTTGCTGGCTCTTGGAATAAAGTCATTTTCCTTGCCTCAACACGTTGTCTCTTGATGTATTGGCTGCCATGAAGCAAGCAGTACTGGCTTTGGACTCAGTTACACTCATCATTCTAAATATATTTTAGTCTCTACTGAGAGATTTAGAATGTTGGTCTGGAAAAACTCCTAAACATGATCTGGACCAGGCTTTTTATTTTCCTGGGAGTTCCCTGAAGCTCATTCAACGTAACAAACCCAGGCTTTTTATTTTCCTGGGAGTTCCCTGAAGCTCATTCAACATAACAAACCTTTGTGCAGACGCACGGGTCCACAGGTAGTGGTGTGAAAAAAACAGGACCTAAGGCAGGCTTGTTTCTGTCCAAACACACTCATATTCCTTTATACAAACTCCAGGGCAAAGATTGAGTGTTATGCTTAAAGACAGATATACCAAGCAACTCAGCAGGTAGCTTCTAGAAAAGCAATGCTTCAGAATCAGCTTGGAGTTTCTGAAATAATTTGACCACTCCAGGAGGCCAGGGGGTGAGATGGATGGAGACATTTTTTACTTGTCAAAGCACAGAAAACCAGGGTATACATGATTTGAATGTGCTGTAGCTCATCTTTTCCTCTTCAAGATGGCAAGCTTCTAGGGGTGATCGTTTCCCCTTACGCTGTGTTATTTGGTTTAAAGATTTTCAAGGTTTATCCCAAGCCATGCTGTGGGGACTTGGCAAAACCAAGGGAAATCCAGTATGTCATTTGCAAATAGTTCTTATGGCTGGTTGATCATTGAAAATCTCACCACAAGGGGCATCTTACCTATTAGTTGATCTTCTTGTTGACTCTCTGTTGGGTCATTTACCTTGTCAACCTGACTATTCATTTCAACTGTCACCAGAAAAAAAAAAAAAGTTAAATATTCATTAAACCTAAATCTCTGAGACACATTAAAATGACCCATGATTTGATACTTTCCTGATTTCCTATTTGATGCCTCTTTTCCATTTGTTTTCATTCATTCAAGATTTGGGGACTATTCTTGTAGATTTTTACTGGTGGGGGTAGAGGATATACCTCAGACGCCCCCTTCAAATCTTATGTTGAAATGTAATCCCTAATGTTGGAGGTGGGGCCTGGTGAGAGGTGATTGGATTGCAGGGATGTATCCTTCATGAATGGTTTAGTGCCATCTTCTTAGTGATGAGTGAGCTCATATGAGATCTGGTTGTTTAAAAGTGTGTGACACGTTGCTTCTAGTCTTGCTTCTAGTCTGGCCATGTGAGTTGCATACTCCCCCTTCCTCTCCCGCCATGATTGTAAGCTTCCTGAGTTCCTCATCAGAAGCAGATGCTGGCACCCTGCTTCCTGTAAAGCCTGCAGAACCATGAGACAAACCTCTTTTCTTTCTAAATTATCCAGTCTTGGGTATTTCTTTATAGCAACACAAAAAAGGCCTAACCCATTGTGGGAGGGCAGGATTGCCTCTTCCCTCAACTGAAACTGAGTCGTCACTTCAGACCAGATTTTTGGGTTGACAGTTTGGATGTACATATTATGATTCTTGGATAAATGCAAAGGCTTTAATAGATATCTAAGAAAATAAAGAGAGAAGGCAAAGCAAAGCACATCACTGACATGCAGAGAGGTAAGCAGCTTGCTCCAAAATGTCAATATCAGGCCTGTTTGGTTTGCCATACTTTCAATTTCGAATTCAAAACAGACCTTGTAGACTTGCCGACGGCTGCTGTAGTGGCAGTGAGCGGCCATGAAATTAAAAAGCCGACCATCTAACCAGATCCCGTAGTTGTGATAAAACGTGTGCTTTTACCTGACTCAGTGTATTCTATGTGAGCATTTGAATAAAAATAGAATGCATGATTACTGCCATTCTCCAGAAGTAACCCAGAGCAGGCATAGCACTCACTCTAAATTTTCCAAGGGTCAGTAGGTTTAATTAGATTGATATTTTCTCAAGCATCAAAGTCCACATTATAAGCTGAGAAAATCAGTATACAAATAGACAATGGCCAGATCATATATAATGATAGAATTCTGATGTAAAACCTCTGCAGAAGCTAGCCTAGGCAACCAAAACACAGTCTCTGCAGCAATTGACTCAGAATGGTCAGGACTTGGTCAGTGACTGTCAGCGTCCCTATTTTTTACCTCTGCTTCCAACTTGGGACCAACCAGGGAAGGCCAAATGTATTCCCTAATACAATCACTTAAGGTGCCCCACTTCTAGTTAGCCATGTCCAGCTTCTCTAGGCCAACAACCTCCAATCAGAGCATGCTTGAAGTATTCTCTTTTTCTAACCTATAAAGGGGGGTTTCCCATCCCCTGCCCGCCTTTGAGCCTGCCAAACACAAGTGATAATGGCCACCCTTGTTATAGTTACCTTTGAATAAGTAACCACTGTTTGTTCTCATTTGGGCAGTTTTCATTTATTTGCACAAAACCAACAGCCTGTATCTCCTTTTTCACAAACATGAAATTAGTGTAAAGTAGTGGCAGATGCTGATTTTCACACTTCAAAGAGGCTTGAAAGAGAGAATGACTTTATATGGCATCCACTGAACTCTCTCCCAATAAGGAAGGTTTTAAAAGCAGGTCTCAGTGTTCTCACCTGCAAACTGCCCTGAGTTTCTAATGATGTGTGAACTCATTTTAAACCCCATAAATAAACTGGCCCCAGATGCAGCAACCCTATGTAAGTATAAGCATTCATCCACCGTCCATCCTGCTCTGCAAAGTTATTGTGAGTTCACCCTTCTCAGTGTGGGAGTGTGCAGGATAAAATACAGGAGAGTATTCCTTTTCTGTTTCTTCTTCCAACCAAGGGATACTAGTTCTAAAACCTACTAATAAATGGTACAATAAAAAGCATCCCATCACCAAATAAGTTTGGGAAAAGCAACTTTAAATCTTGTTAAACATGTCTCTTTACCTCTGAGACTTCTGAGGGCCTGCAATCCTCTGCTGTGTATGGTGAATCTCTAAGTGAGGACTAAAACTCCGTATTTCACATTTACTTCTCTTTTATTCATGGGCCTGATAGTCCTCAGAACATGATTTGTAAATAACTAGTTAAGAACCATGTCTGTAGCATCACAACCAAGCTGAAGCAGGTTTAGTTCAACTGCTCATAACTAACAAGCAGTGGCTCTTAAGGGATGGGTCTGGGGCTTAAAAACATTGTTCTCACAGGCAATGCATGCCCATGAGTAAAAAGCCAATTTGGGCAATATAAGCCGATGGGCTTATAATTAAGGAAGGCAATTCAGGTGATGATAAGCCGGTGGGAACAAGGAATACCTGGTATAGGAAATTCTATTTAAAACTATAAATAACATCCACCATTGGCTAAATTTTTTCCAAGGTCATTATCAACTCAAAGTAATTTGTTTTTTTCCTTTGGCTAAAATAACCCAAATGGCAAGATACTTAAATGACTGACCACCTAACCAATTCTGGTTCTCCTAAACTCTATGGGCCAGTGGAATCAAATACTTATTACATTAGGTAGGCTTAAATAGTTGTTTCTCTAATGTAAGTAATGGTATTTCAAAGGGCCCTTAGCATCTTTGTGCAGGGGAAAAGGGATATTAATATTCCTGAGGCTCAGACTCTTTAGATGCCTACAAAATTAGATGTAAGTTTTTAAAGGTTGTTTGAAAATTTATTTTTAAGGTGCTTTTAAAGACTCACTATGTTTTTAACCAAGGCAATGGATGTGATACAGTGGAGTGAAGTGATGAAGGTACAAGAACAATCTTAGCCCACACCAAAGGTAGGGCTCTCCCGAATGCTGAGTGGAGCAGGGTAACAGGAGGCTAAGTAGGCTAAGTACCTTTTGCAGAAGTAAGTAATGCTTCCATAAAGTTCACTAGATAGACTTCAGTTCAGTTTAGTCTTGAAAGTATCTATTGAGTCCTCAGTATTATAAGATATGATTAAACCAGGACATATGCTGTTTTAAAACAGCTAGAAACAGGTTTTTTTTTTAAATAAGAGGTTGCCATTTTTATTAGTTTGTAGCACAAAATTGTTTTTGAAATTTACTGTGTTCTAACCAAATATGTTGCTTTATAGAACAGATAGTTCCCTTAATCCTAGATTACACATAGAAAATATGCCAGATTTGTAGTTTCCATGGGCTCCAATAGCTCAGAACCTTACCATCAGGACCTGGAGTATTTTCTAGGTCACTGGAGCCTTCACTTTTCCCAGGCATCCTAGGTGTGTCCTCGCCTGGAGCTGGAAGAGAAAAAGACCACAGTCCCTGATGAATAGAGAATTATAACAGCCTGAGGGCCAATCATTTCTGTCACCCTCCATTGCCCTTTTAAATTCAAAAATACTCCTGGGATTCAACTTCTTTTGCAGAAAAGGTTAAAAGAGGAAACAGAGGGTTGAGTTGCTTGAATACTTTTGTGTGGCCTTCTAAGTTCTCTTTAATTTGTGAGATGATCACATATATACATATATAGTTTCTCAAATTAGAAATCTGGTAGCATGACAGCAGGAAAAGTTGATTTCCTCAGAACAACCTACAGTTTAAATTTAGGGAAGTGTGTCTGTATGCATGGGTGGGTGTGAGAGAGAGTTTATGTAGTTTAACCTTAGAAGAAGAAAAAGAGAAAATGAATTTTGCCTTAGGCATGACTGAAAGCTGAAAGATTCATTCTCCTGGTAGTGAGAGTTTTTGTTGTTGTTGTTGTTTGTTTTTTAAACAGAAACAAATGGTTTAGTTGTTTCCTTAGGAGACCTCTGATGCTGCCATTTCGGATTGCTGAGAATTTAGTCGTCAGTAGATTTCCTTTGTGACTGGCCTCTATTTGCACAGCTTCACAAGGTGCTTCGATAAGATGCTTCAATGTAGTAAAGGAATTGTGTTTCATATTGTAAAAACATTTCCAGGTATTCAAAAGGACAATCATTTCTTGCTTCTTAGTTAAATCTCTCTTAAGTTTTTATAACTTGAAGAGCAAGGACATTTGTAAATACAAATACATACATAAAGTGCTAGAAAACCCATAATTTTAAAGGTTTTATGATTCCTGTACATTTTTAAAGAGAGGATTAAATTTATTTTCATTACCTGATTACTTACTGTGTCCAGAGTATGTTAAACTTCATGTGCCTATTGATGAGAAAAAAGCAAGGACAGGAAAGATCCAGTTTATAATGTCTACAAAGGAAGAGATCTTCAGAGGTAGAATTTGTACTCTTGGTAATGGTGTATTGAGGTTGACAATTAAGAAATATGATTCAAAGGTGACTGGGCTCTGAGCTTAGGTAGATGAATGGCAGAGAGGTCATTAATTGATGACATATAAAACAAGCAGAGTGGGAAAAGAAGAACAAAGTCATTTTAGATTTAAAGCCTGAAGTGTAGGGGCATTTATGTGAGATATCAAACAAGTTTTGCATCTAGCACTGGGGAGAGAATTATGAGAAGAGAATTATGAATGGAACATGTGGGTATTTGGGGGACACCAAGATAGGGTAACATTCATAGTATGAAAGTAGATGAAAGAACTCAGGAAAAAGATAACACAAGGGAAAAAAAGGACTCATGGTCTCCTCAACTCTTCAAGGACAAGATGAAAGTCACTGTGTCCACAGTGCTTTTCACTAGCTCCTGAGAATGAGGTGGAAAAGGAAAAACAAAACTTGGAACTTCCAACTGGACTTGTTAACACTATATAATACCTTTCTCACACTGCCTATTCTAGAAATATATCATTTTTCAATTGTTCATCAACATACTCCTTGAACACACAATTACAGAAGAAACCATTTGTGAACTCCCCTAAGCCTGCGAGCAGGAAAACTTTGCTAATTATGCCTTAGAACACAGAAGTAATAGGGAGCAAGAACAAAATATTTGACTTTATAAACATAATAAACTTTTTAATGGAAAAAATACCAAAAGAAATGTTTAAAAAGCTACAAATTGAGGGAAAATATTTGCACCTTTTATCGTAGACAAAGTGTTACTACAATCTTTAATATATAAGGCCTTTTAAAAATGGAGATGAAGAAGACCACCAACTTAATAGGAAAATGGACAAGAGATTTAACAGACAGTTAATAAAAGAAGATATAAAAATGGCCTGCAAAACACATGAAAAGGTAATTTACTTTGCTAACAACAAAAGGAATGCAAATTAAAATTATAATGAGAAAGGGATTCTGCCTAAGGTGGACTGTAATGATTCAGACTAACCCTCTACCAAGAACAGCTAGAAACACTGAACATATTATTTAAAATAGCATTGTAAGGCCCCAGAGTGCTATGAATGCAGGACAAACCTGAGGAAATGCAAAATGGTGAAGCTGACATTGCACATGTGTCAAGAAGTTGAATAGAGCCTGCAGGTGTTTTGTGAGGCTAGGGGCAGGGAGCAAAACTTGAAGGTTGGGTTCTACCAAGGAGAGGTACCCTGCTAACTACCTCAGGTTTTTGGTGGGGTACCCTGAAGGGTTATATCCTGGGGACAAGCATGAACTTGAAATAGACCATCTCTTTAAAAAAACCTGAAGTCTAACTTTTAATTAATACAATTCCTGATTGAATTATAGTGCTCTGCTGTCAGAAGCAAAAGTAAATCTTCTCTGGAGGAAGATTAAAAGCCTCAAGTTATCTCTACAGTTTTTCAAACAGTGTCCAGAATTCAATGCGAAAATTACCTGGCATTTCAGAGGAACAAGAACAAGTCACTGAAAACCAAGAGAATAAAAGAGATGACATATGGATAGACATCAGAGATCCAGGTATTGCAGAGGCAGCTTAAATAACAATTAATGTATTTTGGAAATTGGATGCCAAGTTGAATAATTTTTACGGCAAAGTAGTTTATCAGAGAGCTGGATACTTTTTCAAAAGTCAGATGAAAATTCTAGAACCGAAAAAAAAAAACCCCACAAAAACAAGTTAAGAATTAAATAGGTGATTTTGACAGCAGGTAGACCCAGTTGAAGAGGTGATTAGTAAGCCAAAAGCTAGGTCGGAAAAAGATACGAAGCCTAAATTGCAGATGAAAACCCCAGATAAGAGTGAAGGAACCATATGAGATAGGATTTATCCTATGTAAAATAGAGCAAAAGGAATATTTTAAGAGATAATGTCTGATAATTTGCCAAAATTAATGAAAGATATCAGATATCATCTCAAACCACTGTTTCAAGACTGTTATGATTCCGAAGCAAAATTAATGAAAAAAACTATCACTCAGTCTAATCATTGTGAAACTGCTGAAAACCAACATTAAAGAAAAAAAAAGTTATCTAGTGAATAAAGATCCATTAACTTCAAAATAACAATAAAACTTATAGATAAATTCATAACAAAAATAATGGAAGCCAGAGATGATGCAATGACATCTTTGAAGTGTTAAAAAAAAAAAGATTTTCAAATTTGAATTTGAAATAAAATATTTTTCAGAGAATATGACTGAGAGAATTTGGTGTCCACAGACCTATGCTGAAGAAATAGTTTCCCCTACCCTCAAAAAGAAATAAATGTGAAAGGTAATGTGGACAAAGACCTTCACATCATTATGCAAAATTTCTTACACAGGACAAAGCACCAACCATTAAAATAAGTTTATCAAAACATGCTAAGGGAGAGGAAAATAAGCCAAAAGACTCCTGTACAGAATATATAAGAAATAAACATACAAAATAACCTTGAAAAGACAGGGAACCCAACAGAAAGTGGACAAGACACAAACAGACGTGTCACAAAAGAGGATATTGTGGCTGGTCATTTAATTTTTTCAATAACTTTGACCAAATCTCATAGCACTTAAAAGCCTTGGCTTTTTCACTAGTAAAATGATTATAAAATATTCTGACTCATCTTAACTCTCTGGGACATCATCAGACCTATTTAAAATATAATATTATTATTATTTATATGAAATGATTACTGTGGAAAAATTAATTGATAAGCTCTATCTAAGCATTACTTTCTTGACTATTTTCTTAGGGTCCTTGTTTCTGATGGGATCTAGAGGTACCTGTAGCTGATTCTTTCAGGAAATATCTTTCTAAGTTGTTACTCTCAATGGTAATAACCCTGGTTACATTACTATGGGGAAACCCCTCTGGTATCACAGAGAACTTTCTATCTAATAGGCATAATTCTAGTCTATTAAACAATGCTTAGTGAAATAAGGGAGGGTACAAAACACTTTCAAAAGTTAGGTGAGAGAGAGGAAAAAGTTGAAGAAAGCAAAATGCAAATAGCAAATCAGAAAACAGTAAACATTTAAATTTCTAGCCCTATGCTTGTCCTTCTAACCTCACTTCACAATGGAATGTGTGAGAAATCTCAGGTTGTGCCACAGTATTGGCATAGATTAGTATGAGATTCAATGGCAGATTTGAAATCCATGAAACAGAGAGAAAAAAACAGAAATCAAAGTTGTAGCTCTGTATACCACTATATTCCTGGAGCAGAGGGAAGTATAGTCTGTTAGATCTGCTTTCCAAGACTCCAATATCATGTTTGGTAGAGATTGTTCATTAATTTAATATCATGAGTGCACATGAGGTTTTCCTGTATGTGTGGACATGCACTGTGAATATGATGCATATGTGTGCAATGGTATGTTTATGTGAATTTGCATGTGCGTGCGTGCATGTGTGTGTGAGTTGTTTGTTTGGAAAGTGGGAGAGGAATGACAGATATTTCTTACTGTGTCATGCATGTGGAACTGGTACTATCCTAATAGCTTCTACATCGCTGGGCAGTGCAACTGGATGCCCTACAGAAATGAATCCATTTCACATAGACAACATAATCTGATAAAAACAAAAATGGCCTCTGTGGCCTATTTATTACAGTTTGCCTGTCCCTCCTTCCATTTGGATTGCTGCTGGTTGAAACACAAACAAGAGGTACATTCCAGAGCTCCTAGCAGGGGATAAAAGATGCAGAAATAGAAAAAGTCTGGGACATTCAGTACTATTTTCATTTTCTATCAACAACTGCAACTGTACTGCTCAAACCCTTGATTATAGCAATTTTTTCTAGGTTAGTGGAGTTACATAAAAAGTAATAAATGAGGCAGATGTCATCATAGAAGAAAAGATACTGAGATGCACACAGAATGTAGTTAATTAGACTTTTAAATATATAAACGTGAGAGATGCTGGCCGGGGGAGGAGTCCTCCAAGCTTTTCTTTTGAGATGTGTATTGACAGTAAACTTCACACAACAAATAGAATTACAAGTAATTATTTGGCAGAATCTGTAGTTGCATAGGTGACATGATAGGTACAGAGCTCAGGGCCTGTCTGGATTCAATTGTATTGAATTAAAGTGGTATCAACCGAAAGCAAACCTTCTTGAACCACCTTGACAACTTTTGCCATACCTATGTTCCAACTTCACTATTAATGTAATTGGATTAGATAATGCGTTCAGAAATGTTTCCTTCCTACCTGCCACCCTCATGGGAATCTACTTCACTCTCTCTTGATGCTGGGCTTAATTACAAAATTTGCTTTGGCCAATGGGATGTTAGCAGAAGTGTGTCAAGGAGAGACTTGAAATGCATTTGACAGTTGGGGCTTTCCTTCTCCTACCTTTTACCGCAAGGACAACATGCTTTAGGGGTAGCTCATCCGAGGAGGATGAGACCAGGACTCAGCTCATGTGGATGGATACACTTCCTGGCCCAGACTAGTTGCAGTTGATCCTAATATCCATGAGCAAAAGAACAGACAACTGTTCTAAATCCCCTGAGGTTGAAGATGGTTTGAGATGAAGCATTACATTACTGTGGTGATAGCTAACTAACACACATAATAATACACTTCTAATCGATTCAGTTCTAAATTTTTCTTAATTTTGTCCCATAGAAATTATAGCTATGAAATCTTGAGCTTCATTTGTGGCTAATTTTTTAACATGCCATAATGTGTTAATCTTTACATCACCTAAAATCATCTATCAAACTACAAATGGTGAGTGTACATAACTTTGAGAAACACTGAATTAATGTATACAAAGGAGAAGTCCCTTAACAGGCTAAACTCTGCTCACTTCTTTTCCTCTGGGTAGATACTCAGTAGTGGGATTGCTGGATTAACTGGGAGTTCTACATTTGAAAAAGATACTTGCACATGCATGTTTATAGCAGCACAATTCACAACTGCAAAATCGTGGAACCAACCCAAAGGCTCATCAGTCAATGAGTGGATAAAGAAACTCTGGTATATATATAATATATAATATTTTATATTATATTTTATATATAATATATAATATTTTATATTTTATATTATATTTTATATATAATATATAATATATAATATTTTATATTATATTTTATATATAATATATAATATTTTATATTACATATTATATTTTATATATAATATTTTATATTCTATATTATATTTTATATATTAGTTATATGATAGAATACTACTCAGCCATTAAAAGGAATAAATTAACAGCATTTACAATGACATGGATGAGATTGGAGACTATGATTCTAAGTGAAGTAACTCAGGAATGGAGAACCAAAGATCGTATGTTCTCACTGATATGTGGGAGCTAAGCTATGAGGACGCAAAGGCATAAGAATGATGCAATGGACTTTGGGGACTTAGGGGGAAGAGTATGAGAGGGCAAGAGATAAAGGACAACATATATGGTGCAGTATATACTGCTCAGGTGATGGGTGCACCAGGATCTCACAAATCACCACTAAAGAACTTACTCATGTAACCAAATATCACCTGTACCCCAATAACTTATGGAAAAATAAAATAATAATAATAAAGTGTTAAAACTGAATATAATACCAAAAACAAACAAACAAAAAATAAACTGTGCTCACTGTGGTATGGTTCTAAAATGGAAGAAAACTGGTCTTGGAGTTTAGGGCATCTGCACGTACATTTAACTCCCAAGCTCGGATGGAAGAAGGCTATTATTCCATATGCACAGACACGAATTTATGTTCTTTTTAAGCTAATGATTGTTGGAAAAGATGAGCTCAATTAGATTTCATTTTCCCCTAGACTTCCCAGTTCACTGTCTAGGTCTAGAATGCATGTGCAACTAAGTGAAAGGAGATCAAAGACCAATTTAATGAGGAATAACACAGCGTCAATATCAACACCAGCTTGAAGAGAAGCTGAGTCCACGGTACACTATACCGTAATGATGCTTTCCCACAAACTGCTCCTTATAATGAAGTCAACAGCATTATCTAAAATAATCATCATGTGGTTCCAACAGCCATAAACTAAATAAATTTAACTTCTAAAAAAGCATTCCAGTCCTTGATAATGGCATGGATTTATTCATTCACATAGCTGTAGTAATGTCCAGGTTTCATATTCAGGTATTTTGTGAAAATCCATAGGGGTGCAAGGGGTAAACACTTGCTCTTAAAATTCATCCAGTGTGAAAGGAGTCAAAATAAAACAGGTAGCAATTTACCCCACTTTCCCTACAACAAATGCCATTCAACAAACCACAACTCCAACTTCTAGAAATTCCTTCTCTCATTGAGTATGCCTTTGATTTTTTCTCTCTCTGTGTCTCTCCCTTTCTCTTTCTCCCCCACCCCACCCCCTACTGTGATAGGTTCTGAACCTCAAGTCTGCTTACTTCTGGCTATCTTTCTCAGAGGTGTCACTATTAGTGAAAGGGGATGAAGTTTAACTCACTAGACTTAGGCAGAGCTGATTTCAAATCCAAGTCCTGGCATTTCTATTTATGTGATTTGGGGGCAAGTTCTGCTCACTTCCAGAGTCTTGGTTTTGTCACTTGTAGAGGGAGTTAATGATAACTCTCTCATAAAACTGGAGGATTGAAAGACATAATGACTGACTATCATAAATGCCTGATTAATATTTATTGGCTACTTCTGGGTATCTCTTTATCACTGACCCTTAAGAACACAAACCTAGCTGAATCACCTCTTCATATCATTCAATAATTTACCACATATCCCTCCTCTGGGGTATCATTCATTCATTATTCTATTATACAGCCAGCATATTGTGCTGCATACCTACTATGTATGAAGCTTAATTTAAAAAGTTAAATGAATTAGAGCTCTGATGTAGCTAGATTAAATCTCAGAGGAGAAAGCACTGTTGCTTTTCGGCATTGTATTTTTCTTTTATTCCTTCTCCTTGTCCATAATTAGCTTTCTTGCATTCTACATCTACATGAAGAACAAATAAGTATCAAAAATAAAATGTCACACAGTCTCTCTTTCTGACTTTGGAACAAGATTTATTCTTTTCAATTTACTATAGGTAAATTGGTCCAGTCTTTATTTAAAAGTCAGATTCCATATAAAAACTTTATTAACATGTAGCTATTTTACTCTCAGTCTTTAAGTTTTTAGTTGGAAATGGGCTGTTTTAATTAACAAGTGCCAAGAATAATTGTTTTTAGTCAAAAGTAATGTTTAAATTCTTTAGTCACAGTCACGCAAAATAAGTCAAAGGCTTTTAACCCATTGTGCTGCTCTTCAGAGGCATTTTCAGTTTTTACCTCTTAGTAGATAGGGTGTCCAGAGTCTTCCCCTCCTCTCCTGTCCTTCCTCTTACCTTTTCCTCATTTTCCTTTTGTTTCTTCCTTCCTTCTCTCTTTTTTCCTCCCCTTCCCTCCCTCCCTCCCTTCCTGCCCTTCCTTCCTCTCTTCCTTCCTCTCTTCCCTCCTCCCTTTCTTCCCTTCTTCTCTCCTTCTTCCTCCACCTTTCTTCCTGTATCCTAATTTTTTCCCTCCTTCCCTCTTCTCATCCATCCCTCTTTCCTTTTCTTTCTTCCCTCCCTCTTTTCTTCCTTCTTTTTGTCCCTCCTTCCCTCCTTCCTCTACCTTCCTTCCTGCATCCTAGTTTCTCCTTCTCTCCTTCCCTGCCTCCCTTCTTTCTCCTTCCCTCCCCTCTTTCTTCCTTTCTTCCTTGAATTTAAGACTTATTATTATGGACACTTTCATGTTTTATGAAGATTTAATTAACCAAAACAAACTACAATTTAATGAGATATTAATATATAATTTTTTAATGTCAAGTTTCATTTTAGATACAGGGGTACATGTGCAGATTTGTTACTTGGGAATATTGCATGACGCTGAAGTTTGGAGTACGGATCCTGTCACCCTGGTGGTAAGCATAGCACCCGATTGGTAGTTTCTTCACCCACTCCACTCCCTCCACCCTCCAAGGGTCCACATTGTATATTGTTCCCATATTTATTCCATGTGTGCTCATTGCTTAGCTCCCACTTACAGGTGAAAACATACTATATGCTAACTTTTTAAAATAGCATGCGTTTATTTCTAAATAGAAATAAAGATAAAGTTCAATAAACCTAACCCTTAAATAACTGTAGTGACATTAAAAAACAACAGAAAGGACACTTACACATAATTAACACTTTCAAACTGCTCAGAAAAATGCTAATGAAAAATGACCCTGAACAACTCTTTCCATGTTAAAATGTTCCTATTACCTTCCCAGAAAAAAATAATGCACACAATTCCCATCTCTTTCATTCTCTCTCTTTGCTCTTTTCCCACTCTTGCCCTACTTCATACCCTCTCTCATCTCAGTTTTCATTTACTTAAAATATAGATGATACTTTCTATTCTCTGCAGTCTGGCCTTTTTATTTTCTACATAAATATATGTATTTATAATACGTACATACTTTATTAGCAGGTACTAGCAAATGTGCATTGATTAGTATTGCATTTTAATATGTGCATTGATTTTAGTGCCTATTCAATATATGCATTTACTATATATCGATGAGCATGCCATTGTAATCTGTGTTAATATCTCATTGCATAAATATAGATATATCATAATTTCTTTATCCAGGCCCACATCAGTGGACTTCTGATGTGTTTCTACACTGTTGCTTTTACAAACAGCTTCAGTGAATGTTCTTGCACTTATATTTTGGAAAGATTTTGTAAATATTTCCCAAGGATGAATTCCGAGTGAATTTCTAGATCTAGTGTATGTGAACTGTTAATCTTCATAGATGTTACAAAATTTCCTTCCAAAAAGGTCAGATCAATCAGATCACTTAGAGCATGATAATGATAACGATAATGATTTCTCCGCAATCTCCAGCAGTGAGTATACTCAAACTTTTCAGGGAAGAAAACAGTATGTCCTCATTGTTTTGATTTACATTACGAGTGAAATTACCCTTTCTACCTCCCTTCTTTTCTTCCTCCTCCCTGTCTTTTGTCATCTGTTTTTATATTTTACCAATTTCCTATTTGATTGTTTTTTTTCCATGATTTTTGTATATTCTAAACTAAGAAAATTAACCCTTCCCTGTCTAATACATTGTGAATATTTTCTCCTGGATTGTCATCTTTTTATTTTCTTTAAGATACATTAAATAAATTTAACTATGTATTCTTCTAAAAGTTTTAGGTATTTTTAAGTGACATGTCATGTGCCAGTATAACCATAAAATTCTTTATTAAAAATCGTTAAACTTATCAAAGATGTGTTTCAGGACGAGATTTCTGTATTGATTTTTTAAAACATGGTTTGACCATTAGATCATCAATTCAGCTTCCCTTTGTTTTAAGACATTTTCTGTTCTATACATTGACTTCTAAATTTCAGCGACACCTATCATTCTCACATAGAGCAATTTTTGTGTTTTCTCTTCCATATGTATTATATTTTCACTGTGAAAATCTCAACCTTTTTTCTTTGTCAGTAATTTGGTCTTTGCTGTTCTTAACTGATTTATTTCTCTAAGAGTGGAACATTTATCTCCTTAGTTCTTACATTTCAGATCAGTTATGTTATTTTTATCACTGCATCTTCAAGCTTGTTAACATTTTTTCAAAGTTCATCTGTGGTCATTGCAGGGAATTTGGATCTTTCTCTTGGGTTATGTTTTCTTCCACAGTACGTTCTTCACCTGCCCTTTACTGGGTTGCATGCTCACTTGCTCTCTTCCTTCCTTCCCTCTCTTTCTCAGTCAAGGTTTCAGTGTGCTTGCAGGGTGATGTGTATGCCACATGCATGTCAGCAAGCTGCTCCCTTTCTATACTGCTCTGTGGCTCCTTGGTCCTCCAGCAGCTGCCTAGAAGCCTTTCATTTGGAGGTTTTCCTTGGGAGGGGTAAAGCAGCCACATTCATTGTGTTGGATTTCTCAGCAAGTATATAGCATATCCCACGCCCAGCCCAGGTTCCCCCCAAATTTGTCTGCACAGTTGCCATCTTGGACTTCCATAGTGGGGGATATCTTTGGGGCTTGGACTTCCCATAGTGGGCACTATCTTTGGGGCTTGGATAATTCCTTCAATTCAACATGAGACTCAGAACTTTCCAGGAGAAAGAGTCAGTCTGAAAGTTCCTCTGTTCCCTTTTGCTGTTTTCTTTCTTAGCCTTCCACCCTAGCAGGTGATAAACCCTCTGCAGCCTTGTCAGAGAGCGAAGGTGGCTCCTTCTTCAAGGAAGCATCACCTGGGGCCTGCTAGCACCTCCTTCCCTGGTTCTTGTTCACGCCAGAGACCTTGCCTTATGTATGTCCTCTTAAATTTTCTATTTTGTGAAATTCCCGGGATTTTGCTAGAGATAATTAGTTCTAGTCATTTGTTATTGGTCTGCTTTTTCTTTCCCGTTTTCCTTCAGAGGTATTGACATGGAGGATTACAAAGGTTATTCTTGTTTCTCTGGGGAAAGACTGAGTAAAAGGTGTTCATGGCTGACTTCATGCTCTTGTGGAAATTTCCTTGGCCTTTTCTCTCCTAGTTAGGGAGGTAAATGGTAGCTGGTGTGATCTTATTCAGGATGATTTCTGAGCCTGTAGAGTTAGGGATGGGGTAGGGCAACACCAGGCTCGTTCCTTCCGCACATTTCCAGAAAGGTGCCTTCCTTTTGCTGGCTACCCACCCTTTCTTTCGTTTAATTACTGTTTTTGTTGATGATACTTGCTTGCCTGTTTTACTTCTCTTCCTTCATATTGTTAAGTTTGGAGGAGAGTAAGGTTTTAAAATGTGACTACACACCACCTTCTTTCACCCAAGATCAGGTGTTCAGAGGCTCTTGATTCTTCTAGGTATTCGTTGTGGGTGTCACATGCACCTGGCCTTTGCCAGCAGCTGGTTTCAAGAATATTTTTCAAATGATGGTTCTGATCAGACTTGATATGATGGATTAGTATTTGTGTCCTCCCAAAATTCAAAGGTTGTAGCCCCAACCTGCAAGTTACTGTATTTATAAATAGGGCCTTTTGGAGACAACCAAGGTTAAATGAGGTCATGAGGGTGGGACCTTAATCTGATAGGACTGTGGCCTTATGCAAAGAAGAAGAGAGAAATCTCTCTCTGCTCTGCCATGCGAGGACACGGTGAGAAGACGGCTGTCTATGAAACAGGAAGCAAATTTTCACCAGAAACCAAATTAGCAGCACCTCGATCTTGGACTTCCAGCCTCCAGAACTGGGAGAAATACATTTCTGTTGTTTAAGCGCCCCAGCCTAAGGTATTTTGTTATGGCAGCCGAGCAGATGGATACACTTGATTTACACTTAGTCCATGCTTCTTTAGGACAAAGATACAATTGATTGTATGCCATCTGTTACTCACCTAGTCTGTTTTTTCCAAATAGCCTCCATCCTAAAGCTGCTACTTGACCACTGAACCTCTCTTCGTCACTTGGACAAACACTGTAGACACACACATTTGGCCCCCTCTCCAAAGTCAAATAGTGAATGATTACACTGACAGGAACATACTTGTGGAAAATGTGCCTGTGCCTGTTTTTACAAAAGACCCTTTCCATGGCAACAGAAATTTTCATGTATTAGTTGGGAATACTCTACCCTAATCAAAATCAGAAACTGTCTTTACCAAGTGATGAAAGGCAGTGATGATAGCTGAGGGTGAGCACGAGATCCTGATATATAGAAATACTTTTATGTTTGGCCAGATAATATGCCTCCATATGCCTCTTTGAGAATGGTTTGGAAATGCTTCATCAGTCATCGTCAGAATAACTACTCTACAGAGAACTCAGTATTTAGGAAGAAGAGCAAAAAAAAAAAAAATGTCCACCAGGTACTTCAATGCCTATTATGTTCTGGGATACAAAATGAATGAGGCACACCTCTGCCCTCATGGAGTTCACAAGCCAGCCAACGCAGAGAGAAAGTCATCCCCCACCCACGAGGCCAAATGGCAAGCACTGTCATATGAACCAAGCATGGTGGATGCACAAAGGAGAGAGTGAGCCACCTTTTGTGAGGATGAAGAAAAATCTTTGAGGACAAGAAAATAACATTTGAGTTGGAACTAGATGGATGAGTCAGTTTCAAAGGAGTTCCAGCTTCTCTGTATAGTGGTCCCAACCACTGAAGCCTTCCCAGGTGTCATCACATTTGGCTTAACTGAGCTGCATTCTGATCACATTCCACATGTCTGGCTTTTTCTTTCCCTTTTCCAGGCCTCAATTAAGCATCTAATTCTCATTCAGCCTCATTATGCATTCTCCACCCCTCCAGGGCTTGGCTGGAATGAAATGAAGACTATAAGGAGGCCCTTCTCAGCTGGGGGCTGCCAGAGCTGATCTCAGATCAGGGTCTTTCCAGCAGGAATAATGCAAATTGGGTGTCTCTAACACTCCCCTCCACCCCATCATGCACCTTTTGTGGCTTTTGTTTCTCTGCAGAAACCAGCTAAATCTGTACACAGCAGGGTCCTAGTGAACACAGAGATATGTACTTTTTCCAGAGGAGTTTCTTGATTCTTTTACTCTAATAGGGTTTTAACTATGTAAGGAGCCACAGTGGGGGCAACTTCTGTCTTTTCAATGGTTCTTTATGTGAAATCTCACAAGGAAGGAACTTAGTGCTGAAAATAACCAAGGCTGAATTCTTTGAAACTTCATCATACACTTAAGGCCCACAGAAGAAGCATCTCTGATGGCGAGGGTTGAAATCCTGCATGATTATGTATCTAGCTCTTCAGTCAAAGAATAACTTAATCCTATACATTCTTAATTATAGATGTCTTTAATTATTTGCGCTATATCTTGTCCTGTTTGTAGGTCACATTTTCCTAAATAGCATAATTTGTTCTGAATATTTAATAAAATCTAGTGCATCACCTTTGTCCATGACCAAAGGACTAGAAATGTACGCTGCATCCAAGAAATAATCTTGCTGGTTTACAGAAGCATTAGAGGAAGGCTGTCTGAGGGCTCTGAACTGGAAGTAAATGCATGCGGTTCTGCTAAGCTAATTCCATTTCCGGTCTCAGTCTCTCAACACCAATTCTTTCAGCTTCAGAGAAAAATGATAGAATTTTTTTCCTACTAGGAGAAGTTTCCAAACACATCTGCATTAAGTGAAAGCCCATTTTCTAGGCAGCTTATTTTCACAAAGCAATATCACACATACTTGGGCCTTAATCTTTGATCTTTGTTGGGTTTAAACATTTTTATGCCTTCTGAGAGTTAATTACTCCCAGAGCAAACACATACACACACCTGAAAGAGTGTCTAGGTCACATTAACTAAACATGCAACCAAAAGTGCTACTAAACTCAGCCAGATGACTTTGGCTAAGGAGAAGTCAAAGCTACCTGTGAGATGTTGATGTTACCTTTGCCGAAACCCTCCTCGTAGGGGCTTTATTCCACTTTTTAGGCTTATGAACAAGTGTTGTCTTTTGTTGTCTGAAAAAGGGCCACTTTCCTCAAAAAATAAAAAAAACTCCTTGACTGTCTCCCAGTCCAATTAAACCCCTTAGAGATGTGAACAGAGGACCCCAGAGAAGTGGCATGACTTCTCCAGGCCACCCAGCAATGAGGTTGGGACCAAATGTTCTCCTAACTCTACTTCTGGGATATTTCCACCCCATCACTAGTGACAGTGGTGAGAGAGCCTTGCAGAGGCAGGTGAAATGGGGCTGGAATTTGAAAGGTGGCCCTAAACTTTCTTTCACAGGCCTGCCTGGTCAACTGTAATCCACTTGAAAGTAATGGACTCAAACATCTTCCATATTCCTGAGATTCTTGGGGGAGGCATAGTCAAGTAAACTCATTCACAATGAAGACAGTAAGTTCCTGTCACATGCCAGGGACATCACTATGATCTGCACCATCTGTGGCAGTGAATACAGTAAAATGGTGGTGTACTGAGGCTCTCCCCTCCTGCAGGATCTGCAGAGCCCTGTAGCATGGACCTCATTCCCCTTCAGATGTTTCAGGATCAAAGCTTGGTGGTTTGATTCTCCTTTGTTTTTGTTTGTTTGTTTGTTTGTTTGTTGTTTTGTTTTTTTGAGATGGAGTTTTGCTCTTGTCGCCCAGGCTGGAGTGCAGTGGCGCAATCTTGACTCACTGCAACCTTCACCTCCTGGGTTCAAGCGATTCTCCTGCCTCAGCCTCCCCAGTAGCTGGGAATACAGGCACCCACCACCACGCCCAGCTAATTTTTCTTTTTTTTTTTTTTAGTAGAGATGGGGTTTCACCATGTTGGCCAGGCTGGTCTCCAACTCCTGACCTCAGATGATCCACCTGTCTTGGTGTCCCAAAGTGCTGGGATTACAGGTGTGAGCCACCATGCCCGGCCAATTCTCTAAGATGGGATCACTCTGTGGCCCTGCTCTGGAAAACCAGATTAATGTTGCTTTGGATCTCTTATCCCTGTGGTTAGAAATGCATTATGGCATGGTTTAGAATGCCAGGGAACAGATTCTAAAAATGAGGCAGCACAAGGCTTTATGGTTTTCTTGAGCACCAGAGGGCCTGGGGTCCCAGCAGTAATGGCAGAGGTCAATCCACAGCAGTTGGGTCTGTGATGATGTCCCCCAACCCGCCATCCCCAGGCGGCTTCCTGAATTCATATCAAAGCACCAGCTCCACTCAGGCCTGACATCTCTGGGTGGCTCAGCACTCTTCCAGAACCCCTGGGTGCTAAGCATCTTAACTGGCCTTTTCCTTCAAGCTTGATTGACTTCTGCCTGCTGAAAATTGCTTTTGTCTTGACTGCTGTTATCTCCAGGTACCCTGGTCTCTCCCATAGTCAAGAATCTTTTGCTTTTTTCAGAATGTTGACAACAAACAGATGTTCTTTGCCCTCTGTTTGGGCTTTGCCTCCTTGCCTCATATCTCAGGCTGCCACAGCTGTTCCTGCAGTTGTCAAGCTGACTTCATTCTCTGTGTGAAAACAGCACCTCCAATGACAGAATGGACTCTGCGAGCACCAAATAATGGGCCCACAGCTGCTTTAGCTACTGACATTTAACCTCTTGTTCCAGGAGACAGTTCAAGAAACTTTCCCTATCATAGAAAAAAATAGCATCCAGAATTTTCCTTTCAGGCAAAGACACCTTAATCCTTTTCTTGTTCATGTATTTTTACCAAACTAGAGAGTCTGTCACATAACTTCTTCGGCAAGATAACAATTCACCTTTGAGAAGAAGGCAATCCAGTTTTGATTTATTGATCTCAGGGCACAATGCTTTTCTAAAAACAAACAAACAAACAAACAAAAAGCCTAGACCAGTCTGCAAATAAAAACCTGAAGAGCAGGCTTTTTAAAGAGGAAAAAAACCCAGCAGAGTTAATTTCTTTCTTTTTATAGAATTACATAGACATTTTTGCTCGTAAAAAAAAATTTGAAAGTTGAAAATAATGCAGCTAGAAGCAGGAACACCCCCTCCCCCTTTGCCCTGTGGCTTCCTTTGAGCAAATAAAAGAGTTATACGAATAGCTACCCTCAATTTTCAGCTTCCTGGTTCTGTCGTATTTAATCTGGTTGCTATTTGGCTGACTTCAATAGAATATTGATCATTTGCGTGGTTGTAGACCTGAGAGAAAGAAAGAAGGCAGGCTCTCCTTTACCAGTCAATGTCCTCCATTACAAAGAGGCTATGTGGTAGTTGGCATGTGTGTGTGTGTGTCTGTGTGTGTGTGTGTCTGTGTGTGTGTGTGTGAACATGGCTGCATGGGTTGGGTGAAAAAGTAGTGCTCTTTACATTTTTATTATGTAGGAAGGAAGTTGTATTTTTTATAGCTATTTGTTACTACTGTATTTCATTGTTTTGAAGACATTTTTTCTACATCTTCACATTGAAGAAGTTGAAATGAATAGAATGATCAATAGCCTTACAATTGCTATTAATCTGGATTGAAGCCACATTCAGACAGAGAGGATTTGCACTTCCTTGTTAGTCACACTAGGCAGCATTATCAACCTGAAACCACTTAAAGTCCCTAACTGAGGCTTCTATGAACCACACTTGTATGAATTTAGGACACAAACTTGCATGATTAGCATTAGACTGTGATCCAAATTATTAAGGGGACATTTTTTAAACCTCCATTAATCAATGCCGCAATTAAGACACCTAAGTCTCCTAGCTATTTGGAGCAGCTATTGTTGATGCCTGGGCCATCACCCCAGCCCACCTCTGAGCTCCACTGCAGCTGCAGGGGACAGTATCTCTGCACTCTGATGGTATCCCTCCTCAAGTGCCTACATTTTTCTACTTCTCCACCAAAAGCACCAATGTAGCTTGTTCAGCCCTTGTAGAGGACAGCCCAGGGGTCCTGAGCGCATAGAATTTGGGAATCATTTGCTTACTGACTGCTCTTCACTAAAAGTGCTGGAGATCTACTCGCCCCACCCCCAGACAAACTTCAACCAATAAGGAAAGGGAGTCACTGGGTAACAGCCCAGCTTCCCTACCCATGACTGTACAATTCTGAGGTGTGTTCTACAGAATGCTTCACAGAGGCCTCAGTGGGATTGAGTCCCAACTGCTAACAATGACAGTCTGCTCATGATCATACTTCAATGGGTGCCTTCCATTCTCGGTCTCATTTCCCCACCTCCTCACATGTGCTTCCTCGGATTGCCTCCCAGGTAACCCACCTGCCCTCAAGATTTGGCCTATAGATCTGCTTTTAGAGGGCCATAAACCAAGGCACCATCTCTTTTTTTTTTTTTTTTTTTTTGAGATGGAGTCTCGCTCTGTCCCCTAGGCTGGAGTGCAGTGACAGGATCTCAGCTCACTGCAAGCTTCACCTCCCAGGTTCAGCCATTCTCCTGCCTCAGCCTCCCAAGTAGCTGGGACTACAGGAGCCCGCCACCATGCCCGGCTAATTTTTTGTATTTTTAGTAGAGACGGGGTTTCACCGTGTTAGCCAGGACAGTCTCGATCTCCTGACCTCGTAATCTGCCTGCCTCAGCCTCCCAAAGTGCTGAGATTACAGGCGTGAGCCACCATGCCCGGATGGCACCATCTCTTATATCTTCTTCAGTCTCATCTGAGGGTAGTGCTCTTTGTTGTCTTATATTAAACTCTCCACTTTGAGCTTTTTATTTTCCTTCTCAGTGACATATACAGAAGAGTTGTTCTTACAGTGGAAGGTACCTTAATTTCAGTAAGATATCATTAGTAGAAAAATAAAACTCTTCTGAGATGCCATAAACACATTGATTATACAAAATGAGTCATTAGCTCTTCTTCTAAAGATCAATACCAAGTTTTAAATAGTTATGAAGTGCTCTGTCCAGCATGATCCAGTTAAGCAAAGTTGGCACATACATGCATTCATGCACAATGTATGATTCGGTTGGCACATACATGCATTTGTGCTACAGGTCTCAGGTCTTATAATATAGCTCTGAAATCGTTATAGGAAACAACGGACATCACACTGTTTTATCCTTTTGAAAAGCTACGTGTGTTTCAAGGTTTCTCATGTCTGACATGGAGGCTGATTAGACAACTGCCAGCCCCACTGGTCCATCTGAATTTTTCAAGATGTGGTCCAGGAACCATCTGCATTGGATATACTCAGGATAATTATAAAATGCAGACTTCCAGACATCTTACCAGCTGTACAGAATAAGAACCTGTGATTGGCAGAGCCTCGTAATCTGCAATTTAACAAGCTGCCCTAGTGATTCTTGTACATGTAAAAGCTTGAGAGTCATTGGCTTACTGATTGCTTTTCACCAAAACAACAATGTTAAGGTTCTTGGACCTCTTCTACTATGCATGTTTAATGTATTCACAACTAGAAATTTTATTAATTACATAAAAGCTATAGCTAAAATTAAAAAAGAAACTGAGGCTGGGCGCGGTGGCTCACTCCTGTAATCCCAGCACTTTGGGAGGCCGAGGTGGGCGGATCACAATGTCAGGAGATCGAGACCATCCTGGCTAACATGGTGAAACCCCGTCTCTACTAAAAACTACAAAAACTTAGCCGGGTATGGTAGTGGGCGCCTGTAGTCCCTGCTACGCAGGAGGCTGAGGCAGGAGAATGGCATGAACCCGGGAGGCAGAGCTTGCAGTGAGCCAAGATCGCGCCACTGCACTCCAGCCTGGGCAACAGAGTGAGACGCTGTCTCAAAAAAAAAAAAAAAAAAAAAGAAACTGAAACTTTGGGAGCAGTATTTGCTTACTAAAATGACCTACTTTTTGCTAAATGACCACAATACCCATAATTCTGGACAGAATTTCTGGAAAAGCACTTTATTCATTCATTCATTCATTTATTAATTCAGGAAACTCTTATTCAATGCTTATATTTTGTTGGATTGTGTAACTACAAAGATGAATAGAAATAACTCAAAAGAAATAGCGGTATAAAAGACCCTGGAGTCAGAGTGGAGAACATAAATTTGAGATGTGAATTCTGATTCTCCGACTTATTGGCCGAGTGATTCTGGGCATGTTATTTAACCTCATTGCGATTCAGGTTCCTAATAGGTAAAAGTCAGAAAACCCACGCCTACCTCATAGATAGGTAATGCATTTAATAAAGCACTTAGTGGAGTGTTAGGCTCATAATAACCAATTATGAACAGCTATTATTTCAGTATGAATAAAATGCACTATCCATCTGGGCAGGGGAAGACACAGACAGTACAAGGCAGTGTTCAGGCCACTGGTTTCTGGAGCTCGCTTTGCCTGGTTTTGATCCTGGCTTTTCCAGTTACTAGCTGCGCACCCTGGACAGGCGATGCCACCTCTGTCTCTCCCTGCACAACTCTGCTGCTTCATTCAACTTCCGCATGTCTTATTCCTCAGTGAGCCCTGTGCTCTCCTAACTCCAACTAGGTGTCTCCTTATTGGAGGATCCAACACAAAAATCAGTTAGAGAGGGAGAGATGGCAGTCACTGATGAGGCAATGTCCAGGAGAGAATGCGGTCATGAGTCATGGAGGCTGTGGGCAAGGGGAAGACAGTGGTTGCTACTCACGTTCTGAGTACAGGTATTATTTTAACTTTTGGAGAATAATACTACTTATTTTCATGTCCCTGGGAAGTGTTGTCATATTTTTAAGGTGAATATCCCTGAGTTTATCATTTTCTATTAAAAATTTGCCCACCAGAATGAGTCATGGCAGAAGCATTGACAGGAACAGGGGACTGATTCAGTTGGTGGATGAGTAAGCTACTGAGAGATCTTTGTTGACCCGCCAGCACCAGGAAGCTTTATTTTTCTCTGTTTTCTAAACAATGTAATTTGATTACACTTCAAACACTGTGCTTCCTTATTTTCCTATTAGGTAAATTACATATGTAAATTAATGTAAGATGAAGACATGCAGATTTTTGTCTGTGAAAAAGATGGGCTGACTGTGACCAGAGCCGAGCGAGGCTTTGAGTTAACTTTCTGTCCATGGGGATGGATTTCCTTCCCCCCATCCCACTTGTACGTGGCTGCATGCTTTTAGTCAGTGGTGAAGTTCTTGGCTGCAATGAAGATGCAGTACCTAATTAAGGAAGAGTGAATTCGTTAATAATAAATTTTAGCCAAAGTATGAGATAGACAATCAATGTCCTCATCGATAAGCACCCACTAAACATCTAGTAGGCCACTTTGCTTTCGTTACGTAGCAGACATTCGCTGAGCATCTACCATGTGCCAAGCTCTTTACAGGCAACAAAGAAGCAACTATATATAAGAAACAGTCTTCCTTCCACAGACTGATGTGATTACAAGCCAAAGTAATTAAGGATTATTCTGAATTAGTAGAGACCATCTAACCCTGTCTTGGGTGGAGGGGAGGTAGAGAGTGGCTTCAGGGAGATATTTCCAGACAAAGTTACATCCGGCTGAGCCCTGAAGGATGAATGGGAATGGCCAGGAGCAAAGGACCATGGGAAGAGCAGAAGGTGCAAAAGCCCAGAGCAGAAGGCACAGGGCTGGGTAAAGATCAGCCAGGTGTTTTTGTAATAGTTTAAGACGGCTGGAGTTTAGAGTTCAGGGTCAGGGTGGGATGGCAAACCATGAAGCCAGAGAGGCAACAGGAACCAGCCTTTGTGGGACTAAGAAATGTCATTCAGAAGGCCATGGGACCCGTGGAAGTTTCAGTCAGCCAGGGTCATCACAGATTTGCATGATTAGCTGAGGTGAATGAATTTAAGGGGAACAGACTGGCAGTGGGAAGAACAGTTGGGAGGTGAGCCCTTTCTTCCTGGGCACAGAGCTGGGCTATTTCTCAGCTTCTTGGATAGTCAGTCAGGGCTTCAGGACTGAGCAGCAACCAACAACTGTGGACAGAAGCAACATGTGCTACTGCTGGGGCTGACACCTGAAAACTCTCCTGTGTGATCTCTATGTGCCCTACCCTCCTCTGCCGGGCCTTGGGCAGGAGTTGTTAAATGTGACTGAGCATTAGAACCACCTGGACAGTTTGGTAGAACATTTGTTTCTGGATCCTCTCACAGCCTGTCATTCAGCCAGTTTGTGGTGGGCCTAAGAATCTGCATTTCTAACAAATTACCAGGTGATGCTGTTGCTGCTGGGCCAGGAACCACATTGTGGTTACTGAAGCCCTAAACAATACAGAGTTACAAGATGCACAAGAAGGAATAATCCTGGGTTCCTGAATAACTGTGTGGAGTAGTCCCTCACACACCTCCCTCCAACTCAGAACTCCCATGGAATATGAAGCAAGCAAGGAAAGTCTCCAGTGAATGTGGGTGCATGATGGCAAGCGCCACACTGTGCCACATTTTTTCCTATAATGCTTGACTGTACTCCTCCTTTTCCTTGCAACATCCAACCCACCCCCATCCTAAGGTAGCTAACCCTACTCACACTGCAGGTCCCAGCATGGCCCTTATTTCCACCAGTGTGGCTCCTCAGATGCAAACCCGGCTAGTTGTCCATCTACCACCCTCTACAGTATATAAAAAAATGTGTACATATGTATGGTACCATTTTATACCTTTTATTCTAAGTTGGTTTGTTCTTTTTAAAGTTTTTCAAATTTTGGTTCTCTTTGTACCCCTGGAAAAACATATTTATGTTTGCCTCAATGTTTATCCATCTAGTCCAGTGTCCTATTTCTATGACTCATTCAAATGTTTGATGAATGATGCCCAAACAGTGTCTGGCCCTCAGAATGTGCTCAGTGATCCTGGAAATAGATTTATTGTTTTATTGGGGAGAGTAGAAAAACTCTTAAAGAAGACTTTTTAAATAAAAGAAGAGAAGCCTCTGGGATGTCTCATGTTAACAGAGCTGAGACCTGAAACATGAGGATTCCATGATAGTGAAGGACTATATGGTGAAAGAATAGAGAGAGTTAAGTCATGAAGGCATATAAGACACCTAGCCACAAAGGAAAATATGGTGGCTTGAAGGGGGGCAACAATTATTTCCTTGCAAGACAAGAAAGACTTGTGTATGTTTGAAGGTCCAAGAGAAGGAATCAGTGGAAAAAAAAGATTTGTATAATGCTGGAAAACTGGAAATAATTGAGGATACAGTATGTCAGATGATTAAAGAAAAAAAGAAAGGAATCCAGATGTAATATTAGGGTCAATATTGGAAGGCTATGATGCCAAGACAGAAGAGGATGAGGAGGGGACATATATCCGGTTAAAGATAATTTTGGTGGGGAAGATGGAAGGTTAGGAGATTTCCCCTTTAATGACCTTGATTTTCTCAGCAAAGTAGGAGATAAGACCATCTGCAAGGAAAAGGGGTTTGGAGAAGAAAAGCAAAAAAGAGAGAGAGAGAATGGGGAACATTGAAACAGCTACTATAAAGAGTATGCTTTGGTAGTCAAAAGGATGACTTACTCACAGGAACCATTACATATAGCACATCAGTAACATCATTTTTTAGCCTTGAAAAAAAAAGGCCTTGTAAATTTCTAGCACCAGAAGGTTGGCATTGTTCTGAAATGAGTACCTAAACCGATGATCTCACTGCTGCATTTCTTCTCCCTATGGGAGCTAATTCTAGGCACTTAATTTCTCTACACCTTTGCTCTGCGTTGTCCTCTTCCTCATAAGGCCTTCCTGAGCCATCTCATAATATTCATTTTTTAATATTTTACCTTCTGTGCTCCATATTCCCCATCTCTCAAGTGAAATGAATTTGATGAAGAGGGCTAAAGGCCTTTCTGTAGCTTCATGTTAGTTCAGCAAACATCTATGGAATACCACTAGATGCCACTAGGTGTAGGAGACGGTGGGGCAGTGACTATGAATTAAACATTATATCTGTCTCAGAGGTTCTCCCAGACTCTGTGGGAGACAGACTCACAAATATATCATTTCAGCACCATGTGGCTGGTGCTGTCATGGGGGCATGCATCTCATGATCTTTAGAAGCTAGGCTAATGACATTTATTCATTCTCCAAATATTTTGTAAGTACCCACTATGTGTCATGAAATGTGAGCCTCTGGCAATATGTGGTAGAAGTGATAGGTAAGTTATTTGCTGTTGATATATGTACTCTGAGGAGTCAACTATGTGAAGATGCAGAAACAGATGTTTCTCCTTAGGGGGCACCTCCAGCAAAATGGCTCAAAGGCTTGGCTTATTCAAGGAGGTGAAAAGAGACCATTGTGATTGGAGAGTGGAGAAGGAGGGAGAGAAAGGAGGGAAACTGACAAGGCCAGGAATTTGAATTTCATTCTAAAGCAAATAAATCAGTAAGTGAGCAGTATCATCTTAGTTCTAGAAATTCAACCAGTTCTGCAAAGACCACATGATGCCTCAAAATATCCTTCACAACACCACCAAAAATGATTGCTAGTAAGTATGGTTCAATCAATCATTCTGCAATCATATACTGTGTACCTGCTGAGTGTCAGATACTGTCTAGGTCCTGAGGATACAGAAGCCACAAAGCAGAAAATATCCTTGCAGCCAATGTGCTTATATTTGAGTATGTGTGGAGGTTGGCATTTCAGGGAAAGGAGTAGTAGTAAGTACAAAGGTCCTGAGGCAAGAGTACGCTTATACTGTTTGAAGACAAACAAAGGCATGAGTGAATTAAGGAAATTGATATCAGAAAACAAAAAGAAACTTGGAGGAAAGAGGGCAGTGGTTCAAGATTGTTATATTCTTATTTTGTAAAAGGCTTGCTCCAGCTGTGGTAAGACAATAAAATACAAGAAGTTACAGATAAAGCAAGGGAACCAAATACAAAGTGATGACAATCATTGATGTGAAAGGTAGTTTTGATTAGGTTGAGGGTGGAGGAGATGGGAGAAGTGAACATATCTGGCAATATTTTGAAAATAGGCCAATAGAATTTCAGGATGAATTGGATGTTTGGGATAAAGGGAATAGTCAAAGACTGCACAATTTTGAATCTGACCATTAAGAACAATGGAATTGCCATTGCTCAGATGAAGGAGACTAAGAATTGCAGATGAGGAAGCGGATATTAAAAGCTCAGTTTCGTTCGAGACCAGCATGGCCAACATGGTGAAACCCCGTCTCTACCAAAAATACAAAAATTATCCAGGCGTGGTAGTAGGTGCCTGTAATCCCAGCTACTCGGGAGGCTGAGGCAGGAGCATCGCTTGAACCCGGGAGGCAGAGGTTGCAGTTAGCCGAGATCGCGCCACTGTGCTCCAGCCTGGGCAACAAGAGTAAACCAAAAACAAACAAAAAAACCCCTCATTTTTGAAAAGGTTAAGTTGAAAATGTCAATGAGACATCCAACTGGAGAGATGTCTTAGAAAAATCTAGAGTTCAAAGGAGATATCAACTTTTTGGCAATAGCCAAAAAGTGATAGAACTGGAATTTTCTTCTAGTCTATTTGAAGACATGGCATATTGCTCACTTGCATAACAGGCAGACCTATATTTTAAAGCCAAATAGAAGTGATAGGAAAAAATTTAGCAAAGCCCACAGTCCAACACTGACAAGATTTGGGAGTTATTGTCAATAACTTCCAAGAAATGAATCAGTTCTTGGTGATTCATTTGTAGAGGTAGAAAACCAACTTGTTACTTCTAATCAAATCAAGTAACCTGATAGTGTCAATTTAAGAGGAAAAAGATAAAACTGTAGACAAGGAGGCAAGTACTTGAGAGAAAAACCTCAAAATAAGGACCCAAAAGACCTATTTTTAGTCCTGATTGGATAATCAGGACTAAGTTTCTGTGTGACAATGGAAAAGTCATCTCACTTCAGTTTCTTAATTAGTAGGAAAAATGGGCAGGACAGGATAATCTATAAGTTCCCTCACACCCTCACACCTCCAAACCAAAGATAAAAAAGTCATAATATATTTAAAAATACTCTTATAAATCAATAAGAACAAAGATGAATAACTGCTAGAAATACAAAGAATATTAACATACAATTCTCCAAAGAAAAGTTAAAAATAGCAGTGAATAACCACAATAGTTCTGGCACTCAGCTTCGATAATGTTATTAAATTACCAAAAGCTAACTATACAATAGGAAAAATAACAAAAAAGTTTAGTCAACAGTAAACGCAACAAAAATATTAAAAGTTTATATAAATGAAAAATGTAAATTCTATAAAAGATTAATCACAAAGGCTACTTTGGGAAGAAAGACTCATTGTAAGGATGGCCTAAATTTAACTTAATTAATCCCAATAAAATATCCATTGTGATTTCTTTTTTTGGTAGAACAAGACAAACCAATTATAAAATTTACATGGAAAAATAAACATTTGACATATCCAGGGAAATTCTGTAAGAGAGCCTATTCAACAGATAGCTCCTTTTGTTTAAAGTGGATAAACAGAGCTGCAGCCTCTGAATCAGGACTAGGTGAGATAGTTTAATAACGACAATTGGGTGGGGACCTCCAATTCCCCAGATCAGTGCTGTTTTATTTTCTACAGAGATGGAAAAAATAGAAAAAAAAATTACACTACTCAGGATGTTACTTCTGGGAAGAGTGCTGTAGTGTTTCAGTTTGGTGTATACTTAACACATGGTATTTAAATTACATTTAAATTGTCTGCTTAGTTTTAATAATTAAATCAACAGTAAGTTACTTTATAACAATATTGTTAAATTAAAAACAAATGACCAGGTTTCTATACATATAAACAGGTGATTCCTTCTTAGTCTTTAAGGGCAAACAATATACAGTCACAAGGCTAAAATAATAAAGTCTCTTTTGCAGGACTGAATAAATATTGCTTCTATTAAAAAAAAGAGGAAACTGAAGAGTAAGTGATGTCCAACAGCAAAATAAACTTGCCATTAGGATATAGCCTTCCTTTCTTGACTCTTCTGCCTCCCTCTCATTTTCCTATAGATAGAAGATGAGAATATAGGACTTGATTTAATGGATTATAAGAGAGCTCTAACCCCAACCCAGAGAGAAGGTGCACAAGTCAAGGAACTTCAAAGGATGAAAATCAGTTACCTTGGGAGGTGAGAGCGGGGTCTTTACTTGGCCAAAGGAATACTTGCCCTGACAGGAACCCTCACCAAAGGACATGCATGGAAGGAAGGTCAGGTGTATTGAAACCACAGCAGATGCTTAGGCTGGGGAGCCAGGGACAGGAAGGGGACATGGCCCGTGGATATTTAATTTGCTGTCCTGTTATTTTTCTTGGCTTCTGTTGAACCCAGATGGTGATCAGAGTCTTCCCTAGCACACAGACTCTGTAGTGGAACAGAAGGCTGGTTGCTTTACAAATGAGAGAAATGGGAAAAATCTGACCTAGTAATCTGCAAATCCACATAGGACTTTTCCCTGTGGATTTATGATCTTGGGTCTTCCAATCTTGGGAGCATGGTATTCTTCTAACTTCTTCCTTAGTGTAACAAAAGTTGCTATTTATCGAGAATCTTTTAGAACCGGAGAATATACACTGCAGCTTCAAATCCTCATAACAATAGTAAACACCCAATCCCAACTTTGTAGGTGAGAAGCTGAGGCTTGAAGAAGTTAAGTAACATGTCCAAGTTCATCCAGCCAAAAAGTGATAGAACTGGAATTTTCACCTAGTCTATTTGAAGACAAGGCATGTTGCTCACTTGCATAACAGGCAGACCTATATTTTAAAGCTGAATAGAGGTGATAGGAAAAAATTTAGCAAAGACTAGAGTCCAACACTGACACTTTCTATTCTAAAAGAAACCCTTGATGTGCAAAGTGTTAAGGCTGGATGTTAATTTGAGTCAGTGGATCCCTTCATTTTGCCGATCCTACAGAAGTTAAATGTCGCAGTTAAAAATGTGGAACCAGTTGATGGTAGATATAGCCAGGATGGGACATCACAGTTCCTCTATTCAATACAGTGCTCCATTTACACAGGGCCTATCTCAACAGATATTCTCAGAACACCTAAAGGCACCTGGCACATAGACCAAAACCATCTGCTAAACCTTCTGGCAGTAATAGGATGCCATTACTTACAGCTATGGTCAGAGGAATCTGCGAGGTGGTAAATTGCAATGTCACTCTGTGTATTCTCCATGAATGTTACTTTCTCTGTCTCTCTCCTGGGTATGATACAACATTTAAAAGACAATAAATATAGCAACACTGTGGTAGGCCATTTACTTACTAAAATGGAAGAACGTGGCCATGGAGAGTCAGAGCACTGTCACCTGGGCATTTAACAGTGCTGCAGGCAAGGGTTCAGGGTGCAGCATTCTCATATGCAGCAGTTGTTGTAGAAAACATGGCCTTGACTGGAGGTGTTCTCCCAAACTACCCCTTGATATGCACTGAGGTATAGAATCTCAAATCTATTTTTTAATTTGTTATTTTTTTTAGATACAGGTACAAGGTAAAGTACAGACATCTTCCCTATCCCAGGTCCACCCCTACGAGTCAAGTCTTTACAATTTCTATTTTAGGTTCTTCATCATCTTACATTTACACCACATGGAATTGGGTTGCTATTTTTGTTCAATCTGCCTTAGGTTGTAGCTGTTGACTCTTGCAATAACCAATGGTGATATATATTACTTATGCCACCCTCTTCTCTTCCTAGATTTTGATAACTAACGTAACTTTCTAGCTCTCTTTTTTTTTTAGACAGAGTCTTGCTCTGTCACCAGGTTGGAGTGCAGTCACGTGATCCTGGCTCACTGCAACCTCTGCCTCCTGGGTTCAAGTGATTCTCTTGCCTCAGCCTCCCAAGTAGCTGGGACTACAGGCACACGCCACCATGCCCAGCTAAGTTTTGTATTTTTAGTAGAGATGGGGTTTCACCATGTTGGCCAGGATGGTCTCGATCTCTTGACCTCGTGATCCATCCGCTTCAGCCTCCCAAAGTGCTGGGATTACAGGCGTGAGTCACTGCGCCCAGCCAACTTTCTAGCTCTTCTATTGGTTATCTGTAAATCTTTAATTAATGCTCCTAGAGGGTACAAGTTCTCCACACTTTCCCTCTAGCTTTCCTTCTCTTGTTACACTTCCTGCCTTCTGTCACACGTGCTCTCCCATGGTCAGGAATGGTAACATTGACATTCTGCTCTATAACCATAGTAAACCAAAATAACTTATCCTAAATGTTAAAACTAAGCATTTGTATGATAAAAACTGTAATCAGATAATATATTAGAAATATTATTCTGCTTCGGCTTCATTCTTCTACACTACACATCACATTTCCTAAGCAACAGATTACCATTGTAGTCATTGAGAAGCGGGAAAGGCCAACGTCATCCTGAGAAAGAAGAGGACTGTAGAGAAGGATTTATCCATCTTGGCTACACATTGGAGTCACTCAGGGAGATTTTTAAAATGCTGATGACTGCTTCCCTTCCCAAAAATGTCAGACTTAATTGGTCGGGAGTATGGCCTAAGTGGAATTTTGAACACTCCCAGGTAATTTCCATTTACAATCAAAGCTGAGAACCACCAATGTAGAAGCAGCTCTATTCAGAAAGGAAAAGCAAATGGAAAGTCTACCTCACGGTGTGTCCTCTCTAATGTGGGGAAAAGGCCAAAGACCCAGAGGAAGGAGGTTTGTAGATAAGTGGGGCAAGGTGGGGTGAAGTCAAAAACTGAGAAGGGGCTTTGTGCCCACTTCTCATTTGGGATTTGGAACATGTGTGCTAGGAGAGTGACCCCTCCCCAGCTGCCAATAGGCTCAGAGAAGCTGGCGTCTCAGCATCATTAGGCCTGGCTCCGAGAATCTCTTCATGTTCCCACATTCCCTGAATGGGGGACCTGGAAAGTAGCTGATGGTGCTGACTGGTGGGTCTGCCTGAGCAGTCACCATGGTGGGGAGCAAGTGACCCTAAGCAGGACCATCGTGTGGAGCTGTGCAGCCCATGCAAGGCACATCACTGGGGGCATCACTGATAATAAACTGTGCCGCCTGGAGTTTTGAGATGTGGAGCCTTGATCATGGAGCTGAAAAGTGCAAGACGAATCACCCTCTGGAATCCATCACTGCATTTGCTCCAAGGCCGGAGCCCCTGACAGGCAGCTCCCAGTCAAGGACTGATCACAGCAGGGATACTAAGACAGGGCTGTTCTTGGCCTAATTTGCCTCAAGGGCATCTGGATGCTTTGCTAAAACTTCCCTACACTGCACACCTCACAAGCTGCCTTCCCTGTCTCCTTTACTCGGGCTTGCGCTTGAGCTGGGGCTGATGGCTCTCCCAGTCAACTCCAGCACCCTCTTTCTTTCCTCTCACACAGGCATTTCCTTTAATAAACTCCTTGCATTCCCCCAAATAAATCCCATCTTAGCATCTGCTCCTGGCAGGACTTGGACTGACACTCTGCACCTTAGAACAATTTGCACCGCTCAGAACCACTGGGGCCTAACATTTTTACCACTGGTTCAACTCTGGACAACTGGGACTTTGCATCTACCTCAGAGATGTCAGGCAGAAGCCACTTTCAGCCAAACGGTGTGGTTAATTGGCTCATTCTAGAACAGTGGCTTTGTTTTGGCCTCACAGACTCTGACCATGTGCAGCTGGTGCCATTTTATCCCGTCAGTGAGTGCTGACAGCTTTAACAAAGAAGTGCCGCGTGGTCAACATTTGGTCTCACAATTTCATTGTTCAACAGGGAGAGGACTGCCAGAAACTCGATTAGAACATGCTTCTTCAGATTCCCAGCTCACAAAGCCATCTATGACACCCAACATCCCTGCATCACCAACACAGTCTCAGCACAGGTTGACCCAAATCATCTTGTTTCCCATTTGGGAAAAGATACTCTGTCCCAAGTGTTATACATTTAGTCTGCCCAGGAAAGCCTTTCCTCACAGCCTGTCACACATTTGAAATGTATTTTCACCATGTGAAAAGCACTGGCTTGGTTTCTAAAAGGAGAACACCACGTTTGGGGAGAAAGGTCTTGGTTTGGAATAGACCATATATGATTATGTGCTGTGTTGAGAGGGTACTCCAGTTACTGATTTGCCAGAATCCAAATCCTAAATAATCGAGATTCACAGGGCTTGAAATGTGCTTGGTACAAAGTGATTGCCAGGGGCTTCTAAATCTTTCCCCAGAAGGGATGGAGGGGATGCTGTCTCCCAAACAGACTCTAAGCTCTGAAGGATCCCAAAGACTGGAAGCCAGAATCAGCACACCACACCTTGGAGGTCTTATGAGGGCTGTCAGAAACCTCGTGGCTGAACACCTGAGCACACTTTAAAGAGGATAAAGCCCAAAGCAGTTTGATGTAATAAGGTTGTGGTATCATAGTGTTATTTTTTTTCCTATTCTTAGAACTGACTTTATTGTTACAATATGTCTGGTACAAAATATAAATTCTAGAGGGACAATAAGATAAAATGGTAGGAGACAAAGTACTATCCTTTTATACTCTGTCCTCTGGTTTCTGTGGCTGTGATCACTGGCATATGCAGAGATAAGAGATGAGCGCCTGTGGGATTTTGTACACAGAGCAAAATGTCACAAGATGCTGGTCCTGTGGGAGCCCTGCAGCCAAGGGCCTTTGAAGGTCACTCCTGCAATTAGGCTGTGTAGTGCTGTACAGGTAACCCACATGCACCAGGACATGCGCCACTAGCCCAACTGACCCACTCACTCACATGCTCTCCCTCTCCTCTCTCTTCTTTTTTTCTGAAGTGTGATTTTCGTAATAATTTAAATGATTAAGACTTTAATTATAATGAAGCTTATATGAAGCAAGACCCTCACCCTGGCATTTAAAATCAAGTACAGTAAGAGAAAAATTGGACTTCTGCCATTATCATCTAAGGTTGAGCACATCAGGAATGACCTACAAGGATTATAAAGACATACCACTGTCTCTCCCAGCAATTTCTTCTAGTTACTGATTTGCCAGAATCTAAATTTCTGTTTTTCCTTAGTCCACTGCTTCTCTCGGAGAATGTGGCTCCTTTGGGGATGTTGAGTTTTTCAATAGGATGGGCGGCAGAAAGAATGTTACAGAGCAAGGCAGGAGGCGGTGTTTCTGTCTCCTGCTCCATATTATGCTTTTATAATTTTTTTTTTTTGAGACAGAGTCTTGCTCTTATCGCGCAGGCTGGAGTGCAGTGGCAAGATCTCAGCTTACTGCAACCTCCACCTCCCAGGTTCAAGTGATTCTCCTGCCTCAGCCTCTCGAGTAGCTGGGATTACAGGTGCCCGCCACCATGCTTGGCTAATTTTTGTATTTTTAGTAGAGACAGGGTTTCAACATGTTGGCCATGTTGGTCTCGAACTCCTGACCTCAGGTGATCTGCCCGCCTCGGCCTCCCGAAGTGCTGGGATTACAGGCATGAGCCACCGTGCCTGGCCCCTCTTATGCTTTGATCTCAGCAGAAACAACTGGAAGAAGTTCTAGTAAAAAGAAAACCCCAAGACAGGGAACATGAGTAAGGGGATAAAATTAATGATAAATCTCGAAACTTTAAATCCTTAAGCTGAGGGGTAGGGGTAGCTGTTTCCATGCTCCTGTGTCCCTGTTTTGTCAGGCTTCTATACAAATGTCAACTGTGACTGTCACTGTCCTATGGTACATGCTGCAACATTTACTCTTTGGTACCTGACTAGGAATAAAGGCAGTGGGTGCACATCGATCCACCTCCATTCGTGTTTTCTTCCCTAAGTTAGCAGGTTCATTTTTGCCAGATTTCGGGGTTGTTTGCATGGCCCTGTCAATTCTTCATGGGGACAGAGCCAGCTCTGACAGATGCACTCTCATGACACAGCACATCTGCCAGACACCAAAGCCTGGAGGGAATTTTTCTTGATCAGCTGCATCTCTTCAATGAGGTCTCTTTTGATCAAAGATGTTGGCAGCAACAGGAAAACTACTGGACTTCTAGCTTGGGCGCACTTAGAGGATGAAAGTAACTTGAATGTCTCTCATGGTTCCACATTGTGCTAGACTAAGGGAGGAGATTAGCAAAGTAATTATATGGCAGGAGGTAACGTTTCATCCAGTGTTCCTGTAGTTCTTAGGTTTCTCACCGTTCATCACAAACAAATGAGAGGTTTTCCCTTGGTTTGGAGTATAGCCTTTTACTCAGAACAATGATAACCACAATAATTAATATTGATTGAGAGTTTACTATATGCCTGGCACTACTGCCAGAACTTTACACATGTTAAATCATATCATCCCTATAAACAACCTGCTGAGGTAGGTGCTATTATGATCCCCATTTACAGATGCGGAAACCAAGTTAAATGACCTGTTCATGGCTCATTAGAGAACAACCTGTCTGCAAACTGAGGTAGTCTGGCTTCAGAATTGGGCTGGCTGTTAGCCTCACTGCCAGGATACTTCTTCACCTCACCCAGGGAGAAGTTCATGTACTGAGTTGCCAGGGGCTGAAGCAATTTCTATTAAAAATAAATCTTTAGCTTTGAATCAGACAAATGAAGGTATGGATCACTGTGTGCAATCTATATCCACGGTTTGAGAGAGAAGTTGGCAAATCTGACTTGCTTAGAAGTACATAGTCAAATGATGAAAGGTTTGGAAACCATGTAACGTGAGAGACGTTTGGAATAGGCGAGATAAACGACTAACCAGAAGACAGTATAGGGGGCGCTATAGGAAGGCTTTGCCTTCAAAGACTTAGGAGACTCTTGCCATACAGGCCAGGTTCATTTCAGTTCCCTCTGCAGAGCAAAGCTGGGATGAGTCAGCAGAAACGTCAGGAAAATCCAGTTCATTTATAAACACTCAATCTTTGAGGATAAAAGAACTCCTGCGAAAGATAGTGAGCTCCCCATCGTGCATGTCCCTTGACAGAGGCCACAGCATCAGCTGGGAAGGAAATCATCAAGGCTTTCTGCATCACAGCAGGAGGTTGAACAAGGTGACCTCCAGGTTCCAACTGTGAAACTTATATAAAGTTGGGTGATTTTATATATCTATACCCAACTTATATAAAGTTGGGTAAGTTACAATTAGGTACATACCCTCTCGAGTGTCATACTCTGTTAGCCACAGCCCCTCAGAGCAGCTCAGAGGGGAAAAGGGTAGGGTGGAAAGGATGCTGGGTCACAAGTTAGATAATAAATGTCAGGGCCTTGCTCCACCTACTGAATGTGTGACCCTGGTCAGGTATATTTTACTCCTCATACCCTTAATTCCTGTAATTTCAGTTTGAAGAAAAGTAGATACCGCTGTTTTGAAAAAATTTTTAAATATTATTTTGACTGTGCCTAAAAATTTTTTAAGCATCAGTTATTTGAAAAATGGAATAAACAAAAGCTTTCCTGCCCATAGCACCATGGCCGTGGTGAAACTGTTGTATAAGAAACCTTATAGAAGATGACCTCTGCACATTTTCTGGACACTGTGGTATCAGGTTTGCTAATAGTCCTCTGCCTCACTGTATGTTGTTATAAAGTGAAGGTGTTGTCAGCAGTTTCTTTCTTCTAAGTCTTACCTACTCTGCACCAATGCAACTGGTTTCTGTGGTTCAGAACTGCCACGTTGGCTGGGATAGTCTAGTTTCTTTAGGCCTACCGTATTCAAAGCAATAATAGTGAAACTCTACTGTAATTTATCACTCTCCTATGCAAAACAAACATTTATAAAATGCAGCTACATTTCTGTCTTACCTACCAAAAATGTTCACCCTGCTTATATCTTTTTGTAAGCCAATTTGTACTTCAAACATTATGTCATATTTTTCAGACAGCAATAAATTAATTCATAAGTATTTGGAGTCTGCTTTGCAAGCCAATTCCATGTCATACCACGGCTCAGAACACACATCCCATGTTTTACAAGGAATTTTCCTCTAAGTTGTGATTGTAGTGTCCTCTAATGGTACAGTAGATGTATAATATTTAATACAGGCACATCTCCATACCTATGCATCACTGTTCAAACAGAAGCTGATTAGTGTACTTGAGACAAAAAGAGGTCGTTCTAATCAAATGTTTTGGCATTGGTTCCTTTTATTTGAAAAAGATGGTAGTAGATTTACAAAAGTAATTCTCCTTTTACCCAAGTCTTGGTAATGAGAAACTAGACATGAGAACACACTTAATCATCCTATTACCCAACACCTGAGCCTCCGAGCCTCCCACTTGAAAGCATGGGGAAAATACACATCACCCAATTCGAGGGAGAGCCTGGGCCCCTCTCTTAACATCCCACCAACAATCTGTGCTTCACACACTTAAGCACTACTCCACTCCATTTCAATAAAAATAGAGTTTAATTTGGTCTCAAAACAACTTGCTTTTTCCCAAGTATGGGGAAAAAGGGCTTGGGCTGTGGGATCAACTACCACAATACATGTGGCTATTCAGGAATCAAGGGGGTTCACCATCACTCAAAGGTAGGGTGCAAATCTGTGTTGCAGTTAATTAATTTAGACTTCATATGAACTGCTTGAACTACAAAGAAAGCTAGTTTCCAACAACCAAAGGATAAAGAAAGGAATGAAAAGGCTAAGAGACTTAGCAAACAAACTGTTGGCCATTTGAGAGTAACTTAAGGCTCCCCAAAAATGGCCCCTTGATTGAAATCAATTAAAAGGAACCAACTGACCCGATGATGAGTAAGAGCTTAAATATCCCACCTACTCAATAATGGTCCAAATAGAGTCCCAAAGCCCTGGAGGCCTCATGAATATTCTGAGAATTTAAAGTGCCTAAAGAAGGAGGGATGGGCGGAGGAGAGGGTCTTTGCTTCTAAATAATAGTGGCTCTCCTGTGGTTACCCTTAGCCTTCCAGGATTGGCTTTTCAAGCTCTTCATTGAAATTGCTCAAGTCTTTAACTGATCTCCCTTAAGGATTCAAAAGCCTTAAGCTAATTACACTTGGCTGAGATATGCTTGATGAGATGGGAAAAACATAAAGCTTTTGAAAGGGTGAAAATCTCAAACCATCTGCTGGTGGTGTTACTGAGAGAACAATAGGGGAAAAGGAAGAGGGCAGCTAGCCAGAGTGGAAAGGTACAGGATTTCTTTAATTACTGGGTTAATGAGACCATTACTCCTTGGAATGTTGGGAAAGGCAGGACACACAAGCTTAGAGAGCTAGGCAACAACAACTGTGCTTGGTGAATAAGCGAAGCCAAAGATCGACAACAACAAAAAGACACGCTGTGAGGGAGAAAAGGAGAATTAGGTCAGCTGGGTTTAGAAAAGCATTTTTGATTAGAAATCACAGGTAGTTTACGGAAAGGAGAAATAAATGCTCCTAAGTTGGAATTAGGTTTCAGAACAACCTCTGTACTTTTTTTCTGATTATCTCTGGTCCTCAAAGGCAATTGCAGATGGAGCCCTGGTGAAGTACGCTCTCTCTGATGTCAGTGAGCCAGTTGCTTCTGTTATACTTGGCAATCCAGGTGAACAGCCTGCGTTTAGCTTTCAGATCAATGCCCCAGGTGTTGATTCAATATGGCAAACAGCTTATGTGTGTTGCTCTAAAGGCCCTGTTCAGCTTCTCCTTTTTTCTTTTCTTATTAAAATAAGCCCCTCAAATTCAACGGAGGAAATGTTAGATCTTGGAAGACAAACTGACTTAAATCAGATAAGGGCTGCTAAAGCAGGGTTTATTTTTACTTTGTGTGGGGAACTTCCGCAAGTTGAGCAAGAGTTATGCCCCCGATCCTATTTTTGCTCTTTTTTCAACCCTTGTAGAGAGAATGCCATCTTCTTTCACATGACTCCTTCTTGTTTCTATGTCTAAAGACAAGTAGAACTATGAAAATGATGGGGAATTTTTATCTTCATTTTCCCCCCATATATCCTGTTCATCAAAATAAGGAAAGAATGACTGTAAGGTGTATGGATGTGCTTTGCTCAAGAATAGGCCAAGGCGGACATCCAGGCCAGCATGACTTAGTGAGTTTAGGGTGCAGGTGTATACTCCACTTTTTATATAATCTGTTTAAGTTCACACTTGGCTCTGAGTCACTACTGTCTGTAAAAAGTATAACTGCCCCGCTGATGCCAGACAGGCGCTCTTGTGCTGGGGCCAAGAGAAAGAGAGAGAGTACTGCAAGACGGAGAGAAGGGAGCCATGGCTCGCACTCGTGCCCAGAGAGAGAAAGAGTTAAGCTGCTAACACTGTAAGGGAGAGCTGGCCTTGCAGGCTGGTCCTGCGGCTGTGTGTGGGAGTTGGCTGCTGACAGGGGCCGCAGAGCCGGAGCAAACAGCCGAGATAAAGGCAGAGAGTATAAGAGAGCTAGTGTGAGAGAGCTGCTGATAAGAGAGCTGCTAAATAAAACTACCTTTCACCTGCCATCTGCCCATCCACCCACTCCCATCAGACCTCAGCTGGGGCTGGAACCTGACCCCGAGCATGACATTTGGAGTAGTCGTGGCCCTGGCATAACAAGGACCCTTTAGTAGCATACATGATTTTGTATACACAACTCCAATATATGCTGCTCAGGATGCATTTTGCGTACCACAGGGCTGCTTTCCAATAAACAAACACAGTCCTTGGTTCTGTACTCTTCTAACCTAGGCACGCGGTCTCTGTGTTCCCTTGTCCATATCACCTGCCACTGTGGGAGAAATGTGTTGTGCAATGACCACAAAGAGGGCATATGCGGGAAGAGAGGCTTATAAGTGGCTGATCTCCGACATACTGTGGGTTGGAGTCGGGAAGAGGTCCTCATCCTTACCACAGGTAATGCCCTGTGTCTCAGCTGCAGGTACTGGGGGTCCACAGTGACGCTAAAGAAGCATCTTCTCCCACAGTGGCAGTTGTGAGCCAGCTGGTTTGGATAATGAGGGCTTTGCCAGTGGTTCTCAAGCTGTGGTCCCTGGACCAGCAGTACCACCATCACCTGGGAACTCATTAAAAATGCAAAATTTTGGCCGGGCACGGTGGCTCAAGCCCGTAATCCCAGCACTTTTGGAGGCCGAGGCGGGCAGACCAGGAGGTCAGGTGTTTGAGACCAGCCTGGCCAACATGGTGAAACCCTGTCTCTGCTAAAAATACAAAAATTAGCCGGGCGTGGTGGTGCTTGCCTGTAATCCCAGCTACTCAGGAGGCTGAGGCAGGAGAATCGCTTGAACCTGGGAGGTGGAGTTTGCAGTGAGCTGAGATCACGCCACTGCACTCCAGCCTGGGCGACAGAGTGAGACTCTGTCTCTAAAAGAAAAAGCAACATTTTGACTCCTGCCATCTCCAGATCTACTAAACCAGAAACTTGAGGGATAGGGCACTGAAAGCCATGCTTTAACAAAGGCTTCAGGTGATTTCATGCACATTCAACTTGGAAAGCCTCTGCCCTCACTTTGGGCTACACCTGCTGGAGCTAGGGTTACTGGCAGACTAAGCAGTGTTACGCAGCCTGTTGCCAGGAAGTCTGGACCATGAGCCTCCAAACTCTGCTTATTTGCTTTCTATTGTTTTCACTGTCTTGTCTCTAGGATATATAAATGTGAATTCCTACATATAACACAAGAGATGCACACACACACACACACACAGGGTTCAAACTTTCATAAAGTCCTAATATTCTAATAGAGAAACCAAACCACAGCAATTATTGTATAAGAAATATACTCGAAGGGGAGCTCAGGAATTTGCACTTTTAGCAAGTTCCTAGATGATGCTGAAGCTACTGGTCCAAGGAACACATTTTAAGAACTTCCATCCAGATGAATCTGTTTTCACTACTGAGGGCTTAGCTTCCCCTTGAGGGTAGAGATTGTTTGTGTGTGTGTGTGTGTGTGTGTGTGTGTGTGTGTGTGTGGGTGGGTGGGTGGGTTTTCTATTTTGTTTTTGTTTGTGCCCCAGCCCCGAGCCCAGTGCCTTGTACATATTCATGCTGGATAGTTTTTAAATTAATAAACATCATTGAAAGTGCAACTGAGGAGACTCAGAAGGAGGGTACTCTGTTTGCCTACCCATCTGTCAATCATCTTTGCCTCATCACCACCCAAAAGAAGACAGTGGGAAAGTCTAGGATTTTCAAAAGGAGTGTTCTAAATTTGGATGCGAAATACTAGAGTAGCGGTAGAGGTAATGTACTAGTTTCTACTTGCTGCAGTAAATTACTTAGTGGCTTCACACAATGCAAACTGATTTTCTTACAGTTCTGGAGGCCAGATGTCTGAAATGGGTCTTATGAGGCTAGCGTCAAGGTGTCAGCTGAGCTATGTTCCTTCTTGAGGCTCTGGGGAAAAATCTGTTTGATTACCTACTACGGTTTCTAGAGGCCACCTGTATTCCTTGTTTCATCGCCTCCTTCCTCCATCTTCAAAGCCAGCAGCATAGCATGTTCAAATCTCAATCGCTCTCTTGTGGTCTCTCCTCTGCCTCTACCAACGCATCTCCTTCCCTCTCACTGACTCTCCTGCTTCCCTATTTGCTTATAGATATACTTGTGATTACACTGGGCTCACCTGGACACTCCAGGACATTCTTCTCTTTTCAAGCCCCCCAACTTAATTACATCAGCATCGTCTCTTTTCCTGTGTAATGTAACACATGGAAAGGTTCCTGGGATTAGGATGAGGACACCTTTGGGGGACCATTGTTCTGTCTACTCCAGGCAATTAAAAACAGTAACCCTTAATGTTCTCTTCAACCCCACATTTTATTTGGTGACTGGACTAAAATTTTTATTCCTTACTATAGGTGATAAAATAGTAAGATATCTTCTGGATATGTTCCTGTATTGTCAGAGATAACTTTGAGATCTACTTATTGAGTATCTCTTAAACAGGTAGACTTTGGAGATATGAAATATACATATTTATGTATATACACACATGTATATATATATATATAAGACACATTATATTATATAACTATATTTATCTTGTCTAGTATTTATCCTATCTAATTACTAGATGTTACGCAAGTTTTAGTTTCTCATTGCATAAGGTTTCCTATAATATTTTGTTAATGGAAAAATAAGAGTAATGTAACAAAGTGTAAAATATTGACTATATTAATTTTGAAAAGTACTCCCTTACATTGAAATTATATGACCATATCTTAATACGTTACGAAAAATGAACCTCTTAATCCTGAATATTTTTACTTTATGAACTATGTTTGTAAGTATATGAAACAAAAGAACAGATGAAGTAAATTATGTTTAAAGTTTGAGGAACAAACCAAATATGACAAATGGAAAAAAAATTCTCCTTTGAAATTTTTCTTTCAGAAGAAATATCTATTTTTCCCTTTTTCCCCATTTCTCTGCAGTTTATAAAATTAGGTTCAATTTAAAATGAAGGCTAATAAACTATGACAACATCTCTGAAAAATGAACTCATGTGCTTCTATGTAAAAAATGTAAATTCAAACAATGGGATGATATTATTGGTTAGAAACGTGACTGATTCATCTCGACAACATTTCCTTTGAAGTTTCACAATGAAATAAAGCAATCACATACAATCAATCCAAACCCCTTGCTATTGTTCAAATGCTTGCCTCCCTTTTTCTCTTTTTTCTTAATCATTGCAGCAGATGTCATAAAATAAATGTAGTGAAACATTCAAACAGCAAGTTCCCTAATTGTTTCCATCTTGATTATAAAAACACATTGAAAGGTAAATCCTCATGGTGAAATCGATGAAAAAAATAATTAACATTCAAAGTACTCCTTATACCACCTGCTTTTTACATACTGTGCTGAAATGAAGGCACCTGATGTATAAAGAGCAATGAAAAGAAATTGAGTTTCCTTCTGAAGCAGAGAGAAAAGCAGCACTTACATTTGAAATCCAAATCAAAATGGATATATCTTTTGCACAATCAGTAGGATCTGGAAGTTCTTGCACCTGATGTGAAGTGGTTGAGTCTAAATCCAAATGCAGTAAGTATGTCATCCAAAACCTATCACATAATAGTTTGTGGCCATTCGTTTACTAAAATAAAGCCTTTTATGTAAATGTTGAGCCTCTATTCCAACCACTGTATAAATGTACAAATTAAATTTTGGGTTGACAATATTTTGGTTTTTACAAAAAATGTATACATAAACATCCATATTATTACAATCACTATCTACTCCACATACATTATAGATTAGACTTGCACTTGTTCTGTCACTGAAATGGTCTTTCTGTCTGAATGTTTATGATTAGGATCTTTAGTTCACAGTCATAATGCAAGTCTGACTTGTAGTATACTAAGAGAAGGCAAAGATCAGTTCGCGGGAAAGTAGGTAGAACCTTCTTTACTTTATGAACTCTACGTACAGTGGCAGAAAACTGTACTTAAAGGAAACTTAAACTATTATTCTAAGAGAGAAAGAGCCAAACAAAATGAGACTGACCAGATAAAGCCAAGTCAAAGTAAGGTAATAGGCTTCTGAGTACAGGGTTGTAGGGATTACTCCATTCCACTTATGGCCTGAAATACTTGAGGCCCAAGACATGCTACCTTGGGGCCCCTTTAAGGGAGGCTGACATCAGAGGGCACCATTTTCTTCCAATCTATCAGGTTGGGGAGGGATGCAAACACAGCAAAGACTATGCTTACAGAAGGGCATGGCATTGTGAGAATAAATCCATGTTTCCATGGAAACATCTCAAGTGGATGCGTATATGTCTGTGTGTGTTGACAAAGATTCATAATTTGAGAGTTATTGTATGAAATGAGGGAGTTCACATTCAGGGTAACATTGGGCTTTATATAAATAGACTGGGGCTCAGCAGTATTTTTCTATAAAGGGCCAGGTAGTAAATGTTCTAGATTTTTTGCATGTTCTAAGAAAACTTTATTTATTTCATATAATCCCATATGAATTCAATACCAAAGGCTGACAGAGTGCGATAACTGTAATAATTTTGGGTTCTTACTGACTTTAGTCTGTAAAATGACGTGGAAAACAAAGGAATCAATGATGAATCAAATCATTTGTCTGCATTCTAGTTGGCAGTGAGTCTCCACACTCCGTGGCATGGCCAGAAAGGCTATGCATGCTCTCATTCTAACCCTGGGTTTTCACCCTATCACTTCTACTTTAATAATTCTGCACCACCATTCTAGCTTTTATTGACAGCTTGGGCTGCCAGAAGAGAGCAAGGTGGCTATACTTACACTAGACAAAATAGACCTTAACTAAAAAATAGTCACAAGAGACTAGAAAAGGTCATTGTAATAATAAAGGAATCAATTTATCAAGAAGATGTACAATTGTATGTATTTATCCACCAAACATCAGAGCATCTAAATATATAAAGCAAATACTAATAGAATTGAGAGGAGAAATAAATAGCAATACAATAATAGTAGGGGACTTTAATACTCCACTTCAATGATAGATAGGTCACCCAGAAAGAAAATCAATAAAGAAACAACAGATTTGAACAACATTATAGAGTGAATGAACCTAACAGACACCTAACATTCCATTCAATAACTGCAAAATACATATTCTTTTCAAGCGCACACAGAACATTCCCTAGGATAGATCATATGTTAGGCCATAAAGCAAATCTTAAGTTCATTGAAATCATGTCAAGTATTTTTTCTCATCACAAACATATAAAACTAAAAAACAATAACAGGAAGAATTTTGGAAAATTCACAAATATATGGAAATTAAATAACACAGTCCTGAACAACCAATAGGTCAAAAAAGAAATCACAAAATTGAAAGAATCTTGAGACAAACAAAAATGGAAACACCATATAACAAAACTTACAAGATGCAGCAAAAGCAGTTCTAAAAAGAAAGTTTATAGTTATGAATGCCTACATTAAGAAAAAAAGATATCAAATAGCCTAACTTTACACTTTAAGGAACTAAAAAAGAAATAAAGCCCAAATTAGTAGAAGAAAAAAATGGTAAAAATTTAGGACTGAAATCTCTAATCTCTCATGAAATCTCTGATCTCTAATGAAATAGAGAATAGAAAAACAATAAAAAGGATGAACAAAAATGAGGTTTTTAAAAAAAATTAACAAAATTTACAAACTTTTAGCTGACTAAAGAAAAAAGAGGACTCAGCTGGGTGTGGTGGCTCATGCCTGTAATCCCAGCACTTTGGGAGGCCGAGACGGGCAGATCACGAGATCAGGAGGTTGAGACCATCCTGGCTAACACGGTGAAACCCTATCTGTACTAAAAATACAAAAAATTAGCCAGGCTTGGTGGCGGGTGCCTGTAGTCCCAGCCACTTGGGAGGCTGAGGCAGGAGAATGGCATGAACCCAGGAGGCGGAGCTTGCAGTGAGCCAAGATCACACCACTGCACTCCAGCCTGGGGGACAGAGCAAGACTCCGTCTCAAAAAAAAAAAAAAAAAAGAGAGAACTCAAATAAATAAAACTATAAATGAAACAGTGATGTCACAAGTGATGCCAAAGAAATACAAGGGTTCATAAGAGACTGCTATGAACAATTATATGCCAACAAATGGGATAACATAAAAGAAATGAATAAATTGCTAGAAGCATACAATCTAACATGGCTGAATCACGAAGAAACAGAATATCTGAATAGACTAGTAATGAGTAAAGAGATCAAAATAGTAATCGAAAACCTCCCAATAAAGAAAAGCCCACAACCAGATTACTTCATTGGTGAATTCTACCAAACATTTAAAGAAGAATTAATGCCAATTTTACCTAAACTCTTCCAAACAAATTGAAGAGAAGGGAACATTTCCAAATTCATTTTATGAGGCCAGCATTACCTTGATACCAAAGCTAGATAGAAACACTACAAGAAATAAAAATTAAAGGCCAATACCCTTGATGAAAATAGATAGAAAACATTTCAACAAATTACTAGCAAATTCAACAGCAGTTTAGAAGGATGGAGGGATTTACACCTGGAATTCAAGGATGGTTCAACATATGGAAATCAATAAATCTGATATACCACATTAACAAAATGAAGGATGAAAATCTTATGATCATCTGAATATATGCAGAAAAAGCATCTGACAAAATTAACCATTCTTTCATGATTAGGAAAAAAAACACTCAACAATTTGAGTGTAAGAGGAATGTACTCCAACATAATAAAGGCCATATATGACAAGCCCACAGCTGTCATCATACTCAATGGTAAAAAGCTGAAGGCTTTTCCTCTAAGGTCAAGAACAAGACAAAGATGCCCCTACTCACCACTTCTATGCAACATAGAACTAGAAGTCCTAAACAAAGCAATTAAGCAAGAAAAAGAAATAAAAGCCATTCAAATCAGAAAGGAAGAATTATGATTTTCTCTGTTTATAGATGACATAGTCTTATTAAAAACCTTACAGACACCAACAAAAAACTGTTAAAACTAATAAATTCATTAAACTTGCCGAATTCGAAATCAACAGAAAAATCAGGTGCATTTCTATACACTAGCAATGAATATCTGAAAATCAAATAAAGAAAACTATCCATTTATAGTAGCATCAGAAATAATAAAATACTTAGGAATATATATAACCAAGGCAGTGAAAAATCTGTACACTGAAAACTGTAAAATATTGATGGGAAAATTGAATAAGACACAAATAAATGTAAAGATATTCCATACTTATGAATCAAAAGAATTAATGTTGTTAAAATGCCCAAATACCTAAATCGATCTATACATTCAACGTAATCCCTATCACAATTTCAAGGGCATTTTTCACATAAAAAAAGAAAACAATCCTAACACTCATATGGAAACACAAAATATCCCAAATAGTCAAAGCAATCTTGAGAAAGAGGAAAAAAGCCAGAGACATCACACTTACTGATTTCAAACTACATTTCAAAGCTATAGTAATCAAAACAGTATGGTACTGGCACAACAACAGACACACAGACCAATAGAACAGAATTGAGAATCCCGGAAATAAACCCATGCATATAAAGTCAATTAATACTTGACAAGGATGTCAAGAACACACAACAGTGAAAGGATAGTCTCTTTCATAACTGATGCTGGGAAAACTGGATACCCACATAGAAAAGAATAAAATTATACTTCTGTCTTATACCACTCACAGAAATTAACTTGAAATAGATTAAAAACTTAAATGTAAGACCTGAAACCATAAAACTCACATAAAAGACATAGGAAAAAACTTCTCAATGTTGGTCTTGGTAATGATTTTTTGGACATGACATCAAAAGCACAAGTGAAAAAAGCAAAAATAAATAAACAGATATTCATTAAACTAAAAAGCTTCTAAACAGAAAAGGAAATAATCAACAAGGTGAAAAGGCAACATATAAAATGGGAGAAAATATTTGTAAACCATTTATATGATAAGGGGTTAGTATCCTAAACATATAAGAATTATAATAAAACAGATTACCTGATTTAAAAAAGAAAATCTGATTAAACCAAAAATCAATGAAGAGTTTGAGTCAGTAATCAAAAACCTCTCAACAAAGAAAAGCCCAGGACCAGGTTAATTCACTGGTGAATTATACCAAACATTTAAAGAAGAATTAATGACAATCTTACTCAAACTCTTTCAAAAAAACTGAAGAGAAGGGAAGACTTCCAAATTCATTTTATGGGGCCAGCATTATGTTGATACCGAGACCTCAGTAGACATTTTTCCAAAGAAGACTTATAAATGGGCAATAGATATGAGATAAGGTGCTGAACATTACTAATCATCAGGGAATTGGAAATCAAAATCACAATGAGATATGACCTTACACTTGTTAGGGAGAGTTTCATTAAAAAGGCAAGAAAGAACTAACAAGTGTTGGTGAGGGTGTGGAAAAAAGGGAACCTTTTACACTGTTAATGGAAATGTAAATTAGTACAGCATTATGGAAAATAGTATGAGATTCCACAAAAAATTAAAAATAGAATTACCAAATGATCCAGCCATCCCACTTCTGGTTACATATCTGAAGGAAGAGAAATCAGTAGCTTGATGTCTGCACTCTCGTGTTCATTGCAGCATTATTCATAATATCCAGGACACAGAAACAACCTAAGTGCCCATAGATGCATAAATAGAGAAAAATGTGACACACACATACACACACACACACACACACCTCACATTTGTATACATAATATGTATACAATGGAATATATATGTATAATGGAATATTACTCAGCCATAAAAAGAAGGAAATCCTGCCATTTGTGACAACATGGATGAAACTTGAGGGCATTATGCTGAGTGAAATAAGACACAGACAAACACTGTGTGATCTCATTTATATGAGGAATCTTAAAAAGTTAAAAAAAAAAAAAAAAAAAAGGCCGGGCATAGTGGCTCATGCCTGTAATCCCAGCACTTTGGGAGGCCGAGGCAGGCAGATCATGAGGTCAGGAGATCGAGACCATCCTGGCTAACACGGTGAAACCCTGTCTCTACTAAAAATACAAAAAAATTAGCCGGGCACGGTGGCGGGCGCCTGTAGTCCCAGCTACTCAGGAGGCTGAGGCAGGAGAATGGCGTGAACCTGGGAGGCGGAGCTTGCAGTGAGCCCAGATCGCGCCACTGCACTCCAGCCTGGGTGACAGAGCGAGACTCCATCTCCAAAAAAAATAATAATAATAAAATAAAAAGTTAAAAAAAAAAAAAGACTTACATCCTGAGCTCTATGCTTGGGATGAGCCCAGCAGTGGCTTTGTCTGTTTTCCTCAGTTTCAGTGATAGTGTCTATATAATTTCTGGCACATATTACATGTGCATTAAAAGCATTTGTGGAATGTATGAATAAAACCATTTATGACTTTCTTAGTTATACAATGTGCAGTAGGGTGCACTGATGTGCTAGTAAGGATCCCACTGCTAGTCATTAGAGTTAGTAGAAAAAAAATAACTCAATTATATATCAATTGAGTATATCAAATATACTCAATTATATCACTTGTAATCAAGTTTCCATTTTCTAGTCTCAGTGTAGTAGTTTTCACTGTGAAATAAATAATACTATATTTCCTAATATAAAGTACACTGCTTTCACATCTTAACATCTTTGAAACAGTGAATTGTTACAAAATTTTTGTTGGTCAGGACACGATGATACAATTTATCATACCCATATATGCATTAGCATCAAAACCAAAAGTACTCAAACTTGCAGAATGAGTTTCAATGACTTAGGTGAAAATCTCTGAAAAATAATAAATATGGAGGGAGGTGGTGAGTCAGGAGTGTTTTAACTGCCTCTAAGTAGAAGCAAAAAAGAAAAAATAGGCTAACTCTCTATATGATAGCAAGACAGACTTAAGTCTTAAGAGACTTACAAGCCAATGAGTTTTAAATTCTTTATGAATTCTCTTAAGTTCTGAACCATCAAAGACATTGGCAGAGGACAATATTGTGTAATAAAAACAGATATTGATGACTTTGACTGAAAGTGATTTAGAAGTAGGACCCTGAACCTGATGAAGTTTTAGCAGTATCATAACTAATTCCTTTAGCCTAACATTTTCTTTTTATGTATTCTCAAGAGTGATATATGAAAACGTTCTACATCTTGTTCGAAGAGTTTTTTTAAACACATAAAATAAAAATCCTAAATGATACAAAATTATTGTGTCTTACTTTAATAAGCCAGATTTTAGAAAATTTATTAATAATATGTAAAATAATGGCACATCTCACAACTGAGGCATCTTAGAAGTACAACTTCATCTACAGTGTGTGTACAACTATATAAAATGTAGAATAGCAGTACTTGCCATAAAACAATAGCAAGTAAACTACAACCTCAGATGAAGTTGGAAGCTACTGCCCTACTCTGATACTACCCTAGTATTTTATCACTGTCTATCAAATGTATCAAATAGTGAACAATAACAAATAAGTGAGGTGGTAAACAGGTTAAAAAAAGGGCAGTTTTGCCTTCAGTATACTGTCAAGAAAAATTGTCTAAGACTTGACAATGGATAAAAGAGATCCCTGGGTGTCACTGGGGTGGAAGGTTGGGTGTCACCCTCCAGATAATCCCTCTGTGGGATTATCTGGTTCTATGAGGGTGTATTCCTTTGACCAGCTTTCTATTCACTAGACTATTTTACACATCTGTACAGGTAGAAGGTAACATGTAGAAAACTTGTAGTAATGAAAATGAGATTTGTTCATATCAGTGAAAACGAATTTTGTCTGATAGAAGGAAAGGATATGTTGTATTGTCCTGTATGATATTAGCCAGTTTGGAAATTTTCAGTGCTCCTGAATTGTGTGTGATTGTATGGATATATTCAGTGTTTCTGAATGTGTGTGTATTATGGATCCATGTGTATATCCATATAGCCATAATTCCTAATCAATATACAGTGATGTATTGCTTAAGGTGAAGATACATTCTGAGAAATATGTTGCTAGGTGATTTCATGATGCAAACATCATAGAGTGTACTTACACAAACCTCGATGGTATAGCCTACTACATACCAAGGTTATATGGTGTAGTCTATTGCTCTTAGGTTATAAACCCATACAGCATGTTACTGTGCTGAAGACTGTAGATAATTATAATACAATGGTAAGTATTTGTATGTCAAAACATAACTAAACATAGAAAAGGTACAGTAAAAATGTAGCATCATAATCTTATGGGACCACCGGGACATATACGATCTGTTGTTGACTAAAATGTCACTGTATAGATGATAGATGGATTTTATACACACACACACACACACACACACACACACACACACTCTTCAAATTCTCCTTTGAACCAGTTTTAACATCTTAATGATTCCCTTACTAGTTAATCATTTAAATAAAATATTTTACTTGTATTGATTTTATAGTTGTATGACAGCCATAATTTTATCTTTCTGAAAATTTCAATTTAGCATTATATAATGTCTTTGGAAGGAAGTTAAATATAAGGAACAAATGTTAATAATTATACTCACTATCTTTAGAGAAGGTTAATTTTCTGAAGTATTTCAGGATCATATATGTAAAACAATATTATGTTTAGATGAAGGTACACATTAATCTTTTTATTAGTTGTGAAAAAAATTCAGGTACTTTATGCACAGAGAGTTGAGTTGTAGAACTCTAATTCGGCAGAGAGGAGTAAAAAGCTCAATATTTAAAGACAGAATTCCACTTATGTGAGTCATCTTTTGTTTCTGCAAATTATTTTGATAAACCACGTGGTTTGATAAGCCACATGGTTGTAGAATCATACACCTCAGGGCAAGACCAGAAGGACACAGGCATGATACAAAGTTAAACTGTAAATGAAACTGGAGTGTTAGGAAGTGCAAGAAATCAAAGAAGACAAAGGGCGATACAGGATGTAGCCGGATGCTGGAGACTTAGAAGAGATGGTCTCTTAAAATTCCCCAGATGGGCAAGCACAAGTTAATTACAAGTATTGACCCTAACATTCACTTAAACCTACACACATCCTTGAGTTTGTGGTACTGCACGGAGTGAAGGGATGAGAGGTGGTGGTGGTGTCTGAGTGGGAGCCATAGTGAGAACTAGAGACAGCTTACGAAAAAAGGAATGGCAAAGGCTGAAGTGAGAACCAGAGGCAGGAGCTTGGAGCCTGAGATTAGAAGAAATAAACCTGACACCAAAGAATTCTCAGAGATATTGGAAGGAATGATAGATTTCTCCTAACATGAAAAATGGAGTTTCAGGGCAATTTTTTTCTAAATCTTTAAAGACAAGATGATTGCAGCAAGCTAGAGGATTTGAACAAACTCAAGAGGCCTGCATAACTTTCTTACTGGGTAGATACATGTGAACTTTATACACGTATAATCTAACTTTACGCATATACACATGCATATATGCTATCCACACCAACATCATTATTGTAGCAAGAAATCAAAGTGCAAGACAAAGTGCAGTGAATATACCTTTTATTCTTCTATGTTTTTTAACTTTAAAATTATAGGTCAGTTATGCAGCATAATTTGAATGAACTGGTTCTATATGTTTACATTGCATACATAGAGACATGTAGAAAACCTAAACAATTTAGCTTAAAACTTTATAATTTTTATGTTCAAGGTACTTAACCAATATGAGGAATTTCATTAGATACTAAAATATTCATAAAACCCAAACAGAGACCAGCATTTTTAATTTAACTGATATCCTAAAACATAATTTTGGTTGTTGAATTTCAGATTCAAAATATTATTAAAAAAGAAGAAAACAAATGGTAAAACTGCCCTAGAAAACTAAATGATTGTGCTGCTAATATGAATAATATAGTATTACTAAACTTGACTTCATTTGAAAAGAGATACAAAGACTTTCTGAAGGTAGAATGTTCCAGTAAGTTTGTTACTCAACATGCAAGTGTATATAGTATTTTGCATGAATCAAAAATATGCCTGAGCAATGATTCTTTATAGCCAAGAACACAGTCTGTATATGATGGCCCAAGTGTTAGGTATTCTATTCCCAGGGACATGTCCACTGTGCTATTGTGTAATACACAGGTATTCTGTGTATGGCAACACTGCTAGTGCAAGCTCTGCTTTTCAAGGAGAGAAGAAAGGGCTCTGCCAGTGATGTAAGAATCCTATGAGAAATGGAAAACACCAAGGGCTATACAGGGGTGCTTTGTAGATGAGATAAACCTCTAATGGATTTGATTGGTAGAAGCAGAAGAGAAAGTCCCTCACTTGCTATGTGTTCACTAAAAGATGAAATCGTAGCCAGAGGAGTTGCAAAAAAAGATGTTTCCCACATGGACTAAGAAAGATGGTGATGGAAATCCAGCTTGGTTCTGAGCAGAGTTTCTGTGTAAACCCACCTTGAGCTAAAAGGCATTCCCCTCCCCCTTTAAAGTATCTTTAGGGAATAATTAGCTGTCCAATCATTGGTAAGTCCTAATATATTTGGCTGATTTTTTTTTGCCTGGCCTAGGGCACCTCTATATTTTTATCAATAGGGTACAATAACTAAAACTGAGGAAAACCTATGATTTCAGCTTTCAGCATGGCTGACCATTGGCTCCCATGCCATCGCTCTTGTTTCACCAAGAATGTGGTTCTTCAGAGTTGGCCTTCTAAGAAAATTTATAAAACTGGAGAACCTTATAATTGCAATTTTGAGTTCATGCCCCTCATTATTACCCTAGAGACTGGGATTCTTCGAAGTTTAAGGATTGCCAGGAATCACACAGGCAGGGCTAGAAGCCATGGCTGTCTGTACACTATGTCTCAAGGTCATGCTGGTCAGACCATGCTTGGTTCAAAACATGAACCTAAGGGCATGATACTTTACACTTGTCACTGGCTTGCACTTAACTCTTTACTTGCATGCCTGCCCATATGCATCTTTTTCTAAGAAAACATTAAACCATAGTATACTTTAAGTCTCTGTCAACATTTTGCTCAATCTTAGGTAAACAGACAAAGGATTACTATTCCACACTACACTTATTAATTGATATGAAAAATTATTGGGACCAAATGTATTCATTCTGTTTAACACTTAGAGAAAAAAATATCCAATATATATCATAATAAAACATATATGAAAATTTTGTGAAATAATAACTCGATGTTGATATAGTTAAGATTTTATGTCAAATATTTCTAAATTTGCCCAAATAACAAATGTAAGAAAGATGTTTTAATGCTGACTTTATATTTTATACTAAAACATGAGATCCTTTTCAGAGGAGATCTTCTATAATATTACTTTCCTATTTGGTTATTAACCTAAATGACGTTATTCGACTGGATTTCATATGTGTTGCAGGTCCTGCTGGGAAATCATAAAACTGGGCTCATTTAGGAAGAGGCAACGTGGCTATATCAGAAAAGCTGCCATATGTGAAACCTCACTTTCTGCCTGTTGAAATTTTTGTATTTCAGGTCTCCCAGGGACATGTCCACTGTGCTATTGTGTAATTTTATCAGCATGAACTTCTGCTGAATATTTTTCCTTCTTTTCAAAATCCATATTTTAATAGAACTAACTTCAAAACTTAATGTTGCAACATCTGTGCCCATATACCTGGGAGCCATAGAAGATGTATCCTGAAGATTATCTACATTTTCTAATCTTATAAAATGCTACAAAAAAGAGAGAAAAAGGTTATATATTTTTCCTGGTCTGGATTTTTTTTTTTTTAAAGGAATCACTTTCTGCCTCCTTAAAAGGAGTCTTAAAATAAAAGAGAAGGAATACTTCTAAAGCTATAAAGAATATCTTTACAAATGTAATAAAATACTCATTTGTTTTGTTTACAGATAATTCCTAATACATATGTACAACTTTCCATTAAGACACTATTTTGTGAATACAAAATCTGGAGCTATAGCCTCGAAATGTTTTCAAACAAGACTTTTTAATAACTAAATAAAAAGAAAGTAAAAAAAATTGCTACTTTGAATTTATTTACTAGTTTTCTTTTGTGGATCTATCAACAGCTCAATGGTTTCTTTTTTAAAAAAATAGAAGTTATGGTTGTGTTTATTTCTCAAATGGAAGATTGAGATACTGACAAACAAGGAAGTGTTTATGAATGGAGAGAAATGCCTTCCACCTGGCTTCCTTCTATTAGTTGTTTTATCTCTTTAGAATAAAATACGCAGCAATGTAAAGAGTTTAGACCATATCAAAACTGCTGGCCTGAGATGGTGCTGCCAACCAAATGGATAGAACCAGTTGTTGTTGTTGAAGGATAATGTAAAATATGTGACTTTCTACAGATTCAAAATAGTGAAGAAGAATGATAAATGGACTTGGGGAAATCACATGTGGATTTTCTTGACTTTGTCATCAATGTATCAAATTATGATAAATACTAAATACTTATGGAGTGCATTCTATGTGTCATGCATTGTTTTAATTGCTTTGCACGTTTTACTTATTAAATTTGCACCATAACTATATGTGACAGGTACTTTTGCCATCATCATCTTACAGATGAAGAACCTGAAGCAGATAGGTTAAGTAACTTGTCCAAAGTCACCCAGCTTGTCAATGGTGGAGCAGAGCTACTGCAGAGCACCATGAATCTACATTGCCTCCTTTTCCTATGAGTACTTTTCACTTGGATGCAAAGTATAAGATGACAAATGTGATGCACTTAAAATTATTTCAAATTTAAACACCAGAAATATTCAAGGCAGGACCAAGTGAAATATCTATGATAAAGATGGGAAGAGAAAATGTGGTTAATTCAAGACTACCAGCATTAGTCATCTTACAGTGAAAAGTCAAATTTTAATAAAGAAATTCAACCTCATCGTTGCTAAAAGCAAGTAGCAGAATTTCACCTTGCTTTTTTCCCACATGCTATTCCACCATTATCAGAAAAAGATTGGCATATTTACAAGGAAGAGAGGAAAGGTGGATATTTAATTCTTCAGTCATCAGAGTAGTGTTCAATGCTTGGGAAGGCTCTGGGAGAAGGGAAACATGTCAATGTGCCGAATGCCAGCTTTTTTCTTATAGGTCAAGTCAAAAGAGGAAAACGTACAGCTGTTTGATTTTCCTCTTTACCATTTGCATTTCTTGAAATGCAATAAACAGAGCCAACAATTTCTGCTACAGAGAAATTAAGCTAACACGCACAGCATTGTCTATTTCACATTTTTAAACTACAATTGAGGAGAGCAATACCATATATCTGATTCTGAGTAAGGGTTGTTTCAATTCTCAGTTATCAATATTAGACATGAAATAACTTTGAATATACCCTTTATTTGACTTAACAGGAAAGTGGAGTCGTGAGTCTGAACTAGGATTTGCAATAGCGAAAAGCTTATTAGAGGCATAGACATGGAAGAATATTGTACTGTAAATGCAGTCAACATTTTAAAAGTGTCAAAATCTCTAACATGGTTTAGCAATTAAACTGTCAATGCCCCTGCCAAGAAGAGTTCATAATTTGGAAGCTGTAGTTGCTATTGACCTGATTTTACAATTGAGATCATGTCTGAGTTTTAATTTGGAAACAAAATTGATCACTGTGTTCTATAAACAAGGCCTGTCAAGTTATTACTCTGCAACTGCTTTGCAAATACATATTTATTTAAGAGCAGTATGATTTATGATATACTGTAACAAAAATTATTTTATTAGCTTCTTTTAAGAGATTGCTTTATATTTAAAAATTGAATTCTTTAAGTTCTTCAGTTAACACTAAATTAACCAGAATAGTTTTTTTAAACACATTTTTAAAAATATTTCTATCTTCACTCCAATACATTGGCTTTTTGCCCCAAATGCTGCTTTAATATTTAAGGAGTGTTCATTCCTCTTGAGTTTTCAGAAATCATTATAATGCTCACTTTTTTTAAAACAGTATTCAATATGATTGCATCCTAATATTAGCAAGCAAGATTGCAATTTAGGTTCATATAACATGCATATTTTACATAAATTGTTTCTTTCATCACTACTATACTAAGGAAGACAGATGAAATCAATACAAAAAGGCCAGTCTATTTGCTCTAAAGCCATTTCAGATTTTGTATGAACTTTATCCCTCTAGTCCATAGTTTTGATTTCTTATAGGCTTTCTCAATACTGTAATTTTAAAAATTTAAATTGAATCTAAATGAATAACAAAAACATCTTTATGCTATATGTAATTGCTATAAGTCTTCCGAGTATTTTCTTTTGCTACTTCTAGATTTTACTCTACTTTCAAACGGAGATTTGGGGTTAAGGAAATGTTCGTTTTCCCCCTTTACAAACTGTAATTGCATGAGAATAACTTTGATGGTTGAATTCTAGGCAGGAATCCAAAGAAACTCTCCATTCTTGATGGGTTAATTTAAGAGCAGTCCTACCTTTTTCACCTTCTTTTTCTTCTTGGTCCTCTGTTAATGGAATCACTTCTGGTTGCTCCACAATCACGGCATCTTCTTGGTTTGATGAAAGTTCTAAATAGAATGAGACAGATGGACACTCAGGGTTGTTTTAGTTGGAATCATTGAGAGAATACTGTGACTATGGTATAGAAAGTTAGAGTTCTTTTTTCCCCCTTCAAGTTTCAATAGGTACACCAAGTTGAACACTATTGCTATCCTCCAGTAATCATTGCCTAAAACACACACACACACCACGCACACACACAGGTATATATAGAAGTCATGATTCACAGTTTCATCTCATTCTCTGATAACAATATATTTTGGTTTCAGTACCTTCTGTTTCCATATATGAGCTCTGCGATTCTGTTTCAATTTTTATTTCATTCTTCGTTGAATCATTCTCTTGTCCTGTTCAAAACAGTGATTGAAAAATAAAAGAAATGTGATATGCATGACCGTAGCTTTATTCCTGACCTTCAGAAACCGTGCTTTAATCATGCATGGAGAGATAGAGAACAGTTTTGAAACCAAAGGGCAAAGATACAATTTTTCTAATCATCAGATTTATATCAATTATTTTCTGAGAAATATCCTGATAATTTAGGAAAAAAATCTTTTTTTTGGAAACTGATGCAAAATTGGCATACTTACTTAGCTTATGAATGCACAGGATATGGATAGAGGACACAACCTGGAAATTTTCAAATTTTACAATAATTTCTGGGCTGTATGGGTTAACTACATTTAATTTCCTTTTAAGATACAAATATTTCCCATAGTGAGGATTCCTAGAAAATGAAAACACTACTTGCACTTTCATTTTTCCATCAACAGAGCATAAAAAACTTGAGTAATGTGGGCACAAGGGAACTGGGGGGATAACAGCTCTGAGGGAAGAGAGAGACCCTCCCGTATCGCTTTATATTGTTTTATACTCGGTACCTGTTTTGAGAGAAAAACAAGGAAGTAAAACCAAAGACAGGCAGCCCGGCACCAGCCCCGAAACCAGGCCTGGGCCTGCCTGGCCTAAACCCAGTAGTTAAAAATCAACTCATAACTTAGAAACCGATGTTATTCATAGATTCCAGACATTGTATAGAAGACTATTGTGAAACTCTCTGCCCTGTTCTGTTTCACTCTGACCACCGGCGCATGCAGCCCCTGTCACGTACCCCCTGCTTGCTCAAATCAATCACGACCCTTTCATGTGAAATCTTTAGTGCTGTGAGCCCTTAAAAGGGACAGAAATTGTGCATTTGGGGAGCTCGGATTTTAAGGCAGTAGCTTGCCGATGCTCCCAGCTGAATAAAGCCCTTCCTTCTACAACTCGGTGTCTGAGAAGTTTTGTCTGCGGCTAATCCTGCTACGTTTCTTGGTTCCCTGACGGGGAAACGAGGTAACTGATGGACAGCCGAGGCAGCCCCTTAGGCGGCTTAGGCCTGCCCTGTGGAGCATCCTGCGGGGGACTCCGGCCAGCCTGAGTGACAGGATCCAAAGAGCACTCCCGGGTAGGAAATTGCCCCAGTGGAACGCCTTGCCAGAGCAGCGCATAGCAGGCCCCCGTGGAGGATTAACACAGTGGCTGAACACTGGGAAGGAACTGGCACTTGGAGTCCGGACATCTGAAACTTGGTAAGACTAGTCTTTGGAACTTGCCCCACTCCATCTGAGTGGAAGAGTGGCCTGATCACCCACAGTGTGCCTGCATTGGCACTTTTGTTCTGGTTTTGACTTGACTTGAATTGCTAGATACTTTGGTTTTGGTTTTGACTTGTCTTGAATCTTTTGGAACTCGGATTTTGAATTTCGTGATTTTGGCTTACTATAAATGGTAAAAGTGTGTGTGTGCCCTCCATACCCGTTCTTTGTCTTGTGGTGAGTGTGTGTGGTGTGAGCATGGTATTTTGTCTCAGGAGAAAAAACAAAAACAAAAACAGGTCCGGTGTAAGTAAGCCCACCCTACTAGGAACTATGTTAAAAAATTTCAAGAAAGAATTTAAAGGAGATTACGGTGTTACTGTGACACCAGGAAAACTTAGAACTTTGTGTGAAATAGACTGGCCAGCATTAGAGGTAGGTTGGCCATCAGAAGGAAGCCTGGACAGGTCCCTTGTTTCAAAAGTATGGCACAAGGTAACCTGTAAGCCAAGGCACCCAGGCCAGTTTCCGTACATAGACAGTTACAGCTAGTTTTAGACCCCCTTCCCCCCAACAGCAGTTAAGAGAACAGCAGCATAAGTGGCTGGCAGAGGCAAGGAAAGACCAGCAGAGAGAAAAAGAGGCCATCTATACCAATTCTAAGTTAATTCAGACTAAACAAGATCTTATTAATAGCAAAGGATAATTGAAATCCCAAACTTACAAGGTTTTCAACAAAAGTGAAGTTTGCTAAAAGTTAACAGTGTAACATGTATTATAGTAACTTCTAATCTTGTGGCCTTAGACAGTCTAGTCCAAAGACATAAAGAAAGTTCGCTTTAAAAAAGAGAAGGGCGGGGGGGGGAGGCAAAATTTATGTAAAAAGAGTGTTATATAGTAAATTCTTGTCCTGAAATAAATTAACTAGTTGTTTAAAGAAAAAAATGTAATAAGTCAAAAAGTTAAGACATGTTGAAAAATTGTCTGCAAAAGTCGTGAAAGAAAAAATGTTATAAAAAAATTTATGCAAAAAATGTTGTATAATTTAAAAGTAATAAGGCCTCCTGAGTACCATTAAAGAAACAGTTTATGTGCAAGGTGTATAAGAAAAGTAAAATATACCTTTAGTAAAAAAATTATAAAGGGACATAAAAATGTGGATTTTTACCTACATTAAAAGTTAAAAAAATTATTGTTTTAAAAATTTAAGCAAGTTTTAAAACGTTAATTGTAAAGAAAATTCTGTGTGTAAACATATTAGCTAAAGTTAAAAAGATATCACCCAGTTTTTCTGTGAACTGGACATTAAAGTAAAAATGCAACAGGTTTTTCTTAAAGCATCAACCTGCTCTTTAACAAAAATTATAAAAAGTTAAAAAAAGTCTATAAAATCTTACCTTATGGTCAAACATAAAAAATTAGATAAATATGTCTACAAGGTTTTATTAAAATTAAGTTTAACATTAATAACACACTAATATAAAAGTAAAATTTAACTTATCTACTATAAAAATCATACAAGAAACATTATTAAATATAAAATAGTATTTAGCTTTCTTTAGTCTAAAAACTAATAAAAATAGGTGTTAAAGGAAACATTCATTTTACTAAAGGATCATAGAAGTTAAAGACTTAAAACAAACTTTGGCAATTAAGACAGCATACCAAGAATGCAAATGCCTGGTTGAAATGGATCAAATATTCCATCTGCACATTAAACAAAAGCAATTGTTATGATTGTGCACATGGCAGGCCAGAGGCCCTAATTGTCCCCCTTCCACTAAGGTGGTCCTCCAGTCGACCAGGCGTAGGCTGCGTGGTAGCTCTTTTCTGAGATTCTACAGCCTGGAGTAATAAATCATGCCAAGCTCTCTCTGCTATATCCCAAAGTCCCTGCAGATCAGCACCTGAGGTCCATCCAGCTTCTGTCTCCCAACACTAAGTTCACTTTGTGTCTCTCACAGCAAGGAGGAGACTTAGCATTCCTTGGAGACCTGAAGGGATGCAGTAAGCTTAAGAATTTTCAAGAGCTTATCAATCAGTCAGCCGTTGTTCATCCCCAAGCAGATGTGTGGTGGTATTGTGGTGGACCTTTACTGGGCACTCTGCTGAATAACTAGAGTGGCACTTGTGCTTTAGTCCATTTGGCTATCCCTTTCACCCTGGCATTTCATCAACCAGAGGAAAAACAAAAAATAAGACATCGTAAAGCCAGAGAAGCCCCTTATAGGTCTTTCAACTCTCACATCTATTTAGATGCAATTGGAGCCCCACAAGGAATACCAGATCAATTTAAAGCTTGAAATCAAATAGTTACAGGATTTAAGTCAATATTTTAGTAGATGACAGTCAATAAAAATGTAGATTAGATAAACTACATCTATTACAACCAACAGCAACGAGCTTTTCATGAGTTAAAAAGAAAAACTCATGTTGGCCCCAGCCCTGAGGCTACCTGACCTGACAAAACTCTTTACACTCTATATGTCAGAAAGAGAAAAAATGGCAGTTGAAGTTTTAACCCAGACTGTAAGGCCCTGGCCAAGGCCAGTGGCCTATCTCTCAAAACAACTAGACGAGGTTTCCAAATGGCCCCCACGTCCAAGCGCCCTGGTAGCAACGGCCCTGTTAGCACAAGAAGCAGATAAGCTAACTCTTAGGCAAAACCTAAACATAAAGTCCTGCCATGCTGTGGTGATTTTAATAAATACCAAAGGACACCATTAGCTAATGAATGCTAGACTAACTAGATACCAAATCTTGCTCTGTAAAAATCCCTACATAACCATTGAAGTTTGCAACACCCTAACCCCGCCACCTTACTCCTGGTATCAGAGAGCCCAGTTTAACATAAACTGTGTAGAGGTGTTAGACTCAGTTTACTCTAGTAGGCCCAACCTCCAAGACCACCCTTAAACATCAGTAGACTAGGAGCTGTACGTGGATAGGAGCAGCTTCACCCACCCCTGCAAAGTGACTCTGAAAAAGACGACAAGCCCCGCTCCAGTCACACTCAGAAGCTGACTGGTCCACACATGGCCGAAGCATGAAGAAACTCATTGCAGGACTCATTTTCCTTAAAATTTAGACTTGTACAGTAAAGACTTCAACTGACCTTCCTCAGACTGAGAACTGTTCCCAGTATATACATCAAATCACTGAAGTGAGACAAAAGATTGCTACAGTCCTATTATTTTATAGTTATTATAAATGCCTAGGAACTCCAAAAAGAACTTGTTTGTACAATAACACTCAGCACAAAGTATGTAATCCAGGAAGTGACCTGCCCGATGTGTGCTATGACCCCTCTGAACCCCCCATGATCACAGTCTTTAAAGTAAGATTAAGGACTAGTCCTTTTCTAGGTGACACAAGTAAAGTAATAGCTAGAACAGAAGAAAGAGAGGTCCCCAAAAATGTAACCTTAAAATTTGACGCTTGTGCTGCTATTGATAGTAAGCAGCATAGAATAAGATGCGGTTCTCTGATGAGGGAAAAAAAATTACACAGCAAAAAAAAAAAGTATGTCTGTCAAGAATCATATTTATGTAAAATGTGTCAATACTGGTCTTGTGTCATTTAGGCTACTTGAACAGAAGATTAAAAAGATCCTGTTAGGCTTCAAAAAAGAAAAGTCAGCCCCTCCTGCACGAGTGAGAACTGTAACCCTTTAGAATTAGTCATCACAAACCCCTCAGACCCAAAATAAAATTAAAAAAACAATATGTATCATTAGGCATTGATAGAAAAAGACTAGACCCTAGCATAAACAGCCTAATAAGAAAGGAGGTTCAAAGACGCTCTCCAGAACCAGTATTTCAGACTTTCTAGGATGAACTAAATGTGCCAGTACCTAAGATTCCAGGAAAGACTAAAAATTTGTTTTTTGCAATTAGCTGGGCATGTAACCCAGTCTCTAAATATCACTTCATGTTATGTTTGTAGAAAAACTGTAATAAGAGATCAATGGCCATAAGAAGCCCGAGAATTAGTGCCTACAGACCCAGTTCCTGATGGATTCTCAGCCCAAAAGAATCACCCTGATCATTTCTAAGTTCTAAAAGTCTCAATTATTGCATAGCTAAACAACAACAACAACAACAACAAAAACAGGAAAAGAATTCACTCATTCTGTAAGATGACTTAGTTGTCTAAAGCAAAAACTGTATAACGATACCGCAAAAAACAGTTACATGGTGGAGTTCCAATTACACAGAAAGAGATCTATTCAGTAAATTTCCAAGGTTGCAGACTGTCTAGGCCCACCCAGAATTCCACCAGGACTAGCCTGACCCTACCAGGTTATACTGGATATGTAGACATAGAGCCTACGCTAAGCTGCCTGACCAGTGGACAGGTAGTTGTGTTATTGGCACCATTAAACCATCTTTCTTTTTACTGCCCATAAAAACAGGCGAACTCCTAGGCATTCCCTGTCTATGCTTCCTGCGGAAAACGAAGCATAGCCATAAGTAATTAAAAAGATGATAAATGGCCCACTAAAAACAAAATTATACAATACTATAGGCCTGCCACTTAGACACAAGATGGCTCATAGGAATACTGGACCCCCATTTACCTGCTCAACAGAGTCATACGGTTGCAAGCTGTTTTAGAAATCATCACTAATAAAACCGGTCAAGCCTTTACTATTCTGGCCCGGCAAAAAACTCAGATAAGAAATGCTATCTATCAAAATGGATTAGCTCTCAAGTACTTGCTAGCAGCTAAAAGAGAAGTCTATAAGAAATTTAACCTTACTAATTACTGTCTACACATAGATAATCAAAGGCAAGTAGTTAAAGACATAGTTAAAAATATGACAAAACTGACACATGTGCCTGTACAAGTGTAGCACAGATTCAACCCTAAAGCCATGTTTAGAAGGTGGTTCCCAGCACTAAGAGGACTTAAAACTCTTATAATAGGAGTTATAATAGTAATAAAAACCTGCTTACTGCTCCCTTGTTTGCTACCTGTGCTTCTTTAAATGATAAAAAATCTTCATCGCTACCTTAGTTCACCAAAATGCTTCAGCACAAGTGTACTATATGAATCACTATCAATCTATTGAACAAAAAAAATAAGTAGCAAAAATAAGAGTGAGAACTCCCACTAAGAAAAAGTGAGAGTCTCAAAAGGGGGAAATGAGGGAAGAGAGAGACCCTCCCATATCGCTTTATATTGTTTTATACTCAGTACCTGTTTTAAGAAAAAAACAAGGAAGTAAAATCAAAGACAGGCAGCCCTGCACCAGGCCCGAAACCAGGCCTGGGCCTGCCTGGCCTAAACCCAGTAGTTAAAAATCAACTCATAACTTAGAAACCGATGTTATTCATAGATTCCAGACATTGTATAGAAGACTATTGTGAAACTCTCTGCCCTGTTCTGTTTCACTCTGACCACCGGTGCATGCAGCCCCTGCCACGTACCCCCTGCTTGCTCAAATCAATCACGACCCTTTCATGTGAAATCTTTAGTGTTGTGAGCCCTTAAAAGGGACAGAAATTGTGCATTCGGGGAGCTCGGATTTTAAGGCAGTAGCTTGTCGATGCTCCCAGCTGAATAAAGCCCTTCCTTCTACAACTTGGTGTCTGAGAAGTTTTGTCTGCGGCTCGTCCTGCTACAGCTCAACCATTCTCTTAGGACACATACTAAATACAGCAAAGGTCAGGAGAGAATTCAGCCAACTCTTGATTACTTTTAGGTTGATTATCTAGTAATGGTTTTTCTTCCACACCCCTTGGCTTCTCCTCCTACCCTCCCCTGTAGCATTTAAAACATTTAAGTGCTCATTAAGAGAGGAAATTGAAATCTGGCCATTTTGCCTCGGGCTAATGAAAGATTTTGTGCTGAGGATACTTAACTATGGAATTTTTTAAAAAACATTCTAGAGCTAGGGTTGGTTATAGGTGCAAAGCAGATTCAGAGGAGCTTGGACTCTTTGCCTGAGTCCATCCCTGTGGTGGCATTATGGTTTCAACTTGTCTCTACTTCGTCCTAAAAGAGGATTATATTTCCCTGTCTGTGACAATGTGACACGCAGCAGCCCTTGTGGGACAAGTGTATGTTCCCACCACATTGACACAGGCCTGTTCATGTGACTTGTTTAGAAATGGCACTGGAACAGACATCATGTGTACTGCAACCAAGCAGAAGCCTTAAGATCCATTGTATGTTGCCTGCAGCTCTTTTGCTCCTAATAAACCATGTTCCTTCGTCTAGATCCTGAATGGAAAGCATGTGGAACACAGCCAACCCGGGCTAAGTAGAGACACAACCAGCCTTTGTTGTTGAGCCCCCAGTGAAACTGTTGGGGTTATTTGTTACTGCAGCAAAGCTGACTTATATAACCCCTCATCTTACAGTTTCCTCTCTGATACAATTATTTTTAAACTGCCCATGATACTACTTCCCCTTGATTCATTCTCTGCTAGCATGACCTGGATAAGGGAAAAATTATGTTTTTTGTGTGATATCCACTCCTCCTGAGCTCAATTTTAATCAAAAGGATCCAATAAAATAATTAAAACTAAAGCATGTTTATCTATTTGATCATTGAATATAAAAACCTCAAGCTGTTTTTGATTATTTTCTTCCATCACTCCTGACGTTTAATGAAATGCCATCTTTATGGTTCTGCAAAATATTTCGGTTTTCCCACTTTCTAGTCTCCTGCCTTCTTTCCTCATTTAGGGATATATCATCTGTCTCTTGGATCTTTCATTTTCTTCTCCTATATTCTATTTTGTGATTTGATAGCAGAAAGGCCTTTTAAAATTTGAACTTGATCAAGACCTTTCCACTTTTGAAAAAACCCATTCATCCTCATTCTTCCCCATTGCCACTCAAAGTTGTAAGGTTAGCTGAGAGAAAGAACGAGAGAGAGAGAGAGAGAGAGAGAGAGAGAGAGACCCAAGGTCAGGCGAGTAAGTTTATTAGCCTGCTGGGCTGCTCCACCACAGTCAGCGGAGGCAGCCCTGAACTTACAAAATGAGGGGTTTATATGGTGGAGAGAGACCCTGGGGTTCTTTGTCGGTTAACTTTACCACATATCATCTCGTGACCAGCTTACAATATAGGAATTTACAAGAGGGTGTAACTTAGGTTTATCCACGTTTCTCATGACCTCCCCCATGCCACCCGGAGGGCTGTAAGCAAGTCTGGCGACCTTGCTGTAGTGCCTAGATAAGGGTCCAGGAATGCAGCTGCAGAATATTCGGAGTAAGGGTCAGCTGCATTGTTTTTGGGGAGGGGGGTGGTCCTGGGGCAGCTTGTCCCTAACAAAAGTATGGTCCATGGACAAGCAACACTGGAATTACCTGGGAGCTTTTCAAAAATGCAGAATTTCAGGCCTCATCACAGACCTACAGAATCAGAGCCTGCATTGTATAACAAGATGTCCATGTGATTTGCATGCAAGTTAAACCTTGAGAAGCACTGGCCTAGAAGATGTAAGTGAATCTGCAAATTATTGATCCCATAAAAATGCCAGACTGTCCCTAGATACTTCACACGTAATCTCTAATCATCACATTACCTCTGGAAAGTAAGTGCTGTGATCTCAGTTCTGCTTTCAAGAATCATAACCAGCTCTACCTGACTACAATCCCTCTTTTCTTTTTGTTTTGCCTGGAAATGTCTTTATTTTGCTTTTTAGCTTTTAAAATTGAGATCTACTTGCATATAGTAAAATGTACAAACCTTAAGTGTATATCTTTATGACTCTTTAGATATATACACATGAATTTTCCTAATTACCATCCAGATCCTGATCACACCGTGATGTAGTTGTGTCTGTCTTTGTCTCTCTTACCAGATTAAGAGAGAAATTTTGTTTTATTCATATTTTCCTGCCCAGCACCCATTTAATAAGAAGTCATCAATCAATGTCTATTTAATTGGACCTGTATTAGAGTACTCATCAAGGTCTGTAAATAGTTATTAAGGACTATAACTTACTTTCTCTTGCATCCTTTAACAACAAGGTAAAGTCTTGTATGCTACTAAGCACTCCACACATTATATTTGTTGCAGAGAACCCTGGAATGGGAATAAAGATAACTGGATGTTTTAGGCAAATCACAACCTCTTTGACCTTTAATTTCATCATCTATTGAAAAGAAAAAAGGCTGTGGAACGAGATAATCTCCTAGGTTCATAGCTATGTCTTCAGATGAAGTTTCCAGTCACATTGACGTTTGTTTATTGGGTGGATGATACTGAGAGGGAACCTTCACTGTTTGTTTACTGAGTGAGCTTCATTCTCTATCACTGTTGCTATAGGGAACTGGCCATTGAACCTAATCATCGCACCAGGTCATTGCAAGGACCTTTAACGTACTATTTGTGATCTGGCTTCGTCTATATCATGAAGGGAAAGAGTAGAGCATCCAGAGAGGGGAAAAGGCCAAAATCTGTATTCCTGTGTGTCCCCTGGTCCCAGTGCTCCACTTGATAAATTTTCAGAGGAATTCAATCAAGAATGAGCAGGTCCCCATTTAATAGAGCCTGGGGCACTGCTGAAAAGGTGGGCCTGCTTGAGGTGGCAACCTGAGTCTGTTGATGAACACCAGGGAGTTTCTGTGACTTGTAAGGCTTGACCCTTCACTTTGAGGATAAAGTGCTATTTCAAATATCTCTTGGAATATTTCTCTTCCTTGCCCTCTAAACCTGTCTCTACTCTTGATCTGTTTCACCTGTGTGCTTTACATATTTTGACAATCTTTTCTTGAAATAGAATTTTTTTTCTCATTTTTCTTAAATAAAGTTAATTAAAAATGGGGGAAGAAACAAAACAAGGTGTCCAGCTTTGAAAACGAGGCAGGCTTTGGCGTATTGCACAAAGACAAGGTATGCCTGACTGCCTTGCACCGCACCCAGGCCTGCTGTGTGTTAATGACTCCTCCCAGGGCTTCCAGCCCATCTGCCTTTCTCCTCAGTGCATGCAGACCTTTCACATTCCATCCTGCTTTCTTGGCCCCATGGGGGCAAGCTTTATGTTTCCCTCTTCACATTCGGACTAGTTGAATTCTCCCCACTGTCCTCTGCCCTAATCCCTCCTGGCTGAGGAAACAAAAGAACACAAAGAATTCCACAGTTTATGTATATATTTTTCATACAGTGAACTCAATCAGCCATACTTATGGGAGGGGACCATTAGAACAGATAATCCAAAAATCCATTCGCTTTTCTTTAGAAATAGATCACATGATTGTTTCTTGGAGCCTTGGTAATTAAGTTTGGCTCAAGCTAATGCTTTAGCTTTAATTAATTTGCATAAAAATTGGTCTGGGGACATCAGTCTAGAATGAAGCATTTCTAGGGGATAAACCTGAACTCACTTTGTAAATGGACTGTTTCTGAACAATAGCAACAACAATATAATTTTATTGCTTGCAGATTATTAGATGCTCAAGTTTTCTTAAGAACAAAGACTGTTTCTTTGATGCTTGTGTTGAAGAAATCATGTAAATTGTGTCTTTTTGTTAAACTTGAAAGTTGATTGCTGCTAATATTCAAAACTGTACTTTTATAAAAATTTCTAAAAATATCCCAGATTAAGAACAAAAGTTAAGCCTAGATTAGTGTGAATTTGATTATCTTCTAGACATCCTTGGTTTTCTCTTAGAGCCAATAAAACTTACTTTCCTATTGTAAGTTATTTTTAAAAATTATTTTTTGCCTTGTAGTTACAAAAGAAATGCAATTTCCTTATGGATACGCTAAAAATGCATATAAGCATTGAGAATTGTGGATAATTTTATAACTAAGGGATAGCCAGTTTTAATATTGTGAGTTGTCATATTTCTCTTGTATGTGTGTATACACACACAGATGCAGACATATGCAAAAATATGTAAATATATCCTGGGATCAAAACATATTTACACTTTGAGTCCTGCTTTTTTATTTCATATTTTAGTAAGCATCATCCTCTGTCATTACAATTAATTTGGAAATCTTGTTTTTAAAAGATACATAATATTCCACGTTATGGGTGAGCTTTCAGGTGTTTACACTTTTTTTTTGCCATTAAACATCATATTGCAATGAACATTTCAGTAAATAAATATCTCCATACTCTGGGTGGGTGTTAGTTTAGGATAAATCTCTGAGGCATAATTTTTCCATCAAAGTATGAACATTCTACCTTTTATTAGGTTTTCCCAAAATTGCTGATGAGGAGGTTATGCCTTTCAGTCTCCCACGAATATTATGCGAGCGTGTTTGGAAACCCTATTTCCACTAATTTTGTGTACTTTCAACTCCACTTAATCTTATCTAGTTCAAAAAGAGAAGATACTATTTTATTTGCATTTATTTATATAATAAAGAGATAGGGCATCTCTTCATATTTATAATGACTGTATATCTTCTTTTGTGAATTATAATGGAGTCTTTTGTCCGTTTTGCTCTTAGATTGTTTATGTTTTTTCTTACTGGTTCACACACACTTTTTTTTCAAATAAAAAAATTAGCTCTTTTGTTGTCATTTGGGTGAGAATATTTTCCCACTAGTTTTCATTTTTAATTTCACTATAACCTTTACTCATTATGTCAACATTTATCTATTACAATTTTGTTATTTTCCTCTTTTATGCAATATACTGACATATGCACACACATTACAGATATGTGTATGCCTGCATTTCATAACATATGCATACCATCCTGTGTCTGCAAGTATGTGCTCACAGTTAAAAAAACAGCCTGTAATTGTTTTATTTTGTTGTTTTTTAAAAATACTATTTTTGTAGAGTGGTTTTAGGTTTACAGCAAAATTGAGAGGATGGTACAGAGATATCCCATGTAACTCCTACTGAAGTCTATAACTTCCATTAAGGTTCACTCTTGGAACTGTACATTCTATGGGTTTTGGCAATGTATAATGAAATGTATCTACCATTACTGCATTATACAGAGTATTTTCAATGCCCTAAAGATCCTCTGTACTCCTCCTATTCATCCCTCCCCACCCCCACAACTCCTGGCCACCACTGATCTTTTCATTGTGTCCATGGTTTTGCCTTTCCAGAATGTCATATAATTGGATTCATACAATATGTAGCCTTTTCACATTGGCTTTTTGCACTTAGTAATATGCATTTAAGTTTCCTACATGTCTTTTCATGGTTTGATAGCTCATTTCTTTTTAGTGCTGAATAATAACCTTTGGTTCTTTTACTCTAGTATTTTTATAGTTTCATTTCTATGTTTCATCTCTGCTCCTTCTGGAATTTATGTTGGTGAAAGGAATGAGGTTGGGATTCAGTTTATTTTCCCAAATGGCCAACTAGTTGTTTTAATGCCATTGATTGAGTCATCTGTCTTTGAAATGTCGGCCAGAATATGTACTGAAATCCCAGATCTACTTGGGTCTGTTTCTGAACTCTTTCATCTGTTTCATTGATCAGCCTGTCTATTCCTATAGCAAGGACTACCCTGCTAAGTACATTTTTCAAACAGTCCATGTCATCCGTAGTCTATTTGTTCTGTCATTGACTAATAATATTGTATCTGGGAACTCCTCATTGCATTTTCAACAGGTTTTTATTTGTATTGTATCTTGCCATATCATCTGACACAAAAAGCCCCATCACTATTATATTTCATCAGGAATTTAAATTGTTATCAATATCAAATAACCAACTCTTTGTCACTGGAGATTTTTTTGCTAGACTTCTAACCGAATAGATTGGTTCAAATAGAAGTAGTTCTTCATGTTTTCTTTTGATGCTCCTTTCTCAAATATACATTTTTCTAACTTTATACTTTTAAAGCTTTACCTTTTTATTGAGTTTAAGTCAATCTGAGTGGCTTTTACACTTATTAAAGTAACCTAATTACACTTACTGTTATAAGCATTTGCTTGTGTTTCTGTCATCTTATTTGATACATGAGGCTTTTGTTACACTGCTAGTTATTGTTATTATTTGCATTGCTGAGTATACTGTCATGTGATCTCTTTGGGAAATTTAGAAAGTAAGGTATCTTCTTTTAATTTTATTATTATTTAATTCTATTTGTGATTATTGTACAATTTTTCAGAGATATTCTGAAAGGTAACATATTGTCAGAATCCATAACACTGGGATTTTTAGTTTTTGAGTGGTATTTATGGAGTCAGGCTAATGTGCAACTCTTCCTTCTTCTAGCTATAATCTAGTTTTACAACCTCTGCCACTGATGCTTCTTTTCTTTCCTCCTTTCTTCATTCCCTTCCTCATTTCCTCTTTTTCTTTCTTCCTCTTTTAGACAATTTTATAAAATTGCGACAAATATATAGAAACACAGACAAAATATAGAGATATCAATTAAATAACCAAATGCAAATACAGAAACTATATATTTTTATGATAACCATCCAGCCAGGCAGCCCTCTCATGGCCCCCTCCCGGCAGTATCTCCTCTCCAATCACCAAAGTTTAATCAAAACCCTGACTGTCACAGTGATCAGTACCTAGGTCTTCTTTATCATTTTATCACCTAAACAAGCCTTTCTAAATGTTAATTTTTTTCCTGCTTTTTGAACTTGATATATGAGATTATATAATAAATAATATATGCTTTCATACCTTCTCTAATATTACATTTGTGAGATTCATCATGTTTTTGCATGTCATTGTAGTTTCTAGTTTCCATTGGGACCTTTTATTTATCTTTTTTTTTTCTTTTTTGACAGAGTCTTGCTCTGTCACTCAGGCTGGAGTGCAATGGTGCTGTCTCAGCTCAGGAGGCTCATTGCAACCTCTGCCTCCTGGATTCAAGTGATTCTCCTGACTCAGCCTCCCAAGTAGCTGGGATTACAGGTGCCCACCACCGTGCCTTGCTAATTTTTGTATTTTTAGTAGAGATGGGGTTTCACCATGTTGGCCAGGCTGGTCTCGAACTCCTGACCTCAAGTGATCTGCCCAACTCAGCCTTCCAAAGTGCTGGGATTACTGGCGTAAGCCACTGTGCCTGGCCTGATTTATCTTTATCTTTGTCTTCTATATGTAACTTGTCATTTTCCTCTGCTTGTTTTTGTGATTTTTCTCTTTATTGCTGGTGTTGAATAAATTGATTATGATGTACTTAGGTGTAATTTTCATTATGTTTCTTATGCTTTGGGGTCATAGAACTTCTTGCATATGTGGGTTGATAATTTCATCACATTGAAACATTTTAATCACTTTTACTTCAAATATTTTTTCTGTCCCTTTCTCCCACATTCACCCTCAGAGATTCACATTCATTTATATTGTAATTAGAACCACCCTTCAAGATGTCTCATAGCTCATGGATGCTCTTTTTTTTTCCCCTCAGTCACTTATTCTGTTTTCATTTGGATAGCTTCTATTGCTTCATCTTCAAGTTCATTAATCTTTTCTTCTATAGTATCTAATCTGCCACTGTTCTCATCAAGTATAATTTTTAATTCAGGCACTGTGTTTTGAATTCCTTGAAATTCAATTTGGGTCTTTCTATAACTTCTTTGTCTCGAATTAACATGGTCAGTCCTAATTTTAATTTTGTAAATATGTGGAACAGAGTTATAACAACTTTTAACATGCCCTTTCATATTAATTCTATCATCTGCATCATTTATGGGTTGAGTTCCATTTATCAACTTTTCTTTTCCTGTGCATCATACTTTCCTGCTTCCTGTCAAGAACTATGAAGACTCTGAGATTTTACCCTGCTTGAGCCACAGTTCCATGGATGCTGACAGAAGACAAAGACTTCTGGGTCAAAGATAAAGGACAGTTTATTATTCAGAGAAATCACAGTAACCAGAGTATTAGTGTCTGTTCTCTGAGTCCTGATTCCCACATGGTGCCATAGGTGGACCAGCTGATTCCTGCACACTCAGTGGGTGATATCATAGAGGAGGAATCTTGAACTTAGAGAATGTATTAGTCTATTTTCATGCTGCTATGAAGAAATACCCAAGACTAGGTAATTTATAAAGAAAAAGAGGTTTAATGGACTCACAGTTCCACATGGCTAGGGAGGCCTCATAATCACAGCAGAAGGCAAGGGAGGTGCAACCGCATGTCTTACATGGTGGCAGGCAAGAGAGTGTGTGCAGGGAAACTCCCCTTTATAAAACGATCAGATCTCATGAGACTTCTTCACTATCATGAGAACAGCATGGGAACGCCCACCCCTGTGATTCAATTACCTCCTACAGGGTCCCTCCCACAACACGTGGGGATTATGGGAGCTACAATTCAAGATGAGATTTGGGTGGGGACACAGCCAAACCATATCAGAGAATCTCAAGATTCTCTGAACCTTTTAAAATGCACAATAAGTATGTATGCTCTTTAATTTGAAGAGAAACATGATCCTTTTCAAAGATACAAGCAGTGCCTCTGCTCACAAAACATGCAGAAATATGAAAGATGCATGGAGAGTTGTCTTGCAATAATTCTTTGCATGCCTGGTAATTTTGTTGATTTTACTTTGTTGGGTATGAGATATATTTATAATTTTTATAAATATTTTTGAGCTTCATTCTAAAATGCAGTTAAGTTACTCAGAAATATTCTGATCCTTTCAAGTCTCACTTTTAAGCTCTACTGGGGAGGACATGAGGAGCATTTAGTCTATTGCCTGTTTTGCTCTGCTACTAAGGCAAAAACCTTCAGAGTTCTTTATGAATGTTGAGGCTTTCCAGTCTTGCTGGTGGGAACAGGCACTTCTTCTAGCCCTATGTAAGCTCCAGTTATCACTCTCTCAGATCTTTTCTAGTGTTCCTACCCAGTTGAAGACTGAGGAGTTCCTTCTGTAGACCTCTGAGCATTCCGTTTGTGGAGCTCTCTTCTCTGTAGAATGCTACCTTGCAAACGTTAGCTACCTTGGCCTCCCAGGACTCTCACCTCTGTCTCCTCAACGTGGAGAGTTTGCTGGGCTCTCCCTGGGTTCCTCCTCTCTGTACCACAGCCTGGAAACTCTCCAGGCAGCCAGCTGGGCAATCACAGGGCTCACCTCATTTCCTGACTCTCAGGGGCCACTGAGACTTACAAAGTTTCAACACTAATTGGTACTTTTACTCTTCATCTTAATGGAAAAACATTAGAACACTTAAAATTAATTTACCTCATTCCAATAAATGCCATTATTGTGGTATATTTTAATGTTATGCATATCTTAACTCCACAAGACATCATTGTCAGTATTGATTTATACCATCAATATTTATCTAGACTTATCCAGTAACTACCATTTACCTTGCCCTTAATTCCTTCCTTTATCTTTGGCCTTCTATCTGGGATTAATAGCTTTCTACTTGCAGAACACCAGAATTCTCTGGTGATGAACTGTGCCTTTCTTTTTGGTCTAAAATGTCCTTAATTAACCTTGAATTCTTGAAACATACTTTTCCCCCTGGGTTTAGAATTCTTGGTTCACAGCTATTTTGTTGTATTATCTTCTTATTTTCATTATACATATTGAAAAGTCAGCTCTCAGTCCAAGTGCTTGAAGATAGCTTTTTAGATGTTTTGTTTATCTTTGGTTTTCAGGAATTTTACTATGATGGGTCATGTTGTGGATTTATTTATATTATTTATAATATTTATATTTATTTCTATTATTTATTTATTTACTATGATGGGCCTGGTTGTGGATTTATTTATTTATTTATATTTATTCTGCTTAGAGTTCAAAGGGCTTTTGGAACATGATGTCCTTCATCAGTGTGGGAAATTTCTCACCACATTTCTTCAACTATTGCTTCTGCCCAATTGTCTCTCTCCTTCCTTTCTGGGACTCCAACTGTACTTGTGATAGACTTTATCATAAGATCCTTAATATCTTTTCCTCTTTCTTCAGTGTGTGCCTTCCTTTCTTCCCCTACTATCTGTAATTTTGGATATATTCTGACCTAACTTCTAGTTCACAAATCTTCTTTCGGCTGTGTCTAATATGATGTTCAGTCATAAATTCATTCATTGAATTCTTAATTTCAGTTATAGCATCATTTACTTCTAGACTCTTTCATTGTAAAATTGGTTTTGAACTTCTAGTTCTCGGCTAAAATTTCCAATCTTATCTTTATCTCCTTATACATACTCAACATATTTATCTAATACTTTGTGTTCATAACTAATATTTTCAGCTCATATGAACTTCTCTTGCCTTATTGTTTTGTTTTTCATGTTACCTTTTTTCCCTCATTTTTTGGGGTATTTTTTATGTGTGTGCTGGACATTATATTTTGCAAATTATTTATATAAATGATTTGAAGCCTGTAACACTCTTTTTCACTCCTAGTAAATATTTTACATTTGCTTTTCTTAGATGCCTGAGGGGACTAGCAATCTGGACTGGTCTTAACCTAATGTGAGGATTGAGATGATTTGAAGCTGGGAAGCAGTCCACCGCCAATCTACTGCTCGTTCATTCTTCCTGCTAGGTTACGTATCTTTGGGGTTTCAACCCCAAAACAGAGAGTTTATCGGGGTCATTGCCTTTTTCAGCAATGGAGCTCCAGACACCTTCTGTAGAATCAGCAAATGCCCTAAGGTAAAAAGAGCTTCAAATTCTGGGCTCACATATCTGGAGATTCATTGCCTCCCAGAGCTCAGCTTTACAGTTCTTCAGTATCTTATTAGCTCACTGATGCCTTTAAACAGTCTCTCTCTCTCTCTCCATATGTATATGTGTGTATATATATATATATATATATATATATATATATATATATATACGCATAATATATAATATTATATGTTTATAATATATAAATATATGTATTTTTTGTCTAGTTGTCTTCGGTAGTAGAAATGATCTAAATTATTTAGACTTTCATTATTGAAAGCTAGTCTGTCTTTTTTCTCATTTTCAAACAACACATACTATAAATTTCAAAGTTAAAGACATATATTTAGGTAAGACATTTTCATCCTAATTATGAAGGGTTATTTCAAAATTATTTGATAGAACAATTATTTCAACATTTTTGTACATTTAATTAGTCTCTTACCATATAGTCCCTTTCGAATGTGCCTTCCTCAGTCTTGAGTTTTGCCTTCCTTTCTATATTATTGTTTTTGCTCAGGCCTTCTGTTAGTTTATTCAGAAAGGGTACCTGGGTGGCATGTTTTCTTAATCTTTGTATTCCTGAGAAAATATTGCTCTGATTTCATGTATAAATAATAACTTCATTAACTATGGAAACTGTGCCCTTTTGAGCTCTGGAAACTGTGACTCCATTTTCTTCTAGCTTTTAGGGTTGTGGAAGAAGAAGGTTAAGGCTAATCTGACTCTGGTGGTTTTAATCACTACCTGATTTTGACTACACTTGAAAAGCCTTTCTTTATCATTTATCTTCAGAAATTCCATGAAGCTATGCAGATGTCTGTTCTGAGTTTTTCCTTTGCCTATAAATATAATGTGTACTGTCATGTTTTGGGTGGAAGAACTGGTTTACATTAGGAAATTATTTTCTGTTATTTTTCTAAAGATTGTTTCATTTCTGTTTGTTATGTACTCCCTTCTTGATATCCCAAGACTATGTGGATTTAATCCCCTGCATTTATTCTCCATGTTTTTCAATGAAAATATTTATTCTCATTGTTATAACACATTCATCTCAGTGTTTGCAAACCCAGTGCTTATAGAATTCAGACAAGTAACAATAAACAAAATAAATGAAGCCAGCCTGGCACAAAAGTAATGAGTGATGAGGATTCTGGAAAGCAAAAGTGTCATCTAAAGATGGCAGCTACTGATCAACTGGTATTCAGTGCTAATAAAGTGTTATTGGAATTCAATATTTTTCCAGAAAAATTCAAGTCTGTGGGTTTTTTTTTTTTTTTTTTTTCTGTTTCCCAGCAGAAGAAAAGAAAATCTAATAAAGGATTTCACAACCTACCATCGGGATGATCTTGGTCACGCACAGAATGATCTGTCACTTCACCGCCTTTTGTAATATTTTCATCCTTTGCAAAATCTAACAACAAACAAGCAAAACCTTTGGTCAGCATTTTTAACTTGGAAACAGAGCAGCTTTCAGCACTAACATGATAGATTTATGTTTGAGGAAAAATAGAATTTATTCGTTTTAAAAATAACCACTCAAATACATATGTTTGCCAATAAATAGGCGCTTTTTTTCCCCCCATACTATGTGAGATATCTGCTCAAAGCTTACAAAGGTAGAGATGTAGCTAGCTGGGATGTCTTTTTGCAACAAATAAGAAAATAAAAGCAGGCTTTTTGCATCAGGGAAAGTCTTAGAACTATGGGAAAGGACATAAAAGGAAGGCAAAATGAAGAAGATTAAAGGACTATCTAATTTTAATGTTCTTAATGCTTCCATTACTGTGGTTGCTCACATATGGGAGTCTTGAGTCCTTGAAAAAGTCAGATACAGAACCTTGAAATCCAGTGGTAATTAAGTTCATCTTCCTCGGGAACCATAACAGTAGAACAATAGCATAGAGGGAATGCAGACCTTCTGGTCTCTGCAAGGTCATTCCCTCCCTCGCTTAGCACATTTAAACATGGAATCGTTGTACACTTATCTTTTTTTGTTATAGGATATGGTTAAACATATCCATGTTTAACATGGCTAAAAGGATTCTGTGACTATGGGCTATTGCAAAACTACAAAGGGCTCCTTGCTAAATGTTTAGGCCTCCCTGGAGGCTCTTTAAAAAGTACTGGAATGATCCTGTGAATGGATCAACAGGAAGACAGCAAGTAGGTCTCATTCATTTTCCAAACATTTAATAATGGCCAAGTATATGCCAGACACTTTTTTAGACAGATTCTCGCTCTGTTACCCAGGCTGGATGCAGTGCTGCAACCGTAGCTCGCTGCAACCTCAAACTCCTGGGCTCAAGCGATCCTCCTGTTCTGGCCTCTGTAGTAGCTAGGACCATAGGCACAGGCCACCATGCCCACTTAGTTTTCTAATTTTTTGTATAGGCAGGATTTTGTAATTATGCCCAAACTGGTCTTGAACTCCTGGCCTCAAAGGATCCTCCTGCCTCATACCCCCAAAGTGCTGGGATTATAGGTGTGAGCCATCACACCTGCCCAGACACTGTACTTGATGTTGGGGAGCCAACAGGAAACAAAACACCAAATCTCTGCCCTCATGGAGCTTATAGTCTAGTAGATATTTTTCATGCTGCTGAAAGGAAAGCAATCCAAAGATATCTAAAAGTCATAAGCTAATCTTGTAAGCGTGTGACCATGGAGAAAGCTGGGGGTGGTACAGCAACACCTTGATTACTTACAAATGTGTTCTCTACTGAATTTGTGTCACTTGGTTGAGTTTTAACTCCCCAACAGAGCTGAATCAGATGGAGTCTAAAATAAACTATTCTTTGTTTGTTTCCTTTTCATTTCTCCCTCTGTTTCTCTCCATTCATTTCCTCTCAAAATTAGGAGATAGCTTTAAACAATATGGCTTGGAATATTATGAGAAAGTTTGTTTCTTGAACCTGCCACAAGCAACATTTGATGGACAAGTGAGAAACCTGGGTAGTTAACATATGATTCAAATTTAATAACCAGTGAAGCAAGTATCAATATATACCCGAAGTGTGTGGTTTTAATTAACTACAAATAATTCCCCCAAGGCAAATGTTTAATTATCTGCACAGCTTCTTATTTCTTTCTGAGGCTGACAATAAGTCTAAAAGTCCAAATTTGGAAGCAAAACTGAGCACAGACACATTTGCCAAACTGTTATCTAACTTATGTCAAATTGTTTTAAACCAGCTCCCATTAAAATATGCTCTTTTAATTTTGGAGCTAAGATGTCAATTGAAAAAAAAATTTTGAATATTTTTCTCACATTAACACTAAAAATATACAATGATTTAAAAAGGTATATAGATCAGGCTAAATTTTAAATTTGAAAGTGTTTTAGATTTAGTTATTTATTAAAAATTATATTATTTGATATTTAGTCTTGTACCACATTAATTTCTCTCAACATTAATGTTATAGAATTATCCAAGATTTTATGTTTAGTTAAAATTTATTCATTTACACTGAATAATAATTCACTGTTGTTAATCATAATGTTACATAAACATTATGATTCTGCCCAAATATTACATAAGAAACGTCTCCTCAATGGTGATTTACATCGAGTTTACAAGTTTATGATCTAATGAGTCACATAAGATGGGCGAAAAGCATTTGAAAAATTACTCACCAGACTGTATCTGTTTTATCACCAAAATCTGTGTCTTTAGCAAATAAGTTATCTTTGTAATTTCAATATTCTTGGGGAGTTGCTTTAACATTATTAATGCACCTTCTGATATGTTTCTACATAATGCATTTCATTGCGTCCAAGATACCATCAGTTGTTCTTTGCACTATTATTTTATGTAGTATTAGAAGAAAATGCTGCCAGATGCACTATAACACATTATCAATTCTAAGACATGTCCTGACTTTAGAAATAAAATATATGAAAGAATGTGCATCTTAGAAACATGCCATTGCAGTATATTCGATGTGTGCACACAAATATACATGTCTTTATGTGATGACAAGGATGTCATATCAGCACGACCCACCACCAAACCCACAAGTTCACTGTCACGTATGTGAAACTTTGCTCCAGAAATGGTTCTACCTCCACACACATCAATAAAGTAGAAGGAAAAGTACTATATAACCTCATGACAATATTCACAAATAAGCAGGTACCTATGGAAGATGGTTTCCACGAAAGTTACTTTATTAATAGGGCTCTCTGAATTTCTAGTCTCATAACCTTTAGCAGGCCTAGATTTGATTCTGTATGTTTTCAATCATGGATCTCATTACATTATATTTAGTTGTAGGTTTGAAGTGGCAGTGCAGCTTTTCTGCTTAGGGGGTGATGAAAGCTGCATTGAATATGTACGTGAAATCCTTACTCATAATGATGGAGAAAGAAAATGCATATATTCATGGTCTGAATATTTGTGTCCCCCTAAAATTCCTAAGCTGAAAGTCTAACTGCTAAGGTGATGGCACTAGGGGGTGGGGCCTTAGGAAGGTGATCGGATCATAAAGGTGGAGGCTTCATGAATGAGATTAGTACCCTTATAAAAAGATTTAAAAAGGTCCCAGAGAGTCCCCTTACCCTTTCCACCAAATGAGGACACAGTTAGAAGGAACCAGAAAGTGAGTTCTCACCAGATACCGAATCTGCTGGTGCCTTGATCTTTGATTTCCCAGCCCCCAGAACTGTGAGAAATAAATTGCTTTTGCTTATAAGCCACCCAGTTAATGGTATTTTGTTGTAGGAGCCTGGACGAAGACACCAGTGTATATGGTCACTAAAATAACTTATTATTTCCATGTAAGTTCTATAAACTACCCTGAAAAATGTAGTTGCATATACAACTCTTGCAGCACCTTGGATTTGCATTTTACTTAATTCTAAAAATTATCATTTGGTAATGTTCAAAAACATGTAAAACAGTTATCACCTAATTCTGAGATTCAGTCAATGTTATTTTAATAACAGAGAACTGGAATTAAATTTATATGTAGCTTCTGACTTTCAAAATCTTTAAGGTCAATGTCATATTTAAAGAATTTTTTCAAATGCAAATATTAAATCAAATATTCAAGCCAAAGGGCTGTAGATAGATGTGCTTTTAAGATTAACAAGAATAAAAAAGAAACACTTTCATAAATTAAAAAAGAAAAAGCCCTCACTCAGAAAGTTGAAAAGGTTTAAAGGAATATTTAAAATAGATTAAAATAAAATGAAAAACTTCATAAAACAGAAATTCCAAAAAGTAGGTCACTTTTAATGCAGTCAATTACACGTATCTACACAGAATATTACATGTATGGATTTAAGCTGTGGTGAAAGATGACATTGCCATTTTACAAAAGATTTTCCAGACCAGTTTTGAGGAATTAGCTACTGAGCTTGATTCCTGCTCCATGAATTAATCAGTGATGGCAAATCTTGAATTCTTAAGGTAGATTTGATTTGAGGAAATAGCCAGCAAATATAGAGATGTGTTAAATAAATGAGAGGGACAATCCAACTGGCAAAAAACCATGTTGCACCAAAATTAGAGGTGAATATAAAGTATAAAACTAACTGCATGATTCACTGTCTTTGAAGATAACTATTCAAGCTAGGTGGTCTAAAAAACGCACCGAGTAAGAGAGGAAGCCCCTGACTATTATTCAGAGTGATGACAGCAGGTCATTTTGGCGTAGAACTTCTAATGGGTCTGAACCAAAAAAAAACTGCTATACACAAAAACCTACACATAAAATAGTCTTTCTCTGTAATGCGTAAATGTCTACACATGAGTACCAGAGCTTGATGCAAAAATTGCACAGAAACACCATCACCTGGATTTTCTTTGATTCTCGTTAACTGATTTGATTATACTATGCAAAACATTTATCCTGGCCTGCTCTATAGAATCTCTGGCTTATTATGTGGAGCAATTAGGACAAAGTAATTTTTCCTCCATCTGAACCAGGTGCTTATCTAAATAAACTAGAGTCTCTCCAGCAGATAATGTTCTTACTGAAACTTTGCAGCGGCTACTCTTTTATATAGGAAAAAAGTATCCTGCAACACATTCCCAGACTATTCTGATGCTGATGATCTGAACTGTGCTTGGTCCCAGTGAAGCTGGATAAATAAGGCTGAACTATATTTACCTGAAAGGTAACAGGGCCCACAGACAGGACATTGCTCAGGGCATCAGGAGACCCAAATGAGCTATAGTTGGTCATTTGTCTTCATTACGGTCTCATTAACCTCCATTAAAAGATGGCCAATCATTCCCAGAGATATGGAATTCAGGGACAGGTTGATGTTCCTTATCTGAAATGCTTGGGCCCAGAAGGGCTTCAGATTTTGGATTTTCAAATTAGGGATCATCACCCTGTGTGCTAACAGTCTTTGAGACATGGCTGGGAAAACTACCATAATGCACAATTAATTTGATTTCTATTAGAAAACACAAATTTCAAACAATAAACTGGTGTGAAATAGCTCATTCTTACATTGAAGGTGATATTCTTCTGCAAGTTGTTATTGAAAATACTAGCAAATGAGAGATGCAGTCATAGGGTTGTGATTCAGAATTTAGAGCTACAAGCTTCATAACTCTAGGGAAATTCAGGCACTTTACATAATCTCAGTTTCTGCACCTAGGAACTACAGCTGTTGAGCTGGATAATCTCTCTAAGATACCTTACAAAGCTAATCTGATTTGCTCAAATTATCTCTTTGTTCCAGCAACACTTCTTTGTAAATGTTCCCACTCTTCCTTCATCATCCGCCTACCTGAGTTGGACCGTTCTCACTGAGATTTTAACTGTGTACTTACAAAATAAAGGTTGATAGTGGGAGAAGCAGTAAGGTGTGCACCAGTGCCACACTGGCTGTCTTTAAGTCAGCGACTCAACAAAGAATCATCATAATGTAAAACGGAACAGCTGGAATATGAAGCTGGTTTGGACCATGATGGAAAAAGAAATGCTTAATTACCCTTTCAATCAAGTTAATTTTTCCCATTTGGCAATGTAAACAAAGGCAAATCTGCTCTTATTTTCAGTTGTCTGTGACTTGGTTATTTCAGTATCCTTGACCTCCATCCTTCTGATTTCTTTCTCATCTTGCCTCCCTCTCTCTTACTAAGCCTCACACCACAGGCTCTCTTGATAACATTAAAAAATAAAATCTTACCAGGCCATGGGTGTGAGAAGTATCTATGGTTCTGAATGTAAAGGGCTTGGAATTCTGTTAAAATGTTCATCTATAAATCTGGGAGAGTACAAGTGTTTTATTTACAGCTTGGCTTAATTTGATCTGATAATGAAAGGTCATGGTGACTGTATTACTGAAAGAACCTTCTTAGGAAAAATGATAAAGGCTTTTGTGGCCTTAGCTCTGAACCGACAGCCTGGCATCGGGTCACTGCTTCTGAGTTATTTTATTTTACGGAGAAGTTGAGGCAGGAGACAGAATTTCTCTCCAGATTCATAAATGCAGCAACTGCTGGGCTCAGATTGCTTTTAGCCAGACACTTGGAAAGTGTGGCTGAGTGTTGCTGCTGAGATCCAAGAATTTCAAGGACTAAGATATAACCTACCTTGTTGGCTCAGAACTTGGGTTTTTTTTCCAAATGTAAAGGCACCTGTTTGGAGAGTGAGACAAGCATTTGGGTCCTTTGTGGGAGATACTATGTTGAGCTTCAAAGACCTGTATGACTTCTCCCGAACATCAATTTATTCCTGACACCTAGAAGGATCCACAAACTCACCTGAGTGAGAAAGAACTGAGGCGAAATCATGGGCCCCCATTCCCCCATGTGCTTACTTTTTCTGTTTTTTTCTTTCTTCAATTTTCTCCATGCCATTGAATATAATTTTAAAATATGGGTGGCTGCAGAGTGGCTCATCGTGTGGCTCTACCGCATGCTATTTTACAATCGTTTCTATTTCTGGACATTCTAATTAAATCCAATTTGGGGACTTTCTAAAAAATTATAAATTGTTGTAGTAAAGGTTCAAAGGCTGGATTCACTCTTCTCCTTCTGTTACTCCTTCCCAACTATCTCCACCTCTGACATCTAGAGAGGCTAGATCTTTCTAGAGCTAGAGTAGTGAGAACAAAAACAGCCCATGCAAGCTAAGCCTTGTAGCCAACGTGCCCCACCCACCTCCCTGTGGACTATCCCTGAGGTTGGAGCCGATGGTGCCAGTACAGAGGGCACTCTTGTCCTGGATGGGCCAGAAGTAACCAGGAATTAATGCCCAGCTCTGGACCCCCAAGGATTTGGGAGATAAATACCCCAGCTTCCTCACCCTTCAGGGAGATGTTTCTGAATGCACTCTATACATCTCTTAGGGGAACGGAGTCTCAGTTTCCCTCAGCAGTAACTTGATCATTAATATCCCCTAGGGGCTGTCCTCCCTTCCCTGTCCCACTTCCTCACACCTCACCTGTGCTTCCTGAGAACACCTCCCAAATAAAAAGTGGGTTCACCTTTTGCACCCACAATCTTGTCCCCGATTTGCTTTTGTGGATCCGAAACTTAGAAAACCAAGATAGTCCTTCATCTGGCTCCTACCACTTAGTAGCAAATATGAGAATGCTCATCCTATTCTCCTGACTTCTAGCCTGCTGCTCTCTCACACCATGCTGTCTTTAATTATGGAGTGTTAGGGAAAGTTTCTGCCACCTAATTAGGGCAAGTTGGGAAAAAGGGTTACCGTGTTTTGCACTGTATGACCCTAGTAGCTGGGTCACAGATGACTGGTGAGTAATAGGCCCTAAGCAGACACCTCTTGCTTGACCAACAGACACTAAGGTGGCCTGACATGAGAGCTCCACATACCAGGAGAGAATTAATATTCACTTAACTGTGAAAGGAATTGATCAGCTCTTTGAGTGGATGGCTACTAGAACAGTTGTTGAGTCTCTAGAGGAACTGATGGAATGGCTGTTGCCTCCTGGGTGATCCAGTTCATGGGGCTGCTGAAATGGTTTCCTCATTCTCTGACTTTCCTGCCAACCAAGCAACCTCAGTGTGTATCACTTTTGTATAACCTGAAATAGTCTAACTCACTTTGTGGTTCTTGCAAGTTCATTATTTAACTTTAATGTGTATATGTACTTTAAACATTTCTAAAGTGTTTTTTTTTACAAATAGTACTTTAAGAAGTTTGGGCCGGGCATGGTGGCTCATGCTTGTAATCCCAGCACTTTGGGAGGCTGAGGAGGGCAGATCACGAGGTCAGGAGTTCAAGACCAGACTGGTCAACATAGTGAAACCCCGCTTCTACTAAAAATATAAAAAAACGTTAGCCAGGTGTGGTGAAGGGTGCCTGTAGTCCCAGCTACTTGGGAGGCTGAGACAGGAGAATCGCTTGAACCCAGGAGGCGGAGGTTGCGGTGAGCCAATATCGTGCCACTGCACTCCAGCCTGGGTTGACACAGTGCGAGTCTGTCTCAAAAACAAACAAACAAACAAAAAACAAATATTACTTTAAGAAGTTTGGCATTATTCTAGATCCATTTGTAAAAACCACTCACCTTTTTAGTCATTTCAAACTGTACAGTACTCACGAAACTTATACATGGGCTGAAAGGCATTATGCCAATTAACTTACAGAAAATTAAAGACGAAACAGCCTGGTCATACAAAGTAAAACAGGTTCAGTAAATTTCATTTTCAAATATCACCCTGATGGTAGAAAAAAATCAGGGGACATCTGGTATTACAGGAAATAGGGTGTACAGAGGTATTTGTATAATGTGAACAATGTTTTGCCTCATAAACTGAGAAAAACGTGTTAAAACAAAATGCTGTAAAAAACTTACAAGAACCTTAAGAAGAATACTTAAGATTAAATTAAAAGTGTTATTTTCAATTATAGAAGGATTTTGTTTTAATCTGCTATTATTTTATTAGAGTAGGCTTAACTATGAGTTCTAGAAATTATTATAATAGATTTTCCTAACGCAATGACTATATTGTCAGCTTGGCCTGACACAACAAAATACCATAGACTGGGTGGCTTAACCAACATTTATTCCTCACAGTTCTGGAGGTTGGAAATCTAAGATCAAGGTGCTGGCCAGTTCATTTTCCAGCGAAGGCTCTCTTGCCAGCTTGCAGATGGCCGCCTTCTGGTCACGTTCCTGCATAGCCTTTCCTCAGTGTGTGTGCCTGCTTTTTATAAGGACACTAATTCTATCGTGGGGACCAACCCTCATAACCTCATCTAGCCTCAATTACTTCCCCAAAGGTCCTATCCCCAAATACCATCACGTTGGAGGTTAGGGCTTCAACATATGAATTTGTTGGGGGTGGAGGGGACAAACACGAAGTCCACAGCACTGACATATGCATTTGTGCACATGGATACTTGGATGGTTTATTTCCCTTTGAATGTCAGCCATTCAAATTAGTATACCTGCTGCACATCAGAAGAAGGCCTCAGAATAGATTTGGAAATGGGATTTTACCCAAGTCCAAGGTTCTCTTTCTCCATTTCAGTTCTCTGGCATCACATTTTCATTTGATCCTTAAAATACACCACATTGTCAGTGTTTGTATAGCACGGATAAAGTAGTCATGAGGGAATCCAAAGAGATATTCAAAACACTTAATAACTGGTAGGGTGTTGGCTAATCAGAATGCACATGTCCACAGCTGTGGGGCAAGGCCGTGGAGCCCTGCTGGTGTCCTAGGATGGCAGGGAGGTGGTGGGAAGGGTCACTTGAAAGGAGAGGCATTAATCTTTGTTTGCCGGACACTATGTAAATGTTTCAGTATTTTAAAAATGCTTGCAGCAGGATTAGAGTGTACTGGCGGAATATCAGTTCTGTGTATAATAGAGAAATATATTGATAAATTTTCCAAAAAGTAATGAGAGTATTTCATTAACTGTAAGTCTCTGATGTTCTCATATTGATGAAAAGAATAAGAAGTAGCTTTCCCTAAGAGTCTATAATCTAAGGACTGAATAATCCTCAAACATATTTGTGATAACCTCTTATTTTGTGGTCCTTATCTGATAAAGCACCATTGCAAATAGAACCAGCAAAAACTTTGGGTTAGTCCTTCTGTGTGGAACACCACATCTCTTTAGGCCAGCAGCACATCCCCTGCCTCTTGGCACACCCACACCACCCCACTGCTCCCTACATCACTGGAGAGGAAAACTCATGCAATCAGATCAGGCCAGCCTCGTTGGTAGGTGAAGCTGATGGCCACCGTGTTGGGAGATATAAGGGGGCCAGATAAGGCCATCTGTTCCTAAGTACCCGCCCTGACCCCTCACACTTCCCAGAGGAGACTTCCTTCTTTGGGCAGAATGCCTTTTGAGACTTTTTAAAATGCAGAGCTCCTTGGAAGGATCCCACTTGTGACATTTGGAGTAATGACTTAATAACTAGTTGCTAAAGATTAGTCCAAAGTCAGCTGAGAACAGGAGAGGATGGCATTGAGCAGGGACCAAGAGGGAGGGAAGGATCTTAATTAAACAGAGGTCATGAGAGAGCATCAAGGTTATGTATGTTTATGCTCCAACCTAGAGACGTATGAAGTGGGTCACTTTAAAGGTAAACCTCTATTTGTTATTTAGGAGAAACAACTGTGAGACTGCCAAATTAAAGTGCATGTTTTTCACATTACTAAAAAATTTCCCAAAAGTTGCATTCATAATTTTTGTAAAAAATTCAAATTCTTAACTGTATGTTGAATATAAACATACCTAAAGTACAAAATTCTTAAGTGTGCAGCTTGATGAATTATCACAAAATGAATACTCCTGCATAACCAGGACCAGCTCAAGCAGTAGAACATGTCTACCATTTTCCTCCTTTCTACCCATTATCCTCCTTTCCAGCCACTACCCTCACTCTAATCATCACCACTCTAACTCTCAACAGCATCTATAAGTTGTGCCTGTTTGGGGACTTGACGTAAATTGAATGACACATAACCTGTCCTTTTCTGTGTCTTCTTGCTTTTGCACAACATTACGTTTGTGAAATTCATTCATATTTTTGCATGTGAAAGTGAATTTTAATTGCACTCTGAAGGCTGGCCACATCAGCAGATTCTACGGTAAATCTTTTTTGAAGAGTAAGAATAGTATTTTTTTCTTTTTCAAACATAAAACATTCACCGCTCTCCTATACTCTGTCTCCAACTTATTATTTTGTTACTACAGCCACTCTTAAATGTTAGTGTACATTAGGAGTAGGATCCCTGGAAGGGCTTGCTAGCATACAGACTGTGGGGCCCCAACCCCAGAGCTTCAGATCCTGAAGGTCTGGGGTAGGGACTGAGAATTTGCATGTCTAACAAGTTCCCAGATGACACCGCTGCTGCTGTTCCAGGGAACACTCTTTGAGAGCCATTGCCTTAGCATATACTGAATTTGTATCTATCTGTATGCATTTCGTTTTTGTGTCTAAGACATCTTTCATTTAAAGTAGGACTTTTGGATAAGTATCCTCACGTGGACTGCCCACAGATTTTCCACTACAGAGAGAGCAGCCTCTAACATGTGATGAGGAGGGATGCACAGCTCTCTGAGTGACAGAATCTGGGAGCTCCCCATCAATATGTGAAGATATAAGAGATATTTTCAAAGCATCTCTCCTTCACATTAGATTTAGTGGGTCTTACTGTTAAAAATCTGAAACTCTTTGGTTGGCATGCATTCATAAGAAGAAGAAGAACAACAAACTAATCTGTGGAATCAAGAAAGGCTCAGGTCATATCATTACTGATTGCATCAAACTCTGCAGGCAAGAACTCCTTAAGAACAAAGCTTAAAGACTAAAAGTAATAGACAATTCCTACAACACATTCTCATCAATCTAAATCCAGACACTGTCCAATCCATTAGCCACCAGCCAGCCACATGTGGCTAGTGAGTATTTGTGACGTGGTGAGTCCGAATGACATATGCTGTAAGTATAAAATACACACCAAGTTTCACAGACTTAGCTCATACACATACAAAGAATGTAAAATATTGTATCAATAATTTATTTTTAGTTTTTTTTTCCTTCAACTTTTATTATAAGTCCTGGGGTACATGTGCAGGATGTGCAGGTTTGTTACATAGGTAAACATATGCCATGGTGGTTTGCTGCACAGATCAGCCTATTACCCTGGTATTAAGCCCAGTATCCATTAGCTATTCTTCCTGATGCATGTATCAATAATTTTTATGTTGACTACATTTTGCAAATATTCTATTTGGATATAATGGTTAAATAAAATGTATAATTAAAATTATTTTCCTTTTTTTTCTTAGTGTGCCTTTTTGAAAATTTAAAACTACTAATATGTAGTTCTCATTTGTGGTTCACATTTATTTCTACTGGACAGTGCTGTTCTAGATAATTTAGCATTAGCCTGATTTATACAAATACTTAAATACGTGTTTATTTGAAGGGCAGAATTAGGAAGATGGAAAATTATAGCTTGCCAAAGGATCATCCATTAGAAACTAGGAAATCTAATTTGGCTTATAGAGAAGCATCTGCAAATGGTGACAGAAATGGCTGGGAAGAAGACCTAACTAGAGAATGTTCTGAGAAGGAATTGGAGGATGAAAGAGAATGGTACATTTGTAACAGCTACCCAAACCACCTTACACCTGAACAATACCCAATGGTTGAAAATTTTTGCTTTATGTTGATTGGACCTAAATTTCTTAGTCTGATATTCAGAGTCCTCCATAATCAGGACTGTGTGTCAGCAACGAATTAATGAGTGGGTCATGGATCCATCATTTAAGTCAATTGGGTTTATTCATTGTACCTAAAATAGGTCTTCTGATGTCCTTCTTCCAATCTTTCAAAGATGCTCTTTTTCCCAACTAGAATACCTTCCATTTGCACACCCTTCACATCCCAGCCCAAATCTCATATTCTCTACCCACATTTCACAGACAACCCCAAGCAGAGATGCTCCTCAACCCTAAGCTCCTTAGTATGTTTCAATGTAATCCTTTTTTAACACTTACCATGATCTGTCTGACTTTCTTTGCTGCCCTGCAACCTAGTTATGTGGCCTCAGGCCAGCTATGTTATTGCTCTGTGAGCTTCACTTTCCTCATTTGTAAAGTGGGATGGTAATTGTATTCATATCATAGATGAGAGCAGTAGGCATGAAAACATGTGCAGTTCTTAGAATAGAAACTGATGTATAATAAGGATTTGATAAATATTAGCTGCTGATATTATTGTTGCTGATATTAGCTATGTAGCACATGCTTGTATATCTCATATTTCCATCTAGATTGTAAATTCCTTGAAAGGCAGGAACTGTATTTTCTTTTTAATATTGCATAATGTCTTAAAAAAGTTAAGACCCAATAAATATCTGTTGATGGCCATAAGAGATGTCAATAAATTTTAATTGGTACCTCTGTAGGCCATACTGTGTACTAATCACAGGGATAAAATGGTGGACAACATAAATACTGTCTTTCCACTCATGAAACCTAAATTATAGTAGTGGGAGATGGATAGGAGGAAAGCATGCAAACAACAACAGAAAAAGATTTACATAGTTAGAGATGGCAGTGAGTGTTATAAAGCAACACATAGGAGGCTGAGATGGAGGTTTAGTGGAGGTGGCTTTACCAAAAAGATGACCAGAGAAAGCTGTGTTGAGGCAGAAGCACAATGAGAGGAGTGGGAGAGGTGCGAGATGAGACTGGAGAGACAGGGAAAGTCTGCAATGGAAAGGTGCACCTAACAGGCTATAGTGAGCTATTTGCATTTTACTTGGAGGGAAACCTGAGGGTATTATGGGCATTCAAGAAGGAGTGTGCTGGGATCTGTTTACTTTGCTTTGTCTGGTAATGGTGATAGACTTTTTACCCAATTTATGAAATGAAATTATCTTCAAGTGCAATATATTAATATGACCCTGAACTTTGACTTATATAAAGGTTTGCTCATTTATATAGGGTTCAAACATAAACACTTAATCTTGGGCTCATTAAAGCCAGCTATCTGTTTAACACATGCATGTGTGAACTCCAAGATCAAAAATATAATTAGTTTTCTGCCACAAGAAAAAACAGTGAGCAAATTCATGAATCAGGGTTCTATCTGAACCTCCATTGTGACATTCTCATTTATTAATTTATGTAAAGACCCTGTTGCTTCATAACAGGTGTCAGTTTTGAGGGAACGACTTCAAATATGATTTTGGAATAAGGATGTAAATAATGAAAATGTAATAAAAATTATAGAGTGAGTCTGCTGTAAAACACAGAGCAGGCAGAAATCAAAACATACTATCATTTAGTTCTAGGCATCACTGACTTTAAAAACAGCAGACAACCTGAAACATACTATTTTCCTTGAAAACAGAAACGTTTTTACAAAATCAAGTATTTATCACTCATTTTTTCCTTGCTGAATTAGCTGAGATTCAAAAAAGCCTTAACTTATGTGTATGCGTGTTTCCTTTTTTAGCTAAATTTTTACATGAAATAAATTTATTTCATTTTTAAATTGACAAAATAATTGTTCATATTCATAGGGTACATGGTGATGTTTCAATACGTATAATATAGAGTGATCAGATTGGGGTAATTAGCATATCCATCATCTGGAACATTTATCATTTCTTTGTTTTGGGAACATTCAATATACTCCTTCTGGCTATTGGAAACTATAATGTATATTATTGTTAACTATATTCATCCTATAATGCTATAGAATGCTAGAATTTATTTCTTCGATCTAGTTATAATTTTGTATCCTTTAACACATCTCTTTCTATCCCTGCCACTTCCCCCTCCCCTTTCCAGCCTCTAGTATCCTGAACTACTTTTTACTTCTATGAGACCAACCTTTCTTGGCTTCTGCCTATGAGTGAAAACATGCGGTGTTTAACTTTCTTTTCCTGACTCATTTCCCTTAACATCATGTTCTCCAGTTCTATCCATGTTGCCACGAATGACAGGCTTTCTTTTTTTATGGCTAAATAATATTCCATTGTGTATGTTTATCATGAGCAGACTCATAAGGAAAAGAAACCCCCACAGAAATGGGAGAGTTTTCGAAAAGTCTCTTCTCAAAACTATTCTTTTGAGATCAGACTAGATCAGGTGCATTCAGGGTGGCATGGTGGTAGATGCAAATCTATTATTCAGCCTTCAACTTGTGTGGCTTCAGGCATGTTACCCAACCTAAGTATTGGTTGGATAAAATTAGAGAAAATTAGGGAAATACAAACAATATCATCCATCTCTGGAAGATACAGGGCAGCTCTTCAACTAATGTGTTCCCCTAAAGTCTGGTGTGCTCTGTTGGCTCCAACTTGAGAGAAGCCCCCAGGAAAGAATCTGGGAGGGGCTTTGACCATGGACAATACTGTGGAGAAGAGGGAGATGTACGTGCGAAAGGGTAAGCTTGAGCTGGATGCTTGGTGGTGTTTACCTGCTTTTCCTCCTGCTGATGCTGGTATATGTCAGTATTAGATGATAAATCAGGTGGTTGGATATCCAAGTCTAGAGTGGTCTACACTAGGATTCTGGTAGGCAGAAAGCTGCAGGAAGCAAGAAGCTGGAAGCCAGAAGCAGGATGCAGAAAGATGCAGTACTGATAAAAAAAAAAAATGGTTTCTGATTTTCCTGAAACCATGAAGGAAGATTCAGGGAAACCCAGTGCCTGGTACTTGGAGTGGTCTCAAGGCTTTAACCATCCACCCTGAGGAAGAGGTTGACAGAAATATTTGTCTCATTATGTATTAGTCTGTTTTCATGCTACTGATAAAGACATACTCAAGACCGGGAAGAAAAACAGGTTTAATGGACTTACAGTTCCATATGGCTGGGGAAGCCTCACAATCATGGCAGAAGGCAAGGAGGAGCAAGTGACATCTTACATGGATGGTGGCAGGCAAAGAGAGAGCTTATGCAGGGAAACTCCCCCATATAATACCATCAGATCTTGTGAGACTTACTCACTATCGCCAGAACAGCATGGGAAACACCTGCCCCCATGATTCATTTACCTCCCACCGGGTCCCTCCCACTACATGTGGTAATGTAAGATGAGATATGGGTGGGGACATAGCCAAACCATATCACATAACACGTTTAGGATAGAATTCAGTGAATATTTAGTAACTGATTCTGCCTCATTCCGTGTTTAAGATAGGTGTGGTTGGCATAGATAACATTTACGGGTGATTTACGTAAATTGAAACAGTGTAATGGGTTTACATGCTTTTTGAAAACCATAGATCTTTATGAGACCTTTATGTATGAGTCAGGCTGGGAGAAATATCGCCTTGCACATATTTGTGTTTGTTCTCAAAACAGGGTGTGTGTGCATGCATGCGCTTGCATGTTGTTTTGAGTACACATATATGTTTATGTGAGTGTCATTGCCCCTTGTGCCTGAGGAAAATAATCAATTTTTGCCTTTCCATTCTAATTTGACACATCTGGTGCAAAATAACAGGGCTAATTTCAAAATGAAATAGGAAAACAATCTTCTCATTAAATGCCATCAATGCTTAAACCTTGTCTTTTTACTTGATTAAAAAATGTTCCAGTCTTGCCACTAGCCAGCCAATTATTCCTTTCTTCTTATTAAAGAATGCAGCAGTTGAGACATCTTCCCCTGTGCTCTTTCTCTCTCTCTCTCTCTTTGTGTGTGTGTGTGTGTGTGTGTGTGTGTGTGTGTGTGTGTGTGTCTAGATAAATATATCCTCCTAGGAACAGTGGCAGAATAGCTGACAACAAATGTCATTAGAAAAGAGTCAGAGCAAAACATTCCTGCTTGTGAAAATCTATTGTCAAAAACTAAGATAGGCTACATCCCTTTCTGAAACTTGAGAGAATGTTTTTCCGATACCACTCCATAACCATAAATTCAAGAAGGCCAGACTCCATTTTTAAAAGGTAATTTACCATTGCCTATTTTGTATTATAACAATGGGTATGATTTCTTAAAATCAAAACTTTAAACTGCGTTCTTGAGTTCTTCCAGATGGGATGTGGAATGGTTTCCCAAACTGTGTTTTGTATGACTTTTAGAAAGTTCTACCAACAAAAAAGGGGCGAGCAAGCAAACAAAATTTCACAAAATCACATTTAGTTAATTAACGTGGGAAACGCCCCATACTTCCATCTCCCCTGAGCATTTCAATTCATGTTAGCATGCTGAAGGCTCTGAGTTCTGTATTACAGAAAAACCACTTAACTTTGCCTAATTTCGTAGTTTCCAAAATGTTTTGACTGCTGAACTCATTTATCAAAGAACAATTATTAATATCATCAAAGATGCTATAAAATTTTAAACATGGGAATATCTGAGCAAGAGCCCCACCGTGTTGCTTATAGATCTGAATTCACTTCAAAGGAAGTGCCGTTTTCCAGCATTTTTGCCCAGTCAAAATACAATGACGTGCCATTCTACATGAACTATTGTCATGATTTCTGTTTTTCAGTAGAGCCACCTCTTTGTTTAGTTTTTGTTTTTGTCTTTTTTGACAGGGTTAAAGAAGCAGGTCCACTTTATTTACAATGATCAGTTGGTGACACATGGATCTTTGGGCTTTCTGTGGCCTTGTGGAGACTCCTGGGCAGAGGCCACTCCTGTTAGGTTAACACACCCTCCTTCCTCATCCTGCTATGAGAGTCCTGCTGCTGTCAGAATCCACCTGCCCTGAGTACAGTCCTATCTATTTAGTGTCAAAAATACATACCTTCAAAATTAACTCTGGAAATACTTTTAAAAACTCTTAAATTACAGTATTTATTTTTAAATTCAAATATTAATGTGTATTTGAGTCCAATGCACATTAAAGTTTGAGAACCACTGAGCTAGTCTAAATGATATTTTATAGAAAAATAGACTACACTTAACTAGTAAATGTTTTGTGTTTACTCAGATTGGCTAGACACACCACCTTTTGTGGAAATACTCTAAAGAGTTACTCCAAATATTATTTTTTATACTAATTAACAAGAAATGACAGGGTCAGAAAAATACATACTCTTAAAAATAGTACACTTTTGGGAGTCAAAGTTAAACATTTAAAAATATGAGTCAGAGATATTATGATTTTAATTTGTAGACAGAAAAGACTTCATGCATTTTTGGTTGGGTAAGTATACATCTTGGGTTTCTCTAGTCCTAGTGAATCAGGTCAATTCTGGTATAATTATTCTGGTAGAGTAGAGTGCGAATCACTCTAAAAATTGTGCTGGTTTTGAAGATCTATGATTACTTTTATTAGGTGATGCCCACAAAAGCATTTCAAAATATGGACTAGGCACCTTCCATTCTAGGTCTTATCTATAAGAGAATAAAACACAAAGCAGGCAGAAAAATCTATGGAAGGCACCAATGGAATGTCTGGTATTCAAGCGAAGATACCCAGTTAACAAATCTCCACTGGGGAATGGGGGCTAGGTAGAGATTTCTTAGGTGTTTCTGCTTGCTGGCATAGTTTACTCTGGTTGCTTTTCAATACTCAACTGGTGCACGCCCTATGGTGTACTGGAGAATGCTCATCTTGATGGTCAGGGGCTGGGCAACATCTGTTGTTAAATATTTTGAATGTTACCTGTTACTGAACCTCTCTAACCTGCGTTAGCATATCAATAGATTTCTTGATTTGGTGATGATTCAATGACATATCACTGTGCCACCTGGGGTAGTTAGGATTTTAAAGCCAGCAAATAAATGTAATAACAATAATTGTAAAAAACAATAATGCTGCCAACTCAAAGTTTACTATGTTTGAGAAGCTGCTGTAAGCACTTTAAATATATTAACTCTTTCAGTTTTAGCAACCCTGTGATATAAATACTATTACAATTCCATTTTTTACACATCAGAAAACGGAGGCACAAGCTAAAAACATTACCTAAGGCCACACAGCAATGGTGATGTGAATTTGAAATAAATTGAGACTCATAAAGACTTCATGGCTTGGCCCAAGGAATTCAAAAACAAGGCCACTAAATTTGAAAATTATCACAAGGATGCTCATATAAATTTGGACCTATTTGGATGTAAATTCAGGTCCAAAACACTATGTTGGACAAAGGAATTGTAAACCCATTCAAATAATCTCCATGTCCTAGTCTAGGATGATTTTGTTTACAAGTCTTATTCACAAGATCTTTAGAAATATGTCCCAAGAGAGCATGTAATGGAATTGACTGTTACAAATATATTATTATAGCCATACTTAATTAGTAAGGAAAAGTAATATATGCATATTAAAGTGTATTTGGAAAGGAACTACCACTTACCTTCCAATTGCCACTTAGGAATATTTTAAACTATATTAAATAGTAGATAAACATGTACTTCCTTAAAAGAAGTTTATTTTATTCTCTTAGAGGGGAAGAATATCAAAGTCTGAAAGTGAACAAATAGGAAAAGTCTTGGGCTTGAATGTACTTTTATATTTCTGCAGTGTGAAAGTTTTGGGAAAATTTACTTCTGAAACAAGAGAATTCTGAAAGGGAATTTCTTTTATTAGGAATCTTAATCATAGTAAAAAACAAATTTGGGAAAGTGGCTATAATATTAGAATTAAAAGTGGCCCATTTTCTTTTCTTTTCTTTTTCCTTTTTTTTTTTTTTTTTTTTTTTTTTTTTTGCAGTTGCAAGATTTAATAGAGTGAAAACAGAGCTCCCAAAGGGGGTTGCTGTTGCTGGCTCGAATGCCTGGGTTTATATGCCGATCATTGTCCCTCCCACTGTGCTCTCAGGTGATAGATGATTGTCTATTTCTTTACCTCCTGTTTTAGCCTAATTAGCATTTTAGTAAGCTCTCTTTACTACCTCACTGGTTGGGTGTGAGCTAAGTTGCAAGCCCCATGCTTAAAGGTGGATGCAGTCACCTTCCCAGCTAGGCTTAGGGATTCTTAGTCGGCCTAGGAAATCCAGCTAGTCCTGTCTCTCAGTCCCCCCTCTCAACAGGAAAACCCAAGTGCTGTTGGGGAGGTTGGCCAATGACCGCTCTAACTGCTTCCTGCTGAATTGGGGCATAGTAGGGGTCATGCAGTTGAGATTTCCTCAGGAGGGGTGCCTTCGATGTCATCAACATTGGATGCACCAGCAAAAAGTGGCCCATTTTCTATGATAGGTTCTATCTCCAATTCTCTAGTTAATTCTTGTGGAAAAAATTCCAGATAATTTCCCATTCATACTTTCTAGAGTCATGTGAAGTCTCTAATTTTATGCAAGGCTCTCAATTAAATTCTCCAAGAAACTGTTAAATCATCAACAGCATTATAGAAACTGTTATGTACACACCATTTTATTCCTTTTGATTAAACAAATATGAGGACCTACTATGTGCAAGCCACTGTGTTGAGTGTAGGGAAAAGAAAGAGCGATCAGACTGTTACTGTGTCTATGTAGAAAGGGAAGACATAAGAAACTCCATTTTGACCTGTACCCTGAACAACTGCTTTGCCCTGGGATGCTGTTAATCTGTAACTTTGCCCCAACCTTGAGCTCACAGAAACATGTGTTGTATGGAATCAAGGTTTAAGGGATCTAGGGATGTGCAGAATATGCCTTGTTAACATAATGTTTACAGGCTGTATGCTTGGTAAAAGTCATTGCCATTCTCCAGTCTCAATAAACCAGGGGCACAATGCACTGTGGAAAGCCGCAGGGACCTCTGCCCTGGAAAGCTGGGTATTGTCCAAGGTTTTTCCCCATGTGATAGTCTGAAGTATGGCCTTGTGGGATGGGAAAGACCTGACCATCCCCCAGCCCGACACCTGTGAAGGGTCTGTGCTGAGGAGGATTAGTAAAAGAGGAAAGCCTCTTGCAGTTGAGATTGAGGAAGGCCTCTATCTCCTGCCTGCCCCTGGGAACTGAATGTCTCGGTATAAAACCCGATTGTACATTTGTTCAATTCTGAGATAGGAGAAAAACCGCCCTGTGGCGGGAGTCGAGACACGTTGGCAGCAATGCTGCTTTATTATTTTTTACTCCACTGAGATGTTTGGGTAGAGAAAAGCATAAATCTGGCCTATGTGCACATCCAGGCATAGTACCTTCCCTTAAACTTATTTGTGACACAGATTTCTTTGCTCACGTGTTTTCTTGCTGACCTTCTCCCCACTATCACCCTGCTCTCCTGCCGCATTCCTCTTGCTGAGATGGTGGAAATAGTAATTAATAAATACTGAGGGAACTCAGAGACCGGTGCCTGTGCAGGTCCTCCGTGTGCTGAGTGCTGGTCCCCTGGGCCCACTTTTCTTTCTCTATACTTTGTCTCTGTGTCTTATTTGTTTTCTCAGTCTCTCATCCCACCTGACAAGAAATACCCACAGGTGTGGAGGGGCTGGCCCCCTGCATTGAGCTTTGTGGAGAACATAAAAATGAATGAGATTTTGTACCTACTCTTAAGAGGTCTACATTCTACTGAGTTAGATAAGTATATAACTAATATTGATACAATATAGTTCATGATAACATTTAAGGTTTATAAACGAATTTATGAGAAGCAGGATAGTTACTACTCTATGGGGTGAATTGTAATGAAGAGAACAGAAATCAAGAAAGGTGAAAATATGCATGCACCACCCCCCTCACCTGTATTATCTGTTATAATTTCTGTCAATGTAATGTTTGCTCAGATAATTTGTGATGGAAGAAGGAAGGATGGGAGGGAGGGAAGGATGGAGTAAAGGTTCTAGTTAGGGCAAGAAAGATATTGAGAGTGACTCTGAAAAATGATCAGGATTTTCATATACAGAATAAAGAACAAAATGGATGTGACAGCGTGAGGGCAGAATGCTTTAGACCAGTGGCATTTGGGAAAGGACAAATAACTGAGTTGGGCTATAGCGTAAGGCACGTGCAGGGTCTAAGGAAGCACAAAAGGACCAGGAATATAATACAAAGTGCTTTGGGTTTTACATCTAGTCAGGGGCATGACTGGAGGTTTCTGTGTACTCATTTCATTGTAGTTCCTAGGTTAGGGTCAAGGTCATGAGGTGGACCAAGCAGCTAGCTCCAAACTGCCCTCCCTGTTGCCGTGGTTCCAATCCCTGCTCACCTTGCACAGGTTGCAGGGTTCCCATGACACCCTCTGCCTTCTCTAGACACACCTGCATCCTACCCACTCAGGCAAAGAAAGTCCTCTGCTCCAAATTCATGATACGGGAGGCAGCATGGTGGATAGAAAATGCATGGGCTTTGGGTTCAGACAGATTTGGCTTCCAAATTCTGGTTCTAGCTTTTGGGAAACTGATCCAGCTATTCAAACTTTCTGAGCCTCAGTTATCTGCAAAATTGGGATAATAACACTGATGACTTTTTAAAAGTAATAATGAGAGATTGCTTTACATCCATTGAACTGTCAAAAATCAGAAAGAACAAAAATAACAGTTGCTGATAGAAATATGAATTGCTATAGCCTATTGGGAAAGCAATTTGGCAACATCTATTAAAAACACATACTGCTGAAAGCAGAACTCACATTTCTGGAATCTTTCCATACAAATAAAAGCATCAGCATATAAGGATATGTGTGCAAAGATGTCTATTGCAGCATAGTCTATGTGGCAATAGAGTGGAAAAAAAGTGCTTGTTTATCATAGGAGAATGGTTGAATAAATTATGGTACAGCCAAACTATGGATTATCATGTGAGCTTTAAAATGGATTAATTAGATCTTTGCAAACTGACTGGCAGAGACTTCCACCAAGTTTGGCTGCCTGTAGCAGAGCAAGATTTAGCAAGGTATGTGGAATATAATACAATATTTGTAAAATAAACATATATATATTTAATAATGACTAAAAAAATTGAGCCTCCTACTGTGTACCAGGAACACCTTGAAAATGTTTAAATGGACTGAATGATTTTAATGCTAAATATTTTTTAGGTAGGTGCTATTAGTGTTCTTATTTTATGTATGAGGAAACTCAAGTTGAGGAGTAGAAAGACTAAATAATTTGCGAAAGATCACACAGCTTAGTCAGGGTAGGGTTGGAATCTGGGCCCAAGTAGTTGGAAGAAGAGATTAGACTCTTAGTCCATGTATTTTACTCTCTGAGTGATTGAATGGTGAGGAGTACATAAGCAACAAAAAGAGAAAAATTGCATTACAATCATACGTTTCACATAAAGCTGTGTATGTTCATATATTCAGAAAGAGATGCATGATAGATAGTCTCCAAAATGAGAATGGTAGTTGTCTCTGGGTGATGTGATTATATGTAATATTTTTTATTCTCTTCCATTATTTGAATTTTATACAATAAATATACTAATTAAACAACCAAAAAAATTAAAAAACTATTCATTGTAGAAAACACACAAATTTGCATGCATTCACATTTACTAGAATTTTCTTACAGAAATGATCATGATCATTTTACAAAGTTAAAAGGATGTTTCTGGTCAGTATGGAATTTAAAACTGAAACCACAGAAACAATTCAAAATTGAGACTGGATAAGAATATAAACATTTATTTACTGGAATACACAATTAAATGATGATAGACTATCAAAAGATGTTGGAAGAATTTTACAATGTACTGTTATATTTGAAAGACAGGTTCAAACTTTTATGCATTGCAGAATACCCTAAAAAAACCCCTTCCATATATGTATGAGGTTGCCTAGAAAAACATTGAGAGTTTATATATCAGTATATTACATATGCTTATTTCTGGGCACCAGGGTTATGAGTGATATTTTTCCTTCCTTCTTTTGCTTATTTTTTTTGTGTAATAAACACACATTACTTTTAAAATAAGAAAATATATGTAAGTAATACAAATGTTTTAACCTTTTCCCTCGTAAATCAATAAAATCCAGGAATTTGTCCTGAGGAACTGATCATAGATATGCACAAAGATTTATCCAAAATGTAGGCACTGCATTTTTCTATTATTTGTAATAGGAAGAAAACTATAAATAACTAAGTTATCTAACATTAGGGCACTGGCTATGTAAATTGTGGGATAACCAGATGATAAAATATTATGACACCAATAAAATCCATGCCTTTGAGGAACTTCTAAAGACATGGGCAAATATTCACAGTATTATTGTTAAATGAAGCAATAGAATAAAGACTTTTATTTTCCTACAGTTTAATCCTTAAAGGGAAAATGACTATATGCTTTTATTGTATATTTTTCACATTAAAAAATATTTTACAATAAAGATATATTATTCTTATAAGCAAAAATAATTTTTATATTAAAAATATGATAAATACTACCTTTTAAAGGGATTGTATAAGCTTATGTAGGTATTAGGTACGGCGGTTAACCATAATAAAATCATTTTCTTATCCTCACTTCCCACACACACACCCTTTTCCTCTCTCCTTCTCTGAGTCTCAGGTGACCCTTTTGAGAAATGAAGACTACATTGTTATAAATGTAAAGCATTGTGTACAGGAGACACTCAATGTATCTTAGTTCTTTCCCCTTCAGTATACTAGCAGAGGACAGCCACTTTCATTCTACACTTAAGGCTCCTAATATCCAAGAGGGATAACTCAGAGATACTCAAGCATATTCAGACACTCTACCAATGCAGATCCAGGGCACAGGACAGCCTTGTCCTCACTCTGATGAGTGATGGGGTGAGGACGCTTAGTGGGGGATGGTGAACACCAAGAATGGGAATAGGACAAAGAAAAATTAGCCTGGAGAGTCTCGAGAGGAATTCATTGGTGGCCTTGGTTTTGTTTCTCCTCAACAGTTCAGGCAAAGAACAGAAACAATGCCGTTTTCCAGAGCAATTTTGAGTCCACACCACTGGCCAAGCCTACAGTGCTCAGTGGTTGGAATAATTTGTGCTCTCATCTCTTGCACACTCCTGAATTCTCTTCCTTGTATGTAGTCTTTCTCTTTTGTTCACTTTGGCAAGGCTGACTCTTGGCTCTAGCTTTCCCCTTTTCCTACAGCAATTTTGACTTCTAAGAGGTCTGAAACTAGATCAAGAGTTAATAAATCCTTTGCCAGGTGACATCCCATTTCATAAATACCAAAAACAGCAATTGTATGACTTACATGGTGTTCCAAAGGAATACAAGCCTGGGTATGCACCTGAGTATTAATTGATTTTGTTTTTAATATTAATGAGCATATGATTTGGTCTAGTTGACCTTCAAATTTAAATTAGGTACTGATTAAATAATAAGGCAGGTGGATTAAGACGAGTTTAAACAGCACTTTATTTTCCCCCAGAAAGCTGCCTTAGCCTTGGCTCTAGGTGAAAATGAGCTATTGGAAGTGTTGAAAAAACTAGAACAGAGCATATTATTTATCTTAAAGAGGTTGACTATATCTTAAATAGTAATAATAATAACTTTGTAAAAGTTTCATCTGGAGTACTTGACATTCCTGTGTTTATATGCCCATTTAATGTGATTGCTTGTATATTTGTTAACTTAAATAGCCTTAATACTTGTACTCCTAAATTTGTTTTTAAGGATTTAAAGTGCAAACTACCATTAAATCAACAGAGTATTTTTAACCAGTAGAGAAAGAAGTCCTCAATAGATAAGTACACATCCTATTTCACAAATAACCTCAAAATGCCTACCAACCCACAAATCTTTTCCCAGGCCAGCTTTACCTTGGAGTTAATTTCAATTCAATCCTGGTTGCCAAATCTTTGGCATGCATTCCGGATGAATTATTCATCAGCATTCTTCCTGCTAGTATCTCATGCTCCCAGCTCAACTCCTGCCCACCCTATGGCTTTAATGGCTCATTGGGAACAGGTGTCATCAGTGTGTAGCTCACAATCTAGCTCTTGATCCATGAGCCAGTCAGTTGCATCTCCTTCTGTTGGCAGCTGGCACAGTTAGCAAGTACATGGGGGTAAGCAGGCAGCAAACATGGGTTCCTGGTTCCCAGTGGAAAATATGTCTAGAACATTAAAACAAAACTGCTGGCAAAGAGGACACCTGCACTACAATACTTCCTTTTGAAATTCTTCAACTTTCCCATGACTGTTCGAATTTTTTAAATATCTGGTCTCCAAAGTGACATTAGCCATCTTATTTTTTATTTGTTTGTTTTCAATACTTTCACCCTAGAAGATGCTAATTTCCTGTGGAAACCAAGGTTGTAACAAATGTAAAGCCAGCCCACTAACAAGCAAAGCTGGAAATAACTGAATGAGCCTCAAAATCCTTGGGAGTTTTATTAGAAAGAGAAAAAAAGACCTGTCCATAATATCAGTGATTCTAAAGCCCAAGAAGATGCTTGGTCAGGATCAAAGTCTGAAAACGAACTCAAGAGAGCAAGGGCTTCTTCAGGACATTTGATCAGCAAAAATGTTCTGCCACTTAAATTGGAGAGTGTAATGAGCATTTCTATAAGCAATCTTATAACTGCAGAGCTCTAAAATAGCCCAGATGTCACTGAGAAGAGATATTTCTGCATGAAAGCTAATAATGGAGAATGTTTGAAATGAATCCTCCACGCATATGACTGCCTTTTAACCTTATCTTGACCTCAATCTTGAAGGATTTCAACGGATTTTTTTTTTCTAAGCTAGGTATCTATCAGTCAAGATGATAGTTCCATAAGCATTAGACACTTGTTCTAAGCTGGTCTAAGCTCTGAACTGATAATCAATTAAAAACAGTGGTTTTCTATACATGCTATTTCAGAAGAAAAAGGCAAAAATCATACCCTAGGCATTCTGTTTTTAATTGAAAGAAGCTTGCATACTAGTGTGGATTTCAAAACATTTCTATTTTCCCTAAGTAAATAGGTTAATAGATATTAATGGCTTATTTCAGTAATACTCATAAAACTTCACATTTAGTCTTACATAGGAACTGCATTTGTGATACATGACAGAACTCCTTCATGGAGTTACCATCATTAAAAGTTTTATGTTAAAAAAAATCCTAAAAGTATTCCAAAACATGGATCCTGGCATAAGCAATTAATGGTGTGAGTTCCTAAAAGCATCAAGAAACATCACAAACAGTGTGCTTCTGTGAAGGTGTGATATCTCCAAATTAAACAACTCAACAGGAAAAATCCCAGCCTGAAACATGGTCACATTCAAATTAAATTATCCCTCTTTCATGTTTCTTAAACTCTGCCACTCAACTTCATGACACTTTAAAATTTTTATCACAAACTAAATGATTGGTATGTCCAAAATTTTTGCTTAAGGTGAACACCACTTTCTGTCTTTTCGCTCTGATCACATTTGATCACATTTATTTGTCTCTCTAAGATGACCTAGGGTTTCCTATCAGAGCCTATGTGGGTATTTGACATCAGTTATATTTTTAGATACACTATGTCTTAAAAAACAGTTAATGTACTCTAACTGAAAAATACTTTTTCACTAAAATATGCTAATCATCATCTGAGCCTTCAGCAACTTGTAATCTTTCTCCTGGTTAGGGTCTTGCCTCAATGTTGATAGCCACTACTGGCCATTCAATGTTGACGGCCACCACTTGGTTGCTCAAGGTTGAGGTAGCTGTGGTAATTTATTAAAATAAGACAGTGATGAAGTTTGCCACAATAATTGTCTCTTCCTTTCACAGAAGATTTCTCTGTGGCATGCAATGCTGTTTGATGGCATTTTACCCACAGTAGAAATTATCTTAAAATTGAACTCAGGCCAGGCGCAGTGGTGCTTGCCTGTAATCCCAGCACTTTGGGAGGCCAAGGCGGGTGGATCACCTGAGGTCAGGATTTCGCAACCAGCCTGAATAACATGGTGAAACCCCGTCTCTACTTAAAAAAAAAAAAAAAGAAGAGCCAGGTGTGGTGGTGCATGCATGTAATCTGAGCTACCTGGGAGGCTGAGACAGAATTGCTTACACCTGGGAGGCGGAGGTTGCAGTGAGCCAAGATCGCACCATTGCACTCCAGCCTGGGCAACAAGAGTGAAACTCCATCTCAAAAACAAACAAAAAATTGAACTCAATACTCTCAAACCTGCTGTCTTCACCAGGAGCAGATTCCATCTCAAGAAACCACTTTTTTTTCTTAATAAATAAGATGCAACTTCTCATTTGTTCAAGTTCCTCATGAGATTACAGTTCAGTTACATCTTCAGTCTCCACTTCTAGTTCTCTTGACATTTCTACCACATCTTTAGTTACTTCCTCCAGTGAAGTCTTGAACCACTCACAGTCATCCATGAGGGTTGGAATCACCTTCTTTCAAACCCTTGTTAACGTTGATATTTTGGCCTTCTCTCAGGAATATTCTTAATGTCATCTAGAATAGTAAACCCTTTCCATATTTTCAGTTTATTTTGCCCAGCTTCATTACAGGATGACATCACTATCTATGGCAGTTACAGTCTTAGAAAATATATTTCTTAAATAGAAAGACTTGAAAATCAAAATTACTCCCTGATACATTGGCTGCACACTAGATGTGTTAGCAGGCATGAAAACAACATTATGTTCCTTGTACATCTTTGTCGGAACTCTCGGAAGACCAGGTGCATTGTCAATATGCAGTAATATTTTGAATCATTTTTTTTGAGCAGTAGGTCTCAACAGTGGGCTTAAAATATTCAGTAAACAATGCTATAAAGAGACATGCTATAATACAGACTTTGTTGTGCCATTTACAGAGCACAGGTGGGGTAGACTTCGCCTAATTGTTAAGAGCACTAGGATTCTTGGAATAGTAAATGAGCATTGTCTTCAACTTAAAGTTGCCAGCTGCATTAGCCCCTAACAAGAGAGCCAGCCTGTCCTTTGAAGCCAGGCATTGACTTCTCCTCTCTAGCTATGAAAATGCTAAATGGCCTCATCATCCAATAGAAGGCTGTTTTGTCTACATTGAAAATCTGTTGCTTAGTGTAGCCACCTTGATCAGTGATTTTAGCTAGATCTTCTTGATAACTTGCTGCAGCTTTTACATCAGTACTTGCTGCTTCACCTTGCACATTAATGTAATGGAAACAGCTTGTTTCCTTAAACCTCATGAATCAGCCTCTGCTAACGTCCAACTTTCCTTTTGCAGCTTTCTCACTTCTCTCAGCATTAGTAGAATTGAAGAGGGCTAGTACCTTGCTCTGGACTAGGCTCTGGCTTAAGGGAATGTTATGGCTGGTTTGATCTTCTGTCCAGACCATTAAAACTTTCTCCTTATCAGCAATAAGGCTGTTTCAGTTTCTTATCATTCATGTGTCCACTGGAGTAGCACTTTTAATTTCCTTCAAGAACATTTCCTTTGCATTCACAACTAGGCACAAGAGGCCTAGATTTCAGCCTATCTCAGATTTCAACATACCTACCTTCCTCATTAAGCTTAAACATAGCTAGCTTTTGATTTAAAGTGTGATTTAGTATGCAACTCTTCCTATCACATGAACACATAGAGGCCATTGTAGGTCTATTAATTGGCCTAATTTCAATATTGTTGTGTTTTAGGGATAGGGAGGCCCGAGAAAAGGGGACAGACAGGGGAATAGTGGGTCAGTGGAGTAGTCAGAACCACATTTACTAAATAAGTCCACTATCTTATATGGGCACAGTACATAGCACCCCAAAACAATTATAATAGTAACACCAAAGATCACTGATCACTGATCACCATTACAGACAGAATAATAGTAAAAAGGTTTGAAATATTGTGAGAATTATCAAAGTGTGACACAGGGACATGAAATGAGCACATGCTGTTGGAAAGATGGTGCCGACAGACTTGCTTGATGCAGGGTTCCCACAAAACTTCAATTTGTAAAAAATGTAATATTTTCAAAGCACAGTAAAATGAAGGGCAAGAAAACAAGGTAAGCCTATATTACTTTTCCATCTGGGGACTTGCCAATGAACCAGGAGAGAGAGAAGAAAAAGCACTATTTTGTTTTCCTTTAGATATATATTTTTTTAATTGTAGCATCCCCAGATCAATGTCTCCCTACTTCTTCCTTCCTCAAACTGTCTCCTAGAAAAGTAAATTGTTTTTTTTTTTTTACTTTTTCTGGAAATACTTGGGTCAGAAACATTTTCTCATAGTAACTTCTGACAGAATGGAGAATGATGCTCTTGCCAAAGATTCATTTCTAAGGATGCCTTTCAAACATTTCTTTTTTGAAAAATGGTGCTCCCTGGTTGGTGGTCCTCAAATGCCACTCTTTCAAACCTTTTCCTGATGAGTGGCTGTAAAGAGCAGAACTGATTAATTCTGGTGTTTTAAATAAACATCTCTAAACATAATTTCTCTGATCATTCTCTCATTTCATAAACAGTTATTTTCCAAAGGAACAAATGTAAATGTTATATATACATATATACACACATATATATATATATATATAAATTTTCTATACAGGCTAGGTATGCAATAAAAGAGAGTAGGTGGTGTAGTCAATTATATTGGAAACAGAGACACTTAAGAAAACCTAGTTATATTTGACTTGCTGCTTCATTTTTCCATGTAAACAAGCCCAAACAGTCTCTTTTAAGAGTCTGCAATTATTAGATATAGTTAGTAGCCTCATACCTTCATCTTTACAGTCTTCAACTGCCTCTTCTGAAGCAGGGCCGGGCACAGTGACAGTGTTGACACCATCTATAAAGCAGAAAAGAAACACTGCCTCAGAGTTCATCCTTCCGGAAGTCCAGCTGTGGCTTTCCTGCCCTGCACCTCCCTCCACTCTCCACCAAAGAAAGCATGAGCCTGCCGCATGCTTGAATACACTGAATGCTCTTTGAAGGGGCTAGTGGTTTGGGACTCTCTTTTATAATTAGTGAAACAGGAACCTTCAGTTAAGTCAGAGACCAATGGGCTACAATCTATTTCTTAGTGAAGAATGCCACTTGTTGCTAGTAGTATCCTTTGGCATTTTGTTTCTTCCTCATCCCTCAAAGGATGGTATATTATTTTTCTTGATAACAGATTGTGAAAGAAAGTATATCCTTGCAAGTTCCTACAAAGTGCTTTTATGTGCATGTTTCTAAAGTTTGTTTTTTTCTTAGCACAGCACTTCTGCTCCATTATGCCAGGCTGTCAAACTGCAGGGAGCAGCTCTGATGGCTGTCAGCACAGAGGCCTGGAAGAAGGGGAGCATTCGGCACAGGTCACCAGAAGCCACCAGGAACTTTCATGTCACCCAAGAACAGAATGGGAAAATGGGGACTAAGGACATGGAACTCTCTGTTCCCCTCACAGCAACAATGAACTACATTAGAGTAGACCTTTCTCTCCTCAGTGTCATCAGCCCCTAGTGACTCTAGTCATGTTTGGCCTCCACGATAACAGCTAACTAGCCTACTCCCTCCCATTCAAACAGTAAATCTAGACAGGCAGGATTACTAAAATCATTTGCAATGTTTAATACCTGATAACTGGAAAATGAATATATATATATATATACACACATATACACATTATGGACAAAAGATGGGCTAGAAAATATGTGATTTGTGATTTGATTCCAAATGTGTGTCAGTTTTCATGCATATATGAGTTATCTTTAGTTCTATGACCCTGTTACTATAGAAAAAAGTATTTATAGTGTGCACATGTGTATATATAGAGTATATATATAGTTCATATGTATAAATATACTATATATAAATTATAGAGTATATATAGTATACATATACATATATAGTATATATATAGTTTTTCATATAGTAGCAGAAAATATGTATAGCTATATACTTATATATAATAGCGATATATAGTTACGTACATAGTTATATATACATATTCCGATACTACATGAAAAACTATATATATACACACACACATTACATATGTGTGTATATATATACACACACATTACATATGCATATATATACTACATGGACTCTATAGTTTATATATAGTATATTTATACATATATGGTATATTTATACATATAAACTATATATATAGTACATATGCACACATACATATTCATAGTTTTTTATGTAGTAGCAGGGTCGGGGAACTAAAGATAACTCATATATGCATGAAAACTAACACATATTTGGAAGCAAATCACAAATCACTTATTTTCTAGCCTATCTTTTGTCCATGATGCATGTACTATTACTTGCAGGTCAGGTGTCCTTTGGAACAGAATTCTCTGTCACTATCTCATCATTTAGATCTCATTTTAACTATCACTTCCTCAGAGAGTCCGTCCCAAACCCAGACAATGGAAATTTGCCTTCTGGGCATTCCTTCTATGTTTCCTTATTTCTCAGCAAAGCATTTATCACTATTGATGTTATCATTTTTATTTGTTTATTGTTTGGAACCCCCACCAGAATATAAATTTCAAAGAAACAGAGATGTTGTTTTTATTGGTTGTTGGTTTATTCTTCAGTGCCTGGAATGGTGCCTATGACACAATGAACCCTTGATATGTATTTGTTAAATTTTTTGGAAGAATATTATCTACAACTTTGATCTGATTTGATCATGACAACAGTCAAAACTGCTGGATTACAGTGTTTTAAGATTGTGTTTTTTCATGACGTGTAAGAGGCCTGCAGAGCTATATAATCAAAATTGAAGCTGGAAATTATATTGAATGAAAAGAAGATACTTTTATTTTGGAAAAATACCAGCAGGTCAAAAGAGCTTTAACGACCCATAACCACATCTTCGATTTCTCTGAGCTCTGATTAGGGAGGATAAGAAATGAGCAGTGTGAACGTAACTATGTGTGTTGACACTGGCCAGGATTATAGGTGGACTCTGCCATTGGCCTCTGTGCCGGCCGGCGAGCTCACTTGGAAAAGTAAGGGGAGTCACTCAGGGATGCATTTAGGACCCTTCTTCACATTGAGAAGTGCCCCTATTGTGGTGATAACGCTATCAGATTCAAGGGCTGGAGAAGAGGGCTGACATTCTACCACTCCCTCCTCACAGGCAAAAGGATCTCAAATCTACAAACTACTTGTTCTCAACTGGTTAAAGGGAAAAGATGAATAAATCAAACACAGGCAAATGTGAGTGCATGCATACATGTGTATGTGAGTGCATGCATACGTGTGTGTGAGTGTGCGTGTGTACATGTATGTACAGGGATGGAAACAATCTTTTTCGATAAGGACACTTTGGGCCTGGGTGTGGTGGCTCGTGCCTGTAATCACAGCACTTTGGGAGGCTTAGGCGGGCAGATCACTTGAGATCAGGAATTCGAGACCAACATGGTGAAACCCTGTCTCTACTAAAAATAAAAAAATTATCCAGGCATGGTGGTGCGTGCCTGTAGTCCCAGCTACTTGGGAGGCTGAGGCACGAAAATCTCTTGAACACAGGAGGCAGAGGTTGCAGTGAACCGAGATTGCACCACTGCACTCCAGCCTGGGTGACAGAGCAAGACTCCATCTCAAAAAAACAAAACAAAACAAAACAAAAAACAAAAAACAAACAAAAAAAACAGTTTGGGACACGATAGTGAGTGAATAAAACCTTTGAAACCTCAACAGTCACAGAATGGCCTCAGCTGTCAGCAGTTTGTTGACTAATACTTGTCAGCCCCAAACAATAAAAACAGTGACAGCTTTTCACTCATCTGCTATGGAGCAGAATGTGTGGGTTGGGGGTGGGGGAGGGTTGGATAACAACAGTTTTCTGCATCAGAAATTCATTTCATTGCAAGGACTATCTTGCAGCAAAGGACGCCGGCCGACCCAGTCACAGGTACACAAAGTCCTTGCTGCCTTGCTTCAGTGCTTTCTCTGATTGGCCTTCTTCAGTTCCGTCTTCCAGGTTAATAATAAAAGCTTCCAGATCCCTAGCAAAATCTCCAAGGTTAATGTAAGAAGTTTACAGTGAAAAACTTATCACACTACCTGGTTTAATTCCAAGAGTTCAGCATATGGCCTAGGATGTGCTTGGCAAACAGTAGGGCTCACTACTTCAGAAGTGCCCCTCCATGGGGCTTATTAGAGTTGGGAGAATAACTGGGAAACTAAAGGGAACAGGGATTTTTATTTTTATTTTTTTGCTGGTTATGTTGGTGAGTGAATGATTGTGCCTATCATTCTTTTAAAGGAGAGCATGACTGAGTACAAAAATGGATAGGAAGAGATAATAAATCACAGGTGACTTCAATCCCTTTTGAGCCTTAAGTGCTATTTTATTTTAAAATGTTCAATTTATAATCTACGGTGTGGAATATATAAACTTTCAATGGACACATCTGTCCTTTAGTGAACAGAGGGGATGTCAGGAAGGGTTTAGATCTTACTTCGAGCTCTGTGTGTGGGGTAGTCAGGCCCATCACACCATCTCCTGCAATATGCAGAGAAATAACCTGAAGCATAGCTCTTCAAAATTTAATGCAATACACTAAAGAACATTCTACTCACTGTGCAGGCCAAGCCTCTTCTTCATTTCCTTTCATCAGTTTTTATTTCATTTTTTCCCTCAAGCTAAATGTACTAATTTGAGCTTGACCTAACTCAGCCAAGCTCTGCCTTGGCACTTTCAACCTCCGCCCGTCCCTCTTAGAGCTTTGCCAGGCAAACTGTTACAGGGCAGAAAATTGAATTGGTGAATGAGATGTGAGAATGTGCCACTCTGTTTGAAAGCACTCAACTCATAGTTATCGGAGATGGTGGCTTCCTGAGGGAGACCCTGAATGAACACTGGAGTTCATCTGGTGAAATGTATAAGCATTTTCAGACAATAGCATTGAGTGAAGTTACTGTTCACCTCTGCAGATGAGGCCTAGGTGACTTCTCAAAAGAAATCTGAGCCTACCTGCATCTTGGCTCTGCTCTTCCATTTCTTCCACACTTTGCTTCTCCTCTGGACCGTTCTCATCTTTCAAGAAAACCACAGAGGAAAAAAAATGCATCAAGTCAATTTGTGAAATATCTCTTTACGGCTAATATGCAGCACTGAAATTAATTGTAACCAATGTAGCATGACTCCCCATAAAGCCAGGCAGAGAGATGAATCAGAGGCATGAAACAGAAAAATTACCTACATAAATAAGTGCATTTATACTCATCCCTTCTCACATGATTTGCTAGATGAAATGTTTAACCGCAGTAAACAAAATTCACTCAGCAGTCCCGGTAACAAGTCTCTCCTTGCTCGGCATTTCCCAAAATATAATAGAAACTTCAACTCCAGTCCACTTTTCTCCCTTGACTTAAGTAACATGCACTGTGTAAGGAAGGTTGGCTAAGTTTCTCGCCCTTTATTTCTCTGTATGATATATGCTGCAAAAAAAAGGTCAATTTTCACTTAACTTCCATATGGCAGTCTAACATACCTATGCTATAAAATATTTTGTCTTGAACAGATTATGTTGGTTGAGTTTATGCTATCATATATAGCTATCTGAAAAATAACTGGTCAGGTGCAATGAAGGCTGTATATTAGCAACTATCTGAAACTTTCTTTTTTCTTAAAATAGCTACTATATCTGTGGATTTATCTGTAGAAATAATAAGCTTTTTGAAGGTTAAGTATAGGCATGGTTTTATAACTCATTGCTGGGAGGGTCTCCAAATTGCTTTTGGTTTGGAAAATGAAGCAAATAAAAATGATGAATTTATACAAAGACATAAGAATAAAGTATAAAACATATAGTGAAGTACAGAAAACAGAAGCAGAAGTTACCAACCTATATTCATGTGGGTTAAAGATGGCCACAAATGCTTTGTCTCTGAAGGAGTGGAGCCCATTCCTTCTCTTTAAGTCCTGACTGGCTGTGAAACTTCTTTAGACCAATGAAATATGGTGGAAGTGATATTCTGGGACCTACAAGCTACCCTGCAAGACCTGGCAGCCTCTACTTTCTCCCCCTGGGAAGCCAATCCCCATGCTGTAAAGAAGTTGAAGCTGGCCTGCCAAATGGAGGGAGACACATGGAGAGAGGGAGAAAAGATGTGTGGGGAGCATGAAGGGCCAGACCTGTGAGCCAAGCCTTCTTGAACCTTTCCACCCTGCCAGCTGCCAACCAAATGCAGCTGAGCGGTGACCTCAGCCAGTGTCACAAGGAGCAGAAGAGACATCCAGCTGAGCCCTTTAAAAATTCCTGACCCACAAGCAGGACTGAATCACTTAACGTTGTCTTGCTTGAGTGCTTTGACCCGCCATCTCCTCCTCCTACCAACTCTTAATTCCGAGGCAAGAGAATCCTCCCAAGAGGAGGCCACTAGTAGCAGAGCTGAAACAAAAGCCTCAGAAGCAGTGGGGAAGCATTTTACCTGCAGCTCTGGAAAACGACCTACTGAAGAAAGTTTCAGATGGGGAAACATTTAGATTTGACCTAAATGGGGAAAAAAAGTTTATAATAGAAGGACAAAAAAAGAAAAAAGAATGATACTCTGAGGTTGGCGAAGAATGCAGTTAATAAATATACGTACAGGACCCCCTGTGTTGGGTTAGCCCTGTGCCGTTTGTGACGGTGGACACAATATAACTACTTTTTTTTTTTTTAATAGACACAGAGCCTTGCTGTGTTGTCCAGCCTGGAGTGCAGTGGCATGTTCATAGCTCACTGCAGCCTTTAACTCCTGGACTCAAGCGATCCTCCCACCTCAGCCTCCTGAGTAGCAGGGTCTACAAGGCACATGCCACCAAGCCTGACTGATTTTTTATTTTTTTGGAGAGAAAGGGTCTTGCTTTGTTGCCTAGGCTGGTTTTGAACTCCTGGCCTAAAGCAATCCTCCCACCTTAGCCTCCCAAACTGCTGGGATTACAGGCATAAGACACCACACCTGGCCTGAATATAATATGAGAACCTGGGGTGGCTCTGCATGCCACTTAAATTCAGTGTTCTAAATGGCATATTTACAAGTACTACATGATTATCTGATATTTTCCCTGTTCTGGTTCTCCATGAAGGAAACAGCATTGGCCTTTGCTCTAGGGAGGAAATAGTCACTTCTGCTGTTCTTGCTGTCTTAACAAGGCCAAGTTGGTGCAGGAGCATGTGCCAAAAACTTAGCCAATATCTGTCCCTTTCCTCCCACCAAATGGACTCTGAGTCAAGCAGGAAAAATCTGCCAGCTTCTCTGTCTCCCTCAAAAGACAGACCTTTTAACACATTTCACAATAGCCATGAAGTTTGCAGGTGACAAGCTTCCTTTGAAAGTACTCTGGTTACCACATCTTCTACAGAGTAGGGGTAGGGAGATTACTTATGAAGTGAGGAAGATAAGAAGGGAAAGAAAAACAGCAGTTAAATTACAGAAAGGTGAGGAATTGGTTCTAATAGTTGTAAATGCATAAGAAGGAAATCCATGGTCAGACCCTGAAATCCAGCTTTCTAATAGTAACAACCAGTCTGGCAGTTTACCTAGTCTACTGCTTCTGGGTTTTTACCCTTAGTTCCTTGTGTGCTACCCCCCTCCCTAGAACAGACATCTGAGTGGCATGCTTTTGTTTTCTCTTTGAGTCTCAGCGGCACTGTTTTCTATTTGCAGTATTTCTGCCCTGGGGAAGCAAACTCAAGAAACACTTGGCACATTTATCACAGAGCAAATGCTTTCTAGAAGAATGCTGGATTTGCCATTCCAGTAACATGTCCTCAGATAAAACGGTCCAGGTATATTGCTTTCATCAATTTCCAAGACAGTGCATCCTCAAATCCAGCAGGGGGAACCAATGTAGAAGGCTTATTTTCCAAGCCCAGCATATGCATTCTTGGGCAATTAGATTAGTATTCATTTCATTCTTTTAGAAGGACATTTTGGCTGGCTTATAACTTTCCATCCATTTTAAATGCTGCAAATGGGTGAGTTCTTAGTGAAATAGGGGGCTTCCACTGGTAGAAAAAGCAAGGCACATTAACACAGTTACCCGTAAGTCTTTGATAAGGACAAGCTTTCTTTTTTATCAGCCTTGTCTGTCTAGCTATCGTCACAGGAAGCACATAAACAATGAAAAATTAAGTAGAGGGATGTGTAAACTTGAGGTTTCCAGAAGGGATTTTAAAAGCCTTACAATAACGGTGAAGAAATATAGGGAAGTGCGAGGCTATTTTGTTAGCTTAAATAATGCCACATAGAAGCTAAATGTTCTCAGTTAATATTCCTTTAAGATCACATATTTATTTCAGATGATAAATTTCCATAGCATTCATGTCGAGTGTGATATAACACTTTACTTTCCCATGCTGAAAAAGCACAGAAACCTGTGAGAATTCTACTGGTTGTGTCCTTCTAATTTCTCCCATATTAGTACTCTGCCTCCTACTCTTTCAACCAATATTTATCAAATGTGTACTGTTTGCAAGAACATTTCAGAAATTTTATAGAAATAAAATAAGAGGCTCCTGCTGCAACGTGACTATGATAAGAAAGCAGTCCATGTTTGACTCTACATGGGAGAGTTTTGTAAGGGCAAAATCTCAACAACATGATCACGGATTGCTATCCTGATATTTGTAGTTCCTTTTGTGAACGCTACATGGTGACAGGAAGATAAACAAGACGTAAGTCTAAATAAATCCATCGCTATACTGGGGAAACAATCTGATGTGTACTTCCTGCTGGTATACTGCTGTCTTTTCTTCTAAAGGTCTATAGATTTCTGGGCACAGACAGACTACGGACAATTCAAAACCAGTGCTTTGCAGATTAGATTATTGGTCTTAATTCTTCAGTCCCCTATAATAAGATTGTGTGTATATGTGTATATATATATATATAAAATCAGTGTCCTCCCACTGTGAGCAGAGAATATTTCCATGCCATTGATGTTGGACTTGACCATGGGACTTAATTTAGCTAATGAAATGCTAGTGGAGAGAATGTGAGCAAAGGATTTACATGCACTGCATAAAAGGATTTGTTGCTTGTGTTCCTGACATTTGCCATGACAAGAAGATGCCCCTGTAGCTCTTGGCTTAAGGAGGATGAGAGATACATGGAGCAAGTTTGAACCCAAGTCACAGTCTGGAACCAAGCCCAAGCAACTCACAGCTTGCAGTAGAACCACCCCACTGAGCCCAGCCTACATCAGCTGAACCATAGTCATCTTACAGACCTGTGAGCATGAGAATAAATATTTTTGTTGTAGGGGACTGCATTTTGGGGTGATTTATTGCACAGCATTATTATGGCAATAGCTGATTAATACACATGTTTATTTTTGTCAGCTCAGGAAGGCTTTAAGTTAACTTTAAAAAAAATTAGCACTCTTTTATAAAAAAATCTAGTCTTTAATTTTGTATTTCCCCATCTATATTTTCATCTCATATGTTCCAAAATTCTCTAGAAGGTACATATTTGAAAAGTAAAATTAGCTGATATAACAGAGGAATGCTCTTAAAGAGTCTGCACTGCCATCAATATAATGATGTTTATGGTTTATTTAACTATAGAGCTCTATGAGCAACAGAATATTAGCTAATACCAGCTAACACTTATTGAATATTGCATATGTTCCACTCAGTGTCTAAATGCTTTGCAAAGGTTATCAAACTTCATTCTCATAAAAACTGCATGAGGCAGGTTTTATTATCTGCATTTCATGGATGAGACAACTGAGACACAGGCGTGTTAAGATTCCACAGCTAGCAAGTGATGGCAGCAGGGGACAGTTTCAACCCAGCCTTAGCTGATGTTGGGGCCTACTACTGCCTACTTAGAAATGTAACTATTTATTGTCTGGGTAAGATATGTAAATTATGAATCAGCAAAAATGTGGGAAATGATAATCTCATCTGGATTAACTCAATTAACATTGAACACAACAAATATTGAGAATCAAACCCCTCTGGCACTCATATCAAGTGAGTGCAGTGCTACAACTCTAAAGTTTTGTGTTTATTGCTAAAGGTATTTTTATTCTGGAATAATTTTAAGCAACAGAATGTTGCAAGAACAGGACAAGAACTTTTTTTTCCTGAACCATTTGAGAGTAAGTTGCAGACATAATCATGTCCTAATCATGCCCATCAGCCTTGAATACTTTAGTATATATCTTCTACAAACAAGGACATTCTTTTTCATAACCACAATACAACCATCCAGATCAAAAGATTAACATAGATGACATTCCTGCTATCTAAGCTACAGATCACATCTGTGTTTCGCCACTTTTCAAGAATAACCTAATAGCAATCTAGGATCATACAGCATTCAGTTGTTGTGTCTCTTTAGTTCACAGTAGTCTGGGACAGAGAAGCCCTTCCGACTCTGTCCAAACCCTGTGACCCCTCAGCACCATCCTCTCTCCAATGCAAACACCTATTTTTCTCAGTCCTGCTTAATGGCTTTAGGAAGAAAGGAAAGAAGGAAGGAAAGGAGGGAGGGAATGTTAGTTCCAAACCTTTACAAATTTTGTCTGGAGGTGTCATTAGCTGATTGATCTATTTTAATAGCTTACTCTTAGAAAAGTTTCCATGTTGGCTGCCTCATTGTTTTAATGAAGAGCCTCATGTGCATCTTTTAGTGCAGATAAAAAGGTGTGCAGTGAATAGTCTCCACCTAGCAGGAGTCATAGCTGCCGCTTCCTACAGATGTCTCCTTTGCACCAGGCCTTTACACGCTCACACACCTCACACACATAACCATGAACGTCATACCGTCGTATTCGACTTTATCTCCATTTTTGCAGATGAAGAAATCAAGGCTGTGGGAGATCAAAGTCACTTCCCTGAAGTCACACAGTTCGTGGCAGAGCTGAGACTTAAACACAGGTCCAGATCATGCCAAATCCTGGAGTCTCTCTTTCTTGCCTTGCAGATTCCTGAGACCTCTGCTCACCTGCAAGAGCTAAGCCATAAGCCCTCTGCAGAGAGATGTCTCTTTTTTCTGTGGTGTCCTTGGCACCCAGCACAGTGCCTTATCTGTTAAGGGCTCCATAAACACATGTCAAGGGATTAGGAGGGAAATTTCATTTTCCCCCAAAGCATTATTATTTTTTCCTTGAATCGTATTTCAGTTCTCTAGGCAGATGAAGTATGATATCTATCTCAGCTTCTGCTTGAACTTCATTAAATTGTGGATTTGTTTAAACATTTCATGTGTCTTTGATCTCAACTAATGGTTCCCAAAAATCAAATGGTGAAGTGTGGGGAGCACAAGTATTAATAGTTAGTTAATGGTTAGTGCCGGCTGGGGCCATCCTCCATCCCCTCTATCCTGGGTGGTGGCAATGGCTTCCTGATGTGTTTTGCTGCTTCAGTTCTTGTTCTCAACACCTCTTCTCAGCCTACTAGCTGGTTTGTTTTAAAGTGTGAGGCAGCTCATACCACTCCCCTGCTTGAATGCTCTGATGGCAGCAAGACCCTGCGTGGTGGAGACCCTCGTTGTTTCTCTGTCTTCATTCATTCTCTCCTGGTATCCTGCTGGTTCAGTCGCTGCAGCCATGCTGGCCTCTGTGCTGTTCCTCCAGCACATTGGAGTCTCCTCTCCCCAGGCCTTTGCATTGCCTGACCCCTCCACCTGGAGTGCTTTCTCTCCAGCTCCTTCAAGTTACTGCTTAAATGTCCCCTTTCAATGAGATCTGTACTGAACCTTCCATTTAAAATTGCATCATCTCCCCACCCTCACACACTCCATCCTTCTTATCCTGATCAACTTTTTCTCTTTGGTTCTTCAATTGTCCATCATCTTCTAATATATCATATCCTCTAATTTAGGTAGGTATCATGTTCATTGTTTATGTGTTCCTGCCCCTCCTTGAATGTAAGCTCCACGGAGGCAAGGGTCTTTGTCTGCTTTGTGAAACAATGTTTCCTAAGTACCTGGTAGGGGTTCAATAAATATTCTCCAGTTAATGAAATACGCTCTTGCCTTACCTGGCCTTGTCTGGATAGTTCACAAATGAATCAGGAAAAAAAGAGGTAGATTATCTTCTATTCCAGGATCTTTCAGTTACTTATGAAGCATGAGGTTCCACATGTCATTTAGAACAGAATTTTTCAAGGATGCTGGCCCCGACATAAGATCTCAGGACCTTGTGATAATACACCCATTGCCATCGTCTCCTTATTAGAGCAACTAGCTAAGAGAAGGAATTGCCTCCCCAGGCGGGGGCAGATTTTGTATGGAACTCGTTACAATATAGTTCTCCAGACTAATGACTTACAGCCTTCTGGGAAGGTGGTGCAGCATGTGTAGCCAGTTTGGGGAAATGCTGGGCAGTGCTCTCCTGGCTGCCAGTTCTACCCAAAATAAACTCAAATAGTGCTGCATCCATGCCCCATTAACAGAAGGGGTGCAAGCTTCATGGGTTAGTCTTCAACCATTAGGACAGACAAGACAATCGTGTCAGCCCTATCTCTATCATTGTGTCTCAAAACAGCATTGTCCATGTAGAAGGAAGAGGAAAAATGGAACCTGTAATTTTTTAAGCCCGTGTGTCTGTTAACGGGGACTTCAGTTTAATAACACGTGTTCAAAGAGACGAAATGCATGAAACTGTAGGTGCCACTGGGCCTTCCATATGTGTTGTGTAATGGTAAGCAGAGAGTCAAGTGCTCAATAAGGAGCTCAACAAATACCTGTGGAAGGATTGAATTTTGAGGCATTTCAACATTGAAGGTATGACCCAAGCGTACCAAAACTTGCCGTGGCATATCTTGATATAAAAATAGCACAAAGTGATGCACCAGAGAGCTATTTTCAATACCACACATAGCCTCTTAATAAATAACATACGGTTCTCCCATATGGCATGTTAATACAAATACTTTGATACCGTTAGTTTTTAATCCAAGGATTTCCAAGTACTTTATAAACACTATTCATTAATGTGGGCTTCCCTGGGGAAGTTGCAGTGCCTTGCAGAGATACAAAGCATCCTGTACACAATCAATAACTATTAAGGAATGACAATAATAAGAAATATATTCATGTGGCTGTTTTTTAAAAGTAACTAACAAATGAGAATTAAGTAACTTTCCCAAAGTCTTCCAATGACTTCATGGTACAACTGAGGTTAGAAATCAACTTATACTGACACAGTTATTCTACTAGTTGTTCTGTGCTCGCAAATTGATGATAAATTATGCCAGTTCTCAGATATGCACATAACCTGGTGTCCACTCTATAACTGGGAAAATCATGGCCAAAATGAGGTTAGCATAATAGCATTACAATGGGATTTCCTTGTTCTCTCCCTTTCTCACTCTCTCTGATAAAACAGCAACTGCATTTTTTTCATTAAGCCCTAAGTTTAAATTTTCTTCTAAAAATTACATTTCTCTGTATTGTCCTTTACATTCCTGAATCTAGATAACCAGTGAGCCTACACATTTGTTTAAAACAGGCACACACTGTGCTCTGTGCAGATGTTAAATACAGAACTGGCAAGATGAAACATTTTTTTTCTTTGCTTTTTTTTTGCTGAAGAATGGAAAGTATATAAAGATGTTCTTTAAATAGAAGAATCATCCCATGAATAAATTCAAAAGCTGTTATATAGCTTTGTCATCAATTAATGTTTGTTGAGTACCTACAACGTTCAAGATGCTGGAGAGAGAATAAATTAGGCTATTCAGAAGACAAAAGCCTTTCCCTTTAGGAGTTGACAGAAGGGAGAGGAATGGAAAGGTTTCATGAGATGTGTCTGCCTGCACAAAGTGAAACTGAGGCTAGAGATGATCATCCAGAGAAAAATAAAAAAAAGTTGTTTCCTCTATGTAGATATGAATAAATGTTGGGTATTTTTGCTGGATGAAAGGAGTAACTGCTTCAGTTCTCCACTTGGCATTGTCCAAATGGCTCTTTGGGAAGTCAACGATTGAAGATGTAGATGTGTGAGTGCAAGTGTCTGTCTGGGGCAACTCACAAAGGGAAAGTCTCCTGCTTTCTGAATAGCCTAATTTATTTTCTCTCCAAGGTATAATTCAATACACATATATCTGAGGTTGTGGGCAGCCCCATATTATCATGGGAAGCAAAAACCAATTCTGTGTTTCTACCACTTTCTTCCTTTAAAATACTTGTTTCTTCCGTGTTGAGACATGCTATTTCAAGTAGTAGGAATAAAACTTTAAAGATGTTGATTTGGAATTTTGAAGTTCAGGATGAAAGCAATATATGGGTTTCCCATGATTTTGTATGAACTTTTTCCAAAAATGTGCTCTTGCCCTCAGTATGATCCCATAGATGATAAAACTCAACAACCACCCCAAAGCTGACTGACAAGTATAAAAACAAGAGGGTGGTCTATGTGTATTTAATCTCTCTTTAAAAATTACAGATTTCCAATAATGGCTTTGTTTAGCCAAATGTTTTGCTAATCGCTATTTGACATTGTACCAGAATAAATCTCAACATATTCTCTTTACTTCATATGAAATTAATTTGCAAGTAGAGAAACCACACACCTTTAGGCAGATAAACCAAATGTTTTGTTTGTGTGGAATTTTAGGCACAGGAAGCTCTTGTCTAAGATCTCCTGCTTTCCTTCTAAAGGAGTAACTTGGAAATTACTCTATCTGGAGTACTGGTCCTCAAACTTCACTGTGCATTAGAGGCCCTTGAAGGGCTTGTTAAAACACAAATAGCTGGGTTCTGGTTCAGCGGAGATGGGACAGGGCCTGAGCACTGCAATTCCAATCAATTCCTGGGTGATGCTGCTGCTATGAGTGTGGCCACACTCTTTGAGAATGATTGGTGATATGGTTTGGCTGTGCCTCCACCTAAATCTCAACTTGAATTGTATCTCCCAGAATTCCCATGTGTTGTGGGAGGGACCCAGGGAGGTAATTGAATCATGGGGGCCGGTCTTTCTTGTGCTATTCTCATGATAGTGAATAAGTCTCATGAGATCTGATGGGTTTATCAGGGGTTTCTGCTTTTGCTTCTTCCTCATTTTCTCTTGCCACCGCCATGGAAGAAGAGTCTTTCACTTCCCGCCATGAGTCTGAGGCCTCCCCAGCCATGTGAAACTGTAAGTCAAATTAAACCTTTTTTTGTTCCCAGTTTCGGGTATGTTTTTATCAGCAGCGTGAAAACAGACTAATACAATTGGTCTAGGCTCTAGAGTATTAACAGGTAAAAGTAGAAAGTATGCTGCGATTTATTTTTGTTAATTACATGTGGCTATGAACGCCCACTTTATTACTGCATTGTTCATTGTCCAAATTCTGAATCTCTGTAGCCATGAGTTGAATAATCCCTCATGGCTATACTAATATTTGTAGACAAAAATAGACTTTTCATAAAATCAATGTATAGAATTTACCTTTTCACTAAAATTTCACTAAAGATGATAATGTAATCACCTTATCTTAAAATGGATTCATCATTGAGCAAAACTTTGGGGAAGCTCCCTCTGTTCTGGACATTGCACCAGGTGCTGCAGACACAGGAATGAACAAGTTGGGGGCCCACCCCCTCCAGAAGCATGCTGGGGAGACAGATGAGTGAATACAAGACCCAGTTAGGTACAGCTAACATTGTGCTGGAGGAAGCAGGGAGGGCAGCAGGTGCTCTTAAGCACCTAATTCCAGTCCTGGAGGCAGTCAGTGAAATTTGCTCAGGGGAGGCACTGCCCCAGCGGAGACTTTTGTCACTGAGTATTTTTTGAGGTCTCAGTCTCTCCCAGACTCTGTCCTTTAAAGCTGTATTGCCCACTGTGATAGCCACTAGCCACACATGGCTATGGGCACTCCACGGACTACGAGGCAAGTCCACATTGAGATGTGCTATAAATGTTACATATATGTCAGATTTTGAATGTAGTGTGAAAAAATGTAAAATATCTAAGGAACGATTTTCATATTGGTTGTATGTTGAAATGATACTACTTTGATCTATTGGGTTAAGTAAAATATAGTGTTAAAATTAATATCACCTTTTTTATAAATGTGGCTTCTGAAAAATGTAAAACAACATATGCATTTGTAACTCATGCTATATTTCTGTTGAACAGTGCTGCTCTAGAGATAACTAGTGGGGAAAAGAGCTGTGGAGCTGAGTCCAGTGGGACAGATGGATATTGTAGCCACAGCTGTCAAAGCCCTGGCCATCGTCCCTGGCACTTACCTCTGATTTCTGCATGCACCAGAGGCTTCTTCTCTTGAATATGCGGCCTGAGGGCTTTTTCTGGTCTCAACAGGATGCTTGTCCTGCCAATACTGAGGTGCTGGGGAGTTAATATCCCAGAAGCAGCCCTCAACCAATGACGGACAGGAGGGGGCGAACAAATACCCCTACCCTGGCATCCATGCCCCTGGAGTGGGACTCCTCAGAGGCACATCCACACTATTTCCCGGAGTCCTCCCGCAGGACTAAGTCTCAGCTGCCCACAGGACAATCTACTTGTTCATGCACCTGTTTTTGTTTCCTCCCCTTCTCTATCTCACTTCACCGCTTCTCTACTGGCCCTTCCTGGGAATCACTCCCCAGATCAACTGCTGGCCCTTGAATCTTTGTCTTAGCATGTGCTTGGAGGGATCTGCTCTCAGAGATTTTTAAACCAAATAATTACGCAAATATAGTATCCTCAGTCATGATACGTGCTAACGAAGGGAAATGTAGGTTGTAGGTGGCTAAGATGGCTTCTAACAAACAAGAGTATTGGAGAGGGCTTCCCTGTAGAAGTGGCATTTGAGCTGATAAGCCTAAGGCACTTGTGAAGCAAAATTAATCAGTAGGAATGAATGGGGTAAAAGGAGAGAGAGGGATGATCGCTCCAGGTGGAGTGAAGAGCACGTCCAGGAACTCTTATGTGAGAAAGGCTTTGGCATCTTCAAAGACTTACGAGGGGCCTATGGGGCGGGAGTGCCGATGGCCGGTGCTTCACGATGGATCTAAGTGGGAAATATTCACGCAAATGAAGTAGGATGAGTTGAGGAAAGAGGGAATGTTTCACTGGGTGGGGAGCAAGCCCCAGAGGTGAGAGGAAGCATGTACATTTGGGGAGTCACAGTAATTTAGTACGGCTGGAGCAGACAACGAATGGAGTGGGGAAGGATTGAAGCCAGGTGAAGACCGTGGTCACATTAGAAAGGGCTTTGTGCCCTTTGCTGGGAGTGAGGCATGTCTACGGGGGCAGCTGGGAGCCATGGGTGGGTTCTCTCTCACCTGGCTGTTTTGTGGGGTAGGAATATGTAATAGCATGAAAGACCCACTTGAAATTGATTGAAATACTCCACAAGAGATAGCAGAAGCCTGAGATAAAGGGGCAGCAGGTGAGGAGGGAGAGAACAGGATGGACTGAAAAGAGATTCAAGAGATTGAACCAACTGGCTTTGGTGAGTGGTTGGACGGAGGTGCGAAGAATGAGGAATGGTGTCGACCTCTACTGCAAAAGCTCTGAATTATCCTGAAGAACATTCTTAACAACTTAATAATACAGATATAATGAATATTCTATTTTTTAGGTGGAGAAATGTTGTTCTAGTCTCTGCAATTCTCCAAAGCACCCATAGCTAGCAGGGAGCAGAATTACGATTTGAGCCTTCATCATTTGCCGGCTAAAGGCAAGCTGTCAGTCACCACGCTTTGATGCCACCCTGCATTCCACCCTAGCTGACAGCCTGGAAAAACTGCATGTTGTGGAGTCTGGGAACAAGGGGGACATTCTGGCTTACAGTGACCATGAGAAATGCAACAGAGGTCTTTTAATAAAAAATGAGGTCAAATAGATGAAGAGAAAAAAAATTAGCCCAGTAGAAATCCCTCTAGAATAACTTCTAGAAATTTTGTATAAGATTTTCTTAAGTAAAATGTGCATATAACAGTCAATTTTAATATAGTTATGCTACTTCCTGATACCCCCTGTTAGCTTATTTTTTCCTTTCGTGATCTTGTCTGCGTTGTACATTTTGACTGATGGTCTGAGACAGTTGCTTCCAATATCTGTTCTCCTTATGTCATAAATAAGAATATAGCCTATTGTGGGCCCTCGGGACCAGCCTAAGCAAAAGGAGAACTCTAACCCCCGTCATCTCCTTTCTGCATATATTTTGTGATTTCAGATCTATTGCCATTCCTTCTTCTCCTACATATATCCAATATCCTCATGGTTTCTTTCTAATCAAGCTGTGCTTTTAGAAGGCATCAGCTGTCATTTTCAATTTAGGGTAAATTACTTTTATTTAGTAATGAACCTGTCACTTCTCCCATGACTACTGATAACACTCTAATTATCTAGTCTTCCTACCTATAACCACAGTTCTATAATTACTGTATGGAGCAGGGAGTGCTAAGACCTCCTGATGTTGAATTTAAATTTACCCTCAATTTTTCATTAGATCTATTCCAAAAAGTCTTACTGGGGTCTTACTCCACTTTGAATAAATAAAATACTGTGTGATTTTTTTTTTCTGTAAGTCCACTTCCCAATGGTCTCTGTCTTTTCCCTGTAACAGGGCAATACCCGCTGACAGTGGATCGTCTTGAGATGATAATCACATTCCTTTTTTTTCCCTTCTTCTTTTTCAAATGGAGTCTCGTACTGTCATCCTGGCTGGAGTCCAGTGGCGCGATCTCAGCTCACTGCAACCTCCGTCTCCCAGGTTCATGCAATTCTCCTGCCTCGGCCTCCCGAGTAGCTGGGATTACAGGCACACACCACCACACCCGCTAATTTCTTGTATTTTTAGTAGAAACAGGGTTTCACTATGTTGGCCAGACTGATCTGGAACTCCTGACCTCATGATCTGCCCACCTCGGCCTCCCAAAGGGCTGGGATTACAGGCATGAGCCACCGTGCCTGGCCCACATTATTAATAGTCACCTGAAACAATTAGCCAACCAACTCAAGGACTAGGAAAAAAATTTTCTAGGGTAGCTGATGCTATTTTAGACAAATCAATGTAAGTATCAGAAGCCACATCAAAAGACAGATAGGAACATCTGTTTCCTCTCTCCTGGTGGCAGAGTAGGCCACAGACAATTATGCATTGCCAGTATGTACAATGGTACAGACATAAAACGACACATGAATCCCTCACTAAGGAGTATTCTAGCATGTTCTTTGTTCTTTCTGCCAAATCGGTCAATTTGCAGAAGTTTGCCCTTATCAAATGTTCTTTTTTTTGGATAAATGTAAAGGAATTCCAGCTGCCTTTTCTCCACAGAAATATGTTTGGTAAAAAATATATCAGGCAGCCTTGTGATCTATGAAAAGAGAGATCTCTGCAAGTGACTGCACTCATTGAAAATGAGAATCGGTCTGTCTAATGCCTCATCCCTCTCATTGGTTCCAGGGTCAGTCATTTAATATGCAGAGCACCTCATTGTTTCTGGGGTCAGTTATTTAACATGCAGAGCCCCTCATTGGTTCTAGGATCAGTCATTTAATATGCAGAGCCCCTTCCTCCCTAAACAGGTGGAGCCCCATGAGGAGGCAGTGGATGTAGCAGGCAGCAGTAGACAGAAACAGTCCGATGGTGGAGGGATGATAGAGCACACTACCCGTAAGGCAGACTGCAGGAGAACAATCTTACAGCAACAGCTTGAGAAAGGTTTTCAGGTCTTTCTATCTTCTCAGCAGTTTGCTTATAAGAATAAATTATTCTAGTTCTCCCATATCTCATTACTAATGTCAGATGATCTTGGACTTGATAAACCCAATTTCCCTGTTTTATGGAACCCAGAAGATTTTTGCTTCTAGAAGTGTCTAAATGATCTTAGTTTTTAACATTTAGGCTGTAATAGGTTTTCTTATGAAAACCCCCAAATAATGGTATTGTAACAAATGCTGTCTTGTGACATAAAACGCCAATTAAAACATGTCAAGTTAGAGCAAAAGTTTTCCCGATCACATGAAAATGTTAGGATAAATACTTAAATATACGCATATACTACTTGAACCATTCAAATAAATGGCAAGTAAATAATTTCTTCAACAACTGGCTAATAAATTTTAAATCAGAATAATTTACAAGAATAAATAATTTCAGGAAGAAACATTATGTATCCAAAATAAAATATGACCCTTCAAAGTCTGTCCTATTAACGCCAATTAAATTATGATTTTTTGGTCAGTTTTAATTACAACTAATAGTGAGTCCTATGAGGTAAACCTTAAGAGCGTTAAACAGACTTGAGACCACAGATTTTATGATTACAAAACGAGGTTTATACCTGATTCATTGACCCTTTAAACAATTTATTTATTCATAGAACTCCCCACTCTTGCAAGAGTTTTCAAGTCTCTGCACAGTTTTCATGTAGGACCTCGAGTCAGCAATTTTGCAGTACTACAGGTTTGGGCATGGGAGTAAAATAAGAAAGCAGCACTACTTATCTGGGGCTACAAAACATTAATATGATGAACAGCTTTTAGTTTCTTCCTTCAGCTTTTTTTTTTTTCCTTTTTTCCCTCTTTTAGTATGAATTCATTAATCACACATACATGTTAATACATTTTCTTTTGTCAACTCATGGGCTAAGTAATACATTTCTTACTAATGCCCTGGTAAAAATAAAACGTAGATTTTTTTGGTTTTGAGAATTCTCATCCAACAATTTTGATTTCACTTGCTGATAAAGACACACAGAAAAGGCTTTTGTTTTGGTTTGGTTTGTGGAGTGTTCAATGTCATTCACGAGGCATGCTGACGTTCTAGAAAACAGCAAAGACATAAAAGCCAAAGTATGAAACTGGATTATTTTCCACATTAAAAGCCAACTCTGACACAAATTCCCATTGCCATAGAAAGCCTGTGTGGTGCCAGCATTTAGCCAGCAGTAAGGAATACTTACTGGCAGTCCTCACATTTTTCACTCTGCTTGTTGGAGAAGGTTATTGTTATTCACGTGAGGCATAGAAACGCAATATGAATTTTCTGAGACCATAACCCTGCAGGTTCATAATTCTTCTCTGACAGTACCACATTAGTCATTTTAGTGACTTAATTTTTGAACCTGTTTCTGTCTCCCTGAAGGAATGAGAGAAATCCTATGTAAAATGTATCCAACCTGATAAAAGGACTCCCAGCTCTTTGTCTGAAGTAAGATAAATTGGATCTTTTAGGAAATTTGAGAGACACAGAAAGAAGACTCTTACCATGGCTGGGTGGTATGGAAAAGCATATCTAAAATATTTCCAAGGACACGACAAGCACCTCTCTATGATTATTTTAGCGCAGGGGTCTGCAAACTACATCCTGGAGGCTTGTCTCGGTACAGCCTGCCAGCTAAGAATGGTTTTTATATGTTCAAAGGGTTGTAATAAAAATGAAGAAAATATGTGGCAGAGGCCACATGTGGCCCACAAAGCCAAAAATATTTCCCATCTGGTCCTTTACAGAAGTGTACTGACCCCTGTTTTGGGGAGACCTGACGAAATAGCAGGAGATGACTCAGCCTAGGAAACCGCATACCTGAACTCATTGCGGAGTGATTACCCTTGTAGTGTAGGAATTGGCTTGATCCTCTGTTAAGATAACCTCCAACTGCCTCTTGTCCACCAAAGTCATTACTTTCTGCAAGACAGCAAAGTGCCCGTGTCTGACATGTTTTCACTGATTCCAAGACTTCAGATGGTATTGGAAAGGACTTTCGAACTTAAGTCAGTAAATGGAATTTAATATTTAAAGAGATCTCAAATAATCCAAAAGCAGAGACAGAGACATAGTCGGGATGCAGGAAGTCTTGGAACAAGAAACTAAAGAGAATGCTGTTTGGGATGATGGTGGTTTTAAAAATATGCCCACAAATTCATAGAGATTCCTCCCTTCAAGAGATGGGTTTTAAGTCTCCTCCTCTTGCGTGTATGCAGGGTTTAGGGACTCAGTTCTAATGAACAGAACACAGCCAAAGTGATGCTATGTCCTTTTTGAGATTAGGCTATAAAATGACTGCCACTTCAAGCCAGGACATGCTCTCCCTCTCCCCCGTGCCTTGCTCTCAGGGAAGCCAGCTGCCATCTCATGAGGACACGCATCCTCTATAGAGAGCCCCCATGGCAAGGGAGTGCTGTCTCTGGCCAAGAATCAGTGAGAAAAAGCCCAGAGCCAGGCTCCCCAAAAGTAGGGTGTGTGTGGGAAGGTGGGTGGTGGGGTAGGGGGTATATGAGGACTTCCAGCTAAGCAGGCTCCACAAATATGTTACACAGATATATCCCACCTTCTAATCAGCTGTGAGCGTGAAGAACCCAGCAGGAGTTGAACTAATTTTTAATATATTTTTGTCCTTTTCTTTTCTGCATCCTCTTTTTAATCTTCATACATTTTACCTCTTCATGATCCAGCTTAGTGTATCTAATACTCCCTCTTTTATGGAAACTGATTTTTACCTTCCAAGTCCATAACGGGGGATTTCCTTCCAAGAAACCCTAATATTGCCTACAAAGAATTAGCTCTGGCAAGTCAAACTCTTCACCATGGCACTCTCCCTTCTCCCTTTCTCTCTGCCTCCCCTCTGTACTTATTTTCCTTTGCTTCTACCCTAGCTATCCTCTTCCACCCATCCCCTATTTTCCCTGCCTTGTGCTCTTTGAGACACCACTGCCAGCAGGAAGCATCCCAACCTGCCTCCCTACACCCCCACACCCCTGTGCCTTTGGCTCAAAAAACCATGGGTGTGAAATGTGATTTCTTCTGACCTGATCAGGCCCTCTCATGTGTACAAAGGAAGAAATGGAAACTTGTGTGAGAAGAGTTTCATAAATAATCCTTCTTGACACTTGGCATCAAAATATGTAAAGGTGGGTTTGACCACTATTTATTTTCCATTTATTGAGAACTTCCTATGCTTTAGTGTGATACTGTGATATAAATAAGAAATATATATTTAGTCTTCATCCTAGTACCTGGCACAGAGCTTCTAAAACTCTTGTAATTTCCTGAGTGATAAGAGCATCTTTTGTTTCATAAGTCACTTGTAATCGTACCTGAGTTTAAGCCTAATAATAAGGTGGTTCTTGGTGGGCCCCTCGATAGCTTCAGGGTGGGGCTAATTGCCAGGGCACCCAACCTTGCGACTACAGAGCTAGAGCTTTTGGCCCCATTTCCTGACCTATGGAGAGGAGAGAAGTGCTGGGGATTGAGTCAGTCATCACTGGCCAATGATTTCATCAATCATGCCAATGTCACGGAACCTCCATAGAAAACCTAAACAACAGGAGTAGGAGAACTGCCATGTTGATGAATGCACTGACATGCTAGGACGGTGGCACACCCCAACTCCATAGGGACAGAAGCTCCCGCGCTTGGGACCCTTCCAGATCTCACCCTATGCACTGCTTCATCTGGCTGTTCATTTACAACCTTTCCAACATCCTTTGTAATTAACTGGTAGCAGTAAGTAAATTGTTTTCCCTGAGCTCTGTGACCCATTCCAGCAAATTATCAAACCCAAGAAAGAGTCATGGGAACCCCTCAACTTTATGACTTTGTAGCTTGTCTGTCAGAAGTACAGGTTGCCTGGACTTGCCATGGGTATCTTGAAGTGGGGGGAGTCTTGTGGGACTGAGTCCTTAATCTGTGCCACCTGATGCTCACTCTAGATAGTGTAAGGCTTGACTTAAATTGTAGAACAACTAATTGGTGTCTGGAGAACTAGAGAATTGCTTAGTGTGAGGGAAAAAACACATATTTGATGTTAGAAGTATTATGAGTAGAAACAGATCATAGTAGTGGTAGTCCTTACGCATTATGGTAAATGCTTTCCACGTGTTATCTCATGTAATCCTCACCCCAAATACTGAAAGGTGTATGCTACACTTGCCTCACTTTTTATATAAGGCAATTGAGGCTTCCCATTAAATAAAGTACACAAATTCCCACTGATCATGCGAGGTTTAAACCTGGCCCAACTGCCTTAGGTTCATGTCCAGGTTCTGACGTCCATCTCCTTTCAGCATTCGGAAAACAACTTAACAAATTCATTGCTGTTCAGCACTGGCCTGAAATGACCTTCACCTCCCAAAGATCTTTGTTAATAAGGACAACAGAAATTGCTCTGCGATAGATAGAGCTGTTTTCCAATAAACACAGGTCTGATATTCTGGGACCGATTCTCTGTCCAGGAAAAGGAAGATTTCAAAACCTAAATTACATACAGGGCAGCCATTCTAGAAAAAGAAAGGGGTTAATAGTCTTCCTGTAACTGTAACTACCATATTCTGCTTTGGAGAACAATGTTTTATTACCATGTCCACTACTCTGGTAGTCCCTAAAGAACTCTTTAAACAATGAGATTTATCTCAATTTCACTGCCCCCTCCATGCACACACAGGAAAACAAACAGTATATTTCACTTAGGAGAAATGATTTGCAGTCATGGTAAATTCCCATCGTTCATTTGCTTATTCGTTTATTCATTCACTTGGCCACCCACAAATATTTACTGAGTGCCTAGTATTTAAAAAATGCTGTGTCCCTAAAATACTATAAGCACTTTCACTTTGAGAGGTAAATAAATATGAGACTTTACGACTGCATTTGTGCTCAGTATATTTTTTTATAACACACTGTCTGCTTTGACCAGAGTTGAAATTTTATAGTAGAAATATATTACCCTAGAGATGAAAAAATGGCCAACAGCCAGTAATAATGGACAGTTTTTCAACATAAAGAGCAAAGCATTCTATAAACTAAAAAAGAAAGACACAAACAAACAAGCACATTCCAAACTTATGTATGTTACAATTTTCAGGAAACTGGTTTTTTAAATTTCTTTTCTTGGCTGAGACTTCACTGTTAGCTCATAAGGGCTTATGATTCTTTGGGCTGGCACCTCTTGAAAAAATAATTGCAGACTTACTGAAGGGATAGCAACAGAGAGATGGCCAAGAATATTTCCACACAGATGAAAGTAAAAGTTATAAAAAAAGAATTTAGGGAAAAAATACACACAACAAGAAAAAAGTAATTTGACAATACTTTTTCTGGGAAACTAGCAAAACTCTCTCCAGCCTTAAACATAATTTTGTTGGACAGAGCCAGTTTGAATTCTACAACCAGGTTATTTAAAAAGGCATTTGTTTTCTGGATTTTTTTTTTCTATGAAGAGAAGAGGGACAATGGATATCTATTCTCCAGAAGAAATAATAATAATAATAGTGATAATAGCTACCATTTTTGAATGCCTAATATATTTTTAAATGTCAAACATTATGAATGGTTTTTTTAATAATACATTTGACTTCTAATTTTTGCCAAGTAAGCAGAGTAAGAATTTATTCCCATTTTACAGATGAGAAAACTGAAGCTTAGAACCAGTCAGTGGTAGAGCTGGGATTCAAACCCAGATCTGGCTGGCCTTGTAGCCTCTGTCCTTTTTATTATGACACACTGCATGGTGCCTTTCCAACTGACTTTAGAAAACTTTCCTAACTTACTCTATGAGAATACTCATTGTCATATAATTAAATTTTATGCAGAATTACATTTTAATTAAAATTTAATTAAGTTTCTGGGCATACCATTCAATGTCAAATCATCACTACCTTTTGTTTTATAACCTTATTTGGTTTTTATTCTCGGTTCCAACAAACATCCTCTTTGCAATCCAATAACCTCCACTGAAGGCACCTTTTGGTAAATGAGAAATGTGATGTTTTCATCATGTTTCACCGATAACCAACTTTTGTGGTCAATGAAGCTAGACTGTTTCAAACCTGTCCTTACCAAGATTCATATTTGGAAATACAACACACTGTATAGTGAGTAAGTTGAAAAGAAAAACCTCAGGGTTCAGCCTCCTAAGAACTATGTCTGAATCTCAAAATCAGGTTTTAAACCTATAAACTGGCTCTTCACATTACTTCAGGTATCTATTTTTTAAAATGCATCCTGAGGACACCATGGCTTACAAAACAACACTGCAAGGCACTAGTTATTGAAGCCTATTGCTGGTAAAGTGATTGGAAAGTGAAGCAGATGATGAGACCCAACGTTTCCTAATTTAATGGGCAGTAGATAAGGAAATTGGACAGCAATTGAACACCCAAAGGGAAATAATTCCCTGTGGCTGCCAATATATAAACATCAGGCTTCTAAAGACAAGGTTACCAGACAATCCAGAGAATTTCTAAATGTAAACAGAAGTTCAAATTTCAACTTTGCTTGGGGCTGCCATTTAAAATGAAGCCAGTCATAATCCGTACTATTGGCATTCCTTTGACCCACTGTCAAAACAGCTTGGAAACACAGAACAATGTTTTAAAAAGCAAACATGCAATTATTTTTGTTGTTGTTTTGTTTTTTGTTTTTTGAGTCGGAGTTTTGTTCTTGTTGCCCGGGCTGGAGTGCAATGGCACGATCTCGGCTCACTGCAACCTCTGCCTCCGGGGTTCAAGCGATTCTCCTGCCTCAGCCTCCTGAGTAGCCAGGATTACACGCACATGCCAACACGCCCAACATGCAAATTTTAAAAGTTGAATTCCACATTGCTTTCCAGAGGCTAACAGTACTATTTACTTCCTGTACGCCCTATTCTTAGTCACAGGATCCTTTTCCACATGTCTGTTTCCTATGGATAATCCCAGCAACAACATACAGAGGTGGCACTCTCTCTTTTGTTTAGCTTTTATTTCCTCCCCTGGTGTTTTCTCACTTCTCCCACCACACTGATTTTCAGTCCATACCCTTGCACTATTCACCTTCACCTACCAGTGCTTCTTGCCTATCCTTCACATTTATCCTGGCTGGGTCCACCTTATATATAGCTTCTCTCCACACCTCCAGTCTTCGAGGTGGGGCTTTTAAGTAGTGTTAACGCTTTCCTGAAAATCCCCTTTGATCTTTTATAATAAAGTGAGAGTGGAAAGGGAAAAATTGATAACGAATTTACAGCAACATTGTTAGCCATGACATTATGTCCTCCTAACTCTTATTGTCTGTCTTTAAAGAACAAGACACAAGAATTCAATGATCAAATAATATTTACTGACGACGAACTAGAATAGAAGGCATACCGTCTATTTTCCCTGTTGATACTTCCCCTGTTTTCCTCTGGGGAACCACTCAGCTCCTACTTGGTCCATAGTTTTAATTATAGTTAACCATGTTGCTCCACCCCTGCACCTCCCGGTCCCAGAGTTGCCATGTGTCCTAGACCTAGTCAGGGCAGTACATGTCCATGGCCACAGTGATTGGTTCAAGGGCAGATGCTAGATCAGAGTCTAGCCAATCGGAGACAATGAAACAATTTCAGATCTTTCATGGGAGCTATTGAGAAAGAAGTATGCCACTTATACCAGGGTTGATGAGAGAGCAGTTAGTGGTCATCTTTGTCCCAGAGAGGTGAGAATATGAAATAGAGCCAATACAGAGGGAGGCAGAGCACAGAGATGGGTAGAGGAACCTAGTTCTGATGCAACTGGTAAATTAGCTAATTAAGTATCAAATAGACTTTTCAGATACAAGTTTGCTTAAAACAGTTTTGAGTGGCTTTTCTATCCTTGAATCTGAGAGAATCTTGGCCTCTACAAACCATGTGGTAGGTTGCTTGTGGTTCTCACTTATTTTCACATTGGCGACACCTTGGGAGTTTTTTAAATTACAGATTTAAAAACATTCGTGGACCGACGTGTTCAATTTCATATACAGTGTGCATCATTTCAGGGCTTCAGCCATTCTGCGTTCTGTTGTGACCATCGTCAGAAAGTGCCTACTACATGTGCTGTTGCATATGAAGATACTTTATAAAGAGAGCTTCATAGACAACTCCAGAATTGTGTTTAATCTATTTCCAAATTCTTTTACATCCTCCACTTTTGAATCTAGTGGTCCTACGTCCTCATCTACCATCAAAACTCTCTTTTAGAGAAAAAGAATGGTGATAGTTACACACACACACACACACACACACACACACACACACATGTCCTCTGACTTGGCCACATCACAATCCCCAATTTCCCATTACTTCTCTGATGACACACATTCAAAATGCAAATTTTCATACACAAAGGAAGAATAACTCTTGAAATAACGCTTGGTGCCACTGAGGACTTGAAGCTCACACTTGATTTAGTGGAGCTGCATAGACAGCAGTGTGACTGTCTTCTCAGCAAAAGCAACAGAATTTGGAGTCAGCAAATTTTGAGAGAAAGTGACTTTAAACAGGAAACAGAAAAGTGAGTTGATGATGGCGTAACAGAACCAGGGGTTTTGAGAAAGAACATCAAAATCATAAGATTAATTCTTCATTTGATAGAGATCAGAGACTTGCTTGACTCAATCTGCATAGACAGGAATCCAGAGTTCTTATTTCCTTGACTGTACCTACTCTTGATCTTCTCACTCAGAAATCCTGAGCCCCATTATTATACAAAGTAGGTATTAAGACCTCCTTACTGACATCTTCCTATCTCTGCTTGTTTTCCATTAGTAATTTCCAGTATTTTCTTCTGAACCCCAAAGGACTTCCACAAGGTCTCAAAAATTGTATTACGGCCGGGCGCGGTGGCTCACGCCTATAATCCCAGCACTTTGGGAGGCTGAGGCGGGCGGATCACGAGGTCAGGAGATCGAGACCATCCCGGCTAAAACGGTGAAACCCCGTCTCTACTAAAAATACAAAAAATTAGCCGGGCGCAGTGGCGGGCGCCTGTAGTCCCAGCTACTTGGGAGGCTGAGGCAGGAGAATGGTGTGAACCCGGGAGGCGGAGCTTGCAGTGAGCCGAGATCCCGCCACTGCACTCCAGCCTGGGCGACAGAGAGAGACTCCGTCTCAAAAAAAAAAAAAAAAAAAAAAAAAAATTGTATTATGTACTTATGTGTATGATACTGAAGCAGATCAGATTGTTTTTCCAAAAATGACTGTACCTATACATATCTCATTCCACTTTTTAAAAATATACAATGTGACATTGACATTCTCCTTCAAAAGGCAGGGTCTAAGTTCTCTCCCCTTAATCCTGGGGACTTGTTAACCTCAACCAATAGAATGTGGTAAAAATAACACTGAATAACAAGCTCTTTCTCTTGACATAATCACTATGGGAGCTCTGGGTCAATGTGTAACAAGTAAGACTGCCCTAAGCCCCCCATGCTGGTAGATTACATGGAGAGACTTCATCAAGCTAGAGAGATGCCCAAAGAGCTCCAGTTCTTCCAGCTTTCAGTTGTTTGAGTCTTCTAAGCTTAGGGCTCAGACAAGTGAGTAAGAGAAGCCCTGGATATTTCAGCCTCCCAATTTCTGAGCCACCCCAGCCAATGCTGAGTAGAGCAGAGACAACTATCCCTGTCGAGCCCTGCCAAGCTTGCAGATGTGTGAGCAAAATAAATGTCATTATTTTAAGCCAACAAGTTTTATACATCCCTAGTACCTGGAACAAGCCATTGTCTGCTCTTGCCAGCTAAGATCACTAACTTGTGGGAAGAAAGTATTCAAGAGCCTGTCAGGGTGACTTGGGTGTTTGGAAAGCTAAGCAAGAGAAATGTCAAGCATGCAAGGGTATAAGATGCTTGGCTTAGTATCCAAACAAAAATCCCATGCAATGCCAGTGAAAATGCAACAGGAAGGGAAGAAATAAGAGAGATAAAGAAAACCAAACCACCACCGCAAAGGTGCATTTTAATGGGCAGACACTGTTGCTGAGTAAGAAATAAAAGAAAGGTAAGAGTCCAGAAAGGAAAAAGAGAAGCATAAAGAAAGACTGTAGTTGAAATGAGACTGCCTGACTTGGAGACTACATCACAGAAGGTGATATGGATTCCAACTAGAAGAGACTAGTCATGGTCCCAGCAGGAAGCAGGACACATTCAAAGGGGTGTAAAAAGTTTAATATGGGATATTTTAAAAGATGTGGGCAGAGTCAAGGGAATCAATCAAGGAAAGTAAAGATGTCTAAGACTAGCAGTGGATGGGAGCTGTTACCACCCATAGGCCTGAGAAGAGAAAGGGAGTGGTCACCTGAAACCAAGCAATAGCTGGAGGTGGAGAAGGCCACCCGCAAGTGCTGTGTCCTTGGGTGAAGTCATTTCTGTCTGGCAGCAAGGGTCAAAGAGAATAAATGTCTTTTTGTCCTTAGTACTTTTCCCCCCATTCTCCAATCTCCCTTAAATGACTTCCACTGGTCTAGCGCATGCCTTCTCAATGGGAAGCAAACATTTGTTCTTGGCAGGGCAAAAAGGAAAAAAACAAAAAACACAGCAAAAAACTCTTAGCTATTATAATGGTCTGTACCCTCCAAAAGATACAGTTCATAAATAGATATGCAATATATTTATGGTATTAAAATTTCATGGTCAGGTGGAGACAATTAGAAAAAGAATGTCTAAAAAAGCCTCCTTAGGGAGTGTAGTCATGAAAATAAAATTGAGAAATATTAGTTAACCAACCCAAAGCTTGAGGGTGAGGGAGTCCAGTCAATGCAGCCCCTTAGGTCTCAGGCAAAAAGCAGTCTAGAGAATGTTCTAGAGAGACAAACAGAGGCAACTGAGCACACAGCCCTTTTTAAAATTCTTCCTGACCTCTACTCTTTAGATCTCTGTATCTATGCACAGGAACAGATGGCAGTTATGATGGCTAATTCAGGGAAATCATCCATCTAGCGGAACCACCAATGAGAAGAATTAGCAAAATGACTGTCCACACTCACGGCACACCGTGTCATCAGCGTAGAAATGTGACCTTTGTCTCATGTGTATTTTAACACTTACAATAAAAAGAGAACAAAAAAAGGTGCATAAACAATTCAAGGGCATGCCTACATATGTAATATTAACCCTTTGCTAATTAGTTGATTTGGTGTTATATAATGGACAAGCAAAATTTGACAACAGGATTGAGTTAACACTTTTAGAAACCCTAAACACCAAACAGATTTCCATGCTCTCCCCATCCTCATTGGGCTGTACTCTGCCAAACTTAACCAAAGTTGGACAATTTGATCTCTTGGCCACAGCTATAATGGAAGGTCTATAAGAAAACCATTCTGGCAATTGGATGAATTCATCAGGAAGATGTGATTGACTGATCTTGTGAGCTGGTTCCCCACATTGAACCATCAAGATAATCTGATCGTTCTGTTTTAAATAACATATCTCAAATTGTGATCCACACACTTAATACTCAGATCTAGTTTCCAAATACGCTTCTCTACTAAAAGAAACCAAACCTCCTTGAAGAATTGGTGGGTACCAAGGCTAAGGCGTTATTACAACCCATTGAATAGAATGGGAAATGATGAGTCCACGAGGATATAAATAAGTACACAAATGAATAAATTGAAAGTTTAATGAGGAATGGGCCATTTACCTAGTTTCATTGTGCCTTCCCACAAGGGGTACTCATCAATTACAAACAGAGGAAAAAGCAGCTGTGTAGTTGAGGAGCCTCTGAGACACCACCTTAATCAAGTAATCAAAGCGAGTGAATATTGTCAATAATGGGACAAATTGAGATAATGGGCCCTTCATAGCCTGCCATGAGAAGAACACAGTATCACTTCTGTGATAGTTCTTCAAAGATGCATCACTTGAATCCAGCCATGAGAAAACATCAGACCAATCCAAATTGGAAACATTCGAGTAGATAACTGACCTGCAATCTTCAAAAGTGTCAAGGGCAGTAAAGTCAAATTAAGATTGGGAAACTGTTCCAGACTGGAGGAGAATAAAGAGATGTGGCAGCAAAATGAGAAATTTGAGTTTGAAAGCGTTTTTTTTTTTTGTTACAAGGAGCATCATTGGAAAACTGGTGAAACTTAAATGAGATCTGAAAATTAGATAGTAGTGATATATCCATATTCATGTTCTAATTTTGATCTTTTTATTGTGCTCATGCAGGATGAATGCCCAATTTGTAGAAAATGCTCAGTTAAATGTTTGGGGATAGAAACAGTAGATTGGCAACTTATTCCCAAATGGTTCAGGAAAAAAAGGTTATTTTTACTGTACTTGCAAATTTGCTGTAAGTTTGAGATTGTTTAAAATAAGAAACAAAGGCAAAAGAAATGGTGCTCCAAAGATGCATTGCATCTAGTTAGCATGCAGCTTTCTGATTTGGTGAAGGGTTGGGCTAGGTGCAGGAATCTGCGTTTTTGGATACACCATAAGTGGCTGAATGAGAGGTTCTCCCAAGGGTGGCAGTTTGCAACTGTTCACTAAGCACTCAGCAAAAACATTCCACTTTCGCTCCACATTCTACAGCCAGTCTCCCCTTCCCTCTGCCCCTTTCCTCTCAAACCCCATATCTACTTTCCTTCTGCCAGCAGCAAAGATTGTTAGAAGCCAGTGGGGAATTCTCAGGATGGAGAATTGAGAAATGATTCAAGTGGTTCTGCTAGCATTTTCTGTCTACGGAGAATACAGTACCCTGGGTTTCTGCATGTCATTCCTCAGGCATGGTGATCCCTGGAGATGAAATCATTTCCTAAGACTGTCTCTGATGGCTCCAGAGTGACAAGAGGTAGGAGAGAACAGGCACACTTGAGCAAGGCATTAGGAGAGTGTGGCGTGAATCCAGGAAATTCTAGTGTAGGTGGACAGTTTTAAGGCTCTCTCTGGTATAGCAGGAAAGCACAACTTTGTTACATTAGAAAACTGAAATTTTGAAATACAACTACAAAATCGTAACATGAAAATTCAACACTGTTCAAATAGCAATACCTCTCCTTAACGACAAAATAAACCCTTTCTCTGTTGAAAAATTAGTACCTAATATTATAAGTCCTCAAATGTCCTATTGGCATGGTGTCAACATTGAAAACAATCACTCTAATGCTTTAGTTCTATAAACCCGGGGACTGAGTTTTCAACAAAACAAAGGCAAACACATCTGACTGATGCATTCTTCATCCTTGGTTTAGGAAATCAAAATAGACAAATTGTTAAACACATAGTCTAAATTACTCACAGACATCTATAACATTTAAAGAAAGGTACCTTTAAAGTTACTATAAAAAGATCCACTGTCTATGCCCTGATAAACTGATCTTTTCCTTTAGTTTTTTAATAGTGAACTTAGTATCACCTTTCATGAGTCCTCTAGACAATTTCAGAGGAGTTTTAAAAGAAAGTTTCCTCATCTGTGAAACGAGAGTGTTGCCCTAGATGTTCTCAGAGGCCCACTTGGCCATTAAAAGCCATGATTCTGTGCTTTGAATTAAGGATGGAAATATTTACTGAGCATGAAGAAAAGAGCTCATAAAGAATCAATTTTCATGAATATGATGGTTTGTAGAATTACAGAATTTGATATCTAAATGGACCTGAGAGACATGAGGTAAAGAATATGATCGTACACCTAAGGGATGAAAATAGAATTCAGGGATCTGATTCCTAGTTCAGGGGTCTTTCCATTAGCTTGCAACTATTTTCCTTTTTCTCCCTCTCCCCCACCTCTTTCCTCCCTTTCTTCCTTCTTTTTTTTTTTTTTTTTTTTTTTTGAGACAGAGTCTCTCTCTTTCGCGCAGGCTGGAGTGCAGTGCTGCGATCGTGGCTCACTGCAAGCTCCGCCTCCCAGCTTCACATCATTCTCCTGCCTCAGCCTCCCGAGTAGCTGGGACTACAGGCACCAGCCACCACGCCCGGCTAATTTTTTGAATTTTTAGTAGAGACAGGTTAGCCAGGATGGTCTCGATCTCCTGACCTCGTGATCTGGCCACCTCGGCCTCCCAAAGTGCTGGGATTACAGGCGTGAGCCACCGCGCCTGGCCTCTTTCTTTCTTTCTTACTGTCTTCTTGAGCTTGGCAATCATAAATGACAGCAATTACATGATCATTCCTTAACTGGGAAGTTTCTTATTGAAAAGCAACAAGACAAAAACAATAAAAAAACACCTTTTATGGGGAGAAACATAGTGAAATCATACTATCTAAATCACATAAAATAATCTTTTTACTCAGTTTATCTTGTTTGTCAATATTTTTGTGCTTTTACTCTTTTTGATATTTAGGAGATTTTTCTTTGTGCCTGAAAATTTTGCTTTTGCTTAATTGGAAAATTTGGGCTGGGCACGGTTGCTCACGCCTGTAATCCCAGCACTTTGGGAGGCCGAGGCTGGAGGGTCGCTTGAGTTCAGAAGTTCGAGACCAGCCTCAGCAACATAGTGAGACCCTGTCTCTAAAAAAACAAACAAACACAAATTAAAAATGTAAAACAAGGAACTTTGGCCTCGGGGTGCGCTACTATGGCCTTCCCGGGGTGAGGAGAGCAAGAAGACATGATGGACAAGAAGACTGTATGAATAGTGAAGAACTGTTTTTCCTGCAATGTTTGAATTAAGCATAACCAGGGTACAACTTCTATTCTGGATTCAGTAGTGGCGGAGAGAATGAAAACACCCATCTATGCCTCCTCTCTTTCTCTCACATGCCACATTCAACATGTCTGTGAATTCTGTTGGCTTTACCTTTAACGTGTCCAAAAGTGACCAATTATCATTCCTGCCTTTCGCTGCTACTTGGATCAAGCCATTAGTATCCCTTGCTCCAATAAACTCTTTCCTGTTTCTTCCCTTAGCCCAGTCTATTCTCAACACAATAACCAGAAGATTTCTTTTAAAATATAAGTTAGAGCACGTCCTATCTCTGCTTAAAATGCTCTCTTCCCATTTCACTGAGAGAAGCAGTCAAAGTTCTTACAGTGGCCAACAATGCCCAAGGCAGTGATTCTCAAGATATAATCTCCATCGTAGGGCATCACCTGGAAGATTATTGGACGTGAAGATTCTCAGCCCCACCCCCAAACCTACTGAATCAGAGACTTTGGGGGTGAGACCCTGAAATCTGGGTTTGACACACCCTCTGGTGATTCTCATGCACACTCTAGTGCGGAACCCACCCCTCTCCAGGATAGGCCTCCAGTGACCTCTCCAGTTACTCTCCTCCCCTTCACTCTCTGTTGCTGCTGTCACATGGACCTTCTTGCTTTTTATTAGGGTAAGTCAGACGCCTCGATCATTGGGGCTTTAGCATTTTGTGTTTCCGCTGTTGTTGTTTCTTTTTTTGAGACAGTCTCACTCTGCCACGATCTCGGCTCACTGCAACCTCCGTCTCCCGGGTTCCAGCGATTCTCCTGCCTCAGCCTCTGAAGTAGCCGGAATTACAGGCGTGCGCCACTACGTCTGGCTAGTATTTGTATTTTTAGCCTCGAACTCCTGACCTCGAGTGATCTGCCCGCCTCGGCCTCTCAAAGGGCTTGGAATACAGGCGTGAGACACCGCACCCGGCCCACTTACTGTTTCCTCTACTGGAACACTCTTTTCCCAGAGAGCTGCCTGGCTTACCCCTTTATGCTTTTCAGGTTTCTTCTCAAATAGAAACTTAATAATCAGAGAGATCTAACATATTTTAAAACCCAACCCAGCTGTCTCCTAATTTCCCCCACCACACACACAGGCTCACTCCCACACTCATACACACTTGGGCATTTCCTAGCTCCTCCCCTGCTTGATTTTTCTCCATGGCTCTTGGCATGACGTCTCCCATGAAGTTGTTGTCACAATGTCAGCTACGTCTGCAGTCATCTGGGGGCTTTCTTGGGACTGGAGGATCTGACTCCAAGACGGTTCACTCACATGACTTATATCTTGGCGCCGGCTGCCAGCAGGGGGCCTCAGCTCCTTGCCATGAGAACCTTTTCACAGAGCTGGGGTCCTCATACATGGCGGCTGCCTTACCCCAGAGCAAGTGATCCGAGAGGGCGCAAGGTAGAAGCCATCTTTTGTGACCTAAACTGTCACACATTAGCATGAGATATGGTGGCCCAGAACCTCAAGATATGCTACTGTCCAATTCCTGACTGACAGAAACTCCGAGATAATAATTGCTTATCGTTGGTTGAAGCTTTAGGATAAATTTTCAGGCAGCAATAGATAAATAATTTATTAAACATTGTATCCATTTTTTATCTGCCAATCCCCAATGCCACATACCCTAGAATAAAAGCCCCAAGAGAGTAGAGGCCTCTATTTTATATATAGAATATAAGCCCCAAGAAAGCAGGGGCTTATAATATATTAATACATATATTATATATTATATTGTGTTCAGGGCTTAGAACAATACCTACACCGTCAAATGGTAGGCATTAACAAAAGTATGTGGAATGAGTGCTTGGAGAAACTGGATGGTGGGCAGCTATGCTGATGTGGTTGGAGGATGCAGTGGATGTTTCTGCAGTAGCATCATTTTGCACAACTATAGAGGACCTCATGCACACTGAATTCCATGTGAGTGGAGACTTCTGGGAGCACAGCTCCATGCAAAACTAATTTTGACCTTGTGGATCGCTGGAAGGGCTTTGGGGGACCTCCCCCAGGGTTCCATTGGCCATATTTTGAGAAACACTTATCAGGGAAAGAAGACTACAGGCAGTAAGAATAGCCCAGCCTCAGAAGAGAGATTCTTGGTCCCAGAATCTTACAGAAATAGCTGAGAGTCAACAGATCTCAAGGGACCATGAGGACCAAACAATGACTGTCTCAGTGGCAAGCTCTGAACTGAGGGCCGATAACTAGAGACCACCTCTTTCCTCATGCCCCTGACCTAATCTGGTACCCTCCTTAAAGTTTTAGAGACAGTTAAGTAGAGATTGAGAAATGGTTGAGATGTGTGGTTGTGTAAATATTGGAGATAGGCTGCTGATGCTCCTTGACTTAAGATGGGGCTATGTCCTGATAAACCCATTGTAGGTTGAAAATACTGTAAGCAAAAATGCATTTAATACACCTAACTTGCACAGATGGGCATTTTGTAGACATGATGAAATGTGAAAACACAAAACAATATCCAAAAACTGCTGACAACACAGGCCACTCTAGAGTGCGGTATCAGTTGTTTACCGTCGTGATGGTGCGGCTGACTGGGGGCTGTGGCTCACTGCACAGCATCATGAAAGACTATCACATCGAGAGTCCAGGAGAACATCAAAATTCAAAACCAAAGATTTCTACTGAATGCCTATTGCTTTCACACCATCAAGTCAAAAAATCCTAAATCAAACCATTGTAAATGGTGGACCTTCTGTAGTTTCTTGGGAATCTGGACTTGAAGATAAGGGGAATAGAGATCAGGAAGATGAAGACAGACTGGAAGAAAGTCCCTTTGGGACTGGAATTAGTGCAACTGGGGGCTGGGGTGGGGAGGCATGCAGAGTGTGCTGAGTGAACCTAAGGGAAAAAGGAGAGAGACAAACCCAGCTAGATGTGCGATGCAAGCAATGCATTTAAAAATGTATCTCTGCTTGCAAAAGTATTTTGTTCACATTAAAAGGAATTTCAAGCATTAATAAGCAAGGTAGGGGAGTCTTTGGTGGGAGGGAGCTCTTCTTGTTTCAAATTCAATATACTCACTGACCAGCTCTTCTGTCTACTCAATGTGCCCGGTGTTTTCCATAAATCATCTTATTTAAATTGCCCTGCAGTCCTGCAAGATCAGTTTCCCTTCTGTCCATTTAATGTATGAAGAAACTGAGTCTTAGGTTAGAAAAACTGCCCAAGTAGGAAGCAGAACATGGACAATTGAGAGTTCTGTCCATACTCATACTGAACTGTTTCTCTATGGGTATGAGGGTCCATATATGTTATCACCAAACTTGGGTTACCTCCAAGAGTGAAAGGGAACATTGCTAACAAATGCCAATGGCAACATGCATAAATTGGGATCGTTCCCAGTCAAACAGAACCTGTGGTTTCTCTGCCTTGGTAGATTCAGCCCTTCTCACAATGGAAAATGCCTTAATACTCACATTCTCTAAGTCCCATTTAAAGTCCTAGAGCTGACTCTGAAACAGGACTCTGTGGTCTGTTTAATGGGTAAGCATGGGGAGCACCAGTACAAATGAAAATAGACCACTGGGTCCTTCTACTACTTTGTGGTGGTGGATAGTTCAGAATGGCCTGGAATCAAGCAGAATATAAGAAAAATATGATTAAAGCAAAATGGTGGTATAGGCATTTATTGTATTCTGATTTTTCACCATGGAAATTTACACATTTTGCTTAAATTCTTGATATTTTAAAGTCTAGAGGATAAAACAAAGCTTTTCTTCAGGGGAAAGCTGCTTTTCCTGGATCCTTATTTTGTTAAAAGCTGGTCAATCACTAAGCTCATTTGAGTGATGGCAAAGTAAAAATTATGACTGCCTGATTTTACCCTTCACTGCACTTGTCAAAAAAATTAAATTAAAAATCGTGCTTATGAATATAATGCATGAACTGCTGCATGGCATTCTGAAAGATAGAATGTCCCTTCTGTCCAGCCACTCACAAAACAGCATGTCACACGATACTTTAATATGCATAGAAAATAATGGGGCAGAGAGAAAATTCTGCCTCTCGGGAAATACAAGCTACGTTCCATAAATGGTTCATGTATTCAGAAAAATTTATTTTAGTAAAATAATAATAATAATAACTTTAATATTATCATTAGATCCCTCAAACTGGCATAGTGCTTTCTAGTTTCCAAAATGTTTCCACATATAATTTCATCTGACAAAAGACATCATTAATATTTTAAAGTGCAATATAGGTTTGCTTGATTTAGAATTGCAAGGGTTCAGTTTCCTGATGAATGAGCATCCCACGTATGCCTACTGAATATTCTATGTAAAGGCAATTGTGGAGCAAGAGTCAAAGTGCTAGTGCTTTCTGTAAAAATATGATGGAAAGTGCCATTTGTTACCAAAAGCCACTGAAGGCTTTGGAGACTCAGGTATGTAGAAAATTACTGTTTGAAACATGCTACTGAACTTAGCAACATATAGTCCATTTAGTTCTTGTTTAATGAAAATATGTGTTTGTTTTATAAAATAACTCATTATATGTGTGTATGCATATTCAATTACACATAAATTTAGAAAGTGCAATATTAAACTCTCCAAAACCCAACTGTGCTCCTTCTTCACTCCTCCAAGATAATTTCTGAGGTCAACTTGATATGTATCTTTCCAGGCTATGTATTAGAAATGTATGTATGTGTATAGATATACATGTATATGTATATATGTATATATGTACACACATATGTGTATATATCTGTATGTATGTAAAGATACATATATACACGTGTGTACATATACACACATATACATATATACATATATGTCTGTGTGATTAGATAAGTAAATAGATGCATACATACATATACATAGCACATACCTACAGATATATATACACCCATATATTTGTATGTGCATACATACATATATACATACATATAGATAGCACACACCTACAGATATATATGTGCACACACATATATGCATGTATATACATACATGTGTACATATATATACATACATACAATAGATAGCACATACCTACACACATATATATATGCACACACACATATAGGTATGTGTATACATATATACATATAAGGTATACACATATACATACTATATGTGTGTGTGCATATATATATATAGTAGGTATGTGCTATCTATATATATTTACATATATATGTATGCATCTATCTATCTACTTCTTGAATACATGGCTGAGCTGGTGCTTTTGTAAGGGAAATTCTTGAAACCGAAATGATAAAGTGCCAGGATCAAGAGTTCTAAGCAGGCACTGAAATCAGTATTTGCTTTGAGGCATCTGCCAACCCCAGGTAACCTAGACTCAAGAACAACAGTTCTCAAGTTTGAGCGTGCATCTTCAGATGAAGAGCTTTTGAGAACACAGATTACAGGACCCCACTTCAGGTTTCTGATTCAGAAGGTCTGGGACGTGAACCTAGAATTTGTTTTTTTTTTTTTTTTTTTTTAGACTGAGTCTTGCTCTGTGGCCCAGGCTGGAGTGCAGTGGCTTGATTTCAGCTCACTGCAACCTCCGCCTCCCAGGTTCAAGCAATTCTGATGCCTCAGCCTCCTTAGTAACTGGGATTACAGGCACATGTCACCACTCCCAGCTAATTTTTGTATTTTTAGTAGAGACGGGGGTTTCACCATGTTGGCCAGGTTGGTCTGGAACTCCTGACCTCAAGTGATCCACCCGCCTCGGGCTCCCAAAGTGCTGGGATTATAGGCATGAGCTTCCAGGTGAAGCTGATGGATGCAGATTCAAGAACACTCTTTGAGAACCACTAGCTAGAGCTTGGATTTGAATGAGCCACACGTGTGAGGCATGGAGGGGCCCATGCTAGGGTCATAAATATAGTGGGAGATTTGCCTATGTCAGTTTTAGCATTGGTCGTGAGAAAAAAGGGAAAAAAAGGTCTCTGTTGAGATTTCCTCATCTTATACATGGACTAACATGGGTTTAAGGACCATTAGCCAACAAAATAAAAACAAAACTCTAAGCCAAATATGTACTTTAAGGTATTGCTAAGGTAATATCTTCAGGTATCTTAGAAAACCAAGTGTAAATAAATGAGCTCTTAAAGCAACATCAAAAAAGCTTCCATAAGTAAAAATCCAAGGAACATGATCATCAAAAAGGCAAAATACACGAGGAAATAACCAAGTGCAGAAGTTTGCAGAATCAATAAACTGCAGAATCAGACTTGTACAGACTAGAGATATTAAATTTATGATGCAGATTATTAAAGGTATTTTATGTGTTAATTAAATAAAAAATGGCCATGTATATTTGAAAAGGAACCAAATAAAACCTATCAAAAAAGAAAACTATATTAGAAATACAGTGAAGAGTTAAACATCAGATTAAATAAAGTTGAATAGAAAATTAGCAAGTTAAATGACAGACTTGAAAAAAATTAACCGGAAGGCATCAGAGAGAGAAGAGATACAGAGGACAAAATGCGATATGGGTTAAAAGTCATGAAGAACAGAGAAAGAAAGAATAGAAAGTAATAGATTAGAAGTTATATTTGGTGCAGTGATACGTGAGAATTTTTCAGAACTAATGAAAGATGCCCATTCCGAGATCCAAGAAGTACAGCAAATTCTAAGAAGGATATATAAAAATGAATCTATACCTAGGCACATCATAGTGATACTATGGAACACAAAAGGTAATGAGTAGATTGTCAAAACAGACAGAAAGGAAAAACAGATAAGCTTAAAAGAAGCAAAAAACAAACGGAAATATTCCTTAACAACTACAGGAAAACTTCAAAATGTTGCAAGAAAATAACCATCAATCTCAAATTTTTACCCACCAATACTGCTTTAAGAAAATAATGCAAAATAATACCATTTTCAGACAAATAAGGCCTGAGAGACTTTCACTAAAGGAACCTGTAGATAATTTACTTCTGAAAGACAAAGGAAGAAGTGTGAGAAAAGTATGCTTTATTAAAGGTGCTAAGTTTTCTACAATAATATTCTTTCAACTTTTTGTAAGAAAAAAAAAGGTCTAAATTATGGGGAGTTAGAATTAATGCAACTGGTACTAATCAGGCTTTTTTCCAAACAATTCTGTCTATGCCTTGCTGGTTCACAGATGGCATTATCATTTATAGCACATGACAGCCAATCAATTAGTAACTTGAAATTACTAATAATTTCATTATTGGTATGGTGTTGAGTGTGTGAAACCAAAGTACACAGCAGTTCATGAAATTTTACTAAAAATAATAAAATCACTATATTCAAAAGTACACAGCATAAAAATGCAAATAAATACATTTAGAAGTTGTTTGATTTTTAATTTTGATGTTCAGTATCTTAGCGAGATATTTACTAAAGTAATAATGCTTCACTCAAGGTTATAATGTTGACAATATTTCTTCCTTCAAAAAATTTGTTCTAATTTCCAGGAAAGAGAAAGAGAAAAGATTACAGAAGCTGTGTTTTTTCTAGAAAAAAAAAAAAAAGATTGTGACATTAACAAACTGCGTGGACTTGGGCAAGTTAAAGAAGCATTTGCAGTCTGTACTTTAAAAAAATTCTGTAGAATGAGAAAATTTGACCATATGTTCTTGAAATTTTTCTTCTGAATCTAAATACAGTTATTATGACTATATATGCTGGAAAATCTAGGTGAGTTTGTTTTCTACAACCCTTTCTGAAAATGTGCATTATCAGTTAAAAGGTGGAAATCAGTAGTACCTGTGAGGGTGGGAAGTGGGCCAGGGAACCCTAAAGAAGGAGAAAAGAGAGATGGGGCCAAGTGTTGGGGCATTAAGCTGAGAGATCTATAAATAAAAATACCAGGAGCTTCTCTTTCTAAAAAAATATGAAATGACCAAGCTAAAAAAACATTGATAACTCTAAGCTGGGAAGAAGATCTAGAGAGGAGAGTAATGATCAGCATTAAAATTTGTCCCTCTTCCAGTGATACCAGATTTCATTTGCATATCCACTAGGAAAGAATGATTGTAACTCTTTGTATCATAACAGGAAATGGAACACATGCAAGAGTACAATGCATGAATTCAGAGACATAGGTTATTTTGTCAAAATAGAAACTCTGATAAGTAATAAGTGCCGTATGTGTGGTAAACCCAGCTGATAGCAATCACTTAACCATATCCTGAGAATGAACCATGTGGTGGATGCACCTCAATGCGGTTCAAAGTTCTCAACTAGAATCCAGGAGTGGCAACCCGGAGATTGATTCCTTATCTACAGGGAACATCTGAGCCCCCGGCCCATCCTGTGGAACTCAGGCTGTACAAGGGATGGAGGCCCTTTGTCTTGGGGTAAGTAAAGGTTGCCATTGCATGTTTTTTATAAGCGGCTGTGGTCCTCCTGCCCAGGCTGCCGCCACCAGGCCCTCTCTCCTGTATGAAAGCCCCCAGGAAAACCCCATGTCTCTTTCAGTGATTCTGGGGCTCTTCTTCAGCCTCTCGAACCTGGTGTCATCCCCTCTAAAGTTGGGAGGGTTTCAGCACAACAGCATATCATGGAATCATCCACCGCTGCCTGCCGGATGGCGCTCCCTTTCTCACTCCTTGCCCAGCTATCTTTACTTTTTATTTGTCTTTGAAGCCCTCTTAGGAACAAATGAACAATTCCTATGTTTCTGGAGAGTGCCTCACATTCACATTTCACCACAGACAGAATGTCCCTGCTAGCAAATCCAGTTACCACATTTTCATCTTTATGATTCAGAGCAGATTGTTAGACCACATAATTACAGGAGGTGAAGCTGTATTATTGAGTCATATTAGGATTCGGGAATGATGTTCCTAAACAAAGCAACTGATTTAGGAAGTAAATGAAGTTTTCACACATTGGAAGGAGTAACTTGGAAGAATTCCCTTCTTTAATTAAAGGCGGAAGAACTGCTACAGCTTAATAGCTGTTATATGAGGCTCAGAAATGACAACAGGCTCAGGTTCTGGAAAACAACTTTTGACATAGGTTATGGATGTGATGGGAATCATTTGGTGAGGTAGAGTTTCTCTAGGGGAAAGGTGAGTATTGCTTTGCCCCAGCTCATTACCCAAGTGTGGCCTTAAGAGATGGTCTAGAAAATGACCGAACTACAACAGGAGATTTGGAAGCCCCAGCTACTCTCCCAACCAGGCAGTAACAAAGCTTAACATCTTGGGTGAATTATTGCAGCTGGCCTTTTTCCTGGTTCTAAGTGTTCTCCTCTGAACGATTTTAAACTTTCAAGCACATTTCACTGAATTAGGGCAGTGCATAATCTACGATGGCCATGATCATCATATTGATAACAACAGCCATCACTGACAGAAGGCCAGGCCAGTGCTAGGCCAGTACACATGCTATTTCTACTCTTCATTGTCAGTAGGAAATATTCCTCCTTTGCTCCTTGTGTAGAGGAGGGGTCACATCTGTTTCTGTGCCTTTCTGCACCTCTCCTTTCTTACAGTAAGCCTGGGAGAAGGAAACAGTTCCATCTTGTGTCTCTCTCAGACCCACCTGCCTACAGAGAAGGCGTGTTCCTGGTCTGCTCATCCTATAACAAGCTGATCAGGGCAGTCTTGGTCTAGGAAGCTGAGGACACCTGCACTCGCCTGTGAGGGGACAGTGATTAAAGCTTTCCTATTTAGAGCTGAAATTCAGGGTTAGGAAGCCTGTCTAGGAGCAGGGCAGCCAGATGCTCTGGCCTCATCATGTTAGTATTCAAGCTAATGCTTTGATTTCCACCTTTCTTTCAGCTTTGGCTTCTCGATTGGTTCTGAACTCCCAGGAAGGTGAAAAAGCAGCGTCATTACTTAGCACCGGAAGCCCCGGCACTCAACAGGGATACTGTGCAGTCCTGCATGTGAGCAGCTCAAGAGTTCTTTTCAAGTGAGACCTGCTGCTAGGAGAGAAGTAAGCTGACAGCACCCAGCAACCACACTGTTGAGAACCCCTGTGGCATCATGTTCCTGCTGAGGCCGGCCACTTTCTTGCCAAACTACTTGCAGCCAGTGACTGAGCATGGGAAAGCGAGACCCTAGAGCCCAGCTATTCCTGCCCAGTGCAGGACTCCTCCAGACTTCCAGACTGCACTGCAGACTGAGGCACTTCCTAGCTGAGCCTCCTTCTTTTCTTCTCTCCTTTCAGCTGCTCCTGCTCCATTGCCCATTTCTCTCACCTTTATCCTGCACTTCTGCTTCCATCTTGGCATCTTCTTCCCTCAAGACCCAACCTGACACCATCAGTATTATTACACTCTTCATTTCCCAGTGGAGGAGGTGGGGATCCAGGCAAGAAAGACAAAGCGTAAATATGCTCCCTTTAAAATTTTGTACTGCTCTATCGCTTCTGGGTCTTTGGGCTAAGATCAAGTGTAAAAGTTTGTACTACTCTTAGGTTTGAGGTTCACATGAAAAGAACATCTCATCAACATTTCAAAAGAAAATTTGAATGAATTGTATGTTGTACTAGTGTGTAAAAGAGAGACCGTGTCATTTATTCATAAAACTGAGTCCAGTGGGACCTGCCCATTCAATGCAAAAATGCAAAGGTATGTAGGATCTTAGAAAATGAAAGACAATGCTAAAGACAGGAACCATTTCCAGCATCTGTTGTTGAGGTCCGAATCTGGAAAGACTCAGAATGTATTTATCAGAAAAACAATTTCCCCAGTAAGACAATAGCTGCAAAGCTGGTCATCACATGCAAATCTTGACCTTCACTTTTGCACAATTTTGGAACATGTAACTGGTAAGCACTACCTACAATTTTTTGCTTTGCAGACATGGAAAATACAACATACTGACAAAATGGACTTTTAAAATTTGGGTTTTACCTTAACAAAATAAACTTGAGTCTGATTCTTCATCTTCAAACATATTAGAAAGGGATAAAAGAATTTCTCTGTGATATTTTAACCCTTAGGAATATCTGAACATGAGTGTGTTTGTACACATAATTTAAAAATTAAATATGTTTCTTTTCATGGCATAATTTTCTAAAGGAAGGAGGGACAGGACTTACCCTCGCTAGAGTCTTTCGAACATTCTGGCTTCTTTGCTTTGCTCTTTTTGTAGGGTGGAGAGAGGCCTTTTGGCTCTAACCCCTCTGGAATCACGAAGATTTAATATTCTCATTTAAATATTTACCAGTAGGGTTCAAAATTATGTGAAATTTAAAAATGTTTTCTTCTTAGTAAACCTACACACACGCTGAATCTTAATTGCAGTTTCATCTGTCATCATGGCTGAGCGAAATTCTGGCAAGGACTTGTGGTTCTCCAACCTACATAGACTTAAACTTAAGGCTTAAGCTAAAACATTTTTGTAGATAACATTAGTGATTCACACAAATGTAAAATCTTACACATGTGCTTTTATAAATTTAGAAATTCTCCATAAGGGAACCCTGTTAATATTTTTTCCTCCAAGAGTGTTCGATTTCAATCTTCATAGATTAATTGACAATTGTCATTGTGCAATTTCATCTTACTCAGTCCTGAACGCAGGGCTAGAGGAATGGAGAAAGGAATGGGGCTAGAAATTACCCTGCTTCTATTTAACAAACTGTTTTTAGTAATCCAGATTCTAAACAACTTCTGTATGTCCCAGTTAAATTACTGTGCTTCCTATTTTCCTCAATGTCCCTCTAAGTCTATCCTTGGGGGCAAATAAATTAAAGTCTGAGGACAGTGTCAGGAAAGCATCTCCGAGTTTATTTCATTTGGATATAGAACACTTCATTAGGTGTTAATTTATGTATTTAGCCCTGGTCTTCCTATTGAGCTCATGACTTACATCTTCAACAGCCTACGTGGCATCTTGTCTGGGATTTAGGAATGGATATCTGTTTGCCCCTCTAGATCCACTCTCCACCTTCACCACCCCTGCTGTGCTCTGGGAGGCTGAATTTTCTGGATTGCATGAATGAACTCCCTGGTTCATGTAGCCAGTGGGGAGCTCAGGGCATTTACTTTCTAGGCACCTGGTGGTTTTCATGAGCTGGTTGTATCCCTCAATCGAAGGTTACAGATCTTAGAGTTGGCCTTCTCCATGTGGCCCTCTAAGTTTCTTGGCTCCCGTAGCCACCTCCTTCCCATTGTCCCTTCAGGGCTGGTACTTAACTATGCCCCACACTTCACAGCACTAATAATTTCCTTTCCTGCACTCAACTCCCATCAGGCCCTTTCAATTTTTTTGTAAAGGACCTCATCAGGCATTTCAAATTTGAAATCAGACAGAATCATATACTTGATGTTTATAAGCATGTTCTTTCCACAGTATTGCACATCTCAAGGAATGGTATTACTATCTACCCAGAAATTTAAACTCCAAACTGAGATGTCATTCTCAATATTTTTCTTCATTTACTTTTCCAGTTGAAGCAATCGTAAGTTCTATCATAAGCCCTATCAGCTCCATTCTAAAATAGATTTCATATTCATCTACTGTGTTCAACCTTTGGAATCACCACAGTAGCCCAGACCAGCATCTCATAACCCTCTAGCCTTCTAATCTCCCTGCTTCTACTCTTTACTCTCTACACTCTATCCTCAACACAGCAGCCAGTGTGAGCTTTTGAAACATAAACCAGATCACATTGCTCACCTGTTTAAAAACCATTGCTTAGAATAAGATCCAAATCCAATTCCAGGCCTAGCACAGCATGTCATTGGGGCCCCGCTTACCACACTAGCCTCACCTCCCTCTTGTGTTTGGCTCTAGCTTTGTCAGTTTCCTTTCCCTTTGTGTTCCTCAATCACTGCTAGGCTGGTTCCTGCCTCAGAACCTTTGCACCTGCTGTTCTCACCCCCACTCCTCCAACACACATATTCATATGTCTGCTCCCTTCTCACCCTTTGAATCTCAGATCAAATTCAACTCCCTAGAAGATCTTCCCTGACTGCCTAATCTAAAGGCTCACCAGAAAGGAAATCTCTCTCAAACACATCACTTGTATGTGAAATTATCTCACTCTCTGGTGTATCCCTTTATTGTATGTCTCCTTCCTCACCTCATCCCCAAGAACATAAATTCCATGAGAAAAGGGCACTTGTCTTTCCTAATCCCTCTTGTATCCCTGGTGCCTAGCAGTGCCTTGAGAATTTCATTTCAAATTCTATTTTATTTTCACTTCCCCAGCCCTTTCTTTAAGGCCAAGATATAATGGGGACCCTGCCTAATTCTCTCTTAGCAGCTGTCGCCTTCGTGCCAGGATTCTAAAATTACATTACAGAGCTATGGCGACTCATTTCTCATTTCCCATTTATTAAAAAAGGAACAGAACAAAAAAAAACCCCACATTTGATAGATGTGCTATTAAAAACTTTGGCATTATAAACTGCAAAGCTTTGGGCACTAGGCTAGGTTTTCTGTGGTTGCAAGTCAGTCACATCTAAGGTTATTACCACAGCCAGGGTGAAAAATTTTGCCAATGACTACATTAGCAACTCCCCCAAACTTCTGTCACCAGGTGCAAGATGGATGTTGACCCTTGGAATGGGTTCAGCAAAAACAGAAATGAGATGCTTGGAGCAGCTCACCGAGTGCAAATACTGGGCTCAAAGGGATTCATACAATGGGCAAAGGGACATTTGCAACCTCACTGGGAGAAAAATCTAACCCTTCTATGTCACTGCAATGTGTCGTCTGCAACTGGGATCAAGAAGAGAGTTTCCAATGCTGAAAATTCAACTCCAAACCAGCATTTCTCCAAATCACTTTTTGCATTTTTGTGAGTTACATTTCTAGGTCTTCATTTTCCACCAGAATGGGAATTCCTGGGGAGTGGGTACTATTTAAAAAGACTTCCATGTGCCACATTTTGAAATATCTAAGCACCCCCTAAAGTACTAATATTTTATTTTTGAAAAAGTTGTAGAGCACTCCTTGGGTCAGTGGGCATGCTTACATGTTGAATATGAACATGAAACATGTTCTGTGAAACAGTATTGTATCATTTCATGATACCACAGGTGAAGTGTTTTGGGGCATGCAAATGAAAGTCACAGATACATATGGCCTCTGTGCCCAAGTTTCTACTTGTGGCTTGGGAGGAACAACTTTCCCTCTTGGCCTGAGGGAGTGAAGAAGAGAGTTGCTTCTGCTTCTCTTCAAAAGCACCCCCATGCTTCTCCTTGACAATGTATCATGTTTTCTAGCTTGCCCTGTGTCTGGCAGAGGGTGGAAACCTGGAGATTTGCCAGGAGCATGGCTTTGTCCCCTGAGGGACTCAACTGTGCATCCAGCTGTGATGTGGTTGAGTTTCCATAGGTGGTTGATAATTTTCTGTCCCTGCTGGCTCAGACTGGGGCTAATTTCAACAGTGCATAGTCATGGAAATGAAAGGACATGGGAAAACATTTGCCATTAAGGAATTAAGGATTAAGGAAGATGATTAAAGGACTTACAAGGAATTCTAGGCATTTAGGCCAGTCTGCTTCTTCTACCTCCCATGGGAGTAGAGCCTCCCCTTGCAGATGACCATGTCTGATACCATCTGAAATGCTCCTGCCTCTACTTACTATAAAAGTCTGGAGACAGGAGCAAAAAAGTAAAGGACATGAATTTTGGGGTCAGGCAAACTCAGGTTCAAATTCTGGCTCTGCTATTTAAGCAAGGAACTAATCCCTTTTAAGCCTCAATAATAACAGTTCCTGCCTTGTAGAATTGCTGTGTTTATTAAATGAGTTCATGCATGTCACGTTATTGGCACAAAGTACATGCCCAATTAAAGTCTGGCTCAGCAGAGCTGTGCTGCGGCTGACTTGAGCCAGCTCACACGAGCTAATTGTACCATCTCTCCCTAGCTCTCCTATTCATTGACCTCATGCTTTGGAAGCTTGAAAAAGACCATGGTATTTGTGTTTATACCATAGAAATCTGCAAACTCTTCACACTGGGGCTCTTCTTACCCAGAGAGTTAATTTACAAGCACCCCAGTGGGTTTAGGTATTCAAGTTGTTATTTACTATCATTCACTAGCATGTCTTGGCCAGTTGATTCACTCAAGTAGCCCTTCATTAGTGTCGGTTGCATTTGTAAAAATCCCTCCAGCTTTTCTATTTGAATGAGAAGAATTGATGCAGGGCGGGGGAAAGGCAGCAGTTAAAGGCCTTGGGAGGCTGGTTTAGACTCATCTTCGAGACTGACATGCTTAAGTGTGAGATCTGAATGAAGCCAGCATGCACACCAATGTCTGGTGAGGCCAGCTGGAACCATTCAGCACAAAAATCCTCCATGATTTCAGCACTCAGGTATAGGAAATTGGGAGTAGCTCCCAAGCCCATTCTGCCCAAGTGGCTTAGCATCCTTGGGCCATTGAATATGACTTGAACAGCTGCATGCAGCTGCTGGTGACAAAACTCCCAGGAAACCTGGTGGAACTAAAATCAGAAATGGTGATCCAATTAATGCCGCTGAACCTCAAATGCTGACTCCAAACTTGGGGACTCTGCATTAGCATTAATAATGATTTCCTTAAAATCATTCAGTGGTTTGGATAGCTATCTAAATCTCATTGAGAAGCCAACTCTCTTTGCTTAGAAATGTGTACTTACAGCACTTAGGCAAATGATCCATGGCGAGATAAGGCCCTTATACCGGGTGCTTGAAAGGGCAGTACCCCTCATAGCTAAAAGATACTCCAAGGACATTTCATGTGAGCAGGATAAATGAGAATGGCAAGCATTAAGATTAACTTCATGAAAGTTAATTCAAGACAGAGTGACAATTTCAAGTCTTTTTTAAACATATGGTTCTTTTTAACAATAAGACATTCTACATGGGTATAGGAATGGAAATTTTAATTTAAATTTTACCTTGAGCTCTATGTTTTATAAAAGGCAAGCAAAGTCCTTGTCTTAGGTCTTATTCTCTCAGAAGTAAACATAGAAGGGTTTGAGTTTTAAGCAGTTAATTTGAGAGATGATTTTAGTAAGTATCACAAGAGGAGTAGGGAAGAAAGACAGGAAAAGGAAAGCAGCCAATACTGGGTGTGTTCATGAGCACATTCCACTGTGGGCAACCAAGACTCAGTTCTATCGGGGACCTCCAAACAGTGTTGTCCAATACTGTAGCCACTAGCCACGTATGGCCAACAAGTAGTTGAAATGTGGCTAGTTTGAACTGGAACGTGTATGTAAAACACACACCAATTTCAAAGTCTTAGTATGAAAAAAGAAGAATGTAAAATATCCGACTATTTTTATATTGATTATACATTGAAATGATAATGTTTTGGATTATTGTGTTATACAAAATATTGTTAAAGTTAGTCTTACGTTCTTCCTTTCACTTTGTTCAATGTGGCTACTAGAAAATCTAAAATTATACATTAGGCTCACATTTGAGGCTCACATTATGTTTCTACTAGACAGCATTAGAATAGAACATGAGTCAGATGTGGGTATTAACCAACCAATTCCTGTCTGTTATTGGTTGAGGTCTGCTCCAGAGAAATTAATTCTCTGGTGCTTTGAGTTTGCTGCCAGGACAAGTAAAGCGCTCAGCAGAGAGTCATAAGGACTTTCTTTGGAAAGCTGTTGGTGCTATAAAATAACAGCAAGCACCAAGGAGACATAAGTAGGGCACCAACAGCCACTGCTACAGTTCCTCTTCTACCTCCTTTATTCCTGCTCCTGACTTTTAGATTCTGCTTCTGCTTCTCATGCCCTCTGAATCCATTGCATTTGGAAGTCCAAGGAAACCTTAGGAATCAGACATGTTTGGACTGGAGAAGAGTAGATAGAAGCTATAATCCTTGTTCCAATGAACTTTTATGAAGAAAATAAACTGGTGTTATTTCCCCTTGAAGATAGTGGGCAGTCCGGGGAGGGAGAGAGATATAACTTAACATAGAGAAGGACCACACCGATCAAACCTTATGTATTGAGATCAAATGCATCAGAATTTAAAGAGCTCCCTGCTGATGGAGCTGCCCAGACTGAGCCTGTCAGTGATTTGTAGGGAATTCTGGCATCAAATGAGAAGCAACACAAAATCAGGGCCTCTGAGATACCTCTTTCATGGTCAGAACACTGTGACTGCCAAAATGAGGAAGAAGGAGCTTTTAATCATAGACTTAAGCTCTATATCCTTCTAATATCTGTTAGAATGAGAAAGAAAAAAGCAATAATTTACTGAATCTTTACTATGGTCCAAGCACTGTATGAAACTTTAGGTATGTTATCTGATTTAATCCTCCAAAGAAAACTATATGGTAAGAATTATTGCCCCCAGAATTGTAAACTCAGCTTATAGAAAATGACATTTGCCTAAGGTCAATAATTGATAGAGCTACAAGTGAATTCAGGTCTACTGATTTATGCCTTTATTATCAAAGACACACTGAATGGCTACCTTAGGCCATAACCTGTGCATTTAACTACTAGATTTTCCTCATAACAAGTGGGCTTTGTTGAGGAGTTGGCATGCATCTCAATTCTGATAATGAGAGCAAAATATAGTATGTGGAAAGTGTATTTTCCAAAGATGGCCACAGCAATATTTTAGGTCTTACACGCTCTATAGAACCACTCCCCAAAACAGATTGAGTTCATTTTCATTTCCTCTTGAATTTTGGCAGGCTTGTGACTATTCCAAAGAATGAATTACATGGAGTGATGCAATGGAATGTCTAAGCCTGAGAATACAGTGTCTCCCTTTTTCCAGGAGAAGCTCATTTTGGAAGCTGGCCGCCATGCTTTGAGGAAGCCCAGGCCACATAAAGGTGGCCATGAACAAGTGTTTTAGGAAGTTGTCCCAGCTAAGATTTTAGCTGACAGTTGAGATCAATCACTAGACAGACAAGTGAGTGAATCTTCAGATGGTCCCAGCTTCCAGCTGTTGAATCTTCCTGCTGAGCTCCAAACCTTGTGAACAGGATGATTAAGTTATCTCTGCTATGCTCATGAGCGTAAGAAGTGGTTGTTTTCAGCTTACTCTAAGTTTTGGGGGTGATTCGTTATATAACTGTATTAACCACAACATCATGTTCCATTTTTACCTTCGCTGTCAGGAAACTCAAGGTCAAATTTATTCCTTAAATACAGCAACTGCAATAGCCTTAAGTGTTAGAACAACTACTTTTTAATTTTATAACACTGAGCATATATTTCTATTTTATTAATCTTATTTTGTCTTTCGTTGAAAAAATATGAAGTGTACATAAACAACAAAATGACCCCTACCTACCCCCTAATAATAAAAGTATGAATTTAATACCTGAATCTTCTTTCATTTCAACATCCTCTTCTTCTTCATTATTATCGTCTGTTAAAAAATAGGAAAACATAAAGAAATACTTATATGAAAGTGGGAAACACAAGAATGTTCCAGATGGATTATTAAAAAAAATCAAAGAAAGGGATAACAGATCAGTAGAAAACAGACTGTTAAAACATGCATTTCTGTTGTCTTATTATTATCATGCTAAGTTAAGAAGAAAGTATACACATTAATGCACAATTTAAAGCCTAGAGTTTACATTTCCTTTTAAAAATTGTTATATTTATAACTGTATATGCAATCGTTTGTTTTACTTATAGAAATTATATATGGTCACTTCAGTCATTTCAATTGCTCAAAATTAAAAATCACAGACTTTAAATGCCACATGTTCTAACTTTGTTAAAGGTCTGCATGCTCACTTCAAGTATCTGAGAAGTATGGACATCATTATTTGGTCATAGACCGACACATGTCAAATCCCCGCACCACACCATGGAAAGTGCTGCTTTGCTGCATTTGGAAATCCCAGCCTTCACTCATGTGCTTTCAAGTGTCCCACCAATTGCACCACTCCCATTTAGCTCCCATCATCTCCCAGTATAATCCCTTTTAACTGGACAAGGACATGTGATTCCTCTGCACTATAGATGACACGCTTGCTCTTTTGAACTTCTGACACATTGTCGTCTCTCTCCTTATGCTCCCCACAACCAGTGCTATGTTCTGAATATCTGTATCCCCCCAAAATTCATATGCTTAATCTTAACCTCCAAGGTGATGGTGATTAGAAGGTGAGGCCTTTGGAAGTTGATTAGATCATAAGAAAGGAGCCCTGTGGATGGGATTAGTGTCTTTATAAAAGAGACCTAAGAGAGACCTCTCACCCCTTCCTCCATGCATGGACACAGGAAGAAGATGGCTCTCTACAGGAAGAGGGACCTCACCAGACACCGAATCTGCCAGCACCTTGATCTTGGACTTCCAGCCTCCAGAACTGTCAGAAATAAATTTCTTTTGTTTGTAAGCCACTGAGTCTATGATATTTTGTTACAGCAGCCCAAATGGACTAAAATATCAGCTAGCGCCAAATCTTCTCCTGTTTCTATGTTTGGTCCTCTCTCCTCACATTATTGCAGTACAAATTCAGACTCCCAGTGCCATTTGCCTTAGCTATTTTAGCAGTTTCCTAACTGCTCCTCTCTTTTTCTCTCTCCTGTATCTCACTCCTTTTACACGTGACTGCCAAATCAGTCTTAAAATACAGCTCTGATCTGGTTCACAACAGTTCAGTGACTGCCCTCTGCCTAATGAGAAAAGTCTAGACTCTTCCCGATAACACTCAAGGCCAATGATACCTGGTTCCAAACACTTTTCTCAGTTTCACCTCCTCTGTTACATGCATGCTACCACCCACATGGATGGCAACACTTAACTCTTCTCTGATCTCTCAAGGTCTCCCTCAGCCTCGTCTACCTGCCTTGGTCCTGCTAGCAATGCCCTTCTCCCTCTCTATTCACCTTCATCCTTCAAGTGCAAGCTTAGGTGCCATAGCTTCTGATTTCCCCAGGTTTGAATGAATCATGTGCTCTTTGATGTACCTTATTTTTGCTGCCTGCTTGGTATGGACTTTAAATACACATGGGCTTAGGTTTGCATCCTGGCTCCTCCATCCATCCATCCCCTGGGCATGTGATCTTGGAGAAGTTACCTTGATCTTCCTGAGCTTCAGGTTCATCAGCTGTATAGTGGGATAATAATAATGCCTACTACATAGAGCTTTCCTAAGGTTTAAATGAGATAATGCCACGTAAAGCACTAGGACAGCTACTGAAACATTGTTAAGTGCTAAATATTAGCTGTTATTATAATAAAATCACACAGTCTACTTGTTATTTTATCTCTCTTTCAAACATCGGTCTCCAGATCATAAATTCTGTAAAGATGGAGACCAGGTCTTCTGTTCCTGTATATTCCTTGGCACTTAATGCCATTCATTTTATATACTAGAATCAATAAATGTCCACTGAATTAAATTTATATTATTTTCTATGTGTTTTATACATATTAGCTATATGATACTTTGTAAATAATGGGAAGTCAGTGAAGATTTACAACTTTCTCCTATATATGTGCTTTGTAATTTAGTCATCCCAGCCAAATTTACTCAGTCTGCCCCTCTTCTAAGAATTGATTATTAATTATTAATGATGATTAGAGATTTATTAGTCAGAGGAAAGAGAAAATGCCTTTCATTTGAGGTTTTAGAAAGGCAATTCTTGATAACTATGGTTAACTTTTAAAGAAGTAATTTTTTTACCATGGAAATATTTTAGAAACACTGATGATTTTCTACATAATTTTTAAAATTCATTCTATGAATGCAGTTTTGGAAGGAAGAATACCAATTTCTTAGAAATATAATTTTCTAACCAAATGATTACCAAAATGTTACAAAGTAAACTTCATAGATTCTTCCCTGAACTTAACATCTTTAAATATAATTTTATTTTACAGAGCCATCTAAAATCTGTATGACAACAGACTCTCTGGAATCTCAGAGAGAGAGATAAAAAAGAGTCTCTACAGTTTCTGGGGAAAAATAAAGGAAGAGTCAAAGATCCCTTTGCTTGTCACTTATATTTCCGTTATTCACCTGGCAAACACTCATTGGTTAGCCTATTGTGTACAAGGCTTTATGTTTGGGGCTGTAGAAAACACCAAGATGGATAGAAACTTAAGCAGTTTTTTTTGTTTTGTTTGTTTGTTTTTTTTTTTAAGAATCTTGTCAGTAGTAAAGAAACCAAGACATGCAAATACATTCCAACATATGGTAGTCAATGCTATTAAAAAGTGTCAGAGGAAGGATTGATACTTCTAGTTAAGCTACTTGGAAGTCTTCTTGTATGTAGAACATAACACTGAAGCTGATATTTGAACTACATAGACTGTCCTGATAACGTCATCCCCAGAATGACTCCCATGTGTGGAAGGATCAGGCTTGGGGTTATTATTCATTCATTCACTTCATTCACGCACTGATTTAGTCATACAGTGGTTAAGAGTCTGTCCAGAGTCTGGACTCAGACTGGTTCGGTTTACTTCCAGGACAAACCACATATAACTATGCAAATCTTGGGTAAGAAGAATACCAGAATATTTCACCCTGAAATATGAGGGACCTTCCCCTCACTACCGTCTCTCAATCCCTTGTCTCTCCCAAAGCACAGGGTGAAGATTTTCTCTGCAGTTCCCTTATCTATCTAGAAACAGTAGCCCCAAAAAAGGAACACAATTGTCTTCCATCCTCTGCCTGAAATCTCATTATCTATTGCAGAAAAGAAAGCTGAGAATGTAACCACACCTGGACAGATGTTTTTCACAAGATAATGCCTGCCTCTTGGGCTCATTCAAATTCCAAAGAGAATAATTTACAAGTTAATTTCTGTCTCCTGGGTCCATTCATTCTCCCTAATAATTATTTATTGCTCCTCAAAAAATTGTCTACTTTCCCCATCTGTCCACTCCCCTATGAAGAAGAAGAGATAAGCTTCTGTGCCCAATTTAGCTAGTGGATAATCATTCTCATGCGATTCTCCCATGCTTATGCATGTTAAAATAATTTTGTATGATTTTTCTGCTATTAACCTGCCTTTTGTCAGCTTACTTTTAGTGAACTTTCAGAGGGCAAAGGGGAAGTTATCTTTTGGCCTCCAAGTAACATATAACCTATATGTCAGTTTCTTCATCTGAAAAATAGGGATAATAAAATTATCAACTTCTTAGGGTTAGGATTATATGTCAAGTGCTTACACAGAATGAGCATTCAATAAATACTGATTATTGCTATTACTGAGACTACCTTTGCAAAAATTGTGACAATGAGAGAAATCTGACATAGAAAAAGTATAACAATGAAAGAAATTTGACACAGCAGACTCCATCTTGCTTCTAACCTCACAAGATGTTCTTGTTCATTTCTGGGTATAGCCCAAGCCAACTTTGGAAGGAATTTAGTTTATAGTTTAACCTAAAAGCAAGAATGATAATAGCCCTTCTCAAAACTATCCCTTCCTTGTTTGAGGACTGAAGCTGCCTTTGTAAAACTAACGAAAGGCCCCAAGGTCATGATTATGAGAGAAGCCTGGATTCTACTAAGACGTAGGCACATTTAAACAATAACCAGCCATTGTTCTAGAGGTCCCAAGACATGTAACCTCTACAATTGCTCTAATAGATAACTTCACTATTCTAGAACCTAAGGTTGGACTTCTGAGATGTTTTTCAGACTTTTGCATTCTGGCAACTGACTGACTCCACTGGGACCTTTGCCTCATTACTCAACTGGTCCTGTGGCCCGTATCCAGAGGCTGACTTAGTGCATGAGGACAGTTTTCCACACTCCTGTGATTTCATCCCCAACCAATCAGCAGCACCCTATCCCTAGACCCCTGCCTGTTGTCCATAAAACTCGTAGCCTCCAAGCTTTTTGGGAGACTGATTTGAGTAATAAACTTCTGTCCTCTGCTTGGCTAGCCCTGCATTAAACTCTTTCTCTACTGCAATACTGCTGTCTCACTGAATTAGTTTTATCTGTGCAGTGGGCAAGAATAACCCATTGAGTGATTACATTATAATGTCATTTTTATAACTATTTTTGCTAGTCAAATAACCATTTCTTGAGCTCTACCTTGTGTACCCATTACGAAGATACAGGTTAGCAATCTTTTCCCTCAAGGAGGTCACAAAGTGGACGATATAGAAAAGCAAAACAACAGAGAAGAAGGTAACAGATTATCTGATGGAGGTAAACAGAAGTTGTATTGGGAAATATACAAGAGCCAGCTCAGTCAGAGAGAAGGTCTATGAAGGCATTCCAGAAGAGGCAAGACTTCAGCTGAGTCTTAAAGAGTGAGTTAAAGTTATGTAGGGAAAAAGAAAGGCTACAGTAGATGCCTAGATGTGGATGTCCTGCCTATAACTCCTTGTTCCTTGACAATTCAGTGCATGCCAGCCTGCCTTTGAGCCACCAGCTCCTGGGTCTCTTTGCCTGAGGGCTCTCTCTGCTTGCTGAATCCCATTCAAGTAATACTAGAGAATTAACACCCTTTAGGGTTGAGCCTTTCTCAAATGATGGACAATTTGCATATAAGTACCCCAGATCCCTTGCTTCCCAAGTGGCCTAATTCAAAGCATGTTCTGTACTATCTCCCTGAGTCTCCTCACTCCTACTGGGATTGAGCCCCAGTTGTCCAGTGGTAACTGGCTTAGAGCTTAACCTCACTGCCTACTGCTCTTGCTTGTCTCACTTCCCCACTTCCCTACTGGTGTTTCCTGGGATCATCTCCCTGCCACACCCCCGCCGCCCCAACATACTTCTACTTCAGTCCTTGTTTCAGGATCTGCTTATTGGGGAACTCAAACAAAGACAAGGGTAATCACACTCAAGCAGAGGGAAAAACATCTGTAAAAACATGTGGACGTGAATCATCAAGATGTTTTTAAGGAAATAAAACTAGCTATGAATGGCCAAAGGAAGAGTTATCTGAGAAATTGCAACTAACCCGATCTGTTCTGGCTAGATAATACAGACCTTCCATGCCAGGAGTGATGGTTAATTTTATGTGTCAAGGTGACTGGTCCAGAGTGCTCAAACATTTGGTCAAACATTATTCTGGGTGTGTCTGTGAGTGTTTCTGAATGAGATTAAAATTTGAATGGGTACGGAGCAGACTGCCCTCCCTGATGTGAGTGAGCCTCATCCAATCAGTTGAAGGTCTAACAAGAACACAAAGGCTGACCCCTGGAGAGTAAGAGGGAACTCCTCCGGCCTCATTGCCTTTCTACTAGTTGGCCATTGGGGTTTTTTTCCTGCCTTCAGATTCAAACTGAAACATTAATTCTTCTTGGGTCTGAAGCCTGCCAGCATTCAGACTACAACTACACGGTTGGTTCCATTGGTTCTCAGGCCTTTGAACTCAGACTGAAACTATGCCATGAGCTCTCCTGGGTCTCACACTTGCCAACTGCAGATCTTGGGACTTAACAGCCTTCATAATCATATGGGCCATTTGCTATGATAAACCTCTTTCCATGTATTTTAATATATGTTCATTTTCTCTGCAAAAACCTGACTAATATACAAGGTTGAAGCATTCAAACTTTTTTTGAAAAATTGTAGAGTGATTAAACAACTTTGAGCAGAGGAGTGACATACCATCTTTTGAAAGATAACTTTTTATGAGACAAATTTACTGAAAATTATAAAGCACATGCCTTAATATTTTGCAATTATTTGTATTAAAATCAAGCACAGAGTCCTTTTGCTCTACAAAGCACCTAATGTGCCATTACATATTAATGAAATCTACTTTAGTTCAACATTATTCTATGTAATGTGCTTGCTTGAGTCATATTTGTGCAACAAATTGCTAGCAAGAATTTTTCTAACAAAACTAGGAACAAAAAAATATTAAAAAAAGGTGATAGTCTATGGAAGTAGGGAGTCATGCCACTCAAAGTTTGAAAGTAGTTAGGAGACTGATGAAGCATGGGCACAGAGTTGCAGCCCTTTTAAACAGTTCTCCAAGCATCATACTTCTTTGTTAGAGGACAAAAATGAAATAAAAGGTTTCTACCAAAGTGATAGAAATACTATTTCTAAATAGAGAGCAATCAATCAGACGGCATTGTTCTGTGTGTTCAGAAATGCCAATTCCAGAAAAATCCCCTTTCCTTCCCAGGCACAGACCATACAGAGGCTAAAGCTCCATTTAATCTTACGGGACCTCTTTGATGTTAATTTCATAATAGACGCTGTTTTTGTTCACTGTATCTCCTGTGTTAGATTACCCTGTTGCATTCTACACAAACACATGAATATGACCGAAGTTCTTATTTTGATCACAAAATATATGTGAAAACCAACTAGTTTCTCATGAATAACAAGTTTTGGGTAAAAGCTAGCTTTATATACTTCAGAATCCCCTTCATAAGGAAATGTCTAACCTACTTTGAGCTCTATAACATTGATTTCACCTTCTTTTATTGGAGACAGAGTTAATGTGAATGATTTTTGTTTTAATTATTATACTTGTCTTCTGAGCAGGTACCTGTCATTTCCCAACAGCAAATAGTCCACACTTCTTTGGAAAAGGAAGTATGCTATGGGTTTTGGAATGACTTCAGATTTGTCTTACTCCATTACCTAGAGCCACCATAATTAATACAGTCTTTTGGGGAAGTGAAATAAACAAAAACAAGCAAAGAAAACCCCGTAGAACTTTATTTAAGGTAATTATCAAAGTGTACTCTCTGGACCAGCAGCACCACTATCATCTGAACGCTTGTTAGAAATGCAAATTCTCAGGTCCCACTCAAGATCTATTGCATCCAAAGCTCTGGGGAAAGGACCCTCCAGGTGACACTCATGCACACTGAAGTTTGAGAGCCACTGGTCCAAAGCACCAATATTGGCCTGTTGAAGAAGAACCTTTCAAAAGAGTAGATGTCCAATATTTCAACTGAACTAACTTGTGATGTCTCACTAACACTAATGTGGTAAGAGGTGCCCAAGCCACATGGTTGCTGGGTTTGAGGAACAGTTATGCTTTTCATAAGATACTGTATGCTTTCTTATGTGCTTGAAGTCACTCAGCTACCATGCAGCTGAGTGGCAAGATTATCATGGTCCATGGCCAGGATTCCTAGATTGGCTAGGAGACATGAGCATGAATGGAGACTAGCCTCAAGGAGGTCTGTGGGTGGCATGAGAAAAGGAGGGTGTTATGAAGGGGAATGTTACCCTTATGAGCTATTACGGCATCCTCTCCACTCCCAAGGGAAAAAAATGGACAGACACCTGAAATAGATCATAAAATTCCCTTGTCAAATTTTCAGGAACATCCGTACATATGGGCAGGTCTGTCAAGGAGAACAATTACGATAATCCTGCTGTGGTTTTATTTCACATGCTTCCAAGTTCTCTTCCTTAGAGCTTAATTTCTTACCACAGGCTTCTTGTGCACTCCTCATCTTTTTAATATTTCATTACCAAAAGCTTCTAGGAACAATTTGGATTTGCAGAAAAAAGAAATATTATTAGCAAAAATAAAGCTTTGTTTAGGGCTTCTACGTAGTAGGGAAGAGGTCGTTATCCTCATGACTTCTTGTAGGACTTGACAAAGCAGAAACTTCAGGCAAAGAATGTCCGATAAGGGAGAGTCCTCCCTGAGTAGGACTCCTGCCATTAAGTTGAATACCTGGACTCACTGCATCTAACAAATTGCTAAATCTACTTTTTGAAGGTGATTGATAAAGCCAGGAGAAATTTTGTTGTTCTTTTAAAAAAAAGGGAACTTTTTTTTTTCCTTCAACTGATCCTTGGCCAAAATGAGCACTCAAATCTAATTACTTTATAAATCAAGCAATAAATAAAAGGCACCGCCTGATGCTGCTGCTTCTGGCTTGCCCAACTGGGCACATTATAGCATCAGTTACAGAGATATGGGATTTAGGAAGAGGAGGATTGAGGAGTGGAGAAACAGATTTTGAATTTAATTTTGGATATGTTCAGTTGAAGACGCCTGAGAGACTCCCAGCTGGAGATGGACGTGTGCAAGCAAGTACACCAGAGAGGGCTGGGATGGACACAGATGACGGTCAGAAAGAAAAGATGGCAGAGCAGTCGCCAGGATAAAGAGTGCCCAGTCCAAAGTGAGAAGAGCTCTAAAGGGTCATGTGATCAAATACGCAATGGTTTCAGTTCCCATGCTCAAGCCATCAAAAATGTTCTAATAACCTCAACAAGGATGGTTGCAGTAGGAAGGCAGAGACAGTCACGTTATTGCAGTGGATTATGGAGTGACCAGCAAGTGAGGGAGACAGACAACACTTCAAAGACATGTGGCTGACCAACAGACACATGAAAAAATGATCATCATCAATGGCCATCAGAGAAATGCAAATCAAAACCACAATGAGATATCATCTCACCCCAGTTAGTATGGTGATCATTAAAAAGTCAGGAAACAACAGGTGCTGGAGACGACGTGGAGAAATAGGAACGCTTTTACACTGTTGGTGGGACTGTAAACTAGTTCAACCATTGTGGAAGACAGTGTGGCGACTCCTCAGGGATCTAGAACTAGAAAGACCATTTGATCCAGCCATCCCATTACTGGGTATATACCCAAAGGAATATAAATCATGCTGCTATAAAGACACACGCACACATATGTTTATTGCGGCACTACTCACAATAGCAAAGACTTGGAACCAACCCAAATGTCCAACAATGATAGACTGGATTAAGAAAATGTGGTACATATACACCATGGAATACTATGCAGCCATAAAAAAGGATGAGTTTATGTCCTTTGTAGGGACATGGATGAAGCTGGAAACCATCATTCTCAGCAAACTATCGCAAGGACAAAAAAACAAACACTGCATATTCTCACTCATAGGTGGGAATTGAACAATGAGAACACTTGGACACAGGAAGGGAACATCACACACTGGGGCCTGCTATTGGGTGGGAGGCAGGGGGAAGGATAGCATTAGGAGATATACTTAATGTAAATGACGAGTTAATGGGTGCAGCACACCGACATGGCACATGTATACATATGTAACAAACCTGCACTTTGTGCACATGTACCCTAGAACTTACAGTGTAATAAAAAAAATACACACATATATATATATATATATATAAAAGACATGTAGCTGACAATAAAAGTCAGGTTCATACATAAAGTGGAATATAGTTTGCAGAAATTTTAGTTTCCCTATTGTTTATTTTTGTCTTTACTCTTACTTCTGTGCCTTCTTAAGAATTATTTTATTGATATATTATTCCTAAAAAGACTTTTTTTTCCCCTGCATTTGCCTCAATGTTTTCAACTAAAGAACCAAAACCAGTCTACCCAGAATGTTTGAAAGGCCTTTCAAAAGCACCCTGCAGCGGTCTCTATAAAGATGACTACAACATCCTCCCTCCCTTCTCCAACTAGCATTTAGTTGTGTCTGTTTTACCAGAACTTCCTAATGAGATCAAACTCTGCTTAGCCAAGGCTCATGTTCCCAGGTCTTCATGAGTTCTGCTGGTTATCAGCATTTGCTACACTCACTGCACACTCCCCTCCGTTGGAAGGGACAGATTGCTTTCTGTCTATGCCGGCTGCTTGTTCCTGCATTCAGGTTGCTTGGTTACAGCAACACTTCACTGGATTTTCATTGAAGGCAAAATGTGTTTGCAGCTTTTGAGGCCCATCAAGTGGAAATGGTTAGCACCTATTTCCTAAGAAGGCAGTTAACTCATTTATGTTACATTATAGAGAGCTTGTCTTGCAGAATTCTAAACATCAATGTGATCTGCACATTAAAAGTACATAAATGTGCCATGTACTTGTAAACATTCATAATTAAAGAAAATACTGAATTCTTTTACTCTAGTTTTTCTCTACATTGAATGTATCATTTGGGGGGAAAATGTACAATTCAGACTGAGTAAGAAGTTTCTCTTGTGTTTCTTTCACTTATTCATAGATGACTGGCGTATTAGTTTTCTATTACTGTTGTAACATATTTCTACTAACAACACAAACTTATTATCTTACAATTCTGTACATTGGAAGTCCCAAATGGGTTGAACTAGACTAAAATCAACATATCAGCTAGGCTGCTTTCCTTTCTGGAGGCTCCAGGAAAGAATCTGTTTCCTCGCTTTTCCAGCTTCTAGAGATGCCCATGTTCCTTAGCTCAAGGCCCTCTTCCTCCATCTTCAAAGCCAGCAATGGTGCAGTTCTCTGAACATTCTTCCACAGTCACAGCTCCTTCTGCCTTCCCTCTTCTGCTTTCCTCTTTCAATTTTAAGAACTCTCTTGATGACATTGACCCCACCTCTAGAATCAATCCCAAATAACATTCCTATCTTGTGGTCAGCTAACTGCAACCCTAACTCCACCACCAATCTTATTTCCCCCTTTGCAATGCCACCTAACATATTCACAGGGTCTGGGGTTTAGATTGTAGACATCTTTGTGGGGGACATTTTTCCGCCTACCACATTTGGTAAATCAGGAAGCAGATTGCTTTGTATACAAAGCGTCTGAAACATATTTAAAAATGCTCATCATTGCTGGTCATCAGAGAAATGCAAATTGAAACCACAATGAGATACCATCTCATGCCAGTTAGAATGGTGATCATTAAAAAGTCAGGAAACAACAGACGCTGGAGAGGATGTGGAGAAATAGGAACGCTTTTACACTGTTGGTGGGAGTGTAAATTAGTTCAACCATTGTGGAAGGCAGTGTGGCGATTCCTCAAGGATCTAGAACTAGAAATACCATTTGACCCAGCCACCCCACTACTGGGTATATACCCAAAGGATTATAAATCATGCTACTATGAAGACACATGCACACGTATGTTTATTGCAGCACTATTCACCATAGCAAAGACTTGGAACCAACCCAAATGTCCATCAATAATAGACTGGATAAAGAAAATATGGCACATATACACCATGGAATACTATGCAGCCAAAAAAAGGATGAGTTCATGTCCTTTGCAGGGACATGGATGAAGCTGAAAACCATCATTCTCAGCAAAACATCACAAGGACAGAAAACCAAATGCTGCATGTTCTCACTCATAAATGGGAGTTGAACAATGAGAATACATGGACACAGGGAGGGGAACATCACACACTGGGGCCTGTTGGGGGGTGGGGGGGCTGGGGGAGGGATAGCGTTAGGAGAAATACCTAAGGTAAATGACAAGTTGACGGGTACAGCAAACCAACATGGCACATGTATACCTATGTAACAAACCTGCACATTGTGCACTGTACCCTAGAACTTAAAGTATAATAACAAATAAAAAATAATAATAATAAAATGTCTGAAGAGGAGAACTAGAAACAATCTAATTAGAAATAAAATGGTTTTCTGTGAGGCGAAGTCCATAGGCTTAAAATCAAGGTCATTTTTGAGTTTTTGGTTTAACCTCACTCTTTCATTAAAAAGGGTTTCTTCTTTTCTTTCTATTTTTAAACCTTCGGACTTTTCGTCCTTTCATCTTCCCTTTTCTCCTTCCTTCCTTCCTTCCTTCTTTCTTTTTTATATATTTTAAAATCTTATCTTTCTACCTTTTCTCACTGTTTTGGTTATAAAAGAATATCACAAAGGCAAATGACAAACTGGGAAACCACTTGCAACATATATTTGAAAGATTAATAACCTTAATATACAAAGAGTTCTTATAAATCAATAAGAAAAAGATGAAATAAAAATGTACAAGGGTTATGATCAGCAATTTTGTGTAAGAAATTTAGATAAATAACTGGAAAAATGTTAAACCACATTAGTAATAAAATAAATGAATGTTGTTACCCATTAATTACCTTTTTTTCATGTATAAAAGTGCTAACATCAAAACAGTAGGATGTAACCCACTGAGAAAGGTAGGAAAAAAATAAACTCTCATGTACCACTCATGGGAATGTAAACTCAGGTTGCTTACTGCTAGGCTCGGGCATTTATATTTCTGTCCCTGTGGATGGTAATCCCTGTAAGTTGTATAGTACATGACATTCAACTGCAGTGCTGCAAACACAGTGCACAATTTGACAATTACTAGCAAAAGTGTCTTGGTTTTGCATATATTTTGAAAAAGTGATTCCACTTTTAGAAAAGTATTTTTTAAAATGAGGATGATGCCAATATTTAACTACAAAGATGATTTTTAAAAATTATTATTTATAAGCAAATAGAGAAATAATTTACAGAAATAATTCCTAAGTTCAATAGTATGGTTTTGAGTAAACTTTGGGTCTATTAAAATTAAGTTATGGAAGAATTCATAATGATGTGAAAAATGTTCATGATTTATGTTAAATGACATATAGCAAGTTATAAGACTAATTTCTGGCTGTTTGCATTTTCCATTTCTAAAGATCAGAAGGATAAGCAACAAAATGTAATTCATCTCCAGATTATAGGACAGAAAATAGTTTGTATTTTTTTCTTTTTGCTTATCTGTTTTTCACTATAAACCTATCTTACTTCTGTGATAAGAAGTTTTATATATTTTTCAAAGATGATTACAAAAGTTGAACTACTTACTTTTAAAATTGTAATAAGAAATAAACATGGATATTTAAACATTTATGATGCTTGGTGTACATATCTAGTGAACTTTCATTTATATTACTATTCCTTATATTTGGAATTGGTCCATTAGTATGTTTGCACATGACAAAACTGAAGCAGAAAAAGGTTAAACAACATGCGCAAAGCCACACAGTGTTAAGGTGGCTGTGACAAGATGAGACCATTTCTTATAATAACAAGCCTAGCATTTCTTCCCCTTTACCATAGATGCTTTTGTCTCTGTTGACCTCATTATTAGACAATTGCTACCTTTCTCAGGAATTCACCACCCCTTCTTCAAGCTTCTATCTTCCAATCATTATTCGGACATAGCAAGAGGAAAGAAAACCTTAGCAGCTCATGACACTGTGTGCTTCATTATTATTCTTGGAAAACTGATGACCAGAGAGGAGATAAGAAGAAGAAGGAAAGAGGACATGTGGATATACCATATGATTGGAGGAGCTCTAGCTTTTCAGGAGCTCTAGCCCTACTAATGCAAATGGATAATATGTGGCTTTTTTAGCAGACAAGTAGCTTCAAACAACTGTCCATGTTTTCAGGATTGCTAAGGGAAGAAGCATTACGGAGTGGAAAGGATTTGAGCTCAGACATACCCAACTATGTGACTTTGGTCAATTTACTGACTTTTCTTTAGCCTTTGTTCACTACTATCTCAATAAAAGCAGATGATGAATCCATGGCATGGGTGTTGTTGAAAGGCCAGTCTCTCAAGTCGTGAATTGAGTTAATCCTTCTTAAATATAGAATCTATCCTATTTCTCAACCAAGGACTTACTCTTAGGCTCAATTGCATAATACATTGACAAGAGTGTCAAAATTTCTCAGTCAGGGCTTCACAAACTGGATATAAGCATCATACTTTATTTTACAATTTTTCCAATCTGAACTGCCATTCTCCCTCTATGTTGCTTACCCAACACCAGACGTGAACTTCTCTACCCTTGTTCATTCTTTAAAGATCACTGAAAGTGCCACATTCTTCATGAAAACTGTCCCAATCAATCTGGTCCTCATACACATTTGCCTCTGAATTCCTGGGTGCTATGACTGTATCAATGTTATACTTGATTATTTGCTAATATTGTTTTCCAACTGTTTTATATGATATGTGCCCTTCAGGACTATTACAAGAACAGTACCTTCAATGTAGCAGCCTTGGGAACATAGTAGGCACATAACAAATATTTGACAACTGATAGAAAGATAATGAATGATAATGGATGAGATAAACTTATAAAATCAGTGTAAAGGGAGGATGCAGAAGACATAATGTGAGTACTTTCTTTTGTTTGCTTTTAAAGAGCTAAGATTTTTAAAAGTGAAATCCAGGAAAAAATTTAAATACTGCCTGGGTAAAATTTTAAAGTTTTGTGCCCATTTGTCAGAGAAGTAATTTTTAATTTTTGAGAACTTTAAATGTTAATTTTATAATTTTTTTTTTTTTTTTTTGAGATGGAGTCTCGCTCTGTCACCCAGACTGGAGTGCAATGGTGTGATCTCGGCTCACTGCAACCTCCACCTCTCGGGTTCAAGCAATTCTCCTGCCTCAACATCCCGAGTAGCTGGGACTACAGGCGCCTATCACCACGCCTGGCCAATTTTTGTATTTTTAGTAGAGACGGGGTTTCACCATATTGCCAGGCTGGTCTCAAACTCCTGACCTTGTGATCCACCCACCTCAGCATCCCAAAGTGCTGGGATTGCAGGCGTGAGCCACTGTGACCAGCCAATTTTTGAAAATTTTGATAAATACGTAAAAAGCAGTGCTATACCCTTGTCTAGCTGTGTTAACAATACTTAAGAGTTTCTAGGAAAAACTGACTTTTTACCTGAAACTTTGGTTAAATATTCTCTCTGTCTTAATCTGTTTTGTGCTGCTACAGACTACCCCAGACTAGGTAATACGTAATGAACAGAAATGTATTGGCTCACAGTTTTGGAGACAGAGGAGCCCAATATCAAAGTGCTGGCATCTGGTGAGGGTCTTCCTGCTACATCATCACATGGTGGAAGACATCACAAAGTGGAAGGCAAAGGGCAAGAGGCTGAACTCACCCTTTTATAATGACACCAATCCCTCCCATGAGGCTAGAGCCGTCATGGCCTATCACTCTTAAAGGTCTTACCTCTTAATACTGTTACAACGGCAATTAAATTTCAACATGAGTTTTGGAGGAGATACACATTCCAACTGTAGCAGTTTCAGTCTAGGTTCGTGGTACGTTTTTATTTACATTAATAAACACCTACTATATATTTAGAATTTTCCAGATTCTGAAAGGGCAATGGAATATTAGGAATAATTTCTGTTCTCCAGAAACTTATTTTTTCATTGATGAGATCAAGATAAAAAGGTCAAATAATAATAATAATAATAATAATAATAATATAAAACCCAACTAAAGCTGCCTTGCAGGAGTGTGTATAGTTTAGACAGAAATAAATGGCAGAAATTCATGATTGGGAAAATAAACGAAAGATATATTCATATCAATAATATTTATTACATGTTTGGAAGACTATAAGGAGGTCAAAATAAGTGAAACGTGGTTGAGAAGTTTCTTGATTTGTTTCGTTTTAAAAATTTTGGCATGCATTTAAGATATTAAAAATTATTATCAAAATATGAATTTAGAATTTTCTTTATCATGATTATGCAAAGCTACACTTTCTCAGTGCTATCTGTATCTAAGAAGGTAAAATACATGTAACCTAAATATGTTCACGTACTCAAGTAAAGTGAATTAATAACATGTCTGTCAATATTTGAGAAATAAAATGTATGCATTTTAGCTAGACATTGAGATATGTTAAATATTCAAGAAGTTCCCGAGATATAATTCTCAAACTTGACTTAGGGTTTTACTTTATCATCTATATGCTTTTATGTTATATATAATACAAAAAGAAAATCTGTATTTAAGACCACAAAACATTTCCAGTAAAGTTTATAATTTATAAACTTATAACTCCTATGGATTAAGTTTACCTAGTTCTAACTACAAAACACTTGTTATACATGTTTTATGTCTACTATTTTGCAAGCTCATTTTTAAGGCATACAAACTTCTTGCAATTTTATAAGGTTTATCATTTTATGTTGTACCAGATAGATGTCCCAAATATTAATAGGTCAAATAGCTCATTATTTTACTATTTATGTCAAGAACATTGGGAATATTTTAGCTTTTTTTCTATTAATTTTTTAAATATAGTTTTAAAATTATTTTCATAGACATAAATAGAGTTTTTCATCTTAAATAAAATCTTCCTCTTATAAACAGGTGTCAGGTTTGGGATGAGCACATGGATATCCTGCAATTAATTTTCCTATCTTATTAGTTTTCCCAGCATTGCTCTCTCTCTCTCTCTCTCTCTCTCTCTCTATATATATATATATATATATATATATATGTTAATCACATTTAAGTAAAGTTGACATGCGTATTGTGTATACGTTATATAAATTTCAAAGCTGGAAACAAAATTGACAAATTTAATTGTTTTTATGGTTAAAAAATTAAAGAGATTAGAGCTGGGCATAGTGGTTTACACCTATAATCCCAAAGACTTGGGAAACTGAGGCAGGAGAATTACTTGAGCCCAGGAGTTCAAGACAAACCTGGGCAACATGGTGAGACCATGTTTCTAAAGAACAAACAAACAAATAAAATTAGCTGGGCATGGTGGAGTGTGCCTGTAGTCTCAGCCACCCAGGAAGTTGAAACAGGAGGATCCCTTGAGCCCCAGAAGTTCGAGGCTGCAGTGAGTTATGATCAGTATGATTGCGTTACTGCGCTCCAGTCTAGATGACAGAGTACGACCCTGACTCTGAAAAACAAATTTAAAAAATAGTAGTTGGTAGTTTTTTCAGTCATAGGTGATTTCATTGTGAATGAATCAGTTACTATGCAGATAATGATAAGGGGTTGAAGGTATCTAAAATTAAAACATATTTTGTGAGCTCACAAGGTAAGTTTATCAACCAATGGTCACCAAACTAATGAAAAAAAAAAAAAAAGAAAAGTATTAGCCCAAGAAGCAATGAAACTTGCTTAAGGTATATAAAGAAAATAATTAGTGAATTTGTTCTTCATTGCTCTGTATACTAGCCTTTAGTTCCACACTTTTATTAGATATATAAAACCTATGTAATGATCATATTTTCTGAGATTATTACTCTAGATTCATGGGCAGTAATAGATAAATGATACCAGGAGTGGGGTGGTGGCAGGAGGACCTGGAGAGTAGGGGTTGGGTGGCAGGTGTATGTGGTTAACAAAGGTCAAGATATAGAAATCTGTGGGTACAGAGTGAACAGAGAGGGTGCAAAACCAGAAGTCTGGACTAGGAGGGTCATGAATCCAGGAAGCCAGAGACCAGGCTGAGGGTACATGTTCCAAATCCAGCTAGATAGTTACTTATGGGTAAAGCATCAGCAGTCGAAACACTGTAAAATAACCCCAATCCAAAGGCAAAGACTGCGGCAATGGCCTGAGTGGTAAGAGACAGTACCAGCAGATGGAGCCTCTCAACCTCTGCACTATTGCCATTTAAGGCTGAATAATTATCTGCTGGAGGGTTGTGGAGGGTGCTGTACTGTGCACTGTAGAATGCTTAGCAGCACCCCTGGCCTCTAATCACTAGAGCACAGTAACCTCTCCCATCCCTCAGCTGTGAAAAACAAAAATGCCTCAGAATGTCCCCAGGAGGGCAAAATCGCTCGTAGTTGAGAACCATTGCAGTAAACAAAGGTTGGTTTTTCCTAAAGGGAGGAGTGAAGGAGGGTTTACCATGACAAGTCTTAAGCTTCCAACGTCAAGATTCTTTAATACCGTTATAAACCGTATGTTCTTTATTGTTATTACGGGGAAAATTAATATCCTTCAGTTCTCTAGCAGGACTAAGACTCTAGTAGAAAAAAAAGAAAAAATGACTTCCACATTCCAGATCGGGAATTGTCTTTTCTTTTCTTTTTTTAATTTTTTACGTCTAGTGAAAACTGCACACAATAAATTCTACACACTGAAAAAATACAAGCACTTTTATGTAAAGAACAAAGAGATTTCTGAGTTGAATCATACAAATATTATTTGCTGTAGGCCATGTAATGGTGCACTGTAACTATAAATTATTTGCAACCAAAGTGTATGATAATTCCATAAAGCTGCCACACTCTACTTTCAAATAATACTTGTGGAAGGAAAAAGTCAAATGTGCTTTACCCCACAGCAAGATATAAAACTGTTGAAAAAAAATTCGATGCTGGTTTCTTTCCCTGGAGTTTCTTAAAGCATTTCTACAAGGGGCAATTTTATGGGCTTAATTGTGCCCTGTGAATTTTTATGTTGAAGGCCTAACCCTCATATCTTAGAATATGACTGTATTTGGAGATAGGATCTTTAAGAGCTAATTAAATTAAAATAAGGTAATTAGAGTGGGTCCAAATCCCATTTGACTGGTATCCTTATACAAAGAGAAAGATACAGCACAAATGACTCAGAGGGAAGGTCATTTGAAAGTACAGGGAGAAGACAGCCAACTACAAGCCAAGGAGCGAGGCCTCTGAAGAAATTAATCTTGCCTCCACTTGGCCTTGGGCTTCTAGCCTCCAGAATAATCAGAAAATGTATTTCTGTGGTTTAAGCCGCCTGCTCTGTGGTACTTTGTTTTTAGAGGCCTGACAAACTAATATAAGCCATTTTCCATCTTGTCCTGTAGATGCTATAAAGGCCTTTGGGCTTCTCGTTTACCACTTACCTGCTCATCTGCAGGTAATAGCACCACAATACCTCTATAATGTGAATGGAATTCAATTTTGAGATGAATGATAAAAGTACTAATTCAACTCATATTAGAAGTTTCCATGAAGGTATTTATAGGTACTAGAAGAAGAGAAGCATGGCATCTCTGAAAAATGATGGGCAGCAGATGAAATGGGACTTTCCCCAATACTCCAAATGCAGCCTGGAAGTTGATCTCAGCCTTCTCTAAAGATGCTCTGAGAAAACGAACCTATTATCACTTGGGCAATGACAGATGCCAATCTCAATTTTAAAATACAGCTCTGTTGCTTCCTAGCTGAATCCTCGTTTTTCATGCCTAAAACATAGGGTATCATAAATTTGTTTCATATAGTTGCTGCCTTGGCATCCATTTTTTTTTCTTTTTTTCCTTTTGGTTTTAAAATCTCTACAATATTTATTTATTTATTTATTTATATTTTTTAGAGATGGGGTCTTGCTTCGTCACCCAGGCTGGAGTTCAGTGGTGCAATCATAGCCAACTGCAGCCTCAAATCCCCGAGCTCAAGTGATTCTCCCACTTCAGCCTCCTGAGTAGCTGGGACTGTAGGTATGTATGCACCACCACTCTCAGCTAATTTTTATTTATTTATTTTTTGTAGAGCCAAGTTCTTGCTATGTTGCCCAGGCTAGCCTGAAACTCCTGGATTCAAGCAATCCTCCTTCTACAGGCATGAGCCACTGTGCCTGGCCAGCCTCCATTCTTAGGCCTGACATAAGTTGTTTGAAACCCAGTTGTATCCTGTCACCTTTGGCCTACTTAAACTTCCCTCCCTGTGTGATCAGTTGTGATATGTTCCACTTGTTCCTCATCCAGCTGACCCCAAACCCAATATACTCCACAACTGCTGATCATGGTAAAAATCTAATAGTGTCAGAATCATCGAAGTAAGTTCCTGCTTCCTGAGTGTTTTCTTTAAACTAGCCAATCCACAACCCCCATGGGAAAGCCTAAGGGGTGGTGCATACAGAACTAATAAAGACAGCCCCCAGGTGCTTGCTCTCTCTTGCTGCCCACTTGCTGGCTGGGCTCCCTGCCACCTCCAGGCTTCCTGTTGGTCTCCTGTGGGCATCCCTCACCTGTCTGGGACTTGTGAGTAATAAATGCCTTCTGTTTTGTGCATTTTGGTTTTACTTCCTCGCTGTGTCTCCCCTGACATACATATCTGAACCCAATTTTCCCCCAACCCTTTTCAAAGCTTTCCTGGAGAGTGACTATCCTGGCTGATGGCCATTCTCAAGAGAGAGAAACCTTAAGACCAAATTAGAAAAAACCCTAACAATGGAACCACAGCACAGGGTTAATACGGTGCCTCCTTTCTTAGAGTTATCATGAAGATTAGTGATTTACCCATGTAAAGAAATGAATGCTGTGGCTGGCTAATAGAAAGCAATTCAAAAAGGTTTGAATTATTAGTAACCATTATTGTTATGTTATTAAATATATTAATTATGATTATTATTAATCATTATTATTGAACTGTAATAGCAATTATCATTGAACCATTATTATTGAACTGTAGTAGTTATGCATGTGGCATACCTTTAGTATGATCTCTTTGAGTCTTTTATTGTTTTATCATGCATTGTGTCTCAGATTCCCAATTATAAAATTTACAGACATGGGATTAAAGTACCCCAAAACACAAATATTTTGTTTGATTATAAAAATGACTTCTTTTCTAAACTATTATCATTATTGCATTGGGAAAGATTATGAACACTAGTTAGAGATATCATGAATAATAATGCACTATAGGGAAATACATGGCAAGTAGGAAGAAACGTATCCTAATTTAAAGATGGTATAGTTATGAATTAAACACAAGTTAAAATTAATGACAGGTAAGGTATATTATGTATATTAGTAGTCACATTCCATCATACATCACGCTTATTTCATATTGCATATTTAGAATTTTCAAATACCTAATGCTTCAACATTGCAGAAATCACAATTTTTGAGGATTTTGACATTTAGTTTAAAATGTACTTCCTATTGTAAATATGGACTGAAAATAATTTCATGAGCACTGTGTGCTTCAAAGCATTGATGTGAGATTGAGGATGATTTTATTATTTCACTTGCTCATGTACTGCAATGCATTTTAAAATGTATTTAAAGTAGCAATTTTTCAAACAATAATTTGTTTGCATAAGTATTAATATATTTTACCCTCCTAAAACTGTCTCATTTTAAAAAAAATTTGCAGTATGCTTTTTGACTGTGCATCATTGGAAATACCTGCTGATAGAAATATTTGTTTCAATATCAATTAGATCATAATTATGCAATTATTTTTTACCTTATGTTAGTATGGCTTCCTGCAGACTTTATTTTAGAATACATGAAAATGAATATGATGTCATTATTTCCAAACATCTCAAGGAGTCTAAAGTTTATAAAATCTTATCAATTATGATGTGATACTGACAAGACATGAGAATATTTGCTTCACACATCATGGCAAGTCACATTTAAAAATATAATTAGCATTTTCTTTTAACAATACTTCAAAATACAGGTACCAATCAGCTCAATATTGTCATAAAGCAAGTCAAAAGGAAAAATGGAGCAAGGACATTGAAACAATAAAAGTCATCAGATTAAGGCAAGAAAAATTTATTTAATTCAACTCGTCTCAACAACTAATTATTAAATAGCTGTTATGTGCTTCCACTCTGTAAAACACTGAGATGCTTGAAAAAAATGAAGAAAGGTGAAAGAAGGAGAAGGAGGCAGAGGAGAAAGAGAAAGAAGAGGAGAAAAAGATTATAACCACAGTCCTCTTCTTTATCACATGGGAATCTGAGGAATTTACATTATGTTTCAGTTAGAGGAATACTTTAGTTGAAGCCTTAAATTAAATGCACTTAGCAGAGCCAGCTTTCAATTATAAAATTAGGGAGAAGAACTTGAAATTACTTAGAAGAACTTAGTCCATTTAGGGCATTAGCAGAGAGCTGACCATCTCCATTGGTTTTTTGGTTTTCTACAGCTGTTCTGGATAGAACACATCCTACTCTGATCTACAGGCAAGGCATCCTCTTTATTGTTTGGCTCTGATAGACTGCTTAAGAGGATGAATATGCATCAGCACCCTTCATTCACTCCATCCCACCTGCCAGAGTCACCTGTGATATGACAAACTACTTCAGACGGAGACAGAAACCTCAAAAGAAAGCTCTCTGAAAGGCAAGTACCAACAATGCTCACAGTAGCTTGAAATTTCCTGGAAGCGATTCTTGCCATGGCTAAGGAAAGCACTTTGGACACTGTGACTTTAATGGCACCATAAAAATAACAAGGCATTAAACAAGCCTCAGCCTTAATAGGCTGGAAGAGGGAGAGTGGAGAAAAACATCCAAATTACCCAAATCCAACTAACGGCACATTCAATCGATGTAAATACATTACTCAAGGTTCTCTAATAACCCTGAGGTTTCTCCTATTTTCTAAAAAGAAGTGTGAATGACTGCCATTCTCAGACTGCACTAGAAGTGCTACTATAGGCATTGAAATTTGGAGTGAGAAACTTGGGAAGGAATAGGGATGGAATGCAGGAAAAGTTTGAATTCTGACTATGAATATAAATGGGCTTACAATTTCCAACAATGGTATTTAACATGGTAGATGCAGGCATGGGGCCTGGTAAACTTACAAGTTGGAGAAGGAATCACACATCATGCAATTTAAGGCCAGGGGAAGCATCTTTAGAAATCTTTTATTAATAATTAGCCCCTCAGTTTTGATGTGAGGCACCGAGAACCAAGAGATGAACTGACTTCCCCAAGACAACACAGTGACCTCTTGGGGCAAGAGTTCCACAGCCTAGATTTTCTGTTACCTTGTTCAGTTCTTAGAAACTATGATACAAGTTGGCAGGATCACCATGTGTAACAGTCCTGAAGATGAAAAACAATAGGAATAGAAGTGACGGCTCCACTTCTTCCATCCTCAATTTGAAAGAAAACAAGAAGTTGCTTTACTCACCTACGGAGAAAAACTCATTCATTTTCTTTTTGTAGATTTTGAAGTCAACTTCTAAGAAGACACAGAAAATGATCCGATCCACCTAGAGGCAAAAGATAAAACACTCAAAGTGAAAAAAAATATGGCAATTGCCCTGCCAGGACATAGCCGTAGAACAAAAACAAATGGAAAGGCCTCATACAGATTTTTGGTTCTATACTGCTATCTACATCATAGCATTGAGTGAAGTTCAAGGATGTGTGTAAGAATGTGTGTGTGTGTGTGTGCGTGTGTGTACTCTGTATATAAATAAACCTATGGGCTCTTTGGTGGAAAGATGCTATATAAATCAAATAAGAAATAATAAATGACAATAAGCCACTTTGCAGCAAGCTATAAATAAGATCTGAGATTCCGACAGGATAGCTAGACTTTATGTCCTATAAAACAGCCACACGAGAGGTATACAGCAGAATGACAATAAAGTATGTCAGTAAACAAAGAGCTCATTGTCCTACTCTTGCTAGACAAATATATTTATCAAACCTGTTAGTATTTGAACAAGGCCTAAAAAGCTTCCATGCAGTTTAGTTGGCATGAAGCCACTTGCTTTAATTTAACACACTTGGAAATGCAACAGAAATAAAAAGTAACTAGCTGACAGTGACGCAAGGTCGATATAACATTTAATTTTGTAGATATTATTGAATAAGTAAATGCCACCTCAAAAGTAAAATGTGTGCATAGTCCCTTTTTTGTTTTGAGGGAACTTCTGTATGTAAAGAGTTTCTTGGAAACATTCAGAGAGTAATATAGTAAATGGAGAAGAGACACGGAGTATACATAATAGCTCACATATATCTGATTAAATCAGTGACTTAATTTTGTGTCCTGGAAATAAATAACCCTTTAGTTATTTTGTTTTAACAACATAAAAAAATTGAAAAGCACTCACTGGCAAGTTGCATAGAACATCAAATGAGGTGTTTCTCGTGGCAGTAGGAAATGGAAGTGGGTGTACACATGGCAGGACAAGAAAGAACCCCCATGGAAGTCACCCACCTAACCTCCCTGCTCTCCAAACCTGTGTGATGCAGATCTCACTAGTAAGACAGTTCCCAGTAGAAAAGGAGATCTACAGGGGCAAGAAGTAGGGGCTGGGTTATAAACAATCACATTTTCTGACGGAAGACCAGAGATTTGGCTCCTTAGTCTCTGCCCAAGCCTAGACCTCACTTAGGGTAGACTGCCTCTTGGAAAATCACTCAGTTTCTAACCTGTAATCATCAAAGACCATGCAGCCCTTATAACTGCCTTCAAAGGATGGATTATAAGGGAAACGGGAAATGGAACAACTAGAGTACAAACAACCACATTTCTTTTTTCTTGTGTTCACTTTCGTGTCTGGTGTCCAGTCCTATCTGCCTATCATTAGCATTTTCTATAAATGCTAAACCTGTCATTGTCAACTCATTCCCCAGGTGAACTCTAAATTTAGTTGAATAAATGTAAACTGTGCAATAGTGAATGCTCATCTCCACTCTCTGTATGGCATGTTTATGTCCTGTGGCTAAAGCACAAAATCATAATGTTGAGTGACAGCAACAAGTTGCAAAAGGATACATACTCTCTGATACCATTTCTGCACACTTTCAAAACGTAAAGATACAAGAGTGTAGGGATCTATTCATAAGTACTGTTTAAATAATTAATTGGGAGGCTGTTAGACTGAGGTGGCTTAAGCATCCTGGATTCTTACATAATCAAACCAAAGTGTAAACAGTAAAAGGAATTTAAGCTTAGCCAGTCATACACTGCCAACTAATCTCTAACTAGGGTCTTTCCACTGGAATGATACAAATAAGGCTATTGCTCCACTTGGAGTGATCATATATTTTCTTTGACTTGTTTTCATGTCAACTCTACAAAAGCCCTTCATGCCCCTTCAGTGGAGCCCAGAATCACCTGCAATTTGGAGCTGCCCAATTCATGAATCGCTGTCTGCTCAAAAACATTCCAAAAATTTAAAGTGCCTCAGGAATATCGCACATAACTTTTTGAGAATGATGAGTTCTGGGGAGGGTGGGGAGGTAAAGGAGGAGGTAAGTAGGGAATTGACTGAAGACCTAATACTTTATTCCTTTAGAAAGAAAGGGGATTTGAGAAAAACATGGCAAATGGCTAATAGCTGCTAACTATGGGGATAGGTACATGGCTCTCATATTATTATATTTTCTATACTTTTATATATATTTGAAACACTTCATAATCAAAAATCCTAAAATTAAAAATAAGACTGTGCAGCCTCATTATCCTCCCTCAGACATAAACGACTCTCAAGCCACATTGAACTACTTGGAATTTCCAAAGATCGTAATTATTCTCACTTCTGTATCTACGATTGTTGACTTTTTTCCCCCAGGCTTTACGTGATCAGAATATTTCTAAAGTCAACCAACCGATCAAAAAATCAAAACAAGAAAATTTGGCTTAATGCAGATCTGAGAAGACAAGGCTGAACAGTGTCATTCCTACACATTTCCCCCATACTTAAAATCATTTAATATAAATTATGAAATTTAACACTCATGTTTCTTGTGTGAGTGTGTATAAATATGTGCATGAGTGTGTATGAGTGTGTGTTTGTGTATGGGGGGTTAATGGCAATGTTATTCTCTGCTAAGTGTACTTTTTTGTGTGTGTTTGTTTTTTTGAGATGGAGTCTTGCTCTGCTGCCCAGGTTGGAGGGCAGTGGCGCGATCTCAGCTCACTGCCACCTCCGCCTCCCAGGTTCAAGTGATTCTCTTGCCTCAGTCTCCTGAGTAGTTGGGACTACAGGCACATGCCACCATGCCCGGCTAATTTTTTGTATTTTTAGTAGAGACAGGGTTTCACCGTGTTAGCCAGGATGGTCTCGATCTCCTGACCTCGTGATCTGCCTGCCTCAGCCATGCAGACCATATACAGACATTTCAAATATTGGAAGGAACTATAATCTGCCTTTTATCATTTAGGCTCTGTTGCCATGGAAATGATTTAAGTCCAAAACTCAGCAGCCCAACTTATTTTCCCAGAAAAAAAAAAAAAAGCGCGGGGATGGTGACAGTGAAACACTTTTTAGTTTAAATTAATTGAGTGGCCCAATTCCCTGCCCTTACCCTTAGGCATAACACGGAAAATGTCTTGGAAGCAAGGTGAATCCAAGAATTAGTCTTATTCACTAAGTACTTATTATGTATGTATATGTGTATGTATTTATTATAAGCGTGCACAAACATATTCTCTGGGGTTATTGTTGAACAAGAGCTCATATAGTTGACAAGCTCCGTGTTTATGAATGCACCATGGGTACTGATCAGTGCTTGTGGCAGACTGTGTCTTCCAAGATGGCATGCGATGCGCTTTCCATCCCACAGCTCTTCTTACAGTGTAATAATGATACTCCCCTCATTGGGAAATGGGATCTACAGTTATTCCTTGAGCAACACAGGTTTGAGCTGCACAGGTCTACTTATATGTGGATTTTTTTCAGTAAAAGTTAAGCAGATCATGCCTGCCTCTTCTGCTTCCTCTTCCACTTCCTCCACCTCTACCACCCCTGAGAAAGTATACCTACCCCCCTTCCTCTTCCTCCTCAGCCCACTCAATGTGAAGACAATAAGGATGAAGACCTTTATGATGATCCACTTCCATCTCATGAACAGTAAATATATTTTCTCTTCCTTATGATTTTCTTAATAACATTTTCTTTCTCTAACTTACTTTATTGTAAGAATACAGCTATATAATACATATAACATACAAAATATGTGTTAATCAATCTTTATGTTATCTGTAAGGCTTCTAGTCAATAGTAGGCTATTAGTAGTTAAGTACCTGGGGAGTCAAAAGTTATACATGGATTTTTGACTGCACTGGGGATAGTCACCACTCACCCTCACATTGTTCAAGGGTCAACTGTAATTCCACCTCTTGAATCTGGGAAGCCTATGACTATGATAGAAATGATGCTGTATAACTTTGTAATCCATGAGGTGATACAGTTTCTGCCTGGTCTTCTTGGGAGCCTCGCTCTTGTACCCAACCACCATGCCATGAGGAAGCAGAGAGACAATATGGATCCAACTACCCTCACTGAAAGTAGGTAGACTTTAGATTATTTCAACTCCAGGCCTTTGAGCCATCCCAGCTAATGTCACACCAGCGGGAAACAGGTCAATCCTGCTAAATGCTGATTTCAAATTCATGAGCTAACCATCAAAATACATAACTAGAAATCTGATATTCTTCCAGCTTCTCCCTGTAACTGTTTTTCCAGAGTCTCTTGTTTTTCCAGCTATGTAGTACTTGACTCCTACTGAAAAGCCCAGACTGAATAAGTAAAAAAGAAGTCACAGTGGGTGAGGAGAAAGTCTAATTGTTATATGGCTGAGAGATTGGAAATCTGACTTGTACAAAGGAAAAAGGGCCCATATGCCCCATACTAGCCCCAGATAAATTTCATGAGAACCTATAAGAATGCCTCGCTATTGAGGCCCAGGAGCATTGTTTCATTTTTTTTTAAATGTTAGGCAGTAAAATAATTTTGTGAAATAGTGGTTCTTGAGAGATTGTATTCATTCATTTATTCATCAGATATAAAGTGATCATTTCCAATTTGTTGGGCCTAGCCTATATGCCATTCACTTATAGAAAACATGAGTCCAGGAATCGAGTGATTTTTTTTTTCCCAAGGCCCAAGCAATCAATTAAGGCAAAAACTCAGGTGTCTTCTTTTTTAGAATTTATTTTTAATGTTTTAAATACATTAGAGATGGAGTCTTGCTATGTTGCCAGGATGGACTCAAATTTCTAGGGTCAAGCAAACCTCTTGAGTGGCTTGGACTATACAAAGACAGTGCATGAACCTCACATCCAGAGATTGTTTGTTTGTTTTTTCTGTGATATCACCTAGAGACACACACACAGAATTGAGTTTCTAGGCCTGTCACTAGTTCTGTGACATCGGACAAGCCATCATCTCTCCTCACCCTAGTTTTTACATCTTTCTCAAGAAAAGATGGAATTATCTCATCTCTATAGTTTTTTTCTTTCTTTCTTTCTATGCCTCTGTTACAGTCTATGTCAAAAGTTAGTTAAGCTGAAGTTGCATTTCTCTGAATGGTTCTGGGTTAGGGCTGGCCACAGAGAAATTTCCATGAGATTTGTAGGGCAGAAGTGCAGTCAGAGACTTTGTGCCAGGAAGGTGGGTGCAGGGCTTGGGCGATCATGCATGCTGTTGCTTATCACATGGGTGTGGAGTAGCAGCTGGCCCCACAGCTTCTCCAGTTCTTGATGGTTCTTCTGCCACATGTTCTTGGAGCTGGGCTGGGCCCACATGAAGTTCTGCAGCAAGAGCACTGGATCCTTCGGCAGGACATCACAGCTTTGGGGTTCCAATCAGTGAGAGACAGATATATGGGCCTGTGGATCTCTGTGGATTCCAGTTTTCCCTTGTGACTTTCATTTGTCTTTGTTCTCTCCCGCTTTGCATGCAGCTTTCCTACTTCCTCTTTTATCATCTGCCCTGCTGACATACTTCTGGCCCTGTCCAGATGGACAGGCAAGGGACTTCCATAGACATCTTCACCAGCTCCATTCCATGGGCCCCGGTTAGAAGCTTTTCTATTCAGTCAATCATCCCCTTGTGGAATGTTACTTTCCCAGTTTCTCCCACAATTGTATAAGATCTAATCCCTGCAATAAATCCATTAACCCATATCATTCAAGGATTCTGCTTATCTGACTTAACTCCAGCTGATGTAATCTTCAATATCATTTCAGTGAATATTATGTAGAGAAGAGCAATGAAGTACAAAGAATAACAATGTTCTTTGTTACAGGTGTGCAATCTGTCAAGGCTTCTCAAATTCCAATTACTTCTTTTTCGATGAACTTTTGTTGGTCCCGGCCCATCTTCTTGGTTAACTTCCTAAAGTTTCCATCCCCGCTTGTAATTAAAGCAACTTTGTATATTTAAAATAATTTGCTCTTTTATGAACAAGCTGTCAATAAACTCAGATGATTCCCTAGTCTAAAATGTAATAGAAAATAATACAAAAAACAACATTAATATTTTTAGAACTAACAATCTGACAGTTCACTTTATGTCTTAAACTGGAACCTCATGAAGAATCAGGTGGCACTCATCTTTGCATCACCAGTGCATAGCATAGGTCCTGACACATAATAGGAGCTCTGTAAATATCCACAGAGTATATGTTTAGACAAACAGATTTGACTAAAATGTAGGTATGTGGCAGATAGTTTTCAAGGGTACTTAGTTCTAGAACCAAAAACATAAGATATTTCGGAGGACTTTCCTTTAAGTTTGCCAGAAGAGCTGAGAACAGAAATACAGAGAAACCTAGATGGTTTTGCAAAGCACTCTATAAAAAAGAAAAACAAAAGCACTATATAAAGGGCATGAGGCATTATTGTCACCAACTGACATCTTATCCAATGATACTATGTTGAGTACAATGGCTCTTCAGCCCAGTTTTCATATAGAGTGCTTAATCGTTTCACAGTAGCAACAATGATGCCCTCTAAACTAGGATGTATTAAAAACTAACAGCTTTTTAAAATGAAAAGACAATATCAAGTATTGTCTTATACTTGATATAAGACAAAGATATAGACTGACAGGAACTTTCATAGACTGCTTTTGAGAATAAAAATTGGAAACCTCTTTGGAAAATTATTTGGCAGTACATAGTAAATTAGCTGAATATGTACATGTCTTATAACCTAGCAATTTCACTCCTACATAGATACCTAGTAGAACCTACAAATATATTCACCAAAAGACACACACTAGAATGTTCATAGCAGCACTATTTGCAATATCTCCAAATTGGAAGCTACTTAAATGTCCATAAATGATAGAATGGATAAATTACGATGTACTCATATAATGGAATATTAAAAACCAATGAGAACAAAAAATTTATAACCATACAAAATAATACGGGCAAATCTCACAAGCATAATGTTGTATAACAGAACCCAGAAAAAAAAGAGGACACACTGGATGATTTCATTTTTATAAAGTTCAAAAACCTTATAGAAAGAGGCAAAATCATCGATGGAGTTAGAAGTTAATGTAACAATTACCCTGGGGTGGAGGGTTGGTGCAAAGAGACCTAGGGAAATGCCTGGGATCCTGGTTTTTTGATCTGGATGCTGGCTCCCTGGATGTGTTCAGTTTGTGAAAATTCATCAAGCTGTGCACTCAGGAACTGTGTTCTTTTCTGTATGTTATACTTCAATAAGAATTTTTTTAAAGGTTAAAAGTCCTATGTTACAGCTCTCTTGGTCAACAATCAAAAATCTATTTTTGTTGACCTCAGGGTTGAAAAAAGTCCTTTACAAGCTGACCTCCTAAAGGTAATCTCTCTGTGTATTTTCACTGCAGCCAACTGTAGCTCACCCATCGAGGCATAAAGGAGTAAAGATGTATGTCTTTCACCAAGATATCTATTAATCCACAGTTGGGGGTTTCCTACCCCATAAATGTGATGACATATGTTCCATTAATCTTTTCCAGCATCATATCCACTGGCCCTGAAGAGGGTGACACAGCGAAGCAGGTTTGGAGTATCTGCAGCCAACCTCCATTTTTCAGAGCCACCAGTCATAGGGCAGCTGACACAGCCAAGATTATCCTGTGTTCAGTGATACGAGGAGAATGAATGGATTCTGATGAATGTAATTTGCTTCCCCAACAACCAACATTTAGAGATCTGGTGTGATGCAAATGCTGCTTTAACTGAGGACTGATGGAGGGCTATCCTGGGTAAATATAGCCTGATGGACAGCTGGGCTTAAGTCCCAGCCTTCATGAAAGAGAAATCAACAGTCTCACCAGTGCAGGGTTGGATGGGATGATTTCATAAAACAGTGGCTGCTGCTTAATAAGTGAATTAAATTTCAAAGCTTAAGTATCAAATTTGTACAAAGACAGGTTTTGAGAGGTTGGAGGACCAGGATAAGTGAAGTTTCCCCAGTACTCAGAGTAACTCAGGGATAAACAGAGCAGCAAAGGGAAGCAATCACTACAGATTAATTAAGAACAAGAAATTGGGGTGCCTGGGTCCTAGTCCCTCCTCTCCCACCAAGTGAGGCAAAAGAGAGCAATCTGCTCTTCTCCCAGCATGTCAGTTTTCTGCTGCCACATGACAAATCACCGCAGAATTAATGGCTTAAAACAACAACACTTTATTATCTCACAGTTTCACAGTTGGCTGAAAGTCCAGGCCCAACCTAGTTGGGTCCTCTGCTTTGAGTCTCAAAAGCTGCAATCAAAGTGTTAGTTGCACTAGAGTCCTCACCTCAGGCTTGGAATCCTCTTCCAAGCCCATTAGAGCTTTTGGCAGAATTTGATCCCTTGCAGTTGCAGGACTGAGGTCACCATTTTCCTGCTAGGTGTTGACCAGGGATGGCTTTTATCTTCTAGAGGCCACCTGCATTTCCTTGCCATATGGTCCCCAAAGCAGTTCAGGACACGAGCGCTCTTTTTCTTCCACGCCAGCAAGAGTGTGCCTCTATCACTTTCTCTACCTCCCACCTCTACGTTCCTTCTAAAAGCCCACCTAATTAGTCAAGTCCACCTGTTTGTAATTAGCCAGACTGATTCAATACCTTTATTCCCTCTGTGGAAATCTCTTTTCCTAATCAACAGAGTGACTACCCCATCATATTTGAAGGTTCTACGCACCCTGAAGGGGAGAAAACTGAACAAGATGTGCACACCTAGGGGCGATCATATTGGCATCTTGGAGGCTGTTTTGAACTTCAGCCTCCCACGCAGTTCCCTCCATGGAAGCAGCTGCCTGTGTCCCTACTTGACTTTACCATTTACCTGTGACCTTGAACAAGTTACTTAAGTTTTGTAAGCCTCAGTCTGCTCATCTCTAAAATGGAGACATTGACCTCTGGGGGTTAGTGCCTTAAAACACACCTACTAATTAGCTCACAGTTCTGTAAGTCTAAAGTCTGACATTGCATGACTGGGTTCTGTCTATTCAGGGTGTTACAGGCTAAAATCAAGGTGTCAGCTGAATTGAGCCCTTGTCTGGAGGCTCAGGAGAGAAATCCACTTCTAAACTCCTTTTCATTGGTGGTAGAATTCAGTTCCTTGCAGTTGCAGGATGGGGGTCTTCATTTCCTTGCTGGTTGACAGCTGGAGGACAGCTCAGCTCCTGGAGGCCTCCTGCATTCCTTGCCATATTTCTGCCTCCATCCTCAAGCCAGCAAAGGCATGTCAACTCCTTCTCAGTGTTGATTCTCTGACTTCCTCCACATCTGTTCCAAATTTAAAGAACTCATGTGATGAAGTTAGGCCCACCTAGATAATCTCCCTATTTTAAGATTTGAGACCTTAATTACGTCTTCAAAATCCCTTTACAGTATTATGGTTTGGAAAATTGGGAGGTCTGTGTACACCATGACTTAGGAATCTGAAAGATCATCTTAGAATCCTGCCTGCCACCGTTGATTATAATGACCACATAGAAATTCTACATAAAGTCCTCAGCAAAGGGCCTGACATAGAGTAAATGCTCCATAAACATCAGTTGCTTGTTTGCATAGTTATTATTCATAAGGTACCTAAAACACCTACCCTGGTGCTGGCATGGAAATAAAATCAGTGTTCACTTGCTGAGTCCTTTATTTCTACCCTGACCTTGTAAGCCAGGTTAAGACGAGGTATAGCCAGATGAGAATATCAGGGGCACCTTTTTTATCTGTTATAGTGAAAATCATGTTATTATTACTATTATTATTATTATTTTAGAGATAGAATCTCATGCTGTCCTTCCGGCTGGAGTGCAGTGGTGCAAACATAGCTCACTGCAGCCTAGAACTCCTGAAATCAAGGAGTCCTCCCTCCTCAACCTCTTGAGTAGCTGGGTCTACAGGTGTGTGCCACACCATGCCTGGCTAATTTTTTAAAAAATATTTGTACAGACAGAGTCTTGCTATGTTGCCCAGGCTGGTTATGAGAAATTCTATCTTAAAAGAAACATTCATGAAAATAGGCCATGGTATATATAAGCAGCTCTGTTTTTGTCTGGTCATATCAGCCAATGAGATAAACGGGAAACAGGTAAGCTGATAGTGGAGATGGTGTAACGGATAAAGATTTCACAAGACCCCATAGGAGTCCGTATTCTGAGATTTTAATATCTTTGTCAAATGTCACCGAATATCATTGTTCTTCTTCGTGAAAGTATTAGCCATGTTCGCACTTGTGCACAACACCACAGAACCTGCTACTTCAATCTCCAAATTACAGAATGGGAAAATTTTTCTCCCCATGTTCCCAGAGATGTTTGGGTGAATTGGAAAACATTTATAATCCACAAACTCTCAAAGTACATTTTTGCATTTTAAAATTGCTTCTATGGGCATAAAAAGGATCCTTTATTTTGGGGGGCTTTTTTGCAAAGCCAGTATATCTGTCATTACTCTGTGGCAGCAGAATTCAGAATCTTCCTGTTTTGTTTTGATAAATTGCTCTTCTTGACTTTTCTTCAACTCAATAAGAAAAATGGCCATGCATCTGAGGAGCCAAGAGTTATTTTGGCTTGAGCTGGAGGCTCATTCACACAAGTTAATTTCCGAGCCTGCCTCATATTGATCAAAATTTCACAAACGACACATCTGTCGTGGTCCTTGAAGCTGCTCCATATGTTTAGTGTGGAACAGACACGTGCACACACACACAGGCTTAGGGCCTGCCGTTCTATATTCTAGCACAGCAAGCATGACCTGTTCTGCCCTTGTATCCAAAGAGATGATCCTGGGAGAGACTGAGGGGAAATGCCAGTCAAAGATAAAAAATGGGCTTTCTTTTCACGATTAAAGAGGAAGCTGCCGTGTGCTCGTGGTGGCTGCCCCTCCCTTCAGGACAATGCACATCATCCTTCCCTTGCTGGAGGTGCTGGTGACTGACAGCTCCAAGGAGTGGCTCTCAGAGGACTGTGTTCTGCTGAAGCAGGCACCTCACCCACGCTGCTTCTCTCTTCCTGAAGTCAGCCTGCATCCAATGACTGACTCACGGAGTAGCCTCAAGGCCCAGACCCCCTTCCCTCAATTTGATGCAGCTCGGAAGGGCCATCTATTCTGGGCCAAAGTGTGTCTCCTCCATATTCAGTCATAAAAGTCCTAACCCCCAGTATCTCAGAATGTGACTATATTTGAAGACAGAGTTTTGAAAGAAGTAATGCAGTAAAATGAGGTCACGGGGATAGGCCCTAATCCCATATAACAAGTTTTCTCATCAGAAGAGGAGGTTTGGACACGGACATGCACAGAGGGAAGACCATGTAAAGACACAGGGGGAAGATGGCCATCTGCCAGCCAAGGAGAGAAACCTCAGAAGAAATGCCCCCTGCTGACACCTTCATATTTGCCTTCTAGCCTCCAGAGCTATGAGAAAATAAATTTCTGTTATTTAAGCCACCCAGTCTGTGGTACTTTATGATGGCAGCCTGAGTAGACTAAGACACTTTCCCCACTCCTGAGCCCCTGTTGGGATCAGCCGAAGCCTTTGCTGTGACCGGATCACAGTTCAACTTCTCCCAACCCTGCTTCTCACATGTTTCCTCTCCACCCAGGTATGATTCAGGAACATAATCCGATAAACTTCCTACTTGCAATTCCCCTCTCAGTCTACTTCCATGGACACTTGACCTAGGACAATAACGCTCTATTTTTGACAATCTGAATTCTTTTCTTCCCATGCCCATTTTTTCCATCATTTCCAACGTTCTGAGTGGCAGCAGCCAATCACACATGAAGCCGGCCACCTGAGCTCTGTCCAACAGTGACTGCTACCCGCTCCTTGCTTACTAGTAATTTCAGGAGTGACCATATTTAGCATTTGGCTGACCAGTGGTAAGAAGTCAGGACTTGTTTTGTAAAAGAGCACTTGAAGTCAATATACGCTATACATGTAACCCTAACAAAGTGACAGCAACAGATTTGTTGAGATTGGGGCCCCATCCGACACTGACCATTGGGAAACGTGTCTCTCAAAGTTCTCTGTGGACTCTGTTCAAAGGACAGGAAACTGGCTCCGAGGGCAACCGTGCAGTGACTGCCATCAGCTGTGAGGGTAAATCTCACATGGCCAAAGCCACCCAGAGCCAAGACACATCTCTGCAGATGTCTATCTTGCCTAATGCTAGGTAGATCCTTCTAGATAAGAGTTACAGATCTCCTTCTATGTGAGAAATGGATTACTTGATGGTTTGTTAGCAAATCCATAAAAGATAAGCGGGCCCACACAGTCTGGAGGTGTGGCAGCACTGAGGTGCCCTGTTCATGTTCCCGTGGGTCTAAGTAGTAAGTGTGAGCCAGACAATGGCCAAGCACCTGCACTTCTTTGCCTGAGGGCTTTCATAGTGCTGGCAGGCTCTGAGCAAATATCTAGTGAGCTGGAGTTTGGAAAATTAATGCCTGTCACCCTGGCAGCCTCAACCAAAGACTGACGGGAGTTGATGTTTAAATCCCCCTGTTCGATCACCCTTGGGGGAGAGATCCCAGAGTTCTCCAGAGGGATAAATGCCTGGTTTCCCAGGGTGATGCTCTTGGTGGCATGCTCTGTGTCAACTCTCCTCACCTCTGCATGATCCACAGATAATCTACCTGCACTCTAATTCTTGTCTTAGGGTCTGCTTTTGGGAGAATCCAAATCAAGAGGTGAGGAGAAAATTGGTCAGATATCCACTTCATCTCTCAACATTCAGCCTATCAAGTGTTAATTCAATGTAATTCATCTTCTCACTCCGATAAGGTACGGGCTGCTGCCTATACTTTGCCATCACTCCCATGGTGCCCTTGGTACCCTTACACGAAGAAGACAGTGCCAAGAATAGGTCTCTTGACTCAAACTTCTTCCTCGCCATCTAGTCTATGACATGAAATTACCCTTCCAACCATGGAGCCATTGTTTATCCAGCACACATGCAGCGCTCATGTCACCCCGCAATCCAGCTGCAGACCCCTATTGTCTATTTCATCCTCCTGCTTCTCAGAAAGCTCTGCTTCCTCTTTCTTTTATTTGATTAAGAATATCTGCAGAGGTGGTTCAGAGACAAAAGTTAATAATTACTTTCTTTGTTGAAGTAATTAAAAATTTCAAGGAAGAATTGTCATTCATTGCTGCTTATGAGGTTGCCCAGGGAGGATAGTGCTTTATAAAGCCAACACATCTTGACTTTCAAAAGATGCCATCAGTGGGAGAAACAAAAATCTCCACTCAAAATGAGAATGCTATGCCAAGTCACAAGGTGGCTCCGCAGCCTGGTCACGATGCTCGAAGGAACGGGGCCCACTGCATAACCGTGCAATCGTCCTGTGCCTTATCGTTTTCTCGACATTTCCATTAGCATCTGACGTGCATGCAGATGCCATTTACAGTTCAAAGGAAGCTCATTAACATATCTTCCAAAAGAGCATTTTTGTGAGGACAAAAGCTGTTTTTCTCAAGCTGATGTCCCTCCCACTCCTGCAAGAAAGAATCTTTTCGTTCAAAAGGCAAACCTCAACAGAACAATCTCCCTTGAGTAATTTTCCATAGGTTCATGTCCTCTACAATGTGAAAGCACAAACCAAAAGCATTCTGGTGGCAACAGTGCTGTGTGTGTGAGTGTGTGTGTGCATGTGTGAACATAAAAGAAAGGAAGGAAAATGGTGAGTTACATCTGTGCCTCTCCTATTAGCCACCCTAGCCTCTACCTCCCCCAACACGCATGAGCTGTTCCAAACCTTTGATTGTCGCTTTATATCTTTATGAACTTGTAGCTATTTCATATCATCTCTCTCTTTAAATGCCAGATAGAGGAACATGCCCCTCAGCTAGACGGTAGATCCCTGGAGGAGACACCCCTTTTTAGTCATCTTTCCAGCTTGTAATCAGTGTAGCCAACTGGAGGATATGAGAAAAGGTCTGTCATATCTCTCCACTGTATCAGTGGGCTCTGAGTGACCTAATTATGACTACTAACTGACTTAGGGACCCCAAAAGGAAAGACCACTTGAGGAAAAAGGTAGAAACATGGGCCCCCTGGCTTTCTCTCTGCGGAAGAAATAGCTTTTCCTCTCCTCCCTCTTACCCTCTGTAGGTTGTCCATCCTCCACAACATTGTCTGCTTCATATTTTGAAAATTGAACTCACAACTTCCAGTGGTCTTATCAATTAATTAAGTGCTTTTCAAATGTTTATATGCAAATATTCCTGAGGGCTATTAAGTCTCCCTCGGGAACTTGGGATGATGCCCAAAATGCCCCCTACAAAATTTTATTTAAATTTGGGTTTTGTCACATGGTCTTTTAGTAATGTAGTATCTATAATATTCATGCTTGGCTGTATATAAAGACAATGCTTTTCTTCCTAATCGTTACTAATCCTTGAGGAAGATGACCCCCCCCTCCCCCTGGCTTGTACAGTGACTTTGGCCTCTCTTCGGCACACTGCACCAGATCCTGCACGGGGGCTGGGAATCCATTACAGGTGGAAAATCATGACTTAGTGGCATGGAGCCAGAATGCATGGTGTATTGGTACATTTGCATGGGAGAGAGAGAGAAAGAGAGAGAGAGAGTGATTGATACAGATGTTTCAACATATTTTAACTTCCAAAAGAATTTCTCCTTCAGCTATTATAGTCTTAAGGTAAAATTCAGTGTTATAAGCTTTATGTTTTAAAACAACATTTATTATGAATATCAAAATCTTCTCAAGGGAATGGAAAGGGAAAGAAAACAATTAATAGCTATTGAACACTTCTCTGCTATACTCTGAGGTATGTTGGTTCCTATGTGTAAGGTAAAGCCACCCTGAACACTAACTGAGAAAAAACAATTATGATACTAATTTTGTAGTAAGACAGTCTTTTTTTCCCTTTTAAGCAAAATGAACAATTAAAACAATGACAAAAGAATAACTAACCAAATAAAAACAAAAACATAAAAAGAAAGAAGAGAAGACTACGGCATAGAAATGTCAACTAAATGTCAACCTTTCTCACTGGGGGTATATGGAAAAAAAGAACAATAACAGTCAGGTATCCACTAAGATTATTTTAGTAGAGGGTAATAGAATGATGGCTTTCTGAAAACAGCCAACAGATGTCCCACCCATTATACTAATCTTGTTATATAACGTCTGCTGCTGTAATCCCTTAAAAGTTTATTTTCTAAACTCGATTCTGCTCCAGCATCTGTGACGCTAAATGCTGCAGTGGCTGTTTCTCGGTTTTCACTGATGTTTCCAATGCCAGTTACAGGTCAAAATTTAAGGCCAGTCAAAATAAAGCCTTGGTTTGCATTTCAGCAGGAAAACGATGCTTTATTTGCGTTTGTGCTGTATCCAATAATGTTTTATCCAACCATCTTTCAGCAGGAGAGGAAGAGTCCAAATTACAAAGATATGCAAATGGAATTGGCATATTGGCACAATTTAGAGTCACCACTCAATTGCTTAGAGAGATACATTCCTAAAATAATGCTGCCGAAAGTCCACTCTAAACCATCTACCTTAAGTATGAATTTGTTCCATGGGCTTAGCCGAATGATTTATTCATTAAAAACAAACCAATCCTCTACGTTATACTTTTGGAAATGTTGAGGAGAAGAAAGCTAAAATTTAATTCTGTGAACAGCTGTAAAAAATATTTGGAAAGATCCACTGATGATGTATTCATTGAAAAACTTTAAGAAGGATTCTATTTTTTCTATGTAATTTAATTTCTGAGTTGTGAAACAGATACATTCTGGACAACAAATTATTTAAAATGTACCTAGTTCCTAAGTTACATCTTTGGGAACCTGGATGTGAAGAAGCCATATATATATATATATATATATATATATATATATATATATAATTTTTTTTTTGACTATGTCAAGGTCCACTTTAGAAAAAGCCCTTGTTTTTAAGGAGTTATTTTGTTGTTTTTTCTTGATGCCGAGGGTCTCGCTGCTGCCATGTTGGGTCACCATATGTTCTAGTCATGTGGCAGCCTGTATGTTTTCTATCTCAGTTAGCAGCTCTGACATTTCGCCATGTTTTCTCTCTAGCCAGTGGGTGTGAGTTGGTTAACAGGACGGCTCTAGACTGCATGAGCCATGGCTTACGTAAGGCTTGTTATGGCATATTCTTGATACTGCTTAGTCGTGGAAAAACCGTTTTTTCCTTTTGGTGTCCAACCAGGAAATTCCTTTGTTCTGCCAAAAATGGACTAAAGCCATATCATCATTGCCACCCACAGTGAAAATGCAGTAGAAAGAAAGGTCAGGATAACTAGATGAGAGAAAATCGCTGCTGTCTCAAGTCAATAAAAGTGTGTGCTGCCTTCACTTTGTAGACTATGTTGGAGGGGTGGGGCAAACTAACACAGGAATCAATTGAAAAGAACTAATTAAAGCAACTAATGAAAGTCTGTGACATCCCAAGCAGTCTAGTGTGGGACAAAACCAGTGAGGGAACCTATGAGATTATTTCACAATGTTTACCATGAAGTATCCTCGAAGGCTGAATATTCTAAATGGGGACCCTTCCACACTCCAGTTCATGGAGGATAGCCTGAGAAGTTCTGGTCAATTGCAAAGTTTCCTTCAACATACATCTTTTATTTTAAAACTGCATTCCATATTTTACAATTCTACCCAATTATTTATATGTTTATGCCTATGTTAGGATAAAAAGTGTTTCTTACCCTAAATGTTTATATAAAATTGAAGCTCCTAGAAGAAATAACATTTTTACTCTCTGACTTCAAGTCTATCCAGTCCACGTGGAAAACCTGTTTTAGACAGGCCACATGGCTTAAAAAGAGGTGTTCTGTTTTGTGGGAGAGGAGGTTCGGATCAAGAGAATAGGCTTAAATTTCATTGGTCACAGTTTTGTGTGTGGGATTGGCCACTTCCAGTGAATCACTTAACTTCTCTAAACTCTGTTTTCATTAGTTAAATAGGGCTAATAATAGACCAATACTGTAGGGTAGGGTTGTCCAGAATATTCAAAGAAATGATGTGTGTGAAGTAATTATCACATAGCAACTGTTGAAAATATGGTAGCTATCACTCTTATCAAGGCTTAATTTGGTCTGCATGCAAAACTATTATTGGACATGTTTAGATTGCTGTGCTTACTGAAATTGAAGGCCAAGATAAAATTTTGTGAATTCTTAGTACACTTATCTAGTTTGCTCCCATTCATGGTGGTCTCTTTCTTTTGTACTTCGACAGGGGGTTACTGCCACAAGTAAGATTATTCCTTGCTATGCTGCTTTCCACGACTCATTTCCTTGATCAAGGTGAACCCAGTAGAGAAAGGCACTACGTCTTCTACATCTTCATCCTGCCCAAAGCCATAGTTTTCAAACTGTAATGAGCAAAAAACTTCTAGTGTGCTTAGTAAACATCCTAGTTACTGACCGTCTTCATAGATATTATGAGTTGTGCGTTTGAAGTGGTGCTGAGAATCAGAATTTTTAGGGAGTATTCCTCAGTCCTGGACATTTTTATGGAGGTGATCAGAGATTCTTCAGGTGATCTTCTTATAAGAACAGCAGTCATTGGAATTAGGATCTACCTTAATCCAGCGTGACCTCAACTTTACTAATTATATCTGCAAAGGTTCTATTCCAAACAGGGTCACATTCTGAGATTTCAGTAGACATGAATTTAGGGGGAACACACTCTTCAACTCAGTATACCTCCAAAACCTTGACTTTAACAGCAGTTGTTTCACTAGCTGACTAGAGTATGATGTGAAAGACTGCCATGAAGTGTGATGCCACTTATGAATCTTCTAGGTAATTGTCAATTACAGTTTAATGTTATTTTCATAAAATAACCTTCTTGCAACATATTTTTATGCTTTCTATAAAAAGGCTATTCTTCATCATGATATTTCTGATAAAAAAAAATATGCAGCTGGCATGCATCCTGGTCTTTAATGAGGCATTTTTGTACTGCCTTGTAGTTTTCCTTATCCTTTTATGTGCCATTGTGTATCAAATATAGAGCCGACACTCAATAAATATTAAGTTGAATGTATACATTCATTCTGCAAACAATGGTGGGGGTTGAGAAGGACACAGGATGTGTACGACAGAAATTGTCTTGTTTTCCAGGAGACTTTCCTGGACAGAAAAGATAAGACCCTTCATAAATAGTACAACACTAGGTGTACGGTGAAGTCTGGGAGCTTACTTACAAATCCCACTGTCACCACTTACTAGTTGCATAATCTTGGGCAAGTTGCTTAACCTCACTAAAGCTCAGTTTTCATGTCCGTAAAAATGGGGCTTACATGTTCAATTACCTCACTAGGCTATCTGGGGGAGTAAATGAATTAATGTCTGCATTGTGTTGAGCACACAGCAAATGCTCACTAAATGATAGCAGTTACCGGGACCCAGGGGAAGAAAGGATGTTTGATAGGTTGATGATGACATTTTATGTGTTCGTCATTTCCCACCTGGATTATAAGCTTCCTGACTGCAGGGAGTTCATAATTATATTACCATAGCATCTCTCATAACTCTTGGCAGACCTGCTCCTCCTAGGGAATTTGTATAATGTCACCAAATGCAGTCCTAGTCAGTTGATTCATTGAGTGATTCTGTCAGTCCCTTTATTGGCAACAGCAGCAAAACATTTACATGTTCTAGGTTTCTGCTCCTATTCACAGTTTTCTCTTTAAGAAATGTACATTTTTGCTACTCATATATGTGCAGGCATGCTAGATGTTTGGCAAGAGAGAATACTACAGTGAGGTGGGTTGTAAGGGGTAGGATTGAGATTATCCATATAAGGCAATAGTAGGGATGAGTGATTGTGAAAGAGGATGCTTCATATTCCTGACTTTAAAACCATGAAAAAACAACCATTACTGATGTCCAACTTACAAAGGTTACAGCATGATTTGTCATAAAAATTCAGGAGTGTCAGGGAGCAATGCAAATTGCAGATGTTAATTACACGTTTCTCATTTTCCTGGAGTGGTTGGACTTTCCTCTCAGTTGCAGCTTTCTGATCATGCACATAATGCTCTGTTACTTTTGCTTTGATGTAATTATTATGATATTGATTTTTTAAATGGGCCCATGGTAGAAATTCTACACATATGCCAAAAAAAATTCTACCATGACTTTTACATTTGCACTTCAGAAATTATCCTAAATACTCTGCTGGATCCTTGAAGTTAATCGATTTGCAGCTAGTTAGTTTGGTCCACAAGACCAAAATACCTCCTGCATAAATTCACTTAAGTATCAGTTATTGTGAACAGGCCTATTTATTTAGCAGAAGTCACTTTATTATGCTGTTTCAAAAGCAAAAGCACTGGAGGGAAAATATCACATAGAATTAACATAACTGTCAACACACGAACATGAACTGGTATAAACCATCCACATGAAAAATGTCACTCTGCTCACAGTGCACATTTACAAAAAGCGGTAGTCACACTTTACCTAAATAACAAAGTAGAGTCAACTTCCAGGAATGAGCTCCTGCCTTCTTTGAACTTGTTCTAACCCAGTCAGTTAATAAGAATAGGGAAATGGTGATGATAAATGCATATAATAACAAGGCCACTTGGCATCAGCATGCAACTCTGTTTCATTGTCAAAGTGTTTTTCATGTTGATTACCTCATTTAAGTCACTATTACACTCATAGTGTCCAGAGTGGAGGTGAGTGTGGTACAGCAAGGTTAAGTGGTGAGCTCAGTGCCACCAAGTGGTGAGGAAAAGGGTCGTGACTGAAATCTAGTCTACTGTTTCCTGTCTCTTTTCTAGGTGCCTACTCTACTAAATAATTCTGCATAAAAATTTAGTTTATCACTAGTCAAATTATTTTGGGCAGTGGATCTTGATATAAAAAGTTAATCACCTAGCTTATCAACTAAAGCCAGATGTTGACTTCTTGAGAGACGACACAACCCCCCAGGGCAAAGGAGGTAAAGTGTTACGTGCCTTATAGCTGTGGTATATGCACTGTGTCCAAACCACTTACAATTCAGATTTGTCTGTCTATTTCTCTATCTATCTATCTATCTATCTATCTATCTATCCATCCACCCACCCCCCATCCAACCATCTATCCGTACATCCATCTTTCTAATCCAAGCATCAAAAATGAGTAACAGTAGAATTTAAAACAAATTATTTGTGATGTTCAAATAGCAATGCAACCAACATGATGCTTTTTGTGGTTTCTGATATTCCCATTAATGTGATAAGCAAGGGAACTGGAGAAGAAGCAAATTAACATTAGCCAATTTCTTTGGTGTCTTACAGAGGCAAAAAAAAAAAAAAGATGAAAAAAAGGATGAAAGGTCTCGGGATTTTTGGCTCATTGGTTCTGGGTCCTGACTGCAAATACATCATAGAGCCACTAAGAACCTCTGTTTTCTCATCTTTGAAATAAATGGGCGTAATATGAAGTTTCTGTGGCCTATTATTCTCACATTCTGGATGCTGTCCCTTTCCCAACAGCTCCATCAGTGTATATCCTAGGGACCCCAAAGACGTGGCATGCACCTGTAGGTCCAGCTCCACCGGCATTGGGAAGTCACAAAGCCTACCCTGACAGTAGGTGGTCCTTAATACTAAGAAATAGGGTCAAGAAAGAGTTAAATGTTGCCTTGTGTCACTCTCTTGCTGGATTGTGCTGCTATGGCCCCAGGAATAGAGTCTTGCATCAGACTCCTCACCTCATGGACTCTTCTCTTGGGACCATAGTGTCTAGTGTCTTTTCAACCTCCTCTTCCAACCAAGCCCAACACACCTACCCAATTCCTGTTCATCTCTTCCCTGGTCTTTGCTTCCTATTTTCTACCCCTTGAATTCAGTCCAAGTCCCATTACTATATAAGAGGAAATGGGGTAGAACTGAACCCTCTTGTTTAATTTTTTGCATCTCTATTTTCCAGGGGTGGATATCTAGCTGAACCCATCACAAACTACCTCTCCCTTAATAAACTGTCACCAGAATCTTCTAGTCAAGCACCACAGCCTAGACCTCCCACCATCATTCTAAGTCTCCTCCCTTGACATGGTTTGGCTCTGTGTCCCTACCTACATCTTACATTGCATTGTAATCTCCAGTGTTGGAGGTAGGGCCTGGTGGGAGGTGAGTGAATCATGGGGGTGGATTTCTCATGAATGTCTTAGCACCATCCCGTAAATACTGTTCTCACAATGTGAGTTCTTACGAGCTCTGGTTATTTAAAAGTGTGCAGCAACTCCCCCTCACTTGCTCTCTTGCTTCCACCATGTAAGACGTGCCTACTTCCCCTTTGGCTTCTGACATGACTGTAAGCTTCCTAAGGCCTCCCCAGAACCCAGGCAGATTCCAGCATGATGCTTCCTGCACAGCTTACAGAATTTTGAGCCAAGTAAACCTCTTTTCTTTTAAATTACCCAGTCTCAGGTATTTCTTTATGGCGATGTGAGAATGGACTAATACACCCCCCCATCCTGGACCACCCCAACATCATGATTAGATGCTGATGCCTGAAAATGTAATAAAATACGCTTGTATTTCCTTGGCCACGGCCCTTGATCATTCTCTGCCTTAACATCCCTTCTGTTTTCCCTTTGCTTAGCTCATTCTGTTTCTCACAACTTAGTGTGGGCCACCCATGATCAAGGCCAGCATGTGAAACACAGAGAAAGACATTCCATCTCACCAGGATATCCAGATGTGAGATGAGGATAAAATGAAATTGCAAGGATGGAATGCTTTGAGAGTCTTAAAAGTGAAATACAACTTTGAGGTTTTGCTATGTGGTAAAACCATTTTTTAAAAGATTAAAATTTCAACAGCCTTCAGAAGGTTTTCTTGTTGAAAAACATATTTATTTTTCTTCATAAGGACAAAAACAATCCCTCTCAGACTTAGTGCGCGGGGATTCTTACTATAATTTAACTAATGTGGGTAACATTTGGCATGCTCTGGAGTCTTTCACAGCTTGCCTTGGAAGAGTTTATGGATGAATTTTTTTATAGCTTCCATTTTTTTCCAGTAGAGTTAGTCAATGTGTTTATATTTTACTTGATACTAGTTTAAGAAATTTATACAGTCAGTAGCCATTTCTTCAGTCATGGAATTCTTTTATTTCACAGTCAATAAAATTTTAAGATGTCACAATGCCTTTGGGCTTATAATAATATTTTGTCCTTTACATCCAGGTTCAACTCTGTGGAAGTAGATATAGGTGAGCATGGCATAATTTATGACATTTTTTGAAGCCATAGTTTATTAGCAAATATAAGTCGAGATCTAAAAGATCTTTTTTTGTGAATTGATAACAATTTTTGAGTTAAAGGAGGATGCTTTTTGGTTTTTGCCACTCCTTAAGAGGGCAGGGGAAGCTGAGAAAAATTTGGAGTCAACCAACCACACATGTTGTCCCCGGCAAGTTGCAAAGCTGAAGAATTATGGCACTAATTTCTGACCAGCTCACCATAACATGGGAAGTGAAGATGTGGTGGGAAATAAAATATTCCTCTTTGTTTTCTGCCAACAGGTAAAGTAGTTCTTATTGTCCTCGCTGGATAGATGCTGTAACTGCTGCTTGTCAAATCCTCATGGGCTGGTCAGACATTCTGTGGTGGCTTGAGCCACTGTCATGGCCACAGTGCCAGACTTTCTCTAGCAGTTTGACTTCACAGTGGTCCCACAGAAAATTTTAGGAGTGAATATAGAAGAATGATAAAATAATCATAGGTAATATTCATTTATCAGTTTCTATTTTTCAGGCATTAGTCTAATAAATTTAATTATAAATTAACTTATTAATATGTGCTACAATTCTAGGAGCCAGTAGATAATTCTTGTTTCTATTTCATAGATGAGGGAACTGAGGCAGAAAAAGTTTAAGTAAGTTGCCTGAAGTTACACAGATAACAGGTGGTCACATTTTCAGCTATTGCAACATAATAAATAATCACAAAATTACAATGTAATATAATAATACAGAATGATTCTCACAATGATGATATATAGACATATGAACTACACACATTCATATATATGTTTGTGTTGTTATTATCCAAAGCAGCCCCTCAAATATCTGGGATTTTCATTATACTTCTTATAGATGATATGTGGTCAGCTGAGGTTCACCAAATCTAGACTGAGAATGGATGGGAGCTTCTGATTTAGGCTATGACAGTTGGGGCAGCTGGGCTTTGTACCATAGGTGGGCTGGGGCAATTCTGTTTCACATGTTTCTTATCCCCTCTGGACTAATGAGTTATCAAGTCAATAGTCTCATGGCAGTGCCAAGAGCAGAAAGTGAAAATGCACAAGGTCTTACGAGGCCCAGCCTTGGAACTAACTTAGCCTCACTTCCGTCACCTTTCAGTAAGCCGACAGAAGTCACAGAGCCAAGGAAAAAGTCAAGGAATCGGGATGTACTCTTTTCTCACAATGAGACCATGGCAAGGATATAGGCATACAGAGCCACTGAGAACGGGGGCCAATGGTTCGGTTCATCATGTGATGAAAGAGACGAACTTGGGCAATCTTGTCCATAGTCCTTGCTCACAAGTGTAATGCTATATTTCCTCTCAAGGGATGCTTCTGTTTCTTCTCTTCATGAAGAGATATATTGTAAGGAGCCTTTTTTGAGAAATGATGGATAAAAAATTAGGCTTTCACTAACATTTGAGATTTAAGCTGAAATAGGAATTCTACATGTAGAATGAGGCAAATATTACCAATAAACATAACAGGAAATAATTTGGGCAAAAGACAGTGCATATGTCTATATCTATAGTCATATCCATATATAAGCACACAGTTTACATATGCATACACATGTATGAGTTGAGTACCCAAAGCCGTCCTCCAAACTGTCTGGGCTTTCCATTGTACCTCTTATACTAACTGACTTCTGGGAAATCATTCTTATTTTTATAAATGCTTTTATCAAATGAAACCAGACTACAAGCTTACAGTTGCATTAGTCCATTTTATTGATGTATTTATTTAAAAGGTTCAGTCTGTCTTATATCAGAACAACTTTGAATGCAAAAAATGATGCTTATCACTTTTATTTTCCTATGCTGCTTTTGTGCGTGTGGGATCCAAAAACTCATCAAAATCTAGCTGTGCTCTACCGGATTTTATCTCACAGTCATTGTGATGTAGCAACACTGGTCAATCTCTTCTCAACAGAGCACAATTGCCATAGAAATAGCTAAGGGGATGAAATACAATTGCTGAAGAATAATGAAGTGAAATGAACCCCCAAAGCTATCTTTCCAATATAAATCACAAAGTTAAGTTGCAGTGATCTGAAAACAGAATTTAAGGATGTGTGCAATCCAGAAAAAGCTAATTGATGCTTAATTTTTGCATCACATCTGGTAAGGATGTAATTAAGGGCTCCACAAGATGGAAACATTAAACATTTTGCATAGAAAGATAAGAAATGAGAATATCACTATTAGGATAAAAGCAACTTCCTTCTCTTCCCTGGTAATGTGAAATAATTTCTCCTACACTGAAGAGCATTGGGAGCTTCTGAGTTTATTGTTTACTTTGTTCCTTATTAGAGAGGAAATCCAAGTGTTACTAAATTAAAAGGAAAGAATGGAATGTACCACAGCCCCATAGTAAAAAAAAAGCTTGATATTCTAGGTCAAAAGCTGCCCAATCTTGACAAGAAAATTAACCTGAGTAGATCTCTGGAGTATTGAATATAATACGGTATATGAGTTTTTCTCAAAATTTTTAGTCCCATAGATTTATGACACTGGGGTAAGGTGATAGTTCCTACTTAGTGCTACAAAAACTCAAGTGCCAACAATCTGAAAAGTTCGCTGGCTGATGATTTTAGGATATCTGATTATTTTCAATTGATGATGGGCTAAGCAGTTGATGATGGGCTAAGAGTATCACAAAAGTTGCATGAGATTCAAATTACAAAAAGACTAAACAGGAGGTTAGGACCAACAACCACAGGATAAGCATCAGCTTCTTTCGTACATCATCAGAGATAGACCACAGCTTTTGTAACCAAGAGGAACCTAAGGTGTCTGTGGTCAGAAGCAGCTCAGAGGCCAATATATATGTTAATAAAATTGTTTTGTTAATAATATGGGGCAAATCAAGTTTCCAGAAACTCTTGAGTTTCTGGAGGTAGAAATGAAAGGCTGCACTTTGGTGACCTGAGGAGGAAAATGTGTAGAATGCGGCAAGTTGGAAAAAAACAGATTGATGGGGCTAGTGATCAAAAAAACAGACAAGCACCTGAACATGATACAGTGTCTGCTACTGAGGACACAGTAGAGCCCTCGAGGGGTTCTTGTGAGGACAAGAGAGGCTCATGTTGGAGGTAGATACGAGTCTGTAGTGTTGCAGACAGTTAGCTAAGGAGAAAGTTGAGAGACCAGTTCATTCCCACACGGAGAAAAGGGGTCCCATTCAATAAGATTTTCTGTGTCTCACTCCACAGAATTTCTCTCTCTTTTAAAAGATCCGATTACCCAAGCAAGTTCCACAGAGCAAATCTTAGTGCATATTATACTTTTGAAAAGGCATTTATGGTTAAACAATATTAAGAAACACTGCATGTTTAACTTTGTTTAAAGGTTAAAAAGGGGGCTTCCTTTAATATCTTTTTTTTCGTCTACTATCCTTCATGGTACAGCCCTGTCCATCAAAACCTATTTTCTTGGCAACCTAGAGAGAAGCCTGCAGACCAAGTACATATGTGTGCTGGTGCACACAGCTCATATTTTTGCAAAGAAAAAAATGTTATCCTTATTGAACTCCAGCTAAGTCCCTTTAATGCTCTGATTCAAGAAGACATCCAAAGGCCCATTCCTTGTGGTTTCCATTTAGCAAGGCAAACCTTATAGGCACAATCTTTGTAATACACAACTGGACTTTCTACAAAGAAATAGCTGTGGTCTACTTGCTAAGCTTCTGCCCAATTAGACCCATATTGCTTCCTTGAAAACTCTTGAGGTTTACCACAATTTGGTATTGCTATTCTTACTGCGCAGCTCATGGAGGTTGATGCCAGATCATGTTAAAGTGGTAAGTCCACCAGCCACTCACACATCAGAGCTATTACGGATAGTCAATCCCTTTCAATACATCATTTATGCTTTGAAAGCAATTTGTAAAATGAATAAAAGCAGCTCTGTGAATTATAATAAAATTACAGAAATTATTTTAAAATTGAGCTGCGTATTCAGGTAAATGAATGCTTTTTCTTGTCAACCACATGAAACTAAACCAACATCAGTAGATATATTTTGTTATATATCTGGAGAGAATTGTATTTCTCTCTAAAAAGATTATGCCTTCATTGTGAATAAAGGAAAAAACATCCCATAGATAATGACTCTTATGACTCCATTCTGTGTAACTGACCACCAATTGGTTGTAATGAGATTGCTTCTGCAGAAGATAAAGGTTTTAAGGAAGGAGTGTGTGTGTCAGTCATAAGGGGTTTGTTGCCACAAATACTTTCCAACTTTCATTCCATGGCCAATCTGATTCACATCTGCATCAAATCCATTTACCCTCTCCTAAGTAGAAAATGGAAACAGTTCTGTAATCTCCAGAGTACTATCAAAAGGTAAAACGTCACTATTATTAGATACTCAGCCTGAGTTTGAGAAAGGCAAAAGACTGAGTTGTAACCTTACTTCTTCCACAGGAAATATAAGAGTCACCCTCATTGCACAATTTCAGGACCTGGGGTCCCATGTGGAAATGGACTTGATCTGAGGCTTCTGCTTCTGACAGCTCTGCCTAATGGCCTGTGTTCCCAGGGGCTTCTTAGAAACAGAGCAGATTGTGGAGGGAAGGGAGATAAACTGGCATTTGATGCATGTGGCTTTTCTAGGCATTCTGCAAGCAACTTTACAGGTTTCATCTCATTTAATCCCCACAAGCACAGTGCATATTAAGTATTGCTGTACCAATTGTGTAGATGAGGAAACTCAAAGCTCTAGTGCTAGTTTTTGATGCTTAAGATGAATCTAGCCTGGAGTCATAACTCATTATTATACGAGTTGATTGACTTTGGACAAATTAACTGCTCTAAGCTTCAGTTTCCTCATTATTCAAATAGGGATCATAATATTTCACATACATGTAGATATAATATTATAATTATTCTATCACTTACAAATAGATATAATAATTGATATTAATAATTATTGTTAGTATTGTCATCCAAACATTAGTGTTTTAACAACATACCAATGATATTATTACTAATTTACTACATTAATTGCATACCAATCATCTGGCTATGTTAATTAGAATGAATAATATAATAGTTAATGGTGCTAATACATTAATAATAATGCCAATAGCTGTTACTATTCATAATACATTATTCATATTGATATTAAGTATCAGGCAAGATTTCAATGGCAAACCCATTTTTTTTGACTCCATAATATTGGTTCCCATGGAAAAGGGGGGAGGAAGAAATTTGTATTAATTATGTATTGCCAAATAATAAATAATTTCAATAAGTAATTACTGAATTAATAATTATTATTTATTATCTTTCAGTTTCTATAGGAATTTGGAAATGGCTTGGCTAACAGGTTTTAGTCAAATATTGAGGCTACAGCTATCTGTAGGACTGACAAAGATTGAAAGGTTTGTTTACAAAGTGGTATTCACATGGCTGAGAATTTGATGCTGGCTATTGGCAGGAGGCCCTGGATCCTCTCCAATTGAGATTGTCTGCAGGGTTGCTTGAGTATCCTAATGGCATGAAGGTTGGCTTCCTCCAGAGGGAGAGGTACACAAGACCAGCCAGAAGCTGCAAAAGCCTTTTATAACTTAGCCTCAAAAAGGAAACATCATCGCTTCTACCATATTCTCTTGGCCTCATCGTTAGCCATGATTGAAATGGGAGGGGAGTGCGATATTCATGAGCCATGAATGTCAGTGGGGGAGAGTCATGGGGCCATGGTTAAGGCTGGCTACCACAAAATGTTTAACTAACAAAAATAAACATTTTTTACAAAACAAAACAAAATGTTTTACTACAAAATGTTTAAGCAAAAAAATCTATGAAACTGTTTAAATCATCAGAGTGTCTAATATGTGCCAACCTTCAGGGTTGCAAAGATGGTTAGATAGAATAATAACCATTGAAGAAATCCTCGTTAAGTAGAGGAGTCAGTCGATAATAAACAAAAATTAATTGAAACTGGACAGACTTGTATATGATGAGATGCAAGCAATGTATATGGGGAAGCTATGGCAGCACAAAGGGAGAGGGGTGAATCTAACCGGGGCAACGGATAAGGCAATGAAAACCATAGGATTTGATCTTGGCCTTAAGAAATAAAGAGGTACTTGGTAGTTGGGAATGGGATTTAGGCTTGAGAAAAACTACAAATGCTGGAAAATACGCGGTGTGTTATTTTATTTTATTTTGTTTTGTTTTATTTGAGACAGAGTCTAGCTCTGTCGCCCAGACGGGAGTGCAGTGGTGCAATCTCAGCTCACTGCAACCTCTGCCTCCTGGGTTCGAGGGATTCTCGTGCCTCAGCCTCCCGAGTAGCTGGGATTACAGGTGCCCACCACCACACCCAGCTAATTTTTGCAGCGTGTTTAAATAACAACGAGTAATTCTGTATGCTTTATAGTAAGCGGTGAAGGCAAAATCTAATTTAACTTTACAGGACACAGGTAAGTTTCTGTGTTATAGACTCACTGAATTGCAGTATTCAAAGAGCTGGGTAGATAATCTAATTCCAATCCTATCATTTTAATTGAGGGGCCTGAAGATCAGACTTTGCAGGAGTTACCCAAAGTCACCTGGAAAGGGGAAGCACTGGAAATAAATACAGTTTACTGCACATCCTGGCCTCCTCTTAGTATCAGACCAAGAAACCAGTGACGATAAGAGTGAGTGACTCAAGGATGATCATCAATTAATGGTCACGTTTTTAATGAGATGAATTTGGAGAACAGCAACACAGAAATCTATTTATAATGATGTTAATTTCTTATATTAAAAATGTACCTTAGGTATTGGGGATCTCCACTGATGAAGATGAGTCAGTCCTGCTTGGTAAATCAAGTACTTGGCTGCTTTAAACCTTTATTTTCTATAAAGAGCAACAGCCCTGTTTTAAGAATATCTTTCTTTGCTATGTTCATTCCATTTTCTTATTTTCCCTTCCTAGTTTACATATAAACCCAAAAGCACTCAAAGCACGTTTCTCAATCCTTCATATTAGGAACAATTAAAGCCAATACAGGATCTTTCCCTAAGGCATTTTGAGCTGATTTGCCACAGAATTCCAGTGGATTAAATCAGAATGTTTGTGTCTGCTTCCCACACCCCTACATGCATAGAACATTTCCACACATAAAAACTGTCATGTGTTAAACAAGGGCAGCGGTTTAAAGCCTTAAGCATTAATGAAGTACAGTGTAGAACTGAATTGAAGAAAGAAGTCGAAGTGTGGGGTGCATCTGGCTGCCATGCTCACAGGCTGAACAATTCCCAATTAGTGTGCGTGTGTGAATTTGGACATTATTCTCATTTGAGGGTTCTATTTTCAGCCATCAATTATAGTCATTAACAATGATGAATGCTGGAAATAGTTGTACTACACTGTGGAGCTAATTTTAAGTAAATGTACCTCACTTTCTTCTGCACATTTTGGATTACTGTAGAATGCCATGTTAATGGCTCCCAAGGGGCTGTGCAAAAAGGAGACTTTTTTCCAGATAATTTTACACTGAAAGGGAGAAATTTGTTATTAAGGGACATTTTGTCGTATATTCCACAGGTTATTTATCATATTTGGTTAAAACAATCAGAGAAGGGGAAAGGCTCACAAAATTCAACATCTTCCTTCCATCAGAATTGATGACTATAATTGTTTTGCAATTATAAGAGCCTGGCAATTTAAGGGATTTTCCATGTTACGGAAAGGTTATCAAATGTTGGTGCACATAAGAATGGTCTGGACAACTTGTTGAACATGCGGGTTCCAGGCTGCACTCTCAGAGATTTGACTGAGCAGGTGCCATTTGCCTGTCACTTGTCTCTTCACCCTCGGCTCCATGCCCTGTTCGGCTTTGTGTGCCAGGGATGCACATGTCCCTGGTGACATGGCCCCGTAGCTTCCTGTTACAACATGAATAACTGACAGAAGCCTGGCAATTTATAAACGGGAATATGTATGGGTGTTTTTTCCTCTCTCTTTCTGTTTCAGGGGCACCTGTGGCAATGGCTGTACTTTTTCTGAAGTTCCAGTCTACATGGGACAGTTCATCCCTTCATGGTCTCAGCTCCTGTCTAATGACCTTGGCTTCTGGGCAGGTGACAGCACCACCCCCTGTATTTTTTCCATTCCAGGGCTGGTAATGGTTTCCTGCCATTGAGAACATTTAGGTTGCCTCACTGTCTCCCACTTGGCTGTCTTCTTTAGCACTGATGGGAGGATCTGGGCAGCATATCACAGTATCCCCAAAGAGGATCAGACCCTGGAATGTGGCCACCCCACAGGTTGTCTCCCTCTCTTATTTCTAACTTTGTGTTCCTTCACATGCCACACACGCAGAGAGACACATAAAAATTCACTGAGGACTGCAAAAAAAATTAAAATGCAACATATTATTTGGCCACTGACATCCATATTCTCAGTATTGGAACTTTTTTCCATTTTGAACCATTTTTTCCATTTGGATAAAATCAAATCATGCAGGTCCGACAAAGAACATACGTAGGTAAAACTAATCTGGATTCTCAGCTCTAGTCTCAGTGTAAGGCTTAGATATTAAGTCCAACAAACCCTTGAGATAGCGGTGTGACATTTAGATAACATTTTCTGTGAGAGTTTGCTAAACAACACAAACATATCAGCACATGAAATCAGGAGTTGGGAATAGGTCACCTGAAGATGGATTTTATTTTTCTTTAACATGATTGCTTCCCAAATAAATGCCAGGGACACTGGACTGGCTTTGCTATCCAGCACCTGATAGTTCAGAGGCAGAGTCTGAGGAGTGACTAGGTCACAACAGTCAGGTGTGTTCACAAGGTCCTGAGGCCAGGAGGAAGAAGACAAAATCCTGGGCACAATTCAAGCAATGTCAAGGGAGAAGAGAAGCTCAAGTTGTGAGCATGGACTGTCAGAGACAGAACAGGCAAGCAGAACCTCCAAGCTGGGCAGGGGCTGAAGCAGTCAGGAGGATGGACCATGAAAGGAATAGGCACAAAATGAATGAAGGTGGAGGAAGAGCTGGTGCAGGTCACCCTTGGCTCAGCAAAGACATTCTGCATACATCTTTTTTTATGGATGGGTCAAGCCAGGGAGACACATGCAAGCATTAGGCTCCTCCCTCCAGACATTGCACTAACTCTTCAGGTATTCAGGTTTCATGAGTTAGTTCTTCAAGCCAGCACATCTCTGACTAAGGTAGGAAAAATGCCTTTAGCTGCACCTGGCAGAAGAGCAAATCACAACAATCTAATAGACTCAGGACTGACCTTCCTTGATATTACTTTGGTCAAGGTACATAACACAGCTCAGCCTCATGAACTCTTTTTGCAAATGGGGTCTATATGACCTGTGGTAATTAAGAAACATGAGAGAACATCACCCATAAAGGAGCTCTAGGATCACTGTCATTGAAATCCAGGGTGTTATTATTATGTTTTAAAAGGGCATTCATGACTGGCTTAGTAGCATCCAATGTCTTCATATTTCAAAATTCCCATTTTGAATTTGTGTTAGTCCTAAATAATATAAATACTTTGAGTCTTTAAATCTAGTCAAACAGCCTGATTAGACCACATGGCCCAACAAAGGCCTTTCCCTGAACAGAAAAGAATGCTATATGACTATCACACTGCAAATATTCTAAGAAAAAACATCAACTTCTAATGTGTTATATACGCCTACATATCTATAACACATAAATGATAGTCATTTAAATTTGTATGGTGTTTTTTGTTTGCAAATAGCTTGATGTATATTATCTCATTTGATGGATACATTTAATTTCCTTTTCATAATATGACTTAAGTTGAAAAAACAGAAGTTTAGAGAATTTGATATCCAGTAACAAACAACACAGGACAAGGTATTTTGGTCTCAGAGTGACTGATTTCTTTTATTCTACAAGCTCACACACAAAAGAGGGATTCTCCCAGGTCAATGTGCAAATACTCCCCTTTGGGAGTCTTCATTCATAGTTTTGGGTACTTCCGCTCCTCATTCTGTGTCGTTTAATGCTTACTTACTCTCTTTGCCAAACGACTTGACCTATGGGATTTAGTGCATTCCAACTCCTCAGGGATCCATATTAAATGAATGAACAGTATTGAGACAAAGATAAAACCCTGGCTATGGAATTTTAGATATTGACACCAGCCTAGATATTTAGAAAGCTTTATGGAAGATCGGAGTTATACTGGCATGTATTGATTCAGAGAGATTTAAAAGGTTTTCACTTACTTATCCTATGAAAGCAGCCCCACCTTGTGACTTTGTATGCTGTGGATGCCTCTTCTTGCTCTATTTCCAACTGGGTTACCCTTGATTTGGGAACGTTTTATTGAAGTATGGATATACAAAGCAGAAACACTTAGCGTTGACATGATCTCCACCTATGTTGTCCACTGTGGCAATGGGTCCCACAACACATATATGGCTGCCCACCACTTGCACTTTCATGAGAATACAATGTCCTTAATTGTCTGGCACCTTTCCTCCATCCCCTCAAACCCGTCCTCCGTTCTGTTCATACACACCTGCCTGCAGACTCTGGAACATGCCATCATTTTGCCTTGCAGCTGTGTGCATCCTATTCCTTGAGTCTGCAAAGTCTTTTTCTTCATCCTTCCTTCAAAATTTCTTCCTTCCAGATTCAACTCCTGCTTTAACCATGCTCCTCTAGGCTGAGTTAGTTAAATCCCTTCTGTATGCTCACATTGCCCTTGTATAGCTCAGCTGTAACACTTATCATATTGTTTTGCAATTTTTCATTCACCTGTTATGTCCACTGCTTGCCACCCTCACCCAAAGGAACTTAAGAGTGTGACTGTGGAGAATGCTTTCTCTGTGTCTCTGGCACTTCATATGCTTTTTGAATGAGTAAAACAAATAATGAATGAATGAATAAGTTTATTGAATGTAGAACTTAAAGAGGATCAAAGATGAGCTCCCCATAATTTGGGCCTTTGAATGAAGGAACCAACTGGAGCCTACTTGAGAATCTTCAAACAGCATCTTCAGGACAGCTTGCTGGTCAAGGGGTGGGACCAGGAGATCACAGTTGTCATTACACGTAGTTTATAGTATCTACGGCCTGGATGAATGATTTGTGTTTTGTTTTTAGATCCATGTTTTCCATGAATGATTCTACTTAGTTTGTAACTAGGTGCTAATTAAACCATCAACTGGTGAGACAACACGGAATACGATGTGTTCTACTGATAAGTTGCTGCAATGGATTTCCTGGGATAGGAGAGAAGGAGAAAACCTTACAGCTAAGGGACATGGTAAAATCTGAGTATAAGATGGGAAGAAACTGTTAAGCAATAGCTTCAAGCAGCATAGGCAAAGTTCTAGGAATGCTTTTTGAGGAACAGTAATATCCTTTTCCTGTAAATATATATCCACTCTGACACCAGTTCAACTTCAGTTTTTTTTTTCCGATAATAATCAGATAAATACCAGAACAATCTACTCCACCTAAATACTGACTGGGGCAAAAGGTAATTTTTAATTGAATAATTATTGAACATCATTGAAAAGAATTGTTTGTAAATAACAGGCAGGTGAAACACCAACATTTTAAAATAACAATCTTCTCTAAAAAATTATGGTATTTACAAACCATTGAACAATCACAGCTCATAGGATTATTTCTGAACTTAAAGGATGTCCTGAGATTAAAGCATGTAATGCAGTCATGCATCCCCACTATTTATTCAATAGATATTTAAGTGCCTACTAAATGTTAACCAGTTTTTCAACAACAGTATAAGCAGCGTGTTGCTGAACACAGGTAATATATGACCACTAGTGTTCAAAAACTTAACATGTAATGACGAAAACCAGAAAACACATTTTAGATGGCCCTTTGGAATGTACCCAGTGAACCCAATCTACTCATGGGTGCATTGCCACATAGGACAGTAAAATCCACCGTGAAAATATTTTAGCTTTTGCATGTGGAATTACAAACTCATCCAACAAACTGATCTTAATTCTGACATTTGTTCATGGCTTTAAATTGGCAGAAATCTGATTTTCTTCCCTTCAAGAGCAAATGTCAGTATATTTGTTACCTTGTACCTTTGAACGGAAGTAGAGTAGAATCTGATCATTTTGAGGGGAGGCAGTGGTGTTTCTGGAACATATGAGAGGTAAGTTTAAATTTGGCCATCAAACTTTTTTCTACTTTCATATATGTTGTAAACACTTATCACCAAAAAGAAACCAAGGCAATGTGAAATGACCCTACTTGTCCCCAAACTAAGTTTTATCCATATTTTATTAAACTGATAAATGAGAAAGATACATTTATGGTATACAATGTGATGTTTTGATATATGTATACATTGTGGAATGATTGAATCAAGCTAACTAATATTCATCACCTCATATCCTTATCATTTTTGTGATAAGAATATTTCAATCTACTCTCTTAGCAATTTCCAAATACACAACACATTATTAATTACAGCCATCATTCTGTACAATAGACCTCCAGAACTTATTCCTCCTGTCTAACTGAAGCATTGTACTTCTAGATTTTCTCTGGTAATGTACAAAGATTCTAAGGTAACTGTTCTAACCTGGTATTAGTATGATAAGTGAGCTGGACCATCCAGCTGAAATTCCTGAGAAGTCTCCAGAAGCCATGCATTCTGGGCTAGCAACTCTGTCAATTCTTCAGGCAGGTGAACTTGCTCCATTGCTGTGGAGATGCACATTTCAGAGCCACATCTACCACAATGCCCTATGCAAATGGCTAGTTAGGGTGCCTTGGCAGTCAATTAGCATGAAAGGTAGTCAGCACCTCCACAGTCTGCTGTTAAGAGTTTAGTTCATGCTGATAACTTTCTAGATGATTGATTCCATTCATTAATTCTGGAGACCTCTCCCAAAGTCCCCCCTCAACCCCATCCCTATAAACAAAAGAGGGAAAGGCAACGGACAAGGAGAATAATATTTATTCTTCTTCTAAAGGTATGTACGTAAACATAGCATTTTTTTCTTCCATTTCAAAGAATGTCAGGTAGGTTTTGAAGAAACTTCTTGCAATTTTCATCTTATTTCAAAGAACATCAGGTGGGTTTTGAAGAAACTTCTTGCAATTTTCATCTTATTTCCTATGAAGAGTAGACTTGTACAGAATATTTTGTTTCTTTAACAGGTGTGTCATAGGAAAAGGTATCTGAGGTATTTAATAATCCTTTTATCTAAATAATATCTTATATACATAATCTCCCTTAATATTTATTGAAATGATCCAAAGTCTCCTCTTGAATTGGGTATAAATCATGGATATCTTTATTCTGAAAAATTAGAAAAATGAGTCTGCAGTCAAGTGACATTCACTGAAGTACTACCATAGTTTTTCTTCTTATCTTTGAAAAGCTTTGTTATAGACCAATGACTGCTGGAATGAAGGTTATATCTGTGAGGAAGATGGCAGTTTTTGAAAACAGTTTCTAAGGAAGAAAATGGCTTTCAAGAAACAGCTACCCAAAAGAAAAGTTCTACCATTTTTAAGGCAATTAGTTCACTATTTACCATAATTCAGGGCTCCATATTCTCACTAATAATGACAAACACACCTTATTTCACTTATTATTCCTTTAACTGTTCACTAGTACTGGAATATGTTAATGCTGTAAGAGCTAAAGTTCATATGTCAGCCACATTTTTTGTTATTAAAAATGCTGAGAACTTTAGAAGGACCGTAGCAAACACATATGGTAGAAGTAAATGCCGTATCATTTCAAAGATAAGCTTCACGTCACATTATTTTGTTACTTATATTTTTCCTAATGTCCATTGTACAGACACATTTTCCTCTTCATATTTTGCACTCATATAATTTATAACGCATTATACTAAACACCTTTGTGACAAAAGTAGTTTGATAAAAGAATTTGTGTTCAGGAGTGCCTTTACTTAAGCTTTTTGTAAAAAACAAATCCATTGACTTTGGAATAAAATAATTTCATAGCAATAATGTTTCAAGGTAGATGAGACTTCTTCTCCATTCAAAAGCTTAAAAAAAGCTTTGAGTTAAATAATGTTTATTCATAAAATGTTTGATTTGTAGGGAAAACATACATCTTTATGGAAATGTCTGCATTAAAGAACTTCTAAAACCTCCAAGTTCTTGAGAGTCTGGCATATGCAGTAGAACTTAGCACATAGTATGTTTTCAGTAAATGTGGTGTTTTTTCACCTTTCCCTCCCCAACACCTCCCACTGCCACTTCCCATCCCCCATGCGTATTCCCTTATCAGAGACAACAACAATAATGTGAAATAATACAATTTGAAGTGAGGTATCTGAAGTCCAGAGATTCCTTGCAAATGTGTTGGTGTGTGTAATTAACAATATCGGAATATTTCTTTAAATTAAGAATTACAAATATCTGTGCAAAACTTCTCTTTATGATCAAAGTTTTATATTACTGTATTTCTTTATAATCACAGATGTTTAAAGGCAGACAGCACTGCCTTCTGATGAATCAGTTGTTTCCACTGGAATAGGTTGAGCAGAAGTTTGGTAATCTTCAGGATGGCCCTGGATGAGGGGGAATTCCTGCAGAGGGTGTGAAGTTGGATTTGGGCAGAGAATTTGAATTTTATAGATAAATGAAGGGTGCTGAAAACATTGACTGCTCTTCATGAATCTCAACTTTTTCTTATTCCAGTTAAAAACATACATCTACATACATCACTGATATCTTCTCTAGCCATCATGCCAAAAAGAAAGGATATTCCAACACCAAGAAAGCAAGAACTACAGCGTCTCTGAATAGCTAATCCTCAGAAAATCAGAGGTGACAATTCTTACAAAGGAGAATATGCATCATTGTTGTAGTATATATTCAATACATATCATTAGTATCTATCTATTGCTGGGAACAACTTGACCTGAAATGTAGTGGCTTTAAAAAACCATTTTATCTGGCTTGAACCCAGGAGGCGGAGCTTGCAGTGAGCCAAGATTGGGCCACTGTACTCCAACCTGGGCAACAGAGCGAGGCTCTGTCTCGAAAAAAAAAAACCAACAACAAAAAAAAACCATTTTATCATGTCTACAATTGGATGGGTGGACTGAGTTCAGCTTGGGTCTCAATGGGTCTCAATGTAAGTCAGCTGGCATTGGCTGGGAGATCAGCTTCAGCCTTGGACCAGAGCATCTATGTGTGGCTTTGCCATGTGGCTTGAGCTTTTCATAGTATGATGCCTGTGTCCTGGAAGGGAGTGTCTCAAGAGCAAGCATTCAACATAGGAGGCAGAAGCTTCTAGTCCCCCTAAAGTTTAGGCTTAACCTGGTTCAGTAGTCACAAGGGCTGCCCAGATTTAAGAGAAAAGGAAAGAGATGCCACCTTTCAGTGGGGGGCATGACAAAAAATTTGCAGACATTTTTAATCTCTCAAAACCATTATTCTTATGTTTTTCTCATTGTGCTTTGGCCTGGTGAGAACATTGTCAAAGATTGGCACTTGTCAATGGACCATCATTAGAAAAATCACAGGTGGCCTAAATCACCTCAACAAGTCACACTTCCAACTCATAAATTTATTTATTTTCTTAGAATAAGTAAAAACTCCACAGTTATGTACCTTTTTATACTTATTTGGCATCAACTCTCAGAAAGAAATTTATCTTAAGAACATATTCCTTCACTAAATCAACAAACATTAATGAGCGTCTATTCCAGGCATGGTTGAGTGGTGGATATAGTGAATTAAGTCCTCACACAGGCCCTGGCCAAGAAGAGCTTGCATGAGTAACTAAGTCTTTTCTTTGAAGGGATATTTCCATGGACAGTGTCTCTTAATGGGTGGGGGAGAGCTGAAATACTCATCGGCTGCATATTTGTTCCCCAAAATATTATACCAATCATTTACTTCCTCATGCCAGGCTACACTGGTGTTAAGCTCTTTTCACAGGCCACTCAGCAAAGCAGAAGAATATCTAGCATCACTATGTCATGAATAGGCTGCAGTAACCATGCAGTGAACTTCACAGACTGGGCATAAAGGGTGAAGAAAAAATACTTTGCTTTCCCGCCTTCTAAACACATAATTTTCATTCAAGCTTGCATTTCCCCTCCTATTCTAGAAAGTAACAAATTGCCCTACAGATCTCTACAAGAGCCTATAGACTTTTCCAATGAAATATACACTGGCAAGGTAAAATAACCATATCTTAAAATAGCATTATATATCACTGATATCTCACAAATATATTGCAATTGAGAAAATAACACACACATTCACATACACAAACACACACACGCACACAGAGAGAGAGAGAGAGAGACACTTAAGATATGTGATTTATCAGTGGGCTCAATGAAATCACCAAAATTAAATCAATTCTCCCCAACCCCCAGCTTGGTAAGAGTAACTTGTACAATTGATCAGGAAGCTGTACAGTCAATTCAAGTCCATCACTGACAGCTGAGCTTATCAGTGAGACCACCATAGCCACCAATTGCTCAGCAATTAATTGGATCTCCCTCTGGTCTATCCAATTACATCATTAAGAAATAACCAGACCAACCATTTTACAGTCTGGTTACTCCAGTTGTCTTAATGACTGAATTGGATTGGGCTGCCCAGTGATTTCATCAGTGGCTTCACAATTGGCCTGTAAATGATCAAGACAGCCAGTCATCCATGGCCAGTGTAATTTCACTAATAAAGTGGAGCTGTCTCCTCATATGCTGCAGAAGCACTAACAGGATTGTTTTCACTATAAGCCATGGCCCCGTCTGACACGAGGACATTTTCTGACAATTACACAGCCATATGTACATTTGACCAGCCTGCCCATGGCTTAGAATAACTCTACCACCTCCAGTATGGAAGCTGCAGTGTTACTGAAGATGCAAGTCCAATTAAGTGAATTGCAGTTGCGAACCAAGCATGTTGATAAATAGTTGGAAACTTACGAACGCCGTGATGACCGCTATTTAATGTAAATCTCTTTTTTTCCTGCTTTCAAAAGAAATAAATGACCATTTCTTCCTTGGCTGACATGTTTGATCAAAGAATGGAATAAAAGCATTGAAGAAGTAGTGCTTTTAAAAGCAATCTAGTCATTCTTGGACTATAAAACCTAAATTACAACCCCAGATTTTTCTGGCAGATATGTCTGTTCAATGCAGCTCTTTTCTATTCAGCAGATATTGGTCTTATTTTGCAAATATGATTTGCTTCGCATAGACAGCTATAGACACACACACACACACACACACACACACACACACACACACACACACGAAGAGCTCACCTGCTGCTATCTTATATTTTCCTGTCTTTCCTTAGTGAGTGCTTGATTTGAAAAGTGCAGATTTTAAAGTCATCGTTAAAGCTATTTTATAGTTCACTTTTGCTTTGTCATTAGCAATACTCTTTCAAATATTTATCCATGTTGCTTCTAAATAAAATGCCCAAGCAAACATTTATGAGGCATTTGTGAATATATTTAGAAGAGGAATGATTGTCTGTGGGTCATAAGCCATTCTCTGCTATAATAGATTTTAACTCAGCAGTTTATTTGTAGGTGTTGTAGTGGAAACCAACGTGCCGGCTGGTTCATGGCCTATAGGAACATCAGCAGAGTCTCATTTACTGAGCATCACAGAACACAGGGAAATTAGTATAATTCAGCATGTAAATTGTCACTGAGGTAGATAATCCACCTCTTCCTCCCTTATCTGCTGTATCTGCGGTTTTCTTTCCTAATTTGCTGTCCTTTCCTAGTCTCTAAAATCTCTTCCTTTCTTCCTCCCGCAAAAGGCCAGATTGAATATTCCATGTGATATTGATGGATAATTTCAAATATGTATATAAAAATCACAGTTGGTCTTCTCTCTATATAAATAGCAAATGTGGATCAATTTAGTGAAATTAAAGTTATTTCAATAATGTTATCATTCAATAATGCTGTTAGGACTTATCTTCTTACATGCAAATGTAAAAATTTACATTTGTTACTTGTAACCAGTTCTATCCATAAAAGATAATAGTAAATTGCACAATAACTTTCAGTTTCATTCCTGTACATTACTATTTCTTGTTAATAAATGTAATTAAGTTATGACTTCAAACATGGTATATTTTATCATAACTATTTCATTAACTATCCATGAAAACAATAAAGAAAAATTCAACTATTCAAACAAAAGTTTAGGATGTATCACATATCATTTGGCTTAGAGACTATTAATATAGTTTATATTAATATAGTATTGTAAAACATACACACCACATTTTAGATCTGTTGTCTGGTAAGTGTACGCCACAAAGGTACAAGAATAGATCCCAGGATTCAAGCTGGATTATTTTCCCTGCTGGACTTTGCTTTAATTTGTATCATTATAATGGCCAATTGACCAGATCTGCATGTCCCTAAATTCCTGATCCTCAAAGTTCATTCTGATGTTTTCAATGATTAATGAGGCTACTTGTTTTTTCAATGCTTCTTGACTAAAAGTGAAACAGCAATCGCATAATAATTATTTGACAGAATTTCAATGTAGTTCATGTACTTTCCAGGGCTCTAGATTGAGTGTCCTAACTGTTGCACAGTTCAAGTCCTGACATTACATTGAAAGATGCAGTCCTATAAAATAATGCAGTTTTCACACTCTTCATATGGTATACAGTCGTCCCTCGGTATCCACAGGGGACTGGTTCTAAGACTAAGACCCCCTTGGATCCCAAAAGCCACAATGCTCCATCCTCTTATTAAAAATGGCATACTATTTGCATATAATCTATGCACATCCTCCTGTTACTTTAAATCATCCCTAGAGTACTTATAGTACCTAATACAATGTAAATAGTTGTTATACTGTATTGTTCAGAGAATAATGACAAGAAAGATGCGTGTACATGGTCAATACGGACACACTATCCATTTTTTGAACATTTTCAATCCAAGGTTAGTTGAATCTACAGACATGGAGCCCACAGATTCAGAGGGTTGACTGTACATGCAAGTATATACAATTTATTTCAATAAGAAAACTAAAAGTTAGCATTTCCAAATCCGGCCCAGACTGTATTTAATGCAAAGCTATCATGGTGATGTCAGGGTCAGAAATGTATTATTAGCACCCAATATACTTTCTTGTCTTCAAAACTAAATTTTAAAATATCTAATAATTTATAATAAATATTAAATAGAAATACAAATTACAACCAAGTAATTTGTAATATGTCCTGCGGAGTGAGGGACTTATAAAACAAAGGAGGAAAATTGCTGGATATTTAGAAACTACATTTTAAATAAAATAGTAAAATGAAGAAATGTTTTAAAATAATTTACACAAAATATTGTACAACTTAATATGAAGACAAGCAATGCTTTAAGGAAATATATACACGAAGTAACTATAAAGGAGAAGAACTGAATTTTATTAAAATTAAGAATTTATGGTCATTAAGACACTACTAAGAGAATAAAAAGGCAAACCACAGAGAAGATATTTGCAGTATGACCAAGGATCTGTGTCTGTGGATCTATTTGATGGCACACATGTCTGGAGAGGTAAATGCTAGCCTCTCAGAAAGGTGCTCCATTGTGTAATGTGAACAGCAGGGGCTTAGTCCCAATGCTGAGTACAACATATTTAGGTGGCTATATATTCAGGCGACTTGGGGCTCTGAAGTCTAAAACTGAGAGACTCTTTTATTTCTCATGTTGATATAGCATGAATACAAATTACCAAATACATATTAATAAAGCTCAGATGACATCTTAAGGAGTGACAGAGACAATGAAAAGACAATGGGAGAAACTATAAAAAACTTAAAACAAGCTATCCTTGCTGGGAGGTTTTCTTAGCAGAATTCTCAGGCAGAGAAAAGATAGCAGTGAACACATTTAAGAAAATATATATCAAAGCTGATTTTATTTTAAAGGGCTTATTCCCAGTTCTGACAGGCCATTGAGAATAGGTACAATTTTAGCATAAATCACTCGATTAGGTTTTAGTTAGACACACAGCCCATCTTCTAAAAATATTCAAACTACTGTACTAAAAACTGGCAGAAGGGCCCAGGCACAGTGGTTCATGACTGTAATCCCAGCACTTTGAGAGGCCAAGGAGGAAGGATCGCTTGAGCCCAGGAGTTCGAGACCAGCCTAGGCAACATGGTGAGACCCTGTCTCTACCAAAAATAATAAAAATTAGCTGGGTGTGGTGGTGTGCTCCTGTAGTCCCAAATACTCAAGGGGCTGAGGCGGGAGGACCACTCGAGCCTGGGAGGTTGAGGCTGCAGTGAGACTGTGCCACTACACTTCAGCCTGGGTAACAGAGCAAGACCCTGTCCTCGCCCCCACCCCCTACTCCTGCCAAAAAGAAAAAAGACGGGCAGAGGGGTGGAGGATGGCTAATGGAAAGACTTTAACTGTACCCATTCATGCTTCAGCACACAGTGTCGCTTCTCCTAGGATATAGAGCATGGTATAGTTGAGGTTTAAAGAGCTGCTTAAAAAAAAAATCTATTGTGTATATTTAAGATTTGCAACATGATATTATGGGATACATATAGATAGTAAAATAGGTACTACAGTGAAGCCATTTAACATATCTATCATCTCACACAGTTCTTTTTTATTGGGGTGAGAATAACAAAAATCTACTTATTTAACAAAAATCCAAAATTCAATTTTATTAGCTGTAGCCTTCATGCTGTATATTCAGTCTCTGGAGTTGTTCATTCTATATATCTGCCACTTTGTATCTGTTGACCTATATCTCTCCATTTCCTCCCCCTCTTCCCAACCCCTGGATAGCTTTATTATCTCTCTCTGAATATCTGAACTTTTTTTTAGATTGCACATATAAGTGAGATTATGCAATAATTTATCTTCTGCATCTGGCCTATTTTGCTTAACATAAATGTCCTTCATGCCCATCTATTTTGTGGTAAATGGCAGGATCTCCTTCCATTTTAAGGCTAAATAATATTCCATTGTGTGTGTATATTTTATATATATGTTTATGTACCTATATTGACATATAAATATATCGATATAGATATATATTTATATATCAATATAACTATATATTTATATACTTATATATTTATATATATTTATATAATTATATACTTATTTATATTTATATAAATATATATAAATATTTTATATATGTTATCTATATTTATATTTATTTATTTATATACATTTATATAATTATATACTTATATATTTATATTTATATATAAGTATATATATTTATATACTTATATATAAAATATATATTGATATCTCTCTATACTATGTAAATATTTATATATGTTTGTATATATAAATATATATATTTTTATATATATAAATATATAGATACAGATTTACACCACATTTTCTTTGTGCATTCATCCATCAATTTACAGGTTGTTTTCAGAACCCAGCTATTGCAAATAATGCTGCAATGAACATGAAAATGCAGATATCTTTACAAGGTAGTGATTTCATCTACTTTGGGCATATACCTGGCAGAGAGATTGTTGCGTCACATGGTATCAAAGAGCTTGCTTTTGAATCCCTGCTTCTCCAATTACTAGTTGTGTAATAACTTCACGGCTTTGACTTCATTTGTCAAGCAAATATTTGCTGAACTGGCACATAGTACCAGCTGCAGGGAATGCATAACCAAAAAAAGCCACAGTTCGTGACTTCTTGGTGAGAGAAACAAACAAGTTAACAATTGCTATCATTAGAGCGTGGTCAGTGCTGTGATAGAATCTATTAGCACAGGGCACTGGCTCCAGGAGCATATCAGCAGGATACTAAAGCCAGTCTTTTCAGAGGAGTTTCAACCAGAGTGACTTCATCCTGAATAGAGACTGGGTAAAATGAGGCTGAGACCTGCTGGGCTGCATCCCCAGGAGGTTAAGGCATTCTAAATCACAGGATGAGATAAGAGGTCAGCACAAGATAGGGGTCATAAAGATCTTGCTGATAAAACAGGTTGTGGTAAAGAAACTGGCCCAAACCAGCCAAAACCAAGGTGGCAGTGAAAGTGACCCCTGGTTGTCCTCATTGCTCATTATACACTAATTCGAATACATTAGCATCCTAAAAGACACTTTCATCAGTGCCATGACAGTTTACAAATGCCATGGCAACTTCTGGAAGTTACCCTAGATGGTCTAAAAGGGGGAGGAACCCTCGGTTCTGGGAATTGCCCACCCTTTTCCCAGGAAACTCACGAATAATTCACAATTTGTTTAGCATACAATCAAAAAAGAACTATAAGTATACTCAGTCGAGCAGCCCATGCCACTGCTCTGCTGATGGAGTAGCCATTTTTTTATTCCTTTACTTTCTTAATAAACTGGCTTTCACTTTACTCTTTGGACTCTCCCTGAATTCTTCCTTGAGGAAGGTCCAAGAACCCTCTCTTGGGGTCTAGGTTGGGACCCCTTTCCAGCAACAGCCTTGAGGGACCAGGAAAAGCCACCACAGGGTGGGACAAAACATGTAAGCTGAGTCCTGAACAATGAGCAAGGGTTCCCCAAGGCATGAAGGAAGAGCAGAGAAGAGACCCTGCTATGAAAATCCTCGAGGAAAAAGAAAGCATAGCTTTTGGGGGAACAAGAAGTGGTCCAGTAGGTAACTGGCATTCAAATAATAAAATGACAAGAAGTAAGGCTGAAGGAAGGGCAGGGCCAGGCCAGGCCACACTGAGGATGCACCTACGCTTTATTCTGAAACTAATTAGGGAGGAAAGAACCCAATTAAAATTGCAATTTAAAACCTTCATCTGGACTTTAAAGGGTGAGATGGAGAGGAGGATGGTGGCAAAAATATAGACAGAGAGATTAGAAGGGTGTGGTGGTGATCCAGGAGAGATATGGTGGTGGTCTAACCTAAGATACTGGCACCAGGGATTAAGAGAAGAAACAGTTGTGAGAGGCATTAGGAAAGAAAAATTAACAGAACTTAGTAAGATATCGGGCATGGTGAACAATGGTATGTCAGAAATGAGGCTTGGATTTCATTTTGGGCATAGTTTGGTATGAACTCATTAGATACCATTCAAGCTTGCATAAGTGAGTTTCAGAAGAAAGTATCGTGTTTAGCAAACTGCCAATACAAAATCTGCTCTGAAGAACTAATTTTTTGGTGGGCACATTCAGGGAGGCTGATCAATTGTGAGAAAGATTCTAATATTTCCTAAAGGAATCTAACAACAGTGCTGTATCAGAGGAATAGTAGGATATTTCAAATAAACACAGCCTATCTCTTTCTTTCTTGTCACTTATTATTGGGATGAGTGCGCTTTATAAATTGGTTTGCAGAAAAATAATTATAAGAAGTTTATCTTTGCTTTGATTTAAGAGAAAACTGAGTACTTGAAGCATTCCCTCTTCAGCTGACAGCGACTTTTGTGTACAGTATGGATAACCAGATCAAACACCAACCAATAAAAGTTCTATAACAAGACATGTTAATTGAGCCCACAACTTGTGAGAAGAATCTTGAGAACTTACAAAGGCTTAGCCTCCGCTCTCATTGAACTCCATGAGATCAGGTAACGAGCATCGTTTTTTTTTGTGCGTGGACAAGTAGGTATTGAATTCTCGCTGGCACGAACATGGCACCTCATTTAAGCCATTAGACAAAGTCTCTACCATCAGGGTTTATCAATTTATCACTACCAGAGTTTCTATCTGTTTTCACAAAATTGTCTTGGTCTTTTACAGGTTAAAGTCCTCTTTCTCCAGCAAGGCCATAAGTACATGGGAGACAGGGATCCTGCTATATCCTTTCTTTGCATCTGGACTTACCATCGTAATGCCTAGTACAGACTGGAGCTAATGAAGTCCTGCTGCCTGGGGTCAAACTAACAAGAGGGTTGATCATCTATCAGTATCAGATATAAGTTTGCTTGTCAAATATCGAAGGAGCAGAAGGAAGAAGCCGTGGGAGTTATCAAGGTCTTTTGATAAGCTATAAGGTCTATGAATGATTAATCTACTTGCATGTAATGAGTTTAGCTTAGTGACTGCAACGTGTATTGCTATGGCTTGTAAATGATGAAAATCTATTTTTTTTTTGGTTAAAATCAGAAACAAATGAGAATTCGAAGACTATGCCATGTATGGATAGGTAAGTGTTTCATGGTTGCCAGTAGAATTCAGGCTGGTTTGCATGAATTAATGAAAAAGTCTGATTCCAGTACAATTTGGGGGTTCGATGGAGTTGACCTAGCATACAAAAGTCATTGCAGGCTATGTCTTGATCACAGAACACTTACAGAAAACATTATTTGCTAAGTGGAAGAAGCAGCTGCATTATCTACCAGATAATTTGCAATATATCAATTCATTGACCTTCCTACCATGAACTCTTCTCACTCTTCTCATATTACTTAAGTTAGTCCTATGGGTATAGTATGTCAGGCCAAATAGGATCATATATGTGATGTATATGTATTATATACATATAATGAATATATGTAGAGAGAGACAGAGACAGAAAGAGATACACACACACAAACACACACACGCAGAGGGAGACGGAGAGATGGACTGGGGAAGGAAAGATAGCTTTTCTGATGATTAAATAATGTCAGCTTGACACATTAATAACTCCTCAGATATTCAGGTTACAATTGACTAATTATGTAAATAAACTTAAGATTTAAAAGTTTTGAAATCTAATAATCAACATCATGGAAAAAAACTCAAACCCTGTTAACTTCTAGAATCCCATTTTACTTATCAGTGGCAACAAGCTGACTGGCAGAAGAAGAAAAGTTGCATAATTTGACTAGAAGTCTAAAAGTCAGACTCATATAACTTCAACTTAAAAAAGATAATTGAGGAGATAATTTTTCCAGGAAGTCCTTGCTTCCATTATATCTGAATATTTTAGTAAAAAATTTCAAAACTTAGAACTACCTGGACAACTGTCATAATATTTCATTCTGCTACGATCAGGAAGATGTCACTCAAGTAGAAGTGTTTCTTACTTTTGACTATTCTCTCCCATTTCTTGTCTACCCAAGGGAGACTGAGATTGGGATAAAAGGAGGCATCTAACAGTGTCATATGAACACCAGCTGTCGCACACAGGTCTGGAGTTCCATTTTATTTTAGACTACATTAAAAAAAAAAAGAACTATTGTTTTGCCATTTAAAAACTCTGTTAAAATATGCCACAGAGTTTCAGCCTTGGGGCATATAACAAAACGAAAACCCACTGGGTTCTTTATCCTTTAAGCTTTAAGGCACTTTAGAGAGGTGTCCATAAAATAAGTTATGTGCATTTTACCTAACTCAGGCGAGCTCTCACCGTGCTGCACTTTGAGTGATAAAAATCTTCCTCTCTCATATTCACATTTTTAAAGAAATGAGTCACTGCATTCTCAGTTTCCATGTCCAGCACTTGAAGCCAAATCCTTTTCATTTGAAAGGGATGAGGCATCCAGAGTGACTGATTTTGCAAGTTGGCCTCTATGATAAATTATTCCCAGATGCTAAGATGGATAAAGTACCCCCTCTGCCCTGAAATACCTGTGTAAGCAGGTGGATTTCAACCAGATGGTTGCAAACACTACATATTCTGCCATTCTTCTGGACATAATTAAAAGTTGAATAAAGACCTTTCCACTGCCAAAGGCATAATCATCACACTTCATCTGATAAAACATTTAGTAAGCACAGACTGTGTGCCAGAACTGTGCTGTAGCAAAAGCTTTGCACTGGTGGAATTAGTCTACACTCAGAAAATATTTATGAAACACCTGTGATGGATATTGAAGAAAGCAGGGAGAATGCATAACCCAGGTAAGTGCAGTATCATGAAAAAGTTTGTACAGGTCTTAATAATAGAAGCCATTACAATTCTAATGAATGGAGTCCAAGGACAAACTGTTATGAACAGAAATAGTAGTTATCTTATTTGTGTTCCACCAGGGGCATAGTGTTAAGACTAGGATATAAGTTCAAATGGTTTATTTAGGAGGTGATCCCAGGGAGCATGGAAAGAGTGGTGAAGTAACACAGAGAGGCAAAGCAATCAATAATGGGTGAATTATTAAGCCAGCTACTACAATGGGTCACTGGAGCTTACTGCTACAGAGAAGCTCTGAGATGTGGTGTATAAGAGAAAGCTTAGAATTATGGCAGCCAAGAGGAGGGGAGCTGGGGTATTGATACACTAGAGAATCACTGATTGAGGGAAAGGTTTTAAGGGATGTTAATTTCTTGTCACTGGCAGCCTGCCATGTGCAGAGTAGTCTTCTGCTGACCAGGAAGGTTTCCACTATAATGGAAAAGAACCCCTGCAACAGAGTTGCAGATACTGGAAGCTAAAAATTGTGTGGAGCATAGTAAAGTGTTAAGGTCCAATGTGAACAGGGCACGGGCAACATCTCCTGCAGTGATGTTATTTTACCCTCATATATTTTCTTTTTTTCTGTCCTTCCTCTCTTCTTCTCTTCCTATTTCTACTTCTCTCCTCAATTAACTTGGTTAAGGGTATCAGAGCAAAGGGGTCTTACCTCTTTTCTAATTGTTATTTTTCCCTTGAGAAAATTATTTACTTGACAATATTACTTTACAATATATTTCCAAAAACAACATGAACATGGAAAAACAAAAACTTTTAATAAAAGCAATGGTAGGTAAACCATGCTGTTTTATGTAATAGTGAACTCCGTGGGCTAGTTTCTTCCCTATGTACACATGTATCACACTGTCTCTATTAAAACATCTGAAGTTCAAGATATTGTGTTGTTGTTGTTTTGAGACGGGGATCTCTCCCTCTGTCTCCCAGGCTGAAGTGCAGTGGCCCAGTCACTGCTCACTGAAGCCTTGAACTCCTGGGCTCAAGTGATCCTCCTACCTCAGCCTCCTGGGTAGCTGGGATCACAAGCATGTGCCACCATGCCTGGCTAATTTTTAATATTTTTTATAGAGACAAGATCTCACTATGTTTCCCATGCTGGTCTTGAACTCATGAGCTCAAGTGATCCTCTTGCCTCAGGCTCCCAAAATGCTATGATTATAAGTGTGAGCCACTGCATCCAGCCAGGATATTTTAATATTCAAGGTGTGACAATATATTTAATTCTATTCAGCTGGCATCTAACAAGAAACAAAACTTTCCTGAGTCCCTGCTTCCCTAGCTCAAAAGTTTCTCATAGGAAATCAATTGACTTGTAGACTTAACATGTCTCTACAGGGCTGCCTTGTTTTGCCTTTTATATGAGCATTCATCATTTTAGAAAAGTGAGCTTAAGAAGTAGCAAGACGTGTAAGCAACAGAATTTCAGATGAAGTCATGGTTACATAAAAAATTTAGAAATGTCCAATGGTTTTGAGTTGCTGAGTTAGAATTCAAGTTGGGTTTCTATAAATTTGCTTTAGCTTGTGCTTTTTTTGGGGAGGGGTTGGTGCATGCTAATGATTAAAGGAATATGTTCTACACTGAAATAAAGACATAGGGAATTAATAAAATATATAGGAAAAATATAGCTTTCCATAATAAGGGGGGAATCAGCCCTATAAAAGAAGTCTTTGAGATATTTCTGGGGTACCTGAACCTGTTAGTTCACATTCCAAGTGAGCATATCAAACATCACTATGATTAATATGTCATTTCTCTATTGTATTCACATTTCTCTGTCATAATAATCAGAACCAGATCTAGGCCTGTTTGTTTCAGTCTGTTGTAAAAAATGTGGCTCTAGAAAATTATTTATGAAGTGGTGTAAAATCAAGGCACCATTTGTCCTTCTAACGTTGAAGAGACAAAAGCAAACAACTTAAGTTAGCTCTGTACTAAAATTCTGATCACTGAGACTTGGTTTCTACTTACCTACTCAAACAAATGCAATTGAATACCTAGCTAAAATTGTGTCTAATGAAGACTAATCTGTGGAAAATGAACAGGCATTTCAGAATTGATAATTCTTGCAAGGATGCAGACTTTTGAGACGAGTGTATTTTTTTTTTTTTTAAATCCAATATACCAAGAACTGGATTCCCTTTTCCTGTTTCAACTCAAGGGGGAGAAATATCTTATCCACATCTCTGAAAGCTCCCTTCCGGGCCTTCTTTATTGTCAGTATGGTATTCTTCCATAGTCAAAAGCTGTGGAGCATGTCAGTTTATTGTGCATGTCCGTCCTCCATATTTATTCAAAGTAACTATTATGGAGGATCAATGGAGCATGAGTTATTCTTGCACTTTGTGTGATATCTCAGAATAGTCTAGACAGCCCCAAATATCAGTTCAGATAACAGTGTGAAAAATAATAAGAGAAAGGACTCAATTCAACTCAATAGGCATTTGCTGGAAGCCCACCTTGTATAAGGCATTGTGTTATAAGTAAAGAAGAATCCAAGGGGTGGGGGACGGCCCTGATTTTGTTCAGTTTACAATCTCATAAGCAGCTTAAACACTGAGCTGGAGTAAGCAAGCTGACATGCAAAGCATGCTTCATATTGCAGAACGTTCAGACATTTGGGGTTACAATACCATCCAAATCAGGCTTCTCATGCAGTTGCCTCTTATGAACTGGTGGGCTCCTTCCTGGCTACCTGTCCTCAGGTCTCAGCATTACTCCCACTTCTTACTGCAGCTTGACTCAACTTTTAGTAGTTCTCTGAGCATGACAGCCTCTTTTTAGCCACCAGACTCTTGCTCTTTTGCCCAGAAGTTTAAACCCTTTGCTGATTGCCTGGCCACTTCCCGCTTATTCATATGTACCAGCTGACGTACTATATCCTTCAGAAAACTTCTAATCTGGATTAGATACCATCTCTATTTCCTCCCCTACTCTGAATTCTCTCTGCCTTTACACTTATGAAACTATCTTATCCATTCACCCATCCAGTCAGCCAGCATTTAATTATTGAGGGCCTTTGATATGTCTGGGGAAAAAAAAAAGATCAAATAAAAGAGATCAGGCTTGTGTTCTTAATTCTATGAAAAGGGATAGACAACAAATAACTAGGTAAATTTAAAGTAAAAGATAATTTGGGGTAGTTGTTAGCAATATAAAGAAAATTAAATAGGAAAGTGAGATACAAGGTCACTGTCAGGAATACAGGGGAGCTACTTAAGATAGGGTGGCCAGCACCTGTTGTTTCCTGACTTTTTAATGATTGCCATTCTAACTGGTGTGAGATGGTATCTCATTGTGGTTTTGATTTGCATTTCTCTGATGGCCAGTGATGATGAGCATTTTTTCATGTGTTTTTTGGCTGCATAAATGTCTTCTTTTGAGAAGTGTCTGTTCATATCCTTTGCCCACTTTTTGATGGGGTTGTTTGTTTTTTTCTTGTAAATTTGTTTGAGTTCATTGTAGATTCTGGATATTAGCCCTTTGTCAGATGAGTAGGTTGTGAAAATTTTCTCCCATTTTGTGGGTTGCCTGTTCACTCTGATGGCAGTTTCTTTTGCTGTGTAGAAGCTCTTTAGTTTAATTAGATCCCATTTGTCAATTTTGGCTTTTGTTGCCATTGCTTTTGGTGTTTTAGACATGAAGTCCTTGCCCATGCCTATGTCCTGAATGGTAATGCCTAGGTTTTCTTCTAGGGTTTTTATGGTTTTAGGTCTAACGTTTAAGTCTTTAATCCATCTTGAATTGATTTTTGTATAAGGTGTAAGGAAGGGATCCAGTTTCAGCTTTCTACATATGGCTAGCCAGTTTTCCCAGCACCATTTATTAAATAGGGAATCCTTTCCCCATTGCTTGTTTTTGTCAGGTTTGTCAAAGATCAGATAGTTGTAGATATGCGGCATTATTTCTGAGGGCACTGTTCTGTTCCATTGGTCTATATCACTGTTTTGGTACCAGTACCATGCTGTTTTGGTTACTGTAGCCTTGTAGTACAGTTTGAAGTCAGGTAGCGTGATGCCTCCAGCTTCGTTCTTTTGGCTTAGGATTGACTTGGCAATGCGGGCTCTTTTTTGGTGCCATATGAACTTTAAAGTAGTTTTTTCCAATTCTGTGAAGACAGTCATTGGTAGCTTGATGGGGATGGCATTGAATCTATAAATTACCTTGATGTGGAGAAACAGGAACACTTTTACACTGTTGGTGGGACTGTAAACTAGTTCAACCATTGTGGAAGTCAGTGTGGCGATTCCTCAGGGATCTAGAACTAGAAATACCATTTGACCCAGCCATCCCATTACTGGGTATATACCCAAAGGACTATAAATCATGCTGCTATAAAGACACATGCACATGTATGTTTATTGTGGCACTATTCACAATAGCAAAGACTTGGAACCAACCCAAATGTCCAACAATGATAGACTGGATTAAGAAAATGTGGCACATATACACCATGGAATACTATGCAGCCATAAAAAATGATGAGTTCATATCCTTTGTAGGGACATGGATGAAACTGGAAACCATCATTCTCAGCAAACTATCGCAAGGACAAAAAACCAAACACCACATGTTCTCACTCATAGGTGGGAATTGAACAATGAGAACACATGGACACAGGAAGGGGAACATCACACTCCCGGCACTGTTGTGGGGTGGGGGGAGGGGGGAGGGACAGCATTAGGAGATATACCTAATGCTAAATGACGAGTTAATGGGTGCAGTACACCAACATGGCACATGTATACATATGTAACAAACCTGCACGTTGTGCACATGTACCCTAAAACTTAAAGTATAATAAAAAAAAAAAAAAAGATAGGGTGGCCAGAGAAGGCAACTCAGATGTGCCCACAAGACTGACTCTCCCTGTATTTTCCATTATTCTTAAGCTTTAAGAGAGAGTTCCAGGCAAAGGGGATGCAATAGGTTGATGCTTGACCTTTCCAAATTTCATGTTGAAATTTGGTCTCCAATGTTAGAGGTGGGGCCTAACGGGAGGTGTTTGGGTCAGAGGGGCAGACCCTTCATGGATGGCTTGGTGTCATTCTCATTGTAACAACTGGGTTCTCACTCCATTAGTTCCTGTGAGAGTTGGTTGTTTTAAAAGAGCCTGGCACCTCCCCACATACTAGCTCTAGCTTCTCCTTTTGTCATGTAATCTTTGCACACATTGGCTCTCTTTTGCCTTCTGCAGTGAGTAGAAGCAGCCTGAGGTCCTCCTAGAAGCAGATGCTGAAGCCGTGCTTCTTGTACAGCCTGCAGAACCGTGAGCTAATAAATTTCTTTTCTTTGTAAATTACTCACACTCAGGTATTACTTTATAGCAACACAAATAGACTAAGATGAGGGATACCAGAGGCAAAGACCTGGAGGCATCAGTCAGCTGGAGAGTTGAGTGTGAAGGGTAGAGGGGACAGGGAGTGAAATGGAAAAGGCAACAGAGGTCACATCATGCAGTGTCTTGCAGGTTATGGTAAGATTTTATTATAAGTGCACTGAAAATCTACTTTGGGATTTTAAAAGGTAGAAGTGGGAGGGATAAAATATGATTATTTTAACAAAATCATGATGACTGCTACATAGAAAATGGCTGCTATGTAGAAAAAGAGTACATTGATCTGGATAAGAGTGATAGTTCTTGTCGGCTTAGTGATCTCTGTTTCTCCACTCTACTATATTATGCTTTCTTGGAAGTAGAGGACATATGCTTTGTGCATATGTCCTTATATTTCCATAGTTAGGATAATGGTTTATATATTTTAAGAGTTCCCAACTTAAATGGGAAATGGCTAGTCACTGTTTGTTCAACGACTCTGTTCTCACCAACTAATTCTTCTACCCAAGCCAATGTGTTAGGGTAGGGATATTGGAATATGAGCCTCCTAATTGATTAAAAAATACAGTTTTATTATATATTACTGAAATGTCACAAAGATGCTTTTACAAATTAGTATTATTTACTTTGAGACTAGATCCTTTATTTCTTATTATGTATCATTTAAATCAGATATTTAGCATCTGTCAAATGATAATTGTGTTTTTAAAAACCTAGCTTATTAATGAAACAAATTTAGTGGAAAAAACAGACACAAATAATAAAATAATAGAACATACTTTTATAAGTAAAATAGTAAGTTGAAATATATGAATTTTCATAATTTATAAGAAAATAAATACCTTCTTAATCATTTTGTGTATGCATGTAGAATTCAAAAACATATGTAAAGCTATTTAATTTATGAACTAACATTTCTAAGTAGCTGGCCTTATTAATTATATGGGTTTATGGGCATCATTTTATATCAGATTCATAGGTACAATGTTGTTAGGTGAATTAAAGGGGTGAACAGATGAATTACAAGTAAGAAGTTCAGTTTCTTTATTTTCCAAAGTAATGAAGAAGAGGAAAATCAGTCCATGTGTAGCAGGAAGAGCCACAGCCAAAACCCCTCAGACACCGAGTTAAAGAAGGAAGGGGTTTATTCGGCCGGGAGCATCGGCAAGACTCCTGTCTCAAGAGCCGAGCTCCCCGAGTAAGCAATTCCTGTCCCTTTTAAGGGCTCACAACTCTAAGGGGGTCCGCGTGACAGGGTTGTGATCAATTGAGCAAGGAGGGGGTACGTGACTGGGGGATGCACACACCGGTAATTAGAACAGAACAGAACAGGACAGGGATCCTCACAGTGCTTTTTTATGCAAATAACTGATTAGGTCAGGGGTCGATCTTTAACTACAAGGCCCAGGGTGTGGCGCCAGGCTGTCTGCTTGTGGATTTCACTTCTGCCTTTTAGTTTTTACTTCTTCTTTCTTTGGAGGCAGAAATTGGGCATAAGACAATATAAGGGGTGGTCTCCTCCCTTACATGCACTTAGGTCCCTTATTTCCAGAACTTTCTGATAGAAATATTATGTTGGCAACATATGTAATTAAAATCTTCTGATAGCCACATTAAGAAATAAAAAGAAATTTGAAATTAATTTTATATTTATTTAACTCAATATATCCAAACATTATCATTTCAACTTACAATCAATATAAAAAATTATTAATGAGCTAATTTACCTTCTTTTCTTGCCATTACGTTTTTGAAATTCACAGTGTCTTTTACAACACCCCTCAGTCTGCACTCACCACATTCCCATTGCTCAATGGACAAACGTGGCTTGTGGGAACTGAATTAGATAGTGCAGGCTTATATCTTCAACTCGAATCTTCTAACTTGGAGAAGTGTGTGTGTATGTACTAAAGTAGGAAGAAGGTGACAAAATACGACCCACAATGAATTCAGAAGATGGTTCTTTCTTTGAAACTTCCCTGATGGCCCACATAATGATCCACAGCCTTATTATTTTTTCAGTCACCAAAATCATAGCCTAACGAAGGCCATGTTTTGGTCACTAAAATTCTCAAGCCAACTTCATCCACCTGCCTGCTCTACCTAAGACTCCTGGGACCTATGTCGTAGTTGGAGCTTGGTTATTGGTGGAAGTCAGTGTAATCAGCTGGATTCTCCAGTGGAAGAGATAATATTAAGAAACCTTATCAAGGTGAACATAATTTTTCCTTTTCATCACAAATGTTCTGGAAATACATGCATAGGTTTGTATGGACGGAATATTAAAAATTCCATCCATAAAACAAGGCCAAGCAAAGATCCTCGTCTCCTCCAACTGGAGATCAGCCATTTTCTTGGGGTCAGTGGGTAAATACATCTTTGGCTCATTTCTAGGGTGGAGAGAAAATAGCTCAAACCTATCACCCTAGGAAATTATTGTTCTTTTGGTCTTTCAGCAAATTTTCCTAAACGTCTCCTTTCAATTTTTTAGAACCCCTTATCCACATGGCCGAATTAAGGTCATAGAGTTTCTTTTCACCTGGCTCATTCAAATAGTGACATATTGTCCTTTGCTGTTTTCATATGTAACAAAATTACATCATTTTAAGGCTGAATGCCCATTCCTCCACACTGAATATTTAATCAATAAGCTGAAAAGCAAAATTAAAATAGTAAAATATATTGGTAATTGTCTGATAAGAAGTTTTGTTTAGAGCTCAGAGAACTCTGTTCTTTGAAAAAAAAACATAAGGTCCAGCTGTGAAATGCTTCCTCAGTTATCAGTGTGTAAGATCACTCTGTTTTCTTCTTAGCAAAAATAAATAAATAATCACAGACATATAATAAATAAAAATTCTGGGCAGCTGTAAAAGTCAGGGGAGCCTTGTGTTGAGCATTCTATTAGCTTTCAGACACTTGAAAGGTGTTAAGTGGCTTGAAAATCTGTGCTAAGTGAGGACTGGTGAAAGTGTAAGTTCACTTCCACTGTCTGGCCGAGAACATTTCAGTATCTTCATTGAACCAGTGTAAATGAGGCTGTCACTAGCTGCAATGTTGAGAGACGGCCACCAATTGTTAAACAGATTCTGACTTGGACATACTAAAAATGTGGCTCTGCTCACTCATTAGAAGGTCTATTGTTAAGAAAAGCTCGTGTTTTTTATTCACTCAGGGAAAAGGCATGTTGGAGGATTTCAGTGCAGAGAAAAGAGAGATAAGTAATTTTATATGTATTGGAAGGCTGAAGAAAAATCCATAAACTCATATGAAATACTGACTATATCTCCAGAGGTTTCACAGGGTCTGTTCTTTTGGAGAAATGAGCCCTATTCTGATGAACTGTAAGGTTGCTTCAGGAAATTCTCAAGACCAATAAATATTACCCTGTAAGCAGAGGCTACAAATTAGACATAGATCAAAACCGCTAAGGGCACTGCCATACTCCCAGTTCTCCAAGACTGTTATTTTTGCTTCCTCCCTCCTCTTTGCTCCTCCATTACCAACTCAGTCAACATCAATCCTCACTGATTCTCCATCATGTACCTTAGAAACATTCCGTATTTTTGGCCAGATGCGGTGGCTCACACCTGTAATCCCAGCACTCTGGGAGGCCGAGGTGGGCAGATCACCTGAGGTCAGGAGTTTGAGACCAGCCTTACCAACATGGAGAAACCCCGTCTCTACTAAATATACAAAATTAGCTGGGCGTGGTGGCACATGCCTGTAATCCCAGCTACTCAGGAGGCTGAGGCAGGAGAATCACTTGAACCCAGGAGGCGGAGGTTGTGGTGAGCCGAGATCGTGCCATTGCACTCCAGCCTGGGCAAAAAGAGTGAAACTCCATCTCAAAAAAAAAAAAAAGAAATATTCCTTATTTTCATTTTAACCTCCTCTCCACTAATCCAACCTCTCTTTACCTGCCCCTAGATAACCATAACAATAGTGATAAAACTCGATTCCCTAGGCTCCAGGCTCTTCCCAGCCACACCCCTCCCCTTGATGCAAAGTGAACTGTAGACAAAAGCGAGGATCATTTTCCTTTAACAACACGCCCTTCTCTTGTTCAGAAGCCTACAGTGGTTCTACATCATTGCCCATTCTATCCAGTTCTTCAGCTTCTCAGATCCCAACATCTGCAGCTAACCCACACTGTGCCTTTGTGGGAATCAGTCTCAGTATGTCCTGAGTTGGATTTCCCCAGAGACAGACCCCAAAGACACAGATTTAAGTATAAATGGTTTATTTGGGAAGTGATCCTGGGAATTACCAGTAGGGACATTGAAAAGTGAGATAGAGAAGGGAGTCAATAAGGATGCATTGTTCAGCACGTAACCACTGTGGGCAACGCGAGTGCAATCTTACTGGGAAGCTCTGGGAGACAGTGTAGAAAATATCTTGGCGTTATCTCACTGCTGGTCAGGGGAGCTGAGGCATGCAGGAATCATCCCTATTGATCATGGGTTGAAAGCCACTCATGGGAAGGTGGGAGATATTAAATTCCTGGCTTTTCTTGCCTGGGCTAAATGGGCTGTAACAGGGAAAGATGACCCTTGGGCAAAGAGTCACAGGTATTTGCAGTTGGAAGCCAGCAGACTGGCTTCCATGAGATTGGAGTGCCAAAGAGATATAGGTAAGCACTGACACATTTCTCCAGACAGACACAGCCTGAAACCTAGATGTGTGGGTGGGATAGGGCAGAGTCCTATCCACTGTAAACTCTCAGCTGTGTGCTTTTCTACAAAGAACATACCTTAGTGACTTTTGACAACGCACATGCTCTAAAACGTTTTTATTACCATGGCATAAGGCAACCTTTTGAAAGCACTTCACATTTCATAGAAAAATGTACTATAAAATGTTATTCAAATGAAAGTTTGTCATTGTTTACAGAATCAGTGAATATTTGTAATTAGAAAGGTCATTGATTTATAGGATTGAAATGAACTTTTCTGTCAAACTGTTAAGTATTAAGCAGAATACTATTAGGTGCCTTTAAAACAAAGTGAGGCAAGCATAAGGATTTCGTATACACATAAGGACAGCATTTGTATTGCTTTGGTGACCAAGCCAGTTTTTAGGACTCTACAATTTAAAAAACCATCCAAAGATGTTGTCACAGCACAGCTCACAATAGCTCCATGTATCAAATGCCAACTTTAAGAAGTTTATAAGTAGGGCCTGATCTGATGGAATAGAACTTCTCAAGGTCATGATTTTAAGCCACTTCATCATCCAAAAGCCAAGCACTGAGTTGGGGAAATACTCAATTCATTAGACTGGGTTAGCACATTAAATTAGGTGCAAACATCTACTCGAAACTTCTAAAATGAGGCTTACACATTTCTTTGGGAGTCTAAAATCTTTTAAACCAAAAACTGCTTTTTCCCTAATTCTAAGAACTTATAGTTTAAAGAAACATTGGGAAGCATTTTAGAATAACCAGAGTAGGTGCTTAAGAGCAATTTATCTTTGGCTTTTTACTAGAATTTTATTGTTTTTATTGTTGTTTTTCGTCTCTATTTGCATTGCTATGTCAAAGTTCAGTGTAATGGACTTTGATGAGTGTGTTGGATGGAAAAGCCTGGTCTACTCTTTGTTATGACTGGTGTAATCAGAAGGACAAGCAGGCCCTGAGCTCACCATGACAGAATGTCCCTGTAAGAAATAGCTAGTGGAGAAGGAAGATAGAACAGTAGAGACAATAGCATCCCAGGCCTTGCACTGTGGGAAATCACTAAATTATTAAATGTTATGTAGGAGCCCCTTCAACAGAGTGACCACCATTATTTTTAATGTTATTTCCCATTCTCAATACACATTTTTTCTTCTGACATAATGATCTCCTCCTCAACTCCAATGAGACCAATAGTGTCCCACCCTTTCATCATCAGGCACTTTTTATTTGAAATATATTTTCTCTTTCTTTTCATCCATCCCTTTTTACCTTTCAAGGTTCAAATTAATAAAATCCTACACTAGGGTAGCTTTTTCCACTGTCCAGCTGAGAAGAATCTCAGCTTCATTTTAAAGCCATCAAAAGTATCTCTTTTTGATGTGTTGGATTCACTCTGCTGATGTTTTATTAAGGAGTTTTGCATCTTTCGTCAGGGATATTGGCCTGTATTTTTCTTTGTTTATTGTGTCCTTGCCTGGTTTTGGTATCAGAGTGATGCTAGCCTCATAGGGTGAGTTAGGAAGAATTCCCTCCTCTTTAAGTCTTTGGAATAGTTTGAGAAAAATTGGTGCTAGTTTTCTTTATAACTTTGGTAGAATTCAGCAATAAGCCATCTGGTCCTGGGCTTTTCTTTATTGGGAAACCTTTTATTACCAATTTAATCTCATTACTCATTATTGTTCAGGTTTTCTATTTCTTCCTGCTTTAATCTTGGTAGACTGTAGGTGTTCAGGAAAGTATCCATTTCCTCTGGGTTTTCCAGTTTGTTAGCGTATAGTTGTTCATAATAATTTCTAATGATTCTTTGTATTTTTGTTGTATCAGTTGTAACGTCTCATTTTTCATTTCTTATGTGATTTATTTGGATATATTATCTTTTTTCTTGATTAGTCTTGCTAGCAGTTTATTTATTTTGTTTATCTTTTCAAAAAAACGACTTTTCACTTCATTGATCCAATGTATTGCTTTTCAGTCATGATTTCAGTTAGTTGTGCTCGGACCTTTACTATTTCTTTTTCTGTTAATTTTGGATTCGGTTTGTTCTTGCTTTTTTAATATCTTAAGGGATTAAACATAAGGTACATCATTAGGGTGTTTATTTGAAAACTTTATATACAATGATCAAGTGATATTTATCCCAGGGATGCAAGGACAGTTCAACATACACAAATAAATGTGATACAGCACATCAACAGAATGAAGGACAGAAACCATATGATCATCTCAATAGATGCAGAAAAAGCATTCAATAAAATCCAACATCCCTTCATTATAAAAACTCTTAACAAGTTATACATAGTAGCAAGGTAGCTCAACATAATAAAAGCTATATATGACAAACCCACAGCTGGCATCATACTGAAGGGGGAAAAGCTGAAAGCTGAAATAACTAGAACAATAGGAAGATGACTTTCACCACTCTGATTCAACATAGTATTGGAATTTCTAGCCAGAGCAATCAGTCAAGGGAAATAAATGGAAGTCATCCAAATTGAAAACAGAGGAAGTCAATTTGTCCCTTCCCACAGATGATATGATCTTATATACAGACTAACCTAAAAATTTCACTGAAAAACTCTGAGATCCGACAATCAAATTCAGTAAAGTTGCAGGATACAAAATTAATATAAAAATTAGTAGCATTTCTAAACACCAACAATGAATTAGCTAAAAAGAAATCAAGAAAGCAATTCAATTTATAATAGCCAATAAAATAAAAGGAAATATGTAGGAATAAATTTAACCAAGAATGTTAAAGACTTCTGCAATAAAAACTAGAAAACACTAATGAAAGAAAATGAAAGGGGCACAATCAAAGGGAAAGACATCCCCTGTTCATGAATCAGAAGAACTGATATAATAAAAATGTCCACACTACACAAAGCTATCTAGAGATTCAATGCAATGCTTATCAAAATGCCAATGATATTTTTCACAGAAATAGACCAAAAGCCTTAAATTTATATAGGACCACAAAAGACCCTGAATAGCCAGAGCAATTCTGAGCAAAAAGAACAAAGCTGGAGGCATCATACAATCTCACTTCAAAATATACTACAAACCTATAGTAACCCAAACACCATGGTACTGGTATAAAAACAGATGCGTAGATTAATGGAAGATAATAGAGACTCCAGAAGTAAGTCCATGTATTTCAGCCAACTGATTTTCTTTTTTTTTTTTCATGTTTGATATTAATTTATTAAAGCATTCTGGAAGTTCCTCAGCTGCCTTAGTTTCAGGACCCCAGAGTTCCCAGAAGAACCCTGCATTGGCTAGTGCCAGCCAGTGGCTGTGACGGTCATACCTGCCCTGCTGAGCCTCCTCCAGCATCCTCTGCTCCAGCCCAACTATCCAGACCACAACTTGTACATTACTCCCTCCCAGTCTTTGTTTCTGCTGTTTCTTCAACCTGGGATACCATCCACTGTCCAGTTTTTGTTTGTTTGTTTTGTTTTTCGTTTTTTTTTTTTTTTTTTAATTGATCATTCTTGGGTGTTTCTCGCAGAGGGGGATTTGGCAGGGTCACAGGACAATAGTGGAGGGAAGGTCAGCAGATAAACAAGTGAACAAAGGTCTCTGGTTTTCCTAGGCAGAGGACCCTGCGGACTTCCGCAGTGTTTGTGTCCCTGGGTACTTGAGATTAGGGAGTGGCGATGACTCTTAAGGAGCATGCTGCCTTCAAGCATCTGTTTAACAAAGCACATCTTGCACCACCCTTAATCCATTCAACCCTGAGTGGACACAGCACATGTTTCAGAGAGCACAGGGTTGGGGGTAAGGTCACAGATCAACAGGTTCCCAAGGCAGAAGAATTTTTCTTAGTACAGAACAAAATGAAAAGTCTCCCATGTCTACCTCTTTCTACACAGACACAGCAACCATCCGATTTCTCAATCTTTTCCCCTCCTTTCCCCCCTTTCTATTCCACAAAACCGCCATTGTCATCATGGCCTGTTCTCAATGAGCTGTTGAGTACACCTCCCAGACGGGGTGGTGGCCGGGCAGAGGGGCTCCTCGCTTCCCAGTAGGGGCGGCCGGGCAGAGGCGCCCCTCACCTCCCGGACGGGGTGGCTCAGCCAACTGATTTTCAACAAAGGCATTAAGAACATACATTGGGGAAAGGACATCCTCTTTAATATATGGTGTTGGGAAAACTGAATATCCCTATGCAGAGGAATAAAACTAGACCTTTATCTCTTATACAAAAATTAACTCAAAATGAATTAAAGATATAGATATAAAACCTGAAACTATAAAAACTACTAGAAGAAAACATAGGGGAAATGCTTCAGGACATTGGTCTAGGCAAAGACTTTGTGGCTCAGACTTCATAGGCACAGGCAAAAAACAAAAAAATAGGCAAATGGGACCATATTAAATTAAAAAGCTTCTGCACAGCAAAGGAAACTATCAACAAAGTGAAGAGATAACTTACAGAATGGAAGAAAATATCTGCAAACTATCAACAAGCTGCTAATACCCAGAATATACAAAGAACTCAAAACAACTCAACAGCAAAAAGAAACAAAGAATTCCATTAAAAAGCAGGCCAAAATCTGAATGGACATTTCTCAAAAGAAGACATACAAATGGCCAACAGGCATATGAAAATTGCTCAACATCATGAGTCATCAAGGCAATACAAATCAAAACCACAATAATATACCACTACACTCCAATCAGCGTAGCTATTATCAAATGAACAGACGAAAAAAAGAAAAAGAAAAAAAAGTGTTGACAAGGATGCAGAGAAAAGGGAACTCTTATAAACTATTGGTGGAAATATAAATTAGTATAGCCATTATGCAAAACAATATAGAGGCAGAACTACCATATGATATAGCAGTCCCACTACTGATTACTTATCAAAAGGAAAGGAAATCAAATATTTTAAAGGGATGCCTGCACTCACCTGTTTATTGCTGCACTGTTAACATAGTCAAGGTGGGGAATCAACCTTACTGTCCATTAACGAATGAATGGATAAATAAAATATGTTTATATACACAATGGAATACTGTTCTGTCATAAAAATAATGAAATTCTGTTATTTGCAAGAAACAGGAATAGAGGTGGAGGCATTATTTTAAGTGAAATCGCCCAGACACAAAAAGACAAATACTGTGTGTTTTCACTCATATGTGGAAGCTAAAAAATTAATCTTATGGAGGAGGGATAGAATGATGGTTCCCAGAGGCTGGAAAGTGTGGGTGGGAGGAGGAATGAAGGGAGGTTGGTTAATGGGTACAAACATATTAGAGAATTAGATAGAAAGAATAAGTTCTAGCATTTGATAGCTCATTAGAATAACTCTAGTTAATGATAAATTATTACCTAATTAAAAATAGCTAGAAGATTTGAAATGTTCCCAACACAAATAAATGATAAACGCTTGAGGTGAGGGATATTACACATTGTGTGCAGGTATCCCAATATCACAGGTACCCTATAAATATGTACAATTATTATATATCAATATAAAGTGTTTCTTTTGACATACCAGATGCCTCTTCATTGATATTTATCTTTTTTAAAACTATAGGCCCAATTTCCCAAAAGATCATAAGCTCTTTGAAGAGAAGAGTTGGTGCCTTGAACTTGGCAGTTCTTGGCATTACTCTTACACACAAAAGAAATTAAAGGTCTTTGCTAAATAATGATGTTGGATGATGGATGATACATACCCCGGGTTTCTTTCTTTGTTCATTTGTTTTCATTCTATCCCCGAAAACCTAGCCAAGGTCCTGCTGAAATAAAAAATCAATACTGTCTGGCTGACTAGACAGGCAATGGGGCCATAGAAAAGCAGTTGTATTGGCCAGGTAAAACTTAGTGGTCATACCCAGAAATCCTCCCATATCATGCTCTGATAGACCTACATTCTGTGCTCTGATGCTGGGACACAGGCTTCTAATGAGGTATCTAGAGCCTCAGTAATCTGTCTGAGGGAGGCAACAGACATTGGTATGTGTCTGCTTATGGCAAAATGTATTTTCCAAAGGTAGCTACAAAAAATATCTCCCATCATACATACCCTTCTATAATGTGACCATGTCATTTCCTTGTCAAGGTGAAGTTTAATTCTCCCTTTGAATTTGAGCAGGCTTGTGACTTACTTTTTACCAATAGAATGAGATGCAAGTGATGCTCGTGACTTTCCAGGGCAGGTCCATGAAGACCATAAACCTCTCCCTGGTTTTCTTGGCAGTTTCCCTCTTAGAACTCAGACACCATGCTGTGAGAATCTCAGTCCCAAAGAGAGGCAACAGGTAGGTGTTCTGATCCAGAGTCAGGGCAGAGCGGGTATCCTAGCCATCCTAGCTGAGGTGCCAGACATGTGAATGAAGGAGCTTCCAGCTGATTCCAGTCCCCAAGCACCCAATCACAGGCATTTGGATCTTCCCACCTAAAGCCCCAGACATTGTGGGACAGGGAAGAGTCATCCCCACTGTGCTCTTTCATAATTCACTGAATTCATGAACATAAAGTGGAATAATTTGCTATACTACCACAATAACTGAAACAATATGCAGTATTAATTTCTATCATCCTCTATTCCAAAGCCAGTGCACATCTGTTTTTGTAAATAAAGTTTTAGCAAAACACAGCTATGCTCATTCATTCATGAAATGTCTATGGCAGCTTTTGCACTGAAATTTCTGGTGCAGAATGTATAACTTCCAAAAATAAGATATTTACTATATGACTCTTTACAGAAAAAGTCTGTGACTTTATACAGAAGATCTCAAAGTGTGATCCCAGATAACAGCATCACTATCACTTGGGAACTTGTTAGAAATGCACATTGTTGAGCCCTAGTCCAGACCTACTGAATTAGAAATTCTGGCAGTGGGACTCAAAATTTTGCTTTAGTAAGCCCTTCAGGTGATTTTGATGCTCACTGAAGTTTGAGAACCATTGCTCTATGCTAATAGAACCCTGATTATTTTTAAGGCTGCAACATCCCAACCCTTAGTTGGTAGATTATGATTAGTCTACTCAGGATAATTCTTTACTTGCTTTTCCAGCTTCCCTTGTAGCTATGCGTGGCTACATGACAGTTTTAGCCCATGAGATATAAGGAAGACTCTGCTGGGGATATATCTAAGAAGCTTTTACTTTGCTGATAAAAAATGACCATCCGATGATGAGCCTTGAGCTCTTTTTGGCTTGTGATGCTGGTAGGAGGCCTGGATATCACAGCTACTTTGTAACCATGGGGTCACTAGCATAAAGATAGAACCCCAAGGCTGGGCGCGGTGGCTCACGCCTGTAATCCCAGCACTTTGGGAGGCTGGGGCGGGCGGATCACGAGGTCAGGAGATGGAGACCATCCTGGCTAACTCGGTGAAACCCCGTCTCTACTAAAAAATACAAAAAAATTAGCCGGGCGTGGTAGCGGAGGCCTGTAGTCCCAGCTACTAGGGAGGCTGAGGCAGGAGAATGGCGTGAACCTGGGAGGCGGAGCTTGCAGTGAGCCGAGATCACGCCACTGCACTCCAGCCTGGGCAACAGAGCGAGACTCCATCTCAAAAACAAAACAAACAAACAAACAAACAAAAAAAGAACCCTAAAAGGTCAGGTTGCTAGAAGAAAATGACAGAAACAGCTGGTTCCTCAAGGACATTTTTGAGCACCTAAATCAAGGACAACAAACTCCTACCTTGATACGTAAGAAAATATACTGCTAATTATTTAGAACACTATTAATTGCAGTCAAACACACTCCTAGCTCGTATATATAACAGGCATTCAAATATATATGTTATTCTCAACATTTCAAAAAAAGTGAATCTCACAAAGCAAACTTGGCCTTGAAGAGATACTATAAACTATGTGAAAAGTCAAGTTTGCTTGCTTTTGGCTAGAATCGTGTCAATTCACTGTTACCAGTACTCATTTCATGTTATTTAGAAGTTACATTTGATGGCATCTGACACCAAAGAAATTTTCAGGAGATAATAATTCTAAGTATTATTGAGCATTTGCCAAATGCCCGGCACTCTGCTGACATGACCTCTTATACTTTTGACCATAATCCCTGTTTCTCAGAGGGGAAGACTAAGGTCCATTAAGAGAGGTGACTGTTTCAGTTGGCATACTGTGCATATCAACCCAGGGAATCTGATTTTAGAGCCTGCACATTCAATCACAGCTAATATTAAATAACTTCTTTATTTAATTGCATACTCAAAACTATTTGTTACGTGCAAAGGTTTTGAAAGGCACAATCTTGAAACAAATGTGTACATCAAGAGGAAAAGACTTCTAAAATTTGTGTGTGTGTGGTAGGAAAGTTCAAAATTCTTAAAATTAGAGAGCTCAATGAATTTTGGCCTGAGCCTCAAAATGTGTCCATCTGCCTTGCGTCTTAGCAGGAAGTATAGCTGCAGGGATTGAAGGGGATAGATTTTCAGAGTATTAACGTGGGCTTCTTATAGTTAACACCACTATGGAAAATGGCTCAGATAAGGCAGTGTATGTGTATTCCATTTCTTTACATTCCTTATTACAATCTCCTTCCATTAATACCTGCGTCCATTTCTGCTATCCCAAATTGCTTCCCTTTCAGTCTCCAGAGGTGTTGGGGTGCAACACAGTCTTTTAACAGATGCACCCCCACTGAAATGCTGCCCTTCAAAGAGCTCAAAGCACCCCTTTTGTGTCTACAGGTTGAGAAATGTCTCTCCGAAGATCTCCCAGCCTCTTATGACCACAGAGCATGAGAATAGAAATGCTAATGTGGCATTATGAGTGAGAGGTAAGGACTGTCCAGCCTTCTGTGGACAGGAGGCCTTTTGGGCTGATTGAAATGTGTGCATACAGTAGAACGAATGCCACCAACGGATGTTCCCACAGTCGGCACTCAGAGATGGCCCAGGCATTGGTGAGCCTTTTATCTATACTCAGTTTTGAAAGACAACTTGACATTCTTATAATGCCATGCAAATGTATTCCCCTATACAATGTCAGTGATTACTCAGACTCCCAAGACAAGCCACACATATCTTAATAAATCGGGACTACAGATTAAACAATTTAGAGAATAATGGTCTTTCACTGAGAGAGAAGCCATGGTTTGTGTCCTTCAAATTACAAGAGAAAGTGTTTAAATGATTCCCGGCTGGCATTCACTCCAGACAATGGCGGGCAACAGTGGCATTCTTGTTATTTCCAACTACACCATGGCCTACCCTCCCACTCCCCTTGGCTCTGAGTGTGACGCATTCTCAAACGCCCAAATCAAATGTCGTCTTCTCTTTGATGCCTTTCTTGATTCCTGCACCCCATCCCAAGCAGAATTTACTACACCCTCATTGCTGATCCCACACCCCTTTAGTCAGATATCTATAGAAACATAAATGTATCTTGATTTATGACTTATAGTAACCTGTGGCTGTACCTCTTTCCCCACTAACCGTTCTCCTATGTGAACTCTGACAAGGCACAAATGATGTCTTATAACTCGTCACAACAATTCCCCCTCCTTTGGCCTAGCTTAGTGACATGAATGGCTAGGAAGGTTGCAATTGCACAACTCCCTGGGGGCACTATTCACATTAAAATCCATATAAATGGCAACTTTTGGAATTGTGCAGACAAGGAGATCTTTTCTTAGTACCTACCTAGCATACAAGATATGCTCCGTCAAATGCTTGTTAAATTAAATAACAGCAGACTGGTTGGGTGGGGGGTAGGAAAGAGGAAGACATTAATTACTTATTCAACATTCATAGGAACTAGCCACGGGGTTCAATTCTTTTTAATAGTGTATCTATCGGTCTATCTGATCATAGCTAATCAGGCGTTAGTGGCATATGGTTTGAGAGAAATAGCGTTCTCTGTTACGGATGTCAGTTAAAAAAGAGACTTTTAAAGCTTCACTTGATGCAAACCGCCTGCTTAACTTGAGGCCATAAGGAGATGGTGACAGACAAGCTTTACATCCTCCACTTGCAATCAATTTGCTCCTGACCGTGATTCCGAGTATTAACCTTGTTCTATCAAACCCCTGGAGTTGTGGGGATGGGAAGACAAGAGCATGCACAGAGGAAGCTGAGATCAGCCAGAATAGCTAATGAACCACCAGATTTGATCTTTAGGGGAAAGGAGAAAAAATGGTCTTGGTATGGAAAACAAAACATAAGAATTCATTCCCTTGGGAACCTGACTACAGCTTGCTTTGCTGCCGACACGGTCTAGTGCAATGCCTGTTTGCTCAGGTTTTCTGCCCCAGCTGAAGATATGAGGGTTGGCAAGACAGGGATTCAAATTTTTAGCTATTTCATATTTGTTTGTATGTGTTATTCAGTGCTCCTAAGGGAGACTATATAATGAACGCTGAATAAATAAAAAATAATATAAATCTTAACAAAAGAAAAATAATAGCAAGAGAAGATTACAGGAATATGACTTGCTAAAAGAAAAAAAGGAGTGGATAGAATTGGACAATCCATTTGTTGTCGTTGTTGTTATTGCTCTAAATCTTTACAAAGTTCAAACCCAGAAATGCAATGCAATCATAAAGCTGTATTAACAGAAATACAAATAAGACAGCATATCCCAATGCCAGGAGTCTTCCTTAAGGATTTGCCATGTTGTCTGTCATCTTAAGTGGTTCTCTATGATAGCTGTTGCATGCTGCATATTGTCATTCTTATTTTACAGAAAATGGTGACGGTTCTTTCATTCTTTTAAATATATTATATATAAAATATCTTTTATTATCTTTTATATTTGCCACTAATTTTTATATTATATATTATATAAAATAATGTAAATCCCCATTCTTAATATAATATAATAAAATTATATATTTATTTATATAATATAGATGTTATGATATATATTATATATAATATAAAATAATGTAAATCCCCAATATTCTTAAAATATTTTTATTTCTTGGCATACCACACAAGCCAATCTAACTTCTGAGTTCAAATTATGATACAAGGATCTACCTAGGAGGAATACATATAAGAAAAATTTAATATTTCACTAAGTCTATTCTTAAGGAAATGAATTACCAAACAAAATATTTAAGGAGCAACTAAAAAGCAGTGGATTTGATCTTATTTGGTAGAATTTTTTTTAACAGTATGGCTTTTTAAAATGTGATTAAGTATAAAGAAAAAATTAAAATGCCCCAGAATCTTACAATTCAGATTGCTGCTTTTGATCTTAAAGGAAAAACAAAAGAAATACATATACTATTTCTAAAAATTAAATGAACAGGAAGATATCAAGTGAAAAGCCTAGTTCCTCTCCATAGAGGGTCTACATAGTGTGGTGCCTGGAACAGAGGCAGCAGTATCACCTGGGAAACTGTTAGAAATACAAATTCTTAGGCTTCACCCCAGATTCACTGAATCAGAGTCTCTACGGTGGGGACCTGGGTTTTAACAAACCTTCCTGGTGATTGTGATGCACACTGAAATCTGAGAACAAGTATTCTACACAAAGGCAATCGGAGTTCAATATCTCACCTCTTTCCAGATATATTTTAATCACACACATGCGCATGCACACACACACACAGTCTTTTTTTATACAAAATGAACCACATTATACACAGTGATCGTCACTTTAATTTTTAAATGACGTCATTTATCTTGTAGGTGTTTTCATATCTGCACTTAGAGATACGCTTCATGTTTTAAGATTAAGAGATACGCTTCATGTTTTAAGATTATTTAGCCTTTCAGCAGTTGTGCCATATACCTTAATGGTTCAGCCAGGTCCGTTATGTGATCATTTCTAGTATTTTCAGTTTGTATGTTTTACAGTAAGCATTCTTGCTAGTACATCTTAGAAAACATGTGTGAATATACTATTGAATAAATTCCCATCAGAGGCATCACAAAGTCATGAAGAAATGTATATTCCAGACTTCTGCGCATATGACCTAAATGTCTGACAAAGAGGTCGAGCCAATTTACACCTCAAGCAACAATGTATTAACAGTGGCTATTTTTCTGGATCCTCATTTGACACTGGATATTATCTAACTTTTTTTAACTGCTATCAATCTGATTGATTAAAACATGACATCTCATTATTGTTTATTCGCCTTTCTTTAATTAGGAAGGCAAAGATGGTCCTCTTACGTTTTTATTGTCCATTTGTATTTCTTTTTCAGCAACTTGTCCATTTTCCCTTGGGTTAAGTGTATTTTTTCCTTACTAATTTGTATAAAATTTTGCAAATTAAGAAAATTAGTCTCGACCTGTCACATGTTTAGACTGTATTTTTATTAGTTCAGATTTTTTTTTAGTTGGTTGTAACTTTATAGATTTGTTAATGTTTTCTCTTTTGTGCTCTGTGTCTTGTGTCCTTCATGGAAAGACTTTCCACTAATTCCAAAATTTTAAATAAATTCACTCATGTTTTTCCTCAAACTGTCATAGTTTAATTTTTACTTTCTGTAATTTACTTTGGTAAGAGAAATGAGACTACCATCCAATTTTTGTTTTTGCATGCAGTTAGTACCTTGTCCCGGCACCACCTAGTGAAAAAGCTCTTTTCCCAATGATTTGAATGCCAGTATTACCTCTGAATCTGGAGAATCTGGGAACATTCTCTCACAATCTATTGGTTCTCTAGTGTCAAGCTGATTAAGCTAGTACAGCCTTGTTGGCTATTTTTATATAGATAATACTATTTCCAGCTCATTCATTTTCCTTTTCGAAACATTTCAAAGCATTTTTCACTTTTATTTTTCATGATGAACTTTGTGTTATTTTGTCAAGTACAAAAATAAATTTGGATGGAGTGTTAAGACATTGAATTTGCAGCTTACTAAACTGAGATTTGTCAGTTTGTCAATGTATAATATTGTGGTTTCCTATAAAGAATACCTGTATCTCTAATTTTACTAAGAATTCTTTTATGTTATCTTTAGAGCTTCAAGTTTTCTTCATATGGGTCCTTCACATTTCTGGTTAACTTTAATACCAGGCATTTTACTTTTCTTGTTGCTATTATAAATGGATTATTTCTCCCATTGTATTTTCTAACTGCTTTGGGTTGTTTACAATGCTACTAATTTTTATATAATTCTTTATGTGTGTTTATCTTTTGTGATACTTGTAATGAATTCTTAAAAATTATACATCCCCCCAAATGATGCTTACACATCTAAATGAATGTTAGCTACTGAAAAGAAACATAATCAGACTTTATTAAAAACATATTTTGAACATCCTTTTTTTTTTAAAATTGCCCACAAGAGACAATGTCTCATTTACTTCATAGTGACACATGGTTTTTTTTATACAGATTGACATGGCCTACCTTGGTCAACCAGTGTATATCAGCTAAGCTTTCTTTAGATAAACTTAACTACTTTTTTGTATTACCCAATGAAAATAAATAGAAGAGTATTTGTGACCATTTAAAATATTCCAAAGAAAAGAATGTTAACTTCAAAGAAATCTCCAAATATCAAGTTCCAGAAGTGGCCTTGCCAATGGAGAGAACATTGAGCATCCAAATAAAGAATTGAGAAGAATGACTAACTACTTCCATGGAAATCAAAAGGAAGGTGACAGGAAAGATGGAAAACAAAGAAAAATAATAGTAGAATTGATCAGTGAGTTTTAGACCTTTTGAAAAATGAAGCATAATAAAAATGAAAAAGGCAGAACACAAAGACATGTACACAACAGTTAAAATCATAACAGGGTAATAACAGATATAGAGAAAATGAAATTAATGATAACATAATACTTTATAAAACTCATCCAAATACATTGACATCTATTTTCTGTATATAATTAAACTGACCAAATAGAAAAGATGAAGAATCAAAGCTAATGATTTTGTTCCTGGTACTTTTCTATATTAACTAATTATTTTGCACATTTCTCAGTTGATTCCACTGCATTTACTAGGTATACAATTACATAAGCAGCAACTAATGATAATTTTTTTTCTAAAAAGATTTAATGCCCCATGGTTTAGATTAAGCTGGATCTAAGAAACATTGAATTCATCTTTTATTTTCTCTGTGAGCAGGGGCTCCTCCTTTGGTTTTTCTACCATCTAGAGATTAATCTATATTTGTCAATATTTACATAAATCAGAGACATAAATCACATAAGAACCCTAGACACGGCCTCCTGGATAATCTGACTCTTGCTCATTTCTCTTCTCAATTATGTTGTCAGAGAGGGATACCTGAGATAAAGTCCCTTAGGAATAGAACTAACAATAATTTTTGTCTCTTCCTTACCAATACCTATACCTTTAATTCTCATTTCTCATATTGAATTACATGTGCTATTTCTAGAATAATTTTAATGGCGGGGATAGTAGGCATTACTATCTTATTCATAATAAGAATGTAAAAATTCAAAATTTTTATCATTTAACTTGATGCTGAATATTTATTTGAAAAATACATATTCTTGATTAATGACACACAATTATTTCAATATACCACCATTCATTTGGCTAACATTTAATGTTTTGGCCCCAACAGTAGTACGATTATATTACATAAGACTGTTATAAGTTTGTCCTATTTCATCATCTCTATCAAATTTCAACTTAGATGTTACATTGTCTTTGTATAAAAAATTTGGAGGCTGCATTACTTCTCTGTTTTGGAAAGCTTAAGTAATTAGTAAATTGGTTCTTTAAAATTTCAGAAGAATTCTCCCTTTGAAAACCATTTGAGTCTGGAAATTTCTTTTTGCTATACCTTTTTAATAATTTTCTATATAATTTTCATAGTTATTCATCAACGAGTTTCATCTCTTCTGTAGAATCACTTTTGTTAACACTTGGTTCCTCAAATTTTGAGAATTGTTAACATGCATTTTTGTAGAGCTTTATGAAGCACTATTTTATTATTCTTTTAATTTCTAATATAACTCTCATTTCCTTTATGCCATTTTAAATTTTATGCACTTGTGTTTTCTTCCTTCTTTATGTAGTGTTTCCAAAAAGTACTTAAAGTTATTAATCAATTTGAAAATATTTTTTCACTTTTCAATTCATTATTTTTATATTTGCCACCTCCTTTTCATTCTGCAGATTTCATTTTTTAAGCTTTTCTATTTCCAACTTTTTCTTAGATACTCAATAGTCTTTTATGGCCCAGAATATTTCTGAAACTTCATTTTTGGGAACTCATTTTAGAATCGCTGTTACATTCTTTGAATTATTTAAATGGTGACAAATCCTTCCCTTTGTGTTTTTGCTGTCATATAAGAAAAATGGCTGAATATTATTTCAAACAAAGCTTGCCTGATATGAATGTTGACCAGCTGGGTCATATGATTTTATGTTAGGAATCATGTGCCGCCGTAATTAAATGAGGCATTGTTTCTTGTGGGTCTCATACACTGACTCTGAACGCAATCCAAAAGACAGTTCAAAACATGCTTTCAACCAAAGGCTATTCTTTAGAAGCTAAAACTCCTTTGAATGTGTAAGCACTTCTTTTTGTCATTTTAAGGGCTCATTACCATGTAGTCAGATGCTTGTTCGCTGTGGCTAGAAATCAGAAAGGCAGATAAACCAGGGATGAAAAAGCAAGGATTCAGCAAGGCTGGAACTTCTGTAGAAGTCCTGAGCTGATCTTTTTCATTCAGCCTAAAATGCAAAGTTGCTCATTTCAAGGGAAGAAGTAGCTGCATTTATTTATAGCTATTAGACAAATATGCAAAGCAAAATGCTTTTCTAAGTGAAGAATGAAGCACAAGCCAATATAAATACTTCAAAATAAAGTGTGCTTTTCATAAAGGGTAATGAAGACAGAGACTACAAAAAAACAATGTTGGTAAATATGAAGTTTTAATATAACCTTACGCCAATGCTAGGGTTTAAAACGCCCTCATAATATCTTTACTTATTATAGGTCTGTCATTTTAACTTAAACAGCTAATGTCATTTATGGAGAAGCAGTCACATTTCCTGAATAATGACTGCATACCTATTAAAATGAATTGTGTTTCTTTTTAAAACGTACATTTATTCTGTTCTCATTCTGTTAATGCATATCTTTTCCTTCACTATATCTGCAAAATGTCAATCCTGCTATGTTGGGGAAATCAATAATTAAATAGCTTTACAGTAATTACCTCTTAGTAACACATTTTTCCACCTTCACTACATAAACTAACTCCACTAACATCAAAATTACACAAATACATTGGTGAGAAGGTCATCATGTGAAAACTCATGTCATAACTCAATTTATAGATATTTTAAATCACATGTTAAATACCAATACTTCCTAAGAGGAAACAATGAGTCAGCCTCCTGAGCCCCTCTTAAGAACTTCAGTTCCACTATTACGAAGGACAAGGCTTCATATACTTATGGCTCTGGAAATTTAGTTACCCTTAAAGTATACCCACAACAACAGCAGCAAAACTCTAATAATCTCAGCAACGGCAGTTAAGTGTGGCATTTCCAGGTGTTTTCTAAGGTGTTTTCTAAGGTTTTTAGTAAACTGGTCGCTTTTTGTCTAAGCTACTGGAATCTAAATGGAATCGATGATTCCAGTGACTTTACCACCTTCATGGCTAACAGAGATCACTATCCAGTCAAAGCAACTAACTACTCGTGCTCAAATGAGCTGCCTGTGGATATGGAAAGATTAAAGAATTATCCTCAAAGTCATTCTTTGCCTTTGTTAACACCAGATGGAAACGATTACATTAAAAAGAGTATATTTCTTGAAAAAGTGATATAGACTTAAAAAATCAATACAGAAAAGTAAAATAAAAAACATTGCAATTCCCCCAAATTCAGAAATAATCATTGTCATCCTTTGGTAAACAGCATTTCATACAGCAGTAGGCTTATTCACAGGAGAGAAGATTAAACTTGAATTCAAGTGATAAAAAAGTTAAATTGAAAGATTTTACATAACATTTCCATAGCACAAAAATTTTATTTTCTAAAATATTTCTTTAAATTTTTTAAAAAAGAAGATTTTTAAAGCATTTTAAAAGTTGGAGTCAATATGGGCAAACTATGTATTTCACTGCCCAACCATAAAAAAATATCAAAATCATTCCTTTGTAGCAACATGGATGCAGCTGGAGGCCATTACCCTAAGCAAATTAACACAGAAAACCAAATACTGCATGTTCTCACTTACAAGTGGGAGCTAAACATTGGGTACACATGGACATAAAGATAGGAACAACAGCCACGGGGGACTCCTACTGGGGGATGGAGGGAGAGAAGCAAGAGTTGAAAAACTACAGATTGGGTACTATGTTCACTATTTGAGTGATGGGATTCATTGTACCCCAAACCTCAGCATCACAGAATATGCCCATGTAACAGACCTATACATGTACCCCTGAATCTAAAATACAAGTTGAAATAAAAAATAAATAAGTATATACATAAAACTATGTATGCCAACAGTAGAAAATGTTTCTTCGGCCTGTAATCCCAGCACTTTGGGAGGCCGAGGCAGGCAGATCACTTGAGGCCAGGAGTTCGAGACCAGCTTGGCCAGCATGGTGAAATCCCGTCTCTATTAAAAATACAAAAATGAGCCAGGCTTGGTGGCGCATGCCTGTAGTCACAACTACTCGAGAGGCTGAGGCAGGAGAATCGTTTGAACCAGGAGGCAGAGGTTGCAGTGAGCCGAGATCACACCACTGCATTCCAGCCTGGGCGACAGAGTGAGACTCTGTCTCAAAAACAAACACAAAAACAAAAACAAAACAAAACAAAAATTTTCTTTATTCCTACAGTATGGGATACAAAAATTGGGACACTTACACTTTGTATGCCATCTCAATCACTTAATTTTGATAGTTATATGATTATTTTGTATTGTCAAGGTTTAAAATGTTTGTATTCTATTTATAACTATAATCCCCATTGTTGTTTTATCTGCTTTCTAAATTTAAATATATGTATTGAGTGACACTGTTTCTTTACCTTCTTTATCCCTTCATTTTCAAGAGTCCAGATCTCTTGGTTGGCTGAACTTCACAGCCTTGTGTCCACCTGCCCTTCACACCAAAAATGGGGCAAGTCTACTCTCGTCCCTCAGTTCTTGCATATGTGAGATAATTTGTTATTTGACTTTCTATTCAAAAGAAAAAGGAGGAGTATTATCTTATTCTGTTATAATTTTCTTCCTTTTAACTTTGTAGACAATAGCCAACTATCTTCTGGCATCAGATACTATAATACATCAAGCATCACATTTAATTTACTTTTTCTGCTTACATAGAAATGTGATATTTTTTTCTTTATCCTTGCAGTTCAGTAACTTCAATATTATAATGCCTTGCTATTGAAAATTTTCATCAATTTTTTCTGGCACACACTTTTTTTTCTTACAAATTAGGATCATGTTTCTCAACTCATGTTTTCTCATTCTATCTTAAATATAATTTTTTCTCTTCCACTTGTTCTGAGCAACATAAATTATTAATACACTGGATATCTTTTGACTGTCTATAATAGCTGTCATCTAATCTAGAATGATTTGCCCCTGCTGGGTTTTTTTTTTTTAATATTGTTAAGATTTTCTCAAATTCATCTCCTTAGTCTTTAATTTTAGTCCATCTTATTCTCCTTTTGTTATTTTTAACGGGGCTTAACTCTAACGCTTTTATGTTATGCCATTACTTTTTATTTGAACCCTTGTATCTATTCTTCGATCGCTTGTTTTTGATAAAACATGTTAACCAGAACTCTGCGGATATGAAGAAGTATTTTATAAAATATTCCTGTGTCTCTTTGGGTATTATTTCTGTGATATATGATGTCCATCTGCTTTATATTAATATCCCTTAATTTTGCTTTTATTCTTTTAATTTCTCTTATTTTTTCAACTGGTCCAAAAGTATTATTGATTTTTAAAGTTAGGGTGGCTATTTTGTGCAGAAGAGTATCGGGATGAAGAGAAAGCACGGTGGGATATGTATGATGAAACATGCACAGTGGCTGCTCAGGAATGTTGGACACCTGAGGACCTGCCTCAGGGAAACTCAGCTAAAAGCCTTTCAGTTAGGGCTCTCTGCTTCAATCTGACACTCCTTGACACCCCTTCACCTCAGAGAACACTCCTCCCCTTAAAGATCTACTTACAGAACATAGAAAATAACTCTGCTGCATAATTCCTCCCTAAACTTACCCTCTTTTTCTGTTTGCCTTATGTTTTTTCTCCCCTACTGAGTCACTTAAATGACCTGAGGTTTTACAACTCGATGTAAAGAATTCTTAGATACGTCTTTCAGGATCACGACACTTGTTGTTGGGGGAGAGGGAATCTATATTCTCCAAGAGAATCAAGACGGCAGGAGTCAGTTCTCAGTTCCCATGAATCCATCTGGACTGCACGATCTCTGACAGGAGGGAGAGCTTCAGAGCCACTGCTGTGTTTTTTTGTTTTGTTTTGTTTTGCTTGGAACTTGTGTTCTAACTGCTTTTAGTGGCTCTTGTTCAGTTAGAGAGAGGACAGCACTACAAAACTTCCCTTTACTCCATGATTTTTTTTAATTTTTTTTTTTTTTTTTTTTGAGACGGAGTCTCGCTCTGTCACCCAGGCTGGAGTGCAGCGGCGCCAACTCGGCTCACCGCAAGCTCCGCCTCCCGGGTTCACGCCATTCTCCTGCCTCAGCCTCCCGAGTAGCTGGGACTACAGGCGCCCGCCACCATGCCCGGCTAATTTTTTTTTTGTATTTTTAGTAGAGACGTGGTTTCACTGTGTTAGCCAGGATGGTCTCGATCTCCTGACCTGGTGATCTGCCCATCTTGGCCTCCCAAAGTGCTGGGATTACAGGCATGAGCCACCGCACCCGGCCTACTCCGTGATTTTTAATAGAAAATAATAAGTAATCATTTTCCAACATTTTATTATGTAAATTTTCAAAATTCAGAAAAGTTGAAAGAAATCTACCATGGCCCCCCATTTATCCACCATCTAGATTCTACCACTAAAGCTTTACTGTTCTTGTTTTAATCATATGTCTATCCACTCATCTATTTCTCCATCCATTCATCAATAAATTAATCACGTTTTATTGTTATTTTATTTTGCCAAAAAAACTGAATAGCAAGTTGTCAGAAGAAGATGATCAGGAAGTAGTAAAACTTCATTTATAGTAGAAGTCAGTTTAAAAATAAGATGTATAATAAAGCTCTTGTGCAGCCCTTTGACAAAAATGAGTAATGTTTTCAAGTGAATTATTTTACATGTAGCTATTAGGGGCCAAATATGCATTAATGACCAGATGCATAAATTTCTTTTCTGTGTAACTTGGTCTGTTGGGGCATCTGGCTTCAAACAAAAAGCAAGTTTACTTAGATGTGATTAATACCATATAAAATAAAAGTAGAAAAAAATCATTCCTCAGAGCTAATTTTTCTTGATCCTGGTAGCATGAGCTACCAGGCACTTGTTACAACACACCTTACTGTTACATCAGAGAGGATAGTGGTTCTCAATACACATGCGCTGGGGAAGTCAGAGATACTGCATGTTAAAACTAGCTACAGTGCTTTTTTCAAACTGTAGAGTCACACACTTAATCCCCTATAATTTTTTTATATGCTTTGCTCTCTACCACAGATTCGACATTTGAGACTATTACATGGAATATCCACTAACAACTAACTTTTCTTTCAAGGAATATCGCAAGAAATGTTGAGGGGAAGAAGTGCAAACTATTTAATATTTGCACCTTTTGAAGGAAGAGGGAACTGAGACATAGGTAGCCAGCTCGCATCCCTTTCCTCATCGTGGGTCAGCATCCGTGTGAAGTGGGAAGAGAAAGCATGAGTCTATTTTAAGTGTATTTTTTTCCAAGCACAGTTTCTACTAATATCAGTGTAAACTTGCTCCCACTGGGGTAAACTCCACCAGTCTGGAGGACATGGATGGAGGTCTGGCTACGGGGAAAGAGAGGCAACTGGAGACACACTGGTTGCAAAAGCTCCAGTTATGGCATCACTTGAGTGACCATATAGCCTCATTTTCCAAAATAGTTACATTTTTTGTCTTATTTATTATTATACATTATTAACAATGTATCTTTATCCTAAAAGTGTCCTATTTTGGATAGTAAGCTGTATCCTTACCTAAGGCATCATTAAAGAGAAAGATAGTGGAATTTTCATGACTTTTAATCAATATAGGTGACTAAACCAGGAGGAGCCTTTTAATTAATGAGACAAATACCCCTCCAATAGGACTGGAGACTCCCCAGAGTGATAGGTAGAAACTCCAGAGTGATAGTGATGAGAACCACATGGTGTATCTAGAAATAAGGTCAGGTGAACACAGCAGTCTGATACATTCTTTGCAAAACAAACAAGACAAAAACCATGACGTAAAGTATTTATCAACTAGGACTGTAGCTGCCTTTCCACTTTGCTAATTAGAAACCTCCAGCACACAATCCTCAAGAGTTAAAGATGCCCATATAAATGGGGAGAACTCAAGCTGCCCAGGTCTCAAGGAGAATCGAGACAAACAATTTTTATGCAAATAGAAAACATGGATAGACTGTATAGACTTGTCATCCTCAATAGTCAGTCAAGAAAAATAAACAAGCCACATACAGGCATACATATGCATAACCAGTATGTTTGAAAATATTCAGCAACTAAAAAAGAAAATTTAAAAAAGAAAGAATGTAAAAGATAAATAAAGACTATAATTTTGAAAAATATTTACCTCAGCTAGGAAAATAAATTGAATTTCCGGTAACTGCTGTTTTGTATTCTCCGGGACATTAAGGGGAAAAAAACCCTAAAACATAGATTTAGTACAAGATAGGAAAGACTCTGTGTGAGATAGAAAGGAAGCTTATAGAGCTAGAGAAAGAAACTAATACAAATATAAATGAAGAATGCTGTTTAAGGAATTAAATTGGCATTAGACAATTTAAATAACTGGTATGCAGTCTACAAATACAGTCACCAACAACTTTTTTTTTTTTTTTTTTTTTTGCCATTTCTCTATCTGCATATGTCTCCCTCTATTTCCCCTCTCCTTGGATTTGGGTTGGCCTTGTAACTGATTTGACCAATTTGAAGGTGAAAGGAAAATGGTTATAGGGCTTTTGGGACCATACAGTAAGAGCATTAGCAGCTTCCACTGTCTCTCTCTTAGAACCCAGCTGCCATGTTGTCCAGGCTAGACCAGTGAATGACTAAAGCTTGTCTGAAAAGAGGCCTTGGAGAAAGGCCATTCTTGCAGCTCCAGCCCCAGTCCAGTTGAAATTGAATGTAGCTACATGAGTGACCTCAGTCATAATCAATTAAATCAAATTTACTTGCAACTGAAGACTAGAAGAACCACCCAGAAGAGCCCACTCAACTCACAGAATTAGAAGAAAATAGTAAGTATTTGTTGTTTTAAGCAACCAAGCTTTACAATGGATTGTTAAACAGCAACAGACATCTGAAACAATGATATTTCTTATGTAGGTAATCTATGCCAAACTTTGTGCTGAGTGCTTTCTATGTCCTGTCTCATTTAATCTTCAAATTCATCTTTTCTTCATCTCTAACACCGTTGCTCTGTATCAAACCATCATTTTTCTCCAATAGAAAAATAAAAATGCAAGTTTTCAAATTGTATTTCTAGACTTGTGACTTAAGCCCTCCCCAATTCATCGACTCGATATAGTGCCAAGAGATCTATTTTAAATAATTAAAGTACATCTCTATGAATACCAGACTTCATCTCTGTAATCTATCTCTTTAGCCATATTTCCCATCAATTGTCCCTCAATACTATCTCATTATTTCTCCCTGCTCTTACCCCACTACATAGTGTCCTTTGCATATATGTTCCTTTACCTGAGAAAGCCTTCCCTGCCCCCATTAATTCCACCAGGATTTTTACCTTCTTTTCAAAGTGTAGCTCGGGTATCATCCCCTCTAGAAAGCCTGTCTTCATTATCTCTGCTGCTATGATTTGACTGTGTCCTCTCTAAAATTCAGACGTTGAAAATTACTAGCCAATGTGTACATATTAAGATGATTAGGTCATGAGGCCTCCTCTCCTCATAAATGGGATTGAGGCCCCCATTAAAGAGACTTCAGACAGTATTTGAAGGGCACTTCCACCTTCCACCATGTGGGGACACAGTGTTCTTCCCCTCCAGAGATGCAGCAAGAAGAAGCCATCTTGAAAGCAGAGATAGCCCTCATCAGAAACTGAGCCTGCTAGCATCTTGATCTTGGACTTCCCAGCCTCAGAACTATAAGAAATAAATTTCTAGTCTTTATAAATTACCCAGTCTGTGGTATTTTGTTATAACAGCACAGACATTTGCCCAGGGCCAGATCAGTTTCCCCTGCATGGGTCACATAGAAGGCCACTGAAACCATTGTTAAAACAGCTTTGCCAAAGCATTGCATCAGTCTGTTTGTAAGTCTGCCACCTGCATTTGACTGTAACTCTGTAAAGGTAAATGCTTGCTTTTCCTAGCAATTGCTATACAGCTGTGTGACCTTAGGCATATTATGTATGCTCTCTGTGTCTCCACATTCTTTATTTGTAAAGAGAATTTCTCCTATAGAGTTTTATTGGGAGGATTAAATAAATTGGGCATGTACAGTGTTTAGAACCACTCAAAAATTTTAAACTTATTATTTTAATTATTACTCAATATGTTTATTAAGCATGCTGAATCTGAAAAGATAGCTAGGATTTAGAGAAACATGGTAAGGAAAGGGAGAAGGAGGAATGAGGGAGAAATTAAGAAATACATTCAATGTATTCAAGGTATAGATGATGCCCTCGTCATCTCAGTAAATAATGTCACCATCTACCCACACACTCAGAGCAGAAACCAGGAGGGCATTCATGAGATGTCACATAGTCCTGAATCCCTCACACTGAATTCATACAACTCTCAGTTTTCCCTCAAAAATGCATCTTGAATCTGTCTACTTCTCTCTCTATGGATACCACCCTAGTCTAAGCCATCATTGTTTACTTTGTAAACAACTACAGAAGCCTCCCAATGAACTTCCATTTTGCCCCTTGCCCTATAGCAACCACCATTCATCAAACAATAGTTAGAATGATCTTTCAAAGTGACATTTAGGTATTTAAATTTCTCTGATTCAAACTTTCACTAGAGCTACAATATTCTTAAAGTCTTACGTGATAAAGCCTTGCCTACCACTGCATGTCATTGCCCTCTTCTTCCTTGTTTTTAAATACCTTTTTGGCAAGGTGGGCCTCTTCCCGTTCCCCACTCAGCTTTTTCAAACCACAACAATTTCTGCACAGCCTAGTCTTCTTCCTTTGTTCTCCCAATGGTTTTACTGTCTCATCCTTCAGGACTCAGCTTAACTATCTGCTCAGAGAGAACATACCAGACTAGTAAACTTAATGTAAGCCATTCTTAGTCTATTCTCTCATGTGGCAAGGCTGTTCTCTGTCCAGTTAAAAGATTTTCTAGAATCTTAAATAAATATTTATTTTTCTGTTTGTTTAACTTGTGTCTTTCCCACTAAACTATATATTAGAAGGCAGAAGTGGGCTAGGCCATAAAATGTTGGTTAATTACAGTGAAACTTAAATTACAGTGGAATTTAAGTATCAGTTCTCAAAGATTTATATTCAGAAGGCAATTCCCTGAGAAGACAGATGTGTGTTTTTTTTAATAATATGATTTACAAAGAGGTAATTTTGTAATGGAGCAACTCCTCTAAGCTAAATGTGCTAACCATGCTCTGATATGCTAAAATGCCTTATAACTTATCTTTTTCCTGTTTTTCATACAAGAATGGCACAGCAGAACATAGCAATACAAAACATCAATAAGGCTCCAACACAACTAGAGATGTCTTTTCGCCCCACGTGGAACAGTTGCAATGGTTTTCAGGATATCTCCTGCGGCAGGTTCTTGGTTGTGTTTTCTACAATAATGGAAGTTATACAAATCTATATCTTTCCCTGGCAGAAAGGTAAGTCTTTATGGGAAGAAGTATCAAGAGAAGTGACTTCTGTTTTTCTGACCTTTCTGAATCCTTAGGCTGTGGAGGGGAAAACACACAAACAAAGAAACAAACAAACAACCTTAAATTCCCTGAGTGAGGTGGAGATTATCATTGGTTTTTTTGACCAGCCAGTAAGTTTTCCAGAGTCTTAATAAATCTCTAATTGTTACTGGCTGCAGAGAACTCTTTTCCTGCTGCTACTTGGTATTTGGATACATGGGCACACTTTCAAACTGTTATTGGTTGAGTTTCACAGCATCACACTGAATTAAGCAAAGCAAAATATCTCAATGGACAGCTCACATTGCCTACCTCTTTACCCAAATATCAGGAACTACTGGATGAACCACTGGAACCATTATTAGGACTGAAGCATAAAAATGCCTGTTTGATTAAATCAAAATTCAAGAGCATCTCTAATGTAGCTGTTCTGTGATCTAATGCACATAAAGGGATAATAGCTTCTTAGAACATCGATATCAAGGTGTATGCAAACAACTCTAGGGAGAATTTCAACAATAAGAGAGGCATTAATTCCAAGTGTTCTCTGAATAATAATGCCGAGTCTCCAGGTAACTCCTGGGATCCCCATGGGATATGATAGTTAGAGGACCAGCTTAAATTGAATTATCATTGTGAATTATCATTGTTAGTCTCTGTGTGATTCCTACTTGCTGTTTCTTCCACTCCTCTCCAATCCCTCTCTGTTGTTACATTTTTTTCTTTTACTCACAGCACTACAATCTTTGATTAGATTGCATAGAATTCTCAGCACTTAAAGTTTCCATAATATTTCATAAAACCTAGATCCTTTATCAAGACAGCATATGAGCTATAAATCACTTTTCTTTCCCTTCTCTCTTTGCTGGTCAGTTCCTTCAATTATGACTGGAAGTGCTTGTTGAAGATATTCTGCAAGAATATTCTGTGTTTATAGATAATAAATCCTCAGATTCCCTTCTCATGCTGAAATGGCATACTATCTAAGATAACAGTTCATTCATTTCAACCTCTGTACCTAAAGGTACAGAGGTATTTTATAACCTCTGTACCTAAAGTAAAATATTTAGGGTTCAAAGATCTTTTACTAAGTTTTTGCCTACACAGGTAAATAAAATTCATCCAGGGATTAAAATATTCTCATCAAATCTTCTTCCAGGCCCTCAAAATCTGTGAAGCAGAAATTGCCCTGATGTCAACTTCGATGCAGCTACAATTGTTCCTTTAAGAATGAAGTTCAGAAAGATGTACAATTATTATGTGTCGCTTATGAATAGAATTTAAAAAATTTTAAAGAGTAATAGAGCTCAGAGTAATATAGAACACTTAATAAATATGCCATGATCAAATGTATTTTGGTATATTATTTTATATATGGATATAGAAATGCACACAAAGTTGGCTTTTGTGGTCTATTCTACCAACCTGGGAAAAAAATGGTTATGAGGAAAGTAGAGAGAAGTGGATAAGAGTACAGTTATTGACATTGGAATTAGATTAAATTAGACTTGAATTTTTGACACTGCACTTTGTAGCTGTGCAAACTTGACCAAGTTACTTATCTTCCCTGAGGGTTTTTATCCTTTTCTCTAACATACGTAAGATTGACCTCATGGGGTTAGTGGGATTATCACCTGAGGAAATTCAATCTTGGCACAGTGTCTGTGCATAGCAAACAATCAATACATATTGGCCAAATACAGTACAAAGAACACTGACTAGGAGTTGGGAGCGTTGTATTCTAAACCTGGCTCTGGTGGGGTGCAGTGGCTCACGCCTATAATCCCAGCACTTTGGGAGGCCGAGGCAGGCAGATCTCTCAAGACCAGGAGTTCAAAACCAGAACCAGCCTGGCCAGCATGGTGAAGCCCTGTCTCTACTAAAAATACAAAAATTAGCCATGTGTGATGGCTCATGCCTGTAATCCCAGCTACTCGGGAGGCTGAGGCAGGAGAATTGCTTGAACCTGGGAGGCAGAGGTTGCAGTAAGCCAAGATCGTGCCACTGCACTCCAGTCTGGGCAACAGAGTGAGACTCTGTCTCGAAAGAAAGAGAGAGAGAGAGAGAGGAAGGAAGGAGGGAGGGAGGGAGAGAGGGAGGGAGGGAAGGAAGGAAGGAAGGAAGGAAAGAAGGAAGGAAGGAAGGAAGGAAGGAAGGAAGGAAGGAAGGAAGGAAGGAAGGAAGGAAGGAAGGAAAGAAGGAAGGAAGGAAAAAAAAGAATCAACTTGGCTCTGTCACTAACCAACAGTGTGATGAAAAAAAAAAAACATGTCTCTCAGTGGTCTCTTCATGCAGAAAATAGGACAGTTGGACTAGATTAGTATTTTTCTAAATTTTACTTAACCAAACCGGCACTTTCTCTTTAAGTATAATCTTATATGGAACCTCATTATATAAAACTAAACAGAAGAGTAGCTGCTGCCCTGGTTGAAGTAGAAGAGTTTTAGAATATGTATGTGTGTGTAAATATATACAGCATACATATTCAGATATACATGTATATTTGTATATTACAACATATTTATGCTGTAGTAACAGGAAAAATCCATGTCCCTAAATTCCTATAACCTCCACAAGTAACTGCACCAGCAAAAGAGCAAAGCAGATCTTCCAGGCAGTTCCTTAAACAAGCACTGTTGTTTTTATAGAATCTAGCATTGAATCACAATGAGCCGAATTTCAACTTTCATTCATAATTAATGGACAATAGGAAGACTAATCTATACTAAAGAGGCTTCTTTTCCTCTCAACAGTCGCATTCTTTTCATGTAAGCAATGCAATGCTAAGTACTTATAGTGATTGCAATCTCTTCCAAGAAAATCTTCTATGGCACTTAAATATAATCACTACCTAACCCAGGACAACTTGTGTCATCAATACACTCTCTTGTTGAGTAATCAAGACATGAAATTTAGTTTTGCTTTGGTTTCTGTTCTCTCTCCTGTAAAATAGAAATGTAGTTTTGGAGCAAATATGTTGCTGTTAGGCAGATTTGAAAATAGGAACTTTTAAAAGGGAATGTTCTCGTTGTCATGTAGTTTACAAAGAGACCACTCTTGCAGGTGTGTGTACTAAGAGTATCAATGTATATCAGCACAGCCTAACAGCTTAATTATTTTATTATATGATTTGATTTAAACAACTGCCAAGTTGACATTTTGGGTGGTCTGGAGTGTCGTCAAGATGACAGACTAGGATCCACAACTGGAAGAAGCCAGCACCAAATGGAGCAGAGAGCTGAGTTGGAAATAGTCAGCATCAGCCAGCAAAGGCAGCCAGACAGGTCAACCTTGTCCTTCAGGTGAGAGAAGCCTCCCAGAAAACACAGTCCATCACTCTGGAGAATATTTTGGGAGAGGACAGGGTCCTGCTTGATAAATAGAACAGCAACAGAGGTACAGCAGGTCAAGGGAGTAAGGGAAGTGTCAAGAGTCAGATACTTGGGAGTATGTGTGTGAGGGGATGGTGGGTAAGACATGAACACATGGACCAGGTGAGTTCATGTTACTGCCGAAAGAAGTAGCTGCTATTCAATTCTTGGGCATGTGTGTCCTAGTCTTCCAAGAGAAGCCAGAAATCTGTATTTTTAAGTGAAAACTACAATTGTGAAGCATTGCCAAAAACTTCATTTTGTTTTTTAAAATACTGTGAAAATGGAAGCAACCTTATGCCAACCCACATGAAATATATTTGCCTTAGGGCTTTACGTTTCACATATCAGGCCTGGAATTCCATACTTTTAGGTGTATGCTTATAAATTTGGCCCTGATTCATGGGTACTTTTCCAGTTTTGTTATAATTTATTTCTTTGGATCTGAGTAAGCATCACCAAATTGCCCTAGTATTCATGGGAGGCCAACTTTATTCTTACTTTGGCATTCCAAAGAAACTTCCTGAAGCTCAAGAAATATGGCAGTCTGTTCAAGGGTGGTCTTGTCTGCCTCATTATTTGATTTCTTCAGGATATCCTGAGATGAATTCGCTGACCTTCCCCTCGCCCCGAAAATGTCCCATTCTTTCATTTGCCAAACATTTCACAATCTAGCAAAGTGTATCATAAAATATTTGGCTATTCCATATGTAAACGGAAAATAAAATTCTAAGTCCCCCACCTGACCGAACAGATCATCTCTTGGCCAAAGGGACCCCAAAATAAGCTTGAAAACTGCTTTATTGGCCATAATGAAATGGGAGGTCAGACATGCCTTGTTATACCCCCTCCCTTGCTAATCACAATTAGGCTTTATTCCCTAAGGGCTAAACAGAAACCAGTTCTTTCAAAAGACCACACTACTGATCTGCCTGAGGCTGCCCTTCCTTTTTTGGCTGATAAGAGAACACTGACCATGGAATGGTTCTGTCCAGTCTATGGAGAATGTGCAGTAAGAGTTTTTGCGACCTTGGCTTCACCTATTGATGTTAGAGCATGGAAAACGCCACCCTCAGATCATGCTTGTACTGCCATTTTTTTGTAGTGAGACTCAGGAAGGGGCATAAAGCTCCGCTGGATCTGTGCATGTTTCTTCTATCACAAATATTCATGACTCCTCCTACAGCTTATTAAATATGTATATTCAGTCACTAGCTCAGCATAAATTCCTGTTCCCTTTGCCCCTCCCTCAAAGTGTCTGTTTCTGGCTTCTGACTGGAGGCTACACTTCTCAGCCCGTCAGAATGGCCACCCTGCAAGCTGCAACCCTTTATGAGAAACAAACTTCTCCTTTCCAAATTTATGAACTTTGTCATTCTTAAATTTCCACATAGGATATGGCACAGGAGCTAGGAGCACAAACCAATTTAAATGGGTGTGAGAAGAGGATCAAATCCAAATTCAATCTAAATTTGTCACATTTATATAGTAATTGTTCTTAGAAAGTCATTAACACATTTTTTTTTTCTCTGTAGAAGGGGAACAGAGGGGAAATACTACTGCTGTCATGCAAAATATGTTCATTCCTTTTTTTCTCTGAAACTCGATTCTCCTAGCAGATCTTTCATAGTGGGTGACAATGAAAATGCCCAGGTGAGACAGTGCAGTGTGCTGCCCTCCCCCTCCCTGGCCAGTGCTCCTCAGAGTTTCGGTTCACTCTCCAGTTAGGTAGACCTCTCTGAAGTTTGAAGTGAAAGACTCTTCCCTTCTTTCACACTCAGCATGAAGGGAGGAAGCAGACCTTTACCAGCTCCTTGGGGAATTTGGACCCATCAGAATCTCTAGAAAGTGTTCAGAAGTAAACAGTGGATCCTCCGAGGGACAGCCTTTGAGATTTCAAAGTAAAAGAGACCAGGAAAACTCTAAAAAGCACAGTATAAAAAGGAAAATAAACTAAATAAGAGTCACTGAGAGAAAAGTGAGTTCTGGAGGCCTAAGGCTCCCACTACAGGGGAGCATTTTGAAACAGCAATTAACATAACTCTCTTGAACTGCTTAGAGTCTTTATAGCTACTTTCCTATAACTTCCCTGCTTTTACATATACATAACCTGCTCCCTTTAGGCACCAGTTAATACCTCCATTAAAACTCCCCAAAACCAAAAGCAAGTTTCAAAACAAGTGGTTGCAACTGTCTTAGAGCACAGAAAAGAGAAATGGCAGAATCCTTTGACCTCCAAGGGAAGCTATTTTATTACATTAAAGAAACACAGGAAGAGAGAAAGAGAGAAAATATTTTCCTTTCCAGGAGCCGTGAATTCATGCAGATTTTACTATGTGCAAATGTATATCAATATTGCTTTTCTTTGATGGAAGACATTTGATTCATTGCTCCAAGGAAGATATTAAAAACAAAACAGCAGCAAAATATTGGGAAAAGAAATGAAATGAAGACTGCATCTCCTCATCTTCTTCTTCCTTATTTTGCAAACTTTTCTTCGAGATCAGTGGTGACTTCTCTTTTAAGGACAATGCTGTTCATAACATCTACTCACCACTTTGTATTTTTTATCATTTGAGGGATGTAGCTAGCACCTCCTAAAAGGGTATCTTTTATCAGCTGTCTTCAGGAAAAACAACAACAACAAAACTATAAACACTGCTTGAAGTTTATAATGCTTAGGTTATCAACCTGTGACTGAAATGCTGCACGGTTCCATTAAGTGTCAAAATAAATCACAGTAATATACTTGGCTAACAGGGCTTGGGCTATTAGGATGAGTTAACAGGGAATTGATCTGATTAATTAATTAGTAATATCATTTTAGATGAAAGCTGTGCCTTTTGAAAGAGCTCCCAGTGCTTTGTAATCATCATCTTACTTTTTCCTAGATGATTCAGAGAGTAAAATGAGATGTCAGAGCCCCAAATGACATAGCTGATTTGCAGCAGAATCAAGTTTAGAATCTCTGTCCCCTCATTTTAAAGAATATGTTCTAAACACTGAATCATCATATTTCTCTGATTAAAAAAAATAGCACTCCCTGATTTACAACTTAACATCTGTGACATTCTTAAAACTGTATCATGTCACTTGAGGTCAAGTGAAATCACAAAACAAAACCAATTATTTGTAGACAAGATAATCATTATTTAATCATCTGACGGAAATGAGGTTCAAAGACATAAGAGCAGATGAAACAAAGTACAAAAAAGGATAATAGCAACCTCCTGATTATCTGGTAGGGCTTTTACTATCTCTGCATCAAATAAGGGATTTAAATGACTCAAAAGGAAGATATTTTGAAATACCACTGATATGGTCTGTCTCTGTATCCCCACCCAAATCTTATCTCAAATTGTAATTACCACGTGTTAAGAGGGAGGTGATGTGCTCTCCTCGTCATAGTGAGTTCTCACAAGATCTGATTTTTTTTTCCAGGAAAGAAATATCTGTTTTCAATGCTTAATTTCTTTTTATAAATTTATTTTGTACTGCAATAGATTTTTGGGAAACAGGTAGTATTTGATTATATGAGTAAGTTCTTGAGTGGCGATTTCTGAGATTTTGGTGCACCCAATATTTGATGGTTTTACAAATGTTTAGAAGCTCCTCCTTCTTTCTTCTCTCTCTTGCCACCATGTGAAGAAGGTCCTTGCTTCCCCTTCGTCTTCTGCCATGATTGTGGGTTTCCTGAGGCTTCCCTAACCATGAGGAACTATTAAGCCTCTTTCCTGAGTCTGGCATATTTCTTTATAGCAGTGTGAAAACAGACTAATACAATCATTCTAACCACATAATTAATATTAGAATCAAATCATAACAGTAGCCAGAACAGCTTTTGGTGTTCTGTGAATCTGTGATTACTTAGCTTCCTTGCCAGTTGAGAAAGAGTTAAATGACCTAGAAACCTAGCTCTGCTATAGCCCTACGACCTTGAAAATTTCATGTAATTTTTCTGAGCCCCAGTTTTCTCATCTACAAAATGCTAATAGAATCACTTACTATGTGGATTAAGTCAATGTATGTACTTGAAAGTGCTGAGTAAATCCTGTGTTTCTCTAGTAATGCAACATTGTAACATCATAGGTACACAGTCCTTAGTTTTTAGGAAAGATCTACACAAGGTTAGGCCAAAGAGCTTGACCACGTGTTAACTCTGCATGGGGCAGGATGAAATTATGGCCTCATTGAATACAAAAGAAATATATATATATATATATATATATATATTTTTTTTTTTTTTTTTTGAGACCGAGTCTCACTTTGTCGCTCAGGCTGGAGTGCAGTGGCGCGATCTCGGCTCACTGCAAGCTCTGCCTCCCGGGTTCATGCCATTCTCCTGCCTCAGCCTCCTGAGTAGCTGGGACTACAGGTGCCCGCCACTACGCCCGGCTAATTGTTTGTATTTTTAGTAGAGATGGGGTTTCACCGTGTTAGCCAAGGATGGTCTTGATCTCCCGACCTTTTGATCCGCCCACCTCGGCCTCCCAAAGTGCTGGGATTACAGGCATGAGCCACCGTGCCTGGCCCAGAAAGATTTTAAAACTATCTTAGATGTGTAATTATAGGGTCATATATTGGTAAACAAGAGAGGTTTCTAGTCAAAGCTTGCAAATAACAATCTCAAAATTACATCTGGTCTGCAGATGCTTTGTTTTACCCAGACATATATATTACATACATGCATACATACATCTACATACACATACATACATATGCATACATGTAATTTTCCATATGTATACAGACAGACAGAAAGTAAGCTGCTTTCTAACTTTTTTTTTTTAAATAGAAAATTTAGACAAAAGACTGTGACTTTCTATCTCCCCTCTTTAAAAATCAAACATCTGGCAGGGCGTGATGGTTCACATCCATAATCGTAGCACTTTGGAAGGCCAAGGTGGGAGGTTCACTTGAGCCCAGGAATTTGAGACCAGCCTGAACTACATGGCAAAATCCCATCTTTACAAAAAAAAAATAATAATAATAATTAGCCAGGTGTGGTGGTGTGTGCCTATAGTCCCAGCTACCTTGGAGGCTGAGGTGGGAGGATCACTTGAGCCCAGGAAGTAAAGGCTACAGTGAGCTATGATTGTGCCACTGTACACCAGCCTGGGTAACAGAGGGAGACCTTGTCTCAAAAGAAAAAAACAAACACAAGAAGAAGAGACATTTGACCCTGAGGCTGAGTCCCTGCTGCCTGATTTTGATGGTGTGTTCCCTCTGCTGTTTGCTTCATTCCTGTCAGTTTCTGAAGGCATTTCAGTGTATGATATTTGTAGCAGAATGTGGAAAATTGGATTATTGTTCTGCAAATATCTATGGCTTTTCCAAATCCCTCCTACCCGTGGACAGAACACACTCTCATTCCTCATTGATTTGGAGTTTGATCACGAGACTTGCTTTGGCCAATGGAATGTCAGCAGATTGGACACGAGAAGAAGGTTTAAGTGTGCTTGGGTGTTTGGCCAGGACCTATGTTTGTATTGTTTGCCAGGAGGAGGGTGTGTCCCAGGAGGTGGCCCCTTTATCTAAGGGCTTAGATTAAGACACAGGGAGTGGATTTGAGCCCTTCTTTCAGGATCTTAGCCTGGAGCCAAGGTTGGGTGACCTACAGCCTAAGGCAGGTCTGCTCCAGCACACGTGAATTAAAAAAACAAAACCTTATTGTAAGCCACTGAGTTTCAGGATGGTCTGTTATGCAGCATTATTGTGCCAATAGATGACTGATACCCTACATTATTGTTTTCTCTGTCTCTCTTTCTCGCTGTTTGTGAGTTTGTGTCTTTCTTTTAAGTTCCTGATGAGAGTTGGGAACAAGGGTGAAATAGAAAAGCTGTAATAGAGTCAGAGATGAGTAAAAATGGGAAAGTCTTCTGGAATTATTTCATCCAAACCCATCATCTCCCCAGAGAAGTGAAGTCAGTCTTTCAAGATCAGCTAGAATCTACTTTTCTTAGTCCTGATTCAACGATCTTTATGTCTGCCACAATTCTTCCTTAGACTTAGAAAGGCTATAAATGACCACTGATAGAGGAAACATCTCTTTCTTCTCAGAAGATATAAAGAAGAAGAGGTAAAATTAGAAATTTGTGGGCAAGGCTGGATGCAGTGACTTATGAAGCAGAAGGATTGCTTGAGCTCAGGAGTTCGAGGCTGCTGTGAGCTATGATCATGCCACTGCACAGCAACCTGGGCAAGAAAGCAAGACCCTATCTCTAAAAAAAAAAAAAAAAAAAAAAGAAAATTAAAATAAATTAAAAAAATAAATTTATGGGCAAGAAAACCTAGCATTCCTTTCCTTCAGATGCAAAACTAAAACACATCATTATGTGTGGGGGGGCGCACTCACACACATGCATGTGTGTCTACCTGGGAACTTTAATAGTTTAAGGAATGTGAGCCAGTTGTTGATGAAAATACATGTATTTTTAATTTACAAAAAATACTCTCAGGATGAGATTAACAAATGTAAAACTTTTCTGACCTTCCTTATTTCTTGCACACTCACTCTCAAATACAAATTTTAGAATCCTTTAAACTCTTCGAAGAGAAGTAAATATGGAGATTCAGTGTTAGTTTTCATAATAACTTTAAGGATATATATAGTCATGTGCCATATAATGATGTCTTGGTCAATAACGGACTGCATATTCAGTGTTATTCCTATAAGATTTTAATGGAGCTGAAAAATTCCTATTGTCTAATAATGTCATAGCCATCATAATGTCAGAGCACAACTACTCATGTGCACTATTATCATTGCACAATTATTCATGCGTTTGTGGTGCTGCTGGTATAAATAAACCTACTGCAAAGCCAGTCACATAAAAGTCTAGCATGATTATATACATACATAATAGTTAATAATAAATAATTATATTAGGTGGGGCGTGGTGGCTCACACCTGTAATCCCAGCACTTTGGGAGGCTGAGGTGGGCAGATCACCTGATGTTCGGAGTTCGAGACCAGCCTGACCAACATGGAGAAACCCTGTCTGTACTAAAAATACAAAATTAGCCGGGCGTGGTGGCGCACGCCTGTAATTCCAGCTACTCGAGAGGCTGAGGCAGGAGAATCGCTTGAACCCGGGAGGCGGAAGTTGCAGTGAGCTGAGATTGCACCACTGCACTCCAGCCTGGGTGAGAGAGTGAGACTCCGTCTCAAAAAAAACAAAAAAACACAAAACAAAACAAAACACCATTGCATTACTGGTTTATGCATTTACTATATTAAACTTTTTATCATTATTTTAAAGTGTACTCCTGTACTAATTAAAAAGGTTAATTGTAAAACAGCCTCAGGAAGGTCCTTCAGGTATCCAGAAGAAGGTATCATTATCACAGGAGCTGACAGCTCCATGAGTATATCACCCCTGAAGACCTTCCAGTGAGACAAGATGTGGAGGTGGAAGATAGTGACATCGATGATCCTGACCCTGTGTAGGCCCAGGGTAACGTGTGTATTTTTGTTTTAGTTTTTAACGAAAAAGTCTGAAAAGTGAAAATAAATACATACATGAAAATTAATAATTTAAAAATGGAAAAAAGCTTACGGAATAAAGATATAAAGAAATAAAATATTTTTGTATAGCTGTACAATGTGTTTGTGTTTTAAATTGTATGATTACAAAATAGTCAAAAAGTTAAAATTAAGTTAAAAATCATAAAGTAAAATGTGTTACAGTAAATAATTTATTATTGAAGAAAGAAAAATATTTTTTGTAAATTTAGTGTAGCCTAAGTGTACAGTGTTTCTGAAGTCTACAGCAGTGTGCGGTAATGTTTGAGGACTTCACATTCACTCACCACTCACTCACTGACTCACCCAGAGCAACTTCCAGTCCTGCAAGCTCCATTCATGGTAAGTGCCCTATACAAGTGGACCATTTTTATCTTTTTATATCATATTTTTACAGTATCTTTTCTATGTTGAGCTATGTTTAGACACACAAATATCATTGCACTACAGTTGCCTACTGTATTCAGTACAGTAACATGTTGTATAGGTTTGTAGCCTAGGAGCAATAGGTTATACTGTATGGCCTAGGGGTGTAATAGGCTATAACATTTAGGTTGGTATAAGCACAGTCTATGATGTTTGTGCAATGATGAAACTGCATAACAAGACATTTCTCAGAACATTTCCCCATTGTTAAGCGATGCACGACTACACACACACACACACACACAGACACATACACACAAACACACACACAGCCTCATTTTCTTTTTGCAGTAACTTTCATGCTATATACATATATCTTTTATTTTCTCTATTGCCTATTTTTTTTTTGCAACTGATGCTAATATGCTAATTCTAAGATATGATACAGCTTTATAAATAATGGTTGGTCATAGACTTAAGAAAAAATGTTTCAGGTTTTCAATTTCAAAGGATGAAAAAATTTTACTTAACAAAGAAATAAGCCAACACAGGGGTTGTGAATGTCTTTGGCAATCGGTGGTTAAAGGGATTAGCAGAGATCCCCTGAGAGGAAGAAAGAACTTTATGTAGTGAAACAGAAAAAGAAAAATCATTTAGAGTAGAACTTGAAATAAAAATGAGTCCAGAGAGAAACAATTTCAGACTTGGAAAATTAACAATGAATACAAGGTACTTGAAAATTGTGAAATATTTGGCTTGTAAACATGAATGTGATCTAACACAATCTATAAGACTTAAGACTAAAGTGACTTCATACTCTAGAAAACAGGAAAAATCATGCACTTCAAGGCAGAAGAAATGAGGGGCTAAAGATAATCAATACAAGGTGGAGAATTCTTTGCCATTGGTTAAACAAGTCTTTCTTCATTTAAGAAAGGATGGCTTGTCAGCATGAGTTGCAAATCAACAAGTCATTTTTGTAAGAATCAGAAAAAGCAGTCCTTCTCTCTAGAAATGTAACTATTGTTTGCCAGGAAATTATTGCAATAAATATACAAAATTTTAGGAATATGGCATGAATAGCATCTCCTGCATCATGCGGTGCACAGACTATACAACCTTAGGCAGCTGTCCTGGGTTGAATACAGTGTCCCCAGCATTCTTAGAATGTGGTGTATCACAAGGGCTCCGCTATTCATCTCAAAAGATGATCTATACAAGTTTTTGAGGAAAACCGAAAGAGAAAACATAAAATCTAGTTACTCATTGTGTAGGGAAATTATGTACTTGTGTTATTTTATAAGCTTTATTTTTTTAAAAGAGAAAAAGCTGGCCTCTCATATTTGTGGTATCGATAGATTGCTGAAGTGTACATAAACTCTTGGCAGCACTGCCCTGAGAAGTGAGAGCTCCTTCCTTGAATCTGAGCTTGAACACGTAATTGGCTTTGGTCAGTGGGACGATAGCAAATCTTACACGATCAGAGACATGAAAAGTGTTGTGCAAGGGGGCTCGCCCTCTGGCTAGGTGGATCCCTTCTGCCACCATGAAAACAAGCCTGGGCCAGCCAGTTGAGGATAGAGACCCCGCATGGAGAGAACTCCAAGCTAAGAGTCCTGAGATATAATAGATGTCTGTTTTTAAGCCATTATACTATGAGGCGGTTTGTTATGTAGCAAAAGGTAACTATTACTGGGTCTCAAGAAAAGAATTGTTGCAAATTCCACATCATCGCCATCGATCGTCTAAGTAATAAAAGATGGCTTGAGTCATCTCCCTTCTTTGGGATTCTTGTTGTGTCCATAAAGTTTGACCATGAAGACATCTTTTTTTGTTGACCACCCTTCCTGGGGTTTGAGGGTGATTCTTAAATACTTTAACTTTTTAAGGGAAAGGAATCTCCTTAGCAGCTGGCCAAGAAACTGGTAGTAATGCCCGCCATTAACTTCAGGAGAGAATAAGAGACTTGTTTGAAGAAGGAAAAAAAGTTTACTTGAGTTTTAAAAATTTGACAATTGTGAGTGGTAAATGTAATCTGACTGTTTATGAAATAACCAATCACTTAATTAAGGCCTAGAAAAGCAAAGAGAACCTCTCAATTTCTGAAAAGGAATATTAAGTCCTCTAGCTAGAATATCAGTTCATCCCTTAGAAAGGCAGCTTGCTTCTATTGTGAAGAAGTACTAAGCATTAAATGATGAGAAGGAAACCATAAGGAGAAATGGCTCTGATGGAGATGGCTTGTGATGAGCAGAACTTTGCTTCTAAGAAATAAATCTCCAGGTTAGAAATGTTATTAGACATTACCAAAGGGAACACACAGAGACCCACACTAAAAAGCATACTTGGCTGGGAGAAAAAACAAATAAAAAACATAAGAGAAATATGACAATTATTTCCATCATCATCTTCAGATGGAGGAGTAAGAGTGATATTTATTTTCTTCTTCTCACATCCCTGAGTTAGTTTATCTCTCTCTTTCTCTCTCTCTCCAGAATATTTTATTGCTTCCATGAAAGGATGCCAAAAACAAAAAGTATATGCATTAATTTTATATCTGCTTTTCTTGAAAGTATAAAAAGTACAAATACTTACATTGTATAGATTGTCATTGCAACATTGGGTGAAGGCAGGCCAAGTACAAGCTCTATTATCTGTCTATCTCACCAATCTTATCTACACACATGTGTATATATCTCTGTGATATGTCTATCTTGACATATTCCTTTCTTGTTGCTGTTGTAAATATGTTCACTTTATTTCACTTCAGGATCTCATTAACTTTTTATGTTTTCCCTCTTTAACACAAAAAACACATAAATATATGCAAACAGTATATGAAGGATAATCATAGTATTTATAGATTGAAAAATAAAAATATTCTTTCCCACCGTAATAGATTTGCATGTATCATTTCAGTTTGCTTGTGCCATTTTCTACACATTTACAAACCTGAACAATACACCGTTCAATAATGAATGTTTCTGTTATGAAAATTAGATCACACTTTATTGGTAAATAGGGGAATCATCAGTATAATATAGAAGTCACATTGGTTCACATGTTTGTTGTTTATAAGGCAAGGAGAACCAGAAGAATGGGAGTAGAATTATAAATTTCAGCAGGAAAGAACAGAGCTCTGAGCTCAGTATTTGAACTGGCAGCAGAGGCCGTTTTGTTTGCATTAAAAATAATAATAAGGAAAAGCTAGCAATTGCATCCAGAATTCCTTTCTTCGAGAGGAAAACCCAGCTGTCAATGGATAGCAGGTTGCACTGCAATGAAGGCCAAGGGGTAAGAGCCTATAGAGCATGGAGGGCTATGTCTGATAGGGTAGCTAGACAAGACCTCTTTGAGGAAGTGCCATTTGAGAAGAAATGTCACTAGAAGAAGTGAGAGAGCAAGGCAGCAAAGACCGGGGGTTGTGTGTGGTTTTCCAAGCAGAGGGAACAGCAAGTGAAAAGGCTCGAGGTGGACACAAGCATGGGACATTTGGAGAATAGCAGGAAGGCCAGCATGGGTAGAGTGAGCAGAGAGCAGAAGGAGAAAACCAAGAGATTAGCAGGGACTAAATCATAAAGGTCATCGTAGGCTGAGATGAGAAATTTAGACTTTATTCAGAGGGTGCTTGGAAACCACTGGAGAGTTCTGAGCAAGAAATTGCTGTGATCTGATTTTGTGTTTAAAAACTCACCCTGGATGCTGCCTGAGAATCCAATATAAGGGGAAAGAGTCAAATCAGGAAAACCCATCAGGAAGCTTTTATAGCAGCTTAGATGAAAGGCAATGATGTTTTGAACTATGGTGGTGGCATCGGAAGAAGACGTATTTTAATAATAAAACTGGTAGGTGGCTGGCACATGGATTGGAGGTGGAGTGCAAGGGAAGGAGAGAAATCAAGAACAATCCCTAGGCTTGGGTCTGAGTAAATGGGTGAATGGTGAGGCCATTTATGATGGCGGGAAAGGCTGGGCAAAACAGGTTTGGTGGAAGGGAAGGAGTCAAGAGTTCCTTTTAGACAGTTAATTTTAAGATGCCTATTAGACATCCCTGTAGAAAACTATGAATTTCAAGGTGGTATTAAATGGATGAACAGAACAAATAAATATTCTTTCTAATGGTCAAGTAATCAGAACTTGCTAATGATATGTGACAGTGTTCATCTTAATCAGATCAATATAACAGAAAAAAATAATATAAAATAGAAGACATAGAAGAACTTCAAAATAGAACATAAACACTAGGTCATATCAAATTGAGTGGCAAGTTTAACAAGGCAAAAGTGGCAGATAATGGTGCACAGCACAGCCAGCTTTCTCTTCATCATACACTTCTCTTCTATGGAATGGCAGGGCTTTGTTTCAACTGGCTGGCCACTTCCAGCCTTTCTTCCAGTTTGGTTCTAAACCCTGCAACCCTCCCACTTACAAATGTAACTCTTTAATATGTTATTGAAATTATGCAAATCTTGCTAAAAATCTAGCTCAAATCAAAGTATATTTATGTCTTACTTTGATATTAGAAAATTAGGGTATGTTTCACAGATTTCCAACTATCATAACATGTATCTTTTTATTCATGCATTATAAAAGTAATTTTCTTGCAAATATTACCTAAACAGAATCAATTAGCCATGAAACTACACAGCCTTTGAATGCATTGGTCTGTATTTGTAACAATTGACCCAAATTCAATTTTCTCAGTTGAGTTAGCAGAAAGCATGTTAAATAGAACATTGAGACAAAAATCTGTGTTTTTTTTTTAAGGCAAGATTATTTGGATCTGATTTCTGTCCATATTAGGCCAGTTCTCCACTTCTTCTATTATACTTAGTCATAGTCTAAGCATGTAGCTATGACTGTATCAAATATTCATTGCTAGTGCCAGATAGGTAAATATATCAAAAGCCAAAGTTATAAAGAACACTTTCACCTAGTCACAATCTGAGAACACCTTCAAATGCCTGTGATGTTTGTGTGTATGTGTGTGTGTGGTGAATATATACTTGCACACCACACTTCTTTTTCCTTCATTCAACCTTTGTCTGGTGTCTTACATCATAAAATGATATGATACCACTTGATGGCAGGCTTTGATGTTGTAAAGTTACTTCCCAATTCAACTCACTGCTGATGTTGTTCAAAGTCAAAACCATCTCGGGTGGTTCTGCCACTGAGCGCAATCAGGATGGGCTCGACAGAGGAGCACTGAACTGTCACTGCCCTTCAGGGGTCAAGATGTCTCCCTCTTACTGAGATATGTCAGTGGCGGTGCGCAGAGGGTCCCTTTAAGTATCAGTTATCAGGTAAAATTCATCAAAGACCAAAACCAGAGCTAAGCAGCTACACTGTCTGAAAACATCCTCTTGGCTTTTAACAAGAGAACTGAGCAGCAAATAGAATGGTTACAGCTTTCTAAAGGAAAACCAAAATACTGAAATTCCCTTACCGTTGTTGTTAATGAATTTATTCTCACCAAATGGTTATCTGGATGTAAGACACCAAGACTTCCACTCCATTTGGTATGTGTATATGTTGTGCATGTGCCCGTACACTCACTCATTGGGCACATATTCTTTCAAATAGACCTTATAGATGGTACAGTAATTGTAACAAGCAATGACAAAACTCAGATAGCAATGATCGTTTAGTAGTGCTCATGAATATCTGGATGGTCTTTGGTTATTAGCAAGTCACCAGAACAGTTTTATCTTACATGTCCCTCACCCCTCTCCTGGGACTAGCAGACTGGCCAGGAATATTCTTCTCATAGCCATAACAGGGTGCAAGAGGATGAGCAGCTGCACCAAGGCCAATGAAAGCCTGGACTAAGAGCCACAAGGAGGCTGTTAACTCTGCTTCTTTCTATTGGTCAAAGCAAGTCACATGGTCAAACTCATGCTCAAAGTGGTTGGGGAAACAGACCTGCTCCTTTAGTGGGAGGAGCTCCAAGGTCACATGGCAAAGGGTGTAGGAACAGGGAGGTTTAGGTAGAATGGTTAGTAATTTGTCTACCAGAGCCCACCTATGCATCTTTTAATCTGAAGAAATAACAGTAGCACAAGGTCTAAAAACATGGAATTGAGGGCAGACAGACCTGAGTTCAAATGCTTACTAGCTCTGGCCCTGGAGTAATCAATGTCACCTGCCTTGTCCTTACTTTCCACGTGAGTAAGATGAAAACAGTAACATTCGCCTCACAGGATTTCTGTGATTACTGAAAAAATGTATGAACAGTAGTCTGTAGTATTCTCCTAAGAAGTTATGGCACTTGTTATCATTGTTATTGTTATTGCCATTATTTCCATTATTATTATTATTCAAACCTAGAAATAGCTGGGGCTTTTATTCTATCATCTGTCAAAATTGGCATACTCAATTTCTTCCTTAAATGCTTCAGATAGAAATCATATCACCTCTGCCCAAAAAATTACCCAAAGAAAACAAAATAAAACCTATGGGCTGCATGTCCTTGGGCATCATTCCTGTCCCACACAGCTGTTGAAAGGAGAATCTGTGAGGTGAAACACTGTGTGTAAATAGGGAAATTTAAAGAAAGCTTTAGAAGCTGAGAAGGAAATCAAAGGTCTTCCTGCAGTCATTACTGGGGAAAATGAGTTGCTTTGCTTTGGCAGGCATTATTTTCTTTTGAAATCATTTGGAAAATAGGTTATTTGCAAGGCTTAGTGATTGAGCGGTTGGCCGAGACTGGTACATATTTTGGGGAAAAGCGCTCTAGCTTTTCTGGATTGGATCTTCTGTAAAATCTGAGTCACCACACCATAGCCCCAACCCTGTCTCCTCATGTCTTAGTTTCATGTTCAGTGACATGCTTAATGTTCTTGAATTTTGCCTATAACAAAATGTGGATATACGTGTAACACATACTCTTGATGGTTAAAATAGGCTTTAATAGCCTTTTTCTCCCCCTCAATTGATCAGATCATTGAAGCGATTTTTGTTATCTCTTGCACAATTAAAACAATTGCCTTAATTATTTACTAAGCTAAATTCTTCCCTTTTGCACTGAGGTTGTATTTGAGTGATAATAATTTAGCTTATTTTTAAACAGGATAAGTTTTAAAAATTCAAAACTTTTGGCCGGGCACAGAGGTTCAGGCCTATAATCCCAGCACTTTGGGAGGCCAAGGCAGGCAGATGACCTGAGGTCAGGAGTTTGAGACCAGCCTGGCCAACATGGTAAAACCCCATCTCTACTAAAAATATAAAAATTAGCTGGACCTGGTGGTGCGTGCCTGTGATCCCAGCTACTTGGGAGGCTGAGGCAGGAGCATCACTTGAACCAGGGAGGCAGAGGTTGCAGTGAGCCAAGATCACACCACTGCACTCCAGCCTGGACAGTAGAGTGAGACTCCGTCTCAAAACAAAATAAAACGAAACAAAAAACACTTTTATCTAAATGACTGTACGCAGTATATTTCATTCATGTTATGGACTCTTGATAGTTTCAATATATGCAGAGTCTGAAATTCCTTTCTAGGTTTCATTTAAACTCAGTTTTCTGAATCTAGCCTTTTTGTTTTTTCTCCTTCTGTGGTAATATTCCTTTTTGGCTTTCTTCATATCTCATCTTAACTTCAAAATCCCTAATTTTTGTTTTATTGAAATAGAATTGCGAATTTGGTCCCTTTTGAACCACAGTGTCTGTGTCCATTCACATAAGGTCACTCAGGAAATATGAGCTGAAAAACAGTGTGCAGGGTACTTCCAGGCATTTTGCTAGATGTCGGTGTGTGCATGCTTGAAGTAAAAGCATAAATTGCTACTTTTATCTTCTCCTCCCTCTCCTGGGGAGTCCTCCTGCCCTCTCTCCCTGCACTCTGCCCCCAGAGATGCATGACCTATTCCGCAGTGGGAAGCAAGGAAGGAATGCGTGGGGTTGCCGTGCAGTGCCTGGTTTTCCTGTCCCAATGACCAAGATGAGATCCAGAGTTGCCTTCTGTGATCCCAGAAATGTTTCCTGCAGCAGCCACTGGGCTGGAAAGGCAGGTGCCTACTGAGCTGTGTCTTTCTCAGCTGTCTGCCGAAGCTGCACTTCTCAACATAGCAGAGCCTCTACTCCCTGTAATTTCAGCCCCATCTGGTAAAGCCCACCTGGCTCTCTTGAGGCATTCCCTTTGCGTAAGTGGCTGAGAAGCAGCTGAGATACCCCTCCAGGAATTGGCAGCTGCTGTCAAGCCTTTGGTTTCTCCAGCTTCAGCGAGCAGCTCTGGGTCATTTTCGTGAAGCCGAGACACTCCTCACGATGATTCAATCCAAAGGATCAGATATGACCCTGAGGTCCTTTTTTGATCCCACGAGTGTCTGAACATGCATTACAGGAAGATGTTTTGTGATTGGCTCACGTGGGGTTGATCTTTGTGGCACTCCAGTCATGAATTTCTCAAAGGGAGAATGGTTCTATTCTCTGTTTGTCCTGTGAGCACAATATTGTCATTATTATTTGCACTTTTCTGAAGCTTTACGCGGCAAAAATTCAGTTCTCCTCTTGGGAAAGGCAGCTTTGCTTTAAAGCAAGAATTGTAGCATTTTCCTGGTACAAATGCATGTACGAGTTCTGTAATAGAAAACTCCTGTAGGCATTCACTGATGTTTCCCTTCTGGCCTAAACTGCTGGGTGTGACTAGTTTAAAAACTGTCAAAATGACATAAAACAGTTATTAAAACCACTGGCTGCCTCACTGCCAGAGGGCAATATTGTCCCATAAATAGTCTACGTCGCAATAGTGCTCAAAGCAAGACTGAGCCATCAAACCTAAGGGCAGAAGGCACTTTAAACTCCCGGTAGAGTGCAATCACATGTAGAGTCCCACATAAGCAAATGGACACATTTGTTGCAGGCGCAATTTGGGAAATAGGTACAAGTGAAACCTAGGCATTTCCAGTATCTATCTGAGCACCTAAGTGAACATGTAATTGCACAATGAGCCTTTCACAGCAACTCAATTAAACATGTAAATTATTGCCAAATGTCCCCAGCAGCCACAGAACGTTTTTGGTGTCCAACGTCATTATCCTCTATCAGGCATTTGTGCATTGGAGTACACATTTCTGTAATTAAATAGTAATTATTTTTACTTCCAGTTCCATTAGTAATATATAAAATCATAAGTACTATATTGTCTTTTTTCTTTTTTGGCATGGATTCATTATATTCTTAGTGAAAACGCTCCTTATGGAATTAACGGGTTCCCACAGAGGCATCTTTGAACATCTTTGTCTTTGGAAGGATAGAATGACTATGGGGTCCATTTCTGTTTTTTTTTTTTTTTTTTTTTGAGATGGAGTCTTGCTCTGTCACCCAGGCTGGAGTACAGTGGCGCAATCTTGGCTCACTACAACTTCCACCTCCAGGTTCAAGCAATTCTTTGCCTCAGTCTCCTGAGTAGCTGGGATTATAGGCCCCTGCCAGCAAGCCCGGCTAATTTTTGTATTTTTAGTAGAGACGAGGTTTTACCACCTTGGCCAGGCTGGTCTTGAACTCCTGACCTTGTGAGGCACCTGCCTTGGCCTCCCAAAGTGCAGGGATTATAGGCATGAGCCACCGTGCCCGGCCTGGGGTCCTTTAATAAACCGAATTAGGCCAGGAACAGTGCCTCATGCCTCTAATCCCAGCACTTTGGGAGGCCGAGACAGGAGGATCACTTAAGGCCAGGCATTCAAGACCATCCTGGGCAAGATGGTGAGACACCATCCCTACAAAAAAATACTAAAAAACTAGCTGGGTGTGGTGGAGCATGCCTATAGTCCCAGCTACTCAGGAGGCTGAGGAAGAAGGATCGCTTGAGCCAAGGAGTTTGAGGCTGCAGTGAGCTATGATTGTGCCACTGCACTTCAGCCTGAGGCACAGAGCAAGACCCAGTTTCTTAAAAAAAAAAAAAAAAGACTGGGTGCAGTGACTCACGCCTGTAATCCCAGCACTTTGGGAGGCTGAGGCAGTCGGATCACTTGGGGTCAGGAGGTCAAGTCCAGCTTGGCCAACATGGTGAAACCCCGTGTCTACTAAAAAAAACAAAAATTAGCTGGGTGTGGTGGTGGGCACCTGTAATCCCAACTACTCAGGAGGCTGAGGCAGGAGAATGGCTGGAACCCAGAAGGCGGAGGTTGCAGTGAGCCAAGATCCCGCCACTACACTCCAGCCTGGGCAACAAAGCAAGACTCCACCTCAAAAAAAAAAAAAAAAAAAGAATTACAGGAATGTATTATTCCAAAATGTCTTTCTGAGACACCCTTATCATATAGAAATGAGCTGTTGGTAATTTATACATAAATTATTAACTTTTAAGTAATAAATACCCAACAATTATTTGCTTACAATATTTTTAAAGCAACTGTCTATCCTAAGAAACCAATGGTAATTGTATCTTCTGTTTTGGAATCGCTTATAAAAAGTGAATGGATAAGCCAAAGGCAATATTTTGAGACTTTTTGTGGGCATGGTTTGGGAAGGAGTAGATACAAAGTCAGAACCTCATTATCATAGGCTAAATGATTGTGTCCTCCCAAAATTCTTATGTTGAAGTTCTAACTCCAATGTGATGGTATTTGGATGTGGGATATTTGCAAGGTAGTTAAAGTTAGATGAAGTCTTGAGCATGGGGCCCCCATGATGGGATTTGTGTCCTTATAAGAAGAGGAAGAGAGGTAAGAGTTCTTTCTCTCTCTCTCTTCTCTATCTCTTATCTATTTGAAGACACAGTGAGAAGAAAATGAGAAAGAGGGTCCTCACCAGGAACCGAATCTGCTCTTGGACTTCCCAGCCTCTAGAAGTATGAGAAATAAATGTCTGTTGTTTAGATCACCCAGTCTATTGTATTTTATTATAGTAGCTTAAACTAAGACACTCATGGAGGTATTTTCTACAGTAGATGGTAGAATTCAGTATTAGATTGGTCAGTTTTGGATTCTTCCAAAAGAGGATTTAAATAATGAAGTATCAACATATTCATCAGAAAAATAATCTCCTTTGATATAGGGCAGTATTATTGCCAGCATCCTGGCTAATAATCCTTCTAGTTCTTAGAAGTCCAACAGAATTAGAAAAAAAAAAATTGCCCTACTAAGTACAGGTAACTTTGCAAAATGAGATGGAGCTGAAACAGTGAATTTAACTGATTTACTCTGATCTCTCCTTCTATTGAAAAATAACTATTACTGTTTCTACTACTAATTTTAACCACTTATTTGCATACTACAGAAGTTCCAAAGACATGAAGCATACAGATTTTCAAAGAGAACTCCTTCCATTTTGTTTTGTTTTGGTTTTACTTTCAAAAAAATTATGCAAAGGGATGTGTTCTGAAGTTCCAAATGATTTCAAAAATCAAACCAATCCAATCAATTTTTCAGTAATTGGCTTTGAAGAAACTGAGACAAGAGCAATGCAAACAAAGTGCTTTTAAATAAATCATAATTACCCATGCAAATGTCTCCAATAATTTGAGGGTTTAATCAGCTGACTAACAATTCGGAAGCCTGCTTGCATTTGGTAATGTGACAGGCAGTGGGAATGAGGAGAAAGCAGCCTGGTAACAACGATCTGAGATGTGAAAGGGAGGAGCCAGATTAACATCTAAAATTATCCAAACTTGGAAAACTGTCCTACCAAAAGGTTTTTAATGCACTCACCTTAATAGTAAAGACTTGCATAGACATTAAACATTTCTAACTTGTTTTTAAGCCTTGAATTCATCTGGAATGGTTGCAGGTTTTTCCTTCCCCCTTCAGATGATAAAAGCATTTTTGTGTGCAAAAAGGAGCAGGTGTTGTTGGTTATTCAAATTCAGAGCATGTTACCAGCTTCCCTCCTTTACCTACCCACCCCCATTTTATGACGGCATCCTCATGTTTTCTCTTACTAACCAATCTTCTCTATTCTAATTACAGCAAACCTTTTAAAGAGGTACACTTGTGTGGCTCTAGATGCTGCAACCTTTAACAATGTTATTTTACTCCTGCTTAGGGGGTTAAAAATCAATATGATATGTGACCTCCTTGTAAATTTTTTTTTTTCTCAAACCAAGAAGCAAAGTACTCCACTTAGTGCAGTTTTAATTAAACTGAATACATTATAAAACACTCTCCTAATGTGCTTTGCCTAGAAAATGTTTTTTAAAGTGTTACAAATCAATCAACTAATTGAGCTATGTAGTAGGAAATGCAGATGGCATCTCGTTACTCTGTGTTTTCACTCTGCCAACCAAGTGCCTCTTCATAGACAGGGTTTGTATTGAGGCTGGCAATTTGCATAACATAGTACCAGTGGCGGGCTGTCATAGGCAGTGGCAGAGGTTACCAAGGAACAGCAACACAAAATGCATGGACCAAGAGCAGGGATGGTGTGTGGACAATGTGGCAAGGGGACAGAGGTGGCATAACCAGGATGGCTCCCTGCAACCTGAGGTACCATCTATTCTACATTGGACCAAGAGCAGATGGTTTTATCTGCCCATTTGGAGTGGCTCAACAGGAAACAAGATCATACCTGCTTTGGGGATTTATTTTTTCCTGGTACCTAATACAGGAAGAGGTTAGAGTTTGTTTCCTGCTGTTTCCTTTCAGTTTAATCCAATAAATATTAATTCAGTATGAGGCACTCCACCCAGTGCCAGGAAGACATGTTGACTGATGATGGACAATTTAATACCTTTGCTCTTGAAGGGCTTTCATGCCACAGCATTTATTGAGTGCACATGTTTTCAGGCACAATGTTGGGTACATGATAATCAAAATCAAATCTCTCTCCCTTCAAGGGTCTTCCAGTTTAATAGAGAAACATATGGCAAAAGTCATTGTACAATATTGTTTGATGTTATTCATGAATGAGACAAGCATGGAGAAAGAACTAGCTTTGCCTGGGAGGTTTTTGAGCCCTTTGTAGAGGAATCAGAGGGTAGAGTATATTCCAGTGCACGTGCATATGGGCTTTAGTGATGAAGGAAATGTAACATAATCTGAAATGTAAAATCTACTCATTTTTGGAAGCTACCCAACAAGCTTCTCTTTACAGTTCACATTATGACTGTTCTCTCCAATGTTGGATTACATATTTAAACTTCTTCTTACATTTGAGGTTGTTCTAGTTTAAAGCACTGCTTTGTTCTACACACTCAGGACTCATGGCAACCCACATCTGAAATGCACCATGGGGAATTCTGATGACTTAGCAGCCTTATGCTCATGTGCTCTAGAACAATTCCCAAAGCATGGCTCCCAACCCAGAAACATCACTGTCTCCTGGTAACTTCTTAGAAATGCAAATTCCTGGCTGTGTGCGGTGGCTCATGCCTGTAATTTCAGCACTTTGGGAGGCCGATGCAGGTGGATCACCTGAGGTTAGGAGTTCAAGACCAGCCCGGCCAACATGGCGAAACCTCATCTCTATGAAAAATACAAAAATTAGCTGGCTGTGGTGGTACACACCTGTAATCCCAACTACCCAGGAGGCTAAGGTAGGAGAATCGCTTAAACCTGGGAGGCAGAGGTTGCAGTGAGCCAAGATTACACCACTGGACTCCAGCCTGGGAGGCAGAGCTAGATTCCATTGCAAAAAAAAAAACCCAGCAAACTCCTGGGCCCCATCTTGGGCCCAACAATCTTGTTTGAAGAATCCCTCCAGGTGATTCTAACATAGATTAACATTTGAAATATAATTCTTTAGGGTATACATAATGGCCAGGGCAACAACATGCCACTGAGATGGGTTCTGTTTAGATGGCACTTAAAAAAAAAAAAAAAAAAGATTGAATAGATTCTTTCTAACCAAGTTAGACTAGGCTCTTTTTTTTTTTCTTTTTTAGAGACAGAGTCTTGCTCTATTGCCCAGGCTTGAGTGCAGTGGCTCAAACCTGGGCGACAGAAATCTCAGATCACTGCAACCTCTGCCTCCCAGGCTCAGATGATTCTCCTACCTCAGCCTCCCGAGTAGCATGGGTCACCACACCCAGCTAATTTTTGTATTTTTAGTAGAGGTGGGGTTTCACCATGTTGGCCAGGCTGGTCTTGAACTCCTGACCTCAGGTGATCTGCCCACCTTGGCCTCCTAAAGTGCTGAGATTACGGGCGTGAGCCACCGCGCTTGGCCTAGACTAAGCTCTTTATGAATGTTAATGAACCAATTTTGCTGATTTATTTTTTTCCTAAAGAAACCGTGATTTTTGGCTACATGTAAAAGGAAAGATAAAAACACAAAGAAACAAACTTTAGTTGGGAGTCATGTAGAGAAAACATCTTTGCTATTTCACTTTTCAATAAGTAATACTTTACATTTAAATATCTATTACAAGTTATGCCTGTAGCACTAAGATAGATGCAGTAATTTGATTTATACCATTCATTATGTATGTTAAGTAACTATTACATGAGTCATTCATATCTTCTCTCTTTTTACATTTTTTTATAAGCTTGATCTATCAGATTTTCGGAGAGATGTGCTAAAATATCTTGTGATGATTATAGATTTGTCAACTTTTCCCTACAATTCTGACCATTTTTACTTCATATATTTTAAATTCAAGTTGTTAGGTACTTGCAAGTGTTTATTTATTACAAATTCCTTTAAAAATGTGAGCCATGCAAATCAAAAGCACGATGAGCTACCATCTCACACCAGTCAGAACAACTGCTACTAAAAAGTCAAAAAACAACAGATGCTGGTGAGGCTGCAGAGAAAAGGGGATGTTTATACAGTGCTTGTGGAACGGTAAATTAGTTCAGCCATTGTGGAAAGCAGGTTGGAGATTTCTCAAAGAACTTGAAACAGAATTACCATTTAATCCAGCAATCCTATTACTTGGTATGTATCCAAAAGAAAGTAAATCATTCTACCACAAAGACATAAGTACTTGTATGTTCATTGCAGCACTATTCACAATAGCAAAGTCATGGAATCAACATAGATGCCCATCAACAGTGGATTGGATAAAGAAAATGTGGTACATATACACCATGGAATATTACCCAGCCATAAAAAGAATGAAATCTTGTACTTTGCAGCAACATGGATGCAGCTGGAGGCCATTATACTAAGTGAATTAACACAGGAATAGAAAACCTAATACTCCATGTTCTCACTTACATGTGAGAGCTAAATATTGGGTACTCATGGACATAAAGATGACAACAGTAGACACTGGGGACTACTGGGGGTGGGGAAGGAAGCGGAGCTTCCTGTTAGGTGTGATGCTCACTATTTGGATGACAGGATCAATTGTATCCCAGACGTCAGCATCATGCAATGTGCCCATTTAACAAATCTGCACGTGTACCTCCTGAATCTAAAATAAGAAGTTGAAAATATATTTAAAAAATTAATATAATACCATATATGCTGTCGTCCCAGAAAAAATTGCCTTAAGATCTACACATGGTCAACTGCATTTGCTTTGCAAAAGAGTATAAATTTCTCATTTACAAAGTATATATGTATGTGTATAATCTATACATATACATACATATATAAATATACACACATATACAAACACATTCCCTCTCCCATTCTAATTCAGCCTTATTCTCTTCATATGCTAAATCTTATTTTCATAGTTCATCCTCTCATCTCTAAGACCGGCTCAGCACATTGGAAGGGTCCAATGTGCACACAGTAATTAAGTAGGAACAATTATGAGAGAAACAAATCTTGGTGAGGTACTGTGATTTAGATGAGCTTCCTGGGAGAGGACATAATAAAAAAATATACAAGTGATTCCAGCGAAATGGAATATCACATCACAGAGGGGTAGCTATAAAGTTTAATACAAGAAATGACATTTGCTCAGAAACAGAGATTTTTCACTAAAGAAGAAACCATGCAATGAAAAAGATAATCTTGCATAGTGAGCGAATCACCAACCTTCAAAGTCAGGACCTTTGATAGAGAAACTGGTACAAAGAGTGGGCAGGTTCTGTAATTGGACTGCTCATACTGGAACAGAAATTCATGTGTATGTGGTTTGTATGATTCTTTTCCTGCCACTGACACAAGAGAAATCACAACTAAAGAGAAACATATTTGTCTTGACAGGAGCAGGGGTTTTGATTTATCTCTAATTGATTATGGGAATAACACTATAGACTAACCTTTTCTTCCCAACTATTTCTCCCCTGCAAAATAATAATAATAATAATAATAAAGGTTGCAGTTAGGTAGTTTAAAGGGTTCCTAAAAGGAAACTGGTATATTTTCCCTGGGTTGAAAATACTAAAATACCTATAACCTAAGCAGCTTTGAGTTCAGATTAACTAGGGAAGAGCTGCTCTGAAGATTAGATATTTGTGAAGATCTTTGCAAACTAAAGACTCTAATGCAAATATTAAACATCTCTGTACGCATTAAGTATTTATAATCAACTAGGTGACAAAGCCTGAACTAAATAATTATACTCCAAGTTAAAGATGTCAGTCCGAGTTCTAGAACTGTGGGAATTTATGGAACCTTGATATAATTTCAGCTTTTCTATTACAGAGTGGAGAGTAATAGAAATGGAAGCCATGTACCTCATTCTTTTATTCACAGCACATTTGATGTACACTGACTGAAAAAAAAAACCTCTGACATACGCATCTAACACAAAAACCAGCTGCAACCTAGATAGGATGGGTTGCAGCTGGTTTTTGTGTCACTCTTCCCCCACTTTTATGACACTTTCTCATTATATCATTCCTGGATCTTCTGGTCAGGAGAGAATTTCTGAACCAAGAAGAGGCTTCCATAGTATATTGTGGGCCTTATGTAGGACCTTCAAAGCTACAGTTTTCTGTTACATCTTAGCAATTTATGCTCAAACAATATAACTAACGTGCCAAAGTGGTAAATCCTAGAGACAATATTAGGGCATTCTTAGAAGAGGATAAAAGGGAAGCATCTCTTGTCTTTGTCCACAAGAAAACATAGCTTTCATAGATTTAATTTAACAAAAATTTCAAAACCCTGGAAATAGTAAATATGTTACCCTTCAATGAACAACTGATTAATAGCTTGGGAAAGAGTTAGTTCAGTGCATACTTCTAGCTACATAGTGTTATTATTTTCTTCTCTTTCAAATATCAATATACATGTTATGATAAAGTAATAAAATGTTACTTTTACTGTGGGTAAACATTAGTACCTGAATCATGTTATTGTTTTAATTTTTTATTTTGTTTTCAAATTGATACATCATAATTATACATAACTTTGGGGTAAATTTTAACACTTTGATACATATACATGTGGTATAAATGATCAAATCCAGACATTCAGTGTGACCATCACCTCACGTATTCATCATTGCTTTTTGTTGAGGACATTCAAAAGCTTATCTTCTTGCTATTTTGTAATATATCATATCTTATTGTTTATCTGTGCAATAGAATCCCAGATCTTATTCATCTATTTTAATTGCAATTTTGTATGCATTGACCAATCTCTCCCATTCTCTTCTCCCCAACTCCTCCCATCTCTGGTAACCACTGTTCTACTCTCTGCTTCTGTGATAAAACAAACAAACAAAAAACAAACAAACAAAAAAACACCTCTTAAAATATTTTCTGTTGTTGTCGTTTTTTGTTTTTTTTAGATTCCACAGATGAGGTATTTGTTCTGTCCTCCAGATCCATCCATGTTGTCCCAAATGACAGGATTTCATTTTTTCTAATAGCCAAATAGTTTTTCATTGTTGATTAATAGATATACCACATTTTCTTTATCCATTCATCCATTTTTAGATATTTGGGTTGATTCTATATCTTGGCTGTTGTGAACAGGGCTGCAATAAACATGGGAATGTAGATATTTCTTCAACATACTGATTTCATTTCCTTTGAATATACAGTATACAAGTAATGGGATTGCTGGATTATATTGTATTTCTATATTTTTTTTTTTGAGGAACCTCCTGTGTAGCTAGAAGTATGTACTGAACTCTTACCCAAGCTATTAATCAGTTGTTGTTTATTGAAGGGTAACATATTTACTATTTCCAGGATTTTAAAAATTTTGTCAAATTAAAATTATGAAAACTACGTTTTCTCGAGGACAAGCCCACCAACAGTGTGTAAGTGTTCCCTTTTCTCTACATTTTAGCCAACACTTGTGGGTTTTAAAAAGTATTTTTAATTATAGCCATTCTCACTGGAGTGAGGTGGTATCTGATGGTGGTTTAGATTTGTGTTTTCCTGATGATTAGAGATGCTGAGCACTTTTTCATGTACCTATTGGCTATTTGAATGCCTTCTTTTAAGGAATGTCTATTAACGTCTTTTGCCCACTTTTAATTGGACTATTTGTTGTTTTGCTCTTGAATTGTTTAAGTTCCTTACATATTCTTGGTATCAGCTCCTTGTCAGATGTATAGTTTACAAATCTTATTTCCCATTCTGTAGGTTGTCTCTTTACTCTGTTTTTCCTTTGCTGTGAAAAAGGTTTTTAGTTTAATGTAGTCTTATTTGTCTACTTTTGTTTCTGTTGCCTGTGCTTTTGAGGTCTTATTTTAAAAGTCCTTGCCCAGGCCAATGTCTTAAAGCATTTCCTGTGTGTCTTCTTCTGGTAGTTTCATAGTTTTGAGCCTCTTATTTAAGCCTTTAATCATTTGAGCTGATTTTTGTATGTAGCGAGAGATAGGTGTCTAGTCTCCTTCTTCTGCCTTTCGATAGTCAGTATTCCCAGGACTGTTATTGTTTTAATGTAATGAAAAAGCCCTACATGTGTAATCACTTCTCATTTTGTAAGAAGATTTTTAACCCATGTCACAGGTAACAGCTGATTTTCCTCACTCTTTGGGCCAAACTTTAGCCTTCAGGGAAAGTTTATATTCTCAATAAATAAAACAATTAGCCAAATTAAGAATAAATATTTTCCAGAAGTATAGGAGCTGAGAAAGATGACAAATACCAATGAAAAGTCAATGTCACAAAAAGCTCCCACTCCTTGATTCCTGTAAAATTTATTCTTTTTTTAATTCAATACATATCCATTAAACACCCACTTTGTGATAGATCCGAAATTTTAGGGAGGAAAATTAATATTCTATTTGGAACAAACAAGTAAATATATAATAGAGAAATATAATTTCAAATAGTGACAAGTGCTATAAAGAAAGTGAAAATGGCTATTGTGATGGCAAGTGATTGAGAATCCTTGCACATAATCACTCAAAAAGTTTCATACTCTTTCATAACAGACCAGCAAGTGTCTGGATGTATTGAACAAACTGAAAAAATTAATAAGTACTTACTCTATGCTAGCTAATACAGAGGATTATAAAAAACAATTTAAGATATTCCATTGTCCTTAAGAAAGCAAGATGTTAAAACAGACAAATTATTAATCCAAAAGTTAATTAAAGTTCAAGTCAAGAACATATAAAAATGTCATGGAGACATGAAAATAATAATGGTAAGAGCTATGTATTTGTATACATAATTTGTATACAAAGCTATGCTTTGTATTTATTGTCACTAATTCTATATTCCTTATATTATAGATGAGTAAACCAAGGTTTGAATGTCTTCACTGACTTGTCCAAAGTTACATGGCTGGCAAATGGTGGAACGAAGATTAAAGCCTGCTCTTCTTACTATAGCCCTCCACCTCCCCACACAGTATATACGTGTTTGTCAAAATATCATTAGAGAAAATTTCTCCTGGGTCTTGATTTAGAATAATGGTGGGCAAATTTATTCAGATCAGACTTCTTAATAAAATATGAACAATGTTGGAATACACTTGAGTGGAAGCCTGTAACTAGACACAAGTGGAATATTAAGGTAACAAAGATACTTATGTCCTGAAGTCACTGGTCAATACTGCACACATGGGTTTCAATTCAGAGCTATAGGTGGTGAGAGGAACAGAAGTCAATGTCCATGGCCTACCCAAGGTGGGAGTCTTATAAGAAACACTTCCTTTTGAAGCTTCAGAACGCTACATTTTGAAAGAAGGCTGAACTAATTATAACCTATATTCCACCACAAGCCCCAAATCCGAGGGGATAATAGAGAAGTTTTCTGTGGTGATGAGTGGGCAGGACAGAAAAAAAAATAAAGAGAAAGAAAGAAAGAAAGGAAAGAAGGAAGGGAGGAAGGAAGGAAGGAAGGAAAGAGGAAAATTTCTTGAGCGATTGTGGACATTGATTGGCTCTTTCATGTATTTGAACTCAGAGCCTGGACTGGTGATGGAATTTAAGTCACCAAATTTGACTGAAGTAGTCCCAGACTGACAGTGCCCCATTCTTTGTAGGAGGTATATTTTAGACCTCAAGGAATCTTCCCAAGTTATTTTTAAGGGCAATGGCCAAGAAGCAGTCATATATAAGCAGATGCATTAAGAAAGGAAATAACATGGCCAGAACTAGCATGGCAGACAGCAGAAAGAGATCTGCACACACTTCAGACACTGGGATTTGTAGAACACATTTTAAAAGAGCTATGCTTACCCTGTTTATAAGAATAAATGAAAAACTTAAAAATATCTGCAGAGGACAAAACCCTATAAAACAGGATAGCAGAATTTAAAAAGAAAACTAGAAAAAAGAAACAAAATTGTATTATCTACTCAAAGCTTTTCTGCTAATGTCAAGAAGGCAAAGATGGCCCCTCTCACCACTCTTTTTCAACACTGTACTAGAAGTACTAGTTAATGTAATAAGACAAGAAAAGGAAATAAGGGTATACAAATTGGAAAGGAAGAAATAAAGCTGTCTTTGCTCATACATGCTATGATCATCTCCGTGGAAAATCTGAGAATTGACAAAAAAAAATTCTGGAAATAATAAGCAATTGTAGCAAAGATGCGGGATACAAATTTAATATACAAAAGTCCATTGATTTTCCATCAACAAGCAATAATACAAGAGCCCTAAACAAAATATTACTGACACATTAAAATAAACATAACAATACTATTTAAAAACATCAATTGTATCATGTTACTACTGGGTTCATCCAGGAATTCAAATTTAGTTTGGCATTAAACACAGTCATCTTCATTCATCACTAAGGACTCTCGATACTGCCTGAAAACCTATGTGTGATCCTTCAAGCCTGACCATAGGTGATTACCAAACGTTTACCTGAGAGGCCTCAGCAGGGAAAACCACCTTCCCCACACCTACTTTGGTGCACAGCCAATGCACTGCAGTCTTTGAAGAGTATTGCAGTCAGGGACTCAGGTGCCATCAGCTGGCCATGTTCTTACTCATGTCTGCATTCTTAGTCCTGGTACCTACATTCAGAGGCCTCCTATTTGGGGGTCTTCAGAAGACATTTTTCTCAGGTGCTGAGACCTCCTTATTATGGTAGAGGGAGGAACTTTGAGGATACTCTTTTTTCACTCTGACTCAGTACTCAATACCTTCCATTACTAACCTTCCCATTCTCCTGTTTATGGTCCATAAAACAGAAGGAGCTTTTTGTTTAGAACTTTCTTAGCAATAAGGAGATTCATCATGTCTATGCTGATCTATCTGACCATGGATGGTGCCATTCCAAATGAACAATGGAACACTAGGGAAGTCAGTGCTTTCCCCAGTTGAGCATCTTGCTTATAGTATTGCACTATTGACGAAAATCTTGACTGTTACTTTCATTTTGGCTTATTTTCTTCATGGCCACTCGAACCCCTGGCAGCTCAGCTCTCAGTCTGGCTCAGCTCTTCACAAGTTCATTAGCACATTAGGAGAAAAAAACACAACCTCAATAGATCCAGAAAATGTATTTAATACAATTCAGCAAACGATGTCAGAAACCCTCAGCAGACTATGAAGAGAAGGAACCTAGCCTGAAATAAATGTTTTCTACTAAGCTTACAGAGCAAATATCATCCCTAATTTTGAAAATTATAAAATGATGAAAGTTTCACCGTTTCTTTTTTTTTTTTTTTTTTTTACTGGAAACCAAACAACCATGCCAAACTCAGTCTTTACTGTTTCACTGGAAATAAGTGCAATAAGGCAAGTAAAACTAAATGGTAATAGAATTGGAACTGGAGAATCAAATTGTCATTTTTCAAAGATAGTATGATTATATTCATATAACTTCCAAAATAATGTACAGAAAAACTTATCAAATTGATAAGAAAGTTTACCAAGGCTATGCATACAAAACTTGTACAAAATCAATACATAAAAATAACAGATATTTAGAAAATTAGATTAAAATACATTATTTACAGTAGTATCAAAAATAATCTATCACCTGGAAATAATTCTCACAAAAGATATGCAAGGTTTTTACAAAAAAAATTATAAAGCTCTATTGAGAGACACTAAAAATAACTTAAATGAATTATATACATTGTTCGTGAATTATAAAGCCCAATATTTTTATAAAATTCTCATCAAATTTATATACAGTTAAGGCAATCCTAATCAAAACCCAGGCAAGATTGTTTGTGAAGCAGACAAACTAATTCTAAGACTTATGTGGCAATAACATAGGCCAAGAATAGTCAAAAGGCTTTCAAAAAAACAAAAACTAAAAGGTAAGACTTGCTCTGCCAAATATTAAGATATATTTTAAATAATCAGCACACCAGAAATTACACAGATGTAGACAAACATACAAGTGGACAGAAACTAACACATATATAGGTCTTTAATATACAGCAGAAAGAGCACAGAAGCTGATGGGGAAAGGTCAGTCTTTTCAATATATTATGCTGGAAAAAACGGAATAGCTATGTACAAAATAAAATATACCACTACCTGTACTGTACTATGATGTGGATACTAAGTGGATTAAATACCTAAAATAATTAGACGACAATATAGGGGAATATTGCCATTTCCTTATATAGGAAAATACTTTTAAGTGTTAAACATAAAAAAGATTAATAAATTCAAAACGAAGAGCTTTTCTTCAAAAACATCCAGAAGAAATGGAAAAGACAAGCCATAGGAATCACTGAAGACTTTTACAAACACGAAATTGACTGAAATAGTATCCAGGCTATAGAGAGAATTCTTGCCTCACAATTTTTCTCACAATGAGAAAAGAAGGTTGACCATCCTAAAGAAAAGTGCTTGAAAAAGCACTTCAGTCGAATGAAATCCAGATGCCTAAAGTCATCCAGAAAAATGCTTGGCTTCAGAGTAATTAGATAAATGCAGTAAGATACAGGACCACCAGGTTGCCAAAATGTAGAAGTCTGATAAAAGTAGGTAATGCTTACCTATGACCTAACAATTCCAGTTCTGTGTATGTGTCCGATATAAATGTGTGATGATGTGGAAAGAAATGTATGTCAAAGAATATTCACAGCAAGAATATTTATATTTGCTAAACATTAAAGCAATCTAACTATCTCCCAACCATACAATGAATAAACTGTAGTATATGTACACAGTGGAAAATTATACAACAATAAAAATAAATGGACTGTAGCTACCACCATAAACTTAAACGTTATAAGTAATATTGACTGGGGAAAGTCCCCAAATACATAATGTATTGATGTGCTTTAGAGTGGTTAGTATTTAGTTTTTATCTTTTTTTGTAGAACATAAAAAAATGTACACTTCAAAAAGAGATACAACTCACATTTATACATATGTAAGAAACCTGCACGCTGTGCACATGTACCCTAGAACTTAAAGTATAATAAAAATAAATAAAAAATTTTAAAAAAAGTTGCAAAGAGACACAAACCAAGGATTCACACATACACAGACACAATGCTTCTGAAACGGCACCTAAAAACACCTTGTGTGTAGTGTGTGTGTGTGTGTGTGTGTGTGTGTGTGTGTGTGTGTGTGTATACTTGGTTTCTGTCTCTTTGCAACTGTATTCTCTTCTACTTATAATGTAGTATCCTCATTTCTTCAGTTTTCTTCAGCTACAAGGAAGCCTGGGGCATCACCACCCACAAGCTTGGTCAACTTCAATGGAGGCAGCCAGAATCAAAAATTTGACAGGGCTCATTTAACCAACACTCTTTCACCAGGGAAGGCATTTAAATTTGGTAACTGCAAGTACAGCAAGTATAACTCTGCCAGCTTTACTTATGCAGTAAGCTTAGTACCTTCAAATAAAGTGACCTTAACTCCATTACTAGACTAGGCAACTTAACTATTTCAGGTTTCAATAAACTGCATTTAACTCTCACAATGTCAACTTAGCTATAATCAATGTCAGCAGAAAAAATGATTTTATGTTATTAATATAAGAGCATTTTGAACTAATCATATTATTTACTAATCAATTCAGCATTTCTTGGCTATTTTAGTCTTTCAATATTTGGTTTTAATCTTTAAAATTGCATTATGAATCAATTAAAATAGCCTGATTTAATTTCATCTAGCCTTTTTTGAATAAACATAATTGTTTTTAAAAGAAAAAAAGAGATACAACTAAACTGTATTGTTCAGGGATGCACACATATAGGAAAACTATGAACTATGAAGGGCAGAGGTTAGCTCTGGTGGAAAAGAAGGGGGTTGTCAATTGGCCAGGACGCTGGGGTGCTTCTTGTGTGCTGGCAACAGTCTAGTTTTTCTCCTGGGGTAGTTACACAGGCATTCCTTTTTGAACCACCTAGCAAACTATAAATTTAAGCTTATGCCTATTTTTTTGTATAAGTTGATATTCTATAATCAAAAGAATTAAAAATCTAGAAAGAATGAGAAAGAGAAAGAAGAGTGAGTTGTGCTGAGTGGATTCAGAGATGGAAGCAATTACTCTGTGCTAAACGAGAGAACTTTATTGAGAAGGTTTCTGAGCTAGACTGTGAAGTGTGGATTAGATTGGCTCAAACACAAGTGCAGCGAGGGGCACTCCAGGCAAAGGAAAAGATATGTGTAGAGGCCTGGAGGGAGGAAAGCCCAGAGATTTTTCAGGGATCAAAAAACAGATTAGTCAATTTGGGCAGAAAGGTCACAATGGAGAGGAGTGACAGAGAATATGGGTTAGGATGGTAGGTAGGTTAGGATGAAGTCAAGTGGGATTTTAAAAGCAAAAATGAAAAATTGAGGTCTTGACTGCTAGAGACATAGACATGGGGAATATTTTTGCATTCCAGTACCCTTTTTTCCTAGGCTGCGTCAAACTAGCTGTAACCTCCATGTCTACTTGTATCACTTCCTGAAAAAGTTGTACAATATTTCTGTTTGATTTTCAATTCTTCTGATGAATCTATAGCCAAGTGATAGATGAGGGATAGCATTTGAGGTGAGTAATTGGGGTACACATGGGTAAGGCTGATGTTATCTGAGATCCTCGTGGGGATTCTATTCTTTGCCCGCTGAAATGTTCATATATCAGGAAGATGCAGGCCTGGTTAGCTACAGAGGCCTAATAACTCAGCCAGCCCAGCCTTGCAGCAACTTACCCAGGTTCTTCTTTGTCATTACTTCATGTGATAGAACTTGGTGGTGGTTGAGGCCGGGGTGAGGGCTACTTTGAATATGAAATGTTAAAGTTAATAAATAGTCTTACTGGAAAATATCTCAGGGGAAAGAGATTGAAGATATCAGACAAATACAATTGACCTGACAAGGCACTTAATAAGGTACACAAGAACAGCAGGTCCACCTGCAAATTCCTCATTATCACAGTTATATTGGACATACCCTAGGGAGCTGGCTTTCATGTAATTCAGAAATAGCCCACGCTTATGCTGATTGTGGCTGCATTCTCATTGAAATGAATGTATGATGATTAATATCCTGTTTATTTACCTGTTGGCTTTTGAAAGCTGGATCTAAAGTTACAGCCCAAAAGGGGAGCTAAAAGAAATTCAAACTGAAGAGTTATTTTAGTTGAGGTCAAAAGGCAGGCAGGTATCAAAGCACAACTTCAGTAAATCAGTTAATTTTCAACAATTCCTTAGAAAGCAGTTTTTTTAAATGTCTCCTCTGGCAACAAAGTTTAGTAAAAATAGAAGATACAGACATACACATGCTGGATAATGAATTTCTTCGCACGCTGATTCCCTATGTTATGGGCTGTCCCTTTCTATACTAAATTATTGTCTATCAGTGCAAAATAAAATGAAAACTGAAGGGGAAATTACTCAGATAATTTAGATCAAAAATAAGTTCTCTCGAAACATCCAGATTGAGGGAAACATGTTTTCTATGGTTCATATCATGCTGATAATTGCCTTAATTCTCCATTTTGTTTTGCTTCTGTAGACAGCTTAATGGCAGTTAAGATTTCTTGGATCTCACAGCATAAGAATAAATACTCAATTAAGGCTTTTTAAGATGAGTCAGAGACAGAAAATCACTGTAGCTGTAAGTGATGCATGCTCCCCACTCCCAACCATTTGCTGGCCTGTAAGTTTTCAGACACAATTTGAAACACAGATAATATTTATACTATAAAGAAAATAGAATAAATCAGTCATTAATGAAAGGAGAAATTTATTCCTTACCAAAGTGTCAAATTATTCAGCTGCCGTCTGTATTGTGGGGCCCAGACCATTACTATAACAATCATTCACAAAATGTAGAACATTGCTACTTGCCAAGCAATGTAAGAAGTATGAGGGCTCAAGGCAAAATCAATCAACCAGTCAATCAATCAATCAACGTATTTGTTTATTATTAACTCATTCATTCATTTAACTAGTATTTATTGAACCTCTACTATGTTCAAAGTATTTACTGAACCTCTACTAGATGCAAAGACCCCTGATCTTCTGGAGTTTAACATTTTAGTGGGGAGGAGTGAGTCAGACTAAACATTAGACATAATAATTAGGAAAATGATATCTTGTGTGTGAGGGTGCAACATGCTATGAGAAATGAAGAAGTAAAGCAGACTAAGGGATTAAGGAGCTATTGGAGTGGGAGATGTTGCTTTCTTATATATGGTGCCCAGGGGAAAGTATCCAAAGATTCCACTTAAAATGTGTCATCTGAACAAAGATGTGAAGGAGGTGAGGGAGTAGCCACGTGCATATCAGAGGACAGAGGGTTCCATACTGTAAAAACAGCCAGAACAAAGGCCCCAGAGCAGGAATATGGCTGACATGTGTGAGGAATGACAAGGAGGCCAGCGTGTGAGGTGAGGCAATATCAGTCGGAAGCAGTGTAATATATGATAACTGGGCCAGGCGCAGTGGCTCATGCCTGTAATCCCAGCACTTTGGGAGGCTGAGGTGGGCAGATCACGAGGTCAGAAGATTGACACCATCCTGGTCAACATGGTGAAACCCCGTTTCTACTAAAATACAAAAAAAAAAAAAAATTAGCCGGGTGTGGTGGTGTGTGCCTGTAGTCCCAGCTACTTGGGAGGCTGAGGCAAGGAAATCACTTGAACCTGAGAGGTGGAGGCTGCAGTGAGCCGAGATTGCGCCACTGCACTCCAGCCTGGTGACAGAGCGAGACTCCACCTCAAAAAAAAAAAAAAAAAAGATATGATAACTGAGAGTTTTGTAGACCATTGCAAGGAGTTCTTCCACATTTATTTTGAGTGAGGTGTGATCCATTGGAGAGCTCTGAGCAGAGATGAGACATCATTTCCATTGTGTTTTGAAGGACCACTCTCACTACTGGGTTGAAAGGAGACTGGGAGGAAAGAGATGGCACAGGTGTTGTAGAGGATAGCACGCGAGCAGTGGAGATGGTGCCGAGTGATCACATTATGAATACAATTTGAAGGTTGAGCTAACGGGATTCCCTGATTAACTGGTTACTGGATATGAGGGTCAGAGAGGACTCAAGAGTGACAGTAAGAGTTGTGATTTGACTACCTGGAAGAAAGGTGTCACCATGCATTGCATTAAAAAAAAAAAGGCTCCATGTAAAGTAAATTTTGTTGGGGAGTGAAATGAGTTGTTTTAGGTATGCTAAGCTTGACCTATCTATAGAACCCCAAATGGCAAATAGAGTGGCAGTTGACTGTACAGGTCAGAAATGCAGGGCAAGTCTGGACAAGAAGTATAGCTTTAGGATTTTAATGTTGCCCTATCTCTTCCCAGTGCTTGTGGTTCTTCTCAGGATGGCAGTGTTTCTTCCTCACTTCCTAGGCTTCCATTTGTTTATGAGTCTAACTTTCCCATCCCCAGCGTCCATCAAGGTGTATCTGTCTTCTCTCTCATCTTCATTCTGCAGGGAATTAATTTGACTAAGACCCTGCTATAGATAGTAATAACAGTAAATCGTACTAGGCTGTTACAAAGACTGCCATTGTTTTTACCAAAACTTGTTTCTTTTCCTCCAGGGCTCACAGTTAGACTGCATTTTCTAGCCTGCCCTGCTGTTAGAAGGAGGCATGTGACTGACTTTTGGCCAATGAAACAAAGACAGAAATCACAGATAGCATTCCAAGTCTCAAAGAACCCTCCCACATATTCTTCCACATTTTCTTTCTTTCCTTGTCTGACAGCTGGTCATAGCGCCTGAGACCCCAAAGGATTGTGTGCAGCAGAGCTCCCATGTCAATCTACATTGGAATGTGACCTGAAGTAGACATAAACCTTGTCATGATCAGCTACTAAAATTAGGAATTTGTTTACAGTGGTTTGCATATCTTGACTAATAGAGAAACTGAATGTTTCCCATGTGTCAGACAATATCCTAAGTTCTTGAAATGTAATGCCATTATTATGCCAACTTTACATCAGTCCTTGAAGGCAGCAGGTTAGAACAGTGGATGACTTAGCATTTCCAAGCCTGTATTTAACTTCCTCCAAAATGTTTTTGCATTTCCCTTATGTCATTCCTTACCCTTCTATCATCTCTGTCATGTAATCTTTCTACTGTTTTCATTCTATATTTGTTGCTTAGCAGACTTCTGATTTTCTTTCATAAAGGAGTCTATACAAACATTTTTAATATTCACTTCCATTTGTTCTTCATCTCTTTGTAGCCTAGCTTCCATTCTCACTACTGGGATGAAAATGTCCTTACTAAGATTAACTTCAAGGGTAATGTGTGCTCCTAACTTATCTAATACTTCTGTATCTTTTGCTCTACACTTCCTGTCTCTTGGCCTCTAAGAGACGACTATTTTCTGCTGGCTCATTTTTTGCATCTTCATGTGTCTCTTCTATGCCTCCTTACCCTTTAAATGTGGCCTGAGTCTGGCTCTCTTCTCACAGAATGTGTTCTCTCTGGGTAGAAACTGAATTTATAAACCAATGACTTCCAAATCCAGATTTGAACCCCTATCTCTCATGTGAGCTCCAAATTATTTACAATTGTGAAAGGGCATCTTTAACTTAGTGTTTGTTTTGAAAGCACTTCTGACTCAACATCATCAAAACGTAATTCATCTTGCTTCCAATCAACACAGACAAATCCACTCCTTCTGTGTGACTAATCTGTAGCTTAAGTACCCAATAAATATTTATTGACAGAGACTTCCCTTCACCTAATCTCTCATTCCTCACTGTCACAAGGCCCCATCAAGCCCAAGAATCTTATCATTCCTCTCCATCCATATAGCTATTATCCTAGCTCGAAATTATCATTTTGGCCTAGATTTGCATTAGATTTGCATCTTACCAGTGTCTCTGCCTAAAATTTTAGCTACATACAATTTACCCTTCACCCAGCTATTAAAATGATTGTAAAAAACAACTCCATAAACAACTTTGGTTGGATTTTTAAACTTCTCAAGTCTCTCCCATGTAATACTGGGGTTGATAGCTCTCCTCCCCGACAGAACATCTGTTTCAAACTTCAGTACTAGGAACTGACCTACTCTGCTTGACCCCAAGATCCACTTCCTGTGACAAACCTATTATGAGGTGGTTCTGCTGGATGTGCCTCAACTTCTGGGATTCTGTATGCTCCCAACTACACCTTATCCATCTTCATCAATGTCTTCATTTCTGTTTCTGATATTCAACCTGTCATTTGCTTATAAATAAGCCAATAAAGACTTTGAATCATTTTGTGCTTTCTTTTCCCTATGAGTGTTATTTTCCATAACCCCATCAATATTACCTTCACTCTTCTCTATTTTGCTGAACTGCTCTTTCAAAGTTTTATCAGTGTGCTTCCTTCTTACTTATCAACTCTCACTCTGTAGACCTATCTATATCATTAAATTCTGTGAAACGTGTCCTCTTCCTTAATTTTTCCTTTCCTCAGCTTCTGTGACACTGCCTCAATTGACTCTTTCTAGTCCTCTAAATTCTCTAATCTTTACTTCTGTCTCACTTTCTTTTTTACATAGTAGGTGTATTTATTTACGGGGTATATGTAATATTTTGATACAGGCATGCAATGCGTAATAATCATATCAGAATAAATGAGGTATCTATCACCTCAAACATTTATTATTTGTGTTACAAGCAGTCCAATTATACTGTTTCAGTTACTTTAAAATGTACAGTTATTATTGACTATAGTCACCCTGCTGTGCTATCAAATACTACTAGATTTTATTCACTCTTTCTATATTTTGTACCCATTCTAACTTCTCTCCCATCCCTCTATTCCCCTTTCCAGCCTCTGGTAACCATCGTTCTACTGTCTATCTCCATGAGTTTGTTTTAATTTTTAGCTCTCTTTTAATCTATATATTTACCTGTCTGTCTACCTGTGTTTTGTTTGTTCATCCATCCATCCGCCATTCATCCACCCATCCATCCATCATCCATTCATCATCCATCCATCCATCCATCCATCCATCCATTGATTTATTTACTGGCTACTTTTCCAGTCCATTACATATGTCTATTCCCCAAGGTTCAGTTTTGAGCCCCTTTGCTCTCTTCCTAACCTCTCCTTAAAGCAGAGCTTCTCATCTAAGGTGTTGACATACAATGGTTGTCGAGGCAAATTATTTACAATGTTCTCAATATTTGTGAATGATTTACTTTCTTAATGAATTAGAATACATTTAGAACTATATTCATAGCAATGCCACTGTTCTTCACATCCATGTAGACAGGCTCTCTTGAGAGACACGGTGTAAGAGCTAACAAATGGACCTGAACATTTTCATGCACATCAACTATCATGTGCTGACTGCTCCATGATGGGAGGGACTTTGTTGGTGTTTCCCACCATATCCCTGGTACACAGATGGGAGCTTGGCATGTGGCACACGCATCAGTGTCTCAGTAAGTACTTATTGTTGAATAAGGGTGTTTAATAATACAAGATACAGTTGAGAAATACTGCCTTAGAAAACTCATCTTCTTTTAGGTGCTTAGTAACACCATGAGGATGTATAACTCACATCTTGATTTCCTGACGTGTCTTAAGTTTCTCCCCTCACATGCCAACTAGTGTTTAGAGCTTTCCACTTGGATGCCCTGTAATTACTTTAAATTGAACACATCTAAAAGCACACACTTTATCTTCAAAAATTATTTCAACCTTCCTCATTTTCCCAGTTAACAAGCCTTGAATAGTTGGATTCATACTAGTTTCTTCTTTCTTTCTCACTTCCATATACAATCAATAACCAAAGCCAATCAATTCTTTATTTAAGTCCTACACCTCTTTCTCCCATTGCTCCTGCCATCAACCTAATTCATGCTGGTCTGGATTATTAAAACTCTGGTTATTTACTTTTTTTATTCACTCTGCATTGTAAAACTGGACTAGATTTCTTAAAAATACTAGCCTCAACTCAAAAATCTTTTGTGACTTTTATTACAATACAATTGTCCCTCAATATCAATGGGAGAGTGGTTCCAGGACCTCCTGCAGATACCAAAATCCACAGAGGCTGAAGTCCCACAGTAGGTCTTGTGGAGCCAATGGCTACTTAAAGTCAGCCCTCAGTATGTGCAGAGCCCATATCCCTCAAATACTGTATTTTCCATCTGCAGTTAGTTGAATCCACACATGCAGAACCTGCAGACACAACAGGGCCAACTATATTATATTTTAATGTCCACAAACTAAACATATTTTTAATGTCCACTCAACTTCATGTGTCTTAAAATTATATCTGCTCCCATTTACCCACCTAAATTATCTCCTCTACTCAAATTAGTCTACTCTCAGCTCTTGTAAAGTGACATGTGTAGTCCTACTCCCAAGATGCTGCTCACACTTTTTATCCAACCAGGATTTTCATCTCATGTTCTCTGTACACATCTGGAATCCAGAAACACTTAAGGCCCAATTCAAGTGTTGCCAACTTCATGAAGCCTTGCCTGGCAACCTCAACTCCAAGAAACAGCAACTATCTTCATACTAGTGACCCACAAGCCAACGATTCCTAAAACCACCACAGTTAATTATGCCATATGTGTGGCACTTGCTCTAGAGTCCTTTGAATTCTTGTTGGAGTGTGGATGTGGGTCATTCCAATGTGACTCTAAACTTGTGATGTAGAGAGAATGAGAAACCAACAGGTACTGAGCATCTGCAATGTGGCAATGCTATTCATGTTATTTAGTGTCCACAATAGCTGTACATGTAGGTATTATAATTTCCATTGAACAGAAATCTGAGGCTCAGATAAGCTAAGTTTTATTTAGTAAGAAGCTGTGAGGGCTAGATATGCTAGGGCCCAAGCCCCTTTCTCTCTACCATGATGCCGTATCTCAGATATATGTATATATATCCCTAAGGAGTTTAGTATAGTGTACAGCACATGGTAGGTGTTCAATAAAGATATGTTACATTAAATGTGTGAATTTGGGGTATTCCTTTGGGGATCAAGAGAAGATCTATAATCTGCACTGATTTGTCTTCTGAGGGTCAAAATGACTTTCTCATTTCATGCAAAATAACAGAAAATTGACCTGGAGACCTGGGTAGTCAGTTTGTTCCTCAAGTTATCTCTGTAGCTCTATTAAGTGACAAAACAAATATATAGTCAAAGATAGGAAATGGAAACATGCACTGCAATTCTTTGCCAAGTCCTGCCAATACAAAAAGTAGAATTGAAAGTTACACAGCGGCATATCCTGGTACAGTATGTCATTGTCCCGGGTTAAAAGCAATCAATTCCATTTATTGAGCTGACCACCAAAAGTTAAAACTGTTTCAAATGAAACAGCATGTTAACAATACCCTTCTGATTTCTCATGAAGGTGGTGAAATCTGGCATTAAACTTCTGGAAGAACCAACTCTTGCTTTTATTTCCCAGAAACACTGCTAATAAAGTGGCTTGTGTTAAACTAAAGGGATTTTAGTCCTTATTAAAAGCAATTTATCTTTACTAAAACAATTCTCTCATATTCATTATGAGTCAGACAAACAAATAAATTAACCACTAGTGGTGACATCATGGGCTTTTGTGCACAAATATTTCAATTAAAAAACTCCTGGTCAGGTGCAGTGGCTCTCACCTGTAATCTCAGCACTTTGGGAGGCCGAGGCAAGCAGATTGCTTGAGGTCAAGAGTTCAAGGACAGCTTGGCCAATATGGTGAAACCCTGTCTCTACTAAATATACAAAAACTAGCCAGTTGTGGTGGCATGCACCTGTAATCGCAGCTACTTGGGAGGCTGAGGCAGGAGCATCACCTGAACCTGGGAGGTGGAGGTTGCAGTGAACCGAGATCGCACCACTGCACTCCAGCTTGGGCAACAGAGAGACTCTACCTGAAAACAAACAAACAAACAAACAAACACAAAACTCAAGTTGTTCAGGTAAAATGTTCTCATTTTTACTGTTGTTACAATTCAAGATAGTTATTGGTATATTTTCCCAGAACTGAGTTATTTTGCTATCATAATGGAAAGCATTATGAAAAATTAGCAGAATTGAATGTATTTCATTGAATCACAGAAAAGGATAGGTTTATTAAAGAAAACATTGGCAAATGTGTGTTTGTGCAATTAGTTAATTAAAGGAAATTTCTATATATAGACACATATGCCAGAAATTATATAAAAGGGACAAGAAATAGGTAAAAGGCATCTTGTTGAAGATGATTTTTGTTTTCTGGAGGCATCCTATTTATTCACTCTAGTTTCAGGGAACAAAGTGCTGTGGCTATGCATGTCTTAGGTGGATACCTCGCACAGAATCTGCTCTCCTCCATAATGCTTCTACTATTTCACAGAAAATTTATTATTATCACATGAAATCTTCTAGTGACAGTGCTTTGGGCCAAGGGAAAATAGAGGAAACTGGAGACTGGCTTGTACCAATGTCTTGTCTTCTCAGTTCCTTTACATACCTCTCTGCACCCTGTCTTGTTAACTTCCATCAGTTATGGTGGCTTTTGTTGACACTGGAAAATTGTCTGATCCTTGGGTTTATGACGTCAAGACCTAAGGTACTCCTATTTGCTGACTCTGCATGAAATCTGGACCTTCCACCCTGTTCTTCTCTCTGGCGTCATGCTTCAAATGCACCCTCTTCACTGACTCAGAATGCTAACCTCGCCCAGGTCTTAGTGCCTTTGCATAGGGTACTGACATCCGTATCCTACTTTCTCACATGTCAAACTCCTATTCCTCCTTCAAAACACCCTCTGTAAAATTTGTCTGATATTCCTGCCCCCTCTCCCTTGCCCAGATCAGAGTTAAGTAATCTTTCTCCATGTTTCTACAGCACTCTGTATACATCTCTACTTTAACACACATTTCCTAGCACATAATTCTTGGTTCTTGCAACTCTCCTCCTGACCACACAACTCTCCATAAAAATTGTGTCCTGTTCATCATCCTAATGATCTCAATGGCTGGCATATGTGAGGGGTCTTTCTATCTCTGGCTCTCCAGTGTGTCAAGGTGAAAGAAGTTGAATTCAAGTGAGGAAATAAGGCAAAAATACAGATAATAAAAATAAAATACACAACGTTTCTGCAGTTCAGATTCTACTTCTCATATTTATTAGTGTGTTTGTATGTATGTGAAATGTGTAGGGTTACAGGTGGACTGGACCTGACTTGCCTAAAAATGCCATAGAATAGCAGTTAAGAGCACAGACTCTAGCACCAGCCTAACTCAGTGTTAAGTCTACGTCAATGAATAAATCTCAATAAATATTTAAAAGTATTTTAAAGTAAATAAAAATTAAACTAAAACATCAATTTTTTTATGATGCCATAAAAGCAGTGACAAAACTGCTTTTAGGGAACTTTCTAGCCTTTAATGCATATTTTAGAAAAAAAGAAAGATCTAAAATCAGCTACCTAAGCTTCTACTTTAGAAAACTAGAGAATAAAGAGTAAATTAAATCTGAAATAACCTGGAAAAAAGAGACACTAAAAATTAGAGTAGAAATCAATGAAATTAAAAATAGAAAGTTAATAGAGAAAATCAGTGAAACCAAAAACTGGTTCTTTGAAGAGCTCAACAAAAGTGATAAGCCTTTTGCCAGGCTAACCAAGAGAAAAAAAAGAACAAATTACTAATATCATACATGAAAGAGGAACATTACTACAGATCTCACAGACTTTAAAGGATAACAAAAGAATACTATGAAAAACTCTATGCCCACAAATTTGACAACTTAGATGAAAGGGATTGAAAATCAACTTAGATGTAATGGACAACTTAGATGAAATGGACTTGAAAAACATACTCTGCCAAAATTCACACAAGAAGAAATAGATAATGTGAATAGGCCTGTATCTATTAAGAAATTGTTAATTTATCTATTAAGAAAGGTTATGAATCAATAATTAATAACCTTCCAAAACAGAAAGCACCAGGTCCACATGGGTTTGCTAGTGAATTCTACAAAACACTTAAGGAAGAAATTATACCAGTTGTCTACAATCTCTTTCAGAAGACAGAAGCAGAGGGAATACCTCCTAACTTATTCCATGAGGCAGGAATTATCCTAATATCAAACCCAGAAAAAAAAAAGAGGAAAACTACACACCACTATTTCTTATAAACATAGATGTAAAAATCCTAAACAAATATTAGCAAATAGAGTCCAATGATGTATTACAAAATTATACACAACTGAGTAGAATTTATCCCAAATATTCACAAATGATTCAACATTCAAAATATTCACAAATGATTCAACATTCAAAAGTAAATTATTCTAATTCATTAAATAAAAGTCACACGGTTAATTAGTAGAGACAGAAAAAGCATTTGACAAAATTCAACAGGCATTCATGATATTTTTAAAAAGGCTTCATTAAACTAGGAATAGAAGGGAACATCGGACCTTGATAAAGAATATTGATTCTTGTGCAAGGAGCTGGGATGCCATGTCCATTGCTCCATTTCCTAGGAAACCCTAGGTGACTCTGCAGCAGTCATTGTGGCTCTGTGACCTGCAGGTACTGGGAAGATGCCAGGAAATGTTTATATGATGCTTGAAACAACAGTGTTCTGACTTGTAGGACAGGATGCATATTTGGGTTTCCACAGTGGCTTTAAAGTAAAGAGATATCCTAGTCATTTCTGCCAGTGGGAATGCACACATGGACACCAGCAATCCTGCTCAACCCTCCGCTGCCATTGCCATTGGTGTGAGTGCAAACACAGACAATAGCAACCCCATCCCCACCTGTGTTCCACAAGTGGTGCAAGGGCATGCAAGAATGCTGCAAACTTGGCCAGGCATTGTGGCTTACACCTGTAATCCCAGCACTCTGGGAGGCCGAGGTGGGTGGATCACCTGAGGTCAGGAGTTCAAGACCAGCCTGGCCAACATGGTGAAACCCCGTCTCTACTAAAAATACAAAAAATAGCCAGGCATTGTGGTGGATGCCTGTAATTCCAGCTACTCAGGAAGCTGAGGCAGGAGAATGTCTTGAACCCAGGAAGTGAAGTTTGCAGTGAGCCAAGATCGCGCTATTGCACTCCAGCCTGGGCAACAAGAGTGAAACTCCGTCTCAAAAAAAAAAAAATAAAAAGAAAAAAAAGAATGCTGCAAACTCGTTTCTGCCAGTATCCTGCCCCAGGCGACGCATGTGCACCTCTCTGCAATGCCATGGCTCCTAGCATGTGTAAGTGAGCATGGATCCCACTGCCACTGCCCCAGTGAAGTGCTTTGGTCAGTACCTCCCACAGGAATGTTGTAGCCAGTGGACTGGAAACACGTTGGCCTTTCTAGTGCAGCTGGTTTCTAACCTCAAGGTGCCAGAGAACAAGTGTGGGGACCTGGTACCAGCCCCCCAGAGTTAAAGCACTCAGACCAGGAATGCTGAGCTGAGCCTTGGCCCCTTAAAATCTTCCAGAAATCAACCCAGTTGACTGAACTCACCTTATACCACAATCAAACCCCCAAGGGCATCAGAGAATATAAAATAAAAAAACCTCATCCAAAAGACAGAAATTTCAAAGATTTAAGGAAAATAAGCTCACACACATGAGAAAGAACCAGTGCAAGAACTCTGGCAACTCAAAAAGCCTTCTTACTCTATCTTCTTACCTCCAAGTGACTATACTAGTTTCTAAGCAAAGGTTCTTAACCAGGCTGAAATGGCTGAGATTACAGAAATAAAATTCAGACTATGGATAGAAATGAAAACAATTGATATCCAGGAGAAAGTCAAAACCCAATCCAAGGAATCTAAGCAATACAATGAAATGATATATGAGATAAAAGATGTAATAGACATTTTAAGAAACAACCAAACTGATCTGATAGAGCTGAAAAACTCACCTCAAGAGTTTCAGAATACAACCACAAATATTAACAACAGAATCAACCAAGCTGAGGAAAGAATCTCAGAGCTCGAAGACCAGTTCTCTGAACTAATTTAGTCAGACAAAAATAAAGAAAAATAAACAAAACTTCCAAGAAATATGGGATTATGTAAAGTGACCCAATGTATGACTCATTGTCAGACCTGAAAGAGAGGAAGAGACAGCAAGCAACTTGAAAAACATATTTAAAGATATCCTCCATGAAAATCTCCCCAACCTCATTAGAAACACCAACATTCAAATTCAGGAAATGGAGAGAATCCTTGCAAGATACGGTACGAGAGAACTATCCCCAAAACACCAATCATTAGATTCTCTGAGGTTGGAATAAAAGAAAAACAGTTAAAGGCAGCTAGAGAGAAGGGGCAGGTCACATACAAAGAGAATCCCATCAGGCTAACAGTGGACCTTTCATCAGAAACCCCACAAGCCAGAAGAGATTGAGGGCTATAGTCAGCATTCTTAAGGAAAATAAATTCCAAATTCCATATCCAGCCAAACTAAGCTTTATAAGTGAAGAAGTAAGATTCTTTTCAGACAAGAAAATGCTAAGGGAATTTGTTACCACTAGACCCACCTTACAAGAGGTCCTGAAGGGAGTGCTAAATATGGAAAAGACAGACCAATAGCAACCACCCAAAACACATTTAAGTACATAGACCATTGACACTATAAAGCAACCATACAATCAAGTCTGCATAATAACCAGCTAACAACATGATGTCAGGATGAAATCTGTACATATCAGTATTAACCCTGAATGTAAATAGGCTAAATGTCCCAATTAAAAGGCACAGAGTGGCAAGTCAAATAAAGAAACATGACCCAGTGGCTGGACATGGTGGCTCATGCCTGTAATCCCAACACTTTGGGAGGCTGAGGCAGGTGGATCACCTGAGGTCAGGAGTTCAAGACCAGCCTGGCCAACATGGTGAAACCCCATCTCTACTGAAAATACAATAGTTAGTGGGGCGTGGTGGCAGGTGCCTGTAATCCAGCTACTCAGGAGGCTGAGTCAAGAGAATCACTTGAACCTGGGAGGTGGAGTTTGCAGTGAGCTGAGATTGCACCATTGCACTCCAGCCTGGGCGACAAGAGTGAAACTCCATCCAAAAAAAAAAAAAAAGCATGACCCAACTGCATGCTGTGTTCAAGACACCCATCTCACATGCAATGACACCCATAGGCTCAAAGTAAAGGGATGGAGAAAAATTTACTAAGCAAATGGAAAACAGAAAAAAGGAGGGGTTGTTATTTGAATTTTAGAAAAAACAGACTTTAAACCAAGAACAATCAAAAAAGACAAAGAAGGGCACTACATTAAAATAAACAACGAACATCAGTTCAACTAGAATACCTAATATCCTAAATATATATGCACTCAACACAGGGTCATCCAGATTCATAAAGCAAGTTCTTAAAGACTTATGGAGAGACGTAGATAACCACACAATAATAGCAGGAGACTTCCACACCCCACTGACATTATTAGACAGATCACTGACGCAAAAAACTAACAAAGATATTCAGGACCTGAACTTGACACTTGACCAATGGACCTAAGAGACATCTACAGAACTCTCCACCCCAAAAGAACAGAATATGCATTCTTCTAATCTTCACATGGCACATATTCTAAAATCAATCACAAAATTAACCATAAAACAATGCTCAGCAAATTCAGAAAATTAAAATCATACCAAACACACTCTTGGACCACAACACAATAAAAATAGAAATCAATACTAATAAAATTGCTCAAAATCACACAACAACATGGAAATTAAACAATGTGCTCCTGAATGACTTCTGGGTAAACAATAAAATAAAATTGAGGCAGAAATTAAGAAACTCTTTGAAACTAATGGGAACAAAGATACAATATACCAGAATCTCTGGGACATAGCTGAAGTAATGTTAAGAAGAAATGTTATAGTGTTAAATGCCCACATCAAAAAGTTAGAAAGATCTCAAATTAACAACTTAATATCACACTCAGAGGAGCTAGAGAAAGAACAAACAAACTCCAAAGCTAGTAGATGACAAGAAATAACCAAAATCAGAATTGAACTGAAGGAAACCAAGATACAAAAAAACATAGAAAAGAATCCAGGAGTTGGTTCTTTGACAGAATAAATAAGATTTATAGGACACTAGCTAGTCTAATAAAAAAAGAAGATTCAAACAAACAAAACCAGAAATGACAAAGGGGACATTACCACCTACCACACAGAAATAGAAAAAACTCTCAGAGATGACTACAAACACCTCTATGCACACAAAGTAGAAAACCTAGAAGAAATGGATAAATTTTTAAAAACATACAACCTCCCAAGATGGAACCAAGAAGAAACTGAATCCCTGAATGGACCAATGATGTCTTCTGAAATTGAATCAGTAATATAAAGCCTACCAACCAGAAAAAGCCCAGGATCAGACAAATTCACAGACAATTCTACCAAGTGTATAAAGAAGAGCTTGTACCATTCATATTGAAATTACTCCGAAAAGTTGGAGGAAAGACTCCTCACTAACTCATTCTATTAGGCCAGCATTATCCTGATACCAAAACCTAGCAGAGACACAACTGAAAAAGAAAACATCAGATCAATGTCCTTGATGAACATAGGTACAAAAATTCTCAATAAAATACTAGCAAACTGAATCCAGTAGCATATCAAAAAGCTAATTCACCATGATCAAGTAGGCTTTGCCCTTAGGATGCAAGGTTGGTTCATCATCCACAAATCAATATATATGATTCATTACATAAGCAAAACTAAAAACAAAAACCACATGGTTATCTCAATAGATGCTAAAAAAGGCTTTTGATAAATTCAACATTCCTTCATCTTAAGAATCCTCAACAAACTGGGCATTGAAGGAACATACCTCAAAATAATCAGAACCATCTAAGACAAACCCATAGCCAACATCATATCAAATAGGCAAAAGCTGGAAGCATTCCCCTGGAGGAATACCTCCCCTATTCAACATAGTACTGAAACTCCTAGTCAGAGCAATCAGGCAAGAGAAAGAAACAAAAGTGCATCCAAATAGGAAGAGAAGAAATCAAGCTGTTCCTGTTTGCAAAATATATGACTCTATACCTAGAAAACCCCATAGTCTCTGCCCAAAACCTCCTAGATCTGATAATCAACTTCAGCAAAGTTTTAAAGTACAAAAATCAGTAGCATTTCTATATACCAACAACATGCAAGCAAAGATTCAAATAAAAAATGCAATCCCATTCATAAGAGCCACAAAAAGAATAAAATACCTAGGAATACAGCTAACCAGAGAGATGAAAGGTCTCTACAGTGAGAATTACAAAATACTCCTCAAAGAAATCAGAGACAACACAAACAAATGGAAAAACATTCCATGCTCATGGATAGGAAGAAGCAACGTTGTTAAAACAACCACACTTCCCAAAGCAAGCTACCAACTCAATGCTATTCCTATCAAACTACCAATGATATTCTTCACAGAATCAGAAAAAAACTATTTTATAATTTATATGAAACCAAAAAAGGGGCCCAAATAGAGGCAATCTTAAGCAAAAAGAACAAAGCTGGAGCCATCACATTACTTGATGTAAAAGTATACTACAAAGATACAGTAACCAAAACAGCATGGTACTGGAACCAAAATAGAAACATAGACCAATGGAACAGAATAGAAAACCTAGAAATAAAGCTGCCTATCTACAGCCATCTGTTTTTGTTAAGTTAAAAACAAGCAATGGGGAAAGGACTCCTTATTCAACAAATTATGCTGGGATAACTGGCTAGCCACATGCAGAAGATTGAAACTGAACTCCTTCCTTATAGCATATACAAAAATCAGCTCAAGATTAAAGACTTAAATATGGATTATGGATTAAGACTTAAATCCTAAAACTATAAAAATCCCAGAAGATAACCTAGGAAATACCATTTGGACATAGGCCCTGACAAAGGTTTCATGACAAAGATGCCAAAAGCAATTGCAACAAAAACAAAAGTTGACAAATGGGACCTAATTAAAATAAAGAGCTTTTGCATGGCAAAAGAAACTATCAACAGAGTAAGCAGACAACCTACAGAAACAGAAAAAATATTTGTAAACTATGCATCTGACAAGGGTCTAACATCCAGAATGTATAAGGAATTTAAACAAATTAACAAGCAAAAAACAAATAACTCTATTAAAAAGTAGGCAAAGGACATGAATAGATGCTTTTAAAAGAAGACACCCACTGGCCAACAAACATATGAAAAAATGCTCAACATCTCTGATCATTAGAGAACCACAAATCAAAACCACAATGAGATACCATCTCACACCAGTCAGAATGGCTATCATTAAGAAATCAAAAAATAACAGATGCTGGCAAAGCTGCAGAAAAAAGAGAATGCTTATACACTGCTGATAGGAATGCAAATTAGTTGAGCCACCGTGCACAGTAGTGTGGCAATTTCTGAAAGAACTCAAAACAGAATTACCATTCAACCCAGCAATTCCATTATTCTGTTACCCAAAGTAACAGAAATTGTTCTACCATAAAGACACATGTACATGTGTGTTCATTGCAGCACTATTCACAATAAGAAAGACATGAAACCTTAACCTAAATGTCTGTCAATGGTGGACTGGATAAAGAAAATATGGTACATACATATCATGGAATACTATGCAGCCATAGAAAGGAACAAGATCATATCCTTTGCAGCAACATGGATCAAGCTGGGGGCAATTATCCTAAGAGAACTAACGTAGAACCAGAAAACCAAATGCCACATGTCCTCATTTATAAGTGGAAACTAAACATTTAACACACATGGTCACAAAGAAAGAAACAACAGACACTGGGGCCTACTTGAGGGTGGAGAGTGAGAGAAGAGAGCGATTCAAAAAACCACCTATTGGGTAGTATGCTTTTTACCTGGGCAATGAAATAATCTGTCCATCAAACCCCCATAATGTACAGATTTACCTATATAAAATTATGTAGATTTACCTATATAAAGGTTTACCTATATATTTTTAGATAGGTAAATTTACACAATTTACCTATATAACAAACCCGCAGATGTTCCTGCAACTTAAAATAAAAGTTAATATAAAATATAAATAAATAAATAAAATTTCAGTATTCATATTATAGACTTTGCATATTATTCAATGAGAATTTTACAGGACCTACATATAGATATCTGGATTCTAAACTAAAATAAATGTTGAAAAAAAAGTATATGTACAAAAAATCTACAATTTACATGACAATGGTGAAAAACTAGAAGCTTTACCTAGAATTAGGAATGAGACAAGAATATTCCCTCTTACCACTGCTTTTCAATATTCTCTTGGAAGCACTGACTAATGAAATAAAACAAGAAAAGTAAATAAAATGTATACAGGTTGGGAAAAGAGAAATAAGAATATCTTTTTTGCAGATGACATGATTATCTACGTAGAAAATCTAAAAGCTCAACAAAAAAACCCCTAGAACTAACAAGTGATTATAGCAAATTTGTAGGAGACAAGGTTAACATGCAAGTCAATTGCTTTCCTGTATGCCAGCAATAAACAGATGGAATTTTACATTAAAAACACATTACCGTTCATACTAACATCCCCAAAATGAAATACTTAGATATAAATCTAACAAAATATGTACAGGAGTTACATGAGGAAAACTACAAAACTCTGATGAAAAAAATTTAAAAAGAACTAAAGAGATATTTCATATTATTTGACAGAAAAACTCAATATTGTCAAGATGTCAGTTCTTCCCAACTTGATCTATAGATTCAAAATCTCAGCAAGCTATTCTGTGGATATCAACAAGCTAATTCTATAGATTTTTTTTTGTTGTTGTTTGTTTGTTTTTTGAGATGGAGTCTCACTCTGTCGCCCAGGCTGGAGTGGAGTGGCGTGATCTCGGCTCACTGCAAGCTCCGCCTCCCGGATTCACGTCATTCTTCTGCCTCAGCCTCCCAAGTAGCTGGGACTACAGGCGCCTGCCACCATACCCGGCTAATTTTTTGTATTTATAGTAGAGATGGGGTTTCACCGTGTTAGCCAGGATGGTCTCAATCTCCTGACCTCGTGATCCGCCTGCCTCAGCCTCCCAAAGTGCTGGGATTACAGGTGTGAGCCACCGTGCCTGGCCAATTCTATAGTTTATATGGAGATGCAGAAGACCCAGAACAGCTAACACAATATTAAAGGACAAGAACAAAGCTGGAAGACAGACACTACTCAACTTCAAGACCTATTGTAAATCTACAGTAATCAAGACAGTATGTTATTGGTGAAAAAATATACAAATAGATCAATGGAAGAGAATAGACAGGCCAGAAATAGATGCACATAAATATAATCAACTGATCTTTGACAAAGGAGCAAAGGAAATACAATAGAACAAAGATAGTCTTTTAAGCAAATGGTTCTGGAGCAACTGGACATTCACATGCAAAACAAAAAAACAAAAAAAATGAATTTAGACAAAGACCTTACACCTTCCCCAAAAATTTACTCCAAATGGATCAAAGACATAAATGTAAAATGTGAAACTATAAGACTCTTAGAGAATAGCATACAAGAAAACATAGATGACCTTGGGTATGACAATGACTCATCAGATACAACACCAAAGGCATAATCCATGAAATAAGTAATTGATAAGCTAAACTTCATAAAACTCAAAACTTCTGCTTTGAAAAGATAATGTCAAGAAAATGAAAAGATAAGATGCAGACTGGGAGAATATATTTGCAAAAGACACATCTGATAAAGGACTATCATCCAAAATATACACAGAACTCTTGAAACTCAATAATAATAAAATTAGCCATTCAATTAAAAAATGGACCAAAAATCTTGATACCTCACCAACAAAGAATGGCAAATAGACATATGAGAAAAATGTACTACATCATGTGGCATCAGGTAAATATGAAATAAAATCCTGAAATACCATTACACACCTATTAGGAAGGCCAAAATCCAAAACAACTGCCAAATGCTGGTAAGGATGTGGAGCAACAGAAAGTCTCATTCATTGCTGGTGAGAATGCAAACTGGTACAGTACCTTGAAAGACAGTTGGGCAGTTTCTTACAAAACTAAATATACTCTTACTGTGTAATCCAGCAGTTACTCTCCCTAGTATTTATCCCAAAGGGCTGAAAACCTATGTCCTCCAAAAACCACCACAAAGAGGTTTATAGCAGTTTTATTCATAACTGCCAAAACTTGGAAGCAACCAAGATGTCCTTTAGTAGGGGAATAGATAAATAAACTGTGGTACATGCAAACAAAGAAATATTATCCAGCTATAAAAGGAAATGAGCTACCAAGCCACGAGAAGACACAGAGGAACCTTAAATGCATATTACTAAGTGAAAGAAGTCAATCTGAAAAAGGCTACTTACTGTATGATTCCAACTATATGACATTCTTAGAAAGGCAAAACTATGGGGACAGTATAAAGATCAGCGATCGTCAGTGGGTTGGGAGCGGGAGAGGTGAATAGGCAGAGCACAGAGAATTGTTACCACGGTGAAAATACTCTGTAAGATACTATAGTGGTGGTACATATCATTAGACATTTGTCCAAACCCATAGACTGTACAGCACCAAGAGAAATCCCTAATGTAAGCTATGTATTTTGGGTAATAATGATGTGTAAATGTAGGTTCATGGATTGTAACAAATGTATCAGTGTTACGAAAGATGTTGCAAATGGGCGAGGCTATGTTTGTGTGGGGGTGGTGGGTACACAAGAAATCTCTGTGCCTTCCTCTCACCTTTGCTGTGAGCCTAAAAATGCTCTAAAAATAAAGTTTTTTCTTTTTTAAGATGATGGTAAACTGCATTTAAAAGAACATCTATGTATTAACATGTAAAACTCAGGGGCAAGAGATGTTGATGTAAGGACTGAAACAGAGCGTTTGCAGGTAAATAGACATTTGACACATAACAAAGGAAAGAATGAACTTATTAGTAAGTATCAATGGGACAACTGGATATTAATATAGAAAAGAAATAAAATCATATCTCTAGTTCATCCTTGACAATAGTAGGTCGATTAAAGATGTAAAAGTGAAAGGCAAAACTGCAAAGCTTTTAGAGAAATAATACAAAATGATAGCCTCATGACTTCAGAGTTATGAAATTCTCTTGAAATAGAATATTAAGAGTACAGAATAAGAGAAAGATGGATTATGTCAATTTTATTAAAATTATAAAATTCACTTTATCAAAGATATCATGCAAAGAGTAAAATAAAAAAAAGATAAGCCACTGAAATGGAAAATATATTTATAACACATATACCTGGCAAAGTACTAGTATTCAGAATAAATAAATAGCTACTACAAATAAATATGAAAAATACAGTCAACAAGGGGGAAAATGGATCAAAGACCTGAAGAGATACTTCACAAAAAGGAAATCCAAGTGATTAATATAGTGCTATCTAGAAATATGCTCAAACTCAGTAGTAATTTGAGAATGCCAAGTTAATCTATTTTCTAATAAAATTATACATACCTTAGATTCTCAAAATATTTTTAAAAATCTGATAATAGCAAAATGTCGGTGAGGATGTGAAACTGCTATTTCTAAGTGTCAATTTGGTACAACCTCCTTGGGAAACAGCTGGGCGTTGTCTAGCAAAACTGAAGATGTCTATGCCCTGGGAATTCTACTCATAAGCATCTACATTAGTAAAACTTTGCACATATTCTCTAACAGACATGTCCCAAACCATTCATAGCCCCATTACCAGTTAAGAGCCCTAAACTGAAATTATCCTTAATGACTATTAAGAGAAAGTTGAATATATAAATTATGGCAAATTCATTCAATGGAATACCATAGAGTATTAAAGACAAATTAATTAAAGTTGCATGCAACAACCTGAATACATTTCACAAATGTAGTTTTAAGCAACAGGAGAAATTTGGTAAAGAATACATATAATATGATTTCATTTATATAAGATTCAAAAACAATAAAAACATGCTGTATTTTTAGGGACACCTAGTAGAATATAAAAGTCAGGACAGTAGTTATTTTTAGAGAAGAAAAATGTGACGCAATCAGGGGCTCCTGTTTTGCTAATTATTGTTGGCAAGGATGATGGTTATCAGGAATATTTATTTGATAATTATTCTGTAAACTATTCAGATACATTCTATGCACTCTTTTATGTATAGGGTTTGTGTGATCCACCCAAAATACACAAATCATACACACACTGTGAGGGTATAAATCAGATAAAAGAAAATTTCCCTAAAATATGTGTTATAAAATCATTCTCATTTGTGATAAAAATAAATTAAAAATGATTATTTACATTAACTTAGGAAAAAATTCTAAAATAAATCAATCAAAATGTTAACAGTAGTTATCTTTATATTGTGGACACGTTGGTATTGTTTTTAGTATTTTATGAGTTGTCTACAATGATATATATTTTTTGTACTAAAAAATACACTTCTTCAAAAACAACAGAGATCAAGAAAGGGTCAAGGATGAAACTATAGCTTTAAAAGTGCACAGAAATTTGGGAAGTTAATCTTTTAGCAAAATGATCACTTAACAGAAGATTTTGGCAAACCTACAACATTTGCAAGACGATTCTGTGAAGTCTGTGAGTAACAAGCCAATTGCTTCTGAGGAAAAACTTTCTTGCATATGCTCATGGGTTACAAGACTTCAGATATGTAGACCATTGCAATGCAATGTCCCTGGAAGCACGTCTACAAGCCAGCACCATGAATGTGCTTTTAAGGATAGTGATATGCTCATGGCATGCCATGAAGGTACTTTCTACAGAGTAATCTGCCCACCCATGTGTAGGTTATGAGACTTACTTAACATAGATTAGCCAAAAGTTTTCATGAAGATGGATTTGAGGTTTTAAAAATATTTTCTGGATTTTGGAAATGCATTAATTAACCCCCCAATATCTGACCAAAGTTCAGTGGAGAGACAGCACTAACAAAGAAAACACAGAACCCCAACATAATGGGTCCAGGAAATCAAACAACTATGCAATGAACCAGGCTGATTTTGATTGCTACACCCTACTGAAAAAAGCACTTCTCTCAACTATATTTTCATTTTAGAAAAGCTAAAACAGAAGCCATGGCTTTATATGTCTTAATCATCCCTTTACATCAGGCATTAATTAAGACCTGCCAGAATTTTTGTCCCTTTGGTGAACAAAGAGGTATCATAAATAGGAAGAAAAGCCTCTCAGTGGAGACTCATGCAGATGTACCTCTCACTGCCAATAGTCCAGGGTGATTCAAAGCAAAAATAGTTGATTAAGGCAGACATTCTAGGACAGGAAACCCATAACCGAAACACTAATCAAAACACAAATTGCATCTCTAACGAGGCATTGATTTTTAATCAGCCAATGTGTTGCGTGTAAAGATGCAGCGGTTGGTTCTATCAATTGAAACCCTGGGTTAGGGCAATTTGTGATTAGTGCAGAGAAGGCAGAAGGATAGAGAAATAACTAGGTGATATGTAAAATTTTTAAAAATGAAATTTGAGTATATAGCCATTATGGGAAATAGTATGGAGGTTCCTCAAAAAATTAAAAGTAGAACTACTGTAAGATCCAGCAATCCCATCACTGGGTATACATACAAAGGGAATGAAATCAGTGTGTCAAAGCGATGTCTGCCTGCTCATGTTTATTGCAGCACTATTCACAATAGTCAAGATATGGAATTAACCTAAGTGTCCAACAACAGATGAATGAATAAAGAAAATGTGGTAAATATATGCAATAGAATACTATTTGGCTATAAAAAATAATAAAATTCTGTCATTTTTGACAATGTGGATGAGGCTTGAGGATATTACATTAAGTGAAATAAGCAGACACAGAAAGCAGATACAACATTTTCTCATTCATATGTAGGAGCTAAAAAACTGATCTTATCAAAGTAGTGACTAGAATAGTGATTACCAAAGACTGGGGAGGGTAGGGGACATTGGGAGATAAAGAGAGGATGGTCAATGGGTACAAAGTTACAATTAGAAAAAAAGAGTAAGTAGTGATGTCCCATTGTACAGTAGAGTGACTGTAGTAATTAAAAAGATATTGCATATGTGAAAATAGCTAGAAGAGAGAATTTTGAATGTTCCTATCACAAAGAAATGATAAATGTTTGAGGTGATGGATATGCTAATTACCCTGATTTGATCATTACACAATGCATACCTGTATCAAAACATCACACTGTACCCCGTAAATATGTACAATTATTATGTGTCAATAAAAAATATAAATAAATTTAAAAATAAAAGAAAGTAAAAAGATGGAAAGACATGATGCCAAGCAAACCAACATTTATTTTTGGTGATTGTATTTAAATTTATTAAGTGGGTCATTTCATTGAAGCTTAGTTAAAATTGGTCATTTCTGAGATTCAAAACAAGCTTTTGGAGGAATCTGTGAGGAGATGATTGAATAGCTTTTCCCTAATTAGGAAGGCATATCACAGCTAATCACCAAATAGATGACTTCAAAGACTGCTTAGACAGTAAAGAAAACTCTGGAGTTCACTCACAACTATGACAGCATGCTGAAAACAAGTAAATTTCTGTTAGTTTGCTGCAGTACCTTCTTAGAGTCGGCAAAGTGCATAAATTCTTCTGCAGGAGTCTCTGCCTCAAAGCTTGTTCAAAATCCCTTTTAACAGAACTGCCAGTCATTGCAGAGCCTATAGTGCTTATTTCTTAAGAAATCATCATCCATAAATTTCTAATATTTACAACCTGAACAAGAAATAAATATAGCTTTTGTTCAGTAGCATTCGTGAGTAAGCAGTGGTATTTCTCTGTGTGCAGAATTAAATGCTTTAGGAAAGATTTATCATTGCAAAAGGATAATTTGAAGGACTGCATTGAAAAAAAATCAGGCCAGTTAGGATTAGAAAACTGTTTAATAATCAGCACTGACACTAGCTTGAAGAAGGATAATTAGAACCTTTAATGTGCAGAGTGCCTTTTGAAAACATTTCTGGTGGTTAATACCACCATCTTAACATCCAAAGAAGGGCCACTGAGCTGACAGATGATAACCAACAATCTTATCCAAGGTCACAAGGAAAATCGAAGGACAGACTTTAGTTCTTCTCATATATTCTCTCATTAGATTTACTACTATTCTGCAATATCGTTAGGGGGTATAACTTCCCCCGTAAGTCATGGATCTAAGATGGAGACTGCTGATTTTGAAATATCCGTGGACTTCTGAAATCACAGCTGAAAAACAGTACTTCCTACCTCTTCCCTCTGGGCGTTCAAGACTGAGAGTCGGTTTTAAGGAGGAAGGCTTGCTGATCCACACCTAGCCTTGGTGATCCACCCTACACTGCTTATCCACCCTACATTGCCTTGGTGAGGACTGAACAAAGATGGCTTTTCATGGCCACAGGGCTTGGAACAAATACTACCTATTCCTGAAATCCAAAATAACTTCATGTCCTCGGCATTACCTCTATGTAAAAATGCAATTGTCACTTAAAACTCATAATCATAATTAATATACAGTTGGGAGCCAATGTTTTTGGTAGAAATTAAGCTATATTTTTATGGCAAGGAAATGAGATTAAAGAATAACTTGCCTGTTTGCTTAGAAAACACAATAAAAGGCCATCCACGGTGGTTCATGCCTGTAATCCCAGCACTTTGGGAGGCTGAGGCTGGTGGATCACCTGAGTCCAAGAGTTCAAGACCAGCCTGGCCAACATAGTGAAACCCCATCTCCACTAAAAACACAAAAATTAGCGCCTGTAATCCCAGCTGCTCGGGAGGCTGAGGCAGGAGAATCACTTGAACCTGGGGGCCGGAAATTCGTACCACTGCACTCCAGCCTGGGCGACAGAGTGAAACTCCGTCTCAAAACAAAAAAAAAAAAAAAGAGAGAAAACACAATAAAAAACATGGACATTAACATGCTATGAGGACATTTCAGGACCACAATATCAAAAACCTTCCACTACTAGTTGTCAGCCTTTCTGTGTCCAACCACTCTTGCTGATCCCATTTTCCATGCCAGCTATTGCTTCTGTTCACTCTCTACCTTTACAGCAGATCTCCTTGAAAGAGTTGCCTGTCCTTGTTGCTTCCAGTCACTCTTGAACACACTCGAATCAGGCTCCCTCCCTACAATTCCACCAAAGTAGCTGTTCCCAAGGTCCTCCATTCACCCAATGCAAGGGTCAATTCTCAGGCCCCATTTGACAATCCACGTCACCCTTTCTTCTTTCTCCTCCTAGCTCCTGGCCTGCTCCTTCTAAATTCTTCCTGGCAGGCACTCCTCATGTCTCAGGTGTCTAGATTAGGGCTGCACGCTCACATCCCTGTTTTGTTCTTTGATCCACAGGTAGTGGCAATGACACATTTGAAGGATTTAGACATTTGGAGGCAAGACTTCTGGCATAATCTATTTAATGTTTTATATTTTCCCAATCATGTTATCTCCATAAATCTTGCAGTTATATGAATACATAGTTCCATCCACCAGTGAACACAACAGCTCTATCCTTCACCTCTTTCATATACACTGTCACAGATAGCAGTTTATGGTTTTATTTCCTTCAACTAGGAAGCCCTGAACTCTACCAGGCTGTAGATGCCTGACTATTTAATTAGTCACCCAATTATGGCTTTTTGCTGGCCTTAGCCTATGTTTTCATTTAGGAGAAAAAGAAATCAAATTGATTGGGCTTACAATGAAAAAGAAATACAACTCCAGTTATTAGCCCTAGCCTCCTTAAGGAAGAAATGAGAGTTTTAATTTTTCTCTAAAACTAAAGGGATGTAACAAACAACTGTAATTATTTCAGAGGATATATTTAGTATTTAAGTCAGAAAGAAACAGTTACAACCAACCTAGAGAAGTGGTATTCTCAGTTGGTGCTGGTTCATGGTTGATCATATTAATATGCTTTTATCAACAGAATGGGATTTGAGGAAGCTGTCCACAAGAAAATAGTGTGAGCAGGTCATGGAACATAACATTGTCGCCAACAGAGAATTACTTTTCCTTTTCTATCACTATATTTTCATTTCCCATTACACCTTTCAGTATCTTTCATTCCCAGCCTTTCCTAATCATGTAAAGTTTCTTTTTCCTCCTTTTCACTTAGGGCCTGTTATAAAGGATAATGCCTCCAAAAGTGGTGCTCAGAAAAAGAAAACCCGTTGATGGCTTTCACTGTGAGTTTTTATTCTTTTCTGTTCTTTTTGTTGTTTCTTGTTAAAAGTAGGGTTGTCTTGTGATGAGCGAGAAAAAGAATAAGGTGACTCAACAAAAAAAGTTTTTTAAAACACTGTAAAATAGAATTGGGGGTAAAGTATAAAGCTTGTGCACTTTTAAAAACCTCAAACTCAGTGTTGAGTACAAAAGGCAGTGCTCCCTGCTAATCTCCTGAAAACTAACCATTTAAAATGGTCTCCAGCAGCTCCCAGCTGCTTTAGTTGGTGCCTTTCCAAGTAAGTCCGAGAAATATAGAAATGGGTCTGGAACATTTGCTTGTAATCAAAATGCGAACACATATCTAGAATCGACCATGTCTTAAACACCTTACACTGGCTTAAAAATCCATGTATCTGGAGGAGACATTTACTACAGAATAAAACCATTCGTAGGAGAGATTCTTCCTCTAACAGTTTGCAAAACAAGCCTTTCAATTGCCAAATAACGTTATTTAAATCAACTGATCAGAAAGCATTTTTTAAGCGGATATTTGGGACAAATTTTTAAATAGTTTTTATTTTTAATGGTAGTCACTACTTCAGGCTGGTTGAAAGAGAATTAGCAGTTGACCTTCTCTTGCAGTATCTGTAATGAATGAAGATAAATAATTTAATAGTTTTATTTACCTTCTGTGCTATTATAATGTAAAATGCCATAACACCTTGCATAATTTGGAGTAAAAATGCCAACCTACTGTGAAGGGGTAGTACTTTTAAAGAAGTTGATATAACCTTAAATTGTTTATCACTATATGCATGGCAAGCTTGGAGGAGGCAGAGCAAGTCTTGAATCTTTTTATCTGTAAAATGAGGGTGATAAAATGATCTACCTCCAAAGATGGCGAAGATGAAATGACCAATAACAAAAACATCAAACACTTCGATTAGGGCTTGGCAGGCAAATAAGTTCTCAATACATTGTACTCGTTCCAATTATCAGCATTATTTAATTAAGACATACAGTATGTAAAATTAGCAGAGTGTCCCTAAATGAAGTGCTGATAAAGAGGTATTAAACTAACAAAATATATGCAACATGTCTATTGCACTATTGTTTGATTTACTGGCAAAACTTATCTCATAGACAGGAAAACCACAAAATACTGTCTAGTTCCTTTCTAAATGTCTAAAAATTTGGTAGTGATGGAGCCTTGATTATCTTTTTATGCAAAAACATCAGTAAAATTTGTATACATTTACATACACACATAAAATGATGTGCATTTTAATACTATAAGTTTTTGTTGATTTTTCTTTTGCATTAATGTGTTTACATTTCTAACTTAGGCAATAATTGTTTTCATCCCCAAGTAAGATCAGGGTTGCAAAAGAAATACTATTCTCTTTGGTAGAGCTGACCTTGGAAATACACGTTTGCTGACATGACTTAAAAGACTGCACACCATCACATTCTTAACTAATGCACAAGAATTGCAGCCAGATTTTTTTTTAATCACACTAAAAAATGAAGATAATCCAAAGTGAACTGGTTTTCTCATCATTATAAAATATTTGGACATAATGGCATTTTATACATAAAATTAAATCCCAACAGAAAGGAGCTAAAGACACTAATTTCTAATATAAACCTGTGAACCCTTGGTATTGCTTCCTAAACAACATCTTAACTGGCATTTTCCTGTAACAATGTAACAATGTGTATGTAGTTCCACCTACAATATATCATTGAGTAGAATGCAATTCTAAGTGCCAGAAGACTTCTTGATCTCTTTAAAATTCGTGAGTATTTAATTGAAAAAACTGGGGAACTTTAAACAAGATACACATACACAATTTGTATACTTGTACACACACAGTATATATTTATACATATATAGATCACATATATCTATATCATGTTTATATATGCATATTTATTAGTAGGAATAAAAAAGTATATGGCACATATTAGTAAAGTATGTGGCACATATTAGTAAAATATATGACACATATTTATTAGTAAAAATTTTTAAAAAGTATATGGCACAAGTTTGTACAAAGATGCTTCTCCTGTAGGCATTTTATTGATGTGTCATAGGAATACAATGTCATTAGATTCAGAGTGAGTGCTTCCCTATGAGGAAGGTGTTAAGACCCTAATCAAGCCTAAAAGCTCTATATCTCGTTAAGCAACTACCCAGCTTCTCTGTTTGTCTTACCATCCCCCAACTTTTCTTCTTAGCAGGAAAGAGCCTCTGCTTGGTTTCTTAAGTATCTTTGGCTTCTGGCTACTTATTCCACTTTTCTTCAAATCTCTACTTCAAATATTTTTAAAAGTAGCTTCTGGAAGAAGGTGGCTAAAATGTCCTTTACCAGAGGATTTAAGACAATTATGCAGGAAAGGGATAGTGGCAGGAGCCAGGGACTTCTTAGTGGAGCAAAGAATCCCATTTCCAGTGAATTTCTCTACTCAGAAAACAGGGGAAGAGAAACCTTACAGATCTACTTAAATCATCTTAGTTCTGTGGTTGGCCCTTGCCAAGGAGATAAGCAGATATATCAGCAGGCCTGGGTTGACTGGTTTTTGTTTGCTTGTTTGGTTGGTTATTTTTAATGTGCATAGTTAAACACACTAATTTAGGGCCAGGTAGAATTTCTGGTGGGGCATGGTTATAAACCACTGCCTCTTTTTCCATCATTTATACCGTGTGTGTGTGTGTGTGTGTGTGTGTGTGTGTGTGTGTGTGTGTGCATATGTGTGTGTGTTTACTAGAACACATCTACTGCTGGCTCCATATCCCAACTTTGTCTTCCGCTTTGATCTTCTTAATCTTAATAACCTTCAGCCTTCCCTCCTGGCCCCTTGGATTTCATGGACTATGAGTTTTCAGTGTTGCTGTTTAACTTCTGTGTTTACCTTTTCACCCTTTGGTAAGATCATTTTGGTCCCTAGTCTCCTGCAACCTACCCCTGACCAGACCAGACCCTGATATGTTGTGGCTCTGTGTCCCCACCCAAATCTCATGCTGAATTTTAATTCCCAATGTTGGAAGTGGAGCCTGGTGGGAGGTGATTGGATCAAGGAGGTGGTTTCTAGTGGTTTAGCACTATCCTCCTTGTGCCATCTCATGATAGAGTTCTCACGAGATCTGGTTGTTTGAAAGTGTGTAGCACCTCCTCTTTCTCTCTCTCTCTCTCTCTCCTGCCATCGAGGTGAAGACATGCCTGCTTCCCTTTTGCATTCTGCCATGATTGTAAGTTTCCTGAGGCTTTCTCAGAAGCAGAAGCCTGTATAGCCTTCAGAACCATGAGCAAATTAAACTTCTTTTTCTTATAAATTACCCAGTCTCAGCTACTTCTTTACATCAGTGTGAGAACAGACTAATACAGAGCTGAAGCCCAGAACTAAAGTTCATAAAGCAGGAGATTCCGCTGCTTTATAAGTACTGAGAACCAGAGCTGATCGGAGCATCTTGTATAGCAATGGTCTTTTTTAAACTCTGAGATACAGACTCTATATCTTTGAAAATCCTTTACTAAAGATCCTCCTCTGCTGCCATTGGTATTGGTGGTCAGCACCATATATTTTTAAACATTCTCAGCCTGAACGGCTTTCTGTGGCTTTCTTCTTCTCTCTGCAGAATGGTATCTGGCATCTCAGGGTATTAATAATCTATCCAAGAAAAAATGTGACAGAGGAGTGCCTGAAGCCAGACCCTTAATGACTCAGGACTGAGAAACAGTACCAGGTAGAGGCCAGATACCAGGATTTAGAGTGAGAATAGTGGAGGTGAAGCCTAGTTGCACTGCATATGAGATGCAGAATCTTAAGCAAGTCATTCAGCCTCTCCAGGGCTGTTTTCTTATTGTCAAAACAGAAAATAATTTTTAAAAATTACTTAAATGATTGGACCAGGACCACATCAGGTAAGACATGTGGACAGCTTTCTTCATTGTCAAAGGGCTAGTATATGGATGGTGTTCTTATTACCAGGGCTAGTGATGCTGCAAAGGCAAGGTTAGGAGACCATAAAGCTCTCAGCCTGCCAGGACTGAAAGAGGGAGAAATGGCAATGGAGACAGGCACTGGAAGCCAAAATGAGAGCTGCCCTTCCAAGCTTGGATGACAAAATAAAGCCACAGTATAGAGAGTTTGGGTTTCCAGGTCTTTTATTTTTTTTTAAGAGCAACTTCCCTGGCTCTTGCCTGCCCTGTTAGTGATAGGTCTAGAACAAATAGAGTGAAAAATAAGATGTGTAATCTGATCAGTAAAAATTAGTAGTGGTGGGGGAGGTGGCAGTGGAACCCTTGGCCACATCTTCTTAATCAGCTAAAGGCAGATGGAAACCAGCTGGGCCAGAAGTTCCAAGAAGCATCTTCCAAACCCAGGGTCATTCGGCCTGTGGGCCAACTCCAGTTCACCATCTGTTTTTGTGAATAAAGTTTTATTGGAACACAGCTCTGCTTTTTTATGCACAACACAGAGTTGAGCAGTTGAGAAAGACGCAGTACAACCCACAAAGCTTAAAATATTGACTCTAGCCTTCTTAAGAAATAGTTTGAAGATGCCTGTTTTATACCTTTTAGCAAGGAGATATGTTAGTTAGAACAACATTTTGGCTGCTGGATCACATTAAATTAGAAAGTGGCATCACCAAAGAATAGGACTGGTGTATTCTTGGAAATACTCTTGTTCTGTCGTCTTTTTTCAAAGCGAATAACCAAGGATCAGTGAAGAAAGAAACAGTTTCTTAGTCATGCATTTTAAGAAAGGGAGTAGGGAAAAAAATTCAAATCAAATGCTTGAAACCCAGGGGGCTGAAGAGGAAAAAACATGCTAATGTTATTTAGAAAATGTTGTCAGGTGCCCACCCCTGTCGCAGTTACTCTCTCTTAATCAGTAACACAGAGATTCAGCAAAATGGGAACCTTCATGATTTTCACCTAAGAAACTTCAAGCAAAGGTGCTATTACTCTAAAGCAGGGAGTGATACAAGCCAGTTGTCAGAAAGTGGATTGAAAGTGTATGCTGGTAGGAATGTAGTACATACTAGCATCGACCTGTTTTTTACATTTCTGTGAAATCAAAGCTCAAAAGCCACATGTACTGGTAAGGAAAACACACGCCATTTCCCCAAGCTGCAGCACCTGCTGCAGTCTTACTGGGATGTGCTGGCAATCACTCCATCCGGCAAGGAGCTCATAGCAAATGGAGGCTCTTTCTCCCGGGGAAGGCCAGCAGCTGATCGAGGCCAAGCAGGGAGAAATGAGAATGGCTAACCTGACAGTTAAGGCTTGGTTAGTCTGTGGAGGAAAGAAATCATTCTTGATATACTGAGAAGTGAGTCACGGACAAATGCCCAGAGACTTACACCTGCACAAAGCACCTTTCTTACCTTTGTTTATATTTTAGCAATTAACATACCACGAGATAAGAAATTACTGGGCATTCCCTCCCCTCCCTGTAACTGAACAGAGATGTGCAACCCAGTGTCCGCTGCTTTGGAAAGCAAAGCGAAAGATCAATGAGAAAATAAGCCTTAATTCACCTCACCCACACCTATACACATTCTCCCTTGAAAGCCTATTTACCGATTACCTGTCTTCAACACCCTTCACAGACTTGGAGAATTCAAAACGGGGACACCGGAGCAGGAAACATAAATCACTGGTAATGCTAATACAAAATATTAAAGCAATAAAATATAAGTGAATTATTTTTCCTCCTTGTTATTCCCAATACAATTTAATTCTGTTTCTATAAAGGGCTGCGGAAGGAAACAGCGAAGATAAATAAAATGACTTCAGGAAAAGAAAACTTTGCTCATGTGTTTGCAAAATGCTGGAGCCCCAAAAGTAGTCTCTGGGGGCCAATACATCATTGTCCTTGAGGCCTCTGGAAGGTCAAGACTGGAGGCTACTTAGAAACCGGTAACTCAAAGATCTCGTTGGGACAATTTCCGCCAAAAACAGCAGTGACAGACAAATATGTGTTATGAAAATACTACTTTGCTTTTTTCAGGTTTATGCAGACTTGGTGATTTCAAAAAAAATGTTTTGTGTGTAAAACAACATAATAAAAGAAAATCCTGCTACTTGACAGGGTTTCCTTTAATGGAAAGCCTTTTTCACGCCCATAAACACTTGATGCCCACATCTGTTAGAGATAAAATGAGAGTATAACTTCCCTTTTGGATGAAGATCTTCAGGGTTCTGAGAGCCCATATAACATGCTTAATGGAGACAGCAAAAAATGCCGTAGATAAAGTTTCCCTGATTAAATTAGTACTCTATTGAAATTTAAAATTTTATGGACTGCCTCAGGTACTTTATATATGGCTTTGGGAGTATGTTTATATTTTAATTCTGTGTATAGCTTGCTGTTGTCATTTTAGGAAGTCAAAGAGCCATCTAGACTTGTAGTTTTTTGAGGAACCTCAATATTATTCTTTATAATGGCTGTACTAGTTCACAATCCCAACAGTGTATAAGGGTTCACTTTTTTTGCATCCTTACCCGCAATTGTTTTTTTTTTTTTTTTTTTGTCTTTTTGATAATAGCCATTCTAACTGTGGTGAAATGATACCTCATTGTGGTTTTGAGTTGCATTTCCTTGGTGATTAACAATGTTGAACATTTTTAATATATTTCTTGACCATTTCTGTATGTCTTCTTTTGAGAAGTGTCGTACGGATCATTAGCCCGTTTTTAAATCAGAGTCTGTAGAAGCTAAAAAAGTTGACCTTATAGAAGTAGAGAGTAGAACAGTGGTTACTAGAGGCTGAGAATTAGGTAGTAGGGTTGGAGGGTTAGTGAGAGACTTGCTAAAGAATACAAAATTAGAGCCTGATAGGACAAATAAGTTCTAGTGTTCTATAGTATTATAGGGTGGCTACAGTAAACAATTATATATTTTCAAATAGCTAGAAGAGAGGATTTATGTTCTCTACACAAACAAATATTTGAGGTGATAAATATGCTAATTATCCACATTTGATCTTTAATACATTGTATGTATTAAAACTCTGTACATACCTCATAAATATTATAATATATTTTGTTTTTTCTTTTGGAAATGAGGTCTCCCTCTGTCACCTAGGCGGGAGTGCAGTGGTGCAATTATAGCTCACTGCAGCCTCCAACTTCTGGGCTCAAGCAATCTTCCCACCTCAGCTTCCCGAGTAGCTGGAACTACAGGCTTGTGCCATCATGCCCAGCTAATTTATTTATTTTTATTTTTTGTAGAGGCAGGGTCTCAGTATGTTGCCCAGGCTGGTCTCAAACTCCTAGTCTCAAGCAATCCTCCTACCTCAGCCTCCCAAAGTGCTGGGATTACAGACATGAGCCACCACACCTGGCCTATAGGTACAGTTATTATTTCAATGTTTTTAAAAGTCTTCTATATTAAAAAACATTTAAAAAGATTTTCCCAGAAAAGCAATGCTATTCACTTATTAGATAGCGGGAGCCTGGAAAAGCCAGCCTGCTCCTCCCGTTCACCGCCATCTGCAGGGCCACCACAGCCCGACTTTGCGGTGCACCGCCCCCTGGTGGTTCCTCCTCTGCATGGAAAGCCAGCCTCCCTAGGTGCTTTTCCTATAGGTGGGGATAATAAGATTCCTCGGTTCTTTGCCATCAAAGAACCCTGTAATACCTATCCACTCCTCTCAGAGAAAAACTCCTGGCATTATTCAATGAATTTATTATTATTATTATTTTTAGAGATAGGGTGTCACTCTGTTGCCCGGGTTGGAGTGCAGTCATAGCTCACTGCAGCTTCAAACTCCCAGGCTCAAAAGATCCTCCCATCTTAGCCTCCTGAGTTGCTTAGACTACAAGTATGTGCTACCATGCCCAGCTAATTTATTTATTTATTTGTAGAGATGAGGTCTTGCTATTTTGCCCAGGCTGGTCTTGAACTCCTGGCCTTAAACAATCCTCCTGCCTCAGCTCCCAAAGTGCTGGGATCACAGGTGTGAGCCACCAAGTCCAGTCTACCATGCCCAGCTAATTTATTTATTTTTTATTTGTAGAGATGGGGTTTTGATATTGTGCCCAGACTGGTCTTGAACTCCTGGCCTTAAGCAATCCTACTGCCTCGCTCCCAAAGTGCTGAAATCACAGGTGTGAGCCAGCATGCTGGGCTCAAGTCGAGGCATTATTGAACAGGGTCTGGCTCCCTCTCTGGTGAGACCTCCCACTATCTTCTCCTCACTTGCTCTGTTTCCGCCTCCCTGACTTCCTTGCTGTTTCTCCAGCATGTCTGTGCTCTGTCCCCACTTCCCAGGATGCTCTTTCCCCTACCTGCATGGCTAATTCCCTCACATCCCTCAGTTGCATCACATGTCACCTTCTCAGCCAAGCCCTCCCTGACCTCCCTATCCCCAGGCTCCTGGTCCTCCTTACCCAAATTTTTCTTCCTTCCATAGTCCTTATTTTCCTACAAATTATATAATTTGCTTTTTACTATGGGTATTATTTATTGTCTGTGTCTCCCACCAGGAACTAAGCTGCACAAGGGCAGGGGAACTGGGTCTTGAATAGGCCATGATATACAGTAGTCTCAACATGTATTTTGATGAATAAATAATATATTAATTAATAAATGCCTGAGTAAAATAACGATTTCAAATCTCCAATACTATTACAATGCCTCTTCTGGCAGAAGTGCAGAGCTCCTCATTCTCATCTCAGGACCACTGCATTTTCTGCTTCTTCTGCTTGAAACACTTTTCCCTCAGAACTTGGTGACACTGCGTCCCTCTCCACAACTGAGTTTAAGCATCACTGCCTTTAAGAGAAGAACTCGGTGACCACTCACACCATGCAGCCTTTGCTCTTCACCCTCTATTCTCTATGGCATTTGCTTTCTCATCTTTCTTATCACACTAATAAATATCTAAAGGGATTTTTTTTTTTACGTTTTGTAAGTATTTGTTGTTTTTGTTATTGTTGAGACAGAGTCTCACTCTGTTGCCCAGGCTGGAGTGCAGTGGCGTAATCTCTGGTCACTGCAAACTCTGTGCCTCCCAGGTTCAAGTGATTCTCCTGCCTCAGCCTCCCAAACAGCTCGGACTACAGGCACCCGCCACCACGCTCAGCTAATTTTTGTATTTTTGTAGAGACGGGGTTTCCCCATGTTGGCCAGGCTGGTCTCAAATTCCTGAACTCAAGTAATCCGCCCGACTTGGCCTCCCAAAGTGGTAGAATTACAGGCCTGAGCCACCTTGCCCAGCCTTGCAAACATGTTTTGATATCTTTCCCTTTCCACTAGAATATGAAGCTGGGGGCATGGACAGTCTTATTTATTAATCACCATATTCCCAGTGCCCAGCAAGTGCCTGGTATACTATAGAGGCATGATAATTATTTGTTGATTTTGTTGACTAACTGAATACTGAATGATTTACAGTCACCTGGTACAAGTTATCAGGACTTTAGTTACATATCTCCCCTGAGCATACCCTCATGGTAAAATGGTGATGAGCTAATTGATCTCTGGGGAAGACTTTGAGAAGGACTACTTAAATTCCTCATACTCGTTTCCGTCACCCAGGATCAGGTGAGTGTATGGCACCACTGATGTTTTCATGTAATTTACTATACATGACTATATGTATGTATGTATATACATAAAATGAATATGTTACTGTGTAACTTACTATCTATGACTCTTAGGGCAATAGAAGAACCATGACTTTTTATCTGGAGGGTTGATAACCTTTGTAAATCCAGCTACAAAGAAATATTTATCCAGAAAGCCATCCAACTTAGTCCCTTTGATAGCAGCCCTTGGTTTGCCAATCTGGACTTGTAACATCAGGGCCCATGAATCACATCCTGGCCCACTTGTGAAAATCTTCCTGTGATGTCAGTTTCAGAAACTCTGAATTATCATGAATATCATAAATATAAATCTTAGATCCACCTCCTTCTCAATACAGAATGAAATGTTGAATTATGATGGTGATAAAGAAGCTTTTGATTGACATGAAGGACTGGATTGTTAAACTGGATAAATTTTCATCCCCTATTAGTGTGCTATTTTATGTGTTAGTAATAGAAAGTTATTTGAACTTTTTGGGATTCGGTTTCCTCATCTGTAATACAAAGCATTGGAATTAACGACGTGTAAAATTCCTTTTCTATGAGAGAATCAGAACCAATGCAATTACTCTCTTTTTATTTTATGTTCCTTCATTTTTCATAGGCTTAATTTAACAATCTAGAGACTTTGTGCCTGTTCACTTGAAAATTCTCCTATAGAGTCATGGAATTTTTGAGAGTGTGAATTATTTTCCATCACTTCTCACAGTGCGTAACCAAGAAGCACTCAAAGGACCTTAGTAGTCCCTCACCCCATCACTTTCCAGGTATAAGAATCTTATGTGCCGTCTACTTCAACCCTTTCACTTTACAAATGAAGCAATGGAGACTAACAGAAGTTAAGAGACTTGCCAAAGGTCACCCAGCTAGTAAGAGGCAGAGCTTAAAGGAGAGGTCATATATTCTGACTGTATGTGGGTTCTAGCAACTCCAGCAAGCTACCTTTATTCTGCCTTTTGCAGTTACTAAAGCTGAGTAAACGAGATAAGTATCCTTATTTCCTCTGAGCTCAAACATTTCTAAATTAAACAAAAATGCTTTCCGTGATGCTAACATTTATAAGGCAGGCATGTAACAACATCCTATTTAGGACCAAGACTGACTTTGACTGGCAGATATAAAATATTTGCAAAATATCTTTATGTTTTTAAAATGACTTGGATAATTTGGCAAAATGATCTGATGTGTTTGCTAAAAGAAAAAAAGTACAACCTACATTAACAAGCTTGGGATAATTAAGAAACCATATTCATTTATGGAAAAGTTAGTTTGCTATAGAATTTCAAAAATTACTATAGCATATCTATACTTATTTATAAATTGAAGCAGCTACATCCTGTAAGAAAAAAAAAGGAAGGTAAACATTTTTCTCTGAATTGGTCTTCATTGATATTTCCAAATTACATGTTGTAAAAGATGCTTTGGATCTGGGTGCCATGGCTCGTGCCTGTAATCTCAGCACTTTGGGAGGCTGAGATTTGAGGCTAGGAGTTCAAGACCAGCCTGGCCAACATGGTGAAACCCATCTCTACTAAAAATACAAAAATTAACCAGACGTGGTGGAGGGTGACTATAATCCCAGCTACTGGGGAGGCCGAGGCAGGAGAACTGCTTGAACCCAGGAGGCCGAGGTTCCAGTGAGCTGAGATCGCACCATTGCCCTCCAGCCTGGGCGACAGAGTGAGACTCCATTTAAAAAAAAAATGCTTTGGGGCACAATAAAAAATAAAGTATAATTATTCTATCTTAAAATATAGTAGGATGATAATTAAACTGGTGATCCTCAACTTTTGCTTCACTCTGGAATCACCCATGGGGCTTTAAAAAATACCAATACCTGAATCCTCTCTCAAAGACTGATTTAATTGGTCTGACATGTTACCTGGGCATGATACTTTTTCTATTAATTTGATCATGTTAATTTACCTGGTATTTAGACCAACTAAAATTTTATTTTTTTATGAGGAATTGTATTATATATCATAAGGAACTGTAAATAAAACACATCAATTTATAATAGAAAGGTATTTTGAATTTCCTATAATATTTTGAAAGGAGAAAACTTGGGGAAGTAATAATAGAAATTAATAAATGACCGTGAGAATTAGCAGCAGAGTAATCAAGCAGTACACATTTATTGAGCAACTACTCCAGAAAGGGAACTATATTTCACCTCTATGGGTGACTGGAACACCTTCAATCCTAAAGGGGCCTATAATCAAGGCTGGAAGAGGTAAAACATACATGCATGTATAAAGATAATGGGCAGTACCAAAGAGCAATAAAGAAATACTTGAGTGATTCGTGACTTCAAATATTTATGCCTTGCCAGTACTACTGATTGAACACAGCCATGATTCTCTTCACTACTTTTATTTTCCATCTACTTTCAACTCCTATTCTATTTTATGTCCATTTTATGTCCATCTTCTAGCACCTTGCTACTCAAAAGTTGTTCCATGGACCAGGAGCCTCAGCATCACCTGGGAGCTTGTTAGAATGGCAGCATCTCAACCCCACCTTATACCCACAGAATCTCAATCTGCATTTAACTAGGTCCCTACATGATTCATATAAATATTTAAGTTTGAGTAGTACTGCTCTGGTAGACACTGATCTCTAACATCTATCAAATACACCATATTAATATTACTCATACTATATTATGTACTACAATACAGCTCAATCTCTAACGGAGGGTTTTTTTTCAATGCCTTATGCAGGTTTTTGTAGTAGTAGTGGAGGATTTCCTCGAATAGGAAGAACTGAGTTCCTCAGAATGTTTTATTTGTGAACAGGAATTATTTCCTATCTGTGAGTAACTGCTAAAATGTGTGATATTGATAATGAGACCACAGGAGAACAATGGAAGATGCAATTTCTTCAGGCTAAAGGATTCAGAGAAGGTGTCACGGGGAAGATGGAACAGAAATGAGCATTAAAAGGTGGTTAGATTTAGGAAATTAAATAAATAAATAAATAAATAAATAAACAAACAAACATTTCAAATAGGAAAACAATAGCAAAGGCAAAAGCCCTGACTAGAGTAGGAGGGGTTAGGATGGTGTGGCTCCAAGATGGTGTCAGTCATTCTCACCCCCTGGTATTCATGCTCCTGTGTCATTACCACTTTAATTAAGACTGATCTGTGTCAAAAATATAATATTGCTGAAATAATAGAGTGTGATTTCTGGGGCTATATCTTAAAAGACACTGTAAAGTAAATTTTAAAAATTTACAAAATAAGACATCGTGGCTTATGTTTTCTTTTCTTGCCTCACTTGCTCTGTGAGGAGTAGCCTCCGTGGCATGAGGTGAGGTCCAAAGCAATACCAGCACCAATTTGCCAGCTCAACGGTGCATTCACTGTATGAGGATCCTGTAGACCCAGCTGAGCCTTCAGATGAATAATCCAGATCAGCATTGTAAGTGCAACTTCATGAAACACCCTAAAGCAAGAACTACCAAAATAAGCCACTCCCCAGACTCTGCCCCACGGAAACTACAAGATTTAAAAAGGAAAATCTATTATTGTGTTAAGAACACAATTTTGAGATAATCTGTTATTAGTCATCAGTAACTCATATTAGTAGCAAATAATCAATAAAGTTTATTTGGAAGATGGTGAGTCAATCAGTGTGGCTTTAGTGGAGAGTTTATAGACTGGGGGTTGTAAGTTAAGATACCTCCAGGGTTCTGGCAGAAGAATTACAAGAGTGAAGTGACTCCTTCCTGAGTCAGAGAGAAAATAGGAAGTGACAGAGGCTGTGTCAACATGGTAAGCCCATTGCTATCTCCATTCTGGGCAGGTCCATGCAGAGCTGAGACTGTGGGAAATGTCAGGTGGAAGATATAGTAGTGGTCATGGTTTGGTGTCACAATGTGGAATAATTAGAACAGATCTTTATTCTGTCAAGAAGGGTATCTCCTAGGTTTTCTTGCAGAATTCTAATAGCTTGAGGTCTTACATTTAAATCTTTAATCAATCTTGGATTAATTTTTGTATTTGGTGAAAGGCAGAGGTCCAGTTTCATGCTCTGCATGTAGCTAGCCAGCTATCCCAGCACCGTTTATTGAATAGGGTGTCCTTTCCCCATTGCTAATTTTTGTCAACTTTGTCAAAGATCAGATAATTAATTGCAGGTGTGTGGCTTTATTTCTGGGTTCTCTATTCTGTTCCATTAGTCTATGTGTCTGTTTTGTACCAATACTATGATGTTTAGGTTACTGTGGCCTTATAGTATAGTTCGAAGTTGGATAACGTAAAGCCTCTGGCTTTGTTCTTTGGCTTAGGATTGCTTTGTCTATTTTGGCTCTTTTTTTGTTTTTCAGTTCCATATGAACTTTAGAATAGTTTTTTCTAATTCTGTGAAAAATAACGTTGATTTTCCTTGGCAAAGAATTTATGGCTAAGTCCCCAAAAGTGATAGCAACAGTAAAAACTGACAAGTGGGATCTAATTAAACTAAAAAGCCTCTTGACAGTAAAAGAAACTATCAACAGAGTAAACAGATAACCTACAGAATGGGAGAAAATATTCACAAATTATGCATTCAACAAAGGTCTAATATCCAGAATCTATAAGAACTTAAACAATTCAACAACAGCAACAACAACAACAAATCCCTTAAAAATGGGCAAAGGATATGAACAGACTCTTCTCAAAAGAAGACATACAAGTGGCCAAGAAACACATGAAAAAATACTCATCATCACTAAACGTCAGAGAAATGCTGATCAAAACCACAATGAAATATCATCTCACACAAGTCAGAATGACCATTAACAAAAACTTAAAAAAATAACAAGTGCTGGCATGGTTGCAGAGAAAAGGGAATACTTATACACAGCTTGTGGGAATGTAAATTAGTTCAGCCACTGTGGAAAGCAAGTTGGAGATTTCTCAAAGAACTTAAAATAGAAATACCATTTGACCCAGCAATCCCATTACGGGGTAGATACCTAAAGGAAAATAAATCACTCTACCAAAAAGATGCATGCACTTGTATGTTCATCACACCATTGTTCACAATAGCGAAGACATGGAATCAACCTAGATGCCCATCAATGGTAGACTGGATAAAGGAAATGTGGTACATATACACTCTGGAATACTACATAGCCATAAAAAAGAATAAAACCATGTCTTTTGCAGCACCATGGATGCAGCTAGAGGCCATTATCATAAGCAAATTAATGTAGGAACAGGAAACCAAATACCACATGTTCTCAGTTATAAGTGGGAGCTAAACAGTGAGTACTCGTGGATATAAAGATGTGAATAATAGACACTAGGGACTACTGGTTGGGGAGAAAGAGAAGGGGGCATAGCCTGACAAACTACCTATTGGGTACTATTTACTACCTGGGTGATGAGACCATCTGCACCCCAAACCTCAGCATCACCCAATATGCTCCCATAACAAACCTGCATATGTACGCCCTGAATCTAAAATAAAGTCAAAATTACTTTTAAAAAACCTTATTCTGGAGGCAATCATCAATTCATAACTATATTAAGGATATTTTCTCTGGAAATGTTACCTAGAATACACTGAAAGGAGAAAGTACTGAGAGGAAAAGAATAGTTTAGAGATATTTTAATCATGCAAACTTGAAGCCATTGGAACATGCGCTAGAGTTATAGAAATATGAATGAAGATGTTATCCTTAAAAGAAGTAAATATATAATAATAAGGTTACGAATAATTGAAAGTAGAATACCTCAATTAAGATGTTCTCTTATAACTTTTCTTTAAATCTCACTAAATTTTTAGTGCCCTGTTAGAATGTAAGCTCCATCAGGACATCAGCTCCATACTTTTGTACATGACTTATTGCATACAAAACCCAGAATGCAGATTTTTGTGTGGAAAATCACGGATAATATTGCAGGTTTCCAGGCCATAGTCTCTGTCACAACTACTAAACTCTGCCATTGTGGCACAAAAGCTGCTATGGACAATACATAAATAAATGTGAGGTGCTCCAGTGAAACTTACAAAAAGAAGAAAGGGCCAGATTTGGCTCAGGGGCTGTAGTTTGCCAATTCGTGGGCTGGACTAGTGGAGGTCAGCAGTTCTCAAAATTTGGTTCCCAGATCAGCTGAACCAACATGAGCATCGTCGGTTAAACAGCTGAATGGGGCTCAGTGATCTGTATTTTAATAGGTTCTCCAGGTGGTGAATGCTGGTTTGAGAAACATTTGTGTAGGCACTCAATAACACTTATGTGATAGATGAATGAATTAATGATTTATATCTCCATACATGCTAACTTTTGTCTCTATTACAATCATATATAAGATAGTATTTGGGATCACAAAATTATACGTGTGCTTATTAAGTCTAGCTCTGGGTATTAATATTTCATGGTATCCCACAAAGCAGGCCATGGCTTGCAGGCACTTTACCATCTAACGGACTTTGAAAACCACTAATCTAATACAGCTGCCTTGTTTTAAAAGACAACAAAATTGAGGTCTTCTACAGTTAATTAACTTGGCCAAGCTACATGTAAATGCTGAGTTAAGAAAAAACACGCATCTTTATGTAAATAAATATGCCTCACATATAATCTTACGTGTTTGGGCTTGCCAGAGAAACCAAACATTCAGGGGGAAAAATAAGAGAAAGAAAGAAAAGAAACGGGCAGACTGCTAAGCTCAGGAAATCTTGCAGCAAAGGCACTTCGGAGCCGAGTTGGGGCAGCGGCAGAGCAGGGATTCCACGCCCCAAGGGAACAGATGCCCCTGCGAAACCATCGCCAGTGCCGCGTCCTTGCAGCCTGATGCTCCCTCACATCGGGGACTCCGGATCTCTCTCAGCTCCTTTGGGTTGCTCTCTCAGAGAGCTCCTGGGATCATGTCAGACGGGAGGCAAGACCAGATTGCAGCTCTAGACAGAGCAGCATGCAGAGGCTTGCATTGTGAATTTTAGCTTCAGAACTGCAAGAACAAACCAGCAATCCCGAAAGGACTCACAGACCCTCTGTAGGAAGCAGACTGCTCCTGCAGGACCCGAGAGACCCCCAAATATTGAGTGCCCCAACTGCGGAACTGAGAAAGGGAGACCCTCCTCTCCCAAACACACACCCCCACTGGAGAAGCTGAAGGTCTGTTTGCAGAAATTTCTGACTTTACCTGGAGCTGAGTCAAGTTAGTGAGTCGAGTAAAGGTGTGGGGGAGGGTAGAAGAAGCAGCAGAAAGGCCCTGGGGGCTTCCTAGGTCCCCAAGCAGCCCATTCCTGCCTGGCACCACAAGGATCCATTGGAAGGATGGCCAGAGGAGCAGGGGGTAAAACTCCACAGGGAGAAGGAATTCTCTAGTCGAACTTTGTAACAATTTGAATGAGCTGAGAAGCCTCCTGGCAAGAACTCAGGGGAGGGCACAAATCCGGAGTGCAGACGTCACAGGTGGAGGAGGGAAGAACTAAAGCCCTTTCTTTCGCAGCTGGGAGGTGGATGGCCTTGGGCAAGTTTTCAGGCCCGTCTCACCCTCCGCCTGGAAACAAACTCGGGGCTGTGGCAGGGGACACAGCGGCGGCTCTGATGCTTTCTGGAAAGCGCCCCCTCCTGGCAGGAGGCCAACCAGCACAAAAACAGAGCATTAAACCACCAAAGCTAAGGACCCTCACGGATTCCATTGCACCCTCCACCACCTCCAGCAGAACAGGTGCTGGTATCCGTGGCTGAGAGACCCATAGACAGTTCACATCACAGGACTCTGTGCAGACAACACCCAGTACCAGCCCGGAGCCAGGTAGACTCCTTGGGTGGCTAGACCCAGAAGAGAGACAATTACTGCAGTTCAGCTCTCAGGAAGCCACATCCACAGGAAGAGAGGGAGAGTACTACATCAAGGGAACACCCCATGGGACGAAAAAATATGAACAACAGCCTTCAGCCCTAGACCTTCCCTCTGACAGAGCCTACCCAGAGAAGGAACCAGAAAACCAACCCTGGTAATATGACAAAACAAGGCTCTTCAACGCCCCCCAGTAAATCACACTAGTTCACCAGCAATGAATCCAAACCGAGAAGAAATCCTTGACTTACCTGAAAAAGAATCCTGGAGGTTAATTAGTAAGCTAATCAGGGAGGGACCAGAGAAAGGCGTAGCCCAATGCAAAGAAATCCAAAACATAATACAAGAAGTAAAGGGAGAAATATTCAATGAAATAGATAGCTTAAAGAAAAAGCAATAAAAAATTCAGGAAGCTTTGGATGCACTTTTAGAAATGCAAAATGCTCTGGAAAGTCTCAGCAATAGAATTGAACAAGTAGAAGAAAGAAATCCAGAGCTCAAAGACAAGGTCTTTGAATTAACCCAATCCACAACAAAGACAAAGTAAAAGGAGTAAGAAAATATAAACAAAGCCTGCAAGAAGTCTGGGATTATGTTAAATGACCAAACCTAAGAATAATCAGTGTTCCTGAGGAAGAAGACAATTCTCAAAGCTTGGAAAACGTATTTGGGGGAATAATTGAAGAAAACTTCTCTGGCCTTGCTAGAGACCTAGACAGCCAAATACAAGAAGCACAAAGAACACCTGGGAAATTCATCACAAAAAGATCTTCACCTAGGCACATTGTCATCAGGTTATCCAAAGTTAAGACGAAGGAAAGAATTTTAAGAGCTGTGAGACAGCAGCACCAGTAACCCATGAAGGAAAACCTATCAGATTAACAGCAGATTTCTCAGAAGAAACCCTACAAGCTAGAAGGGATTGGGGCCATATCTTCAGCCTCTTTAAACAAAACAATTATCAGTCAAGAATTTTGTATCCAGGGAAACTAACCATCATATATGAAGGAAAGGTACAGTCGTTTTCAGACAAACAAATGCTGAGAGAATTCGCCATTATCAAGCCACCACTACAAGAACTGCTAAAAGGAGTTCTAGATCTTGAAACAAATCCTGGAACCATATCAAAACAGAACTCTTTAAAGCATAAATCACACAGGACCTATAAAACAAAAATACAAGTTACAAGCAAAAACAAAAAACAAAACCAAAGTACACTGGCAACAAAGAGCATGATGAATGCAATGGTACCTCACATTTCAATACTAACATTGAATGTAAATGTCCTAAATGCTCCACTTGAAAGACAGAGAACTGCAGAATGAATAAGAACTCATCAACAAACCATCTGCTGCCTTTAGGAGACTCACCTAACACATAAGGACTCACATAAACTTAAAGTAAAGGGGTGGAAACAGGCATTTCATGCAAATGGACACCAAAAGCAAGCAGGGGTAGCTATTCTTATATCAGACAAAAGAAACTTTAAAGCAACAGTGGTTAAAAGAGACAAAGAGGGACTTTATATAATGGCAAAAGGCCTTGTCTAACAGGAAAATATCACTATCCTAAACATATATGCACCTGACACTGGAGCTCCCAAATTTATAAAACGATTACTAATAGACCTAAGAAATGAGATGGACAGCAACACAATAATAGTGGGGGACTTCTGTACTCCACTGACAGCACTAGACAGATCATCAAGACAGAAAGTCCACAAAGAAGCAATGGATTTAAACTATACCTTAGAACAAATGGACTTAGCAGATATATACAGAACATTTCATCCAACAAGCACAGAATACACATTGTATTCAACAGTGCATGGAACTTTCTCCAAGATAGACCATTAGATAGGACATAAAAGGGGCCTCAATAAATTTAAGAAAATTGAAATTATAGCAAGCACTCTCTCAGACCACAGTGGAATAAATTTGGAACTCAACTCTAAAAGGAACCTTCAAAACCATGCAAATACATGGAAATTAAATAACCTGCTCCTAAATGAGCATTGGGTCAAAAATGAAATCAATATGGAAATTAAAAAATTCTTCGAACTGAATGACAATAATGACACCACCTATCAAAATCTCTGGGATACAGCAAAGGGAGTGCTAAGAGGAAAGTTCATAGCCCTAAATGCCTTCATCAAAAAGTTTGAAAGAGCACAAACAGACAATCTAAGGTCACACCTCAAGGAACTAGAGAAACTAGAACAAACCAAACCCAAACCCGCAGACGAAAGGAAATACCCAAGATCAGAGCAGAACTAAATGAAATTGGAACAAAAAAGACAATACAAAAGATAAATAAAACAAAAGCTGGTTCTTTGAGAAGATAAATAAAATTGATAGACCATTAGCAAGATTAACCAAGAAAAGAAGAGAGAAAATCCAAATAACCTTACCAACAAATGAAACAAGAGATATTACAACCTACACCACTGAAATAAAAAAAGATTATTCGAGGCTACTATGGACACCTTTATGCACATAAACTAGAAAACCTAGAAGAGATGGATAAATTCTTGGAAAAATACAACCCTCCTAGCTTAAATCATGAAGAATTAGATACCCTGAATAGACCAATAACAAGCAGCAAGATTGAAATGGTAACTAAAAAATTACCAAAAAAAAAAAAAAAAAAACTCCAGGACTAGACAGATTCACAGCAGAATTCTACCAGACATTCAAAAAAGAATTGGTACCAATCCTTTTGACACAATTCCACAAGATAGAGAAAGAAGGAATCCTCCCTAATTCATTCTATGAAGCCAGCATCACCCTAATACCAAAACAAGGAAAGGGCATAACCAAAAAAGAAAACTACAGACCAATATCCTTGATGAACATAGACGCTAAAATCCTTAACAAAATACAAGCTAACTGAATCCAACAGCATCTGAAAGGGATAATCCACCTTGATCAAATGGGTTTCATACCAGGAATGCAGGGAAGGTTTAAGATATGCAAGTCAATAAATGAGATACACCACATAAACAGAATTAAAAACAAAAAATCACATGATCATCTCAATAGATGCAGAACAAGCATTCCACAAAATCCAGCATCTCTTTATGATTAAAACTCTCAGCAAAATTGGCATACAAGGGACATACCTTCATGTAATAAAAGCCATCTATGACAAACCCACAACCAATGTAATACTGAATGGGGAAAAGTTGAAAGCATTCCCTCTGAGAACTGGAACAAGACAAGGATGCCCACTCTCACCACTTCTCTTCAACATAGTACTGGAAGTCCTAGAGGGAGCAATCAGACAAGAGAAAGAAATAAGGGGCATCCAAATCGGTAAAGAGGAAGTCAAACTGTCACTGTTTGCTGATGATAAGATTGTTTACCTTGAAAACCCTAAGGACTCCTCCAGAAAGCTCCTAGAACTGATAAAAGAATTCAGCAAAGTTTCCAGATACAAGATTAATGTACACAAATCAGTAGCTCTTCTACACACAAACAGTGATCAAGTGGAGAATCAAATCAAGAACTCAACCCCTATTATAATAGCTGAAAAAAAAATACGCAGGAATATGCCTAACAAAGGAGTCAAAAGACCTCTACAAGGAAAACTACAAAACACTGCTGAAAGAAATCAAAGACTTTTGGGCTTGGTGGCTCATGCCTGTAATCCCAGCACTTTGAGAGGCCGAGGCGGGTGGATCACGAGGTCAGGAGTTTAAGACCAGCCTGACCAACATGGTGAAACCCCAACTCTACTAAAAATACAAAAATTAGCCGAGTGTGGTAGCACATGCCTGTAGTCCCAGCTACTCAGGAGGCTGAGGCAAGAGAATTGCTTGAACCCAGGAGATGGAGGAGTTGCAGTGAGCCTGAGATTGCTCCACTGCACTCCAGCCTGGGTGACAGAGCAAGACTCTGTCTCCAAAAAAAAAAAAAGAAGAAGAAGAAAAAAAGAAAGAAATCAAAGACTACACAAACAAATGGAAAAACATCCCATGCTCGTGGATGGGTAGAATTAATATTGTAAAAATGACCATACTGCCAAAAGCAATGTACAAATTCAATGCAATCCCCATCAGAATACCACTGTTATTCTTCACAGAATTAGAAAAAAAATTCTAAAATTCATATGGAACCAAAAATGAGCCTGCATAGCCAAAGTAAGACTAAGAAAAAAGAACAAATCTGGAGACATCACACTACCTGATTTCAAACTACACTATAAGGCCATAGTCACCAAAACAGCATGGTATTGGTATAAAAATGGGCACATAGACCAATGGAACGGAATAGAGAACCCATAAATAAACCTAAGTAGTTACAGACAACTGAACTTCAACAAAGCAAACAAAAACATAAAGTGGGGAAAGGACACCCTTTTCAACAAATTGTGCTGGGATAATTGGCTAGCCACTTGTAAAAGAATGAAACTGGATCCTCATCTCTCACCTTATACAAAAATCAACTCAAGATGGATTAAGAACTTAAACCTAAGACCTGAAACTATAAAAATTCTAGAAGGTAACATTGGAAAAACTCTTCTAGACATTAGCTTAGGCAAGGATTTCATGACCAAGAACCCAAAAGCAAATGCAATAAAAACAAAGATAAATAGCTGGGACCTAATTATACTAAAGAGCTTTTGCATGGCAAAAGGAACAGTCAGCAGAGTAAACAGACAATCCACAGAGTGGGAGAAAAACTTCACAGTCTATACATCTGGCAAAGGACTAATATCCAGAATCTACAATGAACTCAAACAGATCAATAAGAAAAAAAAACAAACATCACATCCAAAAGTGGGCTAAGAATATGAATAGACAATTCTCAAAAGAAGATATACAAATGGCCAACAAATATATGAAAAAATGCTCAACATCACTAATGATCAGAGAAATGCAAATCAAAACCACAATGTGATACCACCTTACTCCTGCAAGAATGGCCATAATAAAAAAATCAAAAACCAGTAGATGTTGGTGTAGATGCGGTGAACAGGGAACACTTCTACATTGCTGGTGAGAATGTAAACTAGCACAGCCACTATGGAAAACAGTGTGGAGATTCCTTAAAGAACTAAAAGTAGAACTACCATTTGATCCAGAAATTCCACTGCTGGGTATCTACCCAGAGGAAAATAAGTCATTATTTGAAAAAGATACTTGCACATGCATGTTTATAGCAGCACAATTCACAACAGCAAAACCGTGCAACCAACCAAAATGCCCATCAATCAACAAGTGGCTAAAGAAACTGTGAGATATATATATGATGGAATACTATGCAGCCATAAAAAGGAATGAATTAACAGCATTTGCAGTGACTTAGATGAGATTGGAGACTATTATTCTAAGTGAAGTAACTCAGCAATGGAAAACCAAACATTGTATGTTCTCACTGATAGGTGGGAGCTAAGTTACAAGGATGCAAAGGCATAAGAATGATGCAGTGGACTTTGGGGACTCGGGGGGAAGAGAGAGAGGGGGGCAAGGGATTAAAAGACTACAAATATGGTAGAGTGTGTACTGCTCAGGCGATATGTGCACCAAAATCTCAAAAATCACCACTACAGAAGTTATTCATGTAACCAAATACCACTGTACCCCAATAACTTATGAAAATAATAATAATAATTTTTAAAAAAGAAATAAAAGAAACGAGTGACAACATGACCTGTAGGAAAGAAATCAGTGATGATCAGTGATGGTCTCTTGTTTTTAACAACTGGGTCTCAGTTATATTTACTCAGTTTTCTCCATTTATTGATGGCTTAGTGAAGATGAAGTTTCCAGATTCTGCTCGGCTTCACAGGGCAAGTAGCCAGCAGTAAATGTGAGAAGAGAGTGAGCTGGGAAAGTAGAGGAATGGAAATCTCTATCAGTTGCCAATCATCAAGTCCTGCCCTCAAGAATAGTTATAGAAAGTGAACCACAGGAGGAATGAATCCACAGGTAGCAAACAGCAAAATACTACTACATACCTAATAGGATACAAGACACTATCTCTTGGTGTGAAGCGCAGAGAGATAAAGTGACTGGGCTCTGTTTCACAGAGAAACCAATGAGTTCATGCGTAGTGTTTGTTTAGCCCCAAAGCCAGAAATTGTCATTATGTATTTCTGAAAATTGTCAGTTTGAATCAAAGAGAAGAGGGTTTCAAGCTCTATTAGTCCATTTTCACACTGCTATAAAGAACTACCTCAGACTGGGTAATCTATGAAGAAAAGAGTTTTAATGGACTCACATTTCTGCAGGCTTAACAGGAAGCATGATTGGAAGGCCTCAGGAAACTTACAATCATGGCGGAGGGCAAAGGGGAAGCAAACACGTCTTTAGCATGGTGGAGCAGGAGAGAGAGAGAAGAGTGGGAAGTGCCACACTTTTAAACCATCAAATCTCATGAGAACTCATTCACCATCATGAGAACAGCATGGGGGAAACTGCTCTCATAATCCAATGACCTCCCACCAGGCTCCTCCCTACCCATGTGGTTGCAATTCAAAATGAGATTTGAGTGGAGACACAAAGCCAAACCCTATCACCAGCTAATATATGCAATGGCCTTTGGGTGGGTAAAATTAAGGGAAATGATAGGATCAAGTATGAAGTGTAATGTCTGCTGAGTCATAAGTGAATCATATTACTATTACTTTTGTCATTAGGACTTGAGGTCCTGTACTTCTTTACCATCAACAGGAGCCAAGTGGGTCCCACCACCCTACCCCTGCCCTCACCTTCTTTTCTCTGCGCTTCCAGGGCTCTGAAGATAAAGGGAAGCATTGCTCCCAGAAATATAACTGCATTTGGGACCTCTGCTCTTGAATTTGCCTGGCAGCTGGGCTTACTTGGAGTGAGAAGCACAGTTCTTCACAGTTCTGCTGTCACCCTGCTTGACTTTCTAATTTTCCCCCTCAACCCTGGAATAGGTTGAAGCAAGAGTTCAAAGCTATTGCTGATATAGAAAAAATGGCCCCTGTGCTCAGTCTATGAAGTGACAGTGGGTGGATGCCTGGGAAAGACAGGCATGCTGGCTCTTGGGAGGCCTAGGAGGGTTATGTTCATCATCCCCCTGGTGAATTTACCCTTGGAAGTTTGATTTTGCCATGGGCCTGAGAGAAGTCTCAATCCATCAATCAGTAGACATTCACTGAGTGCCTACCGCATGGCAGGCCCTGACATTACCTAAGTTCAGGAGGTGAGTGTGTTCAATCAGGATGGCAGCTGCTTAACGTACAATGAGCAAAAGCTGTCACAGGAACTAGAATAATCAAAGTCCATCCGATCAGCATATTCTCTCCATGTGGCCAAACTACACAGGAAACCCAATTATAATTAGAGTGTCTCTATATGATCATATAATGAAAAGTATCTAAGAACCGAGGTCCGGTACTTGAAAACTATATGATCAGAATATTCTCTGCAGGTGAGCAGGTTGACATGAGAAATTAAATCATGATTAGAAGGTGTTTGGTGAGAACAGATTCAGAAAAACAGCAGTTGGAGTCATTACATGCTCAATGACATAGGATAAAGCGGTCAGAAATTATCTCATAACTTAGCCAGTGGGAGGAAAGAACCCCAAAAGCAGAGGCTCTCTCTAGGCTGGGCAGCAAGCAAGAAGTACTGGGCAACATCCATGTTTGCTTTTCAACTCTTCTCTTTCCAGGACTGTGTGGCTCCCTAGTGAGCGCCAGGCACCATGCTAAGCACATTCCATGCATTATCTCATTTAATCCTTGTCTATGTCCCTACTTAGAGAAGCTTTCCCCAATTTCTCATGAGCCACAGGACTGCTATATTTTCTCTTGTCACCATCTAATGTTCTAGTTTGTATTAATTTGTTGACTAGTCATTGATGGCTTCCTCCAAAGGATACAGGTCCCAGAAGGGCAGCGCTTTATTTTCTACATAGATGTAGCCCAATGCCTAAAATGGTACCTGGCACATAGTAGGAGTTTAGTATATAATACGTTTGATACATGAAAAAATAAATTAGTGGGTGGATAGTTGAGTAAATAGATGGATGTATTAATTTACAAATAACCTGAGAGGTAGATAATAGCATCCTGTTCAGCAGATTGAAAAATCAAGGCTATGATGCTTGTGTTACATCCAAGGTCAGCCAACTAACAAATGAAGAGCAGGGAAATGACTCAATTCTTATTGAGTCTAGTTGCTCTTAATTGCTGCTCTATTTCTTTGGGAAGATTGACATATCCAGGAGGTTTTCATCTAAAACTAGACCCCTTAGAACTCTGAAGTCAGAGCAACTTTCCCTCTGTCAATCCCACTCACTACTTTTGTAACCTTGACCAGAGAAGTTGCTTAATCTTTTGGGGCCTGCATTCTCATATACCTAAAGTAGGAATAAAAATACCTGCTTAGAGACTTGCTCAGTCCATCAAATAAGAGATTATACACAACCTTCCCACTTCAAGGATGGCTGCAAGGACAAAAAAGAAAAATGACATAATAAATATAAAGGTCCCTGCAGACTGTAATACTAGGATGAGTTATTACTACAAAGGCTCAGGGAAAAGAGGAGAGATGGAGTCTTGGTTGGTCATGTCATCATGGTCTATTTTAGATTTTGAGTTTTTAGAGGCAAGACCACAGTTGTTTAATTTAGTGTATACAGAACATTCCACTTATTCAGGGAGACATTATACTAGGGAAAGGGGTGGGTTCATGGTGTTCAAAAATTCATACTCACAGTTATTATTAAAAAGAAAGGATTCTCTATGTGCTTTTATTCAGCCCATGGCTTTAAATATCATCCATGTGCCTATGTCTTCCAAATGTATTTTTCCAGCCCAGTCTGGTCCCTCGACATTCAGATCCTTATGGTGCTGCCCTCACCCTATATCCAAATGCCAACTTGGTCTCTACTCTAGTCAGATTAGAGATATCCCATACTTGGCATGACTAAAATGGAACTTTAACTTGTTTCTTATCTCTATCTCAGTAAATCACACCACCACAGTGCATCATTTTCCTAAATCAAATTCCTAAGAATCATCCTTGATTTTTCCCTTCCTTTTGTCCCTTGCCATCCCAGATTATCCTGCAAAAACTGTCTATGCTACCTACAAAACTATCTGCCACATGTCATACTAATTGTCAATATCCTAGAGCACCATTCATCTGCCTTCACCTGTGGTGTTGCTGCAATTGTCTCCTTCCTGGCTGCCCTGATTATATCCATTCTCCCTGTCTCCAAAAGCATTCTGCGCACAGCAGACACAGATGTTTCATAAATGTAAGTCTGGTCATGCGCTCCTCTACCTAAAACCATTAGATGGTTTTTCATTGCACTCACAACTAGAGTTCCTGACCATGACTTGCAGGCTAAGCTCGAGCTGATTCTCACAGCCTGATTGTGATCAGCAATGGTGAATGGAGGGGCTGTGCCTTTGGTTGGGATAGAACTGATTATCACAGAGGACAACACCTTTTGCTGGCCCCATGGACTGACTTCTGATGTCAACACTGTGAATCTCACAGGGCTTTCTCCACCATATCTTTTCATAATCGTCACCAACCATTAGAGAGTTCTCCTTTTGGAGAAAGTGTTTAGAGGAGGCAAGGTGTCCCCTGCTCCCAGATATACTTCCACCTGAGACCCTTGGGGTCTGTACCCTGCCTGCCTCTCCAATGTCCTTCCAGACCACTCCTCCCCCAGGGCTCACTCGCCTGCTGCCTCCCATGTAGTCTTTGAATGTATAAGCTTATTCCAATCTTAGAAATTTTACTAGATGTTTTCTTTGCCTGAATGCTTCCCTCTGATTTTTCATAGGGCTAAATCCTTCTTCTTTAGATTGTAATTCAAATATAACCTTCTCCTTCAGATCTTTGCTGATCACCTTGTCTACATGAAGCTCCCCAGTTGTTCTCTATTACAATCACAATGCTGTTTTTCCCCCCACAGATCTTATGAAAATCTGTTATCTTTTTAATTTATGTTTGTCCAGATTTATTGTGTGACTCCACACTCTAAAAGCTAAGGTCCAAGGAGCAGGGCCCAATCTATCTTTTTTTTTTTTTGAGACGGAATCTCAATCTTGTCACCCAGGCTAGACTGTAGTGGCAATATCTCGGCTCACTGCAACCTCCACCCCCCAGGTTCAAGCAATTCTCTTGCCTCAGCCTCCTGAGTAGCTGGGACTACAGGTGCCCACCACCATGCCCAGCTAATTTTTGTATTTTTAGTAGAGACAAGTTTTCGCCATGTTGGCCAGGCTGGTCTCGAACTCCTGACCTCCGGTGATCTGCCTGCCTTGGCCTCCGAAAGTGCTGGGATTACAGGCGTGAGCCATCACGCCCGGCCCAATCTACCTTTTTGAACAATGTCCTCCTAGTATCCAGCGAAATGACTGGCACATGTTAAGTGAGCAATAAATACTTGTTATCCACGACAACACATCATATGATAAATGTCAGTGATTGGCATTAGCTGCTTATTAAAAAGCATTACTAACCGTTGTTAAGATTTCACCTTACGTTTTTCATATTTTAATGACCATAAACACCCCCTCTATCTTTTTTGTGTGAATTCCTTGCCCTTGCCTCTTCACATTCATATGGCATAGGACCCACTGAAAAAGAAAAGGCAATTTATTTGAGAATATATATGTCAAATTCACTTTCAGAAAGTTCACGCACATTGTATGCATCAAAATAAGTGTAGAGGCCATTTTCATTTTCTTCCGTATATCAAGGTATTTTTAAAACTTATATTTAGAAGAATATGGAATCACAAATCTATGGCATTCAATATTCTTCACATATTGAAGCCAATCAAGCAGCCCTGGGAATCTACATTCTGAACACACCACATTCTTCACTTTTTCCTAAACATCTCAAAGCATGTTCACTTATCTATGAGTTTGCTTATGTGTTCCCTCCCTGATACATCTGCTGTCAATATCAGATTGCTCCTTCAAGACCCATTTCCAATACTGACGCTTCTATGCATTGATTCTTCCCTGGTTCCTCTATCCCAGGGAGAACTGGCTGACCTGAGGAGACTTCATCTGTTCTGTTTGAGGAAGATTCAGAGTATGGTACGACAGAAACCTCAGAAAATGCAAATGGGAATATATGACAATGTCCAAAGGACAACTAATGTCCTATTTTTTTGTACTTTTTAGTGTTTCTTAGATCTCTTATGGCAATCAGCTGTTCACCTTGTCATGTAGCAAGGAAATATTTTACTATTAACCTAAATTATTTTCCTGCCTGATAATTCATTACTTTTTGCTTGTTAAAACTAAACTCATGGCAGAGACCATGGCCTCAGGCAATGGGCATGACAATTATAGCAGGACAGAAAGCAAATGATGGGAAATTCTTGCTGAAATTTCTACATTCACTTTTGAAATTCCACAGAGAGACAGTAAGTTGAGAGAAAGGACATTTGAGTTTCAAAAACCTGAGTGTATAACCAACAGATGAGCAACCAGCTTTCCTAAACTTAACCAAAAAAAGAGGAAAGCTGAAGAAGAGAGCTCAGGAGTTTAGTATAGTCCTTTTCCACCCTGCTCCCCACACTTGCACCTCCTGCTGCCACCACCTAGCAAATGTTGCATGTGGCGGGAGCATTAGAAATTCCCAGTGAGTCCAGGGCAATTGCAGAGGAACAGAAATTTGTAGCCTGAAACTTGAAAACCAGAGTATGTCAAGAATACAAAGTCTAAGTCAGCCTTCCTGCACCCCAAGCTTCCTGTGGTCCCAGGGAGCACTGGCCAACCTGAGGAGGCTTCATCTGTTCTGTTTGAGGAAGATTCAGAGTATGGCATGACAGAAACCTCAGCAGATGCAAATGGGAATGTAGGACAATGACCAAAGGACAACCAATGTCAGAATAGAAAGTCAATGACCGGTGTCCAGATGCTCCAAGGCACTGTGCCCTTCCATTTTGGAACTTATGATGATGATGTTGTTGATCACCGTGATAGTAACAGGAAGAGGAAGAGAAGCAGCAGCAGCTGCTATCATTTATCACGTGCTTATTATGTTGTCAGCACTATGCGATATATATATATATAAAATATATATATATACAATTTCATGTAATTCAATACTCACAGTGATCTTTTGAGAAAGGTATTATTAAATCTATTTCATCAATGAGATATGGAGGCACAAATATATAAAACAAGTTGCTCAAGACACACTATTATTAAGTGATAGAGCTGCTCCCTGGGCTGGAGTCCCAGAGAGAAGACTAAGAGGAGCAATTCTGAAGGGGCTGCATTCAAACTTGAAGTGACTAAGAAAATCCTGGGGTTGGTTAGATTTTCTTTTGCCATCACAGAATGGAAAAAAATGCAAAAAAAAAAGAAAAAAAAAAGAAACTAGCTTTAGAAATATAAAAGAAAGAAAGTTCCTTGGTGATTTTTTTTTTTTGAGACAGGGTCTTGTCCTGTCAATTATGATATATACAACAAACTGTATTTTTTTTTTTTTTTTTTTTTGAGATGGAGTCTCACTCTGTCACACAGGCTGGAGCGCAGTGGCGTGATCTTGGCTCACTGCAATCTCTGCCTCCTGGGCTCAAGTGGTTCTCCTGCTTCAGTCTCCCAAGTAGCTGGGACTATAGGCGTGCGCCACCACGCCTGGCTAATTTTTGTATTTTTAGTAGAGACGGGGTTTTACCATGTTGGCCAGGCTGGTCTCGAACTCCTGGTCTCATGTGATCTGCCCACCTTGGCCTCCCAAAGTGCTGGGATTACAGGCATGAGCCACCATGCCCGGCCAACAAATTGTATTTTATTTGACTAATAATTGTGGCTTTTGGTTGAAAGCCCCTTTCTACTACCTATTCTAGTTTCAGCTGGCCCTTCTACTGCTTTATATATATAGTGGGCACTAGATAGGTAGATATATTAAGCCTATTTAAATGAACTTTTTGCAATAATGGCATTTTCCTGGCAACTCCCTTCCCCAAGTAGCCCCTGTTTTCTAAAGTGATTTTCAAATCTTTTATACAACTCTCCAAGTGTTTTTGTGTTGAAGAATGAGACATCCACTTGAACCCTGAAAACCTCATGTTCCTTCTTTTACAGGCATCTAATAAATTACCACTGGAAAATATTTTCAATTTATCCTATTTTTCTGTCTCTATTTAAGTAGCAAAAATGTCTCAACCCCTAGTTTACTGAAAAAAATTATGGCATATTGCACATTTAGGAGAAAATGACATCAGAGTTAAAGTTTAAGTCCATCAATCATCTCATTGTCTTTGGGCCAACTCATCATTTCCACCTGTGTGACTTTTCCCTTGTAGGTCATGCCCTATTCATTTCATCCTTCATTACTTCCTTCCTTCATAAATATACAGACATTTATTGATAACTAATAAGTGCCAGGCACTGTGCAATGGATAAAGTGGTAAATAACACACATACTCTGCCATGGAAGAGCCAACAGTCTATAGGAGGAAATCAAGGCCTAAACAGTCCATTTCAATATCGAGTAGCAAACTGACCCCATCAAAGTGATGAGGTCGGTGCATGCAGATTTCTCAGCCCCTCAAAAAAGAGCAACAAACTGAAATTGTCAGAGGGCTGGAAAAGGTCACAGGAAACTTTCTGAAGAAAGTCCTAACTTGACAGAACTGTGATGGCAAAGTCATTACCCAGGCAGTAGTGGAAGGGAAAGAGTTCCAGGTGAAAGCCTGGAGGTTAGAAGGTCATGGTTTACTAGAAGAAACAAGATTCAGTACAGCTGCAGGAGTGGGTCAGTATGGTGTGATGAGAGATGAGTCTTCCCCCTTGTCTAGATTCAATCTAGGTTCTTGGGAATCATTCAAGTAAAGACTTCTCCATGAAGCCCTCTCCATCTCAGCTCTCAATGACCTCTCAATTCTCCTCTGAACCTTCTAAAGCTTTATGCACTTCCTTATAAAGCCTCCTTCAGACATCTGTGTTCACCTCCTGGTTTAGCAGAGAAGGTTACAGCTATCTTATGTTCTTTCGAAGTGCTAGTTGCACACAAATAAAAGAAATAAAAAGCAGATCATTACAATTCCTTCCCACCCCATCTCCATCACGATACCTTCCTTCCCTTCTCCCTTAAATGCCAGAAAATTCAAATGCTCGTGGTATAGATTTAGAGTTTCTTAACTTTCATGGTACAAGGTGCTGATGGATCCCATGCAACCCCTTTCATAAATATGGGTATTTCACTCGATGCAGAACATTTATAATATATGTATATTTTATATTAGAATGCACATATCACAGAGACTCTATTTTATTAATGATCCTTATACCACCAGTGAGAATAATAATAATGTTACTTATTATGATTTATTTTAAAAATAAGCTACTTTTTCTTGAGGAAGTCGCATAAATTCTGGAGTTCATTTTACCAAAGATTTCATAGAGCTTATAAATGAGTGTCCCAAAGGATTTGAGTGATTTCCTCTCTTTTGACCAAAAGCAGATAATTTTCATCCTTTCGCATCAAAATAATAACGCTATGTATGGTCTAACATTTCTATATAAACATGCATGTTCAATTTTTTTCCTAAGCCAAGAAATTTTAAAAATGGTCATATCTTAATTTAAAAAATAGTTACACTTTACTTTCAAGTGCATACTATATCTCCTCCTACAGCATATGTTTTCCCACTTACCACACGGAAAAGAAACTTAACAACCCATGGATTCTAACCCAGCTCACAAGGAAATTTCCTATCTATAATCCTTTATCTTGAAAAATCCTTAATTGAACTGTTAAACCTTATGAGTTGGTCTTTTATTAAGCCAATATGGATCAAAAATCAGAATAAATGTCCATTTTAAATGAGCTTACCCTTGTGATTTATGAGAAGGTAGCACTTGTATTAAACAATTTTCACAGATGATTGTGGTAGCCGTCCTAGTCTGCTCACTTCAAGCTGACAGTGCTATTTGCCTCTAATCAAAAGATATCTCCCTCACAATTTGAAAGAGCCTCTGGGGATTTTCTTTTAGGTATGGCATTTTGCACTATCTGATTCAACCTATGTCTTTCCTATCTATTGACTGTCATGGGGTCTGAGATTTTCTCTAGACCCGGCTGATCCCTGCCATTCAACCTTCTTTACATACTGAGGAATGGCATATGGCCACAATGAGGATGACAAAGCCTCTGTATAGGAAGAAATCACAAGCCAATCTGGGGTGGACCATCATTCCTTGGAGTTTAAAATAAGAGGTCATTAGAATATAATAGGAAGGAATGGGATAGAAGAAAATAAAAATGAGGAAAGCGATTTAAACACACAGAAGGATAGTTTAAAATGGAAGTAATCCTGAGGTCATCAAATTAATATTTCCTTCATTTTGAAAAGAAATCATCTGTCATTTGGGTGGTAGGAAGAAGATGGACTACCTCCTTCATTCATGCACCATTCATTTTGAAACAAAATTAATATTTTCATTTTAATGATTAAAATAATAATGATAACAGCAAGCTAAGCAGCCAGGCGCGATGGCTCACACCTATAATCTCAGCACCTTGGGAGGCCGAGGCGGGTGGATCACTTGAGGTCAGGAGTTCGAGACCAGCATGGCCGACATGGTGAAACCCCCATTTCTACTAAAAATACAAAAATTAGCTGGGCGTGGTGGTACATGCCTGTAGTCCCAGCTACTCAGGAGGCTAAGGCAGGAGAATCATTTGAACCCAGGAGGTGGAGGTTGCAGTGAGCAGAGATTGTGCCACTACACTCCAGCCTCAGCGACAGAGTGAGACTTTGTCTCAAAAAACAAACAAACAAAAAAACAACCTGAGGGATGGTAAATGACTTGCTCTGGGTCCCTCAGATGGGTGGCAATGCTGAGATAGGAATAATTTTGCTCCCAATACAGGGTTATGTTAATTTTCCAATAATTTTATATGCTTTGAAAGTATTTTCTATTTTCCAATGAGCAATAAAGAAAGATATTAAATGGGAATTACCATCTTGGTTATTTCTGAAATAATTTCTAGGATGATGTCAAAAAAAAGAGAGATTGAACAATTCATTCTTGCAATGCTTTGTGGAGAGAAGGAGCTTAAATGCTGTATTTTAACACAAAAGATTGCCCAAAGAGGCATTGCATTATACAGTAAGTGCCACGAGAAGATTAACTACCATACAGGCTGCAACTCTGGCAGAGAAACTCAATGATTTCTATATACAGCTCATAAATGAAAGTGTTCATTTATTCGTAATATTCTAACATGTTCCGTACTGTTTTTCTAAGACAAGCAATGCATGGCCTTTTAGTTTTATGCCATTACTTAAAATATTTGGCGAAAATTGTTCATCAATCTCTGATTCTATTATTACACTCAAGAGTAGGTTAACTACTATCTCCTGGGGTCATTTTTAGCAGGAAATATTTAATAAATTGCTACCAGAGCATGATATCTGACAGGGAAGACATGACTTAGAGTTTCTAAAAGATGACTAATGTGAATTACTTCCAGAACATAAGATGGCAATAACAACAAAAAATGACAGAGCTTGCCAAGTTAAACTCATTTTACCAGCAAGGTACTTATTTTCAGAGAATGATCTCTTTTTAAAGTTCTTTGCAATACAAGAAGCAGAAAGCCATTAACCGCAGATGCTTTAACACAAACAGAGTTGCAGGGAGGGGTCATGTTTTCAATAGTCAAATATGATAAGAAAGTAAAATTTTAAATGTGTTGTTTGATAAAATTCCACCTGCATGGCCAACCAAGCTTCATGTGGAATGAAACATGGTCCTCTCACTGGTTTGAAATACTAAACTTGAACTTTAGTCAGCTCACAAGTTTCTTCTTGTAAAAATGAAGAAAAATCTTTGCATTTAGACAATGGCTATAATTCTTGTACCACTCCACTAATCCTTACTCTACTATTGAGTAATGCCTTATATTAAAATCTAATCATTCTCACAGACTCTGTGGAATTCCTATTTATCTATTTTGACCAATTAGCATTTCCCCATGAGCTGCTCCAGTTCCACAAAACCAAACTAAGCATTTAAGTGGAGTCTGATTTTATGTTATCTTACTGTTTTGTTCAACTAAAGTCTAAAAATCTTTCCTATTAAATCCTCAAAAACAAGAAGAAATGGTTGAAATGTGGGTTCCTACTTTTACGTTTCTCTTTATTGTACCTCAGAACTTAGCTCTGCCCCTGAACTACTGGATCTGCCCTGATAAATCATACCCTCTTTTCATTTGGAAATGGCTCAAGGACCTCAGTACTTACTTAATCCCATAGGTGGCTACATGTTATGAAATACATATTCTCACAGGATTGACAAAACAGGTGCTATCTTAAAAGTAAAAATTCATGATGATGCAATTCTGCAAAGACTCTGAGCCAAAAATACCAAGACTTTTGGAAGGGCTATTCAGAAGAATGGCCACCAATCTATCACCTTGGGAATCACAAAAATGGCCAATGATAAGGTACAAAATAATGTCTAAGCTTCTTAGTCCCCAAAGCCACTCTACGATCTCTAGTAATAGAAAAGAAGCATGTTGGCAATTGAACAGGAGTCCTTGTAACTCCATTTTTATTCCATTACACACCTCATGTAACATTCAAATTTACATAGAAGTCGTCACGATGAAACTCTGATTACTTTAAATGAGAACAAAAAATGTAATTGAATGGCCATAAGAAAGGCAATGTCCTTATCATCACAGGAAAATGATATAACACCTGCAAACTACTGGCCATTCTATCTCCCCAGCTCTATGTCCAATATGAAAATGAGCACTGGTTCATACACCTGAAGCCCCAAACAAATTAGGCCACACCTAATGCAGATGATGCAAATGATCTAAAATGAATTGAAAATATGTTATCTTCTCCTCCAATCCCATTTTATTTGGTCTTCACCAAAGAGCTACAATGTCAGGCCTAAATTGTCTGGGTTGCCTATTCAAAGACTTCAGCAGGATGGGGGTGATCTTTTCTGAGGAGCACTGTTTTCTCACCTGTCACTAGGCCCCCCTGTTTTTGAATAGCAATTTATACTTTGTCAATCCCTTCTGTATGTTTCTGAGCATTAAAACAATGCCCTCAGGTAGGTAGTAAGAGAGATAAAATTATCCACAAATTACATATGAAGACTTGGCTAGAAGAGTTTACATGAGCCATCTTGAAGTCAAACTTTAAACCAAGAGTACAAGACCCAAGTAAATTTGAGCTTTAAACGTAGAGTACAAGACCCAAGTGTACACTTGCCTGTACCTTGGTAAGAAGATTGGAGTGGACGTTTTCACTTCATTCCCAAAGACTTGAGAGCGTCTTCAAACATTACATTGCAACTGTATTGAACTGAGGTGGCAGCCTGAGTTTATGACTTTTCTTTCTCCTAAAAATGGACAGCAGAATGTACATGCTCCTTTGTGGTACACTGGGGAGTATCATGTGATGAGTTTTATTCAAATGAAAATTTTTCAAAGGCTGAAAGTTTCCTCCTATTTTGTCTTTAATATAAGTATCATTGCCCCATTTTCAGCCTTTTTACTGCTCTGAAATCATCAATATGTTCTATTGTTATGATATCATCACTCATCTTATCTCCCTAGTCATTTAAATGCCAATATGTGGTTGGTTCGCACTAATCTCATGACCAAAATATCAACAAACTTACTGACCTTGAAAACAACTCTGATAAAATCATTAAAACCAGATACTGTTTTCTGGGGGAACTGGAGGCCTGCAGCAGGCTTCACACCTCTGGATGTTTACTGACTCCTGAATTCACAATGGCTAACTCCAGTGTCTCACCTCACAGGTAGTGGCCAATCAAGGTTACACAACAGTGTAATTCAGCATCTAAACATTGGATAACTTTATTTTTCTCTCAATTTTGTGCTTTCACAATATTCCAACAAGTCATGATATAGGTCGGGTATTCTATCAGGACAGTCCCTTTCCTTGAGGAAAGGGACTTCATAGTTTCTTGTTTAGTTGATGAGAGGAGAAGGAAGCAGCAGTAAAATCCTCACCAAACTGTCACCAAGGTAAGAATGATACTACTCCAAAGAACCCTGGGCTTACAGACTTGATACTTTATTTCTGTTTCTTGAACAATCATGTAGAGAACTCTTTGCTCTCTACCTAATTTTTCCCTTTTGGTCAATTGGAAACACCGTCACTGCAAAGGGAAATGGTGATATCCAATGCTAAAGCCATCACCCATGATATTCTCATGCACTTTTTTTATGAGACCAGGAGGAAGGCACAGGAAGCAGGGAATAGCATGCCAGTTACTTGGAGGACTTGACCTTGACTGTCCCCACGGGTTCCATGGTGCATCCATGACTTCAGGGGCAGGGCTTCCCTTTCCACTCTGACCATAAAACATCATAGGTTAAGTAAAAATAAGATTCCTGCATTGGTTAAAAAAGAATAATTTCAGTTGTCAATATCTGCTTAATAAATTGTCCCAAAATGCAGTGGCTTAAAACAACATTTTATTTTCTCACATTTCTGCAGGTCTGGAATTCAGATGATGCACAGCAGGAATCCTCAAGGTGGGCTCTTTGCTCCCAAGTGTGGTGCCTCTGCTGGGATGGCTCTCCGAGGGTCATCTGTCTGGAGCCCCAATTTTCCTCCAATGGATGGACTCCTTGACTCTCCTCTATGTGATGTCAGGGCCTCTGCTTCTTTGCATGGTCCCTCTGTGTGGTCTTTCCACATGGTCTGTTGCAGCAGGGTAGATAGGCTTCTCACAGGGCAGCTCAAAGCTCTGAGAGTGCTAAATCAGAAGCTGCTACACCACCTTAAGGCTGAGCTCCAGAACCTGCACAGCATCACTTCTGCCACATTCTGTTGGTTTAAGCAAGTCACAGGCTCAGCCCAAGGGGATAAAACTGCATAGGGCATGAACCTTGGGGGGTGCAGTTCATGGGGGCCACCAAGGCAGCTAGCTGCCACAGTAAAGGCAAGGGAGTTGGGGTCCTTGAGTGTCCTTTGCCTGGTGCACCTGCTATGAGCAATGCACTCCTTCCCTGACCACCCCTCACCCTTCTTTCCCTTGGCCACATGTGTGCTCCCTGCTCAGTGGCATGTGGAAGCCAGTTCGTCTGAGCTGATTCTGTGCATCTCTTTTTTTTTTTTTTTTTGAGATGGAGTCTTACTCTGTCACCCAGGCTGGAGTGCAGTGACATGATCTCAGCTCACTGCAACCTCCACCTCCCAGGTTCCAGCGATTCTCCTGCCTTAGCCTCCCAAGCAGCCAGGACTATAGACATGTGCCACTACACCCAGCTAATTTTTGTATTTTTAGTAGAGATGGGGTTTCACCATGCTGACTAGGCTGGTCTCGAATTCCTGACCTCAGGTGATCTGCCTGCCTCAGCCTCCCAAAGTGCTGGGATTACAGGCGTGAGCCACCGCACCCAGCCTGTGCAATCTCTTTTCAACTCCACATTCAATGACCTCACTTTGGAAGCTTGAAATTGGCCATGATGGGAATATTCCTGTCATAGAAAATAGGAAAACACTCCAAATCAGAGCTCATTATGCTGTTTGCTTTATTGCTTATTTTAGATTATCAGTTTCCCAACACACCACTGTGCCCACTACACTCCCATCCTGCCATACCTTCCTTTCTCTCTCTCAGTTAGGCTCATAAAGGATGCCCTGATAATCATGAAAGGTGTTTCCTTACCATGGATAGGATCATTATATAGTGAACTAGGCATAGGCTTTTTACATTTTATTTATTTATTTTTTTAAAGATAGGGCCTTGCCAGGCGGATCACGAGGTCAGGAGATTGAGACCATCCTGGCTAACATAACGAAACCTCGTCTCTACTAAAAATACAAAAAATTAGCCAGGCATGGTGGCGGGCGCCTGTAGTCCCAGCTACTCGGGAGGCTGAGGCAGGAGAATGGCGTGAACCCGGGAGGCAGAGCTTGCAGTGAGCCGAGATCATGCCACTGCACTCCAGCCTGGGCTACAGAGCGAGACTCCGTCTCAAAAAAAAAAAAAAGATGGGGCCTTGCTCTGTTGTCCAGGCTGGAGTGCAGTGGCACCATCATTGCTCACTGTAGCCTCAAACTCCTAGGCTCAAAGGATCCTCCTGCTTCAGCCTCCTGAGTTGTTGGGATTACAAATGTGAGCCACTGCACCCAGCTTAGATATGGACTTTGGTTTACACACTAATTCAATTTCAAATCTTAAGTCTATAATTTACTACTTGTGTGTTCTCAGGCAAGTTATTTAACCAGGTAAATCTCAGGTGAAATATATAGCTATGAGTATGCAGTAACTTGAAATACATTTTTTTTTTCAGATGGAGTCTGGTTCTGTTGCCAGGCTGGAGTGCAGTGGCGTGATCTTGGCTCACTGCAACCTCCACCTCCTGGGTTCAAGTCATTCTCCTGCTTCAGCCTCCCGAGTAGCTGGGATTACAGGTGCCCACCACCATGCTTGGCTAATTTTGTATTTTTAGTAGAGATGGGGTTTACCATGTTGGCCAGGATGGCCTCAATCTCTTGACCTCATGATCCACCTGCCTCGGCCTCCCCAAGTGCTGGGATTACAGGTGTGAGCCACCGCGCCTGGCCAAAATACATTTTTATAAGGTAAAAACGAAAATCTCAAAGTTTCAGTATTGTTAGTTCTGATCCTTCTCCTAAGGATGTATTTGGTTGGTTGGTTGGTTGGTTGGTTGGTTGGTTGGTTGGTTGGTTTTCCTGAGGGTTGGGTTTGAAGTGCCATAGAAGACAATGAAACTGAGGTATGGGCTGGGATTCTGGTCACCCACACAGTGGCCAGTGTTCTCTTCTCTATCCACAGCTATTCCTGGTAGTAGCAGTAGTCACCAAAGGCTCTGCCTGGGAGAGCAGGCACGGTGCCCCAGCTCTGCTGCAGAGCTACCTGGACCTGCCTTCATGGGGAGACTGCATAAGTGATGGCCACACATGTCAAAGCTGATAGGCCACTCCCCTAACACAAACCTCCACCCCACTTCCCCCCACCACCGCATGCCCGAGTTTCTATCGTTGATTCATTTCTGTGAGCCAGACAGTCTCATTGGAGTTGCCCTCTAAATTTCCTAGATGCTTTCATCCCAGAACAGTAGGAAAGAGAGCCCAAAAGATCTTGCTTATCTAGGATAAAAATTAAACATTTACAAAGAGATTACTACAATAGTCCAAAGAGACAACTTATTCTCCAAAACAAAACTACAGCCTTTAATAGCTCTGTACTCACAAATTGCATAAAAATGCATTCTAGAAACTCATTTTATTTAACATAGCTAGTAATTATCTTTTCACACTACTAATTTTAACCTTGAGGCACCAGGATGATATAAATATCCCAAAGTCATCAATTTATATGTTATATTATGCAAATAGTTAGTGGTCATTCAAAAATTTGACTTAGATTGCATCCCCATCAAGGAGATGAACCCAACGCATTTATTTTCTTCAGTACGTGTTGTTGTTGTTGCCAAATCAGGAACTGGCTCTCTTTATTTATCAGTATTAGAGCTTGCCATTCAATAGAATAGCAGATAGAAACATCTAATCATGATGAATAAGTAAGATCTGCGGCATTTAAAATTATAAACTTATGGCTCTGATACATTGGCTGTAAAATACTGAACATAAGCCAAAACATGTCCATTGAAATGACTTGTTTTCAAGGAAGCTGCTCACATTTAACAAGATCCATGGAATACTCACAGCTAATACAGTGCAAAAAGTTAAAGTGCAATAAAACAAAGTGAAATATACAGTTTCAACTGCCCCATAAATGTAACAAGAGTTCTGGTTTTGATGATTTTGACTGGAGGTAGGGTGGGAGGGAAGATATGTTGAGTAAATTAAATTTCAGTCCCACAGGCATTTGCAAAATATATGACCAATCTGCAAATAGATGTGGTTTTTGGTTATACTCTTTAATGAAGTAGAAAAGAAAAATAGATTTTTGAATTTTAGCCCATGATATTAATCTAGCTTGCTAGAAACACAGTGGGTTTATAATCAATATTTGCATGGGCATTGCCTGTCTAAATTGACTTTTAAGTGGAATGTTCAAATGCATGACTCAAATCACTGTTAATCATTGTTAAAATTAAAGCCAGGTACTTTAGTTAGAAGGTCGTGGTGTCATATTTTTACAGCTTTTATGGAGGCACATAAGATGCAGATTCCTTTAATAAAGAAAGAGCAAAAAATTGTACAAACAGGTAAGATGAGCTTAACATGAATAAAAATAGAATCTTGAATTTTTCACATAATTCTATATCCACAAGCTCATGAGTGAGTACAGGAAATAAAATGAAAAGCAGCAAATTGCTTCCTTCATTGTATAACATCTGTAGTAGATTACTGCCATTTGATACACAAGAAAGGAGATAGACTAATGGGTACCTTGTTAACCTAATTAAAGCTTCATGGATACACAGGTTTCTCAAAACTAAAGTTTTGAGGCTCTGTTGTGTTAATGAACACAAAAGCTGGCCTGATCACTGAAAATGTCATCACTGCCACAAGAGGTTACACTTGTCCTCAGCAAGTTCCTGAAGGTTATGTAACAAAGATGACTTCTCTTCTAATGATCATCCACACAATTTTAAAATAATGGTACTTCTGAGGCTGCTGCTGATTGATCTACTACAATTTTCAAACCTTTAGCAAACCTGTCTTCTCTTTTTTTAATAAAGTGCCTTAGTCATATACTGCATTTAGACTCAAATTCATGAATCATTATAAATGATACATTTTCTTATTAGCTGATATGGTAATTCCTCCAACATTCACAATTTTTCAAAATGCCTTTAAAAGGGTTGCCAGCGCTAAACTGTTAAAGATATGGCTTGGAAAAATTTACCGTAAGCAAATGCATTGAAGAACTCTGAAAATTCAATGTAGCTGGCTTTCTAGTGTCACAGATAAAAGTAGATTAATAGTTTAATTAAACATGTTAGAGGCTCTGGGTATTGTAGCTATTACACCTTTGACCTCATGGGAGGCTGTCAGCAATGTAGGGAGGGTGAGTACTGAGGTTACATATTTATGATGCGCAGCTGGCTCAAAAAGTGTACTAAGCTAGACAGAACTTGTAATTAACCAAAAGATCCAGTAAATTATGAGATCAATAAAATTTCCTGTGTGCCATAGTTTTCAGAACTAGTTACTGCATTCCTAATTTATTGGCAAAAACTTCATGGACTTGCAAGGAAGATAAATAAAAATGCTTGGATGTAAAAATAAATATGTATGCTTGACAAATCTGAAATACACTGTTTACAGCTAATGAGGAGGTGGCTGTGCATTTTGCTGCATGTTTTATATCTAGAGCAGGGCAGAACATTAAAACCAATATAACTGATAACCTTGGTGCAAACAGCATAAGCCTGCATTTCCCATTATTCCCCAGAGATGGAATTAATTAGTGCTTGTCAAAACCAGAGCAATCCTCTGCCATAAAACTAAAAGTAATGGAGAGGCCATGAATGGCTTGGCTCAACTCCAAAAATATTTCTCATCTCTTTAGGAGAAAAATAATGCATACATCTATATATGCAGTATATCTACTTCTTTTATCCCTGATACCTCATAAACACACACACACACACACACACACAACACACACACACATAGACACACACACACAAACACACTTTTTGGCTACAGTTTGACAAATATGTGTAAAATGCCTACCATGCGAGGATGCAGAGAATAAAATGACATTAAGGGTTCACAGTTCAGTGGGCAGCAGAGACTGATAGAGGGCACATTTCAACTCAAGGTGTTAATGATTATGGGAAAATATGCCTTGAGTTATGGGGACTGAGAAGGGCACCTACCTGAACCTGTCAGGGAGGTCAAGGAGAAGAATGGCTTAGTAAGGGGCTTCTAAATGTAATGATAATTCTATTATTGATGACTCGCCTATTTCACAGATTCTTTCATAAAAGTGGTTGAGATGCCTTCGCACCCACTGCTGCTCCCTGTCGCACTGCCTCCCCTCACCTCTGTATCCTAACTAGCTCATCTGCATCCTGCAGGCTGCAACTCCAGGGCCCCCTCTCCAGTGAGGCCTTCTATAATTCCCCTCCTAGTTTAAATTGAGTCGCAAACCCTTCCCCTCTTCCCCTTCCGTTCTCCCTTATAGCATCTTGTCCCCACTATGGTCTTACCATATTTTGTAATTAACTTTTTTACTTTGATGATTATTTTTGCTACTCGGTGTGGTCCATGGATCAGCCACTTCTGAGATTGTTAGAAACGCAGAACCACCACCCCAACACCAAATCCTACTAAATCAGATCTATAGGTTCACAGGATCTATAGATGATTCATACGCACATGCAAGTTTAAGAAGAAATAACCTAGATGTACACTCCTTTACATTTCAATACGGTAGCCACAAGCCACATATGGCTACTCAAATTAATACAATTTAAAAATCCATTTCTCACTAGCCACATTTCTCATACCCAATAGCCATGGTTAATGTACTGGACAGGGCAGACGTGGAACATTTAAGGGCAGAAATTTCTATTGGATGCGATAGACTATAAGCTCCTTGAGATCAGGGCTGTTTTTTTTTTTTTTCCTCCCTACTGAGCAACCAGTAATCTAAAGTATTATACCTAGAACACTGAGGAAATGCATGCAAAAGTTTTTCTTAAATATCTTACATGAAAATATGCTGAAGTACTTCAAAAAATATCTGGCCTACAGAAAGTGAAAAATATATCCTATTTCCTTTCCCCTTTACATGTGATATTCAAAATATCTCTGGGACATAGACCATGAACAGGTGCTAAGCAGGATACATCATAAACTAGCAAGCTTTTAAAATTTTTTAATAGAGATTCTTGGGCTTCCACTTATGAAGATTGGGATTTAGTGGAACTGAGGGTTCATACTTCTGACATGAGTTAGCCACCTATTTTTAGATTTGAGACTCTGGATAGTTGAAATTCCATTCTTTTTACAGGAGCTGGTTTGATTTCCCTCCCTGATGAGTAACTAATAAAAATAATTGGCAAGTATTTAAAAATGACGTAACAGAATGTTCAGAAGCAAGTTCCAGAAAACTTAAGCTGTCTTAAGAAAATAAAAGACAATATATAGACTCCTGTATCTGAAAAGGTCAGGGTGGGGGTTAGAATCAAATGTCAGAAGGATCCCATATCTTCCCCTCTTTCTTAATTTCCTATACATCAGGTTCATTCTGGAGCTCCATGTGGTAGAGAGATGGTGGCTCTATTAGTCTGTTTACACACTGTTAATAAAGACATACACAAGACTGGGTAATTCATAAAAGAAAGAGGTTTAATGGACTCATGGTTCCACGTGGCTGGGGAGGCCTCACAATCATGGCAGAAGGTAAAAGGCATGTCTTACATGGTGACAGGCAAAAAGAGAACTTGTGCAGGGAACTCACCTTTATAAAATCATCAGATCTCATGAGACCTATTCACTGTCACAAGAACAGCATGGCAAAGACCCATCATTCAATTACCTACCACCGGGCCCCTCCCACGACATGTGAGAATTGTGGGAGCTACAATTCAAGATGAGATTTGGGTGGGGACACAGCTAAACCATATCAGTGGCCAAGATCTCCAGGGCTTTCTTCTTCCAAGTTATAATCAGCAGGAAAGGGCAGACGGCCTCTGTCTCAACAGTCTCAGTGAAAGTTCTTTCGCATGTCACTGGCTTTGGCTTGAGAGTTTGCCACCTCTGATGCACCACCATGGCCAGGAGAATATGTCGTGTGAATTGGCCGAGGCTGAGTCACATGCCCACCCATGAACTCACCCCATCTGAAGAACCTGGAGTGAGAATGGGAGCAAGGGTATGTTCCCCAAAAGAAAGTCAGAATGGTGTTGTCAGGAGAAAAGCAAACAGATTTGGGGTGACAAAAACAAACAACAGATGTCTACTACATGCCACTTAACTTCCTATCAAATGAATGAATGAGTGAATGAATGACTCTACGTGTGTGTGTGTGTGTGTGTGTGTGTGTGTGTGTGTGTAAAATAGAACAGATTTTGAAAATGAACTAGCATGCTTAACTAGCATTACTAATCACCATTCAGGGTTATGCAAGTTCTTGACAGGAGGAATGAAGAATTTCTAACCTGGATCCAAAGCTAATATAATTATAAATATGAACAGTCATTAAAATGTCTATTATTTCATCTGTGCAGAGACGATTCATAAGCACAGACCAAAATCTACTCCAGACCCAAAGGAGACTCAGCTTCATGTCGCCAGTGTAAACCTTACTATTTCCTTTTGAGTTAAGCAGCTTAGTGAGTCCTGGATCCTTCTCAGCATCCTGTGTGTCTGTTTGCTACAGTGGGTCAGAGACTCAGGTTACTAACCAGTCTTTACATCTCTGCAGGAATGATTTCTTTACAAAATATTGTTGTGCTCCCTCTCTGGGACAATATTTTCAGTTGATAAGGCACGCCAGGACAAAATGAAATAATTCAGTCCAATAATTCAATGTAAAACTACAAGCCAAGACTGTAGCAGTGGCTGCAAATTTTCAGAATCTAGTTTTGAGACAAGCAGCTCACAGACTCAACCTCACTTGTTAGCACTCAAAAATTCTAAGCATAAGCATTCCGCTGTGAAGCAGAGAACCTGATCCACAAGGTGTTGTGTTCAAACACATGTTCCCATGATTCCATCTCATATTATTGATGAAGAGTCTCTAGATGTCACTTGGTGGACAAGTGATATTTCTTAGTCACAGGATACTAAAGCTGGAGGGGGCTCTAGACACCAAGTAGTCAGTATTTTCAAACTTTTTTCCATTAAGGATTCTATGAACATAATGCATAGTAGAGGCCTCTCCTCACGTTCTTTATGATGTTCAGTAACAATTTTGATTAGCACTGTTCAGAGCCAGTGAATTTCCTTTCCATGGGAGACGATAAAAACGGCCATAATCCCCCCACCCCTTACATTCTTATCTTTGCCATGTGGTGTCAGAGATCTTTCCACCAACAGGTGGGATATATTCCCTCATCTCTTAAATCTGGCCATGTCTTTCCTGAGTCAATGGCTCATTAGCAAACGTGATGAAAGTAAAAGCTTGCAAAGAGGATTGGGGCTTGCCATCTTGCTGTTTTAGGAACTGAGGTACCACATGAATAAGTCTGAGCACTGCTGGAGAGAAGAGGCCAAACAGAGGAGAAACAACGTGCTCAGCCAAATCCATAATGTAGAGCTGATGCTATCCTGGATTACCCAGCAGCCAGCTAAGGGACTGGCTGACAACCATTGCATGATAGAGCCCAGGCAGAGATCAGCTGAGCCAGCCCATACCAGATCATGAGCTACATTAAATTGTTACTGTTTTAAGTGATTAAGTTGTTTTGTTATACAGCAAAAACTAGCTTATACATTTTTCTTTATCATAAAACACAGCTCAGATCTTCAGACCAAGATAAGAGAAGTGATAAAACTAATAGCCAAAGTGATCATGTGACTATTTCAAAGTCAAGCCTTCACAGGTCCATGGATGGCTGAAACCTTGACCTCTTCACTTCTAGTCTCTCTTTCTTTAGACTTGCAGCATACAATGATATTCGATACATATGATGTTGATATGATATATATGAATATGATATTCAATATATTGACTAAAAAGGAACAGAGGACTGAATTTGAGGTCGCTGCCCTAGGATTTCTATTTCCCAAGGCATGTTTTATGTGTCTTCATTTCCAAACTGTCATCTTTAACATTTGTCTCTGGAAGCTTACACAAGTTATAAAAAATGTCTCAGATGTATTTGGGACATTTATGAAAAATGAATTTGTGAAGATATGCCACAGCAACAGGCAATCAGGAGGTTTTTGCCTAGAAAAGTGTCCTTAACATGGGAGAAACAAGTATTTAAAAGCAAAGATGACTTTAATTCCTAAAGGCTTTGCTTTCTGGAGACCCTGAGTCTGTCTGTAGAAGTTCGTGTTGCATCAGGACGGAGACTGAAATGGGCAACTGAGCAGAAACAGGATAGGGCTCTGTTTCTGCCTCTGTTTGACAACACCATCCTAGCATTAGTCGGGGACAATGTCGTGCCAGCCAGAACCTTCTTGGCTTTATGGCTGAAAGCTCATAGGTATTCCAAAACTCTGAGAGGGAAAAGTAGCCATTTAACTCTATTTAACTGTTGCTTTCCGATTCCTTCGTTTTAACCTTTCCAATCTAGATAGTTGCTTCCCATTTTCTCTGCAAGAAAACATTTACAAGCCAGAGAAAGGTACTACATATTACCTACTGATTAAAAGTGCAGGGGTCAGGGACACCCCAACACTTATTAACAGGGTGACCATAGGTAAGTTGCCTCAGTTTTGCATCTCTAAAATGAGGGTAATAAAAGTACTGACTTCTAGGCTGTTGTGAGGATTACATTAGGTAATGCACACAAAACACACAGCACCATGCCTGTCACATAGTAGGTGCTCAATACGTGTTTATAAAGGAAAACATAAAGCTAGTTGTTGGTAGCACTCCAGTCTTCCCCCAGCCTATTCTCCCACCTGCCCTTTGTGCCCCTGGTTCTAAACTCTACCTCTTGACAATTTTCTTAGGTCTTCCTGGTTGGGGAAATTTTTATTTAGGACATTACCTCGGCTTTGGCAAATAAAATCCAATTTTCCTTCCAGTCTTGGCCTTGCTCTTGCCAGGCAAATTCCCTAATGATACCCGTTCTCTCCATTCCCTAATGACCAGCTCAAAGTGCCCTTCCAGGAAGGAGGATCATATATTAGGCTTAAACCTAATCATAGGAGGCTTTCATATTTTTACTTGGATTAATAAACTGCATCCTAATGAAAAATCAGGGAGCAGGAGTTGGGGGGAGTGATGTGGTTACTACATTTCCAGCTATGAGACACTGTGACATTACTGACAGTTTCAAGAGTAGGAAAGAACCAGGGTACATAAGTCGGCTCAGTTTAAACCCAGTGAAAATATCTTAGCATTAGAAATAAAGCCTTGGCAATCACATAATGAAGGAAAAATATAAAAACTTATACCCTGCACATTTCATGTGTGCAATAATGCTTACTGAGGCTGGAATAAGCAATCTCCTATTATCCTATAAAATTATAATGCAGCAAACAATGTTGTCAACAAATCAGTGGTAATTATATTCGTACTTTGACCTCATTGCACCCGTGTACAATGTGTTTCCTTTTATTCAAAGATCTGTTACATCAAGCTAGTTAGTTATGAGATAAAAATAAACAACATAGTTGGACTTCACTTTTTTCACTTGTTAAAAGGTTGGAGTATATATTGTTTTAGGTCCCTTCTAGCTCTAAATGCTCTAGTTTCTCTAAATTTCTTTCCTGTTCTTGGGTTTTTAACGTTTATGTGTAGCTAGATATTTGCTATTTCTAGGTCATGCTCCACTCAAATACACCTTCTTTCTGTAAGCATATTAAAAAATGAAAGTTATTTACAGGAGCCTACTAGTTAATCTATGTAGAAGGAATGATAGAATTAGAGAATCACCATTTTGCTAACCCTACTGGAGTGATTTAGAAAAGGCTCATCAATGGATAATACAAGCTTCAGGTTTGGGTAAGCAAGCTAGGCAATGACGCCAGTGTCAACTCACAGATCACTTACTAATTGAAAACGAGGGAGAAAATGTATCTTCATAATCGAGATAATTTTGCGACAAACATCAAAACCAGGTGACCAAACATGGCACCACAAATAACAATGGGAACCTCTTGATGTGAATGAAATGCGCAGCATCACCTATGATTTTTATTTTTTATTTTATTTTTCAGACAGAGTCTCACTCTGTCGCCCAGGCTGGAGTGCAGTGGCATGACCTCGGCTCACTGCAAGCTCCGCCTCCCAGGTTCAAGCCATTCTCCTGTCTCAGCCTCCCAAGTAGCTGGGATTACAGGCATGTGCCATCACGCCTGGCTAATTTTTGTATTTTTAGTAGAGATGGAGTTTCTCCATGTTGGTCAGGCTGGTCTTGAACCCCCGACCTCAGGTGATCTGCCTGCCTTGGCCTCCCAAAATGCTGGGATTGATTACAGGTATGAGCCACCGTGCCCAGCATTTTTTTATTTTATATTTTTTTTAGACAGAGTCTCGCTCTGTCGCCCATGCTGGAGTGCAATGGCACAATCTTGGCTGACTGCAACCTCGGCCTCCTGGGTTCAAGTGATTCTCCTGCCTCAGCCTCCCGAGTAGCTGGGATTACAGACACCTGCCACCATGCCCAGCTAATTTTTGTACTTTCAGTAGAGAGAGGATTTCACCAAGTTGGCCAGGCTGGTCTTGAACTCCTGACCTCAGGTGACCTACCCACCTCAGCCTCCCAAACTGCTGAGATTACACACTCACGGTGTGAGCCACCGTGCCTGCCTCACTTATGAATTTTTCTAGCCAAAAATATTCAACCTGAATCTAATCACACCTCAAGATGGAACTTGTAGTTTACAAGAAATAGAAGACTTAAAGAAAAATGTTATACAGCTCTTTAAGAAAATAATCAGAAAAATTCAAAATATAGTACTTTACCAAAGCAGGACACTGTTCTATATTGAAAGAAACTGAAGGGACATAAAAACAAATTTAGTGCTTAATCTATGATTGGTTTCAACAACAGTAACAACAGTAAAGAGCCGTAACAGGTGGGAGGATTAATTGAGGGAATTCAAATATGGCTGGGTATTAGATGATATGTAATTTTTGTCCATTTTGGGGGTATAATAATGATACTATGGTTGTGCAGCAGAATGTCTATATTCTTTGGAGATGCAAGTTGAAGCATTTGGGATGAATTGTCATAATTTCTCCAATTTGCTTTCATAGATAGATAGATAGATAGATAGATACATAGATAGATACATAGATACATAGATACATAGATAGTGTATTAGGTCATTCTTGCATTGAAATAAAGAAATACCTGAGACTGGGTACTTTCTAAAGAGAAGGGGTTTAATTGGCTCGTGGTTCTGCAGGCTGTATAGGAAGCCTAGCAGCGACATCACTTGGCCTCTGGGGAGGCCTCAGGGAGATTTTACTCACAGCGGAAGGTGAAGCGGGAGCGTGCACATCATATGGAGAAAGCAGGAGCAAGCAAGAGAGAAAGTGGGGAAGAAGTGCCACACACTTTTAAATGACCAGATCTCACAAGAACTCACTATCATTAAAACAGCACCAGGCCATGAGGGATCCACCCTGATGGCCAAAACACCTCCCACCAGGCCCCACCTCCAGCTTTGGGGATTACAATCCAACATGAGATTTGGGTGGGGACAAATATCCAAACTATATCAGACAGATAGATGATAGATAGATTGATAGATCAGTAAATTGATAGATAGATAGAAAAAGAAAACAAAAATACAGCAAATTTCAATTATTGAATCCAGGTGGGGAACATATCTGTTCACTGCACTATTTCTTCAATTTTTCTTAATGTTTGAAATTTTTTATAATAAATTGGGGAAAATATCCCTTCCCCCATGAGAAATACTCAACTGTAAAGGTGGGCGTGCTTCTTTACCAATGCAGGGGGTTCTTCTGACATGGCTCGTGGCACTCTGTGGTTGTGCAGGGGTGCTGGTCCTCCACTAGACTGTAATCTTCTTGAGGGCAAGCACTAAATCTAATTTACAGTTAATATGCCCAGTGCTTGATCTCAGTGCCTTGCACATGGAAAATATTTATTGAATTGAATTAAAACTCATGTATTGACTGAGTGACCACACAGGCTGACCTAGGTAACAACACACTTTTGATACATTAAAAAATTCAGTGTTCAGAATAAACTGAAATCAATAATGAACAGGGTTAGAAAAAAAATACATAAATTTTTATTAGGGTCAAACAATTTTCTTAACATTTGGCATCAGAATTCCTCCACAGGGAGAAAATGAGTCTTTGTTTAGAAAAGTATCCTGACAATAATCATGTGTGCAAAAAAAAGACCCTAGGGCAGGCTGCTGAAGGGTAAAGCTGAGCTAAAGGGGGAAGATTGGATCACATTGAATAGAAGATGGAAGAGATAACTTAATTGATTGATTAGTCATTTAGATATCTCCTCCTCTCTAGAGTTGCCGGAGGGTTGGGAGATGTTTTTCTTTAAATAAGAGATGTCTAACACTCAGTTTCACATTATTTGCGTTTTTGGGATATATGCCACTCTGTGTTCTGAAACTTCCAGTCAAGTAATGTTATTGCTATGGACCAATTTTATGAAGGTCTTAAGAAATCAGATGGCAGCAGATAAGAATTCATTTAAAACATAATTTAACTACCTTGTTAATTACAAGGCTACTCATTTAATTTTCCATTTATCTTTATACTCTTTTAATTTAACTAACACTTTTTTTTTTTACTATTTTCTCTACAGCATGAAATATCAAGCATATCTCCAAGAGAAACAAAATAAAGATGAAGATCTGGGACGTCAGATCATAAAACAGGCAGAGCTTCACCAGGCGGCATGATTTTAGGAGGGTCACCACAGGCTGGACTGTGGATTGTCAGTTTCTTGGGGCACCCAGAAGTGGGGATGCTTAGAGAATAAGTCTCATATGTATAAACAAGAACACCAAGGTTGCTTCATGCACATGAAAGCAGGATAAGGGAATGGGACACTTCAAGCTTCAAGTATGGCTTGATGCACCATCTTCCTTCCCATGGCCTCTTTTCTCCTCTCTGGAGACTGAAATATATGTTCTGCTTGATTTAGGATGGGGTTGAAGAAGCACAGACAAATTCTGACTCCTTGCTGACCATCCTCTGCAGATGGAGTGAAACTCAATTGATTAGTTTCTATTGTGACCCTCACATTGCAGCCCTGCTTCTCCAGGTCCTCTTGCAAATTCCCTAGGATGCTCCTCAGATTGACATGGCCAGTCCTGTGGTTTCTCAGAGAATGAAAGACAATTTTGTGTGGATATAGGTAGTTTACATGTAAGGGGTGAGTTATATCCTCTTATTACCATATTATTTGTTGAAGATAGGAATCCACGCACGTCAACCAAGGTACCGACTACAATATACTGCCGACCATAAGTTTAGTGATGAGGCTTTTAAAACAAATGAAAGTAGGGGGCACAATAATTCCTTTAGAAGAAGACTCACAACTGGCATACAGACATTTGATGAAGCTTGACCAAATTAACATTAATTCAAATGTTCAACAATCATTTAGAAGCAAAACAGACAGCACTAGGCCAGCAAACCTAGCCATCTCCCTTTTCACTTCTCAATCAAGACTTCAAATTATATCAAGGAGAAAGTCTCTGTGTGAACCTTTGGCATCTGCCTAGCACTGCCTAATTACCTTTTATCATTATGCAATCCAACTAGATAATGCCATCTCCACAGAACCCATACAATCATCCACGGATGCCCTATCATAACAGTGCAATAAGTTGAATTACTGCCCAGCAATTATTCACCACTTTCATGTATTCTGTATCTTTACCTTGTGGCTTTGTGGTTCCTCCCACTGAAGGTGGAGTATACCTCCCCACACCCTGACTTTGGGTTTGACCCTGAGGTTAGCTGAACCCACTGGGATGATAGCTGACATGATCCAAGCAGAGGCTGGGTCTGCACTTGTGCCACTGTGCGTGTCTCTTGTACTTCTGTCAACACCATGAAAAAAGAGCAACTTCTGGCCAGCTGTTGCTCCTCAGCCTGAGGTTCCAGACCAAGCATATGAGGATCAGACCTGAGCACAACTCGCAGTGAGGAGCCAAACCCAGATGGACACACGTTTTGAGGTGGAGCTATTGAGGCAAGGCCAGACTAGGTCAGCCAACCCCAGCCAGCCCCAGACATGTAAGTCAAAATAAATGATTGGAGCTTTAAGCCTCTGATGATTAGGGGGGTGTTACGCAAAAATAGCTGATTGATACACTGACTAAATTCAAAGTAATTGCCCCAATTTAGGGATCTCAATTACCTACTACAAGAAATAAATATTTTATGCTGCTTAAACTACATCCCATTAAAGAAAATATATGTACTCTGCTCACTCAGGATATCACACTTGCTCTTCTGTCTTTGATCATTTAATCTAAACCCTTGGTGGTTCAATTCTTCCCAAATATTTCAGTTCCTCCTTTGCTTTCCATCCCCCCTATTTTCTTAACAAAGTGAGACTTGTCTGAATCTTCACAGAACTCTTGCCACATTTATTAGAAAGTTACAACTACTTAATCTAGGTGCAGACTCAAGCTGAAGGTGATTTCTTTAATTTAGTCCCAGAGTTTAATGCTGATCTAAATTGCCAAAGCATCACACTCATGATTTATCATACAGAGAGACTGACCAACTGATTTATTCCCCGTTTCTCATTGCAGACTGTGAGTTACATCTTACAGGGTCACAGCCAAGATTTCCAGAGACAAGGACACCTGTGGAGCTATCATTATACACACCACTGTGATTAAACTTCAGCTCACATAGAAGCAACACGCACTGCTTTTGCCCGACTTCTGTTTTTGCAGTTGGTATGTTGATGAGTGGGGCCTTATGTGGGGAAGAAAAAGGCCCATTGGTATTAGCATTCAGAGGGGAGAAAATGCTACTCGTTCTGTTCTGTTCCTATATATTCTCATTTACAAGCATGCTATGGATAAGATATGCCTTTGTTTAGCAATTTTGAAAGTAGGCATCATTAGACTGATAAAAGACCACAGTCATATTTTGTTTGGCTAGTACAAGCCCAGACACGGTTTTTTTTTTCTGTCTGTTGTGGTTTTTTTCCAAGTTTTTAATTGTTTTAAGTTTTGAAATAGTGGCCAATATTTTCACATAAAAAATTCAAATTCAGGCGAGGCACGATGGCTCATGCCTATATTCCCAGTACTTTGGGAGGCCGAGGTGGGCAGATCACTTTAAATCAGGAGTTCAAGACCAGCCTAGGCAACATGGTGAAACCCTTTCTCTACTAAAAATACAAAAAATTAGCCAAGCATGGTGGTGCATGCCTGTAGTCCCAGCTACTCAGGAGGCTGAGGCACAAGAATCGCTTGACCCCAGAGTCGGAGGTCACAGTGAGCTGAGATCACACCACTGCAGTACAGCGCGGGTGACAGAGCAAGACTCTGTCTCAAAAAAAAAAAAAAAAAAAAATCAAATTCTGACTTCTCTTGAGAAACAGAAACATCTGGCATTGCTGAGATCTCATTCATCCATTTCCCCATTCAACCAGCAACCATTTACTGATCAGAGAAGCAGCATCCTTTCTATAAGAGAACATGAGCTCACCAGTTTGGCTGGTTTGTCTTACAGCCAGCTGACTTCTATTCCTTTACCTTTCTTTCTATAACCCCTTTAAGCATCTGTATTTATAAACCATACATTAATAGGCAAAAATAAGTTATTTTTGATCATGTAAACATTCGAGGACTTATTTAAGCGACAGAAGTCACTTGTATAAAAGAATTACAAGAACAAAAGAGAACAAGTAGCATTTTCCCACTCTGAATGCTAATACCAATGTGCCTTTTTCTTCCCCATAAGGCCCCACTCATCAACATACCAACTGCAATATTTTCATATTTTTATATGAAAATATTGGCCACTAATTCAAAACTTAAAACAATTAAAAGCTTGAAAAAACAACCACAACAGACAGAAAAAAAAAAAACCCTCTCTGAGCTTGTACAAGCCAAACAAAACATGACTTTGGTCTTTGATCAGTCTAATGATTCTCACTTTCAAACTTTGCTAAACAAAGGCATATCTTGTCCTTAGCATGCTTGTATATAAGAATATATAAGAACAGAGCAGAAGAAGTAGCATTTTCTCCCCTCTGAATGCTAATACCAATGGGTCTTTATCTTTTCAAAATAAGAGACAAGAGTAGAATAAAAGTTTTTGTTTATTATTCATTTATCCTTTCAAATAGTGCTATTACTTATGAAGTGCCTACTATGTGCCAGTCACAATGCTAAGCACCAAGGATGCAAAGAAAAAAAAAGACCTAATCCCAGCCTGAAACTCAGGATCTACAGTGATGACTTTAGTATAGCTACCAATGAATTCAGGAGCTAAATGCCCATATTTCCAGACCCCGTGCCCGGGGATACTGATACAGTAGATCTTGAATAAAGTCCAGGAAAGGGCATTTTAGTATTGGTAATTTTAACACAAGGTGTGGTGATCACACTCTGAAAAATAATAAACAGACAATTTCAGTGCAGTGGGAACTGGGCTCTGAAATGGGGTAAACCAGAAAATTAGATGAGTCTTTGGGTTAGTTTCAGATTAGTCTATTGGTTTCAGGGAGACATCCAACTTCAGCGTGGGTAAAGAGTGGGAAGTTAGCCAGATAAGAATGGGTAACAAGTGGTAAATTTTAAGAGGTCCCTGAGGATATAAGAGAAAATTGGAAAAGGTAAATCTAGAAAGGTGATTAAGGACCAGATCGTAAAGGGCTTAATAATGCAACCATATTCATAACAATGGCTCATGAGTTACTGACTACACTACGAATGTGGGATGCATTATTTTACCTCATCTTTACAACATTGCTATGATGCACGTGATTACACCTTAATTTTACAGAGTGGAAGCCTAAGGTTGAGTTTAAGCCAGAGTTTTTCATCCTTGACACTATTGCCATTCCAGGGCAGACAATTTTTTGATGTGGGTACTGCCCTGTAAATTGTAGGATGCTTAGAAGCATCCCTGGTGCTATAGTTTTGATATGGTTTGTTTGTTCCCAGTAAAGTTCATATTGAAATTTTACCCCCAGTACCGCAGTGTAGAAAAGTGGGTCCTACTGGGATGTGTTTGGGCTTTTAGGACTGTTCCCTCGTGAATGGCTTGACAGTGTTCTACAGTAGTGAATGACTTTTCACTCTCGAGAGATTGGATGAGTTTTGGTGGTAATGAATTCATTCCCTTGAGAGTGGGTTGTTGGAAAGTCAGGGCACCTTCAGGTTTTCCCTTCTTTTCATATGCCTGCTTCCCCTGTAACCTTCTCCATCATGTTTTGATTCAGCACAAAAGCCTTCATCAGAGGCTGAGCATTTGCTGGTGCCCTGCCTCTTGTAGAGCCTGCCAAGCTGTGAGCCATACAAACCTCTTTTCTTTATAAATTACCCAGCTTCAGGTATTCTTTGTAGCAACACAAACTGGACTAAGACACCTGGCCTCTACCCACAAGATTTGAGTAGTTGCCTTACCCCCTAATGTGACAAACAAAAATATCTCCAGACATTACTAGATGTCCCCTGAAAGGTAAAATCACTCCTAGTTAAGAATCACTGGTTTAAACCCTTGAAAACAGTGAGGTCTCACAAATAGTAAGAGACCAGTTGGAATCTGGTGTCATTCTATTAACTGCATAGCTCAAACTCCGAAACATCTGCAAAGAAAATTAGTACAAAACAGATGCAAATGATTAGATCAAAACTTTGTTTTGAAAAAAGAGGTTGCTCTTTTCTAAAAGCTTCAGTACAAAGTGAAAAAAATTTACAAACTAAAGGCTTTTAATAAAAAGAAAAAGAATGAAATCCAATTAAACATAACGTTGAAGGGTCTGAATGTTTGGCTTGAGCTGCTGATGGAGATCTGGAGTTGTAGGAAAAGAAATCCCACACATGCACACCACAGTTCATGCCTGTGGGTCCTGCAATTTTATCTGGTGATGCCTTAAAGTAAATGTGACATTACACACATTTTAGCATCTATTTTCCCAGCAGGAAGTGTAAGATAAAGAGGCTCAATCAGTATGTTAAAATAAGATCTGATGCAGGGGAGGGAAAAAAGCTTTCAGATCATAAGAAATACCATTCCGAGGAAATTAAAAGCCTGAAATATGGCATATGATTACTGACACCAAAATCCTGCTGTTGTGCTTTTGAAGGACTTTTAAAGATGCTTTCTATTTTCTAAATAAATCTGAAAAACTACGTGGCTTTCCAGGTGTCAGTGAGCTTCAGTGAAAAAAAAATGATGTGCATGGATACCATCACCAAACTTTCTCAACAGAGGAATTATTGAAGAAAAAGGGGTTGCTGAAATTAACACATGTCAAATGAAAACAGTCTCGATGATTACTTTTTTTCAAGCTTCAGTTTCCATCTATTCTTTCCAAGTAAATAGATGAACAAACTTGTGATGGATGTGAACTGGTTTGAAAATTAGTCAATCAATAAGCACATCACTTTGGTAGCTTGCCTGACTTCTTTTTTGTTCTCTCCTCCCATTATGCCTTTATTTCTTCAATTATTCACTCATTCCATCATTCACTTAATAAATATTTACCAAGTGATCACTTTTATGTGACTGTATGAAGTTCTGGGGATACAATGAAGACCCAAACTAGATACAGACTCTACCTTCATGAAACTTTCAATCTGGTGGGGGTGGTAGACAGTAATCAATATATTACTCGAGCAAAGTAAAACTGCAATTCTAATGACAGCAGTGACAGACAGGAACTGTTGCAGTAAGAGCCTATAACAGAGGACTTTTATCTCATCAGAAAGTTAAGGAAGGCCTCCCTCATATGTCTGTTTCCCCTGTAACCTTCTCCATCACATTTTGATTCAGCACAAAAGCCCTCATCTGAGGCTGAGCATTTGCTGGTGCCCTGCCTCTTGTAGAGCCTGCCAAACTGTGAGCCATACAAACCTCTTTTCTTTATAAATTACCCAGCCTCAGGTATTCTTTGTAGCAACACAAAATGGACTAAGACACCTGGCCTCTACCCACAAGATTTGAGTAGTGTCTTACCCCCTAATGTGAAAAACAAAAATATCTCCAGACATTACCAGATAATAACTGCAGGAGAAGCAGGAGGCAACCAGGTGACAAGCATTCTAGGTGGTCAAGACGACATGGGAAGCAACAAAAAACTTCTGGTTGATGCAGGTATGGAGTATTTGAAGAACTAAAAGAAGGTGGGTTTGGGTAGGGCACAGAGCAAAGACAAAGATGGTGAGATAGGCGGAGGAAGACCTTGCCCAGCCTCAGGTCTATTCCATGTACAGATCTTTGTCCTAATTCTATCAAGAGACAAAAAAAAAAAAAAAAAAAAAAAAAAAAAGCTGTGCTATCTTGCAAGCTTTTGATTTGTGTCTGCAGAAGGCAGGCATGCACACAGACAATAAGATCTTAAAAATAAATGGAAATAACCAAGGTATCATATACCTACAAACCAAGACCTGAACATTCCACTTAGACCAGCTGCATTTTAAAACGGTTTCTGACATCATATACAGTGGGAAATAAATATGGTATTGGTATCCAATGAACATTATATCTCACTATATTCCATCCTCCCAAAACCTATTAGACTAGATTTTACATATTTACCTAAGATCAAATTTGGATTTAATCCTTAAAATTTAAAAATTAAAAGCAACTATGTTACTATATGTCTTAAGAAACGAAGCATGCTTGAGTGAGTCTTGGATCACCTGTTTTAGTCTCTTCTGGCTAGAAGAATCAGTAAGATCTTGACAGTATTGTTGCAGGCACTTTGGTGATGTGCTACCCTGAGAAATCCTGAATTGCACCAACATATCACTGGGGTCTCTTTAGCAAAAACCATCCTTGTGAGCATGTAGACTATATTAGAGTTTGTCAAGCAGAGCTCCCACAGAGCTGAGCCTTGCAAAGCACACAACATCTGGAAAAGAAAGTTTCTTTGGAAATCAGATCATGTAAATAAGCCCGTAGGGGGCTAGTGGGTTGGGTAGCCCTGCTCAGTCGGTGATGGAGGAAGCTGCTGCAGGGAGATTCTGACACGATGACCACTGGTCTGTCTATGGGTCATCCATGCAATTCCTCATTGTTTTGACCCTCCTGACCAACCTCACTTCTCTCTTACCGCCAATCATAGATCTCTGAAGAGAAACCTCTAGGCTGGACCACACACAGACCTGCAAACAATGAGGCCCAGAAAACAGATACTGCCTTTGTTATCCAGTGGATGATTCCAACTCACAGCCAGCAATCTATGCTTTCAATAACGAGGAGAAGGACTGACAAGAATCAAGCACATACAAGGAAAGCAGTCATGTGTTTAAGGACATACATGAAAATATCCAACAGGTTTCCCGCAGCACTCCATAAGTCAAATTGCATAGCGAGCTTGATATTCAAGTTAAAAAAAAAAAAAAAGAGAGAGAGAGAAAAGAAAAAAGCTTTTGTTTTGTCTATATTTTTTAAAAAAGCGTTTTCAAGTATTATTTTACTGTTTTTAATTATTAATGAATTATTATTTAATTATTAATCTCAAGGCAACAAGCTCTGCTATTAGCTCCCTTTGACAAAGGAGAAAATAAAGGTTAAGAAAAATCTGATTGCTCTTGACTATCTGAGGGTACAAAACTAATTATTATTATTATTTTTTGAAATGGAGTTTAGCTCTTGTTGCCCAGGCTGGAGTGCAATGGCTCAGTCTCGGCTCACGGTAACATCTGCCTCCTGGGTTCAAGCGATTCTCCTGCCTCAGCCTCACAAGTAGCGGGGTATTACAGGCATGTGCCACCACGCACAGCTAATTTTGTATTTTTAGTAGACATGGGGTTTCACCATGTTGGCCAGGCTGGTCTCAAACTCCTGACCTCAGCTGATCTGCCTGCCTTGGCCTCCCAAAGTGCTGGGATTACAGGCGTGAGCCACCACGCCCAGCCTGAAGCTAATTATTAAGACTGTTAAATAGAGCCTGAGTTTGAGACTAAGATGCTGTCTACTAGGTAAAAATATTTTTCTGTAGCCCATTTAATCATTAAGCACAATATAAATTTTGATCTTCACATACATTTTTACCATTAGAGTTTAAGCATATTTATTTCATAAAGGAAATATAAAATGACCTCTCATTTATTTATTTATCTATCTATCTTTGGTAAAGGATGTCCAAAAACTAACCAGTCTGAAATGGTATTGATTTAAGAAAATACATTTTCATGAAAACCAGCCACTGGAGCTTGGAACTGCTTTTATTCATCTCCCTCCCCATACCAGCAACAACAGGTAGCCGAATTCGATTTCTCTTTCTGCTCTTTAGTAGCTAGCCTTATGCTCTAAGGCTTGGAACAAATAGAAAGCATCAGAAGAAATAACAAATATTGCTGTGATTTAAAAACATCCTATTTGACGGATTATTAGGGGAGTGTGCTTATGTGCTTGTTTACTGGCTGTCATTGATTTTTACTCAGCATTGGATAATTTTTAAATTTTCCATGTGGCCATTCAGGCATATTCATTCATTTATTCCTTCTGCCTTCTTTCTTCCTTCTTCCTGTCCTTACCTTTTTTCATTCTTACTTGCCTGCAATTCTTCTTTCCTTCCTTCTTTCTCCTTTCCTTTCTTCTTTCCATGCCAAGCATGGAAACCAAGCAATTGAAGAGTCAAAGATTTAGAAATCAAATTGGAAACATCTTTATTTTTATCATATACTTACTTAAAAAATAGAAACTTTTAATAAATTATTCCTTCTTTTTTTTTCTAATACTTTTATGGTCTCTTCTTACTTTTGCCAAAACTTAGTAGTGCAATCTATTCTTGGGGGCAGGACTGGAGCTATGTTTAATTTATTAATTTTCCTATGCTTTATAATTCCTTGTGAAAATAAGTTAGTTATTTGGGAGCATCTGCATGCTATAGGGCTGTGTTGCATTTAGCCTATAGCCAGGTGAAAAAAACTCCCTCCGGCTCTGTTTAGCTTTCACACAGAGCTTTGGTCAGGGACCTCAAGACAGCTGACCTTCATTTACACTAAACCTTTCCTTATTGGACTCATATTAAAAGGGCCTGCAGTTCCAACTCTGGGGTTTGGCACAAACGATTCTAATTGCTCCTTTATCCAATATTCAGAGATAGGGCTCAGCCATTAGGCCCTAGAAAAGCAATATACAAATATTAGCTTGATGGACAAGGTTAGTAATAAGATACAGCTCTCCTCTGTATGTCACACTTGAGAGATGCAAGAAAGATAGCCATTCCTATTATTGTTCTCACACATTTTATAGCTGGTACATGTTTATATTTCCTGCTTAAAGATTGCAGGGCATAGCTAAAGGAATTTAAGACTCTGGAATTCATACAGCCTGACTCTTTTATGCATTCCTTCAGAAACTAGTTAGCCCTGTTATCAAAAGGAGAAGCATTCTGCCTCTGACAGGCTACTGAGTCAAAATCAGAAAACGGATCCCAATAGTATGTTTCAATACTGCAACCCCAGCACTATCACTCATGAAGACTTTTTATTCGGCCCCCAGAAAAACACAGCTTGCATTAGACAGACTCATGTGTATAAGCCAAAAACAATAGGGGAGTTAAATCCACCACGGAGTTACTAGATCACTGGAGAAATGGAGATGGTGTCTGTAAAAGTAACTTGGTAACAATCCAGGTTACCATTACGAGGATAACATTTCACTAAATGATGGTAAAGACTTAATTCGTAACAAAGAGGAGCCACAACAGCAGAAATCAAAGATGGAAAAACAAACTACTTTCCTCTTTTTGAGCTGCATGCTCTGTTTTATTTACATAAGATATACACCATATTCAGGAGCAAGCCTTCCAGACCCCAGCTTCTTACTTTTGGCAAAGAAAAGTGCGTGTGGACATGTGTGTGTTGCAAAGGTGGCAGGGAGGGAGGATTCTCAAATGTTTCCAGTATATGTTTTCCTTGACAGATTAAATAATAATAGAAAGTTATGACATTAAAAATACATCATTCGAAATAATGTTGACGTGTCTTTTCCTATATACATTTTTTCTTTTGTGGTAGGTGGCGTAATGTTACACAACTTTTAAAAAGTGCAAGGCAGGCTGTGAATTACTTCTTTCAAATCTTTACGTCAAGGGAGCAACTTTTCAAAAGTTATTCCGAAGCCCAGGATTTCTGCTCCCCACACCTAAACCCCAAACCACTTGTGAAAATTCAGCTTTTCAAACAGAGCTTGGCTCTATTACTTCCAGCTGTCTCTATCTTGCCAAGTGTCCTGACACACACATATTCTATCGGTAAATCAACAGAGAAAGAGAAGAGAATGTTAAAAAAAAAAAAAAAAAAGTGGAACTCTAAAAAATGAATATAAAATGCCTAAACATCTCTATTTTCAAAAGGTATATATGCACATACCAAGGTAATTTTCTACAATTATCAGAGTTGTCCTTTTTCACATCTAAGTATTATACTATCACCCCCTTTTTGAGAATGTGTTTTACACACACACACATACATACACACAACACACACACGCACACACATACACACACACACATTGTATTTTTCAAGTGTGATTGAAATCGTTTACTTTATCTGACCTCATGCCATTTCTATGAACTGCTACCTAACTTGAGTCCTATAGACGAGACTTAGTGCAGTCCGTGGAGAAGCATGGTGACTCAAATCATATGCGGCCTCCACCTTCATCTCTCCAGCTGTAGAATCACTGTGTGCCGATATCTACAGTGACATTTTCAAAATTAGATACTCTATATGGGGGAAAGCATGGGCCCCAACTCACAAGGACAAAGCAAGGACTGCTTGGTATTTTATTTCTGTGGCAGGTTATTTAGGATACAAGGGGCACTAATTGGCACCCTCCCAAGCTGTGACATTTGTGATCTGCTGCCAAAGGGCAAGAGAAAGATGTGTAGCTGCCTTTTCTTCCTTGTGTGCCATCAAACAGATACCAAAGCAATCGTCTCCATTCTGACTCTGAGAACTCTGGGACAGCTTAGCTGACAGACTTAACCATTTCCCCACTCCCCCATCCCATCATTTTGAAGGGGGCAGTTTGAGTTTGTTCAAATGTGGTGTGGGCAAAATCACTTCAAGTGGAGGGGTGCTTAGGGAAGAGGGAGAGATATCTACTTTGGCTTGTAATTGTGTATTAGCTTGGTGCAAAATGAATGGCAAAAGCCGCAATTACTTTTGCACCAACCTAATACGTAGACTTCTGAACTCCCATCTCCTCTGGGCCTTATGCCTGCCAGACAAGCATTTTCCCCCAGGCTGTTAAGAGGTATTGACAATGGCACATTTTAAACTCTAGGGGGAGCTCCTGGCACCCACTTACCAGGAGGTCACTATGGTAAAGGTGGAGCTCAGTATGCTAAGTAAATGGGGTTAGAAGTGAAACTTCTCTGATAATGGTGATGCTCTTGACTTTTCAGGTTCTTCCTTGTTGCTTTCTCTGAACTTCTGCATGGTATGTGCTTTTATAACCCTATTGATTTAGCCTTTTCTCCTTTACAACCGGTCACATAAGTTAGGGCCGGCGCAGCCTGCTGTTTGGGAGGGTTCCCATCCTGTCAACCATGAAAAGCGCAAGGTAACCAGAGAATAGGGCTGGAATGGGATGCTTATCCAAACTCTGCCCTAGTCGGAGGGACATAGATCTTGTCCTCTTTTCCATGTCTTCCTGCTTGCTTCCTCCTCTGCTTTTCTTCCATTGGAGTGGAAAAATCAAGAAAGCCTAGAAAAGAGCTGGCCTAAATTCCAGCCCCTAATTCTCAGATAGCAAAAGAATGCTGAGGGTTACAAGGTCTTACCAGTTTTCCAGTATGAATACGGGATAGGGATTTATAGTCAGTCCCAGAAAGAGGATGTCTTGTTTGTGGGTTCCTGTGTTTATATCCCAACAACCCAGTGCACTGGTAAGTGTTGAGAAATGATTCAAGGATGTGGAATCATCTTGAAGTCACTGTAGACACCTGACCAACAGCAGTCATAGGCCACTGAGGGAAAGAATGCTGGTGTCCTATCACTGCAGAAGCTCCAAGTGGCAGCCTACTATGAGTTTAGACTGACTTACGGAGATAATAAACACTTTTATGACTGAGCCAACCAGATGTTGGAATGGTGGAATCCAGTAACAGATTAACCTAACTGAATCTAATTGCTGCACATTCAGACTGAGTGATTGATGCTCCACTGATCTTGCATATAGCCAAAATATTCATCTACTGCACGACAGCTGATTCTGCCCATACTTGTTGACATGGCACGTTTGACTTTAGTCACATGTCCATATATTTTTCTTCTTTCTCTCTGATAATAGAAATCATGTGCTTCTCATCTTTGTATCATCCACGATGTCATGAATAAGTGACCAAAAATTATTTATTGAATAAAAGACATAGCAATTTATGTGCACAAATAAAGAGAGTGCTAATCTGTTTTGGACATGTCTAACTATGCAGATGGCAATTACCTCTAGAAGGTTCACTTTAGGTGTAAGAGATAGAAGTCCAAAAGTTTAGGATTTGAAGAGTGTGTAGGGCCTAGAGGAGAAATTAGAAATTTGTACTTGTTTTACTTTTGTCTTTTCTAATGTATTATCTTTTAGATCTTTCCTACTTGAATGAATTCCTCGCCCAACATTATACAAAATGAGATAATGCAATTATCAGGCCAATTAACAATAATGCAATAATTATAGCAGTAATATTAGTTGTAGCTTTAGTGTTACAACAGTAAGACTTCTGTGCATTTTTCTATGCATTTTACTCATATTAACATATTTAATTCCCATAACAACCAACCCTGTGGAAGACAGCATTTGTATGTACTGTTATACTTATTTTATGAATGAGAAAACTAGGGCAGAAAGGGAGTAGATGAATTACTCAAGGCAACTATGTAAAAAAAAAAAGAGCTAGGAAACCACAAAAGTCAAAGTCAATAAAATAGACTTGTGGCATTCACACTTTTAGCACTTATGAGTTTACATCTTGATTATTAATCTGAAAATCCATGATGTAGTAAGGTATAATTTTGCAGATGCCCAAATGTTAATAGTGTCCACTGCAAGGCTGACATAGAAATAAGTCACCCAGCTAGTTAGTGAACCTAGTCATCCACACAGCAGCCACTTCTTAGAACACTTTCTTTATTCTCTTTTCGATCTTTTCTATATTACTGACTGTGGCAAAGTAAACTTTTCTGTTCTCCTGTGAAATAAAAAAAATACACTAAACAAAATACAAAAGCTTAGTGTGAAAGATGAAAAGAATTAACTTGTAATGTGAATATATGCATTGAAAGCACATGACTCTCATTGGAAATAGAAACCAAGAAAAGCCAGAACTAGCACTAACATTTCTAAACTCATATTTGGAATTTATTAAAGCTTATGAGAATTATCCTTTGTGACTATAAAGGGCCTACTGAACAACAGTCTCATAAAGAAAAGGCCTTTTTTGATAAATAATCATGGAGTATGTGATCAACACTAGCAGGTGAGTGCTTGTTTCTGACATCAGTGTCTAGGAATCAGAACAATGGGTTGCTTATCAAATGCTGTGAGCAAGGTTCTGGGCCAAGTATAAAATGTAGGTAAGCAGAGCCAGACCTCCCATGGCCACGCAATAAGTCTGACTCCAACTATCTCATTAGCTTCATGGGGCTGCCATCTCCACCATTACAACCCTGGTTTATTTAGGCTCTGTTTCTGGAAGGCTCTTACTAAAATGCAAAGTAATTAGGAAAAGATAAAAAGCAACCGAGAACCAAGTAAGCCATTCCCATAACCATTTATGAAATTATCTTTTCATTAGTGCTTCAACAGAAAAGGAAATTTATAGAGATCGAGATGGGACCCATCATTATGGAGCATGGGCCACATGGGGGTGAGCACATATCCAGGAATAATCTCGAGTGGAGGTGCCTGGAAGAAGCCTCAGGACCACTGGAGTTGAAAGATGACAAGACATAATGGGAGGATGATTGGATTGAAAGCGGAGTCACTGATACACCACTTTCCAGGTGCCACCTCTTTGCATCATATTGACCCTGTTAAGTTTAATATGATACAGGTAAGGCTGACAGACAGAGCTGAGAGCCTGGATTAAAAGCATAAAACCCACAAAGCCGAATTTAATGAAGCAAACTTTTGCCAACGACCCTGGTGTTTGGTACAAACCTGATAGCTTTCCTAGTGCAAGTTCTGGGTCACAGAGCATATGTTGGCTAGCATCTACTCTCATTCCCGATTAATTATAGATGCTGGATCTATAAGATCCTTTGTTAGAAATAACTAAATAATAAATGCCTATAAAGCAGTTTGCGTGCTGTGCTTAATAAGAACAAACTCCACAGAAATCCAATTTAAACACTTATTGCTTTTTTGAGCCAGAATTAAATTGGATTTGTGTTTCTGAACTCTTTGGCATCAACCATTGCATGGGTGGATTTGGCACAAGGACCGCCTCTGGGGCCAGCTGTGCAGAAATGTTGTTTGCCTCAGAAGTTGGTGTTTACCAAATATGGCCTCTGGAACAAACCAAAAACCCAACCATTTTCAAATTTTCAAAGGGTGTCATGAAGTTCTCAAAGATATTCTCCAAGCAAAAATAATTTGTATTCACTTCAATTTCAAAAAGTAATAAACAGTACCCTCTAAGAGAAGAGATTATGCCAAGAGCAGATAGAAAGGCTAGGATGTCCAGTTCCATAAGGATAAGAAGATCATTGTCAGGTGTGCTGATGACACCAACATGGTCAATAATGTAGAGTTTTCAGTCTTCTGAAAAGGTGTGGAATGGCAAGCGCAAGGGGTTCTCAGGTTTCACATGTTATATGCCTTGTTTCTCCTATTTTAGCATCTTTTGCATACTAGGTTGTATTTTAATTCATTGAAAAACAAAAAAAAATTGTGCTATCCAACATCAGTGGTGCAGATAGGCAGTATCATGAACAGAACTGCTGAACAGTCTTTAGACAACACTGTGAAATTTGTTTTCCTTTATTTTATAAAAAGTGAGTGGAAAACAGAAAAAAAATTAAATGTATATTTATAAGTTCTATGACCTGAACACAGATGGTCATTTTCAGGTGAGCCTAGAGCAAGGAACTTGCTCAAATCAGAAGCACTTTGGATTGACTTTGCTGTATGTGTGTTTGCCAAGCGAAAGAATATACTGCAATTAAAGAAGATAACAAAAGTGTGAGAGAAATGACAAAGAAAGGCGGTAGTATGGAGAAAAAGGAGATCAGTTGCTGGAAAGCAGCATAATTTTTTTTCAGAGACTCAAAAGCAGAGGGGTGTCCTGCTCCACGGAACTGTTGATACAATCTGGTATACATTGTCATTTATCAACAGGAAAGGAGGTTGACGTTCAGCTTTCTCATGACCATTTATTTTTAAGAAAACCTGTTTGGATTCCATTAAAGCTGGCATTGCTGAGCCCAGCCAGATTTCCTACACATTCCCTACTTAATTCCTTTATACAAACCAGAAGCAGCAAGTCCTTCCCCAGATCCAAATCATGACCCTTTATCTACTGATAGTCACATCAAGTAAGCAGAGAGAACTAGAATTTAAGGGAAGCTATTGTCTTACAATATTAACATTTGTTATCTAAATTTAATAGTGAATTATTATTTTTAAATAGTCATGGGTATGTTTCATAGCATCCAATGGGGAAGAAGTAAGTCTATTTATGTATACCATAATTAAGAATTACAAAAGATATGAAACTATTTTAGAAGCAAATCTTCTGCTCAAATTTTGTATATGTGACATCTTTGGGTTATGGAAAGCATTCTTGATAAAGAAACACACAGTCTTAAATGGCTTTGCAATAATACACACCCAGATTTTTTTCCAAGCCTATAAAGGACATTGTGGCTTCCTCCCCAAAGATCCCCTCCTCAAAAAGTAGACCCTAATTTGTCTAAGCCAATCAGAGTGGTACTATCTTTCTTGACACAGAGATTGGTTAAGAAATCGCAGGCCTAAACTAATTGCCACATAGCAACCTAATGACTTCTGTGAGTCACTCAGAAGTGGCCCCAAGTAAGGCAAAGCTTAGGACTTTCAATGGGATTTTGGAAACAGATGTTTTCTCTGTGTCTGGACAGTGAGAGTTGAGGCTATGAGATTTGGAACAACTGCAGGCAAGGAATAAAATGAGTGAGCTCTGTCATAATTCACGACTCTGGAACTTGCATGGTCTTTACTGTGTTTGCTCTTGGAGCGCTCTTGAAATTTTAAACTTACCAACTGACTGCTCAGCCATACCTTTGTAAACATGTGCTATACTCTTATAATTGAATACAAGTCAGTATGTGCAACAATGTGGAAATAACAATGCTATCCGATTTAATAAAATGTTTGAACACTGAAAAAGAAGAAAGAAAGAAAGAAAGAAAGAAAGAAAGAAAGAAAGAAGGAAAGAAAGAAGAAAGGAAAAAGAAGGAGAAAGAGAAAGAGAGAAAGAAAGAAAAGAAAGAAAGAGGAAGGGAAGGGAAGGGAGGGGAGGGGAGGGAAGGGGAGGGGAGGGGAGGGAAGGGGAGGGAAGGGGAGGGGAGGAGAAAAGAAAAAAGCAAAGAAAGAAAGAAACAGATCCAGTTCCAGATACATTCTTCAGCTTCTAAAACAAGCTATTCTGAGGCTGTTCTACTTCTGGACTATCCAGTGACCTGAGTCAATAAATTTCCTCTATTACATAAGCCATTTTTATTTGGTTTCCTCTTTATAGACTAAGTAAAGAGTTTTAACAGATAGGATAAATTTAGACAAGTTTCTAATCTGTTTAGGACATCCTTTTTCTCATCTCTCAGTGGAAACATTCCATCTCTCTAATGGTCTCATTAAGGGATAAGTTTAATAAGAGTCACTCTTTCACCCATCCATCCATCCATCCATCCATCCATCCACCATCCATCCACCCATCCATCTACCTGTTCATCTATGTATCTATTTGCTCCTTTATTTAATGAGCACATTTTATGTGTCAAACACTGTCGCGTGAGAAAGAGCAATGAACACAAATGACAAAGTCCCTAATGTTACACTATTATACAACAAAGAAGTGATTTCAGAATTTCTCAGATGTGTATGCCATGGAGCTCACTAAGGTTGATAGGAAGTATTGAGGAATTGTATAACATGGTCAGGGAAGGCCACAATGATAAGAATGGACATTGCCACAGAGATGAGAAATAAATGAGGAGGCCAGCCAGGCAAAGATGAAGGAAAGCATTCCAGGAGCAGAAAAAGGAGGCCCAAGGTCCTGTGGAGTCCTGTATTGGACTTATTCAAGTGATAGCAAGAAGGCTTGTGGCTGGAGCTCATGTAGAGTGAGATGATGCTTCTTAAATATCATGGCCAATCTATCACCAGCCCTATTAAGTTAACCACCTAAAAATTATTTTAATCTATTACTTTCTCTTATTTCCACAGCCTTGGCTTCTATCTTCATCAACATTAAATTCCCTGGTGGCAGCAATCTCCTCAGTGCACTTCCCTCCCTGAGTGTTACACCTCTGCCGTCATCCATTACAGTGTTTTGAGAACAATCTATAGACACATGCATACGCCAAGAAAGCCTTCAGTTAAAATTGTCTGTTGTCCTCTGGGCACAGTGGCTCATGCCTGTAATCCCAGCACTTTGGGTTAGGAGGCCAAGGCGGGCAGATTACTTGAGGTCAGGAGTTTGAGAACAGCCTGGCCAACATGGTGAGACCCCATCTCTACTAAAAATACAAAAATTAGCCGATGCGGTGGTGCACGCCTGTAGTTCCAGCTACTTGGGAGACTGAGGCAGGAGAATCACTTGAACCTGGGAGGCTGAGGTTGCAGTGAGCCAAGATTGCACCACTGCACTCTCGCCTGGGTGACAGAGCAAGACTCCATCTCAAAAAAAAAAAAAAATCATCTATTGTCTCTCCATTACTTACGGTAGTGACCTGCAAACTTATATTCATCCAGACCCTATCAGTAAAATAATTTTAGCACATACTTTTCCCACAAGAATTATATTTCCTCTGTTATTGCATTTGTATGCTATACATATTTTAAAGCTTTACCAAAAACGGAAAGAAAAAACAGTATCAAAGAGAAATATAAAGACAAACTTTAATATTTTCTTCTTGTGTCTCAGTGGATCATTTTGTGCATCCTAATGTGGGGATTGCTGACTCCTTAGCATGGCAGATCCTTCAGCCCTTTGCTAACTCTATGACTTCCTCTCTTGTCTCATGTTTATGCCGTAATAGAACCAAGCTGTTTGTAACTCTTCATACATACCATCTTTGTTTCCTGCCCCTGTGCTTTTGCCCAGGCTGTTTCTTCCACCTGTCATTTCTTCTTCCCAGTCTATCTAGGTAATTTCTCCTTAACCTTTTGGTGTCTACTTAGCTGACAACTCTTCCATAAATAATTCTATGACATTTGTACTCCCAGGCTGGGAGAGGAGAACTCTAAGATTCCATAGCATCGCTGCTACTTCCCTTTTCCTATATTCTCACCGACTGTTCTGTATTGCATTTGGCAAAGAGTACGCATTCATTTAGAACTTTTATGGTGGAAAAAGTAATGGGTGAATGAATAAATGATTAAGTAAACGATACCACAGAATGAGATGCAATATGGTCAGGTGAAGGACACACAGTATGGATTCTGGAGCCAAACAGTCTGGGTTCCAAATAAGGCTGCACTATGTCTGTGCTGTGTGTATTAGTCCGTTTTCACGCTACTGTAAAGAACTGCCTGACACTGAGTAATTTACAAAGGAAAGAGGTTTAACTGACTCACAGTTCAGCATGGCTGGGGAGGCCTCATGAAACTTAACAATCATGGTGGACGGCGAAGGAGAAGCAAGGCACCTTTTTCACAAGGCTGCAGGAAAGAGAAGTGCCAATCGAAGGGAGAAGAGCCCCTTCTAAAACCATCAGATCTCATGAGAACACACTCACTATCATAAAAGCATGGGGGAACTGCCCCCATGATCCAATTACCTCCACCTGGTCTCTCCCTCGATACGTGCGGACTATATGGATTATGGGGATTACAATTCAAGATGAGATTTGGGTGGAGACACAAAGCCTAACCATATCACTATGTAACCTTAACCAGAGAATTTCTCCAAGCCTCAGTTGACTTTTTGTAAAATAGGAGTCATAAAATAACACGTAGCTCCCAAGATTGTTTTAAGGATTAAAGGAACTAAAATACGAAGACTTTTCAGCACAAATTTCCACCTTAATACATTTTAGCCATTCTCTATCAATAAATGTTAAATATGTCCCCATACTATTTATGATGGTGAGAAATTCAGGCTTGGGGCTCATCAGAAGGTTTAGTTCTTGTTGTGACAAGGTGATATTGTAAAACCAGTGTGAGTCCTGACAACAGATTTTAAAAATGATAAGCCTGTGTTTTTGCTGTGAATTAATACCTAATAATGGTGAATTCACCTTTGAACTGCCTCAGGGGTGTGTTGAAAGGAAGAAGTAAATAATAATAGGATCCTATCAGCTCAGAACAGTGAGACAGTCCACTGTGAATCACAAAAGAAACCCCGAGAAAAAGAAGCAGGAGCTGTTGAGGCAGTGTGGAACCAGTACAATTTAAAAAATGTTGACTACAAGAGAATACCAGTCATTCTTTTGATATTTGCATAATATGGATTTGTGAACAGCAAATAATACTTCTGAAAGCCATGTCTACCATTTATATCGCATGTGTATGTGATTTCAAATTAGCTTGCCTGCTAAGTTACCTCTTAATCCAACAGAGTGTAACAAAGCTGAAGGAGCAAGTGCAATGCATTAAATACACATTTCTTAAAAATAAAGGCCTAGCCATGCATTCAGCCTGTCCTTAATACCACATATTATATATTTACACAGCCTTGCTGTATTGGTTCCAGCTTACTTACTATAAGTAAGAGTATCTTTTTAACTTTTGAAAGATATTTTCTTAGGGAACTCATGAGGTTTCTTCCCACCTATTTTACCCCGATAACAATATCTTTTAAAATACAATTTCTGTAATATTCATCTCTCCTCTGCCAGATTCTGTTTTCTCTTTTGCTGCTTTTCAGAATTCAGAGTGGAGTGCTCACATGCAAGATGAGGCAGTGAGCTTTTCCGAGTTTTTCAGAGAAAAAGGATTTGCAGAGAAAACTCCTCCATTCATTTCTTTGGAACATCTTCAATGTATGTCTCACTACCTCAGAGTTCCTGCAAAAGCTCAGATAATTGGAGAAAAATGGTATGGCAGAATGCATTAACATGACACAGTATGTAAACAGTTACGGAAACACAGAAGCAACAGAAAAATTCCACATTCATCCCTACAGAGATTGAGAGTCTCAGGGCTCTGTGATGATATGGGGACCCTCTTGCCTCTGGGTCATTGACTGTAATTTCACGCTAGGAGGAGGCAACTGTCCACCATTCCGGTGCAGCAACTGATCTGTGGTTCAGGTAAAATAAGACATCATTCCCCTTCAGCTCAGAGACAATCATTTATTTTGAGTCACGAGAATGTGCTTTAAACATGGTGATGAAGACATTAAAGGCAAGGTGGTGTTTGAATTGGAGAAGGCTTGTAAGGTGAACTTTGGAGTCAAATTCTGGATTTACTTGAAAAAAATTACTTAGGCTGGGCGTGGTAGCTCACGCCTGTAATCCCAACACTTTGGGAGGCTGAGGCAGGTGGATCACCTAGGTCAGGGGTTCGAGACCAGCCTCACCAACATGGTGAAACTCCGTCTCTACTAAAAATACAAAAATTAGCCAGGCATAGTGGTGGGCAACTGTAATCCCAGCTACTTGGGAGGCTGAGGCAAGAGAATCACTTGAGCCTGGGAGGCGGAGGTTGCACTGAGCCGAGACCGTGCCATTGTACTCCAGCCTAGGCAACATGAGTGAAACTTCATGTCAAAAAAATAAAAAATTACTTAACCTCTTTAGGTCTGATAGATCACCCATCTTTCAAATGAGTTAAATAATTACTTAACCTCATTTAGCTGCTTGTGAGAACTGTATAAACTAATTCTTATAAAAATAAAACCATAGAGTGCATAGTGAATAGAAGTAAATTCTCGATAGAAAGAAGTATTATTGTCATTAGTACTGTTAAGACAAAAGAGAATTTATGTAAGAAAACAGAAGGAAAGAGGTTGCTGAGTGAGGCTGAGGAGGGGAAGGGTGAATGCAGACTCTATGCAGGCCCATCTGACAATTACTAGGATTCTCCCTGGATTTGGGGACTATGAAGAAAGAAGCTTCAACCTTGGCTCCACAGTCTACCAAAGATCCCTGCAGAGAGGGATGATTCTCTGTGTACTATATTACTGGGTAAGTGGGGGAGGTTTAGATGCTGGAGGTGGTGGGGATGTAACGATGTTAGGGTTTCTATCTCAGCACTGTATGCTATATTAGCTGTGTGACTTTGCCAGAGTCACTTTCTCTCTGTGAGAGTCAATGGGGATGCAGTGTAGAGGGCTGGTTCCTTTCCTTCTTAGGAACAAGATCTTGTTTTTGTTTTGGGTAAGCACATTCCTGCCCTGAGTTATGTTTTCCAGCTTATAAGTAGGTATGGTATATGTCTAAATAATGGCCAATGAGACACATTGCGAGGACTATCATGGAACTTAAAGGGAGAGAGGCATTATCCTTTTTTATTCCCACCTCCATCCTCTTGTCTAGAAACAGAAGTGATGGCTGGACCCCTAGTGGCCATCTTAAGACCGTGAGGATGGTAGAGCAGATGACATCTGGAACACCCAAAATGCTTTTATATGAATGAAACATAAATGTCCATCTAATTTTAAGCCTCTACTTTGAGATTTTCTGTCACATGCAGCCAAACCTAAGTTCTAACAAGGCAAATATAATAATGGTACCTCCCCAATAAGATTTTTGTAGTGATTTATCAAGTTTAGCTTGATAAAGTGGTTAGCACACGATTTGGTTTTGTGTATTTATAAATTCATTCATTCATTAAATATTTATCATATCTACTCTGTTTCAAACCTTCTCCTTGGCATTGAGAACACACAGGTGAATAAGACTATAAGGCTCAGACCACAAACAAACCATATTCCATAAAAGAGACTGATGACAAACGTGCAATGACATAAGTCAATCTGACAGAGACTGAAATCTGATAGAAGAAAATTAAATGGGGTTATGCTGTTGAAAGTAGAATGAAGGAGAGGACATTATAGTGGTCAAAGAAAGTCTCTTTAAGGAAATGACATTTCAATGACATCAGAATGATAAGAAATGAGTCAGATACAGATTTTGAAGGAAGAACAGTCCAGGTGACGAAGAGGGTAAGTTGGAGGATGCTGAAGTGGGAAGATGATTAGTATGGTATCCAAATAAGCCTTCCAGGCTACAGCATGGGGAACAAGGTTGAGGGTAGAAGGTGAGATTAACATGTAAGCAGGTCAGGTTGTAGAGAACGTTGAACAGCTGGTGGAAGAGGTACCCATAAATATACATCATGGAAGTAGGATCTGTATAATCCAGGTCACCCCCAAATCCAAAATTAGTGCAATTAAACACCATCAAGTTACTGCACTTATTTCTTGCAATATGGAAAAACTTGTTTTCCAGCTAAAGCAAAGTGGATAAATATTCCAACAAGATGTTCAATTGGTGGCAAGAATTATGACTTTATAAGGGCCCATGCGTGGTTGAATATAAACAGGAAGTCTCCTGAGGCAGTGAGTTGGCATGCAAGTAATCTTGTCCCATGAGTCCAGACAGAATGTCCCGTGTGTATGCATGTGGCAGGAGACGTACAGTGTGCTCAGAGAGGAACGTGAAGGCAGAGCAGAGTGTGCACACATACACACACACATACACACACACAAACACACACAGAAGACAGGATAGAGATTCTCCTCAGCAGTTACTCCAGGGAGAAATGTTCTAGCAAAGAAAAGATTATTTTTATTTATGTATTATTTTTGTTTGTTTTTCTTGCATGCACACGTGTGTGTGTGTGTGTGTGTGTGTGTGTGTGTGTGTGTGTGTGTTCATGACAGGTACACAGTTCCCTACTTCCCTCCCTCTTTAGGTTACTCTAACCACAAATCAGAGAGGAAAACTACTTAATGATGTGATATTTTGCTTTATTGAGAGAGAACCGGGCATAGACATTCCTTACCTGGGGTAATTGATAGTGTACCATTAAAAACACTCACAGAAGGTTGAATTCGAAAACCACCTAACAGGCAAAGTTAAAGAAGAGTGAGAATGGGAAATGGTTGCTGGGATCGATTCCAGACCTGCTTGCTTTATGATGCTTGTAATTGTTTGTTCAAGCGTTCCTGTATGGATTGTTTTTCTACGATACTATCTATCCTTTCAGAAATAACCGAGGACAGATGCTGAACTATTGCCACAATCCCCTCCATTGTCTAGAAATGAGCTACACTGATTTCAAAACTTCTATTATTTTGTGGCTCACAGGATCACCAGAGATGGAATCTTTTGTAAGCTTGGGGAGCTTGCCTTTCTTTATGTTCTCATTTTTTGTCTTCCCCAAATACTGAGTAGACAGGAAAGAAAATAGGTTTTCTCAACTGTCTCTGGATTCTTAGGGCTTCTTATGCCCAAAAGGCACTGTTTGCAGCAAAGCCACCTTCAGGCCACTTGGAAAAGAAGAAGACTTTGCAGTATATACATGTTTTCATACATTAGAATGAGTTTTACTGTTTCATGGTTCACACTGATTTTTTAAACAAAATTTTATTAAGGGTTTTGGCAAGAGAAGGATATGTGGAAGAAATTTTCATTTGGCAATAGCTGGGCTATTTTTGGTTAGGAGACAAAGAAAAATCTCCCTTGCAGTATAAAAAAATTATAATAAAACTCTAACTATTCTATATCTTCCTTGTCTTCAGATGAATAATTTACTCACTGGAATTGCCTCTAAAACATATATGCCTTTTGGGAAAAGGCAAAGAGGTGTAAGACGCTTGTGTGTTAGGATGAAATAGAAGACCCTACCAAAATGCACGCTGCCCCTGTTTTTATTTTTGTCTGTACATCTTCTCCACTAATAATGGAGCTCTGTTGCATTATATACCAGATTCCATGAAGAGCAAAAAAGCTTGTCTCTCTGGGTGATGATGAAAGACACACAATTCTAGAGAAGACCACGGATTCTCCAGAAATTCAGCAAAGCATGTCCTCCATAGAGGCATGAATCTTTTACCAATTCCTCATATTCCTTCCACTAATCTACACTATTTATTTCCACCAGACTTTGCTGGATCTACTGTTTTAATGCCAGTGAATTCTACTCTAGTTAGTCTGCCTCAAAACAGCACCAAAGGCCCAAAGTGCTTAGATATAAGAGTTGAAGTCTGGAGAAAGCAGTTGGATGAAAGAGAAGAAAAGAATAAGAAAAACTGAGCATGAGGCAAGAGGAGGCATGGTGATCAAGGGACCTTGATTCGCAACTGAAGCAATGCAACTTTTAGAAAAATAAGAAAGAGCCCTCTGCAAGCATCCACAATCAGCAACTCCAATAAACTCTATTTTCAATATACCTGCTCTGGCTAGATTGCTTCTTTGTAAAATAATGTGCATATGTAAGAGGGAGACAGCCCAGCTACCAGGGCATTGAGCCCACTGGCCCAAGGAAATGAGGAAGGTCTGGAATGTGAGACAGTGAAATTTAAAGGAAAGCTTCCAATAAGCCCAGCTGGCGGGTAAGCTGTGGGATGGCAGACGAGGCAGCAGGGGCCCTTGTGGGTCCATCTCTGTCTCACTGTCAGCCTGGCAGGATAGCCCACCCGGGTCTGTTTGCTGGTGGGACTCAGAAACCTCCTGAAAAAGAACCATCATAAAAAGGGAGAATAGAGGCTCCCAGGCTTCATGAAAAGGAAACAGGCCAGAGTTTGAGGAGAAGAGCAGTTCCCAGCACAGCATCACATCTGTCCTTCAAGAATAATTTGCAGGTCCTTCAAACAGAAGCTGAGGATGGGGGAGAGCCTGTAAGAAAGAGTGAAGGGATGATAAAACAAGAAAGGCCACATGACTATGTTCTCTGCATGGGCAGGGCTGCCTCATAGTTTGTGTAACGGCAGATAGAACCACAGCAGAGCGGAGCCTCTGGATTTGCTATGGCAGTGGGACATGTGCACAGGGCTGGAGACACTGCCAATATCCTCTCAAGAGCAGAGAGGCCACCCAAGCATCACGTTTGGCCCCCTCTGGCCTCTTCCCAACTCTTGTCACTCTGCGTCTGTACCTGGGTCTCACCGTCTTTGTCTCAGTCTCCATCACCATCTCTCTCTCTCTCGCTATCCACTTCTCTCTCTATCCTCTCTCCTTTTCCTTTATTTCCCCCTCACTGTCTCACTCTTTCACTATTTCTCATTTCATCTGTATCTGCCTTATTCTAGCATGTGTTCTCCCTCACCATCTTTTTCTCTTTTCCTGTTTTTCTCTCTCCCTTCCTCACATCTCTTTTTCTCTCTTTTATCATTTCTCCCTCTCTATCCCCTTTTCTCTCTCCCTCTATCCTTTTATCTCCTTTTTTCTCTCACCTTCTCTCACGCCCCCTTTCTCTCTTCTTCTCTCACCCCTTTTCTCTCTCCTTCTCTCTATCATCCCCTTTCTCTCTCCTTCTCTCTCACCCCCTCTTTCTTTCTCCTTCTTTCTCTCATCCCCTCTCTCTCCTTTTCTGCCTCTCTCTCTTTCTCTCCTTCTCTCCCTGTCCTTTTTCTCTCCTTTCTCCTACATCTCTCTCCTCTCTCTTTCCTCTCCCCTTCCTCCTTCTCTTCTTCTCTTTGTTTCTTTCCTTTTCTCTTTCCCCCCACTCTCTTTTCTCATGGTCTATATCCCAAACCCATCAGTGGTAGGAAAGAGGCTTGAGGTCCCACTGAACAAACATGGCTGAAGGCCAGGAAGGACATCACCTCTTGGGGATCACTGCTGATGGAGAGATACCCATCATTGGTGATGGAGAGATACTTCAGGGCTGGAGAGATACCCAAAAGCTGGCTCTGGCTGGTCTACTATGAACAGGAACTATCTGCCTTGAAGTCCTAGATCTGTGCCTGGCTCTGCAGGGGTGGCCACAGCAGCTTCTTCCGTAACATCTTTGCAAATGGCTCCATCAGGGCCAGAGTTTTCCTGCACTACAGTGGGGGCTGAGGAGAGTAGGGAGTAGGAACTCCCGGGCAGTCTCAAGATAAGGATGACCTCGAATTTCAGAGAAAAGACTGATATATTTTTCACTAACTGCCTTCTCATGGAGCCTCAAAATTGTACAGGACTAAGCGATGCAGGTCGTGAGCAGTTCTGATTATGAATTCTTCAATCTGTCTCTAACCCTCCCTACCATTTCATTTTCATCAAAAATATTTTCCTGGCATATAATTCAAATCCCTATCAGATTTGATCTTTATTGTATTTTTCATTATTTATTCAGCTCTGCATCAGCTCCTCTGCTGTGGGTGATCTCCTTTGAAGTGAAGCCTTCTTAGAAATGGCTCTTTTGTAACAGTGTTCCTTCCACTGTGCCCAGGATTGATCTACAATGCAGCCCGAGATAAGCCCCGAACCTGCTGTTGCTGTCTCTGTTAAATTCCAAATGTCTTTCACTGGCACCTTCCAGAAAGCATTTATCGGGAGCCTTTTAGGAAACAGAAATGACACATCCTGACTGCTGAGATCATAAGCCAACTGTCTACTCACACCCTGCGGACCTGAATATTTCAACTCTGTTCCGGATGGAGTCAAAAATTTCCAAATAATCATAAAAATGTCCTTCTCACTGGCCTGTAATTCATATGCTTTTTATCAACTCTTGAACCGTGAAAAGTTAACCACCTGGCCCCTTTGCCCCAGTCAGCATGCTCTTCTCTCCTACATAATTATCAGCTCTTAAGTAGAATTCTGATTTTATAATGCTCTACTATCATATGAATTCAAGAGCACTGGCCATGGTGGTTATTGTTTGTAATCTGGATTTGTCAAAAGAGGAATCCAGGAACTTAATTAAGTTCCTAGAGGCCACTCAGCAAGTCAATACCCAAGACAAAGGCAGGCCAGTGCCCACAGTCCTGAGGTTCACTGCCTCCCTCCAGGAGGACTATTGGTCTTGTCTAATGACTTGCAGTTCTTTTCTGACACATTCAGACTCATGGCCTATGACATTCACCTGTTAATATTGCTAGCTTTTAAAAAGTAACCATTTCTTTCTTCATTCCAAGCCTCGCACACTTATATTTGGTATGGTTGAGTGAGTGGTGTACCCTGCTAGAAAAACAAAACAAAACAAAAAAACCCAACACTGGTTTCCATTTCTATTGAGATATTTTTTATTTCTCCCTCTCCTGGAAAGAACAGAGATGCACAGGGGTCTGGTGAGAGGGCAAAGGGGGAGGAACAGAGCCCGAGGTTGCCATGCTTCCATGTGGAATGCAGCTCCATTTCCCTAATACTGAGGGTTTCTTCATGTCAGAGCCAAATTCCTTGTGTTTGTTTTGCAGCCAGGTGGCATGGAACAATGCACGGCTCATTCCAAGGGAGCTCAGTTAGAACACATGCTTTAACTCAATCAACACAAGCCTCGTAAAAAAAAATTCTGGGCCTTCCTGTCATTTTCTCTCACTAAAGGAGTTTATAGCCGACAGCATGGCCTTTAATTAAATTTGGACATCACACACCCAACAGAGAAACAACCAAAGTAAGCCAAGTCTTTATGTAAACTTTAGTTACTTATTAGGCAAAGGCAGAAAGACAAGCAATATTTATTTTCTGGTTTAGGGCTTAAAAATAATGAATGAGATTCAGGACTGATGTTGAGATTAAAAACTCACTCATCTGTATGTGACAATCATGGAAGAGGGGTTGCCATGGTATCAGCCCACAACCGCGGCTCCCCAGTCCTTCATTATCCATGTAAAGATCGGGGACACAGAAGGTGCTGATCCCTAATTGGACCTGGGCTCACGGTCTCCCTTCTTTTCTCGAACATCCCCCAATGTTGTGGGCCTGTCTTATGTGCATGTTCTCAAAAATAGAGCAGCTACTTGAACATTTTGTAATGCATGCCTTGAGAAATATTTAGATTCTCTCTCAAGCACTGAGAAAGCCAGTCTGAAACAACCCTTTGGCTGGACCAAATGGTGTTGAAAATTTGTCACAGGGTCCCCTGGGTTCTCCTAGTTCTCAAGACATTTGAGTGAGCATCTGAGTGCAGAATTCATTTGCAACCTTCTCCCATTGAACTGTTTGGGAGCTCCGATGTCAATCACCACATAGCCAATAGGAATAAGAAGCTCAATTCACTTTACATGGGTTGAATGATTTGATTTCACACTTACCCCTATGAGAGAGACACTGTTCTTTCCCCTGTTTTACAGACGGAGAAACTGAAGTGCAGAATTAATACAGCAAGTAAATATCAGGACCAGGATGTAAGTCTAGGCTAGTTCCCTCCAGAGCCATAGCTTCAACCCATGGTGTCCCTGAGCTCCAGTCAATGAGTTAGAAAGGAAATCTGCAGTTCTTTGTGGGGAGCATCCTATAAACTTCAGGGATGAGAGACATCTTCACACTCTTTTATGGAGCTGAATCTTATCTGCAGCATTCCTCTTTAACTGCCAGCACACCTTTGCACAAAACACCTTCAGCAGTGAAGTGGCTTCCTGGAGTAGCTGTGTTTGTCCCAGGCAGTTCTTGGAAAAAAATTTCTTACCTCTCTGTAACTTCCATTCATTAGTTTTAGTTCTTAGCCTGCATCTCTCCCATGTGACAGCTCATCCCCTCCTGCTTGGCCCCCAGAGTCATACCTTCTCAGGCAAAACATCCCCCTTCTCTCACTTGTGCATCATAGGACCCCGGCGTTGAGTCTTCCTGCAGGCTGGGAAGGGCAGTGCTCTCAGTCCAGGTAACTGAGTCTTTGTTGACAACAGAAATAATAGAGCACTTTCTGCCCTATCACTCTCCCACTTTTGTTTTACACTGGCCACGAAATCCTGAAAAACCCAGCTAATGATGCACTTTGTCTTTTCGGGGCTTGCTTCAGTCCCTGAAAGATCTGACTATATAAACACTGTGATATACATACAAACAAGGTCAAGGGGATCTGAAACATGAAACCGAACCCATTAACTGCCCCCTATAGGGTTGAGATGATGCATACAAAAAATAATGGATGAACAAATTGAATGGGCTAAAGAATCACATTGTCTTCTGAGACTAGATTCTACATCTATGCATCCCAAGTATTACCATGGAGGTGGAAGCTGATATGGACTTGCTTCAATGATGCAGCTATTCCAGTCTCAAGGGTGCACATATTCTATCTGGTTCTTCTAGAATGTGTTCTTTTGTCAGTGATGTTATAGACCTCAAGCACTTGAGGATACAAAAGTCTCCTTCCCTTAGGGATTTCTAAAATGTTGAATAGAAATTTAGAAAACCACAAACCCTTGGGGATTTCCAAATATCCCTAGCCCTAGGGGATTTCTTTTTTTTTTCCTCTTTTTCCTTTTCTTTTTTCTTTTCTTTTCTTTCTTTTTTTTTTTTTTTTCTTTTGAGAGGGAGCCTCGCTCTGTCGCCCAGGCTGGATGGAGTGCAGTGGCACAATCTCAGCTCACTGCAACCTCCGCCTTTTGGGCTCGAACAGTTCTCCTGCCTCAGCCTGCTGACCAGCTGGGATTACAAGCATGCACCACCACGCCCAGCTAATTTTTGTATTTTTAGAAGAGATGGGGTTTTGCCATGTTGGCCAGGCTGGTCTCAAACTCCTGACTTCAGGTGATCCGCCTGCCTCGGCCTCCCAAAGCGCTGGGATTACAGGTGTGAGCCACCGTGCCCAGCTGCCCTTGGGGATTTCTAAAATGTGGGGTTTTAAAAAATAATTTCAACTTCTATTTTAGAATCAGGAGGCACAGGCACAGGTTTGTTACATGTGTATATTGCAGGATGCTGAGGCTTAGGGTATGAGTGGTCCCATCAATTGTGAGCACAGTACCCAATAGTTTTTTAACCCTCGCTCCCCTCCCTCCCTCCACCCACCCTCTAGTAGCCTCAATGTCTATTGTTGCATCTTTATGTCCAAGAGTACCCAATGTTTAGCTCCCACTTATAGGAGAGAACATACAGTATTTGGCTTTCTATTCCTGTTCTAATTTGCCTAGAATAATGGCTTCTGACTGCATCCATGTTGCTGCAGAGGACATGATTTCATTCTTTTTAAAAATTGAAAATAGAAATGGACATATTACAGTTTCTGCCCTTTGTGTACTAGCTTTGCAAACAGATGGACCGAAACTCAAACACTGGTTTTGCCATTCGTTAGCTTTATGAACTTGTACAAGTTATCTCACTGATCCTCAATTTGTCTGGCATTTAATAGATACTCAGTAAACTATAACTCTTCATTTATGTGGTTATGACTATTTTCATATCAGTCAAAGTTGACTGCAGGAAACAGAAACCTGGTATTTCATGTAGAATGGGATTGAATGCAGTAGCTTAGCTGGCTGCAAAATTCCTAGACAGCATGGTAGATCAGGAGTCAGGAGCCTCACTCTGAACAAATTAGTACAGGGACATAAAACTATAGCTGCTGCAAGCAGAGGTCAGGAAGGCATTGCTGTTGCTGCCACAACTGCTTCTAGACACTTACAAGGCCAAGTCTGACAGCCACAGACACCTGAAAATACTCATTTCTGCAGCCATCTTCACCAACAAAAATAGCAGCAAGAAGATGGCCTTTGCCTTAACTTTATTCAAATCTCATTCAAGTGCATCTAATTGTCAGAACATCATTTACATCTAGAACCCTAGCTGCAAAGGAGTCAGGAAAGTTGATTTTTAACCCTCAAGCCCCTGTGGCACAGTACGACACATTGAAAAAGGTGAAAATGGATGCTGAGCGATAACTGACAATATCCGACACATTACTCCTGGCTGCCATCTCTACCACCAATGGAATGTGGCTTTAGTACCATTGCCACAGCCATGGGGATGGTCTGGCACAGAGTTTGTGGCAATTTTAATCCCCATAAGGTAAGTAACGTGGGTTTCTGGTACTGCAGCCTATAACAATTTACAGACATTTTCTTTGTTTGACACTAATTAGGCCACATGGGATCAGATGCGTGACCTTTTCTGTTTAACATCCTAATGTGAACAACAGAGTTTATCAGCCCTGGGTAGAGAGTCACATTCAGAATTGAAACAAACACATGGGATCAGACTGGAACAGTTTTATGAATAATAAAGACATTTCTGATTAAATAAATTGCTCAGTGCTCAAATCACCATTCAAACAGGAAATTGACTCTTACATCTGTTCTTTATAATAAGCATATGGAAACACACCCTATGAACTTCCAATTAGCCACTCCAATAATACATTATGTCAAATGGGTGGATTACAGATACAGCAGAACCACAAATGATTCAAACTGCTATTTTATTCTCTTCTCTGAGTGTCCAAAGAACTAAGAAACCCATGAATGTCATTTTACCTGTATGCTCATCGTTTGTTTTCTCTGCTCTTTGATTAGCATGAAAAACAATTGACTAATGATAGGCAACCAGAGAGGAAAAAACCTAGTGGATACTAAGGTGGGGAAAGATGAAGGATATGTGTTCATGGTATACAGACAAACTAAAGAGGCATAAACAGATAAAGTGAAACTTTTGAGTTTAAAAAAATGAATTGACAGGAGCAGTATCACTTAATTCTAACTCATCGGAGATGCAAAAGAGGTTGAACTTTTTCTTACAATAGATTCATACAAAACCATTTACAGAGTGAACACTCCTAAAACATGTGTATGTAGACAAACATCTAATTGTAGTTTGCTACACAAAGCCATAAAAAATAAACATTCATTTAAAATACTATTAACTTAATTATGGTAATAGATTCAATGTGTAAACCCAGAAAATTACAGGCTGGTGATATTAGCTTGTTCAATTTTAAAATAATGTGTTGATTATTAATAGCAACCCAGTCCTAGTAATAACCAGATCATGACAGTGGAATGGTAAATACACATGAAGTGTTCAGAAAAAAAAAAAATTCACGGATGCTTCTATTATGGCAAATAAGAGTTGTCATGATTAAAACAGCCCTACCTCTCTAAAAATGAATTAATCAAAACACTTATCCTGAATGGCATTTTCTGGTTCTGGGAATAAATTTGTTACTTCTCACTTGTCACACTAATGAAGTCCCACTGTAAGATTTAAGAGCAACAGCTCATCTGGCATTGTTATTTATATCTCCATTGGAAAGTAGCTGTTTTCTTACTTATAGTGCTTACTGTAAGGTCCAGTTTTAAGAATACAGCAAATTGAGTTAAATAGTGACTCTTGCTGTTGTCTCATTATTTTTTCCTTTTAAATATAATTTTGAAATAAAAAAAAAACTAGTCCTCTTTATTTCAATGCATTCATATTTACCCAAATGAGAAAAGAATAAATTACACAAGTGCAATGTCCACAAAAAACATCAATGAGATACATATGTGTAATAAACCACACAGTTGAAAGGAGGGTGGGTGGTTAAGTCACTCTAGTCTTCACAATCTATAACTCAGTTAAACAATGAAAGGCAAAGTTGTAGGTGCCTCTGTAGGAAGTAGGTAGGTAGGTATAACATGGGGAGATGAACAGATAGAAGGAAGGAAAGAGGGAAGGAGGGGAGGAAGGAAGAAAGAAGGGGAGGAAGGGAGAAAGAAGGGAACGAAAGAAGGATGGAAGGGAGGAAGAGAGTAGAAAAGGAAGGAGGAAAAGAGAGAGGGAAGAAGGAGAGGAGGGAAGGAGGGAGGAAAGGAGGACAGCAGGGGAGGAGGGAAGGAAGGAGAACGGAAAGTAGGCAGGCAAGATAAATAAATAATCGTGTTGTTTTACATTAGACTATTACTAAGACAGACCCCATTCTAAGATGCTGGTTATTCCTATGAAACCTCATGTTATTACAACATAGAAAATCCCTTATGATAGAGTTCTTTGCTACAACCCATTCTTCCTCTGGCCCTCAAAGTTTCAGAAATACTGATCATTTGTTATTTTATATCTGGAAATTACACTGTAAGGTATTTCCTGGTCCTGTCTCTTTTTCTGTACTTTGCACTACTTTGGGACAATTTTTGATTTTGTATATATCACAATGTTTTGTATTTAACTGAGTTGTAATTTCATTGCATTTATCTGTCCATGTAACTGGCCCCCCTCGCCGCTAAACTTGTGAGCTCCTCAGGGGTAGGTATATATTTTACATTTTGTTTGCATTACTAAAGCATAGCATATGGCTTTATACAGAGTATGTGCTCAGTAAATGTTTACAATAAACTGAATTGACACAGTCATTTATTTTTCATTTGGCCACTTTAAAAGACTGTCTTCAGAATAAGCCAAGACTCTTTTTATTTATTTTATTTTTATTCTTTATTTTTATTTTTATTTATTTATTTTTTTTTTGAGTAAGAGTTTCGCTCAAACTCGCTCAAGCTCAAATTTCATTTTGTTGCCCAGGCTGGAGTGCAATGGCACGATCTCAGCTCAGTGCAACCTCCACCTCCCAGGCTCAAGTGATTCTCCTGCCTCGGCCTCCCTAGTAGCTAGGATTACAGGCACCCGTCACTACACCCAGCTAACTTTTTGTATTTTTAGTAGAGACGGGGTTTCACTATGTTGGCCAGGCTGGTCTCGAACTCCTGACTTCAGGCAATCCACCTGCCTCAGCCTCCCAAAGTGCTGGGATTACAGGCGTGAGCCACCATGCCCAGCTGACTGTTTTCAAAATCCCCATGTCCAGATCACCCTCTAGACCAGTGAAATCAAAATGTCTGCAGGTAAGAGCTGGACATCAGTGTTTTTTAAAGCTCTCCAAGTGGTTCCAAGGTGCAACAAAATCTGGAAACCAGTGCTCTACAGCCTTTTCCAGCCACTCTTGGTGCTTTTTGTCAGCAGAGTAGAAGGGGCATTCCCCTGCCCAAGCCCTGTCCCTCCAGACATGCACCAAATAAGGAAAAAGTACTGTAATGGTTCAAGAAAGAGGAATTTAACATTCCTTCTCCCCACCTCCAGTTCCTACCAAATGCTTCACTCCCAGGCTTTGGACAATGTTCTCATTTACTTTCTCACAATGGCTTTTAAAATATATCTCTGGGGGGTTAAAACAGAGTTGAAAGAATGTGTTTGGATTTAAAATAATCTTTCCAAGATGAAAAAAAAAATCATCATTTGATAATGGTTTCTGCCTGCGTTCATTAAAGAGATCATTAATGACACTAAATTCTGGTCCTAGGACTTAATTCAGATCAATAGCTGAACATACACTTCATATTCATTAGTCCAGTGGAACACGCAGATGGGCATGTTTTACTGAAGTGCCTCATCAGAACATATTTAAGGAGCTGAAAGAGACCGTGCTGTCCTTCTGCAAGAACTTGGCAGTATCCCTCTTCCCTCCCGCATGTGGATGAAGATGTCTTTGCTAGTATGTCCCTCTCATTTGGTTAGTTTGGGACTCTTAATACAGTGAATCAGAGTTTGGCCTAAAGTACAGTTTTACAAAACAAACTAATTTTTAGTTACGTATTCAGAAAGGCAGACCTTCCTATAAATATTCCCTTTATGTGGAATTTGCAATCATATCTACAATGATCTGTTAAGCAGATGCCTCTGTGTGCAACAGATGAAGCTAACCTGGGGTAAACTTAAAGTTCTGTTGGAATCGATTTTGTGGTCCCCTCTTTAAATTCCCTGTCCCAGTTTGGATCTTCCAACTCAGTTGGAGGCTTCACACCAAGGCTGAGAAAAAATCTATAAGAGAAAAAACAAATTGCATTCTGCCCCTGAGGTGAGAACTTAGCGAGGGTAATTCACAAAGAGTTAGGAAAAGACCACCCTCTCCCTTGCATTTTGTGCACGGCCAAAGGGCATGCATCTACATTTGCTGTTGATGATTTTCGTGAACATTAAACTCACTTGCAGAATTTATTCTCCATTCCCCATTAGGAGAGTTATGCAACCTGAATCCTTAATGGACTTAATCAGCAGGATAACATGACATTTCTCCCGTCCTGTGCTAAGTACGAGGCAGAATACAAAGACATATTAGAGACATCTCTGCCCTTGAGGATTTTATAATCCAGTTGGAGAGATGAGAGGGTCACAAAAACTACTATAATGTATGACATGCCTACTAAAGGGACTGCTCAAGTCAAGGCTCATTTGTTTGCAAGGAAGAGAAACACTCAAAATTGCTCAAGTTCAGATGCACAACATTTTTGCAGAAAGCCCAAGGAAAGTTAAACTACCAGCTTCTTGGAAAGGCAAATGCAGAGAGCACAGAAGTTTTGTCTTATCTCTTGCGATATCATCTTGCCTGCTTTATTTATCCCTCTTGTCTGGCTTCCTCTGCATCTGCTCTGAAGATCACTATATGTCAAACTTTCTAGAAGATACTTCATATACACTAACTCAGTTACTTTCATACTTGAAAATATCTTAAAGAAGGAGATACTACTATCTCCTCTATCGTCATCATCAAAAGCAGGACCGGAAGCACTATGGGCTGGACACGGTGCCAAGTGACTTCCTTATGTTATCTAGCCTTATCACAGACCTGGGAAGAAAAAGAATGAGAACGGAAAAAAAATGAAAGGGCAGAGAGCAGGAGATTTTACAGAAGAAAATGTTTGACCATTCCCACATTGCTAAATTACTTCAAAGCATTCATTCCTCTGAGTCCTGTGTAGACATCGTTCTTTTGATTTTGCGATTTAGGAAAACATCTTCTGCTACATCCATATCTGCATGTACAGATCATTTTCTCTTTCACTTCCTGGCAGCTGAGCCCAAATTTACTCTTAAGTCTGTTACTTAGAAAGGAAACATATTGGATGAGGTTGAACTAAATCTGAAAATCCTCAAAATATCCAAAATTCAACAAGTTTTCACCTGGAAGTATATTTCCCACATGTAATGCACTGTGATGGATGTTGAGACTATTATTTCTACATAAGAACATATACAGCAAAGGCAAGTGAATGTTATTTGGCTGAAAGATGTGGAAAGAGCACTGATTAAATATCAGGAGAGGTTATTTGAATGTAAGGTCCATTTGAACCATTTCTTTCAAAGCTTCAGTAGAATTTTAAGAGAAATATCCCACGTATTTCTATAAGATAAGAAAATACTTAAATGGAAGAATCAGACAGGCGTCTTTCATAATCTCTTGGGAAGGCATAGAGAGTTAGTTAAGCAGAGAATGATGCAGTGGGAGAGAGACGCCCTCACTCTGATTTGGGGTCAATCTACATCAAAACAGTCGCGTCAGAAAAGCTAAAATGGCTAAAATTAACAAGGTCTGATATTAACAGTGGATGTGGAACAACTGAAATTCTCATACACTGCTGGCAAGAGTGCAAATTTGTAAAAACAGTATAGAAAATAGTTAAAGCTAACAGAAGCATATCCTGCAACTCAGCAATTCTACTGCTAGGAATATAACTCCACAGAAATGCGAATATATTTCACCCAATATACAAGAGTATGAATACAAGAGTATTCATACCAGCCCTATTCATTAAAGCTCAAACTGGGAATGACCCAAATGTCCATTAGTAGTAGAATGAATAATTAAAATGTAGTATATTTACATAATGTGATAGAATACTGCAATGAAAATGAAGTACAACTGCATGTAACAACATGGATGACTTTCACAACCATAATATTGAGTCAAAGAAACCAATACACACCATATGATTTCATTTACATAAAGTCCCAAAACAGGCAAAAATAATCCACTGACTGCCTGAGACCCAGTTGCTGAAGATGCCACATGCAGGGCTCTGGTTTTCATTCCAGCTGAACCCAGACTTTCAGTCATCCCCACCAAGGTGCCAGACCTGGGAATGAAGCTATCTTGCTCCTTCTAGACTAGCCCATCTGCCAGCTGAATGGCACTGAGTGTCCTTTGTCCATGTCTTGTATAATAGACTTCTCCAGCCAAGCCTGTCCAAGTTTCTAATAGACAAAATCACGGACTGCAACAAAATGGTTGTTGTATTAAGCCACTAGGTCTTGGGTAGTCTATTATGTACCAATGCATAACTGGAACACCTCTCAATCCACCAGGGTTGAAACTTCCTTGTTTTCTCACACTCATCCTTTTCCCTCTATACTTCAATTAGAGAAGAGCTGCGTGTAGTTAAGAACATGAGCAATAGAGCCAGACATCCTGGGTTCAGAGTCCCACTTAGCAGATTGCTAGCAATATGGCCTCAGCTAATTATTCAAGAGCTCTAAATCTGTTTGCTTATATGAAAATGGGGATAAAGGCTGACCTATTTATTTGGTTGATATGAGGCTTAAATGTATATGTAAATAAAGGTCTAGTATTTAAGGAATTAGGAAATTAAAGAATTCTATTTTTTGATTAATGCTTAGTGTTTTGAAAGTACACAATACATAAAACCCATTAATCCATCAGCCCTGTAGGTTATTTCCCTACCATCTCCCTCCCATATAGTTTCTTCTTTCCATTTCTGCTACCACCACCTAGTTAAATGACTCAGGATAAGTTTCTGCAATGACCTTCAAATTCTTCTTCCCAACTTCTGCTCTTTCCTTGGCATGACATGTCTCACAGAGGTACTAAAACTGACTTTGCAAGAATTATAACAGTGAGAAAATTACGGCAGTGCAAGTCTGATTTAACCCCCCATCTTGCCTTTCCCTTAATCATTCCTGGTCTTAGGCTAAGCTAACTTTAGTTTATAGTTTACATGATAATAGGCTTTCCCCAAAATTCAATCACCTTTGTAAAGCTAATGAAAGGCCATCAGGCTAGGAGAAGGGCAGGAATTCTGCTAAGGCATAGACTGGTCACAAGATCTGTCCTACAGATAACATCACTATTGTAGACTGGCCTTTTGAGACATTTTCCCAGGTTTTTTGCAGGTCTGATACCCATGACTCCACCTGGCCCCCACCAACCTTGCTCTTGCTTCTGTTGCCCCACCCAGAAGTAAGTCAGCTCAAGAGGACAGCTTCAACCCACTATGATTTCATCTCTGCCCCAGCCAATCAGCAGCAAGCATCCATTTTAGCCACACCCACCCCCTTCCCCAAACTGCCTTTGAAAAACCCCTAACCTACAAGTCTTCCAGGAGATTGATATGAGTAGTAACTTGGTCTCCTGTATGGCATGGCCAGCCTCACGTCAATTAAACTCTTTCTTTACCGCAATGCCGTGGTCTTTATTTGTGCAGTGGGGCAGGAAGAACTTGTTGGGTGGTCACATTACCATACTAATCTTCCTAAAACAAAACAAACAAAACTTAATACTCAGCATATTTAAGGCCTTCTAGAGGATGGTCCCAGTTTTTTTTTTTTTTTTTTTTGGTAATCTTTTCTGTTATCTCTTCCCTGCTGGTACCATAGGTTTCCATTTAAAAGAATGACTCTCTGCTTCCCTGAACATGATCCAAATCACTGTTCACAAACTTGTAACTGTCCCAAATGCCTTTTCACACATCTCTACCTACTGAAATCCTATTTACCCCAAAGAGCATTTCAAATCTCAGTCTATCAACTAACACTTTGCTAATTCTGTGTTTCCTTGTTTCTCTGTTAGCATCTCTCTCTCTTCTTCTCTCTTTCATGACTCTCTCTCATGCTTTAGAATTCCACAGCAATAAATCTAAATCTCCTTTGTGACAATGGCCTCAACTATCCACATATTACAGTCATTTGCAATTTTTTTTTGGGGGGGTGGGGTATGGAGTCTTGTTCTGTTGCCCAGGCTGGAGTGCAGTGGCACAATCTCAGCTCACTGCAACCTCCATCTCCTGGGTTCAAGAGATTCTCCTGCCTCAGCCTCCTGAGTAGCTGGGACTACAGGCATGCACCACCATGCCTGGCTAATTTTTGTATTTTTAGTAGAAACAGGGTTTCACCATATTGGCCAAGCTGGTCTCAAACTCCTGACCTCAAGTGATCTGCCCACCTCAGCATCCCAAAGTGCTGGCATTACAGGCATGAGCCAGCGTGCCCACCCCATTTGCAGTTTTCTAAATCTCCATAACATAATATAAACCTTTTAGCTCTAGCCTAATGCTTTGCACCTAGTGGACATTTAATAAATATTTGTTGAATTGTACCAAAAGGCTAGAATGAGCTGAATTTACTGGCAAAAAGAGGCAGGACCTTGTCAAGAGTTTGCACGTCAAACAAAATTTCTGTGTGTCTAATCCATTTTGAAAACTATTTGCATCTCAACTGATGAGAAATGAATTCTATTTTTAAAAACCTCTAAGAAAAGACATTTTACTGCTTCTTTCAGTAACATATCCCAGTGTGTAATAAGCTCTAATGTCAGAATAATCTCATTTTTTTCTAACCTAAATCCTTCATGTTGCAGACTGAGCTATTTCTTCTGGATTTTTTCCAGTGAAGATTTCTTCCAAAAAGAAATAATGCAGTGTTCACTTAGAAATTTCTGCCAGTTTTCCCTTGGCTATTAAGTTTTCCTTCCTTCATCTGTATGGTTAATGCAGGTGCAGCATATTATCACTATCACCACACGGCCTCACTCACTGGACTAAGGTGACTCGCCCAAGAGCAGATGCCTGACCCAAGTTGGGCATCTTTTCCCCAGGATTTTCTGTTCCCTGGGATCATAAAAAGAGTTTGAGATATGTCTTTTTTTTTTTTTTTTTTTTTTTTTGTGGCCAAGGATAACTGATACAAATTTCAAAAGCTATCATCTGCCATGCTCAAAGCGGTAAGGAGAGGGGCAGACTGAAAGGAGAGAGAAGAAAGTTTGCATGTATTGCTGGAAAGAGAATCCAGACAGAATCTAGGAACGTTGTTCCAATCATTCCCAAGACCCATGTGCAGCCTAAGTTTTCTAACTCCTTGCTGTTAAAGTCTTTGTTGGAGTTCAAGAGTCATAAAGATACATTGTTAGACTTACTAGTTCTTGTATTTCTGTCTTTGCAACTAAAATACCTTTTACTAAGCCACTCTCTATCTTACATATGTTTTAATCAATCAACCAGCAAGTGTTTACTTTTTGTATCATAATGGATATAAATGGTAGAAAAATTACGGCAAGCCATTTCTTACCTTTTTTATTTTTCAAGATAAATTAACTCAGTCTCCTTTACGGTTATAGAAATAGTTTTCCATGTCTTTACCCATTGCCATTGACCTTTCCATATCCATCTTCCTCTTTTCTTAATTCCCTAGAGCCGAACCCAGCATGCAGCAAGGTATCTGAATACCACAGAGCATGTCACATTAATGGCCTTCCACAGTCCACATGTCCTGGGCTTACCTGTGAATCCCTTAGCTACGGGGCTTCCTCGTTTTATAGTCACTTGTGGTCTTCTCTACACTTGGATGCTTCTCTTTAGGAAAGAACGTTTGTCATTTTCCTCCTTCATTATCCATTTTTGGCTTTGGACAAAATAGTGTAAGCCAATGTATAAAAGGTTCATTTCTTAGATTCAGCTACTGCTAACAGGAGGCTTTTGCTGACATTCCATATATTTAAACAGAAGGAAAAGGGGGTTTTATTTTATCCCTCACAAACTGCTACATATTGCAGTTAAAGTAAAAAAATCACAAACTGCTAGATATGGAAAGAACCATACCAAAAAGACTTCTAGAAATAATAACAAGATATTAAAAATTACTTATATCAATGAGGTGTAAGAACTAAATAGTGGTGTGTAGGCTCCTGGGCTCTGTAGGGTTAGATTTCATATAGTTGTTATGTTTGGAAGAAAATAAGACTTAACCAGTGGTGCCCAATGTTTAAAATGAAAGCATATTATATAATATTGTCCTATACCAGAAATCAGCAAACTTTTTCTGTAAAGGGCCAGAGAGAAAATGTTGTAGGCTTTGGAGAATGTTGTTTCCACCGTAACAACTCAACTCTGTCATTGTTTGCCACTATTTGTCAGAAAGCGGCTGGAGACATTATATTTTAAAAATGGGCATGGCTGTGTTTCAATAAAACTTTACTTATAAAAACAGTCAGTGGGCCTAATTCAGTCTGTGGGCCATAGCTTTCTAACCCCGGTCTGCACATAATATAATATATAGCACAGTTCTACTCACCATATGAAATGATGCCTAAAATGATTGGTGACAATAGGTTCTCTTGAAGTCCAGGGATTTATCTCCTGTGATGGTTAATATTAAGTGTCAACTTGATTGGATTAAAGGATGCAAAGTATTATTTCTGGGTGTGTCTGTGAGGGTGTTGCTAGAGGAGTTTAACATTTGAGTCAGTGGACTGGGAGGGGAAGACCCACCTTCAATGTGGGTGGGCACCATCCAATTGCCTGCCAGCATGGCTAGAAAAGGCAGGCAGAAAGTGGAATGAGCAGGCTTGCTGAGTCTTCTGGCACTCACCTTTCTCCTCTGCTGCATGCTTCCTGCCCTCAAACATCAGACTCCAAGTTCTTTGGCTGTTGGACCCTTGGACTTATACCAGTGGTTTGCCAGGGGCTCTCGAGCCTTTGGCCATAGACTGAAGGCTGCACTGTTGGCTTCCCTACTTTTGAGGTTTTGAGACTCAGACTGATCCACTCCTGGCTTCCTTGTTCCTCAGCTTCCAGACCGCCTATTGTGGGACTTCACTTTGTGATCGAGTGAGTCAATTATCCTTAATAATCTCCCCTTCATATATAGATATGTATCCATTAGTTTTGTCCCTCTAGAGAACCCTGACTAATACATCTCCTTTAACATAATTTTCACATAGTACTATTGAATACTATGCATTATGTGTATATATCTATATATTTATCTAGAGATAGACAGTAGATAGATGATAGATAGACACATAGATAGATAGGCAGATAGATGATAGATACATAGATACATAGACACATCGATAGATAGATAGATAGATAGATAGATAGATAGATAGATAGGCAGATAACTTGCTAAACTTAGTTAAGCAAGATTTCTGAGTTGTGGTTTTACTGGACAAGAAGCTTGGGAATGGCAAAGCCCATAGCGTCCCCATATCTGTGAATCTAGCTCCTAGCATAGGTCCTAGCTCATGTAGGGGGATCTGTGCCTCTGAGAATGAATTTGTTCATGGCTTCCAGCTACTCTCCCCATCCCCACTTTACAAACCTCCTCTCAGTCATCTGCTTTCTTCTCCTTAACAATGTGTTGAGCCCCAACAAAGGCATTCCCAGAAAAGACATTACAGTCATTAACATATTCATTTATCAAATGTTTGATGCGCATGTAAGTTAGCACTGTCATCAGAGAAATTGGACATACTTGGTGGATATGTTTCATTAAAATTATCTATGCCTATGATGTAACAAAGTTAGTGATTGCTATCTGGCTTTTGTATATAGTTTACATTAGATTGAACTCTAGTTATTTAAAAATAATTAGAAACAGTTTTGTTTCCAGACAGGTGCAAGTCATATGAAAACATGAACACACATCCCCAAAACTTCTATTCCTAGTGACATGGAATCTACTTCATTGTTGGTCCTTGGTTTACTCATAGTCCTAAAAATTATTCTTTGCTAGAATTTGACACCAAGACTGAAATGTAATATTTTTCCAGAATTAACGCATTGATATCACTACAGTAGTTCCTTTATCTGTGAAGGATATGTTCCAAGATCCCCAGTGGATATCTGAAACTAAGGATAGTACTGAACTCTTCATACACCATGCTTATTCCCATACATACATACCTAAGATAAAGTTTAATTTATATAAATTAGGCACAGTAAGAGATTAACAACAATTAATAATAAAATAGAACAATTATAACAATACACCGTAAGAAAAGTTATGTGAATGTGGTCTCTCTCTCTCAAAATACCTTATTGTACTGTGCTCACCCTTTTTCCTGTGATGTGCCAACGTGAGGAGATGAAGTGAGGTGGATGACGTAGGCCTTGTGAAATAAATGGGAAACTGCAGAAATAAACATGTCATAAGCTTTAAATTGCACACTGTTCTGAGTAGTGTGATGAAATCTCATGCCATCCTGCTCCCCGAGATGTGAATCGTCCCTGTGTCCAGTGTATCCACACTGTAGACGCTACCAGCCCTGTTAGTCATTCAGGAGCTGTCTTGGTTATCAGAGCCACTGCCATGGTATCATGGTGCTTGTGTTCAAGTCACCCGTATTTTACCTCACCATGGCTCCAAAGTGCAAGAGTAGTAATGCCATTTTTTGGACTCAAGTTGACTTCAGGCAACTGAAACTGTGAAAAGAAAAACCACAAATAAGGGGGCACTGCTGTATTTTATGGAAAAAGTTCACAAATATCTCACATTTAAGAGATTGTTTCCTTGGAGAATGTCTCCTCAAACTTATTTGGAGAGAACTTGTTTCTCAATAATGACAACAATGAGTTTGAAGTCATTTCATCAGAACAATGAGACTATGAACCATTAGCCAAACTCAAAGCACCAAAGAGTATATTCTCAAGCACTTTCAGAATGAAACAACTGTTCCGTTCAAGACGAATGACAGCAATGCCTCGCCCCATCCCCTGGTCCTTCCCCTTCAGTGTGCATCCACCTGAGCCACCATTAGCAGCCCCAGCACTGCCTTCTCACTGCAGAGCCCATCCACAGTTAGTGCGCATCTATCTTTACCTCCCACATCTAAATCAATTATTGATCTGTTTTTGAACAAATATATCTAAAAATGGCATGAAGCTCTTGGGGCATCACCACAAAACCCAATTAAACCCTGAGGTATCCATACAGACTTGAGGTGTCTAAACTACCCCTATGTATTAAAAGTACATTCTGCGTGGCTTGGTGGGGTATGTGAATCTCCTGGATAATATTATTTCATTCTCTCATTTTCACTTAATCAGTCCAAGGGGAGCGTGGAAGTCATCTGTATTGGAGCTGAGTCCAAAACAGCACTACTCTAAAGACAAAGACAAATTCCAAAGACATCAGGAACATGAAAGGACCAGAACTTGCATTTACAACACCTTCCTCCAGATGCAAATTATTCTCTTTCAACTTTAAATAAGTTACTAGTTATAGTATCACATCTGGAGAGAAATTAATTGTGTACCCATTTTATATATTTTCAGCAATGAGATTCTCAAACTGTTTAGAGGAAGTTTTTATATTTTTAAATAAATAATTCTTAATACATTTTGGGGAAAACAAATTATTGCAATCTGCATGTCCTGAGCAAAGTTTTCTGGAAGAATCGATGGATTCTGAGAAAAGCCTTGAGACCAGTCAAGCTGAAAAACCTTGTGCTATGGCTAGTTAGGAACTTAGGAATCTTAACTCATTTGAGGCCAATATGCAATGCTGATGTTGTTCCAAACAGGTGGGAAGAAATAATTTGAAATAGAGAGAAGAGACTAAGAATGAACAAATGCACATGACTCAATGAGAGCAAACGGCAATGTGTTAAAATGTTCTACCCCAATCACGTGAATGCAGCCTAAAAGTTCAGCCCAACATCCACCTTGACTTTTAGAACAGCATGAACAAAGTGACATCCCCAAGTATCCTCAGGAACTGCCTGTGACCCAGAACATTCCCTTCTGGGCCAGATGATGTTCACTGCCTCTCTCCCCCAGGCCCCCAGTTATCACCGGGGAGTCCACAAAACTTTTTTTCTGTGACCTTCTCTAAAGTCAAACCAATACCAACCATATGTTCCCAGAATCCTGAGACTCATCTACTGCTTGATAACACATTTTCAGTTATTATTTCTACTCCTTATAGCACTGCCTTAGTTATGTGTGAGTCTGCCCTGACATTAAAGATGCCATCTAACCGGCAATGATGTAAACAAACAAACAAACAAACAAAAAAACAGCTTGGTGACTCTAACAGCTTTTTGTCCACTTGGTTGGGTGATGACAGGGGAACCTCTGAGAAGGTGGGTTCTCTCTGGAGTCTCTGTAAGTAGCTCTAGGAACTGTCATTTAAATTTAAATTTAGAAATAAATTACATGAATAGTCTAAGTGCTTCTTCCACCTTCAACAAATTAATAACAATATTAATAATAAGCAGCAGTCATTGCACATTGCACAGGTGTGTTCTTCATAGCTGACATATTGTTATCTCAGTTTGTCCTATTACTGCCTGAGGTAGGAGCCATTACAATTCAGTCTGCAGACCAGGAGGCAAGGGGCAAGAGAGGTTAACTAACAAGATGTTGTAATTGCCCTTTTATTTTTTTCCTCCAATGATCTAAATATCCAACCTGGGTTTTTCTCTCTTATGCTCCAGAAGCAACATGATCATCCCTTCTTTGATGGCCCCAGACCCTGAGACTCATTATAACAAACCCCAACACAAACACATTCAGGAAAAAACTTCATTCTCTTCCACCCCACACTCATTCGTTCCTTCTTAACTCAGTGAATGGGACATAACCCACTTAGTTTCACAAGCTTGGAAACTGGGCCATATCCAAAGCACTGCCCTGCCTTGTCCCCCATCTCCATGCAGTCACATATCTTCTGAGTGTCCTTCTGTCCTGGAGAACTGCTTGGATTCAGCCTTGCCATCATTTCATCATTTCCTGCTTAGATCACAACGGCAGTCTCCTACCAGCCTCCCTGCCTCTGCCTCAGCTATCTGGAATGAAGATTCGTTTAGACCACGCCCTGCTTAAGATGACTGATGAGGAGCAACCCTATTGACAGGGACCAAAGCAGCATCGCAGGATGTCCCGTTTCCCCTCCCCACCTCTCAGTTGGTTGACTTCCTGGACCTCCTATACTCTATTGTCCCAGTCCCACAATGTCCCAGAAACTAAACGAGAACACCGTGGAGGAGACAGGCAAGAAGAAGCAGGGCATGCGGGAGAAAGAATGTACTCTCCCTGAGACAGTGGAGAAGGAAAAGCTAAAGGCCAAATATCCAAGCCTAGGACAAAGGCCTGGGGGCCCAGCTTCCTTATGAAGGGACTCCGAAAAGGGAAAAAGTACTTTGCCTCAGGAGACTACAACATGGCCAAAGCCAAATAGGAGAATAAGCAGCTGCCAAGTGCACAACCAGACAAGAACCTGATGACTGGTGACCACATCCCCACCACACAGGATCTGCCCAGAAAATCCTCACTCATCACCAGCAAGCCAGCGGGTGGCCAAGCTGAATGATCCTGCCCGGGGCTCTGCCAGATCCTGAGATGCTGATCCTCTGGGTCTGAAATCGCCATTGCAAAATTGTAACTGAGACAATGAAAGAGATCTGACTTAACCAACTCCATCTTGCCTCTAACCTCCAAGCTGTCTTTGTTTATTACTGGGTGTAGGCTGAACCAACTTTGGGAAGAACGTAGTTTATAGTTGATAGTTTAAAACAAAGACGATAGCAGCCCTTTCCCAAAACAAACCTCCTTCTTGCTTAGGGACTGGAATGCCTTTGTAGGACTAACAGATTAGCCACAAGATGAGAAATTACGGTTTAGGAGTCATGCGGCCTGAGGCTACAAGATTCTCACCCTCCCTAAACTTCTTCTAAGATCAGTGCTTGAGATAGTTTGCTTGATGGATCAGCTGGCACCACTCAGATTGATAAGCTGGCTCATGTGATCTTGTGGCTCACCCTGGAACTGACTGACTCAGTGCAAGAGGACAGCTTCAGTTCCCTATGGTTTCATCTCCAGCCAACCAATCAGCACTCTTGACTCACTGGCCTTCCTCCACCCGCCAAATTATCCTTAAAATCTCTGATCCTGGAATGCTTGGGCAAAACTGATTTGAATAATAAAACTCCTGTCTCCGCACAGCCGGCTCTGAGAATTTTACTCTTTCTCTGTTGCAAGTCCCCTGTCTTGATAAATCAGCTCTGTCTAGGCACCGGGTAAGGTGAGCCCATTGGGCAGTTACAAGTCCTGTGATGGCTTCTGCCCCTCCCATCTTTTGCAGCCAGGGGTCAGGAGGTGGCTTGGGCATGGGTTAGAGAGGCAGAAGCCCCTGCCCATCAGTGTCCCAGCACATGGAGCCCCTTGGGCTAAGCACCAAGACCTTGAACATGTTTTGTTTTACCTTTTTTCCAAATAACTGTTGGGAGAAATCTCAATGAAATCTTGGGGGCAGGGTTGGGAGGGTGGGGTGAGAGACTTGGAGGAATATGAATTAGAGCTTGGAGTTGATAAAAACATTCCTGACGGTCCTTCTTAACCATGAGGCTGGTGTGGGATAAATATGAGAGGGGGAAGTGGAGTCCACTAGAGATGAGATCTAGTTCAGCTTTGCAGATAACTGCCTTGTTTCCATGTGGCTGGAGGCCTGGTGTGAGATTAAAGAAACTCAATCTGCATAGACAGATGCAAACAGCTCCTCTGGTTCTGCAGTTAGCTGAGAACACAATGTTAGTTATTCATTTAAAAAGCATACTGTCCTCGAAATAGATTTTCTGTTGGGAGGAGGGCAGTGAGTTGTGGGGAAAGGAACCATGAGTGTGGGGAGCCCCAAGAGCCCAAAGGACTTTTTCAGTATTTGAAATACACCCCACCAAAAAAAAAAAAAAAAAAAAAAGACTAATGATGGCCTTCTAGAGACATCAGAGAACTAATCTGAATCTCTTAACACATCAAAAACCCCCCATCTCGATCTGTGCCCATCCTACCTGCCCTGTTTCACTCATCCTCCCTTCTACACCCACATGTTCCATATGTGGTATGTTCCATGCTTGTTTTCCATGCCTGCATCAATTGTTCTTTGTTCCTAAAACCCTGTCCCCACCCTTCAATATTCAGTCAGCTATCATTATTTCCAGAAAGCCTTCCCTGAACTTCCTCTCCACCCCCACCTTCCCTACCTAACACAACCAGCACAGAAGACCATGGTTGCACTACACAGCCTGAAGCTATTCTGTTTCCTAGTAAGAGACCAAAAGCCATGTCTCCTATTTCTGTAGCCCCAGGGCTTATCACAGTGCCTGGCACGTAGTTGATATGCCTATACCTACTATTTATGAAATGAATGAATGATGAACAAGATAGAATTCTCTGGCCATGAATATATGGGATGTGTATACTTTGCATTTTCCCCCAATCTGAAAACTTATGTTCACCTGTCTGTATAAACACATTCATATTTATCAGTTCAACTGAATCTCTACTTTTGTTTTGAAACATAGGGCAACCATTTTCTTTCCAGCTATTAGCCATTGTTGGATGAGTTTTCAATCTAAGTTTTGTGACGGGATCTAGTTCATAAACTTTATTGGCCTGACACAATTTTTAAAAATTACTATAAATCCTCCTTGGCTATCCTGGAAAAACGTTAACTGTGCTCCCCAAGCCCCAAATCAAATTTTTCCCCCATCCTTCCTGATCTAAACATGAATGATCTAATCATGTCTGTTGTGTCCCTGTGCTGTCGAACCACATTTGAATTATGCACACTAGGCCCACTGACTCTCAGCATATATTCGTAGGAAACAATAGATAAACATGGGAGAAAAACTACAGGGAAAAAGAGCACAAAGCCTGGTAACTTGAAAAAAACAAAATAAAAACAGTGCAGCAGGGATTATTCCGCAAAACAGGAACAGGATCTTGAGATGTGGTAAATGGAACATTAGTCTCGAACTCAGAAACATCCCTGGAGAAGTCACTGTTCTACCATAGCTAAGGAGATGGATACTAACAAATTGTGTTTGAGATCTGAAGTGCCCAGCCTGAACAGAAGGAAAAGCATTAGCAGTCAGGGAGAAGGGAGTTAGGAAATTGAACCCCATATGGGTACACCACTCTAGTAGCCATGTGTAACATGAGAAGCTCCATAAACCTGAATCACTGCAAATGACTGAAGCAAAGAATTTCAGGATTTTCAGTGACAAAGCCCAGAATACCATATGGGCCTATCAACACTAGTTAGAACTGGAAGAAGAGTTTTACTAGCACGAGGGATGGTAGAGAAGATTGTATAGAGGCAAGAGAGGAAATCCAATTTGAGATGGAATTAAAGTTAGAACCAGGCAATTCAGGGTGAAGAACAATCCAAGCCAGCGTCTAGAGGTATGGAAGGGCAGACAGAGCAGTCATGTCCTGGGGCGTTTACCAGAGTAACAGGCCTGCTGAGGTGAAAAACAGGGTTCTTAGGTTAACACTAATGAGCTACCAGGTGAAGGTCCAAGAGTAGGTTTCAGCCCAAATGTAAAGGAACTCTTCTTTGAACTTCTTCTTTGATATGACTGTACGTTATCATAAAGAATGGGGAACTGGCTGGGCACGGTGGCTCACGCCTATAATCCTAGCACTTTGGGAGGCCGAGGCGGGTGGATCACTTGAGGTCAAGAGTTCAAGACCAGCCTGGCCAACATGGCAAAACCCTGTCTCTACTAAAAATACAAAAATTAGCTGGGTGTCGTGGCATACACCTGTAATCCCAGCTACTAGGGAGGCTGAGGCACGAGAATCACTTGAACCCAGGAGACAGAGGGCGCAGTGGGCCGAGATCACACCACTGCACTCCAGGCCCGGGTGACAGAGTGAGACTCTGTCTCAAAAAAAAAAAAAAAAAAAAAAGAATGGGGAACTGATGGAGTGAGAGACAAACTCCACCCACCAGGGGTGTATACCTAGGAGGCTGCCCTCACTTTTACTCATAACAAATACCAGCTTTCCACTTTGGCCTACGATCTGCCTGGAACCAACAGCTTATTTATTTCATTTAGTAACCAAATTTGTTTTCAGTCACTCCTGGTTTAATACAGTCTCTCTTGGGAGTTTCACTGGAATTAATATATTATTATACTTTTACACTGCAGCTCATAATGTGCATCTCAGGGCTCCCTCATGCTTCTCACAGGTACCTCCCTGCCTTCTTCCCCGAGTCCGATTTCTAATTTTGCAACTGTCATCTGGCAGTGGCAGGGAGGGATAAATGTCTGTTTTTGTGTGTGAGGGCTTCAAAGTGGAATTGGGAAAGAGCAGGACACTCCTCAGTCCGACACAGGCCCTTGGACCATGGTGGGTGTGGTAGTGTGTGGCCTGTGGTCACTTCTTGGCTGGCCTCTTCTGCTCATACTTTCACTGGTCTGGGTTCTTGTGCTGCTAGTATCGAGTGCCGGCTCAATCACAGATGATCTCTGGGTGCCATCTAGAAATCTCCATGGACACATCCCCACGGGAGTCCCTCTCTCAGCTCTGATGAAGGTGTCCTCCCTCTCACCCTGAGGCATCGAGAGGACAACATACCTTTTGTGACCACTACTCTAGATTTTTCCTGAAAAACTAGAAATTCCCACCTTACCAACTTGACCCTGTGAAAACCTGGAAATGGTTTTTCATCTCTGAAAATTCCTCTTTCACATCTAGGTTAACAGTGTGCAGAAGTTTCTCTCTCTCTTCACATGGAGAGGGGGTGAATTCACTCAGGTTGGGGATGCGATCTTACACTCCTTCTTCAAAAGCTCTTCCATCCTGGTCTGCATTTCGATATTCTGATGACATGAGCATGCCTGTGTTTTGAGTAGAACTTGGTGCAGATTGGGTGCTGTCGTCTCCTCAGAACCACGAGGCCTTCACCTTGGCTACCCTTTCGGGATAGAGGAAAGTCAGTAGCAAATGAGGAATTCAGGGAAGGCATGTTTAGGGGCCATTCCCCATACCCTGCACACACCACAAATGGGATCAGAAAGCATCTCAGCAAAGCAGAGACAAAGTTACCTCAGAGGAACAGGGAATGTGCTAAAAACAGAAGTATGCAGAATTTTATTTTTAAAGCAAGAAGTAAGAATTATCTGGCAGGAATTTTTTTTTCTCTTGAATAGAGGCATGAATATATTAGTTTGGCAGAGATCTTAGAAACTTAATAAAAAAGTTAACACCCATTATTCTGTATGTTATCAAAACCAAGAGTATCTGAGTCCTGGTTCTTTAAGATATATCAATCTCCTCGAGCTTTGCAATTCTTTATGTCTACTGTCTTTAATTGGATTTTCACTCCCATGACAATCCTTTTTGTATACAATACTTTTTTATTGTAACAGGGCATGTGGTATACTGAGCAATAGGTAGTGATTCCAATTTACGTTAAAATTTAGATGTATGTGGTATTGCCAATGCAAATAGCTCACCTGAGTTGACAATCAGAAGAAGAGATACCTTGAACATGTGGCTTGGAGCACACCTTCACAGGTGATGCCATTCTGGAGAGCTGGCATGCTTCCCTTTACTCCAATTATAAAATGAATTGCAATTCCAGGATTTTCCAAATGTGGAAAAAAATATGTGTTTTAGAAGCTAGGAAACACAGCAAGCAATGGGAGTAACCAGGGGAACTGGTTATGGGAGAAAATTATCAACAAAGGTGTAATACTTATTTTCACTTCTAGGAATAACAAATGGATAATAGAATAGATAACAGACAAGAAGAGAATCATCTAAATCTACCATTTGTTGAGTGTTTCCTATTTGTTTGGCATGACGTTAGGTGCTTTACATTCATTTTCTTTTCTTCCAACAGAATATGGAAGTAATTAAGGTAATTAAGGTGACTTTTCAAGATCACACAGCAGGAATGAACTGACTTACACTGGTTTTCCTGCGGACAACTGAAAAGCAGCAAGTTACACCTGTGAGTCTGGGTTATTGATATAATCCTACTTTAGAAAGAAAGTTTACCCCTTCTTCCCATCTCTCATTCACACCACCTGCTCCCATAGGTGTAAGGTGCAGTCAAAAATAGTAAGTGGCTCTATTGAGCCATGACAGCAGCAGGTCAGCAATCCATGCCATTTGGATTATCAGTCACTATGCCTCTGTATTCAGCCAACTTATCAATTTTAAGATAACACGGTCAGACTTTCCACCCTCCTACATTCTTTTCAACAGGGTCACTAAGAGGCAAGTTCCACTGTGTGAAGGCAGCCTTAGAGTGGGTGGAACCACAAACATTTCGAAGTCAAAAAAGACTGGATTCGAATCCCAGCCAAGTGGCCTTATGCCAGATTAACTTCTGGAAGCCTCCGTCCTCTTATCAGTGGAATAGGTCATTATAAATAGCTTTCATGGTTATTGTAAAGCTTTAATGGGATGATATCTTAAAATTCTTAATGTGGTGATTGATACAAAGAAAAAACACCACATGCTAATGCAGGGGGCAAAAACCTTCTTGTTTCAATTAAAATGATTTTAGAGTTCATAGGGAGAGAAAAAATGAAGGTTTGATGTCTAAGCATTATACTGCTATCCACCTTTTTCAAGGCAGGAAGGACAGGCACCGAAATAAGTTTGAAGTAAGGTGATTTCTGCAGTATTACACAGACATGCCAAAATATAATGCTGCCATGCTCACATGCCAATAAAGACCCCAATCAGGAGAGAACAAGCTGTCATAATAAGTAGACAAAGACGTTGGAAATTTTAGCAAATCTGGAAAGATCTGAGCAGATGCAGAACTATAAAGCCATTATTTTCTGACTGCCTATCAACATGAAGAGTTCAACAGGGTCACTGTGTCTGCCATTTTAATATAGCCAACTAGCCAGGGTACTGTCACACTAATAAAGGAGGTGCAGCTTAATTCTCTTAACATATTCATTTTAACCTGATAGAGGTCTAGAGATGCAGCTGAATATTTCTCTCCCTTTTTGCCACAGGGAAAATGATTTCTTCATCCACTTATTAAATGACAGTCTCTTGGCTCCCGTGCCCAGGCTGAAATGTGTGATCATGCTGTCCTTCCACTGTGAGGCTGCTTTTCAGGCAGCCTGTCAGTCTGTCTGTCCTGTTTTATTAGTAAGTGATGGGAAAATGCACTAGACACACTTCTCTCAAAAGAAGCTGTCCTATTTTCTATAGCCAGAAGCCTAAGATGTTTAACAGAAATGTGTAAAATTTTCTCTTTTTTGCATTCATTCCTTTCTGCCCAGAGGCACATTCTACAGACCATTTTAAAAACGACTACAAGAAAACAACAGAGCCATCGTTTCTATTCATTCTCTCTTACAATATTGGAACGTCTGTGACTCTAATTCCATTGCCCCTGATGAATAGCTAAAGCTTTAGTGGCAGCAGAGCATTTCTTCCGCAGAACGTGGAGGTCTGCAGTCTCATTTATTTTGCTACGTGTCCTATGAATATGTTTTTTAAAAAATGTTACTCCTGAAAGAGCTTCATTGCAAAAGAAATTTCTAGCCTAGTCTCAGCCTTAATCAATCGCCCATGATTTTGCAGGCCTTAATGGGAGAAGACAGAGATAATGTAATGTGCATTATGCAAAGTTAGCTAAAAGTGAGGATGTGGAACAGCATCAGGGACCATTATCTCCCAGAAGAGTCGACGCAATAGAGGCAGACAATTAGATTAGAACATTTTTCTAACCAGGCCAGAAGTAAAGTCTTGGGGACAAGACAATGTTCAGATTTGGGCAACAGCCAAGAGGTAACAATCATGAGCCGGCATGGCTCATGCTATAGCTGTATTGGCTGTATTCTATAATTTGAAACAAGACTAACTCCTCTTGGAATTAAAGCCACGGGTTTTATTTACTAAGGTAGCAAATGAACCCATAGTGTGCTGTGGCTTGGATATCTGCTTCTTTCTCAAAATCTGTATGAAAATCGACTCCACCAGTCGGTCACCATTATGTTAGCTCCCTGTGGGCAGTACTGCAACATGTGTGTTGCCGGGTGGTGGTAGGAGGATGGAGAACTAGGGAATAAATACAAGAAAAAAGCCCTGACCTGCATTAAAAGGTGCTTTGTTATGCAGACATACACACAAATGCATGTTGATCTAGGATGCCCAATCCCCACTACGTGCCCAGCTCCCGGGAATTTGCTCGGAGCCTTATAGACATCATCTAGTAATGGCTTAAATTGCTAGATTTAGATCTCTGCCTACAACAGATGCATAAATAAAATTGTTTAGAAGCAATTACAGAGCCATATTTCCACAAGAACAAATGAATACTGCACAACCTTAGCATGTAAGTGCCGAGGGGGTCACAGTGAGGGAATAATCAGAGTCACAGGTAATTAATCACAAGAGAACATCAGAGGGATGCTAGCTGGCATATTCACTCCCATGGGACTGTGACCAGCACCTACTCTACTAAAATAACTATAGGGTCCTTCATGCACACCAACTGGAAGTAGAAGAATAGACTAGGCACCAGGTAGGTGCTTGGCAAGCATGCAGGGTGTTTATTAACAACCTTGGTCAGAAAACCATAGGTATAAAAAATGGCCAGAGCATATATGCCAAATTAGCAAGTGATTAAATGATGTGCAGAGGAAGCTGGATGCCAATGGACACAGCTTGGTGGCAGAATCAGAGGGCAGGCTTCCAATCGTGACTCTGCCATTGTGTTATCTTTGGGCATTTTTTGGGGGAGGCAGGTAACTTCTTTGAGACTCAGTTATTTCACCTGTAAAATGAAGCATTGCTATCTACCCTAAAGGTTTGTTACAAGGACTAAATAAGGCACAATTCACATCATGTGCAGTGTCTGGTACATACATATAGCAGGCTCTCCATGAATGAGCAGTGTGCTCTTAGCTGTACAGACTGACATGAGTCTCTTAGGATTGCAAAATAGCAATCATGATCCATGGGTATTGGCAGACTGAGAGGGCAGAGTGGACTTTGCTCACTGGGGGCAAAAAAAAAAAAAAAAAAAAAAAAAGATTTTTGGCTAAAAGACATAAAAAGAAAAGCACAAGATGAAGTGAGTCAGTGAAAGTCCCAGTCATCTGAATAGCCTGAAATGAGAAAGAGCATCTGGCTTCTCTTCTGCCTTCTGCATGAGGCCACAGCCAGGCCAGAAACGCAATTATTTTTACTGGTCCAGTGGTTTTCCACTGCCAACACCGATTTAGAGGTTGGAGAACAGGCTGCAGTGGAGGTGAGGAGATATTTCTGGTCAACTCCAAATCCAAAGCACACGGTAAATGCAGAGAATACTGAGAGCTGCAGGCAGGGTGCCTACACAAGATGCCTGTAGTAGGTTGAATGGTGGTCTCCCATAATATGCCCACCTGGAACCTGTGACTGCTGCTGTGTTTGGAAAAAGGGCCTTTGCAGATGTTATTATGCTAAGATAGATCATCCTGGATGCATCTCTGGATGGATCCTAGACCCAGTGGTAAGTGCCCCTGTAAGAGAAAGAAAAGGAGAAGAAACAGACAGAGGAGAGGGCCATGTGAAGTCTAAGGCGGAGATGGGAGTTACACAGCCACAAGTCCAGGAACACCTAGGGTTGCCGACGGCCATCAGAAGCTAGAAGAGAAGCAAGGAATGAATTCTCCCTCAGAGCCTCTGCAAGGAATCAACCCTGCCAACACCTTGATTTCAACTTTTGGCCTCCTAAACTGAGAGAATACATTTCTGTTATTTTAAGCCTTGCAGTTTGTGGTGCTCTAGGCAACTAAGATCGTGTCCAGGAAGGGAAGAGATAAAGTGGCAACGGTTGTGGGAGAAGTAGATGGGTAACATACTGAGGTTGCCCAGCAAACGGAAGTTCAATCTACCCACTTCATGTTTGATATATGAGCTAGGGAGCAGTTTACGTTAAGTGAAATTCTTAACATAATTTTGCAATGTAAGTATTTGTACTGTGCTTCAGCTATTTCCAGGAGTGCTAGCAAAAGGGAGACAGAAGAAGAAATATTACCCACAGCAATATTAAATGCAATTCATTGCCTGGGATAATCTGTAGAAGAATGCACAGACTATGATGCTATAGAAGGAAGTAATAGCATGTTCTGGGACTTCCTGCCTGTGAGTTGAGTAACTATGGTCAATCTGTATCCCCTGAGAGGGCTGGTAAGCGACCGAGGGCCATTATATACATTTGTGGTGGCTGCAATTATATAATTTACACTACAACTGCCTAACCCCTGCTGATCCTTTAATAAAGCATTGAGAAATCAGAAATTCTATAAAGCAATATGTTTAAACCAATGAAAACAGTAGCAGTTAAGAGTTGCAGGTCTCAATACCTCCCGTCGTTCCTTTGCATTCTATCATGACACAGTCCTCCGGCATTATTGAGAGCTTGCATGTGGTGGTACAGATCACCTTCCACTCACATGGGCAGGATTTTACAAATGTTCATGGGGACAGTTTGGAAACTGAATTCTCTGTATTCCAAATTAACTCAGAGAAGCATATGGATGGCTGTATTGAGCTGCCTCTGGGCATCTTGGGCTGATGGTGTGTTCCAGTTTAGTCAAATACATTTCCAATATTGCTGTGAGCTAATGGAGAGGAATCACACACATTTGCAATTTTTGGCAAGACGAATAGGAGCTTGTTTCTCAGTTCTAAAACAATGAATGCACCGTATGCCTTGTTTTCTCCAATTCTCATTTCAGAAAACAAAGATACCATTAATAAGATTCCCAAGTTCTTCCTTCTCTCACCTTCCCTATCGACTTTCTCTCTTTCCTTCCCTCTGTTCAAGTCAGGGTAGTCTGAAGGGAGTGTAATTAATAAGCTCCATCCCAGAGCACCTGGGGGTGGGTGGGCCATTGGAGCCAGAAAGCAAATTGGAATTTTCAAGGGGAGGATTTCAGATCATTTGTTAAGTCTGCCTTTCTGCTTCTGGAGGAATAGAGCAGGTGAAAGAACAGCAGGATGTAGCTGGGACATCATCCCACAAGAATTGGGTAGAGGCAGAAACAAAAAGAAGAGCCCAGAATGAGCAGCATCAGGCACATAAGGGGAGAGAAATTATAAATTAAAGACATTTAGAGGGGCAGCAAAAGATAAAAGCAGAAATAAAATATAACATAAAGAAAAAGATTCCAGGAGAAGTAGCAGATCAGGTAAAGGAGCAAGAAAAGAAAAAGAAATTGAAGAAAAGCAACTTAAAAGAACACAAGCACAGGTATCTAAAGTTAAACAGGACTTCAAAAAGCCTAAGACAGCAGCAAAAGAGAAGGAAGTGAAGACCAGCAGGAGAAGCAAGTGTCCTAGGATCAATTATGCAAAAGGCTTAAGGTTTTTTAATTAAGTAGCCTATTAGGGAGGAGTTGAATCAGCTGGCTGTAAAACAAATCACTCAAAAGTCAATGACTTAAATGTATCAATTCTTGCCTCTGTGGGTCACTTAGTGGTTGGTTGATCTGGGTTGGGCTTGTCTGGGAAACTGCTTCAATCTGAGGCCTAGTTAGGCTCGGCTCCTTGATGCAGGTTGGTCTAGGTCTTTGCACGTGTGCTCCTCCTAGAACAAGGGTGAGGAAATAACAGCTACGCAGAGAAAGGTCTTTCCATGGCAATGGTAAAGCATAAGAGATCAAGGCATTTAAAGCCTGTGTTTACATTATATCTGCTGACATTCCATTGACCAAGTTATGTCCTGTGGCCAAGCACAAGGCTTAATGGTGCAAGAAAATGCTCTTCCCATGGAGGTGACAGGGAGAGAGTGCACGTTTGAAAAATATTTTAATCACAGAGGTAAAACAGGGAGAAGATACAGGACGTTATCACAAATTTGTGACAATAATGCAACATATAACCAAGACACAAGCTTATATCTCGCAATCTACAAAGTTAAAGAATATCATGCCCTGTAACCAGTATGAGAAGTAGAGAATTCTTTATATTCCTCTTCCCTCAGTAGCTATGCTAGGAGAAGAATCATGTGGCTGTATTGAGATGGGTTAAGCCATGGCTAAGTTGTACCAAAATATCAGTTGCACTATTTTTTTCCCAACTCAGATGACACTTCTTGAATTCCATCTCTGGATATTGATTTTAGTTAGCAAACATTTATACCATCTGAATTAATGTATCACACAGAATTACAATGAGTTTGGCTTATAGAAACATCTTTATTGCAGCCGGGCGCGGTAACTTACACCTGTAATCCCAGCACTTTGGGAGGCCGAGGCGGGTAGATCACCTGAGGTCAGGAGTTTGAGACCAGCCTGGCCAACAAGGTGAAACCCCGTCTCTAATAAAAATACAAAAATTATCCGGGTGTGGTGGTGAGCACCTGTAATCCCAGCTATTCAGGAGGCCGAGGTGGGAGAATCGCTTGAACCCGGGAGGCAGAGGTTGCAGTGAGCCAAGATAGTGCCATTGCACTCCAGCCTGGGTGACAGAAGGAGACTTCGTCTCAAAAAATAAATAAATAAACAAACAAACATCTCTACTGACATAATGCATGAGATTTTTAAGATTGCAAAATAAGCTATTTAGAGTACCATTAAGAGCAGAATAGATGCAGGATGAAATGGCCAATGGCTGAAAAGTATCAAGCTCTTGGGTCACTGTGAACAGGAAAGAACTGAGCATCTCTGCAATTTCCCAAGCAAACCTAATTAGGGGAAATTAATATAATCCAATTAACAATGTTTCTCATGAATACGCCAAATTATACAACTCAAAATAAAATGTGTCAGAAGGCAATGGGGATATCTGGGCCCTAGTTTCAACTCAGCTACAAATTCACATTTAGCCTCTGACATGTTATTTCAGTTTCTTGTATGTTAGTTTCCCATTGTTTTTGTTTTGTTGGTAGCAATTAGGTCTTGCTATGTTGCCTAGGCTGATCGTGAACTCCTGGCCTCAAGCAGTTCTCCCTCCTTGGCCTCCCAAAGTGCCGGGATAATAGTCATGAGCCACCATGCCCAGTCTTAGTTTCCCAATTTTTTTTTTTTTTTTTTTGAGATGGAGTTTTGCTCTCGTTGCCCAGGCTGGAGTGCAATGGTGCGATCTTGGCTCATGGCAACCTCTGCCTCCTGGGTTCAAGCAATTCTCCTGCCTCAGCCTCCCGAGTAGCTGGGATTAAAGGCATGCGCCACCACACCCAGCTAATTTTGCATTTTTAATAGAGACGGGGTTTCTCCATGTTGGTCAGGCTGGTCTTGAACTTCTGACCTCAGGTGATCCGCCTGCCTCGGCCTCCTAAAGTGATGGGATTACAAGCATGAGCCACTGCGCCTAGCCAGTTCCCCAATTTTTGAAATAAAGTCATTCTACTAGTTAATCTGTAAGTTTCCTTCTGGATTAAGCATTTGCAAAGTTTTTATTGAGCATATACTTGTAGCTTCATGATAGGGGTGGCAAGATGAAGTTGTCAAGGCTCTGTTCTCAACATTAAAATTAGTGCGTTGGGACACAAATACCATACGATTTAATGTGGCAAGTGCTGCACAGAGAAATCTTCAGGAGGCCTTGGAGGGTTAAAGAAGTAACAAGCCCAGACCCACAGGAAGGCTGAAACCTGTGTTCAGTCCTGAAAAATGAACGCCAACTAATCAACTGAAGAAGAAAAAAACAGCATCCCAGGTGGAGGCAGAAGCAAGCCAGGAGTAGAGGCAGGAAAAAGCCTGAGATGTGTGAGAAGTCAGAAGCCTAGCGTCTGAATCAGGGATGGTTAGATTTGCCTAGAGAAGTCGAGTCGAGAGTGGGGCCATCCAAATTCTTATATGTTCTGCTAAAAAGGCGACTGAGACACTGAAAAATTGACAAGAAAAAGTATCATAGTGAATTTGCCTTTTTCAGATGGCTCACACAGGCGGAGAATAGATTTGGAGGGTAAGAGACTAGAGACAGAAAAACTAAGCCAGAAGCATTTGCAATAGAGCAAATGAGACATTATAAAAATCCAAACAAAGGCATTAAAAGTAGAGAAGGGGAGAGACAGGTTGACAAGTATCTAGGAAGTAAAATTAAGGGAGTATGTAATCAGTTCACTGTGTTATATGCTGAATTGATGTGGCAGTGGAACATCTGTGAAGAGATACCAGCAAGCATCGTGATTTACCTGTAACTTAGAAATAGAAATATAAGATCCCTTGAACAACACAAGGAAGGTCTGACATGGTGTAAGAAGTAGGGAATGGTTTTAGCGGACATGATGGAAAGTGAGTTTCACGAGGCTCTAGACAACAATGGCTATGTCATAAAATATGGACTAAGACACACCTATTTCTTATACACAAAACTCATTAGAACTACTGCTTCTAAATTAGAACCAAGTTTTCACCAGATTTTTCCAAATAGGTATTTTCAAACTTATACATGTTATGTGACCTCATGTGATTACAGAGTTCATGTTCTTAGCTATTAGGTAATTGTTAGTTTATTCATTTTGTTTATTCTATTTGGTTTTGCTTTTTGGGTCCAACACTGATTTACTCCAAAAGAAAAATCAGGGTTGAGAACCAACACTGATACACACACACACACACACACACACACACACACACACGCTTACATCCTGTTTTTTCTAACTGAAGTTATCTGAAAGAGTCTATGCCCCACAAAAGAAAGAGAATCAATACCCTCTTTTCATTTTGCATCTGTCTATGGCAACTGTGGGAAATTATGAAAAAAAAATCTATATTACAAAGAATGATGCCCCAAGACAGGAGAGTCAAGAGTGCTCAGAGAGAGGAAGACTCATGATTTTCCATCCAGGCACAATTTCTCCTCATACAAAGGAAATAAAAGAGATCAAGTCATGGACTACACATAAGTTGCCTTGTAGGTAGATGAAAAAAGAAGAAAGTGAAAAGATTTAAGAGACCTGGTAAGGGTCTGAAACGACATATTAGTGTGAGGAAAAAATCATTCAACATATGCTTTTTGGTTTCAGAGAACAAAAAAAATCACTTAAAGGAACATATGGGAATTTTTAAAAAATGCCTTTTGCCAGTAAAACTCCATCCACAGTGTATCCGTTTATAGCTCTGTTTCCAAAAGGCCAGATTTGGGTGAGAAATTGTAAAGGGTCACTACTTAAAAATTAACATGAACTGCTAAAGGGAAAGAAGGGTGGACACTTTTGAAATGTGTTATGAAATTATTTCATCATAATTGTTGAGATTTATAACAGAAATATGCAACTCTAAGATAACCAGTTACTAAGGAGTTAATAGTGTCCCCGTAGCACAGACTTTGCTGTGTCATAAAGACTTCAGAAACCCCAGAAGAACCAAGAACCCCAAATCGTATTTCACCAAGAATGTTCTCATATGTTGGTGGCATGTATCTGCGTCCCTCAGAACACTGTGGCATTCTTGGGAAGTTAATAATGACTCTGAGAGGTGGTATACAAATTCTGTGGTATCACTTAATGGAGATGGATGACAATTTGTGGTTGAGCCTACAGCTGGGCACGTCCCATTTGGTCCTCTTGTCCACTGGTGCTTTACTTTTGGATAGAGGAGCTCTGTGCTTCTCAAATCTGGCCCTGCTGTAGAATTGCCTGTGGTGCTTTTTACAAATAAAGCTGTTCAGGCTCCATTCCCAGAAATTGTTTCAGTGCTTGGGCACAGGCATTCTTAAAAACATTAAAAAGGCAAATAAAAAAACTGAATTGGTAATTTTGTTTCACAACCAGGGTTAAAAGCCAGAGGGAGAAAAGATGGAAAGAGGGAGGAAGGAGAAAAGAAGGGAACCAAATAAGCTCATTTGATCAATCCTTCCTCCTCTGCACTGAGTTTGTGGATGCCAAAACTCTGTGCAACTCTCTGGTTTGGGCCATTTCCCCTTTCTATACTCATGCCTTAATAGAAGCCCATGTGGTACATATACTTCCACAGTGGATCTAAGGTGCCTCATCTTGTCAATCTAGTAGAAGCAGTGGGATGCAGAAAGCTAGCCTACAAACAGGACATCATAAAAAGCAGTTGCCTAATTCTGGACTCTACTGGAATTAGGAATCAGATACTAAGCTTGGAAATAACAAGGAATAGAGGAATGACCACTAATTTAAAATAGTGATGAGTTATTCCAAAGTTCAATTCCAGAACACATATTGTTCAATACATTTTTTTAAAACAATTAAAGACACTCTTTCCAGGAAAACATTCCTGGGTAAACCTTTGATCTTTGATGTCCTCTAAAAGGTCTGCAGGTTGAACATGAATAATCTTTGCTGGCTTCAGTGACTCTCTCAGTTGACAGGCTTGGTGAAATTCTCTTCTGTTTTCCTTTTATGCTAACTAGTGTAGTGATTTTTCCTGCAATACTGGAAAAACTGGCTTTCACAAATGGTAAAAGGTGAAAAAGCCCATGGCTCCTGCATCCCTTATGAAATATTTAACTGCCTTTAGGGGTAAGTTTCATTCCCTCCTCTTTCCTCCATCCAGATTGCAATTTATCTATGAATAGATTTATGGCTATTTCCCTTATATCTTTTTTTTTTTTTTTTTTGAGACGTCTCACTCTGTCACCCAGGCTAGAGTGAAGTGGCACAATCTTGGCTCACTGCAGCCTCCACCTCCCGGGTTCAAGCGATTCTCCTGCCTCAGCTTCCCAAGTAGCTGGTACTACAGGTGCGTACCACCATGTCTGGCTAATTTTTTTTTTTTTAAATATTTTTAGTAGAGATGGGGTTTCACCAGTTGGCCAGGCTGGTCTCGAACTCCTGACCTCAAAGGATCCACCTGCTTCGGCCTCCCAAAGTGCTGGGATTACAAGCATGAGCCACCACTCCAGCCTATTTCCTTTAGATCTTGATTTGATATTCTGAATATGAATCAAAGAAAATTAATGAGTGTTTCAAAGTCTAAATAAGGAAGCTCCACAGATAATATTAACATTTCTTTGATCTAGTCATATTTATTATTGTGCTTCAATTAGAAGTAGCTGTAGGCTCTGAAAGACACAATATAAATAAAGCCTCCCCCTCACATGCCCTCACTCACACCCACACTTACACCAATGTAATTTTTAGACAGAAACACAAGCAAGAAATAGGATAGATTTTTTTTTTTAAGAAAATGGGCATTGGTTAAATTTTCTGGGACATATTAAAAAAAAACTATAAGAACTCCCAAAGGGTAGCCATTAGTAGAGACCTCATTCCATTGCAGGAAGTAAAATGGCAGGGTTATCAACAATTATTTAGGTAGTTGAAGGAAATATCTTATGCATATGTCTACTTTCCTACTAGTCTCACTTCTGCCCTCATTACACAGGCATTTTTATTCTAGACTCCTCTTCTCTTACCAAACTCATTCTCCACTACTCTCTCCTCAAGAGGCTTCTGTTTTCTGGATAAAACTACGAACAATTTGTATGATGTTTTTGGAGGGAAAGAGTATTATTTAGCACATTCTTCATAGATCCTGGGCTAATAAAGAAACTCACTAGGTCTCTGTGTGTTAAGCCAATAGTCTAAAACAAACTGAAGTAGCTACTGAAGTTTGGGTTCTCCAGAAGGCAGACTCTGAAATGAAGATATGCATGCAGAAAGATAATGAGGAAGCGCTCTTGAGATCAACACCCTTAGACGGGAAGGGAGGGCAGTAAAACTGGGCAGAGGATTGAAGTCAAAGTATGTCAGTCTCAAAGGAGACAGAACTCAACTTGATGAAAGTCTGAAACTAGCATGACCTTTCAGAGCTGTGCTGAGTTGAAACTAGCGGGCCAGGCCTTTGTTCTCCTGGGTTGATTGGTCATCAGATGTGGGCCACCTAGAATGCGGATACAACCTCGGGCTTTCTTTAGCTAAGTCAATCCGTATAGAGGCTGGTAGCTCCAGCTTAACACTCCCATCACGGCAGGAGGTTGGGGTCTACATTCTTCAGTGAGGGATTTAGACAGTGTATCCTGGCATCCATCACGTTATTTTTAGTGATTCAGTAATGACTGAAGAATCGAAACAGTTCAAGTTCTTTTTTTTTTTGAGACTGAGTCTCGCTCTGTTGTCCAGGCTGGAGTGCAGTGGCACAGTCTCGGCTCACTGGAACCTCCACCTCCCGGATTTAAGCAATTCTCCTGCCTCAGCCTCCCGAGTAGCTGGGATTACAGGTGCATGCCAACACACCCGGCTAGTTTTTTGTATTTTTAGTAGAGACAGGGTTTCACTGTGTTAGCCAGGATGGTCTCGATCTCCTGACCTTGTGATCCACCCGCCTCGGCCTCCCAAAGTGCTGAGATTACAGGCGTGAGCCACCACACCTGGCCTCAAGTTCACTTTTAAACAAATTTACCTGTTTCACCATGTTAAACCTTAATTAAAAGTATAAATGAGTCATGCTTGAGGGTCAGAATATTTGTTGCTTTATTATTGATACCTGGCGAGTCAGAGCCAATAAACTAACGGTAAGGTGATCACCGATCACTGGATAGCAGGCCTTGAAGAACTCTTATCCTGGGATGGGTGAGTGTCAACATCCAATAAACATCTATTAAATCATATCTTTCATTACCATCTCTATAAGCACAAAGTATGATTTTTTCTTTTTTTTTGCATGAAGGTGTGAACTTAAATTTTCTTTTTTGTTCATTTCAGCTGAGGTTCACTAAAAGACTATATGCCATTTGGGATGGGTGAATGGGCGCACACATTTAAGTGGAGGTGTTTTGAACTGTTCAGGCTTTCTGCAGAAGGAAAGAAAGAAATGCAGGCTTTACAAGAAACATCCACAGAGGAGCTCCTGAGAGGCGTGAAAAGATGAGCCCTATACCACTTGGACAGTCCAATAGACAGCTCCTTTGCCAATAAGGGGGGCTGACAACTGGAACCCCAGTGAGGCTGAGGGAGTCAGTAGTGAGAATGCTCAACAGAAGGTAACAAATATGGATCCTGAATTGAGTTACCTTCCTGTGTTGAATCCCTGATTTAAATTTTTAAATGTTATTAATGTATGTTTCTTGTTGGTTCTTATGGTTAACTATTCTTATTAATGAGGGGTTGCCTGGCTAATTTGCTATGTGATGAAGCATGATGTAGAGGAGTTCTGAAACAACATTTAGAATGAATTCATTACCAGAAGGATATTCAGTTGTAAGAACTGGACTCTGTATTTCCCTTCTAGTTGCAACATAAAAGATGGTCAAAATGTCAAGGTTTTTCTAGCAATAATATATATATTTTTGAGCTCCTGTGTTTATCTGTAAGCTCTTCTCTGCCACTGCATTTTTTTTCTGCAGATATCAGCATATTCTCCACAAACCTGCTGATTGCTCGCATTAGCTTGTAGTATTCATCTCAAGTGCTCATCAAGCAGTGTTTGTCTCCTCTGAGCTTCTGATTTTTTAAAATGCCGTTACCTTCCTCCCCAGGCTTTTTGCTAAAGGTTTTTCTGTAAGACATTTATTCAGTATATTGGACATCACACAACTATTTTGTCATTTGGTTAGATTTCCTAAAGCTCTCTGGAAAGTCACTTGCCACTTTGTCATCAAAAGAGATAGAGAAAGAAGAAGGGGAGGGCGGGGAGATATGAAGGACTTTTCTTCCTGGGTTTTACAGGTAACTTTTTTGATGAAGATCATAAGAAAACGATTAAAAGAGAACTGATAATGAGCAACACGAAATTAAGATCAAATGGGCTTTTCTTAAGTCTTGTTAGCCGGAACAACAAAAACAACAGCAAAAATGAATGAATTAATAAGGAAGTAAAGACAGGCTGCCAGGAACTTGGAAGAAGCAAATGTAGAATGAGTGCTGAAACCAGTGAGAATGAACTTCTGGAAGCCATCCCAGGGGTCTCGGTGCACAGCAGCAGTGTCACCTAGAAAGACAGGCCTGCCTTGCTCCAGTGGCTTAGTCTGTACTGGCCTGAGGAGTGTGGAGAATTGCCAGCTCCCCAAGAATAGTGGCTATTAACCACTTGCACTGCTTCTAGGTGAGGGGAAGGTGCACCATTGAGGGCTGCATATTGAGCTCTGATCTGCAGCTTTTCTTCACCCACTCTTTCTTCCTCTTTTCTCATCATCTTTGAGATCTTTCTCAGGTTGTGTGCCCCATCCTAGAGTTGGCAGCCAAAGGAAAAGACAGGGGGATTTAAAAGGTCTGGATACTTAGAGGGGGTTCTGGAAAAGCATTCCATGGAGAAGGCATCTGAACTGATTAATTGGAGTTCTGTGGTGGTTCTAATAGCCATGGCTGTCCTCAGGGAGTCAGGTCCTCTGGAGTTGTATGTTACCTTAAAAAGTAATTTTCATGCATTTGCGTGTTTCTGTGTGTAAACTGAATACCAACAGCAAAAAATTTAAAATATAGACATATTGGTTCCTACACTATTGCTATGTAGTGACATTTGTAAGGACTTTTATGGTGTTGCATGCTAATTCCCCTTCATTAGCTTATTTGGTTCTCATTAGGAGTTTATTATTATCAATTTACAGGTGATGAGAACTCAGGGAGGTGAAGTGGCTTGTCCAAGACCACACGGCTGGAAGTTTTCCAGCTTGGCAGAAAAGTTACTCAAGAACAGTTATTGGTGTTTGACCACTGTTTCGTGTAAAGGGCAGTGGTAAAAGGATCACAGGCCTGAAATTCTCGGATGGTTTCAGTTTAAACACTTTTTTTTTTGAGACAGAGTCTTGCTCTGTCGCCAGACTGGAGTGCAGTGGCGCGATCTCGGCTCACTGCAACCTCTGCCTCCCGGGTTCAAGCGATTCCCCTGCCTCAGCCTCCCGCGTAGCTGGGACTACAGGCGTGCTCCACCATGCCCGGCTAATTTTCTTTTTTTTTTTTTGTATTTTAGTAGAGACAGGGTTTCACCATGTTGGCCAGGGATGGTCTCGATCTCCTGACCTCGTGATCCGCCCGCCTTGGCCTCCCAAAGTGCTGAGATTACAGGCATGAGCCACCACGGCCGGCCTCAATTTAAACACTTTAAACTGTTCTCTTGATGGGTATCAGACAACGTATGCCAAATGTTGATGTGGAGACTGGGATCATTGCAGATATTGATGGCTCCAGCACTGGGCATTTTTAAAGAAATAATGGTATAAATGTGATCCTATTATGCAGAAGAGGGAGAGGATTCGCTTAGGGCTTCCAGTTAAAATTCAGGACACCCAGTGAAATTGGAATTTCACGTAAACAATGACTAATTTTGTAGTATGAATTTCCATGTGATATTTAGAACATGCTTATACTTAAATACAGAGTGTCCTGTATTTTTATTGGATGGCAAGGTTGATCTGGAAACCCTAGTAAAGGATATTAACTTCAAACTTTGTTTCCAGTGAGCATGGGAAATAATTTTTGTCAGGCCCCAAGGCAATAGGAAGGGCACCCACTTTGAGCTTATCTTCCCTCTGAATGCCCTGACCCAACCCTATTCTCCTGCTCAGTTCACATTGCAAAATGTACATTGCAGATAACTGACTAGTCTTTAGAATCCTGGGATCTCACCTTCCAGGTCTTATTAGCACCACGCTCTGAGAGCAGTTACCAGACTGGCAAGATCAGAAGTGCAGACTGGTGGGTTGGCAGGATAACCTCAGTCGGGCATCTGAGGGTATTACACCTACATGCAACAGACACAACTCATGGGATGGAACAAAGCAACTTAATTTTGTCTCCCATCATCCCCCGAAGAAAAGCGTTTAGAGAAAGGCATTCTTCCCTGCTTCTTAAAAAAGTTCTGAGCAGTCCATGACTTTACTGGTCATGCTTAGGAAATGAAGTGTCTTAAAGATACTTTAAGTCACTAGATACAGTATTTCACAAAATTTAGAATGTTGATTACTATATAATAATTTAAACTTCAAACATGTTTGTTTTGAAGTTAAAGCCTTTCCCCTTTGCCAGCTGGTGCTTTTCATAGGTGGAAAGTTGGGAAAGTGGGGTGTGGTCATCCTTCCTCCTTTACCTCAACTCTTTTATTTTTTTGAGACAGAGTCTCACACTGTCGCCCAGGCTGGAGTGCAGTGGGCACAATCTTGGCTCACTGCAACCTCTGCCTCCCAGGTTCAAGCAATTCTCCTGCCTCAGCCTCTGGAGCAGCTGGGATTACAGGCACCCACCACCACGCCTGGCTAATTTTTGTATTTTCAGTGGAGACAGGTTTTTGCCATGTTGGCCAGGCTGGTCTCAAACTCCTGACCTCAGGTGATCCACCTGCCTCAGCCTCCCAGAGTGCTGGGACTACAGGCGTGAGCCACCGTGCCCGGCTGACCTCAACTCTTTTCCTATTAACTTTTGTTTCTACTGCCTTCTGGGTTAAAAAGAAGGGAGGAAGCAGAGGGCAGAGAACAGAAAAGATGGCTTTGTTTCCTTGGGCCAAGCTGATCTTTGAAGTTAATTAATTTTTATGAAGCATTTTTGTTGATTCTTCAAAGGCCTCAACCCCATGCCATCATCAGATACTGCCCACCTCTGGTAGCCTTTTACAGGTGACGTGTCTGCTCTATTTCATCATCTTTCTCTCACTTGACCAAGGAATCCGGCACTCCCTTTAGATTCTAACTGCTAAGGCCTGTTTACACTTCTGGATAGCCCTACTGGACAGAATCCAAGATAGTCCTACACCAGCATTTTTCCAACTTTCTGGTCTGTGTGTACCACTCTTGTATCCTTTGCCCCAATAAATCCAATCCTAACAGAGCAATGACCTACCCTTTGCACCACTGTAAAAGCTGATAAACCATTTCTAATCTTTTACATTTTTCATGTGGAGACACGCCTCAGGCCAATATATTCCCTAACTTCAAGGAAAGTTTTTGACTTTCTTGGAATGGCCTTACTGAAGCTTTTCTCACTAGGCTTAAGGTGAGAAGCAAACACTTTCTCCACCTCTCCTCCTTGTGGGAGAAGAATGAGATTCACCATATACCAGCACCTATCTTCAAAAAGTTTGTCCTCAAAACAAACAAATAAAAACATAAAAACAACTTTCCACAATCCTTTCAGACTAACAGTATGAGGAAGGGGTTTGAGTTCTTTAAGGGATCATACCTTTCCTTTTTAAAAGTTTTGTAGGATGATCTCCATGGAATATAGCAGGCATTGTCTTATGCCTGAGCCAAAATCAAGAGCCACATTTTAACATCCTATTAAGCCGGGAAAATATGTACTGCCATTGAGAGAATATGCATATTCAGAATTTGCAATGATTCTGTGGACCTTAAGCCCGTGTTAGGACTCTCCAGGGGTGTAGGAATGTCTGACCAGGGCAAGGCTGTGTGTTTTTACATTTCTAATAAAGAGGAGTGCTCCGGCCTCATAATTCCTCCCATGCAAGGCATGGGTTCTTTTGGATGTAGAATGCACATATAATGAACCAAACCACTTAAAAGCCCTTCTTTGGAAGTACACTGCCAATCACTGCAAGGGCCTGAAGGGCTAAGAGAGTCATTTCCAGTCATGGCTTTCAAGAGTACTTATAATTTAAATTAGCTCTCAGAGCATTCTGGATTTCCTAAATAATATGTGTTATAAATGACTTGTTATGGAGGAAGTTGACCAAATCCAGCACATTTTAATCAATGAGTCAATATGCCTCTAAGGAATGACCACGGACCTCTGAGTACCTTCTCAAGGAGGCTGCCAAGTGCCATGACTTTAACCAGCTAACATGTGGAATGATGTACTTCATTCCCTCATTGTTCACTGGCCCCAGTAGAGTCTGCAAAATAAAAGCATTACAACACCCACCATAAGAAGGCATTCCCAGCAGCCACTCTTCTGTTGAGCTCTTTGCTCAGTCATCTTCAACACAGGGCTTGGGTCTGGCCATCAACAGGAGCTCTCAGTAGAGTTGACCGAGCCACAAGCCAACAAGATACTAAAACATTTAGGCAATTATGACTACCTTTTCTTGTTCTTCTTTGTTTAGATTATTTTGGAATTGGTAAAAAGTAGGGGTTAATGTCAGGAAGTTCTGGGTACATGTATCATGGTTCTTCAGCTTCCTATGTATGACATCTGAGTTTCACTTTTTTCATGAAGGAAATAGAACAGTAATAGTACCTATCTTACAGGTAGTTGGCAGAACTGAGTAACATAATATATGTAGATAGTATAGGAAAATTTTTACTATATGCTAAATGCTAAATATGGGTTTTTAAGTATTAAATTAGGCTATTACGTTGGCATAGCTCAAGTTTTTCATTCTGAGTGACTTACAACCACTGCCTCTATTAGTGTGCCAAGTTACAGTTTACAAAGCATTTACACACATCACAGATAGTCCCACCACCAACAGATTATTACTGTTTACATTTTAGTGTATTTTCTCCCACTTTAACTTCTATTTGTATATATGTGTAATTTTTAAAGAATTAGATTCATACTAAAGTCACAGTTATGCCTCTTATTTTTAAAATAATGTTATAATTAAAATATTCCTCATATCATTAAATATATTTCAAAACAAGTTCTTGATAGCTGCATTTTCCTTCCTGTGGAAGTACCAGCCTTAATTTAACTATTCCTCAGGTTGAACATTTAGATTAAGTATTTTTTATATCATAAATAATGTTGCAATGAATAAACTTAAATGATTCTCTCTCCAAATTTTTCTCAGTTTTTCTTTAGGACACACCTAGAAGAGGGAATGGACATTCTTAAGGCTCATCATACATTGCTAATTACTTTCCATAAAGTTTATTCCTGTGCTATAAATTTTTTGTATGAGGATTCCTAAATTTATTTCTTAAACTAATTGCAAGATCCAAGTTTTTAATTGTGAACTATACGTAACATAAATTTACCATCTTAACCATTTTTAGTGCACAGTTCAGTAGTATTATGTACAGTCACACTGTTGTGCAGTGGACCTCCAGAACTTTCTGATCTTTCAAAACTAAAACTCTGTACCCCTTAACAATAATCTCTCATTTCACTCTTGCCCAAGCTCCTAAAAAGAAAATGTAAAAAGAAAAACTAAGAAATGCAGAATACAGTGCAGAGTAAGAACTGGATTGGTATCAAGCTCAAAAAGCAACACTGGGAAGAGTAAAGACAATGAAGTAATGTTTGGAAACACGAAACAAAGAAAACACTAAGAAATCAACAGAGGTGACCATAACAGAATAGGAAAAAGAAGGACTTTTTAGTGACATTATTACCTAATATAGAGAAAAATAAACTGGACCACTACCTGTTATCATCTGTAGAGGTGAACTCTTGGTGAATTAAAGAACTAATGTAAAAGTAAAATTATAAACTTAAAAGAAGAAAAGGTATGAAAACTTCTTTGTCACTTAGATGTGAGAAAGGACATCTTAAAAATTTGAAAACACAAATCAATATGTTAAACATTTATTAATTTGATTACATTAAAGTTAGGAGTTAACATTCCATAAAAGGTATCATGGGAAAAAAGTCAACAGAGAGATAAGAGTCATTAGTCTCACAGAAGCAGAAATTAAAATAGCAATGAGAGCTGAGTAATGCCTAGTGTTGGTGGGAATGTGGTGATGGGGGCCATGGAAACCCGCACATGTTATGAATGGGAGTGAGGCTTGGTGCAGCCTTTCTGGAGGGCAGCCCAGTAACCCCACCCAAGGTGTACATCAAAGAGATTCTTCCACAGGTCTGTGAGGAACATACACAAGAATGTTGTTTGCAGTAGTACGATCTGGAGCCAATTGAAGTGGCTGTCATGGAGTAATGGCTAAGTCAGATTCCACACCATGGAATTCCATAGAGCACAGAGCAGCAATGGGCTCATCCAGCAACACAAATAGGCCTTTCAAACATCATGCTAAGCAAAGTAAAGGGAAAAAAGAAAAAAGGAAAGGAAAAAAGAGAGAAAAGGATGAGATTTAGTGCAACCATATTTGTGTAAATTATAGTTATAGTCATAAAATATGGGTGGGTCTTATTGCATGTAGGGATGGGGGCAGCCTGTCTTCAATGCCCACACTCTTGATTATTCCAAACCACCATGCTGAAATCTCTTCCCAGGGATGACAGCACTGACCACAGAAGAACACACAGATAGATATGTGTCCTGTGTCACCACAGGCCACAGCTATAAGCATGGTTTGGCCACTGCTTTTTCTGTTTACCAACCCATACCTCACCAAAGACCTTGTACATGGGGCGAGGGAGGGCCAGCCATACACAGCATCAATAAGTGGCTTCCTCCAGCCTTTCTGAAAGATGCCAGATGCCTCTTATTGTGTGTGGTACAAACAAGCTGATATGATATGAAATATTCTAAATGTGGGCATGCTGATCCATGCTCCAAATAAAAGTCTGCTCTCAGAAAAAAATGAAATAAAGGAGCAGAGAAACAGCTATTCAGATGAAAGCAAAATACTGACACAATGCCAATTTCAACTTAAGAAAATAGACCACCTCTTGAAGAGTGAAATTTCTATACCCACAAGCATTATTCCAACAAAGTCTGCACAGATCTGAAGCATGTGGTCTTAATAAACCTTATTCCATAGTCCTTAGATTACTATTAAAATAGGGTTAACACGGGGACTATTGCAAGTAATTATAAGGAAAAACAATAATGTCTGCCTTTGTTATGAGGGTAGTTTACAATTAGCAATAAATGCCATTGTGCCAATATTTTCAGTAGGAGACCAGGCACTAGAGAATTTGAGATACAAATCGAATTCTGCAAGTGGAAAAAGAAAATGGCAGTAGCGCATGTTATCAGTACTTCTCCTTAATAACAAGGGTAAACACCAGAGTCTCATCCTAAGAAAGGGAAGATTAAGCCAGGGCTCCTTATCAATCTGCCATGAGAGACTCAAGGTGTCAGAATTAAGTCCTGTGGGTCACAGCATGAGATGAGGATAATGTGCAAAGACGGCCAGGCATCAATATTCCAAAAAACAACTTGATAATTGCTTCATATCACATCTAACACACAATGATAAAGAATGTCAGAGTAATTACTCCTAGGATACCAGGGACCGCCACACTGCAATTATCATTGCAGCCCGGGTTGGTTTGTGTGTGCTTGTGTGTCTCTCTTCCTGCTGCTATATTTCCTCCATGCAGATATGTCACTCAGATTGGTAAATTTAGCTCTTGGGGGCATAAGGGTTCCTTCTGAACTACCGAGATTGAAGTGCACCAATGTAATATTTGCTTCTTACTGGTAAAAGCTTGAACCCATTTGACAAAGGCTGACAAGAAGAGAAAGCTTTGAAAAATGAACCTAGGCCTGTAAATACACTTTAGATGTTTTCACCACTCTCCAGTTATTCCAGCATATTTTATACCTGAGATTGCAAATAATGAAGACAACTGAGACAAATATTCTAAATAAAGAATGTCTTCAGCTTTGCTATGGGAATATAAATAAAATCTAAAGGAATTAGGGAGTTTTTATTTACTTTGTTCTCTTGCTTTTATACTTTCCTGGGGAGGGAATCACACCACCTGTAGAAGTCATTACTGAGAGCTTCTGCAAGAGTTAGACAGTGGAAAGTAAGGCAAGGACGAATCTTTTATGACTGTGAGCTTTAAATTAGCATCTCCTGGCCAGTCTGAGAAGTCAAGAGCAAACATAATCAGAGCTTGCAGCATGTGACAGTCCATATGTTGCAGGCCTTCCTGCCTAATTTCAGACTAAGGGGCAAACCCTGCCTCTACTATCAAGGTCAGCAGAAACATGCAGCTCTTCTCAATGCTCTTCTCTTATCTGAAATAGACAACAGATGGCTGTCAACAAAATCGCTGACCCATCTCTGCAACTCTTGGCTCTGTCTTAACAATAGAAGTGATTATTTATTGAGCAGTGACTATGTACCAGGATCGAAATACTTGACATGTATTTACACATATTGTCTCATTTAGTTTTCAGCTACCCCATGAGGTCTTATTATTATCCCCATTTTATAGGTAAGGACACTAAAACATTGGAAGTTTTAGAAACTGGACAAGGTTTCACAGCTACCGAGTAGCAAATGCCAGGTTTTAAACCTCAGAAGTCAGACGTGAGAGGTCTTACACTTGACCGAGATGGTGGAAGAGCCTCCTATGTCAACTACATTGAATCGATCAACAGGTGACAATTGATAATCAATTGACAAAAATCTGGCCATCTTTCAAATGTTCACTAAGTGTTTTATAACGCATAGCCTGAGCATGTTGCACCCAAATCACTTTGGTCCAGATTTACAATTCATGTTATCATTGTTTGAAAAAAGAAAGGGGCCAGGGTGGGAGGAAGGAAGTCAGGTTTCACAGTGCCTACAGACAAATGGAAGCTCAGTTTAATTTCCTGTCATACAGATAATTAGCCACCAAATAGGTCCTAAAGTAATTAAAAACATAATAAACCTAATGAAACAAGGTCTGCATTCCGGTTAAAGATGAAAAAATAAAAGTCAGAAATCACTAGTAAATCATGAATTTACTCAACAGGTGAACTGTAATTGTCTTTTTTTTTTTTTTTTTTTTTTTTTTTTTTAGTACTGGCTTTCCTCAGAACTAGGAGTTAAACCGTAAGTTGGCTGTGAATGAACTCAGCATCATTGTAAGCAGCAACGTGTCTATGATTACCTCCTCCTGGGACAGAGGGGCAGTGACAGGCCCTGGAAGCAGAGGAATTAGGTGTCATGTCAGGTTCTTGTCATGTTGGTGTTGACCGGTTGGTTACCAGTTGAGCAGAGGGAATACCTGTGAGGTATCTGGAGTAGCTGGAAAGCCAGTATTCCCTGGACAGAGGAGCCTCATTACCCATCCACATTTTCTTGAGGTAAGGGAGAAGCCCCAGGAATGGGAGAACCCAAGACTCACACTATCACTTTCCCAGCTCTTGCTCAGAACTGGCCATGCTATTTCCCAAGCTAGTGATCACATTCTCTCTGTCTGAGGCCCAGGGATAGAATACCAGAAAGGTACCGCTCAAATCCGCTGAACTACTAGTTCAGACCATGAAGACCATCAATCCTCCTCTACCTGGCTGGTCTCAACTAAACAAATTAGTCAATTTCCTGTAAAAGAAAATAGTTACAAATCTTTTCTTTCTTTCTCTTTCTTTCTTTTTCTCTCTCTGTCTCTCTCTCTCTTCTTTTCTTTCTTTCTTTCTTTCTTTTTCTTTCTTTCTTTCTCTCTCTTTCCTTCCTTCCTTCTTTCCTTCCTTCCTCTCTCTCTCTCTTTTCTCTCTTTCTTTCTTTTTTTTTTGACAGAGTCTTTCTTTGTCATCCAGGATGGAGTACAGTGTCATGGACTCACCTCACTGCAACCTCTGCCTCCCAGGTTCAAGCGATTCTCATGCCTCCCGAGTAGCTGGGATTACAGGCATGCAACACTACGCCTGGCTAATTGTTGTATTGTAGAGATAGGTTTTCACCATGTTGGCCAGGCTGGTCTCAAACTCATGGCCTCAAGTGATCCACCTGCCTCGGCCTCCCAAAGTGCTGGGATTACAGGCGTGAGCCACCGTGCCTGGCCACGAATCTTTTCTTAAAATCAATTCTATGATCTAAGTTGCTAACTAGAAATTCATGTTGACTGCACCAGAAAAGAAAGACTCAAATGAAATAATGATGAGCAGAAAGTACACATATGGTAAAAGAAATGGCCAGCAAACTACTTAGTGAGGCTAGAAGCTCCATGTATAGAAATCGCTCTAAGTAGGGAGTTAAAGGCTGGGTCTGAATTCCAGCTGAGCCATTCACTGCTGTGCAACTGTAAGAAAGATACCTAATCCCTCTGGGCCTTTGTTTCTTCAGCTTTAAACTGGAAATATGAACTCTTGCCTCACAAATTTTTATGAAGATTAAACAAGTCAACACCTATGGAAATGTCTAGCATGCTACCTGGCGTATAGTGAGTTCTCCACAACACTAGGTGTAAACAAATCCAAAGCAGTGCTGAAAGTAACAATATTAATAACACAAATTTCCACACCTTTCATATTCCATCCCTTTATCAATAATTAAAATGATAATTTTATAATATACTAAGTATTTTTATGTATTTAAGGCTACTTCTGGGTTTTCTATTCTCTATTCATGATCTCATATCACAGTGATTAAATAATTATGACTTTATATTATGTTTGAATAACTGTTGATGTTAGTCCTTTCTCATTACTCTTATAGATTTTTTTCTAGCTAACCTTGCTATTTTACTTTTCCTTGTGTACTCTAGAAACCACAAATTTAGGTCAAAAATTTATGTGGGGATTACAAATAAATGAGTTATCAAGCCATGAAAAGACATGGAGAAAATTAAAATGCATATTCACAAAATAAAACAAGCCAGTCTGAACAGACTAAGTGGTTCCAACTATATGACATTCTGGAAAAGGCAAAACTATGGAGATGGCAAAAAGATCAGTGGTTGCCAGGGATTGCTGGAAGGAAGGGATGAGTAGGCAGAGCACAGAGGATTTTTAGGGCAGTGAAACTACTGTGTATGATATTATAGGATACATGTCATTAGATGTTTGTCCAACCTATAGAATGTACAGCACCAAGACTGCACCCTAATGTAAACTGTGGACTATGGGTGATAATGACATGTCAATGTAGGTTCATCAGTTGTAACAAATGTACCACTCTGGTGGAAATATTGATAATGAGGGAAGCTGTGCTTGTGTGGGAGGAGGGGGTATATGAGAACTCTCTCTTTCACTCGATTTTGATGTGAGAATAAAAGTGCCCTAAAAAGTTTTTATTATTAACAAAATTTTATAAAATTTATATTGATATTTGATATGGTTTGGCTGTGTTCTCATTCAAATCTCAACTTGAATTGTATCTCCCAGAATTCCCACATGTTGTGGGAGGGACCCAGGAGTAGGTAATTGAATCATAGGGGCCAGTCTTTCCTATGCTATTCTCGTGATAGTGAATAAGTCTCAGGAGATCTGATGGTTTTATTAGGGGTTTCTGCTTTTGCTTCCTCCTCATTTTCTCTTGCTGCCGCCATGTAAGAAGTGCCTTTTGCCTCCTGCCATGATTCTGAGGCCTCCCCAGCCATGTGGGGCTGTAAGTCCAATTAAACCTCTTTTTCTTCCCAGTCTCAGGTATGTCTTTATCAGCAGTGTGAAAACGGACTAATACAGTAAATTGGAACTAGTAGAGTGGGGCATTGCTGAAAAGATAACTGAAAATGTGGAAGCGACTTTGGAACTGGGTAACAGGCAGAGGCTGGGAGAGTTTGGAGGGCTCAGAAGAAGACACAAAAATGTGGGAAAGTTTGGAACCTCCTAGAGATTTGTTGAATGGCTTTGACAAAAATTCTGATAGTGATATGAACAATAAGATAAAGGCTGAGGTGGTCTCAGATGGAGATGAGGAACTTGTTGGGAACCGGAGCAAAGGTGACTCTTGTTATGTTTTAGCAAAGAGACTGGAGGTATTTTGCCCTTGCCCTAGAAATTTGTGGTACTTTGAACTTGAGAAAGATGATTTAGGGTATCTGGCAGAAGAAATTTCTAGGCAAAAAAGCATTAAAGAGGTGACTTGGGTACGGTTAAAAGCATTCCATTTTAAAAGGTAAACAGAGCATAAACGTTTGGAAAATTTGCAGCCTGATGATATGGTAGAAAAGAAAACCCCATTTTTTTTGAGGAGAAATTCAAGCCAATTGCAGAAATTTGCATAAGTAGCAAGCAGCCTAATGTTAATCCCTAAGACCGTGAGGAAAATGTCTCCAGGCCATGCCAGAGACCTTCACAGCAGCCCCTCCCATCACAGGCTCAGAGGCCCGGGAGGAAAAAGTGGTTTTGTGGGCTGGGCCCAGGATCCCCATTCTGTGTGCAGTCTAGGGATTTGGTGCCCTGTGTCCCAGCCACTCCAGCCATGGCTGAAAGGGGCCAATATACAGCTCTGGCTGTGGCTTCAGAGTGTGGAAGCCCCAACCCTTGGCAGCTTCCACATGGTATTAAGCCTGCGGGTGCACAGAAGTCAAGAATTGAGGTTTGGGAACCTCTGCCTAGATTTCAGAAGATGTATGGAAACACCTGGATGCCCAGACAGAAGTTTGCTGCAGGAGCAGGGCCCTCATGGAGAACCTCTGCTAGTGCAATGTGGAAGGAAAATGTGGGGTTGAAGCCCCCACACAGAGTTCCTACTGGGGCATTGCCTAGTGGGGCTTTGACAAGAGGGCCACCATCCTCCAGACCCCAGAATGGTAGATCCACTGACAGCTTTCACCATGTGCTTGGAAAAGCTGCAGACACTCAACACTAGCCTGCAAAAGCAGCCAGGAGGGAGACTGTACCCTGCAAAGCGACAGGGACAGAGCTGCCCAAGACCATGGGAACCCACCTCTTGCATCAGCATTACCTGGATGTGAGACCTGGAGTCAAAGGATATCATTTTGGAGCTTTAAAATGTGACTGCCCTGCTGGATTTCAGACTTGCATGGGCCCTGTATCCCCTTTATTTTGGCCAATTTCTCCCATTTGGAATGGCTGTATTTACCCAATAACTGTACGTCCATTGCATCTAGGAAGTAATTAGCTTGTTTTTGATTTTACAGGCTCATAGGCGGAAGGGACTTGCCTTGTCCGTCAGATGAGACTTTGGACTGTGGACTTTTGGGTTAATGCTGAAATGAGTTAAGACTTTGGGGGACTGTTGGTTTTGAAGGCATGATTGGTTTTGAAACGTGAGGACATGAGATTTGGAGGAGCCAGGGGCAGAATGATATGGTTTGGCTGTGTCCCCATTCAAATCTCAACTTGAATTGTATCTCTCAGAATTCCCACGTGTTGTGGGAGGGACCCAGCCAGAGGTAATTGAATCATGGGGGCTGGTCTTTCCCATGGTATTCTCATGATAGGGAGTAAGTCTCACAAGATCTGATGGGTTTATCAGGGGTTTGCACTTTTGCTTCCTCCTCATTTTCTCTTGCCGCCACCTTGTAAGAAGTACCTTTCATCTCCTGCCATGATTCTGGGGCCTCCTCAGCCATGTGGAACTGTAAGTCCAATTAAACGTTTTCTTCACAGTCTCAGGTATGATTTATCAGCAGTGTTAAAACGGACTAATATAGTATTTTATTGGAATTATATTGAATTTATTTCTTATTTAAAGGAAAGCAACATGTATGAAGTTGAGTCTTGCCACTCAAGAACATTGTCTCTTTCATTGGTTCAAGTCTTTCTTTGTAAACTTCAGGATATTTTTAAGATTTTTTATGTAGATCTCACAAATTTTTAAAATATGCTATATTCTTTGGTATATTATATATTTTTGAAAAATGGGGCTTCTGTTTCCACTATATATTCTCTTTGTTTATTGCTTGTACAGAAAATTTACTGATATTTTCACATTAATATTGTACACAGCCAAGTTATTGAACATTTCTATTGTACAAATAGTTTGTTTTTCATTTGCTTCTCCTGGGCTTTCTTTCTCTATATTATTCATAAAGAATACCTCCAGAATAATGATAAATTAGGTAGACATAATAAGCATCTTTGTTGTATTCCTTCTGTGGAAATGTTCCAGTGTTTTCCTGGTCAGCATGAGGCTGGCTTTTATATTGAGATCAGTGTGTTTTATCATGTTAAGAAAGAATCCATCTATTGTTTTATATGCTCTGACTTTTAAGCCAGGTAAATAAATTACCTAATCAAAACCAATAGATAAAATTTTAAAAGAAAAATCAATTAATGCTTTATCTCAGATGCAAACACCAAGCTTCATGTTTCAAGAGATTATGGTGAATGCAGGCTCACACCAGCAGTTCTCAGTGTGGTCCCTGGGCCAGCAGTATTAGCATCACTTGGGAACCCACTAGAAATGCAAATCCTAAGGCCCCACACCAGACCTACTGTATCAGAGTCACTGGGGGTGAAGTAGTGGTCCAGTAATGTGTGGCCTTAACAAGGTCCTCTAGTGGATCTCAACGTGTGTTAATGTTTGGGAACCATGGGCTTAGCTGGATTAACAGATCAAATAGATGATGAACAAGGGCATTTTAGGGTATTAGTAGGGAAAAGCCATAACTGACATTCAATTAACAACCATATGGGGCACAGCTGGAGGGTGGCTAGGAGGGTGCTAAGAGCTTTCGTCTGTTACAAACTTTGTCCTTCCCCAATCAGAAAGATACTCCAGCCCTTTACTTGAATTGGATGCATAATCCTAAATTCTCACTTTGGTTAATAGTAAAGGAAAGGCATTGCAGCACTATGAGGTTTCTGTTGATAGTGTGACGGGTTTTGGTAATGGGTTTTCCCAGAAGCACACCCTGAGATACAAATTCAGGGCTAGTAGTTTATTTTTGAGGTAGTCCCAGGAAGTGTGAATTAAAAAAAAAAAATGAGGCAGTGAAATAGGGAAAAGAAGGCAACCAACAAAGTGTCTGCTATTAAGACGGATGATTCAGGGAGCAACTGGAGCTTAATCCTACTGGAAAGCTCTTGGAAAAGGTGCAACTACAGGCCACAGAATGATCCCATCCCTGGGGGAGAGAGCTTGGATATTTATATGCCATATTCAGAGAGTCACTGGATGAGTGATGCTCCTAGGGGAGTTAATTCCTGAGCACTGTGGGCTTCAAGGCTCTCTGCACTTGGTAAAAAGGACGCTCCAGGCCGGGCATGGTGGCTCACGCCTCTAATCCCAGCACTTTGGGAGGCCGAGGTGGGTGGATCACGAGGTCAGGAGCTCGAGACCAGCCTGGGCAGCATGGTAAAATCCTGTCTCTACTAAAAATACAAAAAATTATCTAGGCACAATGCTGCATGCCTGTAATCCCAGCTACTCAGGAGGCTGAGGCAGAGAATTGCTTGAACCCAGGAGGCGGAGGTTGCAGTGAGCTGATATCACACCACTGCACTCCAGCCTGGGCGACAGAGCGAGACTCCATCTAAAAAAAAAAAAAAGAAAAAAAAGAAGAAGAAAAAAGAACCCTCCAGCACAGATAGTGGTGGCTGGAAGTCAGATGGAGCACACGGAGAGATCAAAGGGGGTAGGGGGACCACTGACCCACTGACCGTGTCTGCTGCATCCACTGTGTCACTGCAAGTTGGACCATAGCAGTGTAGTCCCCTAGACTGGCACATCAGCATCATTATGTGTATCTGATTAGCAAGCTCCATCCTGGAAAGACTGGTGCCAACCAGCCCGTCTGTTGGAGAAATCCATAAAGATGGCTATTCCTTTCTGTCAAGCTAGAGGACTATGAAGGTTATAGTCACTGGCATGGACAGGTCAGGGGGGAGATGGGACATTGTAGGGAAAAATAGGGGTGAGGAGGAAAGTGGAAGTAGACACAGAAGACAATAACGTCATGATTTTACAAGCAGCCAGCCCCATGCTCCTGGAGCATTGCTGGGAAGCTGCTGTGGCCCACGGGAAGGTGGTAACCAGCCCCGGCATGGGTACCAGTGCCCCCTGTGGGTACACTACGCAAGGAAGGGAACATGAAGAAACGTGTGTGTCTGATGTGACGCTGTTCATTAGTGGCTGAACAGGGATTTGAAAACAACAATAGAACTCTTCCACCAATTTAAATCCCTTTTACTTTTATTTGCTTAGGGTTTTTCTTTAAAGATTCACTTTATTTTATTTATTTTTTTCAGTTTCATTGTCAACTGTAATATCAATGGAATCACTGGTTTGAGATTACATCTCATTTTTTTCCCAAAACACATGAAAATAGATGCTTAATTATTTCTAAAAGCTATTCCATTTTATCTCAGATAACTCAAGTGTTAAGCTGGCAATATTTTCCTTTCCTAGCTCTATAATTTGCTTTCTTTCTATGACGCCAAAAATCTACACAATAAACCAGAGGTTCTTCAACTTTTGCTTCTGTAAGAATAGACTGTAGAACTTTTAAAAAATACATGTAAACCTGGCCCCCACTCTCTGAAACTGTTTTAGAAGTCTCCAGTGAGATCCAGGGGGCTGCATTTTTAACAAATATCCCGGATAAATTTAATGAAGTTGCAGGGGACACTTAGAGGAATACTTCTATGGGGTAAAATCTTTGGAGTCGTTTGGAAGACTCTTTAGGGTAATACCCAGATAGAAAATTACTCCTAACTTTTAAAGTTTAGTTATTTTAAATCCAGAATGGCAGAGCAAGTGTCTTCCACAAGGTGTGTTTGGAGGGGACAGTGTGATCACAAAATACCCACAGCAGGCCGGGTGTTGTGGCTTACGCCTGTAATCCCGGCACTTTGGGAGGCCAAAACACTTGGCCTTGAGGTCTGGAGTTTGAGACCAGCCTGGCCAACATGGTGAAACCCTGTCTCTACCAGAAAATATAAAAAGCCGGGCGTGGTGGCACACACCTGTAATCTCACCTACTTGGGAGGCTGAGGCAGGAAAATCACTTGAACTCAGGAGGCGGAGGTTGCAGTGAGCTGAGATCATGCCACTGCACTCCAACCTGGGTGACAGAGTGAAAGTCCATCTCAATAAGAAAAAAAAACAAAAACAAAAACAAAAAACACATGGCATGAAGGATGCAAACAGAACACTTCTTGGAGCCCTAGGGTTCTCAGGAATGTGGCACTGGGAAGAGCATAAAGGCTTGTCTGCAAGAAAACAGAAAGCCTTTGGAAGATTACGTAGGAGATTACAAGCTACATGGGTTCCTGCTCCAAACGGAGCCACTCCGCAGAAAATGAAGCAGGATTGCATTCCCCAATTTCTCCACTGATGAATCTTGCAACGATGCTAAAAGGCTGGATGAATATCGAGACTTCAGGGACATTAGCTTTGATACATAATCTGCCCGTTAAATGTGTTCCCTATACTTTCTCCGTTTTTCACATTTCTTTATGTAGTCTTTTGTTAAGAGGACTTCTAAGCTAAGAAGTTGTAGAGATAACTGAGAGGGAAAGAGACCACAGAACTAGTTCCAGAGGTAGGCAAGGTGCACAGGCCATTGAAGGTAGAGCAGGCCTTGAATTAGGAAGGGGATGGCACTGGTACCCTCCTGGGTTTGGAAAGGATAAATGGATTGAGAGATGTTTTTGAATAGCATCGACACAAACCGGTAGACCACACTGCACTTATTTTTTTTTTCTCTTCTCCTCCCTCTCTCTTCAAGAAATCATATTTTTGCCTTAACATCCCGACTCAGCTGATGAATTTTTTGCAATTGCAGGGGAAGTCAGGTGAGAGCCGAGGCCATTTTCAATTGCCAGAACTCCAGGAGATATTTTCTACTAAGTAAGGAATATCTCTCAACCCCGACAGAACTTGATTACAATAGTTTAGCACTAAAGACAATGTCAGAACAGATATTTCTCCTGTGGATGTGAAGAGGTGAAGAACTTGAACCACAGTTTGCAAACCTTGGTGATGTCTCAGGGTTTGCAGGACACGTCTTTTCTCCCAATCCCTTCTCCACACTGCAAAAAGACAGGAAGGCTACTACCTACATGAACAGAATGCCAGTGGATTCTTCAGGTGACAGCATGGCATTTGCCTTCAAAAGACATAAAAGAAGTAGAATTCTAGCAGGTAGACTACATGAGTCGTGCGGAGGGACTTTCCACCACGTGACTAATTGCACATTTCTTGCCAAGTATATATAAGCTTCTGTATGTTTATATAATCTGCATTTTTAGAAACAAGCACTCTCAGTTACAGATATACAACCAAATTGATGTTTTTTTCTAGTTGTGAGGTCAAGGAAAATGCCAAGAGCTTGGAAGGCAAAGTATATGCACACCAGGCACTCATGACATGCCTCCCAGGGTCTAGCTGAATACAGTCATGGACCAAGCACTAGGTGAATTCCTAGTTAATTTATCCAATAAATGTATATTCACCCTTCTGCACTCTGCTTTGTGGGATGGGGCTAAGACCTGGCATTCTTGATTGGTGAGTGGCTCCCTGTTAGGCTCTGGCCCTAGGAGGTGCTGGAGGGAACAGGCAAGACTCCCGTGAGCCTCCTCCAGTCTCCCTTCTCCACCCTGGCAGTGGCAGAACTTTTTTTTTTTTTTGAGACCGAGTCTGGCACTGTCGCCCAGGCTGGAGTGCAGTGGCATGATCTCGGCTCAGTGCAACCTTGGCCTCCCAGGTTCAAGGGATTCTCGTGCCTCAGCCTCCCAGGTAGCTGGGACTACAGGTCCACGCCATCATGCCTGGGTAATTTTTGTGTTTTTAGTAGAGACGGGGTTTCCCCATGTTGCCCAGGCTGGTCTTAAACTCCTACGCTCAAGCGATCCACCTGCCTCGGCCTCCCAAAGTGCTGGGATTATAGGTGTGAGCCACTGTGCCCAGCCAGTGGTTTATTTCATTTTGCTGTTTTTCCAATACTCACATAACATAGTCCCCAGCTCAGCAACTGCAGAGCTGGCAACAGCCAGCACACCCTTCTTCAAGGACCAGATCTCAGCTCCACAGGCCCCTCCTGTGACCTCAAATACACAAGTTCCCTCCTCAGAGGCCAGAGTTTCAGCTCCTCAGGGACGCTCCTCTGAAAATCTACATTTAAGTCATTTAGATTTCTTCCCTCAAGCTGGTGGCTCTTTCCTGCAATTACTGCCTCCATAACGCCTTAGAGACCTCTTTTCACACCTTTCAGTTACCTGGTTAACACATTCATCATATAAGGATACACAATTCTACATATCCCTTTCAGTTACCCAGATAACATTCTTTTGTTAAGTTCTCCATACTGAAATAACTGGAGGTCACAGAGGCACAAAGAGAAAAAAAGTTTCATCAAGAGAGGTCAAATTTAAAAAGACCAAATAATTGACAGTCATTAGATTCAGCAAGAAGCAGGGCTTGGGTGACAACCAGTGGACGTCTGTGTACTGATGATGGAGTTGGGAACACATCAACAGAGACAGTGAAAAATGGTTGGATTGCAAATATATTCTTGTCAGGTCTTAGAAACCAGTATCTTATAATATGGTGTTTCCACCTTCCGAACTGAAAAAGAAGCCTCAAGGTCTCTCTGACATCTCCCTTCCCCATCTCTCTCAATCCTCTGTCTCTCCCAAAGCACATGATGGATTGTTCTCTGAAGTTCCTTTATCTGCCTAAAGTCCAGACCTGCCAAAGAAGAAAACAGTCATGTCTGGTCCCTTCCCTGAGTTTGTATTGACTGAACTCATGTTGCAGGAAGAAAAATGGAAGTCTGTCAACACACCTGCACAGACTTTGTCTGTTCTGCAGGCCCAACCATTGTCTGTTGTGCAGGCCCCACAGACTTTATCCTATGCCATTGTGTATTCTTCAAGTTCACTGAATTCCCCTAAAAATCATTTACTAATCCCCCAAATCATCTAAAATTCTCCCTCCCCTTTCCCCTAAGAAGAAGAGCCATAACCATTTGTTATGGTTATGATGTGATGGGGTAATCACTCTGGTTCTCCCCAGGAATGTTAACCAATGTGAATGCCTTTTCACCTATTAATCTGCCTTTTGTCAGTTGATTTTCAGCAAACCTTCAGAGGGTAAAGAGGAAGTTTTCCATTGGCCACTACATTTTGGAGATTGAGTTTATAAGAAAACTTATAAACTCCAGTGTTCTCAGCCTGAGGAAATAGTAGATGGAGGTGTCACTTATAAAGAAGACTTATGGGTTTGGAAACCCAGTGGACTAGACTGAGGAGAGAAGGGGAGGAGAGCAAGTGGAGACCATTAACATAGCTAATTCTCTGAGGACTTTTGCAGTAAATGAGGCCACAGTTACGGCATGTAGACTAATGGGGGCACACAGATGATCCCAGGGAGATGGAGTGTGGGAGTGGGAGTGGAGTTCTTAAGTAATGCTAAAGGCAGATAGGATCCCGGACACCAGGGAAGGATTTGACTCTTAACAGAGCCAGAAGAATGACTCCAAATTGTCACGGGAAGGAGGCAGAAGGTGTGACTTCAGATGCAGGTAGATTGGCAAATTTGGTGATGGGAAAATAAGGCAATTCTTTTTTTACTTTATCTATTTTCAAGATTTAAGAAACCCACGGCTGCAGAGCCTTCCAAACCATTTACATTGCAAAATGACTACTGTCACCCATTGTATTACCAGAAAAGTACTTTTGATTCCCAGTGACCACAGAAATCAATATGCAGGGCATACAAGTGATAAAAATTATCTTCTCAACATGGAGACTAAAGATATAGGACTCTTGCATTCCGGAAGTGATGCAAGTACTCATAATTACCACCATAAATTTGCTGAGTACTAAAAATAATTCTGTGTTTTCCTGTAGGATTTGCAAGCTAATAATAAGCAATTTCCAGCTGTGTGCTGTGACAGCAAAAGAGAGGGTCTAACATCCTTATAATTATATTTTCCATATCCATATTCACATTAGGAAATACCGATTATGACCCATCTGCTTAAACTAGTTTTTAATTGTTAAAATCTCTACACTAGGTGACTTCCATGAAATCTGACTACACTGTATGCATTGCATTTCAAAAGGAGAATTATCAAATATTTTACCTCTTAGGCTTTTTAAGTACACATGTATGATTGTGAGACAAAAGGACTAACAACAGTGAGAACTGAAATTTTTCCACAAAGGAAATTCCACAAACACATCCTGAGGGCTCCCCTCAGTTTGGCAGTTAAAGCTGTACCAAACAGCAAGCTTCACCATATGAAATGCTGTGCCTAGCTCATTTCATTCTGCTTGACAAAATGAGTGTGATTGCTGGAGAACAAGTAAATTAAATACCTATTTCTCGGGTCTATTTTCTCAAACTTCAGATGTTCTTCTGAGCACTTGAAATGTCACTACCCAAAAAAAGGTCATGAATTGATTGTTGCTTCTTGGAGGTATTATGAGAAAAGAATTACTCTTTGGGACAATTTGATAAGCAGAGCTTGCTACTGGGTATGGCCAAACCTCTTCAGGGTTTCTGAGGCTCCCAATAACTCATTTCAAAGCAGCAGCTCTGCTCTGCTCTAGACAGGCAAGATGAGGCTGGTGATGCCACAGTTGCACCCCTAATATTTTCTCCCGAGAGAAAACCAGAGAAAGCAAAGCAAGTATCTGCTTCCAACTTAAATATGGAATGTTGTCTTGAAAATATGAGGGAGAAGAGTTTAGAACGACCAATTCAAAATATATGTAGTGTTTGACTTGAATCAATATTATTTTCAACTCAATTTTCCTAAAATTTAATTTTAAAAAACGGTTCAAATTGCTAACAATGATTAGTATTCCCCATATCGCTATATCTATCTGTTTATCTGTCTATCTTCTATGTTACTATATGCCAGGTGCCTTATTACCACAAATAAGATTAATGTTATACTGTTTGTTTTATATTTTTTCAGTTTTAGCTTTTCACTGAAACATAAAGTACCTGAAGATGCATAGTCGTAAGTAATGAAGTCACAGCTCAACGGATTTTCTGAAACTGCATACAACTAAGTCACCAGCACATATTCAGGAAAATAATATTATCGACACCCTAGGAGCCCCTTGTTCCTCCTTCTAGCCACTGCCCTCTGGAAGATAACTTCCATTGTGACTTCTCATGGCTTAGATTCATTTTCTTGTTGTTATACTGTACATAAATGGAATCTCTCTGTGCATAGTCTCTGGCATATGGCATTTAGTTTGGTCTTTTAACTATAACTGAAAGCTGCTACCATTTACTGAGCTCTTGCCAGGCACTATGCAAGGCCCCATAACTGCATCATTACCACATTCAATCCTCACAACCACCTCATGAGTAGGCACTATTACTATCTTCCTTAAGCAGGTGAAGACATTTCAAGCTTAAAGATGTTAATATGTTCTAAGTCACCCGGCAAAAAATGCTGGAGGCAGGATTCACGCTTTGTTTATCTGACTCCAAAGTACACGTCCCACCCATGCAGAATATCACAAATGTAAATAAGGCCAAGTGGTCCTGAATCATCAGAACTCATCAGGGTCTGAAAACACTGTGACTCAAATATTGTGTCTATTTACCTGTGATCATGCACCCAACTTATCATGGCAACTCAGACTTTCCAGATTAATATGAACAGTGGCCACTTTCCTGGCAGTGTAACTTGGTGTCAGACAAACTACAAAAACATACAAAGTTATAGGAGCATGTGGTTCAAGCATATTAACTGAAAGTAAAACACACTTGCCCAAAAATAGTCATCAGAGACAGATTCTGTGTTGCTCATTGCTTCACTCACCAATATATTACCTTTGCTAATATCTAAAGGTAACTGACCTTATATTCAGTGATAATTTAAATGTTATTTACTTTCAGTGAAGGATGGTTCACAATCAACAGTGAAAAGGAAATGACAAAATGAATAATAGTAATCCATCCTATGAGATTCTAAATAGTCACGGGAGAAAACAATGAGGGAAGCACATGTACTCTTATGAAAAGATGTTCCAGAAAAGTATTGCAGATATAAGCCAATTTATGAATATGAGTACATGTGTTTATCTATGGCAGGAAATCTAGAGGGGAACACATGCCCACATAAATATGTACGCACGCAGGGAGTACGCACGCAGGGAGTACGCACGCACGGAGAAGAAAGACAAGAGTTGGAAAGGATATATACCAAGATGTTACAAATAGTGGTTTTTCCAACGATTTATACCCAAATATGGCCAAAAAGAGTTAATCAGAGAAGCTTGTACTGGCAGAATATTTAACGATAAACAGGAGTTATTAATGTTTTTTAGCTGTGATGATGGCATTATAGTTATATTTTTTAAAATATTACCTTTTAGAGGTACATACGCACTGGGATTATGAATGAAATCATACGATGTCTTGGATTTGTTTGAAAATACTCAGCGCAGGGTGGGGTTGGGGTAGATATGAACTCTGAGTAGATGTGAGTCGATAACTGGTGGAGCTGGCAATAGGTGTGTTGACTGCACTGTACTATTTTCTCTGCTTTGGTATACATTTGAAATTTTCCATTATAAAAAGTTAAAAAAAAAAAGAGTGATTGCTTCTGAAGACAAAGGAGTAGGGTGTTTTCAATGTTCTTTTGCTTGATTGTATTTTCATGCTTTTCTCTACGGAATATATTTTGCATTCGTAATATGACATACTAAATAAAAGACTAAGGAAGTTATCAACAAAGCCCATTTTGCAATTCAGACTCACCTTTCTTACACAGGCAAGTGTATGAAGTGTTTCCCTTCAGATGGAGAAGGCAGAATACCACCGAAATCATAGGAACAGTTTTCCAACTGCCGTTATGCATAAAACAATGTAAGTTGATTGATTTCCTTCCAAAGCACCACCTACTTCACTGTTATCGGTGTTACTACAATGTGGTACAGAACTTCCCAATCAAAAGATAACTTGGGGAAATTATTGAGTGTGGATTAATTGGGAAAAAATAAATATTTTCTTAGAGAACTAGAATTTTGAGAAACTCAAAAGGGTATTTTTGCATTTCAGAGCCCATCTGCCAGCTGCTCCTAATTCAGCTCTGGGTATTTCTTTTCCACTCTATCTTGGGATCTGTTTTATTCACAGTGGAAGATTCAGAGTGAGCCTCACCCAAAGGTCAAAATTCCTGTGCTCAGCAGCATAAGTGACTCAACCTCTGGGAAGAAAAAAAAAAAACATTTTGTGCAGAAAACAAAGTTAGTCAGTCTGGTGGAACACTGCAATTTTTGACCAGAAAAATATCTTTCTTAATATGGATAGAAAAACTTTGGCCTTTTGCAGTCAGAAAATGAAATGACTTTAGCATGATGGAGATGCAGAGATAGAGGAAGGTGAAATGGAATGTTTGCAGCTGAGAAATGAAGAATGAAAAATGTATCCTCATTACTGCCTTGAAACTCAAAATATAAAGCTCCATCAGGAGTTGCCAGAACTTAGGGGTCTGCAAAGAATGTAGGACTACAGAGGGTATTAACAGGTGCTTTTGGGGGGTGATGAGATTGTTCTGAATCTCTTGTAAGGTGGTGGTTACATTAATTTACATGTGTCAAAATTCATGTAATCATTCACAGAAAAAGAAAGAAAGAGAAAAGAAGTGAATTTTAGTGCATACAAATTAAAAAAAATAGGAAACAATTGAAAGGTTTAAAATATTCTAAACCTCATGGTTGTTACTCGTATGGCAGGTGCTTAAGAATTTTTGTTTGAATCAATAAGTTGAATGAATAGATGGATGAAACCATAAGTGAACAAAATTATTATTTTAAAAGTAAAGATAGAGCAAATGATTGAAATGTGTTTTAAAATATATAAAGTAAACAAGTTTAAGCCAATTTATCTTCTAAGAAGTCAACAATAATGGTACCTTTGGGGAGGAGGGAGTCGTGGCCGGAAAGAGACACGGGGGACTGTTGAGAGGCTTAGACATTCCAGTTTTTGCTCTGGGTGCTGGTTACATGGATGTGCCCAGTCTGTGAAAATTTATGCAGCCCTATTCTTATGTGCTCTTTTCTCAGGGCATGATATGCTTCCATGAAATGTTTTAAAAATCATTAAAATCATTTCAAAGTCTACCCTATCTTTAAAAACACATATTACAAATGCCTTTCATAAATCAGTGCTATAGAAAAGTTGCCTCTCCTGATGATCCAGTAGGTTTCCCTACTCCAGCACCACTCCAACCAGAACTAAGTAATCCATCATTTCTCCTTTCTGCCTCCACTGCCCAGGGCTCTCAGTAAGATCTCTGGCTTAGCCCTAGGTCCTCACTAGAGCTGGTATTCATTCATCCATGGTATTCATTTATGCATGGTATTCATTCATTCTTGGTATTCATTCATTCATGGTATTCATTCATTCTGCTGGTAAATGTTTGCCTTCCTTCACCCACAACTTTTAACTTTCTATTTTAATGATGTTATAATACATGTGCCTTGTGTTATCAGACAGCTTCAAATGCATTTCGGAAGCAGAGTCCAAATCACAAGCAGAAAATATGAAAGTGGATCCTTATTTAAGAGCTCTGAAAGCAAACCTTGCAAGAAAAAAATATAACAAAACAAAAACAGCTTTTCTATTAAAACGAAATGCTCTGATCACTTGTTCCTCAAGGCAGCAGAATTTGATTGTTCACTGGGAGAGAATGGCTACCTTTCTTTTCTAGATGAGTAAAAGACGTGGTAAAATTAACTTTGAGCTTATATCTATGGAGGCTGCAAAACATGATATAGGTACGTACATATAAAGAGAAAGAAAGTCGAAAGCAAATTTCTAGATAGGAGAGGAACATTTATACCTTGGAGCTCAGTAATAAAATAAATAACAGCTGAGTCTAATTTCATACATGACCTTGTTAAATTAGAAGAAAATGAAGCGACTAGCAAAAGAATCTGAAACAAATGCAGCCATTTGCTCATGCCTGATAACTGGATTTTCCAGTTATGAAATTCATTTCATCTTCAGATTTCAAGCATACTGAGAATGGACCCTTGAAGGCTGAAGCCACACCTCAATACAAGGAAAGTACGGGGGTTTTCATGGGGAAGAAAAGCAAAAACTATTAGAATTGATGCAATGAAGTCCAAGCCCTGTATGATTTGGATTGCCCTGAGGCTGAAATGATAGAAATTTAAACCAGGAGATTCCCAATTGCGAGAGCTAAAAATCTTCTAAAACATTCCTATGCTTTCATGGTGTGTTAACTTTCTTCTCCTCAGACTGAACAAAACACCATTAGTGCTTGTCTACATTCTTCATATAAATATTAAGAAATTTAATCTTCAAATTCAGGTAAAATACATGTTTATGAAAAAAGCCAACTAAATATAACCCTATCTTATAAGATGAGAGGAAGAAAGAGAAAGAATGTGTGTCTCTGGAATATATTCCAAACTCTAGATGATTTCAGAGTTGTTCTTGGAATTATGTTTTTTAATGAAAATAATTAAGAGCTGATGTTTCTCTCACTGTGTTTTATCACCAGAATTCAGCATGGCTTCCTGGGGTAAAAAAAAATCATTATGACATGCCAAGTATGCAGTATTGGCCCAAAGTTGGTGGATACTACCTGGTGTCTGCACATGCTTGGAATTTTATGAAATAGCACATGATTTTTTTTGTAGTCAATTATGCTCAGAGATTAGTGGTAAGAGTAGTATTGCCAAAAGCACCCGCAGAAAAAGTGTACTTATTAATTATCCCCTCATGCTGGACCAAGGTCTAAGGTGTGTAACTATTGGAAATGTCACACACAAAATCACACTGAGCTGAACCTTTTGGATTGGTTGAGATTCAAGAGAAACATGAGTGGATATTCCAAAAATTTTTAAACATTACTCTAAGAATCAGGTGGGAGAGTGAAATTGTCACAGATGCCTGTCAATACAATGTTATGAAGGCATGATTACAGTTTGGCTACACCATTCCAAGTGCCAGAGTTCCCTAAGCGCAGGAGAGGAATAAGGGTGTGTGGTGGGGAGAGTATCAGGAAAATAGGGAAGGAGATTCAGAAGGGGGAGGCTCACAAGGGGGTTGCTTGATGAGGCCTAAGGAACCAAAGGGTAGGAGTATGGCTTAGGTAAAATCACTTTAACACATTTCAGATTTACCTAGCAGATAAGGCTTCTTCAATAGAATTGTTTATCTGGCTGAGTTTTACAATTCCTCTACTCTTCTTCCAAACAACTACTTATAAGGGAGTTCTTGGCCTCTCTCATCCTAGGCTGTCTTCTTTCTATGCCTTGATTAGAGAACTAAGGAAAGGAAACTAGAGAAAAACCTTTGCTGATTTTCCTATGAAATATTCCTAACAGAACACAGTAATTTGAAATCTGTGCACGTACTCCTATAAAAAGCTGATGCCAGCCCTTCTTACAATGAACTTGCTTTTATTCTCAGGGGAAAAAGCAAAACAATAGAAACAAAAGTTTATTTTCATTATATTTTCATTAAGAAAAATACTATTTTGTTTTGGCATGTGAAGGCATATAATGCTGCTATTAAAAAGTGATGTTCACTTGGTTTAAAACGACATGGGAAAACACCATAGTTTATGGCTTAGTGAAATATAACATGAGTGAGACTGGAATGAACTATGCCAACACATTGCAGTTATTTTGGTGTTAGGATGGTGGGGTATTTCTTTATGTGCCTTACGGTGTTCCAAATTTTCTGCAATTAGCCTTCTTTATTATTTAATGATATTGTTTTGAAAAGTACTCTTGTGGTTTTCATTCTGGCACTTTTCAATTTATTGGTAATACAAATATTATTGGTTCTATTTTGTAATAAGGTAATGTGGATAAGATGTCTTTATAATTTGAATTTTTCTGTAGTTAAAAATTGATTTACTTGCATTTACAGGGTCCTCAGATGAAGTTTCCTCCTGGGGCTACATCTTTCTCAGGCTTTGCATGTCACTTTGATAATATGCTGACTAAAAACATACACTCCATCAATTTCAGTAAGTTGGCAGTGAATTTCTTTAGCAGAATCGCTTTTCACATTCAAATATAAAATAAGTGTGGGTTCTCATGCATTCATGCGAAATACTTATTTTAAACTAAAAGCATATAAAATCATAGTACAGATAATATAATTTAAAGGTATATCAAAATAACTGTACTGTTAGTATAAACAAACCAAATAAACTAATTTATAAGGAAATATTTTCAGACTCAGCTCTTCTGAGAAATTAGCTAAATTTACCAGCAGTTCTTATCAGAGTGAATAAACCTTAGACAGATTACAATGAACTTCACTGAAGTTTGTTTTTAATTTTTATATTCTGCTTTTCAGAAATTAACTTTGGAAATTACATATGAGAAATGGTTAATTTTAAAGATGATTTTACTTTGCACAAGTATATTACTAAAGGAATTACTTTAAGAACAGGTTTCATTGCAAATTTGAGAATAAAACAAAGAAATTCTCTTGGTGGCTAATGGATTTATGATTTACAAGAGTGAACACTGATTCATATGAGGGCTTGGCAAGTGTTCATGCTGTCATTTCCAGGATACATACCCTTCCCCTTACCTGAGAAATCTGAGTGAATATATACAGGGCTTTCAATCATATTTGTACAGTGAAAAGCTCCCTTTCCTTTTGATTAAACTGAAAAGAGTTTAAATTTTGTGAAAGGGGTGTTTACCAACATACATGATGGGTTCCTTTTTCAATACTGTGAAGAACACATTTCTCAAAGTTGGCCCTTTGATTCCAGGGGATGTTAATAGCTGCTCATGCTAACAAACAAAAAACTGGTCAAAATAAGTTTGGGAAAAAAACTGTGGTCAAAATAAGTTTCGTAAATGTGATGTTAGTGTTAAACACTTTTTAAAAAAATTACAGAACTTGCCAGAAAACTTAATGACATGTTTATTTTTAGTCTTCAAGAGAAAAGTAAAGCATCGTATTTCCCCCTATCTGTCTGACCAAGTAATCCTTGCAGATTAGTTCTCTAAGAATATACTTTGGAAAACAGTATGTTTCCAAGTTCAAATAACACAAGTTCCATCTCCCATCCTCATATGGCCAATGTTATTCCATATATTTCATGTGATCATTTGGGGCCCTCTCAAACAAATGCCTTCCATTATCTGCTACAGATACAGAGGCACAAGAAGCAAAATTTAATTTTTCACCAGTATGAGGATCTAAATGTCTCAATATCTGGTTTAGTTCTTCTTTTTAAACTTAAAAATATTAAAATATAAAGTTTATAACTAAGATAAAACTAGATATTTGTAATGCAATTAGTAGGGTGTATTTTCCTAACAAAGTAACATTTCCAAAAAAAAAGAAAAAACAGGGAAACTGCAAACATTTTCAAGAGGAACACATCTATCTACAGAGATACATCTGTAAAATAAACCAAAGAAAAGGAATAAAGTATGGGGGAAGATATTTGGAAAATAATCATTTCTGTCTCAACCTCTTTGACTTACATAAATCTAAATAGAAATCCAGAGATTATAACCATTTTTCCTTTCAAGGACATCCAAACTGTTTCCAGCTATCTGCAGGCTTCCAGATGTACAAATAGCACCATGTTAAAAATAAAATAGTGGCTTCAGTAAAAAGTATTTCTGTATTGACCTACAATTGTAGATTAAAATATACCTTAAGAGTTAAATTTCTTTAGCAGAGTTTTAACTACTAGGGGATTCTGAAGATAGTATCCCAAGCCAGCGGGTACAAGAAAAGATGATAATAGTGGGTAGAAAGAAAAACATACTAAGGTTAAATAATTGAAATACTGAGGTAATTATCTATTTTCCCCTTTAGTGCTTTAGTGGATATGTGTTGATCCCCTGCTACCTTTTTTTCCTTTTCTTTTCTTTTTTTTGTCTGTGGATCTGGCAACAACCTCTACTTTTTAGTTTGATCTATGAAACCAATCACCACATCACAAGCCATAGCCATTGCTTCAGGGCCGGGCATGTGACCTAAATTGGTCCAATTCGAGTGAATCTGAGGATTTTTGAGGATGCAAGAAAGGATTCTAATACTTCTTTTGCTAAACTTGAATGAACCTGAGAATTTCTAAAGCTAGGGCCAACATGTAGTGGCTCAACATAAAGCCAGCATGGAGAACAACACAATAGTGAAAGAAAAAGTGTGAGTGCCAATGCAGTGTTTTGAGTGCTGAATCCAAGTGTAACTGGAGCCAGTCCTTCCCCTGGACTTTTAGTTGCTAGAGCCAATCAATTTCTTTTCTTGCTTGAGCTGGTTTGAATTGGGTTCTCAGTCGTTCATAACTAAAAGATGTACATACGAGTTGTAGTCATTCTATTCTCCGTCCCCCATCAAGACTGATCCCCAAGCCTATAAATCTGTGACAGTGTACATATTAGAGAACTTTGCTCAGACTGGTTAAAACTATTTCAAAGTGCCAACATTCTAAGAGCTACATGAAGAAATGCTCAACATCACTAATCATCAAGAAAACGCAAATTAAAACCACACAAAACCAAATTAAAACCTCACATTTGCTTGAATGGCTATTATAAAAAATATGAAAGACAACAAGTGTTGGCAAGGCTGTAGAGAAAAGGAAACCCTTGCACACCATCTGTGGAAATGTACATTAATACAGCCATTACGGAAAACAATAGGAATTGTTTCATATATTATACAAATTTCAATATGAATTGAAAACATATGTACATTTTTTGAGGTTCCTCAAAAAATAAAACTACCATATAATCCAGCAATCCCACTACCAAGTAGATATCCAAAGGAAATAAAATTAATATGTCAAAGAGATATCTGCAGTCTCCTATTTATTGCAGTATCATTCACTATACCCAAGATATGGAATCAACCTAAGTGCCCATCAACAGTTGAACGAATAAATAAAATGTGGTATATATATACAATGGAATACTATTCAGCCATACAAGAAGGAAATCCTGTCATTTGCAGTAGAATGAACCTGTCTAACACTGTATGTCGGCACGGTTGCTTACTCAGTGACCCAGACTAACAAATGGTCTACATCTTTGTGAAGCTACCACTTCAAAATATAGCTAAATCTGGAGGACGTAATGCTAAACAAAATAAGCCAGGCACAGAAAAAACAAATGCTGCATGATCTCACTTCTTATATGCAGATCCAAAAAATCTGATCTCATCGCAGCAGAGCGTAGAATGGTGGTTACCAGGGACTTGGGTGGCTGGGGAACAGGGACTAGAGGGGTGATCAAAGAATACAAAATTTCAGTTGGATAGAAAGAATAAGTTAAACATCTATCGTACAACATGGTGACTATAGTTAATAACAACAGATTGTATTCTTAAAAAATGCTAAAGAATTAAAGTTATGTGTTCTTACCACAAAAACGATAATACCTGTGTTAATTAGCTAGATTTAGTCCTTCCACAGCATTTATATATAACTCAAAACATCCTGTTACACATGATAAATATATACAATTTTATCTGTCAATTAAAAAATAATTAAGAAATAAAAGTGAACATTTTTCCAGGAAAACAAAGATTCACAAAACCCCCAAAATGCAAACTTTTCTACACAGCCCCCATACACCGTGGAAACTTACACTTCTGATCAACCAATGTGAAACTGAGGGATAGAACCATTCAGGGCAGGAGTTAACCAGAAGACCCTCCCTCATCCTTCTCTACAATTTCTTGGTTGAACTCTAACTTCAGAATTATTGGGGGAAGTCACGTGCTGGTCAAGGCCTTCAGTAAGATTTTTTGTCTCCTTTCTCTCAGGCTGTGATCATGACATGGCAGGGAAAGAGGAACAGCAGCTGTGGATGAGGAGGCCCCTTAATCTTTTGGATTCTAAAATCCTGGTGTTCCCAAGCTCCAACCTGTATTCACAAGACTTAAGCTAGAAGATTCTTCTGATAACTTACAGATCATACCCATAGAGACTGATCTTGGCATCTAGGAAAGACTGGGGCTAAAACCATCTATAGTTGCTTATTAACAGGAGCCCCAAGTCTGAGTTTGATGGTCAGGAAAACATCATTGTAGGAGCACATATCTCCTGTGAGATATTTATCTTATGTGTGACCTTGCGTTTCCCAGCCTCTCTTGCAGTTCATTTGGAACTACATGACTAGCTCTGATCAAAGGGCCATAAGCATGAGTAATATGCATCACTTCTGAACAAAACTGATGTGCCCTGCTACTGCTCTCTTCCTAAGCCATGAAGTCCCTAGAGGCCCTATGTTGAGGGTGGCAGCATCACAGAGAAATAAGCCATTTGTTAGTGTAGGTCACTGAGCAGCCAACGGTGTTGACACACACTGTTAGACATAGGGTAAGAGCAAGGGATAAAGTCTCTGTGTGTCTAGTCACTGAACATTCCACGTGAGTTTGTTATATGGCACAGCCTAGCCTACACTGACTAATGCATCAACTAGAAAGGAAAACAATGTGTTGTATACAGATGTGTCCTCTACCCTGAAGGCCTGGACCCCAGCAATCTCCATTTTACCAGGAAAGAAACACAAAGGATGAGAGGTCTGAGATTTCCTCGAAACTCTCAATAGAACTTCTGAAGTCCATGGACATCTTTGCCATGATAGAGAAATGGTAGGATAGGAGATAGCAAGTCCACAGGAAACACAGGGCTTTTCCTATGTAGAAATTTAGAGCCAGAACCCCAGGCCCTGTGGCTCATAACCAACTAAAGTCAACAGAAAATTTACCTGTTGAAGCACATTAATATATTTTTGGATTCTCCTTCAGAATTCACAAACTGATGACCCACAGACGTATTTAGCTGGTACAGTCTTTCTTAATTTGAAGTAAATTTGCCAGTATTTAAGATTCAGGAGATTTCACCAACAAAAAATCTGAATTTCCAGCTTCTTCTTAAAGGCAAGAAGAAGTGATAACTCTGAGCCCACATTCTGACCTGGTACCATTCACTGGAGCAGAGAAACAGCTGCCCTCTTTAAGCAGGCCAAGTTTTCCCTTTCACTATGGTACCCAGTGCGAGTTTCACTCATGTGCTACCACCTGGACCTTGTAGGTATTTGAGTGACTGGCTTTTAAACAGACTCTCTAAGATATAATCCTCCAATACTGAAAACTTACGAGGCAGTTGTGGCAGTCACATTAAGGCCTTCAAGTTGTTGCCAGAGTATCCTGCAATACACTACAGAAGTGATCATTAAAAGGTACCCAGGAGTCTGGAAAGGGTGAAAGCACATGAACAAGGTTCCTGATTTACTCCCAGGGAGTGGTTTATATACTATGATAATCTGGGAGGTATTCGCATTCTCTATTATTCCCAGGTGTTGGCAGCGCGTCCTGGCATCTCAAGTGCTGAGCCACATGGAGGCCACATCCGTGGCTTTATCCCAGCCTCCTGGAGCACATTTGCCTGACATAAACACTCAGATATCTACATCAGCTGAGTGGATTATATGCACTGGCCAACTAGATGACCAGATTCTCCTTCCCTTCATGAATGAAAGAGAACAATATTTTTATATAATTCATAAAATAATAAAGTCTTGACTAACTAAATTGTACTTATTCATGGGAAAGTTCAAAATATTTACTTTAACTATTAATATATGAATCAAAACCAAGTTATTTTAACTAGAGCCAGTGTATTTAAATAATTTTCTGAAAAAAAAAACCCCACAATAGTTATTTAAAACAGAGGAGGATAAAATGCTTAAAATGTTTTTCTTTCAGTCATAAATCTGCTTAGTAAAATACAAAAAACATTAAAAAAAAGATCTGGCTTTTCCACTTTCTCACTTCTGAATTTTTATTTGTTTATTTCAGTATGAGAATCATTTGAGATACAGGGTATAGTTAGTTTTGCTGATCAGGTAAGTGTAAGCAGACAGACACAGTAAGAACTACGAAAGGAAACAGTGTAACTATGGTAAATTACTGCATAATTGGAAAAGAACTACTTGGAGTATTAGAAGAGACCTGCAGATAAACAGGGGAGGCTTTTGAGATAAGTTTCAGAGTGATGCTTATTCACACAAATGATTAACTGAAGGATGTTTTCTTGGCCTAAGCAATAAGATGGAAATGATGACAGGGCAAACTACTGGGAATGCCAAGAGCTTTTCTTCTTCTTTTAATGACAAGAAATACAAAGGTAGAATGGAGTTAGAAGGGAACGTATGAGACTGGAAAAAGTCCTGAACACAGAGGTCCCAGTCATACAGTAAGCAAAATCAGTTTCAATTTCAAACTGGGAATTGTTCCCTTTTTTTTTTTTGGAGACAGAGTCTCACTCTGTTGCCCAGGTTGGAGTGCAGTGGCACAATCTTGGTTCACTGCAACCTCCTCCTCCCGGGTTCAAGCTATTCTCATGCCTCAGCCTCCCGAGTAGCTGGGATTACAGGCGCACATCACCACACCCGGCTAATTTTTATTTTTGTTTTTTAGTAGAGACGGTGGGGGGTGGGTTTCGCCATGTTGGCCAGGCTGGTCTTGAACTCTTGGCCTCAAGGAATCCACTGGCTTCAGCCTCCCAGAGTGCTTGGATTACAGGCATGAGCCACCGTGCCCAGCCTCTGGGGATTGTATTTCTAATGGGGTTTCACTAATGAGTAAATGGATATCAACTGCATATATTATTTTTAAGAACAAGCTTGGGTATGGTAACAGCTTTTTAAATTAATGATTTTTTTCCTCTACTTTTACTGTGGCCATAAGCAGATGTCCAACTTTTTCACAGAACTGTAGTGCTGAAAGAAGCTCAGAGATCACGTGCCTGAGTCGTTTTATTTCACAGATAAGGCAAATGAGGTCACAGGGCTAAGAAATGGCAGGAAAAGGATTAGTACTCTGAGTCCTAACTGCAAACCCAGTGTGGCTTGGTAAAGTAGACCAGGTTTTCCCCTTACAGCACTACTAAAAGAATACCAGGCTGAGTGCAGTGGCTCATGCCTGTAGGAGGGTCACTTGAGGCCAGCCTGGGCAATACAGCCAGACCGCGTCTGTAAAATATTAAAATTAAAAAATTAGCCACGTGGGAGGCTGAGGCAGGAGGATTGCTTGAGCCCAGGAATTTGAGGCTGCAGTAAGCTACGATAGTGCCGCTGAACTCTAGCCTGTGTAACAGAGTGAGACCTTGTCTCTAAACAAACAAACAAAAAAAGAATACCAACTGTACCCATGACTTGTTGCTCAGCTGACAAGTCTACTTTCTATATCTCAAGAAACTACATACACAAGTATCTTACAGTTTGAAAGGATCTCACACTATTTGGTATTTTATTTAATATGCTAAAATAATTATTTCAGTGAATGCACCTACTCACTCATCATCTCAGAAATTCCAAACAAATATGTAGATAAGAAAATTCTGTGAAGTAATCACCATATAAACATGAAGTTTGCAGAAAATCATTTATGGTTACAGCCATGTTTATAAATAAATGTGCATATTCAACCTAAAAGCAACTTTAGACTCCTTGCGTGTTTACCTCTTTAGATACTCAGAGATCTCTAGGGATTTATTTTCAGATGAACATTTGCATTTGAAATGCTTCCTGTTGGTAATCTGTAAGATGCAAGTTAGTTACCAGAAAAGCAGAAGCACAACAGAGTTTGGTGAGCAGTGACACAGCGGTCACGTAACAGCTCTTGGTGGCAGGCTTGCTGGGGTAGCTGCTCCATATTGTCTTTTAAAATACTGTATTTTTGAAAGCAGCTTCATGATATCCCAGAGCTAACTGGAGATGGCAATTAAATGCAATGGATCCAGTACATTTGCCAGGAAAACTGGCAAAATTTAAAGGTGAATTGTGGATTAAACAACAGTATTTTACTCACTATAATTTTGTAGCATGGTAGTTTATCTGGGGTCATGTAAGAAAATATTCTTGTACATAGGAAACACTCAATTATTTAAAAGTAAAGTGGCAAGATGTTCATAACTTATTGTCATTGTTCAAGGGAAAAATACATATATAATGACAAAAAGCATATGGGAAAAATGTTCAAAATGTTGACAACTGGTAACTCTGGTAAACATATTACCAGCCTTCTCTCCAGCATTCTTGCAACTTTTCTGTAAGATTGTGATTATATTAAAATAAAAAGAAGAAAAAGCATTTTCATGAAACCATTTTATTTTCACCTCATATCATGATTTTGCAGGCATTCCTTATGTGTTAGTCTTGTTCTATTTCCCACATTTGTTGACACGGTACCTACAATTGCCTGCTAACATGCTTTTAAACCCAGCTGCGAAATGTGCTATAAGTAATGTCAGAGGTACAATAAAAAAGATCCAAAGTGGGTAGTAGCATGAAAATACATTTTCAACTTGTAAATTAAAGTGGAAAGCAGAGAAATCAGAGTTTTTAAGCAGACATGAGCACACCATCTTTTTCATCATGCAAAAATTCTTCATATTTTCCTCAGCATATAACCAAAAAGTGACCTGCAGACATTTTGCTGTCAAAAAGATACCAGTGTTACGTCGGGTAGCATAGACAGATAGTGACAAAAATGAGCGAAGGTTCCTAGATGCACTGTCTGAAAGTCAGGCTGGTTTGGGGCTGGATTTTAATATACTTACCCCAGTTATCTTCACTTTCACAGTAACAGTGATGGCAACTGACAGTATAATTATCTTTCAAGGACTGAACTGGTCTAAGAAATATTCTTCTAGCGTGTCACACACTGTTGATATTAAACTGGCGACATGAGAAACCATCTGGAAAAAATCTGGGCATAAGGAAGTTTAGGGGATCTAATCCAAGCTGGGTTTTGGCTGATTTACTTCAGTTCACTCAAATCTCATTTAATAATATGAAATAACACACACGGAAAAAGGAAAGAAAAATGCTATCCTTTGTTCCAGCGCTGATTAAATGGAATCATATGCATGGAAAACAGTTTAAGGATTCCTTCATCCTTACCCTGCTTTCATTGATCATTTTGTTTCCTCTGCTAGTAAGACAAACAATGTGCTATATCCCTGTCTTTCAAACTACTTTTTAAAAGGTTTTTATAGTCAAGTATTTCCAGCAAAGAGCTAGAAGTGTGCAATAAAATATATTATTTTATGTCTTTGATCAATCCATACCACACTCTGTTAACTCATTTATTCTGCTAAGAAAATGCATTTTTCTTTTAAACTTAAAAAAGAGATTTTTCTCTGCTGTCTACTAAAGTGAAATATACTTTTTAATAGTTTTAGTGCCAAAATAATTTATAGTCTTTCTTTTAAGATGGTTTACTATGTATTCTTTCTTATTATGCTCAATGTTTGCAAGTTTCACATGAAGCCTGAATGCAAGCATGAAGAGTAGAGATGTTTAGAGAAAGGCTTTCTAAGGCCATAAAAGCAGGACACCAGGAACTAGGCATATTCATCTCTACTGGACTGGATATTAAGGGCATGGACCAGGTGTAAAATACAGAGAAAAAGAGGCTTTAGGAGGAGGGTTAGGAAGTCTTTCATAAGAAGGAGGATGGGACAGAAGAAGGGGGTTGCACAGCAAGCTAGACTAGTATCTCTCAGCTTTCTCCATCTTCTCTGATAGACATTGATATCAAGATATGAGAAGCACATCTTTCTAGTTCTTTGTTACCACCCAGTCCACAAGTGATGCTGTTCCTAAGGGCATCAACACTGCATCCTCATCAGCGAATAAGCATTTGTGCATGGCTGCATGCACACACATATTTCGAAGACCCCATTTGTCTGCCAGCCATAGCATCAGGAATAAAGGGGAAGCTGTTGGTTTTCTTTTGTAATTTCTTAGACCTATATAACTTTGTATTCTGCTCAAACTGTACGTTTCTACACAAACATGACATGCACCATAAGATGATCCCAGGCTCCCTCTGTCACTGGGTCTCCCTAGCTCCATCCAGATGCAACTATCTCCTTTCTAAGGATCATCCCCAAATTGCCCAAATCCATCTGACCCATCTTATTTTACTCAACACAATTCAAAGGTCTTATTTTCATCTCTGCCATGGAGATCATTTCCATTAGATAACACATAGAGAAAATGTCAATTGGACTTCAGCCTTACTCTGGAGCTACTTTTTAAAGTGGTCCTTCATTAAAGCATGCCCTAAGTAATCATCCCAATGATTAAAGACTTCAGAAAGTTTGCTGCTGCTGCTGCTTAAAACATTTAGAACAAATCACCTTTATGTACAGAAAGTAAAGTGATGAACTCCAACAAGCCTGTAACACACACACACAAACATTACCTTCCAATATTCATTCCCTTTCTGTCATGCATCTATATTATCACAGAATGGGATATTTTGGAATCTCTATGCTTGGATTTAGTTAAAAAATATTAGGAGACCTGGAAAGCTTAGGTGCACCTAATCATAGCTGCTGGCAAGAAATGTGGTGGAAAATGGGACTTTTCATACTAATTAACTTTGTATTCACACATGGGCTTCATTTTCCACATCACATACTTATATGAAGGCCCCACATCACAAAAGGGTTAGGATTCCATCAGAAACAAAGACAGCTGTAAAATCCTCACGTAGCTGCTCCAAGATGGACAGAGCTAGAAATATACCAAAAACTAAGGCTGGCTGGTGGGGGATGGGGGTGGGGCAGTAGGCAGCAGTCCCAATAGAAATAAGTATGGAAATATGAGACTTAAATGTTAAATTCTTTACAAGAATAAGTTGTTGTCTACACTCAAAAGAAATGTTCTATATGCAAAACTTTATTATGATCATATTGTTTCCAATGGTACGAGAGAGGCTGCTTCCTTCCAGAAATAAGTCAGGCCTGATTTTTATGCTGATTCAACATAATCTTGACAAACAAAGCAGCAAAGAGTTCTCTGCCAGGAAAGTACATGCATAATTGTTGAGATCTACTAAATAGTCTCTTGTTCAACACAGGGTGTCAAGCAGAGATGTTGCAGTAGCTGAGATAAAACAGCAGTGTGCTCTGTTCTTATTTTAATTCCCTCGGCACGCCCCAGGGTTCACATGGCTACGGAAGAAAAAGCAGCAGCTTTTCACCCCAGTATAGCTTGTCTAATGATAATTACTGATAAATAACTTAGCATAAAATAACAAAAGCCAAAGGCACTGCTTAAAAAATCTACCCTAACCATTTTTCTCCTTCTCATTTCATCTCTCTCATTCATTCATTTAAAAAAAAATTGATTTTCACGAAGGATAAAGGAAAATACCCTACTGAAGGCAGATGAGGCCCCAAACATACTGGTTTTAGGTAGCACAGACAGAACAGTATTACATTTTAGCCTAGTAGTACCAAGCAACATAGAGAATCTCCAAGAACATCAAAGCAAGTAACCACCCTACCCAGCCAGATTCAGCCCAAAATGTGAAACTTAGCTGTTGAGTAGTCAAAATGACAACATCACTACAAATTGCCAGCAAAATTCCAAAAGCTGAACTAATCTACAGATCCTGAGGAAAAGATTTTCTCTTATCTTTCTGGTTCACTTTGCATATGCTGCTGGAAAGCGAGAAAGCTAATTGCATAATTCATGCTTATTCCAATAAAATGCGTAATGACAGCAAGCCCAATTTACCAACACTTTGAAGAATAAGGATATTGAGGCAAAGGAGGTGAAGGCTGTGAAAAGACCATGAATGATGTCATTGAGTAGCGTTCTCTTACAATACTCACTGCCTCCATGTCAGGAAGTATGAGCTTCTGATGTTCCCTGACTACACCAAGAGTATCACAGTGTCTGTCTTAATGCCACATCCTCTTGGGATCTTTAAAATTTCTCCTTTGTTTGGGCAAATAATTTAAGTAAGAGCTCTTTTGTGGCCTTTTAGATCTAGACATCTGGAAACAAGTTGACTTTGATCATTTAGTTTATTCTTTCCCCTTTACTCAACCCATTCCCCTTCTGTTTTAGACATAAACCAGACCACCTAAAGCAAAATTATGTGTCCAAGAATGGAAAAAAAAATTGACCTATACAGAAAGACTATGATCAGTCTTTTTTTTTTTTTTTTTTTTTTTTTTTTTGAGACTTTGTTATGCCCTGTGGCCCAGGCTGGAGTGCAGTGGTGCAATCTAGTCCTGCTGCAACCTCTGCCTTCCAGATTCAAGTGATTCTCCTGCCTCAGCCTCCCGAGTCACTGGGATTACAGGCACACACCACCATGACTGGCTAATTTTGTATTTTTAGTGGAGGTGAGGTTTTAACCATGTTGGCCAGGCTGGTCTCAAACTCCTGACCTCAAGTTATCTTGCCTACCTCAGCCTCTCAAATGCTGGGATTATAGGCATGAGTCATTGAACTCAGCCCATGATCAGTCTTGACTTATTTCCAGGTTATTTTTCAATGGCAAAATCCCCCCAGCATCTAGCACTAGCATTACATCTTTTCTTTTTAATAATTGTTTTATCATCTTATCATATTCAGATAATATACTATAATTTTACAAAGTAATTTTTATTCTTCTTATTTTACAAATGAGTGACCTGAGTAGTACAGAGATTAAGAAACTCACCTAAATTTCCTCAGGTAGTTAACTGGTAGAGATGGGAGTCAAATTTGGGTCTCCTAATTTTACTCCAACACAATGTCTCTTACTTTCACAATTCTTTAGCCAGCCACAAATAGGCGAACAGGCATAAAATGATAGGAAAACATGGTTGCCCTTTTAAACTAGAAGAGACCACCATAGCCATATGTTTTGGTCAAAATCTTGAGATTTGAGGCAGAAAGTGACATGGATTATGGCTGTGGTGTCTTTAATTTTGATGAACTAAATAAAAAGTATTGCAGTTTGAGAATAATAAACCATCATAACTCTCTAACTTCCAAACCATGGATGAATTAAAAATATGTGCAAGAGTCAGAGATGAAAACATCAGCCTTCTAATTTGGAAGACTGGATTGCAAAATGTAGCTTGAACACAAGGTCAGAAGTCTTTCTATCCATTGACTCCATGTTTATAACTTGGACCTATAGATTGTTGAGAATTGGGTTTTCAGGACAGACAGGCAGAGAACTTCATAGAAAATTCCATCTCCTCACCCCTTATTGACCACTGTGAGCCCAAGAAGAGTGACTGTACATGCGCAGTGATGCTTAATGCACTGATTTTACTCAGCAGAAGAACATGGACCAATGGTTGTCAGGCTCTTGCCACTCAACCCGTCATCTCTCTTCCCATGAGAGAAGTCAGAGAACAATGGAGAGAATTCAGCTCTTTGTCCTCAATTCTTCCAAGGGTTGACAGAAGTTCTCATTTTATGGGGTGGCAAGAATATGGGAAATGGGTGAGGAGATGGAGCAAATGTAAACCTACTTTGGTCTTAAATAAGATTGCGATTTCAATATTTAAACTCAAAAATAACAATGATTCTATTTTACTCAACTAACATTTGTTTGATGCATTTAGTGATCCTACTCCAGAGATTGATTTAATCATGACTATTCTTTATTTAATATTTTATTCACTCTTGTTATCTAATTGTTCTAGGCTCTTACCTTCATCCACACATGTGATAGTCAGCCTGAGAATCTTTTTTTTTTTTTTTTTTTTTTTTTTGAGACGGAGTTTCGCTCTGTCGCCCAGGCTGGAGTGCAGTGGCGCGATCTCGACTCACTGCAAGCTCCACCTCCCGGGTTCACGCCATTCTCCTGCCTCAGCCTCCCGTGTAGCTGGGACTACAGGCGTGCGCCACCATGCCCAGCTAATTTTTGTATTTTTAGTAGAGACGGGGTTTCACCATGTTAGCTAGGATGGTCTCGATCTCCTGACCTCGTGATCCGCCCGTCTCGGCCTCCCAAAGTGAGAATCTTTAATGCATTATACAAAAAGGAAAATGTGATCCTAGTAGCATAACTAAATGGTTCAGTCAGAGTTTTGCAATAATTCAACAAAATGTTTAATTTTGATAGTCACTTAAACTAATCTTTTCTTTATAAGAAATACATATACACATATCAAAGAAATGATACTATCAGGGCTTCAGTAACATTTTTAATGTAGGAAAGAATTTCAGACACAGAGTTAGAATTCAGTGGGCTGCCTGAAGTTTTCTTTCCTAACCAACACTTCTTGAGCTCAGCCAATGGGAGGAAGAGTTATGTTATCAAAGGAATATAACTTTTCAAATTCTGGTGAGGCCACTAAAAGATAAGGGAAAGGGGGAAAAATAATAACACACTGGTTTCATATGAAACATATGAAACCACGTTTCAATGTAGCCAAAATGAGCCCCTTCACCAAGATGTGGGTTGGGGGAACCCCAGCACCTTTGGCAAGTGTTTTAGAGGCTGTTCTCTGCAGGCCAGTGTGGGACAAAGCATTAGGTTGGTGCAAAAGTAATTGTGTTTTTTGCCATTGAAAGTAATAGCAAAACCCGCTATTACTTTTGCAACAACCTAATAGAAATGCCTGAGGATTTCAGTGCAGGAGGGAAGGTGCTGGGGTGGCTCAGGCCACAGATTGAAAGTTTGGCAGCTGGGGCAGAGTGGTCCTGAAGAGAGCACAGTAGGCAAGAAGTCAGCAGGATAATCAGAATGGAATGGCCACTGAGGTCTTTAGTGGTGGTGAAGTGCTCATAGTCTGGCTAGAGCCAAAGTACACGGGCAGCCCAAGATGGGCTTGATTGCTTTGGGCCAGGATCTAATGAATTTCCATTGACACGATAGTAGAGAAACCCTGAGTGTCTTACCTGATTTCTGACTCTTGTCATCTTTTTATATCTTAGTTATGCTTACCACATAGAATTGGGTAGAGATTGATTGAGATTTGAGTAAAGCGTATTACAGTGCCTAACATATAGTAGCCACACATTAGATTATTACTATGTGAGTTTGTCCCAGTTGAAAGTGCTTTCTGAGTGGTCGTCTTTATGAGGGGGAAGTTGATGACTCCTACATAACATGGCTGGGGATGAACAAAGGAGCAAAATGTGCCAGATTGCCCGACAATGGTAATCTGCTGGAGTTCAGTAAGACAAACAAATAGCTCAGAGACCAGGGGATATTCTAACAGCTGCACCAAATTAAGCCCAATTCCCCCTTCTGTACTCTCTGTGTTCCATCATGAGTTCAGAAAGATAAACTCTGAGACCAATTCAGTTTGCTCTCTATAGTAAACATGTGTGACCATTACTTGGGCTAAAGTTTCTATTGGCCCTTTGGCTTAGGTCCTAGAATGTCTGACTTAGCTCTAGGGTCTCAGGTAACCACAGATTTTTAAAGCTCTGGTTTGGGGATGACCCAAGGGGCCAATGGTAAGCTTGCTAAATCTGTGTGTCAGGGGAAAAAACAAAAGATTATGCTTACATTTCTTGTCTTTGGTGTGTGTGTTTGCTGTTTCTTCTTGTGGGGTACCCCTTTTATTTTTTTCTCTCTCTGCATCTGAAGTGTAGATATTCTTCTACATGTTATATCTAAGTAATAGAATCAGGAACTGTAAAACTACCTAATCAAAGAATGAAGAGAAAGTAGAGGTCCTAACCCGTATCTTGTCCTAGCCTGTATTTTATAGCCTGGGCTAAATTTTACTAAACAGAATTGTTCCTAAGGAAAACATTTTTTTTTTTTTTTTAAGGAATCTCCAAATTTGCCTACTTAAAATGGAGTGCCCCGTTGAATGTGGCTTTTTGAATGAAGAAATGCAGAGAAGTGAATTTTACTGCAATGATGAATCAGCACAATTATTTGCATATGAATTTTATGTTGCTGCCAATTCCTCTTTAATTATGATTGTATGACTCATCAATCCATGGCTGTATGACTGATTGGAGCCCTCCCTACTTGCAATGGTCAAGCTAATATGGGTCCTAGATAGGTAAAATTGAAATTCATGGAAAAAGCCCCAAACAGTAAATAAAGTTGGAAACTGATTCTAAGGGCAAGAGTTCTTCCCTTTTTCCTAACACACATCAATCTTACACTGAAGTCTGGATTCAAGTTCACTGTAGCAAATTACCATCAATCAAGAAAGAGAGAGAAGTCAGAACACAGTGAGGGTCCATTGACCAGAGAGGAATCCCACAATGTATTGAGTTTATACCCACATTTGTTCTTAATAAGAAAACTGTAATCACAGGATAAACAGAAACAGAGGCAGTGATTCTTTTTGGTAATATCTCCCAAATGCTTTTCTTATTTTCTAAAACATGAATACTAAGCACACAGCCAGTGTGAAGTACATTGTAACATATAAGAGCTAAAATTCAAATGGGTCTCTTCCAATATTTTTATCATTGAAGAACTTCATTACTACAAATCATGCATGCCATTTAACCAAAACTATTTTAGAAAGTAGTATATAATTGCTAGTTACCAACAACTGGGCACCATGAATACACAGAGGTTATTTTATCAGTGGATAAACAGCTTCAGTTTAAGCAAAGATTTTGGGAAAAAAAAAACCAGATGTCTTAGTATAAATCAAGAGATCCATGATTCTTTAAGTAAACACAGTGCCCTAAATCCATCATTTATATTGGTGTAACCAGCATTCCAGAAACACATATCATAAATGAACGAGCCTCTCACACAACCCTGTACTCTGAGAAGCCAGAAGGTTTAATCCCCAAATAGATTAAACTAGACAGATGGGTAAAACTGTTTACAGTGTTCCCAGAATGGCTGTTTTTGTGACATGCCTCAAAGAGGACACAGATGCATATGACCCATTTTAATTTTCCTTCTCTAAGCCTCTCTGCTTTACTGAGCCAAGCATGGTTCAGAAGCAGGTCTGAATAAGTCAGGAATGCATGAGTTCCAAAGAGTCCCATTTAGGACCTGAGAGAAATAAAGATCAGGCAACGAATCCTGAGTAAGCTATCCCCAAATCAAATAAACATGTTCTTCATTTGGAGATTATGCCATGATATAAATGTCACACACACTTTCAATCCCAGTTAATTTATGGTTCTTTCCTTTTCTTTTCTTTTCCTTTTTTTTTTTTTTTTTTTTTTTTTTGAGATGGAGTCTCAGTCTGTCACCCAGGCTGGAGTGCAGTGGCGCAATCTTGGCTCACTGCAACCTCCGCCTTCCAGGTTCAAGCAATTCTCCTGCCTCAGCCTCCCGAGTAGCTGGGACTACAGGTGCCTAGCTAATTTTTTGTATTTTAGTAGAGATGGGGTTTCACCGTGTTGTGCTGGTTATTTCTAATGTCATTTTTTAGATAAATGAGATAAGCTCAGAGTATCTTTCAAAATTCATTGTCCCAACTATCAACCCCTTACCTGTTCCTCTAGACTTTCAGTGATATGTTTTGCACTAGCAGAGGGCAGAACCCATCCATCACTCCCCATGATCAACAGTTACAGTATGTGCCTCTTTTATTTTCCTGGAAAATGCTAGATCATGCCAGAAGTATGGCTTTAAAAGTGTATTAAACTGTATTGATAAAACCGTAAACTAGTTGCAAGAAGAAGGCACTCAAGTGAAAATGTCAAGTTCAAATGATAGTCTACAAGCAGGACAGCTTTCAAATCCCATTATGACTCTCCACATCCCTATTCCAAAAGAGGGACTGGAATTGGTCATTATTCTGATTGGGAAATAGATATCAGAGAATAGGAGGGCTTCTCTACCACAGGGCTGCAGTTGGCTCTTGTGTAAGCTTCCACCCCTGGCCGCCTCTCACTCCCTCCTCACCCACCCACTGGGATCCCCTTCACACACTCCTTCTTCCCCCATTAATAGACACACTCATACCCCTTTACACTCTGTCTTTAGAGATTTGCTATATCCTAAGGTATAAAATCAAGAATAACTCAAATTCCACTGATAGAAATGTAGCATCTGCATTTTAGTTGCAATGCTGCAAGAAGCAGGGGTTTCTCTCCCTTAAAGATTTGTATGGTTTGAAATGAATAAAAGATAAGGCTATGAACATAGCACAGGGTTCAGAAGATTAGTATGCATGTAGCTGTTTATTCCCTCCAAGGCTAAACAGCTAAAGTCATTTCCTTCCAAATGAAGGTATTTTAGGACATTTTTATTCAGCGTTCAGAATTTAAACTCATGCCCTCCTTAAATGGCCCAGCTTGCTACTTCAGTTCCATTTAACCTTCCTACCCTTCCTCACATTTCCAAAAGAAGAAATTTAAAAATAATAAACTGCACCTAAAGGGCCATAATCTAGTTCATTAAATCATTCCAACAAACAATAGTCCTAAGCATACAAGTTATATAACCATGTTTTGTTTAAGAAAATGAATATTATATAATTTGATATTTCTTTTTTTTTTTTTTTGGCCAAATAGGACTACCATGATGTATAGGTTCTAAAGCCAAAAATATGAAACTTATTTGATGGAAAAGTTAACATACCAAGTTTTTATCTAAGGTGAAGTCCATTCAGATTTACAAGGCTATAAATTATCTAGCTATATTCAAGTGACATATTTTAGATTTATCTTTTTGATAAATAAAGAGTCCTTTGTGGGCAGAGAGAAATGTAATACAAAACAACTCTGCCAAAACTGCCTTCCTTCTTTAAGCACTATACCGGAGCAAATTCCTCTCTCTTCACCTTCACCATTAGATTTACTCTTCCTCCTATAGCCCCAGATTTAGCTGTGCTGATCAGAACTGTGGGCAATATTAGCACTGTCTCTCTCTATGCCACTTCTCATACCAAATAAGTACTAAGCCTCATCTATTCTAACTCCTACATCTCTTTCCAGTCCAGCCATGCCTCCACATCTCCATTGCCATTCTTGCCATTATTTCTCATGTGGATTACAGCATAGCCCTCTCCCTTATTTTTCTGATCCCTGTTTTGCTGGCTTTGATCCATTCTTCCTAGTGTCTGCAGAGTGGCCATGTGAAACTGCTAAACTGAATCTGTCCTAATGCCTAAAATTTCTCTGCTTCTTGTCTGCTGTAACTCTTCAGATGAAGTCTCCAGGCCTAAACAGTATTCAACGGCCTACAAGTCCTGATTCTTGTCCGTGCCTCTATCTGCTTTATTCTGTAGGACATTGATCTTTTTTTGCAATTCTTTGAATATAAACTCATTCTTGAATATGCTTCTTTTACTCAATAAATACTTCCAAAATACCCAAGGTGGCCGGGCACGTCCACAATGTGCCCAGCATGCCTGTAATCCTGGAATTTTGGGAGGCTGAGGCAGGTGGATCGCTTGATCTTAGGAGTTCAGGACTGGCCTGGGCAACATGGTGGAACCCCAACTCTACTAAAAATTACAAAAATTAGCTGGGCATGGTGGTGTGTGCCTGTAGTCCCAGCTACTTGGGAGGCTGAGGTAGGAGATCGCTCAAGCCCCAGAGGCAGAGGTTGCAGTGAGCTATCACCACCACTGCATTCCAGCCTGGGTGACAGAGTGAGACTCTATCTCGAACAAATAAACAAACAAATACCCATCATATGCCAGGTTTTGTGCTAGATGTTGAGAAACAGGGGTGAACACAGTCTTTCTGACCCTATGTATTCCTGCAGTAATGGGACTTCCTCTAGCATAGCATGCCCCAATCTGAATTATAATTGACATGATTTGTCCATATCACCATTAGAATCTAAGCTCTATGATGGAGAGGGATGGGTTATGTTTATTTTGTCGACTCGTGTGTTCTCAGTCCCTAGCAGAAAGCCTGGCACCTAGTAGGGGTTCCAGAAATTTTTGAGTAAATTACCATGTTATTTATAACATAAATTTACCAGTTGCCTGTTAATAGATCTAAAAAGAATAATTTCCTGTGCACTTCCCCTCAGCAGAGTAAATTTCCAACAACATATAATTACACTTTCTCTGGAAATTTTTAGTCTTTGTAATTGTCTTAGTTTGAGTTCCCTCAAAAGCAGACCCTGAGACAAAGACTTGGATTCAGTTAGTTTATTTGGGATGATCCCAGGAAGAACAGGGGAGGTGATAGGAAAGGCAACTGAGAAGGGAGAAATCCAATAAGAGGAGTTTTAACGAGAGGGTAACCCATGTAGGCAACTGAGGCTCAGATTTTTTCTGAGGACTCATATAGGACATTCTTAAAACAGTGCCAATGAGGGACTGAGATACCAGATTATTTATTCAGTGAATCTTCTCCCATATTGATTAAGGGATGCCCTTGGAGGCATTAAATTCTTGTCACTTCTAGGCTGCTATTCACCAGAACTGAGTAAAACTACCATGGCACTGTAGAAGTCCCCAGGAAAGGAGTGGGAGATGGAGGTTTTTGACATGGAAGCTGTCTGTGTTATCTGGGAACTGTCCATGAAGGCTGCAGGTAAACTCAGCTGGGCCAAGGGAAACAGAGTAGGCATCCTTATCAACTGCCATGCACACCTTCACATACAGCATTAAAAACAAAAACACCCCAAAACCTAACATCCTGAGTGCCTACCACTTTGTTTCTAGTATTCACTTAATAGCAGATTGGAGTATTGCGGAATAATGAGAGATTTTCAAGAAATCAGGATTCTCTGAGGACCAGATCTAGTTTGGTGATGACTAAAAGGGCCATGGACAGGAAAAGATCATTTAAAGATTTCAGAATGGTCAAGAAAACTAAAGAAAGACTGTGAACATCTATGCACGTTTACAAGCTGTCAATAAACAAGCTGAAGAATACACCAAAGGCCCAGATGCTACTTCTGGCAAGGCAGTGATAATTCCTCTGTCTTCCAAAAAAGAGAAGAACTTCTAGAAACCTATGAGGAGGGGAGGAAAACATGTGTTCCTACTCCATATACTTACCTAACTTCCCTAGCTCTAATTAATTCATAAAGCATACCTTTTTATAAAAGAGGCTTAATCATAGATTTCCTTGAAGAAAAAAATGTATGCATATAAAAATTTGAAGAAGATTTTCTCCTTATATGAAAGTAATAAGTGCTTATATAATTATCATAAATAAAAAAGGAATAATAATCTGTTTACACAGAAATAAAATATTCTTTTTTTTTTTTTTTTTTGAGGCAGGGTCTCACTCTGTCTGCCAGGCTGGAGTGCAGGGATGCTAGTTCCGCTCACTGCAGCCTTGACCTCCTCAGGCTCAACTAATCCTCCTGCCTCAGCCTCCAAAGCAGCTGGGACCACAGGCCCACACCATCACATCCGGCTAAGTTTTTATTTTTTGTAGAGACGGGGTTCCGCCATGTTGCCCAGGCTGGTCTCTAACTCCTGATGCACCCGCCTTGGCCTCCCAAAGTGTTGAGATTACAGGCGTGAGCCACCGCGCCCAGCCTGAAAATATTCTGCTACATGAAACAACATGATGTGAGTAGAAATGTAAGGCACGCATCTGTAAAACTGAAGAATAAAAATACCAACATACACAAAACGTGAGCACATGTTTTAGTACATGTTTTTTCTCTTCGGTCCCTTCTGAAAGTCCACTAAAGTTATGGTAAAATAATAATATGATAAATAAATAAATAAAAGCCCACAAAGAGAATGAAAAACGAGGTGACAAAAGACAAGAGATGTAGTTTTTTTTTTTTTTTAAATATTAAATGAGAGATAACAGATAGTAAGGAAGAAGAACTGAAATAGGAGAGCCTGCTGAGAAGTAGTCAGAGTGTGTTGACTGTTGCCAGGGAACTCTGTAGAGGATTCTGAAGTGGAGATACCCAGTAGCCCTAAGCAAAGGGGTAAGGCTTAGGGCTGAAAACAGGGCGATCTGTTGAAAGCCTATAAATGGAGCAGCTGAACCTCCACAGCCCTCCCTGGCTTCACATTGCCTATCTCCTTCCCTACACCCACATGGAATGGGGACATAGGACATTTCAGTATCTCTAACACTTTCTTTTAAGTGAATCTGAATTATTTTCTTTATTCTTAAGAGGTTTTCTGCAGGCACGCTGGATAAAACAGCTTCATTTTTAACCCATTCCAAATTTTCACTTCAGTATTGAGATACCTTGAAATCAAGCTGCCCTGGCTGTCACATCAAGATTCTGATATTTAATAGCTATGGAGCTCTGAGACTGTTTTCTCATCCTTACAATGCAAATAATATTATGAGAAATTGCTGGGGTTGTTGAGAGGAATAAAGGAGAAAATCCATGTACAATCATTTAGCCCAGTGCCTGTTGTGCTACCCCGGCAGGGAACAGGATTAGAAGGTCATCAGTTTGCAGCCATCAATATAATGGTTGACTCAGGTGAGACTCATCAGTGGATGTGAAAACCATAGTATGAAAACTGGTTGGGGAACTGAATATTTGCACAGTGTCAGAGTGTCACTTCTTGATTGCTCATAAACTATTAAAATGAAAAAATATGGAATAAAAAAGTGATACAATAAAAAATATGGAGGACACCATCCTGGTAACGGAATCAAACTTTTAATTACAAATAATGGGACTAACTGATGATAAGTATCTCCTGATGGGATATACTGGAAAGGAATAATATCATCTATAAATATTCCTACCCCAAATTCATAATCTGAATTTAATCAGGAAGAAATAATAAGACACATTTTTATCTGAATAATAAATATTTCTTATTTTAAATATTTATTTAAATATTTCTTATTTTAAATATTTATTTAAATATTTCTTATTTTAAATATTTATTTAAATATTTCTTATTTTAAATAATAAAACAGTGGGTATGAATTCTCTAAAAATGTTAATTTTACCAAACACCACTCCAAAATAGATGGAGAAACTTTTCTAGATTACAGGATGATAAAGAGATCTGACAAGTAAATGTGATGCATTAGATACTGTATTAATAAAGATACTCTATTAACAAAAACAAAACCAGAAAACATCATTGGGTCAACTGGGGAAATCTGAATATAAACTGAATGTTAGATATATTACTGTATTAATGCCAAGTTTCTTGAGTATGATACTGCTCTTGTGCTTATATAAGAAAATGTCCTTTTTCTTAGGGTATATATGTCGCATTTGGAATGAAGCAGCAATGTCGCAAACTTAATGCTTAATGTTCAGATAGCGCTGAAAAAAAAAAGGTTGATATGCACATAGATAGAAAATGCACAGACAATATTTGGTTTGAGTTAACATGTTCCCTGACTGAATATGCCCACAGTCAGGGAATATGCTAAGTGGTAATTTAGGAAGATGCAAGAGGAAGCTGCTTCGATTATAGGATATGACGACTGGGACTGGGGCAGACAAGAAAAGTGAGCTCCTTTTAGGACCATCTGGAGAATTGTGACAGCAATGTGAAGGCTTCTCTTCCCTCCCTGGAGGTGAGACTTAAGGGTCAAAATAAAACCTCTGTCTGTGTTGAATTATACATTATCCAAAGACTAACAGAAGGCCTCACAAAGTATCCAGTCATCAAGAGATGTATACATTTGGTATATAACACAATATGAGAACCTAAACTAGGAGTATATAGATTGATGTGGATAACCTACAAAATCTTCTATTTTTCTTCTATTCACCTCCAAACTCTTGCAGCTTAGATATTCTCTCCATATCTGCATAAAATATATGATCCTTTGAGGAAATGAAATTGACATACAGCCATAGTTTCTAGATCCATTTCTACCTCAATCTCTAGCAGCAAAGCTTGCAAGACAAGCTATAGTTTAAAACAGAAAGGTGAAAACTAGAAGAAGAATTAGCCCATTTCTATAAAACAAAATGGTAGGCTTTCCCTTGAAGTGCTAAGTAACTCAGTCATATATTGTTTTTATTTCTGCTATTATTGCTGCATAACAAATTAACCCAAAACTTAGCAGTTACAACAACTATCTTACTATCTTACAATTTTGAGGATGATGGATTCAGGGCCCAGTTGTAGTCTGAAGGGCTTGACTGGGCAGTTTTTGCCTGGGGTTTCTCATGAGGATGAAGTAAGAAGTCAGCTGGAGCTGAAATCCTTTGAGGCTTGACTGATCTGGATGTCCAAGATGGCTCACATCCCGGACTGAGAGTTGATGCTGGCTATTGGCTGGGAGCTCAGCTGGACAGTTGGTCAGAGAGTCTATGTATCTCTTCTCCTGCATGGTGGTCTCAGAGTAGTATAACGTTTTACATGGTGGCTGACTTCCCCCAAGGAAGGTAACTCATGAGAACCAAGGATAGTATGGCCTTTACTGACCTAGCTTGGAATTTCATAGCCCTACTTCTGCTTAATTCTATTAGTAAAAAGCACATCACTGGCCGGGTGCAGTGGCTCACACCTGTAATCCCAGCACTTTGGGAGGCCAAGGTGGGTGGATCACAAGGTCAGGAGTTCAGGACCAGCCTGGCCAAGATGATAAAACCCCATCTCTACTAAAAATACAAAAATTAGCCAGGCGTGGTGGCAGGTGCCTGAAATCCCAGGTACTCGGGAAGCTGAGGCAGAAGAATCGCTTGAACCCTTGGGGTGGAGGTTGCAGTGAGCCGAGAGTGCGCCACTGCACTCCAGCCTGGGGTGACAGAGTGAGATTCCATCTCAAAAAACAAAACAAAACAAAAAAAAGCACATCTCTAAGTTTGGCCCCGATTCAAGGGGAGGGAACACAGACTCCTCCTCTCAAAGGGAGGAGTGTTAGAGAATTTATGATATGTTTTAAAATCACTATGTTTTAACTGTGGCATTTCAAACCCTTAATTAGAACTCTGAAAAAGAAGGTCTTTCCTAGATAAATCAGAAAAGGCTAGATTAATTTCATATAATCAGATCACAAGGTAAAGCTAAGTTCCAAAACTGTTTCCAAAAGAAATATTAAATGACCAGATAGGTGGACAGATGGATGGTGGATGGATGAATGGATGGAGGAAGGGAGGGGGATAGGGATGGATAAGTAAATGGATATAGATAGATGGCAATGAGAGAAGGGTTATTTGGATGAATCCAAAGCATAGTATGTGGTGACTTCCCAACTATGACCAGAGTTGCAAACATCTTTCATAGGGTACTTGTACTAAAACCACAGTTCACTGAGACACAATTACTAGAGAGGGTAAAACCAGGGCAAAGAGGCTGTTCTGAGATGAAGATCGCTTAATAGGCATGAGAAAGCAAGGAAGATTTACAAAGGTGAAACTTCACTAGATCAACACAGGAATCCATCTGTCTTGGCCAGCTGCTCGGTCCTGCTACATGCTCAGTGGCACCATGTCCACTTATGGCAGGAGACAAATCATCCTCTGAAAATGGGAATCAAAAAATTTGGCAGAGGAGAACGACTAAATGCTTTATTCCATCTTACAAATTTGCGATCACATTACACATTATTCTTTAGTTTTCTCAGTCAGGGAAATGATGAGGATACAGAACCAGACTGAGATAAGTACTAAGATAATGGAAGGTAATATGAGCGGTATTATTCCACTTATTTAAAAACGTAAAGGCAACAACTGGGCTAGTCTTCCAGTTACAACATATGGCTTAGAGACATGATCCCTCATCAAGAACATGGAATAGAACTTGTCATCATGGACAGATTGTTAGGGGAAAAAATGATGGCGATAGGCATATTATGAGATAAGAACAGCTAGTACCGCTACATTTGGAGTGCGCCAAAAGCTGGGGTAGCATTTGTTTTGCTCCCTGGATTGGTTCCATCTGTCTAGTACTGCTGAGAATATTTTGACAGTGGAAATTTGTGAGATGAGGCAACCTCCACCATGTACTGACATTTATGAGTCAGAATATCCATGATGGAAGGAGGAATAATCTGAGATATTGGTTTGAGGTAACTGAAACTGAAATATAGTGAAGGCCACACTAATGGGCTTTAAGTAGACCTTGGGTGGTGGAGACTTTGATATCAATTGCTGGGGTTTGAAATTGGGGCAGGTGATCTCTCTTTGGTTCCGATTCAACAGCAAGCTGTCAAGAGAGCTGACAGGTGAGATAATTGTTAGCTCTCTGGCTTGCTAATTAAAGGAGATGGGAAGTAATAGGGACATTCATTTTGTTCACTCACCAGAATCTCCTTTGGAAAAGGGGATTCCTTTTGAATCCTAAAAGAGATCAATTCACTGCTTGACATGCACCCAAGTGAGTATGAAAAATATGCCTTCAGGCTGAGTGATATATGAATCAGATGTCAAGCGTCACGTGGTAAAATAGTGACATTACCTTTTAATTGCTCTGGGAGATAGAAGAGTCATCTAAAGCTTGAGTGCAGCAACCTCTAAAGAGCTGGCATCAAAAGGAAGCATGTTTCAAAACATGAGGGAACAAAAGGGAAGATCAAAAGCTCCTCTGTCTCCCTCACCTTTGCATTGATGTGCTTTGAGTGTCCATTTCAATATCTCTAACATTTTCTTTTATGTGAATCTGAATTATTTTCTTTATTCTTAGGAGGTTTTCTGCAGGCATGATGGATAGAACAACTTCATTTTTAACCCATTCCAAGTTTTAACTTCAGTATTGAGATATCTTGAAATCAAGCTGCCCTGGCTGTCACATCAAGATTCTATCACTTAATAGCTATGGAGCTCTGAGACTGTTTTCTCATCCTTACAATGCAAATAATATTATGAGAAACTTGCTGGGGTTGTTGAGAGGAATAAAGGAGAAAATCCATTTACAGTCATTTAGCACAGTCTCTGCAGACGTTCAAGAAGTGTTAGCTATCATGTGAAGTCATGGTCAGAGTCTCTTTTTTTTGAGATGGAGTTTTGCTCTTGTTGCCCAGGCTGGAGTGCAATGGTGCAATCTCGGTTCACTGCAACCTCCGCTTCCCAGGTTCAAGCAATTCTCCTGCCTCAGCCTCCCAAGTAGCTGAGATTGCAGGCATGCATCACCACGCTTGGCTAATTTTGTATTTTTAGACGGGGTTTCACCATGTTGGTCGGGCTGGTCTTGAACTCCTGACCTCAGGTGATCCACCTTGTCCTCCCAAAGTGCTGGGATGACAGGCATGAGCCATCGTGCCCAGCTGTCTCTTCTTTCCATTTGGAATTCTGTTCAAATACGCGTGGTCAAAGACTAGATGGAGATAATGTCAATTTATCAAATTCTGCCCACTCCTCACATCATGGTGCTCCCTGTCTTACATCCTGCCCTCCATCTCATAACCTTCAAATGGAAGGCATTCTTTTGCCATAGGCTTGATTTCTGGTCAATACTTCCAGGTATATTTTTTCTTGAAAATATGGCAAAGCTAGGTATTGATTAAATAGAGGGTTAAAAAAATGGGAAATGCATCTCCAAGCAGAGCTGGAAACTCTCTAATCCTCGAGTCCAAAGCACTGACCTCTGGTCACAAACATCTCAGAAAAGACAATGAAACAAGATTTATTTCCACTACTACATATGGCCAAAGAGAAGACAAAAAGAAAAATTAGGAATTTTAAAGGTGACCCTATGATTCTGAAGAGGCCCGTTTTTCATTCTCACAATGCAACAGACTCACTCCAAGATTACTGAGTGTGCAGTATCTGTTTCCTGTGGGCTGCTGCCAACAGATGGCTTATTTTGAGTGACAGAAATATCATTACGGAACAAAAAGAAATTAGGACTAAATATGAAATTAAATATGTTCTTGGGATTACAACCGATGATCAAGAAGTTGCAAACCAGTGATTTGCAGCTTAATATTTTGCCTGCAGCCAATACCCACTGTTTTAAGGAAACCTTCATATTAAGAAGGCTGTTCTCACACCATGCAATTTATTTGTCTTTCTGTCTTGCCAGTGCCTTTGCCAAACATCATAATTTTCTCAGAATTCTGAATTGCAAGATGAACAAATAATATTCATTTCCTCCACGGAGAAATCATCCTTTGATTGAATTGTCTACTTCCATCCCAGTCACTGCAGTGTGTGCTACATGTCAGGGATGTGAAATGGAGTTAAGCTTACTTGAAAGCAGAGTATAAATTAGCTTCTAAATGAAAACATTTAGCAGGAAAACATTTTCAAATGACAGCCAAACTCTATCAGCTCCCAAAGTACTCAGGGCCCCTCTGAGGAATGCGGCCTGGAAATGAGGGCATACAAGCCCAGACTGTGACCCCACCGCTGCTCAGTGAGTTCAAGTATTTCCCCAAGGAACTGAAGGGCTAGAAGTCAGAGGGTAAAAGCAAGATATATTTTCTCTAAAAATCAGCCATCATGGTTGACTTTTTCACTTCCAGATAGCTGTTATTTACCTAATAATAATTAAATAAAATACAAAGACAATAGCAACTAAGTAAAACATAGCTCTGCCCTAAGTTACACTAGGAAGGCTGGCGTGCATGCAGAAGTCAGTTAAGTTCTAGAAGAGCATGCTTGGACACCTAGAGCTTATCAAACCCTCCAGCACTGTATGGATGTAGTTATGACCAAATTCACATTGAGATTCTTGGACACAAGTCTGACTCTCCTCGCAGGTGAATAACATGCCAGGAAATCTAATCATGATTGGCTTCTCTGTTGCTACAAACAAATTAGTCTTGCACATGTCTCCATGGCATAATTCAGAGCATGCACTGAAAATTCTAATCAACCCTCCTCATCCTAGCTGTTCAATAGGTGAGAACCTTTTCAAAACAATTGAGAAAAATTCTTGCTACTGTCAGAGTCTATATTCTTAAAATAAGCATCCAGGTTATTTTATAAAGCTCAGTCTGTAGCTATACAAGAATCACTGAACCTTTCTGCTGTGCTATTATTATTAACGCCATAGCCAGGTACTAAAGCAAATGATACGACTCCAGGCAAAGAATCAATACTAGGGCAAAAGTCTGTTTCCCAGAGTCTAGACGCTGTGAGGTGATGGCCCCTTGGCTATCGGTTACTCTAAAGCTGAGGTAGATCACATGATGCTCCCTCTTCTTCCCCGACTCTGTATCCACATCCTTTCCCTCAGGGACTTTACTGTACTTCCCCACAGTGTGAGAGTCACCTCCCCTGCCCCTTGATGCTGTGCTCAGCCATGTGACTTGCTTTGGCCAATGAGATGCTAGCAGATGTGATGTAAGCAGTCTAGCAAAGCATTTGGGTGATTGCTTTGGGGACTTGCTCTATCTTATACCTCTACCATGAGAAGAACATGTCCAGGCAGGCTGGCTTGTCCCAGGGAAACGGATAAAAGACAGGTGAAACAAATATAGTTGGCCTGGCCAGACCTAGCCTTAGTCAGTCAATGACCAGCTGACTTCCAGACACAGCTGAGGCTAGCAGAGCCATTTGGCCTGAACTATAGTCCCATAGATTCACATGCCAAAAAGTGCCTACTGTGTTTAGCCACATAATTTGCAAGTGCTTACTGTTTTAAGCCACTGCTTGAAATTGTAACAATGGAAAACTAAGATTTTTTTTTTTTTTAAGAGGAGGTTTACCTCATTGCTTGGAAGGAAACCATTTCTAAAAGTTTCTATTCTCTGTAGCAGAACATCTCACCATTCTGCTGTCATGACTTGAAAATTTAAAAATGACATTACTGGCATTGGGACTCCAAGCTTTCAATGGTTGTGGCACTGAAACCTTGATCACCTGTGTGTGGCACCATTAAAATAACAATAACTAGAGTTTATTGAGGGCCTATTCTATCATGTATCAAAAGCCTTTTGCAGTATACAACTGTATCCTTAATATTCACTATAATCTTACGAGTAGGGCCTTATTATCCATTCCTCTTGAACAGATGAGGAAACTGACACTTAGAAAAGTTAAGTAACATGCTCAGGGACACACAACTGATACATTTGAACCTGGTTTAGTGGACTCAAACCAAAACTTAAACTCTGCTATACTTCCCATCATCATTCTAAAACTCCAAAGGATTTTAGTAGCAAAAGTTTTATATAAAACATTCCGGGAAGCTCCAGAAAAGAGTAAACATTGTAGTCAGTTCTCAAGAGATTAAAAAAATGTTAAATTTTGCATGGCCCTTTTTATCATAATTTGCTGCTTGACAGGCATAGCAACCCAGAAGCCCAGGCTGTAAAGGACCTCTTCATTTCCCACGTCCTCACCCTCTGCCAGTGGGGTAGACTCGGAAGAGCCATCTGCTCTGGTTTGACAAGTTGTGCTGCGTAGGACGTGGACAAGGATGTCACGTGATCTCCAATATCAAGTCCTAGGCCCACAAATAGAGTTGGCCTATTATGGCCAAAGAATGATGATTAAGTTCCCAGCCAGGGAAAGGCAAAGGTCAAAACCCCTATTTTTAAAGAAATCACTTGGCTGTTTGATGAAGCTTACAATAGTAAATATTGTGAGAACCAATCCTTCTTCAGAAATTGTGTTAAGGAACAGGTTTCAGAGAAGTCAAAGATCAGTCAAGTGTTTGAAATAGTGGAGTTCAGACAGTACATTTTTATTCTGTCCTTTCAATCTTCTTTTAAGACTCTATCTTTGAAGGCCACTGAAGCCTTACCTCCTTCCAAGGCCCCTCCCAGATCACAGAAGCACCCATATTTGCCCCTCTCCATTTGCAATATCGATGGCTATTATGGTCATCTCCCACTGGTCCTACTTTCTGGAATGGTTTCTTAATAGATTCATGAAGTACACAGGAACCTCAGGTCTCTGGTATAATTATGATGATAATTTTGACAACCATATCTACTATTGTGAACTTCTTTATGTGCCTTAATCTCTATACAATCATTGTGCTCACAATAACCCTAAAAGGTAATGTTATTACAATTTCCACATTATAAAGAAGTTGAACCTGAGAAAGCTCCTGACTCACTCAGGGTCACACAGCCCGAGAGCTGGCTGAGCTGGGATATGAAGATGTCGATCTGACTCCAACAATCTTAGCTTTTGACTGTCTCCATAGAAGGCACTATCTGATATACTTTTTTTTGTATAACCCCAAGATGCCTGTCACATTTAGAGGCACAGAGAAGACTGTCACCTGCATGCATTGTACAGGTCGCAGTCACACGGGTTTCTTTCCAACTGTTACTGGATGCCTCTGCCTAAAGATAGTGCCCATACCACTGGAAGAACAGACTTGGCACCCAAGTTAGACTTATTTGGTGGCATCATTTGTGCTTCTTAGCAACCATAACATTCCCATGTGGTGTAGTGGGGAAGGGAGAGCATTATATGAGCGCCTGTATGCTACATGGAGTTATGGGCTATTGAGATTCTTTTCAAAGGTTGTGTCCCAAACATTTACACAACAGTCATCCAGCAACTGGATGTATTTAGCATCTACCATATATAAGGTCCTATGTATATTGGGCAATAAGGAGTTATGCATATGAAAAACAAATGTTTTCACAAGAATGTTTTCATTAGAAACAGAAAATCTATTAAAATTAATATATTAAGAAATTGGCCAAATGTTCCAGTTTTCTGAAGAAAACTGTTAGGTGAAACCTCAATATCAAACCAGATGCTGCTTTGGGGCGTATGGAGATGTGTCACTTATATTATAGAATCAACATTTTCTAAAGAAAACTCAAAGACCCAGCTCTATTAACCACGTTTGGCCTGCTTGCCTGTTAATCACAACTCATCACACGAATACCAAGCTGTTGAAATTCATCTGGGAAGAGTCTCCTATTTTTTCTACTTGGCCCTTTCCTTCTGATTTTTAAAATTTCCAGGCAATATCTAAATTTCTGTTCCTCTGCTAATATAATTTAAATACTTTTTAAATTCAAAAAAGACAAATAAAAGAGATTATAGTAGGCAGTGTACCCAAGGCCTCTCTTTTTTGAGAGATGCTGGTTTCTATGTTCTAGAATTGTTTAAGTCCAGTCCCAGAAATATTTGCTATTTGCATGAACCCTTAGTACCTCAAACTCAGCATAACCAATGATGCATTAATAATTTCCTCCCACAAACACTGGTTTATCTTTGTGTATTCTCTGTTTCCACGAGTAGTACCCTGTTGTGGATTGAATTGTATCTCTAAAAATCCCTGCCTTGAAGACCTAAACCACAGTACCTCAGAATGTGACCTGATTTGCAAATAGGGTCTCACCACTGATGTAATTACTTATGATGAAGTCATGATACAGTAAGGTGGGCCTCTAGTCCAATATGAACGGCATCTCTAGAAAAGGAGAAATTTGGATACAGATGTGCACACAGGGAGAACTCACAGTGAAGATGAAGGCAGGAGATTGGGCTGATGCTTCTAGAACGAAGGGATATGAAAGACTGTCAACAAACTGCCAGAAGTCAGGAGAAAGTGATGGAACCGACTCTATTCTCACAGCCCTCAAAAAGAAGGAACCCTGCCGATACCTTGAGTTTAGACTGCCAGCCTCCAGTACTGTGAGGCAGTACATTTCTATTGTTTCTATTGTTTAAGCTGCTCAATTTGTGCACTTTGTTACAGAAGCCTTAGCAAACCAATATACACTCCATCAACCCAATTGACCTGGGATTTTCCCTTATCCTTCATCCCCAGCATCCAAGTTTGAGATTTGTCTTATGTGGTTCCCCTGCTTCCACATTCAAAGTCTTGTCCTTGGTTCAGTGTTCAGTATTCTCATTTGAATTGCTACAAGAGTCTCTTCCTTGGCCACACTTCCTTCTCTTCTGATTCCTTGCCTCACCATCCAAACTATCCTCCACACGATGGCCGGGGTCAGCTTTCCAAATGGCAAATCTGGCCATGTCATTCCTTTAGTAAAAATCCTTGCACACTGTAGGATACATGTCCTAATGAATTTGGAAATCTTAACTCTGTAGATTGACATTTAAGGCTAGTCACGGTTTGCTCCTTACCAGTTATGCAACCCACCATCCTACTTCCCCACATTCAAGCAATATTTTAGTTCATGCACCCAGCCATGCTCAGCTGTTTGTCATTATCTGAGCAACCATGGTCTCTGTCATCCCTATACCTTTACCTACTCTTCTCTATGCCCAACATGTGGAATTCCCCTTCAGCTGTAAGTTGGTCATCACTTTATCGCTCTACCTAAGTCTAGAGAGTGTTGTCCATCAAGTACCTTCTTTGTTTTTTGAGATGGAGTCTCGCTCTGTCGCCCAGGCTGGAGTGCAGTGGCACGATCTTGGCTCACTTCAAGCTCCGCCTCCCGGGTTCACGCCATTCTCCTGCCTCAGTCTCCCAAGTAGCTGGGACTACAGGCGCCTGCCACCATGCCTGGCTAATTTTTTGTATTTTTTAGTAGAGACAGAGTTTCACCGTGTTAGCCAGGATGGTCTCGATCTCCTGACCTCATGATCCACCTGCCTTGGCCTCCCAAAGTGCTGGGATAACAGGCATGAGCCACCGTGCCCGGCTCAAGAACCTTCTAAGTAGTTATTTACTGAGTGAATGTGTGAAGTCAAAATTTTTTTCTTGTTAAAATATGGCTGTCAATACACTGGATAACTAGAGAGGCAAAAAGAAACCTCAGTTTAACCAATCAACCAGTGAAAATATCTCCACTCAAACCTTACTTTAATGAATTCTACTTCAGTATTGAAATAACACCTCATTGAACAACAATAACAAAGAAGCAATTGCTGGAATAGACACAGGAAAAACAATACTGGCATTGGTGTTTCAATATCACTGCATTCTTGGCCCGTTTCATGTGATATTAAATAGCTGGCAAGGCAAGGTGTTCTTAGATAATTCTGCGTTCATTTGTGGTGCTGAAGCACACCTGTGTCCTCCTACAGTCAGCTTAAGCCCCACATGCTCCTTCTTGTCACTGATTTGAATCTCTCTCATTTTAGAGAAAGCATTTGGCTCAGACAATATACCATGGATTTATCTGGTTAGAGTTTTATGCTGCCCCTACATCTCTTGAGATTTTGAAGCTTGCTGCAAAAGACATTTATCATTGTATTTGTTGGTTACATACATTCTTAAGCATTGCCTGAAAGGGACAAGTGCAAGAGTTACGTACTCAGAAAAAAAGATGAAAAAACAGAATAAAATGTTCTATTATGTGTTTTAAGTGACTAAAGTATATTTTTATATAGTTCATATATATTTATAATTTATACTTTATGCGATATAGACATATTATTTATTAGGTATGCCCATACAGTTATAATTGCATGCCCTAAAATATATTTCATATAATTATAATCAGCTCAAAAAAAAGCAGTAGAGTAGCAAATACCCATTTAATCCATTGCTATCCAATAAGAGTGCTATATTATTTATATTCCTATTTATAAATATTCTGATTTTCTTTATATTCAAACTACAGTATTGATGAATGTATTTCTTCAGCATTTCTTTACAAAAAAATCAATTGTTTTTGCTTACTCTCATTCAAAATATGCACATTGTAAAGGTCAAAAAGACAGCATTTTTAAAACTAAACTTTTATATTTTTAAATGGGCCTTGCTCTCTTCTCAGTCTCTACTTCTCTGTATCTAACATTTGAATTCCCCTGGAAGATTTGCACTGAACAATGATGCTTCATTTCAAAAACTGTGATTGAACCAGTTGATTCATCTGGAAATCTGATGAGCATCTCAAACTCCACATGTTCAACTTGAGCTCTCCACCTTTTGTTCTGACTTGCTACTCTTCCTGAAGTTCTAAAAAGGGGTTAATAGAATCACCCTCTATTTGGTCATTGAGCAAGAAATCTTAGATTCCTTTTGAAGCCCGTCTTTTACATCTCAAATTGTTTAGTGGGTCCTATTGATTCTACCCCTAGACCCCTTTAAAATCTATCCCCTTCCTTTCATTTTCCAAATAGAGTCCTTTATTGTCTCAGCACCCAGCCCAGTATCTGACATGTACATTGTAGGCACTCAGTAAATGTTCAGCAAATGGGTGAATGGATGATAAAATTGATAGTTTAGGTAGTTTTTTTAAGTTGTTTTTCTTTTTCCTTCGTGGAAAACTGCAATAGTTCCCTATAAGAAGTCTCTATTATTAATCGTTCCACTCCCCAATTTGACCTCCAAACTTACAAGGGTTATTTTTCTAAGACATATCCAACCATATTATTCCCTGCTCAAAACATTTGATGGCTATTATTGCCCACAATATGCCAGGCTGGCACTCTACTAAGTGCTAGGGATAAAATGATGAAAAAATTATGGCCTCTATGTTGGGAGACAGGCATTAATCAAATAATTACTCTAAGGCAAAACTCTAAGATGCCTTGAAAGCATATGACTGGGGTCGTGATCTAGCATGGGAGCCAGAGGCAGGCTCTCCAGAATGAGATTTGTAAGAGTTGTGAGAAGAAGGGTAAGTGGGGCCTGGCATGGTGGCTCATGCCTGTAATCCCAGCACTTTGGGAGGCCAAGGTGGGCATATCACTTGAGGTCAGGAGTTTGAGACTAGCCTGGCCAACATGGTGAAACCCTGTCTCTATTAAAAATACAAAAATTAGCCAGGCATGGTAGTGTGCACCTGTAGTCCCTGCTATTTGGGAGACTGAGGCACAAGAATTGCTTGAACCTGGGAGGTGGAGGTTGCAGTGAGCTGAGATGGTGTCATTGCACCCCAGCCTGGGCAACAGAGTGACACTCCCTCTCAAAAAAAAAAAAAAAAAAAAAAAAGATGAGTGGGATTTCCCAGGCAAAGTGAAAGACTATCCCTGGTGACTAATCAACATGTGCAAAATGATGAGTGGAAAGGAGCTTGGGGCTGTATTAGCCCATTTTCATGCTGCTGATAGAGACATACCCAAGACTGGGTAATTTATAAAGAAAAAGAGATTTAATGGACTCACAATTCCACATGGCTGGGGAGGCTTCACAACCATGACAGAAGGCAAAAGGCACATATTACTTGGTGGCAGATAAGAGAAAATGAGAGCTACGCAAAAAGGGGTTTAATCTTATAAAACCATCAGATCTCGTGAGACTTATTCACTACCACAAGAATAGTATGATGGAAACCACCCCCAGGATTCAATTATGTCCGACTGGGTCCCTCCTACAATATGTGAGAATTATGGGAGCTAAAATTCAAGATGAGATTTGGGTGGGGACATGGCCAAACCATATCAGTGGCCTTTGAGCATCTCAGAGGAGGGTAGTCAGTTCAGAACTCAGAGGGCAAGGGGTGAACAGCATGCACTGAGGTTGCAGGAACAAGCAGTAGTGAGATTATCCATCCTTTGCTGACTATACAAAGAAAACTCCACTTAAGCATTATAAACAAGAGGTGACATGATCACTTCCACTGGTTTCTTTTTATCAAATTTTATAAAAATACTAAAAAGAGAAGTATATCTTAGGATGGAAACGATCATAATAAAGCTCAGAACCACCAGAAACGCACCGAAGAGCAGCACTAGAAATTATTATTCAGAAGTTGTTGGAGTATGAATAAAAGATAAATTTCATTCCATCAACAAATCTTTAGATGGGCATAACCCAGTGCTTGGCGACTTCACTTTTGTTTCTTAATCATATGAATAATGGGATTTTCAACATGCCAAAATGGTCACTGCATTCTTTATAACATCCTATTCTGCAAGCCAAAGATAGCAGTACAATTAATACATGTGATAAATGCAAGAGCACCTAGCTTTGTTCCTACTTTTAATCAGCACTGAGGCCTTTTAACATGCAGCTTCCTTATTTCTTGAATGCTTCTGAAGATGTCCAATCCCCAGGGCCCTTAGAATAATGGAATCCACCTTCCTTTGTTTTAGGAGTTGAGGAATGATTGCAGGCTCCGGTCTCTTCATTTGTGCCAAGAAGACAACCCATGTGGAGGTGATAAAAAGAATTTCACCATTCCTATTCGGAGGCCTTTCAGTAAAGAACAAAACCAGGGGTGACATGTCTTTATCAACAACTGCCAGCTCAAAAACTGTTCTGTCTTGGGCAAATATATTAATGTGTGTGCTTGCTGAGGCTGCTTAGTGGATTCGAGCCTCTGGAAATCAGAAGTGCTGATGAGGGGGAACGGTATCGTGTGGAAGGCTGGTGAAACTGCATGGACCCTGCTGCCTGTTGCAGTTTTATTGTTCTTATAATTGCAACAATAAATAAAATGCCATGACCTTGAGGTGTCCACTGTGACACCTCAAATTACTACTTCAATTTCAGTCCAGCCACTCCTACCCTTCTGGGAACATTCTTTCATGTCTTATATTGTGAAACAGCATACCTATGCTTCCCAGAAAAATTTCCAGATATTTATCAATAGGCATTGTTTAGGGATGATTTCCTATTTTTCTGGTTGCCAATTTATTTCTCATCCATAATTATCCAGTATGAACTTATTTGGAATGCTTAGATGAACACTCATTATGAAAATAGATACAGGAAGATGGAAACCCAGAGGTGGGAGACGCGGGATTGGAAAGTGTTCTATCAGGAAATGGCAGTACCACCTGCCTTGGTTGTTCACTTCCACAACCATCCATTGTGGCTCACTCTCTTCTGTTTAAGGATTCTTCGTGATACAGTCAAGGCAGAGATTGAGTTGTGAAGCTCTCAGTATAATAATCTGGGAATTACCCTATTCTTTGAAATCGCCCTTTAATATCATAGTGTAAAACGGTAGTTCCCAATCACCTGGAGAATTTCCTAAAACCGAAGTTGCTGACCTTGTCCTCAGGATTTCTGATATAGCAAGTTTAGGATGGAGGCTGAGAATCTGCATTTCTAACAAGTTCCCAGGTGATATTGATGCTATTGGTCTAGGGACCACATTGTGAGAACCACTGCTGTGGGAATAAAAGGCTTTCATTGTCCCTGGGAACTACCAGAAACATGTATTATATACAATATTTGGCCAGATGTGGTGGCTCATGCCTGTAATCCCAGCAATTTGGGAGACAGAGGTGGGAGGACTGCTTAAAAAGCAAGTTCAAGACTAATCTGGGCAACATAGCATGACCCCATCTCTACAAAAATTTTAAAAAATTAGCTGAGCACAGTGGCACCTGCCTGTTGTCCCAGTTACTTGGTAGGCTGAGACAGAAGGATCACTTGAATCCAGGAGTTGGAGGCTGCAGTGAACCATGACCACACCACTGTATTTCAGCCTGCGTGACAGAGTGAGAGCCCGTCTCAAAAAAACATATATATATGTTTTTTATATTTGATTTTATAAATCCGGTCAAAGAATTTAGAATTTTCTAATCCTAATTAGAAATTTAATTTTGAGTTGAATTCAGAAGCTGAATTCAGTTAGAGTTGGCAAGAATGTAGAGTAGAATTTAGAGTTGGCAAGATGCTTAAAGCCTAAGCAGTTAGCAATGACACTGAGGATCTGACAAACTCAGAACTCCAGGGCCTTTGCTTTGTTTACTCCACACTACCTTGCAGCCAGGTCTGGCATCAAATCTACATGAATTGCTAAAAATTATACTGTTGGTTATAACATTTGTATATTGGGGGTTGAACTGTTTATGTGCTTGAAACTGATGAAACATATCTATCAACCTTCATATCTACCGTCCTATTACATGCTTTAGAGACTCCCTTTGATTATGAAAACTTCTAAGTAAGAAAAAAAAAGCATAAATTACTTTTGTTCAGTCAAGAAAGAGCCTGTAAGGGAGGGAGAATGAATGTATTTATACAGAAACGCTTTTCTCAGGAGAAAAACATGTTGCTATTTTAAAACCAACCAATGGAACTGGGTCAATGTGGATATTTTAAAATAAATAATTCATTACTTTAATGTAATAGGCTTTATATTCAATTTTAATTATGTTTTACTTTCTTCTAGCAATTAATTTGCACATAGAGACATAACTCTAGCTATACATTTTTCAATGACTTTTAAGAAATTTAATTTGAATTACTATGTTCAGAAGGATGTGTGTCTACATGTAGCAAACACAATCACGTATGGTCCTGAAGGTTTGTGTCTCTTTTCAAGGAAGGTTTCAAAGTTGTTGAGGTCATGTTTATTCCATCAGCATGGTATAATGCATCACACATATAGATTTTCTGGCTTGACAGACCTGAGTTTGAATCCTACCCATTATTCTGTAACTTTCAGCAAATCAAAGAAATGCTTTTTAGCCTCAGGGTTATCATCTGTACAGTTGGGAAAAAAATATCTTGGCTAAGGTGTCATAGCCAAGAAGTGGCATGGGAAGCATTTAGCCCCTCTGTGATTTCCATCAGCTCCTCCCCACTTCCCTGGCTCTCCCATCAAGGTACCACATTTAGACAACCTGAGCAAAAATAATGAACTTGAAATGCAAATTTAGCTTCCAGACAAGTCTCCCACTCCACCCTACCTCCCAGGCACATCTCAGACAAGTTCCCTCCCTCCTCCATCCCAGGACCACACTATCACTTTCAATCCTTTTATAGCAGGAATTCTGGGGCTGGGCCAGCCCATAGAGTGCCTATGATACAACATCAGCTATGCCTGCAAAGTACCTACAGGATGCTTCCTTTTCTTCCCTAAGTTACTTTCCCCTGTACCAGTCACCTAGTGCACTGGGACTGAGTTTCTTCTTAAAAAGAGAGAGAGAGAGAGAGAGAGAGAGAGAGAGAGAGAGCGACAGAGACAGAGACAGAAAGTTGGATAGATGATCTCTAAGGGTTTTTTTGTTGTCTGAAATAACTCTAAAGTATTACAACTACACTTAAAGTACCCCGTAATACAAATGGGAAAAATTACATGTCCTAAAGCGTATGTTTATAAATTACGGTAGAAAGCATCTGTCTTATGTAGCACTGTCCTAATGCCTAAAATTATCACGATCTATGTACATTTCTTTTTACCTTCTGCAATTCTCTTAAAAAGATTGCTCTACAATGGGACCACCAAAATTGTTCTTCCCAAGGAAAATACCATTTTATTCTGGCATTAAACTTTTAGAATGAGCCTCAAAATCATTAGGGAGAAATGCTGACTTTATTTAAAGGGCACATCCAGCATCTTAATGTGAATACTGCTAAAAGATTTCCTTTGGATTTAATTTTGAATTATTGCTTTGCATGAATAACATCATTACACCTATTAAGATGAAAACTAAATCCATTTCAATAAAGAAGAATGAAGACATAGAAATGGTGCAGTTTAAAAAACAAGCAAACACAGATTAATTAAACAAGTACAGGGCTCATGAGTGCTATGGATACATAATTATTGTCCAGGAACTTGAAGCTGAAATCATGGGCTACTCTAACCTCAGGTCTGGAAATGACCTCAGATATCAATCTTTCAAACCCTTTAATTGACAGATGAGAACCAGAATCCTAGGAGACTAAGATACTTGCTCATGCCAGAGAGCTCATAAGGACAACACCAGGATGGGGGGTAAGATTTCCTAAGACCCAGGTCAGTGTTTTTCAGAGAACAGAGGCTGATTCTGGAGGGCAATACATTTAATATGAGGTAGTGTGTTTGTAGCATTCTGTGTTTTTTAGGTGTGCTTATTTTTTGGTTTATTTTGTTTTGTTTCACTTGTTTGTTCTTATAATTGAGTTTATATAATTGGTATACTTAGAGAAAAAATTATAATCAATGAGTAAAAATAAAATAAAAAATATGGTTGAGTAACTTAATATACCTCACTTTTCTCTCTTCCTCAGTGACGGTGCCAAGTTTGTTGATTGGTTTGCTTCCAACATTTCAGATAGGTAGCTAAAACTTGCAAAATATTTTGTCTAAATCATGATTCTGGCATAAAATAAAAAGACAAAAAAAGTATATGAAACAAAACCCTAGATGACCAAACATCTAACATATCACATTCTGCTAGGGTTGAGAGATTTAGCAAAGCAAAATACAGAACATCCACTTATATCTGAATTTCAGATGAACAATGAGTAATTATTTTAGTATAAGTATGTCCTATGCAATATTTAGGACACATTTATATTAAGGTAATTATTCATTGTACATCTGAATTCAAATCTAACTGAGCATGCTTCAGCTTATCTGGCAACACTAGATCTGCCCATTTAAAAATGTTTCATTAAAATGTCACTTACCAGTAAGTTAAAATTGACTTACTACATATACTAAGTTCTTACCATGCAGAACTAAATTCACTCCAGTCTATTACAAAAAGAAAAAAGGCATTCAGTACTCAATACATGTTAGTTATAGTGATTTATTTCCAAGGAACACAATAAAAGAGTAATTTGCAAAAGACACACGAATTTTATTTATGTATTCATGAACTGTATAACACAAGACCAACCAACCACAAAGACAACAGACTTCCCTATTATAGAATGCAATTATTCGATCTTTGGTATGTAACCAATATTCATTTAGATATTTCTTTAGTGAATAATTATTTTGCTAAATTTTATTCTTCTGTCAGATAGAAAGACAAAGAAGATTTAAAAAGAAAGGAGAAAAATAAAAGAGAACGAGTCATAACAAAAACGATTGCACTGGACTCTCCTAGTTTCCAGGGCCTGAGTCTATGAGTGAGTATTTCTCCAATCTAGAGTTTATTGTGATTCTTCAAAAATATAACAATGTATCAATACAATATCAATAATGTGGTACAGAAATAAAAGTGTGTTTATACTACTTTGTATGTTTTTATTCTATTTCAGTACTTCATATATTCATACAGCAAATAAGTTTTTATTTTCCTACAATATAACAGCCGTTAAATCTTAGAGGTGACACAGGTGTTTACTGTTCTATGTTTTGAATTTTTCTATATTTGAAGATTTTTATAATAATAAGCTGGAGGAGAAGAAAAAATATTAATAAAGAGAAAATTAACATAAATAATACATGTTTATATTTTATTTTTGTTTATGTTATTAAATCATATTTTGTAAAAATAATTATATAGAAATGTATAATCTTAAAATAATTTTCAGAGAAGTAAAATACAATGGGATTTAGAATATGTCATATTCTAGCCTTTTCATTCAAAATATTAAAATTTTTTTCCTATTTATTCTGGTAATTTTCAACAAATACATTTATCGATTTCATTTTAACATCTCTTGCCTCTTTTTGAATAAATGGCAGCAGCACTTGCTCTATTCTTAATTATTAATATTTAAAATTATAAGCTTTAACTCATCGATGTACAACTCCAGCAATTTGTAAAAAAAAAAAAAAAGCGAAGTTATTTTTTTCAACTTAAATAAGTCACCTATGACAATCAAAATGTAGAAAGATTTTGTTTCATTAAAAAGTATCTAAGGATAAAGAATAAACCAATAAGTGGTGTCAAATAAATATTTTCTTCAATAAATATACATCTGATAGCCAACCTTGCTAATCTTGTCAGGAGTATATTAATTGGAACTTCCACTCCATAGACTGTTACATAATCAGAAAAAACATTATACGCGTACATGGAAAGTAAAAATGTTCATAGTATCTTTTTTTTTTTTTTTTTTTGTGAGATGGAGTCTCACTCTGTCACCCAGGATAGAGTGCAGTGGCGCAATCTCGGCTCCCGGGTTCATGCCATTCTCCTGCCTCAGCCTCCTGAGTAGCTGGGACTACAGGCGCCTGCCACTACGCCCGGCTAATTTTTTGTATTTTTAGTAGAGACGGGTTTTCACCGTGTTAGCCAGGATGGTCTCGATTTCCTAACCTCGTGATCCGCCCGCCTCAGCCTACCAAAGTGCTGGGATTACAGGCGTGAGCCACCATGCCTGGCCCATAATATCTTAATTAAAAAAACAGCTTGGAAAAATGTATACACTATTTATGTTGCTCAATAATCATGCTACTGAAATCTTAGTATTATGGTATTAAACCTAAAGAAACCCTTGAAAACTGACCCATGTTCACAGTACCTTAGTATAAGAATTAATTTGCAAAGGGATCACTTAATCTTTAACCCAAAGCTTTCTGTCTCCTTCATCAAATGAACCTCAACTGTCCTCTTGGGATGAGTTTCCATTTCCCCACTTTCATATCTCTTAAGGTTGGTAGAGGGACAGCAGCTAATTCTACATATGGCCAAAGAAGGGTTAAAATATGGTGACTAACAGGTAACAAATAAAACTTTTTAGGCCTAATTAAATCAGGTTTATTATCAGTTACTTCCACTTAATTTTTTCTGTTTCAAATACAAGCTTTATTTACTGTCTTATTTTCATGTCTTTGCTGATAAATGTCCCATGTCCTCACTCAAATTTCTTCTACCTGTTGACCTCCGTCACTTGCTGATGAACATATGTTGATGTCTGTCACCTCTCTGAATACACACCGTGGCCCTTATTCTGTGTCCACTCTCCCACACTGTTTTGTCCACCTCCCATTGTATATTCCCTTTCTTTCTCCCAACTCCTAAATTTAACTTTAATTTGTTAAATGTCAACATAATCGGTCAAAGGTGGGGGGGGCGGATATCAGTCAAGTTAGGAGTTTTAATTCTACTGTGTCAAACATCTGATTCATTTGATTTGTTTTTTGAAAGGTTATACAACATATACGTAACTATTACAGTTTAAAGATATACTTTAAGAGATTTTTTTTTCAATTCACTTAAAATCACAAACATGGCTTTACATTTTTTTGCTTGTATTTACAGTTGCTTGAGTTCTTTGTTGTCTAAAAGAAGCCTCTATCCTCCACTTGGTTATTTCCTACCCTTCTAAAGGAAGATCTTTACATAGACGTTTAATTTAATAGTAATTCTTTAACAAATAGTTAAAGAATATCTAATGTCAGCCACAAATATATATATAGTATAGGTTCAATGTAAAAACAATTGGAAAAATATAAAGGAGCAAAATAATTAAAGTTACAAATCTTGTGATCCTATCTTCCAGAAATAAATATATTAACACTTACACACACACACACACACAGGCATGCACACACACACACACGCATCCCACAGAGCACATATTTAGAAGAAAAATGCTAAACAGGACTGTTTCTTTCTCGTTTTCTCTCAAACTGAGAACAAGAACTGTCTACTTCCAGCTCTTCTCCTTTTGGCTGAGAACAATGATCAAGAATGGGAGAGTAGCAAGGTGGAGGAGCCTGAATCTGATCAATCACGTGGAGCAGTGGTGTCTACTACTGACTCAGGCCTCCCAATTTGAGAATGTTACATTGGGGAGAAATAAACTTCCATCTTCTTTAAGATATATTAATAGTTACATTAGGAGTGTCTTTGTTAGAGCAGTAATTCTATCTAATACATTACCCAAATGGTCAAAACTGATGGTAAGTATTCTAAGAATTCAGAGAAGAGAGAATGCTGTATTGGTAGCAGTCATATTACAGACTTCAGAGAAATGGTGACTCAAACAAGATAAAAGTGATAAGAGTTTCGAGTTCAAGATGGCAGCTAAGCTCAGGCATTTGCTTCTTCTTCTTCAAAAAGCTACATTAAAGTAGTGGTGGTAAAGGAACTGAAAAAAAAAAAAACCACATAACTGCAAAGGAACAAATGAGATATTTTAATTTCTGGATGAAAAAACGCAAACAGAAGTGTGTGGTCAGGAGATGAGACAGAAAGAGCCACAGTCCAGGAGATAAGCCAGAGAGCCACAGGAGAGATGGTAGCCAGCCTTCTTGGCAGGGCTCCCAAGGATTCTGTGCTCCACATCAGGGCTTCCTAACTTCAGCATTTGGAGCCAGATAATCCTTTGTGGTAAGAGACTGTTCTGTGCATTGTAGGAAGCCAATAGCACTGCTTATCCCTTCAATCCTCATGATAAAAAAGCATCCAGGCCAGGCGCAGTGGCTCATGCCTGTAACCCCAGCACTTTGGGAGGCCAAGGCAGGTCAGGAGTTCAAGAGGAGCCTGACCAATATGGTGAAACCCCATGTCTACTAAAAATACAAAAATTAGCTGGGTGTGGTGGCACATGCCTGTAGTCCCAGCTACTCAGGAGGCTGAGGCAGGAGAATTGTTTGAGCCCGGGAGGTGGAGGTTACAGTGAGCCAAGATCATGCCACTGCACTCCAGCCTGGGCAAAGAGCAAGACTCTGTCTCAAATAAAAAAAAATGTGTCCAGACGTTGCCAAATACCCCTGGAGGGCTAAGTTGCCCCAGGTTGAGAAACATTGCTCTATATTAGTCTTTCTACAAATATTTATTGAACACTAACTGTGTGCCAGGCATTATTCTAGGTACTGGAGATATAACAGCAGATAAAATAATCAAAAATCCTTGTCTTTATAATACTTGCTTTCTACTGGGAACTTGTTAGGCAACAAACAAGCTAAATGAACAAAGGATATAGTTTGTCAAGTGTTGATAAGTGCTATGGAGAAAATGGAGAAAAAGACAGAAGGCACTGAAGGGGAGAAGAAAAAGGGATTTGGAAAATATGAGAATCTAGAGCAGCTCGCAAATCCCTTTCCTGGCCTCATGTGCACCAAACATCAGTGTTTGGATTTTGCCTTTTGGAGAAACACTGGAGAGATATTTACTAAATTGTGTGAATGGACTCCAAGGAAGAAATGCAGAGGCCAGTAGTGGACCTCAGATCATTCTGAAGCCTTACACTGATGATCAGATGGCCTATGGGCAGTCTCTGAGGATTTGCAGGGTAGTGCTGGGTAGTTATGATATAGGGAGAAAAATGGCTGCAACACATCAGGAATCTGGGGAGCGGTGTGACTTCGGGTGGTAGCAGGAGAAACAGAATTACCTGAATCCACTGGTTATTAAATAGTTAATGCATAAACCTCTCATGTTATTAACTCATTTTCTCCATCAAACATTCAACACGGATGCTTTATAAAGCCATGTGAAAAGAAATGCCCTTTCAGATAATTTCTTATTTCATAAGATTACATTATGTTGCTGAGTAGAACAGATAGTTGAATACCATTAACTAAACTTTAGTAATATTATTGTAGAAAAAATGAGTAAGGAGCCTTTTGCTTGAATAAAACCTTTACTCAAAATTCACACTTAAGACACATGGAAACCAAAACAGTAAGAAATATTTACTGATATCTGGTGGGCTCATTTCATTTTCTCTGGGGAACACATGCAGTCACTGGTACAGTCCTTAACAGCTTGATGCTCTGAGCTCAGACAAGGGGAGGGAAAGCTGAGATAGTGAGCTTACTTCCCCATACTTAAAGGTTTTATTTTACATAATATTTTGGCATTCACCCACGACAACTGTTACCAAAATAAGATGGTCATATCTTTCTCATTTCCAATACGTGGTGAGATACTTGCTAGCAAAATTTTGAAACAAACAAAACATAAATGAATTGTGCCTAGGAAATATTGATTATTTGGGGACTGCACATCTTTCATTGACTAAACAGTAGTCATTATCTTCTATTTGCTATCTAGGAAGGTCACTTTTAGGAAAGAAGGGCATCCTCTTTTAATGCCCAGATCAACCAAGCCATCCTGGCCAAAAAAAGAAGTGTCAACTACCACAGGCAGAGCCCCCACACGCCCAATATGGTTTTACTCATTTCTAACTATGTGTTGCTGGCTAAATCAAGTTAGTAGATCCAACTTCTGCATCTCATATATAATTGGCTGAAAACAGTCAACCCACCTTTTCTCAGTAAAAAGTCAAATCAGAATCATTACTGTTCTATAAACATATCCTGTCTACTCATTCTTGCTACTTGGCTCATACCAGGATTCAGTCTCCTTTTTCTCTCTCCTCCAATGTTAATGACTTCCCTTCCACTCTCTCACCTATTCACATCTTTGGGTCAATTTTTCTCACTTTTTCCATAAAGCCTTGCCTCATCAGTTTAGCCCCAAATATTCTCATCTTTCTTCAACTCTCTAGAGGATTTATGTTATACCTGAACTATTTTTGGTGATTCCTAATTATATATCATTCCATCATTGTCATCTAATTGTTTCAAAAGATCAGATATTTGGGGTCCAGCTAGCTTATTTTGTCTAACTTACAGCAAGGGAATGAGGGATACAATTGGTTTGGTGTCCGCCACAGCATCTGATATATTTTTTAAAAGACTCTCACTAGATGGACCTGAAGGAAAGACATTCTAAGGACAATCCCCAAAACCATAGTCCTTGCCTTTGTGGAGCTTACAGTAATGCCGTACATCCTTCCTTTTCTGAAATAAAGAAAAATCTATTTTCTCTTTTTGAAAACTTAAAGAAAAACATCTTTTTATTTTATTAGATGTTAAAAATAAAACATCTTTTTATTTTATTATTTCTAACCATCAATATTAATTTGTCCCAAGAATATTCAGCTTTTTACATTGGATGTGATGCTCAGCCATGGCAGCCAGTAGATGTTGAAGAGGGACCTCTGAATACTCTTGACTACCCTATAAGGAGTATCCAGCTGTCTGGATCATTGTGTGAGCAAAGGATATTTAAGTTTATATAAAAAGAGGTTGAATAGTCATAACACCAAAAAGGATGATAAAAGGATAATTAGCCTACCCAAACCGCCTTTTAATGTGACCTCAGAAACACACAAAGTTTCACTAGTTACTGTGAATGTTTTCACACAAAGTTTCACTAGTTACTGTGGATGTTAACAAAAACTCTTTAATGCTGGATGCATAAGAAAGTCCTAGTTGACTTGCCCTTATTCATGTTGATAGCTCTGCATTCAATTGCTTTGGGTTCATTACTGTGAAAGGAACAGGGACCTTGTGGTTCTGAATCTCACCATGGCACGTTATAAGCCAACACATGATGGAAATTACTTTTTTTGAGATGTGCCATTTTTCTTGTTGGGAATGATGTTTTGCCTACACTGGACATACTGTTGTAAAGGAAAATTATCCTACCCAGGGCTTAACTTTATCCAACAGTTGTGGCTGACCACTCTGCCAGGAACTCTGTAGGGAACCGAAGAAAAAATGGCAAGCACATGATCCCTTTCCTTGGGGCTCTTAGTGGGATTCTAGTGGAGAGTAAGCATTCACTTCCCAACAAATATAACATTATAATGGCAGTAAATAGTCTGAGGGAGAAGTGCAAGAGGTAACAAGAGTTCCTTTCTTCTTTGGTGACCAAACATCATCACCAAACACATCTTTATGAGCCAACAGTAAGGCACCTGGAAATGGCCGAATGCTGAGATATTTTTGGACTAATGGAAAGACCTAAGCAAAGCAAACAAGCTTAAGCCAGTGGGGCAATCGCAGTAACTGTTGGCCAATACCAGGAAGAGCCAATACCAGAAAGAACATTTAGTTGTAAGATAGCCTGGGCTGCCAGAGCCTAAGAATCTAGAGTTGGACTTGGACTATTCAGTAGAACCTCAGTGACAATAGAAATGTTCTACTTTGCTCTGTCCAATATGGTAGCCACCAGCCACATGTGACTATTGAGTCCTTGAAATGTGGTTGGTAAAAGTAGGTAATTGAACTTTTAATTTTATTTAACTTTAATTTTAATTAAAATAGCTACATGTAGCTAGTGCTCAAGGAACGGTATAGTGCAGAGAGATAAAGTGTACAGGGCTATACCTAGGCACTACACAGAAAATAAGTCCCTCTATTATACAATTCCCCAGTCCTGGGATTTCCTATAGGTGATAGCTCCTTTTCCTCCTAACAGGAAGATCAAGAAACCAAAGCCTTTTGTAGGTGACGCATCATTCACCTAGAACAGAAATTATATAGAAATGACAGCCCATTAGCTATATCTGGCCCATAGATATGTTTGGGTTAGTTTGTACTGTTTAAAAAAGTTTTAAAATTAATTCTCAACATTTGTTACAAAAATTTTTTAATCTCAATGCTTGACTTCTCCAGAAAAATTAAACTATGAGGCAACCCTGGCTAATCCTTCCTGGCAACAAGTGTCTGCAGCTGTGTCCAAGGGACACTAGCAAGTTAGTGGAGTCTCTGCCCAGCCTGCTTCACTCATTCACGTGGCCTGCCTTGGCCCCTGAAAGGGCTGGAGTTGGAGATCCCCTCACAAATCTACCCCAAGCAGAAGCATCAAATCTGAGAGCCTGGCACCACTTGTCACTTTGCCTTGGTGGCCCTCACTTTTAGCACTCAACAGAGAGAACAAGGACCTCGGTGTAAATATTTTCTGTTCAAAGTAGAATCTCTTCAGTGTTCTTCAAAAGCAAACATGAATGTGCACACAGACAAAGGACTTCCAAGTTACTGCATCAGGATGAGTGTGAGCCCGGGCGAGGTACATACAGCAGGGACATTTACTACCTTGATCATGGAACTTAGCTGTGCTGCAGTTCCTAGATCTGGAAAATAAAGACAAGAGAACACCTAGATCACGAGGCTGGTGCGACATGAAGGACCTGGAATAAGGCCTGGCACATCACAAGATAGAGAACATGATAGCTACACAAGCTCAGAACATGATAGTTACCATTATTCTAGACTTCAGACTGTCCATCGATCATGGAAACCACCTCTCTATGGAGAAAGAATGAAGACAAACATTTCCCACAATATGAAACAGAGACCTGGGCAGGTTTTCACCCCCCAGTCTATTCTAAACCACAGCAGAAATCTGAGTGCGCTTGTATATGTTAAATGATCAGTCCCAGGAAACCAGTTATTGGTGACTCATCAAAATCTCTCCGTTTCACTAAGGACTGCAGCACAGCCTGGGATGGGTTTTGGAGTAACACAGACACACATACCATGTGTGTGCAGCTTCTTTCCCTACTGGTGCACAGAAAACCCAGTGAGAGAATAACTCTCCCTGCACAAAAGAAGACATCAGCCAAATCTTCCCCAAATCGGTCCTTTGTCTGACCCAGACTAGGCCCTTCCAACAGCATTCTTTAGCCACTGACCTTGACTACAAAATCAGATTACAGCATAAAATTTCTAAAACTGTGATGGCTCTAAAAATTCAGCTTTTCTTCACAGATTTACATTTTGAAAAGTACATTGTGTTTGAACTCAACCCAAATTATCTGCCACGACTCAAGTGATGAAACATACAGCAACGTCCTTCCCTCAGCAAAAAATCTTTCTTTTCTCTGAATAAATTTAGCTTTTAAATCATATGGAGTCAGGCAATTCTTGTAGAATCTCTTTAAAGGGTGCTTAAGGCTTCGTCAGAGACTGCCATAGATGGCTGGTTTTGTTGCGCTTCTCTCCCAAATGATCCAGTTTCTGGGTGGTAAGAACACCAGTCCCTCTAGCTGCCTACTTATGCATCTTCCCCAGTTTAACTTGTAATTGTCCAAATGGTTGGATTTTTATCATCAATAATTTTGCTTTTGCTGGAGTTGTAATGAGATAGATGGACTACCCAAGAGGTGGCAGAAAGTGAATTTGTGTCATACTGTCATTTTCACTTTTAAAAAGTTTCATAAAACTCTCCGTCTCCTAGATCCAAAAGGCAGGCTTACGTATATCTACCAGAAACCCTTGCCATACCCATTGCTGTCTCCAGTCACCCAGCAGTTAGCACCAGTTGCCAGCTAAAGGCCATCCAAGTCTAGAACAATGTTCAGTTCTGATTTATTTTTCCAACCCTACTAATTTTCTGATACAATTTGCCTATATACTTACGGTGCTGGGCTGGCAGTCAAATTAAATAAGGCAAGAGAAGACCATCCCTAATTTCACAAAGCTTATAATTTGTCCTCAGGAAAAAATACAATCCTACTTTAAAGGGCTACTCTCAACACAGTAATACACATTTTTCATTGAAATTCTTCAAACGACCATAATATCTATTGTTTGTATATACACACACATGTATCTTTGCAAATGAGAACACCATTGCAACTAATAACTGTAGCAGGGGTTTACTAGTGATTTGGTGTGATTTAGTATCAGCTAACATTTGTAGAGCACTGCATTGAGTACATTTCTCTATTTTTCCCTATGTACTTTTCAAAAGATATCTATGAGGCAGACAGGACAAACAGTAGAAAAACATTTTATTTTGAGCCTCCATATGATCCAGGCATGGTAATAGGGCTACCTCTTTTACAGCACTAGGACTAGAGAGAGGTGAAGGAGGCTCCTGGGGTGCAGAATATGAGGGCTATGCAAGCACAGAGTTGGCGGCTGAGACCTGCCTCCTTAAACTGTGCATCCCAAGCACCTTGATTACCTCACCCTAGTCCTGACCCTGCATATGAATATTATCACCAGCCTTGTGAATTATACATTATCTTCTCCATTTCAAAGATGGGCAAACTAATAGAGATCTTCAGCAACTTAAGTCCAAAGACTTCCAGTTAATAAACCTGCTGACCCCATTCTGGTGTTCTTTCTACCACTGAAGGGCCTGTGGCCTGAAGACAACGCCAGTTAAAACATGCTTTTAAGCTGCATACGAACTGACTTGGCTCCTTCAACTTTCACTAAAATCCACTGTAAATTGTGCTCCAAAGAAAATCCCCATTTAATCTTTGTTATCACTATTTGTAAATTGAAAATGCTGTTTATTTTGAGCTGTGTTAGCTTCTTTAAAATACTGCAATTAGCATATCCCAATTATAAATATAGTTGGGTTTTTACCGTCCATAATCTTGCTTTTTCTGAGAGGAAATGAGGAGAATGGACTACCCAAGAGGTGGCAGAAAGTAAATGTGTGCCATACTGTTATTTACATTTTTACACAGTTTCATAAAACTCTCTGTCTCCCAGATCCAAAGGCAGTTTATGAATATCCACCAGAAACTCTTATCATGTCCGTTACTTTAGCATTCTCCACAATAAAATACTCAAGTTAATACTTATCCGGCTTCAAAGTCACTAAAAACACAAAAGCTTCAAGCTTAAAACAACTTCATTGTAAAGGGCTGTATATTTTATTTCTTCCTAGTAGCTTTAAATCTATTCACAGCAGTCCCAGACAGAATTTATGGGAATACAATAGTATGCCAATTAACCAGAGTCGACCAGTTCCTAATTCTACATCTCTAGAATGTCTTTATTATTAATGGAAATCCCTGCCATGCTCACTGAAAAACGAGAAGGCAAACCGAAAAGAAAACCAACCCACTCTTAATTATAATTATAATTGCTCTTGTAGATGCACGATTCTTCACCTCGTGCTTCAAGTTCATGGATCAAACTCAGCCCAGTTGTCTGCTGGGGGAAGCTGATGATACAATTAGGGCAAGTCACCCAGGAGAAAACCTACAGGCCTATCCACAAAGCACACAGCCAGGAAACATGTCTAATTATATATTTGTTCTTGCTGTCCCTTCCCTGTGGTTTAAACACCCACTTGCCATTAAATGTATCTGATGAGAAACAGAATGAAAGGCTGGCTGAAGTTGAGGGCTGCAGCTCCGCCATGAACTCTAGTGAGATCTATGTGCAGTCCATGGCAAGTTTTCAAACTCATTATCAAGAAGTAGTGGGAAGATGAATGTGTGGATGTTGTTAAGGCACAGGCCAGGGATTCTGTCAGAGAAACAAGTGAAGGAACTTGATCAGAGAATATCTAAACCCCACCTGCTGTTTCATACATGTGTGTAGTCTCTTCAGTATGCAGCATATCAGGGGCCCGTCTGACTCTCAGTAGTGCCACAGAGGGACCCGGCATACCATACAGCCAATGGGATCTTGCCGTTCCTCTGTTCACTCTACCCTCAGCTTTCCACAGGATTAATTGTCATGGCAGTTGGGGGTCTTTGTTACTAGAGGGAATCTTGAAGCTCTAGGCTCCTCTTAAGCTTTAAAAACATAGGGGTGACAAATGTGTTAATGTGTCCTGGTTTTCAATGTCACGCTGGCATCGCTATAGTCATCACCCCAGGGTGAAAGGGATGGATGGCCTGCTCTTGCAGTTATCACTGCATTCACTTTGGTTCATTGGCACTTTGACTCGCTCCAGAAAGTGTGGTTCCACCATGTTGGGGAAGGTCTCCATGCCATAACCACTCCCTGTGGGTATTTGCCCCAATCTAGACACTTCACAAAATTATAAGACAGGTTCTTCTCCTGACATCCATGTGGAACTTTATTTAGTCCTTTCCCAGTGTGGATTTTAAACATAAAAGCTTCGTGATACCACCAAATGGTAATCTACATTAACTGAAAAAAATAGATCAGTTCTATCCAAAAAGCCATTTAAAGAAACATTTACCTATTTTCATCATTAATCATTTTTCTATTATAAGTTTTCATTTTTCTATGATAAGTTTTCCCAGTTCTCATTTTATTTGTTGGAATTGATTGCAGTGCTTCTTTTATTCTCGCCGCTTCCCCTAACTCCAACAGAAGAGACTCCTCTGCATCGCATGGAGTTCTAGGCTTCTCCTCGACTTTGCCACAAAAGCCTTTGCAGGTCGGCCCTTGACAATCAGCTATAGAGGTTCAGATTATGGAACTGTTGGGGAGAGCAACCTCATTTTGCTCTGCATTCCCACATTCATTAATCCCTGACTCCAAGAATGGCTTTCTCCAACCTAGTGCAAACCAGAGAGTGGACAGAGGGAGATAAGGCTTCTCTAGGTACCAGATTCTTACCTCATTCTTCCAGCCCATCTTAACTGCTTTCTAAACTGAGGTCACTTCGCACTTTACTCATTTGAGGAGTAAGACTCCATCTCTTTTATTTCCTAACTGTAGCCAGCAGTTAATTTAAATATACGGCTTATTTATCTTACAGATTCTCCTTAAATTGCCTCAATTGTATTTCTTAGCAAACTATAATTCTTATCAACTAGTTTCATATAAAAAGTTTCTTTAAAAATTGTTTTACAGAAATTCTCACACTCATTAAAAAATGGCAGTGTATTTCAAACAAGACTATCTGCCTCAGTTTCCTCATTTATAAGAAAAACAGAGAAACGGCTGGGCACGGTGACTCACGCCTGTAATCTCAGTACTTTGGGAGGCCAAGGTGGGAGGATCACAAGGTAAGGAGATCGAGGCCATCCTGGCTAACACGGTGAAACCCTGTCTCTACTAAAAAATTCAAAAAACAAACAAAAAAAATTAGCCGGGTGTGGTGGCGGGCACCTGTGGTCCCAGCTACTTGGGAGGCTGAGACAGGAGAATGGTGTGAACCCAGGAGGCGGAGCTTGCAGTGAGCCGAGGTCGTGCCACTGCACTCCAGCCTGGGCGACAGAGCAAGAGAAAAAGAAAGAAAGAAAGGAAGGAAGGAAGGAAGGAAGGAAGGAAGGAAGGAAGGAAGGAAGGAAGGAAGGAAGGAAGGAAAGAGCGAGTTAACAGTTCCTACTTCATAGTGTCCTGGTGAGAATTCACACTTAGCACAATGTCCGGCACATAGAAAATAGTAAATGTTAACTCTTACTGAACATAAACACTTAGCAAAACACCAATCTTATGATAGGTTCTCAATAAACTGTAGTTATTATAGTTTCCTAATTAGCCACAGACTGGAAAAGAATGAAAGCAAGACTTTTTTTTATTGTTTGTAGAAACAGGGTCTCACAATGTTACCCAGGCTATTCTTGAACTGTTGGCCTCAAGCAATCCTCCTGCCTCAGCCTCACAAAGTGTTGGGATTACAGGTGTGAGCCACCGCACGTGGCCATAAGCCTTTCTGATAGGATGTTATTAGGACACTTGGGAGTGTCTTTCTTCCTCCCTCTTTCTTCCCTTCTTCCCACCTGTTCTTTCTCTTCTTCAATCTCTTCTTCCCCTTCTTTCTTCTTCCCTCTTCTCCTTTTTGCTTTTAAATCAAATATGCTGGAGGTTGAAGGGAAAGCAAAAAGAGATGGAGGCCCACAAAATTTAGGTCTAAAATGAAGCACTCACTGGAAAATAATTTGGCCTCTGCTTCAAAGTACACAATTGCCAATACTGAGCCAAAAGAAATTTATGGTATTTTCCCAGTGGTTGGTATTTAATTAGCAATCCGCTATTGTCAATTGGCTCTGCTGCTACAAAATAAATCATTCACAAGCTATTTTGAAGACTTGTCCTGTTGCCACCACCATTTCATCAATCTTCTCATCAGCTTTGTCATTACAGATCTCAGTGATTTCTCACCTTTTCAGGAACTCTGCATGAATCTGACCTCGAGAAGTATTTGACCACTATCATCTCAGCTATTAAATGTCAGATTCAGACATCTCAAACTGTGTGTCAAGACACTACATTCTGGCAACAATGAACCCATCACCTTTTTTCTCCCTCATAAAGCATGCTCTTTGGGCACCCAAAATTGTATGCTGCAAGTTCTCTCAGGAGTCTAGCTTTATGGCAGATGCCTTTGAAAAGAATGTCTGTTGCCAGCTCTATTCATTTCCAGACTTTTGATGGTCTGTGCCTGCACGTTATGCAAATCATGTCTGTTCATCTTTACTAGGTGAAAGAGGCAGCAGGGTTGGGCAATAAGAAATGGCTCGGCAACCTGCTCCATTAGCATTTTCCAGATTTATCTGTTAAGACTATGAGTTCTTCAAACTGTATTCTCTACTCTTATCAAAAAGAGTCCTATGAGCCTGTTTTATTTCTGCTGAGGGGCCAGGAAAGAGTGAGAGGGCCAAGGGACCCTGCGCACAAGGGGCCCATTGCTGTCAGTCTTTGCAGTAAACGCTCCTGGATTCAGGCTTCTTGTCACCTCTGCATCTTTGTCGCTGATTGCTGTCTGGCATACCCCTTTCTCTACTCCCCCTCCCATTCGCTCATTTATTACTTTTTGTTCAGTGAACATTTATTAAGCCCCTACTACCTTCCAGGCATTGTTCAATGTTCTGGGAATATAAAAGAGAACAAGCCATTTGAAGTCCTTGCTCTGATATAGGTGCCACTCTAGTAAGATGACAGCCGATAAACCAATACATATACGCTTTTCCAGTAGCGATGAATTGTACACAAAAATCAAATGGTGAAGTGAGGGAGAGTGAAAGGAGGGCAGGTCTACTTTGTGTGGGGGTTCAGGAAAAGGTCTTTGTGAAGAGGTGCTGTGTGAGATAAGACCTGAATAAAAGAAGTCAGTGTGAGCAGAGAGCTTTAGGAAGAGCCTTATAAGTGGGGGGACCTGCAAATGTGGTGGTGGCCTGGAGCATGAGGGTGACGGGTGGAGTCAGAGGCCAAGGAGGCTGGAGGGTAGGAGCAAGGGAGAAATGGTATGTGGTGGCCACCGGGACTTTTTAGTAACATGGACCTCTTCAGTAGTTGAGCAGAACCTATGGATCCTTCCCAGAATATGGTTTTTAAATAAATAAAAATACAAAAGATTACAAAAGAAACAGTTTTTTTTGAGATACCATTTACAAGGAAACAATGTGTTATGTGGTTACGTTGCATACTACTTATGAACACATTGAAACAAGATCTTATGGTGGGTCTACCATAATTCAAAGTCAAGATGAGCATAAGTAGTGTTTTGAGATCTCTGCAACAACTGTTATGTGATAGGAAATATCTGTGATTTCTACTGATAACAAAGTCACAAAGACTGCTGATACCACTGTGATTTGCGGCTACAGTCATGATGGGAGAAAGTACTAAATTTTAACTAGAGGTTAGTGAAAATAACTGTAAACTTTGCCCCAAATTTACAAACTCTCTGAGACCTCTTGAGTCTGTGGACCGAGGATCAGGTGTTCTTGGTCTTGTGGTAAGACAGGCATTTGGATTTCACTCCCAAGGAAAAGAAAAAGCCCCAGGAAAAACATTCAGGCTGCCCTCTACCTTCTGTTCAAACCAGAACGCACCCAGAGTCTTCCTTGACTCTGTCCTCTGCCCAGCACCCGCACTGCCCTGGGCACCCTTTATCCTAGCACTTTCCACATTATCCTGTGATCATTGCCTCTTTGTGTTTTCTCCAACAGACCGTAAGCTTTCTTAGGACAGGAATTGTATATCAACTGCTTTTGTATAAATAGTGTGCAATGCCTAGGGTGTGCCAGCTACTCAGTGAATATTTGCTAAATAAATAAATAAAGACTGAGAGGCTTTTGAAAGAATTACACATGAAATCTAAGCTGCCAACATTTTTTTTGAAGGGCATATTTTCCTTTCAGAAACAGGTTACATATGGAAATACATGACAATTAAAAAATAGTATCATCAGAACTGGAAATGAAAACATTGACATCTTTGACAGTGTTGACAATGTTGAGTGGACTAAAAAAAGAGAGAAAAATTAAAAGTAGATTAACTGAAAAAAGGATAATGCAGTTACCTAAAGACCAAGGTTGTCTGGTGTTTAAAATCACACAAGCCTTTGCAGGAAAAGAGAAAGCAAAGCAGGCAAACGGGGTAAGCCGTGTGCCCATCAGCTATAGATCAACAGATCATAAGCTCAGGCTTGGGGGTGAGCTTTCTGAAGTCTTGACTGTCTCCAATTTGTCCTGAGGATAAGCTTCCCATTTTAGACAACAGTCTAAAGCTGCCTAACTCCAGCACACTGCCATCTGTCCAAGATAAAGGAAAGAGCAGGGTAGAATTTTCTCCAAGCCTGGGCTACATCCAGAGTCTGGCTGAATCTCTGCACACTAGGGCTGGTTTTCAGTCCCTTTCCTCATTTGAGGATAGGAACAGAGTTCAAGGCTTGAATCTTAATCTGTATGAGACAGATACACTGGCTTTATACATGCTCAGCTCCATCATTTAAGAAACAATTCAAAACATTCGTTCATTCAATGCATTTTTGTCAAAGCTTTTTATGTGCCAGGCTCCTTGGATTAAAACACAAAACAAAAACAATGCATGGATGAATTTACACAATTGCAGTCCTTGAGTCAGTGGGAAAGCTGACAGGTACATCCACAACCACAGTAAAAGACAGTGATATTTGGAAGGGAAAAGTTTTCCTAAGGCCAAGGAAAAATTCACCAAAGATGCAGTATTTGAGCAGAGATAACAGGAGTAAGTACAGATTTTACTCTGTAATCTCAAGAGCCATGTGTTTGCAACAAAGGCAGCACTGATCGCTGAGAAATTAGTCACTATTAGGGTCCTGCTCTCAGGGAGATTTTGAAATTTCCTGGGCTTGTTAATCATTTGATCATGTTTGACTAATGAACTAATGGAAATATCCATGGCTTAGAAATGTTGATACCACAAATGACTATTCAGCTCTAGTTCTAATCACATGAAGCCTTAGGAGCTTATAAGAGCAGCAGGCTGGATAATAAAAGGTCCCATTTGTAAATTATTTCATTCAACTTGCAATGAGTATGGTCCTGGCATTGTGCTAAAGGCAAGACAATAAAAGTTGACCAAACCATGGACCTGCCATCTTGGTTTCACAAATAAATTACCAAGCAACTCTTTCTAAGTTGTATGAGCTGCAGCATGGAGGGTGACATGGGATAATGCTAGAAGAGATCTGAATTAGACTGTAGTGAGATTCATAAGCATTGAAAGGAGATCTCTGATACGGTAGTTTACTTTTATCATTAAGGGAAAATACAATGCTTTTGATGATTGTAGTTATGAACTTGGAATTCTGAATTAAAAACTCAACTGCCATTTATTTGCTGTATGATCTTTAAAGTCTAAGTTTTCTCATCTCATCAAAAAAGGGGAATAATTATGACTATAACATAGCATCTTTGTGATAATTAAATTATTTAATTCAAGTAAGGTACTTAGACAAAGGAAGCACTCAATACTTCAATGCCTGTGATTATTTTTCATTTATATATGGTTATGTATCACCTAATGATGGAATACATTCCGAGAAATGTGTCATTAGGCAATTTCACTATTGTTTGAACATCATAGAGTATACTTATACAAACCTGGTGCTACAGACTACCACACACCTAGGTTATATGGTACAGACTATTGCTCCTAAGCTACAAGCCTGTACAGCATGTTGCTTTTCTCCATATTGTAGGTAATTGTAACACAATGATAAGTACTTGTGTATCTAAACATATCTGAACATGGAAAAGGTACAGTAAAAGTATAGTAGAAAAGATTAAAAAATGGCACACCTACATACGGCATCCACCATGAATGGAGCTTGCAGGACTAGGAGTTACTCTGGGAAAGCCAGTGGGTGAGAGTGGTGAGTACATGTGAAGGCCTGGTTCATTACTGTACACTGTTGTGGACTTTATACACACTGTACATGTAGGCAACCCTAAATTTATTTGAAAATGTTGTTTCTTTAATATAAATTAACTTTAACTTATTGTATTTTTTATTTTTTAAACTTTTGACTCTTGTAATAACACAGTTTAAAATAGAAACACATTTTATAGCTGCACAAAAATATTTTCTTTCTTTATCTCCTTATTCTGTAAGTTTTTTCTGTTTTTAACATTTTAAATCTGTTCATTGACTTTTAAAACTTTTTTGTTACAAAAATGAAGACAAAAACACTCATTAGCCTAGGCCCACATCAGTTCAGAATCATCAGAACATCACTAGGTGAAAAGAATGTTTCTACTTCATTAGAATCTTATGAGATCACCATTTTACATGTGTTCTGTTGTTGACAAAAAATGTCATTATGTGGCACATGACTGTATTTTTAGTTAGTGAAAGACCAAGCTCAAGTTGATTTGCTTTTGAAATCCAGTTACCCTGGGGTATTATGGGTAGGCCAAAAAGCTTACTTTTATTGGTAATGAAGCAAGATGCCACATTATTTTAAATCCTCAAAATGAGGTCTCTTGGATTCAATATGGAAATTTATGAAAAACAGTATGATGTAGGGTTTGAGTATATCAATCTTTCTCTTGTCAATGTCTCACACACGTGCACGCACACACACACACGCAGAGCCTCTGGTACATATATTGAAGATATTTCATGTTTCACTTAGTTCAAGGCTCTAAGCTGCTGGGTAAACCAACAGCTTTTAAGATTTTCACAGGTAAAGTAATAATGTGTGTGTGGAAGGGGGTTTGGGGGCAATTTAAATCCCATTCCTGCTGCAACAACTTCATGGAATCCCTTTAATTACACATTTAACAAGTCTAATAATACATTTCAGAGAATACATTTATCATCACCTCTAAAGAAAACCATTACCCAGCTGTACTTAGAAAACAGGGGATTTTCTTTTTCCTTTGACTCCCGAACAGAACGTGACTATTTAGGGGTTCGCTTGCTGCTGGCAAATGGCCATTTCCTGCCTCTAGACAAAAAGGCTTGAAAGAACTTATAAAAAACAGTTGAAATCCTCTGTAGACATCTAATAAGTTACAAAGAAAAGAACGTTTGATGAGTTAGTGCAAATTAATCAGGGACATATGGATCCTATTTCCCTTGAGTTTAAATTTGTAGAAGGAGGAACTTAGAAAAACGAACTTTGTAGATGTCACTGAACCCAAGGGAAAACCATATGAGATAATTACTCCACTTAATACATTCCTAAGCTGCCCTGTGCTTAGCTGAAGCCCACCCAGGTCATTTGTAGCTCCATTTGCACTGTCAAATGCACACCCCATCAGCCTCTAATTGTTTTCAGAGGAAAATTTTGAACAGCAGAAAATATTAAGGTAGGTAGTGTTCTCAGCAATGAATTTTAATATAGAGTTTCATTTCCTAATTCCTTAAAGAAATCTAATTGTGCCAGCGGTGGGGGGACCTAGAAGCACCGTGGGTGGCACGTATCTCCACATCCAGGGTCTGATTCACATGAGGGTGGTGTAAACCGGCTTCAGTAAAGGACAACAGGGTACCAACCGGAAAATCATCTCTTGCCGCTATGCTTAATGGCACCTTCATGTCCAGGGAGAATTAATTTGCTTCAGATGACTGAGTACTTGACTCTCAAAAGTTGTTTCAGGAACCAATATAATTACATAAGATCCATGAGATAGCCCTGTTGGCTTTATTTTCAAATCTGCCTACAATAAGTACTCAAAGAAGAATTAAGTTGTGTATGCTAATGATTTTTAGTAATTTATTAAATGCATCTCTTGCATAGAGGCATCAAAGGCAATATCCAGAGACAATGATTACTATCAACAGGATATTGGGAATATACTAAAATCCTTTCTAAAAGATGGCAAAAGGCCTCTACTGTTTACAGGGTGCCACAAAAGCTGTCTAGCAACTCCCAAAGATATTTAATGTGAGTTGAGTTACATTATGTGTAAACTTCATCAAACTCACTTATTGGTCAACCCATGTCAAGTGCTTGTGAGTAGAAAGTAAGCTGTGGCCACCCCAGGACTAGCTAGACAATACAGCCCCAACCCTAGACTCCTAACCCCTTGTTAGAAGGCCAGTCGTAAACTGGTTGAGAGGAGAGATTTACTCTCACAGTTCTCACTTAACATAGCCTTTTCCTTATTGAAGAGAACAAATGGGAGTTTTTATTGCAGTATGTCTTAGCCATAAAAGATTGTTGAGAGCAACTGGCCTAATCTTTCTCAACCACTACCTGAAGAAATTTTCAAAATATAGGCCACTATCTTCTCAGATATTCTGATACAGTAGATTTAGGGTATGCCCCAGTATCTGATTTAAGGATTTTTCCTAGATGACTTTCACCTTATCTTACAGGTGAGGAATAGGTCCAGAATGATTGTCACATCTCCAAGAATTTTCTTGTCTCACTGACAAGCTGAGCAACCTCTTGGTCATTAGGGGAGTACTTCAGTAGGTAACAGGGCAGAAGAAGCCGCCCAGCCTAAGGGAAATCTGCTGGTTACAAACAGGCAACATTTATGTTGCAAAATATATACAGCTGAGTTATTCTTATGCAATGTTCAAGCTCTAAGGTCAGCACATAAAGTGAAAATTTCACATGAGCAAAATTTTTCTTTAAAATTCATTAGAAAGGCCTTATGTTGTAAACTGACACATCACATCTCAGTAAGTCCAGGAAACCCAGTTTTGTCTCCAGCTTTAGGGGAGATTGCTGGGCCTTTTTTTAAAGACCCCATGATCAAAAGGTGAAGTTTTGCGCTTATATCGAGGAGCAGTGTCAGAGAAGCAACAACAACTAAAAGTCTTTACATCTTAGCATCACATCAATGCAGAAAGAAGCTAAGGAACATGTGAAAATTTGGACCGATTGGAAGAAAAGAGAATTCATATGTCTTATTTCAGTCAATGGTTTATTGTGAAACTTAAATGATATCATTTAAATATTTTTTTCTCCTTATCTCTTCTTTTAAAGAGTGCACACAACAGAGGATATATGCGTGCATAGCTCCTTCCTGTCACTGGCCATCACTTGCCCTGGTGCCCAGCAGCTCAGATGCTGGGTGGCTGCAACCTTTGCTGTGGAATCGAGTCTAAGGCCAGTATTTCAGGATCCACGTGGGGCTTCGCTTCCTTGCCTGAGGCCCTTAACCTGGAATCACAGATGTGAATCTGACCAGGTTTTAGTAACTTCTATTCAACACAAGTTTAGTTAATAGTAGATCCCCCAATATTCTTCTATTCTCTGCTTCTTGCAAATGAATAGTCTCCTCACTAAAAGGTTGGGGCTTTCTGTCATGGACTTCGAAGGGGTTCATAAATAGAAATGTAGACGACATAACTGATTGCAGGACAGCACGTTAGCCAGCCCTTCTGTCACTGGGCTCACCGTTACAGCCTCCAGCGGTGCATGGCCAGAGACCCACAGTCTTCGGATGTTTTTTCCAGTATGTTTTCCATTGAGCCATGAAATTGGAGAAGCAAGTGTTTTGCCAGACCTATTTGGTTTTCTTACCCTAGTGAGTAGCAGTGGCATCATCAAAGGAGTCTAGTCTTTCCAGAGGAGCCACCTCTTTGCCTAGACGTGATTAGAGAAACAATGAGATGGTTCAGCTCTGGTCACAGCTTCTATCGGAAACAGCAGCCTGGCTGAAAACATCACCCATCAACAAGCAAATCATTTACTTCCACTAGAAAGGGGAAATGCCTTTTTTGTTTTTCCCTGAGTTGAGCTAGATGACCGTATCAAAACTGTTAATTTTCCCTTCAATCAGGGCAGCATACGAGTCCTAGTCCATCAAGGTAGAGGACAAGGAAAAGGTTTCTTTTTCCTTCCTACCTAGAAGGGATGAAGGTGCATGCTTCTATCTCCAGAAAATGGTTGTTAGAATGTCCTTCAGTAGGACCTCCCAGTGTTGTTTTTATCCCTGTGTCTGATGTAGTTCCAACCACATGCTCAGAGGTTTACTTTCTATTTATAAAAATGTCACATCATTTGGATAATCAGCACATTTAATTTCATAAGGAGCTTTAAAAGTTGGCTATTTTGAAACCACCATATAATCCGGATCATTTACAGAAAATCAACATGGCGGCCTCTCCTTCTACACTAAATGGGTCAAGGTTGTTAATATCAACTCTAAAGATACACCCATATGGGGGTTGGTAATCATCTTAAAGGCATACAGACAGCACATGCAAATGTTGCTTGATCTTTGGTATGCCACTGGAGGAGCCTGGAGAATCACAGAGTGTAAGCCTTCTTACAGGTCTGATTGTGCTATGAAGACATGGTCAAAGGCATGGCCAGGATGCATCAGTGGGCCTGCTCCAGAAGACACACATCAATGGCACAGAATCCTGAAGCTAGAAGAGACATGCCCACCCTCCCTATTTTACAGATGAAGAAACTGAGTCCAGAGAGATGGAGTTAATTGTTTAAGGCTATGTAAGAGTGTGGAAAATTCTGATTAGAACACCAAACTTCCTCTTTGGAGTGAGGGTACACAGTGGTGGTTATAACTGCACCCTACCTCTTACCACTCTACTTCTAGGAGCCACAATTCCCATTCCTGCTGCACGGAAGAGGAGCTGAGCTTCTGTTACATAGTGAGCTCCTGAGTACATTCCTGCAGGCTTGGAACTTCTAAGCCAAACTTTGCAAAGGGATCCGTTCTTTTTCAGATATACCAATCCCAACCCTAGGAACATCCTGGCCAAGTCATCTGAGCAAACTGCATTCTCTCTCCTTTTTTTAATACCTGCACCCTGAAGTTTGATTTTAAAGAGTTTGCATTTCACCTGTCTCATGCTATTTCTTAGTCTCTCCTCAGCACTGGCTTCTGTTAATGTGTGTTTCCTACCTCCAGGTTGCAGGAAAGAAGGAGAAAAATACAGCCATCAGAAAATTAATTCATTAGTTAATTACTATCTTTTGATGGTCCTCCAGTATGAAGGGAATATTGAAAGACTGATTTTATAAAAAGCACTCTAATTTTACTATTTAGGACAGTGACTCTCAAAATTTTTCCAGCCAACACATCTGAAGGATGTAAAATATTCTCATCATAAACAGTGGTTCAACATAGCACAGGTTCTCTGAAAGGAGTAGAATAAACTATTTAAAGCATACACTTTTGAAAAAAATAACCCTCCAAATGATTCTCAACCTTTTCTTTTCTCTAGTTAAAAATTATTTTTTGAGTTGTAAAAACTTAAAATGGGTGGCCATTGCATTTTGCTAAAATATACTGCTTTTTGCTTCAGTTTTGGTTCTTCACTTGAGCCAACAGAATGGGTTCTGTGACTCTTGCCAACTGCCCTCAAATCTGGGACATCTTCAAATTATCTTCTTAAAGAAGAACCTTCCAAAATGGTAGGGAACACGGTAGCTGTGCTCCACATCCCTCAGGTTCACCACCATTTTTTATTCCTGACTCCAGGTGGCAAAGAAATCCCATGGAAAGACCCTAATCAATCTATTTTGGTTTTATTCTCATGTATGGCTAAATCTGGGTAAGGTGCCCAACGCTAGACAGGCCACAGAAGCAAGGTTATAGTAGAACATGAAAGTATCTTATTAGTTGACTTTTAAAATTTCCTTTAACTGTCACATCTAGGAAATTAAAGATTTTAAAATAACTACCTTGAAGAGAGTTTTGTGAAGACAGAATGCATCTTTGGGCCATGCCTCTGCCATGGGACACATCAGGAGTCAGATAAATATTGATTTCCCTTACCTCTTTCTTCCCTCTTTAACTCCTTCATGTACCTATTCTATACCTCCTAGAACTCTTTCTAGAAGGTCTAGACCTATTAGCAGTATATATGAATTACCCTCCATGCCTATTTAAACAAAATCCCAACCCCCCAAACCACTCACCCCCAGCAGAGTATTTTTCTAGGTTCTCTCTGCATTCCCATGCACTCCATTCTGTTTATCTAGATACAGTGGGGCATAATGGACATAGTACTAGGTTCAGGAGGGCTGGCTGAGGAGGATGTATATTGATTATATGCAAGTGCAGAAGACAGCAAGCCACCCTAATCTACATAGGACTGTAGGTTGGTGTCCCTAGAGCACCCCAAGGCCTTGATTGCCTGATATCCCCTACTGGGAGGAAATAAAACAAAACATTTGTTGAACTTTGATGAGCTCCCCACCAGAGTAAGAATGGGTGACAGGGCATTTGGGCAAGCTCAGCTCAACGCCTAAAAGTGTGTAATTAGAGCCCTCCCCATCACTGGCTAACTGGTAATAAGCTCACTAACTGAAACAGCAAAATGCATATTTTCCCATGCACTGTGCTTCCTATTGACCACAACAGGGCTATGGAGCCTGAAAGCAACCCTTGATGTTGTCTTGGGGCTTTAGTTTCTGGCTCCAAAACCTCATTATGCCAATTGTGAGAGATGCTAAAGCAGGGTGAAGCTGGAAGTGTCGGTGGATCTGTCCACTTGGCAAACTCTTGTGTGGCAGTGTATGGTGACACCAAGCACTGGAACACCCCCATCAGAAGGGGAGAAGCTGCCTTGGGGATTAGCTTTTATTCTAACCGTGGGAACAATAACTGCTTGTCACAAATCCCGACAATGACAGACTCAGAGTGATAAGGGATTGTCTGGGCTGGGGCGGGCTGGTGGGGGGAAGAAAAGAAAGAAAGAAAAAGAAAAGAGAAGAGAAAAGAAAAGAAAGAAAAAAGAAAAGGAAAGAAAAGAAGAAAATAAAAAAGAAAAAGAAAGGAAGGAAGAAAGGAAGGAAGGAGAGAGAGAAAGAAAGAAGGAAGGAAGGAGGGAGGGAAGGAAGGAGAAAGAAAGAAAAAGGAAGGAAAAAGGGAGGAGGGAATTGGGAGAAGCAGGAAGGGAGGGAGGAAGGAAGAAAGAGGGAGGGAGACAGAAGGAAAGGAGGGAAGAAAGGAGAGTGAGAGAGAAAGAGAACGGTAGGGAGAGAGGGAGAGAAAAATAAAGAGGTAGAGAGAAAATATAAAATGTTAGCAAGTCATCAGTGTTCTTGAAGAGCAAAAGCGACACAGCGTATCTGCAAAATCTGGGACTAACTGTCCTCAGTGGTGTCACAGCCTATGAGTGTCATGGCTCCACCTGAACGACACATTTGGGCTACTCAAAGGATACGTTTTTACGGCAGCATATTAGGATGATGATGATTATTACCATAACCACATTACTGCATAGGATGTGACCATTTCAAAGCTGCAATTTATTTTTTCAAGTGCACAAATTTTAACACTAAATTCCACCAAAAACTAAGACCATAATAGGTACTCAGATGATGTTTGTGGACATAAAAAGGCATTCCTGAGAGAGAGCACGGAGCATTTCCTTTGCTCCTTCCAGGTCTCTGAATGTTAACCACACCCCTGCATTGCATAGAATTGGAGGATGGCACATTATGCCTTTTGCATAAGTGTAAATAATAGTCCACAGGAATTTGGAGCTTGTTTCGAAATATATAATTTTCCCATCATAAATGTAAGCATCATTTCATGTTTCATTTAAACCCCCTTTTTAAGAATCACAAAGATCCTAAGGCGTTTCATGTCAGAGACATAAGGCAGGCCCCACACTGGGGTTTTTTTTCGGTGATCCATAACGTGATGCTGAAATAAAAGTGGCAAACAATTTTTAACACTGCATATGCTCAAAGACCTCTGCCAAGAAGGGGGAAAAATAGTCTTGGCACCAGAAGTTAAAGTGCAACAGTTTCTTTGTGATCAGTAATGAGGAAACAAGTGGCTGTGTTCTCGATCTTGTCAAATCAGCATGAGAGCAGCATCTGAACCACTCAGGAGGCTGGACGTGCATTTCTACAGTGGATTCCTAATTCTGTTTTCTGGGGTGGAGAAATATGTTCAGCTTCTTCAGCAGTTTGTGAATCATGTGCCTGAATACTGGAAGGCAAGGGAGGGTGACAAGGCTAACTGCTTCCACGCAGTAGAAACCAACGTCTCTACTTCCAAAGGACATCAAGGATGAACTCAAAGCTAATTTTGTCTCTGGCTATCGGCATCTTACGGTGAGGTCTAGACCACACTGGGTGAGGTCTGGGAGCCTTGGCTGGCATCAACTTGCCGAGCTGGACATCTGTCTCAGAGCGATGCTGCCACACATATACAGCATCTCAGGATCCCCTGCCACATCTGTAGGCTTGCTACTTTAAGTGACAAACAGCAATACCACAGGTGTTGTGTTTCCCTCCGAAGGCACAGAGTAAACTATTTAAATGACAAGTAGATGATATTTAACATTTTGAACAACAATCTGTTTGTGCTAAAGGCATAGTTAAAAAAAATTATGTCGGGCAAAGACCCAAACCTTGTACGCGAGGAGAGAAAAGTACCACCTTCCTCCTATATAAAAGAAAACCCATTTGGGTTTTGAAAATGCAGAGCTGGGGTTTTTCCTTGCCAGTGATTTCCAAGTCTAGGCAGGTGACCTAGCCAAAGGCCTTCAAAGATGAACCAAACACTTCTCCATTGAATTGTCCCCAGCCCAGAGCAATGGGATCTGTCTAGGGAGGAGAGCAGTATAGATAGGAGGGAGGATATTAGGGAATTCCCTTGGAGTAGTGCAGCGGGAAGGAGTCCATCCTCAACAGCCCACAGAGATGATGCTGGGGCCGGGCCTCAGGGGAACCAGGGGCTCCCCTTTGGATAGCTGCAGGTGGCCACAGCTTTACCTAGAGCCTCCTAGAACGCTGGGTTTCTGTCCATCTATCTGCTTCTTTATAATTGATGGTAGGAGGAGAGGGGTTCAGGTTTCCTTCATGTTACAACTAATCCTTGATCAGTACTTTAGGGTTCCACATTTAAAAGTTCCTGGGAAATCCACTGATCCTCCAGCTCAGAATCGTCATCTTAGAAGCCGTATTCCCTGACTAGCAGGACTTCCTGGGAAAACGAACACATGGTGCTATGTGCTGTAGGATGCTTGCTCCCTTGGGGTATCTGAAATATTGAATATGACCACCATGACTTGGAAATGTCTCACAATATCAGGACATTTGTGGCTCTGAAGGGTGAAATGCATCCTGTTCTACTTTTCTGTGGAAAAAATGGCAAATATGTGCATTGTCTCAGAGACCAATAGCCAAATGCCATATGAGTCCCTGGGGTAGAACAATAGAACAGGCACTGTAAAAACATTTCTTAGGCTAACTTTCAGATATGAGCAGGGGGTCTCAGAGCTGCAGAGTGGGGAAATACCTATTCCGCAAAGAATTATATTTCTAGATTGCATGAAAAATAAGGAATGCATGAAATTGCATTTGATAACACAGAGCAGCCACCCCAACTTAGAAATCTAGGCCACATTTCTACTGTTCATTTCCATAACAGTCCCTTATTTTGCTCACCTATTTCTGTAATAAAGTTACTACTTGAGAAAAATGGTGCACTTAGAGAAAGGTTATCATGCTACCTGCTGTCAATTTTTACTGCCAACTCTGATATTCTTTTCTTTTGGTTTTCTGAACTCAGAAGTTCTTAATACTTAATTTAGCTGAAAATGCCAGTGGGTAATCTTCAGACCCTGCCTGCCTCATGTTTGATCCCTGGGTTTCTCTGCCACCTTACCTCTTCAGTCATGATTGTCATTTCTTTGTATTTCTCTTCTGTGTTGTGAGATAATTCATCTATCTGATCTTCTCATAGCAATAATTCGGTTCTCAGTAGTGAATATTCTTTTTTGTTTTTTTAAGATTTTCAACTCAAGAGTCATCATGTTTTTCAGTTCTAAGTCATTTTTGTGCCTCAATTACAGCCTTTTGAGAATGCTCCTTTTTTTCTTTTCTTTTTGTTAAAGTGCTGCTTTAGCTCTTCTGCTAGAGCTGCCACTGTTTGAGCCACTGTGCTGTGTGTGCAGCAGCGTTCCTCCCCTCGGGTTTCTGAGTCCTCTTAAATATATGCTGTGCCCTTGGAGTTCAGACTTTGGGTAAATTAAACAAGTGGATGGTGGGCAACAGAATATGATTTTCCCCCTCCTGACCACTGGGACTCTAGTCAGACCTCTCTGGGTGTGGAAGTATCCAGCTACACCAGCTGGCGGTGATTTATGAAATTAAACATAAGCAAATCAACTACTGTGTTGGGAAAGAAAAAGTGCACATTCCTGATGGTTTAGAAATCAGAGAGTAAGTTAATGGTGAAATGTAAAAGCTCATCAATTATATGACAGCCTCAATTATTTATGGGGAATGATAGCCACAAACTATGAAATTTGTGAATGTTGAATAATAAACTCAGCTGAATAAGAAAAGCATGAGCACTGATGGGAGACTCACATTACATAGATTCCTCTTTTTTGTTTTTTAAAGGAAAATTTTGGGGGAACCTCACCAGCTAAGAGCTTCAGAAAATGCAACCTTATCCACTGAACCCAGGCCTTGCCTCAAGCAGGGCTGATTGACCCATGAATGGACAGACACAGTCATGATGGGGCCACGCGTAAGCAGGTGAATGAGAATAAAAGATAACATGCAACATGATAATAATAATGAAACAGAGACATGGGAGAGATAGAGATGGAGTGGGAGAGAATGAAAATGAGCTACCTTGGTTCTTATTGGATTTATAGTTTGGGATTCTATAATTCATGAGACCCCTCTCTAGTTCCGGCCCTTGGATTTCAAGACTTTTTTTAAGAATGTAGTTCACTTATACAACACATTCTCCTTTATGTAAGCTAGTTTGACTATATTCCTTTTTCTTGCAAGCAATCTCAAACTGAGGCCGAACCCAAGTTAAAGTTATGGTAATCTGATCAATATCACCCGGTCTTTCTTTCCTACTTCTATCTTGAGCTTTAGGCTCCAAGAGCCAATTGTCTATTTGAAATCTTCATTAGATATCTAAAATCATTTCAGACTTAACTATCTGTAGCATGGCAACACAATTCTTGTCTTCTTTATATTTTTCATATAAACATGCTCTTATACCAATATTCTTCATCTCAGTAAATGCACCAAAATTTACCCAGCAGCTCAGGCCAAAAATTTAGTTGTCATCCTTGATTCTTCTCTTTTTGTCATATATCACATCTGATTTACATTTATAACAGACATTACTAATTTTTGTCAATATTCAGTTTGCTCTATTCTGAACATACAAAAAGGCTGCATTTTCTTGTCTCCTGGAACTTAGTCCCTGGGTGCCTTTTTCTGGACAATGAAATGTGAGTGAAAGTTATATACATCATTCCTTTGTAGAAACATTTCTACAAGGGAATTGATTATCTATCTTTTCTTGTCATGTGATAGATGATATTTCACATGGTAAAGTATCTGTCAGCCCGGATTTGTAAGTCAGTTCCCTCTGCTGACTCAAGACGTACAAACAGTGTGAGCAAGAAACATACCTTTGCTGTTTGTGATACCAAGATTTGGGGGTAGTTTGTAACTGCAGCATAACCCTATCCTAACAGAAAACAATCCTCTAGTCCTATTGGCTGCATCATCAAAGTGTACCCCAAACTTGACGCTTGTTACCTCCTTTTCTACCATCACTGTATTCCAGAGCACCCTCATCTCCTGCCTGGATTTACTGCAGCATCCTCTTAATTGGTCTGCCATTTCCTACTCTGATATCTTATAAATATAAGATATCCTTTTCGGAAGAGCAGCCAGGCTTGTTTTTAAAAGGTGAATTATATGTGTTATTCTCCTACCCAAAACACTTCAACAACTACCCACTAGAATAAAATTCACAGTCTCTCTATGAACCACAAGACCCTATAATCTGACTCTGTCTATTTCTCCAAACTTGTCTCCTGCCATTCTTTCGTCTCTCTGCTTCAACCACATTGGGTCTCATCATTGCTAGCAAGCAGTGAGCTCATTCTCTCTTCCAGGCTTTTCTCCTATGGTTCTCTCTGTGTGGAATGTTTTAACTCAAGACCTCTGTATGGCTTGGCTTCCTCCTTCCCATTGTACAAATCTGTATTCCAAGATTACGTCCTCAGCACGTCTACCTAAAAACACATTCTCCAATTGCCCTGTTTTATTTTGTAAAGCACTCTTTGAACTTCCCTATTTCTTTATTTTTTATTTGCTTAATTTATGTTAAGCAAACATAATTTTTTTTTCTAGACTACCAATATGACAAAGCAAGGATTTTGTTTTTCAGTGCTCTGTCCCTGGAATATAAAAAAGTATCTGTTGCTTAGGGGGAGTCAATAAATATTTATCAAATGAGTGAATTAATGAATAAGTAGCTTAACCAATCAGAACATCAAAATAATACTGCAATGAAGAGAAAACAATTAGAAGCAATACTCTTTTATAAGTCCTTAACCTAGTCTGTTGTTTGTTTTAACAGAGGAAAAAATAAATCAAAATACTGCTAATCAATTTATTTAGCTTTTATCTAAGACCTACCAATTATAATTCATTTATTTAGAAAAACCTGATATGTTCAAATTGACTTGCTTAAATTAGAATATTGAAACTAGGGGTCTTTTTTAAAAGGGAATCAGTACAGGATATGTTTACAGTTGCAATAGCAATAACTGAGTTTCTCAATCCAAATTATCTATATTTTCTACAATGGACCCAAGAAATTAGCAGAAAAATAAAAGGATATGAAAGCAAAAGAATGGACTCAAAGATAGGGTAGGCAAGTGAATTAAGTAGAAAACACTAGATTAGAAAATTTCTATGGAAAATAACTTTCTGAATAATTTAGCTAGAGAGAATCAATGAGTAGAATTTGTTGATGAGATGTACCTGTGACCAACATGTTTATTCTTCATCACTACATCCTCGATGATATGACTTTATGCATATGTCCATCACATCCCAAGATGATGCATGAAAACTTCCTCCAGTGGGGCATATCCTTGGATTACTATTCTAGTGGAAATGATGGATATGCACTGATACGCTTGCTCAGTTATCAACTTTCACTCATGCAACATGCTACACTTTTGCAAAGCAGTTAATCCAGGTGTGGAACATTTACTATGACCAAGCAATATATTGAAGATAACTGGCTTTTAAAGGAACTGAGTTTCTCTTTCTGGCCTTGGTGGCATTCCAATGAGGAACGTCCAGTGAGTTATGAGAGCTGGATTAGTCTCTTGGCTCTGTGACTTTCCAATCTTGAGTATGTCATTTAACCTTTTGAAGGCAAATGCAGATGAAGATAACATATACCTACCCTAGAGATTTCATAAGGTTGTTGTGAAAAGAAAATAAAATGTGTCAAAGACATGTTTTGTAAGCTGGCTATTTTAGCTATTTGTTTTTCTCCTGCTTCTTTTAGGTGATTTAAGATATCCTTTAAATTGAAGTTGCCATATTTATACATTTCAAAGTAAGAAGAAAATAAAGGGTAAGCACCCAAATGGATAGGTTTGGCCACGTGGTCAACAAATGCCGAAATTACAATAATTAGAAAATGACACTGCTGTTTCTTCAAACACACAAAAGTACCAAGTGCTTTCTCATTTGAAAACCCCGTCACCTGTTTCCATATCTAATTATTTCCAAATAATTCATCTCCTACCCAAGGAAAATAGCTAAATTCATGGTCCATCAGAAAATGAAACACAATTTTTATAGCCCTTATGTGAATAACTGAGGAGAAAAACAAAATCAGAAGAAAAATGCATAAGACTGTGCATTGCCTGAAACCTCCTAGCTGTTACAATATGTAAACTGACAAATCTCTGAAATTTAACGCTCCACGGTCTCTAGTTATTTTGCTGCTTTGTTTACTTGAGTAATTCCCCTATTCATCACTAAACGTATCACAAAGATCTTATTAAGTAAGCAGAATAGGAGGATGATGAATACTCTGATGAAGGTATTTAGTTTCATAAGAAATCCCGCTCATAACGATTTTGTGATCAATTATACAAGCCCACTTCAATCTCACACTCAGAAGTGACTTTAGGGAAGTGATTAGTTATAAATCCAAAGAACACAGATACCAGACAATTACTGTACACCAGGAACCTCAAGTCAACAAAGATAACTTAGCTTTAAGGAAAATAGCATAGGAAAACTCCTTATTCTTAATGAAATCCATCCCCTTCTCTTTTTCACACATATAACCCATACTATCCACCAATGTAAAAAAATTAGATTATGGCTAAATGAATCTGGTCACTTCACCAGATAGATCAATAGAGTTGCTGCATTCTATCAATTACCAAAAAACATTTAATTACTCATGTAACCCAAGTGAAGAATGGTCAGCTAGGTTTGGCTCAATGACTAGGTGTAGTTGATATTTATAAAATTTATGTGCTTTTTTGGGGGGAACTGAGCATCAAATTACATCATCTTGGATGTTCACTGATTATGTCGTTCCTCCTACCTCATGGTGATTCTTGGCAAGCCATTCCTTAATGGTGTTGAGGGCAATGACTGCAGCAGGCTCGTTGGGAAAGCCTAGATGAAGAGCAGGAAAAAACAAATGAACAACGAAAGATGAAGGCAAAAGGGAGGCTAATCACGCTATGATACTGGAGTTTTCTCATTTAAACAACATTCAGTTCAACCAATAAGTACAGGCCTCAGTAAGATGTACATGGATATGAAGCCTGTGATCCTACACACAGGCATTAAGAAGGCTGGTCCTACACCAGTACAGAGTTTAAAAAACAAAAAGACAATAAATAATTTAATTGTGTCTCTAATCTTATAACAATATCAATTAAAAACATATTTACATATGCATAATAGATTACAATATACTTTCATATTATTTTCTTGTAAGAAGTGCTCAGATTAAAGTTTATTATCCTCAGCTTAAAAAAAAAGTACATGTGTCTCAGAGAAAACATGCAGTTAGTCCAGGGTCAGTTCTGCCAGTCACAAGGCCAGCAGAACTCCACCAATGAAACATACCACAGAAACTTATTGTCAGAATTCAAAGAGGGTATTTCCTGTTTCACTTGGGGCCATCAGAGGTGATGCTTGGAATTGAGACAGCATGAGATAATCAGGTCTTGTTGCATAGGTTTGGTTTTAGAAGGGCAGCAAGAATGACAGACTTATGCTTTGTCCCAAAGAGCAGAAGCGTACATGCTCAGAGTCTCCAAAACACATTCAGAATGTCACCATAGCTGATCTAAACCAAACACATTCCTGGACCTGCAGAGTCATCAAACATTCTGCCAATAGTGATGGTATGTGAAGGAATAACCTTATCAATGTATATATTTACAGAGCAGGAAGCAGAAGAGATAGGAGTAACTATGCTACTGAAACTACGCTCTTTGAGCTCACCACTGCCTTCCTAATCACCAAATCCCATCACCTTTCAATTTATCTTCAAGCTCTCTAGTGTTAGATGTGTTTGACTAGTTTTTTTATGTTTTATTCTCCTCTCACAGAATTTTTATTTTTTAAACTTTATTACTTATTGTTTTAAAGTTTACAATTCAGTGGTTTGTACCATGTTTTTAAAGTCTTGCCATCATCACTAATTCCAGAATATTTTTATCATCCCAAAACAAAAATCTGTACCCATTAACGGTCACTCCCCAATCTGTCACCCAAAGCCCCTGGTAACCATTAATCTACTTCTGTCTTGATGAATGTGTGACTTCTTCTCCTGAATTTTTCAACCCTGCCTTCTTCCACGTCTTATTCTTCCTGTTTGACCAATTCTTTCCTGGCTTCTTTCTAGCGGCATTCATTAAATGTGTGCCATTCCCAGCATCCTAAACTCAGCCCTCTTTTTTTCCTTATACGGCTTGTCTATGAGGATATCTTCTGGTCCAGAGTCTCCTGGAACATTTTCCATACAGACGCAGAAAGAGAGAGACGTTGCGGAAATGGAGAGAACCAAGACTTAAAAGACCCAGTTTTATTGGAGGGCAAATATGTATTCTAGTAGTTCAAACTGATGGTTCAGATCTCAGTACGTCTTCAGAAAAAAAATGAGTGAGAGGACAAGAAAAAGACAGATATTGTCCCCATTTCCAAGAATATGTGTTGCTTTCCTGATTAGGTTTCTACAGGCTTTGCTAGAGAGTTCATTAAGAAAGGGGACAAAACAAATCAGAGCCAAGCTTAATTTTTCTTAGAGACAATGACTGTTATACAGAAAATGTGCGTAAGTTCTTGAACCTTTGCAATGTCTACCACATTTGGGATTGTGCATTTGTTATGAATTGTTTAATCCTATTCGTTTTCTTTAAATGAATGCACCAAAATGTAAAACTCTTAAATTTTCTTTAAAGTTAATTGTCAGTTAATTTATTTAAAAAGTATTACTGAACCCCACACGAGTAGCTATGTCATACTTTTAATGAGTCCCTGTCCTCTAAAAGCCCAAAGTCTAGGGGAGGAAATAGACAAGTAAAGAGGCAAACAAAATGCAGCATGACAAGTGTATTAGGGGTATGTGGACACAGATAAAGAGGACTAAGTTAGAAAGAAGTGTGAGGCTTGCAGGAAATAATAGAATATTTGAGGAAGAGGGCTGTAAAATGGGGAACCAAGGAGACATTATTCTCAGAAATAAGCTGTGAGTCCCGAGGAATCAATGGGAAAGGTTAGGAAAAATGAACGGGAGAGAAAAGCAGAATGAGAGTACGGGTGAGCTGCAAAGAAGGAGAAGGAGGCGGCCAGGTGCGGTGGCTCACGCCTGTAACTCCAGCACTTTGAAGGGCCGAGGTGGGAGGATCACGAGGTCAGGAGCTCAAGACCAGCCTGGCCAAGATGCTGAAACCCCATCTCTACTAAAAATACAAAACTTAGCCAAACGTGGTGGCGGGCACCTGTAATGCCAGCTACTTGGGAGGCTGAGGCAGGGAATTGCTTGAACCTGCGAGGCAGAGGTTGCAGTGAGCCAAGATTATGCCACTGCACTCCAGCCTGGGCAACAGAGCAAGACTCTGTCTCAAAAAAAAAGAAGGAGAAGGAGGCCAGGATGGGCATTTCCTGTTAGGGGATTAACCATAGGAGGCCTTTTCAGTCCATCTCTGCCCTGAATTTAACATCTAGATTTATAATCGCCTGGATACTTCCCTTTAATACACTTCAGCACCAGCAATGCAATACATGCTCCTACCTAAAACAAATGTCATCCCTGGCTTTCTGGTTTCTGTCTATGGCTTTACCTCTCTCCTAGTTACCGCCATGTTTGACGGACTCCCCTGTTGGTAACCAAGTCCTAAAGGCATTGTCCCTCTGAACTATTTTCCACCGCCCCTTCCTTTCCTCCCTTTCCCATTGATTTCATTCAAGGTCTGATCGGCCCTCACCCAGACAACTGTAGTTGACAGCTGTGCTCCTTTGGTCTTCCTTCCCTTCTCCAATCTATCCTGCAAGCCACTTTCAAGTGATTCTTCCTAGGCATAGGCATAGTTAGCATTACACCTCAACCTTACACAAAACAGAGGCAGCCTTTGTTGACTCTCCAACACAGAATAAACACAGGCACCTTAGCTTTGTGTTACACATTCCAATGACCCCAGGGGGCCTTTCTAGATTTATTTCTCAGTCTTCTCTTATTTATTCTCATCTCATAAAATTCTTCTCCAAATGTTAGGTATGTTGAATAAGTACTTACATCATAAAATTATAGGGCTATAAAAAACGAATAAATACTGCAATCACACTCAGTTGCAATGACCATCAGTATTAACATTCACCTTTAGAAGACATAATTCCCCACAGAGAAATTATACAAGTTGTCATAGAACCATGGCAACTATGGTCAGTTCTCAATTATTTGTGACCTCCTGGTCACTCTCTCATATTCATCAGAGCATCTGGCATTGAGTTATGGTTTTCATCTTAACCTCAAGGTTTGCTGTAACCCCACGTGATTTCAACATCCACAAGAGTGACCCACCCCGCGCTTAGCCAGTCCATTGACCCGCTCATCTTCCACAACAACTTCCTCCATGGATCGTGCCCTGGACCTTGATGCAACATTCCCGATTCAAAGTTACTGATTTAAACAGCTCTCTCAAAACTTGTTTTCTCGTTAGTTTGTTTGCTCAGCTACTTTCCAAGGAATACTCTTTCACAAGCATCACAAGCATCACAATCATTTGAAGCCGACTCTAGCTTCAAGCCACTCCCCAAGTTAGTGGCAACATTTCTCCCCTGAATAAGCTGGCCCTTTCTTGTCTCTCTAGTCTCATCTCATGTTGCATTGCTCTTTGTTTCCTCCACTGCAACGACACTGGCCTTCTTTCTGGTCTTTGAATGTGGTATTTTTATTTTGCCTTCCTGTCATAAGGCCTTGCTCATGCTCTTTCCTCTTTCTGAAATGACATTTCTCCTCCTTTTTTCCTAGTGTATATCCATTTTATTTGTCCTCTGCCAGGTGATCACTTCTTCAGGAAAGGCTTCTCTGACACTGATGACTCCCTATGTTGTGTTTTCATAATACCATGTACCTTTACCTCACAGACCCATCACAGTTGCAGTTCTGCATTTATTTATGTAAATATGTGATTAATAACCTTAATAGAGTGAAAACCCTGGGAGGCAGATAACACATCTGTCTTTGCTTATCACTGGATACCTAAAACATTGCTGGCACATAGAGAATGATCAATAACTAGGTGTTGAATGACTGACTGGATTACAGACTTGTGGATCTTTGTACATATTGACAACAGGAAAAGGCTCACTCCTGGGAGCACAGGGGTGTTTAGCCTTAGAGTATGGGGAGGAGGAAGGGATGCTGAGAAGGTACTCAACAGATTGTTATATTCAGAATATCCCTTTTCATCCCTGGGGAAAAATATAGAGATTTATGTGAAAATCTAGTTCCTCATAGGAAGATGTTTTGTGATTAATTAAAAGGGGAGAAAAATATCAAGATGAATATCCCTGATAATATGCCTGCTTTCAGTGGACATGGATATACAAGGTAAAGCATGATGTTCAGGATAAACAGCAACAGGACAATTCTTTCTCCACTTAACTACAAGACCTCCGGGGTTATAAATAAGACCAATGAATAGACAAAGACAGATTTTAGCCTAGGGATGGACTTCCAAGAGAAAAAGGCCTTCCTCAGAACATCACAACATATTCTGGTCACCAGGGGACTTTTGTTCACAAAAGTAGAATGGCCACCCGGAGGGGAGGCTACAGACAAGCTTCAGATGAATCACTGAATTAGATGACATGGGAAATTTCTTCCAAGTATGAGGGTCAATGAGGCTGAACAAGCCATGAATAATTTAGGGTCAGGCATGCAGGGAGTTGCATGTGTGTGTATCCAGGTGCACACAGATTCTGTGCTTCTACTGGCATTCCAAAGCTTAGTTTTCTACTCATTAGCATAGATTCATAAAATTAACTTTTGTTGTAAATGTGAAAGTTGACTTATACGATAAATAAATGATTTTTTTCTTATTTACTTTTGTATTGAAAGTGCTTGCAAATATTTTATATACTGCACACACGCGCGCACACACACACGCGCACACACACACACACACACACACACACCCCATTATGCAGCTCAAGGTATAAGATACTTCTAATACCCCAGAAAGCTGCCTTGTCCTGAGTCAATGCCCAGCCCTCAAAATAACCACTATTCTGACTTCTATGATCAAAGGTTAGTTTTGTCTGTTTTTATACTCCACATATATGAATTATATAATGTGTGTTCTTTTTTGTCTATATTTTGTTCAAAATTATGCCTGCCTGATTTACCCATGGTGTTACATATAACAGTAGCTTATTTCATTGTAGTGTTGCATTCCATTGTATGGATATTCCACAATCTGTTTATCCAGTCGAGTGTTGATGAACAACTAGACTATTCCCAGTTTGACACTAATATGAATAAAGCTGCCATGAACATTCTCATACATGTCTTGGTGGACATAAGCATGTGTTTCTGTTGAGTATATATCCAGGAGGAAGGGCTGCTGGACTCCATGTTATGCTTGACTCTGGGAGATTCTGCCAGTTTTCCAAAGCAGCTGTGCCAATAACACTCCCACCAGAAGTATATGAAAGTGTAAAATGATGTGTTTTAATAATCTCTGCTGATCTATTTATTTAGCATGTTGAGATGTACTTTCTAATTAAATTCTCTTGACCACATTTCAAGCTATTAAAGATAGCTTTAGGCTAGTCAATACTTTTTATAACTAGAAGCCAAGACAAGTTTTATGATTTGCCTGTCTTCTCGCTGCAAAGCAGTGATGTTCCTAAGCCAAGAAAGGACCAATTCTGTCAGCAGACCATCAAGACAATTTAAATAAAAGAGACAGAAGTGAAACAGCAAGTTGAATTTACAGTTGTTTTCATCCATAGCACATCAAATAACTCATTAGGTGGACATTTTCCTTTCACTTGGTTATTAAGCCAATGTTTCTTTTCATCAAATTTCACTACAGAAAGACATAGCAATAAAGACTCATTGAAGATTCTACCCCATGTCTAAACTGTATGTTTGTTGGAATTATTGAAAACCCAGAATGGTTCCAATGCAGCTACAGTAAATCTGGTTTTCACTTTGCTGGGGACAATTTTCCTCTCTATTTACTTTTTATTTTTTACTGTTATTGATATTTCCCTATTATCTTTAACTTTGTCCAAAGGCTGTCATGTAGAAACTAATTTTGTTCACCTGATATAAAATTCAAATATGTTTACTAGAACTCTAGCATATTCCACTAAAATAAAGATAGACATGACTTACTCTGCCAGTAAAACTGTCCTTTTTGGAGTCAGAAGCAACAGATTAGCTTTTGTTTTAAACTTTAAAATGAAAGTCTATTTGGGGCTATAGATTACCATATCATAGAAAGGCATATGGTGATACTTTAAATCAATCATTTCAAGGAGGTTCTCACTAGAAAAAAATTAAAATAAAATTGAACATAATGTTGGTATAATAATAATTTGGTATATTTAAGCCAGGCTTTAAAACCTTAACCCCATGCACCATTCAGAGTCTGCCCAGGGCTTCCGTCAACATCCCCTTCTAGATCTGTTGCCAGGTCTCACCTCAGCTTTAACTGCCTTTCTTGCAGTTTGTAAGAAGGCAGCGCTCTAGAGACCAATGTCCAGGCGAAACTCACAAATCTAAAAACTATTCTTTATGCACTCAATCATTTTATTTTCAGCTGAAAAATGTATTTTGTGGTGGTTTTAACCTCAAAGGGTTTTCATCCATATCCTCACCCCACCCAGCCGAGCATGGGGCCCAAAGCTGTGATAAAACACCAGCAATTTTATGAAATCATAAATCCCTGTGTAGACTGCATATTATTTAGAAAGTAGTTGCTATACTAACCAGCCTTCCAAGTAACTAAAAGCTCTAAATTGGTACTGTATTGTTATAAATATCCAGAAGTTAGGAGCAGCAGTTTAAAAAAATCAAACTCCCTTGAACTCTGCACATGAAATTCACATCCACTTCTGAGCTCTCTATTCCTGCCAACTCTTTAATGAGGAAAGCATGGCACCGTGTTATTTTTATTCACGTGCACACCCTCAAAATAAAAATATTATGAAGTTATCAAACGTGAGACTTTCAGCACTGATAGAAACCTATGATTGTCCTGAGTGAGAAGGATGTATCACTGGGTTGATCAATATGTTGACATCAGTTGAACAGGGATTGTCAACATTGACTGTCAATGCAAAATTACACTTTGCTTGATAATTTCAGAGAACATAGCCATAATATTTTTCCATCTTAGCACACAAGTTCTGTTGTGGGGATCACAGGAAATCAAACAGTATACTTTTCAAGCTCAGGTGAAAAGAAATACAAATGTGAGATGCATTGTGTGTTGTTATTTTAATTTCTCCTGAACACACACACACGCACACCCTACCATGCACGGGAGGAGAGATTGGAGGGTGTAGATGGAGGATGTGATGGCAGGTACTGGGCAATACATTTTTTTTTTTTAATCTCAAAACAGCTTTTGTCAACCTCTTCCCCCTAGGCCTCCTTCCAACCCATAAAAGCAATTCTGATAGTGCAATGAAATCAAATTACTTGAGAGAAATGAGCTGAAGGAGCCTCACCGTTAAGCACTTGCTAGACCAGCCACTCAGACCATTCTGGCTAAGGGCTGAGTTTCACAAAAGATAAAACAGGTGAAGTAATAAGAGTGACACTGCCCCTATTACTGCAGTGAGCACAGCAGCAGAATGCTAAAAAGGTGTCACTGGCTTCGCCCAGGAGCACAAAGGGGCACCTAGTAGGCAAGGGTGAGGTGGCCACAGTCTGTCGTTAAGAGAGTGGAGTTGCAGCTGTTTTGTGATCTGGCTTTGGTATATGAGTATTATACACATAACATGGCATATTCATAAGTTGGGTAACAAGAGCAGATGCTGACGATGCACTGCATGTATCTTCTTGGCATATGCTGTGTCCTTGCAAGCTGCTTTGACTTAAACCTTTTACCTGAGGGCTCCTTCTGGTGCCAGCCCCTTTTACCCAAGGGCTCCTTCTGGTGGCCAGAGCTCACTTTGCCACATGTAGGGCAGGTCTAAAGGACCAGGGAACAAGGCACCCCCAAAACATTCTTCAACCAATGATTACTGAGAGTTGTTGGGTTAACTAACACCTCAGCTCCCTCACCCCTCAGGGGATAATGCTGAGGTGTGTGCTTTATAGTTTCCCAGAGTTGCTCAGTGAGCTCACACTCCACTTGCCCACAGTGGCAAATCCCATGATAATGCATTCTTTATTTGCTTCCTTTCTTTGTCTCTCTTTCCAAAAGTCACCTCCCAAATTAACAACTTACACACAAACCCCTGCCTTTAAATCTGCTTTTTGGGGGTAGTCAAACCATGACAGCTGTCAAAATGTATTGATGAATCTGAGACAATGAGGTGTCATGTCTGATCTTGCGATCACCCCTTCTCCACTGTATTCTACTTGTAACCTCTAGCACATGCACAGTAGAGAAATGTTCTATAAAATAGCTAATTAATTGGGGAGGAGTTGGGGAGCTCACTGGCTGTCAGCACGACGGTAACATAATATTTCACTTCGGGGAGTATAAAGGTCATCTAGTCCAGGCACACATTGGCATGCACACCTGGCTCACTAGACAAGACAGCAATCTTGAAATAATAATAAACTGCTGCTAGTGCCGCTGCTGTTAGCATTTACTGAGCAATTATTATGTATAAGTCACTCTACTTAGTAGCATTTATCTGTGTTACCTCGTTTAATTTTCATAAGAATACAATGGAAAGTAGAAGAGAAAAGAAAAAGGAAGATGAGTTGCTCTGTAAATGGACAGCAATGTAATTGGACTTTACTGTATTGAGGGAAAGAGGCAAAGATAATTTGTTGGGAGAAAAGCTGAGTGTTGGGACAGAAGTTGAGGTAGGGCTTGCATATCTGCTAGACTTGCTGGCTCCTTGCTTCTATCACTCCCATTAGCTCAAGTAGCCATATGTTTCTCATTCACTTGATACACTGCTTCCTTTCAACCCCCACATCCTCACTACCTGTTTCTTTGGCTCCCAGAGCTCGGGACCTTCGTAGCCTCCCCACTCGTGATGGCTCCCTGGTCCCACTTTCTCTCTCAAACTTTTTCTCATTCCTTTGACTCCGGTGGACTTCGTCGCCCCCATGACCTGGTGTTGGGTCTGATCACCTCAACAGAATTAATTTGGATTTATATTGAAAACTCCCAAGGCCAGGTGCGGTGGTTCATGCCTGTAATCTTAGCATTTGGGGATGTTTTGGCAGGAGGATTGCTTGAGCCAAGGAGTTCTAGACCAGTCTTGGCAACATAGAGAGATCTTATCTCTACAAAATTAAAAAATAAAAATCACCCAGGCACATGCCTGCAGTCCCAGCTACTCAGGAGGCTGAGATGGGAGGATTGCTTGAGACTAGGAATTGGAGGCTGCATTCCAGCCTGGGTGACAGAGTGAAACCCTGTTGAAAGAAAGGAGAAAGAAAGAAGGAAAGAAAGAAAGAGAGAAAGAAGGGAAGGGAAGGGAAGGGAAGGGAAGGGAGGAAGGAAGGGAGGAAGGAAGGAAGGAAGGGGGAGGGAGGAAGAAAGGAAGGAAGGAAGGAAAGGAGGAAGGAAGGAAGGAAGGAAGGAAGGAAGGAAGGAAATGCCAAGAGGTGTGCAAAGTATGGTGTGACTTTGTCATGCAGTTTTAATAGACTCAATATAACCCAGTAAGGCAGTTTGGACTTGCATCTGCTTGAAGAGAAAGTAATGATATGCTGTGGTGGGCATGGGTGGGAGCCTAGGCTATTCTTAGAAGCCAAACCACCTCTGGCTTCCACAAAAAATAAATCAAACCTTGAAAACTCCCTTCAAAATGTATATAATATCTCCCATTTTACAGGAGAGGAAAAGTGGCTCGTGGAAGACTCAAGCAAGGGACAGGACCAGTATACCAGCCCACACCCCCTCCATACCCTAGCCTGGAGCCTGGAACCTGGCATGTTGTTGGTCCTCAGAATGGATGGAACATACCAGAAAGCCTCTATGTCAGACACTCCAGTCTGGATGTTACACGGTTTGAAACCCCAAAGAAAGGAAATCAGATTGGAAGCCCCTGTGGGCAGGGAGCTGTTTCAGAGCACCAAACACATGGCCTTCTGCATAAGCTATGCCCAGAGGACCCATGGAATTAGATGTGCTACCCTCTTTCTCAGGTGACAGCACCCATTCTACCATTTAATGTCTTCATTGCAGAGTGTGTGTGGGGCCCAAGGAATCTCTTGAGAAGGTAGAAAAGCTGGCAGTTCTGATGGCTCAATTACACTTGAACATTTAGGTACCATCACTCTGGACATGACTGGAGCGTGTAAATTTGTGGCCCACTGGCTCACTACAGAACTTTTGTGACATCGCTTCTTTCCCCATGGTCCTGTCTTACCCCTTCCTTTATTTTATTCAACTTAGCACTGATGTCCCTAGCAGGGCCTCTAGAATTAGTCATAATATAAAAAGGGAAAAGGGAAATTCTGTACTTCTTCTCATCCTCATCTCTTCACACCATTCTTTCATTTCACTTGACATTATGTGTGCCAAAGCAAATGATACTCCATAAATTCTACTATATTCAGCTTTGGTCTTGAGACACTTTTTCTTTCATTTATTTAAAAAACTGCAAAACATGAAGTTTTCCTTTCAAGTTGTGTTTCCTCTGCTCTGCAAAACAGGTATAAATGAACTGCATTTTTATAGGACACAAGGTTACAATCTATGCAAGCTTCATCAGCTCCTCAAACTTATGAGCTCCAGTGTCTATTTCGGAGGGTATTTTTGAAATCATCTTTTGCCTAAGGAATTATAATAATGACTGGAGAAATGGTTCGTGAAACAAATTCTATTCTATGCAAGCTGTTCCTGCTACCCCTGGATAAGTCTTCTGAGACAGGAGATGAAAGATCTCATAGAATCACCTGGAATAGGGTTTTTAGAAATTCTTTTTTAAAAGAACATTTTCCCTACAGGGGTAATCAAAGGAGTTCATTGAGGACATCACATTTGAATAGAAAAGGCGTATATTGGGATCTACTGAGAGATGAAAATGCAGTTTCTGCTTATTGAATGGGTGGCATTCGATGGTGCATAGTCCTGGTAGCTAGTGATCTTTCCAAACATAAAGCACACCATGTCACATCCACGCTAGGAGCCCCCCAGTGGGGCTTCCTCTGCACTATGGGCAAAATCTAAACTCCTCACCTTGGATTGCAGGGGTCTTTTGCTGCTCTTATCACTACCTGAAATGATGTCCGTTTTGTTTGCTTGGTTATTGTGTGTCCACCCTGCTGGAATTTAAGCTCCATGAGACAGAGCTCTGTCTGTCTTGTTCTCCTTTCCACCTTCGGGCTCAAAGCAAAATAGGTGCTCAACATGGTGTCATGCCACATTTGGGAACATGAGAAATACCTGCCTGATCCTGTGTCCTAGGAGGCTGCCTAGCATCCTGCAGTGATTCTGTGCCACCTGAGGCCTATGAGAATAAGCCCTCTCACTGGAGGGCAGGATACAAACTTCTGTGCTGCTCTCTGGAGTTTCTGCTGGCCTAGACACTCCATGCACGTGACCTTGATCAACTTAAAAACACGACCTAGGAGAATGACAGCTAGGTCCCCTTGGCTTGGGGTTTTGACAAAGGCCTGTGTCCTAGGATCCCTAGACTAGGACAGACTGAAGGACCCCTTTCAGGGACACAGCACCAGACAGGGTCTCTTAGCTTTGTTACTGACTCCCAGGATGTAAACCACTTGTGTCTCATGGAGCTTTTATGCTCTCACAGGCACAGACAGGTGCATGATTCTCCAGAGGCAGGCATGCTGAACACGTCATCACCGTCTCAGCAGCATTCACCCTTATTATCTTAGTGTAGAAGAAAGAAAGATAGCCCTCAAATCCCCTGACTATTGGCTTTTGCTCTTCAGTGATAGTCAAGCCCCCTGAAGGCCTGAGTTTGTAAACTGCCCTCAAAATTCTAGGAATTCCTCTGTAAAACTTCTCAGTGTTCAGCTCCCCTGAGGTGAACATTTGGCATGGAGAATCTTTCCTTTTCATGTTTGAATCTTAAGACAGACCTTGGCCATGACACTCTATTCTGAGTTCTGTCTGACTTCATCCGCTGGTAGCACGTGGAATCTGCCTAAAAAAGGGTGGTCCAGTGGGCAAGACTTCTATTCTATGGTTTAGATAGGGTATACAATGGCAGCCACACTATTGCTGATTGAGACAGAGATGAAAAGAATTTGAAGGACTAAGATTATGATTAAAAATAATACATAATTGGATACAATTTTGTGATTAAAAGTACATTATATGATATAATTAAAATCTGCTGGAGGACATCATCCTAAAACTCATTTTCAAAGACATTCCAAAAGATATCAAGTGAGGCATTCCTAAAATTCCAGTGTTGAGTCAGAGGACATAGCTTCAAGTCTGACATGAGCAGTAACACCATTAGACTCTTGTGACACCTTTTTTAGATCACTTTCTGAGAGTGCTGGATTAGATAAGTGTTCCCAATTCTTCGCTTATCTTTGCCATCTGAATTTGCAGAGCCTGCCACCCTGGGTGGAACATATTTCCCTGCCCCATCAATGTTGACTTTGGCCATCTGACTTGCTTTAGTCAGTGGTATGTGAGCAGATGTGAAGTTTTAAAGTGTTTGCTGGTATGGAAAGAGAATGTCCGAGATAACTACTGCCCTTTCAGACAGGTACCTGAAATGAAAAAGAAGGAAAAGACCTGTGCCCAGCAGAAGCCAAGAGTCCAGCTTGGTTAGGCCAAGCCCAGTCTTGATCAGTTAAACCACAGCCAACCCGCAGTCTTGTAAATAAGACAATACATGCTATTTGCTGTCAGCTACTTGGTTTTAGAGGTTGTTTGTAATGCGGAAAAATATGACTGATACATTGAGTGAGAACTAATGCTGCTGGTGAACACACAATGTTTCAGAAATCCCTCTGAGGATATACAACACTTGAAGATGGTTTTCATTCCTATCTAGGTCTTTGCCACCTTTGGAATCTGGCTTCAATTACTGACTATCTGTCCAAGGTAAAAATATTCTCTGCATAATAAATCCTTCATACCAATTTGATGAATTCAAAGAGAGCTGAGATCTGGTTCAAGAGAAACCCTGGCTTTAGAGTCAGACCTACCAGGCATTGAATCCTTCCCCTGAAAAGTACAATCTGAGTGAGCAAAACAGGTCTCTATTCCTCAATGTCTTCACCGGTAACATATAAGAGGGGATAAGTCTACTCTCTCTTGTTGTGAAGACTAAACTGCACAAGTCACAAGCATTTTGCTCCCCTACAGGTCTTCTTGTTAGCCCTCCTTCCCTAAATGTATCTTATTTGCTTAGTAAGGAGAGAAAGCTGAAAGATATAAGAAAGCCTAAAGGTACAGGAATGCTGTTGTGCACAGTAGGCCTGGAAAACCAGGTGGGGGCTCCATGCTCTTCAATGTGCCACAGAGTGATGACTGGAAGTATAGGTGGGCTCAATTTTTAAGATCAAGTATGGATTCACTATCCCCTCTCTGCCCCTGGAACTTGACATTACCTACCTTTTTTTTTCAGATTCTCTTCCTGAGGAAGAGGAACTGATAGTAGATGAACAGATTTCAACAAAACTGTCTTGTTTATAGCCAAACCTCTGAAGAAATTATAAAATACATGTCATTGTCTATAATATCAACTCCCAAAGGAAACTTCTTAAACTCCCCAAATTGCTATACAGTGGATTTCACCACATCCTAGTAATATGGATACGTTTCTTTAAATCATCTAAAATGAATTTAGAATGACCTGAGTAATCGACTGCGATTCATGCAATAATTGCATACAAGATCTTTTACTATTCTACCTAAAACATCCCCTTGGCTGGTTTTGGATTTCTAAGTTTTACCCATACATAAGTTACTGCTCCTGAAAATGCCTAGAGAAATGTAATTGGAAGTGATGCATGTACCATTTCCCTCAAACAGACAGAACCTGGCTCATTCCTCTTAACCACAGCAAGGCACTTGGGGTATAGCAAGTGTTTGACGAATGACAGGAGAATGAAGAGACCAAATAAGCCACAGAATTTTAAAGGAGGAAAACTGCATTTTAAAATGCACATTTCCCACAGCAGGCATCATTGTTCGTCTTAATAATGAATGACAGTATTTCACAAACAATGAGCTCTGGACCAAGTTTGTGGTAGAATAAGGAAACCCCAGAAAAGGCATATTTCTCATCAAAAATCAATCTGTTCTCCTGCTTGAGCTGTAGTAAGCAGATACAAGATAGCCTGGAGTTGTAATGTGCCAGGAAAACCTGCTGGGGCAGGAAAAGAAGTTCAGGATGTGCTCATAGTAGAAATAACTATCCATTTAAACACAAATGTTAGAGATTTACTTTGATGGACCTCTTTGGGAAGGTGGAGCTTTTGTGTAGATTGAAGCAATTCCTCAGGGAAAAATCGAGTCGATGTTTGCTCAGTATTTCACTTATGAACATGTGACATTTTTCTTCTTACAAAGTAACAGGCCTTCATTTTTGTCCCTAGGCTCAAAGAAAATGAAGAGTCAGGAGGATGACAAAATGAGAGCCAGCACATGATCTTTTTCTTACTTTCCTAGACATCCTAGATAGTGAGAATAACAATATATAGGCGGTTCAACATGCAAGGAGTTTGGAAGATGTCACTCTGTCCTAACACATGTGCCAACACGTGAACAGCTAAACCAACTAAAAGAAAGCAACAACTTTCTTTAGATCCTTCGAAGAAGTGAGGTCACAGAGCAAACTGCTGTCCCCAAAACTGGAGAGACAGACAGGTGGGTACAGAGAATCACAACTTATCTGAGCAGAAATCCCTTAGCAGAAGCCTCCGCAGGAACGAGTACTGGAGTAGAAAAGCCTAAACTCTAACTGACGGATTACTAGAGGCTCCATGTGGACCAGTCTGAATGATGGAAACTCCAAGGGGATCCATTCATCCAGGGCTATCATGCTTTTGTGAGTTTTTACCTCCAGGAGCTGGACCAGGTTCTCACAATGAATATTAGAGAAAAATCCCCTCATGCTTCCAGAAGTGGGAAGGGAAAAAAGAAGAAACATCTTGAAACATGCCACAGCATTCTGTGTGTCATAATAAGGCCTGCCTTCAAGAGAAAATATTTCACCTGAGCCTAAACTATTGGGGTTCTATCAGATCCTAACCAACCTGGGGAAAGGGAAATACTCAACTCTAGCCCACTCTAGCCTTCCAGATAGAAGAAAGGAAATGCCTAATTCCAGTTTACTCTAGCCCTCTTGCCCCACCTAAAAGAGGTGGAGGACCTAAGAAACACTTGAGATGTTCACAGTTCAGAGGTACAGGGTTGCCAAGAGACTGAGATCTAATCACATAACTATATAATACTTCCCCTCCCCTGACATCTAACCACCACATGACTAAAGGCTTATTTATTGTCGTTCTTTTTTTTCTTCTACGTAGTACATTATGTTTGGCTGTCAAGAAAAACTTACAAGACTTACTAAAAGAAAAAAGCAAAAGTTTGAAGAGACAGATCAAGCATCAGAATCAGATATGGAAGGAATATTGAAATTATCAGACCAGGAACTTAACAGCATCACAATGGAGGTCCTAGATAAAGCAGCAAGACAAGAAAAATAAAATAAAATAAAATAAAATAAAATAAAATAAAATAAAAGGCATAATGATGGGAAAGAAAGAAGTAAAATTGTCTTTATCCATAGATGACATGATTGTCTATGTAGGAAATCCAGGTTTGACCCAAAAATCCTGGAGAAAATAAGCAATTATAGCAAGATTGCAAGATAGAAGGTTAATATACAAAAGTCAAACATTCTCCTATGTACCAACAATAAACTAGTAGATTTTGAAATTAAAAACAAAATACCGTCTATATTAGCTACCTGAAAATGAAATACTTAGGTGTAAATCTAACAAAATATGTAAAAGATCTATATGAGGACAACTCCAAAACTGATAAAAAAAAAATCAAAGGAGAACTAAATAAATGAAGAGATAGTCTATGTGCATGGATAGAAATACTCAATATTGTCAAGATGTCAGTTCTTCCCAACTTTTCAGTTGGAAAGAAGAATCTATATTTTCAATGCAATCCCAACCCAGATTCCAGCAAGTTATTTTGTGGATATAAACAAACTGATTCTAAAGTTTATGTGGAGAGATAAAAGCCCCAGAATAGCCAACACAATATTGGAAAACAGTCAGAGGACTGATATTACCTGACTTCAAGACTTACCATAAAGCTTCAGTAATCAAGACAGTGTGGTATTGGCAAAAGGATGGAGAAATAGATCAATGGAAAACAATACAGAGTCCATAAATAGACCCTCGTAAATATAGTCAACTAATCTTTAACAAAGAAGCAAAGACACTACAATGAAGCAAGTCTTTTCAACAAACTGGGCTGGAACAACTGGACAATCACATGCAAGAAATGGATCGTGACACAGATTTTACACACTTCACAAAAAATAATTCAAAGTTAATAATAGTCCTAAATTTAAAACAAGGAACTATAAAACTCCTAGGGGATAACAGGATAAAACCTAGGCAACTTTGGATATACTGGTGACATTTTAGATATGACACCAAATACATGCTTTATGAAAAAAATAAGCTAAATTTCATTAAAATTAAAAAACATCTGCTCTGTGAAAGACAACATCAATAGAATGAGAAGGCAAGCCACAGATAGAGTGAAAATATTTGCAAAAGACATACTTGATAAAGGATTTTTATCCTAAATATACAAGAAACTCTTAAAACTCACTAATAAATAAATGAACAACCCAATTAAAAATTGGCAAAAGACTTCAACAAACACCCCACCAAAGAAGATACACAGATGGCAAATAGGCATATGTAAAGATGCTCAACATCATATGTCATAAGAGAAATGCAAATTAAAACAACAAAGAGATACCATTACACATCTATTAGAATGGCCAAGATCCAAAACACTGACAATACCGAATGCTGGTAAGAATGTGGAACAACAGGGACTCTCATTCATTGCCGGTGGGGATACAAAATGTTACAGCCCTTTAGAAGACAGTTTGTCAGTTTCTTACAAAACTCAATATACTTTTATCACACTACCCAGCAATCTCACACCTTGGTATTCGCACAAAAGAGTTTACCCCCTTTGAAGGGTTAGAGACAGTAGATCAAGGACTTCAATGTATTTTCTTAAGCTTTACAATCCCTATGCCAAGACCAGCAATGAAGGAGAGTTTCTGTTTCTGCACATCCTCATCGACAATTGGTATTGTCCGTGTTTTGGATTTTGGCCATTCTAATAGGTGTGTAAGGGTATCTTTCTGTTGTTTTAATTTGTATTTACCTTATGACATATGATGTCGGGCATTTTTTCACATGCTTACTTGCCATCTGTATATCTTCTTTGGTGTGGTATCTGTCAAATCTTTATTATACCATACTTATTAGTAAAAAACCTTGAAAACTTAAAGTAACTGTGAGTTTGTTCTTTAAGAGTAAGAAGGAAATAAACGAAATCTTGGCTTTTACTTCAGCCAGGTTTAAGAGAGAAAGCCTGGGATGGAACAGGCAGTGGCAGTTTCAAGAGAACAGAGAAGAGGACAGTGGAATCATCTGTATGGCCTGAAGTAAAGGAGGAAATCCGAGCCTGGATAGGCATGTGTGGGTATGACAATTCATTCCTTGCTACCTCCCTCCATACCTCCAAAATAAATAATGATTCACAAACCCCCCAATGCTGTTCTAACAATCCCGTAAAGACTTCCGTAGAAAAAGAAAAAAAAAGAAGAAATTCAAGATGTCACAATGGTTTGGTGGCCACTAATATTATGTATCAGTGGGCTAATTTACCTTTCCATAAGGGCAGAAGCCAGCCCTGTCTTAGAATTTATTTCTGCATAGTCACCTTCTCTCTTAACTGCAGGCAATTCCTTCAGCACCTGTGTAGCTTGTTTATACCCAAATTAAACTACAGACATTTGTATGCTGTCTTGTAAATATTAGTTTTTTTTTTTTAATGTTTATTTTCTATGACTTTAGCTATACAACGAAAGCATGAGAGTAGGCTCTCTGGCTTTTCTTTTCTTTTATAACCATAATATTTATTTATGTAATGCAGTTCTTTTAGTTAACACTGCGTTTAAGCAGTACCATTCATATTTGAGATTATCTCTCTCTATTGTGTACATGTGTAGGTAAACATATATATCATATACATAGAAATATACATACCATATATACTATATAGTAGAATGTAAACACAATGTGACAACATTTACCTCATCTTAGCTTTCATCACCCAGATTGAAAGGAAATTTGGCCAGCCTCTGCCTCATGTTTAGAAAGCACATCAGTCATTCAGTCATTTCCAGAGTGATGGGTACTGAACCAAGGCATTCAGATACCTTCCTGGTTTGCTTCCATAGACAAAGATCCTATCTCTGCAGGTATGTACTGACATGTGCAGATAAACCCAGACCATAATGTTATCTTACATGGCATCTTCTATTTTTGTTTCTCTCACAAATAAAGTTTTGAATAGCATGCTAGCGAAATGAGAACTATGGCATTCCAATGTATCAACTTAAGCATGGTATGATTAAATATTAAATACGTGTGGTCCTTCATGTTTGAAGAATGCTATGGTTAGAGAAAGTAAAGTGTAACCATCAGGGTCTAGGTAGGAAATAGGATTTCCATAGATGTTTTAAATGCAGAAATTTGATAAAGGGACCACTTACGAAGACACAGGCATGGTTAAAATACAGGCAAGATACATGGAGACACTCAGAGGTGGAAGTGTGGGGGAATAATGTAACCATAGCCCAACAAGAGAGAGCAGGAGCTGGGAAGTACAGGCTTCCCAGCTAACCACAGTCATGGAGGGACAACGTCATTCCAAAAAGATGGTATCAACGCAGGGGTGGGAAGGATAGCCAGGTGGGGAAAAAAGGGAGTGGCATGGGGAAATGAAGGATTGGGAAATGGGGAGTTGGAGACAAGTAAGAAATACACGAATCACTTTCTCCCAATGTCCCATCCTCCTGGTAACCTGACTCCTTCCCACCCCTATGACACAAACCCAACCAGAGGCTAGCCAGCAAGAACTCAGGCAGCCATCCACAGGGCAGGACAGGGAAGAGAAGGCAGTGGAGAAGGGGGGCAGAGGAGGAGTAGGCAGTGAACAAGGGAATTGTGCTATTATAAAACAACCCTCACAAAAGCTAATTCACTAGATTATCACTTCTAAACTGTTAATTACTTTAGACCTAGTTCCTAAAATAGGGGCACACATAGAAATGGCACAGAATCCCAGGTTCTGTCAGGGAGGCAACCAGAATTGGTTAAAAGTGACTATGGTTATGAGGCACAGACCCCAAAACTGGAGCGAAGAGTTAAGAAGCGGCGGGCACCAGCTCATTCCAACATTTGGCCAGTTTTAAGGGGGGGTGTTTAGAGTCTTAATTATGAGACACATTGGTTTTTAATAGAGTTGGGCCAACATTTCTGTACTTGCATCTCACATGTTTCACAAGCTCATCGTTCACTCTCCATGAATATGCACTAGACAGGGATTTCCTTGAGGCTGGTAACAATAAGGACTTTATATCATTAGCAAAATTCTGGATCTACTGTGGCTTAATCACATTCTTCTCTACACTAAAATCTCCATTAGGTTCTGCTGACTTTTCTACAAGATTAATTTTCATATCATACTTTACTTATATTATTATTTTCAAATATTTTAGCCACAAAATGACCCTTAAAACATATCTCTGCATATTCATGCATATAGGTGTTTTTATATTTACATACATAATACATACATTTTGACAGTCGGTGGGTGTCAATTAATTTACTCAAACACCATTCAAGAGCATCAAACATTTGTCTGGCATGTTCAAATCTGAAGAAGCAGCTGGTGTGAAAAATAAAGACCATTCTGCAGGTTTCTCTTAAGGAACAGGCACTCAGCCTTTATCGTAAATATGTTTTGAAGGCTAATGTACTTGGTAGAGCTTGCAAGTACAGTCAGAATACAAAACACATCTCCAATCAGCAGTGCTTCACTTGCTGAAGCTAACTGCTAAAAATAATAATAATGCCAAGGGTTAAGAGAGAGAATCTAGGCCGGGCGCGGTGGCTCACGCCTGTAATCCCAGCACTTTGGGAGGCCGAGGCGGGCGGATCACGAGGTCAGGAGATCGAGACCATCCTGGCTAAAAACGGTGAAACCCCGTCTCTACTAAAAATACAAAAAATTAGCCGGGCGTAGTGGCGGGCGCCTGTAGTCCCAGCTACTTGGGAGGCTGAGGCAGGAGAATGGCGTGAACCCGGGAGGCGGAGCTTGCAGTGAGCCGAGATCCCGCCACTGCACTCCAGCCTGGGCGACAGAGCGAGACTCCGTCTCAAAAAAAAAAAAAAAAAAAAAAAAAGAGAGCGAGAATCTAGTACTTAACAAGTGCCTCCAGAAAGCTAGGTTAGATTAGATACCTAGCAAAGGGAAGGCCATGCTGGTGTTCCTCACATTTTCCTGTCTAGAGCCTTGTCAAGAGAAGGCCATCCTTCAGATGTCAAGAAGGATTTGTGAGCATTAATCTAATTTTCCTTTCAGGACCAGGGAGCAAAGAACTTTCATGAAGGAAGTCTTTAGTGCTTTACCAATATGCTCAATTTTCTGCCAGATGCATGAAATCTCTGTTTGACATCAGCACTGCCTGCAATGTTCATCTCTTTTTGTGTTGATTTATCTGCTAACCTTGATGAGCCAGTCTTAGATTGCAGATTGGTCACGCAGCAGGACAGGGCCATTTTGCCTGGTGACAACTTGCATTTGTGATTGACAGCCACCTTGCAACCAAACTACATAGCATCTCCAGAGTCTCTTGAATCTTTCCAAGGAATAGCAATTCTTCCTTCTCTGCACAGTCTTAATTTAAGAATTAGAGAAGACATCACTGTAAAATAGCCAACTCCCTTATTTACTGTGACATTCACAGGCTGTCACATTCTGCCACCCAATCATTCAAGAAGTGTTTTTCCCAGATTTGGGTGCTGTGCTTGGGGCTCTGGTCAATGGGAGAGAACGTCTAGGCTCAAAAAAACTTAATAAAGGGGGAGGAAGAAACACACACACACACACACACAGACACACACACACAGTCATGCACGCAACCATGCATACACGTACTTACACATGGTGGCAGGTAATTCCAGTGCACCCATCTTCCCTTGATCCATCCCACATGTCACATGCATCATCAGTAGACAAGTTGTAGACAAGCCTATGGCATCTTATTTTATATAGACCTGTCTTTCTAAAGACTTTCTCTGGCCCCTAGAGGGGACAGGAGGGTGCACAGCTTGAACAAGCCAGAACCGATAGAAAGCTGCCACCTCTGGGAATAATCCTTATCCAGTAAGTGATGAGAATTGATGGGCAAATACCTCAGCCTCCTCGAACCTCACTGGCACAGCTATGAAGCCTGGTCCATATGGTTTCTCAGAAAAATGAACCCTTCTATTGGTTTCCTACTGCTGCTGTAACAACCCCCCTATAAACTCAGTGACTTAGAACAACACAAATGCATTACCTTACAGTTCTGCAGGCCAATATTCTGAAATGAATTTTACTGAGCAAAAATCATGGCTTGGGCAGGATTGCATTCCTGCTGGAGGCACTGGAGCAAATCCATGCCCTTGTGTTCTCCAGCTTTCAGAGGCCACATGCATTCCTTGGCTCATGGCTTTTTCCTCACGTCACTGCAACATCTGATTCCACTATCACATCTCCTTCCCTCCCTCTGCTTCTGCTGTTACGGTGCATTGTCTTCTCTGACTCTGACCCTCCTGCCTTCCTCATATAAGGACCATTGCGATCACATTGGGCCCATGTGGATCATCCAGAATCCTCCCATCCCAATATCCTGAACTTCATCAATATCTGTAAAGTCTCTTTTGCCATGCAAGGAAACATATTCATAGGTTCTGTGAACTAGGACGCGGACCTCTTTTTGAGGCCATAGTTCAGGCTACCACAGTCTCCAACAAAAATGAACCCTTGTTGCCACAGCAATAACCCATTTGTTAATGTACCCTTCATTGGGTTTACTCCCCTCCTCTCTCCCTCCTTTCTCCCTGTCCAACTGAGAGGGATTGCCTCTCAGATGTCTTTTATCCAACTTTTTGTCTCAAATTTTAAAACTCGCACATACCCGTCAAATTTTAAAAATAATATAACAGGTATCCAAAGACAGAATCTGATGAAAAAAAACCTCATTAAAAATCTGATTTAAAAGTCTGATTTAAAAAATAATACACCAGGCTGGGCATGGAGGTTCACAGCTGTAAAATATGTGTAGAAGGATCACTTGAGGCCAGGAGTTCAAGGCCAACCTGGGCAATATAGTGATGTCCTATGTATACAAAAGAAGTTTGCCTGCTATGGTGGTGCGTGCCTGTAGTCCCAGCTACTTGGGAGGCTGAGGCAGGAGGATCACTTGAGCCCAGAAATTCAAGGCTGCAGTTTGCTGTGATTACGCCACTGTAGTCCGGCACGGGTGACAGAGTGAGGCCCTGTCTCAAAAAAAAAAAAAAAAAAACTAAAAATAGAGAAAAGGAATGGAAAAGGGGAGCAAAAACACTATAGAAATTCAGATACAGTGGAGATCAGTCCAAGCGGAAATCTAGAAGATGCCATAGAGAAGAAAGGATTTCAGTCAGACTTCAAAGAATGGGCATATTGTTGATAGTCTAATGAGTAATTCGAGATTTTTCCTCTTTCTTACAAATATGTATCAGAGCCAGTTTCTGACAAACCAAAAGAAACACCATCATCTTGAAATCAAACACATTTATCAAACATTTTTCAAGTTCCCAAGTAGAGACATATGACCCAGATTTTCAAACACCTGAAGACATTCCATTTTATCTGCAGGATTCCAAAACCATAGCAATGCTTTACAGGGATATCTTGCTGGTTTTTCTTCTCTGTTACTGAAGTAGAATGCAGCAATCCAATTGAATGAATAGTTATTTTGTCTCAAATACAACTCTACCAGCTCAGGGAAACACCAAAGTAAGGATGTAAAAACTACACTGTGCTCAGTTGACAGACTTACCGGGGGGGGGCAAAACAACAATATAGTTTTAAAATTGGAAAACCAAGCCTGTATGTTTGTTTTGTTTTGTTTTCAGGAGAGGCCACATCATCAATACTTTCTGATGTCACAGAGGCAAATCCTATGCCAAAAGAAAACTTGACTATCAGTGACTTTGAGCAGCACAGTGATTCAGAAGATTCCAACTTTATGAAGGCTAAGGAATACCTCATTCTCCTTATTTCACTTTCATTTTCCTTTTCTGTGTGCGAAAGAGTGATATGTCACAAAAGCCTGTGTCTAAAGTGAATCTAAAAGTGCTCTTTTGATAAATATAAAATACAAATTTTAAGGGGTAATAAGGCATTGTATCATATTTAATGTATTCTAAAGGTATACAAAATTACAGTGGCATCTTATAGTTGCTAGAATTTGGGATTCGAAAAAGTATAACATTGTGAAGTGCCAAATCAGTCAAAAATCTAGATAACTTATCTTTGTATTACAACTTAATAAAAGATGTATTTGGCCTCAAACATTTTGCTTGACTCTCAAGGCTGAGTGACATAAATTTAATGGAAGAATAGGGGTGGCCCCATCTCCTCCCTTTCTTTGTTCGCCTATGGTTCCTTTTTTTGCAATATATTTCCCTTATAGAACGCAACGAAGAACATTTTCTTCTCCTCAAATGATTTTAGAGGGTTTGATGAGCCTGAAAAAGCTAGAAGTAGAAAGTCAGGCTAAGAATAGTGGGATTGAATGTTTTCTGCCATCAGAATTACCCTTCAGATGGTAGGAGACTTTCTGGGCAAGCCTGCAGCAGCCACAGTGCACTCTTCTCTGAGGATTACATGGCTATCTGGACGAGGACTCATTCCTGTCTTTGTTACAAGTCACAGCACATGCTGACACTAACGGGGCATGGGGCTTCCCCTTGGCACGTGTGTGGCAGGCGGCCAGGGCTCTTCAGCCAGCATGATGGATGACTGCGGGGTGTGGCTGCTGCAGCATGGGGAGGTTTGCTGAGGGAACACAATGATGGCTGTAAATGCTGACAAATGTAGTTCTGTTTTCACCCTCCATAGGCTGCATTAAATGATCTCCCATCTGAATGTGATTTTCCTGGATACTCTCATGCAGTTGCCAAGGAAAAGAATTTGTCCCCACCTTTCATTCCTACCTAACAGAAAGCTTGCCACATCTTTAATGCCAGCAGAAAAACTTTCATCAGCATGGCTTTCAAACTTTCTTGCAGATTCATCATCCAGGAAAAGCAACAAAGAGGTACCTTGTAGTGGTGGGATGGTGAGGTGCAGAGCAGATGTTACTATACAGTCCTACCTTGGTATCCTAAGGGAATTGGTTCCAGGACCTCCCACAGACACTGAAACCACAGATGCTCAAGTCTCTGATAAAAAATGGAATAGTATTTGCATACAACCTATGCACATCCTCTTAAACATTTAAAATAGGCCCTAGATTACTTATAATACCTAATAAAATGTAAATGTGATGTTAATAGTTGCTATACTATATTCTTTATTTGCACTATTTTTTAATTGCTGTATTGTTATTTATTTTTTTTTTCTGAATATTTTCAATCAGCAACTGTTGAATCTGCAGATGCGGATCCCCCAGGTACAGAGAGCTGACCGTAGGGGCGAGGGGGAAGCGATCCTGCCTCCGAGTACAACGGTGATTCCTACCTGCTGTGGGGAGACATATGCCTACAGGACAAGGCCTCCATGCAGGTTGTGCTAAGTCAAGGAGTGGATAGGGCTGACATCCAGCCAGGGTCAGCTGCCAAGGTCTGTGTTCAAGTTCAAGGGTGACAACCTCCCCACTCTGACCCCTAAGAACGAACTACTTTCTCTTGCACAAAAGCAATTAAACTGTCAAGCCACGCACCTATGGGGTTGCCTCTGTTCCCAAAGGGTGGTTTTTCTCTGATTTGTATGAAGTTACTGTGTATGCTGGCAGGCACCCTGGAACTGAGTCAGTTTTCCGATTGCTCATTTTTAATCTGTACTTCATGAAAATCAGCCAGCTACTGATATTGATGGGAGTACATTAGGCATTCTGAAGCAGGAAAAAGCAAAGAAAGATGAGAACCACCAAATTAGAGGTTGAGAGAAGATCTCCACTGTAGAGTGTGAGATGCTTTCTAGTCCATTATCTTTTGCTCACACTATCCCCGCTCAGATGTCAACGCTGTGCAAGGTGGGTAGTTGGGACAACATGAAGCCTCGCTCATTAAGTGAAATTTCATCCTAAGGGATAATAAAAACAAACCAACAAAAAAATAAACATCCACAAACGTAGAATGAATAAATAGAAATACAATTTGGAAAGCTAAAGCATAAATCAACCATGAAGTTGCTAGTTATAAATGATTTATGATAAAATGTTGTTATTAACAGCTAATGTATATCGAGCTCTTACAATGAGATATGCACTATCTTAAGAGTTTTCAATTGCCTTATTTCATTTAGGTTCTCCCAATGATACTATTTCAGATTAGACATAATTAATTCTCGTTCCTATTTTATGGAGAAACAAACTGAGGTCCGCAATGGCATGAGTTTGCCTAGACTCACAGAGCTAACAGGGGCTTGAGCCAGGATTCAAATCTAGGCAGTCTGAACTCCAAAACCACACTCTGGAACATGCAGACACACTTCTATGTTGGAAAACAAAAGATCTTAATTTTGCTTCTTTTAGCTGATAGAAAACGGACACTTTGAGGAGTGTGCTATTGAAAAACATGCAAATCTGATTAGTAAACCCACGTGGATATCACTTGTGAAGAGAAAAGCAAACTGGGACTAGAGAAAGGAAACAAGTCAGGAAGCTGTTAAGAGCAGGATGGATATTAGCAGAGTTGGAAACTAAGGGAATTGGCAAAGTCACTGTAGCACAACCAATAGCTATTATTTTTTAAAATGCATGCAAGTGTAGAATTCCTTCAAGCTTAGGAAACAGTAAATTTAATACTCAGCTCAGAAAATGGGACCAGGGATGGCTGTCCTCACTACAAACAGTTGAAATTCAATGTTAGAATGCTGGTTTCTATTGTCCTGGGGGGATGTCTTCAGGCAAAAGTTACTCCCTGATAGATGATAAATGGGTCAGACATTCACCCAGTCTAATTTTATTCTTCTCTGATATCTGGTGGACAGATTTTAAAACTGACAGAGGATTGATGGTAGATGTTTGCCTCTTATAATCCCAGCCCTTTCACTGTGCAAATATTTTTGAATGCCTACTCTATACCCTAGTCTGTACATACTCTTCAGCACCCCATACTCTACCTAGAGAAAGTGTTTCACTCAACATCTATTGAATGGTGGTTCTGGGCCAAACACACTGTTAAGGACCATGCCATATATTGTTTCTAATCTTCCCAATATACCTGAAGGCCAGGCCTTATTATTTTAGTTACTTGGATGAGTAATATGAAGCTCAGAGATGTGAAATAACTAGTTTAAGGCCACACAGCTAGTAAGTGATAAAGATGAGTCAATTTGGGTGGAGGGGCTCAAAAGTTCATTCTTGCTATTGTTTTCTATTAGGATTAAGACAATAAACTAGAAGTATGAGAAAAAGATGTTTTAGGAGTTTAGGGGCAAGAAAGATTCTTACCAGATTAGGGATAAAAAGCAGAGAACAGAAGACCAGAAAAATTTCCTGGAAGAAATGTATTTATGGCAAACTCCCTAGAATAATGGGATTTAAATAAGAAATAGAAAACAAGATTCTGTAGAGGTACTGTGAGCATAGGTACAGGGCCCGAAAAGCATAAGGCATGGATTTTACTGCACCAAGTTTAGTTATGGGAAAGAACATTGGAACATAAGGTAAGAAACTAGTTAATAAAACAAGTACTGAAATGATAGGAAATAGAATAAACTTGGATGATAGCAAGAGGGGAAAAGGTGGGAAATATTCAACAGATGTGGAGAGAAAAAAGGCTGGAAAATAATTGACAACAAATTACATGTGGGAACAAGGTGAAAGAAATAGTTATGAGCAACGGGATTTAAGGCTTGAATAATGGTGTTATTAATAGAAAAAAAACAGGAAGGGAAAGAAAAATAAGATGATAGATTTAGTATTAGACAAAGTAAATCTGAGGCCAGTGAAACAAATGAAGGAGATGTCCAAACTGAATTCACTTGAAAAGTCAAAGTTAGAGAAGGGTATAGTCTTCTAAGCCTGCAGTTAAGTAAGACACATTACTTAAAGGAAAGAGTAAAGAGAGACAAAATGGAAATAAAGGAAGAAGATTAGCTAGGAAAGAGCACCTGGGAAAGATGTGGGCCAATAGGTGAAAAAAGAACCAAGAAAACATAGAAAAGTCAAGAGAAAGCCTTTTTCAAAAAAGAAGAGATAGTGTTGAAGCACTCAAAGCTACAGAAAACTTAAGAAAAATGAGCACCCAGAATACAGAAGTTGGCTCTGTTCCTATGTGGTTGTTGGTATATACTTTAAGGAAATGGTTTGGGATCAGGAAAGAGGAAGATGCCACATTGAAAATGATTTGGGATCATTGCGGGGAGATGGTAAAAACAGTAAATGTAGTCTCTTTATTCAAGGAGTTTTAGGAAAGGTAGAAGATAAGCTTGTTCAGGATCTTAAAGTCAAGAAAAGTAGTTTTTTGCTTGTTTGTTTTTAAGTAAGAGGACAGATTTGTTTGCTGTGAAAGAAAAATATTTAGTTTGGAAGGGGGAATGAAAAGTGATCAGAAAGAGGAGGATAACTGACAGATCATCAATCTGGAGAAAGAGGTAGAAGAGTTGGAATCCATAACAAAGGCAGAGGAGCTGACTGTAAGGAAGATTAGGGGATAATTCCTTCTTTTAGACAGAAAAGAAGGAGAAGGAAATGGATGAAGATACAAAAAAAATGTGGTGGAAAAGAAGAAGGAACTGGAAAGTCCCATGTTACAGGTTCATTTATCTCATTTAAGAAAGAAACTAAGTAATCTACAGAGTAAACTTGGCAGAAGGTCAGGTCAGCAGTGGAGGCTTTATTACGACCTGAAAACCCACAGGTGTGGGAATCAAACAGACATGAAACATAAAGTTTTTTTTGAGTTCTGTGTAAGTTACTGTCTCAGTCCCAGAGTTATCATATGAAAAAAATGAGAATAACACTACCTACACCAGGTTGAGGTTTGAATATATGCAATCATATCAAATGCTTCGCACAATGGGTGGTATAATGAGTACTCTTTCCTGAACTGCCATTCCTTGAGTGGAGCAGGGAACACTGGGATTGAATGCAGGGAAGGATGTAGTAGGCAAGTGATTAGAGATGATCCCTAGGAGTACTGATAAGTGGTAAGGGCCCAGCTGAGAAGCAACAGAAGTTCAAGTGTGGAAGGAGAGCATGTGTGATGGGAAAATACAGCTGGCCTGTCATCCCTATGTTGATAGTTTTGGAAGAGAATTGGAAAATATGAGTAGCAGTATTTCCCCAAGGATGAGAACTAAGTGACTAATAAAGAAGGGAAAGGACAAAAAACAAAGAGGAGAAAGGGGCACATACAAGACCATTGTTGATATAATCAACCATAGGATCCAAGATGGATGAAGGAGGCGGAAAAAACTTTTTATAAGCCCAAGAATAGAGATGAGTTGGGAGACCAGGAAGCATGCCAGGGAACAGAGCATCAGCAAAGCCAAGGACTGAGAGAAGGCAAAGAAGGAAGTGAGGGAGGACAAGAGATCAAAGGTGGCAGAGAGGAGTTCTATGTTCAGAATCACAGTGATGCAGAAGCTGTAGGTAAGGCAAGGTCTGGGATGGCGGCTGAAATAGAGGCAGAAGAATACAGGAACTGCTACATCAGGATGTAATATCCCCAGAAACAATGGCAGAGAAGAATAGGCAAGAAGGTGGCCAGTGTCCTGCCACTGAGAAACAGCCCTGGACCACCACAGATGGAGGCAGTGAGGGTGGAAAGGGAGAGCCCATGAGGGTTGTGGACACAAGCCAAGATGGGATTGGTGGTATCTCTGCAGGACAAGAAAGTGGCCCGGAAGTGCAAGGGATGCCCTGGCTCTTCCTCCGTACTCCGCAGGTGGCAGGGAGATGACATACAAAGGAGTAGTTTCCCCCTCCAACCCCTGTTGAAGGTTAGGAGGAGATGGTACCTCAGGGGAAAGCCAGGCTTCAGTTTTACAGTGACAAGGTGAAACAAACATCCAAGAGGCTGAGAAGAAGGGAAGTTTATTCAAAATTGTACAGAAAGGGCTGGGCGCAGTGGCTCATGCCTATAATCCCAGCACTTTAGGAGGCATAGGCAGGCAGATCATGGGGTCAGGAGATCGAGACCATCCTAGCTAACATGGTGAAACCCCGTCTCTACTAAAAATACAAAAAATTAGCTGGGTGTGGTGGCACATGCCTGTAATCTCAGCTACTTGGGAGACTGAGGCAGGAGAATTGCTTGAACCCGGCAGGCGGAGGTTGCAGTGAGCTGAGATTGCACCATTATACGCCAATCTGGGTGACAGAGCAAGACTCTGTCTCAAAAAAATAAAATAAAATAAAATAAAAATGGTACAGAAAGATAAATAGACTTACTTCTGAGAAATATGGGCAAACTATAGAATTGTCAAGTTGACAACTAAGTTGTTTTCAACTAATTTTTTGGTGAGGCCTAGAGCAAATTGCTTAACTTACCTGTGCCTCTAGAAAGTGGAAATAAAGAGACCTCATATCATTATGAGGGTAAAATAAGTTAAAAAAAGAAAACCTTTAGAATAGGGCCTGGTATGGAGTCGGTGCTTGGTACATTACTGCTAGGAGTAATATTGGGATGAGGTGTCTGGGGCCATTTGCATAAACCCCCTTAATCCCTTCTGATGCGTTCTCCATCTTGAATGTATCCTGTTGTCTTCTGGACATGCTCTTTGGATGGCTCCTTACATTCCCACTGGCATCGCCCAGGCCCAAGGCCCCTTTCTTGTGGACTGGATTCTTGCTCAGTCGGTCTCCTTACTTGGATTTCTCTCCCCCTCCTCTGCTTCCAGCCCCTTTTGTACCCAACTGCCAGGCATGACCCTGCCTAAGGACACACTGGGGCCCTGCTTCCCATAAGCTCCATCATCTTTGTGGATCCCAGGCCCTCCGTAGCTTGACATTGATCTCACTACCCACTTGTATTTCACAACTCCCCAACATGGACTTTCAGTTCAGCCACATCCCAGTATTCCATGTGTACCCTGTTTGTTCCAGTTTCCATGCCCTCACCTGTGCTACCTTCTTTTCTTCCTGCAAATGAATTCTACCTTTCATTTCAGATCATCCCCATTTCCCACCTCCTTTCTTTTGCTCATCTCTGACTATGCCAATCAACAGATTTTAACATCAATCGTTTTTGTGCATATTATATACATTTCCTAGCCAGCAGTAATCTCTTATAGGATCAGGACCATGTATTACTTTTTCTTCTTTTTAATTTCTTAATTCCTCACAGAACGTATGTCAGTGTTGAATGCATAGCTGTCAATCAGTGGTTGTCAGCAATTGGCTTTAGTGTTCACTACATGAGCTCCTAAATATCTTCTATATTCTAGTGATCTCAGTGAAAATGATAGGAACTATATAGAAATGTGTTTCAAAAATATCCCCCCTTCCATTCTTGGAGGTCTTGCAAAGTGAACAGAAATTCCATTATTATGGGTTCATCCTTTGGGTCTTGAATATTTTTCCATCTTCTAATACTTCTAAGAGAGCAAAAATGTTCCCAAGGTGGGGACAATGTCTTATTGCATGACAGAGTGATACTTTGCATGGAGATTGAGATTGCTGACAGGGAGGAGGAAGAGAAAGGAAGATGGCTTAGAGCATGGCCTTTTGATACAGAAGATCTATCTGAGGAGAAAGGATGCAAGAACAGCAGAAGACGGATAATAGAAAAAATAAAAGAAGCACACAAAAGGCAAAGTGTGTGGAACAAACTCACCTTATTGACACAAAGATGGTGCTTCCATGTCCAGACAAACCTTTTAAGCCCTCTCTGCTCTGTGACTGCACAGCCACTGAGCTTCTCTCTTTGTCTACAAGCTGTTTTTTTTCTTGAGTCAAACTGTTTTCATAGATAATGCCATAATACATCCTAAGTAATTTGAAGCAAGGTGCAAATCACTAGTCAACTGTGAAATCATCAGAGCATGAGGAATGGAACAGGAACAACACCAGGATATTGGTTTCGTTTGTAGTTAAGACACCATCAAGGCTAAACCCAATTTCTTCCCACTAACTGAAATCAATAGCTTCTTTCTCTTTCTTTTTTTTTTTAATTGAATAGAAGTATGGAGGAAGTATCCTCTTGACATGTTCAGTACTTCCTCAGCACAAGTACTTTTGAAAGGGGTCCTGCATCTAATTTTGTTAGTTGATGTGGATCCTGCATTTAATTATGTTCTGATACTGGCCATTAGTCCTTATTCAAATTCAATGCAGCGGCAGACATATTCATTATCTACAAAAGACATTTATAGTCTAGTGGGAGGAAAACATAAAATTTGCCATCTAAAGAGTAAAGGTCTATCCAGAAAGTAAAAAGAGAGAACCTGGACTCTGCTTTCTGACATATAGCCACCTAACTGGCATCATGGTAGAAGCTCGGAAATCAGATTGCCCTTTCTAGACATTTACTGAATAGTAGCATACAATCTTAACATCACAGAAACTTTCATTTCAGTAAGAACTTCATACAAATTAGAATGCAGTCTGCTGTTCTCAGAGGGCCTCCTCTCCCTTGCCACTATACACTCAGGAAGAAACAGAGTACCTGGCACTTGGTAGCAGAAAATAAACATTTGTGGAATGAATAAACAAAGTTCTACTTTTCACATTTTTTTACCATGCCTACACCAATTTGAATCAATAAATATTTGATTTATTCTTCTGCTGCAAAATTCATTAACCACATGGCTGCACCTTCCTAAGAGACCATATACTGTGGCCACTTTCTTCACAATAAAATATAAAGAAAAGGAGATTTGGAATAAGAGAGAGAGGAGAGACAGAGAATATTTGGAATGAGAGAGAGAGAAAAAAATAACCTCCTGAATCCCAGTTTTCTCATCTGTAAAACGGGGAGTGCAATGTTTCGCCTTGGAGAGGTAGGAAAGATTAACTGAGATAATGTATGCAATGTACCTGTCTTAGTTTGGCTCTTCCACAAGCTGACCTTCAGGCAGAGATTTCAGCACAAGTAATTTATTTGGAGGATAATGCAAACAAATATATTTGAAGGACAAAGCAGTTGCCACTGTGGACAGCTAGGGCTACAGCCCACTGGGAAACTTTGGGAAATGGTATAGAACATACACTTCGGAGTTGGCTTGTCTGAGGAGCAAAGGAGATGGGTACTTATCCACCAATCCCATCACTCGTGGATCTAGGACAGCTGGGATGTAGTGGATGTCAATTCCTTGGCATTCTGGACTTGCCTGATCTTCAGCAGAGCAGGTTCCAGCAGCCAGAGAATGCCTTCATAGAGCAACACACTTTCTCCTGAGTGGATGTCAGGTTGTATGGACATGGTGAGCATAGACAGGAGGACCATGGGCAGGACAGCAACAGTATCTGCTGCAATGCCCAACTTCAGCACCCAGTGCATTTGCAATAAATAGCTGCAAATTATGATTGCATCTATAAAGACTTGCTGGGCCTCTAAGGAATGTTCCTCCTCAGGAGTAAAACAAAAAATTTCAATTTTTATAGGCTCTAGGGAAACCTTAAAGAGTCTTTAGGAGCTTCTCTAGCCATGAAATACCTTCTTTCAGAGGACAAAAATAATTTTGGAGGGCTGCTTACAGAGTAGCAACTGTCACATAATCAGTTTAAATAAATAAAATTCACTTTGTAATTATAATACAGTCTCTTTTCTTCTTAGTATCTCTCCAAGCCCTTGTTTTAAAGGTTTTCACAGGAAGTATGTTAGAGAGAAATCAGACTGGAATTGTTATGATATAGAAAAATAGAGGGAAGGAATAGCAAAGAATGATGAGACCACTGGTTCCAGTGACATGCCCATAGGCCAAATCACAGTGTGAGGAGCTTAACAATTCCGGGCATTTTGTTAGATTCTGATCCAGTTCATAAAAATGCCACCGTTCACTTTGTCAGACCCTAAATGAATCACACCATCTTGTGTTCTTTTACCAGCCTTTGCCCCATACCAATGGCTGTATGCAGGTGGGATTGTCAACACAGTACTTGAATAATTACTTTAATTGAATGAATTAATATATCCTCAGGGCTAAAATAATTTGGAAGCCTGCCTAATCTGTATATGTTAACAATGCCAGGCAATGAGCTAAATAGATCAAAGCATTTATGGTTATGGAATGAATGAAAGAATGAATGAATGAACAAATGAATGAAAGAATAAGCACACAGATGCAAAGACTTGTGCAGAATGCCCAGCCACGACTTTTTCTGATCAAGAAAGTCTGGGATCAAACTTAAAGTAACCCCCTGCCACCACCCTCACTCCATAATGTCCTTCTCTATTACATAACTCTGTTTCATTTCCTTTACAGTACACAGAATTTAACAAAATATGTCACTTACTTGTTTACTTTCCCTTCACTAGGGTAAAAACTCTATGGCAGCTGGAGCCATGTGTTACTTGCTTATCACTGTGTCCACGGAGCTGAGGACCCTGTCTGATACATTAAGCATGGGCTCAGTAAATATGGATGGTATAAGAGGTGTGGCCATGGAAGTCACCTTCCTCCACAGGGTACGAAAGAAGAGATGCCACCAAAGGTAAGGTGGGCACATGGGAGCACTTGTGGGTACAGTGATGGAGGTTAGATCTTCATGCAAGGTCTTTGGATGTTGATGAAATGACCGTCACTCTTGTGGAGCCCCAGCCACATGTCTACCCCTTCCTCCCGACCTGCAGGGTTGCCCCGTTTTCTCATGCCTCACACGCTTAGAGAAGAATTGAAGCCCAACACCCTGCCCGATTGTGGACTATGGATAGCCCTGAGCTGGCGCTCCCCTCAAGGAATCTAGGAAATGTGTATTCATCTGTTCTAAAGTTATGAGGAGAAAATTCTGCCTGCTCTGCAAACTCCATCCCGAGATTGCCAAGCATTTGTCTCACGGCCTGGGCCAGAACCTTGCTGAAGCCAGGACACCTGAAAGCTCTTAACACAGACAGAGCTGTACCCCATCATCACTCTCCACCTTGCCTGGCTCCCCTTCAGGAACATGGCTTGAGTGGCTAAATGCTGGTTTTCATTTTCATGTTAAAAGTCAAAAACTATTCTAAAGTTATGACGTATCATGGTAGATACATCTTTTTAAAAACAAAATAAAAAAATAGCATTTATACTTTAAATATCCCATGAAAGTAGGCCTCATTCTTCTTATAAAGGCACTTCATTCTAAGGTGTTTAGAAATTCCTACATATAAATGTGGCAAATCTCATTCACCTTAGTTATCTTTATTTATGACTCTACCTATATAGAGTATTGAAAAAGTGATATAATCTCCAAAAAAATAGGGAGAGAGTATATCAAGTAAAGAAAAAGGTACAAGCTAGCTTTTACTGGGGAATATGCTGAGGGTAGAAAGAGAGTAAAAAAATCAAATCAGGTCTCCCTCCACGGGAGGTAAGTGCCTCAGAGGAGTGTCAGTCCTACCCAGTGTTTATGCCCATTTACCAGGAGCTATTCACAGTTCGAGGCATTGGAGATACAAGGATGACTAAGACATGTATCCTCACCTCAAAAAGCCCAAGCAAAAAATAGACTTTTCAGGCAGAGCAATAATTAAGATAGAAACAAAGCCGATCTAGAGGCAGAGCAATTAATTTCCAGGGACGGCTAAGAAGGTGCTATCTTAAGATGGAGTTCTGAAAGACAATTACCATCTGAACAGGTACATAAGGGTCAGATGATGTGATTATGTTTAATTATCTTCAATACAGTCAGAGTGGGATAAAGCTAAGGCAAAAGAGTTTTAGAAGGGACTGGGAGATTCCAAGAATGGTTAACATATAAATTAAACATATCACTGGAATATTTTTTCTCTAAAGATATTTCAAAAACCAGTGAGGAAGCAGGTTGGCTAGTTCATAGGGCAAGTGACTTAAATTATTAGGGAAATGCATGTCTATAAACAGTGATATTGCACAGATAGAGCAAAGTCATCTACCAGATACTTTTCTCCATATCTCCACTCCCTCCCATTTCTGAGTAAATGGTGTCAGGGAATGACTTGTCTTTCGTGAAAAGAACAGCCAGTTAGATGGGTCAGGCATGGTGGCTCATGCCTGTAATCCCAACACGTTGGGAGGCTGAAGCAGGAGGATCATTTGAACCCAGGAGCTCAAGACTAGCCTGGGCAACACAGGGAGAACCCCATCTCTACCAAAAAATTTAAAAATTAGCCAGGCATGGTGGCGCATGCGGATTGCTTGAGCTTAGGAGCTCAAGGTTGCAGTGAGTCGTGATTGTGCCACTACATTCCAGCTCGGGTGACAGGGTGAGACCTTGTTTCTGGAAAAAAACAAACAAACAAAAACTACAAGCTATGTGAGATGGCTGCAACATGAGTGAGTATCAACTGATGGGTGCAAAGATCCTTCATCGAATGGCTAAAATCATAGAAGGGACTAGGATACTTCAATCATCAATTTGTCTTGAGAGAAAAACAGAGGTTTTCCTCAAGCTGTAGGATCAAGAACAAGGTGCTTAATAGCAGGGGAAGTTTGGAATAAAATATTCAGTAAATGTAACCTGTTTTTAAATGTGCTTATTTTAAAATAAGCTTTATATTTTACAGTAGTTTTTAAAGTTTTTTGTTTGTTTGTTTTTTGAGATGGAGTCTTGCTCTGTTGCCCAGGCTGGAGTGCAGTGGCACAATCTTGGCTCACTGCAACCTCTGCCTCCCGGGTTCACATGATTCTCCTGCCTCAGCTTCTCAAGTAGCTGGGAGTACAGGCCTGCACCACCACACCCAGCTAGTTTTGCATTTTTAGTAGAGACGGGGTTTCACCATGTTGGCCAGGCTGGTCTTGAACTCCCGACCTCAAGTGATCCACCCACCTTGGCCTCCCAAAGTGCTGGGATTACAGGTGTGAGCCACCACACCTGGCCTAAAAGTATATTTTAACTGACTTCTTAGATTAATCCTTTGTTATATCTAGATATTAGTGGTCATCTCCATTATCCTTTGCTGGAGTCAAGTGGTCCACATAGTCTAAGTCAGGTAAGGCAAATGTTTGGCTCTTCCCACCCATTACTTCCTCCTCCTCTGGCAAACATCACTAATTAATGACAGTACTCTTTGCTCTGAACCCAAACTAGCTCTCAGAATCCTTTTCAACACACCTCTTCAGGCGGTCATTCCTCCTGTTGGCATTGACACATGGAATGTAGTGTAATGGCTATCTCTAGTTATGCCAAAGCTTCCCAACTCATTAACCATGATCTCCCAGGGGAACACTGGGTTAGTTCAAGAGTTTTGAGAATTCCTATGTGTATGAAGACTAGCTTTTATCATGAATAGCATGTTTCATGCATACATCTGTTACTACTTTACAAATGTATACATTAGTTGTAGTTAATAAAATGCAAATAACTTTTTAAACGTTACCAAATTCATAGTTGCCTTTTTATTACTATAGAATAGTGGCTTGTGAATTTGATATTAGGGGAAAAAACCCTTTTACTGGATAAGTTTAAGAACCCCTGGTTGTCAGTCATAATCAGCATGGTCTATTAATGTCAACCACATGAAACTTGTCCAAGTGGCAATTATAGTTCCCACAAGGCAGACATCAGTCTCTTTGTATAATTGCAGAGTTGTGACACAAATATGTTACAAAGGGGAAGTTTATTCATTCAGTAAATACTGTTCTCCTTTTTTACCAAACCTGAAGCTAAATCAAAAGCACTGGGCTTTCAAATCAACAAACCAAGGTGTCAACAAAACAAAATATCACTTGCATATTTAAGAATACTCAGCTGTAATATCTATTTGCCTCTTTGTCCAAATATAATATTAATAGAACTTGCCTTTCCTATCTTTCAAGAATTTTTTAGAATTATAAAAGCAAGAGGTCATGACGTGCTTTGGAAAGTAAACATGCTATACAAATGTAAGGGGTTCTCATCACTTTTAATTACACGTTATTTGCAATTACTTTACAATAAAAATTTCAGTTTGAAATATATTCCTCAGGCTAAATCAGTTTCTGGTGGTCTCTACAGACAAGAGCAAACACAATGAGAACACACATTATTACTAGCTATCTCAACGGCACGGGTAAAATATCTATGAATGTGTATACTGTCCATATGCAAGTCATGCCTTCACATTTCACAAGCATTCTCTCCAATCATTTTCCTAGAGTAAATTTTTCACTTCATGTAAATGGTTTCTAAGGGGAAACTTTGTAGAATATTCCCAAAATTGGCAAGAAGGGAATTCCATCTGGAAACTAGATTCCACGTAGCTCTTACAGACATATAATTTTCACCTAGCAGGATTCCAACATGATTTGGGTGGAATCTATAATTTCGCTTTGTTCATAAAGGAAAAAAATACCACCAGTTGTGAGTATGTTTAATAAAAGATGTAAATGAGGCTAGTTGACCTAATAGTAAAGAAAAAAAAAATCTTATTTTTACACAGTAAATTTACACAAAGAAGTCTACAGCTTGGTTGTTTTTACATAGAAAAGGCTCCATTTACACCTTGAATGCATAAACAAAATGTATAGCAATTCGGGAAGAATCCTCAGTTTGCTATTTTAAGCCACCAAGTTTCTGGGTGGCTTGTCATGTGGCAAAGTAACTGCAAGAGTTCATTTTATTCAATAGATATTTTCTGAGGACCAAGTGAGTGGAAGTGCTGGAATGTCGACAATGAGAAGTTTTGCAGAACAACTAATAATAAGAATAATTAATATTTCATTTAAGTTTCAAATGATCATACAATTTGTATAAAGTAGGTATTATTATCCTTGTATTAAAATAAACCAATAGGCTAAAAGAGAGTTAACTAACTTGTCCACTGTACTCCAGCTTGTATGTAAAGACTCATTCTAAGGACTTTTATGTCCTTGTTAAGTGCTTATTAATGATACAGACCAGTTTCTTGCCTTCCTGGAGAGGACAGTCAAGTAGGGAAGAAAAATGTAACATATAACCCTAATATTAAACAGAACGTGTTAAGACTAAGATAAACATAGTTTATTGACACATACCGTAGGGAGAATTTATTTCTGGCAGGAGTAGAAAGAGACAACTTCAATCAAATAGCTAGACAATGTTACTTTAACACATTCTCGTAAAGTAAATGAATACTTTTTTAAAATAAATAAATATCCAAAGAGAACATCCTTGGAATACTTTTAACATGAAATCTTACCAAAACATACAATACAGAGCCAGGCATGGTGGCATGTGCCTATAGTCCCAGCAACTCTGCTGGCTGAGGCAGGAGACTCACTTGAGCCCAAGAGTTCAAGATTGCAGTGAACTATGGTCATGCTCATAGCTCACTGCAATCCAGCCAGGGCAACACAGCAAGACCCCATCTATTAAAAAAAAATATATATATATATATATATATATATATATGGAGAGAGAGAGATAATTAAAGGGAAGCTATTTATAATGAAGAAAAGTGGACTCATTCATCTTCTCCACATCTACCCTCACTTCTCCATCACACTTAGGTTTTCTCTAGGGTGTGCAGAGCTCATTCTGAAAACAGTTGATTTCATAGAAAAGATCACCAATCATACACAAATGTCTATGAGGCCATGGGAATTTGATAGAATTGGTAGTTCCTTCTTTTCAGGGCTGTGTCAGTCAGGTCAAGAAAGGCAAACAGAAACCACCACAGTTATTTTAAAAGAAAATGTAATAGAAGGAATTGTTTACATAGGTTTTGAAGGGCTGAAAAGGCATAAGGGGAGCCTTGAGCTAACAGGCAGTCAAAGCAGGAAGCAGCTACCATTCTAAGGGCTGGTGGATCAAAGGGAAGAAGTTTTGATCATTGCAACCTAGAGGAGTGTCCCCACACAGTAGAAACCCAGACCACTGAGGAAGGAGCACTGTTCAGTTGGCATTGGAGGCTCTAGAACTTGAAAGAGGTCCCCAAGGAGCTGGGACCAAGACCTCTGTGGAAACCGTGCTGCCTGCTGGTGCTAATATTTTTGAGGAGAAACTCAAGCCTGGTTCTCAGGTGCTACAGGGGTTGGAGGGTGGAATCTGGAACCAACTGCCACTGCCAGGGTGAAGGATGTTGCCAATTGGTCCTGGCAGAAACAGGAAGTAAACAGGAAATAATAGAAACACTGAAAAGGGATGTGTTACCTGCACCTCCTTCTTATGAAAAGTTTCTGGGGTCTTGTTTTATCCATGTTGACATCACTCTTGGGTTCAAACGGGAGTAGAGTGGCTGAAAACAACTACAAACCTTCGTTCTCCTGGGTTCAATTACAGCAGAAACAATAGTCGTGTCTTTTTCCAGTAGTTACCCAAAACATCACTCTAGGGGAATCAATGTGCCCATCTCTGAAACAATCTCTGTAGCTAGAAGTGTAGAATCAACCTGTTGACCAGATTTCTGTCATAGGCGTGTTCCTGGATCTGTTACTATGGCCAGTTTTGGGTCACAAACTACATCTTTGTGGCTAGAGATAGAAACTCATAAGAACCACTTGGACTGAGGGTGGAGAAGGGTGGCCCCCAAAAGAAAATTTGGTGCAATAATGTGAAAACAGAAAAAAAAAACAAGGACAAATGCTGAGAAATGGAAACAAATATCTACCACAAGGACTGTCTTTGTATCCTAATCATAATCTGAGTTCTTACTGTTCCCATAGGCTCCCGGGAGAGGAAAACTGTCTAGAAAAGGAGCAAGAAGCCTTTTGAACTCAGAAGACCCCTACTAACTTCATACTTCACTTCCCATTCCCCTCGCCCAGCTTCTTCCATCGCTCTTAGAAACTTAGCAGGCAGCCGTAATTCTTTAGTCAGTTCAAAAAATCAAGACTGAAACCTTCTTGGATAATTATTAGTTAATGATCAGGATGGAGAGCATTTAGCTTCCTGGAAAGATCAAGGAAGCTTCTATACAAGGATAGTGGGGGGAAAAAGGCTGCCATTAATATGGCAGGTATTAAGAAGCTGTTTCAGATGTTAAATAGGCAGCACACAGCTTCTGCTAAATTTCTTCACCTTGGATAATTACATCCTAACACCAAATGAGCATCCATAATACTTCAGTACTCTAAAGGGGAGAGCGGGGAGGGGGCAGGAGATAGGAGAGACTTGGGCGAATAGCAGCGATAATGCATAGATAGTAATGAAGAAGAGGCTGCAGCTAAAAGAGATTTTATTCTCTCTCTACAAATTTTTATCATGGAAAAATTTTTAAAAAGGCAAATTTCCCAGCTTTAAATATTAGTAACATTTTTGAGATATTATGCCCTCAAGAAATGTTTCCACTCTGATTTCCTCAGACCTCCAAGTGGCCTTCTGATAATATTTCAACTTCTATCCTTTCAATCAAACAGACACTGGCAGCTCTAGGAACTCCCTGAAATGTCTGCATCAGGCTCACAACTGCAACATTCACTTGTCCTTCAAAATGCCAAGCAGACCTTGAACGTCTGCTGAAAGCCTAAGGACTCTCCACTGCTCACACAGTACGCACCACTGAGGGGTTAAAATTATAAAGGCCAGGTGCAGGTGAAGGGGTACTTCTCTGCATTTGCCCAATGCTGTCCTCCTCCAGGCATCCTGGCCCAAATCTGCCAGGTCCAGAAGAGCCATTGTATACGATGAGGCAGAAACTCTGGAAATACCCATGGAACTTTGAAAGAACTAAATGAATATCACCAATGACAATCTCAGGTAGTACTGAGTGGACACCTACTGAATAAATGGCACAATCTTTTTTTTTTTTAAAAAAAAAAAACAAAAAAACAAAAAAACAGTTCATTGCCTTTATCTGTCCCAAAGAATCTTATAATCTTTATAAGCTTAGGGCTGTTCTCTGATTCAGTGCTAAATTTGTCAATAAGAATGTTGGTATTTAACTGGCTGTTAAATACCTGGAGTGTTAACTCCAGCTTTTCAATTCTAAGCCCATGATTTTATCACTGATGGTGACTCTTGGATTATATTTCAGCAGCTTCATGAAAGCAAAGTTAACTTCCCTGGGGAATCCAAATATCGTCCTGAGTTTGACCATAAAAATGAGGCTGTGATCTCACTATTATAGGGAACTTCCTATGGAGAAAAAGGTGGAGTCCATTTCCTTTTTATGAGTTGGTTCCTATGTGATTTGTGTGAATGGAATAGTCATCCTTGATCTGCAAGGCAATGGTATATGAAAACACATGCATGCTTTATTATCCAAAACATCTTTGGAAATGCTCAGAACAGTTTGAAACCAAGCATTATATAGCATAATTCATATTTATAGCCCAAAGTTCCTTTTACTGGGGGAAATAATTGGAAAAATGTAACTGGAAATTGAGTTTAGAAAAACAGAACTAAAAAATACCTACGATGTACTATGGAAGGGTTCCTTATGAATCAGATGCGGCCCTAGGTACTTAGACTTGTTTTTCTTTTTTCTTTTTTTTTTTTTCATTTAAGGTGCAGAAAGAACAACCCTGTTAGGTTATATTATGTTATCTCCATTTTATGGAAGAAGGGAAACCACAGTTCACGGAGATGAAATCATTAGAACAAGAGATAAGATGCAAGTCCCAGTCTAAGCAACTCTAAAAGATTGAATCATTATAGGACACCAGGCATCTCCTAGGGACTCAAGATTTATTTAAGCTTCAACTAGAGCATTATGTCCTCAAATGGGTAAATAACTCAGAGCATTAGCCATAAAACAGGGAAGTAACTAAAGGGGATGATTTATACAACTAAAGGCAGAGGAATTTGGTAACAAATTCTGCCAACGACATGAAAAGAGTCAAGTTATATTCTGGCTTGCAGTCATCATGGACGGTACTGGAGTAAAGCTCAGATAAAACTGCATTTCCAACAAGTGAATGAGGCTCCTCATTCTCTGGGCAGGCAAATCCAGTTGCCTTATATTTCCACCTGGGATATTTCAGTTACTCTGTAACTCTTGGACCCAATCACATGAAATAAATTGGTAACATTATGAGATTATGCCTGATTATGCATCTAACTCTCAGAAAGAACAAGGAGATGATGGTCAATTTGGTACGGTCAATTTGAACAGCAAAAGGTTTTATAACTTCCAGATCTATCATTATACCATTTTAGCTCCTCAAAATAGAAACATCTAAGATACAGAATAGTCAAGGCAGGAAATCCTTATCAAATTCTAAATCTTCTAATACTGTCAAAAGTTAACAGAAGAAACAATTTGAGCACTAGAATTTCAGAATATATACAGTAAATAGAAGACAACCATAATAATTTTAGTTAATTCATACATCCAGCTCAAGGGATATTCAAAAGTCAAATGCTTTTTTTTTAAAAAAAAAAAAAAAAAAAAGAAGAAAGGAAAGAAAAATGAATAGCATTCCCTTTTCATACCTCAGTCTTTGCAGGTGCTAGCCTGTCTGGCCAAGATCACACAAAATGAAGTGAGGTGAGGTCAACTGCCCATAAAAAGTGAGGCCTGCAGATAAAACTATAAAGCCCATGAAGGGACAGCCAAACTTCACGTTCACCAGCTCAGAAGATCGCAGCCCTGGCTGTACATTAGAATATGCCGGGAGACAATACAAATCCTATGTCTAGGTCACGACAAGGAACCATTCCACTGTACCTCAGAATTTTGAGGGGTAAGACCCAGGCATTGGTATTTCTTAAGCTCTCCAGGTGATTCCAAAGGGAAGCTGAGATTGAAAACTACTGCTCTAGGGAAAATGAGGGAAAGAGAAGCCAAAGTCACAACTTCCCCGGCAGCTGCTTCTAGGTTCCATGAAAGCTAGCTGAATTTGGCAGTAAGAATTAATAGCCTTTCCTGAAGACTCAGTTCACACCAGAAGCACTTAATTTTATTTACCAGGTGCAAAGACTATCTACTTGCCTTCAGGGAGCTTGTGTGCAGGTGCACGGTTTGATTCCTAATCATAAATAGTTGTGCCTGAATGCAGTGAAGGCAGTCACTCTTGTCTATCCAAATAGCAAACAGCAAAGGGACTACAAGGAAGAGTCATTAATGGGTGTGATGATCAGCAGAAGAGAACTCCAAACTGCTTGCGTGGAAGAGATAGCATCTGCAGAAAGATTCTCCCAGGGGAAGGAACTGTGTATGCAAAGGCCCAGAGGAACTGAAGCAAAGGATGTGTTTTAGGAAGAGTCAGTCATTCTAGAGGCTGGGGCATGGATGATGTCGGGAGAGTTGGATCAGGTAGTTCAAAGAGATTCTTTTCTCTTTCAGGCACTCAAACAGTTCTGTGACTACCAGTATTTGCCTTTAGGTTTCCAGTTGTCCCAGCAATTACTGTCAAGATACCACAATTATCATTAACACACAGAGTTCCTTAAAAGGAAATGGTTAAAAGCCCACTTTCGCGGAGACATCCTGCTGCAAGAAACTTGATGAGGTCAACAGAGCTATCCCTCAGGCTTGTCTGGGTCTCTATTAAGCTTATAAAAAAGAGATTTCACAAAGGAGAAAGCTCATTTTTATTTTACAGATTTATGAAGAGAGCCAGCGTGACTGGTGAAAATGTCAATCAATTCCCATCTTAAAAAAATGAGCTGAAATGAGAGGTCAGTCAGCATCTAGAAGGTTGTAATCCATGTAGGAAAACCGAGCACAGACGTTACAATAGAAAGAAAAATGGGTAATGAAAGTGAATCTGCTGTAAAAACTTCAGTAATTAATTCTTCTTCAAAATCATCAAATTTCACAACTATAATTTCACAGTCTTCCCATTACAAAAAGATTTCGACAGGCCTGACAGTTATTTGCTCAAAGCCATATGATATTTCACAAGCAGAATATTTAAACATTAAAACCATCAGAATTTTGGATAAGGATTGCATTGTAGGTTTTATAGTAAGTGTAGTACCCCAAGGGTATGTACATAAATCACACATCTAAAGGGCCCTGACGTTTTCATTTATTACTTGTTGAATGTTCTGGGTTGCTCAGATGCTAGAGACACTTGTATTCCTGCCTCTGATGACCGATATCCAATAAAACAGTGACAACTCATTAATCAGTCTCTAAAGTAACCGGATAAGCTGCCACTAACTGGAATCTCCATTAAATCAGATGACACAGAGGTAGGACCAATATGCACACTCATTATCTAAATCATGGCTGACATAGCTGGTTAAAAAGGAATGCTGAGTGTTCTGCTGTTTTTCTGTTAAATGGGCCCATTGGTGACAGGTGAAATACTTCTCTACTGCCTGCACGCCCAGTGTCTCTGAAGATGCACAGGAAGAAAGTCTCTAAACATTGGTAGGATGTAATTCTCGCTGTTGGCTACGTGGGTGAAACCTGAAGTTGGGATGCCTTGGTCCAACCACTATTCTGGTACTTGTGGTCTCTGTGTGACCATAAGCCAGCTTTCCTCATCAATGAGAGTAAATGTTTATCACACAGATGGCCTTCGACAGTAAAGGGGTTAATATACACCAAACATCTAACACAGCACAAGGCAAAAGGCACAACGTGGTGCTTAATAAGTATCCACCATCACTGCTAATTAATCAATTCCTCTCCACAGCTAGGTCAGCTCCACAGTTCAAAGTATGCGAAATGGTTAAAAGCCCACTTTCGCAGAGACATCCTGCTGCAAGAAACTTGATGAGGTCAACAGAGCTATCCCTCAGGCTTGTCTGGGTCTCTATTAAGCTTATAAAAAAGAGATTTCACAAAGGAGAAAGCTCATTTTTATTTTACAGATTTATGAAGAGAGCCAGCGTGACTGCTGGAAACTTGGCCTGGAATGTTAGGCTGTCTCTCATGAAATTGGAGAAGGAAACCTTAAGAATATATTTGATAAATATATGTGTGATGGGTAAATGAGACCTAAACAGAGAGAAGACCTGCATATCGATTCAACAAGTTTCCTAACTCAGAAACATCTAGACAACTGTTGCAGTCCGGAAACTAAGTTGTATAATAAGGGTGTGTGTGTGTGTGTGTGTGTGTGTGTGTGTGTGTGTGTGTGTGTGTTTGAATATGTCAAATGAGAGGGATATAGCATTTGTTAGGGGAACATGAGAGGGGAAGGCAGTGTTAGGGCAGGATGTAAGGCAGGGAAAGAGAGATTCCAATAATTTGAAAAGAATACCGCAGCAAGATGCTTATAACCTACAGCAAAGAATGATTTAAAAACTGCTAATAATGCTCTGTTCTTATTAAAGATACAGCTGAACAAACACACAATAGTTAAAGCACACAAAAATGATTCAAAGGCTTTGGTCATAACTGTGTGTCAACTGAAAACCTATTACAATTGCCTCCTCTGAAGCTCACAGCCTCTATTGACAATTGGCTAGGGACACACCTTCCCAACCGTTTAGCTTTCTCCATAAACCCAATATTCATTTTCACAGCAGAGTAACGATCTGGTGCATAAAGCTCGGATTGCGTGGGAGACACAGGCCAATGTTAAAAAGCCCATGGCTTTGGGTCTAATATCCACACTCCAGCACAAATCTCACAGCTGCCTAGAGACCTCCCACTCTGGGGGCTACAAGCTTCTCTCGCCATGAGATAACTAGAAGCACTGGCATAGACCCTAGAAAAGGAGAATTCTTCAGACCAGACACTTGCTGGGTAGGCTTTGGTGAACATGCATGGTGCTTTTTAGGACAGGAGAATGTTTCTCTGGGCGGTATTCTTTATCCCAGAGAAGGACTGTTTTCAGACACCTCTGAAGTCAGGTGGTGTCCTTGTCCCACCTCAGCCCCTTCCTAAGCTACTTATGTCACCTCTCAGGGTCTTCGATTTCTCATTTGTACAATAAGGAAAATGATACTGATCTATCAAGATTGTTGTGAGAATTACAAATAACACATAAGATTTCAGGCACAATTATAGGTTTCCAGGACATAGTAACTAATGTTGTTAACTTAAAGATAGGCGTCAATTCAGTCAGTGTACAAGCGTTTTAACCTGAACTGGATCATGATGTAAACATAATTTTAAAAACAAATCAAAATAATGGAATGTTAGGAATGATTAAATTAATTGCATTTTCTGGTAAGATCACATCTGAATAGGAGGTTGGAGGGGGAGGGAGGGAGAAAGAGAAAGGTTAAAATGAGAAATCCATGATCCAATGAGCACTGGAATCTTTAGACTGCTGGAGCAGGTTTAGAAAGTTATTATGTATCTTTCTCAGGGAGAGAGAGAGAGAAAGGGGAAAACAGCAATTCAGGTACATCCCTTCAGCTGTATTCTTTTTATTCCCACAAAAACAAACCAGTCATCAGAAGAACACCAAATTATGTGCCTCTGAATAAAGACTAAACAGCAGGTCCTGATGCTGTGTTCATGGTCTGGCTTCTACAAGACTTTGGACAAGCCACTGACACACTCAGTTTAGTTCTGGGAAATACATTGCTTTAATTTGGACCTCAAATCCTCTCCATTATTTTTATTGACAAAATCTCTAGTCCTAAATATATAGGGAGAAAAGTAGTTTTCTGAGTTAGTATTAGAGATGAGAAATGTTTTAAATGTGGCTTTAACATTTATGAAAGCCAACATTTTAATTATACTTCTTTATACTCAGTTGTCTGGGAGAGGTGAAATGGAAAAACTTAGAGAAACTGATGCTATTCAGTTATACAGTCTGAATAATAATATCTTCTCCAGGAATTAGAACATTCCACCACCTACCCACAAGCCCCTGGCCCTGAGTTTTGTGAGAGCCAGATGGCAGAGCCGTGAATGCCACTGCCCACAGTTATAAGGAGTAAGGGTAAACTTGATCAGAACAGAGGCAGCGTTATTATTCTTGCTTGATGTGATTCAGTTATATACCACATCTTGAATATTACAGAGGAGATGGGAGAGAAGAGAGACTCTTCCACTTCAGATCTAACATCACGGGGACATTTCATTACACAGCTTTTACAAAGAGTAAGCATTTGTCTTTTAAAAAAGACCAAGCGTTTCAAAATATGATTTTCTCTTATATTCTACTGGCAGGCAGGGAAACAAACTTATCTATCTTTTTTTGGGTCACCTTTCAGTATTATCCCACTGTTTACTGTCAGCATCTACCTCTCAGGATCTTCCTGCCATCTTCTAATTTGCTATAGGCTGTGACACACTTGTTAAAATTATGCCTAAAATAAGAGTGAGGGCCTCAGACTCTCTTCTGTGACTAAGGCTTATAAACTTTACTACAGAGACTGGGCAAGTATATAAATAACATTTTAAGGTATTTTCAGATTCTTGGTTTTATGTTGAACAAAGAAGCTTGCCCGATAAGTGAACTCTAAACAGTGGATGGAAAGGGCTGGATTTCTCACTACCTGACTGATGGCTGATAGACAACAGGTGAGCAGTAAGCGCACAGACAGACACTCCGTTACAGCCTGCAGCAGACCTCAACCCACTGTCAAACCTGAGATTCATCACTTCAGGATTCTGTTGGGCCACGGTGTCCTCACCAGTCTCCTATGCCACTATGCCACTATCTAGCGCCTCTTTCTCACCAGGATGAGGCCCTTCCCCTTTCTCTGAAGCACTGATTGTTCAGATACCTGGTGGGCCCCAAGGAAGGCCTTACTGGATCCACCAAGTCCTGAGATGCAGAGCGAGCAGTTTGTTTATGGGTAGTGGTAGTGACAGGCAAACCACAGCGTCCCCTTGTTCAGTCTAATGGGGTGAGTTGAAAGATTCGGCTGTCAGATCAGCGTGAGGCCTCATTTTTCTTTCCTGCTGTGTAGGGTGCCCCTTGCTGCAGCCAACATTTGATTGTGATTAATTTGTCAGGGATGGCTGTACAATGGAAATGGAGAACTGGATTGCCAATTACCGCTAGTCTTCTCTCAGACTGCTTGGCAAAAAGGGCCTTTCTGCAGGTCTGACAGCTCCAGGGCACACTGGATTTAGCCTCAGAGGGAGAGAGCCCATTCTCGAGTGTATTTCAAAGATGAAGAAAGGGCCAAAGGTGACTCTTTTTTTTTTTTTTTTTTTTTTTTTTATTTACCACCCTTCAGGAGATTTGCTCATGTGTCTTAGATCCTTGGAAAGCACCATAGGCAGGAAAGTTGCTCTGAAGTTTGCTTTTTATTCTGTCAGTTTAAAATGCTTTGTACTTCTGATGTAAGTCTTAACAGTGCAAATGAAAGGTGTGAAAGAGTTCCTTCCATCCTTCACACTGAAAAAACCCAAAGAGAAGCATACCTCTGACTCCCACTGAGATGTTCAGAACATGCTAATCACGGGCAAATGGAAAATGCACCGAGGCAGCCCATCTTTCTTCCTCTGACTTCCAAAAGACAATACAAAATTTCACATTGATAGCTATTGCAAAATAACTTATGTTACTTATCCCCTCCTAGAAGATACGACCTTTTTAAAATTTTAACAATGTCCCAAAGGAATAGATTCATAAATGAGAAAATGTCTGTATCTGTCTTTAGCTTGTCAAGCCCAGTATGTCCCATAATCAGACTTGCTTCCAAATCTGAGTGAGATGGACGCAATTCCATTTTGTACTTGTAGAAAATCGTTGACAAACTGACAATGGTAGGTTTAATTCTGAGAGATGTCATTGCACATCAGAAGCACCTGAGGTACAACTGTCAAAGGGCTTCACTATTAATTTATTCTCATGTTACATGACTTGCTCATTTGTGGGGTGGGAATGGGTGGAACAGGTCTGGTTTTAGTCAGTGGGAGAAAGCTCATTGTCACTATTTTGCAAGAAATAGATGAAGCAATGAACACAATTATTCCATAGACAGAAGGTTTAAAAAGAAAGTCATAAAGTCCTAAAATCTGCCTGGAGACTATATTAAAACTGACATATAGAAACACACACACCACATTCTCTCACATTCATACACAAAAATACACACACAAAATAGGTAATACATTTTTTATTGTATATAATACGTGTGTACATATAAGCATTTAAAACTATAATATATATCTCTATAAATAAAAGGTAATCATAAAAAATTACCTTATAATTATTGAGTCTAAAGAAATTTATAAAAATAGGTATCATTTGGGAAAGAAATGGGCAGTACTTATATGTTTCTTTAAAGTTATGTATACTCCTAAAATCTTTTTTAAGTATTTTATATTTTTCTTCAAACCAATATACATAGGTAAGAGCATGCATTTATAACTTTTTGTAATATATATAAAATTTCTCCTTTAGTAGTTTAGGTATATACTTCACTATATGTATGTGTACACACACAGACAAGTAAACATACTATATATAATATACAGTGTATATAATGTATATGTATGCTTGTATAGACATACAGGTATATATGTGTGATATCTATGTATACCTGTATGGTGTGTGTATATATGCATATATACATAAATCAATGGCTTAATATCTGTTGTGTGTGTTTATTTTATTTTTATATGTTTATTTATTTTTTGAGACGGAGTCTCACTCTGTCACCCAGGTTGGAGTGCAGTGGCGCAATCTTTGCTCTCACTGAAACCTCTGCCTCCCAGGTTCAAGCAATTCTCCTGCCTCAGCCTCCTGAGTAGCTGAGACTATAGGCATATGCCACCATGCCCAGCTAATTTTTGTATTTTTAGTAGAGACGGGTTTTCACTACGTTGGTCAGGCTGGTCTCAAACTCCTGATCTCAGGTGATCCGCCCACCTTGGCCTCCCAAAGTGCTGGGATTACGGGCATGAGACACCATGTCCAGCCTCTGTGCATGTTTAAAATGTTACTAGATCACTAGAAGAAACCTGGGTTAATTTTTAAAAATAATCTTGAAATAGAAGGCCTTTCTAAGTTGGAAACCATGAAAATAAAAAGACTGAAAATTTGGTTATATTTATAGGCTTATATATGAAGTGAATATTATTTTTTTGGAAAATGCATAAGAAACTCAACAGTGGCTGCCTCTTAAGAGGGATACTGGCATTTTTAATTGGGAAGAGATTTTTACCATTTGATGACTTTTTATATTGCTTTACTGTTTTTTAGCATGTGCGTATCTCACTTTAATGATTAAAAGCACTCCTTTTAAAAAATGCCCCTCAAGCTCCTGTTATCCTTGTTAACGTCAGTGCTACATAAGCGTTCAGATGCTCTAGTCACATGTTGTTGTTGCTGCTGTTTTTAATAGGAGCCCTCTCAAGGATGGGTGGTGATCATGAACTCTCTGATCAATTATTAGCCAAGGCTCAGTGAGGGATAGGTGTGATTCATTTCAATGCCATGAGTATTTATTCAGTATGTTCCATGGAACAGGTGCCATATTAGACGGTGAGGGGACAGGGATGCCACATGGTCCCCAGTTTTCTGGTGACTAGACACTAATGAGCTGCCATTTTGGGGATGGGAATAAAAAATCAATTAGTACCTCAAAGGGTTTATTTTTTATTGATAAATCCTGATGCATAAATGATCTCAGTGATCATTAGATAGTTTGATTATCTGCTCTGAGTTATTCAAGGTCTTAGGGATGGTCCCTAAGAGAAAAGATGACCATTTGCAGAACTGTTAGCCTAGGATGACTGTAAGGATAATCAATGCAAACATCAAAATCCTGGATCTTTATAGTAAGACAAAACACTTATTTGGTTGTATGTCCTATAAGAAAAGAAGATAAACATATCCCTAGAATTAAATATAAGAACTCTAACTTACATGTTGTTCATATTCAAAACTGTTTGTTCCCACTTGATTATTTGAAACTTATAATTCATATTCTCACAAGATAATACTGTGCATTATAATTTTGTTGTCAGGACAAGCCCAAAAGTGACTTAATTTATAATGAAGATAGACCATAGTGCTTCTTTTTTTACAGGAACATGTATGCATTTATTTAACAAGATTTTACTGACTCTCTACCATTTGTCAAACACTGTGCTGGGAGCAGGGGACATAACGGTGAGGAAAACCAGACACTGACATTGATAAAATAATCACCCCAATAAATATAAAGCTTTGATTGTATTAAGGGCTATGAAGGACAGCCATGTAACACCATGAGAGCTGGTAATAAGGAGGTTTGATCTGCTCAGGGACGCCAGGGCAAGCATCCCTCCAGGGGCCTTGCTTGTTAACCACCATTAACCAGCTGAAGATGGGCAGTAAGAGTTCTGCAGGCTGAGGATGCAAACAGCAGAGAAAATGCCTGCTAGGACAGACTGAAAGAGAGTCAGGCACAAGGTAAGACCACTCTAGGGCTTGAAAGCCATGCTGGTAGTCTTCATCCTAAGAAAAATGTTCTTGGAATTTTGGATTGGGCTTCTAGCATCTCCTCTCCACTCCTAGGGAACTCTCCTGCCTTCTACCTTCCAAGCAGAAGGAATGGAAGTTCCACAACTTGACATTACTAATGGTGAATTCCATAGCCTGTAACATTGTATTCCAAGGAAAGGGGAGGCAGAGATGGGATGGGGATTAGAAGAGTGTAGGTTCTAGGGTGGGGAACTGGAGGAAAAATGTCATGGCCTCTCACAAGGATAAATACTTGGGCTTTACACAGGCCTGAACCAGTCTGTATTCACCTCTTTGGTACCTTCTAATAGCCTGAGAGACAGGGCCACTATCTCTTACCATGAGTCACTCCCCCATTAGATTTCTTTCCTGCTTCACCCTGCGGCAGAACACAAAACAGCTTCATTGATTTTACCCCATGTTTCCAGTGTCCTAAGCAAACATAGCATTTCCTGGGGTTTCCTAAGGATGGCTACTGCTAGAGACAAGATAATACACTGGGATAGAAAAGGTCAAGGTCAGTTTGTCCAGCATGGCAACTCGATTGGACACTGGACTTCACTCCTGGAAAGAAAGCTGGGTGGAGATTATGGCAGGCCTAGGGTAGGAAGTGAGATGGGAGCTGGAGAAGTGGCCATGGCAGCCCTGGGGCTGGAGAGCCTGGTAGGAAAATAAGGGAACCCCATCTTCCCACTTACCTAGTTGCTTTTAGCAGCTCTAACACTGTGGCCCCTTTGAGATGGGCACTGCCTCACTTGAGATAGAACGTGTGAAGTGGAAGGAGTTGGTAGTGTGAAGAGGAGGCAAAGAACACGAAGTGGAAACAGCAGGAAAGCAAAGGCACCGACCAATCTGCAGGCCCCAGCTCCTCTGCTAGCCAGGCTCTGCCTTCCCAGGAATTGTTGCCCTGCCATAGCTTGCAGCCAGCTTGCTTTAACTTCTTGGCATTTCTGTCTCTTGTTGCTTGTCTCCTTCACCACCTTCCCATGCTCACCACAATTCCTATTTTTTACCTCTTCCTAGGCTGGACAGGTAGTTGGGAGTGAGGCCTGTAGGGAGAAGAACTGCACTGGGATACTTCCTATACAACACACAGACACACACACACACACACACACACACACACACACACGCACACTCTTAGGTCCCAGTACTGCCACTGCCTTTAACATGTGCAGAGGTATCTTTAAAAAGTCTTTCAAGTCAAGTATTTTTACATTTCCTGGATCACTCGATGCATATCACTGTTTTATCCTGGCCACGAGGCACATTTTCATTGTTTTATGAAGGATGGAAAAAGCTGTTGAGACCTCCTTTCCTTCTATAAACAACATGGGAAAACAGCAACTGTGCACTTCTATCTTTTTCACTAAGGATGAGAAGATAAAATATTTGCAAAGTTGAAAAAAAATTGAAAGGCCATAATTTAGGATGCTAACCTTTCCCTACGGCAGCGCCAGCAGATCTTTCCGGCTTGCTAAGGGATTCAGAACTTGCGGAAGCTTGGAGCCCCTGAGCTGCCGGTGATCACTTTCACAGGTTCCTGTAATTATATGCAAGGGCTGGCGTTCGCAAGTTTGGTTGAATGCCTGGCTTTTCAAACTGGGGTGTTGGCAGTGTGCCAGAGGCACCATAAACCACGGGATGTGCACCTTCCTGAGGGTTCATGTACAAGATTTATTGGGGGAGGGCCATAAAATTACTTAACTAGTGAGTAATGTTAAGCATTTTGTTTTAAGAATGAGGTTGCAAAACGCCTCTGCTTTAGAATACAATGTTTTATTTCAACAAGAACAAAAATCCTCCCTTGCACAGGCTGCCTATGCCTTGGTACCCTGAGGATACAGATGCATCACCTTTAACTATAAAGGATCTTTCATGATAAAGAGGAAGAAACAATGATATGATGCATAGAAGGATGGGTGTGCAGGTATTTTCTATATTCAGTCAGTCTTCAGAAGTCACTGATGATGAACCCAATGGCTGAAGGTGGGGTAGTCCATATAAACAGGATTTGGCTAGAAGCAGCAGTTTGGGTAGAAGAAGACACAGAGGAGAGAATGGGGACCTAGAGAAAGTATTGCCATCATGACATTTATTGACACAAATCTTTGGCACTCTACTCAGTTCTGGAAAAGCCTCAATTCAAATCCTTTCTTTTCTTCTAATAGCAGAAGGTGTATATTAATGCTGTTCCCATCTAACATATGAGGAAGCTTGGAACTACAGTTCAAAGAAGAGGTCAGCAAGTGGACCATCCTGGGGTTCATGATTGTCTGATTCCCAGACCTCTCCCCTTGCTATTTCACCCTATTGGCTGGACAACACATTGGTCTTGGTTCTGATATGAACTAGTTGGATGTTGCTAGCCAAGTCACTCAGCAACTCTGGGTCTCATTTTTCCCAGCCAGGAAAATAAGGATCTAGGACAAGTATGATTTCCAAAATGCCTTTCAGTTCTAAGAGCCTATGATCTTAGAAATGAAAAACTGTGCAAGCTTTCCGGGTATTTTGGGCCAACGAAACGCAAGCATTGGACTTTTTCCCTCTGTAAGCTAAGTGGCAACTGTTATCTACTCCCCTGGGTCCCCTGGGTTGGAAGGAAGCATTTAAAATCTATGTACAGAAACATGATTTGGTTTTGTCCGTAAGAATCTGCTGTCTTACAACACATAACTTCACATTTCAGACCACAAATAACTATAATTACTCTCTCTCTCTCTCTTATGGAAAGCTTGTATTTATTTACAGTCAAAACAAAATGTTTCCTTTTTATTCTTAGGACTTAGTTAGATTTTAGGGAGCTTGGAAGTGCTTAAGCAAGTTGACTATTTTTTAAACAATTGGCTACAGTGGTTATGTATAAAGTGTGGTATGATAATGTTACAAACAGACTTCATTTCCAGACAGCTGAACTCACAGGCTATACCACAGGACTCAGAGGTGGCTGAGATGAGACACCTGGATTTCATAAAAGCAGCAAATTCAAGCAAACAGAAAGCAAGGTGGCTCTCATGATAAGGGACCACTGACTGGTATCATCCAGAACAAAAGTAAAGCCTTCTTCAAATAGTGAAGTATTTGTTCAATAGTATAGACAGAGTTCTAGAATCTAAGCGATAGCAGTGAACAAAATAATCAAAGTCCCTGCCCTAAAAGAACTCAGAATCTAGTGGCAGGGCAATAATGACAGCAGTAGTTATAAGAATAATGTTACTATTAAAAATAATTGTTAAATGTTTGTGTTTATATATGACACTATGATAAGCATTTTAATGCATTATCCAATTAATCTTTGCAACAACCCCATGATATAGGCATTATTACCTATATGAACCTCATTATTAACCTCATTTTACATTATTAACCTCATACTAAAAAACCTCAATAATTATACCATTATTAACCTCATTTTAGAATTGAGGTTATTAAGGCCTAGGAAGATTAAGCAATTTGCATGAGGCCACACAGCTAATAAGAGACTCAGAATTTGAACCTAGATCTATCGGAGCCTGAAATCCATGCCCAAAGCCACTTTGATACATGCTCTCCTTCCACGATGTTCTTTGGTACTCTAAGAGAACTCTGAGGCGATGTGTACAGACTGACTACACACAGAGATACAGACCATGTTTCAAGAAACCTACATCACTGCATAGGCCAGCAGGACACCAGAGCCATCAAGCAAAAGTAGCTTTGGAGAGGCCTGAGAGAAACTAGAGGACCAAAGAATGGAAACAGCAAGGAAGACTAAAAATTAACTACAGAACACCACTGTTTTACATTTATAGTGCGTATATTTAGCGATGTAATTATGCTTAAATGAGCTGCATCTAAACATCGTTCACAACAGCCAAAAAGTAGAAACAGTGCACATATCCTGAATGAACAGACAAAATGTGGAACATTGATACAAAGGAACACTAATAAAAAGAGATTAATTACAGATGCTATGACATGGACGAACTTTGAATATATTTTGCTACATGAAGGAAAGTAGTCACAAAAGATCACATAGTTTATGATTCCATTTACATGAAATACCCAAAACAGGCAAATCTATAGAGATCAAGTGTAGATTAGCAGTTGCCCAAGGTTGAGAGAGAGGGGACGGAGTGACAGCTAATGTGGGATTTCTTTTGGGCATGATGAACATAGATTATGATGGTTGTTGTGCAACTCTGTGAATTACAGTTTAATAAAACCGCTTTAAAAATTAACCACATCTAAAAGATTAGGCTCTATTTTTATTAACTGACTCTCCTGTTATCGTCTTAAAATCTGAATGAAATCATTCCTTAGAGTAAGTAAAAAAATAGAAACCAGGGTGTCATAGACTCAGTAATTATTGAATCCAGAGTATGATCTCTAGAGTGGACAGAACAGGCCAGTAGCCTCCTTACATTGGAGAGCTGCTTATGTATTTTTTAGCCATGAAACAGATATTTATTAAGATTTACTCTGCATCCTGCTCTGAGCTAGGTGCTGGAATATAACAGTGACAGAACTTAGAGCCCAGTTTCATAAGCTAAGTCACAATTACCAGAATGGAAATCTCAAGTAAAGGGAAAGTGCATTTTACCAAAAACGCAATTGCTTAAGAAGATCTAGGAACATTTTGGTAAAACTGGATTCATTTAAAACATTTAGAAATGAAGTCAGGTCAATAAAGTACAAAGTGAGGCAATTTCATGTCGATTTTGTTAATTTCAGTTCAATTTGCAGTCACTTGTAGGAAACTCTCCCTGTTGTTCACGGCTGAAATGGGAAACAGGTATGAACTATTATCTTCAGCTCTAAAGATTCTAAGGAGATTTCCTTTGACTACCCAGGAGATTTAGATTCATATTCATATGATCATTTTCTCTCTCTTTCTCTGTAATATTTCCACTCAACTATGATCAGACTCTGCCCTAAACTCACATTTCCCCAGAGTTCCTAGGTACACAGGATGTAAATCCATATCTGCTCAGGACTCCTGGTATGTTTATGGATGACTGTGGCCCCACAGCCTTAGAGTGTTGCAGAAACAAATTGCGATTGATGCCTCCAAGGATTTCTATGGAAATGGGCCAGAATTAGAATGTAATAAATAATGCAATTATGTATTCATTCTCAATGTATTGATTTTAGTTTCCACTGATGTATCTGAAAATTTTGCAAGGAGTTTTGGTACCAAAAAATGTAAACAATTGAGGTGAGGTCTAAATATCTAAATATAGTGTCTGACAACTAAAGATAGATCACTGTCCTTATGCCTTAAAAATTTCATACTTTCAAATTTGTAAGCACTCAGCATTATAAAGACATTTTAATAAAGTATATGCTATCAAAATTACCAAATATTCTTGCAAAGCAAGTACCCATTACGGGTGGCTGACACTGCCCCTAAACTAATTTATCTACGAGCAACCTGTTGATTTAATTTGTTTTTCTTTTCTCTTTGGGTGGTAAATATCTGGAAGTCCATCAAAATGTGATATTCCCTTCTTTCCATGTAATAGAATTGTAGTCAGATGTGTAGACCCCAAGCTAGACTAAATTTTCCAACCTCCTTTGCAGACATTGGTCACAAGACCAATTTCTCTTAAATGGAAGGTGAGTGGAAGTGATGAATGCTACTTTGAGTAGAGGGACCATTAGACAGAGGGTGTGCTTGCCATATACACATCTTTTGCCAGCACCAGGGCGGGTAAGTAAATGAGACCAATACCTTCGGGAAGGCATTGACACCATGGTAGATTCCTGGCTCCTTGAATGACAGAGTGGAACAAATCCTCCACAAGCAGAATGCTTCCTGTTAGCAGAGTGGTAAATAAACATGATATTCAATAAGCCAGTCTATTTCGGAGTCTTTTTGTTAGAACAGTTTAACTTTACCCTAACTAATATGGTCTTGTTCACATACATTTCACAATACATTTTTAAAAGAGTATCATTGACCAAAAAGGATTTGACATAAAAGTCATTGTCCTAAGGAGCTAAACACATTTGACTTCTCTAAGACCTGTCAAATTATTTTTGAAGTTCTTTTTGAAGAGGGCTATGTTTATTTACGTTTACCCTTTAGACACAAGTATGTACAAGGAGCAAGGAAAAGGAATGTCATTCAAGACTAGATGAGAAAAACAAGCAAGGACGTAGAAATTATTTCAGTGATCAAAGTCCAAGTGTGGACAATTCTTCAACACTCCAAAACAGTTCTTTAGAAGGAGCTTCTTAATAGTGCTCCTATTTTTCAAGGTACCTGAAAGATATTCCCAGAGTTACTGCTCAATGGATTGGCTCTGTAATTTCCTAGCATAGTTTTTCTATTTCCTTAAAAGGCTTACTGTTTCAATGTTTCGTCTATTCAGAAAATCATTTTTTAAAAATTATAGCATAACAATAAGTGATACATCTGAGGAAGGGGTGGGTGGGAATTCAGTGATGCCTTCCAGGCTTCAATCACTTTTACCTTGACACAACTACAAGGGAGTGCACATCCAAACCCCAGAAACAGTCAGACAGTTGTGATCTTTATTACTTTTTGAATCACTTAATTATTTTTAATTTTTGTTTTCTTTTTTAATTATTTATTTTTATATAATTAGAGGGCCCACATACAAGTTTCTTCCATGCATATATTGCATAGTGAAACACTTAATCTTTTAATTAAGTCCCAAAATTGTTCATCTGGAACAGAACATCAGGAAGACTGACACTGGTTTCTCACTGCCTCTGCATTCCAGAAAAACTAAGTTTCCAGGATTTTCATCTCTTTTGTCAGGTCCCCTAGAGGAATCCTGCCCATGGGTTTCACTGCCATTTTTATGTACACTGAACTAGCATATTTTGTAGTTGGTCACTTGAGACTACTTTCCAGAGTGAAGTTAGTCCTTTGGGTTCTTAGTTTGATGTCATTTTAATATTAAAGACGTGGGTAGGGTATGGAGAGCACGAGAGGAGTCTGTACCATATTTTCTGGGATGTATGTATCAATGTTTCTGTGAATGAGAATGTTAGCTAAACTTGTCTGTCCAAATGATAAGCACTCAGGGTTAGAAACAATTGAATAGCCAGAATTTTGCTGTCTGTCAAGTTGTCTCTCCACTGTCTCAAAAGTGTTAGCTCATAAAGTGATATTCAAACGAGCTATGATAGAGATAGGCTTGGCCCCAGCACTGCATTTTCCCAAGGGAAGTAAGTTACACTGATTCTAATGTTACTTTGCTTTGCCAAGAATGATAACATTTCTTACAGTGGGAATAATTTGACAAGATAAAAAACTTAGGTTGCCAGAGCAGAGATTTTACGACAGTGAAAAGAGTCATCATTAGACCACCTGAGAGTAAGTTTTTAAAGCAAATGGAAATATCAAAGGGAAGAGAAAAAAGCCAAAGGAAGGAGGAGAGCCATTAGGGTGATAAAAGGAAGGGGTGCATAATTTTGTCAGTTTTGCTCTGGTTCCCAATGCATTACATAAGAGAACTCTTCCTTCCTCTGTAAATATGCACAGCAATGATTGTCACACCTTCTCAAATCTGTCAGCATTTAAAGCTGATGAAGGGCATGCCCTTGGCATTGCCGTTGGAGAATGCCCTAATTTTTTTCCAAGTCATGTCTGTGACTCTAGACAGATGTACTGATAAAAATATTTGCCAAGTAGATACAAGGTTAACATAACATTGCGCTGGTCTCCTTTTTACCAGTTAGAAGCAGAGCAAACTTGAATGCAAATGAGGGATTCAATTAGAAAGTTGCAGCCTGCCAGCATGTGGTGGATAGCAGAAAGAGACCAGGTGATCTGATAGAAACAGGCACTCCACGTTGATAACAAAACTATATTGGATAAACACGAGAGCTGCTTCAGCTAAGCTATGCTGCACTTCAATTTTTCCTCACATTTACAGCCAATAACTCAATGTCTGAAATTCCTTCCTCTCTACATATGCCACGTCATACCTGGAAAGCAAACTTCAAAGTTTTTCTTTTTTTCCAGGGAAAATATTTTCCAAATTTTTAAGTACTCACGGAATACACTTTTCAGCCAGGAGTCGATTTCTGTTAACTATATTGACTCTCATAAAATTGACTAAAATCATTTTTGCCATTCACTTCTCAGTAAAAATTCCATTGCCATGTATTATGTCTAGCCTCTTTTGTTAAATTTATTAGCATTAGAGTGTCAAAATAGGGCTCAAAGGGCAGAAAGCACGCCTGAGATCTGAAATGTCCATCAGGGAGGTTCAGATCTGTTTAGAGACTGCTTTAGAGGCCAGTGCAAAATTTTAACAGGAATCTAGGGATTTCAAGCCCTGAAAGCCTCATCTGGATCTATTTTTCCAAAAGTAGCACAGGGCTTTCTTTGGTATTTGACCAAACGAGGCTTTTCATCCTGAGTGTAAGCAGGTGGTCTGGTGCCCTGTGGAACCATCCTGGAAACGTCACGTTGGAGTAGCAACAGTGCTCACTGAATGTCAGAGTGGAAAAGTCTGGCCTCTTCCAGGGGAACTTCAAAGAAGGCAGTGTCTGCTCTCATCCTGTCTCCTCCTTAAATCAGGTTAATCACATGGAGGATATTCCTCAGGCTGTGCCTTACAAAAAGGCTAAGGTGGTTTCACTGCAATTGATGGTTTGTGGCTATAGGGCTGCAGAGGGAGAGAAAGCTAGGAGAGCTGCCAGGGTCCTGAGCACCCCCAAAGTACTGGCGCCTGGCCAGGTCCTCCAGACACACTGTGAGTGTGATGCTGAGGTCCGAGTTTCCAGGAAATGGGTATGCTCACTCTTGAAATTATCCTGTTATAAAATAATCTCAGTGATTAAATAACAAAATCCATTTGAAAGGTAGCTCTGCCATCCTCAAAATTTCATTATAGCAGAACTAGGATTACAGTGGACTTTTGGGGCATAAATCTAAAAGTGAAGGTAACTCCAAAGCAAACAGGTGTGTGAGAAATGGCAGCTACTGGAGAGATGGGCTGGGTCTGGGGTACATTCGGAGAAGTCAGAACAGGGCCTCCTGGATGGCCAGCTGACCTGTATGTTCCTGAGTGACCATTGTTCCATGGGCTGTAATAAACCACAAAGGGGTTCTATTTTAACTGAAGTAAAATGCTGTATTTAGTTTGGCTCTCTAACTGAATAAGTTCTTGAGTTTCCATTTTACCTTGACAGGGTGGACACTGCCATACCTACAAATACAAACTTCCAGTTTGAGAATGCCTTTTAAAAACACATTTGTTTTTCCTAGAATAGAAATGTTTGCCCATTAAGAAAATACCAACTGGGTAGCTTTCTTTACCTGTTATTTTGCCAATCAAGAATTCTGATTTCTATATCTTCAGTTAGGCAACAATTTGGATTACAATCACTGCTGTCATGAACCAAATATTTGCTGAGCTTCTCCTAGAGACACAGTGCTTTGCTAGGCACTGGGTGTGCAAAGGATATGCAGAAGTGAATTCCTGCTCTTTAAATTCCAAACTGGCTGTGAGCACAGAATATATAAACAGCAATCTATGGAGCAACATGAGGAAGCAGTTGATAATTGTCCTGACACAAATGCTAAAAAAATTTCAGAAAGTATAATGACCACCAAGGGTTGGCATACCTAAGGAAGACTTCCTGCAGATCAAGTTTCAGCCTGTTAAACAAATTTACATGAGATAAACAAACAACCCCATTATAAAGTGGGCAAAGGACATGAACAGACACTTCTCAAAAGAAGACATACATGTGGCCAACAAGCCAATGAAAAAAAGCTCAATGCACTTATCATTAGACAAATGCAAATCAAAACCACGGTGAGATACCATCTCACACCAGTCAGAATGGCTATTCTTAAAAAGTCAAAAAATAACTGATGCTGGCAAGGTTGCAGAGAAAAGGGAACACTTACACACTGTTGGTCGGAGTGTGAATTAGTTCAACCATTGTGGAAAGTAGTATGGCGACTCCTCAAAGAGCTCAAAGCAGAACTATCACTTGACCTACCAATTCTATTACTAGTTATATACCCAGAGGAATATAAATCATTCTTTTTTTTTTTTACGGAGTTTTGTTCTTCTTGCCCAGGCTGGAGTGCAATGGTGTGATCTTGGCTCACTGCAACTTCCACCTCCCGGGTTCCAGCAATCCTCCTGCTTCAGCCTCCTGAGTAGCTGGGATTATAGATGCCCACTACCATGGCTAATTTTTGTTGGAATATAAAACGTTCCACTATACAGACACATGCATGTGACTGTTCATTGCAGCACTATTCACAATAGCAAAGACATGAAATCAACCTAAATGCCCATCAGTGACAGAGTGGATAAAGGAAATGTGGTACATATACACCATGGAATACCATGCAGCCATAAAAAAAAAGGAGATTATGTCTTTTGCAGGAATACGGATGCAGCTGGAAGCTATTATCCTTAGTAAACTAACAGAGGAAAAGAAAACCAAATAGTGTATGTTCTCACTTATAAGTGAAAGCTAAATAATGAGAACTCATGAACACAAAGAAGGGAACTACAGATTCTGGGGTCTACTCGAGGGTGGAGGGTGAGAGGAAGGAGGGGAGCAGAAAAAGGTAATGGGCACTGGGCTCAATACCTGGGTGATGAACTAATCTGTATAGCAAACCCTTGTGTCACAAGTTCACCTATGTGACAAACCTTCACATGTACCCCCAAACCTAAAATAAAACTTTTTAAAAATGTTTCAGTCTGCTTAAATGTGCTTGGCATGTTTCTGTTTGGGGCATGAGATAGACAACACTGGTGGTGATGGTATGTGCGAATTTGGTGTGTGTGCATTGGGGAAGAGGTGTTAAGGAGTAAGTTTCAGGAAGGGACCCAAGATTGGACCTCACTGTGCAATGGCAAGTTCTTATATTCATCAGATCATGTACATGTGGGTCACAGAAGATATAACCATGATGAATGGGTACCAAGAAATTTCTCAAACTATATTCTGAAGAAAACATAGTCCAGAGAAATGTTGAGGATATACTAGTTTCTATCATCAAATAACTTTAAGAACTGCCATAAATTAAATCCCCCTTTTAAAGATGCAAAGGAAAAGGCATATATAAATTTCTTAGCACACCAATTTACATCCTTAGCACACCAATTTCCCTCCCTCTCACACATTTTGAAAGCACTAGTTTATGGAGATATAGAAAGTGCCCATTGTTCAGGCTAGGAAGAGTGAACATCAATCTGCAAGCAATAGAATATGAGCAAAGGCTCCTGGGCAGATGGGAAGCACGCACCAAGTGGTATTTTAGAAAAACAATTCTAGTGAGATTTGGAATATGGAACAAGAAAGAAAAAGAGTGCCACCAGGAAATGATTCTAAAAACCTTCTCTACCTCCATTCTAGTATGACTTACAAAAATGTTGGGAGTTGTGTTTGCTTTGTAAAATTTTTCTTTTCAGCTATGGACCACTTTCTTTAAATAGAATATTACGTCAAACCCTAATAAAAAAAAGATGAAAGAAAACTTATCTGGTTAATGAAGGAGGAAGAGGGCTTCAAATAAGAGCAAGAAAACTAGTCTGTAATACACAGATCCTGGGAAAGAAGCAAGGACTGAGAAAGCTGTAACTTCACCAGGGACATATGAAATAATTTTCAAGTTGCATAATGCTGAATGGTCTATAAACCATAAATGGTATGGTTTGGCTCTGTGTCCCCACCCAAATCTCCTCCTGTAGCTCCCATAATTCCCACATATTGTGGGAAGGACTAAGTGGGAGATGAGTGAATCATGTGGGTGGGTCTTCCCTTTGCTGTTGTTGTGATAGTTAATGGGTCTCATGAGATGTGATGGTTTTGAAAACAGGAGTTTCTCTGCACAAGCTCTCTTTCTGTCTGCTGCCATCCATGTAAGACGTGACTTGCTCTTCCTTGCCTTCCACCATGATTGTGAGGCCTCCCCAGCCATGTGGAACTGTGAGTCCAATTACCTCTTTCTTTTGTGAATTACGGAGTCTCAGGTATTTCTTTATCGGCAGCATGAAAACGGACTAATGCAGGACATATGAAGTAATTTTCAAGTTGCATAATGCTGAATGGTCTATAAACCACAGAGACATAGCAATCTAAAGTTACTGAAACAGAAGGTTATGAAGCTAAAAGGAAAGTTAGGTTTCAACCCCAGGGGGACTAACCAAAAGCAATATGGCATGCGACCTTTGTGTATATCAGTCTCACTTGTAAATTTACCAAAAAACAGAGGAGAAAGAGACAAGTAGCCAGGACTGAAGAAGTATTTTCTTTGACCTAGCATTGTGAAAATGACTAAACTTGCCTGGTGACAGCCCTCCAAGCCAGCTAATGTGACTCACACTATTAATGCCATGCCTGACAATCTTCACTATTTCCCTCCCATTCGCCACAATGGTGTACTGAATCAGTTATTATATTTTGAACCACATTACTCTCTCTAGGGTGAAATCCCTATTCTTCACAGATTAAAATGGACCATGATCCACTCTAGATTTTAGTTAGTTCTTACTGTCCACTCTGGAGACTCTTTTGTTTTTGATATTTAAAAAGTTTACTTTATTAATAATCAAGAAAATGCAAATTTAAACCACAATGGGATAAAATTTCACACTCAGTAAATTGGCAACAATTTTAGAGACTGGCAATACCAAACACTGGGGAGGACAGGGAACATGGTGATCTTCAAATGGAGTGGGTAGAGTGGGTAGGAGTATAAATTGATTCAATCACTTTAGAAAACAGTTTGGTATTTCACAATACAGTTAAACATGTCCATATAATATGATCTAACAATTCTTTTGTGTGTGTGTTTAAATTATTACATTGTGTGTGGAACAAATAAATATTATTATTAAGTGAAAGATGAATTGTTAATGAATTATAGATACATAAATATACCACAGATCTCATGAGATACTTGAATATTTTTAAGTTATGTCTACTGTATTGGAAAATGTGTTTTCTTCTGCTTTTTTGTATTATAGTGATTAAGTAAAATGCCTTTTTAAACTTTTTTAAATTGTATTTTTATTTCAACATTTTTGGGGGTACATGTGGTTTTTGGTTACATGCAAAAATTCTTTGGTGGTAATTTCTGAGATATTGGCGTACCTGTCACCCAAGCAGTGTACACTGCATCCAACAGACAGTTTTACATCCCTCAAACCCCTCCCACCCGTCACCCTCAAGTCCCCAAAGTCCATGATATCATTCTTATGCCTTTGCATCCTCATAGCTTAGTTCTAACATCAAAGTGAGAACATACAATACTTGACTTCCCATTTCTAAAGTTACTTCACTTAGAATAATGGCCTCCAGCTCCATCCACATTGCTGCAAAAGACATTATTTCATTCCTTTTCATGGCTGAGTAGTATTCCATGGGGTATATACATACCACATTTTCTTTATCTACTCATTGGTTGATGGGCATTTAGGTTGGTTCCATATCTTTGCAATTGTGAATTGTGCTGCTATAAACTTGCATGTGCAAGTGTCTTTCTCATATAACGACTTCTTTTCCTCTGGATAAATACTCAGTAGTGGATTGCTGGATGGAATGGTAGTTCTATTTTGAGCTCTTTAAGGAATCTCCATACCATTTTCCATAATGGTTGTACTAATTTACATTCCCGCCAGCAGTGTAAATGTGTTCCCTTTCCACCACATCCACCACAACATCTATTGTTTTTTGACTTTTTAATTATGGCCATTCTTGCAGGAGTAAGGTGGTATCTCATCGTGGTTTTAACTTGCATTTCCCTGATAATTAGTGAGGTTGAGCATTTTTTCACATGTTTGTTGGCTGCTTGCATATCTTCTTTTGAGAATTGTCTATGTCCTTTGCCCATTTTTTATGGGATTTTTTTTTTCTTGCTGATATGTTTGAGTTCCTTATAGATTCTGGGTATTAGTTCTTGGTCAGATGCATAGTTTGCAAATATTTTCTCCCACTCTGTGGATTGTCTGCTTGCTGATTATTTATTTTGCTGTGCAGAAGCTTTTTAGTTAATTTAGGTCCCAATTATTTATTTTTGTTTTTGTTGCATCTGCTTTTGAGGTCTTAGTCATGAATTCTTTGCCTAAGCCAGTGTCTAGAAGAGTTTTCTTCCAGAATTTTTATGGTTTCAGGTCTTAGATTTAAGTCTTTGCTCCATCTTGAGTTGATTTTTGTGTGAGGTGAGAAATGAGGATCTAGTTTCATTCTACTTGTGGCTTGCCAGGTTTCCCAGCACCATTTATTGAATAGGATATCCTTTCCCCAATTTATGTTTTTGTATGCTTTGTTGAAGATCAGTTTGCTGTAAGTATTTGGCTTTATATCTGGATTCTTTATTCTGTTCTGTTGGTCTATGTGCCTGCTTTATAGGAGTACCATGCTGTTTTGTTAGTTATAGACCTGTAGTATAATTTGAAGTTGAGTAATGTCATGCCTCCAGATTTTTTTTTTTGCTTAATATTACTTTGGCTATGCAGGCTGTTTTTTTGGTTCCATATGAATTTTCAGCTTTTTTTTCCTAGTTCTGTGAAGAATGATGATGGTATTTTGATGGGAATCTGTAGGAAGTATGGTCATTTTCACAATACTGATTCTACCCATCCATGAGCATGGGATATATTTCCATTTGTTTGTGTCATCTCTGAGTACTTTCAGCAGTGTTTCATAGTTTGTCTTGTAGAGATGTTTCACCTCCTTGGTTAAGTATAATCCTAAATATTTTATCTTTTTTTTTTTTTTTTTTTTGCAGCTCTTGTGAAAGGGATTGAGTTCCTGATTTGATTCTCAACTTGGTTGTTGTTGGTTTATAGCAGTGCTACTGATTTCTGTACATGGATTTGGTATCCTGAGACATTCCTGAATTCGTTTATCAGATTGAGGAGCTTTTTGTGTGAGTTTTAGGGTTTTCTAGGTAAATGATCATATTATAGAGAACAGCAACAGTCTAACTTCTGCTTTTTTGACTTGGATGCCTTTTATTTCTTTCTCTCGTCTGATTGCTCTGGCTAAAATTTCCAGTGCTATGTTGAAAACAAGTGGTGAAAATGGGCATCCTTGTCTTGTTCCAGTTCTCATGGGGAATGCTTTTAACTTTTCCCCATTCAGTATGATGTTGGTTGTTGGTTTGTCATATATGGCTTTTATTACTTTAATGTAAGTCCCTTCTATGCCCATTTTGTTGAGGGTTTTTATCATAAAGGATGCTGGATTTTATCAATTGCTTTTTCTGCATCTATTGACATGATCATATTGGAGCCTCTAATTTTATGGTCCTTCCCTATTTTCCTTTGCTTTTCTGTTTTCCTTTCCCACCACCCCCCTACTTATAGTATACCATATATATTACATCAATTCCCTTTTTGAAGCTCTTAACACATTACCATAAGATTCTCAGAAGTAAAACATACTTCAACTCTCTGACAAGGTAATAAACATAGAAAATGATGTATACAGTATTGGTGTAGGCATTAGGTTTTTGTTTGTTTTTTTGGCAAGGAAAATCAAGATTGCAATGAAAGAACATTTTCATAATAAAAACCATTTCTGCAATGAAGTTTGGTTTGACTCTACATAAGGCGAAATAAAGAGTTAGGGTATTTGCCAGGCATAACTTTGTACATAATACTTCCTTTAAGCAAATATTTAAGGTTTGTTATTGGGCATTTGTGAGGCAGAAAGAATGGCCATGATGGGGATAATTGTGCAGATGGTCTAGTTTAGCCCCCTCCAGCCCAGTGCTCATCCTGTTTCCACAAAGACAGGCTGTAGGGGAATCTGGAGAGGAAGAAGGCTTAAATTGAAGGAGGAAACCTTAAATTTTTAAATAGTGTGACAAAATCCTTTCCCACTTAATTTGGTTCAGGCCTACATTTCTCATTTTATTTTGCTCAAGACCTTCAAAAGAAATACCAGATGAAGAAAAAAAGTAAAGCTCCTACCTTTGACATCAATCTAGGTAGTCCTTCATTGTAATAATGAATTTAAAATATATACATATATGTTAGATTTTTACATATTTTGTGCTTCAGCTGACAGCTTCCATGTGAGAAGTTTAAGTTCAGAAAGAATGTAATCTATTTCACTTAGATCAGAAAATCTTTAACATTATAAAACAGACTTATTAATGGTCTGAAAAAAAGTATAAAAAAGTTCTTGTAGGTAGGTGGAAGAATATTTAGAGAGCTTTAGGCTAGTGAAAGCAAGTGATTAAGAAACATTTTGCTTCCATCTGTAAGTGAGGCATTCACTACTTAACACAATCCATCACTATGCAGAAAAAAAAATTTGCAGTTTATTAAAATTCTTCATATTTAGTAAAAGTCACTTCTTTGGACTTTTTTAAAATTTGAAAACACAGATATATGCATATGTATGCATTTTAATTTTTCTATTATTTTGTAAATAGCAACAAAATAATGATACTGCTAAACTCTATGTACATTATGCTTTCTACTGAGAAGAAATTTGATTTCATTAAACAAAGCAATATTAGAAGTCAATCCTACTGGAACCAAATTTTTTGTTTAACAAAAGACATCAAGCCACAATGTATCAAATAATTTCATGTGATACCCGATATAACCAAATTCAAGAACCCAAAAGAATCTGAATAGCCTCATGACATTCTTTAATGGGATTTGACGAGCATTTTTAGTCTCTAAATCACAGCAAAATATATTCATCAGAGAACCTCTTATTTTTTCACTGAATCTCTGCATTTAACAGCAAAATAAAGAAATACAAACATCATCAAAAGCTGTATCACTTACCATAAATGCCTGTTGAGATGCAGGGAAATGCCTGTGAATAAACCACAAAAATAACAATGAATATTAAAGAAACAACTCTACGCAACATCATCTTTCTCAACATCTATTTTGTTTGATAATGGGATGCCCTCTACTTACATATTCAGAGCTATGAGTTGGAGTAGGGGACACTGGAAATGGGGATATTTGATTAACTGGTAACTGTTCCCTATCAGCAGTTACATCAGCTCACGAGAACCAACTGCTAAGTTTTCAGGAATCTTGTGAGGCAATTGTTAAAGTTATTATTAAGAAATTAAATTATATAAACCTACAATGAAATAAATTATATCAAAACACAGATAACCAATAGTCAGAACTCATCCCTTTCTAATTACTTTGCACATTTGACTATTACCTATGCTCTTGAGATTATGTGTGTCTGTCGTATGTGTATGGTAAAATACTACACAAGTCTCTCTTTCCAGCTCCATGGTACCTGATGTCACATCAGTTGCTTAAAATCTGAAAACATCAATTAACATTCATGACCCATATTGTGGGACAGTTAAAACCACAGACTGGCTATTGATACACATTTTAGGTAAAATTCAACAAAAGCATTCTGTGAAAATCAAAAAACTATTTAGAATGTATAATAAAGAGTATTACATATATTATTTATTATTATATGTAAATTGTGTGCTACATGTTCTTTATGTCAGTACAATTTAAAAGAAGCTTATATAATATGTACCCCTTTTTTGACAGCCAGTCTTTAAACATTTACCAGCACAGTACTGCTTATGCCATATTTTGCTTAGCAGTGTTCAGAGAATTTGATTGAAAAAAATGAATTGACAAATATAAATGTACATTTTACTCTAAATTAGGCTTTCTAGCTATAGAAAGTGGTCTGGGTATGGCAACTTTCTCTGCCAAGGGATTTCTGTGTAAATTCAACCAAGCTGTTTTACTCTTTCTGGTCTGTATTTTTCAATTGTAAAAGGAAGATAATGCCCACCATACAGAAATGTGTTGTGGACTATTGGTGGGAATGTAAATTAGTACAACCTCTACAGAAAACAGTACGGAGATTTCTCAAAGAACTAAAGATAGAACTACCATTCCATCCAACAATCTCACTGCTCAGTATCTCCTCAAAGGAAAAGAAATTATTATTTTTTTAAAAACCTCTATTCCTGCATTTATCACAGTGCTATCTATAACAAGAAAAAAAATACAATACAAATTCACAATAGTAACAATATGGAGTCAACCTAAGTGTCCATCAGTGGAGAACTGGATAAAGAAAAGATGGTAGGTGGAATACTACTCAGCCACAAAAAAGAATGAAATCATGTGTTTTGCAGCAATATAGATGGAACTAGAGACCATTATTTTAAGTGAAATAACTCAGTCACAGAAAGACAAATACTGCATGTTCTCATTTTAGTGGTAGCTAAAAAATGAGTACACATGGACATAGAGAGTAGAATAATTCATTGAAGACTCAGAAAGGTGGAAGGAGGCAAGGGGTGAGAAACTACCTGAAGGGTACAGTATATGTACACTGTTAGAGTGACGGTTACACTAAAAGCCTAGTCTTCACCATTACACAGTATATTCATGTAACAACAGTGCACTTGTACCCCCTAAATCTATAAAATAAAAAGTGAAAAAAGAAATGTGCTGTTGGAATTAATGACAGAATTTTTTTTTAAGTTACTGGCACTATGCTAGAATCTAAAAACTGCAGCTGCTATGGACCATAATAACTAACATTACTATTGAGGTCAATAATAATAAAAGATCTAAGTCCTTTTTGTTTATATCTTTTGGCTAAATGTGTACTGCCTTTTATTTCTATTAACACTATTGCATAGCCTATGTTTGTTTATTCCCTTTGCATGATGCTCTATTAAAAACGTCAAAATTTATGTGATTTTGTTTCAGAGAGAGTACAAATTGACTTTGTTAAGCTCAACTGTATGTCTGTAAAATGATATATGCTTTTTTCTGCTCCTGTGGAAGCCTTTACTATTAATAGTGAATTCTACTGTTTATAATGAGAAAGTAGAACAGTTTCTGGAACATAGTAGCTGCTCTTTTTAAATTAAATTTATGAGTCAATGCTTTGATTCTGACGGTTCTTGAGGTGCCAATAACATCTGAAGAATGTTCTTAAATGACTTAATCATTCAGTGATACAGATCATGAAGCAACAGTGTAACACAGACTCTGAAAGTGATGTAGTCTCTTTACAGGCATTCACCAACACTATCAATAGGCGTTACTCTCCGTATGAAAATCAACTGCAAGCTTACTATATATTTGTTACGATTAGAAAGGACTCAGAGTTCAGGAACAGTCTACTTAAAAATACAAATCAGAGAGGATTCAGATTCATCCCCATATTTGTGCCATGCCAGTCATGTTCCACTGTACCTTTTAAGTAGGATAAAAGTGAGTTTACAGCTTGAGCCCCAGGAATTCCATGGGAGCAAACTGAACATGTGAGCATCATGTATCTCATGTCTGGAGAGAAAAAAAAAATGTTTGACAACCTCTGCATTGAGCCCTCAAGGTGTAGGGAAGGCAAGATTTTACCTCTACCTTCCTAGAGTTTTTCAGTTGTGGCTGATAATTAAATTGACACAAGACAGATCAACAAGAAAAAAAATACAATACAAATGTATTTAATTCAAGTTGTATGTGGCATTGGAGGCTTCATAAGAAAATGATGACTGAAAGATGCAGTTAAAGTTAAACACATATACTAAATTGGACAAAGAGTAGTAGATTATGAAGATGTGACAAGGTAAAGGGGCTTGGGCTAGGGTAGTTAATTGGGTGAAGTGATAAGAAAGACAAGAGTTAGTTTAACAAGGTGTGTTTGGACAGATTTCCAGTGACCTCAACTTCCCATCCTTGATGATAAGAATGACACTTTTCTTCTAGTACAGGGAGGATATATTTCAACTGGAAATTTTATCTCCTGCTTTTAAAAAGGACTGCAAGAGTGTTCTTCTTGCACCTGCCCTTTTTTTACGTGCCTTTGACTCAAAATAGTCAATGTGCCAGAGGGGCACATTTTTGGGTTGTATGTTCTGAACTCTTTCAAAGGGAAAGCCAGAAGATAGCAAAATGTTTTCAACAAGATGGCCCACTTTAATTCACATCTTGGTGTCCTTCCAATTCATAACGTGGGTCAGTTTACTGAACTACTCTGAGCACTGCTTTTTTCTTTAGTAAATGGAAACTCTGAGGCCTGCCTCAAAGGGTTTGTAGAAGGAGTAAGAGAAATAAAGAACATGAGCATTGTGTCTGAGAAGTAGTAATATCTTGATTAGTGATGACTCCTGGCATGGATGCTGTGATGTCCACCAGGTTCTGTTGCTCCAGAGCAAGGCTTCCCAACCTCAGCACTATTGATATTTTGGACCAGATAATTCTTTGTTCTTGGAGGCTATGTGCATTGTGGTAAGTTTAGCAGCACCCCTGGATGCTACCAGCTAGATATCAGTAGCATCTCTCCAGTTGTGCTAATCAGAAATATTTCTAGACATTGTCAAATGTTCCCAGGGGGAAAAAATCACCCCTTGTTGAGAATCACTGACCTTGAGTCTAGGACCTAGAACCCAGCAGACAGCCTTCAACTATCAACATTTTCAAGGACTGCCTCAGCTATAAAAAGCCACCTCACCCAGAATCATGCTCCTGCTCAGGACAGTTCACACCAGTAACTGATCAATGAAGTGGTATAAGGCCTGGCCACCTTGGCTCATCAGTACAACACTGAAGGGTCCTTCCAGCTTCAGAGTTCCTCACTGTGTCTGTAGGGTCCATCATTGGGTCTACATCCAGCTCACCTTCTCCTTCAGCCTACTCCTGCTTCCTCTCTCTCTCTTCCCCAGGTATTGATTAAGGGCACTCCTTAATAAACATCTAGCATTCTAAACTCTGTCTTAGAGTCTGTTTTCTGGGAACTGATCTGGGCTAACTCCCTTTCGCTTCCCTCTTAGATCCAGCTATGTGAATCTTTCTCCTATCAGATCTAGCAGAAGAAAAACATACTGCACAGTTAATGACAAGTTTCATTTGCCTTAGCTCTCAGTTCTGTCTTGGAATCAATCATGCAACTTAGTAATTGAGTCTGAATGTACCAACTGCCTTGTCTGTTTTAACAAGGACAAATAGTTTCATCTGGAAATGACATCGTTGCCTTGAATGTGGGAGCAAATGGTAGTGTAATGGAGGATGACTTTGGTAATATTATTGCATTAATTCAAACAAAAAGGCAATGATAAAGCAGAGATGGAAATAGAGTATTGTGGAAAAAAATTCATTTTATGTAAAATAACTTTGCACAGAATTCATCTAAACTAAGCCTACTCCATTAATCATTTTTTATTACTCAGAGAGAGAGAGACAGACAGACAGAGAGAGACAGGGAGAGAGAGATTGAGAAAGAGCAAGTGAACAAGCAAACTAACAACTTTTGCAGCACATAGTTTGTGTTCTCTGCCATAATAAACTTCTGATGGGGCCATCAGAAGTGAGTAGCATGAGATTTCTTTATTTCAAAGCTGCATTTAATATAACCACCTTCCATGCAAATACTATCCCATGGAGGAATGATAAATTGTACCAAAACCCATGCCAGGTGTTGCACATAACTCAGCAATCACCTCTAGAATTTGGAGAATGACATTAGCAACCAAATTTGTGAGCCTCCAGATTCTCCTTTCAGCAAACTTCAGGAGCAATATGTCTCCATGCTAATCAGGCCTGAGCACCCAGCCATCAGAAATTCTAGGGAGACAAAAACAAAAAACAAAAAAAAATCATTTGAGGCCGAGGCAGACAAATCACTTTAGAGCAGGAGTTAGAGACCAGCCTGGGCAACATGGTGAAACCCTGCCTCTACTAAAAATACAAAAAATTAGCCGGGCATGGTGGCACATGCCTGTAGTCCCAGCTACTCAGGAGGCTGAAGTGGCAGAATCACCTGAGCCCAGGATGTTGAGGCTGCAGTGAGCCATGATTCCACCACTACACTCCAGCCTGGGCCACAGGAGTGAGACCGTGTCTTAAAAAATAAAAATAAAAATAAATTTGACTTAAGAGTGGAGAATTTTTTCTTATGTGAAATTATAGGTTGGGCCACCAAGTGGGAAATACTTTTATAGCCCAACATGTTGATATCAAGCAGATTTGCAAAAACACTGAAATCCTTTTTTTTTTTTTTTTTTATTGATCATTCTTGGGTGTTTCTCGCAGAGGGGGATTTGGCAGGGTCATAGGACAATAGTGGAGGGAAGGTCAGCAGATAAACAAGTGAACAAAGGTCTCTGGTTTTCCTAGGCAGAGGACCCTGCGGCCTTCCGCAGTGAAAAGCACTGAAATCCTTAAGGCTGTAGACTCTGTCTCCCATTCCCTTGAAAGTCCGTCTTCATTTCTTCCCTTTCTGTCTAAGTAATTTAAGGGTAAGGAAGGAAATGCTCCTCAGCCTTCTCTGTCTTGACCCTAACAGTGTCTCAAAACATACACAATAAACCCTAAGCCATCATCCCTACCACTTGCTTCTCTCTGACCCTTGATTCTCAGTTTAGGCATTCTTGCAAAGTGGGAATTTCTTTCTCTCTTGCTCATCCATCGTCATCCCATCCACTTTTACACAGCAGTCTTGCAGTCTGGGTAGAAATGACTCCACCTTCAGCTCCATCGGAAGGGGCTGACTGACCTAAATAAGCAGCATACCTTCCCCTCCATAGCCACAAGAATAGAAAGATGAAGAGTTTATTGACCACCATTGACCTGTTGGTGTAAATTAACTGTAAAGTGCTCTTAACCTCTAGAATTTTTCAATTGCTTAGCCAACACATTCCTTACTGTTTAGTCAGTTTTAGTTAGATTTCCCATTATTTGCAAGCAAAACCATGCTACCTGATATACCTTCCATTTAAGTGTTTTTCATTATATATCACATTTCACTGACTCAAGCAAGCTGTCAATTGTAAGAAACACCATTATTTTGTGTTACTTTGTGGACCACTAAGAAGAGAAAGCTCCACCAGTTAAAATATAACACATGCTTTCTTATCATTTAGGATTTTCATTGCATACTCATTGAAATTGCTATTGTTGATTTATGTAGATAATTTTTAAGCACATCTTCCTCTACAGCATGGATAAAAAGGAGATAAATTGTTTGTTTCCTAAAACTTCCTCACATTCAGGATCCAGTACTTATGAATCACTTTTCAACTCAGAGTCATAGATAGGAGTTTTCCACAGTTTTATCCTCATACCCTCAAGAATGATGGTGTTGCTCCAGTCCTTAATGACTGACCCACTGTTGGCTCTGCACTTTTCTTCCAAACCACTGCCACCCTCTCTGAAAGTTTTGCGCGTAGCTCTTTCTTTTTTCATGCCAGAGCTTCCAACAAAGGGTTTCAGACAACAGTCAAGACACATACCTCCTCCTCAGGCGGCCCCTAATTGGTTGGTTAGCTGAAAGTCAAGGGATGGCAGTTGCCCAGCCAATCCGCCAGAAATGACAACCAAGTGTGTATGTGTATAGGCAGAGAAGCTTCATCACAACTATGTGTGATTGTAAAACACCTCAAATATAAGAGTTATCCTAGTTCAAGTAAGTTAGAATATGAGAACATGTGCATCTTAGAAACAATGAAATTCAGAATACCATTCTTTCCCTTCTTTTTCTTTTCTCAGAGACAGGGTCTCACTCTGTTGCCCAGGCTGGAGTACAGTGGTGCAGTCCTATCATACTGCAGCCTCAAAGTCCTGTGCTCAAGCCATTCTCCCTCCTCAGCCTCCTAAGTAGCTGGGACTACAGGCATTCATCACCACATCTGGCTAATTTGTTTTTATTTTTTGTAGAGACGAGGTCTCACTATGTTTCCCAGGCTAGTGTCAAACTCCTGGCTTCAACTGATCCTCCTGCCTTGGCCTCCCAAAGTGCCAGGATTCCAGGCATGAGCCACTGTGCTTGGCCCCACTCTTTTCTCTACATGTTGGTTATCAGCATAGTGGGTTGTGCCATCATGCCGTTAACTAGGGTGCAGTATATACTTCAGCATTTTCAAACCATGGTATGCCTAACTCTAGGAGTATGAAAGATATTTTGAGGTGGTAAACAGATGGACATTACCCATTTAAATGTGATATTTACATTTTTCCCAAGTCTTCATCCCTCCTTCTACACATACCCTTTACCATATAATTTTGCAGTTCCTCTGCAATAGACTGAATGTTTGTGTCCCCCACAAGATTCACGTGGTGAAGCTCTGGTCCCACTGTGATGGTGCTTGGAGGTGGGGCCTTTGGGAGGTGATTAGGTCATGAGGGTGGAGGCCTCATGAGTGGGATTAGTGCCACTAGAGGACATTAGAGGTCAGAGAGCTACCTAGCTCTTCTTTCCACCATGTGAGAATACAAGGATAAGTTGGCTGTCTGCAACTTGAGCCCTGAAAGAGGGCTCTCACCATAATCTGACTATGCTGGCACCCTGATCTTAGATTCCCAGCCTCCAGAACTGTAAGAAATAAATGCTTGTTGTTTAAATCACAGTCTATAGTAATTTGTTATGCATCCCGAACCGAGTAAGACACTCCACGAGGGGAGTAGTATAAATGCAATGTTGTGTCCATGCCCTAAATCCATACGCTGAAACCTAATTCCCAATATGATGGCATTAGGAGGTGGAGCCTTTGGGAGGTAATTAGGGGATAAGGGTGGAGCCCTTCCCTCATGAATGGGATCAGTGCTCTTATAAGAAGAGACACCAGGAAGATTATCTCTTTCTCCACTATATGAGGCCACAGAAAGAAGACAGCAGTCTACACACCAAGAAAAGAGCTCTTGACAGACACCAAACCTGCTGGCACCTTGACCTTGGACTTCCCAGCCTCCAGAACTGTGAGAAATATAAGTTGTTTAAGCCACTCAGACTATGGTATTTGTTATAGCAGCCTGAGCTGACTAAGACAGAGGGGATATATTTTTCTTCATCCCGCTGATGATAGACTTGAGCATGTGACTTGATTTGGCCAATGGGATAATAATGGACGTGACATTTAGGTTTCAACTTTTAAATTCCTGTCTTTGGAGGAGAACAATGAGAAGACTATACCATAAGAACACGCCTCATGTAGCTACTGGTCCAGGGAGGCTGACAGACAAGTGGAGTAGATGTAGTAAACTCAGTCTCAGATCAGCTGTGCCCCAACCAACCCATAGCCATGTAAGCAAGAAATGCTTACTATTGCACATTACTGAGTTTTTGAGTGCTGGTTATATAGCATTACTGTAGTAATGGCAATGATATAACTATGCTAAAACTATAAGTTATTATAATCTATCATAACAAGTAATGCTTGTTTTCCATTTATGACAATGATACAAAGTTTCCTTTGAAAATAAAATTGCTTAAAGAGTCAATTAGAATATTAGGTAAACCAGAAGATGGAATGTAAATGACCAAAGTTAGGAAAATACCAATGCAGGAAATAAAGATTTGACATGGAAAGCACAAGCACAGGTCACTCACTAGCTACAGGTCTGGGAGCCAACAGTATATCCCCTCAGCACCTCTCTATCCCCATCTATAAAAGGAGCAGAGCTGGGCTAGATGGCTTATTTGGCTATTAAATTCTGTGATGCTATGAAACAGCCTCTTATCCTTCTCTATAGCTCAAGATAAAGGTGATAGAGAGACAGGCAATTTTATAGTATCCTGAATGCCTCACAGTGTTTGGACATGGGAGGCAGCAGCACTGCAGCAATAATTGTTGTCATTTCTTGAATTACCGAAATGTGCTGAGCACTGGGCTCAGAGCTCTATGTGCATTATCTGATTCATTCCCATGAACAAGCCTGTGATCAAAAACAGATTGCCCACTTTCTATAAACATGGAGAAGAGAAAAGCTAAGAAAGAAAACTTGTCCAAGGTCACAGAAAGGAATACTAAAGGATTTCTTTATCTCGTATAAAGAGTAATTGATTCTATTTTTTAATTACACAAATAACACATGAATACAAGGCTAAAACAAGACAGGTATAGGCAGATCTCAGTGAGAACAGTTCTCTTACAGCCACACGCTTTCTCTCCTCTAATTCGCTGAGAACACCCTCCTTGAGGCCATCACTGCCAAGAGTAGAGTGAGAATCCTTCCGCTGCATTCATTTACATTTTAAAGACTAAATAGTGTCATGTCCTCTTCCTCAACTCAACCCTGTAATCACCTCCCATCATGCTTTAATAAAATTCAAAATCACAACCATAACCTCCAATCCTCGCTTCCTTAGCCCCTCCCTTCCACTTTTTCCTTGCTCCTGAGTTCCAGCCACATTGGTCTCCTTTTGTTCTTCAAGTGCACAAAGCATGATTCTACTCCAGGGCCACTGACCTTGTTGTCACCTCTGTCTGGCATACTCCATTTCCCAAATACTCCCTGGTTTTCTCCCTTGTTCCTTTTAGATCTTTGATCAAATGTCACCTCCTCGAAGAGGTCTTCCTAGCCTCCAGCTAAATTACTCTCTATTGCTTAGCCTGCTTTGTATCTCTTTACAACTCCCATCACCACCTGACACACAGTTGTTTGCTTGTTCACAGTCTCCCCAACATCAATTCCCTCTTTCCTGAGTTGCAAACTCCCAGGAAGACCTTTGCTTTGTTTATTGCTGTATCACCAGCACCTAGAATGGTGTCTGGAACTCAATAAATATCTGTTGTGTGGATAAATGAATAAATGATTAAGTTATAAGATCTATACAAGCATCGCCATATTTTTCTTCTATACAAATTGGAGCTTACATTGGTTTTTATGTTCTGGAACTTGCCTTTTTTCATGTAGTAGGTCTTAGGAGATCATTCAATGTCAGTGTATATTGATCTACCTCATATGTTTCTAATAGCATATTCTAGTCTATGGTATGATTATACTATGTTTATTTAACTACTGCCACATTGATGAATATGTAGGCTGTGTGTAAATTTTGCTGTAACATGCAACCTGGCAACCCATATTCTTTTTGTTTTGTTTTGGTTTTGAGACAGAGTCTCACTCTGTCACCTAGGTTGGAGTGCAGTGGCAGGATTATGGCTCACTGCAGCCTCAGCCTCCCTGAGCTGAGGTGATCCTCTCACCTCAGCCTCCTGAATAGCTGGGACTACAGGTGCATGCCACCACACCTGGTTAATTTTTGCATGTTTTGTAGAAACAAGGTCTCACTATGCTGGCCAGGTTGGTCTCTAACTTCTGGATTCAAGCAATCCGCCTGTCTCAGCCTCCCAAAATGCTGGGATTATAGGCATGAGCCACCGCACCCTTGTGTTTTTTTTAGAGGAAGGACGGCACTCTATTGCCCAGGCTGAAATGCAGTGGTACTATCACAGCTCACTTTGGCCTCAAACTGAAACTATTAAACTTTTCCCACCTCAGCCTTTCAAGTAGCTGGGACCATAGGCACGCACCACTATGCCTGGTTAATTTTTTTAAGTTTTCGGAAAGACGAGGGTCTCACTATGCTATCTAGGCTAGTCTCCAACTCCTAGCATCAAGTAATCCTCCTGCCTCGGCCTGCCAAAGTGCTGGGATTCCAGGCAAGAACTCCCATATCCAGCGTTACAACCAACACTCTAGATGTTTCTACCTAATATATTCTGGTAGGATCTATTCCTAGAAATAAAATTAACCCACTTAACCATTAGGTTAAAGAAGAAGCACATTTAAAATTTTAAAAATACTACCAAATTGCTCCTCTTAAAGTTTTTTTCAATATAAAATCTCTTTAACAGTGGAGAATAGTCAATAATTCAATTTTTTTCCCCATCGCATGGGTGAATATAGTAAAAGGATGCCGTCTCCTTCAAAAACTGCATTCAAAAGTGCAAACACTATTACAGTGCCCATCCCACCCACAAGGCTAACTGACCCAAAGGCCAAGGTTCTTTGTAGGAGACTGTGCATGAGATCACATAGAAACGGCCAGTGAAGTGTTTGGAGTGTGGTGTGCGAACTCACTGAGGCACTATAATTATAAGTAATAACTTGGTTTCTTTTTGTTTTCTTCATTATACCTTTGAAATAGCTGTCGTAAAGTCATTTATTGCCAGCTGCTTTCATGTTTATAACTATTCGACTCCATGCAGTATAAAACAAACTATTACATGGCCATGAATAGTAGCAGCCCTCTTTCAAACTTTTTATTTTCCGAGAAGACAGCTGGATTAGTTTCACCATGAATTTATTAGGATACAAAATGTTGGAACCAGCAAATGGAAGAACTTGATTTTTGCCTGAGCTTGCTTGTGTGACTTGTAGGAATGTTTTACTGTAAATCATACATATGTGAAAAGGAGAACAGGTCTCCATAAACCTGCTGGACCCAAGAGAATGTGCATCCTGTTCTAGAATGTTTACATCTATAAACTCCCTTTATATAGAAGCAAAGGGAAGAAACAAAGATTAAAAACAAAGCAAAACAAAATCCCTGCTCATATTAACGGCAAATCAGTTGGGCAATATGAAAGCTTCTACTGGAAGAAAATGTTCCCCAAATGGTGACCCTTCAATGACCTTAATCACCTCTAATTTTGTAAGTATCCCCTCTCCATCTTCCTCATAATTAAGGAACATGTATCAGGCACATTCTGCATACCTGGCACTAAGAGGCGGGAAGTGCAGGGGGACGCCCTTAGGTGACTTTGCTGGTGCAGAGCCCGAGGAAAATTGACATAAGAGGCAATCTTTTCAAATCCCCTGAGAAGTAAATTACCCACTCGAGACTAAAAGGCCCACAGCTCATGGCCATTGCCAGGCCTAACTGACCCTGAGAGGGGGGCCTCCTGGGCTGAAGAAGAGGTTTAAATGACAAGAAGAAGCCTCTTGCACACAGGAATCGGGAACAAGAACACAGGGCTGATTGCAGGAGCTCTGGAGGACAGATACACCTGGGAGCATTCCTCAGCATAGCTCTAAGGGACACAGTTGGTGCCTCATCCTTCTCCAAGCCCATTCACCCCTGTCCATGATACGCCCCCCTCACAGCAACTGCCAGAGGACTGCCCCTGGATGCTGGAACTAACTTTTATAGTGCACATAGAGCTCGGGAATCAAATGCTCCCCAGGGGCAGCCCTTTACCAATGACTGATGGGTGAGGAATGGGAGGGTGCAAATTCCTTGCCCTTGCCCTGGTGGGGACAATGTTGAAGGGTGACCTTCACCATCTGGAGAGCAACCCCGTGGCCTTGGGTAATCACCTGGGATTTGCCCCAATACCCACTCTTCCTTTCACTCTCACTTCTTCACATTTCACCTGTTGTGTTTTCTGGGACCACTTCGTCATAAATCTCTTTCCCCCAAATCCTTATCCCAGAGTCTGCTTCTGAGGAAACCAACCTAAGACATTTGATATTGTTATTTCCCTTGGTGTGGCTGGCAGTAGAGCTTTTAAAGCAAAATAAACCTGCAGGGTTATTTTGGCAGAACCTCAGAGGAAACAGAGCACTTGCTTATAACCAGCTAGTCTTGGTAAGAAGGAGGAAAAGCAGGTAAATCTTTATAAAGCCACAAGAAGGAAGAAAGGCCCCCCTGAGACCTGGATTAAAACCCAGGAGGGACTGCCAAGGACAAACAACTGGGAAAGGATTCAGTGAGAGGCCCCTTAAGAAGAAGGCAGTGTTCCTTGGGATTCTGTCTTTCACGTGTCCAGTGCCTCCGAAGGTTTTTTAAACAAACCCAAGTGGAGGTTATTATGGATCCTTGGCTTTGAGTCAATCCCTGGTTTTCTTAATAAGTTGTACCTTCCAGTGTCTCTTAATTAGGAAGTTGAAGGTCTAACTTCCAGGAGAAGCTTTTAAGAAAATCTATTCACACCAACCAACCAATCACAAAGCAACACAGACGGTCTCAGAGAGAAATAGTTCCCAACCCTTAACAGGCTCCAGTGGTGAGGTTCCAAAGAACCTATGGGCCAGGTGCTATGGATAGAGCAATCAACCATTTCTCACCTAACTTGGCCTCAAATCCTCTTCCGGGACTCACTGACAGGCTGCTAATAAACTGAACAGTTGTTAGGAGGGAGAGAGAATACACATTCAACAATATTTACTGGAAGATCATAGAAATGGACAGAATACTCAGGAGCTTCAGCTATCAGTCTCTTCCCCTGTTAAAGCTTAACAAGTAGGAAGAAAGATACCACCTTGTAAATTCTACAGCTTCCGTGGGCTTCATTGTCTTTCATAATAACCAAGTAAGACTGACAGAAAGCATTATTATTATTCTTATCCCCAGACTGGGTGAGTAACCTCCCCAGAGTCACACAGTGGTTAAGAAGAAAAGCTCAGACAGAAGCCCCGATCCTTTGACTCAGAATTCTAAGCACTTTCCACTGCAGAACAGAGTCAGTGAGGTCAAGGGAAGAAGGGAAAGAGAAGAATTCATCTTGAGCATCCTCGGTCCTTGAGAAAGAACTGGTTAGAGATGAGAATTCTTTTTCAGCATCCACAGTGTGAAAACCGTTCTATGTGCCACCTACCAGATCTTAACAGCCTTAAACATGTCTTCAAACTGAAGATTAGTGTGACTTTCTCCCAAAAAAACAGAAGAAAAATATCCTCCGTTATAGTATTTCTCAAACTTTAGCTGCATCAGAATCACCTGGAGGGCCTAACTACCAGTTTCTCATCCAGAAGGTCTGCGGTGGAGCCCAAGAATTTGCATTTCGAACAACCTCCTAGTTGATATTGCTGTTGCTGGCTCCCAGGACCACACTTTTTTTTTTCTTTTCTTTTCTTTCTTTCTTTCTTTTTTTTTTTTTTTTTTGAGACAGGGTTTCGCTCTGTCACCTGGGCTGGAGGACAGTGGTGCGATCATGCATCACTGCAGCTTTGACTGCTGGGACTCAAGTGATTCTCCCATCTCAGCCTCCCCAGTAGTTGGGAACTACAGGCACGCACCAGCATACCCATCTAATATTTATTATTATTATTATTCATAGGGATGAGGTCTTGCTGTGTTGTCCAGGCTGGTCTCAAACTCCTGAGCTCAAGCAATCCTCCTGCCTCGGCCTTCCAAAGTGCTGGGATTACAAGCGTGAACCCCCATATCTGGCCCAGGACCACACTTTACGAACCATTACTCTATCCATTTCTAATCAAAGCTTTTTTCCCTTTTTTTGTATGGCTACACCAGATAATTGTAGCCCAGACTGCATCCTTCTCATATCCAGCACAGTCTCTCTTCCCTGGGATGAGCTAAGGTCCTTTTCTGTGTTTACTAATGTCACAGAACCACATAATTGGAGAAGGAGCAGGTTGCTAGTTTACCAACGCATATGCAGATTTCACGCCTGCAGAGTCTTGACACGTCTGTTTTATCCCTTGAAGTGTCGGCATGTTCTCTCAACAAACTGGGCAATTCCATTTCATCCCCTCCATGATTTCATGGTGTGAACTTGAAATCATTACATAAATGAAGAGATGGGTTTCCATGTGAGTACAGCCACTTCTTTTTTTTTTTGAGACGGAGTCTCGCTCTGTCGCCCGGGCTGGAGTGCAGTGGCGCGATCTCGGCTCACTGCAAGCTCTGCCTCCCGGGTTCACGCCATTCTCCTGCCTCAGCCTCCCGAGTAGCTGGGACTACCGGCGCCCCCCCACCGCCCCGCTAATTTTTTGTATTTTTAGTAGAGATGGGGTATCACCATGTTAGCCAGGATGGTCTCGATCTCCTGACCTCGTGATCCGACTGCCTCGGCCTCCCAAAGTGCTGGGATTACAGGCGTGAGCCACCTTGCCCAGCCAATACAGCCACTTTTTAAACCAATTACATGTGCAAACACCTGACTCCATATCATATTTATGAAAGTCAGGTGAGATCCTCTTGGCAGCTGCAGGGGGCCTAAACTCTAGTATGGTTTATGAAGAATGAGGGCTTTAAACAAATGAATTGTGATTATGCAGCTTGATTCAATACGTAAAGGTAATAAATTCTTCTTTCCTTAGTCACAAAGGAAGACATCAGTCAAGGCTAATGCACACTTTATATTTAACAAGGGAATTAATTAGGGAATAATGACCAAGAAAGAGATGTCTAAAGGACACACCCTGTAGAAATGACTAAAATAAAAGAAAGCAAGAAAAGAAAAGGAGAAAGAAATTGATTGTAGTCATATTTCCCAAGTTAAAAATTGCTACTCGTGGCCTGAAAATGGCTGTGCTTTGTGGACCATCAATCACAGTGAAGAGTTTTATCAACCAGAGTCTATTATGGAAATGAGCAAAAAGAACAAGATGGGGAGCAGCCAGTCTGCAAGGAGATATGACAGCTCAGGCCCCAGGAGGTAAGTTATTTCTCCACATTTCTCAGTGTTCACTGCATTAATCCAACCAGCAACCACAAGGAGGGGAGCAAGCAGCTGGCCATTCACTAAATAAATGCTCTAGCGGGCCAGGGTTGGCTCCCACACTGGGAGATGAGCAAACCATAAAGATGAGAAGATTTGGTTTTGCAAAATGTGACAAACCTAGGATTCACTAAGAGTAGAGAGTGAATTTCTTTCTACTCCTAGGGAGTTAACTTAGTCCATACACTAGATTGTCATTCTTATTAGAAAGGTAATAAGGTCACTTATTGCATGGATATATGGATGATGGATGGAAGAAAAGATGGAAGGAGGAATGGATAGCTGAATGGATGGAGCAAGTATTGACTTGATGAATACTTTTAGCCGCCACTAGTTCTGCTAGACTTTGACTTCATCAAAAGTTTAATTTCACAAAGTGATGAATTTAATTTTTCATCACAATCTTATGATTGCATCTTGATTAAGGATGAACAAAATAAAAATTATCCATAGCAGATTGTAACTCTATCTCAGATAAAACTTACTACAGCCAAGTGTTATATTCCTTTAAAGTGTGTGGAAGGATTTCTGCCCATCACTTTTCCTCTCCCTCCACTGTTTTTAATTTTTGGGATTCTCTGAAAGTGGGACACATCCTTCAACATGGAAAATGACAGTTTTGTTAGTAACAAACATCACTTAATGTAATTGAGGAACATTTTTGAGGACAAGTAAGAAGCCAATGATTAGACAAGACTTCTTCACTAGAGATGTATTTCCCACAAGCTCCAAAGAACTGACCAAAATTTCCCCACCCTACAAAATGTGTTCCTTTTGGAACTAACATATCTTCATGGGATCTCTAGCTCACATCCAGCTGCAAAATCTGTAAATTATTCCTTTGACCACTCCAGATCACTTTAAACTTTGTTTCAGTGTTTTTCTAGAAGAACACATATCTAACTCAGAATTGCAACTGGCCCTGTAGTTATTTGTTCTAACTTCCGCATGCACCATACATGGCTCCCCTCTCCACCATTTTTGATGGGACTCACCCAAGCATCATCTAAACTTCTCCAGGTACAGGGAGTTCCCTGGTTCACAAAGTGCCATGGACCAGCACTTGTCAAAAGCCAATGTGTATCCAATCATTTAGGCATATTGCTAAAATGCAAATTCTGATTCCGTTTCTCTGGGGCAGGCTGAAATTATGTTTCTAACAGGGTCCCAGGTGATGCTAATGTTACTGATCTGTGGACATATTTAGAAGCAAGTAAATAGAAAATAATTCTACTTCAGGCTCTACTTTCATGATATCATTGCATTAATTCCAACCTTGGGAAGGCAAGGAGTAGGGCATTATTATTTTCACGTATACGGATACCTGAAGTGGCAGATCTTCAAAAGCTACACAGAGGTTAAGGATAACCAGGAAGAGGCTGGATGATGAAGCGTGTGCTCTATACTTGTACCTTGTAACAATACTGCCCTTTTTAAATACCTAACTCCTCTCATCCTGATAAGCACATGCGTCCTTCTGTTCACATAAAGTGTCATTATCACAGACTCAATTGTTTCCTAGTGGGGCAATTTTATCGGTTTCTACCTGTCCATGACACGTCTACAGCTTAGACCACAGTCAATATATTCCAAAAATTGGAGCCAGAATAATTATCAAACATAAATGTGCAGACAAGCCACCAGAGGATCTGGTTAAAATGAAAATTCTAATTCAGTGAGTCTGGGTTGGGGTCTGAGATTCTGTATGATTAACATGCTCCCAGATGATACCAATACTGACAGTCTTGGGATTACAGTCTGAGTAGCAAGAGTTTTAGACTACTGATTCTTCAAACTAAGAACTTTCACAATTCTGATCCCTGTACTGATGGTGACCCTTATATCAGTAAAGTGTCCTATGCTGCAAATTACAGGAAACTTAACTCCAAGTGGCAGTAAAAGTGAAAGAAATGCACTTTTAGTCTTTTGTACTTAAAAAAATCTAATGATATATATAACCTCAGTTTAGGCTTGACTCAGCTGCTCTATGGTGCCTCCAATTCTATATTAAATGACCATTTGACTTCGGTTACTTGGATGATATAAACCACATGTACGTTAACATATATACATATATAATAGCATGGGCATGCTACCTGGTGAGGAAGTCAATTGGTCAGGTGCTTTTCTGTGTGAGCTAAGACAAAAGCTAAGGTATCGTTTCTTGTCAGAATTGCAAATGGCTCTTCTTAGGTTGAGAGCTGTATAGAGTGATTTCTGAGAACTACCTCTAAAGACTATGATTCAGTGATCTGAGAGGCTTCCAAGAATTTTGTCATTATTAGAAGGCATAGACCATTATGAACTTTAAAAAATCCCACAAACATATGAATTTTGTCTCCTGCCTTCAGGTTGAACCATAAATCACCAGATAACTTACAATTTTTTTAAAATCCCACTAAAGATTCTTGGAACTCTCAGTAAACATTAAATAACACTCCCCAATCACATATAACTTTTCTCCCTTGTGTAGTTTCTAACTGAGGGGAAGTCTTCCTTCCTTCATCCTCCTCTACTATCTCTACCTCCACTCCTTCCTTGTTATGATTTGGTAAGATGAAGTCATCCTTAATGAGACACAATGAACCATTTTCATAAGATTAGAGCTACTAATCAATAACTTCGGAAATTACTAAGGGGGAATAAAATACCAGAGTTAATGTTTCCTTTACATATGGTGTATTTCCTTTAGTCTGGTCACTCCAGTATTCCATTCAGAATTCTGAAGTGCCTGCAATTTCAACCTTGATTCTCATTTACCTTTGATGTGAAGCGAAACTTGCCCCGTCAAAAAAAAAAGTTTTATATTTTCATAAAGAAATGCCATGACATTTTGCCTTCTGCAGTGAATGCACAAGCTTGCAAGATTATGTTGATGTGATGGTGGCTGTGCTAGCACATCCAGGAATTGAAAGAGCAGAAGAAAAATGCAAGTATTTTCGCTAAATTAAAGCAAGGAAAGATACTTTTTTAATACTAATGGATCTTTATTCTACTTTTCTTCTCTTGAATGATAATATGCAGTATTTTCTAGTTACTTATGGTAAGGCATATTTTTGGAAAATTATTAGCAATGCAGATATGACCATCTTTGGGCACATTTTATTAGAGAGATTTTTAAGTATGTAATGACTCCCTATGATATTTTATGAGCTTTCATAAATGGGTCATTTGTCCAGATAAGAAATTTAGTTATAGAATGAACATAGAGATATATTTAGATCTTAATTACACAGGCCAGACCCACTGGCAAAGTCATTAGACATAGTAATTCCTGAGATTCCCAGAAGAATGAACTGATCATGAGAGAGCTCACTGGGGCCATTTTTCTGGCTTTAAGAGGCCTGAAATTTTGCCCTACAGTCTCGATAATTTAAATGGTACCATATTCTCTGCTACAGTTCCAGAGAACTGTCAGTTTTCACGTAGAAAACAAAGTCTGGATCTACGGAGTCTCCAACTTTGGGAAATTGATGGTTTATCTGGATAAATTAATCAAAATGGAAATCACTTTAAACAAGGGTTTTCTTTAGCCTGCAATGTGCTGATGCTTTGTTTAGTTAACCTCTATGCTTTAATGTTTTAGTTACAAGTATTTATAATTGCTTGACAAGAGATGGCATAGTCAAAAGGCAATGCATAAGGGTATTCAATGTCTCTATTAAATGAGCTGGAAATTCTTCGCTTCTTGATCTTTTATCTCCCTTATGTCAGCTTTTCTTTTTCTTTTTTTTAATAATGCATATGCAAAATTATATCCCACTGAACTCCACAGATCCTCATGTGTCTCATTAACAGAAATAAAATTATAAGGTGTTATGAGGCTCCAACTGGCAGCAACAACTAATATTGTTTACAGCTCTTTTTCCAACAGCACTTGCACCTTTTGGAGAACTAGTGAGAAACTAATTTTGATCCATTTAGCAACTGAACTTTTCAGACATTCTTTGTCACCCACTAGATAGCAAGAATTCTAAACAACGGAGAAGGCAGGGAGGAGAGTGGTGGGTGGTGCTGACAACCTCCAGGCAGCCACAGGTGTGTCAAGAGGTGCAAGACACCCACAGCAAGAGCTAGATCAGAGGCACTTCCATCCAACACCCACTCCCATGATTCCAAGCAGCACCAAGGATTAAACCATCTGCGCCTGACCTCCTGCAGGCCTTTGGACACCGATGGATTAATCCTGGGCTTCAGCTTCCTTGAGTAGCAGAGGGGGATTATGGGTTGGAAAATGAAGAATGAGCTTGCAAGAAAACACTGATGCTTCCCAGTAGGTCATACTTTTTCCCCAGCTGCATACAGAGTCTAAAACTCAACTGTAGCCAAAACATAAAATTATCACAATTTATAGATATAGCATTATGTACTAGCTAAATAATTTGGGGACAATTCCAATACCAATCTTATTAGGCTAAACATTATATGTAAGGGATTCTATAAGACTTGTTCAAATCCATGCAATCATAGTTTTATCTGTAGGATAAAGTATAGCTTTCAAAGACAGATGAGAAAATTCAGTAAAATCTCTCTGGCAGGATGCAACCTTTCAAAATTTACCTGAAAAGAGGAATTTGATGACGGGATAACAAACAGGACTTTCAACATCTAATTTTTTTTTTCCCATTGGCAGATAAAATCTGTTCTGGCAAATTCCTAAAGCAAGCCATTTCAGTAAAAGCAGAAATACTATATGTGAAGAATAATAAAATTCTCTTTACTGAAACTTCAGATTAACAATAGGAAATTTCAAATTATTTTGACAGGAAAGGTAAATCATGATTTCTAAAGAATTTCTGTGTTGGTAGCTTAAAAATCTCTTTCTCTCTCTCTCAGCTTTGTGTGTGTGTGTGTGTGTGTGTGTGTGTGTAAATACATATCCTGGTGGCAATTAATTAACATGTAATATTCTAATCAGGTACTCACCCTCCAAAGATGACTACATCATCCACTATTATTATTGAATAGCATAAGTTTAGCTAACAAGCAAACGATATATTAGAAATATGCCTCAATTGGTGAAACGATTGGTGTTCAAGATATGTTGTTGCCTAAAAAGATTGTACGGCACCATTGCTCTTGCACGAGATATATGAGAATCTAGAGCCTCTGGCAATAAGATCTTGGGAGCCAAGCCGAGGTCCAGAGCTCTGTCTGGTCTCATGATCATATGTTGAATGGGTGACTTCACAGCCTGGTTTGCCTAGAGGTTTGGCAACTCAAAATGAACTTTTCCTGCAAGGCGTGTTGGTTTTCCTGCAAGCGTGCTTGCAGATGGAGGAACATCACTAAGTTTACAGGATAAGACTGGATGACTATTTTGTGGCTACTTCCTCATTGATGCTTTGTGTGTGTGTGTGTGTGTGACAGAATTCAGTCTGAGAATTGCTTGTATTGCAACATAGAGTTTAATATGACAGTGGTATATCAGTAGAATATTTTCACCTCTATGTATTGTCGCCACTACCAGAGGCTAACAATATTTGCCAAATGGACTTGATGACTGTTGATGGAGCTGAAAGTTGTGAGCAGAAACAAAGTAACAAAGGAGGAACAGGTTGCTGAAGAGACTGACTCAGGAGCAGCCATGAGAGATGATATTCATCAAATATACCGAAGGAAGGTAACCCATTAACAACAAAAGACATGATTGGTTTTTTAAATCTAATTACAAAATATACTATCTGCTCAAAAATTAATGCAATGCTATGGTATATTTCTCTTTGTCAAGATCCATTAGATAGTCGTAAGTACTAAAAAGCTAACTGTACAACAGTTCTGGGGTTTGGAGAGTGGTGGAGTAAGGCTTTTATTCAGCTGAAATTGTGTCTCCTATTACATTTATCCATGTAAGTTTGGTAAGAATCATCTATTGCTTTAAAGTGTTTTTATTATTCCTCCATCATGTATATCTACGCATTCTCAAAAAATCTTATAGAGAAACTAGAAGGAAAAAAGATTTTTTTTAAAGAAAAAGAAATAAAAGGAAACGAGGAATAAATCCAGACCAAGACAGAAAACAGGTAGGCCCAATGTTGGCAGCCAGTTTAATATCCCAGGTTCCAAGGTTGCACTTGGATTTGTTTACTTAGTTCAACCAGCCAGTTATCATTCTAGCTTAACACACGCTGTTGATGTTTCACCCGTGGCCCCTCAAAGCTCACTGTTCCCATGTACATCAGTGCCTTCTCATTGCAAGCCCCTGTGACTCTCTGGCTGTGTATGGGTGATGGAAGAAAGGTGATGGATATCAAGAGGGACAATTCTAGATGTGCTCATGCAGTCCATCAGAAGAATCCCAAGGGGATGGAGCCCTCCTCTAGGAACTTGTTTAATAATGCAACTGTATCGGATCCTGCCATTCTCATGATCACTTCCTCATTTTCCTATCAGTGCATCCTAGCATCACCTCCAAAATCAACTACATGCATTCACTGGTCTCACTGTCTGCTTCTGGGGAAACCTCACCTCAAATGAGGTAAGTATGCTCATATCAGTGCCATATGAAGCAAATGTTCAAACCATCTTTATCCTCTTACAGATGCAAACAAATAATCCTTTCTCGTATTGCTTTTTTCTGCATTCCATTGCTACACTCTGATTCTCCTGCTTTGAAGAATTATACACTGCAGCATTGTGATGCTTAGAACTTCACATAATCACTATTCAAGAGGAAAAATAAATTGCAAAGTAAAAACCTTCCCTGCAACTTAATATACAGAAAATAAGGCAAAGAAGTAGAGTAGTCAAATCTTAGGCAAGCTTGATGCTCAATCATTGTAATTTAACCATAAAAATGATGAGGGAGAGGTTTAGGATATGTATCACCCATCATTTGGTCTCAAGTAGTGGTTATATTATTGCACAAAGCCTCACAGTGTGTCCATTTGTACACAGCTGACCTATATCCAACCAGAACTGGCTAGCATGGGAGCTTTCTAATAATAATAATAGTAATTTAATTTTCTTATAGCTTTAATTATCAGTTGCAGAAAAGAAGAAAGTATAAAGAAAAAAAGAGGCTTAATGCATTAATATCAATCTTTTAGGAATTGAAGCAAAAGAATAAATATTCCCCAACTTGATCTGGTGGCAACTAGTTACTGTGAAACCAAAGAGCTTACCTTGAAGCAGAAGAGATAAAATGATCCCATTTTCACAAATCAACGTGTTTTACCTCTTAAAAGATTCCCTCCAGATTTCCTTTGCCAGACATACTTGAAGATAATAGAAACATGACTTTCGGACAAATATTGACAAGTCTCCATACCACAGAGCTCTTTCCTTTCCACAATGCTTTGTGTATTTATATAGCAGCACATTCACTGTCACTGAAAGATGCCCTCTCTGGAGGCTAAGGGCCAGGGGGATCATCTCTAATGTGGTTTTATTCCACTGATCTCAGCGGCTGAATGGAAGACGAAGCTTTCATTTAGTGAGGACTTTGCTCCGATTCACTTCTTCTGGAATCTTCACACACTTTGCCCCTTCCTCATTTAAGATCAAAAGGAAGAAGAGAACATGTGACTTTGCATGGAACCGTAGATAAAAAAGACTTTAAAAAGCAAAGGGCTGGTATAGAAACATGCATTTTTATTTTATTCTGTCTTGTACAAACCTCCATAAACAAGTGAATACTACCAAGGCTGGGAGCTGTTATCAGATAAATGCTGTCAAATACTCTAAGGGACTTCCACTCTGCACAGCCAGAACCTGTCGTCCGTTGATGCCAGGAGGTTAAGCAGAAGTTTGTAAAGGACTCTGCAGAAGACAGTATTTGTGTCTAAATCTTAGATTCTTCAAGAGGACATTCTGCCTATGGCATTGTGAAGTTGATTTTTATTTTATTCCCCTTAAAAAACTTCTGGTTTTAAATTCATGGACTCCTCAAAATCTTACATAATGCCTGCACATTCCTGCCTTGCATTGCCTAAATTAAGAAAAAAAGCCCAGCAAATTGAAATGACCACACCGAGTTCTGTTTGTTAACAGAGTATTTGGAAGTAGGACTGTCCTGAAGCTGATTTCGCAGCATGGAGGACACTGCGCTGAGAGACTTTGGGGTGTTGCTGTCACTGATGAGCTGTGTGACCCTGAGGAAATCACTCCATGTCTCTTTGATCCTCAGTTGCCTCACATGGAAAATGAAGAGGTTGCACTAGCTAATCTGTAAACTTCTTCCCCAGTCTGATGTTCTGTGATTCTAGTAACTACACCTGACCTTATTGAGCACTTATTATGTGATAGGCAGTGTTTCAAAAGTATAAATTTAGTATTCATTTAATTCTCAAAACAAGCCCATCAAATAGGTACTCTTATTATCACTGACCCCATTTTGTGGATGAGGAAACTGAGGCACAGAGAGGCTGGGTGCCTAGTGAGTGGCAGTCAGGATGTGGCCAGCGAGTCCACCTCTAGAGCATGTCCTCTTAAGCACCGTGCTAGGCTGCCTCTCTACCCACCTCTAGCCTCCTTAACACTGTCCTAGGAATAAAAGGAACAGTTATAGAGCTTCTCAAGTTGGGATCCCCAAAACCAGACATTGAGACTAGGATTTTGGAAAAAGTATCTTATTTGGGAGGCAATTACAGAAAGCACTGTGAAGAAGAAAAGTGAGAGTGTACACTAGTGAACAGGTTACCACTGTGGCTGCTGGTGCTCCATCCTGTTGGGGGTGCTCTGAGGAACTCTGTAGAACACAACTTTTCCATTGAGGGGTGATTTAGCAAGGGTGTTTACCCACCAACTCCCATCCCTAGCTGGCTAACTCTGCATTTCTGGCTCGCCTGTAACTGAACAAAGCACAACCTCCCAGCAAGAGAACACCTCTAGGCCTGAGTTGCAGGAAGTCTCCAGCAAGTGAAAAAGCCGGGTAGTAACACCCTGAGTAGGCTGAAGGGCAACGGGAAGGTACCGATAGCAGGTGCTGCGCATGGCAGGGGAGTGCAGGAGCTAGGACTCGGAACCAGTCACTTGGCTCCAATTCTTGGTCTCCGAACAGGCAAATCACCTATGTTGATCACTGCGTAGGCTCAGAAGTTACTAAGGGGAACAGCCTTGCTCAATCTTTCTCCAAGGGTCTTTGTGCCAACCATGCTTCTGCTGGTACAAGGGAAGAATTCTGAACCATTCTCTTGTTTGGTTTAATTCAAGACTCGACACGTCGCATGATTTATAAGAGGGCCAGGGTACTTAATGAGTTTGATCTGTGCCTTGAGCTAATGACACCTCCCTGTGCTCAGCTGCTATCAATTAAAAATAAACATAAGCTTTGTTTATTCTGGACAATTTGTTTGTCTCCTCCACAAATGTTCTATTAGCTATCAGCCTCATTTTGGAGTTCAATTGCCCAGCCTAGTAAAGTTTATATAAGTGCAAAATGATACATGTCTGCCATTTACCTTCAAGATGAAGGCATTTTAAAAGTATTTTAAGCAGAACTTTTCATCTTCTTTTAATTAAAAAATAAAAGCCCATTTGGTCTTATTACCCTGTAAGATAACATTTCTTCGGTAAAAGACATTCCCCAAGGACTCTAATAAAAAGAACAAATACATAATTATAATATGATTAATCCATATTAAAGATTCTCATATTAAAGAAGGTCAGTGAGGCTCATCTGGTAACATGCTTAGCTTTGGGCCAGGAGGTCAAGGGTTGTTACTATTTGACATTTATAGGCCTGGCAGCAGAATATGATGAAGTATTCGAGTGAGCAAACTGGACATGACCTAACAGCCCAATAAAATAATGCTGGACACTTTCCCTGAGCACGGTAATCATTTAGTCATCCTATCCTCACTTTGCATTGCAGGTGATTCAAATGTAAATGACAACGGCATCAAACTACCTCACTGGGTTCCTGTGAGGATAAGATGATCAAATGATGGCAACTTAGAGGAGAAAGGATGTGGCAGTGAAAGGACCTGTCAAGGCCAGAGGGGAAAAACCTCTCCTCTCGGAAGTCCCTAACGGCGTATGTCTTTGGGTAGCTGGGTAGACAGTAGCAGACACTCACTCAGCTGATCATCATGTCCTCACTGAGTCCTTACTGCGTGTCAGACACTAAGAAGCGCTGAAGTTATGTTGGTGAGCAAAAGTGGGCTGAGTACTACCTTTGCCTGCTGTTTTGAAGAGTACCTACCCTCAACAACTTCAAAATCTGGCAGGAAAAGACAACTGAGTGAAAGAATTACAGCTGTGGGAAACTGGTAAAAGCTGTTGCAAAGGAGAATTTCAAGAGAGCAAGAGAATGGACAGTTGGTGATTGAACCTGACTATGAAGGTCGGGGTAGGAAGATTTCTCTGGGGCAATGGCACGTGAGCTAAAATCTGCAAGGTGGGAGGAATTAACGAGACAGGAGGAGTAAAGAAACAGGATTCCCACAGAAAGGAGTACAAGTGCAAAGTCCCCATGGTGGAGAAGGCGACAAGACTGGGACAAAGCTAGAGCTCAGACTCCAAGGCAGGCATGCACAAGTGTGTGACACAAACAGACTTCAGTAGAGATTTCTGCCTTGATCCTACACAGATCCTCATCTGAGAGGAAATCCTATTGCTCCTGGAGGCTGGGCCACACCACGGTGCTGGGCCCATTGGAAGTCCCCTCTGCGCAGTATGAGTTATTTGAGGGTAAAGAGAAGACCTTATTTGCTTTGACCTCCTCCAAACTTAGCAACATAACTGGCTCAATCTCCTTTTTCATTGAGATGAAATTCACATAAGATAAGATAATATTAATCATTTTAAAGTGTAAAATTCAGTGTGGTTTTTTTTTTTTGTATATTCACAAAATTGTGCAACCACCACCACCTCTGCCTAATTCCATAACACTTTTGACTACAAAAAGAAACCCCATACCCATTAGCAGTCGCTCCTCATTACCCCCTGCCCTTATCCTCTGACAACCACTAATACACATTCTGTGTGTATGGATTTGCCTATTTTGGACATTTTATATAAATGTAATCATACACTATGTGGTATTTTGTATCTGGCTTCTTTCTCCTAGCATAACGTTTTTAAGGTTCACTCATATTGTAGCACGTATCAGTACTTCATTTTTATGACTGAATAATATTCCATTGTATAAATATACTACATTTTGCTGATAGATATTTAGACTCTTGCTACTTTTTGGCTATTTCTTCATGGAGTTTCTATCTTTTGGAGGTGGATTCTGAACTCTTTATGGATGGAACGATATGATATCCCACAAATGAGAGTCAATGCTACTGAATGGGTTGCACACATGAAAACAGAAATAACCCAGGAGGACAGCAAGGCCTGGAATAGAGAGAAAGGAAGACTGTGGGTTTAAGTGAAAGTCTTTGGTCAGTGAAAGTTAGTGTGCAGAAGTGGGTAGATAACAGGGGAGGTAGTTCAATGGCAAAAACCTCAAAGAGACAGAATTTTACAAGCAGGTGGAGTAGTAACTCTCTGAAACAGCCAGAGACTGGTTTTTAACTTCACCTCTTGGCCCAGAGGTTGCAGTGGGTAAAAATATAAATTGGCATCCACATGTGTGGTCCTACCGTAATTGTCAGTACTACTGTAATTGTACTATGTCCTCTTCCCTGGTACAGTTTCTTAAACATTTAACATTGGTTGGTTTACTAATTACAATTTGCTTCTAAAATGTGTTCTTTTTTATACACAGTAGCATTAAAAACAATTGTGCCAATAAGATTCCCTTAAAATATAACATAGAATACTAAATATATAAGATATTGAGAAAACAGCAAATAAAAAATAAGTTAAATGCATTTTACATAAAATCAAAATCCTGTTAATAAATTTCTATCAAGATGTCCCTACTCAGTAAAAACAAAAAAACTAGAATTATTCCAAAAGTGAATACAGTGTATGCAGACATATTAGTTGTCTACAGCCCATCTATGTACTCTCAAGCACTATAAAGATGGAAATATTGTATTGTAGCATGGGTTGGATCTCTGTAAATTTCAAAATGGCTATGTCCACCAAAATAGGCATCAAATATAAGACATGCCTATTTGAGTCCTGGAAGTAGATCTTTAATGAATGAAAATTGCTGATACTCCTCTTGCTCTATTGCTTTATACATTCCCTTGTAGGCACCATTATAGTTAACATGAGTGGCTTAAACAAATATGAATTTATTTTCTCCCATAACGGTTGAAGACATAGTTCTACAAATTCATTAATGCCCTGGACTTGCTCTTATTTCTGTCTGCCATCCTTAGGATGGGCCTTTCATTGTAATAGTCTCCATCTGCAATCTCATGGGCTAAGTTCCAAGCAAGAAGATGAATGAAAGGACAAGAAATCAGGGCAACTGCTCATATTAAGAGACAAAAATTTTTATAAAATCTCCAGAAAACTTCCACTTAGACCGCATGGCCCAGAACCATGACACACAATGACACCTAGCTGCAAAGGAGTCTGGAAAATATGTGTTTTTTCACACCTGGGTACATTTCCATCCCAAATAAAATTGAGATTTCATTGTTAACAAAGAAGTAAAAGTGGGTATTACACAGAAAACTAACAGTGTCTGCTGTAATTGAATAATACAATCTCTCTCCTCCTCCTCCTCGTCCTCCTCCTCCTCCTTCTTCTTCTCTTTCTCTCTCTCTCTCTCTAACAAACACACACAGACCTACACAAACACACTTGGATATGCCAATATATTAAAACTGAATTATAGAAAATATTAGAACAAATACCACTTCTCCTTTTGAATTTATGTACGAGTATTAAAAACTTCTTAAGGTGAGACGCGGTGGCTCACAGCTATAATCCCAGCACTTTGGGAGGCTGAGGCGGGTGGATCACCTGAGGTCAGGAGTTTGAGACCAGCCTGGCCAACATAGTGAAACCCCGTCTCTACTCAAAATACAAAAAATTAGCTGGGTGTGGTAGCAGGTGCCTATAATCCCAGCTACTTGGGAGGCTAAGGCAGGAGAATCGCTTGAACCCAGGAGGTGGAGGTTGCAATGAGCCAAGATTGCACCACTGCACTCTAGCCTAAGCAACAAGAGTAAAACTCCATCTCAAAACAAAAAAAAACAAAAAACAAAACAAAACAAAAAAAACACCTGTTAAGAGGACCTCTCTTCAGATTATTAGTTTGCTATTGCTCTTGTATTTCTCTCAACATATTTAAATATCTCCTGCCTTCCATACACAGAAAGTTAATCAGAATTTTCAAGGACTGAGATACCTAATTAAAGCAGAAGGCCTTATTTAATCACATCAAATTATGCCCTTTGGAAGCAAAAAAGGATGTACAGCAACGGAGAAGGACACATATGCAGTGTCAAATTAGTTCTATTTTTGCACTTCTTTATTCTTTGCTCTTGCCCCATTTCCTAAATACATCTTCCCAGAAAAACTACCCTGTACTCACTCTTCTGGGCTTCCTTTCTCATGGCGGCTCACATATTCACTCTTTTCCATTTTGGAGCCTTTTGAAATAATCATGAAAAATATTTGATCTCAAAGAGATGAATGGAAAGATTTCATATTCAGCCATCCCTATGAATCCCCTGGCCTTTACAGATTTAAGACATTCCCAGAGCATTAGTAGAGAAATTTTTCACAATTTTATTATTTAAAATATTTATAGTTCTCAATTATGCAAGTAATAGGCAATTTAATTGCATTTATTATAGTTCTAATTCTTGCCAGTCAGCATGCTTACTATTTAGGCAGTTATGAAATAGGATATACACAGCCAAGTTTATCTTTTAACTTCCTCTTGCCTCTGGAGAACCTTCAACAAGCCAGGTTCCAAGGATGAGTATCTATAATGCCGTGTGCACAAGACCACCGCCCATTGAAGAGAACCCCAGGAAATGTAATTGATCTCCCCTGACCCATAGCAGCTGTGTGGCTTAGACTACTGCTGCGAATCTGAACTATATTTCTCTTTTCAAGGGAGGTTACCAAGACCTGGAAAATGCCGCCAAGGAGTATGAGGTCATGAGTGGTGCAGAGGGGAAGCACAGCTTGGAAAATGTCACAGCATTTCCACAGGCAAATCTTGTTTCAAAAAGAATAAATGATATTTAGGAAATTTAAGGTTCTTAACATCCACAAACTTCACACAATCCTTGCTAGTTTCAGACTTGTAGAATGCCCAGCCTCAGTTGTTGATCTGCATCTCAACTATCCATCACTGGGATCATTCCCCCAAGGTCTCCATCTGACCGCCTGGTCACCTTTGTCCAGCTCTGAAATCTACCTGGTGGATCCTATAACTACAATTTCTCTATTGTTTTCTATAGTCGGCCTCAAAGCCCTTGGTTATTCAGGCTCGGTAATTTATTAACAAACATGTATACTATAACCCTATTGCTATTCTAAGTATTTTACAATTGTTTAATAATTTAATCCTCTTAACAGCCCTATGACATAGATACCATTAACATCCCAATTTTTCAGATGAAAAACACAGAGAGGTTTGGTAATTTTCCCAGCACCATCTAGCAGCAAAGTGTGGTTCTGTAATTGCACCCAGGCTTTTTGGCTCCAGGTTTTAACCACTAAGCCATCATAGCTCATATTAGTGGAATAAGGGCCCTTGTCCTTGGAGGTCATGTTGCCAAACTGTACCGATGAAAACATTTCTATGAAAGCCCCCGTGAAAGATAGTTGCTCTGCTTTGGCTTGTATTCTTTCCTTTCTTAAGAACAAGCTGGCTGGGTGTGGTGGCTCACGCCTGTAATCCCAGCACTTTGGGAGGCCGAGGCGGGCGGATCACAAGGTCAGGAGATCGAGACCATCCTGGCTAACACAGTGAAACCCCGTCTCCACTAAAAATACAAAAAAATTAGCCGGGCGTGGTGGTGGGCGCCTGTAGTCCCAGCTACTCGGGAGGCTGAGGCAGGAGAATGGCGTGAACCTGGGAGGCGGAGCTTGCAGTGAGCTGAGATGGCGCCACTGCACTCCAGCCTGGGCGACAGAGCAAGACTCCGTCTCAAAAAAAAAAAAAGAACAAGCTGCCCTTCAGATCCGTTACCTGAGTTGCCGACGGTGAATGTAATCTCATGTGGCTGGCTTTACATCTAACAAAGGGGACACAAGTAGATGTGAGATCTCTAGCTGTGAGACTTCTGTCATTTCTCTTCCCTCCCTCATGGGGCACAAATGAGAGGCCTGCAACTATGCTTCTCCATTTTCTTAGTCAGTGCTTTCTGGTAAAACCCGGACACCGACCAGGAGAGTTTTAATACCAAAGCTCTCATGGTTTGATAGGGCATGCTCAAATATGCCAAAGGCAAATGTGTTCATTTATTGGGAATGGAATAGGATGAATAACCAAAGGTAGCCTATATGATGGCATCTCAAAATAATGGAGAAAAGACCCAAAGCCATGGCACCTTGAACCCCCCTTCCATTCAACCATTAACTGCTCCCAGAAGTCCCCTTATTCCTGTTTTTATCCTAATCCTGCATACCTGGCTTCCCTTACAAAACCAGTTTAAATTGAAAAATATCTATTGACTTTGCATTGGATAGGAGGCACTGAGGATGCCACAGTGAGCTAGGCAGCCTTCACAATAAAATGCTCAACCCCAAATGATGACATAAGTTCTAAAAAGACAAAACAAAAGTGAAGTGTGTCATGGTACTTCCAGGAGGGTCAGGCAGCTAAGTCATGGGGTCAGTGGATGCTTTCAGAAAGCAACAAGCATCTGTGCTGAGCCACACTAAGGAAGAGGGTGTCCTGGGGTTCAGCATTTTCAGCAGAGCCTTGTTTCCTATGCAGAAGCTAAACTGGGGCAGCTGCCACACTAACTCAGCCTGAGAAAGCTCACCGACTACACTACAGAAAATCTATTTATATTTTATAGGTTGCTTAAATAGGTTTGTTGTTTCAATGTAGGAGACAAATACAGGATGATTCTAAGCCTTAAGCAGAAAAGCTAAGTGAAGGAAAACCGTCTTTCTTTTCAACTTCCTGACTTCTTTTATAGTGAATTTTCTTGGAGGGCAGTTAAGTGTGAGTCAGCCAGCGTGGTTCCTGGTCATTGCTGCTGGTCCCTGAACATGGGTGGGTTCCACAGCTGCTGGTCCACCACAGCAAAGGGGATTGAAACAATGACCCCTCTCATAGCAGAGAGGCCTGCTTGATGCAGAACTGGATGTTGCTAAGCTCCAACTCAGATTTTCTTTTTTCTCCTGGGAAGAGTCCTTGGAGGCCTTTTCAACTTAAGGAAGTGCATCTATGACATAGTGAGATGGTCATTAAATATCCATTTCTCAGTGCAAGAAAAAGCCAATCACAACAAGGCCTAAATCTGGGATGGTGTTATGTAGTCAACCTTAGTTTTAAAACAACCACTCAGACTACTAATACTCTTTCTTTCACTTAAAATGCTTATTGTGCCAGAAAGAAGAGTGCCATCATTTGGGTGGCTCAAATCTAGCTACGCTAAAGACTGGATAACAGGCACAAATAAAAGGAGATGACTTCTGAAATTATATATGTTCTAGAGAAATAATAAAATAACCAAAGAGGAATGTTCAGGAAATGCTCGAGGAAACAGGAGGGATAGTAGAATAGTATTGCATGCTAGATATATGCTCCACAAAGTGAGACTTCTAGGGCCAGGTTCATTTTTCTTTCTGGAAAAACACCACAGGAGTGTAAGCAACATATCAGGTAGTAAATCAGGGTCTGTCACCTTTTGCAGAGCAGCTACCTTTTATTTCCCTGCAGCTTGACAAAATCACCAGGATAAAACCATGGTGGCTGTTGACAATGAAACCAAACCTCTGAATTGGGGTGTAGAAGGAGGGTGACTGTATTCTATTAGGAACTGTGTCAACAATTTGTATTGCCTGTCTAATATCCATTTCCTCCCTTTTCAGCCTAACTGAACCCTGTCTGCTTGGGGAAGTCAAAGGGCCCAGCCCCAGGGGAGATAGCCACTCCCATGATACTGGGGTGATCATATGGCACAGCGATAATTAATGAAATGAAAGCAGAAGAGATTGGTAGGGACTCTAGATAAATATCAGCTTTTCCTATCAGAAGCAACAATATGAAGCTGGACACAGTGGCTCACACATGTAATCATAGTAATTTGGGAGGCTGAGGCGAGAAGGATCACTTGAGCCCAGGAATTTGAGGCTTCAGTGAGGTACGATTACACCACTGCACAACCTGGGTGAAAGAGTGAGACCCTATCTCTTAAAAACAAAACAAAACAAAATAAAACAGAACAAACAAACAAACAAGAAAGCAAAGACATGGATGGCTTGAACACAGTTGTGCTTGCTGGAACTGCAGCAGCCATCCTGTCCCCATGAAGCCACAACCAACACAATGAAGACGGCAAAAAGAGAGAAGATATTTAGATCTTTTTTTCACAATGCTAATGAGCCATACCAACCCTGAATAACTTAACTCTGGAATTGTGAGAAAACTGTTGTTTACAGGTAAGCCTATTCTTAACTGACATAATAATCCTGTTATTTATATTCTCGTAAGCATTTATCAGGAGAGATGAGCAGTATCTTCTTCCTTCACCACCACTACCACTAACACCACTACAACTGTACTCTTACACCTACCTGTGCCCATATACTTACCATAGAGAGTAGCCTAATTTAGTCAACAAAGTCTCTTGGTTGGAATGAGAAGACATGGATTCAAATTCCAGCTAAACTACTTAATAACAATGTAATACTGAGCACTTAACCTTTTTGCACCTCAATTTCTTCTATAAAAAATCAAGAGAATGATATGAGTTGACAGTATATTTGCTGAACAACCTCCCCCAAAATTCTATTCCCTTAAAATCTCAATAAATCAAAAAGTAGATAGGAATAGAAATCTCAGTAAATAAAAATGATGGCAGGCAGGGAATAATTAGCAATTTGTTTATTGTTCTTCCTCATGTAGTTCCAAAGTCACCTGATTTTTACTACTACATTGTGGATTTCCAGAATATTCAGCCTTCTTGTTGCTTTGAGAATTGAGTACCACTCAGTTACCTGACTCTCGGTATGGGAAACTGAAAAGAGCTATCTGTGTTCTGCGTAATACTTCTAGCAGCAAGAAGCTATAGTTTTTCTCTGCTCTAAGTTTACTAAATTGGCCCACGGAGAAGGGATTTGTCATATTGTTTATATAATATCTCTCTGCACACTTTTTTCAAAGAAAATAATGCCAACAGTGGAGTTGGTGAAGATACCCCTGCTATTTAACTCTATAAACCCACCCTCATGAGAAACAGTGGAGGAGAAAAATTCCCAACATGATGTACGCATTGAAGCTGTGAATTTCCACTGGCTTTATGACAACTGAAACTATCAGATTCCTATATCTCAAGAATATATAAAATTCTTATATCTTCTTTCACTTCTAAGATCTACCTTGATTTTAAAAAGCTATTATGAAAATGCACCCATAGAAAATGCAAGAGGCTAGGCCAGGCACAGTGGCTCACACCTGTAATCCCAACTTTGAGAGGCCAAGCAGGCAGATCACTTGAGTCCAGGAGATCAAGACCAGCCTGAGCAACTTGGTGAAAACCTGTCTCTCAAAACAAAACAAAACAAACATTAGCCAGGTGTGGTGGCACATGCCTGTAGTCCCAGCTACTTGGGAGCTGAGGTGAGAGAATCACCTGAGCCCTGAAGGTTGAGGCTGCAGTGAGCTGTGATCATGCCACTGCACTCCAGCCTTGGCAACAGAGTGAGACTCTTATCTCAAAATAAAAAAAAATTAAAAAGAAAAAAGAAAAAGAAAAAGCAAGAAGCTAAAATAGTATCTACAGTATACATGAGATGTAAGGACATGCCATATGGTGGTATGTTTTGTATAATTGTGGCTACTTTTAATTGAACAATAGATATTGTCACAGTGTTTGCTCTAACCAACTGGAATTTGCTATGGAAAGTAGGACTGCTCGGGTAAAGCCTTTCCTTGAGCCATCTGACTGGGAAATTCCTTACATTCTTTATAAAACAGACAGCTATCTTTTGCCTTAACTACGTTTTGTTAGAGCTTTCAATAACCCTATGGGAAATTCAGAGAAAGCATAGTCAGGCACTGGTGTTTAGATGTGAAATTTTAATGATGGAATGCACCGTTCTGCTCTCCCCTTCCATAGAACAACTCATGTGGGTTTGCTTCACGAAGACTCAACCACCCAGTGAATGAGGGGCAATGAGGTGTTCCCAGTAGGCCCATGATTAAAGATGAGTGGGAGCATAAAAGAGCAAAGTCGCACATGTTATAGTCTTCCACAGACTAATGTCCCAGCGGGAAGGAATCATTTTCTAATCAATTCATGTTCCCTTTATTGCTATACTGTCAAGAGGCCATGTGGTACTAAGACCAAAACAAACAAACAAAAACAAATAAAATAAAATAAAAAACTCATTAAGAACAGCATTTTACTTCCAGCAGTCTGAAGCTACTTTGTCAAATCCAAAACGCTCTCTGAGCCCTGGTGTCCTTGTTCTTAAAATAAGATTATACTAAGCAATATTTAATTGTCCTTCCTCTTCTAAGATTCTATAATAGAGCTCAACTATGTCTGATTTAGAGAAGACTTGCTTCTTCATAATTACAGTATTAAGGCTGCTCACTACTTAGGTTCAAATACGATCTCACATGAGAGTTGTGTGACTTTTATCAAGTTATGTAGCCCCTCTTAGCTATGGTTTTCTCATCTGTAAAATGGGGATACTAATAATGGCACCTGACTCATAGAGCTACTAGGGAGCTCAAAGTAAATCTTACCTGGAAGATTTAGGGCAATGACTGCTATGCTAGTGACTCAATACATGTGAGTTATCTTCATTAGTCACAGGAGGAAATTTATGTTCACTTCTGTGAGATTTAGATGGTGTCATGGACTTCCCTGCTCAGAAAGATTTCCTCTAGTCCTCTGCCGGGAATTTTACAAGTAGAGGTAGATGTCTGTGAATTTAAAATATCCTCTTTTAATATGTAAGAACTCCTGAAGGATGAACAAATTAAGCTACTGCCAGTGATTCCCTCCTTGATGTACGTTATTTTATTATGTCTTCCAGTTAGTTGAAGACAATGTGCTGAGAGTCAGCAAGTTGCAATAGAAGAGGAATGGGAGAGCATTTATGTAATACCATGGCATTACATAACATCTGGATGGCATATCAGAGTGGACAGTACTAGGTCTGAGAAAGTGGCAGGAAAAGGAGCAGCAGAGAGATAGAAGGACACCAAAAGTGACTTTGTCGAAGGCCTGCCTTGTTTCCAGAAACATTAACCTATTGGCATCTTAAGGCAGGAACAAAGTTCTATTCATCTGTGTCCCCTGAAGCTAGCATGGTAATGAAAGCATAGGAGCTAGTCAAATATGTTAATTTGGGGGTCGGGAAACAACAGCTCACTTCCTGCTTTTTGTAAATAAAGTTTTATTGGAACACAGCCAGGCTCATTCATTTATGTACTATCTGTGGCTGCTTTCATGCTCAGCAGTAGATATAAGTAGTTGTGACAGAGACTGCACGGTCTTCAAAGCCTAAAATATTTAATTTTTTTCTATCTGGCCCTTTACAGATAAAGCCTGCCAACCCTTGTGTTAATTAAATGATAAATAAGTAAATGAATGAATTAATATAATTATAGAATTTTTAAAAATGTTTCAAAAAAGAAAAATAATTTTTGTTTTAGGACAAAAGAAATGACAAAAATAGACAACAGAAAGACAAATAAGGTTGGAAACTCACTGTTCCTAAATAATGGACCACATTCAAATGCATTTTCTTTGGCACATACTTCCAGTGTTCTGCTTATGTTTGAAACCTATGTTCAAAGCACTCTGAGATTGGTGGATGTGGTAGTGGGTAGACTGTGGCAGGGATAATGGTCATTGGTGAATATTAACAACATCTTTTCCAGGATTTTACTGTGATATCAAATTACAGAGTAAAGAGAATATCTTTCATTTACCCTCTCTCCTTTCTTCATTGCCCATCCAAAGTAGGGAAGGAAGGAAGAATGGTAATTAGTAGCTTTGATGCACCTGGAGGGACAGGCAGCATTTTGAAGACTAGGTTCACCTTTGATGGACATTAATAAAGTCTACTCTACTTGAGCCCTATGTCCTTGGAGAGACTTGGGACTAGCACCTATGCTACAAAATGCTCATTCAGTTTAACCTACACTGGACTGTCAAGTTTCTGTCACTGAGCCAGGGAAAACAAACCAGGGATAACAAAGAAGCCATGTTGCCTGCAGATGCACTGCTGACCCTGTAATTGAGGTGAGTTTAAGCAGTGTTTTGGGATTCAACAGAAACCCAACAAAGTACCAGGGTGGAATACACTTGTGTAATGCTCTGTGAATGAGAGTTTGGACTGACTATTAAGACCTGAGCTATATGTCTCTAAAGCAACCTCAAAGTAAGAAAAGATACTCCTTCAGAACCACTTACACTGGAAAATGGTGGGTGACCTCAAGTGATGGCTGGTTTATTTGGCCCTGTCATCTGCTTTTCATATTGTCAAGCTTTAATCAGACTGTGCAAGAGGAATAATTTAAGATGTAAAACATTGTGCCCTTTTGTTGGTTAATACTGTAAGTATCACAACTCCTGGGGAAAAGGTAGAGGCTGGCAGGCCATAAAAAGCTGAGAGGTCTACCAGAGCTTGGGCAACAAACAATGGAAGAAAGATGCTATCTTACAAGAGGACTAAGCCACTGTCCTTGCCTCCAAGTTGATATGAAAAGACCCAAAATTGTAGGCATTTGTTTTCCTTTCTTGTTCTAATAGATGCTCCTAGCTCAAAGACAGAAAATGTTTTTTCATAAATAATTTCACATTTTTGGTACCAATGCTATATCACAATCCTATATTACGTTTGCTGCACTGTTAGGAGAGTTGATATGATTTGACATTGTCCATCTTGCATTTATTTAGTAAATCTCCCGTGAATGGCAAAAGGGTAAGTATGACACTTCCAACGATAAGCCTCTGGCCAGAAAGCCATCCCAGAAGTTTCCCCTTTAAATCTGTTCTATTCTTTCTCTTCATCAGCATCACTATTAAGATATTTATCAGGAACTTGTAATTCAGAGAGTAATATGAAGGGAAGGTCAGAGGCAAGGGTACATGCATATGTGCATGGGGGGGACATGCATACACAAGAGGGCAGGTGTGAAAATATGACTTGCAGAGATAATCGTAATAGCCAATGCTCAGAGAGAGAGAGCAATCAAGAAGGCAGGCTTACCTTGTTAGAAGGTGGATGGTTCCAAAGGACTTGTGAGTAAGGAATGATTATCAAAGACCTTATACTCTGAGCTAAGAAATTTTTACTTTATTATGTATCTAATAGAAAAACACTGAAGGATTTGGAGTGAAAGCTTATTTGGCCAAGATAGTACATTAAACTAACAGCGGACATTGAAATGAAATTGAATAAGAAAAATCCAGAGATAGGGCCAAAGAAAGAAAAAAGCCTCAACAGTTGGTGTGGGGTGAAGGGAGGGCAGAAGCAAATAGAGGTGCAAAATTGAGTGGAAGAGATGGATTGCACAAACAGAATAAAGGAAAAATTTATGAAACTGGGATGGAAAGACAGAAGAGTCAAAGATAACTTTGGCACTTTGAGCACACGTGACTGGAAGGAAGAATGCTGAAATGAAGCAGAAACAAAAACATCTGGAGAAAGGGTCAGGTTTGAGAAAAAGATGTTGAGTTAGATTTTAGAGATGTAGAGTTTACTCTTTGTCCCCATCTGTTCCCTTCCAATCACACACTCATTCCAATCAACCTCATGAAATAATGGAAGATGATTAAGCTTATCTTAGTGCTGTAGCACCCAAGATGCTGTGTTGTTAATCTACTGGCTAGAGACCATGGCTTCTTTTGCTTGATGTCAACATCAGGGATCATGGGATTCACCTGTTGCCAGAGAATCAGAAAGGAGAATTATAGGCCACTCTTAGACTGGGGTCTTGAGTCCAGACAAGAAATGAGAGTGGAGGCGTGCGGACATGGGTTGCTCACCTGGCACTGTTGCAGCCACATTGCCGCCACCCTTATCCCATGCTTCTCAAACCCTCTTAGCAGCACCGAGAACTGGGGTGAGATAAGGCATGTCCTAGGTAGCATTTTCCTTGAATATAAATGATCACTTTACACTGTACAATTTCCTCTTTTAAAAAAGCAGAAACTAATTTTTCTAATACTATTTACTCTAGAAGGAAAAAATAAAAAGGGAGGAAAGAAAAGGAAGACAGAGAGGGAGGGAGAGAGGAAAGAAGAAAAACAGGGAGGAAAATAACAGTACAGGAGGAAGAGTGGAAGAGAGCAAGGGAAAGAGAGAGAACAAAAAGAAGGGAGAAATAGAGGGAAGGAAGAAGGAAAGCACCAATCCTCAAAACAGAAGTTAGGAACTTCCAAAAAATTAGGTAAATCACTTTAATATCTCTGAATCTTCCTGTTGGTAAAGAGGCATGATGGAGCATTATTACTCATCTAAGAGAGATGCTATTAGGTAAAATGACACTGATTATGCAAAAACAGAAGTAATTGGGAAAAAAAAGTCTAACAACCTTGAAACGTGAATATAAAAATATGGAATGATCAAAAGCCATCATAAAAATTAAAATAATAAATCACATTAAATATGATATTAGTGTCACATTATTGGCTTTTCCTCATGCTAATAGGGAACATATTCAAACACTGAATATTAATATCACCTATTAGAAAACCAATCATAATAAAAGTCAATGATGGTGGATAATTAGGTATTAGTGAACCCAAACCATACTGGCAAGAATAAGGATCTCTTTTTTCATATTATGAAAAGACACTTTCCTGTAGTTCCTCTAACTGTCAGAATCTTCTTGCAATGGTACCTTTAATACCAGCTTTCAAGCTTATAGTTGGCCCTGTGTGCATTATCTGAATTTACCAAATAGTAAAATTAATTAAATAAACCATTAGGAGTATCTCTTTGCTTCCCATTTCCATAGTTTTCCCCACTTAAAAAAATGAACAAGCAAACAAACAAACAACAACAACAAAGCACCCTTGACCTAGCGTACTGAGGTAATGATGTAAAAGCAATGTGTGGGAGCTGACTTACATTAAATAATAGTTTGATAACCTCTAGGCTTTGTTTTGCTTTGTTTGTCATAAGAAATTAATATGAAAACTCAATTCTTTTTTCTTACTGATAGGTAAGTTTTACAAATAAAAGTGAAGCCCTTCAACGGTGGCCTAAATCAAAACTCTGGAAGTGATGAAGGCCTTTTCACTTTTAATGAACGAGACCCAGACAATTCTACATAGTTTCCAAGAAGAACTTGTACAGGTGAAAAAGAAGCAAAGGAATCAGAGAAAATAAAGAAGAAATGGACATTTGGGGGTTAATGGAAGATCTTGGTGACTTCCCAGAAATCCCAATAAATGCCCTTCTTGTAACTGCCATCCAACCCCATGGCTGGCAGAAATGAGTCCTTATAAACTTCCATAAGACATGGACTCCTTGAGACTTACGGCTGTGGCCGGGAGACCTGCTCGCCTTTGGCAAAGTCAGATTCACCACTGGAGACCTGGTCTATGTTCTACACAGCTCCAAGCACCTGTTCAAGGGCTTAACAAGGCTAACTAAAAATACTAACTTGGCTGTGACATAACAAAATCATCAAATCCCAGAATACAACTTTGTATCTCCAGGATGATTTCTTACACATTTTTTACTGCCATTAAATATTTTGCTTTTTAAAAGGCAGCACACAAAAGCAATTGCACTGATCGAGCAGATGTTTGTGCCAAACTGTCTAGGGAGATTCCTCAGTCCCACTTTTAAAGGTTAGAAGGATCATCCAAACCTCAGAAGCAGGCAGGAGTCTTTGAGCTGCTCCAGCCCAGTATTTATTGGCTCCTTTCTACTTGTTATCATAGCGTTTACCTGCCATCAACTCATCTAGTTACCTCTAGCTGTCATCTTAGGTGCCTCATCCAGCTCTCTCGTTGTTTCTCTGTTTTGATGAAGTGAGGTGCTGTTGAACCCCCTGGGATATTTGGATCCACACACAGACACTGGTGTCATCTCCATCTTCCAAATGAACAATGCATCAATGAAATATCATGGATTAGGAAGTGTGATGGAGAACTCTCACTGCTGAGCTTCAATTTTGTAAGTTCTCTGACTTAAATAAATCTGCTTTGCAAAAAAACTGAATTTATGTGACCAATCAAATTAGAAGCAGTTACATTTCTAAATGCCTGCTTATTCAAATAGTTCTTTTCTGGTTGCATTTAAAATGCAAACATTTTGAAATTCATAAATGAGTTGTATTCCTACAGATTTTTTTTAATGCTTAGTAAAAGTTGGAACTTTTATTTTCCCCCCAAAATGGAAGCTAAGTTCTTTAGCTTTCTGTAATGGATAGGAATCAAGAGCAGGTAATAGATATCCATTTAATTCATGGAGCGTTGGTGTGGTCTACTTCCATTCTGCATCTATGTTTAATTAAATGGTTACTGAGCACCTACTATGTGCCAAGCACTGTTCTAGATTCTGAAGGCTACAAAGTGTCAGTTCTCAAGAGATTTAGATTCTAGTGGTGAGAGAAAAATGAATCAAGGAAACAATATATATGCAACATTATTTAGATGGTAATAACTGCCCAAGAAAAAAAAATGAAACTGGTGAATGTAATGGGGGATGAACTTGGATGGGTGGAGAGAGGGCACTGTATTTCATAGGGGGTTTGGAGAACATCCCATTGATAAGCTGACATTGACCTGGGACCTTAATGGCAGAAGGATCAGGAGGAGGGGACTCTGCCGTAATAGTCATCCCTCCTAGGACGAGTGACAGGGACTGTCGGTGAGCTCCTTCATCATTCTCTTCCAGAGACGACTTGTATATCTGACTTAAGACCCTGAAGGAGTTTGTGGGCTGGGGCTGGAACACTTTTGACCTGATCCTCAGAAACTTCTCTTGAACCCAACCAGTGCTTGTCTCTCTCTCTTTTCCCCTTTACCATGAGAATCATTATTTTATCTTCCCATCAGTCTCTCTTCCATTTCCCACACAGAACCTCAAGGTTCCCTGGTCTCTTTACTTTGTGTTTTAAATATTGTTTTTCCATTATTTACCCTGATTTTGCAAAACAAATTAGTACCAGGAACATTTAAGGCAACACTGAACTCCCTACAGTAGACTGGGAAGGAACAGTTATATTATTGACTGATATATATTTAAGAGATAATTAACGGTATTGCTTCATCTTGCCTTGGGGCCAAGAAGAGAACTGAGCACATTCTTAATACCTTATCATCAATTACAAAATTTAAAAAGCTCTGAAAACCAAAATTGTTTGTCTTTTAATATAATTCATTGGCAGCAAAGCAAAATCTAAACTGAAACGAGGCTATTTTACAGCCTTTATCTTAATTAGTAAAAATATTCACACTTTTCTATTAAAAATATTAACATATTTGATTATGGGGTTTCTACAGAACCCCCAGGGGAGTGCTAATAGAAAATATAAACCATATTACTTTTCCAGGGAAAATTCTGGCATCAGGCTTCAACGGTTTCAGAGGAGAGACTGTGACCCTAGAGTTAAATTTTTCTTTCTGTAATTTCTTCTAGACCTTCAACTTCACTCTTTCTTCTGCTTCCTTTCTTCCTCTTTCTTCCTTCTTCACTCTTCCTTCTCCTTCTTCACACATAGGATCATCCTGGATCTTCTCATCTTTAAATGATGCCCCCATGGGCATTGCCCCTCTCTCTCTTCTTCAGTAACAGCTATACTTTTATTCACTGTTTATCTGAAATTCAAATTTAACTGGGTACCCTCTTATTTGCTAAATCTGGCAACCCTAGGTTCTTGAAAGAGGCAACAGGTTGCAGGTACCATGTCTCTACTCCCTCCACTTGGCCCATCCTTAACTTTTTAACTCACCCAAATCTGGCTAGTATCCACACCTCCCCTACTTGATGAAACCACCAGTGATACTTTCGTGGCTAAGATCAATGGACGTTTTTCACCCTCCTGACTCCTAAATTCTTTGACCCTGTTGGCCACTTCCTCCTTTCTGAAGTGCACTCCTCTTGGTCTTCATGTCCTCACTTTCTCCAAGGTCTATTCCTAATGAATGGATTTCTTCCTTGGATACCAGTTTTCCTCTGCTTTCTCTTTGAATCTTTTTGTTCCTCAGGGACTCATCCTTAATTCTCTCTCACTTTACACAACATTCTTGGGTGATGCTGGCCTATAGTTTTAATAACCAGCAATGACTCCTAAACATTTGACTTTAACTTGACTAGCTGTCTACCTGAATCTCCTGACACTTTCTTATATACATCTTAGACTGACTTAGTGATTCATTCACTAAACTTTTATTAACTATCTGGTGCTTGGTAATTAGGGTTGCTGATCTAGCAAATAACTGTACAGGACACCCAATTATCTTGGAATTTCAGATAAATAATAGATCATGTTTTCAGTGCAAATATACATGAAATATTACATGAGACATACTTAAAAATAATGTGATGTTTATCTGAAATTCAAATTTGGCCGGGCATCTTGTATGTAATATGTCAAACATATCCACTACTGTAAAGAAGCACTTTCTATTAAGGGAGTAATAAATAATATGGTTTCCTTTCTAAGGCACTCATTGTATTTAAGGGAGACAGATCAGCATAAGGACCTGAAATCCACGTTCCAGACCAAAACATCTTGGTGTCTTTGAATCTTGGTGTTTTTCTCTCTGTATTACTTTCTTTCCCTCTCTCCCTCCCTCCCTTCTTCCATGCCCCATTTGCACACACTGTTTACCATGGCAGGAACCTCCACTCTCCCTTTTCAGCCTCCCCTTCCCCTTTTCCATCCCAACTCCCATCTTCATTGGCTTACTCTTACTCTTCCTTAAGATACAACTGAGGTCTTATTTCTTCCAAGAAGTCCTTTCAGATCACCCTAGGTTGGGGGAGTTTAGCGAAACCTCCCCTCCACTAACAGTTTAAAACATCCCTGTGCTTTGGGAGGCCATGACAGGAAGACGGCTTGAGCCCAGGAGTTCAAGACCAACCTAGGAAACATAGGGAGACCCTGTCTCTACAAAAAAAATAAATAAATACAAGTTAGCTGGACATGGTGGCATGCACCTGTAGTCCCAGTTACTCAGGATGCTGAGGCTAGAGGATCTCAGGAGTTTGAGGCTGGAGTTCAAGGCTGCGGTGAGCTATGATCACCCCACTCACTCCAGCTTGGATGACAGAGTGAGACCTGTCTCAAAAAAAAAAAAAAAAAAATCCCTGAGTTTTAGTACTTAACACATGATTTTAGTACTGAAAACTTGTCAGTTGCCCCTGCCTGTAAGGTCTGAGTGTGGGGTGTCTGGCTGCTGTGTTTTTGTAACTCCAGGACCTGGTGTAGAGGGTGGAACAAAAGAGCTTCCTTTATGGAAGGAAGTGGGGAGAAAAAAGAGAAGAAAGATGTAATTGAGAGAGAAAGGAGAGGGAGAAATAAAGAGGGGGAAGGGGGGAAAAGGAATGGAGAAGGGGAGAAAGAGAGACAGTGAAAGAGGAAGAGAAGGAAGAAAGAAGAGAGGAATAAAAGGAGAAAGGATGGAGAATGGAAGGGAAAAGTGCAGACTGCAGAGAGGTAGGAAGAGAGGGAAGAAAGGGAGAGGAATAGAAGCAGAGAGGGAAGGAAGGGAGAAATGGAAGGCAAGGGGAAGAAAGTAGAATATATGATTAAACCTAGGTGACCTTTTCAGAAATAGCAGAAAATCAAGTGACTTTAGGTTCTGCTCTATGCTAACATTAACTTCTCACCTCACAGCCATCAGATTTATTTCTAAATAACCTTTTTATGAGATATGCCTGCATTCTAGGTCTTTCCTAAGTCTAACTGTATTATTTCTGCCAGTTTGGCTTTGTTTTCCTCACACTTACTGTGAATTTTGATTAGTTAGGGAAACAGGCGTTTCTCTCATAATAGTTGAGCTGGTTTGCTCTTATCTCACTGTGCTGAATACTTTTTTCTTTTCCTTTAATGATTTTCTCATTTGGAAGGATAGCAGGGGGAAAGGGGGAAAAAAGGATTTGAAAATGAGGTTTTCTGTCAGGGATCACAGAGGAGTCAGCCAGGGATCACAGATTACAGGAACTTTAAAAGAACAGATATTACAAGGGATAAATTAAATACTTTTCAAACTATTTTGTTCAGCTCTAACTCAATAGTAATTGATTTTCTAATGATTTGGTCAATATGCCTGTGGCACCACTTTTATTGTACAAGGGGAAAAAAATGAATAGGGTGTTAGGCCCACCCCTGGAAGGAACATATTCTGTTACTAACATTCTTACAATTTCAATGATCAAGACACAAAAATTGCAAGGGGTCTGATATTATAATGTAATTATTGGCTAAGCTATTACAGTTTCAGTGGCATTTTCATCAGCCCTGGACCCAGCAATTCAGCATCGCTCACTGACTCCAGGGTCCTGACTATCTCAATAGTACTTTTAGTGACTTCCATTGAAATCATAATGAAATTTCCCAAATGGTCTCTTAAAGTTTTACTGCTAGAAGTGCTTTGACCTTGGAAGATAACTTACTTTCTCTGGGTCTCACTTTCTTTATCTTTAAAGTGAAGGGGTTATATAAAATTATTTTTAAACTCCCTCCCAACTTTAAAAGTCAGAAAGCCACATGGAGTAGAACGTATGAATATAGACGAAAACGAGCTAATATATTCCTGGTGTAAGTTGAACTATTGTTGAAGATCTTGCAGATATAACATAGCTCAGGGCAAAGGTGGTGAAGTCTATTGCCTTTGCTAATAGCCATGACATGTAATCTATTTTACTTAAAATCACCTCTACTAGGACATCACAGAAGAAAAACAGAGGAATTATCACTTCATGGCTGCTTTTCTGATTATACACTGACAGCTGTCATCTCCTTGTGTAAGGTCTTCACTTCTGGAATCTCAACATCTTAATCGTTGTCAATGTGAGACTGAAACCGAGCAGCTTTTCAGACCCTCAAGTATCAGTTTTCAAAAACCACCAAAGATTTTAGCTCTCGTGACCCAGTAACCTTATAGAACAGATCGTCATTTATAAAACAAGTCTTAGAACTGTTATTTTATGCCTAATTAAGGAAAGTTTCTCTTTGGTCTTTTCAGGAAAAGAGGCTCCTGAGGATACATGAAAGTTTACTTAAATAAATAATTTTAGGATTAAATAGATTCAGAACGAAGTTGGCTGAATTTAACTTTAGTGCAAGACACAAATTTAAGTAAGAGTGGATTTCTCTTTAATGGAAAGAGACCAAGAATAACTGATGGGAAACTAATAAAGCCATAACAATTCACAGAAAATTAATGGACCTATCTAGGGAGAAGTTAATAATTTATGTCAATGTGTATATCCATTCTCAAGAGGACACTGAGACAGGTCTCAGGGTAATCCTTCGACACTAACGTCAAGAACACGTAGGGAAATAAACAGATGTAGGGAAATAAACAGGTAAGTATGTCCCCATGGTTTGCTCAAATAATCCAGACCACACTGGATGCAATCATGTCACTCAGTATTCATACAGTTTAAATATGATTGTGCCTCAGGCCTTCTCTGGGACACCATCTTGAAATAAATTCATTTATTTCCTGCTAAAGACAAATGGATATATTACATTTGCAGGAGAATGCTTTCTATGATTTGAGTCCAAAAACAGTCATTTTGTTCCAAAACTCACCGAGTTCCATTCTTTATGAGGTTAAAGTTCCATCTTGCTAAATTTAAAATTATTCAAGACAAATTCTCTGTCTTCAGGGTGCTTGCATGAACTTGAATCTGCCATGTGTAGATACCATGTTCTCTGCCCTCCTTCTCCACTTCAGATACCACTGCCCCACCCACTGTGTGCATTTGGAAAGACTCTACCTCAGATACGACTCTCAAGACACCATTGATTACAGAACCTTCAGGACAGTCTCTGCAGCTGTTGCATCAACATTTTATTTGTCTCCTCTGTACTTGGTTTAGCAGTTTGATAATTTCCTGTGTGATATTATCACACCTTCATGATGACTTGTCAAGAAGCAGAGCCAGATTAAGGAGGGGGGTCTTATTGTGTCTAATTAAAATCCAAAGTGTATACAGGCAAAGTTTTGGAAGGGCCCTTGACTATTTGCCAAGATGCAACTAAGAGTGAATGATAGTTCTATAAAGTTTATTTTACTGTTAGCAAATCTTTTCTAGGAAAGACACACATACAAGCCAAAATAATTTTATTTTATATTTTAATTGTAAAAATGTACTGGTTATTATTTGAAAGATAGTATATATAAATACACTATTTTCATAAGTATGTGCCCTGACCCAGCCGTTAATATAACACCCGGCATATAGTAGGAGCTGAATAAATGTTTATTGGTTACAAGAATGGGCAAAGAATTAGTGCCTTAGGATATGTAAAGGTTTGCACGATACAACCTTTGTCCTCAAGAAGCCTTCACACTTACGAGGTTTCATGTAGTTCATGAGAAATATTTTTAATTCAGCCTGGGCAACATGGTGAGACCCCGACTCTACTAAAAATACAAAACTAATTAGCCAGGGATGGTGGTGCATACCTGTGGTCCCAACTACTCAGGAGGCTGAGGTGGGAGGATCCCTTGAACCTGGGGAGTGGGGGAGGTTGCAGTGAGCCAAGATTGCACCACTGCACTCAAGCTTGGGTGACAGAGTGAGACTCTGTCTCAAAAAGGGATAAATTCTTAAAAGGAAATAATATTGGATCTGTCTTGGACCTTTCCAGAAAAAAAATACAAATCACCAACTGTGTTACCTGAAGGCTATGCACTATGGGTTAATGTCCATTAAGAACCAAGTTGAAGCTACAGTGCTGAGGCCAAGCCAACATGTCATTAAGAAGGTTATAGAGTTCCCAAAGCCTCCATTCCAAGTGTGACTAAAAGCATGAAATTTATGGAGTGTTATTAAAGTTCTCATACAGTTTGGAAAAATACATGTTTTTGACAAAGTAGAAGTACAAACCATTTACCAGATTTCCCATTTCCTAGAAAAAAAAATAGCTGAATTGCTCCCTGAGTTAATTAATGGCCACTTTTTTAGATCAGAATTTAAGTAGAGAAGTATTAATTAAAAAAATACACTAAAGGGAATGGATTTGGATTATGGAAGCCAATATACTATTATAATTCCTCTTATGACAAATAGATAAATGACTTGGAAAATGAAATGTTTCTGTCAACATGAAACTTATCAATTGTTTTCAAAAGGGAACACATATCATATTTTGTTTCTGGGAAGTGCACCAGAAAACACAAGCTTTCCTGGAGATCAATGCTGCAAGGCTGCACATAAAGGACTAAAAATGATAGGGAGAAGGAAATGCAATTGTTTGATGCTTATATGAAAGCCAGCAAATTATAGTCAGCCTCATCCACTATGTCCCTTAATAACATTAAATCCAAAAGGAACATCATGTTAAAATTAAAACTCCTACTGGGAAGCGAATGTTGTTATGAAAACCCTACTCTAAGGTTAGTTCAACCTGTGTTTGAAATTCTACTTCTTAACTCAGGGAACTTGGGCAAGCTTTGACCCACTTGAGTCATGCAACTTCAACTAGAACAGTATCTTCTCAGTGCTGTAAGGATTGAAAATGCAGCATCTGGTTTACTGAAAGTACTCAATGCATCTTAGACAACTCTGGCAAACTCTGATAGGGATTTCAAATTTCTTACTTACCAATTATATCCTTAAACATGTTTGGGGATTATTCTGGAAAATATGTGGGCTAAATATTTCTGAACACATATGGTTAAATTCTAGTTCTTTTCATACACCTGGTGTTCAAATTTCAACTTATTAAAATGTATTTCATGAATGAGAAGCTTTTTCTTCATCTCATTGAAACTAAGCTCCTACCTTCTGGAATTTTCAGATTCGTCATTTTAGACGAAGGATTTCATATAGTTTTAGCTTTGTCCTTTTCTTCTGAATTTGAAGGAGAGGAGCACATGAAAATAAAAATCTAGAGTTCACCTGAAGTCTTCTTTGCTCTTACATATTTGCAGTATATACCTGAATTTATGTTTCTCCTTTCTTCTTTTCCCTCAGTCTCAGAAAACTTTTCAACCCCTTCATTTCTTGGCCAAATTTCTGTCTCCCTCCTCTAGAATCTAGGGCCTGTCCTAATTACTGACGACACATTTCAGGGATGTGTAAGTGTCTAACAATTATTCCTCCATGCCACTGATGAGAAATCATATGAATTGGTTTCCCACATGAAAGTGGTTCTTTCTTCAGATCCACCCATTTCTGTCTTTCTCCTAATCATTCAGAATTGAATTTTCTCATTCTTTCTCCTTTTCCTACCAAAAGAATATTTATATTAAAAGCAATTTATATATACAGCTTCTCTGAGTCTGCTTCATCAAGTGCCAAAGGAAGAACCAATGAGCAATCATTCATTCCTGTCTACGTTTATTCATACAATTAATATTTACTGGGTGTCTCCTATGTACTGAAGCCCTGCTTTCTTAAATTTTTCAATTTTAAGGGGAAAATAAATATAATTCTTTCATTAAAGAAGCATGATTTGTAGAGTTTAATCATAAGGCAATCATATTTTTGTCTCTTAGTATCTCCTTCAGTTTATTGGATGGGAGCTGGGTCTTCCTCTGCTCCTGGGATATCCAGTTTTATTTAATGGTCAAAAAGTGAACGTTATGAAAAGTTGAGGAGCCTTTCATTGCCAGGCCTGTTGTAGGTGGAAAGCAGCTGCTAGGGAATGAGGGAGTGGCGAGAAGTGCTGTTTTTAATCTTTTTTTCTCAATTTATACTTCTCCTCCTGCTCGTCAACTTGTGAATCCGCTAACAGACACGAGGAAATGGAGCAGCAAAGTCCTATTGTGACTAGTAGTACTGTCACAAGCTGGCAGTACACTCTCCTCTTTCAGCGGTTCAAAGCTGCCCCCTTCTCTTTTTAGCATATTAAAGCTTCTTCAGAGATTCCCCCTTCCCAGCTAGGGATTTGTCACCTGGAATTCCCTTTAGTAATACTGATGCCACCTTCTTTTCTTCTCTAGAAATCCAGGAGTCATTTGTAGCTCCTTTATACACATCCATTTTACTCATCTGGGCAGCCTCCTTTTAGAGGATCTAAATTCACCCTGTGCCTAATCTGTCTCATGTGAGGCTCATCTCTGGTCCACAGGAAACACTAACACAAACTTTGCCCCAACACCACTTCCCACGCTGGTAAGTCACTAAAGCCTTTCTTCTTAGAACAGCCAGACAAGGCTATCTGTCACCTTTTAGATTTTTTGTTTTTAGTCTTTTTGAGACAGGGTCTCCTTCTGTCACCCAGGCTGGAGTTCAGTGGCGCAATCATGGCTCACTGCAGCCTCAACATCCCTGGCTCAGTCAATCCTCCCACCTCAGCCTCCCAAGTAGATGGTATTACAGACGCTTGCCATCACACTCAGCTAATTTTTGTATTTTTTTTTGTAGAGATGGGACTCAAGTGATCCACCCACCTCGGCCTCCCAAAGTGCTGGGATTACAAGCATGAGCCACTGTGCCTGGCCTAGATTTTTAAAGTGAAGTAAGACACCAATTCACAGTATCCCCTCCCCCAGTTGTGGGGGATATAGTCTGTGCTCTCTCGGTGGCCTTAGTAAAGTGTCCCTTTCTTGATTTAAGGTGAAAAAAGAAGTAACCTGCCTCCTCTTGGCTAGATAGTGGGTCTATCACAGCGCTGTGCTGGTAAATGTTTAACAAAGAGCTCTCTAAAAATAATGGATACACACATGTATGAAGTTTATTATAAATTTTGCTAATAAAAAGAGGTATAGCATACAACTCATAGTCAATAATAAAATATATAATACTCTTTACTGCAAATTCCACATAGTTAATTAATTCTTATAGAAGTACATTTATGCTTGTCAACCTTTTGTACCTGTAGTCAATCTATAGTTGGAACTGATAAACATGTATAATTCCAACGTGGGTATTGGTCTGTATTTTCATTTACAGTAATGAGTAATATGAAAGTGAAAGAGTGAAAAAGTGTATCAAGAATTTACTTGTTCTCAGTGATGTGACTGAGTTTTTATTATATTAGCTAGCTTTAGAATACTAGAATATTTCTTTGATTTTTGTGCTATTCACAATGTTATAGCTACTGACACAACACTAAGTTTAGTCTGCATTATTAATATTTTCTCAATTTTTGAAGTTGAAATTATTAACAAACAATAAAACCTTAATCTATATTGTTTGCTAATTTCTTGGTGTAAACAGTTCCATCATGGCTAATTTCGTGCACAATATAATGTTATCAAAAACAGAGTTGGGAAGATATGCAGCAAGTAATACATCACTGTGTATGTAGTATTCCTACCAGTTGACTTAGGTTACCTGAAGAGCATAGATAATAACAAAACATAACAACATAATTAAGAAGTGATTCGTTTTGCATATTTATTATCTTTGTTTTAATATAACATTAATTATAAGTTTATATCATTCAATTTGTTAAATAATGGAACTCCAATGGTTACCTGAAAAAAAAAAAACTTTCCCTAAGTTATTTCCTAATCTTCATTTTTCTGATTCTTTTATTTCCTCTTTGTGGATGAGGAATTTTTACAGTCAACCACATGACTCCCTAGTCCTACTTTGAAAGCTTCTTTCCTCTTGTTCACTTTGTAAAATAATATTTCCCAACTAAAACTTTCATTCTAACATCCTGCTACAAAAATAGATGAATAAGACATCTATCACTCAGATTGTGATAAGTGCTGTGCTGAGGGTTTTTTTAAATGATGGTATGATAAAGAATGACAGATGGGGGTGGCTATTTAGAATATGTTGTCAGAGAAGATCTCTCTAAAGATATGTCATTCAAGCTGAGACCTGATTTACAGGAAGGAGCCAATTATGTAAAGATAAAGAGGAGCTTTCAGGAAAAGGGAACAACAGGACCCAAGAGGACCCAAGAGACCCAAGATCTGTTTTCCAATTTACTTTGAGTATGGTGAATCCTGGAGTAGGAGAAGAAATCAGAAAGTTAGGTTCACAATACGCAGAGCCTTGTAACTATTATATGTAGTTTGGACTTTATTCTATGTGTCATGGGATGCCCTTGGAGTGTTTAAAGCATGGGAGTGACATAATCTAATGTACATTCTTAAATATTCTTCATGTGCTTGTTTAGAGATTGAGTTAGAGGAAGGCAAGAGTGGAAAGCTAAGTGACTAGCTAGGACTCTCTTACATAAATTCAATAAAAAATAATGACAAACTAGGATGCTAATGGTGGAGACAGAGAGGAGTAGACAAATTAGACATACATTTTCCAGGTGAAGAGAAAAGCAATTGCAAATGAATTGAATGTGAGTTTGGGGAGAAAAGAAGTGAGAGTTATGCCCAGGTTTGAAACGTGAGCCATCCAGTGAATGATCGTATCACATCATTTGCTGAAATGTGGACAGCTGTGGACCACCTGTGGTTGGAACAGGTTTCGGTGGAAAAAAAAAACAAACCCTGGATTTTCATATGCCTACGTAATGCCAAGACTATGCCAAGTGGAAATGACAAGTTGAGAGTGGCAAATATTAGGTCAAACTATGTGAAACTGACATTTTTGTAGACCAAAAATGATGGAATACTGGTAATTTTATAGAATGTCCTTTAATATGCATTTGAAGCCCAGTGGAAAAGTCAGAGATATATAAAGATGCTATCCATCTCATGAGAAGATGCTATCCACTTCCTAAACTTTAGGTGTTGTGTAATTTATAAACATTATAGCAACTATAGCTTATTTGTAACACATTCATATATAGTCATACCTCTTGATATAACCAATAATAACTATTGTAACAATGTGTTTCAATAACTATTTGTAATACATTTATATATAGTCATACCTCTTGATATAACCAATCAGATTATGAGAATTAAACATGTATAAGGGGTTTCCTTTAATGCTTTCCTTTGACTTCCAGGCATTCCTTCACATTTATGAAGACCAATTTAGAATTCACATGCCTCAGTGGCAGCTAAGCACCATGAAACGAGAGTCACCATGCAGTCATCTTTGCAGTTTTATGAAATCTGGCATGCGTTGCACTGAATTCTCTCCTCTGAGTACTGGTAGTCTTCCAGTTTATAGTCCAGATAATCTTATGCATCAGTTAAGGTTGAAAAAAAATTCTTATGTTTTTACTATTCTGTTTGAGTTTGATTTGCACTAAAGTTTCACATATATAAAAATCACATATACTTTTTAACTGTTAAAGTGATTGTGTGTCATTAATCTTGGTGGTAAATAAGCTATTGACTTAGAAGAACTTTCCTTGTGCAGTTTATTTCTTCTTCCTGAAATAAATTATCCTCTCAAAACAAAGGAAGACTATATAGTAATTTTGATCAATGATATGATAGACTTTATTGGAGCACAAATAAATGCATAACATAACATATAAATGCAAGATACATTATTATAATCGTCAGTATCTTAACTCCAATACATTCAATCACTCATACATCTCAATTTTTCCTTTAAAGTTTCTCCAGCATGTGCCCCTACCTTTCTCTTCCCCCACCATTCCAGCACAGTATCATCTCCTCATGCCTGGATTACTGATGCTGCCCTCTACTGGGTCTCTCTACCACCCATCTTTCCTTCTTTCTTTCCTTTTTTTTTTTTTTTTTCAATTTTATTGCTTCTGGATTTTGAGTTATAGTTAGAAAGCCTTTCTCATACCAAGGTTGAAAACGAATCCCCCTGGCCCCATGCTTTTTTCTAGGACTTTGGGTTCCTTTCTCTCTCTCTCTCTCTCTTCTTTTATTTTTTTCTTATAGCTTAAGTTCTGGGATACATATGCAGAACGTGCAGGTTTGTTACATAGGTATACACGTGCCATGGTGGTTTGCTGCACCCATTAACCCATCATCTAATTAGATGTTTCTCCTAATGCTATACCTCCCTCAGGCCCCCACCCACCGACAGGCCCCAGTGTGTGATGTTTCCCTCCCTGTGTCCATGTGTTCTCATTGTTCAACTCCCACTTATAAGTGAGAACGTGCAGTGTTTGGTTTTCTGTTCCTGTGTTAGTTTGCTGAGAATGATTATCCTGCCACTCCAATCTTCCTGTTCTCGTTGTCATCATCAGTGACTAATGATACCACATGCGTGGCTCACTACAGACTCTCTGTAGGTCAGGCATAGAAATAACTGCTTTGCAAAGGCATTCGTTCCCATGTATATGAATCAATTACATGAAAAGCATTGTCTTATTCTCTAAGTTTCAGACCAGTAATCAGAGAGCTTCTTTCTTACCCAGGAGGACAAAGTACTGTATTAGTGAAAATATTCCCAATCTGGAAACATGTTAGACTTTGGGCATTTCTTGTGAATTTTTTAAGTGGAATAAATGTTCGAATTCACACAGGGAGTACTTGAGAGCTGAAAGATAAATGAGAAATACTAATTCCTCCATAATAAAAGGAAAAACTAATTCCTCCATAATAAAAGTAAGTCATGAGTTTAACGGTTTTCAGATTTCAGTTCTCAATTTTATCTGAGGATAAATAGCTAAAAATGAAGCAAAATAATCTTTTTTCTTGTCCTTTTTATTCCTTCTCTTTTCTCTTTTTCTTTTTATCACAGTCTTCCTTTTTTTCCCCTGTGGAGACCAGTGAGTAGGAAGAGACTCTAGAAATCTAACTGTTTTCTAATAGAAATGAGTTTTACATTGTTCAAATGTAATACACTTAAAGAAATTAACATTAAAAATAAGAATAGAGGCCTGACGTGGTGGCTTATGCCTGTAATCCCTGCACTTTGGGAGGCCGAAGCGGGCGGATCACGAGGTCAGGAGATCGAGACCATCCTGGCTAACACGGTGAAACCCCATCTCTACTAAAAATACAAAAAATTAGCCAGGCATGGTGGCAGGTGCCTGTAGTCCCAGCTACTCAGGAGGCTGAGGCAGGAGAATGATGTGAACCCAGGAGGCGGAGCTTGCAGTGAGCCAAGATTGCGCCACTGCACTCCAGCCTGGGCGACAGAGTGAGACTCTGTCTTAAAATAAATAAATAAAAAATAAGAATAGAACATTAAAATAAAACTAGAAGTTGGCATGATATTGTGGGTATATCACTGAGTTGGAAGTCAGATCATTTGAATTTTTGTCTTAGTCTTATGGGTAACTAGTTGTCTGACTTTGAACTAGCTAATTCATTTCTCTAGTTTAGTTTCTTCATCCGTAAAACAGGAGTGGTTTCAAAAGTCTTATCCAGCATTAACATTTTATAATCCCCTAATCTCTCACTTTCTGTTAGAAGTAATTTTTGTAGTAGCAAATTAGACAATGCTAGTGGTTTAGTGTTTTCTCACAGTCCCAGTGGTAGGAGTAAGGTAATAATATGGAATAAGACTGCCTTTACTGAAATTAGTGGCATTATCTATAATACTCACTTTTAGCAATAAGGCATATAAAAATCTGTTTTGATTACTATTTCTTCACTTTTATTTTCCAGCGGTAAATACAACTTTAGGCAGCTCTGTATTGACCCAGTTAGTCAATGCAGAGATATTGAGGTCTGTCCTTCTTCCCCATCTCAGGATATCCAACCACCTGCTGAGCAATCAAAGGGTCCAAGTTCTCTCTGTATCCAACCTGCTTCCTTCTCCTTGCACTGCTGATATTTATATACTTTTCTAGGCTCTTAAGCATCCAAAGAGTTATAAAATTATCTAATATTCCGTAACTCTATCTTCTATTCATTACCTACCAATCCAAAATTGCCACAAATACAAAGTGGAGAATACTGAAGCAAGTATTAATAACAAGTATTAACAATATTGCCTGTCTCTTAACCTCTTAACCTGCTCTGACAAGTTCTCAAGGATGGCTAGATATGCCTGAATCATTTGGTAAACATGGACCACATGGCCTCAAAAAAGTTCCCAGTCAAACTAGATAATGCTTAAGGAGCACTGAGATAGCCTTGAGATGAACATATGTCGATGCATTCATTCATCATTACTGTTGTTGTAGAGGGAAGTAAACAGGCGTTGGGAAAAGACAGACCTGGTTTTGAATAGTGATTAGCTGGATAACCTTGAGAAATTTGCTCACCTCCCTGAAACACAATTTTATTATTTGTAAAAAGGGCCTAAAACTAGCCCTTTTTAGGCTAGTTTAGATGCTAAAACTATCATAGCATTATGATAATTTAATTAAATGAGCTAAAATGTATAAAATGCCCAGCACAGTACTTAACATGCAATAAGCATGCAAGTCAGATTTTTTTTCTTTTAACAAAATACAGAAACAAATGAAAAGCTCCAGAAAGCTAACTCTGATCAACTTCTAGTTAACTCAAAGTTCAGAAGTTGAGCGGTATCTGATCCAAGCCTTTAATAGTCATTTTAATAACCTCACAAATTACCATTTGGCTCAGATTCTGCTTCTGCAATGGGTGAATCTTGGCATACCGAGATTTTTCCCAAGGTTGTTCTTATTCGTGCTTCATAATTAGAAGCTGCCATACCAAATTACCGCACAATTACAGCACCTGAGTCTTTCTTGGAGCTCTTTCAATTAAAATACTAGCTGGAATTGGGGAGGCTTAATTTTCTTCACCTTGTTGTTCCAAATCAATAGTGGATTATTTGGCCCTATATAGGAATGATAGTTCCAAGTTCCAGGTATCTCACGAGTTTATCTATAATCCACATGACTTTATTATGTCAGTAAGTGTTATGCTACTGAGTAGACCAATTACTTTAAAATAATGATAAATTGTGAAGCACCTGATGGATGGACTTTCTGAGTTAAATAATTTGGTTGCATCAAGAGAAATGATTTATATAGACAGTTGAAACATTTACTTGAATAACAGAAGACTGGCAATATTTTGCAAAATGCAAGAGTACACAAGTAGAGGCAGGAAATAATGAAAGCTCATCCAATGCCGGCCCATTTTCTGAACAAATAAGCCCCTCTTTTAAGTCAGGAAGCACTAATGCCAAAGCAATCCATCCTCATGATAAGCAATTGTCTGGTCTTTACTGCGCACTAGTTTAGGGCAAAGCCATGAATTTTATGTGACTAACACCCACAAGGCAAACAACATAGCTTTTAAGGATTTTCCCTTTATTACTACCAGCAAACATGATTAATGAACATCCTGGCCAGTTCTCTGACTTGTATCTCTGATAGTTATAAATGCAATGATGTACGTACATTTGTTTAAGTTAAGTGTAACGGGAGAGTGGGAAGGTTCAGGAAATGAAATTGAAAACATCTCTTTCTTGCTCAGGAATAGTGGCACTCTATTCTTTCAGAATAGAGTTTCCAAAGATCAGTTATATCAACTGTCTGTACAATCTTAAAACACAACTGTATAACAAAAAAATACATAGACTCAGGGAAAGCTGGCACCAAGGAAAGCTGTGTTCTCTTCTTCAAATGAATCTTATGTGGAAGGTAAACATGTAAAGATATAAATAGCATTATTGTGGTCGAAAGTGGGCTTGGTGTAGTTGAAAAATAGAAAAGAGAATTTGGCGACCATAAGACTATATATACACATACACACATATAAGTGATTATATATACATATCAGTGATATACGTAATCATATAAGTGATTATATATGTATGTAAGTGTAATTACATATGTATATATACATATATGTGTATATATGTGATTATATATAAGGGATTGTATTATAATCATATGTGATTATATATATGATAAAATCACTTATATGTGTGTATGTGCGTATATCTATATATAATGTGTGCATATATATATAGAAATTATACATATATTTCCCTCTGAAGCTTTTGCAAGATTTTATGCATATCAAGAGTCTTCCATGAGTTTCAAAAATAATGAGAATAGAGAATGAGATAAAGGCAACAATGACTGAGCATTTTCCAGAGTTGACAAAAGACATGAATTCTCATATTAGAGGGAAAACAAACAAACAATAAACAAATCAACAAAAGAATGAACATCAAAATAAGACAAATGAAAAAATTCAGACGTGGCAAAATGAAGTTACAACACATGCATGTAAAAGATGAAAATGTCAAAAGGTACAAGGAAAAGTACTGCAAATATTTACAAAAAATGTCAAAATACACATAAATATACAATGTTTGTGGATTGGAGGACTCAAGTTCAAAAAGTAACAATTATCATAAAATTAATCTATAAATTCAATGACATTTCAATAAAAATCCAGAAAGTTTCTTCTTGAAAAGTGCCCAAAAAAAGCTGGGTGCAGTGGCTCATGTCTGTAATCTCAGCACTTTGAGAGGCCAAGGTAGGAGGATCACTTGAAGCCAGGAGTCTGAGACCATCCTGGGCAACAAAGTGAGACCCCATTGCTACTAAAAATAAAAATACTAACTAAGTGCAGTGACATGCCTGTAGTCCAAGCTACTTGGGAAGCTGAGGCTGGCAGATTGCTGGAGCCCAGGAGTTCCAGGATGCAGTGAGCTATGATGGTGCCACTGCCTTTCAGCCTGGGTGAGAGAACAGCACCCTGTCTCTAAAAAGGAAAAGAAAAAACAAAAAAGGAAAATAATTCTATAATTCACCTAGAAGAGAAAATCTCAAGAATATTTAAATCAGTTTTGAAGATAATAAATAAGATATATGGGGTTTTGCCCTTCCAGACATCAAGGTTATAAAACTACAGTCACTGAAAATTTAAATCTGGAGTAGAGTTAAATCAATGCAACAAAAAGAGGTCACAGAAATAGCGTTGTACATTTATAGAAACATGGCCTATCACAGAATTCTGGCCAGGTGAGGTTGATAGCCTAAGTAGGTATAGAAACATTTTAACCTTTTTAAAAGAAGGTATAGGATTGACAGGATAATTTTATAAAATTGTTATAGAAAAGGATTTTTTTTTAGGGTTTTCTCCTGTGGCCCAGGCTGGAGTGCAGTGGTGTGATCACATGATCACAGCTCACTGCAGCCTCAATCTCTGGGTCTCAAGCAATCCTTCTGCCCCAACCTCCCAAGCAATTGGGACTATAGGCATGCATCACCACATATGGCTAATTTTTTAATTTTTTGTAGAGATGGGGTCATGCTTTGTTGCCCAGGCTGTTCTCTGACTCCTGGCCTCAAGTAATTCTCCCACCTTCACCTCCCAAAGGACTGGGATTACAGACATGCATTATCGCATCCAGCCTGGGAGGGATTTGTGAAGACATGAATGGCAGAAACCATAAAGAAGAAGATCTGCACATTTTTTCCACAATAAAATTTAAAACATAATTTTAAAATCTGTCTCCATGGACAAAGTTAAAAGAGCAGCTCCAGACTGGGAATAAATGTATTTTGGCAACACATAATTATTATACCAAATATGTAAGGAACTCCTACATGGCATCTAGAAAAAGATGTTAACCTACTAGGGAAAAAAATGAGCAATGAACACAAAGGCAATTCACAGAAAGAAACCCAATGGACATTAAGTGAGAAGATATCTTACTAGAAATAAGGGAAATGCACTTGAAAGCAGCAGTGAGATGCTCTTTTATACCCATTCAACTGTAAAAATTAAAGTCTGAATATACAGTACCACTGTTGGATGCCAAAAACCCTGAACCTTCATACAATGCTGAGGAGAATGTAAACAGGTACAGCTATTCTGGATGATAACTTGGATTTTACAAACACAATTTGGAGATGTGCATACTCTGTGAGCCTCAAGTACACTTTTAGTTACATTCCAGTCTAGTCCAACTCTTAAAAATGTGTGCAAAGATGTTCCCTGTTATGCTACTTGACCTAGTGAGTGAGTGGAAAGTACTTTAGTATTTTTCCATAGAGATGAAATGAATTGATTAAATGTGACATATTCATAATATAGAACTGCATCAGGCAATTAAATGAACTAGAAACTATACGTGTTCACACAAAAAATAAAATAAAATGTGATGAAACAAGATGGTTAATGACATTTGTGGTAAAATATTTATGAAAATTTTCATAAACACTCAATTAACACAACATGTATTTTAATGGCAGGATCTACATATGTAGTGAAAGCGTAAAAAACAGGAATTATACATACCAAATTAAAAAGAGTAGTTGTGTTTGAGAAGAGAACAACAGAAATATGTCTGGAGGGTTTTAAAAAAGGGATTTCAATGTTTCCTATAATGTTTTATTTCTTTTATTAACTATTCAATAAATCCATTCTAGGTGCTTTTTAAAAAATATTTATCCATTTCTAAAATTTAATGATAATACAAGAACCGAAGAAAACTCTTGGCTATCCCCCTAGATTAATTGCCTGTAAAATATGTAGCATTTTCTTACAATTTTAGAGGGTTGCTAACATTATAAAAACTATCCATCCATAGTTAGGATTCCCTTGTTAGAGGTTTCACAAACCTCACCCCCGAGGGTCATCTATCAGTTCCTTTTACTATAGCACTGTTGGTGGTCTTTACTCACCACCAGTTTAAGTGATTATTAAACTGCTTTCAGCAGAACTTTGTTTCAAAGCAAATCAAAATACAATCTAACATTGTAAAGTAGAGAAAAGTTAACTTATTCTGGATAAAGCAGTTATGAGTAAATTGTTCTGGGTAAACTGGCTTCCCACTTACTTTGGAAATTGTCTCTGAAACCTCTAAGATGATACTAGGGCTATAAGATTTGAAAACCACTATTTTAATATCTTATACTGAAAGGCAAGCCGTGATGAAGAGCCCAGCCAATCATCAAACTATCTTATTCTGCTCAGGTTTCCAACATTATCAAGTTCAACAGTGAAATAAAATGAAGAAAAAGTGCCAGTGTTTTGTTTGTTTTGTTCTATTTTCAGTGACTTATGAATATTATAAAAGCACTGAGCAATTTTAAAGATGACTTAGGCATTGACAATTGAACCAGGTAACCTGTGGATGGAAGGCATCAGAAAACATGTACTGAATGTGTGTCTATATGCACACTATTAAGTCTAACAAAAACCTCACTGTATTTACAGTTAAAACTTAAGACAATATGGACATACAGGTTTCATTTTCTTTTGCCCCCAGGAAGCTCAGAGACTAACTATAAAAATTATAATAAATTACATTGAGTCTCTTGGTTACCACCCTACCTTATGCTTTTTTCCTTCTTTTTGCCTGTGTTCTGATTTTTCATCTCTATTCATAGTTAAAAAAATCTAGGTGGTCTTATTGTAAAGAGCTTCAGATTCCTTTTAGAAAGGGGATGTGAGTATAAATAAAGAAGAAGACATCTTATTTTCATTAGATACAAAATTTTCATTCTAGTCTCAGTCTTATACAATAGCTGTTTTATGAATATCTGTGAATTTGCCATTTACTTCTTCAACTGCATCAACCGTATTTTTTTGGTGGTATATATTTTTAATGACATTGCAATTTTTATTTTTCTGTTAGATAAACTGATGACAACATTGGTCAATAAAATGATATAGAAAATAAAATATTATTGGGCAGTAAGCTTCAGAAGGAGATTTAAAGGTCTTTTACCTCTCAATCAGCTCACCACCATAGAAATATTGGTTCTTATTTAAATTAAACATCAATGTGAAAATGTCAATTGGAGTGTGTCTTCTTTTTTATAAGTGCTAGTTAATGAAGCTCAGACTTACATTTTTCAAAACTAAAAAGTAGATTCCAGTTTTACTTCTCTTGCAAATTTAGAACTAAAGAGTATACAATAAGCACACATCCCATAAGAACTCACTAGTGAAGGATGAACAAAATTTTAAGCCAATGAATGACTTCAGATAATCACAGTGGCTTCATCCCCAATTTATACCAAGTATTCCATTCTTGGTTTCCGATCTTTCTTAAAAATGGAAATGTAAACTTATTTAGCCACAGTCAGTCATCTAAGTTCATTATAAAATTCCAAGGTATATACTAAATAGTTTCATCTTGGCATGCATTTTCTCTTTTTCTCAAAACCAGATGAGTGATTTTAGGCTGCAATCAGCAAAACAGAGGTCAGAGATTTTTAGAATTAATTTGCATTTCATTATGAAATGATTCCAGGTGCAAGAATTAAAATGCCACATTTTGCTTCACAATCTTTATTTAAAATTCCATTTCTATTTTCATTCCTGTAGAAATGACATCCTATACTCATTTATGATTTGTTTGTTTGAGGAAAAAGAACTCAGTCTACTGGGATCTAATTATCGGAACCTAATTCTAATTACAGTCTTTTAAATCAACGCTGTAGGCTTTCCTCCTCTCCACTTCTTTTTGCAAAAGTCCCGTTTATATTGTTCAGAGCACTTTCCACGTTAGACACTTCTATTTATAGATACCATCTACCAAGGGTTTTGTAGCTATGTAATCTCAGTTTGCCAAACAACTTCATGCTCATTTGAACTAAGGAATTTCTTTGTAATTTAAACATACAGGGTAAGAGATGCAAATATAAAACATACACTAGACTTTTTTGTTGAGATAAAACATAACATTTTTCCCTAAAATCTTATTTTTGCAAAAGATACAAGGAGAGCTACTAATAGAGCATGTTGACTATAGATGTTTAAATAAAATGCACAAAGCTTGATCATTATTATTAAGCTGTCAGAAGTCTGCTGTCAAAACGGTATTTTCCCACTAACCTTTGAACTGGTAAAAAGAATAGGCAATAAATTCAACTAGCAACTTTACAGCACATGTAAAGATAATTACTTTCAATTTTCCATTTTATTATTTGCATATTCTCATTTTATAACATAGCTATTTGCTCTTGTAAGATAATAAATATTTAGTCCAAAGGCTCTAATTTTTTTCTCACTTAGTATCCGTTCATTAAATATTAATACTTAATTTTTACTCCTCTCTAGTGAGTAAATATGTTATCTCAAATACCTAGCAAATGAAAATAGAATCTCTCCTATCAGGAACCATTATAATGGCACAATTCATACCAGACATATACTCTATTCACATATACTAAGATATGCATGACAAACAGGTATTGCAGAATAACAAAGATTAATCAACTCATCAGGCAATGACGTATCCCGCTACCAAAAGGACAGCAGTTCTTCCCATGGTCTAGCCACAAGAAATATATCAAACACTAATGAACCCACGTTAAATGTATTAACAACTCAGGTTGAAACTAGCAACTGCCGCTTGAGCCTAGACACAAAGACTGTATCTCTATTAAAAAAAAAGTTTGTGATTGGGCCGGGCGTGGTGGCTCACGCCTGTAATCCCAGCATTTTGGGAGGACAAGGAGGGTGGATCACTTGAGGTCAGGAGTTAGGGACCAGCCTGGCCAACATGGGGAAACCCTGTCTCTACTAAAAATACAAAAACTAGTCAGGGCATGGTGGTGCGCTCCTGTAATCCCAGCTACTCCGGAGGCTAAGGCAGGATAATCTTGTGAACCTGGGAGGCAGAGGTTGCACTGAGCCAAGATCATGCCACTGCACTCCAGCCTGGGTAACAGAGCGAGACCCTGTCTCAAAAAAAAAAAAAAAAAAGTTTGTGATTGGTAGAAGAGAAAATAGATATTCTTTGGTCAACTTTTTGGGCAAACAAGGTTTAGAGGTTTTTGTCGTGTTGTAGTGTTTTTTCTCTCCCCTAAGGAACTTCTCAGAAACTTTTTTAAGATAATGGCATTACAAATTACTTAGAAAAGCATAACTACCTGGAGGGTTGTTAAAGAACACCAATTGATGGCTCTGCCTCCTTAGTGTTCTTACTCAGTAGGCGGGGGTGGGCCTGAGAGTCTGCATTCCTAAGAAGTTCCCAAGGGATATGGATTCTGATGGTCCAGCAACCACATTTTCAGAACCAATGAGTTTATGAATGCATTTTATAGTTCCATTGGATCTTTTTCTTTTCCATATGACAATTTCATCTCAAGATACTAGTAGTGTTCCCTACAATATATTTTGAGAAATGTGTTTTATGGTCCTCTGGCTGAAAGAAAACCTTAGGTTGAAAAAATGCTGTGGAAACAAATGAGGACCAAAGTGATCCCTTCACTTCTAATAGGACATTTTAGAAAAACTGTGAGACCTCTAAAATTGAAAAAAATATATAAAATATAGTTTAAAAAGGTATTTATCTTCTCATTGCAATTATGACAAAAAATACTGAAATTGCTTCTAACGTATACATGTGGTATTTTTAATGCAGAAGAATCAGAGTAACAAATAAATGACATAATTTCTTCGTGGACATAAGGGAATGTCAGATTCCTCAGGTCCACAATATATATTGTTTAAAAAAAACAAAGCAAACAAAAAAATCTTTGCTTTTATAATTTTATAATCAGGGCTTTCATAGGAGAAGATAGAATTAGAAAAAAAAATGTAAAACCCTTCTATACTTAGAAGATCCTGAATTTGTTTTTTCTTGGTAGAAATCTTTGAAGAGTACATCAGCTCTTTGGGCTTGCTGTGAAGGTGTTTGAAAATTTGTTCATTTAAAGATACTTATGTCAGTGAACACCTAGTAGTTCTGCAAATTGATACCACTGAAGAAAATAAAATGGTAAAAATGAATAATATTCATCATGCTTTGATTCTCCCAAGAGAATTTATTACAATTAAATAATTCAGAAGAAAAAAAATGAGTAGAAACTATTTCTGATAAAATCAGTAATTTTTGGGGCCGGGCACGGTGGCTCACGCCTGTAATCCCAGCACTTTGGGAGGCTAAGGCAGGCGGATCACAAGGTCAGGAGTTTGAGACCAGCCTGGCCAAGATGGTGAAACCCTGTCTCTACTAAAAATACAAAAATTAGCCGGGCATGGTGGCACGTGCTTGTAGTCCCAGCTACCCAGGAGGCTGTGGCAGGAGAATCACTTGAACCAAAGAGGCGGAGGTTACAGTGAGCCGAGATCATGCCACTGCACTCCAGCCTGGGCAACAGAGTGAGACTCCCTCTCAAAAAAAAAAAAAAATCAGTAATTTTAAAAAAATTTAAACAAGTTGTTAAATGTCTCCAAACAAGGAAACTGTTAATAGATTATAGACATTAAATGGATGGATTAGTGTGTCAAGACAAAACAGGAAAGTTATGAAGGATGGGACAACATGGGAGGCATTTACATAATAATGCTATATTCAAAAATAAACCTCAGGCTGGGCATGGTGGCTCATGTCAGCACACTGGGAGGTGGAGGCTGGAGGATTGTTTGAACCCAGGAGTTTGATGCCAGCCTGGGCAACATAGCAAGACACCTTCTCTACAGAAACTAAGAAATAAAAAAAAAAAATAGCCAGGCATGGTGGCAGGTGCCTGAGTCCCAGCTACTTGGGAGGCTGAGGCAGGAGGATTGATTGAGACTAAGAGTTATAGACTGCAGTGAGCTATGATTGCACCACCATACTCCCCAGCCTGGGCAACAGAGTAAGACCCTATCTATTAAAAACAAAAAATTAGATCTCACAATTACTTCTTTGCTCAGATAACACTATAACAATAAGGGCCAGAAAGAAAGGACAACAGTTGAATTTTGATACTGAGAATATGGATGATTTTGATTTCTTTTCTTTAAAAAGATGTGTCAATGTTATTTTAACAATATGTGAACATTTTTTAAATGTCTCTATCAAAATGTTAATTCTCCACAAAAAGTGTCACCTTATTTTTCTGGTAGATGATATTAATAGCAGAAAGCCCAGAGCATGGTAGAGGCTTTTGGAAGGATACTAGTGGGGGGAAAAATTACTGAAAAAAAGGAGATTGGAAACTTCCATAACTTAATTTTCTTCTGAATGTCTTAAACAAGACCTCACTGGATACACACAGTTGGCCCAAGCTGGAAAATGTTCAAGAGTGGGAAGATGAATACTCTGTTCCAGAGATGGCTGAAATTTAAAAAATAATAATAATCCCTCTCTGTTCTCTTCTGCCTCCACCTTTGGCTACATGTCAGTCATCATCTTACATTCCTATATCTCTATTACTTGAGTAGTTCCCTCTTAAGTTTAAAGCAAGTAAAGGTTTTTGTCCACTTGAAATGAACAATCACTCTGGAATCTGACATTTCAATTACTTCTCCTTATTTTCCTTCATCTTAGAATAAGCTAAAGGTAAGAGAAATATATTCAACTGCTTTTCCTAGTAGATATAATTTTAGACCATTTTGTCTTCCTTTAACTGCAATCAGGTTAAATTTTTAATTATGTAATCAATTTTCTCTTTTTTAAAGAAATGTAATTTATCAAATCAAATTTAAAAACTCTTTTGATATAATTAAAAATTAGCATAAGATTAGTGATCTTTCTGATTACAAACAATATTTTTCTTCCAATTTTTTTTTTTTTTGAGACAGAGCCTCGCTCTGTCGCCCAGGCTGGAGTGCAGTGGTGCGATCTCGGCTCACTGCAACCTCTGCCTCTTGGGTTCAAGCGATTCTCCTGCCTCAGCCTCCTAAGTACCTGGGATTACAGGCACATGCCACCATGCCCGGCTAATTTTCTGTATTTTTAGTACAGGGTTTCATCCTGTTAGCCAGGATGATCTCAATCTCCAGACCTCGTGATCCACCCGCCTTGGCCTCCCAAAGGGCTGGGATTACAGGTGTGAGCCACCATGCCTGGCCTCTTCCAATATTTTTATTAAAAAGGCTTAGGATTTTGAAGTTTGGATAGAGAGGCTCCAAGTTTGTGGCTTACTGAACGAAGAACAAGATTTTTTCTTTCCTTATTACACCATCTTTACATAGATCTTTCAATATTCAGAAATATAACTATATTCACTATAAAACACTAACTTTAATTTAAAACATCTGCCTTAAATTTCTGACCCCCGCCCCGCCCCAAAGAATAATTTAAAAGTACAGAACATTTTTCCAGTTATTTAAAAACTAATGTGTGGTACAATTATAAAGTTGACCTAAAAAGCAAGTCTCAGCATATTCTTAATCAGAGTAAAATGTGATTCTTTCCAACAAATGCACTGTTGAAGTTCTTTCTGCCTTTGACAGTAAAACAGCTGTGAACAAATTAAACTTTGGGATTTTGAACTTTTCTCTCATGACTCACTTTAGACTTCTCTTTTTTCCTGTTCTGCAGCTACTAGAATTGGATCAAATGTATTTTTGAGGTCACACAATTATATGTCACATTGTCTACACTAGGTTTTAACCTTGAGGGTAATGCTTTCACAACCTCCACTTCATAGAAGGATCCCAGTAGGGGCTCCCTTCATTGGTGAGCACAGAGTGATTAAGGGCCTACTATGTGCTGGCTCTAAGCTATCTATTATCTCATTGGAAAAGGAGGAGATAACGTGCCTATATACAGGCTTGTAAAGCTCTGATCAAAAGGTAGATTTGAGAGACCATTCACATTACTCACAAATCAGCCATCAATTTGGTATTAAATAAATCCCTAGAAAGTTTTGAATTCCACTCCTGTGAGGATTAAGACTTTGATCTGGTTTATGGAAAGATAGTCAATAAGAACCAGAGTAACAGAACCATGGGAAACCATTTCTCCAACACTAGGTGCTTAATAAACTAGACAATATTTACAGAGGGAAGGACAGAGGGGCATACCTGGGTCTATACAAAAAGCCAAAGCACAGGTACTGACAAACACAGGTGAGTTCACAGGAACAATAGGGCAGGAATCTTCGAAGAGGAGCTACTTTGTAGTAAACTGGACAGATGGCCAATACACACAAGGCCTTTAAAATACACTGCTGCAGGGCATCCAGTGCTTAACTAAGTAGGAAGGGGGATGGAGGAATGCAGCAAGAGTAAGAAAGGCGGAAAATCTTTAAAGAATAAGAAGCACAATCATGAAGTCCATGTTGGTTGTTTTATGAAGAATACAAATATTCTTAGTTTAACTCAGTTCTCATGCTTGCATTCTATGCAGCCGTATATTCACATAAAGTCAGGCTCACATCTGGAAATTTAAATCCAAATACATCTAAATGTATCTATTATAATTATTTATTAATTACCCAAAGTTTCCAAAAATCAGTATAAAGAAAGGAAGAGTGGATAGCTCATGTAAACAAATCAGACAATAAAAACGTAAGCAAAACATAATGAATGGATGTGCTAACTGCTATTCCTTGTAGCTTGTAACATATGCATCCGCTAGCCCCCCACAGATTCATTATATGGGATCGTGAAGCCGTTTGCAAAATATAAAGTGCTATAAAAATACTGGATAATAATGATAATTCATCTTGCCTTCCATTTCTATAGTATTTATTTATATTACACTAAATTTGAGCTTTAGTTGCTCCCAAATGAGTCTGTGGGTCCAAATTTCTTTCCCTACCTCTTGCAGCAATACAATCTGAGCATGTCAGGCAGGTCAGTGCTGGAGGGAGGCAACGTTTGCCTGCAGAAGAGTTTATATAGTGCAGGTCAAATGATGCACAGTGCAGCTGGCTTTCCTGATCAATCTCAGTGGGCACTGTCTTATTTCTTCCATTTGGTAAAAACTGATGGAGTGAGAAAGCCCTCCCAGTTGGTCACTTCTGCCACCAACTCATAGCATCTTTCTATAAAAGCAATATATTGCCATGGTGCCTTTCGAAACTTTCTCTTATGGGTTTTAAATGTCTGTTTTCCACCATGCATAGGTTTACGTGATTATACTATTTCACCCTCATTGTTCATCTTGCTTTTACTCTACTCTTGTCTATTTAACAGACTGCTGAATTGGAGACTCCTAGATTTTTTAACAGGATGGTTCTACCTGCACACCACACGATTTCATGTGTCACCACTAAGTAAGCAGATGGTCACTTGTCTCCTGCATCTGAATCCTGTGGGAATTCTCAAGGGAGGGAACACCCAGCTTTACAAAGAAAAAGGAAGTGGGAGGTGGTAGCAGAAAACAAACAAACGAAGGAATAACAGGGAGACAGGTAGCTGAATAGAAACTAAATCAACTTAACTGTGTACTACCATGAATTCCTAAGGGGCTTCCTCCCTTCCTCCCTTTCTCCCTTCCTTCTTTCCTTTCTTCCTTCTTTCTTTCCTTCCTTCCTTTCCTGCTCCTCCCCTCCCCTCCCCTTTCCCCTCTTCTCTTCTCTCATTTCCTTTCCTTTCTTCTCTCATATCAACACTATATCAGATTCCTTAGCTTTAAATATATTTTTAAATTTTTTTCCTATATATTCAACAATTTATTTGATCACCAGATTAAATGGTTGTTTATTATGCAAGAATGACTAATTTTTAATAATGAATAATCATATCAACACTATATCAGATTCCATAGCTTTAAATATCTTTTTAAATTTTTTCCTATACATTCAACAATTTATTTGATCACTACATTAAATGGTTATTATGTAAGAATGACTAATTTCTAATAATGAATTGAATAACTATTTAAAATGTTCTTTTTAATAGAACTGATTTACCAATCAGTGTAATCACCATGTTAATAGGCTAAAGAAAAAAAAATTGTATCGATGCAGGAAAAGAATTTGACAAAATTCGACATCTATTCATAATATTTTTTAAAAACTCAAAAAACTGAATATAGAGGAGAACTTCAACTTAATACAGTATACCTATAAAAAAAACCTACAGCTAACATCATGCTTAATGGTGAAAGACTGAACAGTTTTTCCTAAGACTGAAATAAGGTAAGGATGTCCGCTCTCACCACTCATGGCATGTGCAATAAAAAGCATACAGATCAATAAGGAAGAAATAGGCTGGGCACGGTGGTTCATGCCTGTAATTCCAGTACTTTGGGAGGCCGGGGTGGGTGGATCACCTGAGGTCAGGAGTTCTAGGTGAAACCCCGTCTCTACTAAAAATATAAAAACTCACTGGGTGTGGTGGTGTGCGCCTGTAATCCCAGCTACTCGGAAGGCTGAGGCATAAGAATCGCTTGAACCCGGGAGGCGGAGGTTGCAGTGAGCTGAGATCACACCACTGCACTCCAGCCTGGGCAACAGAGCGAGACTCCGTCTCAAAAAAGAAAAAAAAAAAAAAGGAAGAAATAAGACTGTCCTTATTTGAGAGGAGATGATGGTGTATAGAAAATTCCAAGGAATCTCCAAAATTTTCCTAGGATGAGTGAGTTCAGCAGTCACAAGATACAAGAGTAACAAAAAAATCAATTTTATTCTGCATGCTATAAATGAACATGTGGACCCCAAAAGTTGAAATATAATCTCATTTATGATCACCTCAAAAATGACATCATTAAGTATAAGCCTAATAAAATATATACAGGACTTCTGTGCTGAAAACTATAAAACACCAATGAAAAAAAATCAAAGAATATCTAAAAACAGAAGAAGCATACTGTGCTCATAGATTAAAAGAATCGACATAATAAGGATATCAATTTCCTTCTAAATGACATAGAAGTTTAACACAATTCCAATAAAAATTCTGGCAAGATTATTTGTAGCTACAGAAAACGTTATTCCAAAATTTCTATGACAAAGGAACTAGAATAGACAATGATGAAAGAGAAGAATAAAGTGGGAAGAATCACTCTACTTGATTTTAAATCTTATTATATAGCAACATCAATCAAAACTCTGTGGTATTGACAGAGGGGCTGACACAAGATCAATACATCGTAATAGTGAACCCAAAAGTAGATCCATACATGTATGGCCAACCGATTTCTTGACAGAAGTACAAAAGCAATTCAATAGAGTAAGGATAACCTTTTCAACAAATGTTGCTATAGCAGTTGGCTATCCATAGATAAAGTAAATAAATAAATCATCTCAACCTCAACTTCACATCCTATACAAAAGTGAACTCAAATAGATTGTAGATTTAAGTATAAAATATAAAACTATGAAATTTTTAGTAGAAAATGTAGAAGAAAAGTATCAAGGTATAGAGCTTGTGAAAAGTTCTTAGACATGACAGCAAAAGCATGATCTGTAAAAGAAAAAAATCTATAAATTAAACTTTATCAAAATGTAAAATTTTTGCTCTGTGAAAGACCCTATTAAAAGATGAGGAGAAAACACACAGACTGAGAGAAAATATTTGCAAACCATATATATGACAAAGGTCCGATATCTAGTATCCAAAAAGAACTCTTGAAACTCAACAGTAAAAATACAAATGGTCCAACTAGAAAATGGGCAAAGGACATAAAGAGATATCTCACTGAAGAGTATATTTGGATGGTAAATTAAACACACGAAAAAAAAACTGTGCAACATCACTAGTTATTAGGGAAACACAAATTAAGACTATTGAGGAGAGAGTACTACATACCTATTAGAACAGGTAGGGGGAAGAACGCTGGCAAGGATGTAGAGAAACTAGACCTTTTATGCATTGCTGAAGGGAGTGTAAAATTGTACATGCATGCTGGAAAACTGTGTGGCAGTTTCTTAGAAAATGCACCATGAACTTATCATATGAAGCAGCAACCAAAAGTTAAGACAATTAAAAGTTAAGATAAACTTTTAATTGTATTTATAACATATAGTCAAGCAAATAGAAAAAATAGACATAATTGACATTTTAAGTATAGTATAATATAGTATTCTTTCTCATTTAGTGACTTATTTTATGTTAGCTCTTATTTCTAACTTGTTACAAAAGCCATACATTGCATATGTTACAGCAATCACATGATTGCTGGTTCATAAAGCATTTATGCCAGATAAATGAAAATTTACATCTTCACAAAAACCTGCACATAAATGTTCACAGTAACTTTTATTTGTAATAGTCAAAAAGTGGAAACAACAAAACTGTCCTTCAATAGGTGACTGGTTAAGGATACTATGATATGCCCATACTATTGACTACCACTCTGCAATAAAAGAAACAAACTACTGATATGTGGAACATCTTGGATGGATCTCTCTGTCATTATACCGAGTGGAGAAAAGCCAAAATAAAAAATCACATGCTTTATGATTCCATTTATATATAACATTCTAAAAATGGCCAAATTATAGAGAGGGTAGATAGATTTGTGATTGTCAGGTGTTAGAGATGGTGTGGGTGGGAGTGAGTTTGACTATGAATGGGTAGCATGAGGTAGGTACTGGTGGTAATGTAATGGTTCTGTGTCTGTTTAGTAGTGGTTACAGGAATCTACCCATGTGATCAAAGGACACGGAACTATGTAAACACATTTTACCAATGTCAATTTCCTAGTTTTGGTAAAGAAACCTAGTTACGCAAAATGAATCAGTCAAGGAAACCGGCTGAAGAATACATAGAACCTCTCATATTTTTGCAACTTCCTGTGAATTTATAGTTATTTCAAAATAGAAAGTTAAAAAAATTAAATTCTCTTTTAATTAGTGACAAGGGATGTAAGTTTTACATGTGCATATATAGAGAAAGAGATGATAGATATATACCAAAGCATATATATGATTTATATAGTCTTTGGATAACTATAACTTGACCTAAAATCTTCCAAGTCTTGAGAGCAGGAAAGAAATTAATAAAATTTATTAATTTCTTATAAATTAATAAATTAAGAAATTATTGTGTATATATTAACACATAAATATATACACAATAAGAAAATATTTAGATTGCATTTCTTTTAAACAATCCTTAAGCTGACTACTTTGGGAGCTACAGATAATTTTATGGCTGCCAGAGTATTATTTAATATAATTGATTCTCCTAGATGGCCAAGAAAATAAAAATTAAAAAATCTCCCAAATTATCTACCATTCTGAGTAAGCAGTTTCTTCAGTTGAAGGTTCTGATTCATAAGATCAAGTCATCAATGCATGTACAGTGGAATGAATGAGTCAGCAAGTAAATAATAAAGAAACGACTATGGAAGATGAGCAGTTTCTTCTTTGTGTAGACTCTAAGATTGAATTAAATTACATTAAGTTATAAATGTAATTTAATTAAATTCTAAGACCAACTGTATAGTTTTTCTAAGTGAAAAATCAGGTCGGTGGCTGTTGCTAATAAAGCTTTCACTTCCGTAGGCCCCTAACATAAAATTATTTCATATCCATACTAAGAGAATAGCACGTTGAAGAGGAATAAATGATCCTTAACCTTTGCTATGGACTAAATGTTTGTGTCACCCCAAAATTCATATCTTGAAGCCCTAATCCCCAGTGGGAGAGTACTGGAGGTGGGGCCTTCGGGAGGTAATTAGGGTTAGATTAAATAATGAGGGTGGCACATTCATGTTGGAATTAATGCCCTTGTAAAAAAAAAAAGGAACAAGAGCTCTTCTTCTTCGCCATCTGGAGGGCACAGGGAGAAGTCAACCGTCTGCAGGCCAGTACCAAGAACTAAATCTGCTGACATCTTGATCTTGGACTTCTTAGCCCTCAGAACTGTGAGAAATGAATGTTGTTTAAGTCACCCAGTCTGTAGTATTTTGTTTTAGAAGCCCAAGCTAAGATAACTTTTAAGTAATTAGCATCTCTTGCAGAAGAATATATATAATTATATGAACAAAATGATAACTAACTGTTAAGCATTTTCTTTCCTTATTGGCCATTAAATTTGGAGAGATTGACAATATATTTATTTGTTGATCAAGTATTAATGTTATAAAACGTTAAAAACTTAAAAAAAAAATTGATAAAACACTTGTCCAGGAACAGTTAGGATTATTCTAGAATGTCACTTAAAAACTCCCTTGTCAGTCATTCAATAATTGAGATATCTTTACTAATCACTTAAGCCCCCTAAGTCTCCTTCATGTTCAAATTCCTACAACACTTTGTACTTACATCTTTTAATGCATTCTATCTTTGATTAGAGCCGTGTAAATATACTACTTATCTCTCCTACCAACTGGTAATCTCTATGCTCAGTAACTTCTCACAGAACTAATATTCTGCTTTGTCCAAAATCATGAAGGTGGAGCACTCATTTTGAATTAGCTGAATGAACACAAGAAAAAATGACTGAGGGCCGGGCGCGGTGGCTCACCCCTGTAATCCCAGCACTTTGGGAGGCCAAAGCGGGCGGATCACGCGGTCAGGAGATAGAGACCATCCTGGCTAACACGGTGAAACCCCGTCTCTACTAAAAATACAAAAAAAATTAGCCGGGCGTGGTGGTGGGTTCCTGTAGTCCCAGCTAATCGGGAGGCTGAGGCAGGAGAATGGCATGAACCCGGGAGGCGGAGCTTGCAGTAAGCTGAGATCGCGCCACTGCACTCCAGCCTGGGCGACACAGCAAGACTCTGTCTTGAAAAAAAAAAAAAAAAAAAAAAAAAGAATGAATGAACAGTAAGAATGTGGTCATCATTTTTACCTTGATAGATCAACTTATCTCAACATCAGAAAAATATTGTGTTTAGGCTTATTAGGATTACTGCTATGTTTATCCAAGTGTTGTATGTATTACATTCTAAGAAACGTGGATAAGAAGAAATAAAAGTACAAAGATAGTGTACCTTATATGTACTGGATAAACATGTAATGTGTGTAGGAATTATTATTAATTATCTGGATATTGGTCATATTATATTTATGATGATTATTTCTATATTATAAATACTGTTAATATCTCATAGACACAAGTGAAGAAAAATTTAAAAATTGTGTACCTGCCACAATAGGAACACTGGTTGTTTTAGGTCAAAATTTCAAAAAGCAAAAGGAATGCTTTAAATGAAATTTCTATTAAAGCTACCATATTCTTGTTCTCTTGGTTATTTTTAAAAAATTGAATTTTAAGACAAACTTTTAATTGTATTTATAGCATACAGTCAAGCAAATAGAAAAAAAGAAATAATTGAATTTTAAGGATAGCATCATATAGTATAATCTTTCTCACTTAGTCACAAGTCACATATTTTATGTTAGCTGTTATTTCTAACTTGTTTGTTACAGAAGTCAAAGTCTCATGGCTGGATAACGATAAAACTAGAATTGTTCTAAGACAAATCTACTTTTTTTTTTACTCTTTGATGAGATGGTTTCATTAAGTAGGTACACATGTGCATCTAGACTAATTGGATAGTCACTAGCTCAGATCTTCTTTCTATTCATATAAAGGTTCATATAAGGGATTTTCCAAGTTATCCTTTTCTGACCTATATACAAAAGTAAGTTTGTTATATTCTGAATTCAGTTTGTAATACTTTCATGACAGCAAAAACATCCATAACATGTTCTTCTTCACAGAAACTTAGGTAACCTGAATTAACAGTATTTGGCTACAGGACAAATTATCATTATTTTCCTACTGAAAATTTTGTATATATGTATTTACAGTAAAAATTTTTTTTGAGATAGTCTCGCTTTTTGGCCCAGGTTGGAGTGCAGTGGTGCAGTCGCAGCTCACTACAATCTCTGCCTCCCAGGTTCAAGTGATTCTCATGCCTCAGCCTCCTGAGGAGCTGGGATTACAGGTGTACACCATCATGCCCAGCTAATTTTTGTACTTTCAGTAGAGACAGAGTTTAGCCATATTGGTCAGGCTGGTCTCAAAACTCCTGACCTCAAGTGATCTGCCCACCTCAGCCTCCCAAAGTGTTGGGATTACGGACATGAGCCATCACACCTGGCTATTGTTTAAATTATAGGTCATTGTTAATATGCCTGGTATTTTTATCAAGAATGAAGTTCTATAGACCCTTGATATATTCAACTTTTATACTGGAGAGATTTGACTTAAAATCCTATAAAATTTTGATACATTATAAATTACTTTTGAGAACATTTATTGAGTCCTTACTATACTTATGCCAGAATAAGTGATAAAGTCTTTACCTGCATAATTACATCTTATTCTCTCAGCAATACTGTGAAGGAAGCACTATTATTCTCACATTTTTACAAATGAGAAAACTGAGGCACCAAGAGGTTAAGTAACTGGCTCAAGATCACAAAGGTTACAAATGATGAAGATAAGGTTTGAACCCAGTGACTCCTGATATCTGGGCTAAATCCAATTATAATGTAAGCCATGCTCAAAGAAAAAAAAAACCAAGAGTGATGGAAGATAGGAAGTTGAAGCAACACCTAATATCATTTAAGGAGTCATTACAGAAGAAAAGTCTGAGCCCAGGAAGGTGAGAACACCAGTGCTTGTAAATTACTAGAACTAGAGCTTGGAAAGGTTAGAACAGAGTTAGAACCCAGTGTTTTTGTTTGTTTGTTTGTTTATTAGATCATAATTATTTTATAGGGGCCTAATGCTTGCACAAGAATAAAAAATAAATTTTCCTAATTCCTGAAAGGGACTTGTGGTATAATAGAGAATATAAATGGTATTTGTCCCCAGTTCTTGGCTTGAAACTTTTGAAGCCCTTGGAATTTCGTAAGTGATAGTATTGTCTTTGTTATTATTAATGATAAAGTCACTCATGCTGAGCTGCTAGATTATTTCAGGGGACTGGTCACCAGGAAGGCCAACCACATGATTAAAGAGTTGAAACTTTGGACCAGCCTAATCTCCAAGAAGGGGCAAGGACTAGAGATTGAGTTTAATCATGTGGCCAATTATTTAATCAATCTTGTCTATGTAATGAAACCTCAATAAAAATTATGGACACTAAGGTTCATTGGAGCTTTCCAGGTGGTGTATGCATTGATGTGCTGGGAAGATGCACCCAGATTTTACAAGGAGAGGGCATGGAAGCTCTTGGTCCCTCCACCCAACCTTATCCTGTATGTCTCTTCATTTGGCTGTTTCTCATCTGTATTTTTTATAATAAACTGTAATTATAGGTGTAGCAATTATCTGAGTTGATCTACCAAATTAACATACATGAGGGGGTTGTGGGAACCTCGATATTTATAGCCAGTTGGTTATAAGTGCAAGTGGCCTTCCCAGGCTCAAGTACAGATGGCAAAGTACAAATGGCATCTGAATTAAAGAGAGTCTTGCGGATGACTGAGCCTTTAACTTGTGGAGTCTGATGTCAACTCCAGTGGGTTAATGCATCAGAATTGTATTATAGTACTCCAGTTGGCATTAGATCAGTTGGGTTGAAACAGAACATCAGTCCCAACTATGAAACTTCAGGTCACTTAAACTGTCTGTGTCTAAATTTCTCATTTGTAAAATGGAATAATATTAGTGTCACCTGTTAGTGTGGTTGTGAAACTTGAGTAAATCATGCACCTAAAGTACAAAACTAGTGCACAATTGATAAATTAGTACTAGTACATATTACTATGTAGTTCTATCATGGTACAGATACAACTTTATATTCTCCATTATTTTTCATTTTGTGTCATGAATATAAGCAATTTTTCTTGTTGCTACATAATCTTAATAATTCTCATGTAATGGCTGCATAATAATCCATCAATTTCAGTGAAAGTAACTTATTCCTCTAGTCCCTTCTGAGAATAAAGTAGCTTCATATTTTTGTATTTAAATTGTATGTCTTTATGCCTAAAACTTTTTCTTTTTTAAAATTTACATTTAAGTTCCTAGGAGTGGGATTACTGGGCCGATAGATATAATTTTATTTACAGCTTAAAACATGTTGTCAAATTGTTTTCCAAAAGAATAGTGTCATATTACAATCTCCAATACTGAATGAGTGTATTTTGTTTATTATACTTTAAGTTTTAGGGTACATGTGCACAATGTGCAGGTTTGTTACATATGTATACATGTGCCATGTTGGTGTACTGCACCCATTAACTCATCATTTAACATTAGGTATATCTCCTAATGCTATCCCTCCCCGCTACCCCCACCCCACAACAGGCCCCGGTGTGTGATGTTCCCCTTCCTGTGTCCATGTGTTCTCATTGTTCAATTCCCACCTAAGAGTGAGAACGTGTGGTGTTTGGTTTTTTGTCCTTGCGATAGTTTGCTGAGAATGATGGTTTCCAGCTTCATCCACGTCCCTACAAAGGACATGAACTCATCATTTTTTATGGCTGCATAGTATTCCATGGTGTATATGTGCCACATTTTCTTAATCCAGTCTATCATTGATGGACATTTGGGTTGGTTCCAAGTCTTTGCTATTGTGAATAGTGCCACAATAAACATACGTGTGCATGTGTCTTTATAGCAGCATGTTTTATAATCCTTTGGGTATATACCCAGTAATGGGATGGCTGGGTCAAATGGTATTTCTAGTTCTAGATCCCTGAGGAATCGCCACACTGACTTCCACAATGGTTGAACTAGTTTACAGTCCCACCAACAGTGTAAAAGTGTTCCTATTTCTCCACATCCTCTCCAGCACCTGTTGTTTCCTGACTTTTTAATGATTGCCATTATAACTGGTGTGAGATGATATCTCATTGTGGTTTTGATTTGCATTTCTCTGATGGCCAGTGATGATGAGCATTTTGTCATGTGTCTTTTGGCTGCATAAATGTCTTCTTTTGAGAAGTGTCTGTTCATATCCTTTGCCCACTTTTTGATGGGGTTGTTTTTTTCTTGTAAATTTGTTTGAGTTCATTGTAGATTCTGGATATTAGCCCTTTGTCAGATGAGTAGATTGCAAAAATTTTCTCCCATTTTGTAGGTTGCCTGTTCACTGTGATGCTAGTTTCTTTTGCTGTGCAGAAGCTCTTTAGTTTAATTAGATCCCATTTGTCAATTTTGGCTTTTGTTGCCATTGCTTTTGGTGTTTTAGACAAGAAGTCCTTGCCCATGCCTATGTCCTGAATGGTATTGCCTAGGTTTTCTTCCAGGGTTTTTATGGTTTTAGGTCTAACATTTAAGTCTTTAATCCATCTGGAATTAATTTTTGTATAAGGTGTAAGGAAGGGATCCAGTTTCAGCTTTCTACATATGGCTAGCCAGTTTTGCCAGCACCATTTATTAAATAGGGAATCCTTTCGCCATTTCTTGTTTTTGTCAGGTTTGTCAAAGATCAGATAGTTGTAGATATGTGGCATTATTTCTGAGGGCTCTGTTCTGTTCCATTGATCTATATCTCTGTTTTGGTACCAGTACCATGCTGTTTTGGTTACTGTAGCCTTGTAGTATAGTTTGAAGTCAGGTAGTGTGATGCCTCCAGCTTTGTTCTTCTGGCTCAGGATTGACTTGGCAATGCGGGCTCTTTTTTGGTTCCATATGAACTTTAAAGTAGTTTTTTCCAATTCTGTGAAGAAAGTCATTGGTAGCTTGATGGGGATGGCATTGAATCTATAAATTACCTTGGGCAGTATGGCCATTTTCATGATATTGATTCTTCCTACCCATGAGCATGGAATGTTCTTCCATTTGTTTGTATCCTCTTTTATTTCATTGAGCAGTGGTTTGTAGTTCTCCTTGAAGAGGTCCTTCACATCCCTTGTAAGTTGGATTCCTAGGTATTTTATTCTCTTTGAAGCAACTGTGACTGGGAGTTCACTCATGATTTGGCTCTCTGTTTGTCTCTTATTGGTGTATAAGAATGCTTGTGATTTTTGCACATTGATTTTGTATCCTGAGAGTTATGTTTTTACCACAACCTCTTTAACAAAGGATATTACCAGTATTTCAATGCAATGTATTATTTAAAAATATGTAAAATGGCATATTCTTGCTGTATTACTATGCATTTCTTACATTCTTTTAAATACTTCTGAAGTTAAATTTTTCACTTAAGAAAAAAGAATCCCCCATTCTAAATTATTTCTGATATCTTTGGAATATATATATAGATATTTTGATACGTGTTTTAGCAATTTGAATATAAATATTAACACATTCTCTTTTGTAGCAATTTTTAAATCACATAAGCCTCATTCAGAATGTCTTCATTAACACTCTCTTGATTACAAGAAATGAGAAAACCCTCACACTTATGCTTAGGTACAGGGTGTTTGGAAGAGACAGAGGAAAATTATGATAAGGAAACACAGGGAGAAATAATGGGTCTTGCAAGTCCTGTAAAGTGATCAATTCTGCACTGCTCTCATCCTGCCAAGCCTTGGCTTCTGGTTCTGTTTCTCCCTTCAAGTTGCTTTTCTTCTTCATGTTCTCTGTTTCTACACTCTGCTGCACATGGACCATTATGGCTGCCTCAGTTTGAGCTTCAGCTTCAAGGCCAGATGATCTCCTAATTTAAGCACCCAACACCAACTAACAGAGTCTCTTTTTCTCTGTGCCTATATTCCAAATCACATTAGACCATTTTCACTGCACTAAAATGTCTTCCACCTGTTTGTACCAGATGTATCAGGGTTCTGAAGCCACATGTTATTTGAGATTATTAGTCCCTTCTAAACCTTTGGCAAGTTTCTCCAAGAAAAGTCTGTGGAATTGGCCTAAAAAAATGTTTGGCATGCCTAGTAGAGGGTACAGTGAAGAACCTTGGTTTTCATTTGTGCTAAAAGTTAGCCAGATAGCCATGTTTGTGGGCACATTCTCCAAGAAGGTCCTCACTTCTAATACCAACTGCATGTTTGGGAAGAGGGGTCCCCAAAAACACCTTCAGGTTGATAATTTGCTAGTAGGACTCACGGAGCTCACTGAAAGCTACTATCCTCACAGCTATGACTTTTTAGAGGGAAAGGACACTGATCAAACTCAACCCATTGAAGTGATGCATAGGGAGGAGCCTGGGAGATCTCAAACAGGAGGTTTCCACTGTTCTTTCCTGTGGAGTCAGGTTGTGTTACTCTCATGGAATTGATATGTAACAACACACAGAGGTAGACAACTGGAAATTCTCATTCATTTAATATTCACATCAATCTGGTAAAATATTTTTTTCTATTATACAAATGAATACAATAAAGGTTATAAAGGGTAACTAATTTTCACACAATCATATAGCTTGCAAATGCCAAAATGGAATTCAAACTCCAGTTTATCTGTCTCTAAAACTAGTTATTTTTCCTCTCTGCTCTCCAGCCTATGGCAACAACCAGCCTTAGAGATTTAGGGGTGTTGTTGTGCCCTCTTGTGTCATAGTGTAACTGTAAAAGAGTTGCTTAACCCTAACTTATTAACATCTTCCCCTGTACCACTGCCCCCACCCCCACCCTACAAGGTGAAAAAGTAGAAAACCAGTCCTTGCTTAGACATCAGAAATCATTTCTGTTAACACTTTCCATAATAATATTTACAAGAAGGCAAATACTTAAATCATACAGGTAAAATTTCTTTCATTATTCTAGATGGTACTCATGTTACAGATGAGGTTTTTTTGTTTTTGTTTTTGTTTTGCTATTATTATAAATTTCTGGAATTCAATGTATGGAGAGGATAGGAGAAGAAAAATTAAGTTACCAGTTAATTAGTTCAAGGGAGAAATGTAAAGAATAATAATCTCAACTATTATACACATTAATTTTTCTGTGATATCAAGAATCAGTAATAAGTCTAAGTTGCTTCAATGAAAACTATTTAGAAATTCCTAGAATACCATTTTTTATCATAATGCAAGAATATTTTAACATGTTGTCCTTAGGTACCTACAGATTTAAAATGAAGGTTTCTGGAATAATATACAATTAAATATATTTAGTTCACAGTATTTTGATGAATACAAATTCAAATTACTCTGCATAATGCTCAAATCCTAATACGTGATCCCATATGACATCAAGAACTTTCAATTCCCTATCTGAGTAAACACGAATTTGCATTTGTGATTAAAGGTTATGGGAATATTTAATATCAATTTGGCTTTCCCCTTCCACTCACCACTTCCTCCCATTTACCTACACTCAGGTGAGAACTAAAAGTTGACTCTATTTATGGAAGTGCATCGGCAATTAAAAAAGAAAATCACAATTGAAAGTCAAATAAAAACACAGTTAATCATTATTAATTTTTGCTTGAGCTTCTCCAGCCCTATTAGCCTATGTAAATGAGGTCTTACAGGGTGCCTGTGAACAACATTATCATTATGATCACTGCAGCCTTATTGAAGACTAGCAACCAAAGCTATAATGACGAAAAAACAAATGCCAAAAGCAAGGCGTACCAAGCCTCTGGCAGCCAAAGGTATTCACTCTCTCTCTTCTCTCAGGTAATTAAATCTCCAAGTTAACCACAGTCAGGTTCACTAGACTTTTCTTCACATGCATTTTTGAAACCCAGGCTGAAAATCTTACACGTTTAGACTCACTTCAAGTTTATGGACAAGGAGGTCCCAGTTTTCTTTCATCTATCAGCAATGAGAACACTGCTTCAGGATGGAAGAGGGTGGGAGTGGCTGCAGGGGAATGGACACTGCCTTATAACATCTCGCTCCAGCCAAGATGAGGTCCCCCCAAAAGAAACCTCCAGGGGAAGAAAACAGATTCTTCGAAAGTTTCTCTACTGTGACCCTTCCATTCTCCATAATTAAGATCCATTATTTCACCATAATTTTTCGTGGTGTGTTTTTTTTTTTTTTGAGACTGAGTTTTTCTCTGTCATCCAGGATGGAGTGCAATGGTGCGATCTCAGCTCACTGCAACCTCCGCCTCCCAGGTTCAAGCGATTCTCCTGCCTTAGCCTCCTGAGTAGCTGGGATTACAGGAGTGTGCCCCCATGCCCAGCTAATTTTTTTTATTTTTAGTGTAGATGGGGTTTCACCATGTTGGTCAGGGTGTTCTCAAACTCCTGACCTCGTGATCCACCCACCTTGGCCTCCCAAAGTCCTGGGATTACAGGCGTGAGCCACCACGCCTGGCCCATAATTTTCCTTAATGTGTGTTCCAAGAAAGATATTGCTAGAACTACAAATTTCAAACTAATGGGAGAGAAAAAACTGTAAAAGATTAGTGTCCCCACAAAAACAGTGTGCCAGCTTACCTAGGTAATAACACATGGCCCACAGGTTACACTACTTATATCAAAGAGAAATATAAAAAACTCCAGCAGATGAATGAAAAAGGATACATTTCTAGCAAATACACTGAAAAAAGATTATGATTTTTGGTTCTCTCTTGAGGGCACACTTGATTTGAAAGAGTTGACACGAACATTCCATGAGTTTAAAACATTCCTATAACACAACGCACTGGGTGGTTTCTGAAAGCAATATGAAGGCCAAGTTAAAAAAGAAATTATCTGGGTGCATGCTAAAATTCTCCAGAGCCTAATGCTTCTGTCCTGTGAAGGAAATTAACCCATTAAAAAAATAAAAATGAAAGCATGTCAGTTAACTGATTAGAAAAAGCAGAATGTTTTTTTCTCTGTATTTTAAAGTTAATTCTTTTTTTCCTTAAACTGACACAATGGGCTGTGACCAGGGCACTGAGATTATTTCGGTAACACAATGATATTGTTTGGCTGTGACCCCGCCCAAATCTTATCTTGAATTGTAGCTCCCATAATTCCCACATGTAGTGGGAATTCAATTACCTACCTGGTGGAAGGTAACTGAAACACGGGGGCAGGTCTTTCCTGTGCTGTTCTCGTGATAATGAATAAGTCTCACGAGATCTTATGGTTTTATAAAAGGGAGTTTCCCTGCACAAGCTCTCTCTTGCTTCCCACCATGTAAGATGTGATTTTGCTCCTCCTTTGCCTTCCGCCATGATTGTGAGGCCTCCCCAGCCATGTGGAACTGTGAGTCAATTAAACCTCTTTCCTTTATAAATTACCCAGTTTTGAGTACGTCTTTATTAGCAGCATGAGAACAGACTAATATACACACTCATATTCTTTAGCAGTGTTTTTTCCAAAACTTGATTTCTTCTTTTAATCAACATGAAAATTTCATGCTGGAGGTTAAGGAAACATTAATTGCTGCTAGAAAAGATCAAACCTCAAATTTCAGAGGCTTAATACAGTACAAGTTTACCTCTTGCATTATTACAACAATGCTAATGCTAAAACTCAATTGTGTGTGTCAAGGCAGGGGGCAGCGCTCCTGGTTGGATGGTTCTTCCCAGGGACTCAGAACCTTCCTTCTTGTGCACTTGGCCACCTTCATCACAGAGATGTAAGTATGCCCTGGGTCTCAGCTTCATTCAAGCCTAATAGGAGAGGAGAAGCATGGTGGACCATGGAGTCAGGTTCTCATGGTCAGGCCAGGATGTGGCAACCATCACTTGCATCCACATGTAATTGGCCAGAACACTATCACATAGTGTCATCAAATGTAGAGGTAGATGGAAAGATTGTGTGGTTGGATGCCCAGAAGGAAGGCGAAATGGGGTTGGTGAGTACGTTGTAGTCTTTGACATACTTGCAAGGAAAATCCTGAGAAATTCTCATACAGGGTGCCATCTACAAGGTTCATGTCTTGGAATCTATATGTTGTATATTCCTATCAGCCAAAAAATTCATTCACTCACTTATTCATTCTTTCATTCAACACTTAATTATTGTGTGCCCACTATGTGTCAGAAGCAGTTGAAGTTAGAAGATGTACTAGTGGAAAAAACAAAAATCCCTTTCTGCATGGAGACTGCATTTTAATAAAGAGTGATAAGACAATTTTTTAAAAAGAAGTGAATTTTATATTATACTGTATTACATTATATCATATTATATTATAAGTGATTAAAACTTGGAGAAAACAGAGAAGAGAGGCAGGGAATGCCACTACATGAAGGAATGGCTTACAATTTTAAGTGGAGTGATCATGTCTTAAAAGGAAATGATGATGTGTACCATGGGAAAGTGTAGTCAAGCATTCAGTACAAGTGGTTTGATTTACATTTTCCCAATATAAATTTATATGTTCCTGAATATGGATCCTCAAAACATAACCAGTTCTCTGGGGTTCTGACACTCACCCTCACACCTGCACCAACCTGGTGATTATCCAGTGGCCTATATAGTGAGTACAAAGTGCTTACATTTCCATTTCTAATAAGTAAAAACCAAGATAGATATTTTTCATCAGAAAAAAATACCTTGGAACTCATATACTCCAGCAGAATCCTTTGCTATGTGAAGGTACTCAAGCCAAGGGTCATTAAAGATCTTGGACAATAAGGCTATATAAATGGTAGATTGAGAAAAAGAACTCATTTAAGTCTAAAGATTTTTGAGAAATAATTTGAAGTATGTAGAGAGCTGCAAGTTCCAAATTACCTGTAGCCTTGAAAGACTTTACAATGACTCAGTACAGAGTCACCTGGCATAGAACTGGTCCAATAAAAAGTTGTGAAGGCAGCAAGGAAAGAACTGGAATGAACTTCTCAGGGTTCTCCTAAACTGAATCTCTGCTTTTCTCTCTAGCACCTGACCATGCACTCAGCTACCCAAGCCAGCTTTGCCTACTTGCTTTGAATGTTAAATTTTCAGCCCCAGAGATTTCAGACTAAATATACTCCCATTGGAATCTCCTGACTCAGCACACTACAGGTTTCCATCTCTGCTGGACTTCACCGTGGTTGGTGTCAAGGAACTAAAGCTTAGGACAGTCATCGTAAACGGAGAGAATTAACCTATTAACCTCTGAAGGTATAAGCTACCTTGATAGGATTTATAACATGTTTTATATTGCAGTGTTTTTCAAGAAATGATGTCCTTCTGCTAAATATCCTTAAGGAGAAACACCAAATTGCTAAAAACACAAAGAGAACACATTGTGACCTCCTCCTTCCCCCGGCACACACATTCCTTCCCTGGCAACAGATGGAACAATCTGATTCCCAGGTCCCAGCCCAGCCAGCTCTATGAACGAAGAATGGAAAGAGCCTAGTTCAGCTCACTGGACTCAACAATATGTGAACTTCGCTGCTGTTCACTGTATACTTTTGAGAATAAGTTCCTTTATCTGGAAATCTTCCTCTTTCCTGATCCCTCAGTTCTAGTCTCTGGGAAGTTGCCTGCATGGGTTCCCAGGGCTCAAAATCCACCCCGTCACAATTTCTCAAAGATGAGGGTCTTGCCTCCTTCTTAACAGTCTTTCCAGGAACAGGAATTCTGCTCCCAAAACCCAACCTAGTGTTTAAAGATATCTACCTTTTGGTTCATGCCTATAATTTCAGCACTTTGGGTGGCTGAGGCTGGAGGATTGCTTGAGCCCAGAAGTTTGAGGATGCAGTGAGCAAGCTATGATTATGCCACTGCACTGTGGCCTGTTTAAAAAAAAAAAAAATTTTTACCTTAGGCCAGGCCTCGTGACCTCTGATTATGTATGGCATCTTTTCAGACCTCCCAAACAGCTGAAATCCCATTAGGAGCCCTTGAAGATCTCCTAAGTAGTAAACATCTGCATAAGTGGCCACCTATTGACATCATCTCCAGGAATCTAGGTCTCCCTACTTGGCTATGCAACTTCCTATTTATTATAAGCAAGTGCTCCTACTCATTGACATAGGAACAGTCTGGTTTCTGGATGCCTAAACAACCAGAATGGTCCATTGCACTGTCTTCTGAGCAGCAACTTTTCAAAAGCAGCAGTCTCTAATCTCACAGAGACACTGGGGCGCTGTGGATCAGCCAGGACTGCACCTTCCAGTACAATGGCCACTAGCTCTGTGTAGCTAATTCAATTTACATTTCAATTAATTAAAGTTAAGTAAAGTTTAAAATGTAATTCCTCAGTCGCGTTAGCCACATTTAAAGTTCTCAAAGCCACATATTTCCAGTGGCTACCATATTGGACAGCACAGAGACTATTTCCATTATCACTGAATAATCTATTGAATAGCACTGATATACAGCCTGGAAATGAAATGTCAAAGGGCACAGATTTGGCCAGTAGGAGCCAGCCTTGATTCATTCATGAAACTAACAGGAGTGTGCCCAATATCCATTATGCTGGTCCTATCCCTAATGGAACTAATATTCTAATACTCTTACAGCATGGGCTGCTGGATACAGACAATTAAAATCAGAGATCATTGTCTATTTTGTTCACTGATAAATACAAGAACCTAGGACAGTAATTGGCACATAAGAGAAGTATAGTAAACCCATATTAAATGAATGAACACACATGGTTCAGTTAATTATAAGGTGTTACAGCCTAAATAACTATGTCATCCCAAAATTCATATGTTGAAACCCTTCCCCTAACGTGATGGCATTAGAAGGCGGGCCCTTTCGGCGGTAATCAAGATTAGACAAGGCCATAAGGATAGAGCTCTCATTAATTAATGTTCTTATAAAAGAGACCCCAGAGAAAGCTCTCCATCCCTCTGTTCTCCACTTTGTGATGATACAAGAGAGCAGTCTGCAACTCAGAAAAGAGCTCTCACCAGAGTTCAACCACGCCAGCACCCTAATCTCAGGCTTCCAGCCTCTGGAACTGTGATGAATACATTTCTGTTGTTCATAAGCCACTCAGTTCATGGTAGTTTGTTACAGCAGCCTGACCAACTAAGACATAAGGGGGCAATCAGAGAGGAATAGGAATAATTTTCTAGGCTCTATTACAGGTCAGATTGAATAACTCACTAACTGTTCCAATTCTTTTTCTATGGCTACTTATCTTCTAGTCACTAATTCTACATCTTGGATCCATTAACACCAAGAAAGTGTGAAAAGGCAGGGCCATGGTGGCTGCAAAACTAGATTAGTGGCATTACAGTTGAATAAAGTGGCACTCACATTCAGAAATCAGTCCTCTGTGAGTCTGGTTAGCACAAACAGGTTTTCAAGGCTGATGTTCTCTGGGAGAACATAAAAAAAAATAATTGTTTCTATACGAAAAAAACTGGGCCTCAGAGCTCACATCAAATTGGTCCTGGTTGCAGCTACATTTGAGCGGTCAAACCCCTGATTGCTCTATTTAACATCTTTTAACAATCATAGTGTTTGTTTGTCCCTAAGCCTGTAGCACAGAAGAGCTTTTTCTGGCCCTACCAATCACTCAGAACTGTCCATACAAAAATGAACCATGCCTTCTCCCTTCTCCATCCCACTGTGCTTTCTCAGTTGGGATGGTCTAATCTAACAGAGTATATAGATTGGACAGTACCAAGGAGAAAAGAGCATGAACTAGTAAAACGATTAGAGAGAAGAGCCTCCAAAGTAGGAGGAAGAGCCTGTTCCTTGGGGAGAAAGATAAGAAATAAAAGGACTGGGAATTATATTTAGGTATTCATCACTGAGGCTGGATCTGCATCTGGAATGTAAAATAGGGAATTTTTACTATCATCTGGATAATTTAGTCTACAAGTATCTCTTTTGAACTGTGCATACCTCAACGACTGAAAATTTAGGAGTTTATTTAGATTCCTGCTCCTTTCTCACATTTTTCTATACATAGATAAATGAATAGGAGGAAAATGTAGTTAATCATGTATTCACCTCGATCTATAAAAGTCATATTTAAAGGAGATATGTAGACTGTAAGGGAAGAAGGGACTTTCCATCAAACCAAGTAGACCACAGAAATCAATCTTGGAGTGTAGTAACATGACGGATGTTACAGTTGATCTCTATCACACTCTAAATGCATGGACAGGCAGCTTTATGAATAACTGGTATTCTGGAATCTTTGAATAAAAATCTCAGGTCCTTTTAGGAAGGATGAATGTTTGATTAAAGCTGCTTGGTATCTTCTTAGAAATGATCAAAGAATACTCAGATATATAGAAGTACTGAACTGGGAGATGAAACACCCAGTTTCTAGTCTTATCTTTAACACTAACTTGATGGATTATTTACTTCCATTGGTCTCTGTTTTCTTGTATCTGATATTGTAGGCTAAAGACAGGTCAGTGTTTGGTTTCATAAAGAGAGACAGCAGAGGGAGAGAGAAGATATCACTGACTGTCAAAGTATTAGATAAATGGTGCATTCTAATGAAGCCTTCTTCTGAATCACTGCCTTACTTATATCTGGCCAAACAAGTAAGATAAACATGCCATTCCAACATTTTTATTTAGTAGATCAATTTTTTATCCTCAATCAGAGTGACACCATCTTTGAAAAATGCTTGCAGTAGGCACTTTGGTTTCCTTTGGTTAGAAAAGGGTTTAAAGTCCTCCAACAAATGAACACAAAAAATGTCAAAATAATGTTGTAACAAGAGCACGTACAAGCCAAGCAGTATCAGATGTACTTTCAGATTCATGGCCCTAATTCACCCTGATGTGAGCGGAAGGCCTGGCTGATCCGGAGCCCCAAAAGGAATTCTGACAACATGCCTTTTGCTTTGTACTGTTCATGCTGCAATTCCTAGGTGCATCTGGGCTATCACTGAAGCAATACTTTCTATTTCCAAAGCACTTTATAATCATTAATGATTTATGCCTTACAACATCCCTCCAAGGGAGGTCAGTAGCAAAACACAAGGAACACAAATGAAGAAACAACTGGAAGATATTAAGTGATACGGTGGAAATCGCACAGCAAAAAAGATAATAGTAAAGCAAAGCGCCCTCTGCTCTTCACACAGATTCAAGGTGGGTGTGTGATAGAGAATATTTCCATAATAAGGTCACATATATTCCCGTACCACCAATGAAGTTCCACCCCTCCGAAAACTCCCCTCCCCACTTTCACTCTTTTCTTGCTTTCTCCTTAATCCATTTAATGTTTTAAGTCACATTTTTACTATATTACAGTAATTTAGTCCTCTGGTATTTGCAATTCAATCGAGTATCCTTGGTCGTAATCTAACAGAAGCTAATAAAAGACCTTCCCTGACCAGAAAATAAAAGATTAGAAATATTTAAACCATATTATTGGCTTGTCCCCATCCCATACATTTTTGTCCGTGATTTTAAAGTTTTTATAGATCCACTGATATCCATTCAAGGATTCCTTCAGACTCAAATTCCTACTACAGGGATGCTGACCCTAGAGATTCCATTCCTACTGCCACCCAAATCCTCCAACTAATGAACACAAAAAATGTCAAAATACAAGCCAAGTCGTAACTCCAGGAGTTGACCGATCCTAGTCTGACATTGGCTGGGACTCTTGGAACCCATATAGCCCTAAATTAACAATGCCTGCTCTAACTTCTGGAGGCCATTTGTCAGTAGTTATACCTGTGCAACTTGCGTTGATCTGCAGAAAACATGTGTCTCAAAAGGGTGTATGTTCACCAACATTTTGTAAATTATATGACATGTTTCTATTGATTTACATTATAATGTAATAGATTTTTTACTTTTAGGTTAAAGGCATGTTAAACTATCAATCACTTTTGATGCCTTAATTGTATTTTTTTTCCTATTACTGGGTTTTTTTCAGGGGCAGGGTCTCGCTTTGTTGCCCAGGCTGAAGTACAGTGGTGTGATCAAAGCTCACTGCAGCCTCAAACTCCTAGGCTTAAATTATTCTCCTGCCTCAGCTTCCCAAATAGGTAAGATTACAAGTGCACACCACCGCACCTAGCTAATTTTTTAAAAAATTTTTGTAGAGACAGGTTGTTGCCATGTTGTCTAGGCTGGTCTTGAACTCCTGGCCTCAAGCCATTCTCTCTCCTTGGCTTCCTTAATAGCTGGGATTACAGGCATGAGCCACCATGCATAGTCTTAATGCCTTAATTTTAAATGTATCTACTTTTACTTCTTTCATTTTTTTTCTCAGTAAGAATCTACTAGTCAATACTAGGGAAAGCTGAAATATAGACTTCCAGAGGTGTATGCTTTTGCATGTTGAAGAAATATTTTTGTAAAGTGAATAAGTCTTCAATTCATCTCTAGATTTGTTGCCAACATTTTCCTTAACATATGTCAAAACCATTATTTGAATCAGAAATGTGCTTTAAAAGTGGCCTCAGGGCAATACTTTGACCATAGTTAAGCCCAAGTATATAGAATTCTCTGGAGACTTCCTATATTCTTCTCTTGGTTGCTCCTAAATACATGTTATCATGGGGTAGTCTTTGGCTTATCAAAACAATGCCATATCTAGGCAATTCATAAGATACTATAATATTATTTTGTTAATAAGTTAATTAATTTTAAAATTATTTAATCTAACATGAATTGATAATGGTGTCTGCATGAATAGGAATGTGTTTAATTATTTTGTGAGCAATAATAAAAAAAAGTTACAAAGAGCAAATCACATAATCAAAATGTGAAAACTACTTGTCAATACTTTCTAACCGTTTTATGTACCAAAGAAAATATGAATGAGTGTGGATGTGAGGGTTTTTGCAGGACGTGCTTTGTGAAATGGGTCCGGTGTGGTGTTCGTCTATGCATCATTACAGAATAAAACAAGTAACCTCTCTTTCCATAATATATGGGATCAGCTATTTATAGAAGAAGCCCAAATACTATAAACTTAAAATCCAAGAATTCCTTTCATTCCCAACTCTCTATTCAAAATAATTTTATGCTTTTTGGGAGGCCAAGGCAGGAGGATTGCTTGAGCCCAGGAGTTTGAGACCAGCCTGGGCAACATAATGAGACCCTATCTTTACAAAAAATTTACCATATATAAATAAATAACTGTATTTTGAAGAAAGACCATGTGAACAGAAGGAGAATAGTAAGCATGGAGGGCAAAAAAAAAAAAGTGTGTGTTTGCGGGGTGGAGTGTAGACAGAGAAGCATGATTTGTAGCTTTTATACAGTGCAATCAGGGAAGAAAGGCACTGCATCGGAAGGGTGCTAAAAGCCAAAGTCTATGTGTGTTCCATAGTAAGCTGGGGATAGGTTAGTCTGGCGGAAAGAGCTCTAGGACATTTGATTCAATTTCAATATCTCCTGTTCACCAAGTAATTACCTGTTGCTACTTTATCTCTTGCAGGGCTCTGGATCCAGGAAGCCCGAGCAGAGTACTGTTGATCATCAAAATTCAACACAACAATGTGGGTTAGGTCTATTCAAAGGAGAGTTAAAAAGAAAAGTTGACAGCTGGGCGCAGTGGTCCACGCCTGTAATCTCAGGACTTTGGGAGTCCGAGGCGGATGGATCATGAGGTCAGGAGTTCAAGACCAGCCTGGCCAAGATGGTGAAACCCCATCTCTACTAAAAATACAAAAATTAGCCAGGCGTGGTGGTGGGCACCTGTAATGCCAGCTACTCAGGAGGCTGAGGCAGAGAATTGCTTGAACCTGGGAGGCAGAGGTTGCAGTGAGCCGAGATCATGCCACTGCACTCCAGCCTGGGTGACAGAGCCAGACTCCATCTCAAAAAAAAAAAAAAAAAAAAAAAAAAGAAAGAAAGAAAGAAAGAAAAAAGAAAAAGAAAAGTTGACAAAGGACGAAAAAGCACATATTGGGGCCTGGTGAAAAATAAAAGAAAGAAAACCTAACCCTCAATCCTACCTTACTAATCAAGATAATGGGAGCCAGTGAGGCCATGCTGGCTTTCCTACATGACTTATTTCTCTCTGTGGCTCCAGGACTAGGAAATGTTGGTCAATAATCCACTCACTGCAGCATTATTAAAACTACATTGCAATGGAAAAGATATTACAGGACATATTCTTTTTTTGGTTTTGAATCATAAAATCAGGCCAAATGATATGTAGCCATACTTTTACCTTCAGCCTTTCCAGCAAAAGTACAATAAATAATCTTTGAATCACAAAATGAATATTTCCAATTAAATTTTCTAAGTGTTCCATAAACAGAAACTGGTTCAAGTAATATCCAATAACAAGTGTAGTATTAGAAATTGGCTTGGAAACATGAGTTTGACTTGTTCAGAAGCCATCTCAACAAAACAGATCTCTCTTGGGCTTGCAAATTCACTGATAAGCACAAGATAAGTTACTAGAGAAATATTTTTCCAGCAGTGCTCAGGATCCCCAATCATGCTGGGCGTCAAGTGCTAGAAACGATTTAGCAGCCAGTTCTTCCATCTGTCCTACAGTAGGCAAGCATCCAGCATCCAGGATGATCAACAGCCTCTGGGGCTTATGACTTACCAGTCAATGAGTAATATGTTTTGCTGTTTGGTGCTTTGTCGATTGATGTCTTAGAGTGAAAATTGCCAAAGTGGCAATCCACCTGTCAATACTTTTATTTCTGCCAAATTATTTTAAAAACATAAACTGAACATCAGAATACACCTAACCTATGATAGATAAAATTCTATTAACACTATATACTAAATGCTTTCATAACTGAAAAAGGTTTTCAAAGGTATCTATCATGTACCCATCTGTCTATCTACCTATCTATTTATACATACCCAAATACAGACACACACATTTAAAATACTTCTTTTGAGCTTCTAATCACGGTGAATATTCTTTAACTCAAAATTTATTTCTACTTATGGCATATTTGCTAGAGGCCAGCTATAATAGATTAAACGGGTTTATTTGAAGGAGCCAATGAAGCCAGTTGTTGATATTAACAAGCTTCAGTGGCTGCCAAATGAAATGTCCCAAATATACAGAGTGTACCATTCCAAAGTGTATCATCTAAATTGTGAACATCATGCTTATAAACTGAAAAGTTAACATTGTATTTTAAAATGAACCATAATGCTTGTGTTTCCAGTCAAGGTTTGAAAATAGGGGTGTGTACCTACTTGTATAATGCACCATTTGGCAGAGTGCTTAAGAACTGAAATTCTGGAGGCTGATCCTCTGTGTTCATAATCCAAGCCCCATCTTGTACTAAAAGACGTTAGGCAAGTAACTTACCCCCCTAGGCCTGTTTCTTCATCTGAAAAATGAGGATAATAATAATAATACTTTATGGAGTTATTCAGATGATTAAATGAAATCACATAAGGAAAAGTCCTTAGAAAAATTCCTGCCACACATTAAGGCCCAGATAAATGTCAGTGATGCTTCTTAGCATCCTGTTTTAGGTTACCAGTTCTCATCAGCTCCTCTGTGTCTGATTGATACCCAGACCTAAGGAGAAAAAAAAAAATCCAGGTTGTTTTGAAAAAGATTGTTGGTGGTTCCGCTATGGCAGCAGGGCACTTTGAAGTGGAGGCCTTGGGGAGGGAGCTAGCAGCCAGCCTCAAAAGAATTGGCTAGATTCTCTGGGAAAGGAATTCATCAGCATATGAAGAAAAACATGGGTGAAAAGCTGGATGAGGAGATTTGGATGAATAAAAAATAAGAGCGTGTATTTAAGCAATGTCTCATAAGTCACGATGGGTAGAATCAAAACTATACCGTAATATTACAGTCTAATTGGGGTTTGTGTCTGTGTTTAGCGAGGAGAAGAGAAGAGAGAGGCAGATAGGGAGAAATAAGCATTGCTTGGATAAATAGTTTAGCTCACCTGAAAAAGAGAGGGTACTGTTAATAAATAAATAAATAAAAATGAAGGCCACCATTTACCTACCCCAAGGCCAACTGCCTATAGTCAAGTAACCAAAACTTATATCATCCTGATTTCCCTGAAAGGCTAACGTGAAATGTAAACAAAACACAAACGTAAGCTTTTAGTCCTTTACTAACATGATTCAGTGTAACTAAACCAATACAGCTACAGAGAAATGAGCTTAAACAGCCCTAATGGCCTTCAAAAATGATATAACCAATCATGAAAAAAGATCAAAATCCTTCCTTCTATATGTTCTACAAGCTGTACTGTAATTGTTGTAATATTGAGACTCATGTCATGTTTCCATGTCAAAGTCTCCCAATTCATGAACTGTTCTCTTTTTTTTTGACCTATTGTACATTACAACATGGTGACTATAGTTACTAACAATATGTTGTATTCTTGAAAGTTGAGAGTAAATTTTAAGTGTTCTCACCATAATAAATAAGTATGTGTGGTAATGTATGCATTCCTTAGCTTGATTAACCCATTCTACAATGTAAAGATATTTCAAGACATCATATTGTAAACAACAAATATATGTAATTTTTATTAGTCAATTAAAACATAAATAAAACCTTTATGCAGACGTTTAAAGAAAATCTTAAAAGAAAAACTAAGTAGCCCTAAAACTGTGTAAAAAAATGGTTTGATTTACCTTTGCATGCCCCTCTCAAGTAAATGTCAAGAAGTCTTTCCTAGATCAGGCCCTACTAGCCTTTTGCCCTAGACTCTCTGGGAGCCACTAACCTTTCTCCAGGAAAAAAAATCAAAACCAACCGAACAAACAAAACAAAACACAAACTGTTCTTTATATGCCCAATAAATTCTTAAAATTCTAACTTGATCTGATTTGATTTTTGAGAATACTCAGCATATTTTGTAAAGCTCTTCAAAGCCATTGATGAATCTTCCAAATTAGTTAATGGCTTTATGACCTCCTAACTTCAAAACGGTACAATATTGATAGGACTGGTTAAGAGAATAAAGTTCAGGGTCAAAACTATTATAGATGTTTCAGAAAGATGCAGAAAGTGAGAAGACTATGTCAAAGACAAGGGTGGAGAAAAATAGAGCTATATTCAATCATAATTCTCATACTCAAGGAAATAGTTGTGTTTAGCTCCTTAAACTCTCTCAGGCTAGTCACTAACCCAGGAAAGAACAAGTCCGCATACACCCTCCTCACCTCACACATGCAATATCTTGGGAAATCATCAAAGTCAAAAGACCTGTTGAAAATCAACTTAAAGCAACAGTGTTACGGTTAAAAGGAAAAATGGAATGCTTAAGGGCAGGAGAGGGGCACACTGGAAGAAAGATGCCACGCTGACAACTGTCCCCGCAGGCCACACACGCACTTTTAGAGCCAATCAAAAGGCACAGGGCTAAAGGTTTAATTCTGAAGAGCAAGACTTTTGAAATGTAACTGAATTCTTCCCAAAACTTCTAAGAAGAAAAATACATAAACACATTGAAAAGGAAGAGAGCAACCTAAAAAGAAAGCTTGGCCCCTCATGAGGGTGATGCAGAAAGAGATGAGAGGGTGCAGGCAAAAGATGGGTCAAAGAGATAGCACAAAATTACTCAGTCTCTGTGAAAGGTTTTAAAAGGAAAACATGTTTACAGTAAACAAAAGATCAATTCCACACCTTTTTTTTTCTTTTTTTTTTTTGGTTAAAACACACAATTAATTCTAGTTTGTAATTTTCTCTTAGTTAAGCCAAAATTGTCTTCTTACTTCTAATCATACCATCAATCCAAAAAACAGTTTATTAAGCCTCCACCTACTGAGCTTCATCTAAAAGCACAGTGCTACCTGCGGGGGAAATTACAATGACTTGCAAAACAGGAATGCCTTCCTCTCAAACTCTGTGTTTGAGATTAACATTTAATTTTACTAACACGATGCTCAACCAGTGCTCAAGAAATGCAAAAGATAACTGGCCCTTGGGGTTTTGTCTGGCCTGGGATTGTCTGAGATATTGAGAAAATGTATTTTCAACCCTATTGGTGAAAGGGTGGGGTTCATTTAGTTGGAGATACTAAAAGAAGACATCCTAAGTGAAGGACAAACTGGGAGAAAAGGTCTGAAGGCTAGAAAGCGCAAGGCATGTTCTAGGAAATGCAAATAGACCCCTTGGGCATGAAGAATGGTGAGGAGAAGGGAACGGTATTGAAGACCTGACCAGCTGCACTCACAATTGTACTGTTTGGGCTTGGCATCAACAACTTTTGTGCAGATTCAAGAACCTCATTTCGACCTGCTAAATATGTGTGTGTATGTGTGTCTGTGCGTGTGTGTGTTTCTACATAAGAAATTTTGAGAGGGAAGTAATTTACATATTTCAAGAAAATTATGATGCAGGGTATCTGAAATTAATCATTATCACAGCCAGAAATATCTTTAGAGCAAACTAGCAAACTATTTTGTAGGCTGTCTGCATTACTAATGTATTTATTATAATATTTACATGCCTAGTAGGACTACAATTTTGATATACAGACTTAAAATCACAGAATTAACACAAAACAATAAAATGTGCCCCAGCTCAAAGGAACAGCAAAAAAAAGAAATATTACATTAGCAGAATAGAGAACCTACTGGTATTTTAACAGACATAAAGAAAAATAAGACTTTCTACAACAGAGATACAAATCTGATTACATATAATAGATGGAAAAAAAAACCTTGGAATGACCTAGTAAGAGCATGTCTTTCTTATGTTGCTCTTTGAATTGAGAAATAACAACAAAAGTGTTTGAAGAACTCAACCTCTCTGATGAGAGAAGAGTGAAGCAAAATGCAGATTTATCTAGAAATTATAAAGAGCAAGTCACTAAGCAAACTAAGTCCCTGCCACTGTCATGGCCTAGGGTTGTTTTCCAATCAGGGATTGGATGAAGGGACCATCCCCTGGTGCTATCATGAGTTAGCTCCTTGAAACTCCAATCTTGATTTTCCCTGCTGTAAGAAAACAGTCTAGACTCTGACTGCTGAAGCCTTTCCCAGCTTTAGAAATTTCTAACACAGCCTACTGTGATGATTGTCATAAAAGATGGTAACTATAAGAATATGGTTAAAGACACTCTGGCGTCCACTGTCTCTCTGAACTTCACGTTATGAGCGATAGCAAGTATCCTTATTGGTTTCATCAGATTGTGTCAGAGTTTTCTCTTATTTTCAGACCAAAGCTGATCATGTTTCTAATCGAGGTTTAAATGTTTAAACATGAGCTAAGAAAATTACATTTTCTAAGTTTTATTTACTAGCTGTGTAAATTTAACAAATTGAACATAATATACATTGCAATAATCTTATATCTATTTGTAAATAAATATAGATATGTATATATGAGACTTTCCATGGTGCCCAGCTCTTCATCCACACTCAGTGAATGTTAATTATCATTAACTCTCAATAGCTAACATTTGAATGGCACTTTGCAGTTTTTTTTTAAAAAAAATCATTTTTCCCCCACTTGATTGTCTCTTCATCCCTGTAAGGTTCTATTGTCCTAGTTGAAAGCTGAACTAAGTGAGAAAATTGATCCAAGAAGATAAATGACTTTCCTAAGTCAAAAAGCTAATTAGAGGTTGAGTCAGAACTACCTTGTCTGGCTCCAAATATCTTGCTGTTTCCACCACACTATGTAATCTTTTACTATTTGCCATTAATAGAGTGAAGAGGTCAAAAATAAAAATCTATGTTGGTGAGTCAAAATGCTCTTCTTATTGGCCAATGGAACTCTATGATAGAGGAAAAAAAGAACTTAGAAAGTTATTACAGAAATCTTCACTGGATATTCAATCCAGTGCTGAAGGAATCATGTTTTAAGACCTGCACACAAGAAAGCTAGTTGACATCTTTAAGAAGTCAGTTTTAGAAATAAAAGACCCATATACTAGGAGGCAAAGAAGCCTTCAGTTTGCTCATGAGGGAACAGGGGACAAAGAACTTGTGTCCCTCTGTTTTGGGAAGAGCTTTTCAAAGAGTTGGAGCAGAGAGAATGATAACTGAGGACCTACAATAGCTTTGTAATAACAGAGCATTTTATTTGTCTTGGATTCTGAATGTCTTTTAACATTGCTCTACTTGGAAAAATATATTCCTTTTGAAATTTTCTTGAAGCTGTGACCCATGTGGTCTGTTCTCAGAAAGCATTTTTTTAAGCAAAGTAACCAGTCCAGCAATCAAAAAGTAAAGTTCAAATCACTGTGATTCGTTGCTCCCTTTTTTCTGAACACAATTAATAGAATATACTTCATCCAGCAATGATACCTAATGGATATTGAACATCGTGTCATACTCCATATAATACATTAACTAATTGAACCTCCTAACACGCCTTTGAGGAAATTACTGTTGTTTTATCTCCATTGTACATATGAGGAAACTGAGTCCTAGAGAAGCCCCATAAGTGGACCAAAGCCCTGCATCATCTAAGTGGCAGAACCAAGATTCAAACCCCAGATGACTTCAGACTCGATGGCTACATGTCTATTTTCCCCTACCTGAAACTCTTCTTCCAGCGCTGATCTTCTCCAAGCTCTTGAGAAAATTTCTCTCTCAGTTCTGATCCAATTCTCTTCCCCTTTCTCTCAATTCTGCATTTCAAAAATCTAAACTACCTACCTGTCAAGGAAACAATTCGCTTTCGAGGAGAAAGGAAATGAAACTGAGCTTAAGAGGCTGAATGCTCTTTAGCTGAAAGAGGCAGCAGAAAAGAGGCTACTGACCCTCTAAAGAATATGATTTTCAAATATAAGTATGCATCAGAATCACCTGGAGAGTTTACCAAAACAAATTGCTGGGTCCCATACCTGGAGTTTCTCATGCACTGGGCTTGGAGTGGGGCTGAAAATTTTGCACTTCTAAGAAGATCAGGTTGATGTAGAAGATGCCGATCTGAGGACTGCACTCTGGGAACCATTGCTCTAGGTAAATAGCTTTGTGTTCCTACTTGAAAGAACTCTACTTTCATTTCTTCCAATTATTCAAGAGTTCTATATTACTCAAGCCTAAAGAGCATCTACCCATTGGGTTTTACCACCTCTAACCACACATTACAGGTCTCAGACTAACAGAAATGGTGCCAAGAGGGAGAAGCTGAGCTTCCTCTTCCTCCTTGCTAAAGGCAGACTTCTGAGTTTCCTGCCAGTAATTTCTCCTCCATTCTAACTTCATGGACTAGTGATCTGAGTTGCTGTGCAAAGAAATCTGTGGTCTCAGCTTCTATCCCCAACAGAAAAGGACACTCATATTCATACAAAGGTCATGGAGGGATGGCTTCTTTACACAAACTGATAGAAGAAACATATATCAAAGCAACTATAAAGGATAGCTGAAATGCTGACGTAAGAAGACCAAAATAAATAATAACAATATTCACGTCATATATCGTCTCATGAAAGGCCTCTTTCAAAGGGGCTGTAGGAACGGCCTCTTTCAAAGGGGCTGTAAGAACAGCCTCTTTCCTTAGTAAAATGTGAATACTGTACATTTGTATTAGGAATCCCATATTTAAAGCTTGTTTTTATCTAAATCAATTATAAATTAATCACATTAATTCATCACATATATTATAATTGTAATGCTGGCCTGTGAGGCCCAAATTTAGATCCCTATTTCATACTTTAGGAAAAATTTTACTTGCGCCTAATTTTTAGAGCAAAAAACCTTCCTCCTAAGCGTATGAAGTATAGATCTAGAGTAAATAAAAGCCTTAGATTGATTAGGCTGAAGCATTATTTTATTATGTGCACTTCTCAAATGATTGAACTGGATTTATTCAGCTATGTTAAATAATACATTACTTTAGCAGCAAATGCATTTTTTGCATTTTGCATTAAAAGAATATTTAAATATTCTTTTAACCTGGACAAAAATGATATGCCCATGTCAACAGCACTGGAGAGCCCACACTATCAGTTCAAACTTTTCCCATTTCCTACACAATACCCATTTCTTTAGCATTTTGAACTCATCCTGATTAAGATCTTTGCTTTCACCTATTAACTATAACCTTAATTTTGTTTTTATCATAGTGAAATAAGACCCCTCTGTGAGCTGGGGAGATACACTTTCAGGTCGATATATACTATTTTCTTTTTAACTACTATTGCAGGAATAACACATTTTAAAAAATTATGTATAGAGTGAAGAGCAGAGGAAGAGTTGCTTTGTTTTGCCATCTGAAAATTACCCTAGAGAAGTTTTATGTGTGTGTGCATGTGTGTGTATGTTTGCATATATGCATACATGTATGGATATGTATTTGCAATCTGATACTCTCAGAAAGTACAAGAAAAGGTATTCATAAAGCAAGTTCTTGAAAATGACATGAGAAGAGAAGTTTTGCAAGAGAAGAGAAGAAAGTCTGGTTGGGAAGATGGTCCCATTTGATACTATTTTGAGCAACTGACCAAATAAAGTTTTATATGGTTTAGAGCTTATGTTCTGAGGACTGAGCATAAATTGTCTGAAGCTCAGTTATTTATTTTCTTTTCTTTTTTAATTTTTAAGATAAAATTTCCAAGGCATCTCTTTGAAGTTAACTAATTCTTTTAAATTAATACATTTTCACACATAGTATCTTCTAGAAAAAAAATTGATGTGCATTATAAATGCATATACTGATTTATGAAAGAATCACATCAACTTTAGTTGGCATGTGGTTCATTAATAGTTCAACCAAGTAGACCTCACCAGGTTCAAAATAACAGAAGTTTAAAAATTAAAGATAAAATCTATAACGAACAAATATTACTATGGGTAAAAAGAATTCTTTATATTACAAATCCAATTAATTTTTTAACAAGTCGATTTTATCAGTTATTTATATGAGCTTCTGTAAAATAATGAAAATACACTTGGAAAGTTGTAGAAGAGTAAATCAAATGCATCCCCTGTTCCAAACTTATGAACACATTCGCATGTGTTACTGCATCTGGCTTAGACAATTAAATATTAACAACCTTGTCTAGTTTTTCATATTAAGAAGATGTCACGATTTTCTCTTTTCATAAGGCATCAAAGCTGAAGTATTTTTGCCTCCGTTTTCAAAGAAAAAAATAACGACAGCAGTGCACGTAGAGGCTTTTATGCAAGCCACAAGTAAGAGATAGCCAGGGGCAGAAGACACGTGGGCCCATCTGAGAAATTACTTCAGGGCAGTAAGAAGCTTGCTGAGAACAGAATTTTACTCTTGGATTCTAAACTTGAGATGCCTTCTGAGCTTATAAAACCTAGCGATTCCACAATATTATAGAGAATGACTTAACAGCCCAGTTTGAATTTTGTCACTTTAATCCATTAGTCAGAAGTGCAAAGGAAGTCTTCCATTCTACCTGTGATATTGACTACCCCACCCCAAACAGGTGGCAGTTTCCTGAATTAGCTTTGGCACATTTTTTTTTCTTGCTGTGATCATCTAACATCAGTTTGGGTTACTAGAAATAGAACTTGAAATAGGAAGCAGTCCTACATTTTTTGTTGCTCTGGAAATGGTCTGCTTATAATCTTCCATCAGCCCTCCTCTACATGCCCAACCACTAATCTACACCTTGATTGGGGCTCAGTTCTCCTTCTGATAGGGAGAGGCCCTTCTGCATTTTCCATCCGTTTTCATGGACGGATGCTCTGAAGGCAGGGCTGCCTGCTGAGCCTGGAGTCTACCAAAGTCTGTCACTTCTGAATACTCAACACCAAGCAGTGCTTGCCAAATTTAGAGCCCTGCCTGACAATCACATGGAGGGCTTGTTAAAACACGTTGTAGGGGAGGAAAAGATGTCTTTTCCTGGCCCATTGCTCGGTTCATGGTGGAGGCTCCATACAAAGAAGATATTAAATAAATGCAGATTTATTTAATATAAGTTTTACATGACATAGGAGACTTCATGAGAAAATGAAGACCCAAAGAAACAGATTAGCTTGTGTACTTTTATGCTTAGGTTTGAAGAGTGGACAGTCCCGGAGAAGTATGACTGGACAAAGGAGGTGATAAACTCGGGGAAACTTAGCAAGGCCTGTTTGCTCAGATTCTTCTATGTCCCGGTGTCTTCAGAGATAAGGATGTTTCTTCTGGGTATAGCGAAGGCACCTCTCAAATAAGGGTCTTATGATTTTACAAGGGAGAGGAAAAAGTAAGAGTGACCCTCCTCTGTGTCTGCTGTTTTCTCAAATGCCAAAGGTGCAGCATTTTGGGGTAGCACGCCTGAGCCCCACCAATAGATTGCCATCAGCGTTTCTGTTTCAGTAGGTCGGGGATAGAATCCTAAAATTATCTGCATTACTAACAAGTTTAAGCCCCCTTTGAGAACCACTAGCATAGAAGCTAGACTCTCAAGGAGAAAGATGTGTATTTAAACACACATCTGAAAAATTTGTGAATTCACTTCAAGATTTTGTTTTAAAATATTGTATTTTCATTTTTTGATATTACTTTTATTTTTATGTACTTTATTTTTTCTGTGTGAAGAATGGGGTCTTGCTATGTTGCCCAGGCTGGTCCTGAGCTCCTGGGTTCAAACAGTCCTCTCACCTCTGCCTTCCTAAGTGCTGGGATTACAGACATGAGCCACTGCACCTGACTGGTATTGTTTTTAAAGGATATGATCATTTCTTTAAAGCTGAACTACCTGGGAAAGTATAACCTACCCAAGTGCCAGATGAGCAATGTATTCATGTAGACTGAGATCTCCAGATTCCAAACGTCACCCTAAATCACCTACAGATACACCACTCTCACCCTGAACAAGTCCAAAGGGCCTCTATCATACACTCTGAACTTGACCTTGGGATTGTCTCTAAGCTTTTTCATTATGGTATCTTCTGGAGAAAACTTCATAAAATAATTTGAAAATGGTGGATGGAAGAAGGGTAAATACAGAGGAACATAAAGAAGAATATTTTACACAATCGAATAGACTCTGCTAACATCTGCTGCATTTCCTTTTAGATTTTTTCTGTATGTTTTGTTTCCTACTTTTATTTGCATTATTTCATAAGAATTTTCCAATAATTAACATTGTTTTCAATGGTGTATAGTGTTTTACCTTATAAATACACCATAGTATTTTAACCATTTCTTCATCGCTGTATATTTAGATCATTTCTAATTTATCACTATTTTATATATACATATATACGCACACTATTATATACTATTATACTTTGGTAAATATCTTTTGGCATTCTTTTCTGAATTTTAGATAATTTTCTTTAAGGAAATTTCTAAGAGTGTAATTGTTATGTCAAAGAAAAAGAACATCTTTAAGGGTTTCGATACATTCAGTAAAACTGCCATAAAATAATAAGTGGCATCTAAGGAATTCAATTGCATATAATGTGGTGTGTTAATGTAAGATTAAGAAAATGATCAGGGCAAGTCCACTGATATGGCCAGCAGGGAGACCCCAGGTTTAGCTGTGCAATGCAATTAATTTCTGTCCAGGTTGTGGTTTGACACCAGGTCATGTTTGGTGACTCTGATTTAAATATTTATGGGGACAATTCTAGGTCTGTGTCTTAATGAGAACTCCAGACAAGTAGCAATGATGTCAAAAATCTCTCTATGTCTATTCTCATTTAACTGCCAGAAGGATTCATTTGAAAACATAAATCAGAGTGTTTTTCTCCTCTGCTGAAAATGCTAAAACTGCTTTGTTTCACTCAGAGTAAAAGTCAAGGTCATTGCATGGACTTACATGATCAGATGTGGTATTGCACCTCGGCACTCATCCCCTCCTCTCTCCCTCTGGCCACAGTGTCCAGCCAGACTGGCCTCCTTCCTGAGTCTTTGTTATTACTGTTCTGACTTCCTGGAATGCTCTTGCCACAGGTATCTGCTTGTCAAATTCCCTAACTGCTCTCAAAAATTTATCTAACTATTACCTTCCTAATGAGGCCTGTCCTAACCAACCACCCCATTAAATACTGTGCAGTGACATCCCCACCTTGGACCTTGGCCCCAATTATTTGACCCTTCTGATCCTTCTCATCTTCATTTTATAAAAATATATATTCTACTTATCAATTTTAACATACTATATAATTTAGTTATTTGTTAAGTTTACTGCTTATTTTCTGTAAACTCCACAAGGATAGTGATAATTCTGTTTCATTAACTGATATGTGTCAAGTACCTAGACCAGTCCCTGATACATAGTAGAAGCAAAAATCTATTTTAATGAACTTTAGCTATCTCAGGTTGAGAGTAAGGGCTGGATAGAATATATAACCCAATCATCCATCACATGATAGTGATGGGGTTCAGGACACACTACCCCAAAATATGGCATGCTGGTGTATGAGAAAACAGCAGAAGTAGGGGGCAGTGATATAGTTTGGCTATGTCCCCACCCAAATTTCATCTTGAATTGTAGTTCCCATAACCCCCATGTGTTGTGGGAGGTAATTTAATCATGGGGGCAGTTACCCCCATGCTGTTCTCATGATAGTGAGTGAGTTCTCGTGAGATCTGAGGGTTTTATAAGGGGCTTTTCCCCCTTTTGCTTGGCACTTCTCCTTGCTGCCACCATATGAAGAAGGACGTGTTTGCTTCCCCTTCTGCCATGATTTTAAGTTTCCTGAGGATTCCAGTCATGCCAAACTGTAAATCAGTTAAATCTCTTTCCTTTAGAAATTATCCAGTGGCAGATATGTCTTTATTAGCAGCATGAGAATGGACAAATAAGGGGATCACTCTCACCTTCTCCTCGCCTTTGTGAAGTCACGTGACCATCATGTGAGAGGTGCAATCCCTGTACCCAGAAAAAGGGAATATTCTTATCTCAGAAGACACAAGGACACAGAAAGTAATCTGAACAAATAGGCCTTTCTAAGTTTCTCCCAGTTTGTTATTATTAGATTAAAACATTTTTTCCTCCAATCATACATGCCCGTGAGTGTCCACTCTTTGTCAAACCTAGCAAAAAAATACAAACATTTATGATTTCTTCAGGTCTTCATTTCCTTATGAAGGCTTCTGTATTACGTAAAATGTATATTAAATAAATTCATACACATTTCTCTTATTAATCTGTATTTTGTTGTAGGGGCTTCAGCCATGAACCTAAGATGAGTGTGGAAAAGGTATTTTCATCCCCTACAATAGCCAAAGTCATGTTGTTGTTGTCCCAATATTTTGGGAATTCACCGCATTTCTGATTTGCTCTCCACCAGTTTAACTCTTCCCTCACCCTGCAATGTGGAATAGTTCCTGCCTTGCCATATGCTCCTGGATGTCTTCTGGTCTTCCTTCTCTAGCCACCTGTGGCTATTTCTGTATATGCTTGGTCTTGGAGATGGGGACACGGGAGAGGCATCATCTTTGTGATGCACACAACTCTCTCTTGCTTTTTTTCTTAGAGCCCCATCCTTGTCTTATCCAAATGTGAGTACAATATTCAGTCCTGGAACCCAACAATTTTCTTCCAAGATAGATGCGTGATAGCCAAGACAGATAGAAGCATATACCATTTACTTTAAAAAATGGTTATAGGGAATTTATCTTTAAGAATATATGGGGACTTGTCAGGAGAAGGGAGTGTATAAATTGTTAATAAATTTTAAATAACATAAGGTCTTCATATTTTTAAAATTTAAAATTATGTGAAATGGATAAAACATCTTTTATATTAGCTTATCCAATAAGGTAAAAAAATGTAATGCTTTAGTATTATTTTAGATATATTTTAACATATCTATGAATGCCTGGGGAGGTTTAAAGGGGGCTGTATGTAAAGCTGGAATTTTAAACTTCTTACAAATTTCCATTTTAAAGGCAACAATATTGTTATATGAGACTAGCAAAGATAAATTATATTATCAAGATGAGTATTTATGAAGACATTTCCAAAGTAACCAAACTTATAACATTTTTTCCAAAACAATTTTCTCATTTTGTTCTGAAAACAAATCTAAATGTATTTTCAGCATCTCTGAAAATATGAAAAACAGTCCTGATTGCCTACCTCATTCATCACTTTTGCAATTAAGAAAACATACTTTCTTTTTTATATACTTGTTCTCTAGAAGCACATATGAGGAGTCCAAGATGAAGCAGCAAATCAAACAGTTTGGACCTGAAGGTGATGGATATAAAAATGTCACAGGGGACATCAAGAACCTAACTACGATTACTAAGAGGAAACGGGGAAGATATTAAATGCCTGGGAAAAAGTTTACTAATATCTAAGTCATTAAGCAGCTCTTGTATGACTGGTACAAACCCTGCAACCATCTTCCAAAACATCCAAAACTTTGGGAAGGCCACCATATGTCATGCTAATGGAACCCCTGTTCCCTTGGTACCTGCACTAGCTCTGATTAATGGAAGACATGCCACGAATGATACAAGTGATTACACTGCATAAGTTAGGATGCAGACAGGCCATAGCTTGATTAGATTCTGGAACAAACACCTCCTCTCTCCTGGGGCACTGCTGTCCACAGCACAGTAGTCATCTGTTAAACAGTGGCATATTTCACCATGGAGGTTACCAAGCACTAGCTTAAAATTTAACACCTGCCTTCCCAGAGCTGTCTGAAAACCTAGACCATCATCTCAAATATAAAGGAGAACAATGGCATATGAGAAGGCAAACTTTAAAATAAAAAGGAAGGATTTAACATGATGGGGAGCCTCAAATGTTACAAGCTGTGAACAAACACAGATGTGTTTCAAGCTTTAGCTGGGACAAGGTTTTGTAATTTTAATTTTGTAAATATTCTTAACTAAAAATCCATTTCCTTGTACCTCAAAAGGTCATAGACTTTGGCCAAATGTTCAGATTTGCAAGGTACAAATAATGAACCCTGGCAAAAGAAGGAAGTAAATACATTCCTAGCTATCCAGAGCTATTGACAACAAGGACCAATGGGGTGAAAGATTGTATGTTATCATACTTTTACATCTTTAAACTTCTATTGTCAGGTGGTGAGGATACAGTTAGCATTCTACCCTGTCTACCCTGACTACCCTGTCTCTGCTACTACCTCAGAAGAGCCAAAATTTTTATCAGTAAGTCCAAAGATGAACACTTTGTCCACCTGTGGAAGGAGGCCTTATGAATGCCCTTTTACATAGGAGCAGAAGGAATTCTTTAAAAACAGTTTTAATACTCTTTGCAAGAAAGGTCAAGTTATGCAAACTTGTAAATATTTAATCCTGATTTTCAGAGTGTAATAAGACTTACCTATATTGCCTTCATATTTGGCCTGCCAGGGATTTAGCTAATAGGTTCTTTAATTGTGCTAAAGACCAACACCACCTTTTCTACTTCCCTTGTGGTTGATGACTTTGACAGTGGGATTTATTTAAAAATTCTAAGGACAAAAAAGACCTCCTTCGAAGGCCACCAGTCTCTATTTAGGTGTTTTTAATGCCCTGATTAAGGTCAGCTAATGTGATGACACAGGTTAGAGGCTAAGGAGAACGTTACTTCAATTTCAAGCATTTGCTATCTGGGCCATCAGTTAAACAAGGGAATCTGAGGGCTTAATTGCAGGGTCTATGCCATCAAAGAGTTGACAATGTTTTTGGCAAATCATGATACATATAGAGAAAGCTCATACAAAACAGGCGTTAGCTGCTGATATATATAAACAAGAAGAGCATTAGGAGTCCCCAGCAAAATTACTGAATTGGGGTGTTGTATACGGGTTTCAGAGAGGAGATAAGATGTAAACTTCTTCTTGAGGATAGGGATGAGCATGTATACAATCAAAGACTGAGCTGAAGGGGAAGAATTCAGGTTATACCTAAATCTTTGGCTATAGGTTTCATGAGATGTCAGAGTATGTGAAAATTGTACTTGCCTGAAGCAGTAAAAAATTGAACCCTTTTTAAATTGAGAGAGAGAAAGAGAGAATAACTATCTCTCAAGACATATTTCTGTTTTATAGCACATTGCTTGATGTTACTTTAGAGGAATTAAACCAAACTAAAATTAAAAAAAAATGGGGCAAGTATTTCCTGGAGCATTGGTACAATTCATTGTAGAGATCTTGTTCCTTGTCACATTGAACAGAAGAAGCACAAGCATGAGCATCACAGAAAACAAAAAAAAAAGTTCTGCAATCCTATTCATGTATTATTTAAAATAAAGTCAAGGGGATGAACTGGAAAGGGCCTCCAACTTGGCTACATGAGGTCTACATGGCATTCCCTGCTCTACCTGTTCAAGTGTAGCCTGGGGTGAGGGTAAAGGAGGGAGTGTGATGGCATTAGACACTGGGGATACAACTTAGGGACATAGGCAGTGACCTAGATGAGAGTATAAACTAGAGTCATAAAAGTTTCCAGTGGAGAAGAAAGGAAAAATAATAAAAATACACAAGAAGTAGAATCAACCAGATTTACTGAATCAATTAGACAGAATGCAAGATGATGGAGGGGTGTGGGAAAAGAAAAGCTAAGGGGGACAACTAACAGGTTTATGGCTTGGGTCAGAGGCTAAATGGTTCATCATTCACCAAGATAAGAAATATTTGCAAAGAAATAGCAATTGATGGGGACAAAATTAATTCCATTTTAGACCACTGGTTTGAGAGTCCTTATGGGGTTTTTTTCTCTATTAATTTTTAAAAATCCTTACAAAAATGAAGCCTTCATGGAAAGGAAAATCAAATATATCTGAAAAGTTTCTGACCATTTTTACATTGACAGATAAAGAATATTATATGTACTCTTTTGTAAAAGTTGAATATCATATGTTTTTATTTTTCTTTAAGCATTATAGACTTTACTTGTAAGAGTGGAATGGCATTGCAAGCCAATGGTCCTGTCAAATGCATCTGTCAGTGATGGCAGGATGGTGAAGAATAACAATTCCCAGCTGCCAAAAAATTTGGCTGTTTGTCAAGAAGAAATAAAGGGGGCAATCTGCCAATTACTGCCCCCTCGTGCTCAATAACTGGCAAAGGCAAATTAAGCAATATATCACTGCAGAATGGCAGAATGTCAACATCAACATACAGCATTATTCTACCTAAAAACTGAACCCCAAGCTCTTATTTCATAGTTGAGGTCATTAGAGACCATGGAACAACTTAGCCACAACCACAGGGCTCACTGACAGAGAGGCAGGACCAGAATTCAGATCTGACTTTCCAGACAAAATTCCTTCCTTGATACCACATTTCATTTCTTATAAATATGGATTCCAAATATGGATTCATGGATTCATGGATTCCAAGGTCACATTTCTAATAGGCAGACTTTTTTCATGCTTCTATTATAAAAAGAGAATTCACAACAAAAGAGGAAAAAGGAAGATCCCTGAAGTCTCATACAACTGTGAAACCAATCCACCACTAAATAGAAGACAAATTCAGGGAGAATGTCATTCATACTCTCTACAAATATGTATAAAACCACAGGAAGAAATCATTCATAAAACCTAAATTACTTTGACCAAAAATACTCACTCCTTTCCATAAGTGAATAATTACCTCAGGCTAAATAGTTGAGCGGGGGAGAGTACGAATTTTGGTTTTCATCCATTCTTTCACTTAACTACCTTGGCACAAAGACATTTCAATAAAGAACTAGGGTTTCCCTTAAAGTTTGTCTGGTTCTGATTAATTTTGTCTTATTTTGAGGCTCACATTTTCAGGGTCAGCACAAATGATTTTTTATTATTTGTGGCTCCATTTTTGTGAATCACTACTCAGTCCATTACAGAGGAGCATAGTGAGTGCATGGTAAATATCCCCGTCCCACCCAGGCATTCTCTACAATATACTCAAGGTAATTCCTATCAGACCATTGGTATATAAAATTAAACTCATTTGCCATCTTTCATTGAGTTGAATCCACTGGCATTTTTTTTGTATGTTTAAAAACATATTTCTGAAGCTCCATGAACCACAAAACCATTTGAGGAATAATGAAGCTGAGACACTAACAATTAGAATAAATTTCAACCCCTTAAGTTTAAAGACTGTGTGTAGTGGCCGGGTGCAGTGGCTCATGCCTGTAATCCCAGCACTTTGGGAGGCCGAGGCGGGCAGATCACAAGGTCAAGAGATTGAGACCATCCTGGCCAACATGGTGAATACCTGTCTCTACTAAAAATACAATAATTAGCTGGGCATGGTGGCATGTGCCTGTAGTCCCAGATACTTGGGAGGCTGAGGTAGGAGAATTACTTGAACCCAGGAGGCAGAGGTTGCAGTGAGTCGAGATCATGCAACTGCACTCCAGCCTGGGCAACAGAGTGAGACTCTGTCTCAAAAAAACAACAACAACAAAAAATGGATATCTTTTAATATCACCACACACATACATTATACATGCAAATGGATTCACTTGTTCTCTTGCAGGGCAAAAAATAATGTTTTCTCACTATCTTTGCAAAAATTAATGTATATGACAAACACTTTCCAATCTATAACTAATAGAATCAAGGAGGACACCTAATTAGCAATTAGTCTGATTAACATTCCTTGGAGATTAATTTGTTTTACCAGATGGCCTTCATAAAAATAATTCTTAGAGGATTTGTTTTAAAAATCAGCTAAGCTAATTACAAGATGTAGGAATAGAGAAATTTTAACAATCATCCCAAGCATAAATTAATGTGTTTAAGTTGGAAGTCTTCAAGATATGACTGGGAAGTGGAAATGGCAAAAGGGAGTTTATGGGCCTGCTCAGTGAAGCTACTGAGCTAAGGACTAGAAATAGTTTGTTGAGAGGGCAAAATGAAAACACAAAGACCTAGTCAGATAGAAGCTAAAGGTGAGCAAGCTGTGAAAGAAGGGTAAATGCAAGTTAGACATTGGGAAACTAAATGGGACCAAAGTCAAGGGAAGTTCCAAAACACAAAAGAAAAAAAGAACAAGCAGGAACAGAGTCCAGAAAGAATTCTGCTCACTGTCTGCCTGGCAGCCCTATCAACTGACTTTGCCATAAGGCCACAACGAGTGGCCTGTCATCAGGATGGCATGCATTTTGAAACAACTTTGCAGAAGCTGCCAGGGATTCTCACTTACCCACAAAGAAGAGAGTTCATATTTATTAAGTGCTTATCACAAACTGAACAAGAAGCTTCATACAAGTACGATACCTCAAGAGTTGTTTTTTTCCTCACCCAAATCTTTTTCTTCTTCCTGAAACACAGTCTACATGTCTCAGCCTCTGCTGTGGCTAGGCAGGGCAATGACACTGAGTTACCATCAGTGGAGTTTGAAAAGAAGTGATGTATTCCATTATCCAGTACCATCTCATAACAACTTTCCATAAGAGATCTACCATGTCTTTCTCTGCTTGCTGGTTGATAGAAGAATACTACAGGGACCTAAGGAGTAAGTGCCTGATGACCATAGATAATGTTTCCCTACTCAGGAATACCCACAATGGACTGCTGCATTAGAAAGAAACACTAGCAATTGAAGCTAGTATTACTTACCCTTCATTAATGCACCTGTTTATCTTATTTAATCCCTACAACAATTTGTTGTGGTGATATTTATATCTTAACTTATCAAATGGATAAAATGAATGAATGAGGAATTTGAACCCAGGTCTGTCAGACTCTAAGAATCTATTTCCTCTCACCAAGTAGTCTGGTAAACAGAAGCTGAAGTAAAGAAGACATGTATTGTGTTTACTTTTGTATCAATTCAGATAAATTCAAGAACATGAATTAACCATTTTGAGTGAAGGATTCAATGGCGTTTAGTATACTCAAAATGTGTGCAACTATGTGAACATCTATCTAGTTCCAAAACATTTTTGTCACCCCAAAGGGAATTCCTTACTCAATAAGTAATAATTTCATTAGCTATTTCCCCCTCCTCTAAACCCCTGACAATGTTTTTTGTTTTGTTTTGTTTTTTTTGAGATGGAGTCTTGCCCTGTTGCCAGGCTGGAGTGCAGTGGCAAAATCTTGGCTCACCGCAACCTCCACCTCTTGGGTTCAAGCGATTCTCCTGCCTCAGCTTCCTGATTAGCTGGGATTACAGGCATGAGTCACCACGCTCAGCAATTTATTTTTAGTAGAGATGGGGTTTCACCATGTTGGCCAGGCTGGTCTCGAACTCCTGACCTGAGGTGATCCGCCCACCTCGGTCTCCCAAAGTGCTGGGATTACAGCCCCCTGGCAATGAAAAAACTAATTTCTATAACTATGGATTTACCAATTCTAGATATTTCATATAATTGAGATTATACAATATGGGACCTATTGTGTCTGGCTTCATTCACTTAGCATAACTTTTTTGAGGTTCACCCACAGTATAGCATGTTCAGTATTTCATTCCTTTTTATGGCTAAAAAATATTCCATTGTATACCACAATTAATTTCTCCATTCATGCATTTCCACAGTTTGGCTATTGTGCGTAGTGCTTCAATGCACATGTATTGATTGAGTTCCTGTTGTTCACTCTTTGGGGTATTTACCTAGAAGTGAAAATTCTAGGGGATGATGTAATTCTATATTTAGCCTTTTAAGGAACTGCCAAACTGTTTCCTACGGAGGCTGTACCATTTTACATTCCCATTAGCATTGCATAAAGGTTCCAGTTTCTCCACATCTTCACCAACACTTGCTATTTTCAGATTTTGGATTAATGCTATTCTAGTAGGTGACTTTCTCATTTCTGCAAAAAAGGACAATTGGAATTGTGAGAGGGATTTCATAGAATCTATACATAGCATTGGGTATTTTTGCCATCTTAACAATTTTAAGTCTTCTAATTCATAAGCATTAGATGCCTTCCATTTATTTATAGCTTCTTGAATTACTTTCAGCAATGTTTTATTGTTTTAAGTGTACAATTCATTTATTATTTAAATTTATTCCTGCATATATTATTCCTTTGCTCTTATTCTAAAGAAAAGTATATTCTTAATTTTCTTTTCAGTTTGTTAATTACTGGTATATAGAAGCAACTGATTTGTGTGTATTGATGTTGTGCCCTGCAACTTTGCTGACTTTGTTTACTAACACTAGCAGTTTTCTCTTTTTGTGGATTTTTGGAATTTTTAATATAGAGAATCATGTTATCTGCCATTAGAAATAGTTTTACTTCTTCCTTTCCAATTTTAATGCTCCTTATTTTTTCTTGCCTACATCCTCTGTCTGGAACTTTTAGTACAATGTTGAACAGCAATATTGAAAGCAAACATCCTTGTCTTGTTCTTAATTTTAAAGAGAAAGGTTTCAGTCTTTCACCATTGACCATGGTATTAATCATCAGGTTTTCATAAATGTCCTTTAACATGTTGAGAAAGTTTCTCCCATTTCTAGTTTTTGAGTATTTTTCTCATGAAAGGTTTTGGATTGTGTCAAATTCTTTTTCTGCACTGGTTAAGATAATTATTTTTTCCTTTGTTCTATTAATATGGTGTATTACATTGATTGCTGTTATCTTATTGAATGACTCTGGCATTTCTGTGATAAATCCCATTTAGTTATAATGTATAATCCTTTTAATATGCTATTAAATTGAGTTTGCTAGTATTTCTTGAGGATTTCTTCATCTATAATCATAAGGGATTTTGGTCCATAATTTTCTTATTTCTAGTGATGTCTTTGTCTGGCTTTGGTATCAGGATAAGCTGGCCACATAGAATGAGTTAGAACATGTTCCCTCTTCCATTTTTTGGAAAAGTTTGAGAAGGATTGCTGTTAATTGCTTAAATGTTGAGTAGATTCACCAGTAAAACCATCTGGTCTTAGGCTTTTCTTTGTTGGGAAGTGTTTAATTACTGATATAATTTCTTGTTATATAAATCTGTTCAAATTTTGTTTCTTCATGAGTCAGTTTTGCTACCTTGTATGCTTCTAGAGAATTGTCAATTTCATCCATGTTTTGTAATTTGTTAGCATACAATAGTTCAAATATTCTCTTATGATCTTTTCGTGGTAGAAGGTCTATAGAAATGTCACCACTTTCATTTCTGATTTTAGTTAAGTGCAACTTCTATTTTTTTCTGATTTCAGTTAAGTGCAACTTCTGTTTTCTTCTGATTTCAATTAAGTGCAACTTCTGTTTTTTTCTTCGTCTTGCTAAAGATTTGACAATTTTGTTGATCTTTTCAAGGATCTAACTTTTAGTTTTATTAACTATATCTCTGATGGCTAATTTTATGTATCAGCTTGACTGGTCCCAGACATTTGGCCAAACATCATTCTGGGTGTTTTTGTAACAGTGTCTCTGGATGAGATTAACATTTGAATTAGTAGACTGAGTAATGCAGACTGTCCTTCCTCCCTAATGTGCTTGGGCTTCAACCAGTTAACTGAAAACCTCAACAGTACAAAAAAAACTAAATAAAAAGAAACCCTTCTGCTTGACTACCTTTAGCTGAAACATTGCTATTTTTCTGCCTTTAGACTCAAACTGAAACACTGGTTGTTTTTGAGTCTGAAGCCTGCCAGACTCAAAAAGCCATTGGACTGGAACTTATATTCTCAACTTTTTTGGTTCTCCAGATCTTGGATCTTTTCAGCCTCCATTATCAAGTGAACCAATTCTTTATAATAAATATCTTGATAGAGATAGATAGACAGATAGATAGATAGATAGATAGATAGATAGATAGATAGATAGATTAGATGGATGGACAGAGATATAGATATCTTCTTAGCTCTGTTTCACTGGAGAACACTAATACTAATGTTTCTTCTTGAGTCAGTTTTGCTACATTGTATGTTTCTAGAGACTTGTCAATTTTATCTCTGTTCTGTAATAGTTCGAATATTCTCTTATGATATTTTTGTTGTAGGTCTATAGAAATATCACCATTTTCGTTTAGTCAGGGGAATTAGTCAAGGTCCTCCAGGTTTACTCTGATGTTTTTCTATCCTCTATTTCATTTATCTCTGCTCTAATAATTATTATTTCCTTTTTTAATACAAGCCTTGGGCTTAGTTTGCTTATTGTTTTCTACTTTCTTAAAGTGCAAAATTGGATTATTGATTTGAGATCTTTATTTTTAATGTTGGCATTTACAGCTATAAGTCACCCTCTGAGCACTGCTTTTTCTGCATCCTGTAAGTTTGTGTATGTGTGTTTTTATTTTCATTCATGTTTAGGAATTTTGCAATTTACCAGAGTGATTTCTTCTTTGGTTTATTGGTATTAAAGAGTGTGTTATTTAATTTTATTTTTCACATATTTGTGGACTTTCCAGTATTTTTTGTTGTTGTTGTTATTGGTTTCTAACTTCATGTCATTGTGGTCAGAGAAGATCACTTACATGATTTCAGTCTTTTCAAATTAATTGAAAATTGTTTTTGTGGCCTACCGTATGGTCTATTCTGGAAACAGGCCCAGAAGAAATTGAGAAGAATGTGTATTCAGCTGTTGTGGAATGGAGTGTTCAAAATCTCTGTCAGGTCTAGTTGGTGTATGGTGCTATTCAAGTTCTCTATGTCCTTCTTGGTCTCCATTTCAGTGTTCTATCCATTACTGAAAGTGGGATATTTAAATCTCTAATAGTTACTGTAGAACTATCTATTTCTCCCTTGAAGTCCATCAGTGTTTGCTTCATATCTTTTGGCTCTGTTGTTTGTTGCCTATATGTTTATAAATGCTATGGCTTCTTAAAGAATAGACTCTTTTATTAATATTTAATGTCCTTCTTTCTCTCTTTTAATAGCTTTTGACTAAAAGATCATTTTGCCTGATATTAGTAGAGCCACCCTGGCTTTCTTTTGGTTACTACTTGCATGGAATATCTTTATCCATATTTTTGCTTTGAACCCACATTTATCTTTAGATCTAAAGTAATCTCTGGAATCGTGTTTTTATCTGTCTGACCATTTCTGCCTTTGGGAAAATTTTATCCATGAGCATTTAAAATAATTACTGATAAGGAAGTTCTTAATTCTGTCATTTTGCTATTTGTTTTCTGTATATGTTATACTTTTTTTGTTCCTTATTTCCTTCATTATTGCTTTCTTTTGGGGTTAACTGACTTTTTTTTTTTTTAGTGTGCCATTATTACTTCTTCCTTATTTCTTTTTGTGTGTTTTTTAAAGATATTTTCTCAGTGGTTACTGTGGGAATTATAATTAGCATCCTAAATTTACAGTAATCTATTTTGAATTGATATCAATTTAGCTTCAATAGATAAAAAGAGTGTCCAAATGCAGCTTTTGCCTGCTTTATGTTGTTATTGTTACAAATTACATCTTTATGCACTGTGAGGCAATTAACCATATATTTATACTTTTTGTGCATTTGCCTTTTAAATCATATAAGAAATCAAAAGAGGAGTTATTAACCAAAGATAAAATAATACTGGCTTTTACATTTACCTATGCATTTACCTTCACCAGAGTTCATTATTTCTACATATGACTTCAACTTACTGTCATTTTAGCCTGAATAATTCTGTTTAACATTTCCTATAGGGCAGGTCTACTATTAACTTCCTCAGATTTTGTCCATCTGTAAATGTCTTAATTTCTCCATTTTTGAGGGATAATTTTGTCAGATATAGAATTCTTGGTTGATTGTTGTTGTTTCTGTCTTTTCATTTGAGTACTTTAAATATATCATTTTGCTCTCTCTGGCTTCCATGGAATGAGAAATCTGCTTTTAATCTTGTTGAGCATCTCTTGGACACAAGTCACTGCTCCCTTGTTGCTTTTCAGAGTTTCTTTGTTTCTAGTGTTTAACAGTTTGGTTATAATGTGTCTCACCGTGAGTCTCTTTGTGTCGATCCTTCTCGGGATTCATTGAGCTTCTTATATGTGTGGATTTTTACATCTTACCAAATATGGAGAGCTTTGGCCATTATTTCTTTGGCTATTCTTTTGCCTCTTTTTCTCTCTCCTATTTTTCTGTAATTCCAATCATGCACATGATAATATGCTTTAGGTGTATATACAAGTCAGTGTATTACATATACATACATATTACAGGTTTTTTAGGCTCTGTTCACTTTTCTTCATTCTTATTTCTCTCTGATTTTCAAATGAGATCATTTTAATTGACCCACTTCCAGTTTGCTGATTCTTTCTTCTACCTACTTGAATCTTTTATTGAAATCATCTGGTGAAATTAGCTCTGTGTTAGGGCACTCCTTGATTGCTTAGCCATGCTATTTAAAATTCTGTCTTAACCTTCACTTCCTGCTTGCATTGGCCTAGCAATCAGCATGAGTTGATAGCTCAAGGTCTTCTCATGTCATTTCTAACAGGTGTCCTGCACTGGGTGTGCATGTGGTTTTTAATCTCTCCAGTATATACAGACACTTTTGAATGATTTAGTTTCCCAGATAAACTATCTTTCCAGTTTTTCCTCCCAGGATTTCAGTTCTTCATTATTTGCCTCAACTACAACCTTTTGCCCCAGGTGGCTGGAGGTTGTTCATTGACCCTATAATATTTTCAAGAAATACCCACTGCTTTTTCACCCTGAATGAGTTCAAGTTTAGGCAAAATAAAGACAAACAACTTGCATCAGTCCCTCAGGCAAGCCCCAAGATTTGTTTGAATAGATAAAGTCTTGCTTTCTCCCTACAAAATCAGGGACACGGTCTCACACTGGGAACATGGGCTTCAAAAATTCTACCAAGCCGGGTAGGGGAGTATAGAAAGGGTATGTAAAAGTACCTTGAAGTTTTTATATCATTTTTTAACAATTATTTTATTTTAAGTAAAGATGGTGTCTTGCCATGTTGCCCAGGTTGATCTCAAACTGCTGACCTTAAGCAATTTTCCCACCTTGGCCTCCCAAAGTGCCGAGATTACAGGCATGAGCCACTGTGCCTGTCCGCTCATTTTTAAAGTTGCCTTTTTTTTTTCTTTTTCGATTAAGCATTCACTTGGTTGCTGTAAACATTTGACTGTTTTCCAGCGTGCTGACAAAGTTGATTCTGACAGCTTTTACTTGATTTCTTGGTTTCCAAAAGCAACAGGCCCTTGAAACTACTTTTTCCACCATTTTTGCTGACATCACTCACCATGTAAATTTCAACAGGACACTGGGTAAAACTTACTGGTCCTAATGATATTTTACCTTTTAATGATATTTTACCTTTGTCCTAGATATTCATTATTTCCATGAAGAGCTACCCATTATTACCAACTTAACTAATGCATCACAAATATCATCTCATTAGACCCACAAAATAAGTGGGATGAGTGAAAAAATAATAACACAATTATGGGACAGATTTTCAGAAGAGTTTTAGTCATGAAATAAAAAATATTTTTGAAAATTGATATTTTAAAATGTATTAGTCTGCTCATATGCGTTTTTGGTTGGAAAAATGCCACATTCAGGAATTTGAGCTTTAGAGTATCCAACATACACATAGACATTCATTTATCTCTTTCAAAGCCTCCCCATCCACTACACCCAGTGGAAGAGGTGGTGGTAGGCAGAAGTATAGTGAGCAACAACACACACCTTATTCCTTGACTTGTTCATTAAGAGAAATGAGAAGAAAACCCCCAGAGAAGGTGAGAGCACTAGGAGGGATTCCACAAAACAGAAGAGAAACATTCCACACATTACTCCAGTAAGAAATCAACTTCAGTTATTGCATGTCATTTTTTTTTTTTTTTTTTTTTTGAGACGGAGTCTCGCTCTGTCGCCCAGGCTGGAGTGCAGTGGTGTGATCTTGGCTCACTGCAAGATCCGTCTCCCAGGATCATGCCATTCTCCTGCCTCAGCCTCCCGAGTAGCTGGGACTACAGGCGCCCGCCACCATGCCTGGCTAATTTTTTTGTAGTTTTAGTAGAGACAGGATTTCATCGTGTTAGCCAGGATGGTCTCGATCTCCTGACCTCGTGATCCACCCGCCTCGGCCTCCCAAAGTGCTGGGATTACAGGTGTGAGCCACCGCACACGGCCGCATATCATTTTTTAAAAGGCAAAATTTCTCCATTTTTTCAGTGAAAACTTTTGAAATTTATGCTTTTCAGAAAATCAGGTTTTGACTGATATATTAAGGAGAAAATGATAAAAGCAGATTACAAAATTTTTTCTGATCTTAACTGAGAATATTTAAAAGTTTTATACACAAATTTCACCATATATGCAAACATATAAATATATAAATGTGTATAAATACAAACATGCATATATGCAAATATTTATACTAAAGGCATAGATAGATGAATACATGTACTAGAGAAAATCAGTAAATTAATATCTTGAATAAATCATTTTTTATTATATATGTATGTGTGTCTGTATATTCAAGTCAGTGTATCACATATACATACATATACACACACATATATACACACACATATAATGGAATACAGATACTGGTAGAAAATTTAAATAGTAGATGTATATATACCATGAACAATAAGTTTCCTTCCTAAAACACCTCCAAGTCAAATAACTATCTTCCTGATAGGCAACTGCTGTTCCTACTTTCTTGTCTATCCTTACAGCTATGTTTTTATATAAACATAAGCATAAATGAAAAAATACATACACAACATACATTTCCTTTAATTTATGTAAACAGAAGCATACTATATACACGGTTCTGTATATTTCTTTAAACAATTCTATTATAGGACACTTCCAACATACACAAACGTAGAAAAAGCATACATAGTACTAAACCATTCTGTGCCTATCACAAAGCTTCAACAATCATCAAATCATCTGATCTATGAACTTACCAGCTTCTCCCCAAGCCCTTAAAACACTGGGTTATTTTGAAGCAAATCCCAGTCATCGTATTATTTTATCTACAAATATGTCTGATTATATCCCTAAAAAAGGACTTTAAAAATCAAAGCCAAATAGCACCATCACATCTTAACAAATTAACACCAATTTCTACATGTCAAATATCCAGTGTTCAATCTTCTCAAAAGTGTGAGTGTGCATATGTGTTTTTAAGACCATATGAAAGTATGTATATAGGATAAATTCCTACAAGTAGTTTTAATAAATAGTTCAAAGAATAGTTCAAAGATAGTCTCTCTAGTCTGACACTTTTCCTTTAACGTTGTTACATTTTCTATGATGCATGTTTTTCATTTATATGTAGTCACTTTATCTCTCTTTAATTTTTTTTGTTTATTTAGATTATTTGATGATATTCTCTTTGGCTACTAAAATATTACTTTCCAAAACAATTTTTTTTTAAAATTTCACTTTGGTTTTGTTTTCAACTTTTATTTTAGATTCAGGGGATACATGTACAGGTTTGCTGCCTGAGTATATTGCATGACGCTGAGGTTTGAGAAACAAATGATCCAATCACCAGGTACTGAGCACAGTACCCAACAGTTAGTTTTTCAACTCCTGTCCCCCTTTCCCTCCCCACTCTAGTAGTCCCCAGTGTCGATTGTGTCATCTTTATGTTTGTGAGTACTCGATATTTAGCTCCCACTTATATGTGAGAACATGCAGTATTTGGTTTTCTGTAACTGAGTTAATACGCTTAGGATAATCACCTCCAGCTCCATCCATGTTGCTGCAAGAGACATGATTTTGTTCTCCTTTGTGGCTCCATAGTATTCTATGGTATATACGTACCACGTTTTCTTTATCCAATCCACCACTGATGGGCACCTAGGTTGATTTTATGTCTTTACTTTTGTGAATAGTGCTGTTATGAACATGCGAGTGCATGTGTCATTTTGGCAGAACTAGTTGTTTTCTTTCGGATATATATCCAGTAATGGAATTGCTGGGTCAAATGGTAGCTCTGCAAAACATATTTGAATACCAGCATGCAATTCTACCAAATGAGAGATAGTAATTTACTTAACTATTTTCCTGTTATTATCTGCAAAGGGGTTTTTGTTATTGTTGTTTTGTTTTGTTTTTGCTTATGTTTTTGCTATCAAACATTACTATTCTCTGCACGTTCTTAAAAATTATGCCTTTTTTTTCATCATTAATACTACAGGTTAACCATTACTGCATAGTTTTTATCATGGATCCTAAAATATGCATAAGAAAACAATTTAAAATATAGATTTTATTTACCACCTGGATTTCTTACAATTTTCTTCTAAGTCTTTACCTACTTTACCTACTTTACTAAGTCTTTACCTATTCTATTATCCCCTTTCTGCTCTGAAAATATATTTTTCTCTTTGGTTTATTGGGCAGTAAAACATATGGAAAGTGAAACAATGCCGACCACTATTTATTGGTCATTCTTTATTAAAAGATTCTAATATTTCCCCTGAATGTCTTTGATCACATAAACTACATATGGGTTCCTTTGGGATATAGTGCAAACGGGCTAGCCATAGTTGATCTTCCTGTTTGGATGAAATTTCCTTTCTGTTATCTGAGTGCGATGTAAAAGGAAAGTCACTCACCAAGCCCCTTCTCTGCTTGACTGGATTTCACCTTTCCCTTATCTGAGGACTTCTCTGTTTCTGCAAGATCTTGGAATCACTGAGGATCTAACTCAATTTGTCTAACACAATTTTGTCCTTCAAGTTCATGCATGTGTGTGGCAATATGTATTTTCTCAATCCTCACTTCCTGAATGCTGATTAACACTTCCTTAAATTGTTGTTGAAGATTCTTTTTTCTTTTCTGAGTTGCATCATTCTCTTTTTTACTATAGTCATGCCTTCCAGTGAACCATTTTATTTAGATATCAGATATACACTTAGCCATGATTGGCAGCTCTCAGGGAAATGGAATTTGTTTGGGTTGGAGTGAAACCAAATGAGTAGACTTTTGGAGCTTCAAGCAAATCTAATTTGTTGAAAGAAAGCTGACCAGACGCATGAAATCTACACCCCAGAGCAAGGCATTTTAGGCTTTCAACATTGGGCCCCAATTCTACTTCCAGGCTCGTCAGTTGCCATTCTTACCTTTCTACCTGGTAGGGGAAGTAGACCAAAGCATAGTAAAAGAAAAATAAAATAAAATAATTTAAAAAGTTACTCTTTCCCAGGCTTTCTGCCAGGCACCTTATAAATATTCCCATTGAATCTGTACAACAACCCTGAGAAATGAGTATTATCTTCATTTTACAGATGAGATAATACAGGGTTAGAAAGACTAAATAAATTAATCTGGCCATACTATGCTAGTAAAACACAGACATTAAATGGAAACCTGCATTAGTCTTGATTCTGATTCTACACTCTACCTAACTATCCTTACTGCTTTGAGTAGTCTCCAAATGGCATTAGCTTAAGCCACATTGGACTCTAAACCTTTGTCTGAATACACTATACTTTTATATACCTCTAAGTACATACTTAAAATCTTTATTCGCTTCTTATTCTGAGGAACTCCTCTTGTTCTTCAATACCTAGCAAAAATATCACTTTCTCTTTGAAGCCTTCTCTTATTTTTGCAGACAGAATAAATCGTTCTTTTCTCCATGGTCCCGTAATACTCTATATAGAATATTATAATATTTTATTTGTCTCATGTCTGTTTCCTCCTAAGGCAGAGATATTCTGTCTTGTTATTGTATTCCACTCTATAGCTTAGTTCTTGATACCAAGCAAATATATAATAAGTATTTTTTAAATCAAGTCACCAATTCATTAAGAAGTAAATCAAATAATAAAGTAATTAGTGCTTGCTGGCACTAAAAGAAGACAAGGCAAATTGCCAGATCTGTAGATGCTTCAGAAGCACAAATTAGAGGAAGAAATTTCTCCTACTCAGCAACACAAGGTGCTAGGTGCCAATTAGGGTGATGCCAGCATTAGTTTGGTAATCATCAGCTATCAGTGCCCTCCCTAATTAAGTCCTGCCTTTCCCCCTGCTAGAGGGAAGAGAGAATGAAGAGAGGACCTGGAGGAAAAGATAATGGCCACCCCCTTTTCCTTGGAGATGTATAACTTGACAAAATCAATGAAGCAAATTCTAGAAATTCTGCATTGCTTTTGATTTCACATTTAATCTATAAGATTTTTCTCAACTGGTTGTTGAACACATGAGTTTGTATGAAAAATAACTTTGTAGAAGTTATAGAAAAGGCTTCCAATGCACACAAGTTATCTCCTGCAGTTTTCCATCTGTTTGTAAGGTAGGAATGATAACAGCTAAATGTGTAGAGATATGGACGAGTTTTAATGGGTACGCCTGTTACCACATTGCTTTGTATAGGACAGAGAAGCGACAGACCCAAAATCCAAAGGGGGAGGTGAAAAGCTGCTCATGAGTTAAAGAATGATTGTTTAGATTAAAACTTTCCATGCTTTGGGAGAACAGCAAAGCACAAGGAGGCCCAGTCAAGCCAGTCTGACCCAAATGATTCAGTGGTTTCCTGAAGACTTCAGTGGAGTTGCTGAGCTCTGAGTAGGGACCATGAAAGCCGGGCTGGAGAGAGCACAGGCTACGTGTGCTGTGGAAAGTTAATCCCTAGGGTTAACTTTGTAGCCAAGAAGTGCTGAATGTCTATATTTCTTTTATTTGTCCCCTTGAGAACAATCATGAAATTCAGTTGGACTTCTTCCTTGAATCTAAATGTTTGAATTTGGCAAGTAAGTGGACCTCAACTATACATAAGCCATTAAAAGAGTGTAAATTCCAATGTGAATGACCTTCATCTTTAACACTGGAAGTTTGAGTAGTTTTTCACAAAGCAAAATTTCTAATCAAATCTATTTAAAGTAACAGTATGTTAAGAACTATATCTTTCTTATATATTTACTCTTAATCTCGGTAATAAATGGTATCCATAATTAGACCTTGCAAAGTTAAATATGGCTAATCCAAGTTGAATGATGAACTTATCTACATGGCACTGAAGTGACTAAAATTTTTTTATTATTGTTCAGTAAGCGCTTTGTAAGTAAAAGTTGTAAAGCAAGAGTCTCAGCACTCATTTGATAAGCAACACAGAAATAATGTTTCACATAAGAATCATCAATTGTTGCTAAAACTATTGGGTAAAAAGTTTGATGACAAACAGGATATTTACATTATGTCTCCACAGTATGTCTGCAAAGATATAAATTAATTACAAAAAGATAATAATAGCTTTATAAGAAAGAAATTGAGCAGATACCATCCATATCATGTCTTGAAACTTACCATTACCTGTAATGAGATAAATAAACATCCATTGCCTGCCTCCTGATGTCATATACCAAGATGGACACAACATTGCTCTGTGATATTCCCTGAAAAAATGCATAACCTGAGTCTAACCATGAGAAAAACTGAACAGATCAAAATTAGGGATATCCTAAGATCAAAATTAGGGATATTCCAGAAAATAACTGGCTTATACACTTCAAAAATGTCAAAGTCACAAAAGACAAACATACGTTTTGTGAGGAACTTTTCCATATTTTAGAAGACTATAAAGAAATGACAAAAAATGTAATATGTTATCTTGTATTGGATCCTAGACCAGAAAAAAAAGAAAATTATTTTATTTTAAAGGACATTAGTAGGACAACTGGCAAAATTTGAACAAGGTGCATAAATTAGATAAGATTACTATTATTAATGTTAATAATTAAACTACAGTTATATATGAGAGTGTCTCTGTTTCTTAATATACAGTGAAATATTTAGGGGTAAAGGGCATTATGTTCATATCTTATTCCCCAAAAGTTGGGAAATAGAAATAACATGATAATGACATTTACTAAACTCAAACACATACGTGTGTGTGTAAGGAGAGAGGAGACAGAACAACATAACAAACATGGAACAATGTAAACACTTGAGGATTCTGTGTGGAAGGTAAATGGAAATGGGAATTATTTGCACTATTTTTGAACATTTTCTGTAATTCTGAAATTATTTCAAAATAAAAACCTTCGTCAGAGACCAAAAGATCCAAGCCTTATCCTCTGGTGGAGGAAACCGTGGTCATAGCTGGTCCACAGCAAATCTATAGCTTCAGAGTCCAAAGCTTTCCCTACTATAGCCTGTGTTTCTGCAACAAGCATAAATTTGTTCTCAAGAGATCAGCATAGAGCTTTGGTGCAGAGCTTTGATATAGCTTGAATATTTGCTCTCCAAATCTCATGTTGAAATGTGATCCCCAGTGTTGGAGTGGGGGCCTAGTGGGAGGTGTTTGGGTCATGGGGTGGGGTGCCTTATGGATGAGTTTGTGCCCTTTCCTGGTTGTTTAAAAGAGACCCCTGTTTCTCATTCCTCCCTCTCTCACGATGTGACATGCCTGCTCCCCTCTGCCTTCTGCCATAAGTTAAATCTTCCTGTGGCCTCTCCAGAAGCTGAGCAGATGCTGTTGCCATGCTTGGACATTCTGCAGAGCCATGAGTCAAGTAAACCTCTTTTTTTAATAAATTATCCAGTCTCGGTTACTCCTTTATAGCAACACAACATGGACTAATAAAAGTTTCTAATTTGAAAGCATTACAGGGGTCTCCAAAGTTGTAACAGAAATGAGCTTTTACTGCTGCTCCTACAACCCTGTTTTTAGGAACAGTCTGCTCCTGATTACACTCTTAGCCCAGCACACAGGGAAGTCCTTTCTTCTCTTCCTCACTCTGCTGTTAGAGTTTCACATACACGAGGATTCAGGGAAGAAAATAGACCCTGAGAAAACAGACCCTGTGCTCTCATCAATCAAAGTTAAGAGCATAGCTTCTAGCTTGGGTTTGTGTGTATTCAAACTCTCCCCCCTTAAACACCTATGATACTTTGGGCAAATTAGTTGTCTACATTTCTGTAAAATTGACATAATAGTATAGTATTTGCCTTTAGGACTACTGGAAGGATTAAATGGGATAATGTATGTAAAGTATTTAGCATGCGCATGGCACATAATAAGTGCTCAGAACCTGAGTTATTAGCTTTATGAATAAAAAGGGTAGCCAATATTAAGTCCAGATTCTCATTTAGGAAAAAGTAAACTACAGAATAATTCAGTTACAAATAATTCAGAATACAGAATAATTCAGAGGATATTGCAAGAATACAGGGAGTCAACTTTCAAATACCTATCAGTAGTTAGCATTTTGGCCAGAAACACTGTCAGGTAATAACTATTTTACCTCCACCTTCTTCATCAAGAAAACTGATCATTAAATTGGAAAGAGGATTGGAAACAAACTAAATGTCTATCAGCAGGAAACTAGCTAAATACTTTTTGATACTCGCCTTCACTGGAATGATAGGAAGCAATTAAGAAGAATGAGGCAGATGAAAATGTCCTGGAATGAAAGGATATCCAATTCACATTGTGAAGTAATGAGAAAAGAGCAAATCAAAAGATAGAATTTATAGTATGTTCACAGTTTCTTTAAATGCACACAAGGGAAAGAAAAAGGTTAGACCATTACATTCAAAACAATAAAGAAATAACTGGGAATGAGATTGAGAGTGGAAAGGGTTCAAATTTTACCTTATATGTTACGGTCTATAGTTGTTTATTTGGTTATTTCAATAATAAGCATTATCCATACATTCACGACAAGGCTACCACACATGCTACTCAAGTCTCTATACACACATGTGTGCGCGCACACACACACACACACAATTTTATCAACTCAGCATTGTAATAGCTCTGACTGGCTCCTAATGGTATCACAGGAATTGTCAGACCTGGTGGACCCAGCCATTGATACCAGAGGCCCATGTCAGGCTGTCACAGTAACTCGACTGGACTTGTGATTGGGATAGAAGGCAGTGAACTAAAAAAACCCCAGCAAACAATAGCAACAAACAGTGCATAAGCATTTATTTGTGTGCCTTAACTGTTGCTTAGTTAGCAAAATAAACATGATAAAAATTATGAGATTTCATAATATAATTATAACCAGATAATTCTGGACTATTGTTTAAAATCTGAATCATTTTGGAAAAAGAGGACAGTGTAAGTGAAACAATGTAAATATGTTCAATAGGTGCGCTGTTTCATGGAGAAAATATCTTAAACATGAGATCCATGGGAAAAAAAAAACAAATAAAAGGAACTCTTGATAAACTAAAGTTGTGTAATTATAAAGTATGAACAGATGAGAACACGAGGCCCAAGGATCCATTGGCCAGCCCAGGGTCACACATGGAGTTAGTGCTGTGATTACAGACTCAGATGCCCATAGGTGTCACGTAGGTAATATTCATGGGTATGAGATGTAGGTGGGGGCTATAGCAAGGATGAGAGACTGTGCCAACCCAAGGAAGGCTACAGTTGCTCATCTCCATTGTTAGAAATAAAGCTCAGAGTTGTAAGCAAACGAGCACTCAGACAAAGGATTTTTCAGCAAAGCAAATTTACTTCTGTGGAGAGGGGTGCCTCCCGTATGGCCAGTTGCCATGAGGGCACACAGACCAAAGGAGAGTGGAAGTTTTTATTCCTGATGCAAATCCTGCCCCTGTGTCCTTTCCCCATTGGCTGGGATCAGACCTCACAATCTAAGCTAGACCCGATTGGCTAAATATTTAAACTTTTTTTTTTAGATAAGGCAGGCACGTAAGGGAGAGAGGGGAGAGCGGGAAGGGGTCGTCTGCAGTGAGCTAGAGAGCCAGTCCTTTTCCAAATAAGGAAAGGAATATGAGCTGGTGCTGATAACGCCACTGGTGCTGTGGCATGCCTGGGCATGTAGTAAAGGCAGAAAGAAGGAAAGAAGAAGAAAGAGATGGGGAGGGGTACTGGGAATTAAAGAACAAAAGGTTGATCAGGCTGTTTGAAGAGAAACCTTGTCATACCTCACATCCATCCATATACCGTCCAGGAATGCCAATCCAGTCTTGCTGATGTTCCTTATTTCAAGAGAAGCCAGATGCTTATATAAAACATCCTGATTGGTAAATGTTGACCAACTTATAAAACATGTGTTCACTTACTACTGTATGGGAAGCAAATAAAAGACAACTATGGGATGGACCAGTCCCATGGCCACCATTGCTACCAGTCCCATGGTCCCATTGCTACCTCTGAGAATCTAAGACAACTCGCTCCTTTCTTTCACCAGATTCAATTTTCCCTAATCTCCAACCCCAGTCATGCATTTATTCCAAAATTAAAATAAATAAATAAAGGAGCACTTAAAAGTTACTAGATAAGAAATAGATTGGGAAACACAGAAAAGAAAGAAAATATTATAAGGAACAAAAAGTAAATTCTGGCCTTCAAGAAGCTTGTGGTGAGGAAAGGCCAAGAAGAATTGTGAAAATGACCTACTATAATAATAAATATTACAGAATAATTAAATTGGGGGATACTATAGGAAACTGCTAGAATACTTGATTCATTCTAGGTGAGTAAACGTGGAAGATCTTAACAGAGTGAGAGGCTCTGAAAATAAATAAAATTCCAACAGATGGAGAAGGAAGAGGAATTGTAGGCTGTTAGGCCAGAAGAGCAAAAAACACTTGTGAGTGATCAGAACTGGCGTGTTGGTAGAAACTAAAGAGACTGGGGGCATGAAAAAAATACGGTGCATAAAGGAATTGGGGCAGTGTTCTCCAAGGCCAGTGAGAATGTTACTCTGTAATAGAAGAAACTGATAAATGGTTCTGAGTGAGTGACATGATTCTGTTATTGTTTTAGAAGATTTTCCCTGGAATGTAACAAATAGATTGAAAAAGTGAGACGCTGGCAGAGGAAAAACTGGTTAGTTAGCTATTTTGATTGTTGTTGATGGAGTGAACTAGAGTAAAAACAATGAAAGAGAGGATGGCTATAAGAGCCATTGTAAAGGGGATTTATGGAGCTTTTCTACTGACATGAACGTCTAGGGCAAGGCGGCATGATGACTTTATGATCTCAAGCCCATAGGTCTTGGAGAAAAGGGTGCCTTTAGGAATACAGGAGCACAGATGGGAATGTTGTGTTCCTGTGAGGCAGAGTTTGCTGCTGGGGCAGGGAGTAGATGGTAAGATAAATCTGTGGGGTCCAGCAAGGTATTGAAACCGTCAATTCTGCTGTTAAAAGACAAGTCAAGATTAGAGGTTCAAATTGGTCTTTTAACAGAATAGAGACTGTAAAATTGAAATGTTCAGAAAGAAAGAATGCAAGATGTCAAAGAGAAAAATTAGTTTGCAGAATTTTGGAAAATGCTTATAGATACATGTTTAAAGGTATGAAGATGAAGATTAACTAAATAAGGAAAAAGGAATTTAAAAGAATTAACAGCAGCTACTATTTACCAAGCATGTCACTTGTGCCAGGCTTTGGGCAAAGCCTTCACATAAATATTTTATTTAATCTTCATAATAACTTTGTAAAGGGACTGAAGCTTAGGGAGGTTAAGTAACTTGAATAAGGATATAAGTAGCAGGTTCACAGAACACAACATCCAAATATGGCTAATAAACGTTTGTAAAGATGCTCAATTTCTATAGTAGTTGAGGAAATGCACCAGGTTTGTAAAAAATTAAACAGGACTATAATGCTTTGAGGAAGAGCTACTCATACACTGCCGGTGGAATGTGAAATGGTACAGTTTTTTTAGAAGGCCATCTGGCAACATCTATTAAAATTAAATATACCCACTAAATGTAAATTAAATATACATGTGTCCTTTGATCCAGCCATCCCCCAACTGGGGATTTATCCCATAAGATGAAATCACCAACCCAGAGTAGAAAATGTCTGAAGCAAATGGAATATCCATCAACAGAGGAATGGTTGAATAATTTGTGATACATCCATAATATTTAAGAATGAGTGAGTTCTACACCAACTCTTTTGGAAGGAGTTCCACAATGAACTGTTAAGTGAGTAAGGCAAACAGCAGACAAGAGTATAAAATATGATCCCGTTTCTATAGAGCAAAATAAAAGATACACATCTGTATGTGTGTATGTGTGTGTGTGTGTGTGTGTATTTTATCTGCCCAGGGTCACATTACTAGCAGTAGTTAGGATTTATGTTCAGATCTGTCTGATTCCTAAGCTCATGCATTTGATCACCAGAAGAGAAAGAAATGAAATATAGTCAACGATGTCAAAGGAATGACCTTCAGAAAGACATTAAATGGAGCGGGAGCTAAGAAACGGCTTTGGATTTGGCAATGAGGACGCCACATGTTCCCTTTGGGAGACAGGTTTCAATTGAGCCCTTTGGGAGGGGCCAGATGCTGGGAGCCAAAGAGCAAGGCTGTGGTGAGGAAGTAGTGCCAGTGAGCACCGACCACGTTTCAGAGATCTGCCAACAAGCAGATTGTCAGTTTGGCTGGAGAAAGAGGAGCTAGTATTGAGTTTTCTTGTGTTTGTTACATTTGTGTGTTTTATACTGGTGGGTTGTTTGGGATTTTCTGTTCTCCTGTCTTGTTGAGTTTAAGACATCCTTTGCACATCTGAAAGTTAGAGGAAAAATGAGACGCGAGAGAATGACTAAGTTCCAGAACTGATGGAAGGGGAAAGCTAAATAACTGCCTATTGCCCTTTCTCTCCTGGCGCCTCTCTAGGTAGTATCTCTGAAAGACAAATCACTTCTTTAAGAGATATAATTTTAGGCAGGTGCATTGGCTCATGCCTGTGATCCCAACACTTTCAGAGGCTGAGGCAGGAGGATTGCTTGAGGCCAGATGTTCAAGAACAGCCTGGGCACTTCAATACTCTTGTCTCTACAAAAAAAAAAAAAAAAAAAAAAAGGCCACCTACCATCTTACTAACTTCCACCCATTGATAAGTAAGATTCTTAAATACCTTCAGTGACCTGTCTGAAATTCAAGAAACCAAAGGAAATCTCAACTCTCAACTCTCTGAGTAAAAGAAGACACTAGGAAGCTAACATCATTTGGGAACAAGGCAAGTTGGTGACCATGAGCCCAGCTGCTCTTTGAGCTGCTTTCTCTGATTCTCTGAACCCATCAACCAGGCCCCGTGCTGGCTCACTCTTCTGTCTCATTCCTCCTCTGAGGCCTTCTGACCAGTCCTCCTGGGCAGGCCTGCCAGGTAACTGCTCTCTGGTCCCAATCAACAAAAAGGGATGAGGTAAAAGACTTATATCCTCTTCCTACATTTCCACTGTGCCCCCTAGAATAGCAACAGCTGCCAGGAAACTACATGCCCACCCTCCCAGTGGAAGGAGTGACTCAGTGGGCCAGTAAGGCAGGCGAATGGTCACTGACTTCTACAGCTAGCTGTCACCTTGCTCGCTGTCCTTCCTCTGAAGTTGTTCTTAAGCAGAACACGTTCTCCTCTCTGCCAGTGGTGCCATGTGGGGGCAAGCTCACCAAGGTGCAGGCAGGACCTCCCCACTTCATAGCAGAGGCCTCTGTTCTCTCCCCTCTCAAGAAACTAACTAGCTGAGACGGGGGAAATCAAAGGACAAGGAACAGCCCATTCCATCCGGGTCTTCAGCCCAGCTTTGCAAGCAAAGAGCTAAAACTATATTTTAATCTTCTTCTGATTCCTGTGTTCACTTTGATCCAGAATTAGCCTGAATGTCTAATACTGATGCCAGGTTTATCATTGACCAGCCTTAACCCTACCCACTTGAGGACACCCAACCCAGTTGCTTCACATGTGGTCTGAGCCCCAGTGATGAAACTGTAGCTTCTTCTTGAAGCTCAAGAAAAAAAGTGGAATTTAATAAAATTTCAAAGTAAGTCTTGTAATCAGGATTATATTAATAGTTTTTGAATATGCACATGAATCACCTAGCTAGCCTGTTAAAATTCAGAGTCTAGTTCAGTAGGTCTGAGTAGAGCCCAAGCATCTGCATTTCTAGCAAGCTCCCAAGTGATGCCAGTGCCATGGACCACACTTTGAATTGGAAGGTTAGAACAGTGGTTCCCAAATTTCCCTGCACTTTGGAATCATCTGGAGTCTTTTAAAAATCCCCAAACCCAGGCCACACTCTGAACCTACAAAATCCCTCTCTGGCAGTGAGATACAGGAAACTATTTTGAAACTTCCCAGGTGATTCCAATATGCAGCTAAGTTTGGAATCATGGTTTGAGAACAATGAGCATCTTTGCAAGGCCTAAATATGAATTACAAATACGTGGAGGCTTTAGGTAACTAAAACTCTCTATGGAGACAAAAGCAAAGCCAAGGTCTTAAGCTACATTAATAACAGTAAATTTTGTAAGTTAAAAAAAAAAGTCAGTAATTGCCATCATACTCTGGCTGTACCTACGTATCAAGTTCAGTTTGGAGGATGGCTATATTTTAAGAGGGATATTGGTATCATGGACTACGTCAAGTGAATAGGGAACCATAAAATAAAGCAAGAAGGGGCCATAACAGATGTCTCCAAATAAATCTAAGACCTGTCCAAAGAAAAGCTAGATGTTTCTACTCAAAGCTTCCTCTCTTCTCAGTAGAATGAGGCTTTGACACTTGCACATTCTAATTTGGATTCTCTCTGGGTAAGTTTTCTCCCTCATTCAAGTAGACCCCAGGTGGGTTCCCATACCCATCCATGTCTGGACCCAGCAGTCAAAGGATCTAATCTCAAACTGGGTCCTGCTACTTTTGCTTTTCCTTATCTGTGCAATTACTTCCTTCTCTTGTGCAGATAGGTATGTGAAATATACATAAAGCATCAGTAGGCATATGACTGGATTAGGACAGTATTGATTGCCTTGCATGGGTGATAATGCAGATGGTCACAGAAGCATAAATCTTTGTCCAGACAACTTTAAACAAAATGCATATTTTTTGGCAATGTCAGTTCCTCTGGGAAAAACTGATTTAGAGAGGCCAAAATACATGAAAATACTCTGGGCCTTAAAATGACTTCCACAGGGTCTGTTCCAACATTTAACAGTATCTGCAAAACCGTAATCTCTCTTTGTTGAATTAGGAAGCAGTCACAATCTGTTCATGCTTTGTTTATTCTGTGTTTAAGATTTAATGAAGATTTGTTACCAGTAGCCAGAAACAAGAAAATTTAAATGTTCTCTGCTTAAGAGATTTTAAATGACCCTGACCGTTTTGCTCCTTAAGTAGCTGCATCCCTAGACAATGACTCTTAAGATAGTCTCAAAAATGGGGGTTAGAAATAGCAGTAGAAAGGATGCAAATAAATTAGGTGAAATTTACTAGTTTACACACACACACCCACACATTATTTACCTGCCTTTTCTTCAGAGGCAACAGTGTTAGAAAAATAACCAGACAGCAAACCCTGGTTAAAATATGGTTCTGTGTCTTAGTTTATCACTTCCAGTTATTAGCAATATCAAAATAGTAGCCTCATCCATTATTTTGGTGGTGGTGTATAATGGGTTTTGGAGTCAAAACAGAGATTATGGATCAAAAACTTAAATTCAAATTCTCACCTTTGCCATTTAATAGCTTTGTGACCTGGGGGAAATTGCCTAGTCTTCTGGGCCTCTGCTTCTTTGTCAGTAAAATGAGGATAATAATACATTGAGAGATTGCAGAAAGATTAAATGAGCTCATATGTGAAGAGTGCAAAACATAAGGCCTGGCATATAGGAGGCACCTGGTAACTGGTAGCCATTTTCATGACTGCACCCCATAAATACTCTTTTAATATATAAAATAAAGTGTTAAAGGGAATGCAGAATGTAACCAACAACCATTGGTGTGACCCCCACCTAAAATGCAAATTTTTAAAAAGTAAGTTACTAAAAATACAAACACACACTAGTTTCAAAGTCTTTTAAAGTCATTCATACATAACTACATAAACTTGACCAATGTCTGGAATTCTTGAACTTCTTTTACCCTTGGAGGTTGTTTGGTGTTTACATCTCAAAGGTAATTGTGCTGAATGTAACCCTTACTCTTCTTATGCCAGCCAGTCTCTCTCTCTCTTGCTTCCATTTCTCTTCCCTGCCCATCCCCATGCCACTGTTTCTTCTCCTGGTACCTGTCACAGAGCTCAGAGCAGTATGGACAGCCAGCGGCTGGAATTGCTCTCCCTGCCTTTTTCTCCACTCTGGGTGCTTGGAACAGAATAAGGAGTCAACAACCCAAGGCCCAGGGAGATACACTTTACATGCATTATCTCATAGGATCTTCACACAACCCCTGTTCCAGAGGCTTCAGTAGGCTCATTTTACAGAGGAAGAAACCAACCCTGAGAGCTTTTTCAAAAGGAGCCAAAGATCATATCATTAGTATATAATAAAGCCAGGTGTATCAGGGCTGTCAGATTCCAAAGCCCAGTTCTCAATCTGTGTTCTCAGGTAACCTGATCCAGGTATATCCTTTATCTGGCCCCCACTTGTCATGAAAAAATTGATCAGAACTTCTGGCCATCTCTTTGAAGGACAATTTGTTTGGAGAACATCCAGCACAATATTTCTGGTTTTATTCAGCTATTGTGTTCCCTTAATTTGTGGGCAGACTTTCCCAAGTGGAAAAATTATATAAAATAAAATGTTTGAAAAACATTTCACACTGTGATTGAGTCATTAAAAAGAAGAGTCATTAATAATGCACTGACTTTGATTATACTTTCGGTCACCAGGACCTGTCAATGGAGAGTTACTATTCTCTTCTGACGAAGTCAAAGTCATATAGGGGTCTCTAACAATGCACACAATTGTTCTAGCACCATAAAAGTAGGAAATTGTTCTCTTATGGAAAATTCATTTCATAGCTATGGGGCATAGTTAACATTCTGGAAGAGATGGGGTCCAAGGATGGGATGGGATGGAGAATGAATAGAGAGAATGGAATCTGAAATAAATGAGAAAAACCCAGCCAGTTACAGATGGTTTGGTAAACACCTCCCCTGCCCTCTTTCTGTCAATGCAGCAAAATTCTTTCCCCAAATCATTCCAGTATGGCCCTCTTTGCTAGTAAATTCTCTATTGATTTTTGTGATCTTCTTAATTAAAAAGAAAGTTGGAATGTAAATGTAGACAGCTTTTGGATCTTAGGATGCACACCTTTTTCTTCTCTAAAAATACAAGCCCGCTGTAACAATTGGATTCTGAAATTGACTCAGGTATTCTGGGCCCTGAGCCAAAGTCCATATGTGTGTAGCAAAGAACACTCAGCACTTATTTGGGTGAGTGTATCAACAGGCAATAACTCTCCCAGCCCCTGCCTGGAATAGAGTTTACAGACTACTTAGAAGGGCAAAAAGGAACAATCTGCAATAAACATTTTAAGTGATGCAGGGGCCCTCAATATCAAGAGGCAGCAGAGGACGAAAGCAGAAATCATGGATCCTTTCTCCTGTGTAAGCCGCCCAGCACTGGAAACCACAGGGTATCTGACCATGGGGCTTGCAGACCTCCAGGGGACCAGGGAAATGAAGGCCAAACAATTTACTACGCTGGGAAAAATCTCCCCAACCGAGGCTACCTTCATTTTGGCCTTAATGTTGCTGTTTTCTTCTGTAAACTTTCAGCATTAAAGCAGCATTTTTAAAAAACTGAGCTCTGCAGGAATATATGGTGCCAGCACCTCAGATTCATTAAAATTTCATTAACATCCACTTATGGAGTTGCCATTTATTTGCTGCAAAGCATTTTCTGATAACACCATAGAAAAAGGCAAATGAGATATTCTTCTTAGGGATCAGAAACAACCAAATTCCTTTCCAGACTGGGTAGATACAGTCTTATTAGGACAGAACATTACCCTCTAGCAGTCAGGTATGTGAGAGTGCAGTGGGGGAGATTGGCATCTCTGCTTCTGTTTGTTTTTCAAATTTTAATATGGAGTATTTCCAATATACACAAAATTAAAATGCCATGTATGCCTCTACTCACTTCCCTCTCTCTGTTATTTTTTGAACCAAATTTGGTCTTTATGTTTGTTTTTGACCACAGAAACATCATATAATTATGAAAACTAAGCTACAGAAGTATGGAGAACAATTCTGTGTAATACCCTTGTAGTCATCAAACAGAATTAATAAGTGATCATTTTGTTACATTTGCTTCAGGTGGATGTCTTTTAAGTCATATTTTAAATAGATTCTTTTTCTGTCTCTCTCTTTCTATCCCCCTCTCTTCTAATTTTTATGTTGAAAAAGCTGGGTCATTTGATCTGTAGAATTTTCCAGTAGGAATTTTGCTGGCTCTATGGTATAATTTAACATGTTCCTCTCTTCTCTGCACTTCCTAATCAATAGTTATTGTTGTGGGTAGCGGCTAACTGGGGCTGGTGGTGTAGGTGGTAAAGAAATTTACCAAGACAGTTGTAGGTAACAAAAGGCACATTTATTAGAGAAAGTATGAAAATATGTTGCAAGGGTGCAACAGGCAGATCATCAAGAGAGGAGCTGACTGCCAGGAGACAAAAGCTTGCTGGGGATTTTATAGGATTGTGCTCATGCTGGAGAGGGCTACATGCAGTATTGATAATGCCAATGTGGCAGTGAGCTAACTTGCATTTTTCTATTAGCCGAGGGTCTCGTGATAAGTCAGGTGCAGGAAGATTATGAGCTATCTGTACAGGAGGGCTGCATGTCCTGGACCATGAAGAAAGGCAGGCTTGTAGCTTATCTGCTCTTTCTTTATACTTTCCCCTGGTCCCACCAGCCTGACTTCTTTTTCCTTATTAGGACTCCACAATTATGTCTGGAGGATTGGTGAGTTGGGGGGTGTGAGTGGTGGCTAAAGTACTTTATAAGTGATGATGTATAAGACACACTTAAGGTCTGGGGTGTGTGCATGTGTGTGTGTGTGTGTGTGTGTGTGTGTGTGTGATGACAGACATTGATAAGTATTGCATAGATCCTTGAATTAATTAGGTTTGCAAAATGGCATTCTATCATCGCTATTTCACTTATACACAGAAACTTCCCTCCATCTAGTCTTTGGTTACCAGACCCAGCACCTCTTTTTCAAAGCCACATCAACACATTCTCTTTCTCATCTCAACAGACTGTGCACTTAGCAAGAAAGGAAAGGCAGGAAGAATTGTGTTTTTCCTTTTTCCAATTTTTGTTATTAGGAACTATATTAGATAGTCAAAGTGTATTAGTCTATTTTCATATTGATATGAAGAAATACCCGAGACTGGGAGATTTCTAAAGAAAAAGAGGTTTAATGGTCTCACAGTTCCACATGACTGGGGAGGACTCACAATTATAGCAGAAGGTGAAGGAAGAGCAAAGGCATGTCTCACATGGCAGCAGGCAAGAGAGAATGTGCAGGGGAACTGCCCTTTCTGAAACCATCAGATCTCATAAGACTTATTCACTACCATGAAACAGCATGGGAAAATTTGCCCCCATGATTCAATTACCTCCCACTGGGTCCCTCCCACAACATGTGGGGATTATGGGAGCTATAATTCAAGATGAGATTTCAGTGGGGACACAGCCAAACCATATCACAAAGTTACAAAGAGTAATACAATAAGCAATCCGATGTCTAGAAACTTCTCACCATGGTTTTAATTTGCCTCTCCCTGATGCCTAAAGAGAGTGTTTTTGTTTTGTTTTGTTTCTTTGTTTGTTTTTTAATGGGTTTATAGGCCAGGTAAAGATATTTTAACTGGCTTCTGGTTTTCTGTCACTAAAAACCAAGAACGTCAATTCCACACAGTTGGGGGAAGGAAGAGACAAAGGTTACATCTGGGCACATAGCTGCAGCTCCTTTTGGCCTTGTGGCAGCCCAAGTGAGCATTGTTAAAAGTGAGAATGTAGCCCACAGGAGAATACCATTTATCAGGCAGCATGGCAGGAAAAAATACTGGAGACCCACTGGATTACAGGTGAAAAGGTGAAGGGGAGAAGTCTCAACATTTGTCAGAGGAGGAGATCTGAGCACCAAGCCACCCTGTGTTGTCTGAAGAATTACACTTGAGAAAGCTTGCACATACATGTGCTATCTTGGGTTGAGTAAATAATTAAAGAAAACGGGAGGTTTAGAAGAAAGAAGGATGTGGCTGAAATAATAAAGGCAGGCATAGCCCCAGGTACCTAATAACTGGGGGTTTGAATGCCCACAGGAATCAGGCAAACAATAAAGATGGTGGCAGTGGGTTCAGTACATTACACATAGGAAAAGGTGGGAAAGAGGTCACCTGGAGATGTCCCATCCCATCAGCTTTATCATCCGATGCTTGATTAGTGGAAATGCAGGCCCAATATTGCCAGGACTTCCAAGTCTTCAAGAGAAGTTGCAATCTAGAGTTTATATAAAAACTCCTGAATTTTTTTTTTTTTTTTTTTTTAGACAGAGTTTTGCTCTTGTCACCCAGGCTGGAGTGCAATGGCCTGATCTCGGCTCACTGCAACCTCCACCTCCTGTGTTCAAGCAATTCTCCTGCCTCAGCCTCCCGAAGTAGCTGGGGTTACAGGTGCCCATCACCACGCCCAGCTAATTTTTTTGTATTTTTATTTGAGATGGAGTTTCACCATGTTGGCCAGGCTGGTCTTGAACTCCTGACCTCAGGTGATCCATCTGCCTCGGCCTCCCAAAGTGCTGGGATTACAGGCATGAGCCACTGCGCCTGGCCAAATCTCCTGATTTTTAAAAGCAGCCTCCTGTATTTTTTGTAACATTGTGCCATGCAAACAGTACATCTATAGACAGATTTGGCCCTCTTGGCCTCCATGTTGTTTTCTTTGCATCAGAGGTTTGGTCTCTTTCCCTGGGGCCTACAAGGTGTCCTTTAGACAGGGCCCTGGATACCTGCTCCCTATTCCCCTGACCTCACCTCCAGGTATGATCACACTTATTGATTAGGAAATAGTTATTTCCATTTCATGTGCCCTCAGGCACAATCATGCAAACTTTTTCTGCTTTGAACGTTGACCTAGCAAGCTTCAACATGTTCTTTTTTTGTTTAGTTGTTTTGGATTGAAGATTTTTTTCCTATATTCAGCAGAAGTGTCCGAAGTGCTGATGTTATATATGGATTGGAACATAAGGTTCCTGTAACTTTAGAAAAAATAGAAAAACTCTATATTTAAGCAGTGCATATAGATATATGAATAACGCAATATTCTAAAACTTAATTCATTCAAAGATATGGCAGTGTGTTATAATACCATACTAATTATAAATCTTGGGTAAAATGGATACTTCTGAAATACCTAAATCATTGCATATGACGAATAAATAGAGTCTAGGAATACGTATGTTACCCATTTTCAAATTTCTGAAGAGATGCCATGTGGCAGGGATTATCGACTTATTCTATGTAGCCCTTAAAGGTAGAATTTTGGCAAGAAGTAGCTGAGAAATGGATTGGTGTTAGAAAGAATCTCATAGCAGTACTTCTCAAACACAGGAACACACTGCTTCAAGAAGCAGTGAGTTCTCTGTCACTAAAGAGATTCAAATGACATCTACCATGGTATGGAAGCAGGAAATAGCACCTCAGGGACCTCACTCCATCAGATAATATGCAAGTTCCCTTCCAAACCTGATGTTAAGAATTTGATGAGATTAAAATTCATAAACAAGGCAAAGAAAATCTTCCACTAACAGTAATAAAGAAGTAGGAAATGAAAAAAAATACAGTTGAATGGAAGCATTAAACCAAGAAAAAACAGTCATTATATAAATTAGTATAACGTTTTAAGTAACATCCATTATTTCAGTTACTTACCATACTTTATAATAATGATGTAGCATTTTTTAACTGTAGCTAATTGTATAGCTAGAGGCCCCAGGGCTAAGTGACTAGCCTAAGGTCATAAGGCAGTTAGCATTTTCATCATGAATTAGAAGTCAGCACTTCGACTCTGAGCCACGTTTCTTTTATTATGCATTTGAATTGTTACATATTCCAAATCAGGAGTGTACTTTGTTATAGGGTTTGGCTGTGTCCCCACCAAAATCTCATCTTGAATTGTAGCTCCCATAATCCCCATGGGTTGTTACAAATTGGAAAGCATTGCAAAAGCTAATACGGGGTGAGTGATAAGCTAAGAAAAAGATAGGTGCAACAATTTTTTACTAAATACCTCCTCCAGACTGGGTCATATGCTGGACCTTTATTTATTCTCACAGTAACTGCATGAGTGGCCATTAATATCATCCCTTTTTTTTATAGATTAGATAAGTTAATTAGCTTGTTTACAGTTATACAATTCCAAAGCACCAGAGTTGGAATTTTTTACCTCTATTGTAAAACTAGCCCAGATTATTTCAATTGAAATATGACAAAAGGCCAGGGATGGTGGCTCACACCTGTAGTCCCAGCTATTCAGGAGGCTGAGATGGGAGGATCACTTGAGCCCAGGAGTCCGAGTTCAGCCTGGGCAGCAAAGCGAGACCTCTATCTCTAAAAACAAAAAACAAAGCAACAACAAAACAAAGAGAAGAAAAAACAAGAGACAATCTATTTAGACTTAAGAGACCTGGTACTTAATGCAACAATCACAGGGATGTTTTGTACCTTCCTGTGATTCTGTTTGCTTATTTACAACCCAAAGATAGCTTTATTTGGATTACAATGCATTGGTTATTAGTAGTAGTAATAAAACTAGTCATTTTTAATTCATAGATATTCTACTATGCTCTTATTTTTGGAAACAAAGATGATTTATATGTTACAAACACATGAGATTAGGAACTAATTATTGATATATATCAGGTGCAGCTGTGTCCTCCACAATTTTTTCCCTTTTTTAGTCATGAAACTGTCATGATTTTTCTTTAAACTAATAATAATACTTCATTTCCTGTGCACCTGCAAAAGACAGTCTAACCATTTGTTAAAAATAAATTTGAAATTATTTTTAATTTGTTTAAATGAATCTATGTTGTTAATGTCTTATAGGTATGGGGCAAAATTCAGATGAGACCTTAATTACAAGATGGAAGAAAATGCAATTATTTAAAGGAATTGGGAATGCAATTCATATTTCTTCTTTTCAATTTAAAATACTTTGCCAAGCCACCATTCTGTCAATGGATAATATCTGCTGTTTATTGTGGGCCTACTGTGTCTCAGGTTTTCTGCTAGATGATTTAGGTATATGAGGAATATTATCTTTATGTCTCATAGGACAGCAGCAAAGGTCAGCCAGCTGATCCATCTAAATCCCAAAAGACTTTACAGATGAGAAACAATGAGAACCCCCAGTGATGGCATAGATGGGTTTTTCACATCAGACTCCTTATGGAGCAACTAAGCATTTAGCTTAATTTGTCTTTAAATCAGAAATTCTGAAAATGGAAGTGAAAAGGCTAGCTGATAGAATTACTGATTCCCAGGGAGCAGAATTCACAAATTTGCAACACAATGCTCATTTATTAATTTGGCTGCCTGGAACAGCCTTTCTTTTTCTTTTTGTTTCAGCAATTGCTTCTTTCTCCTACCGCCCTGTCTTCTCAGCAGCATCCAAAGCACCCCACACTTAGCCTATCATTTCATGTTTTCATTTTATTGCAAATATATTTTATGTGTCTGTCTCTACAATTAAGCTCTGTAGGAATAGCATGTTATTTTCTTCAGCGTCTGCCCCAGCACCTAGGAATTGAAATGAATGAGTGGATGAATGGATGGCTGCCTGGATGGGTGCATTGCAAAATGATTTCAGGGCCCCAACTTACTCAAATAACAGCTCCTTCCTTTGCCCAGAGAGGCTGGAAAAAAGTTAAATGTGACAACTGCGTAGAAGAGATCTGGATTTGTAATGCTGGCTTGTATCTTAATGATATTTTCTCCAATAAATGAACCTGTTGTGATTTCACGGCTTGGTGGAGTTCTTAACAGCCTTTCAATACCTTCATTTTAATGGCTCAAAAGAAGTTGTTACAATGTTTGCAATGAATGCAAATTATGGATCCATAATCCTGAGTGTCTCATAAAGAACCTCACTAAACAGTTATTGTACCTATACAATAGCATCTCTTAGGAAATCCCAATGAATCAGCTTTAAACAAAACCACTGTCGCCCAAGTCTGCAGTGTGAAACTTTATGAGAAACTCAACTGGCTTTTACTCCCCCCTCCAAATCAACACTCTGCATAATGGGAAAAAAGCCAGAATATAGAAAGTGAGGCTGGTAAAGACTGGCATTTTGAGATAAATAATGCTTATTTTAGTTAGATAGCAAAGCCATTTTGTTTAATTTATTCTGCCCAATAGATACTTCTTATGGGGAGAAAATTACATCATCATGGAATCAAAAGCAACCAGAGATTATTTTTAAATATGTTACATATATTTTAAAATAACACCTTACCCTCATTTTATGTTTCAAAGCTTACAAAATCCTTTTAAATTTGTATTATTTCATTTCATTCTCATAATAGTCCTGTGATTCTGGCTTCTTGTTATTGTTGTCATGTTATGTATGAGTAAACAGATTCAGAGAATCCCTGGCTCAGGGAATGTTATTGCCTCCTCCCAATAGCTCAGACTGGAAAACCAGAAAGTCTTGTGTCTTCCCTACCATAGCTATTTGACATCAAATGTGTTACTCTTTGTGAAATTGCTTTCACATTTGTCTCCTTTTCTACCTCCATTGTCATTGCCTTACATTTTGACTCACACAGTACCCAGTACACAGCAGGCACTCAATGAATATTTGCTGAGTGAGTGAGCCAGAAAGTCCTCTGAGGCTGGGGAGGTTACTCTTTCAAATGATCCTCTACATGCCCATAAAAGTGCTCTTTTTAGTGTACACATTTGATATATATTATTCATCTGATCAATATCACCAATCTCACAGAAAGAAAAAATAATAAAATTTCATTTGATCACATGAAGGGCTTTTCAAGATCTACCTCTGATGACCTGTTTAGCTCCATCTCCTGCCACTTCCTTGTTCTTCACGGTTGTTTCATCCTGAAGTGCGAACCACTCTAGCCCCGATGTGCACCCGGTTCTCATAGAGGAAATCAAACAACAGTTTAAGTTTGTTCTTTGAAGGTTTCCCTGACTCTAACAAGCAAACCCATAAGATCCTTCCTTTAATATATCATTGACTTTGAATACTTTATCTCATTGCATTATATATGTTTCTTACATAACTATTTCCCTCTAAAATTTAAATTCCTAGAAGCTCGTTCTCCCTTTCTAAATCCTTGTGTCACTACCAGCACAATGCTTGAAGGAGGACTAAACATTTTAAATAATTTTTAAAAGTTAGTTAGAAAAAAATGAGTGAATGAATGCCAAGCAGTGGATCCATGCTACTTGACTGCTTGACATTTCCTTCTTCAGATAACCACTCCTCTTCCACTTCATATTAATTCTTTTAAGACCATGTGATTAGCATCCATCCCATGGGTGAGGCGGGCAGGCACAGGCTCAGGCCTGGACAATCAAAGCATGATGTTCTCTCTTCCTAGCTTCATAGATGAACTCTAAGGTGAACAGTTGGACCAACCAGACCCTTGATGTGGATATTGGTCAATAGTGTCAGAAACAGTCTTTGTATCAGGGTTCTCCAGAAAAACAGAACCAATAGGATGGAGAGGAGATAGATAGATAGATAGATAGATAGATAGATAGATAGATAGACAGACAGACAGACATATAGAGAGACAGAGAGGAGATTTATAAGAGGAATTGTCCCACTTGATTATGGAGGCTTAAAAGTCCCACCATAAGCTTTCTGCAAGCTAGAGAACCAGGGAAGTCAGTAGCATGACTCAGTACAAATCCAAAGGCCTGAGAATCAGGCAGACTGCTGGTGCAAGTTCCAGAGTCCGAAGACCAGAGAACCCAGAGTTCCAATGTGCAAGGACAGGAGAAAACGGGATCCTAGTTCCGGAAGAGAAAAAGGAGCAAATTCACCTTTCTTCTGCCTTTTTGTTCTATCTAAGCCTTCGACCAATTAGATGGTAACTGCCCACACTTAATAAGGGTGGATCTTTCTTACTCAATCTACTGATTCAAATGCCAGTCTCTCCTGGAAACACTCTCAAAGATATACCTAGAAATAACGTTCTACCAATTAGGTGGGTATCCCTTAGTCCAGTCAATTTGAGACCTAAAATTAGCCACTGCAGTCTTCTTCTGGGATCTCTAGGCATCAAGATTAATGAGTCTGGAACTGCCGTTCTGCTCACCATGGAGACAGCCTGCCTGAAAATGAAGCTTGCACCAAGGAAAGCAAAGCAGAGGCATGGAGAGCCTGGTACAGATGGCCCTGTTGGGGCGATTTGTTCTTGAGAGCTGTGCCAGAATTCTTCAAAATTTCAACTATGTCAACCAACATAGTGTCTTCTCCTTTTCTAAAGCTACTTTGCATTGGATTTCAGTCACTTGCAACAGAAAAAGCCTTGACTGATACAGTGGTCAATATCAAAATTAACAAAATAAGCAAAATCAAATCAGGTTACCTAACTCTATAAGAAGTGTCCTTTCCGCCCTATATCACTATCTCTCTATATTAACAACAGGCTGGAATGAAAATATTAACAAGGCAGAGTGTTCCTGATCTTTTATTTCCCTACAATAAAATCTTGAGTGACCTTGCTGAACATTTTAAAAGGTTCAAAGAAAAGCAGATGGAAGATTAGTAGTGTAAAATGGCAAATGCCAATAGCTCCTTAATCATAAAAGCATCTTTGCAAACTTTATAATAAAATACATTTAATAAGAGAATTAATAACAGTGCATACTCTAATTGTTCAAAACTTAGGCGAGAATGAGGATCTGTTTAGCTGTTGCAAGAGCGAGCAAGTAAGACAAAGAAATAAACCCATACGCCCCCTTTATTCTCTAGGGTGACTTCCCATCTCAGCTTTCTGCTTCCACTGCAGACTTCCCTGTCTATCACTAGCAGAGAGTGAATGGGAATTTATGTCCATCATAAAATGCTGTCCAATAGGTAGTTTTATAAGATTTATACACATACATTAAGTCTCTCTGTCCTTTGTCATGTACCTCCAATAAACCTCATGGTTCTCCCTCGTCATTTCATGCCAAATGAAAAGTGGTAATATTACCAGATTTGTAGTTAATTATCATGAAATATGACTCCTAATGATTTAACATCTTTGTTAAGAAGCCGTGGTAACAGGCAGTACAACGCTGAAAAACATCATTAAAGCTATCATTTATCCATGACATTTACATTTTGTTCACAGTCAAAAAAAGTTAATTGACAAAGCACATGTATACAATATTTATTGAGAAAATAGCTCTCTTTCTTGCTGCCAGTTAGTTTAGCATATTAAAGTTTTATTGATAGGATCTAACTTTTCTTATTCTTTTAATGACCTTGAAAGTGAATTATGTTTCCTTCCTTTTACATTGAATTTATGGAAAATAACCCTCCCTTGACAAAGGAGCTCTAAACTGATACAAGAGAACTGCTTCACATTTCATTTCTCTGATGAGCAAACATGTTGTAGGAATATGGCATGGAACTGTACAAACCTTGACTAGGGAAATGCAGTGTAGCGTCTCTTTTTTTTTCTAAATAAAAAGTGATTTTAGGGAGAGTTCACTCTAGTTCTCTCTTCTCTAATATGTATCTCCAACCCATGCCTACCCCTCAAAATAATTCTGGGTTCTACAAATTTACCAAGAAAAATATAATAGCAGCACTAGCTTCTGAGGGATGTGAAATACTGCAGATTCAGTACTCTGGGCCACCAGAATCCAGATCTAAGAAACTTTTACTCAATCTGATGTCTACTTAGATGATCTCAATCTGATGAACTGTGTCTTCTTGGCTAGAAATAAATGTGCTATTTACTAAATGGCGACCTTACTTCACCCCACTATATAAAACAGAACCCACTTCTCTCTCTCCAGCCTGCTCACCCTGTGTTATATCTTTGTAGCCCTCGTCTCCACCTGGCATATAAAACATATCTTATCTTTATCCCTTTGTTTATTCTCTGTTCTCCTCCCCACCTCCAGTGAGAATGTAAGTTCCCCAAGGGCAGGCTCTCTGTCTTTGTGTATGTCCCCAGACTTTAGAAGAGAGCCTAGTGCATCATTAGTATTCAATAAATATTTTCAGACTAAAGACATGATATGATAAACCTGGAGAATCATGTTGTTAGTTCCCAAGTACTTCCTTATTCAAGAAGCATGGTTTAGGGTCAAACCATATTTATAAACTAATTTCATGGTAATTTCATTCTATACCCAAGCTTCTCGAAGATATTTAAAGATCCAACACATTACTCACTGATTTTATTAAATTTTCTTTTTCTTTTCAATCCACAACACTCATATAATCTCCTCTCAAAAACCCTACAAAATTTCTCTTCTTCGCCTTCCTCAACTCTGATGAATTTCTTGCCTCCATCTGTTTCCCCACCCCTTTCTCTCTCAGCATTTTAAAATATAGTTGAATTTTACATTTTTTTTTCCAAGCAAGAAAGACTCCTTCCTTTACTCAGGTGAAAGAGGTGGAGATGGGGTAGGTATTGGGCTGGAAATTACAGGATAGTCTTTGGAGGAATGAAAAAATAATTTATGATACTTTTTGATTAATCATTTAGAATTGCCACATATGTATGAATAAATGCAACCCCCCCAAAAAATGGAAATCTACACCTTAAAGCACTTTAAAAATAAAGAGCCAAAGAAAGCTAACTTTCATAGTAGGAACTTCTGTTTTTCTAAACAGAATATATTGACAAATTCAAAACATCATAATGCATGACCACTGCCATACATCGAAATAAAAGTTATTTGATATTAATAAGGATATTTAGTCTTTGGCTACATACCTAAAACCAGTACAGGTTCTAGCTCATGATGTGTTAATGAGGTTTAATATGTACCCTCCCATGAGTTCTAGAGAAATGGCAACAGCGTAGTTAGAATCTATAATTAATATCAAACAGACCAGCAAAATTCACCAATGAGATTGAAAACTTCATATTGAAGTACGATTTTCAAAAATTTAAATACATTGCTGTCATACGAATATAAATTGCATGTGTCCAAGATTGATTTAACTCACTGATAGAACTAGCACGATGATAAAGCTAGTTCAAAGAAAATTTGAGAGACTGAGTTTGCATTGGCTCTAAGGAAATGTGGAAGTAGATAGCTAAGATAGATAAAAAACTAGCTTTTGCTCTAATGGATAATTAAACAATAACCTTTGAGGTTATCTCTTCTACCAGACAAACTTCACTTACATTTCTATTAGACAAAATTATTTATGTGACTGTTAATTTTCTGCAATCCAGTCTTTACCTTTAGAGAAATATAAAATATCTAAACCAAAGGAAAATAGTAAAATAGCTATCCAGAGAAAATGAAATTATCATTGGGCAGGACTGTTAACTAATACTCCAGTGTGACATTGAAAGAACTTGTAGTCATTCTTTTACCTATTTCCAAGTTTTGTAATATTATTTTCTTAACATTAGTCATAAAAATAGAAGAAATGGACCAAACCTGCTGCCGTCAGCAAACCAGTGTTAAAATATGACAGACTAAACTATATTATTATTTCATCAAGATATCATTATCAAAGTACTATTATTTAAATAGCAACAAAATAACTATCATTTATTAAACATTGTTTTTGTGCCATATATGTTTGTATATAAAAACCATAGGTATAGTTATTCCCATTTTACAGATGATGAAAATGGCAGTCATGGGGCTTAACCTAGGCAAGGGTATACAGCCAGTGGTAGAATTATTAACTCACTTTCCACTTATCTCCTTACTTCGTTCTATCGGAGTAACTACTGGGTTACCTACAGCATACATTTCATAGGCAACTCGCAAAATTTTCTCAGCAAAATGAAGGGGCCAGGACTCTGATAATCCCTAGACAGGTAATGTAGCCAAAGACAAAATTTCATCCCAGACCCAAAAATACACAGGGGAAAAGATGACATTATCAAAGACTGCAAATATCACAGAAAGAGAGAAAAATAGATTTCATGTATTTTCCTCACAGAAGAACACTTTTACCTATGGAAACAAACTCCCCACCTCCCCCACACAAAAAATTTAAACCTCACCTGAATTGATGTGATTAGTCCATTAGCTACAAAACTATTAATTTAGGAAAAATACAAGAAAAAAGGGAACATATTCAATGACAATACAGGAATACAATGAGCTGACTCTAAATGGACAGACGAGATATTTAATCCCTAAATCTAGATAGAGGAAATTTGGCAGGAAAACAATCTGATTTATTCAATAAATAAACAGCAATCATAGCGATGATACAGGGAGGGAGGCTGGAGAATGAGAGAAAGCACAGACAGAAACCTACAGATTAAAAAAGGCACAAGATATCTTGATTCAAACAAACTATGTAAAAAAGTTACAATTTAAAAATGAATAATAACTTATTATATCAAGGAAAAGAAATTTAATATTAAATTTTCAGTGTTGTATTAGTATTATTTTTAAACTATTCTATATTTTAGAAATATATATACGGTGATATTTACAGGTCAAATGATATACTGAGAATTGCTTCAGAATAATCCAGGGACTGGGAAAATAAGGGATAGGGTACAGATAAAGCCATTTAGGAAAGGAGATGACCATTGTTGAAGCTATATAATGGGTATATGGGAGTTTATTATCCTATTGTTTCTACTTGTGCACATAGTTGGCATTTTCCATGATAAAATGTTGGAAGAGAACTCACTGGGTTGTGTACAGAAAAACAAGTAAAGCAATGAAGTAATTTTTATAATTATTTTTGATATGTATTTTTCTTTTTCTTTTTCTTTTTTGTTTTTGTTTGTTTTTTGTTTGTTTGTTTTGAGACAGAGTTTCACTCTTGTTGCCCAGGCTGGAGTGCAATGGCGTGAACTCGGCTCACTGCAACCTCTGCCTCCCAGGTTCAAGCAATTCCCCTGCCTCAGCCTCTTGAGTAGCTGGGATTACAGGCACCTGCCACCATGCCCAGCTAATTTTTTGTTTTTAGTAGAGATGGAGTTTCACCATGTTGGCCAGGCTGGTCTTGAACTCCTGACCTCAGGTGATCCACTCACCTCGGCCTCCCAAAGGGCAGGGATTACAGATGTGAGCCACTGTGCCTGGCCTTGATATGTATTTTTCTAAGAGAGGCAGCTAGAGCCTTTTCTCTTCTATAAAGAATATCTGTTAACTTAAAGTTTGAACTAAGTCTTACCAAACTCATTCTTTGTCACAAATGGTTAGAGAGGCAACACTAAAATTATTTCAGGTTCAAGATTAATTAGGGTCTGGGGCTGATATGGTTTGGCTCTGTGTCCCCACCCAAATCTCATCTCAAATGTAATCCCCATAATCCCAATGTGTCAAAAGCAGTACCAAGGGGAGGTAGTTGGATCATATGGGCAGTTCCCCCATTCTGTTCTTGTGATAGTGAGTGAGTTCTCATGAGATCTGATTATTTTATAAGTGTCTGGCATTTCTCCTGCTTGCACTTATTTCGTCCTGCTGCCCTGTGAAGAAGGTGTCTGCTTCTTCTTTGCTACCATGATTGTAAGTTTCCTGAGGCCTCCCAACAATGCAGAACTGTGAGTCAATTAAACCTCTTTCCTTTATAAATTACCCAGTTTTAGGTATTTCTTCATAGCGGCATAAGAAAGGACTGATACAGTTAATTGGTACTGAGAGTGGGGCACTGCTAATAAAGATACCCAGAATGTGGAAGCACCTTTGGAACTGGGTAACAGGCAGAGGTTGGAATAGTTTGGAGGGCTCAGAAGAAGACAGGAAGATGTGGGAAAGTTTGAAACTTCCTAGAGACTTGTTGAATGGGTTTTGACCAAAAAGTTGATAGTGATATGGACAATGAAGTCCAGGCTGAGGTGGAAATGAGTAACTTTTTGGGAATTGGAATAAAGGTGATTCTTGCTATGCTTTAGCAAAGAGACTGGCTGCATTTTGCCTCTGCCCCAGAAATTTCTGGAATTTTGATCTTGAGAGAAATGAGTTAGGGAATCTGGCAGAAGAAATTTCTAACCAACAAAGCATTGAAGATATGACTTGGGTGCTCTTAAAAGCATTCAGTTTTATGCATTCACAAAGATGTGGTTTGGAATTGGAACTTATGTTTACAGGGAAGCAGAGCATAAAAGTTAGAAAAATTTGCAGCCTGACAATACGATAAAAAAGAGAAACCTATTTTCTGAAAAGAAATTCAAGTTGGCTGCAGAAATTTGCATAAGTAACGAGGAGCCAAATGTTAATCACCAAGACAATGGGGAAAACGTCTCCAGAACATGTCAGAGGTTGTCACAGCAGCCCCTCCCATCACAAACAACACAGAGGCCTAGGAGGAAAACATGGTTTCATGGGCTGGGCCCAGGGCCTTGCTGCTTTGTGCAATCTTTGGACTTGGTGCCTTGAGTCCCAGCCATGGCTAAAAGGGGCCAATGTACAGCTCAGGCCATTGTTTCAGAGGGTGCAAGCCCCAAGCCTTGGTTGGAAGCTTACACATGGTGTTGGGCCTGCAGGTACATAAAAGTCAAGAATTGAGTTTGGGAACCTCTGCCTAGATTTCACAGGGTGTATGGAAATGCCTGGATGTCCAGGCAGAAATCTGCTGCAGGGGTAGAGCCCTCATGGAGATCCTCTGTTAGGGCAGTATGGAAGGGAAATGTGGGGTTAGAGTCTCCAGAGTCCCCACTGGGGCACTGTCTAATGGAGCTGTGAGAAGAGGACCACCATTCTCCAGACCCCAGAATGGTAGATCCACTGACAGCTTGCACTGTGGGCCTGGAGAAGCCACAGACACTCAACGCCAGCCCATGAAAGCAGCTGGGTGGGACGCTGTACCCTGCAAAGGCATAGGGCTGTAGCTGCCCAAGGCCTTGGGAGCCCACCTCTTGCATCAGCATGACCTGGGTGTGAGACATGGAGTTAAAGGAGATAATTTTGGAACTTTGAGGTTTAATGAGGGCTCTATTGGATTTCAGACTTGCATGGAGCCTGTAGCCTCTTTGTTTTGGCCAATTTCTCCCATTTGGAATGGGTGCATTTATCCAATGCCTGTACCCCCATTGTATCTAGGAAGTAACTAACTTGCTTTTGATTTTACAGGCTCATAGGCAGAAGGGACTTGCCTTGTCTCAGATGAGACTTTAAACTGTGGATTTTTGAGTTAATGCTGAAATTAGTTGAGACTTTGGGGGACTGTTGGGAAGATATGATTGGTTTTGAAATGTGAAAAGACATGAGATTCTGCCAGGGGCAGAATAATATGGTTTGGCTCTTTGTCCCCACCCAAATCTCACCCAAAGTTGTAATACCTACAATCCCTACATGTCAAGTGGGGGACCAAGTGGAGGTAATTGGATCATGGTGGCAGTTCCCCCACACTGTTCTTGTGATAGTGAGTGAGTTCTCACAAGATCTGACAGTTTTATAAGCGTCTAGTGTTTCTCTTGCTTGCACTCACTCTGTCCTGCCACCCTGTGAAGAAAGTGCCTACTTCTCCTGTGCCTTCTGCCATGATTGTAAGTTTTCTGAGGCCTCCCTAGCAATGCAAAACTATGAGTTAATTAAACCTCTTTCCTTTATCAATTACCCAGTCTTAGGTATTGCTTTATAGCAGCATGAGAACAGACTAATACAGAGGCCATGCCACCCTAAATGTGCCCAGTCTCATCTAATCTTGGAAGCTAAGCAAGGTCTGCCCTGATTAGTACTTGGATGGGAGATATTTAGGAAAAATCTGAATGGGATATATTTGAAAACAAGGTCCAAGGTAAGAAGTCTTAGAGTGAAAGTGTTTTGGGATAAGCATCAGTAGTTAACTTGGCTGAATTTTATGCCTAATGAAGACCAAGGAAATAACTTGTGCCAAGTGCTCTACCATTAAAATTATCCTAATGTGAAAGGATCCCAGCTGGTACACGTAGCAGCCTTAGATTTCTCTTCAGAAAGACACACCAATGTCCATAATTCCACATTGGCAACTCTGATCTCCTGGTTTCTGTAGCAAAAATATGGACTCTTCATTTTGCAAAAAGATTTGTGGTATTAAAATTACAGAAAAAGGGAAATAAATAAAAAATCATGCATAATTCCAAATGCTTAACTGAGATGTCTGCAGAATGAATATAAGATATTTAGTCTGTGACTATTACCCCAACATTTAATCTTTTAATTATATAAAATAAAAAAAAAAGTTTGCATCCTTGTTTTCTTTTTGCCTCTCTATTCACACATTTAAATGGCTCTGTTTTATGTTTGCTGTACCACGCAGTGCTGAAACAAATATTCTTACCCAACCATCTTTATGCATTTGTGCTGTTATTTCCCTAAGGCAGCATTGTTAAACTCCTTGTTATAAAAATTTAGAAAATAAAGTAATAATCATTTAAATGATGTAGTTAACACTGACACATTTTATTAAACTGAGTTAGTTTTACAAATATAATTCAGATTTCTGGGCTTTGAAAACTTTCCTCCTTGCTTCTTTCATTTCAACAAATATTTGTGGAGTCTTTTCTCTGCTAGGCACTGTGCAGCACCATCAAAAGATGAAAGGTGAAGTCCTTGACCTCAAGGTTTGTGAATTGTACTTATGTCCTTAGATGTAATTACCAAAAGAAAATTTTATTATCCTCATGTTGATCCTAAGCCTAGAATTTGTCAATTTTTTTGCACTGGGTTAAATAAGATGATACCTACAAAGCCCTTAGCATAGGGTCTGGCATACGGTAGATGCTTAAAAGATGTTACCACTTACCATTATCATCATCTTCACCAATACCACAGTCATTATGAATTACTATTTGTAGATAGAACTAATTCTAAACTACCCCAATATAAGAAGGTTCTCAGTAAATTCAAATGGATATATCCCAGTAGAAGTATTATCATGATTGGGAATTGCTATATGAACTCATATTTTACTTTTTTGTATCAATTTCTCACCAACTTCCTCAAGTTATTATATTTGAAAAACACTGCTGTCTTGTATTCTTGGAGTCTGGTATTGCATTATTAATTGATGTGTGGACAATGAATTGCACCTTGGACCTTAGATCTGCATTCTTTGAAATCAAGCTGCAGCCCTAACTTCTCAGCCTGGGGATGACTGAGAGTCCATTTTAGCAGTCATGGCTTCTGTAGAAAGTAGCCAGGCCAAGCAGCCCGGCTTTCCTGCAAATCCCTGGTGTTCTCCGAGATGCCTCTCCAAAGGTCATATGGGTAATTGTAAAGAAGGCAGCAGTGAGGGTTCAAAATGCCATGACCTTTTTGTTCATGTGTGTCTCCTAGGACTATTTAGAAGTTTCCTACACCCTGCAAGAAGCCCCATATGTAAGCCATTAACAACACAGAAGAAAATATATTTTAAAGTCGCTCATAACTCGTACCTTCAAGTTTCCACTAACTACCTGTTGTGGGTTTTAAGCAAAAAACTGACATTCTTTTTTATTATCATTGAAGAAACAGAACTCTATTTCAGCACAGATATTGCCTATTTTGAATGCACTTCAAGTGCACAGAAATGGAATAGTCAGACTGCAAGGCGAAAGCAGGGCACGCGAGGCATCCATTTCACATTCAGGAAAAGTTTACAAAACACTGTGACACATGCAAAACAAGGTCAGAGGTAAGGACTGTCACACTAAGTGTTTTGGAATCAAAATCACTACTTCATTTGACTGAATTTAATGCCTAATGAAGACCAACAAAATAACTGATGCAAAGTGTTCTTCTGCTATTATAATATTGCTATTGAAGGCAGAAAGGAGTCAGTAGACTTGGTACGGAGAGTAAGCGAAATCATATGTGTTTATAGAACACCACCCCTCCCCAGAGAGTTAATAACACATAATCATGATGCCAATATTATGGGATTATCAGGGAGGTAGTAGGTGAGATAATGGATCTCCATTGCTACCTGTTTTATCATGTGTACGTTGACTTCTATTACTATTTCAGTAGCTCTTGGAAGACACCTGAGACTAGGATAAGTTAAGCCAACTTCCCAACGACTCAGGGCTAGTGAAAAGCAGGACTGGGAGGGATCTAGACTCAGGGGTCCTGCTCAAATCTTTCCACATACCCTCATTCTGCTACTGCATCCTGTTCACTTTTCTATCTGATCTGTCAAGACAGGAAACAGCCATTTGCCTCTCCCTGTCAAGTAAGGACCTATCTCCCCCTGAAGTTGGGTTAGGTGTGTCATTTGGTCTTATTTCATAATGAGGATTCCTCTTCCTTTACTCCTTCCTCATAACCTATCCCTAAGTCTGCCACAGTTCCTTTCTGGGTATGACTCAGGGGCAAAAAGCTTTATCCTTCAGAACTCCATAGCTCAGAACATAATATATGCATTGTTAGGCATCAGAAAGGCAGAGTATGTTTTGTAACTGTAACATCACTGCAGTATTTCAATATACCTTGCTATCACTGGGACCCTGAGGTTTTTTATTCTGCTATACATATACATTTGTTACCATTCCCAGAATTTTATTAGTATAGTTTATTTATTTTCTTCCTGAATGCTCATATTAAACACTACGCTGTTTATTTTCTTCCAAGTTCTCTAATTCATCACCACAGAGGGATCTTAATGAATTAGAAAAGCGAACAGAAACACCACTGCTTTGGAGATTCTCATCAATGAGTCTGCGACTCACCTCCCCACACACACCTCTTTTCTCCTCCCTCTCTCCCTTTCTTTCTTCTTCCCCAATTCCTTCCTTTTTCTGAGGCTTAGATAATTTAAGTAACATACCCCAAATCACCCAGCTAGACAGTCTAATATAAGCTGTATTCAATCATATTATACTAGACTGCTTCTCATCTGATTGTCTAGGGTCTAGATCCTCTATCCAAAGTGTTGTCTGTGGACCAGCAGCATCAGAATCACCAGAGAGCTTGTTAGAAATGCAGGATCTCAGGCCCCAGCCTAGAACTTCTGAACCAGAATCTGTATTTTCACAAGATCACAGGTGATTCCAAACATTAAGTTTGAGAAACACTGGTGCAGGTTATAGCAACCTATTTAAGAAATATTCAATCTTTCTTGCTACCCAGAAGAACTCTGTTGGTTCACCCATCCCCTACATTATTCAAGGTTAAAACCTCATTCATCAGCACCAATCCTTCAATCAGAGAGATCTTATTTATTTTGCTGGTAAATGGATCACAGGCAGGTCGGCTTTTGATCAAGTTTTTCACAATGAGACATCAGAGAGGTCTGCTGAGGACCTTGGGGAAAGGATTTCTTGCTTTTTATAATGAATCATATAGGAAGAAACTGTATGTCTTCTACCAGTAGATATTACAGTGTCTTAAGATGATAGGAACTATGGCAGCCATCTTGCAACCATGATGGGATGGTTGCCAGGGGCAAATCTAACTGGTTGAAAATGGCAGGGAGGAAATACGGAAGTTGTCAAAGCCACCCCATCTCAAGATTCCTTGCTCTTTGAGGTAACAAATTTTGCTTAACGTTGAAGCTAGCTGACTTGGGATGTTACTTGCAGCCAAAGGCATTCACACTGATACCAATTATATTTTTCTTCTGGTAATAAATGTGTTACAAGAAGCAATATCAGCATGTTTGTTAAAGCCAAGATAAATTACGCCAATCACTGAGTGCATTGAAAGACTATTAGTTTGTTCAGATTAGCAATTTATAAATTAGACTTTAAAGTTCTTTTGTCTCTTCTGGCAAAGTTTTGTCTTCCATCACCTCTTCTCTTCCACATCTTTCTCCCTCTATTCTCATCTGCTATCTTTTATTTTCTGTGAACTATTTTGAAATATATATGCTTTCATTCTTTTTAGATAATTATATTTGATTTATACTGAAAATACACCATAGAGAGTAGGTGAGAGACCAGGAAGAGTGAAACTGCGAAGTTGAGAGAAGAAAGGGCCCCGTATTTTCGTGTAATTACTTGTTAGTTTTTGTGTAGCCTCCTGATAACTTTATGGTAAGACTTACTCATCTTTCCTGTTTTTCAATCTTGGTCATTTGGAAACATAATTAATATTTTGTAAAAGTTTTCAAATAACTAGTTAAGTTAGTTCTTAGCAAAGGTGATCAATGAGATTTTTTTATTTTTTTATTTTTTTGAGAGGGAGTCTCTCTCTGTCGCCCAGGCCAGAGTGCAGTGGCACAATCTCGGCTCACTGCAAGCTCCGCCTCCCGGGTTCACGCCCTTCTCCTACCTCAGCCTCCCGAGTAGCCGGGACTACAGGCGCCTGCCACCATGCCCAGCTAATTTCTTGTATTTTTAGTAGAGATGGGGTTTCACCGTGTTAGCCAGGATGGTCTCGATCTCCTGACCTTGTGATCCGCCCGCCTCGGCCTCCCAAAGTGCTGGGACTACAGGCATGAGCTACCGCAACCAGCCTCATCAATGAGATTTTTAATTGACTTTTTACGTCACATATATGATATTCTATTAAGAAAAGTTTTGTAACACCCACCTCCTCAATTTCTGATCCCGTATTGATTAATGACCTAAATGTAACATGGTTCTCAGGATGCCCTGCTTTCTCCTTGCATTCCCACTACAAGTTTCTGTGCATTTGAAGTGCATTTTAAAAATCAATATCCATGCTGAAATCGGGTTCTGTTTCCTTCAGTGATAGTGAAGGGAGTTCAAAGTGTTTCCATATTTCCCACTGGAGATTTGGGAGCCACACATGGCCTGCTGGGAGCTCAGGAACCTTCAATGCTAAGAGACAGGCCTGAGTCTCCAGGTCTAACACAAGTCACCTGTGCCAGATATAGCTTTGTGCCCTAAATATCGCTTCTTCTCTTTGTAAATCTCTCTAAATGGACCCAAACCAAGTCAGGAATTTCAAGCTTCCTTGAAAGTCTGTGCTTGCATTCCACCTAGAAATTACAGTCTTGAATGAAATGATCCGCTTATTCAACAGAGGAGGATCTATCACCACCAAGTTGCATTTTGATCTAGAGTCTTCACATGCAGTAAATTTGATGCCCAGTCTACTTTGAGTCTACCACTATATGTTTACCGGGTGCACAGCAAGATTTGTTAGATGCCATGGATATCCATTGCCATATTTCAGCCAGAGGGCTCTTCTCAAAAGCAAATCTGATAATGTTAATACTAATTACCCCCCTCCTTAAAATCTTCAAAGGACTCCCCATTGTTGTTAGGATGAAAACTATGGCTACAAGGTGCTGCATGTTGTACCTCAGAATTTCTCAGCTTTGACTGTATGTTAAAATGACCTGGGAGGTTGTTTTTGTTTGTTTGTTTGTTTTTGTTGTTGTTTGTGTGTTTGTGGTTTAGTTTGGTTTTTAAATAAAATATGGCAATGCCATGGACCCATCCCATGCCAATTAAAGCAGAATGTCTAGGAGTGGGTCTGGGCATAGTTAACTTTTACAAGTTCCCTATGGGATCATCTAGCCTAATTCTTCACCCTTTAGCACCTCCCCCACCCCCAGTCACCCCAGCCTCCTTTTTCAATTATTGGATACCCTGGGCTGCTTCTTGTCTAAGGACTTTGTCCCACACTGCCTAGAATATGCCTCACGCCTCGCCACCCCACTCCTATAGGCCCACTTATAGCTCCACACCTCATCTCCAGTGGTACTTCTTCCAGGAAGCCTTTCCTCAAACTTCCAGGATAGGTCAGAGGCCCCTTAAAAACTCAGAACATTCTCAATTTGTCCTCTGTTTCAATTATCACAATGTGCCATTAAAATTTTTTATTTCTGTGATTATTTGATTAGTGTTCATCTTTCTCAGTCCCTGAGCTCAATGAAGTCAAGGACGGTGTCTGCTTTACTTATTTTACCTCAGCACAAAGGAGAGCACCTAACACATGGTAGGCGTTGAATACCTACTGAATGAATGAAACTCAATCACTTCTGCTTCCAGCACAACTTAAGAGAAATGTGGAAGAGTGTTAGAATAGTTGAGTCCTTCCTACCAGAGGACGTTAGTCTACTGTCGCACTGGTAGCACCACTGACATTAGTTGGGGATGAAATAGATGTGAGGTGAAAGACAGGGGGCACCCAACAATGTTATTGTTTCTAGAGTAAGAACCAGGAGAAAGACTAACTTCACTTTAGAAGAACAGGCTCTAACATTTCTCAGAACCATTTGCATATGTCTGTTGAAATGAAGAACAATACAGCCCCAGCACAAATGGGTATTGAGCCACAGGAGTCTAACTGTAATGAGTTCAAAACACAGCCTCAGTCAGGCCAGACTCTTTCATCAAATGAATGGAACTTGTATTTGCAACTGAGCTCTCATCCTATTACAAATAGATCCTGATGGCTGTATTCCAGTCTTATCTTAGTTTCCTAAGATACAATACAACCCCTTTTTGATTCTGTTCACCTTAGTTCCTTAAATGATAAACACCTTTCCCCATGTCTTCTTATTCTTACCAGTCATGAGGCAATGCTGCTTCATTAAACTCTTAGAACTATCTTAGCTCACCTCACCCTGAATAGAAGGATAAGGACCATGTAGTCGTCATTACAATAATAGCTACTGTTGTTTAGTGCTTATTTGCTAACAAACCACTGTGATAAGTACTTGGTATATACTATCTTCAATCCTGACAACCTGGCCAGGTAGGTATTAGTATTTCCAGTTCACAGATAAAGAAACCAAAGCTCAGGGTAATGAAATACATTGTCCACAGTTGTAGTTATTAGATGGGGAAACAGAATTGGAGCATACTTTTTGTCAGAGTCTATGATTTGAATTCTCCCACCATTCACCATACACTATGTCCTGAAAGCACAGCACCCAAATTGCCAGAGCCAATAATTGTATCCAGACACACTAAGTGCAGAGGGGAATTCAGTCACCTTAGCTACCCATACTGTCCCTTCCATCTGTAGGCCTTCAGAAGAAAACTGCCTTTTCCTCACCCTGAGATCTTTTATGTCTGGTCAACTGTTTTCTTAAAAAGCCAAACTCATCTTCTTTGTTAGCTTTCATTTTCTTTGCAATTCATTGTAGAGAAAGCATTAGCTTGGGTAGGTGTATTAGTCAGGGTTCTCTAGAGGGACAGAACATATATGTATATATCCTTCATATATATATATATATATGGAGGGGAGTTTAGTAAGTATTAAACATGCTCACAAGGTCCCACAGTAGGCTGTCTGTAAGCCAAGGAGCAAGGAGAGCCAGTCCGAGTCACCAAACTGAAAAATTGGAGTCCAATGTTTGAGGGCAGGAAGTATCCAGCACAGGAAAAATATGTAGGCTCGGAGGCTTGGCCAGTCTCTCCTTTTTACCTTTTTCTGCCTGTTTTATATTCGTTGGCAGCTGATTAGATTGTGCCCATCAGATTAAGGGTGGATCTGCCTTCCCCAGCCCACTGACTCAAATGTTAATCTCTTTTGGCAACATCCTCATAGACACACCTGGGATCAATACCTTGTATCCTTCAATCCAATCAAGTTGACACTCAGTATTACCCATCCCAGTAGGGAAGTTTAATTTTTAGAATCTCAGACAATATAGTGAATTGCCTTTAAGAGATGTCATGGTCAAGGGAACAGCATGAGCAAACGTAATTCTTCCTGCCAAAAGCACCAGGACAAGTCGAGACTAATTAGGATTAGGATAGTGGGAGCCAATGGAAAGGGGCATTGGATGGGCAGGTTGATTGGCAACTGTAGACTATTCCATATAAAATAGACTTTATTTGGAAATGCATTATAAAATTGTTTTACTCCCCAAATTGGAAAAAATTAGTTGCCCTCACTATAACCTTGAAATGATCACTCCCTACTTTTCAGCTTGCATACTGTATTCAGAAGTAATTTCTTCACTCTATGCCTTCAAGACCATGAATTCCCATTATCCACGTAATAAATGTAAATGGTACATGCGTACAATGCTGAATAAAAAGGAAAGAACAGCCCTTAACAATAATCTTGGTGTCAGACACATTTCTGTGTGTTAAGTGCTTCACAAGTTGACTATTATAAATAGCAAAAAAGACAGTTCTGAAAACAGTTTACTTATAATTGATTTGTGACAGAGAAAGATTGACCTTATAAATCAGAATATTTCCCTACATGTATCTTTTGAATAACTTCCAAGGAAATAGCCTCTTACAAAATACAATTCTAACTATGATTTGAGTAGATGAGTCCAATATTCTGTTTGATATACACCAGGAGGAACATGAGGAGGACTTTGGGAAACTTTCCAATATTTTTGTGAAAAACATTTTAATGAATACAAAGAATCATAAAATGCTAATACATTGGGATTGCACTAAAGCCTCAAAATAGAAGTTTATTTTGAACTCAGTTTTATGCATCTGTACACAATTTTCAAATTTCCCTTTTTTAGCAAATAATTATTTTCCTGATTAACTAATTAGACATTTTAGCAGACTTAAAGAATACAAAGGTTAAATACATAACTGTTTAATGGTTACCACTACTGAAAAAATTGTGTTAATAGGATTGAGTTCTCAAGCATGTGTTTCATTTTTCTCTAAAAATATAATTCTGTGTTAGGCAATGCTTTATTATAAATGTTAGGAGTGGGTGAAGTGGGAAGAGATCCCAGCTCTCCACTTTGAAATCTAGAACTTTACAGATGGAAATGAAGTATTTCCACATAACTGTTTCTTGTTAACAAGAGCCTGTTTATTAACCACGTGTAGGTAGCACGGTGCCTTAACTATTCCTGGATGGCTTCACCCATGCTGGACTATCACTGGTCTTAGGGTAGGGAAATCAGCTTGCCTGCTACCATAGATGAATAGGGAAGAGTAAGGCAGAGAGAACATCTCCTTGTGTAGAAATGTAGGGTTCACCTACCTTTCACTTCATATTCATTCATTCATCAAAGTAATCCTTCTTTTAACAAAGATTTATTGAGCCCATACTACATGTCAGGAAAAGAGCTATGCACATTATACGTATAATTGCTTATTCAACATCTAACAAATGCTTCTTGTGCTCCTACCATGTGCCTGTGCTGTTTTGGAAACTGGTAAATAAGATAGACATGGCTTTTGATCTCACAAATCTTCTGTTTTTGGAAAGAGATTGTCTGCTATGGCCTGAATGTTTGTGTCCCCACAAAATTCATAGGTTGAAACTTAATCGCCAAGTTGATGGTATTAGGAGGTAGGGCCTCTGGAAGGTAATTAGGTCATGAGAGTGGAGCCTCTATGAATGGGATTAGCGCCCTTCTAAAATAGGCCCCAGACAGATGCCTCACCCTTTCTACCACTTGAGGACAAGGCAAGAGGATGCTTTCTATGAACAAGGGATTGTACCCTCACCAGAAGCCAAATCTGCTAGTGCTTTGATCTTGGAATTCCCAACCTCCAGAACTGTGAGAAATCTGGGTTGTATATAAGCCACCCATTTATGGTATTCTGTTACAGCAGCTAGAACAAATTGAGAGAGAGATTGGTCATTTGGGGTCTAGATTTTGTGGGGCCTGAAGCTTACACAGTTTTGGAGATCCAATTTACTGAAAAGAAGAAACAATTACAAAAACTAGCCTATGTCATTATAATAAGTTGTAAGACACAGTAGTGAAATAATTTACAAGAAGCAGAAGTAGAACCGAAAAGGGTGTGCTTAAATCTGGTGGTGAGAAGAAATCAGAAAAAATAGCTGCACAGAGGAGGCATGCTCTGAGTAAGGTTTTGAAGGATGAAAAGGAGTTTTCCATATCAGGAAGGCAGAAGGCTCAACATGGAGGCAAGATTGCATAGTGTGTTTGGGGTACTATAAATATTCTGGTATTTCTAGTACATAAAGATCAAGCACGAGAGGCACCAAAGACAGAACTGATGACAGAGGCAGCTAAGAAGCTCTAATACCGTTCCCAAAATTTATATTTTTGCCCAAAAGGTATTTTTTTAATTTTATCTTTAGGTTATTGTATTGTAAAATTGACTTTTGTCCTTTGTTGTACAGTTTTATGAATTTTAACACACAAATAGGTTCATGTAACCACCACTATAATCAGGATGCAGAACAGTTCCATAACCTCAAAAAACTCCCTTTACAGTCACATCCTCCCCTAACACCTAACCCCTGGCAGTCACTCATCTGTTCTCCATTATTATATTTCTGTCTTTTTGTTAATATTATATCAACGGCTTCATAGAATATGAGACGGGCTTCTTTCATTCTGCATAATACCTTCAAAATTCATACAAGTAGTTGCATGTATCAAAAGTTGGCTTTTTTATTGTTGTGTAGTATTCCATCATATGGATGTTTAACTATTGCTCTGTTGGAAGCCATTTGGGTTTTTTCTAGCTTGGGGCAATTATAAATAAAGCGACCGAAAACACTTGTGTACAGCCAAAAAAAAAAAAAAAAAAGGCTGTGTCAGTGTGAGACCCCGAGGCTGGAGCTTTATTAACTTCAGGAGAAATCTGCCTCTGGGGTTCTACATGCTGATGATCCAGTTCATAGTCCACATTAGTGCCTCCCAACTCAGGGGTGGCCAACCATTAGAAATTTACCTCTTGGGGCCTTAAAAGTTTAAGTCTTCTAGAGTCTTGTCATAAATGCAAATTCTCCTAAATGAGACCAGAGCTTAAGGTGTTATTATCCTACAGGGGGCCTAATAGGTGCCAAATAAATATTGAATTAATTAATTAATTAAAGAGGTAAATGGAAGCCTCATTAGTGATGCAGAGAGTGAAATGTGAAGAGAGAAAGAGTTTCAGGGACACTAAGTGAAAACAAAAAATATTGAGAAGGCAGGTGCACAGAAAATATGAATTGTCTTCTTCAGAAATCCCTTTAGGAGCTACCTGCCCAAGATGACAAGGTCACATAAAGGTCCTCAGTAATTATAATGACAGCTGCTCCAGAAAATTCTAAAAGACAGGAAGGTGGCCCCTAAGCATATAATCAAATCTCCACCAGGGACAATTTGCAGAAGAGATGATAATCTTTTCACTGACTATTCACTGCTGACTATCATCTTACTCAAGAATTCCCCTAATGGCAAAGCAGTATTTATCAGTAGTTAGCCATTTTCCTTCAAAATGTATTTAGTTTCTATTTTTCAGTTAGGGACAAGACATAATCAGCTGCAAGGGAGCCATAGCGAGATGGTGGGTCAGCAAGGTGAAGGGACAGCTAAGGAATGGGTGGACTGAAGGCCAAGAGAGGATGATACAAGGTCAAGTACTAAGGGAAAACCTTGCTCAAGTTCGGGAAGAGAAACCTCATCCAAGCCACGTTGGGCAGGCCAGCCTGGCCATGCATGCTTAACCATATCATCTGCATGAGGAAGGGTCATGGGAAGCCTCTCTCTGGAGGGTTACAATATTGAACATCTTTTAACCAGAATTCCATGTGTGTCCCACAGAGAATTGTGAAGGCAGTGATTTATAATCCAATGAAATCATTTAACAATATATAATAAGCTCTCATCTGAACCACATGTTCAGTCAACAGGATTTGAAATGAATGTTGCTGAAAATTGTGCCAGCTATTCAGAAGATGCTGTGGCTCTGAAGTGTTAAGGGAGCTAATTCAGATGGCATTCCTCTTTTGAGAAGACAAATTGCAGAAAGAGAAAAGTTATCAACTTTTTCATGGTTGGCTGCTTCATATTCCCCAAAGTCTGGGGAGAAGACTGTTTTTTTTCCCGTGGGGAGTTCATGGGTGGAGACTGCAGCCATGACTCTGAAGGAAGGAAGGTCAATCATGCATTTATTTGTTCATTAGTTAACTCATTTATTTATTCATAACTCTTGAAAGAGTCCATGATTCTCATAGTCTGATCTCTGTACTCACACAAATAAACACAGTTCAAAGCCAGTAAGGAAAAAGGGAAGGGAATTTCAATTTATTTATTTATGTATTTTGAGATGAGTCTCGCTCTGTCACCCAGGCTGGAGTGCAGTGGCGCAATCTCAGCCCACTGCAACCTCTGCCTTTCGGGTTCAAGCAATCCTCTGCCTCAGCCTCCTGAGTAGCTAGGATTACAGGCGCCCACGACCACACCTGGCTAATTTTTAAAATATTTTTAGTAGAGACAGGGTTTCACCATCTTGGCCAGGCTGGGTCTTGAACTCCTGACCTCATGATCCACCCACCTCGGCCTCCCAAAGTTCTGGGATTACAGGCGTGAGCCACTGCGCTGGCCCTCAATCTATTTTTAAATAAAACTTTAATCTGAAAGAATTCCAATTCAGAAATGATGCTTCTTGGGTATCAACAAGATCATAAGTCTCAACAGTCAACTTCTTTTCCATTTCTTTTTTTCTCTGCTACAATTTCTGAAATCCTGCACTAATCTTGAACACCTGTTCTCAAACCAAGCAAATCAACTCAAAAGAAACTAAAACTCTCCCCTCTCTCTTGTCAAACCTCAGCTTCTTCCTCTCTTTCTCTTCCTCTCTCCTCTCTTGAATATATATTATTCTGATTTCACTCACTAACTTTTCACACTCATCTGCCACCTACTGATGTTGTTAGGACTTTCTCCTCAGTTCAGCTAAAAACTGGGTTCTTGTCACATGACCAGGAAAGATTAGGTTCGTGGACACACAGAAGGGTGAGAAAAACAGAATTTATTGGGCCAAACAAAACAAAACAAACAAACAAACAAAACTCTCAGCAAAGCGAGAAAGATTCCTGTTCACAGGCCCCCATCTCACTGATTGAATCCCAGGTCCACCCAGGAACCGGAGAGGCCAGGCTCCTCCCCACCTCCGCAACTGGCAGGAACTTCCCAAGGCCCCGTCCCATCCTCCCAGTGCTCAGGTCAGTCGGAAGTTCTCTGGGGAGCCATTTTTACTTGGCTGTCTCAGTGAGACAGTTTTCTACCTAGTTTTCAAATCTGAGCAAGAAAAGCCTAGAAATCTGTTGAGGGGAGATGAGGAGAGTGACAGGATAGTGGTCTCTACCTGGGGGTTGAGTCAGAGGCTGGGGCATGCTTAGTGAATGTCTGACGCCATCCCATGTTTATTCAATATCTTGGACAAAGGTTTTGGGCTCCTATTTTGTGCCAGCTTGCATGCCAGACTCTGGGGAGACAAAGGTTTTGAGCTCCTATCTTGTGCCAGTGTGCATGCCAGGCTCTGGGGACACAAAGGTAGACAAGGCACTGTCCCTATCCTCCAGAAATTGAGCAGTCTGGTGCAGAAGGCAGAGAAGCAAAGAACAAATTATAATGGCCTGTGAGAAACACCCTTCCAGATTTGAGCAGAGACCTCTGGGGGACCCTTCCCTGGGGGTAGGGAGGTAAGCGCTGGTGAGACTTGGGAAAGTCTTCTGGAGAGAGGTGACCTCTGAAGCAAAGTTATTAGGGGTTGGCCAAGTTGGAGTGGGGATGCAGAGGAGAGGGGGATGGAATGACTGCTTTGCAGGTAGATTTTTAAGGGATCGTGAAGGACGTAGAGGTTTTTCACTGCAGGCCTTGCATGCTCTTGTCCTTAGAGCTGGTCCTTCCTGCCCATCCCCTCTTGCACATGGCTTTAGCCCCTAGTTGTTTCTCTCCACTCCTACTAATAAAATCCACATTATTTGCACAATGGCTGCTAAGCCACAAGAACAATTCCTCTAAATGCCTTCTCATGCCCCCCGCGCCCCTGCCCTCTAGAATACAGGCTTGTGCGAAGGGCGTCTGGATGAATGTCTTGCATAGAAACGGAAGCAGAGTACCCTATTTAGGTAACCATGAGTAGTTCTGTGTGGCTAAACCCAAAAGTAGAGGATGGGGACAAAAGTGGTAGAGACAGGGTCACTGAGGTAACCAAGAGACATACAATTCATGGGAGGTCTTGAAAGCCATCTTTAGGATTTGGACTTTGTCCTGGGAGTGATGGGGATTCACTGAAGTGTGTTAAGCAAGAGAGTGGCATGGAATTGAGATTTGGAACATTTGTGGTTCAGAGAATGGTTTAGAGAGAAAGAAAAGTGGAAGCAAGAAGAACTTTTAGGAGATAACTGCAGCTGACCAGGTAAGAGAAGAGCTGCTGAGGATCCTGATTATACCTACTTAGAAGGAGTCACATCCTTTCTCCTTTAACTGTGTAATTCTTTGCCTGGCTACACTTTAGAGTGATTTTGTATCATTGGCACAATGAAGGTCACATCGTTGGTAGTCAACACAAGTTCATTGTCTTGAATTGAACTATTTTAGAAGCAACCAAGACCCAGGCTTATCTTAGTGACGGATAGTGCAGGAAGGTGCTGTCCTCAAAATCTGAAGAAAACTTGTATCTTTTCACTTCCCATTGCTCTGATTTAAAAAACTAATAATAATTATAGCTGCAAAACTTTTCACATGAACATGTAGTACTGTGTTTACTAAAGTTTGCAATTGTGGCTTATGAATCTTTAAGTTTATTAAGAGACATTTCTAAAAAAAAAGTGATCCACATTCTCCAATTCTGCCACCATCTGGGCAATCAATGTAAATATTTACAAGCAAAGTCTTAATGTAAAGATTGGGGTTTTGAAGTATTTTGAAACCCGATCATATTGCCTGTCAGAATTGCCTGTGGTTTCCCTTCATTGTGTTTTCTAACAAAGCCTTTGAACATGCATGTAACACACTGAGGGAATGTTAGCAGATGCTAAAACATTTTGTTAGCTGATTTATTAAGCTATTGAGGGTCATTCTTTGAAAAATGAGGAGAGAAATGCAGACACAACAGAAGTTAGAGAAATCAGAAATCAACCTTTGGAACAATGATAGCTGGTAACTTTTTTTTTCTTTTGGTTAACATAGCAACCTAATTCAAAACAGAGCAATATCTGTGTGCATGGTTATAGCCTTTTATTTTCTTTTCAGTAAGAGAAGGTTCAGGGAAAATGTGAAAATAAGAAAAAAGAAGAAAGAAAAAGAAGTGCAAGTGCAGTTGGCATATTTACAGAAAATATAAATTTAACTGGAACATTCTTGTGATTTGTCCCTCTTTAGATCTGCTATTAAGAAGCAATTTTATTTCTGCAAGCAGCTAAAGTTACATCGAAAAAAAATGAGTCACATGATAACACCCTGCTCTTAATATATTGAAAGAAGACTGAATTGCCAAGAAAGGGCAGCTCATTGGTTAGGTAGAGTAGCATGGGTAAACATGTGGCTGAATTCGAGGTGCACAGAACCCACTCCCCTCAAATTTCCACATTTGCTGGTGGGGTCTTGGCATCCATTCCTTCAGATAATGCATTTCCTTTTCACAGTCCCATTTTGATGCTCAAATACTCCTGGAAGAGTGAATGGAAGTAAGTTACTCCTGATTGAGTGTGAATGTGTTTCCTCTTTAGGACTGGCAGACCAAAGCAGAAGGAGAAAACCTGGGAACAGGAAAACACAGAGAGGAGAGCTTGCAGGGTGATCAAATAGCCACTTCTTAGCACCTCTTCCTTGCAATTCTAAAGCCAAAGACTAAATCAAGTATACCTATTTCACAGTTTTCTCCAGGTGCTGCCATACTGTTAAAAGAACATCAAGATCTGATTAATTCATGTAATGATTTTCATTTGTGATATTCAAATATAATATGATTTAATAATGTTTGGGCTCAGAAAACAATACCCAGAAGTATGGTGCTTTTAACTAAAGAAGCAGCCTCAGATCTAAGGTCTCTCTGACCCCTCCCACTTCACTTCTCACCATTCCCCAGGCCCAGTCTGTCCATCTCACTATCCTCTTTCTCTCATGAAGTTTGGGGTGGTCAGGGGGCTTTCTCTGAAGTTCCCTTATTTCACTAGGGAAAATTCCTCCAGGAGGAATGAGATTGTTGTTAATCCCCTCATCCTCTAACTCTTTGTGGCAGGAGAGGAGACTAAAAGGTCTCCATGCCCAGGATACTGTGCTCAGAGAGACTTTTCACCTATTCTTCTGAGGGCTGCAACCTGCGAGACTATCCGCAGAATAAGACATCCTTTGTCTGCAGTGTGGTTCCTCCATTCACCCATTCATAGCTTGTTGCCACCACCCTCCAAGAGTCTTTAAAACCCTATTTCTGTAGCTCAAAATGCTTTTTAAGCTTCAATCATCTTGCCCTTCTTTGAGTCTCACACTCTGTGGGACCTCATGTGTATGTACATAATAAATGTGTATGCTTTTTCTCCTATTAACCTGTCTACTCTCAAGTTTATTCTAGAGACTGAAATTCTGAATCAAAGAATGAAGGAAGGTTCCCTTTGCCCCAGCAATAACTGGTAGGAAGCCAACTTACTGACCTTTTAGAATCCCACCAGATTAAGAACTGTCAAATATCTGCTTGAAAACAGTCCACATTCTGGATCTTCTCAAAATAGTAAATTTTATTTTGAACTTCCTTTTATTCAAAGAGGCATCTTCCATTAATTTCCACAAAGCAAAAAGGCACAATTAGAGGAAATGGAAAGACACTGATAGAAACCTTATTGGCCAGATTTTGGCCTATACTTGATTTTATTGTGCAAAGGATGAGCACAAAGATTGTCATTCTTTGGATGCAGTATCAATTGCTTATAAGTCTCTGCCATTTAAAAAGTCCTGATGGGGCATTCAAATTGGAAAGGAAGTCAAATTATCCTGTTTGCAGGTAATATTATCTTATATTTGGAAAAAACTAAAGATTCCACCAAAAAAACTATTAGAACTGATAAACAAATTCAGTAAAATTTCAGGATACAAAATCAACACACAAAATCAGTAGCATTTCTAGACACCAACAGTGAACAATCCAAAAAAGAAATCAAGAAAGTAATAGCATTTTTAATAGCCATGAGTAAAATAAAATACCTAGGAACTAACTTAGCCAAAGAAGTGAAAGATCTCTACAATGAGCAGTATAAAGTATTGATGCAGAAAATTGAAGAGGACACACACAAAAAGGGCAAGATATTCCACGTTCATGGATTGGAAGAATCAATATTGTTAAAATATCCATATTACCCAAAGCGAGATACAGATTCAATGCAATCCCTATAAAAAATGCCAATGACGTTTTTCACAGAAATAGATAAAAAATCCTAAAAATTATATAGAACCAAAAAAGACCCAGAATCACCAAAATTATTCTGACCAAAAAGAACAAAACTAGGGGAATCATGTTACTTGACTTCAAATTATGCTACAGAGCTATAGTAACCAAAACAGTGTGGTACTGGCATAAAAACAGGCACATAGACCAACAAAACAAAATAGAGAACCAAAAACAAATCTATACATCTATAGTGAACTCAATTTTTACAAAGGTGCCAAGAACAAACATTGCAGAAAGAGAAAAAAAAATCCTAGGAAAACTGAATATCTATATAGAGAAAAATTAAACCAGACCCTTATCTCTCACCGTAAACAAAAATCAAATCAAAATGAGTTAAAGACTTAAATCTGAGACCTCAAACTATGAAACTACTAAAAGAAAACAATGGGGATACTCTCCAGGACATTGGTCTGGGCAAAGATTCCTTCAGTAATACCCCACAAGCACAGACAACCAAAGCAAAAATGCACAAATAGAAGCACATCAAATTAAAAAGCTTCTGTACAACAAAGGAAACAAGCAACAAAGTGAAGAAACAACCCACAGAATCGGAGAGAATATTTGCAAGCTATCCATCTGACAAAGGGTTGATAACCAGAATATATAAGGAGCTCAAACAACACTATAGAGAAAAATAAAACTAATAATCTGGCCAAAAGGTTTTGAGACATTTCTCAAAAGAAGACATACAAATGGCAAACAGGTAAATGAAAATGTGTTCAATATCACTGATCATCAGAGAAATGCAAATCAAAACTACAATGAGATATTATCTTATCCCAGTTAAAATTGCTTTTATCTAAAAGTCAGGCAATAACAAAATGCTGGAAAGGATGTGGAGAAAAGGGAGTCCTTGTACACTGTTGGTGGGAATGCAAATTAGTATAACCACTATGGAGAACAGTTTGGAGGTTTCTCAGAAAACTAAAAATAGAACTACTATGCAATCCAGCAATCCCACAGCTAGGTATACATTCAAAGAAAGGAAATCAGTATATCAAAAGGATATCTGCACTTCCATATTTATTGCAGCACTATTCACAATAGCCAAGATGTGGAAGCAACCTAAGTGTCCATCAACAGGTGAATGAATAAATAAAACATGGTACATATACGCAATGGAGTACTATTTAGCCATAAAAATAATGAGATCCTGTCATTTACAACACCATGGATGGAACTGAAGGTCATTGTGTTAAGTGAAATAAGCCAGGCACAGAAAGACAAGCTTTACATGTTCTCACTTATTTGTGGGAGCTAAAAATTAAAATAATTGAACTCATGCAGATAGAGTAGAATGATGGTTACCAGAGGCTAGGAAGGGTAGGTGTAAGGGGGAAGTGTGGATGGTTAATGGGTACAAAAATATAGTTACATAGAAGAAATAAGATCTAGTATTTGATAGCATAACAGAGTGACTACAGTTAACAATTATTTATTATACATTTTTAAATAACTAAGAGTATAATTGGATTGTTTGTAACACAGAAAGGATAAATGCTTGAGGTGATAAATACCCCATTTAACCTGATGTGAGTATTATACATTGTATGCCTGTTTCAAAAATATCTCATGTACTTTCTAAAAATATACACCTACCATGTACCCACAAAAATTAAAAATTAAATGTTAAGAAAAAAATAAAAAGTCATGATAGGCAGTTCCCACTGTGCATTAATACTAAAGCAATTGTTGATAATTGTTCTGGGTTTCAATGTCCAATTAAAGCTAAGTGGCTATATTTGCATACAATAAACAAGAGAAGTTACTTGCATCCCAACCTCCAGGCCCAATCAGCTTCACAATATAATATTGTTCAAATTTACATGCTAATTTTAGCTAATTGTTCTATACAAACAGAAGCCTTTTCTATCTGAAGACAGACTTTTCTTCAAAAAGCATCAGTCTTGCTGTTCATGTAAAAGGACCCAAGATGTTTAAATGACCTAAAAAGAAAAATTGAGAAAGTAAAATAAAAATTGTTCAGGATTGATTTGGGTGGATTTTTTTCAAATTATAAAAAGTACAGGTTTCTATATTGAAATGATTCAGCCCTTCAGTCAAAGCAAGCCAATTAGACTTAACCTGCTTATTAATCCTACTCGGCAAAATGCAAAACTGCCCAATTAGAAATAAATAAAGCAAAGATTCATCATATTTTGGGTTAAACAACTATTATTGATAGTATTAAATCCTAGAGTGGCCCTTTTGAAATGTTTTCTAATTAATTCTAGGGAGTCACATGGACAATAGAATATTGGGCATGTTTGACGTGGGCACCAAACTGGCCTTCTCCAAGATCAATGCCAAACCGTATAAATCCAATGATCGACTGCCAACAGTCAAATGAAAAAAAATGGCTAAAATAAATGCTGTGTATAAATGGATTACTAGAGCAGCACCTCATTTATTTTATATTTAGAGCTCTTCTGGTTAGATGTTGCCTTAAGCTGGGCTTGGAAATGTCTAATCACAGCAGCTCATATAGCAAGGCCAATAGTTTGTTCTATGGTCATATTTTACCACCTTCCTGGAAAAAATACTGCAAGATTGAATAACCTCATGGCCCATAGTTTATTACCTACTGGCAAAGCCCAATTAGTAAAGAGATTTTAAATTAATAAACATTTCTTAATGTGACTTCTTTTGCAAAATGGAAATTAATATCAAAGAGAAAAATGGAGCTAAGTAAATACATTATTACATTATTAACAGCAGAAAGAGATTAATTCAAAAGACAGGCAATAACAAATGCTAGCACAGATTTGGAGAGAGGGGAGGAGCCTTCATACAATGTTGTGAGGGAATGTAAGCTGGTACAGCCACTATGGAGAACAGTGTGGAGGTTCCTTCAAGAACTAAAAACAGAACTACCATATGACCCAACAATCCCACTACTGGGTATATAATCAAAGGAAAGGATACCAGTGTATCAGAGAGATATTTGCACTCCCATATTTACTGCAGCCATGATATGCAATCAACCTAAGTGTCTTTTAACAGTTGAATAAAGAAAAATGGTACATACACACAACAGAATACTATTAAGCCATTAAAAATAATTACTGTCATTTGCAACAATGTGGACAAAACTGGAGGACATTCTATTAAGTGAAATAAGTCAGGCAAAGAAAGAAAAACATTGCATGGTCTCACTTATATGTGGGAGCTAAAAAAAAAAAAATGATCTCATGGAGATAGAAAGTAAAATGATGGTTACCAGAAGCTATGAAAGGAAGTGGGGAGGGGGGATAAAGAGGGAATGGTTAATGGGCACAAAAGTACAGTTAGAATAAATAAGATCTAGTATTGAGTATCACAATAGGGCAACTATGATTAACAATCATTATTTGTATACTTTAAAATAACTAAAAGAGTGCCATTGGAATGTTCCTAACACACAAAAAAACTATTGCTGAAGGTAATTGGATATCCCAATTACCTTTATTTGATCATTATACATTGTATGCCTATATGAAAATATAACATGTACCACATACATATGTACAACTATTATGCATCCATAATTTAAATAAAAAAAATTTCAGGAGAGATAACATTCCATTCCTTTTTGCTCCATTCTGTTCCATTTCATTCTATTCCATCCCACACCTGCAGCCTAAGAAGAAAAACTATATATAGATGCTGCTTCTTTCAGAAGCATCCTGCTCAGCCAGTGAGACAGAAATTGTGGTTGCTCCCAGATTTCATTTCATATCTGGGGCCAGAGAGAAAAGAAATGGAGGTGAAATAGAAAAGAAGAGGGAAAAAAAAGCCTATGGTGTGATGAAAGAGAATTTCAGAATAATGTTGAATAATTAGAGGCTCTGCTCAGTTTTAATACCTGGGTGCATTAAAATCATCTCTGTCTTCACTGCCTTCTACATTCATTGCTTTTGCATTTTCCTCTGAAAGAGTTTAAATTCTCTAACATATAAATGTATGGCTTTAAAAACAACTGACTCATAACTGCTCTTCAGTATGCAGATGATCTGATTTTCTAACTTAAAAAAACCATCACCACAACAAATGCAGCAAAGTATAAAGTAATGTCTCTCATAAACTGGCCCCCAGTCACAGTGCTATATCTGTTACAAAAGTAAATACAACATTGCCTGTCAAATGGTTCTTGGGATTTACCTGTTTTTGCCTTCCTTCTACCTATGCCAGCTCCCCCCACATTTTGTCCTATTGGAAATTTTCTCATTTGTAGAAGGCCTATCTCAGGTGTCTTCTCTCCTTAACTTTCTGCTTAACAAAGCCCAGTGAGGAAGCCTGGAATCCCACTGTTTTTCCTCTGTCTCATATGCTATTGCTCCTAAATTTTGTTGTTGTTGTTGTTGTTAAAAAATTACCCAAAACTTGAAAATAAGGCAAAAGATAAGCAGCAGAATGTTGTATGGGGGGAAAGAAGCATCCTTGAATTTCTATGGAGATGAGCTTTGTCCAACCTACCAATTACTATTGATAAAAGAGTCCAGATTTAGTGAGGTTACATGTCTACATTTGTAGACTTTTATTCAACAGAGACTAAAATAATTATTTATATCTAGAAGAAATGATAATTCCAAAAGTTATGCTCTCTTGTCCTGTAGGAAATTAGCTGCTTTTATCTCTAACTTAGCAATCTTATCTTAATTTTCCTTTATTAACTTGCCTATGAATATCTAGCTCTGCAAACGTTCCTTGAACTGGTTCTATCACTTTACTGGTTCTCTCATTTATCAATAGGTTTAACAAAATCTTTGACATATATTCATTTCATATTTGTGTGAAAGTCCTAGTTTTAACTTTTTCAAAAGTACTATTTGGCAGTAATCAACCTTTTTACCTGTCATCATGCATTGGTTAATGATGGGGATATGTTCTCAGAAATGCTTTGCTAGGTGATTTCACCATCGTGTGAACATCAACAGAGGGACTTACACAAACCTAGATGGTGTAGCCTACTACATACCTAGGCTGTATGGTAAAGTCTATTGCTCCTAGGCTACAAATGTGAACAGCATGTTACTTTCCTGAATACTGCAGACAATTGTAACACAATGGTATTTGTGTATCTAAACATATCTAAACATAGAAAAGATACAGTAAAAGTATGGTATAAAAGATTTCTTTAAAGGGTACACCTGTGTAGGGCACTTGCCATGAAGGGAGCTTTCAGGACTAGAAGCTGCCTTCAGGAGTGAGTGAGTGAGTGGTGAGTGAGTGTGAAGGCCTCACACATTACAGTACCCTACTGTAGACTTTATAAACACTGTACACTTAGGCTACACTAAATTTATTTTTAAAAAGTTTTTCTTCAATAATAAAGTAACCTTAATGTATAAATTTTTAAATTTATAAAATCAAAATTTGTTTAAACGTTTTGACTTTTTGGAAATAATAGCTTAAAACACAAAGACATTGTATGTTGTACAAAAAATACTTTTTCTATATATATGTGTTCTATAAACTTTTTTTGTATTTTTACCTTTTTTTTTAAACTTTTGAACTTTTTGTTAAAAACCAAGACACAAACTCACACATTAGCCTAGGCCTACACAGAAGTCAGGATCATCAATATCACTGTCTTCCTCCTCCACATCTTGTCCCACTGGGAGGTCTTCAGGGGCAATAACACGCAGGGAGCTGTCATCTCCTGTGATAACAGTGCCTTCTTCTGGAATACCTCCAGAAGGAACTGCCTGAGACTGTTTTACATTTAACTTGTATTTTTTTATAAGTAGAAAAAGTATACTCTAAAGTAGTGATAAGAAGTATAGCAAATTCGTAAAACAATAATATAGTTTATTATCTTAAGTATTGTGTGCTATACATATATATGTGCTGTACATAAATGTGTGACTGACAGCACAGAATGGTTTGCTTACACCAGCATCACCAAAAACACATGACTCATGCATTGTGTTACAACCTTAAGAAGATAGAAATTTTTCAGCTTCATTATGATCCCATGGGACCATCAATATTAACCAAAACATTGTTATGCAGGGTGCACTTCTATTGCTTACCATATTGTTTAATTAACTTGTTTTATTTGTCAATTATACTGTGACATTTTTACAATCCAAACCTTTTATTTCTGTATTCAAAGTACCAGCATGGGTGCCTAGCACTTGATAGGTTCTCAATAAGTGTCATTTGTAGGTTGCCGAATTCAATTTCATGACTCTGCACTCATAAATCAGTGGAGCCCATTTGCCCACCTCCACTTGCCCCCAGAGGCTTCCATTTGTCTCAGTTTGGCATCTGTGTGACTAAATAGGATTTATTAACATTCATTTCGCATGACATAAATCAGATCATAGCTTTTCTCATCTGGTGTTTCACAGGTATGTATATTGTAAGAAAGATTACATGTGCAGGCAGGTTTTCTTTTTGTTCCCTATACTTGATAAAAAGTATATATATTAATATCCACACCGTAATCCAGAGTAAAAAAATAGCTAAGAGAAAGAAAAGAAGCAACTTTGTCATTGTCCTATGGTTTCCACGGAGTCTACCTGCATAAAAGCTGGTAATCTGACAATAAAATTTAAACACACTTTTTAGTGTGTTTAAGTTATAGCATAAAGTTGCAGAATAATTTTTTTTTCCGAAAATAGGCTCTTTTTCTGGGCCAGCTGCCAACAATTTATAGTACTGAATATATAACTAGAAAAAAGAAAAAGAAAAACAGCCCTTGATAGCACTCACCAAAACAGGCTTCAAATATTGTTAGGAAATTTCTGTCATTTCCAAATAAATCCAAGTATACCATATCCATGCCATTTCACTAAAAATTCCGTGGTTAATGAGACTTCAGAAACTTTGTTTGATTAGTTTATTGTATCCTCTTACCACACATAGTTCTTAGAAAGGATTTTTGCTGGCTGGAACATTTATTTTCAATTGGTTTAAATTACTATAAACAGCTAAAAGTTTTAAGTAGTAAGAGTCAAATTCATTTCTTTTTCCAGTTCGATAGTTACTATATAATTGGGACTTTTGACCTTTTTTTATTATTTGCCGACTACTAGATTGAAGATGTAAAACAATACTCACTTTATTTTAGGTACTAATTGTATATTTTAAACTTGCTTGATCACTTTATCTTCCATGTATTCCACACCAAATCCCTATGTTCTCAGGCTATTTACTTCAATTATATAATAGCTCAAGAACTCTAGAACAAGGCAATATCTTTTCAAAAAGTGTTAATAGAATCCCCAGACATTCTAAATTTCATGTTTACAAAACAAATCTCGTGTCCAAACAGCATCACTTTTTAAATTTTCAAACACAAAAGAAGAGGAGAGTAAGAGCTGCAAAAAACTCAATATAAACTGAATAAATAAAACACAAGAATTACTTTGTGTAATTGTTTAAAAATCTCTTTAACTCGCTTTTGACCAGGATTTATAAATTCAAGATTCCCAGTGCAGAAATAGATACCTAACTGATGCTCACCTAGTTGATGGTGTTGGCTACGTGACATTAGAAAGATATCCAGGGATTAAGCAAGAAAAAAAGGAGTGAAAAAAAGGAGTCTCTGCATTTTAAAAATGGATGTCACAAGCCCAAGCACAAAACTCATGTGTGTAAGTCAGTTTCCTGGGCTCCCACTTAGCTTTTACTGGATCTCTGTTGCCATACAGTTCCAGTTTTGAGTGTCCCATGCCATAGCATGTAGAAGCACCAAGACATAGAGTCAAGTGAGAGACCAAATCAATATGCTTTCTTGTCCTTATACCATACAATCCTGGGATCAGACATACCTGCCTATTTTAATATTGGAACTAGGCAAAAATAACTGAGCTTCTTACTCAAAGAAATACGTGCTCTTGTAAAATATAACTGTGACCCAACTGAAAGAGCTTGCTTATTACTACCAATGACTTGATCATCAACACTTGCTTTAAATCTTTCACCTCACTGTGCCCTCCAGAGCTCTTATGTTATCAACTCTACCCAATCCCAGACAATTTCCTATCTTGTGAGACTCACCTTAAAACCACCCAGTTCATACCCTACCATGTAAATGTCAACCTAATTCCCTCATTTTGAAATACTGCCAAGACTGTCAAAGTGATGATTGCCAATTGTACCATAGGTTTAATAAACCTAGTTTTGCTTCGTCAACAGAGTTTTCAGGTGGTCTTGTGGGAGACTGACAATTCAAATAGGCAAAGAGAAGTGGCAAGTGCTTGGACAGGAAGCACCTAAACTTTACAAATCAAACACAGGAACTTAAAAATGCATAACAGACTAGGTCAATGATATCCCTCTTTATTTCAATAAAACCTCAGAATCTTCTTACATTAGAGAGTACAGGATAAAAATGAAGTTCACGATGATAAATGACTGAGTTAATGTAATCTTAAATCAGGTTCAATATAATCTGTTTAAGAAGATAGAGAAATATATATTTTATGGAGGGTTCTATCTAAATTAAACAACATTTTTAAAGTTTTGGCAAATACCCAAAGCTTTCTGGAATGCTAGGCTGTCCAGAATGATGTATCCCCAGGAGCTCCAGTTAACTGAAGTACCACTATATTGTGTTCACTCAATTACCAGCTTCTTAACTGAAAAAAAAAAAAAAAAAAAAAAAAAGGTGTGCTTTGGCCCCAAATGGTTTACAATTCAAGGAATTCACGTTTGACAAATGGAGGGTAAGTCCACAAGCTTGGGCTTTGTAGTCAGATAGATCTGAATTCTATCTCTAGCTCTAAAATTCTCTAGGATTATGACCAAGGAAGTCATTTAACTGCTCTGATTCTCTGTTTCTTTGTTAAAAGACAAACAAAAAAGATAATCATAGCAACCTCATAGAACTACTGTGATAATTATAATAGTGTCTTTAGCACCTTGTTTGTTAGATGAATGAAGGATATGCCCTCAGGTATACTCAGGTACTATGATAAGTATTTAACATTAATGTCAAATTAGTTCAATATCAACTTACCTAACTCTTAAAACTGCTTGAGATAGGAGCCATTAATATCCCCAGTCTACAGATGAGAAAAGTGGGGCTCCCAGTATTAAACGATTTGATAAAAGGGCACAGCTAGTAAATGAGGAGCTTAAATCCAAGCTACAGTCCTGCTCTTTCCCCCCGTGCTGCTAAGCAACAAATGATAAAAACAAAAACTGAAGGCAGTGGAAGTGTCAAGAGGTCACTGCATTTGAACATCCACCAAGAGTTATTGATGATTCTGGCTGATACGCTTTGATTTTCCTTTTTGATTAAAAGTACTGAAGAGAGTTAAGATCTGTACTGTTTACACTTTTTTTGAACTGAATCTTGATCAATTACCTCTTAACCTGGTGAAACACCACTCCTTTGCCTCACAAGGCATGGAGAGATAAATGGCATAAATGGAATAAAAATATCCGTTGAAAGTTTCACTAATAAACTCGTTTCCTGCAGGGTGAAGAGACATTTTAAAGTAAGTGTCCCCTAAGTTGGAACTAACCAAATCGGAGTATGATTGAAAAGAAAGCACTGTTAATGTTCTATAAGTCATATCAAGGAAAAGTCACCTGTAGGTGATACAGGATGGGGGACAGCATGAGACCTATAAAATTTGAAGATAAGGTTACCTTGGAGAATAAAATTACATCCATGAACCTAAAATAAATGAGGTTATGCCTTGATAAAAAATAATTTTTGAAATCCACCCTGTTACAGATTTTGCTTCGGTGACTGCAGAATTTGAAGTAATATTCCAATTCTCATTATGGTGAATAGTGTGTGGATGTAGCTCAGTCGATTCTCTCTTCACTAAGCAAGAATAAAGATTGTGACCTTCAGCATATAAAGGAAGTGTAGAGAATGAGATTGTATCAGTTTCCCATAGGCATCTATAGTTATTCTTGCCCCAGCGGAAGGAATGGCCTCACCCATAGTTATGAGTGTCCAGCCCTCGGGGTATGGATGGTGCAGGTGGTAGCCTCCACGATCATAACTTATTACGCTAGTGTTCACTGCTTTACAAATAGTATGAAATGATTCCTTGTATTACAGTTAAGCTTACCATAATTTAATCATAAGTTAGCTTTGCACATAGATTTAACAATGGGGAAATGATATCTTATCTTGGAACTGTGTAGTTGCTGGACCTGCTGCATAGCTGAGTTTCTTACTATAGATCAGCAAATCAATCTTCTGAACTATAGACCAGGGGTCAGGAAACTTTGTAAAAGGCCAGATAGTAAATATCATAGGCTTGTGGGTCATTGAGTCTTAATTACAACTATGCAATTTTGCTGTCATAGTGCAAAAGCAGCCATAGGCATTACCTAAATGGTTAGTGGTGGTCCTACAGCAGTGGTAGCCACACCGAAGCCCAACATCCCACTGGACTCCCAAAAACCTTCCCTTTCCTGCCTATTTTGATGACTGAACACACTTGGCTTATCAAAGTAGCTGGTTTGGCCTTCAACTCCTCCCTTGTTTCTTCATTTTCCTAGTTCCTCCCACATGGTTTAAGTACTAATTCCTATAATAAATTCCTTGCACCAAAATGTATACGGTTCTACCTCCATGACTGAATCCTGACTGATACAGCATACATTAACAGATGCAAATTTTGGACCTACAGAGTCAAGGGGCGAATATGCTGACCCCATCAAAGTGATGCCATGATGCAAGCCAGGCTCTGGTGAGCAGCTGGCTCTGTAGGTGGCATCCTTCTCTGGTGAGTCTGTGGATGCCATGGTGTGTCCACAAATTTGCATACAAGGAGACACTGGATGTAGTCACAGGAATGTCTGCAATTGGGTCACAGGAATGTGGTCCAATCCCAGCTTTGCAAGTGATCTTGGCCAAGTTTCTTAATCCTTCTGGTGATGTTTTTCATATCCAAAATATGAAGGAGTGAGTGGTAGACTAATCACAAGTATTTGATACCTTTTTCCTGAGGGAGGATTATCCCTCTTTGTCTCCCTGTCCTGTTCAATGTAGGTATGGCCGAATGACTTCTTCTAGTTAATGAAATGTGACAGTAAGCCATATGTAGCTTTAAGAACCGCCTTCTCTCTCTCACTGTTGTGACAAGCAACAGTTCCAGAGAGAGACAGCTCTGTCAGCCAGTCCCAGAGTGAAGGTGATGTGTAGTGGAGCTGGAGCTGCCTCTATGGACATCTAGCCTGAGTAAGAACTCAATCTTTGTGGCTGTAAGCTGCAGAAATGTTGAGATCACTTGCCACTTCAGCATGACTTAGGCTATCCTGACTGGTACAGGATTAAACTATATGTTCCTTCTACATCTCAAACACTTGATTGAGTTTGTAACAAACTTTGAGATGAATTTATTTAATTAGCAATACATATGGAATTGTTTTGTAAAATGCTTATAGATACACATAAAACAGAAGCCTAGTATAGCTCCTCAAAATTAGTTCACAGAAATACATGCAATACAATAATCCTTACCTTAGCCCTTTGTTCACATGCTGCCTAAAATCTGCATAATACCAAATATCTCAAATGACTGAATTTTGAAATCAACAGACTGAATTGATAAAGTTAGAGCCACACAGATACCATTTATGTTCCCTCCTTACAAAACACTAGCTAATTATTTTTATTTTCTACTGTCTTCTTAATATAACTCCCTCAGCTTTGAGCTGAGGAATTCATACATGGGGCTTATCAACTTCAAACAGTAGCAATTCAGAAACATTAATTAACTGTGTGGTATGTATTTACATTTTTTAGGTTGTTACCCGGAACTTTCTCAATTTAAACATTTAAAATAGTAACTTGATTAAGAATCAGTCCCTTAAAATTGAAAAAATAGCAACTTAGCACCGATTCACTGTTTTTCTTTTCAGCTAGTCACTTGGAAAATAAAGATGAAAAAGAAAAGAAGATAACACCAGATGAAAGGCAAAAGGGAAATAAATATTAATAAAATATCATTGAGAACAAGGAGATTATGCATAAATATGATTTTCCCAAACCTTTGCAATGAATGAGTATTCTCTGACGTTGATGCAACTTACACCCAAGTCCTTCATTAAGGAATATAGGGGATGCAATTTGTTTTATGGGCTTTTTGCTGTTGTTATTTTCTGCCTCCTCATCCTGAAATGCTCAGCAGTGCCAAATGTGCTGCAATGTCATTGAGCAGCATGTTGTAAAACAATACACTCCATGTTTATTCAGTGAGAATTTGCACTGGGGAGCATTTAAGGCTGAGGCTTTCTAACTGAGGAATGAACAAAGACATGGCATTATCATTTATCTAACTTCACCACGTTCCAGCAAATGAAAACATGGCAGCTTCTCAGTGGCAGGGAATCCATTTTGAAGTGAAATATTGCAAGTGGTTAAATAAACAGAACTTTCTGTGTTGCATTCAGCCCAATTTTGATCATCTGACCCCTACCCCTTTTTTCGGAAACCTAAAATGATTCCCAATTTCTTTCAAGCTTGGAACTAAAATTCCATTCCCTGCTGGCCCTTGCCTAAATCCTTTCTGTTCTCACAATGTAGACAACATTCCTACTCTCTCTTGGAAAAACTACATCCCACTGCTTCAGAATAGTCATCAGGTCTTGATGCAAACATGAAGCTTTCATAGATTCAACATTCATTTATTCATTCTACATTCATTCTACAAACATTTACTGAATGCCTGCTACATGTTAGGCAATATACTCAATTATGGATCCAATAATTAGCAGGGCAGACCTTGTCCCTACCCTCATGGAGCTCATGAACTGGGGAGGAAGAAGAAAAATATTCAAATAAGCATACAAATATAAATGTAAAACTTTTTCCCAAGGAAGAGAAGACAGAGCTGAGATCCAAAGGATAAGAAGGGAGGCAGGTAACTCAGGTGAAGGGAGAAGGAAGATCCCCCTAAACACAGAGGATGGCATATGCAAAGGTCCTGTGGCATATACACAGAAAATCACAACATAAAATGTTGAAATGATAAACAAGAAGAAAAAGAGTAAAGGCTTATTATTTCACATACATTCTTACATTTTTCTCAATCCTTTGACTTATATGTTCACCTTTTTTCAAGAATCTATATCCCATCTTAGGCACTCATGCTAATTTATCATAAGCTAAATGGACATAATCCCAATAAAAAATGCCAGCAAAGTCAAAGCGAATGCAACGTCTGTGCCCATGGAGTTCATGGAAATCGTGGAACAATGTGGCAGATAGACAAGTACATCACCAGTGGGGGTATAGTAAGAATATTGCCACATAAAAGCTGTGTACAAAAGGCTGTGCAGACACAGAGGCAACAAAATAATACCTGGGGCAAAAAACACTAATCAGAGACTCATCCTAGCAGAAGTGCACCTTAAGCTGTGTGGTGTAGGGCTGGTGAAGGTGGTGGGGAGGTGAGGAAGGTAATCTTGACAGATGGAATAGTCTGTGCTATCACAAACAAAGGCATGATGACCTTCCTGGACCTTCCAGGTAGCCAAAAATTTGTATTTAAGAGTGGCAGCAGAGGAGACACAAGAGGGTGGCCAGGGCCTTAGGTAAAGAAATGCCTTAAAAGTTTCTTTTCTTAAGTAGATAAGTCTAAACAACGTAGTAAGGGTTTAATACTAACAGCTCAGTACCTATTTTTAAAAGTCATACATATAAAGGGAAAAATAATACCTACATTTCACTCTTAAATAACCACAATTATTTGGTAATGGGATGGTGGTCCTGTTGGCGCTGTGCAAATCCTCAAACCTTTGAACCAGCTCGGCCCCTGCCGCCCATGTTTCCTTTTCCACATGGATTGTCATTCTGCATATGCTTTTTAATCACAGCAATAGTCATGAACTCAACTTGGAAATAACGTAGCATCAAGAAAAGGAACGTTGCATGATCTAATTTTGAAACTGTAGACTGCCTTTAAACTAATAGTTACCAGGATGCCCAACAAATGTTAAAGAACTGCATTTTTTTCAAATGTTACAGTATCCTGTCCAACCCCCATGCAATTGCTATGGAGCCTTGGGTGCCTTGGAGTATTGGGAAGCACATGCTAAGGTAATCAGGCTTCATCCTGAAAACTCTGAGGAGCCTCTAAGATCTCTAATCAGAGGGAAGGAGTGTATGCTATGGTCAGTTGTGTGTGTGTGAATCTTTCTGGCAGGATGTGCAAAAAGTTACAAAGAAATTTTAAAAACCTTAAAGTCTCAAGGAGACCAGTGCAGTGGTTCAGCTGAGAAGTGACAGAAAATGGTGGCTGGGAGAGAGTAGAGAAGACAGTACCACAGAAGCTCTTGGGCTGTCACCCTGCTCCTGGTCTTTGCAGCGTTCCCCTGCAGACTACTCCCATAGCCACAGATAACCTCCTGAGACTGCCTGAGGGTGATCACTGACTCAAGGTGCTAGCTATGCAAGAGGGAGATCTCGAACAAGGAGGCGACAGGGGTTGGTAGACAAATACCTCAGCGTCCTTGTCCTTTGGCGGGGCAATTCTGAAGCAGCTTCCACGTGCCTTCTCAGAAGCTCCCCAGCTAAACTGTGCCCCAGTTGCCATTAGCAATCACCTGGTTGTTAACACACTCTTTATTGGTTTTGCTTCTTCCCTGTCTCACTTCCCTACTCCCTCATGGAGCTTCCTGGGAAAAATGAACTACCCAATAAATTCCTTGTAACCAAGTACTTGTCTCATTCTCAGGGTTTGCTTCAGAGAGAACAGAAACTAAGACAAAGGATATGAGAGTTCTTGTGGGGGAGGGGGTGTCTACAGGACTGCAAGAGATGACTGGCTGGAAGGAGAGGGGTGAGGCAGAGAGACCTAGAACAGCTCCTGGATTTCTGACTGCATAAGACTCATGTCAGTGACATTCACAATGGCATTAGTTACAGGAGTCCAAGCAGGTTGCCTGAGATACACTGAGACTGAGCGGACTCTGGGGCATGCAATGGAATTTTCCACCAGGTAGTTGGATATTCAGTAATGGAGATCAAGACAGAGGTCTTAGCCGAGCCATGATTTGGGAATCAGGGACTTGTAGTCACTGAAGCCCCTATACCACCAGTGTTAGGGTTTGACTGGTACTGGTAAGTAAAGATATACTGCTGTGCAAGAAGAGCAAAGGGTGAACAAAGGAGTCACAGAGGGTTTAAGCCAGAGGTGGCCACAAAGACAATTGAGAAGAAACAGCCAAGTAGGAAGGAGGAAAGAGAGGAGAGTGGTGTCCTGGAAGCTGAGAGGCAAGCATCCTAAAGGAATGGCCACAAGTGTCAAGTACTGCAGTGAGCTCAAGTGAGATAAACACAGACAGATGCAGGGAGGACGGCTTGAGGATCACACCAGGAAAGTCACAGAGAGCAGCCCTAAGAGAGTTTGGAAAAGACATGCCCTGGTGGCCTAGAGGCAGTGTGAGATGCGCTGACCTCAAGTTCTGGCTTTGCCTAGAGTCCTGGGGTGAGCTTCCATCCTTCCACATTTAAACAAGAGAGGAGCAGCCTGTGAAGTCCCAGAGGGTGGTGCTTGAAGTCCATTCAGTAGCCTGCTGACTTTGCTTAGAATTCCAAACAGGATATTGTTTAAAAAGAAAAGTCTGGCTGGGTGCGGTGGCTCATGCCTGTAATCCCAGCACTTTGGGAAGCCAAGACAGGCAGATCACCTGAGGTTGGGAATTGAAGAGCAGCCTGGCCAACAGGGTGAAACCCCGTCTCTACTAAAAATACAAAAATTAGCCAGGCCTACTGGTGCTTGTCTGTAATCCCAGCTACTTGGGAGGCTGAGGCACAAGAATCGCTTGAACCTGGGAGGTGGAGGTTGCAGTGAGCTGAGATTGTGTCACTGCATTCTAGCCTGGGCGACAGAGTGAGACTCAGTCTCAAAAAAAAAAAAATCTGTCAAAGCTCATTTATTACTAACTGTGCACTCTCTATACGCAGGGTGCTGCAGAGTAATGGAGATGAACCACACGAAGCTTCCATCCTTCAGGGTTTCGCAGCCTAGGAAGACAGTTATTATACAGTCACTATTAACATGTAAAGCAGAAAGTGGCAGGTCCCAACAGAAAGTTCGATTTATCTCCATCTCTCTTGTGCTTTCCATTTAAAAAAATACTTTTTTGTGTGTAATTTATATAACTCTTCTATAAAGCTCTTCACAGCAAGCATTCTGAGTGATAACCCTCCATGTGACACCCCCAATTACCCAACATAAAGATGACTTTTCATGCAAACTCTCTTTATCAAGTTGCGTACACTGAGGCCTACGTGCTTCACCATGCAATGGCATGGATTCCTGAATATGATTTAGAGCCTATAGAACTTTCCACTTCTATTTCATTCCTACAACAATCCTCCAGGATAAACAGGACAAGGTTTTTAAATTTTAAATTGTAATATAATTCAAATACCATAAAATTTGCCATTTAACAGTGTGCAAATCAGTGTTCTTAGTATATTCACAGTTATGCAATCATCATCACTATTTAATTCCAGATCATTTCCATCACCTCAAAAAAGATACCCTATTAGCAGTCACACCCCATTCCCTGATTCCCATCTCTTATCCCCAGCCTCTGACAACCGTTAATCTACTCTCTGTATCTACGGATTTCCTATGCAGATAAATGGAATCAGGCCTCTTGTGACTGGTTTATTTCAGTTGGCATAACATTTTCAAGATTCATCCATGTTGTACCATGTGTCAGTACTTCATTCTTTTTTATTGCAAATGGATCATAGTTTGTTTATCTATTCATCAGGTGGTGGACATTTGGATTGTTTCCACTTTAGGGCTATTGCTATTAATAATAATGCTGCTATGAACATTAGTGTATAAGTTTATATGCAGACCTATATTCTCAATTATTTGGGTAAACACCTAGAAGTGGAATTGTTTGATCATAAGATAATTCTGTGTTTAACTTTTTGAGGAAGTGCCAAGCTGTTTTCCACAACTATATCATCTTACGCATCCACTGCAGTGGTTAAGAGTTTCAAATTTTTAATATCCTCATTAACCCTTGTTATTTCCCATTGATTTGATTAAGGGAAGATCTTGTTTTCCTCATTTCACTAATAAAAAAAAATAAAAAGATGGGCTTACACAGCAATTAATTAGAAAGGCCAAAACTCAAATATTAGTTTTCAGATTTCTAGGTCAACTTTCTTTCTGTGATACCACAAAGATATTATAAAACCACATCAACATCAGAGTGTTGTAAAGGCATGGATTGCTGGCCCCTAAAAAACTCAGGTTTGGTAACTCAGGGAAAGGAAGTGATGTGGATACACAGTGCACACACACAGACACACACACACATACACATACACTCACATTTACATTCATGTATGAGCACCCTATTCACTATGTTAATGGTTTAATGATATACTCACCAAAATACCAATATACTAACAGAAAGTTTCCAAAGAGGTTAAACTTAAATTGTAGTAATAGCTTTGACACTGAGATAAGACGATTTATTAGCATTAAAGGCATATGTGTCTGTAGTTCTTTAGATTGTTTTAGGACATGATTCTAGCCTATGGTTCGTTACATCTGGACATGTCTACTCATGCCATTGCATATGAGTTATTTTAGAAAGATGCACACTATTATCTAAAGCTGAAGTATCCAGTTCCTAAAAATGCTTCTTAATTTGTCTGAAAGCACAGTGTCTTTAAATTTGCTCACAACATAGGCTGTTAGAAAAGTGCAAATCTGGATGTTCCTCAACTTATGATAAAACTACATCCCGATAAACCCATGGTAAGTTGAAAATGCATTTAATACACATAACCTATCAAGCATCATAGCTTAGCCTACTCTATCTTAAATGTGCTCAGAACACTTACATTAGACAACCGTCGAGCAAAATCATTCAACACAAAGTCTAGCTTATAATTTAGTGTGAAATATATCATGTAATTTATTGAATACTGTACTGAGAGTGAAAAACAGAATGGTTGCATGGACACTTGAAGTACAGTTTCCATTGAATGCATATAACTTTCTCACCATCATAAAACTAAAAAATCATAAGTAAGGGACTGTCTGTATTTGAAACTTGAGGGGCATCATTGAATTATTATTTAAGCCAAATTTGTCAAAATTGGAAAAGTTGCCACACAGTTATTTGAATACAACAATAGAATTGCCAGTGCCTTGCCTCATAATTAGTTCCTGAGATTTTTTTTCTAATAGAAATACCATAAATACATTTTGAGTGCCATAACAGCATCCCCCTCACTTGTCACAGAAAATAAGTAAATACATTTTCTCATTTCAAGCAATAGAAAGGTATTTCTGCAATATGTCATCATCCTTATGTTGAACCAAGATTTGTAATTTGAAAGAAATCAACCATTAACCTGAAAAGAAGACAGCTGAGATTGAATTTTGAGAAAGGATTCTCCTTCCATTTAAACCAAAGCAGTTAAATGTGTAAAATAAATGAAGGCATGAAATAAATATGGAATTATCCATTTCAAATGCTAATTCTCCATGTCTCACATTAACACTACCATGTTGAATGGTTACAACAAATCTCTGAATTATTTATGACAAGTCTATGATGTTATATTTTGGTGATAGTGCCACAGGTATATAATTTTATGGAGAGTTCTGCTGATCTTGAATTTGAAGTAACTCTTATAAGTAATAACTTACAGTAACAAATGTATGCAGGTAAACCAGTAGGCTAATTAAAAATATTGGCAAATGTGTGCCTAATTTGTATCATTTGCCTGATCCATTAAATTTTAGGTAATGCAGACAGAAATGTTTGCAGAGTGTGCCTTTACTACTGTTTAAAATATGGAAGTTTTTAATTACCCATAATTTAAAAAAATGTTGTACTAGGGTTTAGTTAGGTAAAATTCTTAATATCAAAATAAAATCAGACCCTGAGATCTTTTAGCAGAGAAAAGCTATTGGAACTCCTTTCTTTAGGAATACTATGCCTTTTGGCCAAACCATACCTTCTGGAATGATACACTTGCAGTAGTGAGAGGGAAAGAAGTGTCTGCCTATTCAACCATAAAAAACAGCAATCTGGGGTGCAGGGGGGCCTCAAACCAACTGGCACTCCCCACCTCAAAGTCTTCCATGTCTCCAGACCCAAACTAGGCAGCTGACAGCCTTCCCCTGGTATCCCTGCTGTCCAGGTACAAAAACCATCACTTATGCATGAAATTAGCAGATTTTGCTTTGGTGTTGCTATTAGATGAGTAATAATATGATCACCTTACTATGGCTAGTGTACTTTTTCTCTAATATTTATAGCACTGACAAGATTTCTTAAGTCTCATTAACCAGCAAAATAGTACATCAAGCCCTGATTTTTAGCATTTGTTGGTTTCTGCCATGTAAATAGCCCCAACATGGAAAATTTTATACTATCTATATGATGTCACTGAACATAGAATTGGAAAGGATGCAAAGAAATTCACCATTATATACTATTTCCACCATATAAATATAATAGACATAAATAAACCAAAGGGCATAGGTAATAGTAAAATATAGTAATTAGGAATTGCTGTGTATTGAGTACTTATTATCTTCATATTTAATATAACTTATTAAATTGTGAGTTTATAAAATTTAATTTTTAATAAAGCCTGTGTTTTAATAATCAGCTCACAAAATTTTCTTTCTTTTTTTTGTTTTTGAGATGGAGTCTCGCTCTGTCGCCCAGGCTGGAGTGCAGTGGCGTAATCTTGGCTCACTGCAAGCTCCATCTCCCAGATTCACGCCATTCTCCTGCCTCAGCCTCCCCAGTAGCTGGGACTACAGGCACCCGCCACTACGCCCCGCTAATTTTCTTTTTTTTTTTTGTATTTTTAGTAGAGACAGGGTTTCACCGTGTTAGCCAGGATGGTCTCGATCTCCTGACCTCGTGATTTGCCCGCCTCGGCCTCCCAAAGTGCTGGGATTACAGGCGTGAGCCACCGTGCCCGGCCAGCTCACAGAATTCTTGACATTTTAACAATCAGTTCTCATAAACCACTACAAGTTGGCCCCACTGCATATTTATTTAAGATCCACATATATTGACCTGTGTGTGTGTGTATGTGTGTGTGTTATTCCTGCAAATGAGCCAGATAACCAAGAAAAATGAGGACTGTTTCCTTCGATTCTACTGTGTGCATGTAGATCAAAATGACTCTGCTCTGACCAGTAAATACAGAATACTCAGCCTATTACCCTTTTCATCACTTGAAGCAAGGTATTTTGCCTCAGTTCTTATTTTCCTAGAGCTGTTAAATTTTAAACCATATCCAAGAGAGAATACATAACTGTCAAATACATTGGGCATTGGAGCAGGATCATGCTCAGTTTAAGAATCCCAGTTCGTGCTGTGATGCACCACCCAGACTCTGTGCAGGACAGTGCCCCAGCTTCAAGGGATGTTGCCAGAAGACAGCCCTCAGCTGTCAGCCCTCTCCAGAAATTACCCTTGACTGAGAGGAGCTACTTATTCCAAGATCACATTCGTTCCTGGGTGCAGCCTGCATTAATAACTGGTTGTCTCAGAATGTACAGGTCTAGACTCCTCACACCAACTTGGAACCATTTTGAAACAATCATCTCAGCTTTAGAGCTCCCAGTAGGGTCACCAGATGCTCCATAAACATTGCATCATCACGTGACTTCTCCCTCTGCCCAATTCTGTTTCCTTCTTCCCTTCTGCAGATATTGATTGCAAAAACATTTCCATATTAGCGTCCTGCACATTAACCTCCATCCCAGAGTGGTTCCTGAGAAAGACAACCTGAAAACTTGGCAAAGTAGCTGTGAAATAATAAAACCTGTAAGCAAATATTTTTAATTTAAAAACCAAAATGCATGTGCTATGAATTTCTAATTTTTACATTTTTAAAAATATACTACTAGATCCTGTTTCTTGGTCATTTATTAGATACCACAAATATGAACTAAATAAATGTTTTCTTACGATAGCTTAAAAATTATTAAATCTACTCCTAAACATTTAAAGAATACCAATGCTTCACAAACTCTCTCAAAAAATAGAAGAAGAGATAACACTTCTGAAGTTATTCTATAACACCAAAAACAAAGACATCACAATAAAGGCAAACTGAAGACCAGTATCTCTTATGAATATAGATGCAGAAATTCTCAAACACTTATTATATAAAAAATAATCCAACAGCATATAAAAATGATTATGAATTACATGACACAACTAAATGGGATTTATCTCAGGAATGTATGGCTGGTTTAACACTTGAAAAACAATTAATGTAATATGCCATAACAATATGAGAAGAATAAACCTAGCTTTTCATTTTCTTTTATGATTTTGACAGTTGTGAAGAGTATTAATTACCTATTTTGTTGAATGTCCCTCTTTGGAGGTCCGCCTATAGTTTCTCATGATTAGACTATGGTTATGACTGGACTGTGGCTATGGCAAGAATACCATAGCAGTGATGTAGTGTCTTTCTTGATCCATTATACCAAGAGGTTCATAATGTTGACATATCTCATTACTGATTATCTTAATCTTGATCACTTGATTATGGTGGTATCTGCTGGGTTTCTCCACTACAAAGTCAGTGTCTGTTCTTTCATATTTAATACATGCCTTGGAGAATCTAATTGCATTTTGTTGAAGGAAAAAAAATAAAGCCTGAACCTAATGGAGAATTGGTTCTATTGTGAGCAACAGAACATGTCACCTATTCCTTATTCATGCTTCTGACCACAATTTCTATGAGTCCTTGTTTCCCTAGGGTAGCCAAATAGCCCAAGGAATTTAAAGTATTTAGCATAGATTTGAGCTATTCCTTTTTTTTTTTTTTTTTTTGAGAGAAATACCCTAAATATCTATTTTTTTACATTGAAAAACATCAAATGCTTGAGAAGCTGTTTCTGGATTTTCATTGTTTTGAAGACTTTATGTAGTGGTATGTTTCACTTGTTCTGCAAGACAGCGTCCTGATTGATTCACCATACTGCCCAATAAAACATGATCTTCAGTAATACAGGCCTGGTTACATAGTTGTCTGTTTGTATGGATGTATGTTAACTGAGGGTTATATTATTACTATTTCATAGAATTGCCACTTGCTGGATCTCTACTCAGTTCTATCACCTTCTTAGCTTTTTAAAGATTCAGAAATCACAAAAATAAGAAAAAAATGCAATGGTAATGAGATAATTGCCCAAGAATGTAATAATAATGAATGTCACAGCATCTAGAAATGATGTGAAACCATCTATTAACAATAATGAAAACTGCTATCAGTAGAATGTAAGCTCCACAAGGGCAGCTATATCTCAAGTACTTTGACCAGTGATTGAAACATAATAGTTGCTTAAAACATATCTGTCAGGTAAATTATTTTTAATAAGCTATGTAATCTACTGAGAACTTTACAAATATTCCTTCTTTATAGCCTCACAATAATCCTAGGAAGTACATACTGTTATAATCTATCATTCTCTTTTATATATTTAAACATTTAAGTTTGCTTTGTTACGGAAAATTTCAAACATACACAAACAGAGAGAATAGTATAATGAATGCCTGCATACTCACTGCATTAATCAGCTCTGGATGCCATACAAAATACCATAGGCCAGGAGGCTTAAACAACAGGAATTTATTATTTCTCACAGTTCTGGAGGTTGGAAAGAACAAGAACAAGGTTCTGGACAATTCTGTTCCCCTGTGAGGGCTCTCTTCCTGTCTTTCAGAAGGCTGCCTTCTAGCTGTATCCTTGAGAAGCCAAGAGTCAGGGGAAGCAAGGCCTCTGGTGTCTCTTATTATCACAGCAGTAATTCCATCTTCAGGGCCCCATCCTTATCAACTCATTTAAGTCTAATCACCTCCCAAAGGTCCCATCTCTATATACCATCACATTGGGGGTTAGAGATTTAATGTATGAATTTTGATGGGACACAATTCAGTCCATACATAGAACCTGCCCATCACCCAGTTAAAATGATTAGTTACTGATATATGTTATCCCATTTTCCTTTTTCTTCTTCTTCTTTTCTTTTTAGACTGGGTATCTGGGTCTCACTCTGTCACTGAGGCTGTAGTGCAGTGGTGCGATCATAACTAACTCGTGGGCTCAAATGATCCTTCTGTCTCAGCCTCCTGAGTAGCTGGGACTCTAGGTGTGCACCACCACACCTAGCTGTCATCCCATCTTATAAAAAGTGTAATATGCTTGCTGTATTATTTGAGAATATTCAATTCTTCTATAGAAGAAAATAAAAACAAATGGGATATATAACTCGTGTTAAGTGTTGATAATAACTAAGCGAGCAGATTTTGAGATATAGGCAGGATTCATAGAATTGTGTTAAATGCAGTACTAAGTAACCTCTAAGACATGCTATATGATAAAAAGGATGGAACAAACAAGACTGTCATTTCAAAATGGAAAAGAATGGTAAGAACAGGTCAGAAGCATGAATCATGTCACCTCTAGAGTGACAGCAATGTTATCCTCAAATTATCCTCCCATTGGTGATACTCATTATAGTCTCATTTGGCCTTACATCTTCTCTGACAGAAATGGAGGTAAACCCCCCTGCTGTTCACCAATGAACTGATGAGATACCGGCCAGGCCCACTTGCCCCTGTCTTTCTGATAGAGCAAGTGTGTGTAGTGGGCCCCAGGCACTCACCATCTGCCATGCTCCCTTGTTCAAACCTCAACTATGGTCCTCATAACCACATCACCATTGAGAGGGTAGAGATGGTAAAGAGAGCATTCAAACACAGCATAACCAGAAAATGAGGTTCTTCCACACATTTGTCACCTAGTCTAAGTGTGTTAACCTATTTCTTTCTTTCTCCTGGCTTCTTTCTCCTTGAGTCAATGTGAGTCATGCCTCTTAATTTGGTCTATAAGCTTTTCTGTTGTGCATCCTCCGGGATAGCTTACCTGCTAGTATACTGGGAGCAGGGAAATTTTCAGAACATGGGCTCAGAAGAGATGGAGAGACTGCACTAAAGTTACTCGTATGGGCTGAAATCTAGGTGTTTAATATACTGCTGAACTTAATTCATAATTATAAATTCAAACTATACCACTTTGATAAGACATCCAGGAAAGCAAATATTTCACTTTGCACAGTTTTGAAGGGTATGTGTTTGTGTGTGTATAAAATAAACAAACAAAAATAGCTAAAGTGCAGCTTGAACCCAATCTGTGACATGTTTTCCATTAAAAAAAATCCTCTTTGCAACTCCATTGAATTGTACATAAACAAGTCAAGAAAGCTTTCTTTCCACTGACAGATTTGTTTTTATTTTAAATTTTTTATTGTTTTTACTTGTTCTTTCTCCTTTGGTTTCTGAGTTCAACACCTTAAGAATAGCTTAGATTCCATACATTGCAATTGCTCTCCAAAAAAAAAAAAAAAAATCTGAACATTTGCAAGAAAAAATGTTTGGTTTAAAGCCATTGCCTTTGCTCTATACTATTAACCCTCTAGATATATGCCAAAATTGCCCAATTGTTCAAACCTAATGTCAGGCTTGGGACTCTGTGGTCCGTGTCTTCAATTGACTATTTCCTCATGATACAGTGATCTAATAACTGCCGCTCAGGTCAGGGAAAAATAAAGCACTCAAGATGAAAGCTTGCATTGCAAATCTCTTTACTGTTTCTATACAAATTTCACTGTAATATACTCTCTTTGACAGTGTGCTAGGCCAGTATTTCCTCTGGAAGACACTGTTGTAGAAACCAATAATGATTTTCCTGAGAATGTTCCCTAGCCTGATAAAAGAACAGAAAATAATTATGTTGACAAATCCAGCCAAATTGAGATGTTTTATACTTTCATTTTAAACATAGTTTTCTTGGTCTTGCTAGTAGACTTACATCTGCAGAATATACAAGTGACTAAAAATAATTCTTTCAAATTGTAGATGAAATAAAGCAAAAAGTTTCAGACACTCTTACAAAAAGAATTGATCACGGTCCTAAAGTAAGATTTTTGAAGGAAATATATGACAATATATTTCCCAAATCATTGAAAGAACACATAATTTGAAAGAAACTTTATATTAGAATAAAATCAAAGGTAGACTCCTGCTTAAATTGCTCACCTCTAATATGTGTCTTCTGATTGATGGACAACTTTACATGCATTCAACCTTGGGTGGCCAACTCTTCCGTAATTTGCATGATGAATCAAAGGTTAGGATTATGAGATCTTGAAAAAACTTTAACTAAGGTGACACAACACGTGATATTGTTTTTCTATTAGCTAAGCATTACATTCACTTTCATAAGACCATGTATTCTATAGGATATAAGGCCAGTCACATCAATTACCATTTTTATGACATCTATATCACACTATGCTTAAAGAAGCAGATAATTTGGATGCCTAACTTTAAGAATAAAAATCTTTGAGCAACCTGTGTTTAGCATATTCAATGTAGCTTTGCTCTATTAGAAACTCTGTTTAACTTAAACCAATGCTCTCAATTCTATCAGGCTCAGCAAACCCTTTTATAACAAATATTTTGTAAAGTCCCCTTGCTATGCAGAAATGACATTTATCAATATTAACACTCATCTGCACACATGAAACAGGCATCAGTGCCCCACCCATATCTGCCCAGTTCTCATCATTCTAGCACATGCCCATCCACAGCATCTTCTAGCAAATACCCTTGCTGTCACTCTCTGCCTGAGCTTTTTCCTTCTGCCTGCCCAAGCGGGCAGATAAGAAATGCTGGGAAGTTAATGACCCAGGAGCAGTCCTCAGCCAGCTGATGAAGGGGGAAAGATAAAAAAAAAAAATAGTCCAGCTTTTCTCCTCCCTCAGATGGGACCACTTCTAGGCATGTTCTACATGGTTGCTGAGAGCTCCCCAGCAAGACAGAGCCCCACTTGTCCACACTGCCAACTTATAACACTCCCACTCCTCCTGGCTGCTTTTTCTTCCCTTCCTCACATCCCCACTCCTCTGCGCTGTTCCCTGTCATCACCTCCTATAGAAAGCACGTGCACACAACACCTTGGCTCAGGGTCTGTTCCCAAGGGAAGCCAAATGAAAACAACACATCAATTTAAAAAAAATCAATAGAGTGCCATAAGTGTGATATGAAAATGATTTAAAATGAAAGTATTTATAGTAAAATTCTATTTTCAACATGTAAAGACAAGGGCATGAATACACTAGAACACGCAATGAAGAAGGAAGATGTTTGCTTCACTACGTAGAATCACTACAAAAAAAATTCTCTAAATGTGGACTCAACCAGGTGTGAAAAACTCTCCTGCTGCTTGGGCATGGCCATCTGTAGCATAATTTTCTCAGGCACTCTTGGTAAAGTTCTAAGCAAACTAAGTACAAGCTTCCTTTAATTTTCATGATAGTCCAGGATACAGTGAAAAAGAGAGAGAGGCTTTGTTTTGATGTATCTTGGTGTTTATAAACAGGTTTTCACTTATATGACTGTCTGGCAAAACGTTAAAACATTGTGTGGGAGGAGGGACAGTTTTCCCATGTGGGCTTGGCCAGACCACATGTCACAACATCCCTGTCCCTGCCCACAAAATGCTTGTGGCACTCCCTAGTTGTTGTCACTGCCCAAAACCACCCTCACAAAATGGTCCCTAGAGGGCAGTGCTACACCCACTGAGAACCACTGGTTTAGACAAAAAAAGGCACATAATAATGGAGGAAAGAAAAAGGAACTTCACAGTGGCTTAGGCCACTAGATTTAGACTACCTCAGTTTAAATCCCACCTCAACTTTTTGTTCAAGGTAAGACCTTAATTCACTTGAGCTAAGACCAGTAGTGTTACAGGTCCAACCTACAGATGGCAGGTTAGTGTAATAGCCCACAGAATGCATGGAGTTACGGTCGTCAACATAATGCTTAGCTAGTGGAGAAACAGAATCACGATATGCATCACCTTGGTTTTGGCTCATATCCTTGGATGAGGAATTGAGCCACAGGGAAGGCAGTTTCCTTCTGGTGCATATTCCTCATCTCTAAGATGGAAGAAATCACATTTTCTAACTCAGGATTGTTTTGAGAATTAATGACTAAAACACAGTGCCTGGCACCAAGTGGGAGTTCAGAAACATTTGCTATTCTTATTACTATATTTCATGGCTCAATGATTGATCTCATTCACCCCTCTAACTCAAATCATCTCTCTGGTGTGGCCACCAGAAGACACAAATTGTGCAGGATCTGTCAATGTGGGTTTGGTTGTATAACTATCTGTTTCCAAGGCACAGCCTGTGAATTTACTATCATTCCATGCCCGCCCTCCTCCTCGACTCTGCTGCCTGTCCTGTCACTTGTCACTCCCAGTAACAATAACCTGTGTACCTCTGTGCCCTCTGAGGAGATCTTACGAAACGTGAATGTAGGGGAAAAGAAGAAAGGAAAAGTCTTGAGTTAGCTTTTTCCCACACTGGCTAAATCAAAGTAACAGTGGCAGCAAGTTAGAGAATTTGAAAAATAAATGAGATGATGTATAGGAATACACTGCTGTAAACTGTAGAGTGATGCACAAATGCAAAAGTGCCTTTGTTCTTGTTACTTATTAATAGTATTGTTAGTCACACAGCTGTTAGAAACCCAACCAGGGAAGACATAGAGACTTGGTATTACCCTTTATAAATGAGAAAATGAGACAGGTGAGAACCAAGACTAGATATTGCCTAAAAGGAAACTGGAAAAGATCAAATTGACAGCCCTGTAGAAGAGGGTTCTTGGAGATGAAGAGTTGTCTGGGAAATGGTGACATCAAGTTAGGCAGAGGAGCAGAGGTACCAAATGAAAGGGTCAGCTTTTTAAGGCTGCAGACGTGTTCTTGAATAGAGAACTGCATTGATTGATGTGGCCTGTAATGGAAACTCAGATAATGAAATAAAACCAACATTTAAGAATTTCAGGCTGAGAACTCATTGCCATGGCAACCCTCTCAGAAGGGAACTTGTATAAGAAAATAAGATTCACTTGACTACGCCTTAAAATGAAAACCTACACTACAGTGGAACAACTAAATGCAGAATTCCAAAATTGCTTGATTGCCACAATGCCTAGAGGTAGTACTGAATTTGCAGGCCCATCATCTTTCCCATTGGAAGCTCTTGCTTCTCAAGATCTATGACTCAAGGAAGGAACATCAGTTAGCTCTGAGGGATCCCTATTGAAGTTGGGTGGTTCCTACTAACAAAAATTTACAATGTTTTTTCATTCAAAAAAATCATCTAGCATGATGCTTGTGGAAATCACAGGTAGCATACACCACTTAAACAAACATACAAGTTTTAGTCTGCCCATAATCACATAAAATCACTAAATTCCTATGTCAATTAGTATTTATTTTCATGGGAAAATAATTTTTAACCTAAGTAAAATCTGGCTTATATGCAGATTATGTTTTTTTCAAAATAAAACATCTACTCTATTACACGTTGTCATTCAAAGAATGTCAGACAGGGTGCATTGTATTTCATCAGTGAAAATAGTTTTCTCAAATACCTAATATGATTGACAAATATAAATCTATGCCTTTTAACTGGTGCTAGAAGAAGAAATTGCTGTGATACTTTTTGTATGACATGGATTAGTTTTTTAAAAATGAACATGATGTTAAAAGAAGGGAAACAGAAGTCAGGATAAACACATAAAAATCATTACAAAATATTTCTGTGCTCACAAACAAAAAGAATAAAGACAGCATGATATATAAGAAAATATCTATGTATCCTCTCCATCAGTGCGTGGTGATATTGGATACAAAATTAGGCATTTTCATTTTCCAGCCCTGGCTCAATAGAAATTTTTCTTTCTTGTCTTCACCCCTACGCTCACCCCGAGATTTCACCAAGATTTTCACCAATATACACGATTTCTGTTAGTATGTTTTAGATATATATAGCCAAGGATATCATGTATATGTGTAGTTTTCATTGTTTCAGGATATACTGTTGTTCTAGAAATCAACATAATTTAGATGCTTGATTTCACTGGTCTGACTATGCATTCCTCAGGTCATATGCATTAGACTTCTGGGATTCAACCTGGGTCTTTTTTCTTTTTTGACAGCTATATCTTTGTCTTTCCCAAGGTTTTACAGAGAAAATCTGTAGGCTCCCTGGTCTTCTTTTAAAGTTTTCTTTTATTCCCACTCCAATTTCCAGTTTGTACTGCTAATTATCCTCTTCATGGTGCCTTAAATTTTGCCTATCTTGCAATCAACAATCTCAAGGTTGTCAAGAATATATATATATAGGCCGGGCGCGGTGGCTCACGCTTGTAATCCCAGCACTTTGGGAGGCCGAGGCGGGCGGATCACGAGGTCAGGAGATCGAGACCATCCTGGCTAACACGGTGAAACCCCGTCTCTACTAAAAATACAAAAAAATTAGCCGGGCGTGGTAGCGGGCGCCTGTAGTCCCAGCTACTCGGGAGGCTGAGGCAGGAGAATGGCGTGAACCTGGGAGGCGGAGCTTGCAGTGAGCCGAGATTGCGCCACTGCACTCCCACCTGGGCCACAGAGCGAGACTCCGTCTCAAAAAAAAAAAAAAAAAAAAAAAAAAAAAAAAAAAAAGAATATATATATATATATATATATATATAAATAAATATATATAAAAATAAATTTTTTGGATCCAAGGGTAACTCATGGTTAAATAAAAATAACTGACTTTAATATTTGGAATAAGGAATAATATTTGGAAGAAATAAACTTGCACAGACTAGGTCTAGGAGGCATGAAAGATTGGTCATATTTTTTCAATTGAAACGATTTACGGTAAGATTAGAAGGAGAATCAGGATTAAAATCTTACATTTAAATATTTCCTGATATTAAGCACTAAATCATCATTCATAAAAGAAATGCCATCGTAAAATGAGCCATTTGATTTGTTGATTAATTTATCTTTTTCCTTTACCACCTAAAGCAAATGTGGATAGGTATGAAAAAACAGCTGTTACAAACAATGCATGGAGAACAGAAATGTAATGAATTTTTTCCCCTAAGTTAATAAAATATATAGTATTTTTTCATGGTAAAAATTTTTATCCACAACACATCTTACGCCCAAATCAGTATCTTATTTCTAAATAATTATGTATGACTATAACATTTCCCTCTCTACTATTCAAGAATGATCTCCTCTTAGCAAAACTGAGAGGTAGGTGAAATTTATTTATACCCTACTCTTTTTTCTGTTTTTCTCCATCTCCTTTCAGACCTTTCTCCAATTCTCCTCCCCCAGGCTAAGGTGCTCAGTACTTTTATCATACTCTAATTTATCCTGTCAACATGAAAAGTAATTTGATAAATTTCTTCATATTAATGTATTAGAAAATTAATTATCTACTGATCTTATGAGTATCTGCATTTTAAAGGAAATTTGCAGAGAAAGAACAATGCCTTAACATCCTAAATTACTCATTAATTATGGAATTTCATGCATCTCTGGGAAGATATTTAAAAGTGATAAGAGAACTACAGAGTATTCTCAAATCACACAGTGGACATGATGATCTTGTCCATTTATTTGTCTAGGTGGTCATAAGATGGAGTCACATTTTGTTAGAAAACAACCACTAGATCCTCTCTTTGTCACGGAAGTTACCTGATAACGTCAGGGTACACAGTAGGTCTTATTCATATTTATTAAATAAATTATCATACTACTTGTCTTACATCCATTAAAAATATTTGAAGAATCTATTCTTTTGGTAAAATAAGAATAAGAATATATATGTTGGATCCTGTGCTGTGATCCTAAAGCCTTTGGTTTAACCTTAGCAGAAAAGTGGTGCCTATCAAATATTTAATTTATTCCTGGACATTTCCCTGTTGTTTAAAAACATCAAGAAATTACATGGTAAATGTCTAGAGTTCTGGTGTTCAGAATAGATATCAAAGAAATAAGTGATATTTCCTTAAATTGCCAAATCATGAGGTGTGAAAACATCTTATATTTGAAGTAACATTGTCAAATACTTTTCAGAGAATTCCATTCCTCCAATTATCTTATACACATTATCCCGACTGATCCCTATAACAACAGCCACATGAGTTGGACAGGTCTGCAATAACAGTAGTAATTTACTGATTCTTTATAAGTGGAAACCAAAGTTACAAAATGTTGACATTACTTGTCCACAGTCACACAGTAATAAGTGGCAAAGCAAACACTAAGCCACTCTGATAAAAGGATTTATGAGAAATTCTTTTTGACATGTATATAAATGAGTTCAAGTTAAGTTTATTTTTCATCCTAATAACCAGGCTTTTTATATCAACCATGTCTACCATCTATTGTGATAAGTTGACAAAATACAAGCCTATACTATAAAACATGTATCCAGTCATAATCATGTTTCTGAAAGTTTTCTATTTCCCTCTACATAATCAGAATGTGATGAGATTAGCATTATTATTTATTTAATGGTGATCAAGAACATGACACACCATATAAAGAAGAGAGCCCCATTTACTCCAAAAAAAGGAAGAAAGGAAGAAAGGAAGGAAGGGAAGGAGGGAGAAAGAAAAGAAAAATATTTTTCTTTTTTATGTGTAAAAGAGACAAGACATTTGATGGCAACTGTAGTCTACCATGCAAAACATGATGATCAATTTCGTTGGACATTTCTTCCCACATTTTGTGTATTTTCTATCTCCATTTTTATTTACTAATATTGGGATGAATTCAGTTCAGCCTTACCTGCTAATTTCATTCAAGTAATATGTAATTGGCCCTTCAAAATAATCATCAAAGATGTTAAGGTAGATCTAATTCCTATCAAAGAATGACTAGAGTATTACAGGAGCATTACTTCAGCCCATCTGCATGCCATCTGTTAAAAAGTTAACTTAGCCCATAATTCTTCCATTGCTTACCTAATGGTAGCAAATAGAGTAACACGATTGTTTTAAGATAATTACAGTTAGAGATTCCTTTCTCTATTAAAAGGTTGAATGTTATTTTTATACTGTTTCTAACAAACTTCTTACTTCTTACTTTTTCTTGGCTTTTAAAAACAAGTCATTAGAGATGCCAGTGATTCCACTAGCAAATTCTCTTCAGGCCTCAAAATCCATATTTTCCAAGTTGGAAACTTCTCTACATATCCATTTTCCAAGCACTTCAGTCTTTTGCTTTTTTAAATCAATAAGCCATATTGACAAAATTTTAATTATTCCCTAAATGTGCATACCTGTTTTGATTTTTCTTATTTTCCTATAGAGAACAAAATTAACCAACTGGTCTTGTGGTATACTTTGCTCCATTCTCTTTGAACTTCAGCTTTCACCTCTAAGAGAGAATAGGATCTTATGTATTGAGCCATTTGCGAACAAAATTTTAGAAAATCAAAGAGAGAAATAAAATATCCAGCTCTGTTAATAATTATCCAAAGATTAAAAAGGGCTATATAATTAGGTCATGAAAAGTTTCCTTATTTCAAGCAGAATCACCAATGTTGCATTGAAAAATGCACTTCATAATTACAATCATGCACAAAAAGCATAACAACCATCCAGGGTTACCTAAATGTATCTGCTTCTCAAAATTTCTTCATGCAAATAATAAAACCACTACCTCTGTGAACTATCAAGCAATGCTGATCTATTCAGTCTGCTATGAAATCAAGCATTTAACTATTTTTTCTGCCCCACAATTTCAGCAAGGCTATAATCTATATGGGGGAGGGGGAACAACCAAGGGATTCCAGCCAAATTAACTTATTATTAGATATTTACAGTGTGTTTTTCTATAGTTTGATTTTCTTGGTGTAATTGAGATGTAATAAAGGTAGAACATGTTGCAAAAGAAAAGCAGGTGAGTAAATACCTCCAAATCCAGCTAGAAGAGAATTCCTTTCATCTCAGCCTACTGGTAAGGAAATAGATTAGATCCACATTTTCTGAACTCCCTTTGTCTACTGATAAAACTTAGAAGAGCTGTGGTATACCCAGCTACCACCTACAGAATATTAGTTTAATAAGAGTAAAATAAATCTAAAAGAATAACAACATTCAGGTTAAAATACATACGCAGAGTAATTTCCTGCAGATAAATCATGTCTGACACTAGCATGAGAATGCATGCACACATTCATGCATGTACATAGAGATTAAACATGGCTCCAGAATGCACAAGCATACAACCAATATATATTAAATGTGCGCTATCATAACAAACTCAGCACTTGCTATTTTCCTTCTTTAAATCTGCTGGCCACTACCATAATATTTACTTTCTCCAAAAGAAAGTAAGTGGCAAAATAAAGAGGAAAAAGTAGATAAGATAAATCCAGTTCTGAGGTTTTATAGTTTTAAATTCTGAAACATCATGAAAAATTTAGCAAATATTTATAGCACATCAAAGATTAGAGTCATGATAACCAAATCGGCTACTAAGATCCTTAAACTTAGTTCTCAAAAGTTTGGAAATGGTTTCCTACCTCTCTTTAGACAAGACAGATTACTAAAGCATAAAGGTTGAAAAAGAGTGAGAAATAAAAAACATAAAATTACTTACAACTGATCGGATGTTATTTTCTTTCACGAGCTTCAGAGATGATTTATAGCAATTTGCAAGGTCTTCCTTGTGGGAACCATTAATATGGCCCCTGGCTATTGGCCCTACAGTATGGATGACATCTGTAAATACAAAAGGAAGGAAAAAGAGGATAAGCGAGGTATTTTTCACTTTTTTTACATAATTAATACTTTATTTATTTTAGGTATTTGTGTTAGAGCCTGGAGACAAGCAAGCTAAGCAATACATTGGCGACGCAAATATTTCTCTGGTAGAAGATCTTAAGTAGCACAACCTCCTAAAGTAGGCAATTTCCCAGGAAAATGATAATTGTGAAAAGGAATCCCCAACAAGTGAATTGTTTCATAGTTTTTGGTCAGATTCAAGTGACACAGATTATAGTATAAGACGTGCATAATTGGCTCCCTGGAAAAAGACAAATCCTTGGCGGGAAATAAACTGGGGAAATAAACTGAGGAGTAATTGCCTGCAAAAGGAACATCTGGATTGGCACGGGAAGAGCCAGTGCTAGCCTAGCTTACTTCTAAGACAACCTTCAGGCATTGTACACAATAAAGAAGAGCAAGTTTCTGAAAAAAAATACCAAGAGAATTTTTAATAATCATTAATAACCTTGAGAAGAATAATTGCAAAACATTCCTGCCAATTTTGAAGTATAGCCTACCAATCCTCACCTACATAAGGTATGCTAATAGTTCATACCTATTTTAATAGGTTAATAGTTAATTATCTATTTTATTGTATTATTAAAACATTCAAACATTTTAATGCAATCTATACTGTTCAACTCCTATTTATGTTGAAAAATACAAAACTTGATATTTTTTATACACAACAAGCCATTGTGCTATTCTTTTAATCTCTACACACACGTAAACTTTTAATTTTAGGAATGTAGTGAAAGGGGACTGTCCTCATTTTAAGAAAGAGCAGAAGAAAAACCCCACGTTTTAATCAAATTTACTTGAAAATGCCTTGTAAGTCTTGCTTCCCAGTCTTATCGGTGAACTGAATTATTAGTCCCTTTCATTGGTGTAAATCATAACAACTAATCAACTTTCATCACAAAGACAAATTCAGTCTAATGTAATTGGAGTATTATAACGAAATTATTTGTGTTGACTAATCGTTACCACTCAATTCCAACAAGAATGACAGAAGAATAAGAGTATACAAAAATAAGAATATGGTACAGTTTAAAAAATGCATATGGCATTTCAATAGCAGCAAATAAGTCACTAAAAGAAAAATCTCGCCAGGTGCAGTGGACCACGCCTGTAATCCCAGCACTTTGGGAGGCTGAGGTGGGCGGATCATGAGGTTAGGAAATCGAGACCATCCTGGCCAACATGATGAAATCCCATCTCTACTAAAAATACAAAAATTAGCCAGGCGTGGTGGTGTGTGCCTGTAGTCCCAGCTACTCGGGAGACTGAGGCAGGAGAATCGCTTGAACCAGGGAGTCGGAGCTTGCAGTGAGCCGAGATTGCACCGCTGCACCTCACAACCTAGTGACGGAGTGAGACTCCATCTCAAAAAAAAAAAAAAAAAAAGAAAGAAGGAAAAAAGAAAAGAAAAATCTCTGTTGGTTGCCCACTAAATGTTGATACTATTTGATGTTTGAGAAAAGACCTAAAGCATTGGTTTCCATGATTAATTCTGAAACAGTATTTAAACCCTTGTCAGCCGATATTAAGAGGGGCTCATCTCATGTGATCAAAGGAGGCATACAAAACTTCACTAATAAGTTCACGCAGATATTGTTTCACAGGTAAACTTACTTTTAAAGTGAGAACCACTACAATATAGAAGTGAAGGATAAATGGGCTTGAGGTGTACTCAGGAAAAAAAATAGCACACAGTGATATCATTTTTTTGTAATAAAAGTAACAAGCAAGAGTTGCATAAATTCAAGCAATGCAAGTCCTGTACCATAGTAAATATTTATATGAATATTGTACTTTAGTTTCTTTAATAAATGTTAGAATCCATAAAGGAAGGAGATGGTGCTTAGCCTTACTTTATTTCCCCTCTGGTGGCTACTTGTTATTTATACCCAACTATGATATTCTAAGTTTTCTGATGGATACAAATGACAGAAAAATTGAACCAGAATAACACACAATTCTATAAAGCAGCATTTCCCCAAATGGGTTCGGTATGATATGGGTTTAAAGGTCAATTAAATTTGAAAAAAAAAAAAAAAAAAAAAAAAAACAGGTGAAATTCTATCACACCAGTTACCTTACTGCAAGACTTCAGTGGGCATTTAAAATGCCGTAAGGAGTTGTGCGTCTCCAGGAGGAGAATATAAAATGCTCTGTTTCCTAAATACAGTTGACGATTGAAACCTGTGCTTTGAAGAACACCTTATAGGACTAGATTTCCACAATTTCACCTTTGGGAAATGTTGTTTCAGGGCCATTTTGGCAATCTTGTTCCCATTGTTGAAGACAAAGTCTATGCTTTTTAGCCCCTTCCCCACTGCTTCTAAACATCAAACACTTAATACATGAAAGAACAACGGGACATGACCATGGTTCTCTTATTTTGTGGATGGAGAAGATCAAGAATAAGTGCCTCTTATCTGGAGTAATAAAAAACATTGAGCAAAGTAAAGAAGAGGCTTAGAGATATTAACGGGGGCGAGGGAGGAAGGGAAAGAGGGAGGGAGAAGGGAGGGAGGGATAAGGGAGAGAAAGAAAAAGAGAAAGAGAGAAAAGCCCATAAGTGTAGGAAATAGTGACATCATAAACTTTTCCTTTGCTTTCCTTTAGTCATCATCGTCTATAAAACTTAAATGAAATTTATGAAAAATTATTCCTTGCATTTCTTTAGTTCTCCATTTCATTTAAAGGACTGAGGATAAACAGCCAATAAATGAGCCTCCTCAGCATTAAAATATTGATCTTTGTATTTATGCTCTATATTAAATTTATAGCATCCAAGATCGAATGTTATTATCGACCAACATGATGACCTCTCAGATCCACAAAGCTGGAGGTGAATCAATATGAGGCTAGACAGGAAATCTCCTTCATTATTTTAATTGTCCATAGTACTTATGAGTAACTACTCCACACTGAGTTTCTCATTTTCTCAGTGTGGAGTAGTTAAATTCAGTCAGGAGGCCTGTCTTTGAATTCCAGCTCCAGCCCCTTAGTCATCAAGTGCCTTAGATAAACCCATCATTTTCAGTGGTGCTTGCCTTTTTCCTTACCTATAAAATAAATCTCCTGCTTAGATTATCTCTGTGGTCTCTTCTGTGTTGTGTAGCATTATTAATATCTAACCTTATAATGGAGAGGGATGGAAAATAGAATATCTGGGCAGGTAAAAGTGATCTGAGACATGGTTAAGCAGCTCATAGGCTTTTGACTATAAGAATTCTTTTTAATATCAAAATATGACTAATTTTTCACAATAGTTTCAAAATCCATTGAGAACATGTTAGAGACAAACAGCTATTATAATTTTAATGATGATTTGTATTGATTTATGTTTTATTAAACACTGTAGCATCTTCATAGTGGACATATATATGTAATATACATGGATGCAAAGTCTATGGACAATGCTTTATCTTGCACATGGGTTTTGAATCCCTTGGTATAAATAAGATAATGTAAATAGAAGTATTAAATTCAAAGTCTGATACATAGGAAGGCTCAAGAAATGGTAAATGTCATCATCAACAGCAGCAGTGTACAAGGAGTCCTCAGCACACAGGCAGGAATGACAGAAAGTTACCATCTCTTTACTCATGTGGAAAGAACACCAATCCTAAGATCTGACTACAGGTTGTAAGTCCCAGATCTGTCACTAATCAGCTACGTGACCTTCTGCAAGTCACTCTCCTCTTTGGCCTTCAGTATTCAAAGTCAAAAGAAGGAATAAATCAGAATAACATTTTTTTTTGCAGCTCTCAAGTGCATCTCCTTCTGTACACGTCTATCAGGAACTGAGCTAAAGATTCTAAGAAGTTTAATTCATTTTTGTCCAGATAAATGAGCATCAATCATGGTTCACGTTTCCCAAACACGATTATACAGCGAAGTGCAAATTGGCACTATCTCCAGAGAAAATGATTTAATCATATCTAACAAAATTACAAATGTAGACTCCTTTTGATCCAGCAGTTCTATTCCTAGGAATATATCCTAAAGATAATATGCTCGCCCATATGCAGAACAGTATTTACACAGGTCATTCCCTGAAACATTGTATATAATAAGGCAAGATGGGAAACAGCTAAATGTCCAACCATAGGGGACAGACTAAACAATGTTAGTAAAACGATGGTTCATTTATACTATGAAATGCTAGGCTTCTGTAAAATAGACAAAGAAGGCCTTCATGTATGCATATGGAAAGATACCCAAGACACATTACAACATAAAAATAAAATTCAGAAAAGCACACTAACATTAGTGTTAAAAAAAATTCCTCTACCGATGTAGGGAAGAATATAGGTTTGTTTTAGCTACATGCATAAAACATCTCTGGAAGGATAAACTAGCAGTTAATAAGAGTGGTTACCTACTAGAAGAGTGACAGAAACTATGAAGATGGGGGAGGGAATATGGGGAGGAAACTTTTCACTGCTTTTATTTTTTGATGTTCAAGTTATGTGAATACATTAGCTATTCAAAAATTAAATAAAACATTTAAACAAAGAGTATATGATTTATTAATCCATATTCTGGAATCCCATTTACCCTGTCCTTATAAAATGTAAAGATCATTAATGTGCTTTCCAAAGATGAGCTTATATCATTACACATATAAAAATACTCTTAAAGAAAAAGATAGATATAATTTCAAGGAATTTAACAGAATGACTCCCCTAGGTATATCTTTCTTTTATTTTCCTAGCCTCAATAATTTCTTTATATTAAAAAATTATTTTCAGATAAATATAGGGTTTAAATGATGAACAAGAGGGCATTTTTTTCCTACATGGCCAGCATCAACCATTAAAGTTTTACTATAATTTTAATATGTACACTGAGTGTGACATCAGTTTACATATTAAAGTGGTAACGTAGGATAGGAGCATACTTTTTTTTTTTTTTTTTTTTAAGACAAAGTCTCGCTCTGTTGCCCAGGCTGCAGTGCAGTGGTGCAATCTTGGCTCACTGCAACCTCTGCTTCCTGGATTCAAGCAATTCTCCTGCCTCAGCCTCTTCAGTAGCTGGGATTACAGGCATGCACCATCACACCAAGCTAATATTTGTATTTTTAGTAGACACAGGGTTTTACCATGTTGGCCAGGCTGGTCTCGAACTTACCATGTTGGCCAGGCTGACCTCAAGTGATCCACCCACCTTGGTCTCCCAAAGTGTTGGGACTAAAGGCGTGAGCCACCACACCCGGCCAGAGCATACTTCTTATGCTCCTCCTTTGGTTATCTCCTCCTTTGGTTACCTCAACAACCAAAGAATTTTGAATAATTGTCAAGAATTTTTAGAGATTAAGAAAAGACTATGTAAAAATTTAATCTACGCCTACTTTTCAAGCAACCCAGAGAGACAGAATAATGTGCCCAAAGTCAGAGATCAATGTGGGGAGATAATGACAGCATCACAATGACAACATCACAGTGACAATATGATTATGAGTAAGTTCCTCTCAAGGTGACTCCTTATGGAAAGAAATGAATGGCATACATTTGTATGTATACATTTTGGCATGTTTGTCATGAATCTCATTACTTTAGCCTCATGCTTGTATACATGCAAATTCTGGTTAGCTTTGTGGTTAGATTTGTTGCAATATGCAACAAATTACCACAAAACGTGGTGGTTTAACACAGCAACCACCATCCTATTATTTCTTTTGGCTTCTATGGGTCAGACCTTCTGCAATGGCTTGGCTAGGGGGTTTGGCTTAGGGTCTCTCATTTGGTTGTAGTCAACTGGTGGCTGGCACTGGAGCAGTGGAGGACTGTGGGAGCCAAAGGCTGGACTGACATCTTTCTCTCTTCATGTGGTCTCAAGGACTCTCCATGTGGGCTAGTTTGGGTTTCCTCACTGCACAGCAGCCTCAGAGCAGTTGGATAACTTAAATGACAACTCAGGGCTCTAAGAGCAAGTGTACCAGCAGGTGGACGCCATGTTGCCTTTTATAACACAGGCTTGGGAGTCACACAGCATCACTACCACAATATTCTACTGGTTGCCAATGTCACAAAGATCTCATATTTTTTCAGATGGAAGGACCTAGACCTCACCTCTTGATGGGAAGAGCAGTAAAAAAATTTTGAACATATCTTAAAACAGCTATAATGCAGGACTCCCCAGACAGTTGGCGCTTTATTTTGGTGAGCCCCAAGTACAAAGTCAGGTGGCAGATAAATAAGAAATCAGAGAAAAGGCTGAGATGATTAAAACTTTACCAGTATGGAGTTCTCAGACCTATTATCTCAATCAGTCAACTGCTAATTTAATAAAAATCTGAGGTAGCCAAAGATTGAAACATGAGATTAGTATTAATTGTAAACACAATCTAATTTGGGAATAATGAATGTAATTGTAGCCCCTAGATAGAAATGACTGGCACAGTGCTGGTTTAGTTCTTTTGTTTTATAATGTGGCAGGAACCTGTGGACAGAGGAAAGGGCAGACATGGCTGTCACAGAATTAGCATCATAACTTCCTATGAGTGGTGAAAGTGATGTTATTTCCCTAAAGTGTCCAGCTCCACATTCAAGAAAGGAAAAGCAGCCTTTGTGCACTGAAGCCCTCTCCTACAGCACTCAGGAAAGCCACGAAAACAGCAATGCGATTTGTACATTTAATCAGCATTTCAAATGCAACCTCTTGAAGAGCTATGGAAAATGAGATGGCAGGCCCTTTTGTGCTTCATCAGACTAAAGTGTGGCAAGACAAATGGAATCTGTTTTTGCTCATCTATTTCTGAAATCAATCAGTCTGTAAATCAGCTTCTTTGTTCTGAAGAGATAACTATCGCACCACTTTGCACTCCCCCACTCCTATTTATCCTGGGAAATTAGTCTGAATTATAGAGAAAAGGAGGATAGGATATAAGGTTTTCTTTGAAAGAGGTGTGGGGGAGAGCCTACTTTCATTTCCAAAAGTGTAAATTGAAAAATATGTGATTGAAATGCCAAATAAATATTGAAAGCAGTAGAATTATTTACAAAGATTCAATCAGACTTATCCTTGGCAAAACAAATGCAGCAAAAACATTCTGTGAAAAAATATTAGCATAATGAATTTTAAAACAAATGAGAGAGCACAGATAGGTTGCTCTCATCATTTTCCATTTGAGAAGCAACTGCGCTACATTCAAACTGTTAATGAACAGTCAGACCAAGTGTAGAATCAATTACACATTGCTTTCATTCACTCCATTCTTGTATTCATAAGCATAATCGGTCCTTCTAACAGACTGCATAATAATGCTGTGCCTTGTCAATCATATCAAATTGCATGAATTTTAAGAAGAAAACCAATGCATGGAATTAAACTGATTTTCTTTTTTAGAGATACAACCACAAAACTGAGCACTAAAGGTACTATTTGTAAATCTTACTGGCCAATTTATATAAGCACCACCAATCTATGACCTGAAACAGAATACTTGAAGTTCAGTTAACAGAAAATTGAATTACCACCTGATAGCATTACAAAGTAAATGCTGCCTCTTCTTTCCACATAGGTCAGTGTTTTCATATACACATTTCGAAGTTTGTTTTTATTATATTTCAAGAAACAATCAATTGTCTATAAGATGTTCCTTTTCAATCTGCCGAAGATATCATTGAAAATGTACTTCAACACACCCTGCAGCATTTTTCTAAATTCGGATTACTCTCATACATTTCTTCAGCTGTATGAAGGATTTCTGTCTATGTCCGGAAAGACTATAGTCATTCAACTTTTTGCATGAGTTTGGGATAAACTAGAATTCACAATGTTATTTTTAAATCTAGTTTCCTTTGAGTTTGTGAGTTGACCCATTGCTGTTTTTCACTGTTCTTGGTTACAAAGGGCTTTTGGTTTACCTCTCTCACCCTCCTTGATGCTATGGTTCTCTAAATAAGATATCTATGTCTAAGGTTACATACACAGCAACTAAACATTTGCATTTTACAGTTGATAGAGGCATACAGAATGCACTGCCAAAGCTCAAATGCATACTTTCAGCTCAACTGGAAAGTTGGTTCCATTTTTACATGAGAATGTGATAATGTTATTATGTTTGGGGCATCATGTGCTGATAATATGTTTTATTCTTCATTGACTTCAAAGCTGTGATGTTTTAAGCCCACGTTATAAAATATCATTCAATCAATTTCTACCAAAATGCCATCCTCTATATTAAAAAAGAAAGAGGCAAAGCTCATGTTTAATTTTTTATCAGCTCTCCCTTTCCTGCACAAATCTATTTGAGACTGACCTTGTTGATGGGACTGTATCCTGTTTCAAATTGGACTCCTACATGTAAGGGTCCCTTTTTAATAACACAGATTGAAACTCATGGAAAAGGGATATCCTGTGGTCAGCCATTGATAGTTTTGAGATTCCACAGGGTATTGGGGGCATCTGCATCACAATAGTGTTATTTCCAACAGAGAGGGGTCTCAGAGGAAATGTGGGAAGCTGAATTATCTGCAGAATTCCAACATTTCATGTCATTTTAGAATGAACCCAAAGAGAACACATCCCAGAAGGAAGTGAGTCAAATGCATGGCATTTCTAGTGCTTCAATAGCAGGGGTGAGAGGAGGTGAAGGTCCAAATAGACAATATGACTGTTTCAAGGAAGATGATAATAAGATCTTTGTTCTGGTTCAAGAGATGTCAGCAACTTGCAGCCTTTTCAGAGAGATGCAAAACCAGTATTTTATTAAGATGTGAGGAGAAAATCGGCTTTAAAGACTCTATACTGTGGGTAAAATGAATGAATATTAGTCCCCACTGCAAGGGTAATTCTACAAATGCAGAATCTAGGCTGGGACTGAAATGTGCAGATGGGTCAATGTCGGGACACGCAGGCTGATGCTGAGGTTGCATGTGCTTGTCGTCAGCATTCCTTTACCACTCCCGTGCCACCACACGCCTGGACAAGAAAGACTCTTCTGCAATCATCCACTCAGTCATTAATTCTGTCCTTTATATAATACATATTTAGTGAGAACCCACTATGTGCCAGTGCATAGGGCAATTGTTCCATGACTCTCACCAAACAGGTCTGTGCTTTTCTGACTACAGGACTTTCCCCATTTCTGGAGAGCCCCCCCCATTTTTTTCTCTGAAAATTCTTCTTATGAAATAGTTTCTCATGGAGATTCCTACACTGTGAAGAATTTCGCTTCCTTAAAGATGAGATCCATAAATTCCTCTATATGAACAGAGTTTGAATTCACTTCACCTCTGTTGCTCTATAATATCACTTACGATAAACCATTAATATGACTTTGAACACGAACATTTCTGAGAAGTTTCCATCGGTCAGAGCTCTCCAATCATATGGCATCCTGCCTTAGGCAGCAGGGAATGCCCTATCATTCAAGGCAATCCGATATGACTACCTATGTCCCAAGATTCTTGCTAACTCTGCAATGTCATGATTCTGTGATTTCTGTTTTCCTGCAGTGACTCGATGCTTCCACTGCAGGGAATATGACAAATCTATGTCTGTGTTTCCCACAAAGCCAAGAATTCTATGGGAACAGTTGCTTAATGGATAATTAGTGAATCTGTGGGTGATTAAATAAAAGTTGGCCCGATATAATCAATCTAATCAGGAATGATGTACCAGATTAGAGAAAACAATGAGGTAGAAGGGATAATCTAGACTGGGCAAGCAATGGCATCTAGTTATACTGGTTCAGCTCATTCAGCATACATTTTATAGAGCTGAAAAGCTGTTTCTTCATAGAAAGACTCATCAAAACCTCATCAAAAATCTCCTAATGACTGCACTATGGAAGATTTAAAAATAAGATTCTAACACTATCACACTCTTTAACAAAAGCTATGAGATTCTATCCAAAGACTCAAACAGAAAAAAAAAAAAAATGTGCAGTGATCCCTTTGCCTTTTTTTTTTTTTTTTCAGGAGATGATTAAATAAGTGCATTCTCTAAACCTGTCATTTCCCTCATCTGCATATTGCTCATTTTAGAATAAATCTGCTTTGTTTTAGAGATAGGTTTTGGCTCTCAAATCACAAAATGGAACATGACAGACTTTCTAGACACCCTCTGAAGGAATTAATGGGCTCACTATTCACATTTCTTTAAAAAGTAGCATTTAGATATAATGAATCCACCTCTCCACCAAAATAAAGCGGATCTGATTTCTCTCTGAAATTGATCCATTCATAGGACAGCTCTGCACTAAACCTAGGCTCTACGTCTTCACTCCAGGCCCTACATCTCATTTTCTTAAGGAACTGTTGTATTTAGAAAAGACAAATGAGAAGAGGCTACTTCAAGAATTACATTAACATAACTTCTAGCCAAAAGAATATGTGAAAATTTCTATACTGTGAAGTTACATTATTTTACAAGTTCAACTCATTTAAATTCAACAATATGAACAAAGTGTTGGTGGACTGAGAATGATAAAATATTTAAATAATAAGGGCAATTTATTTAAATTTATTTAAATGAGTGAGTGTTACAGCAGGAGTAGGAGCAGGGTGGCTTACATTGCTGGGCCCAGTAGATCAGTCAATATCCTCACCTACTTTTCAGAGATAATGGGTTTACTGTGCACTAGAGCTATTTTCAAACTTTCTGGTGACACTTTCAGAACTGCTACATTATAGCTTCTCACTGTGCAGATCTAATAAATAATATTTACTTTTCCAATGCAACATCATTAACTATTTTATCTGTCCTCAAGTTTGAAGAAACAGTGATGTCTTTCGACTCCATAGGGAGAATCATTTGTATTGAACTTATTTTGAACTGGTATGTCACCAATTTCACTTTTATGTAGGTTAAGGGATTTTTTTTTTTTGAGACGGAGTCTCGCTCTGTCGCCCAGGCTGGAGTGCAGTGGCGCTATCTCGGATCACTGCAAGCTCCGCCTCCCGGGTTCATGCCATTCTCCTGCCTCAGCCTCCTGAGTAGCTGGGACTACAGGCACACGCCGCCACGCCTGGCTAATTTTTTGTATTTTTAGTAGAGACAAGTGTTTCACCATGTTAGCCAGGATGGTGTTGATCTCCTGACCTCATGATCCACCCACCTCGACCTCCCAAAGTGCTGGGATTTTTAAGAGTAATTTTAACTAAATGCAATTGTTTTCTGCTCAATCTTCAAAATCCGGAGTAATTGCTTTTTCCTCTTCTTTGAGATAATCGGGGTATTTCCACTCACCATCCTCTTGAGAATGGAAAAGCACTTCTTAAAGAGTTTGCAAAGACTCAAGGAAAAAAGTCCAACATGACTGCTATCAGATACACTGATTCACATGGAGAAGAGAAGGGTGGGAGCAGCTTTTTAAACAAGAATTCTATAAGACATCATGGAGTAAAGCCAAGAGATATTCTTTGGGAACATGAATTCCCATGCAAAATCATGACAGTAGTTTTACTTCCTCATGCTTACTCCTTTGCAGAATGAATTGGAGGCTACAAAAGGGAAGAGATCAGCTGACATGAAAGCAGAGTCCAAGGCGTGAAAAAGAGAGGCAGACCGTTCAAGAATCTTAGAGTTGAACTGGCAAACTGTGATGATGGTTTTAGAGTGGATGGGAAAAGAGAAAACAAAGTGTAAAAATTGATTTCAAGGAGCTTGACTCTAAGTGACTGAGTTAGTAACAGAAATAGGGAAATAGAATGGAAATAGAATTGGGGTGTGAGTTACTGCAGTGCTTGTCAGGTCTTCTGAGAGCCTATCCTCAACATAGAAATAAGATGCAGAAAGGGGACAAGAATAAGAGAAGTGTTAGTTAAGAGTAAAAGAAAAAAGGACAATAAAAAATAACTCATTTTGTTCAGTATCAAGACAGGTTTTCTTTTTTAACTTTTCCCTTTCTTTGCCTATTTTGGGCCTGACATAGAATCAGTGAGGGGAAGAGAATATATCACTGAGCCTTTCCAACATAATTCATTACGAGACTAAGAGCACAGAGGTCAACATGTGCCTCTGCGAGATTATTTAGTAGAAACCATTAATGTAAAAGCACTCGAAGAAAACCAAGAGACCTTTCCACAGTAATTCAGATGCCAAGAATGAAATGTTTGCATGCAGGCTTTGATGAGTATCAGGTTTAAAAAGAAAAAAAAACCTGAAAATAAATAATATCTGGTGACTGGCTCCCTGATAATATACTGTTGTCATGCAGGTCAATTAATAACAATTTTCGTTCTTTATTTAGAAATGGGGTTGTGGTTGAGATGATATGAGAAAATGGCTTGAGAGGCACTATAATGAAAGAAATTAGCGGCAGTAAAAATGGGAAGATTTGGTATGAGTAGGAAAATATGTTACACAGCAGTAGCTGACAATATCAGAAAAAAAAGATCAATAGAATGTGTAATTATTATCAGACAGCATGATATCAGGAGAGAGCAAGAAAAACAAGTCTCCATAACCCAACAGCACACTCCACTCACTCACTGTGTGAACTGGGGCAAATTACTTTTCTTCCTCTCTAAAAAATAGGATAATATCTGCTTGTCAAGTTTGTTGTGTGGGGAATAAATTATGTATTATATGTGAAAGCATCAAGTCGAGTACCTGGCATGTGGGAGGTGATGAGAAGTACTACTTATCACTAGTACTTCTACGTAGTTGCATTTACCACGTGCATACATGGGATAGGAATACATTCTTCTCTATTTAGTCAATATTTCATCATTATACTCTCAAAGTTCATGATTATACATATTAACCAATTATGTCAGAACTGACATATTACTGGTTTCTTTGCTTCTACTACTTCTTGGATGCCTGGTCTTCTCACTCTTAAACTCATTTTTTGTTGTTGCGGGTGGTGTATATTCTTGAGTAATTCTTTCAGAGATGGTCTGTGGCTGGAAATTTCCTAAGCCACTGCATTTCCAAATGTTTTTAATTTGTTCTCAATTCTGAATGCTGTCTTTCTGACATATATGCTTCCAGGTTCAAAATTAATTTTTCTCAAGAAAGATGTAAAATACATAGTGTGTCAAACAGTGACAAGTGCTAAGGAGAAAAATGAAGCAAAGAAAAAGGATAGACTGTGGTGAGAAGCAAATGGGCAGAGAATGTGAGGAGCAGTTTCACGGGCGTCTTCTGAGAAAAGCGCTTACTCTCAAAATAAGATGAGTGAGGAAAATAATCCCCATCATTTCTGCCTTTGACTTCTCAGTGTGAAAGTTTGTCGCTGTCACAGTCAGCTTACCGTCGTGAGGGTCGAAGCCTGAGGACAAAGTGCAATATAGAGTGGGTTTAAAAACATGAAAAGGGAAGAAATTGGAGACTTCCGTAATACTACTCATTTCTTTTGTTATGTAAGATACTCAATTTCTAATTTTTAAAAATTATTTTTTCTCTCCGAATGTTGAAGATTTTTCTTCATTCACGTCTACTGTGAGAAAAAGACAGTTTTATTTTTATACCTCCATAAGTAAGCTGTTTTTTATTTTTATTTTTTCTCCTTTCCAGAAGTTTTATCAACTTCCTATTTATCCTTGAAATTCTTTTCTCAGTTTTTAAATTTTTTAATTTTTAATTTTGTGGGTACATAGTAGGTGTATATATTTCTGGGGTACATAAAATATTTTGATACAGGCATGTAATATGTAATAATCACATCATGAATAATGGGGTATCCATCCCCTCAAGCATTTACCCTTTGTGTTATAAACAATCCAATTATACTTTTTAGTTATATTAAAATGTACAATTAAATTATTATTGACTATAGTTCCTTTGTACTATTATCAAATAGTAGGTCTTATTCATTCTTTCTAACTGTTTTTTATACTTGGGATTTTGAACTTTCACCATGCCTTATTCAGGACAGGACATTTTTCTCCTTCTAGTTATAAAATTATTACTACTCTTTCATTTTCTCCATTCTTTCTAGAACTCTTAATAGGCGAGTTTATATGTCTAGGAGTAAATCTCATTTCCTTTGATTTTCTCTCAAATATTTTATCTGCTGTACATTATAGAGTATTTCCTTGACTTATTCTTCTGGTACAGTAAGTCTTCAGCTGTTTCCTTTCCATCATGCATTCTTTCATTCTGAAACTTTTGTTCTTATTTCCAAGAATTTTTATTCTCTGGTTGTTCTTTCTCTTCTTACTGGAACATCATTTTTATAACTTCTACTTTTGTCATATGTAATTATTTTCTCTACCAACCTTTTGACTGGATATAAATATGTTTGTTGCCTAGGTCAAGACTTGGTAATAACAAGCCCTTAGTGGATTTTAATTCACTTAACATATGCCTTCACACTTTTTTCTGATAACTTATATAAATATATAGTTTTATACAAATTTTATGTATTTTATGTATTTTCATCAGGGTTTTATTTGTAATGCAAATAATCAATTCCTTGGGAGAGTATCTCAAATAAGAAAAGAACACTAGTAATGTAATTGCTCACCAAATTATGCAAATAGATATTTTAACAAGGAATGTATTCCTCACCTAACAAACAACTGAATTGTAGAAATTGCTAAGATCTTCATAGTTTTTTTAAGGTTAAAAGGTAGGATTTTATTTTCCCAACATGATAAAAAAGCATATGCTTCCTGGTTGAAAATACACACACACACACACACACACACACACACACACACACACACACAAAATACAGGAGAAAAAGGAGAAAAAAAATATTCAATATTTTCATGACTTTGAACTAGCTGTTTCATAGTGCTTCATTTAGAATTGATGACAGCATTGTTTTAAGCCCGATTTATTTTATACCTCATCTTTTATAAATATAATACACTTTAAATAAACATGGATTTACACATTTGCCAGAAAACTATAGTTCAGTTTTGAAGAGTTGTTTTTAGATACCTAATTATTATGCATTAATTACAAGTACTATTTAAACTGCTTGGACCAAAAGGGATATTTATTTTTACCCTAAACATTAGATTTATATGCCTTGTTACAAACTTAGCTGCCCAGAGATATTTTAAAGCAGAAACACATTAGGCAGCTGAGTTACTTTCCAAAGCATCCTTACTGAGTAGTGTTTTGAAGCCGCAGCACATGATATCAATAGAGTATTTTGATAGAATTTTAACAGTCTTACTGCTTATCTCCTCCTGAAGGAGCAACAGTTAGGAGAGTGTCAATAGTTCTCTTTAACAGAATAAGTGAATGGCAAGAATGTGTTTGACACTGCTATACAATAAAAATCCTAAACAACCAAATTAACCATTCTAAAGGAATTGTCATAGACAATTTTATTGGTAGGAAAATATGAAAGTTTTCACAAGATTAAATCAAATATGTTTTGTTATTTCTTGCATTTTAATGTTCTTTTTATATAATTTGTTTTGTTTCATTTTGTTTTGTTTTTTTAGAGATGGAATCTTGCTATGATGACCATGCTGGTCTTGAAGTTCTGGCCTCAAGCGATCCTCCCATCTCGGCCTCCCAAAGTGCTGGGATTACAGGCTTGCAATGTATAGAATTTCATGACGACAACTTTGGTCCTTTTCCAAATGTATCCTCTGGGCCTGGGAATCTAGCCATGGACTTAGAGTCCATGGAATATTCTTGGAGTCCTCACTTAGTTCTTAGGTTCTGAGAAACCTGTGAAATGCCAAACCTCAGCAGTTGCTAGCAGCATATGGTGGCATTCCTCTAAATGGGTCAAGTCACCATGATCCTGGACACAGCCAGAGAAAAATAAAGTCATACTGGATCCTGGCTTGGGAGCTTTGTCACATAGATATTTTTTGTGTACTTCTTCAGATAGGAAAAAGAGCTGGAGAAAGCACAGAAGCTGGAAATGAAATAAAAGTGTTTTTATTTTTCCTACTGTCAGAAAAGAAGGGGGTGGGAGCCATGGCTCACACCTGTAATCCCGGAACTTTGGGAGGACAAGGCAGAAGGATCAGTTGAGGCCAGGAATTTAAGACCAATCTGGTTTCTTTTATGGAGACCGTGTCTCCACAAAAAAACAAAAAATAAAAAAAAAAAGAAAACAGAAAATTGCCCTTGGAATTCTCTTGTGATAGAAAGAGCACTGTCCTTCCTAGGACATGGCTGGCTGTGTTTGCAGCTTCTGATAAATGTGGCTTTCTGACATCCTTCCAGAGAAAGCCTATGGGCCTATCTGAGAGATGGCCCCTCTCACAAACCATTTACTCTTCCAGATGTCCTCATTTTTCCTATGACCTGCTCTTGCCAACTTGGATGAATGACTTCACTCAAGGAATAAGGGTGAGAGCCAGATGCACCCACACTGTACTTAGCAACTTACCCATGCCAAAACATTGGCCTTCCTTCACCTTTATGGACGTGACTTACTCCATGTTTCCCTGCACCCAGCATAAACTCAATCTCTGTCACAGTTCTTGACTGGAAAAGGCCTACAAAAACAATTCTTTGGGGAGAAGACCTCCCTTTAGATTTTGCTAAGAGGCCTCCTTAACCAACATAGGAAAAAAAAAATGGTCCCTCCTTCTAATGGAGTTCATTAATGCATGCAGAATGAGGCTGATTATTTATACTGAGTAATTTAAGTCCAAAGAAGAAAATATAACAGATCCCTTTAACAAGCAGAATGCCTGATACACTAGGGATAACAAATTGAAGACAAGTAAGGACGTGGGTTGCTCTCCTTGAACCTCCCTGCACCAGAATAATCAGGTCTCCTTCATTCTAGGGCCCACTCTCCTATTCCAACAACCAGTCACTAAGTAAATTCTGGCTAAGTGAATGTTGCCTAATTCCATGGTAGCAGTGTAGCATGGGCTATGCTTAACTTGCTTTTGGCTACAGCCATACCCTTGTTGTTGTGTGTTCTCACTTAATCCTAAACTCTGGCGACATCTCCAACCACCTTTTCTTTTTGCACCTCCTTAAAAGTCTTGGTCAGTAGTTTTCAAACTTGAGGGCGATCAAAACCATCTAAAGGTTCTGGTAAAACAAAACATGAGTTTCTAGGTCACACTCTCAGTATTTCTATTTCAGTAGTAGGTCTGGAATGGAGTAGGGGTGGAGAAAAAGGATTTGCATTTTTAACAAGTTCCCAGATGCTGCTGATGCTGCTGGCCTAGGAACCACAGGTTGAAAACTACCAGTCTAGACTAGACTCAAAATGTCAAATGTAGAGTTGTACTATATGGCAGTGTACAGCTCTCTTACCAAAATTTTACCCATCACTGATATTTGAGTGTCAGCTTGGCACCCAAGACTCTGACCTTGTTTTTGTCCACCAGACTCACACCAACTGCACCCACAGCTATGATCTTTCATTCATTATATTGTGTTAATGACCTTGACCTGTGTTGCCTCTCCTGGCTTGCCTTGCCCTGTTGTCGCACACACTAATGACAAGCTATCATTTTAAATCCTTCCATGTGGAAGCAAAACTTGTCCAAAAGTAAAACTTGTCTACTCTCTACTTTAGTTCTCATAAATTATAACAAAGCGCCAAAAAAAGAGCTCATTTTGCAGTAGGAAGAGCTCATTCTGGATTAAATGTCAACAGAGCATTGATGACATTAATTGAGACATTAGTTGAAATAATTTAAATTATAAAAAGATCAGGGTGTGCATGTGCACTAATTGTGAGAAGAAAGGAAGTTTAAAGAAAGCATACTTCTAAAATAAGCCAAAAAGTGAACAGGCCAAAATGAAGGAAAAAAGCTAAGCATGTAATTTGTCTTTTAATAGATTTAAGGAGGAGTCAAAGAAGGGTTTGAGAAATGGTTGTAAAGAAGATACACAAATGGCCAATAAGTACATGAAATAGTGCTCAATATCCTTAGTTCTTCCGGAAATGCAAATCAAAACTACAATGAGATGACATTTCACACTCATTAGGAAGGCTATCAACAAAAAGGCAGATATTAATAAGTGTTAGTATGTGGAGAAATTAAAACCCTCATACATCAGTGATAGGAATGGAAATGCCACTTTGGAAAACAGTTAGTTCCTCAAAATGTTAAACACAGAGTTACCATATCACTCAACAATTCCACTGCTAGGATCTACCCAAGAGAACTGACAACACATGTCCACACAAAAACTTATATGCAAATATTCATAGCTGTTTTATGAGTCCATCTGCATTGCTATAAAGGAACACCTGAGGCTGGGTAATTTAAAAAGAAAAGAGGTTTATTTTGGTTCCCAGTTCTGCAGGCTGTACAGGAAGCACGACACCAGCATCTGCTTCTGGTGAGGGACTCAGGACGCTTACGATCATGGTGGAAGGCAAAGGGGAGCTAGTATGCCACATGGTAAGAGACGAGAGACAGAGCAAGAGAGTGAGGAAGAAATTCCAGCATCTTTTAAACAACCAGCTCTCACGTGGACTCATAGAGTGATAACTCACTCATTACTGTGAGGACGGCACCAAGCCATTTATAAAGGATCCACCTGCATGACCAAAACACCTCCCACCAGGCCACACCTCCAACATTGGGGATTACATTTCAATATGAGATCTGGAGGGGACAAAGATCTAAACCACATCAGCTGCGTTATTTATAATAGCTCAAAATGGAAACAACTCAATGTCCATCAACTGATGAATGAATAACCAAATGTATATCCATCTAATGGAATATTATTTAGCCATAAAAAGGAAAGCAGTACTGATAAATGCTACAATATGAGTGAACCATGGAAATCTTATGCTAAGTTAAGGAAAACAGAGACAAAAGAGAATATAGTATATAATTCCATTTATATAAGATGTCCAGAATAGGCAAATCCACAGAGGCAGAATGTAGATTAATGGTTGTCAAGGAGTGGGGAAGGGGGAATGAACACTGACTACTAATGGGTATAGAATCTTTTTTAAGGCAACAAAAATATTCTGGAATTAGATAGTGGTGTTGACAGTTGTACAACTCTGTGAATGTGCCAACACCACTGAATTGTACGTTTGAAAAAAGCTGTATTAGTCCATTCTCGTACTGCTATAAAGAAATACCTGAGACTGGGTAACTTATAAAGAAAAGTGGTTTAATTGGCTCATGGCTTCACAGGCTGTACAGGCAGCATGGCTTGGAGGGCTCCAGAAACTTATAATCATAGTGGAAGGCTAAGGGGAAGCAGGTACATCTTACATGGCTGGAGCAGGAGAAAAGAGAGAGAGTATGGAGGTGCTACACACTTTTAAACAACGATCTCATGAGAACTCACTATCACAGGAAGAGCAAGGGGGAAATCTGCCCCCATGATCTAAACAGCTCTCACCAGGCCCTTCCTCTAACACTGGGGATTACAATTCGATATAAAATTTGGGCAGAGACACAAGTCTAAACCATAACAAAAGCTAAACAAAATAAACCAAAAAAAAAAAAAAAAACAGAAGAAAAGAATAAAAGAAACGGTGCTGGACGTGCCTGTAAATTCAGGAGCATGACAGTTAGTAGATGGTGGATGGCTGCTTGAACAGATGAAATGGTTAATTATTTGATATTGACTGTGCCCAGAATATGCAAAACACGGAAGGCAATACTTCTAAATAAGACCAGGAAAACAGAGTCTGTTAACTCCATGAAATCTGTCCAGGGGTGTTTTTAGTGCTACTGGAAAGAGTCAGATAAACCTTTGCCACTGGAGTCCCACTGGACAAATCCTCTGTGACTGCCTTTCTTACCAATAACTGGAAAGAACATATAGTAAAGAAAACTATGTGCCATACACAACTGCCTACAAATCTAAGGACTGAGAGCCACTTCCATTTTTTCACAAAGCTTGCTTGGATATTTCAGTGCAAACTAGTCAATTGACAGCAGTGAAAATGTACGTGGAGTTCATAAATAGTGAGAGAGAGATGAACTACAGTGATGCTTGGAAAAGACACAAGTCCATCAGAAGATCTGAAGCCCTCAGATGTGGTTATGTTAGCTGATCACAGGGATTTCTTTAGGAATAGAATTACAAAGAGTCTCCATAGAAAGCACAATGTTTTATTTTACAAATAAACTCTATGGAGAACCATCCTGGCATTAGAAAACATTAGGTCAAACATTCATAGGCAAAAGTTACCATCCTCTTAGGAACTGAAGTAGATCCCTTCCTATGTCCTTCTGGAAAGATTTTCAGAGTCTGTATGTCTTGGCCTTAGGTTTGTTTGTCTTCATCAATATGTAAAAGTTGGAGGTTTTATGTGTGTTTATACATATGCATGTACTGTCAGCCACAAGCATGAACAGGCCAGGAACAGCTACCTCTGTGATGTGTATTAAGAAATGCTGGGAAGGTTTCTGCATCCACTAGTGAGGTGAGGATTTTGGATATGTCTCCCTTTGCACCCCTCTTCCAAACCTGGGCGTAACCTGTCCTACAAAAGAAGATTAGAATTTCAGAGACACTAGGATTGTACAAAGAGAATAAGATGATCCTCACTGAGTGCTTAACATGTGGCAAGCACTGTTCTAAGCCTAAGGTTATTTTCATCTTTTCCTAACTTTAGCACTCACCAAGACCTAGTATTTAAAATACTCACAGAAAAGCAAAAAATATCTAGCTCTGGACTAGGATTGAACAGATGGACTTCTCCCTATTCCTCCTGCTAACTATAACTAAAAACCCTGGACAGTATACATAAAACAAATATAAGAAGACTCTGAAAGGTGAACAGAAGAAGGCAGCCCATAGGACCAACACGGTGATGAGTTTTCTGGGTTTTCTTTTTGCCTAACAGATTTCAGCCTGGGTCCCAAAGAAGCCAGCAACCCAGAAATGCTAACAAGAGCAGACTAAAAAATAAATAAATAAATAAATAAATAAATAAATACCACCACCACCACCACCACCACCACCACAGGAAAGGGATGACCTAACAAAACAGAAAGATAAAAACTATCCTATTCCAACCATACAGCACAGACAAAGCCAAGGCTTCATCCCTTCCCCTGTCATCAAAGGTCCAGTGGGGAGCTGAGATTTCTACCTGCACCTCACTGTACCGAGGCACTTCCTGTCCTGAGTGGTATCAGAGGAGGCTGGTTAGGAAGCCAATTTCAGCCCTTGCTGGTGGTAACAACCCCCCTCCCCATATAATGTCAGAGCAGACCACATAGGAAGCTGGCACTTTTACTACCACCCAGCAGGCCTCCTCACTACTGGGTCAGTGGAAGCTAACTGGGGAGTAGTAACAAGACAATGTTTCCCCTCCCAGCCAAGGTGGCACTAGCTGAAGCCCAGCAGGGTCTGAAATCCCAACTCTTCTCAGCAGAAAGAAAACACCCCTGCCTCCCTGGAGTGTCAAAGGAAGCCGAAAGAGGAACTGGACCTTCACCCCTACAACATGGCAGTTGTAATGAGGCAGAATCCCCTTTCCCTGTGAGTGTGATACAGTTTCAGAGAAAGTCTGCTAAGTCAAGATTTTAAAAAGATCCAGAGTCTTATAACATACAGGGTATTATATAAAATCACTCATTATACCAAGAACCAGGAAAATCTCAACTTGAATTAGAATAGGCAATCAACAGACCCAACAAAGAGATGACACAGGTGTTAAAACTAAGATTTTAAAGGAACCATCATTTTTAAAAATGCTCCAATAAACAGTTATGTACATGCTTGAAACAAACAAACAGATAGAAAGTCTCAGCAAAGAAGAGAAGATGTAAAGAAGAACCAAATGAAAATTTTAGAACCAAAAAATACAATAACTGAAATAAAAAACTCAGTGGCTGGACTCAATAGCATAATGGAGAGGACAGAGGGAAGAATCAGTGAACTTGAAGACAGGACAATAGAAATTATTTAAAGTGGAAAACAAGGAGAAAATAGAAAATAGGCTAAACAAACGTCAAAAAAAATAGAGTTTCAGGGACCTGTGAAACTATTACAAAAGATCTAAAATCATATCACTGAAATCTCAGAAGAACAGAAAGAAAGTGGGGCTAAAATAGTATTCAAAGAAATAATGACTGCAAATTTCCCACATTTGGCCAATGATATAACCTATAGATTCAAAAAGTTTAGTGAACTTAACTGAATACAACAAAAAGGAATTCATGCTAAGACAAAATATAAACATCTGAAAACTAAAAACAAAGAAAAAATCTTGAATGCAGCAAAACAGAAATGAATCCTTATCTATATTGGAGAAAAACCATTTAAATTACAGTGGATTCCTCATCAGAAGTAATGGGGGCCAGAGGGGTCAGGTGATGTGGCTCACACCTGTAATCCCACCACTTTGGCAGGCCGAGGTGGGCAGATCACGAGGTCAGGAGTTTGAGACCATCCTGGCTAACACGGTGAAACCCCGTCTCTACTGAAAATACAAAAATTAGCCAGGCGTGGTGGCACACACCTGTAGTCCCAGCTACTCGGGAGGCTGAGTCAGGAGAGTCACTTGAACCTGGGAGGCAGAGGTTGCAGTAAGCTGAGATCATGCCACTGCACTGCAGCCTGGCCAACAGAGCAGAGACTCCATCTCTGAAAAAAAAAAAAAAAAAAAAACCAGAAACAAACAAACAAACAAAAGAAGTAATGGGGGCCAGAAAGAAGTGGCAAAATATGTTTCAAATGATAAAATTAAAACTCTGTCAAACCCAGAATCCTATATCCAGCAAACTTATCCTTCAGGAATGAAGGGGGAAATGAAGACATTCTCAGACAAAGGAAAACTAAAATAATTTGTCATGAGCAGACCAGACCTACCCTACAAGAATGGCTAAAGTTCTTGAAACAGAGAGGGTGTGATGAAGGAAATAATTTTGAGGCATCAGGAAACTAGAAAAAATAGCAGAAAAAGCAAAAATATGGGAGAATGGAAGAACTAATTGTGCTTCATACAATGAAATACTACTGACCAATGAAGAATAATGAACATTGATACATGTGACAACATAGATAATATGGGCCGGGCGCGGTGGCTCACGCCTGTAATCCCAGCACTTTGGGAGGCCGAGGCGGGTGGATCATGAGGTCAGGAGATCGAGGCCATCCTGGCTAACAAGGTGAAACCCCGTCTCTACTAAAAATACAAAAAATTAGCCGGGCGCGGTGGCGGGCGCCTGTAGTCCCAGCTACTCGGGAGGCTGAGGCAGGAGAATGGCGTGAACCCGGGAGGTGGAGCTTGCAGTGAGCCGAGATTGCGCCACTGCAGTCCGCAGTCCGGCCTGGGCGACAGAGCGAGACTCCGTCTCAAAAAAAAAAAAAAAAAAAAAAAAAACATAGATAATATGAAAGACTTCATGCTGAACAAAATAGACACAAAGAGTACATTGTGTATGGTTCCATTTACATTAAGAAAAGAAAAAAATAATTCATGGTGATAGAGGTCAGAGCAGTGCCTTTGAGAGGTAAAGATTCACTGGATTGGCCATGAGGGAAAATAGAACAATAAAAATTACTTAATATAAAATGCTTTCTGATGTGATGGAAATATTCTCCACATTGATTGATGTATGTACGTAATCAAAACTCCAGATGGTATATTTAAGATTTTTGCATTTTATTCTGTAAATTTTACTCAAATTCTTAAAACCAGAATGACTATATACTTTTTAAACAGAATAAGCAATAGCTCCATGTAAGTTCCAACCTATGATTTTCAAAGTAGAACATAAGTAATGGAAATTTTTGAGTGGTAATTTATTTCTCTATTCAGATGTAGGTTTCATTGCAAATTACTTATGGTACAGCAAATTTAGAATCCATATTTGCTTCTTGATTTTTTTTATATTTGGAAATGAACCAATATATTCAATAAAATATTTATACCTAAACCACGTAGTTTGAAAGTTTTTTTAAAAAAGAACCAAACATTTGATCTGTAGAAAATGAATTAAGTTTTACTTTTGCTTGTCATCACACACACACACACAAGGCAAAGGGGTACCTTCTCATTACAGTAATTTTCAGAGAGATGTTTGAAACAATAATTTATACCTGCTGGGGGACTGCTTCCTTGCAAATTGCTTTACTGCCCAACAAGCAGTAACACCAAGTTGACTCATTCCCTGTGGCAGGCTGTATTACCCAGAGATGCCCAAAACAATATGTCTCAGCTCATTTGCTTTTTGGCAATGTGGCCTTGCCACTCCTTTAACAAAAGCTGGAGTATAAATCCCTTCCCAATACTTAAAACCAATAAAATATCTTGAAGTGATTCTGTAAAATCAAATATATTGTTACTATAGCAAAAAATTAACAAGTTTCCATCCCAACACCAACAAAGAATTTGTGGCAGGGATTTAAATTCTCTACCTCTATCTATTTTCTCTTCTTTCTTTGAAGTAACAGAAACTTAGTATTTAGCTAAGTTGGCTGTTGCCAGACTTCCAACAGACCTGTATCTATTTTCTCTTCTTTCTTTGAAGTAACAGAAACTTAGTATTTAGCTAAGTTGGCTGTTGTCAGACTTCCAACAGAAGGTGATAAGCCTCACCGGTTTTGCCTTGATCTCTTGGAATATTTGCTGTATGGATGCTCCTTCTAGGAACTTGACTCATTCCTTAACATGGATTATAATTACTTCTGACCATATTATCCTAAAAAAAAAAATAGAAGCCCCTGAAGTGTGATTTAGTTTTTGGGTTTACTTGGACTCACACTTTAACAGTATGATCATCCTTCTTCCAAAGTTCACTGTTACTGATTCTGATGGCATTAATTTGACTGAGTCATGCCATAGTGTGTGTTGAAAATAGCAGACAAGCTATGGGAGTCTTCTGTCTAGATGTTTAAATTCCAGCTTTGCCACATACCATCTGGTGATCTTCGGTGATATTTTGAGACTTGCCTGTAAAATTATCACACTGAAACTTTATTCATAAGAATCCCTGAGATTATTTGAGATAACGATTAAAGTACAGTGTTTGACACAGGGTGTAAGTCCCCATTTGTGTCTATTATTATTAGACACACTTCCTCACATATATAGAACATTATTTTATCTGTAGAGTAATTAAAGGTTTACTTTCCTTCTCTACACTAGGGCTGTTCTATTCCCTACATGCAAATGATAGGGTGTTTGGCAACTCAATTGCTGGTGGTCCTTTAGTCATATTATTGGGGTGCGTGGAAGATTCTACATCATTATGCAGTGGAATCTTTTTCTTTCTTTAGCCTTAGGATAGTCACTCTAGTATAGAAATTCTCTGAGAAATGCTACCAGGAATTCCCATTAAAAAGCCTAACAAATGTTTTCCAACTAATGCATTATGTTCTGAATTTATAGGCACAATCTGAGCGAAAAAGGTCTTGGCAGTCATTTAATGGAATTATTACAAAGGCAAATTAATATGTAGATTATTGGACAGTATTCATTTCATCATACAGGAGCATTTTAAAATTAGTTTCAGAAAAAGGGCACTCCATAATAAACTTTTAATTTCAAGAGTTGCACAAGGTAAGGGCTGAAAATTATAATAGGCCAGGTACCATGTCATCTCTGATATACTACAACACTTCTTTATGAGCACATTACAATTCAGAGAGCTAATAATAAAAAGAAGTGATGCTGAGATGATGAATTGATGCTATGCAATTAGACCTATTAGAATTCACAAGCGTCGACAGGCAATAATCAAACCCTTTTCACGCTGCCCATTGCAATTATCTTTGCACTTAAGATATCAACAAAGCACATAATGACTTGCACTCGATTAAAGAATTCATGAGAAATGGAATTTTAATTAGCGTGTGGAAAATTTGGGCCATTTATTACTTTACAGGACAACAAATTGTGAAAACTAGTTGAGAAGTTAAAAACAAGTGATAGATGCTTGGCTGGTCATGGTGAGAAAATTGGACAATGGAAATTTCTAATAGTGACCCCCACCAAAAAATTATGATTAATAAAGTAAAACCTATTATTGGGGAAGGGAGTTATAAGTGCATCATTGATATCATGGTTGATTGATACACAGACATTAAATCCATTCCCAATTTTGACTTTCCCAAAGCACAATATTTTATACCATTCACACTCACATACACACAAACGTAGTCACTTATACACCACCTACATCAGAATCAATGAATATCTATTCATTACTATCTGTGTGTAAAAAATAAAGTATATAATCTTAGAAGAAGTGAGATTATTAATTTAACATAGGATTTTTAAAAGTTCAGTGAGTGGAGATTTTGCTTACTCAATTTGCAGATTTTTGTGTTATGAAAAACTGCTATGTAATGGCTGTGTGTTTTTAATGATGTTTATTCATGAAACATGTTTTATTGTAATGCACTTGACCTTGGACTAGAAGATTAAATTATCTTAGTTTAGTTCATTTCAGATATAAATAATAGCTTTTGGCAGTTAACACATAAGTTAATGGAAATTCATATTTATCCAAAGTTTCCTGGATATTGAGTAAAAGGTACCATGTTTATAAATAAAAAATGTAAAGTGCCAATTTACAATGCAGTCAATTTAATAACATATTTCTCATGCTCAATTTATCATCTGATGTGAATCTAAAGTACAAATAGTCAAGGAATTATCCACAATCACTGCTGCACTCTGTGACTAAATGAAAACAAAACAAAGACTGAATACAATGGCCCTTCCCACTCGGTTCATAAAACAACCAGGAAAAGAAATCAATATTTATGAAAATAAACCATTGATTCAATCCCCAAACAAAGCCAAATTGTACATGAACAATTCTGGAAGTTATCTGTCTCTTGTCTTGTCCGTCTCATTTACTTTGTTGTTAAAAATTATACTAATTTGCGATGTAAGATTTGAATGTCTAAAATGTGGAAAATATTTGAATAAAAATCTATCCAATGTGGCATCAGATATTTTAAAACTTTATGACAATTTGAAAAACCAAATGTGTGATTTCTACAACAAAAAATTAACAAGTTCCCATCCCAATATGAACAAAGAATTGTGGCAGGGATTGAAATTTTCTATATCTATTTTTTCTTCTTTCTTCAAAGTAACAGAAACTTAATATTTAGCTAAGTTCACTGTTGCCAGGAATAAAATGTTACATTTTTCAGTAGTCCATGCCAGTAGATGTGGTCATGTGACCAAGTGTCTCATAGAGCTTCTGGAAAAGCTAAAAACATCAAAATGATTTCATTTTGCTCTTCTGACTTTCCTTTTTCTTTCTGTCTACACTGACATACTCTAACCTGATGATGGCTGGAACTCCAGCAGCCATCTTGGGTCATGAGGTAGATAAAATATCATAATACCTTTCAAATTATAGGAAGTTTTACACAGTAATTTGCATAATTCTACCATGCACATATTTTCCCACTTGAGTTGTAGGAACCCAGCAAGATAGGTCATTAAACAGTTTGTTTCTTTCCTTTCTTTTATATGCTGCTTCTTCCTGGGTTAATGTGATTATTTTAAATCATTTTAAAAAATAGATGAACTTAAAAGTACAATTCCAACAAGGCATTTAGAGAAAAGAAATATTAATGTGTAAAAACCATGGGCTGAGTCAAGTATTGCAGATGAATACTAAATTTAGTGTTGAGCTTCCAGGCAGCTAAAGAAAGAAATACACGAAGTTGTCCAAAGAGACAATCTGCTCTTTTCTTAACCTGATAGTAAATTTAAGGACGTCTACCTCATTGAACTCTCATATAAGGGATATTGAATGACATAGTGGATATCTTAAGCAGTAGTTATGCAAATGGTGCAGAAACATTCTGCATATAGCCACCACACTGTCATCAAAGAACCAGAGGGTATATCATTATCTCTTGATTTGGAACAAGATTTCTCCATGTAGCTAAAATGATATGACTTCGGCATAGTCTACTTTTTATACGGTTCAATTTTAGAGCATCTAAAAGAATAAGTGGTTCGTCTGGTCCTTCAAATGTCTCTTCCAAATATCAGGCACCATGAGTGATCTTTGAGTGATATTCAGGTTCAGGTATCAGTTCCCTTATGACCACCAAAATAATACTGCCCTAGATCCAATAAATAGGTGCCCCTTCCGTGGGTCCTGTATTTTATACACATGCCAATTTACTTTGGTCACTGGGATTCAGTGTTCAGCTCTGGCAGAATGTGATGTATAATCCTAAACATCTGATCTCATCATTAACACTGTTCAGACCCCAGGGAGGTGCTTACATCTCTTTTCCTGTATCTCAGAATAAAAGGAGACTGCATTTGAATGTCACAAAGGGTTGTGGATTGTGCAAATGCAGACATCAGAGATGGACACCCTTTCAGAGTGGAGGGAGGACTTAGCAATAGAAGTGCTTAGGTAAGGGGAAAAATAATTAATTAACCTGTCAAATCCTTTCTCTAAAATACCTTAAGTGCAAAAGATTCTCAAATAATAAAGTGTTGTTTCCTAGGAGAAACAACTATCCATCTCAATTTCTTTCATGTAACAAACTGTGGTCTTGGGCAGTATTCATGAATTAGAGTTGAATGTGTGACAGTTGCACGTATTGGCTAAGTCACCTATTGCAATAATAAGCAATTTGTATCATTGTCTCATGTACTTGTTGGCTTAATGTATAACTACTAAATGTTTATCCATATGGCATTAGGTGTCCATTTGTACTCTTGTCCTGGGTCCTGCGAATGTTAGAGGAGACATGGCCAAAATAGTTAAAACTTATGTGTCAAATTAAAAGTGTATTCATCTGCTTGGTATGTTAGATATCTGGGGAGGGGGGCACTCATCATTTGGCTTATTTTACAGGTGAGGAAACTGAGATCTGTAGAGAAGCTCTGTGTCAAAGAACCCAGTTTCCTTCTAGACAACCTAAGAGACTTTCCACTAACCCATGTTTCATCTCACCATAATTAACTTTTGCTTTATGTCCGAGATGCAGGGAGTTTGAGTACTTCTAAATTAAAGCTACCCAAATTATGGTTTGCAGATCAGCAGCAGCAGCAGCACCTGGGAGGTGGTTGGGAATTCGAAATCTTGGGGCCCCACCCTAAACCTGCTAAATCAGTCTCTGGGAGTAGCATTGGAAATCTGTGTTTAATGAGCTTCCTAGTGAATTATTTATGTACTCCCAGTTGATAATTTGCTTCTAACCCCTTGTTACTCAAAGTGTGGTCCATGGTCTAGCAACAGGGGCATCTCCTGAGAGCTTGTTACAAATGCAGAATCTCAGGCCCACTGAATCAGAATCTGCATGTTAAAAAGATGTATAGAGGATCTGTATAAACATTAAAGTTTGAGAAGGGCTGCTCTGATTGTATCTGTAACTTAAACAAATACCAGTTAGATTACCTATAGTGAAATCTCATAGATTTAGTCTCTGAACTACAAATCGGGATCATGCCTTGTGCCATTTTATAACTTTCTAGCACACGGAGTTTAAATAAACTGTAATGATTGCTAGCAAATAGCACAACCTGGGATCCTAGTGATCCCCTTACGTAGTTAATATGGTTTCACTTAGTTTCATCATTTTAAGTCTACTCAGAGAGTGGCACATGTTGCTTAGCCATTTAGAAATTTAAACATGATACAACCATACTGGTAAATGAGTCTTTTAAAGCCTCTGCAGCTACTAACAGTGATTTGATCTTTTCTCACCTTTACCCCACCAAAAATGAGGTAATTGGGTGACAGGGTCAAACATTGCAAAGAAAACCAGATTGAAAAAATAAGAGTATGGCAATTTAATCCAAAGGAAGGTGACTGAATATATAGTCATCAAAGTAGCATGTGAAGTTTCAGTATTTAAATCAGTCACCAGTGAATTCCCAGAGGGTGGGGGAGACTATCTGAAACCTCAAGTTTTTTACTCCAGTTTTTTTCTTCTTCAACTTATGACCCAGTATGCTGATGAAACAAGGCCTTAGCTGAAACTACGAAGGCCGCATTTCAGAGGTTAAGATAAATTTGGAGGCAGGTTCTTGAAAGAAGATAATTTTTCTCCTCTTATTTTTAACGGTTATTTACTCTAATAAATGTTTAAGTGTTTAGACTTGAAAATAACTACAATCTGAGTTGGTATCATTATGAATGACATCTTCAGAACTGAACTTTTCAACTTGACTTCTGCCTCATTATTGAATAGTAGGTGCTGTATGCTCTTTATATTCCTGTCCCCTGATGCTAATGATAGTAATGACCAAATGCTTAGAGGATGCCCAAAGGGTTGTGGCTACTTTTTGTTTCTGTTAAGTGCTGTAACAACTTATTTGGTCCTCATTTTGACAAAACACAGAAACAGAGGTAAAATAATTTAACAAACTTTAAAACAGCATGAACAAACTGGAAAATATTTCCATAAGCAAATATGACAAATGAATAATGTATTTAATCCATAAAAAGCTCATGTACGCCAATAGAAAATATCTATTTCCCCAATAGATACTTGAAAAAATGTTAATTATAATTTTAGTAACAATTATAACAAAGTCATTTAACGGCTCTTTACCACTGCCAGGAATTGTGCTAAGTATTATGCTTATAATATCTCATTTAATTCTTACTACTCTGTGAAGTCTTCATTATTATCGTCATTTTGCAAATGAAAGAATGGAAATTCAAAGAGGTTAAATAAGTCACCTGGAGTCACACATACATACATTTACACAGTGTTTTTGTTGTTGTTGTTTGTTTTTTGTTTTTTTGAGACAGGATCTTTTTCTGTTGCCTAGGCTGGAGTGCATTGGTGCGATCACAGCTCACTGCAGCTTCGACCTCCCAGGCTCAGAGTGATCCTCCCACCTCAGTCCCCCAAGTAGCTGGGACTATAGGCATGCACAACCATGCCTGGCTAACTTTTTTAACTTTTTGTAGACATGAGGTCTCTATATTGGCCGGGTTGGACTCAAGTAATCCTCTCACCTCAGCCTCCCAAAGTGCTAGGATTGCAGGCATCAGCCACTGCACTTGGCCTACAGTGCAGATTAATGTTACATCTGTCCAGTTGCCACTATCTAAAAGGATGTAGATCACGTACAAAAAAAAAAAAAAAAAGAAGTCCAGATGCTAATTCACATTTGAAAAAAAATGCTCAATGAAGCCACTATTCAATGACATTAAATTTAAAACAACTATTAGAAAAGACTGAACAATCTATGAAACTCGAACCCAGTCAGGAGGCCATGAGATAAGCACACATAAGCACTGGTGGAGTCACATGTCAAGAGCCTTTGATATGCTTCTAGTTCCCAGCAGATTGCTACACTCTACGGAGTCTCTTCTATGGAAATAACTTTGTAAATGTAAATTGTGGGGTTCATAAAAATTGCCCTCACAGGATTCTATACAAAAGAGAAATTGGGAAAAAATAAACTGCCAACCACAAGGGAGCAGTGAAATGAATTATAGTCCATTAACCCAAAGGAATATTATACCATTATTAAATAATAATTATGAGAAAGTTTACACAGGATAATACTAATGATATAGTATTTTATTGAAAACATGAAGACGCTCAGTTGTATATCCAGTGATCTCTAGTATACAAATGTAAATAAATAGGTATAAAAAATAATAAAAATGCCAAGTGTCAAATGTAAGCAATAATTATCTCTGAGCAGTAAATTTATGACGAATTTTTGCTTTTTATTATGCCTTCTAATAAACATATTCACTTAGAACTGACGCGTTGGCAATGCTTATAATTAGAAAATTAAGAACTACCTTAACTTTTAAAAATTGGAAACTTCTGGCCAGGCACAGTGGCTCACACCTTGTAATCCCAGCACTTAAGGAGGCTGAGAGGCTGGGTGCGTTGGCTCATGCCTGTAATTCAAACACTCTGGGAGGCTGAGGCGGGTGGATCACGAGGTCAGGAGTTCGAGACCTGTCTGGCCAACATAGTGAAACCCCGTCTCTACTGAAAATACAGAAATTAGCCGGTGTGGTGGTACACGCCTGTAGTCTCAGCTACTCAGGAGGCTGAAGCAGGAGAATCGCTTGAACCTGGGAGGTGGAGTTTACAGTAAGCTGAGACTGAACCATTGCACTCCAGCCTGGGTGACAGAGCAAGACTCCGTCTCAAAAAAAAAAAAAAAAAAAGGAGGCCAGGCCAAGGCAGGAAAATTGCTTGAGTCCAGGAGTTCAAGACCAGGCTGGGCAACATGGCAAAAACCCGTCTCTACAAAAAATATAAAAATTAGCCAGATGTGATGGTGTGCACCTCTAGTCCCAGCTACTCAGGAGGGTGAGATGGGAGGATTACTTGAGCCCAGAAGGCAGAGGCTGCAATAAGCCATGATCATGCCACTGCACTCCAGCCTGGGCAATAGAGAAAGACCCTGTCTCAAAAATAAAGTAAAATAAAATAAAGATTGGAAACTTCTCAAAATAATCACAGAAAAAGTAAATATCAAAAAACTAATTTGGGGGACTTAGGGAAATTAAAAAGAATAATCACTTAAAAAAAGTGATAAGCATTAAATCTAAACTCTGTAAAATTTGGCTGTAGGCCAGAGATTCAATTGTCTAGTGGGTAGTCTTATTCCTGTTCCCCTAAATTAAGAAAGGCTTATATGTCTCGATACAACTAAAATACAATACTTTAAAAATATTTTAAACATTTCATTGTTGCCTAATGGTAACACACAATAATGAGATATAATCTGTTTAAAACGCTAAGAATATCATTCAATGTTTAAAAATCTATAAAACTATGAAAACACATATATATATATACTATTTTAATTATTAGCAATATTTACTAGTATTCTCTTTTTGTGTAAAATATAGAAAAGTAAATTTTCTCCTTTGGGATGTCATTTTTATGATGAACATTGAAACCAAACTTTGAGCAAAAAGCCCTTCATGGTTAACTGACAAACTAAATGAAGAAAAGATTAAAGGTACCTTAAAAAAGAGTCACTCATATATGGGGAACAGGGAAACTCACCAGGGCATGAAAAGGAGAACCAAACCAGACATGAAGAGGACCTTATAAGGACCTTATAAGAGTGAGCAAAATACTCACCTGCATAAACTGGCTCTATGCGACCTTCCTGAGTGTTGAGTTTCCAAAAAATGTGCTCTTTGGATACCTGAGGCCCAAAGGGCTCCAATTTTTAAAGGTTTTTTATGTAGTCTTTCCAAAATGTGGCAAGTGCATCCCTGGTAAGGCCTGAGCCTGTCATCTGCTTCTCGATAGTGGCATATCTGGTATGGATAAGACTCAGGCACTTCAAGGCAGAAGGGAGGGGTAGAGAAATATTATGGGGTGGCTGAAGTGGGTACTTCCTGATTTCAAGTACATATTGTACCTTCTTCACAGTTTTCCCTCTGCTCAGTCCTGGCCAACAATGAAACATAATTTAAAAACCACTGTCAAAAACATATCCAAAACCTGGAACAGGTGAAAGTGTTTTTGCAGAGTAGTGTTTGGCTTGGCTTACTACTGATTGGACTACTTTACAACTCTTAGAATGCAGACGTTAACCCATAGATTTTTGTCCAGTAGAGATGTAAATTATTTCTTTTCAATGGAAGGTATAATCCCAAGGATTATGGTTTATGGTCCTCTAAGACATTCACCAATTTTGTATCTAAGCCAGAAATCTTATTCTAACATCTCGGGTAAAATTGCCATATATCTTAGCTCCTCAAATGCTCCTTAAGACTGATTTTAACATCTTACTAGTTTCCTTATTAATTAATGAATTAAATAATGCATTTGTTGTATGTTCTTGTTATATTTGTATGTTATATTTTTAGTTTTTTTGAAATCAATTCTTTTTTTTTTCATTTTTTAATCTTCAACTTCTATTTTAAGTTCAGGGGTACACATGCAGGATATGCAGGTTTGTTACATAGGTAAACATGTGCGATGATGGTTTTGCTGCACAGATCATCCAATCACCTAATCACCTAGCTATTAAACTCGGCATCCATTAGCTATTCCTCCTGATGCTCTCCCTTTCCCTGCTCCACTCTTAAGGGCCCCAGTGTGTGTCGTTCCCCCGTGTGTCCATGTGTTTTCATTATTCAGCTCCCACTTATAAGTGAGAACATGCAGTGTTTGGTTTTCTGTTCTTGCATTAGTTTGTTGAAGATAACAGTTTCCAGCTCCATCTATATCCCTGCAACAGACAAGATCTCGTTCCTTTTTATGGCTGTGTCATATTCCATGGTGTATATGTACCACATTTTCTTTATCCAGTCTATCATTGATGGCCATTTGGGTTGATTCCATATCTTTGCTGTTGTGAATAGTGATGCAATGAACATATGCATGCATGCATCTTTATAATAGAATAATTTACATTCCTTTGGGTATATATCCAGTAATGGGTTTGCTCGGCCAAATGGTATTTCTGCATCTAATCTTTAAAGGATCGCCACACTGTCTTCCACAATGGTTGAACTAATTTATACTCCGACCAACAGTGTAACAGCGTTCCTTTTTCTCTGCAACCTTACCAACATCTGTTGTTTTTTGACTTTTTAACAATGACCATTCTGACTGGCATCAGATGGTATCTCACTGTGGTTTTGATTTGCATTTTTCTAATGACCAGTCATGTTGAACTTTTTTTTCATGTTTGTTGGCTGCAAGTATGTCTTCTTTTGAGAGGTGTCTGTTCATGTCCTTTGCCCACTTTTTAATGGAGTTGTTTTATTTCCTGTAAATTTGTTTAAGTTTCTTATAGAATCTGGATATTAGAACTTTGTCATATGGATAAATTGCAAAAATTTTCGTCCATTCTGCAGGTTGTCTGTTCACTCTGATCATAGTTTCTTTTGCTGTGCAGAAGCTCTTTAGTTTACTTAGACCCCATTTGTCAATTTTTGCTTTTGCTGAAATTGCTTCTGGTGTTTTTGCCACAAAATCTTTGCCTATGCCTATGTCCTGAATGGTATCACCTAGGTTTTCTTCTAGGGATTTCACAGTTTTGGGTTTTACATTTAAGTCTTTAATCAATATTGAGTTAATTTTTGTATAAGATGTAAAGAAGGGGTCCACTTTAAATTTTCTGCATATGGCTAGCCAGTTCTCCCAGCACCACTTATTAAATAGGGAATCCTTTCCCCATTGCTTAGAAAACGATTCTTTAATACCACAAAAGTTAAAACTGAAAGACTTCTTACAAAATAATTTGCCTATACTCTTAAAAATTTCAAGATTATGAAAGAAAAAAGGATTAGGAACCACGAGGCTGGAAGAACATGACAGCTAAATGCAAACAGTAACTCTGGAGTGGATCCTGGACTAGAAAAGTGTTTTTCTTCCTTCCACTGTAACAGAAATTAGTGAAAAAAATAAGGAATACTAAGATCTAAAGGTTAGATAATAGCATTTAATCAATGTTAATTTCATGGTACTGTCATTATGTAATATAATTGTTTTTAAGAAATATTCTCTAAAATATTTAAGGGTAAAGAGCACCAACTCTGCAAGTTACCTCAAATAATTCAGGAGTTAATAATATATACATATTATTGATGTTATGGAATGATTAAAAAACATGGTAAAGATAGATTTCACTGAGAAATCAGTGAAGGGTGTACTAGAATTGTTTGCGTTATTTTTACAACCCTTCTGTAAGTCTAGAAGTTTTCAAAGTAGAAGATTAAAAATAATGCTACACAAATAAGAATCAGTTAAAGCATGCATGAAATCATGTAATCAAGGTCATCCATAACAACACTAATAAACTCTGATTTAACACTGTATGGTTGATACAATTCTTTTCCTTCCCTTTATTATCTAGCTTTACCTGACTGATTTCTGGAAGAAGCTTTTTTTTTTTTTTTTTTTTTTTTTGAGACAGAGTGTCGCTCTGTCACCCAGGCTGAAGTTCAGTGGCTCAATCTCAGCTCACTGTAACCTCTGCCTCCTGGGTTCAAGCAATTCTCCTGCCTCAGCCTCCCAAGTAGCAGGGATTACAGGCACCCACCATCATGCCTGGCTAATTTTTGTATATTTGGTAGAGACAGGGTTTCACTATGTTTGCCAGGCTGGTCTTGAACTCCTGACCTCAGGTGATCTGCCTGCCTTGGCCTCCCAAAGTGCTGGGATTACAGGTGTGAGCCACCACACCTGGCCTACCTGATTTCTTTTAAACTTTCACAGTATAAACAATTTTCTCCCCCAATTGAAGCATGGAAAGATTCAGCAACCATCATCTCATTACTAATCTGGTGATTCTGCCAATACCTGATGCTGCTTTTTACTATAGACACCAGGTTGGAGATTTTCTCACCCGCTCCTTTGTACATAACCACCAAGAGAGGGCTGTGAGAGTAGGAGAATGAAGGAGTGACAGCGGGGCTGGGGAAATGAGAGGATGAGGGTGGGAGCCAGCGTGCAAGACGGCAGGCTATTTATTCATCATTCATCTCCCATTTCTTTCTTTCTTTCCTTGAGTCAGGGTTTTGTTCTGTCACTCAGGCTGGCTAGAGTGCAGTGATAGGGCTCACTGCAGTCTCAAACTTCTAGGCTCAAGAGTTCCTCCGACCTCAGCCTCTCAAGTAGCTGGGACTACAGGTGTGTGCCACTACACTTGGCTAAGTTTTTTATTTTTATATTTGTAGGCATGGGGTCTTGCTATGTTGCCCAGGCTAGTCTCAAACTCCTGGCCTCACGTCATCCTCCCACCTCAGCCTTCCAAGCATCTCCCAGTTCTATCAACTGTATGTTAGCTACCATTCTTTTCTCTGAAGTCTGTCTTGATACTATACTACAGTTCAAGCAGAAAGAGCTATTTGGGAAGAAGCAACTATGGCTCTTTCTGCCAAGTTAATTTGATATAGATTTTGGAAGAACTTCTTTTAAAGTAATACTCTAATACATATTTCTATAGACTCAGAAAACTTATAAGAAAACAAGATAAAGAAAGAAGTAAAGAAAAAGAATAAAGGAGAGAGAAGAGAAAGAAGATGGGAGGTAACTACACAAACATGCAGACCTAGAGCCTGCTGATGACCAGTGGACGTATTCTCATGCACAACCGAAAACTCAGATTTGCTTCTTCAATGACACCAACTTTCAACCAGGCCACCAGGACAGCACAAAGCTGACAGCTCTGTCTCTGTTAATAAAGACTCAGAAATAGCTTAGCAGTGTGTTTTGACACCAAAAATTCACTGCGGAGTTAGAGATCAGTTTGTTAGGAACATTGCAAACTATAAAAATCTAAAAGGTTTTTAAATATTAATAGCACTTGAATGGTTTTCTCCCAGATGGCCACAAAGCTGACTATAGTTCTCTCCTAGAACCCTCTGCTGTTTATCCTCTAAATGTCCCCAATATAAAACAGTTTTAATCTTTGTTGCTGCTGTAAAACTTGATCTACTGTGGAACAACATAATTAAGTGTCAGTGTCTGGATGTATGGAGTGAGATACAGACAGAGTAATCCAGGATGTATGTCACTAATAATTTAGTTTATGGCTAAGTGATAATGGGATCCCTGAGTATTAGCAGGATGCCTGGCACTGGAGGCTTCTTAGCTTGAAGCCCAGGTGTGTGGACATATGAGGTGGCAGAGGTGGTGCTGGTAGGAGCACGTTTGCCTCACTTTTTGCCTATGTCTTCTAGTTCATTTGCCTGTTAAAGGTCTACATCACTCTCACAGTACAATTTTAATGTAAATCCAACTAGAAAGGAACAACAGTTTGATTTGAAAGATTTGATGTTCCGTTGTACTTGTTCTTGTGAAAATTATGAAAAGGTTGTGAATTAAAATGTAATTGACAGAGAGCTACTATCTTGATGTTATGGCTTGCTGGCAGTGTTGGAAAGCCAACCCAGAAGGTGATCCAAGTTACATGTACAAACAATGAGAGTTATGAACAGAAAGGAAGAGGCGGAGAGGAAGGAGTGAAGACAGAGGAGACGGAAAAGGGGAAGAATGAGAAAGGTGGGAAGGAAAGGGAAGAGAGGATTAATATTTTCTGGGATCAATTCCCAAATAAACTAATATATATGGAGAGAGAGAGAGTTTTAGATAGATAGATAGATAGATAGATAGATAGATAGATAGATAGATAGATACATAGTTAATAGAGGGCACATATAGTTATATAATTTATTTAACTATATAAAGTTGTATATATGTATTAACTCTCTCTCTCTCTATATATATATATATACACATATGTGTAGTTTTCTAAATTTTTGATGATTTGGTTGTTGTTATATAACTTAAATGCTTCATGAATCAGGCAAAATTTCACCTTCAAAATGAAGATATCCCTACCTCCTGCCTAATCCTTGAGCTGGGGTTTTATCTTCCCTGTGCAATGCTCAGAAAGGCATAATAACATTTATCACATTTATTTTTTTCTTTCTCTGTTTTCATAGCCGACAGAAAATATTTCTGATTGGCAGAGGGTTTTTTCTTTAGGCAGGTGGAATGGCTTATGCCCTGCAGCCTGGGATTCATTTGTCGTTTAAGGTGACTTTGTATGTGGCTGCTCTGACCCCTTTTGTGTTGATCATCTTATGGTTTACATCTCAAAGAGCAGGCTTCTTTGATGTTCCTCAGTGAAGGGCTGGGTTCGGGGACTTGTGCTGCAGCACACAGTTTTGGCTGCCCCACGCCACACCCTTTGGCCCACCTCTTCACTATAACTGCAGTCAAGAGGTGAACTGTTCCTGGCATCCTAATGGCTTCCCACCTCAAATGCCTTCAGGGCAATCAAATCTTCTATCTCAGGGCTTTCTCTGAAGCCTTATGCACAGCCTGTGTGTGTGAGCTCATCCCAGAAGTGCATAGATGTGAATGTCCCTGCAGACAACCCTCAACCACTGGGGGCTGGGAGTCAGTGAATAAATACTTCTGCCTCCTGTTCTCTGTAGGGACAATTCTGAGGTACATTCTACATAGTTGCCCAGAGGAACCTCAGTGGAAATGAGCCCCAGGCTTCACTGTCTCACTCTCCCCACTTCTTCATTTTTGTTTTCTGGGGATCACTTCCCAAATAAACTATATGTGCCCTGGATTAACTATGTATACAGTTTTCTATATTTTTGATAATTTGGCACTGCGGCCTTGCTGACCAAGGAGGGATGGCCTCTATCAGGGTTAGTCAGTTCTTAGAGATAGCAAATGAGCCCTGGGGAGCATGCTTTTCATATCCAAACCAACCCATCCAGACCGCATACTCTGAACTATATGACTCTTAAACATGAGGGGTCAATAGTTCTTTCCCATAATTATCCCAGGGCAAGGTACCAGACCACTAGAGATGGTCCCTAAATGCCAATTCTAAACCTGCGTATCCTGCCTTGCCTGGCTTTTCCTGCAGAAACCACTCTAAGGCCTCCTGTGCACCCTTTCCCCTCACTCCTTTTGCCTGCTGACTGGGCCTGGTGCTATCCTGTGTGGCCCCACAGGGCATGGCTGCCCCCTCTTCTTAGGAACTGTGAGTAACAAACTATCTTTTCAATGCTGGTTACCTCCTGACCTGTTGGCCTCATAATACCTGAATAATGAAATCTATGCTTTAAAATAGTCCCAGATTCTTATCTCAGGCTCTGATTTCAGAGGAACTCAAAGACTGATGATTACCTATACATATTTTCTAAACGAATGCACGATCCAATGATGCTCGAGAGGTAATTCTACAGAGGAGGAAGAGGAAGAGCATTCAGTTGAATGGCCTCTACTGAGGGGACTATGAATATGGGATGAGCACTGAGCTCATCTGCTGAGCCATTTAACTACACGTCTCACATCCTTGCAGCACCTACTGTATTATCACCCAGCACTCCTTTCCTTAAGGTGTCTTGGAGAATCATGAATGGCAGGTAGCTTGCACCATAAGATGCCAGAGGAGAAAATGAGGTTAAGAAAATCAAGAAATTAAGTTAAGAGAATCTATTTAAAATAAGAAACACATACTGCCCTTGTTAGGGGATAGATTTCCCATTCTTATTTTTAAACTGAGAGTACATTATAGTTATATGTTAAATATACATCACAAGAGGATAAAGAATGAAAGTCAAAACAAGTTGAAGAGAAAGAAGGAAGTAGTATGTATTTGAGCCTCTCAGTGAGAAGAGAGGCCATTTTTCATCTCAGGCCCCAGGGTATCTGTTAGTGCATTGGGAGAGGTAATTCATTAAATGAACCTAAGGTTAATGCACCTTCAAAAGAGAGCAATTTATCTCCTCTTCTTCAATAGGATCAGGCCAGGAGGTTCTACCGTTGGAAAAAAAAAATCATCTCGGTGAGATAACACTGTAATGATCTCAGGTCCCCTGAATTCCATCTTTCTCATTTATTATACCTACATGACTAATGCACTGAAGAGGATCTGTATTTTCTCCTCAAGATATAAGTACTTAAGTTATTTCTTGAACACCAGGATATTTTTATATTTCTCTTTATATATTTTCCTTCACCTACTGAATTCTCATATTCCAGCCTGACCGAAGTGCAGCCAGGGAGGCATCAAAAAGGAGGGACACACTAGCTTAAAGTAGTTACTCAGAAATTGTAATAGCCTATTTTAGAATAAAGTCAATAATAGCAGTTATGATGTTATTATAAAACATGCTGAGTTAACCAAGTGAAACCAAGGGAAACAAACACAGCTACAAGTGAAATTTTTCATGCTAGATTGCCCGAATTCCGGTTGATTCTCAGAAAAATTATTCAGCTTCTCTCTTTCTCTCTCTGTGTATGTGCGTGTACATACATATACACATACACACATATATTTACACACATACATATATACCCCCATACACTTATAAGTATTTCTAGAATTTTAATAATATGCCAAGCACTATGTTGGTCATGGAAAAAAAAAAAAAATAAGTCCTGGTTTCTGCCCTGTTCATGGTAGTCATGCAGGGACTCAGCCTGATGGAGGCTCCAAGTTGGCTAGGTGCTTTCATTATTACCTTATGAAAAAGGTGGCATGATAAATCATGGATTAGCTCTCAATCCCTTCACTCAGAAGTGAAATATATCACTGTTACCCACATGTCATTGGCCAAATCCAGCCATATGACCATGCTGAACCCTAAAGGGGATAGGAAATTAAAATCTTATCTTTGGGCTAAATGGCAGGAAACCAGAAATGTTTGATAAATAGCACTGATGTCTGTGACATTTACCAATCAACAGTGGTGAAATTTATTTCCCTTCAGGGTTTATGTAACTTTAGCTGAGTTATAGTTTACTGCCCAAGGCTGAATATAGTTCCAAAAAAAGAGCAAGAGTAAGTTCTTACTATTTTAGGGGGGACAATTACAAATTGCCAAGCAGATTGGCTACATGTATTTCAAGGTCAAAAAACTCATATTCCCTTAGGAACAGTGCCTTATAAATAAAGTCATTGTCATAAATGACAACTCATTTAAGGAATCACACACCAAACACATAGAGTTTTCATCACCTGAGTCTCTCAGAATAATAAATGTTTCGCAATGCACTTGAGGCATCATCTTATGACCTGGGCTTACAATGAGAAAAGCATATCTTTGAAAAGTATGAAGAGAAGAATACGGGCTTTCACACAAAATGAACAGTGCTGAATCCACTAAATAGTCTGGCTTCAAGGGAAACTGCTAGCACAAAAAACAGAGGGCCCTGCCCAGACACTGAACCTGATTAGAATCGGCTAACCCTAATAGGTTAATATACTAACCATGTTGCTCGACTCTTTGGAGATACAGAGGTTTGAACACACGCCATTATGGATATTTTATTGTTATTTGAGCACAAAGTAGGTATTTTCTATTTTGATCTGCTACTTCTTTCTCCCCTGGCTCCTTTTCAGCATTGAACTGGGGGCAGAGGGAGGTGAAGGAAAATAAACTTTGATACGGAATTGAGGCAAGTGGTCAGTTCTGCTTTGTCAATGATAGACAGCCTCGACAACAAAGGTCAAATAAGACTGGAATAATTTATATGAGAAAGTGAGGACTTTATGCAAAAATATATTAATATATCAAAGATGATGGCTGTCTTACCATTGAATGTTCTTTTCCTAGATTGATGTGCCGAATTTTATAAAAATCCTACGATTGTGTTTCTGAAAGCCCCCATTACATTCGTGTGTAGGGGATGGATGGAGGGAGAATCCAGGATAATTAAGGACATCAGAAGTATCCTTAATACCAGAAGAAAAAGGAAGAAAAACACAACTTTTTTGAACCTCCCTTGTGAAACAATTTTTAAAAATGAACCAAATATTAAACAACCAATTTCTGAGAACACAGAACAAATTGCTTACTCATGGATAATTATGAACAAATGAACAAATAGCAGGCTTGGAGATTATGATAAACCCTTAAAGGAGAAATGTAATTAATGATGATGATAAAAATGCTAAGTATTTGTAATAATAATTACAACATGTCTGTCTCCAGAGGTCCTAGTTTTTGATGTTCCTTTTCAGAAAACATCATCAGAGTTTAATCAAAGGCACTGAAGGAAAATATGGCTAATTTTCTCCTTAACTACACTGAATGTCCATGGAAAAGCTGTTGGTTATCATTGAGAGATGTTCCAGTATATATTGAAATGGTCCCTGTTGTGCATGGGGACAGCTGTCTCATTGTCCAGTAACCTTAAATGCTGGGTGTGCATACAAGGTTCCTTTCCTCCTAGGCTGACTTTAGTTGATCCATAATAGATCTATTAGCCAAGGATTTATCTAAACCATTTTAAAACTTATTTATATTGTGAATCTTTTTTACTTTTTTGTGTGTTCAAGTGCTTAATAAAATTATTGAGTTTGATGTAAGGCATATTTTAACATGTCTGAAAACAAGTATCACAGAATTCACAGCTGGAAAAGACCTCGGGTCATCATAAAGGGGAAATGTCATTTGCCTAAAGTCACACAGTCAGTAAAATGAAAATCCTGGCTTCTAAAACCAGTTCACTGGACTCCAAAGCAGCCTCCTAAAACTAGCTTATGTGCCAGTGAGATCTGAAGCAGTGGCTCTCAACCATCAATCATGTCGCTGGCTCTTTGGCAGTTTGGTGGTGCTATGGACTGTTCACATAGTAGTGTTTCCAAATGAATAAAATACAATATATAGGATTACAAAGAAAATGATTTATACTAAAATATGCTTCTTAAAAAATAGGCATAGATATTTTAAAAACTTATCAGATGTTAAAATATGCGTCATGATTAGCACATGAATAAAATTTAGTTGAAGTTTTAATAGCTAGCATACTTTTGAAGCAGTTAGGAACACAAATGAGACTTCTAAGATATCCGCAAGTGGAGTGTGACACAAAAATACCTGAGACTTCCATGGGAGGCCAAGTTTCAGGCACTGCTGTTAACTTTTGGAGTTCAAGGACTACATTCATCATTGAAGGACATATAAATTTCAGTTAGTAGTTAGTGAACAATAAAAATTTTTTTTTCCTATTCTACTTCATGGGTCCAGGATTTTGAATCCCAGACCCCAGATTTACCAGATTTAACCCAATAATGCATTCATACATATACTATTGTATATTTGGGTATACCATCTCCAACAAATACTTATTTAGCACTTCCTGTTTCCTTGCTGCTGTCTTAAGTCCGGAAGAAATACAGTGAACAGTTCCTGTTTTATGGAGCCTAGAATTCAATTATGAAGACAAGACCCACACACACTGATATTTTAAAATATTCCATAAAAGAAAAAAGTAGACTTCAGATCATTGGAGGGCAAGGTTGTCTAGAATCTGGTGCCAACTGAATGCTAAATGCATTAAAGCAGGTGTGCAGGTGAACAGAACCTGGGTGCTAGTTCGTCTGCTGACTGCCTAATCCACCAGGTATGATGAAGGAGAGAAAGAACAAGTGGAACAAATAACTTTCAAATCTAGATAGAGAGCCACACAGCCAAAGCAGATACCCCCAAAATGTGAAGCAATATATCAAAAAGGCCCAGACTAAATAGACAAAGTTCAGGGCGCTCCAGAAAAAAAAGGTGTTTTCACTGCATGATAAGCATAAAGGCAGGTTTTCAGGCAAAGACCCCATTGTCTTTGGTTTACATTCACTCTCCATCCATCTGTGAAAACATACACATACCCCAGTCTTTTGTTGACATAAATGGCTCCAAGTTTGATTCCTAGGCTGGCAAACAAGGAGTCATTTCTCATGAGTGAGTGATATATAATACTGCATTCCTAAACGTTTTCTCCCCCAAATTCCCGACAGGAGTTTGAATATCCACTTTGAAACTTGATGATAAATGGTGGAAACTCATTTCCTTCTAGTATTGCTGTTAGAATAAGACTTATTTAGCAAACAACAGATTAGTCGACTCTGAACTAAGCAGGAGGATGGCCTCTGGTTCATAGTTTAGAAACTGAGATTTCTTTTGCTTTTATTGAATACGTCCAACAATACAAAGAAGGGACAGCCTAGTTAATTTTAACTTTGTTATCAGACCATCTAAGTCGTTATATTTATAAATTAATTATGTAGTAAATTTAATAATAGGCAGAAGACATTTGAAACTGACTTCCTTTAAAGAGTTCCTAAGCTAATAATGACTATACTCACCAAAAATATGACATAATTGCCTTGAAACTTAATCTGATCCACTTTAGCCCAGATAAATGATACAGCATGTTGCTTAAATGAAATCACCACTTGTTACACACTCAGGAAACTGTAATTTAGGGCTAAATGTTGTGAATTATTTGAAGATAATCTATTTGGAAATCATAGAATGAGCCACCATAGACATTTCGAGGCATCAGAAAGAAAAGAATTCAAAAGAATATTATATTATCTCATGTACCAAAAGTTTAAACTATTAAAAGCTGACAGACTAATTATTTTCTTCTCAAATGGTGAGTCTGTGTTTATTCCCTTTTCATCAGAAACTCATTCATTCATCAATTTGACAAATGTTTATGGGAACCCCTAGATGTCTGGTAATAGGGAGGATACAAAGATAAATAGAGTATGATCTATGTACTTAAGGATCCTATGATACAGTAACAAGACAAGATGTGCATGCAATCAACAAAGTGTCAAGCTCCACATGGTTAAAGAGCATTTCTTCAAATCTGCCCCCACTGTATTTAGTAGTCCATTAAAGCTCCCATCATATTATCATAGAGTTGTTTGAATGCCTGCCTCCCTACTGAAACAACAGCTCCCGAAAGATATGGAGGTCATCTTATCATTTTGTCTCTAGGGCCAACAATATGACTTGCAGGTGTATTTTAAACATATATTAATTGAATGGAAGGGCAAGCGTATTTCTAATTAGCATTATCAGAGAGTGCTCTTGGATCAGTGAGGTTTTTAAGCTGGCCTGTGAAAACTAACTTGATACTTTCCTCCTGGGGAACTGGGAAGACCGCATTTCCCAGAATTGTCGCACCTGGCTGAGATCAGGTGGCTGAGTGCTGGCCAATGTTGATGAAAGCTGTGAAGGCCACTCTCAGGTCCAGCCATGAAATATTCCACGTTATCCTTTATTTTCTCTCTTTTGTCCACATGTCTAGAAGTGGAGGACTTGGGAGGGTAGAACCACATGTTTGAAGGACCCTAAATCCCCAAGTTTACTGCTTACAGGAGACTCACTCAACTAGGAGGATGACATTGGCCTTTGTGTGAATGAGAAATAAACCTTTATCAGGTCACTGAGATGCTGGGGTTGTTTATTATAGCAACTACCCTGTTCTGACTGACACATGTGGGTAAAATATTGATAGGTAAAAACAGGGGGCAGTGGACAGAGCAGGTCATTCCTTTTGAAGGGGATGACATGAGTTAGATTTACAAATCCATGGGAAGGCACCCAACCCCAGTATTTCCCCTAAAGATAGAATTGTTCTCTTAGCTTACTTTTAGTTAGGATATCATGAAGCAGGGGCAGTAAGCTCATGGGCCCAATCTATTCCTTTGGATGTTATATTTGTCTAAGGCAGTGTTGGTCCGCACAGTATTATAAACAGTTGAATTTTTTGTTGCTAATAATTTTTAAAAGGGGAGGGTTCCTTGAAACATTCGCTATCCGGAATGATTCAGACTGAGTAGCATCTGATCCCTTTAAATAAGGCCTGGGTTCTTTAACTTTATGCAGCATCCCCCACTCCCTCCTGCCTCACACCCAGTCTAGTTCCAGCAGATAGTTGAGTTTGACACTCCTTCGTTTTAAGCCATTAAGAATTGGGGCTCCAGGCCCATGCAGTGACTGTGTGTTTATTTGATAGGTTATCCTCATCTTGTTCCAGGTAGTGGCTGTATCTGTTCCAGGGGAAGATGCACACTTGTGAAAATGTTTGTGGTGTGATAAAACAAGGGCTTTTGTTCAGGATGTGATTGGGAACACCACAAGCCTATCATTCTGGATGCTGCCTACTGTTTTGGGCTTAAGACAATGTTGCTGGTCTAGCCATTGCAATGGACATCAGGAGGTTTTACTCTCTGCTCTCTTCACTTCTGCATAAAAGATAATTATTTCAGAAAGAATAGCTTTATTTGAGTATATACTAGAGGTATGGGGCATGGGGAAAGGATAATCCAGAATAACTATCCGAGTGCAATATAGTAAATAAGATCTATTTTTTTTTTTAAGAGACAGGGTCTTGTTCTATTGCCCAGGCTAGTGTGCAGCCTCAGACTCCTGGGATCAAGCAATCCTCCCATGTAGGTGGGACTACAGGTGCATGCCACCATGCCTAACTATTTTATTTTATTTTATTTTATTGAGATGGCATCTCATTATGTTGCCCAGGCTGGTCTTGAACTTCTGGCCCCAAGCGATCCTCCTGCGTCAGCCTCCCAAAGTTCTAGGATTATAGGAGTGAGCCATCATACCTGGCAAGATCCAATTTTTAACTGCTGAGGAATGGGAATGTAGAATTTCTGTGATTATTTTTATGACAACAAGTTCCCATTCACTGCATTATCTTCCCTCTTACTTAACACAAGCAGTGTAAGTGTATTCTGAAGTTCTGGGATCTGGCCACCATTCCATGTGGGCTAATAAAGGCAAGAAATGCAACCAAATACCTCTATAGATGGTGGTGGAAATGAGAATGGGAGGACAGAAGGCAGCTTGTACAAAAGCAGTTACAATTTTACAACAAAGTAAACCAAGTAAAGCTTCTGACTGGAAAAAATGATGAATTGACCATGTAGCTCATAATGATATTTTAATTTGTCCATTTACCTGCAGGTACCTGTCTGTACATGTTTATAGACGTCACATCAATGAAAGCATAGGTATGTTTAAGATGTACCCTTACGGTGAACACATCCTAAATAGAGTACCTCCATGTCAGCGCCAGAAGATTAAATGAATGAGTAAAGAAATGCTATGTGAATGAATGAATTTTGTAAAAGTATCAACCATCCTACACAATACCAGATGTCTCCAGTTTTTCTCCACGGCAAATCAGGAAGTCTCCTAAAATATTGATAGAAAGAGATGCCTAGGGGAACACACCTGCATGCCTCTAAGTTATAAATAATGCTCCTGTGCTCTGAGTGCCAGAAAAGATAAATTTTTGGCTTATTGATATAAATTATTCTTCCCTCATTAAGGTCTAATGAGCCAAGATTAGAATATCCTGGATTCAGGGTCTTCCGCCCCAGGAAAATCAACTAGGTTCTTTGTGTCTGAGCTTATGACCTTGTTAGCTGGTTTCCTGGCCCACATTTTTACATATTTCCCCACCACCTTTATTCACAGCTCACTAGATTGTAAATGTAAGACACAATTGCACAATCATTTACCCTGGAGATTAAAGTCAGCATTAAACTTACCAATAGCTTTATTGCTCCAACAACCCATTTGATTTTTTATTCCCCTCCCTCTCTCCACTATTCTTATCCCCCACTAAATGAATTTATAGTTTTGTTACTATGGGAAGACAGCTTAGGAATATGAAAAGATATCTGAAGCAAAACAGCAGAAGCAATAAAAATTGGATGCAGAGTTTTACTTAGACTATTGCCTTTTAGGGTCTGTTCTTTTGCTAACCACAAATCTGGTTTCAGATTTTCATTCTACTCAATTCTACAGCAGAACAGATGTGAAGGTCCTGTACTCTAGGGGTATGATCTGACCACCTATTTTGTCATAAGTTTTTTTTTTTTTCAAAGTGATGAATTGATTCTCAACAAAAGGAAACTTTCTTTGAGCAGAGCATTCACTGGATTTAGGAAATCACAAACTCAAGGGAGGCAAATAATCTTCTTCAAAGGCATAACTAACTGCAAATGCAGAGGCCCGTCATTTCCAAGAGGAATTGAATTTAGCAATAAAAAGCAAAGTCAAGGGATGGACATGGTGAGATGTGTAAAAATATAAGGCAACAGGAAGAGGAATGTTTCTCAGACTTGAATGTGAAAATTCACATCAAAATGCATTCCTAGAAAGTACTAAAATAAGGAACACCATCTATAGTAATCCAAGCATGCTATCCAAATACAACAACAAAATAGTTCTAACGGGCCGGTCTTAGAATTAGCAAAAAAAGGTTATATAACATAGTATATGTAAAAGGAAGGAAAACACACACACACTTTCTAAAATTCATTGCTTAACATTTAATCCAAAAGGATAGACATATAACCCCAACACACTGCTGTTGGCCTTTGGCAGTTGAGTACTTTGGACAAGCATTAATGACAATATTAATCCAGAGTAATCAATATGGTCCTGTCTCTCAACCTGAATCCTGATATTTTATTCTATTAATTAATAGCTATTATTAGGAAGAAGATACCTATTGCAGCATTAGCTATAATTGCAAATACAGTTGACCCTTGAATAACACAGGTTTAAATGGCAAGGCCCACTTTATACGAGGTTTCTTTTTTCAATAAATATAATCAATGCACTGTATCTGCAGATTCTGCATCCACCGCCAAACGTGAATCGAAAATACAGTCTGTGTAGGATGTGAAACCTGTAGATATGGAGAGCTGAATTTTCTATACTCGGGTTCTGCAGGGCCAGCTGTAGGACTTGAATCTGCTCTGATTTTGGTGTGGTCAAGGTCCCCCTGTATATAGAGGGACAACTGTAATGAAAAACAGCCCAAATGCACAATAAAAACATGTGTAACTTTTATTCTACTAAATTAATGGGACCACTGCATATAAAATCATTAAGAAGTCACTGTAGTAACACAGAAAATGTTTACGACATAATTAATAAAAAATTGGAATATAAAATTGCACTTAGAACATGATGATTATAACTAGAAAAAACATATCACATTTTCTTAATTTTATGATGCTGTCCATTTTGAGGTGTTGAATTAAAACTGTATGCTGGCCATGTGCAGTGGCTCACGCCTGTAATCCCAGAACTTTGGGAGGCCAAGGCGGGTGGATCACTTGAGGTCAGGAGTTTGACACCAGTCTGGCCTGTAACCACGGAGCGTAGATATTTAGATGTAAGGACAAAACTAGCTTCTAGAGAAGAGAAAAGCTGGGTAATTAGCTATAGGGGGAAAAGTGTTCCCAGAGAGGGCACGGTGCATGCAAAGGCCCAGTGACATGATCGTGCATGGTGTGTCTGTTGAACTAGAAATTCCTCCAGGCTAACAGCTGCAAATGAAATAAAGGGGAATTCATTTCTGAAATTCTCAAACATTACATGATATTAATTTTCTACTTATCCTTAATTCACCAGATAGAAGTTTAGATTTTGTACCACAATTTGTCTGGGTGCACAGGCACCATAATTAGCTTGAACTATACCCCATCTAAATTTCTACGAATTCAATTAGACTGAGCAAAAAGCTAAACGGATAAAAAAAAGTATTTTCAGGTTCCTTGTAATCAACAGTCATTGTAGTTGATTCCAGCAAAACAGACTGTTATGGATTAAATTGTGTCCCACCCCAAATTCATGTTGAAGCCCCAAGCCCCAGTACCTCTGAATATAAATGTATATGGAGATAGGGCCTTCAAAGAGGGGGTTAAGTTAAAATGAGGCTATTAGGGTGGATGAACCCTAATGCAATCTGACTGGTGTCTTTATAAGAACTAGACACAAAAGCGAGAGAAACCAGGGGCACAGGTGCACAAAGGGAGGACCATATGAAGAGTAAGCAAGAGGGTGGCCATCGGCAAGCCAAGGAGAGGAAGCCAAACCTGCCAACACTTTCATCTTGGACTTCCAGACTACAGAACTGTAAGAAAATAAATTCCTATTGTTTAAGCCATCTGGTCTGTGGTATTTTGTCATGGCATCCCTAACACATTAACGCAGAGATGCAATTTGGGAATCTTTAAATTGTCCAATAATATCAAAATGCAAGAAGGCCTAGGTGTTGGTTAGTAAGAATGACCTTGGCAATGCCAAAAACACATTAATAGCATCACTTGCAGCATGCTGTAATTCATAGGTAGGAGGGAAAAAGAGTACCCAGAGTCCCTGTGCTCTCAGCATCCTGTGGACTGGTATCCTTGGGGCTGGGCCAGCTGGATGCACCGTAGGCTGTTCTTGGAGAAGGGCCACTTTCCTTTATTTAGAATGAGAAGAGAGCTGTCTTGTAAGCAGGGTAAAAACAGTCTGGGGGTGAGTGCAAAACAGTCTGCACCCAGATGCCACCTTTTTAGGGCTGATGTCTGGGAGTGTTAGCTGCTAGCATCTGGCAATTTGTGAAACTTGGGTTCAGGTGCAGACACTCCTCCGGGAGAGGGTGGGAGGAGTGGGGGGCTTTGATTCCAAGTAGCTTGTTAACTAGGCAATCCAGGAAATCTGGATGGTAATTTACTAAACAATCTGGCTTGTCTCTGCACAGGTAGAATTGTTTATATCTGTCAATAAAAAAATAAGCTAGCACAAGCATGAGGTAAAGTGCACAAATTTTAAGTACCATTTGATAACTTCCTATATATTTACATGGAGGTAACCACCACCCTAGGCAAGATACAAAATATTTCCAGAGAGCCCCTTCATGCCACCTACCAGTCAATACTCTCACGAAAGGTAACTAATCACTATTCTGGATTTTTGTGTGAAATTCTGATTAGCTCAATCTAGGTTATATAGGAGCCTAAAGTAACCTCAGGCTTATCTAAGAATTTTAGCAGCTACAGTATTTGCTCAGGTAACCACACCATGTCTGCCTCCATCTTGCCCAATCCTCCCTTATGCTTCCTCATAGTCCTGTCTTCTCTTCCATCCTCTTCTTCAGCTGTTCAATTTGCCCCTGCTATACTGTGGTCACTACCCATTACCACAAAGCATAGAGAGCCATGGAAAAGCATGCTTACCCAGATGAGCTGCTTTCCATATGGAACATTGCAATGCCAGGGACCTTTCTGGAAAATTGGCAGCTTGGCCTGCTGTAGTGGTCATTTGTAACATTTTATTCTGCCATGCACATTTTCCCTTCTGAACCTGCCCCTCAGCTGTTGTGGATGAATATCATATGCTGATGGGAGGAGGTGCAGGACACAGAGATTGGTGCAGGTTGAGCAAGGACTCATGCAGAGACATCAGATCCCATTTTCAGGATTGATAGGGAGGTTAAAAGAGAGAAAGCATCTTTCTCCTCTGTAGATCTCAAGCTCTAGCGTAACAACTTAGAGCAAGGGTTATATGCATGCATAGGTGCTGGAGCCAAACTAGCTAGGCAAATCCACTTCCAATCTTTATAATTCTGTGACTTTGGACAAATGTCATAACCACACAGAATAATTGTGAGGATTAAGTAAATACCTCATAGTCATTAAAGTTTGAAGAAGGATGCCCATAAGATGCACTTACAGAGTGGTAGCCACTACTAAGGTTACTTTAGAGTGGAGTGGTAGAGGCATCTTTCCTGCCAGCTGAGAAGTACCTGCATGAGACAGTCCCCATAAAGTAATACAATATCAAGAGAAGGAAGGAGAGAAAGAACTGGAGACCTGAAGACAATCATTTTATGCCTGGATGAAGCCTTACCTGAAGTCACAATCACTGCTTCGGCTTTTAAGTAACCTGAGGCAGTACATTCACTCTCATATTTTTCTTACATTTTATAGAAATTAAGTTTCTGGCATTCACAGTTAGAATGGATTCTGACTACTGTACCCATATAGAAATCCCACAACTCTGATGCAAAGTGTAAACCAATGCTTCCTGCTTTCAGTTATGGTTCACTACAGAGAAAGAAAAAAAAAAAAGCATGCCATTTTTCATTATACCAGGATATAATGTGCATCTAGGGTAAGCAAATGATACACGACCCAATTGCAGCTTTAATTTCTATACTCTTAAATAATAGCCATGACACCAATTCATTCAATGGAAATTTAAATTTTCATTTTCTTTGTCAAAAGTAACTGAGCTGAAGTAGAACCAAGCAAGAGGAGGGAAAAAAAAAGTTTTCTTGTGCTAGTATTCTGTTCTTTCTGTCTTTCCAGAAAAGGAAGTAAATTGTACAGGTGCATTTATTTACTTATTTACCAGCAAACATCACATTCATTAGTGAAACCCTCAACATAGAATGAGGCAGATGACTGGGAAAACAGAAAAAATGCAGAGTTCAGTCTTAAAGTTCCTGTCAGGATACCACTGAAAATAAATTCAGATTCAATGGCGATGAATGAGTCAAAGAGGAGTTTTCTGCAGCAGCTCTGACATGTGTGAACACAGAATGGCAGAGTTGTATTTTTCAATTTGGAAAGTCAGGCTACAGAGGTTTAAAACAAATGCATACACAATGACAATCTTCACCTTCCCCTTTCCACTCCACCCCCAACAGGCAGGGAGGAAGGCAAGAAATCTGTTTGGACCAGTGCGTATTCAACCTTCTAGAACAATCTGGTGTTTCCTCACAATTCAAATAGTATTGTCATGGGATCTATGGAGTGTCTCTTTGCCAGCCAGAAACCTTTCTGCCTGAGTATTGTTCACGCCCACTGGGCTCATTCCACCCACTCGGCCCAGCAGGCTGCACTCAGCTCACGCTACTGTCCTGGATCCCACACCTACCAAAGGTGAGCCAGGCACAGAGAAGTGAGAGGTGTGTGGGCAAGTGAGTGCAGGGTCTGGTCACTGTGCACAGCCAGGCATGCAGGCTGTGGCAGTAGGGTGGGCAGCTCCAGACACTGGCACAGGTGCCAGCTCCATTCAAGGCTGTAACTGGACCAGATGTACTGCACACAGCTTCTGCTGTGTGTACCCATGTCTAGATGAGGGGAATATAGTGGCATCTGGAACCTTGGAGATGCCAGGAACCACAGAGCCCCAAAGAGGGTGTCACAGCTCTGGCTAGGGGATTCCCTAGGTCTGGACTCCCTGAAGGGATGCAGCTCTTCTCTCCTTCTCATTGCCTGCAACATGGAAGGAGGGGGAGCATGTTTCAGCCCTGTTTGTTACAGTTCTGCTTGGGTTACAGCCATTTGGCATGTCCTGAGTTCTTGTTCCACATCCAGGAAGAATGAGATAGATGGACAATTGGGGGATGAGCAATGTGGAGAGGAGCTCCATTGAGTGACAGAACAGCCCTCAGGAGACCCGAAGTGGGAAGCTCATTTCCACAAGCAGGTCATCCCTAAGAGTGTCCAGCTCTCAGCAGAGAGGAGACTCGTAGGCAGTAGCTCCTTCCTGCAGCTGGTAGTCCTGAGGTCTGTTCAAGTCTGGCTGAGTCTGGGGTTTTTATGGGCTCATAAGGGAGGAAGTGCATGCTGATTAGTCCATAGGTGGCCATGGGCAGGGCCAGAAAAAGCACCATAAGTTCTCACTCTGGGCTGCAGACTTCATCAGGAACTGGCAGCCCAGCCCACAGGCTTCAGGCTTGAAGGTGGGATTTCACCAGGGACCTGCCCCTTTTTGTCCAGGAGCCTGTCTGCCTTCTGCTGCCATCAACATGCCATCCACAACGCCCAGGCTGTTCCTGCCAAGGGGTACCTGCAGGCCCACACTAAGCTGCCCTCAGCCCCTCCTTTGCTTCCCTCCCATGCTCCTGGGTTCCCAAAGTCTAGAGGGGGCCAAGGCAGCAGGGGGCTGGCGTGTCAGCACCTCTGAGAATACACATACCTGGCCACATTGCAACAGCACCCAGCCTCAGCCACAACTTTGCTCTGCAGCAGAGAGGGTACTGGGAGCAGGGAGAGGCCAGGGGGCAGAAGCAGGCACTTCTAAGCCTGTTGGGGCAGGAGGGCTTCCCAGGCCTCCGAGAGTGCAGAGATTCCCAGGTCTGGAGCCACAGTCGGGCAGCTGCTGTTGCACCCAGGAACACTGGGCTCCTGCCCCATCAACTTGGTAGGGGCTGGGGCTCCCGCCTGTTCCTGGCCCCCACTGGCTCTATGGAGCACACAGCCATGGTTGCACCTAGCCATTGCAGCCAGTGTCTTTGCAGTGGCTCCTCCAGATGGGCCGCCACTGCCATCAGTATAAAAAACTAAACATGAAAACTCCTATCATAAATTATTGTAATGTCTCTTTGCTTGAATTCTCTCTCTGAAATTTCTATTTCATCCCCCAAATGGCAGGCACAAAGTCATCTTATATTTCATGAATTTTCCAATAGCTAAGTCAATATGACTAAGTCTACCATTAGCATTCAGCAACTAAACATTTTAAGTAGTGTAATTATACAAGAAACCTGGGTGGTAAAATGACTATTCATGGTTTCTATATTCATTGTAAAAGTTTGCCATGCATATCTTTTTTTAAATTTTATTTTTATTATTATTATACTTTAAGTTTTAGGGTGCATGTGCACAATGTGCAGGTTAGTTACATATGTATACATGTGCCATGCTGGTGTGCTGCACCCATTAACTCATCATTTAGCATTAGGTATATCTCCTAAAGCTATCCCTCCCCCCTCCCCCCACCCCACAACAGTCCCCAGAGTGTGATGTTCCCCTTCTTGTATCCATGTGTTCTCATTGTTCAATTCCCACCTATGAGTGACAATATGCGGTGTTTGGTTTTTTGTTCTTGCGATAGTTTACTGAGAATGATGATTTCCAATTTCATCCGTGTTCCTACAAAGGACATGAACTCATCATTTTTTATGGCTGCATAGTATTCCATGGTGTATATGTGCCACATTTTCTTAATCCAGCAATGGCAACAAAAGCCAAAATTGACAAATGGGATCTAATTAAACTAAAGAGCTTCTGCACAGCAAAAGAAACTACCATCAGAGTAAACAGGCAACCTACAAAATGGGAGAAAATTTTCACAACCTACTCATCTGACAAAGGGCTAATATCCAGAATCTACAATGAACTCAAACAAATTTACAAGAAAAAAACAAACAACCCCATCAAAAAGTGGGCAAAGCACATGAACAGACACTTCTCAAAAGAAGACATTTATGCAGCCAAAAAAACACATGAAAAAATGCTCACCATCACTGGCTATCAGAGAAATGCAAATCAAAACCACAGTGAGATACCATCTCACACCAGTTAGAATGGTGATCATTAAAAAGTCAGGACACAACAGGTGCTGGAGAGGATGTGGAGAAATAGGAACACTTTTACACTGTTGGTGGGACTGTAAACTAGTTCAACCATTGTGGAAGTCAGTGTGGCGATTCCTCAGGGATCTAGAACTAGAAATACCATTTGACCCAGCCATCCCATTACTGGGCATATACCCAAAGGACTATAAATCATGCTGCTATAAAGACACATGCACACATATGTTTATTGCGGCACTATTCACAATAGCAAAGACTTGGAACCAACCCAAATGTCCAACAATGATAGACTGGATTAAGAAAATGTGGCCATGCAAATCTTTTATGCTCATATATTTTACTTAAAAAATATGTGCTGGATTATTATCTTAATCAATTTAAAATTCTTCTCCTAAATAATAAAGGCCACAAGTAACATTTTGTTACAAATAGAAGAAAGCAGAACAGATATGAAGAAACCATACATTTAAAGATTTTATATTAAGACGAGACATTGCACTTGAGTGTAAAAATAATAAAAATTTGTCATTTATATAATAATCTACATAGTCTAAAATTACCATTTAAATGCACAATAAGCATTAGGAAAATCATGATTTAAAAGTCTTGGGTGTATATGTTTGGGCTTTAGCAATGAAGTAAGTTTTCAGTGATAAATTATGCTGCACTCAGACTTATAAAAGAAACTTCTATTATTGATTAGTAGCTTAGAGAATACAGACACTTTTTTAACCAATGAACAAAACATTTTATCTCGAAGTCTATGCTTCAGGAGACATGTAGGTAAGAAAGATAAAGTCAACAATGCAACATTTCATTGTATACCATTAACTTATACTTTGAGTTCATGAGGGGTAAAAATGTAGTAATACTCAGATTACAGTAGGACTCCTTATGAGTGCTTCAATTAAAAATATGCAACCGTGATATCACCATGCTAAAAATTGGTTCTGCATGACTGAATCTGAGGCCCACTGAAATGACTGTATTTATACCCAATTATCAAGCTATAACCTTTGACTTCCCTTTAAAACTGTCTGCCAAAAAAAAATTGAATTAAAACACAGCTTGAAATTCAGCCAGCTTCCAGAATTCACCTTAATGGAATGGATTCTCTGTGCTACATGGGACAAGAGTGATGTGATGAAGGTTTTTGCATTGACATTTAGGGATCACAGCCTCTTTCTCTACAATAAGACATTCCTTCGATTTGCCAAAGTGAGTAAGGAAATTGCCTACCCCCAATTAGGAGAAGATAAAAAAAATCCTATCACTTTGATCTGATAATGAATATGCTCCATTGGGCTGAAATAGAGAATCTTTTTGGACAGCTTCTCTTTAACTACATAGGTCTGTTTAGCAAACATACAGTGAGTGAGTTCTCACTTTCTCATCCAAGCAAATATCAAAGGAAGCATTTTCAGGAAATCATAATCCAAACCTGCAACTATTTAGAAACAATGTGCAAAATTAATTATATATTAGATAAAGTTGAATAGTAATGGATAATTTCTTTGAGTCTAGGGTTAAATTAATTTTCATAGATTTATTATTTAAAATTTGCAAAATATTTGAGTCCCTGAAAAAGATAAAAAAAGTTTAACACACAGACCCACACAAACACACACGCACACAGGCACACACACAGTTTATATATGTTCACGTTATATTTTTTAATTAATATTCTTTTAAGTTTCTGTTCATTTTGAATGGTTTTTATGTCACTTGAAATATGGGGGCAAACTTATTCATAACATGCATGAAAGCTTTCAAGCATTTTCTCTTACAGATTAGTAAAATAGTAAATTTTCAGCAAGCCACATACACAGTAATGCTTCCCCAATTAATTGTATTTTCATTTTAGTATGGCTCTACTGGCAGGTTGCTAATAAATTGCTGATAATTATTAATCTGCACTTGACTAGTCAATGTTCAGATCTTTTTCAAGAGAGGCACTCCATAAAGATTTACAAGTTTTGCCAAGTGAGGGGCTCACGCCTCTAATGTAAGAACTTTGGAAGGCCAAGTCTAGAGGATGGCTTGAGCCTAGGACTTCAAGACCAGCCAGGGAAATATAGTGAGATCCCATCTCTACAAAATTAAAACAAAACAAAAGAAAAAAAAACAAAACAGTAGCCAAATATTGTGGCAGGCGCCAATAGTCCCAGCCACTCAGGAGGCTGAGGCAGGAGGATAGCTCGAGCCCAGGAGTTCAAGGCTGCAATGAGCTATGACTGCACAACTGGATGTTGAGACCCTCTCTCTAAAATAAAAAAGGAAAGAGAAGGAAAGAAATATTTACCAATTTTATAAAGGCAAGTGGAATTTCTCTTGGTAGATCTCAATATTCCTTCCCCAACTTGTTTTGTCCGGTCTCCAGATTTTTGGCCTTCTTTAACTGACTCCCACCAACCTCCATTTTTTTTTCCACTGGAGTCCCTGAGGCTACAAGATTTGCAGATTTTTCCTTTTTGCCTCTTCCTCCACTGTTGTACACATTTTGGGATCCCTGGTAACTATGACAGAATCTTAGAAGCTTCTCACTGTCTTATGAATGCTTCTCTGACTCCTATGATTGATCTCAAAAATCAAAATGGGAAACCATCTTGAGCTTAGGTCTTTTAAGAAAAAAATTAATTAGAATATGCTTATTTAATATTTCCCTTCTGGAAAGCTCTAAAATTTGACTGTATTCATTCATTCATTTTTTATTCATTCACTCATTTATTTATTCAGGAAGAATTTAATAAGCACCTTCCATGTGCAAGGTATTGTGCTAGCTGCTGGGTAGACACTGCTGATAAAGGGACCTGGTCCAGTCTTCAGGGAACTTAGAGTGTAGTGTGTGGGACAAAGGAGCCATGAAAATACAACTACATCATTTAAGTTGTGGGAATGTCAGGAAGGATTTCAGAACAAAACACAGTGATAGAGAATAATGGGATAGAAGGAGGAGAACATATTTCATTTAAAGTGTTTTCAAAGAAAGTCTCTTTGGAGAGGTGACTTTTAGCTGAGACCTGAAGTATAAACAATTGAGAGAAAGAGAGGGGAGAGAGAGAGAGAAGAGAGACTGAGTGGGATGGTGGGATGTAAGGGCTAAAGAAAGTACAAGTTAAGTTTTTGCAGATCAGGAAGCAACTTGTGAAGATTCTAATACTACAAAGAGCTTATTGAATCTTGTTACTATGTAAAAGTGACTATGGGGTCAGGGGGTGATAAGGAGAGTGATGGGGGAAGGTAGGAGAGCAATGGTGAAGGAGAGATGGAAGGGGAGAAATGGAGAAAGAGAGACACAAGGAGAAAGGTGGGGGAAGGATGGAGGGGAGGAGATGGAGGGGCAAATTTGGATAGGGAGCTAGAGAGACAGTGGTGGAGGAGGAGAGATGGAGGGAAAGACAAAGGGAGAGAGATAGAGGGGAAGTGATGGAGGAGTAATAGAGGGGGAGATGGAGGGAAAGTGATGGAGGAAGAGGTTACAGAGACCATGATGATGAAATAGGCCAGTCTAAGTACTGCCAATAAACAGAAACCTCGAACTTAAGTGATTTGGGAAGAAGATTCTTAGGATCCTCCTCCACGCTAGGTCCCCCAGGGGGATTTTGCTTGGCTCTCCTCCTCTCTCTGGCTGTCGTCTTAGGGTCCTACTTTACTCTAGCTTAGGGTCTCTGAAATTTTCCATGGTCTTAGATGACAGCGACCGCCCTGCCATACTGAGTAAAACTTTCCACCCAGGCTAACTGCCTGGTGCTCAACAGCCCTGCCAATCTCTCTCTCTAAGCTGGGCAGCCAGCAGTGGGTTGGTGTCTAGGTGTTCAGCACCATGTTAATGCTGGAACACTTGGTATTTTCAACTCTTCAGCAGCTTTTCTCTGGGGAAGCTGAAAAGCCTTTGCTAACCCTAAAGTTTCTTCCCTGTGACAACTGAAAACACTGTTCTTTGGGGCTTGTACTGTGTCACATGGCTGTGCAGGAATTGCATTTCCCAGAGTCCCCCAACTTAAATGGCTCTGGTTTGAGTTGGCCAGAGTATGAATCTGTGGGAGCTCTGAGGATGAATTGGTGCAGCTGCCCTTGCTCTCTTCAGGTGGTCATGGTCCTGGTCAGAGATGGTGAGGAGCCAGCATGTCCTAACTCTCCCTGTGCACAGCCAGCTCTTCTTCCAGACCTCTAGGGCTGCTGACTACCAGGCCCACCAGACCCATCATCAGATGCAAGCACAACAGTTCCTCTGCAGTTTCTCTCCAGAAGCTGGTCCTACCTGACTTCTCATTTATCCTTGTAGGCTTCAGTGCTTCAGAAGGGTAGGTAGTGACTTTTCTCTGATCTCCCTATGCTATGCTTTAATCTCTACTTCTCTACCTTCTCAAATATTGTATGACTTCTTAGGTCACTAGTAAGTCCCTTATTGCATAATATTCATGTGGTTTTTCTTCCTAAATTGAACCCTGAACAATACATGCTCTATTATCCTGAAAAAAGAATTCAGCTTTATCTTCAATTTAGGAATTTAGGAAAAACTAGATAGTTATAAATTAGCAAGCTAACCTAAAGAGTTGTTGAGTTTTGAATAAATTACAAGAATAAACCTTAACTGTACTTCCAATTCTATTAACTACTGATTACCATCTGGCTTGTAAGGCAACATGGCCGTGTTTTGCATGTTGCTTTCTTTGGGCAGCAAAAGCATAAAACTAACAGAGAGATAGATTGATCTTAATCCCAGTATTCCAACAAAGAAGATTATGTTGATGGATATAACTAACCTAAGTAAAATACAGTGACAACAAAACCATCATAGAAAATAGGAAAGTCATCAATAAATAACAAAGTTCACTGATACATTCATCTTCATTAAAAGACCAGAATTGTCTCTGAGGGAAATGCCCACATCTGATAAAAGGAAAAAAAAAAGCTTTCAGGTCATTTGTGCCTATCATCAATAAAGCATCTTGTAATTTTGCTAAAAGTGCATAGCAATAAAAAGACAGATATACTGGAACAGGACATATGACTAAAACTACATCAGTGGTCATTAAGTAAAGACAACTTGATTTTTTTCTTCTTAGAGAAAACTAGACAATTTCCTTGCTTAAATCCCTCTGCAATAACTGGGTCATCCCAGAGATGTGCTAATTCTTTTAATTCTTGCAAATAAATGTCTTGTACCCTGATAGTGGCTGGTGCAGTTACTTCCTTCAAGAAAAACGGTGGCCCCTTAGCCAAGAACGTGGCTCTGTTAATGAACTCTAGCAATCCAGAGGCCAAAAAAGACTATAAAAACTGAAAATCTCCAGCTTATTTTCAGCTTACTGAAAAGTATTGCACTTCCTTTCACTTGAGTAGCTCAAGAAATAGTCCTCCACTCCTCTTCCCCTCCATCTGATGTCATGCTGAAGAACTTTATTCTTAAAAAAGTTGGGAAAAGAGAAATAGAATGCATTCTTAGCATGAAATACAAACACAAGCTACTTTTGTTCATCTTCCTGAGCTGCTTTTTTAACTGTGGTGAAATATACATAACATAAAATGTACCCTTTTAACCAATTTTAGGTATACAGTTTAGTGGCATTAAGTATATCACTATTATTGTACAACAATCATCACCATCTGTCTCCAGAACTTTTTCATCTTCCCAAATTGAACTCATACCCATAAATAATAACTTCCCATTATTCTGTCTCTCCAGCCTTTTTAAACCACCATTCTACCTTCTACCTCTATTAATTTGACTACTCTAGATATCTCATATTAGTAGAATCATATGATATTTGTCCTTCTGGATTTGGTTTATTTCACAAAACATAATGTTTTCAAGGTTCATTCATGTTCTAGCATATATCAGAATTTCATTTTTTTCTTTTGTTCAAGAGATGGAGTCTTGCTATGTTGCCTAGGCTGGTCTCAAATTCCTAAGCTCAAGCAATCCTCCCACCTCTGCCTCCCAAGTATCTGGGACTACAGGAACTCACTATCACACCTGGCTCATTCTTTTTATGGCTAAGTAATATTTCATTGAATGTATCTACCACATTTTGTTTATCCATTCATCTGCCAATGGACATAGCAGTTGTTTCCACCTTTTGGCCTTTGTGAATAATGCTGCCATGATCGCTGGTGTACAAGCATCTGTTCGAGTCCCTGCTTTCAATTCCATCTTTCTGAGTTTTTAAATGATGGAAATAATTCATGTCAACACACACACACACACACACACACACACACACACACACACACACACACATCCCACAATGTGGAGAGAGGAAGAGGCTTTTAGCTGACCATGTCGGCAAACTTTTGGCAGCACAGAAAGTGTATTCATCCTTGGCATAGGATCCTAGGATCCTAGAATGCCCTCGATTTATATGTATTAAAATCAAGAGGCCCAGGGAAAGTAAGTGACTTACCTGAGGTGACAGAGAAATAGTCAGTGCCGTCTCCAAGGTCAGAACTGCCCAGAATCTCTTGATTTTTAGCCCAGTGATCGCTCCACCACATCACGCTGATGTGAAGTATTATTGTTTAGTCCCTCCAGGCTTTGAGCAAGGAGCTTTGCTAGTAACATAAACACCACTCTTACACACCCCACGGTCATGCTGGCTTTTATAAGAATTATGTATTTCAAATGCCAGTTTACCTAGTCATGCTATTTATTATTTCTACTTTTGTTTTATGATTGAGAGAGGTGTGGGGACAGAGGAAAGACCTTGTATACTTCGTATCTAATTTTACATATTCCACATACATTCTGCCAGTGCTTATTTTTCCAGATTTTGTGGTCTCTGCAAAGGTAAAAAGATGTCCTGCTCTCAAGAAGAATACAACCTAATATTTCTGAATGTGAAATTCTGTTCCTGGTAGACTCATTTACTTCAATATCTCTACTCACGGTTTAAAGAACATCAGGTTGTCAGAACTGGTGTGTTTGTAAGAAAAAACCTGGGTGGGTGGAGCCATGAGGATAAACTGAGTGAATTATATTTTTTGCACTTTGAACTTCTAGTCCGTGAAGAGCTGGGAATCATTTCATGCCTAAAGGGTCTGCTCTGACCTTTGATATAGAATTTCAGAAGGTATAATGTAATTATAGTAGATAATGAGAGCAGGGGAGGCCTCTGAAGAGCAATTGTAAAAAGCATATTTTTTTGAGTAGGTTTTAAAGACAAATGTAAACCTCTAACTTCCTAATTTTTTGCTGATCTCTTCTGGGATGTATGACTGAATACAGCGAGGAGGAGGAAGAATAAAATGTTCTGGAACCAGAGCATTCCACTTAACAGTGCTTTGCAGGAAACAAGGTTATCTTAAATTTCAACATTTACCAACTAATGCTAAGTAGGGGTTATGAGTTTTCACAAATACAGATAAAGCTAGGATGATTAAAAGAGCACTATTAAGAGAAGTAAGTAGTTGCCTGAGATATACAATACTTTGGTTATATTCAGAAGTGTTATAACGTTTACTTCACTTTTACACACTTCTTGTATCTTTAAAAGACTGTTTACACTTTTTTTGGTAATGTATAGAAACTCAATGTATTTTTTGTGTTTTAACCCAGAAACTCTGTTGAACTTTCTTAATAATTCCAGTAATTTTTCTGAAGATTCTTTTTGCTCTATGTAGACAATAAGTTCATCAGAGAATAATTTTAGTATTTTTCCCCTAAATTTAAATACTTAAATTTAATAATTTCATACTTAAATTAAATACTTAAATTTAATACTTAAATAATTTAATACTTAAATTAAATACTTAAATTTAATACTTAAATTAAATACTTAAATTAATACTTAATACTTAAATTTAATAAGTTAATACTTAAATTTAATAATTTAAGTATTAACTTAAAACCTTCATTTCTGTTTCTTGAAATTATTTGCTAGCTAAGACCCACATCATAATCTTGAATGGCTTTTTTTCTGATTTTTAAAGGAAAGTCTTGTAATGTTTCAACAGTAAATATTTAAGACTAAATAAATACCCTTAATCTAGTTAAAGAAGTTCTCTTTTATCTGTAATTTGTTTGAAATTCTTAAAAAAATGCATAGATTGTTGTATTTTATACTTTTTTTTTGTTTCTATTGAGATGATCTTATACTTTGTCTCCTTTAAATTATTTTAAGCATAAATCTCTCAGTCTGTTCAGGCTATTATAACAAAGTAGCATAAACTGGTGACTTATAAACAATGGAAATTTATTTTTTACATTCTTCAGGCTGGAAGAGATTAAGATGCCAGGCTGCTTGGGTTCTAGTGAGGGCCCTCTTCTAGGCCCTCTTGAAGGCCTAACTTCTTGCATATTCACATTTCAGAAAAGAGAGAGCCTTCTGTGGTCTCTTTCATAAGGGCATTCATCTCACTCATGAAGCCTCCACCCTCATAACCTAATCACCTCCCAAAGGCTTTAATTCCTAATACCATTACATTGGGGCTTAAGGTTTCAACACATAAATTTTGGAAGTACACATTCAGTCCACTGTAGTAAAATCCAGTGATTTTTTAGGAAATTTACAGGGTTGTCCAACCAATCTGGTTTTAGAACATTTTATCACTCCAGAAAGATCCTCCGTGCCCATTTGCAGTCAATACCTGTTCCTACCCCCAGCTGCATGCAAGAAACCACTATTCTGCTTTGGATACGTCGTTTATAAATATTTCGCATCAATAGAATCATGCAATATGTAGCCTTTTGCATCTGGCTTCTTTCACTTAGCGTAATATCCTTGAGGTTCATCTATGTTGTAATATGTATCCATAGTTTCTTCCTTTTCATTGCATTTACCAGTTGATTGATAGACATTTGGACTGCTTCTAGTTTGAGCATATTATTTTGAATTTTTGATACGGTAAAATTATTTAATATATTTCTTAATGTTAAAAAAACCCTTATATTCTTACACTTTTCATTTCTTGCACTGCCTTTGTTGGGTTTGGGCATGAAGATTATATTGGCCTCTTAACATAAGTTTGGAAACGTGCATATTTTTGGAATGATTTTATGAAATAATCCTGAAATGATTTTGAAAGTTTGGTAGAAATTGCCTGCGCATAATAAGTGTCACTTTGTTTGGGGAAAGTTTTTGTACTACTGAATTAATTTGTTTTATGGTTACAAAACCAGATACAATAATTCTAAGTCACAATTGGTAAATTACACTTTTTTCCCCAAGGATCCTATTTGTTCATCATATCTAAGTTTCCGAATTTATTTGTGTCTAGTTGTTCTTTTTTAGATGCAGTTTTGCTCTGTCACCCAAGCTAGAGTGCAGTGGCACAATCTTGGCTCACTGCAACCTCTGCCTTCCAGGTTCAAGCCATTCTCCTGCCTCAGCTGCCCAAGTAGCTGGGATTACAACTGCACACCACAACACCTGGCTAATTTTTGTATTTTTAGTAGAGATGGGGTTTTACCACGTTGGCCAGGCTGGTCTCGAACTCCTGACCTCAGATGATTCACCTGTCTCAACCTCCCAAAGTTCTGGGATTACAGGCGTAAGCCACCGTACCCAGCCGGTGTCAAGTCTTTCTTACCTTTATATGTGAAATGTTTTTGTCGCTTGTTTTCATTTATATTTTAATTTTCACTCCTATTATATATATATTTGTTGATCAATCTCAGCAGATATTTCATTGCTATTTCTAAGGAAACAACTTTTTTGTTGAATTGTGGCCTCTGCAATTTTCTCTATAGTTTGTTATGACTTCAGTAATTTCTACCTCTTATTCTTTCTTCCTTCTAGCTCATTTATGCTGATATTGATATTTTTACGGCTTATTTATTTTTTTAGAGACAGTCTTGCTCTTTTGCCCAGGCTGGAGTGTAGTGGCCTGACCACAGTTCACTGCAGCCCCTAACTCTTGGGACCAAGTGATCCTCCTACCTTAGCCTACAAAGTAACTGAAACTACAGGCACAAGCCACCATGCCTGGCTAACTTTTTTAAATTATTTTTTGTAGAGACAAGGTCTTGCTATGTTGCCCTGGCTGGTTTTGAACTCCTGGCCTCAAGTGGTCCTCCTGTCTTGGCCTTCCAAAGTACCAGCATTACAGGCATGAGCCACCATACCCAGCCTGTTACTTCTTCAATTAGCCTTACACCTCATTAATATTCAATCTTTATTTTTTCTAATATAGCATGTAAAATTAAACATACACCTTGATTGCATCTCAAGGATTTTAATATGTACTGATTTTATTATGATTCAGTTCTAAGTGTTTTTAAATTTTTATTATGATTTTTAACCAATAAATTACAGTTGTTCCTGTCTTTGTGGGGTTGGTTCAAGGCCTCTCTCCTTCCCACCTTCTCATACCAAAGTCCACAAATGCTGAAGTCCCTTATAAAAAATGGCATATTAGAAAATAATGTACACACATCTTCCTGTATACTTTAAATCGTCTCTAGATTTCTTATAATACCTAATACAATGTAAATGTTATTTAAATAGCTGTTATGCTGTATTTTTATTTGAATTATTTCTTATTGTAACTTTTGTTTTATTTTTTTAAAATATTTTCTATCCACAGTTGATTAAATCCACAGATGTGGAACCCACAGATATGGAGGGCTCACTGTATGTCCTTTGAGTATTAAATTTTGCGAAATAACAATTGTTATTTTCTCTGATTTTTTTTCTTAACATTGATTGCCATCAGACACACTATGTATTTTATTTATTTACTTTACTTTTTGTCTGCCTCCCCCAGTAGAATGCAAGTGTCCTCAGAAGGATTTTTGTCTGTTTCATTCACTGTGCTATCATTTTCAGTGCCTAAAGAATTGCCCAGCATATAATGGGTTTTGATAAATATTTATTGAATGATGACATATGAAATACATTGGACTTTTCTCTATGGCCTATAACATGAGTCAGCTTTTTCTGTAAAGGTTTACATAGTAAATATATCAGGCTTTGTGGACCACATGTGGTTTCTGTCATACATTGTCTTTTTGAAAAAAATTTACAATCCATTAAAAATGTTAAAAAAAAAAAGGTTTTAATTTGAGGGTCATACTCAAACAGGACATGAGCTGGATTAGGTCTGTCAGCCATAATTTGCTGATCCTTGGCCTAGAATATGGTCAACTCTTATGACTATTCAATAAATCCCAGAAAATATTAATTTCTAATTTTGAAGATCAGGTTTCTATACTTATGTAAATTACAAGCTTGTTAATTGTACTATTCAAAGCTTCTAATTTGTTGTATTAGATTTACCTCTTAATTAGTGAGAATGCTATTTCTAAATCTCCTACTAAAATTATAGACTTGTTCATTTCTTCTAACAGTCATATCAATCTTTGATTGTCTAATAACATCATATCTTTTTAAATAGTATTTCTGACAAATCTTGTAAATAGTATAAAGTTCTTTTTTTTTCCTGAATAGTTTAATCTTCTGATAATCTCTGTATTTTAACCAGGGAAATTAGTCTTTTTATGCTTATGGTGATAATTGAGGTAGCTAAACTATATGTCTTTTCATTTTTATTTTCTCTTTTTTCCAGTCTTATGTCTTTTCTTTGGATTCACTGATTATCCCTGACCCTATTCTGTTCAATTCAAACTTAAAATTCATGTTATAGTTTCAGTGTTTACTAGACTTTACAGATTATTTTAATCTCCTTGTAAACAATATAAGGGCTTTAAAATGCTTTAACTTAGATCATCTACCTTTCAGCTTACCTGCCATGGTATTCTGTTTATTTGTTGTATCTAATTTGTTTAATGCCAAATTTAATGTTTAATGCATATTATTTTATACAGTCATGTTTATTTACACTTGATTTCTCCTTTGTTATCACCAAGCTTTCTTGTCTTATAAACCTCTTTGATATTATTTCAATTATTGTGTTTCTCCCTGAATGCATGCTATATTAGGAAGAACTTGTTGATTATAAACTTACCCAGTTTTTGTTAATCTGAAATCATGCTATTTTATTCTTGCTCTTAAAAGATAACTTTTCTACATACACAAATACGTATTGAGAGTTATTTTATCTAAGCATGTTTCCTCCACACAGCATTTACTGTTGCTTCTGTCAGTTGCCAGAGGGTAGTTCCAAAAAAGAAATCATTTTTATTTCTGTGCTAAGGGTTTGAACCACAAAGCCACAGAAGCAATGTCGATAGTTACAAATCCTCAAGAAGAATTCTGAGTTTTAGTTCTACTTTCATTTTCCATTTGTAGTAGTCATGGACATAGCCAGGTTTTATGACATCTCTCTTTGCTGGCAGGTGGATTTTTTTCCTGGACCACCCTTTCACCACGAATATAACCTTCTTAGTGTCTAACTTTATGCAAACATCTCAGATTCAAACGTATCTTTGTCCAGGTTCAAGGTCTAGTCTTCCATTTTCTCTTATGGCTATTAATTTTCACAATGCCTTCAAGTCATCCTGAGCCTCAGCTCTTACTTACCACTCCTACCACTCCTCTTTCTGCTCCTAGTCCTTTTTAAAAAACAATACAATACAAAACAAAAACAAAAACTTGGGGATCTCCTTTACTTTCTTGAAAGCGCAGCAAGTCATTCAAATGTCCGTTATTACTCAGCTTCTAGGTAGTTTTCAGCTGTAAGACTCTTCACGATATTTAGTCCCTTCTACTGTTAGAATAGTAATCTGTATTTTATCTTCTTTATTTCTAAGATGGTTTTTAATTAACCCCATTAAGCCATTTTAATACAATACAACACCTATATCGATTGATTGATTTTCATCTTATCAACATCTAAAAAGTGCATTTGTTTTGACTTCTAGTCAGGATTAAATTCCAAACTGCAGGGAGAGATAAATTCAATAAAGTATCTTATTTTGATTTTGACTTTGATTCTTCTGAATGTTGAGTGATTAATTCTATGCTTTGTTTAAACATTGATGAGGAAACTCCTCATTTCTGCATCTACGTAGAAATTAAGTGTAGCTGACAGGTTCCAGAGACAAGCATTCTAAACTGGATTTTCTTCTTTTATTGAATATACCTTTGTCTCTTGAGAAAATAAAATGTAAATTAGTGAGATAATGCAGCTGAACCAGCATCCAGATGGTGTTTTTTAGAAGAAAATCGTAATTTACTGGATTTTTTCTTCTCTTCTATACTAAGCCATATGCTTATTACAGCTTCTTTGTATATTTACTAGTAGCCCACTTAGAATGGGCAGTATGTACAAATATTATGAGATTCCTCTTGATCTAAGATCAGAAGAAACACACGAAGATTTTAACTAGAGTTAATAGTACATGAACACTTTTAACCAGTGTGTAGGAGGTAATATTTTATTAATTATACTATATTATATTACATTATTATATGTTATTACAATTATTTATTAATAATTTTCATATTATATAAATATAACTCAAATTATCGTACTATAATAATATAACTTGATTTAGGTCCAGTTTGTACCATTCCCAAAAGACCTGCAAATGATTTTTTTATTGAGCATATTATGTCCTCAGTTGTGTTAATCATTTTCAGATTTATCTAATTTAATTCTTGTTACAGCCAGCTGAAGATTAGTCCCATTGTATATATGTAGAAACTGAGACTCAGAGAGGTGAACTGACATGTCCAATCCACATGGCAATGAGGCAAAACCAGGATTTAAAGGTGAACTATCTAATAAAAACTTCTACTGCTCCTTACACCTTATGACATTTTCATCAATTGTATAACAGTGTGCATGCACATGCATATGTGTGTGTCATCCACTCCTTGATCCATGTTAACTTCCTGCAAAACTTCTATCTCTCTAGTAAAAAAAATAATCAAAATAATTTACAAAGATAGGTTCTGGGCACATGGAATTAGCTATCATCTGCTCAAATTAAGCACAGATAATTCAGTAATTGTTTCCTGAAATTGTTGCAGATCAGATTAGGAACTAATAATTTATGTATCCAGAAAAAAATGGACCCAATTTCAAATACATATTTAAAAAATACTATTAGATCAAGGGATATAATGGGTTAAGTCAGTTTTTCTACTGATATTTTCTCCTTATCCAAACTGAAAAGCACTGGGGGCAGATAGTGGGGAGAGGATATGGGTGGAAGGGTGAAGGTAAATGGGATCGTGTCTATTTTTCTCCTGTTTATGCCTGCCATAGAATAGGAGGTCATTAATTTTTTGAATAAATAAATGATTCATAGGTGTGACACTAAAGGAGGTCTTATAAAAAGTAGGGTCAAAGGACAAATATGACTAGTACTTCTTCAGAAAATGTGTGTTCTCTACTATACTCTCCAAATAAATCAAACTTGAAAAGTTGCCGAAATTGCAATAGAGTGGTTTCTACAATGTTTTTAGTTGAAACTTTGGAATTGTTGTCTACAGCTCCTTTGCCCTCATATCAAATCGCTATGATAGTTCACCATTTCTTGTTCCAGAATCTCTCTTACATTCATCCTCTTTCTCCATTCCACTGCCAGTGCCCAAGCTTGGGGGTTTCTCTTCTTAATGCTCTCCTGGATAATTGTAAGAGCCTCCTTATCGTCACCGTCCCATCTTTTTCAACCACCTTCAACACACCCTGGCCAAATATTAAGGGGTTCCAATTGTCTCTGAAATACAGTTTGAACTTTACAAGGGTATCAGTGACTTTCCATGCCCTGTCTCCATTTACATTTCTAACATAACTCTTACCTGCACCTGTCATGAACATTTTGTTCCTATTAAGCCATTGGGCTTAGTCTCTGAGAACACTCTAAGCAGTTCTCATTTATTTTATTTTCCTGAAATACCTCTCCTTCCTCAGTATTTTCCTGGGAAAGTCAACTCAAACGCCCCAAGATCCAACCTCTCCCACTGCGCTGAGAATTTAGCATCTTCCTCTCCTGCTCTCCAACAGTGCCTTGCTTGTACTTTACTAGGCTAATAGTGCATATTTTTATTGTGTGTGTGTGCCCATGCGTGTGTGTGTGTGCCCATGTGTATGTGTGTTATACCACCTCTACTAGATTATAAACTCCCTTAGGATAAGGGAACTAGACTGCCCAGTGCTGTGCATGGCAGGAAAAAAAATCATTCTCCCATATCAACCAAAAACCAATCAATCAATCTCCTTACATAATTAGAGTTTGTGAAATAAATGATTGTCTGCTCCTTCCATTTGGTCTTCCTCAAAATAAAGCAAACCATATTTTTATTCTTATCTTCCAAAAAAAGTGGATTACCCTTAACTTTACCCTCTGTCAAAGAGTATATTTCAATCACTCTAGTTCTACATCAACATATAGAGTTGCATATTTTTGAAAAACCAAGATAGAAAATTCCAAGAGTCTTGATTGAACTCTTATTTCTGCAAAATTTCCAGAGAGTCATATGTTTGACAAAACTGACTACACACAAAGAGAGGGAAAAAAAGGCAGAGAATGAACCTAAATCAGAAGAAAATAGGGGAGAAGAGTTTTCCTAAAGGTCATACTTTCGTTATACAACAAAAGACACATTTTTCCCCCAGTGGCTTTACCCTTTTTGTTTTATGAAAAATAAGAGAAAAATGAGATTCTAGAAAAGAATTTTTTTGTATTCTATGATTAATAGGGTTTGAAACGTAATAAAATTATGTTACAAGTACAGTTTGAATATTGCATTCAATCTCTCTATATACATATATTAAAAAGGAAGAAGAAATTTCCTCTTTAACTTTGTGGGTAGAAACACAATGTATTGCAGATACTGGCCTATGCATTTGAGGGAGAAAAATACATTGGATTGGCAAGAAATGGAGATTAAAGGAAAAGAACAGAACCATGGTCAACATCTTCAGATTTCCTGGTGATAAATGTGTATTCAATACATAACTCCTTGTCATCCTGTAACTGAGACGTCAAAGCTCTTGAATTACTTTATATTCCATTAGTGTCTATTTTGCAGTCTACTCAACAAGTTAATGATCTTTTCATAGGATTTCTGAATTATGGACTCAGGAAAACAGACAAACCAGTAGCTATCCTTCAAGAAAATGACTAATATTGCCGGAACTGAGTATGAGATTTTCATTTGCTTTGCAAACAGGTGACAAAGGGCCAAGGACATCTATTGAAATGAACTCAGCACAAACACAAATTGAAGATAATGTCATTGACCTCCTAATCTCTCTATTTTCACTACACACTTCTGCTGTGGTAGAGTTAAAAGATTTGTACTTGAAAGACCCTATTTGAATTTAGCCTGCCTTTTACTAAATTTTGAGGTGTGTGAAAAGAACAGAGTTTCTCTGTGGTATTCAATTTTCTCACCTGTAAAATCAGGAAAAAAATGTTAACTATCACTGGAGGATTTTGTGGGGATAAGATGGGAAACACATATGCAAAAACATTTTCTAAACTGCGAATGCTGATTGCTATTATTATTACTACTGCTATTGGTATTATTACAATCATAATTACTGTCTTATCATTTGAATTACTTTTAACAAAGAGGAAGAGATGCCTATTTGAAGAGTTTTAGAAAAGAAACCTGCAAGTTGAAAGCCACGTTTCAAAAACATATCCATTTGAAGCCATTTCCACAAAGGTGGAGAATATCCCCTATTATGTGTCACTGCCAAGGGAGCTTGGCGTGATTCAAAATAAAGTGATAAAACACCTCCATTTATTTCATAATGGGAACTACACATTATGTGTTGCTAATGGGAGGGGTGGTGGGGGCACAGGGAGAGTTGCCACACTCCAAGGGGTAACTGAAGAGAATTTAATGAAGGGGCTATTTTCAAAGTTGTAAAATGATAAAGCACCCTGAGGTTCACAGCAATGGGGAGCCTTGGCCACCTGTGGGCCTGACAGGGCAATGGGAGAAAGTGGTGATTAGAGCCCAGTGAGAAATATGGCTGGGAAAGAGGGCTACTTCTGAAGAGGGATACAGCCACCACTAACCAGCATCTGCAGGTACAATAATAAACACCTTGACCTCTCTCTTGTCCTGTACTCAGATTTCCTGCCAGTGCCCACCATTGGCTGGGGTAGCCCAGGTGATACAATTCATAGAGGTCAGTGTGTCAAGGGATGAAGTGTGGATTAGGGGTCAGTTGGAAACTATTCAGGACACTAACTTAAATGCTATTAGTCAACACTAGCTGTTGAGCTTATAGAAAGAGAACAAATAATCAAAACACACACCTGCAAAAGAAGCAACTAATCAAAACACACTTACTAAATGAAAGGACCATGCAATGTTAACAGCAGAAACACAACAGGTTCACATAACCATTTTTATGGCTGAATGCCTGTGTCTTCCCTAAATTCATATGTCAAAGCTCCAGCCCCTGATGTGATGGTATTTAGAGGTGAAGCCTGGGTGGCCGGGGGGGGGGGAGGTGGGGGGGGGTGGTTAATTAGATTTAGATGAGGTCATGAAAGCATGACCCTCATGATAGGATTAGTGCCCTTCTCTCTGAGAGCATGCATCAGAGAAAAGGCATTGTGAGTGCACAAAGAGAAGGAGGCTGTCTCCAATTCCAGAGAGCCGTTCCTCACAAGCCGCTGAGACTGTTGGCATCTTAGTCTTGGACTTCCCAGCCTCCAGAACCCTGAAAAATAAATGTCCATTGTTTAAGCCACCCAGTCTGTGGCATTTTATTAGAGAAGCCAGATCTGACTAAGTCAACTTTTTCAAAATGTGACTAAATAGTGGTGAAAGATAACAGTAATGGACTAGGAAATTGTAACATATTTGACCAGCTTAGCGCTGAAATCACATAAAAGCTCACAACAGGAAAAAGTTAATGTGATACAGATTTAATGATGAAATTTAAAACTTTTTACTTTTAAAGTTTAATTTTGCTGCCAGGGTCCAGAGAAAAGCATGGGGAAAAATCATTTGTATAAATGGCTTGGCTAATACAGGTATTTCTATTGAGTCAAATCCAGGTTTTCTGAGGGTCTGCTAAGAGGAAGGAATGAGAAGGAAAAGAAGCAGATCAGGAAACCACTTATTTCCTCTGAAGACCCTTGACTTCCCATTCTCTCCCCCAGGCACTCTATTCCCCTCTCCTGGAAAGGGAGGAAGAAAGCTGAAATGAATCACCCAGGCCTAGGGTGGTTGTTCCAGAAATACTGTATAGGATGAGCTTAGGGTAGGAGATCTGGTAGAAAGGGATACTTGGGTAATTAACTTGAAGGTGCAAAGCACTACAGGTTTTATCAGAGAGTGTCTTAAATTGGGGTGAGTCAAGGGGATACATGATACCTATTATAAGTAAATGAGAGATAAGTCAACAGTGACCAATCTTTGCTAAAAAGAAAACCAAAGGGGGAAAAAAAGTGGATTACCATTAAGAAAGCTACTGCTTCTATTACTAAGATGAAAAGTAATAATTTTGCATTTTTAAAGCTTTTTTTTCTAAGTCACTGATGACTTCCAATCAAAGCAAAGTGAAAAGCTGAGCAATGAGCTAGTAGTATTACCCTGATGGTCAACCTGGGAAATAAAGGACAAAGGATTTTTACTATAGAATGCAGTCTCCCAACCCAGGATGTCTCTTGCCTAATCCTTCACATCCTTGCCATCACTTCTTTAGTCACATCTCAAAAAGAAGGTGAGGAAAAAGGAAATTGCAGATTTGCAAGTGAGATAAGGTTAACAACTTGGACCTTATTGCACCTGTGTAAGTACCATCATCTGGAGATTTTATCAAAGCAGCAAATGTCACACCTTACCACCTAAGGGTAAAGGAAATGCATTATTTAAAACCCACACACCAGGATGTCTGACTCAGAGTTGACTAGCATTGCTGGTAACTCATAGAAGCAAAGCACCAGATTTGCAAAATTAAAACTGAGACACACTAAAAGCCATTGGGTCATTTTATGTTTTTTTTTTTCTATTCCTCATGTTCTAAATGAAAATGCTAGATATAAATACAGAGATTATAGTTCTAAGGAAGATCACCACCTATGTCTCTTTTTTGTCATTTATTTGTTGGTTCAGTTATTCATTCGATAGATTAATAACAAGAACTCTTTTAAGTATTAGGGATCCCATGGTGATAAAACCACTGTTCCTACACTCAGGGAGCTCCTGTTCTAATGAAGAAAGAGAGATACATGATAGGCTCAGAGATTATGCTCCAGCACAATGGAATCTCAAAAGGGGCTCACCTCACTCAGCCTGACATCACTAGGAAGAGTCAGTAAGTTCCTGAAGAAGATGAATCTGAAGAAAGGAAAGGAAGAGAGAAGTTTCTCAAGTAAAGAGTAGCAGGGTGGGCAGTTCAGGTGGAGGGGGCAGGCTAAGGAAAGTCATGGAGAATCAGACAGATTGTTAGGGATGCTCCAAGCCTGTGGGTCCCACTAGAGTATAAAGGGCAAGAGAGAGCAGTGAGAAATGAGGCTGGAAGGGAGGCAAGGGCCAGATGAGAGCAAACTGCATGGCAGACAGGATTGCAGCCTAAAGTCTATGTGAGTTTGAAGAGTTTTCTGTAGGGAAAGAGGGGTGCCCACAAGATCAGAATCATCTGACAAATTATACTCATTAGGCAACATCTATTGATTATCTACCATGAATAGAGGACTCTACACTATATACTAGCAACAGTTACCATTTTGAGTTCTTAATATAACCCCCAGTAACCTAAACAAGGTGAGTTCTTCTATATCCTTATTATCTGTTGCTATTATTTTTCTTATTTCATTTTTTTTAAATTGAAGAAACACAAGGACATAAACTTTTAACCCATTCAGCCTAGATTTCAGCCATAATAAGAACCTAGGGAGTCTGGCTACAGATCTCACTCTTTTCCCCACTGATCATCTTGCCTCACTCAAGTGAACCATTTACTTTATGATTTCTAAAGACTGAAAATGCTTTCCTATATAAGAAGCCTCTTTACTTTTGAGAGTGATGCAATGGACTGAATGTTTGTGTTCCCCCAAAATTCATGTGCTGCAATCCTAAGCCCCAATGTGATATTAGGAGGTGGAGCCTTTGGGAAGTGATCGAGCCCTGAGGGTGGAGCCCTTATGAATGGGCTTAGTGCTCCAGTAACAGAGAGCCCTAGAGAACTCTCTCACTCTCTTCTCACCTTGTGAGGATGCAACAAGACGGGATCTGTAAAGTGGAAGAGGGGGTCACTAGAACTTGAGCTTGCTGGCACCTTGATCTCAAACTAACAGACTCCAGAACTGTGAGGAATAAATGCCTGTTGTTTATAAGTCACCCAGTTTATGGTACTTTGTTATAGTAGCCCGAGCTAACCAAGACAAGTGGCATAGCTAACTCTGTCTTTAAAGTGCTAATGTCATGTGACTCATCTGCCCAAAGTAGGTAGAGAGCTTTCATCCAGTTGGATAAGCCAGACCTTTCTGCCCACTGTCAGCTTCTCTCCAGTCAGGCTATTTACCTCTTAGATGGTGTATTAGACACTGGAAAATCTGTGGAAAGGTTCCTGCCAGTTCATACCTGCAAGTGACGGTGAGGAATGAGAAAACTGAGTTGCAGGGATAAGATGAGTCAGAGTGTGGCAGGGGCTATACTGCTTCTTCCATGTCCTAGGATATTTACTTTGGGCTGAAGAAATATCGCTGCTAGAAATTTCTGAACTCACCAGTGGAAAGCAGGATTCTTCATGGCCAGAGGTAAAAGCAGGACTAAAGAAAGAAGCAAATTACTTGTCATCAGGTAGGGGATAGTCTATTGAGCTTCAGTGAACATGGGAATCTGTGACTAAAATCCTTTGAAAAATGCACCCTCAAACAGCAAGGGTGTCATTATAACTCCAATCATTTGTGTTGTTCACAGTAAGAGGACATCCTTTGAACATTCTGTCAAAGTATAAAAAATCCTTCTGGAAAAATACACTTAAGTATACAGCTCCATGGGTTTCCACAAACTGAACACATTCTTGCAACCAGCACACAGATAAAGAAACAAGATGTGACCAATGCCCCAGAAGCCCTCCATATGCTTTCCAGGCCCTACTCACCCAATAGAGACACTACCCTAAAATTCTGATTTCTGACTACATAGATTATTTTTCTTTGTTTTAAGGCTTCACATAATTGGAATCATTCAGTATGTATTCCATATCTGGCTTCATTCATTCAACATTATGCTTATGAGACAGGTCCATGTTGTCATGTGGAATCATCTTATTGTTCTATGACAATTCCTTGTGAGTTCATACCTTATTTATCTAGGAAGTTACACTAATTTTCATGGGAACTGCTATAGTGTGTGTCAGGCCTCTGAGCCCAAGCTAAGCCATCATATCCCCTGTGACCTGCACATACACATCCAGATGGCCAGTTCCTGCCTTAGCTGATGACATTATCTTGTGAAATTCCTTATCCTGGCTCATCCTGGCTCAAAAGCTCCCCTACTGAGCACCTTGTGACCCCTACTCCTGCCTGCCAGAGAACAACCCCCCTTTTTCATTTACCTACCCAAATCCTATAAAATAGCCCCACCCCTAGCTCCCTTCACTGACTCTCTTTTCAGACTCAGCCCGCCTGCACCCAGGTGAAATAAATAGCCTCGTTGCTCACACAAAGCCTGTTTGGTGGTCTCTTCACATGGACACACATGAAATTTGGTGCCGTGACTCGAACTGGGGGACCTCCCTTGGGAGATCAATCCCCTGTCCTCCTGCTCTTTGCTCCATGAGAAAGATCCACCTACGACCTCAGGTCCTCAGACTGACCAGCCCAAGAAACATCTTACCAATTTCAAATCCGGTAAGCGGCCTCTTTTTACTCTCTTCTCCAACCTCTCTCACTATCCCTCAACCTCTTTCTCCTTTCAATCTTGGCACCACACTTCAATCTCTCCCTTCTCTTAATTTCAATTCCTTTCATTTTCTGGTAGAGACAAAGGAGACACGTTTTATCCGTGGACCCAAAACTCCAGTGCCAGTCATGGACTAGGGAAGGCAGCCTTCCCTTGGTGTTTAATCATTGCAGGGATGCCTCTCTGATTATTCACCCAGGTTTCAGAGGTGTCAGTCCACGCAGGGACGCCTGCTTTGGTCCTTCACCCTTAGCGGCAAGTCCCACTTTTCTGGGGGAGGGGCAAGAACCCCAACCCCTTCTCTGTGTCTCTACCCCTTCTCCGCTTTTCTGGGGGAGAGGCAAGAACCCCTCAACCCCTTCACCTTCACCCTTAGTGGCAAGTCCCACTTTTCTAGGGGAGGGGCAGGAACCCTGACCTCTTATCTCTGTGCCCCGATCCCTTATTTCCATGCCCTAACCTCTTATCTCTGTGCCCCAATCCCTTATTTCCACGCCCCCAACCTCTTATCTCTGTGCCCCAACCCCTTATTTCCATGCCCCAAACCCCTTCTCTGCTTTTCTGGAGGGCAAGAACCCCCACCTCTTCTCCGTGTCTCTACTCTCTTTTCTCTGGGCTTGCCTCCTTCACTATGGGCAAGCTTTCACCTTCCATTCCTCCTTCTCCCTTAGCCTGCGTTCTTAAGAACTTAAAACCTCTTCAACTCTCACCTGATCTAAAATCTAAGCATCTTATTTTCTCCTGCAATGCCGCTTGACCCCAATACAAACTTGACAGTGGTTCCAAATAGCCGGAAAACGGCACTTTCAATTTTTCCATCCTACAAGATCTAAATAATTCTTGTCGTAAAATGGACAAATGGTCTGAGATGCCTGACGTCCAGGCATTCTTTTACACATCGGTCCCTCCCTAGTCTCTGTTCCCAATGCAACTCATCCCAAATCTTCCTTCTTTCCCTCCCACCTGTCCCCTCAGTCCCAACCCCAAGCGTCGCTGAGTCTTTCTAATCTTCCTCTTCTACAGACCCATCTGACCCCTCCCCTCCTCGCCAGGCAGAGCTAGGTCCCAATTCTTCCTTAGCCTCCACTCCTCCACCCTATAATACTTTTATCACCTTCCCTCCTCACACCCGGTCCAGCTTACAGTTTCGTTCCATGACTAGCCCTCCCCAACCTGCCCAGCAATTTACTCTTAAAAAGGTGGCTAGAGCTAAAGACATAGTCAAGGTTAATGCTCCTTTTCCTTTATCCCAAATCAGAGAGTGTTTAGGCTCTTTTTCATCAAATATAAAAATCCAGCCCAGTTCATGGCTCATTTGGCAGCAACTCTGAGATGCTTTACAGCCCTAGACCCTAAAAGGTGAAAAGGCCGTCTTATTCTTAATATACATTTTATTACCCAATCTGCTCCCGACATTAAATAAAACTCCAAAAATTAAATTCCGGCCCTCAAACCCCACAACCAGACTTAATTAACCTCACCTTCAAGGTGTACAATAATAGAGTAGAGACAGCCAAGTAGCAATATATTTCTGAGTTGCAATTCCTTGCCTCCACTGTGAGACAAACCCCAGCCACATCTCCAGCACACAAGAACTTCCAAACGCCTGAACCGCAGCAGCCAGGCATTCCTCCAGAACCTCCTCCCCCAGGAGCTTGCTACAAGTGCTGGAAATCTGGCCATCGGGCCAAGGAATGCCTGCAGCCTGGGATTCCTCGTAAGCCGCGTCCCATCTCTGTGGGACCCCACTGAAAATTGGACTGTCCAACTCACCTGGCAGCCACTCCCAGAGCCCCCTGGAACTCTGGCCCAAGGCTCTCTGACTGACTCCTTCCCAGATCTTCTCGGCTTAGCAGCTGAAGACTGACACTGCCTGATCGCCTCGGAAGCCCTGTAGACCATCGTGGACGCCGAGCTTTAGGTAACTCTCACAGTGGAGGGTAAGTCCGTCCCCTTCTTAATCAATATGGAGGCTACCCACGCCACATTACCTTCTTTTCAAGGGCCTGTTTCCCTTGCCTCCATAACTGTTGTGGGTATTGACAGCCAGGCTTCTAAACCTCTTAAAACTCCCCAACTCTGGTGCCAACTTAGACAACACTCTTTTAAGCACTCCTTTTTAGTTATCCCCACCTGCTCAGTTCCCTTATTAGGCCGAGACACTTTAACTAAACATTCTGCTTCCCTGACTATTCCTGGACTACAGCCACATCTCATTGCCGCCCTTCTTCCCAATCCAAAGCCTCCTTTGCATCCTCCTCTTGTATCCCCCCACCTTAACCCACAAGTATAGGATACCTCTACTCCCTCCTTGGCAACTGATCATGCATCCCTTACCATCCCATTAAAACCTAATCACCCTTACCTCGCTCAATGCCAATACCCCATCCCACAGCATGCTTTAAAAGGATTAAAGCCTGTTATCACTCGCCTGCTACAGCATGGGCTTCTAAAACCTATAAATTCTCCTTACAATTCCCCCATTTTACCTGTCCAAAAACCGGACAAGTCTTACAGATTAGTTCAGGATCTGTGCCTTATCAACCAAATTGCTTTGCCTATCCACCCTGTGGTGCCCAACCTGTACACTCTTTTGTCCTCAATACCTTCCTCCACAACTCACTATTCTGTTCTTGATCTTAAAAATGCTTTTTTCACTATTCCCCTACACCCCTCGTCCCAGCCTCTCTTCGCTTTCACTTGTACTGACCCTGACACCCATCAGGCTCAGCAAATTACCTGGGCTGTACTGCTGCAAGCCCTCACAGATAGCCTCCATCACTTCAGTCAAGCCCAAATTTCTTCCTCATCTGTTACCTATCTTGGCATAATTCTCATAAAAACACATGTGCTCTCCCTGCCGATAGTGTCCAACTGATCTCTCAAACTACAGCACCTTCTACAAAACAACAACTCCTTTCCTTCCTGGGCATGGTTGGATACTTTTGCCTTTGGATACCTGGTTTTGCCATCCTAACAAAACCATTACATAAACTCACAAAAGGAAACCTAGCTGACCCCATAGATCCTAAATCCTTTCCCCACTCATCTTTCCATTCCTTGAAGACAGCTTTAGAGACTGTCCCCACCCTAGCTCTTCCTGACTCATCCCAACCCTTTTCATTACACACAGCCGAAGTGCAGGGCTGTGCAGTCAGAATTCTTACACAAGGACCGGGATTGCGTCCTGTAGCTTCTTTGTCCAAACAACTTGACCTTACTGTTTTAGGCTGGCCATCATGTCTCCGTGCAGCAGCTGCTGCCGCCCTAATACTTTTAGAGGCCCTTAAAATCACAAACTACGCTCAACTCACTCTCTACAGCTCTCATAACTTCCAAAATCTATTTTCTTCCTCACACCTGACGCATATACTTTCTGCTCCCTGGCTCCTTCAGCTGTACTCACTCTTTGTTGAGTCTCCCATAATTACCATTGTTCCTGGCCCGGACTTCAATCCGACCTCCCACATTATTCCAGATACCACACCTGACCCCTATGACTGCATCTCTCTGATCCACCTGACATTTACTCCATTTCCCCACATTTCCTTCTTTCCTGTTCCTCACCCTGATCACACTTGGTTTACTGATGGCAGCTCCACCAGGCCTAATCGCCACACACCAGCAAAGGCAGGCTATGCTATAGTACAAGCCACTAGCCCACCTCTTAGAACCTCTCATTTCCTTTGCATCGTGGAAATCTATCCTCAAGGAAATAACTTCTCAGTGTTCCATCTGCTATTCTACTACTCCTCAGGGATTATTCAGGCCCCCTCCCTTCCCTACACACCAAGCTCAAGGATTTGCCTCCACCCAGGACTGGCAAATTAGCTTTACTCAACATGCCCCAAGTCAAATAACTAAAATACCTCTTAGTCTAGGTAGACACTTTCACTAGATAGGTAGAGGCCTTTCCTACAGGGTCTGAGAAGGCCACTGCAATCACTTCTTCCCTTCTGTCAGACGTAATTCCTCAGTTTAGCCTTCCCACCTCTATACAGTCTGATAACAGACCAGCCTTTATTAGTCAAAACAGCCACGCAGTTTTTCAGGCTCTTAGTATTCAGTGAAACCTTTACATCCCTTACGGTCCTCAGTCTTCAGGGAAAGTAGAACAGACTAAAAGTCTTTTAAAAACACACCTCACCAAGCTCAGCCACCAACTTAAAAAGGACTGGACAATACTTTTACCACTTTCCCTTCTCAGAAGTCAGGCCTGTCCTCAGAATGCTACAGGGTACGGCCCATTTGAGCTCCTGTATAGACACTCCTTTTTATCAGGCCCCAGTCTCATCCCAGACACCAGACCAACTTGGACTGCGCCCCAAAAAACTTGTCATCTGTGCTGTTTTCTGTCTAGTCATACTCCTATTCACCATTCTCAACTACTCATACATGCCCTGCTCTTGTTTACAGTGCCAGTTTACACTGTTTTTCCAAGCCATCACAGCTGATACCTCCTGATGCTATCCCCAAACCGCCACTCCTAACTCTTAAAGTAAATAAATAATCTTTGCTGGCAAGGCTATGCTGAACCTCCTTAAGCACTCTCTAATTAGATGTCCTAGGTCCTCCCAATTCTTAGTCCTTTAATACCTGTTTTTCTCCTTCTCTTATTCCGTTTAGTTTTTCAATTCATACAAAACGGTATCCAGGCCATCACCAATAATTCTACATGACAAATGTTTCTTCTAACAACCCCCCACAATGTCATCCCTTACCACAAAATCTTCCTTCAGCTTAATCTCTCCCACTCTAGGCTCCCACACCGCCCCTAATCCCGCTCGAAGCAGCCCTGAGAAACATCGCCCATTCTCTCTCCATACCACCCCCCAAAAATTTTCACCATCCCAACACTTTACCACTATTTCATTTTATTTTTCTTATTAATATAAGAAGACAGGAATGTCAGGCCTCTGAGCCCAAGCTAAGCCATCATATCCCCTGTGACCTGCACATACACATAGAGATGGCCGGTTCCTGCCTTAACTGATGACATTATCTTGTGAAATTCCTTATCCTGGCTCATCCTGGCTCAAAAGCTCCCCTACTGAGCACCTTGTGACCCCTACTCCTGCCTGCCAGAGAACAACCCCCCTTTTTCCTTTACCTACCCAAATCCTATAAAATGGCCCCACCCCTAGCTCCCTTCACTGACTCTCTTTTCAGACTCAGCCCGCCTGCACCCAGGTGAAATAAACAGTCTTGTTGCTCACACAAAGCCTGTTTGGTGGTCTGTTCACACGGACGCACATGAAAGTGTGGACCCATTTTCAAATAACTCAGACAGAGGCAATGATTAGTCTCCTGTCACCACTGGATATGGATTCCAGGACATTGTTTCAGCCTCTTTACTATTAAAAAATAGCATAATAATTTTAAGGCACAAAAAGGGATAAGAAGCTACATAGAGAGAGAGATTGCTAGAAAGAATCAAAGAGGAAAAAAAATCTGTTGGAATGATAATAGCTATTTGCTTATAATTACACAAAGACCCTGGCTGGGTAAAAAAAAAAAAAAAATGCTAACTCCGTTTTACACACACAGAGTTCTCCTTTCCTTTATGTAAAAATAATGTTTCCCCATATTTCAAAATTTCCTATGTAAAACATTCTTCACAAAATCTGAACTTTCAATCAAATCCAGTCTATAGATGAGAGATAAGGAAAATTATGCAATAGCAATTTAGCACTCAATCTCTGTCATTTCAAGATGACAGCACCATTTGAAAAGGAAAAAGTACCATGAATTAAAATTCTGAAATAAAGGCATTTGGTTCATCTTGAATATGCCATGTGGAGCTCCCGCCCCCAGGGTAAGGCTCACTTTTTTCTACTCTGATTTACAGCTTGTTCTCCTGGGGGATACTCCAATTTCAAGGGCATTAAGTTACGATTTATTTACATAAGGCCAATCAAGGGTTATCCTGTTCTCAAAAATTAGGGGCCAGTACTGCTCCATAAATGGAACAAAAATGTTAATCACATTAAAATGGGGCCTCAATGATTGAAACAAGTAAGGCTGCAAATCAGAATGATTAATCATGATGACAAAACCAGAAACAAATTTCTATGCTAAAGAACAGCTTACTATCACTTTTTGCTTGTCTTCTCAAAGACAAATTCATGAAATTGGCATCTCAGAATGCCTCATCTTGGTCTTTCATGGTTCCAAAACAAAAGATCATTTTCCTTTCCTCTCTTCTCTCCCAGAAGCTATTACTTTTCTAAAATATAGGAATGAAAAGTCAGGTGTACAGATGAAGTTCGTCATATAAAGGAGTCAGGAAAAGAGATGGAAAATGTAAAAAACAAAAAGACTTCTTTGATGAAATCTATTCTTTGATCACAACATGTCTCAGTCAACGAAATATGAGGAAAGTTGAGGAGATCTTGCTCTACTACGCCCTGCTCTAATTGTGCTACTTTGGGTGAATTCTGAATTTCTAGAAGCAAAATATGATAAAATTAGCTTTACATTGGACAAATAGTATGTTACTTTATTTGATCTCTTTACTGTCTGTAAAACTGAGAAGCCAAGAATTAAGACAAGAAAACAAGGCCCTGATTTCCATTTTCACTACTACAATGATAGTTACCAAAAGTAAATAAATAAGGATCAGAACACTCAACACAGATACTCCGTATGATGCAAAGATTTCAGTAATTACCAAGATTTCTAGAAATCCTATATTCCGTATCACTAAAGCATTTCATTCTTCATGAGAAAATAGGAAAAATCAAAATAGATGCCTCAAGAGAAAGATTAAACAAAGAGCAGAAAATACTTATATAGAAGACATTATCAATTTATGAAACAACCGAAAATTATTTTTGCAAGTTGCAGAATGTATCAAAGCTGTATGAGATTGAAAGCTCAAAGATTGGGAATAAATGTAACAAATAAATTTTAAATGTTTTAAATCATAAATTATATTATCTGTACTTAATTACATTGTTGCTAGTGAGTACATATTTGTACATATTTATACTATTAATATGTTTATGCCTGAAAGCATTTATTATAAACAATTTTTTTGAAATTTTTCAAAACTAGTCACCACTTTCATATCAATGGTGGTGTTTCTTCAATTTTTCACTACTTAAAACCCACTTAATGAACATTAGGCAGAAATGCAAACATCATCTTTTAGGTAAAATTTTTAAACATTAAAAACAAATTTATATAAAATTTTTTTAAATTAAAAATCATTTCTTATCAGTTAAAGAGAACCTGTTATTTGCACATTTTCAGTCACAATTTAAATGTCGTGGTAATGGTTACTCCCAGAGGCTTCCAGTTTCACATCCCAACTTGTTTCTTTTCTTAGTCTTTATTTGTACTGTACTAGAGAAGCCCTATTTAAAATTAATTGTCATTAAGAACAGTGGCAAATGTTTGGTATTTCTTTCAAATATTTAGATGTCTTTGGAATAAAATGTTTCTGCCCAGAAAAGAAGGGTTCAGATTATTCAGACATCAAATACATTGCTGAGGGTGTCACTTGAATAACTGATACAAATAAAAGTGGCCTTTATTTGTATTATTGGTGTCGTATGAAAAACATGCCTTTTTCAAAAAAAAATAGAGTAATTCATTTTTTCTCTACTCCCTGATGAACTTCAATTTGGAAAAGCAGAAATTTATCCTTGAAACCCAGAAAATAAATCCCAAAGACTTACATCTATGGCTATAATTTTTTGAGTATTTCTTTCACCACCAAATCAGTATGAGGAAGCATAGCGTTGACCACCAAATGTCATCTGTGAATACAGCAGTGTGAGAATTTCCTTGTTGCACATATGGCTGTGCTCCATCAGCCTTCACCCCGGGGTATGTTTTCTAGGCTACATCACAGACTCCAAGATAACCATTTACTGAGTTAAAAATAACTTTCATTGCTAGAGTTTGGATTTCCAATAACAAGTAAGGCAAACAGTTGCCAGGCACCACTCCCTCATATATGTACCACACAAGTGCCAAATGCTGATTTATACAGCCCGTTCTTCTGTACTGTGCTCTATAGTAAGTACTATAGTAAGTATGGTATATAGTATATAGTAAGTATAGTATATAGTACTATAGTAAGCATAGTAAGTACTATAGAACAGAATATAGAACCACTCTTCCAGGACAGCAACCGCTTTTCCAGTGCTGGCAGATTCCAGGGGTGTCCATTTGGTTCAGAAATGTTGCCAAAAGTTCATCATGTTTCCCCGCTGGACATAACATTTGTCATTAAACTTTTGGCTTATTTTACCACCATCTCAGTCATAGTGTGACATTTACCTGATTATTTTTAACAAAGAGTGCAAAGTTGAATTATGCTCTTATGACTTTGGTGATTTCCCCACCTTTTGCAACAAAATACATTAATGTTGATGGGGAAAGTATTATCTTACTTTCCAGAGAAACTTAATCAGTTCAACAAAAAGGTCATTGTGTTTTGTTTGAAAACTGGAAGAACGTTTCAAAGTTTCAAAGTCACTATGTGACAAATGTATTATAATTGGATAAGGGGTAAAAAATATAAAATAAAATATAAAAATCATTCACATCTTATTTCTGATTCAAACTTTTCTTTTGTGGCTGCTTGAGTAAACCCATCACACTATCCTGACATGAACAAATTATAGTCTACATGTGCATTGGAGTTTTGATCACCAACCACTTGCAGTTTTTACATTAATTTGAATTGTAGGCCAGGTGCAGTGGTTCATTTAATTCTAACAGTTTGGGAGGTCGAGGGAGGAGGATTGCTTGAGCCCAGAAGTTTGAGACCAGCCTGGACAACATGATGTCTCTATATTAAAATTAAAAATATATACATGAATTGTAGTATTTATATTACTACTGTAATCACAACATTCATGCTTTGGCACCGTCCAACCCGCGGCCCACGACCCACATGAGGCCCAGGATGGCTTTTAATGCAGCACAACACAAATTTGTAAACTTTCTTAAAATATTATGAGGTTTTTTTTTTTTTGCGATTTTTTTTTTTTTAGCTCATCAGCGATCGTTAGTGTTAGGGTATTTTATGTGTGGCTCAAGAGAGTTCTTTCTACGTGGCCCAGGGAAGCCAAAAGATTGAACACCCCTTCTCTAGTGAATGTTTTTGTGCTGGTGATCTGCTTATTGTGAATCGAGAATATGATTCATCAAAATACTAACAATAAAAAAGAAAAAAATTAACAGATATAAATAATTAGAAAAAACTACAGGAAATCATATATTTTGGGGGAAGTGCACCATTAACTGAATATTTGCTGAGACAGCATGGCCAACACTTTGCAATGTTTTCATAGCCTTGGAGAGCATAATAGTACTTAACAAGATTAAAAAAAAATGCCTATGAAGGCATGGGCAAGGACTTCATGTCTAAAACACCAAAAGCAATGGCAACAAAAGCCAAAATAGACAAATGGGATCTAATTAAACTAAAGAGCTTCTGCACAGCAAAAGAAACTACCATCAGAGTGAACAGGCAACCTACAGAATGGGAACAAATTTTTACAATCTACTCATCTGACAAAGGGCTAATATCCAGAATCTACAAAGAACTTAAGCAAATTTACAAGAAAAAAATCAAACAACCCCATCAAAACTTGGGCAAAGGATATGAACAGACACTTCTCAAAAGAAGACATTTATGCAGCCAACACACATGAAAAAAATGCTCATCATCACTGGCCATCAGAGAAATATAAATCAAAACCAAAATGAGATACCATCTCACACCAGTTAGAATGGCAATCATTAAAAAGTCAGGAAACAACAGGTGCTGGAGAGGATGTGGAGAAGTGGGAACACTTTTACACTGTTGGTGGGACTGTAAACCAGTTCAACCATTGTGGAAGACAGTGTAGATTCCTCACAGGGATCTAGAACTAGAAATACCATTTGACCCAGCCATCCCATTACTGGGTATATACCCAAAGGATTATAAATCATGCTGCTATAAAGACACATGCACACATATGTTTATTGCAGCAGTATTCACAATAGCAAAGACTTGGAACCAACCCAAATGGCCATCAATGATAGACTGGATTAAGAAAATGTGGCACATATATACCATGGAATACTATGCAGCCATAAAAAATGATGAGTTCATGTCGTTTGTAGGGACATGGATGAAGCTGGAAACCATCATTCTCAGCAAACTATCACAAGGACAGAATACCAAACACCACGTGTTCTCACTCATAGGTGGGAACTGAACAATGAGAACACTCGGGCACAGGGTGGGGAACATCACACACCGGGGCCTGTCATGGGGTGGGGGGAGGGAGGAGGGATAGCATTAGGAGATACACCTAATGTAAATGACGAGTTAATGGGTGCAGCACACCAACATGGCACATGTATACATATGTAACAAATCTGCACGTTGTGCACATGTACCCTAGAACTTAAAGTATAATAATAAAAAAATAAAAGTAGTAAAAATGGAAAATAACAAAAAAATGCCTATGAAAACCATAACTAAACTTACATTTCAAACTTCCAAAAATTTTGAATGTATATATATGAACAAATATTTTTCTTTTAAATGATAGGTAACCTGTGGACAGAACGATTGGTTGGTAATTTTGGGGCTTTACTTTGAGAAATACTGGTTATCTAGGCATTTGCCATTATCAAAAACCTTTGATCCTCAACAAGGAGTCTTTTCAAAGTTTTAGCAACATTTTTTAGCTTGGAATTAATTTTTGTCTTCACTTTGCATGTATTTATTGAGTCTTAGTAGTTACCAGGTATTGCGTTAGATGCTAGGAGAGACACAAAGAATAAAAAGACATGTCTTCTGCCTTCTAGGAGTTTATAATTAACAGGTACTACAGGTATGCACACAGTCATAATTCAAGACATTGATAGGGTTATGCTCAAATGATAAAAATCCACTATGCTCACAGAAAAGAAAAACTGATTATGAGAACTGGCCAATGCTTGGTAGAACGCTGCATTTCAGGTGAACCTTAAAGAAGCGGAGAACACAAGAAGACCATGGAGAAGCATCAAGACTTGGGAAGCACAAGCTCGATCTGGGTTTCCTGGCAGAGATGATGCAAAAGGGAGGCAAGAAACTGCAGGTCAGATCAGAGTGGCCCTTGAATGCCATGCTATGAGGCATTCATTTTTCACACAGTAAGGATCTAGCAAAAGTTTCTGGGAAACTGAAATAAAAGTATTAGGCCTGTGATTTAAGAAAATCCTTCTGGCAGCATTGAAACAAAAGTGGCAAAGAATATTAAGAAGTGGTTTATTCTGAAGAAGTAGGAAAGAAAAAGGGAAAAAATCATCCAGATATCCAAATCACCTCCAGGCATTAGAAAGGTACGAATTAAACATGTGAATGTGAAGAGCAGGTGTACTTTCTGAGGTCACTTGGAATCAGAGAGAGGCAGGTAGTCCCTTCCCAGCCCCAATTTAAGGGCAGGAGAGGAGGCAAGCTGTGTGCATGGAAGGACAGTTATGGAGCCAGATCACTTGATTTCAAAGATACTTCTCTACATGCAGATACGTAGCTATATGCACTCCTTATGCAAACACGTGTATATCTATATGTATGTATGCGAGTACCTGAATGCATGTAAATTCTATATGCAGATATATAACTATATGCACTCCTTATGCAAACACGTGTATATCTATATGTATGTATGCTAGTGCCTGAATGCATGTAAATTCTACATGCAGATATATAACTATATGCACTCCTTATGCAAACACATGTATATCTATATGGATGTATGCTAGTGCCTGTATGCATGTAAATTCTATATGCAGATATATAACCACATGCACTCCTTATGCAAACACATGTATATCTATATGTATGTATGCTAGTGCCTGTATGCATGTAAATTCTATATGCAGATATATAACTATATGCACTCCTTATGCAAACACATGTATATCTATATGTATGTATGCTAGTGCCTGAATGCATGTAAATGGAATCTGGATGGATGTGAACAGTGATTTACATGGACACAAATTTGGTCAGTATGGTGCATACTGCGACTAAAACCTGGTTTACAAAATGTGATCCACGTAGGCAGTTACTGTCATTATGGTCTTTCACAACTGACTTATGATTAATGAGGGCAGTTGAAGCATGAATTAGTTTTGGGAGAGTGTGATATATTTCAAGACCCCTAAATTAAGGTCCCTAAGGGAGCACTCTGATTCTTTCGCATAGCAGATTCCTGTTCTTCAGCAACTTGTCTCACCACTTTTGACCTCACCCATTTCCTTCCCAGACCATGTTCCAGCCAGCTATTGCCAGCCCAGCCTCACTTCTGAAAAGAGAACATCACAGTCACAAAACATATTTTACTACAGGTTTGAGTGTAGAGGAGTTAAATTTATTGAATAATAAGTAAACTAATGATCTCATAAAATCAATGAGCCTCCCCAAAGGATATCAAGTCCTCCCAAATAAAGCACTACATTATCCAAGAAATATGCTTGCTGCTCCACTGGCCAACAATTTTCATCTCGGTTATACATATTATAATATTACATACACCCTTTGGAGAACTAGAGACAGACTAAGGAAATTTTGAATACTTTGAAGGAAATGATATTATAATGTACTGATAGGCCTTTCTCTGTGTATTTTAAATCCCCATGGCTCTCTCCGTTGAAGCAGCAAGGTTCTTCCATCATAACGAACTCAGGGAAAAGTTCTTATGCTGGCATGACTGGGAAACTCTTGGGAGGGAAAAAGGAGGGTCAGGACAAGTCATAACCCTGGACTCTTCTGGGCAAACCTGGATGTATGATCTCTCTATGTATAGAGGACGACATGGGTAAAATCTACAGAAAATTACAGCTACATTTCTTGCAAACGTGAGTTTGCGGTCTGTGGTCATTCCCACCCACATTTTTCTATACAACCATCCCACCTAGTTACCAAATAAGAAAAAAGATAAACAGTTGGGCTTGCTGCCTCAATGGCGATACCCATCATCAAGGATCAGTATTCAAGTGGCTCTTTTTTCAGTTGCGAACTGCATCGCAGTCTCTCTGGAGGTATTCCCTGGTCACCAGAAGGTCAGCTGCAACCCAGTCTCTATATGCCACTTGTGCATGTCACCACCAGGTAACTGGAAATGACTATGTGTGGTGTCGTGAGCCTCCTCAAGAATTTTCCCAAACAGTCTCAGATGAGCCAAGGTGTATTGACACATCTGTTTAGTCAGACTTACCCAACACCTGCTCTCCTAGGTCCTGAACATACAGCACTAATAATTTCAGGGTAATTGTTTTTACGAGCACCAATATTGGGCAAATCCACATGATTTTTTTTTCTCCCAATACATTCTGTTTGGAACCCAAAAAATGAAAACAAAATTCTCTGAGCTGAGACAGCTCCTGCATCCTTAGCCCATCCCAAGGTATAAGCCAGGATAATTACAGAGTGACATATGTTGACGGCAATAAAGCAGTTACGCATGTTCACTATTTGTTCTGAAGATTAACTGTCTACCACACTGCGGTATTTAAGCATGAGACCATTTCAGATTTAATGCACATTCCCCTACGACACCCCCCCACCATAAAACATAGCTAAGGAAAAAAATACAATTTACACGACTTACAACCATTTCACTAATATAAACAATGCTGGTGCAAAACAGTTGGCACCCAAAAAGACAATTTATATACTCCCTGCTCTTCCCTGCTGCCAAATCCAGGGTGACATGTTCATTGTTTTCCTCATAAAAATCTACAATTGCTTCTGCAAGAGCAAGAACAAAGACTGACTTTTTATTTCATTTTTATAAGCATGGATGAGCAGATGATATTCACAGGGGCCAAAACGAATACTAAGTTTCAGTCTGTCAGATCCCCAAATGGCAAAGACATTAAACCTCCATTTAATAGCTGCTAATGGAATCACTAGAACATTGTCAAGCTTTAGGGGTGCTTTTACGGTACAATTCTGATACGTGCCAACTCCTTCTATGATTAGACTCAGGTTAAAGACAGACCTAAAACACTCTCCTGCTGAAACCACTGAATAATCATTAACACTTAAGTAAATGCGAATAAACAAACAAATGAAAATATTCCAGGTAATTGAAGTTCAAGTGTGATAGAAACTGAAGATAAAGCTTTTTTCTATTAAGAAATAAATGACTCATTCCAACTCACTCACAGCCCTCAACACATTAATTTTTATCACTGAGATATGACTTTATGCAAATTATGTCAAGTAATTCAGCCACTACTTTAATACCACACTCTACATAAAACAAACACATTCAATGCCAAGCTGGCAGAGCACCCCCAGTATGCACTACAAGTGCAAAAATAACAACATGGAAGGTTTCTTTTTGAAGGTTGAATTATTTGAGAGAAAATTAAACCATTTCTTTTAGACCAATCTAGCTGAGCAAATAAGACTTCTGTAAAGATTAAGGAGCCTATAGCACAAGAAACGCAGCATATTCATTTGCTATAGCTTCTACTCTTTGAATTTTACACTGGAGACCTAAAAAAAGAATAGCTTAAATCTAAAATAGTCCATTATGAGACATTTCACATGCATAAATTCTCAATATTTCATAAATACTGTAACTATGAAAAAATCATTCATGCCTTAGATTTAGAAAATGGACCCTTGTGGAATATTGCCTTTCTCAACCTCAGCAAACAGAAGTTAAATATTTATAAAACAAAATATACTGAAACTATTTCAATTCTTGTGGGGGTAAAACAGACACTTTAAAGGAATCAGCCTGAACTTAGGAATCTTCTGTGTATTAATAGTGAATATACATATGCAAAAACTCTCTACAGAAGTATTAAAATTGATAGAGTTCCTAAATTTTCATCTCATATCAGAATATATAAAAACAGGGGTTACTCAATTATTTTACTAACTGATTGATATTGTCAGTCAATATTGATTAGTTTGGTATTTAAAAATATATGGAAGTAAACTAAAAATAACTACTGCTTAGAAAACTTCAGCTGATATGTGGAAGGATTAGATAACTGGAACACTACAGAAAGGAGCAAAATGAAGAGTAGAATTCTCTCTCACTCAACTAACCCCATCTTTTTCCAAAGGCAGGCACTATTTAATTTTACTTCTGTTTCCTTCTGGAAAGGGGGAGAAAAAGATTGATTAATGTAGCAATAAATCTATCTAAATGTGCATATTTTTAAAAACTTAACACTTCTGTACCTTACCTTTAAGATTATTATTTTTTTTTATTATTATTATACTTTAAGTTTTAGGGTACATGTGCACAAAGTGCAGGTTAGTTACATATGTATACATGTGACATGCTGGTGTGCTGCACCCATTAACTCATCATGTAGCATTAGGTATATCTCCTAATGCTATCCCTCCCCCCTCCCCCCACCCCACAACAGTCCCCAGAGTGTGATGTTCCCTTTCCTGTGTCCATGTGTTCTCATTGTTCAATTCCCACCTATGAGTGAGAACATGCGGTGTTTGGTTTTTTGTCCTTGCGATAGTTTACTGAGAATGATGATTTCCAATTTCATCCATGTCCCTACAAAAGACATGAACTCATCATTTTTTATGGCTGCATAGTATTCCATGGTGTATATGTGCCACATTTTCTTAATGCAGTCTATCATTGTTGGACATCTGGGTTGGTTCCAAGTCTTTGCTATCGTGAATAGTGCCGCAATAAACATACGTGTGCATGTGTCTTTATAGCAGCATGATTTACAGTCCTTTGGGTATATACCCAGTAATGGGATGGCTGGGTCAAATGGTATTTCTAGTTCTAGATCCCTGAGGAATCGCCACACTGACTTCCACAATGGTTGAACTAGTTTACAGTCCCACCAACAGTGTAAAAGTGTTCCTATTTCTCCACATCCTCTCCAGCACCTGTTGTTTCCTGACTTTTTAATGATTGCCATTCTAACTGGTGTGAGATGGTATCTCATTGTGGTTTTGATTTGTATTTCTCTGATGGCCAGTGATGATGAGCATTTTTTCATGTGTCTTTTGGCTGCATAAATGTCTTCTTTTGAGAATTGTCTGTTCATATTCTTTGCCCACTTTTTGATGGGGTTGTTTTTTTCTTGTAAATTTGTTTGAGTTCATTGTAGATTCTGGATATTAGCCCTTTGAAAGATGAGTAGGTTGCGAAAATTTTCTCCCATTCTGTAGGTTGCCTGTTCATTCTGACGGTAGTTTCTTTTGCTGTGCAGAAGCTCTTTAGTTTAATTAGATCCCATTTGTCAATTTTGGCTTTTGTTGCCATTGCTTTTGGTGTTTTAGACATGAAGTCCTTGCCCATGCCTATGTCCTGAATGGTAATGCCTAGGTTTTCTTCCAGGGTTTTTATGGTTTTAGGTCTAACATTTAAGTCTTTAATCCATCTTGAATTAATTTTTGTAAAAGGTGTAAAGAAGGGATCCAGTTTCAGCTTTCTACATATGGCTAGCCAGTTTTCCCAGCACCATTTATTAAAAAGGGAATCCTTTCCCCATTGCTCGTTTTTCTCAGGTTTGTCAAAGATCAGATAGTTGTAGATATGCGGCATTATTTCTGAGGGCTCTGTTCTGTTCCACTGATCTATATGTCTGTTTTGGTACCAGTACCATGCTGTTTTGGTTACTGTAGCCTTGTAGTATAGTTTGAAGTCAGGTAGCATGATGCCTCCAGCTTTGTTCTTTTGGCTTAGGATTGACTTGGCAATGCGGGCTCTTTTTTGGTTCCATATGAACTTTAAAGTAGTTTTTTCCAATTCTGTGAAGAAAGTCATTGGTAGCTTGATGGGGATGGCATTGAATCTATAAATTACCTTGGGCAGTATGGCCATTTTCACGATATTGATTCTTCCTATCCATGAGCATGGAATGTTCTTCCATTTGTTTGTATCCTCTTTTATTTCATTGAGCAGTGGTTGGTAGTTCTCCTTGAAGAGGTCCTTCACATCCCTTGTAAGTTGGATTCCTAGGTATGTTATTCTCTTTGAAGCAATTGTGAATGGGAGTTCACTCATGATTTGGCTGTTTGTCTGTTTTTGGTGTATAAGAATGCTTGTGATTTTGGTACATTGATTTTGTATCCTGAGACTTTGCTGAAGTTGCTTATCAGCTTAAGGAGATTTTGGGCTGAGACAATGGGGTTTTCTAGATATACAATCATGTCATCTGCAAACAGGGACAATTTGACTTCCTCTTTTCCTAATTGAATACCCTTTATTTCCTTCTCCTGCCTAATTGCCCTGGCCAGAACTTCCAACACTATGTTGAATAGGAGTGGTGAGAGAGGGCATCCCTGTCTTGTGCCAGTTTTCAAAGGGAATGCTTCCAGTTTTTGCCCATTCAGTATGATATTGGCTGTGGGTTTGTCATAGATAGCTCTTATTATTTTGAGATATGTCCCATCAATACCTAATTTATTGAGAGTTTTTAGCATGAAGGGTTGTTGAATTTTGTCAAAGGCCTTTTCTGCATCTATTGAGATAATCACGTGGCTTTTGTCTTTGGTTCTGTTTATATGCTGGATTACATTTATTGATTTGCGTATATTGAACCAGCCTTGCATCCCAGGGATGAAGCCCACTTGATCATGGTGGATAAGCTTTTTCATGTGCTGCTGGATTCGCTTTGCCAGTATTTTATTGAGGATTTTTGCATCAATGTTCATCAAGGATATTGGTCTAAAATTCTCTTTTTTGGTTGTGTCTCTGCCCGGCTTTGGTATCAGAATGATGCTGGCCTCATAAAATGAGTTAGGGAGGATTCCCTCTTTTTCTATTGATTGGAATAGTTTCAGAAGGAATGGTACCAGCTCCTCCTTGTACCTCTGGTAGAATTCGGCTGTGAATCCATCTGGTCCTGGACTCTTTTTGGTTGGTAAGTTATTGATTATTGCCACAATTTCAGAGCCTGTTATTGGTCTATTCAGAGATTCAACTTCTTCCTGCTTTAGTCTTGGGAGGGTGTATGTGTCGAGGAATTTATCCATTTCTTCTAGATTTTCTAGTTTATTTGCGTAGAGGTGCTTGTAGTATTCTCTGATGGTAGTTTGTATTTCTGTGGGATCGGTGGTGATATCCCCTTTATCATTTTTTATTGTGTCTATTTGATTCTTCTCTCTTTTTTTATTAGTCTTGCTAGCGGTCTATCAATTTTGTTGATCCTTTCAAAAAACCAGCAACTGGATTCATTAATTTTTTGAAGGGTTTTTTGTGTCTCTATTTCCTTCAGTTCTGCTCTGATTTTAGTTATTTCTTGCCTTCTGCTAGCTTTTGAATGTGTTTGCTCTTGCTTTTCTAGTTCTTTTAATTGTGATGTTAGGGTGTTAATTTTGGATCTTTCCTGCTTTCTCTTGTGGGCATTTAGTGCTATAAATTTCCCTCTACACACTGCTTTGAATGTGTCCCAGAGATTCTGGTATGTTGTGTCTGTGTTCTCATTGGTTTCAAAGAACATCTTTATTTCTGCCTTCATTTCGTTATGTACCCAGTAGTGATTCAGGAGCAGGTTGTTCAGTTTCCATGTAGTTGAGCGGCTTTGAGTGAGTTTCTTAATCCTGAGTTCTAGTTTGATTGCACTGTGGTCTGAGAGACAGTTTGTTATAATTTCTGTTCTTTTACATTTGCTGAGGAGAGCTTTATCTCCTGACCTCGTGATCCGCCCGCCTCGGCCTCCCAAAGTGCTGAGATTACAGGTGTGAGCCACCCTGCCCGGCTCGGGCAAGGTTGGAAGACCTTTAAGATTATTTAAAAGAGCCGGGCACGGTGGCTCACGCCTGTAATCTCAGCACTTTGGGAGGCGAGGCGGGAGGATCACGAGGTCAGGAGATCGAGACCATCCTAGCTAACACGGTGAAACACCATCTCTACTAAAAATGCAAAAAATTAGCCAGGTGAGGTGGCGGGCACCTGTATTCCCAGCTACGCGGGAGGCTGAGGCAGGAGAATGGCGTGACCCGGGAGGCAGAGCTTGCAGTGAGCTGAGATGGCACCACTGCACTCCAGCCTCTGCGACAGCGAGACTCTGTCTCAAAAAAAAAAAAAAAAAAAAAAGATTATTTAAAAGTATTAATATAATTGTATATACTACAGCTATTTCCCTTTCAGTAAAAACAGTTAATTTTAAAAGATTTTCATAATTCTTCATCATATTGTGTTATTTAAACAGTCTCATATTAACGAATCCTACCATTGTTTTCAATTGTGTGTCAGAAGGAGAGGGTGTATAAATAAAGCTGGAATGAACATCATTGTACAAACATGTTGGTGAACTTCTCCAAGTATTTGCTGAGGGTAAATTCCTCTCAGTGAAAACATTTTTGGTCAAACAGTATGACCAAAATTTCTGATAAATATTCTGAAACTTCACAAGATAGTTCACCATATTTTATATCCTCAGAATTGAGAGTCCTTTATCAATATATCCACTCTGGAAATTTCCAGGTTTAATTATTTGCCAAACAATGTGGGTATAAATATTAGATTTTCCCTATGATTTATATTTATGTGTTTTTCTTCTATTTCTGTATGAGACTTACCAACAATTTATGTTTAAATACCCAGTGATTTTTCTTTGTTTACAAATGAACTGTTCATATTTTTCTAGGAGGTTGGTTGTTTTTGTCTATGAGATTTAAAAATTAAGAAAAATTAATGTTGATATTTATGCAAATAATTTTCTCCAGTCTATCATTAGTCTTTTGTCCTTTCTCATACTGTTTTCTCCTCAAAGTTTGTTTTCTAATATGTTTAATGTTGTGAAGTTTATTGATCTTTTCTTTATAAATTTTGAGTCTTAAATCCTTTTTATAGCACTTCCCTCTGCCAAGATTCTAAGTACATTTAGCAAAACTTTTGAAGAACAATTGTTTCAGGCTTTTAAAAATATATTTAATACTTTCTTCCATCTGGAATTTATTTTAAGGTAGAAATTAAGATAGGGATACAGGTTTATCCTTTTCTGCAACAATTAGCCAGCTATTCCACATTATTTACTGAAGGTTCTCTTTTCTCAGTTATTTAAAAAATAATACTATTATCACAAATTAATGTTACAAATATGCAAATCTATGGGTGGCCCCTTTATTTTGCTCTTCTCCAGTACCAATTTATTTTAATTATTGCAACTTCCTGATGTATTTTAAAATCTGATAAAGTTAGTTCATCCCTCATTACTTTTCTTTTTCAAAATTGCCGTGAATATTATTTTCTAGGTCAATTGTAATAGCAAAATGGTCTTGCATTTTGTCAAATATTTGTTGTTTTCTTCATCTTTTATAATTTTTCTTTTGATTTCTTCTGTAACTCAAGAATTATTTGAAAGTTTTTTTTAAGTGATTGGATTTTGTTGTCCTTCTATTAAGCTCTAGTTTTATTATATATTGGCCAGTGAGGTAGTTCATATTATTTTACCTTTTTGGGCTATATAAAAGTTTTCTTTGAGGTCTAATATATGTTTCATTTCCGTGTATGGCCTAAGGTATTGCAATAAAGTGATTCTCTAGAAATAGCCATAATTCATTCTTTCATCAATCCATCCAACCAACTGGCTATCAAGTTATCTATTTCTACATCTACATTTGCTTTAACTTTTTATCGATTTTATTCAGACCCTTTAAATTGCAACTAATTTTTTTTCTACGTAATCTTTTAATGGCTGACATGATGAATTAACATCTCTTACCACCACCATATTTTGTTAAATTCTCTTTGCATTTCCTGCAGCTGAAAACTTTTTATTTTACTTCATTTTAGATATGTTATTTAGACCATAAAGATTTATACAATTATAGTCACATTGTGAATTGCAACTTTTATCATACACTGAGTTTTTTCATCTCACTTAGCCCTTTTCTTGGCTTGGATTTAATAGTCTGAAAGTAGTATTATGAATTTTAGTTTTATTTTTGTTAGCATTTAACTGTTTACCTTATTGTTCACTTTTAATTCAATGAGTAACATCTTTAGAATTATTTCTTGTATATAGTATATAGATGGGATTTCTTTTTTCATGTAGTAACTCAATATATGAGTATTGTTCTCATTTATATTACATATATATCATTATCTTAACAAGTACTAAACATTCATATTCATTGATATAACAAATGCAATCAACTTCTTATGTTTTACATTCTAAATGTAATGTTTCTTTTGTTTTTAAGCTTCTACATGGATTGCCTCTTTATGTGTTACATACATGTTTTCCCCTTGGTGATTTGTAAGTTTTAAAGTCTGTTTTTAGTCATTCTATTCTACACAGCCTTCTAGTTCAATGTCTAAAAAGAGAGTTGAGCAATTCAATCTTCCATTATCAAGATTCTCTCAACATTTTTAATAATAATTTTGTATGTTGTCAAAATTTACAATATTTACTTCCTGTAATCCTCAATCTCATGATCGTTTAATTTCCATCTATACTTAAATGATATCAATGATTATTCTACCCTTTACCACAATTTCCCCATGTAATCCCCTGTTTTATCATTAAATAATCTGTTTCTGCTTTTGAGCTTGTGGTGTAAGTGACTTGTTTATTTTTCTCACCAAATCCTGAAAAATTTCATCTTTATATTAATTTGGTGCAAAAGTAATTGCGGTTTTTGCCATTAATACTTGAAACTTAATGGCTTAATAAAGGTGTGTTTTAGTGTTACTCATTTATACCCACATTTTTCTCCCCTGAAACATAATGTGTCCTTGTTTCTACAGATTTAGTTCTTCATTGATTCCCTACATTTTATTTTCTTAATTTGCCTGTTATTAGTCTCCATGTCAACCATGATAAACTTGGGCAGGTTAATCTAGAACCTCTATGTGCATGATTAGAATACGGGTCAATTCTTTTTGATTCCCTTCTTACCTTAGCTGAGATTTAGCTTCCCGTATAAACTACAATTTGAGTTCTGCTTATACCAGGGGTCATTTGTCAAGGGGGAGTGTTTGGGCTTTGGCAGGGTCTTGGTTAGTGTTTTGGAGTTTTGCCATCTCCTCTCTGGTTTTGTAATTATTTTATGCCAAGGTCTGCTTCACTTTATTGGGAATCAATTCAGTGCCTATGGCTTCAGAGAGTTTCCCTTACTCACCTCAGGGCCTCTGAGCCTCTACTTCCATCAGGAGTACCTCAGGAGATTTATTTAACCCAATTAGCTGCTCTCTTCCTCAGATATAACAGAGATAAGGCATTAAGGCAATAGGCAGGTTGAAGTCAACTCCCAGGGATTCTAGTATACACTTCCCTACTCATTCCAACTCCTTTGTCCCATTCTCCTCTTTTGTTTACTGATCAATTACAACCTTGTTTATTGCAAAAGTTAATTAGCTTTGACTGTTTTTGGTCATTCTGTTTTTTATCCCCTAATTTCATGCCATCATGGAGACATCAAGGTGGAAAAAATATTACTCTCTTGTGAGCAAGAAGACTGCCACCCTTAGGGAAATGTCCCTGTTTCTTCTCTCAGCCTGCCTCATTAGCTTCTCCACAGTTGGGATGAGAGTAGGGTGTTTTCAGGATTTTATTTTGTTTATTTCTCCCCTATTTGGTTTATGCAGAGAGCAACTAGATGCACATTGCCTATTACCAAAGCCAGACATGCAGTCTCTGGGGCTTAGATCTGCTTCCTTTGCTAGATAGTAGTATTTTCTTCTCATTGACGATCGGGAGTTTTTTCCTCCTTGGACTAGATGGATGGATGGGTGGATGGATGAATGGTGAATGGTCAGTGCTGATTTTTAATTTTATATTGTTCATACCATTGGGTTAAGAGGGAACAATATTTTGAGATTCAGCTTCACTTTGCTATGTTAAACAAGAGAATCTTGTTCACAATTATGAACTGACCCATGATATACTTTTGGAAGTGTTATTTAAAACACAATATGGGTCCTGCATAACTTAATTACACTGTTTAATGTTCATCGTAAAATGGGAATAAAACTGAAACTGGAGGTGGGTGACCAGGAAGCACAGGGACAAGAGAAGAACAGATGTGGATCATCCTAAGAACATCTACCCCTCTACTGCTTTCTGTTCCTCTTCACACGCCAGAAATTAATCTCTATGAACTCTGCCCACCTGAGTGACTCACATTATTCAAGGCACCCATAGAAATACAACAAAAGCAACCAGGAGGCAGAGGCAGAAATGCTAAAAGCCATTTAGGTCTAGCATCTGTTTCACCAAGCCCATTCTGCCTTCTGGACACCAAGAGCCTGTTTTCCGTAAATTAAAGTTACAAGCAAAGAAGCAACCATAGTAATCAGTCGTAAGAGAGAGCAAAGGGTTGACACTCAGCAAAGCTTGCTTTAGGGATTTATTCTGAATAAAAACAACTTGGAATGATTAAACACAGTTGATATATAAACTAAATGTTTTCAAGCCACAGTTATACAAGAAAAATTACCTTTAGATTAATTTAAGTAGTCTATTCTTCAGTGCATTTAAAATAGGGATAGAAAAGTTGGATACAATTTTCAGGAATCTTTCTATTGTGTTACATGAGCCATGCCATGTAAATCTGTGCAAGGAATTGGGGTTGGTGGGAGGAATAAAGAAATAAAATTCCTTTCCGTTAGTTCCAGTTTGCCCATTAGTTATACCACTGAAATGGTATTTCTAAGGATTCCAGAATTAAAAACAAATTACTTAGGAACTGAATGAAGTCTCCCTAAACAATATAACAGTGCATTTCTAAGGATGAAAAGTATAATACAAAGTATATCTTCATATATTTCCAGTTTCTTCAATCCATATATTAAATACAGATTTTAGCTTTTAAAAAATTTTCCAAAATAAATTATGTTACATTAATAAGCCAGTTCATCTAACCAATTATTTTTCTAATAAAAATGTAAATACATAATTTGACTCTGATGACTTTGTCTCTTATTTTAAATGTTAAAACAAAATAGGAGAGAAAAACTGTTTCACAAAATACACTAAAAAAGAAGGTTATATATTCTCCACTCTTCCAAATACCCAACTCCACAAACAAGAAGGAAGCATTAAAATGAGTATAAATGATTTATGCTAATGGTGATTTTATTTTGTAATCCTCTCTGTGATTAAGCACTTTTCAATGACATAGCAATCAAAAAGTAGATGAAAAAAAAAAACAAAACACAAACCCCAGATACAAACTAACCATCCTTCAAAGGCTGTGCAGTTTAAAGGACTACACATGAAAAAGAGTGTGTGGGTGAATGGGATATAGTCCTAATTACCCTAACAGTTCAAATGCATCATCATTGTTCAGAATCAAATTCAAACCTAACTTAGCCTTAGAATAATTACTTTCAAAAGCAAATGATAATGTATATATAATTCTTATATGTAACCCAAGTCCATTGGCCCTCACAGCTAGAATTTCTTTAGGGGAAAATTGTATCAACTGATGAAAGTAGCTTGATCCTACCTCAGAGTATTAAAATACAATTCTCTCATATTTCATAAAGTTGTCTCTATTGTTTGTGTGATGGGAAGAAAAGGCCTATCCAGGGAAAATACTAAAGAACTCATACAATAAAACATAATTTAATCTTTCAAGTAATGAAAATATTACAAGTTTTAGTCTCCTACTGTCTTTCTAGGTTAACACAGACATTCAAGTAATGGAACGTTGGAAGGGACACATTTTCTACTGATAGAAAGAAACAATTCTCGAAAATACCAGCCATCATATGGTAGGACTTAAAACCACCTACTGTAAAAACAAGATTAAAAAATATATGTGACTTCATTCTCCATTGTTCCCACTTTCTCTGTTCTAAAAACATACAGGTATTCTTAGAGCTAAAACACCTGCCTCTTTTTAAAACTACCCTTGAAATAAAAATTGGAAGGTTAATTGTTGGACACCCAACTTCAGTTAAAAGATACGGTGAGTAGGTGACTCTAATCACTAAGCAGAGCCCATCCAGCCCAAGTAAAGCAATTCCTAAAGACTTTAATACTTTACTCAGAAAACTATAGAGAAGACAAGAATAAGCAACATTCTAGAAGAAGCAGTGTGTTCTAATAATAAACATCTAAATTTATAAATTAATGTAAGTAGAGGGAGGTTGGTGGGTTAGTTGTCCTCTAAGATGACCCCTAATTATCCCCACCCTCTGTAATTCACACCTCTATGTAGTTTCCTCCCACAATGCACCAGCATTGGTCTGGGTGACCAATAGAATATTGCAAGAAGTCATGGTATGTTACCTGTGAGAAAAAGTTGTAAGAGACATTGTAGCTGCCATATTGGTTGTGTGCCCTCTCCCATCCACCTCCCTTTACCTCTTCACTTATTGGGAAGAAGCCAGTTGCCAAGTGGTGAGCAGCCTCACTTAGAGGACCATAAGGAGAAGAACTGAAGCCTCCTATAAACAACCACATCAGTAAGCCTTGAAATAGAGCCTCCAGCTCCAACCAAACATTCACATGACTGCTGCATCAACAGGTTAACGGCAATCTCATAAGAGAGGTTCTGAGCCAGAATCTCTCACCTAAGGTGTTCTTAAACTCATGAATGCCAAAAACTGTATGAGATAATAAATATTTATTATTTTCAGCAACTAAGTTTGAGAGTAATTTGTTATGCAGCAGTAGATAACTAATGCAATTTGCTCTCTAGAATATGTTTTAGATAATGTTTTTCTTATTACTCTGGAATAGTTTGGGTTGACCCTGAGGTTATCTATGTAAGCTTTACTGTCTTCTTTCTAGCATTTATTTATTTTGCACCAGTCACTTCTACTGCACTCTGATGAAAGGGTGGGCTAGGATCTTTGGTTGAAGAGTTATTTCCTGATTGGAAACCAAATCAGAAAAGTTTTCTGCTTTACCAAGATGTTTTCCATGTAATACATAAAGCATTCCCTTTGGAAACAAAAAGGCTTTAAAACCAAGAGTGTGGCAGTGGAAGTGTTCTGCCCTAGGTGTACATAATAAGGGAATTTGTTGTATATAGAAAATTTAGAAACAATAATAAAACTAAAAAAATTTGGTCTGCTTTTTATTGTCAACATGTGCTGTAATTCAAAATGTCAGTTATAGACTATTCCTCTTACCAAAATATTTTGCTGACCTAATTTCTAAACAACTGTAGCAGATACTAAGCTTCAACTTAGATTTTTTTTAAATTATCCTTTTATTTTACAAGTTAATTCACAGAAGTCCCAATTATACAGCTGGCCCAAGGGACATGAGGACTCAGATACATGCATTTGTTTTGAGAGTAAGTTCACAATTCTTTGTAATTATTCAAACTTGTTTCAGGCATAGTTTTTGTCTATGTGGTACTACATATCTTCTCTTGTAATCAGAAGACTCTTAATGAACAATAATAGCCTCTGAATTTACAGACAAGTAGACTTTGAGCTATTTCAATTATGTTACTCTATTTGAATTCTTGCATTTTTAAATAGTGCTCAATATTTGAGTGAACTACTGTAAGCTGCAAGATTTTAATAATTTTGATAAAAATGCAAATTTTATTAAATCAAAATAATTTATATAATTTTAAATTTATGATTTATTAAAAAGTTGTTCACTCTTTCTAAACTAAAGAATAAATCAAACACATCACACCTACTAGGGTGGCTATAATCAAACAAGCAAAAACTACAAGTGTTGGCAACCATGCGGGCAAATTGGAACTTGCATACGTCGCTGCTGCTGATGCACCTACTGTGAAAAGCTGTTTAGTGGTTCCTTGTAAAATTAAACATAAAATTACTATGTGACCCAGCAATTCTATTCCTAGGTGTATATGCAGGATAACTGAAAACATATGTTCATACAAAAACTTGTACACAAATGTTTATAACAGAACTATTCATAAGAGCAAAAAAAAAAAAAAAAAAAAAGTTGAAACAATCCAAATGTCCAACAATTGATAAATGGATATACAAAATGTACTATATCCATACTATGGAATATTTTTAATTCACTCATAAAAAGGAATGAAGTACTGATACATGCTACAACATAGATGAATCTTGAAAACATTAAGTTAAAGAAAACAGACACAGAGGCCACATAATGTAGGACTGTATTTATATGAAATGTCCAGGATAGGCAAATTTAGAGAGACAGAAAGTAGTCTGCCAGAAGACAGGGGGGAAGAGAAATGAGGAATGAATATGAATGGGTCTAAGGTTTATTTTGGAGAATGATGCAAGTTCTGGAATTCAATAGTGGTAACAGTTTCATAACCTTTTTAATGTAAAAAAACACTGAATTATACACTTTAAAATGGTGAGTATTACTATATGTAAATTACATCTCAAGAAGAAAAGAGAAAATACCGGTTATTACTGATTACTACAGTAAATTATTTTATCTTGTAGAGGAAAGTATGGTAAAAATGATCCATTCAAGGTATCAAATACATAAAATAAAACATTGCTAATATAACCCCTACTTTCCTCAGCAGAAACGTTCCCAAACTTTCTTCTTGGTGATATAGATTCACTATGATAAGTATTTGATAAATGTTGGTTGAATGAATGAATAAATGAATGAGTGGATTTCCCATATTTGTCCAATCTAATCACATAAAATCTTCATCTTAACCCCTACGTTTAGGATATGGGCATATGGTTTAGAGATACCTAGTAAACTACTGCTTTTCTGCTCACTCAGGGTTACTTTGAGGAATGTGTTTGTTTTGGGGAAGAGAGTTTAAGGCCATATTTAGGAATTACTTTGTTTAACACAGTCATTGGTACTTGCCCCAAAGGAAAATGAAAGGTTTTCCAAATCATAGTCTTTCATAGTGCCATGCAGTCGATGAGAACTTAATATATATATAGGGATTACATTCAATAAGTTTATACACAACTATTTAATTTTAAAACTTTCTATAATCAAAATTAAAAATATTTCACAAAAGCGGTATAATAGTGAAAGGTGGAAAACCACATTATTTAGCCAAATAATTTCCACCTCACTCACAGAATTACCTTCCTAACTGCCAACTCTAACAGCACCCTAATCAATGATTAGCTTACTGCAATTCTACTTGAAAATTAGGATGAATAACGAAATATAATGAACTTGTGTTTTTTTCAAATGGCACTTCCATCATGACTTTACTCAACAGTCACTCATTTCTCCACAAAAAAGAAATCAGAATATACATAGGACACTTCTCTCCTAGAAGGAACCTAGCTTTTTCAATACAAAGAAAGCCAGGGAGGTAAAAAGCAAAGAAATGAGATGGGGGAAGGACAAAATTTCAATAATGATTAATGTCCTAAAGAACTGGAAGAAATATAAAAATAAAAACATATGCTATAAAATTATATTTAAATTATCACTTTCATAGAAAAAATGGTAAGGAGATATCTCAAAAATTCCCTTAAACATCATATAAAGTAAAACTGTAGTAATTAGGGAGCTATATGCAGCTTATTATTGAGTGTTTTCCTATTTTAAGAAGTAATTTGATAAAACACACAGCATGGCTGTTTTATTTTGGTTGGCTATATATAGTTTCCCTTAATCTATATGCATTTCATAGAACATAAAGGTTTTCTAGTCATAAACAGATGACCAAATGACTTTTATTCCTATCTTAAAGCTTGTAATTTTATCTTTGCCTTTTTTTTAGAAAAAAAAAAAAACTAGGAAATTAAATATATAGGCTTAAAAGTTTAAAGAAAATCTTTAAATAACATATCTGGTAGTGACTTACTTTCCTATAGTATAAAATCTCACACTCCAACATTTTTAAAATTACTTCTTTTGACTGGATAGTTTTCTTTTTCATTCTTCACTGCCACTTACATGCAGTCTTACTAGCTAAGTAAATGGTTGTAATTTTAGTGGCATCAAAAAAAATCAAAGAGAGAAGAAAAGTACCCCAAAACTGAAATAAGAAGACAATTTAATGACAATTCAGTGTATAAATAAAAGTGAATCAAACACAGAAAATAATCAGTAGAATGAATATAGTCATGGAAATATCTAAGTTACAAATCTTTTTTTTACGTTTCAGATGTGAAAAGCTGAGAGTCAGAAAGTTTTATGTAATGAGCTAGCATCTCAGATGGATATTTAGGAACACAGGAAAGCACTTTTTATCGCATGTGTGAGTGCCAGTGCACACACATATACATTTGTATGTGTGTCATGGTTGCAAGCATAAATGGGCAGAAATAAAGTTTAAATAGAAATGTTATGCCAAGCATTGATTAGAAATCTTTATGTTGCAAGCAGCAGAAAATTTGATTCAAACTGACTTGAGCAATGAAAGGAATTTATTGTTAAGGTAACTGAAATGTCTGAAGTCACACTGTCCAATAGAAATATAATGTGAGCCACACACGTGATTTCAATTTTTTTAGTAGCCATACTTAAAAAATAAGTGCAATGAATTTCACATACTTTACTTATCATAATATATCCAAAATATTAACCTTTAAACATGCAATCAATACAAAAAAGGATTAATGAGACAATCTACATTATTATTATATACTAAGTCTTCAAAATCCAATGTGTATTGTGCACTTACAATGCATCTCACTTTGAACTAGCCGAATTTTACTTGCTCAGTTTCCACAGGAGGCTAGTGGCCACAGTATTGAACATAATAGGTCTAGAAATAGAACAGGTCTTGGGCAAGTGTTGATGTGGCAGCTCTATGCTATCACCAAAAACAAAATTTCTTCCTTCTGGTCTCTTTGCTACCCTTAGTGTTTCCTTCTTCCTAAGGCAGCTTTCCATGTCCCCAAGATGGCAGCCTACAGCTTCCAAGAGCTGCAGCTTGTTGTCCATGTCTAGCAGGAAAGGAAAATCTCTTCAACTATGAGCCCCAGAAAACATTTCAAGTCTCTTTGGTCTAAACTGGGTCATATGTGGCTACTGAGCACTAAAAAAGTAGTTATCGCTACTGAAAAACTAAATTTTTCATCAATTTAAATGTAAACTTACAGAACCATATGGCTTGGGCTACCCTATTGAGCAGCACAGCCCTAAATTACTCAGAGACATGGACTCACCATAAACATGATATTACCTACTCACACTTGTTAAGAGTATCAACAGGTGGGTCATAATTTGGCTGGGTCATATTAGTTCATGCTGCAGAGGCAAAGACTTTTTCACCCTAGTTATTTACTCAGTGGATAAACCTCAAGTGTGTCTTTGCAGTTCAGAGACCACGACCAGGAAACTGTGTTTTTCCCCCTCATGAGGCAAGGAGTGCCCATCATTAAATTCTGTTTAGTTTGGGGGTGGAGTGAAGTGCTATCTTGCTGCCAGAGAAGTAATGAGAGACATGTATAGAATGCATTTGGGTACAAAGCTCTACATTAATGAAAAAGAATAAAAATCTGAGTAAAATAATGAATACCACTGCCACTGTAAGCTTCGGTTGACTAAGAGGATTACACCTTAAGTAAAAAATAAAACAAAACAGTTATTTCTATCCTCCAATGCTATTTAATCAAATAATTCCTAAGCAAGTGTAGAAATACCTCTCTGTTGACTTTTCATGCCAGTAGATAGTCCAAAATGTCAAGGCAACAAATATTCCACTTGGTAAATTTGCCACAGTGGGCATGTTCCTGAATAACTTTCCTTGTAATGCAGCAGAGGAAACAACTGGCTTTATTCCCAATGTTCACTCAGGCTCATCCCTCACTGCTAGTGAGGGCACCAATAATGGTGGAATGTGCCTTCAAACAAATAGCAATACATCCAGATGATAGGGAAAATGGTATTACAGAGCCTAATGTCCGTGAACCAATAACCATTTCAAAACATTTTAATGCCAGGGTCACAAAGAAGCTTATTACATTGAAAGAAAAGAGGAGAACTAGCTTACAAGGATACCTAAATTTTCTCTCATCATTTTGTTTGTTTTAGCATGAAGAAAATATTAATTTTAAGCTATCATTAATGTGTTAAGAAAAGCACATTAAAAACAATGGGAAACTGAGAAATACAAATAATAGTGTATTTAAATATGTAGCTTAGAGTATTAGAAATTAGGTATGTTTGAGTAACTCCCTACCCCCACCCACAAATTTATTTCTTCTTTGTAAGGAAAACAAAAACCAATGACAGCATTTAACCTGATGTAGCAACATCCTAACCTAAGTATCATAAATCATCTTTTGAAGTCATCATCCTAGTTTCAGAAATTTCACCATTCTGAACCCTCATTTCTTTTCTCTTTTGAGGAATGCCAAACATGTTCAACTCCTCCTGGCTTTCAAATTCACCTAGAAGACTTTCTCAATGGAATGAAAAAATAAAGTAATTTTATGTTTAAAATGAAGATAAATAACAAACAGGCTGTGGTAAGGATTTAAAAAGATAATAGATGCGAAACACCTAAGAAAACTTAGCCTAGACATAGAGTAGACTCCAGGGGACTACACTTGTTCAGCTGAGCTGACCTACCCGTCTCCTTAGGGCATTTTCTTTCTTTTTTCTTTTTTTTTTTTTTTTTGAGGCAGAGTTTCACTCTTGTTGCCTAGGCTGGAGTGCAATGGCTCGATCTCGGCTCACTGCAACCTCTGCCTCCTGGGTTCAAGCGATTCTCCTCTCTCAGCCTCCCAAATAGCTGGGATTACAGGTATCCATCACCATGCCCAGCTCACTTTTGTATTTTTTTGTAGCGACAGGGTTTCACCGTGTTGGCCAGGCTGGTCTCGAATTCCTGACCTCAGATGATCCACCTGCCTTGGCTTCCCAAAGTGCTGGGATTACAGGCGTGAGCCACTGAGCCCAGCCTGGGCATTTTCTTAAAACAAAAATAAATTGTAAGCACTACCTATCCTGTACTTCACGCATTATATCTTTTCCAAAAGATAGAAGTAGATATAACTGGTTTTAGTTTTAAACAATATCTTTTATTTTCTTCATAGAATAGCTGTATCAAATGGAATTGACAAACAGAAAAAGAAGAAAACATGCAGGCAATGGAGAAATGGAAAAGAGAGGCCAAAGTGGAGACAGAAAAAGACCAAAAGAATCAATATCAGCAGACCTGGCTTTCCGACAGCGCTTCTGGATACAGGTATGGTGTTAATGGTTGACAGCAAACGACGCAGCAAAGACCACCTAAGAGAGGGTAGTCAACATTGTTGAGTGTGACAGGTGTTAAAGAAGACATGGTCTGAAGAAAGTTCACTAGAGTAGGCTATTAAGTGTTTCTACCACTTCAGAAAGAAACAAGACTGTAAAAGAGTTAATAAATGAATGGAGTGAGTTCATTGGTCAGAGAATACAAATTTATTTTTAGATGATCAGCAAAGGGCAGAAAGAAAGATGGAACAGTAACATGAAGGGATAAAAGTCTAACAATTGATTAAACATGGTTTTAATCCTTATTTTAATATACTGTCTGTGTATAGAACAAAAATGACCATGTTTCAGCCCATTCAGGGAACTAGTTGAATAAGAGAGCATTTGCAAAGCACACCTTAACAAATATTGCACATCACACAAGATAATTCATGATGGCTGCATGTAGAGTGCTGGCTTTAAATAAAACGCATATAAAATATTACATAAAGTAGGGGAGAAGAGTCTGTGTATTTGTTCATTTGTTCAGTCTGTTGGTTTTCCTCACTGCAGTCTGAGATAAAGTTCACAATGAATTTTGTCAAAAAGTGACATCAGAACTCCCATGAAAGAAAATGTGTGCGCATATGCACAGACATGCACACATGCATGAATGCACACACACACACACACACTCCCCCTTAAAAATACAGTCTAAGATAGAGTATGCTGATGACAAAGAATAACATGTACCATCATTTCAACCTGATTGGTGACAACGAATCATGCTAATATCTTTACCTTTCTTGCTAAGCTCTAAAGCAAGCAAACCATTCTTAGTTAATTTAGGATGTGTCTGTCATTAAAACAAATCTAAAGTGCAAGCAGCAGCAACTTTATTAGCGTTTACTGATCCTAGGGGTGATAAATATGTTTGTTTACTTATATACACAAGCAAAACTGTTGGCAAATGAGCAACTGCTCAGACTAAGTAGATAAAATTCACATTAAATATGAAGTCATGATATAATCCAAGTAATTGTCAGAATCTATACCAGCAATGGTCACCTTCTGTGACACCAAGGACCCCACTGTCAACCTGTGAGAAACCTCAAGGTTATGGATAATTTGCATTAGTCTGCATATATTAGCATATGCTTTGTATAAAAGTACTTCAAAAGTTTAGTTTCCCAAATATTAACTTAGGGCTCTGTGTCATTGTCTGACATTTGCCTAACATATCAGAACATGTCATTTATTCTTGAGTTTTGATTCCTTCTCAAAAACTGCTATATATGTGTGGTCACAATGGGTAGAATGGGTTCTAAGATGTCTCCCCATGGGACATGACTGACTGGAAGCATTAATCTTTAATCTTTTTTCTTTCTTTTTTTCTCTGTAATGTTCTTGTTAGTCATGCAGTTGAATTGAAGTGAGGATAACATCACTGCAATCTTGTCCCGTGGGATGCTGTGTCATCCTCACTACTATGTCTATTGACACTACTATGTCTAAAATCACAGCCCTGTTTGCACCTCTGTACAACAGCAGAGCCAGCTAGGTGTAGATGTACACACTCCATAACTTGTTTCATTGGCGAGGGAAGATGAGCTTTTGTAAATAGGAAGAAAAATATAAGCACAAAGCAGAAGAAGCTGACAAAAACCTTTAACCCAAGGAAAAGATACAACATAAAGTAGAGAAGGGTGGGAAATATTGAAACTAGATAGGCAAAACTTACGAAGTAAGCTGGCAAGAGACCACTCCTCTTGAAGTATCAATCTCTATGGGCCAATAATGGTTTCCAAATGGTACAAATGGATGAAATATTCCCAGGTCTTCCGATTGTTATAGGCAACAGAAGAGATTAATTACTCTAGTTCCCAAGGATTTTAAAAATTGGCAGCCTTTCACATAGGGTAGAGTTTGATGCACATACACACATACATACATGCTTCATGCCAAACCTGTTTTACATTGTTTCCATGCCCAGAATGAAAATGTGGATGCTCTCTCATGGCAGTGCACACTGCTCAAATAAAAAATAATCTGTGCCAATAATTAAGTTATCCTGTTTGATAAGTGCAATGCCAAATTCTCTCTGGAAGTGGCTGTATTTCCAACAAAGTATAAAAGCTGGTGTAAACACAGGAGGAAGTTAATTTTTAAAAAAGTAAATTTTGTCAAGTCTTGAAGAAAAGCACACCATAGTCCCTCAGAAAGCAAAATGCATTTCAAGTATATTTGATTTGTTCTACAACCTAAACCCTTCATACAGTGAATGTCTGAAGACCATAATAGTATCCTATAAGAGAAAAAGAGTATCTCAGAACTGATTTCCTTTGAAACTGAGGACAAATGCTTTAAGGAGAATTCTCATTGGTTTAGGAAATGCTGGATACAGTCAGGATTCAGTGCTTCCAAGAAAGTCCAATCAGTAATAGGTTCAGTCAAGAGCTCACTTTAGGCTGGGCATGGTGGCTCATGCTTGCACTCCCACCACTTTGGGAGGCCAAGGCGGGCGGATCATGAGGTCAAGAGATCAAGACCATCCTGACCAACATGGTGAAACCCCGTCTCTACTAAAAATACAAAAATTAGCTGGGTGTGGTGGCGCATGCCTGTAGTCCTAGCTACTCAGGAGGCTGAGGAAGGAGAGTCGCTTCAACCTGGTAGGTGGAGGTTGCAGTGAGCCGAGATCACAACACTGCACTCCAGCCTGGTAACAGGGCGAGACCCTGGCTCAAAAAAAAAAAAAAATTTAAAATTAAAAAAAGCTCACTTTAGATGCACTGCTTGGCTTAAGAAGTAGGGTTTAAATTAACAGCTTTTTTGGATGGTAATTCTAGAAAGGTAGCTAGACCTTACACTAGTATATCTTCAATTTTGATGCAACATAAAAGGGTACCCATCAATCCTGAGAGACCTAGGAGTTTGAGTTGGCATATCTTTCAGAGCCACAAAAAAGTAAAACACATTCTCTTTGGAGTGGGGAAAAAACAAACAAACAAAAAACATTGACTGATTCTTTACTAGAGTTTCATTCTAGAAGTTCTGGTTCTGGGGCTAAATAAGAGCAAAGGGCTACAAAGCAACAATTTCAGGTCTCCAAGCACAAAGTATCGTCATTCCATCCATAAGATAGGTGCATTAAGTCTATGGAGCCAATGCACAGGGAAAGATAATGGCAAACTTTCCAGGGTATTCCATCAAGTTGTCCAAACATTGAATGAGAGTGCATGTAACAATCCTAAGCTAAGTGCAATCTATCTCTGTACCTTTTAGATCCTTAATACTTCAGTCATAATACATGATATGAAGATGGTCAACGCATGCTCAAGACTCAATCAAATCTCTACTGGAAAATTGGAATGGGAGAGAGAATGAGTTTTTCCACGAAGAAACAATGTGACAAAAAAGTCAAGGATTGTCCATTTGAAATCGCGATATTTCCTGAGCTCTAAGATTCATTTCATTTTTATCTACTCTAGAATGTATGTAAAAGAGAGGGAAATCTTGTAAAGGACCATGTTCAGTTCCATGTTCAGTTTTGGGTTTCGAAGGAAACACCATAAAAACACCAACTCATTTCTTCTAGAAATCCCAAAACAAAATCTCAATTATGTTTTTCTAATAGGAAAATTGACAAAATAATGCTTAATAAGGAAGCTAAAATTGGCCCTAGAACAAAGCAAAACCCACTGAACTTTCAAAAATCTACTCTTCAGTTGTTGACTTTTTTCTTATATATTTTCTCCACATTATTTTCTTTACCATGATTCGTCCACTCTCATGGACACAAATTTTACCTCAAACTTGTTCCCAACTTTAACAGTGTTGAATGTTGTTTATTAAGGCATTAGCAAAGGACTTGTCAAGACAGTTTTAGCATGGTCATTCTTAGGACTACAGTGAAAAATACCTTAATTACAATTCAATAAATTAAACTAAGAAAAAAAATGCTTTATCATACTTGACATGCTGTCATGAACAGTGCAATAAAAGTATTAACAGTCTTATTTTAACTTCTTTAAAAAGAATATACAATTGACCCTTGAACAACACAGGGGTTAAGGACACCGATACCCTGTACAGTCAGCAATCCAAGTATAAGTTTTGACTTCCCAAAAACTTAGCTACTAATAGCCTGCTGTTGACCAGAAGCTTTATGGATAACATAAACTTTCAATTAATGCATACTGTATACAGTTATGTATTATATACTGTATTCTTATAATAAAGTCAGCTAGATAAAAGAAGATGTTATTAAGAAAATCATAAGGAATAGAAAATACATTTACTACCTTTTTGAGACAGAATTTCCGTTCTTATTGCCCAGTCTGGAGTGCATTGGCACGATCTTGGCTCACTGCAACCTCCGCCTCCCAGGTTTAAGCGATTCTCCTGTCTCAGCCTCCCAAGTAGCTGGGATTACAGGCACACGTCACCAGGCCCAGCTAATTTTTTTGTATTTTTAGTAGAGATGGGGTTTCTCTATGTTGATCAGGCTGGTGTCGAACTCCCAACCTCAAGTGATCCACCTGCCTTGGCCTCCTAAAGTGCTGGGATTACAGGCGTGGGCCACCGTGACTGGCCTAATTACAATTTCTAAAGTGGAAGTGAGTGAGCAAAAAGGTCTTCATCCTCATGGTCTTCATGTTGAGTAGGCTGAGGAGGAGGAACAGGAGGGATTGGTCTTACCATCTCAGAGGTGAACAGGCAGGAGAAAGTCCACATATAAGTGGACACACACAGTGTGAACAGGTGTTATTCAAGGGTCAACTGTAATCTGAATTTTTGTATATTCTGACAAGATACAAGAGGGAGAAACTTCGTAACACTTTTCAAATAGGCTTTTACCAGGAAGGAAAGAAGGTCTGTATATCAAGAAGTGAGTCAAAAAATTTTAATTCTAACAGTGGAATTGTACTTCTCTCTACTTTTCAATTCTTATTTTTAATTTTATTCTAGAGTTTTTATTTCTTTTAAGATTCCTCCTTTGTCTTTGATGTTTCCAGCCAGGAAATAGAAGTCTTTACACACTCACTTTGAAGATCAAGAAAACCTGCACCACCAACTGATCTTTCTTTTCCTCCTAAGAAACTAGAAAATTTACTGCTGGGAGCCATTCTGTACTCTTTATTTTCCTAGTTTAAAAAATTATGTTTTCATCGCTACATACAGTATACATCTTCTGATTTATCCTAAGTCTAAAGATGTTTTTATGAGACTTAACCAAAAACTGTGGTCTTTAAATTAAAATTAAGAAGGTAACTTGACAATTTTCATGTATCATTTCCAGACTTCTGATTCTAAAATCCTATCTTTAGAATCAGGATTCTGATTCTAAAATCCTATCAAGAATTACCTTGAAACCCTGCATGTTTGGGTAACACTTAGTGATGAGAAAAATCTTTTAGAAAGAAGACAATAGGCTGGATATAGTGGCTAATACCTGTAATCACAGTGTTTTGGGAGGCTGAGTTGGGAGGATCACTTGAGGCCAGGAGTTCAAGACTAGCCTTGGCAACATAGGAAGACCCCATCTCTACAAAAAAAATTAGCTGGGCATGGTGGTGCACACCTGTTGTCCCAGCTACTTGGGAGTCTGAGGCAGGAGAATCACTTGAACCCAAGGGAGGGAGACAGCAGTGAGCCAAGATAGTGCCACTGCACTCCAGCCTGGGCAACAAAGTGAGACCCCGTCAAAAGAAGTTTAAAAAGAAAGAAAAAAGACCATAATACAACCCAGAGAGACAAAAAAATGTATGAGGTGATTACAACAGGGCTCTATGTATCAATAGGAATTTTTTGACTGCAACAAATAGAATAGATTCTGATTAATTTCAGCAGAAGAGGAATTCATTTGAAGAATCTAGTGGAGCTCACAGAATAAAAAAGGAAGTTAGGGAATAGGAATTGGCAAAGATAGGTGGCAGGAACTCTCTAGGAGAATTGGTAGCAAGAGTGTTTCAGGGCAACACTGCTGGGATCAGTCAGCTCCAAACACATACAGCCTCTTTTTCATTCTTCTTAAGATTTGGATTCCTGGAGAGAAAGATCTGATTGGCCTAGTTTGGGTCATGTGTTTTTCTCCTCACTGGGGGAAACCAGGGCATCTTGATTGATGGTCTCATCAGACAGAATCCACAGAACAAGAAAACAGGTAAAAAGGCAAAATAAAAATGAAAGGAACAAGCAGGGAAAGAGAAGGTAACATTAAAGGTGTGCTTGATTGTATTAGTTTTCTATTGCTAGGTGACAAATGACCACAAATATAGAAACTTAGAAAAATACATTTTGTATGTCTTGGTTTCCATGGATCAGAAGTCTGGGCATGGCTTAATTGGATTCAATCAAAGTGTCAGCCAAGCTGTGTTCCTTTTTGGAGCTTGGAGTTCTCTTCCAGGCTCACATGACTGTCAATAAGAGTCCTTTGTGGTTGTTAAGACTGACTGATGTCCTCACTTTCTTGTTGGCTACCAACCAAGAACTACTCTCACCTCCTTAGGTGGCCCATTCCTTGGCATCCCCCTCTCATAATATGGCAGCTTCAAGACCAACAAAAGAATCTCTCTTCCAGCTGGCTAAGATGAAGTCTTATGCAACATAACCTAATCAAGAGTGACTATCCCATGACCTTTGCCATATTCTATTAACTAGCAGCAAGTCATGGGTTTTGCCCAAACTCAAGAGGAGGGGACTACAAAAGAGCCCTGCTCATTCTGGGTCAGGTTACGGTGTGTCTACCACATTGATGTTCATCATGAAAATGAGACAGAGGTCTGATGCAGGACAGCTAACCCCACAACTGTGGTCCTGAGGAAGATGCACATTCACCTCTCTCAAAGCCAGCCTTCTCCACCCTGTGAGTCACAATTTGATGAATCCTTGGATAGCGGTGACCACTGACTTTGGGGTGGAGGTAGGCCTGCCAGACTTCAAAGATTAGGCACCAGCTTTAACTCCTTTAGGCATAGCTGTGGCCTTCTTATGCTTCTCTGGGAATTATACTAGCAGTCCTGAAGCAAGAGGAAAGATCTCCAAATGGAATCATCCCATTTGGAATAATTTGGAGCTTTCCCCCTTCAAATGAAATCATCTGGAGATATCCTGTTCCATAAAAATAAAAAGAACAGCTGAAAAACCCCTCCAGCACACACACACACACACACACACACACACACACACACTTCAAGACTACACAACCCCATACCTATCTTTAAGTTTTTTGTTCAACTCCTAGTGAACCTTTGTATGTAAGAAACAGGCAAAACCCACAAAGTGATGAACAAATGACACTTTGTGTTGGAGGCTTTCTGAGTCTGGAGCAGATTAGATACAATTCACAACAATAATATCCATCATTAAACATGCTGTGGTGTGCCTGGTGGAAAACAAAAGCAACTTGTTTTACACATAGTTGAGTTTCTAAATACTGACATTATGTCATTTGTTTTGACGCCTCAAAAACACTGACATTTCATCATATTTCAAGTGTTCTGAAAAAGTTAAACATGCCCCTTTATTCAATATGACTTTTAAGCAGCAGAGGAAGCATATCATTTGTAAATGCTCATGAACCATATGACATACATGTGTGTTAAACCAATACACAATAAAAGCATCAGATCAGCTACATATGGCATTGTTACACCAGCAGTGCTATTTTCTCAGCTAGTTCATCATTCCAAGGCAACTTAGATATGGACAAAAAAAGCACAGAAATGTAAAAGGTGTTGCTGCTTTGGGAAAAAAAATGTATTGCATTTCCTCAAAAAGTTAAAAATAGAGTTATTATATGATTCATCAATTCCACTTCTGGGCATATACTCAAAAGAATTGAAAGCAGGAGCTCAAACAGATATCTGTACACTCATGTTCATAGAAACACTGGCAATAGCCAGAAGGAACAACTGAAGTGTTCATTGATAGATGAATGGATAAGCAAAATGTGATATAAATACACACACAAACACACACACACACACACACACACACACACAGTGAAATATTATCCAGCCTGGAAAAAAAAGGAAATTCTGACACATGCTACAACATGGACAGATATAATGATTCCACTTATATGACATACCTAGAACAGTTAAATTCATAGAGACAGAAAGCAGAATGGTAGTATCCAGGGGATAGGTGGAGAGATTAAGGAAGAGTTACTGCTTAATGAGTACAGAATTTTAGTTTAGGAAGACAGAAGTTCTAGAGACAGATGGTGGTGGCCGCACTACCGTGTGAATGTACTTGATGCCACAAACTGCACACTTAAAATTGAATAAAATGGGAAATTTTTGTTATACGTGTTTAACCACAGTAACTTTTTTTAAGATCACAGGGCTTGATATCAAATTTACTGAGTTCCAGTCTGGGTTTTACCATTTCTTAGTTGTACGATCTCACTGCATTTTTTTCTTTCTTAACAGTAAAATGAACATAAAATGACCAACCTTCCTAATGGAGTAGTGAGGAATTAAAATCTGAAACTTGAAAAAGGCCTCAAGGCAATCAAATAAGAATTCACTAAGTGATAAGAATAATTTCAAATGCATTATTAAAATTAGAAGAGTTGCCCGTTTCAGAGGCCCAGCCTTCATCAAAATTTCTCAGCCTCTTTAAAGGCTAATAGGTCTATCCAGTGGCCTAATTTTAAAGTCCCTCAATGCTTTATTTCTAAGCCAAGTTCCTTCCTTTTATACTTCTGAACCCTCTTAACATCAACCGTGCAATGATTAAGAAGATATATTTTGTCAAATCACAGATAAGAGAAATCCTGTCAGGGTCTCTGCAACAATGAATAGACTAAGATAGCAATAAAACAAAATCTTTCAGTCATATCCCAGTTCTCACCCTGGTGCCAGATTCCACCCAGAGAACAATAGAGGGGTGGTATTTATCAGGTTTCAATAGGGTCAAATCCTGGCCCTGTGAACTCTGGGGTGTATTTTAACATCTCCCTTTGACCTGTGTTCAGTACAGAGCACAAATGCTAATGAAGGAGGAAGCTATCTCTGAGTTTTCAAGAGCTTGCATTAGGCAGGGGCTGAGTGGAGGTGCCCTAACAGCACCTGGCATCTGACAGTTCAAAGACTTGCCAGAGCTGGGCACCTCCCAGTTAGGGGTTTCCTGCAGAGAGGGCCTGCCCTGCCAGGGTTGGCTTGCTCCTTGCCTAAGTTCACTGAAAGTTTTACAAGTTGTCCTCTCTAAAACAAAAGCTACAGTGAAAACAGTGATACTTGTATGTGATGCCCACCTAATTTCTCTGGCATCTTCCAAAGTGCATAATGAAAATGGAAACTGTCTTCCCTTCAGGCCTGGAAAGGACCAAACATATTCTAGACCCAGAATATTCTAATATTCTAATATTCCAGCATTCAAACTCTGCAGTAGTTATTATGGATTTGCCTCAACCATAGAACTTTTAAATAAGTTTTAAGTACTATATTTAAAAATAATAATAGAAAACACACTAGAGGGCCAGGCGCAGTGGCTCACCCCTGTAATCCCAGCACTTTGGGAGGCCAAGGTGGGTGGATCATGAGGTCAAGAGATCAAGACCAGCCTGGCCAACATGGTGAAACCCATCTCTACTAAAACTACAACAATTAGCCAGGTGCAGTGGCAGGCACCTGTAATCCCAGCTGCTTGGGAGGCTAAGGCAGGAGAATCACTTGAACCCAGGTGGCAGAGTTTGCAGTGAGCCGAGATTGCGCCACTGCACCCCAACCTGGGCAACAGAGTGAGACTCCGTCGCAAAAAAAAAAAAACAAACAAAAACAAACAAACAAAAAACACTACGGAAGTAAAAAATATCTGAAATACAGCAGACTTAAGATTGATTATATGTGTGAGTCAGATACATTGCCAAGTGACTTTGAGAAAGTTATTTCAATACTCTGTGGCTCTGTGACTTCATATTCTCAAAAATGGGTAAAATGACTCTTACTTCACAGAATAATTGTGAGGATTAAATAAGTATTGGATGCAGGTGCTGAGCACAGTGTCCAGCACATAGTAAGTAATCAATAAATGGTGGTTGTTTTCTTAGAAAAATGGTATATGCTACTAAGAAAGCCAATGGAGTTTGAGTATTGGTGGCAGCAATGTAACTGGCTCTCAGACCTAGGGAGGTGCATTTGTCACTCAAACCCAACTACAAGCTGCTGGAAAGTGCACAGGAGGGTTGATGGAGGCCTCTCCTCTCCATGTTCAGAGACACGCATAGTCCCTCGCAGAAGGAGAATCTGGCCACATGTTATGTCCTCATATTTCCTTCTGTTGCATGTACTGCGTGAAGGGCAAGAACATGCCACAAGACTGCCATCATACTTTTTGGTTTTCCACAAAATATATGGAAATATAAATAGCCCAGTATTCACAAACACTTACTTTGAGGACAGGAGTCTGGTCACACAGATGCTGTGACTTTGCCCTATTTCTAAACCTCTCCTTCCTGCTTCTGTCTTTCATCTTCTCTCTCCCTTCACCCAGCCTCTGGCCCAAGTATTGCCTCTAGTATTAGAATTAATTCATCAAATTGTATGACAATAATTTGATTTTGCCTTTTCTCCCGCACATAGATCTTTACTCATCTTGATGTCCCCAATTCCAGTGCAGGGCACCCGGCAGGCCCTTGACAAAAGTTAATTAAACATGATTGAGGAAACCAAGGAAAAAATGGTCTATTTCATTTCTTCATCCAAAGGAACCAACAGATCTCCTCAAGTTCTTTCTGGCCTCTCCTTGGGCACCACTGCACAGGAGCATTGACAAGACAAACCCAGGGCACACACATTACTCCCTGAAAGTAAATTAAATGATAGCACTTGGAAGCTGCACTCACTCACTAGACCACTTAGAATGGTATTTTGTAATTTTCCATACTTTGAGTTCTCTAGCAGGACAACTACATACAGTCTAAGGGCTTAACCATCATCATGTTCCTTGTACATTCTGAACATAATTTATTTCTGCCCTCCGAGAACCTATTATCACAAACGGCACTTGCCTTTTTGCTCTCCAATCTCCCAAATACAAAACGGCTCCCAGAGAACGAGAAGGCTTTTCGCCTTTGTGAAAAATATTATTCATGCTAAATTCTTTTTGGAATTTTGGCATATTTGATTTAAACAAATGCTTGACTTTTCTGAATGATTGAGTATGCCGATTTTTCCCCTCCAAGTAGGTCAACTGCAAAGTTCCTGAGCGCATTCAACAGGTGATTGTGCACGTATTTATGCATATATGCAGTTGTTTTGGGCTCAGAACATTTTGTACTCAAGGTTACTTTCTTAAGATTCGTTTTATTTGTTCAGCTGCTTTTTCTAATCCCCTACCTTAGCACTGTGAATTCTGCCATTTATTTCACAGTACCTGCCTCTACAAATGACATATCCCATTTTGTTTGCAATCGTCTTTTCTTTCTGGGGCACAGTCAGGTGGAGGAGCCCTGCCATCTCTTTAGCTTCCTACCTCTTCCACATTAAGCACTGTCAGCAACCCTTTAAAAATAACTGATTGGACAATCTGCATCCTGTCAAGATGTTTTCCCAATAGATATCTAGGTAATTAAAATCTCTTAGTATATTTAGGTCTTACTACTTGAGTAATTCTTCTGGTTGTTAAAGCGACATTTCATCCACCTCATTAAAGTTTCAGACGACTCTGATCACAGAGTTCCTCACGGTGAACATCCAGGAATCTATCACTTTTACTCTTTTGAATCCAAGTATGTTCTATGTCAAGTGCCAGCAATGTTTTTTCTATAAAGGACCATATAGTAAATATTTTTGACTGTGAACCAGATGGTCTCTGTCATGACCACTCAACTCTGTTGAAGCATAAAAGAAGCCATAGGCAATATGAAAGTGAATGGGTGTGGCTGAATGTCAATCAACCTTTATTAACAAAACAGGGAGTGGGATTCCTTTGGCCCACAGGCTTTAGTTGGCTGATCCTTGATCTATGTAATAACTGTGGTAATAACTGTGCAGATCTGGACTGTGGAACAGACACATCTGGCATGGGGTCCTTGTTCTGTCACTCACTAGTTGTGTAATTTCAGGCTAATTATCTAACTTTCCTGACCCTCACTTTCCTCCTCTGCCCTATCTTACAGACACAGAGAAGGACAGAAAAAGACCCATCATGGTGAGACTATCACTCTTCTCTGAGGGAGTTTGGGGTTCTGTGAAAGAGATTTACCAAGAGCATTACATCATTTGAATTGTGCTTCAAAAAAATTCTCTGGTTCAAAATAAAGGTAATAGATTTAATATCCTTGCTAAACAAAAAGATATTCAATAAGATGGTGTAGTAGAACCAGTGAAAAATGATAAAAACTCTGAACTAGATTAGTGGCAGTAAAAATGGAGAATAAGTGGATTCTAGGAGTATCTAGAAGGAAATCGGCAGTGAAATGAGGCATGGCCAGGCCAGCTATCATTAGGTATAGAATAAGGCCACTCCATGAGTTGTAGCAATGTGGCATGTGCTTAAATAATCCACAGGATATGTAAACAGTTGTTTTGGCTAAAATAGAAGCATAAAAAGTGTCATCCATCATCATGCTTTCCAAGTTATTGAGTTCCATATAGCCATGCTTACTTACTCTATTAATGCTTGTCAAAGTATAAGAAGAAAATATAGTAATAAAAACCAGCATTAGCCACCCTTTATTCATTGCTTAGTATGAGCCAGGCTGTACTACATACAATCTTTACCTAAACTCTAAGAGCTCAGTAATGTCACCATAACTTATCAGATGGAAACAGGAAGCACACTGGGAAGTTAAGTGACTTACCCCAGTATCACATAGCTAAGAAGGGAGGCAGCAGAATTAAATTCCAAGGATAGCTTGTTTGAGTCCAAAGTCTGTGCTCTTAACCAATAGCCTCTACTGCCTTCTAGTAAGTGATTGATTTTTAAAAAAATAATAAAAAAATGTAAAAAAAAAAAAAAAGAGCTTGCTCTCAAGAGTCCATAGGACTTGCTGACTTAACTCACCGCTGTTTCTGAAATCCTGCAAGCTGAACCTGGGCACCAATTAGTCCATGTCTTTGGAAAAGTCTTTTATTATCTATTAGCCTCCATTTGTTCATCTGTAGCTCTCTTGCTATTCCAAACAGTAAAAATCCCACATTCTATCACATTAAAACAACAACAACAAACACAGGTAAGTAGGAAAATTAAGATGAAGTAATGTATTCTGCTGTTTCATTGAAACATAAAATGGAAACAAGGAAGTAAAAAACAGATTAGGAAGTAGCTATTATCTCTGTAAAAGTATCAAAAATCAGGGAGAGAAACAACAGTCTCAGAAAGCATTAAGTCAGATCGACATATTCCTGGCATAGACTTTTGTCATGATCACACTTCTGGATTGAAAAAAAAAAAAGATAGGAAGCATAAAGACGATGAGTATGTTACTTGTTGAAGAAATCATAAAGAATTATTCATTATCACAAGGTTTTGAAAATGGGAATTAAGGATTTACAGTCAATGTTTTCTCAATATCCTTTTGCAAACCCAGTTTTAGCAAAATTAAAAGAGCTTGACAACAAATGGTAGTTTTTTTTTTCAACTATTAATTGGTTATGTGTCAGCTCAGCTTCCTAGAACTAAATTACTTTCTGAAAAATAGAATTATATATTTTTGTTGCTTGCTAAGAAAATGTTGCCCAGAAATTTAAACATAATTCATTTCATATGTGTGTTTGTTTTCAGTGTCATAAAGCAGGGAGAAGTTTAGAAAAGGTAGAAGAGGTAAACTGGTCATATTTTATGGTTCCATAAAATGCTGGAATGAGAATTCAAACCCCAGGAAATGTTTTAAGCTGTAATACTTGTTTAAAAACAAAATCCCAAAAGCCTTAAATGTTATGAATTACAGAACAATCTATATACATAAAGGTATATAAAGGATTGTGTGTATCTGTGATGTCAAATATTATATACATATAAATCATACATTAGGGGATACATAATATGTGTTTGTATGTGTGGTGTGATATTTAATGCATATATACTTTCTAAAATACAATGTGTTTCATATTAATTTTACCAGTGGTTAAATGTTCAATGCTGTTGCTATACCAAATATCTATGGCAGATCACTGTAATAGGGCACTTAATGTAATTCAAGAGATATATTTGTGCACCTAACATGTATCTGGGCAGTGCTCTGTCCTGGAAATGTGAATGGGAACAAAACAAGATGGGTTCTCTGTAGGGCAGCACTATCCAGAAGACATATCAACAATGCAAACTCAAGAACCACTATCTGGGGTGATGGCTGCAGATACCACGCTGTTCCACGCTAGGAGAGGATCTTAAGGGAGAAGTGGTTAGCCCTGCACAGAGGAGGTAGTTTGCTGTGTTCCACAATTCATAATTTCTTCTGAGGGTTCAAGCCTGGATTGGACTGTAGTGGAATGCCAGGAGAGTATTTTTTTCTTAGTATTATGATAAAACCATCCCAGAATGGCATAGCCAATCATTTCATATTGCTCTTGTCCTCTTATACAGAATAGGTATTCACTACATATTTGGGGAATGAAAGCTTACCGAGAAACTAATAATTTTCTTGTTAAGACTCTTAAAGAATGTTAACACCTACATTACAATATGTGTAAAGCCTACATCTTAAAATTGATGCCACTAGGCTTACGGCACAAAATTGAAATACCACATATAAATAAATTAAAGCTTGACCCAGTAAGTGAGTTAAGAGTTGTGTTTGGCAAGACAGTGGCATGCTATAAAGGTGAGATTATGGGCTTTACCCTCAGAAAGACCTGAGTTCAAATACAGACTATGGCACTTTAAAAAGCATATTATATATTGACAAATTATAGTTGTATGTATTTATGGGGTGCAAAGCAGTGTTATAATTTTAATGCAATATGAAAAGATTAAATTAAGCTAAGTAACACATTCATCACCTCATGTTATGTGTTATGCATCACACAACTTTTTTGTGATGAGAACATTAGAAATGTACTCTCATAGTGATACTGAAATGTACAGAACCCCATTATTACCTATAGGCACCACGCTGTTCAATTGTCGTCGCATGAACTTAGACATGTTCCTTAGCCTGCCTGAGGCTGTTTTTCATTTAAAAGATAGGACTACTAATAAAATATTTGTGAGTAGTCAATGAGATAGTCTATGTCAAGCACGTGGCATGGGGTAGGCAACCCCTTTCTGCTGTCTCTAAGTCCAGGCCTGCCTCTAGTGCCGGGAGTTCAGAAGCAAACTACTGAGAAGCTCCCTGAATGATTTATCATCTTAGAGGACAAGAATTTTTCCTCGACAAATTATTAGAAACCAAACATGGCAACATTTCTGCCTCTAACACTGTTAGAGGGCACATATGTTCCCTGACTCCTCAGCTTTCACTCTCATTTATTTTGGTATCAGCACCCCAATACCCTACTAGGAAAGCACCCTTTCTCCACTGTTAGGCCCCATATTTGGATATAATGAATTCAATACCCTCTTCAAGAGGTTGTAGGAATTTGACCCAATCAGAGCACTTTATTCCCCTTTTCACAGAGGTTATTTCAGGAACGGTGCAACCAGAGGCAATGATAGGCAAGGAGATTTTGTCCAGAATATTGAAAATAGGAGTTGAACCTGAGAGATCATAAGGCTAGAATTGCTTCAGCTGTCTTGTCACCATAAAGGGACAACCATTTACAAATAGAGCCAAGACAAGGAAGAGAAGCTGAGTTGGAGAGAAAAAAAACATCATTTGAGTCCCTGCATCCAGCTGCACCTAGGCCTTCCAGTTCCACATGAACAAATTTCCTTTTTAGTTTAAATTGTGTTTCCTGTCACTTGCAACTAAAAGAAACCTATATTATATAATACTTATATGTTGTGCGTCTTCTTCAGTTTACTTGGACAATTCATCTTTTACCAATACGCTGCATGCAGATCAATAAATGTTATATTGGTGCACATTTATGGATTAAGAAGGAAAAGAATAGTATAGTCACCTTTTTTCTGGACTTTTAAAAATAAAATAAAACAATACTATGGTCTTTCATTTTCAGATGTAGAAATCAAAATGCAGTTTTAAATGGGCCTATTTACTAACCAAGAAGTTATTTTAATAGCTAATATCTATTGGTTGAAATTGCTTTTTAAATATGGCATATAAAGTTAATGATCTAAATCCCATATTCAAGATGGAGGCTGCAACTACAGGAGATTAGAGCGTAATAGCAGGAAAAGAAAAAGCCCAGTCCTGCAGGTAAGTAAAGCACCCGCTGGAAGCAATATGGGCGTATCAACAACGAGATCCGCAGGTATGTAGACTATTCCAGTGAAGTCAGACAAGCACAAAGGCTGTCCAAATTACCTGCTGAAGTATCAAACGCACTTATTCAAACACAGTCATTTTGTATGCCCTTGATGGCAATCTTCTTTCCATTCCATCTTTTTGCAGTCTTCAATGTTTCTGTCCATAATTTGTTTATGGGTTTATAGCAGTTCATGCTAACCAAGTATACGTTAAAGCACTTTCTACCTCACGGCTGGAAGTCCTGAAAACAGGACCTGATATGTTGGATTCTGAACATTGAGCAAAGAGGACTCTGCTTGCTGTGGATATTCACCAAGGCATAAATGAATGCCTTGCTGAACTCTGGAAATGCAAAGAACTTATCCTACTATCATACTATTTCTTTCTGGAAGAGTCTACTCACAGGACAGTGGCGTCCCTGTCTAGGTTAGTCTTTCAGTTCCGTCCCAAGAGCCACTTTATTGAAATCAAACCTTGTCACATCTGCTACTCTGGGCTCATCTTTGATTCTTTACATTGCCTTCTTTAACACTTGACTTTCTCTTCACTATTTCAACATGAGTAGGTCCATTTCTCCCCTATCTCCACTGTCCCAACCCTAGAAAAAGCCATCACCATCACTTGTGTGATAGCCATCTTTTAAAACTGTAAATCAGATTGCTTCACAGTCTTGATTGTAACCCATTCTCTATTTCTCTCCCTTTGCCCCAGGTATACCAAACTTCCTTTTTACTTCCGACACAACAACCTCATTCCTGCACTAGCACATTTGCTCTTCCTGGATTCCCTTTATTCAGTTCTGCTCACGGCTGCTTTCTTCATGCAATTCTGGTCTCAGCTCAAATGTCGTCTGATCAGAGAGGGCTTCCAGGTCACTCTCCAATTGCTGTCTCATAAATCCTGGTGTTTTCTCTTCTTCATGGATTTATCTCTATGTAAAATCATCTTATTCAACTGTCCTTGATTATCAGTCTTCTTCATTAGAATTTTAACTCCACTAGAACTCACTCAGGAGCTTGTGCTGTTCACCTCTGTATCCCTAAGGCAGATAGAGGTACTTACAGCCAATACTAATGGTCCAACAGAATTTTCTTCTTCTCACTGGTAGAGCTTTAATTATGTTCCAGTGTCCTCACCTCCTTCCCTGTGACTTGGATACATCAACCATGTTGGTCCCATTGTGCTTGTCAGTGTCTGATATAAGAACAAGCATATTAGGCACATCTGGTCAACCTACTGGGGATGTCTAGGAAAAGCTCACTTTTTTCAAAAAACCCACACATGAAAAAAAATGGCCCTTTTTCTACTACTGGACTTGGCAAGTCTACATGTAATACCTGGAACCTCAGTAGCCACCGTGTGACTATGAAGAAAACCTACTGAGACTGGTAGAATGGAAAGAAGGAAGAAACTTGGGTCTTTGATAATTTGGCTAAGCCTCTAGACTTCTTGCTATGTGAGAAAATAATTCCTCTGTTTTGTTTGTTTTTTTCCTGAAACAGAACATAAATTGAGATCTGTGTATTCCTTCACAATCCCTTTTCACAATTCCTTCACAATGCTGAATTTTGTGCTTATGATTCCCATGTATAAGTACATATTTTAATAAATTTAAACATATATTTATGTCTAAATAAGACATATCACTGTATGTTTTAAACATTTTATAAAGGCATCATAATGTAAATAGTTTGGTCAACTTGCTTTTTTTTGCAAACTCACAATTATGCTTTTGATATGCATTTCTATGAATACATGGGACTCCAGATCATCTATTTTCACTGTGTACAGCTGTCTATTATATGGGGATATCATGCCTTTCTCATCCTTTCTCCTGCCACATTTGGGTTGTTTCTAATTTTTTGCTATTATAAACAAAATATCTCAATTTTCACACGTGGGAGTTTATCTACAATAGTGCTTTTCTAGTATATTTGACTATGATTCTCAGAAATCAATACATTTTAAAATAAATGTACATGTTCACATGCACACACATACACATACATTTTTGGAAAATATTGTTTTACAAAACAATTATTATTCTTACTACATATGATGCACTCTGATACTTCCCACTCTTTTCTATTCTACTCAATTAAAAATTGATTTCATGACTAACTAATATGTCAGGTCCCAAAGTTGCAAGATTATGATAGTGAAACACTACTACTATATATACCAGAGTATATATGTGGGAGTGGAACTGCTCTCTTAAAGGATTTGTGTGTCTTCAAATTTACTGGACATTATTAAATTATACTCTAAAAGATTTCTACTAGTTAAACTTTCTCCAGGGACATGAGAGTCCCTCTTTATTCACATGCTTGGCAATATTTCATATAGTTAGATTTTTTATGTGAAATAACTTATTTTGCTTTTAATTTACATTTCCCTGCTCATTAATGAGATCGAACGTTTTTCCTTTATTTGTGAGCTGTTAGGATTTTTTATTTGCCTGTCTGTATTTATCAATTTTATCTATTGTTTAATTTTTTAATTAATTCTTAGTTTGTTCTTTATGTATTCTGAATATTAACACCTGTCCATGCATTGCAAATATCTTCTGCCTTTCTGTGGCTTAACTTATTTTGTTTGTGCTTTACCTTATGATTTGAGCATTTTGTGCATGTTTATGAATTTTGTTGTTATTTTTACTAGGACTCTTAATACTTATAGGAAGACATTCTAGTAGATTCAGCAGTTAATAAACACAAGTTGCTTAAGGGAGAAAGCGAATAAATAAATGAAATAATTTTAGCAGGGAAAAAACCAAAGACTAATAAACCTCATATTAAATAATCAATACTTTAAATAATACAATGTTGGATAGACCTTTTAGAAAATCTATATATTTATAATCTTCTAAGATTATAAATTACTCCAAAGTGAGAACCAGGAGTCTATAATTCGTATTCTGAAATAGTCTTAAATAGGAATGAAAAAATAAAAATAGCCTCATGCTTAAAAATCCAGAGTTGGGGATTTCCTGCTGATGCTGTGTATATGAATAGCTTCCAACCACCAACTCTTAAATTTCACTGAAAAGCAAAATGTTTAGTGCTGTCAATTACTCCAGAATGCTTTTTTTTTTTTTTGAACCAACACCTGGGTTATCTGTGCTGGACTGCCCAGTAAGCAATAATCAACCTAAGCTATAATTTTTATAGTCTATCACATGTAAAAGGGAGAGGAAAGTAGTCTGGCATTCTACAATGGCATGTTAACTTTCATGGATTCAAATAAATCAAAAATAGAAGGATCTGCAGATGAACTAAACTAAACTGTGTAAGATCACAGTCTAGACTGATAGGAAATTGAATCATTTCAATAGATAAAATGCCTTATTTCCAAGAAAACAAAAAGGGCTCAGTCTCCATGGATGAAGACTACATCAGGTACAAAAATAGAGCACAAAAAATTGGATATATCCATTTTACTATCTCTGCCAGAACTTTCTAAATACCTTTTTAATGCAGTTATTTTTATCAACTTACTGTACCTGTACATACACATGAAAGATTACTATCAGGCAACATGCTCTTTCCATCAACTCATTTACAGTGAAAACAGTAATAGCAGTATCTTAGTCATCAAATTCTCACATTTTAAAGGGAAATGAAAAACCTGCTATGGACCAAGCAAGGTAATAAGTTACTTTTTTTCCTGTTCACCTGCAGAGAATCTTTCTTGGTGGCTCTTTTTCTTCACTCATTTTCTGCCTCTCAAAATATGTAACCAAACAGCACTGTTAGAGGCCTAAGGGAAAGTCAGTTCTCATTTCATGGCTTTCTTTTTTATATTTTAAGTGGAAATAGATTTGTTAGCAATAATTCTGGAATTCACACCATCCCAGCTAATGAGTCAGCATTTGCTTTCACAGAGCTCTGATCTGCAGAAGGTTCCAGGCAGATCAACTCTTTGAAAGGCTTAGGCTTTAATACTTCTAATGCTTATCCAACTACAAAGGCACAAAAAAACCTAGCCAACTACTTACTTCTGTCTTCTCCTTCAAATGAACTCTTGGAAAGCCATTTGTTAGATGAAGAATTTTAGCTACAGAGATAACTTTCTGCTTATGTGGTATTCTGTGTTGGCCAGCTGTGGTACTTGGCCTATTTGAGGTGCTCAACTGTACAGGGACTTCAGTTGTACGGGAGTCCAGTTTCTTGTATAATTTGTAGCCAAGATAAAGTTTTGGGTCCCCCTACAAAAGAATCCTTCAAACTCTTGGGACACTATTAGATACTGATATGTATTTTAAGTGCTCCTCAACTTACAACAGGCTTGTGCCTCAACAAATTCATCATAAGTCAAAAATATCATAAGTCAAAAATGCATTTAATACCTCAACAAATCTATCATAAAGAAAAAAAATCAGGTGAACCATCATCAGTTGGGAACTATCTATAGTCTGCTACAGATCCCAGCATTTTGGGAGGCCAAGGCAGGAGGATTGCTTGAATCCAGGAGTTCAAGACCAACCTGGGCAACATGGCGAGACCCTGTCTCTATTTAAAAAAAGAAAGAGAGAAAGAAAAATAAATAAATATCCAAATGTCATCACTTGCAAGTTCTACCTGTCACAAAACACAAGAGCACAAACAGAATTCAGCCAAGTTCTTTGTAATTTTATAACAAGGGTTACTTTCCTCCCATTTCTTTTTTTTTCTTTTTCTTTTGAATTTTTTTTTTCAATCCTACCATCCCTCCTCCAGTTTCCAACAACATGTTTCTCATTTCCATCTGAGACCTCACCAGAATTGCCTTTACCATCCATATTTCTATCAACATTCTGTTAGTGATTATTTATGTATTCTGCAAAGAAGGAAGTTTTCTCTGTACCTCTCCTATCTTCTTTCTAATTTCTCACCACAGTAGGCTTTAACATTCAAGGCAAGCTCAGCTTTTTCTAGAATGGATCTCAAAACTTTTCCCGCCTGTGTCCATCACCCCTTCCAAAGTCACTTCCATATTTTTAGGTGTTTGTTTACAGCATCAGCCTACTTCTCAGTACCGATTATTGTCTCAGTCGGCTCAGGCTGCTATAACCAAACACCATAAACTGGGTAGCTCAACCAACAGACATTTATTTCTCACAGTCCTGGAGGCTGAGGGATCCAAGATCAAATTGCTGTCAGATTTGGTTCTTGGCAAGGACTGTCTTCCTGACTTATAGACAGTCAGCTTCTCACTGTGAACTCACATGGCCTCTCCTTGTTGCAGGTGTGTGGAGAGAGAGATTTTTTTCTTGTTTTACTCTTCTTATAAGGGCACTTCTTCTAAGGGCACTAATCCCATCATGGGGCCCCATCCTCACAACCTCAGCTAAACCTATTACCTCCCAAAGGCTCCAACTTGAAATACCACCACTTTAGTGGTTAGGGCTTCAATATATGAATGCTGAGGACACACGAATATTCATTCCATAGCAGTATATACCTTTGTTAACTAATATAACATTTTTTCCTCCAGTCAACAATGTTTGGGGCTTCTAAGCACTAAACTGAAATTTTCAATGTGTCCATGGATGTCCATGTTCCAGTTCAGACATGTATTACATGAACTTTGTGATTAAAAATCTGGTTAAAGTACAGGCAGGATATTCTGTGGTGGCCTCTCAGCCAAAACCATTAACTAATTCATAGGCTTACTGCTGGCAAACTTGTAAGTCTCTAAAATGAATCTCTGGCTAGTACCTACTCTGAATGTAACTAGTAGTGCAATTTTCTACGGAGAAAATTATCCTGAAGATGGCAGCTTTTCACTTCTGAGCTTTGGCTCATGCTGTTCCCTCTCTAGAACACTCTCTGATTTCCCCCCAAAGGGGAAACATCTACCTGCAGTTAGACCTTAGATCTCTATTTAGATATCACCACCTTAGGTGCTCCTCCTTCATGTTCCTGTGAGCCCTGTTCTACCACCATCATAACTTCTTTTATTTGACCATTGGCTTGGTTGTCTATCCTTCTAAAGTATAATCTTAGGATAGCAAGGACTAAATCTTATTCACCACTCTATTCACGGCACTAAGCATGATGCCTCGCATAGTGTTAGAGCTGGAGGAGTGAATAACTATGCAAGAAGGTGAGTCATGGCATAAATGTCCAACAAAGGCATTACGTGTGCCTGAAGTCAAGCATGGAGGACACTTCAGGCCTTTCAGAGAACTTAGCATCCCAGAGGGTCTGTCCTCCATATCAGAATGAAAATGTAGGCAGAGTAAGGGATACAGAAATAAAGGAACACTGTTATGAGGAGAGCAGCTACAGAGCCGCCACCCAAATTCAGGTGAGAAAGGTTGGAATCATCACAGAGCCCTATCCTTTCATGGCTTCCCTCAGGACTCACTGCATAATCTGTGAGACCTGCTATGAAATGAAAATGTGAGACCCTTTGTTCAAAAATTAATAATTTCAGAATGGTAGGAGCAGAGCATCAAATCAAGCATTTAATATTGGTCCCTTCTAAGCATGGGGCTCTGTGTGACTGCATGCATCTCGTGCCATGAAACCAGATCCAGGCCCCTCTAAACCTAGGTGCCAGGGGCATACTGGTTCTGCTGTAGAACAGTGTTTAAGTTTATTTGGCAGCTCTCTCTCAAGTGTGTTGAGGCCTTGAAATTCAAAATTTTAGAAAACAAATAACATTTGTGATAAGTAACATAAAGATTGTTATGAACTTGCCAAACACCAGCATCCAAAAGGTAACACTCAGGCTTTCATAAATTTCATAATTCATATTCTCCTGCAAAGACTTCTGGATACTGAAATACCCATTCCCAAGATTACCTTTTATTGATCTTCATTAGAAACCAGCTACGTGTTTGTCGATAGAAATGAAGCATAAACAGTTTTGGCCTTGCCCTAACTTTCCATGGCAGCTGACCATTCCACTGAAAATACTATCACTAAAGCATCTACTTGATCTTTCAACAAAGCATGGCCTTGCATATTTTTGTTGTACTTGTTCATTTTTTTCTCCCTGTTTTCCACAAAGGTACCAAGATCAACTCAATCCTATTTCTCCATTGAATTGTATTGTTCACTTATGACATTTTATTTGGACATTACTCTTACGGTACTTTACATTAATCTGCCCTAATAACTACTGAGGTATATTGAAAAATAATTGATTTTTCACATCTGAAAGACATCTGTTATGCTATATTAGTGGCAATAAAATAGAAGAAACACTCACAAAAGCAAAATTGAACTATACACCAAGATAAATGTTATATTTTGGCAATATTCTCACAAAATAGCTGACAGATGTTAGTAAAAGCATTACATTTTGTGCAAAGATACTCATCATTTCCTATTACTATACATACTCCATGACATACAGAAACAAATAGTACAATGCAAAATACCACACTTTGGGCAATGCCAAGGCCAAATTTTGCATATTGTTTTTCCATAATGATGCAAGTTTGGTCTACAGTCTCCAAGTCAAATATTGAGGTAATTTTTGGCATACAATTGAGTCTCGCAAAAGCAAATTAATACTTTTAAAAATTAGCACCGGGCACAGTGGTTCATGCCTGTAATCCAAGCACTTTGGGAGGCCGAGGCGGGCAGATCACCTGAGGTCAGGAGTTCGAGACGAGCCTGGCCAATGTGGTGAAACCCTGTCTTTACTAAAAATGCAAAAATTAACTGGGCGTGGTGGCGAGCACCTGTAATTCCCTCTACTTGGGAGGCTGAGGTAAGATAATTGCTTGAACCCAGGAGATGGAGGTTTCAGTGAGCCAAGATCACGCCACTGCACTCTAGCCTGGGCAACAGAGTGAGACTCCAACTCAAAAAAAAAAAAAAAAAAAAATTAGCATAGTGGCTCACGCCTATAATCCCAGCACTTTGGGAGGCCGAGGCAGGCGGATTACTTGACGTCAGGAGCTCCAGACCAGCCTGGTCAACATGGTGAAAGCTTGTTTCTACTAAAAATATAAAAATTAGCTGGGCACAGTGGTGCACATCTATAGTCTCAGCTACTCAGAAGGCTGAGACAGGAGAATTGCTTGAACCTGGCAGGCGGAGGCTGCACTGAGCCAAGATCACGCCACTGTACTCCAGCCTGGGCGACAGAGTGAGCAAGACTCTGTCTCAAAAAAAGGAACAAACAAAAAACATATATTATATATATTTATATATATAAATACGTATTTATATATATTTATATATATATTAGCATGGGATTTATGGCTAATATTTTAAAATAATTACAGACTCCCAAGAGAAAAAACATACATGAACAATAAATTCTTACTAGCCACTTACGAACTGCTTGCACCAAAGCCCATTCGGAAAAAGGGATGCAGCCACGTTCTGTGCTTCTTAATGTCTCCAGAATCCTAGAGTACCCTGCAGGGGACTGATGATTGCACCTTGAGTAGGAGTTGAGAGCTGGAAATCAAATCAAACTCTTTGGCCCCGTGGAGAAAGGGATCTACTAGCTGCTGCTACTGGCAAGCTCCATTATTCGTGGCCTAGTGTCTTTTCATTTCTCAGAACTTTAATTGTATCTACCTTCACGGTTCTACTACTGCACACCTGCATAAAGTCCAAATTGTCCACCTGGGGGGAAAAACACTCTTTTGTTAGCTAATCACAGACTCATTGATACATCAGCTGAGGATTTTAGTGATATTAGAAATTCTTTTAGTGAATCCCTTCTATATTCTCACAATTCTGATTGTTTTCTAAATCTATTTTAATCTCTCTTTTGCTTTCTCTTGCAGACACACACACACACACACACACACACACACAAACAACATGGTGTTATTCAAACATAAAGAACTGAAGAACCTTTCTGGCTGGGCACGGTGGCTCACGCCTGTAATCCCAGCACTTCGGGAGGCCAAGGTGGGTGGATCACGAGGTCAGGAGATCGAGACCATCCCGGCTAACACGGCAAAACCCCATCTCTACTAAAAATACAAAAAATTAGCCAGGCGTGGTGGCAGATGCCTGTAGTCCCAGCTACTCGGGAGGCTGAGGCAGGAGAATGGCGTGAACCCGGGAGGCGGAGCTTGCAGTGAGCCGAGATTGTGCCACTGCACTCCAGCCTGGGCTACAGAGCAAGACCCTGTCTCAAAAAACAAAACAAAACAAAACAAAAAACACAAAACAAAACAAAAAACTATAAATCTTCTACAAAGAGGTCAGAAATCCCTGTTAAAAACATGATAAGCAAGTGTTAAACAGCAAAGGTTGGTTCAAGAAACATTAAACTGGCTCATTAGAGACCACAGCAGGCCGGGCGTGGTGGCTCACACCTGTAATCCCAGCACTTTGGGAGGCCGAAGTGGGTGGATCACGAGGTCTGGAGGTTGAGACCATCCTAGCTAACACGGTGAAACCCCATCTCTACTAAAAATACAAAAAATTGCCGGGTGTGGTGGCGGGCGCCTGTAATCCCAGCTACTGGGGAGGCTGAGGCAGGAGAATGGCGTGAACCTGGGAGGCGGAGCTTGCAGTGAGCCGAGATCACATCACTGCACTCCAGCCTGGACGACAGAGCGAGACTCTGTCTAAAAAAAAAAAAAAAAAAAAAAAAAAAAAAAGAAGAGGAGACCACAGTGAAAAGATATAACAATGATTGACTCCCATGGTCTCACTGTACAGGTCTTTGAAGAAAGTGTGACCCAGAGACCTTAGTGACTTGCTCAGGGTCACACACAAACTCAGGGAAGAAGCTAAAACTTGACCCAGATCTCTCCCTCCCAGGCCTATAATCTTTCCTGTTATAGATCTCTCATTGATGTCCCTATGTTAATTTCACAAATGCCAGTATCAATAACCTTACACACAGGGACATTCTTAATATTACTAAATAGCATCTCAATAATGTTCCTGTGTTTTTTATTTTGTTTTAGTTTTAAGAAACAAAGAAAAAGATTTTAAAATACACAGGGAGAACAAGCATGAAACGTGGATGGGAGGCTTTCACCTTATCTTTTGATGGGAGGCTTTTGTTTCTTGTCCTAACTTAATAGAAAGGAAAAACAAAACAAAAAAACCAAAAACAAACAAATAAAAACTTCAAAATAAAATAGTTATGTGGTTGAATTTATTTTAAGTATACAAGAGTCAAATTTGTTTTTTAAATGGGTAATACTTAACTTTAAATATTTGGACACAGACTACAGGCTTGACATATTTAAGTATAAAAATAATTTTAAGGAAAACCTTATTCCTCTACTAATACATTTTTTTCTAACTTGATTGAGTCTTTTACTGAGAGACTGCTGCTGGAAATGCATGCTCATAATAGGTGGTTCATAAATACAGCTGGTTTATTACTTTGTAAGAAAAAATAGCATGTGAAGATTTTTTTTCTATATTACAAATTATGCAAAGTGAGCAAATAAGTACATCAAAGTATTATTATCTGATAAAGCTTTGTATTCATTAAAGTTATTTGGACATAGAAGGCAAATAAGAGGAATCAAAGCCAACATATATCTAACTGACACTTCAGCTGAAAGTTAAAGTCTAAAGGAAGTGATTTATTTGTTATGGCTGTGTCTGCATCAAGAATTAATGTGAATTCATTTTGACATATACGATACTCACTAACTAAATGGTCAACAGAAAGATTGGACCAGACAACCATGTTTGACCAACCCTTCAATGGACAATCCTAAAGAAGCCCAGGTGATAAGCTGGCTCTATCCCTTGGTGGCTGTTGACAGAGGGCAAGGCACTGAGCTTCCCTCGACACAATTTCTGCATCTGTAAAAAAGTTTTTTCCTTTTCTCCTCATAAGGTAAAGCACTTAGAACAGTGTCTGACACAGACTAAGTACTATAAAAGTTTTCCATTGCTCCCTCTACCCACACAAAAGGGGTTCTGTGGGCAAATAAGATGCAGAAATAATTGTATCCTATATCCCTCTCTTAGAAGTATATGTCATCAGAATGAATATTAGAATGAATATTAAAGGTTCTGAGAATTTTCATAATAAAGAAAACTTTGAATTTAATTCAGTGTTCCTCAAAATTAGTGAGGTAGCTTTTTTAAATAAATAAATACTAATCTCAAAAGCTTAAACATATTTATTAATCCATCAGAACAAACCTAAAAAGTTACTGAGGCCTTTTCACAACGGACCAAGCTTTACCTATGAGTAGAGCAGTTCATAGGCCAAGAAAATGAAACACGCTAACAAGGCAGGAATATTTAAACATTGGAGCAAAGAAATGAGAAAGAAGAAAAAATAAAAATGAAAAAGTGCAAGATATCACAAAAGGACAATGGAAAAGGACCCCGGCCCACCAATCATTAGTGGTTTCAAATGGTTTCATGGAAAAATGGTCATGGAATCCATTCTGCGTGGAAGCCTCTAGGATTCCCTAAACTCCTATCAAAACATCCAGATATACCTGGGACCCTTTTATACAAACCACGATTTTCTAAAATAAAATCATAAATAAATAAAATCAATAATCTTTGGTGGGGAGATAATTTGGGGAGATTATCATAATTTTATTTCGCTTTTGTTTTTACAAATAATCACTTCAGTGTCATTTATGTGGCATGGTGGGATATTGTTTTAGGGTAAAGAAGATTCTACTTTATTCTTAGTATTGCACATGTAAGTACTAATTAATATTTAATTTCCTAAGTATTTACTTTGTAGAATAAAACTCTATCCAACTAGTGATATTTACTCAGAGGCTAATGCCATTTTGGTGTGTAGGGCCTCATGCCATTAAAACATTCCTGCTTCACTTAGCACTTATTCGGAGAGAGACAGCAGCCCAACTTAATGCTGTGCTCATTTAAAGCCCTGCAATTATTTTTATGTGCTGATTTTTTAAATCAAAAATTATGAATTTTGTTAGTCTTACAGATACATTTACCTGTGGAATAAACAGATTTCTCCAAACTAATGTTGTAGGGTTATAATATTTATATTTTTTCTCCAAATACTAGAACTTTTACAAATCTATAGCTGCTGTTTTGATAAAAGAAATATCAAGAAACTTGAAGTTGGATTTGTACAATACTTTTTAAACTGAAGTTTTCCAATATTATCAGAAGAGTAAGTCTAAGATCTTAACTTAATAGTATATTTTGTAAGCATTTCCTTCCTAGAAAATAAAAAAAACCTAAGAAGCTTTCCAAGGCCAGCTTGTATTTATAACATTTTGTTATAATTATAAATTATTTTAAAATGTTATAAATATATAAATTTTAATTATAATGAAAATATTTAATTATAATAAAATTATTTAATGAATACTTTATAAAAATTTATTATAGTTTTATTATACTTAAACATATTATTAATTATATTTGAAAATGTGTGTACCTGTAATCACTTGTCAGTTTGTGCATAAATTTTTATTGTTAACCCACATTTGAAAATTTAGTCCAAAATCTATTAAATAAAAATCTACTAGCAAAAGTTTTAATTTATATCTATTTGCTCTACAAACCTATTTAAATGGCCACAATTGGTCAAACCAGCTTAGCTTTCACATTGGTGAAGAAAATTACATTTCATTTTATTAGGAGAAAAAAGAAACGGCAATATAATCTGTTTCCAAATGACTTTAGTGTGAATGTAAAGCCACTCTGTGCATACACAATGACCTCATTCCCAAGCACCAGAAATACAATCTTATTTTCCAGCCTAAGTATTTGTCGTTCACTTACAAAGAACTCAGTATTTAAAAACATATAAATACAATGGCAAAGCACTGAATTGACACTTATGATAAAATGCATTTGATTAAGACTTAATAAAGCACTGTGTATAGTACTAGTGAATAATGCATTGCCAGATAAAGTTGAACACAAAGCAAATACAGTGTCAAAACTAATCTAGCCAGGCATTATTCAGCCACATTACTTTCTTTATTACTAGATTAAAAAATGCATATTGTGTTTCAGAAGCTTTTTCATTATTTCAACACATAACATAAGTGCTCTTTGAAAAAGACCACCTATTTTCAAAAACAACTACTGTGGTAAGAAACCACAGAGAACCAGGCAATGGGTCTCTTAGTGACGTGGGTTCCCATTATTCCAGTTAACATGCGGTTTGGTTTAAAGCATTACAGTTTGCAGAAGCTTACTTTAAAAAAGTGCCCATGATGTTTCCCTTTCCTTCACAAAACACTAATCCAGAAAATCGGTAAATAACAATGTTTCCTAAACTCTTTTTTAAACAGTTTTAGTTAAAGGAAAAAAAAAATATTTTCATTCATTTATCTTAACTGTCCTAGTTGGATCACATAAAAACTTTTATTTTTCATTTTTTTTTTGTTTGGTTTTATTTTTTAAGTCCTTCCCTAACCTTTTTGTATACATATCCCCATCTTAGTTTGGATTCCCCCAAAGTAAGATTTGGAACAAATCTAGATTTATGTAGCTAGGTTTTTGGGGAGGGGATCCCAGACCATACCAGAGAGGCAATGGTAAAGTGGGGAAAGGAAGATAAGTCAATGTTGAATGTGTTACTAGGTGTTAGTACTGTAGATAACTGCAGATTAATTGCAATTCGGATTGCTAGGATCCAGTGTTATCTCACCCAAGGAGGAAGTTGAGGCATTTACACCTCATCCTTGGTTGAAGGATGCTATAGTTGGGGAGGTGGGTGGGGAGGGAAGGTCAATACTTGTATTTTCTCTATTTCTTCATTATGCTAGGTCTAGGTGGACTCCATTGATTAGAGAAAGCCCTTAGGCCAAGTAATGAACATGATGGCAGGGGGAAGTCAGCCACTTATATGACAATGATAATATCTGAAAGGGTATGGATGGGGCACAGAAAGTATCCCTAGAATCTCCGTCCACTTCACCAGGCTTTGTATTCCTGGGTTCCAAGGACATTTCTGTGTCTCCAAAACTCAGTTTATCTCACTGCTTATTCTCCTGCATGGGCTTCTTTCATGTTCTTCCTAGTCTCTTGAATACTGACTTACTTTTTTAACTTACCAAGGGTACTCAGCTCTCCTGAGTTTGCCCACTCATCACCAAACTTTGAACAGCTCTTTCAGCCCCATTCATGCATATAATTCTACCTCTCTTCTTCTTCCCCCAGAGGGACTTAATTCTTAAAATTATAGTTCTCGGTAAATGTGTTTGTGCCACATTTATGTGGCTCATAAATAGGCCAATTGCATGAAATTAGATTTGTAGTGTACCTTTTGTTCTTGTAAGCAGTGAGGAAGGTAGAAGAAAACATAGGCTCTGGGCAAACAATATTTCAGTGCATTGGGCTGAATATCAAAGAAAATGATCACCATCTTTGGGAAAGATAAATTATATCAAACAAGAGTGTAGTGCCATGGAAGAAAGAGATAGTTGCATCCAGTGTATGGTAAAAATAAGTTAATTAGCATTCTTAACCCTAAACCTATCACCAATACCATTGAACAATTCATTCCTGCCCTCACATATATATATATATGTACATTTATCTATCCAAAGTGATATTATATGTCCTAGCATATATTACTGCTGTAGCAGGTCAACATATATCTTTGAGAATTTATACATAAATATCATCTCCTAATTTTCTCCAGCAGTGCAACAGACCAAATCCTGTGTGATTTTTATTCTCTCTCAAACATCTCAGCACACACTGATCTAAACTACTCCTCTGAAAGCTGATCCTACGTAGCCCTATCACACATGGCTTATGCTCTTGTTTCATATGGCTACATAATTTTTCAAACTATTCAGGGTTTACATTTGCAAGAAAACTCCTATATCCCTGAAGGCAAGAACTTCCTATGAGCCAGATACTTCTTGCCAGTCATGATGTCTGTGAAGTTTAGCCACTACAGCTTCCTTCTCTGGGTCCTAGAAGCTTTTCTAAGTCTCTCAATCCTCTTGAAAAAAATAAGAAATCACAACCAGCAAACTGTGCAGTAAAAGAAGTTAGTGAACAGCTGAGAAGAAGGCAGGCCTTCAGTGTGGCAGCAGGACTCAAGGGCAAAGGGAGGTACAGAGCGTAAAGGAGTTGACACCAAGTTCCCAGATAATGTAGGAGGGAGGGAAGCAAAAGGAGACCTTTTGCTTTGGGCCATGGGCATAAAATACATTATGCTATACGTGAGAGATTATAGCTTATTCCAAGAATTAAAATCAGATAAAAGAGTTGACATGTTGAGTTTACAGTATTAGTATTACATAAAGGCCAAATCTCAGCCTCTGGCAGATTTTACTTCCAGAACTTGGTACAATCAGTGCTGCTGAATTTTCTTAATTATACTTGGCAAGGCAACCATCAATTGCTCATTTTCCACTTTAAAACATTTCTTCTGCCTAAGTGGGGATAAAGACACCCTTTCTCCCATCCCTCTAGTTAAAAACCTCTTAAAGATCCTTAATTAGTGTTAAGGTTTATAGGAGCTATAAGAGATAATACAGCTGAATTGCACAAGAATCTGTGGATTACGCCTTGTATTTCCTAGTTGGGACTACTCTAAGTCAATACTTTCATAGAATGACAGATCTTTGCAAGGCATTGCATTTTACTTAAGCTAATACATGATTATCTTCTTCAACCAAATTACAACCATTATGCTTGCTAATGTTTGTGCCAATAACTGTTGTCTACTGAAGGGAGAAAAAAAACTGTCCTACTCTACTGCTTGGGTGTAAACAACTATTTAAAGCTTGGGTGAAAACAATTATTTATTTTTAAATCACATGAGCAATACCTGAATAGGTACTCATTGTAAAATAACAGTCATTAATAAATACAGAAATATGTACAAGAAAAAGCTTACTCTCTTTTACCCTCTTTTCCTAATACCACTCTCCTCCTAAGAGGTTCTAAAATTGGCAATTTGGCATGGCCCTTCCAGACCTGTACTGTGCACATACATAGAAGATTACACCTAACCTGAGTCCTGTCTTTATTATATTTTTAAGTTAGAGTTATTATATATTTATGACATGTGAAACAAATCAAAGATGTCTAATCAAAAAATTCATCATCCCCAGCAACTCTCTTCCAGTCAAGTCCCCATGTAAATGTATAAGTGATGTTCATTTCCTTATTTGTATCCTCTCACTTTTTCTTCCTTATTCATCGATTCACAGATACATCTATACACATATCCAGCAGTTAATTTTTTCACAATTATGAAATAACCTCACATTTCTCAGTAGCTTTGCCTGACTTTAAAGCAACACACACACACACACAAAATATTATATATATATATATATATATATATATATATATATATATATATATATATATATAAAATATAGTATATATGTTTTAATGGTTATTCTTTCAAGTCAGCAGATGCTGATCTATTTCATTGCTTTGGACAGCTTAATCATAATCCATAGGATGGATGTCCCATATTTGATTCAGCCATTCTCTTACCAAAAGACACTCAGATTGTTTCCAGGTTATTGCCATTATATATGATGCCAAAAGAGGCACTCTTGCATTTTGATCCTCATATATTGCAAACTGATTTTTGTAGGATAAATTCTCCAAAGTGTGAGTGTTATGCAAATGAGCACTGGCATTATTTTATTTTACTATTATCTGATTAATTTGCAATGTTTTAAAACAATTCACTTTCCCTTTAAAAATGCATGACAATGATCATTTCCCTACATGTTACCTGGCATGTGAAAAAAATCAATATTTTAATTTTTTCCCAATTTATGAATGAAGAACACAATTTCATTATTGTTTTTATTTGAATTTGCTTTACTAGAAAGGTTAAACATATCTTTATATGTTTATTGACCATTTAAAATTTTTTTCTTCTGTATATTACCTAGAAAAGATATCCTTGCTCATTGTCTTTACAAATTTGTGAGAACTTTTTCTATATTACAGACTAATTCTTTCAAATTGGTAACATATTTTTCCCACTCATATTTGTCTTTTAATTTTGTTTATATTGACATTTGCCATGAAAAATTTTAATTTTTAAACAGTCAAATATGTATCGCACCTTTTTAATCAATGTCTTTCTTAATAAGTCCTCTCCTACCGCAAAGTTAAACAAACAGTCCAAGTTTTACTTTTATGTTTTACATTTAAATATTTAATCCATTACAATTTAGGTATTTAATCCATCTCTGATATGAGGCAAGACATAGCTCTGCTCTCCTTCCAAATGGATAGTTTATTCTGTCAGCTCCATTTATTAAATAAAACATTCTTACCACAGTTAATTGCAGTTAATTGAAATGTCTTTCATTATATATTATATTTCCATGCAAACTTGGGTCTATGCCTGAATTCTGTATTTTGTTCCACTGATGTGTGTACTAGTGTGCTAATACCATGGTATTTAGATTATAGTAGCTTTGAAAGAAGTTTTAATATTTGGTAAGGCAAATTTTTCCCTCTCCTTAGTCATTCTTTTTTGTCAATATTTCCTTAGTTATTTGAATTGTCTTTAAGCCTGTCAATATCAATTTAATTCTGTTAATTGAATAGAGTCCCGATAGCTATACATTCTCAATATAAAAGTGTCTGCTTCCATTTAACTGATAGATAATTGATAGAGAAATAGAAAGATAAATAAGAGAGATAATAAAGATACATAAATAGATGATAGGTATTGGTATAGATAATTAAATAGATTTTCCCTACAATTATGGTATCAAAGAGTAAAAATGTTTTGGAAGTATTTTCTACATCATGGATATCCACTGATAGGTCAGGAATTCAGGAGAAGGACATCTCTAGAAAAATATGGAAGGACCATCATTGCTAATCTTAAAGGGCCTAATATGTGCTATATAACCTCACAAATATTATCTCCTTTAGTCCTCTCAATATCCTGTAAAGTAAGCGGGGGATCTTGAACTAATATTAGAGATAATGAAATTAAGCCTCATCAGAAATGTTAAGTGGCCTGTACAACGTTATACTAGTGTGTGTCACAGTTAGAAGGAAAACTTGACTGTCACTTCACTCTGATTTCACCTCTTCCATAAGCCCTACAAGATACTTCATGTGTTTGTTTTAAATTAAAGACTCAGAGCAGCAATCAAATGTTAGTGAACAGACTAAAGGGTAGGTAAAATAAAGAATCAAAATGATGATCACTGGATTAGCTGGTATCCAAAAATAATCTGATCAAAGTAACATTCTGAATATTTAAGATTCTCCATTGTGACCATCTAGAACTGTGGTTTTCAACAGGGGATTGGGGCCAGAGTAGAGGGAGACTCAGGTAATCTGATAAAGACCCTTAGTTGATTCTGATATTCCTCCTTCTTCCCTACTTAGTTCATAATCACGGCTCTATTCTAGAGATGGGAAGAAATTTTATTCAAAACAAAATGCTTTTCATAAAACTTAGCAAAAGATAACATACATAGTGTGTATTCAATAACAAATCATTTTTTAAACTAGTTACAATTTGCAAGTTAGCCACGAAATGCAATACTTTGTACCTATTTTAGGCCATTTACTGTATTCTGTCTTGTAGTATATGAGCTTGAATAATTTTTTTAATTCTTCATCTCTTAACCCAGTGGTTCTCAGATGTTAACATGCATCAGAATCACCTGGAGGACTTAACAAGATGTGGGACGTGTATTGCTGGGACTCCCTCAACCCCACCTCACCAGAGCGAGGTTCTAATTCAGTAGATCTGGTTGGTGGGTGGGTGGGTCCTGAGAATGTACTTGTTAAGTTTCAAGCAGTGTTGATATGGGTGGCCTGAGGAATGGATTCTGTGAACTAAACATTACTTCAAGAAAAAATCTGTGTGTGTGTGTGTGTGTGTGTGTGTGTGTGTGTGTGTTGTGTGTGTGTGTGTTATTCATCTTTAAATTCTGCAAGGTCCAATATAATGCTTTGAATATATTATCGACTCAATACATAGGAGTTTGTTTTGAATCATGTTAGTGGTGTGATTTTTGCAATATTCTAATATATTGAAAAGTGGTGATCAGTGTAGACCAAAGGAATCAATAAGAATATCACATTTCCAAACAAGGGATATACAAGTATTATGCTAGTCCTTTTAATAGATATCTAACTTCCTAAAGACATGTCAGTTTCCCCTTGTATATACTTACATCCTACCATCCATGTCCCCCTCATGATTAAACTGAGCTCTTTGTCTTTCTATTATTGACTTGTAAAAGTTCTTTATGTATGCTAGGTATGAGACCCTTATCATACATATCATTTTCAAATATTTTCTCTCCTTCTGTGGGCCAGCTCTTCATTTTCTTGTGTCCTTTGAAGCACAAAAGTTTTTAATTTTGATGAAGTTCAATTTATCTATGTTTTTTCTTTTCTTGCTTGTGCTTGTTGTTTCATATCCAAGAAACTATTGCCTTAAACCAAGGTCATGAAAATGCATCCCTAAATTCTCTTCTAATCCAGTTTTACAGTTTTGGCTCTTACATTTAGGTCTTGAATTCATTTTGTGTTAATTTTTATATATGATGTGAGATAGAGGGTCCAACTTCATTCTTTTCCTTGAGGATACCCAGTCATTCTAGCAGCATTCTTTCCTCTACTGAATTGTTTTGGCATTCTTGTTGAAAAACAATGGACCATTATGTGAGGATTTACTCAGGGAGTCTCAGTTATATTCTATTGATTTATATTTTGATTCTATATTAGTACCACAGTATCTTGATTACTGTAACTTTGAGATCAGGAAGTGTGAGTCCTACAACTTTGTTCTTCTTTCTCAAGATTGTTTTAAGCTATTCTAGGTCCCCTGAGTTTCCATATGAATTTTAGGATTAGCTTATTAATTTCTCCAAAGCCAGCAGGATTTTGAAAAGTATTGCATTGAATCTGTAGGTCAATTTGAAGGACATATATGTTTTAATGCAGCATTACAAGTTTGCCCTGAGTATGGCAAACACCTTTGTTCAAGAATAGTCCAAATTTAATTACATTTCAAATGTCTGTTGCCAAGGAAGAACTGAATGTATGCTTAAAAGAAAAAAATAACTTTTTTCCACATCTAAAATTATTCATAATACAGTAACAGGGAAAATACAAACAAAGTAAGAAAAATCATAGTAACCTCTAATCTCCTCAACATGACAGAAAGAGTCACTGTTAGCAGTTTGGTGCAATTTATTTCTAACTTCCATATTAATTAGCTTTTACTGTGATAACAGACTCCACATTTCAGTGGCTTACAAAATAAAAATAGCCTTGACTTCTTTCTCACTCATGTTGTATGTTGGTGGCCATGGGTCAGCCAAGACTCTGCTCCACATGGCTATGGTGATCTCATGGTGAAGAGGAAAAGCAAGAGAGATGGTAAGAAAAACTAGTTGGCCGGGTGTGGTGGCTCACGTCTGTAATCCCAGCACTTTGGGATGCTGAGGTGGGCAGATCACATGAGGTCAGGACTTCGAGACCAGCATGGCCAATATGGTGAAACCCCATCTCTATTAAAAATACAAAAATTTAGCCGGGAATGGTGATGCACACCTGTTAATTCCAGCTACTTGGGAAGCTGAGGCAGGAGAATCACTTGAACCCGGGAGGCAGAGGTTGCAGTGAGTCCAGATCGCGCCACTGCACTCCAGGATGGGCAAAAAGAGCAAAACTTCATTAAAAAAAAAAAACAAAAAAAAAAAACCTAGTGTTGCTTCTTAAGGTTTCTACTTGTGGAGAATGTGCTCATAAGAATCCAAGCTTCCCCTTGCACCTCCTATAATGACATTGAATTTAATGGCCTTTGCCTACTCAATCTCATTTTGTGCTGTGGTTCAAATAAATGACATCAGGGGAAAGGAAGATACAGAGATACAGAACATAGGATTTCATAAATCTGGTGGTCTATGTTTGAATAGTCAAAGGAAGAATATGAAATAAATCTGTTTCTGCTCCAATGACTCCCATAGACAGTGATGCCTCTCCTCTAGCCACCCATGATGTATGATTTCCTGTAACAGAAACCTTGGAGAAACCTTTAATAAAGGCACATATGCCTTTATTAAAGATGGCGTTTCATTGTGCTACATGCTTTGCTCTAATACCAACCATTACATTTTACATGCCAGCCTAGAATTTTCTAAGAAAATTAAGTAAAAAAAAAAAATTATTGTTGATGTGGAGGGAAAATAAACTGATTATAGTTCCTATTTAAAGGCAAGAGAAAAAGAAGACAAGAGTACAAACTGCTAGTTGACAAGATGCAGACTTGCCAGGGGCAAGTTGTGACAAATAAGCAACCCCTAAAGGAAGAGTATAATTTACTTTTAGGCGTAATTAATTATGCTGAAAATTAATAGCATTGTCGAGTAGTCCTTTGTTTAAAGAATAAAATAGGGAATGATTGGTTTTAGTGAAAGAAGAAAATAGGGTGTGTGTCTGCTTGGTTAAGCTGGGCCTACATCTTGCAGAATCCCTTTCCTTGTATGATTCTAAGTGACAGCTGGCCAACCCCAGAGATTCACAAAGCTGGGAAGGTAGATGTGAAGCAGCAGTCATTATTCTCAGAAGGTCATCACAATTAGGTGTGGAGAGGGACCACAGACCACGACCTTTGTCAGAAACCCACAAGGAAGTCCATTGGTAGAACTAGAGGCCATTGTTAAATGACAGTTTTAAATTAATGAAATGTTTAAAATAACATCACAGCCCTTACACTGGGGATTCTGTGTGAGCTAGACCTCACCCCAGAAAAGGCTGATAATAAGAGATCTCAGGGTGAACGAAACTTCAGGCTTATGCCACAATTGGATGGGACATCAGAAATAACATAATTTTACATCTACATTTAACAATCTTATAACCACAAAAACTTATTTTTTACCCTTTGGCATTTGGCTTTTTTTTAGTTGCACAAAAATGTTATTTCTATTGCAGAAAATCCACCCTATCAAAGAGAATTCTCAGTGAGAGAATGCGAACAGAAAAGAAATGTCACAATTATGAACAAAGCATTGCTATTCAAAGGGGAAAATGCTAGCAAAGAGGAACTCAAAATTGTAAATCTTCATTAATTTCAAAAGGGTGAATCACAAGACTATTGAAGTCTAATTCCCAAACTAATTTCTTGAATTAAAATGATCAATGCAGAAATAACATCTTGCATGTTGCAAATATGTTTCTATGATTTCCAAAACAGTTCTATCTTCAGCTTAGGAAAAAAAAAAAAAAAAAAAAAAACCTCTTGCAGTGTGACATTGTGATAAAGGAACATTTCACTGACTCAAGGATTTCTCCATGACTTCAAGAATACGAGACTAAGAAGTTATTGAGTTAGGAGAATTACCAATGGCCACAATCCATTCTATATTATCTTTTTCCTCTATGACACAGCCTCCAAACTACCGCCAATAAGCTTGCTAAAACACAATCTGACCATATAAAAGTTTTTGTTTGTTTCTTAATGATCTCCAATGGCTTCCCTTTATTGAGGGGGAGATTCAGACACACGGTTTAGTCAGAAATCTGTCCTCTCCTCTTCTCCATGAATTCTGATACCTTGAATTGGTTTGTCTGATAAATTAGTAAGGACTTGTAGCAGATAACCTCCCACTCTGGCTGGGTGGTCCTTAATTCTCACAATGAGGAAAGAGAGCTGGAATGAGGTACAACATGCAGAGATCTCATTCTGTCATTGCCAAGAAGCTGAGTGTACATGTGGTACCAGTAGCCTGGCTCCTGCCTAGGACATCTATAAATTGGTCCACGCCTCCCAGGCATGACATCCATTTTCATACCTCCTGGACTATGTCCCATTCCAGCACAATTAGCTTCAAAAAGTAATAGTTATATATGTTTGGAGTCCATGGATTTAAGAAAACAAAGATCCTATCCAAGATACAGATGGTTTAAGGTACCAAGTATTACATTCTAGTAAACTAAGTATGTATAACTTAGTAACAAAAAATTTTAATTCCTGATAGGATTAAGAGTTTTGGAATGTGCCATTTTTTAAAAAATAGCAGGAAGGTCCATGTAGAAAACAAGTGTTTTGTTTTTCCTATCAGAGGGGTGGTCTCTACTCACCCCTCTTGGTTATAGCGTGTCAACTTCCCTTGGGAAACTGCCTCTCTTCCATATTAAGCCCATATGATATAGAGAGTGTTAATCCTTCTCCATTCCCCAGCTTTAGAGATGGGCATGGACCCAGATTTATACAATTAACTGTGGTCTAACACTTCATCAGGGGTTGGTTCAAGAATAGCCATGTGGTTCATGGATACAAGACTGAGTTCTGAATTCATTATTGGAACTAGCAGAAAAAATAAATTTAAGCTTCAGCTTCTGTGAAGGAATGTTAATCCACGGTAGAAACTGCCAAGCTTTTTTCTACAAAGTGCCAGATTGTGAATATTTTCAGCTTTGCATCCCATAAAAATCTCTGTCAGAACTACTCAACTCAGTTGTTGTAATGACAAAATAGCTATAGACAACATGTAAACAAATGAGCATGGCTGTGTTCCAATAAAACTTTATTTCTGGATACTGAAATTTGAATTTCATTTAATTTTTTTATTACAAAATTTTATTTTATTTTTTAATGTTTTAACCATGTAAAGATGTAAAAACCATTCAGTGAAAGCCTGGATTTGGCTGATGGGTCATAGTCTGCCAATTCTCATTCTAAATGCTTGAAGAAACAGTAGCAAATAAGACAAAAAGCTCCTGGCCTCTGGGAGCTTATGTTCTAGTGGAGTAGATAAACAATAAATAATTTTAAAGTGATATATTTGAAGGTAGAGTAAGCAAGATTTACTCGTGGAGTGGATGTGGAGAATAAGACAGCAAGAGAGAGGGAGAAAAGGCGAGAAAGAAGAGATACAGAGGAAGAGACAGAGGGAGAAAAGTAAAGCATAAAGCTAAGGTTTTAGGCTTTGAGCAACTAAGTTAAAGAGGATACTAATTTTTAAGAAGAGAATGGGGAATGGTGAATTTTGGACACTCATAGTTCTTTTCGAACATGTTATGCTTATGATGCCTATTAGATTTCCAGGCAAAAACACTAAACAGACAAGTGCATGAATGAGTCTGGAACACAGGGAAAAGGTAGGAGCTGAATTCCTCAGCAAATAAACCATAAAGTGGAACAGACCTGGTTAATGTCACTTAAAGACATTAAGCGAAGATACAGAAGAAAAAGGGTCCAAGAACTGAGCCCTGGAAAACTCCAGTGTTCAAAAGGAACCAGAAAAAGAGAGTAGGAGGAAGGAGCTAATAAAGTAAGAGAAAATAAGAGTGAAGGATGTCCAAGGGCAAAGGAACAAGGTGTTTCGGAAAGGAAGATGTGACCATTATGTCAGATGCTGCGGCAGTGCATATTAAGATACATATACTGATCAGGAAACTGACCAGTGTATTTGGTAAGAGGGAACTCATCGCTGACTTTAACATTGACTTTAACAAGTGTGTTTTGCAGTAGACTTGTGAGTTTGAGAGACAATGGTTGTGAGGAAGTGGAGAGATCACAAAGACATGTCTTTTGAGGAGTTCTGCTCTAAAAGCCTGGAAGAGTAGCTGAAGAGGGGACACAGGAGAGAGGATGTTATTTATTTATTTATTTATTTATTTATTTATTTATTTATTTATTTGGCTGTTCTGTTTTGAAGATGGAAGGCATTAGAGTCAAGAGAAAAGAAAAAATATGGCTAAGGCAGAAGCAAACATCAAGTGAGTGAGGGCCAGGGATCCAGGGTAAGTGTATGGGATAAAGAAGCAGGCAGGTTGGTAGATTTAGTAGTTTGAAGACAAAGTTCTCTGGTGATAGCTTCTATTTTCTCTGGGGAAAGTTGAAAACAAGTAGATTGGAGTTGATGCTAATGATGTTAATGACTGAGGAAGTGGTTTTCTTAGTGATGAGGGACTGGCTTAACTGAGGGAATGTGAAGAGACTTTCTAGGAGGCTGAGGACCCACTTGAGACCAGAGTGTGGTTGTGAGCTTTTCCCCAGTCATGTTCAACTGCCTGGAAATAGGTGGAGAGCAGGCAGAAAGGAGGACTTAACTGGTGGTGAGTTTTTTCTAGGTGACTTTGAGGGAGTCAAGGGAGTTGAGGGTGTGTGTTCTGGAGAGATCATCACAGTGGCTTGTGAACTCCATGCCAGGGAGGTGTGAATGTTAAGGGGAGGATGAATGGTGGAATATAGTAGGCTCAAGTGTGGAGATGTGTGTGGGATTAATGGCTTCTTGGATTCAGGGAAGGAGCTGCAAAGATAAGAAGTAGTAGTCAAAGAACGGGATGCTCAAAACTAACATTATGGAGCTGGTGCAATTATTGCAATGGCAAGATCAAAAAGAGTATGACTGTGCAGGGAGTGAGTGAGGATGGGTAGACCAGAAGAGAAGTGAAGGAGAGAAAGTCAAGGAACTGGGGGGCTTAGGTGATGGATGGACCAGCCAAGAACCTTCCATTCTTTGCTGGAGCCACCAAGAATTAAGAAAGTAGTCATGGGGGAAAAAATGCTAAAATTCCCTGTAACTGAGAGGAAGCAACCAGGAGAAAAAATGTTAACTCTAGATGGGATAATCTGAGGACATACAAGTAAACATACATTTCAAAGAAGTTGATTCTTTTTTTCTTTCTAGAAGAGAAGGAAAAATAGTCTGCAAATGATTTTTATGAACAAGGAGGTCATCTTTCTTTCATCTAGGACCCATGGTGCATGGTGTACAGGAAAAATGAACAGAACTGGATGAGAAGGCTGCAGGGAGAGCAAATCCTTTGGAGACAGCCAGGCCTCACTGTAAGAAAGTGAAGGAAGAGGCCAGGCATGGTGGCTCATGCCTATAATCCCAGCATTTTGGGAGGCTAAGCCAGGTGGATCACCTGAGGTCAGGAGTCTGTGACCAGCCTGACCAATATGACAAAATCCTGACTCTACTAAAAATATAAAAATTAGCTGGGCATAGTGGCAGGGCCTGTAGTCCCAGCTACTCGAGAGGCTGAGACAGGAGAATCGCTTGAACCCAGGAGTCGAAGATTGCAGAAAAAAAAAAAAAGAAAGTGAAGGAAGAGATTGTTCAAAGGAGGTATGTAACTAGTGACCAAGAGGCCTCAGTTGTTCCCAATAGTTCCTGATAATTCCTAAAACAGGGAAGAATACACATGGCCTGGAAGGCACTGACATTTTTATAAAGAAGATTTTTTTTATATCTCTCTCAAATATCACTTGACCAAATAAAAGTTTTTGAAGAGTAAAAAATAAAATTGAAGCCTATATCACCTAACAACACTTTGTCATCCTGAGCAGTTTACTTTCCTATGCCTGAGTTTCTGTGTGTGCCTGACATTGAAATAACAATACCTGGCCTTTCATCCCCCTTCTCTGTATGGACATTGTGAGAAAAATTGGGTAGCCTCTTGAGTTCTTAGGAGAAGGGGTACTTTGGAAACTGAAATGGAGGACTATGGATATTCCAAGGAGCAAAAACTCAGAATACAACTTGGGAATCTGAATATAGCTTCTATTATCTTCCAGGGCTCTTTGGCCGCTTTTAACTTTTTTTCCAGCTGGCAAACTCCAAGTCCCCTGATTGTTTTCTGCTCCACCTCTTGGATTGATCCTTTTCTTATGACTCCCCAGGACCCGATAAACTCCCCAAGCTCACTTTTTATGAAGAATGCTGGAATGTTCCATAATTAGTTTTCTGAAATAAAACCAAGGCATATAAACACTCAGTGAAAGCTGAAGAGTAATGGCTTGGGTAGCTCCTTTTCCAGTGGCCCTTTCCCCGCATTGAGTCCTGTGAGCTTTCTGAGAATGCCTCCCCCTCCCCCAGCCCAGCTCAAAGCATCAGGAAAAACCTCCAGAAGCCATATCAACACTTCCAAACGCTGCAGCAACTGCTGCCGCTGCAGTGGGCTCCCTGCTATGGTCCCTCTAGTGTGTCCATCTGAAATTCAGTGATAAAAGAAATAATTAAAAGACAGACGAGTCAGCTGCACTGGTAAGAAATGGCATCTATATATCTGAAACTTAATGTAGGCAAGATCCATAAAAATGCAACGTGAGCCTCCAATCTTCCTCACCAGGAAGGCATAAGGATTAATCAAATCAAACCAGGAAAAGTGCTACAACTACTCTAGAGGAGGAAATCAGCCATTCTTGGAGTAAAACATATTTTTCTTCTATTCATCTACTTTGAAAATATAAATGGTCCAAACCAACCTTCAGAAAAATGATTTACCACACTACTAATACTAATCCTTTACATTTAGATAGTGCTTTACAATTTCAAGACGCTTTCACATATATTATCTCCTACAGTGTTACATCCTGGAACTAAAAATATGGTTCCAGAAATGAAATAACTTTTTTTCCCTACTCATTCATACTTGGATATACTGATTTTTGTCGCCTAATGTCATGAACTTGAAACATAAGACCCTTTACCTGTGGACATTCAGCTTACATTATTAACTCATTAAGAAAATTCATAACTCTTCTTTATTTAACAAGAAAATAATGTGGCCAAGTGGAAAATAAAGGTGAATTAAAAACAAACAAACAAAAAAAGGAGTTAAAGAATATAATTTCTCCTTTGTTAACCTTTCAACTAACAGAATTTAAAACAATTCAGGGTCTGTTTTGTGTAAATTTCTTACCACCCTTAATAACTTAATAGTGCAATTACATGCACATTTGCTCCCTATTCTGGCTAACTGCCACAAGACTGAAATCTTTTGTCTCTTCTAAAACACTGTAAACATTGTTAAAATGCCAAAACCTATAAAGCACTTTTATGAAGTAATTTGCAAATTTTATGGACTTGATAAGGAAAATTTCATTCTGAACTACCAGATATTGCATTCTCATTCATTGCATTCATTCACTAATTCATTCATTTACTCTTTGATTTCTTCCTTCATTGCTATGTGGAGTTCTACGTATGAAAGTTTAAATGCTTACATCCTAAACCTGTATGGATATTAGATCAAGAAATAACAAGAAATAGATTTAGAAATAAATAAAAGAAGAAATAACAGAGACATGTCCCCATCTCTACTTTTTAAATGTAAGAATGCCAAAGAAGAAGGAAGAAATGCAGCAAGATGGTAATGAAGAACAAAAGTGACAGAAAACATATTTGTAGCTATATCTCCTACAGACCTCCTTGGAGCTGAAAAGTGAGAAAGCATATTGTTCCTGCCAAAAGGGAGTTGCTAAATAATAGTAATGATAATAACAGTAATACTTAGAAACCATGGAATCATCACTCAATTATAAGTATAAAATGTGACAAGCTTAATTTGACAATATGTATTGAGATTAAAACTATTCATACAGTTTGGCTTAATGATATACTAATTGAAAATCTTTTCTAAGGAAATAATCAGAGATTCAGACAATGTTTTATTATAAAGATATTTATACCAGTGTTAATAACAAAGCAGAAATTGATTTATTTTAAATATTGTATCGTATAAGAATATTTACCCAAATGAAGTACTTTTCTGTAATGGAAAGATATGCAGCCATTTAAACAAAATTTGTAAATACATTACAAGGACATTAAAAATATTGGTGATATAATGGTAAGGAAAGCAAGTGGAACACAAAATTGTATAGGCAGTATCATAACAAGTATATAACATATATATTTATTCACACAGACACACATAATAAATGTTTGAAGGAAATGTCAACATAAACCTTGATTATAAGGTTATAACTGATCGCCTTTTATGAAGTTTTGATAGTTAACACATATCGCCTTTATAATCATTGAAAAAAGTTACTGTCATAAAGATAATTCTCTTTTATAACATATTCTTCCCCTAAAATTTTCCTAAAAGTACCTGGTTTACACTTTTTACGAACAAATGCCTTTCCCCCACCCTTTATCCTTCAGCGCTCATGGAGGGTGTCTTTGTCTCTTCTCTACCCTGCAGTGGTCACTGTGTTGCTGCCCCCTGCCATGACGAGTCTAAGCCAGTCATGAGCCTGTATTTCCTCACCCTCTTACCAGAGCTTGATTCAGAACTGGGCAGGTTTAAATCAATTTAGGACAGAAAGACACAAGGAGGAGTTTACTCAGGGCAACTGGGAAAATGAAGGCAGTCATTTTTTTGCAATGGAAAGAGAGAAGACTGCTGTCAGCCATCTTTTGAGTGGATAGAAACTAGCCTCATATTGAAGATGATGTTATAGACAGCAGAGAGGGTGCTTACACCCCTCAGAGAATTTACAAGGAACTGATTTAAACAGCCCTGAAGTCTGTCCTAATTTTGGTTTTCCTGTTAGGCACGATAATAACTTTCCTTATACATAAGCCAATTTGAGTTGGAAATTCTATTATTAGCTGATAGATACACAATGTAATTTATTCTCTAACATTAAATGCCTTTAGTTTTCTGACCAAATGAAGCAGAGAACTAATAAAATACAATTATTCCTAGAACTTACCTTTCGTATTTTATTTTCCATTACATCAAATTAAATGCCCATCAAAGTAGTTTACTTCTCTCCCTTTATATGCTCGTCTTTTTTCATCATTTTTTAATGAAAATTTCAAACATACAGAAAAGCTGAAATAATTTTACAATGAACCCACCTAGAGTCTACACTTAACATATGTTACTATACTGGCTTTAGCATTACCTACCCATCTTCTATCCACTCATAAGTTGATTTGATTTTTGTTCCAGACTTTCAAGAACTCCTTTCACCTCCTCACCATTATCAAAGACAAATTCAAATTCTACTTACTTATTTAAATACTCTATTGCCATTTACCTTTCCATGTATTCATATCTCTTTTCTTTTGTGAGTTGGTAAGATTCTTAATGGAAGAGATGCTGTCTTATGGATGTGTGTATCGCTTGCAGTGCCTGACATTCCATATGAATGCCTGCTGTCAGTAAATACGTGGAAGGATATAGTAAAAACTGAAGTGTGTGTTTTCTATTCTCTACCCACCACATCACATCACACAGAACGCTTCTGACATCAGATATGGGGGAGAGAGGGGCTTCCAATACATTGCATTTTCATTCCACACCAAGCAAGCAATCAATTCTGCAGTGGATACCAGCTATGTGTCCTCTAACTCAGTTCTGATACTTTCTACCTGGAGATAGTGCCAGATACCACAGGTTCAGGTTTCAGTCCCACAAGACTGTCCCCCTGGCTTCAAATGTAAGTTGAAAGCACAAGTTATTTTACCTGTGCTTCTGACCACCAGCTCTAAATCGAGGTTCCCACAACCTCCTCCTCGGGTGCAATTTATAGGACATTACAAAAGATACGGATAAGGAATGAATAAGTATGGGAGGAGCCAATCTTCCAAGCCCCTTCCAGGGGGGTACCCTCCAGTCGTCTTCAGGTGTTCAGCTATCTGGAAGCTCCCTGAACCCAGTCTTTTCAGGTTTTTATACAAGCTTCATTAGGTACGCATGATTGATTAAATTATTGGCCACTGTTGATCAACTCAACCTTCAGCCCCTCTACACTCCCCAGAGGTTGAGGATGGGGCTGAAAAGTCTCAACCCTCTAATCATGCCTTCTTTGGCCTTTTCTGTGACCAGCCCCCATCCTTAAGCTACCTAGGGGCTGCCAGTCACCAGCTAACTCATTAGCTTATAGAAAGACACAGAGGGAAGACCAAATATGTATTTCACAACTTCACAGTATTCAAATAAACTTCAATCACTGGAATACGTTGGATTTTGGCTATTGATTGCATTTTCATAGTAAAATAAAGACCTAAATTGTATTTCAGCAGACTATAAATTCTAAACATGCCATTTGTTATAATTTTTCTGGTAATATTTTCTATATCAAATTCTAAAAGTACATCATTTTTTTCTATGAAACTGAACAAGGCAGTAAACAAGTCTATATGACAAATGTCTCATTAACAAGGGAAACACTAAGTCTTGGAAGAAAAGAAGCTTCTTAGTTATTTTTTATAGTCAGCTTCTGTGAATTAAATACTCTTTAAAATACTGTTTCCTTTGCAAACATCTTCATGTGAAAAACTGAGGCCAAGACCTTTGTTTCAGTCCTGTTGAATGAAATGAACAAAGCCAGAGAGCTGGACTTGAAAGTATATGAAACTTATACATGAGATGGAGTGTTACTATTGATTACACATAAGGAGAATTATGATTCTTTGTTTTTTCCACCATCCTGAAGTGATTTCTCTAAAGCATTTTTTCCAAGTTATAGTCAAGCTACTGAAAAGAAATGTGGTACGTGTGTGTGTGTGTGTGTGTGTGTGTGTGTGTGTGTGTGTGTGTTGGGAGAATTACACTTCTGAAATAATTGTGCAAGTCTTTGGGTTTATAGAAAATTAATGCAGTTTCTTATGTTAAAAGATTACCTTACAATTGGCAGGCCACAGGGTTTTAGTAATATGTGTTTCTAGTAGTGAGAATGGTTGAGGTATGGGATTTTTTTATAATCTATATTCTAACTAACATCTTTGATAGTAGTTGGAGACATATTCATAGTTTTTCAAGAGTCTTCAAATATAGATAGCTTTAAGCTTGTCTTTATTATCACTTCTCCTTCATGGGTATCTTAGTCCATTTTTTTGCTGCTATAACACAATAGCAGAGACTGGGGAATTTATAATTTTAAAAAGTTCATTTCTCACAGTTCTAGAGGCTGGAAAGTCCAATATCAAGGTGCTAGCTTCTGGTAGAGGCCTTCTTGATATTATCATCCCATGGCAGAAGGGCAAAGAAAGGGCAAGAGAGAGTATGCAAGAGAAGATGAACCAATTCTCATGCTAACAAACCCACTTATAAGATAAGGACATTAACCTATTCATGAGGATGGTGCCCCCATGACCCAAACACCTTTTATTAGGCCCCATCTTCCAACACCACTGCTTTGGGGATCAAGTTTTCAACACACAAACTTTGGGGGACACATTCAAATTATAGCAATGGGGTTTACTATTTGATTTATTCTTTTTTAGATGTGGAAAGGGGGATATTCAAACTTAGAACATAAATGTTTAATATTGAGTAAAATATCCAGGTAAAATGACATGTACTTTTCCTAGACTCCAGATTATATAGCAGGATGGCTAACCTCAAACAAGAATCTTGCTAAAAGCTGCTAGACTGGAAGTAATTGATGGAAAGGAAAGAAATAATAGGACAATAACCTAAGTAATATTCTGCCTTAGAGGAATCATTTCTCCATAAGCTCACAGTTGGGAAGAAGCCCAAGATACTAAACTAGAGTCAGAAAAATACTGTTTCTACCCATAAGAATTGTTGCAAAGAGTTTTATTCATTTGGTTCACCCAAAGGTTAAATATTCTTATTCTTGCCATCATCAATTATAGGCCTCTACTATCTAGATGATTCAGTGAAAAATGAATTATCCTGTCTGTCTTTAAATGGATTAACCATACAAAAATTACTCCAACATGAATTATTTTTTAAATACCAGGCCAATTCTAAGCTTTATGAAAGATACCGAAGATCTTCTTCCAATGAACTATCAAATCAGTCACGCCTGTAACTATTTGTCAACAAAGGAATCATTGTAGATAAATTGAGTATACTTAGTCTCTGAAACAAAATATGTAAATATTTTTCAAAAGACATTACAATCCATTTAACATGTATGTAGACATTTAAAGATATTATTGTGTTAGTAATTTAAGTAATGTCAGTTTTAAGAGGAAATCATTTATTGTCCTTGTTTTAAAATCATATATTTTGAGAAATCTTACATTATGTTTTTCTGAGTTACAAAACACATTTCCCCCTTAAAAAATTTTTTAAACAGTAGAAAAGGCAACTGCTAGGTAACAAGTGGAATGAGAATCACAATAATAGAAGAAATGAAGCCAAATGCATACAAAAATATGTTACTATAAAGCAGCCAACCACAAACATGTTTTATGGAGCCTAAAAATTATGTTCTGAATTTTAGGATTCAAAATTTGCAGCACAGAATTTACTTCAGAACAACAAACCCTGAAATCTATTTAGTTTTGTTTCTAAGGTGCTAATTTTAATTTACAGCACTGTTCATTGTTTTTCTATAAGGTAGCATTTTTATCTTAATGTCTAAAAACATAGACTTGTTTAAAATAAATACAATGCAAATTTAATGGGCAAAATCAACACAATCAGCAATAATTTATTTGTACTTTAGTATGCATATAGGCAAAAAGTAAAAAGTACTGAGTGTGAAATACTTGAGCAAATATTTTGCATAAAGTTTCAAATAGCATTACAAAATTTTCTCCTCTCTTTTCTCTTAAGACATTTATTGAGCCCCTCTGCTTTCCAGTCACTGAGCTAGGGAAGGAAGGCATGAATCTGACATAGTTCCTATCCTCCAGGAAATCACAGATGAGAGCAACATGTATTCAGATAAATTACATGTCTCAAGATCCTTCAAAGGACTGTCTTTTGGCTTAAAATGCCATCTGCTTTTTGAAAACTCCTCGCTGATTTAGTGGAATCAGATGTCTTCTTGAATTCCAACTTGCTTTAACAACACACGAATGGCCTAAATGTTTCTATTCTTTTTATCTTCTGACCAAGTAAAAGCATGTCAGCTGTGGGTAATCCATCAACAACTGTACAAAACTTCCACAATTGTTGTATTTAAATTCCATTGTATATTGGGAGCTCATATTTCTTATCCTCTTTAAGATTCAAAATAGAGCCAAAGCCCATTGTTAAAGTCATTTTTCAAAAACAGAATTCCTGGCTATAATAGTCTTACAAATTTTATTACTTAACCACAAGTTGGTTGCTTGCTGATCACTAATTTTTGCTATTCGTAATAATTTAAGACTTTTTTGGGTTTTTTTTTTTTTCCAAAAACAAAACAAAACAAAGGTATTCAAGTTTACCCTAGTGAAAAGCGGGTAGATGTCTCCATTCCTTTTTGGTGTTAATCTGTTTTGAGTTGCCATAAAGGAATACCTGAGACTGGGTAACTTATAAAGAAAAGGTTTCTTTGGCTCATGGTTCTGCAGCTGTGCAAGCATGGTACCACGATCCATTCAGCTTCTGGTGAGGCTGCAGGAAGCTTGTAATCATGATAGAAGGCAAAGGGGGAGCCAGTGTGTCACATGATGAGAAGGAGCAAAAGAGAGCGGAGGAGGTGCCAGGCTCTTTTAAACAAGTAACTCTTGCATGAACTGAAACTATGGGGAGGACACCAAGCCATTCATGAGGGATCTGCTCCCTAAGAGCTAAACACTCCCCACTAGACCTTGCCTCCAAAATTGAGGATTACATTTCAACATGAGATTTGGAGAGGACAGATATCCAGGCCATATCATTCTACCCCTGATCCCCCAAATTTCATGTCCTTCTCACACTGTAAAATACAACCATCCCTTCCCAGTAGTTCCCCAAAGTCTTAACTCATTCCAGCATTAACTCAAAAGTCCAAACCCTCATCTGAAACCCATGGCAAGTTCCTTCTACCTAGGAACGTGTAAAATCAAAAATAAGTTATTTACTTCCAAGATACAATGGTAGAACTGGCATTGGGTAAACAATCCCATTACTACAGGGAGGAATCAGCCAAAAGAATGAGGCAACAGCAGGGCAGACACTAAATCTTACAGCTCCAGCATAATCCTTGACTCCAGGCTCTTCATCCTAAGCACACTGGTGTGAGGGGTGGGCTCCCAAGGCCTTGGGAAGCCCTGCCCCTGTAGCTTTGTAGGGTGCAGCCTCTGTGCTCTGTGACTGCTTTCAAAGGTTGGAGTTGAGTGCCTGTGGCTTTTCCAGGCTCAAGGTGCAAGCTGCTGGTGACTCTACCATTCTCTTGTCTAGAGGGTGGCAACCCCTTCCCACAGCTCCACTAGGCAGTGCCCCAGTGGGGATTCTGTATGGTAGCTCCAACCCCACATTTTCCCCTAGACATTGACCTAGTAGAGACTCTCTGCAGGGGCTCCGCCTCTGTAGCAGGCTACTGCCTGGGCACCCACGCTTTCCCATACAGTCTCTGAAATGTAGGTGGAAGCTACCAAGCCTCCTTCACTCTTGCATTCTGCATGCTTGCAGACTTCGCAACACATGGAACTCACCAAGGCTTATGGCTTGTGCTCTCCACAGTGGCAGCCCAAGCTGTACCTGGGGCCCTTATAGCTGAAGCTACAGCACTGCTAGCGTGGATCCAGGGAGCAGTGTCCTGAGGCTGCAAGGAAAGTGGAGCCTTGGGCCTGGCCCCCTAATCAATTCCTTCCTTCCTTCTAGGTCTCTGGGCCTGTGATGGGAAGGGCAGCCTAGAGTTCTGAAATGCCTTCAAGGCCTTTTATTCATTGTCTTGAATATTAGCACTTGGCTCCCTTTCAGTCATGCAAATCTCTCTAGCAAGTGGTTGCTCTGAAGCCCACTTGAATGTCTCTCCTGAAAATGCTTTTTCCTTTTCTACCACAGGGTCAAGTTGTGAATTTTCCAAATTTTTAAGCTCTGCTTCTCATTGAATTGTAAGTTCCAACTTTAAGTCATTTTTTTGCTCCCATATCTATGTATAGGTTTTCAGAAGCAGCCATGCCACATCTTGAATGCTTTGCTGCTTAGAGATTTCTTCTTCCAAATATCCTAAGTCATCACTCTTAAGTTTCACCTTCCACAGAGGCCTCAGACGTGGATGCAATGCAGCCAAGCCCTTTGCTAGTACACAACAAGGTACTAGCACTACCTTGTTCTCTACACTAGTTCCCAATAACTTCCTCATTTTTATCTGAGTCAGCCTGGCCTTCACTGTCCATATTTCTATTGGCATTTTGGTCACAACCACTTAACAAGTCTCTAAGAAGTTGCAAACTTTCCCTTGTCTTCCTGTCTTTTTCTAAGCCTTCCAAACTCTTCCAACCCTGTGCCCATTACCAGTTTCAAAGCCACTTTCACATCTTCAAGTATCTTTACAGCAATGCCCCACTTCTCAGTAACAATTTTCTGTGTCAGTCCATTTTTTATTGCTATAAAGGAATGCCTAAGGCTGGGTAATTTATAAAGAAAACAGGTGTATTTGGCTGACAGTTCTGCTGGCTGTACAAACATCACACCCATATCTACTCAGCTTCTGATGAAGCTTCAGGAAGCTTACAACCATAGTGGAAGGCAAAGGGGGAGCCAGCATGTCACATGGCATGAGGGAGCAAGAGAGAGGGAAGGAGGTGCTAGGCTCTTTTAAACAACTAGCTCTCACATGAACTAACACTATGAGGAGGGCACCAAACCATTCATGAAGGATCTTCTCCCATGACCCAAACACCTCCCACTAGACCCCCACCTCCAACACGGGGGGTCACATTTCTATATGAGACTTGGAGGGGAGAAATATCCAAACTATATCATTTGTTCACAAAACATTTCTGCATTTGTTCTGTGCACACCAATGGTTCAAAATCATGACCAATTGGTATTTTGAGAATATTTTTTAAACTATATACAATGTATGCTGAAGTCAATCACAAGTAGTCATGTGATATATTTTAGAAGTCATTACAATTATGACTTCTAAAATATGTAATAATACAATAACAATTATTCAGTGACCATCTGCAATCCCCAAAAGCATATGAAAAAATGCATGATATTATCAGAAGACTGAAGAAAATTATAATCTTTTATCCTCTGGGTGGCAGAGAAATATCCATCCAGTGTATCTCAAAAGAGAAGATGCCCAGATAAAATTTAACTTTTGTTATTTAAAAAAATTGCTAAGGAAGAAAAAGAGGAACGAAATTAACCTTCTTGCAGCTGTGTCAACCAGAATAGCAGTATGGTGCATGAGAAGAATATAAGCTTCACTACTGGTTTTATCTATGTGAACAAAATGAGATACATTTATTATTTGTTAACTGAAATTCTCTGGGCAAGTGTTCCTTGAGACTCCACATTCTCATTAGGTAAAATATGTATTATAAAACCAATTTGTAGAGAGTAGTTAACAAACATTATTTTCTCACACATAACCATTCCCCACCCCCATCCAATCTTTATCACCAATCAATAAATTGATAAATCAATATATCTACATACAATGTGTATGCCATGTTTATACAAAGCTTGAAAAACATAGTCATCTGAAAGAGCTCTTAATAATTAATTTCAGGCTGGGCATGGTGGCTCACACCTGTAATCCCAGCACTTTGGGAGGCTGAGGCAGGTGGATCACTTGAGATCAGGAGTTGGAGACCAGCCTAGACAACATGGTGAAACCCCATCTCTACTAAAGATACAAAAATTAGCCGGGTGTGGTGGCCCACACCTGTAATCCCAGCTACTCTGGTGGCTGAGGCAGGAGAATCACTCGAACCTGGGAGACAAAGGTTGCAGTGAGCTTAGATCGCACCACTGCACTCCAGCCTGAGCAACAGAGTGAGACTCCATCTCAAAAACAAACAAACAAACAAACAAAACAAAACAAAATACAAACAATATCAAAATCAATTATTTTTAAAGTCTTTATACATATAATAATAAGCATTAGGGTAAGCCATGACATTATATTTCAATACATTTGCCTGTGAAAATTTAAAATAGTGTAATCTTATTAATGTAAATGAATTTGAGCATTTGTTGGTTTAACACAGCACTTAAAAATTAGTTGCATTTCTTAATAAAATTGCTAATGAACTTTCTCTACATTATCGGAATTTGTTTCTGACTCTTAGAAGATAAAATAGGAAATAAAATGTGAAATGGGATAAAATGAGAAACAGCCTGCCAAACTGGTTACTTTTTTTCCATTCTTTGTGTTTTTTTTGTTTTGAAATTTGACTGTAGTATATGATTGTTATTCATATTGCACGAATTTAAAACTTAGATTTAAATAAGAGCCTGTAGTTCGCTGCACTTATTCCTTTTTTTTTTTTTTTCGAGACAGAGTCTCTCTCTGTCACCCAGGATGGAGTGCAGTGGTGCAGTCTTGGCTCACTGCAACCTCCGCCTTGCGGGTTCAAGCGATTCTCCTGCCTCAGCCTCCTGAGTAGCTGGAATTACAGGTGCCCACCACCACGCCTGCATAATTTTTTTGTATTTTTAGTAGAGATGGGGTTTCACCATGTTGGCCAGGCTGGTTTTGAACTCCCTAGCTCAGTCAATCTACCCGCCTCGGCCTCCCAAAATGCTGGGGTTACAGGCATGAGCCACTGCTCCTGGCCGAGTTCACTGCACTTTTAAAGCTGAAGGTGTAATCATGGGATAAGTATTTTTCCTAGTGTCATTGATGTTGGTTTTTGTCGTATGACTTGATTTGGCGAACGAATGTAGGCAACAGTAACATTGGGCCTATTCTGAGCTTAGGTCTTAAGCAGCAGCTCTTGTTGGCTGGGCGCAGTGGCTCACACCTGCCATCCCAGCAGTTTGGGAGGCCGAGGTGGGCAGATCACCTGAGGTCGGGAGTTCGAGACCAGCCTGGCCAACATGGTGAAACCGTGTCTCTACTAAAAATACAAAAAAATTAGCCAGGCGTTGTGGTGGGCGCCTGTAATCCCAGCTACTCCAGAGGCTGAGGCAGGAGAATCACTTGAACCCAGGAGGCGGAAGTTGCAGTGAGCTGAGATCGTACCATTGTACTCCAGCCTGGGTGACAGAGCGAGACTCCATCTCAAAAAATAAAAATAAAAATTAAAAATAAAAAAAAAAAAGAAAGCAGCTCTTGTTTTCACTTTCCCCTCTGGGAGCTTCCGACCTCTAACATGAGAACACTGCCCTAGGTAGCCACCGGATAGAATACTCCCAAGCTGGGCCCCAGAATGTGGAGCAAACCTAAACTCAACCCCCAAGCCTGGAGCAGAGCCACATCAGCTGGATGACAGATGTGTGGATGAAAAATAATGTTTACTGATTTATGCCAATAAACTTTTTGTGGTTGTTTCTTATGCAACAACAGTTGATTAATATAAAAGTATTACTTAAAACTTTCTTCCCTGGAATACATCTCTTATTTTATAATATAATGCAACTACGGAGTAAATTTAATTTAAAAGAATTCTCAGCAACTTTTATGAGATAAATATACTCTGTTAGGCATATAATAATGTTAGATGCTTAAATGAGAGAAAATAAAACTGTAAATTACTTTCTCTTTTTTTTTTTTTTTTTGGAGACGGAGTCTCGCTCTGTCGCCCAGGCTAGAGTGCAGTGGCGCGATCTTGGCTCACTGCAAGCTCCGCCTCCCAGGTTCACGCCATTCTCCTGCCTCAGCCTCCGGAGTAGCTGGGACTACAGCCGCTGCCACCGAGCCTGGCTAATTTTTTGTATTTTTAGTAGAGATGGGGTTTCACTGTGTTAGTCAGGATGGTCTCGATCTCCTGACCTTGTGATCCGCCCGCCTCGGCCTCCCAAAGTGCTGGGATTACAGGCGTGAGCCACCGCGCCCTGCCTACTTTCTCTAATATAACACTACCAAAGAAAATCATCCTGATGTAACTCAATGAAGACAAAAGCAATGGTACTTTTTTTCTTCTTCCATGTACCAGTCTATCTGAAATAATGGTACTTCTTGATTGAGAAAACAATGCAATCACACCACTAGCTGGCTGCCAGAAGAACAAATGCAGATATTGTGTTATTTTCCCATTATGAAATCTGAAGAGGTGGTCTAGTCATGCTGAGACAATAGGAATTGCATGGTTCTGCCTGAAACTAAATTAGCAACCCTCCAAGATACTGTCAAGATCTGTCATCATGCATAGAAATGAGGAAAACAGAGAATCTTTTTTTTTCCGTTTACCAACTACTCTGAACTGCAGTATAAGATAATGTACGTGGCTATTCATATGGTGTGCACACTTAACTTTATGTGATATGGAACAGGATGTGCTATTTGGCTGTCAAGATCTGTGCTCACACTTGCCTCTGGCATGCCAGCATCACTCAGGCTTAATTCAGAGTTCTTATGCCACGACCACTCTCTTGAATAATCATAAAACTTGGACATAAGTGCATACAACACAAAGACCAAGTGTGCCGTTTTGCGGAGTGTAATGGAATCTATAAGGCTTGGGATCTTGTGAAAACGGCAGCCCTGATAAGCAAAGAGCTCCTATGCACATCTGTAAATGGATGGCTGCATTTGCCTGAGTGGAGCGGGAGGTTGAGATTGCTATGCGTGGAGTGGCTATTATTCAAAACCAGCAACATTAAAATGTTTAGGAAATGGCTGATACCAGTACAAATGAAAAATGCGAAGTTACTTACCTGAATGAATGAAGAGTCAACAAAAGAATGAAACCCATTAGAAGTTTCAGGGAGATTCTGCATTATAAGAACTTCAATGTGAAATATTAGAAAGGCAAAGACAGCAGAGTTAAAACATACCTTGGTGGGCTTATGTAGCCCATCAGAAGTCCGAGTCAACAGGCTCAGTGATTTATGAATTACACAAGATCAGCATCTGAGCAGATGCCGTCTGACGTTCCACTGGGCTTGGTGGTTCTGGGGTGGCCTTGCAGCTTCTAGCTTTGCCTCTAAAATCATCTCCAAAGATCATCAGTGCCCCTCCTTCTAGAGAGGTGAGCTGGAGAAGGTCATTTTCTCAGTTCCTACTTTGGTGAAGGGGTCACGTACCAACTCAGATTGGTCCCCTCCTATGTATTTAACACATGCAGGCTTTGATGTATACACCCACCCTCTAAAAAAAGGGGGCAGCAGGCTGTAGTCACTCAATCACTGGTGCGAGAGACTGTGACTAACCAGCCCTTCAAACTTAAACTGGGGGCTTTAGCTTCTCTGAGTCTCAGTTTCCTCACCTATAATTGAGGTGAAATTTAGACTTAACGAAAACATGTGGGGACTATTAACCTTATTTCCAGCAGTAAATTTTGGAAATCAAATCATGGCTACAGATTATGGATTATGGAGCAGCTCCAACTTGTTGCAGCTAGATTTAATTTCCCCTACTCTGCACACAGAATAGCACTTAATTTTCACCCCTTAGGGAATAACTGAATAATATTACTGATGTTGGGGAAAAAACTGGCCAAAGGGGAATAGTTAGCATAAGGTAGGAAACATCAAATTGTCAACCCATGCAGGTAGCATTTTCTATACACACATGGTGAGTATACACACAATATGTGTGGCTGGCTAAACACTCACACACTCATACATTCCCTAGGTTAATGCAGACACCTACCTGGTAAAGTATATTTATTTGAATGTGTATACAAACTGGCCTGATACTTTTCTTTTAGACTAAAACATGATGTACCCAGAGGAACGTCATTTAAAATATGAGCCAAGTTTAAAAGGACAAAGAGCCTGATTCCCCCCAGCCAGTCATGTTAAATTCCATGATAGGCAGGCTTCTTTTATTACATGTGCTATCTGCATGTGGTTGCAATTCAGTATTTATATTTGTTTTCATTCTATGACCCTCACAGAGTGTGGTAGAAAGGGTTAGGAAAAGAAGCAGGAAGCAAAATTGTAATTGAATTATAGGAGAGGGAGTTGAAGCATTTCCTGTTTCTCCTTAATTTGTTTTTTCTTGACAGCATCATATATGATGACATTGCAATTTGCAGTTCCCAGAGTCGGTAGCTTCTTGCTTTGAGGGCCTTGTCCTTCCTTTACTCCAGCGTATCATGGTTCATGGCCCTGTGAGCTGGGAGCCATGCCTTACTCATCTCTTTTTTGACTGAATGAAGCGAATGAATGAGTGAGTGAAGCAGATAAAGCTGCATGAGTTTGCTGCTTCGAATCCCTTTGGAAATGAAGTATGGTATGAAGGAAATATATAGCACCAGGTCTAGCTGAGCAGTCTGCAGTCATATTGTCCCCAAATCCCATCTGCAGACAGATCTTAGCAAGGCCGAGCAGTGCTGGCAATAATGGAGGTTTTCCTCTTGATGGTGTCCCTGGGGAGTTTTGGACACCAGTGCAGGAGGCAAGAATTGCAAGAGCTAAGGCAGGAACCATCACCTGCTTCAAAACTCTGCAGGCCTCCTTGGTCCCAAGTTCTATTCGGATTGCCACGTACAGACATCACTAGAATCAAAGCTCTGTGAGGTCAAGAACTTGATCTGCTTTGTTCACTGTTGTGTGCCTAGTGCTTGGAACTATGTCTGACCTATAGTATTCACTCAGTAAATATGTGATCAATAGATTAATTAGTTAAAAGAAAAAACAATTAATTAAGTTGAGCATTAAGTTTTTATTAACACTTTAGCTCAGTTCGGGAGCACAGCAAAACCTTCACTTTCTACTCCAAGGATTTTTTTTTTTTACAGGTATCATGATAAGTACTTCATTTTCACAATTACAGAACCTTCCTTCTAGTCCTGCTGGGAAATGGAGGCGGTTTGGAAGCAGAGTTGCCAGATAAAATACAGGATGTCTAGGTAAATTTGAATTTCACCTGAACAACAAATAATAATTTTTACGTAAGTACATCCCAGTCAGTGCATGGGATCTACTTATACTTTCAAAACAAATCATTGCTCAACTAAAATTTAAATTTAACTGGGCATATTGTATTTTTGTTAAATTCAGCCATCCTATTTCTCAACACCTGGAAATGCAGCTATTTGCTCCAGCCTCTTTCTCCTGAGGCTGTTTACCTATTTTCAGGATCTAAGAGAACATGCACACTCCCTCTCTCTCTCACGCACAAGGCCAAATTCCTTTCCACTAGAAGCACTCCCCCATTCTTCATCAGCAAATATAAGGTATGTTAGCAAGTGACCACTAGGACCCAGGGCAAGCCCAAGGCTGCAGTATCTGCCCTTGCTCTGCCTTCAGAGCAACAAGCTGCCTGCTCTCCTCTAACTCTCAGCTTCTCTAGAGAGGTGGCAGGCACCAGAACATCGTGTCTCCCCACCTGTAGAGGTGCATATCAAGCTCCCCAAAGAGTCTTGTTGAAGTCCCTCTCACTGGGCTTAGAAAGAGAGAGACAGGCCCCTTCCTACCATCCTCCGGGTCTCATAACTCTCTCTGAGACCCAAAATTCATTTGGAGGCTTCCAGGGAAATCTATAATTTAGTATCATAGTACACTTTATCATCAGACATCTTTGCTTTACCTGCAAAGCCCCTTCCCCTTCTCTTTTTACCCAATACAAATTTTAACCTAAACGAATCCTTAATGAGAACAAATAGCCAGGAAGAAGCATCCCTGGCTAAGAGCCATGGAGAAGGCATTAGTTTTAATCCCTCAGAAGCAGGCTTGGAGACACAGACTCACATGCAAGTGGTTTATTAGGAGGCAGATCCCAGGAAATATCAGCACGGGAGTGGGAAAGTGAGACAGGGAAGGGAGAGCAGCTAAAACAGGGTGCATTATCACGTGCATTACCACTGCAGGCTACTAGAGCTCAAACCCACTGAAGAGCTTGGGGAGACAGACTAGGGCACACACTCGGGTAGGTATCCACTGATTCCTTATTGTTATTGAGTGATGCCACCAAGGGCATGAACACTCCAGCATTTCTGTTTTGCTCATGTGGGTGAAAGGTTCCTGCTGCCTGACAAAAGCCCTTAGGCAGGATCACAGCTATTCTAGGAGGCAGCATTTACAGGTGAGTACGGAGGGAGTGGGCAGGGCAAGACAGCTCCTGCACATTGAGAAATGAGGGTTGTCTTCAAAGTTGATGGTAGTGGTCCAAAGAAGGAAATAATCCAGATATCTGAGCATACACTATCACAAGCATTAGGGCCTTTTAAAATACATGCTGTAAAATCATTCTGTCCCCCCTCATCAGCAATTTCATACCATCTTGACTTTTATTGAATTAACTTCTCTGAGCTTTCACCCATACAGGGTGCCTGCTACTCAATTTTACCAGCAACACCCCCACACAAGTTAAAAATCACGGCATTGTAATGAGGCTAAGCTTCCTGAGCCGGCTTCATTGTGTATGAGCTTTTCTCTCAGATGGGATTGTTATTCTCAAGAAGTTCCTATTACTCATGGGTATACTGCTAGTGTATATTTGGCTGTTACATCCAAATGCAGTCACATCAAGTTTACCTTTAGCAAGGGCACAGTCTATTGCATAATGCAGAGCTAGACACTTTGATGGCAGCTTTGTTCTAAATGAGAACTTTGATGTCCAGAGAAACTGGGCTTCAGTAATCCTCAGTGACCTTTGGCACATGAAGCCATGGGAGAAGGGATTTGTTACAGCTAGCAGACTTTATACAGTTGTGGGAAAGGCTGGGGAAATGAAGGCGCTGGGGGAAAGTTGGAAGATGGGGGAAGTCACCATCCAGTCAATCTGAGAAGCCAAGGGTGCCCAGCCATGCAAGAGAAGCATGAAGGGAAGGTTCATAGAGAGGGAAATGCCCCGAGGCTGTTGCCTCTGTGGGTCTGCAGTCAAGCCTGTGGTGCTGGGTCTTGGGCCGTGCTTGGTAAACGGGGAAAGCAGGTAGAAAGAAGAGCAAGACGCAGGGTGGAGGAGAGTAAGATCAAGCCAGAACTTGCCAGCATCTCTGCGACTGTCACCACATTGAACTGTGACAACCTTCAGAGAGGAATGGTTGCTGCTTCACTTCAACCTTCAAAACTCTTCTTTTAGCCAACGCAACCAGAATCACACAGGGCAGGGGATTCTTGGAAATGGAATTCCAGCTTAACCAACTTGAAACGTTATATACAATTTCTTTACAACTGAATTAGGGACAGCAAGGCTAGCAATCTCCTTCCCAAGGGTGTAACACGAATGCTATCAAATGGCATTTTGTATATGCATGTGTTAGCCTTTTCCTTCACATATTTGTACCAGAATATTTTGCACTGTTGTTGGGGGGAGATGGCAGCGGTCATATTTATATTTGCCTCTAATCTGTAGCAGATAGGAAGATACTTTACTATTTCTAGTGTCATCTTCTTTTTCTGACTTCTAGTAGTATACAGCAAGCTTTAGGGAATCTTTATTTCAATTTATTGAAAGGAAATTACTTAGCTACATCCATTTACCTCCTTGGCTACATGAAATTGGCTAGCTAAGAAAGTGATGTTAGAGGCAAGGAGCTTTAAAAGTTTCTCTTAAAAAATTCTGTTCTCTTTTGCAAGTGTTTTGTATGAATTTGAGAAGTCACATGAAATTCCTATATGTTGGGTAAAAATATCCAGCTTTCCATCTTGAAGAATAATGAGTCAAACTGATTGGAATGGATTTGGCTCAGAACAGGCCTGATGGAATTGAAAAGAAGGGATAAACTAGTCCTTTCTCTGGCACAGCTGTCTCTTTAATGGTCCTGAAAGAAACAAAATTCTACTGCCCCCATAAGGAAAGCAATAGTTTGTTCTAATAATCCCTGTTATTAAATATTCACAACCCATCTCAGAAGACATCAGTTGCTGAGATCCACTTAATCATAATGTGCATCCAGAATTCTTTTCTTTTTTTTTCTTTTTCTATTCTTTTTTTTTGAGACAAAGTCTTGCTCTGTCTCCCAGGCTGGAGTGCAGTGGTGTGATCTCGGTTCACTGCAGCCTCCACCTCCTGGGCTCAAGCTATTCTCATGCCTCAGCCTCCTGAGTAGCTGTGATTACAGGCATGCGCCACCACACCCAGCTAATTTGTGTATTTTTAGTAGAGACATGGTTTTCACCATGTTGGCCAGACTGACCTCAGGTGATCCGCCTGCCTCAGCCTCCCAAAGTGCTGGGATCACAAGTGTGAGCCACTGCGTCTGGCCCAGGATTCTTTTCATTGTGTGTGTAATTCTAGTACTGTACAGATATAGCAGTGATGAATTAGCAACATTGGAATTTAAATTTGGGGAAATTCTTGAAATAATTTTACATAATAAAACCATAGATAACACTATGAGTCAGTCATCAAATGTTCATTAAGCACCTACTGTCTGCCAGTTGTTTCAGAAGATACTGACTGACATGTAGAAAGGGTCACTTCCTTCCAACCATAGCTTCTTATAAGTTGACGCTCTAGTTGACTTAAAACACTCTCTCACATGTAGGTACTGATATAATTTTTTTAATGTACTAAATGTTTAACATTTGAGTTACAGTTTTGGACAGATGGTTACATTTTTAAAAAGAAGGAAAAGTTTATAACATATTCAGTTGCTCTACGAAGCTCTTTTAAGATGTTATATTTGTGAAAAGGTGCTTGACATGGAAAAATAATGTTGTAGTAGTAGAGCATAGCATAATTAAATATCCAGATTTGGTTGGCCCAAAAAAGCAGACATCCCTGAAAAACATCTTCTACCTACAGTTGCCAGATTTAGCAAATAGAAATACAGTATGCCTAGTTAAATTTGAATTTCAGTTAAACAACAAATAATTTTTTAGGATAAGTATATTCCATACATTATTTGGGATGTACTTATGCTAAGACAATATTATTTATCTCATATTGAAGTTTGATTGAGAGTCCTGTATTGTATCTGGCAACCCTATTGAGAAGAAAATGAGTGACAAGATAGAACACAACCCCCCAGGTCAAAAGAATTGCAAGGGACAGATCACCAGGTATTGGGGTTGCTGGGGTTGGGGGACAGTCTATGAAGAAACTGTAAGAGCATGAAGCCAGCTTTCAAATAAGAACTTTTCTACATCTGTCCCCCTTTAACCTTTTTTTGACTCCCCCTAGTAAAATCACAAACTTCAGTTTTCAAGCTAATGGAGGAGACATGGTTGGTATAAAAAGAAAGTAGAAAGACTATGCCCTTCCCCTACGTCGAGCAGCCGGTCCATAGCAGGCCTCAGACAAGGTGAAAGAAAGAAAAAGTGAACTTTAAATCAACTTCAGAATTCTGACACACATGACTTGATATTATAAATTCTAAATTGAGACCATGATTGTCTGCCAAGCGACAGGGTATTTTACTATCTCAGGATCAACAGGAAAGTCATAGACAAATCAAGTTTTCATTTAGGGGCAGGGAAAAACTATCTGCACTGAATAAAACGTAAGGGGCAGTGAGAGATCAAAAAAAAGAACATTCTGATTCCGATCCTGTCTTTTCTGTCCCATGAATCCCCTGAGCCAGGCTCCAAGGATGAAAGACTACAGGGGAAGGGAAGAAATTGATATAATGGATCGGGAATGGCAGTTAATGGGACACACAAATGTTCACACCCAGACACCTGCTTTCTAAGCAAACCTGTCTCAACTGTGGGATGTCATGGCCTAGCTGAGCTCACCTATGTCCCAATGCATAATATACATAAACATACATAATGCAATACGGTTAGTGTCATGGTTGCAAGGTGGGATGGGAAAGGATTTGTAGTTATATGCAGGAGAAGTCTTCTGAGTAGAAGGCCATATATGGCCTCTGAGAAGTTGGCCAACCCTTGAGATGCAGCTTGGCCTGCTCATTTGCCCAGAACAAGCCACATAAACCAGAATAATCTGATCTCTGAATTATTCTGATGACCACAGGGAGGACAGCATCCCAACTAGTGATGGGCTTTAGAACTTTTTAATAACCAAGGAGAAATGTTTACTTTACACTTGCTTTTCCTGAAAATATCCTCTAACACAGAAAACACTTAAGGAAGGCAGTCCTGGAATAAAATGGAGGGAATTAAATTGACATACTACATGTACATATATCCTATCATGTAAAGAAAAGTTACTTTAATAAAATTAGGATGGCATTATTTTAAAGCATGGCTATGTAATTTATCGTCATTATTGATATCATATAAAGCTATCACACACACTTTTTTAAAAAATATATATGGTAGGGCATAAAATGAGACACACAAGTCTCTGACTCATATATCCCATCCTCAATTCCATTTAATTCTCCAGAGACAATCATCTTAAACAGCTTCTGTTTCGGGTTGGTCAGGTAACCACATAACTCTTTGTGATGAACTTAGGCTTCTAGTTTTTAAATTTATTTTGGCTTCTATTAACAAAGTTACAACTTATTTTTACTATCCCCATCTCCACTCCTATCTGTTTCTCCTGATATCTGAAAGTTATATGATTAGTTCTTATTTGTTGTTGTGATCATACATGTCAATCATATACTTAAAAATCTCTTTGCTGTTACATCAGTTACACATGATATTTGACTCTTCACAGGTTATTTTAGTTTTACCATTTCTTTTTCATTTAAAATATTTAAATTTTGTCCTATAACCATGATTTAGTCTTCCTTACATTATCCCTTGATTGATTCCAAACTTTTTTTTTTTAAACAGCTAAATTTACACAATTGGGACCATGTTAAAGTTATTTACTGTTGAACCAAGTAGTTTGAGTGGAAGGGGAAAGAAACGTGCCATCTCTTCAAGGGCTTCACCTAACAGCTGTGAACATTACTGCTGTCTACATACTGCTGGCCAGAATCTAATCACATGACCATGGTCAGCTGCAAGGGAGGGTGGAAAATGAAGCATTTAGTCAAAAAACTCATCAGTCTAGTTAACAGGAGTCTCGCCGGGAGCTCTGAGTGCTTGGGGCAAGGCATGTAAACTGGCAGATTTCACTTCACCCTGAAAGATGAAGAAGCTGTTGAACTGAGGTTTCCCACAAATAGCCAGGACGAGGCGAAGTTATCTTTGGGTTGCTGGCATCCACTTTAGAAATGCTTAGCTCCCTCAGCTCCTCTAATTTCATGAGAGAAGAGTGCTCTGTGTTTTACCTGGCCATAAATGTCAGACTTCCAGTTAGTCTGCATACAGAGGAGGGGGTCGGGTGCTGTCTTGCAGCTGTCAAGTAGACTTTAAAGATGTTGCTTTCGGCCAGGTGCTGTGGCTCACGCCTGTAATCCCAGCACTTTGGGAGGCCGAGGCAGGCGGATCACTTGAGGTCAGGAGTTCGAGACCAGCCTGGCCAACATGGTGAAACCTTGTCTCTACTAAAAATACAAAAATTAGCTGTGCATGGTGGTGGGCGCCTATAATCCCAGCTACTCGGGAGGCTGAGGCAGGAGAATGGCTTGAATTCAGGAGGCAGTGAGCCGAGATGGCGCCACTGCACTCTAGCCTGGGTAACAGAGTGAGACTCCATCTCAAAAAAAAAAAAAAAAGATGTTGCTTTCTGTCCCTCCACCCAATCCAGCTTCCAGAAGCTGGCAATTCTGACAGTAGCCCTTGCATTTAGCCTCCTCCTAAATATACTCTGGGCTAAACCTTGTTCCACTTAATATTATCCATTACAATATTCCATCCATTCTCCTTAATCAAAAATTAAATTCATAACTCTGGTCTGATGATCCTCCCTTCCCATCCCCGCCTCCCAATTTACCTTCCTGTCATGTATTTGTTCTCCGCTATAATTCTTCACTGTCATTTCAATGCATTTGAAGAAAGAGGGGGAGAAAATACATCTGTTCAGTCTTCTTGTAAACCATTAGGCCACTTCTGAACCAGAGACAATAATCTCACTCAACCTTCATGCTTTTAGATGAGAAAACCAAGACCCAGAGATTGATGGGTGAACTGAAACACAGCCAGCCGGTTAGGTCCTGGATTGGAATTAAAAACCAGGAATCCTCACTCCTGATGATTTGTTTGTATTATATTACCATGCCCTTAAAATTTACATTATATATCTTATTCAAAATTTGTGGGTATAGCCCAGGTGTGGTGGCTCATGCCTATAATCCCAGCACTTTCAGAGGCCAAGGTGGGCGGATCACTTGAGGTCAGGAGTTTAAGACCAGCCTGGCCAACATGGCGAAACCCTGTCTCTACTAAAAATACAAAAATTAGCTGGGTGTGGTGGAAGGCGCCTGTAATCCCAGCTACTTGGGAGGCTGAGGCAGGAGAATCACTTGAACCCAGGAGGAAGAGGTTGCAGGGAGCCAAGATCACACCATTGCACTCCAGCCTGAGCAACAAGAGTGAAACTCCATCTCAAAAAAAAAAAAAAAAAAAAGCTAGATGTGGCGGCACAAGCCTGTAATCTCAGCTACTTGGGAGGCTGAGACAGGTGAATCACTTGAACCTGGAGACGGAGGTTGCAGTGAGCGGAGATCATGCCATTGCACTCCAGCCTGGGTGACAGAGTGAGACTCCATCTCAAAACAAAACAAAAAAAAGTTGTGGGTATAGGTAAGCTAAGGTGCTAAATGTGATCTATTCTCCCTCTGTAATGTGGTAAATGACATTTTGTACTACAGTGGAGTGCTGTTACTGAGCACCTAATACAGGCATATCTCAGCAATATTAACATGTTCAATTCCAGACCACCACAATAAAATGAGTCACACACATTTTTTTATTCCCTAGTATATATCAAAGTTGTGTGTGTAGTATACTGTAGCTGATTAAGGGTGCAATAGCATTATATCTAAAAAATAATGTACCTACCTTAATTTAAAAAATACTTTATTACTAAAAAACACTAATAATCATCTGAGTCTTCAGTGAGCTGAAATTTTTTTGATAGTGGGGAGTCTTGCCTCTATGGTGATGGCTGCTGACTGATCAGGGTGGTGGTTGCTGAGGCTGGGGTGGCTGTGGCAATTTCTTAAAATAGGACAACAAAGAAGTTAGCCAATTAACTGACTCTTTCACAAAAAATTCTCTGTAGCATGCAATGCTATTTAATAGCATTTTTCACACAGTAGAATTTATTTTAAAAATCAGGGTCAATCCTTTCAAACCCTGCCACTACTTTTATCAATTAAATTTACGGAATATTCTAAATCCTTTGTTGTTATTTCAACAATGTTCACAGCATCTTCATCAGGAGCAGATTCCATCTCAATAAACCAGTTTCTTTGCTCATCCGTAAGAAGCAATTCCCTCATCCATTCAAGTTTCATCACAAGAGTGCACCAATTCAGTCACATCTTTAGGCTCCAATTCTAATTCAAGTTCTCTTGCTATTTCCACCACATTTGCAGTTACTTTCTCCACTGAACTCTTAAACTTCTCAAAGTCATCCATAAGAGTTGAAATCAATTTCTTCCAAGCTCCTGTTCATGTTGATATTTTGTCCTCCTCCCATAAACCACAAATGTTTTTAATAACATCTAGAATGGTGAATCCTTTCCAGAAGGTTTTCAATGTTCTTTGCCCAGATTTGTCAGAGGAATCACTATCTATGGCAGCTATGGCCTTACAAAATGTATTCTTTAAATAATAAGACTTGAAAGTCATACTTACTCCTTGATCCATAGGCTGCAGAAGGAATGTTGTATTAGCAGGCATAATCAATGCCAATCTCTTTGTATATCTCCAGTACAGCTCTTGGGTTACCAGATGCATTGTTAATAAGCGATAATATTTTGAAAATAATCTTTTTTTTTTAATCAGCAGTAGGTCTTAACAGTGGGCTTAAAATATTCAGTTAACCATGCTGTAAACAGATGTGCTGTCATCCAGGCTTTCTTGTTCCTTTTATAGAGTGCAGGAAGAGTAGATTTAGCATAATTCTTAAGGACGATAGAAATTCCAAAATGGCCAATGAGCACTGGCTGCAACTTAAAGTCACCCACTGCATTAGCTCCTAACAATAGACTCAGCCTGCCCTTTGAAGCTTTGAGGCCAACCTATGACTTCTCTTTTCTAGTGATGAACATCCCAAGTGGCATCTTCTTCCAATATAACGCTGTTTCATCTACGTTGAAAATCTGTCATTTGGTATAGCCACGCTCATCAGTAAATTTAGCTAGATCTGGATAACTGGCTACAGCAGCTTCTACATCAGCACTTGCGGCTTTACCTGCGCTTTTATGTTACAGAGATGGCTTCTTTCATTAAATCTCAGGAACCGACCTCTGCTAGCTTCCTATTTTTCTTCTGCAGCTTCTTCAGCTTTCTCAAACTTCACAGAACTGAAGAGAGTTAGGGCGTTGCTCTGGATTAGGGTTTGGTTTAAGGAAATGTGCCTGGTTTGATCTTCTGTCCAGACCACTAAAACTTTCTCCATATCTCCCATAAAGCTGTTTCACTTTCTTATCATTCTTATGTTCACTGGAATAGCAGTTTTAATTTCCTTCAAGAACTTTTCCTTTGCATTTACAACTTGGCTATTTGGCACAAGAGGCCTAGCATTTGGCTGTCTCTGCTTTCAACATGCCTTCCGCACTAAGCCGAATCATTTCTAGCTTTTGATTTAACATAAACCTGCAATTCTTTCTCTCACTTGAACACTTAAAGGCCATTGTAGAGTTATTAACTGGCTCGGTTTCAATATTGTCATGTCTCAGGGAATACGGAGGCTCCAGGAGAGGGAGACAGACAGGGGAATGACAGGTCAGTGGAGCAGTCGGAGCACACACATTGATTAATTAAGTTTGTGACCTTTTATGAGCACAGTTTGTGGCACCCCAAAACAATGACAATAGTAATGTCAAAGATCACTGACTACGGATCACTATAAAATAGATAAGAATAACAAAAAAGTTTGAGATATTGAGAGAATTATCAAAATGTGACACAGGAGCACAAAGTGAGCACATGCTCTTTAAAAAGTGGTGCCAATAGGCTTGCTCAATACAAGGTTGCCACAAACCTTCAATTTGTAAAAAGACACAATATCTGCAAAGCACAATAAAGCAAAACACAATAAAACAAGCGATGCCTGTATATGCCACCCATCACACTAGGCACAGAGAACACAAAGATAGATGGCTAATTCCCTGGAACCTCAAGGAGCACACACAGTTTGAGGACCGTGACAAACATATAAATATCTAGCCTTAATATGGTGTTGTAAATTACAAGACAGATGAATGCAGCAAGCACAGAATGAGCACAGAGAAGGAACTCAGTCAGGTGATTTAAGAAAATTCCTTGAAGATTATAAAAAGATGGTATAGGCCGGCCGGGCGCAGTGGCTTACACCTGTGATCCCAGCACTTTGGAAGGCCGGGACGGGCGGATCACAAGGTCAAAAGGTCGAGACCATCCTGGCCAACATGGTGAAACCCTGTCTCTACTAAAAACACAAAAAATTAGCTGGACGTAGTGGCGCGTGCCTGTAGTCCCAGCTACTCGACAGGCTGAGGCAGGAGAATGGCTTGAACCTGGGAGGTGGAAGTTGCAGTGAGCTGAGATTGCGTCACTGCACCCCAGCCTGGCGGGGACAGAGAAAGACTCCGTCAAAAAAAAAAAAAAAAAGAGATGGTATAATGGCTAGTTGTATGTGTCAATTTGGCAAGACTTTAGTACTCAGTTATTCAATTAAACACTAACCAAGATGCAGCTCTGAAACTATTTTGTTGATGTGATTAACATCTACAACCAGTTAACTTGAAGTGGAGGAGATTATACTTGATGATCTGAGTGGGCCTCATCTACTCAGCTGAAAGGCTTTAAGAGCAAAACTGAGGTTTTCCTGAAGAAGAGGAAATTTCATGTGTAGACTGCGGCTTCGGCCACTGCCAGGGTGTTTCCCGCTGTCCTGCCTGCCCTATGGAGTTTAAGCTTGCCAGTCCCCAGTTCTACGGATTTTGGATCTGTCAGCTGCTATGACACACACACACACACACACACACACACACACACACACACACACACACACACACACACACATCTCCTACTGATTTCTGGTTCTGTAGAACTACTCTGTGAACCCTAACTGATAAAGTTGGGGGAAACTAGCCAAGTAAACGAAAAATGGATATCAAAAAATGTTCCAAAAATGACTCTGTTCATTTGGATATAACTAATGCAGACAGCCATTTGCGGTCACAAACTAATTTTTCCCTAACTAAACAGATTAAATCTAATACTTACATTAGTTAAATCAGACAGAAAAGTGGGTTCTCTTGGCAGGTTTTTAAAAAGGGATTTCAGTTATTATTAGACTCCAGAAAATTACCAAGTTTGGAAAGGAGATATTCAGACTTATTAAAAAAATGAAGAATTTTCTCAGCATGTATAACCAAATGGAACAAAACCTCTTTGTTCAACCATAATTTTACATTTTATAATAAAATCCTTCCATAAAAGAATAACTTCCAATTTTGAACACCCTTTGAGTCAACCAAGAGTCATCTTTATTCTAATTTACATATATGTATAAATAATTATGCATTCAACCTTACATCAGGGATGAATTTTTTTTTTTTTCACATACCTTCCCTTCTTTGAGATATATGACAAGTTTTATTAATTAAAGCAACCTAGGCTTAAAAACACTCTCTAGAGCAAGCATTTCACTACTTTAAAAAATGTCTGCAGCCTGCATCTCTCATGTCATTTAGGTCATTTAAGAAGAAACCTAGCGTGAACCCAGGAGGCGGAGCTTGCAGTGAGCCAAGATCATGCCACTGCACTCCAGCCTGGGCAACGGAGCAAGACTCCATCTCAAAAAAAAAAAAAAAAAAAAAAAAAAGACCTAAATAGAAAGTGTAAAAAGACAACAGTGTTAAACATCCAATGTAAATAGACAAAAATGTTAAAATTATGTTACTTTTTATATATGAGTATCGAGTATTTTTATTTTGTAATTGAATTTATCAAAATGCATGTTGTACAACTAATCAATTATGAAAAAAGTATGGAGATAAATTATGTGCTTTTCAAAATTCTTTAATAAAATATTTGCTTTTACACCAATGTGGTATGCTGTATTGAGTGCTTTTTAGTCAGTACCATATGAAAGTCAAATTACAACCATATTAACATGCATAATTCCACTTTGATTTCTGATATGGAAAGAGGTGGTAAATGGCAAGTCAAAGAGAGAATCATCAAAAGCTCCTTTTGTATGATTGTTAAGAGCTTTAGAGCACAAGACAGACTGGAAATAAAATTACACTAAAATATTGTTTCTTAAGGATTTCTGCTAACTGAAGCTGGTTGTGTAGGTTTATGAAAACATGCTTAGAGGCAGGAAGCTTTCTATGGTATGAAACACAGGTAGATTATGAAGACAAGACCAAAATATGCAGCTATATTCTTTTTTTTTTTTTTTTCCTGAGACAGAGTCTCACTCTGTCATCCAGGCTGGAGTGCAGTGGCACAATCTTGGCTTACTGCAGCCTCCGCCTCCTGGGTTCAAGCGATTCTCCTGCCTCTGCCTCCCGAGCAGCTGGGGTTAAAGGTGCCTGCCACCATGCCCAGCTAATTTTTGTATTTTTAGTAGAGACAGGGTTTCACCATGTTGGCCAGGCTGGTCTTGAACTCCTAACCTCAGGTGATCTGCCTGCCTCGGCCTCCCAAAGTGCTGGGATTACAGGCATGAGCCAACGCACCCGGTCATGTAGCTATATTCTTTAAGACACGTTAAAACTCTGTGCCTGTATTATATTTTTTATCTTAGAGGGTAGCACACTATGCCTTGACTATATCTGGTTGCCCCAAATAACAAATGTAATTTGGCTTATGCATTAAAAATAAAGTTTCTGATTTAGCTTCTCACTTTAAATAATCAAAATCATACATATATTGATTTTTTTTTACTTCTCTTGAAAAATAATATTTGCCAATGATGAGATAGAATTGTTATTGAAAACAGTGGACTTCAGCTGAGTAGCAGCTGCCTTTAGAAAGACATGTATTTTCTTGGTGGCAACAAGTCTCTCTCCTCTTTTTTCTCTTCCTCTCCCTCCCTCTTCTCTTTCTTCTTCTCCCTCTTTCTTTCCCTTCCTACCCTTCTCTCTCCTTGCAATGCTTTTCCTTAGCCCACATCTCTGATTTTACTAATTTATCTCCCTGATCTCTATAGGCATTACTGTTTATCATTCCACATCATAAATATTACTATTATCCTGTTTTTACTTCCCATCACAAAGACAGTGGCATGTATTATATCTGTTCCTATAATGTTCTTTCTTTTGGACATTAAAAAAAATAATTTAAGCTGTGTTAAGTGATAAGGGTTATTCATTTTTTCAAAGAAAAATTTTAAAAAGAAAATTTTGATTGAAAAAGTATATAATGCACTGTTCATTTATCCAGTAGAGTATCATGAAACCATTAAAAAGAAAAAAAATGAGAAAAATGTTCAAAATATACTGTTAAGTGACAGAACAATGTTGAAAAACATTATGTATTAAAAATACTGCTATGATTATTCATAAGAAATTTTTAACAGTAGGCACATCTATAATTGAGAATGTGGATGGGGGTATGTTGAGGTGAAAGATTTTTCTTATACATTTATCCTTCTTTATGCTTTAGACTTAGCACCAGCATAAATTATGTTTAAAATGAAGAACCATTTTTAAGCTCCAAAAATGAATACCACTTAAAAATAATATTTTAAAGGCTACTCTTTCAGGAATCGTTTCTATAGTTCATTACTGGAGAAGTTTATCTGATTGCATAGAAAATAATAATGATATTTTATATGTATGTATATTTATTTGTGTAACACGTTCACATACATCATTATCTAATCTGGTCTTTATAATAACCCTGTAAGGTAGGCACGTAGATACTATACTCATTTTTTTTTTTTACAGAAAAGTAAAAAGAATGAGAGGATTAAGTAACCTACATGAGATGAAACAGTCAAAGAGATAACCAGAATCACACCAAGTGTATCTGTCAGGAGGGACTAGGTTATGCAGTGGTAACAAAACTCCTTTACATATCAGTGGCTTCAAACCACGAAGCTTTGTTTGTTTGTGTGTTTGTTTTTGAGATGGAGTCTTGCTCTGTCACCCAGGCTGGAGTACAGTGGCACAATCTGATCTTGGCTCACTACAACGTCTGCCTCCTGGGTTCAAGCAATTCTCATGCTTCAGTCTCCTGAGCAGCTGGGTCTACAGGCACCCACCACCACACCTGGCTAATTTTTTATTATTTATTTATTTATTTACTAGAGACAGGGTTTCACCATGTTGGCCGGGCTGTTCTTGAACTCGTGGCCTCAAGTGATCTGCCTGCCTCGGCTTCTTAAAGTGCTGGAATTACAGGTGTGAGCCACCATGCCCAGCCCTTTAAAAAAATTATGTATTTCTTTTTTCTTGTTCATGTCTAGTGACAGGTGGCTAAACTCTGTTCCATAATGTCTTCACTGTGGGTCCCAGGCTGACAGAATAGCCACTGTGAAGATCATTGCTAGCCATGGTGGCAATGGAAACCTCATCACATTGTAATAAAAGCAAAGGAAACCTCATCACGTTGCAATGAAAGCAAAGGAAACCTAATCACACTGTAATAAAAGCCTTAGCCACTGCTACTCACAACTCAGTGGGTAAAACTGGTTGTAAACTCTGTCCAATCAGAAGAGCTCCAGTAAATGCAGTCTTACCATATACCCAGAATTGGAGGGGCAGGGTGGCTAGAATAATTAGTAAACTTTAATGACTGACACTCCAAAGCCTCTAACTCAAGTTCTCTTATAATAAATTATTAAAACTACATAGATCTTTAGATTCTCCATATTTAGAATAACACTTTCATTTAAAACTACCCTGACACAAATGAGTTAAAAATATGGGTGTATCATACTAATTTTTATCTTATATAATTCCATAAGTGTCCTGTATTTTTTTCATTCTTACTTACATTGCATCAGATGATTGCTGCCAGTAAGTGTTTTGTCCTTCAGTAGGTAGGAGGAAACACTGAAGTTGAGCATCTCAGTGCCTACTTAGCCACATCAAGTACAGAATATTAACAGAAGGAAACGCCAGCTGCAGCCTGTAGATAGCACACCACACTGCACAGTACATACTATAAACAAGTATTCTCCAAACATTCACAGGCTCTTAACCTCAATCACGTATCCTCAATCAGATGTCAATTCAGTAGCAAATTTTCTAAATAATGATGATGTAACATCCATTAGTAAATAAGAGACATCAATTACATTAAATATCATGCTTGGGCTGCCAGATCATTGTGAACAAAACACATTGATAAGCAATGTGCTTTTCAGCCAAGGGCAACCAATGAATGCAGTGAGTTATCAAAGAGACATAAAGAAATATGTTCTACTTTAGGGAAAGTCACAGCAGCTGTTAATCAGATGCAAGTAATTGAAGTATAGTTGACAAAATGTTAAGAGGAACAGGACCAACAGCCCAGATTAATAAATTCCTTTTCAGAAGGAAAGCATTAGCAAAGTCAAGGAACAGAAAGTTATGAGGTATAATAGCTACAACTGAGTAATTTATAACCTAGGCGTGGAAAGAGTAGACAGAGAGGCCAACTGGACAGGTGTTGTGATAGTCCAGAAGTGAGGGGACTGTAGCCTGGGATTAAAAGAAACACAACTGGAATGGAGAAGAAGGGGGACTTTAAGAGTCATTTCAAAAGAAGAATCCAAGATTTGAAACTGACTGGGAACGGACAGCCAGAGTAAGAAGTGGGGTTAAAACAATAAACACTAACTCCTTTCTTAATACATACATGCATGTGTGTGTGCGCACACATACCTAGGTACACATGTGCAAAAACACAGACGTGACACTTGTTTACTGGGAGTAATTGTGTCACAGACAGAAACAGACCGTCTAAAGGGTTTTGGTAGGAAGATGTTCTCATTGGGTTTAATCTTGGTCATGGTAAATCTGCGGTAATGGAAGAACATGTGCGTGAAATGTTTTGGTTTTGGGGACCATTCTTTTTGCAAAACTTATGTTCAAAAGAGACTACGAGGTAAGAGTTATAGCTTTAGAAGTCATCATGTGGGAAGGTTCGGAGATATATTTTTAAATTACTGATCCATATGTTGTCTCTTACTTTTACAAAACAGTTTATTTGAATTTCTTATATATATATATGTATTTTTTAATTTTTACCTTATGTGGCATTTATTCTATATTGTTCTAGGAGGAGTCTGAGAAGACCTAAAACAGAAGAGAAAAAGGCGAAGAAGATGCTTAAATATATACATTATTCAAGTAATTAACTGAAGCCTTGAGCGTACAGATGATCTCCGAAAGGACGCCACAGAGAGGAGAAGGCTGGACTTGCAGAACACACTGCTGTTGAAGAGGTGACAGGAAGATTCAGAGCTCACAAAGAAGACAGGTCAGACGTGGAGAGGCGAGCCAGCAGAACACCCTCAGAAATACTGCTCTCCTGTTCGGATGGCCAGTTTTCATATTTTAGAATATTTTTCAAAAAGCACTTCAATATAATGAAGTTCCCTCAGTTATAACAAGGCCATTTTTCATAGCTATTTGTGTAGATAGTCCAAAAGTGTGGTGTGTTATCAGAAAGGGAAAAAAAAAAAAAAAAAAAAAAAAACCCTGGTCTGGAGAGAAATTATCAGAGAAACATCAGAATAAACCAATTTGTTTGATTAAAAATCTATGGGTAATGGTGGCCTTTCTCCATGGTTATGATCTTGTATTTCACATGTACAAACACCATATATTTGTAATTTATGAATCAAATCATGATTTAGGAATTTATTAAAAAGGCAAACTAAGGAAGAAAGCCAAGTTTCACAATAGTTTCAACAGCTAAACATCATGTTTTCCGCGCAACGTGGAGACATGCCTGCAAGCACTCTTTCTCCCCCGGGCCTCAAATGTGCTGCCAAATCCTTTACTCACCTCCCTGTGTTGCTGAGTGAACTGAAGGGGAGAAAAACACAGACAAGGTCAGAACACTCTCACAGAGGTGGCAAAGGTGTCCCATTTTACTGGATGTTTGGGATTCCCAAGCTGACATTCTAACCTCAGACATTATTTAGAAGAGCATTAAAAATTTAGCTGCGTGAAGCTGTGTTTTCTGATTAGGGTCTTCTGCAGGGTGACGGCCATGATGAACTTGTTACTGACAATTCTTCCTCAGACAATTCATCCCCATTTCTTTTCTTTTCTTTTCTTTTTCTAGATCATCTTTAGTACTGTTAGGTTCTCTTAGAAACTGGTGCACTCAGGATTCCTTGTGTGTTAAAAGGTTGTGATGTAGGAGTTAAAAAGCTTCAATTCAGCCTCTTGTGTTTTGAACCACATATGACTGTTTTGTAGAAAACTCTTACATTGACATAAGGTTCAGATGCTGCATTTTAACATTGAATGTATTTTTAGACAAAACTTAAAATCTGTATAAATATTATTAAATATTTCTATGGATAAACAACTGCACATAACGTTTTATCTGTGAGAGTCCCAAGAGGAAATAAATGGCACTTTCAAACAGAGTAATTTGAGTGTTTAATAGAGACTATTTACAAAGATGTGGGAAGGCTGTAGCAACCCCCAGAGCTAGTGACATTCCCTGAAGTTAGCAAGCAGGCACTGTTAACATTTTCAAGCCAAAAGGCTTGAAAAGAAAGTGTAGTTCCCAGCACATGTAGACAATCACAAAAAGCAAACACCTCACCTTTACTCTCCTCTTTACCTTAGACTGCCTGGGAGAGCTGCCCATTGACCAAACCCAAAAAGAAGCCAGAAGGCAGAGAAGTCCATTGAGACAGTCCATACAGATCAGCTCTCCAGGCAGAGAGAATGGGAAAGATGGGAAGAGTGGGTCTGGAGGGCAAATGGGAGACACTCCGCACAGATGTACTCATTGACTCAGAGAAGGAGTGTGTTAAGGGAGAAAACAGGAATAATCTTGATTGTGCCATTTTGAATTTCAAAACTGATAGTGTGATATAACAAATATATATTCAGTCCCCAGTTCCTGGCACAGAGCTCCCTAAAACTCTTGTAAGCTCCTGAGTGATAGGAGTAAGAAGAACCTCTTTGGTTATTCATAATAAGGCTCTTTAACCACACCTGAGATTATGCTAATAGGATTACTCTTGATGGGCCCCTAAATAGCTTCAGGATGAGGTCTGGTTGCCAGAGGATCCGACCATGTGATGAGAGGGTTGGCACCTTTCAGCCCCACCTTCCAACCTCCATGGAGGGGAGATAGGCTGTAGATTGAATTCAATCACCAAAGGCCAATGACTTAATCAATCATGCCTATTTAATGACACCTCCATAAAAACCCTACACAATGGAGTGCAGAGAGTTTCAGGGGTGCTGAGCACATGCAGGTACAAGGAGTGTGGCGCTCCCAGAGAAGGTTTGGAAGCTTCATGCCTCTTTCTGCCCCATGCATCTCTTCTGTCTGGCCATTCTTGAATTGTGTCCTTTGTAATAAATTGGTCATATTAAGTAAAGTGTCTTCCTGAGTTCTGTGATCCATTCTAATAAAATATCAAACCCGAGGAGAGTGTCGTGGGAACCTCTGATCAGCTGGTTGGTCAGAAATACGGGAAGCCTGGATGTGTGACTGGCATCTGAAGTGGAGGCCATAATCAGGGGTACAGACAAAGTGTTAGAGAGAAGCACAGTGAATGAAAAGAGCTCCTCTCCACCATGCCCAGACTGCAAAAGCTTCTTTTTGACTGGGGGAAAGAGAAAAGGGAAGAGGCGATAAGTAAAGGAAGATCTGAAGGCCCAGGAGTACAGGGGCCCAAGACAATCTTTCAAAAGAAGCCACTCAGAGAGGGACAAACTCCAGAGAGAGAATGTGGGTGTGCAGCGTGGAGGCATCATGCAAAAAACTCAAGTGGGTGAAGGAAGCTAGGTGGAATCCAATGGACACTGGAGGGGCCTGTGTGGGCCTGGAGAGCCAATGCCCCATGCAAAGGCACAGCAATGCCCTATGCAAAGGCACAGCCCCAGCCAGCTGGCTGCTCCTATGCAAGAATGCAGGCACTGAGTTACAGTATTTCCCATTTTTCAAGAGAAATCTGAAAACTACATTATTCAAATAAAATTTCCAGATTCTTAAAACTTTGTGGGCTAAATAAAATGCGTCTGTGGAACAAATTCAGTCCACTGCCTGGTCATAGAAACATGGAGTCCTAGTGGCTTACTATGCCCTAAGCAAGCCACCAAAGCAGCAGGAGGTTTGCTAGACCTGAGAGGCCACATAGATAGGAATGAAGGACACAGCAAAGCAGACTTAGGTTCAAGGAACAGCTGGGTCCCTTTCACCCAGGCCTAGTTCCACACAAACTTCCAGGAATGTTGATACAACCCCAGGAAGGGAAAGAAACACCTAAACCATTGAGCTTAAAGTTCCGTGCCATGTCAGCAGAATCAGGACTCAAAAAGGAAACAGTGTTGTAGAAAAATAAAGTAGTCACTACTCATCTATATTCCCTCATTCCTTTCAGTAAGATTTGGCTCTAAATTTGCAAGATACAATCTAGGCTTCTTGCCTACCAGTTCCATGATCCCATTAAAGGGATGTAAGTAGAGTTCATCATTAAGATTTCCTGCTTCTGTTCTATGCAAACTATGGCACGCTGAGCTTCTGCTGATGGAATTTCAGGTGCTAAGACAGGGACCTTCAAGTTCATCCACAATCCTGAGGCAGAAATCTGTGGGTAAAAGATACCTATCCTGAGATGATTCTGGCTCTGTCCCGGCAGTGGCCATAATTCACTGTGGGCCCTAGAATGAGATGTTTCTTCCATGTTTCTTCCCTGCTTGGCCCCAATACTCTTGTCATAAACTATAAGGGGCGAGAGTCAGGCCTCAGCCAAACACACGTCCCATTCTGCTGTAGGATGCTATACTCCTACAGGTGGCCAGGTGAGGGCATACTGGAAATGATTGAGCATTACACAGATGAGAACATGTACCATTATTTTTATATTACTGTTTCTTCCACACAGATTCCACCTCCCTTTTGCACAATAAGATTAGACATTTTCCTGCCTTGTTTGGCTACTTTAGAAACTCTTAGGATTTATACCTTTTTTTTCCTGCATTTTCCCCTTTTCCAGTCATCAGCAAATTCTCTGGAAGGTCTGTTATGAAAATAACCTACAGAATTTCACTTTCTATTTGTCATAGGATAATTTATATCCCTAGGAAAGAGAGCTTGTTTTTTATTTTTTCTTTCACTAGTAAAGTCTGAGATAAGGAATCATGTGTTTATTTCTTATGACTTGGGGCTCCAAACTTCTTTGAAATCCTCTCGCTAATCTTCTTGTCCCTGAATGGCTTCAAGTTCTCCAGCTTCCTCCAATCCTGCTTGGCATGTATGACATGCCTCATCACCATATGTTTTTCCATCTTTTGATGACTTATTTCAGCCTATGGGCCTAAAAATCTCTATGTTAAATTCAAACATTCTGCATTATTGAACAATATAATGAAGCATTTCGATATTAAAACTCCAAGAAACAATGATGGAGAAATTAAGTACTCAATGGCAAGAAGGGTACAGTAACAAATCTGAAAAATATAAATTAAAAAATTCAGTTTGGGTGTGGTGGCTCACACCTGTAATCCCAGCACTTTGGGAGGCCGAGGCAGGAGGATCACTTGAGCCCAGGAGCTTGAGACCAGCCTGGGCAACACAGGGAGATCCCATCACTACAAAAAATGTTTAAAAATTTAGATGGGTGTGATGGGTGTGTTGGTACATGCCTGTGGTCTCAGCTACTCAGGAGACTGAGGTGGGAGGATAACTTGAGGCTTCAGTAAGCCATGATCATGCCACTGTACTTCATCCTGGGTGACAGAGTGAGACCCTGTCTCAAAAAAGTAAGAGAGAGAGAGAGAGAAATTAATTTAAAAAAATCAAAATCTAGAAGTAGTATTCTTCTATAAAATCTAGAAGTACATGACTTTCTAAAGTTGGATATATGGCCAGAAGTGGGCAATTGAAGTTTTGCTCAATATTGAGCAGGTGTTAATATTATGAAGAATATTACTCAGACCAAGAGATGTCCCCTTCCAATGACTGGGAACTGTATTACAAACAAAAATTTGTCACGCCCTTTCTAGATGTAGCATTATAGAATTAAAATAACTTTCCCATTTATTGGCTTTTTCTTCCACAAATGGAGATCAGAAACTAGCAGATTCAAATTTTCATAACTGCACAATTCATGGAAGTGAGTAAATACAGCTCAAATTTATAAAAACCAATCATCATGTCAAGAATCCATATAACAAGTCATACCAGTAAATTAGTTGAATTGCAAGTATTTCCACCAAAAAGTGAGTTCCAAAAGAATGAAAACATAAAAGATTTTATCTGCTTCAATCAATCATTAATACTTCTGGAAAACTATCTCTATACAAGGAGTTGAGAAAAGGCCATAAACACATAGTTCAGATCAAGACCTGACCCTCATAATTGAATGAGAATGTTAAAAGCCAAGACTCTAGAGTTACTTAAATATATTACAAATATTACAAATTGCCACAATGAACAATTCAGCCCCAAAACATTGAGCATAGCTAAGATGCTTAATAGCAAACAAAATAACTTTATATAAAGCCATCTGCTGAACAATGTTCCGATAGGGTCAGAGAAAACACTATGTTAAACCCATAGAAGAAAAGTAGACATGGGGAATTGGCAATCCAAAAAGGTAGAGGAAGCAGCAATCCATACAAGGGAATGAAACATGAGATAAAGACCCCCCTGAAGACACTCCTCACCTTTGTCCTAATTGGTCACCTCAATAGCCCACTTCAGTGACATACCACTGGTAGAAACATAGTCCTTCTACAAAGCCCTTGGCTAAAGAACATTAGGAAACAGGGTGGGGAATGGAGAGAGAGTAAACCATTGTCACCATAATTAAGCTAAATCTGGGAAGTAAAAGGAAGGAGTGGACCCAGCCAAATACACTATTGAGAGGGGCTGCATTAAGGTACTTTTTTTTTTTTTTTCCTGAGACGGAGTCTCGCTCTGTCGCCCAGGCTGGAGTGCAGTGGCGCGATCTCGACTCACTGCAAGCTCCGCCTCCTGGGTTCTTACCATTCTCCTGCCTCAGCCTCCCTAGTAGCTGGGACTACAGGCATGTGCCACCACACCTGGCTAATTTTTTGTATTTTTAGTAGAGACAGGGTGTCACCGTGTTAGCCAATCAAGGTACTTCAAAGCTATGAGATCACCTCTATATGGTTCCCAGCAAAAAGACCTGCTTTTCCCCTCATATATGAACAATGCTTCACATCCAAGAGGACACTTATAGAAATCTTGGGGTAATAAATGCCACTAAGTAATTGAACGTCGACCCCTTAATAACAAGTGGAAGGTGTGGAAGGAAGCAAGGACTCAGACACCTACCTCTCCAGAAACTTTGGGAGCATCCAAAACTTTACAACAACTAGGTTCTGATAATGACATTGTGTTGAAAAAAATGACCCTTAGTTTTGAAAACAAAAGGGATGATGAAAGTAAACCCTGGTGTAGGACGCCAGCTATAAATATCTGCTGTCTCTAAAAGTATCTGCTGTCTCCGTAAGTACCTGCTGTCTCCAGTTGATTTCTCATTTAATGCTTCCCTCTCTTCTTCCCTTAGCAAGCTGTAGAGTCGCTTTCTGTTTAGTTGTCTATCACACTCTCCTCTCCCACTCTCCCTGACAACATCCCTTGAAATCTGCCACTGTGGTTTGTTAAGTGATGTCAGGGCTCATTAAACAATACCATGAAGTATGGCACCTGGCCATGCAGAATACTTTGAAGTAAAGGAGACTGGAAGGGCTTCAAAAGCAAGGTCTCTCCAACCTTCCTTTGCCCTCCTTTCTCCCATTCCCTTTCTCCACCAAGGTGTGTCATAGAAACTACAACTCCTCTTCCCCAAAGAAAGCCATAAAACCTAGAAAAGGTTACTCTCTGACCTACCTCCCCTAAGATCAGGTCATAAGCTTCTTGTGCCAGGTGTCTTGCCCCATAACCAGGGCAAAGGAATGCTACACAGAGAGGCCAAGAAGAATGTGAACAAACAAGCTTTGCTAGGTTCTCTCCTATACTTCATTAACATCAAATTATACCCTTTTTGTCCAATCACATTTCTGTGTGACTGTCCTTTCTTCATCAGTCCTAAGCATTAAAAAAACACAGTTTTCCCTGGGTCTTTGGTTCTTTGTGTCTGAAAGCTCTCAGGTCACATAAAACTTTATTAAATAAATTTGTTATGCTTTTCTCCTATTAGGTCCTTTGTTACAGGGGTGTCAGCCATGGACTCTATAAGGGGTGAGATAAAAGTATCACTTCTTTGCCCTGACAGTGGCTTGCCTTTGCCTGGCCCTCAATTATTAGTTGACCTATTTGATTAACACTTGACATTCTTTGCCGGTATATTTGTGTGACTAAATCACACATATATTATAATGAATCCAGTTCTACTTCATATCATGTTTCCTTGCCTTTACCTCACCTGATTCACTCCTATGATAGCATCAATACATCTCTTGCCTTCCTCAACCCAAACTGCATCAAAAGATGTCTTCAGATCATCCAACTAGGGACCATCACCTGGCCTCCAGGTTGGGCCAGGCCTGACCTCGTCCTCATGAGCACATTGAACGTCACCCCTTAATAACAAGCGGAAGGTGTGGAACTACTGAAACTGCTGGGGTTTGCTGCATTGTTGAATCAGCCATAGCAGAGTCACACACATGGACAGGTGGCCTCTGGCCATTCACACTCACAAAGTTCCTGATAGATTCATCCTATATTTTATAATTTCTTGGCCACAACCAATAACAGGGGCCAGAAACAGAGCACAAGATAAATACACTGCTCACATCAAAAAACTTTTGGAAAGAATTCCTTGCTGAATAAATTGGAAGCTGTCCCCAGGTTGTAAATAAAACGTCATTTACAACCAGAAGACCTCATTTCCTCCTTTATAAATAAGATTTTACTCCATATTCTTTTCTTGAAATGGTTGGAAATAAAAGTTAATCATGTACATAACCTAGTTTTGAAGTAAAAATTATCCAGAGATATAAATGCAGTTTGAAATCTTATAATTTCTATTTTCGATCATACCAAAGAATTAAGAAACGATGTAAAAGAACTATATGATTATTTCTTATGTGCTAATAATGTTATTAGCTAGGTGGCATATATTCTAAGCACATTAAATACATTATCTCATTTATTACCCTTTTTACAATTTCTAATTGACACATAATTGTACATATTTATGTAATACATATGATATTCTGATACATGTATACAGTGTATAATAATCAAATCAGGGTAACTGGCACATCCATTGCCTCAAGCATTTCTCATTTTTTTTTGTAGTGAGAACATCCAAAATTCTCTCTTCTGGCTATTTTGAAATATACAATAAATTATTATTTACTATACTCTCATACTGTGCTATAGAACAGTAGCCCTTAGTCCTCCTGTCTAATTGTAATTCATTTACTCTTGATTGTTTTGTGAGGTATAGATTAAAATTTCCATTTTATAGATGAGGAAACTAACATGTTCATACAGCTAATACATGGTAAAACTAAAATTTGCAACCTGGATTGTCATCAAGTCTGGTTCAAAAAAAAAAAGAGTTAAAGTTAAAATAGTTAAAAGTAAAGGCATGAGGTAGTGTTAAAGAGAGAGAAAGTAATCAAAGTAAGGAAGATTGTTCTCTTCCAGCCGCTTTAAGACTCTATCTCCAATACACTGACTAAAATGCCAGCACATTTGAAATCATGTACATGTGACAGTCCTGGCAGAAGCATCATCCTAAAGAGTTGTACCACAAACATTCAGGCGAGGCCATAAACAGCAGTACCTGCTCTGGGCAAGTGACTTCACTTAAACATGCCAAATGAGAAAACTTGTTTTTAATTCTCAACCTGTATTATCGTGCCAGAAATGTTTCAAAAACAAGAATTTAAAAAAGTATGGCTTTTGAGGATTTCTCATTAATAACTACTAAAATTATCTACTCTCCTCATATCCCTCTTAGGGAACCAAGCACCTAAAAACAAGTTGATTTCCCAAGGCGGCAACTGACTTAGAGTAAAAATGTAAAGATGTTATTTCTAGTATTGGAATGCAGTGAAAGATCACAAAGCTTCAGAGGGCAAACCACATGTCATGAAAGTGCCACCGCATAAGTACCACTGCACACTAACCCATCGAGCTACTGGAGCTACTCAAACCACAGATAAGCTAAGCAGGAGACTTTAATCTTTGTAATTAGTCTCATAAAAAGACCAATTTTTAATAAAAAACTTATTAAAAACATAATTTTTATAGTTCTAAAAGAACACATAAAGATTATTTTATAATTATCTATTATAAATATTGATTACATTATTTATATAACATATAAATCATAATTATTTCATAATTATCTTTATAATTATCTTTGTAACTAAATCTTTATAAAAAGAAGAGACGCTTTGGGTTTTTGATGTGCAAACTTTTGTACAGTTCGTGCTAATGAATTTTGCTTTCCTACATGATCAATTCTGGAGTTGCCTGCCAATTAAAGAAATGGTTTTCTAAAGACACAACTTTGGGTATAGAAAGATGATGGTGAGTTTTTGTGCAGTTAAACACTGACTTTAGTGTATTGTTGCATTAACCTTACCCCTAAAAATCACGGTGGTGATTTGGAATCATCTAAAGGGTTTGGAAACCCTAAAGTACCCATGAGCAAGATGAGTGCGTGATTATGATTGATGATGATGTAGAGCAGCAGTCCTCAAACTTTAGTATGTACTGAAATCAGCTGAAGGGCTTGTTAAACTACTGATTGGTGGGGGGAAGGGGGATACCAGAGTTTCTGAGTCAGTAGGTCTGGAGTTGTGACCAATAATTTGTCTAACAAGTTCCCAGGTGATGCTGATTATACTGATCTGGGAACTACACTTTGAGAACCACCAGTGAAGACAAAAGGGACATAGATGGTCATCGTAATGTACTGCAATTATGGATTATCGACTGGTCATATAAAAGCATTATCATCCAAGTTCTACAAGTGTTCTTTCCAGAGATAGCACCAATCCAGGAAGATGGATTGCATTTAAACACGAAAAAAGAGTATTAATGTGATAATTTTTGAGAAGCAAGTTCTAATGAAAAAGAAATCTATTAGAACTAACTAGAGAGACTGATAAATTGACTATAAATACACAGACAAATTCATACACATAGGTCAAAATACTTAATTGAAGTATTTATTTGTGCTTTATTTCCCTTCATTTCTGGCTCCTCTGTTTCAAGTAGGCAGACCATCCTCCCCCCATTCCCCTTCCCTTGGACTTGGATGTTGCCTACAGACAGCTGGCATGCCTGGCTTTTGTTTTCACTGACACCAGATCTCCTAAAAGAAATGACACTAGGAAAAAAAAAGGGGGAGCAGGGCTGGCAGTGCCAGAGAGGAAAATACCCATGGCTAGGAAAGGAGAAGAGGATGAAGGTCCCTAGGATTTCCTGGTAGGCCCCAAGTTGGGGAGAGAAAAACAAAGAACAGGGTCCCTCTGTCTAGTTAAAGATCCTGTTGTCCGTTGGAATGAACTGCCCACATCTTCCTGGGGCTGTGAGGTCTGACACAGCAGCCTCCATGATGTAATAAATCTTTGCCCATTTTCTAGGTATCAAGTAGGAGCCTCAGTGACCATAGCAAGGGACAGGAGGTTCCATAAAGAATGGCACTGATTGCTTTTCCTGACAGTGCAGATGGGTGGGGAAAGGGTGAGTTGCTGGCTTGAGATAAGATCAAATTTCACTTAAAGAAAATAAAGAAGTAAAAATATTTCTTGCATACCCAAATTTGACTACAATTTTTTACCTACATTTTATTATTTTATTTTATTTTACTTATTTTTTTGGAGACAAGGTCTCACTCTGTTGCCCAGGCTTCAGTGCAGTGTTGTGATCAAGGCTCACTGCAACCTTGACCTCCCAGGCAAAAGTGATCTTCCCACCTCAACCTCCTGAGTAGCTAGGACTACTGGTGCATGCCACCACATCCGGTTATTTATTTATTCATTTATTACTTTTTGTAGACATGGGGACTCACTATGTTGCCCAGGCTGGTCTGGAACTCCTGGGCTTAAGCAATCCTCCAGCCTCAGCCTCCCAAAGTGCTTGGATTACAAGTTTGAGCCAAGACACCCTGCCTTGGTACCACTTTTTAAATAATATTCAGTGGTGGTAAAAGAGTGAGAAAATGGGCTTCTTGAATCCTGCTGATATAAGCATGAATGCATATCAAAAGACCTAAAATTTTTACTGACACATGAATCCAGCAATTCTACTTCTAGACATTTGCTCTAATTAAACAATTAAAGATATAAAACAAGATCTGGCTCTAATGATGGTCTCAGTAGTGCTATTTGTATAAATGGGAGGGCCAGGTTAAATGTCCAACAATGAATTAAAGTAGATTGACGACAGAGCATTGTTTTCAACTACTAAATATATTATAAAAATGTTTTGTTAGCATCAAAGTATATTACTAATTCCTGTTAAGTGAAAGAAACAGGTGATAAAATACCATGCAGAATACTATGCTCTTTTCATTAATTATGTGCCTATGAGTATTTATTTTTTTAACTCAAAATATATCATGGGCAAACAAATTGAATGCTATAACTTGCTGATTTTGACCAAAAAAATGCTTCACAATTTACATCCATTTGAGAATACTTTTCTCTCTTGCTAATAAATCACTTCTAAACTTTGTACTTTCTATTATAAATCCCCTCACCTCACCCCCAATTTTGGCAACTATATGTTGAGTCCCTCTTCAAAGTACCCTAAACTGAGGGGGCTGGGGGAAAGGAAAGTTGTGGAGGTGAATTCCTAAAGTGTTCCAGAAAATGATACTGCTGATTTTGCAGTCTTAAAATTCACCTCCAGGAACACAGCAGAGAAAGTTATTTGCCTCACCTTGGAACACCTTGGTAACCTCATTACTAAAAATGATACCATACACTCTTGTGCAGCATATACATCGTGAGGTGTCATGGAAAGTATATAGAATTCCAACCATCAAATTTGGTAGCAGTGCTTTATGTTGTTTCTGCAAAATGCAATAATGTCTTCTTAATTCCCTAGGCTGGCATGGCTCACTTGGCGTCATTTATTTAAGGATATCTACATTTTCAAACACTGTTGGGTGAAAAGCAGCCCCATCAATCACTGTGACAGGCTACGTTCCTCTCGAGTTTATCTTCCTGTATATTTTGTGCCAGATTTCGTTTGCAAACCTCCAAACGGGGGAAACATGAGTCTTATTTAATCTTCACAAATATACACTGATGTTGTTAGACTATCATTTGCCGTCTGAACTCTCATTCATTAATAAAACGTTGGTTAAACAACACCCTACCCACCTTTTAACTGCAATACTCCCTTGTGTCTGTTGAACCCTTAATGGATGACCTGTTTTAAAACCTGGTGGATATTTTATGCATATTGCAATTTGTGTGAAACTTGTCACTGTAGAGGATCTTTTCTCTTTCTAACATGGACAGGTTTGTTTATTTTAATTTCCATTAGTGTCTTGGAAGACAAAAATGATGAATGATGATTCTGAAGCTACAGATTTCACAAGTTAGAGAGTTATAGTGGATGCACGCTTAGCTTAGCTTAAATTATTTTATTAGAAGCACAAACCATCACACCACTGGGGGTACATGAAGACCATTTCATTTCAGTTCAGATTTTAGAGCCCATTTCCAAGGTTACCTCAAGTGTATAAAGAGAAAAAGCAAATAACTGGGTCATAAGCAGATAAAATGGACAAAGCATATACTGCGACAAGCAGCAGCAGGACAAAATTACACCTTTTATCAAGTCTTCCTTCCTCTGCCTGCCCATGTGATCTGGCCCAGCTTGAGGGAAGAGAATGAGAAAGTGTGGCAGCTGAAAGCTCACCACGGGAAAGGATAGCAAGAGACTGATTTTTCATTCCCCATCGTTGGCAGCAGAGGTAAACATTTTAAGATACCTGTTTTAGTATGAAGACATGCATTTTTAATTGTGGTAAAATATACATAATGTAATTTATCACTGTAGCCATTTTTAAGCATACCATTCAGTGGTGTTAATTACATCCACGGTTTTGTGCAACCATCACCACTATCCATTTCCAGAACATTTTCATCCCCCGTACTGAAACTCTGTACCTATTAAACAATAACGCCCCATCCTCCCCTGTCCCAGCTCCTGGAAACCCGTAATCTACTTTTTGTCTCTATGAATTTGCCTATTCTGGTTACCTCGTATAAGTGGAATCATACAACATTTGCCCTTTTGTGTCTGGGTTATTGCACTTAGCATAATGTTTTCAAGGTTCATCCATGGCATATAACAGAATTCCATTCCTTTTTAAACTGAATGATGTTCTGTCTTATGGATATACTACATTTCGCTTATCCATTCATCTGTTGATGGCCATTTGGGGTGTTTCCACCTTTTGGCTATAGTGAATAATGCTGCTATGAACATTGGTGTACAAGTATCTATTTGGGTCCCTGTTTTAAATTCTTTTAGGTATATGCCAAAAAGTGAAATTGGTAGATCATGTAGCAATTCTTTGTTTAACTTTTTGAGGATCTGTCAAACTGCTTTCCACAGCAGCTGCTGAAGGTACAGTTTTTAAATGTGCATTTCCGGTTAGAGTGACGGTCAAAAATTGACCAATTATTGAGCAAATGTCGGCAGCTCTGAGTGTCCTGGATAGTTCAGGGTGAAGTGTGGATTTGAGTCTCAAAGTGATGTCTTGGCTCTCAGCTCCGTGAATCCCCCATCCTACTCTGTTGGGCAATCGGCCTGCAGAATTACCTCCAGCTGCAGCCACCTGGTAATGGCAGCAGTGGCCCATCTGGAGCGTCCGCTGCAAAGACGACGCCAGGTGCAGAGGGGTAGGCGCGCCAGGGCAGCGTGCGGAGCCGACGGGGGCCAGGAGCAGGCCAGAGGCCCACTCCCTACCAAGTTGGCGGGGCGGGAGCCCTGAGTTCCCAGGTGGAGCTGCAGTCGCCCAGCCACAGCTCCGGACCCAGGAATCCCTGTACTCCTGGGGGCCTGGGAAGCCCACCTGTCGCTGCAGGCTAGAAGTGCCTGCTCCCGCCCTCCGGCCTCTCCTCACTCCCAGTGCCCACTCTGATTTCAGAGCAAAGTTGTGGCTAAGCCCAGGCACTCCTGCCACCTGGCCGCGTGTGTGCACCCTTGAGGCAGCGCTGACATGACAGCCCCCTGACGCCTCAACCCCTCCGGACTTTGGGTACTCACGAGTGTGGGAGGGAGGCCAGCGGGGGCGGTCAGCTCGGTGCGGGCCTGGGCACGAACAGCCTGGGTGCCCTGGATGGCATGCTGATGGCGGGAGGCAGAAAGGGTCCTGGGGAGAAAGGCGCGAGTCCCTGGTGAAACCCCACCTTCAAGCCAGGGACAGCCTGAAGCCTGGGAGCCAGGCTGCCATTTCTGGGTGGAGTCCATGGCCCAGAGAGAATTTATGGTGCTCCCTCCAGGCCCGCCTATGGCTACCCATGGACCAATCAGCATGCACTTCCTCCCTTCTGAGCCCATAAAAACACCGCTAACTCTGCCAGATTAACACAGACGGTACTAACAGCTGCGGGAATCAACTATCCATTTCAGGTCTCCTCCACTTAGTCGGGATGGCCTGCCTGTGGAAAGGAGCTACCCAGTATGGGTCCCCTCTCTGCTGAACGCTAGCCGCTTATCAGGACGACCTGCCTGAGGAAAGGTGCTACCCACTATGGGTTTCCTGAGAGCTGTTCTGTCACTCAAGGAAGAGCCTCTCCATTTTGCTCACCTTCCAGTTGTCCACATACCTCATTCTTCCTGGATGCCAGACAAGAACTCAGACCCACCAGATGGCAGGACTGAAAGAGTTGTAACACAAACAGGGCTGAAACACAACCCCTCGCTTGCCACATTGCCAGCGACGGGAAGGAGAGAAGAGCTGCAGCCCTTTGGGGAGCTCAGACCTAGGGCCTCCTCGAGTTAGGGCTGTAACACCCTCTTTGGGTCTCTGAGGTTCCTGACGTCTCCAAGCTTCGGGGTGCCACCACGTTCCCTGACGTCCACAGCGGAAGCCATTTGCAGTATGCCTGGTTCAGCTGGAGCCTTGCATAGAGCTGGCGCCTGTGCAGGCACCTGGTGCTGCCCGCCCCACCACAGCCTGGCTGTGCACAGTGGCCAGACCCTGAGCTCCCTCACATACCCTTCACTGCTCCGTGCCTAGCTCACCCTTGGCAGGTGTGGGATCTGGGCTGGTAGCGCGAGCCAAGTGCACCCTGATGGGCCGAGTAGGCAGAATAAGCCCAGCAGGCCCAAGCAAAATTCGGGCAAAGGCGCTACCAGCCTCAGAGGTTTCCGGCTGGAAAAGCAACACCCTAGAGATCCTGTGACACTGGGATCTGGGATGAAGATCATGAACTGCAGGACTCAGGATGGGGGACTCACAGCCAGCTCCAGTTTTGCTGCTGCTACTTTTGCCTGTAATCTTCTTTTTGTCACTTTGACAGGTGCATCTGAATTTGCATTATCTGGAATCTCTGCCATACTCCCTAGACTATCTATCTATCTATCTATCTGTCTATCTATCTATATTTTATCCTTAGCTCCTTGTCCTCCTTTTCAGTTTGGATGCCTTTGGAAACATGCCCTGAGCAAAGATGTTGAGCACAAGTAGTGAGAGAAAGATGCCAATAAAATAGTATGCAGCTGGGCAGGTGACTGCTGGGGCAACTAGAGCTCAATGCTGCTGTGCATTTCTGGGACATTGTGTAGAACATGCCTCAAAATTTTACCGAAGGGCAATTAAGCAGGAGTAGTTATTCTCCAACTCCCAAAAGTAGCTCACCAAAGCCTCCAACTCAAACTCCTGAGCTCAAGTGATCTTCCGAATACCTGGGACTATAGGCATGCACCACTATGCCCAGCTAATTTTTAAAAATTTTTGTGTAGAGACAGAGTCTCACCATATTTCCCAGGCTGAGGACTGCTTTAGAGAACATTAATTCCCTAGCACATTCAGCCTGCCTTGTGCAAAGGGACCTTCCACAGTTCTAGAAAACCCTCAGTCATGGAGATGCAGATGTGGTCAGTCAGAAATCTGCTGGAGTACACTGAAATTGAAATGTCCAAGATATATGAACAGGTTTTTTTTTTTTTTTTTTTGGAGACGGAGTCTTGCTCTGTCACCAGGCTGGAGTGCAGTGGTGCTCACTGCAACCTCCGCCTCCTGGGTTCAAGCAACTCTCGTGCCTCAGCCTCCTGGGTAGCTGGGTTTACAGGCAGGCACCATCACACCCAGCTAATTTTTGTATTTTTAGTAGAGTTGGGATTTCACTATGTTGGCCAGGATGGTCTGGATATCCTGACCTCGTAATCTGCTCACCTCAGCCTCCCATTCATCTCTTTATGTAATCACTCAATAAGCATTTATTCACTGCCTCTTATATGTTTCAGGCACTGTGTAAGGGGCTAAGGATTCAAAATCAAATAAACCTCTTTTCCTGATATTGTTTCTTTGTCTTCATACACTTGGCATAACTGTGGAGATGAGTTTTTGTACATAAACTGAAATGAAGTGGTCTTCATTATAATGATTGGTAGAGGGTGATGGTTTGTGCTTCTGATAAACTAACTTGAGAAAAGCTTGGTACCTCCACTGTAAATCTCTGACTTGTGAAACTCTTTCCTCAGTGGTCCTCAAAGTGTGGTCCCTAAACTAGCAGTATCAGCCTCATCGGAAAAGTTGTTAGATATGAAAATTCTAAGTCCTTCTGAATCAGAAAGTCTGTGGATAGGCCTCAGAAATCTGTGTTTCAACAAGCCCTCCAAGTCATTGGAGAATTCATGATAAAGTTTAAAAACCACTCTTCTAGGAAAACTGACCAATGAATTAATAAGTCTCGTGCAATCTACTTTTTGAGACACTGCAGAAATACAAAAGAATGTCTTCTGAATTAGAATGAGAATTTAGGAAGGGATTCCTGGAGGAAGTGTAATGCTTCATCTAAGTTCTGAAGGATGAGTCTATAAGAGGTAGCTAAATAAAAAAGTGGGAGAGGAGGCGTGGCAGTTAGGTTGAGGGCCTTCTGGAAGAAAGCCTTCCGGAATTCTGGCACTAAAATCTCCCTGGATGTGTGCAGTTTTCCTCCTCTTCCCTACTGCCTTATGTGAACTTGCTCCCCATGCCCTGTGAGCCAGCAGGCCAACATTGTCCAGCTGAAGTCCTAATCTTGGTTTCTTGGCTACCTCTGCAGCAGATATGCTGAATTATGTGGAAGGTCACTGTGACATCCGTAGCTCCCTAAGGAAATGACTCTCACCATTCACGATCTTGTTCTTCCTTGCCCATTTCTCCAACCTCATTACTTGCCATCCTCCTAAGTACCCTGCCTCTGCACAAAACAAACATTTTTTTTTCTAGTTATTCTAAATGCCATGCTCTTTCTGACCTCCATGTATCCAGTAAGTTGTTGTCTTTGACTGGACTGTCCACCTTTACCAGTCATCTGATGGCTAAACTCATATTCACCCTTCACATCTCAGCTCAGCCATGGCTTCCTCTGTAAGACCTTCCCTTGACCTTCCAGGGAGGTAGGGGTTTCCATTTATTCTCCACCTAACAAACTTCCATATCCCTGTCACAGCAGGTAGCCCAAACTGTTGGTGCAGAAGCCTAATATTAGAGGGACAGATCCCAGAGCAGTGATCACTTTCTATTCATTGTTACATCCTCAGTGCTAAAAGGTGACATCCAGTAGGTGCTTAATAATAAAAGTAACACTTATTAGTTGCTTGTGATATGCCAGACCTTGTTTGCAGTACTTTGCTTGGACTTCGCTAATTCAGTAGATTTGGGTGTCTAATCCCAGCATTGTTCCTCACTCCACTCTGGGCCCTGTGCATTAGAAGGCTCAGCTCTGGCCCTCCTCTGACTGCCCTTCCTCCTACAGTGATACCTTGGATCAAGGGGACTTGCCTATCCTGAGCCCAGGTCCACCCCTTGGCTCTAGGTTTTCAGGCCCCCAGAATTCTCTATCGAAATGGCCTTGAAGCTACTTCCAGGGCCTTTCCAGGCATCTTCCACTGGTCTTCCCTCCAGGGGCAGTGCCCTAGGCCTGAGGAATGGCCTTAGCCTCCCTTTTGCTAGGGATGTGGATGTAGCTGAATATATGGGCCAGGATCTTCATGCATCATCTGGGAGGCCCTTGCAGTGTGAAGAAGAGCTTGGGAAGAGAGGAGGGCCAGGCCTAAAGCTAAGGTCCATTTTCCCAAGGCCACCACATTCCAGCATGGGACACTGAGGAGCCTCAGAATTCTACATTTAAACCCAGACCTTTAAATGTTGAAGGTATGTTTGTCAAGGCAGGCAGACAACACACAGTTTATTCAGCAACTTGTTGGGGGAATTCATAATTTTGAGATATTTAGATAGAGTATTCAGGCTCCATTTATACTCTTATCCTGAAACCCACACATATTAGGGGTGAGAACATTCACTCTCATAAGAAATTTTTTTTCATTTTTTTTTTTTTTTTTAATTAGAGAGTCCTACTCTTGCCCAGGCTGGTATTGAACTCCTGGGCTCCAGCAATCCTCCCGGCTTGGCCTCCAAAAGTGCTGGGATTACAGGCATGAGCCACTGTGCCAAGGCTAAACTTTTTTCACAAATAGATATTATTTCCCCCCACCACCACCACCATCACTACCACCACATTTTATGACTGAGTAAATTAAGGCTAAAATAGATTAAGTGTCTCATCTACACAGCTGAGAAATAGTAGAGCTGTAATTCAAACAGCCATTTGGCTCCAGACCACACACTCATATCGCCACAGTGATTGAAACATGGTAGCTGTTTCACAGACTTAGGACAGAGCCCTATGTCAGGAACACCAAAATCAAATCTGATAGACATCAGAGTCTGTTAAAGCTATGGAAATTAGCACTGAAAGCAAAAAGCGGAAACATGATAGGACAAAGAGATGGACATGCCTATAATAAAATGGAATAATAGATGAAAACATTTCCTTTTCCTGAGAAACATTTTTTAACCCAATTAAACATATAAAGATGAAAGTAAAGGTCTTTTTCTCCTGAATGTGTCTGTGTTCCCCCACTCCTACCCCCACTGACACCACATTTCTGAATCTGTGACACAACATAAATCACTGTGTAAACCAAATCATTAGGGTTGCCAGGTGTTCAATTTTGAACCAGACAGTCTGGTATTTGAGCTTTCTGCCTAGGAAACAAATAGAGAAAATACCAGTGATTTTTAATTAAGTCTTGTTATTATCATGTAAAGATGAACTTGCAGGAGAACATTCTCCCTGGCTCTTTGCATTGCACTTGACTCTGAGCCTGATTTCCACTAAGACATCAGCCTCTGTGTAGGCCAGACTGCCTCCAGACTGAGTGCCCTAGCAAGCTGATGAGCTTGGCTCTGAATGCGTATTGGCATGTTCTTATTGGTCAGGCCCATGCAATTGTGCTAGATCATTTTCTTTTATTGATATCTCCAAAGCTCCTTCAGCAGTCCGCAGAGTTCCCTGGGTGTATTTAGAAATGATAATAATAATAAAATACATACATAAATAAGTAAATACTCAGAAGCACATTTTGATGCAGGCAATTGATCCATTGATTAAGAGTCATATGAGTTAACTAAGCCCATAAGTCTACTCATGGCTATTGAATGGGAACCGATAGTAAAAATAAATAAATAAAAAATATATTTATATATATTATTATATCATTTACAAACACAAAACATTATTCTCAAGTAAAACCCTGAGTCCCAATTAAATCTGACTCTAGTAACAAGATGATAGTGTAAATATTTTAAATTAGTGTGGAAATCTATGATAAGAGAATACCTAGAAATCCTTCCATTTTGAGGGAATGGTTTATATGGTATTCATCAACTTTACAAATTGTTGGAAACAAAAGGGTTTGAATGGGTATTAGAAAAGAATCTTGTTTCCTTAAAGAACTTTGTTTAACCTTAAACAATGGTAAATGCCTTTTATTTACCACTGGATACTCAAGGACCTTTAATATGTTCGTGTACATTCAGAGGAAAGAGACCAGGGAAGCTTTTGTTTTCAGAGAACTAATTAATGTTCCCCCCTGAAGACTGGGAAATACTAGTCTACCACAGTGTAACTTCAGAGTTATAAATTCTTTGTCAGCTAGGTACTAATATTTGAGTTGCATACTCTTCTTGTAAGGCTTAATTCCTTATAACAGAGGAACATAGAAACAGAGCATGCAAATGCATCCCACTAGACAGTTGCACCACAGGATTTACCTTCATGATCCAGGCTTTCCCTTTTTCTGCCTCTCACTAATGCATTACCATATATGGAGTGGCTCTCAATGGGTTGAGGGGGATTAATTTTTTCCTCTACCCCAGGAGGACATTTGACAAGATCTGGGCACAGTTTTGGTTGGGAGGTGCCAATGGCATCTGATGGGTAGAGGCCAGGGATACCGCTAAACATCCCACAATGCACAGGACAGCACCCCAGCCCCTCCCTACTCCAGACCAAAGAATCATCCAGCCCAAAATGTCCACAGTGCAGAAACTGAGAAACCCTACTGTACAGATCTTTGGAATAGATAATTCAGCCCATTTGGGTTATTAAAACTATCAGAAATGATAGTGTAGATCTATTGGCTGGTGTATCAGGAGCCCCTGAGGATGGTGAAAGGAGTAGGTAGAGGGGTAGAGAATTTTCATCTGTGCCCTCCCCCACCCCCTTTGTTTCATTTTCCTATTTGTCACACTAAGCAGCAGTTAATTCTTGAGAACAGACCTATTTAGGAAGGTGACACTGCCCAGGCTTCCGGGTCTGGCCAAGGAACTTGAGGAGACCATCAGAGCTGCCTCTTCTGAAGCAAGGAGGTAGACACCACCCAAGACTTAGACTGATAATATCGGAAGCTTGTACTGATTCATTGAACATACACACACAACCCCCTCTCTCTCCCCCATTAACAAGAATCTTTAAACTGATATACAATAAAAATTATAAAATATAATTCTCAAATTTTCTAAGATGGAATAATATGGATAATTTTTATTGTGAAAATAATACCCCCACTGTGAAAAAATAGTCTTCATGTAGTTATATTTTTCTTAAAATTCCTAAGTGTGTAAACAAACAAAAAAAACAACATTGGAAAGTCACCACACTTGAAAACTCAGGATATCATATTCTGAGTGTTTTGTGTTTAACTAATGGTGAGAAATCTTCTTTTGATAAAGAATCGTGATTTAAACCTGTATCCCATCCTCGTGGGGGGAAATAAGAACTCCCTACAAATTCTATTTATGAGGAGGTTGGTACCTTAGACAGGGGCTCATTTCCCTTGAGGGAAAAGCAATCTCTTGATCGATGGAAATCATTTTTCAACAAAATACCTACAACACTAAATCTGTTAAAACTAGATCAATAGTCTGTTCCAATTCTTGTATTAAATAGTAGTATGGAAAAAATGTTTTGTGTCAGTGGTAATCTATAGTAACCACAGGATAGGTATAGAATTATAAAGAAGTTAACTTTGTATTTCGTTTGTTTAGAGAAAAACATGTTTTTGAACATTACAAATTTATTTTAAAAATATAATATTAATATAAAATGCAATATAGAGTATCACTTAAAAATTCCCATATGTTTTAACAAATGTTTTTTATTATGATATTTATATTAAATATCTACTAATTTGCTAACACATTTGAAACCCTACAAATCACTCGAAAATTAGGTATATACTCAAATAAACCAAATTAATTTAGATTAACAGGTTACTCTAAGAATACATATTAATTTCATTCTTCTTCCCCTTCCTCTTCTTCCTCCTCTTTTTCTTCTTCTCCCTCTTCCTTCTTGTCCTTCCTGTTAAAATTCATGATTTTAAAGCTGCTTAATTCGCTCATCTGGATGGAGACTATAAAATAGTAACCTCAAAGAGAAATTTTAAGGATTAAGTAATGAATAGTAGTATTTTTTAATGCCTAGAATATGGCATACCTTCAATAAATCTCTTTTGGTACTAAACTTAGTTCTACAGAGTTCCTGCTCTTTGGACCAGAATGATGTAGGGTGGGAGAGATAAATCTAATTAAATTTTATCAGCAATAAAGGTATCCACTATTGAGGACTTATGAGGTCCAGTTTACACGCTTCTTTAATCATTGTGAAAATTCTAGGCTATGAGTAGGATAGGACCTGCTTATATTTATTGAACACTCACATGTTAAATCAGTTAATCCTCACAGGAGGCTTCCAAGGTGGTAGTACCTTTATCCCCATTTGACCAATGAAGACACCACAGTTCATGGAGTTCAGCCTGTGTGCTCCAGTGAAAATGTGTGAGAAGTGATCACTGATGTGTTCCTTGGGTGATACGGTTTGGCTGTGTTCCCACCCAAATCTCATCTTGAATTGCAGCCCCCAGAATTCCCACGTCATAGGAGCGAATCTATGGGAAGTAATTGAATCATGGGGACAGGTCTTTCCCATGCTGTTTTCTTGATAGTGAATAAGTTTCACGAGATCTGATGGTTTTCTAAAGGGGAATTCTCCTGCACACACCCTCTTGCCTGCCGCCATGTAAGACATGCCTTTGCTTCTCTTTTGCCCTCTGCCATGATCGTGAGGCCTCCTCAGCCATGTGGAACTGTGAGTCCATTATAAATTGCCCAGTCTTGAGTATGTCTTTATTAGCAGTGTGAGAACAGACTAATACCTTGGGTCATCAACAGGGGGTGATGCCAGCCTAGCCCGTGCTGCTTCTATGTGATTAGGAAAGCATGCCCTCTCTGGGAAGACATATTTAAGAGCCAAGAGTGAGGGCTGGAGTATATGTAGCTCCTAACCCTTCTCCATAGGGGGAATCTATGAATGGTGGCCCAAGTAAGCCTCTCAGAGTTTTCTGAAGATATAAATGCCCATTTAAAACTCAAAAGTATTTGAATGGTCTTATATTTCCAGTTATAGAGGCTCTAAGTGTTTCTTGGGATTCTGGCCCAAGGCTTTTTCTTCTAGAGCTGCCTTCTTAATACTCTGTGCCACTTTCTAGCAAATGATGGCATCATGAGACTGGAATGTACCTGAGGGAACTGAAGCCTGATCTGGGCATGTGGTCAGTACACATCCTCCAAGGTCTTGTAAAAGTAACTGCAACATGGGTATAGAATTGTGGTGCATGACTCTATATGACACTCTGGAAAAGAAAAAACTACAGAGAATATATACATATATGCATATATATATATAATTTTTTATGGAATGCTTCACAAATTTCCATGTCATCCCTGCACAGGGGACATGCTAATATTCTCTGTATCGTTCCAATTTTAGTATATGTGTTGCCAAAGCAAGCACTGGAGACCATATAAATATCAGAAGTTGACAGGCGTTGGGCAGAGGAAGAGATGGCTAGGTGGAGCACATGGCATTTTTGTAGCAGTGGACTATTCTGTATGATACTGTAATGGTGGATACATGTCATTATGCATTTGGCAAAACTCATAAAGCTATGTAATGAGAAGAGTTAATTGCTGCTTACTCGTCATTGTGGACAACCAGGTCATCTTGTCTTCTTTAGAATATATCACCAGTGTGTGCAAGAATGCTCTAAAATTCTGTTGTGAATGTCTGATTTAAAGATTAAATGGGAATGAGACTGTCACATGAATACAAGTGTTCTAAGTCATGTTCATAAATTGTACAGACTATTCTGCTTCTAATAGTCCCTTTCAAGTAAAATTCCATAAAATATGTTCTATCCAACTTTAATGATACAAAATCAAAGTCTACCACCAATAAAAACATCAAATAATATTACTGGGAACAATGAAAAGAAAGCCAGAAAATGGAGCTTTTCTGCCATTAGATCCTAAATACTTCAGACCGTGAATTGGTATTTAAAGTGCAGTTGCCTACATTGGTAGGAACCCTGCAATTATAGGTTAATCAGCTAAAATATCTGTCATGTTTGTGTAACATAGGGATACAACCAATGTTGTATACAGCAACAAATAATAATAGCTTCATAATTGCTAACACTCACCATATTCAAGGTAATTCTTTACTAATAAATAAAATAGACACCAAAAAATATTAGAAAGGATTACATAATGCAACAGTTATTCCTGCTAACTTTGCTTGTTTGCATGCACAGTAGTAGATGTATAGGCACATAAATGTATGTATTTTTTTAATTGATAGATTTTTTTGAGCAGTTTTTGGCTTACAGAAGAATTGAGCTGAAAGTACAGAGAGTTCCCATACACTCCTCTCCCCTCTTTCTCAGTTTCCTGTATTATTAGCATCTTGCATTGGTGTGGTACATTTGTTACTGAACCAGTATTGATATATTATTATTAACTAAAGTCCATAGTTTATGTTAGGGTTCACTCTTCATGTTACATAGCTCTATGAGTTTTGTCAAAAGCATAATGACATGTATCCACCATTACAGTATCATACAGAATAGTTCACTACTATTAGTTCCACCCAGCCATCTCTTTCCCTGCCCAATGCCTGGCAACTTCTGGTATTTTTATTGTCTCTTGTGCTTGCTTTGGCAACACATATACTAAAATTGGAATGATACAGAGAATATTAGCATGGCCCCTGTGCATGGATGACATGGAAACTTGTGAAGCATTCCATGAGAAAAATACACATATATATACATATGTATATATATACACACATATAGGCATATATGTATACATATATGTGTGCATATATATAGTCTCCTATATATGTATATACATATATACGTATCTGTGTATATATAGAAGACTATATGCATATACATATACACATATATGTATATATACAGAAGACTGCGTATGCATACACACATGTGTATACATCTGTGTGTATACATACACACACGTGTATGTATATGTATATGTATATGTGCATATACACACACACAGGTGTGCGTATACACACACACAGGTGTGTGTATACATACACACAGGTGTGTGTATACGCACACCTGTATGTGTATACATACACACAGGTGTGTGTATACGCACACCTGTATGTGTATACATACACACAGGTGTGTGTATACACACACGTATGTGTATACACACGTGTATACACATACACGTGTATACACATACACGTGTATACACATACACACATGTGTATACATATGCACATGTGTATGCATATACGTATATGCACATGTGTATACATATACACATGTGTATGCATATACATATACACACATGTGTATATGTATACACACATTACATATATATGTATACATATGTATACATATATATGTGTATATAGTCTCCTATAGTTTTCCCTTTTCCAGAGTGTCAGATAGAGTCATGCGCCACATTACACCACTTCCGTCAACATCAGACTACATATATGACAATGGTGTCTTATAAGATTATAATACTGTATTTTTGCTGGATGTTTTCTAGGTTTACACATGTTTAGATACACAAATCGTTAACATTGTGTTGTATGTGCCTACACTACTCAGTACAGTAACATGTACAAGTTTGTAGCCTAGGAGCAATAGACTATACCAGTATAGCCTAGGTGTGTAGTAGGCTATACCATGTAGGTTTGCATAAATCACTCTACGATGTTCACATGATGACGACATTGCCTAACAATGCATTTCTCAGGACATATCTCTATTATTAAGTGGCTCATGACTGCAGTTGGTATCAGACAATATGTAGCCTTTTAAAATTGGCTTCCTTCACTTAGCAATATGGTGAATCTTCTTTTGACTTTGGTTTTAAGACACAGGCTTCAGGAAACAAATATGATCACAACATAGAGTAATTTTCAAAACTCATATAAATTTTTTCAGATAGATCTTATAGAAATTTCACTGAGACAACTTCTAACTCCTCTCTCCTATTGTCTCAAGCCATTTATCTATAATTCTTAAAGTATAGATAGAAGTATCCCAGGAAAAAATTTTGATAAGTCCTTCCTTAAGATGACCTTTCAGGTGAGGACTTGGGAAATCAAGAGAACACAGTAGTGGCTTCTCCTTGATTCCATGAGATGTGAATATCCACAGGAGATTTTGCAGCAGAAGTAGGCAAACTATAGCCTGCAGGTCAAATCCAGCCTCCCATCTCTTTCAGTATAACCCAGATGCTAAGAATGCTTTTTTATCAATACGTATTTATGATCAACTTGATGACAGGGAAAACTAATTTTGAACAACAATTAAGCAAAATGTTACCCACCCAAAAATGATTTCATCCTTTTCATTACTAGAATAAATTTTCTTCTTATTTACTAGTTAATATTTTAAGTATTCAATTATTATTATGTTTAATTTCATCAATAAAATGTTCGTAAAAATTTGCTTTCTCTCTTTCTATATCAGTACCTACACAATATCCTCAATTTTACCTCTTGGTACACAAAAACTAAAATACTTATTCTTGGCCCTTTACAGAAAGTGTTTGTCAATCCTATTCAAGAATAATCAAATGGTCTCTAACTGTTTTTCTTCTTCTCCCCTTCATTTTTTTCTTTTATTAGTAATATGCCCTCATCTAACTGTATCATTACGTTCTAGAAGACACAGTTAGTATGATCTGGACTATGAAGTAACGAAAAGGTTTAAAGAACTCCACCCTTGGACATTAAAAAAGGAAAGCTGTCTGTTAGTCAAGAGTCTAGAAAAGGAGGCCATAAGTGGTACCAACTTTTCCAGGCTTTGGTAAATACAGAAATCTCTATTTTTTTGTCACCATCTCTCTGCTTCTCATGTGGGTCAGCAGGGGTGTAGTGGAAAAAGGCTTTGTAGTTAGACAAACCTGCCACCCACCAGCTTCTGGACTACAAACAACTGCTCATCCTCTTTGCATTTTGGGGTTTTAAATTTTGTTTTGCTTCGTTTTTGACTTATAAAAGGGTTATTTCAATGACTACATGATATAACGTTCTTACACAATAGAAGCTCATAACTTTGTGTAGTTGTAAAGCTTTAGGTCCTAATGAGAATTAAATGTTTTCTTCCTTTCTTCTTTCCAAGAAAACTCTCTCCGCGCGCGCGCGCGCGTGTGTGTGTGTTCAGAGGAAGAAGGGAAAACTGGAATAAAAGTCCCATTACACCTCATGGCTTATAGGAGAGCAAACCTAGCAAGGCGTCTGTATTAGTCTGTTTTGTGTTGCTGTAAAGAATACTTGAGACTGGGTAATTGGTAAAAGAAAAAAGGTTAAATTTGGCCAATGATTCTGCAGGCTGTACAAGCATGACACCAGCATCTGCTCAGCTTCGAGGGATGCCTCTGGAAGCTTTTACTCATGGTAGAAAGCAAAGGAGGAACAGGCATGTCACATGGTGTGATGGTTAATACTGAGTGTCAACTTGATTGGATTGAGGGATACAAAGTATTTATCCTGGGTGTGTCTGTGTGGGTGTTGCCAAAAGAGATGAACATTTGAGTCAGTGGGCTGGGGAAGGCAGATCCACCCTTAATCTGGTGTGCACCATCTAATCAGCTTCCAGCGAATATAAAGCAGGCAGAAAAACGTGAAAAGGAGAGACGGGCCTAGCCCTTTAGGATATACACATTCTAAACCTGTGCTTAGAGCTCTCTCTCTCTCTCTGTCTCTCTATATATATATCCTATTAATTCTGTCCCTCTAAGAGAATCCTGACTAATCCAGTAAATTGGTACCCGTACAGTGGGGTGCTGCTGAAAAGATACTCAAAGATCTTTGGAACTGGATAACAGGCAGAGGTTGGAACAGTTTGGAGGCTCAGAAGAAGATGGGAAAATGTGGGAAAATTTGGAACTTCCTAGAGACTTGTTGAATAGCTTTGCCCAAAATGCTGAGAGCAATATGGATAATAAAATTCAGGCTAAGGTGATCTCAGGTGGAGATGAGGAACTTATTGGGACCTAGAGCAAAGGTGACTCTTGTTATGTTTTGGCAAAGAGTCTGGCGGCATTTTGCCCCTACCCTAAAGGTTTGTGGAACTTTGAACTTGAGAGATAATTTAAGGTATCTGGCGGGAGAAATTTCTAAGCAGCAAAGCATTCAAGAGGTAACTTGAGTGCTATTAAATGCATTCAGTTTTATAAGGGAAGCAGAGCATAAAAGTTTGGGAAAAGTCGCAGCCTGACTATTCGATAGAAAAGGAAAAGCCATTTTCTGGGGAGAAATTCAAGGCGGCTGCAGAAATTTGCATAAGTAGTAAGGAGCCTAATATTATTTCCCAAGACCACGAGGAAAATGTCTCCAGGCCATGTCAGAGAACTTCCCAGCAGCCCCTCCCATCACAGGCCCAGAGGCCAAGGAGGAAAAAGTGATTTCATGCACTGGGTCCAGGGTCCCCATGCTGTGTGCACCCTAGGGACTTGGTGCCCTGTGTCCCAGCTACTCCAGCTATGGCTGAAAGGGGCCAACATAAAGCTTGGGCTGTGGCTTCAGAGGGTGGAAGCCCCAAGCTTTGGCAGTTTCCATGTGGTGTTGAGCCTGCAGGTGCACAGAAGTCTAGAATTGAGGTTTGGGAACCTCCTTCTAGATTTCAGAAGATGTACGGAAATGCCTGGATGCCCAGGAAGAAGTTTGCTGCAGGGGTGGTGCCCTCATGGAGAACCTCTGCTAGGGCAGTGCAGAAGGCAAATGTGGGGTTGGAGCCCCAACACACAGTCCCTACTGGGGTACCGCCTAGTGGAGCTGTGAGAAGAGGACCACCGTCCTCCAGACCCCAGAATGGCAGATCCACTGACAGCTTGCACTGTGAACCTGGAAAAGCCACAGACACTCAATGCCAGCCCGTGAAAGCAGCCAGGAAGAAGGCTGTACCCTGCAAAGCCACAGGGGTGGAGCTGCCCAAGGCTTTGGGAACCCACCTCTTGCATCAGCATTACCTGGATGTGAGATATGGAGTTAAAAGAGATCATTTTGGAGCTTTAAGATTTGACTGCCCCGCTGGATTTCAGACTTGCATGAGCCCTGTAACCCCTTTGTTTTGGCCAATTTCTCCCGTTTGGAATGACTGTATTTACCCAATACCTGTACCCCCATTGAATCTAGGAAGTAACTACCTTGCTTCTGATTTTACAGGCTCATAGGCAGAAGGGACTTGACTTGTCTCAGATGAGACTTTGGACTGTGGACTTTTGGGTTAATGCTGAAATGAGCTAAGACTTTGGAGGACTGCTGGGAAGGCATGATTGGTTTTGAAATGTGAGGACATGAGATTTGGAGGGGCCAAGGGCAGCATGATATGGTTTGGCTGTGACCCCACCAGAATCTCAACTTGAATTGTATCTCCCAGAATTCCCACTTGTTGTGGGAGGGACCCAGGAGGAGATAATTGAATCATGGGGGCTGGTCTTTTTTGTGCTATTCTCGTGGTAGTGAATATGTCTCACAAGACCTGATGGGTTTATCAGGGATTTCCACTTTTGCTTCTTCCTCATTTTCCCTTGCCGCTACCATGTAAGACAAGCGTTTTGCCTCCCACCATTATTCTGAGGCCTCCCCAGTCATGTGCAACTGTAAGTCCAATTCAACCTTTCTTCGTTCCCAGTTTTGGGTATGTCTTTATCAGCAGCATGAAAACAAACTAATACACATGGCAAGAGAGGAAGCAAGAGAGAGAGAGGGGGGACGTGCCAGGCTCTTTTAAACAACCAACTCTTGTGTGAAGGAATAGAGCAAAAACCCACTCATTACTGTGGGGAGGGTACCAAGCCATCTTGAGGGATCTGCCCCAGTGTCCCAAACTCCTCCGACTAGGCTCTACCTCTAACATTGCGATCACATTCCAACATGAGATTTGGAGGGGACAAACATCCAAACCATATCAGGATCGACTGTAGCAGCTCAGAACAGGAAAGGAGAGTCAGCAGTCTGAAGCCTGGGACAGTTTTAGAAAGAAAGAAGGGACTTTGAAGTGTCATCTAGACCGAGAAGTGATACACTGCACCCTGCTGTCCTCCACCCATAACATGTGATTGTATTTTCATCATTTCTTTTCATGACTGTTATAATACTCTAAGTATTCTCAGGAAGTATTCAAGATAGAAGGATTTTCATTAACACCCAGAAAGTGAACTGTCCTTGTTGTCTAGAAACAAGAGTCTGTGACCTTTAATTCTTGCAGACGTAAAAACACTTCAGCTAGAGGTTTTTCCAGAAAGATCCACACCTTGGATGGGGAAGAGAATTCAGTGTACTTATGTGGAAAAATGAGAAGGCTGAGTCAGGGTTTGTTTCTGTCAAATAGAAAATGGTTCCAAGAAGCTTCCGTTTTCTAAACCTATGCTTAGAGCTCTTTATGTCTGGTTTATCATCTTGGCTCCCTTCAACTCAACATAGGCCTATTCAAGGACACCCAAGAGGAAAACTATATGCTCAAATAACCATCTTGCTGCTAAAGCACATGTTTTTCTATAATCATTTTGCTTTGCTTCCTGCCATAGTTCTAACAAGAAATTTATCAACACAGCAGAACTGGTTCAGTGAGGGGCTGACCTGTTTCGTGAACATCAGTTCCAGAACATTTGTTTTAAAAATGTGAAGATACCTAGAACTCAACAATTATGTCCTCTTTTTTAATCTTAACCCATGTTGCCTTCTTCCAAGTACTGAAGATTAAATTTGTCACTAAATACAGTGGCTTTCACAATTAGAGTGTATGGAACATTAACTGGCAAGGAAATTGTATTTTACATGCTTGTACTTACTGGGAAAATTGTGTGCTGGGGGTACTACCAAAAAAAAAAAAACACACATAGTTAGGAGATTAAAAATGTAGAAAAAAAATTAACAACCAGACTTCTGGGGTGCTCAAAAGTCACAGTACAGTTTTAAGCATTAATAACTTTAGATGTATAAAGGTTATGTATAAACTTATGAAACTATGATTTGAAAGTTCAATTAGATAAGTTTCTTTTATATTCATAGAATTTTGTGACTCTTGAATAATAAATCTGTAATTTAAAGTTTGGTTGCAGTTCCTCTGAAGAAGCCAAATGTTAAATAAAACAAAAAAACTAGAATGAAAAAATTAATATTAAAAGTTCAAAAACTAAATTACTGTAAAAGAAGTTTGAATTATTAAACATTTATATAATAGTGTTATAAGTATATAGTATTTATACTGCTGAGATTAGTACAGCTTCTAAGATTTTTTGGGACATCCTGATCCATTCTAAAAAGATTCAAATAGCAATGCAACATGCCGTATGGTCCTATGTAGTAGGACTTAAAAACGAATAGGTGCTGGTCTCGCTTTTGAAGAGACCACATTATACAAAATTATTACAAAAGAGTACAATAAAAACTGGGTTTGTATAAGGGGGGATCGCATCAAAAAAAGCTTATGGACAACATCAATATCATATATTTTATAAAATATATGAATTTAGGTCTTAACGATAGAATTAGGCTTTTGGGTTGGCAAATCTGTTACGGATTATATAACAGTACTGAGGTAGCTTAGATTTCTGTTTTTTACAATCATTTACATAAAATTATGTTTCAGAAGCAATATGGAATGTGTGACTATGCAATGCACACATACACTCACACACAATTAACTGGAAGAATGCCTGTTTATTTTAGCGATTCAGTACAGAAAAAAGCATGTAAACCACAAGCTTAATACAAGGCCACTGTCATGATTTTAAGGGCATCCTTTCAACCCGTATTAACTCTGATCCCTGGTGATCATTTACTCTGACTCCAAGTTATTAAAAGCATCTCCAACGTATAGTGCACGTGATGTTTGTTTTTAATCATTTCATATAATAGATTTCACGTGGGGAAAATGTTGGCAAATATTTTAGACTATAAAAAAATATTGATAGTTGGGTAAATGCTAGTGTGCTGCAATTTCCTTCACATCACCATAAAAGGAGGGCTTTAAAGGCAATATTTTAATTTCCTGAGACTTCTCGCCGTACTCTACATTTGAAATGGGATGGGAAATGCCACTTGTGATAACATTTTAATTTTAAACTTGGTAAGAGTTATACCATTATAAAGGTAACTACCATAAATTTTCTTTAAAAGATGCTTCACACCAGACAACCAGGGGGAAAGTATAAGAGTATATGGTGGTTTTCATGTCAAACATCATTAAAAGGTATTTGATGTTAACAGCAGAACTATGATTTTCAGATTGTGCCTGCATAAAACCAAAACAAGTGGTCAATTTGTTGAATAGTGAACTGCACACTGAATGCCATATGGCCTAAAAGGAGAAGTGCATGGCCATGGCCATGGCTTTCACTGGTGTTTGGATCCTGAGCTACAGGCAGGAGAAATGTGATGATTTGCATCATCTTCTTAAGTCATGCTTCAGTTTACTGCCATCCTTCTGCTCAGAGTGATCATGCTTCATTTCAGTCACTAAGCTCCACCGCCAGGAAAAAATACAAGCAATTTATCTTGGTGTTGTAGGTTGGGCTCCCTGGAAGGTAGGTTAACCTGCAGGAGCTTTATTAGGGAGGGCTCTTGGGATACACTGCCATAGAAGGGAAGGGACAGAAGCAGGAGTGGGCAGAGGGAGCTGCAATGCAACCTCAAGGGAAGTTTCAGTTGGCCCTAGAAGGAACGCTGAAGATGGGTTGACCTTCCAGAGTTGTCCTGAACTGCAGCAAAAAAGTCAAGCCTCTATACCCCTACTTTGATCAGTCACTGGATATGGATTATGCCAAAAAGGTGGCATGGCCTTGCGCACGGTAGCTCTCTTCAGTTGAGGCAATCCTCAAAGGGGCTTGACAGCTGAGGACTGTCTACCAGCCTCACTCCCAGCTGCTGGGGAACAAGTCCTTTATTCCTAAAGTAGGGGGTGGTTCTGAGTTGCTTATCACAGTGTCTACCATGCCCAAGAAGCAAGAATATATTTGCCACAAAATGCTCTTTCAGGCTTACTTTTGACTATTCCTCTTTATAAATTCTCCTCTCAAGTAGAAAGAAAGAAGAGAATCTCCCTCATTCTCAAAGCTAGGTCTGTGCAATGAGGCTCAGGGGCTTCGTTGAGCTAAGTCGTTTGCCCATCTCTGACCCAATCACAGTTGCCAGGAGGGAATGCAATGCTCTCACTGGCCAGGCCTGGGAGAAATACTCGAGGAGAAAGAGGGGTTCTACTCAGCAAGTAAGATGAGTAGACCCTGGACAGCCAGAAAACTAATAGATGCCCCCAAAATGTTGTTATACATACTTTTTCTTCTCTTGCTTTTGCTCAAACCCTTTTCCCTCCCTGTAACGCTGGTTTGTGTTCTCCTCTTCATAGGCCCTGGCACATGGCAAGTACTTAAGCCGTGTATGATCAGACTCTGCTCAACTTGCAGGCATACAGCCTTCCAAGGGGTCATGGCCAAGGTGCACAGGAAACCCACCCAGGAGCTGCATTCAAACTGCAATTGTGCTTCTGAGACTGGGACGGCTGAGCTCCCAGGCAGCCCTGGGGTGGAACAATGACTGGCTGTCAGCAGCTGTGCAGACAACCGGAGACCGGGAAATGGGGTAGGGGGAGCGTGGGTGAGGCAGGTGGTGGCTTTTATCTCTTCCACGCCTGGCAGAGCCCATTACCAACTGGCTCAATATGACAGAGCTAGCTCTGCTTTCCTATTCAGGAGGGAAAAGAAAAATCAAGGGTAAAGAGACTTCAGCACCAACTGTACCACATTTTAAAAGTGTACTCCTTCCCATTGGCTCCGAATGCTATAAGAACTACCGGGCTCTTGTTACAGGGGTTCTGGGACTTTGCTGAGCACCCTATTATTTTCAGGCTTGGACCCCCACATTATGTCAGAGGTGTTTCTTTTGTTCTAGGTAATTTGCTTGAACGAGCTGTTTACTGTAGCTTGGGGCTGGATGCTCACTTCCTCACACTTTTTAAGTTAAAACAAACAGCCATGATGTAGACTATTTTTCTTCAGTTCAGAGAAAGGGAGAAATCTGGCTGATTTGATGCAAAACTTCAGTGGTCTTACTTTTAGGTCTTATGTATTATTGTTAGTGTCAAACTTTCACTGTTCACGATGGTTTGCCATAATTGGTGTTTTCTTTGTTTAGTTCCCACCACCAATTAAGAATTAATGACAAAGTATTTTGAAATTCAGTCAGGTTTTTGTGACCCTTTGGGGTTCATTTGGGTGACAAATAAGAAAAACCCATCAAACAGCCTTTAATAAAAGGAATTTACTATCACATATAACTGAAACATCCAGCAGTAGCATGGGCTACAGGGAACAACCAAAACACCCTATTTGTTTGCATCTCCCCTCTCTGACTTCTGCTGTATCTGCCTGATGCTGTTGTCCTCTGGTCATAACATGAGTGCCAAGAGCACACGGCGCTCAATGCATCTTCATTCATAACAAGAGGTAGAGGCCAGAGTTGGAAAGGCCACAAAAAGCCCTGAGGCTCCCTTGCTAAAAACACATGACCAACCCTGAGCTAAACACCATGACCCAAGGGATAGGAAATAGTGATTAGCTTAAACACATTAGGGCCTCATCCTGCAGCAAGGACAGTTAATTCAACACAAACCACATGGCTGGATGGAGAGAGAGGGGAAGGGCTAAGTCATGAGAGAGTGGAGACACCAGGTACCGACTCGATGAGTACAATATCTGTCCCCTCCTGGAAGACCACAGCTGCACATTTTCCAAATGCTTTGATGAGACCATGGCCAGGAAAAGTGGCAAAAAGAACTTGGGGGAACAAAGAGTACTATGTCATTTCCCATCACGGAGCCTCACAGGTATGAGCATATCATACACACTGAATGGATAATAAGGACAGGGTTTAGCTATTAATATAGGAAAGTTATTATTATCTAAAAATACCAATTAAAAAGGCAAAGATAACATTTAGTAAAAGAGATCCTCCTTCTCTCACTCTCTCTCTCTCTGTATTTCTTACCCCACCCCGATTCCTCTCTCTTTCCTTCTCTCTTTCCTGCTCTTCCTCCCACCACAGAGGAAATCCATTGTACAACTTCACTGAATGGCAAAACTACTGACCCTAAGTGACAAACTGTCTCAGATCAGAAAGTGGTGTCAACTCAAAGGTGGCAGAAGAGTCAGGAGGTCTATGGACAAGCCACACATTCTTCTCTGTCACTCCTCATGAGAAAGTAGAGGTGAAAGGGCTTGGCTTGAACATTAATCCATTTGAATCTGTCTGCCACACAAGGAACAACTTGTCACTAGCATCAGGCAGCATCACTCCTTTCCAGCTTTATATTTGGTAGTTGCAGTCCTCAGCATGCTTTGAGGATGTCACTCCAAAATAAGTCAAGTAAAACCAGGTTCACTGAGTGATTTTGGAGGAAAAACATGGGAGAAACACATCTAAAATAGGCATTTCCAACTCATAGTGCTCTTAGGTGTGAACTTTTTCTAAGAGCTCCTGATACAAGCAAGACATTGGCAGATATAGCACTAGATTCACTGACGCTCATTTCAAAACAAAACAAAACAAACAACAGTAAGTTAATTTACTTGCTGGTTTATTGTTATTATTATATTTTTGTTGTCTTTGTGTTGCTGAGCTACAAATATAAAAAACGGTGGGTATGTGAACTAATGGATATTTCATGGATTAATAGGAACAAACATAGTTTTAAGAAATGCCCAGAAAATAAATAGAAGATTCATTCTGTCCTCAAATCTTGTGTTGACACAAGTAGACTTAAGGCTAATCACTGTTTAAGTTATTTGTTCTCATCTCGCTGCATTTATCTATAACCATAAAATTAAATGACCTGAACTGTACATTTGTTTTAGGAGTGCCTACCACGGCTATAGTGATCTTGGGACTATAATTCCTTCTTCAAGTAAAGAATAACATGAAGCTATTTAGGTGCTTTCTACTGCTCTGTGCCTCTGCTATAGCAGAAGAGATAAAAGTGGCTTAGCAGGCATTTTAAGGAATATCTTCAAATAATGTGTAACTACCTAAGTGGCGGCATGGTGCATTACACTTTTGGCTGGTGCTGATTTTCTAAAATGAGGTTCTGCATAAGGTAGGGAAGATAGGGTAATGCTATTTATTTAGTCCGACAAATAATTCAAAGCTCACATTTCAAAAAACTCTTTTTCTTCTTTTTACCTTTGCTTTTGCCATTGCTGCCTATCATCATGGCATACCCCTCAACACTGCTCAAATTCAAGTGGTAAATTTCTGTAGGGCAACATGTTGTTTTTGGAGTTATAAATGTTTGAGCTCTCCAATCTTGGAGCAGAAGCATGAAGTGAGCTTTTTTTATGAAGCTGAGGTTAAGAAAACAAAGGAAACATAATCTTGCCAATAACACAAGAACTAGACACTTTATATATCTGGGAAAGAAGAGAGAATAAAAGCACTTGCTTCTATGTTGAAATTTAGTTGGAAGGCAGGAGATAAATTTTCAGAAAACAATCCATAACTAAGCCGAAACAATGTATTCAGTGGTAAAAAAAAAAAAAAAAAAATAGGGAGGTGGGGAGAGACCTCTGTGTTTCAAAGACTGAAAAAAATTATGGAAAAAAATTAGCTGGGAAGGAGTTTTCTTTAGTTTATCTTCTATTTCAAAAGCTAAATTTCTAAAAATCAGGGGGAAAAGTGTAGCTTAATTACAACAAAAACCCAAGAGGGATAATTAGTCTCATGATATAGTTTTGCTCAGATAAACAAAACATGCTCTTTATAGAAATTTTGGGTAATAAAGAATAATTCTTATAATCAGATCTCTGTCCTCTGAGTTCAGAAGATCAAGTGTGAGAAGATACACACCTGGAGTGATGATGAGTTTGCTTCCCCTATCTCCTCAACAGTGTGAAAAGTTGATTAGAGGGGCCAGAAGGCACCCAAGAAGCTTCCATAATCCCACAGCAATCTTTAGGAGGGCTTTATAAATCTTATATAATGTCATGATGACAGAGTTTGCCAAGAATCCTATATGTTTTAGGCTTCTTTGGGGAGGAATCAACTTAAGGGGCATATTTTAAAACTACTCTTGGTGGAGTGTTTGGAGACCCAAGATCAGTGTGACCTAGGCTGTCCCCAGAGACCTGGGTGGACACCCATCATAAATAGACCAGGATGCAATAATGGGGTACATTTGCTGGCTTTTTCCTGTAGTACCTCCTTTTGTCTGAAGTTGTGCAACCAGCATTTGGAGCAGGATCCAACTGCCTCATATATAATCATTGTTTAATCAAAGTCCACCATGCTGAACCTCACAGGTTCTCCTGTTTCTCTGAGTAAAGACAGCCAATTACATATAACTGCTACATTTTCTGGCAGAATAAGGGTTTTACTCAAGCTTCCCAACTCCTCCTCCACTAAACCCACAGAAAAGGAAAGAGAAAAGGAAAAAAATCCATCCAACCATGATGCAAAGTAATAGGTACGTCTTTTAAAAGAAGTACCTTTTTAAAAGTAATAGGTACTTCTTTAATAAGGTGATAATAAACATAGTTTATTTTAAGCAATAAATGAACAGATAAAGTGGCTCCAGTCATGCCATACCATCCACTTTAAGTACATGCATTTTACTACGTAAACTACATGTCTGTGGTTTGTGTTGATTCTCCCTCTTATGTAAGGGGGGAACAGTCCTTCTCAGCGCCAAAGAGCCTTTCATACTTAAATTATTTCTGCTTAGTAATACAGTTATCTGCGTGTGCATCCATCTTTCTCAGTAGACTTTAAGTTTCTCAAGAACCTGCACCATGATCAGGTCATCTTTGCTTTCCTCTTCCTTATTCTCCCCGATGAACATCCCACACAAAGTGTTGCACACAGTCTGTGCTCAAAACATACCTGCTGAAATGCCTTATCTGCAACACTCTATGTTACAAAAATAATAATAAAAATAAATACAAGGTATGTGGAAGTCCTAACCTTCAGTAGCTCAGAATGTGACCTTATTTGGAGACAGCATCTATAAGACAGAGTCTCCCTATGTTGCCTAAGCTGGTCCCAAACTCCTGGGTTCCAGCAATCCTCCTGCCTTGGCCTCCTAAAGTGCTGGGATTACAGATGTGAGCCACTAAGCCTGCCCATTTTAATAATTCTATAAGATTTTAAATAATCTTATAATTGGTCAGTAAAATAGGCTACATATCAAAAGTTTTATTTTAATAAAGAACTAATAGCACGTTAATTCACCAACTTATTTTCATAGAAAGAAAGCCAGTTCTTTTCTAGGGGAATTTGATAGGGAGTTTGATACTCAGCTTCAATCCCACACCTCTTCTACTGTGCTTTCCTGTACTACAGAGGATGAACAGCAAAACCCTCCAGATCCTACATTTCTTTGGAGTTAGGATTCTGAATGCAAATCAGGGTTCCCCTGGCCTGCACAAGGAAGATGAATGGAGGACAGAAACTCTTGGCTGTTTTGGATGGGCAAGCCTGGCCCCAGAGTTATTGGGGTTTCCTGAAGCAATGTCCCTGAGAGTGTTAAAAGGCACATGTGGTGTTGGAGGTAGACGCCCCCTGATTTTCCACTGTCATGATCACAAAGAGGTGGCAGCAACCCTGGTGGCCCAGTTCCAGAGTATTTGTTCCGGGAGTCATTCCTGGCAGGCCAGAAAAGAGTCTCATCCTCCTGCCCTTTTTAAAAATCCTATATCCTGAGGACCTAATTGCCTATATTAAATCCCTTTAACTTAAAATACCTAAAGTGGTTTCTGTTTCCTGCACCTGAACCCTGAGTGACATAGTCCACCAGTTAGAGTTCCAAGTTCTCATTCTTGTACTAACCTCACTCATGATGCATTATTACAATTTCCATTATCTCTAAAATTGAACAAGAGAGTATATAATGTATGACAGGGCAGTGTGAGAATTCTCCTGGGCTTTTTTGTGTTTTTTTTTTGTTTGTTTTTGTTTTTGAGATGGAGTCTCACTCTGTCGCCCAGGCTGGAGTGCAGTGGTGCAATCTCGGCTCACCGCAACCTCCAACTCCCAGGTTCACGCCATTCTCCTGCCTCAGCCTCCCCAGTAGCTGGGACTACAGGCACCCGCCACCATGCTCAGCTAATTTTTTGTATTTTTAGTAGAGACGAGGTTTCACCATGTTAGCCAGGATGGTCTTGATCTCCTGACCTTGTGATCCGCCTGCCTCAGCCTCCCAAAGTGCTGGGATTACAGAAGTGAGCCACTGCGCCCGGCCTCTCCTGGGTTTTTATGGTTTCCCCCAGTCCTCTACAGGGGTCTCACCCAAACCTACTTTGACAGTATTTTTTTTAAAGCAATTGGCTTTTATCAAAATTTTGCAAAGCCTTAGACTTTATGTTCATTTTTAAAAAAACACTCTTTTTGTTCACCTTATGTTGAAATTATTCAATGTCAGTTGACATAAACAGGTTTGAGAGCAAACTGGATCTTAATAAGCACACTTCTCAGTTGGTGGGAGTGAAGTACCCAGACTTTCTAAAGAGTAGGCAGCCAGCCCGAGAGCAGTGTGCAGTGACCCAACAGCAGACATTGTACAGGAAGAATGGAAGACCCGCTCCTCTGCTGATGATCTCATAGGGCAGTAATTTCCAAAGCTTCTATTAAATTTATCTTACAGTTTTGTTTTGCTTTGTTTATTTGTGTGTATTTTTTTCAGCTTGTAGATATAACTGATAAATAAAAAATATATATATGCAAGGTATACAGCACGAAGTTTTGATATACATATACATTGTGAAATGATTACCACAATCAAGCTAATTAACATATGCATCACCTCAGATAGTTACCTTTTTTTGTGGTGGGAATACTTGTTATACTCGCTTAGCAAATTTTAAGTATATAATGTATTAACTATAGTCACCATGCTATAAATTAGGTCTCCAGAACCTACTCATTTTATAATTACAAGTTTGTACCCTTTGACCAACATCTCCCCGTTCCCCTGCCCCAACCCCATAACCACCTTTCTATTGTCTGTTTCTATGAATTCAGCTTTTTAAAATTCCACATTAAAGTGAGGTCATGGATCTATTTTTCTTTGTCTGGCTTATTTCACTTAGCATAATATCCTCCAGGATTTCCCTCTTTTTAAGGTTGCATAATATTCCAACGTACACACACACACACACACACACACACACACACACACACACATATATATATATAAAATGCATTCTTTGTGTCTTTTTAATGAGTCCTGGAGATAACTTCTGTAAAGCACCTAGTATAGTGCACAGAATACAACAGTCACTCAAGAATGCAACTATTGTGTTTATAATAAAGCATTTAGGCTAGAGACGATATGTCAGGTAGAGTCCTTATATATTACAAAAGTTTATATCATTATATGATTCCAAATCCTTTATTTTAATTAAATCATAAGAGGCAAAATCGGCTCTTTCAATCAACTATTATTCAAGGATAGTTAGTATGTTTACACAGTTATCAACTAAAAGACTGAAGCTCAAACTGGTTCCACAAGCAGCCAACCAGTCACACATAAAGAATAAACGTTTGGTAGGCTGGTTTGAGGCAGAGCAAAAATTCTGAGATCCACTGAGAGCTTGGATGACTCTCAGTGAATCTCAGAATTCGCAATTTGAGAACTACAATAGGAGGGGTCCATGGGTAAATTCTGGCCAAATCCTGGAAAGCACCTAAAGATAGAAGAACTACCTTGTGGGGGATAAAGGAGATGAGCTTCTATTACTGCATCAAAGCAAACTATAGGCTATGTGAGTGCAGCTTTAATGCTAACCAAAGGTTACTCTTTGAAAATTAAAATGCGTGGTATGTGAAACAGCTCTCCAACAACAAGAATATTTGATTAAGTAGAACATACCATTCCTTGGCCATGTTAGATAAGCTGAAGTTTACTGTTCTTGCACTTATGAACTCCCACTTGAACAAGTCTGTACAGAGGACACTTGGAAGTTTCCATGAAACAAATAGATGCCTTGGGCTTTTTAAGGGGAATTTAATCATTACTGTATTATTACAGAGATGAAAAATGTGTTAAAAGTTGTATTCTTTAAAGCCAACCACAGTGATAGGAAATTCCAGTCTCTTCTATTCTGTCAATAATACCTGTCATAAAATATTGAAGGGTTTATTTTTGACAGAAGCTTTTTCAACAATTGTTTTTATGTTTGAAGGTGGCGATATTATTTAGCAAAATAGTCAATAGGTTATTGTAGCTTCCCATCTCATTAGTTCAACCGATACTTCATTACATCATTCATATCTAGATTGTTATCACTAATGAATACATTGTTGTTCCACCTAGAAAGACAAAATAACTTTCAGAGAGCAATCCTTAACTTCCTCCTTACTCGCCACAATATTCCAACTTTGGAGGAAACTGCCTGAAGGGAATATTTGGAAGTATATGGAAATCAAACACTCCCTCCTTCAAGTCTACAAAGTTTTACACATCAAAGTGAATGCTTATAAGGACATTCACAGAATTTGAGTGTTCAGACCTTTACTGCCTAAATTGACAAATAAGTTGCATTTAACAGTAAACAGTTTGAATTTACTCAGCTTTTCTAGAGCACATAGTTTCCATTTTTATCACAACCAAAGAGTTCTAGAATTAAAAACAGCTTATTCACTTAAGTGCCTTCTTTCCATCTGCACCACAGTTTGCAGGTGAGAAAAAAAAAAGTGGCCGTTGCTGTTATTTAACTTGTAGCTAAAGTAAGAATGTCTTTAGTGGCAAAAGAAATAAAATACTATGTAAATGAATGTATGTGTTTGTGTGCATATTGATAAATAGATAGCTATCTGGTAGTACACCCATTTAAAATAAATAGCCCTGTGTACTTAGTATAATTGATGATATGCTTTAAAAGGGTGTTAAAACTATTGGTTAATAACAACAGCTCCTAGGAAATCTCACACTTCTATGACAGTACTTCCTTTAGAAGTTGACTGTAAGGTACTTTTATGACTTGTTTCTGCTTCTGTCAACCTGACTAAAGTGTAGTCCAGATAGAGGGGATATATTTATACAATTTAAAGAGAAGCTAATTATTTCCCATGACCTTAAGAAAAATGTCAGCGAAGTGTAACTGCCTGCTGCATAAAGAAAGACCTTGGCATGGTAGTTGAAAGAGTTTAATAGACATGAGGACAGCCACACCACATGGGAGAGAGTTAGTACTCAAACCATTCTTGTCCAAAGCTCCCCGGTTAGGCCTTTTTTAAGGCAGTTTGAGGGAAGGGGTGGTGTTGGCCAGGTAATGGGTGCTTGCTGCTGATTTGTTGGGGTGGAGATGAACTCGCAGGAGGTCAAAGCTGTCCATCTACATGCTGAACACCTTCTGGGTGGGGCCACAGGGGTCAGATTGGCAGGTCCAGATGGAACCACAGGTGTCAGACATGCAAAAAAACCTGAAAAGATATCTCAAAAGGCCAATCTTAGGTTCTACAATAGTGAAGTTATTACAGGAGTAACTGGGGAAGTTGCATGTTTTATAACCTCTGGAATAGTGGCTGACAATCATTTATGTCTATACCTTAGCAGGCCTCAGGCTTCCCTCCTCTCTCCAGCCTGTAGCCTTACATTAGCTTTATAAAAGTGTTTGAGTTTGGGGGCAAGGCCTATTATCATTTAAACTATAGCCCAAATGTCTTCCAAAGTTAGCTTGGCCCAAAAGCCCAGGAATAATTAAGGGAAAGGCAAGATAGGGAGTGGGTTAGCTCAGCTTACTGTTGGATATAATTTTTCTCAATGATATAATTTATGCAAAGACAGTTTCAAAAGTCTCTATACTTTGAAATTCTACCATACTAATTGTCCCAATTATTATTAGACTCTTATGATCTGTTTAATAACAAATCTAATGATATGTTTCTTTTCCCAGACCGGGCTGCTTGACAATACAAAATAATTTTGTTCATTTTTGTAACCCTAGTAACTCACACAGGGCAAGGAAGCTAGAAGGCCCTTAATAAATGCTATTGTTTGAATGAATAAAAAGAGGAATGCATGCAGCACTTACTGTTGTTTCATATCCTTTTTACATAAATTGTGTGTCTTATTTCCCCTGACTACATTGGAAAGCTGAGGTTCATAGGATTATGCCAAAAACAGCCCTTAGAAGCATTTTGTTTGGCCCATATGGAAGACATGAATGGTCTGATAAATGCTGTTAATTATGAAATCCTCTGTACCTATGATCTCAATAATAATGGTGGGTTCTGGACAGAGAGGTTTAGATTGATGGCAAGTAAGAACTCTCAACAGTAATAGAAAATTACTGTTAGCAAAACCAATCAAATTAGAAAGTAACAAAATTAATCCAATTAGGAAGTAACACACACTGTACAGACACATGCTGTAAAATGTGTGTTTGTTACTTTCTAATTGGATTGGTTCCAAAATGGAAAAATTTCATATTTTTTAAAAGAGAGATATTCCATGTTTCTCTTGAAAAATCAAGATTTGACAATAGTGGGCCCAAATTCCTGTATGGCTACAATCAGCTGGAAGTAGAGTGGAGCGTGTCTGATTCAGAAGTTTCCGGTTTAACACTACTCCCAATTGTCTTCAGGGCACTGAGGCAAATACAGTTCCATTTATCATGGCGGTTTCTTGGCTTTTTTCTTACACCCTGACCATTTTGCTCATTTAGGTTACCTCACCGGTCCCCATAGGAATTTGAGTCTGCACCTACATTAAAACTAACTTTTTCCCCACCCTGTGTTTAATATCAGGCTGGGTAGGCACCAAGTATTAAGCAAATTCTTGGTGATAATGATATCGTCATTGATCATAAGAATGTGAAAACCAATCAATAAGGGAACATGTTCTACAAGAAAAAAACAAACAATCCCATCGAAAAGTGGGCTAAGGACATGAATAGACAATTCTCAAAAGAAGATACAAATGGCCAAAAAAGATATGAAAAATGCTCAACATCATGAATGATCAGGGAAATGCAAATCAAAGCCACAATGTGATACCACCCTACTCCTAAAAGAATGGCCATAGCCAAAAAAAACAAAAAAATACTAGATGTTTGTGTGGATATGGTGAAAAAGGAACATGTCTACACTGCTGGTGGGAATGTAAACTATTACAACCACTACGGCAAACAGTACAGAGATTCCTTAAAGAACTAAAAGTAGATCTACCATTTGATCCAGTAATCCCACTACTGGGTATTTACCCAGAGGACAAGAAGTCATTATATGAAAAAGATAGTTGTGCATGCATGTTTATAGCAGCACAATTCACAATTGCAAAAATATGAAACCAGCCCGAATGCCAATCAATCAACTAGTGGATAAAGGAATTGTAGTGTGTGTGTGTATATGTGTGTGTGTGTGTGTGTGTGTGTGTGGGCATGCACACGCGCTAAGCTATGAGGATGCAAAGGCATAAGAATGATACAATGGACAGTGGGGACTTGGGGGAAAGGATGAGAGGGAGTGAGGGATAAAACACTACAAATTGTGTTGAGTGTATACTGCTTGGGTGATGGGTGCACCAAAATCTCACCAATCACCACTAAAGAACTTACTCATGTAACCAAATAGCACCAGTTCCCAAAAAACCTACAGAAATAAAAATTAAAAAAAAACAAAAAATAAGATAACATGTTCTAGACCTCATTATCACTCCTTAAAACATAAATCCCCCTAGAAAACCCACAGTTTAGATTTTTAAACTTTTGTTTTCAAATTGATTTAGTCAAACGGAAAATGGACATAGCATATTGCAGCGTACTTGCAAACCAATGACAAAATAATAATAATAATATGTTATAAATACATTTTAAATGCAACAGTTAAACACCTGGAGTTTGGTCCTGGGATTTGACCATTAGACCCTAAAGTTTTAGAGGAAAGCTGGAGAGATGACACCTCTTAGCCAAAGGTAAACAATAATCATGACAGAGCAGAGTGCTGTGCTACTTTTCTTTTATCCTTTGGATAGTGGTTCTCAAAAGGAAGGAGAAAATTGAAGTCCTGTATACTCAGTCCCTGCGTAATTGAGTGTTGAGTGGACTGCCCTTGGACAAAATCACTTTGAGAGGTGATCTGGTAGCTTATCAAATGAACATTTACTCACCGACAGCTGCAGTACTAGGAGGGTTCTGGGTCCTTGCATTTCCCAAACAGCCATTTTCTATTACTGTTGAGACTTCCTACCTGCTATCATTCTAACCTTCTCCGTCCAGAACCCCACCATTATTCTTGAGATCATAGGTACAGAGGATTTCATAATCAACAGCATTTACCAGACCATTCATGTCTTCTCATTCCCCAACAGCTTTTGCTAAGGTGTGATGAAGTGAAAATCATGGTATGGTACAGAAAAAGCAAGTAATGAGATTGTTTTGCAGTACACAGATTTGCAATCAAAATACAGCCAAAATCAAAATATTTTTATTAATGAACCATCTCTTTTGAAGTTATTAAAATATCACAAGCTTTTAGAAAAGCATAAAGAATAATCTGTGTATGTCAAGTTTTATGTCAGACTACGTCAAATTTTCTTATTTTGCCATATTTGCTCCAGAAATTTCCACCTAAGGATAACACACATACAACAAAGTGGACCAATCCTACCTTGTATGGCTGGATGAACTTTCACAAAATGAACATTTCCATGTTTCTACCTCTTTTTTTTTTTTTTTTTTTTTTTTTTTTTTTTGAGACGGAGTCTCGCTCTGTCGCCCAGGCCGGACTGCGGACTGCAGTGGCGCAATCTCGGCTCACTGCAAGCTCCGCTTCCCGGGTTCACGCCATTCTCCTGCCTCAGCCTCCCCAGTAGCTGGGACTACAGGCGCCCGCCACCGCGCCCGGCTAATTTTTTGTATTTTTAGTAGAGACGGGGTTTCACCGTGTTAGCCAGGATGGTCTCGATCTCCTGACCTCATGATCCACCCGCCTCGGCCTCCCAAAGTGCTGGGACTACAGGCGTGAGCCACCGCGCCCGGCCGTTTCTACCTCTTGATGAAGTTATAGAACATCACCAGAATTCCAAACACCTCATTTATACCCAGTCCCAATCATTCATAATAGATTTTATTTGTTTGTTTGTGTTTTGTTTTGCTTTCTGAGGAAAATAAAAAAAATTTAATGTAGAAAAGTATTCTTCTATCCCAATCATCATCATGAATTCAGTTGATATTTGCCCTTCAAGGCTTTAAGCCTTTTATTTTTTCATCTGAAAGAAACCATTACAGATAAAATTAAGTCCTCTTGGTTCCCAGTCAAATTCCACTTTCCAAGAGTAACTGCAATGATGAATTTAGTATGCATCCCTTCAGCCAATTGCTTAAAGTTTGTACAGATATATAGCCCTGAACAATATACAGTATTGCTTTTATATCTTTAAATTGTATCATACTGAATGCATTATTCTGCAACTTTTCATCATTCAAGATTATACTTTTGAAACCTACCCATATTGCATACAAAATTTTGTTCATGCCTTTGCATTGCTATTTTGTGTTTTAACATTTAATCTGAGGTTACCATGAGGCTTGCAAATAAGCCATTATTTTAGATTGATGACAACTTAACACTGATTGCAAAAACAAAAAGGCAAAAAGAAAACTAATAAAAACTCTACATTTTAACTTCATTCTCCTGCTTTTTAACTTTTTGTTGTTTCTATGTATATCTTTTCCTCTTTCTTTTTTTGAGATAGAGTCTTGGTCTGCCACCCAGGTTGGGGAGCAGTGGCTCACTGCAGCCTCAACTTCCTGGGCTCAAGCGATCCTTTCACCTCAGTCTCCTGAGTAGCTGGGACCACAGGCATGGGCCACCATGCCTGGCTAATTTCTTTATTTTTTTGTAGACACAGAGTCTGGCTAGTCTCAAACTCCTACGCTGAAGCCATCATCCTACATCAGCCTCCCAAAGTGCTGGGATTACAGGTGTGAGTCATGGCACCTGGCCTATATGTTCACATATTATACTGTCAGTGTCTTGAAAAGTTGTTCTTGTTATTACTTTTGATAGGTTCAGCTTTGAGTCTTCCTACTGAAGATGAGTAGTTTACACACCATTACACACCACAATGAGTGTTATACTATTCTGCATTTGTCTGTGTACTTACTACTCCCAATGAGTTTTGTGCCTTCAGATGATTTCCTATTGCTTATTAATGTCCTTTTATCTCAGGCTGAAGAGTTCCCTTAGCATTTCTTGTAGGACAGGTCTGCTGTTGATGAAATCCCTCAGCTTTTGTTTGTTTGGGAAAGTCTTTATTTCTCCTTCATGTTTGAAGGATATTTTCACTGGAGATACTTACTATTCTAGGATAAAAGCTTTTTGCCTTCAGCACTTTAAATATGCCATGCCACTCTCTCCTGGCCTGTAAGGCTGCCATTGAGAAGTCTGCTGCCAGACATATTGGAGCTCCATTGTATGTTAGTTGTTTCTTTTCTCCTGCTGCTTTTAGAACCCTTTCTTTAACCTTGACCTTTGGGAGTTTGACTATTAAATGCCTTGATGTAGTCTTCTTTGGGTTAAAGTTGCTTGGCGTTCTATAACCTTCTTGTACTTGCACGTTGATATCTTTCTCTAGGCATGGAAAGTTCTCTGTTATTATCCCTTTAAATAAACTTTCTACCCCAATCTTACTCTCTACCTTTTCTTTAAGGCCAATAACTCTTAGATTTTCCCATTTGAAACTATTTTCTCGATCCTATAGGTGTGCTTCATTCTTTTTTATTCTTTTTTCCTTTTGTCTCCTGTGACTGTGTATTTTCAAATACCCTGTCTTCAAGTTCACTAATTCTTTCTTTTGCTTGATCAGTTCTGCTGTTGAGAGACTCTGGTGAATTCTTTGGTATATTGGTTGAATTTTTCCACTCCAGAATTTCTACTTGATTTTCAAAAATTATGTCCATTTCATTGTTAAATTTATCTGATATGATTCTGAATTCCTTCTCTGTGTTAGCTTGAATTTCACTGAGCTTCTTCAAAACAGCTATTTTGAATTCTCCATCTGAAAGGTCACATATCACTGTCACTCCAGTATTGGTCACTGGTGCCTTATTTAGTGCATATGGTGAGGTTATGTTTTCCTGGATGACCATGGTGCTTGTGTCTGTTTGTCAATGTCTGAGCACTGAATATTAAATAGTTAGGTATTTATTGTAACCTCTGCAGTTTGGGCTTATTTGTACCCGACCTTTCTGAGAAGGCTTTCCAAGCATTCAAAGGGAAATGAATGTTGTGATCTAATCTTTGGTCACTGCAGCTGTAACTGCATTAGGAGGCATTCCAAGCCTAGTGATGCTATGATTTTTGATGACTCATAGAGGTGCCATCTTGGTAGTCTTGGGTAACAGCCAGAAGAATTCCCTAGATTACCAGCAGTCTCTTGTTCTCTCCCCTTACTCTCTGCCAAATAAATGGAGTCTCTCTCTCCATGCTGAACTGCCTGGAATTGGGATGGAGGATGACACAAATACCCCTATAGCTGCCGTCACTGGGACTATGCTGGGTGAGACCCGAGGCCAGCACAGTACTGGGACTTGCCCAGGGCCCATGGTGACTATTGCCTGGCTACTGCTGATTCAAGGCCCAAGGGCTCCTTAGTTAGCAAGTGGTGAATCCAGCCAGGCTTCTGTCTTTCCCTTCAGGGTGGCAGGTTCCCTTCTGACCCAGGTGGGTCTAGAAATGCTGTCAAGAAGCAAGGGCATGAATTTGGGAACTTTAGGAATCTACATCATGCTTTATTTTACTGTGGCTGAGCTGGTACCCAAGTTGCAAGACAAAGTCCTTCTTAACCTTCCCTCTCCTTTCCTTAAGCAGAAGGAATCTCTCTCAGCCACCATAGCTGGGAATGCAGTGAGTCACACCTGAAGCCAGCACAGAACTGGGTCTCACCCGAGGCCTGTGGAGAGTACTACCTGGCTACCACTGATGTTTATTAAGGCCCAAGGACTCTTTGGTCAACAGGTAATGAATCTTGCCAAGACTAGATACTTCCCCTTCAAGGCAGTGGGTTCCCTTCTGGCCCAGGGTAGATCTAGAAGTGTCATCTGGGAGCTAGGGCCCAGAATGGGGGCCTCAGGACTCTGCCTGGTGCTTTATTTTACTGTGGTACTGAGCTGGTATCCACGTTGTAAAACAAAGTCCTCTTTATTCTCCCCACTCCTTTTCCTTCTCCTTTCCACAAGGGAAAGGAGTCTTTCCCAGTGCTGTGAGCTGCACTGCCTGAGGTTGGAGGATGAGTGACACAAGCATTCCTTTGGCTGCCTCAGCTTGTGTCTCACTAGGTCATGTGCACCCAAGTCCACTGGCTGTGAGCTCAGCACAGCACCAGGGCTTGCCCAGGAATTGTAGTCCTTGTAGCCTAGATTGCCTTTCAAATTTTTTTGAAAGGCAAATTTATTTCAAATTTATCTGAAAGGCAGTCTAGGCCACAAGGACTACAATGGAGCACTTCAGCCAGTAGTGGTGGAGCTAGCTCAAACCCGCCTGCTGGTGTGGACGGTTCCCCTTTGGCCAGGGCTGATCTAAACGCTCCCTCCATGGGCACTGGCTGAATTCTGCCCTGTGTTGCTTTCTGCTGTGACAGGGCAGCACTGAGTTGCAATGTAAAGTCCTACAATCACTGCACTCTCCTTTTCCCAAGCACAAATTATCTCTCTGCGCCAAGCAGCCCACTGCTGCTGGGGGATGAGGAAGGGGTGGTGTTGGCTGTCTTTCCTACCCTTTTCAGTGTCTCTTCCCTTGATATGATGTTAAAACCAAGTACTGTGATCACTCACCTAATTTTCGGTTCTCATGAAGGTGCTTTCTTGGGTTGATATTTGTTCAGTTTTGTGTTCCTGCAAGGGTAGAGGAGGAAGATGATTGCTGGAGGGTTCTATTCAGCCATCTCGCTCTGCCTCCCCTCTCTGGAAGACTCTTCAATGGGCTTTTCTTTATCAACGTTAATGTTCACAGCTCCTTCCTGGTCTCAGATGTAACAGATTCCTGGAGGTAGGCTTCAGTGGATCTGAGTACTGGTTATTTGCAGAGTTGGCTGACCTCCGGAAGTTCCCATTCCCTTGATGTGAAAAGCCACACAGCCAAGGCTAGCAGCCATGTGCAGAGCACACTGGCCCGTGAGACCCCCTACTTATAATAGATGTTGATATTTAGTAGTACAAGTCTATCAGATGTGTGCAACTTCAAGCTGTCTTCACAATTCTTGGCCCCTTCATTTTCCATATTACTTTTAAAATTCCTTGGTACCTTACACAGACACACACACACACAAACACAGTTGTTGGAATCTTTATTGCACTGAATCTAAAGATCAGCAGTATTGAATTTCTCTATTATGTGTTTGTTTTCCAGCGCAGAAATTTTTATCTTACCTTTATTACCTTTGTTTTACTTTCGCTGTAGTTTTTTCTAGCTTCTTCAACTGAAAGTTTAGATCATGGATTTTCAGCCTTCTCTAGTTTCTTATACATGCATTTAAGGCATACATTTCCCTCTGAGTACATCTTTAACTGCATCCCATAGGTTTCGATACGTAATATTTTTATCATTCATTTTCAAAATACTTTATAATGTCCATTATGGTATTTTTAAATCCATAGGTATTTAAGTCATTTCTGAATTTCTTACCATTTTGGTATTTTTAATTTAACGTTTTGTCAATATTTAGCTTAATTCCACTGACAGCGTATGACACTGTATATGAATTTTTCATGTATTATGTGCATATAAATTTAGCCCCTTGAAATTTAATGAGCATTACATATGATTGTTTCATTTTATTAATTATTTATTAATTTTATTTTATTTTTTTTGGTAGAGGCAGGGTCTCACTTCGCTGCCTAGGCTGGGCTTGAACTCCTTGGTGCAAGCAATCTTCCTGCCTCAGCCTCCCAAAGTGTGGGGATTACAGGTGTGAGCCACCGCACCTGACCCATATGGCTATTTAGACTTACTTCTTTTGTCAATTAAGTATTCATCTTACGTCTAATTTTTCATATGTAAAATTATTTGAGGAAACTGTATTTCTTCTTATAATTTACCAAGTAACTAATCCCATCTCTCTACAAGTTTTATTTTCAAGTAAAATAAAACACACAATAGGTAAAACACAAAAATGATATTTAATATTCCATATCTTATCTCTAAAATGATTCTGCAACTTGACACTGCATTATCAAATGCATTTTGTGTACACAGTTGGTTACTAAAAGGCCATATATATAGTATATATTAAAATAAATCAGGTAAATATTATGATGTAGTTTTGTATTTCCATTATATATTTGGTTCATAATTAAAATTCTCATTTGAAAAAAACAACTAAATTTGTTGTTACTTTTTTTTCTTTTTTTAGAGACAAAGTCTCACTGTGTTGCCTAGGCTTCTCTCAAACTCCTGGGCTCAAGTAATCCTCCTTCCTTGGCCTCCCAAAGTGCTGGAATTACAGGCATGAGCCACCATGCACAGCCAGATCAACCAAATCTAAGTCATAATGGAACATTATGTGGATTAGTAATTACTACATTCATTGACTGGAAAGACTATAATCTACACTAGTAGAAAAATAATTGAAACAGTGGCATTTTTGCATGAAGTTCAAATCATAAGAACAGTAGTACATAGATCAGTGAGAGATATTGGTGTGCTGGTGTTTCTCTGTTCCTCCATATTCATTTTCGTATTTCTCTACTCTGCTTTTTTTCTATTTCCTTTTTATTTATTATATATTTTTTGGTGGGGATGGGATCTCACTTTGTTGCCCAGGCTGGTTTCAAACTCCTAGCTTCAAGTGAACCTCTCCAGTCAGCTCTGCTCTGCTTTTTGACTGGGGAGGTTGATCCCCTACTCTTCAACCTGCTCCCGTGCCATCTGCCTTCCTGTTAGGTGAGTGCAACAAGAGGCCCCGGGAGAACAGGTGGTGGGAAGAGAGATCAAGAACGTTTTTCCTTCCTAACACACTCTTTCCTTCCAGAGCGTGATTTTGATAGTGGTTACATCCCTTGAAGCCCACAGCTCCTGTTGGGCATCCCTTTTCTGCTTGCAGAAAATCTTGAATTGTTTTATTTGTTCTTTTTTTTTATTCAATGAAGTGTAAACTACATTCAGGTAATATGGCAAGTGCTATATAACTAAGTGCTAAGAAAAAATATTATATGTATGTATGTACATATCTATCCTGTACATGTATGTGTACACACATATGCATGCATGTAGGCATGTCTGTGTATGTAAAGGCATTTGTATTCTCTTAATCCTAAAACTCTTGGATGTCTTCTCCAACCTATAGGGGAGCAAAATCATGCCTGATGCCTTCTTGAAGATTCAACAAGAGATAGTTTCATTTTTCTAAAAGTTTGTGTGCAATTAAACTTTGAAAATTAAATCATATTTTAATTACATTGCAAACCAACTTTAAAAAAAATCTCTTAAGTGTATGCTGGATTCCTAAATAAGGCAAATAATTATTTCATAAAGATTGATTATATCTATCTGTTTTCTAAGCTAAGATTTGTGTATTCAACTTCTCTTTCAGATTTTAAAGTTCAACCTTTACAAATAATACATCTTACTAAGCCTTCACTTCAGCTGTCAGTTAAGGAAATTAGTCTTCAACTGTCTACAGACTAGAGCATTTAGTTGTTGTTTCACAGGTGACTTTTATTACTTCAGATTTTTTTTCTTGTTAAATATCACAACATTTATTTTCTATTATCTGGGCAGCATGACAGTAAATCTGTGATGTTTAGGCAGAGTAAGAATAGAATGAGCTTTCAGTTTATAATTGTTTTATCTCTAACTTAGATGGATGACAAAATATTTTTGTGAGGCAATTTTTTTGGATTAGTATCATATAAAGACACACAGAAAATGGGAAGATCTTAAATTTATTACACAGAGAATGTATATTCTCATATTTGGATGTTCATTGGTTGGGATCAAAAGTTTACCCCAAAACTTTATCCCAGGGGCACACTTCCAAGAATTTGAGGGCAGTTGATCTAAATATGATATCAAAGACCCCTCCCTCATACAATTTTCCTTCACCAAAAAAAAAAAAAAGTAACCATAGCAGATAACATCTGGTTGCATGTAATCTGAATTCATCTGAAATCCCACTGTAAACAAGTTCACGAATAGCAAGGGGCAGTTAAACATTCCACTGGCTTTAGATAATTGAAACCATCTTCCAAAAAATTACCTTCAATTACTGGACTCCAGGAAAGAAACAGGCGGTTTCTGGCAAAGTACCAGAAAGGACAAGAGAAGGGAGAAAGAGGGAGGCAGATAGAGAAAGAGAATGCAGTCTATTTTCCAGAATACAATGGAAGATCATTAAATATTCTATTGTATTTGTAAGACAGGATGGTTAATGTCATGCCCACCCAAAAGATATTTCTAGTGGAATCACAGGATTAGAGCCTAGAAAGCTATCGTTATGGACTTTTATGTCAGGTTCTTGCTTTCCAGCAGTATTATCTCTAAAACATCATAGGCAAAAAGGCTTTTCAAATCTGATTTTTAAAAAAATTTCAAAGAAAGGAACTTCACAATATACGATATACATTTAGCTTTTAAATGTGTAAACTAGATGCATGTCTAAAAGTTCTAAATTCTTCTGCATTACAGGTATTATAGTCTACTTAGGAAAAGGCTATTAAATCATGTCATCTTTTAAAAGTCTTTTCCATAACATCTAATCTCTGGAAATAATGGGAGAAAATAATTTGTGTAAATTCTTTTACATCTTAAAGGCCATATCACATTACTTTGGATTAATTATATATGGCAACAGTCAGCTAGTCAGCCCCTAATGTCAACCTACTGCATTAGTATATTATCACTGATAATACAGTTTTGATGATAATTTGAACCATATGCAAAAACAAATACATCAAAGCAACTGAGTTTTTGTGTTAGACAATCAAGTCTGCTTACTTCTAATTGAAATATAAGAACAACATGCATTTTAACTAGCTTCTAGGCAGATGTGTTACAACACCTACATTCTACAGATAGAGACACCATTGTGTTTTGTTTATTTTATGAGCAAGAACATCAGTTCTGATGCAATGCTGCATTCTTTCTATGATGAATGTTGTAGATGAGAAATTTCTATTTTTAAGAAAAGACTTCACTTTGGAAAAGTGATCCTTAAACTACTTACCCAGAAATAAATGAGTTATTTTCTCTACTGCATAGCCTCAAATAAATTCTAGACTTAAAAAATGGTTGCCATATTTAACACAGCTCTTACTATAATTTGTAGTTATGTGTACATATATGCGTTAACACCTGACTCTATCCTCTCCTCCCACCACCCACTCAATATGACAAGTGCTTAATACTGAGTAGGAGATCAATAAATGTCTTTTGGATGGATGGATGGATGGATGGAGAGTTGGATGGATGGATGATAGGTGAATGGTTACAGTTATAACCATTTTGATCTGAATATTTCAAACTTTTAAATTCACACTATGTACCTGTAGACCTGGAGCATTAATTAAGGCGGTGCAAATTAGATAACTGAATCCAACTCTAGTCTATGACAGCCCAAGTCTAGAGATTGTCAACTAAAATGTGTCACCTTGCTTCACCCTTACCCTTTCATCTTCCCCCAAAGAAGTGAGATCTATTTTGAAAGGGAATTTGATCTGTAGTCTCCCTCAAATCACTTTTTGAAGTAGGCAGTGCATAAATAAAAACAATAAATCAAATTGAAGGCTGGAAATAAAGTAACTTGGTCCTTATCATAGTCTTGTCTCTTGAAGTCAGAGTCATTGGGAGCATTGTCTTTTACAGCCTCAGTTAGCTCCTTTGCAAAGTAGAGAAAATAAATTCCTTAGGTCTGTGATTCAAGAAAATCTGATGAAAATGAAGGGCTAAGGATATTCAGTGCAGAGGCTGAGGGCTTTGCTCACTGTAACATATTTTTTCTTATTTTTCTCACTGTAATGTTTTGTTGGAATCTACCCAAGACCTAGGCATTTGTGTTTGATGTGTAGTCAATTCTTTAAAAAAAAAATGATGCAAAGTTGTTATGGTATGAGTGGGTTCACTGTCCATGAACAGGCAGTGGTCAAACAGTTGGGAAATGGGGCAACGTGAGATTTTTTTTTTCACTTGGTGTTTGCACTGACATCATTCAAGGCTTAAGAAGGATTAGGAAAGGTGGAAAGTGTCTCAAGCCATTTCCTTTCCTACTAGGCCATCAAGAACAGCAGCAGGCCCAGCAAGCTGTGTACAGGGCAAGAAACTAGTTTACAACAGTGTAAGGAGTTTCACATGGAAACTAAATAAATGTTGAAAAAGAGACAGTCTCACAGAAAGACACAGAATTCTGCCCCTTCTTGATCTTTATCTTCCTGGAGCAAAAATAATGCATGTGAGTAATATATCATAACTTTTCTTATCAATAACTTTCAGGGGGCCTTCCCCCAGCCCAAGGCTACTAATTAGAGATTTAGAATATTAAAGTCATGTTGCAGATTAAGTTTAAGAAACATAGTTCTCAGCCGGGCGTGGTGGCTCACACCTGTAATCCCAGCACTTTGGGAGGCCGAGGTGGGCAGATCACAAGGTCAGTAGTTCAAGACCAGCCTGGCCAATATGGTGAAACCCCGCCTCTACTAAAAATACAAAAATTATCCGGGAGTGGTGGTGAGTGCCTGTAGTCCCTGCTACTTGGGAGGCTGAGGCAGGAGAATTGCTTCAACCTGAGAGGCAGAGGTTTCAGTGAGTCGAGATCGCGCCATTGCACTCCAGCCTGGGCGGCAGAGCGAGACTCCATCTCAAAAAAAAAAAAAAAAGAAAAAGAAAAAAAAAAAGGAAACAGAGCTCTCAGTTCTCTTGGTCCTTGGAAGAAACAAGGGCCTTATGTGGGGTTATTTAAGCAAAGACCTCAGGTCCTGGTGGAGTTGAGCCCCTGTCTTCAGAGATATCTCAACATAGCAGGCTAGCAAATCTGCAACTTCCAAAATAACTACCCTGGGCTTCTTAACTCACTCAAATTGTGTTCCACCTTTTGCAGCATTATTCAAGTCACATCCTTCCAAAGGCAACATTTTTTATCTATTGTGTATCTCCCGATATTAAATATGAGGCTGATCACATTTCCAAAACCCATTCGTTGACATAGGGGTTTTGGAAATGTGAACAGCTGGCTCCTCTCTGGGGCTCAGAATTGGTGACCTCAAGTGAAATGCCAGGCCAGCTGATGTATTCAGTGAAATGACCAGTGTAACTGCCTACCCCATTTAAGCTGCCGGCTACTTGTAAAAACTGACCCATCCTCAGGACCATTTTAGAGCTATGTAACCACAGCTCATCAAGATCCCCAGAGAAACCACAGCTCATGAAGATCCCCAGAGACAAATAATTCCTTTTAAAATTGACATAGGAATAATACAGGGTGATTGTAGGAACATAGAAAATTCCAGGCAGCAGTTTCACATGACTAGCAAAAAGAAACGGTTGAAATAGCTGCAGAAGCTAGGGGTAGATAAGATCCTGAAAAAATCTGGGTGTGGACCAAGCTATGACCGACCTAAAACGGACCGGACCCAACATAGCACTGGATTTGACCTAGATTTCACCTAGGACCTTATTATATGCTCATTAACATCTTAAATTACACACCCACCAGCGCTATGACAGTTCTAGAAACATCCATATTTAGTGCAAAAATGGGTGGTACCAGAGTTCCAAGAAATCTCCACCTTGTTCCAGGAATCTTCATGAATCTTCTACCCCTTGGTTACAGAATCCCATAAAGGTAGCAGTCCCAACCCCCTTGCACCTGACTCTCTCTTGAGTCTGCCTCCACTCCCTTTTCTTGAATCTGCCTGCACTGCCCTTTCTTGAATGCGTACTTTTTGCTTTGTAATAAATCTGTGTACTTCCACTATTTTCCAACTCATCCTTGAATTCATTCTCAGGACGGTGTCAAGAGCCTGGACAGCAGCTGAGGCCAAGGTTTCACTGGCATTTGGGGATCTTCCCTAGCCCACTGGTATCAAAATCATTAATCAGATCCAAATCAACACCAAAGGAAGTTTTCTTCACCCAGGATATTTCTCTATTTTTAAAACATTATCAGGAATATCCACTGATTATTCCATTATTCCATACCATCCCTTCATCCAGAAAAGTAATATATGAAATAATTGGGATTGTTTCCAAAAAAGCTAAAATTCTATATGTCGCTATATGGTAACATACTTTTTAAAAAAAACCATATAATTCAAACACACACATCTTGATACTGCTTTGTATTCACAGAATACTTTTTAATTAATTACTTACATAAACATTGTTTTTATTTTTATAAACATAATCTTACCTGTGTTTCTTCTTTTAATCTAAGTCTTTATTATTTATATACCCCATGTGAAAGTATATTTTTAGAATAAATAATTTAAATATTAAACAATAATTTTAAATGTCTGCAGAAATTCCGGACATTGATGTTACAAATAAATTTTTAAAAATAAAACTCATATGTAAATCCTTCTGTTTCATCAGCATCCCACCGTAGTAAATTATGCTTGAGAAGGAGCTTTATTAGATAGTTTTCAATCTAGTGTAGATATCAGATTTATGGCCTTTAAAACCAAGCTCTTGTACAAAGAATGGTCAGTGCGAATGCCAGATGTGGGTACTGATGAGTAACCTCTCAGATATAGCAAATAGGTAGTTTCAGTCTCCAATAAAACAAGTTATATCTTCAGAGGCAAACATATGAAGCATCAATGTCACTTAAAAACATAGATTCCTCCAGGAGTTTCTGAAGAAACCCTTCCTTCCTGTTTCTTGAAGACAATCTGTAAGAGAGTCAAATGCCTCTGCAAAATTTAAACCTCGCCTTGGGCAAGACTTTGGCCATGTTGCTACTGTTCCCCATAAACACAGGGCAAGGAGGGATGGACTTGATATTGATATTTATAAAGCCTTTTTTTTTTTTTTTTTTTGACAGAGTCTCATTCTCTGGCTGGAGTACAGTGGCACAATCTCTACTCACTGTAGCCTCTGCCTCCCAGGTAAAAGCAATTCTTCTGCCTCAACCTCCCGAGTAGTTGAAATTATAGGTGTACGCCACCTCGCCCTGCTAGTTTTTGTATTTTTTGTAGAGACGGGATTTCGCCATGTTGCCCAGGCTCATCTCGAACTCCTGACCTCAGGTGATCTGCCCGCCTCGACCTCCCAAAGTGCTGGGATTACAGGCATGAGCCACCGTGCCTGACCTGTATATAGCCTTACTCTTAGAAAGTATTCATTAAGATCTTCCACATTAACCAAAATCGTCCAATTTCCAAGCACAGAGGACACAGAAGCCACTTCCTGAAAACAGGCTGAGGAGAAAATTCTCTCCTAGATCCAGAGCTTCACTCTGAAGACTTCTTTCTCCTTGAATTCAGGCAAGCAATGAACTGATTTCTGAAACTTCTGTTCATGAGATTTCTTATATATATATATATCTTAAGTCCTGACATATGAATGAATCTTAATGAAAGCGTTCTGAAGACCTCTATAACATGGCATCCCAAGGAGAATCTAGCACATATCATTCATAGAATATATATTCAATACATATTGGACAAGCTGTTGAAACTAGAAAATTGCACAAAAACTATGAAATGTGTCTACAGAGTAAAGTAATTTTTTGTTCCTTTATAACATATTCCACAGCATCATCTCCTTTAGAAATAGTCATTTTAGAGCCTGGAATATATTCAACAGGATCTACTCCGCTCAGTGTACTTTCAAAAATCACTTCAGACCTTGTAACTTATTCTTAAAAGCCTCTGGATTTGTGACTTTAAAATACTGTACATTAAACACACACTTGATTTTTCTGAACAGTCTGGTAGAATTCTGAGCCAAGTCGAGTGAAAAAAGGTATGTGAACAAGTTGTTTAATAACAACGGCGGCAACAATCCCAGTAATAATAGTAACACATTTTGAATGCTTACTAGTTGCCTGGAATTGTGTTAACCGCTTTATCCATAATCCTCAGAGAGGCCCCATAAGGTAGATTTTACTATCATACCATTCCAGAAATAAGTAAGCTGTGGCTCTAGGAGGTTAAACAAATTGCCACAAATCAATTGTTAGATTTGTGACTCAAAAATACTTACTTTTAACAGCTAGAAATACTGCTACTACTAGGGGTTAAAAATGACATGGGACCATAAAAAGAAATGAAATTAACTTTTTTCCTATGGCATTTAAATAGGCCCTAAGACAATTCCAAAGCTCTTTGGAAAATGGTAGTTTCAGGGGAATGGAACATTTAACTGCCTGAGGTTAAGGATGCCACTCCTCATTTGTATGCAGGAGTTCTGGGCAAGTGTGTCAAACACTCAGTCCATTGCAATATATAGCTGTACCGCCTAGAGGACTTAGGGTCCCAAAATGAACTCCGTGCCAAATCGTACTTCACATATTTGCAGTCATACTTTTTTTGCCTTTGCCTTTGAACAAGGATTGATCCTATGTGGTCTCCTAAGATTCTGAGGAGGTGACGGGGAGAGAAGGCGAACCTGAAACATCCGGCAGAGACAATTTTGCCAGGGTGAGCCCTGATCACTCTCCTCCCCCATCGCCCACTACCTATTAAGGCAAATTATCTTTTAGCTGATTTATGTTTATGTTTTCAGGCTCACAGTAAGATTTTTTAACGTCTTTTTCTGCTTTCAAAAGTTTATCAGAGCTTTTTCATAAATACCTAAGGTGAGGAATCATTTGTGGAACAGATCTGCTTATTTACCTAAACTTTAGCCTTTTCTGCTAACAAGACTTAAAGAGTTCCAGCACTTAGGACGGTATCTAAGTGATTTGGCTAATATGTGATTTGAATGTTTTGGGAAGATAAAGTCTATAACTAAGAGATTGCCTAATAATGGATCTGCAGGAACTGAAGGTCATTTCCCACAAAAATGTGCAGCCACCGGGAACCTTAGGTGAGGCATATTACGCTCAACTGTGTCAGACACTTGGTTATTCATTAACTTTAATGGGGGTCATAAAGAAATGCCTGAGGAAACAGGAAATGCTCATTTTCAGATAACATTGCAGTCACTCCCTTATTTCTTCCTGAAATCAAAACCAAAAAAGAATTTTTGCTTAACCTTTATTTAAACAAGCAACCAGGAGAGAACAACCATTCAGACTGGGCCAGGTGCCATGTCTTCAATGGCCCAGGAATAACCCAACAGCTGTTTCTATGCCAACTATGATGTCTGTGTCCACTGAGGAACAACTTCCTTGTCAAGGTAAAATCCAAAGGTTATTTTCAATCTTCAGACTAAAATCAAAGGCCATGGGGTGTGACCACTCCCAAATATGTTGCACTACAACCTCTGAGTTTTTAATAATTGGTATTTCTGCAGGGCAAGGTGGCTCACACCTGTAATCCCAGCACTTTGGAAGGACCAGGTGAAAAGATTGTTTGAGGCCAGGAGTTTGAGACCATTCTGGCCAACCTAGTGAGACTTCCCTTCCTTCCCTGCCCCCGACCCTGGCCCCATATCTCTAAAAAATAAAAAATAAAAATAAGAATAATAAAAATAAATCATTGGCATTTCTTAGCTAAGAAAGAACTAAACTCATTTATCATCCTCAAAAAAAAAAAAAAAAAGAATAAGAGAATACAGCTAAGATTTCAAACTACCCTCATTAAGTCACCAATGTCTACTCCATTAGCTGGAAGCACTTGTTAATCCATCTTGCCAACAGCTGAGCCCTGACAAGTTTCCTTTGGAAGGTTAGCCTTTTATGAGTAGCCCTGATAAGGAGTCCACTGCTGTTGGGACCTAAAAGGCTTGTCAAGTGGATGCAGAGCTTCCTCTACACACCCCACTGCTTGAATCAAAGGGAGGCCAATGGACAGAAGAGACAAATGATCACTCCACTAGAAATAACAGAGTTGGTTATTAGTCAAAGTGAACTTCCTTCCTGTACACACCAGTAGTGAAAACATCTATAGGGAATTTGGAAGGGCATCATGGTGAAGAATGTAGTTCAAGAGGCAAAGTTCAGGACCAGTGTTTGCTTTGGCATCCTGGGGCAAAAACGTTACTGAATGAACTAAGTCAGGAGCTCAAAATGCAATTGAGTGAAGTGTCATAGGTTAGCTAATGCCAGACAAGTGGTGGCTGTCTTGGGAGTTTTGAAATTACATCAGTGTGAATTCCTAAGAAATCCCTCCTAGGTCTGGAATATGCTTGATTCCTTCCACCCCTTAGAAGAGTGCAGTGATGCATGACACTTCTCCAACTTTGTCTCAGAATGGCCGTGTGAAGTACGTAAGGTCACACTGTTTTCTCATTTAAAGGTGACTTGCTAACTCCCAGAGACAAGGGAAGGACAGCAGAACCTTGAACTGCACTTCTTTGTCACTTTTATCTGGCTTTGTTATAGACACAATCTGATAAAACCAAAAGCCTGAGAGGTGGAGTGGAGCAGGGTGAGCAGAGTACAAACCCAGCATGAGATGTTCCTCTACTCTATTTGTTCCTCAGACGAGATGCCCCCAACCCTCTCCCCAACACAGTCCCCACAGATCTCTGACTTCAGTGCTTCATTCTTATTTTCTTGATGTGTTATTCTCAAATTACAGCTATGTTTCCCCAATCCACAATTCCTCTTCCCTAGTTTTTTACTTTCCTTCAAATCCATCAGACCTGTGCTAATTACTTACTACTATTTATTAGATGCCATTGACAACTTGCCCACCCCTGTTCGTCTAGCAGTTTCTTTAATCTAGATGTAATGTAAACTGTTATTTTTCTCATTAAACTAAAGTAGCAGCTGATTACAAGTTACCAATAAAAGGAAAGGAAAAAAGAGCAAGGGGAGCATCCGCCCACAGAGGTAACTGACTAAGCACATCCTGACTATTCCGGATATTCTTGCTTTGGTGAAATCTGCATTTTAGTAAACAAACAGAAAAAAAATTAACCAACCAACAAACAAACAAAAACCTATTGCCTTTTGTCACTAATCCTGCTACTACTAGTTCTCCGCCCAAGAACATCCCAGGGGCCATCTTAAAAACCTCATTGTACTCTCCTACCTACAAACTCCAGAATTATAACCAATATGAAATTAGATTAAATTAATCTTTAAGGCAGCTCTAAAGCTGAAAGGAGTAAAATCAAAATCATGTGCTGGAGGGAGAAAAAAGCAAACCAATCACAGCTTATCAGAGGAGTGGGCTATTGTACTTAAGTAGGTATTCAGAGTTTCCAGCCCTTTGAAGCAGCAGCCAACTTCTACCCTGGTTCTAACCTTAATAGCAGGAGGGAGTCCCCCTGAACCAAGTCTAGGCTATGAGCTTCACCTTAGCAATCAGATTGGCTTCTGCACGTCAAAGGTACTAGTCTATTCCAATGACTGACATGAATTCTACATTTCAAAAGTCATATTTCCCGAACAAAGGCTTCATTACTACTGACAGACTACCATTCATATTACCAGTATCATTACTACTTACCATTATTGGAGGACCTTTATTTATTTAAAACACACAAGTGTAGGCATGCACACACACACATATTAGCATGCTGTATTAGTCCACTTTAACACTTGATAAAGACATACCCGAGACTGGGCAATTTACAAAAGAAAGGGGTTTATTGAACTTACAGTTCCATGTTGGTGGGGAGGCCTCACAATCATGGTGGAAGGTGAAAGGCACATCTCACACGGTGACAGACAAGAGAAGAGAGCTTGTGCAGGGAAACTCCCATTTTTAAAGCCATCAGATCTCCTAAGACTTATTCCCTATCACGAGAACAGCATAGGAAAGACCCGCCCCCATGATTCAATTACCTCCCACCAGGTCCCTCCCACAACATATGGAAATTTAAGATGAGATTTGGGTGGGGACACAGAGACAAACCATATCACTCTGCCCCTGGCCCTTCCCAATTCTCATGTCCTCACATTTCAAAACCAATCATGCCTTCCCTACACTCCCCCAAAGTCTTAACTCATTTCCGCATTAACCCAAAAGTCCACAGTCCAAAGTCTCAACTGAGACAAGGCAAGTCCCTTCTGCCTATGAGCCTGTAAAATCAAAAGCAAGTTAGTTATTTCCTAGATACAATGGGGGTACAGGCATTAGGTAAATATGGCTGATCCAAATGGGAGAAATTGGCCAAAACAAAGGGGTTACAGGGCCCATGCAAGTCTGAAATCCAGCAGGGCAGTCAAATCTTAAAACTCCAAAATGATCTCCTTTGACTCCATATGTCACATCCAGGTAACACTGATGCTAGAGGTGGGTTCCCATAGTCTGGGGTAGCTCCACCCCTGTGGCTTTGCAGGGTACAGCCTCCCTCCCGGCTGCCTTCACAGGCTGGCATTGAGTGTCTGCAGATTTTCCAGGCACATGGTACAAGCTGTCAGTGGATCTACCATTCTGGGGTCTGGAGGATAGTGATCCTCTTCTCACAGCTCCACTAGGCAGTACTCCAGTAGGGACTCTGTGTGGGGGCTCCCACCCCACACTGCCCAATGCACTGCCCTAGGAGAGGTTCTCTGTGAGGACCCCACCCCTAAAGCAAACTTCTGCCTGAGCATCCAGACATTTCTATACATCTTCTGAAATCTAGTTGGAGGTTCCCAAACCTCAGTTCTTGACTTCTGTGCACTCACAAGGCTCAACACCATGTGGAAGCTGCCAAGGCTTGAGGTTTGCACCCTCTGAGGCCATGGCCCAAGCTCTGCGTTGGCCCCTTTCAGCCACAGCTGGAGTGGCTGGGATGTAGGGCACCAAGTCCCTAGGCTGCACACAGCATGGTGACCCTTGGTGTGGCCCATTAAACCATTTTTTCCTCCTGTGCCTCCAGGCCTGTGATGGGAGGGACTGCCACAAAGGTCTCTGACATGCCCTGGAGACATTTTCCCCATTGTCTTGGTGATTAACATTCAGCTCCTCATTACTTATGCAAATTTCTGCAGCCAGCTTGAATTTCTCCTCAGAAAATGGAATTTTCTCTTCTACTGCACTGTTAGGCTGCAAATTTTCCAAATTTTATGTTCCATTTCCCTTCTGAAACTGAATGCATTTAAGAGTACCCAAGTCACCTCTTGAATGTTTTGCTGCTTAGAAATTTCTTCCACCAGATACCCTAAATCATCTCTCTCAAGTTCAAAGTCCCACAGATCTCTAGGGCAGGGACAAAATACTGCCAGTCTCTTTCCTAAAACATAACAAGAGTCACCTTTGCTCCAGTTCCCAACAAGTTCCTCCTCTCTATTTGAGACCACCACAGCCTGGACCTTATTGTTCATATCACTATCAGCATTTTTGTCAAAGTCATTCAACAAGTCTCTAGGAAGTTCAAAACTTTCCCACATTTCCCTGTCTTCTTATGAGCTCTCTAAACTGTTCCAACCTCTGCCTGTAACCCAGTTACAAAGTCACTTCCAAATTTTCAGGTATCTTTTCAGCAACACCCTACTCTACTGGTACCAGTTTACTGCATTAGTCCATTTTCACACTGCTGATAAAGACATAACCGAGATTGGGCAATTTACAAAAGAAAGAGGTTTATTGGATTTACAGTTCCATGTGGCTGGGGAGGCCTCACAATCATGGTGGAAGGTGAAAGGCACATCTCATATGGTGGCAGACAAGAGAAGACAGCTTGTGCAGGGAAAATTCCATTTTTAAAGCCACCAGATCTCGCAAGACTTATTCACTATCACAAGAACAACACAGGAAAGATCTGCCCCCATGATTCAATTACCTCCCACTGGGTCTCTCCCACAACAGGTGGGAATTTAAAATGAGATTTGAGTGGGGACACGGCCAAATCATATAACATGCACACACCGACACACACACAGACACACACACACATATATATATATATATATATACATATACATATATACACACACACGTATGATTGGAATTACAGTAAGGCTTTTCCAAAGGAGTGAGGTTTAAGCTAAAATGAAGGAAAAGTGAAACTTACCCAGGTGAATGGAAAAGAGGAAGAACATTCCAGGCAGTGGGGATGGCATTTGCAAAAGCTGGGAACAGGGATTTAATGTGTCCAAGGGTTTGTTTAATATTGCTAAGGAAGTGAATAAAGGACCTTTCAGAGTTAGCTGAATATACTAGCTATGTCACCTCAGTGTAGGACCTTGAACGCGATGATGGGGATCCTTGTTTTTTTCCTAAAAGCTATAAGAAATGGGGGCATTCCCCCAAACTCTTAAGTTAGGTGGGACACACACACACACATACACACATGCACACACACACACACACACACACACACACACTTCTTTTTGTAAAGGATCCTTCTGGCTGCACTCTGGATGAGAGAGGAGAAGAACTCAAGGAGCTAAGGAGGGGCCTACTGGGAGGCTTCTGCCCTAGCCTGGAAGAGAGAAAGAATGGTGGCTTAGATTAAAGGCAGCAAGGAAAAAGTGAATTAGAAGAAGAGGGATTAGGAGGTACAATAGACATGATTTGCTGAAGACCTGATTATCCTGGGTAAGTGAGAGAACCAAGAAAACACCTGGATTCCTAGCTAGGTGCTAAACTTGATGCTTTATACTACCATGGTCAATAAAAATGGCAACCAGTTACTGAGTATCCACCAAGGTAAAGAATAATGTAGTGTCACAAATAGGGTCACTAGAGCAAAACACCATGAGAGCTTAAATGCTGGCCTTAATGATTAGTAGTATTTCACTTGGCCAATTACATAAGTTGTCATTGTTTCTGTTTCTTCATTTACAAAATGAGAATAATGATTATATCCACCTGTAGGGCGTGTCTTAGTCTGTTTTCTGTTGTTTGTAATGGAATACCTGAAACTGAGAAATTTACAAAGACAAGGAATTTATTTCTTACAGTTACAGAGTCTGAGAAGGTTGAGGGGTTGCATCTGGTGAGGGCCGTCTTGCTGGTGTGGAGTTTCTGCAGAGTTCCAAGGTGGGACAAGGCATCATGTGGGGAGGGGGCTGAGCTTGCTAGCTCAGGTCTCTCTTTCAAGTCACCAGTGTCACTCCTGAGATAACTCATTAATCTACTAACCTAGTAATTCATTAATCCATTAATTCAAGAATGGATTGATTCATTCATGAGATAGAGTTCTCATGACCCATTAACCTTTTTAAGGCCCCATCTCTCAATACTTCCACCTTCAGGATGAAATTTCAAAATAAGTTTTTAGGAGGACAAATATTCAAATGACAGCAAGATTGTCATGAGAATTAAATATGGTAATACTTACAAAGTGCTTACAAGTTTCCTGAAACATGGTAAACACTCAATAAATGCTAGCCATTATTATTACCAAGTGGCAGGGGATAACAAACATAGTAGATAAGTCATCTCAAAACCCATTCTACCAAGAAGGTATTATCATCCCTATTTTATAGATTGGGAAGTAAAAGCTTCAAGGGTTTTAAGGACATATCAACACCACACAGTTAATTTAGTGACAAAGGCAAAACTCAATTCAGTTTTGTCTAGTTCCAAAGTTCATATTATTCTATTTTATCAGAACAAGTAGCTTCTCTTTGAAGCATTTCCAACGTGACAACAAAGGATAGAAACAACTACTTAAATTTCCTTATTAAGCAAAATGACTCATTGAACTAGCTGACCTCGCAGATTGGCATTTGGTAAAAAAAACTTGTGATCAAACATTGACATTTATGTCGAAGCACAATTCACATAACTTATCAAGAACCCATTTCTTTTTCCAGGAAGCTCAAAGTATTAGAAGGTAGAGTTCTCTGAATAAGCAATTTAAACTTTGCTCTTTTTAAGTCAGTTAACAGGACATTATTGTTCATCTTGAGAGAATATTTCTTTCTCTCTTGCTGTCAACAAATAATAAAACTGTAATGACTTTTTTGTTGGTTCTTTTATGCCAACTTACATTTCAACACACAATGGAAGTACATGCCTCACTGAAATGCAGTATTTGCCCAAATGCACATTTATTTTATGTCAAGCCATGAAAAATAGTTAGAAATAAAAATTTTACAAATTTTATTCTAATCTTTTGTTCATTAAAATATAAATCACAGCTGGGCTCAGGCACTCACATCTGTCATCCCAATACTTTAGAAGGCCGAGGTAGGAGGATCTTTTGAGGCTAGGAATTTGAGACTAGCCTGAGAAACACAGTGAGACCCTGTCTCTACAAAAAATTAAAAAAAAAAAAAATTAGCTGGGTATGGTGGTGTGTACATGTAGTCCTAGCTACTCAGGAGGCTGATGCCGAAGGATCACTTGAGCCCAGGAGTCCGAGGTTGCAGTGAGCTATGATAACACCACTGTACTTCAGCCTAGGTGACAGAGCAAAGGCCCTGTCTCTTAAATATATATATATATGATTATATATATTATGATATATATTATGATATATATTATATATAATATATTATATAATATATATATTTTATATATTATATAATATATTATATATATATATAATAATACCCTCCTTTGCAAACAGGGACAACTTGGATAGTTTTTATCCAACTAGAGAGAGAGAAAATTGCTGGCAGAGCTGCAATGTTTTCTCTCGTTTTCATTTACTTTCAAATGTTAACCAGATTGTTAAACTGTTGCAGAACCATGGTCTTGGGTTTTGGAGATGAAATGGACCACAGGGATCATTGTCTCCTCCTTCTTCCTTTCATGGGGTGGGGTGGGGGGGTTGGGAAATAAAGTCTGGAGACTTTAAATAACCTTTTAAGGTCACATAGCTAGTTTGTGGCTAATAATGAAAAAATATGTACTGTGACCAATGACTGATAATGGCAAACTGGGAAAACTAGCAAGGTTAAAAGGTTTAATTACACTGGCCATTGCCTGTAGAAGTAATGGTTTGTAACTCCTTAGTGGTTACTGATAACAATGTAAATATCTCATTAAATTAGCCAACTTAAAAAAAGTGGGGGGGGCGGGGCGCGGAGAGGGGGACTACTTCTATGTTAGGGATACTTGTGGCCACTTTAATAGAAGTTTCACAGTACTTGTCTTTTCATACAGAATAATTTAGTACTGAATAGATACATATACATGGTTTAATCTCATTTTTTATCTGTAGGATATGGAAGAATCTCAACAAAGCTAAATATGCTGGCAGGTAAATTAGCTTCTCACTTAAACAGTTGATCTTATGTTATTTAAAATGATGGCAGCATGAGGAAAAAAGTCAAGACCACCGGGTTCTAGGTTCTAGTTTCAGCTTAATTGTTTTCACTGAATTAATCACATGGATTACAGCTCCATATCATGTTTACTTCCAAGCACATATTAAGGAAGAATCTGAAGCTTCAATATGAACCTAGGCAGAAATGAGTTTTGAAAGTTTGTTCCAAATAAAACAAAGGATTTTTGAATGGTGTTTGTTTTCTAAAATATCATTACATTTGTGCTATTAGAAAAAAAAATTCAACAGAATACATAGATAGCCATTATCCATACACCAAGCCATAAGAAGAATAATTTCCTCATGTTTTGTCTTTTTCTCCCCACATTAGGCTTCCCAGTTTCGTTTTCTGATGGTCCTTCCTCATCTTCCCTTTTACTCCCACTATGATCCTCACTGCTGCCATCATCATCGCCATTCTTGTTCATTGTTGTTCACAGTGTGCCAGGCACAGGCACACACTTGTACAACGGTTATCTCTTTTGACTCTCATAACACCCTATAATGTGGGTATCATCACCACCAATTTCCAGCTGAGGAAACTGAGGCAGAGAGGATATGTGACTTACCCAAGTCACATTCAGCTTGTCCAGGATAATCTTCAGGTCACCCTAAACCCTAATTGTGTGTGTGTGTGTGTGTGTGTGTGTGTGTGTGTGTGTATCTTTTTCTTTTATTTTTTAAATTTCAGAACTCTTGTACTTAAATATTACCTACTAACATGAACCTAAAAAGGTCATGACATCTCAGAGGCCAGAAGAAAACAGCATAAAAAGAAGAAGCTAAGTTGGGTGCTACAGTGATTTAAAAAAAAAAAAAAAAAAAAATCAAGGTGTTAAAAAGAGCTTGATCTGATGTGCTGAGTCTGGTGAAGATTTGCTGAAAGTTTAGTTGTTTGCTTTGCCCTGGGCAGGGAAGGTTATTATGATTACAATTTTTTCTTAAGAGGAAAACAAAGCAGATTTTTTCCTGACAATAATGTCAGTTCTGACTTCATGCTAACTTGAAGGTAATCATCTATGATTTGGGGAACCATAGTGACACAAACCCTGTTTTTGCATTTTCTTCTATCAGCCAAGAAGTGACATCTTTCGATCACGTGATCATTGATTTTAGAGAAACAGCTTAATCTATTAACTAATCAGATGGGCAGCACTCTTCTAGTTAAAATACTTTGAAGAAAATGTTTATATAAAATAATTGCAGGAATAATAATTGACTGTACTGACTGAATACTCAGTAAGAGCCCCGCATTGTATTTGCCACACTGTGCATGCCTTGACTTAATCCCCCAAATAACACAGGTGAATGCTACTATCCCCATTTTACACACGAGGAAATGGGACCACAGCAAGGGTAAATGACTGACTCAAGCCACAGAGTTGGGAAGTGATGATTTGATTCTAAGCAACAGAGGTCATGTCCTTCACCTCTAGGCTAAACCATCTTTCCATCCATCTAGAATATTACATAGAAACCAACCGAGGTAGGCTAAAAATAGCCCCCAAGTATGTCCACATCCTGTTCCCCAGACTCTGTGAATGTCACCTTATATGCGAAAGGGACACTGCAGATTGGGTTAAGCTAAAGACCTTGCAGTGGGGACCCTGAGATGACAGTGATTACACAGGTGGGCCCAGTGTTATCACATGGTCCTTGTACAAGGGACCCAGGAAGTCATAGAGGAGACAGCAATGTGATGACAAGGATGGGGGCAGAGGCTGGAGTGATGTGCTTTGAAGATAGAAGAAGGGTCCACATACTAAGGAATAGAGGCAGCCACCAGAAGCCAGAAAAGGCAGAGAAACAAATGTTCCCTCAGAGACTTCAGAAGAAACCAGCACCACCAACACCTCACCTTTAGCCCAAGGAAACTGACTTTAGACTACTAACCTCCAGAATGGCAAATTAGCATTGTTTTAAAGCATGAAATCTGTGGTAATTTGTTACAAGAGTAAGAGAAAACATTTATACACAAAAATGAGAAAAACAACTGCACAACAATCCTTTGAAAGGATCAGAGAAGCACTGGGGCACAGACAACGGGAACAACCATGCTCTTGACATTTTGAAGTCGGAGCCACCTCTTGGGGAATATCCTCTATGCTGGCCTCTGCCAAGACTACTTCTGCAGAGGGTGTTAACGCCTACCTTCCTGAGCCTGTTAATTCCGTTGAAAGCCGGGAACTGTAATCCACCTCCTGTCAAACATCAAATACGTCCATAACTTCGCTTACTTTCACCTTCCCTCCTTATTTCTAAGGGTTTGCACGCATCCTTCTTTTGCTCACTGGAATGTTCTCACTCCGCTTCAGCTCAGGTTCAAATACAACTTGGCCACTACTAGCTGTGTGGACTAGGTATGAGTGAGTAAACACTGGGGGCCTCAATTACCTCACCTGCTAATGGGGATCATAAGGGCACCCACCCTGACAACCTCCTAGAGAGGTCGTGAGAGTCGAATGCTGTAACACATGGAAAGCCCCAGAACAAGGCCATCACATGCACTCTGCAGGTGGTGGATTTCACTACCCATCTCCAACCTCCCCTTTCACTGCTTTCCTCCCCTCATCTGACCAATATGTTCAAATCTCTCTGTCCTCAAGCAAATCTTAAACCCACCTGTCGAAGGTACCCTGCTTCCCTGCGCCTTCCCTCTGCTGCCAAACTAGGCCCATGCTGGCTGCCCTGCTTTCCCACCTGCCCGCCCCAGCCTGCTGCCGTCTGATCTACTCCTTTCTGCCTCTCCACTTCACAGGCCCAGTCCCTATTAAGAATTTCTATGGATACGCACTGTGGGCTGCAACCACGTCAACCACTGTCACACTCCCCAAGTGTCTGTTCCTCCTCTCAGCCTGCTGGTTCTTGGCCTCCTTTTCTCTGGCTCACCTTCCTTTGTCCAGCCTCTAATCAGTGGTTCTCAACTAAGGGTGATTTTGCTTTGGCACCCTGCCCCTCACCCCGGTGGATATTTGCGATGCCTAGAGACATTTTTCATTACCAAAATTTGTCAGGGGTTGGAGGTGCATGCTACTGGCATCTAGTGTGTAGAGGCCAAGGATGCCCCTAAATAAGCATCCTACAATGTATAGGACAACCTCCAATAACAAAGAATTATCTAACCCACAATGTCAATAGTGCCAAGGTAAAGTAACTCTGATCTAAATAAATCCATTATCCAAGGGTCTAGCTTGTCTGTCATTGTGTGTGTGCCTTTGTGCAAACAGCTCTGCTAGACCCAACCCAGGCTCAGTTCTAGAGTTCACACAGTCTGCATGGCATCCACATATCCATATCTGCTTGCCCACCTTGCTCAGTGCCCCAAGAAGCTGATTATACAGACTACGTCAACAGGACTCTCTTGCCCTTGGACTTGCAGTGCAAACTGCAGTAGGAGAGAATAATAAAGTCAAGGTATGTATTCCCTTTGCTCCTTTACTGAAAGGTTGCCTGAGGTGGTCCATTTTACTTCACTAGAGGTCACTTCCTGCAATGTGGCTGTCACTACATGACCCTCCCTTTCTAGGCCAGGTAATTATTTATTTCCCTTGTCAATTCACGTATAGCAAAAGTATAAAATCAGCCACTAAGGCCCAGATACTGCACTAGGATACTGCACTATCCTTTGTGGTGCCCCCATCCTAAAACCTTCTGAAATGGCTCCTTTGTAAATAGACACTTCTTGAATATCCAATTCTGGGTATGTCATACATTTTCTGCCGTGACATACTCCACCCATTGTCATTTCCTGACATTCATGACAGCACCACCAACTTTATGGTGACCCATATTCAAACTTTTTCCATTCCTGCTATAGTTTGAACATCGGTGCCCTCCAAAGCTCATGTTGAAATTTAATCCCCACAGTGGCAGTATTGAGAGGTGGGCCTTTAAGAGGTGGTCGGGTCCCTGAGACAATCCCCTACTCCGCTATCCGCTACATCCAATCAACTGGCAAGTGCCACAGAATCTACTTCCACGTATTCCTTACTTCAGCTTTCACTTGACCCTTTCCAACTGGCTATTGCATTAGTTCAATCTGTTATTTCATATTGCCTATAGTGATGCAGCAATTTCCAAACTCTTCCAGGTCCAATTTCTTCCCTATATTTTCCACCTTCCAACACCAATACTTTCATCCCAGGCAGGCTTCCATAATTTTCCAGTAGCCAAAGTGAATGTTCTTTCTTTTTGGAAACATTATTCTATGTCATCTTACTTCACTTTACCTTTCATAAGGTAGTAACTGACACTTTCTATTCTATTTTAATAGTAAAAATGTCTTTGACTTCTACTAAACTTAAGTTCCTTGAGGTTCTGCAGAGCTGTGCTTTTTATATATGTTACTCCAAGAGTACCTAGCCCTATCTTCCATACAGAGGGGACACATTAAGTATTTATTAAATGGAAAAATGACTTTTCTGTCCTTCCTTCATAGTAAGTGAAGACTGAGTTAGTTCACACTGTTCCCAAATAATCTCTCTCTGAAACCTTTCCCTGATTTCACTTCCAGCAGAATTTTCATAATCAAGTGGTCATTGTCTAAGCAAAAAGATATGAAAGCAAACCCTTCCTCTGCCACTCCATAAAAAGCAAATACTTGGCCAGGTGCGGTGGCTCATGCCTGTAATCCCACCACTTTGGGAGGCTGAGGTGGGCAGATCACTTCAAGTTGAGAGTTTGAGACCAGCCTGGCCAACATGGTGAAATCTCGTCTATACTAAAAATACAAAAATTAGCCAGGTGTGGAGGCACGCTCCTGCAGTCCCAGCTACTCAGGGTGCTGATGTAGGAGAATCACTTGAACCCAGGTTGCAGTGAACCAAGATCGCACCACTGCACTTCAGACTGGGTGACAGAGTGAGACTCTACCTCAAAAAAAAAAAAAAAAAAAAAAAAGCAACTACTCACCTCTTAGGCACTCTAGCTAATCCTAAGAATATTTGTTTTCTGTGTCAGTGTGGCATAATGGAACTTCAGATGGTTGACCAAATCACATGCCCTTAATTAACTGTATGATTTATGATAAATTTCTCAGCCTCATTTCTTCAACTGTATAATGAGGATGAAAATAACAGCTTGCTAGGATGTAGAAACAAATAAAGAAATGTATATAAAACTTTTCCTAACTGCAAATAGTGTAAAAGTATCACTTAATTATTCCAGTAGCTTCTATATCAACTTGTCTCAGTGAATGAAAGGATAACAGCGAGTTTCTGGCTGTTTAAGTTTTAGATGACACGCCACTTAGCAAAGCACAGATGAATGACAACCATTGGTGATGTCTTCCCTAATCAGCTGTGTCAAGCTAAATTCACTCAAAGTAGTGAAGCATCTATGCTTCCAGAATTCTCTTCATGTGCAGAGAGTAAGATGGAAATTGTAAGCACTCCTCCTAAATGAATCCAAAGTGCTCTGCTGTATACCCTGGAATTGAAGTAGAATCTCAGAGATTATTTCAACAAAATATTCTTAATTATTTTGAAATCATAATTACTGAGTCACCTCAGATCCCTTATAGGACATATCAAACCATTAAACAAAAGAATTCCACTTGTTTCTGGGCATTAGACCTTCAGTATAATGTAAATAAAGACTTATGTAGCATGTAAAATATATGTAAAGGGCTAAATATACTAGAAAGTGTTGTAGTGCTGCTGAGTCACCCATGAATTTACATCACACAGACAGACCCAACCCTATGCTTAGGAAGGTGAGAAAAGAGAGGAGATGAGAGAAAGAGAGTGAGAAAGAGGAAGGGAGGGTATAATCGATTGTATTTTCCAAAGATGGCTACAGCAATATCTCCCAGCCCACATGTTTTAATGCAATGTGACCTTGCCCCTCCCACATCAAGAGAAGCCTTTCTCCACTCTCTTCAGTCTGGGCAGGCTCTGTGACTACTTACACCAATAGAATTGAGTAGAAAGAGCACTATGGCAGTTCTACCTACAGCCCCTAATGGCCTGGCATTTTCTGCTTCCTGCCCCTTGGCATGTTTACAGCAGGCAAAACCAGTGATATAGGAGTTAAGAAGAAATTATTTAGGCAGATAGTGAGGGTAGAGGAGTACTTGGTAAGGTTTTCCTTTTAATGAAAAGAAGCCCCCAAATCATTTTCTTTTCTAACAAAAAGCAGCCCGTAAAACTGAGCTGCAGACATAGACAAGCAAGCTAGAAGCTTGCCCGGGTGAATGCCGGCAGTTGTGCCAATAGGAAAAGGCTACCTGGGTCTAGGCATGTCCAACATGGCGGCTCCATTTTCCCTTCTCTTTGCCATCAACTTGTGTAGTAAGAAGCAAGCAACATGCCGCCGGCCAAGCAAAGAACCTATTTTTATAAGATTAGGGTGGGGTGGCCAGCTTCCCCATGCGCTATGTAAATGTCACACCTGATCCAACCAATCTTTGGGCCCTATGTGAAAATACCATCTTGGATGTCCAGCCAGGTTGAGTCTTCAGATGACTCAAGCCCCAGCAGCCTACAAACTACAATTGCATGAGGGACCCCAAGTGAGACCTGCCCCAGTGAACCCAGTCAACCCACAGGAATGTAAGATATAATGATACATTATTTTAAGCCCCTGGATTCTGCGGTGATTTAATAACTATCAATAGATACTTAGAACAGAAGGAAAAAGAGTTAGAGAGAATAAGTAATTCAGAGTCCCCCCCCTCCCTTTACCTACTAATGTCAAATGGAATCTGCTATTCCTCTCTTTGAATGGGCTGAGAGGTCTGGATAAACCATTTCCATCATACAATCAGCCCTCCATATCCATGGATTTCATATCCATGGATTCAACCAATATTTTTGATGGTTACCCATGCAACTACTCACCTCTTAAGGTGACGGTTACCCATCAAAAATATTCAGAAAAAAAACATGCATGGTTCTGTCTGTACTGAACATGTATGGACTATCTGTTCTTGTCATTATTCTCTAAACAGTACAACAACTATTTGTATAGTATTTACACTTTGTTAGGTATTTGAAGTAATCTGGAGTATACTGACTGATTGAAAGTCTACAGGAGAATGTGCGTAAGTTATATGCAAATACTACGTCATTTTATAAAAGGGACTTGAGCATCCTGGAAGCAATCCCTCACTGATACAAAGGGATGCCTGTATTCAGTTCCCATGTTCCTTTCATAGTGTAAGTATCATAGCTAAGAGTGATTCAGAGTGTTTAAAGACACTGTTTTTTTGCTGAGCATGGTGGCTCATGCCTGTAATCCTAGTGCTTTGGGAGGCTGAGGTGGGAGGATTGCTTGAGCATAGGAGTTCAAGACTAGCCTGGACAACATAGTGAGACCTCACTGGTGTGCACCTGTCGTTCCAGCTACTGAAGAGGCTGAGGCAGGAGGATCGTTTGAGCCCAAGAGGTTAAGGATGCAGTGAGCCATGACTGTACCATAGCACTCCATCCTGGGTAACAGAGTGAGTGAGATACTCTCTTAAATCAATGAATGACTAAATAAATTTTTTAAAAAATTTAATCAAATAAATAAATTGCATTAAAAATAAAGACATTATTCATAGTTTTCATACAACATGAATATGAATACAAACCAATCACTTTTTCTGGTGAACTGAAGAAATACATCCCTTCAACACTGGAGGAAAAAATGGCTCTGTTGATCTCATTGATAAATGTAGGTCTGCAATAAAAAGCCTCTTAAGGAAATTTCAAGATTGTTTTCCTTTTTTAAAGTAGCTTGAAAAAACACTTAAACGAGGTTAATTTTGACTTAACATGAATTTTGATTTATTTTATAGGCTGACTTTAGAATCTAATAACGATATATACTATTGATATAGTTTGACTGTGTTCCCACCCAAATCTCATCTTGAACTGTAGTTCCCATAATCCCCAGGTGTCATGGGAGGGACCTGGTAGAAGGCAATTGAATCATGGGGGTGATGGTTGTATAAGGGGCTTTTCCCCCTTTGCTTGGCTCTCTTTCTCTCTCCTGCTGCCCTGTGAAGAGGTGCCTTCTGCTATGATTGTAAGTTTCCTGAGGCTTCCTCGGCCATGTGGAACTGTGAGTTAATTAAACCTCTTTTCTTTATAAATTTAAGGTATTTTTTCATAGCAGCGTGAGAATGGACTAATACAACTATATATTACAATGATGATGATGACGATGATGGAAGAGGACAAGGATCATATGTCAACCAACCAGTGAATTTAGTTTATAAATAGGGTCTTGCTACCTTTTGGAGATGTGAACATTAATGGTTATTAACAGAGCCATAATTCATTTATGTTTAAAGCAATTCTATGCTTCCAGTGAATAAAGTATCATTTCATTCTTGGAGGGCCCATGACCCAAAGTGAAAGAAACTGATCCTTATCCAGCTGAATCTAATATAAATGAATAAAACTCTTTAAGACTTCAAAAATAAAAGGTGTAGATTCAAGTTAAAAGCAGCTTTTACCAGGCCAAGTCCTTTCAACTTTTCTTTAGGAAAAAAAATCAAAGGCACTTACATCCTAAGAAATTGTCTCCCACAGTCAATGATCATTAATGTCTTTATATATTTTTCTTACGACTACAAAGAGACTCAACATTTTACTAGATTTCATGAAAATATAAACTGGGGGTTCCTATCTGCTCAACAGGTCTGTAAGCTTCTGTGTTCTGAGACCCTGTTATGCTTGGCATGGTCATAGGTAGAGGAGTTTCATCAAATCTGTGCTGAATAAATGCTTATATATGTGTGTGTGTGTGTGTGTGTGTGTGTGTGTGTGTGTGTGTAAAAGCATTTATATAGCTTTTAAATTGCTTTACTTTTATTCAGTTTTTCCTATGGAAAAAATAATCGTAAGATATAGATAACAAAAGGCCACCAGATCATTGATAACCCCAAATACCTGGATACTACCATTACCAACACTCTGATGTTTGGGTCCAGGTTTTTTTCTATTCCTGTACAGATTTATATATATATATATATAAACTGGAGATAGGTGCTATAATTTTGTGACCTGATTTTCTGGCTGAATGAGTAGTTCTAAGGTGATCTCTATTTGCTTCTAAGTTTTATTCTCAAATTCCCCTCTTTTGACATACTTGCACTCTTTGAGATGAAATACCTACTATCAAAAGTCATCTCACAGTTCATATTGGAGATACTTAGTTCTTTTGAAAAGAGGTAAAGTAATACATAGTCAATCCTAAAGCTCTCTCTGAGCAAGTGAGAAAATAAATAGCTTAGTATTGTGCGTGAAAACAAAACAAAACAAACAAACAGAACTTGAACCCCAGGGCTAGAAGAGGCAGATGGGAGACAGCAACAGATGAGAATGACCAGCAAGTTTTACTTGTGGTAGGGATGGTGATGGCTATCTAATCCAGAGGTTATCGAACTGTGGTCCCCAGCCAGCAGCATCAGCATCATCTGAAAACTTTCCAGTATTGCAAATTCTTGGGTCCATCCAGACTTACTGAATCAGAAACTCTGGGGGTGGAGCCCCCCAGTCTGTGCTTGAACAAGCCCTTCAGGTGATTCTAATGCATGCTGAAGTTTGCATAACCCTGCCCCAAGCCAACAGGAGAATCACGTCCAGGTTGCACAATAAAATATTTTTTTTCTTTTTTTTTACAACTGATGCCTGGACACCACCCCAGTCCCACTAATTTAAAGAACCCCCTGGGTTGGTAGCTGAATATTCTTATGCTTTTACAGTCTCCCCAGATGATGCTAACCAACAAACGGTATTGAGGATGTTGGTCTAACACATGTATGAGTACAATCAATTGAGTGACAAATTGAGAAAGGACCACACAGGGCTGAGAACTGTTGTATATTCTGCCACAGCAGCTGAATGATTGTACACACATTTAACGGGAGTATCATCTTGTTTATTTTACTTCATTGGGTCAAGGTGTTAAAAAGAGATTTAAAAAAATGCTTTTGAAGAGAAATTTTAAGTGATATTTGAAAGTAAGTATTATTATCAGCTAATATGTTTTTTGACCTACCATATAAATTTAAAGACTTTATACACAAAGAAACCTCACAATTGCAATCATGTATGGCAAACACCTTACCTGTCCAGCCCAGAATTTGATATAATAACTTAAAATTTAGAGTTGTCGAAAACCACTGAGCATAAAAATATTAATAACTGTCCTATACCCTTAATAAGAATAAGAAGTATTAGAGTAGAACAAAAAGGACAACAGCCTGCATGTATCAAGAATTTTCATACATATCTTCCTTATCCTGGTAACAACACTATCGGGTAGGTTATATAAAATTTATTGGACAGTAGTAATTACTATTAAAAATGAGGACCCTGAGTCATTAGGAAAGCTAAGTTTTGTTCAAAATATTTTGCTTAAGAAAATATGAAGTAAATTGGCAGACTTCTCACATAGAACTCAAAAGCACTAGCATGGAAGAGAATTGGATAAATAAGAAAATAAGAAATGGAATAGGCAAGTTTACTTAAACAGGAAACAATCATTAATCATTTAAAAAATTACATTTAAGTCTAATTTGTAGAGTTTCTGTTCATCAAAAGTTGACACTAAGAGAGTGAAGTGGCAAGACACAGACTGAGAAATAATATTCACAGTCTATATCTGATGATGGACTCAAATCCAAAGCATTCAAAAAAAACAAAAACAAACAAACAAACAAAACTACCGGCCAGGCACGGTGGCTCACGCCTGTAATCTTAGCACTTTGGGAGGCCGAGGCGGGCGGATTGCCTGAGTTCAGGAATTCGAGACCAGTCTGGCCAACATGGTGAGACCCCGTCTCTACTAAAAATACCTGTAATCCCAGCTACTCAGGAGGCTGAGGCAGGTGAATTGCTTGATCCAGGGAGGTGGAGGTTGCAGTGAGCAGAGATGGCACCATTGCACTCCAGCCTGGGTGTCAGAGAGAGACTCCGTCTCAAAACAAACAAACAAACAAAACTAACAAAAATCATTTAGAAAGAAATTGATTTTAAAATCAGCAAAGACTTGAAGCATTTACAAAAAAAGATTCAAATGGCTGATAAGAACATGAAAAAGTATTCAATGTCATTCTTTTCAAGGAAATGCAAATTAAAACCACATTGAAATATCAGTACACACCCATCAATACATATCCACTATTACACACATACCATAAATTATTTGTTTAAACAATTCAATTCCTGTATATATTTCAGAGAAATGTGAATGTAATTGCTCATGAAAAGACAGCTTCAAGAATGTTCATAGCAGCTTTATACATAATTGTTAAATTATGAATAGGAAAAATTCAAATACCCATTGGCACAACAGTGATAAAAAAATGCCTGTACATACAATGGCATACTACATGGTAGTGTAAAAAATGAATTGTTTGTATATGCAACAACATAGATTACTTCAAAATGTCTTGTTGAGCAAGAGTCTAGATGCAAAAGAGAACATATAGTATGAATCTATTTACATGAAGTTCAAGAACAGGCAAAACTAATGGATGATGACAGAGCTCAGAAGAATGGCTGCTTTGTACGGGAAGAGAGGATGAAATGAGAAGGGTGATGAAGAAGCATCTGAAGACAGGTTCTTGCTCTGTTGCCCAGGCTGGAGTGCAGTGACACAATCACAGCTCACTGCACCCTTGACAACCTGGCCTCAAGCAATCCTCTCACCTCAGCCTCCTGAGTAGCTGGGTCTACAGGCATGCACCACCATGCTTTAATGACTTTTTTATTCTTCGTAGAAATGGAGTCTCACTATGCTGTCCAGGCTGGTGTCAAACTCCTGGGCTCAAACGCTCCCCCTGCCTCAGCCTCCCAAAGTGCTGGGATTATAGGCATGTTCCATATCTTCATCGGAGGTGGTTACACAAGTACATATGCTTAAGATTAGCATGCTTTACTATATGACATAACTAAATGTAAATTAATATTAAAAAGACAAGAAAAAACATAATCCATCGTCAAAAGATAACATCTAAAATAATTCCATTGACAGTGGCTTTATTGCTTATGGAGTTTAAAACCACAGTTATCCAAAAGAGAAATGTCTTCAGGATTTTGTCTCATTATCTTTCACTTCAGGAGTAATAAATACTCGTTAGTTTTCTCAAGTTCTTAATAATGAGGAATGAAAAATGTAAATATTTGTCATCTCCTTGAATATTCATATAAACATACCCCACTGAAAAGTAGTCATATTTTTCAACTGCACCATAATTTGCTCTGTAGATTTTGGTTATTTATACTTGTTTAAATAAGATAGCAGTAGCCATGCTTCCAGTTACTGTATGTTGTTGAAGCAAAATGAGATTTTTAAAATGCACTGTTTTATACTGGATAAAATTTATCACCTCTATGATGAAGTTATAAAAATATATATTAAGGCCAGGTGCGGTGGCTCACGCCCGTAATCCCAGCACTTTGGAAGGCCGAGACGGGTGGATCACGAGGTCAGGAGATCGAGACCATCCTGGCTAACACAGTGAAACCGCGTCTCTACTAAAAATACAAAAAAAAAAAAAATTAGCTGGGCATAGTGGCGGGCGCCTATAGCCCCAGTTACTAGGGAGGCTGAGTCAGGAGAATGGCGTGAACCCGGGAGGCGGAGCTTGCAGTGAGCCGAGATCGGGCCACTACACTCCAGCCTGGGGGACTGAGAGAGACTCCGTCTCAAAAAAAAAAAAAAAAAAAAAAAAAGAAAAAAAAATAACTTTTAGCCGTCCCTAGGTTGGAAACAATTAGAATATGGATCTAGTAATATCATTTTAAGAAACAGCAAAAAAGTATAACTATAAAAAATGGCATTTGGAATTGTGTTAAGTTACCGATATATTTCCATGAACAACTAGTTTCAGAATATTGTAATGAATATTGAATATATAACTTCAAATATTGATGTTACTGTTCTCAGACTGGTCAAGACGGAAGAGGATAGAACATCATTCTTTTAAACTGACACCAGCTGCTTCTTAACAATCACCACATACACGCTTATCTGGCTGACCAATCAGAAGTAGGCTCCTTAAAAGCAAGTATCTGCTGACCATTTATAGTAATTTTCACATGAAAACAGGTTCATCAAAAACAGCTTAACCTTTGCCGACACTAAACATGTGCTTCAGAAAAATGATCTTTCTGTCTCAACTGTACTATTATTTCTAATTCCATATCCCTCAATACTTAACAAAACACAATTTTCACAACACCTTTCCTTCAAAGTGTTTCACAAATACAGTTTTTCATTCTGTATGTATTCCGCCTATACCTGCTTCACCACTTGAGGGTGCAGAGGGCATTCATCTTAGCAGAGAAGTGACACCAAACCAGCTGCCTGGGCTTCCCATTTTTAGTTGAGCGTGATTTTTAAAAATAACACTAAAGTATAGCACAGTGGCTATGGGACTGCTTGGGTTCACAAGTTAAAAACAATATGAACTCAATAAATCTAGCTACTATTTCCATTGTTGCTGCTATTATTACTATTAATTTTATAACAAAGCAGATAGGTATTTGGAATCCAGGGATGCTAGTGTGCGTGCAGTCTCTCTTTATTTTTTTTTTATTTTTTTTATTTTTTTGAGATGGAGTCTTGCTCTGTCGCCCAGGCTGAAGTGCAGTGGCGCGATCTCGGCTCACTGCAAGCTCCACCTCCCAGATTCACGCCATTCTTCTGCCTCAGCCTCCTGAGTAGCTAGGACTACAGGTGCCCGCCACCACGCCCGGCTAATTTTTTTGTATTTTTAGTAGAGACGGGGTTTCACCGTGTTAGCCAGGATGGTCTCGATCTCCTGACCTCGTGATCTGCCCTCCTCGGCCTCCCAAAGTGCTGGGATTACAGGCGTGAGCCACCGCGCCCGGCCTGTGTGCAGTCTCATTTATATATTTTAGTTACACAAAATCAGAAGGAAATCGAAGAGGTTGAAATCCTAATTCAGAGAGTTTGCTATCCTAATATACTTAAGGAGAGCCAACAATTCAATGAAAGCAAATGCACCATACCATTTATATTTCATTGACATTCTTGAACCTCCATTCTACTTTGAAAATTTGTTATACAGAGAAGAAAAAAAATCACCTTATACAGAGAAGAAAAAAAAACACAGAAAAAAATCTGAATTTCTGCTGCATTTCCATCTCTATATTGTTTAAACAATAAACTCCCTCTACCAAGGAATTACTATGAATGCAAAAAACTGTAATTTATTGCTGTAAATATTTATCAAGCCATTGATATCCTATGCATTTCCCTCTCTACTTTAGAAGTCAACATTTATTTGTAAGTTGTAAGAAGCCCAAAGAAAAGTTCTGGGGACTAGACCATGCTAAATTGCTATAAGATTTGAGGATCCTTCTCCTCCCAAGAAACAAAAAGAGATTGATCATTATGAATCTACATGAAGAACTTTCCACTTTCTTCCAAGAATTTCGAAAAGCTATTTTCTAGTTCAGCAGGAAGAGGATCGTGTGTTCATATTTCCATCCTGAGCTTGTCATGGCATTTTCAGTATTGTTTTCAAGAGTAATAAGGCTCATAAAATGTCAATCAAAACCCACCACCGGCAGGGAATGTGTTGGAAGCTGTTACATAATCAGCATACCTGTTTCAGCACAACACAAGTGGCATTTTTCATGTCAATACTGAGTTCACAACTTTAAATCTCAGATTTCCTGTGCCTCTGGATTGCCATGGAGGTCGGGACTCTGGCAGTCTGAGCAGCCTTAGTCAAAACCCAAGCGTCCCATTGTCTAATAGAATAATGAGTCATTTCACCCTCCCAGGTCTCCTTCCCCTGAGTAATAGAATTATTGGGAGGAGGTGTGAGGGAAGGGCAAAACAGGGCACTTCTGACAGCTGCAGGAAAGGCTGGAGAAATTCTCAGCCCTTGCAAGCACTCAGATTTTCTAAGCTGACACCCACCCTCAAATTTAAACTTGGATGCTGCTGTACTACTACGGTACTCAATAATCTCTACCTGCACATCCCAGCCTCACCTACCAGAAGCCCAGACACCCAATGCACTGTGCTCTGAGCTAATTCTACTTGGTGAAAAAAAGTATGGTACAGTTTTTTTATTTTATTTCTGAATAACCACTAGCTAAGACATAATAGTTATCGGAGTCCTAAACTATCTTAAAAATTTAAGTAGGAAAAGACATTGGACTGGCATGCTAATCATCTCCGAACAGGCTTTCTCCATGGCATATTCTCCAACCAACTCAAATTGTAAATGATTTGGGTAACACAGCTTTCTGAGTTTCCTTAGAGTTTTTTTTCCCCAAACAACAGCAATTTTACGGGAATGTGGACCAAATAAATACTATTTTAGTAGGTGAAATATGGAGAGAGGAAAGTGGACAGACGAGAGAAAGAGCATTGGTGAGGAGGGAGAGGAGGAAAAGGAAAAGAAGAAAGAAAGGTTAGAATAAAAAGAAAAAAAAGAAGAGAATAAGAAAGATAAGAAGGAAGAAGTAATGAAGAAAAGGAAGAAGAGGAGGAGGAAGAAAAGAGGAAGAGGAGGTATTCTTTTTACAGACTTTTATTTGCTTGGTATTTCCACACTTGTTATAGCGTAACTTTTCATACACATATATATAGAGACAGAGAGAAAGAGAGAGAGAGAGAAAGAGAGAGAGAGAGAGCAAAATTCTGTCTCAGAAACAAAACAAACATAACTATATATAAATACTATATATATATATAAATACTATATATATGTGTGTGTACTTGAGAGGCTGAGATGGGAGGATCACTTGAGCCCAGGAGGTCAAGGATGCAGTGAGCTATGATTGAGCCAATGTACTCCAGCCTGGGTGACAGCGTGAGATTCTCTCTCTAGAAAAAAATGTCAAATTGAGGGACATTGTACAGAAATAACTGAGGAGTACTCTTCAAAAGTGCCAAGTCACAAAAGCTAAGAAAAGACTGAGAACCAGTTATAGGCTGGAAGAGATTAAGAACAAATAAATGTAATGTGAGATCCTAGAACAACAACAACAAAAAGGTCACTAGCTGGGTGTGGTGGCACACGCCTGTAGTCCTGGCTACTCGGGAGGCCAACGTGGGAGGATTGCTTGAAACTGGGAAGCAGAGGTTGCAGTGAGCCCAGATGGTACCACTGCACTCCAGTCTGAGCGAGAGTGAGACTCCGTCTCAAAAACAAACAAACAAAAAGGTTAGTAGAAAAACTGGCAAAATTCAAATAAGGTCTGAAGTTTAGTTATTGATATTGTATAATTGTTAATTTCTTGTTCTTGATAATTGTCATATGGTTTTCTAAGATATTACCATTAGAAGGAGTGGGATGAGAGAGGTGTATATTTTTTAAACTCTTTGAATTATTTTTGCAACTTTTCTGTAAGTCTAAAAATTCAAAATAAAATATTTTCAAAATGTGAAAGAATGTGTGTCTTAGAATCATTTAAACACCTAACTTAGGCTGGCGCAGTGACTCACACCTGTAATCCTTGCACTTTGGGAGGCCGAAGTGGGATGGGGAGTTGAGGGGCCGTGGGCGATATCGTTTGAGCCCAGGAGGTCTAGGCTGCAGTGAGCTGTGATTGCGCCACTGCACTCCAGCCTTGGTGGCAGAGCAAAACCCTGTCTCAAAAACAAAACAAAACAACAACCCAAAAAACACACAACTTAGAATTCTGTAAAAATGACATAATGTTCGTGTATTTGAATAATTTATTTATTATTTGAGGAACAGCGTGGTATGGTAGAAAGTGCCCTGGAATGGGTATTAAATCTTTGAGTTCTATTTTGATTCTGCCTAAATTCACAGAATATATTCTATAATTCCTGAAAATAATCACCCTGGTTCTCAATTTCTTCAGTCTGTAAAATGAGATTTTTGGACTACATGATTTTTAAGGGCCATTTCACCTCTAATATTCTCAGTATTTCTATTAATAACTAATCGGAATATATGATAGTGCTACCTTTATCTAAAATCAGCAAAATGGCCAGAGCTATTAATATTTTTTGCAATGTTGCATACATGCCTACACACACATTTTCACAACACAGATTTCTCTCTCTATATAATGAGTGCAGAATAAGCTACATCATAGCAAAACCCATGTCTACCCTGTGTTCACTGAGTGCTTAATTTATCCTTAGCACATAAAGATGCCAGGTGTTATTAGTGTGAAATGAAACTCAGCAGTTTTAGCAAGACTAGCACTGTTCCTAACCACTCTCTCAGAAAAAGAACCATGTGGGCAGAAATGTGAGCGGAGATATATATTTTAATCGCTGTTCACCCTTGCCAAAGCCCCAATTTCTAGTCTTCAGACAATCTGAATTAATTGATGAAAAAGAAGTCACTAAAAAAGTGTGTGGATAGTGTCACAGAAGAAGCCCCCCTTCCAAAGGAAAAAAAAAAGTTCCATGTATAAGATGCTTTTCTATATTTGATGTGGAATTCTACCCCTAGAAATAATGAGAAACCAGAAACCTGTTCTTCCCCTGAATTCGTTAGCAGAGGGGAGATAATGACAGGATTTTAAAAGTATCATAGTTGGATCTAGGCTGAGAATTGATCTTTCTAATAAAAATGTTTGTGAAAAAGGCACACAATATGGTAGATGCATTGCAGCATATTAATCCTCCATATAATAAAAGAAAAAACATACGAAAACCCTCTTTTCATTATTGTCTATAGCACAGATATGCTGTGGAAGCTGACCAGGCAAGGGAATTCAGTGGAAAATACTAAGTCATTACATTTCAAAACAAGATATACAGCACAGACCTCCCCCTGGGAAGTCTGCACACAGGATGGTGTGGGAGCTTTCTGCTGGGGGAACATTCTCCACCTTCTCTCCCAGTGATATGACGAAGCATCCAGGGAGTGGTAGCTCCGATGATGCTCATTTCAACATGTGCTGAATAATGAAGGGTGTGAACTGGCTGAGGAGGGAAGAAGAAAGTTTCCCAGCCAAGGGTGTGGAGAAGAGCCAAAGGGCTGTAGAGGGATTAGACAGATTGATGTGTAAATTGAGGGGTTGATTTAAACTGAATCAGGAATATAAGGAATCAGGAATATGACCCCTTGAGTTTTGACCCCTTCTGGGATTCTCTTGCTGTTAGTCTCTTTGGGAAGAGAATTTGTACAGGAGGCATTTCCTTGGGTGGGACCAGGAAGATTCCCCATGAGTAAACCAATGAGACAGTGTTTTCTGAGTCCTTCTCACTGAAGGTGGGGCTGCTGACAAGTGTCTAGACTGATCTAGGCCTAAGGCTACCTCTTGTGGTAAATCAGGTATTACAGATGGGTTTTCTAAAGTCGTGGCCTTTTAGAAGCCAGCCAAAGAGCTGGAGGGTCTATCCTAGCTGTGGATTCCCACTAGTGGGTTAGTCAGCCATCCTGCCAAAACCAACCAGGCAGATGGAATAGGGCTTACAAAGAGGATTCTTGCTACTATGTGTTGCGAAACAGTACTGCTCAACAAGGCCCCACGTTGTACAACTCCAGGGGGCATTGTTCACATTGCTTCTGTGTGGACGCCATCCCGTCCCTAGAGTTGTACATCTTTATGGCATTGCAATTCAAGGCATGTTATCCCCTTGTGTTCCAGCCTATGTGTGTTCTGGGTTTTTGTTGGTTGGTTTGCTTGTATTTGGGGAGGGAGGGAAAAAGAAGAAATAAAGGTAGTGGGACAGAGGACTGGATGGGAAAGAGGAGCTGGCAGGAATGGTGGGAAGAATTCAGGGACAGTTGGGTGCGGCGGCTCATGCCTGTAATCCCAGCACTTTGTGGGGCTGAGGTGGGTGGATCACCTGAGGTCAAGAGTTCAAGACAAGCCTGACCAACATGGCGAAACCCGTCTCTACTAAAAATACAAAATTGGCCAGGCATGGTGGCACATGCCTGTAATCCTAGCTACTCAGGAGGCTGAGGCAGGAGAATCTCTTGAACCCTAGAGGTGGAGGTTGCAGTGAGCCGAGATTGCGCTACTGCACTCCAGCCTGGGCAACAAGAGCGAAACTCCGTCTCAAACAAACAAACAAACCAACAACAACAACAAAAAGAATTCAGGGGCACCAGAAGAATCCCTGCTGAAAATTCTTATATACTTTTCACCTTTTGAATTTTTACATGTTGCAAGCAGCTATTTAGATAAATAAAGATCATTTAGAGGGCAACTAGGCCAACACCTACATAATCAGTCTCAGTTTGGTGGGGCTTGAAATGAAGAAAAGAAACATTTTGCAGTGTTCTTAGGTATGGTCCCCAGACTAGCAGCATCAACAACCTGGGAGTGTGTTAGAAATGCAAATTTTCAAGCCCCACCCCAAGCCTACCTGATCTGAAATCTAAGGGTGGGGCCCAGTTATCTGTGTTTTAACAAGCCCTATAGGTGACTCTGATGCATGCTTAAATGTGAGAACTACTGCTGTTTAGAATGAGCATGGAAAAATCAGGAGAAATGGCCTACAGGGCAAAGCTTGAGATTTCTGATTAGGAATAGGTTACATACTGATTTGGGGTACCTGAGGGATAGAATCTGGACATGGGGAACATGCAAGAGTAGAACCGGGCTAATCAGCGGATCTTCCAGAAGCTCTAAGGGTGAATGCAGTGCCAAAGAAAACAACCTTGGCCCTTGGACAGGAATAAGCCTGGATGGGAGTGCCAGGACTTGTTTTAAAAATGCAAATCTTGGTGCCCCCATTTAAACTAGAGTAGAATCTGCCAGTTCAACCCTTTGTCTTCTCATCTATCTCTGGAAGCAGGACAAGAAGAAGAAATCTGAACGGAAAGGAAACATTCTTATTTGTATGTTTGAAAATCTGGACCTTTCTGGAAATTGTCCTGAGCCAATGTCAAGAAGCTCCCACTCTTAAAAGATAGTCCTAGTTATTTATAAACCATCCGCTTACATTTCTGATGTCATTTATAGAAAAATACTGATTAATACCACATAAATTTGTTGCATCCTTTGCATTCTGACTGATGTGAGTGTGGAAATACAGAAGGTAATACATACACATTAGAAACAGACAAATATAAGTGAGTGAATTCAACTTCAACTTCAACAAGAGACTCCAGAGAGGTCTAGTTAGTCCAAAACCACTTTGTGGAATTCAGTTTGAGGCTGGATAAGCCTTGCAAATAGCACTAGACAAGAGTGGATATTATTAGGTTGGCAAAAACCGCAATTATTTTTGCACCAACCTAATAGAATATGGTCAGAGAAAAGCAAAGGATGAGCCAATATAACTTCTATTATAAAAAAGTAATTGAAAAATAAAACTTTTATGATGATTGATATTAGATGCATAGTACAATAAAATTACACACCAAAGTAAAAAATAACAAGGATGGAGATATTAAGTAGATGACAAATCCAATGCTCCAAAAACAAAACAATTTAAAATACATTTATTTCTATGTAAAACGATACCCAGAGAAGTGCTACACACTGGTTCTGTCCCACAGTAGAGACATGGCAAATCCCTGGCATTCTCGCTATTCCTGCCTATTTCCAGCCTGGGTCAGACATCACTATCAGCACTGCACTCCTCCCTGCTGAGCCCAGACTAAGCCTCAGAGTTCTCAACAGAAACAGCCATCAGCCATTACCAATCGATTAGAGCTGCTATTTTGCCATCTATGACTCTCTGGAATGGGCTGTGGCTGGTGAACTGGTCCTGCTCCCAGCTCTGCCTCTCATCACTTTGCCACTAGAAGCCTCTTCCATACAATGTCCCAAAGTGTGCCTGTTCTTATTAGTACTCGCTATTATAATTCCAGAACAGACCAAGAAGTAACTCTGTGAAACGTGTTTTCTTTTCGTCTCCTTTTCAGTATTACATATACATAAACACAGTTCCAATTTCCACAAATGTGGGGAAAATCAATGTTTCTAAAACTACAAAAAAAACTAAGAAATTATGAAAATGAATGGCATATATATAGATCATATAAATGTATCCTAAAATGTGAGGTATTTAAAAGTGGTCCAAGTTCTTTTTTACATTAAAAAAGCTAAATTAAAAAAAAATTGTGTGCTCACTTCAGCAGCACATATACTAAAAAAAATCATTGATAATGTGTTTTTAATGTATAATTTTAAAAAATCAGTCTCTGAATTTATGAGTATTATTGCTTATTGTCAAAGATAAGTACAAATAAAGTAACACTGTAATTAGCTTAGAGGAAAATATCAAATAAGTAATGGTGCAGGCAGGAAATATCTTGAAGGTGGCATGTGACCGAAGTCTGAGAAAAACTGTTACATAAACGTGTATTCATGTAGTGAGTCTCACCTAATTTCACTGCTGATTTACTACATCATCAGAAGCGTGTGGCAACTGCCCAACAACACACCACTAACATCTCCAACTGCCCCCTAATTAAATGTGAAGTTACGCTTGTCCTCTAGCAATTGTCTAACACTAAAATTTTATGATTTAAAAACAACTTACTCATGACCTTAGTTAAGATTCAAGAGGTAGAAAAGCCTAGCCCTTTGTCTGACCTACAATCGATAATTAACATGGTTATGTCCTCAGTCACAACTAACTAGTATCACCCCCAATTAACTTCCAAGATAGTTTTTTAATTAGCACTAACAATGCAAACTACTAAAAAAACAACAGCACAGGGTGGCATGGTAATAGGACTGCTTCTAAGAGTATTAATTTACTCTGACAACTGACAAGAAAAAAATTCTAAGGAAAACAAAAATTCCACTCTATTTTATCTTTGCCACTTATAATATGGTCTCACCTTAAAGGGCTAATTTATTTCACGTGTTTAGAGAAGCCATTTTTACTATCCCATATCCAAATGATATTGATCTTTTTTCTGTTTTAGAATAATACCAGGTTTCCATTTGTCAGAAGCATTCGTCATTGAGTGGTGAATTACATTGCAAGAGATGTCATAAGCTGCAGTTCGTCACCACCTGCCATGTTAAATAAACCTCAGAGGTAAGCACTAGGTTATAGGGCAAGTAAACAAGGCTTTTTTCCCCTTTTTCCTTAAACCATGCACTAAGTTGTACAAATAAATGCTAGCCTAGGTTTTCCATTTAGTACTAGGTTAAAAACAATGAGAGATAATGGAAATCAATAAAAACATCACATAAGTTACTGAATTACAAAAAAAAAAAACAGCTAAAAGCTGTATTTCAGCTAAACAGTAAGAATTCTTTCTTTTCAGAAAAACTGATTGCAAAAATAAAATGTCTAGGATTCTAAATATGGTTAATCTCATTGTAAAACATCCACGTAAATCTGTGAGATAGTGATTGTGGGTCCTTCTCCTTCCCTGACATTCCTTTCTTTTATTTATCCCAGATGAACTCCTTCGCTTCCCCCTCTCTCCTTCAGCTCTGTAAGAGTCCAGTCTATAGTTTTGGGGCCCCAAGCTCAGGCATTGAAACAAATTTAAAAGAAATCATAATGCATTGCAGTTGCAGGGCTGGGGGTGGGGGAGCGCTGGTCGCAGAGTTAGAAACTACAAGACAAAAAGCAATAAACTTAAAATGGTGAAATTTCAGGGCAGTAGTGGGGGAAGGGTGAACACTGGTAGATGAGGTTGCAGAATGAATTCACATGATTCAGAAATGCTTCTTGGCCACACAGGCCTGGAAAAAGAAAAACATGCCTTCTACCTTGGATATATCATGAATACACACTTGATGGCAGACATATCGCAATATACGATAACACTAACTTGTGTGGAGGGCAATGAGGTGTGTAGACCATGGAACATTAAACATGGAGAAGAAGAGAAGGGCAAAACTGATGGAAATTATAACTATAGTTATATACAGCATATATATAATAAAAATTATATAGTATATGTTATATAAATTATATATAATAAAAATTATATTATATTATATAAACTATATATAATAAAAATTATATTATATTATATAAATTATATATAATAAAAATTATATATTATATAAATTATATTATGTAAATGATATATTATATAAATTATATATTATATTATATAAATTATATAAAGTACATATAATATAATTTATAAATTATAATATATAAGTTATATATAATATAAATTATATTTAATATATTTAATACATTAAATATTTAATATATTTAATTATATATAATATAAATTATATATAATATAAATATATAATATATAATATAAATATAAATATATAATATATTTAATATATTTAATTATATAAAATATAAATTATATATAATATACTTATATAATTAAATATATAATATATTTAATTATATAAAATATAAATTATATATAATATATAATTAAATAATTATATAATATATTTAATTACATATAATATAAATTATATATAATATATTTATAATTTATATTATATAAAATTTATTTATATATTTATATATTTATAATTTATGTTATATAAAATTTATTTATATATTTATAATTTATAATTTATATATTTATACATTTATATATTTATAATTTATTTATAATTTTATATAAATATAAATATATTATATGTATATTTACCTAAATTATATATATTATATATTTGTATTTATATAAATTATATATAATAACTATATAATTATTATATATAATTTATAATTTATACATTTATATATTTATAATTTATTTATAATTTATATTATATATAATTATATAATATTAATTATATAATAATAATTATATATAATTTATATATTTAAATATATATATAATTTCAATTCCATTTTACAGATTACAAATATTAGGTTTTCTACAGGGAGGTTTTACCGTGTTCAGGTTCACCCAGATGACAAGTCCCAGCCTTTTCCCATTTTACTACAATTAGTTTTTCCAAAGATTCATAAGTAGATCCAACAAATGTGGTAAATACATTTTGGATCATCAAATTCCATTTGATAACCAAAGATGGCCAGATTTAGCATTTAAACCAAAAAGAAACAACCACTCTGTGAATTCCACCCAAAGGGATTATGAAGAATAGTTTATAAGCTGTCCCAGGTATTGATTTTCATTTAGAAAGCTTGTTTTTACACATCAATAGCATTATTATAAACTTGTTTTAACACCAATCTATACTTAAGGTGTCTCACATAACAACAAAGAAAAAAAAATCTATTTACCGCATTAGAACATTGAGGACTTCAGCATTTGCATATCTCCTAAGACTTAGAAACCAAATGGGTTAACAATCAAACTGAAGAAGTACTGGTGAAATGCATTCTAAATGAACACTCACTCATCTCAACACTGAGACTAAGGGCTGTTTCTACCGGTTCTCCATTTCATTGTCAGATACATGGTAGGCAGTAAATTCTCCTTATGAATTGGCTGACAAGAGAGTTCAGTGAACTAACATCAAATACTAAAATTTTTAAGACCCTAATTTGCAATTTGTAAAACCAGAAGTAACAATAAGTCCTTTAGAAATCAAAAGGGGATGTTGGCCTCAGAATGCCTTATGTTCAAGACTCGCTAGCTATTTTCTTGACAGAATTCTGTGTGACAGACACCACAACTACACATCTGATGGGTCAGAGCACTCTCTATTTCTTTTATAACTTTTTTAAACAATGAGGCCGGGCACGGTGGCTTACGCCTGTAATCCCTGAACTTTGGGAGGCCGAGGTGGGCGGACCATGAGGTCAGGAGATCGAGACCATCCTGGCTAACACGTGAAACCCCATCTCTACCAAAAATACAAAAAATTAGCTGGGCGTGGTGGCAGGCGCCTGTAGTCCCAGCTACTCGGTAGGCTGAGACAGGAGAATGGCGTGAACCCAGGAGGCGGAGTTTGCAGTGAGCCGAGATCACACCACTGCACTCCAACCTGGGCGACAGAGAGAGACTCCTGTCTCAAACATAAATAAATAAATAAAAAATTAAAAACACAATGAATACATCTTGCTCTTTAAGGTCACAACTTTATGGGAGACAGGAACCTTTCACACTTTATGGAAAGGTCAAAGCTATCCTAAAAATGGCCTTTGAACCCAATACATTTTTGACTCAGAGGTTCAGTTTATCTGCATTTTATCATTTCATTATAAAATAAGATGACCAGGCCCTTTTTTTTCTGGTCTATTATTTATTAGATATGAGTAAAGAAGCTTGCTTTTACTGAAAGTCTGACACATACCACTGTATACTGTGTCTTCTCCTTGTAAAAAGCATATTCAATTTCTCCCTCTTTTCTTAAAAATAGAAGTAGTTTTTGGCTCTGTTCTTTCTTGCTCCCTGTCTCTCTCCACATCTTTAAAAAACAGAACTGTTTCCTTTTCCCTGTCTTAAAGAAATATGCAATGAGTATACTTTCTATTGTTTTAGGAGAATGTCATGTTCCTTTAAAAAGGATGATTTTAGATATTGAACCTTTTACTTCCCTCTTTGTGAATACTTATGATTTTTAAAAACCACTTTCAGGTGAGCAACTTACAGTATAAAAACTAATGCATGTATACATATAAAATATGAAAAAAATATATTTCCACTGATGATATATGATGATAGAAATATCACAAATACTGTACAACTCAGCTAAATAAAGATTATAAAAGTAAGCAAGAAAATTTTTTAATCAATACTAATGTGAGTTGCTAATGAGATATGTGGGTTGCTTTTGATGGAAGGCAGTACTGGGATTAGTACTTAAATATTAATAAGTTGTTCCCTGCATAAGGTCAACTAAGGAAGAAAGCAAGTTCAGAAAACGTAAACACAATCCAAAATCTCAACTTCAAATATAAACTGAAAATATAATATTCAAGACCTCGTTCTCAGCATAGATGTTAACACTTCAAATACATCAGAACACAATTTTAATAACAGATCTAAGCTGTATTTCCTTTGAACTATTAGATGGCAACATTATACCCACATTCTTTACACTTGACCATGAACTCCAACTCATGTAATTAAACAGCATCAGGCCTATGTGAGACATGCTCAGCAAGGGGTGGGAACCAGGAAGCCGAATTTCCACTTTCCTTTGTCTGTATTTTACAAAATCATGCAAATTCCATGCACAATTAGTTAGAATTAGAGCTGTAATCTGATAGCTTGATGACAGAGCAAAATTAACTTGAAACAAAGAAAAATAGTAATTTGTGAAAATCATGCCCACTGGTAAGTTACAGTCACAGGGGAGGGCAGGATGGTATGGGAGAGGCCTCTTGGGATCAGGAATGCATTTCCAAGCAAACCTTATTTCCCCACAACAGCTATTTTAAGTGATGAGTAATAAGCTCTGGAAAAAAAAAAAAAAAATGGAGAAGCTGCCCTGAAGGGGAGGGAGGACACTTTATCCTCTGTCATGGAAAAACACGGGAGGAAAGATGGGGGAAGATAAGAGACACTGAGTGATGGAGGCAGGGACACAGGGTAACTCATGACACATGGCTTCCTTCCTTTCAGGAAAGCCAAAGGGGTTATCTTTTAAGCATGGAGGATTGTCAGAGTTTCATGAGCTTGAAAAATACAGGAATAGTTTGAAACAGCTGCAACGGAGAAGTGGGTTGCTGGGTTACTTTATTCACATTATCTGGGTTCATTTTGTCCAGTCTCTGGGGCCAGTGATGCCCTCGGAGTCCTACAGCAGTGCCTCCAAAGCTTAATAGGGATAACAAATATGTGGTACAGGTGCCACCACTCCTCTCTTACTTCATGACTATGACAGACATTATTAATCAAGCACAGCATCCTTTCTCACTTAGCTGATACGGAGCCTCAGAATACTTCTCAATAGAGTGCTCTGAGAAGCCATTACTCATTGATCAAAGGAGGTGCTTGAGATGGGATCTAGTCACCATGCTTGAGTAAAACACAAGTCTTGCTGTGTACTTGGCTTACTCATAACCAGCTTCCTGCATTTACATCCATGGCCAGTTACCTACTTGATACCCCAGTTCTGTAAGAACTGGATTTTTTGTTCCTCAGCTTCACTAGTGTTATGTATGGGGATCTGATACCTACTCACAAACTTCTAAACAGAAACCATACATTCAGGGCTGGCCTATTCATGAACACTACACACCACTGCAGTAAACCATGGCTCTAACCCTCAATCCCCCAATCCATTTCCTCAAGACTCATTCCCAACTGACTGACTGAGGCAAGAGAGAAATCTGATGTTTGTTGGTAGTGAGTGGGCTGCCTTGGTTCTCTACATATTAAGCTCAGTACTGAAAGAAGATACACTTGAAGTATCTCCCCCTTCTAATTCTAAATTTGCAATTCCCTAGTGATTTTGCATAAAAAGCCAGATCCCATAGGCCAGTAAGTCCTCAACCAACCAAGCAACAAAGAAGCCTTTTAACGACTCCTAAGTTTGAAGATTGTCACAGCAGGTCATCCTGACCTCAAGTCTTTTCACTAAAACATTCTCCCTAAAACAAGCCCTGCAACATCTCAGAGGCCCAGGAAATAACTCTAAGAATGTCAGAGGCCTACTCTCCCAAAGTTTCATGTATTCTCTTCAATGGAGACCCTGAAGTCCAAGATGCAGTCCAGGAATAAGCTTGAAACTAGGATATTATTTCCCTGAAGTTTCTGTGCACCAAGCTTGAATCTCCCTCTGAAGCAACAAACCTAACAAAACAAAATAATACCTAATGTGGGCTTGCCTATGTCTCTAGTTCTTGCCGGTTCATTGGTGAGACCAGGTCCTTGTCCTTACAGAGGTTATTCTTACTTTGATAAAATATTCTAGAATTCCTATGTTTACGTCCTGCCAAGTCCCATGACACCATAGATTTAATTGTTTCTTCTCAATCCTGCTATTCTAATTTGGTCATTCCCTTAGACCCAGGCAAGACTTCCACGTCCCACAATAGAAGAGATCTGTGGAAGAGTCATCTCTCTTGAACCTGAGATGTATAATGTGGTCCCTAATGAACAACCAGTGTCTGCAAGACAGCATGAGTCTGAAAACCCCAGGATGAACCATTCTAGTAGCCTAGAATGATATAACTCAGCCAGTATGGCACACATCCTAGAAGCCATCTGCCTTAATCAGACCCTGTCTCTTCAACCTGGCCCCACGTTTTCAAGAATTAGATTTTTCAGAAGTTAAAACACTAGCAGCCAGTATGTCTCTTACTGCCAAGTGATCAGCTGAGGTGACAGCATAGACAACCCTAGAGATGGTCAAGAAGGGACAATAAGTGCACACATAGTCTAAAAAAAATATTGTATTTGCCCTGACATGCACTTGAGCTGAAATCACAACTTGACCACAGACTAACTCGGTGATGTTCATCAAGTTTTTTGGTTTCTTTGAGCTTCAGTTAAACAAAGATGAAGTGGAAATAATAATAAAAATATAATAGGGTTGATGTACAGCTTAGAGATAAGATACATTAAGTGCTGGTCAAATGACAGACACTCTCAACAATGATGCCCATTATATCAGTCTTGTGCCAAAGTGCAAAATTAAAATATAAACATCTTTGAAGCACAATGCTTGTCACATAGCAGGCACTCAAACATATGGAAAGAAAACCATGAATGCGTCAATGAGCCAGTTCATGTTTGCTTCCATGAGTATGAGAATATTTTCCAAAAGGAGCCTAATTCACCAGGCAATCAGATTGGACAAGCGTCTGCATTACTTTTTATTAACTGTTAGCTTGATGTTTCAATTGGAACAAGTAGTGACCTGAAATCACATTATAAACTATGTCTGAAAATCCATCAAATCCACTTAAACTGTGATTTTTGACCTGCAAGTCACATTTGAACATTTATAGGCAATTTAATACTAAAACCCTGCCTCTGAAGGGGAGAATTTGTTCTTCAGAAAGATAAAGCTTTGCAATTGCTAAAATAACACACTTATTTTAAAGATGAATTTCTTACACTAAATGATAATGTATCATTCCTATGCTGAACTTTAGAGTTAAACATTTCAAACTTAGATATACGAAGATTATTTTTAAAAGTCAATTCCCTTTTTAGGTCACTTGCATTTTTGTTCTACAAAGAAAAAAAATCTTTCTGAAACTAAAGTGAACATTTTGGTCTTGGTTAAATGTATGGCTGGGGGCAGAGAAAAGCCAAATCGCTAAAGCATAATTCTGATGGTTGTACTTATTGCTGAGTGGATATCGAAGTGAAAAGTGTACATATTTTCCAAAAATAACTGACTATTAACCTTTCATTTCAGAATATCTCAGAATGGAGGAGAGAACACTTCCCCACCTGAATAGTTCTATCTACTCATATACGTGTAAGGACAATACTGATTATACACACAATTTGCTTTGTGATAATGTCAACCTGTTTTGCAGGCTCCTAAAAGGCAGGGATGCTCCATTGGCATGATTATAATTTGATTCAGATGATCCAGGCTTCAAACCCTAGTTTTGTTACTTAGCGAAAGTCCTGTATTAGGCTAGGCACTTGACATAGCCTTTGTCTCCTAAAATTTTCCTTAGGTACGTTACTCATTGTCTTCTGTCTGCCACCTACCCTGTTTCTGCCCCACCACTGATTCTCTGTAATTCTTTACCCTGCTCTTGGCCCAGGGAGGCCTATTTTAGAGCTTGCAGTACCACAGGTTTGGTAGACAGAGGGCACCAGCAAAAGACCAGAAGACAGATGGGTCTGTGTTGGCATTAGAACGGCTGGAAACAGTTAGAGTTGCTGTATGAGCATCTTTGCCACCTCACTTCTCAGGCCATAGACTCCTAGGAAAGATAAAAGGAAATGTTGCAGGTGAAGAACTCAGCAGTGGTCTGTCACAATCAGTAAGTGATAGATGCCACCCACTGTTAAAGCCAAAATAAGCAAATGGTATTTGATGAGGGTCCACAGCTAGTTAAGGATTTGATTAGAATATGAGTCACCAAGGTGAAGGCAGCTGTTTCAGTTAAGTGTGAAGAAATGAAAATATTTGGTTCACAGCCATTCCCCACTCCCATCAAGTATTTGTGCATGGCCTGCTTAGCTTACCCAAAACCCTCCTCTGACAAAATCCAGGGAAGAGGATTCTCTCCTGAAAAGGAGCCAGAGTGAAATAAAATCTCCACTCCTCAAAGGAGCTGCAATCAGCTGGTGGGGGCACAGAGGATGTGATACTTGCTCTGTGCCAAAGGAAGGCAGAATTGAGGCAGCTGATGACAGTCCTCTGATGCCTTGGAGGGGAAATACTTGCTCTGGAGCAGGCGAGGGAGCTGCTCCTTGAAAGTTAAGGATGTGAAAAACAAGATAGAAAGTTTTTGTGAGTTGTTGAATGGTAGATGTAAGCAAATACAGGACTTCCTATTTTTGTTGTACTTGATAAACACTGGGCCAGCATTGAGCTACCAGGATCGTGGCTGTAGAAGCATTGCCCAAGGTTGAAGGATGTAATCCCACATCTGATCCTTCACTCTGATCCATGACCAAACTGCAGTCCTCACCTGCCCCAAGAAATAGTCTGGAGTCTGAATGCCTTAGGTCAGTGGTCATTCTGCAGTTTTAGGGCCAGCAGCATTAGCATTCCCTGGGAGCTTGCTAGAAATGCAAAATCCAGATTTCCTGAGTCAGAACTCTGCAGGGTGGGGGGTAGGCCATCTGTGTTTTAATAAGCCCTCTAGGTGACTCTGATGCACACTCAAATTTGAGCCCCACTGTCTTAGCACAAATGCCTTAGCACCAATATTATTACTATTAGTTACCATGTGTTTACCACTTATTATGAACCAATCATCTTGCTAAAGCCTTTACTTGAATTATCACATTTATTCTTTACAACACCCTTGTGAGGTAGGTACTGCTGGTGCCCCCGTGTATGGAAGGTAAACTGAGGCTCAGCTAGTTTGCAGAGCATACACAAGGGCCTGTGGCCAATGCCGGAGTCAGAAATGGAATCATGCTGGTCTTCCCAATGTTCTGAATCACTTCACTTTGCTGTTCTGCCTCTATAACAAAGCCAGAAACATTGTTATAGAGCAAAATGCACTTTTCAAAGACGTACATTTGTTAAAAGATGTGAGCCTTTTCTGTAAGACAACTTTGACTGTCCCCAGCTTGCTCGGCGAATCTGTGAGCTGTCCTAACAGGAAACTCATCCAGCTCTAAGATATGCCGTATTCTCAGAGAAGCACAAAGGGATATTTGGGAGATAAGAAATGGGCTGAGCCAAGGATCCGACAGCCAGGTATCCGGCCATCTGGAAGGGATCAAACTTAAACAGGTTTGGAGTTGCCCAAATAAATGTCCTTTGTGTCTCCACCAAAATATATATGTGTATGTGTTGTACATGCACACATACACCTCACATGCATAGCAAAATACACATTGTCCATACTTTCATCAGCCATTGGGGGAGAATACAAAATTGAATCTACTTCTTCCCTCCACAAAAAATAAATCACGTGGAATGAAAGTGAATTAAAAGAAATAAACTTTAAAAAGGCATATCTATGAATTCCTACTTGGAGTGTGCTAGGTGCCTGCCACTAGGAAGCACCTGTGTTCTTTTCTCTAAACTGATAAACTAATGTCTATTTTTACCTGGAGGAAAAGAAAATCAACAGATGCTGACCTTACAATAATTATTGCTTATTCTCATATTTTTATTTCAGCATACAAAACATCTCAACATAAAGTGAAAAAATCCTGCATCAAAAATTATATGCTATCATATTTATGCAACACCAAGCAGAGTAAAAGTAAAAAAAAGAAAGAAAAAGGCTCATATATATCTATATTTACTTTTATCTGCAATTAATTAACCTGATAATGCCCCTTGTATTTTATTTAAATACAACATATTGGAAAAATTTTAAGTGTAATTTTTTCTGATATATATCATCTTCTTTAAAATCCATATATTATTGGTATTTAGATACAGATATGTGATAGAACTAGATAGATAGTGATCAACAAAAAATATTCTAAAGAAACATACTTTGAGAATTTGCTTACTTGGAAAAAGATTAATTTGCATTTATTCCACAACATTCACTGAGTTTCCAGTTTATACAATTTTTTTTTTTTTGAGACAGAGTTTTGTTCTTGTCACCCAGGCTGGAGTGCAATGGCACAATCTTGGCTCGCTGCAACCTCCACCTCCTGGGCTCAAGCAGTTCTCGTGCCTCAGCCTCCCCAGTAGCTGGGATTACAGGCACTCGCCAATATGCCCGGCTAATTTTAGTAGAGACAGGGTTTCACCATGTTGGCCAGGCTGGTGTCGAACTCTTGACCTCAGGTGATCCACCCACCTCGGCCTCCCAAAGTGCTAGGATTACAGGCATAAGCCACTTCACACAGCCTGCATTATATGAAATTCTTACTAAAATGCAGATAAATTTCATCAACAATAATTAGAGTATCAATAACAAGTGAGGCCACCATAAAACTCTATGTGAGTATACAAAAATACCCAAATAGTGAGCTACTAAGTTTATTTTCTCATTTTATTTTCTCACCCTCCTTTAAGGGATCATTCCATGCAAGTACTTTGCTATCACAGGACAGTCACATGCTTGCTTTTGTCTCCCGCAGTTCATTCCCCCAAGCTCTTTAAAAGCATTCGGTTCTTCTTACACATCTCCATATACCCAGGAGTTCCTAGAAAACAGCTTTGCAATTGGTAATCCTTTAATAAATAAGACTAAGGTGATGTTATTTAGCAAGGAAGGTACCCAAATGTAAAGGCTGCAAGGTCCAAGAAGATGATACAATGAAGTGGGCTGGCTGGTGAAGTGGACAATCACACCCTTACTAAGGTGACAGCCACTTGTAACCTTGACGCCCCTGTCTTCAGTCCAGAATGCTGGTCCAGTGTTTCCTGACTTGATTTCTCAAAGGAAAAGTTGGCCAGGCATGGTGGCTCATACCTGAAATCCCAGCAGCACTTTGGGAGGCCAAGACGGGCAGATTATTTGAGGTCAGGAGTTCAGGACCAGCCTGGCAAATATGATGAAAACCCAGCTCTATTAAATCCCAGCTACTTGGGAGGCTGAGGCAGGAGAATCGCTTGAACCTGGGAGGCAGAGGTTGCAGTGAGCCAAGATCAGGCCCACTGCACTCCAGCCTGGGCAGTAGAGCGAGACTCAGTCTCCAAAAAAAAGAAAAAAAAAAGAAAGAAAGAAAAGAAAAGTAGCCATTAGGACTTCAAAGAGAAATCTTCCAATTTTTAAACGCTGGCCACAAATACTAAACTTTTCTTTAAATCATGGTTTAGTAGGCTGGATTTGTGCAGGAAAACCAAGTCACTTGAAGAGACACCAGAAATAGCAAGTTGAATGCAGGAATTGGCGTTTCCACAAATGATAGGTGAGCCAGAGTGGATAAAGGACAGAAAAGTCATGGTGGAAGTTGTGGGACGGGCAGGCAGAAGGGTGAGAAGGCAGACCCAGAAACCTCATCCTAGAGCAACACCAGACTGGTGGTTCTCAGTGGCTTATGGGCAAGGTGTCCTGGAAATTCCCTGGAAAGATCCCACCAGTGATTACTGTCTGCAGCAGTGAAGTGAGTGGTTCTCAAGCCACCAGGAATCCCACATCTGCCCACACATTCAGCTGCAACAGACTCCACTTCTCTTCTGCCTCCCAGATCCTGTACGCATTCCCTTCACTGGGAATCTGGAATCAGAACTATTAAGAAAAGAGGACTCTGGGGTATGTGCTTCTTGGTTTCTCCTTTTCATTGCATCCCAGAGATGGGATGATGTCAAATTGACAGCAGACAAGCCTAGTACTGACAGTACCGGATGAGAAAAGTTATCATTGGGGATAATTCCACTTTCAAGGCACAGTATACAATTTCCAATTTAGAGAATGACTGCAGAAAGCATTTGAACAATTTCATCTTCTTACATGAAGAAAGGAGAATGCAATGTGTTGAAGATACTGTCCCAGGTAACACATACAATCTTTGATAAGAATTCAATGAACATTTCACTGGGTTGCACGCCCAGTTTTCCTTTCTTCACTCTCCTTGCCTTCCCCAGCCCTCCTCTCCCTTCCTTTCTTCTTCCTGCTCCTTCTTCTTCTTCCTCTTCCACTTTCTCATTCTTCTTTATATTTTAACATCACAAAAATACCTTCTCAGGAGTTAGGGGTAAGGAGAGCAGGTGTAAATAAAGGGATAGCACAAAAGTGTTTTGGGGAATGATAAAACTGTTCTATATTCTGATTGTGATAGTGACTAATTACAGAAATGTATACGACTGTTAAAATTCATAGGGAAGAGCACCGGAAGGTCAGATTTTACCATATGATAGTAAAATTACTGAATGGTGATAACCTTAAGACAACAATAAAAAGAAACATATCCTCTTGTAACAAAAGTAGGCATCATCAAAGCAACTTGAATTAATGAAATACATGAACTCTGAGAGATCTACAACTTCTGACTGAACGATACTATCTGGGGTCTTATAGAAAGTCAGGAACATGCAGGAGAAAACATTCAGTGGTAGATACCTTTAAACAAATCAAGAAGCATAATCTACTATTGGTATTTAAATGTTAATCCTCCATGAAGATTAAATAATCCTTTCCAAAACTGTCTGTGCATGTTTACTATATAAGAAGATGGTCCTAACATAAAATTTACTTTGTTTAGGGGGAATCAGTCAAATGCTCTTAACTCCAACCATTATTGTAAAAAGCAGAAATTAAAACTACAGTAGAAATAAAATACATCTTGACAAAGGATAGCTCTGGTTGGGAAGCAATATATCAACCATTATTATGAGACAATTAATTAGACTTAATAAACTTTAAAGTAAAAATAGCATGTAAACAAAATTTTAAAAAATTAAAAAGCCTTGCTTTTTCTATCTGTCCATTGACCTGGAAGAAAATTCACTAGGTAAAAAATGAAAAAAAAAAATCTGTACTATAAAACTTAAATAAAAAAGGTATGTTGCTCAACTTGCTTAAATGTAGACATTTAACATACTTAAAGTCTCTTCTAATTATTCTCTCACTTATGATAACACTGTCTCATCAGTTGCCTGCAACCCTGTCTCTCTACACTTCGCAAATATCTGGTCAAAATTCAACAACTAGTTGGTGCAGACAAAGTCTTTCAATTCAAGTCTGCCTTTGACTCACACTTGAACACTTTTCAACTGTCAGTTCAGAATATCAGTGATTAGCATGCAAAAGGTTTATTTAATTTCTTATTTCTTTTCAGGGAAAAGAGGTTAGAAACAGCTGTCATTCAGGTGATGAATACAAGCTGCCAGCCTTTGAAACAGCAGGTAAAATAGTTGAGGTTGGAATTAATTAGCATTTAGAAATCTCCCACACTGGAATGTACCCTGGCAAGGAAATGGCTGTCCGTCTTTGCAAATTATTTTATCAGTTAAAGTAGTCAGGATAGAAGGCACAGTGGAAAGATAAAGCAAGGCACTTGAGTATTCAGAAACAAACACATAAAATAGTTTTCTGCTCTTTTTAAAAATTTAGGCTTTTAGGCTCATATGCATAAATCTAAGACGTGACATTCAGTCCGAAGTCATGCCTGAGCATACCATAAGCCTTTTAAAAATCATGTTCAGGGGCTTATGATGATTTTCAGCTGACATGTGACATTCAACGTTAACATTCATGAAGCTGTCACCAATGCTGACCCACACAATGGCTTTGCAGCCACTTGATTTGTTACGTATCCTGAAAGAAAGAATATTTTCTAAAAGAAATTTCTTGCTGACCGCAAATTCTGTTTGGTTTAGGTTTTATTAAGGTGATACACCGTGGAGCACACCCAAATATCTGAAGAAGAAAAAGGAGGAGGAGAAAGGAGGAAGAGGAGGAGGAGAAAGGAGGAAGAGGAGAAGAAGAAGGAGAAGGAGAAAAAAAAAGGAGGATAAGGAGAAAGAACAGGAAGAAAAGAAGGAGGAGGAGAAGGAGGGCAGCAATTATTATTCTATTTCAGAATTACATATATGTCCTAACAAGTTGACTTTTAAGAAAAGTAACTTTAATTCATATATGACATTTAATATATATGAGGAACATATTTTAAAAGCACAAAATGATTGATATCAGATATTTAATGATAGATAATAAGTGACCACCTGGCAGGTTTTAAAAGCAAGAAAAAGCAACACATTGTTAGAGTGTCTACAGAAGATCAGAATGTTGGCTGGGTGCAGGGGCATGCACCTGTAATCCCAGCACTTCGGGATGCTGAGGCAGGTTGGTTGCTTGAGTTCAGGTGTTTGAGACCAGCCTGAACAACACGGCGAAACCCCACCTGTAGCAAAAATACTAAAAAGAAAAAAAAAAAAAATAGCCGGGCATGGTGGCACACGTCAGTGGTCCCAAATACTAAGGAGGCTGAGATGGAAGGATTGCTGAAACCCAGGCAGTCGAGGCTGCAGTGAGCCATGGTCGCACCACTACATTCCAGCCTGAGTGATACAGTGAGACCCTGACAAACAAAAAAGAAAAAAAAAAGAGAGAGAGAAAGAAATTCAGAATCTTGATGCTAACTAAAAAGTTCTTTGACATCTGGTTCTAAAATGCGGCTTAGAAACAAGGTGGCTTCATTTCCCCCAATAGAAAAACAAAACCAAATATATAGCACCTAGTTTTTTACCAGCAATACCCTAGAACTAAAATATGAGGAGACAGTTTCCAGGGCTACAGAGAAGTGAAAAAACTCCAAGATGACAGTAAGAGAATTGGACTTACATATCTGTGACACCTCTTCCCACCATCTGCCTGGCATCAAGTGTGCAGAAATTTTCCACTAATTCACAGTTTCTACACTGGGAAAAGTGAGATCAAGGAGGACAACCAACTTCCTTACCATATTGGGTTCCCTAGCAGGAGACCTGTCCCTGTTTCAAGCCACAGGAAGCATCAGTAGTGCCTGGAGGAAGAAATACCCCAGAGGGCAGCCAGAGAAAAAGAGGTGAGGCAGGACTACCAACCCCTCCCCAGGAAACTCTGCTCTGTACTAAGAAAAAAAGAGAGAAGACCCAATAAATAAAATCATAAAGGAAAAAGGAGACATAGCAACTGAGACTACAGAATTATTATGGATTACTACAAACTATACCCCAACAAATTGGAAAACCTAGAAGAAATGGATAAATCCCTAGACACATACAATCTACTAAAATTGAACTATGAAGAAATAAAAAACCTCAACAAACTAATAATGAGTAATGAGACTGAAGCTGTAATAAAAATCTCCTATCAAAGAAAAGCCCAGGATCTGATGGCTTCACAGCTGAATTCTAACAAACATGTAAAGAACTAACACTAATTCTACTCAAATTCTTCAAAAAAATTAAAGAAGAGGGAATATATCCAAACTCCTTCTACAAGGATAGCATTAACTTGATACCAAAACCAGGCAAAGACACAACAAACAAAGAAAACTACAGGCCAATGTCACTGATTAACATAGATACAAAAATTCTCAACAGAATACAAGCAAACCAAATTTTACAACACATTGAAAAGATAATTCACCAAGATCAGGTGGAATTCATCCCAGGGATGCAGGTATGGTTCAACACACAAAAATCAATAAACATGATATATCACATTAACAGCACCAAGGGAAAAAAATGATCATTTTGATACATGCTGAAAAAGCATTTTAGAAAATTCAACATCCTTTTATGATAAAATGCTCCAAAAACTGCATACAGAAGGAACATACCTCAAAATAATAAAGGCTATATGACAAAACCCACAGCTACCATTGTACTGAACATGGAAAAATTGAATGCCTTTCCTCTAAGATCTAGAACAAGACAAGGATGCTCACTTTTACTACTTTTATTCAAAATAATACTAGAAGTCATGGCCAAAGCACTTGGGCAAGATAAAGAAATAAAAGACATCCAGATTGGTTTGTGTTTGCGTGTATGATTGTTTTGTTTTGTTTTTGAGACAGGGTGTCACTCTGTTGCTCAGGCAGTAGTGCAGTGGTGCGATCACCTCTCGCTGCAGCCTTCACCTCCTGGGCTCAGGTGTTCCTCCCAACTTAGCTTCTGGACTAGTTGGGACTACAGGCATGTGCCACCACACCCAGCTAACTTTTTAATTTTTTTTTTTTTTTTTTTTTTTTTTTTGCAGAGATGAGGGTTTCCATATGTTGCCCAGGCTCCAAACTGGAAAGAAAAAAGTCAAATTAGCCTTGTTCAGGTTTAGGTTTTTGATTTAGGATTTCCTATATACAGACGACATGATCTTGTACTTAGGAAAACCTTAAGATTCTACCAAAAAACTGTTAGAACTGATAAACAAATTCCGTAAAGTTGTAGGATAAAAAATCAACACATAAAAATTATCAGCATTTATATATACCAGCAGTGAATAATCTGAAAAAATTCATGAATGTAATCCCATCTATAATAGCTACAAAGAATATAAAATACTTAGGAATCAATTTAATCAAAGAAGTGAAAGATCTATACAAAGAAAACTATAAAACACTGATGAAAGAAATTGTAGAGAACACCAAAAAAGGGAAAGAATTAAATATAAAAATAATTAATGCTCATGGATTGGAAGAATTAATATAGCTAAAATGATAATATTATCCAAAGCAATTTTACAGATTCAATGCAATCCCTATCAAAATACCATGGCATTTTCACAGATATAGAAAAAGCAATCCTAAAATTGATATGGAACCACAAAACACCCCAAATAGCCAAAGTAATCCTGAGCAAAAAGAACAATGCTGGAAGCATCACACTACCCAACTTTAAAATATACTGCAGAGCTATAGTAACCAAATCAGCATGATGCTGGGACAAAAAGAGACACATAGTACAATGGAACAGAATAGAAAGCCCAGATATGAATCTGCACATTTATAGCCAACTCATTTTTGACAAAGCCACCAAGAACATACAATGAGGAAAGGAGTCTCTTCAATGAAGGTGCTAGGAAAATTGGGTAACCATTTGTAGAAAAATGAAACTAGATCCCTATCTCTCACCATATATAAAAATCAAATCAAATGGATTACAGACTTAAATATAAGACCTGAAACTATAAAAGTACTAGAAGAAAACTTTGGGGAGATGCTCCAGGCCAAAGCAAAGACTTTTTGCATAAGATTTCAAAAGCAGAGGCAGCAAAAGCAAAACTTGGTAAATGAGATTACGTCAAGCTAAAGATTCTGCACAGCAAAGGAAACAACCCCAAAGAGAAGTTGGAGTCCATAGCATGGGAGAAATATGTGCAGAGTATCCCTTTGACAAGGGATTGATAACCAGAGTATGTAAGAAGCTCAAACAACTCAATAGTAAAAAAAAAAAAAAAAAAAAAATCTGATTTAACAATGAAAAAAATATCTGAATAGACACTTCTCAAAAGAAGACACATAAATGGCCATTTGATTTGTTACAAATCATGGAAGGAAGAATATTTTCCAGAAGAAATCTCTCTCCCTGACCACAAATTCTGTTTGGTTTAGGTTTTGTTTTGTTTTGTTTTGTTTTGAGACAGTCACCCACGCTGGAGTGCAGTGGCATGATCTTGGCTCACTGCAAACTCCGCCTCTTGGGCTCAGGTGATCCTCCCGCCCCAGCCTCCTTAGTAGCTGGGATTACAGGCACCTGCCATCAAGCCTGGCTAATTTTTGTTTTTTTAGTAGAGCTGAGGTTTTACCATATTGGCCAGGCTGGTCTTGAACTCCTGGCCTCAAGTGATTGGCCCATCTCGGCCTCCCAAAATGCTGGAATTACAGGTGTGAGCCACTGTGCCCAGCCTGGTTTAGGTTTTATTCAAGGTCACAATCGAGCACTTTTCAAATGTTCAATATGACTAATCATCAGAGAAATAAAAATCAAAACCACAATGAGATATCCTCTCACCCCAGTTAAAATGGCTGTTATCAAAAAGACAAGGATAATAGATGCTGACAAGGATCTAAAGAAAGGGAAACCCTTATACATTGTTGGCAGAAATGTAAATCGGTACAGCCACTCTGGAAAGTAATATGGAGGTTCCTGAAAAAACTAACAATAGAACCACTATGTGATTCAGTAATTCCAATACTGGGTATATATCCAAAAGAAAGGAAATCAATAAAATAAAGAGGTATCTGCACTCCCACGTTCATTGCAGCAGTATTCACAAGAGCCAAAATATGGAATCAACCAAAGTATCCATCAATGAATGACTGGATAAAGAAAATATGGTATATGTATGCAATTGAACATGAGTCATCCAATAAAAAAGAATGAAAAAAAAAAAAAAAAAAACTTGTTATCTGCAGCAACATGGATGGAACTGGTGGTTATTGTGTTAAGTGAAATAAGCCAAGCACAGAAAGACAAATATCACATCAATCGTACATGGGACCTAAAAAGTGGACTGCATAAAGATAGAGTAGATTGGTGGTTACTAGAGGCTAGGAAGGGTAAGGGGGTGGGAGGATGAATAGAGCCTGATTAATGGGTACAAATATACAGTTTCATAGAAGAAATAAGACCTTGTGTTTCATAGATCAACAGGGTGACCATAATTTACAATAATCTATTGTATATTTCAAAATAGTTAAAAGAATAATTTGAATGTTTCTAGCATTAAAAAGACAAATATTTAAGATTATATATACATATATATATCCCAATTACACTGATTTGTTCTTTACAAATTACATGAATGTATTACATTATCACATGTTACCTCAAAAAAATAAATATACCTCATTATTATTGCCTGGAAAGCAAATGTCAAAATACTGGACCCAAACTGGACCACAGTCTGAGCATTTTGTGATAAGATAAGTCTTTGTTTTGATAATGTAAAAGATGACTGATTCTCCATTATTCACAAGAATATTTTTTGAGACTCAGAAGTAATTATGAAAAAAAACCTTTCACACAAGGCAAGAAGAATGGATCTCCACAGGCCCAAATGGAACCAAACTCTGCCCTACAACCACCACCACCACTACCTTTCCTCCTCTGCCTGCACACTCACCCCCTACCACCTCTTCTACTGCCTTCACCAACTGCCTCCACTCACACTCCCAGACCTTCCCATCTCGGCCTACGCTACCTCCACCCCTACCTCCACCTTTCCATGTCAGAGTCCTACTCCTCTGCATCCACCAAAACAACCTCCACACTCTCCTGACCTCCCACACTGGCTTGGTCCCGACCACCTTCTTCTACCTCTACCTCTTTCAGCAGTCTCCATTCCACATTGTTTCCAATGTATTTACCTAACCTACCTTCCTTTACTTGCCTAAAGCTTCCTTTAGCAGCTTCCTTACAAAATAACAAGCTCCTTCTTTTTCTTTTGTTTATTTTCTCCTGCTCCTAACTTAGTGATTGCCATAATAACTGCATAGTTAAATCTAAACAAGTTTTCCTCTCCCTCTCCTCATCAGCTGACATGGAGAAGAGCATGGTTTCTCTGGCTATTAGCAGAAATACATGCTTTTTCATTGCCTCCTACTTACAACTTTGTGGATTTTGATTTTTGGTCATTCTCAGTCTCTTATCTAAAGACAAGTGCCAGGCACAGGTGAATTTACCATGGAGCCAATTAGCCTGAAGTTTCTGGGCCCTTCACATGCATGAGTGGGGCCATTGCAACATTTTATTTGCATTTTTTTTTTTTGGAAAGGACCTTTAAAATTGTAAAAGCTTCAGATCCCATATAACCTGGATCAGCTCCTGGAGGAGAGAGAGCTACAAAGATTTACTAGTAAAGCTTTGGTTTATCAGCAGTTTTCATGTATTTATTTTATTCTAATCCATTATAGGCATATATAAAGATGGGCTGGCTAAAAGCTTGTGGGGACATAGAAACATTTTCAGCAGGTATTTGAAGAGGTAGTTTATGGGACCTAGAGCAGATGGAAATATCTCTTTGCTGGTCAGCACACAATCAATAAGGACAAGTCACTCTGAAATGACCTCACTGTATTACTTGAATTCTAAAGTTTCTTTCTTATCTCAGGGCATTTTCACTTGTTCCTTCTGCCTCAAATGCTCTTCTCCCAGATCTCTGCAAGGCTGGCTCCTTCTTGACCTTCAGTTTTCAACTCCTATGTTACCCTTCGAGAGGCCCTCCCTGCAATTGTCTCCATGCTCAGTACCATTTGTTTTCTTTATACCACATACTCATATTAACATTTTTTTTGCAGATGTTTTATTTACTTTTTGAAAGTCTGCATCCCCCACTGAAATGTAAGCACAAGAGGGCAAAGACCTCAGCTGTCTTGTACCTTATGGTATTCCTAAGGCCTGGAATGTGCTTGGCTCCTAGAACAATTAGTACTTATGGAAAAAAGAAAAGAAGGAAGGATGGGTGAATAGGTTTGATGGACATGATTCAAATCCAGTAAAATATTTTCAGAGTCTATTATAATATTCTTAGCACAACACAGAGAAAATACAAATAGTAAAATTAATGCAAAAGTCAAACAATCATTTGTAAAGAAGATTACTGGTAAATCTAGGAGTCTTAGAACATTTTTGCACTAGAAGACTGGAAGGATTTAACGTGCTCCCTTCAATGATAGCAGTTCACTGTGGTAGTGAGAGGATTCCAGAAGGAGGCTTGGCCACCCAGGAAGAGGTGATGAAGTTCAGAAAAGTTCCCTAGGCAATTCCAGCATTCCAGTCTACACTCCCAAATCTAGTCCCAGTGGAAGATCTCTGCGTTTCTGGACAAAGATAAATTCTAAAAAGGTGTCCAGCACATGCCTTGTGTTGAAGTGGTTATATCAAGGGATCCCAGATGCCTGAGTTTTCACTGGCTACATTAGGGTTGCCTGGGAAACTAAATACAACAACAAACACATAGGCATTCCTGAGCCTTACCTGAGATTCACTAAGTCTCTGGGGTAGCCTGAAAAATTAGTACTCTAAAGACCTTTCCAGCATATTCTGAGATGCTACTACTAGACTTGAGGACCACTGTGTTGAATGATGGAACCAGAATTCAAGAAGACCTTAACAGGCTTGAGCAATGTGCCAAAAAAGACAAGATACATTTAGAATCTTTCTAAGGTATTGAAGAACCTGAGTTAATGAACAAAGATTTAAAATTTTCAGTGGAAGAATAGAAACACTTGTTCTGAAGGAAGGTGTGCGTGCGTGTGTGTGTGTGTGTGTGTGTGTGAAATATAGGATTTGTAAAACTGTGTCAAATATCTGTCTTTGGTCCACTCAGTTCGATCCCCATTTTTCACCCTGCTCCATGGCTGGAGGCTGATCTTTATGGATTTCATCAATGGTGTCCCTCACCCTCTGGTATCCAGTAGGCCAAGGAAGAGTCCCCTCAGGAGAGTGGAGGAAGAGAAAAGAGAGCACTCTGGGTACTTATTCCCTCAGCCCTCTCTATTGGAGGTCTGTCTTCAACTGAAAGGTCACAGTCCCTCTACATAAATCTCCTCCTCCAGAGAGTCCCTTTGTTAAACCTTTTCTTTTATTATTTTATTTTATTATTATCTTGTTTTTTGGAGACAGAGGCTCACTCTGTTGCCCAGGCTAGAGTGCAGTGGTACAATCTTGGTCACTGCAACCTCCACCTCCTGAGTTCAAGCAATTCACCTGCCTCAGCCTCCTGAGTAGCTGGGATTACAGGCACATGCCACCACACCCAGCTAATTTTTGTATTTTTGATAGAGACAAGGTTTCACCATGTTGGCCAGGCTGGTCTCGAACTCCTAACCTCAAGTGATCGACCCGCCTCAGCCTCCCAAAGTGCTGGGATTATAGGCATGACCCACCATATCCAGCCTGTTAAACCTTTTCTGATTTTTTTTCTCATTTAGATGTGTTGTTTTTGCTGAGACCACAATTGATGGTCTGATCTCATGGGGAGACGGGTTGAAGGTGCGTAGGATTACAGCTTCATAGCTGCTTGTAAAAAAGAGCAGCTATGCTGCTGCTCTCATTATGCTCTCACTTAACGAGAATGTGGCCTTCTTCTGTTGCTTTATTATGTGTCTAGAATAGGGGTGATAGTCCCATGGCTCTCCATACAAATCTTGTCTCATCAGGAATTTATGTCCATTTTATAAGAAACATTGATATCCTGGAAGGGCCAGAAGGGCAGACAGATGGCTGGTTAGATGTTCAAATTTCTGAGCTCATTCGTCTTGGTAAACTCTTTGACGTGCTGCAAGAGGCACCAGTGCATGGGGGCATAAGCAGGAACTCTGAGGGCCAGATGGCCTGGAATTAAGTCCCGGTTCTACCTACTTATCAGTTGTGCAACTTGACAAGTTATTTAACCTTTCTGAGTTCCTGATCTTTCTTAACTGTAAAGTAAAAAAATAATAATAATACCTTTCTCATAGGTAATGATGATTGAATGAGTTATCACCTATAAAGAGCATCCCTAGAACAAAATAAGTATGTTTTAAATAAATACAAATAAAAATTCCAATCCTCACTGTACAAATTTCAGAGTAAACCATTACCTTCAATAAATGACAAGTGCCTTATGTTATTTTTCTATAAATAGTAAGTTATTTTAAATGGCTATTTTCTGCAGATATTAATTTTAGTCTACAAAGAGCCATTAAAGTTGAATTATGGCATTAAAACAAAAGTTTGAGACACTGAATGACTTACTCCAATAGAAACTTTACTTTTTTTTTTTATTTTTTTGAGTCAGGGTCTCACTCTGTCACCCAGGTGGGAGTGCAGTGGCATGATCATGGCTCACTGCAGCCTCAATCTCCTGGCCTCAAGCGATCTTCCCATCTCATCTCTTATCTTTTCTAGAGCTGAGTTCTCTCTATGTTGCCCAGGCTGGTCTCAAACTCTTGGACTCAAGTGATCTACCCACCTTGGCTTCCCAAAGTGCTGGGATTATAGGCCTGAGCCACAACACCCAGCCAAAAACTTTAAAAATATATCTTAGAGGTTAAAATTCTAATATTTTATTTCTGTGCTAAGATTCAGAGAACATAATTTGAAAGACCCAATGCTAGCATTTTAATTATCCTTCCCATTCCTATCCTCTTGTCACAGATAATGATAGTGTGTTATCTGTTTCTATGATTGTAAGAATTTTGAATAAGACCTCAATCTTATCCAAAAAGCACAATAATTTCCAGTATGTATAAAGGGATTTTGTGTTAAAGTCCAGATTTCAAAAGCCATGAAGCATGATGTTGACAACCCTGACAATTTCTCATGGAAGTGGTTAAAAAAAAAAGGTTACGTTAAAAGAGTTTTTCTCTGAAGACTATTCTTTCTATTTCGTTAATACTTATTTAAAAATCTCAACAATATATTTTGTCTATATAAAAGAAAAGAAGACACCCTGGCATCATATTACAATGTTGCCAGAAATTAGTTATATAATTATCCAAATTTCATCAGCACAGCATTCTCTCTGCCACTTAAACTTCAACTTTACATGAGTTTGCTGGGCGCCGTGGTTCATCCCTGTAATCCCAGCACTTTGGGAGGCCGAGGCGGGCAGATCAGGAGGTCAGGAGTTTGAGACTAGCCTGGCCAACATAGTGAAACCTCATCTCTACTAAAAATACAAAAATTAGCCAGGCATGGTGGCACACGCACCTGTAGTCCCAGCTACTTGGGAGGCTGAGGCAGGAGAATCACTTGAACCTGTGAGGCGGAGGTTGTGGTGAGCTGAGATTGTGTGACTGCACTCCAGCCTAGGCAACAGATTGAGACTCTATCTCAGAAAAACAAAACAAAACAAAAAACTTCAACTTTAAATGTTCCTTCAGGATCACTTGGAATTTGGGTATACATGAAATGGAAGTGTTTGTATGGACTCTCATGCTCAAAGAAGAAAGATGGATAACTTTTAACAGGTTTTTTTGTGATGCAGGAGAAGGGAAGGAAAGAGAGATGTAGCTCTGGAGAGAAAAGGTCAAAGGAGCTGGGTAATGCTCAGGACTGGGCTTTTCACTCCGCCTGTTCCCAGGGCAGGTCTCCTTGCTTAGCTGAAAGTGAGTGTCACGGCTGTTCCTTCAGCTCATTTCCATTCACTGGAACAATGACTCTAAATTAGAAACTCTCAGCTGTGGGCAATTTCTGCAAAACCTCTAACAAGAACTCCCAGCAACTCCCTTCTCTCAAGCAAGTGAGGAAGGTTATATAAGTAATAGGGAGTTTGCCCACCCGGAACCAGGGGCACAGCCAGTTCTGAGAACTTTCTCTATTATGCTTCCTTTATTTCGTACCAGGTAGGTAAAGCCCTAGATTATTAACTTTTTGCTGGTTTGCTTGGTGGATTTTTTTTTTTTTTTTTTTTTTAAGAAACAGGGTCTCACTCTGTTGCTCAGGCTAGAGTGCAGTGGTACATTCATAGCTCACTGCAGTCTCGAACTCCTGGGCTGAAGTGATCCTCCCAGCTCAGCCTCCCAAGTAGCTGGGATTACAGGCATGTGCATGTGTCATCACACCCAGCTAATTTTTTTTTTTTAAGAGATGGGGGTCTTGTTATGTTGCCCAGACTAGTCTTGAACTCATAGCCTCAAGCGATCTTCCCACCTCATCCTCCCAAAGCACTGGATTACACGCCAGGTGTAAGCCACCACACCTGACTGACCCTTTGTTTTTTTAAATCGGGGACATATCAGAAGTAATTTAAAGCTATGTGGGAGGGATGATATTTATTCATGTATGTTTACTTTTTAAAAATTAATTGAAGTCCACTTAAAACTTTACAACGTTTACCAATATGCATCACAAAGCTTCTTAGAGAAAATCATGCTATGGGTCTGTATGGCAGATGCACCTAACAGCAATAACTCAAGCATACCCTGAGAAGAATCCAGGAGTGGTCAAGCTGGAGATTCACTCCTCATCTATGAAGAACATCTGAACCCCTGGCCTATCATTTGGAATGCAGACTATACAGGGATCAGGGGCCTTTTGTTTTGGGTTAAAGGAAGGTTGCTTGGTGAAGATTGCTAAGTGAACATGCTATATAATATGCATGCTTTTTACAAATGGTAGTGGTTTTCCTATCCAGCCTCCCATTCCGAGAATGCTCTGTATATAAGTCTTCTATAAACCCTATGTCTCATTCACTGGCTCCGGGTCTCTTACCGAGCCATCCCTGTTGGAATCAATAGGGGCCTGGCATGACAGTGTCTATATGTGTTTTCTGGTTGCTTCCTAAATTTTATTCTGAATAAGAAAATTTTCATAGTTCTACTAGAATAAGGACCTCATCTATCAATTCTGTGCCTTCAGTGCCTACAGTAGTGCCTGGGACTTGGTAGGTACTCCATACATTAAAAAAATATATTTTTAAGGATGGGGTCTCACTATGTTGCCCAGGCTGGCCTTGAATTCCTAGGCTCAAGTGATCCTCCTGCCTCAGCCTCCTGGGAAGCTAGGACTACAGATGTGAGCCACTGTGCCTGGCTTTTGTTTTTTTTTTTTTTTACTTAAAAAAATTGCCATAATTAAAAAAAAATTACTTAAAAAATGAATGAAAACATGGGAACAGGAGATAGACTTTTTTTTTTTTTTTTTTTTTTTTAAGACACGCTCTCCCTATGTTTCCCAGGCTGGCTTGAACTCCTGGCCTGAAGTGATCCTCTGGCGTCAGCCTGGCAAAGTGCTGGGATTACAGGCATGAGCCACTGTGCCCAGACAAAATGTTTAATACTGTTATTGAGTACCAGCTCTGAGAAGGTGTCATGGCAGGCATTTGACATGCACCATCTCAATCTCCCAACAATGCTAAAAGTTAGGTGCCTGTGACATACTAAATTTATAGATGAAATGCTAAAGTAAAGAGAAGGCAAGTAGCTTGCCTGAGACCTCATAGCTCAGAAATGGAAGAAGTCAAACCTGGATAGTTGAACTCCAGAGTCTACACTCAGAACACCACAGTTAATATACATGTTTTAACCTCTGCTTCCCATTTTTCCTTATGTAAGAACTCAACTGTGTTTAAACTGGTGAGAAATCATTCCACATTGACAACAAGGTTTGTGAAAGCAAGAAATGTAGTTATTTTCATTTATACATAAATTTACATTTTTAAAAAGTACGTATTGATTGTGACTTAATACCAATATACATTTGGCCTCTGCCCTGGTTCCTGACACAAAACTCATGTACATTTCTTTTTTTTTTTTTGAGACGGAGTCTCACTCTCTCACCCAGGCTGGAGTGCAGTGGCGCAATCTCGGCTCACTGCAAGCTCCGCCTCCCGGGTTCACACCATTCTCCTGCCTCAGCCTCATGAGTAGCTGGGACTACAGGCTCCCGCCACCACGCCCGGCTAATTTTTTTGTATTTTTAGTAGAGACGGGGTTTCACCGTGTTAGCCAGGATGGTCTCGATCTCCTGACCTCATGATCCGCCTGTGTCGGCCTCCCAAAGTGCTGGGATTACAGGCGTGAGATACCGCGCCCAGCAAACTCATGTAAATTTCTAAGTGATGGGGTGACAGGAGAATTTTTCTGTTCATGACAGAAGAGCTTCTGAAACTCTTGGAATTATCCGAGTGATAGGGGTGAGAAGAGCATCTTCTGTTACTCTTAATAAGCCCCTTTCAAGCATACCCGAGTTTACGTTAATAAGGTGACTCAGAGGATGGGAGCCCCTTGCCAGAGGAACCAACCATGTGACTAAAAGGTTGGAATTTTCAGCTCCACTCTCCCTCCTCCAGGATGGGGAGAGGGGTTGGAGATGAGTCCAGTCACCAGTGGCCAATGATGTCATCAATCACACCTATGTAATGGAACCCCCACAAAAACTCCAAATAAAGGGGTTCCAAGAGCTGCTAGGTTGGTGAACACATGGAGGTGCGGGGAGGGTGGCGAGCCCAGCGAGGACGTGGATTCCCCACGGCCCTTCCCACATACCCCGTTCTTTCATTTGGCTGTTTCTGAGTTGTGTGCTTTATAATCAACTGACAATGGTGAGTCAAGTGTCTTCCTGAGTCCTGTGAGCCATTCTAACAAATTATTGAACTTGAGGGAATCGTGAGAAACCTCTGATTTATAGCCTGTCAGTAAGAAGTATAGGGAGCCCAGGCTTATGATCACCATCTGAAGTGGAGCAGTCTGTGGGACTGATTCCTTAAACTGTGGGGTCTGTGCTAACTCCAGAGCCAGAACTGAATTAAATTATAGGACACCTAGTTGGTATGAGAATTGTAATGTGTAGAAAATCCGCACATTTGGTGTCAGAAGCGTTATGAGAGTAGAGAAATGTTTTCCTTTGCTGATAAATATAAAAAGTCAGCAATTAATTAGTTTCTCTCATTTTAAGGCCCTTCATAAACCTCCCTTGCTTTTCCCTTAAGAGGGCAAAGAATTAGAGCAAACCAAACAAACATATGCTTATAATGTAAGCAACAAATATGGCTGACTGCAGCTAAAGGAACGCTAGTGATTAAAAACAGGAAGCGTGCTCTTCAAGTACTTTTAGCCATAAAAATAATGTTGGTGTCATTTATTGCATATACTTCAAATTCAGTTTTGTCAACAAAATGGACACCTTCTAGTGAATTTGAGAAGATGTGGGTTGGGAATGTAACCCATATTATATGATTTTTCATGGTTGTTTCATGTAGACATCCTTCAGAGCATGGCCTCAGCTACCATGTGGCATCATGTGCATGCTTCATACAGGATGATGAGGACTTAGGACCTATGCTTTGGTATCAAGCACCTTTGAAACATTCCCCGTCCAGCAGGCAGTGGACTTGAGTTTCAATCTCAGCATTGATATTAACCAGCTATGTAATTTTTTGGCAAATCCCTTACCTACTACTTGCTTTATCTTCCTCTAAGTCAGAATAGTTGACCCTTAAACACCTTCCAGCACTAAGCATATCTTTCAAATCACAACCTTTTAAAGCTTTTATTTTTAGTGAATTCTAAATCCTTAATTGATGGTTTATTTATATCTCTAAAATCTTAAGAAAACTCAAAACTCTGTACAAGTTAGTCTTACAAATGAACAAAAACATCTAGGTAGATGACTCATCAATATTTCTGAGTGTTTGGTGACTTGACAAACGATATGAACCCGTGAGGATAGAATAATTCTACACTGACATTGGCATGCAGCCAAGCTGCCTCTGGAGCTGATGGGGTGTTGGGCATAAAAGGATGAAGTAGTAAAACCCCTGAGTTCCTGCAGCTGGTGGACAAGAAGATGCATGAATGTGTCTGTTCAGAGTTTAGTATGGCGTCCATGTTTCTGCTTAACCTGGAAAATCCAGTTTTTCTTTTGCACGCCAGTGGGTGCCATTGCAGAAATGCAGCACATCATCCTAAGAATGGAGTCAAATTAAAAGTCTCTGAGGACTCAGCCATGCCTTGGTTAACAAGTAAAACTGGTCACCAGCATTCTGCACTGTTGAATACATATAATGGTAAAATGTGGATACCTAAACAGAATTTTGATCAAGTGCAGAAGAAAAAAGCAATAGTTTTTGTCGTTGTTGTTTTTTACATATAGTAATAAGCTTCTGAAAACAGAAAGTGACATTCCAACATGGACCACTGAGGAGTAAACACCTGTAACATCTTTCAGTTCAATTCCATCAGGAGCAGATACTAACAAGCAGTTCAACCAGCATCTATTCCAACACCCTTCTAGCTTACTTTGATTGCTATACTATAGAAGACAAAAAGCTAAAACTACATTTCCCAGGTTCCCCAGGAACTAGCCTGTAATGAATGTGGAGCCACCAAGCCAACCCAAATGTGTGAATGTTGAAGGTGAAAGCAAGCAACACAAACTATTAGCTGCATGAAAGAATGGCTCCTTGGGAGAAAGCATGGCGGCAGAGTATCTGGTTCTCTTGAGGAGCTGTGCCAGAGTTTCTGGCCCCTGGACTTTAATGTCGTAAGTGACAATATGTGGGTAATAGCAGCAGTAGTGTTTCTGCTAGGACAGTCTAGTGTTGAGGCTGGGCATTTTTGAGGTGTCATCCCTGGCTGCATTGTTCCCAGATTAAACTACATAGAATGGATTCTGTAGCATGCAACCAAGAACTCTGATTACATGCTACAATCTTCTTTTTCTCTACTTCTTGAACTTTCACCTTCTGGCAATGATCAGCTGTAACAACATTTTTTCCCCTTTTCCTGTGATTGCAAGAAGCTCTTAGCGAAGACAATCTCACTTACGTACGGGATCCACACTCGATATGTTTTCAGGAAGTTGTAAATAGGCAGGAGAAGGCAAGATTATACTGAAATTAAAAATTTAAGTTGTATGACTGACAATACAAGAAATTGAACACTGGAAGTTTTTCTCCCACAATAATGCAAGGATGAACTGACAATAAGGTGGATGTATTTAGTTAAAACCCACATTCACTGGAATCACAGGAAACCCAATATAATTATCATCAATTTGGTAAGGCTATAGTGTCAGTTAATTTTATTTATTGAAGCATTCAAGACATTTCAAATACACTTTTCTAATTAGCCATTGCCTTTGGCTCCCACACCCCCTGCTTTTGCAGCCCACTATACAGGTGGCAAACACAAGATATAGCAAGCTAGAGCATTTTTTCCTCCTCAAAAAGGGAAAAAATATCATGTCAATTGGAAGAGTTGAAATCATGTTCAACACTCTGGGTTGGCTCTGATTTCAGCCTCCTGTGACACTCCACTCTCATTCCCACACATGCAGCTAATGTCTCTGGCATGACTATATTGAGTTTGACTTGTTCATATACTAAAACTGCTTGAGCACTCAAACATAATGCTTCCTTTTTTTTTTTTTGACGGAGTCTTGCTCTGTCACCAGGCTGGAGTGCAGTGATGCAATCTCGGCTCACTGCAACCTCTGCCTCCAGGGTTCAAGTGATTCTCCTGCCTCAGTCTCCTGAGTAGCTGGGACTACAGGCACGCACCACCATACCCAGCTAATTTTTTGTATTTTTTAGTAGAGACGGGGATTCACCATGTTGGCCAGGATGGTCTTGATCTCTTGACCTCATGATCCACCTGCCTCAGCCTCCTAAAGTGCTGGGATTACAGGTGTGAGCCACCGCACCTGGCCAGTGCTCCCTATTTTTTTAAAAACTGCTTCAGATATTTCTCAATTAACAAAAATGTTTAAATAATGCCCTAGCTATTAAAAAACAAACAAACAAACAAACAAACTCTGCATTTAGGCAAAAGTGTGAAGATGGCAACAGGACAGCCTGGGAAAAAGAAAAGTAATATCCATCAAGAGGCTACCTGTCCCAGGTGCCTTACTGATACAGATTTGTTATTTCATTTTCTCAATGACCATGTGAAGAGACAAATAACTTGCCTAAATTCATGGAGTAAGTATGCCACAGAGACAAGGCTGGAACCCAGTATTTCCTGTCTCCAAAGCCATTTCCATTAAACTCCACCAGAGAGGTCAGGAACATACTATATAAGTCCCTGCGAGCCAGGCCATTGATAATCCTATCCTGTATCTCTTTCTTTGAATCTGTTCCAATGAAACGCACCAAGAAATCTTGTTTAGAGATTATAATTTAAGGTACCAATTCGAATGCAAATACTGTTGTACAATAAACATAAAAAGGTCATATGAACGCAGTAGAGATGTTGTCATACTCTGTGGAGAAGGAAGATTGGTGAAGTACATTCTACGCTATACAAATCACAAATATCTGAATGACCAAGGTTTCTAGAGGATATAACAGCTCAAGAGCCCCATATGCAGAGAACTTTAGAAGTTAAGCCTTCTGTATGTATTCTGCCAATTTCCAATGGGGGAAATGTCATTTTCCTTTCCAAGGATGATGACTCATGCAGAATCAATGAACAGAGATAGAAACATGTAACAGCCTTTTAAAATCTGGTAATTTGATGATTAAGTCATGCCTTCAGAAAATTCTCTGGACTTCTCATTACAAAATAGCACCCTGGTGATTGGGTGCAGTGGATAAGTATTATGTATAACCACTATCTGAGGGCAGAGTTTTCTGAAACTAAGATCAGTCTGGGACAGTAAGGTGTTTCTTTTTCCTGGATTTGTTATTACAATAGCACCACAATATTATTTATATTATGGAAGGCTAAAAAGTATAAAGAAAGCATTTGAAAATGAGCATAATCTTAACCAGAGTTGTTAACTCCCATTTATCTTTGAGATGAGATTGAGAGAAAAGGGTAAAAAAACAAAACAAAACAAAAAACACAGGAGATCGTCCCCTGGTGAAAATGATTCTCTCTGAAAATGGCCATAAAAGACAAGCATTACGTAGTTTCAACCACCTGCCTGATGAGGAGAAGTGAATAAGAAAAAAAAAAATTGTGCCAATACCTTATACACAGAAAAGGAGATATTTAACCCAATCTTTAAATATCAGAACCTAAGGAGGCAAGGCAATCGGGAATAAAAACATACTGAGGGTTATTTATATTACAAATCTTATTAGATTTGTACCTTCCCTTTCAGCCCTTTCCATGTTTTTAATATGTTTTAATGATAGTAACTGTGACAAGAAATTGGGTGATAGAAAATAGAGCAGCATTTTCACTTTCATCTGTGTCTCTTCAGAGACTGCTCTCAGATTTCACAGTCCAGATCCTAGTGTTTTTTAAAGTAGGATAAAGAGACAACACCAACAGGATATTTGCTTGAGTCTCCCTGTTTCCCACTTGGACAGTGTCTTGGTGCAGACTAAAGAGCTACATATATAAGGGTGATTGTTTACTCTGCTTATCTATACAAAAGATCTTAGATAAATAAATGCTCTCATCTACCCTTTCCTAGTTCAAAATCGCATCATCTTATTCCTTTGATATTGTCTAGACTTCCTATATCTGTGGTATTTAACTCTACTTTCTTTCTTTTTTTTTATTTTTTATTTTTTATTTTTATTTTTTGAGGCAGAGTATTGCTCTGTCACCCAGGCTAGAGTGCAGTGGCATGATTTCGGCTCACAGCAACCTCCACCTTCCAGGTTCAAGCAATTCTTATGCCTCATCCTTCCCAGTAGCTGGGATTACAGACGTGTACCACCACGCCAGGCTAATTTCTGTATTTTTAGTAGAGACAATGTTTGGCCAGGCTTGGCCTCAAGTGATGCACCCGCCTCAGCCTCCCAAAGTGCTGGAATTACAGGCACAAGCCACCACACCCAGCCAACTCTATTTCCATATGGTATTATTTTTCTGTTTTTTAATATGCTTAACTTTTTTATGAAAAAGCAAGATTTTTGTTATAAGCTAACTTTCCAAAAACTAAAAATAGCCTTGGTCTAATTTAAAACACTTTTATAACAGCTGAAAATAGATACAATCTATAAGATAATTTGCTTATCGTGGTCTATATATGACCTCAAAGACCCAAAAAGGTTTGCTCGTAAACGGAAAATTAACTTTTTAATGACCACCAGTCATCATCTTTTTTCAGTCTGAGCACTGGTGAAAAAGTTGCAGAGAAATATAAGATGAATCATTTTCTACCTTTATGGAGGTTCTTCTCTTTCCCAACCCTCCACCCCCTCCCCGCCCCGCCGCCCCCCCCTCCCCCAACGCACCGCCAGCCTAGGAAACCCTGAGGCACAAGGCCTATAATTAAGAGTGGCCCTGGAGGCCCGTGCCGTCACCTATCTTAGATATTTCAACAAGGTAGACCACTGGAGTAAGTATGCAAGGAAAAGAAAAAGTACATTGCTTGAACTCACACCATGATATTTTGAAGGTAGCACTAACAAGATTTTCTCTAAGAGACTTTATAGAGAAAGTAAGAGAAACAGGGTAGTCAAGGAGATCACCGAAAATTTTGGCTTGAACTGCGGAAGAATAGAGTTGCTGTGACCTAAGAGGCAGGAAACTACAGAAGGTGTGCATGTATTTTTTGAAAGTAAGTGTTGTGATAAATTAGAAAGTCAGTTTTGGAGATGACACATTTTAGATGTTTACTAGAAATCCAAGTGGAGATACTGAGTAGGCAGCAGAATGTACAAGTTGGAAATTCAGCAGACAAGTCTGGGCTGGAGATACAAATTTGTAATTGATCAGTATACAAAGCCCGGAATCTAGCTGAGATAAGCAAGGATGATTGTTGATAGGTAAGGAGTTCAAGGACTGAACTTTAGGGCTCTTCAGTAATGAGTGGGGAGTGACACAACTGGGAACCAGCAAAAGAGATTGGGAAGAAACAGCCAGCGAGGTTGGAGGAATTCAAGTGAAGAAATTGTTTCATGTGGGAGGAGCGATCAACTGTGTCTGGAGAGAATTGACCGCTGGCAATTGAGAATGATGCACCCTGCTCTAACAATGCTGAAGAAAAGCTTTTAATCTCCAGCTCCTAACTCTGACTCAAAAGCAACAGCCTTTGTAGAAATATCCTGCTTATATTTGTAACACTTAGGAAGTAAGTTATTTTACTTTGATTGTATTGAAATTCTATTGATAATTCACATTTTAAAATAATGTTCCTGAACCATATGCTCAAAATGCCCCTAGGCTTTTAAAATCCCTACCAAATGAGGAAATTACTCAATAAAAGGAAATTATCTCACTGACTGTGTTATTAGATATGTAGTTCAGTGATTTTCTGGAAAGACAGATTGCATGGCCCAGATGGATAATTTTCTTAGTCTGGTACCATCCACATTGATAAAAATCAGTTCCAGTCACTGTATATCAACATTCGCCTTTCCTTGTGGATACCAGTGCCTTGTCAAGGGCTTCGGTAAAGCTGTAGATTCAATGGACATACTGCACCTTTAAAAGGTTAAGATCCAAAAAAGTTAATGAATCAAATTTCTGTCCAGCAGTATATTTTAGCAGCATCCAGAATCAGATAAGGGCAGACACCACTGTTTTTTAGATGTAACAATAAAATAATTTGGAATATAAAAGCAAACTTTCTGAGTTCTAGAATATTCTTTGCCTTGAATATTAGAAGTCCTACTTAGAAATGCTTGTCTAAATTAGGGGTGGTTAAGAAGCCATGTAACCGTTGCATTCTAATCACCTTATGAATACCTAGGTAGCTAAAAACAGATACATACAAAAAAAAGCAGGAAAAAACTATACATCTAAAGACAGAAGATCTTGGGGAAAAGTTGAAAAGCAAATAGACCTAGACTATGTATAAAGCACCTTTCTTTGACAAAACACAAAAACAGTTAAAATGCAGGTATCTTCAATATTATAAACTGAGAAACCAGAAATAGAAAAGATTAGGAAAGATGGGAGATTTGTTTAATGTCACCGGGTCATCATAGAAATTGCTAGAATTTAGAACCCAGTTCTTCCCAACTCCAAGTTGAGCATTTCCAACAAGGCTATCCTGCAATCAGAAAATAATTAGAAGAACTACTCCTTTAGATGCTAAAAGAGACTTGGTTAGAGAATCTGATGCAATTTGGTCTTCTTAAATGATACATTTGCAATATCAGACACCTTTACAAACTCTGCACACAATGATTGTACATTCACAGGAAATCCAATTTGTAGTGCACATTACATGCTAATATGGAAATGTTTGAGTAAATAATTTCTTCATTGGACTATTTTATGAGTCACTCTGCTAGACCTATTGGCATTCTGTCAGCTCCATTCTGGTTACAATATACCAAACAATTATCCCTGACACTAAATATATCTTAGCCTTTAATGGCAAAGCCCCAGCCTGCAAAATATTCTGGATATGCTATTTATGCTGCCATTTGCAAATAGCATATATCCTAACAGCTGGGCCAGCTGGGCAGACATCACAGCATCTGGAGCAGAAATTAGCCTTTAGGTATGCAATGACTAACAAAGACGCCAAGGCAAAGAAGGATAAGTGTTAACAGTTTCATGCTTTTATATACATGACAATTATGCTTAGCAAAATGGCTCAAATGTATCCAAAACTCTCTATTCTTGAGAATTTTCAAAACCAATCTTAAATTTTTCTGGATCAATAAGAATTAGTTTAAATTGTGCTTGTCTCAGGCAAAGACGGCTATAAATCAATCTCCTCCTAAATGTACATGAGCAGTTTAAATTACATCACATGCCATGGCCAACAAGTGTTGGATGCCAAATCTAAATAGAGTAGATGTAATTTTCACTAGATTGGAATATGTAATACAGAAATGGATTTTTAAAATGTCATGGGAAATAACTGCATTGCCCATAATGTCGATATGCTCCCCAAACACCCAATACACAGATCCAATAGACTGGTAATACACATCACAGCACAGAGTTGATTCACCAGTGTTTTTTAATTCTATACATTATGTAAAAATGGTTGTGGTTTAAAGGGATGACTGGCTATATTCTTCAAAAATTGGATTCCATATTTCATGTTTATTGTCACCAAAGTTGTGGAACATATCTAGGTTTTTTTGCCCTTAATTCCTTAAACATTTTGAAGAGTTAAGGATTGTTTGAAGTTAAATTATTATTTTTAAACCTAAAGACCAAGTGACTTTCCTAATGTGAATGTGTGGAGGAACCTCAATTAAATATTCTACCATAAATGAACAAAGTGATTTCCCCACTTTCCAGTTACACATAACCCTTCTATTTTTATTAATCTCATTCATTACACTGCAGCTTTATTCCAGAGAAAATTCAAGGATTAGAAGAAATGGTAGCAATATTAAATAAACTTAATATCACCTTTATTGCACATAGCTATGATAACATGCTTAAGGTCTATACTAGAAGGTAACTCTTCACCTGTACACTTTATATAAATCATGAATACCTCAGATATATCTATAAATACCTTGAAAAAGTTCTGTCTTCAATAATTTATTCTAAAAAGAAGAAAAAATTAAATGAGAGCGCAAAGAAATCACACTTCAAACCTGAGAACATTTTTAACGAAATTAAAATAAACAATACATAATAGATTTCCAACGTATCTGGTTAAAGGGTATTCAGAAAGGAACACCCTCTGGCCTATTTACATTTAGGAAACATTAGATAAGATCAGATTTACCAGGGAACATCTCTGTTTTAGATTTGGAATGCCTCTGTAACAATTTTACCCAACTATTACCTTGTTGAGCCCTGGTTATTCACACAAGGAAAGTTAAAGACAGGGCATGTATTTTCAAGCCTGGGGCAAAAGAAAGTTGAGCACATCACAAAGAAGGAAAACTATCTGGTTTTCTAAGAGAGCTGCCAACTCCTTCTCTATCCCAGTACCAGTAGTTACTGAGAGGAACCAGGCGCGGGTTAACTCAAAAGGGAATTAATTCATATACTTTATCTCAGCAAGGGGAAGAGGTTTCTGCAGGGCTGCCGGCTGTTTGAGATGCAGAGAAATCACGATGCAATGTCAGCCTGCAGCGATCCCAGGTGTGCTCACCTGCTGGGGGCAGGGTGGGAGGAGCTAGATTCAGCAGGCTCTGGAAGTCTGGAAGCTGACTAGAATGATTGCTCATAGGAGTTGCTTTGATTTCCTCTAGGAAAGGGAGGTAAAGGAGGGGCTAATGGGGCCACGGCAGGTGGAGCCTTGAAATGGTTTCTATTTATTTCTCCTGACTCTTGTTATTTTGCTTCATCATTCATTGACGTTTCTTCCTCCCTATCTGGTTTAATTTAGGGCCGGTGTTTGTTTGTTTTTGTTGTTCAACTTGATTTCCTGGAAGACTGACAAAGAGTCTAAAGAATGTGAGTGCCTGCTTTGAATTAAGCCCACTGAGTCAAATTACTGATTGCAAAGGCAGCAGTTAGGAACAAGCAGATTTTGATTCAAGTTAGAAAGAGGCACTCATGGTTCCAAAGCAGTACAAGGAACAAAGAGAACACGGCCCTGTTCCTGGTTGCTTGCAAGAAGGCAGGAATAAATTGCTTGCTTGTTTAACTGCTTTTCAAAGTAGCAGATAGATTGTTTTTGGTAGTTAAATGTGGTTATGAAAGGTTGAACAATTAGAGTCATTTTCATAATCAGCAATTGCTGTTGCTGAAATTAGAGAGAAAAGTAAGTGATAAATAAAGGGAAAACATGTCTGGCAGGAAGCATTATTCAATCATAAGCTATCCCAAATGGTTAAAAATGTAGCTTATATTACACTCCTGTGAATTTACAACAACATGGAGGAGAGAACTAGGCCACTCAATTTCACAGTTCCAGGAGAAAACGAAGCTCTTTCTGGAACTTTTACTTTCCCAGCAATGTGTTTGTGATGCATTCCAGATGGACAAGCCTTGAAAAGTGACGGTATCCATCTATTTGTGAGAATGAACACAGAGAGAGTGAGAGTTTTCACATCCTTGTCTTCCTCAAATATAAACACCGCAAAACACAAATGAATCCTCTTAATCCAATTTGGGAGGACTCCTTAGGACAAAAGGCTTTATCAGTTATCATCAAAGCATTCAGTTTAATTCTTCTTCCCTTGAGTCTCAGGGGGTTGGGGGAGAGAGTAGTTGATGAAATAAAAGTAAAATAGAGCTAAAGACAGTTCTTTAAATGAAGACATACATACAGCTGATTGTTTAATGTATGGGTAACACAAGACTGAAACACATCAGTGATATGTTGTGAGTTCAATTAAAATATAAAAAGATTTTGACAAATTGGAAACATGATCTAAATCTAATAGTATGACCTTCAGTGAAAATAAATGTTAGGACTTGAATTTGGTTTCAGAAATGCGTAAGTGTGGGATAGAGGAGACATTGTTTAGCAGGAGCTGGTAATGAAATCTCATTTGCTAATAAACTCCAGAAAAAAAAAAAAAAACAAAAAAAACACAGTGTCACAAAAAGGGCTAATGTGATATGATTGCAGATGACTTTAGAGGAATACATTTACTAAATAAAGCAGTAACAATTCTACCCTGTGCCAGCTGACCTACATGCAAACCATGGCATATGCCTACTCTCCTATCCAATGTGAGAGGAATCCTTCTAGCCAAGGCCAATCCCTCCTCCGGTTGCCTGGATGGTACCTTACCTTCTTTCTAAGCAACCTCTCTCTAGCAGCTACTTCCTATCTCTTCTGGATCATTAACTTCTGCCTCTTCTCTGGTCCCTTCTTATCAGCATTTGATCACACTCAAGTCTTTCTCATCATGAAAAACCTTTTCTAGTCCAGTTGCTCATGCCTGTAATCCCAGCACTTTGGGAGGCCGAGGCAGGTGGATTGCTTGAACCCAGGAGTTTGAGACCAGCCTGGGCAACATAGCAAAAACCCATCCCTACAAAAATAATACAAAAATTAACTGGGGATGGTGGTGTGTGCCTGTAGTTCCACCTACTCGTGAGGCTGAGATGGGAGGATCACCTGAACCTGGGGTGGTCGAGGCTAAAGTGAGCCAAGATTGCACCATTGCACTCCAGCCTGGGCAACAGAGCGAGAGCCTGTCTCAAAAACAAAAACAAAACAAAATCCTTCCGTATACCGCATTACCCTTGTGACCACAAACCTCTCCTTTTTGCTGCTGAATTCCTACACAGTTACTCTCTTCCCTCCTTTACCTGTCTGTCATCTTCATCCTAGTGAAATTTGACTTTCGCCCCCACTGCTTCCCTGGAATGGCTCTTCATTAAATCACCAACTAAAGGACAACAACCAGCCCTTATCTTTTTTAGTCACTGAGTAGCTTTAGATGCAATTGACCAGTCTTTCTTGAATTTTTTTCTTCTTTTGGGTTTCGTGGATGTCTGTCCTGGTTCTCCTCCATGATGAGCTTCCTATTCTCAATGTTATTGCTGTTTGTTGTCCTGTATTTGTTGTAGTCGGTGTGTTTTGGAGGTTTGTCTTCCTCTGCCCATTCTATGTGTTGGTCTTCCATAGGCTTCCCGGTGAGCTTCCACAACACAGTTCTCTCATAGACAGGTGGAGGGAGTTCCCTGGATGGAAATCAAAGGCCAAGTGCCTGCACTATCATGGAGTCCTCCCTGCATTGCTTCATAGGGGATGCCCACCAAGAAGGCAATAAGGAGGAACCATAGAACTTCTTCCTATGGGACCCACAATGGAACAATCAGCTGCCTTCACACAGCAGTGGTTTCAAAGAGTTAACAATATTGAAGACTTTTAAGAAAATTCCCCATAAGGAAACATTTTGAGCTTAAATACATGGAAGAATAGAGACCCGATGTCACACAAAAGCTAACCTCAGGCCTCCGCTGGGAGGGGTTCTGGAGAGAATCTAGGATGCACAATGGAGGGTGGAGTAAAATGCTGCCACGGAAATGCAAAACCATCTGAGCAGGGATGGAAGCAATAAGCCCCCTGGGTCACCCAGGAAAGGACAGGAGACTTGGCAGGACACTCCACCCCGAGGAAGAAAAGGGGCAGGCATTACTTCCCTTCCTTAATAGGAATGGCACCATTTGTTATTTGGCATGTAGTATGTGCCACAGAGAGTTAAGTTTGCATGACCAATCAAGGTGCCTATTTTTCCCCCATTATCTCTCTTCCTTGGAAATAAAATTTCTAAATTTTTGCTGGGCTGACAGTGGTCCATGAAAAAGATATATTTTTTTCCATTCTCCGCTGAGGTTCAGTATGGCCATGTGCCTACATCTGGAATTTAACTAGAGGCAGGGAATACGGGAATTATACTTACATGGAAAAGATTTGCCCTTCTAAATCGCTTCCTCCTGATTAAGATGCTTTCAAATGCACAGAAAAGTTGAGAGAATTATATAACAAACATGCATACACCCACATCTCTCCTTACAATTGCTAACACTTTGCTGCCTTTGTTTTATGACATATTTATCATCTATGCACTCACATATCTATTTTATTTTTTATCCATTTCAACATTGCAGATATAAATCACTTTGCTCCTGAAGTTATCTTGTTTTATATGTTTCCAACAAGCACATGAGGCAGATATGATCATTTCTATTTCACAAACAAGTAAGCAGAGGGCCAGATGTCTAAGTAACTAGCTGAGGTCCCACTGATAGTAACTGGCAGAGCCTGGATTTTTCGCCCAAGTTTTTGTTTTTAACCTATGAATTTCCCATCCCTTCAACCCCACCCCTACCCTCACCGTACCCTGTAGAATTTCTGAGGCTTTAGGGGTATAAAGCCCTTTAATTTTGTCAGGACTTGTATTCTAGAGGGAGTGTAAAAGGAAAGTTCTAATGGCTCAGTTCAGCTCCCCAAATGGGAAGGAGGGCAGAACTCTGACGGAGTTGGGAATTAACAGCTCTGCGTTTCATGATGCTGCCTTTGGTGCTTTTCTGCATTCTCTGCTGGGAGAGTAAAGTGGGCACCATAGGATGAGGAGCCTCAGCAGAGAAAAGAAATGGTATTTTGCATTTTCACTGCAAACATTTCTCTGTGAGAATAAACAATGCCATTAAATGGGGCACCCATTTCCCTGTGAGTAATTTAAAATAAGTCCGAAATTGAGAATGGACAGCTCTTTTTTTCCCTTTCTGAAAATAAATGCTTAGAAATGAGACCTGTTTACCATAGGTCTGCAGACTTACACACTTTGCCAAACCTCCATCAGATGCACACAATTTCTGAAGCTGCTCCTTCATCAAGAATGATGACTCGCAGCTACCTTAATGTCACAGCTTGGAAGCTCCCAAAGCAATTGGTTTAGTAATTTATTTTGTCAACCGTGCTGTGGACATGAAACTTTTAAAAGTAAAGCTGAAGTTCCAATCTAAAGATCTGAAAAGAACATTTTCAATCTGTTGCTGCAGACTGCTTGCTGTCAGTGCAGGTGCCAGTAGTTACCCTTGGCACTGGGCGGCCTCACACAGTCGGGCACAGCCGCTCCTCGGACGCCGAGGCAAGCAAAGCACAGAGATTACCACATTTTCATCTGACTGAAACCAGAGTTCCATTTAACAAGCTGACAGGAGCAACAGGACCACGAAATAACAAGCAGATACACAGTGTGGTATTTGTCAAAGATAAAGGGCTGAGCTTGAGCTTAATGCTTCTCGAAGGTTTTGGAAGACATTCAAATCATCTTCCCCAAACAGTTTCTGTTCCTTGAACTTCTTCCCACATTTCTCTTACTTGGGGTTTCCATTTTGACACATTAAGCTTTATTTGGTGGCGATCTTTTGAAGACACCAGAATGCCATTAAAGTCTATGCTGATTTCATTAACATCTTAGGTTTCCACATGCATACTTTACTCACGCTCGTAAGAGCCATGGCTAAATTCAATTCCATTTTATTGTTACACCTTTCTAGAGCTAAATTTACAAATCACACACAAACATGCACATGCATGTGTTTGCAATAAGACTTCTTGCAACAACACATAGCCTCATTTCTTTATGGTTATAAAGTAAGAATTAGAAAGAGATCTTAAAAACACAATATTTTTAATCCAACCATGTGTGCCTTATTGTCCAGATTACATAAAGTAGGATTCTTTTTTAAAAAAATCAGTCGAATCTATTGTCATTTTAGGTTTGATCCTCTGGGAGTGCAACATCCTTACATTTCTCTGTCGCATGTATATGTTAAATTGGAAAAGGAAACCATTATCTTCCCTGTTTTCTTCAGAATGTACAAAAGCAGCCAAAACAACATGAAATATGGCATGCATTAGAAGAATTAATTTTTGGATGAGTCTGGCAGCATGAAGGAGTTTGACAGCATATGCTAGCAAAAGCTAAAGAGAAGCTATATTTTTAAAACTCAGATATATAGATTTAGAGATAGTAGATATACTTTTATTTTTATAGATAAATTCTTATAAAAATAAAATTCCTATAGCTGTCAAACATGCAGTCAGTCTGAAACTCTTCAAATATTAAAATGCATGGATGGATCCCTAACTGCTCTTTTATGGTTTCTTAGGAGAATCACATTGTAAGAGAATGTTTTGTCAAGGCAAAGTCTTCCTTCTTGGGACAATGCTTTATTTCCCTTAGCCCCAAAGCTCTCATATAGATCTTGATCCAACTTGCTTACAAGCAAAGTCAGTTTCTTTGGCCACTATGATCTAGAGTTCTATTCCAAGTTTGGGATTTTGCAAACATTGTTGTACGTAAGCTTAAATATGCATTACCACCACACACTAAATATCCTGAGGGAAATTCTCATTGACATAGACTGTGAGCAGCTCACCTCCCTCCCGCTTAACAGAACAATCTTGAATGAAATGTCCCCTCACAATGCTGTCCTCCACTCTGTGTCAGGAATCAAACACTCCAACTCAGATCAGTTATTACAGCAAATTCCTCACATGTTTCCTCTGAGTTAGGGAACCAAAAAATACAATAGTTCTCCATATTTCAGCTACAAAGAGTAAGCGCTTCAGAGCTGAAACGGAAATAACCAGAAGAGCTGGACTTGGGGAATTTCCTTTCAGAAACAGTTCTTATATAAGGAAGGCTGCAAATTGCTTAGAGTATGCGGTATCTGCAGCCAAACAAAGAGAAATTATTCCAGCACCACTTAGCTGCCTTGCGCTATGGCCCAAGGAGGCCCAGGACCAAGCTGTATTCAAATCTTGGTTGTTGGTTAATTCTTCCCCCAAGATGGTTCATTAAACAAACTCTACAGTGTCCTATCAGGGTGAATATGATAAGATTACATTATTAATACTCAAAATAAATATGAAGAAACATACTACAAATCACAGTCTGACATAGGGTCGGGGTAGGGCAGCTGGGAAGGCACACTGAGGGATAGTCTTATATGGAATTTGGAATTTTTTTAATTAAAAAATGTTTTGATACAGGGTCTCACTCTGTCATCCAGGCAAGAATGCAGTGATGTGATCATAGCACACTACAGCCTCAAACTCCTGGGGTCAAATGATCCTCTTGCCTCAGCCTCATGAGTTGCTGGGACTACAGGCATGTGTCACCACACCTGGCTAATTTTTTAATTTTTTGTTGAGACGGAGTCTTGCTATGTTGCCCAGGCTGGTCTTGAACTCCTGGCCTCAATAAGTCCTCCTGCCTTGGCTTTCCAATGTGTTGGGATTACAGGTGTGAACCATGGCACCCAGCTTTTTTCATAGGTTAAGAAAAAATTAAAATAATACATAAATAAGGATATCGGAAAACTTTGAGATATAAAGTACAATCCATAAATGATGTTTGTTTTAACATTATCATATCCATAGTAACTAAAAGCCTATTTCTCAGTTCAAACACTGAGACAAACACATGGCAGGTAAATAATAGAAACAAAATTATAAAATTTCTACTTAATTTTCTATCTTAGTCTCCTGTCTGAAACATGGATCTTTCTATCATGTACATATAAGTATATTTAAGTGCATGCACACAAGGATGCATACACTAACACACTCACACAGCCATACACACATACACGCATGTGCACACACACACAGCTATCACAACCCTCATTTTCATCTTTATTCCTAACTGAACAGGGCTATAGAAGAGAGACAGAATTTGTGTACTCATCCTGGCAAGTACTTCTGGATACTTTATGTGTATGAGCCAACTGCAAGCCCAAAGCCATCTAAAACTCTGGAGTATATCTGGGGCAAGCATCTTAAACTTGGGGCATAGATGAGCCCCCACAGTGAGATCCTGACAGGTCTCTTTCATACACAGCTGAGTGCAGAGAAGAGTAGACCCAAGTTTGTAAGCTTGTAAGAAACTTCTCAACTCAACTCAGTCTTTCCTTGTCTCATTGTGTGATTTTTTTTCCCTTCTCTCAGTTCCAGCTCTTGAAGACGACATAATCCTTCATGCCTTAGTCTTCACATATGTTGAACCCTCTGACCAGATATCTGTTCCTTATTTCTCTGCCTGTTCAACAGTCGCAATTCACCTCCAATGATTACTGTCTGAAGTCATTCTTCAGAATTCAACTCTTCTTTATTGGTCTCTTACTGTGGCACGTGTTAGGAGAAATACTAGAAAATTCCCTTGAAGACTAGCTGGCATGCCCCAACAGGAAACTTGACAAAGTTTCCTTAGTAATGACTTCTGAAGGCCATTTTGCTCTAAATATATACTTTAAATAAATTATCCCTTTGTCTTGTCAGAATCATTTGTATGGTCAGAATCATTTGAATATTTAGATATAATGAATTTAATGATCCATAAGAGCATTTGTTATATGATATAATAATCACTAAGTATTAAGTTTGCTGTATTTGAAGTATTTGAATTTTATTATAGGCTTGAGTGATGTTAGCCTCACAGGTGACAATGAGTCAAAGCTAGAGATAACGGCAGAAAGCTGCTACTCTCCCTCCTTCTTAAGACAGACAGACAAGTGCAGGAAGAGTAATCATCAGATCCCTAGAGTTGAGGATGGGTACGCAGTAGAGATGGGACCAAGTGACCCCCTAATTTATCTTCCTGTAGCACGCTGTAGGTTAGTGAAATCACCTAAGACTCTCAGTGACAAATTGGGCTAATCACTATCTCCCGTTTCATGCTAAGTGAAGAATTAGACAGGGTGTTGGTCAAGATTATGGGCTCTAGAGTCAGAATGCCTAGATCTGAATCCCAGTGCTGTCATTTGCTTGCAATGTAATTTCAGAAAAATTAGACTTCGTCATGCCTCAGTTTCCCCATCTGTAAAATGGGTTAATAGTACCACATACAAAACATTGTTTGTTGTGAGGTTTAATTCATATAGTACACTTAGAATAGCATCTGGCATATAGTAAGGTATTACTAGATGTTCAAGGTTTCCAGTACCTTTTGAGCTGATCTCTATCAGCAAGAAGAAGGGGGAATTCAGAGATCAGAACCCTGGCCAGGTCTGGTGGCTCACATCTGCAATCCCAGCATTTTGGGAAGCTGAGGTAGAAGGATCACTTGCAGCCAAGAGACCAGCCTGGGCATCATAGTGAGACCTTGTCTTTAAAAAAAAAGTTTAAAAGTTACCTCAACATAGTGGCATGCACTCTAGTTCCAGCTACATGGGAGGCTGAGGCAGGAGGATCACCTGAGCTCAAGAGGCCGAGGCTGCAGTGAGCCAAGATCATGCCACCGCACTCTAGCCTGGGCAACAGAGCAAGACCCTATCTCTAGAAGGGGGAAAAAAAGTGATCAGAGCCCTTGCTCTAGCCATTGATAGCTATACAAAAGAAAAAAAAATCAACTAGCAAAGGAGATAGCTTTTTGTGAGTAGATAATGTTAAGATGTTAACATCTGGGGCTAGTTTTTAACCTTTAAAACCACACCAAGGAACTGGTTAAACTATGTATTCCTAGAAGTTGCCAATACGGACTCTCATTCAATAGGTCTGGGGGAGGGTTTGGGACCAGACACCTTCAAGTGACTTGTTGCAGATGATCTGAAGACCTCAATGTGTGAAGCATACTCATAGTGATTAGAACTGAGAATCAAATGGCCCTCTTCAATGAGTTTTGATGCTTTTTTGTTCCTAAATAAATGAGATAGAGTTGAAGAGAAGCAAAAGTATCAAAGCATATCACACATAGTATTTTTTCATGAAACTTTAATTTTCAATAACATACGTATGTGTGTACTGGGTTGGATTGAAAATGAAATTCTTATTATGGGTTGTAGACAAAAAGTTGAGAAGACTTCGCTCTAGGGAATTAACAGCATCAATATCAAGTGACATACCATCACAAGGCATTCTAAACTCTGAAGTTACCTAACAAGCTTAGGATAAAAAAGGATAAGCAGGAAAGCAGAAAGGAAAGGCTAGCGGGATATCAACTGGTATAAAGAACTGAGTCTCCAAGATGCAAAGAAAGAGCAGTCAATGGGTTGTAACCAAACTCTGACCCATAATGAGAGTGACATACATGTGAAATGCTTAATGAATGGATCAGGGACCACAGAGCTCTGACAAATGGTGGAGGAAGCCTAAGTTTAAAAGAGGCTTTACATTCTAACCAGCAGCCCCTTCTCGGGCTCTCAACAAATTTCCTTTCTGCTGGAATTCTTCATGCTTCCTCAAAACTTGATGGTGACTTCTTTTTTTCTTTATTTGTTTTGAAAAGCTGGGAGAAAATTGTTTCAGTATGTTCTTTAAATTAGTTTCCTTGCAGTGTTTTCCTTGCACACATTAATTACAGCTCCCTTGAGGGGCTGCAGTACTATATAACACACTGTAATTCTGCTCCCCAATCTTCTTTCCCCACTTCAAGTCTCCAATTCTCCCTACAGTCTGGGCTCTATATTAATGTGTAAGCGCGAAGTGCATAGCCAACATTCTTTTAACTCTGATATAAGAATAGAGAGGAAAATATGATCAGGTCTTGAGCACACCAAACTTAAAATGAACAGTTTGTGGCCTATAAAATGAAGTAGACTAAATGAATTCTGAAGTCTCCCCTTCCAGTTCAAACATTCTCAAAAGAGAGTTTCATTTAATATCTCAAGTACAGAAAAGAGATCAGTGAGACTTTGATGAGGCTAAGTGAGTATCATTAGCAAGATATGGCTAGAATTCCAAAGGTTCTCAAGAAAACAACGCATGCCCAAGAATCTACATTGGAGCTGTCACTGTACTAGGCTGTAGGATAAGGCAGTTAGTTCAAGAAATTGTAATTACTTAATTCCCAAAGAGAGTGAACGTTCTAAAGTGACCACAATATAATCATTTCACCCCATACCTACAGATCATAGAGGAAGGAAAAAAAAATAGCTAAACATAAAATGTACTTCTATAACAGATTTTCAAATTCCTGTTTTGTTTTGTTTTTTTCAGATAGGTAGAAGCAGTGGCAGGTCTGAGAATCAAAATGGGTCATTCATTGACTAGTTAGAACTGGAAGGTTTATTACAAAACTTAAAGAGGTAGGTCAGAGTTTCCAGCCCCAACTCCTTATTCAACAGCTTCTTTGCACAGCAGCTATACAGGTGGCTTATATAGGTTATCTCGTTCCCTCTGCTTGGCTCTTGAGTAGGTGTGTATACTTTATTTTACAGATGGAGAAATTTAGGTTCAGAAAGGTAAGTAACAAGTGTTAACCAGTGTCAGCATCAGGTTTTTAATCCAGGTAATAATTTACCCGACCTCAGGTAGTTTGCAATAAACGATAGGCCTATTAGCTTGATGAATGTCAACTTTGTGACCTAATAACATCCATCAGATGGTTTCTTAAAATTTACCGTCTTCTCCATTCTTTCACTTAACCAGATTCGAAGCCCTGGGAAGGCTCTCACTCTTAGAAAGTAATCTTCTGCCAGTGGCTTGATCATTCACAAACCTGGTACCAACACAGAGCAGTAGTTAACAAGAGAGTTAAGGCTTAAATTCCTGATTTAGGGAACAAGCTCCACCAATCTTCCAGTCTGATGCCTCTAACTCTTCTTAATTTACGCTCTTTCACCACTAAGATCTCATCCCCTCACACTATTAAATCTCCCATCTCTATATGGTGAAACAGAATATTTTTAAAATCATTTTTGACATCTCTTTTGACCTGCTAATCCATACCTGCAGTGGTCTAACCCATAGACACTTCAAACCCATCATGCCTTCTGAATGCTTCATCCTTCCTCATGAAGCTGCACTTATATCTGAAATCACTACTTCAGTAATAACACCATTTACACATTTAACTCTTGTAGTACTGTCTCCTCAATAAGCAGATAGACAACACAAAGCAGGAGCCAAATTAAAAACAAGTATTTGCTGCCACCTTATCGTAGACCTTCATTTCTTGGCTGAAATATTGCAATAAATTCCTATTTTCCCTAACATGAGTCCCATGCCTTCTAATAGATTCTCCACATTCCTCCAGGGGTTCACTCTGAAGATACACTTTTTTTTTTTTCTGGCAGACAGAGTCTGCTCTGTCACCCAGGCTAGAGTGCAGTGGCATGGTCTCAGCTCACTGCAACCTCCGCCTCCCAGGTTCAAGTGATTCAGCAATTCTCATGCCTCAGCCTCCCGAGTAGCTGGGACTACAGGTGTTTGACAACAAGTCCGGCTAATTTTTGTATTTTTAATAGAGACAGGGAATTGTCACGTTGGCCAGGCTGGTCTCAAACTCCTGGCCTCAGGTGATCTGCCCACCTCGGCCTCCCAAAGTGCTGGGATTATAAGCATGAGCCACCATGCGTGGCCGACAATACACTTTTTATTTATTTATTTTTTTTGAGATAGAGTCTTGCTCGGTCACCCAGGCTGGAGTGCAGTGGCACGATCTCAGCTCACTGCAACCGCTGCCTCCTGGGATCAAGTGATTCTCCTGCCTCAACCTCCTGAGTAGCTGGGATTGGAGGCACCCACCACGCCCAGCTAATTTTTGTATTGTTAGTAGAGAAAAGATTTCACCGTGTTGGCCAGACTGGTCTCGAATTCCTGACATCGGGTGATCCGCCTGTCTCGGCCTCCCAAAGTGCTGGGATTACAGGCGTGAGCCACCGTGCCTGGCTGACAATACACTTTTGAATATGTGGTTTCCCTGCTCAATAATTGTCAATGACTCATAGTGACTTTTTGCAGTGGTTTGAAACTTGGGTTCCAAGTTCATGGATGTGTTTGTATGCAAAAGTAATTATGTGTGCATCTTTCTCTTGGGAGAAGGTCTTGAGCTTTCTTTCAACAAATGCCTAAAAGGGGAAGTGTCCCCAAAATAATGAATACAAGGCAAAACCAAAAACAGATGAACAATAAACAAATGGGAATCAATAGTCAATATCTAAACTCTTTCGTTGGACATGAAAAGCCCTTTATCATCTAGTCCCCGCCAATTCTCCCATTTCTTCTCTCACTACCCATCACTTCACACCCATTTACAAGCCATACTTAATTCTGCACAATATCCTAACTTCCTTCTTTGTCTTTGCGCTTTCTATTCCTTATGCCTGGGCCATACTTTCTCCATTTTTGACCCAGCAAATTCTAATTTACTTTTCAAAGCCTCTTTTGTGAATTTTGTGAATTGCCTTCTCATTGATTCCCCCCGGGACATCACAGACAGACTGATCACTCCCTCCTGGACCACATACTGAGCTCTATTCTATCACTTACTGACACAGTGCAGGCAAGCCCCCAAATTGGGGCTTAGTTCAGGAGCGTTCTTGGCTTCATCCAGGAAAGAATTCAAGGGCAAGCTGGTGATGTTAGACTGCAACTTTTATTGAAGCAGCAATGTACAGCAGCAGCAGAGGCACTGCTCCTTGCAGAGCAGGGCCATCCCATAGTCAGTGTGCTCTGAGTAGCAGCCCAGAGGCAGTCCTGCACTCATTCATACCTACTTTCAATTGTATGCAAATTAAGGGGCAGATTATGCAGAAATTTCTAGGAAAAGGGTGGTAACTTCTGGGTTGTCAGGTTATTGCCATGCAAAAGAGTGGTAACTTCCAGGTGTTGCCATAGCAATGGTAAGCTGACATGGCACACTGGTAGGTGTGTCTTATGGAAAACTCTTCCACTCTGGTCCTGTTTTAGCTAGTCCGCAATTTGGTCCAGTGTCCAAGTTCCACCTCCAGAGCTGAGTCTCACCTCCTACTTCACTACTGCATTCCATACAATTCTGTATTTACATGTTAGCCTTCTTCTGTGGACTTTTCAATGGTAAAGTCTGGATGTTAATCTATTTCTTTACCTCAGCACCCCAAAAATGTTTGTTAAATTAATTAACAAATACTGTAGCCATGACAAGACAAGAGAGGCTGAAAGCTTTAAAGAATACTTCAAAGAAGCAGTTTTAAGTCCTGAGAAGACTTACGAAAGAAATAACATGTTATACTTGGAGACAAAAAGATCCTGTTCTTTTATTGAACCTAATTTGTGACGTTAGTTTCAGAATCGCATTACTGAATGATATTTTGGTATATTCGATATTTATTTACTCTGAAAAAAAATTTAATTGTCTTAGTATACTGGCTGATATCTGTGCTAAATCCTATTCACAAAAAGAGAAGCAAGCTATTAGGAAGTGCTACGTAAAAACCAGGTCATTGCTAGTGCTGATTTTTTTTTCTTTTCTTTTCTTTTGGTGACTGAGTCTCACTCTGTTGCCCAGGCTGGAGTGCAGTGGCACGATCTCAGCTCATTGCAACCTCTGCCTCCCGGGTTCAAGCGATTCTCCTGCCTCAGCCTCCCCAGTAGCTGGGATTACAGGCATGCGCCACTACGCCCAGCTAATTTTTGTATTTTTAGTAGAGACGGGGTTTTGCCATATTGGCCAGGCTGGTCTTGAACCCCTGACCTCAAGTGACACACCCTCCTTGGCCTCCCAAAGTGCTAGGATTATAGGCATGAGCTAACACGCACAGCTTGATTTTTGAAAAAAGTACATATATAACTATCTTTATAATTCTAACAAGTAAAAGAAGAAAATTTCCCTCTTATTATACTTTATAGTGAAGAATAACGTTTTACTCTTATAAAGGCATCACTTTTCCCCAGTAATTCTTTCTTATTTGTTCCTCTTTGATATTTCTGCTTGCATTCTTCCAGAACAGTGGAAGTACCAAGTCAAAGAACAAAAAACAAAAACAAAACCACAATAAAAAACCTAGGAGAGAAGCAATAATATGGAGAAAGTGCAAGAATGAATTAGCTGCCCATGCCCAGCTAATTGAGGTGAAGGCTGGAAGAGGTCCAGGAAAGAATCTCACCATAGCTGATGGAGTGGTTCAGGAGCTGGAGATCTGGGCTTGGAAGACACCTCTCTATGAATGAATGAGATACAGCTCATGTTCCTATTGCAGAGGATGAAAAGCAGGCCCACAGAGAAGAAAAATGTAGAGTCTAAAGGATATGACAACAGTACTGGGTAGAGCCTAGGTAAATAGCATTGGAGAGGTTACACCAATGAGAATCGGGATGTTCCAGCAGACGGAGAATGACAGTGACTCTGGAGGATGTAGTGGTCTCCCAGACTGTGAGGGCAGGAAGGGATCTTAGTTCCATCCATTTGCTGTGTAGGGGAGGAAAATGAATGGAGAAAAAGGCCAAGTAAAATGTTCAAGGGCATAGATGTCATTCTGCTGCTCAGAACTTGCCTTCCTCACTCTTATTTCTCACCTTGCCTTTCCTTCTCCTTGTTTACAGAATGAAGTCCAACTCTTTAGTATGACATCAATGGCTTGACTTTGCAGTTTGACTTCATAGTAATCCCTTTGCTTATTTTTCAGTTTGCCTAAAAATATTCTGTGCTTTTCCCTGATTCCCAGCTCATGCTATTCTTTCTGAATTGAATGTCTCTCTTTCCTCTATCCATTTCTTGAAATTCTGGATTTAAGAGCCAGTTTAAGACTCAGAATTCTAAATGTCCAAAACATTTTCTTCAAATCTCTCCCTTCCAAGAAATATTTTTCCTTATTTCCAAGCCATATATCACTCTGTGGTATTTCTCTTGTGTAAATGTCACCTTGTATCATGACTGCTAGAGTTCTCATAATCAGGTGGCAAACTCTTTAACAACAATAAAGCTGCTTTAGTAATTTTTGTGCCCACCATCACTCAGAGCTTGTACATATTAAGGGCCGAGCAGTATTTACTGCTAGGAACAAAGGAACGAATAAATGAAGCTATTAAATCTCAGCAGCCAGCTATTTCCTATCTATTTTCATGTCTATCTGCACCATCGGTTTGTGTGTTACAGGGGCCCTGGAGGCCACGTCAAGCTTCCTACTATACATATAATATGCATAATATATGCCATTGAGCATTTACTATGTGCCAGATTCTGTAAGAAGTGTGTTACATACATAATCTCATTTTATTACTTATAATAATCCAGTTTGATAAACAGCTATTGTTATTCATATTGTATACATGAAATAACTGAGGCTTAATGAGGTTGAGTAATTTGCTTAAGGGTTATGCGGTATTAAATAGCATTACTAAAATCTGAAAACAGATGATTCCAAAGTCCATGATATAGCAAACAAATTATGAGTTTATCTCCACTGTTGTAGTTCAACTCCTGCACAGAAATTTTTTTAGTTATATACATTGGTACACAGACATGTATACACACTAATGTACATATATGCATAATGCATATATGTACCCACCTATATATTTTTAAGTTATATTTGAAACATAATATTCTAATTAGGCACAGTGATTTGTCAAAGACATGTCACATCTTTAGTTCTATCATAAAAGATATTTTATATGGATAAAATCAGTGAATACTGCCAATTATCAGATATACACTGATTTTTCTATTTTTATGTGAATGAGTCACATAAACCCCAGAGATTAGAATACAAGTAAAATTTAGAATAAATCTATGCCTTAGGAAAATTTGACTATCCAACAGCATTCCACTGTTGCTAGTTCTACAAATTCATACTAACTATATCCAAGAACCAACTTTGTAACCCATTCAGGAGCCTACTAAGATCCCAGTATGTTTAAAGTCTTTGGTAGATGTAGACATGGTATCACAGTCCCTCCCATGAGTCCAGTGATTATGTGTACCAGGCAGAAACTTCTTAGTGTTCACTAAAATCTCTATTTCCCTTCTTTCTGGGCACTCAGTTGGACTATACTTTCTAGTCTGCCCTGCAGTTTACTGTAGCCCTGTGGTTACATTCTCAGCGAGAGAATGTGAAGAAAAATAAAAAAACCTTTCATGCACGCTTCTTCATTCTTTAACCCCTTCAGTGAGATGAACATCAGTGCCCAGAATAATAACAGAAGTCATACACTGATAGTGGGAAAGCCTCCATCAGCCTGTATTCCTAAATGACCACATGCAGCAGATCTGCCCACTCTTACTGGCCGGGAACAGTTACCTACGCTAGTCTGTTAAGAAGCCTTTACTGTATTAAGCTGCTGAAATGTGGGGATTATTTGTCACAGCATCTAACAGTATCCTAATGAATACTGCAACCTGTCAAAATTCTAAGTGCTCCCAGGTTCAGCAATTTTTACTCCTGATATATCTAAATAATTTTTAAATAAAAATTTAAAACTAACAAAATTATAGTGCTGATAAACTATAAATACATTAAATTATGTATTCAAATTAATTTCAGGCATAATTGTGTTATCATCAGTCTACTCTCATTAGGAATTAATAAGAATTCTGCAGCCAAGGTTAACTGTCATGTTAGGTTGTTTTTGGTCTTTGATATGATCATCTGTTGTCTGTTCCTGTCTTCTTCAAATAAGTCATGTAAGAAACCTGGGCCGGGTGCAGTGGCTCACGCCTATAATCCCAGCACTTTGGGAGGCCGAGGCGGATGGATCATCTGTGATCAGAAGTTTGAGACCAGCTTGGCCAATATGGTGAAACCCCGTCTCTACTAAGAATACAAATTTAGCTGGGCATGGTGGCAGGCACCTGTAATCCCAGCTACTCGGGAGGCTGAGGCAGGCGAATCGCTTGAATCCGGGAGACACAGGTTGCAGTGAGCCGAGATCACACCATTGCACTCCAGCCTGGGCAACAAGAGCGAAACTATGTCTCAAAAAAAAAAAAAAAAAAAGGGAAAGAAAAAAAAGAAACCTTTAGATGTCCTCTCCCTGACGTACTTCTTTTACTACATGGGTTTTGCTGACAGAAGAGCAAAAAAGTGACCTATAATCTTTCCTTGTATTACTGCTTCTCTGTGACTTCCTACATGGTACCCTCTCCATTTACCTCTCATAACTCTTTCTCTTCTTCTGCCTTTGAACTTACATTTATGTATTGTGATCTGTTTCCCTCATGTGGAGTTCATGGCATTCCTTGAGTCCTTCCCAGCTCTTGCTCTCAAGGCTGAACTTTGCTTTTAGATAGGCTTTTTAGACTACATGTTCCCTAGAGTCACTACTATGGCCTCAACAGCTGCAAGGTCCCTATTTTTTTCAGTCTTTCTCAGCACGTCCTGACCACCCTGCCTCTCTTCTTTTCTTGGACATTGGCTCTTTGGCAACCCTGACCACAAATTGGCTCTCACTTCCCCCTAGACTGACTTACAGAACTAATTTGACTTTGAGCTCTCTGAAAAAGGTCACTTTTTCACTCGTGTGGTATGGGGAGGGTAAATGCTAGTTTTCTGAAAGAATGCCTCAGGAAGATTATTTTAAAAGAGCACAGAACTCAATTTCTCTGATGCCAATCCTTGTTTTACTTTGAAATGTTCTCTCTTTTGCATCAGCAAGGCAAGGAACAATGTGGCTGACCTATTCTCTGCCTGCGGCCTGCCAACTTTTGCTTTCAGGTACTACTTAGAATAAATGAAGAGGAAAAAGGGGGCTCCTCTCTGCTTTAAATGTAACCCTTCACCGCGAATTTTGAAAAGTAAAACAACTAATTCAGCTATGGCTGCTTCAGGAAAATTTGATTTAAAAAAAATTGTATTCCTACAAGGATTAAATTAGAGGTTAATGTTTTGCATTTACAAAAGCATTTTTAAATTTAATGGCCCTTCAATATTTCCAATAAATTAGAAGATTTAGCACATGTAAATGTTAGTTATTCCATTTATTGCAGTTGGCTTTAAAATCATCTTTTCAGAAATATAGCTATTATTGACTGCTTAGAGTAAGTTCCACTGTATAAATTTTATACCAATTTTGTGTGAAAGCTTTGACATAGACTTCAAGATTACATTTCCTAGTAAGAATATCTAAGAAGGCCTTTTCCACCTTTGGCCACAGTCAAATAAAGCAAAAAGCAATCCAAGCTGATAGGCATACAATCCTATAGCCCTAAAGAACCTTAGATTTTCAAGATACTCATTCCTCTGTCTGGCAAATGAGGCTAGAGAAACTATTCCAGGCAATTAGATGCAAATTCTGGTTTTGTTTTTGGTGTATTTATTTTAAGTCTTCCAAAATAATTATGATGCCGATTTTGGCAGTGTTTTAAATAGTTATTTTTAAAATGCAAAGGTAATTTTAAATATACAGCATATTGTAACCTGAACATTATTGTGACACAAACACAGCCATTTAGATCATTTCCAATACTTGGAAAAAAATTCATGAAATTACAAATAGTAGACCATAATTTAACCGAATATATCCTAAAGTTCGTTTCAAGAGTTTCACACTGAATTTTTGTTGTTGTATTAACTGTAATGACTTAGAATACTGTCTGCTTTACAATATTATTTTTTAAGTTTCTTGTTAATTCTGTTTTCTTGAAAACAGCTAGGATGTTTAGTGGAAAGACAATGTCATTAAGTTCCCTTTTACCAATTTATTGGAAAATGAAAACAACTGTTTTGAATTAAAGGATTATAGGCACTCTATAGCTTTTAATTTGTAAAGATTTTTTTAAAACTTCAAACAATTTGTCTAATGCTAAGTACTATAATAAGTATTTTTAAAGCTGCAATAGTGTTTACTGCATCTACTATAAGTAAAAGTTAAAATATTTTATTATAGAATAATACTATCTTCCATCAGATGTCTTGAAATGAAACTCAAAATATGAAAAATGCATTTGGCATTTAAAGTTTCTGTCTTTAAAGATGCCCTTTGGTTATGTTCATATATGCAGTAAAATGTTTTCTTGCAGTATATCTACTCATTTAAATAAATAGTTGCTATTACATTGACTTTACATTAGTATTTCACAATAATTAATGCTTTGCTGAAGGGAAATAGAATTGGTTTCAATTTTCTAGTATTTCAGAGCACATCCACAAAGAAAATCTGAAAGAAACCAGAAAAAGAGCAACATAAATGCAAAGCAAGCAAAATAAGAGAAATAATAAAAACTTAAGCAGAAACAAATGAAATAGAGAATAGAATAACAAAAGAGAAAACCAATGAAACCAAACATGGGTTATTTGAAAGGACCAACAAAATTGACAAACCTTTAGCTGACTGGCAAAGAAAAAAAAAGGGCTCAATTACTAAAATCATAATTAAAGAGGGGACATTACTACTGACCTCGCAGAAACAAAAAAGATTTTACAAGAATACTATAACTAATTGTAGACCAATAAATTAGATAAGCAAGAAGAAATTTAAAAAAAATCTCAGAAAGACGCAAACTACTGAACTCACTCAAGAAGAAACAGAAAGTCTAAATAAAACTGTAACAAGCAAAGAGATTGACTTGTAATAAAAATATTTCCTGCAAAGAAAAGCCCAGACCTAAATGGTTTCTACTGGTGAATTCTACTATTAAATACTTTGAAGAATTGCAACTAATCCTCACATTCTTCTAATAAAGAGTACGAAGAAACACTTCCGAGCTCATTCTATGAAGCCAGTATTATTCGGATACTAAAACTAGACAAAAATTTCAGAAGAAAAGAAAATTACAGGCTAATATCCCCTATGAATATAGGTGAAAAGATCTTCCACCAATTTCCTAGTAAACCAAACCCAGCAGCTTTTAAAAAGAATTATAATCATGACCAAGTGGGAGCTATTCCAGAAATTCAAAGTTGGTTCAACATATGAAAAGTAATCATGTAATATATATTATTAAAAGAATCAAAGATATAAACCATATGCTCATCTCAATAGATGCAGAAAAAGTATTTGACAAAATACAGCAGCCTTTCATAATGAAAATATTCAACCAGGAATATTTTTAGGAATAGAAGAGAACCTCTTCAAACTGATAAAAGTTATTTAGTAATTCCTTAAGTTTCCTCAAAGAAATCATGTCAATTTGAGCCCTGAAATTTAGTTATGTGTATAATACTCATTTGACAACCAACACTGCCCAGTTAGATATTCCTTACTCTTAAAGTTTGGTTTGTTGTTGTTATTGTTTTTGTTTCTTCCAGAAATGAGTCAATATTTCAAATTCTTCACATTAAAGAGGTTGCCTTTTAAGAAGCTGCTATGGGTTGAATCGTGTTCCCCCTAAAAAAGATATGTTGAAACTCCAACACCGGTACTTCAGAATGTGACCTTGTTTGGAGATATGATCTTTACAGAAGTAATCAAGTTAACAGAGGTCATTAGGGCAAACCCTAGTCCAATATGACTGATGCCATTCTAAAAAAGGCAGATTTTGGACACAGAGGCACATACAAAGAGACCCCCATGTGAGGATGAAAGCAGTGATCAGAGTGATGCTTCTACAAACCAAGCAATGCCAAAGTTGCCAGAAACCCACCAAAAGGTAGGGGATAGCTATGGAACAAATTCTTCCTTACGGCCCACAGAAAAAAGCAAACCCAGCACCTTGATCTCAGGCCTCTACCCTTCAGAACTGTGAGACGCTATATTTCTGATGTTTAATCCACTCAGTGTGTGGTGCTTTGTTATGGCAACCCGGGCAAACTAATGCAGAAGTCTTCGGTAAATATTTATTCACTAAAAAAGCATAGCAAAATAAGCAGAGGAAAGTGACACTGATTTTAAAATATGAGTTGAGACGTAAGGCAAATGCCTGCTTTCTCCTAAACTTGAAAATATCAGAAGTGTGTACAAGAAAAGGAGGCAGATGTGCAGTTCAGGAACAACAACTCTGCCTTTGTCACAGCAGAAAACACCATGGGCTGAAAAGTAACAACTATAACTAAGTGTTGGAGTTAGTCATGTTGACAATGGCATTATTTGCTACATATGTTTTTGGCTATCAAAAACAAAGAGAAAAATACTAGAAAAAAAGGCATGATTTAATGAAGAATTTTTAGTGTCATACAGCTTTATTAGTTCCCATCTGGTCGTTGCCTTTGGTTGTCCAACAATGATACTACTTCCTATTTGTTGGGAGGGAGGGCCTCACCTCTCATTCAGAAGCCAATGGATTAGGCAGTTAGAGAACTGGTACATCACCTAAACTCAGCCAGCTAAAGGTTTCTGCTTAGAACGTTGAATCTCTGGAGAATGGTACAAAGATGTGAGGACAGTTGAGACATTATCTGTGGCAGTAGGATAATTCCAGCACAGGCAAGAGTGCCCAGTGGAGTTGGGACCAGTACCAAATGCCCTACCCAGACTATAGCCCAGCTAATTTTTGTATTTTTTTGAAATTTTTTAATTTTCATAATTTTGTAATTTTTGTAGAGACGGGGTTTCACCATGTTGGCCAGGCTGGTCTCGAACTCCTGGCCTCGTGATCTGCCCGCCTCGGCCTCCCAAAGTGCTGGGATTATACGCGTGAGCCACGGCACCTGGCCTATTTCCAAATGTTATTAGTTGAATTGACCTAACTCATTTTTTCCAATTTCTTGTGTTAAAGAGAAACATATATGGTAACCAGTGAGCTCTAAGCTTAAATTTATTTGGAATTTCACTAATATTTAAAATATCCTAAAACTTTCTTCCTTTGTCATCCAAGGTTATTATCCTAAATTTTCTGACTCTTATCTAGAAATTTGTTTAATTATAAAAATCTCAACTAGAAAGGAACCTAACCTGAGGTAATAAGTTAATCACTACCCACATTTAATGGATGATAATATTTTTATCTTTTCTCTTTTCAAAAAGAGTTATCTTTTAAAAATATTAATTAATAAAACATTGAAGATTTTTATAAAGTGTTGGCTAATTGTTTTACTGCCTTGTTATCTGCTATGAGTTGAATGTTTGTTTCCCCTCAAAATTCATATGTTGAAATCCTACCTCCCAAGATGATGCTATTAAGAGGTATGGTCTCTGGGAGATGATTGGTTCATGAGGGCAGACTTCTCATGAAAGGGATTAGTGCCTTTAAAAAGAAGCTTAAGAGAGGTGTTGGCCACTTTGGGCATGTGAGGGTACAATGAGAAGACGGCCATCTATGAAGAAGAGCACCCTCACTGACACTAAATATGTCAGCACCTTGTTCTTGGACTTCCCAGCCTCCAGAATGGTGGGAAATAAATTTGTTTTTTATATGCCACCTAGTCTATGGTATTCTGTTACAGCAGCTTGAAACTTTATGGAACCTGATTCATGCTTGGTTCTTCTGCCTTTCTGCCCCATCAGTGAATAACTTTCTAAAACATTCTTCCATTTAAATGAGCCAAAGTCAATTTCTGTTGTTTGAAAAAAAGCAGCCTGAAATGAAGCACTAACTAAAATGAACTATATAAATTCCATGTGCTGAAACTAAGATGTAGTTCTATTATACAACTATTTTAAAAATCATTTTTAGTCCTTACACATCTAAATTTTATTTGGGCATCATTAAAATATTTATTTTTTATCTATTTATGTTTCTTTATTTCACCAAATTCTGCATGTAAAATTGACCAGAAAAGTATATTATTATAAGAACTAATTGACAGGAAATTTTTTTTAAATAAGTGATGAAGTTCATCTCAGAATTTGATAAGACTGTAATTATCCCCCTAAAATTCAGTTACATTAGACACCCACCTTCAAAGAGAATGCCATAAAACCTGAGTCTGTGACTGAAACCTGTCTGCAGTCAGTCCATAGAAAGTATCTGCCTCACACAGACCTGCTTATCTTGTCAAACAAAGAAAAATCTTATAATCATTTTTCGTACCCCAGGCCTTCCAATTCTCAAAGTAATATTCCAAACAAATCAAGAAAAGTGCAGGAACTCCAGGCTCTGTGGTTAGTCTACTGTAACATCGTTCACATGCAGACCTCACCATGTCCATTTTGGGCCATAAAATCTCCTTTGGCCATCTATAATATAAACTCAAGCTAAATGCCTATTAGTTGCTAACTTTTATTTTTATTTTTTTAAGATAATAAGGAACTAGCTACACATTTATAATTACCTGGTTACTGTAGACAAATTAATGCAACAGTTTTTTGAAGGTGATTAAAAACATTGTTTATACTGGACTAGAGTATGGTAGGATTCATCATGTGGACTGGCATTTTGCCTGCAGCCATATGCCATCTGTCATTTTCTTTAATGAAGTTTGTATCAATTCACAGGAAGCACCAAATGCCATATAACTGGTAGAATTGCTTTATTCAGGCAGATCAATGCTTGATGTCATTTTTTTTTTTTTATGGAAACTCATCTACCTGAATCCATATAAGGAGAACCTTCTTAGGCTCTGTTTCCTCAGGTGAGGAGGGTATCAGAATAAGTAGTTCAGAAGCAAAGCACTGAAGAGAAAAGGTCTGAGTTCATGACCTGCTGCAAACAAATAGACAAGGGGAGAAATCTACTACCCTTTCAGAACTGTAACTACGCTGTTAAACACAGCACATTCAGAATTTTGAGAAAAAGGAATTCTAACATTTTTTTTAAAAGCAAGGATAATGACTAAGACAAAGAATTCAACACAAATACCTCCTTTAAGATATTAATAGCAAATATGTTATTTCCAATTTTTTTTAATTTTATTTATTTATTTTTTTGAGATAGAGTTGCGCTCTGTCGCCCAGGCTGAAGTGCAGTGGTGCAATCTCTGCTCACTGCAACCTCTGCCTCCAAAGTTCAAGCAATTGTCCTGCCTCAGCCTCCTGAGTAGCTGGTATTACAGGCGCCCACCACCACGCCCAGCTAATTTTTGTATTTTTAGTAGAAATGGGGTTTCACCATGTTGGCCAGGCTGGTCTCGAACTCCTGGCCTCGTGATCTGCCCGCCTCGGCCTCCCAAAGTGCTGGGATTATAGGCGTGAGCCACAGCACCCGGCCTATTTCCAAATGTTACTTGTTGAATTGACCTAACGCATTTCCAATTTCTTGTGTTAAAGAGAAACATATATGGTAACCAGTGAGCTCTCAGCTTAAATTTATTTGGAATTTCACTAATATTTAAAATATCCTAAAACTTTCTTCCTTTGTCATCCAAGGTTATTATCCTAAATTTTCTGACTCTTATCTAAAAATTTAATTATAAAAATCTCAACTAGAAAGGAACCTAACCTGAGATAATAAGTTAATCACTACCCACATTTAATGGATGATAATATTTTTATCTTTTCTCTTTTCAAAAAGAGTTATCTTTTAGAAATATTAATTAATAAAACATTGAAGATTCTTATAAAGAGGCTACCTCCCCACCTTTTCCCCATTTCCTCTTCCTCAGATGTAAACACCATCTGGAAATCAGTGTGCCTTAGTCCAATACATGTTAACATATTTTTATTTAGCATTATGATACCCTTTGTTCCTGATCCGCAAAAGCCATCTACCCCTACATTTTCCTTTCCACCACCATTGTTATATGGATATTTACTTTTACTGAATGTCATTTCCATGAAAATTTTGGGAGGTGGAGAGTAAGCCCTCCGCTTCTCCCCATCCCTATACTTGCCCCCCAACCATCTTTTCCAGAAATACTCCTGCTCTACTAGAATTCTTAACCCTTAATCTGGAACTACATAGAAGAGCAATAACTCAGGCCATAGAGCTCAGTAAACCTAACTGCAGGAATGCAGATTAAGGAAAAGTCTAAACGACAACAGGAAGGCACTTTGCTTGCTCTCTTCTATAAGCACTTCCCAACACACATTCCTTTAAGCTTTTCCCTTCCTAGCTTTTTTATTTCCATAGATCTCACACAGAATATTCTCAGAACTGGCTCTAATTCCTACTGTTTTCCTGAGATGGTTACTCTTCAACACTAACTTGATATCCCCTTTAAATCACCATGTCTAAATCTTCTTCTATTCATTCTCGTTAATAGAATCTCTATGCTCTTAAATTCACAAGTTTATTGAACTGAATTTTATCAAAACTCTTGCCACCCTCTAGTCTCCCATACTTGATTGCAATCAATCAGTTACTTTCTGTGAAAATCAGTGTGCATTAGTCCCAAACATGTTAATATATTTTTGTTCGGCAACATGCTCCCCTTGTCCCTGATCCACAAAAGCTGTACAAGGACACAAAATTTATCAGTAAACATCACACACACACAAGATCTGAAATCAATATGATAAAATGTTAATATGAATTAATCCTTGGTAAGAAATTCTCATTTTGTTATGTTATTTGCTATTTGACTGGATTATAATATTTTTCAAATAAAAAAAGATTGGGGAAAAATAATATTAAATGCAATATTAACAAATTCCTAATGCATTAGAATTTGACTGAAATATTAACACTAGAGAAAAATGAATTTGACTGTATTTGGCTATTACATGAGCATGGATTTTCTTCATATAAAAGTAGAGGTAAAAGCCAGGCACAGTGGCTCATGCCTGTAATCCCAGCACTTTGGGAGGCTGAGGCGGGTGGATCATGAGATCGAGACCATCCTGGCTAACATGGTGAAACCCCATCTCTACTAAAAATATAAAAACATTAGCCGGACGTGGTGGTGGGCACCTGTAGTCCTAGCTACTCGGGAGGCTGAGGCAGGAGAATGGTGTGAACCCAGGAGGCAGAGCTTGCAGTGAGCCGAGATCACGTCACTGCACTCCAGCCTGGGCGGCAGAGTGAGACTCCATCTCAAAAAACAAAACAAACAAAAAAAAAGTAGGGGTAAATGAGAAATAAAATAGTCTTAAGTTTCAGTTTGATTCTATCAGTATTATAGAAGCAAAAATTGCAATAAACAAAGTTGAAATGTATCTGAAACATGAAAATAATGTTTGTAAAAAAACATGAAATAACAGCCAGACATGGTGGCTCATGCTTGTAACCTCAGCACTTTAGGAAGTCAAGGCAAGAGGATTGCTTGAGCTGAGGAGTTTGAGACCAGCCTGGGCGAGATGGTGAGTCCCTATCTCTACATAAAAATTTAATAATTTGCCAGAAATGGTGGTACAAGCCTGTGGTACCAGCTACTTGGGAGGCTGAGGCAAGAGGATTGCTTGAGTCCAGGAGGTCAAGGCTATAGAGAGCTGTGTTTGTGCCACTGCATTCCAGCCTGGGCAACAGAGCGAGGCTCTGTCTTAAAAATAAATAAATAAAAGATAAAAGGATAATGTATTATATTAATAGCTCTTATAAATAAATAAGAAGGGTGGAGAAAACCCAATACAAAATGAGGTATAGATTATGAACTTACAAATCACAAAAGAAAAATATAAACTGGCTAGTAACCAAGTATTAAAAATATTAAATTTTACTAGTAGTCAAATAAATACAAATTATTTTTTATCTATCAAATAAGCAAGGACAAAATATATAATATTAAAGGTAAATAATATATGCTAATCTCCATATGCAAATATTCTGAAGAAACAAGTTTTTTTAAAGCCGTGTATGCATATCACATTCATTAGGATGGCTATTATCAAAAAACGGAAAGTAACAAGTGTTAGTGAAGATGTACATTGTTATTGGGAATGTAAAATAGTGTTAGCCACTATCAAAAACAGTATTAAATTTCCTCAAAAAAATTAAACATGGAATCACCATATGACCCAGCAATTCCACTTCTGGGCGTATAATGAAAAGAATTGATAGCAGGGTCTCCAAGAGATATCTGCACATCCATGTTCACTACAGCATTATTCACAAGAACCAAGGGGTGGAAGTAACCCAAATGTTCATCAAAAGATAAATGGATAAACAATATGTGGTATATACATACAAAGAGATATATTATTCAGCCTTAAAAAAGAAGAATTCCTATCACACTCTATAATATGGCTAAACCTTGAAGACATTATGCTAAGAGAAATAAGCCAGTCACAAAAGGTAACTATTGTATAATTCCCCTCATAAATGGTATCTAAAGTAATCAAACTCATACAAACAGAAAGTAGAATCATGGGCTGGGCGTGGTGGCTCAAAACTCTAATCCCAGCACTTTGGGAAGCCAAGGCAGGAGGATTGCTTGAGCCTAAGAGTTCCAGACCAGCCTTGGCAACATGTTCTAATCCCGTCTCTACTAAAAATACAAAAATTAGCGGGGAGTGGTGGCATACACCTGTAGTCCCAGCTACTCACGAGGCTGAGGCAGGAGAATTACTTGAGCCCAGGAGGCAGAGGCTGCAGTGAGCTGAGATTATGCCATTGCACTCCAGAAAGAATTGTGGTTACCAGGAGCTAAGGGGAAGGGAAATGGCAAGTTGTTGTTCAATGGAGACAGAGTTTCAGTTTCACATATGAAAAAGTTCTAGAGATCTATTGCATAACAACGTGAATATAGTTAATATCACTAAACTTCCATTTAAAATGGTTAAGATGCTAAATGTTACATTGTATGTTTTCACCACAATTAAAAACAATTCTCCAGGTATGTCAATCTTTTAATATTATAATTCTACATTAGATTTTTTGTTTTTTTGAGATGGAGTCTCACTCTATTGCCGAGGCTGGAGTGCAATGTCACTGCCACCTCCACCTCCTGGGTTTAAGTGATTCTCGTGTCTCAGCCTCCTGAGTAGCTGGGATTACAGGCGTGCACCACCAAGCCCGGCTAATTTTTTTTGAATTTTTAGTAGAGATGTGGTTTCACCATGTTGGCCAGACTGGTCTCGAACTCCTGACCTCAAGTGATCCATCTGCCTCGGCCTCCCAAAGTGCTGGGATTATAGGCGTGAGCCACCATGCCAGCCCACATTTAGAAATTTAATATAAAGAAATAACTATTGAATATGCAAAAAGACATGGCAATAAATGATGTTCATCTTAGTTTGGTATGTCATGAAAAAGAAAGGACAACTATCGAAACCTTCAATCCAGGAGAGTAAATAGATTATGATACAGTCACATGATAGAATACTCTAAATCCATTGGAAATTATGTTTAAAATCATTGAATAGTCAAAGTTTTTCATAATATAATGTTAACTAATTTTTCTATAAACATATATTCATCTTATTGATGAGGAGAGAGGGGAGGACAGGAGAGTATTTTAAGAATAATTTTCTCAGTGTCTGTTTCTCCAACCAGCACAGGACCCTTTAAAAATATATTACCTACAGATTTCATTTGGTCACTAATCATGAGCCCATCTTTTATTGTTGCTATATATGGTTCTTTTTTTGCTACTGAATTTCTCAAATACATCTCTATTCTCTTCCTAACAAAATTGTAAAGTCTTCAAAGCCTACAAGTTCTAGCAGTATTAGCACTGTTCCCTCTGTTTTCTATTACTATCCTCCCATTACTGAATGAGGCTTGTATATAAGAAGGCAGGATCAGACAGAATGAGCATAGAAAATGAAACCAACACATATTTATTGCATACCGACTATGTACAAGACATGGCTGGGCACAAAAGATATTATTAAAAATAGAAGGTCTGGTTGTTATCTTCCAAGAATTTATTATCTTGTTAGGGAAGCCATGCATACATAACAGACAATGTAAACCCTGGATGTACTTTGAGAAGAATATGTGACTTACTTTCAATTACCAAGACATGATAAAATAAGTTACTAATACTTTTTTCCTCATATTCAGTGTAAGAAGATATAATGTAATGGCCTAAAATAAGCTAATGATTTTCTAAAGTGCTTATCTGTTATCTTGGCCATTTTATTCCCAAGTGAAATCTCAGGATAATTAAAATTCATGCCAGTTTTGGAATGTTAGGGACAGATCAAATAAGTGAAAATCTTCCAAGAGTTTAAAAAAATTCCCAAAGGGATTCATTAAAATCATACTGTCAACAATATCCAAGTATGGGTTTTTAGTTCAATGGCACAAAAAGGAAAGAAGGAAGGAGAAAAGGAAGGGGAAGAGGAAGAAGAAGGAAAGGAGGAAAAGGAAGGTAGGAAGGAAGGAAGGTAGGAAGGGAGGGAGGGAGGGAGGAAGGAAGGAAGGAAGGAAGGAAGGAAGGAAGGAAGGAAAAAGAGAAAGAAGATCCCTATTTGTCCAGTCAGGATTTGATTTCCATCATGACATTCAAATTGCTGCCAGCAATCCACCCATGACCTCCATGTTGCTAAATCTGGTTGTCATTCTCAGTCCTCAGCTTTTTACCTTTCAACAGAATTTCTTTCCTTCTTTCTTTTTTTTTTAATTTTTATTATTTTTTTTTTTCTGTTTTTGGACAGGGCCTTATTTTGTAGCCTGGAGTGCAGTGGCCCTAGCTCATGGCAACCTCAAACTTCTGGGCTCACGTAATCCTCCTATCTCAGCCTCCTGAGTAATTGGGATGACAGGAATGTGCCACCATGCCTGGCTATTTTTTAAATAGAGATGGGGGTCTCACTATGTTGCCCAGGCTGGTCACAAACTACTGGCCTCAAGAGATTCTCCTATCTTGTTCTTCCAAATTGCTGGAATTACAGGCATGAGCCACTGCACCCAGCCCCTTTCAACAGACCTCGACACCATGAAGCTCTCCCCCTCATCAAAGTACTTTCTTCACCAAGATAGCATCTTCTCTTGGTTTTCTTCCTCCATCACTGGTCATATCTTCTTAGCCTCTTTCTCTGGTTCCTGTCCATATCCCTTACCTCTTACTGGGGGAATGGACCAAGGCTCAGACCTCCATCCTCTTTTCTATCTATACTCACTCCTTTGGAGTTTGCATCTATCCTCATGACTTGAAATACCTCCTACTTACCAACAACTCTCAAGTTGTATCTCTTGCCCAGATCTCTCTCCTGACTTATATATCTTCCACTTGACACGTTCAAACTTAAATTCTTCATTCTCCCCAACAAAACCTGCTTCCATTTCCATAACAGCTGGAAGCGATTACATCCTTCCAGTTGCTCAGACAGAAACCCTTGGAGTCATTCTTAAATTCTCCCTGTTGGTTCTATCTTCAAAATATATACAAAGTCTGTACTCCTTTTATCACTTCTACTGCAAGCTGCCATCTTGACTGAGGCAACCAGCTGTCTCCCAGATTATTGCAGTAGGCTACTGTTTCTTTCCTTGCTATGCCATGTCATCCTCCCCATACAGATTACTCTGGCTAAAAGATTCACTAGCTTAATCTTTTAGAAACTTAAATTGAATCACACCATTCCTTTTCTCAAACAACTGCACTGGCTTCCCAATTCACTTCGAATTAAACCCAGATGTCTTACAGCTGCCTCCAAGGCCCTACATAATCTGCCCATAGCCCTTTCTCTGACCCTAAACAGCTACCTTTTCTAGCTGCATTTATCTTCCCTCTGCTCATTTGATTTATCCACAATTATCTCCTGGGACTTCCCTGGCTGAAGATTACCTCCTTACGGTCCTCACTTTAGCTGATTCCTATGCCGGATAGGATCTTTCCCCAGCATATCTGCTTGTTTCATTCCTTTATCTCTTTTAAGTCATTGCTAAAATCTCTTCTTCTCAATAAGGGCTTTCCTGACCCCTCTATTTCTTATTGAATCCTAGATTTAACCACTTCCCCTTTAGTTTGCTCTCCTTTTTTTCTCCATTTACAGCTGTAGTTAGTTTCAAGCATTCTATGTAATTTTAATTATGTAAATATTTATGATAATTGCTTATTGCATGCATCACCTGCCCCTACCTCCCTGCTAAAATATAAGTTTCATGAGGGCAGAGATCTTCTCCTGTTTTGTTTACCGATATATCCTCAGTGCCTACAACAACCTTTGGCCAGTAGTATACACTGAATAAATGTTTATTACATAAACAAAATAAGGCAAGGAACATAACAGCATGAGATGGAAAACAGTATCCATGCTTTTAGCCTTAGTTATAATTCATGAAATTCTGCAAAAATTGTTTCTATTCATACTGCTGTATATGGAAAAAAATCCATAGTATAAGATGATGTAAAGCCACCACAGTTTACACATGCAAACACATGCAGCAGTGATCACACAGAAAGCAGGGAAGTGATGCCTTTTGTTTAAGATTAAGTAGGTAAATAGCTTTTCTCCCAAAATTCATGCAAAACCCTCTATGAAGAAGGATTATTATTTAATAAGGAGACTCTCAGAGACCCTCAATGTTATGATACTGGAAAGAATTACTCATCATGCTACCAAAGGAGATATCTAATTTGGAAAGATCTCATTTATTCATAGATTGTTTTGTTATACATGTTTTAAATTACAGTTCTTTAAAACTTAAGCGCAAAACATGGTTCAAGTTTATCATGCACAGCAACCATAGCGATGTCCAAATCAGGGTCACAACAATAAAACTGTTTAGGATAAGTGACTCACACTGACACTATGTTATTGTCCAAATGCTTCTCCAAATCAGGATGTGTGCTTAAAATTAATTTTATTTAATTGGGTTGCATGTCCCTCTGGCCATGTAGTTACAACAGAGGGGCATCACTAGCTCTTGCTGTCTGGGTCAGTCATGTAAACGTGGTAAAATTTCTACAGGCAAATGACAGCTCTGGAACTAACTGGAGATTTACAGAAGTGTATATATCTGATTGGCACTCTCCTTTTCTTTCTGGATCTGAAGCAGCATGCCAGCTCTCCTGGGGACTGGCAAGCTGAATGCAGTGCAGACAAACCCTGCAAGCCTCAAAACTCAGAACCTCCATTTCCTGTCTCTCAGCAGCTTGGAGCAGAAGAGAGGATGGCTGTGGCAGGCTTGGTGCATGGTGTTAAAGCTGGCTGTGGAGCATCCTTTTTCAGTCTGCAGTGTAGGGCATGAGAAAACGCAGCTGACAACATGAAGCCATCACAGTGTACTCAGGCTCCAGGACTGATAACAGCGTGTCTAGATGGAGTGAGAAAAAACCAACCAATAAAGGCAGGGGCTTATGGGTAATGAGACCACCCACTAACTAATCCCAAAGTACTCCTGTGGAGAAGACTGTCATTCTCTTTTTGACTTAGGTAACAAAATGTCATCATGTGACTGGTCCCAGGCTCAGAGGCCTGGTTTTCCCTCTCTGTTCTTCCTATGTGCAATTTTTGGCAACACCCAGTCTCTTTGGGCCACATTTTTCTTTATAGTTTAAACAAAAGAGCTGAACACAGGTTTTTTTTTTTTTTTAATGCTTTTCTTCCAGTTTGAATATTTTGTGACATCACGAGACAAGTCCAATTGTGATACTCCAAATAGTGGCCAAGTGTCTCCTTCTCCAGTCTTACCCATTAAACCAAAAATGAAAAATACCATTTTGGTAAGGAAGCAATTGTTTCTGCTATTTTTCAAGAAATGCTCAACATGGCCAGCCACGGTGGCTCACATCTGTAATCTCAGCACTCTGGGAGGCTGAGGTGGATGGATTGCTTGAACACAGGAGTTTGAGACCAGCCTGGGCAACATGGTGAAACGCCGTCTCCACAAAAAATAAAATACAAGAATTAGCTGGGTGTGCCTGTACTCCCAGCTACCCAGGAGGCTGAGGCAGGAGGATCACTTGACCCTTAGAGGCAGAGGTTGCACTGAGCCGACATCATGCCACTGCACTTGAGCCTGGGTTACAGAGTGAGACAGTCAAAAAAAAAAAAAAACAAAAAAAGCTAATCACATATTCAGTGCAGGCATTAGTATATTTTTCTATCTAATATATTCAAGTCTATTTGCTTCTTAGAAGAGGTATTTATTTCCTCACCATATTACTCACTATACCGCTCTTGATTTGTGTAGCCCCTGTTGAGTCCATTGAGGGCAGGACATCTCCATCCCTAGCATTAGTTCAGCATAGAGTCCACACTGATAAATACATGTGGACTAGTATGAAGCCTTTGCAGACACACATGCACACATGTATGCACACATACAGCCAGGTAGGACATGAATTTTTGTAATAAATATACTATGATATGGCTATTTTGTCTTGTTATTCTCATAATGGGCCAAAATGGAAGTGCCTCCCATCCTCTGCCAAAAATCAAAAAAGCATTCACTATGAACATTTATTTTCAGAGAAGTGTATGATCATCTTGTGGTCCCACAGACAGCCCTAAAATTCCCCACTAGAGACGCCAATGTCGGAATGAGAACCTGGGTTTCTTAGCTTAAAGAAGGCTGCCATGATGGCTCCAAGAATTTTATTTCTTCTCTTCCCATTTTCTCTCTCTGTCACTTTCTGTTCTTACTTCATTTCCTCATTTGTATTTTGGGTTTACTACAACCAATATAAAGAAGTTGTAGTAATTAAAAAGTTAAAGATTAGCACGGGAGCTGGCTTTCATTTACTCATTATTTCAATGCAATCATACTTATTGATACCCTATGGTTCCTGGACATTGGGCTAGATGGAGGGAATAAAACACTAACAAGTTGGACAGAGTCCTCTCCTCCCAGAAATGAGATACTAGTAAGGGATAGAACCAAGTTATAGCACAGGTAAAAAGCTAAATGATGGGAGAAGGGGCTAATGTGGGAGGATTTGGGATGTGAAGGGGATCCCTTAAATGATAAACCAGAGCAGGTCACTCCTCTTCTCAAACTTTCCCAATGCTTCCTTCCCACCTTACTTATGACCAAAGCCAAAGTCCTTACAGCAACCAACAGGACTTTCTGCGAGCAGGGCTCCATCACCTATCTGACCTCATCTTCTCTTCTTCTGCTTTCCTCTTAGTTCACTCCAGCCACTCTGGCCCTTCCACGCCTTAAACACAGTGGCCCATACCTATCTCAGGGCCTTTGCACTTGCTGTTTCCTCTATCTGGAATAGTATTCTCCCAGACAGCCTCATAGCTAGACCCCTCACTTCAATCAAGCCTTGACTTTATGACACCTGCCCAGTGGGGCCTTACCTGGATTTTGCCAAAACTGCAACATCCCCACCCTCCAACATTTTATATTGCCCATCCTGCTTCACATTTATTTGTGCTCAGCTGTTATCATTATCTAACATACTATGTAATTTACCTATTTTCTTGTTTATTGCCTGACTTTTCCATGAGAAGGATAAATCCCATGACAAAAGGCTCTTTTATTTATTTTGCTCACTGTAGTATCTCCAGGGCCTGGAACAGTGCCTGGCACATTGTAGATACTCAATGAATACTCTGTGAATGAATAAATGAATGAAGGGTCATAAAATTCTTCCCAGAGGAAGTGAGCAATTGAAAACTAACTTGAAATCTAAAGAATGCGACTGAATTATCCCAGCAAAGGGAATGGAGGATGGTAAGAAGGAAGAGGAACAGGAAAGAGCATTTCAAAGGAAGAGATTTGGAGTACATCAAGATTTTGGTAAAGCTGAAGGCTAAGGGCCAAAGGTTCAATAGGAGATAACAAGGTGTGGCTAGTGAAGGAGGCTGGGACCCCATCCTGCAGGGCCTTGGAAGCCAGGCAAACAAATTTGCACTTTACTCTTACAGCAATAGAGGATGTTTGAGAAATTATAATCAGAGGACAGTTATTCTTTCTAACTAAAAATAAAATCATCATGACTAGAGTAAAAAGGGGTAAGGCTGGAGGCAGAGAGACTGGCTAGTAGGTAGAGGAGGGATGATGTGTGTACCAGAGTAGAGGTGATGGCACTCAAGAGAAGCAGAAGATTCTAGGGTCAATTAGAAGACTTTGTAATTGGTATTTATGTATATGATACAATAATATCTGATTAAGTCACAGAATTATTAATTATATGCAATAAAGATTACATGTATTTCTAGGGTGGGTCAAGAAGAGAAAGATAAGAGAGAAGAAAGGGTCAAAGGTGATGACTGAGTTTCTGGCTTGGGTAACTATAGTATCAGATATTAGTAGTATCAGACAGATATTAATTAAAGAGCATGTAGTATAAACATGGCCCAATTTTTTGACACTCCTCTCAATGACAGGTAGGGTTTGTAAACCAAAAAGTATCTGAGACAGTTCTCAATCAGTTTAGAAGTTTGCTTTGCCAAGGTTAAGGACATGCCTTTGACATTAAGATGTATGTTCCATGTCCTGGAAAGGCAGGACAAATGGAAGTTGGGTCAGTAGGGGATCAGTGCTTTCAGGTCATAGGTGGATTCAAAGATTTTCTGACTGGCAATTAGATGGGCTCTTGATAAATACCTGGAATGAATAGAAGGGAGTGTCTGGGTTAAAGTAAAGGGTTGTGGAGACCAAGGTTTTTATTACACAGATGAAGCCTCCAGGCTTCAGAGAGAACAGATTGTTTTAACGTTTCTGTTTCAATATTAACGCTGGTCAGTTGTGCCTCAATTCCAAAGGGAGGATGGTATAATGAGGCATGTCTGACTATCCATTCCCATCATGGCCTGAACTCATGTTTCAGGTTAACTTTGGAATGCTCTTGGTTGTGAGGGGGATCCATTTAGTTGGTTGGGGGCTTAACATTTTATTTTGCTTTACAGGTCCTATGTCCCTTCCTCTTAAATTTGGGCAGAATTTGTGACTTCTTTGTCCAACAAAATATCGCAGAAGTGATGCTGTACCAGACTGAAAAAGAGTGGCAGTTTCTAGCTGTGGTATCTTGGATCCAAAGAATCAATGACCCCATACAACAGACCCAGTAGAGTTCCCAGGAAACAGCCAGCACCAGCCATGTTGGTAAGATATCTTGAAAATAGATACTTCAGCCCACTTGAGCCACCACAGCTCACACCACCTGGAGCACAGTCAAGCCTTTTCTGCTGAGCCCTGCCCAAACTGCAGATTTGTGAACCAAATAAATAATTGCAATTGTTTTAAGCCAATAACTTTTAGGGTGGTTTGTTGTTAAAAGCTATGGATAACCAGAAAAATGAGAAAGAGTCAACAAGAAGAGAAATTGTCATGATTTTTCTGTGTGAAACCACACAGGGTTAAGCAGTTGTGGTTGCCTAATTATTCCTACTCCATGGGATATCACAGGAAAGAAGAGAGTGTGCTTTACTATGGGGTTACACTGTTATTTTGGGATGATCCTGAAAGGAGTTAATTCTGATCCAAACTAACCAGAGAACTGACAGAATATATTACATACTTAAAGATCATACTTTCATTTTGTTTGAACCACTGGAGGGAATCCAATCCCAAATTAATATAACAAAACCAGAAGCTTGCTTAAAAAATATTTTATCAGATTCCAAAGTTGAGCTTGTGGTAGGGTGTACTGGAACCCTTTAATAGGTACTCTAGTAAAGACATTCTTTTCATTTTGTAAGTGAACAAAAGAAGACAGAGTGAGCCTCTCTGGAAGTGCCTAAGTTATTGGTAGACATTGTCCCTATATTAAGTTGGAGATCAATAAGGCTCCAGATCAATATCAGAGCTTCATGTCAGGGGACACTATATGCATGTGACAGATGCAGCCAGGTAGGAAAGGAAAGTAAACAACTCTTTGTTTTTATTTAAACTACTTTTTTTTTTAAGTGAGTCAGATATAGACAGTTCATTTCAAGTGCTAGTATTCAGAACTGGAATGTGAATGGGATTAAAGTAGTTTTATTAGAGAAAGGGGAAGCCCAGAGGGAAAAAGGCATGAAAAATTCACTTCAAAAGCTGACATTAGTCCGACATGCTTACCACAGAGCCAGAAACCATGTAGGTAGACTTCAGCTAAAGGCTCTATAAACCCAAGTATTATTTCTATTATCATCCTAATCACTGTCTTCATTGAAAAGGAAGAAAATACACCCACATTGTAGACATAATGTTCAAATTATGCATGTGCCCTGGAGCTTAAGAAAGGTTAGATATGTCTCTTGGTTTTTCATGAATCTAACTTAGAATCACCCATTCAGGCTATTAATTACCAGCATTTCCCACATGTAATTACAGACTTTTTAGGAAATGGGTTGTTGCATATTTCTCTACCCAAAGACATGAGAGAGAATCTTACTCCTTTGTGGTATTTAAAACATGTTAGGTCAATGGATAGGTAAGTGATTCAAAGGAAAGAGAAACAGTATTACCATCATTACTCATGACCAAGAATATGATGTGGCCTCTGTTTCATGAAGATGAATTAATTCCAAACACCCCATCACAAAAATGTGGCCATTCTCACCACTTTTATGGCTTATGTAAGAGGGCATGTTGGTGTCTCCATAATATCAGCATTGGTGGAATTGTTTCTTACATCTGTTACATAAGGTCTACATACTTAAGTCCTTCTTGAATATAGTTCCAAGAGTAATTTTATCTTCAGGGAGCGATCTAAACTTTATTTTTAAAAAAAATGGAGATAATGCAATCCAACATATTTCCTTTGGTGACCTGAAATCTTACAGCCAGAATCAATGCCGTACTCTGATCTATTCAACTTAACGGTCTGAACGCCTTTCTGCTTCTTTAGAATGATCTTATTCATCTGTTTTAACCTTAAATGGTTTTCCATCTTTAAACTATTCAACCAAATAGCATTTTATTGGAAGGAGCAAAGAGAAGGGATGAGTTGGGAAGAAGAGTAAATCTTCTGTATCTCAACAACCCAACTTCCCAATCTATTTAGATAGTTATTTTAGGGTTTTTGTGTGTCACAAACTGAGTATTCAGCTATTCTTACGGAGGTTACATAACAGGTATAAAACATGCTTCTTCCCTTCAGGGAAGTACCTTTTACATCTGGTTGAGAGATGACACATGTAAAGACAAAGATATATCTAGTAAAATAAGGAAGTAAAATTTTCAAACACTGCGATGATAAAAAGGGGAAGAAAAATTCAGTGAGTGCACAGGGAATGGGATAGTTGCAAAAGCATCATTCATTCATGTCTTTACTCATCAAATATTGACAATGTTTGCCATGTTTCAGTGACTGGGCCAAGCTCTGGAAAGTCCATCACAAGTGAGAAGCAAGGCATAAACCTGGCTATGGCAGAATCTCAAAATTTGTGGGATAAGGGCATGACTGCCTGAGCTTGACTCCTTACTTTGACACTTATTAAAGATGGTTCCTGTAGGGATTTGTTCATGTGACTTGACATTTCTGTGCCTCAATTTCCTCTTTTATAAACAGACATAACAAGAGTTAATTGTCTTTTTAGAATTGCTGTGAAGATAACATGCGTGAACATATGCAAATGTTGGCCCATATAAACACTATACAAATAGAAGTCTACTCCTGAGAAATTAGGGGGAGACAGGCCAGGCAAGAGGTAAACCTAGGTAGCAGGGACTTGAATTGGATCAGAATTTCCAGGAACTTCCCCTGGTCCCTTTATTGACTTAGACTTAGAGGGCCCTGGTTCTGGGAAAAGGTGGGGCACATGCATCTCAGCCAGAACTCCTGAGGAATGTTCCACAGTGCTCAAACACAAGTGCAGGACACTACTCTCTTAATGCCACTGTAGAGTATGGACAAGCTTGAGGAGATGCCAAAGCCTGTCAGCATGAAAACCAAGTCAATATATGACCCTCTTCTCACTGCTTGGTTTTCTCAGCTGACTGGCAAGAGAGCTACCCCGAAACTTCTTGAAGAGGCCGTGTGTGGGGTGCCAGGCTAGGGAATTTATGAATTACCCCATTCAATTCCAAGCAATAAACCTCAGAGATAAGAACAGTGAGTCTCGTTTTATAGATTTGAAGTCTGAGGCACAGGGAAGTCAAGTGCCTTGTCAGTAAGAAGGTTCACCAGCTTTTATTTTGCCTCTTAGACCTAGAGACCAAGGCTTGTTCTAGGTTTGACCTTTAAGTCAACAGAGGTGGTAGAACTTTGAGTCACAGTATTTGATATCTAGTATGGTCAAGCCCACCAGAAGAAGGGAATGCATGAAAGAACCCAGGCTGACTGGCTCCAAAACCTATGGATCTGTAATTCCAGCAGGAAGAGAATGGGAGAAGATCCCACTGACAAGGGCCTAGCAGGAATTAATATTTTCCTTTCCATTGCAACATCCTCTCATTCCTGATGAAGAATTGTTAAAAGCAACATGTATTGCACCTCTTCCCTCCTCAGGGTAGGCCATGTAGGCCCTAATTGGGGGATTTGCTTTCAAGGACTCATGCACAGGCATTACACAGGCTAGTGACAAAGGTCTTGAGGAGTCACGCAGCTCTCCAACCCTCCAGGACCACTCAGGCAGGGATAGGGGCACTGTGATTGCAGCTGCCCACGCTGGGCGGCAGTAGCTCCCAGCAACAAGAGGCCACTCTGGCCCAGCAAACTCATCCCCTTTGTGGAGGGAGTTGTGTTTGTGTTCTGAGGCCCAAAATCATATACAAAATAATGCATGCCATTCCAAGGCATAAGTTAGACGGTTCCACCAGTTCTTTTCAGTTTGTCTTTAAAATCTCTGATTATACAACTTTAATTTTTGGCCTCTCCTCATTGGTCATTAGAGGGAGGCTGACTGCAGCTGAAGGGTGTTTTGCCACATAGCTGTAGATAAGCTAAATGCATGAATTCTTCTGAACCTTGAATAGTGCTGAGCAGAGGATTTGGGGACCTGCCCTCACACTCTTTAGAGAGGTCCCTGTGTTTTAGCCATGTCAGATGCAATTAGGTACAGTTCATCTCTCTTAAGTTCCTCGGGGATTTATTACGTGGGCTCTTGAAGGTTTCCCTTTCAAATGGCCATAGATTTTATATCCAAATCAGTGTGCAGTGATCACTCTCCTCCTAGCTTTAACTCATGGCAATTATGCCTCCATGGAAGTTGAGAATGTAAAGAGTAGAAAAACAAATGTTGCTCTTTGAATTGTCACATGAAATGCAGCAGAAGATAAAATTGATTTTGTAACATATCAGGTGATCAGAGGCTGTGTTGGCAGTGAAGCACCCAGCTCCCATGCTCCCTCTCCCCAAAACTGTGGACATACGTATCTTTTCTCATGATGGCAACAAGAGACTCACTTCTATCTCAGATCCTGTCATGACACTGAAAATGAATTGATTCTGCGTCTCAAGTCAGAGCTGGGCATGATACAATTTGCTGAGATCCATTGTTCTGCTTTCCACCAGTCAACACACAGTTTGTATATTTCTCATCCAAAACGAAAGCACGATGCATACTCTGCTCTCACGAGGCTAAAAAGAGCCAGGGGTTGGATTTGCACAAGTTTAATTCCTACTAAGATTTGCAAAAGATAATTTGAGAAACACATAGACTTTGTAGCTTTGAAGGAACTTAAAAATGACTTTCAACAACCTCTGTCCATTTGGAAACCCAGGTGTATTTAAAATTATTTTCGTAGTTTGTTTTTAATCATCAGTTTTCATGAAAAGAACCAGATTACTATGCTCTTTTAAAGCACTAATTTGCTTTAAAAAATAAAAAGAGAGAAGCACAATGACCAATTGTCTTATGAATCAGAGCTATACTCTATATATGCCACCATTAACTCAACAGTTTGTGATGAAAGAACAATGTAACCTCATCATATTCTCTAACAGTGCTGAGTCATTTCTCTATGAAAGGACTAACAAAGCAGGCTTATGTCTCATCTTCTCTCAAGCAAGTTTAGCCACATTATTACAGTATTTCACCTCTATAGCCTCTCCATTTTCCTCTGAGTCATTGTTTATCTCTTCCATAATCTAACTGGAAAAAAGTAAGTTAATCTCAAATGTCAAATCTATATGTGTATACCTTTATGTCTGAATTTCAAAACTGACTAATGTCAACATGAGTGAACCAATCTGAACACTCTAAAAGATAGGTCAAATTCATGCTAACTTGGAAGAATACTTTTTTAATATTAACCCAAAGAATTTAGGTATACAGATGACATACATTAAATTTAGTTAATAATCAACTCATTCTTTTTCTGTCCATGTAAACATGAATCAGAATGGGTTGTTAGTGAATGTAAACAACAAAACTATTCACCTACTTATTAATTTATTCAGTGTGTGTTTGCTGAACCTGTACTGTGTACAAGGTTTTAATTACGCAATGCATAAGGGTGAAGATAAAAAATACGGAGCTCACAGTCCATTTGTCAGTACAACAGAGATGAGTAAGGTGAAAACCACAGAAGCACAAAATAGTGTTATGTGATAATCAGAGAGAAGAGATTACATCTGGCTGAAGCATGCAGGAAGTAATTAGAAAGGGTCATTTAATGAAGGTGGGGTATTAAAGATGGAAAGAATAGGTACTCCAAGTAGAAAGACAAAGGTATCAGGGCAAAGAGCTAGAGATAAGAAAGCCTGGGCAACATAATAGAAGCAGCCCATTTCAGATGGGCCTTTGAACTGGAAGAGTGTAATTTGAGCCTGGAAGGGCATGTTGAGTTTAGACCATGGAGAACCTTGAAAACTAAATTAAAATTCTGCTGGTTAATAACTAGGATAGATCATATTATCAACTCGGCCAGTAAACTATTTAAAAAAATAAAAGAATTCATCCAATAAATTATTAGGTAGAATTGAAAATGTTCTTTTGACTATTTCAAATATTTTGCTTTTGTGTTTTAACTAATTTAAGCAAATGATATGTGTTCATGGTTGTATGCTCTATGGTCCCCTATCCTGAGTCTATCTCTATTTTGTAATGTTTCTCTATATAACATTTATTACTTCTCATCAAATGACTAATAATTCTTATAGTTTTACTTTAAAGGCATCTGACGTCAAACAATACATAAAAGAGAGGACATAGACTCCCTAACAAAAAAATATGAATGTGCCCCAACTAATCATGCTTTGACACTCTTGATGTAGTCTTTCATGGAGATGTAGCATTTCCAGTAAATCTTATGCAAGGTCTCAGATTCTACCTTTGCGTACAAATGCCATACAGGCCAAGTAATATTTTTAGGGTTTAAGGATGTTCTCTTTCTTCCCTTCTTCAGACTAAGGAATGTAAAATGGCAAACCCTCTCAATGCTTACACACATTTGGCTCTGAGTCAAGTTGAAAGCAAGATGCTTAGACTATTTACCATTTTACTTCACAAAGGAATTCTCTTTGATGAATGAAAGATCTTTGCAAAATTACGCTTACAGGTATGTTTATAAAGTTGTGTACAAAAGAAGAGCCAGTGTAACTATTCTAAAAACTTGAGGAAAAGGGACTCTTCCCTAACTCCTTCTATGGAGCCAGCATCACTCTGATACCAAATTCTGGCAAAGACACAGTGAGAAAAGAAAACGACAAGCCAATATCCCTGATGAACGTAGACACAAAAATCCTCATCAAAATGCTAGCAAACTGAATCCAGCAGCATACAGAAAAGTTAATTCACCATGATCAAATGGGCTTTATTCCAGGGAGGAAAGGGTGGTACAACATATGCAAATGAATAAATGTGATTCACCACACAAACAGAACTAAAAACAAAAACCATATGATCCTCTCAATAGATGCAAAAATAGCTTTCAATAGAATCCAACATCCCTTCACGATAAAACAAAACAAAACAAAACAAAAAAACCTCAAGAAACTAGGCATTGAAGGAACATACCCCAAAATAACAAGAGCCATCTATGACAAACCCACAGCCAATGTCACACTAAATGGGCAAAAGCTGGAAGCATTCCCCTTAAGAAGAGGAACAAGACAAGGATGCCCTCTCTCACCACTCCTATTCAACATAGTATTGAAAGTCCTAGCCAGAGCTATCAGGGAAGAGAAAGAAATAAAAGGCATCCAAATAGGAAAAAAAAGTCAAAATGTCTCTCTTCACTGATGTAAGATTCTATACCTAGAAAACACTAAAAACACCACCAAAAGTCTCCTAGAATTGAACAATGACTTTAGCAAAGTTTCAGGATATAAAATCAATGCACAAAAATCAGTAGCATTTCTACACACTAATAATATTCAACCTGAGAGCCAAATCAAGAATGTAATCCTACTTAAAATAGCCACCTGAAAAATAAAATACCTAGGAAAATAGCTAACCAAAATGTGAAAGATCCCTACAAGGAGAACTACAAAAGCCTGCTGAAAGTAATCACAGATGACACAAACAGATGGAAAAACATTCCATGCTCATGGATTGGAAGAGTATATATCCTTAAAATGGCCATTCTGCCCAAACACAGTCACTGCTATTCCTAACAAATTATCAACATCATTTTTCACAGAATTAGAAAAACTGATTCTAAAATTCTTACAAAACCAAAAAGGAGCCTGAATAGCCAAAGCAATCCTAAGCAAAAAGAACAAAGTCAGAGGCATCACATTACCTGACTTTTAAGTATATTGTAAGACCACAGTAACCAAAACAGCATGGTACTGGTACAAAAACAGATGCATAGGCCAGTGAAACAAAACAGACAACCCAGAAACACAGCCACACACCTACAACCATTTGACATACAACAAAGTTGACAAAAACCATTAAGAGAAAGGATTCCCTACCGAATAAATGGTGCTGGGATAAGTGGCTAGCCATATGCACAAGAATGAAACTAGACTCCCACCTTTCATCATATACAAAAAGTAACTCAAGATGGATTAAAGATTTAAGTGTAAGACCTCAAACTATAAGTCCTAGAAGAAAACCTTGGTAATACCATTCTGAATATTGGCTTTGGCAAAGAATTCATGACTAAGTCCTCAAAAGCAATTGCTACTAAAACAAAAATTGACAAGTGGGACCTAATTAAACTAAAGACCTCTGCACAACAAAAGAGGCTATCAACAGAGTAAACAGACAACCTACAGAATGGGAGAAAATATTCACAAAGTATGCATTAAACAAAAACTTAATATCCACAATCTATAAGTAACTTAAACAACTGAACAGGCAAAAAACAACCCTATTAAAAAGTGAAACGAGGACATGAACAGACATTTCTCAAAAGAAGACATAAAGCAGCCAAAAAATATGAAAAAAAGATCACCCTCACTAATTATTACAGAAATGCAAATCAAAACCACAGTGAGATACCATTTCACACCAGTCAGAATGACTATTACTAAAATGTCAAAACAGAACAGAAGTTGGTGAGGCTGTGGAGAAAAGAGAATGCTTATACTTTGTTGGTGGGAGTGTAAATTAGATCAATTTCTAAACTGTAGAAAGCAGTTTAAAAATTTCTCAAATAATTTAAAACAGAACTACAATTTGACCCAGCAATCCCAATACTGGATATATAACCAGAGGACAATAATTGTTATACCAAAAAGTTCACCATAGTTCTATTCACAATAGCAAAGACATGGAATCCATCTACGTGGCCATCAATAGATGACTGAATAAACAAAACGTGGTAAATATACATCATGGAATACTATACCTCCATGAAAAAGAATAAAATTATATCCTTTTTAGCAACATGGATGCAACTAGAGGTCATTATCCTAAGTGAATGAACACAAGAACAGAAAACAAAATACTGCATGTTCCAACTTATAAGTGTGAGCCAAACACTGGGCACACATGGACATAAAGATGGAAATAATAGACATTGGGACCACTAGAGAGGGGAGAAAAAGAAGAGTAAAGGCTGAAAAACTACCTATTGGGTACTAAGCTCACTACTTGGGTGATGGGATAATATGTACCCCAAACCTCAGCATCACACAATATGCCCATGTAACGAACCCCCCAAATCTAAAATAAAAGTTGAAATTATTTTTAAAAAGAATCAAAATACTTAAATGCTTTCCAGTAAGAGGAACTTTGAGAAAATAAAGTGGATGCATAAATTTTGATGAACAAATTCCCAAATAGTCTTTTTTGAGACAGAGTCTCACTCTGTCCCCCAGACTAGAAGGCTGGAGTGCAATGGCACAGTCTGGGCTCACTGCATCTTCTACCTCCTGGGTTAAAGCTATTCTCCTGCCACAGCCTCCCAAGTAGTTGGAACTACAGGCACGTGCCACCACGCCTGGCTAATTTTTGTATTTTTAGTAGAGATGGGGTTTCACTATGTTGGCTAGGCTGGTCTCGAACTCCTGACCTCGTGATCCGCCCACCTCAGCCTCCCAAAGTGCTAGGATTACAGGCATGAGCCACTGCGCCCAGCCCAAATAGTCTTTTCTAAATTGAAACCATCAACACACAAAGTCAATATATCTCTTTTGTCTAAAAATTCAGTGTCATCACAAGAAATATGAAACTTTGGCCAGGTGCAGCGGCTCATGCCTGCAATCCCAGCACTTTGGGAGGCCAAGGCAGGCAGATCATATGAGGCCAGGAGTTTGAGACCAGCCTGGTCAACATGGTGAAACCCTGTCTCTACTAAAAATACAAAAATTAGCCAGGGGTTGTGGCGCACACCTGTAATCCCAGCTACTCAGAAGGCTGAGGCATGAGGATCATCTGAACCCAGGAGGTGGAGGCTGCAGTGAGCCAAGATTGCACCACTGCACTCCAGCCTGGGAAACAGAGTGAGACTCTGTCTCAAAAATAAATAAATAAATAAATAAATAAATAAATAAATAAATAAATAAATACAACCTTTTTTGTTCATGTTATTGGACCATGTGCAAATTCCTTGTTCTGTGCCAGAACTTCTGTCATTTCTGTGCTTATACCTTGTGATAGTTCACAATGATGATAACCTGAAGCAAAATTATTTCTATCTTGCTCAATGCTTGCTTATTCTAATATAAATAAAATGTTCAATGATGACCTATAAAGTTTGTTTGTGAATTTAGTAATCCAATGAAATTCACCTTTTCTCCCTTGGTAGCTTTGAATTTTTTTTTTTTTTTTTCTTACCAGACCTCACCATCAGTTCAAGTTGTCTGCAGTTTACAAAAAGAGGAACAAATACACTCTTAAAAAAGGACAGCACCTCAATAAATAAATAAATAAATAAATAAATAAATAAATGAATCTCCATTTGATACTGCCTTCCTGAGACCCTCAAGTCACAGATATTTCTTTACTGGTTCTGTGATTTTTGTACAATTATTTTTTTAAAAATTATGCAAATGTTATGAAAGAAATCTTTCTTACCAAAAGAGAATTAAACAAAGCTGTTTCAATACTTACTTTAAAAAGACAGATATAAATATATTCTCCTAATAAGTGTTAGAGATAGGCAAGCTTAAAGCAATATTATTATCTGGCCTAACACGTCTTTACTTTTAACAGATTGCATTCAATTCCAGAAGTTTCTAAACAAATTAGGGTTGACTCAATTGAACACAAAATTAAAATAGTTCTTATCTGTTAAAGTACCAACATCAATCAATGTTTAATATGCTATCCTGAATAAATTTGTATTTTATTATTTTATTTTTATTTACTTATTTATTTTGAGACAGAGTTTTGTTCTTGGTGCCCAGGCTGGAGTGCAATGGCGCAGTCTCAGCTCACTGCAACCCCTGCCTCCTGGGTTCAAGCGATTCTCCTGCATCAGCCTCCTGAGTAGCTGGGATTAGAGAGGCCCGCCACCACACCTGGCTAATTTTTGTATTTTTAGTAGGGACAGGGTTTATGTTAGCCAGGCTGGTCTTGAACTCCTGACCTCAGGTGATCTGCCTGTCTCGGCTTCCCAAAGTGCTGAGATTACAGGTGTGAGCCATTGCACCCGGCCCTGAATAAATTTTTAGAAACAACTGATTTATTTACATGTTTATGCATTAATGAGATTTTCCACCTCAAATCCCATCATCTGAGTCTGGAGCATTCCATTTTCATTTCAATTCTCAATAAACAAATGAAGGGCAATTTATAAAGGCCTACACAGAGCCTCAAAGATCAAGCTACATCTAGCAAAAGTCGACTTAAAACACATGTAAACCTAGTGATGTATCCAAGTGACTGTAGTTGCAGACAGACAATATTCTAAAAAGAAACCTAATAAAAGAAAATGAAATTTATCTGAGGGGTTCTTATGAGTAGAAAGTCATAATAATAAATGTAAGTATAATACCAGGAAGACTCAATAAGTTTAGATGATAAAAACATGTATTGAACTTTTACTACATTCTGTGCATGCGTTGAGCACATTTGATATATTAACTTATTTCCAAATATGCTACCCTTTCTTAGAGTTTTTGTGATATTGTCAGGCTTTGTGTTCCCACCTAAATCTCATCTTGAATTGTAATCTCCATATTCTTCATGTGTCAAGGGGGAGACCAGGTTGAGGTAACTGAATCTTGGGGGCAGTTTCCCCTATGCTGTTCTCATGATAGTGAGTGAGTTCTCAGGAGATCTGATAGCTTCATAAGTGTTTGGTAGTTCCTCCTGCATTCATTCTCCTTCCTGCTGCCTTGTAAAGAAGGTACCTTGCTTCCCCTTCCCCTTCAGCCATGATTGTAAGTTCCCTGAGGCCTCCCCAGCCATACTGAACTGTGAGTCAGTTAAACCCCTTTCCTTTATAAATTACCCAGTTCTCGGACAGTTCTTTACCACAGTGTGAAAACAAACTAAGTCACTTAGTGATGAAAATAATAATGATAATGGGTAATATTCCTATATTTTTTGCTAATTTTCAGGTATTACACTAAACCATTTTACTTGTGTCAAATCTAAAATCCTCAAAATTATCCTATAAGATGCACTTACCCTCATTTTACAGATCTAGAAACTTAGAAGCAAAGAGGTTTAATAAAATACCAAAAGCTATTCATACCACTAGCCATTTTCCCCTCGTGAATGATGACTCTCTGATTACTGAAATGGTAGAAGGGCAACCTGGATCCCTGTCAGACATCATGTGAGAGAAACTGTCTAGCTGTTTACCCTTTTTTTCCCTCCTGAGCACGTAGCTAATTTTCCTAGCCTCCTCTGCAATTAGAAGGGGTCATATGACCAGAACTTGGCAATAGCAATGTGGGAAAAAGTGACAAGTGCCACTCTGAGGTTTAGCCCATAAAAATTTGCCATAAAATCCTCCACTCTCCCTCTTTCCCTTTCTGCCAACTAGTGTCAATGCTCACAACAACTGCAGAAACCATGAGTTGAAAATGGCAGAGTGGAGAGTTCTGTAGATGTCTATCAGGTTCATTTGATCCAGTAATGAGTTCAGATCTGAATATCTTTGTTAATTTTGTCTCAGTGATCTGTCGAATATTGTCAGTGGAGTGCTAAAGTCTCACAATATTACTGCGTGGGACTCTAAGTATCTCTGTGGTCTCTAAGAACTTGCTTTATGAATCTGGGTGCTACTGTGTCGGGTGCATATATATTTAGCATAGTTAGATCTTCTTCCTGAATTGAACCCTTTACCATTATGTAATGCCCTTCTTGGTCTTTTTTAATCTTTGTTGGTTTAAAGTCCATTTTGTCAGAAACTGGGATTATAACTCCAGCTTTTTTCTGTTTTCCATTTGCTTGGTAGATTTTTCTCCATCCTTTTATTTTGAACCCGTTTGTGTCACTGCATGTGAGATGGGTCTCTTGAAGATAGCATATCTATGATCTTCTTTCTTTATCCAGATTGACACTCTGTGGCTTTTCATTTGGGGTATTTAGCCCACTTATATTCAAGGTTAGTATTCACATGTATATATTTGATCCTGTCATTATGTTGTTAGCTGGTTATTTTTCAGACTTGTTTATGTGGTCATTTTATTATGTCACTGGCCTGTGTACTTCAGTGTGTTTTTGTAATGGCTAATAATAGTCTTTCCTTTCCATATTTAGTGCTTCCTTCAGGAGCTCCTGTAAGGTAGGTCTGGTGACACTGAATTCCCTTAGCATTTACTTGTCTGAAAAGGATCTTATTTCTCCTTCAATTATGAAGTTGAGTTTGGCCATATATGAAATCCTGGGTTGGAATTTCTTTTATTCAAGAACGTTAAATATTGGCCCTCAATCTCTTCTGGCTTGTATGCTGAGTTTCAGCCGAGCGGTCCACTGTTAGTCTAATGGGCTTCCCTTTATAGGTGACCTAACCTTTCTCTTTAGCTGCCTTTAACATTTTTTTCTTTCATTTCTGCCTTGGAGAAGCTGATGATTATGTGTTTTGGAGATGATGTTCTTGTGAAGTATCTTACTGGGGTTCTCTACATTTCCTGAATTTGTTGGCCTTCCTAGCTAGGTTGGGGAAATTCTCATGGTTGATCTATTGAAATATGTTTTCCAAGTTGGTTCCATTCCCCCTATCTCTTTCAAGTATACCAGTACCATTCAGGACATAGGAATGGGCAAAGATTTCATGATGAAGACACTAAAAGCAATTGCAACAAAAGCAAAAATTGACAAATGTGATCTAATTAAACTAAAGAGCTTCTGCACAGCAAAGGAATCTATCAACAAAGTGAACAGACAACCTACAGTATGGGAGGACATTTTTGCTAACTATGCATCTCACAAAGGTCTAATATCCAGCATCTATAAGGAACTTAAATACATTTACAAGAAATAAACGAAACAACCCCATTAAAAAGTGGGCAAGGACATGAACAGACACTTTTCAAAAGAAAGCATACACATGGCCAGCAATCATATGAAAAAAACCTCAACATCACTGATCATTATGGAAATGCAAATTAAAACCACAATAAGATACATCTCATGCCAGTCAGGATGGACATTATTAAAAAGTCAAAAAAAAAATAATAGGTCCTGGTGAGGTTGAGGAGAAAAAGGAAGACTTGTACACTGTTAGTGGAAGTGTAAATTAGTTCAACCACTGTGGAAGACAGAGTGGGGATTCCTCGAAGACTTAAAGACAGAAATTCCCTTTGACTCAGCAGTGCTATTACTGGTTATATACCCAAAGGAATACAAATCATTCTATCATAAAGACACATGCATGCATATGTTCATTGTAGCACTATTCATGATAGCAAAGATACAGAATCAACCTAGATACCCATCAATGATAGACTGGATAATGTGTCATATATACACCATGGAATACTATGCAGCCATAAAGAAATGAGACCATTTTCTTTGCAGAGACATGGATGGAGCTGGAGGCCATTATCCTTAGCAAACTAACACAGGAACAGAAAATAAATACCACATATTCTCACTTATAAGTGGGAGCTAAATGATGAGAATACATGGACACAAAGAGAGAAACAACACACACTGTGGCATATCGGAGGGTAGAGTGTGAGAAGAGAAAGAGATCAGGAAAAATCACCAATGGGCACTAGGCTTAATACCTGGGTGACAAAATAATCTGTACAGCAAACTCCCATGATACAAGTCTACCTATATGACAAACTTGCACATGTACCCCTGAACTAAAATAAAAGCTTAAAAAATAGCAGAGCCTCCATGAGCCCTGGTTCCTGAATGGTTGTATGGTGCAGTTACTGCCGTCTTCCCAGCTGCTCTTTAAATTTGAGGTGAACGAGACATAAAATCTCATTGTATTAAGCTATTGAGATTTTAGTGTTTATCTATTATAGCATGTAGCATTTACTTTAACTAATAATGGCTGCTCTCTACAATTTAGATATTTATGCAAATGGCAGATACTACTTTACCAACAATGAAGAATCCAATTTCTTCAAATTATTCCTTGTTGAGAAAAGGGGTTTGGCTTTCCCATCTAGCTGTAGCAGTCAGATCCCCTTAAATGCTTATTTACCATTTTAAATTTCATCAACAAGAAGATTTATGCAAGATAAAGAAAGAGGGAGAGAGGTTGACAGCAACCCATTGCTCCTGTGCAGGAATAGGCAGCGCCACGGCTTTGGTGAAAATCACCTTTCACAGCACTGCAGGAAGCCTGGACATCACTAATGATTTTGTGGGTTTCCTACACTTTCCAGGGTCTCTGAAAGCTAATGACGGCTTTCCTTGAGCTTTGATCCTCTAACACTTCCAACAGTTTTAGAAATACTTCATTGATATATAAAACCCCTTCCAACTTAAACTCTAGAGAAGTTTCTGTTTCTCTGATGAAACTCTAACGGATACAAAAGAATGTTCTTCTCAAGGCAACCAATCTTTTGTTACTGCCATTCAAATTATTTTTTCTACTCTAGCACATATTTTCTCCAAAGGTGGCAGTCAAATGCATCTCAGACTATAAATATACATGTATTAAAATCTCACTCAACAACAACCATCAACACAGGACTGGCTTCACGGGTATGTGACCTGTGCTATTGCACAGGACCTGTGCTTAGAAAGGGCCACTCAAGGTTTGGTGCTCTGTTGTGACCTTTTAGTGCTCTGTTGTGATCTTTTGGAGTTCCTGATAATTTGTGAACAAGGGCCCCACATTTTAATTTTGCACTGTGCCCTCCGGCTTACATAGCTGGTCCTGTATCAACGATAGTCCTTGACCAAGAACCACAGGAGAGATATGCAAAGAAAGATATCCAGGTGCTTTAACATATTTTGCTTCTCCAGTTCAATATGGCAATACATACAGTCTCATTCTGCACCCACTTTCGACATACCAATACCACCCACACACTGCCTGTAACCATGATGTTTACTTTATTGAGTTGAGGAGGAGCTATCAGAATGTGATCTGTAATATGTTGAAAGGAAAACACAGCAATTTCAAATTTTCTGATGGTACTGAGGATCCATTTGTGAAAGTAAAGACATTTGCATTTGGGAAAAGGGAAAACACCTTAATGATTCTAGTCCAGTATGCAAAGTTGGGCCCTAGACTCTAGGCTGGAATAGAATTTGAAAGCTCAAGTCATCTGCTTAATAAAATAACAAGGATTTTCTTATTGTAGTGGCCAATAGTATGGAACTAGAATCTGGAACAGGAGACATGGGAGGCCAGGCATGGTGGCTCATGTCTGTAATCCCAGCACTTTGGGAGGCCAAGGTGAGAGAATCATTTGAGCTCCAGAGTTTGAGATTCTGTCTCCACAAAAAATAAGAAACATTAGCCAGGTGTGGTGGCACACACCTGCAGTCCCAGCTACTCAAAAGGCTGAGGCAGGAGGATCCCTTGAACCAAGGAGTTCAAGGCTGCAGTGAACCATGATTGCACCACTGTATTCCAGCCTGGGCAATAAAGAGAGAACTTGTCTCTTAAAAAAAAAAAGAAAGAAAGAAAAAAGAAAAAGATATGGGAGAGAGATGGAACCCTCTCAAGATGGTTGGGTTTGGGGGCCTAATAAAGTATAAGGTCAGTGATAATGTCCTTTTGGCAGAGAATGGCTAATATGTTTCTAGGAATAATGCTTTTATATTAAAATATAATGTGTTTCCTGTTTTATATTTGGATGACAGCAACAAATTCTTCACTCTATTGCCCTCTCCTTCACTGAACTTTGAGGAAAAATCAGTTGTGATTGAGGTATAAGCCTTAGGGGTGTCTTAAAGGCAGATGGTGCAAGATAGGGCAGAAAGTGACCATCGGTCATTAAAGATGAAACTGGGAGCAGGAATTTGGAGAAAGAGGTGACACCACAATATCAGACTTTTTAGACACCTTGGAAATGTCAAGTACAATCCAGGACCTCCCAAAGTGCACTGTGTGGAGGCTTAAGCCATTCCATTTGTCTAGAAAGGACAATGGTGGCCTCAGAATCCAAGGGGACTTGGAGACAACCAAAATACACCAATATATCCTAGAAATGTAATTACCGCTGGAAGTAACAAGAAATGAATATACAAAAGAAATCAACATGGCAGATGTAGATAGAAGGCTGGTCAAGGTTAAGGTGTGAAGTCACCTGTTAAACAGGAATCCATGTAGAATTCAAAATCCCATCGCTTATAGCAACTTTCCTGTGTCTAGGAATAATGTTTATTAGAATCCAGACTCTTTCATAGGCATGAAACTCACTTTCCAAGTGTACTAGAAAAAAAATTCAACTGAAACAACATTTACACTTCAAAGAGAATGTCACCTGGCATATTTGCAGTTCCTCAGCCAGAAACAAAAGCATCAATTTACAGGCCAATCCACACTGCCAGTATCAAGGTTCAAAATCTACAGTAAGTATGTTCTCATATGAATCGCACCCAAATAAAAAGTTTCTTCTCCCTCAAAGAAAATAATGCCACATACTTATTCCTACTATTTACAAAGCAGCTATCAAAATTATGCCTTCTTTCATCAGGTTTCTCCAGGAACTCAGTATTTACTTAGAAGTAGAATGGGGCTTTTTAGAAAAGCATCAAGTAGGGCCACCTAAACACGATCCTTGAGGAATGCACACAATGACAGAAGTCAGATTGCTCTCAGTTACGTAACATTGACAGCTTCCACATCACAGAGCTCTGAAATTACAGGCAGGGGGGAAAATTACTGTTAGACAAAGATAATATCGTTTGAAAGATGGTACTTTTATTCTTTAAAATCAAATAGCTTTGATTTAACCACTTTTCAGATTTATTCTTCTTGACAAGGTTGCATTAACACCTTAACCTAAAGCAAATGCATATTTATCCAACTTACATTCTATGTACAAAATTGCTTACTCCCCGGATAAACACTCAGGCATGCCTTCCTACCCACATTCAAAAACTAGAATTGTTACTCCTGCACGTGTATATCATTGAAAAGCAAACACTGAAAAGCTCACTCTTTACCTGCAAGCCTAAAATTAAAAAGCCCAATATGTAATAGTAGTGGGGATTGTATTGTTCCTGAAAGATACCTCTGCAGCATTGTAGATTAACTGTTGTTCTCCTGGACAATTTTATGCTCAGGCCAACTTAATAAATTTGAACATGTCATCTACTAAATTATGAATCACCAAGAAGACCTACTCACCCAGAAATTGCTCTGTTGTTTCCACTGCAACTTAAAAAAATCATCATCTATAGCATTGAGAAGGTTAAATTACCTAAATTTTAATTTCAGTGAGCAATGGAGTGTGTCTACCTGCTGGACCCTCTGCCAACTGACAGACAAAAGGCTGAAGGGAGTGCACTTTGGATGTGATCAATTAACTAAAGGTGGTTCATTAATCTTTAGTGTCAACACCTGAGTTTTGCTCTGATAGCTCCTACAGTATGCAGCTGGTTGCTGGTATTTCAAACCAAGACACATCCAGTTAAGTTCACCTTGTGGAAGGATAACTTAAGTTTTTCCTGGTTAATTTTGAGTCAAAAAATAGCTAATTGTATGCATAACTATGGAGAGACAGTTGCTATATTCACTTATTTGTTCATTCATTTATTCATTTCATATATAGTCATTTTGTGCCTATCATTTGCCAGGAATCCTACACAAAGATTAATCAAACTGCATTAAAGGGGAGTCAGACATTATGAAGCTATTTTTGGAACTTGACCTCTATACATACTCTAACAGAGGTGGAACTTTCAAAGAGAAAATTATGGCTGCCTTCCAGTTCCTTAGAAAATGAAAGTTGCAAGCACATCTTTTTGAGAACTTGCTACAAATCACTTAGTGTTTGAAGAAAAAGCAGTGCCATATAAATCAAGGCAGAACCTAGGCTTGCATTCTCATCACAGGATAATCTTTAATTAAATAGAACTGGCAAAAGAAGCTTTATTTCAGGTGAGCAATAAAGAAAGAGTTGAACTAAGAGCATATGACACACAGATGCAAATCCAAATCTGGTATATAATACATTTAAGGGTACATTTATTATTATCAATAGTAGTAGTAATTAAGTTTTAAAATAGTGATTATTAAAAGAGGATTTGAAACAAATATTGTGGAGACAATAAATTCTGAAAAGCCATCAATTCATGGAGCTGGTTGTTTGTTATTCCACTAGAATAACGAACTCCAGGAAACGTTTGGTATTTAAATGGAAATTTCATTAATCAGGGTTCAACCAGGAGAACACAAACCAATGAGTAACTTAAGGGAATTTAACACAGGGTGTTGGTTTATAGGTAATAGGAGAGAAAAAAAAAAGCCAAATAAGTAGCAGTGAGTCAACCTAGGGATTACCAAAGGCAGGAAACCACAAAGGGCACACAGAAGAGGTAGCATCACCAGAGCACAGGGACCAGGGTTACATGGAGTAAGCTGGAACCTTGGTAGGCTTCTCTGGCAGGAGATAGCATCATGGAGGCAGAGACGTTGCCAAGGCAGAAATTCCCTGGCTTCTCCTTTCTTCTGCCCTCTAATCTCCTGACAATGCCTACCATTGACCCAACTGTTAGCAGTCAGACATGGGAGGCTGGGAAATGCAGCCTGTGGGAGGTATGTTCCCCTGTGATACAGCATAGTAGGGGAAAGACAAGAATGGACACAAACCAAACAGGCCCAGGACCAGCACTGTAGTGATCAGCCACTTCTGCCTACGTATATATGAGCAATTTGTCAAGCTTGGAAGCTCCTATATTATGTGACTCTGGAGTCACCATGAAATTCAACATCAACTGAAAGCATCACTTAACTCCTATATACCCTAAGCCCTTGTGATTTAACATTCTCATAGGGAACTTATAAGACTTACATTGACACTGATAGCACAGGTCTAGAAACCTTCTTAACATACTACTGTTTTTTTTAAAGCAAACTGGGATTTTAGATCTAAACATCCATTAGCAGAAAAAGGTAACCTTCAGAGCCACTGCTTTCTCAGTTATCTTTAGAAGCACTAAAATTCCTCCAGCTGGCATATTCTCATGGAGCTGGCCTACAAGTGTTTATAAGTCTTTTTATTCTAAAGACAAGGTCCGTCGGTTCAACACTCACTATTTCTCTATAGGGAAAAGAAATTTGTTCGCACAGTATTAGTTATCTAACAACTATGTTTTTATAGAAAGCAAAATTTAATAGTAGATTTGCCTGGCTTCAGAAGATATTATTACCCTATATGTTCAAAATGAATAAAAACATTGAAATCTTAAAATTAAAGTTTTACAGTATAAAAAAATTTACTGATTTATAAATCCATATAAAGCTATCATAGGACTTGTAACTGCATGAAGTTACATGGAGAAATAGCCCTCTCCAAAGGGCACAACTGAAGGATACACAAACAGATATTATTTGGTAAAAGACAAAAGTCAGGTTGCTTTCTCTGGAGAAAGACAAAAGTCAGATTCTCTGGACAAAAATGTCTTTACTATAGGACTTCTCATAGCATTTTCATACCAATAATCATGTCTTAGGCAGCAAGAAAAGGACATGTTATTTAGTATTTATAAAACATATTTTAAAATGGAAACTTTTTAAATTTTGCAGGACACATAGAGAGTGTTCTCATCCACATTTTAGAAAATGGACACCTAAGGGAAAAGAAAGAAATTATCTATACTCAGGAAATAGCCTACATCATGTAGTATGGCCCCACTTCTCCTGACCATAAAAATCACCTAGCAACTTATTAAAAATACAGATTTGAGGGAAGAATATGGCAAACTTCATTGTAAGCCAATGCACTAGTCAAGTTTAACAATGGAGAAGTGAGTTTAGAGTTTGTAAGTGGGTTAACCAAGGTCTGAATCCTGGCTTGGCCGCTTTCTAGCTACATGATTTTGGACAAGTTTCTTAAACTCTTACAGCCTTTGTTTTTTCATCTATCGTATGAAGATAATAATAGTTCCTCTTTAATAGTATTGATGTGAGGATAAAATGGATGTAAAGCTCTTAGCAATAGTGGCTGACAAATGTTATTAATAGAATCTCTATGCATGATATTAATGTTATATATATTAAGCCAGATATGTCTTTTTTCTTCTTTACAATTTGGAAACTCACATTTATGTAACTATATTTTTCTGGAAATCTCTATCCACACCCAAAGACTTTCACTTCCTGTTCAATATGCTTTGATATTGTTACAGTTGGTCAAACTGTATTTGTGATACATGTTTTTAAGTTAAACTATTCAATTAGAAGCATTTGATATAAAATAGTCGTGTTCACAACACCTGTAAGAATCGTTCCTTTACTCCTCACCCCTGCCCTCCTTTACCCCTTGGAGCTTTACAGAGGCACTGGAAGTGGCCTGTATCAGTGTGATCGGGGAGAAAATCAGAAAGGACAAGAAATCTACAATGTGAAATGTGCCCATAGATATAAGCGCTGCCTGTGCAATGAGCCCACAGATATGTGCATTGGCAAAACTGCAAGTGCAGTTTATGAAAAGTTGCTGCCCTTCAGGGATCTCGTTTTTCTTCCTACAGTTGTCTAGTGAAATGAGAGGCTTAGGGTGAAAGAAACTGTGAAAGAACCCGTGGGTGATTTGCTTCTGCTTTACTGATCTCATTTGAAGCCAACCCTTGGAGAATGGCTAGTGAATACTAATAATACCTTATTAGAAACTATAGCGTGGCTTCATGCAAGGTGAACCTAAATGTGTAGTCACTGCCCATCTTCTGTGTGAAAGGAGGAAGCCGTGGCATCCACATCAGCATTTTTGTATTACTATTTAACTAAAAGTTTGGCTCCCATATAGGAATGTACAGCTCATTGTTCAAAATCCCTCACTACAGTAGGTATGCCAACTCAACTTCTGCTCTCTTCTCTGAAAATTCTGTGCCCATTAGGAAGGACTGGGTTTCCTGTTAGACAAAAGGCAAGGGCCAGCTTAGGTGGAACTCACTGCTTTGGTCTTCATCCTCTCTATTAAAAAAAAATATATATATATATATTTATATATATTTATATATATATTTATATATATTTATATATATATTTATATATATATATTTATATATATATTTATATATATATATTTATATATATTTATATTTATATATATATTTATACATATATATTTATATATATTTATATTTATATATATATTTTTATATATTTATATATATTTATATTTATATATATATTTATATATATTTATATATATATTTATATATATTTATATATATATATTTATATATATTTATATATATATTTATATATATTTATATATATATTTATATATATTTATATATATATATTTATATATATTTATATATATATTTATATATATTTATATATATATTTTTATATATTAATATATATTTTTATATATATATTTACATATATTTATATATATTTATATAAATATATATAAATATACATAGTAATATATTTATATATATTAATATATAAATATATATTTATATATATTTATATATATATATATTTATATATTTATGTATAAATATATATTTATATATATTTATATATATTTATATATTTATGTATAATATATATTTATATATATTATATATTTATATATTTATGTATAAATATATATTTATATATATTTATATATTTATATATATTTATATATATATAAATATATATATAAATATATATAAATATATATAAATATATATATATAAATATATATATAAATATATATATATATATTTATATATAAAACCTCCAATGTCCTATTTCACTTTGGAAGTGTGCATTCCACAGCCCCCACAAGTATTGCAGAGCATAATACCATAAGTATGTACATCCCAGTGGACCTTGGGGTCCTGCTTGGCCAGCAGCAGGAGAGCCACTGATATTAAGAAGGAACGTTGTCAAGAGGTGCCAGATGGGGTTAGCCCTTCGGGAGGTCATTCCACCTAAAAGTGCCCAGCTCAATGCCAAGATGGCATGAGTGAGTTACCTTAATGAGAAAGTGCCAGTCTGCCCTTCCTTCTAATTCCTGGGGTTGTGTGTGGGAGGGACAGAGGCTGTTTGTGGGGTTTATTGTGAGCTCTGTGCTGGTTATTCACCCATTTTCCCCACTACATAGACTACAGGAGGTTGATCCATGCAGAGTGCATTCCCCCAGCTCCCTCATAGTCTGGCTTCTAATTGGAGGCATCAGCAGGATATCAGAGAGTAGGAGAGGAAGGTCAGGGTATTTCTTTCCTGTTTGTTCCTAGCTTTGCCACTGTCTCTTAGTCAGTGACTGTGTCTTTCTATGACTGTGTCTTGATGACCACAAAAAAAAGTCATTACGTCAAAATCTCTAGGACGTGGAACCCAGCTGTTAGTATGTTTCCCTGATATTCCAATGAGTAGACAAGACTGAGAACAACATCTCTGCAGGATGCCCTTCCTCCGAGGCTCTAGAGCTCACTGGGCTCCATTAACATTATCTTCCCATTGCCCATTTAGGTAGGCCTAAGTGGGTAGTAACGGCTTCCACCAGTTGCTAGTCTTTGAGTGGCTCAACATCTTGTGTCAGTTCCCTCAATGCTGCCCACACTTTGTAACAATTCCTTTAATTAAATTCTCTTCATTGTAACCATGTGGGGTAAATTATTTTTCCTATTGTGATCCTTTGTTAGGCTCCTTTGTTATATAACAGAATAAAAACTGTGAACTGCTGAACTGATAAACATGAGATGAACACATAAATAAACAAAGCAATTTTTTTTTTTTAAAGTCTCCAGAATGGGGATGTAGTTAGAGATGGAGACCATCTAATTCAGTCCTTAGATGCCCAAAAGGAAAACCTGGGATAAGTATGTTTTCTAAAATAGCCACGTTGAATTTATTTTGGAGAGTGGAGTGAGATGCTGGCTGTGGCTTGCAGGTTAAGAGGGCTGTAAATTTCATTTGCTGGCACTAGTCACAGTGTTTGCTTAGGCTGTGTGGTCACAGCCTTGGAAGGGAGCATCTCAGCAGGGACCTCCACCTGGGTTTTGCTGCCCTCTTTTATGTGAAAGGATTGCTTACCTTCCCATTTTGTCCTGCTGCTTTCAGAGGACTTGCTGAAAAGCATCAAAGGGGCCAGTGAGAACTGGAGGGCATAAGCACAAGTTGCAATTAGGCAAACAGAGACCCGGAGGAGTCCCAGATCACAGAGAGCAGGTTCCAGCCGGGAGGGAGGTGCAGCGGTGTTTTCTGCCCACAGGCTTGAAAAGAGTTCTCACTCTCGCCATAAATTAGGCCCCTCCCTTCTTGCTAATCCTCCCACCCCCACCCAGCTTCACAAAGGGGAGGAGGAAAGTAGAATTATCACACAGATTGCTTTGCTTATCCAAAAAAAGCATTGATTCAATCTTTTGCATAAATTCTTTTCCTTAAATTTTTGTCCTGTTCCCCCTCAATATTGAAAGCATTTATGACACAGACCTTGCACTTGACAAGGATTTAAGGGATGTACTTTTCAATTTATTTGAGGCCATATTCAGAAATGAAATAGTAACCTGTACAATTCAGGAAGCAACCAGACAATATATTCCATTTTTTTGAAGGTTTTATCACATGGTCTCCCTCCTGCTATGAGATTTATTCAGGAACCTTATATAACTTTGATTTTTATTCTTAAAACAATCTGAAATTAATGGATATACTTATGTGTTCACTTATTTAACAGAGGGTCAATGTATGACCTTTAAGAATGTTGTCCTGGATTTGCCTCTGAGCTGCTAGGTGACACTGGACAAGTCATGTCTCCTTATCTAAAAAATCAGGATGCTGGACAGAGTGACCTCCAAAGACCCCTGTCCTGATTTAACATTCTACTGTCTTTTCTCCTATTTAGTACTTAAGGGAACTGAGAATGACAATTATTGCAAACCACAGACCATAGCAAAGATCTAACATGGGTCAGTCTCATAAATGATATTTACAGAGCTAACTAGTAAGTTGAAACTATGCATTGGAAAAATGGATAACATTTGCATTTCCAAAGTAGAATTATAAATGAAAGAAATGTTGGCTCTGAAAAAAAATCTCAATAGCAGAATAAAGTTGTCAATGGTTTAAAAAAGAAGAATCTCTCAGAAAATCACCATTCCAATGGTTTAATAGTTGCCTTAAAAGATAAATATCCAACAAATAGTATTGTGTTTATCTTTTGGAATATTGAATATGATGGGTACTCCAGAAGTCAGGTAAGGATGAGCACTAGCATGATCATAGTAACTCTTATAATAACAACGACTAGCATTTATGAAGCACACATGCACACAGGCACTGTTTTAAGCACTTTACATGAATTAAAGCATTTCTAAAGATGCAGCCCTTGCCTTTTTCTTAATTCCACACCAGCAATCATGATTATTATAATAATTAACACTTAAATAGAACACTTTCTATAATTAACATTTATAGAATGCTTTCTATTTGCTTGGCAGTGAACCCTATTTATTTATTTATTTAATTTCAATAGTTTTTGGGGTACAGGTGGTTTTGGTTACACGGATAGGTTCTTTAGTGGTAATTTCTGAGATTTTAGTGCACCACAGCCATCACCTAAGCAGGATATACTACACCTAATATGTAGTCTTTTACCGCTCACCCCCCTCCCAACCTTCCCCTTGAGTCCCCAGAGTCCATTATATCATTCTCATGCCTTTGCATCATCATAGTGAAGCCCTATTAGATGGCACTGCATGGAAGTATTAACCATTCGTGACTACTTAATCTCATAGGCTTTACCTGAATATTTCTTTAAATTAGTACTTCATGTTCTGCCTCTTTTCCCCTAAATCAAAACTTTCACTTTACTCATGTAATCCTTACAACAACCTTTGAGGTGAGTACTACTATTATCACCATTTTACAGACAGATGAACTAAGGCTCACACAGGTTTGAAAACATGTTTAAAGTCGCATTGCTACGAAGTGGAATAGTGGGATTTCTACCCAGTGCTGTGCGTAGAGTATGCTGCAATCTTTTTGCTTAGAAGAATACGATATCCTGTCCTTAATGCATTCACACGGGCAAGTGGATGCATCAGTGCACTAAAACGTATACTGACCCAAGTGCTTTGGGTAGGTAGAAGTCAAAATCTTATAGTCTGGATGTTAAAGGATAATTTATTTGATCTCCTACACCACCCTTAACTGTATCATTCCAAAATCATAAGGACTATCTGTTTTTGTTTTTGTTTTTCACAATCAAGTTTGTAATCTGGATCCAAATTGCATTTTTTCTTTTCTACCACAAAGTCACACAGTAAGTTTTGAGATTTTTGCATCAACTCAAAGAATCTCTTCTGAGTGGCTGTTCGGAGAAACAATAACCCGAGAAATTCTGGGGTCCAAGGGCTCAACAGGTCACTGCCGGCTTGTCTCATCCTGTTCAGAGTTCCACTCAGACTCCTGCATCGGGTTAACCACATTTTCCAGTTGCACCCTTGGGGCGTATTTATCACCTTGCTATAGGTGCCAAATCTCTAAGTAGCAGATAAGAGTGATAAAAATGTATCATGTGACTCTCTTTCTAACAAATATCCTACAAGTGGGACTATTATATAAAACATTCCTCGGCCAGGCACTGTGGCTCACGCCTGTAATCCCAGCACTTTGGAGGGCGGAGGCAGGCGGATCACCTGAGATCAGGAGTATGAGACCAGCCTGGCCAACATGGTGAAACCCAGTCTCTACTAAAAATACAAAAATTAGCCATGCGTGGTGGCAGGCGCCTGTAATCCCAGCTACTCGGGAGGCTGAGGCAGGAGAATCGCTTGAACCCGGGAGGCGGAGGTTGCAGAGAGCCGAGATCGCACCACTGTACTCCAGCCTGGGCGACAAGAGTGAGACTTTGTCTCAAACAAAACAAAACAAAACAAAACAAACAAAAAAAGCACAGTTCCCTATTGACTAAATAACTCCACAAAGGTATTAATTGTTCATTATTAATGTTTAATTTTATTGAACTTAATGTGAGAATTCCTTTAAATTAGTATTTAATTGTCTAATGGCTCCTTCTGTTTAAATCAAATCTTGCCACTTTCCGCATTAATTACCTATTCACTTCGTGGCTTTTAAGTCTGAATTTTGTAAATGAAGGCTGCTTATAACTTGTAGTGTCAACATCTGGACATGTGTGCTAAGGCAGGGCTCCCTTGTCACACTTCAGAACTTCAACTATAGAAATTTGCTTGATACATTATCTAAAAGAAACAGGGCTTGGGAGTTAATGGGCACAAATGTTAGGGTGTTTTAAAATGCAGCACATAAGGAAGCTAAAAAATATCTCCCAGCATACATGAGAACAATTCCAACAGCTCTAGAGTGTCTTCACCTTGTTCAGGTCTGTCAGATGATAAGGGGCCAGGCCCCTCAACGCCTGTGTGTGCAGGAAGTAGTTTACCAGATTTCATGAAGAGCAGGAGATATAAGTGGGAGCATTCTTGGTCAGGCAACTGCATGTGCAGAATTTGGATTCATAAATAAAACTAATCTGTGTGGAGGACAGTGAGATGATCAGCCTTGGAGAACAGAGAGAGAATAGGGATAACGGTTTATGGGATTGGGGAGCAGAGGAGATATTCCACTGGATGAATCTTGAGTGAGAAAATAACAAGATTTGGAGAATACCCTTTGGAAAGATAAACCTAGCTATGCTTTGTTTATGCTGGACTATATGGGTTAAGACTCTGAAATTTAATATTCTTATGTAATTAATTGGCTTTACAAGCAGTGGCACTCAGGCTGAGATACGCATGTGACATTATATATTGTGAAGACCAAAATGAGATGATGGAAATATGTGAAAGGACTGTATATTTGAGAGGTGGGGTCATTTACATATTATTATCCATACAATTGTGGTGATGATGGTGGCGGCAACCATCCCAAATCTAGTCTCTTCACTTCACTGTCTAGGACCTTGCTGCTCAAGGTGCAGTCCTCACACCAGCAGCATGGACACTACCTGGGATCTTGTTAGAACACAGTATCTTGGGCTTTGTCCAAAACCTGCTGAATCTGAATCTGTATTTTCACACCACCCCTGGGTTATTCATGTTCACATTAAAGGCTGAGAAGTACAGATCCAGAAATTAAATTTGGGAAAATAGCTTGTCAATCCAAATTGCCACTTAACAAGTGGATTGCCTTGTTATTCACACTTTCATTTTATGGTTGTAATAAAATAGAAAAACAAGAAACAGCCCAATTTTTATTGTGGACACAAATTCAATAGGGCGTGTTTGTGTATGCATAGTTCTAGCTAAATGCTCAGATAGCTTTTATAACTGGATTTCCCCATTTCTCCCTTTTTTTGAATGCTGGCTGTGTTTTATTAAACCTTTATCCAAGTCAAGTAATATAGGTATATCTTACAGCGTCTAGACTTTTTGCCAAATTTTACTAAGTCAAATCAGATCATTAATCTCTATTAAAGCATGTGAATATTTATTTTAATTAAATTCTATTTAACTGCCACCAGACAGCATTACTGGGGAAAAATACAAATAAAATTTGATCAAAGGCAACATGATTAGGTTGCTGAATTTGTGTACATAGAGGGGGCAGGAAGCATAAAAAAGAGAGAGGCTCAAGCATCTTTAATGAAACTAAGTATGTTTCATGTAATATAATGGATCTTGATAAATTTAACACAAAGCCATGTAAAGTGCAATGGGATCTTTATATCTCTTCTGAAATCTTTTAAATAACAAGCTGCATTTTATTTTAGGCTTAGAAATAACAACATTTTAAAATGTTAAGGGTTCTCTTTACAAGGTAATTGCTTAGAAATACGATATTTCTATTTAACTATATACTATCTGTTGAGATTACTTGTTATTTTAGATGCCTACAACTAATCTAGTCAGTGGACTATAAGACATACCATAAGAGATAACATCTTTAAAAATGTTTTCATGTTCTTATATGAGAATTTAGTCTCGTTTCATGCTATCAGGGGTAAATTAAAGCTTGTAAAAGATACAAAGATATTAACGTAATAGTCTTACAATAAGCCATTGTATGCCAGTCAAACCAAGAGATAAGAATTGAGCTGTGCCTTATTAAAAAAAAAAAAAAAAAAAAAAAAAAAAAACTTGGTAGGATCACTAAAATTCTGAATTCTTCCCCAATTGACTTATTGTATTAAGTATGAAAGGTTATGTTGTTTTGTTGGACTATTGAGTATAATACTGTTTGGACAGATTCAGTGGAAAATTATGATGCTGTCAGATCAGAGATAAATTTACCATGAAACAATGGAGCTTAAGCTTCAGGGACCTTCCCCCGCCAGGTCCCTTTTAAGGACTTGGATGGGGTCCTGGCAATGTGTTCATATGGTCATATTTTTTTAATTAGCAAATGTGAGAAATCTATGGTAACAAGCTAGTTAATGAAGACAGCCAGTTCCAAAGTATTTAAGATTAGTCCCTGCACCAGAAATTTTGAGATGCTGTAAAATCTTGCAGTTCATCGGGAAAGAAGCCTAAAGAAGTCTTCCCAAGTTTAACCACAATTCTAAAAATGTACACGTTATTATCAATCGAGAGTTATAAAATGGAGAAAAACCTTTCTCAACTATTAATACTTTTTGAAAATTCCATCACCTTACAGGAAAGACTGAATTTAAATAACCACTTTATACTTAATTTTATATTGTACATTTGTCTTTTTTTTTGAGACGGAGTCTCATTCTGTCGCCCAGGCTGGAGTGCAGTGGTGCGATCTCGGCTCACTGCAAGCTCCGTCTGCCGGGTTCACGCCATTCTCCTGCCTCAGCCTCCCGAGTAGCTGGGACTACAGGCGTCCACCACCACACCCGGCTAATTTTCTGTAATTTTAGTAGAGATGGGGTTTCACCGTGTTAGCCAGGATGGTCTCGATCTCCTGGCCTTGTGATCCACCCGCCTCGGCCTCCCAAAGTGCTAGGATTATAGGCGTGAGCCATCGTGCCCGGCCCATTTGTCTTTTTCTTAAAGAGAGCTCACCTTAGTGTTGTTTTAGTCCCCACGAAACCTGCATTCTTTCCTGCATTGGATACAGATGTTTACTTTTGAGTGACAAGCTTAAGGATTTTGTTTTTGTTTTTTAATGAACTTTGTAGTGTAAAATATAATCTATTTTATTTGCATTACATCAAGACATAGCATAAGCCCAAGTTGTGGCATAATTAAACATAAACTATCCTAGAATCAAAGTAGACAGCTCACCAAACCATGCTTAGTAGGACATTCCAGGCGTTAAGTCCAGGTCTATTAGTTACCAGTATTCTATGAGTCATTGATTAAGTATACTAATACAGTTATAGAAAAACTATTCTTACAAAGCTATATAATTAACAAGGCTCCCAGATCCCATTTTTTATAAAGCAAATTCAAGAACAAGCATTCAGTAGTCACTAATTATTGCACTTCTCACCGCAGTTTCTAATTTTTCTAACGATGGAACAGGCTGTTCTTTTTATGTAAAGGGGAATCCTACTTATCTGACCACAGCTTTCTCCTGGTGAAGATGGATGTGCTAGAAAGCTATCGACATTCTCTGATTGGTGCCTCCCTGAACTCACGGACAAAAATCAGGGTAATGATGAGGTAGAAAGTGTCCTGGGGTCATGGAGCAGGTTAAAACTAAATGGCCTGCAGAAATACTAAGCCCCTAATGCTGACCTAATTGCCCCAGGATTCCAGCCAAATGAACAAACTGCCCACCTGCCTTAACAGACACAAAATACACCCAAATCTAACTAAAATACACTTGGAGTAAGTAGGGTCCATGTAACTATAGTTATGTTTAATGGTTCCTCTTACATTTCCTTATTACTCATTAAATTCTTGTTACTTTTCCCACTTCCAGCACCAAAACAAAACAAAACAAAACAAAACAAAAAAGTTTGTGTATATTTCTCCTTATAGATGTCAAATAAAATCTTATAAGCAAATACTTGGCCACCACCACAGTGCTTCCAGGAACTCACTTCTCAGAAGCTCTTCTCATGTAAGCCATCATAACTCTATCGATGCAGCATACTCATTTCTTAAGGCATTTAATAATGAAAAGAGGAGAAAAAAAGAAAAGTATTGCTGGAAAACTGAAACCGAAAGGTGACCTAAGAATGGGTTGTGACAGCAAATAATTACTGGCTGTCTCTATTTCTCTTTATTGCCTTTCTTCATTTTTTTTCTCCCTACTTTGACTTTATACAGCTTTGTCTTCTACCTCCAGACTCCACCCTATTTTTAAAACATCTATGAACATCTTAATTTAGACAGGAAGACGGGCCATGAAAGCATTTCCAGTCAACCAGAAAAAACCCAGGAAGCACCTATGCAACCTAACTCTTCCGCACCCCTTTTGTTAGTGAATTCAGTCACTAACAAAAGCAAGTGTCACCTGCCCTCTCCAAACCCACTTCCTCTGGCCTAATTAAGGTCAAGGTTTCTTATCTAGACTGTTGCTTTATATGTCACAAACTTGCTTCTCTATCCCCATTTATACACACACACACACACACACACACACAGACACACACACACACACTGTTCACACCTCAGTGAGAATAAATGAAAACAGTGAAGCTGCTTCCTATTAAAACACTATAGAATTTCCCCATTATCTACAGAGTAAGATCTGAGTGCCAAGCGTGATATGTAAGTCCTTCTATGACCAGGCCCTTCACCCATTCCTACACGGCAACATTCATCAGACTACAGTAAAGGGCTACTTTTGCTTCTTGCTTCCCCAAAGAGATTATGTTTCTTGAGGACAGCAACGTCTTTGAAACATGCTGTAGACTCCGAGCCACAGTGGGGCTTCACACAGAGTACCTAGGGATAAGTTTGTTGAACAGAATAAAACAGAATTAACCATGGCCCATAAATGGGCATGGGTGGTTTCCCAACCTAAGGCATTATGAATGTTAAGCCATGAAAGCAAATTTCTGCAAAAAATTTGCTTCCAACTGGACAAGTATGATTTCCCATTGCCCTCTAGTCCTATGCCCCAGGTCAGGCTGACACACAAAGGTGCAGGGGTCCTGTGACTTGATACTAAAGTGTGGCCTCATGCTGGCATCCTCAGAACAAAAGCTCTGTCACAGAGCCACCTAAGGGGCCTGCTCGCTTATCAGATGTTACCAGAGGCTCTCCAAAATGAGGATCCTACCTGGGCTTGTGAGTGTGCAAAACTAATACCACTATTCCCTCTTTCCTCCACTACTAAACTTCTTGAAACAGTGATCAACTTTCATGTCACCCTCTTCCCCTTTTACTTCATCCTTTGCCCACTGCAATTTTTCCCATGATCTATGGCTTATCATCACTCTAATAAAACTATTCTTTCTATAGTCACCAGTGACCCCCAGATCAAGAAGACTCTTGGGGTCCTTTTAGCTCTGTGTATCTTTCTCTCTGAAACGGACTACTGTGGGGGCCTCTTTGATTTTCTGCACTGTTGTACCTTGGTTTCTTGGCCACCTCGCTGTCCAAGATGATCTCACATCGGCCAGACTGCTCTTTCCCTGTCTCCTTAGCTGGCTCCTGCGCTTCCTCCTCCCGCCTGCTCCCATCCCTCATGGAGTGTTCCAGAGGGCTCACTTTCAGATGCTCTTCCCAATCTCTGCTCTCCCCTTGGAAGTCTCATCTGTCCTGTCCTTAAAGCTTAAATTTCCTCTTTCATGCATGACTCTCTGACATGTCCCCTCTGGCCACCTTTTGAGATGACACCTGTCTTTCAAGGTCCATTACCATGCCACCTTCTCTATGAAATGCTTTATTACTGGCTTCTCCCTAGCATCAAGAAAGCTCTGTGGGATGGCTGGTATACAGCGTGGGCTCAAGTCCTGGCTTTACTTACCAGATGTGCTGCTTTATGACACTGTTTTGTTTTCTGTGAAATGGGAATAATTATCTCTTCAAATAGGGTTGTTATGAGGGGCAAACAAGACTTTGTATGAAGAGTACAATTTTTTATTTATTTATACTTACATGATAGTACTTGCCACATTTTATCCTAGATCCGTGTACATCTTTGTGTACATGAACTTCATGCCAACTTAATTAAGGGCAATCATTTTTTTCCACGTTCATCTTAGTATCCCTGTAGCTCCTAAGACAGTATTGTGTTTCACATGTGAAACTCTAAATAAATGTTGGTTGAATCAAATTAACCCTAGAATAGTTTATCTAAAGAGATAATTTTCTCTCTCCATGGAAACCATCTACCAGGAATTTTCAACTTTAATAAGCTGACCTGTAAACAGGGTGAGAGGAGATTAAATAGAATTTGGTAAAATCTTCCTGATGCTCTTGAAACCGTCCTCATATTCCATTGTAATTGTTCTGTGCTGGGGACCAAAATTCATTAGCAACTAAACTGATCTTATCTCCCTGGAGGTTACAAATGAAAGAGGACGGTTAATTTGTTATGTGGTGTCCAGCCTCCAGTATCGGTGGCTCTCCAGGAAGAATGAAATCAAAATGTTCAAGAATTTCCAAAACCAAAAAACTCACCTGTGTAGTCTTAAAAAATAATTCATAAAAGGTAAGTGATTCTTTTTAACTCTTTCCCTCAATGACAACTTACTTTGTGTATTTTTATTTCCAAAGACATACTTCTTTTCCTAGGCAGAAGGCCAAAAAAAATTAATAATAATATGAGGCCTTATTTTTTAATAGCAAAAGGTATGTCCTATCACAACACAACAATTCAGGACTGTACTGTCAATGCTAGGTTTAAAAAAAAAATTAGAAGTTGCAAAATCTGGCCTCAACTCTTCCTCCCACAGCTATTCATCACTCTCTAAAACACTATTATCTTTTTTATATATTATAATTGCCATTGACATTCATGTCACCTTTTCCTATGTTGAGGCTTCTTTTATATCAACATTTTCAAATTATAATATTTACCAGTCCGTTGTCTTCCATTCTGACTAATAAGACATCTCTGTCTGATTATAGACCTAATTCCAACTAAGAAAACACATTCTGCTGTGTGGAGTCAGCTCTTCGATATTTTGAATTATTTAGAGGTACCAGTGGCATCTAAGAGCGGAACATTTGGAAACCTACCAGTAAGTGTGGGGTGTCCTGGATTTCCCATCTCTCTTTCATTAGGGAGAGGACTAAACAGCTCCTAAATGGTATATGTGTGAAAATTAAACACTCTAGTTGAAGCATCTGTGATACAACAGTGGCAAACAAATCTCAAATATTTAATACTAGTTGCAGGTGGAATCTTTTTTTCACCTGAAGGAAGTCAGCATGTGTACATTTCCTGTTAAATGTGTGAAGCTCTGATATTCCCTGAGAGAGAATGGGTAAATTAGGCCTGTGCCACCTCAACTGATTTGCATTTTTTCCATTTCAAAGTCCATTTGCATATCTTTATGAACATTCCTCAGAATGTTTCATACTTTATTAGGCTGGGTTTTAGAATTGTTGTAGAGCTTCTAATCACCCATATATTGATGGTATGAGATGTTCATCTTCCAGTCTTATCTTCATGCTTTTTGTTTTCCAGCTAAACAAGTTGCAAGCAGAATTTCAGTGTCCTAGATGACCCCCAAAGCTTTCAAACTTTTAAACTATGGCTCTCCATCCTACGTTATTTTGGCCACAAGTATTGAGATTTCATTAAGTCATTGTGATCTGTAACAATCCTAACCTGCAGGAATACAATAGAGAAACATACTTAATCTTTGGTAGATTTTTCGGTGGAGTGATTGAAGTAATAGATCTCTTCAGGTGTAGGAGAAGATTCAGTTTCAATAGCTTTCTTGCATCCAAATTTGCTACGATGAAACACAAATGCCAGAGTAAGGGTTAGGAGCCTATTTTTATTGGGACATTTATCTGCTACAGTCTGCTCTTGCTCTTTAGATGTGAGAGTTACTACTTATCTATGTATTTATTTTGAGACAAAGTCTTGCCCTGCCACCCAGGTTGGAGTGCACTGGCGCAATCTCAGTTCACTGCAACCTCCACCTCCCAGGTTCAAGCGATTCTCCTGCCTTAGCCTCCCGAGTGGCTGGGATTACAGGCGCCCTCCACCACACTCGGCTAATTTTTTGTATTTTTAGTAGAGACGGGGTTTCACCGTGTTGGCCAGGCTGGTTTTGAACTCCTGACCTCAAGTGATCACCTGTCTCGGCCTCCCAAAGTGCTAGGATTACAGGCATGAGCCACTGTGCCTGGCTGAGAGAGGGCTTGAGGAAGGACATCACGTAATGCTTGGTAGGCCTAGACTTCACTCCCTACTGCTGCAAGACAGCCCCAGCACACCGAAGTTAGAGTCGCAACATCAACACACCTTTAATTCAAGGATATCAATTTAGGCATAGAAGATATTTTCACATTCTAGCAATAAAGCAATCATGAGGTGAGGGGTAAAACCTGAATAAAGTTGGTGGAATAAAATGTAGATGACAAGCATGATTAGCTGGGAAGAAACAGACCTGAAGTGGCTGAATATTTCATCAATTTAAAGATGCCCATGTTTTCATATCCTAACATCTAATTGAAAGCTGAAGATAGGCTTGCATTTTGCAGGTCTATTCAAAAGGTCAGAGCACCTAACTGTGCCAAAGAGCCCTGACCAGAAGAGAGTCAGCTAACATGTTTATCTCACTTGCCAACTCCAGTCAAGAGGTGGGGGCTGCCTGGATCAATGAACAGTACTGAGAAGAATTCCAAGGCTGTGTCTCAGTGAGACAGAATGCTGTTCCTGTGAGAAAAATGCCACGACCGATAAGTGATGTCTGCCGGAGGATGTGGAGTATCCATGTGATTGCCATGAATTTACCATCCTTGGCCCAGGCTGCCCTAATTAGACGGCACAACCTCAGGTACACAAACTCTCCCAAGAGGTAAACAGTTTGCCTTCAAGATGAAAATCCGATTATATAATCTACTCATAAAATTAATAATCATTATTTTAAAAAGGGGATTGTCAGCTCCCAGGAAATGCCTCTCTAGGTAGAATTTTAGTAATATATTTATTTGCATGAATATATCGAAATTATTATGATTTTAACAAGCAGCAATCACCACATTTCAAGTGGTCAATAACTACAGGTGCTTGCTATATCAGACAGTACAGGCTTAGAGTCAAATGAATGTGGATTCAAATTCCGGCCCTGCTTTTTACTTGTCATGCACTTGCTCTAAATCTGTTTCATTATGTTAAAAATTACTATCTCCAGATATTGTGAGAATTAAATAAAAACAGCATACTCAAAGAAAAAAAAAGAGCAAGGGCCAACTTTCTCACCCATATTACTCTCTGTTTTATAAACTCAGAGGATGCCTTGAGAAGATCTAAAAGGAGAGAAAACACTAGCTATTCCTACAGGATAACTAGGGAGACAGATACAGTTTTATAAATAGGCTATGATATCCAAGAGTATATGTATGCAGAAGTATATTTGACAGTGGATGTGTACAAGTTCTTTAAGTAAGCCCTAGGAAGTCCAGTAAGTGAATGAGTACAGTGTTGTAGAACAAGCTATAGGGAAGCATTGTTTCACCTACATTAGTAATCTTATCAAAATATCCATCAATTTTAATTTCACTCCAGTTAGAGAAACTAAAAGCTCTGGTCTTAGCTGCATCTCTTGTATTTCATCTGTAGTGAGAAGAAAGAACACTCTTCATTGGCAATTATCAAATTATTTGTTTGAATAGCATTTTTCCACATTCAGCTCCCCATCTTCTTGCATAAGGATGATATTCCCTAAGAATAGAATTTAGTGATAAATGCTTCTAAGGAAGCCACAGAGCCCCTGGAGCTCATTAATCCTGCAACCTTCTGTGAGCTGCTGGCCTGAAATGGTTGGAGTTCACTTTAAACTGGACTGAATTTCAAAGCAAAGGGCTCTGAGGTGGCAAACAGCTCATTAATTCAGAGTATAATACAGTGACAGAAGAATTGTTTTAAATGCACAATCTAAAACTATTTAAATTCACATTATAATTATAAGCAAAAAGTATGCACTCAAAATTGAAATCTGGATATGTAATCTATTGATAAAACTAATGAACAATTTTTTTTTAAAAGGGGGGACTGTCATCTTACCAAGAAATGCTAATCATTCTACTTTTTGAAGTGTGCCTCATTTGCATCACAAACATTATTATGAAAATTCAACATTATGCTTCTGTGTGTTGCATTGTACTGCTCTGCTGAACATCAAAAAAAAAAAAAAAAAAAACAGGCAACACTTCCTCAAAGTGAATAAAAATGGAATCAAAAATCATGATCAAAGATAACTTCAATTCCTTGTTAATTTTACCTTAATTCCACACCTGGGACAAGAAGACTTCTTCATACACTTTCTTTCCTGTAACAAATTCTCCAGCAAACTTAAGGTCGAAAACTAGATTCCCAAATGAAATAAATGCATAAATAAACATCAGTCCAATTTGCATAGTCTCTACCATAAATATGGCAGCACGTTCCTAAACTCATTAGAGTTCACTGTGAGAAAAACTCATTACACTCCCATTAGAATATGAGAATTAACTTTTAAAAATTAATGTTACAGAAGTAGTTTTACTCTTTTTTTAAAGTAACCAATAATAAAAGATACACTAGTACTTTTTTTTCTTTTGTCTAAAGATGAAAAGATACTTGTTTCTTTCAGTGATATTCATGGTGAAAAATAGATATTGTCTAAAGCATCGATGTGTACATAAGTTTCTTTATTTTCTATAAACTGAAGGCATAACTTTTATAAAAATTGAAATAAGAAAATCAAGCATGGGTAATTTTAATTATTGTTAATTATTTTAGCTGAGGAATATGCCAAATGGTAATGAACATTTTTATAACTGAAATAAAATTTAATTAAAACCTAAAGTGCTTAAAAATTACATATTAAGGCCGGATGCGGTGGCTCACGCCTGTAATCCCAGCACTTTGGGAGGCCGAGACAGGCGGATCACAAGGTCAGGAGATCAAGACCATCCTGGCTAACACGGCAAAACCCTGTCTCTACTAAAAATATAAAAAATTAGCCAGGCGTGGTGGCGGGCGCCTGTGGTCCCAGCTACTCAGGAGGCTGAGGCAGGAGAGTGGCGTGAACCCGGGAGGCAGAGCTTGCATTGAGCTGAGATCGTGCCACTGTACTCCAGCCTGGGTGAGAGAGGGAGACTCCGTCTCAAAAAAAAAATTAAAAGGTGATGTGCATTTTCCTCCCAAAAAGTGTAAAGTCTACCTTATATAATGAAATATATATTTAGTTTTCGAAAAAACTTCCAGCCTGACCAACATGGTGAAACCCCATCTTTACTAAAAATACAAAAAATTAGCCAGGCATGGTGGCGTGCGCCTGTAACTCCAGCTACTCAGGAGGCTGAGGCATGAGAATCACTTGAATGCAGGAGGTGGAGGTTGCAGTGAGCCGAGATCGTCACTGCACTCCAGCCCAGGTGACAGTGTGCAGTGCGAGACTCCGTCTCAAAAAAAGAAAAAAGTTGACATTTTAATGCAATTTTTTCTTAAACTGATAGTCTCTACCAAATATTTGTAATTAGGAGTCTAATAATATCATGTTATATTCTTGACTACACCAAAAATACTTTTTTAAACTACATCAGAAATACTTTTTTTGACTACATCAAAAATACTTTGTGGCACTTGCTAGATGAAATAAATATTAGCCATAGAACACCTGGATAAATTAAAAAAATACTCAAGTGTGGATTTGGCTTAGACTCAAAAAAACAAAAACTGTTTCAGTGATAAGTACTGCTGTGAAATTCTCAGGTTCTTGGTCAATTACATGGTGCCAACTGTTTCTGTTATTATTATTCCTAAAAAATGCCGTTTGGGGGAAGGAACATTTTTAATGGCCCACAAGTCAGCCAAATCTGACTGGTCGTGACTCATTTCTATAGCCAACCTCTGTACCTCCTCTGACAGATCAAATTATTAAATTCTGCTTGGGGAAGGTATGGGGCACTCCTCTTGGTTGAAGCAATGCTGTACTTTTTATTCCTGCTGAGTAAATAGCCTCAAGTCAAACTACTTGCCCTAACTAATGATCAAACATATCCAGGAATTCTGTACAAGAAATGCATTCTGCTCTCCTTTGAAGTGCATTGCTGGGAGAGTAATTGGGTTTGCTGGAGATTTTCCTTAGAACTGCAAAAGAATTTCTTGGCTAAGCATATAATCAAGCTGCAGATTTTCTTTTTTTAATTATTAAATATCTGCTTGTGAGAGGGTGGACATTGAATAAACATGTGCCTCAAAAGAGTGTCAGAATGATATACTCCTGTCTTTTTGCTGACCAAGAAATTCTCAGTAATCTTAGGTTAAAAAATTCCATCAGAAGAACATATCATTGTGAAACATTTTGTTCAGCCATATAATCCTCTCTAGAAATACAACTGTGACTCCAATATATTAATATCATTGTAACTAGGCTGTCAGGAATATACAAAGATGAATTTGACATAGAACCTGTCCTCAAAGAACTTACAAACTAGCAGGTTAGATATTATGTAATTTTTTAAATTACATACGAGAAATCATAAAGTGAGGATGTGACAAGATTATGAAATAAATGTCATAAGGCATCACATGAGAGAGAAAGAGGTTGCTTTTGCTGGGGGTGGTTAGTAGAAGCTGTTCTATGGCCATTACCATTACATGAGCTAGATATTCAAGGATGGATGAGATTTCAACAGCTAGATTGTGGCTGGGAAGGCATTTAAGGCCATGGACAAAGGCAGAGAGGTAGACTGTGTCTAAGAAATAGAGAATAGCTCAATGTGACAGGAATATTAGAAAAAGAAGAAGGGAGATACGTTTAAGAAGGCAGACAGGGCCAGAATGTAAAGAGCTTGAATCCATATATCACTCAGAAAATCCACAGGGAAGGCTCTTCTTCTTCTGTTAAAATTCCAGAAAGAATATTCTACTGTTCCTTTTGATAGTTAGTTGTCTTGGATTGATTTATAGTAAGCATAAGGACCAGTTTGCCTAGGACACTATGTTTATGCCTTTCTTTTTGAGAGAAAGAAGTACCCCTTTTGTCTTAAAGTATCTGAGTTTATACTAAAGTAGGAAAAAGAAAACAAGAAGGAGTATTTAGGTTGAGGTAGTCAGGGGACAGTTAGTGTTATGAAGAGATGCCCTTCTATCAGCGTTTTTATTTTTATTTTTTATTTTTTTGAGATGGAGTCTTGCTCTGTCACCAAGGCTGGAGTGCAGTGGCGCCATCTTGGCTCACCGCAACATCCATCTCCTGGGTTCAAGCGATTCTCCCGTCTCAGCCTCCCGAGTAGCTGGGATTATAGGCATCTGCCACCAAGCCTGGCTAATTTTTTTTGTACTTTTAGTAGAGATGAGGTTTCATCATGTTAGCCAGGCTGGTCTCGAACTCCTAACCTCAAGTGATCCACCCTCCTCAGCCTCCCAAAGTGCTGGGACTATCAACTTTTTTGAACCAGTACTTTGCCACCCAGACTACTGGGATTTTGGGGGAAAAAAAATTATCTTACTATGAAGAGAATATGGAATGTTGAGACCCTCAGGCCATGGCAGGAGAGATATTTTTAGCTCCTAGAACAAGAAAAACTCATAATCAGTGTGAGTGAACCATGAGGTGGAAGGCCAGGATAGTCTCAGATATGCACTGAGATATCTATGTGAGAGAAGAAGCATAAGAGGCAAAGTGAACTAATGGAGGCAGGACAGCTTGGTGATGGTGGAAGTGGTGCTAATGGCAGTACCAATTGTACCAGATGACCACAGGGGTGTAGGGCTTGGAAAGTACTTGGCAGGTTGCAAGCATCAGAACATAGGGCCATAAGTTAAGGCTGAAAGAGAAACAACTACTGAAAAGAAAAGAACTTGTACAAACAAAGAGTATACATTAAAAGTACAGTCTCATGGCAAAGGAGTTAACAAGAGTGGGCAAATAGAAGCCAGTTTGGGCCAAATGTAAGAAATAAAGTTAGTAGCTCTTTGAAATATGCCCAAGAAAACAAAAGTTCTCAGAAAGAAAAGTCAAAAAGAAAGGAGGTAAACAAAAGCGAGGCAGTGTTTACCAGTTGCCTTTGTAGGAAAATAAAAATAAATTCATGAACAAATCAAAACTCCTGTAGCATATTTGAGAGAATGTATTGAGGTTAGTTTTCAGTCCATCAACAGGACAGATTTAATTTACCTGCCTTGCTCACCTAGTGGAAAAGTAAGAAGAGAAAAATAAAGTGACATTAATAATCTATAACTGCCACATGTATGCATTCTCTTAGTAAAATGTATTTTGAGCATATCCCAAGATATGTATTTTTATTCATCAATTATATGCATATACTACTGTATGGGTAAAGTATATATATATAATAAAATATATACAAACATGCAGATTTAGAAGGATGAGAAAAATAAATTTATAGAAAAGCTCTAATATTTCCTTCAGAGGCCATTCAGTTAGATAATGGCTTTCTTTCCTAGCCCCAGTCATAACACAAAGAGCCTAGACATTATATCCTAGAGGCAGCAAAAAAAAAAAAAAAAAAAGTTAATGAACATGAAATGAGATGATCAGATAGTTGTTTTATAAAAATTAAGCCAGGGAATAAGAGTTGGGGATGGTAGAAGGGGAGCTAGCAGACCAGAAGCTGGAGAGACAGCCACATTGACAGCCAGGGTGTGAAATGATAAAGACCTGAATTTTTGTTTATGGTATAAATGGAGAGAGAGTGGCACATACACTCTGGGATTTGAACCTTATAGAAAACAACTATGAAAGTGCACCCTCTGAAGACAGGAAATAAAGCCCAAGTTTGACTTCAGACATGTCTCCTGGAAATGACTCCTAGAGTTCATTTTCTTTTCTGATTGAATATTGGACTCTGTTGTTTCACTGAAGACTTCAGTGTACTATGGATGGCATTTCAAGTGCTACTGATTTCCTATATCTGAATGAAAAACATTAATCCAAAACCAAACTAACTGTAGAGATAGAAAAAGATCAGTGTGGAAAGCCAAAGAACATCAAAAATGTCTCAACAATTGTAGGGTATCATTTTCTACTTTAATCGCACACAAATATCTGCTTTGAGTCTAAAAAGCTATCCATCAGTGTTCTCTTTAAAGCTATTATATCTGCCTTAATAATAAGACATTACAAAGCCTAATAGCATACACTTTATATTTCCTCAGATATACTGTAAACAGAACAGAAAAGAGTATCACTATAAATAATTTTTAATAAAGACAGGTCTCAATTTTAAGAAAATACCTCTACATGTAAGTGTTTCAGTGAAATATTCAGGACTAAAGATTACTGCTCTGGGGAGACTTCAGAAAAAAGGTACTGCTATGGTTTGAATGTCCCCTCCAAAATTCATGTTGAAATTTAATTGCCATTGTGATCTTGAGAGGTGGGACCTCTAAGAGGTGATTAGGTCAGGGGGCAGCACCCTCCTGAATGGATGAAGGCTGTTATCATGAGAGTGGGTTTATTATTGCAGAAGTGGGACAGTTATAAAAGAAGGGAGTTAGGCCACATTTCCTCTCTCTAGAGAACGGTCGGTCTCGCCATGCGATGCCTTCAATCATGCCATGATGCAGCAAGAAGGCACTCACCAGATGCAGCCCTTTAATTTTGGACTTCCCAGCCTCTAGACTCGTGAATAAACAAACAAACAAACAAACAAAAAACCTCTTTTCTTTGTAAGTTACCTAGTTGGTGGTATTCTGTTATACAGCAGCAGAAAATGGATGAAGACAGGTACTTATAAAAAAATCACTAAGAATGTCTTAATGTCTAAATGGGGTAGGAAAGGGGGAATGACATGGTCTCTACTCTATAGTACCCAAAATAAAAGTCTTAAAACCAATCTTAGTATAAGTAATACCAAGGTCATAGAATATTTCTTTATTACCCAAAATATGCAATTCCTTTCGTGGTGCATTACCACCTTATAAATGACAGGTAATAAAAGAAAACTCAAGTTTACTTATAATAATGTCATTTTAACTTTCATTTACAACATTGTTTTGCAGTAACTGCCTTGATGAAGGATATTCAAGCTGAAATACAATAGAACAGCAAGACACTTCTATCTGATCACCTACAAAAGCTGCATTGTAGTGTCATTCAAATACATTGTATGTGGCAAGGGCTGCCTTTCTATATTCTTTTTTTTTTCCTGAAAACATCTACTTGAAAGGTAATCTCAGGTAGTCTCCAACACTGTAAGCTAAGGTTTTGAAAGTTAGGGGAAATATTTCAAAGATCCATTACTTCTTTATCTTTTCCATGACAGTGAAGACGGTGGGGTTTCCCCTTGCCCCTCACCTCAGTGGAAAGTTTCTATTAGAACAAATTACAAAGTAATTAGTTCATTCACTCAATCTACATTAATGAGGGAATTTTTCAATCAAAACCTCTGATTTGATTGTCAGAGAAACTCTCAGAGGAATGCCTATTTAATTTCTTTTCTTCATTATTTTATCTATGTGATAAAGTTATCTTATAGAACATCAGTCATTTAACTATAACTGAGTTCTCTATTTTCACAATTGTTTAAATGCACAGAGATATCAATGGGAATATTTCTCATATTGGTCAAAGGAAAATATTTAGAGTGTAAGCAATAAAAAAATTTAACATTAAAATATGTTATTTTTTACACTCTTAGAGTTATTCTTAGTTTTGACCTGAAATTTACAAATACATTTTTTGAAATAATAACACTCGTTTCACGTCATACAGTAAAAGTTAAGTATTATTATGGAACATCTGATGAAGACAAATCACTCTGACTTATTTCAGAGTGCAGTGTCCTCATACTAGCCCTGCACTCTTTAAGCCAAATTCCATTTTTCATCCTGAAACCTATCAGAATCATGATAAAATATTATAGAACACTGTGATGAGCTTTCAGATAAGAGCAAAGAGTAAAGTGAAAAAGACTTCTTATGTTCCTGAAATGACCTTTCCTTGAAAGAACCTGTCAACCTTTCCAATGAGAGAACATCAATATTTTTAGGGCCAGTTTAACTCAACCTTCCTCTTTTTCTTTTAGTTTTAATGTATGTTGTTCTGGCTGATAAGAGTATTGATTATAGTCTCCCAAGTCTCTCTGGACACAAATGAACAAGTACCTACAGAGGAAAACCCTCCAAGAACACCAGGAGACTGGGCATGGGGGCTCAGGCCTGTAATCCTAGCACTTTGAGAGGCTGAGGTGGGAGGATTGCTTGAGTCCAAGAGCCCAAGACCAGCCTGGGCAACATGGCAAGACCTTGTCCCTACTGGAAAAAAAGAACAGCAGAAAATTATTTTAAGCTTGATCAATTTACTCTTTCAGGAAGCCAGTTTAAGATGGAGATTCTGGCCAGGCGTGATGGCTCACGCTTGTAATCCCAGCACTTTGGGAGTCTGAGATGGACAGATCACTAGAGGCCAGGAGCTCAAGACCAGCCTGGCCAACATGGCGAAACCCCGTCTCTAGTAAAAATACAAAAATTAGCCAGCCATGGTGGCAGGCACCTGTAGTCCCAGCTACTTGGGAGGCTGAGGCAGGAGAATTGCTTGAACCTGGGAGGCAGAGGTTGCAGTGAGCGGAGATAGTACCACTGCACTCCAGCCTGGGCAACAAGAGTGAAACTCCATCTCAAAAAAGAAAAAAAAAAAAAAGACATGGAGACTCTAAAAGATGTTTTATATACTAGCTGCAAGTAGAAGGATGAGTAACAAACATCCCTGAGAACAAAGGAAGAGGGAAGAGACATTTTACCATTTTCATCACCCCTTTCCAATTTGAGAAAATGGAGAGCAAAAGGTGTCTGGTAGTTTAAAGATTCAGCAGTAGAATATTGAGAATTTCTGGTAAAACCTAATCTAAAATTTTAGAAAATTCCTGCTTATACCTATAATCGGAATTCAGCAGTGTTGGTGAAGTTGGGGAGGGGGCTCTCTTTTTCCTAATATCCAAAAATCAGTTCTCCTCTTCCAAATATAAGTTTTACCCAAATACTGGCCATCTGATCAATGTCCACCAGTATCATGTTAAATGGTCAATGCCTCCAAATCACTGTCAGTTCTGGGGACATACTCAGAGACAACTATAAGAGACTGGAGCAAAAATTACTTAGGAACCAATTTTAAGCCCCACCATGCCATGATAAACATTATTTTATGGGAAATGGGAAACCTCAAGTGACCCAGCCCATATAACTTGCATGTGTGTGTCAACTGGAGATGGGCCAACAGCCATTACAAAGATCATGTTTCTTTGTCTTACATGCTGGTATTCCAAAGGCAATGTAATTTAAGACAAAAGCTGCTTTTCCAATGTCCACAAAGTACTCAGCTTAAATCAAATTCTTTCATGCGATCTCTCATTCCATCAGACTTGTGTTTTAAAGTATTAAGAAGCTAAAAGGAGTTCAAAATCACAAAGGGAAATGCAAATCAATCTACAACAAATCAGCTAACAGGTGCCCTGGAAGAGAATTTTATTGCTACTGACATTAGCCACTTACTTATCACTGATGCTGTCTTCTTTATGGATAATATGCACTTCTCCCCCTCACAACTTGGAGTCACATGGAGGAAAACATAGCCCAAACGACCCCTACGCTGCTTCAACGATAAATGCCTTGAAATGACTAAACGTTCCCAAGGTCATTAGGCCAGGAGATGGGTTCTTCTGTTTCGAGATAGCTTTCTTCCTGACCCACAGCATATGGCTTCTATTACTGCCAGACCATGACCACAAAGACATTTCAAATCCCTGTGAAAAATGTGATTCTATGTCTCCTGCTCAGTTGTGTGTCATAAAGGACAGTTGAAGTTCTGGGGAGTGAAGGGGAGGTGGCAAAGGGTGGGAGTAGGGATTTAATCTACGCCATCCCTTTATATGATATGACTAAGTTTGTAATAGAAACCTTCTCACTTCTGGTTTCTCTCTTTTATCTTACAAACCACTTAATGCTCATAAGGGACAGTGAACACACTTCAGTGTATCATGTTTAAGCTCTCCAAAGATGTGAAACAGCTTTATCAAGGGTGACAGCTCTGCCATTCACTAATCTGCTTTTCAAAATTTATTTTTTTAAAAAGAGATAAAAGTAAATTTATGCTATTTAATCTGCATTAACACAGCAAACAATATTCTATCTGTGGTGATTAAGAAATGTTTATGAAGTTATTTTCAATTGATGTTTACTTGTAGGTATTACAGTTGCTGCAGAACATTAATAATGAGGACAAGAATTAGTCAACTAACACAAGATATTCCACAAGGCACCCTTAATCCACTCAGATTAGTCTGACTTTCAATATGAACATAATAATGTTCTGCCTTATTAAATTTCACAAATGACGTTTTCTCATTTTTTAATATAACATAAAATGTAGAACCATCGTCTGGTCTTGTAAAAGAATTTTATACTATTAATTACAAGTTTCTAGCATATTCTAATTTTATAGTAGCTGATTTGCAACATCTTTCTGGGCACTGAATTTAATGGTTCCTGACAAAAGAGATGGGCAAAATGATTACACACCCACATACACTTACACACAATAAACAAATGACTCAAACAAGATATTTGCCTTACAACAAATTCATATCAAGAAGAAAAAAAAGCTTTGAACAATTCTCCTTGTTTTACATATGTTAACTACTATTTTTGCCCAATAGTATGGACTTAACACTTTTTCAGTTTGTTCTTTTCATTTGTTTCCATGTGTTTGTTTTGTTTTGTTTTGTTTTGTTTTGTTTTTTGGCTGTGCCTGATAATAGTTGACATTTCCCTCAGGGGGAATGTGGAATGTATCATTGAAAAAAAAAAATCTAACCCCACCCTGTGGAGCCTTGCATGTATCCAGATAGAAATATTTTAGTATATGCAAAACACTAATCAAATTAAATTTCCTGGTTGGGCATGATATAGGTAAAGCCATTAGTATTTTGTTTCCTATGTAAAACATTAGAATTTGTCATAGTAAGGTAAATTTTGCTAGTTAGTTGGTAAAGATTGATCAAAATAATTATTTTGTTTAGTTGACTGGTCAATATCATTAAATATGGTCACTCTTATCTCAAGTAGCCTGTTGTAGTACCATCTCAGACACCTGATTTTGAGAATTATGAAGTCAGGAGATTTCAAGACACAGTTAGCTCAAAGGACAGACATTTACAAAGAAACGCAATTACTGGGAGGAAACACATTATTGAAGCTTTGTTACATATCCATTCATACTCCAATTGGTTAAATAATAGAACACTAAAATGTTGAGTTGTGTTTATTTTCAAGGATGCATTCAGATGTGATTATCCTCACTGGGAGCTCCTATGAACATCTAATTTTTCTCCATTACTGCAACAAGATTTTTTTTTAACAATTTCCTGCCTGTTAGACAACCAAAAATGTTCTAATGATAAGTTTGTCTTTGTAAAGATATTCACTCATAGCCCATTCTATGGTCTTTGGAAAGACAAAGTTCATGTCAGATGTTGATTTGTCTTTTTTTAGATATTTATTATTTTCTAGATATTTATTATGCATACATAATAAACACTTCCACTTTAGTCTTTAGGAATCAAAATTTTCTTGAGGAAAGAAACAGGCTCAAGAGTGAAGAGAGAAAACACTCATTATTTAAAATTCTTTAATTTACAGATCAATACATTATATCTTTCTAGTTAATTACAAGAGTTTTATTTCCTCTTATCATTTTGAAAAACTTTTATGAACTCTATAAGCACAGGTGCTTTCTATACAAACTACCTTCATTATTTCACCAAATAGTTCTTGGATCATCTAATATTTGTTATCAATTGGCATATGTTCAGATATGCTTTTGGAATCATAAAATTTTCAAATCCTGTGCATGTTTCTGCCAAACTGATTCATTCAGGTAAGTATTCTGTTTAACTGTCTATCATTGCCAAAAGTTAGCATATAGCTGTAAAAGTCTGATTTCCTATTAACAAGCCTCTATGGACCTCTTACCCATAAATTAATCCTCAAGATGGGAGCAAGGGGAAGGATTTATCTAGTCATTTCCATCTTCCAGAATTTGATTGACTAGTATAGGCAACCTATGGATAACATTCATAATTTTAGACATTTTAATTCTATCTCTTCAGTGTCTGTGCCATTTCAGATTGGAGGATTCCTACTTTAAAGACAGTCATCATATGCAGAGCCCTTCATTAACCTTGATTCTCTTTGGGGCTTCTGTGTGGACCCCTTTGCCTTTGCTTCTTTTGAAGTACAACCAGCAGGTCCATTCCCAGCATCCTTCCCTGAGTTTCTCTGAGGTTAGCTCCTCCTAGTGATGGATAAAACTGGAGCATTGGAATTTTAACGAATTTGTGCTACAGGACACCAGTCACTAAAGATGCTTCAATACAAACTATTCCCAGATCAAATGATTTTGGGAAACTCTGCATACATTAGTCTCTCTTGGGTATTACAGCGTAACAGCAAACTGAAAGCCTCCTCTGCAGTAGAAGTAAAATAACTTGCTTAACCCACTCTTTTCCAAAATTTTTTTTGAGTACGGACCCCTCACTTTTTGTGTGTGTTTATTAGTTTTATGGTGTTGTGGTTTTTTTTGTTTGTTTGATTGTTTTTGTCTAATACCTACAAATAATCTACTCTTTGGGGGAATTCTGTAACCATTTAAGGATTTAAACCTGTTTAGCAAAAATAGGAATCAAAAAGGACGTGGTAAAATCTTTCATTGCTGGGCAGGTTGTTATTTGACATAATGTTTTCTACTATGTCTGTAACCCACTTGCCCGACTTTTCCTAAATAAGCTACATGCGGAAGAGTGTAGCTAAGAAAATGGTACTTAGCCCTAATGGATACTAAGGCAATATGAGTGATGGGACCTAACACACTGTCTGGCATCTACTAAGAAATCTGTAATAAATATCAAAATGGAATTGAAATGGCCACAGTTTCTTAAGGTCCAGTTTCTAAGAGAATGGTGCAATGCCCTGTTCCAGAGCAATGGTAGTAGAAATTGCTCTGGTCCAGTATCTGAGCAAGTGGATTCAATGATACATTGACCTCAAGCAACTACAATTAGGTAGAGTCAGTCCCATAGGCACTGTGCTCCTGGGTCATCCCCTCTGTACTTGCCCTTAGCTTCACTCAGACTTTAAGAGCCTAGATTTCTAAGTCTTTTTCTCTAGTAGACCAAGGACTGAATGTCCCAACTTAATATCAATTTCCTAATGGCTGAGCCCAGGCAATGGCTAACAAACTTCCATGATGCCAACTTTCCTCTAAATAGGGTACTTCAGTTGCCTCTCTTAGACCTTACTGACTATCTGATATATTAAATAGAATCCTGGACTCCATATGAACCGATGTTAACTGATATTTCACATGTTCTTTCATTTCTAAATAGAACTCCTACTTCATATATGTCTTCATGTATCCTCTTTCCTTCATCCTCTGATTCCTGAACCTGTCCAGGGAGGTTGACTTTTCCCCCATGTGTCCAAGGTGCAAGTAATAAACAAAAAGTAACAATGGAGGAAAAAGCAGTGCCGGAAATGGCACAGTTTTGGAAAAAAAGGTTGTTATAGAGGACTTTACATGCACACATCAGCAAAAACTAAACTAAAAACATGTTCCATTCAGTTCTACTATACCACATAAAGGGGAGAGTCAGCTTTGATGAATCTATCTGTTTCTCAATCATTCACTCACTCAAACATATATACATATGTATGTATATATAGAGAGTCTATATATGTATAGTCTATATATAAATATACACACATATTATACATAGTCAATCTGTATAGACTATACATATACATATATACACACATATAAATATATATACACACATATTCTCATAGACATGCAACTAGTCAATGAAAAGAGAGGAATAATTTAAAACACACTTTGAATCACTACCTAATTTCTATTACCCTGATAACACTGAAATCTAACAATGGCTAATACAACTTGGAAGATAATAGAATAAAGTAATTTCAACCAGCAACTGTGGTGGTTCACAGGTAGATATATTGTAGTACCCATTGTAGATTTTACAAATTTAAAAATTCTCTAATATATTTTGAAGTATCTTCTTAAGATTTTAAAATGCATACATAAATATATAGAATGAAGCCTTAAATCTGTGATTGCCATCATACACTTAATGGGTCCCTTCGAATTTTAACTATTCATTTCCACTGAGTCTGCAGTGATTGGGACCCCTGATTTATACCACTACGGATCAATCTTTCACTATCATTGCAGTCATCAAATATATTTTACATGATTAAACTGATTCATGACAAGGCCCAATTAGCCCTCCCTACAGGCTATAAAAACAGTTTTCTGGGAAGCTGTTTAAACTAAACATTTTCTATCAATTTGCTTATATTTCTAGTGTTTCCTCTGAAGTTTGATTGTTAATCCTAAAAAAAAAAAACCATACTAGCGGCAAGGGTAAAGGTCACAAATTGGCATTTCTTCTTAAAATATATCCATTTAAATGCAAATTTTGGCCTTTATTCCTAACCTTTAAACAGTTATTTCATAGAAATGCAAAAAGCAAGAGTAAATTTTGTTTTCATATCTACATAGCAACACTCTAATATATTATGTAGTTTCATTTATCTATATAAACTCTACATTTTTACAGCTTGATGGGTATCTTTAGGGATAAGCAAGATTTTCTCAGAAAATTTAATTTTTTAAAATGTAAATATTCATAGAATAGTTTAAATCTAACTTTAAGAAAATAGAGCCTCATCATTTTTCACATTTTGAATCACTAGAGTTGCCACATTTTTTGTTATACTATTTTTATTCAGCTTATGCAATTTACTAAGCTATGGCATCATTAGTAACAAATAAGTTGAAATAGTCTTTATGGTGGTTGAAACCAATTCAAATACACTTCTATGAAAATAAAAAAGTAAGGCAGACAGCATTTTCCACTAGCATTTCAAAATGTAATAATTGAAAACACAGAAAATACTACATACTAATGAGGTGACCGTTTTGTCCTAGTACCTACATTAGAGTAAAATCGAAATAATTGAAGTTTTAAAAGAGAGGAAAAAAAGCTATTTAGAAAACATTAAAAGTTTCCAAGCATTAAATTAACTGAAAACTTCAGGATTATTACCAGAATTACGTTTCTTATGATGTGAACTTTGATACTTCAGAATCGTAAAAACAGATATGAATATACCAAACTGTCACTTTTTCAATGCCTCATAAGGTGGCATCACACGGGTACTTTGTGCCTCCTGTGTGTCCTCTCAGCCTGTGATTTCTTCTGCAGCTGTCAGGGACAGTTTTCTTGTATCAAGGCAGTGTCTCCTCTTAAGGACTTTGATTCTCTCAATTTTTTCTTCCTCAGGGATTTCTCCTAAGTCATGGCAGCTATCTTAGCCCCTTGCAGGGCAGGTTGGAAGTATGAGGGAGTTAACACCCACAGCCCCATAAGCCCCACGTATGGAATGAGAGTTAGTGATAAACGCCTGAACATCCAATCCTTTGGACCTGTGCAGTGCAATCCAGCAGTGACTAGCTATATATGGCTATTTACACTTACGTTAACTAAAATTAACTAATGCTAAAAATGTAATTCCTCAGTCACACTAGTCACATTTCAGATGCTAAACAGCTACATGTGGCTATGGCAGAAGACAGTGTGGACACACAATGTTTCCATCATTACAGAAAGTTCTATTGAACAGTGCTACTTAGATAGGCAGGTTTGAGGTTACATTTACTACATGGTTCTTCAGAGGGTTCCCAGCAGGACCAAAACTCAGTTGCCCACAGTGGTAACCCCCTAAACAGCACATCCTTCACTGGGTTTTCCCCTGTTCTTAGCTCACTCTCTACCTCACTTCTACTTCCCAGGCTAAGTCAAATAAACAAGTCAAGTAAACTGCTTGCACTCAAGATCTTGACTCAGGCTCTGCTCTGTGAGGGAACTGAAATTAAGAGAAGTAGCATCTCAACATTTTTTACAATGTTTAACTGAGATGCAAACAGGAAAAAGATAATTATAACAATTAAATTGTATGTATTTACAATCTCTTGGGGATGCATCCTGACTGTGTTGGATTCCCTTGAGACCAGTGGGGCACCCCAAAGAGGTAGAAGTCTAACTCCAGAAAGCCTTGAAAACAAATGTGGCTCTTTCTGAAGGTCCCTCTAGGAAGCAGCAGTGAGGGGGTTGCATCAGAACAGAAGATGTGGACCCAGCCTTCCTCAAACTGCCATTCCATACCTTAGCGCACCTGCTCTTCTCCCCTCCTCTGTACCTCCCTCCTTCCCATCCCTCTCATTCTTCAACCCCCCTTACTTGCAAAACACAATATTTTCACCTGACTGGTTGGCTTCTGACACTGTTCTGTTTCTTTCTCAGCCTGATCAATTCAGTGAAGATCAAGTAGTTAAAGAACTCGAGGCTAATACAGTGAAACCCCGTTTCAACTAAAAAAATACAAAAAATTAGCCGGCCATGGTGGCGGGCACCTGCAGTCCCAGCTACTCGGGAGGCTGAGGCAGGAGAATGGCGTGAACCCGGGAGGCAGAGCTTGCAGTGAGCCGAGATCGTGCCACTGCACTCCAGCCTGGGCCACAGAGCGAGACTCCCTCTCAAAAAAAAAAAAAAAAAAAAAAAAAACTCGCAAAGGCATGAAGTCGAGGTGCGGGAGGGTAGGGACTACATCTTCTCTGCTTCTTTTGGTTGCAACACTGGTCTCAAGGGGACCCAATATAGTCAGAATGCATCCCCAAGAACATAACAATCACCAAACGTGAAGCTTACACAACAGCAACAACAAACGAAAACGATGACAAACTCACAACAACTCGGCAGGACAACGTGTGCCAGATATCTTGTGTTGTTGCTTTTTTTTTTTTTTTTTTTTTTTTTTTGAGACGGAGTTTCACTCTTGTCACCCAGGCTGGAGTGCAGTGGCGCGATCTCAGCTCACTGCAACCTCCGCCTTCCCGGTTCAAGCGATTCTCCTGCCTCAGCCTCCTGAGTAGCCGGGATTACAAGCGCCCGCCACCACACCTGGCTATTGTTTGTATTTTTTAGTAAAGATGGGGTTTCGCCATGTTGGCCAGGCTGGTCTCAAACTCCCGACCTCAGGTGATCCACCCTCCTCGGCCTCCCAAAGTGCTGGGATTACAGGTCTGAGCCACAGCACCCGGCTGTTGTTGCTCTTTTTTTAATGGGAGGGATAAGGTAGGCAGGAGGATTGGGGAGTAACTGTCAAAAGGCAAATCTTACATGGATATTCCAAAAGGATATCTGCAAAGAATTATTTCCTAAACGTTTTTTTCCTATAAGTCTGTGATTATGCCTCTAAACAGTCACGTCGATAAAACTGAAAATATTCCCAAATGGCAAATGCATACGTTCATTCAGTCACTCACAAAAGGCAGTGCAGATATATGTGTGTCAGCCACTGCGCCACAGGTAGGAATCCAGAGTAATTAACTTATTCAACAAATATATATTAGACATATGTCATATATTAGGCCTTATGGTAGGTGGTGAGGTGACAGCAGTGGCCAGTTCCTCCCAGTGGTGAAACACAACACTTGGGGAAACCCAGGTGAGCAAAGTGAGGCTCGCAACACAGCAGCACAGGTAGGTATGCTCACAAACCACCATCCCGAGGGAAATGTGCAGAAACAGTAACCAACATTGAGATTTCACCGTGCATAAAGAGAAAACGATTTGAACTAGGTACAGGTAAAGCCAGTTAAGATTATTTTTTTAAATATATTTTAAGGATAAATTTAAGACTCATGAGGACATTTTCTAGCCAGCAAAGCACAGACAGGCTGGTATTGTGGGTCTGATTTAACAAAATAAATATTTGTGGCTGGTTCAATTATGGTAAATTATTGTTTCTCAAGTGCCTGAGTACAAACTGTGCTATCACGTAGGTGAAATAAGCCCTTCCCTTGGGGATCTGGCTCTGATATGCATCTGCCTAGTAATTCCCTGCCTATTAGTAACCGCACCCTTGTTTCAGTTCACTTTTAACTGAATTGTCACATTTTGAATATGGTTTCTCTCAATCTGCATGTTGGGTATTCAGTAAATCAATATCTAGATTACTTATTGATTTTTCTAGTGCTATGTGCACATCCAGATATTTCTTCCAGTTTGAGAAAATGAAATAGAAACAAAATTATGTTAACATACTCTTTCCAATAAGTAAAAAACAAACTCAGTATGATATTCAAATTTGGTGTTTGAATGTTTTTTGTAAGAATATGATTTTTTAAATCTCAATTTATAAACAAAAAGATGCCATCACTAAGAAACTTGCCAGTTTTACATAGCACAGAGCTTAATCACTATTATTATTATTTTTTAACAACTCTAAAAACCATTGCAGCAGTAAAGCACACAACATAACACAGCCCAATTACCACTCAGAGAGACTTGGCAATCACAGCATGGCCAATTCAAATTTCAGTGATGCCTCTTTAAACCTTAATGAACCGTAGTGCCCTAATGAGAGGTTTCACTGAATTCTGGTCAACCAAGCATACATTTTACACAGCAAAGAGGAAACTAGAAACCCATTGCATCTTAAGTAGTAATATTTGCATCAACAATGGTTATGAATCATTTTTTCTTTGGATAAAGAAACCAAATAGCCACAGCTCTTTGAGATTCATATTTAGGGGTGATGGCTTAATTCAACATGAAACTCATATTACATCATGCAATATTCTGCATCAATTTATCATAATAAATTATCAATGTATGCATTGAACTTCTAGGGAAATAATAGTTGTAGAGTTTTATACAATAAAAAGCACATTTTGAAATGTTTAACAAAGAACCAAAGATATTTTGTCTGTAGACAATTAATGCTGATACTAAATAAAATAATTGATTCAATGAAACAAAAATATATTCTGTTAATCAAAAAATAATGTTGGTCACAAATTGCATTCAAAGGCCACATATTTTCATTTCCTTACTAGTCATTTTGGCATGTGTGGACACAGTGATGGATAAAATATGTCCAGAGAGAAAAGGTCAGACTATGGAGGCACTAATATTCGCATTCTAAATATGGTACTGCTCCAATGTCCCCTCATTTTTGCTTATGACTCTTAAAAATCATCATTAGACAACTGCCGCTAGAACTTCAGCTGGCTCAGGTGAAAAAATGAGTAGTGTTGAGCTGCCTGAATACACTGCCTGGAAGATGAAACCCTATCCTGGAGATGTGCAACTCTTCTGAATTGGAGACCATATTTTCCTTTAAAAAATAGTTCTCCCAGCACTTTGGGAGGCCGAGGCGGGTGGATCACGAGGTCAGGAGATTGAGACCATCCTGGCTAAAATGGTGAAACCCCGTCTCTGCTAAAAATACAAAAAAATTAGCCGGGCGTGGTGGCAGGCACCTGTAGTCCCAGCTACTTGGGAGGCTGAGGCAGGAGAATGGCATGAACCCGGGAGGCGAAGATTGCAGTGAGGGGAGGTTGTGCCACTGTACTCCAGCCTGGGCGACAGAGTGAGACTCTGTCTCAAAAAAAAAAAAAAAAAAATAGTTCTGCAACACACTGTGGGGCGGGGGAGCAGGGAGCGGTGGGAGGGAGAGCATCAGGAAAAGCAGCTAATGCACGCTGGGCTTAACACCTAGGTGATAGCTTGATAGGCACAGCAAACTACCATGGCACACGTTTACCTTTGTAACATTAAATAGAAAAAAAAAAAAAAGAAGGAAAAAATAGTTCTGGACCATCACATGTTAATTGTAGTTGTGGGCAAAAAGGGGAAGAGAAGTGGAAAAGAGAACTTGTCCATTTTTTTGGTCCAACAATAAAACAGAATAAAATTATCTGACTTAAGATGTGCCAAAACATACATAGCATTCCTCAGTAAAAATGCAATGGTTAATAGTTATTAGCATGATGTAACACAGTATATATTAAACTCATTACACCTGCCCCTTTCAAGTGTCAAATGTCACCTCTTCAGGGAAGCTTTTCCTGACTCTCCATCCTAGATCAGGTTCAATGACGTAACATTCCTTCACAGCACAAGTTCCATTAGAAAGGCATTTGTACAATTATTTATTTCAGATTAGTCTCCACCCATTGCATGGTACATTCCAGGTAAGCAGCAGGATTATCTGTCTCCTACCACTGCTGTCTCTTGGGTCTTGCAGAGTGCCTAATGCATAGTAAGCACTCAAATGGCTTTGAATGACTGAATTAAGAAAAGAATGTCCATACTGTCCCAGTTAACCCTAAAAGTGAAGTGAGAATCAGGGAACTTCTTACATAGGTGTTATTCTGGATGGTATTTTGGTAACACATCTGAATATTTAGCATGCATAACCTTTTGCCTCTTTCATAGAAGTTGTATATACAGGAATGGTCAAAGAAACGTTTTTCATCCTCAAAATAGCTCAGAACCAACTTCCAATAGCAAGTAATTAATGAAACAAATTCTGCTATATACTTAGAATGCATGAACTAGTTGCAAAACAATATATATAAAGCAAACATAGGAAAATTGTATACATATACAGAAGAAAATGAATATAAAAAATTCTGAAAGAATATCAACTATTAGCAGGGCTTACCTTTAATTGGTATATATCATCTTTATTTTCTTTATTATGCCTTCCCGAACTTTACCAATGAATGCACATTAATTTCATAATCAAAAAATAAAAATTTTAAAAGAAGGAAAACAAAAGATGGTGTGATCATAATATGAATAGAGTGTAGTGTTTCATGAATGTAATTTTTTCTACTTCATATGAGACTATTAGATATTAGATAGTATGTAAAAAATTAAATGGTTATATATTTTGAATTCTTATTAATAAATGTCAAATGTTTATTAAAATGTTAGTCAATAATTAGGCTTGTAAAATTAAATATCTAACCTCCAATACTCTGAATAATGAAGGCTAATAGTTTCCAAGAGGAAACACAGCAAAGAGTATGTTCCAACAACTTTTTTTTTTTTTCTGGCAAGGAGAATATGGGTACACAAAAATAAAACACAGTTACTAATTAGTTACATTATCTGTGAAGTCTATCAGGGTGCAAAACCTAGATCAAAAGAAAATTTCAAACTTCTTTTATATAACTGGGGTCAATGGCATGAGCTTCAGTTTATGATTTTTGATTAAGTGACTAAAGTAATGCTTAAATCTCAGAAAGGACATAATATCTACCTAGGAGTTATTGTGAAATAAAACCACGTACCATGTAAACAAAGCATCCATGCCATATGTGGAATATACTTTTCACTCAAGCTGTGTTTATTACTATTGTTGTTGTATGTAGGGGCTGGATAGAGGAAAATAATTTGCTCAAATCGTCAATAACTGTTACAACTTCCTACTTAATGCGGTCGCTGTGAAAGGAGACTAACTACTGTGTAGATTGACAACCAAATCCCAAGGATATCAATACAGAGTTCAATAAGTCATTTGATGCCAACCTAATTTTTTAATGTAGTTGGAGTAGTCCCTGGGGGCCCTGTGGCTGCCGCAAAGTAGTTCCATAACAGCAAATGTCACAGCCATCCAAGGACGCGATGATGCTAATGTAGCATTCTTCATAAAATAAAACAGGGTTGCTGCTCGCCCTGACATCATAACAAAGCCCTGATGGATGTGCACTCTGCGTGCTGAATTGATTTTTGTTAAGTCCGAGCTCTCATACTATTTTATCCTAATGTGCCTAAATAAGCAGTGTTGACTCCTTAATTTACTCATTTTAACACCAGCAGCTTCCAGGACTCCATTAGCATGATGCCGCATTTAGGCTGTCTGCTGAATTTTCTAACCTCAAATGTACGAAATCTGAATTGCTAAAATTATAAAACTACCAGAAAAATCATTTCTTTTAAGACCAGTAGGAACTTGTGTATCCGCATTTCAACTAGTTACATCCGTGAATACTTCGACTGGAGGGTACAGTGAATTAATCAGGATGCTCGGCTTATTATGACAGCTGATTGTGGATACATGTTACAAACACAACCCAAAGGCCCTAAAGAAGCAGTTGAATGTTTTGTCCCTGAACGAAGCCTTTGGAGAGACACGCATTGAGTGAAATTCAACAAAACAGAATGCAACTCAATAGATACACGAATTCTGCCAAAAGCAAAATAGACTATTAGGGTCTGGAGTAATTTGGAAATAAACAGTAAATTCTGTAGGAAAAGAAAATAAAAAGAATTACTGCAAGCAACAGAAACAGAATCTTAAAACAAATTGAAAATACACACCAAAACAGAAGATTATTTTAACTAAGAAAAATTCAAAAAGAATTTGTATTAGAGACATTAGCCTGATATACAATGAGGATGCTAAAACCTTGGGGATATAGTAATACATGTATTTATTAGGGAATGTAAAAATCTGTTTTCTTGGGAGTCAATGCATGGGTATTGTGGGTTCAGGCTTGTGTTTCATTTTTTTTTTTTAACTAGTGTTTATTTCTGAGTGTTTGGTGGTTGTATTTTATTACTCAAGGAATTGAACTATTGCAGAGTGATATATTCAATGAATTTCTCCTTCTATCAAGTTCAGTGTTTTACTGGTTTTAAAAACAGCCATTACTTTTATTGTCTCTAGCAAAACCAAACACATGCTGTACTTTAGTTCCACATCTGTATTGATAATGATAGGTCACCAGCTCTTCAGTACAACCCAAACTGTGGCATTATAAAAGCCTATCTCCTTATTGAAGCTTAGCCTTTGCTTGTAAAAACAAGGTGAAGGTCCAATTAACTATTCAGAGGAAAATGGGAGGGCGATCTTTTGTGCATAGGCATCCCCATTCGAAAACCTATAATCCATAATGAGCCCTGTTTAACACAACGGATGCTCTCCTTTCAGACAAGCCCAAATACCAGGTCACTAATGAGCAAGAATTTAAAATGTGAAGGCCATGAATAAAACAAGTTATTGTGAAAATTGGCTCATATTAAGAGATTTAAAAGACTTGGCTAGTCCTGTTTGGCCTGACAGGTCTAGCTAATTAATCAAATGGTTTGATAAGTAACTAACTTCTCCCACTTTAAAGAGGAATTCTAATCTGCCAAACAGCGAAGGAAAAGAACAATCTTGATGCTGCTTAAAATATAAAGAATGGAATTTCATGGCCATGTGCATGACCTATATTTTTTTTTGACAAAGGTGTTCCAGTAAAAGCTTTGATATGTGGATACGCCTAATAGAAAGCATTAGAAATTAGCATATTTTAATGCCCTTGTTATAAGCCCTTACTTCAGGAAAAAGGTACCAATATGGAGACCTTTCTAGAAAAGACTTTGGACACTGTTGTCACTGGTCAGGTTTGCTAGGAGAAAGCTTGCAATGGGGCAGAGCACAAAGGACCAGGTTTCTTGTCTTGCTTCACTGCCAAGCACTTTCCTTTTACGGCTCTCACTGCTAGGCATCTCTGTGGCACAGGAGCGGTACTTGGTTAATTAGAATGTTCAGGAATCTCTTTCTCTTGTTCTCAATTCAAAAAACAGACTTATCGGGTGGTAAGTCTTTTATTGTGCTTAGAGTGAAAGCACACAGGGCAGACGTGCCTGCAGCAGTGACAATGGACCATGTGGTTAAAAAGGCAGCTGGAGGCCCTGCAAAGTGCAAAGACTTAGGAGTTTTTCAGAGGTAGATTGAAACATGGAGCCTCACCACAGGACCTTTGTAACCTCCTGCAGGTCATTTAAAACATTTTGAACCTCATTTATCTTAAATGGAAAATGGGACGAATAAGACCTTTTATGCAGGGCAGCTCTGTGTTTAAGGACAGTGACCGGCACATGGTAGTACCTCAATAAACACTATTTTTTCTGCCTGAGAACTTAAATGTGGCAGAAAGTTTCTTTCATGGCCTCCAAAGAACCACACCTCCTGGTATTTATATATCCATGGGTAGCCCCTCCCAATTGCCATGGGACTAGATTTGGCTAATGAGACATTAACAAAAAACTGGATAAGTACTTGCACACTGGGACTTGTACTCTTGGAATGCTTATTCTCCAAGATGATCCCTCTTTGAAATCAGCTGCCATTCTGTGAAAAGCTCAGCCTAGTCATGTGGAGAGGTCACGTGAGGAGAATTGAGACCTCCCAGTAGACAGCCAGCACTGACTTCATAGCTGTGTATATTAAACCACCATGGAAGTGGATCCTTCAGCCCCTCCAGGTGAGCTATCCCATCTGATGGCACATGGGGCAGAGATAAGCCATCCCCACTGAATCTTGTCCAAACTGTAGAATTATGAGCAAATCAATAATTGTTGCTGTTTCAGGCCACTATATTTTGGGATGATTTTTTAGCAACAGACAACCAGGAGACTTCATAACCTTTCTTACCGTCTGCTACTGATGACCAACTCCCAAGAATTCTGCAGAGTGTTTAAAGAAGCTACAGTATGCAATACCATGACTAGCCAAGTATTTTCTGAGAACTTTGGAATTTTATAATTGTTCAACAGCTCTGAATTGACAAAAACAATTGGTCAAATATACAACCCTCTCTCTTTCTTAGAGATATTCTGAATAAATAAAGTCACCAGACATATGATTACCATATAGATAAATTTTGGAATTTTCATATAGTTGTGGGAAATTTTTATGTGTTTGGCTTTGGTATTTCTCCTCCTGCAGTCCATGATTTTTAGAAATATCCTCAAAATGAACTGCCAATATGGCAAGTTCCTAACTAGCTTTACTTATATAATTTATTTTACTCTGTCAACAAGCAATGTAAGTATTTGTACTTGGAGTATTTTGAGCATATCTTACAATATCATAATCTGAAAACAGTGAGGTAGCAAAGACTGCTATTTCCTATCCCAAAGTCTATTTCCTCTTCTTAGCGAAAAAACAACAAACAAACAAACAAACAAACAAAAAAAGCCACCAAATATATTTGGGATTTGGGATGGTATTACACCCAACTACAGTTCTAGCATCCCAAGCCTTCCCGTCAGCAAGGTATGGTCATGTGAATTAGCTCTGACCAACAAGACCTAAGCAGAAGTGATGTATGGGATCCACAGAAAGACTCTTTGTAAAGAAGAGGACAACTCTCTTGGTTTCCCACTTCGCTTTTCTAGCTTCCTTCTTAATGCGATGGCTGGTAATCTAGCAGCAGTCTTGAACCATGAGGCAACCTTGAGTGTGCTAAGGATACAGAAACCCAGGTCCCTGATGACAGCTGAGCCACTCTGCCAGCTCCAGACTCCTTATGTCTGCACTTTTTGTTTTAACATGAGGATAAAAAATTAACTTCTACTTTGTTTAAGCCACTATTATTTCAGGATTTCTGTTATTTGCAGATAAAATTAATTATAAGAAATACAAATAACTTAAGCATTGCTATACATGAAGAAAAGAAAAAGGTTTGATTGTAGTCTCAGTTTAAAATTTTTAAATGGAAAAGAAAATATTTCTGAAGAAGATCAACAAGTTACAAATAGGGAGAAGTTTGCTGCTGAAAATTAAATATACACGACCTAGAATCCCATAAGAGTCCACAGCTTTTTGTTATAATTTGTTTTGCATATTCAAAGATTACACAAAAATAATCATAGAATCATGCCTCTATAACTGCTGAACAGGGAAAGACACAGAGAAACTAGTCATCACTGTTGTATTTCTTCAATGGTTTGGCCATGCCATTTAAGTATACTTTGAGAACATCCAGTTAAAGAAGAAGACCGAAACACACATTCTAGATTATAAACTGAGAAAATTTGCCTAAATGTAATCAAATGACAGCACTTTTTTTTAGATATAAATACCCAGATTCTATACAATGAAATCCAATGTGGAATTAATCCATATCTTCACTAATGACATGGATGGGAGATGAACACAATGGTGTGGGTACATGCACAGATGTATGATAATAATTATCGAAAACTCTATCAAAGCACATTTTTATTTTTCAGAGGAAAATTGCAGGAGGTTATTTTTTCAATGACTGAAAAGAGCGTGTTTTATAACTGAAATCTCAAACTCAGATAGTTTCATGGTGAAAGATTATATTTTCAACAAAAATATTCAGATGCCTCACTTAAATGAAAGTTAAACCTACCAGGAAATAGCCAAAGTTCAATTGTTTTCCTAATAACTATTGAAAATAGAAACTCAGAAAACACTTTCACTCTCCAGACCTTGTAACGCCAAGCCATAGCTCATGATAGCATTGCAAGCACACCAAATGGCTTGCCGAAAACTGTAGCTAGAAAAATGAGAAAGGGGACACTGTGAATGGCAGAGTTTACTATTAAGTAGAATATTATACAAATGATACCCACAAGGTTTAAAAGGTTCAGATACCCTAAAACTTATCCATCTTCAGTGGAAAGTTATCCATCTTATGTGGAACAATATCTTATGGGTTTTCAGTAGCTAGAATGTTACCATATTTTGCCAAGGCTTTAAATGCAGGTATAATTCTTTTAAAAAATCATTGAAGGATAAGTGATATCACATTCCCAGCTAAGGTCCATCAAGTTTTACAGAAATAAGGGTCTTGTTTTGTACAAGATGCTAGAAAATGCACTTCTAAAAGGTCTATGGTACTCATGCCTTCAAGATATATTTTGATATATCTTGTTCTTACCATTTTGTTCAAAACTATGAGATGTCAAATACCTACTTTATGGATTTCTGAATAAACATTTGAATCCTAAACAATATCAAACATCCATTTAGAAGTATGAAATAAAACAACTATACTTGTAGAAGGACCAGTCTGAGGCACCTATAAGATCAGGCAGCCCTTACTAAACGGAAGTCTTTGGAAATGTAAGTATACACTGGCAGGCTTTACTCATGAGTACACCAGGGCCAGCTTGGAAGTGCCAGAGTGGGTCTTGGACAAATCTATTCACCTACATAGTAGCTCCCAGTGGTCTTGAGTGTTCTCCCTAAACTTCTATATGATCAACTGGAGTGTAAAATGAAGCCATCTGAATCTTCTTGGACCATTCAATAGCTCTCTTATTCTCCTACTCAAGGACCATGCCCAAAGATGTGGACTAGACTTAGGGAAAACAAAAGAGAAAGAAACAATTAGGTGAGGCTGTTTGCTTACGAAAGTATTGTCTCTGGTACACATGATGAGAGCGAGTGTTCTCAGCCTTGACTGCACATTGAAATCATCTGGGAACTTTGAAAAAAATCCAGGTGCTCAGGCTGAACCCAAGACCAATTAAACCAGGATTTTACAGAGATGGTACTCAGAGATAAGGATTTTTTTTGGTAAGCTCTCCAGGTTATTCCAACCCCTTTATCTGACCAAACTCTCTGCTAGTTATTGACACGTAGGAAGGTCATCAACAGAACAAGGAAAAGGAAACATGTAAACTTCCCTTAGTGAAATTATGTGGTTGTGGGTATACAAGCTAATTCCTGACTGCCAGATTAAGATATTAACCCAATTATGCTCATTTTAGTATACTGAAAAAAAGAAGTCATCATTTTTATTTTAATTTGTTCAACTGCTAAAAGAATAATGTATTCCAGTGTCAATATGCCAAAGCAAATACATTTCATATGAAAGGCATCTATTTATGAGTCTTAGCAAGACTGGAAAACTGCCAATGCACATTTTCCAACAGACTAGGAGGCTTAGCAGGTAGTAAGCTGAACTGGCATGTAAGACCCTATGTTAATGAAAATGCCGAACTCTGGTTTCCTAACTATTCATGATTGGGAAATGAGAGTTTACGGTTCCGGAGGCTTTCCACGCAACGCACATCATCCGGGCATAATGAAAAACTGACACCTAAGTACCCAAGCATCATGTGAACACTGTGCAAATGCTATACAGAGAGTCACGGCAGCTTAACCAGATGGAGAACAAAAACACAGCAGCGCACAACGAATGAGTAAGTAAAATCCCTATGAATCAATTCACTCAGGCATAATACTCTAAATCCTTAAAAAGGGGGGAAAAAAAGAATGTAACGGAAATCTATTTCCACAATACACCCAAGGGTAACTAATGTAACTAACTGGCTAATGACAATACAAGATTAAAATAAACACCAAAACCCACTATACCTGGATTCATATTACTTAGATGAGAAGCTAAGTTAAGATATTGTAGGGAAGCTCACTTAATTACACTGGTGATGAAATTGTCTTTTCTCTTTTCTTGAGTTTAAGCAGTTATGCCTTGGGCCCAACTTTCCTGACCTTGTGAGTAAGTTGAGCCACATGTTCAGCAGAAGATATCACAGTAGCTGTATTTTTATAAGAAAATTCCTTTTTAATTATAAAACTAAAGCAGAGAAAACAAAAAAAAAAAAAAAAAAAGGAAGAAAAATTATTCCTAATCCCACCACCTTCAGATACCAGAACGGTTAAATCTACATCCACGACTCCTTTTAGAATGAAAGGATGAGGTTCCTCCAGATCTTTGGCCGGCAGATAGAAGTAGGCTTTCTATGTAGGCAGTCTTCTTAAAGGCCTTCAGAAGCTATTTCACTAACATTTACCCTTTCCTTCAAATCAAAAGCACAGACAATGCTATTGCTTTCTCCCTTCTTCAGTGCAAACTCTCCCAAGTCTTCTCTTCCTAAGTCCTCAGTATCTCTCAAAGAAATCTACTCTGTCCACCTTCACCAGCAGCACTCCGGGATGATCATCAGAATTACTTAGGATGCTTCCTTTCATTTGGTATATTCCTCTTCAATCTGCCCACACACCAGAGCCAGAGGAATCTCCTTCATGGGCTTCCCAGGGCTTTTAGGTTGGGAACAACATCATGATATCTGCTGCATCTTTCACAGGGCTTCCATCTCCTCGGCTTCTTCTGTCTCCACTCTCCCTCCTGAACTCAATGTCCCAGCCACATTGTCCTTTCAATGCTAGAATAAGGCCTCTGGGCCTTCCCAGTGCCTAGAACACTTCTCTCCTTTCCGCTCCCCTGACTCCCACTTTAGCTTAGTCATCCTCTTTTAACTTTCAGCTTAAAATTTACTTCCTGCAGAAAGCCTTTTCTGATCCCTAAAATCAATGAGGTCTTCTGGCTTCGGGCTCTCTTATCAACTGAATTTCCCATCACAACACTCATCCCCCGGTATGTACTGATCTGTTTAATAGCTTAGCTAACCTCCCTACCGGATGGTAAGCTGTATGAGGGGAAGGTTTTGTTTCTCTGTCTTAGAAGGTGGTACTCACATTGCCTAGCTAAGTGGCTGGGCCATAGTGGATTTTCTACAGAATATTTGCTGGAAAAGTGAATGAAACTTGAATTCTCTTATGTTGTACCTTTTTTTTTTTTTTTTCTTATCAATACGTCTTGCAGCCACACCTGAGAATTCAAGATACTCAGGTCAAAATACTGACTGACTAGTTTGTGATTTTTTGGGGGTTTTTTGTTTGTTTTTGTTTTTTGTTGTTTTTGAGGCAGAGTCTTGCTCTGTCACCCAGGCTGGGGTGCAGTTGTGTGATCTTGGCTCACTACAACCTCTGCCTCCCTGGTTCAAGTGATTCTACTGCTTCAGCTTCCCAAGTAGCTGGGATTACAGATGCCTGCCACCACACCCAGCAATTTTTCTGTATTTTTAGTAGAAATGGGGTTTCATCATGTTGGCCAGGCTGGTTTCGAACTCCTGACCTCAAGTGATCCACCCACCTCGGCCTCCCAAAGTGCTGGGATTGCAGGCATGAGCCACCATGCCCAGCCAAGCTTGTGATTTTAGACAAGTTAATTAACCTCTCTGAACTTCGGTTTTGTTAATATAATAATAGGCATTCAATAAGACAGTAACCATAGCTATCATTGCCATCACAGCAGCCACCTCTATCTCCTCTCTCAAAAAAAAAAAAAAAAAAAAAAAAAACCTAAGGAAGAGAAACAAAAACAATCTCTAAACAGTAATACTATTTGGAAAAATTATTATGCTTCCATTCATATTACCATAGCTGTAGCTCTCATTCTAGATTAATAAGTACATATCCCTAAATATTATAGTTTTTGTAATGGACTCCTTCAAAAAATGTAATACTGGCCATCTTCTGCATGCATGCTATATGCTAGTTGGCATCCTTTAGATAAAACTAGAATTTTGGCAGGCAGACTCCCTATTTTCTTTCATAGGTGAACCTGGAATCTTCATGTGTCAAAATCTTGAAATCATCTGAATGTTTCAGCCACAGGATGCAGTTACTAAAATACCCCGAATAGAAAAACAAGATATTACTGACTCCTCCCTTTTCTATATGAATGCATCTTCAGGGGGGTACTCAGAGACCAGCGGGCTAAGACAGAGAAAGAAACTCAATGCCAGACAAAGAGCCAAAGCCACTCCAGAAGGTAGTAGGATTTTGTACTACTCATAGTAGACGAAGTAAATGATTCCCATAGATGGAGTAAATGATTCAACTTCATTTGCACCTCAAGGATTTTCCGTGGCTCTTCACTGCCTCTGCCCATTACCCTGACTGTGCGGACCTCAATGATGGTGGTGTGTCATATTCTTCCCTGGTGTCTGCCTCCATGCCTAGAACAGTGGCCCCAGCAGGGGATATCCATAAATGTGTACAAACTAATGAAAAAAATGAATACACAACTACGAAATGATCCTTCCATCTTCCATAGATCAGGATAGAATAAAAATAACACTTTGGGTGGATGTAAGCCCACAGAAGATATGGCAGATGTTTTTGGTGGCCCACCTAGAGCACTTAGCTGTTACTGCTTCAGTGTGCCCCAACTGGCATCCAACTGCTAGTACAGGTCATCGCCTCTCATTGGCTCAGTGCTTTCTCTGAAACTTCAAAGACTACTCTGTCCTTTTGCATGGCAGGCTGGTAAGTGTCAGGGACATCACATCTTCTTCAAACCTTGTGACACTCAGCCAGTGACTGAAGAGTTGGTGCATAAATATCCTACCTCCGTTGTCCCTTAACTCTGAGACATGGTTTTAAACCATTTCCAAGGCTTCTCTCAGTTGCTGTCCCCTTTCTCATTTCTCAGATCCCTATCAGTATTTTATGAACTTATAAAATAAACCAAACAAACAGGACCTCTGACACAGGAACTGCTTCTGAAGAAACTCAAATTGAGACAAAAAACGTATATGAAGAATACAGAAGTCAACGTGCAATCAGCTAAGACAGCCCAAGGAGTCAGTAAGAACTTCTGCCTGGAAGGCAAAATATACAGTTCTAAATAAACTTTTCATTAACTTCCATGTTTTATGATTTTATAAATTGTGTATTCTCATACTGATAAGACAACTTAGTGTTCATGTCTTTTACATGTGGTTTTCAACACGACGCATGTATGAGCCACAGGGGCAACAGGCATTGTGGAAATAAATAAACCAGTGAATTGGTCATGGGCAATATGTTCTTAATGAGAAAACTGGCTCCCTGCCATGAAATGTTTCTTCAAGCACGATTTCAAATGCTATATCAGTCAAAAAAGAGTGCAGTTTCAAAATAAAATGCTCTGATAGTTCTATCTGCTTAGCAACAAGTACATTGGATAAGAATTCTAACATTAATTAGCACTCCCACATCAAGCCTTCAAAACAAGAGGATGAAAGGAAAAACTGTAAATCGGCAGCTTAAAATTAAAAGATTTATGAACAGCCAAGTTGTCTTCGAATAACATTTTGAAAATCATATTGCTCAGTGATAAGCATTCATTTAGATGTGTTCTTATATAATGTTAATATATGTGCTTTAAGTGTGTAAGAAATATTTTATTTACGTGAGTAGTTTTATTTCGATTCTATGTAGCTACTCTTGTATCTTTCACTTTACATTTTGCAATTATTTATTTTTTTTTCAGTTTACACAACTCAAATTCAATTGTGTTTCATCAGAAGACATAATAGAATGATAGTTTTAAGGCCAGAATCTCATATAATCCAATTTGGTTCCATTACCCAATTTGTCCAACTATACCTGAATGTAGTCAATAATAACATGCACCGCAATTCCTCTCCTTGCTGAATTGTATCATAATTTTCCATTCTTAACATTAGTGTCAGGTGAAAAAAGGGAACACTTAAATGTGTCCTTAAAAATACAGTTTATATGTATGAGTATAACACACACATATAAATAAAAAATATGAAAGTGGTTCTGCTCTATGTTAGAAATTGAGGAAATGTGATCAATTTATACAGATGAAAAATGGAGATAAGGCAATTTGTAAACTGTTAAGGAGTACATAAGCTTCTAAAGGCTTTTGAAGGTCTTCTGTAATTTGTCTTCTTTAATGCTGATACCTTCATGGATCTGGGCCCTTGCCTTATACTGGGTATACTACACTAATTTATCCTTAAAATGTTAGGAATTATTTACTTCTTAAACAACATTTTTGCTATTATAAAGTTAAAAATAGAAATACAGATGTTTGGAAATCAGAGAACATAAAGGGAGATGGAGGCTGTGGGAATGATTCTTATATCCCTCATCTGTTTATTTTTTCGCTTTTGATAAACTCTCCTTCCATCCTCCCTCTGCCCCGCAACAAACCTACCATCTTATCTTTCCGTACCTTCATTTAAAAATATCTGGAAGGAATAGTAAACTGAGGGCGTATTGCTCATTCCATTTTCCACTCAACTCCTTTTAATGTGGGTTCTTCAACTGGAAGCAGAAAAACACGTGATGGAAAGGAACATCTGATAGTGTTAAGGGGACCGGAGTTATTCAGGAGTAAAATCAGCAGCTAAATGACCTACTTTAAATATCACTATTAGACACGAAGAGTCAAATAGAACGTGAGAACACTGACTTTTTAGAAACAATGACCAACTTTATATTTGGCACTTTAAAATATGGTTGTAGATGGCAAATCATAAGGGTTACATGAACTCATGTGTGAAAAGAGTTGGCAATGTTATTATGTTAGATATTTTAAAAATAAAAATAAAAAACAAAAAATGTTACTATGTTAGATATTTTATTTACTAACTTGTAGAATAACATTAAAATATATAACATAATAACATTTATTGATCGCTTGTGCTTGAGTGCTACATTATACCAGAGAAAGAGACTTATTCACAGAATAATTAGCCTAGTATTTAGCTACAGATTGTAATACTAAACAGCACCTCTAAGAATGACATACTAATTTTACATTTGCAATGCTATAGAGGGAATTCAGATGTTGGCAGATAAATATGCACATGTGCGTGCACACACACACACACCCACACATAATTCCAGGGAATAGATGTAGTTGTATGTTATGATAAATATTAAATCTATAAAAACTTCAATGTCATTTGGTAATGCAGGAAACCAGATATGAAAACCTATTTATGAAAGCAGACATGCAAAATCCTAAATCAAAATGCATCTACTTTTAAGATAACTTTTTTCTTTCCGAAAGATTCACTACTGGCTGTCTTTAAAATATATACTTTGTTACATAGTTGAAATAAGCTATCATGCAGAAGCTTCACCTAGACACAACTTATCTCCAGGAAACCACATCTTTCTAGGAAATAACAGCATGCAGCTTACATTATTTAAAGTATGTTATTGGGTAACAGATTAAAATATGTTACTCAATTTTTAGGGGACTGTAGGAGTCATAAAGCTTCCTCTCTCACCTTGAGGCCCCAGTGTTCTGCAATGGAGTTGACTACTACATTGAATCTTCTCTTTTGTTTGCAAAATTCCAGGTCATTGTTTCAGGATATAGTGTTTAACACTGTGATGACATAAGCTTTGGTGACACCATTCACTCATTCATTCATTCATTCATTCATTCATTCAATAAATGTTCAATGCATGTCCTTTCATCTGTTATTTTTCCAAGCATCTTAAGAGCTGATAGCTTCCTCTTCTGTGGTCTCTCAGCACTCTTTTTTTTAACTTTTATCATCATACTCAGTGCCACGCTCTGCAATTATTTCTTTGATTATCTGTCACCTTTAACCAGCACTTCAAGGGCAAGGATGACAATAACTTTGTCATTTTTGTTGCCCCAGAAATTAGCCATGTACCTGGAACATGGTAAGTACCTATAGTTTTTATTGAATAAATGATGGTTATAATAATATATCCTCCTTTAGAAGGCATTATAACTCCAAATATTCCATATTTTAGGGCACCCATTTCTCTCTACTGATGACTTTAATTTACATCTCTTATTACAAAACTTTAATTTTTTTAGTGTCTTCCAAAAAACGATCTACTATTCACATATCCACAGACCAGTAGAATGTCTTATCACAAAGATAAAATATCTGCTAACTCCCTTTTACAACTGATTTCCATAAAGTTATAACATCAATTTTATTTTTTAAAAAAACTGTAAGCATTTACTGTTGCCAAGCAATGAAAAGTTAGAAGTCTTCTGTCTCTTATTCCTCTTCATATGTGGCTCCTGGCTGTGACCAGCTGAAAAATTTCCATTTAGAAATGGGTAGTGGTGAGATGGCAGAATCTTGAGACTAAACTTCAGATTATACGGTGAAAAAGAGAGACACGAAACAGCACTGATTTGGAATGCACTCTGTCCGGGCTCATCTTCCACTTTCTCCATTCTGATGTTTAAAGATTATCTACAAAGTTGCTGTGGCTGCAGGGATATGATATTGTGATGTATACTAAGAAATACCTATTTGGTTTTCTTCCAGTTTCCTGGCACACAGCTCCTAAAAGCCTTGGAATTCTGGAGTGATAAGAGTGTATTTTGTATGTTAATGAGATAGCTGGTTGCTGGTTAATGAGATAGCTTGTCAGTGGATATGAAACCCCTAGACAGCTTCAGAATGGGGGCTGGTCACCAGAAAAGTCAAGACATGATCAGAGGGTTGGCACCTTCAGCCCCAACCTACAACATCGAGGGAGGGGAGGAAGGCTGAAGGTTAAGTGGATCACCAATGGCCAATAATGTAATCAATCATACCTACATAATGAAACTTCTATACAAACCCCAAAGGACTGGGCTTGAATGAGCTTCCAGATTGATGAATGTATGGAGGTATATGGAGAGTGGCACACTCAGGGAGGGCATGGAAACTCCACACCCCTTCCCACATGCCTTGCCCTGAGCACCTCCTCCATCTGGCTCCTTATTTGTATCCTTTAAAATATCCTTGTAAAGAAAATGTGGTACATATACACCATGGAATACTATGCAGCCATAAAAAGGAATGAGATCATGCCCTTTGCAGGGACATGGATGAATCTAGAAGCCATTATCCTCAGCAAACTAATGCAGGAAACAGAAAACCAAACACTGTATGTTCTCACTTATAAGTGGGGAGCTGAACAATGAGAACACATAGACACAGGGAGGGAAACAACATACACTGGGGCCTGAAGGGGTGGGAGGGGGGCAGAGGAAGGGGGAGAGCATCAGGATAAACAGATAATGCATGTAAGGCTTAATACCTAGGTGATGGGTTGATAGGTGCAGTTAAACACCATGGCCCACATTTACCTATGAAACAAACCTGCACACCCTGTACATGTATCCTGGAACTTAAAATAAAATAAAATTTAAAAAAAAGAAATTATTAATTTTCATATTAAAATATAAAGCCAATGAAAATATTTCAGAAGTCTCAAGATCGACAATTAATACTTGTTAGTAAATCATATCAACTCTGTAAAAAAAAACAAAAATTAAAATTAAAATATCCTTTGCAATAAACGGGTAAATGTAAGCAAAGCATGTCCCTGTGTTCTGTGAGCCACTCCAGCAAATTCATAAAACCTGAGAAGGAGGTTTTGGAAACCTAGATCCATAGCCAGCACATCAGAAGTACAGGTCATAACCTGGGGCTTGCTACTGGCATTTGAAGTGGGAGGCAGTCTTGTGGGACTGAGCTTTTAATCTGTGGGGTTGACTCTTCCTCCAGGTAGCCAGCATCAGAAATGAAGTGAATTACACCCACTTGGTGTCTGCTAGAGAACTGATCACTTGGTGTGTGGAGAGAAACCCCCATACATCTGGTGTGAGAAGTGTTGTGTTGAGTGATGTTTGAGCGGAGAAAAAACACTTTGGTTTTTCCTATCTCTGTAGGGGTGCAGAAAGATAAAGGAGGGGAAAAGGAATTTCAGACACAGAATATGATTATTAGTGAATCACTGTAATTTTATATTTATTTATTTATTATTATACTTTAAGTTCTGGGATACATGTGCAGAACGTGCAGGTTTGTTACATAGGTATACATGTCCCATGGTGGTTTGCTGCACCTAGCATCCCGTCACCTACATTAGGTATTTCTCCTAATGCTATTCCTCCCCTTGCCCCCTACCTCCCAACAGGCCCTGGTGTGTGATGTTCCCCTCACTGTGCCCATATGTTACCATTGTTCAATTCCCACTCATGAGTGAGAACATGTGGTGTTTGGTTTTCTCTTCCTGTGTTAGTTTGCTGAGAATGATGGGTTCCAGCTTCACCCATGTCCCCACATGAACTCATTCTTTTTTATGGCTGCATAGTATTCCATGGTGTATATGTACCACATTTTCTTTATCCAGTCCAACATTGATGAACATTTGGGTGGGTTCCAAGCCTTTGCAATTGTGAATAGTGCTGCAATAAACATATGTGTGCATGTGTCTTTATAGTAGAATGATTTACAATCCTTTGGGTATATACCCAGTAATGGGATGGCTGGGTCAAATGGTATTTCTGGTTCTAGATCCTTGAGGAATCACCACACTGTCTTCCACAATGGTTGAAGTAACTTACACTCCCACGAACAGTGTAAAGCGTTCCTATGTCTCCACGTCCTCTCCAGCATCTGTTGTTTCCTGACTTTTTAATGATCGCCATTCTAACTGGCGCAAGATGGTATCTCATTGTGGTTTTGATTTGCATTTCTCTAATGACCAGTGATGATGAGCTTTTTTTCATATGCTCGTTGGCCACACAAATGTCTTCTTTTGAGAAGTGTCCATTCATATCCTTTGCCCACTTTTTGATGGGGTTGTTTTTTTTCTTGTAAATTTGTTTAAGTTCCTTGTAGACTCTGGATATTAGCCCTTTGTCAGATGGATGGATTGCAAAACTTTTCTCCTATTCTGTAGGTTGCCTGGTCACTCTGATAATAGTTTCTTTTGCTGTGCAGAAGCTCTTTAGTTCAATTAGATCCCATTTGTCAATTTTGGCTTTTGTTGCCATTGCTTTTGGTGCTTTAGTCATGAAGTCTTTGCCCATGCCTATGTCCTGAATGATATTGCCTAGGTTTTCCTCTAGGGCTTTTTATGGTTTACATTTAAATCTTTAATCCATCTTGAGTTGATTTTGTAAAAGGTGTAAGGAAGGGGTCCAGTTTCAGTTTTCTGCATACAGCTAGCCAGTTTTCCCAACACCATTTATTAAATAGGGAATCCTTTCCCCATTGCTTGTTTTTGTGAGGTTTGTGAAAGATCAGGTGGTTGTAGATGTGTGGTGTTATTTCTGAGGCCTATGTTCTGTTTCATTGGTCTATATATCTGTTTTGGTACCAGTACCATGCTGTTTTGGTTACGGTAGCCTTGTAGTATACTTTGAAGTCAGGTAATGTGATGCCACCAGCTTCGTTCTTTTTGCTTAGGATTGACTTGGCTATATGGGCTCTTTTTTGTTTCCATATGAAATTTAAAGTAGTTTTTCTAATTCTGTGAAGAAAGCCAATGGTAGCTTCATGGGAATAGCATTGAATCTATAAATTACTTTGGGCAGTATGGCCATTTTCATGATATTGATTCTTCCTATCCATGAGCATGAAATGTTTTTCCATTTGTTTGTGTCCTCTCTTATTTCCTTGAGCAGTGGTTTGTAGTTCTCCTTGAAGAGGTCCTTCACATCCCTTGTAAGTTGTATTTCTAGGTATTTTATTCTCTTCGTAGCAATTGTGAATGGGAGTTTGCTCGTGAATTGGCTCTCTGTTTGTCTACTATTGGTGTATAGGAATGCCTGTGATTTTTTCATGTTGATTTTGTATCCTGAGACTTTGCTGAAGTTCCTTATCAGCTTAAGGAGTTTTTGGGCTGACGATGGGGTTTTCTAAATATACAATCATGTCATCTGCAAACAGAGATAATTTGACTTCCTCTCTTCCTATTTGAATACCCTTCATTTCTTTCTCTTGTCTCACTGCCCTGGCCAGAACTTCCAATACTATGTTGAATAGGAGTGGTGAGAGAGGGCATCCTTGTCTTGTGCCAGTTTTCGAAGGGAATGCTTCCAGCTTTTGTTCATTCAGTATGATATTGGCTGTGGGTTTTTCATAAATAGCTCTTATTATTTTGAGATACATTCCATCAATATCTAGTTTATTGAGAGTTTTTAGCATGAAGGGGTGTTGAATTTTATCAAAGGCTTTTCCTGTATCTATTGAGATAATCATGTGGTTTTTGTCAATGGTTCTGTTTATGTGATGGATTACGTTTATTGATTTTCATATGTTGAACCAGCCTTGCATCCCAGGGATGAAGCCGACTTGATCATGGTGGATAAGTTTTTTGATATGCTGTTGGATTTGGTTTGCCAGTATTTTATTGAGGATTTTCGCATCAAAGTTCATCAGGGATATTGGCCTGAAATTATTTTGTCGTTGTTGTGTCTCTGCCAGGTTTTGGTATCAGGATGATGCTGGCCTTATACAATGACTTAGGGAGGAGACTTTCTTTTTCTATTGTTTGGAATAGTTTCAGAAGGAATGGTACCGGCTCCTCTTTGTACCTCTGGTAGAATTCAGCTGTGAATCTGTCTGGTCCTGGGCCTTTTTTTGGTTGGTAGGCTATTAATTATTGCCTCAATTTCAGAACTTCATATTGGTCTATTCAGGGATTCAAATTCTTCCTGGTTTAATCTTGCGGGGGCAGTGTATGTGTCCAGGAATTTATCCATTTCTTCTAGATTTTCTAGTTTATTTGCATAGAGGTGTTTATACTATTCTCTAATGGTAGTTCGTATTTCTGTGGGATCACTGGTGATATCCCCTTTATTGTTTTTCATTGTGTCTATTTGATTCTTCTCTCTTTTCTTCTTTTTTAGTCTGGCTAGCAGTCTATTTTGTTAATCTTTTCAAAAAAATGAGCTCCTGGATTCATTGATTTTTTTGAAGAGTTTTTTTGTGTCTCTTTCTCCTTCATTTCTGCTCTGATCTTGGTTATTTCTTGTCTTCTGCTAGCTTTTGAATTTGTTTGCTCTTGCTTCTCTAGTTCTTTTAATTGTGATGTTAGGGTGTCAATTTTAGGTGTTTCCTGCTTTCTCTTGTGGGCATTTAGTGCTATAAATTTCCCTCTAAACACTGTTTTAGCTGTGTCCCAGAGATTCTGGTATGCTGTATCTTTGTTCTCATTGGTTTCAAAGAACTTATTTATTTCTGCCTTAATTTCGTTATTTACCCAGTAGTCATTCAGAAGCAGATTGTTCAGTTTCCATGTAATTGTGTGGTTTTGAGTGAGTTTCTTAATCCTGAATTCTAATTTGATTGCACTGTGGTCTGAGAAACTGTTTGTTATAATTTCTGTTCTTTTGCCTTTGCTGAGGAGTGTTTTACTTCCAATTATGCGGTTGATTTTAGAATAAGTGCTATGTGGTACTGAGAAGAATGTATATTCTGTTGATTTGGGGTGGAGAATTCTGTAGATGTCTATTAGGTCCACTTGGTCCAGAGCTGAGTTCAAGTCCTGAATATCCTTGTTAATTTTCTGTCTCGTTGATCTAATATTGACAGTGGGGTGTTAAAGTCTCCCACTATTATTGTGTAGGAGTCTAAGTCTCTTTGTAGGTCTCTAAGAACTTGCTTTATGAATCTGGGTGCTCCTGTATTGGGTGCATATATATTTAGGATAGTTAGCTCTTCTTGTTGCATTGATCCCTTTACCATTATGTAATGCCCTTCTTTGTCTTTTTTGATCTTTGCTGGTTTAAAGTCTCTTTTATCAGAAACTGGGATTACAACCCCTGCTTTTTTTTTTTTCTTTCCATTTTCTTGGTAAATCTTGCTCCATCCCTTTATTTTGAGCCTATGTGTGTCTTTGCACATGAGATGGGTCTCCTGAATATAGCACAATGATGGGTCTTGACTCTTTATCCAATTTGCTAGTTTATATCTTTTAATTGGGGCATTTAGCCTGTTTACATTTAAGATTAATATTGTTATGTGTGAATTTGATCCTGTCATTATCATGCTAGCTGGTTATTTTGCCCATTAGTTTATGCAGTTTCTTCATAGTGTCAATAGTCTTTACATTTTGGGTTGTTTTTGCAGTGGCTGGTACTGGTTTTTCCTTTCCATATTTAGTGCTTCCTTCAGGAGCTCTTGTAAGGCAGGTCTGGTGGTGACAAAATCCCTCAGCATGTGCTTGTCTGTAAAGGATTTTATTTCTTCTTCACTTATGAAGCTTAGTTTGGCTGGATATAAAATTCTGGGTTGAAAATTATTTTCTTTAAAAATTTTGAATATCAACCCCCACTCTCTTCTGTATTGTAGAGTTTCTGCTGAGAGATCCACTGTTAGTCTGATGGGCTTCCCTTTGTGGGTAACCCGACCTTTCTCTCTGGCTGCCCTTAACATTTTTTCCTTCATTTCAACCTTGGTGAATCTGACAATTATGTTACTCTTCTTGAGGAGTATCTTTGCAATGTTCTCTGTATTTCCTGAATTTGAATGTTGGCCTGTCTTGCTCGGTTGGGGAAGTTCTCCTGGATAATATCCTGAAGTGTGTTTTCCAACTTGGTTCCATTCTCCCCATCACTTTCAGGTACACCAATCAATCGTAGGTTTGGTCTTTTCAGATAGTTCCATATTTCTTAGAGGATTTGTTCATTTTTTCTCATTGTTTTTTTCTCTAATCTTGTCTTCACACTTTATTTCATTAAGTTGATCTTCAATCTCTGATATCCTTTCTTCTGCTTTATTGATTCAGCTATTGATACTTGTGTATGCTTCACAAAGTTCTTGTGCTGTGTTTTTCATCTCCATCAGGTCATTTATGTTCTTCTCTACACTGGTTATTCTACTTAGCCGTTCCTCTAACCTTTTATCAAGGTTCTTAGCTTCCTTCCATTGGGTTAGGACATGCTCCTTTAGCTCAGAGGAATTTGTTATTACTCACCTTCTGAAGCCTACTTCTGTCAATTTGTCAAATTCATTTTCCATCCAGCTTTGTTCCCTTATTGGCAAGGAGTTCTGATCCTTTGGAGGAGAAGAGGCATTGTGGTTTTTGGAATTTTCACCTTTTGGCACTCGTTTTTCCTCATCTTCGTGGGTTTATCTACCTTTGGCCTTTGCTGTTGGTGACCTTTGGATGGAGTTTTTGCATGGTCATCCTTTTTGTTGATGTTGATGATATTGCTTTCTGTTTGTTAGTTTCCTTCTAACAGTCAGGCCCCTCTTCTGTAGGTCTTCTGGAGTTTTTTGGGTTAGACTCCAGGCCTTCTTTGCCTGGATATTACCAGCAGAGGCTGCAGAACAGTAAAGATTGCTGCCTGCTCCTTCCTCTGGAAGCTTTGTCCCAGAGGGGCACCTGCTAGACGCCAGCCAGAGCTCTCCTGTGTGAGGTGTCTGTCAACCCCTGCTGGGAGGTGTCTCCCCGTTGGGAGGCACAGGGGACAGGGACACACTTGAGGAGGCAGTCTGTCCCTTGGCAGAGCTCCAGCACTGTGCTGGGAGATCTGCTACTCTCTTCAGAGCAGGCAGGAAGGAACGTTTAAGTCTGCTAAAGCTGTGCCTACAGCCACTCCTTCTCCCAGGTGCTCTGTCCCAGGGAGATGAGAGTTTTATCTATAAGCCCCTGGCTGGGGCTGCTGCCTTTATTTCAGAGATGCCCTGCCCAGAGAGGAGAAATCTAGAGAGGCAGTCTGGCTACAGCAGCTATGCAGTGCTGCGGTGGGCCCTGCCCAGTTCGAACTTCCCAGCAGCTTTGTTTACAGTGTGAAGGGGAAAACCGCCTACTCAAGCCTCAGTAATGATGGATGCCCCTCCCCCACCAAGCTCGAGCATCCCAGGTCAACTTCAGACTATTGTGCTGGCAGCAAGAATTTCAAGCCAGTGGATATTAGCTTGCTGGTCTCCGTGGGGGTGGGATCCACTGAGCAAGACCACTTGGCTCCCTGGCTTCAGCCCCCTTTCCAGGGGAGTGAATGGTTCAGTCTCACTGGCATTCCAGGTGCCAGTGGGGTACAAAAAGAAAATTCCTGCAGCTAGCTTGATGTGTGCCCAAACAGCCGCCCAGTTTAGGGCTTGAAACCCAGGGCCCTGGTGGTATAGGCACCTGAGGTAATCTCCTGGTCTGTGGGTTGTGAAGACTATGGGAAAAGCATAGTATCTGGGCTGGATAGCACCGTCCCTCAAGACTTCCCTTGGCTAGAGGAGAGAGTTCCCCAACCCCTTGTGCTTCTTCAGTGAGGCAACGCCCCACCCTGCTTCTGGTCGCCCTCCATGGGCTGCACCCACTGTCTAACCAGTCCCAGTGAGATCAACCGGGTACCTCAGTTGGAAATGCAGAAATCACCTGCCTTCTACATTGGTCTCACTGGGAGCTCCAGATCTGAGCTGATCCTATTCGGCCCTCTTCGAGTCACTGTCATTTTCATGGCCACATTTATCCAAAGACGTACCAGATGCCCTCAGGAAATAAGACCTTCCAACTAAGTTATAACTAATAATGACAGCTATCTTTTAGTGAGTGCTTACTATGTACCAGGCACTATTTTTAATGCTTTATCTGTATAAACTCATCGAATCTTCACAATGACCCCACTTTAGACACAAAGGAACAGAAGCAAAGAGATGCCAGATTATGTGTCTGAGGTCACACAAGAGAAAGTGGTCAGGATCTGACTATCTATGAAAACCTAAACCTAACAGACAACCTGAAATTCTTACCTTTGTGAACTGGGTAGCAAACACTTGCTAGGGTTCACTTTTTTCTAGCTAAGCCATTGCTCTTAAAAGCCAGGAGAGGAAAAAAAAATGTTCGGAAGATGAGTCTTGTTAGACGTATGGATAGAGTGTGAAAACTGGTGGGCTTTGTTCACCCACTATGGCTGGCATAATAGCATAGTGTTGAGAACATGGAGTTTAAAATCAGAGACCTAGATTTGAACCCTGGCTCTGTTACTCCCCAGCTGTGTCTTTTTTGGCAAATTCTTTAACCTTTCAGAGCTTCGCTAAATTTTTACACAGGTTTGGTTAATGCACATACAGCTTTAAGCATGTATGATTATTACAATCATTCATGTGATCAATATTTAATATGAACAGACTACTTTTAATATGGTGTCTAGCTGGTTACTCATAGAACTGTCTTCTCCTGGTCCTAAATACAAAACTGGGGAAAAATAGAGGTAAAAAAGAAAATAAGTAAAAAGGATAACAGCCAAATCATTGCCAGAGGCTAGGGAAAAATTTCTCTAAATGTAAGATCAATTAAACTGAATTCTAATGTTCAATCCATGGCCCATACATGCCAGGACTGCCTGAAAGTAGGTACAAAACGTCTTAACTTTTCCTTAAGGAAGTAGAAAGCATCCAGCAACCAACATTTTGGGCAACCATTATACCACAGGAGGTAGGATTTTCTTGGGAGAAATTTCATATTTCCCTTTGAGAATCTGGTAGAAGCAATGAACTCTCTCCCCTAAAAAGGCATATATGCATGCACACAAAATATTAGAGGATCCACGGACCCACTGAAGCTCACATAAAGACTTCATAGAGCTCCACAGACATCAACTTAATAACTGTGGTTTTCTGTGTAGAAACTCATTGTTGAGGCACCAGAATTTACCTCACTACCCATCATCAACATTTCTCTCTCTCTGTCTCTCTCTCTCTCTCTCTCACACACACACACACAAAAGCACACACACACACACACCTGGACACCTCTTCATCTCTTCTCTTACATTCTATCAAAGACAGAAATCCCTAGAAAACAACTGGAAAGGAAATTGGGAAAGATTAGCATGGGCACAGTCACTAGTGACCACGGCAACAGGAGGCTTTCCTGGTAATTGTAGTTTCCATGGAGGTCATCAGTTCAGAGCATCTGAACGGCAGGTAGAAGGGAGAAGCACTATCAGAAGACCCCACCACAGGTCAGTACAGCCCTCTCACATGAAAGCCTCTGAAACTAGGGGGATTTTCCATGGGTCTCCTCCTTCCCAGGAGGCTGATCTTTTTCTTTGGCACTTCACTGTTTTCCATGGACCTATGTTGTTGGACATTTGTAAATGAGACAAATTCTGGATTCCCAATTTATCATAGGCAGGTTGCATGGAGTGACCTTGAACCATGTATGCTATTTGTCTAGATGCTGAGAAAACCATCTGCTCAGATCCTCTACAACTTAAAGAAAAGTCAATGTGCACAACTGCTAGAAAATACCCAGTAGAGACAGAGCATCCTTTCACAAAAGAATCTAAATGAAGCTTAAAAGCAAACAGTTTCATTACAATTATATGAAACAATTATCTAAAAACAGAAAAATAAAAACAGCCAAATAACGACCTATTCCTAGAAAAAAAAATTAAAAATAAATTTGGCAAAATGTAATTGTATTTGGTTTTTGAATGGTGATATTTAAAAGTGAAAAATCATTGTTAGTCAACTGAATGAAATTTAAATTAAATGGAAAACCACACATAAAGAAATACAAATAAGCTAATTATCTTGCTGCTATGAAGATACTCAATTTTGCTAAATAATTACCAACAAAAGTTATGGTCACTAAAGTTCACAACTTATGACGTAAAATTATAAATGTTTATAAACTCTCAAAAAACGTTCCATTTTGCCTTCTTTGAGCCACACTTGATAAGGAGAGAGTTATTTTTCTATTAAAGAATAATACTGAAGCTAATTTAGTCCATTCATTATTTGCCCATTTACCTGTCCAAGTGACAGTAACAGTTATATGTTAAAAATAGGCAAACTTTAAATTAATAAAGAACAGGCCAGGTGCCGTGGCTCACGCCTGTAATCCCAGCACTTTGGGAGGCCAAGGTGGGTGAATCGCCTGAGGTCAGGGGTTCCAGACCAGCCTGGTCAATGTAGTGAAACCCCGTCTCTACTAAAAATATAAAAATTAGCCAGGTGTGGTGGTGCACACCTGTAATCCCAGCTACTCGGGAGGCTGAGGCTGGAGAATCACTTGAACCCAGGAGGCAGAGGTTGCAGTGAGCCGAGATTGCACCATTGAACTCCAGCCTGGGCAACAGAGTGAGACTCCATTTCAACAACTAAGAAAAAGAACAAAATATACTATAAAATATTTCTATGCATTCTGAGCAAAGTGTGATTTAATTTACACATAGTCATCTTAACCTGAGTATATACAAATTCTGAAAGGCAAGAAAAGTAGAAAAGACTTGGTGATTCATCAATAAGTTCCTTGCAGTGAGTGTTCTCTATTTAAAAATGCCAATATATTTCACTTTAGGAAACCCTGTATTTCCCTTCAATTCTGTACTGCTGATAATTAATTCATTTTGCTTACACTGCAGCCAGCTTCAAATCATGGTCTCCACTTCTTGGTAATAGATTCTGCCACAGGCAATATGCTGTGCCATAACCTCAATTACAACTTACAAAGGAGAAGATTACACTTATTTTCTGCTGGAGCTGCTGTTTTGTCTTAAATAAAATTGTATGTGAGTGATGGGGAGCACCACTGTAGTGGGAACTGGTGGGCCCCAAACCATATTGAGTATATGTAAAAATTCATTTCAACTCAGGGTCTAAGAATGAAAGAGCCATTGACGTTAAGCAACGGGTGAAAGATGACTAATAAAAAATTGAATCATAGTAGAATGCCAATGGTAGGCATATCTCTAATACTATCATTAAAAATGAGATATTCTAACTGAAAAAAAAATCTTTTGCAGATACAAACTGTAAAACCAATTATTTCTTTTGAAATCACCAAGGATGTGTGTGTGTGTGTGTGTGTGTGTGTATGTGTGTATGTGTGTGCTTGTTAAGAGAAATACAAAGAAATGAGATCCAAAGACAGAGACACACGAGAGATAATCATTTGTAATACAAATTTACGAAGATATCAGATGGAACAATTATTATTTTGCCTCATCATTATTTACTTCATAGAAGGTATGCATATTATATATTTTTATTTCAAAAATATTGTTATAATTAACACTTATAGGCACACTCAGCATGTACACTAGATATGTCTAAATTAAAAGAAATAATTGCGTATGTGTGACTGAATGTGTAAGCACATGTATCAACAGTGTGTGCTAAGAAGAGGGACAGTTTTAATGCTTCTGAACTTCCTTCTGAAACTATATAGCAGAAGGGAAAATTTAACAATGACAAGTCATTCTAGATCTTTAAGTCTTCCTTTAATAAAAGCGTTTAGCCATAAAAGAAAAACTCAATTAATGTAAAGATGTTCAGAAGCATGTGAAAACCATATCCAAGTTTCTTCACTCCAATTTTTACCTCAGAATTCTCCCACTAGTGAACTAGATTCCTGCCTTCTATGGTTAGAAACAGTTTGCACAGTAGAGCAGGTGCTCATATGATCATGCATTAAAAAGAAACTCAGGCATGCTGTCTCAGGCTTCTTCTGCAGGCACACCACTCAGTTCAGCACATGCGACATCACATTTGATGATGGGCCGAGATGCCCTTGCCAGCCACACTCAAGTTCTGTAATTTGATAAAGACATATATAATTAAATTCTGCTATGTTCCTGATGTTTCTAGAATTAATTATGTTGAAGTCCTCAAAGTCACTGATATTGACCCCCTGTACCTTTTCTGGATGAAACTTAAGAGAGAGGTTTCTACAATTTCATCTTTTGGAAAGTCAAAACGAAAACAATCAGAAAAATAGGACTGGAAGCCGTGAAAGGAAAGTACAGTGATGCTCGGTGTTAATCAATTGCCTGCATTTCTGCTTTTGCCTTTCACTTTCCTTTTTCATAGAACAGTAGAGGTGTCCAGTTGGAATGGCTATTAGAGATCATCAAGTTCAGTCACCCTAGCACCACAGATGAAGCCAAAACAGTAACCACCATATAGCAGCAGTCTGCACAGTTGACTAGGTTACTGGTGAGCATACATAAAACTCTCCCTGGAAACTCCAAATATGCTTGGTTTTTCTGATGAGAGATATTTTAGAAACATGCCTTAGCAGAAGGTCAATATATATTGCCATTGTAGCTATTACTGTATAAAAAACTCCTGGTGTGAGAATATGTAAAATAAACAGATTACAGAAGAAGGTCTTAAAAAAATCTCTGGGGAAAAACATTAACGCTGAAATCTTTAACAGGTGTATGAATATACAAAGTCTGCACAAATGAATATACAAAATCTGCCCTTTGACTACATGAGATGCTAAGTGGACAAATTGGTCTAATGATTATGGTCCACGGACTTAAGGGACTGAGGCTTGGGTCATTTTGCAAAGACACAGAGTAGCTTTTCTGTAGAGAAGCACGCTGTCACTGCTGAGGGGCGCAGGGGAAACGGCTTATCAGCCTATCAGCCATGCTGGCTAACCTGCTATAAAGCATGATCTCAACTAATTTGGGAAGAAAACAAATATCCCAATTAGGGAAAAGTTTTCCACCAGCTTCATTTTAAATTAAGCAGACTTGTGATTCCATTTTCTCCCTTGTATTATTTTGAAGTTAGAATTTCAGGAAAATTAGAAAATTATGTGCTAAAAAGTCCCTTTGTATAAACATTGAGTAAAGAGAAAACTCACATGTGTGTTGTCAAGCTAAATTATGGGTGAAATGGAGGACTGTAACCATATGTGTCCACATGCATTGACTGTTGTGGCAGATTTAATTAGGAAAATTAGTCAAACCCACCATCCAAGCTGTGTCAAATCAAACCAGCACAACCTGTGTTTGTTGGCAGAGCACTACAATTAAATAGGCTGAGATTTTTTCAATTCAAGACAATTCTGGAGTGGTAACTATACCCATGGCTACGACTAACCTCCGGATGAAATTATAAAGGTATTCCGGCCTTCAAACAGAAAGGAGTTCACAAGTTCCCTAAAGTACTCAGCGATATTTTTATTATAACCTGAAAGGACTTATTTTAATTAACCTGGAGAATCCCCTAATTGGTGGAATTTCCGGAAAAAATTTCCCAGTGGAACGCTTACATATAAGAAAAGACCTTCCACTGACTCTTAAATTGCATTGGGCAACCTACTCTCATCAGATACGTTATAATGAAACAGTTAGTCTATGTAATGTATTTTTAAAAATGACAGAAATAACCTTTGGTAGGCAATGATTTTCACCCATAAAATCTGGGCAAACTAATTTAATCCATAATTCCATTTAAAATCATCAACATAGTTTTAATGAATAAGAATTTCTTTGGGACAAGGATTTATTTCACTCTCTTTATACACTCTAAAATAATTGGAATTTGAGGGGCACCAATCTGATTAGCTAAATTCTCTCTTTTAGACATAGAATTCCTTTTGGACTTAGCAGTAGTTTTTGTTCTCTCCTTTAAAGTTTTATGAAATTTTCTCGCCTTCTTGTGCAAGATGACTAACTTACCTAAAATGGAGCAGGAAAAAAAAAAAACTGAAGTCATAGAAATCAAGAAATTATTTAGGTGCCTTCCTCCTAGTTTCTGTGACTGGGACCATCCAGTGACCTCAGCAAAGGTGGTCGTGATGGAACACTTGTCTGAACTGTCAGCTTGACTGAGTACAATTCTAAAGCTTTCCATATTGGCATCTAATCTTTTATTTAGTCACAGAAACAAGAAGTCACCATTTTTAAAACTGCCAGGAGAAACTGGGAGAGAAAAGCGTTATCTTTCTTCAGCTCCCAGCAAAACGTTGCAAGATAATAGGAAGACAAGAATATTTCTTCCATTAACCCTTGACCCTGTAAGTTAATGGCTTTTTGTTGCAAATATATCAACAAACAGGGCCCCAAGTGAGATTCCAACCCAGCAAGTAAGGTCTCTGCAATTATATAGATGTGTCCTGGTGCTTTGTACTGTTACCTAATATACTTAATGTGAGAGCCAGTCCTCCCCAGAAGCTGGCCAAGAAGCAGAGCATACTATCTCCTCAGAGCAACTTCTAAGGAAACACACAAAGACATCTAAATTATTATTTTAAACTTAAACACATTAGCGGCAATGCCATGCCTATTTTTGCCTTTATCTAATGATGTTATGTTACCCTATTACATAATTAAGGTGATACTTTCCTCGTTAATGCAGAACTCAACATCATCTATGCTAAGATTAAAGTGAGTATAAAAACCTTTGAAACATAATTTTAAGCACTTTCTTAAAAGAAAACATTACAATTTGCATAAACTATCCAATTGGTGTGCTTTAGCTCCTGTTTAAAAAGGTCACAATGACAATCAAAATTACTATCTCTTATTATTTTAATAGTAAGATTGTGCTGGGATTTCTCAAATTAAAATGTTAATAAGTAAGGGCTTCATCAAGTTGATTTGGGATACAAAGGGAAAAATGACTTAATTTCTTCAAAATCAAAATCTCATCAGAAGTATATTTATACAAATAAGAAATCTTTATAGGATAAAATAGTATTAAGTTATTGTATTTCATAACTTTTTTTATAATTCTACAAGGGCCCCTTCTCTAACGATTTACTTTAGGTAAATTTCTAAAAGAGGAAATGTATGTTAGGAAGAATGTTAAAAGATATCATAAATAATGTTAAATTAACTGTTACATTTCAATATATATTCACTGTATACAACTGTTATATATTTCAATATATACAGTTGAATTTTACTCCAGAAAAATCTGTCCCGATTTATATTATCACATTCTTGCATCATACAAAATCTGAATATGATAGTTTTTAGTAGAAAGATTTAAAACAAATCACAATGAAAAATTAACTTGGAGGAAAATCTCAGCATACTTATAAATGTCTCATTATTTCAAAGTTATTAAAACATAAGGTGACAGAGTTACCTTTTCTTGTTTATGTGGCTGTATTTATACATCAAACTAAAATAAACAATACTTCAAAGAAATGAAAGGATTTGTCAGAAAGACACAGAAATCAATTTACTTCCTAAATTATAAATTACATTTGAATTAACACAGTTAATATTTACTGTGTGTCCATAATGTAGTATGCACTAATGAAATATGGGTAGCAGCTACACAACCATTAAGGTTCCATCAACTTATGAAATCCAGTGATGAGACAAAAAAAGTCTCTCTCTGATCAATTATATAACTGCCAATCATACCATGTTACACACATGATGAATACTTTTTTCTGGCAGAGACTTCAGCTACAAATAGAAAAGCAATGATCTTCCCAAACCAGACCTGTGCTGCAAAATTATCAAGACAAATCCATGTTGAGAAATTATAGAAAAATTGAAACTTTAAAAACACAGGGAAAAAAATTAGACTTTTGTTCAGTATATTTATAGTAAAGTTAAATTTACCTCAAATCTATATCTTAAGCACTGTTTCCAATTGAATTTTACACTAAATCCATTTAAAGTAAATGAAATCAGGTTTATGAGTGGGTTTTGCAAGCTACTAATGCTAGCTATTACAGTTATCGATGGTAACAATAATAAATGCTGTAGAACATATCTGAAAATAATTACTTGTCCATAGAGCCCCATAGCCTGACATTATTAATTACACCTCAATCTATATATAGTAAGTTCATAGAAAATCAACTTTAATCTTAAAATGTACTGACCTTTGCATACACAGAAAGTTCTATTAACACAGTAGGATATGAACTTTAAATTGTTTTTTCCAGTCTTGGTAATAAGATGCAGAGTCAGCCTTATGTTTCTCCGCAGTCCTCTCGACACCATTCATTCATTCATTCATTCATCCAGCAATAAATGCTTAGTGAACACTCTTACGCTACTGGCAATACGCACTGGGAATACAAAGGTCAAGTAAAGCAGGCATCATCCAGGTCCCCATGGAATTGGTAGTGTACAATTAGAAACAAATGTTAATAAAATATCCTTCATAGCCCATATCCCAGTGCAGGAATAAAAATCTACAGCTATATGTGCTGTGAAAGAAAGCAGCCAGTGCTACAAAGGGATAGGGCTGAACCCGGGGCTTGGGGAAGACTTCATGAGGAAATGTCATTTGAGTAGGAGTCAAAAGTAGAAATAAGCATTAACTAGGTGAGAAAGAACGGAGAGGAAGAGCATCCTTAGCAGATGGGACAGCAGGCACAAAGGCGCTGAGGGTGAAGGGGCTTGGCATAGTCCAGAAAGGAAGGCCAGTATGTCTGGAGCAGAGTAATGGAGAGAGAGAGTGGGGACAGAGTGCTACAAGGTGAGCCAGGAGAGAACTGCAGGAGCCAGATCATGCAAGCTTGGTAGACTGGGTTAAGAATTTTGGTCATGATCCCAAAGGCAATGGCCGGTCATTGAAGAGTACTAAGTGGAGGAATGATATGCTTGATTTGGATTTTGAAAACGGCATTCTGACTGCGGTCTAGGAAATGGGTTGAAAGAAATACATAGAGACCATTTAGAAGGATATCGCAACAGTCTAGGTGAATAGTGATGGTAGTTTGGGCTCAGCAGGGGTCAAGTCAATGAATACAGAGAAGGAGATGCGAGAGTAACACGGACAGACTGTGATAATGAATTGCTTATGGTAGCAAGGGAGAGTATAAAATCGAGATTTTTGGCTTCACCTCCTCATTGATACTATACATTGTGATAAGAAACAATGGAAGAGGAGGGGGCTTATGGAAGAAAGAGTGTGAGCTTGTTCCAGACATCTTAGATCTGAGATATCTAAGAGAAAATGTTGAGAAAGTGTGGTCTATATGTAACTTGAGACAAATTTTTAAGGCATCAGTCTGGGGTTTGTTGGGAGAAAGCAACACTAGAATGCCCCTTCAAAAATTTTAAAACCAGATTTAAAATAAGAAAAGTTCACAAATTTGGTAAAGCTGAATACACAAGATATATATTAAAGCTATGTATACATATCAGGTCTCTATGTGGTAAAGCAAAGTTATGTATGTGAGAATATGAAGGGCACAATTCTATACTTAAAATTCAGCATTCCAAGTAATGCTTTTTGCCATCAAAACAAAAAGTCGAGCACAGTTAAGAAAAAATAAATGCTGTACTCTTATAAACGAAAATAACTGCAGACAAATTCAGCTTGCCCTCCGATAAGGAAGTAATTCAATAACATCCACAGACATTAGATTGTCTGCTATAGAGTATCCTCGAATAAGTAAACTATATTTCACTTTTTAGTTCAAGTAATTTAAATTGACATTGAGTGAAAAAAACATTGCTCTATCATTCTTATGGTTATTCAGATGAAGTACCTCTTGTCTGTCCTACGGTGGTTACTACTGGCTTTCCCAGCCTGGTTGCACTTAAACAATTCTTGGTCATCATTTTCAGCGAATGCCCTACAGTGAAAAAGCCTAAGAGATCAAACAGGAGAATAGCATTCTTGTTACCACACTGGATCAATTTCAAGTTATGGATTCCAATCAGAGAGGAGACAGAAAACCTTTCAGAGCCACTTACATCAAATATTATCCCCTAATTGAAAATGTGATAAGTCAGCAGACAGTTCTTCCTCAGACTTGACAAAAGTTGTCGTGATTATTATTCCTTCCTATCAACCACCTGAGGCTCATAAAAACTGAATATATATAGGCTCATAAAACTTCATATAATGTGGAACTGTTCATGTCAAGGTCAATGGAAATCTCCATGTGGCCAAATCTAATGGACACTTCTGTCTCTTGATCTACTTGGACTTCTCTGCAAGTTCGATTGGCTCCCACAAGATACACTTGGCTCCTTTATTCATGCACCAATCGTCTCTCCTGGTTTTCACAGGACTTGACTCCTGCTTTCCTTCTGACCTCTCTGCTGAATTTATTTGTCACTCCTACTATTCCAGTCTTTACAATGCTGGATGTTCTCTTTACTATGCAGATTCTCTCTGCAAGTGAACATATCCAGATACATGGTTGATGATTTTTAAAAAAACGAAAACAAAAATAAATAACTTACTAATTCCTATCACTGGCCTTGCCTCCTGCTGTAATTTCCAAACTTGGATATTCAACTGTCTATTTAATATTTGCACTTGAATATTTCACAGATGTCTCAAACATCCTATGTGTCTAAAATAAGATTCACTTTTCTTCCACTCTTTCAGGTATCTATTCCTCTCTTTGTTTCTACCAGATTCATAATGACATCAACATCTACCCAGTTGCTTATTCTAATCCATAGGAAGCATTCGTAAATCCTTTCCCCACTCCCATTTTCCTACCCATGCTCATGTCCAAGTTACTCGCTAGTCCTTCAAGATTCACTTCTGAAGTGTATCTCAAACCACCATCTTTATCTCTTCCCTAGATCCTGGCTTTCTTCTCCTCATACTCTCTCTGTTTCTATTCTAACCTCTAAAATCCATTCTCTGCAGTCAACAGAGTGACTTTTAAAACTATAAATCAGCTTTCATGACTCCCAGATTTAAAACATTCCATGGTTTCCCATTTTGGTTGGAATAAAATCCCAACTGTTTACTGGGCCCTACAAGGTCCTTCACGGTCTGGCCCCTCCAATCCCTTCAAACTCATTCTCTCTCCTCTCCCTGTGCATTGGCTCCAGTAGCTTCTATGGCGGTATCTTGAAAATGCCAAGTTGTATTCTGCTTAAGGAATGGTGTCTTTCCTATTTCCTCTGTATTTCACATAGGTACCTCCTCCTCCTTCCTTTTCAGCCTTCAGTTCTCATCTTAAATAGCATCTGTTCAAGAAGACTTTCATGGCTACTTATACAAACACACTCCCCAAAATAACTCAGTTTTTTTCCCTTTGTGCACTTTTACATTGTTTCTGTGTTTAATTGCTGTTTTTCTACTTGTCTCCACTAGAATATGTGCTCCCTGCATGCTGAGACCTTGGCGGTCTTGTTAACTTTGATTCCTCAGTGCCTGGCACTTATAAGACCCCAGTAAACATTTGTTAAACTAATTAAAATGCTCTACAAACAGATATTTGAATATTAGAATTAATTATGAAACCTAATATAAACCTTTATTCAACAACATGCAAACTTGTAAATACCAAAATTCATCTTCTACATCTTCTTACAGAGGCTATGTCATCTTCTATTTCAGTTGAAACCAGAAAAAAAACGAGAAATATCTCTTATTTTAAATTTATTGGAAAAGTGTTTGCATTTAATAAATGTTTAACCTCATATACAATTTCCTAATGGTAATGGTCATATTTCTAACCATTTTAACTGGAGAAGAATGACAAGTTAATTTCCCACATTAGGTGTTTCCCTTGTTGATACCAACAGAATTACATGAAGATTTGTCTTTTAAGAATTTTAAAGTAACAACAGAAGTCTTTTGAGAAGGTAGTCTTCAATGGTGACATAGTAAGTAGGAAAAGTCAGATCCATTCTTTTCAAAAGATAATTTGAGTATATAACTACAAATGTTTACTTTCAACATTCATGTGGATTGGGGTCTCTTCAAAAGTGAACATATCATAGTAGACGAAATGAAAGGAGCCAGTGAGTTCTCCAGTCTTTGAGGGTAAATTGTAATCCTGCAAATCTGGACATAAAGTCACCCTGCTAAAACAGACCTGTGCTAGTTAGTAAGTAAGCCCCAATCCCTTTCTATTCCTGGCTCTGTGATGCTGCACCTGGGACCATGAAGCTACACCTCCTCTTCACAGCTGGCTCCCTGTTAGATTCTGCCATAGGACACTGGTATGAAACTGGCAGGCAGGAGAAGACCTACTCCTTCCTTTTTCACCCATCATTACTGTCAGAGAAGCCCCGGCCATAGCTCTTCCCTCCAGCAGCAGCAGTCAGCCTCATCTTCTATCTTCTACTGTTTTTGGCACTGTCGGTGCAATTCTCATTGTACCTTAGAGATAGCAGCTTGAGAAGGATGGCTGTACTGGGACCCTCCTGCAGCCTGTGAGTTATCAGCCCCAGCTGGGTGGAGGTCTCAGCCTAAGTTTTGGGGGTCTTTTCTTCGAGCTTTTGGAATCTGATAACGCGAATGTCTTTTAATTTGTTCCCCCATCCTTAGGATTGCTGTTGGCTCACAGGTCTCTTTTTGGCTTTGTAGCTTTCCAACCCCGGTATAATCGATTCCCTATGTTAACCTTTTTCAATTGAAATAACTGCTAAGATTCCTGTTTCCTGACTGGACTCTGGATGACACAGAAGAGAACTAAAGGGACAAATGAGCCAGAAAATATGCTGGCGGGGGGCATGGTGGGGGGAGATAAAATGAAGTATCAGTCTATGTAATGAATAAGTTGGAGAGTTTTTATGTTAGGCATCTCATAAATTACACCAACAAAATGTACACTCCTTTGAGGACACAGTCCGGGTCTTATTGATACTACCATGATGCTGAGAAGAACTGTTTATTCTGCCACTATGCTTTTATTGAATACTATATATGTTTAATTTCTAATTCACACTATAACCTGATAAAGATATATTCTTCCCACTTTACACACACACACACACAAGTACAGGGAAGACAGAGTAGAAGATAATGCCAGATGGTTAATAAATGACTAAGGAAAAATTGTAACCCATGTCTTTAGTACTCCAGTGCCCTCATCTCCATTAGACCAGGCTGTTTCCTCTTATTTACCTTTGTATTCCTTGCCACAAACAAGATAGAATCATGTAAAAATAGGTGCTCAGTAAATGTTTCTTGAGTAGATGATTGCATAAACAATTAGACATTTAAAAAAAATCCAAAATAACTTTTATTTGGTAGCTTCTCGGTAAATATTTGCATTGGTAAATAAAACTGCTAACATTTCCACTGCAAAAGTAGCAGAGCTTGGTGGATACAATTCAGTGACCGCACCATTCTAATAAATAAGGGGCCCATCTGCTGACTAGGACAACACTGAGTGGGGAAAACAAACTGAATCAACTTGGTAAATGAATTTCCAATATGGTGATAAATCTAGGATGTTACTTTAACTCAGAGGAAGGGAATATCAGCATTCAAGGTGACAGCCCAGGTCCTCACAGCACACTGGGCAATCAAAGCATTTCAAGGTGCAGGTGCTTTAGCCTAATGACTCTATAGAGCTGTGATATCAATTGAGAAAATCTGTTTTATGTGTCTGATTCTTTCTTTTGACAGAAAAGCTTCCTCTTATGAACAGGAGGGTTTCGGCAGATCACCAAATGATTTTTCATATCCACATAAACAGCTTTAATCTTTGAAGACTATTCCTAACCAGTACTGAGCCCAAAATAATGAATGCAATTAAAATCTTAGAGAACAAAAATAACCTGGCACTGACACTGGAGTGCAGAGTATGTTTACTACGGTCAAGTAGGAGAGAGAAATGGATTCAGAAGAAATATATGTTCTGTATTAAAATATGTGTGTGTATCCACAAGTAACACAGAACAATTCAGAACTAATCTAACAGTCTTATATTCACAATTAATACAGAATAATTTAGTGCTAATCCAATGTTCTAATGGATTGCATAAAAAGAGAAACAGTGGCCGCCATTCCATGATAACAAACAGTTCGCTAAGTTAAATACCAAATGCATGATACATGATATGAGGCAAGTTATATAATGCATCTTTCATTAAAAAAACCCTCAAGTGTTTTGAGATAAATACATTAATTCTAAACATTATGTAACTGTAAGATAAATGTTCATAATGTTGAGAAAGATAGGATTCTTTATTGGGAATATAAAAAGATTTTGTAAAATTTTCAATGATATCAACATCAACAATAATCAATAAATGGATTATTATTAACATTTCAAAATTAGAGAATATTCTAATTTGAAATGTTTACCAAGTAAAAAATATAATTATATATAATATAAATGCATGTATATATTAACAAAATAGGAGTGTATTCATATTTATACATTGTTTATATGCTTTTTGAAAGGCTTTATTATACCAGTTTTGATTTACAGTTACATATACGAATTTCTTCATTATAGTAGATACTGAATTTACAAGTGGTAATGAGGGTCCCGTGGAACTTGAGGGGATCATGGAAATAATGAGATTCAAGAGTCTTTGATTCATGTCTAAGGTCATCACTTCAGGATGCTCAAAATTTTATAGCTATTTTGTCCATTTTCTCATGTTCCACATGAAGAAAATTAGGCCCAGAGAAAAAAATATATATATCCAGAAAAGGCCATGGGTAAAACCAGGGGCAGTATCCATGTCTCTTGACACTGATAGCTGTGTTTTTATCCCACTATTCCATCCTGGGTGTTAGTGTTCTCAACTGAAAAATCTCAATAACGCCTCTGTAAACCTCACATCTTTTGTAAGTATCCAAAAATGTGCTTGTGAAAGCACTTCCTAAACCACGAAGCACTCTGCAGACACAGGGATCGTTGGAGCACAGATGTGATACATTTCTTCAGTCTTGCAGTACATACTGAGTCTCAAAACTTAAGCTCAAATGTCTAGATGCATGATTCAACATAGTATATTTAAACAAAAATTACTCTCAATTATTAAATTAGCTTTTTTGTACAATGTAGGACTAGTTCGTTTTTATAATACTCTAGACCAAATATAGATATTGCATATAGCCACGTGAAATTTCAGAGGGCATTTTCTCAAAGGGAAAGAATAGTCTAGAGCAGACCCTGCGGCTGCCCTGCCTCTCTGTCCTTTGGAACAGCTGAGTAAACCTGCAGCTGAGAACACGTACTGGTAGCTGTCGATGTTCTGCCTCAAGCACTTAGGTCTCTCTTTTTCTCTGCCTTTCTCTGGCACCCCCAGAGCTCGCACAGAGAGGTAACCTGAAAGTCAATTGAGGAAATGTACAGAGGAGAAGCAACACCGCTGGGGGCAACTTCAACCAGTGGAGCAGATGAAAGCATTATTTTGAGTGTTTGTGGTCTAAACTCCACTTACAAATTCATTCCCAAAACGGAACTATCTCTGCAAAAGTCCATGGGGCGATTAGTGAACAGGGGCTGCTTTAAATTTTGGTCTTTGGAGTCTACTTTTAATTATATGAGCAAGGTAAGGGGATGCATAACAGGTAACTTTACAAGCACACAAAACACATACAATTATGTCTAGCCTACACTATTCACAGCCCCTTAATTAATCCCTGAAAAGCCTCAGCACAATATGCCTCTGCCTTGGTGAAGGTCATTTGAGGAGTCCTACTGTGGGAAATGGTGTACTCTTTTATAAAACGGAACAACTTCAATTGTGGCTCATCAGGCCAGCTTGGTTATCATCCCTTTTATGGAAGTACCTCTGAAATATGACATATAATCCTTTTCAGCAACTCCTTCCAATGTATACCTACTCAAAAAACACACTACCTATACTTTGCCCTGGGCCTTGGATTGACCTTTGGCCTAAAGCAATAAAATCTGACAAAAGCTGTAAAATATTTGTTTTTTTTTTAAATGAACCAAATTATCACCTGATATTTATCGAGCTCACAGAAGGCTATGGCATATTTGCAGTCTATAAAAATGAATAAAAGAATTTTACATGCAGTTTTTATTTCTAAACAAATAAGAAGTGTTTATATAAAATATGCACTTAAGGAGAAAAAAGTTGCCAATTGAAATAAAGAAGATAATTTTGGTTTTATTATTTACATATTAGATATGTTGTTTAGGTTTGTTTGCATATAAGTGAATAAAAGCATATTTTAGCATCCTAAGTAATCATTTACATATTTACATTTTTCTAATAGAAAATGCAATCTAAATTTCATTTTTATATGGTTTTCCTATTTCAAAACTACATTTTTTCTTTCAATTTTGAGCACTTTAATTTTGATTTCTCATCATAGTATTTATGTAATGTTGGGAAGGTAAATACAGTTATATTCCTAATGTAAATCAAGGTGGGTGGTTTATAAGTTTGCATCAGAATTTGCAGGACCTGGCCGGGTGCAGTGGCTCACACCTGTAATCCCAGCACTTTGGGAGGCCAACTCAGGAGGATCACCTGAGGTCAGGAGTTCGAGAACAACCTGGCTAACATAGTGAAACCTCGCTTCTACTAAAAATACAAAAATTAGCCAGGCATGGTGGCTACTTCCTGTAATCTCAGCTACTCAGGAAGCTGAGGCAGGAGAATCGCATGAACCTGGGAGGCGGAGGTTGCAGTGAGCTGAGATCCTGCCATTGCACTCCAGCCTGGGCAACAACAGTGAAACTCCATCTCAAAAAAAAAAAAAAAAAAAAAAAAAAAAAAAATTTGCACTACCTGATTAATCCACAAGATTAAAAGGAATTTATTTTTTCCAGGCGTTACGTTTTTGGCCTCTTGGATGGCTGCCCTGGATTCAAAGAAAGGCTGCAAAATGATCTTATTTCTTTCTTTTATCCCTGAGAGTACACATATCTAACTAATGAAAACCAGGGATGGTTTTATTACCATTTAGTTTAGGCATATCATACACATATGGCAAAGTTTAATTGCATTTAACTTTTTTTTCTGGTTGAATAATTATTTAAGAGATTTACAGGTTTCGATATAGGCCTAAATTTTTAATGGATGAATTAGAATAGTATATATAAAAGTCTAAAATAGAATCCTTAATATAAAGAAAAATTACAGCAAGGATACCTTTTAAAAATAACACGGGGACCAGGCGTGGTGGCTCATGCCTGTAATCCCAGAACTTTGGGAGGCCGAGGCAGGCAGATCACCTGAGGTCAGGAGTTCGAGACCAGCCTGACCAACATGGTGAAACCCCGTCTCTATTAAAAATACAAAAATTAGCCGGGCATCGTGGTGAGTGCCTGTAATCCTAGCTACTCAGGGGGCTGAGGCAGGGGAATTGCTTCAACCCAGGAAGCGGAGATTGCAGTAAGCCGAGATCGCACCACCGCACTCCAGCCTGGGGGACAGAGCAAGAGTCTGTCTCAAAAAAAAAAAAAAAAAAAAAAACACCACCACTAGTTTGAGGAATTTTTTTTTAAATACAAAAAGTACAAAGAAGAAAATAAAAATGGTCCACTATCTTCCAGGGTTCAAATAAACCCTGTTAATATGGTTTTTAAGTCAAACTACTTAAAAGTAAATAATCAGAATGTTCTCTTTCCTAAAAGTCTTTTTTTTTTTTTTTTTTTTGAGATGTGATCTCACTTTGGTTGCCCCAGGCTGGAGGCTACATCTCGGCTCACTGCACCCTCAACCTCCTAAGCTCTGATGATCCTCCCACCTTAGCCTCCGGAGTAGCTGGGAATACAGGTGCACACCATCACACCTGGCTAATATTTTATATTTTTAGTAGAGATGTGGTTTCAACATGTTGCCCAGGCTGCTCTTGAACTCTTGGACTCAAGCAATCCGCCCGCCTTGGCCTCCCAAAGTGCTGGAATTACAGGTGTGAGCCACCGCACCGGGCCACAGTCCTTCTTAATAAAGAAATTGACTATCAAAGTTTCTGCATACACTGCTTATCCCCAGAGGCTGCAGCAAGTCGCCCTAATGTGTCTGCTCATCCATCTACCAACTCCCACTTTTAAAAAAGGATAATATTATGAATGCTTTCAAATCTAATTCATTTCTTGGTGCTTAATATGCACTGGAACATCTTTCCACATCAGTACAAATTTGCTTTATTTTTCACAGGCTGAATGGTACTTCAATATTTAGAAAATACACACTTTTTGATGCCTGGACTTACCTGTCAGAGAATGGGCTGGACTAAATTTAATAGAAAGCCCTCTAGGTAAATGTTTTATAGTGAGTAAAAAAGCCAAAATATAGTAAAGAGATCTTAGAAATGTGCTGTCTTATTCCCAATCAAGTGCTTCCAATCCTGTGGTCCAAGAATGCCACAGAATAGACTCTGCAGCATTTCTTCAGGGAAATAATACTTAAGGAAGGTATAGTCCGAACAAGATCACCTTCTGAATCTCCTCCAAGCACTGTAAAGAGGAATAATTCTGCTCCCTCTTCCCTTGTAAATGGTGTTCTGGAAAGGAATAGAAAGTCCCCACTAAAGGTAGTCTCAACACGGGAACATGGCTTCCCCGGCATGAAAAGGAAAACGAGGTGTGGTGTTATGTCTACTGTACTTACTCTACAGACAGCTTCAGTTACTACTTAAATCTCCTGGATACATAGGAAGATAAAGCAGAACAAGGATTTTGTTTCAGGTGAGATCATGGAACAGATGAAAGGGGCCAAGACTCCTTGGTAAACCTTATCTTGCTTGTCCTGGTCCTGTCAACTTACCTTCGCTCTGACTTCATATTACATCTCTTCAAGTGAACTCACTGTCAACTTTGAACTTTTCCCCAGGCAGAGGAAAAAGGCTGCATGATCTTTAACAATGACAGATGTTCTTTTCTGTGGACCTTTGAGGATAAGTCACATTTAGTATAAACACTTTTTTTTTCACACGTTACAATATATTCAATGACAAAGCCTTTCAAAAACGATCATTTAAAATATAAAAGGCAATTGAGAGAAGATTGATGAAGAAGCTTCAAATTAGTTATTAAAACTTAAAAACTGACCATCTCTTTAATAGGCATTTAATATTGAATCAAATGGTCTATTACATTTAGATCATATTGTACATGACAGATCAAAAATGAGAAATAAATAAATTCTTGGTAGCAATGATCATCATTATGTGTATAGCTTATGGCTGGTGAATGTACTAGAGCTAAATGATTCATGTAAGACTTAAGCCTGCAACCTTGACCTCCTTAGAAATTGCCTATGATCATTTGAATTTCCCAGTGGTGGCTGTTCTGAGGATCCCACAGGCATGTTACCACTCCTATCTTAGCTGTTATACTGCCACATTGCCTCTTTCTTTATACGTATTTGGAGGCCTCAGGGTACAGAGAGAGCAGAAACAGGAATCTGAATACCCAGTATCCAACTTTATATTCTTACTAAAAAGTGAAATGGGAAATTCTAGATTGGAGATTCTGAAGAGATAGGTGATCATCTCAACAAAAGACTGTGGGCATTCCTCTCCAAGGGCTATGGATACTGGTGCACAGAGCCCACTGCAATCCTAAGACTCACTCTAGTTTTTGCTTTTAAGAGCAAGGAGTTCAACCTTGGACCTCCTAGTCTCCACTTCCTTCAAAGCCAACTCAAATCTCTCTCTCTCTTTTTTTTTTTCTTTTCTGATAACGAATCCCTTAGAGTTTAAAAGTGGATTCAGCTCAATTTCTTTTGAAAGCTGAGAATGCACAAAGAGACAACTTTGGCCAGCAGAAGAAAAATAATGATACTTGCGTCCTTCCCAGCCAAACTCTCCCTCAGGGAAGAAATAGGGATATTAAGAGTTAAGGACCAAGTCATGTTAACAAAGGATTTGTGCTGTCCTACCTTAGAGTCTGGTACAAATATCCAGTGCTTAGAATTTCGGATGGTGATAAAGGCAAGCCATCTTAAAAGAAAGGTTTCAGTTCTCAAGAAAATGTCAGGCCTCTTCCCTCATATTCTCTCTCTCTCTCTCTCTCTCTCTCTCTCTCTATCTTTCTCTGAGTGAACCAAACACTATCAACAAGAGAACTGGGAATTTACAGAGACTTTTTAGGCACTTAAAGCATGCTGTCACTACTCTTTTGCAACCCAATCCACATAAGGATCTGACAGAAGCAATATTGTGTATGTCTGTGTGTTTTGTCTACTTGATAGCCATTCTTCCCTTCTTTTTATAATATGCATTTTCATCAAAATATGTTCTCCATTCTTGTTTTTTGATAGAGGTGGCCAAGAGAAAGTAAGCTGCTGATGTACTGAAGAAGCATTGTCCTTTTAATCTTTTTTCCTTGCTCCCCCTTTTTTCTTCCTGGAACAAAGAGGTGATTGATGGTGCTCCAGCAAGTCATCTGTGACCATGAGGCAACACTGAAGATGGAAGACAAATACAGAGAGAAAGATGATAAAAGGAGTCTAGGTCCCTAATGATCATGGATCTCCCAGATTACCCCTGGTCTGCCTCCTTCTCAGGTGAGATTGAAAATAAAAACAGAAAAACACAACAATAAGAAGCAAAAATAATACTACGTTGACTTTAAGTCACAGTAATTTGGGGTTTAGGCTACTACAGCCTCCTGACACACTGTGTATCATTGTTTGGGCTGGGGCATCAGAGGAGCGGGGGTATGTAAGCTATGAAATAGATTGAAAGAGGCTTGCCAGTAAAGCTTACCCACAGTTGTCTGTCTTGACTCCAAGTCCCCCAGGGGGACTGGCCCTCTCCCCTTCCCTCAAAATATGACTTCATTTGAATTCATTTAAACACAATGGGAACATTTTTTCTGGTTATCATCCCATTAAAGGCTTTTTTTTTCTTGTTTAAATTAGATTAGCTTACAAGTGTGCAAACATAGAAATGGGTGGGAAACAGGAGAGGAAATGGTGGATACTTCCAGTAAACAGAGTGATTTGCCCAGTCTAGGCCCTTAATTCCTGGAGCAGTGTTCAGAGTCAGCCCAGACTCCTAAAATGATTGCTCTTAGAGTTGTGTGCATGCGTGTGTGTGTGGGTGTGTGTGTGTTTGTGTGTGTTCATGAGAGACTGACAGGGAGAGACAGACAGTTTTCTGACTGAGAGGCAATTTGTTTCTTTTAGCATGCTGCCATGCAGAAGTTAATTGAAATTATTAAAGGATAACTAAATGGGCACTGTCTTTTTTTAAGGAGAAAATGTTTTTTACAGAATTTACTGTTATTCCATTGAGTTTTCTTTCTTCTCAGAAAAATATGTTACAGAGCATCCCTGCCCGCAGGCCCTGTTTTCTCATTTGTAATGATATACTATATGTAAAGTTATATTACCAGCTCTCGCAATTTCCCGACTGCTTGATGCCTGATGTCACAAAATTATAACTAAGAGAGGCTGTTACATCTACTGCTCCAAGGCACAGGGAGTATTATTTCGGCAACAATGAAAGCATCTAATAAAGGACTTTAATTTTAATGACAGCTTGAGTGCAAGCTGTTAGAAAATTCAAGTGTATGTTTTCCCTATCCAGGTAACTGAATCTGGTGCCCCCCCCCCCCCACTTAAAACACCATCCTTTTCTGACCTAATTTGGATTTAAATTATTCAATTTAATTCAACAAGCATTTATCAAATATCTACTACATGTGAAGCACTGGAGTGGGTACCACAGTAATTGCATGCCAGCACCTGCCCCTCAGAAATTCACAATTGAGTGAGAAACAGAGATGTCTATGAACCCGACTTAATAAAAGGTCAGATTATGAGAAGTGCTAAAATGAAGCTAAAATGAAGTGCCACCAACTATAGCAGAAAGATGTGTGAAGTATCTTAGAGAAAGTGAGCTTGGAGAAGGACTGCAATAGAAATATACAAGGTAAAAACACATTTTAGCAAAGGGACCCAAGCTCCGTCCTGAACAAAGGCTCAGAGGCAAGAACTCTTGGGGTATTAACAGGCAAGAAAGCAGACATATGTGGCTAGAAGACAGCAAAAACAGCAAAGGAAAGGGAGTCCCCAGAGCTAGCAGGGAAATGGCATCAGCAGAAATTGGGGCGTGATTGACTGTAGGAGCGAGGAAGAGAATATCCAGTCTACGCAATGTGATTGCAATCCTGTGTTTTCTCTTAATTAGCCAGTGTAGATGATGTTTCAGGACATCACCCACATCCCCCTGCCTTTACCATCTCAGAGCCCTTAGGCCTGACTGCTAGTACCTGCATTTTATTTATTTTGCCTAAGAGCTTTCTCTGACTTCAAGAATTTACTTTGCTCAAGCACTTGGGAAACTGAGAGTGCTCAGGACTTAATGTCTAAGAGGAACAGTTCTTAAGAGATTACTGACAATAGTTGGGTAAAAGTAGCCCAGATCCCTTGCCTTTAGGTGGGAAAGGGAGGTACATATTCTACAGGGGTCACCAGAGTTCCTTAGTTGGATTAAGCTATACTTGCTCACAGTTGTAAGTGGCTTGATAATATACATTTATTGATGGGCTTTTCTTCCTTATTTCACTTTTCCTCTCTCCTACTTGGAGTTACCTCCCTAATAAACTACCTACCCTCAAATCCTTAAAATCTCAGAGTCTGCTTCTGGGGAAACCAAACTGAAGACTACCAGTACAGGTGACTACAATTCAGTGTTATAATACATGGATGTAACAACATGATGAATGGCAGAACCTCATTAAAGTACGTACTATTATCACCATGAATCATCAATATTTCCTTTAAAACCACGTGTTAGTGTAAGCAGAGAAAAAGTGAAATTATGAGGAGAATAAGTTATGCTGAGCAGAGATGGTAAAATATTAGACACAACAAAATAAGAGATGTTTGGGACCAGTATTTCAGCCAAAAGCATTATTTAGTCAGATGACAGCATATTAATTTCTTAAGGTGAAAAGCTACATGATAATCTTAAGAGAAAGGCAGCAATTGAACAGGGTTCTATGCAGGAAACACAACTACCTTCTTGCAGGCCTTTGTGAGCTATTGCTACTTCTATGGTATTCATACACATCATTAGGATTTAGAAAGAGGATTTAGAAAGATTACAGCATAAGAACATGATCCCTCAAATTGTTATATACTTTTACAAACGCACATGGAAAAGTAGTAGTGTTGAATCATTTGACATTCCAAGATAGGTGCTTTGGGTGGAAGAAGAAAATATTTAAAAGATGCTTCCTCTGAGAAGCCTTCCTTGGCTCCCCCAACTCTCAGCAATCTCCCTGGCTTCTGAGAGGTAACAGCATTCAGAAGCTGAAGGGTTTGTTTGCCCCTCAGCCTGTGTATGCACTGCTGTGCCTTGTCTTGTAAATTAGACTGTAACTTCCCTTGAACAGTGTTCTTAGTGGCTTGCACAAAGTGACCTGTAATGCGGCATGTTCTTTTTAGGGGAAGCAGCACCTGGGATAGAGACTGGAGTACAGAAAATCAGGAAATTTATTAGGGAGTGATCTTGAGATTAACAACTACAGTGGAAGTGAGGGAAGCAGGACTGGGCAGAGGGAGAAGTTGGGCAGAGAGGCGGTCATCACCAGGCCTCCGCCAACCCTGTGGAGGTCTCTGAAACTGGGATACACTTTACAGTTGTCAGGAATTGAGGTGAAGGGGCTGGCCTTTTCATATCTGCATTAACCAGTCATTAGATGTGGGTGTCCAATTCAATGGTATATGACATATTTTGGCTGATTTGGGTGATGTTAATGTCCTCGTAAGCATTTGAGGAATCTTCAACTACATATCTTAGTTATGAAGTTGAAAAACTGGGGTTAGAACGTTATATCTAAAATTTACATAAATTCAGTAATGACAACATATACTAACTTGAATTGGCTAGCCGTATAAAGTTTTATCTTTGCTTTCTGAATAGATAGTTAAGGCCCTAGGGAGCATAACTCTCTATTTCATTATTTGATCCACAGTATTTTAATATAATTGTTCAGTTGTTATTACTGCTAATGATTATTTTTTTAGTGAAAGCAACACCAAGAAGAAATCTTAGGCTGGGTACGGTAGCTCATGCCTATAATCCCAGCACTTTGGGAGGCCAAATCAGGCAGATCACTTGAGGTCAGGAGTTCAAGACCAGCCTGGCCAACATGGTGAAACCCCATCTCTACTAAAAATGCAAAAATTATCTGGGCGTGGTGGCACATGACTGTAGTCCCAGCTACTCGGGAGGCTGAGGTGGGAGGATCACTTGAACCCGGGAGGCGGAGGTTGCAGTGAGCTGAGATCACCACTGCACTCCAGCCTGGGTGACAGAGCAAGACTCTGTCTCAAAAAAAAAGGAAAAAGAAAAACAGAAAAAGAAATTTTAGCCCACTACAACACAGCTCTGACTTAGGGAATTTTTTTAAAAAAAGATACATGAAGCTTTCTATGAGCTCTTTCACGGCTGTTATACATTATCTTCTATGATAATAAAAATCATAACTAAATCTGCCTCTTTTTGCCTTGGTTTGACTGCCAAGAAGCTCCTTGATATGGGTTCTCATTTGTACACTTCTATGCCTAATTTTTCTGTATGTACATTTACCATCATTTTCTTACATGTGCATTTATATGTAGTGAACAATGTGAAATATAAATAAATCAGTATTTCAAAATTGTAAAACTTGTCTGGTACCCCAAAAAGCTATAACTGAAGTACCACTTTCCTCTGTAAGGTTTTCCTTCAGAATCCCAATCACTCCATACACAGATTTTTTTGCAACTCTGTGTTATATGGTCCATAGCACACTAGATGGAAGAGAAGTCACTAAGGCAAGAACCAAGTGGATTCAGACATGAGAGTAAACATCAGGAGAGCAGAGCTCAAGACAAATGAAAACGGACCAGAGCTATTCCACCACGTAGTGAAATCCTGGATTTTTCAAGTCATGTCCTGAGGTCATCTGTTTAAATGCTATACAGAAATGCCTATAGAATATTTTAGAAAGATTTCCATGAAAAGTTACTTTTAAAAGTTGAACTCATAGAAGTAGGGAGTAGATTGGTGGTTACCAGAGGTTTGAGGTGGGGCGGGGTAGGGGGAACTATTACTGGCCAATGGATACAAAGTTGCAGCTGAGAAAAATAAGTTCTGGTGTTCTATTGAGCAGCAAAGTGATTATAGTCAATAGTAATGTATTGTATATTTCAAAACAGCAAACAGAGACGATGTTTAATGTTCTTACCACAAAAATATCATAAATATTTGAAGTGATAGATATGCTAGTTCTGTGATTTGATCATTCCACAATATATACATGTATCAAAATATCACTGTATGCCCCTTAAATAAAATTACTATTTGTCAATTAAAAATAAAATAAAACTAAAAAAGTTTCTTTGTAAAAGTTTTAGTATTTGAATCAATAAAGTTCAGCTATCTTTAAAAAAGTTTTTATAAAGATCCTAGATTTTGTGAAAACGGTCCATTGCTGGCATCTGAATAGATTTTGACTGACTAATACCACTCTCATTCCTCTCTGTTATCTCATACTTTTGTTTCATTACTATCTATCAATTCACTAGTAATTAAATTATGAATCATGGTATTTATAATTTCCTCTTCTTTTCCTGTGGATGAAATGGTCCATGTGAATATGGAACAAGGAAGAAAGGTCACTCCATTTCAAAAGCAGAATAATGAGTTTTCACTTTTTTTTTTTTTTTTTGAGACGGAGTTTCACTCTTGTTGCCCAGGCTGGAGTGCAATGGAGTGCTCTCTGCTCACTGCAACCTCCGCCTCCCAGGTTCAAGCGATTCTCCTGCCTCAGCCTCCCGAGTAGCTGGGATTACCGGCATGCGTCACCACGCCCGACTAAGTTTGTATTTTTTGTAGAGATGGCGTTTTTCCATGTTGGTCAGGCTGCTCTCGAACCCCTGACCTCAGGTGATCCGCCTGCCTCGGCCTCTCAAAGTGCTGGGATTACAGGTGTGAGCCACTGCGCCCAGTCGTGTTTTCACTTTTAAGAGCACTTTAATGTCAGATAGTTCTGATTATAAATCCTAATTTGACCACTTATTTTTGTTTTTGCTTTTTTGAAACAAGGTCTCTTAAGTTGCCCAAACTGGACTCGAATTCCCGGTATCAAGTGACCCTTTCACCTCAGCCTTTTGAGTTGCTGGGACTATAGGCACTCGCCATCACTCCTGGTTTGACCACTTTTTTAAGTGTGGCATTGAAAGAGTGATTCAACCTCTCTGAACCTCAGTTTCTTCATCTGTAAAAAGAGGACAGTGATATCTACTTCACACAGTTAAGGTGAGGACTCACTTAGATCCTCTAATTGCTTAACACAGGGCCTGGCTCATAGCAACAAACTACAAGCTGCATATGCCATTGTCTTTATTACATTTGTTAAAATATAAGCAATAAAGCTAAATGCAGAATATAATGATGTAATAAATATTGACTGGTAATTATTTAAGATATTCTAAAGTTTTAAAATAAAAGGTCTGGAGTAGATAAGAAGGATATTAAGAATACGGAGAATATAAAGATTAGTAAGTTATTTTAAAACCTATTATTTATTGGCCTATTAAACATTCCATCTGTTAAGGAGAATTTGGTAAATAGAATTTTATTTTTACCATACTGCTTAACAATATAAACCTATAACAAATAAGAAAACTGGGTTAAGTGTACAATACAATATGAAGTTCCCAGTTAAATTCCATTTTGAATAATAGAAAGCGGTAGAGTCATTATGACCTGCTGACTGAATGCCTGGTGTTGCCAGCCTGCTGTGAATGCTGGGCTGGAAGAGGACCTACACATGATGACAGGGACTCCTTTGCAGCTTTTCAGTAGCAAGCGGAGGAAATGCAAATGTGATTAGCTCGTGAATATATCATTACATGTCAATACAGTCACTGCAATTACCTTTTGCAGGTAAAAGGTGCCATGTGTCTAAGAAGAGAGAAGAAAATCTGAATTTTTACACAGAGTGAAAGCGTGACTAGTATTGAGAATGGCAAATTAGACGACCACAATTCTGATTGACGAAGGGAAATAATTTGCTGTGGACGTGCTGTGAGCAGCAAATTGCTGTATGTACACTCTGAGCTTGGAATGAAGACATCTAATGATGCCTTTTGGTGGAAGAAATCTGACCATTTTTTTCTCCCACCCCAAATCTGGCCCAATTTAATGCTGACTCACACATTTTTGGTTGATGCTACAATGAAGTTTGTTAAACCAGCTAGCTTCATTTTGCTTAATTTTACTCATCTGTGAGATTACAATAACTTTTTTAAAAAAGCAAAGAGGACTGTACCATGCATTGAGAGATTTTTATTCTAGCTCTTACTCCTCCCTAACTTGGCATTCTTGGATTTGACTTTTGGAGCTTCCCTCATTAAATGAGGTGTTTGGAATGCTTGATCATGAAAGTACTGTCCAACTCTATCAGTCAAGTACTGATTCCAGATGTCACAAGGAATCTAACCACTTTCCTCACCTGGGCCTACCAGCTCATCTCTACCTTAAGCTCAAGCTTCACAGTAAAGCTCTTCAAGTGGGAGAGCCAGAGGAGCACATCCCAAATCACTTTAACTGCATCTTGAGAAGCAATATAATTTGATGGCTCCGATGTGATTCCAACAAGGCAAAGGAAACTTGTCTGCACTAAGATTACGCCCCCAAACTACCATAAATTCCACACATTGCCCCGCTGGCTGAGAGCCTTCTGAATTCATTTTGGATCTAGACCGGGTCTTAGTGAAGAGCTGTGGACAACTTGAGGATTCATTTTTCAGATAAGGCCACTGGATGGGAGGGGAAAAGGTTAGAAAATTACAACATAAGGGAACAGAGATGAATACAGACATGAGGTGAGGGGACAACAAAGGCACGGAGTTGTCTAAGCTCAGCTTGCCTTCCTGAGATAGCAGAAGGTGAAAGAGCCAAATGGCATTCAGCTGCTCCTACCGGACAGGGCGCAATGACAGAGATGTAAAGAGCGTTTGTGTCGTCCATCAGATAATGTTTTATAGTTTGCCTGCTGTTTACTGCCAAATCATACTACTTCCCTATTACTTCTCTCTCGCAACATGAAGCAGTGAGGAATCAGCTCAACCTCAATTTGAAAATGGCTCTGTCATTCACAAACTTTTGGAACTTGGGACAAGTGACTTAGCATCTCTGGGACCAATCTGTGGGAAACATGTTGGTGAAAACACACAACTGGCCTGGCTTGAGGATAAAATGGGAATGCAGCGTGTCAGGCCTCAAGCTCAGTCGATGCTCAACCCATTATTGAAAGTTTTACTTCTTCCTGCTGGTTTGTGGTTTTAGCGTGACTTTCCCTAAAATAAAGAGATTTGTGAATGGTTTGAATTAACACAAGATCTCATATTTATTACCCATTTTTCTCCTCATTGCTAAAATTGAAGGCCACCTGATAAGTTGAAACTGCTGTTGGTATGGGAGGATGTCAGCGTGGAAACTCACACATTCCTTACACTAGCTGTCAGACACTTCTACAATTTCAAACAAGTTTTTCTTAGCCTTTTATGTTTAAACAGCATATTACTAAATTTCATGCCTGGGTCCACTAGTTACCTAATCATTAGTTGTTTCTTTTTTGTTCTCTGGCGCCACTCTAGCCCATATTTGTGTTATCTAATATGCTTCTTCTTACTTGTGTGGTCTATATGAATCGGGCTGCTTTCAAACTCATTTCAGTTTCCAAGCAAACATTAGAAAAATAAATCCACAGCTGTTAAGGACTGCCACCAAAATATATGAAGCCATAAAACAGCAGCAGAGGTACATGGTTCTGATAGCTTTCCAGCCTCTAACACATACACATATCATAGGGCACGTCCTGCTCTCAGCCATCTTGGTGGGATCTAATGTCCACAAGAACCAGCCCTTAGTAGAGCTGCATTTTTCTCAGGTGGATGCTTTAAAAATAACCGTGATGCAGGAAGAATGATTCCTAACACACAATAATCATTGAAAACAACCCAGTACACAGCTGGTGGAAATGTAAAATGATACCCTTGCTTTCGAAAAGATGCTAAACATATGCATACTATGACCTAGCAGTCCCAAACCTAGGCATGCAAGAATGCTTCCATTTGTACACTAAAGACATGTGCAAGAATATTTATAGAATCTCTATTCATAATATCCCCAAACTGGAAGCTAATCAAATGCCCGTCAATAGGAAAATGGATAAATTGTGGTATAGTCACACAATAGAATATTACATAGCAATAAAAAAGAACAAAGCATGACTACATGCAAAACATGAATGAATCTATGAATCTCACAACCATTATCTTGACTAAAAGAAGTGAGGTGTAAACATATACAGAGTATATGGCTCTATTTATTTAAATTTGGAAAATAGGCAAAACTTATCTATTAGCCCAAGGTACACTTCATTGCGGGAGGATAGTGACTGGAGAAAGTGTTCTGTTTCTCAACTGGGTACTGGCTACAAAAACATCCAGCTGGTAAAATTTCATCAAGCAGTATAACTGATACTTGCACATTCCAATATGTATATTATGCTCAACAGAAAGCTTTTAAAATAGTGAAATATTATGAAAATATATTGTCATCTTCAAAAAGATCTTGGAAAAAGCAAGGAACAATATCCAGATGATAGGGAGGCATCTAATGGGTTCATCATGTCATTAGATCACAGACTTGAGCGACAAATCTGACCCGTATGTTTGAGGACCACTGCACCAATGTCTCTGCCATATGTGGCTAGAAAGGGCATTATTGTGATTATGACTGTGATTATGATATAATTATTGTCATTATTGTGTATCAGGCACTGTATTGAGGTTCCTTTCATCAACCTTATCTCATTCAACCTCACCAACAGCCTTGGAAGAGAACAATATAACTTTCATTTTGCAAGGGTGGAAACTGAAGTTTCAACATATTAAACTACTCATGTCAAGTTGTTAGGAGACCCAAGATATGGATGATCATTTTTACTGGTTATCTGAGGTTCCCTTGAGTCCAGACTTTGGACTACGAAACCCCAAACCCACTCTTTGGCTCCAGAAAATCCCTCCCTATGCTGTATGAGAGGGCGATGGTTTGCTCCTACTATGTTCATTTTTCCTGTATGGGTTCAGGTTTGTTCAGTCTGCATTCTTCAGTCTCTGAAATCCTGACTGATGAGCAGTCATGGCAATATCTGGTTCTTCTCTTTCCCACGCACATTTGGTTCAGTTCTACTGAGCCTAGCATCAAAGCAGCCAGATTGGCTGGACTCCAGGGACTTGTTGTGACTAAGATTTGCCTGCTGGAATTATCAGTGTGATCACAGAAGTAACCCAATCTTCTGTTTGCTCTTTGAATTGTCAAAGGTTGATATGAGGACAGATCTTTTTTTTTCACAGTTCCCAGAGAGGCTCAAAATTTGCTCTTTTCTTTATGGGTCCATATAAAATTTTTTATAATCAACATTGGCAAAAATTGCTAGAGGGTTTTTTCTAGTGGCAAGGAAGAATATGGTTTCTATGTACTTACATGAATGGTCTCTAGAGACAGGCAGACCTAGGTTCATATCCCAGCTAAACCACTGATGTAGTTTGGATGTTTGTCCCCTCCAAATCGCATGTTGAAATGTGACCCCCAGTGTTGATGGTGTGACCTGGTGGGAGGTGTTAGAGACATGGGGGTGAATCCCTCATGAATAGCTTGATGTCCTCCCCTCAGTAATGAGTGAGTTCTTGCTGTGCTAGTTCACGTGGGAATTGGTTGTTAAAAAAGAATATGGTACTCCCTCTCTTTCTCTTGCTTCCTCTCTCATCATGTCAAATACCTGCTCTCCTTCCCCATCTGCCATGATTGTAAGCTTCTACAAGCCCTCACCAGAAACAGATGCCACCACTATGCTTCTTATACAGTCTACAGAACCATGAGCCAAAATAAACCTGTTTTTAAAATAAATTACCCCGCCTCAGGTATTCCTTTACAGCAAGACAAATGGACTAATACAGCCACTTGCTAAGCCCACCGCGTTAGCTAATAAATGTGTACAATACCTTCATTCAAGAATTGTCATAAGGAAAAATGAGATCATGCAGAAAGCACTTAATTCAATCTCTGCCATTGGGTATGTTCTTTTCATAAGTGGTAAACATATACACACAAACACAAATATAAACAATTTATTTAGCATGCTTTATCATAAAACCATGCATGAGATACACTCAGGCACACACATAGACTCTTACAGAATCAAATGTTTGTGATTTCTTAGCCTTCTAGTAGCTACAGCAACAAATTTTGCTTTTGAGACAGTTTGGTAATTGTGGTAGTTTTCTAAAACAGCTGAGAATTACAGAAAAGAATAACTGTGAAAGGCAATATGATAAATAATAAATAAAGCAGCAAAATTGGTTTTAAAGGAATCTGAGTGTCTAAATTCTATGAATTCAAAAAGTATGAAAACTGTGTAGTATTATATATTTCTAGGCCACTTATTCTAATGACAACTTTTATCATATGTGTAGCCTGATTTACATAGTATCTTACTCATTTATAGAACATTTTGACACTTTGAGGTTAATAAACTCTTAAGTATTAACAGTCTATAAGTCTAGATGTAATAATAGCCTTTTAATCCATTGTCTTCCCTTCTCTTTAAAGACCACAAGAGTTGAGCAGTCTTCCTTTATATTTTATGTGTCCTCTCAAATAACTGAGAAGGAGACATTCAGATAGAAATTATCCACAGCCAAAGCTCTGCTGGGGAAGCTAATTCACATCAGAATTCAAGAAGACTCTGTTCCCTTACTCACTGGTGTTTAATGATTTTACTTCCTCATTACAGTTCTCTTACCCCAATATAGAGAAAATAATTAGACCTTGAATATGGCAATTAAAAAGCAGATATCCTGAGCTCTGACACTTCTAGCAGACTGTTAGGGAGTATTGTCACCTGTTGGCAAATTTCTAAAAGGTTATAAAGTACTGTTGAGAAAAAAATCATTTATTGACAAGTATGACCTAAGAGTTTTAATGTTCTAAGTTTATGTTCCTAAAAAGCATATACATATAAGAGCTGACACTCTTTAATGCTGCCGTTTTTCTTTCAAACCTTGCAGTAATACTCTACTTCCAAGGTCTTTAAAGGCTATTCCTCTATGATAATATCAAATGATAACAAACAGAACTGTAACTTTGGGATAAAAACACCAGTAATCAAGTAAATGTATATTATAAAGATAAGACATACAATCTGTAAAACTATTATATATTAGACCCAATGAGATTTGTTTGAAAAAGAATCTAAATATGCTTTCCTATCAGGTGGTAGTTCTCACTGACTCATAGTTTTAAAAAAGACATTAAGATGTTTGACACCAAAAAGTAAGTATAGCTACATCACATAAGGACACTTCAATCTGTGTGCACATTAATATGGGTGAGAATGATTTTCTGTTCTTTAAGCCATTCAGTTTGTGGTACTTTATTATGGCAGCCCTAGCAAATTAAAACAGGCACCATACTTGATGTCAGACTTACTGTACAATGAAGTCAACTATATATTAGATGTGAGTTAAGCCCTTTGGTGAGTCACTCTATCACTTGAGGCATATTGTGATGAAAGAGGCAAATGTGACATATATACACATCCTATTTTCTATATCCATTTATATATGTATACATAATAGAATATTATTTGGCCATAATAAAGAAAATCCTCCCATTTGTGATAACATGACAACATGAAAGAACCTGCAGGACATTATGCTAAGTGAAAGAAATTAGACAGAGAAAGACAAATATATGATTTCATTTATATGTGAAGTCTAAAAACTCAAACTCAAGTAAGCAGAGAGTGAAAAGGTGGTTACCAGGGGCTGGGAAATAGGGGAAATGAGATGTTGGTCAAAGGGTTCAAAAAGAAAAAGAAACTGCTTGATAGTAAATGTTTGTTGCTTCTTACCACTAGATTTTGGGAGAATTTATTGCATAGAAATATCTAGTAATACATCTATCAGATATTCAGTTTTCATTTTCTTTTAAGGGAAACCTGATTTATTATTCAGTTGGCAATTTTAGTGGCAAAAATATACTGCTCAGTCTTTTGTGCAGCTAGAATTGGCCCTGCAGCATGGGTGAGGCAGTGAGCTCATATAGAAATTTGCAGGGGATTTCTAGCGCCATTTTTCTGTCCTGATAAATGTGATTTCTTTCATCCTACCTTGAATGTGGGTGTGATGGCTGAAGCTGAAACAACCACTTCACCACTAGATGGAAAAGTCAGGAGAATCATACTGACCTCGACCCTGATGTCTTGGAGTTGCTAAAGTAATACCAGAAATTGCCTACCTTTGGACTTGTTATATGAAGAAAGAGAAAAAATTGTTTAAGCCACTTTTTAGTCAGTTTTTCTTTTACCAGAAACTGGAATACAATCTTTTCTGGAATAACTACTTTTCTCTTTTATGTCACTGGGGGAAATCTGGCATTGCTTCTCTTTTTATTCTTGAAAAATAGCACTGACTCACTGTCATTAAAAGTATTGTCAATTTATGTTTAAAAATCTTTAGCAACACCTTTTGTGTACTGCTATGGTTTGGCTCTGTGTCCCCACCGAAATCTCATCTTGTAGCTCCCATAATTCCCACGTGTTATGGGAGGGACTCAGTGGAAGATGACTGAATCACGGGGGCAGGTCTTTCCCATGCTTTTCTCATGATAGTGAGTGAGTCTCAGGAGATCTGATGGTTTTAAAAACGGGAGTTTCCCTGCACAAGCTCTCTCTTTGCCTGCTGCCATCCACATAACATGTGACTTGGTCCTTCTTGCCTTCCACCATGATTGTGAGGCTTCCCTGGCCCCATGAAACTGTAAGTCCAGTTAAACCTCTTTCTTATATAAACTTCCCAGTCTCGGGTATGTCTTTATCAGCTGTGTGAAAATGAACTAATACACATATACTATCTTCATCTATATTATTAGTATGGATAAAAAGTTATTAGAAGGAGAAAAATGAAAGAGATAAAAGAATGGAAGAAAGTGAAAAGAAAGAGGCCAACATAAAATGATATAAATAAGGGAAAAAATGGTAGAGGGGGAAAAGTACATTTTTAGGCCTGTGAAAGGAAATTAGTGTGAAAATTTTTAACAGTCTAAAGATTAAAGTGTAAAAACATTTATTGTCTCTTTCTAGGATGGCGGACGCTTTTTAAAATGTCATGCACCATGAGATGTTTGTAAGCATAAATTTCTTTTCCTGCTTTTTGAACTTTGACATTACACAGTGAAAGCCTAAATTTGAGATGCTTTTGATAACTGTCTTTCCTGAAAAGGTGTGAGGTGATAATGAATTGGACCTTTGAAAACACAGAGTGAGTTTGCACGTTCTAATTATTTTATGGGTTACATACAAAAAAGAAAAAAAGAATTACTTATCCTACACACACACAAACACACATACATATACATATATATATACACATACATATATACACCATATGTGTATGTGTGTGTGTGTGTGTGTGTGTGTGTAGGATAAGTATAACGTGTGTGTGTATAGGATAAGTATAAACATATATGTTTAAATATATATATATATGTGTGTGTGTGTGTGTGTGTGTGTGTATTTTTGGATAAATATTACAAAGAAAAGAAATATTAAATTAACCAGTGGCACAAAAATGATGTATTTTAGGGTATGGTATATTGTGACATTCATACAAAATGTGTCACACACATATTAACAAAAAGAGAAAAAAATACAAATTAAAATTTTAAACCTCTTTACAAGCTATTTGTGAAAATAAAATTCTTTGGGTGTTTTTGTTCTTCTATTAAAAATATATTACCTACTTTATAGTTATAATTATAATATGGTGTTTGAAGTTTCCTTTCATTTTAAATGAGCATTTTCATTCATCAAATCTGTGTTATGGTTCTCCATAGAAGCAAAGCCAATAGAAATTGGCTACCGTAATTATGGAGGTTAAAAAACTCCATCTGCCATTTACAAACTAGAGACCCAGGAAGCTAGTAGTGTAGTTCTGAGAACTGGAGGGCTGATGATATAAGTCTAGTACCAGTCAAAACAGGAGAAGACTGATGTTCCAGCTCAAGCCATCAGGCAGAAAGAGTGAATTCTCCCTTCCTCTACATTTTTGTTCTATTCAGGCCCTCAGTCAATCAGACAATGCCCTCCCATATTGGAGAGGGCAATCAGCTTTATGCAGTCTGCTGATTCCAATGCTAATCTCATCCAGAAACACCATCATAAAGCCACCAAGAGTTAACATTTAACCAAATATCTGGGCACCCTATGATCTAGTCAAGTTGACACAGAAAATTAACCATCATAACATCTTTGGTAAATATGAAAATATAATGTAGCATATGTGACACATATTTGTATGGCACTGGAGCCAGCCTGCTTGATTCAAATCCCAGATCTACCACAGGTTTTACAACTTCCAATAAAGACTTAGCTCCTGTGGGCTTCAGGTTCTTCATCCAGATGTAAAATAGAGAAAATAATAGTACCTGCCTTATAGGATATTGTGAGAATTAGGCAAGTAAATACATGCCAAGTATTTAGAATAGGCCTAGAATCTAGTCAGATCTAGTCAGCACGCAATGCATTTAACTATTATTTTGTGATACAGACATCATCATAAAATATTCTAGAAGTGAATATCACCTATATTGGTTCAAAAAGCAAATGAAAAAATTAGACTAAAAATGTAGAGATTAGTCACTCAAAAAGTGTAAATCTACGAGAGCTATTTGAACCTCAGTATAAACATATAGAACAAACACAGTTTTTATACTTATATTTTAAGACATAGTTTTATTTTTTGTTTATTTTTACCAAAGCTAAAAAGAGAAATCCTAAAATCAGAATGGTCCCCCTACAGAATGGTCAATTTCTACCACCTCCCTCTCCTGTAGTCCCCTATTTGAAGATGGGTCTATCATCCTGAACAGTTTTTCTTACTTTTTATGCAGTAAGTAACATATGTTCACCACAGCATAATCCAAAACACAAAATAGTAAATAAATAGGCAAAAAGAAAAAAAAAGTAAACACTACTTAGATTTCCACTACCCAGAGATAAACACATTTTCGTATGTGTCCTTTCATACCATTTTCTATGCATTTTTAACAATTTAAATAAATAATATATATTTTAATACCAAAATTAGATCACATATTCATACTATTTGCAATCTTTTTCTTTTATTTAGAATTTCATGAAATGATTTTCATGTCAATAAATATTTTAAATAAATATTTTTACAGCATCATTTTAAATAGCTAGTTCTTATGAATTTTTTCAACATTTCCTCGGGTAACTCATTGGACATTTAATTAGTTTCTGTGTTTTCTCTGTCATAAATAATGCTGATTGCTTCTTGTAGCTAATACTTTTTCATATGGTTGAGCTCAATTATAGAAATAAATGATTTTAGGTTTTTGACACACAGCATAGCCGTACTCCAAAAATGCAATATTTGTGCTATGTCTTGTGTGTTTCCAATAGGTTTCAATTGACTTCAAGAAAATGATCTCAACCAGATGTGTATGTAAGGTTGCACCAAAATGGTGAGAAAAAGGCAAACTTATTTTACAGCTAAGAAGTCATCTAGAACCCTGAATCATTTTTGAGTGTTTTGACTCTGATGCAAAACCCAGTAAAGGACTTGATAGGTGCGGTACAATATGATGAGTTAAAACTGAAAGCCTTTCCAACAGATATTTACAGAGCAGTGTATCATTGTTCTGGTTTAAAGGGAGAAATTTGTATAAATAATTCATCCCCCTCACAACAACAATAAAATAAAAGTCTTAACACTTTCAAGTAGGTGTTAAAATAGGAACTGCTTTGCCAAAAGTAAATAAGTGTAGTACAAATTTCTCTTCCTGCCAAGACAGAAGAGATTCTACATCACAGGTGGGTAAAGAAATAAGATACACTACCAGAAAATATTCCAGAAGAAATACCTCTTTACACTAAAGAATTCAAAGAAAACACTGGCTCTACAACCAACCAATTTAATTTAATATTTAATGTTACATGAAGGATGACTACCCTGGGGTAGACCTTCATTTTTCAAACTGCACTGAGAGGGAAGCTTTCCGATGGGGGAAAACATATCTCTTTTTGTAAGCTCATCAATGGTTAGGTCTTAAGGGTACCACCTCATATTCTATAAGGAGGTCATTTTTTAAATGAGGCCTAAGGCCTCACTATTAATAATAGATTAAGAATTATCTTAAACTCTGTCTCCTGGTCTCAATCAAACTCAAACATTCCTTTATCCTTTTCTTGAGTTTCAAAACCTCCTTACTTCTTCTTTATTGAGAAATAAATTCAAGGTGCTCTTTAGAAGGTGTTGGTTAAAAAGTTATTGTTACTGGAATTTTCTGATCTTTATGGCTGTTCACTCAGGAATATGTGCAATCAAACACTCTCTTAAAAGAGCAAAGGATTAGCTGGATGCAGTAGTGCAGGCCTGTAATCCCAGCTACATGGGAGGCTGAGGAAGGAGAATCACTTGAACCCGGGAGGCAGAGGCTGCAGTGAGCCGAGATCACACCACTGCCCTCCAACCTGGGCAACAGAGCGAGACTCCATCTCAAAAAAAAAGAGGAAAGGTCGGGCACAGTGGCTCATACCTGTAATCCCAGTGCTTTGGAAGGCTGAGGCAGGAGGATTGCTTGAGGCCACGTGCTTGAGACAAGCCTAGGCACCATAAAGAGATCCCATAAAAACTTTAAAAATGTTAAAAAGGGAAAGGTTCATATCTGGCTGGGTCTTTAAGATTACACACAGTCCAACTGAGAACAGGGAAATAAAACTGATATCAATTCCCAAATTCCTGGGAAATGTTCACATACTCTATTCCACTGGGTTCCTGCAGCAACCCTAGAAAGTAAATTAGAATGGCGATCATTAAAAAGTCAGGAAACAACAGATGCTAGAGAGGATGTGGAGAAATAGGAAGGCTTTTACACTGCTGGTGGGAGTGTAAATTACTTCAGCCATTGTGGAAGACAGTGTGGTGATTCCTCAAGGATCTAGAACCAGAAATACCATTTGACCCAGCCATCCCATTACTGGGTATATACACAAAGGATTATAAATCATGCTGCTATAAAGACACATGCACACATATGTTTATTGCGGCAGTATTCACAATAGCAAAGACTTGGAACCAACCAAAATGTCCAACAACGATAGACTGGATTAAGAAAATGTGGCACATATACACCATGGAATACTATGCAGCCATAAAAAAGGATGAGTTCATGTCCTTGCAGGGACATGGATGATGCTGGAAACCATCATTCTCACCAAACTAATACAAGAACAGAAAACCAAACACTGCATGTTCTCACTTATAAGTGGGAGTTGAACAATAGAACACATGGACACAGGGAGGGGAAAATCACACACCGGGGCCTGTCAGGGGGTGGGGGACTAGAGGACGGATAGCATTAGGAGAAATACCTAATGTAGATGACAGGTTGATGGGTGCGGCAAACCACCATGACACGTGTATACCTATGTGACAAACCTGCAGGTTCTGCATATGTACTCCAGAACTTAAAATATAATTTTTTTTAAAAAAAAGAAAGAAAGTAAATTAGACAAGTATGGTTACCCCAATTTAACCAAAGAAGAAACTGAGGCTCAGTAAGACTGAGTGGGTTCCTAGGGGCACAGCAATAAATGGTGGAATCTGAGTCAAACCCATTCTGTTTATATATGTATTGTCTTCAGGCAAACTGACACTCAGTATCTTTCATCTGCCAAGACTTCTAAGGGCCTCTTAGCACCTTACTCCCTCACTTGCATTTCTAAAGTTTCTCTCAGTCTTTCATCATTTTCACTGTCCACACAGTTGGTTCCAGCTAGTGTTTTTCCTTAAAAAACAAAAAACAAAAAAAAATTAATCCTTTTATACCAAGTCGGATTCTGGATAACTGTTGACCATGGCAACTATATTTTAAAAATATAATAGAACTGTACTATTAAAAAAATGAAGTGTTTATTTCTTTTCATTTGGACTAATAAATAAATACATTATTGATTGATTATTGATGGTACAGATGGGATCTTGTTATGTTGCCTAGGCTGGTCTTGAACTCCTGGCCTCAAGCACTTCTCCTGCTTTGGCCTCCCAAAGTGCTGGGATTACAAGTGTAAGCCACCACGCCTGGCCTTTGCTCTTATACGAGAATGTTTGTTCGCACATCTAACTGTGTGACCAACCATGAAGATCAGAAAATTCCAGTCATTGGTATGATGTTATACCAACGGCTTACTGGGAAATATTTAAGTATCATTTATAGTCCAGTTAAACTGATATAATCAGAATTGTTTAAGCCAATACTTGGAATAGAGCTGAAAATTGTTTTGAGTATATGACAACACAAAAGAAAAAAGAGATCTTGCCTTCTTTTGCGTTGATTACTGTATCCTTACCTGGACTGATAAATGAGTACAACACTTAACTTTAAGAACAAGCTCCTTGAGATGACAAACTAATTTAATCTATCCTACATGGATTCCTTGGAGCACAGTCATTTTGAATATGTTGTCTTCAATATCAAACATAAGCAACCATTTTTCTTTTTCTTTCAATAGCCATTAACTGGAGATATGCCTCAGCAATAGTTTTCCTTTCTTTCCAGATATTGTCCATACAATTATTGGTTAATCTTACAAGGCTTCAGTGAGGTTTATATCCCTCATATCTCAAAGGACTTCCACCAATCTCTAATTGCTTTGTGAATTTGACCCTCTTTTTCTTCCTGGCGCTGCCATAAAATTGCCTTTTACCACCAAGTGTTCACTTTATCAGCACTTCCAGCACTATCACTGGGATTCTCTTTTTCAGCTAATAATAGTCAAAACCGTGTGCCAGAGCAGTTACAATCACAGACAGAAGGACCATGCCAGAGTAAATAAATAACTTAGGGGTGCCATTCTAAATGAGGGAAGTATAGCATGGGCGATGGTCAGATACTCATTGGCTAACAGTGTAAGCCAGCACTCCCTGTCCAGAATTGGCCGACTACCCGTGAGAATAAACCTATAATGACTACACTCTTCAGTGTACACACACACACACCATTTTAAATATAAAAATGTCTTCTGAGATAAACAGCTTTCTAGTGAATCGTAAGTGTGAGGGCAATGTGAATGGGGTGTCAGCTGTGTGATCCTGAATCCAATGTTGTAGATTTGAAGGGGCAGAGAAGAGGAAGGCAATGTAATGTGGATTAAGGTGCTGCTTCCTAGATTTAGGAGGCTCTCCAATTCTCTAGGCCATTTAACTTCTGTGAGCAAGTCCTTTAAGTCTGTGGTACAGCAGGTTTTCATAAGGTTTTCATAACTGAAGGCTTTCGAGGTGGACTTCATGAAGCATTCAGGGTTCCCAGGAGCCTCCACGCAATAGTGACAATGGGAAGGAGCCATGGTGTTTTCATGTGGACTCAGACTTCCAACCTACTTCATCCAGAACAAGGCCTGTTTCATATGTTGATTTATTTTAAAGATTTTATTTAAATACAGGTTTCTAAGGCGTTTTGAAAATGTTAAAAAAAATTAAACCCAGTGATCCCTAGGGTCCCTTTCAACCCTAATATCTTACCCCCTGATTCCTCTGGAAGAGAAAAGAGGTGAATGGTTCTATTCTCACCACCACTAGCTACCCTATCTACTAACTCCTGATGAATCACTGACTTGGCTACCTATGGGTGGCAACATGTTGTAAACATAGGCATACAAGGTCAGTTGTCCCCCAGGTTATCTAATGCTTCGTTTTCAACAAAAAGTCAGGAAGAAAAAAGTGTGCCAGCGAGGAGAGTCAGTAGGAAAAAAAAAATGGCAGGAATATGGCAGAAGAGAAGCTGAGGCGAGTCCAGGGACAGGGAGCTTTCAGCCCTCTCCTCATACCAGACCCATTTCTGCCAACTCCTGTGTGTCCTCAGAGAGAGTAAGGATGGGTGTAGGGGAGAAAGAGAAAGCGGGGAGGGAATAGAGAATGGAGTTGTTAATCTGACTGGTTAGAGCCTAAGCTACTAATTGAATCACATTTTCTAATGAGTGGGGTCACTGTTTCTTAAAATGTAAGAACCTGCACTCCAGGTGCTTGATATGTATTCTCAAATTTAAAGAGGGCAGGAGGCACTGCTTAAGTTTTGAACTGAAGTATTTGCTGGAACACTAGGTACCGGTTCAGCTGGTAAGGCAGCACTTGGATATCCAGTTCACTGCCATTGTTTGCACAGTGCCGTCTTGGGAACTCTGCCAAGCAGTATAGTTTTAGCTGGACAGGGTGGAGAAATTCCTGGGTTCCTTGTCTATCAAATATTCCATCCATCCTGATCCCCCTCTCCACCTCAAAAAGTGGAGAAAAAAAATAAATATCAAAAATACAAGAAGAACATTCAGGTTAGATTGAAGGCATCACTGTAACATTCAGCCCTCTTTATGCTGGACACATTCATAGATTCTGAACTCTCACATTCTCTTCCCCTTCTAAGCTCAGCAGTACTTGAGGCCAGTCCTAGGAATTTGGTACAATACTCACTGGGTGCAGTTTCACCTGGGATGTCTGGTAACAACTTCTTGTCACTAAGATTTTAGAAACTGTTTTAGGGTAAATAAGGATCCATGAAGGTACTTGCTGGTCCTCACAGGTAGTTTACGGGCCACAATCTGTGGGTGTGGTCAGCCGTCCCCATAGCTTGTAAGAGTTTTTTTCTCCCACAAGTGTATACTAGAGCACCAAAAAAAGACACATGGAATCTGGCAAGAAACAATCCACCTCAGATGGTACAAAGACCATAATGAAGGGACTCCTCATGATGTATGGGCAGGTTTCAGGCAACTGGAAAAGCATGTCAAATCACCAAGAGGACGGCAAGAGCAAAAAGTGGGACCCGCTGGGACTGAAGGCCTTGTGTTACTGCAGGCTTGGGAGTGCTGGCTCCATGAAGGAGGGGACTCTGGACAGGACCATAGTCCTGGAGGAATACAGCCTCTGCCAGAAATGGGACCCAATGTGGGGAAGGCGGGAAAAGAATATCCCAACCTTTTCCTTCTCCTTCCCTCTCATCTCCTGCCAATGCCTCACCATAAGAAATGGCAAGGGAGTCGGGTAATGCCAGCAAACACATCAGCCTCTTGGGGACATAGATAGACATAGGACAGAGAAGGGATATAAGTGATCTCATGCACATATATGCATGTGGGATAAGGCAACTGGAAATACTCAGTGCAGATCCTTAGCCCAAGGGGAAAGTATATACATATATCTGAGGTTTGTGAACCCCTTAGGACTATTCATGGATTCCAGGGTAAGACAGTCTAAATCTATTAATGACTTTCAAATCTATATCTCTAAGTTATATTGTGATCTTTCCCCCAAGTCCGGGTTTTAGATGTACAGCTGCCACTAGACACCGTCTCTCAGCTATCCGATAGGCAGTGCAGATTCAGGCTGCTCAAAACAGAAGTGGTTCCCTTCCTCTTCCTTTTAACCTGCTCCTTCTCACAGGTTACTTTTTCTATGAATTTGAATCACTCTGGCCAGATAAGTCTAAATCTTTAAATCCTTTTCCTTCTCTCTTAAATCCCATCAGTGACTAAGCCCTATTAATTCCATCTTCTAAGTATCTCAAGAACTTCTTCTTTTACTGTCAGTCATATTGCCACCTCCTTGATACAGATTTCCATCACTTTTCACCTAGATCACGGTCCCTTCACATGCATCCCTGACCTCTTACCTATTTTCCACAAAGTCACAGAGAGAAACTTTTCTAAAAAGAAAATCACATCATTCCATTCCATTAATTAGAACTCTTCTGTCTTTCCCTTTTAGAAATCCAAATCCATCCAGATTCAACTGCATGTACACCAGCTTTGTCTCCAGGGTTTCCCCGTGACTCTGAAGGTCTAGTAACACCAAATGAGCGACAAGTTTTTTTGCATACTGTATGTTGTGAATACCTTTCTCTTAGCTTCCTCTTTATTGGCCTGGTGAGGTGGTAACTTTTTATTTAGAAGGAGTTTTGAAAATACAGAAGACTTGCATAAATATCACAAAGATCTCCTTTACATCCTTTTCTCTGCATTTTCATTCATTCCTTAACATCCACTTCCTGGATCACTTTCTTTGGTCCTAACCCCATCCTGTGAAGCTCATTTCCCCCTTTCTCTGTTCTCTGTTATTTTCCTGCTCTCGATGGTAACTGCACTCTGACATTGTTCTGTGCTTAGCTTACCTGTCTGTCATTTATGTTTTTTGTTTGTTTGTTTGTTTGTTTTTTGAGACGGAATCTTGCTCTGTCTCCCATGCTGGAGTGCAGTGGCGCAATCTCAGCTCACCGCAACCTCTACCTCCTGGGTTCAAGCAGTTTTTGTGCCTCAGCCTCCCCAGTAGCTGGGACTACAGATGCCCACAGCCACATCTGGCTAATTTTTGCATTTTCAGTAGAGACAGAGTTTCGTCATGTTGCACAGGCTGGTCTCAAACTCCTGGCCTCAAGCAATCTACCCACCTCAGCCTCCCAAAGTGCCAGGATTACAGGCATGAGCCACTGCACCTGGCCTGTCTGCCTGTCATTTAATAGGCCAAGTTCCACACTGACATAGGCAAAGCATTACCAGGAACTTTTGCGGAGTTTACCCTAAGTAGACACCTGAGAAATAAATGCTCAGTAAGTAAGTGAGAGAATGTCCAATCCTATGATCAAAAGGCTTCTTTAAAAGACATCAGGGTAGGTGGGTTTTATTTTTGTTTTTGATTTGGCATGGTTTTATTTACTTAGTTTTTTGCCATCTTATAAATTGAGTCAGTACTACTAGCTCTTATCTATTTCAAAGGAGCTGAGAAAGAAGAATCTGTCACTCAGTGAAGAGACACCATGACCCCACTCCTGAGTAAGTCTTCTTAGCTTGTATAGACACTTGAGAGGAGATAAGTTCGAGAGGAGGGAATCCCTAATATGCTACATGACGGAATAAGTGGAGGGTTGTGCTGAAAGCATGACACAGACCCTGGCGGGCATAAAAGTGACTGCCAATCTCTCTTGGGGAAGGCTGTGGATACCTTGCAGAGTTAATAAGGGTCCCAGGCAAGGAAGTGATCAGCCTCACCAGCAGGAGGCCATGTGAACCAGCCGAGGCCCTGAGCGGAGAGGGTGGCAGGAGAACAGACCTCAGGTAGCAGCCACCAGCAGAAGCCATATTCAGGGATGTCACATAAATCTACCTAGTATGGAATGGGAAAAGAATTGGGAGAACATGGTGATGATTCAGATTGCAGCAATTTACTAGTGAGAAAATGCCTAAGTATTTACTGACTTGTTTTCATTGTTGACAACATTTCTTTCCAATATGCAATAGGCTGAGCACCTGCAGATTGCAAAGTAAGGAGCTCCTAGGTTTATGTGCGGGGACTACAAATGAGCACCTTAGACCCAAGGGCAAGTAGTGTGTTTTCAGAGTAAGCTCATCTACAGCTCTGTCAAATGGAAACTGCATTTCAGATTGGTGGCCTTAAAAAAGCAGTCAGAGAAAAAGCACCCCAGGAGAGGAACCAGTGAGAGCTGGAACACAGAACCAGTGTCAGGATTCAGTGCTATTAGACTTGCTCTCGCATACCAGTGAGCTGAAACAGCTATTTCATAATAAGGATCTTGGGAATAAAAAACAAGTTTAGGTGAGAACTACTTTGAAGGAAGGGGCAGTAAACTCACTGAAATAAATGTATAAAATTCTGTGTTCACCAAAAATGGAGCACACTCACCAGTCGGGGTATGATGCTGGCAATCAAATGAGCAATTCGTCAGCTTTTAAACCTCAGGTATAGATATCGTGACTCAAATATTAATAATGTACAGCAATGGCAATGTTTCAGGAGGTTGCATGGAGAAAGAAAGCCAGTCCTCAGCAACTGTTGATTGGGAATTTACTCAGTAAGTAAATGTAAGGCAATTTCCTATTCCCAAGAACCTCATTCTCAGAATCCAGAGCAGAGATCTTAACAATACCCAAATATCTATATGTCAAAGATGAAAACAGACTTTCCAATAGAGGCAAAGACAAAATGGTATTGAGGGCAGCTGGGAGAATCAGGAAGGGTCCAATAAGGAGGAGGCATCTAAGATGGAACCTGAAAGGGCAAGATTTCAATAGACTGAGCTGTGCGATGAGGAGGTCTCAGAGAAACAATGAGGAGGAGCTCCAGAAGAAGGTGGCTAACAGCCTCGATACTGCAATACTGCAAAAAAATCAAAGAGAACAAGAACAGAGAAAAGACTATTAAATTCTGCACAAAGGAGAGTTTTGGTCACTTCCATAATAGCAGTTTCAGTAACGTTGACGAATCAGGGCTCGATTTTGAACAGCTGAGGTTGTAAATTGCTAGTAAAAATGTGACAATAATAAGTGGAGACCTAAGTTTGTAGTTGTTGGCTGGTAAAGGGAAGAAGAGGAAAGGTTCAAAACGTTGAATGGAGGCAGAGTAATTAAAGGGCATATGTTCACTTTCTGGGAGGGATAGCAGATAACTCAGAATAATGTGAAGGAAGGGAAACTAAAAGGTTAAAAAGAACCAAAAGGCCTGGTGGATGGTGCATGTTAGGGAACAAGGTCCTAAATGGAGCTGGGGCAGAGTGATGGGGAAACAGTACTCTGTATTTTGTTTTAGATTTACTTAACTCATGATTTAGAGGACTGTGTTCAGTAATAATAAATAGTGAGTATTAATAACTTCCACTGACAATTGTATTAAATGCCAGAAAATAATAAGAACTAAAATTAATTAATACTTTCCTATGTACCTGGCCCCAGGCTCAGAACTTTATACTTAAAATAAAATTCTGCATCATTTCTGTATGCTTATAGTATCAGATACCCCCAGAGTAAGTGAAAGTTTTATAAGTATAAGCACTTCCAAGATTGCAAACACCCAGCTTGCCACCACCTGGAAATAAAGAACTTGCCATCTACGCGGGATCCCTCCCTGCCCTCACTCCACCCTGCCCCCAGCCCGACAGGAAACGTGGGGACCTGTGTGATCCATATCCCTTCATCTGCAGTTGTTATTTTCCCCTTGGGAGTTCTGTGCAACACATGAATCCTCTCTACCCTCATGATTTCAGCAGTTTATGGCTCATTTAGAGCCACCTCAGAAAATCTCTCCCATGTCCAATGCCCAGGTAAGCACTTCCCTTACTCAGATGCCTCTGCTCCAGCTCCCATCTGTTTATCTCAGGAATACCAATTCACTTACTCTGTCTTTTGCTGCTCCTCTCCTCTGTTACTCATTTAATTTTTAAGTTGAAAGGGAACTTAATCCTCCTTGATAATCAGAAAAGCACCTACCATTAATGATATATTTATAAAAAGAAGGGACAACTAATATACAGTGGAGTGAAATCACACAGTACAATAAATCCTCCTCCCTTTAAAGATACCCAGAATTTCTCTCCAGCATCTACAAGAACCTGCGTATCTACGTCCTGATTTCCTAATTATACCATTTTTGTCTTAGCCTTCAAAATTAAAATAAGGTAATTTTTGTGCTTTTATTTCTATTTTAAGATGTAAAATAATATTTTCTGTAATTTGTCACTGTAAATTAAAATTATTTCTTATATACTATGGGCAAAACAGGTTTTATGGGCTAACCTAGCTGTCATTTAGAAACTTGATTGTTCATGAAAATGAACTCTGCATTCTAAATGACTAACTTATAAATACACCTTTATAATAGAATCTCTTTGTATGTTGAAAACTCTTTGAATATGAAGATAAAGCATAATGTGATATTGTTATGCAAATGATGGCATGGAATATCTACCTAAACATTAATGATGTCTTTTCCAAGATTATTAATTAATTTTTGTACTAGATTAGTTATGCTATCAAATACTCTTTAAAATTTTTCAGCAGCTTCCTATGTAGTAGAAATTATTTAAGAAAATTAACTCAAATATAAGGTACATAAGCATATGAAGAGTGTAAGACCTTCCCAATGTCTAGTTTTGATACGTCTAATGGCATATCAAAAATACCTTATAAATTCTCCTGTTGTGCTAATGACTTGAAAATTACAATGAGCCAGAAAAGCAATCTATACAGTAATTAATGAATTAATAATCTACCTCATTTCAAAAAGGCACGCAAGTCAGCTTAACAGAAAGCATATAATTAAGCAAGGTACAATGAATTGAATATGAACTTGAAAAAGGAGATAGAAAAAGGAGAGTAAGATGGAGAGCATAGGTGGATTCATACAGAGATACATGCCATGAAATACTGCAATTATAAGTGGGCCCCCATATTTGGTTCTTAGAGTTATAGAAGCCAACCTAAAGAGAGAAAAAAATGATCAATTTCAAGATTTGCAGTGTTTACCTAATAAAAACTACTTTAATAGTACTTATCTAAGGATGAGAACAAGTATCTCTGATACTGAAATCCTAAAGAGATCCTCAGTATTTTCTATGATATTCTTAGAGTAATTCCAATGATAGGATCCACAGTGAGACTCAAATCCTCTCCACACAAGGAGATGGCAGCACACTAAAGCCTAGCTGGATAAAAACCAGCTCCATGGGAAGCTATTAAAATGCTGTACAGTGCATGGGTCCCCCAGTGGATTTGCTCAGTCACAAACTCCTTTAAAGCATCTGTTATAATATATGAACTAATTATCTTTAAGTCAATCTTACCTAAATATTCAATCCCAGTCCACGTTTTGAAATGTACTGAGCATTACCAAATTCACAGGCCTGAATCCAGCTACTTAGTATGGCTGTGGAAATACAGGACTGCATGCTTTAATAAGCCGTGAAGCTCAGGGAAGCATTCTGGGCATGGAATTGCCATTGTATCTGAATGCAGATTACTTCTGCTTTCCAGAATAAACAAATGTTGAAATTATCCTAAAATGGATAATGACATTACAAATACTGAAGTGAGTAACACTTAATATTCTATAAATCTAGTGGCACAAGTGATCTTCTGGTTAAACAAAAGAAATACGCAGCAAAGGAGACACTAGAAAATGGAAATTACCTGTGTTTATTTTTTTAATAAATCTGAAATCAGTGAGGGTTTAGATTTTTTCTTTTTTTTTTTTAAGCTTTTTTGGCTGGATGTTTATACAATGCAAAATAACCCTCTCCAAATTTATTGAGGTGGCCGACCATGTCCATGACCAAATTCGCCTCTAAACTGGAATTCAGTTGCTGACCCAGTCCCAGCCTCGGCTTTCTTGTCGGCACCAGGGGGCACAGCACTCCGTCTGTAGGTATCTCTGTCGGCTTTCCCTCTTGTGAGTCTTGCAGGTCACTCACCCTTCAGACCTTTAGGCCGAGGCCTGCCAGTCCCTGGACGGCTACGGCATAGAGTGGCAGGCACAATCTCCGGGGGCAGATGAAGGTAATCACGGAGATACTGGATACCCTCATTGGGAAGGTACCAGTAGAAATGTCTCCAGGCAAACTGTGCCTTCACGTAGCCTCGGGACTTGAGAGACTGCATGGCCTTTATGACAGGAAGGTTGGACACATTCTTGTCTGACAGCTCCAGGTGCTTAGGCATGTGGATGTCCTTGGCCACCATGACTCCCTCCTTAAAAAGGAGTCATAAATGGCAATCTGGTTCTTCTTAGGCATCAACATCTTGATGGCTGTAGGGTCCGGGGCCAGGGCCTAGATACAGTCTTTTAAAAAGAGACATATGGGATCTATTTTCTTTAATGCCTACCTAAGAAAAATAACGTTATTGTCCAAAGTTGTACTTTTTAATCTTTTGAAACTAAATGAAATTTACTCTTCTAAATTCCTTAGTACATTTGAGAGTATTACGACTGAATTTCTAATTTGTTTCACAGTGCTTGTTTTGTTTTTCAATTTGCTATAGAGAAGTGAAATATAATAATTAAGATTTTAATTTACTGTTACTGAAAGTGATTTCCTTTTAAAGTCATAACTGTATTATTCATTTGCTATGTTTTCCTAAAACTTTGTATTACTTCTTTATTTCTATTATGTTAGGATAACAAATGAAGGAAACAAAACTCTACAAGACACCTTTATTTTCTTTCAGATATTTAATTCAAAAATGTCATCTTTTGCAATAAACATTATATTAGTCCATTCTCATGCGGCTATGAAGAAATATCTGAGATTGGGTAATTTATAATGGAAAGAAGTTTAATTGACTTCTGCATGGCTGGGGAGGCCTCAGGAAACTTACAGTCATGGTGGAAAGGGAAGCAAACATGTCATTCTTCACATGGTGGCAGGAGAGAGAAGAATGAGAAAAGAGCCAAGGGGAAGCCCCTTATAAGACCGTCAGATCCCACGAGAACTCACTCACTATCACGAGAACAGTATGGGGGAAACATTATCTCCACCTGGTCCCACCGTTGACACGTGGGATTATTACAATTTAAGGTGATATCTGAGTGGGGACACAGAGCCAAAGCATATCACTTATAAAAGAGTATAACATTGTCAAGATTCAGAATTTAAACATTGTCTTTTTTTGTTCTCATGGTATTTGTTAGAAATATTTTCATAAAGCTAGGAGCAGTAGTCTAAAGCCTCATTAGATCAAGATTGAGGAAAACAGGTCAGTCACTAACCATGAAGGGGCTTGACAAGCTTCCAATTTACAGTTGAAATTCATACATTATAATTTTTGTGATAACCTCCCATATGTCAAACTAACTATTAGTACCAGGGATATAATTAATAATCAGGATACATAAGGTTCCTACTGTCATGAAGCTCACTACCTAAGGAGAAAAGCCAACACATTTTTACAAATCATAAATTATGTCAAATGCAATGAAGACAATAAACAGATGCTGTGAGAAAAATAAGATGAAATGTTGAATTTAGAAAAGTGGTCAGACAATACTATTCTGAGGAGGGGACATGATTAAGCTCAGACCAGAAGAAGGAGTAACATACATAAAAAGTAACCTAGAAAGAGGGAACAGAAAGCAAGATTCAGATATGAAAAAAAAGCTTGACATAATTTAGGAATTGATGGAAGCCACGGAGTTTAGTAAGCAATGGTGAGACAGGAGATGTTTCTGGTCACTGGAGATGCCAAATCATGTAAGGCCTAAAAGTCTCAGTAAGATTTTTTATTTTCTTGTAAAATAAATGGGAGAGAAACAATGAAAGACTGCATGAGAGAGGCAAGGATAAGGGAAAGTATTTAGAAAACAGAATGAATTAATGAAATTTTGCCCCCCTTAATAACTCACATTACTAGTAAATCTTAAGAGATCAGTTTTGAAAGCTACAGAAATCTCAGATAAACAAAAGCAACTAAATTGAGTATAACACATATAACAAATGTTATGTTCAGAATATGGACAATTTGGGTTTTCTTGAAGTTCTTCCTATTGATAGAATATTTATTTCCTCTTAATTTCATACATCCACAGGCCTCCTAGATTCTTAGAACTATGTTTTCCTCCAAAGGAAAATAGACATAGAAAAGTACCCAGGGTAATATAATAAACACTTCAGTTCTCACCATCAACAGTTTTGAATTTTTCAGACTTACTTCAGCAATAATGTTCATTTGACACACCTTCTACTAAATTTTGACCCTCTCCAAAGCAAGCTAAGTAATCCTTTCAAAAATTAAGTTATCTTTTCTTGGTAGATAAGGCTATATAGTCAATGAATTTACTAGACTTTATTAATCAAAAATTCACGTAGCCAATGCTCATGAGGGCTGCAGTTCTCAGGTCATTTTACATCTAACCTAAAAACATATAAATAAGAAGTTGTTAGGCACTTGTCTCTGATTTTAAAAGCATACATGGCATTCTAAAGTACATGAGGCAAGAAATGTGCCCACCATGGTAACCTCATCCGAAATGCCCCAGAGGAGGAATGATGAGAACATGGCTGAGGTGAACTCATCAGAGATGGCCCAAAGCTGGAGTGGTGAGAACATGGCTAAGGTGACCTCATCTAAAATAGCCCAAGGCCTGAGTGGGGAAAGCAACAGGAAAGAGTGGACTCTCCCACTCTGATGGAGTATTGGCTCCAGCACACATCACTCTGGTTTCTCCACCCACCCTAATTTCTAAGGATGATCTTAGATTCAGATTGGAAGATTCTGAACTAGAGTTGTCACTTCCACCAAGGAAGAACCTGTGCTTTGATTGCTCAGCTGTTTTCAGCTGATAAGTGAATCAAGATCCCCTCAGGACAAAGCTGACATTACTTTTGCTTATCGTAAGCCATTTTTAGGGTCATGAGACCTTAAAAACACCTTCATGGCACATCTGTCAATAAGCAACAACAAAAAAATAGAAAATTTGTTCAAGTTGGGTATTCGGCTTAACAAAAACTGTGATCCTTAAGTTCATGGAAATCCACTATCCCCTTGGTATTCCTCAAAAAAAAAAAAAAATCACTTTACCTAAAAATATCCCACATGCAAGAGTTTATAGATCCTGGAGTGACAGATATTATCTGATTTCAAATATGCAATAAACCAAAGAAAATATTTTTCAAAATGTTTATTCTATGGGCCAGAGTGTTCTTGAGGAAATTATTTTAGGACCCCAGAGTCTTCAATTAAAGGGTTACACACCATTTTCAGTTTATAGCCCCGTGTATAACTAAGACAACTACCAGATGAAAAGAGACTCTGTGCCCACCAGACATTTAATATTCTACTCTCCACACTCCCTAAATGAGAGAAAGTGAATATAAGCAACTAGTAATTGACAGCAACCACTAATTGACACAGATACAACTATCTCATAATCCATTTACTATTTTACTAATCCTTTCACCACAGTTAATAACATCTCTTGGAAGCTGAGGTCTGAGACTGAATTAGATGCATGCTACTTTGGCTTCCCTTCCAAGAAATTAGAAAAAGCTCAGGACATGATAGATCTGTATAGATGTTTTCAGAGAAAATAACTGCATTTTTAAATAAAGCAATAACAACCATCCCGGTGAAGGTGGAGACTATGTCCATCTCCATGATGACCATTCTATTTGCCAAGGGTACCATATTATTTGTTGAATTAATGCTGGATCATCTGGCATACAACATGGTAACTAGAAATATAAAAAACATTTATTAAATAGTGATAACTTCCAACTGGTAGCTTACTTTTATGGAAGTATTTTACTTCATTAAAAATAATTTGTTGATTTCCATCTGCCTCTCCATTCCCATTTTGGTTGTTATTATTTTATATCAGCATAAAACCCCAGAGACTGAACACTCATCTATTTTTGCCACATATTTCCTGTTATCAAGTCACAGTTCCCAGTTCATGAAACAAAAATTTGGACATGGTGTTTTAGGGGATGGATATATATATATATTTGTAAGTACCTAAGTCCTCAAATTGCTCAACACTAACGAATGTGACTTCTACTGAATAAGGCAGGATTGTAAAGGATTGTCTTTTATGGTCTGATATTACCCATTTTAACTCAAAAATCTCTGTTTTATTAAAGCAACTGCCTAGCGATAACTTTCTACAGAAAAGTGCCACCAATACTATAAGCTGTCAGATAAATCATGATAATGTAAAGCAAGAGTTCTCTGTTTTTTCTCCGTATGACTTTTTTTAAACAGATGCCTCTGGTATAATTCGACTATGTAAGCACTAAAAGAAAGCAATAAGTAAAAATAGAATATGAAATTTGAATTAAAAATGATAACCTTTTTAGATATTGATAGTAATCTATTTAAGCTCTAAAAATTCAAAGTTTCCCTTTATAAATATACATGCATGCACACATATTAATACACACACACCTATACTTACACATTTGTTGAAAATATATTGAACATATTTTATGTACCAGGTCCTAGGTTGGGTGCTGGTAAGGCAATGAAAATCAAAAGCTGACATGAAACTTGGTCTTCTCAAGCTTGCAGTCCAGAGGGCAGAAAGATTTTCATGAAATAATCATTAAAAAATGCAAACTCATCACAGCAATCAGCACTGCAAAGAAGATATATATGGTGTATAGTAGAGGCATGTGGTCTTGAGAAAACTGGAAGAACCTGCTTCATTTAGAGGCAGGGGTTTTCTGTCACAGGAATGAGGTGGGTTCAGAAAAATAAATAGGAGTTAACTAGGCAAAGACAGGGAGGATGTGCACGTGTCTGGCTCTGAAATGCAGGGGAGCTAAACACAAGTGAGTGCAACCCTCAAACAATGGGGAGCCAGTGGATATATGCAACTAGGTGCTTATTCTTCAGGCATATAATTATGGGTCCTAATCTGCAGACTTTCTAGATGTGCTATGAAATCAGACCACCGTTCCCTAGAGAGGCAAACTCAATCATACACTCTTACAATGGCTTTTGCTTGTGTTATTTTGTTTTTTCCTCATTCTCCTTATTCCCTCACTCCTACTTCCTGGCCTCATATTCCAAATAAATGCCCTACAAAATCTGTGTCTCATGATATGTTTTTTGCGGAACTGCAAAGTAATACGGTTAAGCATGGCATGAGACAGGGACAAAAATGCATATAGGTCTGTCAGGCATTTTACCTCTATCCATTCAATGGAAAGTCCTCGAAGTATTTTAAAAGGAAGGAGACATTATTAGATGTGCTTTTCAATAAGATTTTTCTGGCTCCAATGCAGAGAACAGATCAGATGGGGGCAAAAGGAGATGAGGTTCAGAAGATAATACAATGCTACAGGTGAGAGAGAATGGTGGATTAGACTAGGGAGAAACCACAGTGACAGAAAGAAGCAGATACATTCCAGGACTATTTAGGCAATAAAATCAATAGAGCTTAATGAGAAAAGAAGTGTTGAGGATGAGTCTTATTTTTTTTTGGCTTCTATAACTCAATGGATGTAGTAGGATTCACTGAGCTAGGGAGCACTGAAGAAGTCTGGGGGTACAAGAGGGAATAATTATAAATGTTTTAAATTTAAATTTAGGCTTAAGTTGAGTCTGAGGTGTCTTTGAAACATCTTGGAAGAAATATAAAATAGGTAATTAAATATATGGTTTTGAAACTAAGGGAACAATTTAAGCATCTCTGCTTCAGCTTTATTTGGGTGGCAATGAGTTCCAGAATCATGGATAACACTAAGTAGAGAGGCCATATTAAAAAAAAAAAAAAAAAAAGATGAGGAGATGGTGGTACCAGGTCTTGAGAAAGCTGGACCAGCAAAGGAAACTAAACAAAGGCAGCCAGAGGGATGGGAGGAAATCAAGACAATGTTTCATTATGGAAGCCACAGGAAGAGGGTATTTCCTAAAGAAGGCAAAAGCCTATAGTACTCATTGCTACTCCAAAGGTAGGTAAGATTATTATGGTAGATGATGTTCTTGGCCCCAGTTCTTCCCCTCTTCATATATCCACATTCTTTACTGTGTGACTTTGCAGTTTCACCCACAAAAATCAGTGGAGTATAGTTTCTTTTGTTCAAGTGACTTGTTTTAGCCAAAAGAAAAAGGAAAAATTGATGGCATGTAGGATCTGAGCATTTCCACTTGCCCTCTTGTGCTTCTGCTCTTCCCATGAGAAGGACACGCCTGTCTAGCCATTGAGTTCCAGAAGAAATAGAGACAGCAGGGCAGAGCCCAAGGGTGGAGCGAACTCACAGGTACAAGAACTAGGCAGTGCTTTATTTAACTTCAGAATTGTTTGCCCCTGAAGTTTGACATTGTTGATTATGCAACATCATCTGGACAATAGAAAACTAGACTAAAACCTGTCTGCTAGATTAAGGATGTCGGTCACTAATTGGTACAGATCAGTTTTGCTATGCAAAGAAGAAAAGAGACAGAGTAATGGAAGAAGCACATGGATTTGAGGGAAGTTACATGTGTACATGTGCTGTGTGTCTTAAATGGCTGTAAACATGTCAGTTAGAAAGATCAAAAAAAAAAGGGAGGAACTGAATACTCAAGAATAAAAGAGAAGATCTGATAGGTGCCATTTGAGAGATTAGGTAAGGTGTAATGGGATTTCACATTAAGGATGGCACAGGCCAAGGGTGGGGCTGGGAGGCCAGTAAGGAAGCCCAAGGAGGGCTGGGCTCATGAGCGCTCTCCACCAGTGACAGTCTCAGGTGTTATTCACATTGTGCTTATTTCCACCAGTATGAAACAAGTAAAGTTCAGTTAAAGTTTGGTTGAATGTACTCTTTAGTTATATAAGCGATATAAGATCTATAATAATATAAGATCTTATTATTCTTTAATTAAAAGCCTGACAGGGAAAACAAACAAAAGAAAACTTCAACTGTACATGGGATCTAGTATAGAATGCTAAAAAATTACAATACTAAAATGGAGAGGAATAAGTAAAAGCAGACATATTTATCACCAACCAGATTAGTTATTTGTTAGTGATTTATAAAACATATTTTATAAAGATAATATAACCAGTTTTGGTGTATTTTGTTATACTCTGATTATTTATATTAATTAAAATAATTGGTTACGGCCAGGCATGGTGGCTCACACTCGTAATCCCAGCATTTGGGAGGCTGAGTTGGGTAGATCACTTGAGCCCAGGAGTTCAACACCAGCCTGGGCAACATGGCAAAACCCCATCTCTACAAAAAATACAAAAATTATTTGGGTGTGGTGGCATGCACCTGTAGTCCCAGTTACTCAGGAGGCTAAGGTGAGCAGATCACTTGCGCCCAGGAGGCAGAGATTGCAGTAAGCAGATTGTGCCACTGCACTTGAGCTGGGATGACAAAGTGAGATCCTGTCTCAAACTAATAATAATAATAACAACAATAAATAGTAATAATTGGTTAGAACACTCTAACTTTTAATGATCGTAAATAACATGTTTTACACTATTATTCTAATAAATGTAAATTACTGAAGATTAACGTTTTTATGAAACATGACAATATTCAGAGAAACATCAACACTGTTTTAACTAACTTTGAAAAAGTGAATACAAACTGTCTATAATTTTATAGTGTTTCTAAATCATTTAACATCTCAAATGAGTTTATATGATAAAATACACATAATAATTTTGTATTCTAAATCTAGATTTTTGTAAGATATACAATTAAGAGGCTAAACAATAAGGATAATTTGCAAAACTAGAAGAATATTCAAGTTTCTTATGAATATTTCTTTTCTTTTTGAAAATTGTGATTAAAACACACAACATAAAATTTACCATCTTAAGCATTTGGAAGTGTATAGTTCAGAAGTGTTAAGTATACTCATATTTTTGTAAACAGATCTCCAGAACATTTTCCTCCCACAGATCTGAAACTATGTACACATTAAACAACTCTTCTTTTCTCCATCCTCCTAGCCCCTGGTAATTACCATTCTACCTTCTGTTTCCATGAATTTGATCACTTTGATAGCTCACATAAGTGAAATCTTTCCCTAATAAAATTTACCCCAAGGTACCACTTTCTATTAGAAGATTCATGTTTATGCCTCATCACAAATAATGCTTAAAATCTATTTATGTATGCCTATATGAGTAAATAAAACACTCTATTACTAAAATGAAGTCATTATTTGAGAAAGGAATAAACAGATCATTTAGATTAAAATTTATATTGATATTTTCTAAGTTACATATTCAGTTACAGATTATTGTTTTTAGTTTTGACTGAAATATGCAATAGTACTCAACTGTTCACATATTATATTTTGGGGGTATACTTTGAAGTTCAAAGAATCATGATATAGTAGATTAATCTTCGAGAATTTTCTACAGTTAAAATATCATCTCTCTAAGCTTCTGGTGATACACACTTAGAGATCCTTCCTTCCTTCCTTCCTTTTCTTTTTTTCCTTCCTTTACTTCCTTCCTTTTCTGTTTTTCCCTTTCTTTTTAGTATATTAGGAAATATAAGCTATGTAATTTATATCCAATCATCTCCCTGGCACTAAGAAAGTGTGAGTGCAGCCCAGACAGAACTTGCTTAAGTTCTGTTGGCAAATACAAGGGAGTAGGAGGCTAGGCACGTTTTCATTACATAGCATATGACGTACGAGCTGCAGAAATGGTTGCATTTTTAATTTTCTAATGGCATGGGTTATACGGCAATTTCCTTCCAGGTAAAATGAATAAGTCCTGAGAAAAATACTGAAGTATTTTAGTGGTGTTTGTGTCACTATGTTAACTATTATTTGTATGAGACAAAACACAAAGAGGAAAAGACAAATAGATGAAATCATAAGAGATTTGTTAGCAAAAACATTTCCTTTGTGAAGGGCATAAACTATAAATTAATGACTTGGGTGGGTGGCTGAAATCAACACAAAGATCCACAGTGTCCTATTGTTAATGTCTACACCTGTGGGTTCTATGGAGGCATCTGGTTTTCTCAGTTGCTCTAGACTACCGTGGTGCATGGATGGCAGAGATGCTGACTGTTCCTCAGGACCATTCCTGCCTCCTACCTAAGAACTGTAGTCTGCTCAATGCAGCAAGCCAAGGGCAGCTCTCCACTTTAGAATTTCTAAAGCCAATTCAACTCAAAACAGCATTAACTAGTTTGGAAAGTTCATAGGTACTAATACAATTTTGACATAGAAGTAGGCAAATTTCTTGAGATATAAAGGCTGTCTAGAGTCCACCCTTATACTAAGCAATGATACATTTAAGTCAATTTATTTTATTTAACAGTTCTCTACATCTTCTCTGTGCACTACTTAAGTTTCTTAATAGTCAAAGGTATGCATTAAAGGTGACCTCCCTACAAAGACATGTTAAGATACAAAATTTCTGCTTCTTGATAGTTCGTGACAAATATTTACAAAGACCTACTAAGTGTTAGGCACTGAACTAGGCACTGGATACAGTGGTTAATTCATAGTCTCTGTCTTGATGGAGATGGTTTCTTGAAGGGGAAGACAACCATTTAAAAAGGAGTTCCCCAATGAGTTATGTACTTCAAATTGTGACAGAGAGTAAAAATAATGAAAAGCAGCAGCAAAATATGCTTTGAGTGTGCTTCTATCTCAGGGTCTGGCCTAGCCTGACTGGGAAACATGTTCAGGAAAGGTTTTCGTGAGCACATGACATGGGCATGCTAAGAGGCGTGTAGGAACTAACTGGGTTAAATGAGGGGAGAAGAGCACTCAAGACAGGAGAAGGAAAGGCTCATCAAGGATCCTCCTATGAGAATCTTGTATATGTGGTACATCTGGTACAAAAGCTCATTTCTAAGATTATAATGGTTTCCTTAGACAGGTATATGGCTTCCTCCAAAGAAACATTTGAGAACTGCATCCTTTCCTCCTGAGACAATTCTCAGGAAACTGTCAGAAAAGCCAAATCCAGAAAGACCACCTTGGTTTGACTTTATTACACGTGGATACTGTCCTAGTAGACATGCAGGAGAGGCTCCTCTATTGACATCCCTTCTTCTAGAAGTTCACTTTCTCTTCCATTTGACGTTCAAACTTTTCCCATTATAACAACAGAGATAGGAGCAGAGGCACACCAAGATTGAGATCCCTTTTTTGTCTCTGCCTGAGAACCTCTATCATACCACTCTAATCTGCTCCCATGCTCTCCTGAGATTCTCCCTTGGCCTCCCTCCTTCCACCCGAGCAAGAGCCTCAGGGGCAAAAAAAATGGCAGAAAAAATGAGCTATTTCTTATAAAGCCTTCCAGTGAGTGAAATGCCTGCTCTTTACCAAGCAATCCTACTTAGGTGAACTTGAATCTGTAGCTGACTCTGAAATTGTAAAGGGGAAGAGAGGGTGGCAGAAGCCTTTAAATCTAATCTAGTTTCAGGTCTTCACTCACCCAGTCACCTAGTTGTCAATCTTTCTACTCCTCATTCTAAGACCTCACTACATCCTGACAACTTATAAACAATTTTGACTCTTCATTCTCCTCTGCCTCTATCTTGATGCTTAAGCTCTATTACATAGTCCCCTGTCCCTGAGTAATTCTACCCCCAACCCCTGGCCCAAACAATCACAGTCACTGTTGATGGTTTATGGCTGGGCTGTGTTCTCACTTTGCTTCTTTTGAGGTTGGAGGAATGAAGACAGGAAAGTTCTCACTCCTACTGACAGGGCTGCTATAGAAGAATGAGCTCTGGGACTCCCAGCTTGGATCTGGCAAAGCACGCTACCTTTATAGGCACTGCTATTCATGTTGGTTTTGTTGGATAGCAGCATGAGGACTGGACATATGATGGGTTAAGTTGGCTTCTGTGGGCTATTCTGGGAACACACCCAACATTTGTAGCTTTAATTTTTCTATTGAAAACTACCTCTAAGTTCCAAATAACCAAATAACAAATGAGTTTTTGGAACACAATGGTTTGTAAGATGAGGGACTGACTGCAATGAGAATGAAACAATGTAGTTTGCTGGAAATTCAATTGAATTAACCCAAAAGCAGAAAGATGAAATTCGATTCCGCAAAGCCAAGTGACTCTTACGAAAAAAATACCATTAGCTAGTAAATTAGACCCTTTTTGAAACCTACAGTAACCCTTTCAGGACACATAGGTAGCAGCACATTAATGCGTTAATGGTTTGAAAAGTATTCCCAAAAGGCCTCGACTAGTTTCAGCACTGGGGAAATTTGATTCATTATTTTACATTAGGCCATAAGAGATACAGTTATTTATCAAATAACTAAGCATGAAGGCAATAGAATGAAATGCGTGGGTGATATAGTTTCTATCATATCCTTACACATTACAGGCTATACACACAGACACAGACACACACACATACTTTCTCAATACAAACATCATGATCACAAAACGTAAATTTTTTAACCTTAGATAGTATAAGATTTACTTATTTTCTCTCCTTTTACACTAAACTATTTGGCAAGAAAATAAACCCTTAAAACAGGCACCAGAAATGTATTTTAATAACAAGTGATATTAAATCCCATTTTGATTTAAAATACTTTTATGTCAGCTCCTCTGAAGGAGAATATATTTGCCTGCAAACATGAGCGGTCACAGGAGAAGATAACTGCAGGAGTTCCTCTGTCAAGAGGTAAAGGGAAATTCCTGGTAGTGAAAAGTTGAAAGCAGCTGGGAGGCGTGAATGGTTATTTTAGTTGATTGAGTTCATGGTGAAGGAAACATTGTCATTCTTTCCATTCCCAAAGGAGTCAGTTAACTTTGTTGTTTTCCATGGAAATAAATATCACCTTCCTAATATGAGAGGAGTAGCCATGAGGTGGTAATTTGAGAGCAGCATTGGGGCGGGGTGTGGGGACTTCAGAGGTTATCTGGCCAAGTTGTCTTCAAACTGTTCCTTCAGAGCCCTAGAGATTAATATACAGCTCTCTGAGAGACCAGGAGGGACTGCATCCATATTCTTTAATTTTTCAGGAAATTTTCTGGTAGTAAGTTTTCATCAGAAGCAAATGGATCTTTAGTTTCTTTTCTACAAAGCTCTGACTTCAACCACCTGACTGAAGGGTCCCAATGAGGTAACACCTCCTCTCCAACATAGGACAGTAGCACAGCTACAGCAAGGCAGACTCTGGGTGGGGGTAAAATCGCCTGGTACATACAATGAGAGGCATTTATTGAGCACTAACAACCAGCCAGCAACTCCTACAAATGTTGTACATTAACTTATTAAAGCCTCATAACAACCCAATGAATAAGTACAATTATTGTCCCCATGTGGTGAAGTAAATAACCTAGTAAAAAGCGGAACCAGAATTGGATGGCTGAAAGTCTATATCCACAGCCATAGCCTTAACCACTATGATATCCATCTCTGAACATGTTAGAATGCCTAGGGAAATGTTCTGAGGCATGTCCTCAGTGCTGTAACACTGCCTCTGCAGGACACCCATCAGCCATGATATTCCGCAGCATTAAAACATGTTAGGTGGCTGCTTAGACAACCTCTCTTCTACCATACTCATATAGGCCTATACAAATATAGACATTTAGCAAGAAGTACATTCTCCTTTTCATTCAGAATCTATTCAAAGGGTAAAATACTTTACAAAAATATTTCTAACCTAATTTTTTTAGTTGGATATATTCTGGAGGATAAAGATTTTTAAAAATTGGTTCTGAAAAGTACAAGTCAAGGTACTCAATTTCAGTAGTTTCAGGATGCCCAGGAAGTCCCTAGTCCAATTTCTAGCCCACCTCCCTGAAAAACCAAAGGCAACAAATGATTCAGAAGAAATCTAATATAGGATAGCTAATGCTACCTCCTTATGATTGCTGGAGGAACAGTCATGTCTGAAATGCACCTTACAGCCTGAGAAAATAAATGCACTACAGTGGTTATCTATTGCTGAGAAACACATCATCCCAAAACTTAGTGGCTGAAAAAAACAAACGTTTCTTACTTCTGATTTTGTGGGTTGAGTGAGTAGTTCTTCCAGTCTGTACCAGTTTGGCTGGGGTTTGATGGTCTATGACAGCAAAACTCTCACGTTAGGGGCCTTAGCTGGGACCTCTCTACAAGGTATCTCATCCTCTAAAAGGCTAACTCAGGTTTCTTCAGACAGTGAAAAAGGGTATCAGCGACAAGAAAGAGCAAGTCGAATGCAAAAGCACTTCTTAAGCCTTTGCTTGAGCCATTTTTGACACTGTTCTATCAGCCAAAGTAAGTTATCTGGTAAAACCCAGAGCTGATGTGGGAGGGGCCTACTCAATGTGTGAAAATACAGATGTGAACTATGACCGCCATTTTCTCACAAGCTACTACATTGTAAGTTTTTAAAGTTAAATTCACTTAATATAGATGTAAATACTTGAAAAAAAGCTAAGACAGTGTATGTAAAGTGTTCTTGCCACAAACATGATAATTATGTAAGATAATATATATGTTAATTAGCTAGATTTAGTCATTCCACAAGGTACATATACTTCCAAACAATATGTTGTACATGGTAAATACATACAATTTTATACGTCAATTAAAAAATTTTTTTAAAGTAAACTGGGTTTTACCTGAAAACATAGCTTCTATGATCTTATAGCAAAATTTCTATTCAAAGAATCAAAAATCCATCCTATGCCCATGCAGCCTCTTGCATATATATACCTCACTTTATATCATAAATGTGTCTCTATTAGTGTATTCTGGCTGCTGTAACAAATTTCAACAAGTGTAATCACTTAAAACAACACGAATTTATTATCTTATTGCTCTGGAAGTCAGAAGTCCAAACTCTATTTGAATGATCTAAAGTTGAAGTGTGGTCAAGCTGATTTTTTTTCTGGAGTCTCTGAAAACAGCATCTATTTCCTTGACTTTTTCAGCTTCTGGTGTCTGCCTATTTTTCTTGGCTTGTGGCCCCTACTTCCATCTTCAAAGTTCAGTCTCTGGTCCCATCAGCTTATCACCCTCTCCTCTGACTTGGACCACCCCTGTGTCTGTATTATAAAGACTGTTAAGACTACATCCAGTTCTACCTAGACAATTCAAGATAATCTCCCGATCTGAAAGTCCTTACTCACATCTGCAAAGTCCATTTTGCCATTTAAGGAAACATTCACAGGTTCTGGGAATTAGGATATGGACATATATGGAAGGACATTATTCAACCTACTATCGCGTGTATTAATTTTCTATTGCTCTTGTAACAAATCAACACAAATTTAGTGGCTTAAACTACACAAATTTATTATTTTGGTGTTCTGTATGACATAAGTCCAACACAGGTCTCACTGGACTAAGTGTTAACTGGGACATTTGGGAAGAAACCATTTTCTTGTCTTTTCTAGTTACTAGAGTCTGCCCATAATCCTTGACTTGTGGTCGTCTTCCTTCATCTTCAAAGCCAGCACTGTTGTATCTCTGTGTCTTTTTTTCAGGCACATCTCTGTCTGATTAAATCACAGCAAGGTTCTCTGCTTTTAAGGACTCATATGATTAGACTGGGCGCACCCAAATAATCTAGGATAATCTCCTCATCTTAAGGTCCTTAACTTTCATCACAACTATATAACATCCCTCTAGCCATGTAAGGTAATATTCACAGGTTCCAGAGATTAGGGTGTGGACATCTTGGAAGGACCAGCATTCTTACTACCACAATATGTTATTGGAAAGCTGTGTCTAAGTAAAAATTCAGATCATATTGAATTTCATTGAAGAAATTAGCTATCTTTTAAAAAAATACATTTGAGTTTTATTATAGGCTTTCTTAATACCAGTCAAGCTTTTAAAATAAAGTTTATAGGCCGGGCGCGGTGGCTCACACCTGTAATCCCAGCAATTTGGGAGGCCGAGGCGGGCGGATCACGAGGTCAGGAGATCGAGACCATCCCGGCTAAAACGGTGAAACCCCGTCTCTACTAAAAATACAAAAAATTAGCCGGGCATAGTGGCGGGCGCCTGTAGACCCAGCTACTTGGGAGGCTGAGGCAGGAGAATGGCGTGAACCCGGGAGGTGGAGCTTGCAGTGAGCCGAGATCCCGTCACTGCACTCCAGCCTGGGCGACAGAGTGAGACTCCATCTCAAAAAAAAAAATAAAATAAAATAAAATAAAGTTTATATTACTTTTGAACTTTATGGTGCAGTTTTAATATTTGAGAGCTCTTTTCCTCTTTTCAATATTTTTCCTAGAATTAGTGTCCAGGGCTAGGAACCTTAGCATAGGAAAGCAATATATCAAGTCTATGCTTCAGATTTCAACCATGATTTTAACCCTTATTAAAAAAAAAAAGTAAAATTTTACTAGTACAGCTGAATTGAAAGGAACATACTTAGAAGTAACATAATGATAGTTTATATTAAGTACTATTCTCTGTCTTTCTCTCAAAACTAATAATAATCAAACCTAAATTTGACTGTTTGCATTTCCAGACCTTTATTATATATCTATTTTCTAACTCACCACAAATACAACTATGGAAAAATGGCTATATGTGACCATGACTCCATATTTCTGTAGTTTTTAAAATTATTAAAACTTTTCTCAGAAGAAAGCTCTGTTTCTCAGATTAGGAAATCATTTTCAGAAATTGTCTCCTTCTTTCTCAAACTATTGAAGTGGTTTCTCTCAGGATTCACACTCCATTTATCAACAACTGAATATTACCAGCCACAACCTCAGCTCAAAATTGGCTCTGATAAAAATTCTTATAAAATTTCTTCCAAAAACAGTTTTTATAAAAGGACTTAAATCCTTTATTCAAATGATTGAGCACAAAATTTAAAGAACGTTTTTCAGTACAGACTTAATAGTGGGCTAATGACACTTCTATCTGTGTTTCCAAATACTCTTGTTATATTCTTGAACTATCATTTTTCTCTCTTCATGACAGTAAAAATGTCTGGTATATTGAACTTCTATGAAAGAAGATGAAGAAGTGTATGATGACAGTAATAACTCTTGAAAGTGCTTAATGCATTTTTTTCTTGCCTAAAAAAAGTTTTCAAACAACTGCTTTAGTTTTTCTGATTTTTTTTAATCCAATGGGCTCATTTTAAAAAAACTGGGTGTGAATTTATGACCCCTTGTGACTATACTCATATACTGCATTCTTAAAAAGAAAATATTTCTTTGCCAAATAATTCCCTTATAAGCATCATACAACCTGTTGGACTAATGGAGAAGTTAAAATATGCATGGGAAATTTAATTTTTCAAAATTTATGTTAAGTAATTTTGATCATTCCTATATCCTGTCAATAGTGGAATTGCCTTTTTTCTTCTTACATAATGTCAGGATTGTATATAGTAGAATGATATCAGCAAATATATTTCATTAAATTACCTAACAAGTTAAATATACCTATTCTCATATTTCAGGATTGCATATAGTAGAATGAAATCAGTAAATGTACTTAATCATCATTCACAATTTATATCTAACACCAACCTCACAACACTGTTTTTAGAGGATGACCAATGTGGTAATAATAGCGCCAACATTACCTTCTCTGAGTTCTTAACACAATTAAAAAATATTACTGCTTATGAAACTAAAAATAATTTTTAGAAATCTGTAGGCAAGTGAACATGATGCTTGGTCTAAAGGAAAACAGAGTGCCTAAATCAAGTTGTGTATGTGCTGTAATAATTTTGCACATACAATATATGTGTGAATATCGATAAAAATAATTCAAATTCTGAACTTCTCCTCACTTGAAAATTAATAAACATTGGACTTTACTTTGTTAATGATGACAATATATAAATGACCGAAATGAACACTGTCCATTTTGTGTTAAAGCTTTTAAATGAATAAGTCAGATTAATTATTTCTGGATGATTTGCTTTTTTCTCACAGAAATCCAATATAATATTAAGATGCCTAGACTATTCTGGTAATAGACCAAGGTGAGCCTTCTGTCAGCACACACAAAGGAACTGAAGCAGAACTCACAACAGCACACACAACCCAGTATGCTAATCCCCAACAAAGGAGAAGGGCCCACAAAGGGCCAAGATGGCAGAAAACTCTCAAAAGAGGGCCCACTTCAGTAACAAGATTTTCTATGAGCTCATTAATATTTACCAAAGCCAAGAGACCTGGTTTTTTTTTAATCTTTCATTTAGCCACAAATACCTCCTTAAAATTATTCCTATATTGAGACAGCATTAGAAAAATAAACTATGCATATAAAGAAGCCTCAAATGAAAGATAAGCAGCTTTTAAGATAAGCTTGCTTTCAGTGTAAGCATCTGTACCCAGAAGACCATTTACACAAATTAGCATATTTTATCTACTGTAAAAAAACATGAAATAATTCACATATGCAAGATAGTTTAATTTAAATTACTGTCAGGGAATTCTTGAGCATTTTAGCACACTTCACAAAAATGTAAGTTCTGATAACCAAGGAAAAGATTTGCCACTTAAAAAGAAAACTAGTAGGAAAAATGTTTTCCAATTGCAAGCAGGGTTTTTTTGTTGAATTATTTAGTAGGGTGATAGAGAAATAGCATTGGAGACAGACAGACCAGCGTTTGAGTTTTGCATCTTACACTAGTTGTGCAGTGTTGAGTAAGTTACTCAATCTCTCTGAGCCTCAGATTTTCCATCTGTAAAATGGTTCATAAGACCTACCTTGTGTGATTTTAAGAAATTTAAGAGACTATGCTCAAAATGCTTAATATAATAAATAGCCCATTCTAAGCCTTTAATAAGCGGAGGAATTTTGGTTTTTGTTTCATAAAGTATTTATTTGAAGAACTTTAAAGAATAAAGATAATAGGAAACATACCCATCATCCCCCTACCCTGAGAAAAGCACTATCATTAATAGGTGAATATCCTTCCAGTTCTTTCTCTATATGTACATATAAGCTTGTATGCATGCTTTGAAAATTTTTACTTTAAAAATATAGATTCCTACTTTACATACTATCATCTCATTTGCTTCCCTATCCATGCCCTACCTTAACATACCATGAATGCATTTCCATATATTTAATACCATTTTATGTATTATTTTACAACATCATTTTAACTTCAATGGTCTTTTATTATGTGAATATATCAAAGTATTTGGAATGCTTCCAATATTCAGTCAATGTAAAAAAACAGTGTAATGTATATAGCTAGCTTCCAATAAGTATTTGTGTACATTTCTAATTTTCTTTTAACCCAAACATAATTATGACAACATCCCACAAACAAAAGCATTTATATATTTTTCCTCCCTTCAACCTGAAAACATGCATTTCTACAAATCCCACTTTTTTCTATTAATAGTTTTTAATATTTAATTTTTGAGTAGATAATACCTTTGTTTGTCTTATAAGTTGTTTTTATATAAACAAAGTGTAGACAGTGAAAAATCTTGCTCCCGTCCATGGTCTTATTTATCCACTTCCACCTCATCTACCCCACAGGTAACATTGTTATTAATATATATAATCTTTTATATTTTACCTTTCAGTATATAGGTGAAGATGAATATATGTAATTATCCTGTCCTTTTTTGCCAAAAAAGGTAGCATACAATATACATCATACATATTTTGCTTTCTCCACTTAATATACAGTTATTTCTAGATCAGTACTTAAAGAGATTTTTCATTCTTTTGTTTATGGTTGCATATTTGTATCATAATTTCTCATACTAGAATTCTAGAAGTAAAATTATGAGAGCAAGAGTAAGATTATTTTTGAAACTATTGATTCACATTGCTAAATTATTTCCTCCAAATGCTATACCAATTTAAAGTCCTAACAGCCATCAGCATATGATGGTATATATTTCACTTGATATACCTTACTTCATCATTCCTCTATGGAATTGAACATTATGATTTAAAGATTTTACAAATATTTTAAGTAAGAAAATGGTATCTCCTATTAATTCCACTTGTGTATTTTTATAAATTAGTGACGTGGAACTTTTAAAATTTTTATTAATTATACTTAGCAGAAATCTATTTCTATTATTTTCTAATTTGATTAAAGTATTAGTATTTTCCCTTCTGTTTTCCAATAGCGTACTCTATATTAAGGATACTTGTGAATTTTTTTATGTCATTATTTCTCTTTTAATTTTATTTGTGATGTTTAAAATTATTTGGAAATGGATTGAGTAGATATTTTATGTAAAGAACATATAATCTATAGATTATATGTTAATATATACATATACATAAATATATAATTTGCAGAAATAACAGACTCAAAGAAATTGGTAAATTCATTTATTCATGTATGCGTGCATTTGCTCATTCAAAATGTGTCAAATATCTATGTTTGCTAAGTACTGTTCTAAGCACTGACAGAGAAGAATCAGTTCCAGCCCTCCCTCACTTACATTTCAATGAGGGGAAAAATAACGGAGGGGAAGAGGCTGGAGACTAGTGGGTGAGATGAATTTTCATTTTACCTTTTTTGGTTTCAGATAGGGTAGGAGACATTGAAGGTGTCGGTTTCAAAAAGGACTGATTAGACCCTCTTGAAGTATAAGGCGATCACCAAATAGAAACAGCTTTTTTATATCACCAAAGTTGTTCTTTATGATCGGAAAGAGTGTTTTAATACTCTTTATTCAGACTTTAGACATCTTTTACCTTGCATAATATTTTTTGAAATTATTCTTTGTTAATTATATTTTGCCTTTTATAAATGTTTGCCTAAACAGCTTTCAGGAAACTGACTTTTAAAATACTCTCCTAAAATTCCAAAAACCAACCATTTTCATTCTCAAATTTCTATCTCAGTTCAAGAGATGAAAAAAAAAAACACTTGATAGAATATGTTGAGAAAAACAAAACAGTTTGCAAATTTCTGAAATATGTATATAGCAACTATTATCAGAGGTAAACACAAAACCAATGAGGACTGTGTAGAGGACATAATAAACAACTAACTCCTAGCATGTATTGCTATTTTGTTAACATCTGGCATAGGCCAGCTTTCAGTTCTTCCAAAGAAACTTTTTTCCTAGCTATAGAAAACTATCTATCCATCTGACAAAGGGCTAATATCCAGAATCTACAAGGAACTAAAACAAATTTACAAGAAAAAAACAACCCCATCAAAAAGCGGATGAAGGATATGAACAGACACTTCTCAAAGAAAACATTTATGTGGCCAATGAACATATGAAAAAAAGCTCATCATCACTGGTCATTAGAGAAATGCAAATCAAAACCACAATGAGACACCATCTCAAGCCAGTTAGAATGGTGATCATTAAACAGTCAGGAAACAATAGATGCTGGAGAGGATGTGGAGAAATAGGAAGGCTTTTACACTGTTGGTGGGAGTGTAAATTACGTCAACCATCATGGAAGACAGTGTGGCGATTCCTCAAGGATCTAGAACCAGAAATACCATTTGACCCAGCAATCCCATTACTGGGTATATACCCAAAGGATTATAAATGATTCTACTATAAAGACACATGCACATGTATGTTTACTGCAGCACTATTCACAATAGCAAAGACTTGGAACCAACACAAATGCCCATCAATGACAGACTGGATGAAGAAAATGTGGCACATATACACCATGGAATACTCTGCAGCCACAAAAAAGGATGAGTTCACGTCCTTTGCAGGGACATGGATGATGCTGGAAACCATTATTCTCAGCAAACAAACAGAGAAACAGAAAACCAAACACCACATGTTCTCACGCATAAGCAGGAGTTGAACAATGAGAACACATGGACACAGGGAGGGGAACAACACACACCAGGGCCTGTTGGGTGGTGGGGGCTAGGGGAAGGATAGCATTAGGAGAAATACCTAATGTAGGTGACGGGTTGATGGGTGCAGCAAACCACCATGGCATGTGTATACCTATGTAACAAACCTGCACATTCTGCACACGTGTCCCAGAACTTAAAGTATATTTTAAAAATTCTAAAAAAAAAGACAATGGTGATACAGATTCTGTTGTATAATTTTCTTAACATCTTCTAATAAAAAAATCAGGTCCAAGAAGTATCTATTTGTTTCCATTTTTTGCTGCAGAGACAATACAATGTACTGGGTAAGAGCTTTGGCTTCGGAAACAGACCAATTAGAATCAAATCTCTTATTAACCATGTATGTGATGTTATATAAGTCATAAACTTTCTGTGTCTTGGTTTTCTCATATTAAAATAAAAATATGAAGATTATTTCAGAGAGTCGTCATGATGATTAAATGGGCAAATCCATGCAAAACTCTTAGAATAGCACCTTGTGCATAATGAGTACGTTATCATTATCTATGATTATCACTGATATTAATGATATCACTGTTGTTGTGGAGATACTTCATGTAAATACATGAAGGATGTTTGGTTTGGTTACTGACTGATATATTTGAAAAACACTTTGTTTACTTTAGGTTTTTTAATATTTAAACTTTGCCATTTTGAAGTATACAATCCAGTGACTTTCAGTATACTTTCACAATGTTGTACAGCAGTCACCACTATCTAGTTCCACAACATTTTCATCACTCCAAAAGGAAATCCCATACCCATTAAGCAATCACTCCCCACTCCTGTCTCCCTCTGGCAATCACTAATTTGCTTTATGTCTCTATGGATTTTCCTATTCTGAATATTTTATATAAATGGAGTAACACAATTTGTGGCCTCTGTGTCTGGCTTTTTTCACTTAGTGTAATGTTTCTGAGGTTCATCTCCATTGTTGCATGTGTTAGTGCTTCATTTCTCCTTATGGCTAAATAATATTCCATTATACATATGTATATGAGACATTTCCTTTATCCATTCATCAAATGATGGATATATGGGCTTGTTTCTACCTTTTGGCTATTATGAATATTGCTGCTATAAACATTTGTGTACAAGTTTTTGTTTGAACACCTGTTTTCAGTTCTTTGGCATCTATATCTAGGCGTAGAATTGCTGGATCATATGGTAATTCTACATTTTACATATTGAAGAATCACGAAACTTTTCCACAGTAGCTACACCACTTTATTTATTTATTTATTGTTATTTATTTATTTATTTTGAGTCCGAGTCTGGCTCTGTCAACCAAGCTGGAGTGCAGTGGCACAATCTTGGCTCACTGTAAAACCACCTCCTGGGATCAGGTGATCCTTCCACCTCAGCCTCCCAAGTAGCTGAGACTACAGGCATGCACCATCATGTCCAGCTAATTTTTGTATTTTTAAAATAGAGACACGGTTTTGCCACATTGTCCAGGCTGGTCACGAACTCCTGGGCTCAAGCAAGCCACCCACCTCAGCCTCCTAAAGTGCTGGGATTACAAACATGAGCCACCATGCCAGCCTGGTTGCACCACTTTATATTTCCACCAGCAAAGTATGCAGGGTCCATTCAATTTCTCCGCATTCTCACCAACACTTGTTACTTGTTTTTTATTATTATTTGCCATTATCAGGGGTGTGAAGAGGTATTTCACTTTGGTTTTCATTTGCACTTCCCTAATGACTGACAGTGTGGACGCCTGTTCATGTGCTTCATGTGCTTGTTGGCCATTCGTATACCTTCTTTAGACAAATGTCTTTTCAAGTTCATTGTCTAATTTTTACTTACATTGTTTCTCTTTCAGTTGTTTAGTTGTAAGTGTCCTTTATATATTCTAGATAGACTCATCAGATATGACAGGCAAATATTTTCTCTCATTCAGTGGGCTGTCCTTTCACTTTCTTCATAGTGTCGTTTGAGGCACAAAAGGGCTTTTTTTGTTTTAATAACGTCTAATTTATCTATTAATATTTTTCTTTTATTACTTGTTGGTGTCATATGTAAGAATCCATCACCAACTCTAAGTCATGAAGACTTACTCCTATTTTTTTTCTAAGGGTTTTATAGTTTTAGCTCATATTTATATCATTAATCTATCATGAGTTAATTTTTGTAAATGGTATGAGGTAAGGGCTCAATGTCATCCTTTTGCATATGAATATTCAGTCATCCCAGTACTATTTGTTGAAGATATTATTCTTTGTCCATGCAATGGTCTTGATAGTCTTGTTGAAAATCAGTGGCCCATAGATGCATGGATTTATTTCTGGATGATAAATTCTATTTCATTGGTCTATATGCCTATATTCATGCCAGTACCAAGCTGTTTTGACTACTGTATTTTTGTAATATGTTTTAACATTGGGAAATGTGAACCCTCCAACTTTCTCCTTCTTTATCAAAGTCATTTTGGCTATGGAGTCAAAAGACTTTAGTTTTAATAAAGTTACTATTAAGAAAAAAAAAGTTGTTTTTTGGATGAAGACATAACAAGGCTCTGGTAGTTGTTAGTACCTTCCTGTTATTGGTTGTTTTTTTTTTTGCTTTTTTGTTTTTGTTTTTGTTTTTTTTGTTTTTTTGTTTTTTTTGATATGGAGTTTCACTCTGTTACCCAGGCTGGAGTGCAGTGGTTTGATCTCGGCTCACTGCAAGCTCCACCTCCCAGGTTCACTCCATTTTCCTGCCTCAGCCTCCTGAGTAGCTGGGACTACAGGCACCCGCCACTACACGTGGCTAATTTTTTTTCGTATTTTTAGTAGAGACAGGGTTTCACTGTGTTAGCCAGGATGGTCTTGATCTCCTGACCTCATGATCCGCCTGCCTCGGCCTCCCAAAGTGCTGGGATTACAGGTGTGAGCCACCACGCCCGGCCCCTTATTGTTAATTTTAATATAAAATATTTCTTGGACATTGTAAGAGTGAGGTCTTGGCTGAAAAAAAGGGTGGGGAGGGATATGTTTTCAGACTCTTTGACGGTTTTTAAGAAGATGTGTCAGAATGGGAGAAATCAGAGGGTAAGGGAGCTTAATAATAACTCTTTGAAATCAGTAATATAAGATCATTTTTGAAAGTGCCTACATACAGTATCTGATATTTTCTAACAAAAGTCCTGTGAAGTAGTCAGAGAACACACGATTATCCTCAATATACAAATGGGGAAACTAAGGCATTAAGAGGTTAAGCAATTAGCTCAATGTTGCACAGCAAATAAGTACTAGAGCCCCAACAAAATGCTATGTCCTTGGATTCTCAAGTCGGTTCTATTTTAGCTTGACAGGTCAACATCAGCCTTGGATAAACTTGGCTTCATTTATAATTTTACCCCAGTTTGGGGAAAAAAAACCCCTGCCTATTTTATAATGCATCAAAGCTTTTATAATTGCTTCTGCAGGTTCATTGTTTATTCCAAGTTCCCAGAGAAACAAATGTAAAATGCAGATGCCAAGCACAGATTTTAATTCTTCCCAGAGTTATCTGTGTGTAGATTTACCATCTATGAATTCATTTTTCTACACTCTATGCTATGCTGTAATTCTTCTCCATGTACTGATACATTATCAATTTCTTACTCTCCTTGCCCTCACAAAGTTTTTGTTTGATCTTTAAATTATTATTAACTATAAAATATTTTTATCATACAATTAACCAACATAAATGTTTATGTATATTCTGTGATTTAAAAACCTATGCAGGAAAAGGGTTACCTATAAGGAAGTACCCTGAGCTGCCTCTTATGTACCTGTTCACTATCACCAATCAAAGTATCACAGGAATATTATAAAATATAAAGGATGCAATTAGGAGAAGTATTATTTTTATTGTCCTTTGGAGGACTTATGCAATGTCAAAAAAGATAAACACTATGAATTTCATAGGTAACTAGGATGTGTCTAAAACTCCAAAGTCCATTGCAAGAAGAACCACTCAATCCAAGTTCTTTTAAAGCAGTGTGTTAAACAGTCTTGTTATAAATATGCATCAGGAAAAATGTACTCACTTTCATAAGAAAGTAGACATAAGAATTAAGAATTTCCCCTGAAAGCTTGGGTAATTAAGGTATAATACAAACTGAAATTCGATTTCAATTATCTTCAAGTGTGGCTATGCTATGTCTTTTATTCTTCTATTTGGTGAGATGACAACCTTGGTAATTGAATATTAATTTTCTCCAAGAAAGCATTCCAAACTCTTCTTCAAAGAGGGAGTTAAGCTTATTAATTCATTCCTTAACAAGAGGACAAAGTGCATGGCTTGCTGTATAAGAAATAAGAACTCCTAGGGGCCTAGAAGCTTTAATCAAAGATTGAAGGGGGAGAAAAAGTGAATGAGCCAGAAGGCAGAAGAATGTGAGGAGGTCACCTAACTTTTCAGGGGAAAAGAAAAAAAAATTCTTCACAGAGCTCAGCCAAAGTGAGGTAACAGAGCAAAGCAATCAGAAGGACAAATTCCTCCTGAGATACGGGCTAAAACATCGACTTTCCTTTATAATGCCACTTTAATTTCTGGTAAAATTCCAAAGCAAAGGTTTATGTTTCATGATATTGTCAACTTTGCATAAGAATACTTGTGTTACTCATGACTTACACGGCCTTAGGGACACTATTGATTTTTTTCCCCCTTCATAAATCTAAAAATGCTCTCTGCCTTCCCAGTGGACCCCTTATATTTATTGGTGTCTATCCTAAAACAACAGTTCAAGGTTGAAGTTATGAAAACATTTGGGGTTCTAATTTACCACAAAGAAAGTCCAAACAAAGATTACAGATAATACATAGCACTCAAAGTTTGCCCAAGAAATACTAGAAACACCTGCCCCCAAATACACACATGCTTTATTTTTCCCAATAGATGTTGCTACATAGGAACATTACAAAATGACGCCAGCCACAGTCTCCTCCAAAATACCTAAGAACTCTATACCTTTTCAAAGTCTTACTGGACTATAAATATTCCCTTTCTGTTGTATTAGAGAAGTCATTTTCAAACTTTTTGTTTGCAGAAGCCCCTTTACATTCTTAAAAATTAAGACCTTACAGTTGTGTTTCTATGTGTTATATCTATAGATATTTACCATATTAGAAATTAAGCGAGAATTTAAAAAATATTTAATTCATGTAAAGATTAACAATACAGATGAATATAAATTAACATATAAAAATAACCATGTTTTCAAAACCAAAAAATTTAGTGAGAAGAATGGCATTGTTTAAATCTTTGCAAATATCTTTAATGTCTGGTTTTAAAAAAAGACGACTGGATTCTCGTATCTGCTTCTGCATTCAATATGTTAAGGTATCACCTGTTATGTAGCCCTCTGGAAAACACCATGCATTTAAGAGAGAAAGAGAGTGAAAAAAGGCACATATCACTCATTAGTATTTAAATGAAAATAGAGTTGACCTCATGAACCTGGACGAAAGGGCCCGGGGGACCTCCAGAGGTCCCCACACCACACTTTAAATACTAGTGCTTTAGAATATCCCCAAATCATATAGAAATTGAAGCCACATGAAGGAGATAACTATTAGCAGACTCCTACCTAGCAAATAACAATGGCAGCACCATGCTATGGTTTTCATAACTATTTCTTCTAAATATATGTCCCACCAGTTATAGTTCTCTGAGTTCATTTAGGCAGAGATTGAGTGTCAGCACCATGTGGTACGTTGGAAGGGCTTCCTGGTCTTCTAAGAGATCGTGGATTCTGTTTAGAAAAGTAGATTCGGTGACATAAGTTTTTTCCTCATTAGAACGATCTCTATAATGAGGACAAATATGATGTGTTCTCTAATCCTGCATTATAGGGGCAGCATGAACTCAGGACAGGCACGTTTCCTCCCAGGTAGGCCAGCAAAGGTCTCAGTCTCATTCATCTCTTTAAAGTGTTGTTTTTGATGGATCTTTATATTGTTAAACATATGATTTCTTTTATTACCAGGATTGAGCATTATTTTTACATTTTTCTTGTTGGATTCAGGTAGGGCCTACAAGGTTATGAGCAGAAAATAGTTCCTGAAATTACAGAAGACAATATTTTTGATGCAAAATTAATGTATGTGTTTGTGAGTGTGTGTGTGCATGTGTGTGTGTGTGTGTGTGTGTGTGTGTGCTAAACCTGTTTGGGCAATACACAGCTAATTTCTATTATTTTAGAGTTTATTATGTAAAACATGCATACCTAATTTAACAATGTTTAAATGTAATCTGAATTCACCTCTGGAATAATAGAAAGATCTTTAAAAAAACACTTTAAACCTGATCTCCCTTTTCTCAGCTTACATGTAACTTTTGTCCAGTATTTTTTTTATCTGTTTTTGAATCTTATGAACGGATGCTATTATTGGTTTATACAGTCAATATTATATTAGATTTATCTATATACTATATATGTATGAATTTCTTTTCTCGCTATTTATTTTCATATTTGTGCCATCCTTTTAGGATTCTCTTCTTGAAGTGCATAACGTAGAAATTCCTTCTGGAAGGGTCTGTTGCTAGCAAATTCTTTGTTCTTAATTTCTTGAAAGGTATCTCTCCTTCTTTAAAGACAGTTTCACTGGGTTTATAAGTCTATTTTGACAGCTGTGGTTCCCAGCACTCTGAAGCTTTTATTCTAATGTTTTCCATCTTTCGCTAACGCCATGAGAGAGACCTGCCAGTCTAATAACGGTTGTTGGTCATGTGGGTGAGTCGTCCTTTCTCAGTGGCTGCTTTTACAATTTTAGTCTTGTCTCTGGAGTAGCATGATTGGGCCTCAATGTGTTTAGATGTAGATTTATTTTTCTTTTTCCTGCTTGGGATTTGTTGGTGTTCCTGAAACTAAAGATTTATGTCTTTCATTAATTCTGGAAAATTCTTACCCATTTTATTGTCAAAAACCAGTGTCCTCCGCTTTCTCTATGCTTTCCTCTGGAATTTCATTTGAATGTGTGCTAGGTCTGCTCACCACACCCTCCACATCTCTTCATCTGGCTCCCATATTTTCTACCTCTTTGACTCTTCAGGCTGCAATTGTTTAGATCTTCTAGTTTGCCAGGTCTTAATTGTTCATCCACGTTGTGCTCTTCAAAATTTATTATTTTATTTGCTAATTTTCTATTTGATTCTCCTAAAAAAATGGTTTAATAATTTTTTATAGTCTCTCACCTCTTAAGAACATTTAGTTCCCTTTTATTTTAATAAATGTAATGCAAATACTTAGTTACATTCTTACCTAATGATTCTAATACTATAATCCTACCTTTGCTGCTTTTGTGGATCCTAGATCATGGTGACTTCTTCGTACATTTAGTGCTTTTTTTCATACTGAGTTTGTGACCATTTTAACTTTATTCATAAAATTATTTTGTGATTTGTATTGAGAGTGTGTACCTTTAACAAGGACTCTCATTTTCTGCTATAAATCACCCAAGAGAACCTTAAAGTAAATATTTAGCTTGGGAGTTTTTGAGCAAATAAGTCGCATGAATGTGTGCCGCCAATCCATTAGATGGTGAGCTTGTAGTTGCAAACACTCCTCACCTTGCATGGGCCCTGGGCTTTGGTTCTTACCCCCACAGAGACGTTAAGAATTGCCCAGGTCAAAGGAGATCAATGTTCCCTTGTGTATTCAGATTCCAGCTCTCACTTAGTCCTTTGACCTTAGACAATTTCTTTATTTTCAAGCCAGCTAATCATATATCTTAAACAGTTATTGAGGATACTACATAAAATATATTAAGTGTTTTTCATGCGTGATAAAAGGATTGTCAACATATCTAGTCTAGTCAATCTTATCATTAGAAATGGAAGTTCTTGGTTTAAAGTATGTACGGTAGCATGCTTATGTGGAAATTCTGCTACTAGAGCATATCTGTATTTTAACTTATAATCATCTATGATATTTGTATAATTTGTTAAAGTCAGAATAACAGATGAAATTCATATAGTTTTATAAAGTGCTTTACCAAGCACTTTTGTGCCATTTATTTTAAATTGTATATGAAGGCTAGAACAATTATGTGATACTAAACAATTAAAATACTGCTCTCTATTTTCATTAGAAAATCCTAAGGAGACAAAAATTATCAGAAATTTATCTAATTGGAAGATGTAAACACAGGCATATTACTATGTGTTAAATATATAACCTAAATGTTTTTGCAGCTTTTTAGAATTTACTCTATCTAACCATAATGTTTATTTTAATATCTCTTGGATGCAAACACAATAGTAGAGATTAATCATACAGTTAACTTTATTTATGCTCATATGCAGCTTACATGGAGAGTTATCTGAGTTGACATTATTATAAGAAGCTTATAATAATTTATCAACTAATTTGTTTCTCATGCTTATCCTTACATTTTTCTATTCTTCCTTGTGGTATTACAAAAATCATGAATGAAACACTGAACTAATTTTTTTAAATAAATAAACTTTACAAAACTGAAATTACTGTATTGACCAGAATCATGACTTGGCATCAACTTCTAAATTATTCCAGAGATATCGGGAGCTCATCTCTGGCTGCAGTTGACACAAACAATAATGGTAAAATAGTGTCTCATATTCTGTAAGGTTTTTAAATGGAATCTGGCTTTAGCCAGAAGACAAAACAGACTTTAAAGAGAAGCACAGGTATTCAGTCTTTAACATTTAGCTATTACGTATGCTATATAAAATTGCATATCTTAGAACCAATATGAGAAGAATAAAGAAAATAATAATTCAAATAGGAAGTATTTAAGTCAGTTTATTTTTAAAGTACTTTCCAAAAAGGAATGTTTAAATTATAAGGACTTCGGTTTAATTCATTTGTTCACAGTCCTATCCACTTATGAATTAACACTGTAAAAAATATAAATTGCTACATCTTTAAGTGATTAGTATTACAGGGATGTGCCATAAGTAACTTTAAATTAACAGAATACTTCATTTTCTTCCGATCTGAAATAAAAAACAAAACTAAAACTAAAATGCAGACATATAAAATCTAGTACTAACTTTCAGGACATAGGAGCTTGACATTTTAAATAAGAGAAGAAATTACTGGGTCATAATTTTTCTCTGTGGCTCTAGTTTAACATAGAGATAAGTGGAAACAGAATTCTGGGGCCAGTAAGTTAAGCAACTCTTATTCTTGAAATTCATGGGCTATGAAAGGATTGCACAAGAGCCTTTAAATCCCCTCCAGTAGGATTTAAAATAGTCACTAATATAAAGTAGCCAGGAAAAGTAATAATAATATCTCAGAGTGAAATGGGACTGGAAAATTCTTCCATATGGGAAAAGAGTTGGAAAGAGCTTCCAGGAGCAATCCCTTTCCCTAAAGGTGGAATATCAGATTCTCCTGTGTTATGAAAGTAATCTTGCAGATCTACCTGGCATCAAAAATCTTACTGAGATCAAATGACGTAACATATTTGAAATTCCTTTGAAAATTATGATTAGTTACTTGGTATAGCAGGCAGGTAACAGCAAATGAGACTGAAGAGACAGTTGATAAATTACATTTGGGGAGTGATAAAGTAACTACTTTGTTTCTTCTCTCTCTCTCTCTCTCTTTCTGTTTTGAGACAGGGTCTCACTCCATTGCCCAGGCTGGAATGTCATGGAGTAATCATGGCTCACTGCAGCTTCAACCTCCCAGGCTCAAATGATCCTCCTACCTCAGCCTCCCAAGTAGCTGTGACCACAGGTGCATGCCACCATGCCAGGCTAATTTTTAAATTATTTTTTTGTAGAGACAGGGTCTCACTATGTTGCCCAGGCTGGTGTTGGACTCCTGGGCTCAAGTGATCAATCCACCTCAGCCTCCCAAAGTGCTGGGTTTACAGGCATGAGCCACTGCCTGTATTTCTTGGAGAATATCTGGATCTATGGCTTCCTTTCCAAAGTACAAAGTACTGGCTGGCAGACTTTTCTTCCATAGCCAGATTTTCAATGGAAGTTTACTGGTAAGAGTATTTCTGGTATCCTGCATGCTTTTCAGCCTAATGATAAAGCATAGGAATTCACAAAAAGGCAAAACTACATTGAACAAATTGTATACACTTTAGACTGTATAAAAAATTAGTCACCATATGGTTTAAACCATATGAAAGAGATTTAATAAAAAGGAACCTAAATTTTTTCAATTATAAATAAGACTGCTGATGGGAGGGTTTTTTTTAACCTCTGGTAAAATGATTTTTAAAGTGGATTTATGGAAAAAGTAGTAAACACATCATGTGTGTGATTTTTTCCAAGTAATTCATATAGTCAGGGATAAGATCACAGCCTATTACTGCCACATAAGCTGTGTAACAGCTGTGTAAGAGTCATCTGAGGAGAACAGAGCTGGAGGCAGGTGCCTGGGTTTGAATCCCTACTTTCGTACTTATGAGATGTGAACTGAACCAGTTTCCTAACTTGATGCCCGAGTAGTTAAAAGCAAGACAATAATGCTACTTAAGCCATAGTGTTGTTTTGACGATAAAATTAGCTAATTTTGTAAAGTGATTAGGGCAGTGTCTGGCATATTATAAGCACTAGGAAACATTTTACTATTTCCATTATGGCAGAGAGATGAGGAAACCAAATCAGAGTTTAGCAAACCTAAGTCTTGATCTCAGTATCGACACTTGCTCAGATAAGAAGCTTAAAAGCAATTCAGTTTCGCCTGTGACACTAATCGCTTCATTCGTTCTGATCCCAGGAGTTAGGATCAAGTGATCTCCTGTGTACAAGGTGCCCTGAAAAGCATCAAGCGTAACCTTTGATCCCTTTGGGAGAAAGGCATTGGATTTCAAGGTACTGTATGGTATGAATTCTTATTCTAGTATTTCAAAATATCAAGGTTATATGTGTTCATCTTCATATTTGATGGTGTCACATTTAATGATGTCTTTGGCACTCAAGGAATATGCCTTAAAATTTATTGCTACTTTCAAACAAGAATATAAGGAGAATTACTGAGCCATTGGTTAATATGCTTCAATGAGTTCATCACATCTTTTGGTATGACCATTATGAAGAATTTTGAATTCTCTCTTGTTTTAATAATTCATTTTTATCAATTGGAATTTCCTTTGTTCCTATAATATTTCAATGAAGAAAGGTATAATGATGAGAGCCAGTCACGTAAGGGACATGATAACAGGAACCACTGTCAGATCTGCTCAGCACCTGTTCTAGCACACACTGTGGGTGCACACACTGTTTCCTGTGCAAACAGCATCTGCAACCCCTAAGGGCTTTTTCTTGGCCCATATAGAGCAGCCCCAAAGTGCTGAGGAGTTCACTCACCAGAGAGCAGCCCTCAGTTAATGACAAATGGGGGTTGGAGGATGAATACATCTATGTCCTCACCCTCTGGGGCGGCTACTCTGAGGCATATTCTATATTGTTTCCCAGCGGTCACCAGCAGAATGGAGCTTCAGTTTTTTGCTGGTAACCTGCTTGAAAACACAAGCTTTGCTGGCTTCCTCTCCTTCCATTGCCTCACTTTCTACTTCCGTACCAGCACTTCCAGGGACCATCTCTCAGTCTCCTTATCTCAGTGTTCTGGGGAAACACACATAATATATCAACATTTATAGAGAAGCTACTATATATGAGCATGCTAAGGGCTTCATATTCTATTTTTCTTTCTAGCTCAGTTTGCATGCCTTCTCTGTCTCCTTTGCTGATTTCTCTTCTCCCTGATGTCTAAACACTGGTGCACTACACTATTCATTCTGGGGAAGCTTCTTTTTTCCATCTCCATTCTCTGCTTAGGTGATCTCATCCATTCTCAATACTTATAAACCAATGACTCCAAAATTTATATTTTTATCCCTGACTGGCCCCCTAACTCCAGATTCACATTTTCAAGTGCTACTTAATACCCTGAAGTAGCTGTTAACAAGGCCAAGAAACAACTCTTGTTATCACTTCCAAAACCTGCTTCTCCTCCCTCTCGTATCTCAGGAAATGGTGTTGTCATCCATCAGTTGCTCAAGCCAAAAACCTAGGATTTGTTCTTGATTCTTCCCATCCTTTCACTCCCCATATCCAATCCATGAGCAAGCCTGTTGACTTCACCCCCAAAACATACTCTGAAACTACCCATTTGTCTCCATCTCCAGAAGTACCACCCTCATCTAATCCACTACTATTTCTCATCTGGGCTATTGCAGTAGCCTCATAACATGCCTTCTTTGTACATTCCATTCTCCACACAATATCCCAAGTAATATGTAAAAAAATACTAAGCAAGCCATGGTGCTTCCTCCTCACAACCTTCCAGTGGCTCCCAACATACTTCAAATAAAACCCCATCTCCTTTCTTGGCTTACAGGACTCTACAGTTCCTGAGCCTGTCTTTGTCTAATACCTGAATGACTTTCTCCTTAGATGATCATGCTCAAGTCTCACTGGCCTTTTTGCCTTTTACTCGAATATAGCAAACTCATTCTTAGCACAGAATTGTTACCATATGTGTTTCCTTTGCTTGAATGCTCTTCTCTCATTTCCTTCTTAAAGCCCCAGCTTAAAAATATCCTCTGCAGAAAGGATTTCATAAACTATTGAACCTAATATAGTGCCCAATCCTATTTTATCAGAGTTGTTTCTACTGCTTTTTCATGCACATTTACTCATGTTGCTTATTTCCTTTCAGTAGAAGTCAAAAATAGGAATTTTCTCTTATGGGGCATCCCTACCATTTACAACATAAACTCACACATATTGGGCCTTTGATAAATCTTGTTGAGTAAAATGGGTGATGGGAACTATTATTATCCCCATTTTAAAGGTGATGAAACGGAGCTTTAAGGTAGTTATGAAATTTACTCAGTCAAATAGAGGCAGAGATTGATACCCAAATCAAATCAGTCTTACCCCAGAGTTCATAATTTTAACCACAACACCAAACTTCCTCTACATATGAGTGGGAAAAAAAAACACCTTAGTCTGAGAACTTAGTACATTCATTTTTACAGAGTATCTGTTTAAAAAACACTCAGCATATTTGAATGTCTCAAAATTGAATGTTACAAAACATTCATAGTCCTTAAGAAATAAATCTTAATTTTTATGCTATGTAGATACACCAAGAAGTAAGGAGAGCAAAGCTATCTTAGTTCTTATCCTCTGTATAAGCCTCCTAAGAGATACCCAACAGTGTAAACAACAGAATACAATTTTCAAACCATTTCTCACAGGAAAATGAAAAGACTCCAGATTACAATAGAACATAATTCATTTCACATGGAAACCACTAGAAGAGTGGTCATGTTCAGTAAGGTTTCTTTTACGAGAATGAAACTCCATTTAACACATACGTATGCAATCTGAAATCTGAGTCACAATGGCCCACAGACCAAGGGATATGACCAGATACATAATTTTTGTGAAAAGCCGAATAGCACCAAATAGAAATAATTATAAAAATGTACCACCAAATGTACATGAGGAAACTCAGCTAATATTACCCAGGAGAATTCAACAGGCATTTAAAGCAAAGTCTTTGAAAATTATTTAGATATGTTTTATAGAGACTCTAGCACACTAGATGAAAAGTTCCAGCCAAGCTTTCTAAGAAACAGCACATTTAGTCACCTCAAAGAAGAAATCCGAGGGATAAAAAAAATACCAAATCTTCATCAAGAGAAGATAAACATATATTTTAAGCCCAATAAAAATGAAACAGGAATATTAGCTCTCCTGCCAGATTCCAAAGCAGTGACTGAAAATGGCACAAAGACACGTTAGTCAATGTTTTATCTCTTTTTTCTCTTTTCTAGTCCCCTCATTTCCAGTGAATAGAGCTGCAAAAGGTAATAATCAAAAAGGATATATAAGAATAAACAATCTGAATCATGCTCCTGATGAGAAAACTGCAGCCCAGCTAACGCGTGCCAAAGCAGGGACTTGATTCCAAGCTCAATAATAGTCTTTCCATCTTACCACACAGTCACTACACCAAGGAGATAGCACAAAATACATATTTTTGTGTATGTGCTGGAATGACAGTGGAATGTAAAGATCAAATTTAAGCCACTTAAAGTTTAAAAAGCTGAGAATTAAAAGAGAAGTGGGGAGGTGTTTGGGTTACAGATTTAACCTGCAAGGTGGTCTGACAAGGGAGTGGTTCCACCAAATATATCTGGTGGCCATGATCAGAGACCAAAGTCAGATTAATATAAGCTGACAAGTCATTTCTTACGATCTTATGTTATTATAATTATTTTTTTGTCTGATATAAACATTATCTATCTTTGGCAGAAGATAAAGTCAGACATCACTCAAAGAGATGGCTATAGAGAAAGTGCTACTAAGAAGCAGAGACAATACCTTTTTGTTTTTGTTTTTTGTTTAAAGAATTTTATTAGCTTTGTTTCATTACATTTGGGAACCAATATAGGTGTCTAAATTGGCAACTAAATTCTACTTGAACTTAAAACTTAGGATTGATGAGAAGATACAAGGGCTACATATAGGCTGTTCCATATGTATTTCAATAAAAAAGCAAATAATGATTATAGAATTATGTTTAAAAACCATTTACTTACTGCTTACTATGTGAAAAGCACAGGAAGTGCCAGTGATAGAATAACAGCTGCAAGACTAAAGGAAGAAGGAGAGTTTGAACAAGTGGGTGTGAGGAAAGTACAGGGGGAAAGAAAAACGTGTTCAGGGTCTTTGTGCCACATGCCCTGTCAGAAACCTAACCTAGATTATCTGAGTTAACCTCTTAATAATACTACTGGAGGCTCCATCATTGTTCTCAATTCTTTACCTCATCCCCATATCTATGCCTTTTTTCCCAATGACATTGTAGTTCCTCCCACTAGGAGTGGACTATATTTCCCCACTCTGATGATGTGACTTTCTGAGGCCAAAGTGGACACTGCGCCAGCAAAGCCTTGAATTGCACATGTACATTCAGATTTTCTGCCAAGCCCATGAGAAAAACAATCCTTATCTCTCACTGATCATCAAAAAATGAGAGTCTTATGAAGAAGTCTTGAACTGAGCCCAGCCACCCACAAATGAAGGATAAATAAGTGTCTATGCCACTGAAATTTTGTGGTTGTTTGTTATGGGGCATTACTGTGCCAGTAACTGATACCTCTTTACTGAGTCAGGAACTGAGCCCCAGAGGGAAGCAGTGGCTTTTCCAACATAGAATTCTAGTCTGTCATGGGCCTAAGTCTATATAATTTCTACCACACGGTTCCTTAAGAGAAGGGGAGGATTAGAGAGGTCACTGCATGGTTAGAGCAGCTGAATGAAGGAAGTCATGGAGGTAACAAGGAAAAGCCTATCTTGGTTGAAATTGTCTTAAGGTAGCATAATGATTCATGAGGTTGGGAAGGTAACTTTCATCTAAATTTAGGAGAGTCTTGAATGTCAGGCTTAGGAAATTCAACTTCATTCTAAGGACATGAAAAGCCATGAAAGCCTTTTCAATACAGAAGAAACCTATGAAGAAAGGCAATTCAGAAAGCCCCTTTAGTACAAAGGGTCAGAGGAATCACCCACAAGCTTTGGCAGTAACCTAGGCAATAAAATAATAGACAATAGGCAATTATTTCTCATGTGTAAGCCAGGACTAATTGTACTTGCCCCAGTAGACACTTCTTACAGAACTGAAATTTTTACTTTTATTTTAAACACATCTAGATTGGTCTAAATGTAAATTAACTCCTTGAGTTTTGTGGGGGTTTTCTGGTTCATTTGTTTTTGAGACAGTATCTCGCTCTGTCACCCAGGCTGGAGTGCAATTTATAATTATGCCAAATTGAGCGTTGTGCAAACATAGTTGTGTATCCAGACTTTCACATTTGAGAGATTCTTTTCTTTTTCTTTTCTTTTTTTTTTTTTTTTGAGATGGGGTCTTGCTTTGTTGCCCAGGCTGGAGTGAAGTGGCACGATCTCGGCTCACTGCAACCTCCACCTCCTGGGTTCAAGCAATTCTCCTGCCTCAGCCTCCCGAGTAGCTGGGACTACAGGCGCCCAACGCCATGCCTAGCTAACTTTTTGTATTTTAGTAGAGACGGGGTTTCATCGTGTTGCCCAGGCTGGTCGCTAACTCCCGAGCTCAAGCAACCCACCCGCCTCGGCCTCCCTAAGTGCTGGGATTACAGGCTTGAGCCACCATGCCCGGCCAACTCCTTGAGTTTTAATGTTCAATTTACTTCAACATACTTTTTATCTAATATTTATAATTCATTATGTGTGTATGCAGAAGCACCCAGCAATTTGTAAATGTGGTTAAAAGAAGTTTTGTGGGCGGGAGCAGTGGCTTCTGCCTGTAATCCCAGCACATTGCGGGGCTGAGGAGGGCAGATCACGAGGTCATGAGATTGAGACCATCCTGGCCAACATGGTGAAACCCCGTCTCTACTAAAAATACAAAAATTAGCTGGAGGTGGTGGCGCAAGCCTGTAATCTTAGCTACAGAGGAAGCTGAGGCAGGAGAATCACTTGAACCAGGGAGTCAGAGGTTGCAGTGAGCCGAGATGGCGCCACAGCACACCAACCTGGCAACAGAGCGAGACTCTGCCTCACAAAAAAAAAAAAAAAAAAAAAAAAAAAAAAAAAAGTTGTGGGGCAGCTGGGAAATGAAACAGGCTAAAAACCATAAATCTACTACCTTTAGGCCAAAATGCTAACTAAAGGAGGAAATGACTATGACAACTGTTATCAACCAAAACAGCACATTACTCAGGATGAATGTTCAGCACCCTGGTTGGTTGGAGACCTTTTCCAAACCAACTACGTCAGGGACTTCAGAAGAGGAAATACATAAATTTTAGTTTACCTGCTTCCTTTAACAAAAAGTACTTGTTTAGTCAAAGAATAACTACATGTGAAATATGAATTGAATTGATTAGAACGCTGTACTTTATTCTAAAGATCATTTAGGTTAACAGACCATATGTGGTTTTTCCTAAGACCTAAGATTTACAAATATCAAACCATTATTACTATCGTGTAGTGATCACTATATTTGAGAAAAAAGTATCAATAAAAGGAGGGTTGTTTTTCTTTTTAGCACAGCATCCTCTGTTTTATATTATATGCAATTGCTTTTCAAGAAAGTGGTCTACAAAGCAGACCATATAAGGAGTCATCCTCCAGGAAGATAAAAGGTGAAATTCCAGATATGAGATAGCCAGAGCTGCCCAAATACCCTTCTATCCCTAACCTCTCACATCCACAGAATTTCTTTTTCTATCATCCTTTCTCCCTCCACTGAAGGGCCAATGCTCTGGTGGGACTTGGCTGAAGATTGCGCACACATGGAGAGCAGGGTCACTGTTTTTAGCTGGGAGCTTTTAATGACCAAACATAGGCCTCGAATTAGAAGTAATGTAAACTACAATTTCCAACTGAAATACACCTACAGTTCAGATCTTGCTTTCTTAGACATACAACATTTCCGGGAATTTGGGAAGTATTATGGCACTCATTTTTTTTTAAGAGGGGCACATTTTAGGATGGTTTAATTAAATGCATGACTGATTTATTTCCAATATTCTTTAAAGAATGAGTATGAGCATCTCATAAGGCTTTTAGTAATCAGGCCCCCATGTTTGCAAAATTCCCATCCCTTTTTCTTTCTTTATTTTCTTTTTCTTTCTTTCTTTCTTTTTTTTTTTTTTCTTTCTATCTTGCCTATTCCTGATAGAACTGTAGTGGGAAGTAGAATTCTGTGAGTGAATTCAATAAGTGAGAATTTGGGAATTCTTAAACTAAGACCATGGGAAAAACTAGGAGAAAATAAAATAGGTACTGAAATGAGTCTTACAGGTGGACAAAAGTAGGAGAGAGTTTATTTGTCTTTTGAAATGTGTAATAAATGCTTAGACTAAACTATAAAATGACTATTTGTATTTTTTTTTTTTTAAGATGGAGTCTCACTCTGTCGCCAGGCTGGAGTGCAGTGGCGCGATCTCGCTCACTGCAACCTCTGCCTCCCGAGTTCAAGTGATTCTCCTGCCTCAGACTCCCAAGTAGCTGGGACTACAGGTGCACACCACCATGCCCATCTAATCTTTGTATTTTTAGTAGAGATGGGGTTTCACCATGTTGGCCAGGATGGTCTTGATCTCTTGATCTCGTGATCTGCCCGCCTCAGCCTCCCAAAGTGTTAGGATTACAGACGTGAGCCACCACACCCGGCTGACTATATGTATTTTTAACTTATAAAATGTGTAAGCATTCTATACAGGAGGCTGCCTTTTCTTCTTTGTTTATATTTGTTAAAGAAAATAAACACAGGAACAATGAATAAATCTAGGTAAAAGAAACATACTACATTAGAACTGAACTTTCTTTTTCTGTGATCTATGTTCTCACGAGTATTATTTTATCATTTTCTGGAAAAGTTTCCAAACAATGAAATTTTGTTTCTAGTAATTATTTCTCAGGAACTTGAGCATCAAGGATGACTGTTTCAGGCTGCTCTGATTCTGATCATTTAAATGTTTAAACCAGGTTTCCCATCCAGGCAACCATGATCTGTGTTCAATAGGAACTCAGACTCCATGAACCACAGGATCTCAGGTTGGATACTTGGCTCCTTTATCAGCCTCAAAGGGATAGCCAGGTTGGATTTCTGGAAACACACTGTATATGAGTGTTGGGGGTTCTGTATCAGTGGAGGGAGAGAAGGAGTTAAAAGACCCCCACCTGTTGACTAGCTTCTCTTTCGGCCTCACAACTGATGTTTGAATCACATGCACCCACACTGTTTCCTCTAATACTGTACTCTGTGGTGTCAACATATTAATATATATACACATATATATCTCTTCTTTTTTTTTTTTTTTTTTTTTTTTTTGAGACAGAGTCTCTCTCTGTCGCCCAGGCTGGAGTGCAGTGGTGTGATCTCAGCTCACCACAACCTCCGCCTCCTGGATTCAAGCAATTCTCCTGCCTCAGCCTCCTGAGTAGCTGGGATTACAGGCACGTGCCACCACGCCTGGCAAATTTTTGTATTTTTTGTAGAGACGGGGTTTCACCATGTTGGTCAGGCTGATCTCGAACTCCTGACCTCATGATCTGCCCACCTTGGGCTCACAAAGTGCTGGGATTACAGGCGCGAGCCACCGCACCATCTCTGTATACATTCACAGACGTGTGTGTGTGCATTTGTGTGTGTGTGTGTATTTTTGGTTTGTTTGTTTTAATAGCACCACCTTGGATTCTGTGCTTAGGGAGAACAATTATTTCTTCCTACTTTATCTATCTGCCTCCTTCCTCCCCTAGCTCCAACTAGCTTTTGCTAAGTCCACAGTCACTTCCAGAAGGTCAAAGGGCCTGATAACATCCTCCCTATCTCCCTGGTTTTCTGAGAACCAAGGAAAGTAATGGAAAACCACTTCCAACATCCCACTGACTCAAGGATCAGTTCTATTACCTCTCTCCAATTCTTCCCCACCTCCCCAAATCCTCACTTGCATATCACCTTATTGGTCACGTTAAAACTGGAGAGGAATAAAGTTAATCCTCTCTCTCTGAAAAAGATTAGTCACAAGTCGGTTAATGAATAACTATATTTTAAAGTTGTTTGGAAATGTTAGCCAAAAAAAAAAAAAACTACATAAAAGGTATTCAGTATGGCAGTCTGCTAATAACTTGGTAATAAAAAGTAAGGATCTTTAAGCATTTTATACTTTAAATGATTTATTTTACTTAAGACCTCATATTTCAGTCTTTTCAAGGAAAGAGATATTTAAAAGTTCATTAATATTTCCTCTTACCACCCACATTCGGTTTCATTCTCAACACACACACAGTGTCCTCTGAAGAAAGAGACAGATAGATACATCCTGTATAACCTGCTGATGACTGCACCAGGAAACGAACTTGTCAATTATGCAAACAACTGTAAACTTCCAAATATAGAAAATATAGTATAGTGTAATTTATTTTCTATATTCTGTTTTATAGTACTTTAAAAAATTAACTATTATGTTTCAGTGTTAAAAACTCGAAGATCTCATATGCAGTTTAGTTGACACAAAATCAGAATTTTTAGTCGACACAAAATCAGAATTTTTAGTGATTGGTTCTAAGGTTCAATACCCCCAAATTTTTTTTTGTTTTAAATTTTTTAAAAATGAAGAGTTTTTATTTCTTTGTAAGTCGACACTCAAAATTAAACATAATTTAAGGACATATTGCAAGTTTCTTTTCAGAAAGCAAAATGAAAAGGCTTCACCTGCATCTCTAAAAACAAAGCCAATTAATATGCCAGGTTCCTTTCCTCCACCAAAAATAATGGAACATTTGCATACAGCAGAACTAGGAAGCTAGTCTCGTTCATCAGCTTATTATAATGCCTCCTGACAGCCTCACACACTGCCTCATCAACATCATACTGTTTCAATTACACATTTTTTTTACCCACTTCACGTGTTAAGCCATCTTCACTTCTATCTCACCTCAAGCTGCAGTATATAATTGAACTGCATTTTTCCAAGCATAGATGGATTCTCTGCAAGTCAGAAACTGAATCGCTAACATTGTATTGTTCCAGGCCACAAAAGAAAGGGGAAAAGGTGGGAGGGAAAAGAACCACGGTGGATTTTAAAGAAACAAATAATCCCTCCCCACAAAAGCCTGCCCCTCGGAACCAATGGCAGAAAGAATTAAGAATTGGCTGGAGCGCAGTATGGGGTCCCTCTGCCAAGGAAATGGAAATTGTCTTTTTAAGAACCACTGAAGCCTGCTCACTCCCCTGTGATCATCCTACCAGTCTGCTCCACAGTGCAAGAGTAAGGAAGCAAGGGCTTTGATTTTGCCAGCAAACTATAGGAAAACAAAATAAAGACTGGGCTTGAAAAGATGAGCTTTAATTTAGCAAATGCCATAGAGATATATCCCAAGACAACTGCCACCTCACATTTAAAAAACTATCTTTTATTTGGATCATGAAGAAAAATGTGGATAAAGCAAAATAATTCCAAAAGAGCATGGCTCTTATTAAGTGGCTCTGGAAAAACTCTAGGCAGACTGAAGGAAAACGCCTTCATATCATTACAGAGTCCATCTTTCAGAAAGAATTATAATTGCATGAATATGTAGCGTTCAGAGAGCTGAGTGGAGAGTAAGTTTTCATAGCAACAGAGCAGGTTGGAAATCAGATGTAACAGATTTTTTGGTGTTTAGATGATTTAGGAAAATTTCACATTACCTTCCTCTCAAATTGACATTTCATCCTGATTGGTTAATTATCATTTTTTCTGTTTCAGCAGCAAAAAGGTCCCGAGTAATGCAGTTGGAGCTGTATTGTCTTTGTATGACTCCCAAATGTAATTTTAGGGTCTTTTCAGCCCCTGTTGATGTTTAACTTAAAAACTACAATCAACCTTTTAGCCCACAGACCCTAAGCCTCACGTTAAAATCTGTAAAAACTGGTAATCCTGGCCTGTTTTCGTTCTCCCAGGGCTCAGAGAGCTTGACCATGTCTGAACAGATGGGACAGTTTGAATGAGAACAGCATGCACTCTAGAGGTTCTCTGCATTTGGGTGGCAGCTTTACATACCAACAGGACGTTTGCCTGCATTTAGGTTGGAAGCACAAGAGGCCTGCTAAAGAGTGCTCACTCACTCTCCAAGGTATGAAGGATTCTTCAGCCCTCTGAAAATAATTCCAATACTATGTAACACTTTTTTAAAATCAGTGCCAAATGTATTTAAAATTAAGTAATGTTGCCAATAGCTGAGGCCTTCAAATATAGAAATTTTTATAACATCTGATATGGTTTGGCTGTGTCCCCACCCAAATCTCATCTTGAACTGTAGTTCCCATAATCCCCACCTATGGTGAGAGGGACCCAGTGGGAGGTAATTGAATCATGGAGACAGTTTTCTGCATGCTATTATTGTGATAGTAAGTCCTCATGAGATCTGATGGTTTTATAAGAGGCTTCCCCCTTCGCTCAGCTCTCATTCTTCTTGCCGCCACCATGAGAAGCATAATGTGTTTGCTTTCCCTTCTGCCATGATTGTAAGTTTCCTGAGGCCTCCCCAGCCATGCTGAACTGTGAGACAATGAAACCTCTTTCCTTTATAAATTACCCAGTCTCAGGTATGTCTTTATTAGCAGCATGAGAATGGACTAATACAACACCTTACATTTTAACCACATATTATTTTGTTTCCACTATATTATATTTATTGAGAGTCCACTAAGAGCTAGATTCTTGAATTAAATAAAGAACAAAAACACTGTGGACACTGCGGAAAAGAAACATGAATTAACTATTAGATAAGTGGTGAAACCGCACATGTAATAAAAGCTGCAAAGGAGAGATAGTTACTTGGAGCTGTGAGACCCTTCTATAAGGGGATCTGACCTAGTCAAGGAGGTCTTGAAATTAGAGTGTGTTGATGTGAAGGATAAGTAGGAGTTGACAAGACAATGAGGGGAAAGAAGAGAATGCCAGGAAGAGGAAACAGCAAAGTCCCTATCATGAGAGGGGGCATGTTGAACACAAAGAATGAGACACAGTTTTTAAAAAGACCACCATGCCTAGAAAACAAGAGTGAGCAGGGTGAAGGATGAGACCGAAGAGAAGGCAGAGGCCAGGTCTTGTAGGTCATGTTGAGGGATAGGACATGGAGGAAAAAATAAGAATATATTTATGGGTCACGTTGAAATCTTTTGCAGGAGGTGACAATAATTTATGTTTTGTAAAGATCACTCTGGCTGAAACTGTGGAGAACAGAGTGGATGGGGACAAAAGTGGATCTGGGTAGATGAGTTGGGGGCTACTGTGTGCAGCAGTCTGAGCGCCAGTGGGTGGTGAGAGGTGCACATGGTAGGTTCTTGGTGTGGCCCAATGCAGGATGGACATATGTGTTGCCTCACTCTTTATTTGTAGACACTCGTCCTCTATCCTGCACCCTGCCTCCTGAATAATCTTCTCAAAGTGCAATACTGACTCTGTCATTTTCCACGTACCCATGGCAACAGGCTCAGTCTATGCTGGCACTCAGGATTGAAAACCTGAGCCCAACCTATTTTTGAGGTTGCTTTTCCACTTCCTATCTATGCAGAGCCCCACTTTGTCCAAAGTAGTTTACTTACCTTCCTGTTGTTTATGTCCTTCAACCCAGCCTCCTGCTGTCCTGCTCTTCTTTACACTTTTGTTAAGGCCTGAATTCATCTCCCACCTCTGTTCTCCCTGTCTAAATCCTGCCCATCCTTTCCCTCCAGCTTAAACCGCTTCCATTAAGAATTATCAGGCCACTGAAGTCCAATTACAGATCTCTCAAATTCTACCACATGCATTTTGTGTTATCTGGCAATTAATCATGCCTTGTTTTGCTATGCCAAATTGTCAATTGATAATAGTAATTTTTTTAGCTTTTCACAGGTGTATGTTTTATCTCTTTATCTAATTAATAAGGCACTGGTGGCAAGTGCCCTATTGTATATTTTTCTGTGCCTTTCTCAGCACCTACACAATGCTTCATATATAGTTAGGTCTTCAATGACAAAGTACTGTTTAAAATTTGCTCTGAGATATGCTTTACCTTGGCCCAGGAAATCAGGAAAGGGTTTCGGAGGACTCCACCTAATCTATTTAATCAGACTTGGAAAATTCTTGGAGTAACATATATTAGGTGGTAAAACTGCCAGAGTAATTTTGAACCAGAATCTCCAGTGATAAGTCTGGATTTACCAAGGAAGAAAAAAGAGACTCTGGAGTGATAAAAACAAAAAGCCTGTATTCAAATCCTGACTCAACCACTTACGTTCAAACAGATCTTGATCTAGTTCTTCATTTCTCTAAGATTCTGTGTCCTCATCTGAAAAATGGGGATAGTTGTACCTATCCAGAAGACAGTATGTAAAGATATGATACAAATCTGAGTGAGCACCTGGCAAGCTGTCTGGTCATTGGTATTAAAAGAAAAGTGAGTAATTTCTCCTCAAGTCTTCCAATTACCTCTACTCTAAGGCACATGTACCCATGCACGCATTTTCACACTCATTCACACACACACACTCACACAAGAAACTTCTTTTAATCTGTCCTTTACTCCCATATTGTGACTGAATTGACTTGACTTCTCAAATCCATTATCTTTTTTCTTTTTGTCTCTGTTTTCTTCTTTCTCCGTCTTTCTTATTTTGATGAACACCTAACAACAAGATGTTGGAAATTACTGTTGAAAAAAATATATACCCACTATTGACAGTCTTTTCAATATACCAGCAACATTACTGAATGTAAACAGGAAGGGTAAGAACTTCTACCAAATTCCCTTCCTATTGTCCAACAAGCAAACATTTCTGCTCTGAGCCATTAATCCTCCTATTGTATTCTCTTCCCAACAGTCTAACTGAGTGAGATTAAAAATCAAAAGAAAAAAATAGTTGAGAGATTAGGAGATACTGACAATTCAAGCTCCCTAAAAGTCTCTGAATGACCAAGAAACAGGAAAAGTTGGCCTTTCTCATTAAAATCTATTTGAATCAGTGCAATGTCTGAAGGCATTACGTAATGTTTATATGTAGACTTTGTATACTTGAGATGTGGTAAAATAGCCAAAACAAGATTGCCCTCATCTGATATCAGCTTCTCTAAATGTCTCAACAGTGACTATTCCCTTAAGAACTATAGGTATGCAGGGCATTCAACGTGTATCAGGAGCTGTAAGAAACAGACGAATGCCAGCCTGTTCCAACCCGCGGTATCTATTAATCACTTTTTAGACGGGCACTATTTAATGTCACATGAAGACAAGTGAGCACTGCTGTTGGCTGTTTACCAAGACTCTAGAACAAAGTCCACTTTGGCTGCTTTCTGCCTTAATTTATTTTTAATAATGCATACTAATTTTTATGTGTCATTGGCAGTCAGCTATAAATTTTTCTCATTAAAAATAACTCCCCTATATAGAAGTACAGGGATGAAATAAGTGTGTATTTCCAACTCAAAGAAATATATTTTTTAACTGATTTGTGTGACTCTAACCTGAGGCCATATTAAAAAATAAAACCCTCAAAATTTTTGCAAAATTGACCCAATCTTGAAAAGATATATGTAAAGTTGCCTGAATCTATTAGAGATTTTCATTATTATTGTTATTTTAAAGAGTTTTCTTTTCTAGTTTCATTAAACCTCTGATGTGAAAAAGTGAGTGTTCTATACAGATGGAAGAAGTCTGGTCAGCACTTAAGAAGCTGACTAACAGGGACTTAGCTAGCTCTAAGGCGATTCCTATTAGAATGAAAAAGAAACAGACTAAGTGCCAAACTCAAAACTATTCTCTTACAGAGATAAACTGTAAGTGCTCTAAAGAAAGTGAAAACAGCTCTCTGGGGAATGCTTGGGATTTGGGCAAAAGAACAATGCAACTGTTTCTATAAGTCAATTGGAAATACTGGGGCTGGGGCGGGGGATTTGGAAGAGTTCTGAAAATGGGAAAAAGAGTTGCCAGAGGGTGAAGTTGAAGGTTTGGCCCCCATTTAGATTTAGTTCACTGATCCTGTAGACAAACACTCGTTAGTTTTGTAAAGGAAATAAATTAGCCCCAAGATGAATGTGGACTCAATTTGTAACAGAGAGGCTAATTATATTTTTAAAGCCTTCAAGAATATATAAACTATCACCTGGTCTTTAGGATTAATAACATTTCAATACTTCAAAATAAATGGGTTGCTTAAACAACACTAAAAATTTCTACACCTTGCCTTCGGAAAACCTATATGATACAGTGATTAGCTTGGGCTTTTCTAACTTCTTCAACAACATTGAGAATGATTCCTGAAAAACTACAGATCAAAAATGGATACATGATTTATTCCTCTTTTCCTTGAATATGAAAAAGCTGAAATTGACTTCAAAAGGATTCTCTGGGAGTTATAACTATGCTCTAGCAAGAGGTTCCAATAAATCAAAGATGGCTATCTGTGTTGAACAAAAATCCAGGAAGAAAACTCATGACCCACTCCAGAGCAATCTGAGCAACTTTCTCAATCTTTAGAGCACAAACAAGTCTAAGCTTGAATTTTCGACCTGGTGCTAAACTTGCATATGATTCAGGAAAAGATAAAAATGATTGCATGTTCTCTCTCAATTTTAACTCCAATACACCTGATAGGAAAATATCTCCATTTCGGAGATGCCAATATGGAATCCCTCAGACAGAGGGCAGAAGCTGATAAGCAGGAAGAATGAGATCTCTCAGGAGAAGAGTCCATGGGGGCTTCATTTTTATCAATGATTGTATACTTAGATGTGGAGGTGGAAAGTGGATTATCAATCAGGAGAAACACTGACCCAGTGCAGTTGCATGTGTTTTTTTGCAGAAAGGTTTTAAAATACTGGCAGTAAGAATTAATGAGTGAGTAGGTAAAGGAAGTAAAAATGAAACTAAGTAATAAAAAATGATAATAAGTTACATGATATGAGGAAAACAACAGAACACAATATGGCAATGAGGAAGATGTTAAATAAACCTTGCATTTCTGAATCATCTTAAAAGAGATCTTTTAACTTTTAAATTTTCCCCAAAGGGAGGCTCAGTCAATAACATGTAAAAATCTGAAACCTGAGCTACTATTCCGTATTTATTGAAACAATTATTTTAGGAATTCTACGTGGTGATAACAAGTTCCATGCTCATCGTCTTTCCACAGTATGCAAGATGAAACTGTAAACCAAATATTTACTGCACCCTTACTATGAATTTGATTTTTTTAAATGCTATTTAAATCACTAAACTTCATTTTTTGAAAATTCATTTAAAGGGTCTTATTCAATATTTGTTGCCTGTCACCAGGCCAAGACTGAGCAAATAAATGGGAGTATGCCTTCATATGGGCAGAACTTTACCACTCACCCAAAGTACATCCTGTGTTTCCCTGTTGATTATGGTGTCCATTTTGTCCAGTAAATATAACTGAAATCTCTGCTTTGGCCACTCGAGGTCTCCTTGCTTACTCTCTCATTCTCAGGGGTATTCAAGGTAGTTTACCTCATCAAGTTGTGAATTATCTTCTGACCGCTGCTGTCCCTGGATTTCTTCTATACAAATTTGCTTTTATATTAGATTCAGTATCACTCATCTGAGTAAAGAGCTATTTCTATTTTGCATGGAGAAATATATAAATAAAAATAAATACAGTTGATCAATTAGAAAATATGTTTATAAACATGAAATTAATATTCTCATTTAAAAGATGAATTTTAGGCTGTAACACATTGATGAACATGTGGAATTGCTACATTTATCCAACTTCAACTTCAGAAAGAGGTACATTTTCCAGAAAACTCAATTTAACAAATTGAAGAATCAAAACTTCTAATTGTCAGAATAAATTTAAAATGACCTAATCCTAAAAGATACTACACTTGTTTCTGTTTAAACAATCAGAATGTAATGTATGTAAGTTAACCTTTACTTAAGAAGTGATTCAACAAGGTATCATGGCATGATTTTTCAGTTTTATGGCTAGTTTAGTATCCAAAGGTCAGCTGTCATCTCTTGCTACAGCCAGTCACGCTTTATGAACAATATGCCTTTTTTGTATTTATTGCTTCTACTTTGTGATGGGTTCAGAAATTTGACGCCAGACCTATTAAATTTGAATCTAAATACATATATGTTGGATCAGGATATATACTGGATACAGTGGTTTGAGGCAGCTTCTACTGTTTGCTTTTATACACCCAAACACCCTCCTTACCTTATGTGAGTGTGTGAGAGTGTGTGTTTGTATATGTGTGTGCATCCTTGAAGCATGTGTAAAAGATTTTGCACAAGCCACAGACTTCGTGCCCCTCTAGGTGTCTTTTACAACCAAAATTTCAAAATTTTGATCCATGTCCCCCAAATTAAAGATTTAGAACTCAGGAATATATTTTTGACTGAAAAAAAAAAGTAAGTATTTTAGTGTTATATAAAAAACCTAAAGAAATGTATAAGTATAAAGAAATGCTTTGAGGTGCTACATTTGTTCCTCAGTCAGGATTGAAACAGGCATCTACTTTTGCCCATTTCTTTTTCTAACCAAAATCCATGCTGGCAGGAAGTTTGCTCAGTATTTAAAGCTGAACTCTTGGCTATAAAACAAAGTCAAAGAAGACTGCTCACATCAACCCACACTCTAACCAATGATGTACATAAGTCTATATCTCAGACATTGCAGATGATCACTAGATAAGAAATTGCCATCAAAAACAGGTGTTCAGGTCAGGCACGGTGGCTCACACCTGTAATTCCAGCACTTTGGGAGGCCGAGGTGGGTGGATCACGAGGTCAGGAGTTCGAGACCAGCCTGGCCAACAAAGTGAAACACCGTCTCTACTAAAAATACAAAAAAATTAGCTGGGCATGGTGGCGGGCACCTGTAATCCCAGCTACTCGGGAGGCTGAGGCAGGAGAATCGCTTGAACGTGGGAGGGGGAGGTTGCATTGAGCAGAGATCGTGCCACTGCACTCCAGCCTGGGTGACAGAGCTAGACTCAGTCTCAAAATAAAAGCAACAAACAAACAAAAAGTTGTGCAGAAAAGCCCTGAAATAAGTTTTAAAAAAATGGATATTACTTTGAAATATACCACTAAGTAGCAATGTTCTCACAGTCAATCTCCTAACCAAGCTGCTTTCATGTTCTTATTTGTAACAGCAAGTAGAGAGTTGTCAAGAATCAGCAAACTACAGTCCCCAGGTCAAATCTCATTTGACACCTAGTTTTGTAAACAAAGTTTTATTGGAACACAGACACACCCTTACATTTACATTGCCTTTGGCTTCTTTCGAACTATACTGGCAGAGTTGAGTGTTTATAAGTGAAACCATACAGCTGGCAAAGCTGAACATATTTACTATCTGGCCCTTTAAAGCAAAGTTAGTCTACCACAGTGTATATTATAATAAGAGGTTATCAGGAAGATTAAATGTCGTAATGAACAGAAAAGAGACTGAAATGCTATTACTAGTTAATGTTAACAGTGCTTACCAAGTTTTAGGTATTGTATGTGTTACACATCATCTCATATTATCCTTAGAACAATCCTGTGAGTTAGTCACTATTGTTGTGTCTCTTTTACAGATGAGAGAACTGAAACAAAGAGCTCAGAGTTTCCTATGCACACATAGCTTGTTTGATGTAAAGGCCAGGTTTAAACCAAGGTTTCCAACTCTAGGGAATTACCAAGCACTAGACTATATTGCCTCTATGTATCTGGAAAGCTCTAACTATTATAAATATGAGTATTTTCTATTAATCCAAACCTTATGAGTATTATTTTAATGTGGAATTCAAAATAATGGATAATTAAATATTTGCTGTCAGTATGAACTACTAAAATAAAGTGATAGGAAGTTAATTTTTCACTCCTTCTTTGGGCCCAGGATTTGTTTGAACAAATAGTTGTGATGGGCGCCTTCCCTATCACATTTATATATTTGTGATTTATTTATAAGGTTCTGGTCAAAAATAAAAATGATCTTGCTGAGTCCGAATGAGAGATTCCCGGATGTAGGCGGCTGGGAAATTCACCCCGATCTTTATGCCTGTGGTGAGTGAGCCTCATAGAGGAAACACACTCTACAGCACTGGGAGGTCTCACACTGAGAGCTACAATCAAAACTGGAAATTAAGACAGCAATGGATTTTGTTCTAGAGGGAGGCAGGACAGAGGATAAATGTTCTCTGCTTATGGAAACACAGACCTCGCCTTTATACCTTTGGAAAGAAAACCGAGGCTCTTCTATGAAAAGGTTAAGATGTAATATTTATGTAAAAAAAATGAAGGATTCTATTCAAATTGGTTCATATGTAAAACCAGCATGACTTCACACATTGCTGGATCCCGCTGCTATGGGTCGCCTCCATGGAAGACTGGCTCTGTGTCTTCTGCCCTCAGTGCTCCTCCGTGAAGCCTCTCCACACAGAAAAGGTCAGGAAGCCCATTCGCCCTGGCCATCATCCCAGCCTTTTAGGAGATGACTGGAATTACACTCAATTCTGCAAAGTTACACATTTCAAACAGAGAGGAGTAAACAATTTTATAAAATCTGGGATCCTGTTCTTTCAATCCTGACAACCCCATTCAGCCTGATCATTTAAGGAGAAAAGGGAGGCTAAGAAGGGAAGCGGAAAAAGAAGCAAGGAGAATTACTGCCTTGGATCTAAATTTGAGCTCCTAGCTTTCTGCATCCTATTTTATGGACTCCATATGTAGGATATTATTTATTTATTTACCATATTTCAGGCAAACAGCTTTTCCACAGCAGCACCAAATAAGTTAAAAATTAGAATGAGGACTGAACTGAAAGAAGAACCTTTCGGCAATTGTGCCCTTCAGTCTCGGCGGTGCTTGCTTTCTGCCAACAAGCAGAGATAATCTGTGATGAATCCTGGAAATGGCTGGAGGGACAGTGATAAAGTCAATTCAGGAAGAATAAAGCGGAGCAAAAGGAGAGGGCTGTCTGCCCAGCCGGGCTGGTTGCAGTTTGAAAAGAACTGAATCTGGAAAATCAGCTTTTGGGGAAGTATTCTACAAAATCAGTACTCACTAGACAGGTTCAACAAATGATAAATAGAATGTTTCACTGTTGGAGGGGAAAAAAGTTTCCTCAATTTTTAAACTCATAAAATATGTAATAATACCCTCAGGTACTGAAGTCTTGGAAGTCAGAGGCCACAAGGGCTGGTCCTCATCTCACAGAGTGTGAAGACCAGAGCCAAAGCATCCATGTTCAGGGAAAACACTCACTGATTTGCTGGAGAAAACCATAAACTCTCAGTTTCACTCACTTGAATTCTTCTACCAATTTTTTTTTTTTTTTTAATATAGAATCTTGCTCTGTCACCAGGCTGGAGTGCAGTGGCATCATCTCTGCTCACTGCAACCTCCACCTCCTGCGTTCAGGTGATTCTCCTGCCTCAGCCTCCACAGTAGCTGGGACTACAGGTGTGTGCCACCACACCCAGCTAATTTTTGTATTTTTAGTAGAGACGGGGTTTCATCATGTTGGCCAGGATGGTATCGATCTCTTGACCTCATGATCCACCCGCCTTGGCCTCTCAAAGCGCTGGGATTACAGGCATGTGCTACTGCACCCAGCCTCTTCTACCAATTTTTAAGCATATGCAATATCAATCAAAATAAAAGAGAATTTTTAAAATATCACAAAATTAAAAAAAATCAGGCTTATTCTGTACAAGAGAAGAAAAAGAGAGAGAGGAAGAGAAGAAAAAGAGAGAGAGGAAGAGAAGGAAAGAAAATCTAGACTCCATCTCACAGGAGGAAACAGTGGCAAAGATACTTGAAGCAAAACATCTAGAATCATTAATGTTTGAATTTGTCTTTAACTTCATAAAATACTGACAATAACTTTAAAACAAAGCTATGAATGAATTTAGAATTAAAGTCCTTATTAGAAAAAAATAAGAAATTATAACTTCTACTTCCCAACACATTTTTATTCCCAATTACTTCTGCCCATTTAGTCAAAAGGTTCTGAAAACGTGACCAAAGAGAGTATGTCTTTATATTACTCCCATAAAATAGATGGCCCAGTCTGCAACCTTCTGATTTTCAGGCCCTCAGGAGGTCACTAAGAACCACAAGTCTAATGGGAAGTTAATTAAAAGGCAAAGAAATCCAAGAAGAGATGGCTGGCATCCACAAAATCAGTCCTGGGGATATAGACTTACTCAGACTAAATTATTCATTCAGTGACAATACACTACATGGGTACATTCTGCATTAGTTCCATGCTAGGCATAGAGGGGCATTATTTTTTTTTAATAAAAATGAAATTAAAAAAAGAGTTCCTGGCTCTTGGCGGTTTATATTATGCTTGGGAGGGGAAGGGACATAAAAAGTACGAACATGAATGTAGGTGAGACGAACGGAGAGATGTAGCTCAAAGGATACAAAGTAACAGACGGGTAGAATAAACACGCCTAGAGATCTAATGTACAACATGAGGAGGATAGTTAAGAAAGTGGTGTGGCATGTGGGATTTTTTTTTGCTATGTAAGTAGATATAATTGCTCTTGTCACACATACACAAAATGGGAAACTGTAAGATGATGAATCTGTTAATTTGCTTCACTATAGTAATCATTTTACTATCTGAATGTGTCTCATATTATAGGCCTTAACTATATATACTATTAAATGTATTGAAAAAAAAAAGAGAGACACAAGAGAGGTTCCTTGCCCCTTCCTCCATAGGAAGTAACAGCTAACACCTAGCTGTCTCAAAAGCCAGCCCCTGCCAGGCCTTGATTTTGCATTTCCCAGCTTCCAAGGCTGTGAGAAATAAAATTTAAAAAAAGAACACGCATATAATCATATGTGATGTTGCATTACTTGGTTCCAATGACAAATGTGGTAAGAGTCTGGTGCAGCTCCATGAGCTTGTGTTTGAACAGGCCAGGAAGAAACTTCGAAGGCTGTGGAATCAAGCTAGAGAGAGGAAAACAGGCTTGAACAGGCCAGGACGAACCTTCCAAGGCTATAGAATGAAGCTAGAGGGAGGAAAACAGGCAGGATTTGAATAGGTGGATATCTTCCTTTGAGTTTCCCCAGCAAGAAGATCTTGAGACAAGAATCTCAGGTGACCTCAGAATACAATGGCCAGAAGTAGAGAAGTGAGACAGGAGTAGGAAAGAAACAATAAACAATGCTGTTATCAAGCCAGTTACCACTGTGGGTAACTGGAGCCCGATCCCACTGAGAAATCTGAGGGCCACAAGGTTCATAATTATCCCACCCAAGAAGCAGTGAGCTGGGCTATTTACACGGTAGGAAAAGGGCGCAATAAATCAAGGGCCCATTACAGCCCACTGCCTGGAATTACAAATGGACGCTATATTCAGGGACAACAGGGCAGCAGTTTGGGGGACGATGAAGATTTGGGCCTGTGGATCATTTAGTTCAATGCTGAGGAGAGGTATTAATATCATAAAGGAAACTTATTCCAGCCTTAACTTGGGTAGATTAATGCTGGAAGAAATCATAAGAAAATACTACCAAAAATTCTTCATTTTCAGATAAGAGAAAAGAGATTCAGAGACCATTAATGTATTGTTTTGCTTTTTTAAAAGAAGTCAGGGTCTCAGGCCAGATGCGGTGGCTCACACCTGTAATCTCAGCACTTTGGGAGGCTGAGGCGGGCAGATCACTTGAGGTCAGGAGTCCGAGACCAGTTTGGGGAATATGGTAAAACCCCGTCTCTACTAAAAATACAAAAAATTAGCCAGGTGTGGTAGTGTGCGCCAGTAGTCCCAGCTACTTGGGAGGCTGAGGCAGGAGAATCTCTTGAACCTGGGAAGCAGAGGTTGCAGTGAGCCGAGATCATGCCATTGCACTCCAGCCTGGGCGACAGAGCCAGACTTCGTCTGAAAAAAAAAAGTAATTAAATTAAAACAAAATAAATAAAATAAGTCAGGGTCTCGCTCTGTAATCAAGGCTGGAGAGCAGTGGCATGATCTCACTTTGTTGCCCAGGCTGGTCTTGAACTCCTGGCCTCAAGCCTCCCTAGTCGCTAGGATTACAGGTGTGAGCCTCTGTGCCCAACTCTATTAATGTATTATGCTATGGCACAAAGCTAGGTTAGAGCACAGCTGGAGAGAAAATCCAAGTCTCTTGGCTCTCAGCCTAGAGTTCTCTTTATTAAACCTCACATATACCTAACATTTGTTTATAGAGACTTCATGAAGTATGGACTTGGGCTATCTGTTAGCAGTGTAATTTATTATTATCTCATAATTATAGTAAATATTCCTGCGTGACTTTGTTCTCTAATTCTCAAATGTAATCCTGACATACCCCTCCTTCCCAGCTGTTGCTCTTCTATGTTCATTGCTAGATTTTACCACACAGTCCCTCCCAACCAGCAATCCCGATCCAGGAGGCAAAGTATGTGAGACATTATGTACCCAAAAAATGTTCATCTCAGTATTGTTTATAACAGGAAAATATTGGAAACAACTAATCACCCATTTAGAGGAAAATAAACAAATAAAATATGGTGTATCTGCAAGAAAGAAATATAGCAGCTGAGAATGAATTATAGCTAGATAGATCACTATGGAGAGGTTTTAAAAATATAATGTTTAGGTTGGCTGTGGTGGCTCACACCTGTAATCTCAGCACTTTGGGAGACCAAGGCGGGCAGATCACGTAAGGTCAGGAGCTCAAGACCAGCTTGGCCAACATGGTGAAATCCCGTCTCTACTAAAAATACAAAAATTAGCAGGGTGTGGTGGCAGGCACCTATAATCCTAGCTACTAGGGAGGCTGAGGCAGGAGAATTGCTTGAACCCAGGAGGCAGAGGTTGCAGTGAGCCGAGATGATGACATTGCACTCCACCCTGAATGACAAGAGAAAAACTCCGTCTCAAAAAAAAATATATATATATACACATATATATACACACATATATATACATATATATACACATATATGTGTATATATATATACACATATATATGTGTATATATATATACATATATATATGTATATATATATACACATATATATACACACATATATATACATATATATACACATATATGTGTATATATATATACACACACACACATATGTAATGTTTAGTGAAAAAGCCAAGAAACAGTACAGCCCATACACCATGAGGCCATTTGTGTACAGTTAAAAACACAATACCATGTATATGGATTATGGCTATTTCCGTGCTTCTGGTAGAAATATAAGAACACAGTCTGGAAGGATTTACATTCTGCTCTTAAGAGTGGGTTGCTCTGGACAAGGAATGGAAAGAGGGGAAGGAAAGAATGAGACTGAAAAGAAGAATTTGTCAGAAATAACTGGTTATTTTATTTTAAAAACAAAAAGTAGAAATAAAGAGGCAAAATGTTAATATGTTTAAAATTCTTGGTGGGTAATGCATGAGTACTGTTATTTTTCTCAGTACTTTTCTGAGATTAAACATTTTAGGTAAAAAAAAATAAAGCTTTCTAAATAGCATCATCAGTTTTCATTAGAAAAAGGGGAAGAAATTCAAAAGAAACATATCAATAAGATGAATTTATATATAAGCAAATCTTCATGTTCATGTCTAGGGATGAGAGGAAATCTTATTTATAAGTGCAGAGCTATAGAGAGAGACTGCCTGAGTTTGAATCCTTGCTCTACCCTTACTAGCTATGAGATCTTAGGAAAGTTGTTTAACCTCTCTGTGCCTGATTTTCCTCATATATAATAGGAATAATAACAGTAACTATCACAGAGGGTTGTTTTGAGGATTAAAATTTGATAATATTGCAGAAGTATCTGAACAGTGCCTATCACACCAAGCTCAGGGACATACAGAAGTGATCACCATGTTTTGTTAGACTGTCTTAGACTTTCTATACAAGGGTATTTCTCCTTTTAGTGAAACTATCTTTAATACACTGATATGATAATTAATTATACGAAGGGAAAATTGCACGGACTCTCATCTGCAGCAGCAAGTCCTGGTTTATAACGTAAAAATCTAATGAATTGCAGCAGCAAAGTTTCCATTCATTCATTTAACTAATAAGTTAAAACCTCATTATAATGTCATTTACTGTGCAGTGCAATTCAGCAGAGGGATCTCTCTTGGGCCTCAGCTAGAAGGATTTAATTACTGGATTACCAAGAGGACTTTCAGTCAAGTGGCATCACCGATGAGGCAAACTTGAAGGACAGAGTTATCAAGAGAGTCCAGCATCCTTTTTTAGAAGTATAAATGTTCAAGGGTTGATGTGGAAAACATGCAAGGCTTTCAAAAGCTTTCAGTTTAGACTACTCAGGATAGAATGAAAAGGTGGGAGAAAGTGAATAAGCATGCAACTCACATATTTATAATCCCAGAATGTCACAGGTAGAGTATCTACAGAATATAGATAGCAGTGACATATGGAAATACAAAAGGCAGAAGAGAAACCTGAGTGCTCCATAACTAAAGAAATCACTTTTGAGTCATTTCTGTTTTGCCCATTGCAAAGATAAAGCTAAAGACACTGATTCCCACTTATATTTTGTATATTTTTAAGCACCAATGTTTCAGCACATTTTCTGCTCATCTGTTAAGCTGCAGGCCTTATGACCACAGGAATTCCCTCATAGAAGGGAAATAAAAGAGATGAATTCGGGGGTCTCTATAGTCTTGGCATGCTACAGAACCCATTACTACAAACTGGAAAGCCCACTCTGAGGTCCAAGACAGTGGACTTCAGGCCATCAACAATAAGCCAAATCTCTCCAAGAAGGAGAGATTACTCTGGTGAGCCAGCTCACTCCTACAGCTCTAGCAGTGCCAGTTTCTGTTTTGAAAGCAAAATGCCTATGTTTGGTATGTAGATTATGACTGTGTCAGAGTCCAAATCAGCATGCATCATAAAGGCACCAACATTCACAGAGGGAAATGCATTTTACTACTGTAAGCAATTTAGTTCCCCTGTTTAAATGGATTTTATACAAAATGTGGATAGAATGGAATAAAATAAATGCACTCATCACGAATCTCTTTTTCCCTCAAAGTACTAAGCAAAGATTTTAGTTATCTGGCACATCTATTACACACACACACACACACACACACACACACACACACCACCATATGTCTTAACTGTCAAAGAACAAGCTTACTCATCTATGCCTAAGCATAACTGAATAGTTGAGTGATTGATATTCAGCTTCATAAGTGGAACTTTTTTTTACCTTTTGCTAGATACTCAATTATGATATAAAAGGTCCATAATGAAAATTTTTGAAACAGTTCTATAAAACTCAGCTTATAATATCATGAAATGTAATGCTACACGGCACGTTGCAAAATACAGCACCTAAGATCTTGCATGAAAAGAAGAAGTGAAAAATGAGTTTTCCCCAGACTATGGTCTATAGGTATATATTACACACAGAGACACACACACAAAATATGGTTAAAGTTCATCTCTCAAAGAATATTCATACTGCTCCTTTAATATAAGGAGAAGTTAAACTTTAAACTTCTAGATTTAAAATTTAAACTTTAAACTTCTAGATTTAAACTTTAAATTTCTAGATTTAAACTTTAAACTTCTAGATTTAAACTTTAAACTTTAAACTTCTAGATTTAAACTTTAAACTTCTAGATTTAAACTTTAAACTTTAAACTTCTAGATTTAAAAAGTTTAAACTTTAAACTTCTAGATTTAAAAAGTTTAAACTTTAAACTTCTAGATTTAAAAAGTTTAAACTTTAAACTTCTGGATTTAAAAAGTTTAAACTTTAAACTTCTAGATTTAAAAAGTTTAAACTTTAAACTTCTAGATTTAAAAAGTTTAAACTTTAAACTTCTAGATTTAAAAAGTTTAAACTTTAAACTTCTAGATTTAAAGTTCTGTGATAAAAGTTGATGCTTGAGGAAAAGAAATTAGTTTTCACATAGGTATTAAACTACATATTACTGGAATATATGCTTAAGAATATTTCTTCACAAATAGAGTGCAAGTTGTGAGACTGACGGCCTTCCTTGTAATAAAATAAGATTCTATTTCTGTAAAATTAATATTATCTCCCTGACTATCATGCTATTTCCTTCTCTGTCCCAAATAACAATGAACTCTGGCAGTCTACAAAGAGGAAGATGCCCAGCTTGCTCTGACACAAAATAATAAATAGATTTCTCATGTTGCTGCAAAGTCCCTAGCATTCTATTTGTAAAGAACAAGTTGTAAAGCTTTATTATTTCCCATAAAATCTGAACAGTTTGAACACAGAGGAAATACACATCAACATTCCCCCTTTTAACACATTTACAACATTTAAGCAAGTTGTAAGCACTTGGGCTAGCAGTCTCAATCAGAAAAGTCAGTTATAACACATTTCAAACCCATAAAATTATCACTTTATTTTAATGAGATTTAACAATAAATTGAGCTTAGAAATAGACTTTGAACGCTGACTCTGTATCGGGGGAAAGGACCTCACTATCAATTCATGAGCTTTTCATTAGGCAGGTCAGAACATGGCTCTCAGGTCCCTGAAGTTCTTTAAACCTCTTCCTTCTTGCTTTATTTCATCCGGACACTATTACTTAAATTATAGACTTTTAAAAATATGAAAAAGATGTGCAGCACACCTAAAACTTGCTTGGTAGGTATATTAAATATGAAATATGAGCTTGACCTTACCATATGTTGATGCTATTTTCCTGGCTTATTTGTATCTATTAGCCAAGTTACTAGAGGAATCAAATGAACAGAGCATGAAACTGAAAGTACTCTTAGGCTAGTTCTTCTGATAACTTTGTTAATAATTATAAATAATTAAATTATACTAAATTTATTAAAATAATTAAATGTAATTATTTAATTAAATAATTACATTTAATTATTTAATTAAATTAATAAAGTTTTCTATGTGCACATATTTGCTCATTCACAGGTGGTTTTGAATATGTTCCTAGAATATGGAGATGTAACAGTGAATGCAGTCCTCACTTTCATAAGATTATATTCTAGTGGAAAAGAAAAACATTCAGCAAAAAAAAAAATAAAGACATTAAATAACCTCAGATGATTATAAGGGCTGTGATGTCAACCAAAGCAGGGCAAGAAGATAGAGAGTGAAGAGGTGACATTTTAGATAAAATAGTTGGGGTGATCTTACTGAAAAACAGCTAACCATGTTCAGTGTTCACTTGGAGTTAAGCAGTGCTCTGAGTGCCACACAGACATTAACTCATGAGAGCCTCCCTGTGAGGGTAGGGTGATTGTCATACCTATTTCCCGATAGCAAAACGGAGGCACAAAGAGGTTAAACAACTTGCCCACGTCCAGAGCCTGAGTTTGAGCCTAGAATGTTGGGCTTCAAAGTCCATGTTATTAACCATTTAGACAGTGTGGCTATTAATGGAAAGAACATCCCAGACGGGAAGACCAAAACCATCAGGTCTTTTCATTGTAAGGAAGGGCCCCCAAGTAAAATCCCCATTCCATCACTTAAGTATCTGTGCAAGAAGACCTTGGGCAGGTCACTTGATTCATTTCAGCTCAGCACAGCACAGTTCCATGAGGGTGAGGTCCCTGTCTGTTTTTGCACAGTATTATTTTCCAAAAAAATAAGCAAAGCACCTGGCACATATTAGGGAGCAAATCAGTGATTGCTGCCTGAATGAACCATTTGCTTACTATGTAGCAGATAGATTGTGAGATGCAAAGTGTACAGTCTTAAACAACAGGGTAAAAATCCTTGCCTAGTTCTTAGGCACTGCCTAGAAACTGGTGTCAGTTGCCAGAAAAGCAATTTCCAGATTTCTTTCCAGCTTTAAACTGCTGTCATTGTGACTCTACCGAAAGCTCCACTGTTCCCAAACATACATCCTCAAGAACAGTGATAATTAAAAAGTTGCTAATTACCATGATGAACAATAAATAGAAACATCTCACATTCAGCCTTTAAAATATCGATCCCTTATTTCTGAATGGAGTGATAAGAAAAAAAATGAGAATATGGGAGGAAAGAGGGCTGTGTGATAGACAGTTAATCTCAAAATAAGTATAAAGGATAAGATATTACTTGTAGTGTGATATGAATGTGTTTAAGGTAACAGGTTTAGTGCCCACGGCAATCAGTTAATTTGGTATATGGAGAAATCCTGCCATTGCACAACACAGAGAATTTAAGGAAAGGCTAAAAGTACTGTATTAACTCTTGATGTGCAGTTCCCTGTTTCGGCTCCCTCTTTGTGCATAGCTGTATGGATCATTCTAACTATGGAATATTCTATGTACAAAGCTCTGACCATTTTGTTGGATATATTTTGATGTGGGGTTTCTCAATCTGGCATCGTTCTTCTCAGGCAATAGGTATTATTAGGAGGAAGAAAATCAAAATAACTTTTGTTAATTTTAAAACAATAGGTAGGACATATCCCGGACATATGGAGGAAAGCCCAGTTCCATGAGCTTAGCCAGCACAGCAGTTAGCTCTTCTCTGCCAGCCAACGGATTTCCTGGGGAATCCCCAGTGCCCTTCATCCCAGTTCCGTCAAGCCACTCCCAAACCCACTCTCTCAGACTGCTTTCCCAAACAGCTCCACAAACTGAACACAATCCCTGAATTCCATATTCACAAAACATATTATAACTCAGAAGGAAATATATGTTCTACATGAGAATGAAGGTCATGAGAGATGACATGTATATGTATTTAATATACTGTACTAAGTATAGGAGTAACATAAAAGCAAGAACAAACTCAACCAGCCCAGTACGGAAGGACAATAGTTTGTCATCACATGCCATAATATCAGAAAGCAGACACTGAGCATCAGTAAAAGAAAGGGATTCCCAAGAGAGCCCTTTGCCCTCCACAGACCTCCAAATGGGTAACTAGACTCCAAACACAATACAGACACAATTTTAAAAAGAACTTGCAAAACTCCAGTTAAGGCTGTGTCTCATGATCTTCACTAAGCAGAATAAACACACAGAGAGAATAAATCTTTCCTGAAAATGTCACAGGTAGGAAGAGGCAAGCTCCAGAAGGCCTTAGGAAATTACAGGGATTTCACAAATAGCACGTGATTAAAAATGAAGCAAACTCTCGGTAGTTCTGAAAAATAAAACAGCTAATGGGAAACACACCAGCTTATACAGCAAACACATTTAGAAGGGCATCACAACATATGCGGATGAGAAGTTACCTCTGCTTCACTTAGCTCACAGCATTAACAGAGGACAGAAACTGAATTAATTTTCCCCCCAAAATAGAAACAGTAATTCTTATCAGTAAAAAAAAGCATGTGAGTGGCAAAGGTAAAGACTAGAGCATGGTCAAGGAGTAACAGGAGTAGGTAGATATTAATATCCAGTTGTGTGTTTTGGTTTGTGTTGTTTTTCTCTCAATGCTTCTTTACTAAGCTGGACTTTGGGTTCTCTTTGACTATCTATCTATCTATCGATCTATCTATCTATCTAAGAAGTTTTCGTTCATAATAGTTTTTCCAATGTAATATGCTGCCTATGATAATGGTATGGCAAAGGGCTTTGGTTGTATAATGTAACATTACCCACCATGTGATTTGGCTTTCATTTTCCAATTTAGGCCTGTCTCTGACACAGGCAGGTTCTGCACTGAGAAAATGTGATTGATATCCCCCACTCTGATAGTGAGCCCTTTCCCCTGCTTTATAAACTTCAGGATCATAGTTGCTGCATTAGCTACCTATTGCTACGTAACAAATTACCCTGCACTTAAAAAAACATATATGTATTATCTCACAGTTTCTGCAGGCCAGGAATTTTGGAGTGGCTTGGCTGGATGCCTCTGGCTCAGGGTCTTTCATGATGTTGGAGTCAAGCTGTCAGCCAGGGCTGCAGACATCGGAAAGCTTGATTGGGCAGGAGAATGTGCTCCCAAGCTCACTGATGTGGCTGTGGGCTGGCTTCAGAAGATCTGCTTGCAAGCGCACTCACATTGCTGCAGGCAGGCCTTAGTTCTTCAGCATACAAGCCTCTCCAGAAGGTGTCTGAGTTCCCTCACAACATGGTAGCTGGTTTTCCCCTCCTCTAGACTGCCTCATGACATAGAAACTGGCCATGCTCAGAGAGAGTATGTAGTGAATTAAATGGTGACTCCAGATAGTTATGCCTGTGTCCTGATACCTGGAACTTATGAATGTGAACTTGTTTGGAAAAGGATCTACGTAAATGCAATTAAGTTAAGGATCTTGAGACCTTGAGATGATCCCGGATTCGAGTGAGTGCTAAATCCAGTGACAAGTGTCCTTATAAGAGAAGAGAAGGGGTAAAGACAGAGAGAAACAGGGAGGATGTCAGGTATAAACAGAAGCAGAGATTGCAGTTATGTTGCCACAAGCCAAGAAACACCTGAGGCCAATGGAAGCTGGAAGAGGCAAGGATGGATCTGCTCCTGGAACCTTCAGAATGGGGCATGGTCCTGCTGACACCTTGATTTTGGCTCTCTGGCCTCCAGAACTGAGAGAGAATAAATTTCTGCTTTTTTTGGCCATCAAGTTGTGGTAATTTGTTACAGCAGCCCTAGGAAGCTAATACAGAGTGAATTGAAAGAGAGAGAGAGAGAGAGGGAAACCACAGTCTTTTCTTTAAACTAGTTTCAGATGTTCCCATTATTCTGACATACTCCGTTTGCTAGAAGGGAGTCATTAGGTCCAGGCCATGTTTAAGTAGAGGGGAATTAAGCTCTAGCTCTCCAGAAGAGAAATATCAAAGAATCTGTGGACATATCTTTAAAACCAATAAAGCTGTCATCTGAAGTTTCTCAAAATAACTTTTAAAGTACCCCTTTTCTCTGAGGTCAAGATACTGGAAAGAGACATGAGCAAATGTCTGAGTCTTGAGGCTAGTATTGAATATTTATTAATCCCTATCTGGGACTTCCATATTTTCTCAAACACCAGTCACTGTTGCACATATACTGATGGATTATTGTCATAAAGTTTATTGGCAAAGCTCATGGGACCATAATTAATTTATATGTAACTCATCTAAAATTACTTGCAATATTACTACAAATTACTACTAAATAATAAGGTACCATATGAGATAAGAAACTTTTATTTTAAAAATACATTCATGTTCATCATCTCACTTAACAGTTATTAAATTCTCACCATACTTCTATAAGAGGGTTGGTATGATCAAAGAGACTAAGAGAGGCAGTACCTTCAGCAGAAAGATCACTATACTAAAAGTCAGGCTATAGTCTTAGCACTGTCTCTTACCACATGACCTGGGAAAAATTAAGTAATTTTCCTAGGCCTCGGTTACTTTATCTGTAAAATTCTGAGATCAAATAGGTAATAATTAAAATTCCTGTCAGCTCTATCAGAAGCAGCATTCCCTTTGTTATCTCCAAAAATTAGACTAAAGTTACAAATATGTAAGAACTGAAATAGAATATTTGTAGCAAGGGAGAACATTTCAAAAATGTATGAACTATCCTTACTGTATACATCTGGTAAGGGGATCTTTTTTCTCTCATAGCCCTTACCATTATCTGAGGTTCTTTGCTTTTATGTGACTTGTTCATTAGCATCCTCTCTCTGCTAGGACCTAAGCTCTTAGAGGACAAGGGGCCTGCTGTCTTCCTCACTATAGTCGTCTACACTCTAGAAGAGCACTCTAGCTGTGAGTAAGTACTCAATAAAACATGGGCTGAACAAGCAAATCAAGTGTGCCATGTATTTTACAAATAATAATAGAGCCATTTATCTCTCTTATCTGACAGTATTAAGAAGCGGTTCTGCGTATATGGCTTAACAGACTCTCCAGAGTGAGATCTTCACACTCCTAGACAATCACGTATAAGGAACCTCAGGCTCAGAAGTTAAGGACTTTACCAATTACAACACTCTGCATTTATGCATCTCAGATCTTCTACCATGACATTTAGTGTTCTTGACACAGAATCAATCTTACATTCTATAATACAGAGCTTGGTTACATCAATATTTTCAAGTAGAAACACCTCTAATCAAGTCATAACATGGCCTAATATTTAATCTTTGGGATTAGTGATTAATTACAGGGAGAGTTAATACATTCACGAAGTGTTCACTGTGGACTACTTTTTAATCAAATCATATATGTAAGTAATAGCTCAAGGAACATCTTAACACAGGGAGAAAAAAAATCTACACTTTTACTCAGCATTTGCTACTTATTTCAATAAATGTATTCTGCCATCTCTGCACATCAGCTACCGTAGCTCTGAGATTAACCTTTCCTGTTTGCTTGTGCCTGACCTCAGGGCATCCTAAATTACTCAAAGCCATTCTGATGGCTTTAATTTATGAGAACACCTCCAAATATTCATCTTTTAAATCCTGAAAATGATTATCCCTGTACAACAGTGGCTCTCTTTTTAATCTTAGCTGATAACTCTGATTAAACACATCCAAAGGCTGATTACCCCCACTGTGGTTAATGCCAGTGTCACTGCTAACTACTTATTTCACAGCAGGAATTGCCTTCAAGAGCCCATTTACATTATTACCTAGAATTGATTTACACTGTTATTTCCTATTGATCACATAGGAAATAGGAGGTATAGACAGCGTCCTCTAAAGGCTTGCTATGATGGCAAATAATGCAAAACACAGCTGTTTAATTCTACACTCAGCCAGTAATACAACAGTGTAAACACCAGTTGCTTCCAAAAGGTAGATATTTTTTAAAAGACAACATTTAGTATTAGAATCATTAAGTTATTTCATCACAAAGCCATTTGGGGGTGGACTCTATGTTATCACAATGGGTCAAAATAAGAGAAAATGAAAGAAGCTAAGCATAGAACAGACATGTGGCATGTGGATACATTAAGCAAAGTTTGGCCCCTGTGCTTTCTTATACTGCTAGCCTTTGAGCAGGCAGTATGTTTGGTGATGGGATAACAGAGATGCTAAAAGCAGCAGGAGTACTAGCTCTGCAGATTCCTGGAATCATGTTGTTCTCTCTTGAGTGTCTTCTTGCTCGGTTTCCTGCAGGGCAGCTATGATTATGACAAAGACAAGAGGAGATAAAAACAATGCTTTCATTAAGTCCTCCAGTAAATATGTATCAAGAGCCAACTCTGTTCTGGGTACTATGTCAGATGCTAAGGATATCAGGGGTAAATGAGACCCATAGGACACCTTCCCTTCTTAAAATGTTATTTTGTCTAAAAAGACAGGTAATAAACAAATAAACAAACACAGATGTCATCACTAGTGGAAAATGCTATAAAGGAAAAGAAGAACGTGTCAGAGTTCTCTTCAAAAAAAGCCCTAATCTGTGACCCAAATGGATACCTGTGTTGTAAAGCCAAAAGAAATCTCAAGGCAAGGGTGCTACTGGATTCCACCACTCTCTAGGGCAATGGCCCTCACACTTGAGCACGCAATAGAGTTACTTGGAGAACTTGTTAAACCACAGGGTTTCTGAATCAGTAGGTGTGGGGTGGGGCCTGAGAATTTGTATCAAACAAATTCCCAGGTGATGCTGCTGCTCCAGGAACCACGTTTTGAGAACCACTGCTCTGGTTTTTAGAATATTTCTGCCCTTCTTATTTCCACATTCATCATGAGGATCACTAAGGAGATTAAATGTATGAAACTGCTTAATGTAAATGAAAAGGGTGACAATTATGGAGAAATAGATTCAAATAAAACCTGAATTCCTTAAGCACTTAAAGAAAATGAGCCAATCCGAGTTGATTTTAGGAGGAACAATCCCATCTTCCTCTTCAGAAAGGAAGATGATTTTATGATCTTCAAAAGCGGCTTTTCTCTTTGTGTAATATAAGTCATTTGATTATGGAAGGGGCTCATGAGGGCCCTCAGGTCTTCATCAAAGGCTGGCAGAGTCATACTCCTAGCAGCATGTCCACTCCACTGCTTTCACAATCAGACACCTGCTGGGAGAGTCCACGATGGCTGAAATCAGGTCACCCTTTGCAAAGGACTAACTCAGAACCATCTTATGAATTACCTGCTCTAGAAACTGCATTTCCTGTGGACTGCAGGCTCCTTTGCAGCTAACACCACTGGAGGAAACAAGGAACAAAGATTTGCTTCCTAATACTCTGGTGGTTTAAACTGACTCTCCCTTGAGAGACTCGACTTACTCACTTCCCAGATCTGGCCCTATTGGGAAAAATCACCATATTTTTCTAGGCATTCTTTTCAAGGTGGCCTTATTATTTGAAAGATTTGAAAGGTTTCAGATCATCTTCCCAAGGTAATGTTCTCTTGAGGCAACAGAAGCAAGGATGTCCCAAGGAATAGAGGGTAGGTATTTTAGTCTCAACTTTATCAACTTTGATCTGAATAAGTAGTAATTCATTTAATAAAATTCAATATTTAGTCTCTCTGAATCTCACCTTTCTTACTTTATAAAAAGGGAAGATTGGCCAGGTGCTGTGGTTCACACCTGTAATCCCACACTTTGGGAGGCTGAGGCCAGTGGATCACCTGAGGTCAGGAGTTTGAGACCAGCCTGGCCAACATGGCGAAACCCCAGCTCTAGTAAACATACAAAAATTAGCTGGGTGTTGTGGCGCATGCCTGTAATCCCAGCTACTCGGGAGGATGAGGCAGGAGAATCGCTTGAGCCCAGGAGGCGGAGGTTGCAGTGAGCCAAGATCGCGCCATTGCACTCCAGCCTGGGCGACAGAGCTGGAATCCGTCTGACTCAGGGAGAAAAAAATAAAAATAAAAGTGCAGATTGCCACAGACCAGGGGCTGGCAAACTTTTTCCACAGAGGCTGGATAGTGAACACTTCAGGTTCTGTGGCCGTAAAATCCCTGTAGCTACAACTCAACTCTGCCACATGAAAGCAGCCATAGACAATATGTAAACAAATGGCCACAACTGTGTTCTAATAAAGCTTTATCTATAAAAACAGGCAGCAGGCCTGGCTAACACCTAACAGAGACTCCTTTCCCAGCTCAGGGATCCTTGGCCACCACGATGCCTCTAATATGGATTTAGTTTGTTAATGGGAGCAACAGATTTATTTTCCCTGTACCTGTATTTCTCTTTGTGTTGTAAGAAAACTTTACTTGTCACGTCACCTCCTCATAGGAATTTCAAAAGGACTGATGAGCTACTGTTTCAAAGTACTATGATTTCTTGATAAAGGGCAGAAAAGAAGTACTAATTATTATCAACAGTACATTTTAAGCTACTATCATCTGATTATTATTGCACCTGGGAATAGAATGTGTATTCTGATTCATACCACTCATTCAAACATATTATGCTATGGTCTCTCACCTTAGAGTTTCCCTTCAAATGATTAATGAAAACCTTGAGTTAGTCAATATTACCCCTTGATGCCTTCCAAAGATTAAATAGAAGAAATAAAAGAAACAGATTCCACCATTTCATTTACACAAGTTTAATATTTTTCCATTTATCCTTGATGACTATTCAGCCCTGAAGCCTAAGAGAGAAGCATTCTAAAGAAATAAAATAGACATGTGAGCTATGCTGAAAACCATCAAATAAGGGTGATATGGTTTCTTTATTTTTATTTTTTTTTCTCCTTAGGAGAAACTCCATTAAGAGTAAATTTTGGAGACAGGAGACTTTGTAGTATATATATGTTAAAATATGTTTTTTAAAAACACAATGGATAATTGACACTGATTTCATAATTTCTTATGAATATTAGCATAATTTTTCCTTTATATTCCACCTACTACCAATTATCAACCAGGTTTGACACTTTCAATAACTAATTCATTTGTTAGATATTTCTCTAGTACCTGTGATATACAAGGTACTCTGTTATAAAAGTGGGAAGTTTGCATATCCAACAATAAAAGGTAGCACGTGACAAGTGCCCTCAGTATGTTAACATGAAGTATTCTGGAGTGTGAAGAAAAAAGAAGGCATTTTTAGCTGAGGTGAGGCGAGAAGACTTGTTTCATGGCAGAAGTGATATTTGAACTGAGTCTGGAAGACAAGTGAAAGGAGCAAAGAAAGAGCTTTCTAGATAGCTCAGATACAGACCCCATGCATAGACACACCATTGTGAGCAATTCATATCATACAAAAGGTTGTAAGTAGTTCAGTGGAAGGCCAAAGGTAATCAGGCTAATGAGTCTGTGTTTAAGGAAAAATCCACTATCGGATTTTGAGAGGATTAGAGTTACGTTTTATTCATTCATTCATCAAATATCTTTTGAACCCCTATTATATATCACACATTTTTTAAGCTATATGAATATAGCAATACATTAGAAAAATGAAGAAAGAAGAATCTGTGCCCATATTCTGGTAGATAGAAACAGATAAGAAACAAAAGAAATAAGTAAATGATATAATGCTATTTGAAGATTAACTTTACAAGTAAGCAATTACAAATTTAAAAACTGAAGCAATTATAAATAGGTTGGTTAGGGTGACACCTGATGTTACATTTGAACAAGAGTTTGAGGTAGGTAAGGAACAAGCCATGTAGGTATCTAGAAGAATAGAAATCCAGCAGAAGGAATGCCAGTGCAAAGGCTTTGAGGACCAGGTTCACACAAAGCAGCCTGTGTGAGTGGGGGAAGCACAGAAGGAGATGATGTAGAGAAGTAAAGGTCACATCATGTAGAGCATTGTAGACAATTTTAAGGACTCTGGATTTAAGAATGTTAATTTACTAGAAATGTGCAGAATAATTGCGGAAGGAAAAGTATTAGAAGTAGAGGCAAAAGTGTTTTTAAAAACTATTTTTCAGGTGAAGAAGTCTTGAAATAATTCACTCGTCTGATCCTTCATTTATTCACATTAATTCAGCACATATTTAGGAGACACTATGATTGATACTGACATTGGAACTGACTGAGATAGACAAATCTTGCCTATGTGAAGCTGACTACTTGGCGGAATGATGATAGCATGAATAGAAATGTCCCATATGTCAACAAGCTTCTAAAAATCTATAAAAATTTAAATTGCATTATGAATTCAAAAATATCTAATATTGTAGAGAAGATTCCCAAAAGATCCAATTACATAAACAATCCTCCATCTACTTTCTAAGTCATTTCCTTAGCAATAGCCTTCAATGAAATATTGACCAATATTCTTTCTACCCTTAAGATTTCTTTTGAAAAGAATGATTGGATATTCTTAATGTCAAAAAGAAATCATTCAAAACATCCAAGCAGTGAAAAGTAAACTAAATATCTGGGGCTTATCATTCTACTAATTATGATGAGTCACAGAACACAGAATACAAGTATAATTAATTCAAATACAACCATTTATGAATAGATTAATTTAGCAAGCATAAAAGAGGCAAAAACCAGTTCAAAACTATGAAGTTTGTCTGTAACCCAGACAATAGCATTTTCCAAACAAATTGCTGATGCATGAAGATATTATCACTTGTGGCTGGATGACTGGCTTTAGTACCCCTATAATGATAAACCCGCTGTCTCAGAGGACAGATAGCAACTAGTCTCTGCTGTCAAACTGTCATGGAATTATTAAATATGGAGAGGAAAAATGACCCAAACAGTATGTAACGAGCTCCCTTTTCATTCTCACTACAAAAGCACATCTGTGGATTGTTAATGACTCTGAAATGGATGAACCAAATTGATGAGAAAGAAAAACATCTCTCAGGGATAGGGAAAGGGAAAATGAACACACACAATGTTTATCAAACATAATTTTAAATATAAGGGCTTGTGAAAGTACTGTGAAATATTATAAAGTGGCATAAAAATGTAAGCTATTATTACCATTTTCATATTGCTTTCCTTGCTTTCCTTTATGCTTTTAATATAAATCATTAACCTTTTAAATATATAGGAAGAAGCAAGACCTAGTCACAAATATTCCATGTTTATGACTTTTATGAGGTGGCACTGCAATGCCTGTCTGGTAATTTCTATTCTATTGGATGAGTTTTTACTAAACATGCCCTGTGGGCTGCATGCAGTGACTTGAGTATCTGTCGGCTCTCAGGATCTCAGCTCTCATGGATTCTGTAGCTAGTCCCATTGATTGACTGGTCATTTCTAGCTTCATTGTCCCAAAAGATCCATTTGCCCCAGGATGCCCATGAAAGCCACACTTCAGTTCGAAGTTATGACTCAAGCATTGGAATTCTTCAAGCACTGGTATTGACTCACTGATCTTTGTTCCTCAGTGCCTGGTATTGTGCAAGTCTTCAATAACCCTAAAATAAGATGAATTGTATTCAAAGGAAACTGAATAACTTATTCAAAGGGATGTCAAACAGATACAAGCACATTTAAAAAATTATCACAGTGTGAACCCATACACTACAGCCACCATTTTATTTGGGCGTATTTAATGATTCTGAGTATACTGTTCTTTAGAAAGTTCAGATTTGGAGAAATTTGATTTGTATTTTAATACATAAAAAAGAAAACAGTGAATCAATAGGGGACTGGGAATATTACTTGGTTTAAGGACAGATACAAGTCTGAAAACAGTCAATAATCTTGCTATTATTGTAGCAGTCAACAACCTTGCTTGTTCTCAGGGCAGTGTAAGTTAGGTAAATTATGAAGGTAGAATGGTATTAGAAAGCAAAAGAACCAATATTTGTAAAAATAGCACTATATGATTCTGGAGAGAGAAATCACCGTTAATACCCAGATCATGACCTCTGAGTTACAAAGAGAACTGCTCTAAACACCATTCTACACAAAGGGTTTGTTTGACACAAGTACATATTCCAAGTAGTAGTGAAGAGCCATTTGGCACATGATTTGACTATTTCACACTAGGTAAAGATACTAACAAAGAAAAATAAATGAAAAATCATTAAAGGAAAAATTAAACAGCATATATAGTTGATATACAATCATGCTTCACTTACCATCAGGAATATGGTCTGAGAAGTGACTCCTTAGGTGATTTCATCGTTATGTAATCATAGGGTATACTTACACAAACCGAGATGGTATAGCCTACTACACACCTAGACTATAGGCTATAGCCTATTGCTCCCAGGCTACAAACCTGTACAGCATGTTACTGTACTGAATACTGCAAATAATTGTAACACAATGGTAAGTATGTAAACATAGCTAAACATAGAAAACGTACAGTAAAAATATAGTACAGGTTGAATCCCTAATCCAAGTTTTGAAATTCAAAATGCTCCAAAATCTAAAACTTTGTGTGCCAACATGATGCCACAAGTGGAAAATTCCACACTTTATCTCATGTGACAGGCCAGTCAAAACACAATCAAAACTTTGTTTCATGCACAAAATTATTTAAAATATTGTATAATATCACACTCATGTTATGTGTATAAGGTGCATATAAAACATAAATGAATTTTGTGCTTAGACTTGGGCCCCATCTCCAAATTACTTCATTTTGTATATGCAAATATTTCAAAATCTGAAAAAAAGATCTGAAATCCAAATCATGTCTGGTCTCAAGCATTTTGGGTAAGGAATACTCAATCTGTATTATAATCTTATAGGACCACCGCCATATATGTGTTCCATCATTGACCAAAGCATCGCTATGCAGTACATGAAAGTACTTTCACTGAAACCATTATGAACAATATAGGATGCAATATTATATTGATAAAGAAAAATACTGTTTTAATATATTACTATTTGCTACAAGTCCTCAAATTTAAACATACCTTTACAGTAATCTTTAAAATATAACACGCTATTCTCCATTCACACACATCCACAAGAAATTCACTGTTATGACAACCTGTCTATATATAACCCATAGTATCCTATAGGTTGTATTATAAATTTTCATTCATATTTTCTCCACTGCTAAAACAAAAATCAAAACCAGCTTCACTTTTACATAAAATGTATTCCACAGATCTCAGCAGTATCATAAGAAGTGGACGAATGTGATAATCAACAAATTGGTGTCTCAATTTCCAGGTCAATACACACCTTAATGATGCAATGAAACCCTCTACCTCCAACCTCAGGCCCTGAAGATTACAGGATAAAAAAGCTATGACACTGACCAGCTTCTCTCTAAGTATTTTATCCCATACCATGCCACCCAGTTGGTTGAATCACTAAGCAATAAGGTCAATCAAATGCAATACTTCTCTCTATTAAAATATAACGGAAATTTTGACCATTCCGCATTCAAAGAGCAAACACATTCTCACACTGACAACCAGATTTCGTTGGCTTTTCCTGAAAGCAAAGTGTGACAGATGCCTTGGCTGTAATTGCCAATCAGCCTTTACATGGCAGCTGGAAAAACAATACATCACTTTGATCTCCTTTGCTCTAAACACATCCACAATCAAGAAACCTGAACAAGGAATAAGAAATTGGCATCATTTCCAGGAGCTGTCACTCTGTGGCACTTAAATGCTATAATGTATATTTTGCTCATGTTTTTATTTCCCTTTCAGAGACACTCTGTCAAAGACCTGAATAGTTAAACATCATATGTGTGTATATACATATATATATATAATATACACAGTATATGTATATTTTATATATATGTATATATTTGGAGACATACTTGGAAAGCACGTTTTTATTACCATGTACAAAATCTGAACTCAAGCACATTTAATTAAATACCACCACTGCCATTTCCTTTTCCAGTTATACACTGGAGTAAAACAAGTTAAGATGTCTCATCTGGTTTTGAAACAGTATTCAGTTGTACTCACATTTTGCAGGAAGGTCATAGCCACATGTGATTTTTGCATGTCCAGTATCACAGCCATTCAGGTTACGACATTCAGCTAGCAAACAGGGGCCGGCTGCTCTATGAATACAGCCATCCACTAAGGGAGAAAGAAGAAAGTTAGCTTATATTTGGCATTTGGAAATAAATATAAAGCTCAAGATGGGAAGAGGAAGAGAACTCAATTTGTTCTTCCTGTAAATAACCATAGCCCGTGGAAGAAAACCCAGGGTGTCCAATGTTTCAAACACTAGCTTGTTTGTGTGTGTGTTGGCGGGGGCCGGGGGGGGGGGGTGAGGTTATGTGGTGAACAGAAGTAGAAGGGTTATAGAAGTTGTGTGCTAGTTAAACAACAGGTTCTCTGGGGTGGGAGAATCCTTGATATGTAGCATTTTTCCATTTCAGTGGTATAATTCCTTTCCCCATATCCAATTTTAAGCTATTAACTTGATGTCACTGAACACAGGGTTGAGAAGAAATGCTCACAATTGTCTCTCTTTCCCGAGCTGGTACATGTTGCCTCTAACACACCACAGGTTAGAGAAGAAAAAAGTCAGTAAGAAACCTAGAAAGGTACTCTGAAACATTTGTGCTCACCTCAAAACTGAAGGAGTAGAATTAAAGCTACCAAAATCAAAACCAAACCTTTGAGCAACTTCTCCCCACAACAGAATGACACACACATGATTGTGTTTCTGCAGGGTGTCTGACTGGGTGCTGCGCAAGGGTAGATTAGGTCTTGCTTAACACCCATAAGACCACCCCTTACTCTCACTTGGCACGGCCTGAAGCAGAACTTCAGTGCTGCTCCGACTCTGCCAGAAGGGCAGGCTTTGTGCCCGTGACCAGCCTCAGGTCTCATCAGCTCTCTAGCTTTACATCTGGGCGCCTTTGACATCCAGGCATCACAAATTACCTTTTGAGAGCACAAATTTGATGTCGCTGGAAATTAAAGTTCTCTGTGTGTGAGTGCACAGGTAGAAGGGTAGAAGACTAAAAGATCACAGACACATAAATTAGGAAATTGAGGATTTGGGGCTTTAGTTATTATTGAATGGGCCCCTTGGATAGAAAAAAAAAGCAAGATTATAAAATAAAGGAAAAGAGAGAGTAGTAGTAACTGGAATGTGAAAATAGATAGAATATTAGAGGTCTGAAGACTTCTCCTCTCCACAGTCCATAACACCATGTAATTGATCCTTGATCTTTATTATCATTATCATTATTATTATTTAAGACGAAGCTGGATATGGGACAGGCTATTGGCACTAAGGGAAGTATAACTTGTCTAATGTCCAGGTTGACTTCTGCTGCCACTGCATGGCAGGGAGGCATCACTTTTGGCCTCACAAGTGTTCCAGGGAAACAACATTATCTGGGCTTTATTACTTCACCACTTGCATATCACCAAAGTTTGACAATGATCCTCAACCTCAAAGACACTCACAAAAAAATAAATTCACTCCAGACTACGCTACACTGCATGTTTTGCAAAATCTAGGTTGAAATCCAGACTTAAACATTTACCAGATATGGCATGCTCCAAGCACTGGTTTTCTTACAAGTCCTTGTCAATAATGGTAGTATCTCACACAGTTACAAAGTTGTGCATAAAATTTGAATAATTTTGTGCATGGAAGGCATTCAGCATAGTGTCTAGTACAGTGTTATGTGTCCCTTTGGTGGTAGTTATCTTAAGTACTCTAAATCAAATTTTGTGTAAATTTTGAAATAATTCTTCTTTATTTAAAAAGAAGAAATAAAGGCCGGGCACAGTGGCTCATGCCTGTAATCCCAGCACTTTAGGAGGCTGAGGCGGGCGGATCACCTGAGGTCAGATGTTCGAGACCAGCCTGACCAACATGGAGAAACCCCGTCTCTACTAAAAATACAAAATTAGCCGGGTGTGGTGGTGCATGCCTGTAATCCTGGCTACTCAGGAGGCTGAGGCAGGAGAATTGCTTGAACCTAGGAGGCGGAGGTTGCAGTGAGCCAAGATCGTGCCATTGCACTCCAGCCTGGGCAACAAGAGTGAAACTCCGTCTCAAAAAAAATAAATAAATAAAAATAAAGTTTTTTCTCTTACAAAGAAACATTAATATATTTTGTTAAAATTCTTTCAATTAGCATTTTTACTTTTTAAATTTATTACATGAAATTATTAACACAAGTGCAAAAAATACGTATACAAGGATGTCACAGTTGTTTACAATAGTGAAAACTTGGATCTACTCAGATGTCCATCAACAGGAGCTGGTTAAATAAATAAAAGCCCATCAATGCCATAGACTGTAATACACCACTTAAAATGAATAGACCAGCTATAGGTAAACAGAGTCCTTCAAATGAAAAGATTTCTCAGTGAAAATGCCAGGTTTAGAAAAGTACATATAGTATGGTTACCATTTTGTTTACAACATTATATACACACACGTACATATATATATGTACTGAATATACATATATATGGATATATATATGTAATGTAATATATATATGTAATGTGTATATATATATTCAGCACACACACATATATATATGTACTGAAAATATATGCAGCAGTTGGTGATATTATTATGAGATGGGAAACAGAGGGTGAGATTACTGTATAAGGGAAAAATTAAGTCCTAATTTCTCTATATATGAAAATTTTTTACAAGAGCTTTAAGAAAAGTATTTTAAAGTAAACGTTTTCTTGGCAAAGAGGTAATTAGTTGCTTTCAAATAGATAATGAAAATAGGATTTCCTAGTATACTTAATCATATGCTGTCAAATATTACCTGCATTATTTAGATTGCTCCTTAATGCAGTTTGCAGATATCTAATTCTCAAAATTTTCATGGTTATCCCAGTATTCCTGACTGCACTCGGGCAGTGAAAGTCTAGCTGAAGAGCTATTTAATAATAATAACTACAGCTTAAATGTACCAAATGCATCAATGTGCTGGGCACTGCACTAAGGACAACCTTATAAGGTAAATATTAATTTTATCATCTCCATTTCCTAGGATCTTAGGTTAGTAACTTGCTTACATTCACAAAGTACTCACGACGTGATTCAAAACCCCAGATTTATCTGATATTGCAACCATGCTCTTAACCATTATTAATCACTGTCTTCTCAATTCCTGCATGTGGCATATCGAAGCACTCTATTACATTACTTTTAAATTCCCATCCATTCTATTTATGACTTATAATGTACACACAATCAAATGTACAGATTTTAAGTGTGCAGTTTTGACAACTTTTAACAACTGTGTGCATTTATGTAACCATGATGCTAATAAAGATACAAAACCTTTCCCTGAACCCAAAAAGCTACCTTGTGCCCTTTCCATTCAATTTCCCCTCCCCTCACCCAGAGGGAGTTCCTGTTCTGACTTTGATCACCAGAACTGTTTTACCTGCTATATAACTTCAAACTTTATATAAAGATAGAGAGACTGCCTTCTTTTACTCCACATATTAAATATTTCTGAGATTCACCTGTGTTGTATATATTTAGACTTCTTCCTTTTTATTTGTAATACTCCATTGTTGAATATGCTGTAATTTCTTTATCCATTCATCTGTGAATAGACATTAGACTGTTTCTAGTTTTTAGCTATTATGAATCAATCTGCATACTTGTATAAACCATCTTGTAGCTATACGTTTTCATTTCCATTGGACAAATATCATTGAGTGAAATTACTAGGTAAGTACATATTTATTTTATAAAGAACTAACATAACAGTTTTCCCCAGTGATTACCATGTTACACATAACCCCAGCAATGTAAGAGAGTTCAAATTTTGGCAGTCCCTTGTTGTCGTCAGCCTTTTTAATGTTGGTAATTCTAATGACTATAAAGGAGTATTCAATGCACATTTCCCTGATAATTAATAATGCTAGATGTCTTGCCAAATGTATACTGGCCATTCATATATCTTATTTTTGGAAGTATCTGCTCATGTCTTTTGCTAATTTTTGTTGTCTTTTTATTACTGAGTTGTGATAAATCTGTTATTAATTCCATTTCACTTTTTAAAGTTTCAAATATTTCATTTTTTTCATTCTTGAAATTTCCATTTGGTTCTTCTTCTTACTGTTTTCCTATGACTCCTGAAATTTCCCATCTCCTCATCCATTCTATTTTATCTAGTCATGTAAATTCCTTAACAGATGTGACATAGTTATTTTAATGTCCCTATGTGCCAATTCCATTATCTAGGTCAGCTATGGGTCTGTCTGTATTGACTCATTTTTCATTTGACTCTGGAATACATTTTCTTATTTCTTTGCATGTCTAGTAAATTACTGATGGCATATTGAAACTTGTGTATAATATATGGTAGAGGCTTTAGATTCTATTATCTTCTATTATCTTAGAAGATTCTATTATCTTAGAAGTTTGTTCTAGCAGGCAGGTAAAATACTGCCAAGTAATATGGACGTTTCGTTAAGGTGGGTCTATTTCAATTTTTTCTTAAGTTCTATGATAAATCCCTTAATGCCAGGATGTAGTCTTTACTCCTACCGCATAGCCCTTCTGGAGTTTCAGCGGAAAACCCAAGATGTTAGCCAAGCCCCCTCTAACTTGGGGAGAACTAAAATTCCAAATTCTATAGACATACAGTTAAGAAGCTGCTGAATTATTTTCTCAGTTATTTACACCTTCTAGCTTTCATTTTCTTCCTAGGCTTCTTAGAGTCTTTCTCTGCATATGCATAGACTCAACCAAGGATTCAAGAGGGATTTATTTGTAGATTTTGGGCTCCTTCATCTGTGACTCTCTCCTTTCTGGCATCTCCTCCTTAATTCCTATTCTGACAATCCTGAATTCAGTCCTGTGGTTTCCCATGTGAATAACTATTGCTTTCTATTTCAGCCCTCTCAGCCACTTACCATATGAGTTAAGTAGGACCCTCAGGGTCCAAGTCACATGATCTCTTAAATGTGGCTCTCACTCAGTGTGGTTCCTTATGTCACAAATAGAATCTCTCTTATTTCAGCCTATTTTAAGTTACTTGCTAGTGCCAATAAACAATTTCTGTTGTTGCTTATATTTTGTCAAGAATTCCTAGTTACTATTGGTATGAAGGTCATCTGATACATGTTAGTCTTTCATTATAGAACAATGGAACTACATACCACACTTTCAATTAAAATATGATCTCCTATTATTTCAGAGCTATATTTGTGGCACTTGAAAAAAAGCGTGTGGGAGAAAAGGGCAATGGTAATATCAATTGTATCAATTCTATGCTCAAAAGCAAGTCTTTGAAAGACAAAAAGGTAATACCCCTATATGTACAAACTCAATATAAGAGTTTAAAATTCTCTAATCTATTGTCAATTCTGTTGCTAGACTTATTTTTATAAAATGTGAGTCTGATCTTACTGCTTCTCTATTAAAGTCATGTTTGTTGTTCTTCATATCTTACATTGTAAAACACTAATTCCAAATTAAGGTGTTTAGACCCTTCATAAATGTTGTTCCAACTTATCCTCCCAACTCTCATATCCTCCTACACTTTCTCCCTTCACATCCTCTGATTTGGCCACACCCATGACCTTGCTGTTCTCTAAAGGCACCATGACGTCCTTTGCACGGTACCCTCTACCCAGGCTTTCTATTCCCTCTCCTTTTCTGCCTAGCGAGGTCTTTCCCATTTTTCAATTTCTATTTCAAATGTTTTCTCTTTTAAGAAACCATTTACAACTGGACAAAATAAATGTCTCTTTATGTTCCCATCATATTCTGGTTTGCACCCTTATTGTCATATTTATAAACTGTTTTATAGCTATTACATAAACACAGCAGAATGCTTATATGCTAAAAGTCTGTTTCCCACCTTACTCTCAGTTTCTTGAAGAAGCAGGAGGTGGCTTATTCTTTTGTATATCCCCACCTATCTTAATAAATGACTCTGTAACTGCTTAATACAGTTGATTTTGATTCAATTAAATGTGGGAGGAAAAGTAATGTGTTGTTTTTTTTTTTCTGATAATACTGAGGAAATGGTTAGGTTACTCAAATCCAAGGAATTAGAAAGTAAAAAGTAAAGTCAAATACACAGCTAGTGTTGTCATCACAAATCTGGTGATGAGGTTCTATATTAGAAGTGTTATAATTCATTGAATCTGAAAGTTCACCCCCTTCTCCACTCAGGTCTAGTTCAATCTGCAGAAAACCTTGCCTTTTGACTTCACAAAGGGTCAGAATAAAAAGACAGCAGGCTGAATAGTGGCAAGATGTGGAATACAACACAGTAGCACTTCTCACATCTACCCTGGGGAGGCAGATGGGGAGGAGACCCATAGTTTGTACTCGGGCTGACAGAGATCATCTAAACCTAATCACCACTAAAGAAGAAAAGAATAGAACCCAAGATCAGAAATCTAAAAGAGGGAAAAAAGTGGAATACAATCTTCTAGAGAGCAATAGGACTGTCTATGCTTCTTATCATACCAAAAATATATATATTATAGGAAAAAAGACAACTAAGCTCCATCAGTAAATAGAACCACAATATATAGAATTTTTCAAGACCACTGTGGCTAGTCTGCTGTTTGTTCACCAAAGCCCATTTGGTTTTATTCCTGGGCTACATGAGCAAGACAGTACTTCCCAAACACTCTTGTAATTTTAGGGGGTTGTGAGACTGAGTCCTGTTTAAAGAGTATGAGTAAAAGTGATATAACTATTTCTACATCCAGTCCATAAAAATCCTGCACAAGGTCCTCCATATGACCTTCCATTGTCTGCAGGCTGAATGCAGGGGCTCAGGCAGGACACCAATGACCCAGGAGATGGTGCAGCAACCAGACAAAAAGTGTCTGAGTCCCTAAATGACTGTGTGGAACACAGCTCCACTCCCACTTCCCATACTAGACTGTGAATCAGGTGATAAACCTTTATTATGTAGAACCACTACAATTTGGGGATGTTTGCAACACCAGTTTGCCTTAACAAATACATTCATTTCTGTTGTAAATATCATGATGGCAATTTTTGTTCCACTGGATCACTGTTTTTTTTAAACTTGTGCAAAAAAATCAGCTTTTATTACTAGAATGAATGTATTGGCCAAGCTCATTGCCCTAGGTATGTCTCAGAGTCCTTAATCATGCTGGAGTCTGAAGACTCGGTGAGTACCCAAAGCCAAGCTCTCCTACTCATTGAAATAGCTGTTCCTCCTACTTAGTGACTGAAACCAGACTAACAGAAGATTAAAACAGAGACTTATTAAAGACTGCCTGTGGTAAGGTCAGCTAGTATTGGGGTGAACACTGAGGTCACTCACAGGGCTGCTCTTCGTCAGGACTGAGGGGAGTCTAGCTGCAGCTCCTTCTAAAGGCTAGGCTTTCTGCTGTACTGACATACCTGTCATTTACCACCCTGATAAGAAGGCCAAAATGCTTGCAGGCAGATGGTTAACTAAGGCAAGGATTTTGACTCCCTGACATATTTTCTCCAATTATCTAGCAAAGGCTAAATTCAGAGGACTTCAGCCTATTAATTAGGCTATCTTGGTTAGCTTTCCTTAGACTATAGCCTAAAGAATTCCACTGTCTGAGAGCGGGATAGAAAGATAAGTTTCAGTTATGCTTGAGGGGAATTGTTGTCACTTTTGTTCATATTACCTTGGAGCTTAGAGTTTGAAGATGTTATTATAGAATAGTCTTATTCCACTGTTTAGATAGCTTAAATAAAGGCAAAAGAAATAGGACATGAAAACACCTCAATTTTTTTTTAACTTAAGATTATTTTGCCCCAGAGAGTCCAATCTGCCTCTCTGGCATTCCTCAGGTAAAGCTCATCATTTTATAAGCAAATGAACAAGTTGATCCTGAAAAGAGAAAAAACAAGCTGCAAAGCATTGAGCAGAAACGTATCAGGTACTGTACAGTAATGAATGTAGAGCTATCAGAAAATAAAAATAAAAGAGAACCAAGACAAAGTTCTAAATACAGATTTTGAAAAACACTAAATGCACCATTTAGTGAAATCCAGTTATTTTAGAAATTGGCCCTGTGGTAGTTTTTATTTCTATGGGATCAGTGGTGATATCCCCTTTATCGTTTTTTATTGTATCTATTTGATTCTTCTCTCTTTTCTTCTTTATTAGTCTGGCTAGTGGTCTATCTATTTTGTTAATCTCTTCAAAAATCCAGCTCCTGAATTCATTGATTTTTTGAAGAGTTTTTCATGACTCTATCTCCTTCAGTTCTGCTCTGATGTTAGTTAATTCTTGTCTTCTGCTAGCTTTTGAATTTGTTTGCTCTTACTTCTCTAGTACTTTTATTTGTGATGTTAGGGTGTCGATTTTAGATCTTTCACACTTTCTCCTGTGGGCATTTAGTGCTATAAATTTCCCTCTAAACACTGCTTTAGCTGTGTCTCAGAGATTCTGGTATGTTGTGTCTTTGTTCTCATTGGTTTCAAAGAATTTATTTATTTCTGCCTTAATTTCGTTATTTACCCAGTAGTCATTCAGGAACAGCTTGTTCAGTTTCCATGTAGTTGTGCGGTTTTGAGTGAGTTTCTTAATCCTGAGTTCTAATTTGATTGCACTGTGGTCTGAGAGACAGTTTGTTATGATTTCCGTTCTTTTGCATTTGCTGAGGAGTATTTTACTTCTAAATTATGTGGAATAAGTGTGTTGTGGATGTATGTTAGAATAAGCATGATGTGGTGCTGAAAAGAATGTATATTCTGTTGATTTGGAGTGGAGAGTTCTGTAGATGTCTATTAGGTCCGTTTGGTCCACAGCTGAGTTCAAGTCCTGAATATCCTTGTTAATTTTCTGTCTCATTGATCTGTCTAATATTGACAGTGGGGTGTTAAAGTCTCCCACTATTGTTGTGTGGGAGTCTAAGTCTCTTTGTAGGTCTCTAAGAACTTGCTTTATGAACCTTGGCACACCTGTATTGGGTGCATATATATTTAGGATAGTTAGCTCTTCTTGTTGCATTGATCCCTTTACCATTATGTAATGCCTTTGTCTTTTTTTTAATCTTTGTTGGTTTAAAGTCTGCTTTATCAGAGACTAGGATTGCAACCCTTGCTTTTTTTTGGCTTTCCATTTGTTTGGTAAATCTTCCTCCATCCCTTTATTTTGAGCCTATGTGTGTCTTTGCACATGAGATGGGTCTCCTGAACACAGCACACCAAAGGGTCTTGACTCTATCCAATTTGCCTGTGTCTTTTAATTGGGGCATTTAGCCTGTTTATATTTAAGGTTAATATTGTTATGTGTGAATTTGATCCTGTCATTATGATGCTAGCTGGTTATTTTGCCCATTTGTTGATGCAGTTTCTTCATAGTGTTGATGGTCTTTACAATTTGGTATGTTTTTGCAGTGGCTGGTACCGATTTTTCCTTTCCATATTTAGTGCTTCCTTCAGGAGCTCTTGTAACGCAGGCCTGGTGGTGACAAAATCTCTCAGCCTCCGCTTGTCTGTAAAGGATTTTATTTCTCCTTCACTTATGAAGCTTAGTTTGGCTGGATATGAAACTCTGGGTTGAAAATTCTTTTCTATAAGAATGTTGAATATCGGCCCCCACTCTCTTCTGGCTTGTAGGGTTTCTTCAGAGAGATCTGCTGTTAGTCTGATGGGCTTCCCTTTGTGGGTAACCTGACCTTTCTCTCTGGCTGCATTTAATATTTTTTCCTTCATTTCAACCTTGGCGAATCTGACGATTATGTGTCTTGTGGTTGCTCTTCTCAAGGAGTATCTTTGTGGTGTTCCCTGTATTTCCTGAATTTGAATGTTGGCCTGTCTTTCTAGTTTGGGGAAGTTCTCCTGGATAATATCCTGAAGAGTGCTTTCCAACTTGGTTCTATTCTCCCCATCACTTTCAGGTACACCAATCAAAAGTAGGTTTGGTCTTTGTCTCCTTCTTGTCTTACAAAGATGATTTTCTAAACAGTTTTTAGCAAGGGAAATTTTGGAATTCTTGGATTTTCACAGGGAGATTTTGGAGTTCTTGGATTTTCACATATTTATTTAATCTTTTTTTGTAAATAAAAGATGGTAACTTAATCTAAAAGCAGCTGCATAAATCATATTAGCCTAAAAAGTAAGAGGCTTCGCTCATTGAATATGTATCTCTCAGAAGCCCAAGAGGATACAACAGGGTTCTTTAAAAATCGAATTACCATAAATTTGTTAAACAACTACCTTGCACAAAGCATTCTGCATGAAGCTGTGGGGAAATCAAATAATAATATTAACAACAACAATAATAATGTCACATATTTTGAAGATGTGCTGTGTGCCCACTGGTGTGCTAAGTGACTTGAAAGCTTTCACTTTTTAGAGGTAGTGTTACGAAGTAGAAAGAGGATGGTTAAGGTGTCAGACAGCAGAGATTTGAATCCTAGTGCCACCATTTAAATCTCTTTTTCTTGATTTTCTCATCTTTAAAATGGGATCCCTCATAGGACCTCCACTCAAAATTATAGGATTTTCGTGAGTAAACTGACAAGCACTTTGAATAATGTCTGGCACGCAGCAAGTATGCAATAAATTTTGGCTATATCTCATTTAATCATGATAAAATCATGATAAAAATTTTGAAAGGAAGAATTCATTAGGATCACTACTTAATAAATAAACAGGTGGAAGTTAAGTAATCACTGCAAGATAATGTAGAAGCTGGGGTCAGAGCCCATGTTTGCCTGAACTTAAAGTCTGTTATAAATCCCTACTGTCTTCTACCTCCATTCATGCAGAGAAGAAAGGAAATATAAACCATAGTCTCTTTCCTTGGGACCCAAATGAATAGGGCAGAGAAGCTCAGAATCACGTTTTCATTGAAATTAAAAGTAATTTACAATATACCGAATACCTTAGTATGGAGAATACATCTTTTAATAGATTGACAACATTTTAGGGAATGGGTCACATATTAATGTATTACATTTTATAAAGCACTTTGACAAAATTATCACAAATTTAATTTGCAAAATATTTTGCAAGGTGGTCTTGAGCTTTATTACCTTTTCCTTTTTTTTTTTTTTTTTTTGAGATGGAGTTTCACTCTTGTTGCCCAGGCTGGAGTGCAGTGGCACGATCTTGGCTCACTGCAACCTCCACCTCCCAGGTTCAAGCAATTCTCCTGCCTCAGCCTCCCGAGTAGCTGAGATTACAGGCGCCCACCACCACACCCAGCTAATTTTTTGTTTTTTTAGTAAAGATGGGGTTTTACCATGTTGGTCAGGCTAGTGTCGAACTCCTCACCTCAAGTGATCCACCTGCTTCAGCCTCCCAAAGTGCTGGGATTACAGGTGTGAGCCACTGTGCCCAGCCACCTTTTCCATTTTATAGTTGAAGAAATTCAACAAGTTCAAGAATAGATTACTTATCTAAGGTCATCCACCTAAGTGGCAGATATGAATTCAGATTTTATGGCCCTATAATTGTGGTCAATGTCACCAAGCGAGCCTAGTAAAAATGCAGATTCCCATACCCAGCCTCAAATCTGTAAAATCAGTCTCTCCAGCCATGGAAACCCAGAGTCTGCATTTCGTAATCTCTGCAGATAACAGAGACACACACTGCCAACTGAGAACTTTGAGAAGCATTCCTCCACGTTATCTTGTTTTATTGACACAGCTCCAGAAAGTGATGAGCAATTGGGCCCTGTGTTAAGTGATCTGAGTATTCACTGGACACATGAAACCATGAGTCCTGACTCTCATAAATCAAAAGAGCCTCTCTAAATTTAATTAAAGCCTTGCTCTCACGCTCCTCCGCAAGTCCTAATCAAATATCCAAAAAGGAAGAGTCCCCACCCTTAAAAGTCTGCATTGAAAGCAAGCAATATTAACTGGAACTGGAACTGAACTCAATGACAAGTAGGATTTCAATTAAACAGTGTTTCACTTAACGCTATACATGGGAATCATGAAATATCTTGGGCATAAGGAGCCGCTTGATGCATGGTCTCCAAAGTGAGGCTACAAGACATTCATATAAAGGATGAAAAAATGCACTGAAACTTTAGTTGATATTTATAATTTTTATCTAAAAAGATAAGAATGAAGTTCAAGTTTATTAATATTTAATATATAGATGACAGTAGTACTTGTATGTAATTTATAAGCAAACATACACATACATATAAGTACATGTTCAAAATATTTGTACTGAGAGAACTATACAATCAAGAACATTTGGAGTCCACAGATCTGGTAATTAAAAGGGCTTTAAAATCAAAATGCCAGTCTCTGTCGCTTAGAATTTTTGCATCTATGTAATGGGTATAATATTAGTATCAACCTTGTAGAGTTCTTATGAGAATTGAATGAGATAACATGTACAGTGCTTAGCTCATACAGTGCCTGAATAAGTGCTCGAAGAATCTTAATGTGGTAGACCTTTCATAAAGGTTGCAGCAATTACTTCTTTCTTTGTATCCATGCCCTTGGCCATATGACTCTGCAGCTCCTGCCATCAAGAGATACAATCTGTTTCCCTACCACTTGAATCTAGGCTAATCTCATGACTTGCTTTGGTCAATAGAATGAGGCAAAAGTGACTCTGTGCCAGTACTCGTCCTAAGTCTCAAGAGGCCTTTCACATTTCTGCTCACTCTCTTAGAACTCTGCTTAGCTCCCATGTGAACTAGTCCAGATCAGCTAGCTGAAGGATGAGAGATTATATGGAACAGGATTAAGCCATCTCAGCGGAGGCCAACTTAGACTAGCCAGCATTCAGCTTTCCTGGCAACTGACCAGACATATGAGTGAGGCCAGATAACAGAAAAAGAACTGTCCAGCTTTACAGTGAACCCATAGAATCAATAATTAAATAGCTGTTGTTTTAAGTCACTAAACTTTGGAAGTGGTTTGTTACACAGATATTCATCATCATCATCATCCTCATCAGAAGGGATACAAAGCAAGAAGCCACTCTCAAAGGAAGACACAAAACAATAAGGTTAAATAGCTGTCCTAACCCCTTGGGGAGGAAAAACAATATAGCTGAAGTAATCAGGTAAAAAGTGGATTCCATTAGAGGTCACCTATAGCCTGCATGAAAGATTCATGTGTCAGGTACTGAATAGCATCAGTGTTTCCTTTAGGGAGCAGAAGAAACATCTCTAAGAAAATACAATGCAATGACAAGGAGATCCACATCTTGAAGCTTCACAGATGTGAGGAATTTGGTTAATTTATTTGAGCCTGCCTTGGGCTGACTTAAAAAATAACTTGTTATGAACCTCCTCATCTTGTTGGTCAATTTGAAGATGAGATTTGGGCCGTGATCCTAGGAGAAGATGATAAGTATAATAGAATAAATATTTACACATCAGGAAACTGGAGCAGTTTTTAGTTACAGATCACACACTAGCATTCTTCATCTCAAATCCAAAAACGTAGGGACTGATCTTTAAAAACCAAGAGATGCTTCTCTCTCCTAGACTCTAAGATCTAAATAATATGCAGATACCCAAGAAACAGTGACTTTCATTCCTCTTTCTGAACTTGAAATAGCAAATGAGAAAAAAAATGTTTCTCATAAATGTTTACAGTAGACCCTTAAAATCTCTTGGAAAAATATGAAACAATGACCTATATCTCATCATTAGGTCTGAGAGCAAAAAAGTCAAGCTCATTAAAATCCTGCCCAGAGTATGTTAAAGATGTATTTTTCAGATGCTAAATTCATAGTAAACAAAATATTTTAAGACCTAGTTCATGCATTTTCTTCCACATACGCATGATCCCAATTTAAAAAGAAATTCTAAATCAAAGAAAATGTCATTATGACATAGATTGGTGGTTGCCTACCCACTATCAATTCTCATTTTCCCTGGTAACAGAATCCCTATATTAGTGGGCAGGCTATATGCCCAATTTAGAATGTACATTTATCAGCATCTCTTTCAAAGATGAAAAAGAGATGAGTGACCAATTTAGATGGAGGTGGATGCCATTAGGTGGGGCTTCCAGGCAAGCTTATTACAGAGGGCTTACTTCCATAGCAGATCTTTGTTATTTATTTATTATTTATTATTATTGATTTCCTACTCATCCACCTTCCTGCCTAAGACTAACCACATGGGGGTAAGACTTCAGCAGCCATCTAGTCAACATGGGCGTGCTGACTACACTATGGTGTGGTAGAAAGAACAGTTGGGAGGTGTCTCAATCTCTGACATCATCTGTGAAGGAGTCACATTAGCCCTGAACTACTTCTCATTCAATGAGAGAAAACAGTTGTTTTCTTTAAAAAATGACTTTGTGTTTTGTGTAAGTCACTACCTAGGATGTGGATGGTGTTTCTGTAACTTGAAGCCTGATGCCATTTTGAAATGTTGTAGGCATACATCTCATTTATCTGAGACATATTCCTTGACATTCTGGATAAGAAATTTCTCTTTGGTCATTACAGAAGTGTTAAATTACTGGGAAATTCTGATCTGACGAAACATTGTAAAGACAATGCCAGAGTGGGTAAAACCCCAAACAGTTCACTGAAGGGGCCAGAGGAGAACTGACCACACCACTAAAGAAGAAATGGCAGCTGGAAAAACCTAGAATGTGCCAGACTGGTAGCCATGGGACCTTAAGATTGCTTAGATTCTGTCAGTTTTCACCAGGAAGGGATATTTCCATCAACAATGAGGCTGAATTTACTCATGTTAGGTACTACTAAAGGGTCCAGAGAGGAGAATGAAGATCATATTTTTCTGGTATTTCAGAGAGACAGTCTGAATGAGGAGTAAATTCATCATCGTAGATGACAGGGATTTTCAGGCAAAGGATATACTAGCTGGTGAAAACGGTGCTGTAAGATGTTATTAAATTGAAGACATCTCTGGTATTCTGAAGAGTTCCTCAAAAGCTCGGCAACATACCTTTTTTTAAAACAACTGGGAAATTTACTTGAAAAGAAAAAATTCACAATTCAGTTCTTTCTCAAGAGCATCCTCGTTCCTCCATCCAGGCAGAGACCCTTCTCAAGGCGCAGGTCCTAACACTATATTCCTTGAAGGAATAATTCCCCAAAATAATCTTCAAACCCATTATTAATAGAGTCTAAGCAGTAATGGAAATTTTGACCTTAAGTAAAGAGGAAATGATAGGCGTAGTTGCAAGGCACAGATTGTGCCCTTGTTTCTGTGGAAGTCTCCTTCAGAGACCAGATCAAGCAGAAGTGCAAGGGGAGGGAGACCTTTCTCTTTCCAAGAAATAAGAAACGAACCAACTTAATAGTTCCTTTTCTACCAAAAACTTCCCAGTGGCTGGGGACACAAGGTCAGAACTAGGGATGATGTAGGTCAATATTAACAGGTGCCTCTGAGACAACCTCATTTGTTTTATCAGAGAATGAGATCTATGGAGAAAGATAATCTTTCCTCAAGGAATTTAGCTTTTAAACTTCAATCGTGTTATAGAATCTCTTCTCCTAATTTTCTTCCTACAAAGAAGTAAATATGTCATTTTATGGCTTATACCCCATCTGCTCCAGGAAATACTAAATGGCTTTAGGTAAGATGATAAAGGATTAAAAATATTAAGGAGCAAAAAAGAAATCACTCTGAACTTTTACTTGGATGTCTGAAGGAAAATGGTTTTGAAAAGCCTGTCTGTGTATGTATATTTGCAAAAATATAAAATCTTGACGCATACAAAAGATAATCTGTTTTGGCAAACCTTTTGCCATTCACTCTGCTTTCCATACTTTTAAAAGGACCAATGACACTGTATCTGTAACTCTGGAGAGGAGATGGCAAACAAGAAGCCCGTTTCTCCAAACTACACACATAAAGATGACATTTATTGCCCCAATCCAAACATCAACTTTCTTTCTTTCCATTATTTATTAAGAGGAGCTTTAAGGAATGATTGTCACATGAAGAAATAACTTAGGAGCAGAAAACATCTTGATCACTTTGTCAAGCAATACAATTATTCCTTTTGACATCTTTTTCTGATTAAGAAAAAGTTGGGCTTAATAAAGACTAAGTTTTAGCAAAGACCTAATTATTTTCTTCATTTCATAACTTGATTCTGTTTTTTACAGGAAAAAATTATTCAATAGGGCTCATAGTTCATAATGTTGATGAAATTTTACTCCTTTTTGTTTAAAAAAAAGTGTTTGTGTATAGATGAAGATTTTGCCCTCATAACTTCTAAATTTTCATGGAAATGTGCATGAAAAAAAACTCTAAGAGCAAGAAAAGCTCTTTTTAGCATTAAAAAATTTTAATCTATACTGAAATACGAACAGCATGAACAGTGTCACATGTGATTTGTATAACTAAATTTGTATCCCCATGTACTCATTTAAAATATTTCTAAATTAATAGGTTGAGATATGATTTTCCTTAAGAAAAATTAATTATAGAACTATTTCTTTTTGTTAAGAAAGTAGTCATTTGCCAATGGAACCTATGGGAGGATCCCAATCCGAATCAAAAGTGCAGTGAGCTTTCAGTCCCTGTACCCTAGGCCTGCGTTATTTGAATGTCAGTGGAGCCCCACCTCCAGACCTTCAAAGATGCCCTTCTCCTGCAAGGCTGCTACCAAAGAAAAATACATTTACAGAAGTAAATGGAGCGAATTATCCAGTTTTCTACCCCTTATTCCAAATGCAGGCCCAGTCATTGGGTCCAAAGTATGCATTTTATGGCTTCTGCTAATCTCCCTCTAAATCTATTTGTTCCCTCTCTAAGACATTGGGGTTTTCTCTTCAGAATGGTAGCTGAAAGGACGCTACACAAAGTTTTATGCTAGAGAAGCATTTATTTAGTGAAAAGTGAGAGCCTTTTTTTTTTTTAAGAGACAGGGTCTCACTCTGTTGCCCAGGCTAAAGTGTAGTGGTGCAATCATAGCTCACTGCAGCCTCAAACTCCTGAGGTCAAGTCATCCTCCTGCCTCAGTCCCCGAGTAGCAAGTAGCTAGGACTATAGGAGGGCACCATGATGCCCAGCAAATATTTGTATTTTTTGTAGATACAGGGTCTTGCCATGTTGCCCAGGCTGGTCTTGAACTCAAGAGATCTGCCTGCCTTGGCCTTCCAAAGTGCTAGGATCATAGGTGTGAGCCACCACCCCCCAGCTCTGAGAGCTTTCGATTCACATACTCACCCACTAAAAATTTAAAATACAGGGGCAGAATGAGTGGCAGTGGCTATAGGAGAGAAGAGAGTGGGTTCTTCTGTGTCCATAAAGAAAGTTTTGTTCATTCTTCAAGTGCATAGAAGAGATTTCAGAGAGGATAAAGCTATGGCTTGGATAATCCTGCAGCTCATCGAAATGTCTATTTTCTTTTTACCCAGCAGAACCATTTTGCCCCGTCTAAAATGCTTGTGTGTGAAGTTAAAATGAGCCACATGTGCTTTCCTCCACAAAGGAGCCCTATATTTAACACAGCACACGCATCCAACACCTCAAACGGTTTTGAAGAAAGCTGTGTTTATTATGTGGGCTTATGAAATAAAAAGTACAAACTTTCTCATCCTAGAAAAATATGCAATGAAATTTACAGCCAAAATAAGGAAGCTGTGCATAATGTAACACTTGGCAAGAATTTTAATCAGTGGATTGGCAAGACTAAATGCAATACTTCAGTTCCTTTCAAGACATGTCTGAGCTTCCTTAATTTAAATACCACACACTGGATCTAGGGAGAACATTTAGGAGACATCAAGATTTATACAGGAGTGCTGGCTAGCAATGCAAGCTAACTGAGAAGGGAGCTCTGCTGACATGATAATAGTTTCAACCTCAGGGAATGAATGATCACAAGAGATAGACAAGCTGTTATTATAGAGCAAAGCAACACAGATTTACATTACGATAAGGCATTCTGGCCACACTGCTTTACTTTGAGCAGGTAAAGATTTTTCCAGGTATCAGGCTGACTCAGTTTTGCTATAAGAAGAACAGTATTGGATCTTGTCAGAAGTTTTCAGGCAGGATTGTTGTTTTCCCAACTGGAAAACTACAGGACTATCTAGTAGCCTTCAGTTCCTCTGCAGCCTGACAGCAGTTCAAACAAGTTGAAAGTCAGGTCACATAATGTGGACCCAAAACTGACCATCACAGAAAGAGTTATAATGCGATAAAAAGCTCTGGGGAACCTATTAAATCTACCATTCCTGTCAGGATGAAACAAGAGCAATCCTGCTTCCACAGCTACAGTTTTTAAAGAATTCACTAAGAAAACATTTTAACCCTCTGCTCTCTGAACAACACTTTAGTAATTGGTATCTAGTATATCACATGAAATCTCTAGAACTGAAATATTAAGAAAAGAAACTCAAAAAGTCAAGCGCTGGGGACATAAATAATACAGTGTTTGGACTTAGCTGTGTCACTTGTATGAAATCTCTGTTTTAAAAAATAAATACTCTTAAATATTTAAATGTTCTTAAGTTTGCAAATGAAGCAATGTCTGGAAACACAAGATGTTAAAAATATTCTACAATGACTCAGTACCTTAGAAGGTAAATGAGGGATGGTAAGGACAATTTACTACTGAGCTCTGTCGCACAGAAATCAAAAGTCAAGGGATACAGAAAGTCCCCAACTTTCTGGAAACTTCCCTGCTAAGAATGTTTTCAGAAATTAATCCAGAAATATGCTCTCTTTGAAGAAAATACTGATTATTTGTATACAAGAGTATTTTTGCTAGGTAATAATTTATAAACTATGTATCATAAATATCTGGAGAAAGTTATTATTTGGGGGTTTTACCCTGTTGTAAGTTCTGTGAAACCGGAACTTAATAGGAATATACTTGGGGATATCATTGCTTCATCAATCTTACCAAAGCATATTTGCTTCTTATCCCTCAAGGGGAGGAGCAGGAGGCTGAGATTTCAGCAGAGTCATAAAACCATGCCTCACGGGCCATGGTCATAACCTGCTTTAATTTCGGCCCTGTAGAAAAGGAATCTGGGTTTTTTTAAAAAGCATATTTAAAAAGGGCAGGCCTCCTATTAGCAAATAGTATAATGGCAATCTTGACAGTTTCTGTTGAAAGTAAATATTAAAACTGATGAAAAACAGCAGTTTATTACTAGGAGGCAGAAGAAAATGGTGCCTCCACATTCATATGGAGTGCATAATGCTTCACAATCCAGGGAGAATGTAAATGGACATGTTTTGAATGGGAAGATAAAAGTGCCCTGGAGAATTTGAACCACCTTCCAGTGACTGTGGAAGAAAACGAAATCTAAAGGATGGATATATGTAAGTTAATTATGCTAGTAAAGATAGGTTGAGGAAAAAAAATTCTAATATACTAATTTAGGAGTATGAAAATTATTCCAATATGATTGAACTTAGGTAAGAATGGCTTCACAATTAAAGGAAAAAACTACAAGACTTAAGTAATATAAAATCAGCAGACATTGTAACTGTGGAACCTAGGCATTTCCAGCTGAGGAGAGAAAAAAAAAATACAACCAATTGGAAACAGTGAAGAAAAAAGAAGATAATCACTGCTTTTATATATTCCTATTCCATAACTAAAGAATGCTTTAAAATGTAATTCATTAGGTCAGGGCTTATCATTTTTCAAAATCAGTTCTTAATTCTTTGTAAACTTTTCTACTTCACCCTTCTTCACCCATACTGCAGTTAAAAAAAAAAAACTGTTCTTGAAATCTTAACTGGCAATACCCCCCTAACTCTTGACCAGTTAATTCTGGTCACTAAGGCCATTAAGCTGCCATTCAATAAGTTACTCTATTACATATTTCATTCACTCTTTTATTTAACAAAGACTTCCTAGGCACCTGTCATGCGTTGTGTACCACTAAGCATTGTAGATAGAAACAGAAAGAAGATACAGCCTTTAATAAAATGGCATCAGAGTCACCTGTAATAATGATGACATCTAACAAAGTTCTTTGCCCTAATGTCAGAGGATTTGTCAGTTTTCCCACCCCACTGAAGCAAGCATAATCTGCCAACTAGTTGAAATCCGAGTGCTGTCCACATGTAACTTCTCTTAGCCATGCTAGTAACCATTTGTTACCCCTCTAACTTCAGACAGGTTTTGTGAAAAAAGCACAGGTTCCAGAGTGACATAGAACAGGTGAATTTCTTGTCCATCAATACTATTTTGATGCTAGGCAAGCTGCTTAGCTCTTTTGGGCCTCAGTTTCCTTATTTGTAACATGAAAAGTTTTTTTCTTTAAGGATGGTTTTGAAGATTAGTTTGGATCAAGAATGTAAGGCACTTAGAACGTGGTAGATGCTGATAAAATAATAGGCATTATAATTACTGTGAGCTTCATTATTTTATCTAATATCAGAGGTACTTGTGCACTGGTGTTGGTTTTGAGGGGAATAAAAGAGGTTGAGAGCTGCTCTTAGTCCCAAGTCAGGATGGTGCATCTTTCAGGTATTACAGCTCTACAGTAGTAAATGCAAATTTTGTCACCAAAACTAACGTGTTGATAATGGTCCAAACAAGTTCCAAAGTAAATCTTCTAATGTTATTACATGCCTAAAAAAAAGAAAGCAACCAATGGTTATTATTACAAAGATGACTTTCTCTTTCAAAGAGAATGTTGTGTTCCTCACACAGCCTTCTGTAAAAGGTGCCATGTGAAATTATTTCACATTCTTTTCAGCCCACTCGAAGCACATAAGGGCTTACCGAAACGTGGGTCTTGGAAATATGCCTGAATGTCAGCATTTTGGCTGTAACAGTGGAACTAGGAAGGACTCCAGTTGTATCTTTTTGTGCTCTTCTGATTTATGAGCCAAAACCCTGGTATTTGATGCACATGTGAGAAAATACAGTGTTTTCTTTTCCATCTATTGTGATTTTTGTAAAACCAACAATCATCTAATTCTTACCATTAGTAATGGAAAAGAAGAATTTCAAAATTAAAAATATGTTGTTCAACAGTGAAAAAAAGAGACAATACTGTATGCGATAAAGTGCTTTAATTAGATCTTAAAATTGTAATATACGTTCTAGAACTAGAAAACTAAAAGAGTCATAAAAAGTAAAGTCAATCTATCAGTATTTTTTGTTAATGGCCATAAGACACAAAGTGGTAAGGAGAAAACAATTCTTCTAGTGTTTTATTTATTCAAAGCCAAAATTAATTGTCTTCTCAGAATGTTATATGACCAAGAGTTTGTACAAATAGTTTAACTGTAAAGCTAAATGCCATGATGTAAATAATCAGAGAAACATTGTGACAATTAATGCGTAACTACATATGGTATGATCCCTTTACATAATTTATTTTTAAAATACTTTCAAACTTTTAAAAAATTTGCAAAGCCAGTATAAAGAACTCCTATATCTCCATATCTCCTTCATCCAGATTTCTCAATTGTTAATATTTTACCTCATATATATATGACCATTATATATGCACATCATTTTATATATATATATGTGTGCATGTGTGTGTGTGTGTGTGTGTGTGTGTGTGTGTGTGTATACATCCCTGTTTTATTTTTATTATGTTTTCATTTAACATTTAAGTTCAGGGGTACATGTGCAGGTTTGTTATATAGGTAAACCTATGTCAGAGGGGTTTGTTGTACAGATTATTTCATCATCCAGATATTAAGCCTAGTATCCATTCATTATTTTTCCTGATCCTTTCCCTCCTCCCACCCTCCACCCTCCAATAAGCCCCTGTGTGTGTTGTTCCCCCATGTATCCATGTGTTCTTATCATTTAGCTCCCACTTAGAAGTCAGAACCTGTGGCATTTGGTTTTCTGTTCCTGTGTTAGTTTGCTAAGGATAATGGCTTCCACCTCCATCCCTGTCCTACAAAGAACATGGTCCCATTCTTTTTATGGCTGCATAGTATTCCATGGTATATATATACCACATTTTCTTTATCGAGTCTACCACTGATGGGCATTTAGGTTGATTCCATGTGTTTGCTATTATGAATAGTAGTGTAATGAACATATGTGTGCATGTGTCTTCATAAAAGAATGATTTATATTCCTTTGAGTATATGCCCAGTAATGGGATTGCTGGGTCAAATGGTATTTCTGTTTTTAGGTCTTTGAGGAATCACCACACCATCTTCCACAATGGTTAAAATAATCTACACTATCTACACTCTCATCAACAGTGTATTTCTCCACAATCTTGCCAGCATCTGTTGTATTTTGACTTTTTAATAATATCCATTCTGACTGGTGTGAGATGGTATCTCATTGTGGTTTTCATTTGTATGTCTCTAATGATCAGTATTGTTGAGCTTTTATTCATATGATTGTTGTTCAGATGTATGTCTTCTTCTGAAAAGTGTCTGTTCATGTCCTTTGCCTAATTTGTAATGGGGTTGTTTTTCCCTTGTAAATTTGTTTAAGTTCCTTATAGATGCTGATTATTAGACCTTTGTCAGATGCATAGTTTGCAAACATTTTCTCCCATTCTGTAGGTTGTCTGTTCATTCTGTTGACAGTTTCCTTTGCTGTACAGAAGGCCTTTAGTTTAATTAGCTCACATTTGTCAAGTGTTGCTTTTGTTGCAATTGCTTTTGATGTCTTCGTCATAAAATATTTTCCTGTTTCTATGTCCAAAATGGTATTGCCTAGGTTTTCCTCCAGGGTTTTTACAGTTTTGGGTTTTACATTGAAGTCTCTAATCCATTTTGAGTTAATTTTTGTATATGGTGAAAGGAAGGGGTCCAATTTCAATCTTCTGCATATGGCTAGCCAGTTATCGCAGCACCATTTATTAAATAAATTCTTTCCCTACTGTGTGTTATTGTCAGGTTTGTTGAAGATCAGATTGTTGTAGGTGTGTGGCCTTATTACTGGGTTCTCTATTCTGTTCCACGGATGTTGGTACAGTTCTATCATCTTTTTTTAGTTCTTTTTAGAACTTTGCCAATTGTCCCAGCAATGTCCTTTTTAGCTTTCTGAACCAGAATCCAATCCAACTAAAATGTACTTAAGTTTGCTATGGAGTTTAATGATTTATGGAAGTCCATAATGATTTCTGGAACTTATTGCAATAACCGTTTCTCACAATTGCTTATTTTTTACAATATGATTTGTAAACTTCTTTGCTGCCAGATTTGGTACCCTCCCATCCTACCACTGATGACCAGTAGAAGTAGTCACTTCCATGTCACTTGGGAGCATATTATTACAACACCAAAAAGAAGGAAAATGTGTTTTTTGAAAAGAATTGAGATGTTTTCTTTCATTGCTCAAATTCATACATTTATTAATAAAATATAGGAATATTGGAAATTTCTTTTGCATCCTGGTTTCTGAAGAAAATATATTTTTTAAATGTGTATTTAAAGTTTTGCTCTACCTAGAAGAAAACCTAGGAAAAACCCTTCTAGACCTTGGCCTCAGCAAGGGATTTATGATAAATCTTCAAAAGCAAATGCAACAAAACCGAAAATTGACAATTGAGACCTAATTAAACTACAGAGCTTCTGCAGAGCAAAAGAAACTATCAACACAGTAAACAGACAACCTATAGAATGGGAGAAAATATTTGCAAAGTATGCATGTGATAAAGGTCTAATATCCAGAATCCATAAGGAACTTAAACAACTCAATAAGAAAAAAACAAATAACCCCATTACAAAGTGGGCCAAGGACATGAACAGACAGTTCTGAAAAGGAGACATATAAGTGGCAAACAAACATATGAAAAAACGCTCAAAATCACTAAATGTCGAGAGATGCAAATCAAAACCACAACGAGATAGGATCTCACACCAGTCAGAATGGCTAGTAATAAAAAGTCAGAAAATCATGGATGTTGACAAGATTGCAGAGAAAACAGAACACTTACACACTGGTGGCTGGAGTGCAAATTAGTTCAGCCCCTGTAGAAAGCCATTTGGAGATCTCTCAAAGAACTAGAAACAGAATTACCAGTTGACTCAGCAATCCCATTACTGAGTATATACCCACAGGAAAATGAATTGTTCTCCCAAAAGCATACCTGCACTTGTATTTTTACCCCAGCACTATTCACAATAGCAAAGACAGAATCAACCCAGTGCCCATCAATGGTAGATTAGATAAAGGAAATGTGGTACATATGTACCATGGAATACTACACAGCCATTAAAAAAAAGAACAAAATCATGTCCTTTGCAGCAACATGGATGCAACTGGAGGCCATTACACTACGTCAATTAATGCAGGAAGAGAAAACCAAAAATCGCACGTTCTCACTTATAAGTGGGAGCTAAACACTGGGTATGCATAGACAGAAAGATGGGGACAATAAACACTGGGGATTCCAAAAAGAGGAGGGAGAAATCGAGGGCTGGTGACAAGGGTTGAAAAATTACCTATCAGGTTCTATGTTCGCTACTTGGGTGATGGGATCATTAGAAGCCCAAACCTCAGCATCACACAATACACTCATGTAACAATTACTTATGTACCCCCTGAATCTTAAAATAAAAATTTATCTGATTTGCAAAAAAATTTAGAAAAATTATGGATAATATTGTATATATATGCCTAGCATAGTGTCATATACAACATACATTTTGATACTCAATAAGTTAGCAAATAAGTTAAAGTTCTTTAGGAAAATATTTACTGAAACACTTCAAAGTATTTATGAAGGAGAACAGCCATTAACATGTATGTGAGAAGCACTGAGGTTTTTCAAGCTGTTACTTATAGTTTGACTATAAGCCAACATCTTGAAAGCCTTCTGAAACAAATTATTTATTTATCTTTATAATGGAATATGGACTTTTCTCTAGAAAAACATAGGCTCCACTATCTAGCAAGGATCTCATCAGTAACAAAGTATGACATCTAAATGTGGCAAACTCACTTAAGCCTGGATGCAACTCTAGACGGGATGAAGGGCAAGAGGCTAAGCCATGGCTGTATTTATCAATATGCTTTTAAACCAATGAGTGGATCAAGTAACATACAGAGTGAATGGGAATTAAATGTGATTAAAATCACTGTCTCAACAGACAGACCAGGTTATAACCTTTATTCTCTCTAAACAAGCCCCCTCACATGCTTGTAAGAGTCATAAATAAAAGAATCCAAAATATTTGAAAGGTTTTTTAGGGTGCTATATTTAGTTTGTTTTCAAAAATCTGAGATAAAAACATAAAGCAACAACGTTTAGAAGGTTATTAGAAGAGAAACACCAAAAGAAATGGCTGAAATTGTGAAAGCATATATTTTATATATAATTTTGTTTGATTTATTTTAAGGAGCTCTAAGTGAGGCAAATTTCTCAAAAATGAGTACACTCCCAAAAGGGTGAGCAGAACTTCTTTATGTCTGAGTGGGCATGCCACCCAGCATTTGTTCACCAGGCGCTTTTTCCCACTAGTGTTTAGGCCCACACAGAACTTTTAGCATTGTAACCTGAGGAGGGTAGAGAGAAAAAAAACTGGGGAGAATTTTTGAAATACAATTAAGGGATTTGCTCATCTTGGAGAGCCAGCACCTCTTGTACTAAATTCTGGCACAATAAAGACAGCACTCTAAAAGGAACCAAGCAACTGTCTGGTGGTTGCTGAGTGAAAGCTCCCTCAAAAGACATCGAAAGGAGTGTCTGTCCCCAGCAGGTGAGGAGAACTGACATTATTATATTGCTACAAGACATCAGAAGGGAAGAATGAATAGAGATTAATGAATTTCTAGTTCAACAAGTGTTCTTCCAAAAACATTCATTATTTTTTCTAATCATATATGTATTATACATAACTTGTAGGACATATGGAGAATAGAGGAAAAAAGGGTAAGTACAAAATTACTAACATTCCGATAACCCAAGAGATAACTTCTCTTGATATGTGGTATATTTCCTTACCATTCTCTCATGAAAAAGGCTAGTTATTGTAAGGCTTTGGTTCCCACAGTGTGATCTCAGGAACTAGCAACAACCGCATCTCTTGGGAACTTTTTAGAAAGCAAATTTGGGAGATCCATCCCAGACCTACCGAATCAGAAACTCTAGAGGTGGAATCCAACAGTCTAGAGTTTGGCAAGCCCTGCAGGTGATTCTGATCATATTAATGTTTGAAAATCGCTATTTTAAAATATTTTTAAAATGTAGATTTGAGGCCAGGCAATGTGGCTCATGCCTGTAATCCCACACTCTGGGAGGCCGAGGCATGTGGTTTGCCTGAGCTCAGGAGTTTGAGACCAGCCGGGGCAACACGGTGAAAGACCATCTCTACTAAAATACAAAAAACTTGCCGGGCATGGCAGCATGTGCCTGTATTCCCAGCTACTGAGGAGGCTGAGCCAGGAGAATTGCTTGAACCTGGTAGGCGGAGGTTGCAGTGGGCCGAGATTGTGCCACTGCACTCCAGCCTGGGTGACAGAGTGAGACTCCATCTCCCAAAAAAACAAACAAACAAACAAAATACATAAATTTGAAAAATATTAGCCATAGGTAACTTCCTCAATTTCTAAAGGGAGAAATAAATAGTACTGGGTTTAGATTGTGCCTAATTCCTCAAGTAAGAGATAAATTCAGCAGCAGAGCAAGGGCTCTGACCCTCTAATTTTAAGAGTACAGTTCCTCTGCTGAAAGAAGAAATAAAATTAGGAAAAATAAAGAAATATTTCTCTCTTCTTCTTCCATTCCTGGTCTTACTCCAGAAAGTATTAAGATAATTTAAGTTTCTGAGATCAAGATATCTGTCTCCAGACAATTTTAAGGGCTTCACATGCTATGGCTAAACCTGATTTTTCCAAAATGAGTATAACTTGGAAGAAAAGAATAATTAATCAGGGCATGAACATAACCAGTTGGCAAAATAATATCTGAAGTAGATAATTAAACAACTAATTTTAAATAAGCTTGCAACAAGATTGCTAAACCTTAATCATCTTTTTTCCCTCATCATCTTAGAAGTGAAACTGTTTATTGAAAAAAAAGGATGCAAAATAGATAATTTACTTTAAATAAGGCTTAACTGCAATGCAGTTACTACAAATATGTTATTGAAATTATCAGGTACTTAACAATCTTTCGTCTTTTTTTTTTTTTTTTAACTATGTCCATACTGTCTTGGAAAAGGAAAGAAAAACAGCTCAGTATGCTAAGCCACACAGTCATTTTAGAAGACATCTGCTTATCAAAATGAGTGTGACTTAGAAGTCAGAAGCAAGTTCTTACAGGCCAATGGCTTTACTTATTGGCAGAGCATCTTCCTTCCTTGGGTGGTCTGATAAAGACGGGTAATTCCCTAGAATTATCATGTATTTGAACTAAACATTAGTGAAGGAAAATTTTAAATAACAACAAGAATAAGCCTCTCAAAGAGGCTTTTCATATGTTCTACACTGTTTAATGTATTTCAGGTTTAAGGTTTTCTTATCACAGCTAAACCAGAAAGACGTATACTATTACCCTTGTGATAATGATTTAATTATTTTATATTGTTGCCCAACCACGCAGGTGGCACTCTTCATGGACAAAGAAACCCCCTAGTAATTAGAAGGCCAAAACCCTAGAGATATGTAATCTTTTCTCACAGTGTGTAACAGTTCTGGCTGGTATTTTTCCATGCATAGCCCTGCAGTGCTTCACTCTGCCAAACCCAAACAGAAACTACTGGTTTATTTCCAGCTGTTGCTGAGGATTTTTCATCTGATTTTTATTTACTTGTCTAAAGTGGCTGTAACAAGTACCAAATAAGCCACAACTGCCAGGAGCAGAATATAAAATTAAAGGGCTTCTACTAATGAATAAGTAATAGCACGCTTAGAAGCGGATGCTAACTGGAATCATTGAATGAGGCTCTGTAACTTATTAGATTATATTTTGTAATGATTTTGAATCAACATATTCAAAGTTATGTAAATGCCCTTTGGTACATTAATTTAAGAGTTCATAATACTAATGCATTGAAAAATGTTAAATAAAGCACAAATGTATGAAATAACATTATGGCAAGAATGGTATGTATTTCCCTTCTTGTGAGAGTGTGTGAGTCTGTGTGTGCATAGGTATGTGTGGGAGAGAGTATATCACATACATGTTATGACAGGTATGTACAGCAGCCATGTGAGAAGGCAGTGAGGTTTATTAACTAGAAGACACTCATGTACGTCTTAACTCTTACCTATAGCCTAGGAAACAAAGAAAGCCAAGACAGCACACAGAAAATCTCCCCCCAAAATAGAGGACAGACATCAATTTTCAAGATGAATACTCCAAAATTCTGAACCAGGAGTACTAGAAAATATCCTGATGACCACAATATAACCCCCAGAGTAATGACATCTTTCATATCAACTGGAATAGTCACTGGTCTGACGCGAAATTCACTGGCCGGCCATTTCTCCAGCAACAACTCGGAGACACGCGTTTTAGTCATAATGCCAGTAAAGGGCTGCTGAAGGTAATATAATGAAATATGAATAGTGTTTTCTCCACAAGCATGGTTCAGCCTATATGCACTGCCAGTTTTGGCAAGGATATAGAAATAAACCAGCTAACCTATATCATAGAGAGAGGAAAATGTTCAAATGAACTAGGATACATCCATTGTTGCCAGTGGAAATAAAGAGCTGTTTTATATGGTGTCATGGATTCTCTCTTAAGCTTGGATGAGGGAACAGTTCAGGTTGTGCTTTGAAAGCAGGTTTAATCCCCACCTTTTTAAAGTTAGAATGGCTATAAGGAGATCGCCAATTGGCTATATGAATTTCTTAGTCAACCCAACTCTCTGTACTCAGTTTCTTCCTCTGAAGTATAAAATGGGTGGGGGGGAGCAGACCTCCGAAATCTCTTGTAGCTCCAGTATTTCATGACCTTCATGATTCTACTACAGCAGATAAGATGTAGTCCCCTGGGGAAATGCCACAAGACACCTGGTAGAAAAGAGAAATGGATTGGCTATGGGAAAAGTGGGTTCTACTTCCAGCCTTTGCTCTTACTTAGCTATGTAAGTAACTGTAAGAGCTTCTGGAGGAGTCCCACAGATATTCTGGTCCTTGATTTGCTCATTTATAGAAGGCGGCAGGGGACCCTACAGCTCCTTTCTTCATTTCTATTTCCAGGGAGTGAGAATCAGCCCATGTATAATAAGCTATGGTGACAAATGGCATCTCAGAAAATAAAAAGATATCATTGAGCTTTGAGATTTAGGATAGCCTCTATCATTTTCTAGAAAGCCAATTAACTCATACCTGAAATGCTTGACAGCAACAATTTTGAGTAAAAGTAGGTCCATAGAGTTTTACTGATGAATCACAGGAAGTTAATTTCTATTTGATTATTATGTTAATCTATCAACAATATAGCTACATTTACATACATCCCTGAAAGGAGACACATAGAAATGCTGCTTCATTAAGAAAAGGCAAAGAGAAGGGATATTAAATTATTTGTAGAAAGTTAAAAACAGACTCAAAGCAAAAATAAGCTAAAAAATTCCTCTTATAGCTTAGCAATAAAGTTACTGGAATTTGTAAAGAGAGACATTTGAGAAGAGTCAGGTCAGGTAAATTTTAACACCAAGACCCGACCAAACACGATTTTATCATGTTTGAATAACTAAGTTATTCATCTTTAAAGAGCTTGTAAACAGATAACTGTTAACAAATGAACAACCACAGAAGCAAAACTCAGACAGGAACACACACAAGCACACCCTCAAAACACACACACACACACACACACACACACACACACACACAGTGTCCACTTTGGATTTATATATAAGCTTTGTATGGCAGATGTAATTAGTGCATTTATCACACTGTTATTCCACTGACAGTAGAGCTACACTCTTTTAGAATACAAAGATGAAATAGATGGAAGCATCCTTTCTTCTAATCTAACTTTTTAAACGTTGTAATAAATAGTTAAACCTTTCTCAGTTACCAAAGAAAGAAACAATGAAGTAATCCATAGCCACTAGTTCTGGATATTGCTGAGGGCAACTATAGTCAGAGAAAATATTTAACAGTCTTACAATTAAAAAAAAAACAACCCTGTGTATGAAAGAACTCAATCCATCCTAGTAATTGCTTTCTGTGAAATCTAACTCTTGGTTAAAATTAATGAGTTACAGGTGTGAATCTAATGCTTTCCATTTTGCCTAAGATGTTACTGTTGCTTTTTTCTGAGACACTTGACCTCCAAAGGTATTGTAGTTAATTTATCATAACACACTATCAATGTTCAGTGTTTGCTAAAAAGGGGGAACTGAGCGCTTTTAGTGAAATAGAGAGCTCTTGTTTTTCTACAGTGCTGTCGGAAACTAATAGAATCTTTCTTACCTACACATTTAAAATTCTGCTTTTATTTTTCAGATGAACTGCCAGACCAAAATAGGTGTCAGAAAATTGTATTTTAAAAGGCAGAAAAATTAGTGCATGTAAAGTCATTGCCCAAATTCACTTGTTGAACCTGGTTTTGCTGTTCAAATAGAAAACAAGTTTTCAAAGAATGATTTTTTTTTTTTTTTTGAGATGGAGTCTCACTCCATCTCCCAGGGTGGAGTGCAAAGGCACGATTTTGGCTCACTGCAACCTCCACCTCCCAGGTTCAAGAGATTCTCCTGCCTCAGCCTCCCAAGTAGCTGGGATTACAGGCACCCACCACCATACCCGGCTAATTTTTGTACTTTAGCAGAGACTGGGTTTCACCATGTTGGCCAGGCTGCTCTTGAACTCCTGACCTCAGGTGATCCATCCGCCTCAGCCTCCCAAAGTGCTGGGATTACAGGTGTGAGCCACCGAGACTAGCCAAAGAATGATTTCTTAAAAACAATAAGAGAAAATGAAAAATAACTGTAACTGATGTGGCTACCATGAGAGTGGTTTACAAAAATATAGCACTTTTGGTTTCTTTTTCTAAAAAAGAACGAATTAAATATGTTTCTGAAATTAATAATTATTATAATATATTATGTGCCAGACACAATACTAAGTGCTTTTCACACCTTATTTTTCCCTTAGAAGTAGACTGTGAGACAAAAATTGGGGTACAAGTAATTTATTTGAAAAGAGATCCCAGGAAACCTACTAGAAGGGGACAAAGAAATGCGGTCAGGAAAGAAAGGGAAAGAGGTACTGTCAAGCAAGCAACTTCTATGGGCGACTGGACATCAGTTCTGCTGGGGAACTCTGGAAAACGTGTAAAACATGCCTCAGAGGTATTCTAAATAGGGGACTGCTTTTTGAGGCATTACTTTTGTAGACTTCCAGTTTGCCTTGGAATGAGCCAACCATGCTCCTGCAGCCAGAATAAAGGCAAGGAATAGGAAGTGTTCTCAGTAAAGAACACCTGAGGTGTACAAATGAGGTCTCTTAACACAGTCTGCTGTAACACGTTATATCATTTAAGGTTTATAGTAGGCAAGGTGCAGTGGCTCATGCCTGTAATCCCAGCACTTTGGGAGGCCAAGGCAGGAGAATCACTTGAGGCAAGGAGTGTGAAACCAGCCTGGGCAACATAAGGAGAACTCATCTCTTAAAAAAAAAAAAAAAATTGCAGCCGGGCTTGGTGGCTCACGCCTGCAGTCCCAGCACTTTGGGAGGCCGAGGCGGGAAGATCACGAGGTCAGGAAATCGAGACCATCCTGGCTAACATGGTGAAACTCCGTCTCTACTAAAAATACAAAAAATTAGCCGGGCTTGGTGGCGGGCGCCTGTAGTCCCAGCTACTCAGGACGCTGACGCAGGAGAATGGCGTGAACCCGGGAGGCGGAGCTTGCAGTGAGCCAAGATTGTGCCACTGCACTCCAGCCTGGGCAACAGAGCGAAACTCCGTCTCAAAAAAAAAAAAAAAAAAAATTGCTGTACATGTTGGTGAATGCCTATAGTCCCAGCTACTTGGGAGGCTGAGGTGGGAGGATGGCTTGAGTCCAGGAGGTCGAGGCTGCAGTGAGCCATGATCACGCCATTGCACTCCAGCCTGGGCAACAGAGTGATATGAGTTATATGGCCCTCATTTCATGAGCTAAGGCTCAGAGAGGGTAATCAGCTTAACCAAGGGTATACACGGCTAATAAATGATGGGGCAGAGACTGGAAATCCTGAATTGCTTGACTCTAAACCTTAGTCCTCACCATATTGCTATACTGCAACACAGGCAAGAAATGAACATAGAGTGCATTATAACATGTTAGGAAGCCTAAGTGTGAGGCAAAGACATTACCTAAATCCTAATTCTTTCCCAGTGGCAAAATAAACACCTATTGGGACTGAAGAAAATTAATGGAAGGTCATATGCAACCTTGAGGACTTTACCAAGGACAAACAGAAAAGATCTATTTTCCTTAATTATATATTTAGATAATCTCATAGTCATTTTGCCATCTTTAAAAGATCTCCAGCTTTAGAATTCCTTCAACCTGGTGGTCTTGAGTGAGCCCAGGACCTCATTATGTGGTACATAAAACCCATCTGTTTGCTAAAATGTCAATGGTTTTCGAGTCAGGTTTAGGAAAAAACTGTTGTTTTTAAACTTCCAATGTTTTTAGTTATTGTGTTAAGTTACTATCTTATTAAATTCAATAGTCAATCTCATACTGTTTTTCTCAGTATTAAAAAGGGAAATAAATTAGGTAAGAAAAAATGGAATTCTAGTGGAATAAATGATATGTTTGAAATTAATAATGTGTATGGTATCTACAAAAGCTGCAGTTCGACAAAAGAAATACCATGCTCTTGTTATATGAGATAAAATATTATGGTAAAATTACTTTCCACTATAATTTTGAAATGTGTAAAATTATTGTTAATACCAGAACACTGAAAGTCACAGCTTACAGGTTAATCATTTGGGGTTAAAAGATAAATCTCTGAATAGGAATTCCCAACAGTCAACTGTCTAAACTTATATGTAAAATAATTAAAAGAAAACAATGATAAGGATATACAATGTGAGGCAATCATATGTTTCCAAAATATTGATGGGATGACCTACCCTAGTTGGGTATCTCTTTGCCCTGCCTTGATATCTGTCAAATAACCAGAGTTATTATGGCTTTTCAAACTACAACTGTTTAGCATATAACTAAGCCCCTACTAGATACTCCAGTAAGATTTGTAATAATATGAAAGTTTATGAATTCATAATTACTCTCTAAATAAACAAGAAACAGAGGCTGCTACCTAGGTGAGACACTGCCTCAGCCTGAGTTCCCCAGGTAGCACCAACACAGAAATCCGCAGTGGGAATGGGATTTGATGAGACACTGGTCGGCAGTCCCCACAGGAAGATAGTTGGAGTCCATGCAGAACTGATTGCCACAGCTGTGGAGACAAGTGAAGCCAAATGGATCTGGAGAGGCATATATCCTCCTCCAGGAATTGGGCCTATAACAAAGTGGCTTTCTCACACTTGAACTTCCTGACATGCCACTATGCATGATACATTCATTTCTTGACTATATTTCAATATAGCAATATGGTTCAGGATTGAGGCTTGAGGTCAAAACAAGGATTTCCAGTCTCTGCCTCATCCAGCTGACTCCCTACCTCCATCACTTATTACTCCTATATAACCTTGGTTGTATTTACTTTGGCTTTGATCACCAAGGATTTGGGAAATATGTTCCAGTCAAAGCCAGGATGTGCAGCCCAGTCCTCTCTTCCTCATGCCCTCCTTTCTTCTGGTCCCCTATTATATCAGGGTCTAGTTCTAACTAATGCTGTGGAGGCACCAATTTCCCCTCTGTAAGTTCCTATGCACTAATCTTCTTGACCTGTTGAACTCCTTTCTTAAGCTCTTTTCTCTTTGGCATCATGACGTCCCCCTATAAAAGCACTGTCTTCGGTGGATTCATCAGACCATACAAGTTTGGGAAATGCAGCATACGCTGTCCCTGTCTTGGAAATTCACAGTGCATAATGAGTAATACTGCAAGAAGTAAATCTATTTAATGACATTTAATTCTGTACCTTCCAAACTTATCTGATCCTAGAACCCTGTTTTGGACATAACCCCTCTTGACATTCTATAGACCTAATATTCTATGGAGTGGCTATGGAAATTCTTCTCTCTTTTGTTCTATACTCCCTTTCATTGATCTATTGTTTCCACATTATGTATATAATTTTCAACTCTCATTCTGGAAATAGTGCTTGCAACTTAACTATCCCTGTTTGGGGTTTTTCAAACTGTGAATGCTTATCATAGACCAAATGACATGAGTTTACTTTTCATTTCAGTGTTTCACTCAGAACTGCTTCTGGCAACTATATTAAAGGCTGCACTTTGGTGTGTAGTGCGAAGGGTTATTAACAATGTTTTTTAAACAATGGAAGGGGTTTATATCTGCCCCTCAAAAAATCTAATCATTTGGTAGGGAAGCAGTATAGAAGGATAAAAGGAACTAATCTCCATTAAGGTTATGTAACCACAGAAGAACATCCAGCTGTTTGCTGTTAGTTTACCATAGACAACAAATAGGCTGAAAAAGTCAGTTCCATTTGAGTCTTAAACTTGTAAGAAGAATGATAATTACTAATTTTTGACAGTGGAACTCTAACCTCCAATGGAGAAGAACCATTGATAATTTATGCCATATATTCTGATCTCCTTAATCATTTTTACAAAGCTCAAAAGGGAAGTAGGGGTGAGGAGATAATTACTAAAGTTGTTTCTCCAGCCTAGGGTAAAGTAATAGATCAAGATCAATTTCATTTAGACCTGAACAAAATAAGAAGTCAGTAACCACAGCCAACTGTGTAAGAACTGGAAGAGAGATCAGACATATTTACATGGCAAGGTGTTTAAGCTGTCAACACCTGAGACTCCTTAGTAAGTCCCAGACACACCTAACTCATTCTTTACAAGTAGGAAGACTTGCCCATGTAAAGATGCTACCAATCAGCATGGGGAGACAGTTTTTTGCATATCTCAGCCATGCAAGCATCTGGAACAAATCCACTCAGATTGATAGTAGGATGTGTTAAGTCTAGAACTGTTAAGAGGTTACAAAATTTTCCCTTCTGCCTCCTGCTCCCATTCTGAATATGTGGATTTGACTTATCTGAGAAGGAAGGTATTGGCTCAACTAAGGGCTTTAATCTTCAGACTTACTGCAAAAACAAGTTGTTATCAGTCTATGCATACTCCACCTGGATCCAGAGTCAAGAACTGAGAATATTCAACCTGTAGGCTCAGCCCCACCCAGCCTGTGACTCAATGAGAACCAAGCCTGGGTGTTTATTAGATGTAGAGTTCTAACAAAGGGAGGGCCCTGGTATTAGCCTCGGTATTCTTATCTGACAACCAGCACAATGTACCCAGGGCAAACTCTTTAGGGATCTATGCACTTACAGAGATATAGCTGAATATTTAGGTGTGGAAAGCCTAAATACCTTGTCATATAAACATGCCAGCCCCCAACATGTATGGCCAGCCCCATGACCAAGCTCCAAAACCAGTTCTTTGTTAGCATTCTATGTCCCTAAGGGAACTGCAGTCCTTCCCTGAAGCTTGGCTCACTGAGCTAAGGTCTTGGATCCCCTTTGCAGCCAATGCAAACTCCTCTTCGGGAGCTGGATCTTGCTTACTTTCCCTGTTAGAACTGTGGTCATGACTTAGTCCAGATGATTGTTCCTATAAGCAACGGAGATGCTCTCCCTTGAAGACTTAAATTGCTATCATCCAGACATCCCTACCCATAAGAATAAACTTTTTAGATATCAGTATTGGTCTATATCTGAGGAAATTGACTATGCCATCTTTGAGACTAGTTTCACTAGTGCTACCCTCATTAATCTCTAAAACTCTTTCCTCTTACCAGACAGTCCATACTTCATGGTAGAACTAACTGAACCCATGACAGGACAAAGAAGTGTTGGATACAGAAACACAAATGGCTATTTCTTTTATTTTGTCCATGTCCCAAGGAGTAATTTCTTTAACAAAACTGGGCAGGGGGGTAGAAGCCCTAAGTATGGAGGACACTGAGTGTGAAGTGAAGGAGTGTGGACCTCTGGAGTTCACAAACATACACAGGACTCCAGGTCTGCTGATTACTTCCAAGAAAACATGAATTTCAGGGGTTACCTCATGGGCCTATTGCACGTAGCACTTGAAGGAGAAACTGTGGATTTTACCTATTTATTGCTGTATTTTCCAGATGAGAGAAAGGAGCTTAAATCACTAAGAATAACAGATTAACTGGCATAGGTGAAGATTATATTATTTAATAAAGACATTCTTGGTTAAATACATAATGGTATAAAGTACAAAATATTAAGCAGCAATTAAAAAGGATGTTAGATCTTTAATAAGACCCAACTGAATATTCATAGTATACTCTTAAATAAGTTGCAGAGTAGTGTGTATAGTATGACTCCATTTTTATAAAAAACAAAACTAAGCAATAAACCTCTGAGTATGTGAGATAGATAGATATATATATATATATGTTTAAATAAACAAAGAAGAGGCAAAGGAGAGAAAGTAGACGTAGACAAAGGCAAAGGCAAAAAGAGAGAAAGTAGAAAGATCCACATTGGACTGCTAGTTTCTGTTACCTAAACATTTTGATCCTCCCTAGTTTAAATCCAGTTGTTACATTAAGAATGGTTTACTTTGTTGACTTTTTCCAAATTAATACAGAGATTTCAGGAAGATTATATTGAAAATAAACTGGACGTTCAATGTCACCTGGGTACTTTCAGTTAGTGAGTCCTATAATGAACCATTTTGTAAATTGTATGAATGGCCTAATATATCTTATTTGTAATGTAAATATTGATATCTGTGTTTCTGTAGAATAGTGACCCACTCTACTTTACAGGCCTAGTCATCTTACATAGAGAAAGCATTCTGATCTTTAGGTTCCTTTGTTCCAATAAACATCACATTGCCAAGATTTTGAGTTATAATCCTGACCTGTATTACCACTGTGTCCATTTCTAATGTCACAAAAATATTAGCTATTATTACTCTAAGCAGTCACCCACCATCCGTATTTAGGCACTACATATAAGGCACTATGGAGGCAAAGGTAAATGAAAATTAAGCACTGCCTGTGGAGGTCCTTAGTCTAATGAAAGACACTTTTGCCCTACCTAGCTGGATAGGATGCAAATGGCAGTGCTCTGGGGAAAGAGGTGGTGTTGGGTCTTCTGATTCAGTGAGAAAAATATGGTGTTGCCCTCTTATGAGAAGAGTAACATGAAGGTACTCCTGAAAGCTGTAAATCCCGGGACAATGGAAAAAAAATGAACAGGAATAGTGGTGCCTGAATCATGGGAAGTTCCTTGCAGATCATGTCCCCTAGACCTGGAGTATTGTCTCTCAGTCAAGAGTGACAGGAATATTTATCTGTCCTATTAAAGAGGATGTTTGTCATCATTGTGAGAGAGATTCTAGTAGCTGGGGTACATTTAGAAATGAAATTGAGAGCTAGGGGTCTGGGTGTCTTATGAGGCATCAAGGGATCCAATGAGAACTTAGTACAGTGTTTCCCTACATTCTTGACCTGAAAAAAAACTGGGGCACAAATACTGAGACTGAGATGGTGTTAGCCATGACAATTCCTTCAGATTTGCAATGCATTGAAATATGTGCTCAGTTAGTATTATTTTTTTGAAACAAAATGTTATCTCTTTTATCATTACACCACCCCCAAGGTTAATGAGAAAATTTTTACATGTGTACCCAAAAACAATCATCTGAGATTTCTGCCTCTGCCAAAATGTAAGAGGAAAGCATGAGCTGCTGAAACAAAACTTCAAATGATTAAACAAACTGGGTAGCTTCGTCTAAATCCTTGAGTTTTCAGTTCCAGGAGCCCTGGGGATCATGCAGTATGTTCTTTTTACACAAATAGATTTTTCAGAGAACTCAGGAAAAGCCAAATAAATCCTCCTGAATTAGTAGCTGCTTGCTGTACAACCAAGGCCTTCAAGTGTTGAAGAGAATAGTTTAACTAGGATTTTCTCAAACTTGTTTTAGAGGGAAAATGCTGATTACTTTATTAAGATCCCACATGAGGTGTGCCAGCTTGATAAAAACATTAACAGACGGATCATCAAGAAGGTCGGCAGCAAATATTCAGATGTGTGGAAACACTTCCCACCTCTCAGCTAACAACAAAACCCCAGACACCCGCACATATTTATATGCATGAAGCAGATGAAGAAACACACAAACACACACGTAATTGCTGCGTTTTAAGAGACAGGAAGTCGACATGGTAAAGAAATACAATTATACAGTACCTTCAAACACAGGAAGGTAACTACTTTCTGGTATTAAAATGATAAATGACAAGTGAATTAATGATTTGAAATATGGTTACTTTTCATGAAACAATGTACCATTATGTTAAAAATAAACAATGCAAACATAATGATGCAAAGGGTGAAAGCAAAGTGTGCAGCCTCATTGTTTCTGTAACATAAAAACAAAAACCCACTCTAACATTATCAGAAGAAAGACCAATTTTTTTACTATGGAAAAAAAAATTCCACCATTACAGCTTTTATGATGAATCCACTAAGTTCTCTGACTGACGTTTATATATAACTAATTATCTTGCTATAGTTGGATAATATAATACTATAACAGATAACATAATAGTGCTATATTAATAGACTTGAATATTAATGAAAGATTTGGTGAAATTTGAAAGCTGTTTGTTTGGGGAAAAACACTTGAGAAATAAGGTAGCTTCATCAATGCTAGATTTTCATCACAAGTTTTATGACATACCATGGAACATAAGTGCTTTTATGAGTTGTAAAAATTGCTTCAATATTTGACACTCTGCACTTCAAGGAATCCTGATTGGCAGCTGATTAGACTTTTGCTCCAGTCATTAGCTTCCTTAATAAAATGAGTAGGCTAGAAAATTGCATTGTAATTCATCAAGGGGAAAGTAATGCTGCAAAAGATCTTAAGGCTATGATTGTATATTTACTTAGTATAAAATATAAATTTTTCCAAGTTATTTCTTATAACTTATTTATTTAATATATGGTATTTCTTATAACTTATTTATTTAATATATAAGTTATTTCTTATAACTTATATATTTACTTAGTAGAAAATATAAATTTTTCCAAGTTATTTCTAATAAAAAATATGCCAGGGAGTATGTATTATTGATTTCATCTGGAATTATGACAATCCATTTCTGCACATTTGGTTTCTGTAAATGGAGTTTTTTATCTGCCTTGAATTCCCTGTGTAATGGCATTAAAATAAATTACAGAGAGAATGTGATCTCTCTGTTATTACTGTCTCTTGCATGTTCCATTTAAATCCATCTTGAGCACCACGTACTTTTGAAAGAATCCTTCAAATGCAACCAATATTAACAATATTTTCACTTGAATGCAAGTAAATAATGTACCATGAAAATTTCTCTCCTGCAAACCAAAGTGCTACATTATGGCGATGCTCTAGAAATCTTACACACGGAAGTATGATAGCTAAATAATTATGTTAATTGAGTATAAAAAGTATGTACAGATCTATTTGAGTAAAATTAAAACATTTTAAAAGATTATAAATTAAGCACACCACAATCAAAATTAAATTAGAAAAAGCAAACACATATTACTTTAGTTATATACTTCCCAGTCTCCAGAAGTCAATTCTGTGTTCCCAACATTTTATTTTCTAAAACTAGATATAGAGAAGAAAATGTTTACAATATATGAAAGTCTATGGGTGCTAAAAAGAAGCACCAGAAAATGAAAAGGCTGACTAGAATATATTATTCATTCATTCAACTACAATGAAAAATTCAACAGACTCATATTAAATTCATGTCTTACTTATATTTTGTAAATATGTTTAATAAATTTAATACCCATTCAATTTAAATAGATGCATTTAGATAATATACTTTTTCAAAGAGCTTTACAGTTATATGTAATTTAAGTGAAGAAAAAATAATGACAAAAATAACACTGAAGGGGAGAACAATTTCAAGAGGTTGGATTTTGCTTAAATAAAGCTATTTATCACTGACAGGAAGTAATTCTAAAATAATCATTACCCCTGTGCAAATAATATGTTTGATCTTTTTCTAACAGTTGTTCAATCCATAAGTGTAAAGTCTTCATCAGAATGTAGTATCCTGTAGTCATCATATTATTTGTTTCCTGCCTACACTCCCTTCCATGCCACTGCCTCTCACCTGTCCCAATTTTGTTTGTTTTTGTTGTTTGCTTTTGGTTACCCACTCCAAGTTCACAAGAACACAAAAATGGCATCTGGAGTTACTATTGTATTTGAAGTTTGAACACAACAGCAATATAATTCTGCCTGTGTAGCCAGAGTTCAGGCAAGGGGAACAAAATAGCATTAGTTTGCATATGTACACTACGATCAGCACCAATTTTCTGTCATATAAACATTAGTTATAAACATTGTTTCAAGATAGTTCATTAATTCCATATTCGATAAACAAGTAAAATGGAGCCTTGGCTCTCATAGACATTTATCCAGAGAGTTTTGGCAAATTGCAATGATATGGACTTAATAATCTACACTGGGGTGAGACAGTGGGACAAAAAAACTAGTATATAATAATCTGCAAATAAGAAGTGTCATTGGAATGCTAAATTATAAAACCATTTCTGAAAACCCCATGAGGATGGATCCAAATTTTTAATTTAATGAGTTACAAAGAAAGGCAAATAAACCACTACATAGTATTATAGCAAACAAGCTTTGAAATGGGCTTTTGAAGATTGGCACTCACATTTTTGATCACAGCTTTCTAACAGATTTACTGTAGATCCTTTCAGTGTTACTAACAGTTATTAAGCAGCTACATCAGGCTCTTTGTCATGAGAAGAAAGCCCTTGCCTTGTGATGAAACATCACTTTCTAGACGCAAAGAATATAAAACTGTAATCCAAGTTCACTGCTGTTTCTTAGACTCACAAAAGCAGTCAGTTTTAATTATTGGCAAAAAATATTTAGTTATTTAATAGAACCAGAATTATATATTTTTATTAATGCTACAATTTATTTCCCACTTATATGCAAGCTAAGTACTTTATATACATTATTGTTTTTAATTCACATAATAATCTTATCAGTTACGTATTATTATTTCCATGTTATAGATGACTAACTACAGCTTAAGGAAGTTTTGGGTTTTTTAAAAAAAATTCTATCCATCCACACACCCAGGCATCCAACTATCCATTCATTTACCTACCCATACATTCATTCAACAAATCTTTATAAAATACCAGGTTTCAGGTACTGTGGCATGAGCTGAGGCTGCAGCTGTGAACAAAGGACAGTCACCACAGGTGCCTTGTCATGTGACAATCGGGGCCACATATGCCAAGTAACAAGCTAAACCACATGACTATCTAACATGCAAACACTGGTATAACCTATTAACACACTTAACTTAATATCTCCTTTCTTTTCCTCTTTCTTTTAAGGAAGAGTACATTATGAATGGTATGACACAAAGTAATATAAAATACTTTAACATCTCTATTTATAAATTTAAATTTGTGAATGCTCCTAGAGCTCATCAAGCCTGTCTTAATTTCAAATAGACCAAATGAATCAAACTTTTTACAATGTTTTCACAAAATGTCAGTGCCATTTGCACTAGTAAACAAAAATGCCAGGTATGAGTTATCACACTAGCTGGCAATGACATGAGCTTTGAATTGTGGATAGGCCTCAGGGTTACAATCTGCCATATGACCACTGTGTAACAGCTGCCACCATCACTCAACCAACAAGTTCTCAGCATTGCACTGACATAATAATAATGTTAAGAGACTGCAATTAACTTTTAACCTATTTTTTGTTTTAAAACCCAGTGGGGGCTCCAGAATTTCCATATAGAAAAATGGATGGAGGGGGATATGACATTGGGCAGCAACAGTACTTTGAAAGCAGAGCTAAGGGAATTATGTAAAGTGGCATTCACATATAAAACATGTAAGTTTTATTTGGATATTTTGTTATGCAACAGTAAAAATACTAATGTTTTCTAAACATTATTTTATTAATATTCAACCTAAGATTTTATTCTATTTTTTATTTTATTTTTTTAAATACAGGCATAGCTTACTTTACTGTGCTCCACGGATACTGCATTTTTTTTACAAACTGAAGGTTTGTGGCAACCATGTGTTGAGCAAGACTATCAGCACCACTTTTTCCAACAGTATATGCTTACTTTGTGTCTCTGTGTCACAATTTTGGTAATTTTTGCAATATTTCTAACTTTATCATTATTATTGTATCTGTTATAGTGATCTCTGATCAGTGATCTTTGATGTTACTATTGCAATTGTTTTGGGCACCACCAATAAAGCCCATAAAAAAAGGAGAACATAATTGATAAATATTGTGTGTTCTCACTGCTCCACCAACCAGCAATTGCCCATCTCTCTTCCTCTCCTTGGGCTTTTCGATTGGCTGAGACACAACAATATTGAAATTAGGCCACTTAATAACTATATAATGGCCTCTAGTTGTTCAAGTGAAAGGAGGAGTTGCATATCTCTCACTTTACATGAAAAGTTAGAAATAATTAAGCCTAGTGAGAAAGGCACATCAAAAGCTGAGAGAGGCCAAAAGCTAGGCCTCTTGCACCAAATAGTTACCCATGATGTGAATGCGAAGGAAAAGTTCCTGAAGGAAATTATAAGTGCTACTCCAGTGAACACACGAATGATAAGAAACTGAAACAGCCCTTTACTGCTGATACGGAGAAAGTGTGAGTGGTCTGGATAGAAGATCAAACCTGCCACAACATTCATTTAAGCCAAAGCCTAATCCAGAGCAAGACCCTAACTCTCTTCTATTCTATGAAGTCTGAGAATGGTGAGGAAGCTGGAAGAGAAAAGTTGGAAGCTAGCAGAGGTTGGTTCATGAGGATTAAGGAAAGAAGCTGTCTCCATAACACAAAAGTAAAAAGTGAAGCAGCGAGTGCTGATGCAGCAAGTTATCCAGAAGATCTAGCTAAAACAATTAATAAAAGTGTCTACGCTAACTAACAGATTTTCAATCTAGACAAAACAGCCTTCTATTGGAAGAAGATACCATCTAGGACTTTCATAGGTAGAGGGAAGAAGTCAATGCCTGGCTTCAAGGCTTCAGAGAACAGGCTGACTCTCTTGTTATGGGCTAATGCAGCTGATGATTTTAAATTGAAGCCAGTGCCCACTGAGCATTCCAAAAATCCTTGGTTCCTTAAGAACTATGTTAAATCTACTCTAACTGTGCTTTATAAATGGAGCAACAAAGTCTGGATGACAGCATATCTGCTTACAGCATGGTTTAATGAATATTTTAAGCCCATTGTTGAGACCTACTGCTCAGAAAAAAAGATTTTTTTCAAAACATTACTGCTCATTTACAATGCATTCAGTCACCCAAGAGCTCTGATGAAGATGTACAAAGACGTTAATGTTGTTTTCTTGCATGCTAACATAACATCCATTCTGTAGCCCATCAATCAAGGAGCAATTTTGACTTTCAAGTCTTATTATTTAAAAAATACATTTTGTAAGCCCATAGCTGACATAGATAGTGATTACTCCAATGGATCTGGGCAAAGGACACTGAAAACCTTCTGGAAAGGATTTACCATTCTAAATATCATTAGGAACATTTGTGATTCATGGAAGAAAATTCAAACATCAACAGGAACATAAGTTTGGAATAAGTTGATTTCAGCCCTTACAGATGACTTTGACAGCTTCAAACACTTCAGTGGAGGAAGTCTGCAGATGTGGTGGAAACAGCAAGATAACTGGAGCCTGAAGATGTGGAGCCTAAATACGTGACTGAATCACTGCAATCTTGTGATAAAACTTGAGCCAATGAAGAGTTGCTTCTTATGGATGAGTAAAGAAAATAGTTTCTTGAGATGGAAACTATACCTGGTGAAGATGCTATGAACAATGTTGAAATGACAAAAAAGGATTTAGAATATTACATAAACTTAGTTGACAAAGCAGTGGCAGGGTTTGAGAGGACTGATACAAATTTTGAAAGAAGTTCTACTGTGAGTAAAATGCTATGAAACAACATTGCATGCTACAGATAAATCTTTCATAAAAGGAAGAGTCAATCCATGTGTCAAACTTGTTTTCTTATTTTAAGAAATTGCCACATCCATCCCAGCATTCAGCAACCACCACCCTGATCATTCAGCAGCCATCAACACTGAGGCAAGAGCCTCCACCTGCAAAGATTACAACTTGTTGAAGGCTCAGATGATTGCTAGCATTTTTTAAGTAATATTTTTAAATTAAGGTATTTACATTGTATTTCTAGACATAATGCTATTATACACCTAATAGACTATAGTAGAATATAAACATAAATTCCATATGCGCTGGGAAACCAAAAAAATTGCATAACTTACTTTATTGCTGTTTACTTTATTTCAGTGGTCTGGAACCAAACCCACACTATCTCTGAAGTGTGCCTGTATTAGATAATTTGGGGTAGATTGAAGGGCTGATGAAGATTATGGGGTGATAGTGGCCCCACTTCTCAGCACTCTTTGACCTTGCCACCTGTCTCTCCCAGTAGACTATAAAGCTCCTCAGGGATAGAAAACTAGATGTATATATGTCTGCATCCTCAGGGACTTAGGGTTCATGAACTTAGAAAAAAAAATATCCTTTTCACTAATCTCTGAGTGAATCTTCCCATTTCCTTCACTTGTGAATGAGGGAAAAAAGCAAAGTAGTTTCAGGAAAACTTGTGACTATGTCAACAGCAGAAATCACAGTTATTTTCCTATTAGATTCCAGTTGCTATAGAAATCTCAATATTTCACTTATACCCATCAGTACTTGGGAATTGCAGTGATTTTTTGACCTGTTGTTAGCTGTTGTTATTTAATGTGTTAAAATAAAAGCACATAAATTAGTCTTCACATTTTTCAAAATCGTGATCAGTATATTTCCATAAAACTGATTTCCTAAGTAAGTTTTTGCACTTTATCGTATGCCTGTAAAATATTCTGGAAAGGGGTCCACAGGTAACCCCGAAGTACCAAAAAAGTAAACAACAACACCAAAAATTTTAAACCCCTACTATGGTCTGGAGGTGGAACAAAAAGAAAGGGAGGGAGAGTTGAGAACGATTTATAATTCTACTGGTGTAGTTCGCTTGCTTGAGGGAGTGACAAAAAATATCCCCTACCCTGAGCTTGTAAAAAAAGTGTTCCCCATTAGACTTACTCAAGCTATACTTCTGCAATACTATGTGAGTGTTGATTTGTCATTCATAATACTTAAGTGGTCCTGAAACTTAAGAACTTAAATCAAGGGGGAATTTAAGTGATACCTCAGTAAATCCTACTTTTGATGGTGTAGAGTTGCTGTTGGCTAAAGGACTGTGAACTGCAAGAGAATTAGAGAAGCCTGTAGACTTTCATTGAATGATGGCTATTCTGTAATCAACTTCTGAAAGAGGAAAAATGGTGGCAAAATTCTCACTGAATTGCGTATGTGTATCCTGACGGCAATTGAACTAAACCACAGTCCTGTCTGGCCACAGACAGGGTGGATTGGAGAGCTGATGGAGATTATGGGGTGATTAACAGAAAGATTATTAATTAAAAGAATTTCCCTAGCCTCAGGAACTAACTCTACCAGAACCTTCTAAAGTTGGATAAATAATAATAACATTTCAAAACATACCAAAGTTGATTGGAGTACATGAAATTGAAATGGAATGAGTGAATGGGGAGAGTTGAAGAAGGTACCTAGATCTTAATGATGTGTTAACTTCTTTAAAGGTAAACTCTATATATTAAAAAAAATTAAGCTTACTCATAACAGGAAAAAAAGAAAGGAGAGGGTTACCTTAGACTACACTAAAATGGAAACAGCTTACACTTATAAATTCTTCTACCTCAGTCAGGAACCCCAGGGCACTTTGTTGCTGCCGAGATTAAACTATGAATACCACTGTTGAACAAGATATCCAGTTTCCCAGTACCAAAATGTGAGGCTGGATATAAATTAGGTATGTATGTATTATTTTACCATCACAATGCCTACTATGTGCTACTAACCTAAGAGATTAACACATATTCACTCATTTAATTCTTTCTTTTTTTTTTTTTTTTGAGACATAGTCTTGCTCTGTCGCCCAGGCTGGGGTGCTGTGGCACGATCTTGGCTCACTGCAACCTCCACCTCTTGGGTTCAAGTGATTCTCCTGCCTCAGCCTCCCGAGTAGCTAGGACTACAGGCACATGCCACCACCCCTGGCTAACTTTTTGTATTTTTAGTAAAGATGGGATTTCACCATGTTAGCCAGGATGGTCTCGATCTCCTGATCTCGTGATCCTCCCGCCATGGCCTCACAAAGTGTTGGGATTACAGGTGTGAGCCACCACACCCAGCCTCACTCAGTTAATTCTTACAACAACCTCATGGAGTAAATATGATTTTTATTATCCTCATTATACAGATGAGGAAACTGAGCAAATGAGAGGGTAAGAAATTTATTCAAGGTCACATGAATCCTGGCAGAATCAGGTTTAGGGCTGGCCCATCTTCTGAGTCCATGCTCTCAACGACTAAGCTGAGCTCTCTCTCTATATATAATCCTGTCGAGGCCTATCTCTAGAGTGGCCTAAATTGGGGTTACCAACAAGAACCACTGAAAATTACAACTTGAAGTAGACTAGATAGCAGCAGAAAAAAAAAATCCCAGGACTGTTTAAAAGACTTTCTTTTCATTCTCATAGTCATAACTGAGAGAAATTCTGAAATGTCTAATGTATTTCCCAGTATCTTTTGTAAGTATGAAATGTAATAATATTTTAAAAAATCATCTGATACCATAAAAATGATTACTGTAAGGTTATTTAGACATTGGCTCATGATAGAGATAATTCAACTTAAAATATAACAATAATTAAACTACCAGTTTAGAAAATCCCATTATAGATTTCCAATGATGTACCACCCTCTACATCAACACAAAAAGGAACTGAGCTACTTTTTCTTCCCATCCTGCCTTTTACTACAGAAAAAAAAACCCAGAAAGAAAAAAAAATCATAATTCAGACTTCAGAAATGAAATTATAGAAAATCACAACTGGAAAAAAGTTGTTCCCTGACTTCCAAAATCCTGACAGGAGCTTGACAAGAAACATTTTTTGGAAGTCAACCATCTAAAATGTTGCTTATTCATGATGTTGCCAGAGAATACTGAGAGGGAAAGGAGATTGCAATCTCTACTTGTCCAGCTGTCAAAGAAGACAGCAAATTTTTCTTCCATCGAAGAGAAAAAATTTGGAAAAAAAAAATTCACACTGTTGGAAAACTGCATGTCACCTCAGTGGGTTTGAGCAACATTTAAAAATGGATGTAATGTGACAGCAACCACCTGGACACCAATTCAAAAATGACAAAGATTATTGCTGTAGTACAATGTGAGCAACAGGGGATTGGCAAATCGTAACGAAGAAGAGAGTCTACACATGTAAAACTATACAGAAGGCACGATTAGGCTTCAGGGTGTCAGGGAACACAGAAATACTACACAAGGTGGGAGCTTACAAGCCTGAGATGTATTTTTCATTTAGCATTCATTGTAATATTTTACCCAGCATTCATCTCAACATAACTACTAGTTAGGCAGTTTAATGATAATAAATCAATGACCTGGTATGGTTGCCAACTTGTACAGGGGTTATATATCTTTAATGGTTAACTGGAACACTAGTATCTGAAGAGCATCTTTAAGTGGCAACTAATATCCGTCATTAGAGTGGATTTTTTCTTCTTCTTAAAGCTGGAGACACATATACCAGTAGAGTCAACTGTTAGACACATGTAAATCAAGGCAAACTAGGACTTCAAACCAGTATAGAACGGCAGCTGCAAAAGTGTTTGATGGAATCTTTCTGAATCTCTATTCTTCCCCCACCTGTTCTCTCAGGCCATTCCTTCCTCCCACCAGCTCCCTCCAGTCTCATTTTTCAGTAGGTGTATTCTATTAACAAATCCCATCTTGTTTGTAGAGTATGAAAAACCATCTCAGGTCAGAGATTATTTTTATCTACCATCATTATTCTGCATTTCAGCTTTTGGGAGACCTTCTTATTTGAATTCCAGTCTTCATATGTGTTTTACCTTTCCACAATTCAGTGCCTTTACTTAAACAGACTCCGTCAGTATCAGTTTTTGCTTCCTCTGGATTCCCTTACCCTGATTTTGACCTTCTTCCCCAAATAGAGCAGGAGCTATTTTATTTTTTCTATCTTGGATACAAGGCACAGTCCCTTATATTAGTAGGTGCTCAAAATATTGTTGTAGATATGAAGTACAATACACTGAGAAGATTATAGAATATTTTGTGGCCATCCTCTTTTATTCTCACAGAATATAAAGAAGGCTTTTGATCACAGGTGCAGATCACATGAATGGTAAGAAGCCTGGTCACCTAGTCAACCTGGTGATGAATCAAAGCAAAATCCCTGTGCATCATTTCCTCTTCTACAGGCACCCATTTGGCTTTCCAGGATCACTCTTGCCTTTCGTGTCTCAACATTGCAGGTGTTTCTTCTGGAGTCCCTAAGAAAGGGACGGTCCTCAATCAGGGGTGTAAGCTTAAATGCTGTAGTGCCCTCCGGTGAAAGAAAGAAGAGAGGGAAGGAGGGAGAAGGGCGGGGAGGCAAGAGGCCAGGAGGAAGACAGAGGAGAGACGGGGGTCAGAGAGTGGAATAGGAATTTAACTTCATTTCATTTTTCTCGATAGAATTTGTTTCAGAAGTTCCTATTAAGCCAGAAATATTTGGGCGTGACATTGATATGGAGGATAGGAACTTCCGAAACAAATTCTATCATGAAAAATGAAATGAAGCTAAACTCCTATTCCATTCATTATCACATTAAAATGATCCATTTTCATAGAACTCTTATTCTTATAGGTGACAAGCTCTGTGCAATATAATGAGCAATAGAATTACATCAAGTAAACATGAAGATAAATAAACCTTGAAAATAAATTGTGTGGTATTTAAAAATTAATAAATGCAGTAAAGCAAAACATAAATAAATCAAATTCCACTTTTCCCATTGAACATTAGACTAATTTAGTTTATAAACATGTTCCTAAAATTTTGTATTCTGTCAAATTTGTCTCATATCATTGGGAAAACTCAGCATTTATTACCATTTGACATCACATCCTCACATTTTTATCCCAGTATTACATTAAAATGAATCATATACTCTTGGCTTTGCTTTTATCTTCTTGATTTTTCAAAGGATGCTTGTACCCAACATGTAACATTCATTATTTGTCTAATAGTTGTTTAAAACTTCAACATAACTCAAGAGTATGATATGAGAGTTACATACATGAATACAGTATTGATCAAAATAAAGCACTGACTGAAATATGGAAATAAGGTCTTGTGTCTTTGTAAATGACAAATACATCAGGCAGAAAGTAACTGTTATAATGTATTAATAAGTAAAAATTAATTGCCAGCACAATATACAATTTTATGTTGCATTTTTTACCTTTGTATTGCAAAGAAGGGCCTCTCATTTATGAACACTATTGTGATGGACATTCTTTTTGGGTAGAGATAATTCAATATCAATGAGCTTTATTTACTTATGAGTATGATCAGTATTGCTGCTTTTTGGAAAGTTGGAAAATGGAGCATTTTAGTGACTTTTCTAGGTACAAATCTGGCTTTGTCACCTTTGCTAGTGGGTGTAGTGAAGGAACCTCTAGCCCAAACCATGACAAGATGAGTGAAAGCATTGGGAAGAAGTCAAGCAATAATTGAAATAGCCACAGGATAGTAATACTAGGACAATGCCAGAGTGCCTCTCCAGGGGCCTCTGATCATGAGGAAAACGGAAATAATTCAACACTGATTGTATAACTGTGATATCTGCAATTTTAAACTCCCTCTTTAGGATTTTCCTGGAGTTTCTTTCTGACAACTATAGGGACACCGCTCCTTGAAGACACAGGCCACACCACCTTCACCTCCATATCCTCATTGCACTCTGCACTCAATAAATATTCATCAGGGGACTGTGGACTAAAATGCTAACCCCAGAGTTCTCTCTGGCAAAGAAGACTAGAACAAAAGTTCTCCCTGCAGATTGCCCAGACATGAAGGGATTGAGATTCAGGATGTGACATGAGTCTAAACTTTTTATTCTCTCCCTTGCAAGAATTATGCCCTGAGGGCATAACTTCCTGTCTAGAGCTATTATACTCTGGCAAACACATAATTTCAGATGAAAGAGAGAGAGCAGGTCCAGGGTTTTTACTTTTAAACATGCTATGCCTATTTTGGATATCTTAACAATAAAAAGCCTTCAGCATTGAAAACCAGAGGTCTTTCCTATCATTCTATGCCCCACAACATTTACAGACTTACAGGCAATTCAAGTAAAACTCTCTCAGGAAGTCCTGATTTGCCCAAATTCTCTGAACAGTTCTGCTGACAGGACCATATAGGAAAATAAATTAAACTCCAGTTGGGCGGGGGGAGGGATAAGAAGGAAAAAGCCAAAATTGTGACCAAATGTTAGGCATGAAAAACAGTCACAAGGTTTATGAATAATATGTGATCAAAGAAGCACATGGAAAGGAGGAATATACAAATCGATGTGAAAACAGCAAATTACTTCCAGTGGTGGCCTTTACAAAATTCATTTGAGAAATGCTTATTAAATGCTTACTCTGTGCAAAACACTGAAGAAATTTAACAATGGACAAGGCATCATCTTTGCTCATTCAGTGTCCATCCTCCAAAGGGATGACAAGCTTATGGAAAAGTGTAACTCAAGCTGGTAATGTGGCAGACATTACTTAGAAATGAGAGAGGGAAATGTCCTACTTCAGGCCACATCTCAGATGGATCTTGAAAGGTGAGTAGACTTTTGAAAGGCAAGGTGGGAAAAGGCATGTCAGAAGTGGGGGTGTGGCGGGTTGTGGGAAATGGCACGCCCAGGGGGCTGTGAAGAGAGCAATGCTCCTGGACCCAAAGTGTCAGGTGAGGAGAGCATCAGAAATAACGCTACAAAATAAATCAAGGCCAGGCTGAGTTTATATTTAACTTCAGATGAAATAAGGAGCCAAACAATATGTCTATGCAGGAAAATTAGATGGCCATGGTAGTGTTTCAGGAATATTAACCCAGTGGCTATAAGAGAGAATGCCATAGGGGAATACTAACATGAGGTGGCCAGTTAGGAGGCTATGATGATACCCCAGTCTTTAAATTAAAAAGGCCTGAGGTGGTTTCAATGGACTTATGTGTCTGGTGATGTTTTAAGTATGTGAAAACTCAAGAGGGAGGTCGTTTAAGGACAGGATGTGGGAGAGAAGGAAGCGAGAGTCAGAGATGACTGCCAAGGGAAGCCTCGATAACTGGGATGATGGTGACTCTAAAAGGAGAATTCGGAGCCAAGAGGAGTTGCTACCTCAGGAAAAAAGATGATGAATTTGGTTTTTTTAAGTTTATTTGAATTTAGTTCATGCGAAGGCAGCCCATCCAGGTGGCAATATATAGCAGGTAACTTTACATGCAACACCAGTTGGAGAAATAGGGATTTTTTATTTATCACCAACTCAGAGTAGTTGAGTGAAACTGCTTTTCTCATTGGCTTCAATTTCCTTTGAAGAAGATTAAATATGAATAAAGATTACCAGAGTAGGCTGAATGATGGCCCCCAAAGATACCCCTGCAACCTGTAAATGTTACCGTCTGTGGAAAAAGGGTCTTAGCAAATGAGATTAAGAATTCTGAGATGGGGAAATTATTCTAGATTATCCAGATGGGCTTAAAATGAATCACAAATGTCTTTATAAAAAAGACACATGGGGAAATTCAACCCAGACAAATAAGGGGAAGGCAACGTGACCACAGAGGCAGAGACTGGAGTGATGCAACCACAGGCCAAAGAAGGCGAGTGGCCACTACTGGCAGGAAGAGGAAAGAGAAAGGTTCCTCTCCAGGGCCTCTGCGGGAACGCAGCAGAGCTCCCCCACATCTGGACTTCCACACCGCGACACTGATTTCAGACTTCTGACCTCCAGAACAGTGAGAGAAAAAATTTCAGTTGTTTCACATCACCAGGTTTGTGGTGGTTTGTTACAGCAGCCACAGGAAACTAACACTATTTCAAATAATTTCTACCACTTAAATGAGAACTTTCAATATATGCCTAAATGGTGATAATCAAGACAATGTTTTTTAATTCAAAGAATTTCTTGTATTTTACATTAAAATATTATCATAAGAGATCATTTTTTGTCACAAAGTTCTTCGGAGTTAGAGAAGCCATGTTTCAAAAACATCTCAATTTATTTAATTTTGTTTACTATACTTTTAAATAAACATCTCTGTATCAGACACCAAAAACTTTTAACTATCTACTACCTTCCACTTTCCAGACTAAATAAGGAATGTCACAAATTAACAATAGCAGGTTGGTATTGAGATACTATCAATAATAACATAAAAACAGCAAAAATGAAAACCACAAATGTAGAAAAGGGGCTTGGTGGAGAAAAGAACCCTTATCATTATGTACTTAAGAAAACAGAATAACATACTTCCTAAATATTATGTTTGCTGCATGAATTACAAATATATTGACAATTTCCCATATCTACCATATTTTACAAATTTGTTTTTACCTATCCAATCATATAACCAAAGAGTTCCATAAAGAAAACAGGTTTTCATATTGTAAGTTCTTAAATATTTCCTTACATGTTTCTAACTTTTAACCTTGACATATAATATTTAAATTAAATTCTAAATATCTTAAGAGAAAATGAAGGACTGATTTTTGCCAGAATTATTCCTTATGCAGTCATATTTAGAATGACCACCCTTAATAGAAAGAGAAGCATCATTCACACTACAGTAAGCTTACTTTCTCTGTAAGTGTCCTTAGACTAATATAATCAATATTCCTTATAGCCAGATTACTTCATCTTAAAAAAAAAAAGCAGGCAAAAAGACTTCTGAATCTCAGGGAATAGCTAGTTTGAAAATTCAAATGTTATTTTAATAAATTACAAAATGAATACCACACTTATTTTTTAAAACAACTGAAATTTTTTCTTACTCAGATGGCCATTGTCTAAGAGTCCAACTGGCATGCTCATTGCAGTAGCATACCTGAAGTTACAACAACACAGCAAAGATTGTCAATGGCATGTAACTTCATAAAGATCCTGTCAAAAGACAAAATTACAACAAATTTAAAGATATAATTGGTTTTTCTTTTTCTTTTTCTTTTTTGAGATGGAGTCTCGCTCTGTCGCCCAGGCTGGAGTGTAGTGGCGCAATCTCGGCTCACTGCAACCTCCGCTCCTGGGTTCACGCCATTCTCCTGCCTCAGCCTCCTGAGTAGCTGGGACTACAGGCGCCCGCCACCATGCCTGGCTAATTTTTTTATTTTCATTTTTAGTAGAGACGGGGTTTCACGGTGTTAGCCAGGATGGTCTCAATCTCCTGACCTTGTGATCTGCCCACCTCGGCCTCCCAAAGTGCTGGGATTACAGGCGTAAGCCACCGTGCCCGGCCCGGTTTTTCTTAAATTTAAAGATCCAATAGGCTTTTATTGAATTCTAAAGTCGGGCAACATCTCATTCCAGAAAACAGAATGAGTGTTCTAATGAACTGATCAGGAGTATGGCTTTATAGGCAGAAAAGGGCTAAGAAAAAGCAGAAACCGTGAACAAAAGAGAAGTGGTTGTTTCAAAGTTACTTTCCTTATGGAATTAAAACAGAGACGACTTCCTTATCATGCCAGCTCAGGTAAACTGGGCCCCTTCTGATTGGTTGCTGTAAATCTCCTCTTTTGAAAAACTGGCTTGTTTCAAAGTTCAGTTTGATTATGTGGCACAGCGATTCCATTCTGGTTTTGTCTGGTCTGTTGGGCCTAGTGCTGGAACTCAGTCCAAAGCAATGAACTCTTGTAAATTTCATTTAACGATTCCATATATTCTTTTAAAAAATATTAAAAATTTAAAAAATAAGACAAATAGAAATGTACTGATAAATTCCAAACTGCTTAGTAAGGTGGAAAATCACAGCTGTTACAGACACACAAAAATAATTCTGTAAGTGAATTATGTTCTTGTTGAGTGGCAAAATGTAAAACAAAAACAAAAACAAAACTCAAGAATCTGTACATCAGGGAAAATGTTTAAAAGTGTTAGATTCAAATAAAGATCTGTAGATCATCTCCTTGAAAGGATATTCTAAGCATATTTCAAAAGGGATTAAATAATAAGGAACTCTTTCAAATGTAGATAACTATATTTTTTTAATTTAAATTTTGTTCACCTATCTTCTACAAATGCTTATAAATGCCTAAATGAATTTATTTTCTTGACAATGGGCATATTTTTAATCAAACACTAGAGATGCAGGCTGGTGAGAATCAATTAAAATCCTATTGTGTAAGTGTTCAATAATCTAGAAGGAAAGGCATTATAATTAGAAGTAATCTGCATATATAATTTACGTTGTTTGGAAAGCCTAAATCATTGCTAAGAGTTACATGAATTTTTAGAAAACAATTGCTAATTTTACTTCACTTCACTTTGATTTTTGAGTCTCTGAGGCCTACTTCTTAAAGCCTCAAACAAGTTTAGTTAAAATTATCTTCCTCTACTGTGCAACAAGTTTAAGCAGAAAAACAAAATGCTTTTCCTACTTCTCTTACAGCCTAAGTTATAGAAATCGGTGTAGATGCTCTTAGGCTCTTTTATTCTTGGCTGCCTATGAAAAATTTCTCTTGCTTTTTCTCCATTCTGACCCAGATCCCCCAATTACATTCCGCAGCACACCAAAATTGCTCCTGTTGTTTTACACTGTTGAAAGGCAGGGTAACAGGATGGTTAAGAGGGTTGGCTCAAAAGCCAAACTGTGGAGACTGTAAGCCTGGTCCTGCCACTTTACAGCCAGGAAATCTCAGACAAGTTACTTAGCTTTCCTTTGCCTCTGTTTAAGAGAAGATAATAATAGTACCAATTCATGGGGTTGTCGTGAATCTTAAAAGGGGATGGATAGATAGATAGATAGATAGATAGATAGATAGATAGATAGATAGACCTTAGCACATAATAGGATCTGAGTTAGCTAATGCTCTGACTGCTTTGTGTATATTTCTCTTTAAGACAGAGAAATGGAGATAAATCTCAGTGTTTTTGAGTTGAAAATTAGAAAAATTAAGATTGACCAGGAAATAAAAAGAGACCAGGGTTCTTTAGGATAAAAAGAAAAAAGGCTTGGCTAGAGGGAAAAGAACCAGTCTGCAAAGCTCATTGACAGCACATCTTTGTAGTGCAGTCCTTCCCTGCATCTGTGCAGATGTTATACCTTTAGAAGACTTGGAGAGAAGGAGTCAGGGAAGAAAAGATGGAATCAGTCACTCAAGACTTGGGAAAGCCACCTTTCCTACAGCTTCACAATCATTACATGCAACTGAAATACTCTACACATTTATTATATATTCACATCAGGTACAAAGAATTTTTAAAAGCATTTAACATCCTCCCAAATAAGTAAATATTGCAATTCATGAAATTGTCTCAGATTACTAAAGCTGTCATCTGTTGATTTTAATGTTTAAAGGGTTATTTTCAAAAGAAGAAGTACAATAGCTAATTCTCACAAATCAAGAGACTGTGTGTTGTATTTTGAATTACATTTGAGGGATTATTCCATTTTTGTTTAAAATCTGATTTATTTAATGGAGAAGTAGAAATATTCTTCAAGGGGTGAGAAAGAATTAAATGCATTTCTTACTTAACTAACCTGGAACCAATTACATCCTAATACATGTTCTATCATGTTACATTGGTTCAAAAACGGCAGTTAAAAATACACACACACAGACCACACACACACACACACAAAAGTCCTCTAGGACATGCAGGAATTGCCTTTGGGAGCACCTGTTTTAGGGAAGTGACAAGTGGTACGCCTATTTTCCTACGGCCGTGATGCATATGGCATATTAGGAAGGCTTTTTTAGCACTATTTTTGTCAAAGATAATAATAAATATAATGTGTCTAATTCTGGTACTCAGAACTAAATGGGAACATAGAAAACATCACCAAAGTTCCAAAGAAATTCACAATTAGAACAATGAGGAAAGATTACGGAAACTTAGATTATTTATCTTGGGTAAGAGACCACACTAAATAGTATCTTCTAATTCAAGATGCCTACAGAGAGGATGATGAAGATGAACAGCTCTTGTCACTATCTTTGGAGCTGGAATTGTCTTCAGCTTCATTCTCTTCCCACTGTATATGTGCTCCTGGAATGAGATCATCCATGGCTTCTACTGTCTGTATGATATGGTCCCTAAACCAGATCTCCCTATCCACATAGCCAATTGTCTTAGGACATCTCCAAATGTCTGAAATAGAAATAGAAAATTAAAAGTCATCATATCTCAGCCTTCCTGCAATACTCTCCCTACATACAAACACACTTACCACCATTACCTTCACCCTCACCACATATTTCAGAGAATAGCATTTCTACCTCCTAATCCAAACAGGGTATCTTCAACCACTCTACATTTCCACATCCAGTCCATCACCCACATTTATTAGTTCAAATTCCTTCAAATCTCAGGATTCCATTATTTTATTTTTTTCATGTCCTCTGCTACTACATGATTTCCAGCCATCGTTTCTCAGCTAGATTGATGCAAGGAACTCCTAACTGGTCTCCTCTCTAATCCATTCTCTCTACATCCACTAGACTACAGTAATAAATCCAAAATGAAAAGCTGACTATATCACTCCCCTGCCTGAAGTTACTCCACAGATGCCAACAGCTCTCTGCACCTCACACTAATATCTGCCACACTCCTTGGTCTGATCCTAAAGAAGTGTTTTCTTTTCTCCAAACCTGTTCTCTTTTTACCTCACACTGCTTCCCACTCTGAACATATTCCATTCCTTACCTACCTATTTCCTACTTATCTTAAAGGTTCAGATCAGATAGTGCTTTTGGGAAACCTTACAAATTTTTCTCTGTGTTGCTCTGCTCAACAAGCTAAATTAGTTATCCCATGTCTGCATTCCCACATTATGTTCTATTAATTATAGTGTATTTTAACTGTCTATTAATTTATCTGCTTTTCCCTTTTGTCCATCAGGTCCTTAAGGTCAGGATTTTTTGTCATTGAATCCAGAATGAATTTTCTGAGTGCATTTTTTGTCATTGAATCCAGAATGCCTGGCACACTGCCTCATATATGAGAAGCACTCTTTAATTGTTCAATAAATAGAATGAATAAAGGACATAGATTGTAAGAATCAAAACACACAAAGGGGGTGCTTGGAAATGTTTTTGGGTGCACTAATTCAGAAAACATATTAACTTCACTGAAATGTTTTTAAATTAAATTGTATTTTGATGTTGGGGACAAAGTTCTAAGTTTTCCTCCCCTCCAAACAGGCTCTGAGGCAGAGATTTGTTATGCAGGAAGTTTATTGAGGAGTATTCCCAGGAACAATGCCTGTAAAGTAGTGAGAGAAACGGGATTGAACTGAAGGAGAAGGTGAACTACAAGGCACTTACAACAGAGACCTCAGTTGATCCTAATGGGACCTCTGAACCTGAGATGACCCTTCACAATGGGCTCATCAAGGCAGTAGGGCTGGGCTTCTGTGCTCCTACATCGCCCAGTCATTAGATGCAGGTTACTGCCAGGGAGGAACCATGGCCTTGGTGAGACAGCTACTTTGAGAAGAGGCCAATTCCCATTGAGAGAATTAGTTTTGAATCATCATCAGGCAACACTACTAGCAACTGAAGGATTGGATGTCTCATTTCTGTAGGGGATATCGAGGTGGTACATACAGCACGCATTTTAGTTCACTCCTCAGGCCACTCAGATCCACCTAGTTCATATAGTAAGTTAGTAAATTCTCACTCTCTGGGAGCAGGTCCTCGAGGATTCTAGTCTATCTCTTCTCCTGTAGAAATTTACAAGAGGAAAGTTAGTGGGACAAACTATAGCTCCCAACACAGGTGGTCTCAAGGTCACAGCTGATATTCATTGTCTCCATCCTCTACTATCCCTTGCCAATTCTTCTTATCTTTGGCTAGCATCTCTTCCAGTCCAGGTTGTTTGCTGGTATATAACACAGACCCTCGTCTAGAAGGGGACTGAGTCCCTAATCACCACACCTGTCTTAGGTCACAGCTGCCCACACTTGTCCGTTTGAATAGGGGGTACTAAGTGAGACCTAAGTGGATCAGCTGGGTGCCAAAAATATTTTTTTCCTTTCTCCCATTGTGCGACAATGGCCATACTTCCTCCTGAGGATACGTTACCCTTGCCAGTATGGATTATTGTTTTCCTTGCCTGCTGGTCTCTGGGTATGAGGAACCTGAAGTAAGCAGGGAGCAGCTGCAACTTCAAGTTTGATGGAAATCTTACCACGCCTTCTTGTGGCAGCATTCCCTGTGTTAGAACCAGGAATTCTAGGTAAACATAGCCCAAATATCTAAAAGTGGAAAGCAAAAAATGTCCCTAAAGGGTGACTAGGAGAGGTGGTAAGCAGGGACACTCCTGTTCCTTTTCTGTTGGTTCCTGGACCTATTGATTGTAGTACTGGGAATACAGCACTGTAAAATAGTCATTATTTTAGGCTATATACTATATCTGAAAGATGGCACCCCAACCCCACAGGTATCATCTCCAAGCTGGTTCCTTGCAGATGCCATGCCAAACTACTACCTCACCTTCAAAAGGCCGTGCCATGGGTTTCTCAGGCTGACAGCTTCTAGGAAGTATGATATGTGATAGCATCCAATGTAATGTGCCCACCCCCACAACTACCCTTGCTGTAAAGTGTGCCCCTTGATCTAAAGCAATGTAATATATACACAATGTTGATAGAACAGAAACTTGGTCAGGTACAGTGGCTCACGCCTGTAATCCCAGCACTTTGGGAGGCTGAGGCGGGCAGATCACGAGGTCACAAGTTTGAGACCAGCCTAATCAACAAGGTGAAACCCTGTGTCTACTAAAAATACCAAAAAAATTAGCCGGGCATCATGGTGCATGCCTGTAATCCCAGCTACTCAGCAGGTTGAGGCAGGAGAACCGCTTGAACCCAAGAGTTGGAGGTTGCAATGAGCTGAGATTGCACCATTGCACTCCAGCCTGGGCGATAGAGTGAGACTCCATCTGAAAAACAACAACAACAAAAAAAACCCAGAAACTCTAAAGCCCTCAAACAGTGATGCCAGCTGAGCTTCAGAAGTTAGGAAAGGCAAAGTCATACCTGGGGGCTGATGATATTCATTGACAACTAGCTGGCTCCTCTCACAAAGAGATGGTGCCATATTGGAGGCTCAGTGTTGGTCTCTGCTGCTGTCAGATTAGGCATTTGGCAACAGCAGTGGCCAGGTCAATATTGTTGAGTGGGAATACATGCCATATGGCCCATTCATGGACTCTGTCTTTTTCACCATGTCTACTCCATTCATGCAATCATTGTGTCAGCATTGGAGTGGCCAATGACTACGGTCATTTTCTCTATTTTATTTTTAGAGCTTTTTCGGTGGTGATTGCCCTCTGACAGGCATTAACAGATACATACTACAAAGATCTTCACACTTCATGACCATTCAATAGGTCCATCTATATACCACTTCCTATACCCCCTCATTCCTAATCTTTCTTTTTTTTCTTCTTTTTTTTGAGACTGAGTTTCGCTCTTGTCACCCAGGCTAGAGTTAAATGGCACGATCTCGACTCACTGCAACCTCTACCTCCTGGGTTCAAGTGATTCTCCTGCCTGAGCCTCTCGAGTAGCTGGGATTACAGGCGCCTGCCACCATGCCTAGCTAATTATTGTCTTTTTAGTAGAGACGGGGTTTCATGTTGGTCAGGCTGGTCTCAAACTCCTGACCTCAGGGGATCCACCCACCTCAGCCTCCCAAAGTGCTGGGATTACAGACATGAGCCACCACACCCAGCCTAATCTTTCAATCTCTCCTAGGTCCCTCACCAGCCGGCCAAGCCATTCACCATTAACCATGAATTTGTGTATATTCTTAACTTGGACCATACAAAAGGTGCAATGTGCAAACCTCTGACCTTTGGGAGGATTTCCTCTCATTGCTATAATTCAGAGGCACCTTTGAATGAGGTAGTAGTGCTGCAGCAGTACATTTCTGGCTGGCATTCATCTAATAAGCTGATAAATTCATGAACCAAGCTCATACTTTTTCCTTCTTTATCAACTAGGATAACATCCCCCACCTTGGATGCAGCTATTGGTGTGAGCAGAGGAAGAAGTGCAGTTTCCACTGTGGTCCCTCACATGTGGAAAGGGGCCACCTGCTCATGCAGTTTTCTTCTGCCTTCTGGCCTTTGCTGTGTTCAATCCCAGATGTAGTAGTTTCATTTCAGTGCTTCATACTACCAACACCCAGTAGCACACACTAAAGTTATTTTTCCAAAGGTGCATAATTATTAGCTGCAGAGGGCATGTCTTTGCTCCTAACCCTATGGTTCTGTTTTGTCATTTTCCTACTGGGGTTTGCACAAGAGATGCCAGATTATATGACTCTAGTGGCAGGGCTGATTTCACTGTGGCATGAACTTGCTATCCAGCTCTTTTCTATTCTAAAACCCAATCAAAGTTGACAGCATTAAAATGTCCCTTAGTAAAAGACTGGAACAGTATTACTAAGTGTGAAATATGTATGCTACCTCCAGAACCCAAAGAGGCTTGTCAGATGTTGTGTTTCCTTCTTAACGTGTCTCACTGCTTAATTGCAATAGTTTCTCCTTTACTTTGGAGAGGCTGTCCCGGCATGCCTCAGACACCTAAAGCTGATGGAGAAGACCCCTGTATCCCCATAAGGTCTACCTCCTGCCTTCTAGATCACACATGCCTTACCAAGACTTGCCACTTACTGCAGATAAGTCTGATAAACATTATGCCATCAAATAACAGATCCATGTGAGATTCAGCAGATGTCCAGACAGTCCAGGTTCCTTAAGAGTCCAAGACAGACAACATAGCCCTGGGGCAAGACTGTAAGTTTTTACTGTTATCTAATTCAAGTGAATGTGAAGTGCTTCTGTTCCTCCTCCCTGATAAGATGAGAAGAAATGGATTTGCCAGATCAATGGCTGCCAACCATGTACTTGAAGCCTGGTTGAGTTTGTGATAGCCCTCTGTCATTCACTAGAATTTATATGTTTTTTGTAGGGGCCAGACTTATGCTCATCACCATTTTCTTTGCTATCAGAGAGTCCAATTCTGTAACAGCATCTTTTCAGTGAACCTTGGACAACAGAGGATGGCTACCACTGGCTTTTCAGGGATGATGATGCTCCTCTCACTAATATTTTTATTATCTGTTTGGCTCCAGGTCCTCCAGAACACGACCATCTGTTAGTTTTTCAGCCCTCTGTGTACCAACACAACTTCTCTGAGCCTTTTGATTAGTTCATCCACTGTCTGCTACAGCAAAATTCTGGCATTTCTATTTATTATAGTATTGGTCATCATTTTTACCAAGCTTTCAAGAATCATTTTAGCAATATGTTAACACCATCTCCCAAAGCCCTTGCCAGGGTGTTAAATTCTCTATCATTAGCAAGTGATCCCACGTTCATAAACTCTCCCTTATTCAACTTTCTGTTCCAACCACTTTGAACCAGCACCCTCTGGATCCAGTCCAACATATATGCTCCCAATTCCTGGAGAACACATGGCTCTTTGAGCTTCCTTCCATAGCAGACCCAGTATATTCTTGTCCATGTTATGTTGGGAATTGACCCTAGATATCAGCCTGATGGCTTCAAGGTTGGTTGAGAAAAAAAAAACAAAAAAAACTGTAATTCAGTTGTAACACAGGTCTCAGCCAAACTTACAGAGAACTTTGGCATTAAGATAGTCTTTGGGAGTTTCCTCATCAAAACAAGGGGCTGTGGCTTTGTACTATCTATGTTGTTGAGTCACTGGATGTGAGCTAGCCCCTGGGAGGCAGGCATTACCTTGGAGAGGGCAGCTTCCTGCACCAGCAGTCAAGTCCAGTAGAGGGACTTAGCCGTGAGTCATCAGCAGACAACACTTCCAGTAGGTGGGGAAATAGTGCCTCGGTTCTGAAAGGGGGATCTGGGTACCCACCAGAGCATCTACCATAGAAAATATGCCAGTAAGACAAAAATTAGAAAGCAAACCTTACAAACTCTGCCATTACCTCTTCTCTGGCACCACTGAGGGGATAAACAACTGTGGTATACTGATTGTCATTTCACGTGGTCAACATTTTTAGGAGAGTAAATAAATGGATTGTGAGATTTGTTCTTCTTGCAAAGACTTAGGCGATCACAAGAAGTGAAATGTTTGGTAGAAAATAATGGTGCCTCAAGGGTAGACCTAAGTACTTTCGTCCTCAGATCCTAGAAAGCTAGACTCTGAAAACTTCTGGCCTCTCAGAAGTTTCTGGAAGTTTTTATCCCCTATGATAGTACAATAAGCTCAAACTCTAACAACTCTTTTGTGTCTTGGAGTTAAACATTAGATTTCTTTGGTACAAGTTTTATTCATTTGCATAGCAAACAAATCTATCCTATGTTCCTAGTTCCTGGTGATTTTAAAAGGTAATGCTGTACACATATATGACTGCACACAGCATTTTTTTTTAAAAAGGTGTGCAATCATAGAAAAGCAAATGACCAAAGCTACCCGCTCACATCTCAGATACCCCTTGACCTACTTAACGGACAACTTCTCAGAAAGTGCATATGGACTTCTTTCTCTTCATGTCATGGGATATAAAACTAAAGGCATGTATGTAGATCATTGCAAGAAAATTATTTGAGTTTCTAATATCTTTATTATCCAATGGAAATATATGTAGAGGCTTGTTAACTCAGGAATACATTAAAAATGATTAAAATGTTAAATAAAATAATGTAATACAATTTAATTATTTCATTGTATTTGTAAAATATTTTCCAAAGATTTTACCTTCTTTGAGCTCTTCCAGAGCCTATTAGGTAAGCAGGAATTATTTTACACACATTCCTATATATGGAAACTGAGGCAAATGTTAAATTATTTTGTTAAAACTCACACAGCTAATGAGAAATCCTCCCAAGGCCTGACTGTGGTCTTTTTGCATCAAAGTCAATATTGCTCAGCTGCACCAGGTAGTCACGTATAAACATGGTGTATACTTGACCTTCAGAAAAATAGCTCGTTTTTATGTACCTAGAAACACACTTCCCAACGGAGAATCTACAAAACAAATAAAAATTAATTTGGATTGGGGTTTTAACTTTTTGTACATGCAAAACACAGCCACAGCTCAGAATTTCTCTCCTCTAGAGGATACCTCACTTGTTTTCATCCTTGAAGCAAACACTGTGGGAAAATTAGAAAGAGCTGGTTCAGCTGATTTAAAGTTATCTTAGCAACAACATTTCCCATGTTATGCTGAGCAGAAAATTCCTGAAGTTTCAAATTTTGCATGATGTTAGACTTTCCTGAAACATAGGGCTGTATGAGGTTTTAAAGAATTGATTGATACTTTTAAAGTTAGAGCAATTTCCATTTTTTAAAAAGGAGATCATTTCCTATCTTTTTTATCTTGAAGAGATCCTCTTCATAATGATGATTACCCTAGCTACTGAGTATTTTCTCCAGGCAAAAAAGGCACTTGAGCAGCACATCTGTAAACTTATCCCAACCCCATAGTCCACGTGGAGGCTGACTTCAAAGCAAAGAGAAGCCCTAATAAGAATTACACACAACACAGTAATAATACTTCTTAATAATAGCACCTAACAATTATACAACGCTTTGCACTTTCAAAGCATTTTACAATCATTAATTAGTTTATCCACACAACATCCCTGTGACTTATGCCAGTATTATTATCCTCATTTTTAAAATGAGGAAACTAAGATCTAAAGTGATTAAGTGCCTTGCCCAAGGTCACACAGCGAATCAGTAGTACGCTCTGTACTTGATTTCATAACTCTGTCTAATTTTCAGGACTGATAGAGAATGTGAAATCTTTGAGGTCCACAAACCATCTGCTTGGAATACAAACCTATTGTTTTCCCACTTGCCAATAATACCCTCCTTTCTTCATTGATTTCTATAAAACAAAGCTAAGAAATTAAGAATCTTCCCTTTAAAATATCTAAGTATATAATAAACTCATTTAAATTAAAGAAAAAGTAGAAAGGAAAGACAGTGTGTATGAAAATCATGTGCTCTCCGATATCCTGTCATTAGGATAAATGTATTTGTGATGGATCCCTAAATTATGTTTTCTGTCTAGCAGAAAAGAAGTTGACAGCCCAACCACATCCTGCAGCTATAATTAATATAGACAGCTCCTTGTTCCCAAATATGACCTCTTACTAACACCAGCACCCCTACCACTAATCAAGTGAACCAATCAAAGGAGCCTACGTAATTTTTTTCTCCCTATGATACTGAAAAATTGCCTCTGGGCTCATTAAATTTGAGGAGATATATATCTAGATAAACAAAAGAAAACTTTTTTTTTAACTTTTGGAAATTTATCCTAATATGTTCCCTATCAGAATTGGTTAGAATAAGCTAGGATATGTTCCAGACCAAACAACATTCAAATCTCAATGACAGAACACAAATCTATTATTTCTTGCTCATAGTACGCATCCATCTTAGGTTGGTGGGAGCAATCTACTCCACCTTGTCTTCATTCAAAAACCCAGACTGACAGAGCCATAAACATATGGGTCACTTGGACAGGAGGAAAGAATATTCCAAACTGCACGCTAGATTTTGAAGCTTCAACATGGAAGTGGCACATCATCCTTATGCACACTTCACTGGCCAATGGCTAATTCAAATGGGCATCAAAGTGCAACCCTACCATGTATGCAGAAGAAGAGAACCAGAATAGACGGGAATCCCAAATAATGACTACTCAACTTTCTGGTCACCAAATATTTGACACATTCCTCTTCCAGCCTACTTCCTGTCTCAAAGTGACAAATGTCAGGGCCACATAGTCTTTTAGACAAAGATATGTGTTAAAAGCCAGATCATAATTTGCTATCTTCCCTCACCCATGATGGCCACTAGCAACATTTCAGACAGTGGAGGCTCTATTGGCTGAATAAGCATGAAGCAGCACAGAGCTCCCATCTAATCAATAGTGGAATCATAGCACGAACAAGAAATAACCTTTTGTTGTTGATTTAAGCGCTGAGATTCTGCAGTTGTTTGTTATTGCAGACTAAGCTGGCCAGTCATCTTACAAGGTAGTATGGATTGATAACAGCCATATTTCACTCACAAAAGTCAGATGAAACACCTCATTATCAATAAGCTCCAAAAGAAAGGGAAAAATAGGGAATACAAATGGGTGACAAAATTGGCCTTGATGTCCATTATGCCTAGTTATCTCTATACTCCTTTTTTTCTTTTCCCTCCCTTCCCCTCCCTCCCTCCCTTCTTTCCTTCCTTCCTTCCCTCCCTCCTTCCCTCCTTTCCTCCTTCCTTCCTCCCCTCCCTCCTTCCTTCCTTTCCTCCTTCCTTCCTCCCCTCCCTTCCCTTCCTCCCTCCCTCCCTTCCTTCCTTCCCTCCTTTCCTCCTTCCTTCCTCCCCCCTCCTTCCTTCCTTCCCTCCCTCACTCCCTCCCTTCCTTCCTTTTCTTCCTCTCTCTTTCTTTCTTCTTCTACTGAAGAAAGACACCAAAGTCTCCTGCAAGCAGCCTAGTTAGAGGGAGGCTTTGGAATCAGAGATGACTTTGAAGTCATGGTATAATTTTAACAGAGTTCATGGATAAAAATTTCAAGAACAAAGGCTCCTGAGACAAAATACTTGCATGGCACTGACTGCCTAGAAACCACCTTGTTACTTTCTGAAGAAGCAAGCAAATGAAATAATGATATCTTTACATAGTATGTGCATTGCTTTTTCCAATCCCTTGGATTTTTATGGCTATGATCGTTATTTTAAGGGCTTATCATTTATTACATCTCTATGATACACTTAGCACTTTACATGTACCTGTTATTTCATATTTTATACAAGAAGTATTTTTTAATTAAATTTACAAGTAAGAAAACTAAGGTTCTAAGGATTTGAATAGTTTTGCCAGGACAGGCAGCTAATGAGCAGCTGAGCCAATAAAGACATTCTATTTGGGTGGCACTAAAGCCCATAGAATTTCTTGGGCATCTCATTGTCTCCTTTTCAGAGGCTCTGTTATTTACCATATGAATGTATTCACACTGGTTTCAAACTTTCAGCAAAGCTTCTCTTAAACTTCTGTGGTTGCAGAAATCTGGGACTCAATGTGGCATGTGAGGAGAGCTGCATAGTGCAAGTCTTCAGCACCCCACGCTGAAACCCCATGATTCCACCTTGTTTCAGAGGAGCTTGTCAAGTTCCAGACTTGCCTCCAGGGAGGAACCCTGTGCGTTACACCACATGCCACTGACTGCCCATTCCCGAGATAGCAGCTAACACAGATTGAGTGCCAACAATATACTAGGTATCATTTTAAGTACTTTTCCCAAGTTAACTCGGGTAATCCTCACAGCAATCCTAAGAGACATTGTTCTATAATTATCTCTAACACAGGAAAATTGAGAGGTAAGTAATTTGTTGAAGATTACACTGCAGAAATTTGAACATAGGCAGTTCTTTTCCAAAACATCTGTATTTGAGCATTCTACTATGCTGCCTCTCAAAACACACAAACAAGATAAGGTATAGCTAGGTGGTGGAAAAAACACTGCCTAAGAGGAAAGCAACTGCTATTTTGAATTCCTTTTTCCCTTAGCTCAGCTCATCAATTCATCCATTCAGTAAATGAGCAAATAGGGCCTTCTAAGTGCCAGGCATTATTTTAGCTGCTTGGGATACATTGATGAAAAAAAAATTCATAGGGATTGGAGGGCAGGTGTGGACCGCAGACCCATTAAAGTGAGCTTTGGTTAAATCATTCAATTACTCAGGTTGCTAGTTGCTTTATGACTTTAGTCAGGATGACATCCTTCTTTCCGCAAAAGAAGAGAGATTGAAGAAACCTTCCTTTGTGACTCCCTTCAGCTCCAAGACTCTGAAGTCTAGTTCTGTACAAATTATCACCTGCACAAATAACCACCAAAGCATTCCTCTCCCCTCTTTCATGATTGCGAGGCTTCGCCTGAAGGAATTTGGAAAAGGTGCTCTCTAACATCATCTATAAGGGCTCAGGGTTTCGGTAACAAGCAGAATTCAAATTTCGCAGAGTCTCATAGTGTCTTGACTCTTACTGAGTAAGGAAAGTAGCATTAAAAAATAGAAGTACTTGAGTGAGCTAGTTATTTTAAAAGGAGAACTACTTCTTAAAAGTAGTTACATATTATCCTTTCATTTGATTTCTAATACTCTAATGATGAATAATCATCTGTGAAGCAACCTAGATGAGTTTTGTATATGGTTTCTTAGTCTGCAGATAAAAGAACATTTCTTGCAGAAAAACAGAGGAGAGTGGCACACATTTATCTTTCCTAATACATAGAGAATGGTTTGTGTTTACCCATAGAGCAGGCATAGAATCATATTCACCACTGAGAGAGCAGAATATGTTTTAAAGATGCAAAGAAGGGTAAAGTCTCAAATATAAGGAGGCAGGCAAGTGATGAAGTATCACAGTGAGTCATTACTCCAAGAGGTTTCCTATAAACATTAACCAACAAAGGAGGAAAGATTGGCCACTTGGAAGCACACACTAATGACTTAGGATGAAACATAAATCATTTCAAAGAACTATGTTGAATCTCGGAGTTAAAAGCGAGAAAGAGAGAAACAAGCAAGAAGAGTGAGTTGTCACCCAAACCAAGGTTGAGTTCTAATCATAGCCAAGAGAGTGTTCCAACTGACAATGTCAAACAAGGCAGTTCAGGTAATAGGACTGAATGATACATGACTAGGAACTCTCCAACAAATTTGATTTATCCTCCTTGAGAAATATTTGGGGACTGTAACCTAGATAAACTCTAAATTGAAATTTCTTTGCAAAGCAATAAAATTGAGACTCTCAAGTGTCTATACTTCAATTACTTTCTCCCAAGGTTTTAGAATCAAAAGAGAGATTGTACACAGTTCTGTGACTTCACAAAGTGACTAGCTGGGAACTAATGGTATTACAGGACAGCTTATTTTGAAAGAGGGCTCATTTAAGCTGTTCTTAAATGAAATACCCTAGACATTAAGATGAAGTAGGAAAAGTTCTTTCATAATGAAAAATTATGGGATGATCAGTTCATCCATCTCATTTTTGTGACAGAGAGGAGAAAAAAGAAATTAAAACAATATTAAGTCATACAATGTCCCACAGCTGAGTCCCCTAGAAGGCAGTATTTATATCATTCCAGGACCTCCTTCCAAGGTTAAGAAGCCGCAAAAATCACTTAATTTTCCACTTTGTTCAAATCCTGAAAATACTGGCCCTCAAAATTAAATCACCGAGGGTGGCCTTACACTTAACATCATTTCCAGGGGCTCAGAAGCCCACTTGCTCAAAATAATATTATTCACCAAAATTCATTTAAAGAGAATTTGAATTGAATCCTATGACTACAGATACTTCAGGAATAGATGACATATAATTGGAGAAACCATCACTGTGGTATAAGCGACCATTTTTGACAGGGAAGAAGGAAGATAGAAGGTGGATGAGTACTCTAAAGGCCTGGAAGGGATGGCTAGAAAGTGAAAACACTGATGACTAGCATTTTTAGAACAAATATTAGTCATTTCATAGCTTTGCCTAGTACCATCTAGCACAGTGCTCCAACATGACTGGGCTCAGACCACATACGTGCTGTTTATATGGCCATGACAGAATGTTCTGACATTGCCAAGAAAGTCCCAGATAGTAATACAAGAAAACAGGATTCAAATCAACATGAGTAATCTACCTTCATGCACACTCAATGCTCTATAAAAACCTTGGTCACACTTGTCTCTTCCTTTGCGGATAATGGATCAAAGCCACTGCTCTTTCTGGCTCTCTTCTCTATCACTGTGCCTCTCTTCACTAGGCTATCCCCTGGTGACTGACCACTCACACCACCTTACATACATAGAAACATTTTGTCTGCTGTCATACCTGTCCCACGTACATCTACACTGCCTCCTGCATCCACTCAGCTCTTTGCAGTTCTCTGCTTTCCTGCCTTTCTCATGCATTTTCTTCTTGCATTGATCCTTAGTGTAGTTTATTTCATTGGCTTGTTACCTAATCTTCCTGATTGCAAGCTCTGCCCCACCTATGTCTCCATATTGCTACCAGGCTAATCTTTCTAATACACACTGGCACATATTCTTCCCTGCTCCTGAAAGTCAACCAAATTATGCCTAAGCTGCTTAGCCTGAGCTTCTAGACCCATGGGCTTCTCCACAAATCTATACTTCATACCTCCCCACCATTACCTCTATTGTTTCCTATACCAGGAACACCTTGCACCTCATTTCAGCCTCTTGAAATCTCACCCATCCTTAAATATCAAATTGTAATGGCATCCATTTGAAAAAGTAATTCCCAATTCACCCTAACTCTTATCCTCCCCATCTAAATAAATGTGATCTCTCTTCTTTTAGCCAGGATAATTTTTTTTGTTCGTTTATCTCTTGTTGCATGTGATGGACGCGGTGACACTCCACTCGAATCCTCCTTTAGGAATGAAGGACTTATTCCCCTATCCGGGGAAGAACTGCCAGAGGGCACCCTGAGCTGTCACTTGTATCTGGGAATTGCTTCTGCTAAAGAAACATGCCTCATCCAAGGTCACTACTTCCAGTGACAGCTGTATCCAAGCACTGATCAATATGCAGGAATAAAAACCTGGCCCCCTGCAGCCCAACTTAAGACTCTGAAGAGTCACCCCAGCCCCAGAGCTCCTGTGGGGTTAGCTGAAAACTTCACTTGGAATGCATCAAAACCTAACTTCTTTCCCTGTCCAATTATTTCATATTTCAATGGTTCCATAGCTTTCCCTTTCCCCAGCACACGCAGAGGTGTTATTCTCAAGAGCACTTCCAAACAAACGCTCTGCATGCTCCATCTTAGAGACAGCCTCCAAGGGAACCTAAATTGTAACACAGCACTTATACATGGTTAGTTTCCCTTCTATTAAAGTCATGTATGCATTTATTCATACTAAATTATAAACTCTTTGGAACAGGGATTGCATTTTCAAATCATATATGCCTGCAGTGTTTAGCATCAAGACTCCAAAGTGTGTAGCACATATAAATGAATAAATGAGGGAATGAATAATTAATGCTTAAAATTAGCACCTCTGTGGTCCTGCAAGGTCTTTACACATCTAAAATATCATCAACATGTTTTCTTTCATTGATAGTATTTAATGAGCATTAGTTACAAGTAAGGCACTGTGCTAGCTGCACTAGGAAGGATGTATAAAAAGAAGTAATGGACTCCCTGCCCTCAGGAAGTTTATAATTTAGTCAGCAGGATAATTACAGCCATTTACGGCCATCGTTCCCAACGCTGGCTGCTCACTGGAATCACCTCAGCAATTTCAATAATTGCTCCCAATTTCAATTGCTCCCAGTACTGGGCCCCACCCCCAAAGATTCTGATTTAATGGGTGAGGTGAGCACCAACTCCCCAGGTGATTCTAATGTGTCACCAACGTGGAGAACCACTGAAATATGAAGAGCTATGTGTTCTAAGTACTGTTTTAAGCACTTACCCCAAGTTAACTAATTTAAGCCTCATAACAGCATTATGAGAAAATTACTATAATTGTCATCATTTTATAGACCAAGAAATGAAAGGGCAGAAGGTTGAAGTAATTTGCTCAAGGTCACACAGTTAGTTAGGTGTGGAGTTACATCAAACCCCAAAACTCAGGCTCCGAATTTATGACTCTTAACTACTCTACTTCCTCACTTTTGGAGACAGCATGAAAAGTAAACTAATTTGTGTTGAGTAAAATTTATAAAAATATTTTATTAGAAAATCGGAGGTCTCCATGGTGGAAATAATAACAACAACAATAACCTCTGACATTTGGATTGTACTTAGATCTCAAATATTAGAGTAAGAAGGAAATCTTAGTTTATTAAGGGAGACTTAGAATAACGATGGGTTTACATAGGCAGATGAGGTAAAAATGAGCTAGATAAGTAAATGATATATGTTTAAAAATTTGCAACTTATGGCTGTAAGTGGATTTTTATTTAATTGTTCTATAATACAAATGGAATGCTCTTTGTTCTTTTTTAAAACTCCTATCATTCCACTAAGATCATTAACTGTATCAAAGTTATTTTAGGATACTCTCTTTGATATCCAAAAACATGTAACAATAAGCAAAGAAAGAGGATAACTGGAAGTCAGTGAGCCAGAGGAAAACACTGGGGGTAGCTAAAATCTCCACTGTGTTTTGTCCCCTTAATACCCATCTCTCTTTTTATCTCCATACTTAATAGAGTTGCAAATAGATGTCAAGTAAATAATTGGATCCTTACCCTTCTTTCTTCCTCCCCACTGCTCTCATCCACCCTTCCCAAGGTCTCTTTGTCTCCCTCTCAATCATTCCTGTTACCTTCTGTTGCTCCCCATATATGTTAACCAAGAGAAACAGAAACACCTTCCAGCCCACCGTAAAATACTCTCTCACAGGGAAATGCAAGCCCAAGAAAACAAGTCCATAAATCTTGTTTAAGCATAAAGCATGGTTCTGGGGAATGCGTATGAATCATTGCTTATTCTCTTGACTGTATATGTGTATTTCTCATATACATTCATGTATCGCAAACATACTTCAACTGATAGAACTCATGTTGTCAGAAGTGCGACTTGAACATAAACTCCTGATTCTTATTTAATACAATTTCCACTATACCCCTGTTTTTAATACCCTATTAGAAATTTGGCTCAAAATTAATGTTTTGGAATGATTTCCTAGGTCTCTAATGCGACTTATAAAAATCACAGTATTTTTAAGCTCCTTCTCAGGAATACTGAAGAACTCAGAACCTTTATACACAGAGCCCAGAATATTTAAAACTTCACTGTAGGTGCATAGAAGAAATAAAGTACAAGCCTGAAAGTACAATGGGATGTAGATATAGATTTAGATATAGAGCAAGGTACAAATGATTTTTGTTAAGTAGTAGCTGATTTTTTTCCTCCCTTTGTTTCCCAAACCCAAACCTTCTGTCATTTCATAATACTTTTAGAATTTAAAAAATTATGCAAAATGTTTAAAAACTCACCATAATCAGATGAGTTTTAAGAACTTTATAGATCCTAAGACTATTGTTTTAGGGAGGTCCGACCTCATAGCATATGAAACATATTAAAATGTACCTAAATTCCACACTAACACAATGTTATAGGGGACTATGCAAGAGTTGAGTTGAGCTGCAGTTGAGCAACTGAAATGATGCAACATTTTGCAATCTTATTTTTATACTGCATGCATATGTGTATGTATCCCACACACCCCCACCCTGTCCCTGTTCTCAGATATTTTCATACTCCCATAATAATTATGTGATTTACCTGGTGGGAAATTACAGTACAATTATTATATCTGTTCCAATATCCACAAAGTCTACAGTTGTCCTAAAGGCAATGACAAAGGCAATCAGTAACCAAAATTTGGGAAGCCACCTATATTGAATAAAATGTTCCCTAATTTGGCCAAGCTTAAAGAGTTTCAAAATAAGGCTTTGTAACTTTCATTTTATGTTATCTAAATAGTTATACCTATATATATTATTGGGATCAAAAGACTGATTTTGTGGCCTACCGCTGAGAATTAACTACTTGATAAATGAAGACTGGGTTAATTGTATTTAACTTGTTTCCCTTTGGTGCTTAAACATCTGGCTAGATAATTTACACCTAAAAATCTCTATAAACAACAGACAGTTCTTAACAGATAGAGCCCAGTATTTTTAAATGCCAATTTGATTAAAACTGCAAAATCTAGGCAAGCAAGAATAAAAAGATCATATTTCTACTCCCTTTCACATATGATAATCCCCTGCTTCTTGCCTTTAAGAAAAATTTGCACTGTTTACATTTTAAATGTTAGATGAGTACCTGAATAATCCACTATGTAATTTAAAACCATACATTTTAAAAGGTTGCAAATTTAAGAACAGAGAAAATATTAGACAGCTAAATGAACTAAAGTATGTGTTTTTAAAAAGCTTAATATTTCAGTCATAATACTATAGTTTCAAAGTTTCTGAGTCTCCTAAGGTTAAAGACTACATTTAAGATAAGAATCCTACACAGATTTACCAAGAATGTGGAAAGAATGCCCTTCCTTTTATGGGTCAGAATCCTGGGCAGAGATAATCCATGGGTGGACCCAGGTCTGCAGAGCACCTACCATGTGTCAGGCACTGAGCCAGGCCCTTCGGTACAGCAAATTTGAGATGGTGCTTTGTCTTTCCCTTTTGAAGATCAAATCTTTGTTTTGAATTATGTATTTTAGTGTTTCTACTTGACGATGAGATATAATCAGGCAAATATGACCCCCCGCCAAAAAAAAAAAAAAAAAAAACCTCAGGGCATTGCTGATCTCTGAACATAATGAGGAAGACCCCAAACAGAACCAATGCAATTTAATAACCAGTAAACTTGAATTTTCACCAGGCTTGTGTAAGAAATAATCATTGCTGACATTTATTTTTTACTATACACCAGGTATTCTTCTAATGTTTCACATCTGGGAAACTAGCACATTTGATCATCAAAACTGAATGCTATTATTATTGTCATTTCACAGATAAGGAAACACAGGTATAAAATGGCTATATGACTTGTCCAAGCTCTTGCAGATAATAAGTGGCTTGGGTGATATTTGAATGCAGGTAGTTTGACACCATAGGTATAGACCACATTCTTAACCACCATACCATATACTGCCTCTTAACAAAAATCTAAATGCAAGTATTCCAAGAATGTAAAAGTACTGAAAACAAGTATTTGAAGCAATACAATTCCAGCAAAGCCCTCTATGAAATGACTAAAATAGACTTACCAAAAACGTTTGTTAATATGAGTCTCCAATGCAGAATTAACTGTACCTTGTCTTTATTACCTAATGCTTGAATTATAAACCAAGCTAACATCATTATCGAGTATACCTTAATAATGACAAAGAATAACAATAACAATAATAAAAATACCTTACATTTGCATATGTTGACCATTTTCAAAGCATTTTCATCTGAATTCAACTTTTATTATTATTGATGTATGCTTTCACATACACTATCTTGAAAAGAGAAAAAAACCCTCATACAATGCTAGGCTTTACTGATTAAAATCTGTCATACTGTATTTCCAGAATTATTTAAAATAGATAATAGTAAAAAGAAAATATGTATTTCAACCCAAATACAATATCAGCAACAAGCAAACACTATACTTACTCATGAATAAAACACATTTTATTTTCACCATTCAAAGAATAACTATTTATGAATTTATCCCAACATTATTGCTGACCTGAGAAATGAACTTAGCAGTGGGTAAAAAAGAAACCTCAGGTAAAAATGAAAAATTACTAGAAGCGCTCACATTATAACACAGAGTGACAAATATTTTATTCATTGAGGAAAATGAAATGAAAGATTATATTGTGTTTTCTTTGAAAATGAAGTAAAAATCCCCATGCTACTTTATGCTTTAACTTAAGAATTTAGATTCAACACATTACAGAAGGTCAATGTTAGATGAAATAAATGTGTCTCTGTAAAATTGTTTATGAAATTATAGTTTAAGTCTTTTAATGTTGTTTATTATTTAAAGGCATTCTACAATAAACCCCTTTCCAAACTAAATGACCCATTTTGTCAAGTTAGTTTTGCTGTTCTTGTTGCTCATTTATTTGTTTGCCAAATCAGATTTTCTCAACTTAAAGCAGGGACCAGAACATTTGGATCTGGTTACAGAACATGTCTGCTTATTGCTGCTTTAAATTTAAAGACAGAAAGTGTTGTAAAACCCTGCGGTATACATGAGCTTTTGACTACAAAATACGAAAAAAGAAGAACAAAAAATTTATTACTCATTCACTGGAAAGGGATTAAGTTCTTGAAGATTTTTGCTGGTTAATTTCGTGTATGAAAATACTGATTCTTGGGATTTTCTCTCCATTGTAGAAAATGGAGCTTCATTCTGTCCCACAGCCCATGACCCCAGACAGTCCTGTTATCTTCATGAGTTAATGATTACACAGCAGATGAAGCAAGATGAGGATGTCTGTTTCCACATAAACCCATCACTATATGGAACCACAACTTTGAACACATGATTTACTGAGAACTGGCCATTTGTGTAATCTTCATACACATAAGTATTTTTGCAGGGAGAAGAATGATACTCCTATTTGGTATTTCAAAAATTAGGTTGCAATGGAAATCAAAGCCAATGAAGTTCAGAGTAGGCAGCTCATGAAAGATCACCTGAAAAAAGTACACACTCTAACTTCCTGAGTCACCACAAAGCACTAAGGACACAAAAGGGGAAAGAAGTGACCTTTAAGTACTTCCCCACAGTACCCCCAAACACACATCAAACTGGCTAGTCTGCTAATAAGTCTTCCCCTCCTCAGTAAGTGGCAGCATAACCTTCCCATTTGTTCAGATCCCAAAACCGGAAACTATCCTGGATTCATCTCTTTCCTCATCCCAACATCAATACAACAGCAACTACTAGCAGCTCAATTTTGTATTTTGAATCCTCTAACTTCTCTCTGTTTCTAATGTTATGACGCTCTCTGTTTCTAATGTTACAACTCAAACCACCAATGTCTCTCACTTCTTGGAAAGTCTCTTAATTTATTTTCCTTCTTTCACTGTTTTTCCCAGAATGGCCTTTATAAATAAGAATATGTTGATTCATGTGCTTCAAAGCCTCTAATGGCTTCCCATTGTGACAAAAACAAAATCAGCTTTCTGTGGCACATAGACCCCACCAAACCCCCAAACCTCACCAAGTTCCCCTGTCCTTCAATTCTCTGTACCTTACACACTGGCCCCCTCACTGCCATTGGACAGAATTAACTTATTCTTATCTGAGGGTAGTAGTATTTTCTATCCCTGTTTTTGGAATACATCCCTTAGATCTGTCTCTTTCTCAGCTCTAATCCTACCTCCTTAGAGAAATTTTCCCTGATCATTCTATCTAAAACGGTACCTACCTATCCTCCAGTCCCTCTACCCAATTACCCATTCAATTTTTCCTACAGCCCCATTCACTGTTTAAAGTTATATAATCCAAATACTCGTTCACTGATTTACTGTATACTGACACTTGTCGCTCTCCCCTCATCCTCCCACTAGTCAAACTCCATGAGAATAGGGACCTTACTGTTTCATCCACTACTATTGCAGCACCCAGTACAGTCCTGGCACATCCTCAGTAATCAATAAGTATCAGTTAAATGAATAAATGAATGAATGAATGAGATGCAAAGTAAAATCCAGAAAGATCTGTTAGCCTGGCTTATCCTGACCTCAAACTTCACTTAGGCCTGAGTTTTTACACTTGGCATTGTAGGGCTAACTTGGAATGAGAAATGCCTTTTTCTCAATTCCCTTTATTCAGTAAATAGCAAAATAGGATTAATGTAAAACTTATGGGCCAAAAGAGAAATAAAAGTGCAGATTACTCACAGTAGTTGTAGGGGGAAACAGAATACACAATTACTAAATGTTTTCCTGTTAACTTTATTTATTTATTTATTTTTTGAGACGGAGTTCCATTCTTGTTGCCCAGGTTGGAGTGCAATGGCGCAATGTCAGCTCACTACAACCTCCGTGCTCCAGGTTCAAGTGATTCTCCTGCCTCAGCCTCCCAAGTAGCTAGGATTAGAGGTGCCTGCCACTATACCCAGCTAATTTTTTTTGTATTTTTAGTAGAGACGAGGTTTCACCATATTGGCCAGGCTGATGTCGAACTCCTGACCTCAGGTGATCCACCCACCTCGGCCTCCCAAAGTGCTGGGATTACAGGTGTGAGCCACCACACCTGGCCTTTTCCTGGTAGATTTAACCACAATAATTAAAAATAATTCAAGTAGCTATCCACTATGGAAAAATGAATCTCCTCCTTTATTTTGTTTTCTTCTCCAGTCCTTCCTTTTCTTCTCTTTCCATAGCATTTAAGTGTGACATTTGCCCTTCTTGGGATTCTTCTCAATTCAGAGACAAAACGATGGCATGGAATTTATTGTGTTACAATCTCACAAACAGGTATGATTCATAAAGTGGCTCCAGCAAAGGATCATTCTAGCCTGACCGTCATGTAGCGTTATAACAAAGGAAATCTGTTTTATTTGAAGAAGGCAATGTATTAAGTATCGTTAATGGAACAGAAAGCATTAAGTCTAGGAATTCAGGAAACATGCCTTGGTCTGCAAGACATGGTGAGAAATGGACAGAATAAAGAGGAGGAGGCTGCAGGTGCTTTGCATCCTCGTTATTGAGCAGTGTGAGTCCAGAACAGAATTAGAGTTCATAAAATCACAGTGCAGTTGAGACATAACTGCCTTTCTGGGGCTCTTCTCCTTATAACACTGTTCCTTGGCTACCTCCCTATGCTAATACAAGTTCCCAACTCTCATTCAACATCTTTAGGGCCAATTGTGTTTTAGAATCAGACTGTTTGGATTTTATGAAGATAATCTAGCTCATATAGAATTGATAGAAATCAATTTCCATTTGTGAATTCATGCTACTTCAGCAGTCCTATTGGATGCCACCTTTACATGAAAGGAACCCAGGGCTGGAAGAGAGATGTTAGAACCCCTATTGACTCTGCTTGCTGCTGAGTTCTCTTCTCTGCACATTGTTGAAACCAAAGGGGTTAGCTATGCAGAAGAGAGTTTCAATCCAGACGAAATTCAGTTTACCAAAACATGGCGTAAAAGTCAAAAGATGACATTAAGATATGGTATCTCAAAATGCAAACACTGATGCTATGTGAGGTGTAAGACTATCTGTGCCTTGAATCACATGTGTTTGTGTGCATTGTAGGACTATGGGTGCCTTGAATTGTGTGTGTGTGCACTCATCCATTTCTTCCCACATGCAAATGTGTTACTTACACAACAAAAGTTTATTTTTATGCATTTTTAAGTTAATAAATTGGCACTTGAAAATAAAAGTAGATAATACCATGAAATGAAGTCACTCTAACAAATAATGAAAAGCCTTGGGACAAACAAGAAAGGATATCTGGTGCTAAAAAAGAAAAGCAAAAATCAATAGCCAAATCACACACACAAAAAAATTTTAATCTTAGGAGTTTCTGGATAGGTTCTAACAATTAAAGTTATTATTGGTACAGAAAAACGTATTGAAAACAGTAGGCCCATAAGACTCATAGTTCCAATCTCTGACATAAAACAATAATAATTTATTGCCAACTATGTTTCTAATATTGCTGTAAGCACAGAATCCCAGCAACTCCTGCTTTTCAGGCTCAGGGTTTTAATTTAATAGGGTAAAATAGTAATCACAATTTCAATGGAACTAATTAATTTAACTGGTGGTGACAATATTGTTGATGTATATCATCTGCTCACAAAGTACCTGGAATTGTTATAGGCATGCTGCATATATTTCTTAGACAATATTCCCAAAAATCCTATGAGGAAAATGGTCTTCTTATCTCAATTTTAGACATTAAAAAACCCTAAAACTTGGAAGTTAAACTACTTGCTAAAGGTCACTCATACAATAACAGCACAGTTGAGATGCAGCCACATTTGTTTTTCTTACTCTAAAGCCCACTTTTCAAACTACTGTACTAATGAATATTAAATGGATATAGAAAAGATAATGACAGTTAAATTCATTTTTTTCAAATGTAGGAAACATCTCAGTATTATTCCATGCCATGCTTATAAATAGTAACAAGCGCCCATTCTATTTTACAACTTTAAAATTCTTTACACATAGGGTATCCCTGTGAGCTGAAAGGGGATTTATATACACAAGAGCAACCAAGCAACAGTGAATAAATTTTTCATTCTATTATCCCTGGGTAATATTACTAGACACAAAAAATTTTACACGTATAATTACATTTACATTACAATTATAATCTGCATTTCCTAACAGGTGTTACATCTCTATTGGCTTTTCTTTAAAAGCCTAACCATTTTTTTTAATGTATCTCAAGGATTTTGAGAAGTAACTCTTAGAAAATTGATTATCATAAAACAATAAGTCAAGATTCAGTTGAGAATTCTTTAAAAAGAAATTTTAAAAACAACAAAAAAATCCTGTAAAAGAATCAGGAGCCATTAAATCAATAACAATTAAGTGTATTCCTAACAAATGCTTTAACAGTGATTGAAAAAATTTTAGATTACAAGAGACTCCAGTATATAGTGAAAATCTTGTGACAGTTAGGGTTAGAAAACCTAACTTATAGTGTGGGTTGAACTTTGTTGCCCATAAAAGACACTGAAGTCCTAACCATCAGCACCTACGAGTGGGACCTTATTCGGAAATAATGTCTTTGCCAATGATCATGTTAAAATGAGGTCATTAGAATGGGTCCTAATCCAATATGACTGATGTCCTTATAAAAAGGGGCATTTGGACACCTGAGCAGGTATAGAGGGAAGACTATGTTACAGTATAGGGAGAACACCATCTACGAGCCAAAGGAACTCCTCAGGCTACCAGGAGCAAGGGGACCAGCATGGAACAGATTCTCCCTCACAGTTCTCAGAAGGAACCAAACCTGCCAACACCTTGGTTTCAGACTCCTCCAAAGCGGTGAAACAATACATTTCTGTCGTTGATGCCACCTAGTTTGTGGTACTTTGTTACAACAGCACCAGGAAACTAATATATCCCTTTACTAGCTATCTGGAACAAGTCTAACTTCATAGGTTTTAATCTTTCTACCTAGAATTGAAGAGATTAAAGTGTTATAGCTACTTCACTGCATTTTGTAAGAGTCAAATATACAAGTGCAAACTGTATAGAGCATTATGCAAACATAAGTGTGATGTAGGCATGTTCAAAGAGATTAAGTAGAATGCCCAATGGGAATTTATTTTAAAATTGTACCAGCCTTTCCATACATAAAGACATTTATTTTCCTGGCCCCTTGAAGGTATCTTCTTAGTCATGTGAATATGAAGTATGAGGGGATCTTCTTCCTTGAAGAAGCGAGAAAAAGAATTTGGAAGACAACCAAAGATGCCATTTGCTGAGTTCCCTGATCCTCCTGGAAGAAGGACTCTGGTCTTGCTCCCTAAAATTTAAACTTTGGGAGACCTATCAAGATGGATAAAGATGACCTCTTCCAAATCCCTGTTGGAGGAAAGAGCAATAAAATACTGAAATAAAATGCCTTAAGGAAAGGGAGAATACCAACTGGAATCTTGGGTTTAGACACACGGATGTTTTTGAGGATGAGAGATGATTCCAGCCTGAGGCTTATGCAGAAAGCCCTTCTAAACGCAGCCACCTGCCACAATGCTATCCTAGTTTGGGAAATAATGATTGGACCTGGAAATGTGAATTGAAAGACTTGTAATCATGGCACTCAATGTGGAGTATGCCTGTAAGATAATAAGGGACCTATACCCACAAGAGCAAAAAAATCAATAGTGAATAAATATTAGCTATGGTAGTGTGCAAGATAAATATACCATAGCAACACTGTGTGACAGTTGGAAGCAATAGTAGGAGCCAATGGCTCAAGTGAAATTTGCTCTCTGCTTGGCAGTTAGAAGGCAGAATGGTTCCTTTGGATTTAGCAAACTTCAGGATTCTTGAATAATTAAGGAGAAGAGGAAAAACCTTAGGAAAGAGAAACTAAACTTCCTGCTGTTCTGGTATATAATTGAGTAGTTAATTCGACAAAATAAGACAAATATGTTTTCAGACCAAACCCAAATAAGGGACAGACCACATGTAACACCCAAGTCAGAGGGAGCAAAAGCATCGATTAAGGTCCAAGTGGCCAATGAAGGTGAATGAGGAATCTGAGGGAAGCGAGATTGGAAAGGGTCAGAGAAAGCTTGTTTTGAATTGCCTTCCAATTGTAGCAGGAGGCCGGCCTGTGATTAGATCTTACTGAACTAAAGAGCTTAGAAGCAAGGAAGGCATGAATAATATGAGATTTTAAATAAGAATAATACCCAGATTGGTCCTAATACTGCCAGACTAAGTATAAGATCTTGTCTAAATCACTTAAAGTCCATGTAGCTCAATTTCCTCATCTGTGAAATATTGATGACAATAAAACTCTCCTGTTAGAGCATCAAAAGAAATAATGCCTGTGAAAACATTGAAAAATGTCATGTCTATAATAGGTACTGTCATTGTTATTACTAAAGTGAGAAAATCATCCCCTAAAACTTCACATCAAGTTAATCATTACCCATTTTTCTTACCAACCATCCTTCCTTTATAATTAAGAATTTGAACAACTTTAGAAGAACCTATTTAATAAAAATGAAATTCCAAGTATTAGACCATGCCAAAATTGTGAACTTTCAATCTCTATACATGAGCATACACTGATTTTCCTCTGCTAAATCCAGCCACTTCTTTTTTTCAGAGATATTAAGAATGAAAAATAATCTCTACCAGTAGCCAGCCCTGTTACAGGCTATTGTGCACTACCAGACTTGAGTAAGAACAAAAATTACTCTTTCCTCCAACTTCTGTGATGTAATTGGTACCATCATCCACAATTGTCCAAACTGCACACAGTTCCTCCCCACTCTAGTGCTTCACTTTTCTGTATATAACAAGCTATTAAGATGTAAAAACTCTTCAAGCCTGAGAAAGTTATAAATCAGAGAATGGGAGAGATAAAAATAAATGAAAAACAAAGTAACACTTTACAGTCTCTTAAAAAAACCAACTATATGGTGCAAACTAATCAGCAACCAATTTCCTAATAATTTATTATGTGTTCTGCTCCATCCATAAAGCTAGATACTTAAATCCTAGTGGTGATATTTGTTGTCTCCTAGATGTAATTGGGTAATGCTGGTCTCTCTTTGGTACTGAGGAATTAAGGCTCATTTCTTACCCTTACACTGTATTCCCATTAGGTCAGAGGGACACAGAATCATTTATAATACTGGAATCCATACATGCAGACATCAAAGGCCTTGGCTATTTTGACAGGCCCTTTGTTAATTAAATTAATTCAGCAAGAAGGGGAAGATGTCTTGACAAACTAATTTATTTAACTTTTCAATTTTTAAGAAATAATTGGGCTGGTAGGGAAGAATGCTGAACAGTATAGAAAACTTATAAAGAGGAGATAATATTGCAGGATAGATGACAACTTTTCACTTCAGATACATAAAGTTTTAGGTGAAATCTTAGTTACAGAGCACATTTACAAACACGAATTAGCCTATGGCTGGCAATAAAATGTCAGTGTTCCAAACAGAATCAATTTAATTCACCTAACTTTCATGACTGACTTTCTAAATGTCATGTATTCTGCCAGTTACTGAGGACATAGCAGTGGCTACTGATAGAGGCAAGGAGACGGCCAAATACCTAGGCAGATAGGGAAGAGTCCCCAGAGGTTCCGACCCACCGGGTCATTGTGCACAGAGGGTTTGACTAAACATGCCCACGGTGAAAAAGTCCATCCCTTAACACATGCGCAGTAAGGGAAATAAATCAATGTGGCTCAGACTAAGGGCCTGCATGTGCAAACAGTACCTCAGGATAGGGTGCAGCCACCAGGAATTTGTGCCTCATGCAAGGGAGGAGCCTGGCCTCTTCGGTTCATGTGCTGGTACTTCATTGTGAGGGGCAGACCTGCTTTACAGAACCCCTCTCTTTGCTGAGAGCTTTCCTTTCACTCAATAAATTCTGCCCTCCTCACCCTTCAATGTGTCCACATGCCTAATTTTTCCTGGTCGTGAGACAGGAAATCAGATTTAGCTGAAGTAAGGAGCAGAAGTCCTGCATCACTACGACATGATCCATGTTCTCAAGAAGCTTTGAGCGTCAAGGAGGAGAAATAGACGTGCAAATAAATAGTTTATATATGGTGCGAGATGCTTAATCATATGGTACAGAAGTAACCCAGAAAAGGAAATTAACTATTTAGGAAGGGGGTGTTAGAAAAATCTTATTGTATGAGGGAACAAAGGTCAGTTTTATTTTAATTGACATAAGCTAGAAATTAGTTGGCTAATGAATCAACAAAATGCATGAAGAAAACATTATGACCTAGACACCAGAAGAGGTTTAAAGAACCTAAGTAAGGAGTGATTTCCAGTGCTAAGTTATGACTTTCACGGCCCTGAGGTACTTTTTGCCACTGTGGGCCCCTTCCTCCATTAAAAAAGAAATAAGAAAATTATATTTTACAATTGTATTGGCATGAACATGAATATAATAGTATCATATATTCAACAATTTATTTAACCTGAAAGTTTGTTTTTTCCCTTCTGATATTAAAAAAAAAATACTGTTTTGGACTAAAACATTTTTTGGGTTCCTAAAAGTATTGTGGCTTATCTATACCAGGGGTCCCCAACCCCAGTACCCTGGTTAGGAACCCAGCCCCACAGCAGAAGGTGAATGGCCAGTAAGCCTTACCACCTGAGCACCGCCTCCTGTCATATCCCCGGTGGCATTAGATTTTCATAGGAGCACTAACCCTATTGTGAACTGCACATGTGAGGGATCTAGGTTGCATGCTCCTTATGAGAATCTAATGCCTGATGATCATCCAGAAAACATCTCCCACTCCCAAACACCATGGAAAAAATTGTCTTCCACAAAACCGGTCCCGGGTGCCAGAAGGTTGGGGACCACTGCTCAACACTGTGCCTACTGTGCTGAAGGGATAAGTCAGCCCTGGTGCTTGACTTTTAGGAGCCAGATGCTGTAGGCTTTATATATATATATTATGTGATTTAACTCTCTATAACTCAGTGTTTACAGATGAGAACCGGGATTCAGGGTGGTAAGACACTTCCCCAAGGTCTCATAGTCAACAAGACAGAGGCTTCCATTTAAAGCAAGCATTTGGACTAAATGCAAAGCCTGTGCTCTCTCTCTATGCCATGGAATTTTCTATATAATACATGAGACAAGCCCTCAACCAATTTACCTTCAGAGCAAAGAAATGCAATGTGCATTAAAGCAAAGACAGTATACCTGGGCTGCAAGAGTTTTAGAAATAAGAGAGTACCAGGGAAGGCCACACTAATACAAATGCAATGACAAAATAAAGCCTGCTCAGGAGCAGATGTTTACTCAGTGTGAGGCAACATGAACTAACGTTTAGGTGCCTTGGCTCTGGAGTCTGTGTGCCTGCGTTCAAATCCTAGCTTTATAAATGTCATTTAATTTCTCTGAGCCTTGGTTTCCTCACCTGTAAAATGAAAATAATACAATGTCTTGGTGTTAATTAAAAGACTAAATTAACATTTGAACAGTACATAGAATTGTGCCTATCACAGAGTAAGAGCCCAATAAAAATTAATTCTTTTTAAAAATTTTTGTATCTGCAATATCTTACAATGTACAATTAAAGAAAGTAAAACATTAACTGTATTTTTTTTCTTTCTGGAGTTCTCTCAATATAATAAACTAATATATATGTGTATATATAGTATATATATTTGTGTGTGTGTGTGTGTGTGTGTATATATATATATATATGTAGCTGCATATTACATACTTTTTACCAAAGCAATAGCTTTAATATAATCCTGGAATTTAGGAGATGGATACAAAACTGGTTCTGTTTTTCCTATTTTATAGCTAAGAAAATTAAGCTGTTGAAAGATTAAGTGATTTGACTGACATCCGATTAGTCACATCCAGTTTTTTTGTGTGCATTGCATTGATGATGACGGCCTTGCCACATTTTCAAAACTTTAATCATTTGTTCCTGAAAATATTAATTTCCTATCATGGCAGCACTATCCAGCAGTGTGGTGGACTCAGTAGCTGAGTTCTCCTATACTCTAGCCTCTTAATTCCTAGTGACTGCTGAAAATGTCAACCTCTATGTCCTTTCACCACCTTAATTCAATTCACAGTCCTGTTCCTACTCAGTGATAGCTATCTCAGTTGCCAGTGCCACCCTCCTCCACATCGCATGGGCTCAAAACCTCAGCTCATCCTGAAATCCTCCCCTGTCCGCCTCCCTATGTGAGGCATTGCCAAGTCTTGTCAATTCCTCATCCACAATGCCTCTTGCATCTGTTCCCACCTTCCCATTACTTCTGTCACTGTCTGCCCTATTCAGGGCTTTATTAAATCTGCCCCTCACTGTTAGAATCCAATTACTGCCTCCTGACACACAGCACATGGCTGTGCTTCCAATCTCTCTACCTTCTAAGCCATCCTACGCACTGCTGCTGAAAAACTTCCTACAAATGGGAGTCCAGCAGCTCAGTTTAACATTTTAGGCTCCCCTCAATCCAGTCTCTACCTATTTTTCCAGCATTATCTCCCTCTTACATACTTCACAGCCAAACAGGAGTATTACAGAAATGTTCAGCATGTTCTCACATTTTTGGCTTTGCTCCTGCTACTTGACTACCCGGATATCCTTTACTCCACTGATGTCTTTCAGAATTCTACCCATCCTCCAAAGTCCCAATCATGCACCATCTTCTGATAATCATTCTCCTATCTCCCACCAAAAGCTAACTCCCCACTTCCTCATCACTCCTGTCCTCAACGCTTTAACAGTACTTACCATGCATTTTAATAGGGCACAACAGAAGTGCCCTCTCTCCTGGAAGCCTTTGCATCCCAGGCTTTGCCCCCTACATCCTTTCCTCCACCTTCTACAGTTTTTTAAAAATATTTTTATTACTGTACTTAATACATACTTATATACTTAATATATACATTTATAACTACTTGGGTGTACCTGTATCCCTGCTAGATGGTTAATGCCTCACCCTGACATACCCAGACACCTTTTGGTAACTTTAACAGAAATACATATTCTTCTCACCAAAATGTATAAATCAATATAGTATCCCCATTTATATCTATGTAAATATAGCCAATATCCAAATCTTATCTTATTCATATAATTATAATATAAAGATAATTAAGATGTGCTTCGAGTATAACTCTTCTATCAAACTGATGATTTACATGATATAATTCTTCATCTTCGAATCTAGCCCAAGATTTGTGGCATATGTCATAGCACCATGGAGAACACATATAATGTGAAATTGCAGGGCAAAAGGAAGTCTGACAGCCTCCATTAAAGGCTTTCCAAATTCTCAAACTGCTCCCTACTACATTTCTTGTATACACTTAGGCTATTGGGAAAGCTTCACAGCAAATAAATTTTACATTTTCACAGTAAGTACACCTAGTGAAAATTACTTAATTAACATGTAAATCAATTAATATACTTAGTTTCCTAAGAGAAATGTTGGCTAAATCAATATGAAGGATTAGGAATGCAAAATATAAACAAGATATACTTATGCACGGGGCATAAAAAATCATATTACGAGAATAAAATTATATTCTATATTACCATCTCTATTTTTAAAAATCATAGACTGTAGGAACTACAATTCCTAGTTATTCAACTCTCCTGAAATAATAGCAGAAATATTAGAATGTTCATAATGAAGGTCAATTAAAAAACCTGAAAGATAGATAAATACTTCTGGAAAAATGGTTACTGCAAATATAAAAATATATAAAAGGAAAGAAGATAAAACTTTTGTTTTACATTTTAAACCACAAATATCAGAAAAAATACGAGGGAAACTTGCACATGCCTAAGCAAAATGGTCTTAAGCAGGAAGAATTTTTAATATGATCATGAAGTTTGCGTGAGTCTGCCAATGAACATAGTGCTTGTAGAAATGCTTCTGGGAATGTCCATATGTTTGACTGTAATTAATGTTCATTACTCTTAAACTCTAATTAAAATAAACTTCCAAACCCAGTCCTTTCTGGAGGCTGTAAGAAGGCAAACAAAGGTAGAGAAGCACAGATTTGTTTATGTTGGAGATCTTTGTAAGATTATATTTTTAATTACTCACAGTTGAACAAAGAGCCATAGTACAATAAATAACTGAGTATAATGAGAAGTTCAATCAACAGCACCAAAGTATAAATTTTAAAGATACAAATTTTTGAATCTATGTTCATGTCAATATATATTGTTTAATTATTGCAAACAACTCTATTTTTTATTAATATTTTGGAAATCTGAAATTTATAAGTTGAGAACAATATTAGGAGACTTTACCAAAAAAAGGAAAAGGAAAGAAGAAACAATTAGATTTTGCCACACATGAGGTAAAAGGCAAGTTGAGCTAATTATAGCCTTTCCCCTAAATGTGATTATCCCTAAGGCTAGTGAATAATGAACCAGATTTCATTTCAGCCAACTAGCCTCCTCTATTTTCCTTGAAACAAGATAGTTGGATAAGCCAGTTTCTTAATGTTAGAAGCTTAATTTTCAAAGCAGATCTTCTAAAATGATTCCAGATTTGAAGATGACAAAGTTTCTTGATATTTTGCACATGTTTTTGAGGACTAAATAAACACTTCCAAGTCAACTCACTCTTTGAGCACTCTTCCCTGTATATTTCTTCAAAAACACTATTGTATTTAGAAATTAAGAGATTAAGAAATGGTTTTGGGCAGAGATGGGAAGCCAAGAACAACAAACTGCCTTCATTCCCACATAAGATGTATTTGGTTTCAAACAAATATTTATGTAGTAATTTATTTATACAGTAATGAAAATATATCCACTGTATGTAAGCAATACTGATACTATTTCATCAAGAATTCATCACTTACATCCTCAGAAAGGAAATAAGAATGTAAAAATTGTTCCTCAAATATAATGGCTTTATGCTTTTTAAAATATTCATCAATAAAATATATCTTTTATCTACAATAAAAGTTAATAAGGGAGAAATTATTTGCAAATGATATTTGTAAGATAAAACGGTCATTTTGAAAAGATGACACTTCATTTTAAAATTTCAGTGTAGTGATGTTTAAAATTTTGATACTTAACATCAAATTTCCAATCATAATAATTTACACAATAGAAGTAATTCTGGATATGAAATGTTCAAATGATAACAGGCTGCATCTTGTGAAGGCCTTTACAGATTACAAACCCCATGTACAAACATACTTCATTTGATTCTTAAGGCAAAACAATGAGGTAGGTGTTATTAACTCCATGGTACAGATGGGCAAACTTAATCTCAAAGAAGTTGAGCAACTTGTCTAAAGTCACAAGCTAGCAGGTGTAATATCAAGGAATCAAAACTGGCTCTTCAGATTCCATTTCTTTATACTCTGCTACTTCTAAAAGTGTAAGTATAGCAATAAAAGTGAATAAGTAAACATAATATTTTGGTAAGTTATTGTTAAATAGAATAAGTAGATAAAAGTACTGAAGAAAGACAAAAGCTCCATTTTAAAAAGGCCATAATAATAAATTTTATGAGTAATTGACAGAAAAAAATGCATTCAAAAAAATTAGTCCTCAAAAATATTTTAGTTAAGTCATAAGTGCTCATTCCTTCAGAAAAAGCATATATATATATATATATATATGTTTAAAAAATTACATATATATGGGCTGGGCACGGTGGCTCACGCCTGTAATCCCAGCACTTTGGGAGGCCGAGGCGGGAGGATCACAAGGTCAGGAGATTGAGGCCATCCTGGCTAACACGGTGAAACCCCGTCTCTACTAAAAAATACAAAAAATCAGCCGGGCTTGGTGGCGGGCGCCTGTATGTAGTCCCAGCTACTCGGGAGGCTGAGGCAGGAGAATGGCGTGAACCCGGGAGGCGGAGCTTGCAGTGAGCCGAGATCGTGCCACTGCACTCCAGCCTGGGCCACAGAGGGCGACTCCGTCTAAAAAATAAAAAAATTACATATATATATATAAATGTGTGTGGGTGTATGTGTGGAAACACATAAATAGGAAAGCCAAAAAGATCCACTAATATTAAACCCATTCAAGCAATGTATTTGCATTTTGATGGGAAATTTACAAGAAGACAGAAACTCCTCTCTGAAGTAAAGTATAGGAATGTTCCTCGTTATTGGGACCATTTAACTGTGAAAAAGAATCAAAATAATATATATGTTTTGTATAGAATTCAATTATTTAATTTGGTTCCGGTATACAATATAAAGATTACATATATGCATAAATGTCTTTCAACAGAACAGTATTTTAACAGCTAGTCAGCATATACGTAGGCAAAACATGGGAGGCAATTCGACAATGTGTAGTAAGAACCTTCAAAAGTGCGTAACATTTGACAAAGAGCTTCTGTGTCTAGTAATTTATCCTGAAGAGAAAATTCGACTCGACATACATGCAAAGCTGTCTTGACAAAGATGTTACTAATTCGGTCAGTGATTAGAAACGTAACCAAATATGGAGGGGTTAAAGAAATTTTATATAGTCACAGAGTAGAAAGCTATGTTATTGAGACAGCCAAGTGTAAGGGGGTTCCCGGGAAAAACTAAAAACTGCAACTGACCTGCTACACACTGGGAGGAGTACACACTGGGATGGAGCCACAGAAGTTCGCGTTGTTTGCAGCGGGGACGAGGCTGGCCCCTCTTCTTCCTAGGTGGTACAGGGGTTCAGTCTGCCAGGCAGGAAGTGCACTAGCAGAACTCTGGCTTTGTGGAGAGTCACTGTGTATTTTTTTCCTTTTCGTCCAATAAACCCCACCGTGCTCACCCTTCAAATTGTCTGCACGCCTAATTTTTCATGGCCCTGTGACAAGGACCCCCGGGCTTTTAGCTGAACTAAGGAGAGAGTCCTACAACACTATCATTAAAAATGAAGACAACTGTGCAATTACTAATGAGATGTTTATTTGATTGTGAGTTGTTTATTTGATTGTTGAATGAGTGAACAAAGCTGAATATAAAACAGTACATATGGTTTGACCCATTTTTATGCAAATGTGTTTGTTGTTAGTATTTCTATGTATATATTTATACCAGAGGGGGAAAAAAAGACAGGAAAAGTGTATGGTGAAATAATGGCAGTGAAATTTGGGGTTGATAACTTTTCTTATTTATTTAGTTTTTGTTTGTTTGTTTTTTGAGATGGAGTCTCGCTCTTTCATCCAGGCTGGAGTGCAGTGGTGCAATCTCAGCTCACTGCAACCTCCGCTTCCCGGGTTCAAGCGATTCTCCTGCCTCAGCATCCCGAGTATCTGGGTCTATAGGTACACCCTACCATGCCCGGCTAATTTTTGTATTTTTAATAGAGACAGGGTTTCACCATATTGGCCAGGCTGGTCTCAAACTCCTGACCTCATGATCCGCCTGCCTTGGCCTCCCAGAGTGCTGGGATTACAGGCGTGAGCCACCGCGCCCAGTCTTCTTTGTATTTTCTAACTTAACCACAACAAATAATATATTGCATATGTATTTATTTTAAAGAAGAGATGAAAAAATATGTTATATTAAGGTTTACTTTTAGATGGTCTTACTTAGATTGTGATGGACACCACATATTTGCAGATAGGGAAAATTTTAAAAAATTAATACAATTTTAACGTATCTATTTGATTATGACAAAGGAGTAGGAAGTGTTATATTAGTTTTTATTCTAAAAAAAGCATTTTCCATATTTTAATAAACCATAAATGCCTTGTAATTTCTAAATATCTTCTTTTTTCATTTAAAAGAAGTGGACCAATGCCAATTAAGTGAGAGAAAATATAAGGGAAAAGATCACAGATGAGTGAGTATTAGGCAGGAGAAAACAGAGAAAACAAACTGCAGAGGTGAAGAACCAGGTTGAAGAGGGTAGAGGAAAAGTCAGCAGAAGGTCCTTGCAGTTCCTTACAACTCCCTGAGGCAAAGTTAGTTTCTCCTCCTTTGTACTCCTACTATCTTCATTGGCATGTCTTTAACAGCACTTACCATGTCTCATTTAGTATATTTATTTATCTGTTTGAGAGTCTTAGTCTCTGAAAGCCTGTTTTCTAGCCCTATCTACTAGTCATGCCTAGAGCTAAGAAATGTAAATCAAGACCATTTTAGACAAAGGGAAGGACAAATATTGAACTGAAAAATCACCTGACAATCAGACCCATTCATGCAAGTAAACAATTCTAAATTCTTAATGTCTAGTTAAGTAAAAGACAATTTTCAAAACAACATGATTTCAATGTGATCACTTTTTTAAAAATATGAATAAATAGACTCTATATACATATTCTTATAAATATATAAATGCAATTCTGGAAGGATACAAAGACAAAGGTTAATATTAGTAGAAGTAGTATGCTTGGCATTTAGTTGAATTAATAAGTAAATATCTTTTTAATAATGCATAAAATTGGTAAAACTGAACATATAAATATCTTCTGACACAAATATTTCATATACTTTGTTTTCTTTTGTCTGTCAGCCAAAAGGAAATAAAACATTAAGATTATAAACAACTTTTTCCCAAGGAGGATGCCACAATCCTAGTTATTCTTAGCTTTCCCAAAGCACGTTTGTTTTGCCACCACAAAGCTGTTAATTAAAACAGTTACATTTCCAAACTACTGAGTATGCTAATTATATTCCTCATTCCTTCTTCCCTCCCTCACCTCACTGTTTTATTCTTAATTCACACTGTATATAAACAGCAATTAAAGTACAAATCAGAATGTTACTTGCACAGATACATTTCATTATTATACACAATCTGTACTCTTAAAAACATCTGCCTTTTATAGGAAACTTAGCCCAAAAAAATTTCCTCTAATCGAATAAGAAAACTATTAACAGTATATGTAGATTAAGATAAAAACACACTCATAAAAGAATTTAAAAGTTTTATCATTTCTTTCTTGAAGGATATCATTTGTATATTTAGTAACTGCTATGGTAGAAAAATACAGTTTCGTATAACATCAAGATGTACCTACATTTTACCTGATTTATAGAAAAATGACTCACAGCATAATATATGTGTCTAAAATCAAATGCAGACCTAAGATTTTGAGGCCTAATGTAGACTTAATATATTGAGTAATACTGATTGTAACAATCATCCACCATTTACCTGAAACTTAAACTATCTCAGTAATGTTTTAGGATCACACAAGGCCATACTTTAAGAAATGACCTGACAGCATTACATTTTCTCACATCTAAATATGTAAAATATTATAGTTAAGAGCAGAAAATACAAATAAAATGAAATATTTTCTTTTATATTGCTTACAGTACAGAAAATGTAACCTAATAACATTGAGATGGACCTCCTGTAGCTACTGCTAATAAATGATCCCTATGCAGACCAATAAAACCAATCAATCTCCAAAGTGAGAACTTACAATACCCAGACTAGCCTGGGAAACATGGCAAGGCCCTGTCGCTACAAAAATCTTTTTTAAAAAGTTAGCCAGTCATGGTGGCCTGCGCCTGTGGTCCCAGCTACTTGGGAGGCTGAGGCAGGAGGATCACTTGAGCCCAGGAGGTCAAGGCTGCAGTGAGCTGTAATCACGCCACTGCACTTCAGCCTGGGAGACAGAACAAGATTGTGTCTCAGAAAAACAAACAAACAAACCCAGAGACACTAAGGAATATGCATTTCCTCTTTGCAATAATGTTCCTTTCTTCTAGCGGACCAAATCAAATGCCCAAAAGTTCCTAAAACTTAACAACTATGTTGTTAACTACTATCCTTGAGCTGCTTCTTCCAATCTAGCTTACAGATGGCATAGTCATATTTAACTTTCTAAAATACAGATAGTTTCATGTAACCTTCTCATTCAAAAATCCTTCATGACTGCCTTCTATTAACCATATCGTGTATATATTTTTTTAGTTTTGTTCTCGAGGAACTCCAAATAAACCCTTCCTATCCAAATCCATTAACTGTAATTTCTAGTGAACACAAATGCATGTCTAGTCATGCCCTCTGCATTCCTATTTGCCATGTCCTTCCACTGCAGTCCTCTCTATCCAGCATATCTTCTTTTCTCCTCTCTGCCCAATGATTTCCTGTCACCTTCACATTCAGTCTAAATTTCTTGATCAAGTACTAAACTCTCCCTTCTTGGAAGTACTGTAGCACTTAAATGTATTCTCACTCATTACATAATTACATGATCTCAAATTATTTCATATTTTTATATTTTTCCAGAATTCCCAGAACACTGCTTGGTATATGGTTGGCTTTCAATAAAGGTTTGTTTGACTATTACAGCGAAAGTGTGTTGTAATACTAGCTAGCCTGAGAAGATAATATTGCCCCTCTCTGCAGAACCTGTCTTATAAAGGTATTACACTGAAGCTTAAAGTGCATAAAAACGTCTCCTCAAACTTTATGAGGCTGTACATTTTCTTCTAGACACCACACTATGTTAAGTTAATGTTCTTCCTTTGTAGACATGGGGTAGTAATGTCCAGTTCATCATTGGCTTTTGGTGTTTGAATATTGCTCTGAACTAGAGGTGGCCAGATTTAAGCACAGGTGCAGCTGAAATCGCTTTTAAAACAGGCATTGCTGGAAATATTTTAAATTTCTTGTGCTATGAGATATATTTACAGGGAGCCAATCTAGCTATACTACGTAATTTACAAAAAGAAAACTATACAGAATAAGAGAGAGCAAATAAAGTTGATATATAATAATTTGAGCGAAGCCTCTGACATCTCCAGACCAAATAATTATGTTAACAGCCTTGTGTCCTTTTGGGAAAGAAAGCAATGAGGGAGAAAATGGATTAAATGTATTAAATTTGTAATACATACAGAAAGAAGCTCAATGGCACTAAACTATTCAAAATAAAATAAAGTTTAGCCCAAAAAATTTTCCTCTAATCAAATAAGAAAACTATTAACATTATATGTAGATTATAATTAAAATACACTCATAAAAGAATTTAAAACAGTTTTATCATTTCTTTCTTGAAGGATATCATTTGTATATTTAGTAACTGCTATGGTAGAAAAATACAGTTTCGTATAACATCAAAATGTATCTATTTTTTACCTGATTTATAGAAAAATGACTCACACCATAATGTATGTCTCTAAAATCAAATGCAGACCTAAGATTTTGAGACCTAATGTGGACTTAATATATTGAGTAATACTGATTGTAACAATCATCCACCATTTACCTGAAACTTAAACTATCTCAGTAATGTTTTAGGATCACACAAGGCCATACTTTAAGAAATGACCTGACAGTATTACATTTTCTCACATCTAAATACGCAAAATATTATAGTTAAGAGCAGAAAATACAAATAAAATGAAATATTTTCTTTTATGTTGCTTACAGTAGAGAAAAGAGAAAAACTGGGCAAGCAGGGTCATTCAATATAAGATAATTATTAAAATATACAGATACGGGAAAAATAGTAACATGACCACAATAAGTAAATAACAGACAAATGAGTAAAATAGTATGCAAAATGGATAAATCTGGATTTGTATGTTCTTTTCTGAAGGTATCTGTTTGCAGTTTCACCCTGACAGCTACTCAAGTGTACGGGGTAGGCTAGGAGTTTGAATGTGTCCTACCTAAGCCATGCCACAGCATCATAATCTCTTCTTTAATTCAAATCTTACTGCCCCACAAACCTCTAAACCCAGGCTGAATGTTCTGCCTACCACCTTACCTAGTAAGTATTTTTATGGGTAAATGAGTGACAGTACAAATTTTCATTTATGTTATACCTATGATCTCTTTCCTCTAACTAGTAAGGTTAGGACAGCTCTATATTCCATTTTGCCCTAGATGGTCCCAGTTCATATGTGTTTATCCAGCATGAATTATTAACAGTGTCACTTTTCATGATCAAAAGCATTCCAGTTTGGGTAACATATGTATGACCACCTTAATGTAGTCAAAATAGCTCAAGAGTTACCAAAAGATATAGATTATTAAATATTAAAAATATAATTCTTTTTAGAGCTAGAGAGAGAAAAAACTGTCTAATATCCACAGTTTTAAATTCTAACCCCAAGAAGCTATAATACAAATGTATGCCATGGCTCAATATAACACTTCACCAACATATCAAAAGCAGCTCAAAGCACATGTCTCACAGATGGAAGGGTCAGTAAGTTCACCTTTGTATATGAGAACGGCATATTTTTATAAAGTGCTGCAGAATTCATGCCATACAGCAGTATGTAGCATTTAGTGAACTGCACACAGATGTACCATTTTCCAGCTGGTTGGGGTTAGAACTTTTCTCTCTGAATTTAAAATAGATTTTACCTGGATTTTCAGCTTAATCAGGCATCTGGCTAGCCACGTCTAATACAGCCAAAGAGAGGAAAACAGTATAGAGAAAACCAACAATATAATGTCATGAATAAGTATAAACATTTCAGTCATTATAATAAATATAAATGGTTTAAATTATGTTATTAAAACATAGCAACTCTCAGAATGGCTAGAGCTACATATGTAACTAAATGCTACAGAAACGTTAAAACTGGAAAATATAATAGTATAACAGACAAGGATAACAAAAAGCAAGTATAAATGGCAACATTGCTACCAAATGTAATAGAATTCAATGTAAAAAGCATAAAATGAAACCAAGAAAGATGTTTTGACAAAACTTATAACCAAATAATTATATAGTAAATTGCTCACTTATTGAGATGTTATGCTAACACTGCTTCAAAAACTGATAAAGCAATAACAGATAGAAAAAAGGAGAAATTCACCATTTTAAAAGAATAGCGATTTTAGCACAACTCTTTCAGAAATTAGTCATTCAAGTGTATAAAAAATTGAGTGATTATAAGATTTACTTAATACAAAGTTGATTTAATCATTAGATATACATAAAACAAGAGAAAAATCCATGAATCCTGAAATGCATTATTTTCAAACAAAAATAATACAATTTAAACATCATGTGTTAGAATACAAAGATCTTCAAATTGGGATTTCAAATACAGAAACAGAAAGTCATACAGGACACTTTTTTTCTGAGATAATGTGACTAAACTAAAATTAATATAAAAACAAGAATGTATCCCCTCTCTAAAATAATTTAATCATTCAAAAATGTTTTTAAATGTCTAATAATTATTGGTTTGTAAAGCAACTAAAAATAGCATTATAAGTTACTTGGAAATTAATGACAAGAAACATATCAAAAGCTGTGAGATGATGTCAATGAATATTTTTATAAAATGCTACATGCTCATGTCGTACAATGTTTATCATGTAACGTAGATAATATATAGCCTTGGCCAGGAGTGGTGGCTCACACCTGTAATCTCAGCACTTTGGGAGGCCGAGGCAGGTGTATCACAAGGTCATGAGTTCAAGACAAGACTGGCCAAGATGGTGAAACCCCATCTGTAATCCCAGCTACTCGGGAGGCTGAGGCAGGGAAGTGCTTGAACCCAGGAGGCGGAAGTTGCAGTGAGCTGAGATCGCACGCCACTGCACTCCAGCCACATCAGAAATACAGTGTAAGTGGAAGACATTACCAGACAGAGAAAAAAAGAAAAACTACAAAGCCAGAAAAGAACTAAATAGCAAGACAAAGAGTAGCTAATTATAAAAGTAAAGCTGTCCTTTAAAAATATAGGTAAAACAATTTTTAAGACCTATTAAGGTAAAGAAGAAAATACACTTAACCAGATGTCATTAGAACAAGATAAATGTAAATAAAAACATACATTGGTACACAATTGTTAAACTTTTTGCCAGTAATTCTGAAAATTTAAATTAAATGAACGATTTTCTAGGAAAATAGAGATAATCAAAAGTAGCTCAAGAAGATTTAAAAACCAGAGGGAAAAACCATGAGGAGAAAATGAAAGGATGGTCAAAGATTTACTCCTAGGAAGAAGCAGGTTCTATAAAATCATTAAGAAACAGATGATCATCCCGTTATTTACTGTTCCTAAACATATACATAGATAAAAATCTTCTTAATTCCTTTTATAAAGTTAAAATAAGCCTGATACCAGATCCAGAAAAAGACAGATAACATTGGAAAATAGAAAAGTATGGTCCTTTTCCCTTACAGAATTAGAAGCTACAATCATAAATCTTAGCAAATCAAAGCAACACACTTAAAGGGGTATTGATAACACCACTGTATTCATTTGTCAACATTCATGGAATTATATACTAAAAGGGTGAATTTTATTGTATGTAAACTATATCTCAATTTAAAATTAATTTTAAAAACAGCATGCAAAAATATAGCAACACATCAAAAGATTAATGTATCATGATCAAGTAGGGTTTATTTTTTTTAAATGCAGGGATAGTCCAACATTATAAAATTTACTAATGAAATTCTTTAAATTAAATCATTTGAAGGAATGTGTGTATATTAATATGTGTTATATAAATGTATTAATAATTCTGTTTATACATTTTAATAAAACAATCATTTCTCCTCTGCATAACCTAGAAATAAAAATAAATCTACTTAATCTGAAAAAGATTTCTCCCTGGAACTTAAAAAGATTAAACCTTTTTAATGACGAAATGTCAAAGCATTTTTATTTATGTCTGAACTTAACTAAGAATGCCTATTTAGTGATATGCTGCTATATAAAACAACTCAATTCTAACCAATATAACAATAATAATTAATTCATTGAAAAATTGTGAAAATGAGACGAAGCTCTAATTAAGTGCAGACAATATAATAGTTCACAAGAAAACTAAAAAATATTAACTGAAAAAATTGTATAACCAAAAAGAATTCAAAGTAGCTAAGGTATGAGAACATGAATATGCAATATTTAATGATATTTCTATATATCAAGGTAAAAAATCTAATGAATCAAACATTTTAATCACAATATCAATAGACACCAGTAATCACCTAGAAACAAATATAAAGGTGTGCAGCCAATTTTTAAAGTTCTATAAAAGCTATTAAAAAGACACAAAGAAATGAGAAAACCTGTGTTGTTAGTGAATAATAAAACCTGATATTATAAAAAATCTAGTTTCTCTAAATTAAATTATAAAATACACTAAACAAGAAAATAATACATTTTGAAACTTGAAATAATTTCTACGTTTATCTGAAAAAAAATATATTATGTCAAAATCCTGGAAATTTCTGAAAGAGAAGAGTAATGTGGTATTATCAGCCTCTCCAAATATTATGAGGCTATAGTAACTAAAATAATTTGAATCCAGAGTTGATATATGGACCCAGGACAGTGACACAGAACAAAAGCCTCTAAAATAAACCTCAATATATGTGAGATTCTAGATATGACAAAAGTAGTATATCAAAACTTTGGGAGACTAAATGGATCATTCATTTATTCACTAACTTTTGTAAAGCAAGAGTGAAGCAAAGGGTGTAAAGAACAAAACTGTGCCAATTAAGGGTATTCTGAGGAATTCAAAATGTTTGAAATTTGATCAAATCACCATCTTTATTCAGAATCAGTTAACTACAGAGAAAGCCAGATTGGTATTCTATGCACAGAGTTCTAAATAACCATTTCTCTTCGTCTTTTGATATTGAAACTAGTACTGGACTTTTTTATTGTTATAGCAGAAAGTATTCATTCCTGAATGTCATCTGTGTAAGCATAACTTTTCTTCTGCATCTTTTCACATGGCACCCTAGAATTAGGAAACTTAAGGAAAGATGTTACTGATTAAATCAACCTATCTAGAACATTCTAAGAATATAAAAGAGTCATTTATTCAAAGAATATGCAAACACATCATTAGAGCTAACAGATATATTGTACACACACACATACACACACACACATACACACAGCCACTTAGTAGTATCTCATCGCCCTTCATCACAAGACTTGAGACCACATTTATTTAGCAAGATGAAAATATACATATTGTTTCTCACTTCACTAATTCACATTTCCCTTTTGGTAACCAACCCATGAATCTTCTCCTATTTTCTCCAAAATGTAAAGAATTAAAACAAAACAAGAAAATAAGCACAAACAAGGCCATCACAAGTGTATCCTACTTAGTGCACTGGTTGTCCTTATAACATTTAATTTTTGATACATACAATGTCACAGATATCATTGTTTTTTGTGTTACCTAGTGGTGTTTAAATGGTTGGCCTCAAAAGGTCTTAATAACAGTTGGTTCAAGTTAAGGAAATTACATAGAAAGCTACACACCTTGAATATCTCACCTAAAACTCAGCATTTTCTTTAACAATATTGTAATATCAACATAAATCTTTTAATCTACCAAGATCCTGTATTTGAAAAACAGCTTTGTTTAAAAACTATTTTTCTTTGCAATGGTAGGTTTAAAATGATTCCATCTTTGGTATAGGAACACCTTACATATTTAATCTTTTCTGTACACTTCATGAGGTCACAAAACCATATCTGTCCCACTTATTGATTATTGGCAGTAGTTACCTGAGCAAATATATACAATAAATATCTTATAAATGAAGAAGTAAAGCCAAAATACATATAATATATCCCATTATATATTATATAGTTATACATCTGTAAAGATTACCTATATAATTATCTATATCTAAAACAAGTCATTGCACTAAAGCACCTGAATATTCCTCTTATGCTATCCTCAGAAACCCTTAGTAAGAACCTACTCTCATAGTTTACATATGATTCTAAAAGGCTTAATTTTAACTCTTCGGAAATGGGGTTATGTTGGTAGCACAGTGTGATCAGGAAGATGTTAGCACTCCATAATTTTCATAAATCCTAACACCTCCAGTAAGAAGCACATGTGCTAAGTAAAAAACAATATGTTTTTATGTATGCCCAGCTCCAAGACAAACTTGCTAGATCCCCTTCCAATTACGCTGTTCCGCCTATGTAAAAATTCTGGCTAAAGCATGTCAACTTCGGGACTCAGCTATTGTTCCCTTACCCCAGCCACAACTGGGCTGCTCTAGCAAGGCCAACAAAAGAAACTAAACTATGATCCTTAGCTGTAATTACATCAGTCCACAACTAAGGATACTGGCACCTCCACCTTCCTGGAGGACCTTAGACCAACTTTGTTGAAAGAAGATTTGTTCCCAAAGGATTTGCTAATCATAGAATCATACAATTCTAGAGTTAGAAGAAACCCCAGGGAAGAATCATGCATCATTCATTCGATCATTCAATGATTTATTCAACAAGCCTTTAATAAGTAACTAGTACAGAACTGACAATAATTTCTAGTTTAACTTCTCATCAACTAGGTATCACTGGATTGCTAGGTATAATAACTCTAAATTATAAATTTAAAAACTTTTAATTAGGCTCAATGAATTATATAAAAGAAGGCTAAAAAGATGCACCAATTTTTAAAGATTTGTCACTCAATGCTGTGGACTGAATGTGTCCCCCCACCAAATTTCAAATGTTGAAGCCCTATATGTGATGGTATTTGGAAGTGGGGCCTTTGGGAGGTAATTTAGTCATAATATTGGAGCCCCCATGATGAAATGTCTTTATAAGAAGAAGAAGAATAGCCCTTTTTCTCTCTGCCATGCAAGAATACAAAAAGAAGATGGCCATCTGCAAACTAGGGGGAGGGCCCTCACCAGAAACTGAATTGGCCCACACCTTGATCTTGGGTTACCCAGCCTCCAGAATCGTGACAAATTAATGTTTGTTGTTTAAGCTACCCAGTCGATGGTATTTATTATAGCAACCCTAACTAAAACACAGCCCACATTTACTATATTTTAGCTTAATACAAAATTGGTGTATTTTAATATTTGTATTTCTAAAGTAAGCATAACTTAAATAAATAAGCTTCAGTTATCTCGGCATGCCCTATGTATAGAAGAGCTAATTTCTAAACAAAACGCTGCTGGGTAAATGAGGTGCTTGTGGGAAATTTGGACCCACTTGAGTTTCCTGGATAGGAAAGCCCTTAATGAAAGTAGAATATAATTCATTGGTTAGAATAAAATGGAATAGTAATGGGCATAGTTAAAAGGTGAGTGAACTAAGAAAATGAAATTGCATCCCTAATTCCTGGAGGCATTTGCTAGAGAGGGGAAGGAGGAGCAGAACAGTAGGGCACCCTCATGCCGGGTAACACAAGGGCAAAGGCTGGTTCTGAGGAGGATTGATCATGCCTATGGTAACTGCCTCAGGAAGATAAAAGGAAACCAGTAGCAAGTATTCATGCATGTAGCACCTCAGGTCTGTTCACTCTGTCTCTTTCTCGTCTTCTCTATAGAAATCATGTTAGAATTAGGTTTCTATTTATATTTGTCTATCTCTTAAGACACCTGTCAGTGTTTAAAGTGAGTCATGTACCATGGATAGGGATAAATGCATTATATAAATTATATCTAATCCTTTCAACAACCTTCTAAGGTAGATCTTAATATTCCTGTTTCATAGATGAGTAAGTATTGACTCAGAGAGATTACATTACTGACCTAACATCGCTCTTCATTAGTGTTCCTCTGAAATCAGAGCCTGAGGCAAGAACCTGGACATCAGTTGTTTATTTGGGAGATGATCTCAGGAAGCAGACTGAAGTTGTGAGGAGAATGACACAGGGAAGAAGATTAGGCCAATATACAGATCTATTACTGAGGCTACTTCTTTGGGAAACTAGGGCTTGAATCCATTGGGACCTGCTGAGAAAAGTACAGATGCCTCCCAGGGTTGCCCACCTAAATGATGAGAGGCTGGGGAGTTTATTCAAGGTTCTGGACCCTGATGATTGATGGTGGTCTTTGAGGCATTAACATCCTCATTATTCTGGCCCCTAACGGTCTGTGGGTTAGGAACTCCAGCAACATAAAAGAAGGCCATGGGCAGGAAGCTAAAAGACATGCTCATGCTGGAGATGAAATGCTGTTAGCTTGAGATGAATCTGAGCTTGCACAGAACTGTCCACTGCAGCTGTTTCTCAAGTTAGAGAGAGGCCAAGGAAATCCAACACAAGACATGAGAGTCATCTGCTACAGTCACACGTCCTTAGTTCCTGAGCCTGGAAATACGCTCAGACAAGAGAGTTGCATCATCCATGAGTACTTCTGCACACTCAACCACATGCACTCAGCCACAAAGTGACAGACGGAGAGAAAAGATCAAGAGTGCAGAGGATTTTTGCCACAATTTCACTTGATGTGTATGCCCCAGAGTAAGTGTGATTTGGGAGCTGTGCCTCCTCCTGTGTGCCTCTTATTATATGAGTATCTCATGGCAAACAATGTCATTATAATGGTCACATATATATGTTTCAAACATCTGATGCTCAACAAAGAAATGGCAATTGGTTTCAATGCTGGAGGAAAAAAATATCTGGGTGGTCCTTATTAATATGTTTAACTGTATTTATTTTCTGGGCAACAGAAGACACAATTACCCTACACTGGGACCCTAACTGTAAAGTGCTTGCCTTTCCACTACACCAAGTGTATCACACTGCATTAGCACCATTTTTCTCTCTGCAAAAATCTCTCCCATTCCATTTAATATTATGCTGATGTTATGGACCTATTATGTGGCTTGAGTCTATAAAATGTTTGCTGCACAGTTTGGAGTGAATGTTCGGTGTGGACACTGATCAAGAATCTAGGTCACGCTGCTGGGAGACATCAGGAGGAGGATCTTAAGGCAACCAACTCACAGAGGATAATAAGGGCAGCAGACGAAAGCATGGGGATAACATGGTAACAGATAACATGGGGATAGGGCTCTTTTCCAGCATTCGAGATTTGTGAGTAAAGTGTCCCTTATCATAATATGATAAACTGAATGTATTAAGTAGAAAAATAACGTGATTTTAAAAACACAATAGAGAAGGGAGCATGCACTAAAACATGCCTATGATGATTTTTCTCTTTCATACTGTCTTAGCTTGTATGAAATAAAAAAGCAGAGCTTGAGATGAGGACTTGTGCACAGATAGTTTATTCAGAGAAGTGGTTCCCAAAAAACTAGAATGAGAGTTGAATGGGATAGGAAGTGTAAATGTAAAACAGGAAGGGGGAAAGCCAATCCAAGGGTGTATAGTTGGGCTGGTGACTAACGTGAGCAACTGACGTTTAATCTTACTGGGGATGCTATCAGGAAATGTGTAGAATAACTTCAGAACTGTCTGCCTGAGACATAGAAAGAAGAGCATGCTCCTACCTGCTCCCATCCCATATTGGCCAAGAACTGAATCAGGTATAAGGATGCACTGGACTACCTGACTCCCAAGAGCAGTAGCCAACACACCTCCGAGGAAGAAACAGTTTCAGGTACAGCTAAGGTGAGGAGTTATCAGGTTATATCTCTGTTCAGCTGATGCAACAGCAATGGATGATGGGAAGAGTCGGCTGGGAGAATGTGAAATAAAGCATAAAAGATGTCTAATGCTCATATTAAAATGCACTCTGTCCATCAAAGTGTCCACAGAAATCAAACCACAGTGACTAAGTTTTATATATTTAAATAATGTAAAAGTAATATAAATCCTAAATGATGGCCTTTTATAATGCTCCTTAGTCCAATTCCAATAAAAGGGATATTTTAAAATAGAAACTCTATCCCAGGATTCTAAATTAAGGAAGTCATGCTACAGTGTGTTTTTTAAAAGGCCAAGAAAAATAAATAATACAATGAATGAAGAAATTGCAAGTGGTTAAATCAGTGGTTGTCAACCTTCGCTCCACGCTGGAATCAGGTAAAGAGATTTACAAAATATAGATGCTCAAGTTCTACAATCAGAGATTCTGATTTGATTGGTCTGGAGTGTGGCTAGAACATGAGAATTTTTTAGAGTTCTCCAGGTAATTCTAATATGCAGCTAAGGTTGAGACACATTGGCTTAAGCAAAGCACAAGTGAAAAAACCAAGAGTGTTTTAAGTACTAATGGGGACTATAATCCAAAGTGTTTTTCCTTTAATTCAAGCATTTAGATCATATGCTTTAGCTGAAAATGTCTGGGCTGGGTTATTGTTTTAGATTTCAAAAAGAGTCTCATATATGGCACTCACGACATCAGCCTTTGCAAACTGCCCACAGGTAGATTGGTATTATAGTTACTCGTTTTATATTCTCACAGTGGACTGCCAGGTGAGCAGAGGATCAGTTTAGCTTTTCAAATGTGTTCTTCAGAGATAAAGCTCTGCAATGACTGACTGAATAAATAAATTCATTGGTAATAAATGAAGCAATCTGCTACTGGATGTTTGCCCCCAAAGTATTCATTACTAAGTAAACTTGAGGTCATTAAAATGTTAACACAGTAAAAGAACACTGAAAAAAGAACATATGTCTACTGAAGTGTTTGGCACAAACTTGTTAACTTCAAGCTTCCTTTCTTTGGTAGAAAAGTAGGTCCTAAGGTCACGACTTCCTAGTTTTCATTTTTAGCTATAATGCTGCCATCAGTGTTTTGACCTGACCACCTGCTTAAGAGAAGCCAGGGCTTTGCCAGCATTTGTTTACACAGCACAATCCTGGGCATGCCAGTCTCCTTATGTTATCACCAGGAGTGTCTTGAAATACAAAATGCAGATACAAGACATGACATCCAATTTTTGCTTGACAGTTGCAAATAACATTTTATATTGAGAATGATAATATTTACTTTTGATTTTTTTTTTTTCAGGCAACGGGAAAAAGAATCAAATTCTATTTATTCAGACCAATTGAAAAATGGAGTAACCAAGATAATGGAATAATACATTCAGTGCCACTGCATATTAAGTCTGTACGGATTTTCAGTTTTCAAAAACTTAAAACACAGTAAAATACTCTTAGTGCTATAACTACCCAGGGATGATCGGGATTTTGCTCAGCAATTAAAAGCATCACTGTGAACATCAGCCACCATATACAATACTGTGATTTTTCTTTCAAACTGGTCTCCATCTATGTAACTGAGTTAGCCTTTTCAACTAGACTATTTGTACTTAGATGTTTAATTTTTTTTTCTTGAAGAAGACCTCTAATCAACCTGCTTTGAAAAATTCTACTTAGCATCAAGGCACTTAATTATCTTGCTAAGCTTTTGTTCAGTTGCTTTGTAAATAATGACATGAAACATTCCGTCTTTTTACATCCAAGCTTTTCTTCTTACTGATTAGATTCCACTTAAATAGCAACATGTTCCTTCAAGTTCCTCCAAGATGAGGGACTTTCTTTAATCACCTGAAACCTGCTGGTCTGCCTCTTTAGCATCCTGAGATATCACATTCAACAAGCTTAAATCAACAATACAACTACTTTATTCCTCACAGGTTGAGTGTATTAATTCTCATCTCTTTATCAAGCTTTTATATTAATTCAAGTATACAAAGATATGCAAAGTAGATTTTGAAATACAAAATGATTGCAATACATAAAAATGGGCTTTTCCTTCAAGTTTTTAAAATATAACTTATTTAAAAAGACAAAGTTAATAGAATCAAATTACATCTTTATAAGAAAAACCAACTTTCTATTAAGAACAAAATGTGATAATCAACAAAAAATGTATTACTCAAATATCGAAACGGTTTTTCCCTCAAAAGCACACAAAGCAAGTATTAAACATTTATTTTCAATCTGATTATAAAATGTCATTTGCACTTGTCAAAGAGTGTGTATTAAGAATTGGATACAGTTGGCCGGGCGCGGTGGCTCACGCCTGTAATCCCAGCACTTTGGGAGGCCGAGGCGGGTGGATCATGAGGTCAGGAGATCGAGACCATCCTGGCTAACAAGGTGAAACCCCGTCTCTACTAAAAATACAAAAAATTAGCCGGGCGCGGTGGCGGGCGCCTGTAGTCCCAGCTACTGGGGAGGCTGAGGCAGGAGAATGGCGTGAACCCGGGAAGCGGAGCTTGCAGTGAGCCGAGATTGCGCCACTGCAGTCCGCAGTCCGGCCTGGGCGACAGAGCGAGACTCCGTCTCAAAAAAAAAAAAAAAAAAAAAAAAAGAATTGGATACAGTTGCTTCCCAGAAAAAAAAATGAATGTGTTATGTTTTTTAATATGGGCAAATACCTGAATTAAAATAGAATGAAATGGTAAAATGTAGGGGTTAGGACTTTTAGCTAGCAGCAGCTTTAAAGAAGTGCATTCCATAAAATTTGCAAGTACTTCCAAGAAACATGGGAAGAACATTTAAGCTTAAGAAGATTTAGAGAAGAAAAAAGGAATTCTTAGAAGAAACAGCTGAAAAGTCACATAAACCAGAGTCACACGCTCCTCCCTGTAAAATAGCAAAGCTATAGAAAAGTAAATTATTATCCATCTACAGTGAATTATCTGCCTTAGGTTTCGGTGAATTTACCTTCCCCGATATCAGCTCTTTCCTTTATTCAGAAGTAATACATTCACACTTAAAAAATAAATCTAACTGCTTGTAACTAAATCCATCTGATATTTGGTTGTAATATTTTAGAGTTTTGGCTGACAAAACACTAAAAACTTTGATAAAAACAAAGACTTATGTAATTAGGTTCACTGTTGTTGAAATTCTACTCTATAATAATGTAAAAGGAGGAATGAAGGGCCCTGAGTTATTATTTGTTAAAAAGCAAGTAAATATTTGACTGAACAGGATTCTTAAAGAAATAAATGACATTTAACAAAGAATATCTGAGAGGCAGTCAAAAATACCTGGATTATCAATCCCTCCCTTAAATGAAACACTAAAAATCCCTGCCTACAATATACAAAATAAAGCATACACACAATTTTCTCTTCACTGAAAGTATATCGCCTGTAATAATAAACTTCCTTGTACCTGACTACTGTAATATCAAAAAATAGATAAAAATAAAGGCATTTAAAATAGCTTATATTTATTATTTTTATGTTGTATTTGAACATGAACTAAATTTTTTCTCAATTTGTGAAAAGAAAACCTGCCATTGATATATGTGTAATATAAAATATAATATATATTATATATATTTTTAAATACAAACAATTCTCTTTCCTCTTGGAAGAGCCTTTAAAGTTCCATACCATTTCCTGACTATGTAAAATTGTAAGAAGGTGGCAAGTCATAGACTAGAAAGAACAACAGGTTGTACTTCAGAAATCCTGGGTTCTGGATCTAGCTCTATAAGAAGCTTGATGGAGGAATCAATTCAGTCATTTAGCCTAAGTGTCTTCATCTTACATTGAGGGAATTGATATCCATTTCTTCTACTTTTCTTTCTAGTTTCATGAATTTTTTCTGAATTCTAACTTGAAGCAGATATTTCTTACATAGTTGTTTTCTCTTCTCTTCTCTTCTCTTCTCTTCTCTTCTCTTCTCTTTCCTTTTCTTTTTAAGAAATGATCTTGCTCTGTCGCCCAGGCTGGAGTGTAGTGGTGCCATCATAGCTTACTGTAACCTTGAATTTCTGGGCTCAAGTGATCGTCCTCCCTCAGCCTCCTGAGTAGCTGGGACTACAGACACACACCACCATGCCTGGCTAATTTTTTATTTTATTTTTTTGAGATAGGGTCTCACTCTGTGGCCCAGGCTGGTCTCAAACTCCTAGCCTCAAACAATCGCTCCCACCTCAGCCCCTCAAAGCGCTGGGATCACAGGCGTGAGCCACCACATCCAGTCCCTCTTATATAGTTCCAAAAAGTTACCTAAGTTCCAAAACCACAATTATAAAGCTTAGATGAAAAGTTATTATAATCCCTTTTAGGTCTTAAAATAATTATGGTTTTGAAATATACGCTTTACAAGAGGAAAGTAATTCTTAATGTAAAATTATTTATTGATACGTATGTTTAGATATTAAACAGGGTTTTTCTCAAGGTTGAGCATATTATGAAAAAACTGTTGGCATATTTCTGGATTTCATTTATAAGATACTCACATATAGCATTTTAGAATTTTAAAATCTCTCTTTGTTTTAATATTATATCCTCAATGATTTGGCCATCCAGTGGCCTTAGATTTAAAACCATCACCTTAAATAGTATCTGCTTTTGGATGAAGTGATGTCACTCCTTTAAGATGAAGCAGAAGACCCTATCATTTCAGAATTACACCCAGAAAGAAACTCAAGTTTAAGATTTATCTCCAAATGAGGCTATTCACTCAAATAACTGGAATATTCTGACTAGATCAAAAGAACATGGTATTTACCATACAATTCAAACTCATGACTACTATTAGGTATATTTATAAAGTTTGAGTAACAAACTTTACTAAAGATAGGTTCAAATAAATCCTGTAATTACTTTGAGAATACCCAAGTTCTATTGCATTATAATTTGTGTTTAAAGCATTATTTCTTCCAATATAAGCCCTGAAAATAAAATTCCTTTTTAACACTGCTTTTTCATTTCTCCATTTTTATAATATACCAGAAGTTTTAAAAGGGGGTGGCCTCTGCACTCTTGACCTCTGAGAGCCCTTATATAACAGTGTTTGCAAACAGAAAGTGCAGATGTCACTGGGAAGTGACACATTTACGTTGGATCCATGCCTTTTAATTATATCCAAATAAGGCAAAGTCGTTTAGCTTATTCTTGACTTGGGACCTCCATATTTTGCATTGTCTAAATTAATCAACTGGTTCCCAAAAGCAACTTTGCCATTAGCAGTTCTGAAGCATATTGAAAGTGGCAGTTACACTTTCAATCCAGTAGCAGAGATTAAAAAAATTTGAAATAGACTGGCAAGGGAACCAGGCTCACATAAAGGGGCTCTCATAAGGGCTTCCTTGAATCGGAGGAAAAATCTGTCAGGTGGCAGCAGGGCTTTGTGGTTCATGCCATCTCACTCTCTTTGTCTTTAATCATCCATGAAGAGTGGCAGCTCTGTTGCTACTGGCCATCAAATCACATCAAAACCTGGGCCTGAGTCTTCACATTCTGAAGCCTCTGCTCAAGCAGCATAAACCTCTCTGTGTCATCTTGAGGAACAAGTAATGACATCCTTTCTTCTCTTTCATAAATACCAGTCGTGGGGCTGGGGAATCTTAAATAAGAAACTAGCATGCTGGTACCTCTTCCTGATGCATGCTATCTAAAAGATCGTGTGCCTGTGAAAAAATCATTATTTTACAAAACATGAGGAACCTAGGCTCTCCAATGTGATAATGAAGACAACTATATATTTAGGTGCCCATGATATAGGCAGGTATTTTAATATAAATGCAACTCTCTTCAAATAAGTTCTATAATTAATTGCAGCATTATTAGTATTGTTCGACAGAAAGATAAATATTTGTCTTGGTAATCTTACTGCACTAAATTTAAGCAATAAAATGTGTTTATTATAAAGGTCATTGACCTGTGTAGAACATTTTCTTTTTAAAATTACATTTAATACATCCTTCATCCAAATAAAGCTCTAAGTAACAGGGCACTATAATTTTTTCCTACATTAATAATGAATATTAAAATTTTATTTATAAAATGTACATATGCCAACATTAATAAACTATTTTCTTATTAGAAGGAGGACTACTAAGATTCTTTGAATGAATACTCACTAAAATTCAATTGATCGAATGCAGTGTAACAAGGAATAAATAAAATTGTGAGTTTCTGGCATCATTTCTAACATGTGGTCCAGGGACCCCTGGGCATTCCTGACACTATTTCAGGGAGCCCACAAGTCAAAGCCATTTTCATATAAATACTAAGACATCATTTAACTTTTTCATCCTCATATCTCAAGAGTGTACAGTGGTGTTTTCCAGAGGTTACGGGATGTGTGATAGCACAACAAATTAAATATGGAAACAGATATAAGAATCCAACTGTCTTTTATTAAGCCAGACATTAAAGTGTTTTGCAAAACTGTAAAATGATGCCACCCTTTGTACTAAATTTTTTCATTGGGAAAACACAGTTATTTTTCATTAAAAATAAGTTATTTATACTAATATAATGGGTTTATTATATTAAGGTAATTAGTAAATAAATATTTTAAATTTTATCAGTTTAATTTCCAATTTGGTAAATATTGCTATATATAATACAATAAACAAAACTCTTTGCAGTTTTCTATCATTTTTAAAAGTGGAAAGGGGTGCAGAGACCAAAAACTTTGTGAATATTTTTTTTTTTTTTTTTTTTTTTTTGAGACAGAGTCTCGCTCTGTCGCCCAGGCCGGACTGCGGACTGCAGTGGCGCAATCTCGGCTCACTGCAAGCTCCGCTTCCCGGGTTCACGCCATTCTCCTGCCTCAGCCTCCCCAGTAGCTGGGACTACAGGCGCCCGCCACCGCGCCCGGCTAATTTTTTGTATTTTTAGTAGAGACGGGGTTTCACCTTGTTAGCCAGGATGGTCTCGATCTCCTGACCTCATGATCCACCCGCCCCGGCCTCCCAAAGTGCTGGGATTACAGGCGTGAGCCACCGCGCCCGGCCGTGAATATTTATAAAATGTGATATATTATATTTTGTATGTTTTTGCATATGTTTTATAATATATTTCATAATAATATATTTTATAATTTATATATGTAATTTTTCAATCACTCCCAAAATGCAAGAGACTGAGAAAACAGTTTTGTGTACATCATTAATGTGCCTTAGCCAGAATACTAGGGGGCAAGTGAAAAGAGCATCAGAAAAACCTAGACTGTTATGGGCTCTGCAGGACTTAAGCAGGAGGCACTGCAGCCAGGACAAAGAGCCTCAGATAACTGCTTATATTTATTGCCAATTATCCCTACAGACCTTAGCATATATTAGATGAATGAATGAATGAATGAATGAATGGCAGGGTAAATGCTATGGTTTGATTTGAGATGCAGCTGAGAGAGTAAGGTTCAATAGAACAAGACTGGGTAACACTCTGAATGAGTCAATTCAAGACGATGGAAAAATTCAAGTGGAAGTCCAGGCAAGTAGCAGAGGTCTGAGCCCAAGGAGCAACGAGAGCAGAAAGAAGATACAGAGCCTGAGCTGGTACAGGGAAAACAGCCTCAGGAATGTCTCCTGCTCACAGACCTGGCACCTGACCACCATGGAGAAACGGCACTGTCTCACAGGCAGCAGTGTCGTTCTTGATTATCTCTATGCCTTATGGGACCTTGAAAGCATCAGGCCCTCTTGGAAGATCAGCTCCACGTGGTTAAGGCTACTACTTCATGTGCTCAAAAAGTCAACCCTGAAGAAGGTGGTGCTACCTTTTCAGGGAGATAAGTCACAGCTGAGCCTCGATATAAGGGATCCCATAACTGGAACAAGCCATTCCTCTGGACTTTGGAACTCTTCTTCTGGAACCCGTCCTAGCTTGGCTCCTACCAGTGAACTAAGGCAAAGCTGGACTTTGGATGGGTTTAACCAGCAGCTATACATTTTTTGGATATATGGTGTAAAGATCTAATTTTTCAGTAAGTACAGTTGTTTTGTGACTTTTTCAACAGTCTACTCTGTTGTGAGGTATGGAATACTTTCAAAAAGATGGCAGTATAGCACTAAGTATTCTCTCTAGGACCCAGGATTCTATCATCCTAGAAGGAACACCTGAATAAAGAAACATCCATTTTGACAAGTATATCTGAAAAAAAAAATAATATCTTTTCTCTAAGGCCTAATCCTACCCTTTATCCATAATATTTTAAACTCAACAAGTCTCAGGTTTCCAGTGACTTTTAATAAAGTTTAAAAGAGCAGCAGCTAAAATGTACGTAGATACTTTATTTTCTATTTTAGTTCTTTCTATATTTTTGTTTTAGTAATTTATTCACTTAAATATATAGTAAGTGCTGATTACTTGCCAGACACAGATCCAGGAACTTGGCATACCACAATCAATGAAACAGACAGAAATCACTGCCCCCATGAGATTTGCATTCTAGTAAACAAACATTATATAAAATAATACATAATTCCATAGACCTATAAAGTCTTAGGTATTACTATACTCAGTTTTCAAATCAGAAAATTAAGTGACTGGGCCCAAGACCTCACAGTGTTTTAAGGAGAGAGCTAGAACTCAAATATGATCTAATGATACCAAATCCTGATGTTATTCCACCTGGCTACAACACCTTCATATCACACACTAAACACTATGCAAAAGGGAAAAAAAAGGCTATTTCATGACATCTAAATGATATTGTTTATACTTAGACTATTCTCTACTTTTCTCTGAGGCTGGCAAATTCTCAAGTAGGTGCATGTAAACAAGCCTAACTGATAAACACTGGAAACTGATTCCAATTCATATCTTTATATATTTTATATTATTAAAATATCTTTAATATTTAATATTTAATATGTTAAAATATCTTTAAATATTTTATTGGAGTATTATATATTAGCACTGATCATAAGTACACAGCCCAGTGAATTTTCATGTGCTGAACACACCATTCTAACCAGCATCAAAACCCAGAAAATCACTATTCCCCCAAAATCCTTCCTCATGCCAACTTCCAGTCACAATACAAACCCCCAATGGTAACCACTATCCTGAGATTAGTTTTGTCTATTTTTGAATAACAGAATCACAAAGAATATACTTTTTAACATCTAACTTCATTTTCTCAATATTATGTCTGTGAGATTCATCCATATTAAGTGTAGTTAGAGACTATTCATTTTCATTCAATTTATTTATCTTTTCTACTATTGGTTGAGATTAGAGTACTTGCTGCCATCGAGATTCTTATGCAGTCTTCTGCTGAATATTTCACATATTTTTCTTGAGTATACACCTAGGAGTAACACTGCTGTTCATAGGGTAGGTATAGGTATATGTTCAGCTTTAGTAGCTAATGTCAGTTTTCCAAAGTGGTTACACTAATTTACTTTCTCATCAGCAATATTTGAGAATCCTAATTGCTCCAGGCTGTAAATATTTAAATTCAATGTCAAGATTCTTCAAAAATGAACACCAACTGATCTCTATGATACTCTCATACTATTTCATTTTACAGAGAAATCCATATATGATTGGCCTATACTTTAAAAATAGAGATGATATAATAAATATATATACCTTAGTGTTCCCCAGTATTAGCCTCTTCTTTAAGGTGCTTGCACGTACCAGCAGGACTATAAAATCTAGGTGGCAAAGAAATGTCAAGAGGTCTGGGATCCTATGCTGTCTATGACAAAATATATTGAGCAAACACTTCCAAACCGAACATAACTAATCATTTTATTAGAGTGATGATAGCCTTTTTCTTCTTTTTCATTACTGTATATCTGGGCAGTCTTGAACTAATAAAGTACCTTCTCCTAGAATAAAAACAATTACATAATACATAAAGACAAGGTATTAGGTAAGCTAAGTTTCTAAGAGATTGAATAATTGGTCTTTCTTAATTGTAGAACTAGCCCGTGACTCCAACTTGCAAGGACTAGTGGATCTATATTGTAAGCTAAATCTATTTCTGACAATTCATTTGCCTTTGATTTTAATAGAATGCCTATCAAAGAACTGGGAGCAGGCAAATACTTATCTATATTCCAATTCTGATAAGTGGAATATTAAAAATGCTTAAGACCCTCCTTGTGCCATTTTGGAACATGAATTTTCTTTGCTACGCATGCTCCAACTAGAGACCATGAAATGACAGGGACAAAATGATATTTCAGAAAACCAGTACATAATAGATACTCAATAAACATTTAATGACTGGGGAAATAGATTACTTTTTAATTACAAGTGATATATATACACACAGGGAAACTCAGTGCTTTCCAGGTTAATTTCCAACCATGATTATAATAAAACTAAAAATAACTTTAATCATCTGGACTTCATGACTTTCAAAAATACCTACTGGCTAAGCAGTACAATTACAGGTGCTGTGAAATTGCTCCTAAGAAGGATATAAGATACACTCCTCATCTCCTATGACCTTAAAATTTATTAGGGACTTAAATATAACCAGTGCTAGATAACCAGCCCAGTCATGAAAGGAAAAAAACTAAGCCAAATATATCTGTTTGTCTAGTACATTCTTTTTCTCCAGGCCTGACTTTCTCAAGGTGTACATCTGAGACCAACTGCTTCTGAATCTGAGCATCTTCGAAGGTACTTATGAAAAATGCATAGCCCTATTTGGGCCTCTCCTCAGACTTACCAATTCAAAATCCTTGGAGTAAGGCCAAGATATCTGCATTCTTAACAAGTGCTTAAAGTAAAGTTTCAGAATCACTGCTCAAATTGGAATTGGAGATACGTGGGAGGATTGGGGTAGATGAAGGAGAAGTAGGAATAAACCAGGCTACATCATTCTTGGCTGCTGTAAAAAAAAATCACATAATTCTGTTTCCCTCTTTTGAACTGACCATTATTCTAATTCTTGTCTAAGTTGTGTTTTTAAAATAAAGATTCCTAGCCCCATCTTAAACAGACTAAACTGAAATCTCCCACAGAAGGACCAGGGAGTAAATATTTTTGAGACTATCTTCCTTAGTGTTCTAAGGATCAGGAAAGTTTGAAACACTGTGATAACTAGCATGCATTTTATTCAAACAATTAGTTTGGCTGCTAAGAGAGTTTAAAACTTTGACTCCCAAATTTTCATTGGCTTTAATCATGTATCTCTTTCTTAATCTTTTACCATGGGGAAAAAAAAATGACACTTTTACACTGCCAATCCTCTTCATTTCTATAGCTGATTTTTCTTCCTTCTTTCTTTTTAATCTTTCTTATTGGAGTAAACACACACACAGCAAATTGTACAAATCATAAAGTGAACATACTCAGGTAACCAACACCTAGATCAAGAAACAGACCACCAGCACTCAAGAAGGTCCTCTTCTTGTCATTACTACTCACCCTCCAACAATAATGCTAACCACCATCCTAACTTACAACACCACAGATCAGTTTAACCTGCTTTTGAAGTTTACACAAATTGAACAATAGAATGTTCTTACTGGTATCCAGTGGTTTCTTTCACTCAACATTGAGCTTGTGAAATTAATCCATGCCGTTGTATATACGTACAGTTGTCTCATCCTTTTTTCTGTATTTTTTGTAATAGTGTACCACAATTAATGCATCTATTGTACTGTTGTTTCCACTTTGGGACTATTACTAAGTGCAGCTATGCACATTCTTGCACATGTTGATGAACATATAGATTCATTTCTGTTGGTTATAGACTTAGAAATGGAATTGCTAGTTAGAGGATAGCTATATATTTAGCTTTAGTTCTATTACCAAATATGTTTCTGATGTGGTAGAACTTCCAACAGCAGAGGAAAAGAATCTCAGTTCCTCCCATGCTTTACACTGCCCCTTTTTTTTCATTTTAACTATTCTTTGTGGTTTGCACTTGCATTTTCTATGGTTGGTTTCCAAACTTTTTTCCCTTAGGATCCAAATTCTTTCACAGCTCTACGCTTCACAGTCTATGCTAGTCCCGGGACCCAAAGTATCTAAAGTTTAAGCTCCTGGATAAATTTGGCCACACAGAAGATAGTAAGCTCCCTCTAAAATAACTTAACCTAACTCCATTTTACTTTGATTATATAAGCAGAGGCAGAAACAGTCATTATCAACACTCACACCTAATTTCAGCATCCCTAAAAATTGAAAGAGAAAAAAAAAAGGTGGGGGGACCTAAATGTTGCTAACCCAAGTATAGTAAACAATTTCTTCACCAAAGAATGATGCTGGGTTGTGGAGGATACTGAATAGGCACACAGGAATACAAAGTATTCAGTTTTTTAATATTCTTCCTGGTTGCAAATTCTACCCACAAAAATTCATTTTCAGTAATGGCTCAATATCTATACTATTAGCCAATGTATTTGTGAAAGCAATATAATGTGAAATTGAAGTTTTAATAGTTTTTTTTAAGAGAAGAAATACAATTAACTGATGGAAGGTGAGCTAACGATATTATTCAAGACTCTGGTGTTATTTTTCATTTTCCCTGTATGCTATTTTGTCTCTAAAAATGCAGCATAGATTTAGCTAGAAATGTAACTCTTAAAAAGCATTCTGTCAGAAATACCAGCCCACTAATGAGACACCTCCAAGACACTGAGGTAGACAAAGGACAGAAAAAGATTGCCGGTTGTAAGAGAATCATGGCTGAGTGAGAATTTCATTTTTGTTTTTTTGAAGCAAAACAGAATTTCAGATTTACGTACTGCCAGAATATCTCTCCTTGGCACTTCAAAGATAGATTGAGTTGGAAAGAGAAAGAACATTTTGTGTCCTCCCTCATGGTTTGGTAACCTTAATGCTGACTGGGGCTGTAGCAGTTTGCAGGGAGGGGGTTAATCTGAGAGTGAGGAATGATACAGCTAATCCATTCCCTCAGGCAGAAGTTGAAATGACTGTTTAGAAAGAGATTTAAGGAAAAAGTCGCTCACGTAGAAAAATGTATGTTACTTCTCAGAAAAGCCTACATTTTCAAAGCATAATATTTCCTTGCCCCTATGCCAAAAGAACTAAACCAATGTTATTTAAAGATTAATTAAATTAGATTGGGAGAAAGTTCACTAAGGTTTACATAACACAAACCCATATAATAATTTTTTTCTAATTATAAAGATTTCATGTTTGAACAAACACCTTTCTTCTAAGCTGCTGAACATATTCAGAGGTAAATTAAACTATTTGAGTAAGTTGAGCAATTACAACAAATTAGACAACAGCCTCACTTGCTCCCTAAACCACAAAATCTTCATGAATGCTTTGCATTGACCCACAAATAGAACAATAAGAAGGATGTTAAAAGGTACTGTCAAAGGAACGGAATGCTAAATGCTGCAAGCTTTGTCTAAATCCCTCTAAATAAAGGCGACAAATTGCCATGTCATGCATTGGGGAACCTTTCTTGTAAAGACCCGGGCAATAATGAGATCCTTTGGCCTTCTGCAGTGTCAGATCATATCAAATACAAATGAGCAAACTCTAACCTGAATATATTTATTTCTTAAGTAGTCATCTATTTCTTTATAAAACTGATCAAAATACTCTTTGATTCCACTGTTTTCTCTAGAAGAAAAGTAATATAAATCATATAAAGGTAACACAAAAGTATGCTTATTACTCCACCAACTAGCTAAAAGCCCTAATAAAATGTTACTTCTCTCTTTTCCTAATGCATTTCTAATGGATACATTATGCCTTATGACAGTGTTTTCTAAACTTCAGAATTTGGCAGTCCTAAGTATGTGCTCTGGTAACCCAGAAGCCAATAGTAGGAGAATGAGAAATAATGTTTTGCCAGTGTTTAACTATATAATGCATAATTTCTCTCTCCTTACCTATGTTATTCATAATGAAGAGGGAGTGTCTACAAAGAGCTTAACAGATAGAATTAGAAGTTTTGATTATAATTCTAACTTGTTTATATTTGTTATACAGATATAATATCTGGAATGAATACTCCCTTTTCCATCCAAATATCTGGCATAATCTGAATATAAAAGTGGTTTATTGAATCCTTGCTGCTTCTGAAGCCAACTACATAAACAGGCTTTCAAAAATTGTCAGTCAGCTGACAATACACTTTAAAGGAGGAGCCAACCATCAAAATAATTAACAACAAGGACAGCACAGGCACTGCCTAATTAGAAAAAATACCCAGCCAATCAAAATGGTCATCACCATAAATAACAAGTATAGCCATGCTAGCATGTTCTGGCTGAAGAGTGAGCCCAATAAAACACGTCATTCTAACAGTCACTGAGATCTGTTGACCTTTAATAAGCTATAGCAGGGCACACGCATGCACACAAGCCAACATAAATCTATAACTTGTTTTTCTTCTTTTATTTTTATACAACACTGTATCATTGACATTTGGACATCCTCCACATCCCATTAAATATGGATCTAGCTCATTCTTTTTAATACTATCAAAATATCCCAACATACAATATCCTCTATTGGTAGATCATTCATCTATTGATGGATATTTAAGCCTTTTTCAGTTATTCCAACAAATAAAATAGCAGTGCACATCATTTATACATATATATATTTATGTACTAATGCTTTCTAATTTTTAATTCTCAAATATTCTGACAATTAGGATTGCTAAAGCCAGGTGTGGTGGCACACACCTGTAGTCCTAGCTACTAGGGAGTCTGAGGCAAAAGGATCACTGGAGCCCAGGAGTTCCAGGCTTCTGTGTGCAATGATCATGCTTATAAATAGTCACTGCACTCCAGCTTGGGCAAAATAACAGGACCCCACCTCAAAAAAAAAAATTAGAATCGCTGAGTCAAAATTTATGTGTTTGTCTTTTTAACTGATTATGTGAGATTGCTTTAAAAAGACATTGCAACAATTTATACTATTAGAATTCCTATGTTCCTAAGGATTACACATGGTAAGTGTTAATGCTGTGCTGTGGTTTGGGTTCCCTGGAAAATAGCCCTTTAGAGTTTTCCAACCTACAGGCAAGGCAGTTGGACTTTCGTATGTTACATCATGAGTAATTGCTGGCAGGCCATCCTCAGGGAGAGGCCATAATCTTAGGCAAGGCAGCTGTCTCTGAGGAAAATTCTTGGAGAAGGAATCAGCTGAAAATTATTGCCTGACCAAACTCTCAGCAGAAGGGAGAGTGCTTCAGTCCTAAAGGGGAATCTGACCCATCTTACGGTTGAAAAATGTATCTTGTTGCTTTAGTGTAAATTGTTGCAATGTCTTTTTAAAGCAATCTCACATAATCAGTTAAAAAGACAAACACATAACTTTTGACTCAGCAATCCTAATTTTTTTTTTGAGGTGGGGACCTGTTATGCTGCCAAGCTGGAGTGCATTGGCTATTTATAAGCATGATCATAACACACAGAAGCCTAGAACTCCTGGGCTCAAGTGATCCTCCTGACTCAGCCTTCCCAGTAGCTAGGACTACAGAAATACGAATTTCTCTGAATACTAATGCAGAAGCATATTTTCACGTTTATTGACCATTTGGAATTTGTCTTCTGTAACATGCTTGTTCATGCCCTTTGCCCATTTTTCTTTTGGTCATTTGGTTTTTTATTTTCCTTTTGTAGGAACTCTTTGTATATTATGGAAAATAAACCTATATTTATCACACGAGTTACAAATATTTGCCCAGTATATCATTTGTCATCCAATTTATCTATTTTTTGTTAAATGTATCAGGGTCCTGGCAGGAAACAGATAGTACACTCAAAGGCTTTTAACTTTGAGTGAAAGGAATTAAATAAAGGAGCCATGTCCAAAGATGCAGGAAGATTAAAGGCATCAACAAATCTTCCAACAATAAGAAAATGCTGTCTCAACCTCTAGGTCTTAGGGGTAAAAAGAAAGGAAGGAACTAAACTCTGTTGAGCCGGATATGTGGAAGAGGAGGGGCCCAGATGATACACTGCATAAAAGTAAGCCCCTTGGGTCATGCAGCAAGCCAGAGAAAGGCAGGGGGACTTAGAGTAGGAGGAGAGTAAATGGAGAATAATCAACACACCATATAAAATGTTTAACTTTTTATGTAGAAGAAAATTTCAACATTTTTTAAGAACTTTAATAACATTGTTACGTTAGCACTGTTTAAAAATATTATTGTTGACAAATTTTGATTTTAGAATAGTTTAGGACTTGTAAGAACCAACTATTGAAACATGCAACAATCTAGAGGAATTTTCCGAGATTCATGCTGAGGGGAAAAAAGCCAATCCCAAAGGTTTACATTATATCCTTCTATTTATATAACATTCTTGAAATGACAAAAGGTTTAAAGAGAGGGAGGGGTGGGAGGGAAATGAATGTGGCTACAAAAGGAAAACAAGAGGAATCCTTGTGGTGATGAAAGTGTTACGTTTTAAAAAAAAATTTTTTTTTTTACATTTTTATAGATTCAGGAGTATAAGTTCAGTTGTGTTACATGGATATAGGGTGTAGTGGTAAAGCCTGGGCTTTTGTTGTACCTATCACCCAAATAGTGCACATTGTACCCAATAGGTAGTATTTTATCCCTTGGCCCCTTCTCACCTTCCCATCTTCCCACCATTTGGAGTCCACAATGTCTATTATTCCACTCTGCATGTCCATGTATGTCCATTGTTTAGCTCTCACCTGTAAGTGAGAACATGTGGTTTTTGACTTTCTGTTTCTGAGTCATTTCAGTTAGGATAATGGTCTCCTGTTCTATCCATGTTGCTGCAAAAGACATGATTTCATTCTTTTTTATGGCAGAGTAGTATTCCATGGTATATATATGCCATATTTTTATCCAGTCATTCCTCGATCAACATTTAGGTTGATTCCATGACTCTGCTTTTGTGAATGGTGCTGCAATAAGCATATGAACACAGGGGTCTTTTTGATATAATGATTTATTTTCCTTTGGATACATACCCAGAAGTAGGATACATGGATAGTATGATAGTTCTATTTTTAGTTCTTTGAGAAATCTCCACAGTTTTCTAAAGAGGTTGCACAATTTACCTTCCCACCGACAGTGTATAAGAATTTTCTTTTCTCTACATCCTTGCCAACATGTATTGCTTTTGACTTTTTAATAGCTATTCTGACTGTTGTGAAATGGTATTGTGGCTTTAATTTGCATTTCCCTGATGATTAGTGATGTTGAGCATTTTTTCATGTTTGTTGGGTGCTTGTATGTCTTCTTTTGAAATATGTCTGTTCATGTCCTTTGCCCACTTTTTAACAGAGTTATTTGTTTTTTTCTTGTTGAGTTATTTGAGTTCTTTGTAGATTCTGGATATTAGACCTTTGTCCAGATGCATTGTTTGCAAATATTTTCTCCCATTCTATATGTTGTCTTTTTACTCTGTTAATTATTTCTTTAGCTGTGCAGAAGCTTTTGCATTTAATTAAGTCTAATTTTTCTATTTTCGTTTTTGTTGTTTTTCTGAGGACTTAGTCATAAACTCTTTGTCTATGCTTAGGACAATATCCAATAGAGTTTTTCCTAGGTTTTCTTCTGGGACTTTTATTGGTTTTGGTCTTACATTTAAGTCTTTGGTCCATATTTAGTTAATTTTTATATACAGTACAAGATAGGGGTCCAGTTTCATTCTTCTGCATACGGTTCTCCAATTCTCCCAGCACCATTTATTGAATAAGATGTTCATTCCCCAGTGTATATCTGTGTTGACTTTATCAAATATCAGGTACTTGTAGGTATGTAGCCTTATTTTTGGGTTCTCTTTCTGTTCCATTGATCTGTGTCTAGTTTTATACCAGTACCATGCTGTTTTGGGTACTATACCTTGTAGTATAGTTAGAAGTCAAGTAATGTAACACCACCAGCTTTATCCTTTTTGCTTACGATTGCTTTCACTATTCAGGTTCTTTTTTGATTCCACATGAATTTTAGGATTGTTTTTTCTAATTCTGGGAAAAACGATGTTGGTAATTTGATAGGATTGCATAGCTTGACTGTCAATGTTAATAACCTGGCAGTGATACTGCACTATATAGCTTTACAAATGAAAAACTAGAATTTATTTGAAAAGAAATAGAACTTATAAAAAAAGAACCAAATAGAAATTATAGAATTGATATTGAACTGTAATTCAGAAAATGTTACCATTGGGGGAAACTGAGTCAAGCATAAATGGGATCTCATTGTTCCTTACAACTGCATATGAACCAACAATTATCTCAAAATAAAAAGTTTAACTAATTTTTTTTCTTTTTAAAAAGAGTAACTGCCAAACTCCTTGATGTCCAGTTTCTCTGCACTCTCACCAGACTTTGGTACTGTCAGCATATTTCAATCTTAGCCACTCTAATAGATATGTAGTGGTGCTTATAACTGCTAACGTTTAAATATTTTACTTATTAAAATAATGAAGACATTTTTCTAGATCTAAAAATAAATTCCATTCCCTTTTGGAGACGTTCTTTCTCCCCTGCATATTACCATACTCTTGTGTCTTTTTTTCTTTTGGACTTGGCTTCCTGGAAACTTGTGCAAGAACTTTGCCCCCTACCAGGGACTAACGTACCCTAGCTTCATGCTGCCAGTCAGTCATACAGGCAGAGGAGGAGGGAACAACCTGGGGAAGATGCTGGTGGAAAATCAATTAGGAGGGCTGGAATGTGAGGGCAGAATTGAGGTCAATTCCACCCTACTCCTGCAATGGTAAGGTCTACAGTCTAATCTAGCCCAAGTAAAGGTGTGACTGCAGGTCCTGACTCATTTTATGCCAATGCTGAGATAGAAGGTAAATCAGATCCAGGAGGAATGGGGCAGACACAGGGCTCAGAAAGCTCAGACCAGACCAAATTTCCATAAGTTCATACTAAGCAAGGCAAAAGAGCACAAAACCAGAATCTAGCATATCCCCAGAAGAGGACTGGCAAGAACACGACAGGCAACAAATCCAGAGAAAGGTTTTCCTCTAGAGTCCCTGACTCTGAGGGGAAAGAAAGAATGAGAAAGGATGGAAACAACCCAGGAAGCCAAGAGACCCAGCAAGAAGGAGGAGAGCAGGCCCATTCATTTTTAAATTTAACCAATTTAGGGTCTAGGGTGATTGACTGAAAATCTCACTTCTTATTTCCATAAGAAGGACATTCATCCAATAGATAGTTGGATACCAATTTCAAACAGTAGAAAGATGACCCAGGGTTGGAGCATATAGGCCTCATTTTTGTTGCCAACTACAGTTGCTATCCCTGACAAATGTGTTGTGGGTGCAATCATCCTTTTGCTGTCAAGTGTTACTTAACAATTTTTAAAAATTATATCTATACTCTTTTTGTGTAAAACTCCTCACCTTTTTGGTTGTAGGTAGATGTATAAACAATAAATATACCAACTTAAGATAATGTTGAATTCAAAAGAAGAAGCAAGCTACATGTTTATATAATGGTATAATAGGTTTTACTAAGAAGTGAATTTGACTCTACTTACATATTTAGACAAAATGAAATTTTTTTATCACTGCAAAAAAATAATGCTTGAGGATGTTCTGTTTCCAAATCTCTTTCCATGTAGACGAGATCATGAAAAGAGCAGATGTTTCAAAATTATGGCCATTGGTTTTACCTCCCAAATCCCAAGACATTAAAAAAGTCTTTTTTCTGCCAAAACGTCTATCCAATCATTACGCCTTTTGCTCGTCCAGAGGGATAGGTTCTATTTAGAATAACCAGATGGCAGTAGAGTAACATGTCTCCTGTTGAATCAGTAAATTGTTGATTATTGCTAAGGACTATTAAAGTTAAAAAAAATAAAAAGATTATGGCTCATATTCTGGTTTATTTATTTTTTTGACCTCAACTTGGAATTATGATTAGAATATTTTCTTGGTATGTTTCTCATACCAATTGTTTCAGCTTTTTTAACTGACTGCAAAGTTCATTCTTTATGTATGACATGCAGAGTACAGTTTAAGCTGTAATAGAGAAGAGGCAGCACTAGAGATTATGCTTCAAAGCATAGTTTTCCTATTACGTGACAGATTTCGATTTGTCATTTTCAAGTAACTCACATGAAGTATTTTATGTGTTTAAATTGTTGTGGTGTTTCTTCTTCATGAATGCAATATTTACAAGTGAAACATATGTAAACTGAGATAATAATACCATCAAAATTTATACCTCTTAGCTATTAGAAAAGGAAATAAAAAGTTTACCCCCCAAATGAACAATGAAAACCCCTGTAGAATCCTGTACTGTACTGAAAATAAAAATATAACATTTGTATACCCTGCACCTAAACCTAACATAGAGATGAAAATCATTTTGTTAACATTCAAAAGCTCATGACAATAGAAATTATTGGGATACAAAAAGGTATTTCACAAATTATTTCAAAATATTTTCCTAAGCTTACAGTGGTTTCTACTCCATAATCTTAAGGGAACTTAAGAGTGAACTAAAATTTCTCAAAAATCAAGACATTTAAAAAGAAAAATTTGAAAAAGTTAGTCTTCTAATCAGGTTACAAATCTAAAAATAAATGTAATAAAATGCTTCTAAATAATATTACTTTAGATTATAAACAATTGTTCATATACAATTTACATACAAATTATAACAATACAGGTGTTCTTTGGTACACATGCAGTATTACGAATTCTCCATATACCTCTATCTAGACACCACCACACCATAAGTCTCCCAGAGTCTAGGTGTCAATCTATCTGAACAATATCTTAATTATTGCACATAACAATAAAGCAATAAAACTTTATTTGGATCTGACAGTCCATCTGTTAAAGCTCCTGTCCTATCAAATGAATGAAAATAAATCAAACATTATTTCATGAAACTAATTTCTGAGTTTCCTAGTATATTAATAAGGTCAAATTCTAAAGTCTATTCATAAGAGAGAAATTAAGAGGTAAAAAGGCAAATTAAAATTCAATATATTTTATTAGTTTATTTACTGTTATATAAACCTTGGAAATAAATGACTCTGTGAAATTAGTGCTAAAATAAGTGTCGGCATTTCCTAGAAATCAATTAACACTGTCCACAGGTAGTGGTAACAGGATAGGTAAAATATGATAAACTCTTATGTTCATAGACCTATGGGAGGATGCAGAAAACATGTATAACAATATTCTCAAGAAAATCACTTCAGAAAAGTTTTCTTTGTGATATTCAAACATGAAATGCATTACTATCTAAAATAATAAAGCTGAGTAATAATCATTAATAAAATGAGTTGTGACATTTTAAAATTTCCTATTTTTCCCTTTTCTTATCTCTGTAAATCCCAGAAATAGGCTGTACTTTCTTATATCCAACCACATATGATTTGGTGAGGCAGCCACAGAATGATGTCTGTATCTGAATATTCTAGAGGTCAGTTTTTTATCCTATCTTTAGTTCCTGTATATCCGGGCATGTATACACACATGCGTGCACCTGTGTGTGTGTGTGTGTGTGTGTGTGTGTGTACATTAAGTACAGTCATTCATTCCCAAGAAACAAAGTGTGGTTAGCAAGCAAGTCTTTCTGCCTAGCAGCTGCAAAAACTCATGCTTTTAACATATTTAAAATTCTTTTTAATGAAATCCTAATCATCTTACTTTTAAAAGGTCTCTATAGAAAATTCTTTAAAACGGATAGCAAGTTCTTGTCCCCTCTTTTGTCCTCTCAAAATCTTTGGCTGGTGAAAATGCACAGGTAAGATACTATTAAGAACTAAGCAGTAGAGCTTGAATACTTAAATATGTAAATATACATGCTATTAAACATTTTCACATTCAGGAGGTCAAAACAAAGAGAAATGTGAATAGATAGAGAAAAGAAAAAGGACCAGATTGCAGCCTTATGTGTACCCCTGAGCCCTGTTTCACACCGGAGAGACAGAGAAGAGAAATGGTAGCAGCCATTACAGTCTCCATTTAATGACACAAGTAAAACCTCTGAGAATCCTGGTATTTCCCAAAGGGTATGTACAAGTCATGCATGATTCATGTTGTTAGAAATTATTCCAGTCAACTTATAGAATGGAGAGTCTATTGTAAAAATTTGGAGGTCAGCCCTAAAATGATTTATGTATATAACTAAAGAAAAAAGTGTGAGAATTATAGTTACAGAACATAAAAATACTATAAGCTTTGAACATTTTAGTATCAGTAAGTTATAAAAACAGAAAGTAGAGGGAGAACAAGTAGAAAAGTGTAAACGTGCTGACATTCTAATTTTGTATACAGAGGTTAAAAGATAATGCTTGAAGCATCGAGTAATAGGAATTCGAGTATATAACCAAAATATATATGAGCTATAAAGTTAGTAGGTCTACTAACTTTATCCTCTTCCATAGCTGACCACTCTAGAGATTACTTGTTCTAGCAGATATGATTAAAATGTATAAGGTATTAAAACTGCTAGATGCTAGCTAGAATGTTTTTATGTAAAATAAATTATTTGTGTAAATTAAATTCATATATTTTAATTTAAAAAAATACACTGCTAAAATGTTTAACATACATCCCTTAAAAAGTGTAAATTCAAAGAACACAATTTTTGTACTTATGAGGTTCACAGACAAAGCAGGCAATTATATCTTCACTTGATAAATATTTCTAACAGGTAGTTTATTGCTACCAAATATAAATACTGAACTCTGCTTCTGCTTTTAAAGTTCATACTATCTCTTTAGGTAGAGATCTTCTCATTCATTTTAATTACTAAGAAATGCTGCTTTAGAACAAATATGGTATCAAGAACGTTACAACTCATGGAATTAAATCGATTCAGTACATTTGTGAATCTTTGTGTCTGTGTGTGTGTTATAATATGAAGCTTGAAAAGGATCACATCACTGTAAGTTCTATGATTACAGAATCATAGACCTTGTCTATATGGTATAAATACACACATACACATACACAAACACTTCAATACCTAATACAGTATTGTATTTTGAGGATAAAAAGACAGAAGCAGCTCTTTCAGGAATGAAACTTAGTATAGACATAAATCTTTTAGTTTATGCCATAATTAAAGACTATTATACGTGGAGTAAGGTTTAAAGAATTTAAGAAAATTTAGATGTAATGTTTCATTTTGCTTCACATATTTCCAGGCACTATTATTTGATGTGCACACATTTGCAATAGTTATGTTTTCCTGATAAATTGTTCTTTTTATAATTATACAATGTCTCTCTTTAGCTCTAATAATGTTTCTCTCCTCTGAAGTTTATCGGTAAGAATATAACAATTTTTTTCTTAAATTCATGTTTACATGGTATATATTTTTCCATGCTTTTACTTTCTACCTACCTATATTGTTGTATTTGAAGCAAATTTTTTATAGACAGCATATGGTTGGGTCATGTTTTTTATCTATTATGTCAAAATCTGTCTTTTAATTAGTTTATTTAGACCATTTACATTTTTAGCTTTATTGATTCACATACCAGGCCCTTTAAAAATACACGATTAAATGGTTTTTGTATGTTCATAGACTCTTTCAACCATCACCACAATCAATTTCTGAACATTTTCTTCATCCGCCAAAGAAACTCATGCCATTTGTATTCACTCCCTATTTCCCCCAACAATCAGTAATCTGCTTACGGCCTCTACAGATTTGCCTATTCTAGACATTTCATATAAATGGAATCATACAATATGTAGTCTTTTATGACTAGCTTTTTTTTCATTCAGCGTAAGTTTTCCAAAGTTCATTTGTCTTGTATCAGTACTTGATTCCTTTTTAAGCATGAACAATTTTCCATTTTATGGATATATTTTGTTTATCCATTCATGAGATGATGGACATTTAAGTTGTTCCATTTTGGGGCTATTATGAATAACACTGGTATGAAAATTAATGTGCAAGTTTTTATGTAAATTTTTTTAATCTCTTGGGTATATACCTATGAGTAGAATTGCCAGCTAATATAGTAATTCTATGTTTAACAATTTGATGAACTGCTATACCATTTTTCACAGTGACTGCACCATCTTACAATCCCACCAGCAATGGGTAAGTGTTCTAATTTCTCCTTATCTTGGTCAACAATTCTTATTATCTGTCTTTTTTGGTAATAGCTATCCTACTGAATGAAAGTGGCTTCTCATTGTGGTTTTGATTTACATTTCCCTGAGAGCTAATGATGTTCAGCATCTTTTCATGTGCTTATTAGCAATTTGAATAACTTATATGGAGAAATATCTATTCAGAACCCTTGCCTAATCCAAAATTGTGTTATCTGTCTTTTAATTAATGAGGTATATGAGTACTTTATGTATTTTGGATACAAGTTTCTTATCAGATGTATGCTTTACAAATATTTTCTCCCATTTTGTGACCTGTATTTTACTTTCTTTGTGGTGTGATTTGAAACACAAAAGTTTCAATTTAGATAAAGTCCAGTGTATGTATCTTTCTTTTTGTTGTCAGTGCTTGTACTTTTGGTATCATATCTAAGAATTCATTGCGCAAGGTCATGAATTTTACACCTATGCTTTCTTCTGAGAGTTTTATAGCTTTAGTTCTTCCACTTAGATCTATGATCCATTCGGAGTTAATTTTTATATATGGTGTAAGGAAGGGATCTAACTTCATTCTTTTGCATGTGGATATCCAGTTAACCCAGTACCATTTGTCAAAAACACTATTCTTTCTCCCATTGAATTGTCTTGGCACTCTGGTTGCAAATCAATTGGACATCAATGGAAGGCTTTATTTCTGGACTCTTAATTCTATTCCATCAATCTATCTGTTTATCCTTAGGCCAGCCCCATGTTGTCTTCATTACCATAGTTTTACAGTTTTAAAATCAGAAAATCTAAGTATTCAAACTTGGTTCTTTCATTTCAAAACTGTTTAAACTATCCTGGGTCCCTTGCATTTCCATAGATCATTTAAATTTAAAGTAATAAAATTGGGTTTATTAACATACTAGGGCTTAAGACTGTCATTTTATTACTTGTTTTCTCTTTGTTTCCTCTGTTTCTCTTACTTTCCTTTGGGTGACTTGATCATATTAAAAATTTCTATCTTGATTTCTTTATCTTTTCAAAAGTATATTGCTTTGGATAGTTTTCCTAGCAGCTGCTCTAGAAAATAACAATATACCCATGTAACTCATCAAGTCTAACAGTATCAATGTATGGGAATGACGGGATCAAATTCTGTTTAGCACCACTGAAATCATGGAGGGAGTAAGATGTGAGTTTTCCAGTGGTGTTTGGCAGATACTGCCAAAAATTTTCTGGTGTAAAGCCACCCTTCACCTGGTCCTTTGCCTAAAGAAAACAAGACTTTCTTGGAGCTTCTTTATCTGTACTTTCTGGCAGTTCTGGCAGTTTGGAGGCTTCTGTAGCACCTAGCTCAGGATATATGACAGATAACACAAAAATTCAAGGAACTCACTGCTTTGTAGTTCAAGTTCCAAAAATTCCTAGCAGTTCACCCTCTTCTTTTGATCTTTGAGAGACTTCCTTGCCATCTTCGTAGCACTGTATCTAGAAATTTTTAGTTATAAGGGAGAGAACCCGGAAGGAATGAGGCTACTCCATTTTGGTGGAACTGAAAGTAATATTTCATTTTAGTATTTAAAAATGCCTATTTGTGTCCTTTGACCTTCACTGATACACTCTGATGTTTCTACCAATATCTTAGAGGGTTTGACTATTTGGGTGAAGGTACCAGATTATTCCTTTTGTTGTTCATATGCAGGCAAACATTCATTTATATTTATCTAAAAGTAATTGTAAACATTTGAAAATAATTATATGGTTAAGTCACTTCAATTAGTTAAAATAGTTGGATGAGAACACAATAGAATATTTCAAGCAACAGCTGAGTAGAAGATTTTAATCTCATTACAACTGATGTCAGCATTCTACCTGAGGCAAAACTAATTGCAGCAGCTTCCTCCCACAGCCCCACCTCACCACATACTCATCCCAGATAACCATGCAAAAGAAAATGTACTAATAAAGGAAGAGTTTTCATTTGCGCCTTTACAGTCATGTATAAGCTAGAGCACAACGTCCCCCATGTACCTAACAGAAAGTGTCCATGCCCTTTCCCACGCCTCTCCTTAGTGCCAATATCTGGGATGGAATGCTGGCTGGATGTGCTATTTTATGAGAACAAAAGGAATATAGGTGTCTTCAAGGAGGATGAACCTAATTTAGAGTCTCAGGTCAACCTTGAGTAAGCTACTCAACATCTCAGAACCTCAGTTTCCTTGTCTATAACATATGGGCTCCGTTTGCTTTTAATTCTCTTGAAGAATTAAATGAAAGTATGTACCTCTCAGAGCCAGTACCTGGCTCAGAAAATGCTAAATAAGTACATATTTGACTCCCTGAGTTGGCAATGACAAAACAGTGGAACTTGGAGGAGCTCACATAACTCAGGAACACCAGAATTGGTTTAAATTAGAATTCTCCCAAATTCTACTAGAATTTTAAAAGAATATATTCTACTACTAGAATTTGGGGGAATTCTAATTTAAACTTATATATTCTTTAAGTTTTTGGGGGTACATAGTGTATATGTTTGTGGAGTACATGAGATGTTTTGATACGGGCATATGCAATGTAAAATAATCACATCATGGAGAATGGGGTATCCCTCCCCTCAAGCATTTATTCTTTGTGTTACAAACCCTAACCCAATTACACTCTTGTAGTTTTTTAAAATATACAATTAAGTCATTGTTGACTACAGTCACCTTGCTGTACTATCAAACAGTATGTCTTATTCATTCTTTCTGTTTTTTTTTATACCACTAACCATCCCTACCCCCTACCTCTAACCTATATATTTGAAGGAAGTATGTCTCCCCAAAATATTAAAACAAACAAAAAACCTTGGTCTCAAAACACACATGCATTTAATATGAGTAAATATAAAAATTTAAACTCTCCTGATAAATCTTTCCTTATAGGTGATCAGATTTCAAGTATACTTTTTCTAAAAATATATTCAGGGACAAATGTTAAGAACTTTTATTTTAATTCTGTACTATTTTCCCCCTGAGAGTTGTTTAAGGACTAAAAGGAATTTTAGAATAATGTGTACAAAATGTAAAGATTCTCTCATACATATCTCTTAGGCATAAGTGGCAGAATTCAGATAATTCAATACACACTCATCCCTCCCTTTTCCCCAGTGCTCTCTGAAAACTGGAGGGTAGTTTGGGGTTAAGTGGAGTTCCTGAAGACCAAACTACTGTCATAAGTTCTACTGTTTTGGCCTACAGAGCCATGGGAGCACTCAAAACAATGATTCCAGTTTATCAAATATAATGTTCTCCAAAAGAGTAAGTCAGATTCTCCAGGTTGGAATTCTGGAATTCCCACCACAGATGGGTTGCACAGCCCTGGCAAATCGCTTAGCTGTCTGAGCTTCAGTCTCCCAGCAAAGTGGCGACAGCAGCACAGCACACCACATTCTGTAAGAATTTTCTCATCTAGCCTGACCACGCCCTTCAGAGTCAAAGGAAACGTCAGCAGTCATTATTGACCTCATTTAACGACAGAGAAATGAGGGTTCTGAAAATATTCGTGTTTCCCAAAGGGTGATATACAAATCATGGATGATTCATAGGCAACCTTTGAGAAAGGAGAACTACTGATTTTGAGGAATGAAGAGAAAAACTGGCAAAAGATAGGGACATGGGGGAAAAACTGAATTCCCCAATAACAGCAGCTAGCAAATATTAAGCTGGCAAATGAAGGGATTAAAAATGAGCAAAACAGCTGTAGAAGACCTGGGAAATGGCCCATTCAAGAAAGTTGAGTTCTATGAACAGCTGATTCATAATGCCATTGAGGGCCAGGAATTTCAACACTGAATAGTAACTTAAACTCTGTGATAAATGGAAAACCATGCTCAGAATTTTGAAATGTCTTAGACCATGGAAGGAAATAAGTGTTGAAGGAAAGTTCCCTGATTTCTTACTTCAAATTGGACCAGGTCCTACCTCATGTAAGACCAACTTTGATGGTCATTATCCAGCTTCCCATGACTCTAAATTCCACTTCTGTAGTTTTGGAGTAGGTGCAGTCATGCACTACATAACATTTTGATCATTGATGGACTGCATATACAAGGTGATCCCATAAGATTATAGTGGAGCTGAAAAGTTCCCATTGCATAGAAATGCCATAGCCATCATGACATCATAGCACAATGAATGATACTGATGTAAACAAACCTACTGTGCTGCCAGTCATACAAAAGTATAGTACATACAATTATTTACAGTACATAATAATTGATAATGAAAGACTATGTTACTGCTTTCTGTATCTACCATACTATTGATTGCTGTTTCAGAGTATAATTCTTCTACTTACTAAAAAAAAAAAAAAAAAAAAGTTAACTAGAAAACAGCCTCAGGCAGGTCCTTTAGGAGGTATTCCAGAAGAAGACACTATTATCATAGGAGATGACAGTTCCATGCATGTATTGGCCCTGAAGACATTCCACTGGGAAAAGATGTGGAGGTGGAAGACAGTGATATTGATGACCCTGGTCCTGTGTATGCCTGGACTAGTGTGAGTGTTTCTGTATTAGTTTTTAACAAAAAAAAATTAAGTAAAAAAAAAGAAATTTTAATATAGAAAAAAGCTTATAAAATAAGGATATAAAGAAAAAAATTTTGTACAACTGTACAATGTATTTGTGTTTTAATCTAAGTATTATTACAAAATAGTAAAAAAGTTAAAAATAATTAAAAGTATATAACATAAAAAAGTTACAATAAGCTATAGTTAATTTATTATTGGGGAAAGAAAAAATATTTTTAATACATTTAACGTAGCCTAAGTTCACTGTGTTTATAAAAGTCTACAGTAGTATACAGCAATGTCCTAGTCCTTCACATTCACTCACCACTAACTCACTGACTCATCCAAAGCAACTTTCAGTCCTGCAAGCTCCATTCATGGTAAGTGCCCTATACACAATTACCATTTCTTAATCTTTTGTGTCAAATTTTTACTGTACCTTTTCTATGTTTAGATATGCTTAGACACACAATACTTACCATTTTGTTACAATTGCCTACAGTATTCACTACAGTAACATGCTGTACAAGTTTGTAGCCTAGGAGCAGCAGGCTATACCATATAGCCTAGGTACATAGTAGGCTATCCCATCTAGGCTTTTGTCGGTTCACTCTATGATGTTCACACAACAACATAATTGCCTAATGATCTGTTTTTTTCAGAACATATCCTTGTCTTTAAGTGATGTATGACAGTGTTTTTAATAAGACTCTCTACTGATGCTGAAGCCCAACAAAGTCTGAAATCCTTGTACACCAAAAGGCTTTTTTGTTCTTCCATGTGCACTTTACTCTTCTTGTAGCTAAATCTATTTTGGGATGGAGGGTGGTCATTTGCTACTTTTCTGAGAAAGAGGTGCCTTCTCTATGACCCTTATCTGCCCCCACCCCCACCCCCACATAGAGATATGAATAGTTTAAATTTTACTGTATTATAAAGATAAAAACAGGTAGCATACGAGATAACTCAAAGGGTCATTTAAATGAAATGAATGAAAAATTGAGTCATTTTTGAGAAAATCTAGGAGCCACTGAATTATTCCAAGGTCACATGAAATAAAGAATAAAAAACAAATGTTCAGATACCAGGTTCAGCATGCCAGTCATTATGCTTTCTGATCTCCCTGAGGAGAAGCCTTTGTCATTTTAAGGAAAAGGATAAAAAGCATATACTTTTATCTGTAAAAAGGATTAAAGAAATTAAACATTTGTATTAAGTGCAATATTCAGTCACTGCTATCTTGAAAACAATTTAATACTTCACTCAAAAAAGTGAAATAAGTAGAGTTTTACCTTCAAAATAACTACAGACATATTCATGCACATACAGTCATCAAAAGAATGTTATAAAATTACAGCCAACTTTAGAGCAGAAACTGGATAACAGCTCAGGAAAACACCATTCAAAATTGAAAGTTAATTAAAATTTAAATGAGAGAATATTAAGTTGCCTTTTTATCTTTTATAATTTTAATTTTCCTCAATAAATACAAAGGTCTATTCTTATATATTCCTTTTCCAAAACATCCAATGCATAGCTATATCTCAACAGTAATCCACCACAAAAGTTGTGCAGGGAAGTTTTCCCTTCCACTTCGGCCATCTTTGCAAAAGGTAATAGTTGTGATGGGCAGTAGTGATCACCCTCAATCAATCTGTACACCAGGCCACCTGGCATATTTGTAAACAAAAATATATTGTCAATATAATGTGCCTATTTTCCTCAACATAACTTACTATGTCAGAAATTATGAGGTGTGAAGAGAACTGTTCTTTATCATGTTCTACATCTGATTCCATTACAAGAGAAGAACATTTTCATGACATTCATCTATTGCAGTGAAAGCAATGCCATCTTTTCAACTATACACAATTTAATATCATTATTTAAATCAATATTTGAAAACTAATAAAGAGATTATTGAAGCACAAGTTGATTTAATTTACACTATACTCTACAACTATGCACTGCATTAAGGAACCAATTCCATTACATTTTGGATCCAATTCCTAGGACAAATTAAATCTTAATTTTCATGTTTCCCAAAACAATCTACATGATAAAATTGCATAGAAAGACTGACAGAGCATGATAACTGCTTGTACGGAGACCTTATATCACAGAAGTTACTCATCCAAACCTATTAACAGTTACATTCATTGAAAAAGGAAAAAAAAATCATAATTTCCCTCTCCAACTTGAATATCTTCTGCATAAAAGAAAGGGTAACAGCAAATATAAGCAGTTCAAAAAATAATGCAATTAGTTACTGTCTTCATTTGGAATGAAATTCATGAGGAAGCAGAGCATCATTAGGCCTCAAAAAAAAAAAAAAACTGCTACTGATAAAACATGCAAATCTCCAGTCAACACCTCTAATCACACTCTACTATGCCTCCTTGCTTTCAGTTTCCACCTAAGGCCATTGAATACTGACTATGATCAGATACTTTTCCAGGCACTGGAGTTACAATGATGTGCAACAATAGATGTAAACTATAAATGCTGCTTTTGTGAATTTAGAGTCCAAAGCCCTTATGTTTCTTTCCAAATAGGAGACAGGGCTTTTCTTGGTACTCCTTTTAGCTAAAACTATTTAGTAGGAGGGGGAAATTTATTTCTCACAGTTCTGGTGGTAGGAACGTCTAAGTTCAAGGCACTGGCAGATTTGGTGTCTGGTGAGAGACTGCTTTCTGGTTCACAGACTTATGTCTTCTCTTCTCACTGTGACCTCGCATGGCTGAAGAGGGAGGGAGGTCTCCAAATGACCTAATTATCTTCCAAAGGCCCCACCTCCTAATACAATCACATAGGGTATTAGGATTTCAACATAAAAATTTTCAGAGGGACACAAACATTCAGTCTATAGCAGAAAGAGAAGGGAAGGAAAGTGAAGGAAGAGACAGGGAAGGGAAGGAAGGGACAGGGAAAGGAAGGCCATTAAATTAGAGGTGGAGCTGAATGATTGACTACATGGGCTTAAAGGTGTAATTGGGCTGGGTGCAGTGGCTCACACCTGTAATCCCAACACTTTGGGAAGCCGAGGCAGGCGGATCACCTGAGGTCAGGAGTTCCAGACCAGACTGGCCAACATGGTGAAACCCCGTCTATACTAAAAATACAAAAATTAGCTGGACATGGTGGCACCCGCCTGTAATCCCAGCTACTCAGGAGGCAGAAGAATTGCTTGAACCTGGGAGGTGGAGGTTGCAGTGAGCCAAGATGGCACCACTGCACTCCAGCCTGGGTGACAGAGCAAGACTCCATCTTAAAAAAAAAAAAAAGGTGTAATTCATATGAAAATGGTTATGGTTATAAAAAGGTGTGATTGATATGAAAATGGTTATCAATGTGTCAGTAATACTATGCATTACTAACAATGGTGATAAATTAAGAGATTTCACCACAGTGATATTTGAATGACTCTAAGATTTGAGTTTTTCAAGGGCAAAGATCACATTGTATTCCTTTTTGCATCTCTAGCACCTAGCACAGTGACTGACATAAGATAAATACCTGGTAAATGCTGAGTGAATCAATGACTAAATCTTACCTTCTTATCATGGATTGGGCAGAGGGCTAAAATTTATTAATTCTGACTCTGCCTTGAAAACATCTGAAAAAAAAAAGTAGAAGTAATCTGCCAAGCATAATTATCCCTATGTGATTTAAAAGAAATCACATAAAAATTACTAAAATAATCATAACAATCAATTTTACAGCAAGGCAATAAACAATTAAAAATGCTTGATGTAAAAATATTACTTATTTACATATAAAACAGGTGATAAGAACAGTTTACAAAACACATTAATAATTTTAATTTAAAAGAAAACTAGTATATACAGTATTTATTCTTAGGTCTACTTTTTTCTATTTCATTATTTTGTTAGGACAATATGATATTAACAGTTAAAGGGGTCAAAGAACATATGAAGAAACTACCTTCTTAAGTAATTCCTCCTCTCCCCCCAAATATAGATTCTAGCCCAGCCTATAAACTCATTAGATACTTGATACCACCAATAAATTGAGTGTGGTTTGTTCTCTGATAATGTCTCAGACGAGAATGGTGTGCATGGCAGTCATTGCTGGTGCACTGCCCAGATCTCCATGACTTGGACCATTCAGTGCTGTTGGTATGACTTCTAGAACATGTGTCTCTTTGCCTGAGGGCTCTCTCTGGCCACTAGAGTGGGCTTGCTTTGCCTGTAATCATGGAGCACCATAACTTCTGGGAAATTCATGTCCTCCAGTGCTCTCACCCTTCAGGTGGGATAGCTCCGAGGCACGTGCAGAGTTCCCCAGTAGAAACAACCCCAGTTGCTCCAGGTTAATTTGCTTGTCACCCTTTTTTTAGCCTCATCCATTCCCTTTTTTACTTCTCCCACTCCTCTGTTCATTTAATACTTCCAGGGATCACTTCCCAGTGAATTGCCAGCATTCTAATCTAAAAAAAAAAAACTAAGATAATGTATTTTTTTTTTTTTTTTTTTTTTGAGACGGAGTCTCACTCTGTCGCCCAGGCTGGAGTGCAGTGGCGGGATCTCGGCTCACTGCAAGCTCCGCCTCCCGGGTTCACGCCATTCTCCCGCCTCAGCCTCCCAAGTAGCTGGGACAACAGGCGCCCGCCACTACGCCCGGCTAATTTTTTGTATTTTTAGTAGAGACGGGGTTTCACCGTTTTAGCCGGGATGGTCTCGATCTCCTGACCTCGTGATCCGCCCGCCTCAGCCTCCCAAAGTGCTGGGATTACAGGCGTGAGCCACCGCGCCCGGCCAGATAATGTATTTTATAGTGTTAGATTTATAAGATAAATGCAAAAGGTGAAAATGATTGAAAAAAAAAGATATAGTAGAAATGCTTCACACCAGTATTCTGAATGTAAATCTGAGTTTATAATTGGCAGTTGGGGTAGAGGGAAAACTATCATGGAGTAATCATTTACTCAAGAAACAGCAAATATTTTTCATACTCTGATTCTGAAAACGTGAAGAAGGCATAGCCCTTGCTCTGAAGAAATAAAAGTCTTATGAGAAAGTCAGATACAAAATGTGAAGGGGCCAAGTCTCCAAATATGGCCCCAATAATTCCTCCAATTTTTTACACAAGCCCCTTTGCGACGTGGCTTTGCCTCTCCTCTTATCAAGAGGTGTAGTCTATTTTACCATCACTTTAATTCTGAGTTGGCCTTTTGATTTGCTTTGAGCAACCAAATGCAGTGGAAGTAATATCTGGGATTACTACTCTATCCCTCAGGAGGACTGGTACTTTCACTCCCCCATCTTGGAGCCCAGCATGGTGATGCCAAGTCCACACGAGACTGCAGGATGATTAGAGCCATACAGAGGAGACGCTGGAAAAAGAGAAGCCATTTTGGAAATTCCAGCCCCTCTTAAGTTCTCAGCTGAATGCAACTGTATGAGTGACCTCAGGTACACAATCGAGGAGAATCTCCCAGCTGAGCCCAACCAAGCTACAGGATCATGGGAAATAGTAAGTTGTTTTAAGCCACCAAGTTTTGGAGTGGTTTGTTAAGCAATAACAGATAACTGATTCAACAAGCAATTACAGTGCAGTCTGATAATTCCACTCCTCGGATGACATCTCTCTGCTTCACGTATCTCAGTCCCACCAGGCTAGCTCTGGCGAGGAGACAGCCAGATCAGGAGCCACTGCTGTCACATCAGGAAAAAGTTCCAGTTTTGCTCTACCATCCAACACCTAGCCAGACTCGATTTGCAGCTCAGTTGACTGAAGCAAAATACAACAGCTCAAAGAATAAGCCTTATACAACATCTGCCTGAAGGGATTTATGACCCTGGAAGAGATAGATCAGATCAGAAACAAAGATCTGGGAGTATGTGATCTGTATGATGGACTTTGTTTATGGGGACCTGATTCAGTTTCTGCCATGCATGCACATTTATCATGAGGATTATATAGATAACTGGTTGATGAGATCCTTCACGTGTCCCTCCTGCATGGAGCCAGTTGATGCAGCACTGCTTACATCCTATAAGATTAATTGAGCCAGGCTCTCTCATCTGACTTCGAGTGAACCACATTTTTGGTGGTTTTGATTGTTTGTCACTGAGCCCAAAGAGGCAGGGATTAGGAATTAAAATAATGCAAAAAAGTTTCCAACAAATTTCTGGATGGCTGCAGATGTTGGGGGAAAAGTACGTGATATTTTAGAAACTTAGGGGGCAAAGTAGGATGATATTTTTATGTAAAGCCTGGACCCAACGTTTAAAAATATAATTGTATTTAGATCTTGAAAAAAAAAAGAGAAAATACAGATATTGGGTGAGCACCTACTATAAGCTAACACTGTGCAGGGACTAACCAAAGATACATAAAATGTAATTGCTGCCATAAACACACATTTTTGCTAGGAACAATGGCTATTATTTGTAATGATTAGAGGATACCCAAGTTATGTGCAGTATAATTATGACCCTATGGAAAAGAAAAGTTGAGAGAATAAAAGATGGAAGTGTAGGCTAACTGAAGGAGTTTAGCTGAGATCAAAGGAAGGGAAAGTTGGGATCAAAAGAAGGAAAAGCCATCCAGGTAGGGGGAAGAGTTGAGTAAAAAGGCAGGAGGCTAAACAGGGATGACAATCAGGATCTGTCTGAGAGAAAAGTGGAAAATGTGGATAGCAAGATGTAGTCTCTATTTTCTCACTCTGCAATCCTAAAACATGTTCCCTAACAATATATGATGGATATTGGCCCTTCTTTCCTTTGAACCAGTCAAAATATTAAGAGAAACACTTATGAACAGTAGCAAAATATCACCCATCTTCTAATTACTGTTGAAAAGCAGATTTGCAAAATATTTCTCCTGGAGGATTCTTTCTTCTATTTTGTGGCAAAGCACATACCAGTCAACCACATGCATATTGCTATAACTAGGTTATAGCTACTGCAACAGCTAGCCTTAATACTTAATGCTATCAATACAAAAAAAAAGTTCTAGCAATTACTTCATATTTCCATTTGCAACAAATTTTTACTATATTTACATAGAGTTTCAACAGTTCCTAATATCTACAATGTGGATGGATAGCATCTTACACTTTGAAAATTAATAGGGAGACCTGATTCCCTGGACTTATTTAAACATAGTTATAGCTAATGTATTATTACCTTAATAATTTGTTCCCATTCATCAAAATAAAAAATACAGTGCATTTATAAATTTAAATGAAACACTGATTACAGTTTACATTTTCTCTTTTACACTACAAGCGGCCAGTCAATGCAATCCCATCTTTGTTAAGTGTCTAGAACATGGCTAAAATAATATATGTGCACATGTATACAGATATCTCTATACCCATATATGTAAATACTGGTTTATGGCTTGTATAGATTCTGAGATTTATTAAATAAGACACCTTCACTGCTTCCCAGAGATAATAGTTACCTGACATATACAATTCTAAATGAGGTACCTTATCTCTCTCTTCCACACCTTCAAATTAATAGTGTTTTCCCAACACTGATTGCAATTTCTCAAAAGTGAACTTTAACAAACAAAGCATTTAGATGTTATGAAATGCACTATCTTAATGTTCATAAAAGTTATTGCTTACACCCGGCATGATTACTTAATTACTATGATTCAATTATCAACAAAACAAAATGCAGAAAGTAGATCTCACTTGCTTTCTTGCCCAGAAGCCACATCTCATAATTAAACTGGAAGATGGTAAAAAATCTCCTCAAACAATGCAAGGGACTGGTGGAGCTGTTCCTTCTGCTCATGACCTTTGGGTTACAGCTGAATCTGATCCTGTAGGCTGTAATGACTAGATCACCTGAGACCAAGGCTGCTAGCTAAATGCACACAGCTTTAGGAAGTGAGTTCAGAGGAATGAAAACTGGACTCCCAGATCCAAGGAGCAGCCAACAATACCCAAAACCCACCCAGGTACCAGACAGGATACCTGCATAGAACTCTGTGCCCAATAAAATGATTCATTGGCCTGGGCAAGAATAATCTCAAACCTGTAGGGTAAATTGTGTGTATGAGTGGGCAGAGACCACAGTGTCTTTTTTCCTAGACAGGCTTCTCCCTACATTTAATCAGCTACACTTACATTTCATCTCTCAGAGAGTGAATATAGTGTTCCCATCTTCATCAAGTGGTCTCATCGTCATCATCATCATCTGGACAGATACTATTAGTGCTCCACCCATATGCCCTCAGCTCTTACCATTTCAGGCAGGCCGAGCTGACTTCCAACTGTTAGCACTTGTATTTCATTGCCTGAAAGCTTCTCTGCCTGCCAAACACCACTCTGCCTATGCAAGTGGAAGGCTGTAAATGCCAAGGAATTAATACCCCCACAGAGTAGCCCTCAACTAATGACTGCCAGGAGTTGACGGATAAATACTCCAGCTCCCTTATCTCTAGTGGGAAATTCTGTACACTTGACTCTCAGAATGCCACAGCATCATTAAGCTCCAGTTGCCTTCCTTATTGGCTTTTTTCCTTCTCTGCCCTACTTTTTCACTCCCCTATCAGTGTTCCTTGAGATTACCTCTCACATAAATTACTTATAGGAGAATCTTTGTCTCAGGGTGTGATTCTCAAGCAACTCAAATGGAAATCATCATCATTATCACCATCATCATCATTGCAACAATAATAAGAGTGCTCACTACTTACTGGGTTCCTACCATATGGACTCGAAACTTTTACTCATTATTCTACTAAAATTTTAATTCTCACACATATAGCTATATTACCCATGCCTTATAGCCGAAAAAAGAGAGACATGGGAGATTTAAATAAGTTGCTGAGATCTAGATCACTGAATTAATAAGATTAGAAGACAGAATCTGTCTGATTTTAAACTCATTTTGCTCATTCTACCATACTATGCTGCCACCCATAAAAAGTAAAATTAAAATGATTTAAAAACAAAATTCACATGCTGAGCCCTACCCTATTTTCTAAAAAAAAAAAAAAGAAGGAATCATTTTTATTTCAGCTACTTAATAATAAATATCCAAGAATATATTTATCAACCTAACAATAGTTTCGAAAAGAGTCATCAGAAAGTGGATAGTATATCAACATGGAACATTCCTCCACTTAATGTTTGTCAGTGTCTGCTTTTTGCCACATTAGCCTTTTATAGGAGCAGGAGACTTCCTTTAGAGCAGGGATAATGTCTTATTTGTGTCCAGATTCCCAGGAAGAAGCCAGCCAAATAGACATTTAGTGAATATTAGTTGAATTGACTGACTTGGGGTCTACTAAATTGTAATGATATGGACAAGTTTGAGGGAAATTCTTTTTGATAAGACTTCATCTGGATGCAAAGGAGACTGATAGGAAAGAGAAATGTTAGAAAACGAGGAGAAATGAAATCCATGATCTTCCCTAAGTATTATCTACAGAGAGAAGGACTTGTGCTTCAAAGACATCTGATATTGTAACGTAAGTGGTGTTTTGATATAATACTATCTTAAAATTTTTGACTTAATGATATTTTCAACTTATGATTATCAGGATATAACCCTATTGCAAGTTGAGGAGCATCTGCATTTACAATTAAGTTACTTTTAATAGTTCTACAACCTCCTATTTATAACTGTAAAATAGAAGTTTCTAAATGTATGGAAGAAATAGTCCATGAGAGAAAAACAGAACTTTTCATTATATCAATATGCCAATTATTTTAAAAACTATGTATGATTAAAACATTAAAATCCTAAATGGCTTCACCTTAAAAAGTGTAGAGTAAAACAATAACCAGTTAAAATTAATTCATAAACTACATATAGGAGCTTAAAAGATGTAAAACTTAAAGAGACCAGGGAATATTATTTGAGATAGAGTGGTTGTGTGAAAATATAGTTATAAATTGCATGTTGTGCCAACTAGTTATAAATTTCATGCTGTTCTGTTCTGTCCTGCCTGGGATTTGAATCATCACTTTGTCCAGCATGTCCACTCTGTATACACTACCAGTCCATTAGTCACTTACATCATCAGATAGGAAAACATAATACATATAGGGTTTGGTGCTATCTGTGGTTTCTGGCATCCACTAGGGGTCTTGGAATGTATGCCTTGAGAATAAGGGGTGATCATTGTATAGGACAGAGGAAGAAAATAAGGTACAAAAGGGACAATACAGAAAAATTTAAAAATCCCATAATTACATCTCCAAATCATAATTGGTTGTTTTAAAATAAAAGATTATTTTAAAATTAAACCTACAGCAGAATCTGAAAATTATAATAATTTACCATTTCATTAATTCATTATGTAAAATTGTACATTTAGTTTAGAAAAAAACTTTCCAGAAAGCAGGAACAGTATGAAAATTGTCATATTTAATTGCAGATTATTTTACCCTATATCCTATTATAAAATTTTCAATTATGCAGCAAAGTTGAAAGAACTGTAGAGTAAAATCCGATGTACCCACTACCTGGATTCTCCCATGACTATTCTATTGTGCTTCTTTTATCACATATCTATTAATCTAACCATCCTTCAATCCATTGTTTAATCCATCTGATTTTGGTACATTTCAAAGAGATTTTCAGACACAGAAAAATTCTCCTTAAATACTTTTGCATGCATATGATTAATTATAGTTCAACATTTGCTTCCACTTTATATTACATTTACATACAATGAAATGCACAAATGTTAAGTATTCATTCATTGAATTTTGATAAATATGTGTATTTGTGAACACCCAAACTCCTTCAGTACATAGAACATTAAGTTATGGATTATTTTCAGGAAAATAAAAACTTAGTATAAGCTCCCTTTTCTTTTCTCTAATCCAAAATATTTAGAATGTTTAAAGTGCAACAAAGAACATAGTTTTTCCTTAACCTCAACAAATATTTTCAACTCCATTTCAGTAAATAAATAAAGAGCAGCACATGAAGTGATGCCTATGGATTAGCTTGATTTACAGCAGGGATACCACACCAAACACTGACAGTGCCATATTGGCAAAATATACATAGGAGTGCGGTGAGGGAAAGACAAAAGGGTGTGATGGCGACTGCGGTCAACACACCCACATTCAGCTCCAGCTAACTGATGCCATGCAGGCATAGGTGTCTCGCGTCAGCAGACGTTCAGGCTATTCAAGAAAGGCTGGGAATCCAGATATTTATGTGCAATATACTGAATTTCTCAAATGTTAACAATGAAATTATACATTTTAAAAACATTATGTGGTTTATTAAAATTGGGCCTATAAGTCTCCCAGATTACATTCTGTAGTTTTGAGTTTCATGCCATTTGATGACTTGTGGTTCCCCTGTAGTATTATGATGATCAGAACAGATGAGTCTTAGAATCATATTATTTAAAGGATCTATTAATCAATATTTTTAAGACATTTAAGACTTGAGCAGTTAGATATACCAGATATACCATATGCTATTATAACAGATAAACATAAAAACCAAAAGTAAACAGTAATACGTCTCTTTCTCCTCAGGAAACATAACCACACAAAATGAATCTGATAATACCGGCGGTTTTATAGACACCATTCCCTCTCAAGCACATCATTTTGTTCACATATCCATGCATTCATTATATAGTGTGTGTGTGTGTGTGTGATGTGTGCTGTGTGTACATGTGCTAGGCACTGTCCTAGGTCTGAAGATACAACAGTAAGTTAAAGAAAAAACCCAGTTTTATAGAGTTTAGTTCAGGGAAGATAGAAAATAAGTTCATAATATGCCTTGTAATTATAAGTAATAGGAGAAAAGTAAAGCATGGTATGGGTGGGAGGTTTATATGAGATGGTCGGAGAAGACTTCCCCGACAAGATGGACTCTGAAGGGAGATAAGAGGAAGAAACAGAGAGGGAGCACTAAAAATATCCTGGGGATGAGAGATCCATGCAGACAGAACTTGCCAGACCAAATGGGAAGACCTTAAATGCACCTCTAAAAAGTATGTCATCAAATGCAAATTAATATATGTGTGCTCCCCTTTCAGAGTACCTATTGTCACATAAAGTCTATACAAATTGATAGTGAAAGAACAAACACAATATTTTGGATTTAAGGATATGAAACCACCCTAGCAAGGCTTTATTATAAGCTTATTATTCAGAGGAATCAATTCTGTAATTAAGATGTAATATGATTTACAATTTTTGATGTATACTTTTTGCAGAATGCATTCACCACATAAAGATATTCCCTACCAACAGAATTCATAAGCACTAGATATTGCCAGGTGAAGTAAGATGGGGCTAATTATGGACAGTTGGCAGACCATTTTCATACAGAAAAATGGAATCTATATGAAGAATGAGAACATGAGCTCATTATAAAGTCTTCAGAGATTATGCCTGATTTTTCTTTCCTTGAGCCTCTCCTAATGTAGAGCACGGTTATAAAAGTTAAAGAACCTCTCTGTTGCCAGCCTCTCTAAGGGTGCTGATAGCAGGTGGTGCTAATGTACCTTGATATAGGATTTTCTTGCTCAGAAGCTCAAAATAGGTAAAAGGGATTATGGCAACATCTTCACCTGACCCAGCAACATCCCTGTCTTTTGTCACCCATCATGCCAGATTCAGAAAAGTTGATCTAACATTTCAATCAGAGACTGGCAGGATTGGCCTTTTTATACCTGTCAAGATTGAAGGTAATTGTGCTCCCAGGGCCATTCCACTTGAAGGAAATATATGGAAATTAGAAATATACCACATTCTGAAAGAAACTGCCAGTTTCTGAGCACCTTTGTGAACTCTCTTTTTCTGTTTAATATAAAAATAGAAGGGGAAGGGCAGGGGAAGGGTTAGGTTGGAAGCACACAGTGAAATATGTTTGACTGCCTGCAAAGTCACCACATTGAAGCTGCTACTGCTTCTTGCCTTGACATAAACACTTCATAGTCTCCAATTATATTAATTGCTCATGTGGTAAAAAACCATCTGGGGAAGTAAACGTAACTGAGGTCACAGACATGATAAACTTGGAAACATCCTGAATGCAAACAAGGGCAACATAAAGATGTTATCCCATCATTTTTGGTTTTAGGGTTTTATTTTTAATAAATTGGGACTCTTTATAAAATGATGGCTATGTTATTAATTAAGGACATTGCCATAATGTCTTTAAAAATGTATGTGAATATATTTACAATATTACTGGTAACTGAAACTAAACCATAATTCTCTGTGAGTTATGAGACTATAAGGACCTTTAAAAGAAGGGCAAAACGGTCTCAAAATGTAAAAGATCCCAACATGTTCACATGTGAAACAGATTTGCTTAGCATCCAGGAACGGGCCACAGCTGCCATTACATCTAATGCTTTCCTCCCAATCTACCTCTCTACTAACCAGTGGAAAAAAATATGATTCACATCTTTATCAGAATTTGTTACCTCTGTATTTGTGTACAAAGCAAGACCTAAGTTCTCAATTTCTCTGAAGAAAACAAAGTAAATTGTCTATACATTAGCAGCATTATCTTTGAGTTATCAGTGCTTATCAAAAATAGAGGATTTATGGCACATACGTTGAATGCATCTTTTTAATTTTTAAAAAAGTTATTCCCTAGGGAAACTTAGAAGTAACTACTTTGTTTCAGGAAGCATTTTTATAAAATATCTTAGTGGCATGAGTGCTGATATATTTACCTGTGCAGAAATGAGCCCCATCATTAATAGCTGGTTTTCAGGGCCTTCATATTGTCCCCCTTCCCTAAATGGTCAAATCCAATCCTTTTCACACAGGTCCTTCCCTCACTCCCCCAACACTCTCCCTTCTTCTACCACCACCTCCCAGCTCCATCTCCCACTGGAAAAGCAGGAGTCAAGGGAGGATGGCCAGAAGAAGGTATTTCTAAAATTCTGTGTATGATTATTGAAACTTGGTCAGAAAAGCTAAAAGAGGTGTCAACTTGTGTATGTGGGAACAACTGCTTCAGGAAACAACTGCTATGCCTTTTCCTTCCCCTAAATAAAAGAAAAAAATGAGATTTTGAGGAGAAAAATGTTTGTAGCTCAAAATATTGTACACAATTGAGATAATTTTGAACAGAGTCACATAAGCTGGACAGAGAAAGGTCTTGATTTCTACTGTTGCCAAATTTTGTCTAAGATAAAGTATCTACATTTTTAATCCATTGTTCATTCATTCACTCATTTCCTTACTCAGCAGTTAGCCAGTCATATGTGAAATGTTTACTGAATGCTCATTATGTGCCAGGAAGTTCTAGGCACTAGGGACACACCAGCGAAACAGAACACACAAAGTCCTGACTCTCACGGAGCTTACATTTGGAGACTGGGTTGTGGGGAGCACGGAAAGAGATAATAAACATGTAGGCTCGAAAATAAATGAGGTACTTTTTCAGAATGGGATACATGCTATACAGAAAACAGAAGAGGGTAATAAGATGCCTAGAGTAAGAGAGGGGGGCGGTCAGCAGAAGCCTGTCTGAGGAGGCAGCATCTGAGCTGACATCTGAAGGATAACAAGAGGACAGTGAGATGACAATGTACGAAGGAGTGAGTGGGACATAGTCATGTCCTGAGGTGGGTATCAGTTCCTTATGCGCCTGGAATAGAAAGAAGGCCGGTGTGGTTAGAGCTGAGAGAGTCATGCGTAGAGAGGTGGGAGGTGAAGACTAGAAGACAGGCAAGAGCAGGCTCATAGTAGCTGAGCAAATTGTGGATTTTGCTCTAAGTGCAGTAGGACTCATTAGAGAGTGTTAGGCAGGGGTGTATTGTGATCTGATTTCTGCATTTTAAATATCATTTCAGATGATGCATGGAGAATGGACTGAAGAGAGGAAGTGTAACAGAGGGAAGGCTTGTGACAATAAGTTGCCATCTCTCCTCCATTGCTCCAGCCTTTGATTCACAAGCCTTCTGGCATGAGGACCAGGGATATTCTAGTCCTGCCCTGGGGCCAAGAGCTGGGTTTAGCCCTGAGAAAAGGGTGCATTGGTTTCAGTGTACGAGAGACTCTAGACAGCTTACTCAGGTCATATGCTCCACCCCCTCCCACGGTTGAGACCTTGGACAGGTAATCGTTCTCTACCTCAGTTTCTTTTCATGTTTTAAAATGGGATCATTATATTATAGTATCCCCTTCATGGGATTGTTCTGATTATTTATACAGAACAGTGCTAAAATAATGGTGGGAACATGGTAAGCACTCGAGAAAAGATAGCAAATAGCACTACCACTACAATTGCTATTAGGTCAATTAAGCAGATGGTATTTTGAGATCCACATTTGAGAAGAGGCAAAGAAGGTGAAAATAGAGATCTAGTAAGGAGCTGCATCGGATTTCTGAGAGGTTCCTGTTTCCTTCCTGCCATCTGTATCCTGAGGAAGACTGTCTAAAATGGGCAAAGTATGAGAATTGTCTACCTTCGGACTATGCTGGAAAATGAGCAGGATGAACCACTGGTGCCATTTCCAACTTTTCCTTTTGGTCATTTAGTTGGTTTGAGACAAGTAGATGAGCTGGAGAAAACAGAAGTAGACATTCTATACATTAATAGAGCCCTGAAGCTCCTTTTCAATAGAAACCGCATGGAACTTACATTGGTGATGCCCTGCTTCACGTCCTCTTAGCCCACCTCTGAGTTCACCTGAAGCTATCTGGTTCCTATACACACCAACAGCTCCCCAACTTAAAGCACTTGTGTCTTTCTGCCTCTCCACCTGCTCAGTCCATGTTTAGGGCAGGCTGAAAGTGCCAGAGATTAAACACCCCCAAGAGAAAACACCAACAATGAAGAATGGGGTAAGTGAACAAATACTCAACTTCCCTGTCCCTAGGTGTAGACAATTCTGAGGCTATTTTATACAAGATCTATAGCAGGACTTAGTCCTAGTTACCCTTATCCTTAATCTGCTCATTAAAATCCTTTTTTTAAAGCTGCCTCACTCTCCCTCATTCTTGTTTCCTGGAACTACCTATCAAATAAACTATCATATCTGAGTCACTGTGTCAGGTTTTGCTTTTGGAAGAATCCTAACTAGGACACCATATAATGCTTTCAAACAACATAGATCTCATATGAGCTTTCTTCACCAATGAAGTAACATTTTCCAACCACTATCCCAGTGATCAATCCCAGGGTAGAATGAGAGTGAACAGAAAACAGAAGGAAGGGGGTTGGAGGGAGTAGGGAGAGCTCTAGGCTAATATCATGGCCAGGAAGCCACCCTGACCCTTTCTGACTAAATCTACAGTCACAAAGACAGGCACTTGCATAATAAAGATGCATTAAATGTCTGTGGCATTAATTATTATCTGACTCGGAATTTTGACAGAATTCAGTTAAAAACTGAACATGTTGAGACAGGCACTGGCATGAAGCCCCAACCTAGTCAGATGTACATCTTAATTTACTGCAGATGGGCACCAAGTCATTTTGCCAATTTGGATGTTCCCAATAAGGTTTCACAAATAGATCTGTTCTCCAACAATATCTGCCTTCAATCAAAAGTGAAACAAATATAAAAAATGTGACTTAATGTATACATGCACACATAAATGCAGGCACACATGCATGCACACACACACACACACACACACACACACACACACACCAATGTTACCTATTGGGTTTCAGCCCAGTTAGGTTAGATTTTGTTCAAAGATAAAAATAACCTCTTATTATCATTTTGCTCCTAAAGATTCCTTGCATTTAACCATGTTAATACTTATGTATAAAGATGAACTGTCCTCAAAGGGAATAAAATAAATAATTGCCAACTATTTCACATATGTTCTCTACACCTCCAACTCTCATATATTATTCTTTATTCTTCCTAAAGTATAATATAAAACTAAGCTCATTTCTCTTCTATTCAGGCTATGGATTTTCCTTCATTTTTCTGTACCCAGTAAACTCCTCCACTTGAGACATAAAAGTTCAAAGTGTTGGCTAGTCGAAATTCCACTTATGTTAATGGAGAATGCATTTTTAAAGAATAATTGTCACAGATAATTATTTTATATTAAATGGAGATCACTGGAAGTCAACGTTGTGCATATATATATACACATATATGTTGTTGGGTATCAGGGGAAAGTTCTTTGTGACAACTCTTTGATACTGTAGGTAATTTCTCCCAATGACAAATAGTTCAAATGATTTTACTTCTAAGAGCTGTCATGCCCCAGCTCCTTTATTTTTTATTTTTTTGTCAAACCATGATACATTTCCCTCCTATAACCAACAGGCCTGTTTCCATTAGATCAAAACTATTTTATAGATTCTAATAAGTAAACAATTCTCCATAAACAAAGTGAATTACATTAGTGCTAACTTTAATACTTGAATCTAAAAATATATACTTGAAGAACTAGTGAAATCTTCTACAAATTCAATTCTAGAATACCTTCTTAGGATATAATATGATCAGGTTAGTTCTCATGCTTAAGCCTGTTGGTACAAGTCACTTCAGTGCCACCTGACCATCTAATCCAAGGAAAGTGAAGGAAAGTGAGGGTCCTGGTAAAATCACAGCAGCTAACGGAAGATACTGGGAGGCCTTAATGCATAATTAATTCTGCCCTGTTTCTTCTTCTTCACTATATACTCAAGACTTTAACAGTTAATCAACCACAGCTTCCTAGCTACCTAACCAACACAGTGCCCACCCAAGTCCTTGGCAAGACTTCAAGGAGAAAAGGATAACTCTTTTTTTTTTTTTTTTTTTTTTTTGAGACGGAGTTTCACTCTTGTTGCACAGGCTGGAGTACAATGGCGCCATCTCGGCTCACTGCAACCTCTGCCTCCTGGATTCAAGCAGTTCTCCTGCCTCAGCCTTCGGAGTAGCTGGGATTACAAGTGCCCGCCACTACGCCCAGCTAATTTTTTGTATTTTTAGTAGAGATGGGGTTTCACCATGTTGGCCAGGCTGGTCTTGAACTCCTGATCTCAGGTGATCCGCCCGCCTCAGCCTCCCAAAGTGCTGGGATTACAGGCGTGAGCCACTGCGCCCAGCCAAGATAACTCCTATAAAGATGCCTAACTAATTCAAAAATACAATCTCAAATTCTAAAGGAATCTTGGCAGTTCCTTCAATCCTCTAAACCAAGTAGTAGTACTCAGATAAAATCATTCATTTTCTGCATAAATATTTCTAACTAGAAAGTACTCATCAGCTCCCAATAGACAGAGTCATTCTATCGTTTTTTATGCTTGGATCATTATCAAGCTTATTCTGGTAATAAGTCAGAACCTCTCTCCTTGCCTCTTTCATCTATTGTCCCTAATTCTGTCTCCAAGGACAACAATATATTTCATAGTTCTCTTTAGTAACTGTCTTTTATTTTTCTGTTCAAAAACTATCCTTCCCCTACTCCCCATCAATTAATGTTAAGCCCCTTGAAAATGAAGAAATTATTTTAAAACTATTTTTAGACTCTGTCTCCAAGGACAACAATATATTTCATAGTTCTCTTTAGTAACTGTCTTTTATTTTTCTGTTCAAAAACTATCCTTCCCCTACTCCCCATCAATTAATGTTAAGCCCCTTGAAAATGAAGAAATTATTTTAAAACTATTTTTAGACTCTGAGGATCTGATCCAAAGTAGATGCTCAATTGAAATGCTACACATTGAAATGCTAAACATAAAGCAATCTCCATTCCCTTCTAAAATACATCTGTATTTGAAGACACTCTTGATCAACGAGATTATTCATTGATCCCAATTATACATAACATACATTATTAAGTAGAAAAAAATTTCTTTTCTATATTTAAGGCAATTTTTATACCAGTGGAGGAAAACAGAAGCATGGATAAAAGTAAGAACATAATACATATTTATATTTGAACGTCAGCATATCCTCCTTTCTTAAAGTTCACCACATCTGAAACAAAACTTGAGTCAAAGAATAAAAATCCAAATACAACAAGACCCAGAAAAGTGACCCAGTTCTCCATCTGGTCTCTACCTTTAGTTCCTCTTTGTTCACCACTCACACTGAGGAAAATGAAATTACCCTTCCAGATAAAGCAACGCTCGAATCTGACGGTGTGGCCCTTCCTGTGTTTTAGGCTTTCACAGCTGGATCTCCACACCATCCTCAAGAAACATACGTGTAATTAATAATTTAGGTTTTAAAAGATAGAGCCTAAATGTCCTTCTCTTTTAACTGGTATTTTTTTTAATAAGTAGAAAGACTTGTAACAAGAACATATCTTGTGCAGAAGAAGAACTAAATATTACAGGGATTGACCATCAAATTGGTTTATGGAAAATTTGATAAGTTAAACATAGTTGCTATTGCTTCAAGTTACCATGTGGACACATTAAAGCGTATCCAAAAGTATATCCATGTGGACACATTAAAGTATATCCAAAAAATGAATGTCCAAACACAGGTAAGAAGGCTCTCAAATTCTTTACCTGGACTGTGAATAAGGCAATATATGGCTTTACTAGTGATTCCAATGAAAATATTTGCAAAGAAAGTGATGATTGTAGTAAAAGAGGTATACAATAGTATATGAGAATTTAAAACTACATACTATTTAGGATTAAAAGTTAAAAAAGAGAAACTTGTTTTTTAATTATACTTTAAGTTCTGGAATACATGAGAATCTTTTAATATGACCAGATGTTTAGAAATCAGGGATGAGTGCAACTTTGTTACTTTTCATCCTCTTTTTCTTTTTTCAAGATCAAATGGTTCACCACTTAGTCCACCATAAACCTAAACCTAGAGGTCATTTATTTTCCTAAACATTTTTGAGAATCTTAATAGTTAAGAAATAATCTAAAAATGTATAATCATAAGTCATGTGGCTATGTGCTTCTTATAGCTTGTCAAAAAACAAAATTTTCACTAACTGAGGTTTAAAGATAGAACTGGCTTTTGTTAGCGATTCAGAATTGAGCAGCATCCTGTCTACAAAACAGGAGAAACTCCCATGAGCCGAGCAGCAGGTGTTGACTTTATAGACAGAAATTGCTAAAGAAAGCAGAAATAAGGATCAAGAAATAAAGAACGAAAAGCAGATTGGTCATTTCAAAGTTACTTTCCTTATAAGGTTAAAGTAGACAGAATTTCCTTATCCTCCAGGCTTTAGGTAGACTGAGCCCTTTCTGATTGGTTGCTGTGAAATCTCCTGTTTTTTGGAAAACTGGTCATTCAGTTTGGTTATTACATGGCACCCAGCAAGAGTGACTCCATTCTGGTTTGGTCTGGTATGGGCCTAGTTGCAGGAGCTCAGTCCAAAACAACAGATTCCCATAAACTGGGTTTAATAAGGCTTCACATCTTTTGGCCCTTCATACAAGGCTGAAAAAATAGCAAGACACAAAAAGCTCAGCACGCATGTCCATAATTTCTACTACAAAGGCCTAATCCCGATGCATCACCCAGGGATTACTTGAAGACCTGAAACTTCAAGTTCACATCATTAATTCAGCACTCTGAGCAATATATGTAGTAAATTAAAGCAGAGATGAAGTGATTGACATTTTGAGAAACTGCCAGTAGCGTATATTTGAACAACAGGCAACCAAGTCACCACATCTGAAACATTCACTCTCTTAACCAAGAGGGGGGAGAAACTGCTAATGAAAACTAACCTGCTCAAACATTGAATGACTATAAATGATCTCAGTCACACAGTAATAAGTAATGGCTCTTAATACTGCACAAATCTTGTCCTTAAATTTTTTTGTTAAAAATGATTAGTTGTGGCTCAAGCCTGTAATCCCAGCACTTTGGGAGGCTGAGACGTGCGGATCACGAGGTCAGGAGTTCGAGACCATCCTGGCTAACACGGTGAAACCCCGTCTCTACTAAATAAAAAAAAAAAAAAAATTAGCCGGGCATGGTGGCGGGCGCCTGTAGTCCCAGCTACTTGGGAGGCTGAGGCAGGAGAATGGCTGAACCCGGGAGGCGGAGGTTGCAGTGAGCCGAGATTGCGCCATTGCACTCCAGCCTGGGTGACAGAGCAAGACTCCATCTCAAAAAAAAAAAAAAAAAAGATTAGTTATACAGGATTGTTTTGTGCACAAAATGTGAAGGCTACGTTTCTAAGAAACATGGGTACTAAAATCATTATACTGCTATTGTCCTTCAGCATAAGCACAGGTTAGGCCTTTGGGAAGTATGAAGTAAATGTGCATTTAATAAAGAAATGAATGAATCTACAGTGAGTACAAATTGAAATCACCATATGGTAAAGAAAAAAACAAAACTCATTGGAATGTGTCCACACAGTGAACGTCGAGTGCTGGCTGAGAGGAACGTTTAATGAGAAAATGGAAGCACAGCTTTTATAAGGCTGGCTTTAGAAAATATGGGGTGGGGAGAAAAAACTTTCCACCAGGATTTGTTACTCCTTAGAGGCTTGAGGAAGCTCCTCAACCTTCCCTTCCCGGAGGTAGCTTCTTGTGGGCTAGTGGCTCTGTGTCTGAGATACTGGACTGCTTATGGCTATAGCTGGGGCAGGACATTTAATTTCTATGTATCATTCAGCTTACCATTTGACTCTGATAATCATAGATGAGAACATCTGGTAAACTATAAAATTATAGGCAAAACGTTACCTCCATTATCATTACTACCACTAATAAAATACCTGCTATATAAGTTTTCTTGGGTTTCTGTAACAAATTACCACACAACTGGTGACTTGAAACAACATAAATTTATTCTGTCACATCTCTGGAGGCCAGAGGTCCAAAATCAATGTGTCAGTAGGGCTGTACTACCTCAGAAGGTACAGGGAAGAATCTTCCTTGCTAATTCCAGCTTCTGGTCACTCCAGGCATCCCTTTGCTTGGGACCACATGACTCCAATCTCTGTGACCATCTTCACAAGCTCTTGTCCTCTGGGATACTGTGTCTCCAGTATCCCTCTGACCTTCCCTGTGTATCCCTGTGTTTCAAATGTACATCTGACTTTAAGCCCACCCTGAATCCAGGATTATTTCCTCTTGAGATCCTTAATTGTATCCGCAGAGACCATTTCTCCAAATAAGGTCACATTCACAGGTTCCAGAGGTTAGGATATGGACATGTTTTGAGATCCTACTATTTCAATCTACTACACCTGCCTCAATTTTTGACAAGTTCTTTCCATCCCTCCTCCTCCTACCTTCCCTGTCCCCAAACCACAAATGGAAAATAAAATAATTTCCAGAGATTGTCATATAATTTTGGCTAATTGCTTTGTATTCTTGGGACAATAAAAGAGAAAATAACAAAAGAATAAGTGGAGAAAATGCTTGGCCAATTGAGTGTACACAGTGACTAACAGATTATTAACAACCACCTTTTGCTACTGACTGCGCAAGTTTATGTCTCTAGAATGTGATATTTATAGGAGTTAAATGAAGCATAGTGTACTGATTTTGAACAATGATTCTCTTTCTTTAGACTTAATAATTAATTGCCATTCTGTTACGTATGCCATAAATGAGAAAATTAAACACACACTTAAAAATTTAAGATAAATTATTTTTCCGCGCTCTTAATCATCTTGGAAGGTGGAAGGATACCAGCAGTTTAACCAACTCTGTAACATTAAAATGTACTCCGCTAACAATTAGAGCTAATAGTTTAAATATAAGGTTTTGACCTTTAAGCTGCTCTCAGTAAGCCTCAATACAAATCCTGCAGATAAGAACATGTATTTTTAGAGCAATTAAAATCAGATTTTTTCTGCCAGAATATAACATGAATGTAAGCAGTGTGCAGGGAAACAACTGGCTATAATACATACATAAATCACACAGCTTTAGAAAGTACCCCATTTGAGAGCTAAATAAAAAATATGAAAGTGCTTCTTTCCCTTCTTGACGAAACAAATCTCCATCCCTTTGCAGGCTCTGTGACATTTCTGCTCTTTATTTTGTGTTATGGACATAAAGGAATGTGGCAGTTGTTGTTGGTCTCACATCCCCTGAGCCTTATCAGTTCCCTGGGACTTTTAGCTTCCAATATCTGTATGTCTTTGCCTGAAAGCTTCCCCACAAGCTGCAAAACACCATATCACAAGGGCCCTGGGGACATTAACACACTTCCCTGAGTTTCTCAACAGATAACTGGCAAAAGCTGGGGTACAATTACCCCAGCTCCCTTCCTCCTTCTGAGGGATAACTCTGCATGTAATTCTGTACCATTTCTCAGAGTGCCCCTATGGCAATGAGCTTCGGTCACCCAGTGATAATCCATTCTCTTCCCTATATCCTTGTATCACTTCCCCTCCGCCTCTACCTTCCAAATAAACTAGTCGCACTCAAATCATTGTTTTAGGTTCTGCTTCTGAGGCAACCCAACCTAAAACATGGGAAAGAAAACACTATTACCCTCTTTGCTTAAAAATTATCTCAAAAATGAATCTTTCTGAAACCACTGCCATATATTAAACATTGATATACTAATATTAAAAATGAGAGCTCATATTTGTATAGTGCTGTGGCAGGTACCACTAGTTAATAAAAAGACATGACCTAGCCCCTTCTTCTTTTACCAAAATCCCAATTTCATTCAAACATTGAATGACTATGTGCCTCTGGGAAACTCAATCCTTCTAGGGAATAAACCTTGATCAGTCTTGGCAATCATGTCATTTCACTTCCATTTTCACTGACTGCTCAGGAATGGGCAAGAGATGCAGTTCTAGCTTATGGGACAGAACAGAAAGTTTTATTGGAGGTGTGTGGGAATTTTTATTTTATGCTTTAAAAAGGACATGAAAATTATTGTCATATAATGACATGAAGAGGAGCCTATCCTGGCCTGTAAATGCTGTGTAATGAGGTAGTCTAGGAGTCGTGGTAGCCATATCAAAAACACGAGGTGAAAACCCTGAAGACAAAAGCCAATACACTAAGTGTGGCAGGGCAGAAAGATGAAAAGAGACCTGGGTTCTTAATTATATATTTATTGTTATTAACTAATGAATTAACTAATCCTGGAACTGCCTTATCTCTGAACTTCTTGTGATGTGAGATAATAAATCTTGTTGTTTAATCTTTTGGGTTTCTTGTTACTTGAAGCCTAAAACTAGCATGATGGCTTTTTCAGTGTGCAAAATGCTCTCATACAGACGATCTCATCTTTCTAGGTAAAGGCAACCTACCTAATAGCTCCCCTAGTGCCCTCTAGATCACAACCCAATCTCGTGCCCTTTCCTGAGCAATCACTGAATATGAGAAGTGAATGAACTCATCAAGGTTTACCCACCTCTGGACCTAGTTATACATGCAGATATAGGGATAAAGGCATGGGAGGAAAAGATACTGAAAAGCCAGTACCTAATCCGTGCTCTAGTTATTATTACATAAGACCCAGCCTCATATACCTTCCTCCATAGGGTGGGTAGAGGGGTCAAATTAGATAACTTGCACCTACAGGATGTACCAAGAGCCTCTCACATTACTCTGTAAGTGTTGGTTATTCTATTACTGTTGGATTAGAGAAGACAGCCCAACCCAACCTAATCAATGGTCCATGTCCGTTTTCTGGACAACACAGTGATCCTGAAAATAATCCACAAATGAGATCGAGAAATGTTGGGCCCCCCCAACCCCCGCAAAAAGAAAAAAAGACATCTCAAGGAGAAAAAGAAAAGTCAGCCTAACAAAGACATAGGGCTAAGAAAGCAAAGGACATTGGAAGGAAATATTAGCAGTTCAGGTGGCTAAAAGTAGTAGACAGAGAGGATAAGCAAAAAAGCTATAAAAGCTGGCAGTGGCGAGATCAGGAACTTTGTACACCATGTTAAGGAGTGTAGACTTCAGTCCAGGCACGGTGGCTCACACCTGTAATCCCAGCACTTTGGGAGGCCGAGGCGGGTGGATCACCAGAGGTCTGGAGTTGGAGACCAGCCTGACCAACATGGAGAAACCATCTCTACTGAAAAAAAAAAAAACAGAAACCCTGTCTCTACTAAAAAAAAAAAAGCAACAACACAAAATCAGCCAGGTGTGGTGGCGCATGCCTGTAATCCCAGCTACTTGGGAGGCTGAGGCAGGAGAATCACTTGAACCCAGGAGGCAGAGGTTGCAGTGAGCCAAGATCATGCCATTGCTCTCCAGCCTGGGCAATGAGGGTGAAACTCCATCTCAAAAAAAAAAAAAAAGTGTAGACAGTGGGGCTTATTAAAGGTCAGATTTTATCTTATATTGAGATTAAAATAAGATTATATAAGATTTTAGTTTATATGATACTGATGGCTATTGAGGATGGACTTGAGAAAAGCAAGCCTAGTCCCATTTCTCTCAAATCAGGTCCTTTCTTGGTGAGCTGGGCTGCTTATTTTACTCAGCTTATTTAACCAGCCCATTTTCCTAAACCATAATGGTTGAAATAATTGACCTTTAAGTGGACATGAGAAGTGTTACTACATTTAGAGGCACTCATTTATTTCAGAATGGTGCATTATCAAATCTTACAGGCTCAGGTGAACCACATGTGAAAAACATTAGACATTCTGGCATGTGTCTAACAGGTCACTAAGAAATAGTTTTCTAGACATGTACTCTTTCTTTGCTATTTTAATGTAAAACACAGAAAAATGAAACTGCTGAAATTCATGATTCCATAATGCACAGCGTGAGACATTGTCCCCAGAGTATTCATTCCATAGAAATAGTACATTTGCATATCTTCCTATAATGTCAGTATAATTCGTTGATGCATCTTTTATTTGTGGTTTTCAGGTTGTTCACTAGAACCATGGTTTTTTTTGCCTATATAATCAGAGGTTGGTTGTAAGTGATATGGGAGTGCTGGGAAGGGAAGAGAGTGGTCCCTTTAAATGATACAGAAGGCAGGAAGGGAAGTGCTAGGAGGAGAGCATGGTCCCTGGCTAGGGTTCCACCCGTATGGACCTAGGTGAAGACAGGCATTTTCTGCCCAAATGTTGCATTTCCCAAGACCACCCTGGTCTGCCACACCCCCATCGTGTGCCTACGAAAACCTGCGAGACCCTAGCAGGCAAACACAGAAGCAACTGGATATGGAGAGGAGCACATCAGCGGAGAACACACAGGTGGCTGGACGTCGAGAAGAACAAACTGACAGACGTCGGCAGGCCAGCAGGCCACCAACCAGCAGAACGACATGGAGTTTGGCTGGGGCAGTTGGAGGAGAGCCCAGTCCGCCAAGCGGAGGCCCAACTCTAGGGGAAAACCATCTCCCTTCTGGCTCCCCCATCTGCTGAAAGCTACTTCCACTCAATAAAACCTTGCACTCATTCTCCAAGTCCACATATGATCCGTACAACACCAAGGCAAGAGTCCCAGGATACAGAAAGCCCTTTGTCTCTGCAATTAAGACCACAGTCTAACTGAGCTAATACAAGCCACCTACAAATGGCTAAACTAAAAAAGCACCCTGTAACACACGCCCACTGGGGCTTCAGCCCACTGGGGCCCTCAGCGTTCACCCCTAGACACTGTCGTGGGTTTGGAGCCCCACAGCCTGTCAGTTTGTATGCTCCCCTAGAGGTTTCAGCAGCAGGACACTGAAGAAGTGAGCCACACCCCCACCACATGCCCTGTGAGGGGGACAAGGGAACCTTTTCTGTTTCATAAGCATATTCTGGAGAACTAGCTGAGATAAGGAATATTATAGACGTCCGTGAAGAGTTGAACTTAAGAGTGCAATCTGAAAAGAAATATGAATCAGATTTGAAAGACTTCTGTCTATGAAGAAAAAAAGTGCAGAAATATGTAAACAAGATGGCTCCTTTTATTTATTAATTTTTAAGGGAATAACAATTAAAAGTGTGAATGAGCGGAATGTAAATGAAATTTTGAAAGACAACACTGGATCTTCATTGAGTCAGTATGTCCCCCAAAACTGATAGATCATTTGCAATGGCAGAATTTGTGTCCTTTTTACCCATCCTGTTTTAATTGAGAAATAAAAAAAGACTATGAAAAGAAAGGAAAACAGGATCCTATTTTAATTGAAAAATAAAAAAAAGAATATGACAAGAAAGGAAACTAGGATTTAGAGACAGTATGAAAAAATATATTTTCTATGCAATTTACATTCTACAAAGTCACAATTGGGTTAAAAGAGATATGGAAAATACTGATGTCAGAGTCATCATGGTGACTTGCACTGCGCTCTCCTTGTATTTTAAGTTCATTGTACTCTGGGCCATGCAAGATATTTTACAGCCAACAAGACAAAAGAAGGGCTTTTTTCTATCAACATTCCGATATCGGCCTTACTCATTGCCCTGCCCTTAGAAATCAATTTTATGGCAAATATTTCCCCCTCCAACCTTCAGGAAGCATGATTAGAAAAAGGGTAGATTTAGCCAACAACATGAATCCAATAGCTATTGGCTGCAATGAATGAAAAACCAGCAGAAGGGAGAGAACATAGCAAGCAACTCCAAATCAAAGGGAATATATGATTTATTTGATATCTTCATTTACCACTGTTGGAAAATGCAAATGACCTAAAAGTTACTTTAAGTGCTTTAGCATCCAACTGTCCTAACTAACATACCTAAATGGCATTGAAGATGCAGATTAGGGCACTGCTTCTCTCTAAAATTGCTCCTAACCTAAAATAGACACACCAGCGTGGTAACACATGGTAAAATATGGCCAGGCACAGGTGGCCACATGGCATTGTAAAAATATGCCAATTTCAGAGTCTGACAAGCCTGGGCATGAATCTTAGCTTTATCATTTATTCATTACATAAGCTTAAGCCCCTCACTCTTCTTCACTGTGCCTCACTTTCCTCATCTGTAATATGGAAATAATACTTTCATCACAGTGAGATATGAATTATAATGACAATATAGTAACTAACGCAGCACCTGCTACATGAAGGCTGCTTAATAAACATTAGTGATCATCACTATCATTAGCATTGCTAACTTTTAACAGCTTGGAATTGAATGTATTCAAATGAGAACTAGCAAAAAAGGGAGATAGACCTAATTATAAATAGACAATCTCCCCAAATTTTATCTGAGCAATCTTGAGGAACTAAGCTCAGATTTTTGTATGGAAATACTATTATACATGGTAATTAGACTGATAGATAAGAATATAAACATCTATTTAAACACCAATATAGCTAATATATCCAGTGGGTACTACTTGTAGTATTTTGAAACCAAATGGCCAGTTATAAAGGGGTTTTGATGAGAAAATAAATTCGGAATTCTAAATTGATGTGTCAAGACCACATATCACCCTGCGTTTTCAACATAAAGATAAGAAAATGGGGGCTCTTCCTAACCCCTTACATTCTCATCCATAAAGCAATAAGAATAGGGTTCTTCTAGGCTTTTCTCCTAGTGTGGTGAACGAGTTCTTGCAAGAGGAAAGCAATACAGAGACAGTATGAGGCAAGTGAGGAAGCAGGGCAAGGGGCTCTGATTTGAGACTCCGCATGAATGCTGCTCAAGACCAGGAAGGAGGCTGGGGAAGCTAGCGAGAAGGTTAAGGACTTGAGGAGCATCAGTGAAGGTGGTAAAGTTGGGGTGGGGTGAGTGTTCTAAATATGCTCTCCCTTTCCCTCTTAGTGGCATCTCAAGGGAGCAGTGAGTCCAAGGCTAACGCAGGCAGGGGACAAGAGCATGAGCATCCCAGGTGTGATGTATACGTAAGTGGTAGGCTTCCTTCCTTTATCCTGTCCTTCCTTTTCCTCCTCTGTTCCACCCTTATCTTGCCACTGCTAGTCCTCATTTGGCGTTGAAACAAAACAAAAGTGAGATTCCAATTTATTAGGATAAGTTAGAAAAGAAAGTCTTCACTTGTCCAGTCAGCTGCTATTCAAGAAAAAGCTTAGGACATCTCTAGAGCCCTAGCCAACTCTAGTAAAGATAGAGAAAGTGGTTAAGAACATGAACAATGTGAAGGAATGGGTGAATTAGACCACATAATTATATCGGAAAGGACATTGGTGGTTCGGAAAAAGTGAATCCTTAAGGTGAAAGACTACTTTAAAGAAGAGTTTTAAAAAATTTTCACCATGTAGGGTGAAATAAGTTGAAGGAAAGATTTTCCAATGCAAGATTTCTGCCATAACCAGAGTGACTACAGGTCCTGGTTTATGACTTCTGAGGCAATGTAATTATAAATACCGTTCCCTTTTGCTTTCAAGGTGTCATGTTTTAAATAATAAATTATATAATCAACCTAGCTATAACCTATAAGCACATTCTATCATCCTTAAAGGACTGAGGACATTTTAGAGTTCATGGTTTTATGTGTGTTTTATCTAGAACAATGTCCAGATTAACTCTAGATGAACAACGTCCGGATCACCTCTCATAACTAGACTGGCATATCCTCAGGAAGGATCTAAGGGCAATTGCAGGAGACAAAAGGGGATGTTTAATACCATTCGCTGGACTCTTATGAATAGGCAAACTCATATAGACACAAAATACTCAGATACGGTGTTAAGATCTGCACTGAGAATTAGATCTTGCTATAGAATTTGGGGGTACCCAGAAAACATAAGCTAGTAAATTTCTAGAAGAGGATGCTATGCTGACATCTGTCAGTGGACTAGGTAGGATCTCTGCTATTTTATGAAGTGTAACTAGAGGTCCATATTTTTGTGACTGTGGAGAACAGACACTGAAATTAATGCCCAAGGTTGGTTTAACCCTAGGAGCTTCCAGTGAGGCCCAACAGGAGCCCAGGAACCCTAGGTGAAGAAAAGATGAGAAAATGTTTAGAGATAGTTGAGTCCCCAATCTCCTGGGGAGGAGACTCACTGATTAAATAAAATCCAAGAAAGGTGGCACATACATTACCCCAAAATGGGGACAGAAGCTGGAGGTCTCTGATTCTGAACCCACAGGTGATGCTGTCATCACCGTGAAGCAGAAAATATAATTGTAGAAGGAAGGTTGAGACACTCAACATTCCAGAGAGGAATCTCACACATTATTCATTTCCCCCTTGGTGTGGAGAACACAGCAGTACACCAGGGCCCCTCTGTCTGCTGGTGATTGGAGGAGAAAGCAAGCCATCTATTGGTGAGGCCTCGAAAGGTTTTTCTGGGGGAGAAGAGTAGAAGGAGTTGTAACTATCCCTTTGCTTCCTTTTTTCTACAGCAGAAACATGCCAGCGTCTTTTTTTAATGGAAGATCATCTATGAAAATCGGAAAATGGAAGAGGACCTTCTACAATGCTACTCAAAGCCAGGAAATATTTTTAGCATAGTTAATAACAGATCGAGGGATAAGACAGTTGAGAAATTCATTCTCAAAAGTATAAAAGGCGTGACTGTGAGACCGGTATTTCCTTCCTTCATTCATTTAAACAATATTTACTGAGTGCCTACAGATTACTAAACACTGCTCTAGGAGGTAGGGAAACATCTATGAATAAAACAGTTAGAAATCCCTGTCCTCAGTGACCTTATTTATATTCTAGAGTTGGGAGTTTACATTCTAATGCTTCATGTTGAGACTAGATCTATGAGGATGGGTTCTCTTATTGCCTCTAGCCACAGAATGGACCAGAAGATCTCCTTAATTCCATACAAGGAAATTAATGACTGGCAACCTGAGTCAAATGCCATTGAGAGGGAAAAACGTGCAGGGACAAGAACCGGAGAGTTTTAAGAAACCAAAAGGCCTGTTGGAGAGAAAATGAATTTGACGTTCCACAAACAAGAAAAGACCTGTGCAGTACAGGCCAAAGGCCTCTGACACCCACTAAGGATCTTAAATAGTAAGCCCGACAGAGTAGAGGCACCTTACCCAAGATAGTTTCTGTATACATGGCTACAGGCCTCTCAAACCCGGAGGAAGAACTGCCTTCTGAATACACTGCTGTGACTGACCAATCTAGAAAATGTCTCTTCAGCTTTACATTTCTGCTTGGGTTTCAGGGTTTTGCTTTTATTTTATTTTACTTTGTTAGTGTTTGAGGGGAAAGGTGTTTTGTTGGGTTGTGCTGTATTTATTTTCAGCAGTTGACTACACTACCCAACCTGCTAATGTTGAGGACCTATCTATCTGTGTTATGTATGGCCATCTTGATATTTTAAATAGAATAGCTTTTTTAACCCAATCGTTTTCAAATATATTATATTTAACACCATTTCACCCAAAAGATGAATATGTAAACCAGACAGAAGAAGAGCTGCTCGGATTAGAACTCAGAGCAGGTGGGGAGGGAGCAGGAGTCCTGCCTGTCCTCTCATCACAGCGGCTTCGACGGGAAGGCTTCATTAACCCCCTAGAGATGCACCAAGCACAGACTGAAAACCTAACCTGTCTGCATTGGTGGGGAGTGCTGCTGCCTGGCCACCTGGTCTAAAATACATGATCCAAAATACAGCATCAACTCATATTGCTGAAATGAGATGTGTGAGAAAGATATTAGTCATTTCAATATAAACAAAGAGAATCCTGATTAAAAGACTTCCCATGGAATAATTAGTTGTCAGAATATAAGAGCTGAAAATATCCATGGCTAACAGAGTGACAACCAGGGCTTGTACTGACTACATGATGAATAGTGGAAGACAACCATGGTGAAGTGAAAACAAAAAACAAATATAAAAAGAACTATGACTAAAGTTACTGTGAACAGGCTGATTCTTCTCACCACCAATTACATCACATCAATGCATACACACTATTCATCCAACAAGCATTTATGAAGTGCTTACTATGTGCCAGGCATGTTGCTAAGTATTAAGAATACAGAAAAAAATAATATAGTCATCACTGTGCAAATGCTTACAGTCTTCCGTAGGAGACAAACCTGCAGGTAGAGGGATATAAAGATAATCTTATTTAATGTAATATAGAAAGTACTTAGTATGCTGCCTGGCATACAATAAGCTAACTATAAATGTTAGTTATTATTAGCAGCTTAATCTCCTGTTGCTATTTACTGGCTCCCCAAAAGAAGAGAGATGAATTTTCAAATACTGGAGACTGTGATAAGCAACCTAAGGGGAAGGAAGAGGCCCCCAAGAGGGCAGGTTTTAGAAACAACAGAGGCTTTTGCTCTGCTGGGTGGCTTATGCAAGCTGAGGGTGACAACTAACCTGCTTAGAATGAGGAAGGGCACATTTTAGAAAGCATATGGAAGAGATGACATTATGAGAAAGAAAAACATGAGGTATTTTGCTTGGGGAAAAATAGAGGTAGCCAATGCACTTTTATTAAGTCTGTGCTTTGGAGTGCATCATGTTAATCCTCTTCCATGTCTCCCCAGGAATTTTCTGTAAAACTTCAAGAAAACCTATTTGGGGGGTGTGTGTGTGCGTGTGTGTGTGTGTGTGCGCGCACGCACGCGTGCATGTCTGTGTGTGTATCTGTGTCTGTGTGTATCTAGTGCTAATGTCCTGTTTAAGATTGCCCCTGATTGAAGAAAGAAGCTTCTCAGGGAGGAGGTAAGTAGAGCAGGGACTGATCCCAACTTGGTCTATAACAAACAAGAAAAAAACAAAGTAAAAGCCTATCATTACAGGTGGAAGATAAAGAAATGGTAAAGGTACAAAGGTAGCAAAAGAGGGAAGAGTCAGCTCTACCTGGGGAAGTCAGGAAAGTTTACACAAAGTAGGTGGTATTAATATTTGAGCTGAATTATAAAGAATCGGTAGTTCACCAGGGAAGATGAAAAACTAGGAGCAAGGAGCGAAAGATTATATGTGGATTAGTATGTAGATTGTAACATGCCAATTCTGATCAATAAAAGTAGTTCAACTAGGCCAGAAAAGAAGCTGTAGAAACAGAAAAAAAAAAAATAATAACAAAAAAAACCTCAAACAGTGAAATATCTTGAGCTTGTCTTTCAAACCAACAAGCAAACAAACCTACTCAAGGATAAGCATCAAAGAAATAAATCAGAGTAAAGAATTCAGGCATAATGAATCATGGTAAATAAACTGATGGTTTTCTTGAGTTTTCTTTCTTTTTTGTTGTTTTTGTTGGGTTTCAAAAGAAGCTAGTGCAAATAAATTGGCTTTACACTCCACCATCTTTTAAAAGAAGCCTCTAGTTTGTGCACTTAAAAAAAACTTTTACTTTAGGTGTAGGGGTACACGTGCAGGTTTGCTATACATGTAAACTCATGTCACAGGGTTTGCTGTACAGGTTATTTAGCCACCCAGGTACCAAGCATAGTACCTGACAGATATTTTTTCTGATTCACTCCTTCTCCCTCCCTCCACTTTCCAGAAGGCCCCCGTGTCTGTTGTTTGCCTCTTTGTGTCCATGTTTTCTCATTGTTTAGCTCCCACTTATAGGTGAAAACATGTGGTATTCGGTTTTCTGTTCCTGCAAATGCAGGAACAGATAATGGCCTCCAACTCCATCCGTATTTCTGCAAAGGATACGATCTCGTTCCTTTTATGGCTGCATAGTATGCCATGGTGTATATGTACCATGTTTTCTTTATCCAGTCTATCATTAATGGACATTTAGGCTGATTCTATGTCTTTGCTATTATGAATAGTGCTGCGATTAACATACATATGCATGTGTCTTTATGTTAGGACAATTTATATTCCTTTGGGTATATACCCAATAATGGGGTTGCTGGGTTGAATGGTAATTCTGTTTTTAGCTCTTTGAGGAATCGCCAAACTGCTTTCCACAGTGGCTGAACTAATTTACAAAAACACAAGCAGTATGTAAGTATCCTCTTTTCTCAGCAACCTCACCAGCACCTGTTATTTTTTGTCTTTTTAACAATAGCCATTCTGACTTGTGAGATGGTATCTCATTGTGGCTTTCATTTGCATTTCTCTAATAATTAGTGATGTTGAACATTTTTTCATATGCTTTTTGGCTGCATGTATGTCTTCTTTGAAAAGTGCCTGTTCAGTCCTTTTCCCCCTAGTTTGTGCAATTTCATGGTGTTCTAGGTTCTAAAAACCCTACACATTCTGATCTTATTCCCTACAGTTTGGGACACTTCAGGATTTCAGGAGTAAACAGATCACTAAGCAGCAGAACTGGTTTTTCTGAATATACTTCATAAAATCAATGAATCTTGATTCTAAGAAAGGTCTCCTTGTCCCTGCTTTCAAGCAGAAGAGAAAGTTTTTAAAATTGCAGAAAACTGTGTTGGGAGGTAAAAGATTCCAGTGACTAACACTTCACATTGCTATAATTTTCTTTGTTTAACTTAGTACTTTAGTCATTCTCTTGTCTATCTCTAGTGAAGAAGAACAAATTATCTTTTGTATTGTTTTCATATATTTAAAGTCACCAGTATTTTCATTTCTAGGGGCTGAATAACTTTTTCGCCACCACATATATGCAATTTTCAGTTCTTTAATCTTTTCTCTGCTTTCATAATGTCATGAATAAGCTTGTCCTATCTTGTTCCAGCTTTAAGGATTGTGATTTTTCAAAAAGCCTTTCCTGTGAAATCCAGACCTCACTCATATCTGTGCTTCCTCTCTTAACTGCATAATTTCATGTGAATTATATCCTATGAGTGCTGATATAAACACTTTAGTCTTATCTCCCTTGCTGAATGTTTCACCAGGGCATAAGCCAGGCTTTATATTTTTATATAAAGGTGCCACTCTTTCCTTCTTGACTTTTTCTCTCTCTGATTCTAGGATACCATAACCTTCTCTAACAAATAAGAAGAGAAAAATGATGTAATTGTATTAATAAACACCTAAAAGGCATTTAGTAATATTCAGTAGCCATCTGTAATAAAACTCTACTTAACATATGGATAGGAAGATTCATCTTAAAGACTATTTATGAAAGTCCAACAGCAAACACCAAATACAGGACAACACTGAAATGATTTCCATTCACATAAAGAAAAAAATAAAGAAGGCTGCTTTATCATACTTATTTCAATATTGCCTTTGAAGTTCTATCTAATGAAATGACTCTAAAAATGACATAATTTGTAAAAATATTGTGAAGAAAAGACAGTCTTTGTTTCCAATTTAAGAAAGAAGTTGAGTTAGTTAGATAATTAAATACAGTAGCTGGATTCAAATATACATATAAAAAAGTCAGCAGCATTTCAATAATAGCAATAATAATCAAATAATAGTGGATATTTTAAAAAGTCCTACTTACAAAAGCAATATAAATTATAAAACATGTAAAAATTAATTTCATAATGGAGGTATAATATCTTTATTTTTAAAAGTGTTAAATCATATAAAATATGTAAAGTAAGCAATGAAAAATAGAATTACAACGTCAATGTTTTCCAGTAACCATTGTAAACTGACAAATGATTTTAAAATTCAATTAATGAATAGAAAGTCAAAAATGTTTACAAAAAAGAAAACAGTACTGACAGTACTTTTTTCACCAAACATTATAACAGTCTCGAAGACATCATAACCAAATAGCATGATATGGCTACTGGAATAGACAAAATATTGGTTAAAAAAAAAGAGCCCAGAAAATATATACCAGAAAAGGATAGAATACATCATGAAAGCTGCATTTAAAATCAACGGGAAAAGGATACTTTTTTTAGTATATGGCACTGATAAATGGCATACATGTGGAAAAAAATGAACTTCTACCTCATCCTATATACAATACATCAAATTAAACTTTTCTGCTATACTTTAAGTTCTGGGATACATGTGCAGAACATGCAGGTTTGTTACACAGGTATACACATGCCATGGTGGTTTGCTGCACCCATCAATCCATCATCTACATTAGGTATTTCTCCTAATGCTATCCCTCCCCTAGTCCCCCACCCACTGACAGGCCCCGGTGTGTGATGTTCCCCTCCTTGTGTCCACGTGTTCTCATTGCTCAACTCCCACTTATGAGTGAAAACACATGGTGTTTGGTTTTCTGTTCCTGTGTTACTTTGCTGAGAATGATGGTTTCCAGCTTCATCCATGTACCTGCAAAGGACATGAACTCATCCTTTTTATGGCTGCACAGTATTCCATGGTGTATATGTGCCACATTTTCTTTATCCAGTCTATCATTGATGGGCATTTGGGTTGGTTCCAAGTCTTTGTTATTGGGAATAGTGCTGCAATAAACATACGTGTGCATGTGTCTTTATAGCAGAATGATTTATAATCCTTTGGGTATATACCCAGTAATGGGATTGCTGGGTCAAATGGTATTTCTGGTTCTAGATCCTTAAGGGATTGCCATACTGTCTTCTACAATGGTTGAAATAATTTACACTCCCACTAACAGTGTAAAAGCCTTCCTATTTCTCCACATCCTCTCCAGCATCTGTTCTTTCCTGACTTTTTAATGATCACCATTCTAACTGGCATGAGATGGTATCCCACTGTGATTTTGATTTGCATTTCTCTAATGACCAGTGATGATGAGCTTTTTCTCATATGTTTGTTGGCTGCATAAACGTCTTCTTTTGAGAAGTGTCCATTCATATCTTTTGTCCACTTTTTGATGGGGTTCTTTTTTTCTTGTAAATTTATTTAAGTTCCTTGTAGATTCTGGATATTAGCCCTTTGTCAGATGGATAGATTTCAAAAATTTTCTCCCATTCTGTAGGTTGTCAAAGCTGGAGCCATCATGTTATCTGACTTCAAACTATACTACAAGGCCACAGTAACCAAAACAGCATGGTACTGGTACCAAAACAGATATATAGACCAATGGAACAGAACAGAGCCCTCAGAAATAACACCACACATCTACAACCATCTGATCTTTGACAAACCTGACAAAAACAAGAATTGGGGAAAAGATTCCCTATTTAATAAACTGTGCTGGGAAAACTGGCTAGCCATATGCAGAAAACTGAAATTGGACCTCTTCCTTACACCTTATACAAAAATTAACTCAAGATGGATTAAAGACTTAAACGTAAGACCTAAAACCATAAAAACCCTAGAAGAAAACCTAGGCAATACCATTCAGGACACAGGCATGGGCAAAGACTTCATGACTAAACACCAAAAGCAATGGCAACAAAAGCCAAAATTGACAAATGGGATCTAATTAAACTAAAGAGCTTCTGCACAGCAAAAGAAATTATCATCAGAGTGAAAAATTACATTTTTAAAAATTAAATGTTGAAAGATAAAATAATAGTATTATTAAATAGAACATTTTAAGACTCTGAGGTGAGCAATACTTGTTAAGCAAAATATGATACCCAAGTGCTTTAAAGGTTTATAAATGTGGCATTTTGCTCTCTAGGTAAATTTCTTTCTTATTTATTTATTTATTTATTTGAGAGATAATGATTTTATAGATATAAAATAGATACTATAAAGTATATTATATTTTATATAAAGTATATAATATATAAAATAAATTATATTTTATATAAAATATATTATATAATATATAATGTACAATGTAATGTTTTGATCTATGTATACACTGTAGAAAGATCAAGCTAATTAACATATCTATCACCTTACCAACTTCTTTTCTGTGATGGGAACATTAAAAATCAATTCTTTTAGCAATTTTGAAATACATAATACCTTATAATTCATTTGCCATGCAGTGAAATAGATCACTAAAACTTATTCCTCCAGTCTAAATGGAATTTAGTATCCTTCAATCAACAGCTCCTCTTCTCTCCAAATCCCCATCCAGCCTCTGCTAACCAGTTTTTCACTCTCTGTTTCTGTGAGACTGACTTTTACAGATGCCACATATAAGTGAGATCATGCAGTATTTGTCTTTCTGTGCCTGGCTTATTTCATTTAGCATAATGTCATAATGTTCCAGGTCCATCCATGTTGTCACAAATGCCAGAATTTTCTTCTTTTTTAAGGGTGTATAATATTCCATCGTGTGTGTGTGTGTGTGTGTGTGTGTGTGTGTGCGTGTGTGTGTATCTCACATATTCTTTATTCATTCAACTACGGATAGATACTGGGTTGCTTCCATATCTTGGCTATGTGAATAATGGTACAATAAACATGGGAGTGCAGATATCTCTTTGGCACACTAATTTCAATTCCTTTGTATACAGAGCAAGAAGTGGAAATATTGGATCTCTCCATATATATTCCCCACAGTTTTTCAGAGCTAGTTTTACAATTAAGTGGATTTTTTTCGATTTTTGCACTGTATTGTGAAATATTTCTTTTATGTGTTATTCCTAACATTAATCTTACATGATAAATAACACAGTGACTTTCTTTTTCAGCTCATCTATTGAGCTTTGTAGAATTTTCAGTTTAAGTTCCAGAATACTTTTGAATGCTCTTTTTTCACGATTTTCTTCAGTCTTCTTGAGAGCACTTCTCTTTTTGATAAAGTTCTCTTCCAGTTCCTCTATTAGCTCTAATTTAATGACAGCCTACACTTCTAGTTGTTCAATTATTGCTTCCTCATCTAGAATATTCTTAAATAAAATGTGAATATTAACTTGTCTGGATTTTTCTTTAGCAGACATATTCACTAAGCAGATGCTATTGCTTAAGCAGTGGAAAATCTACCATGGAAGTCCTAGAAGAGGCTTTTCTCTGTTTTATAGTCACTAAGAGGAAGTTGTAGAAGGCATCCATTGTATCCTAGGTCTTTTGGTCAAGCAGACTTCTCTCATTCACAAGGTATTGGCGCCATTCAACACACTAGAGCAGCTTTGCTCCTGTTCTTCTGGGTTCAACAGGATTAGTGGGCCCTACTAAGTCTGACAAGCAGCAGGACTTCTTCCCTGTATTAGTGAAGATAACATTACCTGCGATAAAAAAAATTCAGTGGTTTAACAGAACAGAGGTTTATTTTGTGCCCATGCAGTAGTCTAACGTAATTGTTTCAGATTGGTGGATAACTTTTCTCCACATGGTGACACAGAAACTCTACTCTTTTTGATCTTGTGGCTAGGATGACATTGTGATGTCCAGAGAGTCTTCTATAGCCAGTCAGCTGACAGGGAAAGGCAGCATGGAGAAGTCACATCTGCTTCCTAACAGGCTAGAAAGAACATACATCATTTTATCTGACATTCCAATGGTGAAAACTAGATGCAAGCCTCCACTTAGATGCAAGAGAAACTGGAAATGTAGTCTGGCTGAGTAAGGGCTTCTTGGCGATAATTCTCTTTTATTTATGGGATGCTCACATATCAGTGGCCTGCTATGTTCATATCATGTTATGCTAGTCCTCAAAGAGAGTCAAGGCTTCTCTTCTGCCCCTGGTCCTAAGTCTCTCACAGTGTAATGAGGCTAGAAATTTTGGTTCAGAAAGTGACAGAAGAGCAAGAAGTCACTTTATGGTAAGTCCAGTGAGAAAGAGAAGCCTTAAATCATTTAGAAAAAGTAGAAAGACAATAAACCTTGAGCTAGATATGAAGCCCATGGCTAAAAATGTTGTAAAATTTAAAAAGATAGCATAGCATTTTGGGGAGTGTTTTTTTATTCTTGTTTCTGTTTTTGTTTTTGTTTTTAAGAAAAGGGGGAGAAGAAATTTAATAGCATCCCATTATGTAAGAACTAAAACTATGTAATGGTGACTTATAGAGGAATATTAAAGGAGATAGAGATTATTTGAGATGCACAATATATAATCAATCCATATGAAAAAGTCATAAAATGCTTTGTTGTAATGTTATTTTATTCATATGGGAGCCATCTAAACATAACAAATCAAATAGACTCAAGTACATAGTGAGTTTTTTTATGTATTCTTACTTCTGCAGCAAGTATTTATATGCAATTTCTTTACCATGCTTGGGAGTTTCATTTTAAAGAAGCTATGTGGTAAAATGAGCCCCCACCTATAATTTGTAGATTTATTATAAACTTTAAATTTTTTCATCAGTGTGTAAAGCACTTAGGAAATTTAACACAATTATATTTCCCTTGGCTAACTCATTTAATTCATGAATTTTGAGTCTTGGAGAAAAATTTGAGAGATTAAAGAAGAAAAATGCAAGCAGTGCTTTAGGGTTTTATTAGCACAACTATTTAATTACTATATACAGTATTTAAATCCCATCAGTTAGGACCTGTTTAAACTTTTGCCATGTATCTTTAAAGCTCTCTGTCAAAACAGGCATTTGCTCAGAGAATTTATGGTTTCATACAGTAACTGAGAAGTCTCTAAGATAACTTTAAAGAAACAGAAAAAAGGGAATATCCTTGCAAAGGAATGATGTTTCTCATTCATGTCAAATGATGAAAAGCTTACAGTCAACAAATAAGAGACCTCACAAGCATTTATCACAACCTCAGACCCACTTCAAAACTTTCAAACTAAAAGAAAACTAGCATGGGAAGCTTGCCAACTCTTCTTCTTGCCAAGTTGGCAGAGCCCTGAAAGTTTGAATGGCTTCTCGATGTATAAGATAAAAGCAGGCATTTGGAGCCTATGAAGTCTCCCTGGGCACGATCAGACCCTAGGTGAAATTCCATCATCTGTTGTTATTTGCACATGATGTCAGGTTTACAGATGGCACAACAACTTAGGGCTCTGGCTACCTGCATAGTTTTTCTATGAAACCAAGACAGAAAAAAATCGTAAACATGAGTGAGGAAAGGTGTTTCCCCTTCAAAGATGACTTTTCCAGCTTTGATCTTTCACCTCCAGCGACTGCATAATGTGAGGCACGAGAGGACAAAAAAATCTTAGTTTCCAACAAGAGCATCTCCTCTCAGGTCAAGTACGTGTGAGGTGTGTGCTCATGAGAAGCAAGAACAGACCCAAGTGACTGGAATCTGCACACTGCTTTATCCATCAGGAAACAACTTCTAAGCTACTTCCTATCTTCTGGGCAGCGAGGTCTCATTCATAAGTGTCCATTCATTTCCAAATGAGTAAGCAATTAGAATTCTTGACTGATTTTACTTTTTCCTCCCTCCACTTTTCTCTAACCCGTATTTATTTCATTCATTCAGTCTAACATGGCCCTAATACCTCCATGCTCTTCAGATTCTTCCCATCTTCCACCCCCAAGCCTTGGTTGTTAGCTGCACACTGCATCTTCTCATTCCTCCACAGGGGAAACTCCCATACTACGAATTCAATGCTCTTTCCCTTCAGATGACAGATGGGGAATGCTTCAGCATGGGCTAAGAAACAGGACCACCCGCTTGATGTGAATTCCTACAAATCACTCTCAAGTTTCCCCTTATGTTTAATTTTTCTTTAAATATAGCTTCCTTTTGGAAAAGAAAATTTGCCTATTTGCTCTAGTTAATATCATGGATGATAGACCTTCATGGATATCTTTGCATCTGCCTATGCACTTTGAATTCATTTTTGCCTCTTCAATCTTCCCTACTCTTGACAGCCCAAGGAATCCCGCCTGTATCTCTCTGTTTCATTAACTCTCCATCTCATTTCAAATCCAACTGAAATCCTCATTTTTCCCCCTCCAGATTTTATACCTCAAATACTAAATAAGTTGAAAAAATGTTTCTTTACTGCGTGGTGTAGTACAGTGCTATGGAAGAATTGAGGTTAGAGGTTCCATGAAAAGCTCTGCACAGAATGAAATTTTATTGTACCTCATAATTGTTATTGTGTCCTAAAGGATATTACTAAATCACACATGTAATAGGATATACAACTTTTTTTTTTTCTGTCAGCAACTTTGTTTAATATATATGAATAAATTTATAGTGCAAAATCTGAAAAAAATTGGGTTCTAGGGTTGTCTTTTCCTAAACCAAACACAACAGACATAGCGTTTAAATATTCCAAGGATGGCATTAGGTTAATTAGTTAAATTTTATGAGGAGAAATATCTTTCAGAATTTATTCACTATGGAAAAGAAATATTTTAGGTTGTTTCTAATGAAGCCATCGAAGCCATTTTCAGGAGTAAAATATCCAAAAAGATCACAGATATTAGCTGAACTGGGAGTGGTCTTTTTTCCTAAAGAGTATGCACATATATATTTTTTAATTTTTAAATGTTTAATGCTTGTGGGTACTTAGTAGGTGTATATATTTATGGGGTACATGAGATGTTTTGATATAGACATGCAATGTGAAATAACAGCATCATGGAGAATGGGGTGTCCATCCCCTCAAGCATTTACCCTTTTACATTACAAACTATCCAAATACACTCTTTCAGTTATTTTTAAGTGTACAATTAAGTTACATGTTTTCTTACTCAAAAAAATAACCCTAATCTTCAGCCTCCCTCCTGTCAACACTTGTCTTCATCACTATCCAGACTTCCTTGATAACCAAAAGCATCAGCTCTAAGAAAAAGCAGTTCACTAACAAACAGCTAAGACCTGGAGTTCTTTCATTCTGTCTCACCAAGCATTGCAAAGGATTATGGGGAATAGAGCAATCACATAAGTAAGCTTAAATTATCTCCTGACTTACCAAAAAAACATTTACCAACCTGCAGTTCAGGACCTACACCCACAGCATTTTATCATACCACCCACTCCCTGCATCCACCTTTTTCCAGTACTTATCATGTAACATCAGATTATTAAAAACAACCTCTTCAGCTTCAGAGTATCTCTGTGAAACTCATTTAAAAATAACACATGAAGAATAGAACAGAATTTTTAAAAATAAATTCTTCTTTGTGAAAAAACTTTAAGAAAACCCTATGCATGGGATAGGGAAATCAGATAGAGGCTATTTGTGCCCTCCTGAAGATAAAAACTGTGACAAGAATAGAGAGTCAGATGAAGATAAAAGGGTTATTCCATTTTTGGGTCTCTTCTTCTTCATCTTCTTCCATAAACACAATCCAATTATGAGTTCTCCTGAGACAAGACAAAACTCGCTCCAAAGTCATTACATCATTCTATCATTTCCATCATAATCTTGTATGTGATCCAAATTATTCCCATTTAATGACACTAAAATATTCAAGAGGAGAATTATAAACTGGCAACTGTTCCATCTGAAATTCCTTGTGAAAGTGAGGTAAAGACAAACAAAAATAAATGTCCTCTTTTCACTTTGGTAACTTAGGAAGCAAGCATCTAAATTCTCATGTTTTTCTCATTTTATTAATCACAATATTTATATTTGTATTTACCATGGAATTACACAACATATTCTGAAAACTCAAGAGACATTTTTCTTTTCAATATAGTTTTCTATTGACATTAGGCTTAGAGCTAAGGAAAAACTGCTTTTAATCTGACCACATATCCTGATCAAATGTAAACCTTGAGCTAGTTCCAAACGCTGCCATAAATTTATACAACTTAAACACCAACGCTAAGATAATAGAAAGCAGAACACTTTCTAAGAGAATCAGTCTGTACCCTAAAATAGTCTTAAATAATTTTTAAGTTAGAAATGAGTTCCACCTTATGTTTCTAAGGGTTGGAATATTTTAACTATGTTTTGCCAATAAAGACTTTTAAAAGGGAATATAAATATATTGGGCTGAAGTAAAATTTGCAACTTTAATATCTGATCATCCAAACATAAATATGTTACCTTTACTTCACTGTATCAGCATATATGCACTAAAATATGTATAAATACATAATCAGTAGAAGTTCTGAAGAAAAATCTAACGTATTATAGAATCTTAATACCAATATATTAACATGAAATCTTAACAATATGCTAATATTTAAAATAATAACTAAATAGCTAACATTTGTTTACTATTTATAATGTGCCAGAGATTATTCTGAGCTTTTAACTTGTATTAACTCATTTACTCCTCACATAAATGTGAGGAGTAGGAAGTAATTTTAACTTCATTAGAGATAAGAAACTCAGGCAAAGTGAGGTTAAATAACTTGCCAAATATCAAACAGCTGGTATGAAATGGGTCTTGGAAGCAAATCTAAAGAATCAGTTCAAAATCCACTCTTAATCACTACATAACATACACAGCACAATTATTGTTCATCATATACTTATTCTTTTATGGAAATATATAGTCTCTAACATATTGTGAACTTCTATTGGGCAAGGAATAGCTCATTTTATTCATCTTTGTATATCTAGGCACTAGAAAATATCCAATATGCAATTAGTTAATCAAATATATTACAATTTTCTCCATGTCCTGCTAAATAGTTTGGATGCACATTACAGTTAATGATTTTACTGTCCCAATTAAAAAATTGTAAATGTATGTATGGAATAAATAATGCAGTAACAACATTAATGAAAATCAAAAAAGGGGAAAGAAAAAAATGGTTACAAAAAACCCTCTAGCCTAACAGATAAAGTATCCTTCCTTTTTCTACAATAGCTTATGGTTCTTTTGATTTGTATAGTTTGTTACATAGTGTTAAAATAAAAATGCACAGTAGTTTAATATCCTGCTTTCTCCTAAAACTAGATACAGATTTTCCTCAGTCTGAAAATTATAAGTTTTAATGGTTGCATATGATTCCATTGAGTGCAAATACATAAATTTATTTAACAAATCCCCTACTATTGAACATTTAGGTTGTTTTCATTGTGTGGTCTTAAATATAATGCTATAAGCAAAAAGGATGGATTGGTAGATGGATAAATAGGTGGCTACATGGATAGATACAAGATAGGACAAATATAGTAAAATGTCAAAGGTAGAATCTGGGTGGTAAACATATGAACAATTCACTGTGTAATTGTTTTAATTTTCTATGTGTTTGAAAATTACCATAATAAGATGCTGAAAAATTAAGGCCTTAGTGAATAAATATATTTATTTAATAAAATGCCAACTTCACAAGAGCAAGGATTTTTGTCCACGTTGTTCATAGGTATATTGCTACTACCTAGAACGGTGCCTGGAACATGGAGGTGCTTGCCTTGTAATTTTCTGATGAAAAGTGAACTTTTAATATTCTAATGTCAAATCTCTGAAAATCAGATTCTGCTCTCTCTCCCTCCCTTGGGTTTATTGTTGGCCGCTGTCATGGGTTTTGATTGTTCAGTGATTTTTCTAAACCGTTTGCATGAAGACTGTGTTCTTTGTTAAGTGTGGTCACTGAGGTCTCTGCTCTGTTAGCTTAGTGGTCAAATAACAATTTGACAGGTATTTCCTTAAATGCCTAGAGCCGAAAGAAAAGAAAAGGAGCAGAAAGGAAAAGAGAAGAGAAGAGAAGAGGAAAAGAGAAAAAAAGAGAAAAGAAAATCTCCCATCTTTGCAGACTGACTGTATGTTGAGGCATTTCTTCAATACTTATTCAGGCTATTTATAACTCTTCCTTAGCCTTCACTTCCTGTTTTCACTGATCCTAACGGTGAACCAGAGGTGAAACTCTTGTTTCTTGAGTCTTTTCTGAAGATGAATCCAGCCCTGGGCTTATCTGTGGCTTTGTAGATTTCCTGGCACATGTGAAAGCCTTTCAAATCACTTCTCTCCCTCCATGCCTCTTCTTTCCCAGGCTTTTCTGTATGTCTAATGTTTGCATGATTTCACATCCCTTATCTCAGGAGGCTGTAGCTAGTATATTTGCCTTTAAATACTTTCAGGAGGCCACTCCAGCCCTCAGAAATTTCTGAGTTAAGTAAAACAAAGGCAAGCCCCTGAGCTGATTTCTCAGGGAGACAACAAACAGGCCAGCGCACTCAATCATAGAAAAACAAGGTCCATGTTGTTCCCTGCAGCATCAGCAAACTGTATCACGGACATGGGCCACCATCCTTATGGCCATCAACATAGTGGGGAGTGGAGAATCTATTGATTCATTGTTGTGGCACTTTCCTTTAATTCTTTAAATATATGTATCCTTTAGTTTCTTAACTATATTTAAAATGGCAATATAATATAATTCTCTGAAATTTTTGCTAAATCCAACATCTGGAGACACTCAGTCATAGTTTCTATTGTCTACATTTTTTATTGTGGTAAATATGTATATATATATAAATAACATTAACTTGGCCATTTGGGCCATTTTTAATAGTACAGGTCAGTAACATTAAAGACATTCACACAATTCTGCATCTCCAGAAATTCTTCTTCTTCCCAAACAGAAACCTTGTATTCGTTACACAATAACTCCTTATTCCTTCTTCGCCCCACTGGTCTCTGGTGATCACCATTCTACTTTTCAGCTGTTTTTACTTTCTGAGTTTTAGTCACAAGTACCTGTTTATTTGCATATTTTTTTACAACATATATGTAACAGGAGCCCCAGAAAGAGAGGAAAGAGAATAAATATTTGAAGAAATAATGGCCAAAACTCAACTGTAACCATCACTACCCTGCATCTCCAGAACTTTTTCCATCTTCCCAAACTGAAACCCTGTACCCATTAAATAATAACTCCCTATTCCTTCTTCACCCCCACTGGTCTACAGTAATCACCATTCTACTTTTTGACTGTTTTTTTCTCTCTGAATACTAGTCACAGATTCCTGTTTATTTGAATGTCCCATTTTTTAAAAGTGTTTTGAATGATATAGTATCGCAACTCTGGAACACGATTATTATTATTAATTTCTTTTTTGAGACAGAGTCTCGCTCTGTCACCCAGGCTGGAGTGCCGTGGCGTGATCTCAGCTCACTGCAACCTCCGCCTCCTGGGTTCAAGTGATTCTCCTGCCTCAGCCTCACGAGTAGCTGGGACTGCAGGCACGTGCCACCACGTCCGGCTAATTTTTTGTATTTTTTAGTGGAGGCAGGGTTTCACTGTGTTAGCCAAAACAGTTTTGCTTTCCTGACCTCGTTGTCTGTCCACCTCAGCCTCCCAAAATGCTGGGATTACAGGCGTGACCCACCAGGCCTGGCCAGAACATGATTATTTTTTATCTGAAAGTTATCGGTGCTGGAAGGTTTTGGAGTTGTTTGGTAACTTACCCAGGCTTAAATCTGTAAAATACGTCTCCTTCATGATCAGCAGTCTCTGACATCTTTGCCTGGATTTTTTTTTATTCTTGCTTTTTATTTTTAATTCTGGCTTCCCAAGGGTTACTCCTGATTCATTGTAAGTTTTCAGCCAATGACTGGATAGTCCTTTTGCACAAATATCTAGAGCCAGATAGACTTCCATTCTCTGTTCACAGATCTTTATATGGGTAGGGAAGTGCATTCCACGGTTAAGGCCATTTACAAGTCTTCTCTGGCTTTTATATTCTTCTTGGCCTTTTGTGGCTCCTATGCAAATGTGTACAGCCTCAGGTTTGGACAAGAGTACATAAAAAGCTTAGGGTCTCTTTGGTCTCCACTGTGCATGTGCTCAGTGGTAGCCAGAAATATATTGGTCCCAACCACAACCATAACTTCAGGCTTTTGGCCCTCATCTGGCCAAGATCATCACTTTCACTGACAACTCTTCAGGGCGTATTAATCACTCACCACTCAAAGTCTATGAGTCTTGTTTGACTACAGAGGCACAACCTGCCCACCCCCCAACACTCCCAACCCTTGCAGATTTTCCACACAACCAAATGGAGAGGGTGGGAGCAAGGTTGCCATAGATTCCAACTATGAAGTTCAGCAGTTTTTGAAGCGTAAATCCTTCTCAAATTGTTATATTCTATTTAGATGTTAAGAGTACTAAAATGGTTATGATTTTATTTTGTTGGAGATTTTGTGTCCAGCCTTATAGCTGCTTTTTTTGGAGAGAGGATTTACCAATCTCCTCACTCTGCCATAACCTAAAATCCTCTCTTTATTCACTTTTATTTAGAGCAGTAATTCTTAAAGTGTGGTCCCCAGATTGGCAGGGTCAGCATTAAAACGGAACTTGTTAGAAATGCAAATTCATGGACTTCACCTCAGACTTACTAAAACAGAAATTCTGGGCATAAGGCCCAGTAATCTGTGTTTTAACAAGCCCTCCAAGCAATTCTGATGCATATTCAAATTTTAGAACCACTAATTCAGAGTATATTTAAGATAATACTTGTAATAGAGTTCTTCTCCCTGTTCAAGGGAAAAGAGACAAACATAAGAACTTTCTAGGTGTTTTATCAAAGTTATCTTGTATTATTTTTTAAAGGATGAATTAACCATTGGCGTTTGGGTATAAAGATTGGCATAAAATTTTTAGGCCAAAAACAGGTATTCCTTGATATATGCAAAGAAACACTAGACAGATTTAAGAGCACCAATCTAAATATTATCCAGATATACTACCCTGGCACATCTAAACTTGTGGGAGTTGAAATTTAGTACTGCTGCTGCCTTCCAAAGCTATATACTGTACATACTTCAAATTTTCCAACTTTTATCATCTTCATTAGAAAGACTAGCTGTACCAGGACTATGAAGATATATTCTTGTATAACTGGTACATATGTTCCTAAAAGCTACTTTTCAAAAACAGAACTGAATTTTATAGGCATAAAGCCATTCTCAATTAAACTGAAAGTATCCTTAGAGTAATCATTTTGTAATTAGTGGTTTCTATATCTACATGAATACATTTTTAAACAATGCTTAGCAAAATAATAAAATAAAAACAAATTTTAGAATGCCCATAATATATTTATGCAACATTTTTAAACAATATTGCCTGTTATTTGCAGATACATATGTATATAAAACTATGACAAATAAAAAGTTGTACACCGAATAATGATTGTCTGTGTGAAAGAAAAATGGAATTGAGAAAAGTCAAAGAGGACTTCTTTATAGTTTATTTCTGTTATTTATAAATACAACAAGATCCTCAGAATTTCTGATTATTGAAAATACTATTTTATCAGAATTAAGGTTAAATAACGGATACTGTATCATATTCAAACTGAGAAAGAAGGAGAGACAAGCCTAGAAATTCCTAGCTTAGCACCACTGATTCTTCTATTCCCAGGAAATAACTCTGAGGGGTAAAGCTATTTCCAGAGGATGAGAATTAGACATAAGGATGAGTTGGAAATTCAAAGAAGAAAATCTGTTGCCCAGAAAAAATCAGAATAAGAAGGTTTAGAGACATATAAATCCATGAATATACTCCTTATTCCCATAAGTAATACTAAGTTAATTTGAACTCGTGAACTTACAGTACAATGATTAAAAGGGGGATTTGGAGTTGGAGAGAGTCTTTGCTTAAATACTGGGTCTGCCCAATATTTTATTCATCCTAACCTCACTGAGCTTTTGATCTTCCATCTGTAAAATGAGAAGAATAATAATATCTATCTACTCAGAATATTGAGATAATTAACATAGATAATGTATGTGCAATTCTTACACAGTGCCTGGCACAGATCAGCACCCCATAAACGTTAGTTATTACCATTATTTCTTTAGCCATCTGTCCAACAGCTAGTTGGTAGGTGCCTATTATATGTCAAATTTTCTACAAGATTCTGAGGTTTCAGCAAGTGAACACAATAGAAACAGTCCATGTCATTGTGAAATCTATAATCTTAGAGGAAAGAGAGATAGTTACCTAAGAAAATGCACTGACTTTGATGGAGACACAGTAGGGATAGTGCCCAACCATCCAGGGCATGCAGAGAGGCCTGCTAGAAGATTCTTAAGTAGAGATAATCTAATGACAGAGCAAGGCTTTTGTACTAATGGAGATGTAGAATTATTCCTTGTTTAACAAAATCTGACTAGAAAATTATGCTTTTTCCAATCATGCTAGAAATGAAACCTGGAGCTTTGTAAAAGTCTTTTTGGTCTGTTCTGCAAAGCTGACCCTGCAGGCATGGACATCATACCACATTTGTAAGTGTGAGGCCTTTGGTGTGTTCAGCATCTAGGAAGTTGCAGAGTTAGTGGATTTTTAGCCTAGTGAGGGCTTTGTGCCCCTCATGGCTATTTCTGAGAGCTTTTTGTTGGTCAGAAATAACCATGTGGCAGAAGCTGAGAGAGTATTTTAGCTACAACTCCTCAGACATCACTTCTTGTTCATCTTCTCCTGGAGAACGTCCCAATATTGTACACTTCTGAGTCTTCTTGCATCTCTCTCCCAGTTGTTCATAGCTGAATCCACTGATTCTCCCCATGCATAAGCTCCATTCAGCCCCACTCTCAAAGCCAGTTTTGGAGACTCAGATTCTCTAGCAGCCTCAACCTTCTCTTAGCTAATCTGACTTGGGTCACCCTTTCAGACCTGGGGTCTATATACTGACCTCAGAGGGCTCCAGACTATTGCCAGGTCTCTCCTGCTGCCATTTAAACTCAGGGTCAGGTGTCCCCATGAGGATACCTGGTCTTCCCTGTCACCTTCCAGATTGCAGCACCACCCTTCCCTTGTGTACTCTAAGCTTCTGCTAGGTTTTTCTTTCCCTACTTCTTTTTCCAGGCCTGACTGCCTGCTGGACATACACATGGGTGGGCCATTAACTCTATTCTGTGGGATCCCTTGTTCCTCCCCAGTGCCAAGCATGTGCCTGAATAGAAAAATGCTACTGCTTCTGGCTTCTTTTCACATACCTTAAGAGATGGCCTCATCACGTGTCCTGTCCTGAAGACTACATTAAGCTCACCTTCTCCTAGACTGGTAATGTTGCATGAAGCTGGAATTCCTCATACTCTAGTATATAATTATTTTTTACTCTGGGCAATTAAATACTTGAAAGACGCTTCCTTATGATGACCACTATACATACCGATGAAATGAACTACTGTTAGAATATTCCTCTATCCATATTTGTAGGAAAAATCCTCAGATTTTTGAGGGGTTAATTAAAGCACAGCTATCTATATAATCTTTTTGTAAAACAAACTCTTCTACTACACACAGATATCTGGATTTGTGTTATCCAACAATTCAGGTTATTCCCCTTTATTTGGATACACCATCACCATATCTTGCAATTATCCAGCAACTTTCATCTTTCAGATTTGCACTATAATATTAATAATAATGACAAGTAGAGTGATACTCATTTATCTAACACTTTGTAGTTCAACAACATTTTACAGTGGGCAATTAGTTATTCCACACCTGTAAAGTAGTTAGGTACCATTATAACCATCATTTTAGAACAGGAAACTAGTATACAAAACAATAAATTTGTCCTAACTCATTAAAAAAATAATGACTTTTGACCAAAGAGAGCTGCAGCAATAAGGGATCATGTAACCCGAGGGACCCACAGTGCCTGTGACAGGACCCTGGAGATCTTGAATTTGTTGCCATCAAGAACTGGCCAGATTCATTCATCCCTACAGTATCTTCAGTTTGAGGGGTAAATGAAGAAGAGGATTCTTAACAGTGCCAAAAACAAAAAAGATTATAAAAGTGGCTCCCTAAGAAATTGCCCCACCTTGTATTACTGTGGAGCTACATCAGATACAGTTAAAAAAACAATTCTGTGCCATAAACTGAAGGAATATAATGTAGTCATCCCAAAACATAACAGGCTTGACCTGCAGTATTTTGCTTGAAACTTGTTTCCTACTGTGTACCAACAAGTCACATTCAGAGATTCTTTGGGGATGAGAGATATTTAAATCGGGAACTCAATAAACTTCTCTTTTTTATAGTTTTAAAAAGATTTTACCTTTAACGCAAGTAGATAAGCTACACAAGCATTATACTATAGCTACTATGTAATTAGGAAGATATGTAGACATATCCTGGCACCTGTTAGAGTACTTCCTAACTTTAAAATATTTGTTTATAGATATTATCTGAACTTCCAACCATTTAGGTATCATTTAGCTAGCCCAACACAGTGAGAGAACTTATAAGAGCCTAGAATTTTTACCAACGTATTTCCACATCTGAAAAGAGGGCTTCCATTATTTTTATTTCTTTTTCTTTACAACCTTTAATTCCTATCTTTGAGCATGATTTGCTAATCTCAACATTTTCTGAAAGAATGACTAAACCTCTATTTTTTTAAAAAGAGTTAATTATGAAACATACAAATATAAATAATACATACCAATTATAAAACTCATTTTAAAAACGCAAACTCTAAAAATCAAAAGTAAAATGGAAACAAGTGACCTTAAAAGAGTATCCAGTTAAGAACACCAACACATACAATTTTTCTATATTATTGAAGCTAAAAAAAAAAATAGAAACGTATTGTAGGATAACACTAGTATACATATTAGTAATATGATGTCAATGACAAGTTACCTGTAGTATGTAAAAGACAAATTATTAATAAATTAAAATCAAACTATGAAAAAGGAGAATGATATAACTGGTTAAATACCCTCAATATGGTAAAACATGAATGAAACAATAGGCTTTCCCTCTTTCCATGTGATCTGTAGAATGTAAATTCTCTGTATTTCATTCCCCATCTATTCAATTACATATTGTTCTCTTTATTGCCCATTTAAAGTAAATATATTTAAAGAAAATTATGAGATCCTGGCTATACAAACTTTTTAAAAATAAAAGATAATACTATGATAAAAATAATTACTGTATAAATATGAATATAATCCTCAGGTTGCCTGTTAAAAGCATTTCTGAAGTTTGGGTTTTTGTTTTTTTTTTTCATTTAGAAATCACTTGAAGATAAAGAGATTAACTTTCCAAAGTAAACTGGTCAAAACCGAACTATATAAACATGTTGAGAATCCGGGATGAGAGACAGTAATATCTCAAAGCACCTACTATATGTGATAGAATAAGCCAGGGCTATAAAGATGAATATGAAATTACTCACTCTCAGGAAATTTCTGCCTTAATTGGGGAATACACACTTCCAGGTTCAGGTATGGCTACAATGAGAAGGAGCATTTAATCTGCATAGGGTTGCCCTTTCAACAGGGAGGTTCACTTAGAAGTGGGAGCATGTGTAGTAAACATGATGAATAACTTTGAAGTTTAGTTTTAGAATGAAGGGATCACAGTAACCAAAGTTAGAAGTGTAATAAACAAATTATGTCCTTGGAATTGCCATTACAATAGAAGAGTTCAAGGCAGATGCATGGCTTGGATTTTGAACCCTCCCCACCTCACCTTCCTCTACCACGAAGAGCATCTGGAAGGCTTAATGACAAAAAGCAGGCAAGATTAGAGCAATCAGGGCTAAGTTAAACTTTTAAGAGAAAGAACTAGACAAGTTCATGTGGAATGAAGAAAACACATACTAGAAATCCAACTGGAGTGAGCAGCTGTAGAGATGGTCCCTAGACTGAGAAGCAGGTGAGGTAATCACAAGAGAAAGTAAAGCGGGGAGGAGCTCGCACTGGCGATGACCACCAGACTTTGCCCAGGTTGCTCTGATGGAGGTTTGCTACCCACATCACCAGCACCAGAGTTCCTCTCTTCAGTTCTGCCCTAACACTTTTCACTCCATTTTAAGTGGCATGCTGGGACTGTCAAAGAAAACAGCTTAACCAAGACCTGGATGATATGATGGCAGAACAGTGAGGAGATGGCAGAGCAAGATCTCTACAGCAAAGAGTAGGAAATACATCTGAATAGATCATGACCTTCTGCTTCCTGAAAACTACTACTCATCATTCAAGACTGCTCCCATGTCACCTCTTCTGGGAAGCCTTCCCTGACCACTATAAGCTGTTGACTTCCTTTGTTCTGTTTCATTTTCCCTGCTTGAAGAACCTATTTAGTTCTTAAAATATTAATGTGTAAATAAGTACTTATGCCTCTGGCTGCACTTAGTTCTAAGAATCTTACCTACACTGATTTCAAGGCTAGTATACAAGAAGTAATCAATAGTTGCTGTTGACTGAGAAAGACAAAAAGAAAAGAAGGAAGGAAGGAGGGAAACAGGGAAAGGAAGGAAGAAAGCAAAGAAGGAAGGGAGGCAGGAGGGAGGGAGGACAGAAGACGGGGAGGAGGGAAGGAGGGAGGGCAAAGGTAGGTTGGCTCAGTGTGTAACTCAGCATTGTCAGACCTGGCCTGGCTCCTGGTCCCTAACCACCTTCCCTCTTCTTCCTCATATCTGGGCCTCCTGGCCTCCTTTAGCAGGCTTATCCGCCCACAGTGCCCAGGATCAATCCCACCTAAGGCAGTCAGGATTTTTTTTTTAAGAGACAGGGTCTCACTCTGATGGCCAGGCTGGAGTGCAGTGGTGTGATCACGGCTCACTGCAGCCTCAACGTCCAGAGCTCAAGCGATCCTCCCACCTCAGTCTTCCAAGTAGCTGGGACCACAGGCATGCACAACCTCACCTGGCTAATTTTTGATTATTTTTTGTAGAGATGAGGTGTCAGTATGTTGCCCAAGCTGGTCTCAAACTCCTGGTCTCAAATAATCCTCCTACCCTGGCCTCCCGAAGTACTGAAATTACAGGCATGAGCCACCGTGCCTGGCCGAGGCAGTTAAGATTTAAACCCTATTTTCTGTGGCCTAGCATCACATCCTTTCCTGCATCTCTGCTCCCTGCCTGAGTAAAAAGGCCAGAGCCCCTGAGTTTCTCCTGCCATGCTGCTCTCTCAGGACTGAAAGGCTGTTGCTGTTCCCCAGGCCCATGGCTGGGGCCCCTCCCCTGCTGAGCACAGGCCAGCTGGCAAAGTCACTACTAGCCATGCTTGACTGACTCTCCTGAGGGGTAACCCCCAACACTCTACCCTCTGTAAACTGCCTCAGTCCCTCCCTGCTGACTGCTATCCTAGATTCCTCCCAGCATGCCTGAAGCCCAGCCACATCTGGAGGTTTAACAAGAGCGAAACAGAATCACTGCAGGATGTTGAGCGCTGGAGTGATATATGCTGGGAAAGCCGTTGTGTATGTGGAGGGAGGTGAGAGGGCGCTCCACTCTGCTTGTGAATGCTTAAGACAAAATTTATGAAATCATTCCCTCTTAAACACACTCAAAAAGCCCTTTAAACACATTGCTCTTCACATTAGGAATTCCAGGTAGCAACTCAGATTTTTTGTGAAATTAGTTGTTTTCAGGATATCTGCTCTGCCTTTTAAAGAAGACATCCAATGCCCATTCTATTAATGTTAAAGCATCATTTTAACTCAAAAGACTATGCCAGCAGAATCCTTGGAACATCTGAAAGAATGTAGACAACTATAATTGCTCTAGTAATTCAGCTGAACAGGGATCATGATTGGCCACAGGGAAAAGGCTGTGTTTACTGCCCAATCAATAATCAATACTGACAAACAATAGTAACTCAATTAATATTTGCTGAATGAATGTATGCACATATGTGTGCTTGTGTTTAGAAACAGATGATGGGTGTGTGGAGATGCACAAATACTATCTATGATATAACAGCACATGGTTTATGATTTCACTCTTCTTTTTTTCTTTTTTTTTATTTCAATAGCTTTTGGTGTACAAGTGTTTTATGGTTACATGGATGAATTGTGTAATGGCAAAGGCTGAGATTTTGGTGCACCTATCACCTATCACCCAGGTTATAATTTTATTCCTTTTCAAGCATGAATTTTAGTATGTCACACAAACAGCCTCATTGTATGAAGGGACATTAATAACAGACAAGCATAATGAATCCTCTCTGCAAGTAGAACTGTCCAAATCAGAAATGAGGGAGATTAGAGGAGCAGGTACTAACACAAGGCACTGAACCTTGTCCATCTTTGGGCCTACTCTAAGGGGCAGAAGGAGAGCAGGAAGCCATCAGAGGTGGGAAGGCTCACAGTGTCCTCTCTGTTCTCGCGTTGGACAAATGGCTTTGCATGCATTGCAGCTGGGGCTGACTGCATAGATAACAGCACTTGCTTATTAGACAACAGTACTTATCTATTAACCTGCCACAGAATCAACTCAGGAATAAGGTATCAAATTACAGCATTGATGCAAATATATATATTTATTTTTTATCTCTGTGTATGTATATATGATTAAAATGGCAGTCATAAAGCTATGTGTACAAAAGACAGTAAGTTACCACTCTGTCAGGAACCGTCATTTTAAATGTCTAGCATTATCCCTCAAGTGCTTTGACAGACTGGAGGAGGAAGCACATCCCATAAACAACATCCTGCTTGGGTTCTATCAGCAGGTTCTAGTTTTGTGTTAACTATTACGTCAATGAAAAACAAAAGATATTATCTAAAGTAAGAGACCGTAAATTTTGTTCCTATTATATAATGATCCAAAAGGAAGTGAGGAATTAGCTCTTCAGTTCTGATTTTTCTTTCTAATTCTACTTCTTTATGTAATTTAAGACTGGCTACAATGATTTATATTTTACTATATATTCCAAAAGTACCAGCATCACAGGACCTTGTGCATGTACAACATTCTTATTACAGATGGGTGAACATGTATCTGAAATGCAGTGTTTTCTAAGACTGAATCTCAAATGCACAAAAAAGTATATGAATCTGGGCAGCAATCCAAGAGTACTGTAAGACAGTGCCATTGTATCGACTTTCAAGCTATCAGTAGATCTTGAGACTTGTGAAAATAAGCCAAGGAATGCAACATCCGTATCTTAACTGTATGTTTTCCTGTCCTCTCACTTATTTTTCCTGGTGTAAACAGAATTACCCATCTCTGCATAGAAAAGCAAACCTGGAGAGCAGAGGCATGTTAAAAACCACAGTGCCAGGGCAAGGAGCCCTGGAGTGGCAGTCAAGAACGCTGTCTTCTCATTCCAACTTTGCCCTATAAGCTATGCAACTTTGAAGAAGTTTCTCTCAACCATTAAAATAACAACAGGTAAAATAATATACAGGGTACTGTTGGTAATAATAATGGAAAGTTTGTCAAAAAAATTAACGGAACTTCAAAGATTTTTAACATTAATATAAATGCCTCCTGAAAAGTACAATTCAGTCACTATAGACCAGCTATATATTAAGAAATTAGTACATAACTGTCTCTGCCTTCAACCTATCTAGAAACTATGAACAGAAGTGATCAATTTTACCAAGCAAATTGGTAAAATTGGTAAAAGTTATCAAATTTTAACTGAAATGACTGAGTAGAAGTAATCACATCACCTATGCTCACTACAATGAACTGCAGTCAGTGGCAATACATTCATAGAAAGATTGATATCTAGCTCAAAGATGAAAATTCACATCAATGTAAAGTAAATCTCTCACTTTAAAATCAGCACTGAGAGGATGATATGTGACCATTTTTTAAGTCTTTCAGGGGATCAGTCTTATTGGTGGTAAGCACTCAGAAAAGAACAACAAAATGCTAAGATTTTATGGCTAATACAATTTTGCATACAATAATTTTGTCTACATTTCACTATCAGGTACTACTCATATAGAATATGGGGGAAGCCCTCCTGAGGATCTAAAGAAGGGGACTTAGGTCCCATTATTATTTTTGTATGTGGTGTCAAATTTTCTTGATCAAATTGTTTAGTCAATTAAAAAATTATTCTCTTGATGGACCTTTGAAGGGATTTTAATTCATGTTGAAAAAAGGAATTGTTTGATTAAATCCAAGAGAATTACATCAATTCAATCGCTTCTTATTAGATGATTACTAGCTGTTACTTTACAAATATCACTGAGAGGATTAAAAAGATTTGTCATAGAATCATAAGGTCAAAAATCAGCTCAGAGAAGGCTAAAAATATTCCTTAAATTTAATTTTTAAATGCAGCTTTCCAAAAATCAGACACGTGTTTTAGAGCAATCTTGACATCTCCAGAAGTGCATAAATAAATTTAAACCTGTCGATGACCTACTTTAATGAAAGAAATTACAACCATCTTAAATACTTGTAATTTATCTTTATGATGATGCTGAGTTGCTAATTTTATTATTCAAAAATTATAAATCGTGACAAATTGAGCAAAATCAACCATCTAGAGGAAGTCACTAAAATAAAGACTTTAGCTAAATAGAAAACTGAGTTGGCCTATTCCTGAATGTCTTATCATTGCTAGAAATTCATAAATCTTCTCACAGAGAAGAGAGGAATCATAAGAAAATACAAGCCAAATCACTGGAGTCAGTTCTATACACACCAACAATACATACATATATTTAAAGAAATCAGTTTGACAATATAGAGGTAACCACCATGGCAGGTACATTACACTGTTTTCCTCAACCTCCATTCTCCCCTTCCTCCTTAGTGAACAGAACGGTAATTTTTTCTGATGAGTGCATTGCTTCTTGGAATAAAAGACTACATGCTAGGAATGAATACTGTCCAGATTCAAAGACAATGTGGGATTCCAGGGAAATCTGCTTAAAGAAAACTGACTCATGTTTGGGAGCCCACTTTTTTTCATGTTTTGCCTTTCCTATTTCTCCTGACCTGTGCCATATTTGTGATGGCTAGAGCTCCAGCAGCCATCCTGTACCCTGAGGTCATCTAAGTATGAAAGCCATGCACTAGGAAAGAACAGAAAAGTAAGAGCTGAGTCTCTGATTCATCACACAACCATTCCAGCCTGTATCTAGACTACCTTTACATGAGACAGAAATACATTTATATCTCCTTTAAACTACTGTTATTGTGGATTTTAATGTTTTTTACTTTTTCTGTTATAGTGGCTAAAGTGATTTTAACTAATATAATTAGTCAAGTCAATTTTTTGAAATACTCAAAAGCAATAACTGAATCGTCTACCTAATTTGTTGTTTTAAGTTGATGAATGTGTTTACATAGACTCAATTTTAACTTTCCTCTATGCTATTAACAATATTCGTGAGGTTTCTTAAAATACTAATATATCTTGTAAGAAAATCAGCACTATGGACAATTTAACTTAATCATGTTTTCTTCACCTATTACAAGAGACAGAGAGAAAAAATTACTGGAAATTCAACTTCTAAGGAAAATTTTCCCTTCTAGTTCCCCCCAAATAAAATAACAAGTGCAATGAAACATCCTACAAATTCATATTTTCTAAAATAACTTAGGAAAGAAGAAAAGAAATAGACATTTATGAATCCCCCACTGTTCTATTACTTAGTTACTTGGCAAATATTTTTGTTTAATTCTCCCAATAAACACTTTAGATAGTTAATATTATCCTCATACTTTAAAGATGAGGTAACTGAGGCTTGGAGATATTTAGTAATGCTTTCCTGGTCTCCACACAGTAAGTCCAATTTCAAATCCCACACTCATTTCATGATACTCTGGTACAGAACATGCACTGACATGTGATAATACGAAGAGCACTTCCTAGTTCAAACACTTTTCTATTTTTCTTATTTTCAAGATTCTGTTTTTTAAAAATCAACTGTTCTTACAGAGAAACAAAGGTTAAATGCTTAATTTCCAAATAAAAATTACAATGAAACCTCCTGATGAAAGCCTAAGGCTCTGCACAATCCTATCTGTTTCAACTGTGTGTAAGAAAAAAGAAAGAGCAAGAAAGGAAGGGAGAAAGAGAGTGACAGGGAAAGAGGAAACAAACCTAGTTATGTCCATCTGGGCCTTATATGAAAAGGACTCTGTTCTAATCGTATACTTTTTTCTCTCCTACTATATTATATATACTGGGACTATGAAAGCTTTCATCTTCCTAACCTAGAAGTAAAAATACAAATAGTTACAAGATTTTAGTATCAAAAAAATTCCCAGTACAGGAATCTCTGTCTCCCTCAGCTCACTTTGATCTCCTTCTCTTTCTCCTCTAACTGAGCAGAAAGAAAAAGCAGAGTGTCAACAGTAATTTCTTTTTTATTTTTCAAAGTAAGTGGCTGATATATTAAGCTCTCAGGCTACAAAGTCATGAAAAGCAAAAGAAAGTCATTATAGTGGAAAAAGAAACCATAGCCTCCAAATGTTCTGTTGTTTTAGAATTCATATTAAAAGTAACTCTGTAATATGTACATAGTTACTCTGTAACTATGCACACACATGTATTACATGTGTGTTCATATAGCTTATAGCTGTTACACCTTATGCCAAAAGCAGAAATACAAAGTTTGACAAGAGTACTGTATATATCTCGAAGTCAATTAAAATAACATTTAAGCAAACCAAGGTATTTATATTATAAATTATTTTTGAAAGATTAACATTTTTGTAATTGATGACTACAGCAAAATTAATTTTCTTTTAAGTGTCACAGAACTTACTAAATATCTTGTAGTTGGTATAACAATTAAAATGTATTTTAAGTTAAGTGATGTTCAGGACTTACCACCTCCTCCTCCAAGAAGACTGGCATTTGCTGTTTAAAACAAAACACAACAAAAGACATTAAATAATATGTATAAGAAATATAGTATATCAGAGTAATTCAAGATAAAGCTAATAATGATCATATGTCTCATATACATACATAAACACAAAATATTTACTTTCATTTAAAGACAGCCTGTATTACTATTTTATGAGAGTTTGAAAATTAAAATATTTCACTACTTTTATCTTTTTTCTCTTCAAATGGCTATTTTTATAATATATTTCCTTCTAATAAAATTAAGCACAAATTGAGACTGTTTTATTCTCAATTCTGTATCTAAATTAATCTTCTGAGCTCTCCATTTTATCAAGTAGAATAGAACAATATTATTTAGTCAATTTCAATGATTTCAAAGGACGATGTAACAAAAAAGTATTATAGTAATTTAAATTAAGTTAAACACAATGAAACAAAGCTATCACAAAACATTTTGCAGTAAGAAATAACTCTTAAATAATAACAATGTATTACTTTTTCTATTAACTTTTTATTTTGAGGAAAGAAATAAACGTTAAACAATGCTGTGCTATTTCTTACCTATTTATTTATTAACCCCGCACACACATTTATAGGAGCTAAAAAAATATAAAACAATTCCATTTGGATTTCTTTCACAAGGTCAAATTTTTAGGAAGTTCCATTGCAGGTTTCTGCTGAAGTATTAAACAACCTTATGCCTAAATTTATCCAAATATAATAACCAGAAAGCATAATTCAATATACACTATACTGAGCTTTATTCCATAGAGTTCTTAAGTATCACAGGAATTATTTCTTGCCACTGAAAAATAGCCAAGCAGTATTACAGGGAAAGTAGGTAGCAACCAAACTCCCCTTCTTTGTGAAAACTGAGTTACCAAAAGACTAAAAAAATAATTTAGGAAAAAGGAGTAGGAAGTCTTTTACTTGAATTTTAGCATGCTGCCCACAGACCACCCATTTCATAATTTAAGAGGTGCAAATATCATTGTTAATGATTCAATGAGGTTAGATATGTGAGTTCCATGAGGTTAGATATGTGACAGTTTACTGATTGTTGTTACATTAAAGAGAATATCATGAAAATACATAGAGACCAAATGCTATTTACGAGATGTCAATATTAAGAGTGTCAAATTTAGTCTCATATAATCTTCCAAGTATGGGACTGTCTAACTGTTGCTCTTGCTAATTGCCCTCAGTGCTGTTGTCACAAACATGGCCCAAGTAGCAATGTCATTAATCAACCATAAACAAAACTCACTTCTGATGTCATAAGTATCACTCAGGTCTGCAAGTCCCTCTGACTTTACCACATGTAAGTGTGTGATATTTACACAGACGGTAGCCAGAACTTAAGGTCCTGCCCTGAATCCAGCTTTGTAGCTTTTGAAGTGGTAACTTATTGAAGGGGCATGAGGACAGACTTCGAGAATTCTACTTGGTCTCATACCCTTTAGTGGAAAAGAGAAATTTCATGATGAACCCATGTCTGTAGGCTAAACCAAACATTTTCTAAAATCTTAGCTACATGCATTTATAAAACCACATGAAATTTCACACTCCTGCTGATTTTTTATTTTCATATTTGACTGAGAATTACCTCCCTATCTATAGGTTTTCCAGTTCCCTGGGACTCCATCTGTTGTCCTCCAATTTTCACATATTCATTCATAAGGAAAAAGGTATTTTTAACAACCAACAACAATAATAAATAGGAGCTCTTCACTTAAATTACCATGTTCAGTAGCACAATAAGACAATATAGTCTATTTTCATCCAATGTTTTGCTCAATAAAGGTGGAGGTTGCCTGTTTTGAGAGCACAGCCCAAGGCCCATCTGTTTAACCAGGCACTTGTCCAATAGATGTGGGTGGATGGGTAGGTGTAAGAATTGGAATTCCAGTTCTGGCCAATCATCAAGTTAGTTTATGTCAACTGTGTGTTCATGTATTTTACATAAGCATATCCAGTAATATTTTAACTTCGCTATAGAACTATTTTACAAAATTGTGATATTCTACATAGTACACAATCACTTTTAAGGTAATTCCATGTGTATTACTATCCATGTAATAGAATCTTAATTTAAACTGTTTGATCATATTCAAAAACGTTCCGATAACTATAAATCCAATAATGATTTTTCCAAAGAATCCATCAAATTTGTCTATTTTATCCATTTCTATTCTCTAAAAAATAACAAAAAAGTTAACTTTACTAGTAAAAATGTCAAGGCACTTTTCTTCAGCAAAAGTGACATAAAAATACGCAAGTAAAGGTGAAACTTTATTGTTATTTGTAGTTATTACTTTACCTCCACAAAGCACTCCAATAACTGGTTATCCAACATTCATTAGTCAGGTAGCTTCACGTTACTTCTTCCATTTTACAGAAGTGAAATGACTTTTGTGTGTCTAAAATTAATAATAATTTAGTTTCTACTTCATTATCTCCAATAGATTGAGATATATCCTAATTAGATGGAAGCTTCTTAAAGGCAAGGTCTGAGTTCAATGGTTTGGCCTGCATCTAATAAATTTTCAAGACATGTTTTATAATAGTGAGATAATTGGTAGGTTTAGTCAATTTCTTCATTAATACAAGAGGGATTTGTTTACTGAAGTTTGTGAAGAAAGCAAACTTTGACCCTTTTTCTTCCTATAAAATCAAAGATTACTTAAGAAACTCTTAAAGCTTATTTGGAAATGCTTAGTAAGAATGCCTAAAATATATTTATGTCCCTATCTAAATTTCTTCCTAGAGGGAATTTTGGACATGCTTCCTATTAATCCTTGAGTTTCACAGAAAAAGGAAAAGAAGAAAAGGAACAAAGAAAACTTGAAGTTCATGAACATGATGCCACTATTTTTAAAACAAGATTTAAAAATCTCTTCTCTGAGCATGCTTATGAAGCAAGACTATTTTACTTCACATTTCCCTGAAATAAAATGTCTCTTTTATTACCAGTGGAGGGAAGGAAAAAATCAAGTTACAGTAATTGTCTCAAAGATTGATTCAATGCAAAACTAAAATGAGTCATTACAAGATAATGAATCTGTGTATTGCACTTTTTCTTCCCCCTAAAATAACTTCACGCAAGGAGATGGAGTTTTACTGTTTACAAAGTGAAAACAACATGAACACAAAATGAAGAAAAGGGTTATCTGAAGCTAATTTGATAGTGTCAAATATGGAGAATTGATTTCCAATACCCTAAACAAGTGGTTACATTTTTAAAGTTTATAAGAATTTTTTCTTTCATTTGAACCTAGTTTCAAATTTTTTAATTAAAAGTATCAAATTTCTATAGCTATAAATACTCACTATTAAAGTATTAAAACCAAAAAAAGTGAATACAATATAGGAATCCCTTTCCTGGAATAATTAGCCTAAATGAAAAATGATCACGGCAGTTTTCAATAACACATTAATTTATGTTTTTCTCAAAATACAAATGAAAAATGCTGGGAGAGGTAACTTATGTCAACCATGAGCCGGGAGGCTGAGGCAGGAGAGTCACTTGAACCTGGGAGGCAGAGGTGGCAGTGAGCCGAGATTGTGCCACTGCACTCCAGCCTGGACAACAGAGCAAGACTCTGTCTTTTAAAAAAAAAAAAAAAAGAAGTATTTCAAATATTTTTTTTCTTTTTGCCCAGTAATTTTTATTATCTCCACAGTAATTGTTTGTTTTTCCACTCCATTTCTACCCCACCCAAGACTATCTGTCAAACACACAAGAGTCTGGGAAACCAGTCTTTAAACATTGATTAAAACTATTCGTACAGAGTTTTGTTTGCTTTTCATCATTATAAAGGAAATTATACTTGTTTTCATCCTAACAGAATCCTGACCACCTAGTTTAGTTTATTTATTCTGCTTTCTTATTACAATAGAGCACATGGGATATCAAAAGGACTGTTGGCAAAAACTTCCCCAGGAGCTCTATTTAAAACACCAATTTCATTCACAACATGTTATCCCCAAAGATACAAAAGCTGAAATACCACCTTTCAGAATGGCATACATTATATTCCCTAGAGTTTGAAGCTCTTTAAGTAGGAAGTGCTAAAAAATCTGATAAATTAAAATCCCAAGCACATGCATGATTCTAGAACCACTTTATATAGGAAGCAACCATCTCACCTGACAGCTGTGAAAATACAATCTACGCAGACAAATACAGCTATCAATCTGGCAACAGGCCTCTGTCTATGCTTTACTAGATTTACACCTCCCAAACAAAATCAACAGAATGGTGGAGATTTTGGGCAATGGTGTAATTTCCTGCTTTGAAGCTGACGAAGCGAGAAAATTAAGAATAGGCTTAACGGATTCACATGTAGAAACCAGGCATAAACACATGATTAATACTTTACAGTTCATGCTACTACAGAATTTGAAGAAAAGACTGATTATTCCAGTATCTGTGTTGTTTGTACAAGCTGTCATTCACTATGAAGCCAAAAATAGAATACAATGACCCCTACTACTAATAAATAGGTGAAAAGGCATCAGAGATTGGAAGTCTTACTTGGGATGATTCACATATAAAACAAAACAGAATTACTGTTGTTAAAGTACAAGGGAGGAGCTACAGCTGGTCCTGGTTTGCCTTACTAGGTACTCAGTGACTTCTAGGAATATCGTAGCATGGGCAAAAAAAACTCTAAAAGCTAAACAAATAAACAAACAAACAAAAACCCCACTTATTTGGTCCAACCCCTTTATTTTACAAAAGTAGAAAGCTAAAGAGGATCAAAGATGTTGTTAACTCACTTGTCTAGGATCAGACCCAGAAGAACCCACCATACAATATGTCAACTTAGATGTTTAATAGTAACTTCCTCTTAACAAATTATAAATATATGTATGTGTCTCTGTGTGTGTATTGCAGCCCTCCCACTCCCCAAAATTGCATCCAAAGGTGGTTATAGAAAACAACATGCATGGAGCCTACTGAATGTTGCTTTACCCAAGATTGCCTAACTTAATTGTTAAAGGGTGAACTAAAGCATTAGCAGGCAATTCCTACAGTTCTATTATGCAATGCATCTAATGCAAAATGAGAGAAATCAGAATGTGCTACATACCAGTCACCCTTTATGACACTATACTGTAGATCAATTGTAATTTTGATAATGATAATACTGGCTCAGTTACAAAAATGAGATTACTTCAGTAACCCAATCTGGGGCTTTCCCAAGAGTGAACAAGCATATCTGAATAGGGAAAAAATTAGTTGAAATGTTTATTAGTTTTATGGTTATAATTATACAAGACACTTGAACAGCAGTTTTAACTTGTCTTTGACAAGAAAGGTTTTGAATAAATACAAATAAATTTTCAATTTAAGAAATGAAAGATATGCTTATTTGAGAGAATGTGATACGCTTTTAGCCTGATTAAAACATAAGCCTCAACATGTACCCATATATCCACATTTTTGGGGGAGCTGGCTGATTTGTTTCAATAAAACCAGAAAGCACCTTTAAAAATATTATCTTACCTAGTTCCAGTATTTCATATTTCTTATAATATTATAGTATCCTCAATTCTCTAAAATAATGAACTAGCAAGTGAGATTTTTAAAAAGGTTTATTACAATTTTTATATTACACTTTTATTTAAACAAATAGGCCAAAAAATAATTCTCAGTCTTAATAAAGATATAGGAAGACTGAGATGCAAATGACCTCAAATGAAAAGGACTTGGGGCTAGTGGAAATCCATACGATGAATCCCCTGAGAATTCTTATTAAGCTGTAAAATCCATGAAGGCAGAGGCCATATTCATTGATATCAATGGTACAATGCATGATTCCTGACACAGTAGGTACTGAATAAATACTTGTTAAATATATAACTAAGGGAATGAATGGAAGATAAGGGAATGAGAGAGAGGGGAAGGGGAAAGCCATATTTCTGGGACAGGTGAGAGACCTCTGATAATAGATAATGACTCCTTTACCATCTTGCAGCCAAGTGAGGCTGTGCCACGATGTAGCCAAGCAGACCTAGCTCCAATTCCAGACTCTATCATTGACCTTGAGAAAGTTCCTTAAACTCCAAATTAAACTCTTGGAGTTTCTGTTTCTTAAAGAGTAATCACTTTTACTCCTCTCAGCAAACCTGACATGTGCCAGGCTCCATGGCATACATTCATGTGACCATATTGGTCACAGTACAGGTTTGCTGAGAGGAGTAAAAGTGATAACTTACATGAATGTATGTCATGGAGCCTGGCACATGCCAAGGGTCAGTAAATGTCAGCTTCCCATTCCATGACCTGATTTACAGTGTCATTCCTTGGAAACAAGCTAGGACTTAACAGAAAACCTCCACTATTTCAGACCAAGTCCAAAGTCTGGCGTTTTGTGGGTCTGGGGCCATGTTCATCTTTAGGAATAGTTTTCTGTCCCCACTCTGAGATGTTCACTGCTATGCCCTCATGGGAGTTTAAGGAAGAACTTAGGACTTATGTACAGAAGAGGGTGAGGAACAATGCCATCTTCAGATTTTCTTTTTTAATTTTGTGTTTGGGCTTAGGTCAATTAAAAAATAATTATGTAAGCCCATAAAGTAAATGGATATCAATATTTTGCATATTATCTATGTTTTCCTCTTCTGGGTTATTTTGATTATTTAATTCAAAAAGAATATTGGGGCTGGGCATGGTGTCTCATACCTATAATCCCAGCACTTTGGGAGGCCAAGGTGGGCAGATCACCTGAGGCCAGGAGTTTGAGACCACCCTGGCTAACATGGTGAAACCCCGTCTCTACTAAAAATACAAAAATTAGCCTTGTGTGGTGGCACACGCCTGTAATCCCAGCTACTCAGGAGGCTGAGGCATGAGATTGTTTGAACCCAGGAGGTGGAGGTTGCGGTGGGCCGAGATCACGCCACTGCACTCCAGCCTGGGCGACAAGAATGAAACTCTGTCTCAAAAAAAAAAAATAAAATAAAAAGTTGGCTATTTTATGCCAGATAGCTCCTGTTTACTCCTCAAAACCCATTCTCTATACTTGCCCTTGTTCTCTGCCCAAGGCTGCTGATCTAGGTACTTGACATCAAAAGGCTCTCTCTTAACATCTGTCTCTAGTTGGGTTCAGTCAGTGGGGAGCCCTGGCAGATGACAGGAGAGATTAGAATGCATTCAACATTTTCTTCCCTGGTTCACTTCCTGTAAGCTTACCGTGAATGGACTATGTCCCTTGAAAGAAGGTCACCATTCTAATCAAGGTTCTTTACAACATGACTTTTTCTGGGTTCTGACATCCTCCCCCTCTCCTTGTCTCTTTGTGCCTCAAGTGGCAACAGCTGTGCTGTTGGTGGCCCCTGGTCCATGAAAAACTCCTTGAGTTTCTCCTACACTACACCTGGCTCCAGCTCTTGAATTATCGTAATTTGACTGCATCATCTGTTTCCCGCTGGGACCTGATTGAACAGGTATGTTTTAAACAGACTGGTCACTGATGATGGCTAGCCTAAATCTCACATTCCTTCAGAGGCTAACTCTCTTAGTGCAGATGGTCATAAGGATGGCCCCTGTTCTTCTGTTTCCATTTGAAGAATGATCAATATAGCAGAGTGTTTACTTTGTTAATGAAAAAACATAAAACATGTAAGTATAATAAATTATATTTATATAAAATATAAAATAATACATACTCATTTGAACATGTTAAAGAATCAAGTATATTAAACAAACTCAACTCCTCTTATCTACCATTCCCTTCCATACTTTTCTCCATGGTCTTTTTTTTTTTTTTTTTTTTTTGAGACGGAGTCTTGCTCTGTTGCCCAGGCTGGAGTGCAAGTGGCACGATCTCGGCTCACTGCAAGCTCCGCCTCCTGGGTTCACGTCATTCTCCTGCCTCAGCCTCCCAAGTAGCTGGGACTACAGGTGCCTGCCACCACGCCCGGCTAATTTTTTGTATTTTTAGTAGAGACGGGGTTTCACCGTGTTAGCCAGGATGATCCTGATTTCCCGACCTCGTGATTCGCCCGCCTCAGCCTCCCAAAGTGCTGGGATTACAGGCGTGAGCCACCACGCCTGGCCTCCATGTTCTTATAAATATATGCAAATAGTTAAGGCTTCTGAGGTTATGACAAAAATAAATTTGCCACGCAACATAAATTTCTCTTTTATCAATATACCATGACTCTAACTAATGAAATAATATGTAACGCCCTATGAGATTCCAAAGTTTGAGTAAAACTACTCCCATTACTGATGGGCACTTACATTGTTTCCAGTTTTGCTGTTAGAGATAATGTTCTAGTAAAAATTTGTGTGTTTGTGTGTGTGTGTCTGTGTATGTGTGTGTGTATCCACATACTGGGGCTTCTATAAAATAAGTTCTTTAAAAAGGGGATCCTTATATACTGTTGGTGGGAATGTAAATTGTACAACCACTAGGGAAAACAGTTTAGAGATTTCACAAAAAAAAACAAAAACAGAGCTACCATATGATCCAGCAACCCCACTCCTACATTATACCCAAAAGATAGCAATCACACCCCTAGGTATACCCCAAAGAAAGAAAATCAGTATTTCAAAGAGATATCTGCACTTTTGTATTTGTTGCAGCACTATTCACAATAGCCAAGATTTGGAAGCAACCTAAGCATCCATCAACAGATGAATGGATAAAGAAAACATGGTACAGCTACACAATGGAGTAGTATTCCGTCAGAATAAAGAATGAGAATCTGTTATTTGCAACAACAAGGATGGAACTGGAGATCATTATGTTAAGGGAAATAAGCCAGGCACAGAAAGACAAATTTTGCATGTTCTCACTTATTTGTGGGAGCTAAAAATTAAAATAATTGAACTCATGGACATGGAGAAAAGAAGGGTGGTTACCAGACACTGGAAAGGGTATTCGAGGGGTGGAGAGGAAGTGGGGATAGTTAATGGGTAAAAACAATAGAAAGAATGAGTAAGAACTAATATTTGATAGCACAACAGGGTGACTATAGTAAATAATAATTTAGTTGTATATTTAAAAATAACTAAAAGAGTATAATTAGATTGTTTGTAACACAAAGGCTAAATGTTTGAGGTGATGGATACCCCATTTACCCTGATGGGATTATTACACACTGCATGCCTGTATCAAATAATCTCATGTACTTCTATATATATACACACACATCTACTATGTACCCACAAAAATTAAAAATTAAAAAAAAATTCTCCAAAGTATTATGGGTAAAAGGACATATGTACTTTTAAAATTTAAGAGTTTAATAACTATTTTAAAATGCATATTAAAATATGTTTATTAAAATAAGTCAAAATTAGCTGAAATTTAGCATGCATAAGTATAGCTTGGAGAACACCTAAATCATCAGTATTATTCTATGTTTGTAAATAATCTGAATCAAATGTTTTGGTATGTTAGATGAGATTTCAGTTCAATGGGGTGCTTCTGATGTAAATGTAAACTACATCAATGAAACATTTTCACCTATACATGAAAAGATATTTAGTTTCAATTTCTGACAGATATCAAATATATAAACTTTTTAATGGTCTTCTTTTAATGTAAAAATAGTAAAACTATCTCAACTAAAGGTAAGTCTCTTTAACCACTTTCTTTTCATGTTTGTTAGACACAAAGCATGACAGGTCTTGAACTTAAATGCAAAGGAAAAACTTGGCTAGAAAAGATTAGAGTAAGAAATTTTCCACTACTTTCTAATTAAATTTCTTGAAAATTTAAAGTATACTTTAGAAGCTTAAGGTTTAAAAACTTGAGAAGATAGGCTGGGCATGGTGGCTCCCACCTGTAATCTCAGCACTTTGGGAGGCCAAGGCGGGTGGATCACCTGAGGTCGGGAGTTCGAGACCAGTGTGACCAACATGGAGAAACCCTGTCTCTACTAAAAATACAAAATAAGCCAGGCGTGGCGGCACATGCCTGTAATCCCAGCTACTAGGGAGGCTGAGGCAGGAGAATCGCTTGAACCTGGGAGGTGGAGGTTGCGGTGAGCCAAGATCGCCCCATTGCACTCCAGCCTGGGCAACAGGAGCGAAACTCCGTCTCAAAAAAAAATAAAAATAAAAATAAAAAACTTGAGAAGATATTAACTTACTAGAAAGATATGGAAAATCTATCAAAAAACCCACAAAGATAGGTAAGAATACTTCAGCTCAATAAGAATTTCAAGGCTAAATATCATGTCCCCATGATAATTCTAAGCTTTCTGCTTCCATTCATCTAAAACCAACCATTAAGACGCTTCATGTATGCCAAACATTGTACTAGGCACCCACTGCTTTTGTACAAGTGTAATGGAAGGCTAAAGAGAAATGGAATGCAATGGCTAAAAGTAATCACCAGATAATTACTCAAATTTACATTTATACCCCGAATCCTAACTAAAAAATAACATAGCTTACATTTATCATTTTTGTTAGATGCCAGGCGTATTACTAGCTAATTCAGTCCCCCAAAGAAGCTAATGAAGTAGGTACCATTTTCTATTTCCACTTTATATGTTAAAAAATTGGAACACGGAGAGGTTAAGTAACATGTTCGAGACCAAAGGCTGGCACCAGTATTTGAAGCCATGTAATGTTACTAGAAAGTTCACACTCTTAAGCACCTCCCATAAGAGAAGCCAAGTTCCATACCCTCCAACCCACAAAAAAGTCAGAGTAAGGAATGAAGTGGAAATTATATAATCCCTGTTTCTGTATTTCTCTTTTTTAAACTACTGTAGCATATGAAGACTTTCTCTAGTAGTGCCAGTTCTACTTACAATAAATTAATGAAAATTCAATGGAACGTATGTTTCCTTTTCTTCTTTTTCCAATCTACACACATCATTTTAAAGCAATATTCTTCTTCCAGTTTGTTAAAGTCTTGTTACACATCTAAAGTATGCTGGCTCATGCAGAAGCTGACCTGGCTCTGCATTCACCCTAATGCAATGCTTGGATCATCAAGAAATTTGAACTAACTTCTTGCACAAATCTAACTCATGACGTGGCCAGCTTATAGAGAAAGGAATAAAGTGTAAGTAATATAGTAAGGAATATAGAGTAAGGAATAAAGTGGAAATTATATAATCCCTGTTTCTGTATTTCTCTTTTTTAAACTACTGTAGTATATGAAGACTTTCTCTAGTAGTGCCAATTCTACTTACAATAAATTAATGAAAATTCAATGGAACATATGTTTCCATTTCTTCTTTTTCCAATCTGGACACATCATTTTAAAGCAATATTCTTCTTCCAGTTTGTTAAAGTCTTGTTACACATCTAAAGTATGCTGGCTCATGCAGAAGCTGACCTGGCTCTGCATTCACCCTAACGCAATGCTTGGATCATCAAGAAGTTCGAACTAACTTCTTGCACAAATCTAACTCATGACGTGACCAGCTTATAAAAATCATAAAATGAGCTCTTGTATGATTCATTTCCATTAGAAAGTTATGCTCTGAATCACCAAGCCAGTGGACCAGCTGATACATACTTTAGTAAGCTTATCAAGGTAGAAAATATGCCCAAAATAACAACCAAATAATGGAATATACAAATAGATCCTGAAGACAATTTTCTAAGCATCTATTATGTATCAGGCAATGTTTAAGATTTGATCTTTATGATATCTTAATCCTCCAAATAATCTTGCAAATTGGGAATTTTACTTTTCCTATAACAAATGATGAAACTGAGGCTATAGTGAGGTTAAGTTATTTGCCCAAGGTCATGGGCTGGTAAGTAACTATTCAATCCAATGCTTGAGTCCTTTCACCCAACATCAAACAAATGTTCTTTTTAGTATGCTAGACTATATCTTAAGGAATTATTTTATTTCTCCCAAATTATTTCAAAATAGATGGATATCCAATGCCCACAAAAAGCAATGTATCCAGTTAACACCAATGTCAAAGGCAGTATTACTGGTTTTTAAACCAAAGTTACCAGAAAAAATAGCATTTACATACATCATACAACTTAAAATTGTAAAAATTTAAATATTTCGCCATACCTTTCCCATATTATTTACTAACATTATTATAATCAGCAATTTTGATCTCACAAAATCTGGAATTATCTATAAGAGATCATACTCCTTTGAAATATTACATTTAATATCCTGATAACCTTAGCCAAATTTTGACATTTAAAAAGATGAAAATTCTCAGTATGACTTCAGGTAATATGAACAATTAAACATACATCGCTATTAAAGAGGGCATATATTTCTTAATTATCAATGCTGAAAGACTTGAGCTAAATTTAGATTTATGAAAACAATAATAAATACTACATTAAAGTTTGGCTTTCATCAAATAAATGCAAACTGGCTAACCTAAGATTTTATATGCTTATTGCAAAATACACAAAATGAAAGTAAAATATATGTTTTCATTTGTCCTAAGTTTTCTATCGTTAGCACTCCTCATTCTTGACTTTAGGACAATCAAATAGAGAATCTTCATCATAACCTGAAGTAGCAAATAAAAAACCATAATTTTTCTTTCCTAAATAAGTCTAATTATTTAATTTCAAATTGTAGTTGGCTTCTATTAATATATAGTAAAATGTTAGTTACATTGTTCAAGGATGAAATAAATACATTATTATATTTATATCGACTGTAAGTATAAAATAGTCATCTCCTTTAAGACATGGAAAAATATAACTTTATGAGTATCAAGTTTAATTATTTACCATACAAGACACACTTTTTTTCTGTACACAGGAGACAAATTATAATTTGCATCCTCTGGACATCAAAAAATACCAATTACTTTTGTATTACAGTTCCATCAGGCCAGCTGTGGATTCTATAATAGAGATTAGTTTTAGTCTGCTGCATTGAAAAGCACTGATATTAATCTCAGACAGAAGTATTATCATTGGTGAGAAGCTGATTACTGACTACAGAGGCTTTTAAAAATTATTATTATTTAACAAATCTCTCAGGATAACTAAATAATACTTACTAAAACTAGTTGTAATTCTAATGTCACTCTGAGACTTCTAAAGACCAGAAATAAAACAGATGCAGCAATAGGTAATAAGAGAATTTGCATATGGTATTCCAGATGCAATAGATGTGGTGTCTACCAAAAGAAGTATTTAATATTAATCCTTAGTTTCATCAATAGTTATATAATTTTGGGCAAATTACTGAAACCTCTATGCCAATTATAAAGAATACAAATTATAATTTAATTATTTAACAACCATTTTTCAGGTAGTCACTGTTTGTGGCTGTTCTGGAACGATTGCTGGAAATAAACAGGTAAGTAAAATAGTCACATTAAATTATATAACTATAGGCCAGGTGTGGTGGCGTAATCCCAGCACTTTTGGAGGCTGAGGCAGGAGGATTGCTTGAGCCCAGGAGTTCCAGTCTGTGCAACATAGAGAGACTCTGTCTCTACAATAAATAAATAAACAAATACATTGCTGGGCATGGTGGCATGCACTTATTAGTCCTAGCTACTCAGGAGAATGAGACAAGAATATTGCTTGAGCCCAGGAGTTTGAGGTTACAGTGAGCTATGATTGCGCCATTGAACTCCATCCTGGGTGATAAAGCAAGACCTTGTATCTTATTTAAAAAAAGATATAACTATAGTAAATAAATCTATAAAGTATATGTTGTTATTTTTATAATACATAATATTTAAACATCAGAATCATGATGTTGAAGATTTTTTTTAAAATTTTTTACAAGTTGATGAGAGATTACGATATTCTATTTTGCAAAATTCTGCCCTCTCAGATGAAGCTGAAGTCTGGTGAAGATAGCATAATTTGTTTTTTCTGGTTCCTCCTCCCACCCACTCCTGCTAAATACAACTGTAAACGCTGGAGATAATGCGAGAGGCAACCAAAGGAGAACTCTGAAAGGTGCAAAAGGAGGGTGAACTGATTAGAGAACCCAGGTCTGGAGGAACAGCATAGTTGCAGGGCATCTTACAACCTCCCACCAAAAGGAAGAAGGTGACCCAGGGCCAGCATTCCCTGACATCCAATGTAGCAACAGAAGGCAGCCCAAGTAGGCTCAGTCCTCCCTGGGATTGAAGAGGAGCCCCACTGAAGATAAGCTGATGAACCAGCAGGAAAAATGTTCTCCTTCTCAACAGGGTCTGAGACTCCCCTCTCCTACCAGAAGACACAGGACAGCACCAGCACGGGGCATCAGGCCTCAACAAGCACCTGCCAGGATGATCTACGGACCTGACTTTCCTCTCCAACACCAAGGGACACTGATGGCTGGGGAGCACAGGCACTGGGGAATCTTACCACAAGCACCCAGCCCAGGAAGGGCTTTCCATCTCCCACAGACAGGAGGCATCCTGTCTCAACAAGCTTCTGGCCTCAGAAGTCATTTCTTTTCCACCAGGCCTGAGAATCCCCTCCTTCACCAGGATACTTGTGGGTGGGAGATGCTGGTGAGGGAGGTGTGGAGGGGAATCTCCACCACAATAAGTAGCTAGGCCTGGAAGCACTCTTCATCCAGTCAGACCAGAGACTTTCTTTTCCCCACCTAGAAACATAAAGAAGCCTAGCCTAGAAAAATGTGTTCTGTCCCCTCAGGCATCACAGTATAGACCCCTGGGAGCCCCACCAGCACCAGATACACAAGGCCCACCAAAATAAGACCAAAAAATCTTGGAAAATTAAATTGTCCTTAGAACTACTGCCCACTAAAGTAGGCTAGGACCTACGATGTAAACCTAACAGAGTTACTACCTACTAAAATAAGGGATTTAAATAGGACCCAGAGTCTCCTAAAATGAACAGAGCCTCAGAAACCCATGGGACAAAACCAAAAGATCCCAGAAGTTGAGAAAGAGAGTAGGCCCTGAAGGAGTACTGAAAGACACAATAGCTGACAATGTCACAAATTTTGTGAAAGAGATAGACCAACAGATTCATGAAGTGAACCCCAAATAAGATAAGACAAATAAGATAAATTTTTTAAAAAATCCATGCTATAATTAAACTTCTGAAAACTAAACACAAAGAAAAAAAAGCTTGAAAGCAGCCAGAGAGAAACAGAACATTTCCTATAAAGGAACACCAATTCAAATGACAGCAGATAGTCCTTAGCTGGCAGCCCCTTCAAGAATTACCTCAGCAGAAAACAGCTGCCTCACTCTAGATCATGCCCCTTCCCTGGGTGGCTCATATCCAATATCTTGGGGATATGAGTCTTGGTCCTCTGCCCAGTGCTGATACTTATGGGGATATAAAGGCCCAGGCCTTGCCCCAACTCAAGACAACTTTGAAGGGCCATCTCAGCTTCCTAAAGGTTCACCTGAGGGCTTTGTTGAGACTACAACAGAGTTCAACTTCTCCCACTACTCAGTTTTGCCTCCTTTTCCATTCTTTCACAGGTTTTTATCCTAAAAATGTTCCCTGAGTAATATCCTGCATGCTAATCTTTACCTTTATCTCGGAGTCTGCTTTCTAGGGTACCTACCCTTCAACCATAATCATGGGAGTGGGTAATAGCAGGAAAAAGCAAGGCCTAATCGGGAGGCATTTAAACTAAATGGAGTGAGTCTTTGACCACTGGAAGCTCCCTTTACAATATGGGGCATCTGATACCTCTTTGCCCTTAGTTTTAGTTTTCAATTCCAGTGCAATAAGAAAAGTATCCCTTAACATCTTACAGCATTCGGCTAGTTTGAACCTTCATTTACAAATGTTGCTTTAAATTACAATTCTAACATTTTAATTTTTAAATTAGACTTCAAACCTCCAATGAGTAAAATTAAAATTAATATATAAAATATTAACGATAATGATGCCAGTGTATGGAGTCATTGTTAGAGCAAGTATAAAAAGTATAATTTTGAATACTTTTTAAATGAAACAGTATAAAAATCATTCTGAAAACAATTTTTTCTTTAAAAAAATACCTAGAAAGAAGTAGACCTATACAAATTTGTGTGGAGGAAGCAAGGAAGCAAGTTCTTGGACACGGAACTATTCTTACAGATCTGAATAATGTAAATAACAAGAGCCTGATGTTTTCTATGTAAAATCTTGTGCTACAACTTTAAAATTTCAAAACGTAGTAATAGTTTACCTCTTACTCAATGAACAGTGTTGTGCTAGCCTTGAGAACTTGCTGAAATCATGCCACAGATGACTGATTTTCTTAGAGAACACTTGGTGATCTCATTGCCCCCAGTGCCCAGAGAGTCATCACAAGCCACTCTAATTCATCCCAACCTTTGTATGTTTTGATTGAACTCCCTGGAATCTTGAAGCTTCCTGTTTTCTTAATCTCATGATAGTACCCTCTTCGCTTGTGCATTTGAACTCCTACTATGCTTAACTAATGCTACTTACCAGGCCCTTCCAGTAGCCAAACTCTGTCCAGTCCCCTTCCCGCCTCCCAATTCTCTGGACACAAGAGACCACTGCAGAAAGATTATTCTGATGTTAACTCTCACTGCCTAGTAGTCAATACTCTCTACTTCCTCTGTGGTACCTGAGAGACTGACAGTCTCAATTATGCCATCAGCCTGAGCTATAATTCACTCTTTCTGCCACATCTTGGCCTTTTACTGTGATTCTGCAAAAATGATACAGGTATGGATAATAATAAAGTTGAATATGTGTTTTAATACAAAGAAACATTTCTTAATAGAAGGATGAAAGGATTAGACCAAATTACCTTATTTATTCCTCTCTGTTTAGTTAATCCACTCTATTTTTGTTCCTCATTAAAATATTAAGTCAGATATTGCTCACTGTTTCTGCCCACCAGGTTAGTGGCAGAATCAGTACCAACTGACTGTGAGTCAAATTATAGAAAGAAAGGTAATACGCCGGGCATGGTGGCTCACGCCTGTAATCCCAACACTTTGGGAGGCTGAGGTGGGCGGATCACTTGAGGCCAGGAGTTCGAGACCAGCCTGGCCAACATAGTGAAACCCTTTCCCTACTAAAAATACAAAAAGTTAGCTGGGCGTGGTGGTGCATACTTGTAATCCCAGCTACTAGGGAGGCTAAGGCATGAGAATCGCTTGAGCCTGGGAAGCAGAGGTTGCAATGAGCTGAGATTGCGCCACTGTACTCCAGCCTGGGTGACAGAGGGAGACTTTGTCTCAAGAAAACAAAAGGTAATAAATGAAGGTTTACTCATTTATTCATTTCTAAGCTACAAAGTGATTAGTAGCTCAGTAGTCAAGACTAGATAGCATGCAGTTGCATAATATTCAGGAAACTCAGTATATTTGTTGTTTAAAAAATTTAAAACAGTGATATGTTTCTTTTCAGTTCTACAGTTTAATTCTAATAAACTTACCATTGCTACTAGTTTTTATAAAGACAATATTTCTAATTGGTAATTTTTAAAGTGAGACAATAAACTCCAAAAGAATATATCAGACAGATATATTCAGCAGTTGGTTCAACTTACCTCTTCTAAAGTTGTTAATCTCATGACTTCTAAAATATTTTCTAAATATTCATTTATATAGAGGCATGGCTCATGTTTTCATTCAAATTGATCCTCAAATTTAAAACTTTTTAGTGAATATTCAGGTACAGGAAAGTTTTAAAGGTCACCAATCAGATTCAAACCAAATAACACTACCCCAAGACTCTGAAAGGTCTTGGGGTAGTGTTATATCAGACTCTGAAAGGTTGAAAACAAAGAGAAGATCCTGAAAGCAGTAAGAGAAAAGGAGCAAATAACATATAAGGGAATTCCAATACATCTGGCAGCAGACTCCTCAAGAGGAACCTTGTAGGCCCAAAGGGAGTGGGATGATATATTCATAGTGCTAGAGTTAGAAAAGCTGCCAAAAATACTGTATCCACCAAAGCTTTCCATCAGAAATGAAGGAGAGATAAAGACCTTCCAAGATGAACAATTAATTGCTATCAGACCTGTTCTTAAAAAAAAAAATGCTAAAGGGAGTCCCTCAAACTGAAAGAAAAGGATGCTAATGTGTGAAAAGATGCTAATGTGCAAAAAGATGCTACTGTGTGAAACTATCTGAAGGTATAAAACTCACTGATAAAAGTAACTTTGCAGACAAACTAGACTTAATTTAATATTTACTCTAATACTGTAATCATGGTGTGTAAACCACTTGTATCTTTAATATGAAGACTAAAAGAAAAACTATTAAAAATAATTATATTAATTAATTATGGTATAGGCAACATAAAAAGATGTAAATTGTGACATCAACACTTCAAAATATTGGAGGGAATGGAGTTAAAGTATACTGGGGTTTTTTGTGTGATTCTTTTCTTTTTAAGGTAAGTTGTTATCAGTTTAAAATAATGTGTTATAACTGTAAGATGCTTTATGCAAGCCTCACGGTAACCACAAAGTAAAAACCTATAAAAAACAAAATACAAATAAGAAACAAGGAATCAAAACACACTATTAGAGAAAACCACCTAATCACAAAAAAGGAAAGTAAGAGAAAAAGAAAGAAAAGATCTACAAAACAACTGGAAAAAAAAATAACAAAATGGCAGGAGTACACCCTTACCTATCAACAATTACCTTGAACATAAATGGATTAAATTCTGCAATTAGAAAACATAGAGTGGCTGAATAAATTTAAATACATGCTGCCTACAAGAAACTCACTTTACCTGTAAGTAAATACATAGCCTAAAAGTGAAGAAATGGAAAAAGACTTTCCATGCAAATGGAAACCAAAAAGAACAGAGGTGGCAACATTCATTGCAGATAAAATAGACTTTAAGTCAAAAACTGTGAAAAGCAACAAAAATATATTGTATAATGATAAAGGGGTCTATATAGGAAGAGGAAATAAAATTGTAAATATGTATGCACCCAACATCAGAGCACCTAAATATATAAAGTAAATGTTAATAGACCTAAAGAAAAAGATAGACTGCAATAACATTAACGGTAGAAGACTTTAATACCCCACTTTCAGTGATGGACAGATCCATCCAAGCAGAAAATCAACAAAGATACATCAGAGTTAAACTGCATTCTAACCAAATGAACCTAAAGGACATTTATGGAACATTCCAACATCTGTAGAATATACATTCTTCTCAATAGCATATGGAACATTTTCCAGGATAGACCACATGTTAGACTACAAAACAAGTCTTAACAAAATTTTAAAAATTGAAATTGTATCAAATAACATTTCTGGCCACAATGAAATAAATGTAAGATCCAAAACTATGAAACTACTAGAAGAAAACAAACACTTCATAACATAACATTAGCTGGGCAAGGTTTTTTTGGATAAGACCTCAAAATCACAGGCAACGAAAATAAAAACAGACAAATTGGATTAAATGAAACACAAAAGCTTCTGCACAGCAAAGGGAAACAATCAACAGAATGAACAGACAAACTGGCAAAATGGGAAAAAAAATATTTGCCAGCTATGCATCTAACAAGGGGTTAATATCCAGAAAATATAAGGAACTCAAGCAGCTCCAAAGCAAAAAAAAGTAAAAAATAATAATAATAAAATAATCCAACTATAAAATGGGCAAAAGATCTGAAGAAGCATTTCCCAAAAGAAGACATACAAGTGGCCAACAAGTGCATGAAAACATGCTCACCATCAATAATCATCAGGGAAATGCATATAAAAACTAAAAGGAGACATCATCTCACTCCAGTTAGAAAGGCCATCATTAAAAAGACAAAAGATAACAAATGCTGGCAAGGATGTGAAGAAAGGGGAACTCTTACACACTGTTAGTGGATATGAAAAGTAGTTAAGCTATCATAGACGACAGTATGGAGGTTTCTGAAAAATTTAAAAATAGAACTACCATATGATCCTTTAATCCTACTTCTAGGTATCTATCCAAAGAAAATGAAATCAGAATGTCAAAGAGACATCTGCACTCCAAGTTTGTTAGAAGCATTATTCACAATAGCCAAGAAAGAGAATCAACCTAAGTGTCTATCAACATATGAACAGATTGAAAAATTTGGTGTCCATACACAATGGAATACTATTCAGCCTTAAAAAACAAGACAGTTCTGTCACTTGCAACAATATGGATGAACTGGAGGGCACCATAAGTAAAATAAGCCAAACATAGAAAAATAATTACCCCATGACCTCACGTATATGTGAAATCTAAAAAAGTTGATCTCATGTAAGTTGAGAATAGAATAGTGGTTACCAGCGGCTGGGAAAGGCAGGAGGCTACAGGTGGATGTGGAGAGGGTGGTCAGCCAGTATAAAGTTACAGTTAGATAGGAGGAATGAATTCCAGTTCTATTGCACAGTAGGGTGACTGTAGTTAACAATAAATAATACATTACATACTTCAAAGTAGCTAGAATATGGGATTTTGAATATTCTCACCACAAAGATATAATAAATATTTGAGGTTGATCATTACATATTGTATACATGTATTGAAACATCACGTTCTACTCCATAAATATGTATAATTACTATGTGTCAATTAAAAATAAAATAAAACTTTTAAAAATATAAATAAATAAACCTCTTAGTGAGGGTCTTGACTATAAAGTCCGAATCTACCTCTCCAGCCTCATTATCCTCCCTTCCTACCTTCTTACATCTTCCAGGCCCAGACCACACACACAGTCCCACACTCACACCTACATACACACATACACAAAAACACCTGAGTTTAATGCCACGCAGCTCACTCACCAGGACCACCAAATACCAGGCTCCTTCATCATTTCATGATTGCTATAAGCAGTGTTTCTGCCTTCATTCCCTGGACAAATTTCTATTTAACAATTAAGACTCACCTCAAATGTCATTCCCTCTGTAACACCTTTTCTAACTCCTTCAGGCACAATTAGATAGTCCTTCTTATGAAGGTCCAAGTATGAACACAAGCTTTTGTACAACACTTATCCCATAAAATTTTAATTAATTATTTTTCTGGGTCCAACTCCATTAGACTGTGAACTTACCAAGAAAAGTGATTACAATGTATTCATCTCTTTTTACCCAAGGCCCACATTAATAAATAGGCTATTTCCCAGTATATGATTGTGGGGATTAAAAAAGATAATTAACTAATGCACTTAGTAGTACATATAAAGCATTCAACATATGCTGGAAATTGTTTTCCTAAGTATTAAAAACAATGCCAATTTTACAGTAAGCATTCTGTAAATGCTTAGTAAATGAATAAAACAGGAACGAACAAATGAATGTTTGAAAAAATGCATTGCAAACAGAACTAAATAAAAATAAAGCAAAAAATATGACTGTAACAATCCTATCATTACAGAAGTAAATATTCCTCACAAAGATTGAACAGATTGCTTATTCTAAACAGTAATCAGTTGCTAGATTATTACACACAGAAGAAAATCAAAATATTAAAATTAGTTAGAATTATAAGGAAGAAATTTATTCAACAGAAACTTAAAATTTGTTGAAACTCCCCTGAATGCTAATTAAGATTTCCTGAGTTGGTTCTTAAGGAAATACTTTTAATAAGTCAATGCAGACCAACAGTTGTCTCCTTTGCAAATTTTAAATCATGTAAATCATGCTGAACATCATAGCTAACAAAAAGAAAATAATGCTGATTTTATTTCTTTTATTTCTTTTATTTTCCCAAGCAAAAATAGTGAATTATTTTTAAAACCTTGCTGTCCCATTTGTATACATTTTCAAGATTAATAAGTTAATCATTTTTAGAAGAGATTTTTCATGTTTTACCCCTCAATAATTTTCCCCTAAAGGTAGTTTCCTATGTCAGATAACTACACGTTAGAAAGAGTACCTTCTAACCTTAGAACCTTAGAAGGCACTCCTAAGGTTCATTTTTGTTTTAACATTTGTATGCTTGAATTCATAAATCAATGAAACAAAAATTAGTAAAATTCGCATGAACTTTTATTTTGTTGCTTAGAATGTTGCACCATAATTCATGATAACAGTGCCATCAATTAACAGAAGCAGCAAAGATACTACTTAGAGACATCATTCTAAATGTTAATAATGCCCCTAGGAACCCTCTATTGTAACTGAAGCCCATTAAACCTCACATAGAAGGCATAATGCCAGTATTTAAATAAGAAAAGGCTCATAATGCTGTTGTCATTCAGCATGTCAAAATCTATCAGAAAGGGCTGGCAAGATGGCCAAATAGGAACAGCTCCGGTCTACATCTCCCAGTGAGATCAATGTAGAAGGCGGGTGATTTCAGCATTTCCAACTGAGGTACCTGGCTCATCTCATTGGGACTGGTTAGACAGTAGGTGCAGCCCACGGAGGGCTAGCCGAAGCAGGGTGGAGCGTTGCCTCATCCGGGAAGCCCAAGGGGTTGGGGAACTCCCTCCCCTAGCCAAGGGAAGCCCACAGGGATTGTGCCCTGAGGGACAGTGCATTCCCGCCCAGATACTACACTTTTCCCATGGTCATAGAAACCCACAGACCAGGAGATTCCCTCAGGTGCCTACACCACCAGGGCCCTGGGTTTCAAGCACAAAACTGGGCGGCCTTTTGGGAAGACACCGAGCTACCTGCAAGAGTTTTTTACATACCCCAGTGGCACCTCGAATGCCAGCAAGACAGAACTGTTCACTTCCCTGGAAAGGGGGCTGAAGCCAGGGAACCAAGTGGTCTAGTTCAGCAGATCCCACCCCCACAGAGCCCAGCAAGCTAAGATCCACTGGCTTGAAATTCTTGCTGCCAGCACAGCAGTCTGAAGCTGACCTGGGATGCTCGAGCTTGGTGGGGGAAGGGGCGTCCACCATTACTGACGCTTGAGTAGGCAGTTTTCCCATCACAGTGTAAACAAAGCCACCGGGAAGTCTGAACTGGGCAGAGTCCACCACAGTTTGGCAAAGCCACTGTAGCCAGACTGCCTCTCTAGATTCCTCCACCCTAGGCAGGGAATCTCTGAAAAAAAAGCAGCAGCCCCAGTCAGGGGTTTATAGATAAAACTCCCATCTTCCTGGGACAGAGCACCTGGGGGTAGGGGCGGCTATGGTCGCAGCTTCAGCAGACAAACGTTACTGCCTGCTAGCTCTGAAGAGAGAAGATCTTCTAGCACAGCACTTGAGCTCTGCTAAGGGACAGACTGCCTCCCCAAGTGAGTCCTCGATCCCCGTATCTCCTGACTGGGAGACACCTTCCAGAGGGAGTAAACAGACATCTCATATAGGAGAGCTCCGGCTAGCATCTGGCAGATGCCCCTCTGAAACCATGCTTCCAGAGGAAGGAAAAGACAGCAATCTTTGCTGTCCTGCGGTCTCTGCTGGTGATACCCCGGCAAACAGGGTCTGCAGTGGACCTCCAGCAAACCCCAGCAGACGTGCAGCAGAGGAGCCTGACAGAAGGAAAACTAACAAACAGAAAGGAATAGCATGAACATCAACAAAAAGGATGTCCACACAAAAACCCCATCAGAAGGTCACCAACAGCAAAGACCAAAGGTAGATAAATCCACAAAAATGAATAAAAAACAGCTCAAAAAGGCTGAAAATTCCAAAAACCAGAATGCCTCTTCTCCTCCAAAGGATTACAACTCCTCACCAGCAAGGGAACAAAACTGGATGGAGAATGAGTTTGATGAATTGACAGAAGTAGGCTTCAGAGGGTGAGAAATAACAAACTCCTCCGAGCTAAAGAAGCGTGCTCTAACCTAATACAAGGAAGCTAAGAACCTTGAAAAAAGGTTAGAGGAATTGCTAACTAGAATAACCAGTTTAGAGAAGAACATAGATGACCTGATGGAGCTGAAAAACACAGCACGAGAACTTCGTGAAGCATGATACCTTATCAATAGGTGAATTGATCAAGCAGAAGAAAGGATATCAGAGATTGAAGATCAACTTAATGAAATAAAGCATGAAGACAAGATTAGAGAAAAAGAGAATGAAAAGGAATGAACAGAGCCTCCAAGAAATATGGGACTATGTGAAAAGACCAAACCTACAACTGATTGGTGTACCTGAAAGTGACAGGGAGAATGGAACCCAGTTGGAAAACACTCCTCAGGATATTATCCAGAACTTCCCCAACCTAGCTAGACAGGCCAACATTCAAATTCAGGAAGTAGAGAGAACACCACAAAGATACTCCCCGAGAAGAGCAACCCCAAGACACGTAATCGTCAGATTCACCAAGGTTGAAACGAAGGAAAAAATGTTAAGGGCATCCAGAGAGAAAGGTCAGGTTACCCACACAGTGAAGCACATCAGACTAACAGCAGATCTCTCTGCAGAAACCCTACAAGCCAGAAGAGAGTGGGGGCCAATATTCAACATTCTTAAAGAAAACAATTTTCAACCCTGAATTTCATATACAGGCAAACTAAGGTTCATAAGCAAAGGAGAAAAAAAATCCTTTACAGACAAGCAAATGCTGAGAGATTTTGTCACCACCAGGCCTGCCTTGCAAGAGCTGCTGAAGGAAGCACTAAATATGGAAAGAAAAAACCGATACCAGCCACTGCAAAAACATACCGAATTGTAAAGACCATCGATACTATGAAGAAACTGCATCAACTAAAATAACCAGCTAGCATCATAATGCCAGGATCAAATTCACACATAACAATATTAACCTTAAATGTAAATGGGCTAAATCCTCCAATTCAAAGACACAGGCTGACAAATTGGATAAAGAGTCAAGACCCATCGGGGTGCTGTATTCAGGAGACCCATGTAATGACACACATGTAATGACACACATAGAGGCTGGGCGTGACAGCTCACGCCTGTAATCCCAGCACTTTGGGAGGCCAAGGCGGGTGGATCACAAGGTCTAGAGTTCAAGACCAGCCTGGTCAACATGATAAAACCCCAACTCTACTAAAAATACGACAGTTAGCCAAGTGTGGTGGCATGTGCCTGTAATCTCAGCTACTCAGGAGGCTGAGGCAGAGAATTGCTTGAACCCGGGAGGCGGAGGTTGCAGTGAGCCAAGATCGAGCCACTGCACTCCAGCCTCGGTGACAGAGTGAGACGGTGCCCCCAACGCCCCCCCCCAAAAAAAGACACACAGAGGCTCAAAATAAAGGAATGCAGGAAGATTTCCCAAAAAAATGGAAAGCAAAAAAAAAAAAAGCAGGGGTTGCAATCCTAGTCTCTGATAAAACAGACTTTAAACGAAGAAAGATCAGAAAATAAAAAGAAGGGCATTACATAATGGTAAAGGAATCAATGCAACAAGAAGAGCTAACTATCCTAAATATATATGCACCCAATATAGGAGCACCCAGATTCATAAAGCAAGTTCCCAGAGACCTCTAAAGAGACATAGACTCCCACACAATAATAGTGGATGAATTTAACACCCCACTGTCAATATTAGACAGATCAACAAGACAGGAAATTAAAAAGGATATTCAGGACTTGAACTCAGCTCCGGACCAAGCAGACCTAATAGGCATCTACAGAACTCTCCACCCCAAATCTACAGAATATACATTCTTCTCAGCACCACATCACACTTATTCTAAAATTGACCACATTATTGGAAGTAAAACACTCATCAGTAAATGCAAAAGAACAGAAATGATAACAAACAGTCTCTCAGACCACAGTGCAATCAAATTAGAACTCAGGATAAAGAAACTCATTAAAAACCACACACCTACATGGAAACTGGACAACCTGTTCCTGAGTGACTGCTGGATATATAATGAAATTAAGGCAGAAATAAATAAGTTCTTCGAAACTAATGAGAACAATGACACAACGTACCAGAATCCTTGGGACACAGCTAAAGCAGTGTTTAGGGGAAATGTGAAGCACTAAATGCCCACAGGAGAATGCTGGAAAGATCTAAAATCAACATCCTAACATCACTATTAAAAGAACTAGAGAAGGGGTGGAGCCAAGATAGCCGAATAGAAACAGCTCCAGTCTACAGCTCCCAGGGTGAGTGACACAGAAGACAGGTGATTTCTGCATTTCCAACCGGGTTCACCTCACTGGGGAGTGCCAGACAGTGGGTGCAGGACAGTGGGGGCAGCGCACCATGCGTGAGCCAAAGCAGGGAGAGGCATCGCCTCACCCGGGAAGCACAAAGGATCAGGGAATTCCTTTTCCTAGTCAAAGAAAGGGGTGACAGATGGCACCTGGAAAATCGGATCACTCCCACCTTAATACTGCGCTTTTCCAACAGGCTTATCAAATGGCACACCAGGAGATTATATCCCGCAACTGGCTCGGAGGGTCCTACGCCCACGGAACCTCGCTCATTGCTAGCACAGCAGCCTGAGATCAAACAGCAAGGTGGCAGCGAGGCTGGGGGGAGGGGCGCCTGCCATTGCTCAGGCTTGAGTAGGTAAACAAAGCAGCCAGGAAGCTCGAACTGGGTGGAGCCCACCACAGCTCAAGGAGGCCTGCCTGCCTCTGTAGGCTCCACCTCTGGGGGGCAGGGCACAGACAAACAAAAGATAGCAATAACCTCTGCAGACTTAAATGTCCCTGTCTGACAGCTTTAAAGAGAGTAGTGGTTCTCCCAGCACTCAGTTTGAGATCTGAGAATGGGCAGAATGCCTCCTCAAGTGGGTCCCCAACCCCTGAGTAGCCTAACTGGGAGGCACCCCCGAGTAGGGGCGGACTGACACCTCACACAGCCGGGTACTCCTCTGAGACAAAACTTCCAGAGGAACGATCAGGCAGCAGCATTTGTGGTTCACCAATATCTGCTGTTCTGCAGCCACCACTGCTGAAACCCAGGAAAACAGGGTCTGGAGTGGACCTCCAGAAAACTCCAACAGACCTGCAGCTGAGGGTCCTGACTGTTAGAAGGAAAACTAACAAACAGAAAGGACATCCACACCAAAAACCCATCTGTACATCACCATCATCAAAGACGAAAGGTAGATAAAATCACAAAGATGGGGAAAAAACAGAGCAGAAAAACCGGAAACTCTAAAAATCAGAGCACCGCTCCTCCTCCAAAGGAACGCAGCTCGTCACCAGCAATGGAACAAAGCTGGACAGAAAATGACTTTGACAAGTTGAGAGAAGAAGGTTTCAGATGATCAAACTACTTTGAGCTAAAGGAATAAGTTTGAACCAATGGCAAAGAAGTTAAAAACTTTGAAAAAAAATTAGACGAATGGATAACTAGAATAACCAATGCAGAGAAGTCCTTAAAGGACCTGATGGAGCTGAAAACCAAGGCACAAAAACTACGTGACAAAAGCACAAGCCTCAGTAACCAATGCAATCAACTGGAAGAAAGGGTATCAGCAATGGAAGATGAAATAAATGAAATGAAGCGTGAAGAGAAGTTTAGAGAAAAAAGAATAAAAAGAAATCAACAAAGCCTCCAAGGAATATGGGACTATGTGAAAAGACCAAATCTACGTCCAATTTGTGTACCTGAAAGTGACGGGGAGAATGGAACCAAGTTGGAAAACACTCTGCAGGATATTATCCAGGAGAACTTCCCCAATCTAGCAAGGCAGGCCAACATTCAAATTCAGGAAATACAGAAAACGCCACAAAGATATTCCTCGAGAAGAGCAACTCCAAGACACATAATTGTCAGATTCACCAAAGTTGAAATGAAGGAAAAAATGTTAAGGGCAGCCAGAGAGAAAGGTCAGGTTACCCACAAAGGGAAGCCCATCAGACTAACAGCTGATCTCTCAGCAGAAACTCTACAAGTCAGAACAGAGTGGGGGCCACTATTCAACATTCTTAAAGAAAAGAATTTTCAACTCAGAATTTCATATCCAGCCAAACTAAGCTTCATAAGTGAAGGAGAAATAAAATACTTTACAGACAAGCAAATGCTGAGAGATTTTGTCACCACTAGGCCTGCCCTAAAAGAGCTCCCGAAGGAAGCACTAAACATGGAAAGGAACAACCGGTACCAGGCACTGCAAAAACATGCCAAATTGTAAAGACCATCAACACTAGGAAGAAACTGCATCAACTAACAATCAAAATAACCAGCTAACATCATAATGACAGGATCAAATTCACACATAACAATACTAACCTTAAATATAAATGGGCTAAATACTCCAATTAAAAGCCACAGACTGGCAAATTGGATAGAGTCAAGACCCATCAGTGTGCTGTATTCAGGAAACCCATCTCATGTGCAGAAACACAGAAAGGCTCAAAATAAAGGGATGGAGGAAGATCTACCAAGCCAATGGAAAACAAAAAAAGGCAGGGGTTGCAATCCTAGTCTCAGACAAAACAGACTTTAAACCAACAAACATCAAAAGAGACAAAGAAGGCCATTACATAATGGTAAAGGGATCAATTCAACAAGAAGAACTAACTATCCTAAATATATATGTACCCAATACAGGAGCACCCAGATTCATAAAGCAAGTCCTGAATGACCTACAAAGAGACTTAGACTCCCACACATTAATAATGGGAGACTTTAACACCCCACTGTCAACATTAGACAGATCAATGAGACAGAAAGTTAACAAGGATATCCAGGAATGGAACTCAGCTCTGCACCAAGAGGGCCTAATAGACATCTACAGAACTCTCCGCCCCAAATCAACAGAATATACATTCTTTTCAGCACCACACCACACCTATTCCAAAACTGACCACATAGTTGGAAGTAAAGCTCTCCTCAGCAAATGTAAAAGAATAGAAATTATAACAAACTGTCTCTCAGACCACAGTGCAATCAAACTACAACTCAGGATTAAGAAACTCACTCAAAACTGCTCAACTACATGGAAACTAAACAACCTGCTCCTGAATGACTACTGGGTACATAACGAAATGAAGGCAGAAATAAAGATGTTCTTTGAAACCAACGAGAACAAAGACACAACATACCAGAATCTCTGGGACACATTCAAAGCAGTGTTTAGATGGAAATTTATAGCACTAAACGCCCACAAGAGAAAGCAGGAAAGATCTAAAATCGACACCCTAACATCACAATTAAAAGAACTAGAGAAGCAAGAGCAAACACATTCAAAAGCTAGCAGAAGGCAAGAAATAACTAAGATCGGAGCAGAACTGAAGGAAACAGAGACACAAAAAACCCTTTAAAAAATCAATGAATCCAGGAGCTGGTTTTTTGAAAAGATCAACAAAATTGATAGACCGCTAGCAAGACTCATAAAGAAGAAAAGAGAGAAGAATCAAATAGATGCAATAAAAAATGACAAAGGGGATATCACCACTGATCCCACAGAAATACAAACTACAATCAGAGAATACTACAAATACCTCTACGCAAATAAACTAGAAAATCTAGAAGAAATGGATAAATTCCTCGACACATACACCCTCCCAAGACTAAACCAGGAAGAAGTTGAATCTCTGAATAGACCAATAACAGGCTCTGAAATTGAGGCAATAATTAATAGCTTACCAACCAAAAAAAGTCCAGGACCAGATGGATTCACAGCTGAATTCTACCAGAGGTACAAGGAGGAACTGGTACCATTCCTTCTGAAACTATTCCAATCAATAGAAAAAGAGGGAATCCTCCCTAACTCAATTTATGAGGCCAGCATCATCCTGATACCAAAGCCTGGCAGAGACACAACAAAAAAAGAGAATTTTAGACCAATATCCTTGATGAACATTGATGCAAAAATCCTCAATAAAATACTGGCAAACCAAACCCAGTGACACATCAAAAAGCTTATCCACCATGATCTAGTGGGCTTCATCCCTGGGATGCAAGGCTGGTTCAACATACAAAAATCAATAAACGTAATCCAGCATATAAACAGAACCAAAGACAAAAACCACATGATTATCTCAATAGATGCAGAAAAGGCCTTTGACAAAATTCAAAAACCCTCCATGCTAAAAGCTCTCAATAAATTAGGTATTGATGGGACATATCTCAAAATAATAAGAGCTATCTATGACAAACCCACAGCCAATATCATACTGAATGGGCAAAAACTGGAAGTATTCCCTTTGAAAACTGGCACAAACAGGGATGCCCTCTCTCACCATCCTATTCAACATAGTGTTGGAAGTTCTGGTCAGGGCAATCAGGCAGGAGAAGGAAATAAAGGGCAATCAATTAGGAAAAGAGGAAGTCAAGTTGTCCCTGTTTGCAGATGACATGATTGTATATTTAGAAAACCCCATCATCTCAGCCCAAAATCTCCTTAAGCTGATAAGCAACTTCAGCAAAGTCTCAGGATACAAAATCAATGTGCAAAAATCACAAGCATTCTTATACACCAATAACAGACAAACAGAGAGCCAAATCATGAGTGAACTCCCATTCACAATTGCTTCAAAGAGAATAACATACCTAGGAATCCAACTTACAAGGGATGTGAAGGACCTCTTCAAGGAGAACTACAAACCACTGCTCAATGAAATAAAAGAGGATATAAACAAATGGAAGAACATTCCATGCTCATGGGTAGGAAGAATCAATAGCGTGAAAATGGCCATACTGCCCAAGGTAATTTATAGATTCAATGCCATCCCCATCAAGCTACCAATGACTTTCTTCACAGAATTGGAAAAAACTACTTTAAAGTTCATATGGAACCAAAATACAGCCCGCATTGCCAAGTCAATCCTAAGCCAAAAGAACAAAGCTGGAGGCATCATGCTACCTGACTTCAAACTATACTACAAGGCTACAGTAACCAAAACAGCATGGTACTGGTACCAAAACAGAGATATAGACCAATGGAACAGAACAGAGCCCTCAGAAATAATGCCGCATATCTACAACTATCTGATCTTTGACAAACCTAACAAAAACAAGAAATGGGGAAAGGATTCCCTGTTTAACAACTGGTGCTGGGAAAACTGGCTAGCCATATGTAGAAAGCTGAAACTGGATCCCTTCCTTACAACTTATACAAAAATTAATTCAAGATGGATTAAAGACTTACATGTTAGATCTAAAATGATAAAAACCCTAGAAGAAAAGCTAGGCAATACCATTCAGGACATAGGCATGGGCAAGGACTTCATGTCTAAAACACCAAAAGCAATGGCAACAAAAGCCAAAATTGACAAATGGGATCTAATTAAACTAAAGAGCTTCTGCACAGCAAAAGAAACTACCATCAGAGTGAACAGGCAACCTACAGAATGGGAGAAAATTTTTGCAATCTACTCAACTGACAAAGGGCTTATATCCAGAATCTACAATGAACTCAAACAAATTTACAAGAAAAAAACAAACAACCCCATCAAAAAGTGGGTGAAGGATATGAACAGACAATTCTCAAAAGAAGACATTTATGCAGCCAAAAAACACATGAAAAAATGCTCATCATCACTGGTCATCAGAGAAATGCAAATCAAAACCACAATGAGATACCATCTCACACCAGTTAGAATGGCAATCATTAAAAAGTCAAGAAACAACAGGTGCTGGAGAGGATGTGGAGAAATCGGAACACTTTTACACTGTTGGTGGGACTGTAAACTAGTTCAACCATTGTGGAAGTCGGTGTGGCGACTCCTCAGGGATCTAGAACTAGAAATAGCATTTGACCCAGCCATCCCATTACTGGAAGAACATTCCATGCTCATTACTGGGTATATACCCAACATTACTGGGTATATACCCAAAGGATTATAAATCATGCTGCTATAAAGACACATGCACACGTATGTTTCTTGCAGCACTATTCACAATAGCAAAGACTTGGAACCAACCCAAATGTCCAACAATGATAGACTGGATTAAGAAAATGTGACACATATACACCATGGAATACTATGCAGCCATATCCTTTGTAGAGACATGGATGAAGCTGGAAACCCTCATTCTCAGCAAACTACCACAAGGACAAAAAACCAGACACCACATGTTCTCACTCATAGGTGGGAATTGAACAATGAGAACACATGGACACACGAAGGGGAACATCACACACCGGGGACTGTTGTGGGGTGGGGGTGGGGGAAAGGATAGCATTAGGAGATATACCTAATGCTAAATGACGAGTTAATGGGTGCAGCACAACAACATGGCACAGGTATACATATGTAACAAACCTGCACCTTCACGTTGTGGACATGTATCCTAAAACTTAAAGTATAATAAAAAAAAAAGACCTAGAGAAGTAACAGCAAACAAATTCAAAATCTAGCAGAAGACAAGAAATAACTAAGAACAGAGCAGAACTGAAGGAGAGAAAGACAAGAAAAACTCTTCAAAAAAATCAGTGAATCCAGGAGCTGGTTTTTTAAAAAGATTAACAAAATAGATAAACCACTAGCCAGACTGTTAAAGAAGAAAAGACAGAAGAATCAAATAGACACAATAAACAATGATAAAGGGGCGATCACCACTGATCCCACAGAAGTACAAACTACCATCAGAGAATACTATAAATACCTCTATGCAAATAAACTAGAAAATCTGGAAGAAATGGATAAACTCCTGGACACATACACCCTCCCAAGACTAAACCAGGAAGAAGTCAAATCCCTGAATAGACCAATAACAAGTGCTGAAATTGAGGTAGTAATTAATAGCCTACCAACCCAAAAAAGCCCAGGACCAGACAGATTCACAGCCAAATTCTACCAGAGGTACAAAGAGGAGCTGGTACCATTCCCTCTGAAACTATTCCGAACGATAAAAAAAAAAGGGGGGAATCCTCCCTAACTCATTTTATGAGGCCAGCATCATCCTGATACCAAAACCTGGCAGAGACACAACAATGACAAAATAATTTCAGGCCAATATCCCTGATGAACATCAATGCAAAAATCATCAATAAAATACTGGCAAACTGAATTAGCAACACATCAAAAAGCTTATCCACCATGATCAAGTCGGCTTCATCCCTGGGATGCAAGGCTGGTTCAACATATGAAAATCAATAAACGTAATCCATTACATAAGCAGAACCAATGACAAAAACCACATGATTATCTCAACAGATGCAGAAAAGGCCTTCAATAAAATTCAACACCCCTTCATGCTAAAAACTCACAATAAATTGGTATTGATGGAATGTATCTCAAAATAATAAGTTATTTATGACAAACCCACAGCCAATATCATACTGACACTTCTCAAAAGAAGACATTTATGCGGCCAACAAACATATGAAAAAAAGCTCATCATCACTGCTCATTAGAGAAATGCAAATCAAAATCACAGTGGGTTACCATCTCACACCAGTTAGAATGGCGATCATTAAAAAGTCAGGAAACAACAGATGCTGGAGAGGATGTGGAGAAATAGGAAGGTTTTTACACTGTTGGTGGGAGTGTAAATTAGTTCAACCATTGTGGAAGACAGTGTGGCGATTCCTCAAGGATCTAGAACCAGAAATACCATTTGACCCAGCAATCCCATTACTGGGTGTATACCCAAAGGATTATAAATCATTCTACTATAAAGACACATGCACACGTATGTTTATTGCAGCACTATTCACAATAGCAAAGACTTGGAACCAACACAAATGCCCATCAATGATAGACTGGATAAAGAAAATGTGGCACATATACACCATGGAACACTGTGCAGCCATAAAAAAGGATGAGTTCATGTCCTTTGCAGGTACATGGATGGAGCTGGAAACCATCATTCTCAGCAAACTAACACAGGAACAGAAAACCAAACACCACATGTTCTCACTCATAAGTGGGAGTTGAACAATGAAAATACATAGACACAGAGAAGGGAACATCAAACACCAGGGCCTGTCAGGGGGTGAGAGACTAGGGGAGGGATAGCATTAGGAGAAATACCTAATGTAGATGACGGGTTGATGGGTGCAGCAGACCACCATGGCATGTGGATACCTATGTAACAAACCTGCATGTTCTGCACATGTATCCCAGAACTTAAAGTATAATTTAACAAATCTATCAGAAACAGATCCATGAAATAATAATCATAAAATTATTTTGTGCTCATTATTTATAACATTTAGATAAACAAAAACCTAAAGTAAAAAAAAATTAGAACTGGTAAAATTCAGTGTTAATTTTTTTCCTAAAGGAGAAAGTTTTAAAGCAAAAGAACTGACTTCTGAAGAAAAAGTATATTCCATAGGTAGATACCTACCTACATACATACACACATATATAAATCTGTTTATATGCCATAATATTTACATGTATATTTATATATAAATATCTTTCAGATGTTCATATATAATATTGATAGATTTTTAAATACAAAAATGTGTACTTTTTCTTCCGATGTCACTTCTCTTGCACCCATGTATATGTCTCATAAGTATAAATATTTGTCAGAATTCCCCTTCCTGATCCAGAAAGAGCTGATTATTTGCCTTCTTTCTGATGATGTCATTTTTTAAAGTCCCTTTTTATTGCAAGCCCAATCAATCTAAATTCTCTGCTTGAGCCCCTAAGTAATCACATCAAACGAATATATTTTAAAACTTCTAATTTTAGAAACATCTAAAGGAAATGGAAAATTTTATTAAGAAGTAGCCCTTACAAATGTCTTACCTGCTACAAGACTCAGAGTTCTTAGATCTCACACCTTCTTTTGGTAATAAATTAATATTTATTAAAGTGAGTATTGGGGAGGGATTAAAGGTATATATAATTTTCTGAATAATTATAAAAGTATAATATCTGTTACATGTGTTGCCAATATTAACCTAGATTATTTATAAAGTATGTAAACTAGTCTACAATTCAAAGATCCTTAAGAAAAGAACATACAGTAAAACAAAATGATGACAGCCTTGCCAAATAGCCATTTCAGAATGCTTTCTCCATGGGCTCCTTTTGAAAAGCACTTAATTTTTCACTCATTACTAAAACATTGACTTTATTGTGTTTGAGACTAATTCAGTATATTTCAGGTTTTTCAACATAACTGCTTGCCTTTTTTTTCCCTTCTTTTATATTTAGTAGTATGTTGTAAAGGATACAACTCAGGAACAGCCAAATGGATGGGATCCATAGGCCAAAGTAAAGGGGAAGGGGCTTTCATGCCCTCTCAGAGTACACCACACTCACAGCACCTCCATGTGCTCACCAACCTAGAAGCTCTCTGAACCTCATGCCAAAATAACTGCTTTCTGACTGCCACAGATGGCCACAGAAAACATCAACCAAATCAGAAGCCTGGCTTTTGTGTAAATCTATATAACTCATCTTAAATAACATTTTCAAGAACTTTGTCACCAGAAAAACTGTGGGCCTCAATGTAATTCAAAATATTTTCCCAGTCATTCCTCATCTCATTAAAAAGTATTCTAATGATCCATAATTTTTAAAGTCTTACTTGTATAAAATTAACATTATATCATCTTGTTGAAATATGTTAAAATATGCCACAATCATAAAATATTTCAATAATTGGAAAGTTAATATTTAAAGAAGGAACTTCTGTGAACTCCACTGGATTGTCAAATAGTCTTCATTTAAGATACCTCATCTAAATATCTAAATTGTAAGCTCTGGATATTGATTACTAGTAAGTCTTTATTTACTCTTTTTTTTTTTCTTTTCTCTGAGATGGAGTCTTGTTCTGTCATGTAGGCTGGAGTGCAATGGCGTGATCTCTGCTCACTGCAAACTCTGCCTCCTGGGTTCAAGTAATTCTCCTGCCTCAGCCTCCCAAGTAGCTGGGATTACAGGCACGTGCAATGACACCGAGCAAATTTTTTGTATTTTTAGTAGAGATGAGGTTTCACCATGTTGGCCAGGCTGGTCTTGAACTCCTGACCTCAAGTGATCCACCCACCTCGGCCTCCCAAAGTGTCAGGATTACAGGCATGATCCCAGCCCTCTGACTTTTAATTTATGATATAAATATAAGTACTACTTCCAGTATTTTCTTCCTCTCTTGTCAGTAAGATGTCTTGCAGCCCCCGCTGTGGACATCATTAACGGATCATCATTTCTCAACTTGTTTCCCCAACAAAGGTCTCCTTGGTATATGGTAGTATGACATCCTGGATCTTCTCATTGGACACATATTTGATCCCCAAGGGAATGAATGAAATAATAAAAGTTATTGTTCTCTGTATGTGTACGGGGGGAGTGTGTACACATGTGAATTTTTGTATGCAACTAAGATGAGAAGTATAAACGGATAGAATCTAAATAGCAGAGTTGTAAAAGAAAGAGAATATTTCTTTGCTATGTCATAGCCAGTTAAAAGGTATGTCTTTAAAATTTTCTAAGTGTTTGGTGAATGTCTTCACTTTATCAGTTCTCAAGATGGTAAACATTAGTAAACTCAGACAGTCTAGACCAAATCCAATCTTGCATATAAAAGTAACCTTTGAAAGCTGTAAATCCCAGTGTGTTGATGAAGCATTAATAAAGCGATCATCATTCAGAATCAAAACTAATAAAAACTAGAAAATAGTTCACTAAACAGCTCACTTAATGAATCTTTAATCCTCTCACAACTGCAACCATTCACAACACTACCCTGAATTAGAAGTAGGAAGAAAAAAGCCCCTGATGTCTCCACTTTCTGATGCTATAATGATACCTTTAACAAACTCCACTATGTAATTCTGAGGTCTTAGAATACTGCGAGTAACACATTTGAAGAAGGATAGTAAAAGTAGAGGCGTATTAGGGAGACAAGCATAATAGCTGCAAAATAAAGTCCAACGGAAACCAGGAGGCCGAGGCGGGCGGATCACGAGGTCAGGAGATCAAGACCATCCTGGCTAACACGGTGAAACCCCGTCTCTACTAAAAATACAAAAAAGTTGGCCGGGCGTGGTGGTGGGCACCTGTAGTCCCAGCTACTCGGGAGGCTGAGGCAGGAAAATGGCGTGAACCCGGGAGGCGGGGCTTGCATTGAGCCGAGATCGCACCACTGCACTCCAGCCTGGGTGACAGAGAGAGACTCAGTCTCAAAAAAAAAAAAAAAAAAAAAGATCCTGAGTCTTAAAGAAAATGTATGTTTTGTTCACTATCAGGCCTAGAATTGCATAGTATATTTTAGAAAGATTTCCATTCAAAACAGCTAACATTTTAAAATGTTTCCCTTTAATCTATAGTCTGGATTTTATGGGCTAATGAATATAAGCCTAGAAATGTCTAAGTGTAAACAGAATTCTAAATTTTGTTATATTTGTTTAAGAGGGCTGATTCCCAAAATATTTTAATGATTCTTCAAAATTAGCTGGAGATACTTCTTTAGGCTTATGTGTCTTTAATCATGAATGATGAGCTCTTTTTGAAGTATCTGAATTGCTTTTAGTAAGATTTGCAATCATTCTCAACAAATTATAAAGCAGCCTAGAAAAAATACTGTGCTATGCCATATTAAGGCATTCCTACCTTCAGCAGACTGAGCAAAGATGATTATAAAAGTGAAATGCGTAACCTTATTCACTCCTGGGATCTATTACTGAAAGATTAAGAATGAAACTGAAGTCTTTTCAACACTCATGAAAGACTGTTATCTGAAGGCTGTTTTTAAAGCTAAATTATATAAAATATCTATGAACACATAAGAAATCCTTATTAATATGCTATTACCTAGCAGACAATATATCTGAACTATAATTTTGATTATGGCCTTAGGGGAACAAGAGAATTCTTTAATTCATATATTTTAATAGAATCACTGCAAATTTGTTCTATTGTTCCTCATCTGAACTCCCTAGTAATTGATTGTTTAAGCCAGTGTTTCCCAAAGACTGAGACATAAGATAATTTTTAGATGATACATGAAGACCATTTTTTTAATACATTTATTTTAATGTGTTAAAATATGTACAGTTAAAAACAAAAAAGTACAGCTAGAAGATTGAATTCATGAGTTCATGGGTATTATCACTCAGCAAGATTAAGTTTTATAAACTAAATTGCTTCAAAGTTATTTTAAAGAAAAAATATATTAATATTTAAATAAACTTTATAGTTAGGGCAAAAAATAATGATGTTGGTTCATAGACAAGTGAAGTTAAGAAAATATTATGTATTCTATTGCTTAGAAAGTAGACATGCCCTACTCTGTGGCATTTAATTTATAGTTGCTTTCAACTACTGTTTACATCTTTTGTGGATTAAATATTATCTATTGCTCTTGTCTCCTCAACTAATTTACGAGCTCAGTTACCACAGGGGCAGGTTGAATGCTTTGCACAGATATAGACTTTATATATGTTGATTTAGATTTACCAATGAGAGGCTTACAAAGATTGATGAGAGTATTTCTTTCTTTCGTTGATCAAAGCCTGTCTGATATTTCACTTCAGTAGGTTTCAGGATCTCCTGCTACAAATTAGTTTTTAATACATAAAATAAGAATTGAACCATGCTCTTAAACATTTGAGCTCTTTCTATCAAAAAGTTCTGTCACATCTGCAAAAATACAATGAGAGTAAATAAAGTTTTCAACTTAGCAGATACTGAATTCCCATGTTATTTTAAATTATGGTTTATTATAAAAGAATTTAATAGCTGAGGTGTTAATTGCTAATACATAATATTGCCTGGACACCTCTTGAGGGAGTACAGAGCGAAGTCATATTTGTATGTGTTTTGTATGCCAATAGCAGGTACCAATGTGAAATGCACAGCAAGATATGCGACAGCACAGTGCAACAGAAAGAGTGTAGAGACAGATTGGGAGGCCAAGGCAGGCGGATCACGAGGTCAGGAGATCGAGACCATCCTGGCTAACACGGTGAAACCCCGTCTCTACTAAAAATACAAAAAATTAGCCAGGCGTGGTGGTGGGCACCTGTAGTCCCAGCTACTAGGGAGGCTGAGGCAGGAGAATGGCGTGAGCCCGGGAGGCGGAGCTTGCAGTGAGCAGAGATCTCACCACTGCACTCCAGCCTGGGCGACAGAGCAAGACTCCGTCTCAAAAAAAAAAAAAAAAAAAAAGAGTGTAGAGACAGAAAAAGGAAACTCCATTAGCTGAGTAGCAGGGACAAATCACTTAACTTCTCTGGGCCTTAGCTTTCTTAATGAAGAAGTTGCTTATATATTTTTAAAAATCTGATAATGATAAAAGATGATAGAACAAAGAGAAAAAAAAGCCTGGTTCTAAAACGGTTTTACTGAGAAACTAAACCACTGCTGTTACAACCTACCACCAGACTTCTGTTTATGCAAGAAAAATAAACCACTCTCTTGTGTAAGTCACTGTTAATTAGGAATTCTGTTACTTAGAGCTGAATACTTTCCTCACTGGGAAAACAAACAAAAAAAAAAACTCATGTGGAATAAAGGATCATACATCTAGCTACATAAAAATTTACAGCTATTGAATGTTAAAAATAAGAACTAGAAAAATATATACAGTTGATATGGTAAAGGAGTAATATATTTACTATGAAAATTACTCATACATACCAATAAGAAAACCACTGAGAAACTAATAGATAAATGAACAGAGAATATAAATAGAAATTTTATAAGAAAGAATAGAATTTTAAAAACATACAACAATTTTTCATCCTTGCTATAAGCCTAATAAATGCAATTTAAAATAAGAAGATGGCATTTCTTGTCCAGCAGATTACCAGAAACAATGGTATTAATTAGAATAGCTATAGAGGAACAAGGTTCAGTAAAATAGACACTATCATACATTGCTAATAAGAATGTGAATTTTTATTACACTATTGGAAGACAATTTGGTGATATGCATTGAAATATTTAAAACATAATGTAATAGGGGTTTGGTTAAATAAATTAAGGTATGAAAACTCTTTCTAAATAGTATATAAATATTAAAATTATACTTATGAATTATATACATTCAGAAATGCCAATCATGTCCTGTTAAATATAAGAAGCAAAATATAAAATTATATATAGGCTATAAATGTATTTTTAATGAACTGGACACAGGTAATTAAATGGAAAAAACTGTTAAGAGTGGCATTCTTTAGGTAGTGGATCTATAGGTAATTTCTTTTAAATTTTTATCAAGTTCTAAGATTTCCATTTATAACGAGGAATACAGTACATTCTACTATTTAAAGTAATATAAAATAAGATGAAGGGGCAGAATGAAGGTTGCTTATGTCCAACATTCGACACATCAATGAATCCCACGTACTTAAAGCATTTGATCAACTTCCCATCACTGAAGCATGCTGCATATGCCTCAGTTTCACGAGGTTAGGAATGCAAAGACAGATTACAACAGAATTCCTAAGTAACTGCTTATATAGTCAGATGAGATGAACTGGAACAACCACATGCAAGGTAAGCAGGAAAAAAAGCACTCCAAAGCAACACAGCCAAACAGTCTGAAGCTGTGGGTTATTAGGAAATGACAGCAGTGATCAAAGATAGATGGCACCATTTCAAGAAGAGGAGCCTAAATCCACAGGGCTAAGTAGGGACACACATCAGAGGGGAACCATATTCCCAAACCGCTGACAAACTACAAGCATTCTCAGGCCTGAAAGTACAAGTCATATGCAGGCCTTGGTGGTCTTAATGTCCATAGGAATGCAATAACACTATCAGCACCAATATCAATGAATGTAGGTAGTCCTGATTCTCATGTTAGAACAGAAAAAAGCTCTATCCACATTCCAGCACATTTCCCTTCAAAACCTCTTTCTTTAGAGTTGGGTATCATATTTCTCACTTCTTGTCCTAAGGACCTAGATAAGGTAATTGAAATCAATAGTTGAGAAATGATACCAACCAGTACAAATGCTGCAGGAGATTGCAGCAACCGTAAGTGGAAAGACACATTCAAAGGAAAATCTCTATGACTGCCATAAGAGGAAAACCTCAAGATGTAAGATGTGCATCAAGAAACAAATATAATGATTTCCAAGGCAAAAATGGCCAAAGTACTCTTTACTTTCAGGCAAATCTAAATGCAAAAAATCCACATTTGAACAAAAGACAAGCTATTCGGTTTACCAAAGGATTCACAATAGGATTGCTTTGAATAATAAGATTTGTAGTAATAACAATTCACTTTTTCAGAACTGCACATTGTATAAAGGGAGCTACACTTGCATTCCACAAACAAATCCGGAAATAATGCAGTTCTCAGACCCGACTTCATCAAAGATGAGCTGAATTACATCAGACAAGCCACTGAGTTCAACTTTAGCTTCTTCTTAAGTTGGTAATAATAAGACTGTTACTGGTGTCACATACCTATTGTAATGACTCACTAAAATTAATTTAGTAATTTATTTGGTATAATGAAAAGTCCTACAAGAATAATATAAGATGGATATTGTCATTATTATTACTGATTCTATTAAAAACTTCAGATTAACTATGAGAAACACTATCATAAAAGAATATTATCCCTAAATGTTAAGATGTTTCTATGTCATGTATCTCCAAAATAAATACTCAAGGACACAAAAACCTTATTATTTAACACATTGAAAATGAGACTGTTATTAGCCATGTGCAATTAGAATAAAGAAAAAAATTAATTTCTTAATAAACATATAAATGAAAAATAGGGCACAATCTAAATTCATTATTATCTTCTATCCTTGTAATTTCCAAACTCTTTCTAGTTTCTCCATTCCATCAGTAGATAGAAGAATCAGAAGCCTCTGGGTCAGAAATACCTGGGTTCAAAATCCTCTCCCAATTCTAACTTCAACATGACTCAGCAGTGTCACCTTCAAGAGGTACTAAACTTTCTGAGCGTGAGCTTTATGTGCTATTGGAGATCCCCTCCACCCCCTCATGGAGAAAATAAATATACCACAGAATTTTTATAAAATTCAAATGTAAAAGTGTTCAGCATAATTCAAGGCACATGACAGAAACTCTGAAATGTCAGTGTCCTTTGTCCACAAAATGGACAGTCTTAAAAAGGTAAAAGGTCACTTAGCAGACACTGGACGCTCCTCCCATATTCCCTTGGCCTTACCACTTTCTTGCACACAGCCCTGCTTCCAACTGCCAGTGCCTGCATTGCTCTGCCTGGGGGCTTTCTTTGGCCTCCAGCCACTGCCTTGTTTCTTATGCCTCAGGCTAGGCCTGCCGCTGAGTCTACGTGCCCTGGGAAATCTCTCAACCAAATGCTGGTGGAAGAAGGCGAATAAGCATTCCAGCCTCTCTGTCCATTGAAGGGATAGCCCCAAGGCACATGTTCTGCATTTGCTCCCAGAGTTCCCAGTGGGATTAAGCTCTAGTGACCCACAGAGGTAACATGCTTGGGGTAACACACTTTGTTTTTTTGTCGAGACACAGTTTCTCTCTGTCACAGGCTGGAGAGCAGTGGCATGATCTCAGCTCACTGCAACCTCTGCCTCCTGGGTTCAAGCAATTCTCCTGTGTCAGCCTCCTGAGTAGCTGGGATTACAGGCATGTGCCACCACGCCCGGCTAATTTTAAATTTTTCTGTTTTTAGTAGAGACAGGGTTTCGCCATATTGGCCTGGCTGGTCTCAAACTCCTGACCTCAGATGATCCACCTGCCTTAGCCTCCCAAAGTGCTGCGATTATAGGTGTGAACCACTGCACCCGGCCAGGTAACATACTCTTTATGGTCCTCCCTTCCTCCTCTGTCTCACTTCACCAAGCCTCTACCAGTGCTTCCTGGGACCAGCCCCCCAAAAAACTCCTTCATTCAAATCCTCTTCTCAGAGTGTGTTTTGGGGGTAACTCAAATTAAGTCACATTTTCATTATCTTCCTGAAGAGTCCATATTGACCCCTTTCTATGGTGATATGAAACTTCAGTGATATGAGTTTCTTAATTGTCTGGCTCTCTTGCCTACTTACCACAAAACGAACTTCATGCTCTAGTGTAACCATCTCTTCATTCCTGTTTCTGTGTTTCTGCTTATAATCCTATTTCATTCGGAATTCGTCCCCACCTTCTAGCCCCTTTTCCTTCAGGTACTATGTTAATGTTTCTCAGTAGGAATTGTTCATGAAGTATTTTTCAAACTTAAGAGAAAAACACGTTTCTGGGTCTCCCATGTTAGCCTTAAGTATAACTATATAGCATATTTGTATTTAAATCCATGCTAACTTAAAATGTTATAAACTCCTTAGGGTCATAACATTTATGTAATTATGAAACCAAAGCAAAGTTATATATTAAATACCAAAATCAATAAATTTCAAATTAACATTAACTCAATGTGATTTTTACTTCTGCTAACTACTCCCACTGAAGATATGAGGCTGATGCAAGACCTAGAAGCCTGTTGTGCATAGGCCACAGTGAGCTGTGAGGTGATAAGCGTCTCTCACTCCTTTTCTCTCTCCTCATTAATATGAACACATTATTTGTTCAGTGTGTGCAGTCTAACATCATTTGACGTTCACTTCCTAAAATGGTGTCATTTACACATGAAATTTGTTTCTGTTCTATTCTCATTAGCCCAATGTGTACTTCTTAGAACCAACATGCATATGAACAGAAAAGCAAACAGTTGCAGTGGTGGACTCAGTTATAAGGTGATTTAGATGACGTATTATTTTTTAATATTGTCATTGTATTAATAATAGCACAATTTTTAAATTACATTGAGATACACTGATTTGCATCAGATAATTAGCACCTATTAGATATTGTCATTGTCTATTTGTCTTTTTTGTTTTTTATAATTTTTTAGTGACTATACCTAGAATAAAGTCCAATCTCTTAGCATAGAATTCAAAATCTTCCACAATATGCCTTCAGTCTTTCCAGGGCTTCTAAGCCATGCCTAGTCACAATGGACTACAACCTACCTGTCAACACTTCCTTCTTAAACCTGTACCTTTATTTACACTGCTCCTTTTAATCTGAAATGATCCCCTGCAAGCACAGATGTCACAGTGTTGCTAATAAGAACATAGGCTTTGAAATCAAACAGACTCAGATTCTAGTTGCTGATTCTGATAACTACTAGCTATGTGATTTGGACAAGCTGCTTAAGTTTTCTGAATCCTCTAACCAATAAAATGAGGATATGAAAACTATCCCAAGGGGACTTATAAATATCAATTCTTTATAGAGTACCTGTACCATCTCGGGTTATTCATAAATGATACCTATTATTTTGTAGTCCTCAATCTTTTCAGTTAGAATGAATCATTTCCTCATCACTACTAACACTCAGCTTTGTTTGTACTCCACATTTGACATTCATCCCACTATGTACAGTATTAGTTATACATGTATTTCACAACCAGACTACATACCTTGGGTTTAATCATTCATGCTAATTTTCTCAGAGCCTAGCACAGTGTCTAACATGGGATAGTACTCAATTATAATCTATTGAATTTATTTGGACTGAATTCCAAATCCTGTGGTGCCAAGCACAATAATAAGTATTTAGTGGATGCTGAAAAAGTCTGTTGATTGATCCACTATGTGACATGGTCAGAGAAACTCCTTGAAAACAATGCCAAGTAAGTCTACAAAGAACCATCTATTCATTTCTCTGGTTTAAGAGCAACTTTTTCAATTGTGATGCAGAAAAATTAATCTGTCAAGCATTTAGCATACACTGAGGATATTGTTTCTTTTTACAAGGACTCAGATAAGGGGGTAAAAAAAGCACAGGAAAAAAAAACCTTCTTAGTTAAAGCAAGCTAATGGCCAAATAAAGACCTCAAAACTGCCTCCTCTTTCTTCAGTTTCTTCAACTAGAACCTAACTTTCCTATTGTGCCAGAGAAAAGATTCTCTAAGTGGTAGACTTAATTATAGATTTGTTAATAATTCTCAAATTGTTTAAGATTTAAGGTACATACCGATCAATCCTCAATGAGTTATACAATACTCCATTACTCTCTAAAAGGCAGAAAATTAATACATTCAAATATTAATTCTGAATTAAAAATTAGTGATATTAGAAAATCCATATTTGCTGAGGAGCAATACATTCCGTATAACAAGCACAATCAACGCACTGCATGATGAGATGTAATCATGAATGTAAATCATGTGATAAAATCCAAAGTCAATGTTATGTTTGTCTCTCACCGCCTTTCTTTCTTTCTTTCTTTCTTTTTTTTTTCTGAGAGGGAGTGTCGATCTATTGCCCAGGCTGGAGTGCAGTGGCATGATCTCAGCTCACTGCCTCCCAGATTAAAGACATTCTCCTGCATCAGCCTCCTGAGTAGCTGGGATTACAGGCATGCACCACCATGCCTGGCTAATTTTTGTATTTTTGGTAGAGATGGGGTTTCACTATGTTGGCCAAGATGGTCTTGAACTCCTAACCTCAAGTGATCTGCCCACCTCGGCCTCCCAAAGTGCTGGGATTACAGGCATGAGTCACCGCGCCTGGCCCCACTGTTTAAAAAATCCATTCACTAGGGAAAGTTTTTCCCTTTCCAACGAATGAAAACTCTGGCAGGCTCCATGACATCTCTGGACATTCATAGGTAATAAAAAGACATTAGTTGCTGAACAGAGTCTCAATTTAGTACACTGAAGTTTGTCTAACAAATTAAACAGCAATTGAATCTTTATTCAAAGGTTAGACTACCATCCCTCTTCCCCTACTTTGGACTGTGGTAATCTGACCTCTCTAGGGTCTAAATGAAAGAGAGATGTGGGAAAGACGGGCTGCAAAGTTCTCACTTGACTAATACTATTGTAAAATGGCTTCACACTCTCTTGGCCTCGCAGATGTTTACATCTCTCTCTCTCTCAGATACACACATGCAGACACAGACACACACACACACACACACACACACACACATTTTCATGGGTTCTCAAGTGCTCTTCTACTGTCCTCTTTTGATTGTAACTCCGGTGACATGGACTATTCATTCTAACCCTCCAGCAGCTAATTCCCCCTCAGCCTCTAGTTTTCCCATCTTCCATTACTCAAAGACTGCTGAAGTTGCTCTGCGGTCTCTGGCAGTCCTCTCAAGCAGGAGTCAAAATTACTTTGGACAGTGGTGTCTGCTTCTCTGGGTCCCATGTCTGGTCCCCAGGAGTCACAGACCTTTGGCCCATCTGGAGTAGAGTTCAGTTACAGCCCAAACACAGCCCTCTACTTAGCTTCCAAAGGCCCTTTTTGACAGCTTTTCACTTTCAGATACCTCAGGTGGACATCAGACATGAGCTAGCTGTACTCTCCCAAGTCTGGGGGAGACAATAAACTCCTAGAGTCTCCTCTGAGGCCTCTTCCTATAGGCAGTGTGTGAAGAAAGTCACAGCACACACACACACACGTGTACGTACACACATACTTCCCTCCCTTGCCATGGGATAAAAGGTGGCAAATAACAGCAGATGCTATTTTCCAAAGAAATTGTCCTCACAAAATCTTTAATCTCGAAAAACCTGACTTTTGAATACACTTGTTGGGGGATGAAATCCATTAGTTGAACATTTCCTTTGAAAATCTGCATCGGCTGGGCGCAGTGGCTCACGCCTGTAATCCCAGCACTTTGGGAGGCTGAGGCAGGTGAATCACAAGGTCAGGAGTACAAGACTAGCTTGGCCAACATGGTGAAATACCATCTCTACTAAAAATACAAAAAATTAGCTGGGTGTGGTGGTGGGTGCCTGTAATCCCAGCTACTCAGGAGGCTGAGGCAGGAGAATCACTTGAACTCGGGAGGTGGAGGTTGCAGTGAGCTGAGATAGCACCACTGCACTCCAGCCTGGGCGACAGAGCGAGACTCCATCTCAAAAAAAGGAAAAAATAAAAAAGAAAATCTGCATCTTGATATCTTCTAAGTCATTTCAGTATCTGATATATATTGTATTTTGGTGGCTCCGATAAAACTAAAAAATAGCACTCTGTTGTATCAGTTTATAAGTTATAGGCATTGTTTTCTCCAGAATAAATATCTTTAGCAGGTGATATTATAATAGTTTATAGACTGCTTATACTATTTTCTTTGCCTTTTTTGGCAACAGATTTAATTTTAATTACCATATCACTTGGAGTGTTTGGTGAAATGTGTTTCAATTAGGAGAGTTGGAACTGTGAAAAGTGCCCACAATGAAATACTCTGAGAGAATTCTTACACAAACAGGGCTCCATTCCTTCACCCTTTAGCCTCAAGTTGCCACTCTGTCTGAAACTGATCTGAGAACTGGGAGGCCCTGAGTCATTCTGGTTAAGAATTGGAGACATAAGTGTAGAAGTCAAATCAGCAAATGAATGGAGGAAATTTGAAGTTGAAATGGGGTCCCAAAGTTCCTTCCAGGTTCATCCTGGCTCCTCAAGAAGCAATATAATAAGGGAAAAGAGGTCTAACTCTTCAAAACTTGAGAGGCAATACAGTGTCCTTGTTAGGGAGGTGGATTGTGAAGTCAGACAGCCTGGTTCAAATCTTGGTTTCAACTCTTACAAGTTAGTGACGTTAGACACACTAATGCCTCAATTTCCACATCTATAAATGGTGATAAGTAGACCTACCTCACAGTTTTTGATAATTAAATAATATAAGCAGTGAATAGCAGAAAATATTTATTATTTATACTATTACTATTATGATTCCATCCAACACCAAGCAAGAAGAGGATCCACACATCAGAGGCTTATGAATAAGGAGTGAGAGAGAAAGTGTGGCAATACAAAGTTTGGTAGAGACTCTGGATGGGTCATCACCAAACTTGTTTCTGCTTCTTCCTAGGTATACATGTGAATCACATGCCCCAAACTTGCCAGCATTCAGGTATGACCAAATTCTGGACAGTAAAATAGTAGTGGATGTATAGTCACAAACATGTCCTATAAAACATCCCTCAATAATATTCTATACTCTTTCCCTCTTCCACAGCAAACTTGCATGATGGCAGGTTTGCATTATTGAAGGAGCCACTTAGAGGCCCAGTGATCAGAAATGACTGTTGGAACTAGATGTGCATGAAGCAAGCAAAAGTCCTTTTTGTGTAAAGCCACTGAAATTTGGAGAATTATGTATTACGGCAATTGGTGTTACCTTAACAAAGCCAACTTTAAGTTTTGCCCCTAGAACTATCCTTGCGATGATTTTTAAAATCAAACATCAAAGCACTGAAATTTTAAAAAGGAAACAGGAAAATGCCATTTTTCCAGTCTTTTTTTCCCAAGCCATGGATTAAACTTTTCCAGACCTAGTCCAGCACAGGAGAAGAGGACTGTTTTACACTGTATGATAAACAAAGGAATCAAGTTCTGGGGAAGGGAATGAGTCAGAGGATGACAGCAACCAGGAAAATGGGGAATTGGGGAAATGTGTCAGTAATCTTGAGGAAGAAACACATTAAATAACATGATGATGAACAAATATCTCATCATTACCTCAGACTTCTGGTAAAGACTGATACATACATTGATGCCTTATACAATGACCTTTATGGGAAAATTGTGCAAAAGAGATGGGTTCAGAAGTTGTCCATAATATATTCAAGAAATATTTAATGAGTGCTTACTTTAGGCCAAGTGCTGGTCTAGATGCTGGAGATATGCAGGGAACAAAATGGACAAAAATCCTTGCCCTCATGGAGCTTGCGTTAAAGTTCAATAGAAAGACCGCTGTGGCTGGGGCAGGATGAACCAGGGAGAAAGTGGTAAGAGATGGCATCAGAAAGGTAATAGGAGGCTGTTTACCCAGGTCCCTAAAAGGAAAGCCACTGAAGGGTTTTGAGCAGAAAAATGACATAATCTAATTTAAATTTTAACAAGACCACATTGGCTGCTGTGTTGGAAACAAACTACAGAGGGGCAAGAGTAGAAGCAAGGAGACAAAGGCTATTGTAGCAATCCAGGAGAGAGGTGATGCTGGCTTGAAGCAGGATGATGGTGGTCATAGGGGTGTAATGGGTGATGGTGAACTCTCTCTCTCTACATATATATATGGAACACAAACACATACACACACACACATATATATATATACACACACACAGAGATGGTAGAACTGACAAGGTTTTCTGCTGAACTACATGACGTTATGTGTGAGAGAAAAACAGGAATACCAAGAGTTGCCATTAACTGAGACGGTGATGGCCACAGAAGAAGCTGATTTTGGATATGTGGAGTTGGATATTCAAGTGAAGATAAAAAATAGGCAGTTGGTTTATGGGTCTGAAATTGAAAGGAGGGACACACACACTAAAGATACAAATTTGGGAGTCATCAGCACATAGATTGTAACTCAACTTGAGACTGAATGCGATCACCTAGGGAGTGAATGTAGTCAGAAAAGAGCCCTAAAGAGTGTTCCACGGGTTATTTCAATATTAAGAGGCTGGGCAGATAAGGAGGAATCAGAAAAAAACTGATAAGGAACAGACGGAAAGGGAGAAGGAAAGCCAGGCAAATGTGGTGTCCTAGCAGCCAAGTGAAGGATATGTTTCAAGGAGGGAATGGCGATCATTTGTCATATGCTGCTGCTAAGTCACACAAAATGAGGACTCAGAAGTAACCACTCAATTGAGCAATTTGAAGGATTGGGCAACGCAAAACACAGGAGAATGTACTCATTTTATAATTCTCCCTGACAAAGTATCTCTCTGGCAATATTATTCCCTTTTAGCAAGGTTATAAATGATTTATCCTAAACTTTTTCTTATGCTTCTAATTTACTGTATCCCCTGATAACATTGACCTATTTGTCCATTTTATATAGTTTTTATGAATAACAGTGACACTAATTATAAATCATATTAATCATATTGTAGTTTTTAGATAAAGTGAGATTTGGTTTTAACTAAATTACTTAAAATAACATATAAATTAAAATGTAAGCTGCTTTGTTATCTAAATAAAAGACTTATGCCACAATAGTAGCAACCACTTAGTGAGCACTGACTGTGTGCTAGGCAATGTGCTAAGTGCTTTAAATGCTTTGCTTTATTAAACCCTGACAGTAATCCTGCAAGGCAGGACCTGTGATTATTCCTATCTTGCAGGCAAGGAGACTATGGCTTAGAAATTGAGTAATTTGCCCAATTTACCCAGCTAGCAGGTAGCAGAGCCATGATTCAAATTCAGTTTGATTTCATGCTACTCAAGCATAATTACTACTGATACACTCACTAATATTTCTTCTATTTTAACTGAATCAATTTGACATTTTCCCCATAAAAAGAAGCTGAATACCCTTTCCATTTTGGCATATAATAGCATACATCAGGCTGGGCGCAGTGGCTCATGCCTGTAATCCCAGCACTTTGGGAGGCCGAGGCGGGCAGATCACCTGAGGTAGGGAGTTCAAGACCAGCCTGACCAACATAGTGAAAACCCATCTCTACTAAAAATACAAAAGTCAGACAGGCGTAGTGGCATGTATCTGTAATCCCAGCTACTCAGGAAGCTAAGACAAGAGAATCGCTTGAACCCAGGAGGCAGTGGTTGCAGTGAGCCGAGATTATGCCACTGCACTCCAGCCTGGGTGACAGAGCAAGACACTGCCTCAAAAAAAAAAAAAAAGCATAGGTAATACACCCTATACCCTCTTAATTTAATCTCAAAGGGTAGGTCTTTTCCCACCCTTGTCCCAGCCTCTACCCAGTCCTTTCACCCTTACTCCTTCATCCTTAGGAAGAAAGAGCTTTAAATTTGAGAGACCATAGTACCAGATGTCAAGTTTTCTGTGGCAGGGTCAGTATTACCACACTCAGTGTAGTTCTCATTTCTTTTTTTTTTTTCTTGAGACAGAGTCTCGCTCTGTTGCCCAGGCTGGAGTACAGTGGCGCGATCTCGGCTCACTGCAACCTCCGCCTCCCGGGTTCACGCCATTCTCCCGTCTCAGCCTCCCGAGTAGCTAGGACTACAGGCGCCCGCCACCACACCGGGCTAAATTATTTTTGTATTTTTAGTAGAGACGGGGTTTCACAGTGTTAGCCAGGATGGTCTCGATCTCCTGACCTCATGATCTGCCCGCCTCGGCTTCCTAAAGGGCTGGGATTACAGGCGTGAGCCACCGTGCCCGGCCCTGTAGTTCTCATTTCTTACTCTTATGCCATCTCTTGTGGGGAGGTAGGTATTCAGCTTCTAGGACCAAGCAAGGCCAGGTTATAGTCTGTTGACTGCTTGGGCATGGCTCTCTGCTCTACCAGAAGAAGAGCATTAGGAATTGGGGAGTGAAAGTTCCAGCAAGAATCCAGTGTGAAGGCAGCTGGCATTCATTATTAATTCCCATTTCATGAAAGACTTTAGTTTAAAAGAAAGAAAGAGAAGAAGAGAAAGAGAAAGAAGTTTGTATTATTCCAATAAATATCTCCATATTTTTCACTTTGGCATCAAAATAATTTGCTCTGTAGCTTCCAGCTAATGAAAAATCACTGCAAAATCAAAGAAAATAATAATTTCATAAAATCAGAATCATGAGAGTAAAATTGACCAAAATACAAAGATTCACCTGCTTATTTAATTTTCCCCATTTGGTAAATATAATGTATATATATTTCCAATTTTTCCAGGTATTTCATTTTGGGTTTTTTGTTTGTTTGTTTGTTTTGACATGGAGTCTCACTCTATCACCCAGGCTAGAGTGCAGTGGTGGGATCTCAGCTTACTGCAACCTCCACCTCCTGGGTTCAAGTGATTCCCCTGTCTCAGCCTTCTGAGTAGCTGGGATTACAGGTGAGCACCACCACACCTGGCTAATTTTTATATTTTTTGTAGAGATGGGGTTTCGCCATGTTGGCCAGGCTGGTCTCAAACTCCTGACCTCAGGTGATCCACCTGCTCCAGCCTCCCAAAGTGCTGGAATTACAAGCATGAGCCACTGCACCCAGCCTCCCATTTATTTTTAATTTATCTCAATTCTTCAGATTCCTGCTACACTTTCTACTGCTTCATTATGTGACTTTCTAGTCTAGCTAGTGTTTTTAGAAGTCATTTCTTCGTAAACGCGTACATCACTATCAACATTGTAACAGCACACTCTCAGTGATAATGATAACTAGAATAAACCAGCAACTTGGTTCTTCATTTTTAATATTGCTGAGTCTTTTGTTGCTGTCTTTATGAGGCACATAGTAACTAGAAAGGTAATATGCCAGCAGACATTTCCAGGCCATTTGGGTATCAGAAACTATGCTGGAAATCTCTGTAGTCATTTCTGATGCTCCTACAGACCAAACTGACTTGTATGATGCAGTAATATCTCTGTTCATGAAAAGGAAATGTTCTGACTCAATGCCATATCACTGGAAGCATCTTTATTGGAAGCTGAGAGAAAACGGTCACTACAGATGACTTCTAGACCGAGAATTACCTCTGTTCCTTCCCTTTTGGCCTACATATGTATATCAGTTATCCACTGCTGTATAACAAACTACCACAAAATGTAGAGGCTTAAAACTCATTTATTATTGCACAAGATCTTGTGGTTCAGCAACTCTATGACTAGGCAGTTGTTCTTGCCATCTTGCCTGGGATTACTTATGAAGACGCAGCTGCCAGGAAGTGCTGGCTGTCACCTAGAGCACTTCAGTTCTCCTCTGCATGGCCTCTCATCCTCCAGGAGGCTGGACTAGACTTCTTTACATAGCGATCCCAGAGCAGAATTTTAAGAGGGTAAAAGTGAAAGGTGCAAGGTCTCTTAAGGTCTAGCATTAGAAGTCACATAAAATTACTTCTATCACATTCTATTTATCAAAGAAAATCATAAGATCACCCCAAATTCAAAAGATGTACAGACATAAATAATGCACATGTTTTCTTACTAGGCAGAATTTCCCGTAATCACAAGTGCTCTCTGGCCAGGACATAAGTGTGTTGCTCAGGTTGTGTCCTGTCCAAAGGTATCTAGCAAAGGGGGTGAGTCCTAGGCTCTGTTTACCATGCCATGTGCCCTGCTGCAGGGTTATATGGCCCCAAAGAAAGTGGCACCCTCTTCTAATGTTCACAAAGGTACTCTATGGAATAGAGGCAATCTTCTCCATGAACTCTGAATGTGGTCCTCTACTCATGCCCCGGGCTCCCTAGCTACCTAAGGGAGGCCTGGAGATCCCATGGTATTAATGCCCCCTGAGGCTTAGCAATAACTGCCATAAATTCAGCAATGGTTTTCCCTTTTCCACACCCATGTCCCCAGGCCAACCTTGTGGAAAAGTAGCACAAGCGTGAAATACTCATTAATCTTGACTCTTCTACAGACGTCTCATTTTCTCTCTGTTCTCATATAGAAGATCAGGCACTTTACCTAGAATTATGTAAAGGTACACAGATCTGCTCACAATATTCCTTTGCTCACAATTTTTAATAGCCAATTTCTATTAAACAATTACTATTAGCCAGGCAATGTTCTTCAGGGATGTCCAAACTTTTGGCTTCCCTGGGCTACACTGGAAGCAGAAGAATTGTCTTGGGCCACGCATAAAATACAGTAACACTAACAATAGTTGATGAGCTAAAACCAAAAAAAAAATTGCAAAAAAACCTCATAATGTTTTAAGAAAGTTTATGAAGTTGTGTTGGGCTGCATTCAAACATTCAAAGCCATTGTGACCAGCTGGGGTTAGACAAGTTTGTTCTGAATATATTAGCTATATTGCCTCATTTAATCATTGCAAGACCCTATAAAGTAGGAATCATTACTATTATCAATAATGAAACTCAGGTACAGAAAAGAATCAGAAGCCAATTCCAGGGAGTTTGCTGCTAAAGCCCATGTACTAGCCTCTGTACTATCTTCAATATTTTCCCTTTGCCTATAGAATAAGGTTCAAATCTCTGAGTGTGGGAAGTCTGCCAGTGATCTCAGAGATGACCTACGGGATGTGGGATTACTGTGGCCTCTTGTTTGGAATGTTGAGGGCAGAACCTCTAAGACCTGGCCCAAGTCTCATTTTCATGGGCTTTCTTTTACTGCTTAACTCTGTAAAAATCCCATGACTTCCTGCCTCTGGGACTTATCTATGTGTACTCACAACCAAAAATAAAACAAAACAAAACAAAAAACCTTTTCACTCCATTAATTAATTTGCAGAACTAATACTTATTCAGTTCTTTCTATGTGTCTAGCATTATTCTAAGTGTTTTAAGTGATTTAACTCATTCAATCCTCACAACTGTTAGTAAATAACATTATTAAATTCATTTTAAAAATGAAAAAAACTGAGGCATAGAGAGATTAACCATTCTGCCCAAAGTTGTACAGCTATAAGTAGCAGAACCCATATTCAAGTTCTGGAAGACTGGTTCTGGAGCCTATGATCCATACCCCAACTCAATGCTGTCTCTCAACAATTTCTTATATACATACACACACACACAAAATCCCTAAAATTAGATATTTTAAAATAATACTAGTGGACTAAAAACTCCATTTTTCAATAACTCAGTGTGGTTTTTAGAAAATGAAAACTTAATAGGATATTTTTTAAATGGGGAACCACAAAATACTATGAATAGCCAAAGCAATTCTGAGAAAAATACGGTTAGAGGCATCACACTGCCCGATTTAAAATTATATTACAAAGCTACAGTAATCAAAACAGTATGGTACTAGCATAAAAAAAGAGACACAGAGAACAGAGTAGAGAGCTCAAAAGTAAACCCGAACTTACACAGTCAACAAATTTTTGACAAGATCACCAACTGGACGCAAAGAGGAAAAAATAGTCTCCTCAACAAATAGTGCTACAAAAACTTGATTTCCACATGCGAAATAATAAAATTGACTCTTATCTTACATCATGTACAAAAATCAAATCAAAACAAATAAAAGACCTACACTTAAGACCTGAAACCGCAAAAGTCTTAGGAGAAATACGGAAAAACCTCCTTGGCATTAGCCCTGACAATTATTTCTTGTGTATTATGCCAAAATTCAGCCTACAAAATCAAAAATAAATAAATGGGACTACATCAAACTTAAAAGCTTCTGCACAGCAAAGGAAACAATAAAATAAAAAGACAACCTACAAATTATTTTTTAAAACTGTAAACCCTGCAACAGATAACGGGTTAATATCCATGACTTATAAAGAACTCATGACACTGAATAGCAAGAAAACATATAATCCAATTTTAAAATGGGCGAAGAACTTGAATATGCATTTCTCCAAAGATGACATAAAAATGGCTAACTGGTACATGAAAAGGTGCCCTAATCTTTAATCATCGGGGAAATGCAAATGAAAACCACTGTGAGATAACACCTCACATCTGTTAGGATGACTGTTATCAAAAAACAAGAGCTAACAAGTGTTGGTAAGGGCGTGGAGAAAAGAGAACCTTTGTAAACTGTTGGTGGGAATGTAAATTGCTACAGCCATTATGGAAAATGGTCTGGAGGTTATTCAAAAAATTAAAGACAAAACTGCCATAAGATCCAGCAATCCTGCTGGGTATATATTAATAGCACAGGAAGTCATTATGACAGAGAAACATTGGCACTTCCATGTTCACAGCAGCACTATTCACGATGGCCAAGATATAGGAGCAACCTGTGTGTCCACAGACAAATGGATGAAATAAACTGTGGTATACATACACAATTGAATATTATTCTGCCTTAAAGAAGGGAGGAGATCCTATCATTTGCTACAGCATGGATAGACCTGGAAGACATTATGCTAAATTAAATAAGCCAGACACAGAAAGAAAAATATTGCATGATCTTACTTATATGTGGAATCTATTAAAAAAGGAATAAAGGGTTGAGGTGGGAGGAGGAAATAGGAAGATGCAAGTCAAAGTATGTAAAATAGCAAATATGTAGGATGAACAAAAGTCCAAAAATCTAATGTGCAACATGAGGATTATAGTTAATAGCAGTATATTTTTTTCAGGATTTTTGCTAAATGAGTAGATATAGCTGTTCTTGTCACTGTAGGGGGAATGGGTAACTATGTGAGATAATGAATATGTTAATTTGTTCCACTATAGTAATAATTTTACTATATAGATGTGTCTTATAATGTTTTGTATCTTAAATATACACAAGAGAATTTATTTAAAAACATCTTAATAGGCAACACTTCAAACAATTTTTACTGAAAATGTATTTTGAGTGTAGTAATATAAAAGCAAAATTCATTTATATAAGTACCATTATTATTCATTGCTTAAATTCTATGACTTCAATTTTCAAAGTGATAAAGTGAAGACAGAATTAACAAATTGACGAAGAGAGAAGAGATTCATATAACAAATATTTAATGAGAAAAAAATTTTTTTTTGAGATGGAGTTTTGCTTTTGTCACCCAGGCTGGAGTACAATGGCATGATCTTGACTCACTGCAACCTCTTCTTCCCTGGTTCAAGTGATTCTCCTGCCTTAGCCTCCCAAGTATCTAGGATTACAGGCACTCACCACCACGCCCTGCTAATTTTTTGTATTTTTAGTAGAGATGGGGTTTCACCATGTTGGCCAGGCTGGTCTCAGACTCCTGACCTTGTGACTCACCTGCCTCAGCTTCTCAAAGTGCTGGGATTACAGGTGTGAGCCACTGCATCCGGCCCAAGAAACCCTTTTTAAAACATAGTGAATTGTCAAATATAAAATATAAAAGAATGGGAAAAGTTAAGGATGACATCCACTCAAAAAAAGGTGCTTGGGAGAAACAGTAGAAAGCTTAGAAAACATCACCACTTACCTTTCTTTTTATAAAAATGTGTGCTTTATGCAGCTAACTCTTCCAAGTCATGTCACTAAAATATAGTTAATGGCTTTCAAAATTTGAGCCATTAATTATACTTTCTATTTATTAAGCTGCCTACAATTTTAAACCTTGGGTCCTGCCAAATTGAAACCTCTGTGTGTTTCAATTAAAAGCTATTTGTATAAGTGAAAATCCACTTCATTGTCAGGATAGATGTTTAAAGCAATAATGCTAAAAACAAAAACCAAGCAAAGTTAATGACTAAGATCTACAGAGTGCTTACTAAGAGTTAGGTACACAGTAAGTGCATGCTTAATACACATCACTGTGTCTCACAAATAATCCATAAGTCCTTTCATTGTTATTATTCTCTGTTTTTCAAAGACAAGGACACTGAGTTAAATTGGCAAAGAAGAACCCAATACTAGACAGTTGGTTGATACAGCTAGGTCACTCAGCATCCAAGGAATCCTGCTCCTTGTACTTGTCAAGCCTACAGTTGACTAAGTTTAATTCATTTTTAACCCACTACATGTCACATACGTGTAGAGTGCTGGGAAAACAAAAACTGAAATGATACGGCCTCTCCTATTAGAGAGCTCATTGTTCACTAGGGAGTACGCATATGGAAGACGCTATCACAATACAGGGTGATGGTTAAGGTGGGTGAAGTGCCTAGGCATATAGTGTTAGTAAGAGTAACAAAATCTACATAATTTACAGCCAGCAAAGAAAACAGCATAATTAAGTATTTCGGAAAAGGTGGGAAGCAGGAGAGGTGTTAAATGAAACAGAAGTTAGTTTGAAATCGGCTTCATGATATGGAAGGTACATTGTTTATATTTATTTTAATTAGACTAATAATGTGGTATAAATACAACATTAATGAGCGAAATCAGGGTCATCATGGTATCACTTTCTCATTTACTCTGGGGTTTAAAATCACACTAAATGCATGACATTGTATCACTTGTCAACAGATAAACATAAATTTAATAAGACTTTTGGCACTTTTTTTTTTCTTTTGCTTTAGCACGTGGGTGAAACATCTGATATGCAGTCTGCCAACCACTGAATGGAAAAGATTGCTTTGTATTGTGTATGTTCTGGCTTTTATAAAATTGTGACTTTTAGAAACTTAATTATAAGTTTAAAATGACTTCTCATCCAGGCATGGTGGCTCATGCCTGTAATCCCAACACTTTGGGAGGCTGAGGTAGGTGGATCCGTTGAGACCAGGAGTTCAAGACCAGCCTCACCAACATGGGGAAACCCCGTTTCTACCAAAAATACAAAAATTAGCCAGGTGTGGTGGCGGGCACCAGTAGACCCAGCTACTTGGGAGGCTGAGGCAGGAGAATCACTTGAAGCTGGAAGGCAGAGGTTGCAGTGAAACAAGATCATACCACTGCACTCCAGCCTGGGTGACAGAGCAAGATCCTATGTCAAAAAAAAAAAATGACTTCTATAACTTTAGGAAATGTACTAATGTACTTTAAGTAATATAAGAATAATTCTATTTTTCCCTCAACTAGAATGTAACTCCATGAGAGTAGGGATTTGCTTACACTTTCTCTTCAGGACCTATAATGACGCATAAGGGGTACTCAATAACTATCTGTTGAATTAAAAAATTAATTAGTGGTAAAATTGGCATCTGGTCGAGAATATTATATCATACCTCCACTATGAACAAAAGCAGTGAACACTGGGATCGTTATCACAGTGAGCTGAATGGTGCCCCCACAAAAGATATGTCCATATCCTAATGCCTGGAAACTTGAATGGCAGTTTAATTGGAAAAAGGGTCTTTGCAGATGTAGTTAAGATCCTGAGATGACATCATCCTGGATTATGTGGGTGGGTTCTAAATCTAATGACAATTGTCCTATTAGGAGACATAGAGAAGAGTGACACACGCAGACAGAGAAGAAGTCCATATGAAGATGGAGGCAGAGGTTGGAGTTGTGTATCCACAAGCCAAGGAATTCCGAAAGCCACCACAAATTGGAAGCAGGGAAGGATTCTTTATTTCTTGAAGCCTTTGGAGTGAGTGTGGCCCTGAATACCTTCAGTTCAGACTTCTGGCCACCAGAACTTGAGAGAATCAAGTTCTGCAGTATTAAGCAGAAACTGAGGTACTTTGTTATGGAAGCCCTAGGAAAGTAATACAGTTATCAACAGACCTTCTGTGGAAGAAAACTGACGTGGGTAGTTGCCAAGCTGTAGCTGATTCACTGAGAAAGTATTAGGAACCTCTGCTAACAATCTTCAATGTATATAGATGAGAATTGACCACTGGCACTCATTGGTGACCTTAATAAAAGCATTTTCAGTAGAGTGATGGGTTACTAAAGTGGATGAAAGAGGAAAAAATTAAAGATAACTAGTATTGGCAACCATTTCAAGGAGTTTTGATGAAAAGTTGTAAGAAAGTTAGAAATGGGGGACATAGAGTCAAGAGAGTTATTTTGAAAAAAGGAAAAACAATAGCATGTTTGTATATTGATGGGATGAGCCAACAGAGAAGGGAAAGCTTATGATTCAGGAGAAGGAAGAACTGATGGAGCAATGTGCTTGACTCACCTTAGGTTGTTAACAAGACTGACATCATCCTTGCCCTTGGGGTGTCTGTAATAAAGGCTGGATGAGAGAATTTAAACTAACAATTGCAAGGGCATCAGGTGCCAAAAAGGAAAGGTAGAAGTGTTATGAGAGTGTAGAACTGAAGCACCTAATACTGGGAAAGGGGATGGTGGTAGTGGTGGTAGGGATCAGAGAAGCTTTTCTGAAGAAATGATATCTAAACCGAGTTTAAAAATGGTAGAAAGCCATAACTATGAAAACTCAAATACAAAAAAGATTCAAAATAATTTCAGTTTGCCTCATTTGATTTGATAACTCATTGCATTTATTCCACAAGGTACGCTGTAGCAATTTTTTCTCTTTGCTTTACAAGTAACGTCAAATAGATACAGAATCGCATTATAGAATTTGAGAATTTAAATTAGAAGTTTCATATCTTTCAGCTAAGTCAATCACAAAATCAGTTTTGTGTTCACTTGTCTGCTGTATCTGTAACTTACTGGCAATAAAAACATACTGACTAAAACTAAGACCAGCCATTCATGACACTTTAAATATTTAGAAAATCCATAAATTGCATATAACTTCTAGATGCATGTGTCTTCAATGATATATGACCATGGTTAAAAGAATTGTTTATTTTGTGCCATATTATTGCAACACTAACTATGTATGCAAGTCATTTTCATAGATAAAGCTTCATTGAGAAGAGAAAAATCACATGATGAATTTCTCTAACTATTTTAAATCCTCTGGGAATTGCTTTCCCAGATTGAAAAAAAAAATGTTTCTCTGTCAAACCATATACAAGCAAATCAATTCTCCAGCCACTTGCAGAATATTAAAAAAACTGTCTTGGTGAGACAATATTCAGGTAAACTGGCCATTTTTCTTTCCATTTCATTGCATTGCTGCCATATGTTAGCTACTGGAATTTTCTGTTTTGTGAGTAGTCTTAACTCTTCAGGAAACTTAGCAAATGAAGATGGTTGCACTGTTTAAATAAGAATGACCAAACTTCCATCTGATGAAGATTGAATTTTATGATTCTGATTATTCTGCAGTTCTCTCTATCTTGAAGTACTTGGGTTTCTTTCCAAAATCATTTATTTGTCCACTTTGTTTTAGAAATTTTACCCTTTTCACTTTATTTTCTGTATTATTGGTCATACTAGAAAATTAAATAGTTGTCAAGCAAAATAAAAAGGCTTGCATTTCTTCACTTAATAAAATGTCTTAAAAAATCATCTGAAACATTCCTATTACACATTCATTGCTGGTTATCCACAGGTTATGTTTCAGTCACCTGGGGCTTTGTTATGAATGTGTTTTACGTCTCTTTCACTGTGTTTCTGCTTTTACTACTATTTATTATGCTTATTTCATCTCCTTCCTTAAGACCATAAAATGACAATTTCCTCCAAGGCAGGTAGAGCTGTGCACTGTCTCTTCTGTTTAAGAATATGAACTGGTCTATTTTTCTCTAAATAGAAAATTTCCCCTACCTGCTGATGGTGACACACACTTAAAACCTCAACACGTGTAAAGAGCTTGGCCCAGTGCAGACACATAATGACAGTTCTATAAACACTGGTTGCCATTATTATTATTATTATTTTCTATGACTACAAATTTGTATGCATAAAATTTTCAGTCTCTCTATATTGAAAAAGACTTAGATTCTGAAAGCAATTCTTCAAAGTTGCACCAAATTAACAATAAGTAAAATACATCAACTCACTCAGGCCACTAGAGGGTCATTTACTACCATAAGATAATGGTGGCCAGGCACCTAGTCCTAGTTAGAAACTGCAGAAATATTCCAGAAATTTGGAATACCTGAAGAACAAAGGAGCTCACATTGACTACAGATGACAGACTCTGAAAAGGCCTCATACCTGAAGTGCTCCAGATAAACTATTTTTAGTAACTGGCCTTCAATATATTTAAACCTCTTGATTACAGTACTTCCATAATGGTTTTTAAGAAAACAGAAAGTAACAACTATTAAGTGGGCTCTAAAATAACAATCTGTATTATAGAATACTACTTTTATAAGTTAGCCCTCACGTACTATCTTCATTTATTCAACACATTTTTTATTGAATACATACCACATGTTAGACAGATACTACTTTAGGCATTGAATATACAGCAAAAAAAAAAAAAGTGCCTATCTTCATGACACTAGCAAAGTCAGACAGACTAATGAATACATATAAAAATAAACAATTCCATTTAAACAGACCAGGTAGTAATATATCCTGTGAAATGACGTATGAGCTACCCATAAAGGAAGTGAGGAATTCAGCTCTGCAGATAATAATAGTAGAGTATTTAGAAGAGAGGACTGTAAGTGAGACAGCCCTAAGGTAGGAACATGATCAACAATGTCCAGGAACAGCATGGCTAGAGCAAGGGGAAGTGCCGTGATAACAGCAGGCGAGCACATCATAGAAGGCCCTGTACGCTCTAAGGAGGAATTTGAATTTTATGCCATGATATTCTTCAGCCAAATAATCACATTAAAACATAATCTGAATTTTTTAAAAAGAGGAATTGAGACAAATAATTTTCTCTTACAACAGATAGTCAGCATGGCTGGATTTGTGCCTGACTTACCCCCTCTGCTGTGGAAGTACTCTAAATATAATACTTAACCATTTCACATCCTGGGGATCAGGATCAGTGAGAACTTAGAGGTAATTGCAACAGAGCTTTCTTCAAGCCTGGCATATGGGAAACTTAAGGATGAATAAGAAGGCCGAATTATTTTCTTGGTTCTGTCCCTAACTCTGATAAACCACTTTCAGTCACTCAACTGCTTCAGGTCTCACTTCCTCATCTTAAAGGCAGAGCACTGCACCAGATAATGTCTAAATTCTTTTCTAACTTTATAGTTATTCGATGCCTTTCCATTTGTTTGGACCTGGTAGAACTCTTAATAAACATCTCTAAAAAGACAAGAGAAATATTAATAAACTTCCCTAATTCACCAATTACTATAATTCAGATTGACAGCTGAATTTCTTTCTTGACATAATTTTACTTGTAAAAACTGTGGATCTCATGGATATTATGTAAATGATTTAAAAGTCATAAAACAATTTTGTGAAATATGTATGCAAATAAATACTTCTGTGTTTTTAGTAGTTTTAAAGAATTATCTCAACTTATCTTCTCTTAAAAATAAATTCTTGTGACCTTTCTTCTAAGCTCCATCCCACCCTACAGCACAATAGTTAACAGTGTGACATCAGAGAGTATAGGGTTTCCATCCCACCTCTGCCACTTATCAGTTATATATCTTGTGCAAACTGTTAAGCCTCTGTATGCCTCCTTGCATACACAATAAGGACCTGGAAATATAATTATCACTCAAATGTTAATTGCTATTATTAAATTTATGTATTTATTTTTATTTCTAACTGCCTATCGAACATCTCCATCTAGATATTCTGCTCTTAATTCAGGCTCAATATACTCTGTGTCATCAGACAGCATTAGGTACAACAGCTTATGTAAAAAAGGAAACCCAAAATACCAGTGCCTCAGAGAAGATGATGTTTATTTCTCTCTTAAACAAATAAATTCTGGAGGTAGGCAGTTTGGGGCTGGTGTGGTCTCCCTAGTCTTTAAAAATTCCCATCATGCGGCTTCCAAGCTCCAAAAGTCTGAGACTCTGGCTGGACTTCCGTGTTTTGGGATGCTAGGCAGTAAGAATGAGGGCAAGGTGAAGGCGCTTACCTCTAGATGGGTCTCCTCCTCTCATGCAGCCTTCCTTGAAGTCTAACACAACACTGTTGTATATCACATTACCCAGAACTTAGTCACATGGTTACAACCTGCTGCAAGGGAAGCTGGGAAATATCTCTTATCTGGACACACTATAGGCCTGACCAAAATGAGGATTCTCATACTGAAAAAGAAAGGGAGAAAGACTGTTGTACAGACAACTAACAGATTTTGCCACAGAAGTAAACTAAAAGTTTTATCTCACTTAAATATGTTCGTCCTCTGTGTTTTCTGTTTTGAACAAAGCATTGCCATCCTCCCAGTTAGCAGTCAAAGCTAGAAATATTGCATTATTTTTAATGCCTTTCTCTCCTGTGGCATCCATATCAAACCGATTGCTAAATGTAGCATTTACTATCCTTCCTTTCCATTCCCACTAGTGTTACTGCCTAACCTAGATCCTAGCACGACAGAACCGTCTCCTAGATGTTCTCCACACTTTCAGTCTCCCTCATCTTCGATCTCTTTTAAAGACTGCCATCAAGTCACTATGTGGAAGCAAAATCCTGATCATGTCACCTCCTTCTGCTAAGTCTTTGGAAAGTCTGCAATGCCTGAAGAAAAGCCCCAAATCCTTAGACTGACTTTTAAGTTCCTTGTGACCTGACTAATTTTATTGCCCTGGAACCATAAACCTGATAGTCTAGTTAAACTGAACCACTCACTGATGCTATACTTAATCTGCACAACTTGATTCATGCTGTTCTTTCTCCAACGCTAACAAACCGTTTTAGTTTGGGTACACCAAAAGTAGATGCTGAGAAAAGGATTTGGAAGTAGATGGTTTAATTCAGAAGTGATCTCAAGAAATATAAGAAAATGGAAAGCGAGAAAAGAAAGAAAATGCAATAATGGCTGCATTAATGATGAAGTTACTACTGTGAGCCACAGGAGCACAATCCTGTTAGGGACCCTCTGGTAAACATGAAGGTCACACCACCAAATGGTTCTCCTGAAGGAGGCTGGGGAGGCAGGGCCATTGATCTATAGATTCTTTCCCATCAGCCACTGTCTGAGGGTTGCTCTTGAGGGTGTTAACTCCTCTCCATTCCCCTGTGGAAACTGCAGCATAGCCAAGCAAGCTCTTCTAGTGCCAGAGAAAGCCCAAAGGCAGAAAAGCAAAAAGGTGCTGATGCCTGACTTAGGAAAACATCTGCATGCCAAGAACCATCCACAGCTATAAATGGACTCAGGTGAGCAGAGCACTGTAAAGTCCACTAAAAGGACCAAAGCCCATCTATACTAACTTCCAACACATGTTTAAGGCAATTTCTCCTTGAAGCTTTCTCTGATCTTCTAAATATGAAGTATTTGATCATTACTTGATCTCTTTCCATTAGATCACTTCTTTATCCTTGTGGAGATACTGAATATGGTTATCAGGCTGTATGCTTCTTGAGAATAAGCTTTGTATCTAATTTTGTAAGTGTAAAACTTTTACCTAACAGGACCATGAACAAGGAAGAAATTATCAAGCACTGTGGACATTTAAAGGCCACAGAAATCATCCTGGTTATAAATTATAAAGGTCTGGCCTAGTGTAAAAGAAATAAATACATATATATAGGAACACCGTGGCTTTCTTACAACCTTAGAACCTGTACCTCTGGGATTTATTTTAAATGAAATATTACAGTGAGTTTAAATATCATCAGGTGCTTCATTTAAACAGTTTGTGAAGGTTAAGCTGAACCCTCAATTCATTAACAATAGACCAAGAGGAGTAGTTAATTTAGTTTTTAAAGCAGTAAATACTGCATATTAAAAGGTAACCCCTCACTGTATCAGTCCTAAATTTAGAGGGAAGTTCAAGAACAGGACAATATTAGACTTCCCCTTCAGGGGTTTAGTTACTGGAGGACCAAATTACCTCATCGAAAAGCATAATATTTATGAGTCAACTCAAAGGCAAAGCTCCCTATAGACTCAGGAGTATATTCGGCTATACAATAAAAAATCACTCAATGAAAGTTCTTATTCATTCTAGTTAATTTAGGAATTGAATGTTTCACATACCATTTCAATGATCATATTTATCTTCACGGGTAATAAGTGTACAATTCCATTAATTCATATAAGTATCTGTAAGAAGTATTCTAAGCAACCCTTACTGGCACTATCACTTAATTTCAAAGATAACACTGCTGCAAATCAACTCTATTGCCGACATTGATTGCAAAAGATTTATCTCTTTTTAAATAATTTATTTTCACATTTAAACCAAATTCATCTTAGTAAAAATACAGGAGTAGTATAAAATTAATATCAGGAAGATAACACCAAGTACCAATATGCCTAATCTGAAAAGGCAACAACAGACATTCTTTTCATTTCATAAAACAACTGGCATTTTGATTTAATCTCCTACTTCTATTCGAAAATCTAGAAATTAAGAAGATTCTCTTGAATACTAGACTGAGGGATTCTTCCTGACTATGAGAGAGTTAAATAGTCATAAAGTGAATCTTATTAATCGAGTCATATTTTTATGTTAATAGCACTACTGTCATATTTAAAATTAGAATACCAAGATTTTAATAGGCATATATCTTGAAGACAGTGTGGTCTGGTCTAAAAGGATCAGCTATTATAACACTATTAATCCATTTTGGCATTTCTCTCCATCTGTATTTCAATTCATTAAAAATTGAGTTCTGTCAGTTTACAAAATGGCTATTTAATATTTTCTGCTAAATTACATTTGAGATTATAGACTAAACTGCCTCATATGATATCATTATTTTACTAACATTTTCAATAAATTGCCAGTCTAAAAGTCTGCTCATTACTATGGTAGAAATTATGATAAGGTTACAAATAAGAAAACAGAATTATTAACTTTTACCAAATATCATAGAACATTTACACAATACCATCAATCATTTCCATTATAAAGAGAACATTATACAGCATTCCAAAATCTGCTAATTCAGCCACTTGGTATTTCATTACTCTAAAACTGAGACTGAAGAATTAAGCTGCAAGGAATCAGGGTTTAACTGAGCACTTCCAGCTCTGCCATTTGACATGGAGCAAATAAAAGAAACACCAGCTATATTTCTAAGGATGTTTTCCAGACCTTTGCACATTAAAAAAGAGAAATCATTCATTATACAGCAAGTTTTCCAAAAGTCTGTGACCAAACTACATGACAGGACAATTTGGCATGTGTCATGGTTGTGGATTTGCATATGCATGTTTGTGTATGTATACAGATACATGCACATATATAATATAGTGAGATATGTTATATATTATGTTACATGTATATTATATATCATACATATATATTTGATACTAGATATATTGATCTAATATTATATATTAGATATATTGATATTACTGGTCTTGAGTGATATTCTCTAAAAGAAAGAATCATGAGGAAAGTAGAAGACCATGGAACTAGAAAAAACTGAGAGCTTCCAGAGAAGCTGTAGACAAACTAGAAGGCGAAAGTACCTAACTGGGGCAAATCTTCACAGATGTCAAATAATTCAAAGGCCAAAAATATCTGCTAGATTTATCAACACAGAGGTGTCTTAAATGAAAGTTGAGGGGTGCTGAAACCAGACTGGGAGGCATGACAAGTAAAGAAAGACAGAGGACGAATAAAATCAATTTATTATAAAAGTTTCACCGTTTAAAAAAAAAGATAAAAGAAGGTAATTAATTGGAGAGGAATGAGGGGTGAATAATTGAGTCCATGATGTAAGAGCCAACCAAATTTATACTGCTAAATTCTAAAAGACTAAGGAATTGGTGGTTATGGGTACTTCAAAGATAAGGGTGAAGGAATAAAGCCAAATAACAACGATTTGCTGAAAAAATATCTAAGAAGCAGGTGGATATCCAAATTGCATCCCTGGATCTTATACAGTTAAATGTCCCTCTTCATTTTCAAATAAGGGCTAAGGGGTAAAGTAAAAGGTCTCTGCATAGTTAACAGTGGAAAACACACTGAAAACAGAGAGATTAAGTGAACGTAAGCACAATGGATGCCAGAATCTCCCCATTTTTCCTCCCTAATGGGGGCTCTGAAGATGCTAGGTACTCCCTCCACAGGAAGGAGGCTAGAGGATCCTTCTCTGGGATATCTGATCTGCCTAAGTAGAAAAATATGGAGATGATAACTCTGAAGTTTACCTAACTAAATAGCCCAAATGGATCATCATACTGCAAAACTATATGGACAAACTTATGCACAAAAACTCCAATCGAGCTACTTTGTCCCACACCTTTACATGTCAGTGGATAAGCAAAAGACTACAAGACATCTGAGGAAAGTCACTAATATGAAAGATTAAAAATTAAGCAAACTAATATGTATAATAGCAACTTGAAGGAAATGCAATATGCAGAAATAAGAAAACTTTAAAAAAATCTATTATTAATATCAGAGAGATAAGAGAAGAGAACCATAACATAAAAACAAAATACTTTTACTAAAAGGAAAAAAAGAGGAATATTTGGGGAACAAAAAAAATAAGTCTTGGAAACAAAAAATATAACAAAAAATAAAAAGTTGACAGAATCGAGAAAATATCAAATACAAAGAGATCAAATGTAAGAAAGAAAGGCCAGTCCAGTAGATCCAACATCAAATTGTATAAATTCCACAAAGATAAACAAGAGGAGTGGTAAAATCAATGATATAATTTAGACAATTCCCCAGGGAGAACATGAGTGAAAGTGCTCACAGAAAGCTTATTACAACGGATAGAAATAAACCCACATCAAAGCACATTATAGAGAAATTTCGGTACCTAGTGTACTACAAGCTTCCAGAGGAGAAAAAACAAAAACAATTCTTTCAAAACACTGAGGAAAAAAACTTTCAATCTAGAATTCGGTAGTCAGGAAACCATCAACAAAGTAAAAGGTATATTTTCAGATACAAGATCATTCAAAAATTTAGTTGCAAAGTAGCATTTATTTGAAAGATACAGAGGGATGAGTGTCACCAAAATAAAAGAATAAACTAAGACAGGAAGATGAGACACAGGAAACAATAGATAGGACAGAGGAAAGATGCGAAGAGTCCCCAGGGTAACGGTGAGGGGACAGGCCAGGATGATGACAGTTGATACAAAACCTACAGGATAATTTGTTCACAGGACAGGAGGTCAGAAATTTCCAGGAAAATCCTCTTCAGAAAGACAAAAATGATGGAATACCAGATTTGTCTGGGTATCCTGAGAAGAGATTTAGGTAACAGATTAAATGTTTGGTTTGAATTAACAAGTACATAGAAAACCAAGCAAATAACTATAAATGCTATTATTAACTCCAAGGTAAATAAGAGCTGCACAGAAAAGGAAAAAATATTGTAGCTGTTATATGTCTAGTTCTTGATCGCTTTTCATACGTATAGTAATGCAAACACTGAACAGAGCTATATCATAATTTGTATAGCATTACTTTGATATAATTATGTAAGAAAGCTGGAGGGTGGAGAAAGTCTGGTATATTATGGGGTAATGCGGAGAGAGGAGAGAAAGAAGAGACAAATTATCTTTTCATAATGGAATGCCAGTAGATAATGCCTAAAAATGAAAACTCAGGAAATGTACTTAAAGATATGACACTCAGAGACATGAAGCTCAATATCAAAAACTTAAGCTAACACTGGGTGAAAGAGATTTTCTTTGACCAAAGAGTAAATGAAAAAGAGGGCGTTGAAATACTGCTGTTACGTAGGTAAACATTAGGTATAAATTTAGGCTGAGTATGTCAAAGAGTTGTGTGAATCATATTGTTTTGCGTGTTCAAAGATGGTTGGAACCCGAACAGAAACAAGGTGAATTAAATGTCTAGACTGCAAAGGAATAAAGAATTCAATGTGATAAACCTATGGTCTTTTGACATTTTAAATACGCTCTTTACTTGGACTTTCATTAAATATTATAGTTCCTCTAAAATGATCTACTAGAGAAATCATCCCCAATTTATTATAGATTTACATGATTCAAATTAAGTACCTTATAACAGCTGGTAATTTAAAGCAGCACATAGGTGATTTGAGGACTTTATTAGATTGGGGCTCCAGGGATGCTGAAAATAAAGATGGAAAATGATTGACATAAATACTGCCACCTTCCAGGACTATGGCAAACATCATAAATTGGTCACAATACCCTTTCTAGCTGAGCCATAACCCAGTCTCAGACTCCATTGCATCACAGCAGTCCAGTACACAAATTGTCATTAACAATCAACCTAAATTGTAAACAAAGAAGAAATTTGACAATCACCCTTCATGTCTGACTCTTCAAAATTACTTCCCCAAAAATAAATATTAAAATTCAACTCTAAAAATATACTTCAACTCTAAAAATGTGGACAGAGGAGAGAAAGAAGAAGCAAATTATCAGTGGTATCAGTGGTATTGTAGTTGTAATTGTAGTGGTATCAGTGCTGAAACTTTTGGAAATGCCACTTCTTGCTAATAACCTTCATAATTAAGTCACATTTTAGAACCTGAAAAGAGTAAGAGGTAAAAATATTTAAAAAAGGGGGATACAATTATTTTATATATTTTCTTAATTTTATACAAAAAATATACTTGCAAAAAAAGCTTCCTACTCTAAATTCACAGTTAAAGTAGCACCAAAAATTATTACTCCTTTCATTCTTTCTTAGCTTATTGGTTTGTGTATAATTACTTTGCAGGGCATAAGTATACCTTAAAGGGACAATATAAAAATTTAGACACATTAAAAAATACTTTAAGGCCGGGCGTGGTGGCTCATGCCTGTAATCCCAGCAGTCTGGGAGGCTGAGGCGGGCGGATCACCTGAGGTCGAGAGTTCAAGACTAGCCTGACCAACACGGAGAAACCCCGTCTCTACTAAAAATACAAAATTAGCCGGGTGTGGTGGCACATGCCTGTAATGCCAGCTACTCGGGAGGCTGGGCCAGGAGAATCTCTTGAACCCAGGAGGCGAAGGTTGCGGTGAGCCGAGATCCCGCCATTGCACTCCAGCCTGGGCGAAAAGAGCGAAACTCCGTCTCAAAAAAAAAAAAAAAAAAAAAAAATTTAAGATGTCAGCAAAATGGTGGACTAGAAAGCAACTTTTTTTTTTTTTTTTTTTGAGACAGAGTCTCGCTCTGTCGTCCAGGCTGGAGTGCAGTGAGGCGATCTCAGCTCAACGCAAGCTCCGCCTCCTGGGTTCAAGCCATTCTCCTGCCTCAGCCTCCCGAGTAGCTGGGACTACAGGGGCCCGCCACCATGCGCGGTTAATTTTTTTGTATTTTTAGTAAAGCCGGGGTTTCACCGTGTTAGACAGGGTGGTCTCGATCTCCTGACCTCGTGATCCGCCCCCCTCGGCCTCCCAAAGTGCTGGGATTACAGGCGTGAGCCACCGCTCCAGGCCGCATCAAGTTCTTAAACACCCCCACCGCCTGCCCCCATCCCCCAGAAACATCAAAAAACACAAGCAGCAAGTGTCTAAACCTACTTTTATGGAGCTGTGAAAAAAACTCAAAAGTTTACAGCAAACAAGCAATTGCCTAATTAAAACAAAAACAAAAACAAAAAAAAACCTATCTTCGAAATAATAGAAAATTTTGTGGTGTCTTTATTCATACTTGCCCCTCCCTCTCCCTGGTCTGACAGTGGTCTTGGTCGGGAAACCAGAGCATTCCAGTTCCCATTCCCTCCCTCAAAGCAAACACAGCAGAACAGACTTTATTTGCAAATTATTTGTACATTTGCTCTAACCTGCCTGAGGGATACAAGAAGGACTGAAGCAAGGTACTCATCTTTGTTTCATCTAATTTAGAACTCAGGCAGTAAAAGTGTGGGCGGGGCTGATAAAAGCTAAGGCTGTTTTTTACCACTAGACCAGCCCTAAAAGAAATGCTAACCCGAGTCTTTCAGGTTCAAATGAAAGGATGCTTGACAGTAACTTCAAGCCATATAAATAGATAAAGGTCTCAGGTAAAGGTAAATACATAGGCAGATACAAAGCAGGTAATATTGCAATTTTGGTTTGTGACTCTATTTTTTATTTTCCACATTATTTAAAAGACAAATGCATAAATAACAATTATAAACCTATGTCATTGGGTAGACAGCGTATAAAGATACCAATAACATGAAGGTATATAGAGGCAGTTTTGTATGTGACCAAAGTTTAACTAGTATCCATGCAAATTACATTGCCATAAATTTAGAATGTTATATAGCCCTGAGAGTAACCACAAAAAAAATACCTGTAGAATATAAACGAAAGAAATAATAAAGGAATCAAAGCTTTTCACTACAAAAAAAAATCAATTGAACAAAAATAAGACAGTAATAGAGCAAATTAGCAACAAAAAAGCTATAAGAAAACAAATAACAAATGGCAGAAGTAAATCTTTCCTTAACAGTAGTGACTTTAAGTGTAAATGTATTAAAATCTCCAAAGCACAGAAATTAGCAAAAGTATTAAAATGAAACATGATCCAACTATATGTCATCCAAAAGAGGCTTCATTTAGATCTAAAGACACAAATACATTGAAAGATGGAAACAGGCTGATAGGTGGAAAATGACATTACATGCAAATGTAACCAAAAGATAGTTGGGGTTGCTATACTATTATTAGACAAAATAGAATTTAAGTCAAAAACTGTAAAAGGAGAAAGACACACATTATATACTGATAAAAGGGTCAATTCATCAAAAATATATAACAATTATAAATTATGTGCCAAACAACAAAACCCCAAAATATGTGAAACAAACATTCCTAGAATTGAAGGAAGAAATAGTTCTACATACTGGAATACAAGGGAGATAATAGTCGAAGACTCAATACCTTGCCTTCAATAACAGGTACAACAGACAGAACATCAATAAGAAAATACTAAATTTGAACAAAACTGTAAACAAATTAGACCTAACACACATATACAGAATACTCTATCCAACAATAAATTACTCATTTTTCAAGCATACATAGAACATTCTACAGAACAGACAATAATGTTAAGCCACAAAACAAATTGCAATAAATTTTAAAAGATTGAAATCATACAAAAAAAATTCCAATCACAATGGAATGAAACTAGGAATCACTAACAGAAGGAAAATAGGAAAATTCATAAGTATATGGAAATTAAACTATGCAGTCTTAACCAGTAGATCAAATAATAAATGACAAAATAAATTAGAAAATGCTTTAAGACAAATGAAAATAAAATCACAACAAACAAAAACTTATTGGATGCACCAAAAGCAAGTGCTGTTGGTTTTACAAAACAAAAGAAAAAGACTATGAATAGAATACTATGAACATTTGTATGCCAACAAACTGAGTAATCTAGATGAAATAAACAAATTCCTAGCAACTCACTATCTGCTAAAATTGAAAAATGAAGACAGAAAATCTGGATAGACTCATAACTACTAAGGAGACTGAATTAATAATCAAAAGGCTTCCAACAACAACAACAAAAAAGCATAGGACCAAAGGTTTCTGCTGGTGATTTCTACTAAACATTTAAGGAAGAATTAACTTCATTCCTTCTCAAACTCTTCTCAGGAATTGAAGAGTAAGGAACACTTTCTGCCTCGTTTTATGGGACCAGTATTGCCCTGATAACAAAACCAAAGACGCTACAAGAAAAGAAAACTACAAATCAATATTTCTTGTGAATATTGATGCAAAAATCCTAGACAAAATACTAGCAATATAAATTCAGCAACATATTTAAAGGATTATACACCATTACCAAGCGTGTTTTGATAAATTTAGATAAACTTGACTTCATCAGAATGTAAAACTTTTGTGTATCAAAGAACACTTTCAAGGCTGGGCATAGTAGCTCATGCCTGTAATCCCAACACTTTGGGAGGCCAAGGCAGGAGGATTGCTTGAGCCCAGGAGCTCGAGACCAGCCTGGGCAACATATAGAAACCTCACCTCTACACAAAAAATTAAAAATTAGCCAGGCATGGTGGCATACACCTGTATTCCTAGCTAGTTGGGAGGCTGAGGTGGGAGGATTGCTTGAGCCTAGGAGTTGAGGCTTCAGTGAGCTGTGATCACACCACTGAACTCCAGCCTAGGTGACAGAATGAGAGACCTGGTCTCAAAAAAAGAACATTTTCAAGAGATTAAAAAGAAAAACCCCAGAATAAGAGAAAATATTTGCAAATCATCTATCTTACACAGGATTAATATCTGAAACACATAATGAACTCCTAAAACTCAATAATGGCAATGAAAAACAAACAGCTCAATTCAAAAATGGGGAAAGGATTTGAATAGACATTTTTCCAGAGAAGATACACGAATGGCCAGTAAGTACCTGCAAAGATGCTCAACATCACTATCTATCAGTGAAATGCAAATAAAAATTTCAATTAGATATCACTTTATAATGATTAGGGTGTCTACTATCAATAAAATAAGAAACAACAAGTGTTACTATTGGAACAAGTGGAGCTATTGGAACACTTGTGCTATGCTGGTGGGAATGTAAAATGGTACAGGTGCTATGAAAAACAGTTTAGAGATTCCTCAAAAAAGTTAAACATAGAACTACCATAATGAACATAAAACTACTCATATGAGTGGTATTGCTAGGTCTTATGGTAGTTCTATGTTTAACTTTTTGAGGAATCTCTAAACTCTAAACATATATATATATATATAATTAGGACAGAGGTAAATGGGCCCTATGGTAAGAAATAAAAATTTCTAGAGGACCTTTTGGTATTACATATGAAAATACCATATGACTAATTCCACATTTGGGTATTTACCCTAAGAAAATTATCGTAGATATACACACAAGAATGTGCATTATAACATTATTTCTAATAGCAAATTTTGGAAACAACACAAATGACTAACAATAGTGATTGGTTAAATTGTGATTTATCCACATGATACATTTTTGTAACACTATGTCAACTTTCATAAAAATATTTAATGACATGACAAAATGCCCATGATATATTGATTCAATGGAACAAAAGAGAAAAAAAGAAATGATCAATGTAATTCCAAATGAAAAGAAATAATAGAAGCAATACTAGAAATATATAAACACCAGTATATAGCAAGATCATCTTTAGATCCTGATTATAAACATTTGATTTTATTTAAATTGTTCTATTTTTCCAAATTTTATAAAGAGAATATGCCTTATTTTATAATTTAAAAATAGAAGTACATTTTTAAAATATTTTACAATAAAGGTAGGTCTAAATACACATAGCAGCTAGAGCGGGAGGAGGGGAATGGTTAATCCAGGCAAGTAAATGAAATATATTCCCTAATAACTAGGTGTTTGATTCCAAATTTTCCTGTCAATTCCCCAGCAGTCTGAGGAGGTAGAAAGACAATGTTTCCAGAAATCAATCTGATAATTAAATTTGAAGCAACTTTAAACAACTTTAGAAGATACCTAATAAATATATTCAAAAATATATAAAGATCCTAGCTGGGCATAGTGGATCACGCCTGTAATCCCAGCAATTTGGGAGGCTGAGGCAGGCGGATCACCTGAGGTCAGGAGTTCAAGACCAGCCTAACCAACACGGAGAAACCCCTTCTCTACTAAAAATACAAAATTAGCCGGGCATGGTGGCCCATGCCTGTAATCCCAGCTACTTAGGAGGCTAAGCCAGGAGAATCACTTGAACCCAGGAGGCGAAGGTTGCGGTGAGCCGAGATCCCGCCATTGCACTCCAGCCTGGGCAACAAGAGCGAAACTCCATCTCAAAAAACAAAAAACAAAACAAAAAAAATCCTAAGACTGTCTTGAGTAGTAAGAAAGTCACGAGAATTTCTGGGTTTAGCCCCCCAGATCTAGGAAGACGTGACAATATTACTTCTATTTTAAAGATGAAATAGGTTGTCCAAGATAAGAACTCCTTTTGGAAACATGGAGACAAAGAAACAAAACAAGAGAAGAGGAGGAAGGGAGCGTTCAAATAAATAATGGAATCAAAATGAAAGTTGGACCTCACTACATTCTAGTGCATGTAACATTATACTGTGTTTTATTATAACAGAGATTCTAAAACATCTCTTCTGAAAGAATTTCAGTTGTTCTCTCAGTGAAAACAAGTTCCATGTGTTAAAGTCAGAGCACTCCTGGGGAAAATTATTTCCTGAATATGATGAGCTGCCTACAAATAAGAATATAAAGTTTGCCAACTATTTGTTGGCTATTTGTGGAACTGTTAAATTCCTAACAAAGGTTTGCCTGGCAATGAACTGAGTAACAATGTTGTACTTATTAACATAGTAGTTGGGGAGTAACTTTCTCCACGGATCCCTTCAACTGTAAATTAAGGGAGTTGAAGTAGATGGTCTCCAAAGACCTTTTCAACTGGAAGATTCTAAGATCTTTGTCAAATAGACAAATGGATGGTTCCAACACATGCTAAAATTGGCCCGTTCTCACTTCAAATCCTCAACAGCTGGAATAAGGACAGTAGAACACATACCATACTGCAGATTTATGTTAAAAATCTTAGTTTCATCATTAGTTTGTTTTGAAATAATGCCTGTGCTATGAATTAACAATACTATTTTGCTTATTATGGAAACAATACTAATTTTTAAATAAGTATCTGAAGTTATATCTTTAATCCAGCTGTAAAGGAACAAAGTCCTATTCTGTTCATCACAGGGTATGACAGCCCAAAAGACACAAAAATTCAGAGGCTCGAACTATAATTCCAAGGAAAATATATATCAATATCTTAAGAGACAGAGTCTTCATTTTCAGTTAGCTTATAGTTAAGAGGCTGACTCAAGTTTTCGCTGACAGAAAAAAAGATTAGCTGTCAAAATTGCAAACTCCTGATTTATAACAGAAGTAGTAAAGGAACACTAACCAGAGGGTGTTATTATAATTTCTAAAATCCATCATATCTCACATGTATCATTTTTCTTAAAAACTGTTAAGTGTTACCATACAATGTATTTTTTAACAGCCTAAAATCCTTTTCAGAAACTCTGAGCTTTGGGATTGACTATGATGGACAAGTCTTGAAGAAGGATTCAAAACAGAAGTAATACAGCACTCAATCTCAACTTAAATGCAGGTCAGCTTCAGCCAAAAACTCCACCTTCTTTCTGTACTGTGGAAAACCTACACAAAGTTCAGACTTCAAGGTCTTTCATAAAAATATTTTGTCTAATATCCTACACAAAAATGTCCAGATAATTTTGTTCTTATTGAAATAAACACATTTTCAAATAGAGAGCTCTCTCAGGTAGCCATCTCCCCTATGAGTAACCAATGAAAAAGTAAAGGATATAAAGAAATAATATTAGGAAAGACTGGTAATGAGATGTGAAACCTCTGGCCTCCCTCTAGATATTGAAATAGGTGATCAGGTAAGCATTGACTTTCCTATCATTTTCTGTCTGGCTAATGGTCTGTGGGAAATAAGTTAGTTAATCTATTTAATTTCTTTTAAGAACATTTCATCTTCCTATTACATTCAATCTTAGGGCAGTTTTCAAAGTATCTATCTTCTCAGTCCTCTAGACATGTACGCATTTATCTTTTTGTATTGAATAAATATAGTACATTTCCTCAAAAACAATTTGCTACAATATATAATGCAAACTTTTAACTAAAACAGGGAACTCAGAGGAAGAATAAGAAGATAAAATAAAACAAGTCTAGAACTTAGGAAGAAAAATAAGCCATAAGACCTTGCAGAGATAGATAGATAGATAGATAGATAGATAGATAGATAGATAGATGATAGATAGATAGATAGATAATAGATAGATATATAGATAGATAGCGTGTGTGTGTGGTGTCTGTGTGTTCACATAACAGAAAATTAAAGTTCAGGTTGCTAAAAGTTTTTGAAGCCAAACTAACAGGTAAGTGAGACTCTTTTAGAGAATAAACACAGCACCTTGCCCTGGCAAATGCAAAACCACCAGATTCCAAATCCAGGGAAATGGGCCTCATCTTTCCCATGCCCAACTGAAAAACTAAATGCAAGCTCACTCCAACTGAGTACTTTCAAGATGCCACTCCAGGATAGCCTAGGATTGCTAAATTAGCATTCATACCAATGCCAAACTGAGTGTGTACTTTATTGCCTGGCACATAGTGGGTACTCAATCAATATCTATTGAAACATGAAGGAAGAAAGGGAGGAAGGAAAAGAAAGACGTGCTTATAACAGGATGCTTCCTACAATGCTGAAGTATGGCTTCAATACGACTCAATTTTCTGTTTAAACAAAGAGACTCTTTTTTCTTATGCATGCAAATCAAATCATGGTTTCATCCCTTATTTTCATAATGTTCTTGAAGTACAAACAAATATATCGCATACATGATAATAAGTGTATATAAGACACTGTGTATTCATGAACACACTATTTGTTATATATTATTAAGATGTGTACACGTTTTAGCTAATGACTTAAAAATTGTTTTGAGTAAGTCATTAATTTACACTGGGGGGAAAAAACAGCAGAATGTGAAGACAAGCTTGGATTAATTTTATATTAACAGTATTTTAATATAAAAGCTAAAAAAATAGAGGCCAACAGAGGATGGGTGCGGTGGCTCACGCCTGTAATCCCAGCACTTTGGGGGACCAAGGAGGGCAGATCACAAGGTCAGGAGATTGAGACCATCCTGGCCAACATGGTGAAGCCCCATCTCTACTAAAAATACAAAAATTAGCTGGGCGTGGTGGTGTGTGCCTGTAATCCCAGCTACTCAGGAGGCTGAGGCAGGAGAATCACTTGAAGCAGGGAGTCGGAGGTTGCAGTGAGCTGAGATCGCGCCACTGCACTCCAGTCTGGCAACAGAGCGAGACTCAGTCTTAAAAAAAAAAAAAAATAGAGGACAACAGAAAGGTAAACCATAACAATCTAAAGATCTCAACACTTCTAATAAGAAAAAAGCAAGCAAGCAAGCACAGGCAGAAACTATGGGTTGCAGCTGGACTTTGAGTATTTTAATCATGTAATTAAGCTATCTTATTACTTTCCTAAGACTACCAGGAAAGGATAGACCACGTGCCTTACACCTGTTGCTGAAACTTCAATTTGTACTTTCTTTCCTTGTGTCACCAGCTTATCGGCTTAATCACCACAATTATGTGTGCTCTTTGGATACTGTTCGAGTTTCCTACATGGATAGCTGTTAACACAGTTCAACAGACACTGTTTCCCCCTGAATGTAAATCTCCACTGCATATCAGGGTTTCAGCTCAGCAAGCTTCCCTCTCTTCTGAGTCCAGGAAATGTTACAAACTAAGTGCTGTCAATAATTGGATGAATTCCAAGTGAAAATCAGGGGAGTGACTGATTTACAAAGAACTTTTCTCTCAGACAATCTGAACTATATTAACACCCCAGCATGGTGTTGGTGGTCACACAATTGGCCGTGGTTACCTTTTAAATAAGCTGTAAATATACATGCAAATATTTAGGAGAAATTAGAAGTTATGTTCAACTGTAAAATTCAAAAGATGTTAGATTGATAAAAATGAAAGTTGGCAGTAAAAAGATTTCTAACATTTTACAAAATCTAAGTTGTACTCATAGTACATTCCTTGGTGTTACACGCTGGTATAAAATTTTTACCCTCAGATTTGCAACCTCTCCCTAATAATACTTCCTTTCGTGTTTTTATTCTGCTGACAAGTTTTAAAAACTAAGCATTCATTGATTCCTTCAACAAATGTTTATTACACATATAATAAGTGACAAGCACTATTTTAGATACTGAAAAAACTAAGTTTCTGCATTCATGGAACTTATATATTCCCTAGTAGAAAGAGACAGGTAATAAACAATTGAAATACATATACATTTATATGTGTATACTAATACATGGTGATAGGCACACCATGGGAAAAAAAAAAAAACATAAAGCAGGTGAGAAAGTGATGAGGAAGAAGTATGTTGGGAACAGAGTTTTTTAAATAGGATTGTCAGGGAAGGCCTCACTGATAAAGTGACATCTAAGCAGAGGCCAGGAGGTGCAAGCCAGGTGACCATCTGAGGAAACAGGATTCCCAGCAGAGGGAAAAGCAGTGCAAAGCCTACACAAAGTCGAGGCTTGTGTGTTGTTTGAAGAAAAGTAAGGCTGGAATCAACTGACTAAAGAACAGTGGCAGGGCCTTGACGGACATGGTAAGGGTTTTGGTTTTTACTCTGAAATGGGCCCTTTAGAGGGTTGAAGACTGTGAATGCTGTAGTAACCTATTAGGTGTTTTACTTTTAAAGCATCACTCTGATTGCTATGTAAAATACTGTATTTGCACTACATAATTGGGAATGCCAGGGTGAAAACAAGGAGACAAATGAGGAGGTTACTGCCATCATCCAGGCAAGAAATGATGGTGCCTTGGGAGTGGGGGCCAGCAATGGAGGCAGGCAGAAGTATTCAGGTTCTGGATATATTTTTAGGCCAACAGGATTTTCAGGGTGACTGGATTTAAGATGTGAGAAAAAGAGAAAAGTAAAGAGCGACTACGGTTTGGGGCTTGTACGACAGGAAGAGTGGAGTTGCCTTTCTGGGAAATGGAGACGAATACAGGACAAGCAGGTTTGGAGCAGGTCAGGGGGCCAGAAGATTTGTTTGGGACTTGTAAACTGTAAGATTTAGAAATCTAAGCCGAGATGTCTATTAGGCAGTTAGATACACAAATCTGAAGTTCAGGGGAGCAATACACGCCATAGATATAAATTAGAGAGTTGTCAGCAAATGAATGTTTTTTAAAGCCAGGACACCAGATGACATCCCTTAGGGACAGAATGCAGATAGCAGAAGAAATGCTGGTTAGTGTCATCTGCATGACTCCCTTATTATCCCCCGTTCTGATCAAATACTGAAAAGTCACATTTATAATCAATTTGTACCAAGTACCATTATTTTGGAGGAACAAAGGTAGACACTGAGTATATAAATGTTGCATTCACACCAAGAGCAAAGGCTGTTTCTGCCCATCCTGTGAATGGTTTCATAGCAATTTCAACAGGAAAAAAAAAGCAGGAAAAAAAAAGCAGCAAAAGTTTTCATCACATGGTACATGGTACTTCTGTCATGCTGAACTCTAAAGATCCTGTTTTGTGTAACTCTACACCATATTGATTTCTCAAGTAGCAATTTCGTTCCAGCAAACATCATTGCCACATGAAACTTGTGTCATTAATTTGAATGCCATTGCTTTTGTAGTTTCAAAATTTGTTTTTAAATAATTTTAGGAGCCACAAGCATAATACACTTATACCTGATTATATATTTCTACATTTTAGAGTAACATTACAACAAAAAATTATTTATGTCAATACTAAGGGTCCCAGAGAATGTCTTTCAACAGGGTCCATAAAATATTCAAGTTTAGGAAGCACAATGACAAACAGGTTTCATTTGTGAGACCAAAGTATACATGAACATTGTTCAAATGCAAGAAAAAAATATGTTCTAAACTTATAAATATCAGTTTTACAGGGAAATATATTTAAGGCAATTTGCAACTTTATATATGATATTCTATATTAACATATATACTATATATTAATAGATATATAATTTTATATTTATGTGCATAATAGGTACACACGCACGTACATATTTAAGGAGACAAAAAAAAAAACAGTGGTAAAGAGCACAGGTTCTAAAGTTGGATTATTTGGGTTCCAATACCAGCTCAACCCTTTAATAGCTTTAGTTTCCTCATAATAATAATAGTATAGCTGGCTCCTACCAAAAGTGGTAATAGTAGGCTATGGCTAGATTTGTGGTAATGTAACATCCCACAGGGCCTGAGACTCTGCCACTGGTTTCAAGTCTCCTAGGAGCTCCAGAGGAAGATGTTCCCTTAATTTCTGCTTATTACAGTCTTGAGTCACTGTTCTGCCAAAAGGGGTGTGCTATGCACATCCATTTAGAATCTTCAAGTTCTCCTTCACTGGACTTTTCCTCTGCTGCCTGAGATTCAACTTACTTAGGAAGACTACCAACCTATATCAGGATACCACATCCCTCAGAGGCACAGACTTAGAGGTTTGATGACAATAGTTTTTTTGTGATATCTTATTATTGTCAGACCCCATGCTAAGAACTTTACAGACATTCGTTTGTTTAATCTTTTTAACAGGCCTGTAACGTAGGGATTATCATCCCCATTTTACAGAGAAGAAGGCTGAAAAAACAATTATGCAAAGGTTACAGGGATGGTAACTATATTTAGGTTCCTCTGAGATCACTGCCTTGTCTCTTATCCCTATGTTTACACTTCTCACCATTACTAGCATGAGTGTAGGCTATGGATTCTGAAATTCAACTCTGTCACCTAACGTCTGTAACTGCTCCTAGGGTCTGTAACTGGTTGAGAATGACTTAAATCTCAAACTCTTCTGTGGCTCCTATGAATCACTGCCAATGGAAAACAGCCTATTTGGGGGAATGAGAGGTATGAAGAGCGGCTTCCATTAAGGCCAACATGACATCTTTAATTGAAAGGTTTTCTAAGCCTGCGTTGAAAGCAGAGAAATATCAAGATAAAAAGCTGGCTCCAGAAGGGCCTAGGGGGGACGGGAATTCCCAAAGGGCCCAGGGTCACAGCTAAGACAGAAGTCCTCACAGTGATTTGTTTGATTAAGGCCTAGATAGAACCTGTGTCATCCTTCACTGGGCTAAACAGAAAGTGCGGGCAGAGAAATTGCAATTTTAGAAGCTGGATGCAATTTGAGCTTAAAAGGAAGACAGAATTCTTCACAGAAAGAAAACTGCTATTTTGTTTTGGGGAAAAAATACATTAATGACACTTTTGGTTATGCTGATGTGGGATTCTTGGGGCACTTCTAGAAAATACAGATTGAAAGAAAATGATGTTTAATTGCTGTGTATAATAAAATAATAGAAAATTCCGTCTTCCACTGGTTTTAAGAGAGTGGTGTCTAAGTCTTTTGGGGTTGAGAACAGAGAGCTATCAAGCTGCATAAACTCTAGGGGATGCTATTTTCATCGCAGTCTATGGTAAATAGTGCCCCCCATAGTTGCACAGTCTACAGCCTGTGCAGACACACAGGGAGGTGCTGGTAGGGGGCAGCTTGAACTGAGAAGAAAAATAAAACAAGATGAGAAAATATAACAGGTCTTGGGGCTCATATGAGCAGCAGCCACCAGTATGGGAAGCTTGGCAACAGAAATGGATGCCAAAACTTAGTGACTGTGATACTAATTCTTAGTAGCACAGTGATAGTATTTAGTATCTTAGACTGAATTTTAAGTGTTCTCTAGGTAACCTCCATCCTTTAACCTCAGACCTTCAGGAAGGGTCTAACATACCCAACAGCATTATGGGAGTAATGCTGTGGGAAGTGAAGCAGGAGGAGCCATGTTTAAATTCGGGGTTAATGAGAACCAGAGAAAACTTTAGGAGCTGGTAGAGAGAAAACATTAAGGGAATTCAGCTGGGAGCAGGAATTCAGAGTGAAAGCATGCCGGTGACTAACTACTCCCTAACCCTTATCCCTAATGGATCCTCAAAAGTGTGATAGATTTCTTAGAGTTGAAGATTTGAATCTCTCTTTTTTTAACCCTTAAGAAAAAAAATCTATCCCAGAATACTGGGCAATCTTGGCTCATATCAAGTTTAGAAGCCCTATGGTCACTAGAGAAAGAACACAGTACCTTTTTCTCAAATAAGGGTCCTGGCAATTCCCCCAGGGAAGAATGCCAGCTATGCTGTCATCAGCAAACACTTTAAGATCAATACACTCTCTCAACCTGGACTACCTCATGCCCAGTGATACTTTTCTGGAAGGGATCCATGAGAGTGACCTCAAGTCGGCCAAAATCCTGAGGCTGGAGGACTGGAGACAGTCCCACTGTCTGGGTAGGGCTTTCCATTCTAGAAGTTGGTATGGTCATCTGCTCAGGTTGGTCTCTACCAGAAGAAGACACTGAGACAAGCATGAGAGTGTTTGTAGTTGAGCAGTTTGTGTAAATGCTGATGCCAGAGAGCATTGATAGAAAAGTAGGGAAGTCAGAAAGAAAACCAAAGGAGATAATAAAGTGTTTATTATTAAACAGTTTACATTTATCAACAACTGGAGCTCAATCCTGCTAAGGAACCTACAGCATACCCTATACTGCATATTTATCCCAAATGGGAGGCAACAGGGCCTTGCTACTCAAAATGTGGTTTGAAGGTTAGCATCATTTGGAAGCTTATTAGAAGTACAAATTCTGAGTACACAGCCACAAAAAAACAATGAAATCATGTCCACTGCAGCAACATGCAGTTGACATGCTGCAGCTAAAGGCCATCATCCTAAACGCATTAACACAGGAACAGAAAACTAAATACTGCATGTTGTCACTGATGAGTGGGAGCTAAACATTGAGTACACATAGAAAGACAAGAACAGACACTGGGGCCTACTAGAAGTGGGAGGGTGGAAGTGGAGTGAGGATTTAAAAACTAACTGCAGGGTACTATGCTCACTACCTGGGTGACAGGATCATTTGTACAACAAACCCCAGTGACACACAATTTACCCATGTAATAGACTTACACGTGTACTCCCTGAATCTAAAATAAAAGTCAAAAAAAAAAAAAAAAAAGAAATGCAAACTCTGGGCCTCACCTCCAACCTACTAATTTTTAAACAACTTTTCAAGATTCTTAAGCATGCTACAGTTTGATAGAAACTAAGCTAGGGTATTAATCTACAAACTCTTGCCAATCATTGATGGACATCTCCTGGGTTTCAACTCCCCAACACTTCTGATCTACTCCCTCTCTCCCTCCAAGCTGAGTTGGCTTCAGGAGCCAGAGAAAGCCCTCAAGAAAGAGTAGAAGGTACTTGCAAATAAAAACTTTCATGTCTACCTACACAGGACGGGTGAATGCTTTGGAGATATGGGAAGAGCTACAGCTCTGCTATACTTTCATGTTTCTTCTAAAGATGCTGGCAGATCTGATTCAGTTCAGCAGTTGGAGTTTCCATCCCACAAACAGTGGCTTAGTCTTTGAGCATTCTTGTATCAATGCGCTCTCCAACCCGAGCAGCAATTAAGGACACTAAGCCTCACGTTTATAGCCATCTGAGCAAGTGCAGCTAAAGCAGCCCACAAAACCTGGTTAGGATAAGGTGGAGATTTGGCCCAACCAGATGAAATATAAACTCTGCCTATGGGACAGCTGACTCAAAGTGTCATGCTATTTTCTAAATGGTATGATATACAAGGCAACCCAGTAGAGGTTATGATCTGTCTCTGCATTCAGATAGACATGGATTTCAATCCCATCATCGATGGTTACTTGGCCTGGATGACTCTGGGTGAGTTACTTAATCTCTCTGGGTCTCGGTTGCCTCACCTGTACAAAGGGAATAATAATAATAATAATAAAATACCAATAACATAGGGTTTCATGAGAGGATAAAATGATATTCTGAATACAAAGTGATATACACAGTGCCTGGCACTTAGTAAGAGCTTACTGAGCATTGAGAAGTACAGTTGTAGGGATACCATCACAGAAGTCAAAGCTGAATGCAAGGTCACAGCAAATTAGACAAGCTTCCATTGCAGGGGGATCCAGCATTTCTGTTCTATAAACATTTACTGAGGACCTATCACTTACCTGGCATGGCACTAGGGGATACGTTTGGAAAAAAAAAAAAAAAAAAGCCAAAACAGACCTTAGAAGAAGAGCGTAGAGCAAGCCCAGGCAAAGACAGCCCACGGCAAAGTAAGACAAAACAGGAGACAAAAACAGGTTCAAAATTCATGTCAGGTACCAGCAGGACTAAGCTCTAGATGTGCTTGACATGGGCAAGAGTTGCAGCAGGAGTGAAGGCTCTATATGTAGTAGTTTAGCCAAGACACAGAAGTGATAGACAGGGTTACTTTGACTGACTCAAGGCCTAGGTCTAAGGCACATACTACAAACAGCCCTAAAAATAGTTCATTGCCAGGGTAAGAATCTGAGGCAAATAAAGACTTCTTCTCTGGAATCAACCAAGCTTCTCTCTAGAGGTAAACTTTACTTGATCTGAAATAGCCAGTGCCTATAAAACGATTCCACACAAAGAGTAAGATGTTATTCAACTAATAGTTATCTAAATGCCATCTCTATGGCTAATGAACCAATATAGATGCCCAAATGCTTAGTGGGCGCTACCCACTTGGCTTCTCTTTGGGTCCACCCATGTTTATACTCCTCTGAAGCAGGGACTGAGATCCTGGCAGTTGAACCTCAGTAATAATATGGCCTATCCAGGTAAGAAAAACATGTTCGCTGAAAATTTAAAGACATGTGGAAAACATTTCTAGTCTTATCTCAAAAAGGAATTGATGGCAAAGGGAAATCAGACTCTCGGGAGCATACTTAAGTAATCACAAGGGGCCTCCACACTGCCACCCAAGGAAAGTTGGTGTGGTCTACTGAAGTGCTTTCATTCTGTTAGCGAGTGTTATGCAAAGTTGGTGTGAGAAACAAACTGCTGGGTCAATGAAGAGGATAGCCTTTGGTTCTACTTCTGCATCCTTCTCAGATATAAGACAGAGGAATATCTCTAAATAAATATTGGACATTGTCAACTACAAAAAAACAAAACAGCATAATAAGCATGACAAATAATACTGAAATCTTAATATGATTCATGCACACTAAGTGTGCACAGATTTTACAAGTGTATTAACTCTTATCCAACAATCCTATAAAGGAGGCACTATCCCCATTTTATAGATACAATACTAAGGCACAGATAAGTTACATAACACTAAAAGTCACAAAGTCAGTAAATGCCAAAGGTGGCATTTGAACCCATACAGTCTGGTTTCAGGGCCTGCTCTTTCCACCACTATAGCATACAGTTAAATATTAGTTTTTAGTGATACTGCATGTCTAGCCTGAAATGGGACAGGCACTTCTGGGCCCAGACCTGAATTTAGTTAGGTTCACATATAGAAATGTGAAGAAAGAGCAAGTATTTTCTTACAGTTAAAAACAAAATAAAAATATTATTTGACCTGCCTAAGTGAAGAAGCTCATAAAGCTTAATTATTGTGAATCACATTTTGCCTAAATAAAGGCAAGCAAGTTGTAAATTGCATTTCCAGAATATAAAATCCAGCTAAGACATTGGTAGTTTCAGTAAATGTAGTCACCTGATGCCTTTCCAGTGAAATTTCTAAAGCATTACATATTTACTTCATTTTGAGAGCGTCCTTAACAATGATTCCCACAGGAATTCGATTTTACTGGGAATGGCTTTTTAGTCTATTAAATGACACATCGAAACCTAATGTTGAACAATATGACAAAGTTGTTCACTGCTGGGAATCAATGTTAGCAGTCAGACCACACTGTCAAACTATAATCAAAGACAGCTCATTTCAAAAAAGATAGAGAGTGGGAGAGAGAGAGAGAAAAAAGTGCATAAAACTGCTTTTGAAGCCAGAAAACAGAGTCACCATCAGCTTTAGGGTGACACAAAGTAAGAGCAGCTTCCAAGGAGATGCCAGGGGGAGGGAGAGGAAAGGAAAGATTATACCTGCCAAATAAATAAATACAGACCCACAGATGAACAGATGAAACCCCAAGAGAAAACAAAAATAGAGAAAATAGAGCAGGGTAAGAAAGACTTTAAATGAAAATTAAATCTACATCCAGTAGAAACAGGGCTATACTTTCTTACCATGTTTTTTTTTTCATTGCCACTAGAGTAATATCACTAGATCTGAATAAAAGGATTGTTTAAAAATATGGTGGCTAAAAAAGGCCTGTAGACCATTAGGACTATAAAACTATCTGCAAGGATGCAATACAGTTTCTCATGATAACAGAACCCACATTTGCAATCAACAGCTTCATATTAAAAGCCCATTCCAAGAAAGGCTCTTTGTAAGGTGTTAGGGGACACAAAATTGAAGAAGGCTGAGCCCTTCCTACAAAGAAATGAAACTTAATTTTGGGATCATCAGAACTCTCTCTTTGCTTCTGAAATGTCAATGATTAATATGTGATATGCTGAAGTATTTACAGAATGACTTACTGAGACATGACAAAGATGGTGAGTTTCAGGGAATTAGTCACTTAACAAATATTTACTAGGTATTTACTATCTGCAAAGTAATGGGCTGGCAAGGATGGGCACATAAGAAAGCCAAAGACAATGTCTTCCTATCCTTGAGGAATGTAACATCTGTTTAGTTGAAAAGATAAGGGCAAGATAGCTAACCACACAATGCTAAGGGGGAAAAGTTGCAGAAGTTCAAAAGAAGGAGACTAAATAGCTGTCTCAAACAGTTTCTGTATATAAATAGCTTACAATATTGATACAATCTAGCACTGTTCTAGTTCTAAAAATCTTCTTTCACACATCATTCTTTGTACCAGGTTCCCTTATTCTCTACCCAACTCTCCATCTTGACTTACAAGAATATAAAATCAGAACACGTCTAAGCCAGGACCTTTTCCATATGTAAAAGGAAATACATATTTGCCTTTTCCATAGGTAAAAGGTGATATTTAAATAATTTTAAGTAGTGCATACTTCAAAAAGAAACCTACAGAACTTTTACTGCTATCCTATTTACTGCTATTTTATGCAAATAAAAGGTTACTTTGATGAAGAATAAGTACATCTTATCCATTGTTGGAGTACTTCCCATAAGATAGGTCAGAGAGGAGCAAATTTTTGTCAAACAGGTCCTCATGATTATATAAAAGAAAGTATCCTCTAAGATCTTGTCCTATTTTGACATTTTTAATAAATATTCTCATTTTCCATCAGTCCAAATTGTCCAGTTATGATCCACAGGAATAATTCAAGTTACTGTTGTTTTGACAAAAGTCTCTTTTTTTATTAGATAAAATCAGAAAATAAAATTCCACAGTAATGGCTCAAGTTATTTTGGATTCTGACCTCTAGTCAATGAATTGAAACCATAGTGCTGTAAACTACCTATATGTAATAGATTCTTCACAATTATTACTTTTTTGCACAAAATATTTAGAGCTCATACTTAGATCTCCACTCCAATAAAACTATAATTATGCATGGTATGATAGAAATACAAGATCTGAGACTGAATTTAACCATAGGTACAAATATGAATTTGTAAGCAAGCAAAAAACCAGTCACATAGGCCATGATGAAAGACCAATGAAGTCCCAGCTTTCTGCACATTTAGATATTCTGACAAGAATCTTACATAAAATAATCTAAGCAGATACGACTCCATTCTAGCAGCAGTATTTAGCTAATCTTCTAATGAGTTCAAGTGACAGAGTACCTGAACATGGCTGAGCACAGAGTAGGACAAAGTCCTCCAATAGCCTACTGGACTCCCGTAGATTCTTAAATCCTCTTTGTTTCAGACTGGAGATGCCTATAGGATATTTCTAACCAACACACATATTTTGAACTTATTTCACTAAAGAAGAAAATTATTCCTAATTTCCATTAACAAACCCTTCCATAATAGTCAGACATAAACATATTTAAAGTCTCATAGCAGCCGAAAAGGGGCTTTTTGGTTAAGTCTTCCTACTAAATAACCACCTCTGTAGTATTGTCAAGTTGCTTTAAATGCTAACCGATCACTCAAGTTTTCCTTCAAATCTTCTTACTAAAATTATTTTTAGCTTAGTACATAAATTACTGTTACAGAGTCTTCAAAAGTCTCAACATGGTCTTGGATTTGTGAATTTTTGCTTTTCTATATTTGAACTTCATATTAGATACATGTAAGTTTAGAATTATTTAACTCTAGTAATATGCTTACTTTAAATTTTATTTTTTATGACACAATCATAGCTATCTTACCTTTCTTCAGTTGATAATTGCCTGGAATATATATTTTTTTTCTTTTTTCAACTTTAAATATTCTGTACGTTTTAAATATGCCTTTATTCTAACAATCTTTTTTCTTTAATTAGTGACTTCAGTCCATATAAATTTATTGTAATTACTGATAGATACTGTATTTGGATTCATTTCTAGTGTTGCATTTTGTGCTTCTCTGCTCTGCTTTTTCTTCCTAAAATAATATTAACTTTAAAGATAGCTGTCACACTGGTTTCTGTTCTATTGTGAAGCCAGCTGTCAGTCTCATTATTGTTAGGTCATGTCTTTCTTCTCTAGCTATTTTAGAAATCTTCTCTGCCTTTGGTGATGTGCAGTTCCACTAAGGTTTTTCAGGGTTTCAATATATTATTATTTTTTTTTTGGAGATGGGGGTCTCACTTTGTCACCCCGGCTGGAGTGCAATGACATGATCTCTGTTCACTGCAACCTCCGCCTCCTGGGTAGCTGGGACTACAGGCACCCGTGTCAGCATGCCCAGCTACTTTTGGTATTTGTTGTACAGATGGGGTTTCCCCATGTCACCCAAGCTGGTCCCGAACTTCTGGACTCAAGTGATCTGCCGACCTCAGCCTTCCAAAGTGCTGGGATTACAGCCATGAGCAACCGCACCTGCCCCATTAGATTTCTCTTGACTTCTCTTGCTTTGTATACATGTGCTTCCTTAATCATATCTGGAAAATTCTTAGCCTTTATGTTTTCAAATACTACCTCTACCCTATTCTCTTATTATCTCATTCTGGAACTCTGACTAGATATATATTCTAAATCTATATTTAATGTACCTTAATCTCTCTTTCATGTGTTGTGTCTCTATCTTTCTCTTCTGCCTTATTGGGAATTTCCTCACATCTATATTTCCCTAATTCACTCATGTTTTCATTCCACGGTCTGATCTACAGTTTCAATTATTATACTTTCAATTTATTATAGTTCTGTTTATGTTTGTCCAATTTAACTGGTTATTCTAATTTACTTACTTTTATTTTCAACTCCCCTAATTATTTTTTATCATATTAAACATATAAATTTTTATTCTATATCTGATTTTTCCAATAGTTATATTATTTAGGGTATCTTGGGCTCTTGCATGTTTTATGAATTTTGATTGTAAGCTCATATTTGCTAGAGCTTTATCTACAGGAATTTTTGAGATCTGGTTAATAGGCTTCCTTTTAATAGATTTCTAGTTCCAAGTCAATTAGGGTACACTGCCCAATTGCAACTACTGTAAACTAAATTCTCATTTTGCAGCATTTTTGACAACCCAGGTATTTGGCTCCAGAGAATACTCTGTGAAAAAGAAATCTTCTATTCCATAAAAGGATGTAGTACTGATTTTACAGGCAACAAAATTTCTGCTTTGTATTTCTGGTTTGTATTTCTAAAGCTAAAATATTATTTCTGATGCTGCAATTCTATTTCAACCTTTATAGTTAGTGATTTGTAATGTTTCAATAGCAAACTGGATATTAAGTTCTGATCATTTACTGAAGAGTTTCACATTTATATACTTTGGGCTTTTTAAAAAAAATACCATCCCTTGATTTTTATTTAAAATAAAGCCAACCAAATAATTGAGGGCAGGGGGATGTGTAAAATGCCTTACATCTGTAAAAAGACATTAAGGTAATGTCAAAATTAACAATTTTTTGTAAATAAAGTACTTGGCTTTTTCCTTAATTAATGAAAAATCATCCAGTGACATGGCAATGTCAGTGTTTGGGGGTACAATGAGCCAGTAAGTCAATAAGCATTGTTTATGGACCCCTTAGAAGTGATTTTTTTATTTCCATTGGTATTTAAACAAATGCATAATTCTACATTTGTCTCATCTTGAGAAAATTCCAAAATAAAAGAATTTCTTTAATATCCCAATATCAAACATAATTTTTAAAATATCTTGTGAGTTTTAAATAAGACAAGGAAATAATATCTTTGTTAATGAAATATGAGTTCTAGATTTTGAAGTGTTTATACACGAGATATTTTGCCTTATGAAAGCCATTTACATTCCTTTGAGTCTATTACCCATGCAAGTAGCTGCCTTCTGTCATTAGCATATAGCCTCTTCCTCCTTCTTGAACAAGAAAACACAGCCCCAATGTTCAGTGTTTGGCAAAAGAAACTATTCTAACAACATGAGCAAACTGAATACCCCAAGACTCTGAAACTGTTTTTCCTCTAAGGAAGAAGGTTTCTTTCTATTGGTCTGTTTATGATTGTTAGTTCACTAAGATCCTATTAGGCAACTCTAAGGGGACACTAAAGAAAAGGGCATCAAGTGTTCATTTTTCTTAGAGCATTACCTCAGGGTTCTTATTTAACTCAGCTGTAACTGAGACACATTTTCTATAAACTATCATAACATTTCTGGGATTTAACCTTTGTAGCAAAACCCCACAGACATACACAAACACACTCACACACACACAGACACAGACATACATACGTACACACATACATTTCCCCTATGATGTGAACCTTCCTTTTCAGTTTTACCACCACTGGCATAAAATGCTTAATCTAAGAAAACCCAAGCTAGAATATTTAGAGCAATGTGTTTATAAAGATCATGAAAAGGCAAGAATTAAGGATGAGCAGCAAATGAATGGGATAAATACAATTCTCTTGGGTACATTTTATTCCAGAACACTTTCTGTGTCATATTTTCAAAGCAACTAAAAATTGCATAAACTACAACCAGAACTTAAGTGTTTTAGAAAACAACACTAACACAAAAAAGCCACTGCTCCTCAGAGTTCATAATTTTTAATTCCAGGCAACAAATTAAAGCCAGAAGACACTGAGCATGAGACATATATACCCATGCACATACACATACACATACACTTATAATTGAACTATAATAGCTGTTTATTGATGCAAGGAAAACAGCTAATACATACTCTGTACCATGAAAATATTTCTATATCTAAGTATATTAAAATAATTGACAAAGCCTGCAGTATATCAGAAAATCTCTGGTTTGTTGGCAAGCTGCCTGTTCAGAGAATGTAACAGCTGGTGGATGGCACTTCAATTTGTGGATCTAAAGCAGGAAGCAACAGTACTGACACACCCTCTCCCATACAAGATCAGTATGATAGTCTAGCAGAAGGGGAAATAAATATGAAATAAAACAATTATAATCTAGATTACAACAAAGATGAAACTAAAGTATATGATGGCAGACTCAAATTTGTATTGGGGAAAAAAAAACAGACAGATCTGTGAACCAACAAAACCACCATGAGATGCCTTTTCACAATGACATCCATCAGTGTTGACAGGGGACTTACAAAGAAAAAGGAAATCACATGCTGAGTGTTTTACTTGAATTGAGTCAATTCAGAATAAACACACTGATTGGATGAATGGTTGTCAAAAAAGGCAATTAACACCCAAGAAGAAATAAGTGTGACTTATTTAGATTCATATTTGGATTAATGGAAAAAAATACAATATCTGTGTGATTCTATTTATTTATTTATGTAAAATACACAAACAAAAATTTCAGGCAGTAAAGAAAGCATACAGTAACAATTAAAATTTGCTCTTTCAGTTCAGTCATTGTGGAAGACAGTGTGGAGATTCTTCAAAGACTTAAAGACAGAAATACCAGTTGACTCAGCAATCCCATTATTGGGTATATACCCAAAGGAATATAAATCATTCTATTATAAAGACACATGCATACCTATGTTTGCCACAGCACTATTCACAATAGCAAACACATGGAATCAACCTACTGGAATGGAAATATGCAGTTTCCAGAACTATCCCTTGGCATAAATAATATAACTAGACTACACGTATACTCAGAAATCTGCTCAATTTAGTTAATTTATGGAATGATTAATTGATTTGAAGAACACGAAAATTAGTTTTTGATAGAATTAGGCAAGAGTTTAAATTGACCAGCCACTTCAACCAAGTCGGTTGAAGTCTGTATAGACCGATGTGGATACAGCCTGCATCTCTGTAATGATGATAGTCTATAGCAAATCATATGGCATTACCACACCAAAGAACATTTACCATTAACATCATAAGTACTAATGGATATTATTAATATAGATCATTATGACTCACAGTAGAGTATAAATATGGTAAAAGGACTTCCACTGCTGGACAAGATAGAATAACAGGAACCAGATATACACTCCAGTCTGAAGCATCTAAAAATATAAGACAACATATATGACTCAAGATTTACAAGACATAGGACATTAGGCAGTACAGAACAGTGATCCCTGAGAGAAAAGCAGCAAATAAAATCAGCCCTAGGATTGCCCCATCTTGCTGCCCGGAGACATTTTCCACATGACAGTGTAGGGAGGAGGAACGGAGGTAGATCCAGACATTCTTTTAAAGTTGAGGAAATGGAGTATGGCACCCAGAAATGCCATGACAGCTGTAGTTCACTGGCAGAATATTGAAAGGATATACAGAAGAGCTACAAGATTTACAGGCAGTATCCCCTTGTATTTTCAGCTTAGTACTGATCAGCACATGCATATGATAAAACTACCTGAGAGGAATAATATCTGGCATTCAAACATGACTGGGGAAAGTTTATGTTCCAATTAGCCAGAATGGAAAAACCTCATAATTTACGGGTCATCAGGGAGAGTACTCAAAAGGTATTAAACCCAGTAGTGGGGAAAATTAGCCCTAGAATAAAATCTGCTCTGGTACTGTCTAACAAACCTTAAAAGCAAGGCTTGAAAGGGTCAAACTACTTTCCAGTAACTCCAATGAATCCTAGAATAAAAGTTAAGATATTGATAGGGATTCAAAAATATTTAGCACCCAATATTATAAATTTCACAATGTCTCTCATCCAGTCAACAATTACAATGCTTACTAAGACAAGAAAAAAATACAACCTACAAGGAGAAAAATTAATCAATACAAATACTTAGGACAGAAATGAGAAAATTAGTAGACAAGGGCATTAAATCTTTGTAACTATATTCTGTACATCCAAGTAGACAGAAGAAAGATTAAGCATGTTAAATAAAAACAGGAAAGATTTTTAAAAATCTAATTCTAGAACTGAGAATACAATATATGACATTTAAAGATACAGTAGGTGGAACTAAAAACAAATTAGATAAGACAGAAAAAAATAGTAAACTTGAAAACACAACAACAGAAACTATCCAAAATAAAACAGAGAAGAGGATGGAAAAGAATTTTTTTAAATGATCAGAACATCAGTGAGCTGTAAGACAATTTTAAACAACCTAATATGCATGCATGTAAACAACCTAATATGCATCCCCAAAGTCAGGGAGGGGCAGAAAATTTATTTGGAAAAACAACAGAGAAAAATGTTCAAATTTCATGACAACTATGGATCCACAGAACCAAGAAATTCAAGAACGACAAGCACAGGCAATATGAAGAAAACACTAACAAAGCAAATTATCATCAAATTATTTACCGTGATAAAGACAAAATTAAACGTAGCTAGAGAGAAATTACATCTTACGTAACAAAGATAAAAATGACAGCAGACTTCTCCATGAAAAATGCAAGCCAAAAACAGTGAAGGGATATCTAAAGCATAGAAAAAGAAAAAACTCCTGTCAACATAGACGTTAATATTTAGTAAAATGTCTTTTTAAAAAAGATAAAATAAAGACTCATTCAGGCCAGGCACGGTGGCAGTTTGGGAAGCCGAGGCAAATGGATCATTTGAGGTAAGGAGTTCAAGACCAGCCTAACGAACATGATGAAACCCTGTCTCTATCATACAAAAGAAAACCTAGCCGGTTGTGGTGGCGTGTGCCTATAGTCCCAGCTACTCGGAAGGCTGAGGCAGGAGAATCACTTGAACCCGGGAGGCGGAGGTTGCAGTGAGCTGAGATCGTGCCACTGCACTCCAGCCTGGGAAACAGAGTGAGACTCCACCTCAAAAAAAAAAAAAAAATACTCATTGAGGCATAAAAACTTTTTTAGATATATAAATGCTGAATGGGTTTACTTCCAACAGAACTACATTATAAGAAATCTAAAGGAATGGTATGAACAGGGCGTGCTGTTTAATTTTAAAAAAAGGAATATAAAAGGAAGACCTTCAGACAGAAAGAAAGTGATACTAAATGGAAATATGGATGGAAACGAATGGAGAGCACTGGAAATGATAAATATACCAGATGTTTTTCCTATTTTTGAAATACCTTTAAAAGATAATTGACTATTAACAACAAAAGAAACAATCAACATAGTAAAGAGATAACCTGTAGGACGGAAGAAAATATTTGCAAGCTATTCATCCAAGAAGGAACTAATATCCAGAATATATAAGGAGCTCCAACAATTTGATAGCAAATAAAAAATAATCCCATTTGTAAATGGGCAAAGAATCTAAGTAAACATTTTCCAAAAGAAGACATACAAATGCCCAACAAGTTTAAACATCAAATTTGTTTTAGTGATGCTCCACATCACTAATCATCAGGGAAATGCAAATTAAAACTACATGAGATATCATCTCGCCCCAGTTAGAATGGATATTATCAAAAAGACCAAAAAAAAAAAAAAATGCTGGCAAGGATGTGGAGAAAGGAGAACTCCTACACACTGTTGGTGGGATGTAAATTAGTATGGCCATTATAGAAAACAGTATGGACATCTCTCAAAAAACTAAAAATAGAACTACCATATAATCCAGAAATCCCATTAATAGGTATTCATTCAAAAGAAAGTAAATCAATATATCAAAGAGATACCTGCACACCTATGTTTATTGAAGCACTATTCACAATAGCTAAGATACGTAATTCATCTAAATGTCCATCCACAGATAAGTGGATAAAGCAAATGTGATTGATACATACACACAGACACACACACACAAGTATAATAAAATACTATTTATCAATAAAAAATGAAAAATCCATGGCAACGTGGATGAACCTGAAGGCCATTATGTTAAGTGAAATAACTCAGGCACAGAAAGGTAACACATGTTCTTACTCACATGTGGAAACAACAACAAAAAAGCTCACAGAAGTAGAAGGAAAGAGTAGAATTATGGTTACTAGAGGCTGGGAAATGTAGCAGGGAGGAGAAGACAGAGTTTTATTAATAGATATAAAATTACAGCTAGAAAAGAATAAGTTCTAGTGTTCTATGGCACTGTGGAGAAAAATAGTTGACAATAACTTATTGTATATATTATAAATCTAGAAGAGAGAATTTCAAATGTTCCCAGCACAAAAAAAATAAATGTTTGTAATCCTAATTACTCTGATTTGATCACTACACATTGTATGCATCTATGAAAATATCACTCTGTGTCCCATAAATATGTACAATTATTATGTATCAACTAAAAATGAAAGGGAAAAAGATAACTGATTATTTAAAGCAAAATTTATAACGATGTATTGTAGGGTCTACAATTTATGTAAAGATAATAGTGTGACAAAAATAACACATAGCCAAAGGAGAAAAATGAAAATATACTATTTTAAGAGCTTGTTACATACATAAACTACAATGTTATTTTTGAACAGTAGACTGGGATAAGTTAAATGTGCACACTATAAGCAACCACTATAAAGGACTTATAATTAATAAGCCAACAATATAAAACAAACAAGATGTATGTTCAAACCCAGCAATATCAATATTTATGTTAAATGTAAATGGTCAGCCAGGCACAGTGGCTCATGCCTGTAATCCCAGCACTTTGGGAGGCCAAGGCAGGCAGATCACTAGGTCAGGAGTTCAAGATCAGCCTGGCCAATATGGTGAAACTCCATCTCTAGTAAAAATACAAAAATTACCCAGGTGTGGTGGCACATGCCTGTAGTCCCAGCTACTCTGGAGGCTGAGGCAGGAGAATGGTGTGAACCCAGAAGGCGGAGCTTGCAGTGAGCCGAGATTGCGCCACTGCACTCCAACCTGGGCGACAGAGCGAGACTCCATCTCAATTAAAAAAAAAAAAAAAAAAAGTAAATGGTCTAAATATACCAATTAAAAATTAACAACTATCAGATTGGATTTTTTTTTTTTTTTTGAGATGGAGTCTCGCTCTGTCGTCCAGGCTGGAGTGCAGTGGTGTGATCTCAGCTCACTGCAAGCTCCACCTCCTGGGTTGACGCCATTCTCCTGCCTCAGCCTCCCGAGTAGCTGGAACTACAGGCACCCGCCACCATGCCCAGCTAATTTTTTGTATTTTTAGTAGTGACGGGGTTTCACCGCGTTAGGCAGGATGGTCTTGATCTCCTGACCTCGTAATCCGCCCTCCTCAGCCTCCCAAAGTGCTGGGATTACAGGCGTGAGCCACTGCGCTCAGCCCAGATTGGATTTTAAAAATCAACACCAAACTATAGGCTGATACAGATAATCCCCTTTTAATGTAAAGACACAAAAAAGTTAGAAGAATGTCACAGTATATACCATACTAACACTAATACAAGAAAATCGGAACGGCTATAAAAGTAGATTCCAGAGAAAATGATATTACCAAGAATAAAGAAGGTTTCACTATGATAAAAGGATTCATTCATCAAAAGGAGACAATTATCCTAGACTTTTATGCCTAATAACAAAGATTCAAAACATATGAAGCAAAAACTATAGAACTACAAGAATAAATACACAAATCCACAATGATAGAGATTTCAACACCATTCTCTGAATGATTAATAGAACAAGTAGAGAAAAACCAGTAAGGATATAGAATAAAACTATCAACCACTTGACTTGATATTTATAGAACCCTCTACTCACTAACAGCAGAGTACAAATGTTTTTCAAGTGCACATGGAACATTTACCAAGACAAACAACACCATGGACCATAAAACATGTCTCAATAGATTTAAAAGGATTTAAGTCATACTAAGTATATTGTCCTATCACAATGAAGTTAAATTAGAAATCCATAGCAGGTGCAGTGGCACACACCTGTAGTCCCAGCTACTTGGAAGGCTGAGGTGGAACAGTCACTTGAGTCCAGGAGTTGTAGTCTACCTTGGGCATTGTAGAGATACCCTGTCTCTAAAAACAAAAATAAACATAAAAAATCCATGACAGAAAGATGCTTGGAAAATCCTCAAATATTTGGAAACTAAATTACACACTTCTAAATAACCCATGAGTCAAAGAAGAAATTAAAAGAGAAATTAGAAAGTATGTACAGTTGATTAAAATTAAAACAATATTCCAACATCTGTGGATTGCAGCTAAAGAAGTACTTAGAGGAACACTTGTAATACTAAATATTTATATTAGAAAAGAGGAAATGTATCAAGTAATGACCTAGCTGCCACTTTAAGAAACCAGAAAAAGAAGAGTAAATGAAACACAAAATGAGCAGAAGAAAATAAATACTGAATATCAAAGTGGAAATGAATTAAATAAAAAACAAAATGACAGAGAAAAACCAATGAAATCAAAAGCTGCTGTTTGAGAAGATCAATGTGATTGGTAAATTTCTAGCCAACTGATCATGAAAAAAAATAAAGACACAAATTACAAAAATTAGTACTGAGAGAAATGACATTTTAACAGATTACATATGTTAAAAGGATAATAAGAAAATATTATGAATAGCTCTGTTCCCCTAAATTTGACAAATTAGATGAACTGGACAAATTAGTTAAAAAACTTGAACTACCAAACCTTGCTCAAAAAATACAAATAGCCCTATATCTATTATAAAAATTAAATTTATAATTAAAAACCTTCCCCCACAAAAAACAAACTAATAATCAATAATCACTCCAGGACCAGATGTCTTCACTGATGAATTCCACCAGACATTTTAAGAGAAAATAATACCAATACTACACAAACTCTCACAGAAAGTTGAAGATGAGGGAACACTTCCTGACGTATCCTATGAGATCAACATTGCTCTACTATCAACATCAGAAAAGACATTTAAAAAAAGAAAGCTTTAGGTCAGCAGCCCTAATCAATATATATAAAAAATCTTAAAATTTTAATCATATCCAACAATATATTAAAAAGATAGCATATTTTGACACAATAGAGTTTATTCTAGGAATATAATGATGGTTTAACATTCAAAGGTCAACCCATATAATTCACCATATCAACAGGACAAATAAGAAAATACATATAATCATATCAATAGATGCATAAAAGCATTTGACAAAATCCAACATCAATACCTGATTAAGGAAAATATAAAACTTCTCAGCAAACTTGGAATAATAGGCACATTTTATGTATTTTTTAAAAACAACCTGCAGCTAACATTATACCCAATGGGGAAAGACCGAAAGCTTTACCCCTGAGATTAGGAACAAGGCAAGGATGTCTCCTCACACCGCTGCTATTCAGCATTGTATGGGGAGCTCTAGCCATTGTGATAAGGCAATATAAGACACTAAAAAAAGGCAGAAAAAAGAAAGGCATTCATATAAGAAAGGAAGAAGTAAAACATAACTATGTAGAAGATCTACATATTCTGTGCAAAAGCTTCTAGGGCTAATAAGCTTAGCAGGGTTGCAATTTATGAGAGCAATATTTAAAAAATGTGTTTCTACATGCTAGCAACAAGCAGTTTAACATTGAATAAAAACCTTTTCCATTTACCATAGCATCAAAAATATGTAATATTTAGGTATAAATCTGACAAAAGATATAAGACCTATACACTGAAAACTACAAAGCGATGCTGAGAGAAATTAAAGAAGATCTAAATATATGGAGAGCAACTCCATCTTCATGGGTTGAAAGGCTTGATAACTCAAAGATGTCAATTTTCCTTAAATTGATCTATAAATTCAACACAATCTCAATTGACAAACTGATTCCATGTATACTAAAACTACTGTGGTATTCATAGGACATAATATTCCTCTACACGTCCTTTTGGGTTGCTATAACAAATCATAGATTGGTTGACTTAAACAGCAGACATTTATTTCTCACAGTTCCATAGACTAGGAAGTACAAGATCAAGGTACTGGCAGATTCAGTTCTTAGTGACGGCCCTCTTCCTGACTTGCAGGTGGTCAACTTTTCTCTGTGTCCTCATATGGTAGAGAAGGAAAGCTCTGGTGTCTCTTCCTCTTCTTATAAGGACAGTAATCCTAACATAGGGCTCCACCCGCATGACATCATCTTAACCTAATTACCTGACAAAGACTCTCAAATCCTAATCTAATCACGTTTGGGATTAGGGCTTCAACACATGAATTCTGGGGAAACACAAACATTCAGTCCATAACAACTCCCCTCACATATGGCAAGCAATAATGAGACTAAGCCATGATATAAAACTGTAAGAAATTATACTCATGCCAAAATTTCAGTAGGAATTAAGAAGAAAGAGGAATTACTTCTGTGTTGGTGGGAGAGAGGAGCTGGGAAAGAAAGGGAGGAATGAGGGCTTTGCACAAGATGATGATCTGAGTCTGAAAGAGCAGATATTACGCATGGCTTACAGTCATGAGCAGAAAGAGATTCCAGGCAGAGGAACTAAGGTAAGAAAATGTGAAAAGGAGAAAAAACAAATACACTAAGGAAGACAGAATATATTCAATTTTCTGACCCTTGGCATAGCTAAAGGGTAGACAGTGAAAGAAGCTTATAAAATGAAATGGAGTTAGATCATAAAGAACTTGCACACTAGGTTATTGACTTCAAACATTAATTTCTGTTTGCCATTCCTCCATTCCTTATGAAAGAAAGAGACTCCATATCAATATTCTTGTTAACATGCTCATTCAGAAGTTTTCTAAACTCCTGACCTAAATGTGTTTCACATGTATTGTGAAACCATATCTTAGTTTTGATCAGCTCTCATTTAACAATATTTCAATGAGATACACTCCTCTAAACTGTAATGATAATCTCTCTCTTATATCTCTCCACTTTCTCGGGTCTAAAAAGCTTACTGTTGGGAGGATAAACACATTTTAAGATCTCAACCTGGTTTTACTTAATATATGGTGAGTTTGGATTCAACATGTCAGTGAAGCCTTTAGTATTCTAGAGATCCATGGGTACCACAGACAGTCTGGACAGGCACAGGCTTGAGGTTAACTATGGAAATGCTTCTGACCCAGAGCTATACTGCAGAGATCTACAAGCAGACACAAATTCATACACAGGGCAGAGTCAGGCATGGGTCAGCTTAAGAGGCATGCATCCAAGTTGCCGTCAATATAAGAAACCTAAGGTGGGACTCCATTGGGAGCCACATAATAGAGCTAAGGGACTACAGAGCTGGGGAGAATGAAATTTAGGAACAGACAGTCCAAACAGGCATATACATTATAACAAAATGTAGATTCATTTTGGACTAATATTTAACTCATGGCAAAACCATAAAATATTTCTGATGACTAGAAATTATATTTTTAAGTAACTTTAAAATAATAGGTTCACACAATCTTTAAATAATTTTCCATCTTAATTTATATATTTTGAAATCAAGTATTTAATTATCATATATAACAAGGCAAAGTCCAGCTTCTGCATACTAAGTCATTTATAATATTTAAAACCCTCTCAAAGGAAATCAGCTTTTTGATCTACATAATGAATTAGAATAATCTTTTGAAGTCACATAAAGTTTCAGAAAAGTCTAACTGCATATATTTACACATACAAGTGATATTATGTATGTAATATGTGAATAAAAGGAACGAAGGAAGGAGGAAAGAACGGAGAGAGGAAAAAGGAAAGAAGGAAGGGAGGGAGGACAAAAGGAACTAGTATAAAAATATTTGTATCTGTAAAATTTTGAAATACATAACAATTCTTGAAATATATCAAGTTCAATTATCTAGTTGAAGATATCTCAGTTTCCATTTAGGACTCAGAAAGTCTATATGGAGTTGATGAAATATAAAAATGTATTCTATGGGAATAGAATAACAAATGAAATTAAAAGAAAAGTCTCATGGAGGTTATTTTTACTTTGAAAAAAAAAGAAGTCGCATTCCTAAGGCAGAAAACTTAATTTTTTTAAATGACTTCAACTTTTATTTTAGATTCAGGGAGTACATATGCAGATCTGTTACATGGGTATATTGCATGATGCTGAGGGTTGGGGTACAAATGTCCCATCATCCAGTTAGTGAACATAGTACCTAATAGTAAGCTTCTCAACCCGTGTCCACCTCCCTCCTTTCCCCCATCTAGTAGGCCTCAGTGTCTATTGTTGCCATCTTTATGTCCATAAGTACCCAGTGTTTAGCTCCCACTTACAAGTGAGAACATGCAATATTTGGTTTTCTGTTCTGGGTTAATTTGCTTAAGATAATGGCCTCCAGCTGCATCCATGTTGCTACAATATACACAGATCTCTTATAGAAGGCTAAATTTTTTTAATTTTTATTTTAAGTCAGGGATACATGTGGAGGTTTGTTACATAACTAAACTTGTGTCATGGAAGTTTGTTGTACAGATTATTTCATCACCCAAGGATTAAGCCTAGTGCCCATTAGTTATTTTTCCTGATCCTCTCTGTTTTTACCTTCCAGCTTCTGATTAGCCCCAGTGTGTGTTGTTCCCCTCCGTGTATCCATTTGTTCTCATCATTTAGTTCCCACTTATAAGTGACAACTTGAGGCATTTGGTTTTCTGCTTCTGTGTTAGTTTGCTAAGGATAATGGCCTCCGGCTCCATCCATATCCCTGCAAAGGACATGATCTTGTTCCTTTTATGGCTGCATAGTATTCTATGATGTAACATACCACATTTTCTTTATCCAATCTATCATTGATGGGCATTTAGATTGATTCCATGTCTTTGTTATCGTGACTAGTGCTGTAATGAACATACATGTGCATGTATCTTTATAACAGAACAACTGATATTTTGGGGAGTATGTAGCCAGTAATGAGATTGCTAGCTCAAATGGTATTTCTGTCTCTAGGTCTTTTAAAAATCATCACACAGTCTTCTACAATTGTTGAACTAATTACACTCCCACCAACAGTATGTAAGTGCCCCTTTTCCTCCACAACCTTGCCAGCATCTGTTGTTTTCTGCCCTTTTAATAATAGCCATTCTGACTGGTGTGAGATGGTATCTCATTGTGGTTTTGATTTATATTTCTTGAATGATCAGTGGTGTTGTGCTTTTTTAAATATGATTGTTGGTTGCATGTATGTCTTCTTTTGAAAAGTGTCTATTCCTGTCCTTTGCTCATGTGTTAATGGGGTTGTCTGTTTGTTTCTTGTACATTTGTTTAAGTTCTTTAATCCATTCTTGAGTTAATTTTTGTATATGGTATAAGTAAGGGGTCCAGTTTTAATCTCTGTATATGGCTAGTCAGTTATCCCAGCACCATTTGTTGAACATGGAATCTTTCCCCATTGTTTATTTCTGTCAGGTTGTAGAAGATCAGATAGTTAAAGGTGTGTGGTCTTATCTCTGGGTTCTCTATTCCGTTCCATTGGTCTATGTGTCTGTTTTTGTGCCAGTACCATGCTGTTTTGGTTACTGTAGCCCTGTAATGTAGTTTGAAGTCAGGTGGCATGATGCCTCCAGCTTTGTTCTTTTTGCTTAGGATTGCCTTTGCTATCTGGCTCTTTTTTGGTTTCAAATAAATTTTAAAATAGTTTTTTTCTAGTTCTGTGAAGAATGTCAATGGTAGTTTAATAGAAATGGCACTGAATCTATAAATTGGTTTGGGCAGTATGGTCTTTTTTATATTGATTCTTCCTATCCATGAGCATGGAATATTTTCCCATTTGTTCGTGTCATCTCTGATTTCTTTGAGCAATGGTTTATACTTCTCCTTGTAGAGATATTTCAACTCCCTAGTTGGCTGTATTTCTAGTATTTTATTCTTTTTGTGGCAATTGTAAATGGGAGTTTCTTCTTTATTTGGATCTCAGCTTGACTGCTGTTGGTGTATGGGAATGTTAGTAATTTTTACACATTGATTTTGTATCCTAAGACTTTGTTGAAGTTTTTTATCAGCTTAAGAAGTTTTGGGCTAAGACTATGATGCTTTTGAGATAGAAGATCATGTTGTCTGCAAACAGGGATAGTTTACTTCCTCTCTTCCTATTTGGGTGCCCTTTCTTTCTCTTGCCTGATTGCCCTGGCCAGGACTTCCAGTACTATGTTGGATAGAAGTGGTGAAAGAGGGCATCCTTGTCTTGTTCCAGTTTTCAAGGGTAATGCTTCCAGCTTTTGCCCATTCAGTATGATGCTGGCTGTGGGTTTGTCATATATGGCTCTTATTATTTTGAAGTATGCTTATGGTTAAAATTTAACACTAATAGATTGTACATGGTGCCATTTGCCATTGAGAGAAATATAAGCAAATGTAAAAATGCAGTATTAACTGTAGTGTACACTGTACCATTATCATAATTTCATAGCCAGCTCCCGTTGCCCCTGCATTGAGCTCAAATGTTACAAGTATCTTCTTAAAACATAGTGTGGCCAATCATCTCGATGTGAACAGTTTATCTCTCCCATAATTTGCACGTCATGGTAAAAGTGATCTCTCTCATGCCACTGCACTCCGGCCTGGGCAATTGACGGAGACCCTATGTCTTTTTTTTTTTTTTTTTTTTGAGACCAAGTCTCGCCCTGTCGCCCAGGTCAGAGTGCAGTGGCGCAATCTCAGCTTACTGCAACCTCCGCCTGCCGGGTTCAAGCGATTCTCCTGCCGCAGCCTCCCGAGTAGCTGGGATTACAGGCAAGGGCAACCATGCCTGGTTAATTTTTTGTATTTTTAGTAGAGACGAGGTTTCGCCTGTTGGCTACGCTGGTCTCTATCTCTTTAAAAAAATAATAATAATAATAATTGGCCGATGGCCAGCCGCGGTGGCTCACGCCTGTAATCCCAGCACTTTGGAAGGCCGAGGCGAGCGGATCACCTGAGGTCAGGAGTCCGAGACCAGCTTGGCCAACATGGTGAAACCCCGTCTCTACTAAAAATACAAAAAAATTAGCTGGGTATGGTGGAGGGTGCCTGTAATCCTAGCTACTCAGGGGGCTGAGGCAGGAGAATCACTTGAACACAGAAGGCAGAGGTTGCAGTGGACCGAGATCACGCCACTGCACTCTAGCCTGGGCAATAGAATGAGACTCTATCTCAAAAATGAAAAACAAAAACTGCTCTCTCTCTCTGTGTCTCAGTTCTCATGTATTTTTCACTGAGTTTAGTGTGATACCATAAATCTTGAATAACCACCATGGGACCCATATAAAATGCCACTGGTGATGCCGGAAGTCCTTGCAAGAAGCAGAGAAGTCACAACATTAAAAAAAAATAGAATTGCTTGAGATGTGCCATAGATTGAGGTCTGCGGCTGCAGATGGCCTGCTAGTTCTGACAGACAATTCATTTTCTGAAAAGGCAATGTAAACTTATGGTACGGACAAATAAAGTACAGCATTGTAAATGTATTTTCTCTTCCTCATGATTTTCTTTGTGATATTTTGTTTCACTTTATTGCAACGATACAGTATATAATGCATATAACATACAAATATGTGTTAATCAACTGTTTACAGTATCAGTAATGCTTCTGGTCAACAGTAGACTATTAATAAAGTTTTGTAAAATCAAGTCATATATGAATTTTTGACTGTGTGGGGTGACATCAGAGTCCCAACTACCACATTATTCAGAGTCAAGTGTACTTAAAATTCCAAATTAATAAAAACTACTTACATAAGGCTGGGCACAGTGGCTCACACCTGTAATCCCAGCACTTTGGGAGGCTGAGATGGGTGGATCACGAAGTCAGGAGATCGAGACCATCCTGGCGAACACAGTGAAACCCTGTCTCTACTAAAAATACAAAAAAAAATTAGCCGGGCGTGGTGGCAGGCGCCTATAGTCCCAGCTACTCAGGAGGCTGAGGCATGAGAATGGCATGAACCCTGGAGGTGGAGCTTGCAGTGAGCCAAGATCATGCCACTGCACTCCAGCCTGGGTGACTGAGCAAGACTCTGTCTCAAAAAAAAAAAAACCTACTTACATAAAAGTCACCTATAAAAAAAAGTAGAAAGAAATTTTAAAATGAACCAAAGGGAAAAAAGGAAAATAGAATTATGTCACAGATGACGGTTGAATAGGAAGCTCCAAGAATTGATGTCTCCACTGAAATCAGTTGAGGTAGCAAGAACTGTCAGAATAAACTATAGTATTTCAGACTCTGAAGTCTGGTGAGACACTTGCAACATGAGGAGAGTGTAAAGGGAAAAAGAGGCATGGCAAATTTCAATGAATTTTGGCATTTCACAAAGCAGCTACCATCCTTTAGCCCCAGCTCCAAGCTGGCAGCCATAGGGAGATAAGACCATGTACTTGGTATGGCTTGTTGGTGCTAGAGTGGACAATAAGGACGTTGTCCTCCAACAATTGTGCTTGTGTGTTTTTATATGCTTGGCTGTTCATTGAGAAACCGGCACAGAAGCACAGAGGCTGGCCATTCTTTCAACCCTATTGGGCTAAAGCAGCTGTCAAAGGAACTTAAAAAGATAGACACTTTTTTCTATTTTCTTATTGGATCTAGGCATTCAAGGAATTCTCTGTAGGATCACTGGCTGACTGCAAAAATAATGGAACAGAGACTTTAGTGACCACACATGACAAAGAATATAGTTTTGAAAAAAAATAGAAAAAACTTGTTAAACAAATGGACAACTGCAGCTTTCATCAAGTTAACAACAGCAATCCTTGGAGAGGGGGAAGAATTTCCACACTTACTACATTATGATACTCAAAATGTCCAGTTCTCAACAAAAAATTACAAAGCATACAAAGAAACAGAAAAGTATGGCACATTCATACTGTTTTACAGGTAAAAGAGAAACTACTCCTGAGGAGGCCTAGCCTTGGACAGACTATAAAAAGACTTTAAATTAATTGTCTTATGTTGAAAAAGCTGAAGAAAACTATGGACAAAAAAGAAATTCAGGAGAATGATGTATGAGTAAGCAGAGAACATCAATAAGGAGATACGCCTGCTGTTAGATTCATGTCCTTAAAGCATAATTTTGATTCTATTACTGGTGTTCTCCGGTTTCTAGCCTCAACCCGATTTTTGCATCACACACTCCTGGTGATGTCATCCAAGGCCATAGCCTTATGCAGTTTCTGTCTCTAGTACTGCCTCTCTGCATTTGAAGCAAAGGAGACAGAGAAAAGCCATCTACATTAGGCTGTTCTTGCACTGCTACAAAGAAACACCCGATACTGGGTAATTTATAATGAAGAGATGTTTAACTGATTCATGTGTCTGCAGGCTGTTCAGGAAGCATGATGCTGGGCATCTGCTTGGCTCCTGATGAGACCTTAGGAAACTTATAATCATGGCAGAAGGCAAAAGGGGAGCTGGCATGTCACATGGCAAAAGCAGAAGCGAGCAAGAGAGAGAGAGAAAGAGAGAGAAAAGAGGTGCCACATACTTTTAAATGATCAGATGTCCTATGAATTCAGAGCAGCGAGGGTTCACTTTTGACTAAGGGGATGGCCCAAGCCATTAAGGAGTGATCTGCCCCCATATTCCAAACACCTCCCATCATGTCCCATCTCCAAGACTGGGGATTACATTTTAAAATGATATTTGCATGAGGACAAATATCCAAACTATATTGCCATCAGAGAAGAGAAAGCAGAATCTGTGGGTAGAGTATGGCAGAATTCAATAGAGAGAAAACTATCATCACCACAGTAGTATTTTAGAAAACCATGAATTCTACAAGATAGATTTTATAGACTGCTACTGTGCACCATAGCTGTACATAAAGTCAGACAGATGAGAGTTTCCATCATTAAACCACCACTTCCTAAAAATATGTTCTTGGGTGAGTCTCTTTATTGTCTTCATGTCCTCATTTGGTAAATGAAGATAAAAACAGTATACTACATCAAAGTTATGATGAAAACTAAATAATATATGGCATTAAGTGCATTTAACAAAGGGCCTCACACAAATTAGGTACCTAACAAAAATACGCTGTATTGGCTCATACAGCAGTCCTTCAATAAATGTACATGCCTTCAATACATTTGCATGAAAGAATAAGTAAATGATACATGTTCTTTAATGCTAATAACATGCAAGTAATACAATCATTATTGGAAGATCCACACACCTTTACAAGTCATTTGTAATATGCAGTTGTTATCTGAGCATGAATATAAAAGTCAGTGTTTTTAAATCACTTGAAATTTATAAAGCGTGGAATTTCAAATTGATGGCTGAAAAGCAACATATCATGATTTAGCATTTCAATAAGCTAATTTAGCAAATATCATTTTAAAAGACAACAAATATGTCCCAGCAAGAGGTCAACATGGAAAAGAAACACATGCACTTAAAAATTGGCTTCTGCAAGTAAGAGGCCACCCACTGCCCTTGATTGTTTTGGAAGTCCATTAAAATCAGTTAAGGAAACAGATACTAAAACTTTAAAGTTCTTTTATGTTTACTTTCTTCAAGTAAAAATGCTATCTTTGACATGTAGACTTTAAAGGGTTATGTTACTAAGCATTAAACTGGTCCATTAAAGGAATAGGATAGCCCGACGTTGATACTTTTTTAAATTTGTGAAATGATAAATGTAATTTTTGTGGCCCATTTTAAACTATGAATCACAACAGAGTTAATGGAAGTTAATGTAAACAACACTGAAACAATAAAACTGTAATTTGATAAAGGTGTAGCCATCTACATTTCAATAAAAATGTATATAACATGTATAACTAAAATAATAGTGTATCATTTTACTCCTAAAGCTTTATTTAAATGATTATTCTATCTATGTTTCCATAAGGGAAAAAAATCACTTTAGAATACACTTTGCCTGAAAGAACTTTTTCTCCATTGATTATTAAAATGAGATATCATGCTGTTAGCTGAGTGCATTTACAATGAAAAGTTTTCATTGTAACTTGTCCCCAATTTGATGGCTTCTATAAATCCTTCAGTATGAGTTTTAACAATCCCTGATTTCTTTTTGGCACCTTTGAACAGAGCAGAGGGGTGGGATTACATAAAGCACCCTTTTGTGTTTCTTCTTTCCTCTTACCTGCATTCCTGATTTATAATTACTGTGAAAACAGGTTTCTTGGCAGGGAAAGAACTTTAAGGATTTCAGAAAAGAACTACCAAAGAATTCCAAGCACTCTAAAGTATATCAGATGGAAACTCTGAAACTGGAATAAGATGCTGTTTAATTTCACTTAGCAAAAATTATCACAGTTGTTACAAGAGTTACAATAAACCCAATTGCACAAGAATTACTAGTATGTAAAATAAACATTATATATTGGGCTTGTAGCTTCATGATTTAAAAATCTTTCAGGCTGTACTCCAACGCATTTGCTTGTTTAGTACAGATTACATCCACTTGCTCAGACTCCATTTACACTTGGCAGATGGTCACATCACTCATGACATTTCCTGTTTAGCTCTATATTTTAAAATCAACTGCAATGGAATGTAGATTGGCAATAGCCTTCTCTCCAGTAAATATCTACACCAGAGGACATCAAAAACCCTTCTTAAGATGGAAACAAAACATTTGTATTTATCTTAACACAACTTTAGTTATTTCCTTTCTTAGTGCCAATTATGTCTGGTGCCAAATATAAAATTTTAAAAGTGTTGATTTTCCAAAGTTTTCTTAAAAACTTTTTTTCCCAATATTAGTCACGTGAAGGCAAACTTTAGACTAATAATTTCAAGTGATACCGCATTTTTCAGTTCCATAAGAATAAAAAACTCATTTCCCAATGGCTATCCTCTCCTTGATCTGAATATCTCAGGTTTTATGAATTTGAATCCTACAAGTATCAACTAGACTGTAGTCATCAGAGTTAAGTAATGTAAGAAATACGATGAATTCGTTTTAATTTACCAGGGCATTTTGGCATTTTAAGCATCCTCTTAATGTGAGACTAGGTTTACAAGAAGCATATGAAAACTAGTAAATAAAGCATTTAAATGATCAAAGCTTAAGAAATGAATGGTTAATATAAGCACAAATTGAAAATTATAAGAGATTTGTATTTATATTTCCAAACACTAGTAACATATTGTTATAAAACCCTGGTAAATGATTTAATGGAAATACCACATAAATTATTCTATTAAATACAAGCATAATAAAGGAGAAACTGAACTTAATTGAACTTAATGAAAAATTGGTTTTTATTTCTAACAATAACCTCATTTTACCTCTTTAAGTCAGCTTAATTGAAGGATCTACCTCTAAAGCTAATAAATAAAGTTTCTGAAGTGTTTAGAAAAGACAAAGTCAACACAATTTCTCTAACCAACATCAATTTTCTAATTACAAGTTGTAATATTTCATGAACATTGTATTTAAATGCACTGTTATGATAAATCAGGCAAACTGATTTACATAGCCAACTATGTCATTCTAGAACTCGATATGCATAAAGTCTTTCTATCCCTTTGGCATCAATGGCTAGCATCGTCAGTCCTCTATTTTACAGATGACTAATGTCTGAAATTGAGTCCAAGTGCCTAGGGCAATTTAACATGAAAGACAGAAGTCCAAATTTGAATATTTACAAACTCTACATTATCATTTTATTCACAACTTCAGTGTTCACGAAGGAACAAGAGGCACAAGTTTTTGTTTGTTTGTTTACTATTTATTCCTATCGTCACGGAGTTCCAAAAAAAAAGCAAAAAAAAAAACAAAAAACGGTTATGACAAATTACTGCTCTAAAAATTTTCAGTCTGGGGCAGCGGAGATGTAGAGATTGCTTCTATAAAATGACAAGTGCAGAAACTATATGTGGACTTCCATGGTGGTCCCTTCAATTGGTACTTAGCTGTTTGTTTTTAAACTAAGAAAGCAAGAATGCATTTTTAATCCCAGACTTAAAAGAAAAATTTGTGGCTTTTCCCTCCAATTCTTACATCCTCTTGAAGAACGCATCAATTTTTTGAGACTTAGCGTTAGGGCAGTGTTCCCAAAAGTGTGGTGCATTTGTTTCCAGTGGTTTCTGAGGTGATTTTAGGTAGCAAACATATGTACATTTTTAATTTTAGTTGTTACATATTTATTTGGAAAATATTGATTTTTTTCTTTTACGACAGTTAAATGCAATTTTTTTTAAGCAAGATAACAAATATAGCACTACATGAAAGATCATAAAAGATTACTCAGTTATGGTAAAAGTTCTGAAGGTGGTTCAAGAATAACTGAAGTCAGGAAATTTCTCAGGCTGCCTTTTTGAAAACATAGAATACTTGGCAAATCGGTAGGTCACCCCTAAAAAAGAATTCAGATTAACCTTTTATTTATTTATTTATTTATTTATATCTTTTTTGAGACGGAGTTTTGCTCTTCTTGCCCAGACTGGAGTGCAGTGGCACGATCTCAGCTCACCGCAACCTCCGCCACCTGGGTTCAAGCGATTCTCCTGCCTCAGCCTCCGGAGTCGCTGGGATTACAGGCATGAACCACCACGCCCCGCTAATTTTGTATTTTTAGTAGAGACAGGGTTTCTCCACGTTGGTCAGGCTGGTCTCAAACTCCCGACCTCAGGTGATCCACCCTCCTCAGCCTCCCAAAGTGCTGGGATTACAGGCGTGAGCCACCACGCCTGGCCCAGATTAACCTTTCAAAAATCAATCCTGTATGGTCACGGTGGCTCACGCCTATAATCCCAGCACTTTGAGAGGCCAAGGCGGGCGGATCACAAGGTCAGGAGCTCGAGACCATCCTGGCTAACATGGTGAAACCCCGTCTCTACTAAAAATACAAAAAATTAGCTGGGCGTGGCAGGGATGCCTGCAGTCCCAGCTACTCGGGAGTCTGAGGCAGAAGAATGGCGTGAACCCTGGAGGCGGAGTTTGCAGTGAGCCCAGATGGCACCACTGCACTCCAGCTTGGGCGACAGAGCGAGACTCCATCTCAAAAAAAAAAAAAAAAAAATCAATCCCATTATAGTATATGTGGTACCAAAACAAACAAAGCAATATCCTTTTTATTGCCCAAGTTTGATTTTGGAAACCTAATGACCATGTTCTTCAGAGCCAGGACTTCAAAAACCTGTTAGTTCATGAAACTATATGATTGAGACAAGTGTCTCTCTTATCTGTCTGTCTTTCTTCCTGTCCTCTTGAGAGTGTGAATTCAACAAGTAGACTTGATGCCAGTCAAGGCAGAGAGTGTTATCAAAGGATGGGAGTAGGAGGGCTGAATTTAGAATTTTTCTTTTTATTGAAGAAAATCTTAGTGTTGGGTTTTGGTGTAAACATAATAGAGACAAAGAATCTGTTCTTAGATGAAGGGATAAGCACACATATTCTTCATGCAACACATTCATATAGGAAACACCGCTCACTGCTATTTTTTACTGCTACTACTATCTTCCTTCTTATAATGTGCATGGTTCCTTGTAAGTGATAAATAATGTTAGTAAAAAGTTCTTCCCAATATATCAAGCTTTACTCCACAAAGATTTACCTGACCACAACTATTCTTTCATAACAACTGAAACAAAGATCATAACAAAGATCACTAAATTTTATAAGAACTACTCTAACACAGGACCTATCATATTTTCATTGGAAATTTTTTTCTTGATATATCTCAAAAATAAAAATCCAGGTCAACGATCACTCATTTGAAATCCTTAGGGCAAAATGTGTTTTAAGATTTAGAATCACTTCACTTTAATAAGGGAAATAAACCAAAATACAGTTTACATGCAATATATAATATCCATTGTAAGGTCTCAGATAGCTTAGTCTATTCAAATATATGAATAGTTCTACTGTAAAAGATATGAATATTCATATTAGGTAAGATTTTTTTAAAAGGCAAAATAACCTTATATCAATCCAGATCAGTCTCTGTTCCAAAAAGCTTCTGGTCAGGACAGGTTTTAATTTTGGATTAGGGAACTGTGTTTAAGAAAGCATAGACTTGTACTAGCAGAGTTATAAATCAGGAGATGAACTATTAGCTAACAGCTTGCAAAGAAATCTTTCTAAGGTGATAGCCACTATGTGAATACAAAATAAAAGAGAAAATACAAGCCTGGACAAATAAATACTGAATACTGATAAGTACAAAAGCATAACATAGTAAATTCTAAAAGAGCCCTGAATAGGAAAAACAGTTTTGAAAAAGAACAAGGTTGGAGTACTCACACTTCCTGATTTCAATAGTCACTATAAAGGTACAATAATTAAAGCAGTATAATGGAGGCATAAGGACAGACATATAAGCAAATGAAACAGATTGAGAGTCTGGAAAATAAACCTACACATCTATGGTCAATGGGATTTTGGCAAGGGTATGAAGAGACCAGTCAATAGAGAAAGAATAATCTCTTCCACCAGTGGCACTGGGACAACTAAATTTCCACAAGTAAAAGAATTAAGTTGGACTCCCACTTCATACTAATATTAACTCCAAATGGATCAACAACTTAAATATAAGACCTTAAACTACAAAACTCTTAGAAGAAAACATAAGGGCAAATCTTCTTGATCTTGGATTTGGCAATTGAGTACCAGATAGGATAACAAAAGCACACACAAAAAAGAAAAAATAGACAAGTTGGATATCATCAAAATTAAAAACTCTGTGTACCGAAGGACACTCTCAAGAGAGTGAAAAGACAACCTATTAAATGGGAAAAATGTTTACAAATCATATATCACATGAGTGTTAAATATCCAGAACTCTACCCAACTAAAAAATGGGCAAAGGGCTTGAACACACTTTTCTCCAAAGAAGACATACAAATAGCAAATAAGCACATGAAATGATGCTCAATATCATTAATCATTTGGGAAATACCAATCAAAACCACAATGAGATATCACTTCATACCCACTAGGATGGCTAAAACCAAAAACAGAAGAAAAGTGTTGGTGAAGACATGGAAAAATTTGAACCCTCATACATTGCTGGTGGGAATGTAAATGGTACAGCCACTATAGAAAATGTAATGGTTTTTAAAGTAGTTCCTTAAAAACTAAACATAGAATTACCATATCACCCAGCAATTCCACTTCCAGGTACAGATCCAAAGGAATTGAAAGTAGATACTTGTACAATAATGTGCGTTGCCACATTATTCATCATAGCCAAAAGGTAGAAACAATCCAAGTGTCTACCAACAGATGAATAAATAAACAAAATATGGCCTATAAATATAATAGAGTATTATTCAGCCTTAAAAAGGAGTGAAATTTTGATACATGGTACAACATTGATAAACTTGAAAAGCATTGTGCTAAGCAAAATGAGCCAGACACAAAAGAATGAATATTGTATGATCCTACTTGAATGAGGTACCTAGAACAGGCAAATTTATAGACACAGAAAGTAGATTAGAGATTACCAGGGGCTGAGGGTAAGGTAAAAATGGGGAATTATTGTTTACTCATTACAGGGTTTCTATTTGTGCTAATAAAATAGGTTTGAATAGGTACTACTGATGGTTACACAACATCGTGAAAGTATTTATTGTCACTGAATTGCATACTTAAAAATGGTTAAAATAGCTCATTTTATTTATATATTTCTTACAATTAAAAGCTTAATTATGTAATGAACAAAAACCCATCGAATTGTATACTTTAAATGGGTGAACTGTATTATATGTAAATTACACCTCAATAAAGCTGTTAAAAATTTATGTCAACAAAAAAGTCATAACTGCCACCTGATAACACAGATGGGAAAATTTGTAGCACATCATACAGGTGAAACGCACAGATTCTGGAGCCAATCTTCCTGGATTTAAAATGTGGCTCCACCTCTTTCTAATTATACGACCCTGGTAAGTTATTTAACCTATCATTTTGTTTTGTTTTGTTTTCTAAAATAAGAATAATAGTATCTTCTTCATAGGGTTGTTATGAAGATTCAAAGAGTTAATATCTCTAAAGTACTTAGTCAAGTACCTGGCACATATGAAGCACTAATGCTAGTCATTATTATTATTGGGGAAAGTGCTCGGAGAAAAGCATCTGAGATTCTAGGGTAGATTTGGAGGAATCATCCCACTTCTAACCCACTGAAGAACAACAACCTGCTTCATGAGAGGCATGGAATTTGTCTTGAAAAATATTTGTTGTAAATGAAATGGAGCAAATGTGTACTCTAAAAATGGCTATTGTGGGAAAGCTTCTGCAACAAGAATGCTGATGAACTGGAAGGAAGACAATAGCCAAATATGTCTAAAAAGAGGAGGACTGACATGCTGAAGCATAGGAGAGATAGTAGTTAAGGGCTCCGGCCTCATGGATTACCAAATAAACCACCACAAACTCCTTCATGCTTCTACACAAGAAGGAGTTGTGATATTTAATTACTGTCAGATATGTGCTTAACAAATACAACTCTCTTTTATTACCTACTGCTGCAGGCCAAATTCTCTGGAAAAGACTTTGAGACACAGGTTAATCAGAGAGTGCTCTTGGGAGTAAGGGAAGAGAGATTAAGTAGAGAAAAGCTGAGCTGTGATGCAATTGCAGCAGAGGCCTCTGAGCTGGGGTGGCCCCTCAGTTATCCTGAACTGAAGCAAGAAGGATGGGCCTTTGTACTCCCTGCATTAACCTGTCATTTTATGTGAGCTACAACTAGGGACAGAAATGGAGTTTTAAGTGAGGCAGTGCCCATCAACTGAGGGCAACTCCCAGAGGGCCTGGAAACCATGACAGCCAGTACCCCTTGCAGTTAGGAAATGAATGCTCTACTCTCAAAAGGGAATCTGTGTAGTGCACCTTAGCACTCACCATATTAATGGGTCCCATATTATTGTCCCCAAAGCAGCAGTTGCAGGGCTTGGAAACTTGTTAGAAATGCAAATTCTCAGGTCCCACGCTAAAACTAATAAACTATGGAAACTCTGGAGGTAAGGTCTAGCAATTTGTCTTTCAATAAGCTCTCCAGGTAATTCTGATGCATGCTAAGTTTGAGAACCACTACTATATATGCTATGTAAAATATAAAATGCATGCAAAATTATTTCACTGCAGGTACAGCCTGCACTCTTATGAATGCACATCATGGACTGATGTCCAATACTACTGGAAAACAAAGAAATTCTATTACTTGGAGCCCCGACTTCTGGTCAATCACAGAGCTGTTGGTTTACAGACTCGAAGGTAACTACTAAGCTCTAACAATATTTGACATGGTACTTTATATGTGACACAGATCCACAGAAAAGTGAATTAACAACATAAAGTTATACTCATTGCAAAAAAAGTCTGTAAGTATAAGAGAACATGCTAAGGGCTATACAAATGTGAATTAAGTAAAGCAAAATGCTAATAGGTGAACAATTCTAGCCAAATCCAACTTAGTTGGCATCTGACTCTCTCCTTGGGCTTCTAAAAAGATCTGCACGTGAAGAAATACCAAGATCAGCTCAGAAAGGAGGCAGGGAGCAGCCTCAAGGCTATTTGTCTCTTCTACAGAAATTGTATTTGTAGCCAAGAGGGATGCACAGGGTTGCAAAAAGCTAAGGAAAATCCTCAAGTCTGCATTAATTCTATATGATAGATAGTGATGAGACAAATTCCAAACAGTGACAGGACAAGGTGGTGAAAAATCTTCATGGATATTGTCACTCTAAGTATTCAATAACACAGGAGTGATGGTGTGGTCTGCAACTCATTAGAGCATCCCAGGAAACCTTCTGAGAAAATGATAAATGAAGCATTGAATGCCCACAAACAGTTTCAAATTTTGATGGTGTTTTCTCTGAGCCTTAGAACTAGGAGCCTTAGCAATAAGAGTACAAGCTACATCTTGCTTTACTATATTGCTCTCTATTCTTCAAAGCCCTTCAACACACATCTGTAATTTGATGCTCACAAGCACTCTGAGATTGACAAGTATTACAGCTGCATTATATAGGTAAAGAAATGGGGCCAGAAAAGGCTAGGAGTGACTTGCTCAAGGTCCCACAGCAAGCTAATTGGAGACAGTGATATTTATTATTGTTTACTGGATGTCTCCTATGTGCCAGGGATTAGGCTGGAAGTTATGCCAATATTTTATAAAATCCTCACAAGAAATCTTTCAAATTTAGTATTAATATTATTGCCTTTTATAGATAAGAAAACAGATTCAGGGAGGTTAGGTAACTTTCCCAATATCACATGGCTATTATGTGAGAAAACCAGAGCCAAAGGGAAGTATGGTTCCAAAGAGTCAAAGGGTACATTATTATTATTATTATTATTATTATTATTATTATTATTATTATTATTTTGAGACAGGCTCTCATTCTGTCACCCAGGCTGGAGTGCAGTGGCATGATCATAGCTCATTGCAGCATCAATCTCCCAGGCTCAAGCGATCCTCCCACCTCAGCCCTCCAAGAAGCTGGGACTATAGGCACATGCCACCATGCCTGGCTAATGTTTTTAAAATTTTTTGTAGAGACGGAGTCTCACTATATTGCCCAGGTTGGTCTTGAACTCCAGGGCGCAATGATCCTCCCACCTTGGCCTCCCAAAGTGCTGGGATTATAGGCATAAGCCACTACACCCATCCCCACAGGGTGCATTCTTTTCACTACATTATTTCAACTGGTCTTGGGTGGGTCTGGGCATTATGCTCAGGTGATTTTAATGTTCACTACATGATTTTCATGTGCACCAAGGACTGGAAACTATTACTAATGCACTACAGTAGCAATATATGTACAATTCTGGTCACGACACTAGCAAAAGTGTAAAGGTGTAAATTGAAAAAATTTAAATAAAAAGGCATAGGAAGTAGACAAGAAAAGCAGACTTTAAGGAAGAAGAGTAAATAAAATGTAATATCTCCAATTTCATATATTTTTGATAAATAAATATTTAGACATTAAGTATTGGTTGGTTTACCCACCTTAACAATGCATCAGGAGCAAGAAATCTAAAAGCAAGGCATAAGGCAATTTTTACAGAAATAATACTATTTCAGATTCTGAAAGTCAGAACTCAACCTGATATTTTATTTGATTACAAAATTTTTCTACATTTAGAATAAAATCATTTTTCTTGCATTTCAGGACACTCTTATGTGTAAACAGTTTTATACAAAACCAGCATTTCAGTGGTGTAGCTTCTTCAAAAGGTAGTTAAATATTGATTTGCCATTCTCCTGGCATAATGACCAAACAGAATACTCCATCAGTTTGTTGAACCAATGGCCCTAAGTGCTGCAAAACAGGTCAGCAATTAATGTCTTTGCTGAGTTGTTGGTTTCCACGATATCTACAAGGCAGTGATTTCCATTGAATTGAACGCAAAACCGGAGACAATCCATTCATTCACATGAAAGCTAGCTTGTCATTTGAAACTCACAGGCAACTGAACTACTAGCTCTTCTCAGACTCCAGGACTTATTTCCTCCTCCCAGCTGCCAATCTCTGTTTCACCTAGAAAAGCCCCAACCCCCATCTTCTTTGCTATTAAATTCCATAATAACACCTCCCAGCTGCCAAACCTCTTCGTTCTCCCCTTTGTCTACCTTTATAGTATGTGATCAAGAGCAAATGCTCCAGCAAGCTTAAAATCTTACAGCTGCACAAAATACACATGGGAAACAAAACCTTCAGAAACAGGGTATCCTTTAATGTTTAGCTTAACCTAAGCCTACTGCTTAAACATAATTCTGTCTACTGGCTGCAAAATTCCATACTGGCAAAGCTTTAAATATATATATTCTATAGTAAAATTCTGATGATTGTTTTTGCTTAAATATATTTTATTAATAATTGCAATTTCACCTCACTTAATATTTTTGTCTTATTTGTATTTCTGTGATTTTTGATTAAAATTTATCTATAGAGTATTTTTTATTTGTAAAAAATAACATTTGAATTTTTCTAGAAGTAACGTTCACTGTAAAATAGTTTCTTTTTTCTCCTTCCATTCTGATTCAAAAGGGAGGAAATAATTTCCTTTTAGGACAAAAAAAGTGAATATACAACCCATGATCTTTATAAAGAGTCCTAGGCTATAAATAAAGGTATTTGGATATAAAATACAAATGGATAATTACCTGCTCTCTAATGTGAGAAAGATTTCCCAAACACAATTTTCTAAATAATTCTGTTTAAAGCGCATACTACCCAAATTGGGAGAAAAGAGATGTGCCATTCACACACGCAAAAAGCAAAAACTCCTAATCAAAAAGCTTGTTTTTTTCGGTCCACTGTCATGGTTAGCCATAAATTAATAGGGGAGTGAGGATACCTATTTATAAATAGGTGGATGATCAATTTGATTATGACAGACAAAACACAGACGTGCAGAAAAGTGTAAATCTGAGCTATTTAATATACTTTTCAATATGCATCTGATATTACAAATCTAAAAGCCAACTATTATTGCTGATGCCACAGCCCAATATTGCAAGTTCTTATAAAAAAATCTTTCTATCAGAAAAAGAATATCTCCAAAGATATTCTTATTAGCAAGACTGAAGAATACCTTTGCCATATCGAATATGCTCAGCTGTTTACTGCATGGTGAAGTGGTGTTAGAACCACTTAAAGATGTGTCTGACATCATTAATCTATTTGACCTCTGACTTGCAGATCTAAACTGTAACTATGGTGACCAAAGCTTGACCTTACAATGCTGAGAAACTTTAAAGCTCCGCAGTATTTTGGGTCACATTGTTAAGCTAGACAAAGGGGTAAAGAAGTAATGTGACAGTTTCCTGGGAATTAAGGTCATCGGGTCATTTGTACTGAGGCTTTTTGTGTATTAAGAAACTAGTTAAATTTTTTGATTTGTAAAAACTTTTTAGAATATACCTTGTTAGAAGCTATAAGTGTAAATAAATCAATACATTAAGCTCTAAAGAAGTTGGAGATAAAAGTATAATTAGTGTTGAACATTCAGTAATATAATATTCCTTACAATAATTTATAGATATAATATACACTATTTTCAGGGTCTACACAATCGCAAGTAAATAATGTCATGCAAAGATTACCATTTTAATGTTAGAGATAAAGTGATAAGATGATAAAATTATCTCTTTTTACACAGAAGATTCTTAGGAACAAATTCACAGTCATTTACTCTAATACCTATTAAACAAAAACTGCCTACATACACATGCAATATTTATTTGCAACACTTTATTCTCTAAGGAAAGCCTATAATAAACAAAACAAGGAGCATGTGTGCAAATGTAGAGCTAGTGTAACACCGCGTAACTGTGGCTACTACTCCTAAATGTGAGCACCTCCTGTATTTAGGTGTACTCTCGCTGCATAATTAATGCAGCACTTCACATAGAAACTGTGAACTTCTATTTTCAAGATTTTCTAATGATGCCAATAATAGGCTAGATTAACCTTTTCCACAAAAAGGCACATTCTGAGGCATTACTTTAAGGGTATTTATCCTGAAGCCCTGATGATTTTTATGCTAACTCAATGGAAGCAAATTATTTGGTGTTTATGTGTATAGGGGCTAGAGTGAGGGATCTGCAGAAAAATAGTAAACGATGATATTTTCCACATAAGTAAAGCACATTCAAATAGTCTCCCAACCAATTCAATTTTAAAACACACGTTAAAAAAAAATACTAGAGACAATTCATAACATTTGCCATTATTTTTGTATATAATACAACCTATTTTGGTCTAAATAACCTCTTGATGTTGTCATAATTCAAATGTATTACATTTCATCTCATATTAAAAATAGGAGGGAAATTAAACATACATATTATATATGCCAAATTTTACCAGATATATAATCACATGGAAAAGCAAGGGCACTAAATATTTCCTCTGTATTTTTTTCATTTTGGTAGTTTGGAAAGTCTGAGAAAGCAGGGCTGCTGAAAGAGCAACCGCCACTTGCTGATTTATTTTCTTATCTTTCACCTACATATCTGTCAAGAAGGGTATACCAGTGATGTTTCTCCCATGTGTCCCTTAGAGACTATAGAGAGTCTTTAGTAGGTTTAAGGCAGTGTTTGGAATGGCAAAATATTTGAAGACTTACAAAAGAAAATCTAAGTGTGGGTCACTATAAATGAATTTTGACAGTATGCCCCAGGGAGGAGAAAGCTTCAAAACAAACCACACTGGGACACACAGTTATAAAGCCATGGTAGAATAAGGCGAGACCAGAAAGAAGACACAGCAAACAGAACCAATGAAATCTTTTGATCACATCTTTTTCTACCTGGATATGGACTAGATGAAAACAAATCCAAGGATAGAAACTTTTTTAAAGCCTAAGTAGATAGCCATGTGGAGAAATGCCTAGTGGAACTCTCCAAAAAAAACAGGAATGTGTTATCGGAAGTCTGGAAGTCTACCATAACTAAGAAATAAAGGAATGGGGAGATGGAAGGCTGAGAGCTGGGGGTAACGGTGAGAGGAATTGAATCAGAAAAGCAAAGAAACAATTTAATACATATCCCTTCTTTAATATATTTAGAATACGATCATTTTTAACCAAGAAAATTGGTTAAATATACCTGTTTTTTGGTTATATTTAACCAAAAATATACCACTAAAAAGACACAAGGCACAAAAGACTTTATATGGACATTTTCTATCAAATCTCCAAACTATATTTTATTCCCATGTTACAGTCATTATTTCATTTACTGGTCTGAAACAGTCTTAGTATTACTCTCTGTATTATTATTTTGATATGCTCACTACTAGATATAATTTGCTAATATTTTATTTAGGATATCTGTATTAATGTTCCTAATTAAGACTTATTTTGCATACATATAATAAATAAATGTTTTTTCTAGTAAAATTATTTGAAGTTCATTTATCAGCATAAAATAGGACAGCATGATGTAGTACTTCCGAGTACAGCGTTCATACAACACACAAGCACTCACTGGAATCTGCTTCTGGACCAAGCCTATGCAGGGCTCAAGAATTATGATGATAAGCAAAATCAGGCAAGGTCCCTGCCCTCACGGACCAGGAAAACGTGGTCAAGGAAACAGACATTAATCAAATAATCACAAAGAAGTCAAACTAGAAACTATTATGAATGCTGGGGAGGAGAAGGATAATGTTATGAGAACATACAGAGGGGTTGGGGGGAGCTAATGTGGTAAGGGAGGTCAGAAAAGGCCCTCGAGTAATTGATGCCTGAGCTAAAATCTGAAGAATGGGAATCTTCATTCCCATTCTTCAAAAAAAAAGAAAAGAAAAGAAAAGAGCAATCATGGAAGAGAGAACCTAGGCACAAATGGCTTTCATGGAAGGCAATCTAGCAATGGCTTCTTTAAAGCCTATCATAAACACAGAAATATCAGGTAGATTTTAAAAGTCACTTTATTTAGTTACTTAATTCCTTCACTTGATTTCTAATAATTTTAATATAGTAAATGCTCACTATTCAAGTATGTAAATTGAGGTCAACTATTAAAAAATAATCTATATTTTAAAATCTCTATTACTAAAAATAAAAAGGCAGATATTCAAATGGATACAAACAAAATATGATCAAAGTTATTATTTCTTCTTTTTTTTGTTGTTAGAGATGGAGTCTCACTCTGTCACTCAGCGCAGAGTGCAATAGCATGATCATGACTCACTGCAGCTTTGAACTCCTGGATTCATTCAAGGGATCCTCTATCTCAGCCTCCTGAGTAGCTGAGACTACAGGCACACACCACCACATCCTGCTAATTTTTAAAAATTTCTTGTAGAGATGGGGTCTTGCTGTGTTGCCTAAGCTGGTCTCAAACTCCTGGCCTCAAGTGATCCTCCCACCTCAGCCTACCAAAGAGCTGGTATCACAGGCATGAGCCACCACACCTGGCAAAAGTTATTATTTATAAAACTTACAAAAAATTAAGTTGGCCTAAAATTTTTCTATTTTAAGTATAATGAAGTATAAATTGCTCAAAGTCACAAAATGTAAGAGCAAACATTATAACTAATACAAGGCATAAAAGGGAAAAAAGAGTTTTGGTATTGTCTGTCTTATAAAAATAAATCAAATTTTTAAACTTAATTTTAATATCCTAAGTCTGTTGTATAAACAATTTCCCACTGAGTTCAAAATACATATAACTGAATTAACTGCTATGAATAATAATTATTTAATTTTTAGTATTTTCATCTGCACATTTACACTATAATGTTTTAATGTGCTACCACTTAGATTGCATTTCTCTACTGAAAATGCAATTGTTACTTAATAAAGCACAGGGAGACTCTTTGGCAGTTTTCTGAAAAAGAAACTGTGGTTTTTATCTCCCTTAAAAGGAAATTAAATGGAAAATCCTGCATTTAAATAACACTGAAGTAGTGACACCAATGGATTGGAGCCAGGAAATTCAAAGTTAAAGTTAAAGCTGGCTCTCTATCCTTAAAACAGGCTATTGTCCTGCCACCATCCCCAGCCCAGCAAATTTAATTAAAACTAAGTTCTGACCAGTTGATATAAGTGGTTCAGAAAACTCCTTATGGGAATTTCATCCTTTAGATGGCCTTCTATGCTATACTTCCTCTCACTGGTATACAAAGAGTCTATGTAAATTTTTTCTTCTCTTAAAACAAAACAAAAAAAGAAGGATAAAAGAAATATTTTATCCTAAATTTTGGTATTCCCAAACCCAAACAAAATTTTGCCCTTAAAGTCCTTTCAGTCTATTTGGACAATTCAGACTGAAGTTTCCTCAAAAGCTACCTTTTTCTTTTATTTAACTTAAATGCTTTTTTATATTTATTAATGAGAACATGCTTTTTTCTTCCATTAACTGCTAATTATTAAAAGAGACTATATAACATGATAATTCAATTATAACTCATACATTAATATTTTATCCAAAATTATTTCTTACCTCCTCTGTTTGTAAACTATTGAGCAGCAGTCTACCTAATATTAAAGTTTAAAATCACATTTTCATAATAGCTGAGATAAATTAATTTCCATTTATCTCTAATAATAAGGTCTTGAAGACTCTATGGTAATTGTTTCTTATAAAGAATATTCAACGAAACAATTTGTTTTAACATCACAAAAGTTTATATTTATTCTATTCCAAATTCCTGCCTTTGCCAATAATTCAATTTTATTTTCAGCAGCCAGAATTTTTCAAAACTTGCAAAAAGATTATTTTTGAAATTGCATTTTTGCTTTATTAAATCTGAAACTATGTGAAAGAAAATCTTTTAACATTAAGTATTTATCAAGTCTACTTTGAATGCATCTTTTTTTATGGAGGTGGTAGATTTCATGAAGTAAAGAGAAGACCTAGAGTACATATATTCTAAAATAAATATATGCAAATAATTAAATAAGAGAAAAAAGGTAAATAGGAAATAGTATTCAACGGACAGTGCACATTATACCATGTGGATAACTAAAGCCCTGAAAGTAAACTGCAAGTGACATCAGTGAAGATGACGGAGTAGGTAGCTCCAAGAGCTTGTGTTCCCACAGAAATATTCAAAATCAAGCAAAAGTGTCAGAATCAACTCTAACAAAACTCTTGAAAATAGGCAGGTTGATAGCAACCAAGAAAATGCTGAAACCAAAATATTAAAAATAAAAGATAAAGGAGACTTAAAAACAGTAAGAAAAGTATGTGATGTTTGTATTTGCCCCTGCTCCAACTCTCTCCTTGGCTTGACAGCAGTCTTCAAAACTGCAGGTAGCTTCCCCAGTAGGCAACCCTGGTCCTTGGTTCTGGAGGAAGCAAAGACAATCTTACTCGCAAAAAACTACATTTGCTATAACCTGTATGGGAAATCCCTTGGGGAATAACGCAAAGCACCTTACTTTGTTTCTCTAACTGAGGACTCCTTCAGAGGAGAAATGCAGCAGAGATTCCTTGAAAATACTGTAAGGTAAACAAAAAATCCACAGCTACCTAAGACAAAAACATTATAGTTGGGGCATATAGTAGAGTACCCAAAGCTCAGGCAGAAGAACTAAAGAGTTTCCTTGGGAAATAGGACATGTATAGCATTCATGTATACCGAAGAATTTAAAAAAATCCATGCCCATGCTCGCTAATAAAAACTTATTCTTTCAGCTTTAGATGATCTCTAGGATCAATGCAAACAGGAAATGAAGGCTAAGACAGAGCTTAAAAATAGCCTAGCAAAGTGTTGAAGAAGTTTGTCAGCAAAGATCCAATCTGTAAACATTAGGAGAGGTTTTTTGTTTTGTTTTTCTTGATTTTTAAAGTTTTTACTTTTTCTTTTGTTTCTTCTCTGTTGCCTTCTGTTATTGAAGTTATTCTCTATCAAGACACTAGCTGAACAAAGGCTAAAGGAACAGAGACCTCAGAGAACACACATGAAAAACAATACTACATTAAAAAATTAGTTCAAAAAGTCATTAAACAAATAGCTACATGCTATAGCAAGGGACAAAAGTAAACCCAGAGGAGAAGGAAAAATCTTATTTCTAGATTTAATACGTTATCATATTTTATATGCCCAGTTTTGTGTGTGTGTGTTTTTTTTTTGAGACAGAGTCTCGCTCTGTCACCCAGGCTAGAGTGCAGTGGTGCGATCTCGGCTCATTGCAAGCTCTGCCTTCCGGGTTCATGCCATTCTCCTGCCTCAGCCTCCTGAGTAGCTGGGACTACAGGCACCCGCCACCGCACTCAGCTAATTTTTGGTATTTCTAGTAGAGACAGGGTTTCACTGTGTTAGTCTCGATCTCCTGACCTCATGATCCGCCCACCTCGGCCTCCCAAAGTGCTGCAATTACAGGCGTGAGCCACTGTGCGTGGCCTATATGCCCAGTTTTAAGCCAAAAAAGTATGAAGTGTGCAAGAAACAACAAACTATGCCCCATCAAAAGAAGAAATTAACAAAAACTGTACTTGAGGGAGCATACACTTTGGACTTAATGAATAAAGACTTTAAATCAACTGTCCTTAAAAAATCAAAGAGCTAAAGGAAATCAGCAATGTGATGTATAAACAAGTAGAGAATATCAGTAAAGATAAAGAAATTATAAAAATGAACTAAACAGATATTCTGGAAATAAAAGTACAATAACTAACATGAAAAACTTACCAAAGAATTTAAATTTAAATGAATTTAAAGATAAATGAATGGAATCAAAGAGATTTGTGGAACACAAGCAAGCACACCAACATATATGTCATAAGAACCCCAGATGGAGAAGAGAAAAAGAAACAGCAGACAGAATTTGTAAAGATAATGGCTGAGCACTTTCCAAATTTGAAAAATACATAAATGCACACATTCAAGAAGCTCAACAAACTCCAAGACGAATAACTGTAAAGAGATCTACACTAAGACAAATTATAATCAAATGACTGGAAACCAAGGGTAAAGAAGGAATCTGGAAAGCAGCCAAGGAGAAGCAATTCATCCAACATACAAGGGATCCTCAATAAAATTAATAGCTGATTTATTATCAAAATCATAGAAGAAGTTAAATAACATTTTTAAAGTACTGCAAAGAACTGTCAACCACGAATTCTATGTTTGGCTAATTGTCCTTCAAAAACCAGGAAACATTAAGACAGTTCCAGGAAAACCAACACAAAAAGCAAAGGAGCTATTCATAAGTAAAACTGACCTATGAGAAAAGCTAAAGGGAGTCCTTTAGACTTAACAAAAAGGATACTAGGCAGCAACCTGAAATCACGTGAAGAAATGCAGCGCTCTAGTAAAAGTAACTGCATGATAAATAAAAGCCAGTATTATTGTATTTTTGTTTGTATCTCTTCTTTTTATTTCCTATGGTATTTAAAAGACAGATGCATAAAACAATAATTATAATGTATGTTATCAGACACACAATGTATAAAGATGTTATCTATAAAAACATTAACATGAGGAGAGAACTGTATAGAAACAGAACTTTGATATCCTATTGAATCTAAGTTGGCATTAATCCAAACTAGATTGTTATAAATTTAGGATTTTAATTGTTATCCCCATACAAACCACAAAGAAAAGTCTTTAAAATATACACAAAAGAAAATGGAAAAGGGATCAAAAAAGCACACTTCAAAAAGTTAAACACAAAATATGGCAGTAGAGAAGCAAATGAGGAACAAAAGGCTATAAGACATACAGAAAACAAATAGCAAAATGGCAGAAGCAAGCCTTTCCTAATCAGAAATTATTTAAAATGTAAATTAAATGACTCTCCAACAAAAAGCTAGAGATTAGTAAAATATATATAATTTTATAACTTGATACAACTACATGCTGTGATAAGAGACTCATTTTAGATCCAAAGACACAGATAGGCTGAAAGTGAAAGAATGAGAAAAGATACTCCATGTAAGTCATATCTAAAAGACACCAGAGGTGGTATTCTAAAATCAGATAAAATAGACTTTAAGTCAAAAATTGTTGGCCGGGTGTGGTGGCTCATGCCTGTAATCCCAGCACTTTCGGAGGCCAAGGAGGACATATCATGATGTCAGGAGATTGAAACCATCCTGGCCAACATGGTGAAACCCCATCTCTACTAAAATAAAAAAAATTAGCCGGGTGTGGTGGTGCGTGCCTGTAGTCCCAGCTACTTGGGAGGCTGAGGCAAGGGAATTGCTTGAACACAGGAGGCAGAGATTGCAGTGAGCCAAAATTGCGCCACTGCCTCCAGCCTGGCGACAGAGTGAGACTCAGTCTCAAAAAAAAAAAAAAAGTTACAAGTTACAAAAAGGACACTATATATAGATAAAAGTAGAAATATATAAAGAAGATAAAAAAATTACAAATATATATGCACCTAATAATAGAGAACCAAATATATAAAGCAAAAATTGACAGAATTGCAGGGAAAAGCAACCAATTATACAATAATCGTGGAAGACATCCATGCACTGCTTTTAACAATAAATAGAATATTTAGACATGAGATTAATAAGGAAATACAGGCCTTGGACAACACTATAAACAGACTACATCCAACAGATACATATAGGACACTCCACCATCAACAGCAGAATACTTATTCCTCTCAAGTGCACATGGAACATCTACAGGATACACTACATATTAAGCCACTAAACAAGTCATGATAAATTTTAAAAAATTGAAGTCATCCAAAGTATCTTCCTCAACCACAATAAATGAAGCTAGAGATCAATAACAGAAGAAAAACTGGAATATTCACAAATACATAAAAATTAAATAACACAATATTAACCAACTATTAGGCCAAAGAAATCACAAGGGAAATTAGAAAATATCCTAAAATAAAATGAAAATACAACATGCCAAAATTCATGGGATACAGCAAAAGCAGTGCTCAGAGGGAAATTAATAGTTACAAAATCTGTATTATAAAAAAGAATGATCTGAAATCAATAACCTAACTTTACACTTTAAGGAACTAGAAAAAGAACAGAAAACTAAGTGCAGAGCTAACAGAGTGAAGGAAATAATAAAGATTACAGCAGAGATAAATGAAATGGAGATTAGAAAAACAACAAACAGTTAACGAAACAAGAAATTGGTTCTTTGAAAATTTCAACAAAACTAACAAACCTTTAGCTGGACTAAGAAAAAAGGGTAAAAAATATACAATAATCATAAATGAAAGTGGGAATATTATGTTTTATAGCATGAAACACTATAAACACTATTATACATGAACATTATTACATAAATATTATTATATAATTATTTATAACAATATAAGTATGTTATTTATGAACATTATTATTTCATTTATTTATCCCACTTTTATTTCTCTAAGCTTTATTTCTCAATCTTAGAGAAATAAAAATGATTATAAGAGAATACTATAAATAATTGTGTACCAACAAATTGAATAATGTAGATAAAATGAACAAATTCCTAGAAACACAAAAACTGCCAAAACTGACTAAAGAAGAAATGGAAAATATCAACAGGTCTCTCACAAGTAAAGAGATTAAGTCAGTAATCAAAAACCACCCATCAAAGACAAGCTCAGGACCATGTGGCTTGAAAACATTTAAAAGAATTTAACATTTAGATGAATTAACACCACTCCTTAACAACCTCTTTCAAGAAACAGCAGCGGAAGAAATACTTCCTAATTCATTCTATGAAGCTAGCATTACTCTGAACCAAAGCCAGACAGAACACTATATGAAAACTTCAGACCAATATTGCTCATGAATATAAATGAAAAAAAGTTTTCAACAAAATACTACCAAAGTGTCCAGCAGCAGATGAATGGATGGGCAAATTTTGACATGGACACACAAGAGAATATTGTTCAGCCACAAAGAGGAATGAACTACTGACACATGGTACAATGTAAATGAACTTTGAAAACGTTATGCTAACGAAAAAAAGCAAAATACAAGAGGTCATATACGGTACAATTCCCATTTGTGTGAAATATCCTGACTGGCAAATTCTTAGAAACAGAAAACAGTTTGGTGGTTTCTGGGAGCTAAGGGAAGGAGAGAAGGGACCAGGGAAAATAGGGAGTAACTGCTTAATGGGTATGCAATTTCCTTTTGAGGTGATGAAAATATTTTGGAAATAGAGGCGGTGGTTGCATAACACTGTGAATACATCCTTAGCTACTAAGTTGTTCACTTTAAAATTATCAATTTTATGATATGTAAATTTCACAATAATTTTTAAATTATACAACTAAATATGGGGACAAAGCGCACAAATCATTAAATGATAGGCAAAACTAAACCTTTGTAAGATCCTATACGATGACTGCAGCTCACTGTAGAATGAGGTTACATATTTCTACATCAGCAGGAATCTGCCTTCATAAAGTGGAACTTCCACTAACAAACCTATAAGCTTTGCAGTAACTTGTTAAGGAAATCCAAATCAATTTTTCTGTTTGGATTAAGGTGGTCCCTAATGTGGACCTCTTTTCTGTGTAGTACTTCTTACTGTGTTTATGAGAAAAAAGGAAAAGATCAGCAAACAGGAGTAAGAGAGTACCATTATCAAGAATTCTAAAAGTAGAAAACCACCTTTTAATCACCTGGGAAGCTTTTAAAAAACACTAATACCCATGCCCCAAACCCCTAGAGTTCGGATTTATGGTAATTAGTACAGGGTGTGGCCAAGGCATCTATGTTTTGAAAAGTGCCCCAGGGGATTTTTCTGTGCCACCATGATTGAGACCATCACTAGATTGCAGTGTTCCCTTTTTCTGACACATTCCCAACAACACCTTGTGGTCCTAATCTTATAATCTTATTTTTTTTTTTTTTTTTTTTTTTTTTTTTTTTTGAGACAGAGTCTGGCTCTGTCGCCCAGGCTGGAGTGCAGTGGCGCGATGTCTGCTCACTGCAAGCTCCGCCTCCCGGGTTCACGCCATTTTCCTGCCTCAGCCTCCCGAATAGCTGGGACTACAGGCGCCACCGCGCCCGGCTAATTTTTTTGTATTTTTAGTACAGACAGGGTTTCACTGTGTTAGCCAGGATGGTCTCGATATCCTGACCTCGTGATCCGCCCACCTCGGCCTCCCAAAGTGCTGGGATTACAGGCGTGAGCCACCGCGCCCGGCCCCTAATCTTATTTTCTAAATAGGAAGAAGGAAAAGAGAATTGAAGAGAATTCACTGAGCCAGTCATATTAAATATGCTATGTCATTTCATCTTCATAACTGATAACGTAGGCAGTATATTGAGATGGTTAGAACGGCATGTTTTAGGACCAAAATGCCTTTGTTCATATATCACCTCTTTCACTTCTCAGTGGGGCAAGCTATCTACCCTCTCTACTCCTCTATTTCCACAGCTGTAAAATGAGGAATTACAGTATCTCCCCGTTGAGAAATTCATTGAATTACAACTGTGTTTGGCACAAGATAATTGTTCACAATTATTATATTATATTTACAGATAATAAAAGGAGGCTCAGAAACAGTAATTTGCCTGATGTCTCAGTTTTAATAAAATATAGAGTGAGAGTTAGAGCTCAAGTGTATCTGCCTCCAAACCCCAGGTGAAGAGGTGGAGCTGAGTGATATGAGTCTTCAGGGCTAATGTTAATTGAACTTCTTTGTGTATATAAATAAACAGGTGTCAGACGGCTCCCACTGGGTCTCAAAAGCCAACTGTTAAGTTTTCAGAAATTTTGTGAGCTGGTTGTTAAATGGTCATTATTAATAATTAAATTATATGTACTTATATGTTTAAAAAATTACATTAAAAACAAGAATACTCAAAAGTCATCGCTTCCTATCTTACTACATTTTACTATTATCTATGCTCTTAAGGTTCATTATATACCCTGTATACATTTACATATCTTTTTTTCCCCAGAGATTTCAACATCTGGTTTTCATTCACAGGTGTCAATTCATTGCTTTAATAAGCTTCAATCTATCGTTAATTCTCTTCCTCCCAAAGGAACTTTTTGGTGTTATTTTTTCCTCTAGCCCAAGAGATCAAAGATTCCTGGGGATGCAAGTTTGGTTTTCGTAGGGGTCTGAAATGCACCTAGATAGAGCAATTAAACCATACTATACAAAGTTAACTTGGGGCTGTGAAATTTTTACACAAATGCTTCATTTAAAAGCCGTCTCCATTAAGGCATGAATGGTAGGAATGAGGGCGGAGGGTTCTCTGAGGGAACTCTTGAACTCAAGAGGGTAAAAACTGTCTTGCTCACTGCAAAATCCCGCTAGCTACCACAGGGCCTGACCCATAAGTGTTACACATAGCACACATGGGAAGTAGCATAGCATACTGACTCCAGCAATCACTAGGAGACCTTGGACCAGCTTCTTGACTTCTGTGCCTCTGTTTTCTCATCTATAAAAGTAGGACAATAAAAGTACCTGTCTCACTTGGTTGGTATCAAGATTAAGAAAGTGCTGGGAACAATGATCGGAATGTAGTAAGTTATTATTATTAACATATGATATATTTTGAAGACCAAAAGTCATTATTTGGATCTATAAAAACTCATACTCCTGAGTAACATCTTAGGACTTTGTCTTATGGGAAGGGATTCTATTGGACATTACAGAAGCTGACACTTGGCCTACTGGGCAAACCATCAATACTAAAGCTATAAACATGACCTTTATTAAACAGCTAGAAAAGATTGTGAAATGTGCAGATAAACCAGAGACGTCAATAAATGGGCTCTAGAAAGTAAACTTGTGCTGGGCACAGACAAAGAAAATTAAAAGGTTAAGGTGAGCTATGGGCAAAACAGAAAAAGCCCAAATGTCAGAAAAGTACATTGGGAAGAAGCAAGAATGCCTAGCTACTGAGTCTTTTTCTCCCTATTCCCATTGGGTGCCACATCAGCTATTGGCTTGTTTTTGGCATCCTGTTCACAGCCCTTATGGTTTTTAGACACCTCCCTAGTCCAATGGCCATTCTAACAAAAATGATCTGAGAACAGTATCGGGTCATTAAATGACCCTGTTCACCCTTTCCACCTATTGGAGTGACATGCATTACAGAGACTGAAATCTCTGGTATTTAGGAAGAATGAGGGAAGTACCAGCAGCTCCATTTTGAAGTTTGAGCTTTTATCTTTAAACATGTATCATTTGGTTAGGAGTGAAATTTCAATTCATTAAAGTTTAATTCTGCAAAAATGTATGGGTCATCTATTATGTATCCAGCTCCATTCTAGATTTCAAGACAGAACCTGAAACCTGAGAAGGAATGGGCAAAACCATCACAGCATGGTCTAGTGAGAAAAATGCAGAGGTAAAGAGGAGTCACAATGTCAGTTTCCTCACGTCACAGTGGTAAACTAACCCCTGGCAAATATAGAGGGTGGTAGTGAGGGTATGATTTAAAAATGGAAGCAAAAATATTTTATAAACTTTCTAGAATAGGCTAGGGATGGCAAATACTACCTCCTGGAGGCAGTGATCATGACATTCCTTCTCATCAAACCTAGATGTGCCCCCAGAACATTTAACACAGTCCTCAAAGAGCCACTTTCAATGGCCTTGGCACATAAGTACATAAGTAGATAGTATAAATGAAAGGGATTATCACCGAAAACTAAAATTAGAATGAAAACAGCAATTCGACTTCCAAACTCTCTTCAGTATTATTATGGTCTTTGACATCAAGGAAAAGCTAGGAAGCCCTGCTTTTCAGATCTTGACTCGGCAGCTTCTGTCCTTCTGTGAGATATCTTCCCTTAATTGCTTCTGCAAATCCAAGACTTCTGCTAGAAATTAAGTAATAATTAATAAAATCTATTCAGTGTGATCATATGGCAGGCACCATGCTAAACATTTGACACACCTGTATCATTAAATAAAATGTAGTGAAAAATAGAGGAACAAACTGCAGAATGTGATCTTCTAAAAGGAGGCATTCCTGAAATGCTTTTCTAAAAGAAAAGATGCCTGATTACAGCAATAACTAACAGTAATGAGGTCTTTATAGCTTGCAACAGGATTTGATAACCATGATAATTCATTTGCTCTCTCCAACAACCTAGCAAGGCTGTCAGGGCAGCTGTTAATATCCTCAGGAGAGATGAAGTGACTCATTCAAGTTCTTTTTACAAACAGCAGTGCAGGTCAGACATCTCCCACATTCCAAACCCATTGGACTCAACTTCCAGATGCAAAGAAAGTTGAACAATGAACCTGAAATGTATCAATTTGCTGCCTACCTTCCCTTTCTGAGACATTTCTTGCCTTTAAAAAAACATTACTTGTTTTTTAAATACAAATTGTATATATTTATCATGTACAACATTATTCTTTAAAATATGTATACATTGTGGAATGGCTAAATTGAGCTAATTAACACATGTATTACCTCACACGCTGATTGTGGGTAGAATAATTAAAATCTATTCTCCTAGCGATTTTCAAGTATACGATAGATTTTTATTTAGCTATAGTCACCACACAGTACAATAGATCTCTTGAACTTATTCCTCACGCCTAACTGAAATTTTGGACCCCTTGAACCAACCTAGCCCCCAGCCCCACCCCCCACCACCCTGTGCCCAGCAAGCCACCGGTAACCACAATTCTACTTTCTGCCTTTATGAATTCAACTTTTTAAGATTTCACATATAAGTAAGATAATGTGGTATTTGTCTTTTTGTGTCTGGCTTGTTTCATTTAAGATAACGTTCTCCACGTTAATCCATGCTGTTGCAAATGACAGTATGTTCATTTTTTTTTCAAAGCTGAATAGTATTCTATTGTGTATATATTCCACATTTTCTTTACCCTTCTTTGTTTGAGACAGGGTCTCACTCTGTCACCCAGGCTGGAGTGCAGTCGTGCAATCTCAGTTCACTGCAGCGTCAACCTCCCAGGCTCAAGTGATCCTCCCACCTCAGCACCCTGAATAGCTGAGACTATAGGTGTGTGCCACCATGTCAGGCTAATGTTTGTAGAGACGGGTTTTACCATGTTGCTCAGGCTGGTCTCAAACTCCTGAACTCAAGCAATCCTGCCCCTTGACCTCCCAAAGTATTGGGATTACAGCTGTGAGCCACTATGCCCAGCCTTTGCTATCCATTTATCCATTGATGAATACTTAGGTTGATTCCATATCTTGGCTATTATGAACAATGACTATGGGAGTGCACATATCCTTTTGACATACTGATTTCATTTCTTTTGGATATATACCTAGTATTGGGATTGATGAATCATATGGTAGTTCTATTTTTAATATTTTGAGGAATCTCCATACTGTTTTCCATAATGGCTGTACTAGTTTACATTCCCACCAAAAATGTGCATGAGTTCTCTTTGCTCCACATCCTCATCAACAATTGTTATCTTTTGTCTTTTTGGTAATAACCACCCTTAATTTTTGCATGTGAACTCTGAAAAAAATCCCCTACAGATAATTATTCATGATCTCTCAATCTAGGTGTTTTTTGTTTGTTTGTTTGTTTGTTTTTGAGACAGAGTCTTGCTCTGTCGCCCAGGCTGTATTGCAGTGGTGCGATCTTGGCTCACTGTAACCTCTACCTCTTGGGTTCAAGTGATCCTCTCACCCCAACCTGCCAAGTAGCTGGGACTACAGGCAGGCACCACTATGCCTGGCTAATTTTTTAAATTTTTTGTAGAGATGAGGTCCCATTATGTTGCCCAAGCTGGTCTTGAACTCCTGGGCTCAAGCGATCCTCCCTCCTCAGCTTCTTAAAGTGCTGAGATTACAGGCATGAGCCACCATGCCTGGCCTCACTACAATTTTTTCAAAAACTTATCTGTGAAGCAATAAAGCACAATAGGTGAAAAGAGGTCAGCCAGGGTTTGAAACCTGAGTGCAACTCTGTGTGACCTTGGGCAAGTTTCTTAACCACTTTGTTCTGTAAAAGCAGGACAATGGTGGACAAGCGCAGTGGCTCACGCCTGTAATCCCAGCACTTTGGGAGGTCGAGGCGGGTGGATCACGAGGTCAAGAAATCGAGACCATCCTGGCCAACATGGTAAAACCCTGTCTCTACCAAAAATACAAAAAATTAGCCAGACGTGGTGGTGGGCACCTGTAGTCCCAGCTACTAGGGAGGCTGAGGCAGGAGAATCACTTGAACCAGGGAGGCAGAGGTTGCCGTGAGCCGAGATTGCACCACTGCACTCCAGCCTGGCAACAGAGTGAGACTCCATCTCAAAAAATAAAAATAAAAAATAAAAAAGCAGGACAATGGTACTAACTACCTCCTAGGGGTGTTAAGAGAATTTCATGAGTTAATATAAGTATTTAGGATAGAAACTGGAATATATATATGTTCAATGAATAAAAATTATATTGAGCCCCAAATCTGCCATTTTATAAACTGTCCCCAAGAATAAGTTAATCTACTTGAGAGGTTGCATTGACTCCTTTGGGTCACCACAGTGACATTCAATCCACTATTTACTCCTGCATACTTTATCCTATATATATGTAACAACAGTTGCCACTTAGAAGTAAACTAAATTGTTATACAGTACTATTCCTTTTTGAAACTGACCCTTGACTTCCATATTTCATTCTCTTTTTGCCTCAAACCTTAAATGGTCTTTGCTTTTTAAAATGAACAATTTTCCCATTTGATGGGAAGAAAGAGAAGAAATAAATTACAGCTGCAAAGACAAGTTGAATGTTTCAATGGACCAGGCCTTGGCATCTTTCAGAATAAGACATGTTTAATTCAAAGAGATGACTTTGTGTGAGATCAGTGGCAGCTCCAAAGTTTTTTGGGGAGGAGGGGCAAAACAGCCTCCTTGGCCATTTCTTGAAATCTTGAGAGCACTGTCTTATTTGCAAGTTTATTTGCATGAATTGTATCATCAAATGTAGTCAAAAATTTATTGTGTGCCTGTCCTTCTTGACAGATGAATAGAAACTGCTCTCTGTTCAAGTTCACTAGCAGTAAAAGCCAGCAGCTGCTCATCAGTTGTTTGCAACCCAGAGTTCTAAGGAGAAGCCAGTGGAAATCACACTTCATAGTTTTATAGGCTGTATTTGGTGTCTAAGGTTTGCCCTGAGGAACCACTACATTTAACATAGAAATATTTGTGAGTAGAATCTTTTTTTTCTTTCTTTTCTTTCATTCTAGAGGTCAGTGCTACTAGAAATATGACCAAACCAAGAAAGAAGGAGTGTAATAGATTTTTAAAATTCTACATAGAAATCTTACATTCATAGATTGTAGAATATCTAGATACATTGCAAAAAAAGTTTATCTTTTCATTTAAAACTTTTCATTATAGTAATAAGTTTTCAACATTGAAAAATACAGAAAATATTCAAAAGAAATGAAAAGTCACTCATAATCTGCATTTAGTAAAAAGTCCTAAGATGGTTCTAATACACAGAATTGAGATTGCTGCTGTTAGTGGATAAGAAAGCCAAGCATATTATGTTATCTAAAAGGTCAGTAGACTGCCATGGCCAGCTGTATTTCTCAAACATGGCTGAAACAATATTTTCCACCACTCATACTCTTCTTACAATGTGCCCAACACTCCTCACATAGACAGGGAAGTGTCTACGTTCCTCCCTCTTAAATCTGGATGGATTCATGACTATGATGGAAGTAGTACTCCATGAAGTAGTAGGATAAAGAAGTCACTACTGAGGACAGGTTATAAAAATGTGATGCACTTCTGCCTGTTTTGTTCAAGATGCTCACTTTCCAAATCCAGACATGCTGCCATAGGGAAGCCTGGACAGTCCTGAAGAAGCCCACTTGGAGAAAATAGAGACCCCCATCACACAGCTCTGGCTGGGCTCCTAGCAGAAGCCAGCGCCAATATGCCAGCCGTGCGTGAGGTCTCTTGAAAGTAGATCCTCCAGGCCAGGCACGGTGGCTCACGCCTGTAATCCCAGCACTTTGGGAGGCCAAGGTGGGCAGATCGCCTGAAGTCAGGAGTTTGAGACCAGCCTGTCCAACATGGTGAAACCTCATCTCTACTAAAAATATAAAAACTAGCCAGGCATGGTGGCTCATGCTTGTAATCCCAGCTACTTGGGAGGTTGAGGCAGGAGAACTGCTTGAACCCAGGAGGCGGAGGTTGCAGTGAGCCAAAATTGCACCACTGCCCTCCACCCTGGGTGACAGAGCAAGACTCCATCTCGAAAAAAAAAAAAAAAAAAAAAAAGAAAGTAGATCCTCCAGCCCCCAGGTGAGCCATCTCAGTTGATGCCCTGTGGAGCAGAGATGAGCTATAACTATTGAGATTTATGGACTAAATAAGTTATTTCATGTTATTTTAGGGCACCAATTTTGGGGAGGTTTGTTATGAGGTAATAGATAGCTGATTAAACCACTAATAGTAAGACCTATTAAAACTTACTAAAAAAATAGTAAGAGGTTATTATGTGGGAATACTCTGCTGACAATTTTAAACACAATAATTCAGTTTATTCTCTTAAAAACTCCATGGCACAGAGAGTGTTATTATTCCCAATTCATATATGGAAACACTGAAACACACACACAGAGATTAAGTAATTTACCCAAAACTTAATTCAGCTCACAAGTGGCAGAACTAGGCTATAAACTAGAAACTCTGGCTACAAAACTAGCACCCTTAACCATGACACTAAGCAGTCTGGAGTGCATTCCACTAAATCAGGATCCAATGGTTGTTCTTGAAATCCAGCTGAGTTAGTATCTGCTGCCCCAGGCCCTGCTGGGTCACATTCCTCTCTTTCTATCGGGAAAGACACACTACCAAATGTTCTACTCCCTCCCCAAAGAAATAAGAGACTTCATTTCATAAAAGGGCCCTCTCCACTCCCAATAATCTCAAGGCTGAAATGAAAAATAGCCAATCTCTACCAGACCTTTTTAATAACACTTGTATTAGTGAAAACAATATATATTATCATAAAAAGTTGGAAAGCTAATTTTTAAAATATGCATAACAATACTCAGAGATAACCACTGTAAACATTTTGATAGTTTCTTTCCTTTTTTCCATTTCAAATTTGCTCTTAATATCATTAAAATCATAAGACATGTAGAGTTTTATATGCTGATTTTCTCACAATTACATAATATATTTCCATGTCATCACAAAAAAACCACATAAATGGTTACAAAATAATTCTCTCCATAGATAAAACTTGATTCTGTATTTTATTGATGGATATGTGGTTGCTTCCACTTTTTTATCTTTTAAATAATTCTACACTGAACGTCTTTCTTACAGTTTCCTCAGGCTAGCTTCTAGAACAGAAATTACTGAGTTAAAAATATATGGATTAGTGGGGTCTTTGCAACATATTTCCAGAAAGTTATCACTTTACACTCCTAGTCAGAGTCATAACTCACTCTGTCTTATATTAGTTATCATTTAAGACATTATTTTATAATTTGATAGGTTACAAGTGGTATCTTTTATGTTAATTTTGTTAATGACCTGTATATGCACTGTTGGGAATGTAAATTAGTTGAGCCACTGTGGAAAGCAGTTTGGAGGTTTCTCAAAGAACTTAGAACTACCCTGCAATCCCATTGCTGGGTATATATCTATAAGAAAACAAATCATTCTACCAGTTTCTATTCTGCAACACTGTTCACAATAGAAAGACATGGAATCAACCTAGGTGCCCATCACTAGTGGATTGGATAAAGAGAATGTGGTACATATACACCATGGAATATTACACAGCCATAAGAAAGAATGAAATCATATCTTTGCAGCAACACAGATGCAGCCAGAGGTCATTATCCTAAGTGAATTAATGCAGGAACAGAAAACCAAATACTGCATGTTCTCACCTAGAAGTGGGAGCTAAACACTGGATACTCATAGGCATAAAGCCAATAGCCATGAACAAAATAAAATACCTGGGAATACACAGAAACTGGGAACTACTAGAGAAGGAAGGGAGAGAGGGGAACAAGGGTTGAAAAACTAACTGTTGGGTACCGTGCTCAGGGCCTATGTGATAAGATCATTTGTACCCCGAACCTCAGCATCATTCAATATATCCATGTAACAAACCTGCACAGGTACCCGTGAATCTAAAATAAAAGTTGAAAAAGACCCAATTCTACATATATGGGGGAAAGGGCAAATGACATCTTAATATCATTATAAAAATAATTTTAGTCTTGCAGACACTTTGAAAGAGTCCATCCATCACTTTAAAAACTGCTAGGATATAGCAAGCAAAGGCTGATATCCACCTAAAATTCAATAAGAAATAGAAAAAAAACCTGTATGACTTTGGTATAAAAAATGGTTCTTCGAATAAGACACAAGAAACAAATATTTAAGTTATAAAAACATTTTTAATGCAAACAAATGTAAAAACACAAGCCATTCACTGATGGAAGAAACTTCCAACACAAGTATACATACAAGTAATTATTATCCTGAATATGTAAAGAACTGCTACAAATCAATAAGAAAAGTACAAATAACTTAGGAGAATATCAGGCAAAGAACATAGCTAAGGTACTTCAAAGAAAAGAAAAGCCTAAGGGTCTATAAATATCTAAAAAGGTGTACAACCCAATAGAAACAGAAAATTCTAAGGAATACAACAACAAAGTGTTGATCATTAGATTGGTAAAACAAACAAAAATCCTGACAATTAATAACTCAAATACTAATGATGGGAATGCAGTAACCACTTTAGAGACAGAGCAGACACTGCAGATTGCCGACTTGACACCCACCTTCCCCTTCTTCCTTCCTAAAGGTATATTTTTTTCAGGTATCTCCTTCCTCCTGATGATATTTTTTAAGCAAAATTAGCCTTGCCCCCCAGCCAATCATCATGGTCTTGTAGACCCTTACAAGTAATCAATTTAGGCATTGGCATGTGATTTAATTTTAACCAATGAAACATGAAAGAATGTAGCTAACACAAATTTCTAAAGAAAGTTTCTTTGCCCTTCAAAAGAGACATAGAGGAATAAACGCCTCTGGCCATGGTTTTGTCTGCGCCTGATTCTTCATGACCAAGAGGAAAGCTATTGAGTCAATGAATTACCCAAATCTAGAGCAGTTCTACCTCTGGACTTCTTATTATATGAGGTGATTGATAGCTTTCTTTATTTAAGCCACTTTAAATTCCATTGTCTGTTACCTGTGGTTAAAAATACTCTAACAGAGAAAGCTTAAAAATTTTGCAATATCTAGTATAGGTAAAAAATAGTCATCCCTTAAAACCCTAAAATTCCACTTCTAGGTATATTCACCAAGAGAAACTCACACATGTGGAGTAGGAGATATGGAAAAGAATGTTCCTTGCAGTCTTATTTGCACAGGAGACAACTAAATACAGTTTTGCAGTTAATGAATAAATTATCATTAAAATAAGTAATTATTGCTATTAATTATAACAGATGAGTAATTATTAATTCTAGTATATTTATAATCCCTTTTCTGTTCTTCCTGGAATAAGGCTGCTACTATTATGAGACCAAGGTAACCCACTATAAAGCAACAAGTTGGAAGAAACATGGGTCGCTGACTATGTGGAGGACCATACACACCCTAGACCCCCTATTTGGACTTTTACACAAGTGACAAATCAACATCCATATTGTTTAAGCCACTCATAATTTGAATTTTTGAAGAGTCACAGCTAACGCTAATTTTAATTAAACAAATATGAAAAACATAAACTGGAAAATACCATCAAATTGATGATAGTAGATGCCTATGGATAAGGAAAGAGGTGAGTGGATGAGAGTGGAAACTCATAATATTTCAACTTTATTATCATATTATATCCCATTTTTAATGAAGAAGCTAAAGCAAAAATATTCAAATGTTAACCTTTGTTAATTCTGGGTGGTGCATTGTTGTTCTATTAGTCTCTGTACTTCCATGTTTATCTACTAAAAAAAAAAATGGATCACATAGAAAAAGTTTAGCCAAAAAGGGGAAATTAAGGAACGAGAAAAAGAAGAAAAAGAAAACATCCTTTCCCAAAACAAGAAAATGTGCTCCTTCTATAAATACAAATTAAATCAATATTAACATACAATGTATCTCCTATTAAGTTAAAGATGAACACTACTCAATGTTACTGAAGGGGCAGAGGTTAGAAGGGTGCATATATCCTTTCTGGAGGGCAATCTTGTAATTACAGCAAATTCATTAAAAGAGTGTCATCCCTATAAACCATCAGTTTTACCTCAAAGAAGTTATCCTAATAAATATACATAATAAGCATAAAGATTTAGTTAGGAGTATTTTTTTCTTTTTTAAATATGGAATGCTTCACAAATTTGCTTGTCATCCTTGTGCAGGGGCCATTCTAATCTTCTCTATATCGTTCCAATTTAAGTCTATGTGCTGCCGAAGCGAGACGAGTATTTTTATCAAAACTTGCTCACAATCTTGAAAAACTGGAAAGCACACAAACGCCCAGCTAGAGAGGCTAGTTATGCAGGTCCCTGTGCAAAGTCATAAAACAAATAAGTTAGACACACCAAAAACAAAACAAAAACTACAGGCCAATATCTCTGAAGAATATTGATGCAAAACCTCACCAAAATACTAGCAAATTGCATTAAACAACTTATTGAAAAGATCATTCATTATGACAAAGTGGGGTTTATCCCTGGGATGTAAGGATGGTTCAACATATGCAAATCAATTAGTGTGATATATCATATCTACAGAACAAAAGACAAAAAGTATCTGATCATTTCAATTGCTGCTGAAAAAGCATTCGATAAAGTTATACATCCTTTCATGATAAACACCCTCAAATAACTGGATATAGAACAAATGAACCTCAACATAACAGCCATATATGACAGACCCACAGCTAGCATCATACTGAGTGAGGAAAGCCTTTCCTTTTAGATCTGTAACATGACAAGGATGCCCACTCTCACCACTGTTATTCAACATAGAACTGAAAGTCCTAGCTAGAGCAGTAAGACAAGAGAAAGAAATAAAGGGCATCCAAATTGGAAAGGAAGAAGACAAAGTTTCCTTATTTGCAGATGATATGATCTTATGTTTGGAAAAACATAAACACTCCACCAAAAACTATTAGAACTGATAAATTCAGTAAAGTTGCAGGACACAAAATCAACATGCAAAAATCAGTAGCATTTCTATATGCCAACAATGAACAACCTGAAAAGAACATTAAAAAAGAAATCCCATTTACAATAGCCACAAATAAAATTAAATACCTAGGAATTAACCAAATAAGTGAAAGATCTGTACAATTAAAAATATAAAACACTGATGCAAGAAATTGAAGACAACACACAAAAATGGAAAGATATTCCATGTTCATGGAGTGAAATAATCAATATTATTAAAATATCCATACCACCCAGAGCAATCTACAGATTCAATGCAATCTCTATCAAAACACCAATGACAATCTTCACAGAAATTTAAAAAAAATTATGTGGAACAACAACAACAAAAAAACCAGAATAGCCAAAGCCACCCTGAACAAAAAGAAAAGTAGTTGAAGGAACCACATTACCTGACGTCAGATTGTACTACAGGGCTATAACAACCAAAACAGCATGGTACTGGCATAAAAACAGACACATAGCTCAATGGAACAGAATAGAGAACCCAGAAAGAAATCCACACACCTACAGTGAACTCATTTTTGACAAAGGTGCCAAGAACACACCTTGGGGAAAAGACAGTCTCTTCAATAATTTGTCCTGGGAAAACTGAATATCCATATGCAAAAGAATTAAACTTGATCCCTATCTCTCACCTTACACAAAAATCAAATCGAAATGGATTGAAGATTGAAATCTGAGACCTCAAGCTATGAGGAAACTCATAAGGGAAACTCTTCAGGACATAGGTCTGGGCAAAGATTTCTTGAGTAATACCCCACAAGCACAGGCAACCAAAGCAAAAATGGGCAAATGGGATCACATCAAGTTAAAAAGTTTCTGCACAGCAAAGGAAACAATCAACAAAGTGAAGAGACAACCCACAGAAAAGGAGAAAATATCTGTAAACTACCCATCTGACAAGGGATTAATAACCAGAATATACAAGGAGCTCAAGAACTCTATAGGAAAAAAAATATTAATCCAATCAAAAAATGGACAAAATAGTTGAATAGACATTTCTCAAAAGAAGACACACAAATAGCAAACAGGCATAGGAAAAAGTGATTGACACCACTAATCATCAGGGAAATGCAAAGCAAAACTACAAAGAGATATCATCTCACCCCAGTTAAAATATCAACTCACCCCATTTGTTATTGCCTGTCTTTTATCCAAAAGACAGGCAATAATAAATGCTGGCGAGGGTGTGGAGAAAAAGGGAACCATCATACACTGTTGGTGGGAACATAAATTAGTACAACCACTACGGAGAACAGTTTTGAGGTTCCTCAAAAAACTAAAAATAGAGCTCTCATATGACCCAGCAATCCCACTGCTGGTTATATACCCAAAAGAAAGGAAATCAGTATACTGAAGAAATATTTGCACGCTCATGTTTGTTCCAGAACTGCTCACAACAACCAAGATTTGGAAGCAACCTAAGAGTTCATCAGCAGATAAATGGATAAAGTAAATATGGTACTTATACACAATGGAGTACTATGCAGCCAAACAAAATAAAAAAGAATAAGATGGCCAGGCACAGTGGCTCACGCCTGTAATCCCAGCACTTTGGGAGGCTGAGGTGGGTGGATCGCCTGAGGTCAGGAGTTTGAGACCAGCCTGACCAACATGGTGAAACCCCGTCTCTACTAAAATACAAAAAATTAGCCGGGCGTGGTGGTGCATGCCTGTAGTTCCAGCTACTTGGGAGGCTGAGGCAGGAGAATCGCATTGCACTCCAGCCTGGGCAAAAAAAAAAAAAAAAGAAAAAAAGAATAAGATTCTGTCATTTGCAATAACATGGATGGAACTGAAGGTCATTATATTACATGAAATAAGCCAGGCACAGAAAGACGAACATCACATGTTCTCACTTATTTGTGGAATTTCAAAATCAAAACGATGGAATTCATGTAGACAGAGAATAAAAGAATGGTTACCAGGGTCTGGGAAAAGTACTCAGGAGGCAGTGGGGAGGTGGGTGGGGATGGTTAATAGGTACAATATATATATATATAATGTTAATATATAATATATAATTAATTAACCATATAGATACAATATATATGGTTAATAGGTACTATTATATATATAAAAGAAGAATGAATAATACCTCATATTTGATAGCATAACAGGGTGACTATAGCCATTTTAAAATAACTAAAAGAGTATTAACTGAAGTACAACACAAAGGACAAATGCTTGAAGGGATGGGTACCCTGTTTTCCATGATGTGATTATTATACATTGCATTCTTGTATTAAAGTATCTCATGTACCTCATAAATATATATACCTAGTATGTACCCACAAAAATTAAAAATAAAAAACAAATAAGTTATAAAACAAGTACACTATTTTCCTAATTTGTAAAAAAAAAAAAAAAAAAGTTTGTATATAGGTACAAGTTGTAAATATTTGAAAGGCTTTAAACCACCCAATGTTAATACTGGATAGTGGGAATTCAGATTATTTTTATTTTCCATTTATTTATTTGTTTGTTTATTTATTTAGAGACAGGGCCTCATTCTGTTACCCAGGCAGGAATACAGTGGGGTGATCATGGCCCACTGTAACCTCCACCTCCTAAGCTCAAGCAATCCTCCCACCTCAGCCTCCCAAGTAGCTGGAACCATAGGCATGTACCACCATGCCCAGCTAATTCTTGTATTTTTTGTAGAGATGGGACTTCATCATGTTGCCCAAGCTAGTCTTGAACTCCTAGGCTCAAGTGATCTGCCTGCCTCAGCCTCCCAAAGTGCTGTTAATTGAAACAAGTCTGATGGAAATAGACAGTAGTGGTCAGTTCATTTCTTACAGTTAAAAAATGCATATATGGTTCCTGATAGCATAAAATTCCAAGTCATAAATATTCATTTATTTTTTAATGAATCTGTAAGCATCACATATTAAAGATACTGAGGAGAAAAAATAGAATTAGGGTACATTCCACCAAAAATCATTCCTTGAGATAACAGGACAATTGGTGGTTTTCCTAAACTGATAAGAAATTCTTTTTTTTTTTTGTCTACTAATAAAAGATGTTGTTCATAAAAGACAAGTTGAAGGAAGTAATAAGGTTCAGAGGAGCCAAATGTAAATAGAAATGCCTATTAGGATTCTGGCACACTATTTAGTAGATAACACATCCTGAACTGGTATACCTTCCTTCTTGATATTTTCTTTCATGTACATTCTGATACAAATTACCATGAACCCTTAATGTCACAGAATTTTTATTCCATGTTCTAATACCGATACATCTTTTCTTTTCTTTCTTTCTTTCTTTATTTTATTTATTTTTTTTTTTTTGAGACGGAGTCTTGCTCTGACGCCTAGGTTGGAGTGCAATGGCACAATCTCAGCTCACTGCAACCTCCACCTCCTGGGCTCAAGCAATTCTCCTGCCTCAGCCTCCCAAGTAGCTGGGACTACAGGTGCGTACCACCACACCGGCTAATGTTTTTGTATTTTTAGTAGAGATAGGGACAGGGTTTCAACATGCTGGCCAGGCTGGTCTCAAACTCCTGACCTCAGATGATCCACCTGCCTCAGCCTCCCAAAATGCTGGGATTACAGGTGTAAGCCACCGTGCCTGGCTTATACCTATACATTTGTTCTGGTTTCATATCTTGGATGACTCTGTTGCCTCCACTGACATGGCAATGTTAGGCTAGATGTTAACCTGGATACACACCAGAAACCCCTGAAAGCTGCCCCATATTCCTAATGGATGTGTGGGTGATCTGGCTGGGACATGTTGGCCCCATGTCCCATATCTTCGTTTTAATAGCCAAGGCTTAGTTCTGGCTCTCTTGGCAAGGGTCAGTTTTCATTCTTCTAAAGCAAATGGTAGAGGGGACCCTTTCTTAGCCAAGGAATTGCATTTCTGAATACAGAACAGATAAAAACTTGGGAATCCCATGGATTCTCCTGTAAACTTAAAAGTGGCAGCTTTTGGAAAGCCTCATCTCTCTTCCCTGGAAGAGCAAAAGATGGAAATCAGCAGGATTAGGTCACATTCCAGACTAGTAACACATCTCCATATTTGTGTACCCTTACCATCCTGTACAATCAGATTTTACTATATTTTCGTCTATATTTAGCTGTCCACTACTCTTTTCATGCTATTATCATTATTAGAATACTAGTCTCATTACATCGATATTATTATTTAGCCCAAATCTACGTACTTTCTTTTTCATAATTGGCCTCTATAATTCAGCAAATTCCTCTATCCATCCCCAAAACGCACTACAAGGATGGGTGACCTCTCATATGTGCATTATGAATGTTCCTAGAGAATTTCCTCTGTCTTCCTTGCTTGCACTTACCACCATAGTAACTGATAAAGAGTCCAAAATCTACCTACTAATTAGGACACTTTTCACCTCAAATTAACATGCTGTTGCTATCTTAGCACCTCTGATTCTCTCCTTACTATCTCTTCAAAAACTTTTCCTCTAGCTGCTTTCAGTCTCATTTCAAATACGTTTTGTGATCTAGAGCACATTGGTTAAATTGTTGCTGACCTTCTCACCCACAGACCACGAAAAAGTTTCTTTGTCATTTCTTTGAGATTGCTCAAGAACCTATATATCTATGTCATGAGATGGTTTTGTCCAACCTATAATCTATGTATAAGTGGACAGACCAACTTGGGAAAGTTAGTTATAAAGTCTTTGAAAAACAGAGAATATAGTAAAAGAGATCAGACTTATGAGGCACACCTTGCTATTCAATAAGCATTTGTTGAAAAACTGACCAAGGGAAGACACGTGGCAAACAAGGCATTAAACTAGGGGTCCTCTTAGAGTACCTGTTCTACCTTCTCCTTCTTACTCCTTTTGTTCCGTCTGAGTTTCTACTAAACACTCTCAAAGCAACAGATTACTTAGACATCACCACCCATTCCTCCTAATTAGCAAATTCTGAGACTTAGATGATAGTAAAATCAATCTAAACAAAACAAAGAGAATGCTAGTAAGTTGGATAAAGTGTTTTAAAAAACTGTAACCTCTCTGAGCCTGAATACCATGTTTTTGTTAGAATACACATAAATAGGTGCTTGAACGAGCATCTGCTATACAATTACTAGAAATCAGCTATATTAGAATGGAGATGGTAATATCTGTTCTTTGTTCAGGGGCTCTTCCTTAAGCAGAATCAGATAATGTAGGAGCAAAGAAGCCAAGGGAAAAGAAAGTTTAAAAAAACAATTGATAGAATGTGAGCCACACAGGAAGTCTACAGAACATACAGCAAACAAAATAGAAACACTACATTCATACGTCTTGTAGTGTTTATGTTTTTGCTATTCATATGGATTAAAAATTTATCTTTCTTCCCAAATATATTTGGGATCATTATTGTTTTTGTGATAAAGTTAGGTTACTTTAAACTTCAAACTTCAAGAAAATGCAAGCCTGATTTTCACAAGGGAATTGCTCTCTTACTTTTTTTTTTTTTTTTTTTTTTTTTTTTTTTGAGGCAGAATCTCACTCTGTCACCCAGGCTGGAGTGCAGTGGTGCAATCTCGGCTCACTGCAAGCTCTGCCTCCCAGGTTCACGCCATTCTCCTGCCTCAGCCTCCCAAGTAGCTGGGACTACAGGTGCCCACCACCACGCCCAGCTAACTTTTTTGTATTTTTAGTAGTATTTTTTATATTTTTATTTTCACCATATTAGCCAGGATGGTCTCGATCTCTTGACCTCGTGATCAAAGTGCTGGGATAACAGGTGTGAGCCACCTTGCCCAGCCTGCTGTCTTCCTTTCTAAAGTTATTTCCTTCCTACTATCACAACTCTAAATAATGAACAACTTGTTGTCCTTATAGAAAAATCATCTTCAGGCCAAGTGTGGTGACTCTCACCTATAATCCCAGCACTTTGGGAGGCCAACGCTGGCAGATCACCTGACGTCAGGAGTTCGAGACCAGCCTGGCCAATATGGCAAAACCCATCTCTACTAAAAATACAAAAATTAGCCAGGCATGGTGGTGCGTTCCTGTAGTCCCAGCTACTCCAGCCTAGGCGATAGAGTAAGACTCCATCTAAGAAAAAAAAAAACCTTCAAATAAAAATAACCAAGAAAACAAGACACAAATATGATTTAAAAGTTCCTTATAATTACCTAAATAATGTATTGTACTTTCTATCAGAAAAACACTTCTCCCTTTATTAGAAGGCTATTTATACTTTCTGTTAAAACACTTTATACTGAAAACACATAGGATATAATATAATTGTCTCTAACTTCTCTCAGATATAAGCTAGAAAGATTTGCTTGTAAGGAACAAATAATAATAACAATGACAATAATAATGAGTGACAATTGTACTTAATTCATATATAAAATATAGGTAAAGCCATTAACTAATGCACTTAAAATCCTAGACAAAGTATAATTCAGGCAAATGTTTTAAAAATATGTAAATCCTACTTTCAAAAAAAGTTTAGTTACCTAAAACCACTGTCAAACTAGGATTTTTGGCAGCAAACATTTAACATTTATATTTTGCTAGTCCTTTCCTACTCTTTGGTCAGTCAAAATCCTTTGTTCTTTGTTAATAAGATATGATCTGATAAGCTTATTTCTGATTTGCCTTGGGGAAGAAAGGGAGGACAGGATTACACGTGAGCACTTAAGAGTGACAAGTCTGTTCCCTGGGCTACTGAAGAAAACAAAGAGGGGTTACATCCAAAGCTGCTCAAACAGTTGTGTGTTGCTTCTATGTACACATGAGAATTAAACAACCAAAAAGCTCCTTGAATTTCTCCAAACAAAAATTAATAACTTTAAAAAGTGACACACTTTTTTATTCTTTTTCAAGTCTACCTTCAATTTTTAAAACAACTTTGAACATAAGAATGAAAGCTCATTAAACTATAAATACATTTTGGCAATATTTGTGTACTTTAAATAAACTTGTTCAGTCTAGATCTTAATTTTTAAATCCACATAGGAAACCTAGCAAAGTATTTGTGAATTTCCAGCATGAATACACTTCAAATGTCAAACAAAACAAAAAACAAACAAAACTAGTGAAAAAATTATAAAATGTTTTCAAATTCCTCAAATTTGAGGTTAATCATTTACAGAATGAACTAAGTGAGTCTAGTTAATATATAACATATTTATCATAAATCATGCTTAGAAAATTTAAGTACCTTTATATTTTACAGAAAATTTCCCAATGGTAAATGTGACTTAATTTTTAACTTATTTTATTTGGAATAGATTGTAAAACATTTACATAATCCAAATCTAATCAACTGATACTTGATCCCCGAAAATCTGGCAAATAATCAGTTCATATCAGTTCCCAAGGGGCAATAAATGCTAATTGTAGTAAATCTGCTTCCTGCAGACAGTGCCAATGAAGGGCAATTTCCATAGTCATTAATAAACTGATAAAATAGAAAACAGTCTTTGACTCTACCTTAAACATGTTTCTTTCAACATTAAGCATGTTAATGTACCCAAGTAGTCTAGACTGCAGAGAAATAGCAAAGAGATAATCTCCAATACAAGGAGAACTACAGAGCCAGTTTCCAGAAAAAAAAATCTGACAATTTCAGAAAATCTTCCTTTCAGAAAGTCTATTTGTGTGTCTAAAATTAGCACCAATACTCCAGAAATAGTGAAACAATAAGATGGTTTCAAAATGACGACCACTTTGGTCCAAACTGACAGCAGTAGCTGGCTACACAGAGAAAATCACGTGCTTCAGGGCAATCCACTTGTATAATATCTTGTTGATCCACATGTCAATAATCAGACACATATTGATCTGCTCCTATTAACTGTTAGTCATTCCTCCAAAGCTGTATTTTATACTAATCATTGCCAAAGATAAGGAATTTGTCCTTTGATTTGTAATTAAGTCTCAGAACCAGGGTTAGATACTGTTATCTCAAAGTCTAGCATCCAGGAGAGAAGGCAGAAGCATTTCTCAAATTGTTTCATTCCCAAAGATAAATTGTTAAAGCACACAGTTCAATTTGACATTAGTGAATTGTTTCTTTTGAACTGATCCTGGCCCCACTCATCACTATGAAGATTAAAAGCAACTATCCCCAGGTTTCAACTCAGTCTTGGTATGTGCTTTCTCGGATTTAGTAGTGAACTATTACATCCACCACTTTATTTGAAGTCCATAATAGGAAATTAGGTGGGTGCCACATACCTGTCTTCATAAATAAAGGAACTAAGGCTCAAAGAGCTCCAGTTATTTTCTCAGGGCCACATAGAAAGTATCATATAGAAATGATTGACTCAATCTGCTTCCTCCAAGTCTCTCATTTTTTTCAAGGATCATTTTAAGTCTTTTTTTTTTTTAACATTTTAAAACAAGTGAAGGGGACAGGGCACTGGGGAGTGGCAAGGGGTCAAGGACACAGCTTTGACCTATATCAGCTGGAGTTCTATATGCTGTATCTGCATGGCCATATATGGAGGTGCTGAAGAGGGAAGAAAGTAGGGATCAGCAGGCTTCTAGTTTTGCACCAGCTACTGCCACACCCCGTGACTTTTACTAGCTTATTCTGAACCACAATTCCTCCTTTCTTTCCTGGGAGGCCAAGGAGGTGCTTTTTCTCAGTTGTGATTTTTAATTGCATTTCTCCCAGTCCCCAAAGTGTAACAGTCCAACATGAGTGTTGGGGAAAAGAAGGGTGTACCAGAGGGTGGGCAAGCAGGCAGGCAGGCAGGGAAATAACCACTCTGATTTTGCTTTGATATCTGTTTCAAGTCCTGTAATGACAGATCTCATTCCAGTGCAGAATGTTTTGGGAATATAGTTAAAAGGGTTATGTGATTGTTTTTAGGTACATTTTAAGTGTTGACTAATAAAAGGCAAATATCAGAACAAAAGAACAGTTTAACGTAGCATTTTCAAAACCTTTCGGCATTCTAAGGCATCCGTGACCTGCTAAAATCTAATTATTTCTCCAATACCCTTTGGAATTGTTGAGAAAGATGTGGTATAGTTTCTAACTACTACATTAAGCATCTGGCCTGACTTCACAGAATTACAGATAGTGCACTCTCTATATATTTTATTAACATCCTATAGGCTTATGCTAAGATGTAATACTGATGTGCCCTGACATGCATCACTACCTGTTGACAGAAAAATCTGGGCTAGACTTGAGAGCGTCTACAAATAAGAGTATCTTTTAAAGATGTTTTGGCAATTTTAACAGAAACTCTGGCTTAAGAAAAAAAAGACAAAGAGAAAAAGAGCAGTTTCAAGTTTATACATGTATAAAATATGCCCAAGTTTCAGCATGGTAAAACCTCTGAAAATGAGCTGATCCTTAGCATCCACTCCTTCCTTCTCAACCTAAGAGTACCCCATTTTCCTTTGGATCATGCCCTGTCCTCCATTCTCAGTTCTGTGTCTGAGTAAGGCTGGGCTTATCTGCAGCTCCTGCATTGGGCTTAAGCTCACCAGCGTTATCTCCCCACCCATGTAATAGGTTCGGGAATGAACCTGTGATCAAGTTTAAGCAAATGAGAAACAGTGACCCCCCCAGGGCTCCGTGCAGGGGCTTTTGGAGGACGCTTCTCTCCCTTGAACATTGTGTTATGGGAATGTGATATGTGGAACTGTTATTGCCTAAGAGGAAATCCCAGAGCTGCCAAAGGTCCACTGTATATAGCCTGAGGAGGCTGCCAACAATGAGAAAGGCAGGACAGAGAGCCAGAGAGAAACTGTATTCTTATTGACATATTTTAAGCCATGTATCAAGCTTTACCTGAAGTTGTACTATACATTTTAACTTCTCAGTTACATGAACCAATGGATTCCCATTGTTGATTTTGCAGGTAAGGCTTAGATCTTCAATGACTTGCAACCAAAAGTATCTTAACTAATAACAGTCCAAGACATTTAATCTATCAAAAGTATGAACTATTTTTTCTTTTCTTTTCTTTTTGAGATGGAGTTTCGCTTGTACTGCCCAAGCTGGAGTGCATGGTACAATCTCAGCTCACTGCAACCTCCACCTCCTGGGTTCAAGTGGTTCTCTTGCCTCAGCCTCCCAAGTAGCTGGGATTACAGGCACGTGCCACCACGCCCGGCTAACTTTTTGTATTTTTACTAGAAACGGGGTTTCACCACGTTAACCAGGCTGGTCTCAAACTCCTGACTTCAGGTGATCCTCCCGCCTCGGCCTCCCAAAGTGCTGGGATTACAGGCATGAGCCACTGCGCCCATCCAAACTGTTTTCTTTACACAATTTTGAAGATTTTATTCTCATGAAGAATGCTGAGGGAAAGGAAAATCATGAAGAATGTTTCTTAGGCTTAAAAGAACCTTAATGTCTTCTAAGATTAAATCTCAGAACTTCATAGTTGGAGATAGTTTGGGGATCATCTAGTCCTACTAGTTTCTTTTACACAGGGAGTCAATAAATATGTATATGATGAATGAATAAATGAATGTGAAGACTGAATGAATGAATGTGTGAATGAGGTAGCTTAACTCTAGACAGACCTGAATTGTATTGTTCCATGAAATGACTGTGTGTTTTAGTCAGTTTCAGCTGGTAGTTGGTAACTAAAAGACAGATTTGAGGCTTCTGTGTGTATGTTGTTTTTCATTTTTTTGTCTGGATATACAAGTAAATGGCAGAACCTGGGAAACCCAATTCCAAATCCAATCTACTTTCATGTCCACTAGTGAACATCTCACATTTTCTCATAAAAACAAACAAAGAACACCACAAAGTCCTTTGAGATGACAAGTTTAGATAGTCCTAGAGTTTTAAAACTGGGATATGTTATTGAAGTTCATTTCCAAACCAGTTGCTTTCAATCTGAAATGCACTTTCTCACGTACAATGCTAGATTCACAGGCTAGCCAACAAAACAGAACAAAATGCAAAACAGCAAACATCTTTTCAACCCAAAATATCTACTAGAACCCAACTAAGTGTTAAGTTCTGGGAACATGAGGTCATGAGATGTGTAAGTACAAGAGAAAAAAAAAATCAATGAAATGCTCTTCTATTCCTCTTTTCCACTTCCATTTACTGACTGTAAAATTACTTCAAAGAGAAATTTGAAAAATTCCAAAAATCTGTTATTGGCCCTGTACTACCTCCCTTTGTGTATTCTTCTCCCATTCTTAGTGTCCTTTTTGTTCCAGGTGCTTGGATGTCCCCCATCTTAAATAATGACAGCTATCGTCTTATTGAGCACTTACTATGAGTCAGGCACTGAGCTAACAAACTCAAAGAGATTAAGTAATTTGTCTACAGTCATGTGGCAAAGCCAACATGGAGCCCAGCTGTGCTAATCTCTGAAGCCCATGTTCTTAAACTACCCAGGTCTACTACACTGGTTGTCCTCTACCCTGAGCCAAGTCCTTCCTGATATGAGAATCCACCTCCTCCCTTCCTATTACAGCCAAAAGGGTTTCATGCTAAAGATTGCCAGCATTCCATCCCCTTCAATCAAAACAGTCATCCCCTTATTGTAGCCAAAGTGCCTTAGAAAACAAAAGAGGAGGGCAATCTGAAGTAACTCATGATAACCTCATGTTTCCAGAGATTGTACATACTATTTCAAAGGGGGCACACATTATTATAAATTCACCTTCAACTAGTAGCATTTCAGGTAGCTGATAAGAGCGGGAAGTGAAAAACTATGTATGCAGCAAAAGAGTATATATTTTTGGACAGAATAGGAGGCCACAGATTCTACTAAGAGTTTGCCCCCAAAGTCAGTACCCCAGTATAGAATATATTTTCACAATTTCTTTTCTTTTCCCATATTTTAATCCATAGCTTAAAAGGGGAAAAAAAGCAACAAAAAATAATTGGCATTTAATAAATCCTTGCTGCCTTTATTTGTCAAGTGATGAAACCAAAGCCTAGGGCAACAAATATGAAGTCATATAACAATGGCAGCCCAGAGAAGGGAAACCTCCAAACTGCTAACTCCCAGGCCAGTACAATTTATTTTTGATACCTATAACCCAATTCACCAATTGATTTTTCTTTTCTGTTTAAGGCCTGCCTGAATGAAGACGAAACTGATTAAATATGGCTATAAACCCACAGGAATTTGACCAGGCAAAAATTTTCTTTTTTAAACAGAACCAACTCCTATCTGAAAATGGCTTCTAGAAATAATTATTTAATAAAATAATTTAATCCATGTCTTTGTTTCATAGTAACAGAAAAATATCCACCTCCCTTTCCTCCCAAAATTCAGCTGCTGCATATCAGTTTAATTGTACTACCTAGCAGTTCAAAGAAATTGGCTTTTCAATGGACATTAGAATCTAAAACTCCTAGATTTAATGGGTCTGTCCTCTGAGGCCCACAAAAGTGCAATCATAGAACAATAGGGTCAATACATTTCTTATCAAGGGTTCACCTACTTTGATATCACCCATTCTTGGAAGGGAACTCAGGTCAAACTGTTATCAAACAAATATATAAATAGATAAACTAAATGAAGCTAATGAAGAGACCACAATCAAATAGTCCTGGGAAAGACTATTAGCTGGCCTTCTTCAGAAATAAACATGCAGGGAAAAATTGAGAAAGGACAAAGGAGAAGGTCATGCACCTCTAAGAATAGAGCAAATAAAGATATTAGTTTAAGACAACGGTCCTCCAGGTAAATATAAAAGCTAAGTTCTTACCACCAACATGAACAAGTGAAATACACTTATTTGATGGAAAACTTACGGGCACAAAGCAATTGTTGACCAAATAGCAGAAACCAGTCTACAAAAATCATAATTAAAAATACAAGTATAATTCTGTTAATTAGGCATAGAAATTTATAATCTCCACGTCTTACAATTGTCCAGTGTTTATTCATGTACCTAAATTAAACTAAAATAATTTCAATCCAGGCAAACCACCCTGAAAGATTTTTTTCTTAAGATGTTTATATCTAAACCCATGCTCAGATCAGCAAAAACATTTAGAAAGGAAAATATTCTATTAAATTTTTTAAAAACATTTTATTGGGGGATCGTTAAATATAAATAATCCATTTTAAATAATATAAACACGTAGCAGAAGTACATAAAACATACTTTCATTTTCTAAAACATAGAGAACAGTAACTTCTTCGCCTCCAAAAGAACAGACCATTTAATACCATTTAAAAAAATCTTTTGGCATTCCTATTGCCCTTCCCATAACTAAATGAATCAGTGACACGTGTATATATATACATATATTGGAGATGGAGTTTCGTTCTTGTTGCCCAGGCTGGAGTGCAATGGTGCAATCTTGGCTCACTGCAACCTCTGCCTCCCGGGTTCAAGTGATTCTCCTGCCTCAGCCTCCCAAACAGCTGGGATTACGGGCGCCCAGCTAATTTTTTCTACATGTTGGTCAGGCTGGTCTCGAACTCCTGACCTCAGGTGATCCTCCCACCTCGGCCTCCCAAAGTGCCGGAATTAGAGGCGTGAGCCACCACACCCAGCCCTGATGTATATATTTGAATCTGCTGTTTATTCATATGTTGAATAAACATTCACAGTTGGGATTACTGGCATACATCTTCCACAATTATAACATTATTTTAGCTAGTGAATAATAAAACTAATTTGATTTTGGTTAACTTCTTTTCAATACAGATGGTTTAAAAATAAGACAAAGCCTGTCTTTTTCTATTGTGATCTTAAAAATATCTTTCTAACATGCTTTTTAAAAAAAATACATAAGTATGCTACCACTGCCTTGTAGTAAACTTTAGAAAATGTTGAGATTCCAAAGGGCTGCCTACAAACCAAATGGCATCCTAGCTTTGGCAGGCTGATGCTTCATTTTGGCTGCTCTCGCCCCCTCTAGCGTTTGCAAAGCTCATCTGTCTGATTATCCAGTTACCTCACTGAACAAGATCTTGGCTAAGTCCTGCCCATCTATGACATCACCCCCTTCTTCAGCCACTGCGAGGTGAAGCTTTAAACTTCAGACTTGGAGGTGGGCTGTGTGCAGTAAACTGGAATGCTCTCCCTCGCTCACTCCTCAGTGTAGGAGTGATCTGAAGCAGGACAAGCTCAGCCTGCAGCTGCCGTGGGCTTTGTGTGGACTGGACGCAGAGCTTGGGAGACGGGGGAGGGCTATTACTCCAATTCACTGTCAATGGAATTACAGCTATAGCGGCAGTGTATATAGGATTGCTTTTTCTCGTCTTCCTGGTAAGTGTTTTCCATGTTTTTTCTTATGATTGTCCCAGAAAGTTTGCTTGGTTTTACTCTCTAGAAAGAAACGACTTGATACTATGAGAAATCCAAATAGGAACGTTTGCTCTGTCACCACAACAAGCAATATATGTGCGTGCAAGCCAGCAATGAAAAATTTCACTATCATGGCTGAATGTAAGAAGTTTCTTAGAACCTTCTTTCATTTATAAAAGATAGTAAGTGGCTATTTTCTGTCTTGAGTAATTGCTATGTGAAAAGAGCCTTATGGAAAACAGCAAGTTGGAAAGTTCAATGTTAAATATTAAAGAATACAAGGAGATTCTTCACAGATAGGAAAGCAACTTGGTGTGTACTGTACGTGTGGGATGATCACCAATTGCTGTTTTTACAACTGTGAAAGAAAATCAATAATCCCTCAGCCCATGAGTACGCAGTACATGAAAAGCATACATCTTGCTCACAGCTAGCCGAGCTACTCCTGGAGACTTATGTGCCTCTGTAAAGGATTAACAGCTACACCTAGATTTTAAAGCTTGCACTGCTATCGTGCCTGAGCTGCTTCAAGCATTTCAGGCTTGCAAATCTCAACTAGTAAATTGAACTCAGAGGAGGGGGAGACACTCTTCCAAACCATATTCCCTCTTCAATAGAACACCAAAATCCATTGCTTAGGCAAGTGAAGTATGTGACTAGCATAGTAAATGGCTAAGTCTACTCAGAAAAACTAACAAAGCTCACCCTGGAAGCTATGCCTGATGTATGCAGTGAGTTTGGGGTAGCAGGAAAGAAAAATAAATGAGTAGAGCCCTTATCAAGTGGGTTTTGCAGAGGATCCATTCTTTGCAACTTATAATAGGAAAATCTTATATTGGAAGAAATGCATTTATACTACAAAGCTTGAAAAAGTAGTTAAATGTATCTTCTCAAAAAATTTTGTTCACTGAATTAGGTCTGAAACAAAATGGTTGCATATAGGTAAAGAGTGCAACAGGCCCATCCATGTCTTCTCAACATCTGGGGGGTTTGTTTTTATTATTTTATTTAGAATTTAAAAGAAAAAAAATTGATTTTTTTTTCAATTTTTAGTCCAAAATCTCTAATGGTTTTAATAATAAGGCTATTTTAAACATTCTTAATAAATCTGTCTATTAATAAATCTGTCTAAAATGCTCATCTATGTTATTTTATTATCCAGAAACAACATAAATAAAGCCACTAGAAAAGTCCTTCAGCTGTAGCAATGCCTTTCATTTATCTCTGACTGCATAAAAATATCCTGACCAGCCTAAACATAAAGAATAAATTTGCTTATATTCAGGGAGAATCACTTATACCTGACCCAAAGTGACAGATGACTAATATTCATCTCTTCCGAAATGAGTAAAGAAAAATTAATCCTTTAAAAGTGCCACAATCAATAATATCAACATTACCAACTACTACAAATATTAATGATAATATGCCAGGTTTTACCATGGGAAAATTAAATCAGAGATATGCCCCTTAGTTTGGACACATATATATACACACAGACAAACGCACATCTATTTATTACCCTGAAATAAAAACAGAGTTACAAAAACGCATAGATTTACTAAGAAAACTAAAATTTGATTTTTTGAAGAGCACAACCAAAACACATCAAGTCCAAGGATCAGCAAAATATTAGTGAATGAATAAACATAATGAATTCATTAATATTGCGGTTCTGTAAAACTGTCTACCAGTTACTAATTGGGTTTTTCATTTCGCTGCACCCCACCCTTTAAAATCAATTATGACTGGGTTCAAAATGCACAATTAAACACTTCCCAAACATAACGTTTGTGAGATATATAATTGGATAGCAAATAAAGTTTTTACAAAAAGAAGAAAAACAGTAAGAAAATCTGTCATAACTAAATGTGGCAGCAAAATAGAAGGTATGTTTCTTTTGCTTTCAAGTGTTAATTAAGGAGCCTACAATTCTATCAAAACTTTTTCAGAGCTAAATGAAGCAGTGTGAAATAAATTTGGTTGAAATCTTGTGGCTGTCAGACTTTGTTAGCAAGCTATTAATTATCTTTACCCCAGTTTCTTCTCTAGACTATATTGCCCAATCAAATAGAAACTCCAATTATGCTCAGCATCTCCTGCCTAGGGACACAAGACCCTAATGAACACTCAGTCTCTCTAGATGAAAAATACAATAATCAGCTTTAAACATGCAAGTGCACTGCAGAGAGATTTTTCTGTGCTTTTCTTGGCCACACACCCTAAGGCTTCCTCCTTTTTCTGGATTATTTTGAACAGTTTTAAGCCCTACAAAAATCAGTGCAGGGAATTGGCCTTGTCTTAATAATATATTAATGTTTCTTCTTTCTTGCTTTTCATTTTTGATATGCCAATGTTCATACCAATATTAAATCTGGTCAATGAAAAAGTATTGGTTTATAGTTGCCATTTCAGTCATTTCTTAACTTCTATGCCTCTTTTTAAGGTGGGTGGGCTATATAACAAAGAATGTGATTGATTAATGGCAAAATCCAGAGCTAACTTAAAAATTCTGAATAGATCCCCTTATATATTCTTTTATTCAAACCCATTTATTTAAAAAAAAAAAGCATTAGAAATAACTGTTTAAATCAAATGAAGACTACCATAAATAAAGTCAACAATGGAAATAAGATTCAGTAATTTTTCAAAGGCCATAATTTCTCCCCTCCGTCTTTCCTCCTTCCCCCTTCCCTCCCACCCCCCACCTTTTGCCCCAGAGGCCTTCACTGTTCTTCTCAACGGGAGGCTTTGTTGTAATTAAACCAGAGAAAAACTGGCCAGCAGCAGCCAACATCTGACTTGCGGCTTCAGAAAGCAGTGTTCTGGTAGAGTGTACCACCCCCCAGTGGGCAAAAACTCTACAGTAAAAATCTCTCAGCAATATTAATCCTCAAAACTGCATTTTCTCTTCAGAGCATAAAAAGGGATGTTTCTCAGCTCCTTCTAACATTCCACCATTTCAAAAATTTACTGAAAGTCAACAAATAAATTTCCAACAAAGAGTTGGTCTTCTGAAACAGCATTCTTCCTCTTAAGAAAATAGGTATACACATTTCAAAAAGTATTTTCCAGTTTCAAAATACAGATCGACATCACTCAATTTGGTTAAACATCACACTAAAAGACAGTTTTCAAAGCTATGTTTATGTTGTGTAAGAAAGAACTTTGAGTTATCTATTTACGAAAACCCCAGAGAAAACAGATTTTAAGTAGAAAGCAATAGAATATAATTTAAGCAAAAGCTAAAATTTCATTTGTTTTGCATATGCATAATCTCTTTCCTACCCTAAAATCAAGTGTCAGGGATGTATAAAAAGCTTTCTGCAGGTATTATTCTGTTTAAATCAAAGGAGGGAGAAATTGCTCTCACTCGATGAGACAATGACAGCTTTTGTTCTTTATTCTTTCACTTTACATGTGCACAAGTTACCGAGGCAACTTTGAAGAGAAAACCCACAGACCACATTTGGTTAAAAACCATTTTTAAAGTGTGCCACTGGACTGTGGATTGATCAGTTTATGTGTTGTTGATTTTCTTCCTCTTCATCTGGTTTAAGTAATACCCTGCTTGGACATGAAAAACAATGTATTTTATGATTTCAGGTGGTCTCACCGACCAGTATAGTGCTTGCCACACAGTAGACTAAAATAAATGTATTTGCTGAACTACTGTATGGAAACTTAAATATTAGAAATTTAAAGCACATCAACCAAGTTGTACCCACACTGTTAAAAAGGAATTTGAAGTCTGCAATGGTAAAACGTGGTTTAACAAAAGTAGGCAAACTTTTAATTGCATTTGCTCAAAAGCACAAATTTAAAGCATGCCCCCACCCCAAACTCTGCACCACTTACCTTCACCACTCTCTAAATTAATATCTTACTCGTTCTTACAACTCTTGTTCTCTAATTCATTTACTTTGGGTTTAATATCATAAAAGGAAGCAGCATTCACTATGCTGACGGATAATATCCCAGTTTGCCTTTTTGTTTTAAGGATGCTTGATTTAACTTTACAAGTCAAAATAAATGAAGCAGAATTTGATTCATTTGTCAGAAACGTACCGGGGAAAATAACCAGTAACAGAAAAAGAAAAAGTAAAAATACTTAGCATTGGAAATTTTATCCTCTATTTTCCATAAATGAAACAAGGACCTTGTTCAGGCTAGAAAATAGTCTGGATAAAACCAAGTATGAAAAGGCACACTTGCTTCTCTGCCTCTCAGCAAACCCTTCAGACTTCATGACTCTCAAGAGGAGAGTTAGAGGTCCTTCTGCTTGCCTGGCATTGAACAAAAGAATTGGAACTTTCCTGAAATCTGATGATCATGGAAAATTTAACTACCAGACAGGCTGCTTAGAAAGCATTTTGCTGTCACTATCAACTAACCTGATGTACTCCAGTTTTTCAGTTTAACCGTATATGTAGTTTATTTGAAATACCGTTTGTTGTTGCAAAGGCTTAGCATTCACAGGTTGAGCTTTTTTGGCAGCAATTTAAGCCTTCATAAATAAATTACCTTCCTAATACTCTAAATTATGATTGTATAAATTCCAGTTTACCTAGAAATATTCACAAAGTTGGATACATTTGTTTAGGCATGTGTTTTCTTTAGTCTCAAGGTTTTACTTAAAACAATGCAACTAACTTGGATTAAAAGTTCTACATGCCATTAGATTTTAGATTGAATATTTTTAAAAGTCCCCAGCATTAAGAAATCATTCTGTGAGAGAAATCATTAAAAATAAACTATAATCTCAAAACCTTATACTTGAATTAATATTTTTAAAAAATGACTAATGATCAAACAGGTCAAATCAAAATCAATTTAAATCTAAGGCATTAAATAAGAAGTTAGCACTACTATTATACAGCTTCATCTTAATCTAAGTAATATTCTCAAAACATAAGAAATACCTTCTCATAACACTCCCACCTCCAAAATATTGTAGTAGCAGGGAAGAAATCACATAAACATGTAGATTGCCGCAAGCTCTTGATTTTATTTAAATACTAGTTTTCTATTCAGATACAACTTCTTATATTAGTTTCCCTAAAATAGTATCCTTATCTATTTACATGTTTTATTGGGTGTATCATGGAAATAAATTGGAAGCTTTCAGACTTGATGATTACATTATAAATGCAAAAAAACCCCACAATTTTTATTTGTAAAAATAAACTGAATATGAATATAAGGATCCCTATTAAAAATTTGATTCATCAGTGAGGTGGTTATGTTTTTCTTCTTTTTACTACAGTTTTAAGTGTTTTATAGTTAAATAATGATTCCATTAAAAAATGTTTTTAAACATTCCATTAAGTTACCAGGGCTTCATTTATGTTTTCCTCCCAAGTTACCCCATTAACAGTATTTTTCTAAAAGATCGATTCATTTTGTTCAGAAGTAATGGCCTCTTTCAAGCCTAGGCGGACAGAAAGGCTCTGAAGTCAGTGTTATGGAAACCTGGCCACAGTGTCCATGCCAGTGGGGGTCATTTTTCTTTTCATCATCGACATTTGACTACAGTATTTCTAGGTGCGCAAATATGTAGATCCAGCTCAGAAAGGGGAAGGTCTAAGGATAGGAGAGGATCGTTCATTTTTGATGAAGAGATCCTTGCAGCCTTTAATATGCCAAAACCAAAACCCAAAAATCTGTTTAGCACTATAGTTTCAAACATAAATGGGAAAGAGAAGATATAAAACGTAGTTAAACATGAACTGTTTTGAGCCTAAGGGAGCAGGGGCATATGAGAGTAGCTCTGAACGTAATCTTCATTTCCGAAAGAGTATCCTTCTCTCCTAAGAAACCTGTTTTATGTTTTTGCCTTTTATTTTAATACAATGTGGGGAGAAGAGAATGACATTTTCCAAGAACTTAATGAGATTTAAGGCTTTCTGTTAATCCCACATTATTACCACTATTGTATGAATGGCAAATGTGAGTTTGCATATCAAACAGAATAGAGAAAGCAGCTTCACAAATGTAAAACAGGTAAAATAAACAAATTAATCTTCCGTCTTTTCACACCAATTTAGAACTCTTTCATTCTCTGGGTTAAAAATGTGAAAATCAATACATATTGTTAGAGCCTTATTTGGTGAAATATATATATAGTCCAGACACAAGATAAAAGACATTTATTTTATGTCTGGTTATCATTATGATCATCACCTTGGACACACTGTGGTCTGACCTGACTCAGGGGACAATCAGTTTTTAAATCCCCAATCAGCGGATTCATCATCTCAAGTATATATTGCCTCACCATCATCCCTGGAATATCAGAAATGCTTGACTCTTGGTAACATTTTAAGCAGGTTCTCACTTGTTATTTTTATAATGGTTTTTAATTAGTTTCTAATGCAATTTAACATAAGCAATTGTTTTCTAAACTTAAATTAACCACATTATTTTATATGTTGAATAATTTTCAAGTTTAAAAAACTTTTACAGAAGATACTTTAAAAAGTAACTTTGTAATTATAATTTCAGCAGCTTGGTTTTCCATTTTCACACACTGAGAAAGCAACAGTTTTCAAGAAAAGATACTATTGGAATTTGACAATAATGAGCAAAGCCCTAAAGGCATCACAGTAAAACCTCACATTAAACAATAAATCATTTAAACTTTCCTCTGTGGGCACTTTGCAATATTCACTAGAGACTGTTTGATCCATCTGCTAACTGCTATTTTTGTTTCAAGTTGCGTAAATAATAAATTATATGTATCTGTAATTGTTTTCACTTTTCTTCCGTTAATATAGCCTATGACCATGTTGGTATGTAGTTAGCAAACTAAAAGAAACTGAATTTTTGGAGAGAACCAGAAACACAAATTGTGGCCTTATTTAACATACTCGTTCAGCAGAGTATCTGAATTATGGAACAGATGCTATACTTGTTGGATGTTAGATAGCAACTGTGGGAGAAGCAAATTGCTACTACTTTAGTCCTTACTTTGAGGGTCACATATTTCCAGGATACTCAAATGTTCCCTACATATATACAAAGTATCAGAGTGGATGACCCTGCATAACCAATTCGAATATTACTCACCTCCTCTAAACTCTCAAAAAATCTTCGTGCATATTTGATAATGGGCAAAGCAGTCAACATTAAATTCAATGATCTCTTTAGTCAAGCCAAAAGTCTTCTTTTGGAAATGAAAAATACACTTATTAAAAACTGGCAATATTCATGTATGAACCTAGAGAGAAATGCCCCACCTGGTTTTGATGTGCTTTCCTAATGGTCACTACAAGGAGATTGAAATAATAGTGTCCCTTCTATTTCAAATACAATTTTTTTTTCAAACTCAGTATGCTAAAAGAAAATTAGAACAGTATTCTCCAGAAAAACTAAATATGACTTGAACTTCTATGTCACCTTTTGGGCAAGAACACCTGAGTGCTTAGAGTTTCAAGATCACTAAGTAGTCCTTAGATACACCCCTAAAGAGAAAGGGGATGATGTCAACATTCTGCAGTTGGGAGAATTGAGACCTGCAGGAGGAATCAAACAGGGCACTAAGCAAATCAAAAGAAAAGCTTTTAAAATAGTCTTTTCAACTCTAAATTGTGGATTGTGTGACTTTGTTAAATCATGTTCAGAAATGCCTAAAAAGTTACCTTGGCATTTCTGTCAAAAATATTTGTTAATGTATTTGCTCACCTCTTTGACATGTACTTGTTTTCTTCTTTTTAAACATTTTATCATTTTATGCATATGATTTAAAAGTAAATTTTTAAAGACTGGCTTGAATTTGAAAGCCATGGTGTTTAATTCAAAGTGACACAATCAGATAATAGAAATTATCTGTTTGATGACAATCTCAACTTTGGCTCCTACTTTATTTGTATAAGAAAATGAGAAGTCTAAAAACAAAGAGGTCAACCTATCCCTTCTGACTAACCACTATGATGAAAGATGTGTTATTTTAAGACATTGAAATTAAATGTCTAGGAAATTTCTCTAGTATGTTAAAGTTCATTATTAATAGTTCATTAAAACCTTTTACTTTCACAGGAGATGCTCAGTCCCAGTATATTTTAAGGAAGAGAAATATAAAGGAAATTTAGTATGCCTCCTTTTCTTTAAATGAAGAATTTAGTTTCCTTTACTTCTTAAAAGAGAATACCTGTTCTTGTATAACGTGACTGCACCAGACATTCTGAAAAATCAGCAAGAAGCAAAAGCTGGAAATAGCTATTTCACAGCAGGTAATCATACCTCAGGATGTAGCTACTGTACAAAGTTTATACTTGGATAATCCTGGATGGGAATAAAGGTAGGGGGTAACTGCCTGAAAAACCTATTACTATACAGGCCTTAGCATCATGAATGACTTTCTTCATGAGGATCTGAAGTTACTATCTCTGACCACATTGCACAGAAGAGCCAATAAGAATTTCAAAGAGGGCAATTTCCACTAAGGGAATTAAGCTACACAAAAGGAACTTTCACACAGAAACTCTATCAGAAAGAAAAAAAAAATACATAGGAAGCCATGTGTCCTACATAGTAACAGGAAGCAGAATTGTTTCTGCCCCCACTTTAATGAGCTTGCCCACCATGCTGAACTGCAGCTGGAATGTTCATTGACAACAGCAAGCCTGATCTGGAGGTGTGTACGCCATAGGATTACTTGAATAAACGGTGAAGAACATTTCCAAGGACTAAACAAAAGTTTATAAGTCCCAGTCCCTCACCAGGAAAATAATATATGTGCATTGGATATTCACCCCCGCAAAATTTACTCACATCGTTCAATAAGGTAGGAAAAACAAAGTATTTTATTTTCATGCCTAAAATTACAAAGGCTAATTAATACTTAAAAGGACAGAAGAGACTATATTACACAATACATCAGTATAAATCTATACTTTGCCAGCCATAGAAAAAGTTGATTTATGTTCTAGGTTAGAATTCAAAGAAATATAAATGCACTGTGACAACACGTTATGAGGTAGAAAATAATGAAAAATGTGGACAAAGTCATTAAAACCTGCAGTATGAAACATATAACAAAATGTGAACAGAAGAAAGACAGAATTTAATATGAAGTGAAATTTTCCACTTAGGTTAGCTGGATGTATTAGCTTTGTAATTCTTTCCCAAAAATAAATGAAGGAATCATTCTTATTTTCTTGCAGAAATCCATCCATTTAAAATAATGCTTAAAATTAATAACCAAAGAAAATGAAATGACATTAATAATCAAAGCAAACTATGGGTTTGAGATTGAGGATCTCAAGATGTGTGTAACTATTCCTGAGTATGAAGAGAATAGGTATTTTTATGACATTTTTCTACACCTGTATAGTTTTTGCCTAATAAAAAGTAAATATAAAAATGTGTGGTTTTTTGATAACAGTAAAATGATTACCTTTAAATATAAGAAATAATATTCCAAGGTGTTACTTATTATGAATATTAAGTAAGAAATGGATATTCAATTAGCTTGATCAGTGACTGTCTAAAGGTTGATATAAAGTATAATTAAAATACTTTGGATTATTCAATAAAACTTCAATTATATTTAATATTTCAAAATCAAATGGATTTAGGACAGATACTTTTTAATTTATAAAGAAATTAAGAAACCATTAAGGTAAAGAGATTATATGACAGTGTCTATTGTTAGCTAGCAATAAACCCTATTATGCCCCCTCCCAAAACAAATGAAAATATTAAAAGTGATTATGGATATTTTAGTTTCCACATTTGTTTTTAAACATTATATTCAGTATGCTGGCCTTATTGTTTTCTGTCTTTTTTTACTCACTTCATTTTAGGGTTCTGAAGTAACGGAAGCTACCTTGTATAAAGACCTCAACACTGCTGACCATGATCAGCGCAGCCTGGAGCATCTTCCTCATCGGGACTAAAATTGGGCTGTTCCTTCAAGTAGCACCTCTATCAGTTATGGCTAAATCCTGTCCATCTGTGTGTCGCTGCGATGCGGGTTTCATTTACTGTAATGATCGCTTTCTGACATCCATTCCAACAGGAATACCAGAGGATGCTACAACTCTCTACCTTCAGAACAACCAAATAAATAATGCTGGGATTCCTTCAGATTTGAAAAACTTGCTGAAAGTAGAAAGAATATACCTATACCACAACAGTTTAGATGAATTTCCTACCAACCTCCCAAAGTATGTAAAAGAGTTACATTTGCAAGAAAATAACATAAGGACTATCACTTATGATTCACTTTCAAAAATTCCCTATCTGGAAGAATTACATTTAGATGACAACTCTGTCTCTGCAGTTAGCATAGAAGAGGGAGCATTCCGAGACAGCAACTATCTCCGACTGCTTTTCCTGTCCCGTAATCACCTTAGCACAATTCCCTGGGGTTTGCCCAGGACTATAGAAGAACTACGCTTGGATGATAATCGCATATCCACTATTTCATCACCATCTCTTCAAGGTCTCACTAGTCTAAAACGCCTGGTTCTAGATGGAAACCTGTTGAACAATCATGGTTTAGGTGACAAAGTTTTCTTCAACCTAGTTAATTTGACAGAGCTGTCCCTGGTGCGGAATTCCCTGACTGCTGCACCAGTAAACCTTCCAGGCACAAACCTGAGGAAGCTTTATCTTCAAGATAACCACATCAATCGGGTGCCCCCAAATGCTTTTTCTTATCTAAGGCAGCTCTATCGACTGGATATGTCCAATAATAACCTAAGTAATTTACCTCAGGGTATCTTTGATGATTTGGACAATATAACACAACTGATTCTTCGCAACAATCCCTGGTATTGCGGGTGCAAGATGAAATGGGTACGTGACTGGTTACAATCACTACCTGTGAAGGTCAACGTGCGTGGGCTCATGTGCCAAGCCCCAGAAAAGGTTCGTGGGATGGCTATTAAGGATCTCAATGCAGAACTGTTTGATTGTAAGGACAGTGGGATTGTAAGCACCATTCAGATAACCACTGCAATACCCAACACAGTGTATCCTGCCCAAGGACAGTGGCCAGCTCCAGTGACCAAACAGCCAGATATTAAGAACCCCAAGCTCACTAAGGATCACCAAACCACAGGGAGTCCCTCAAGAAAAACAATTACAATTACTGTGAAGTCTGTCACCTCTGATACCATTCATATCTCTTGGAAACTTGCTCTACCTATGACTGCTTTGAGACTCAGCTGGCTTAAACTGGGCCATAGCCCGGCATTTGGATCTATAACAGAAACAATTGTAACAGGGGAACGCAGTGAGTACTTGGTCACAGCCCTGGAGCCTGATTCACCCTATAAAGTATGCATGGTTCCCATGGAAACCAGCAACCTCTACCTATTTGATGAAACTCCTGTTTGTATTGAGACTGAAACTGCACCCCTTCGAATGTACAACCCTACAACCACCCTCAATCGAGAGCAAGAGAAAGAACCTTACAAAAACCCCAATTTACCTTTGGCTGCCATCATTGGTGGGGCTGTGGCCCTGGTTACCATTGCCCTTCTTGCTTTAGTGTGTTGGTATGTTCATAGGAATGGATCGCTCTTCTCAAGGAACTGTGCATATAGCAAAGGGAGGAGAAGAAAGGATGACTATGCAGAAGCTGGCACTAAGAAGGACAACTCTATCCTGGAAATCAGGGAAACTTCTTTTCAGATGTTACCAATAAGCAATGAACCCATCTCGAAGGAGGAGTTTGTAATACACACCATATTTCCTCCTAATGGAATGAATCTGTACAAAAACAATCACAGTGAAAGCAGTAGTAACCGAAGCTACAGAGACAGTGGTATTCCAGACTCAGATCACTCACACTCATGATGCTGAAGGACTCACAGCAGACTTGTGTTTTGGGTTTTTTAAACCTAAGGGAGGTGATGGTAGGAACCCTGTTCTACTGCAAAACACTGGAAAAAGAGACTGAAAAAAAGCAATGTACTGTACATTTGCCATATAATTTATATTTAAGAACTTTTTATTAAAAGTTTCAAATTTCAGGTTACTGCTGCGATTGATGTAGTGGAGATGCCTGAACACAATTCTATATTTTAGTATTTTTTAGTAATTTGTACTGTATTTTCCTTGCAAATATTGGAGTTATAAACCATTTACTTTGTGTTCTACTGAGTAAGATGACTTGTTGACTGTGAAAGTGAATTTTCTTGCTGTGTCGAACAATCAGGACTGCATTCATATGAGATCCTTGTAGTATAAGCACAGGCCATTTTTCACTTTGGTATTAATAAAATGTAAAAAAAAAAAACTGGCTGAATGGCTGAATGAGATAAAATTTAATTTTAAAAAATGGTTATGAAATAATGTTCCAATTATTAAATTTGTATTATCCCAGTGGTATTCAATAAATCAAAATGTGTGAAGTAATGGGCAATATCAAACTTCCTGCATATCTCCATTTTTGCTCTAGGCAAATTAATTATCCTTAAAAAAGTTAAGCATATCTTCTGAACTGAATACATCAGCTGGCATAAAAGGAGCATGAAGTCTGTTAAAGCCATTGTCAGCAAAGCTTTGAAAATAAAGGACTTCACAAAAACGGTAATGTAAATGTGCTTCCAAGTTGGGGGGAAAATGTGTACTTAGGAAAACATGGAAACTTAGACTTGTATAGTGTAATGAACACAAATACCAAAACTGCATTTTGGTTTTGCCTATACCATCCTGATTTTTGAAAAGTGAATTATAAACACAAAATTGTTAGTGTTTATGATGTTTTTATCATAAAGGATGTCAGAGAAACTTTATGCATATTAAAAATGTAATGTAATTATAAGCGATTCCCCTCAACAATCCAGAGAAAGTAGTTCTTTAAATAAGAGATAATTTAAAGAAAAATAAATACTAGACATCAAATTTAGATCTGGTTTATGTCAAAGGTTTTAACACTGTACATAAATGTTCAATTTACTTTTACAAAGATCAAGAATACTGCCCATTACTGTCACAATTTTCCAGATATTATATAATGAACTCGTAATGTAACATTTCCTTCTAGCTTCCTACTGAATTGTGAGCTGTTACTTGTTGAAAAACCATATCACTTTTCTGTTGCCATGATTTTTTTTTTTTCAACAAAAAACCAAAGTGCATTGTACGCCCTTTGGCCAGTCTTGTATGTGCCTTGATCCAACGCTACATGTATTCAGCTTTTAAAACTCCACAAATTTTTCATACTCCTTAAATATGAAAAATTATGGTCTTATTGCTGAATAAAACTTTTAAAAAGTACAGAATAATTGTGCTTGCTTTTTCAGGATTGTGTTACTATCACTAAGTAGCAAATTGCCCAGCACATTAGTCCTAAACGTCCCATGTATTTTTCTAGGCATAAAAATAAAAGTTGGCTAAAAATTTTAAAAAATCAACATCTTGAGGTTGTGTATCATTTTACTTCAAAGAGTTCAGTGTTTCATGTATAAATGTATTTCCTCTTACTTATACACTGTATAGATGGAAAATTTAAGAAATGGTTTCAAAGCCTTTCTCTCTTAGGCGCACTGCTGCCACTGTCCTGATACTTTTTAAGGTGGTCTTTGAAAAACTGTTTTTTTAAAATAGCCTTTTAGTAGAGTGAGTTGGCATTTGTGATACTGTGAAATACACACTTTCTCTTTGTCCCTGTTTCTGGCATACAACTCCTAAAATCCTTGCAATCTTCAAAGTGATATATTTTCATATGCTAATGAGTTCACTGATAGCTGGCAGGCCCTAGGTAGCTTCAAGATAAAGTCTGATCATTGAAAAGACCAAGACATGATTATAGGGTTGGGACTTACAACCCCAAACCCTAACCTCCAGAGAGGGCGAAGTGGATGAAGATTAAGTTGATCACCAGTGACCAGTGGTTTAATCAAGCATGCCTATGTAATCAAGCCTCCATAAAAAAACAAAAGGTCAAGATTTGGAGAGCTTCCAGATTGCTGAACATGTGGTGGTTCCTGCAGGATGGCATGCCTGGAGAGGGCATGGAAGCTCTGTGCCCACCTAGACCTCACCTTATGTTTCCTGCCATCTGGATCCTTTGTAACATCCTTTATAATACGTCAGTAAATCTGTTTCCTTGCATTTTGTGAGCTGTTGTAGCAAATTAATAGAACACAAAAAGGGGATCCTGGGAAACCAAACTTGAAGCTGACTAGTCTTGCAACTGGTGTCTGAAGAGGAGGCAGTTTTGTGGGAATAAGCCCTCAACCTGTGGGATATGACACAATTTCCAGGTAGACAGTGTTGGGATTAAACTGAATTGGAGGACACCCAGCTGGTATCTGCTGAAGAACTGATTGCTTGCGTGGTGTATGGGGCAAAACTTGTTAAGACAAGTCTTCTATGTTGATTATTGTTGAATGAGAGAATTAAACACACATACACACTTTGAGTTTGTGTTTTCCACACAGAGCATCAAAAGACTTGAAATCTCAGATCTACCACTTAGGTATGCAATTAAAAACAAACTACTTACCCTTCCTAGCTATGTTTCCATATCTGTAAAAGGGGGTTAATAGTACCCTCATTTTTGTGAGGATTAAATGACACGATGTGCATGGAAACTGTATAATCTTCTACAAAATACAAGTTACTACTATTATTATGGTCAACAAATGTTTGCCATCTGTTCCCAAGTTTTACTAGATACTGCTCCTTTTACTCCTCTACTGACAAGGAGATATCTCCAAGTGACTATGAAATCTTATTAATTATTTGTTTGCTGTCTTCAAAATGTTTCCCAACACTCTGTCTTTTGGCTTCCCATTATGGTTGTTTTCGAGGGACAACTTAAAAGATGAATGTGATTAACATTAAACATAAGGAATGTTTCTGAAGGAAGTTTGACTTTGCTTCTAGAAGTTTTGAGTAGTTTAAGCTATAGTTCTGCTAGAAGTCAGGGAAAGGACTGGATGTCTCCATAAAGTCTCTGTAAACCTGTAGTTTATAAAAAGCAAAAAAAAAAAAAAGAGATTATATTGATATTTTCCAGTCAGTATACCTTTCATGAGCATAGAAAAGTTTGTGTATGTTCTAAAATACACCTTTTGATTATGTTGCCTGGAATAAATCAGAAACATGTTTTATACTAGCAAATACACAGAGCACCAAGAGGATACAAGTTTTTTCTTTACCTACGCTTGCTATAAAATCCAGTTGCTTTGCAAAATACAAAATATATATATATATATATATATATATTTCAATAGAATATCAAGATACAAGTCTCCACCTTAAAGGGCACTCAATAATTATACATACATTTCCATGCATCCCAAACTAAATGATATTAATAAGACTAAATTCCAAATCAGGTACTAACAAATTTATAGGGAAAAAGAATCCAATTCTGAATATATAGCATATAACTTTAACAAAAACAACAACAAAAAAAAACTGGGAAAGCTACAAAAAACTAGAGGAAAAAAATTACTCCCTTGCTAAATGTTTGACAAAAATCAAAAATTGTTTTTAGATGCAGCCATTTGTAACTGCATTTAATCACTGCACTTATTCTTGCTCCCTATTAAAAATGACACTGTGCTCTATCTTACAGGAAGGCCGATTTATTAAAAGTATTATTCCCCTATTCCAAACAAACTAGTGAAAAGAACTTGGCTTTAGTAACTACAGTTTCTGATTAATGCATATTTTATAGCTACATGCCAACATGACAATTTCATGAGGAATCCAAAGAGAGCTACATGCCCTAAAGCATCTGAAGCATGAGTGTTAATGGAATCAATCCACCAATGAATGTACTATTAGTTCATTGCTGCTGAAAATGGTAGCAGCATTTAAAATTCTAATTCCTTTTTCCTTCTTAGCATGATTAACAAATCTTAATTTAGCATAGTCTTAGAATTACAAACACCGTACTTTTTGTTTTGGGACTTTTTGTTAAATTAGCAAAAAATAACTCCTGCTTATCAATCACTTTTTAAGAACTTCAAAGTTCTCTACAAATATTCTTAACTAGTCAATGACTTTTACTGACTGGCTTTTTTTTTTTGAGATGGAGTATCACTCTGTTATCCAGGCTGGAGTGCAGTGGCACAATCTTGGCTCACTGCAACCTGTGCCTCCTGGATTCAAGCGATTCTCCTGCCTCAGCCTCCCGAGTAGCTGGGATTACAGACTTGCGTCACCACACCCAGCTAATTTTTGTATTTTTAGTAGAGACGGGGTTTCACCATGTTGGCCAGGCTGGTCTCCAACTTCCAACCTCAAGTGATCCACCCACCTCAGCCTCCCAAAGTGCTGGGATTACAAGCGTGAGCCACCACACCCAGCTGGCTTCTTTTTTATAAGTAGCAGATGGCTTGCCTTCAAGAAGTGTGCTGTCTACCAATTATTAGGCATAAACAGCAGTGACCGTTCACTGCTCTGCAGTAAAAAGGAAGAAACAACTACATCTATTTGAATAGCTCAAGGAAGACCTCATGAAGGAGATAGGATAGGTGTTGAAGGGTAAGAAGGAATTTAAAGAAAAGCACATACTGGTTATGAAGAAAAAATGTGACCAAAATTATCGAGAAATAAAAATGGGCAATGTTTCTCAACCCTGGCCTTGGTCAGAATCACCTGAGGGAGGTTTTTATTAAGAGGTTTTATTGGGGTCTGATTAGGCCCCAGTAAAGACTTACTAAATTAAAAGCTCCCAGATGAAGGCTAGGCATGTACATTTCAAAAAAAAAAAAAAAAAAAAAAAAATTCCAAAGGTGATTATGATGTGGTCAAGGACCACTGATTTAGGAGGTGTTTGGATAAAGGCCAATAGTCCAACTGAAATACAGGGTCCATGAAGGAGGTAAGACTGGAAAGGTATATTTTCCATTAGGCTTTGTAGTGTGTTGAATTCCAAGCTGAGAAGTCTGCATTGATATTCTTTGGCAATGACTCTTAAGCAGGTATATAAATGATCAGTGCACTTCAGGCAACATTTTATAAAAATAAAAAATATTGCTTAAAGATGAATGGGAGAAACTGGGAACAAGAAGACAAGTTAGACGGCTATGCAGTATTTCAGGCAAGGGGAAATAAGGGCCTGAACAGCGCACTGCCAGTGGAATGGGGTCAAAAAAGAAATAAAGAAAAGAAAGCTTTAATTAAAAAGATACAGTAAAAAAAGTAGAATATTGAAGATGATGAAGATTTTCAGCACAGGTAAGTAGAATGTTGGTGAGGCAATTAATAAAGATGGAAAACAACTGAGAAGAAACAGATTTCAGAGTATTTTGTAAATGTTGGCTTTGAACAGGTGACTATGTGCGCAGTACAGGTTTACATCTGCTAATTATTAATAGTGCCCTCTTCAACCCTCCACAGTGACCCAGTTTAGATAATAAATTAACATGACCTTAGGTTTACATTATCCCTCTGGACATGTCTACAGAATGTTACAAAGGAGGATGTGGGGACATATCCTCAGCATCAGGAAGGGAAACCACATCTAAGAGGTGAGTATTAACATTGAGAGGGCGGATGAGATAATCAACAGAAAATAAGCAGAGAGAAAAGAGGTGCCAAAGGAGAACTTACCCTTTGTAGCAGGGGAAGAAGAAGAATCCACATCAAAGAAACAACAAACAAAAAGGGGGGGATTGCAGAGGAGGGAAAATAATCACAGAAAGAAAATATTATGGAGTCAAGGAAGGAAAGTATTAAAAAAGGAGGATGTCAAAAATGTTATCAGGGTAAAGACATAGAAGAGGTCACCACTGAATATGAAAAATGAGGTGACCCTTGGGGATTATGAAAGCAGCGTCTGCAGAGTAATGAGGGAAAAGCCTCTAGGGTGCTGACAGGATAATGGGAGATAAAGAAAACAGAAACAATGATTAAGACTACTCTTTCAAGAAGTTAAGAGGGTGAAGGGGTCTTGTTGGGTCATGGGGAGGAACAAGATAGAAAAAAAGGAAGTGAACACCAGGAGGGAGATATATCAACCTGAGGAAGAAGATGGGAGTATAGTGAGAGGAATCTACAATGAAGACAGGAAGAATATTTAATAGGAGAAAAGAAAGTTGAGATGCCCAAGAGGTGCGGCCTAAGCCATGACTGTGGCTCTAGGATGCCTGAAATAAAGACCGAGAAGCTACAGTTTTACAAGAATCACTAGCTAGGAGAACAAAGTCACTGAGAGAGATGGAATGAGTTGGTATGAAGGTAAGGTTTGTAGTTCAGGCTCTAAGGAAGATGGGGAAATGTCCCAGAGATGAAGAGGATGGAGAAGATGATGGGATTAGGTGATGCATATATAAAATACAGACTTCAGAATAAATGTTTTTGAATAATGATGACAGAAGCATAGTCACATCTTTCATGTTTGGAGAAAACATTTTTGAGATTACCTACCTACATCCCACACCTCTCCCCTACCCTACTTTAATCAAATGTTGGTAGTTTCTAGAGATGGAGGAAACAGGAAAGGTCATCCTCAAGCAAAAACGTCAATTACTTCAAGACTGTGGGAAGAATGCTAAGAAAAATGCCAATCACATGGGAAATTGGAACCCAAAAGAAAAAGATTGCAGTGGCCTAGTAAAAGCAGTTAGAAAATGATCCAGAAGGGAGATAATATTCTCAGAAAGAAACAGACATGAAACAGGAAAGCAGAGTGGGAAGGGCATTGCACCTAGGACTCTAACAGATAATCAGTTACACAGGCTGCTGGTCATAAGAGGTGGGTGGAAACTCTTATTCTAAATAGTATAGACATTAAGAACAGATTAAAAGAAGAACAAGAATAACCACATTAACCTTGCTCTATTCTTCACACTTTGAAACAGAATTAAATCCAACTTTATCTCAAAATACACACTGAAGAAGTATTTTTACTCATGTAAACTTTCACTGGGCTTACCTACAAGTATCATAAGATTCCAGGCAAAGAGGTAAGCAAATCACATTATGAACCCCTCCCACTCCCTACCCCTATCTCATTTTTATGTTATATGGCTAGAATGAGATTAGAAATAAACTTCAAGGTTGCCTTCAAAGTTTTTCTTTTTTAAGAGGCTTCAAAAGGAAGCATGCAGCCACGGGGGTGTGGAAGTTGGGGATAATGGGATTTTACAGATTGATTACGTGCACACATAAAAGCAGTGCTTCTTTTTCAATGCCAGCTGGCTGGAGTGGAGGGAGGATAGTCTAGGCAATTACTACACAAAGTAATACCCTGTTGAATGTATGTTGGGGGCTCTGATAATTGTGACAACATAAAACTGAGGCTAGTTCATATCAATGTTCCATTAAAAAGCATGGAATCACTGCTGGAAACTCGCATTTTAATTTCCTTAATATGGGGATCAATGTTAATGAATATACCCAGAAAAGGCTAGATTAAACAAAAGTCTAAAAAAAGTTTCTCTTTCTAAAATATGTTCTATAAATATTAGTGACGTCTTACACATACAGTGGGCTTAATAAGTGCCTGCTGATTACGTTGTTGCTGCTACAGACCCTACCATTTGTTGAAGACTTTGTCAAGCCCAGCATTAAGTATTTTAGATCTTTTAATCTCATTTAATTCACACAATAACTTTAGAGATAGGAATTATTATCCCTATTTTTCAGAAAAGCAAATTAAGACTTCGAAAGGTCATAGAGATTTGTTATCCATTCAACCTTAACAATGATGTACTGAGTATCTGTTCAATGACTGTGGCTGGAGTTGGGTGTACAGCAGTAGACCAAAAAGACATGAAGATTATGGTTGGGGGAGGACAGGAATCCAGATTTTTTTTTTTTTTTTTTTTGAGACAGTCTCACTCTATCATCAGGCTGGAGTGCAGTGGCGCAATCTTGGCTCACTCACTGCAACCTCCACCTCCCAGGTTCAAGCGATTCTCCTGCCTCAGACTCCCAAGTAGCTGGGACTACAGGTGCATGCCACCACCCCCAGCTAATTTTTTGTGTTTTTAGTAGAGGGGTTTCACCATGTTGGCCAGGATGGTCTTGATCTCTTGACCTCGTGATCCACCCGCCTTGGCCTCCCAAAGTGCTGGGATTACAGGCATTAGTCACCGTGCCCACCCAGGAATCCAGATATTAAACAAAACTCAAAGGAATATAAAGTGAAAAACTATGATAGGTACCATGAAAGAGAAAAACATGGTGCTATGAGTGAGCATAACAAGAGAACCTACTTAGATTGGGTGGTAAGAGAAAGCCTAAGACCCGAGAGATAAAGAGTCAGCCATGTAAAGAGTAAAATGAACAGTGTTCTGAGCACAGGAAACAGGCTGTGTTAAAGTTGCAAATAGGAAATCAGCTTAATGTGTTTAAGGATTAGAAGAATTCAGGTGACTTACACTCAGTGATCAAGACGTAGGTGAGATCAGCAAGGTAGGCCTGAATAAGGAGTCTGAACTTCATTCTAGCATAAAAGAAAGAAAACGGGCAGTTTTTAAGAGGGCAGGGAGGAATAAGGGGAAGATAGGGGGTGGAGAGCAGGAGAAGTAAGTAAAAGAGGAGGAGAAGGTGTGGGGATCAGACTGTCAGATTTCAATTGTAATAAGGTCACTCTAGCTACTGTATGGAGAAACACTGTGTGGAACAGAATAGTGGTGGTGAGTAGAGAGGTGGAAAGATGCTCAAAATATTTTGAAGCTATAATGGATTTCTTCTTAAATAGTAAGTAGTAGAACAAGAATTCTGTTACTGAAGCTTGGGCTCTTAACTTCTTCATCAGGGGTGTTCAATCTTTTGGCTTTCCTGGACCACATTGGAAGAAGGAGAATTGTCTTGAGCCACATATAAAATACACTAACACTAATGATAGCTGATGAGCTAAAAATAAAAAATAAATCACAAAAAAAACTCATGTTTTAAAAAAGTTTACAAATCTGTGTTGGGCCACATTCAAAGCCATCCTGGGCTGCCTGTGGCCCATGGGCTATGAGTTGGACAAGCTTGTCTTAAACACTGACCAGAAATACTTCATCAGTAAATTTTTTAATGTTTGAGTCAAGAAAAAAAGATTATTTCCTTTTACTGAGATAACTAGAAAGCATTTTCAGGATTAAATCTCAAAACGTTTAATGGGGAGATGTGACTTTTTCTTCCAATACTTACAGACCTCTGCCCCATGATGCTGAATGATGACTTGGAGTCATCAATAGTCAATGGCTGTCAACTACCCTAAAAGTAACACTTGTCTTTCTTGTAGCTTTCAGTGAATTTAAACTCAGGGTAGACAGAAATAACCTTAATGTCTGGGTTCCCTACAAGATCTGCTCATGATCCCATTGCATCTTCTTAAGAGCCATAGTACAAGAGAATGGAAGTTTCAGATCACTGAAGCTTTTTCCTAGCTTTGCGCTGAAGTTGAGACATACAACTCAAGAGAATACTGACTAGCTTACAAAGTTAACAAATGCCAAGATTATTTTGTGTTTTTCAATAATCTTTAAAAAAATCTGTGAATTATTGTTATGTTATATTCAGAGTACACTTGCCAGACCTACATAAAGACAGACAGGTATAAGAGGTACATATTTACTCCATGCTTTTAGCCAATATATCATAGAATGTTAAAGCTAGAAGATATTTCACCAATTTTGGTGATGTGTACCAACATTTAATTGTTTTAAATCCCCTAATTGTTTTAAAACAATACAATTTTTTAAGTTTGTAGTTGAACTGTAAGTACTTTACAGGTTTTGTTTGTCTATAATGGAAAATCATGTAGCTAATCTATGAATCACAATATGCTTCTAGCTATTAAGCTAACTACTAGCTCATAGTGCTTACCATATAAGAGTTAAATGCTACCTTTGTTATTATCTAATATATTTAATATTTTGCTTATGTGTTATTATCTATATGCCTCATTAAAATGCAAACTCCATGAAAACAAGAGTCTTTTTTTCCCTGTAGTTTCACTGCTAAATCTTTCCAACTTGTAAAACAATGCTTGAAACCTAGTGGACACTTATAAAATATTTGTTGGATGAATGAATAAAAGAATGAATGAACTTCAAACACTTATATCACTAAGTATTACCTGAGACAATCTTGGTGAAAGCTCTTTGTAAACCGTAAGCCACTCTGCAAATGTAGAGTATTAGCATAGACCATTTATTAAGCATTTCATATCCATTATCTCCCTTACTTCCCAGTTCACAAAAGAAACCAAAGTTCAAACAGTTAAAGCAACTTGCCCAATATAACACAGTATAAGTGGTAGAATTAGAATTCCAACAAACAAGTTGATTCCAAATCCAAGTGTCTTGACTCCAGATCTCCTGCCTTTTCTATCTTGCTCTTTATTGTGACATGCTGACTCCAAGTACATAAAACAAAATACACCAGAACACTATTAAATTATATATACAATTCATATTTGAGATAATGACTAAGAGCATTATCTTTGAATTAGACAGACCTAGGTTTGCTTTCCAGTTTTTGCTGCTTATTTGGGATATGGCCTTGGTCAACTTTTCTAAGCCTCAGTTTCACCTTCTGTAAAATAAGGTAGTAATAATGCCTGTCTAATTGTGTGGAAAAAATTATGTATTTCAAGTAGAGGACTTAACTCACGGGTATGGGTTAATGGCTCAAAGTGCCTAAAAAATTTTATTTATTTATTTATTTATTTATTTATTTATTTAGAGACGAAGTCTCACTCTTGTTGCCCAGGCAGGAGTGCAATGGCGTGACCTCAGCTCACCCCAACCTCCGCCTCCCAGGTTCAAGCAATTCTCCTGCCTCAGCCTCCCAAGTAGCTGGGATTACAGGCATGCACCACCTTGCCCAGCTATTTTTGTATTTTTAGTAGAGATGGGGTTTCTCCATGTTGGTCAGGCTGGTCTTTCACTCCCAACCTCAGGTGATCCACCCACCTCGGCCTCCCAAAGTGTTGGGATTACAGGCGTGAGCCACCGCCCACGGCCAAAAAATTTTGTTTTTGTCTTTGATGATAAAAAAACATTTTCTTGGTATCTTATAATACAACCGACACTTCAATATGGAATGACAAAAAGAGGGAAGTGTAGAAACAAATCAACAGACTTTGTTTGCATTTCTATTGTCCCACTGTACTCTGAATTGATTTTACAGAAGCAAATGCTAACAAAGCCATATTTTTCTCTCTCTCCCCCAACACAGAACTGGGCTCATTACATTACTCTGCTGCCTTCTGGTAAAGGTACAAGTGGAAATGTCAACTGCTAAAATGCAGAAGGAATAATAATTTTTTAAAAAAGATTAGTTATCTTAAAGCTGTTAAAATGGTAAAGAAGTCTTCTTTGAGCTTTCCAGAATCCCAGTACATTTTTTTGTTAAATAAGAACACTTATCTAGATGGTTACCTATTAAATCAAAGGCACAGAGTTACTAAAATGTATCAGTGTATAAGCACCAGGAACAGTGTTTCAGATGAATTAGCCACTCTTGGTATTAGAATCACTTTTATTGGGAAAAAGTGTTAACAGCCAGGTACATGTCTCAGGCAACTATAGTCTTGTATTTAACTATAACAGCATGTTGCAAAATCCAGGCTCCTTCTTTCTAGTTCTGAATCCAAATTAGCATGCCTTTGTTCTTGAGAGAGACAGTCTATTCACTGGTTGTCCATGTATGTTTACACAAGACATTCTTATTTCATAGTCTATCAAGGGCTGATCTTTTCCAGCTACAGAAACTTAGTTAACATATTTCTTCAGAAAATTCTTCTATGATGTCTACTAATATACTTAAAGGATTAGGTCTAAGAGTGAGAATTCCGTTTCAATATTTATTATGCTGCAATAGTCTTACCTAGAAGAAGTGCACTAATTCACAAGCACATTAAAGTTTCTCACCTCCCCAGACAAATTTCACACATTTTTCTGCCAATTCTTCGCTTTTCCTTAGAAGTCCCAGACAAAGAGGTAACCATAGATGCCATTAAAACCAATTAACACTTCACCTTCATTTTGGGACAAAAAAAAAAAAAAAAGGAGGGGGAAAGCAGCAGTTTACAGTAAATCTTTAATAATTGTGTGAAAGTAAATTTATAAGTCATTTCAAAGTAAAGGAGAATAGCTTACTTGGGACAGAACAAATGTGGAATATTTAATGTTCAAGTGAAGGAAATTAAGTGCAACTGCTTACCAAATGTTCACAAAATACGCAAGTATTCACCAACTATACTATCCTTTAATGATAAAAACTAGAGGGTTAAGAATTCCTTGAAAGTATGTTAATCCTTATCTCTCCTTCAGCCAGCCTATGACAGATAACAGAGTGACCAATATATTATATTCAAATCTTTCTCAGAGACAGAATTCTATAATATACTGTAGAATCTCTTTAAAAATTTAATGTACACACCAAAGTGTCTTAACGTAGATGTTAAATGTAGACATTTTTAAATGTAGACAATGAAGTGTTATATAATTAGCTTACAGAAAACCACTCAGGTGCTAATACTATTTATATAAAATACTGAAGGGATGACAAGTATGAGTGTTTTCAAACATGCCACTCTGGCGTACAGGATAGTGGTTGTGAAAAGAGTTCTGGAGTTGAGCTACCCCAATTTCAAACCACACTGCTTCTACCACTTACTAGCAGGGCAACTCTGGGCAAAATACTTAATATCTCTGAATTTGCCTTTCGTAATCCCACTTTATAGAATTGGTAAATGAATTAAAAGTACTAAAAGTATATGAAGTACTTAATATAGTAGTGCCTGACACATTAATACATACTTAGATTTGGTGGCTATAGGCAATATATTGCAGGGGTTAATTGTGTAGATTCTGAAATCTGATTTCTCAGGTTCAAGTCCAAGTTTTCCCATATGTTACTTATTTGGCTCTGGGCAAATTATTTCGTCTCTCTATATTAATAGTAATAGATACATGAAAAACATTAGAATAGTGCTTTGTACATGGTAGTGCTCAAAAAATAATTTTTATATTACCTCAACTGAAGTCTCATAGAAGCTAAAATTTAAAGAAAGTAGGAGAGCAGTTTTCTCTTATGATGTTTGACTAGTGATAAAAGTAAATGAACACTATCAATTCAATCCACATCCATAAATCTTTCCTATACACCAACATGCAATTACGCATTGATCAAATTCCCAGTGCAGCCTCACTAGTTTCAAGTTTCTCAGACTTGTCTGATGATACAAGTCACCCAGAGATTGTAACTGAGCAGGTCTGGGGTGGAGGGGTGAGGCCTGGAATCTGTATGCATAATCAGTTTCCAGGGGAGTCTTATGGCTAGGCAGGCTAAGAATCCCTGAGTCAGTTGAAGCTGTGCCCAAACACAGAACCGGAGAAGAATATCTAGCAGTCACATCCACCTAAGAGAATTATTGTATTATAAATATTATGTAATGAAAATGAGAATTTTGAAAATGACTTGTTACTCAGAAAATATTTTATTATTTATCAGTACCAAATATTGATTGAGGGCAATTTGAGCATATTTTATAGTATAATTCACAAAACAGTGTACAAAGGTTAATTGGAAAAGAAACCTACTCTTAAAAATTGAAATAATTTGGGTGGTAACAGTGGTAAACAGAAAGGAAGAACGTCCTCAACAAAGATATGCATACAGGCCGGGTGCGGTGGCTCACGCCTGTAATCCCAGCACTTAGGGAGGCCATGGGGGGTGGATCATTTGAGGTCAGGAGTTCAACACCAGTCTGGCCAACATGGTGAAACCCCGTCTCTACTAAAAATACAAAAATTAGGCAGGCATGGTGGCGGGCATCTGTAATCCCAGCTACTTGGGAGGCTGAGGCATGAGAATCAATTGAACCCAGGAGGCAGAGGTTGCAGTCAGCCAAGATCACGCCACTGCACTCCAGCCTGGGTGACGGAGTGAACTCAGTCTCAAAAACAAACAAAAAAAGATATGCATACAGTTATGTGTCACTTAACCACAGGATATGTTCAAAAAATGCATTGCTAGGCCATTTCATTGTTGTGTAAACACCAGAGAGTGCACTTACACAAGCCTAGATAGTATAGCCTACTACACACCTAGGATATGGTATACCCTACTTCTCCTAGGCTGCAAACCTGTACCGCATGTTACTATACTGAATACTGTAAGCAATTGTAACACAGTGGTATTTGTGTGTCTAAACATAACTAAACATAGAAAAGGTACATTAAAAATATGACATAAAGGATTTTTTAAATGGTACACCTGTATCGGGCACTTACCACAAATGGAGCTTGGAGGACTGGAAGTTGCTCTGGGTGAGTCAGTAAGTGGTGAGTGAATGTGAAGGCCTAGAACATTACTAAACATAACTGTAGACTGTATAAACACTGTACACTTAAGCTACACTAAACGTATTTTAAAAATATTTTTCTTTCTTCAATAATAAATTAACCTTAGCTCACTGTAACTGTTTCATTTTATAAACTTTTAAATTTTTTCAACATTTTGACTTTTATACTAACACTTAGCTTAAACACAAACGCGTTGTACAGCGGCACAAAAATATTTCCTTTCTTCCTACCTTTAGTCTATAAGTTTTTTTCTATTTAAAAAAAAATTAACTCATTTCTTTTACTTTTTAAACTTTTTTCTTAAAGACTAAGTCACAAAGAAACATCTTAGCCTAGGCCTAAAAAGGATCAGGATCACCAATATCATTTTCTTCCACCTCCACATCCTGTCCCACTAAATAACATGCATGAAGCTGTCATCTCCTATGACAACAATGCCTTCTTCTGGAATACCTCCTGAAGGACCTGCCTGAGGCTGTTTTACAGTTAACTTAAAAATAAATAAATAAAAAAAAGTATAGTAAATACATAAACTAGTAAGATAGTCATTTTTTCTTATCAAGGATGATGTACTGTACATAACTGTATGTGCTATACTTTTATACACCTGGCAGCATGGTAGGTTTGTTTACACCAGCATCACCACAAATACGCGAGTACTGCGTTGCACTATGACCTTATGACGGCCATAGGAATTTTTCAGCTCCATTATAATCTTATGGGACCATGATTGTATATGTAGTCCATCATTGGTCAAAATGTCCTTATGCAGCACATGACTGTAATTTTATGGTACCTTTTATCCTGAGGAGTTCATTAAGTGTAGGATCAAGGGTCCTGTTAATCAAGAGGTCTGGTTCTTCAAGAGCTCTGTTACAGTTATTTACAACACTGCTGTCATTGTTAACGGGCTAAAAATGCTAACAATTTTAGAACATTCAAATAAATTAACTACAAAAATTAAAGGGTATAATCATTACTTTTCCTTGATCCTTCTGAACATTAGTTTTTAGAAACAAATTATAGTTTGAGTAAAATTAGCACAAGCATGGATCTGAATTTTTTCAAGAAAAGATAAGAGGAAATAACTTCCTTTCCAGCAAGCCCCCATGCTCACACCACACACGTACCCCATACATGCTGAAACTTCTAAAACTGAAGAGTCTGGAATCTATATGCTAGTAGAAACACACGCAAAACAATTGTGTAGGAAATACTAGCACAATAACATAAAAATAGCACTGATATTCTACTAAATGGAGAACACTTGTAAACTATAGCATAGCAAATGTTTACAGTTTTCAACATAGTTCATTATTAATTTCATTAGCCAACGTGGTCAAGAAGTTATGTATCTGTCCATTTTTTTGTTTATTTGTATAGTTATTACTGTTTAAGATACGAGTTAATACAGTGAAATCATTAGGTAAAATAGAGAAATCATTAGGCAATTCTCTCTATTCTCCTGGTCAGAGAATTTCTGGCTAAATGCGTGAATTTGGAATAAAATAGACTTAAACATAGTCATTATAGCTATTCAAATATTACTGTCCATAGACACATGAGTTAAACTAAAACATATAACAGGTATTACTTAGAATATCACCCGAGGGAACAGGCACAAAACTTCAGGTTTTTCAGTTATCCACTGCCCCAAGAATTTAGAAAATACAAAGGCACTTTAGGACTATTATATCTAATCCTGACTGGTTACTTCTGAGTGGTGAGATTATAGGTGCACTTTTTTCTTTTTACTTTTCTGACTTTCCCAGTCTTCTAGAAAGAAAGTACTGTATTCTTTTCATAACTAGGGACTAAATTCCTCCATTTAAGGAAATTACGTGAAGGGTCTAAGTTATTCGAATATTATAGTAAGGCCATTTAAAAACTTTTTCCTTGAAGAGGTTGAATCATACTGTCCCTCGGTCTTGGGTAATCCTCATTTTATTCATTAAAAAATAATGTAAGAAATAAATTATAAAAGAGCTGAAATTCCACGTGCCATTTCCAAATGTAGATCTTCAAAAGGATTGTCCACAGCAGCAAGGCTAAGTGATGATAATAACAGCTTCACTGGTACTAATGAAGAACTCCTGTTAATCTGGTATATGATCCAAAGATACACAGGAAACCCAGTGAAGGGTGGCATATGCATATGAAAAATGCATATCCTTTCTCAGCAAGAGGAAAGCCAACTCTTCCATTAGATTGTTATTAAGAGACAGGACATAACCACTGCTACTCATCCTTTACCCTTTCCATCTCCAGTTGCCCACTCCCTCCATCTTTATTTTTTCTTTCCTATTCTCTCTTTAGCTTTGGCCTATCTCCACAACTGTTCCTTAGTAGGCACTCAGAGGCACTGCTATTCCCAGTGATGGTTCTATGAATTCAAAAAGGGACAATTTTGTGAACAGACACTGTAATATGTGGCAGAGATCTAGGTGGCCTTCCATGTACACAAACACGGCCACTTCCTAGAGCTAATCCACAATTGATTTGTTAAAACATACTGCATGTATAAGATGGGTTCAGTCATTTTCCTTTGAACTGTTTTCAAATTTTCTTAAGTACCATGCTAATAATAAGTCCAGTTTGCCTGATTTCATGCTATTTTAGGGGGCAATATGCATCCAAAGGTCCAGGAACTCACTATGAGTCTTTAAAAATAATAACACCCTCACAGAAAGGCATCTATCAAACTGAGTTCAATAAAATGATCTGGACAAAGTCAGAAGATGGAAGCTGTTTTAATCTAGCACCTTCAGCTACGTAAGATTCATATTCTACTGCTCACTGCAAGACTTCAGCTGACATATTCTTCAAAGAATCGACATAAGGAAACTCAGCCATACCTAATGACAGATCTTTCTGAGGTTCTCAAACTGAGAGCTGTTTGCTTGGGTTTATAAAGTGCAGGAGGCAAATAACATAAATGCCATCATTATGTTCCAATCCAGAAGTTTTTATTACAGCCAGTTTAGCTCTGGGCAAGCTGCCGCAATCAGCACATTGTGAGAGCAAATACACTGACTCTGTATTTTCTTTCTAAGCAGTATATAGCACTCAGACTGTTCCTGAGAAAGATTCATGAAACAGCTCTAATCAACACATTATAGTTGGAACAGCTATATGTAACACTCACAATTTTTATGCCTTAATTGTCAAAATTGTTTGCTTTGCAGATGAACACAATCAACTTTAGCTTTCAGTAAGATCATCCAAAGTAATTATCAACTGACATGACAAATAACCCCATACTTCCACTATCAAGGACATCCTCTGAGATTATAATTCAAATGCTAGAAAAGAAAAATCTAGAAAAGGAGGCAAATAATAATTTACCAAAATGAATTACAAAATAAAGCTAAATTAGAAAAAATTTGTCTGCTTTTTTTTCCAAAAGATTTCAAAGACCGTTGGTAATATTAAAAGTTCTTTCTCACTCAGAAATACAGGCAACATCTGACAACATAGGGCTTACTAAATGGAGTGTCTTCTGAAAGTTGGAAAATCTTAGTTTTCTTCTCAGCTTACTGTTTTATGATCCTCTGAAACATTAACTTATTAACCTCAAATTTCATAGCTCTAAAAGGAGATCTACAATTGTTATTTTAGACTTTGCCCCAAAGCAATAGTTTCTCAAACCAATTTAAAAAACTGAATATTTACCAAAATTTTACTTGAAGAAAAAGTGAATGAAGTCCATAACATCCTCCAATGTAGTAAAAAAAATTTCAAAAGTTCTTTATCAAATCCATAGTGAAGAAAAAATGAAAGGTAAAGAAGTGACTGTCTCTCACCTATCCATGTTATGAGTTTAGGTCAACATTCAGATTCCTTTTCTATTCCCCAACCAAAATTCAGAACCACACATACAAAGGTCCCTTTTGGTTTTGAATTAATATTTCAAGTTTAATGTCAACTTTATTAAATTAATATGGAGGCCATCTCATTCTCAGATTATGCTGAAGTTTTCAAATTTATGGTAAGCAATTATCAGTAAGTCATCCATAACTTTTATACTTGTACTTTACCTCCCTCTCTGACTAATAAAATTCATTTTTCTTCTCAACAGTCAATTGTGTGTGTGTGTGTGTGTGTGTGTGTGTGTGTGTTTACATTTAGTCCACGGTTCACACTTTGAGGCGTATAGAATACCTATGTTCTAGCTGCAGCAATCAACACCCAACTCAAGTCCAACTATGGTTTGGTATCAAATAGTGGCATTTGCTCCTCTAGCTTAATTAAACAAGAAGACAATGCTGGGTCATGGCTAACTGGCACTCCTGGGATAGCTGCAGTAATTTAATGGCCTCATATACAATTGATCTTTGCTTTGTCAACCAATCTGGGGACACTGAAAAGAGAAAATATTAGGATCTTGTTTGCTCTCAGCCTCTCTATTTTTAAGATCCTAGCTGTCTGATGTTTTGCTACCCTCTACAACTTGTCCTCTCCCTAGAAGATAGGAATTTTAGCTTATCCTTGTTTGAGAATGAGGTGCTGGCTTGAAGACCCCCTAAATATCAATTGCCAATTGCCTTATGTTAAAATTTGTGTTACTGTGAGGTATAATCCTGTATGATTTATATTTTATCATAATTTCATTAAAACATTTAACAATTTTTAATTATATCCTCCAGGACTAGATGGAGATCCACAGACTGTATAATCATGTTATTCAGCAGACTGAATAACAGACCCCTAAAATTGATCAGCAACAACCTAGACGTGGGTCTCTAACAGCACAACACAGAACCTGTCCTCAAGCCTGAATTTTTTCAAGCTTTTTATCAATAACTTGAATAATGACACATATGACTTTCTTACCAAGGATTGTACCTTAGAGGTAGAATCAGACTTAAGAGAGAGGGATATCACAGAAACCAAGAAAGAAGAGAATTTTCAAAAGGAGAAGTTAACAACATTCCCAACTTAATAGAGGGAAAGTCAAGAAAGATGAATAATGAACAGTGCCCACTGGATTTGGAAAAAAATAGATCATTATTGACTTCAGAGCACTTTTGCTGAAGCATCAGGGGTAGAAATGAGAGGATAGAGAGGTTTAAAAATGAAAAGAGATAAGACAAATGAGAGGATTTAGCAGGGAGAGAGAGAAAGCAAGAGAGACAGAAGAGAGAATGTTAGTTTTAAATGGGAGAAACACAAGTAGACTCACGTTGAAGAAAGGCACCAATAAAGGAGAGAGAGTGAATAGATCAAAGTCTTAAGATGAAGAGAATGGAACAGGATCCAAAATAAAGGAATTCAAAACAAAAAAAAAATATGTAACAAAATCTTTCCCCCAAACACCAGGAGAATCAATTTTCTGAGATACGAAAAAAGATACATGGGCACTTTATAAGCTTGGTCAAAGGGACTAGAATGTTAAAGAATTTTCATTAGACAGTTTTTATTTTTTTCTGCAATTTAAAAATATTCTAAGAGTGAAAAAGAAAATTTATTTGGGAGGTTGAGGAAAATGGTGAAGTACTGGGGAACTCCTTTCAACAACTTTGTTGAATAGTATGCCATGCTCTACTATAGATGGTGGACTATGGCAGTGAACTAAACCAATCAAGAAATAGAGTAACCACCACATGGGCTCCCAAAATGTTTTAGTTCCTTGGGGTTCTATTCTAGGCCCTCTTCTCTCTATATATACTGTTCCAAGTCAGTCTCTTCCACTCTTTTGTGTTTTTGGTTCTAATCACCATTGATAATACATTACATAATGTGTATATTATTATATATATGTACGCACTCATGAAGGTTATATTCTGTGAGAAGAAGGCAAACACATGAAATGAATAAGCAACAATAGCTTACCTGGTAAATAAATGATACATTCTGTGAAGAAAAATAAGGCAGGAGAAGGGAATAGAAAGTGAAAGAGGTCTATATTTTAGATAAACAGGAAAATCCTCCCTAAAGTGGTGATCATTTGAGCTTAAAACCAATTAAAGTGAGAAGGCAAAGCATGCATCTTTATAGGGTAGTGACTTTTAACCTTAGTGCACAGTAGCATTACCTGGGGATCTTTTAAAACAAAACTAATTCCTGGGTCCCACCCTTCAGAAATTCTGAGTTAATTGGTCTGGAGTGGGGCCGAGCATCAGAGCTGTTTTAAAGTCCCCATTGATTCTAATATATAGTCAAGACTGAAAATTACTCAACTAGTGGAAGAGCATTAGACAGAGGTAATCACAAGCGCAAAGTCCCAGAGCAAGGAACATGCTTACAATCTAGGAGGAAAATATGGGGCAGCTAATCAAGTTTAAATCAAAATTTTAAATCATGGTGCTGACTAGCAAAAGTAATCAATCTTATTTTATACAGACCAAAAAAAAAAAAACATAAAAAAGACAAAGACAAAAATAAGGTGTGTGATTTTTCAACAGCAGTTCTCAGCAGCCTGAGGTTAGGTGTGGAGTAGATGGCTGGATTGACCCAGTACTAGGAGTTCAGAGATAAGAGTACTTAAAAAGGCTAACAGAGAGCTTTTGAAATAATAAACTGTTGGATATAACCTGAAGCAAGAAGGAATTAAAGCTGAAAGCTGTGGAGAAGTGGAATTCATCAATGTATAATGATCTAAATAAACAAACCAAAGAAAATGAGCGTGGGGGAGTTTAGTCAACCACAATTTCAGTCTGAACCAGAGGCACAGTATGTCTACTAAATATTCTAAGGCAATCTTAGACTTCTTTTTAAAAATACTGGTTGGCTTCATTAGACATTCATTAACTTGTCTTCTGGCGACAGAATGGATACTACCTGAACCTGGGAAAGTATAATCCACACATCAAGGGAGGAAGCAGTCTAGACTGCTCTGGGCTGGGCAGAACACGTTTGGAATATTATGTTCGGTTCAGATGAGCCTTTGAAAGAGAGCTCTGATAAACATAAAGTGTCCAAGGATAGGTAGTCATGATTAAAATAATCTAGACATCAATTCTATTAGAAATAATGGAAATTTTCTTACCTGAAAAGTATGATGACATGAAAGTTTGCATTCGTAAGTAGTAAGAGAATGGAAAGGTCTCAGACATAAAGAAGGGGTTCTCATTTCTTTATCATGGAAATAAAGTGGTACAGAATAATAAAGACACTCAAAATGTGTTCATTCTGGTAAATGATAAAAGACTAGACTTGTAGAGCTAAGAGGTCATGGTATTTCAAGGGGGCACTAATGTAGATGTTGAATTTGACACAAAAGAATCATAGAAGATACCATGACACAAGTGCCCTCTATCCTTCATTAGAAGACCCCCAGTGTGCACTATGAATAAGCCACTGTATGACTCTATTGGGAAATTTTGTTCTGCTGAATGTACCTTTAAATGCATTGGGGGCTGTGGGTTGGAAGACACAGGGAGTGGTGTCAGGGAGGCTTGATTCACTAAAGAGACATATTTGGAACTATGCAGAACTGGAAGACTATAAAACTTAAAAAGGCACAAATCTGATGCATATTAAGTACTAGTTATAAAGGAAACGGGTCAGCTGAAGGGCTTCTCACATGGTGGAGTCAGAAAGAGGGTAATCAGTAATTAGACAGTACTTGCAAGATGTACTTCCTGCTCAAAATCTGTCTCTTCAATGAATGAAAGCCAAATAAAGCAGAGATGAGCTGTGGTGGCTGTGAGGTCATATACCCTGAGAATAACTGCTCTTCTCGACATTTATCACCACTGTGGCTTCCCAGAGAGAGGATCTAAGGGATGTGAATACTGTGGATGTGGCCCTTCTACCACCTCAGAAAACAAGCTCTCTGGGGCGTGGTGGATGCTTGCAAGGACTCTACGGCCAGCGTCAGGCAGATTAAAAGATCCGCTGATCCCCTCAGCTGTTGCTTGCTGCCTGAGGCCTTGTGCATTTCCTATAAGAAATGGCTGGTGGTCAGTTTCATTGAAAAAATGCCGCATAGCAAAGCTATGTGACCCTAAAGCAAGAAAATTGAAAAGATAAGTTCTCTGTGAAATTCAGTTCATTCTCAACATGTTCTGCCTTTACCATAAATATAAGCCATAGTAAGTGGCTCCACCTCTCCACTGACATCAGAGGAAGGAACTTTGGAATCAGGGTTAGAAGACCACCTTCTTTACGAATGTTTAACAATCTTTCAGTGAATGCAAAATAATTTTATACTTTCACCACTTTAAAAATAACTTCCGGCCAGGCACGGTGGCTCACACCTGTAGTCCCAGCACTTGGGGAGTCCGAGGCGGGTGGGTCATGAGGTTAGGAGTTCAAGAGCAGCCTGGCCAACATGGTGAAACCCCATCTCTACTAAAGATACAAAAAATTAACCAGGCATGGTGGCGCGCGCCTGTAATCCCAGCTACTCAAGAGGCTGAAACAGAATCATTTGAACCTGGCAGGCGGAGGTTGCAGTGAGCCAAGATCGCGCCACTGCACTGCAGCCTGGTGACAGAGTGAAACTCCGTCTAAAAAAAAAACAACAACAAAAAAAACACTTCCAAGTCTGAATTCTAACATAAGCAAGAATAATAATAAATTTAAAAGTGCTGTACTCCCTTTGAAAAATCAATAGGTATAAGGACATTAAAATCACTCATGTAAAGCAAGTCGCCTATTTCAGGCTTTGTCAATATCAAATCTCAAGGAAGTACCAAACTCATAAATACTTTGCTACCTCTCTGTGGTAGGCAGAATTCTAAGAATGACTTCCAATGATTTTCACTCTTTTATAACATCCTCCCTTTGAATGTGAGTGAAAGTGAAGTCAGAGAATATCCAAGCCTAAAAAGGATTTAATAAGTCATTGCTGCCTTTGAAGATGGAGAGGGCTGCATGACGCTAAAGGCGGCTCTCTGCTGACAGTCAGCAAGAAAACAGGGAGTACAGTCCAACAACCACAAGGAACTCAATTCTGCCAATAATCTGAATGCTCCTGGAAGCAGATTTTTCTCCAGAGACTCCAGATAAAAGCCCAGCATGATGATATCTAGATTTCAGTCTTGTGAAACTCTGAGCAGAGAAGCCAGCTACACTTCTGATCTACAGAACTTTGAGATAATAAATGCATGTTGTTTTAAGACAGTAATTCTGTAGTAATTATATAGCAACAGAAAACTATATACTGTACTTTCTGTACATAGTTCTATCTATCCTAATAAAGGTAAAATTTGTTTTCTACATTTTTATAAGAAAAAGATTTAATCCAAAGAAAGGAAATCAAGAGAACTTACAGATTTCACAGTAGTTATGCATAAAAGATCTGAATTAAAATAGAATTCATATTTTATAAGTATATATGAATTGCTTTCCAGAAATCTATGTTGTATACATTAAGAGGACTACACAGCTATTTCAAAAGAGGGAAACAGGTTAAATCAATAACATCAAGACATTTTAGTTAAAAAAAATGTAATGCTTTAAGGGGACAGCAATAATAATTTTCTAGTTTAAATCATTGGTAGAATAAAAACACTCTATTTTCAAAAGAAAAGTGAGAATCAATAGACACGAAGGTCATTATTTGATCAAGGAATGACAAGGAACCAACTATTCACCATTCATTTCAGTATGTTCTTGCTTTAGGGAAATTCAAAAGAACATTTTTTCATACTTGATCTTTGTTGTTCAGTGGTTCATAGACATGAAAGGAGTTTGGAAAATGCTTGGCAGTCTTATAAACTTACAGTATGAGGTTTATTGCCTTATAACCTATAAGGCGACCAAACTATAAATGTCTTTCTACCAGTGCAGATAGTTTATGTTGAAATAAATCAAAGGATTCAATATGCCACCAACACTTGATATCCTTTCATTTTTTATTTTTTCTTTATTTTTTCCCACCTGAGATGCCATGGCACCTTTCATTTTTTTAAAAATATAAAGTATATTCACATGCAAATCTTTCTTCAACTCAAGAAGAGGCAGCATGACATAGTGGTTAAATGTGTGGGTTCTAGAATTAGCCTTCCTGAGTAACTCCTAAGTCTACCACCTACTAGGTGTGTGATCTCAGGTAAATTAGGAACTGCTCTGTGCTTCCAACTCCATTTCTGAAAATGAGGAGAATTAAGAATACATACCTGATAGGATCGTGGCGAGTGTTAACTACATTAATAGGTAAAAAGTCTTGTAACAGTTCTTGGAACATACTAAGTGCTCAATATATCTTAGCTATTATTAAGACGGCCACAGCTTTTCCTTATAACTGTCACCTAACTTTAGGTAAAAGTAGAAATATTAACAATGGATACATTTTTTAAACAAAGGTCTAATGTGACAATGATGGCTCACTACAAACTTTCAACTATTTCCTCTGCTTGCCCCATTCTCTTGCATTACATCCAAGGTCTTTTATTCAATGGCTGCTTCTAGGTATATATCAAAAGCAAGTCCTTCACTATGTAAGAAATCAGATGTGGAAAACACAGGATGGACTCTGAGCCTGGCCCAGCTGAGTCTTAAACATTAGTCCAAAAATGTAGTCCGAAGCTGAATCAGCCTTTGAGGTAGGTGGTGTGACCACCTCTGATTCTGAATCCTACTTAAAAACATAAGTGACTGGCCAAGGAAGACTCAAAGGCACATGGAAGACATCAGTGAGACATGAGTGAAAAGCTTGTCAATTTTCTAAAGTTTCCACTTGAAATAAATGTACCATTAACGACAACAACAACAACAACAAAAACCCAAGAGCTTTGTTTCTTTTGCGACCCTGAACTAAACGAAAGCATTATAAAGTATCCCAGCAATAAAGAGCATGGGCTTTGGAGTCAAACACATCTATTTTCAAGGCACTCCTCTGGGTCTCAGTTTCCTCACTACTAAAATGGAAATAATACTTGTGAATAGTTGTGAGATTCACATGAGCTAATGCAAGTATGCACATAAAAGAATGTGTGATACATAATAAAATCTCTGAGGTAGCGATGTTGTAACAGACATTAGCTGTTATCATTATCAGTAAACGAAAGTTTTACTTCTAGGTGAAATCCATCTCTTCCATGTAATAAGCTACAGGATTTGATAAGCCTCACTCAAACTATCAGTAGCCTCATCTTTATGATTTAGAAAACCTTAGAAACAGGTAAAAAGCTATGGATGGGGGTGGGGAAAAGTTGTACTGTCAGCTCCAAGGCATGACTCAGAAATGTCACATTGCACCTGCATGTGACATTACAATCCTAAATTATTCTATCGAGCTTCTTGGAATAAATACAGGAGTCTAACACAGAAAAAAAATGTGAAATTTAGAATACGAGAATCTCAATTAACTGGTCTTTCTCTGTATATATCAAAAGGAAGTCCTTCACTATGTAAGAAATTAAATCTTGGGTCAGATGCCTCTTCTTTCTGTTCAGAGGATTCCACAAGTAATCTTATCCCTTCTACACTGAAAGGTACTTTGCAAATATTAATATTCAGAAAATTCCCAGGTTAAGTAGTTATGGTCAGGGTTTGTTTTTAAGTTTTATTTAAAAAATAATTCCCATGTACAGGCATACCTCAGAGACATTGCAGGTTCGGTTCTAGACCACCAAAAGTCCTCTCAAACCCTACCACTGCTTTATCAACTAAGTGTATATAATATTCTAAATATTTTGTTGTTATTTCAACAATGTTCACAGCATCTTCACAAAGAGTAGATTCTATCTCAAGAAACTACCCTTTTTTGCTCATCCATAAGAAGCAACTCCTCACCCATAAAGAGAATATGCCAATAAAGTGGGTCACGTTTCTGGTTTCCCAGTACATATAAAAGTTAACGTTTATACTACATTGAGGTATATTAGGCATGCAATATGCCTTATATCTTTAAAATATGTATATATCTCAATTAAAAAATACTTTATTGCTAAAAATGCCAATAAATGTCTGAGACTTCGGCAACTCATAATCTTATTGCAGGTGGAGGGTCTTGCATCAATTTCAGGCTGGGGTGGCTGTGGCAATTTCTTAAAATAAGACAACAATGAAATTGTCTGTATTAATTGACTCCTCCTTTCACAGAAGGTATCTCTGTAGTATGTGATGCTGTTTGATAGCATTTCACCCACTGTAAAACTTCTTTCAAAACTAGAGTCCTCTCAAACCCTGCGACTGTTTTATCAACTAAGTTTATATAATATTTTAAATACTTTATTGTTATTTCAACAATGTTCACAGCATCTTCACCAGGAGTAGATTCTATCTCAAGAAACCACTTTCTTTGCTTATCCATAAGGAGCAACTCTTCATCCATGTACGTTTTATCATAATATTACAGCAATTCAGTCACATCTTCAGGATACACTTCTAGTTCTAGTTCTCCTGCTATTTCCACCATATCTTCAGTGACTTTCTCCCCTGAAATCTTGAGCTCTTCAAAGTCATCCATAAGGGTTGGAATTAATGTCTTCCAAATTCCTGTTCATGTTGATACTCAGACCTCCTCCCATGAGTCACAAATGTTCTTATCTAGAATGGTGACTCCTTTCTCTACAAAGTTTTCAATTGACTTTGCTCAGATCCATCAGAGGAAACACTATCTATGGCAGCAGTAGTCTTAAGAAAAATTCACTTCTTTTTTTTTTTTTTTGAGGTGGAGTTTTGCTCTTGTCACCCAGGCTGGAGTGCAATGGCGCAATCTTGGGTCACTGCAACCTCCGCCTCCCGGGTTCAAGTGATTCTCCTGCCTCAGCCTCCTGAGTAGCTAGGATTACAGACACCCACCACCACATCCAGCTAATTTTTGTATTTTTAGTAGAGATGGAGTTTCACCATGTTGGCCAGGCTGGTCTCGAACTCCTGACCTCAGGTGATCCAGCCGCCTCAGCCTCCCAAAGTGCTGGGATTACAGGCGTGAGCCACCACACCCAGCCAGAAAAATGCACTTCTTATATACGAAGACTAGAAATTACTCCTTGATACATAGACTGCAGAATGGATGTTGTATTAGCAGGTGTGAAAACAGCATTAATCTTCTCGCACATCTCCATCAAAGTTCTTGGGTGACTAGGTGCATTGTCAATGAGCAGTAATATTTTGAAAATAATCTTTCTTTCTCAGGAGTAGGTCTCAATAGAGGACTTAAAATATGCAGAAAACCTGCTGTAAACAGATGTGCTATCATCCAGGCTTCATTCTTCCATTTACAGAGCACAGGAAGGGTAGAGTAAGCATAATTCTTATTAGCACTAGGATATTCAGAATGGTAAATGAGCACTGACTTAAACTGAAAGCTACCCACTGCATTAGCCCCTAACAAGAAAGTCAGCCTGTCCTTTGAAGCTTTGAAGGCAGGCATTGACTTCCCCTCTCTATGAAAGTCCTAGATGGCAGCTTCTTCCAATAGAAGGCTAGCTCATCTTCACTGAAAACCTGTTGTTTAGTGTTAGTGGCCTTCATCAGTGGTCTTAGCTAGATCTTCTTGATAACTTGCAGCAGTTTCTACAACGACACTGGCTGCTTTACCTTGTGCTTTTATGTTATGGAAATGGCTTCTTTCCATAAACCTCAGGAACCAACCTCTGCTAGCTTCCAACTTTTCTTCTGCAACTTCCTCACCTCTCTCTGCCTTTCTAGAACTGAAGAGTTGTAGCTTTATGCTGTATTAGGCTTCAGCTTAAGGGAATGTTGTGGCTAGTGGTCTTCTTTCCAGACCACTCAAACTTTCTCCACATTAGCAGTAAAGCTGTTTTCCTTTCTTATCATTCATGTGTTCACTGGAGTAGCACATTTAATTTCCTTCAAGAAATTTTCTTTTGCATTCCCAACTTGGCTAACTGTATGGCACAAGAGGCCTCACTTTCGGCCTATCTTGGCTTTTGACATGGCTTTCTCACTAAGGTTAATCATGTCTAGCTTTTGATTTTAAGTGAGAGACATAGGACTCTTCCTTTTATTTGAACATCTAGAGGCCATTGCAGGGTTATTAATTGGCCTAATTTTAATATTGTTGTGTCTCAGGGAAGAGGGAAGCCAGAGGAAAGGGACAGAGATGGGGAAACAGCCAGTCAGTGGAGCAGTAAGAAGAAACACACACATTTATTGATTAAGTTTGCCATCTTATATGTGCTCAGTTCACGGCAATTTGTAACAGTTACAATAGTAACATTAAAGATCACTAACCACAGATCACCATAAGAGATATAATAATAATGAAAAAGTTTGAAATATTGTGAGAATTACCAAAATGTGACAGAAAGACACAAGGAAAGACATACTGTTCAGAAAATGGCACCAATAGACTTACTTGATGCAGGGTTGCCATCAGCCTTGAATTTGCAACAAGTATAGTAACTGTGAAGTATAATAAAGTGAAGGACAATAAAATGAAATATGTGTATAGGTATATAAAACTATCAATTATTTTAGAATGAATACTTTTACACCACCACCCAGGTGAAGGCAAAGAACACTGCAAGCACTCCCGGAAGTGCAGCACACACTGCTTTGTAATTACAATCTTTGACCAAAAGTAATTCCAATCCCCATTTTTACGGTAATTATTTACTTGCTTTGCTTAATAGTTTACCTAAATTTGCATCTCTTCAAGCTATACTTTAATGTTGCCTGTATTTGAACTTTACTCAAATGGAATCACCCACCATGCATATTTTCATGTGTGGCTTCTTTCACGCAAACATTACATTTGTGTGATTCACATAAGTTATGTATACACGTAGTTTCTTCATTTTCACTGCTGTGTACTGTTCCATTACATGATTTACCAAAATATATTTATGTATTTGTTGCTGATGGACACTTGGGTAGTTTTAAGTTTTGAGCTATTATGAATAATGCAGCCATGAACTTCTTGTACATGTCTCTAAATGCACATGCACACATATAAATATGTTGGGTACACATCTAGGGATAGAATTGCTGAATCTTTAGATATTCATATCTTCACATGTAGCAGATGATATCGAATTTTCCCAAGGTCATTGTATCCTAAGTATTAATTATAGCAAGCTTATAAATATGATAATTTGTTCAAACTGACTCATAGTCTATGGGCATGGCTGCAAAATAGTTCTGCAACTGAAACTACAATAAGCATGGTCCTGGCTTTATGATGAGAAAATGCATGGTTATTTACATGTCCTTCTAGCTAGGTTTCCATATAGATAGACGATTCCAACAGATTGAATCACAGTAGATTATGAAACTACTCTATTGATGTGCAAGTAGAATCAGCCTGAGTAATTGACAGGCCAAGAATAGTACCTCAAAATTCTGTTCTGACTTGGGACCAGAGCTCAGCATACCTAATGAGTTTCTACAATTCTTGAATATTGAAAGCTAATGTTCTAGGAGACAGTAACATGTGCAATAAAAGTTTTATCCTCTATAGAGTAAACTTAGTGCTAGACTCAGTCGCACAGTGTCTTCCTAGTTGGACTGAAATCTGGAACTACTGCTTGTGAGATGACAATACATCAGAAGGCAGGCTGCATCCACAACATCTAGAACAGGGTGGGCACATATTGGAAACTCTACAAATAACATTTAAATAATAAATAAATACATTGTTAAGTTAAAAAGAGCAAGGTACAGAATGGTAGCACCAGGTATTACCACTCCCCCCAGCCCCCCCACACAGTCCCCTCCTAATGATATTCTGTCTTGCAAATCCCAGTGGGTTTCCCCTAACTCCAGTCTCCGCCTCCTCAATTCAGTGAGTTGGCTGGGCTCTGTTTCAGTTCTCCTTCCTGCCCCTTGGCCTGAAATCAGCCTCAGAGAGGAAGCTGGGACAATTGTTGGGCCGGCCTTATTGATTTCCCTCCTCTCAGGTCTCACAGTCCTACATTGCCTGTTGTCTGCTATCTGAAAACAGTTGTTACATATTTTGTGTTTGATTTTCTAGTTTTTTATTACAGGAAAGAAATTCTGGCAGCAGTTAAACCTTCATGGAAAGAAGTACAAGTCGTTTTCCTAACTTCCCCAAGAGTAATAAAGAGTGTTTCCAAGCTGAATTTAAATGGTATTGTGATAGTAAAAACACACACGTGCACACACAAACCCAATTCTTATCTTTTAGAGGTTCTATTAATTTATGAACTAAGTGATATAATTTCTGGGATTTGCTTCAAAAATATAGTTAAGGGTGAAATTGCATGGGTATATACATTGGCCATGAATTGATAATTACTAAGTTGGATGATGAGTCAGTGGGAAGCCACTGACTGGCTGTTTCTGACACAGAAGTAGTGTTTCTGACACTTCTGTGTCAGAAACAGCTACTATTGAGTTTACAGTTAGGTAAGACATTAATAAAATTGCCAGGTATGGTAAAAAAGAAAACTTGCTTACTCATTTTTATTCATCAATGGACATTTACAGCAATTAGAAATCCTGCTAAACATATGGTTCACTTTAAAAATCAACTTAAAAGAGCTCCATATTTGCCAAATTTATAATTTATGAGCTCTGAAAATACTTCTTAAAAAAGGATTCTATCAAAAGAGCATCTCAATGCCTACTCTTTACTAGTGGAATAATGTTGTTTGCTTCTATGATATACACGTTATGCCGTAGCTAATTTTTAAATAAATTACTTGCCTACAAAATATTCAAGCTCCTTTGGGCTTCTGGCAAGCTTCCTATTAATGTATCAAAAATGTCATTAGCTACTAACACATAAAAGAATACTAACACACAAAATAATCCATTTTATATGCTGCTCTCTGTGAACAGCAGAATAAACAACAGTACCATTCAAACTCAAGTCAAGCCTATCCTCATGATTACTGCTCACTAAAGGTCTGTCAGAAGATTGTAATTAGGCTGTAAACTCTGGGTTCCAAGCAGCTCTCAAAAATCATTCTACAAACTATTCATCTAGTAGGCTTTTTATTTATCCCCTAACAGAAATTCAATCCTCTAGTCACTGTGCTATACACACATGCATGAACACACACACATGCATGAACACACACACATGCATACACCCAAACTAACTAGAAATACATTATTCAATAATTGTTCAGCCTATGCTGCTACATCTGTCAAAATGAGGACTTACATACATAAAAAGGTTAAAAGTGATTTGGTTTGGTTGAAACACTACACCAAATACAGTTTAGGTACCTAATATCTAACTTTCCTCATTAATCTGATGGGCTTCCTCTTTCTAGTGATGTGTCCCGATTTGGGACTTGGGCATAACAAATGATTCACTGCCCTTTAAAACTCAAACCTAATATTCATTCACCATTTTTGAAATAATGCAATGCTGCTGGAAAAGGTGTAATGTTAAATTTATGTCTATATTTTCATACTCTTCCAATGGCAGATATTTTACCTAGGAAAGTGAGTTATGAAATAAAATGGAAAGACACTCTATAATGCACTTTGGGAAGGGTCAAAGACTCAGCTGGCAAGCACATAATGTCCTTCTTGGTGATCATTTTCCTCCATTGGATCTCTTTGCTGGACTATCACACATCTGCCAAAATGCTGCCTTAAAAACCTCCAATGGCTTCCCACTGCAATAAGAATAAAGTCCACACTCTTTACAGTGGTCTAGTGGGCTTCCACGATGCAGTCCCTGCTCACCTCTCTGAACTCACACCTTACCACTCCCCAGCCCGCACATCTAGCAACAGTTTTGGTTTCTCCATGAAGCCAAGCATCTTCTTGAAATAGATCTTTTTCCCCCAGATCTTCACATGGCTAACTCCTTCTCGTCATTAAGGTCTCACCTGAACTGTCATCTCTTTAAAGAGGCTTTTTCTGATCATTCTTACTAATATAAGGCACCCACAGCCCCTGCCTCAATTCACTCTCTATTCTACTTTTTTCTTCTGAGTTCTTCAAAGCACTTATCTTTATCTAAATTGTTATTACATATTTATTTGAGTGTTTGTTAGCTGTTTCTCCCATTGGATTATATACTACTTGATGGCAAAGACTTTTTCCCTATTGTTCACTGCTATATCTCCAGTGCCTAGAATAGCATATGGTATCTAGTAGGTGCTCAATAATATTTGTTGGGTAAATGATTGAATATTTATGTTTAAGTTTGTACAAATTGTGTTAATATATATTCTCTCTTTTAAACTTGACAAAGTCACTGGGTTATGATGTCTCTTAGTTCTTAATTTTCTGAGCTTCCCAAGAGCGGATACTATCTCTCTGTATCCCCACTGCTTAGCCTAGTGCCTGGCACATAGCAGGTGTTCTTTAATTACCTAATGAAACATCTCCTGAATAAATGCATGAATGAGGCCAGGCGCTGTGGCTCATGCCTGTAATCCCAGCACTTTGGGAGGCCAAGGCAGGCGGATCACCTGAGGTCAGGAGTTCAAGACCAGCCTCACTAACATGGCAAAACCCCATCTCTACTAAAAGTACAAAAATTAGCTGGGCGTGGTGGCAGGCACCTGTAATCCCAGCTACTCAAGAGGCTAAGGCAGGAGAATCGTTTGAACCTGGGAGGCGGAGGTTGCAGTGAGCCGAGATCACACCTCTGCACTCCAGCCTGGGCGACAAGAGTGAGACTCCATCTCAAAACAAAACAAAACAAAAAGCATGAATGAATGAATGAGCTTTTAGTTTTTTTCACCTGATCTGGTCAATACTTAAGAATGGCTCCTGCTACTGCAGTTTACAAATATAGCCCAGGGCATACATAAAAAGAAAGGTGCAGCAGTCACTGTTGATGTCCTACTCAGACTCCCTTTACCCAGGGTTTCTCAACCTTAGCACTACTGACAATTGGACTGCATAATTCTTTGTTGTAGAAAAGTTCTTCTGCATATGTTCAGCAGCATCCTTGGCCTCTACCCACTAGCTGCCAGTGGCAACACCACCTCCACCCAACCCCGAGTCACATTAATTAAAAATATCTTCAGACATTGGTAAGTGTCTCCCAAGGACAAAATTACCCCCAGGTGAGAACCACTGCCCTTTACCTGTAGTGCTTCATCTTCTAGCTGTATGAGTGTTGGCTAGTAAGAGCTGTACCCTTCTACAGAGAATTGTCTTCAGTTGCCTTTCTGGGAAAAGTTGGGAGGTTATGCCCTCCCTCCAGGGATAGCTTTAGGCAATGAATGAGTGATAAAAGGGAAGAATACAAGATGCCTGTAGGTCCTACAATTCTGAGATGCTATTCGTGCTTCACAGCTCCCATTGGAATCAGATGAAGGCTAGACTTCAGGGAAAACTACACCTTTGCTTAGCTTTCCTCCCTGTGCTATTCTGCTTTCCTCACTGTCTTACAGGACTCTCTTGAGAGCACTCCTTTAGTGAACCACTTGCCTAAAAATTGCCATTTTAGGGTCTATTTCTAGGGAATCCAACCTAAGATACGTAATAGGTAAGGAGAAAAATAAAGTAATTCTTAAGCATTAAAAGTACATTCCTAAAATATGAGAGACAAGCTTTATTCAGGGTATTAAGTGGTGCTTTCTGCAGAAACAGTCAGTGCAGTACTTTTTCAGTACTTACATGTGGAATGTTAACAGGGTGTGGACAAATGTGAAGGCATATAAAGGTGGCAGCTCACTACTGCTACTACTTTCTGCCCTTCAAGATTTTCAACTTGTTGATCATGAAAACATGAGCCACAGTTTCAACTTTTTTATGGCAAATACATAATACTTATCAAATTTGCAAACTCATATCACTCTCATTCACCACACATCTTGCACTTAAGGCAAAACAAAGAGCACAACCTCCTCTATTGGGAAGCCACGGATTTCCCATGCAGAGGCTTTTGTTAACACTGTATCTTCTGTCTGGAACATCTTTTACCTGTGTCCAAATACTCAAATTTTACACACATTTATGTCCAAATCTCAAGCTCAAAATGTTTCTAAAAGGATTCTCAAATTCCCACAGCTAAAAGTAATCCCTCCCTTCTCTGGCACTTTTCCTTACATTAATTTGTGTTTAATTCACATAATCTCTACTAAAATTCCCTAGGACTGGATGAATGTCCTGTTCTAATTTCTATCCTTTTTGACTCTAGTCTTATCTAATATTTGTCAGAGGAATAAACAAATAAATGGAGAATGAATCAATCAATGATAAAAAAGTTATTTCTGTGGACTCTTGTTTTCCTTTTTGGTACAACTTGTACAAATAAATGATTCCACAGAATCTTAAGAATTAAGAGAATAGCAACTCATGTACAAAACCATGTCTTTAAGGAATAACAAATATATCAACTAATATGAACATGACCATTTGTTTGATTTTTTGGAAAGACTTTTAGTCATAAATTATGTTCCCAAACTAATTTTCAAGCAGCTGTGCTTATTTAATAACAAGACACACCTGCTTTAGAAACTCCTAAATGCCAGTCTTCAGACGAAATTATCTAAAGAGCATGTTAAAAATACAGCTACCAGCTGGGCGCAGTGGCTCACGCCTGTAATCCCAGCACTCTGGGAGGCTGAGGCGGGTGGATCAACTGAGGTCGGGAGTTCGAGACCAGGCTGACCAACATGGAGAAACCCTGTGTATACTAAAAATACAAAATTAGCCAGGTGTGGTGGCACATGCCTCTAATCCCAGTTACTTGGGAGGCTGAGGCAGGAGAATTGCCTGAACCCAGGAGGCAGAGGTTGTGGTGAGCCGAAATTGTGCCATTGCACTCCAGCCTGGGCAGCAAAAGCAAAACTCCATCTCAAAAAAAAAAAAAAAAAAATACAGCTACCTTGGTCAGTCTCCTGAGATTCCATCCCTTTTGATCTGAGGTTGGCTGTGGCCTGGGTGCTCAGGTAGGTCTGAGGACAGCTGCTCTGTTTTGGGCCAAGATTCTTAAAGCAGCCCCAATTCTCTCTGTCCTCCCTTGTTTGGTGTAAGACCCAACTTCAGTCCCATCTCTCCTTTAAGAAACTTCTTTTTTATACTATGTATCTATCTTTTAATTTTTTTAACTTTCATTTTAGGTTGAGAAGTATATGTGCAGATTTGCTGTATAGGTAAACTGCACGTCACAGGGGTTTGGTGTACAGATTATTTTGTTACCCAGGTAATGACCATTCCAAATCATTGCCTTCTCTTTTTATACATACAGCACTAGAAAACAGCTGTGGTGGTAACTGCCAAACCAAAAACAGATGCACTTTCCTTTTCACTTTCTTTAGTGCATGATTAGCACCTTCTCCCTCACTGTTTGACTTATTTAAACGTTTCATGCCCTAACTTAACTGTTAAGTTCCTACTGGGGAAAAACTAGTGAATCCTTACTTTGATTTTATCTCCAGAATGCTGACAACTTTATCTATTTTGGAATTAATAAATTATTATTTGTTTAGGTCAAAAATATTTTAAAACCCTGTAATCATTGAAATATTGAACAGGAAAAGCAGAGTCAGGCATGGTGGCACACACCTGTAATCCCACCACTTTGGGAGGCAAGGCTGGTAGATCACTTGAGCCCAGGAGTTCAAGACCAGACTGGGCAACATAGTGAGACCCTGTCTCTACCAAAAATGCAGAAATTAGCCAGGCATAGTGGCATGCGCCTATAGTCCCAGCAACCTGGGAGGCTGAGGTGGGAGGTTCACCTTAGCCCAGGAGAACAAGGCTGCAGTAAGCTGCGATCATGCCACTGTACTCCAGCAGCCTGGGTGACACAGCAAGACTCTGTCTCAAAAACAAAAACAAACAAACAGACTATGAGAAGCATTGAATCAATGTTAGTTTTTAAAAAGTAAACATTTTATCAATGTAAGGCTAAAAGGAGTATGTGAAAGGAACACTGAAGGGCAGAAGACTTCCTGAGAAAGCAAGCATCTGTTTTACACAGAGGCCACACCTTTGTATTGTTCAATTTACTACAGTGAGCAAGGGTTACTTTTGTAATTTTTTAAAGTAATAATAAATTCAAGATTATAGGTGTGGAGACTGATAGACAATTTAGGAAGGATCTGTTACTTGAACGGGATGAATCACTTTAGCATTCCAATATCCTGTGACATCTGCATGAATCCACAAGCACAGGGACACCAAATCTTAGTACTCACACAATGGTCTCTAAGATCTGTACTGAATAGAGTCCCCCAGTTCTACCTGAGTCAGCCATGACTAATACTGTTGCAGTCAAGGAGACAGAGCAATTCTCTGAGTCCTCCCTTACATGCTATTTCTAACCTCAGGGCTGGTGTGGAAGCTTCCCCTAGACTACCCCCTAAATATTGGTTAATATAAGGAAGTAGCTGGGTTGTTTATATGTCCCATGAGCCATCTCTGTCAAGCAACAGGCTCAAGGGTCAGGTAAAGTCTGTTTCTCCTTAGGACAGAATTGGCGGCTGGCATGGAAAATATGGTTACTCAGAACTATCACTACATACAAGTATTGCCACGATTTCTCAGTAAATGTTTTAAGATTCACTCTGATTAGACTGGCATATGTCATGCTTTCACCACTGAGTCAGAGAACAGAATGTCCTGGTTGGTTTAAACCTGGACCTGGGGTGATTTCAAGTTCCTTGAAAAACACACACACTACAAAATGGAAATGAAGGGCTCTTGAAAAGAGGAAAGGGGAGAAGAGATGACAGAAAAGAACAAAGTTAAGATTGGGTTCACCTCCCATGGTGTTAAGAAGTGAACTTTTCCTCATGGAGAGGCTGGGCTGAAGAGACCAGCTCCTGTCCCACAGGGTGATCACACTTGGGCAGGACCAGGATAAGACACCCTGTTCTGGGGCTGGCCAGCAGAGGAGGGTCTAAAGGAGGTGTCCTACAAGGGACAGCCAAAAATAACAATGGCTTAAGCAAAATAAAAGTTTATTTTTCTCTCACCTGAAAGAAGTCAGGAGTAAAGAATCTTCAAAAAACTGATAGAGTAACTTCACAAAATCCTCAGAGTCCTAGACTCTTTTATCTTACTCCTCTGCCACACTTACTCACAATGGCCATACCTAGCTACGAGGGAAACTAGGGAATAAACTCTGTATTCCAGGTGACCATATATTTAACTAATAATGAATTAGTAGTTCTATTTCTCAGGTGGGGAAGAAGAAGGAAAGATATTGGAAGACAAATAGCAATCTCTTGGTGGTGTACAAGGTACACCCTACCTTGTAGGGTGTACCTTATCTAAGGTAATGCCCCTGATTCCTACCTCCCTGTGGTCACACCTTGTATAATCCTTTCCTCTTAAGTAGGGGTGGGACCTATGACTTATTTCTAAGCAATAGAATATGGAAAAGATGATAGATTGTTGATGATCAGTGTACATGATTACATTATATAAGATTGTAACATCTGTCCTTCAGGAATATTTCTCTCTCCCAGGGATGGCTGGGAGGAACCAAGCAGCCATGCTGGAAAATGCCACATGTCAAGGAACTGAGGGTGATCTCTAAGAGCCGAGGGTAGCCTCTGGCTAGCAGTCAACAAAAAATAAAGCTCTCAGTCCAACAATCACAAGAAACTTAATACTGCCAAAAACCAGAAGACCAAGAAAGCAGATCCTTTCTAAGTTGAGCCTGTAAATGAGAATCTAGCCCTGGCTCAAACCTTGATTGCAGCCTTGTGGGAACCTAAACAGAAGACTCAACTGAGTTGTGCCCAGACTTCTGACCCACAGAAACTAAGATAATGAATGTGGGTTGTATTAAGCCCCTAAGTTTGTGGTAATTTATTACATAGTAATAGAAAACTAGTTTATTAATATTAAGCACAACCAACAGATGCTCAAAATAGTGCATAAAAGGCTTAATTAACTCAGTGCCAAATATATAATAAGTTTTGATAAACGTAGGCTGCAATGATCATCATCACCATGATCATCATCATCATCATCATCATCATCATCATTTCCTAATCATGGATTCCTCCAATTTTGTAATCACCTCCCCTGACAACTTGGTAGCAAGGAACAAAATCCTAATAGGGCAAATAGCTCTATTCAATTCACTTCTAGACTTTTTGGAGGCAACCAACTTTAAAATCTAATTGAAGTTGAATTTCCATTATCACTGCACTGGTGATTCTTATATATCCATCTGCCACTCCATTCTAAGAATTTGCCTCTTAAGGATACAACAATCTCTTGGTCATGCCTCATTGGGGAAGAATTGAAGAGAGTAGGATAGGACACAGTACTCTAGGGGTTCAGTTAAGAAATGCAGGCAAGCCTACAGAAAACAGACCTATCACTCAATGCAGTCAGGATGAGGAGAAAAGAAATAATTAGCTAGAGATTAAGTAGCAAAACAACCGTTAGAAGACTTAGGTCATGGAGTAGGAATAAAATATTGGAAGAATAATGTCAGAGTGAAAGTTATTAATTGCTTTGAAATCTGAATCTATACATTTTAATATCACCTAGCTGAGCCAATCTGAGCATCTGCTTAATATCCTGGCATGAGACAAGAATATCAGGAGGAAATTTAAACTTCTTTTTTAAATAGAGAGTAAAAAATAAAGCATCTTTCAGAGCATTTCGAGATAAAGCTTTTACAAGACCATACAAAACCTGAGCTATTTTAGATAGTAATGTGTTAAAGCAAATTAACATCCTCTATATCAAGCAAAGATTTCAAAGCTAAGCCATTATATATAATGGAGTGAGGCAGAAAAACAAAATCTACTCTATGAAGTACATAAAACAAATAGAAATTGCTATTATGAGACACCATAAAATAGTCAATAATTCAAAAGATGATTAAAAATAAACAATGTATTAGTAATAAAAACCTGGCAGGGGGAACATTCTAATAATGGATTTCGGTTGTTGGCTTAAAGCAACTCAAGAATCTTAGAGAGAATATGAGTAGAATAGCCAGCTATTATAACAAAAACCCATTGTAGTTTTTGCTTATGTTTATTTTTATAGAAAAGCTCATGTAAAACAGCATACTTTATAAAGAGGAAAAAGTACTTGAAACTAATGAAAAACTAAAGCACAGAAATGCTAAAAACAGCATACTTCTGAGAGAGAAAAAAAGACTTCTCCCATAAGTTTGGTGGCATTAATTGCTAGAAGACATCAGAATAGCTATGCAATTTTTAAAACTATTATAATGTTGATAGTAATTTTTAAATTCTTGGAATCAATTGGGTTTATTTTTCTTCCCTCTGTGGTTCACGCTCCTGTTCTACAAAAATAATGAATTGACTCCCAAAATGCTAGTGAACATATAAGAAAAACCTCCTAACAGTGTTCCTGTGTAGAAAATTCCATTTCTACAGAATTGTGTTTCACTTTTTTTTTTTTTTGGCTGCAGAGTCTGTCCCTATTTCTAACATCAGTGACAAGATAATAACAAAGTCACTATCCCAAAGTTCCATCCCAGTATACAGTCAGCTTTGTACAAAGATATACATAACTGTAGCAGGACCATAGAGGTCACTAATCACATCAACAACTATCACTGGTAGTTGTGGGAGAGGGACTGAATGAGAAAATATAATTGTTAATGGTCTCAACACAATCTATTACCACTCCAGTGCATATTCTACCAATGGTGGGTTAATAAAGTTATCCATACCCAAAAACCATGATACAACCTTCCCATAAAGTGAGGGACTGGAGATGGAGGAAAAAGGGAGGAAGAAAAGTCCTCAAGTTTTTTTTTTTTCTAAGTTTAGTTTTTTTTATTGTTTTTTACTCTCCATTTAAGAGGCATGCTTATGATCAAGTTAAAAGAAATCATCCTAATAGAGGAGACTTATTAACTCAAAAGTTAACACTACAAAATAACTGAATAGGGTTCCTTTCCAATATACAGGTTAAGCAGCCCTAATCCAAAAATCTAAAAATCTGAAATGCTCCAAAATTCGAAACTTTTTGTTGTGACCAACATGACATCACAAGTGGAAAATTCGATGCCTGACGCCCTTGCTTTCTGATGGTTCAATATATTGTTTCATGCACAAAATTATTTAAAATATTGTATAAAATTACCTTCAAGTTATGGTTACAAAGTATGTATAAAATAGAGATGAATTAAGTGTTTAGACTTGGGTCTCATCCCCAAGATATCTCATTATGTATAACCAGATATTCCAAAATCAGAAAAAATCCCAAATCTGAAACACTCTGGTTCCAAGCATTCCAGATAAGAGATACTAAACCTGTATTTTTTTCTTTCCTTTCTGAGGGGGAAAGAGTGTGCCAACTGTGCAATAGAGAGAATCTGGGCTTTGTTGGTTACTATAGAGTTCCAAATAACAGATTTATTTTAATGTGTTTATTTTTTGATGACTTCTAAGAATTTACATTTTTCAGAGTTTTTACAATCAATCCATAAACAAGCTTATCTGATGCCATATAATCAAGAGTTTGTTATAATAATGTCTAATAATGTAACATTACCAAGTTATTTCTATACAAGAAAACTTAAAACTTTCCCAGTGAAGTGTGAACTCTCCAAAATAAACCAGCAACCAAAACTAAACAGAGAAACAAACCATCTAGTTAGGCCAACATAAAATCAAAGTAAATGGGGGGCACTCATAGAATTTAAGAAATGCACTGAGATTGCTACAGGCCTTTAGAAAGTATTATGCAATTTAGAACACTCTGTGATCACAAGGGCTGCACCTCTTTGTGCTACACACGGTACAAAGGTGTGGCAGCTACACCCTAGCTCAGATCTAATCTGGCAACCCATCTTAATGAGAGTTTAGTTACCAATACAAATTCAGCTAAAATTATGCCTCAGAATTCTATCTTCCTCTCAAGAATATTTAAAATCCACATGCTGAGTTTTCAGATGTGGCTAAAATATCCAGAGGGTTTCAGAGGGACACCATTATACCACACTAAGGTAATTTGCTGTTTCAAATGGCAATGGTGACCAATTATGCTTTGGTACTACAAATACTTAGAGTAGACAAAAATATTCTGGAGAAATTTTGAACCCTGAGTTTTAAGTTTTATAATGTCTTTCCACCAAATATTTTTAAACAAATTTAGCATTAAGATTTTCAGTATGCTGAGCTGTCAATCAAGCTGCAGTTTTCTAATATTGCTCTTTTAAGAAAGCACAGTGCATTACCTATCCTGATCAGTAACAGCAGTCATGTCCAACCCAACACCTCTACTAACAATCTACAGACACTGCCATTTTGCAATGGAAAGAAAGCTTTATTTTTTATACAGCAGAAATAAGCCTTTCACATGGCAATTTTAAAGCAGATTTCTAGAAGCAACTTCTAAGGGCAGCTGAAAGAATGATGCTTCTAGCATGCTTTGACAATGATAAAAATTCCCAAATTACATAAATGCTTAATAACATGTAAGCATTTCCAACCTGGGCCTATGTCAGATACCACCTTTCCTGGAGAAACTAACAGAAAACTTAAAAGGCATTTTATCAGCACTTTAAGTTTGGGATACAGGAAAAGCAATTTGAAGACTGTAGCCAGTTTTAAAAAATTCTTCTCTTTTGTATGGCTGGGCATGGTGGCTCATTCCTGTAATCCCAGCACTTTGGTATGCCAAGGTAGGCAGATCACCTGAGGTCAGGAGTTTGAGAGCAGCCTGGCCAACATGGTGAAACCCCATCTCTACTAAAAATAAAAAAAAAAATTGTGTGCTCTCCCTTTTGTCTCCACATTAAAAAACAAATTTTTATTTCATGTTTTGTGGGTTTAATTTCTTCCAAAGGAGATTGTAATTAAGTAAATACATGAATTAATCTCTAGCATATCTTCTTATAACTATTGCTGATAGATAACCTGTAAGTGCAAAACCAAGGCACTCTTGGAGAATAAACATTGACAGGAAGTGGAGATGTTCATTCTAAGAACAACAGACTGATATTGGAGTGGACACTTAATATTCCATTTTTTATACCATATTGAAAAAAATTGTTCTTAAGTAATTATCAACGATAATTTAAAAACTGAACAATAATGTCACAAATGTAAAAGGAAGGGCAGGTAATCAAAAGCCATGAGGCACTCTTAGTTCTCATTGCACTAAATTTATTGCATTTGACAATAAATTTTAAATAATTCAAACAAAAGCATCCAGTTAAGATGTTCATTTCAAAGCAGAAGTTGCAATAGTATAAAAATAATACTTAATCATAGTATATCCCAAGCTCCCACATGCCTATGGCATTCAAAATGTCAGAAAAGGTTGTATCATGGAACTAGCTGCAAATTATTTGCCACTCTTCCCATCAAGAAGCAGGGTCTATTTCTACTGTCCTCAAATATGGGCTGACCCTACAGTTGTGTCCAGTATGATGTAGGGAACATGACACTGTGATTTCTGAGGCTGGGCTTCAATATACATTGAATATCTGTCCCCACCCAAATCTCATGGTGAATTGTAATGCCCAGTGTTAGAGGTGGGGCCTAGTGGGAAGTGTTTGGAACATGGGAGCAGATCCCTCATGGCCTGGTGCTGTCTTTGTGATTGTGAGTTCTCACGTGATCTGGTCATTTAAAAGTGTGTAGCAACCCTCACACTTCTCTCTCTTGCTTGCTCCATTTCACCATGTGATACGCCTGCTCCTCCTTTGCCTTCCACCATGATTGTAAGCTTCTTGAGGCCTCCCTAGAAGTTGAGTGCCAGCACCACGCTTCCCACAAAGCCTACAGAACCATGAGCCAATTAAACCTCTTTTATTTTTAAATTACCCAGTCTCCGGTATTTAAAGCAATCCAAGAATGGCCGAATACAAGCCTTTAAAACATTGATGGCTTAGCTTCAACTTTCTCACTTTCTCACGGAACATTTCATTTTGGAATCCACCCATCAGGCTGTAAGAAGCCCAGGTCACATGGAGAGGTCATAACCAAGGAAAACACTGACCATCCAGCAGACAGTCAACTCCAACTGCCAGCCACGTGAGTCAGTCATCTTCAACTTCCTAGCCCAGTCTAACCTTTGAATAACTGCAGTCAAGTCAGCACTATTTGGAGATTTGAAATTCTACATTCAACTAACCTTTAAGAATCATCACACAACAAATTTTGTCACAATATCAAAGAAAAATATCTATAATTATCTGAATAATTTATTACGATACTCCTCTCTTTTCTAACTATATATGTGCCTATGGCGAGAATTTCTTATATAATTCAACCAAAACAATATATTACAATAAATTGAATGTAGAAGCAAACATAGAATCCAATTATTCTCATGAAGCCAAACAGCAAAAAGGTATGTAGAAAATGTAAAGCAATGCTACTCATTAATATTTTTCTTTGGAATACACATTTGTTTTTCATAAAAATATATAATTTAGGATAAAATATAATGTGCTTATTATATTTTTCTTTTCTTTTTTTTTTTTTTTTTTGAGAGGGAGTCTGCTCTGTCGCCAAGGCTGGAGTGCTGTGGTGGGATCTCAGCTCACTGCAACCTCCGCCTCCTGGGTTCAAGCAATTCTCCTGCCTCAGCCTCCTGAGTAGCTGGGATTACAAGCACACATCACCGCGCCCGGCTAATTTTTGTATTTTTAGGAGAGACAGGGTTTCACCATTTTGGTCAGGCTGGTCTCTAACTCCTGACCTTGTGATCCGCCCGCCTTGTCCTCCCAAAGTGCTGGGATTACAGGCATAAGCCACTGCGCCTGGCTGCTTATTATATTTTTAATTGAGATATAACTCACATACCATAAAATTCACCATTGTAAAGTACAGAATTCATCTGAAGCCAAGATGACCTTTAAAAAAATAAAGTAAAAAATATACAATTCAGCAGTTTTAAATATATTCACAAAGTTGCAAAAGTATTACCACTATCTAATTCTAGATATTTTGAACATCCCAAAAAGAAACGCTATACCCATACACAGTTAATCCCCATTCTCCACTATCCCCACTCCCTGGCACCAACTAATCTACTTCTGTTTCTATGGATTTGCCTATTCTGGACATTTCATGTAAATGGAATGATACAATATGTTACCTTTTGTGTCTGTATTCTTTTAGCATGATGTTTTCAAGGTTTATCCATACTGTAATAAATATCAGTACTTCATTCATTTTTATGGGCAAATAATTCCATTGTATGGATATATTGCATTTGATTTATCCATTGATCAGCTGATGGGCCTTTGGTTTGTTTCCATTTTTTGGCTATTATGAAAAATTATGAACATTTGTGTACAAATTTTGTGTGAATTATCTTTGTGATTTTCTTGGGTAAAGACTAGTAGTATTTTAGTGAATTAATATTTTAAACATTTCTAAACTAAAAAATGTTAATTATAAAATGCATATAAAGTAAAGCTGTTTGGGGGCCTCAATAACTTTTTAAAGTATAAAAGTTTCCTAAAAGTAATAACTTGGAAACTGCTGCTATATAAAAATTTTCCCTTCAGTTTCTTTTCAATTATTGATTCAGAAGAATTCACAATAACTTTTAGCTTTTATAAAACATGCTATCTTCACAGCTTTATCTCCTGGGTTATATTTAAGGAGAAATAATGATCGACTAATGCAATAACGTCATCCCAAAGAGGGTCGGTGTCATGATAGTATATGGAAGTTTTTTTTCCTACAAAGATGCTTAAAAAGGTGAAATGTTTTATTGCTTTTATAAACTGCTAGAGCTTTCTAAAAATGTTGAACTTCATCAAACACACAAGCTTTACAAACTCATGACCTAAATGGGCTAAATGTGCCTGTGTCAATCTTCAGAACTTTGAGATAATTTTCTTGGCCCCTTTATACTTGGGGAAGAGATCCTTGGTCCTAGTCAGATACCTGCTAATCTAGTTTCTAACAAAGTTCTTCTAGGTGGCATTCCTCTACCATCTACTCATTTTTCACAGAATGTTCTTTTTATTAGGCATTGCACAATCATAATTCTTGAACCAATATTTTATATTCAACCTTAGGAAAAGCTTCAAAATTTCCTATTAAAAAGCACATTAAGCATATATCTTCCAAAAGATATTAAAATCATAAACTCCTACAGTATTTCTTTGGTGTCTTTAAGTAACTACGAATGTGGCTAAATTATGATATCCTTTGGCCTATCATTATATATGTACTTCTTGATTTCTGAATTTCTCCAAATTTTAAAAACTCATTCATGTAGTGAACCAGATCCTTGAAGGCTTTAGATCATGTTTTTCTGTATGTGATAAATTAAAGTTCTAAATAGACATTAAAAATAGGAAAGATATCATAGAATATTCTCCCATTATTAAAATGACTATATTCAGTAATAAACACATGTTCTAGGTTAATAAGTTACCATTCTTTATTGAGAATTGAAAGTGATACCCTCTTTCTCTGTAAGACTATCCCATAGGGTAGGATAGAAATTTCCCTCTGACAGCCAATCTTAATTTTCTTAAAGGTCACACAGTTATTCCTGATTGAATCCCCATGTGACAAACTAACTTAGAAATGTTTCCGCGTTAGTGCCATACATTTCCCAAGTGTAGGAAAGAACCTCATGTACCACACCATTCATTTAAAATGTGGATTCAGAAAGAAAAAAATCTATGCTTTCACATCTCTTGGATGTAAATTTTGTGTATTACATACATGTGTCTTGTAAAAGAAAAGATAGGTTACAATTAAACAGTATTAGAGTATCATGAAGAGTCAAATACTTTGTCATTCAAATCCTGCCCCTGTCTCTTATCAACTGAGGGACCACAAGGAAGTTACAAGCCTCTCTGAGACTTAAATTCTCCATCTGCAAAAATAGAAGCAAATCTTTGCAGACTAATTATGCAAAAGCAAGTAAATTATCTGATAAAATACAGGGAATCTGTATATTGCTATGTTTTATTAAAGTTGTTATGACTATTATCACAAGAAAAAAAAATCAACTTAAGGTAACATAAATCTACCAAGAAATTTACTGCAATTCACAGAGTAGAAGAATGACTATTACCCAACTAAATCAAGCATAATGGTAATGGAAGAAAAGGTATGATTGTCCTAGATGTAAGCTGGTCAATAAAATATCACACTTGTTTTTGTTTGTTTGTTTTTGTTTTTAGGAAGAGGAGAGAAGATAGTCTGTGAAAAGGAAATTATTTTCCTTCTCTGTCGTAAGAAACTAGAAGGGGAAATTATATTTGCTCTAACTCCAAAAATGTTATTTCTTACTCAGTGATAAGCCTTTAGTACCCCATGTACAACACATCAATTAGAATTTTTTCTTCAAACATCATTTTGATATTCTCCCCTGCCCTGCCTGGAAGTATGCAAAGGCCTCTAATGGCCTCCAATATCCAACACAGACTCTTGCTCCACGTTCTACCCTACATTACCCCCAGCTCCTCACAAACTTTATATGACAAAAACTCTGTATTATAGTAACAATGACTTCATTTAAGAATAGATTCTTGCTTACATTTCACTGTATTTAAAACAATATGTAACTCTTACTTAAGTAACTCATTTAAATTAGTATTTAAATTTAAATAAGTCTTACTTAAAACTTACTGATTATTTTTTCTGATGTACTCATGAGGCAGAACTCATGTACTCCAAAATGTTGTTAAATATGACAGCAATTCATTCAAAATGATAGTATTTTGAAGTACTAATGTTCTCTAATACAATTATTGGCTAACCTAAACACAATTAATGTGAAGTAAATTCCATTTCATTTTCTTAAGAGTTAATTTCAGATTAAATTTATATTATGCAAACATATTTCTTTACAGTGGTACCAACCACATGTTTTCGCACAACCAATTAGTTTAAGGAAGAAGAAAAAATATTGCTGAAAAAGAGATGGCTAAAACTTAGAGCAAATATTATTATTATTCTCAAACAAGTACTCAAGTAGTGTCGTTTTATTTATAGGCTACTCACAGCAATTAATTTTCAGTCCTTTCAAAATTAAATTATGGTCACTTGTCCACTAGTGGATAACCTGCCTCTCACCACTGCCCAGCTACATTCCATATAAAAAAGCCAACTGGCAACAAAGTGAACAAAGACTGTGTTGTCAGTGTGTGCGTGCATGACTATGCCCATGTATGTATCTGAATACCTTTGAAAGAAACAATACTTCAATGAAATTATTAACTTTTTGGAAATTGCTGAACATTAAGCAATGTTAATATTTAAAATTACTCTGAGATTTAAAAGTAAACAAGCAGCTAATAAAGATTCACTGTTCATCAACTATTCTCAGCATTTTCTAAACATTTGCTTATACACTAATTCTGATTGAATGATCTTATAACTCCTCTCACTTGTCTTAGCCTGAAGTTGGAAGCCCTTTCCAAATATTTGTTCCCTCAGGCAAACTAAGTATCCAGATTCTTCTAAGAAGGCAAGTTAGTAATTCAACCTAGAAAACTTTCAGTTGTATGCTTTTTTAATAAATCTAATGCTGAATGGTGAAATAATTCTGCAGATTTTACTTCATCCTTTCAGCACTCTGCTTTCCTTTCCTCCATATGGAAGAATTACAGAGTGAGAAAAGAATTTGCAGGAGGCTGACATTACCTTCTTCCATTTTAATCCTCTCCTCCTCCTCCCACACCTCGGATTAAATTAGATTCTCTACCTATTTCTTTTCTCTCTCTCTCTCTCACTCTCTCTTTTTTTTTAAGAGTACAATGCCTGGCACTAAAGTGGTGACAAATAAATACTTAATAAATGAATGAATAAATAAAACAATGGTCTCCACCACCCTTTTCTTTGATATAAGATCTTCAGCCCACCATGTTTCATTAGTTAATCAAAACATTTTTTATTTAAGCTATTCAAATACTAGTTACTCTCCCCATACCTTTAAACCATCAAGTAAACTAGCTTTTTGGAAACCATTTTCTGAGTTTGTGTATCTTTTTGTTTGTTTGCTTTGAGACGGAGTCTCACTCTGTCACCACGCTGGAGTGCAGTGGCGTGATCACTGCAACCTCCGCCTCCTGGGTTCAAGCGATTCTCAACTGCCTCAGCCTCCCGAGTAGCTGGGACTACAGGTGCGTGCCACCATGCCTAGCTTATTTTTGTATTTTTAGTAGAGACGGGGTTTCACCATGTTGGCCAGGATGGTCTTACTCTCCTGAACTCACGATCCGCCCCCCTCAGCCTCCCAAAGTGCTGGGATTACAGGCGTGAGCCACAGTGCCACCATGCCCAGTTAATTTTTTTTTTGTATTTTTAGTAGAGACACAGTTTCACCATGTCAGTCATGCTGATCTCAAATCATCAGCTAGCCAGGGACTTCCACAGTGCTGGCACTACAGGCGTGAGCTACCAAGCCCAGCCAATTGTAACTCTTCTGACACGTGTATGTAAACCTGGGAACTAGAATTAATGTGTCTTGGAGACTCAATTAAACACATATAAGATGAGGAAGACATGGTCCGACAGTATTTTCTGTTAGAAAGAAATGATGAAGAAGAAGACATAAAGATTAGGTGACTGTTAAGTATTCTATGGTTTTGCAACTAAAAATTATCTCATCCATTAGCCTGCACTAATGGAAAAACCAACAGCACAACATGTCAGATGTCAGATATCAGAAAATAATAGTCTTAATGTTCTAATGAGACCATACCTGGTAGTATGTTAGGGTCTCAGTACTACATTAATACAATAGTGTCAAAATGCAGTAATTAAAAGGAATTACAATAGCATAATGAAGTGTCTTATTTTATTTTATTTTATTATTATTATACTTTAAGTTTTAGGGTACATGTGCACAATGTGCAGGTTAGTTACATATGTAAACATGTGCCATGCTGGTGTGCTGCACCCATTGACTCGTCATTTAGCATTAGGTATATCTCCTAATGCTATCCCTCCCCCCTCCCCCCACCCCACAACAGTCCCCAGAGTGTGATGTTCCCCTTCCTGTGTCCATGTGTTCTCATTGTTCAATTCCCACCTATGAGTGAGAACATGCGGTGTTTGGTTTTTTGTCCTTGCAATAGTTTACTGAGAATGATGATTTCCAATTTCATCCATGTCCCTACAAAGGACATGAACTCATCATTTTTTATGGCTGCATAGTATTCCATGGTGTATATGTGCCACATTTTCTTAATCCAGTCTATCATTGTTGGACATTTGGGTTGGTTCCAAGTCTTTGCTATTGCAAATAGTGCTGCAATAAACATACGCGTGCATGTGTCTTTATAGCAGCATGATTTACAGTCCTTTGGGTATACACCCAGTAATGGGATGGCTGGGTCAAATGGTATTTCTAGTTCTAGATCCCTGAGGAATCGCCACACTGACTTCCACAATGGTTGAACTAGTTTACAGTCCCACCAACAGTGTAAAAGTGTTCCTATTTCTCCACATCCTCTCCAGCACCTGTTGTTTCCTGACTTTTAATGATTGCCATTCTAACTGATGTGAGATGGTATCTCACTGTGGTTTTGATTTGCATTTTTCTGATGGCCAGTGATGGTGAGCATTTTTTCATGTGTTTTTTGGCTGCATAAATGTCTTCTTTTGAGAAGTGTCTGTTCATGTCCTTCGCCCACTTGTTGATGGGGTTGTTTTTTTCTTGTAAATTTGTTTGAGTTCATTGTAGATTCTGGATATTAGCCCTTTGTCAGATGAGTAGGTTGTGAAAATTTTCTCCCATTCTGTAGGCTGTCTGTTCACTCTGATGGTAGTTTCTTTTGCTGTGCAGAAGCTCTTTAGTTTAATTAGATCCCATTTGTCAATTTTGGCTTTTGTTGCCATTGCTTTTGGTGTTTTAGACATGAAGTCCTTGCCCATGCCTATGTCCTGAATGGTAATGCCTAGGTTTTCTTCTAGGGTTTTTATGGTTTTAGGTCTAACGTTTAAGTCTTTAATCCATCTTGAATTAATTTTTGTATAAGGTGTAAGGAAGGGATCCAGTTTCAGCTTTCTACATATGGCTAGCCAGTTTTCCCAGCACCATTTATTAAATAGGGAATCCTTTCCCCATTGCTTGTTTTTCTCAGGTTTGTCAAAGATCAGATACTTGCAGATATGCGACGTTATTTCTGAGGGCTCTGTTCTGTTCCATTGGTCTATATCTCTGTTTGGGTACCAGTACCATGCCGTTTGGGTTACTGTAGCCTTGTAGTATAGTTTGAAGTCAGGTAGCATGATGCCTCCAGCTTTGTTCGTTTGGCTTAGGATTGACTTGGCGATGCGGGCTCTTTTTTGGTTCCATATGAAGTTTAAAGTAGTTTTTTCCAATTCTGTAAAGAAAGTCATTGGTAGCTTGATGGGGATGGCATTGAATCTATAAATTACCTTTCACGATATTGATTCTTCCTATCCATGAGCATGGAATGTTCTTCCATTTGTTTGTATCCTCTTTTATTTCATTGAGCGCTGGTTTGTAGTTATCCTTGAAGAGGTCCTTCACATCCCTTGTAAGTTGGATTCCTAGGTATTTTATACTCTTTGAAGCAATTGTGAATGGGAGTTCACTCATGATTTGGCTCTCTGTTTGTCTGTTATTGGTGTATAAGAATGCTTGTGATTTTTGTACATTGATTTTGTATCCTGAGACTTTGCTGAAATTGCTTATCAGCTTAAGGAGATTTTGGGCTGAGACAATGGGGTTTTCTACATATACAATCATGTCATCTGCAAACAGGGACAATTTGACTTCCTCTTTTCCTAATTGAATACACTTTATTTCCTTCTCCTGCCTGATTGCCCTGACCAGAACTTCCAACACTATGTTGAATAGGAGTGGTGAGAGAGGGCATCCCTGTCTTGTGCCAGTTTTCAAAGGGAATGCTTCCAGTTTTTGCCCATTCAGTATGATATTGGCTGTGGGTTTGTCATAGAGTAGCTCTTATTATTTTGAGATACATCCCATCAATACCTAATTTATTGAGAGTTTTTAGCATGAAGGGTTGTTGAATTTTGTCAAAGGCCTTTTCTGCATCTATTGAGATAATCATGTGGTTTTTGTCTTTCGTTCTGTTTATATGCTGGATTACATTTATTGATTTGCGTATATCGAACCAGCCTTGCATCCCAGGGATGAAGCCCACTTGATCATGGTGGATAAGCTTTTTGATGTGCTGCTGGATTCGGTGTGCCAGTATTTTATTGAGGATTTTTGCATCAATGTTCATCAAGGATATTGGTCTAAAATTCTCTTTTTTGGCTATGTCTCTGCCCAGCTTTGGTATCAGGATGATGCTGGCCTCATAAAATGAGTTAGGGAGGATTCCCTCTTCTTCTATTGATTGGAATAGTTTCAGAAGGAATGGTACCAGTTCCTCTTTGTACCTCTGGTAGAATTCGGCTGTGAATCCATCTGGTCCTGGACTCTTTTTGGTTGGTAAGCTATTGATTATTGCCACAATTCCAGAGCCTGTTATTGGTCTATTCAGAGATTCAACTTCTTCCTGGTTTAGTCTTGGGAGGGTGTATGTGTCGAGGAATTTATCCATTTCTTCTAGATTTTCTAGTTTATTTGCGTAGAGGTGTTTGTAGTATTCTCTGATGGTAGTTTGTGTTTCTGTGGGATCGGTGGTGATATCCCCTTTATCATTTTTTATTGCATCTATTTGATTCTTCTCTCTTTTCTTCTTTATGAGTCTTGCTAGCGGTCTATCAATTGTGTTGATCCTTTCAAAAAACCAGCTCCTGAATTCATTAATTTTTTGAAGGGTTTTTTGTGTCTCTATTTCCTTCAGTTCTGCTCTGATTTTAGTTATTTCTTGCCTTCTGCTAGCTTTTGAATGTGTTTGCTCTTGCTTTTCTAGTTCTTTTAATTGTGATGTTAGGGTGTCAATTTTGGATCTTTCCTGCTTTCTCTTGTGGGCATTTAGTGCTATAAATTTCCCTCTACACACTGCTTTGAATGTGTCCCAGAGATTCTGGTATGTTGTGTCTTTGTTCTCGTTGGTTTCAAAGAACATCTTTATTTCTGCCTTCATTTCGTTATGTACCCAGTAGTCATTCAGGAGCAGGTTGTTCAGTTTCCATGTAGTTGAGCAGTTTTGAGTGAGTTTCTTAATCCTGAGTTCTAGTTTGATTGCACTGTGGTCTGAGAGACAGTTTGTTATAATTTCTGTTCTTTTAAATTTGCTGAGGAGAGCTTTACATCCAACTATGTGGTCAATTTTGGAATACATGTGGTGTGGTGCTGAAAAAAATGTACATTCTGTTGATTTGGGGTGGAGAGTTCTGTAGATGTCTATTAGATCCGCTTGGTGCAGAGCTGAGTTCAATTCCTGGGTATTCTTGTTAACTTTCTGTCTCATTGATCTGTCTAATGTTGACAGTGGGGTGTTAAAGTCTCCCATTATTATTGTGTAGGAGTCTAAGTCTCTTTGTAGGTCACTCAGGACTTGCTTTATGAATCTGGGTGCTCCTGTATTGGGTGCATATATATTTAGGATAGTTAGCTCTTCTTGTTGAATTGATCCCTTTACCATTATGTAATGGCCTTCCTTGTCTCTTTTGATCTTTGTTGGTTTAAAGTCTGTTTTATCAGAGACTAGGATTGCAACCCCTGCCTTTTTTGTTTTACATTTGCTTGGTAGATCTTCCTCCATCCTTTTATTTTGAGCTTATGTGTGTCTCTGCATGTGAGATGGGTTTCCTGAATACAACACACTGATGGGTCTTGACTCTTTATCCAATTTGCCAGTCTGTGTCTTTTAATTGGAGCATTTAGTCCATTTACATTTAAAGTTAATATTGTTATGTGTGAATTTGATCCTGTCATTATGATGTTAGCTGGTTATTTTGCTCATTAGTTGATGCAGTTTCTTCCTAGTCTCGATGGTCTTTACAATTTGGCATGTTTTTGCAGTGGCTGGTACCGGTTGTTCCTTTCCATGTTTAGTGCTTCCTTCAGGAGCTCTTTTAGGGCAGGCCTGGTGGTGACAAAATCTCTCAGCATTTGCTTGTCTGTAAAGTATTTTATTTCTCCTTCACTTATGAAGCTTAGTTTGGCTGGATATGAAATTCTGGGTTGAAAATTCTTTTCTTTAAGAATGTTGAATATTGCCCTCCACTGTCTTCTGGCTTGTAGAGTTTCTGCCGAGAGATCAGCTGTTAGTCTGATGGGCTTCCCTTTGTGGGTAACCCGACCTTTCTCTCTGGCTGCCTTTAACATTTTTTCCTTCATTTCAACTTTGGTGAATCTCACAATTATGTTTCTTGGAGTTGCTCTTCTCGAGGAGTATCTTTGTGGCATTCTCTGTATTTCCTGAATCTGAATGTTGGCCTGCCTTACTAGATTGGGGAAGTTCTCTCGGATAATACCCTGCAGAGTGTTTTCCAACTTGGTTCCATTCTCCCCATCACTTTCAGGTACACCAATCAGATGTAGATTTGGTCTTTTCACATAGTCCCATATTTCTTGGAGGCTTTGTTCGTTTCTTTTTATTCTTTTTTCTCTAAACTTCCCTTCTCACTTCTTTTCATTCATTTCATCTTCCATCACTGATACCCTTTCTTCCAGTTGATTGCATCAGCTCCTGAGGCTTCTGTGTTCTTCACGTAGTTCTCGAGCCTTGGTTTTCAGCTCCATCAGCTCCTTTAAGCACTTCTCTGTATTGGTTATTCTAGTTATACATTTGTCTAAATTTTTTTCAAAGTTTTTAACTTCTTTGCCTTTGGTTTGAATTTCCTCCTGTAGCTCGGAGTAGTTTGATCATCTGAAGCCTTCTTCTCTCAACTCGTCAAAGTCATTCTCCATTCAGCTTTGTTCCGTTGCTGGTGAGGAACTGCATTCCTTTGGAGGAGGAAAGGCGCTCTGTTTTTTAGAGTTTCCAGTTTTTCTGCTCTGTTTTTTCCCCATCTTTGTGGTTTTATCCACTTTTGCTCTTTGACGATGGTGATGTGCAGATGGGTTTTTGGTGTGGATGTCCTTTCTGTTTGTTAGTTTTTCTTCTAACAGACAGGACCCTCAGCTGCAGGTCTATTGGAGTTTGCTAGAGGTCCACTCCAGACCCTGTTTGTCTGGGTATCAGCAGCGGTGGCTGCAGAACAGCAGATTTTCATGAATTGCAAATGCTGCTGTCTGATCGTTCCTCTGGAAGTTTTGTCTCAGAGGAGTACCTGGCCGTGTGAGGTGTCAGTCTGCCCCTACTGGGGGGTGCCTCCCAGTTAGGCTGCTCGGGGGTCAGGGGTCAGGGACCCACTTGAGGAGGCAGTCTGCCCGTTCTCAGATCTCCAGCTGTGTGCTGGGAGAATCACTGCTCTCTTCAAACCTGTCAGACAGGGACATGTAAGTCTGCAGAGGTTACTGCTGTCTTTTTGTTTGTCTGTGCCCTGTCCCCAGAGGTGGAGCCTACAGAGGCAGGCAGGCCTCCTTGAGCTGTGGTGGGCTCCACCCAGTTAGAACTTCCTGGCTGCTTTGTTTACCTAAGCAAGCCTGGGCAATGGCGGGCGCTCCTCCCCCAGCCTCGCTGCGGCCTTGCAGTTTGATCTCAGACTGCTGTGCTAGCAATCAGTGAGATTCTGTGGGCGTAGGACCCTCTGAGCCAGGTGTGTGATATAATCTCCTGGTGCGCCATTTTTTAAGCCTCAGATAGAAATGCAGAAATCACCCGTCTTCTGCGTCACTCACGCTGGGAGCTGTAGACCAGAGCTGTTCCTATTCGGCCATCTTGGCTCTCTCACCTGAAGTGTCTTGAAAGGATGACATAGGAAAAAAAGTTGAGTTGAGAAAATGCAAGACATTTGGTCTTGAAAAAAGAGGTTGAGAGACATGGTACTTGTCTTGAAAACCTTTTTTTTTTTTTTTTGAGATGGAGTCTCACTCTGTTGCCAGGCTGGAGTGCTGTGGCACGATCTTGGCTCACTGCAACCTGAGCCTCCCGGGTTCAAGCAATTCTCCTGCTTCAGCCTCCCAGGGAGCTCGGACTACAGGCATGCACCACCACAACCAGCTAATTTTTGTGTTTTAGTAGAGACAGGGTTTCAACATATTGGCCAGGTTCATCTCAATGTCCTGACCTCGTGATCCGCCCACCTCAGCCTCCCAAAATGCTGGGATTATAGGCATAAGCCACTGTGCCCGGTTGAGAGGACATAGTCTAATAATTAGATCCACCTTGCAATGGAATCACTCCTTTTATACACACACACACGTATGTAGACATATATGTGTGTGTATATATGTTTGTGTGCATATAGACACTTTCATATGTTGTTTTTGAGAGAAATTAATATATATACACACCATTAAAGCTTTATGAGCCTTATATATTTTTAATTTTATTCCATGCCCCTCTCTAAAAAAACAGACAATACCAAACAAGTCATTTTTCATGTGGCAGCTGCCTTGCCCTATAATTTCTTTATTGAATATAATACATAATAATGCCCATATAATGCAGATTTCTTGGAGTAGTAGGTAAAAAAGCTTATATAATATCCCTAAGGAATGGGAGTAACCAATAACAAGAATTTTTCCCAGGGTTAGGATGAGGAGTGGCAATTAGGAGGGTTTTAACACAATAAACTATAAATAAAGGGAGATACAAATCCAAAAACACTCTTTAAAAATCAACATGATAAAAAAAAAACCCACAAGTTTATCAAAGACGCTGAAGAAAATCTGACTTCCAAATTCCAGCATGTTTAAAGAATGGCTTCAGTGTTAACAGAAATCCTTCAAATTTTATCCAGTAAACCATGCATTATTCTTACTTTATTAATGACTATTTGTATAATTAAATCCAAAGAAATTGTATGAAAATAGATGTTTTTTCACCTTATTTTCCTGAAAATCAAATATAACAAAAGACAGAAAATTTTTAAACTTCTTTCTAATATGCTCTTTACCCCCAAAATACTTCTTATTTATGTTGCTAAGAATAACAAGATAGATTTTGCCAATACTATCTTGAAAAAGAATAAAAATAAGAATAACCCAACTTAATAATTTATTTTTGTCAGACCCCATTCCTGGTAGTATCCTTGTCCTCAGCAAAGCAAATAAAACTTCAGCAAATCAAAACATTTCAATTCTGAAATGACAGATATCAACGCATTTTTCAGACAAGCCCCAATTAAATTGGAGATATTCTTACATTCTCATTTCCAAATTAAAAGTCACTACATAATACGCTCTTTTTCCAGTGATTTGCCATATGCTTTATTTGGCTAGTTCTGTCTCCTGTTGGTTGATCTGTGTATTATCTAAGCCAATTTATGAAGGTCGGCACTAATTTCCACACACACAATAAGGCAATGCAAAATTCACAAGTCCTAACAAAGCAGCTCGTATCACCAAATCTTGATTATGTAGTGCTGAAAAAGTCCTCTGAGGCATTTTAATATGTTTAGAGACTAGCTTGCTCCCCTCAATGGCTATTAGTAATGTGCTCAAGTCCCTGTGTGTTATTACGCCAACACACAAATTGTAGGATAATTGCTGGCACTGAGCTTTGGTATTTCAACCATGATGTTGATATTTATCTACCTTGGTAAAGGCTGCTATGGGAACTGATAGCTTGTTTTTAAAAGAATGGGATAAAGGAAACCAGAAAAGAGAAGGGACAAGAATGAAAAGTACATGCTCACTGTAATAATTTAAAATGAATATTAAAGGGAAATATAGTTGACGTCACTTTTTATAAATATTTCATATGAATAGTTAATATTTTGATGGCTGAAAGAACATTGGATGGACCACAGATACTTTTGGAAAGTGAGAAAAAAGAATTAGTCCTGGTGTTTCTTTTGGTCGTAAGATTCTAATTTCTGATTCAGCAATTCCTAAAATATCAGTTTATAGAGCATAACCTATGAAATATATACCATCATCTATGGAAATTTTCCTGGAAAAAGGAAAATAAATCTAATCTGAATCTAAGCAAGCCTAACAACTCACTTCTTGTTTACAAGAAATATAGGGGATTAAGAATCAAATCCATAATATGACACAACTGCACCAGTTTGCTTCAAAAAGGGAGAAAGGTTATGGCAGTAGAGGGACTATAAAAATTAAAAGGCAAAGCGTGATATTTGTTTGGATACCAATTCAAGTAAATCCAATGGAAAATAACATTTTTGACACAACTGATAAAATTTGAATATGAATAGAGTATCAGATGATACTGAAGAATCAGTGTCAGTTTTGTTAGTTGTGATAATGACATTCTGCTAAGCTAAAGTATAGAGGGGAGAAATTATATGAATCTGGGATTTGTTTAAAAATGCTTCAGAAACAACCACAACTAAAAAAGGGAATAGGTGAAACAAGTATGGACAAATCTTATGCAATCTTGAGTTCACATGATAGTTATATGGGGTTTCATTATAATATTCTTTCTATTTTTGTATATATTTGAATTATTTATAATAAGAAATGTTAATTATGTTACAGTTCATCAAAATGTGTTTGAGTAGTGGTGGTGCTTGTGGGTAGCTCTTTTACCATAATAAAAAATTGATATCCTATTTCTTTTTTCTGGCTTTAAGCTAAGATTCTTGCCCATGAATGGTTTTCAGGGGTCTATGAATCCCTCATATTTCATTTTCAATTCACTTCTATTGGAGAGAGTCCATGTCATCACTTTCCAAGACATCAGTTCTCCCCAAAAGGTTAGAATCAACAGATTAGAGGCTTACTGAGAAAGATTTTTGTCTCTTTCTCTTCAGTTGGCATGTTAACTAGTTCATTTCTTAACATTTTTAGCAATAATCAGAAATGAGAGTAGACACATGGTAAGACCTAACTAGAGCAACTTTATACCCTTGATTTCCAGGAATAAGCTTAGTTTATGCTTATTGCCCTGGTTTGAATGATAAATTACATGTTCACCCTATCTCTAAGCCCTTCTTGAAATTTAAAATAGAGAATATCTAGAATGTTAATAGATACTTGAGAAAGATTAGTTTTTGTTGTTATTTTTGCATTTGCTTTAACTGACCAAAGTAACTCTCTAATAATTGTATACGTCATTGGTTAAGTCAGTGCTTCCCTACCAACATTCTTGAATTTGCTAGACAATTGTTAACTCTACATTTTGTTTTATATTCTAGCCCTCATATTAAATTATTCCCCTAAATGAACTATATACACTTCCTTGCAGCACTGTTGTAGTCTTAACCTGTGCTGTCATTAAGTGACTTTTGGGATATGAATATCTACCAAACTACAGATTATTTAAAGCAATTTCCCTAGGAAATCGTAAGGAACTATTAGCTTCCTTCCGAGCTAGTTTCCTTACATATAGGGCCACTAACATAACTTCTCTTGGATCATTTGTCCTTTCTAGTGATAATCTAATGTAGTATCTACTCTGTAATTAAGACCTGACACTACCATTAATTTTCCCTTAAAAATTAATAGATATTTTAGCTAGCCCAAAGTCATCACTTGGCAAATAAAAAGAACTTGGAGTTCAACTATTTTCACTTCCAACTGAGTTTATTTTCCAGTATTTATCCATGCTAAAAAATACTGATTACAATATGTTCTACAGAAACACCATTTCAATTCCAACAGGCAATAAAACAATCCCCACTTTCTGGGTGACCTGATAACTAATGATCTGACTTCTAGCAAGCTACCTTATTTTATGGTATACTTTATACATACAAATACAAATACATATACATATAACAGTAATCCACAGCAAATAGTCTCTTCTAAACTTTCCATTCTGAGACTTAATCTTCAATTTGTGCTAGAGACAACAGAAAACAATAACTTCCCAGGAAAAAATTAAAAATCCAAATTATGTATTATAAAAAATATTGACTCTTTTTACTAAACTTGAAGAGAGGGACATATGCTATTTTTTTATCTAGTAGATCTATATAAATGAAGATGATGTTGCTAGATGTCTATGCCCAGACATAAAAACCTTGAGCCAGAGTAGCTTGGCAGCAACAAAAGTCAGAGAATATGTAGATCAGAGAATATGTAGAATATGCAGGTTTAAGGAATGAGTCTAAGAAAAGAGGCAGAGTTCTCTATATCCTTATCCTCTGCCCTGATTCCTCTCAAAGGCTTAGAGTAGGGATTTTTCAGCCCTCTGATGATCAAGAAACCCCAAATTTTCAAAACAGAAAGAGACTATTGGTATCATTAGACTTAACCCCTCATTTTATATATAAGAAAATTATGGCCCAAAGAGGTTGAATTGCTTGCCCAAGAGCCATGTGATACTTAACAAAAGAGTTAGGCCTAGAGAATGTGTATTATATTCTATCTTCTTAAAGCTGAGGATTTGGAGAAAAAACAATATTCTGAAAACTACAAGCCAAAAGAAAAATGAAGTTGCAATAAAAAGTACAAGGGAGGCCAGGAGTGATGGCTCACGCCTATAATCCCAGCACTTTGGGAGGCCAAGGCAGGCAGATCACGAGGTCAGGAGATTGAGACCATCCTGGCTAACACGGTGAAACCCCGTCTCTACTAAAAATACAAAAAATTAGCCAGGCGTGGTGGCATGCGCCTGTAGTCCCAGCTACTTGGGAGGCTGAGGCAGGAGAATGGCGTGAACCCGGAAGGCGGAGCTTGCAGTGAGCCCAGATCACGCCACTGCACTCCAGCCTGGGTAGCAGAGCGAGACTCTGTCTCAAAAAAAAAAAAAAAAAAGGACAAGGCGGGGAACAGGTTGAATTTGAGTAGAGTTAAAGAACTTAAGGAAAATAAGCACAAAGAAAACAAGCGTTTTTAAAATGTGAGATATAGTAGGGGCAAATAAGAATGAAAATAAACACACATCAGATTTTGCTAAATCCATGAGAGTGTTGTATGGACTGACACAAAAGAAAAGATATAACCAATTCTAATTGTAATGTCATTAACATTTCACAAATATTAAAATGTGAAAAAAACTATTGTAAAAATTTATTGTAAAAAATGTGAAAAAAAAGTCCCTTAGATTCAGTGAAATTTGGTACATGGATAAGAGTGTATATTGAGTCAGCCACATGATGGTCATTAGCCACTTCATTAATTTATTACCCCCTTTATTTTCTTTCTCTTCCTCCTCCCCATCCTCTGATCAAGATCATCTTCAGAAACATTTTACTGAATACCTCCTCTGTGAAAATAAGAAAGTCCATCATACAACCCTTACCAGGACCCATTCTCACACCTGGGGACTCTTTTCTATGCTAATGTAGAAAGAATCAGCTGATCATCTGTTCACTGTGATACTTGGAAATGCATCTGTAGTGAATAATGATAACCCAGTGTAAACATTCAAACTTCTAAAAACTGGACCCTAAGGTTATGCTGGAATGAAGAGACAAGAACTACTTTCCAAGTGTAATATATTTGAATGAACAGCAGAGGGAGGAACAGAAGCAGCACATGAAACATCAGCACTGAGCAAAGGCTACTAAACACAGGGGCCCTCCAAAACCTACAAGGACTTCAGCCTTCCTAGACCAGGAATTTTGAAGCCAGCTGATCCAACCAGTCTTTTGCATTCTGGTTATTATTTGCCCCTCAACAAAATTCAGTCTCATCTATCAATTGTCTAAACAGTGTTATTCCCCAAGCTGCCATTTTCTTCCTACAGCTCTACTGGCCTCTACCCATTTTGCTCTCAAATTCTCATTTTGTTGTAATTACCTGCCATTTTAGACCTAATTCCAGAACACTTCTAAGCCTTCTTCCTTCAACTAGATCCTGGCCTTCTCATAAGGAAATTCCTCATTCTCTCCTCACGTGACACAGGGCCATGGGTAGCACTCTCTTAATCACCATATTTATACCATTACTTTCCCAACCTTATCTCAAAACCCTCTGCTCTTAGAGACACATATCAAGTGTATCACTTTCTACTCTTTACTGTTATCATCCTTGTCTTTTCCAGATGATCACTTAATTCCCTGAAGATTTGGACACCTGACTTGGTCTTCCTTTTTACCCTAAAAAATGTTATAATCACTGCTGACTTCAACACCCATGTCAATAGCTCTCAATTACCTAGTATGCAAGTTATTTTACCCTCTCTGCAACACAGAAATCACCCCTGCTTATGTTTTCATGGAACTTCCTAGTACTTAGAACTGTTCCCCTTCCAAAATCTTAAATGACAACATACTAGTCTCTCACAGTTGCTCTTTCTCCTGTAAGCTTTCTCACTTGTTTACTTACAATATATTTACTTGGATCTCAGAGAAGCTTCTCTGGTCCTGTGGACATGTATTCCTGGTACGTCCAGTAGTGCAAATTGGTGCTATAGCAACTTCTTGTCTAGAAATGAAATGGATCATCAGCCAAATTGCATTGTGTATTATATATGCCTGCTCGGTTCCTTCAACCATTCTTCATAGTAGCTTTACCAATTTTCATGCACATACTCCTACCATCTTTTTCCTTCACTTGTGTTGTGTGTGTGTGTGTGTGTGTGTGTGTGTGTGTGTGTGTGTGTGTGTGTGTGTGTTTAGATAGGGTCTTGCTCTGTCACCCAGGCTGGAGTGAAGTGGTACAATCATGGCTTACTGCAGCCGTGACCTCCTGGGCTCAGGTGATCCTCCTGCTGCAGCTTCCCAAGTAACTGGGAGTAAAAGTTAGCAGGCCACCACGCCCAGCTAACTTTTTGTTGTGTGTGTGTGTGTGTGGAGTCGGGATTTCACCATGTTTCCCAGACTGGTCTCAACCTCCTGGGCTCAACTGATCCACTCACCTTGGCCTCCCAAAGTGCTGCGATTACAAGCATGAGCCACCATGCCTGGCTTTTCTTCGTTTCTTATTTTCTTTCCTCTCTCACACACTTCCAACCCTATTATAATAGTCATGGGCCTGTTTGAGCTCAGAGCCTTTTGTTCTTTTTCCTGGCTCTGCTTAAGATGGCACAAAGCTTGACCCTGGAGGCTTCATGCTGGATGTCTGGGGGGCACCAGCAGGAGACTGAAAGGGAGAAAGTGGAGAGAAGCTAGGACATTCCTCTCCCCTACCCTCTGCCTCTGATGGTATCTCTACCAGAGCTTGTTTCCTTCAAAGGGTAACAGACAGGATGGCATGGTTCTAGCTTCCACTCCTAGTAATGCTACCTCCTTTTTTGTCCCTCCAGCTTATTGGCTTCATGCTCTTGTTAATTATTGGGTTGGTTTACAATTCCCTATTTAGCTTTCCAATTCTTCCATGACCTATTAACAAATTATTTGCATTAAATTCCTTCTCTTTTAAACACTTTAAGTGGCTTCTTTTGGGGATAGTTATAACTTGACTGATATGCCTATCCATGTCCATATGTATCCTCTCCCTTCCTTCCTCTAGTATCAAAAAAAGGTGCATTCCTAACGAAAAGTCACCCTCCACATGGTTCCTTGATATATTCTCCAGAAATTCACTGATAATTCACTTTCTCCATCTCCTTTATTTTCAATCTGTGCCTCTCTACTGACCTCTTCTTCAAAATCTATTTAAGTGGTTTTCCATCTTACAATCCAAACTAAACCAAACTTCCTCAATCCTACGTTATTCTAGAACTACTATCACTCTTTTCTTTTATTTTCTCTTTACTCTTCAATCCACTACAATCATACCTTGGCCTACCTCCTCACTCTATTCTCAAAAAAGATTGCTCTTGGATGAATATAAATATCCTCTTAATTGCAAAATCCAATAGATTGTTTTCAGTAATGCTGTTTGACTTCTCTGTGCAGTTGATTATTGAGCAGGCCTTCTTATTAAACCTTTTCTTTCCCTAGCCTCCATGACACCACTCCCTCTCCTACCTCTCCCTTTTAGTCTCCTTTCATGTTCTTTCACCTACCCAAAGTTCTGCCTCCATCTTTCTTCTCTTCTAGAACTACTTGCTCTTTCCAAGTAATTACATTCACTTTCATGGTTTCCACTATCACATCTGTGTTGATAGCTGTAATCGGATGGTCAACTAAGAGAGCCCTCTGCCGAACTTTAGTCAAGACACTTCCAGGTAGATCTTCCAAATGAACTTCAAATTCATTATTTCCAAAAGAACAGTAATTATCTTTTCTCCTTATTCTCCTTTTGAATTTCTTATCTTTTTGAATAATAACACAATGCAATCAGACACCCAAATCAGAAGAAACCTTGAAGCCAACCTACATTCCACCTATTCTCTCACCTTCCCAATTAGGTCATTTACCACATCATGTAGATTCTCTCTCCTTACTTTATTGCCAGATTATTTTTAAAGTACTTCAATGGCTCCCCACTACCTGCAAGATTAAAAGATCTTTTATACTTAGCCTCTGCCTAACTTTCCCTCCATTCCTTCAACCCCTCTGCACATCTTACATTTCATTTAGAACATTATATTGTTTTATATCTCTCCATGTCCTTGTTTGTGGTGCCTCCTCTACCTGGTAAAGCCTTCCCTTTCTTGCATCTCTATCACCAAAGAAACATATTGTCTCCTCTCCAGCTTTTAGCTTTGCTTTCTTTTATCTTGACCTCATTTTCCAAAACACTATGGTCTAAGAGATGGTCACTAGCATCTTTATCCTTATCATGTCCTTCTAGCACAAAATCAAAAGGAAAAAAAAAATCACGTTTCTCCAAGACTCCCACAAAAATTCCCAAGAAGACTTTGATTACATGGCTTGGGTCACATGCTCTACTGTGAATTAGTCTTCTACTATATGTAAAGTATATTGTAGACAGAGTCTATGAGTTACTCACCTTTGTACTGTCAGTATCTGACACATAAAAGACATTCAATAAATTAAATAAATGAACAGGGGAAGGAACGAATAAATCATTTGCATATATAACGTTCTCATTCAACATACACACATCTTATAGGTGAGATAAACTATGGCTGGAATATAGGTTTCTTGATTTTCAATTCTATGTTTTTTCAGATTACACACACCCGCACACATACACACACATGTGTAGATAACAGATGTAGTGATAATGAAACTAATATATTATTCTTATTTTTCACCTACTCTGAACTATAACTGTTAAAACAAAAGAGATGATATAAAGTATATTTTCAGTGAGTTCAAAATAAGTATAGGAAAAAAGTCACATTAAATGCGAAAGTAGAAAAAAGATAGATTTTTGGTTAAGAATACAAACATCACAACAAAAGGGATTTTGTTACTAACCCAAATTAATTTTTCAACATGCTTCCTCATTTCTACAATGAAATAAAAAAACTTCACTTACTGATGTTCCAAAGTGACTGTCTCTATTTTACTTGACAATAGCTTCCCCTTTTTTTCTCTTTATTTTCTCATCAGCTAAACACCTCAGTATTTTCTGATCACTAAAAACACTTGGAAGGACTCCAAACAATCTCTGAGGAATTATACTTGTTTTCACTATGTATCCAAATTTTCTTTTAACATCAAGTACATGCTGGACAAATAATATGTACCTACTGATTTGCATGTAATTTACATCTTATTATGATGGTACTCTGTAGATCTCCCTAAATCCTGTCCCAAGTACTCTTAAGCCATTGAAGGAAATGGAGAGCAAAGAAAGAATACCACAAATCTGTCTGCCATAACCAATTCTCAGTATGGAATAGGCCTTCCACATAAAGTGTAACCATCAGTGTTTGTTATACTTATGTATTCCTTACTGCATACCCATTATTCACCTAAGAACTTTACATATATCATTTAATGCTCACAAGAGCATATAAGATAGGGATTATTAAAATGTTTTATAGACAAATAAACCAGGACACTAAAAAGTTAAGGAATGTGTCAAATATAACAAATGATAGATATATGATTTAAACTCAGGCAGTCTGTCCAGACTGTGTCCTAAGCCACTACATCACATTGCCTCTTTAAAAGGAGCTTAGGGGCTGGGTGTGGTGGCTCATGCCTGTAATCCCAGCATTTTGTGAGGCCAAGGTGGGAGGATCCCTTGAGGCCAGGAGTCCGTAACTGAAATGAGCTATGATTGCACCACTGCACTCCAGCCTGGGTGATAAAACCAGATCCTGTCTCTTAAAACAAAAAAAGGGAGCTTAGGGTTAATCAAAGTACCTTTATCTTTGAGAAAGGCAGACATGACATTATCATGACATTTTTTTGCACTGAGAAATCCTATGAAGTTAATTCTGACAGTCTCCACTAACACTACCCACTAGTGGCATAAATATGTTTAACCATAGTTCATTTTGTTATGTACCTTCATATAAATACTCACTATACACAAATAAATGTATGTCCATGCAAAAATACAAACACATATGTACTCATACTTCTACACACAAACACACACACAAAACAGTGTTCTTCTTAAGACTGTTTTATCTGATTATTGTATTTTGTGGCATTTCTACTAATATCCATGTTTTGCATTTCTCTTTTAAAATCTGATGAGAGCACAATGAGTAACTTAATTTGAGGGTGGATATGGGTCAGTAAAATGACACACTATCTTTCATGCACTACACTTTGGCAAGAGCAAAGCACACTTGTCCCCAACCACTTTTAGAGATTCATGAATTAAGGAACTTCAATCTGTTTCCAATTCTTTTACACAACTCATTGGAATGCTGTTCTGTAACAACTGATTGATTCATGAGTTTTCCCCGCCTCCCCTCTATATCCCATAAACAAAGGATAGACAGCAGAGGCTACTACTTCTCTACATACCAAGACACTGTTCAGCAACTGTTAGAAAAGAATGTGATTCCATAGTATACTCCATTAATTCTACAGTTGCACTTATCACACCATAAATAACTCTCTTTCTTCTTGTCTGCATCCCCATTAGGCCAGCAGCTCCCTGAAGAAAAGGCTGTTTCATTCATTTTTGGGTCCCCAGCACCTAGCACAGTGCTTAAAACATAGCAGCTGCTTAATAAATATTTGACTAATGGTACATAAACAGCTCATCTTTCTGTTTTTTTGTTTTTACCAGTTACATTGAAACTAAATTCACAATCCCTTGCAGTAAATAGCATACTTTCACAGAATGAAAAGCTGAGGGTAAGTATGAGCTACAGAAACAAAGCAAAATAGCTCCCAAAGGATAGAACTTGGGCTAATATACATAATTGACACAGAAAGAGTATTAAAATCAAATTATAAAATTTAAAAGGAAAGAACTATTTGTTTTAGCACCCTAAGTTTATATATGAATTTGTAAATTTACAAGGTTCAAAATATTTCTCATTTTTTTCAAACCATTCTAACTGCTCAAGTTAAGGGAGGTGACATTAAAGAAATCTTTTGCCTGTAATCCCAGCACTTTGGGAGGCCAAGGCGGGTGGATCACACGGTCAGGAGTTCAAGATCAGCCTGGCCAACATGGTGAAACACCGTCTCTACTAAAAATACAAAAATTAGCTGGGCATGGTGGTACATGGCTGTAATCCCAGCTACTCAGAAGGCTGAGGCAGGGGAATTGCTTGAACCCGGGAGGCAGAGGTTGCAGTGAGCTGAGATCATGCTACTGCACTCCAGCCTGGGTAACAGAGCAAGACTCTGTCTGGGAAAAAACAAATTAATAAATTAACTAATTTTAAAAATTAGAAGAATGAAACTGGATCCTCATCTCTTACCTTATACAAAAATCAACTCAAGATGGATCAAAGACTTAAATCTAAGATCTGAAACACTAAAGAATCTAGAAGATAACATAGGTAAAACTCTTCTAGACGTTGGCTTAGGGAGAGTTCATGACAAAGAACCCAAAAGCAAATGCAACAAAAACAAAAATGAATCGATGGGACCTAATTAAACTAAAAAGCTTCTGCACAGCAAAAGAAACAATTAGCAGAGTAAACAGACAACCCACACAATGGGAGAAAATATTCGCAAGCTATGCATCTGACAAAGGACTAATATCCAGAATCTACAGGGAGCTCAAATAAATTGGCAAGAAAAAAAATCCCATCAAAAAGTGGGCAAATGATATGAATAGACAATTCTCAAAAGAAGATATACAAATAGCCAAAAAACATATGAAAATATGCTCAGCATCACTAATTATCAGAGAAATGCAAATTAAAACCACAATGAGATACCAACTTACTCCTGCAAGAATGGCCATAATAAAAAAATAATAGATGTTGGCAAGGATGTGGTGAAAAGGGAACACTTTTACACTACTGGTGGGAATGTAAACTAGTACAACCAGTATGGAGATTCTTTAAAGAACTAAAAGTAGGACTACCATTTGACCCAGCAATCCCACTACTGGGCATCTACCCAGAGGAAAAGAAGTCATTATATGAAAAAAGACACTTGCACATGCATGTTTATAGCAGCACAATTCACAATTGTAAAAATATGGAACCAACCCAAATGCCCAACAACCAATGAGTGGATAAAGAAAATGTGGCATATATACATCATAGAATACTACTCAGCCATAAAAAGGAACAAAATAATGGCATTCACAGCAACCTGGGTGGAATTGGAGACCATTATTCTAAGTGCAGCAACTCAAAAATGGAAAACCAAATCTTATATGTTCTCAATTTTAAATGGGAGCCAAGCTATGAGGATGCAAAGGCATAAGAATGACAAAACAGACTTTGGGGATGCTGGGGAAAGTGAAGAAGGGGGCAAGGAATACAAGACTACACACTGGCTACAGTGTATGCTGCGCAGATGATGCGTGCACCAAAAGCTCGGTAATTACCACTAAAGAACTTATCCATGTGACTAAAAACCATCTGTTCCCCAAAAACTATTTAAATAAATAAATAAAGGACAGGCAAGTTGATTTATAAATCATCACTAAATTACAGAACTCCTTCATATAAAAATAAATTTTAAAAGTTATGCATACATTTTGTCTCTCTTTATATTTTTAAGTAATCTTAATTGGGTTATGAGGCCACCATGTGGGGTACCTCAGATTTTTAAGTAATCTTAACAGAAAATAAGTATTATGTTTAAAAGATTTCATCTATAGTGAAAAAATTCCCTTTTAGAGTTTTCATACAACATAAAGCTATACTATACTTTTTCTTTTACTGTACTTTAAAAAAACCTGGTAACTATATATAAACCTTAAAAATTATCCACTTTTAGGTTTAAAATGAAGGTAAAAAACTAAAAGGAGTAAAAATAGGTAAAACAAATTTAAAGTAATCTGCATCTTAAAATTCTGACATCTATATAAAGAATTAATGGTTTTTTCCTCAGGAAGATGATATCTAATATTATTATTCCTCTAGACCTTGGTGCCTAGCCAAGAGAAGAGAAGCTCTGATTTAAATTTTGACCACTCATGTACCAATCATCATCGTCATGGGAGGTTTACATTAACAAGTCTCTCTTGCATCTGAATGTACCTTATTGGTGCAGGGTAAAGACCACTAGTGCTATGGTGAATTTTTTTGTATTTGTTTTTTGTTTTATTTTGTTTTTGGTGACAAATATTGTCTCCCTTGTAATGTCTTTGGTATGCATGAGAGGCTGGGACTAAGAAGCATAGAACCAAACCAGATCTTTGCTTCTACTTCTGCCAGTGGTGAACTAGAATGTGTAACACAAAACATAATAATGAAAACAATTAGAAGATCATGGGAAAATATAAAAACAATTATTAGAAGCCATCAGAGAAATACCAAAGCAGAAAGAAATGTGAAAGGATGAAGGTAGTAGAGTAAATCCCAGATAGCTAAGCCAAATATCTAGAATCTGCAGTGGGAGCTGAGAAGTTAGAAAATTGAACAGATCTTCCAAAAGATTCTGGGGCTTAAACGGGATAAAAATGAAAGTTTATGGCCTAACAAATAGGAAAGACTAGACACAAGAAACTTTCCATTAGGAGACCTTAGGAAGAGTGCAAGGTCTTAAATAGGCTAGCATCTCAAGAAATGAAGGCAAGCTTCCAATAATCTCAAGTTTTGATGGCATTAAGGTAATCATGGAATACTGCCATTCCCAGGCCAATTACTTGCCAGAAACAAAAGTAAATCTTCTCTAAGGGAATATAACATGTTTCAGAGCCTCAACATTTTGCTAAATTTTAAAACAAAAAAATGTCTAATATAAATCAATAATCATGTATTCATGAAAATAAGACATAGTCAAAAACTAAGAGAAAAATACTACAATAAAATAACTCACAAGAATTCATATAATAGAGTTATCAGTCATGAACTTTGAAATAATTATGATCAATATGCGTGAGGAATTTCTTTAAAAGTTGGTTATATCAGAAGATAAATAGACACCACAAAAAGAAAAACAAATAAAAATTCTAGAAAAAGTATAAGTGAAAATAAGAACCCAAGTACGGGATAAGCAGCTGATTAGATGCAGCTAAAAACTGAATAGCAAAACTAGAATACGGACAGATTTAGGCATAAAAAGGCAAAAAGAAAATACAGAGAATAAATCTAAGAGACCCTTAGGAAAAAAGTCCTAGATGTGAGCAACTAAATTTAAAGAAAGGGCTTGGGGGACAGACAAAATGGGAAAAAACTAATCTAAACAAATAAAGGCAGAGAACTCTTCAAAATTGAAAATATGAAGCCACAGATTTAATAGGCACTATGAAATACTGCAAAAAGAAAAGAAAAAAACAACATCTAGGCCCTTCATAAAAGTAAAACTGCTGAAAAACAAAGACAAAAAATGTTTTAAAGAGGTGAAAAGAGAGAGAGGGAGAATGTGATTCAGAGACATATTACTTTCAAAGAGCTACAATGAGAGTTACAGCTGACTTCCTGGAATGAGACAGAAGACAATGGAATGACATTTTCTTTTTTATTTATTTATTTATTTATTTATTTATTTATTTATTTATTATACTTTTAAGTATTAGGGTACATGTGCACAATGTGCAGGTTAGTTACATATGTATACATGTGCCATGTTGGTGTGTTGCACCCATTAACTCATCATTTAGCATTAGGTACATCTCCTAATGCTATCCCTCCCCCCTGCCCCCACCCCACAACAGGCCCCGGTGTGTGATGTTCCCCTTCCTGTGTCCATGTGTTCTCATTGTTCAATTCCCACCTATGAGTGAGAACATGCGGTGTTTGGTTTTTTTGTCCCTGCGATAGTTTGCTGAGAATGATGGTTTCCAGCTTCATCCATGTCCCTACAAAGGACATGAACTCATCCTTTTTTATGGCTGCATAGTATTCCATGGTATATATGTGCCACATTTTCTTAATCCAGCCTATCATTGTTGGACATTTGGCTTGGTTCCAACTCTTTGCTTTGCACCCTGATGGGTCTTGACTCTTTATCCAATTTGCCAGTCTGTGTCTTTTAATTGGAGCATTTAGCCCATTTACATTTAAGGTTAATATTGTTAAGGGCAGCCAGAGAGAAAGGTCGGGTTACCCACAAAGGGAAGCCCATCAGACTAACAGCGGATCTCTCAGCAGAAACTCTACAAGCCAGAACAGAGTGGGGGCCAATATTCAACATTCTTAAAGAATTTTCAACTCAGAATTTCATATCCAGCCAAACTAAGCTTCATAAGTGAAGGAGAAATAAAATACTTTACAGACAAGCAAATGCTGAGAGATTTTGTCACCACCAGGCCTGCCCTAAAAGAGCTCCTGAAGGAAGCACTAAACATGGAAAGGAACAACCGGTACCAGCCACTGCAAAAACATGCCAAATTGTAAAGACCATCGAGGCTAGGAAGAAACTGCATCAACTAACGAGCAAAATAACCAGCTAACATCATAATGACAGGATCAAATTCACACATAACAATATTAACCTTACACTTCTTTTTAATTCCATTTTTAGAAAAGAGGGCTAGCTATAGCATAATCACTAAAATATGGATAGAACAAAATTATTTACTGCAACTTCTTAGCAACACTGGTAAAAAACTATTTCGTGGAAATGTTTAGTATTTCGTAGGGAAAACTAGCTGAATTTCTTTTAGATAAAAGGTAACTCTCCTTATTTTACTAGAAATAAATAATAAATGACTAAAGAGAATATAATTAAAGACTCAATTTTACCTGATAAAAATAAAATAAAATATTTTAACATATATGGAAAACTAGGCCCTATTTGTATCTTAATTTTATATTACCACACACTAAGACACAATCTTTATCTTTTTTTTCACTAAATTATTAAAAATGACACTTCAGTGCTAATCATGTAGATACATTCAAGTGTATATTCTTAGCAGTTCTTAAAACCAATGTCAAATTTTTGAATATTGAAAATTTGATTGAAAAAATAGTTTCCAAATATTTTTGAGAGAATTAGGACAATGGAAAATAACTGAAAAGCAAAATGATAATAGTAAAATCCTCAATATACCACAAAATTCAGGCCTGAATAATAATTCACTAATAAATGTATTAAATAAATTCGTTTCATAAAGATTGCAGATTTACATATTCTTTCAGAAAAACAAATGTCCTCCATGTTAATATATTTGCATATCTATCTTTTTTTAATGCTCTATTTGTTAATTTTTGTATTAATTTTGTTTTAAATTATCAGGCATTTAGAAATCTATTTGCTTTTCCCATTTGACAGTCCCTGAATTTTCTAAATGATGTTTTACTTTAATTTTTTGTTTTACATTTATTCTAATTTAATTGCACCCATTGGTTTAGACTGAAAAAGTGAGGGGCATATGAAACAAATAAATGCACGTCTGTATCTCACAGTAAACAAGAAGGGAAAGTATTTGTATTTCTTGCTGTCTGCCTTGCATTACGGCCTATGAAGTTCAAAGATGTACTCATCCTTTGACTCAGAAAACACACAGAATTTCAAATCCAGAGGTTTGAAAAAGTTCAGATTCTCACCCCTTGATGATAAACATTCTAATTGTAGATCAAAAGCATTGTACTTGATTTCAATTGCAAGGAAGTGTAGAGAATAAGAACAGGCTTGGAGGTAATAACAATTCAAACATATATGGACATTATTTTTAAAGTAGCTTTTATGAAAATATTAACAATCTAAAAATATAGTTTAAAATCTTAGAAAATATCCAAAGTAGGAGAAATTAGTATATTTGGGGAAAACATACTATATCATCTTTCACATACATATCTTAGCGAAGATAAAAACACACTCTAGTCATATTGATTAATCACCTATGTTCTGCCTCAGTTATTTGTTGAGAACATACTTTAAGCATTAAAGAAATATAAAGTGAAGAAGTAAAAATAAGTTATGTTAAAACATTTCTTTTGAAAACCATAAGACTATATTTACTAACAACAGACCAAAACTACCATGTTATCTGAAGTAAAAGGTATTTATCAAAGCAAGAGGGGAAATGGAAGCTCTGAAATGCTTTTCACAAAATCACTACTCATAAAATATACCATTTTCTGTCAGAATCTCCTTGAGTGCTAAAAAGAAAACAAAATTAAAAATATACCATTTACATGTACCCTTCGAAATGTACCATTTCTATCAAATGACAAAAGTTTAAAGCACAAGAAGTATAACAACACTCAAAACAACAGGGTTCATACCATACTGTAAAACTAAATTTTGCAGTGTGAGGAAAATTAATGAAGTATATAATTTTAATCTTATGCTAGAAATGATCAATGACAAGGGAGAATAAAATTAAAGGATTAATTTTACCATGATAAAAGAAAAATAAAACATTTTTGGAGCTTCAGCTATAAATTAATACTACAACTAAATAAAATGTAGCTTTAAAAGCTGCAGCCTAAATAAAAGGAAGAGACTAAACAATGCAAGAAGAAAAAATCCATTTTAAATGCTGGGTGAGAGGAAATTTGTTATCAAGACAGGGGACAAGAAATAACAAGAACATGAGATAATATTCAAAGCTAAAATCATTCATCATTCATTCATTCAGCAAATATTTATTGAACATTTGGTGTGTGCCAGATTCTGTTCTAGGAGTTCAAAATATGGCAGTAAACAAAACACACAAATTCTTGTCTTCATGAAGCTATATACAAGTGAGGGGAAAGAGACCAAAAAATATATAAATAATACATAGAATATGTGAATATTAAAGTAGGGATACATAGAATAAATAGAAAAAAATCAGTAGATTTTAACAGAGACTCCTCTTTGGGGTTTTTATACAGTGAAAGAATAAAAGAATAGCAGCAAATCCTCTAGATGAGGGAAAGGTGGCCAACCAAAGCCCACTCCAAAATTTTTCTGATCCCATATAGTCAGGATAATTATTAGGGGGGAACAGTGACTGGGAAACAGAAAAGTCTCCAGATAGGCTCACATCACCCACTCACAATATAATTGGAGAGACCTGATTTGGATAAACTTAGCATAGATTTGTGCAATTTTCTCCTGCCTCTGGTAATTATGCAATTCTGTATTTAGCTCTCTAGATTTCTTCCTCCATTTCTTACTTCTCATCTTTATAGAAACAGTTACCCTCCGATATATTTAACATCTTCCCCAAGGCAGTGTGTCCATAGTGGGACACATAAAAGATTAAGTGGTAGACAGTGCTAAAATTTTACACTTTTATTTACAGATATTATTGCTTACAACCAAATTAAGGATTTTTTTAAAGTGAGTACTGTAGATTTAAATTAAACCTCAAGAAAAAACTAGTGCAAATTTGGGCAGATGAAGTTCCCAAGAAGGTAAATTAATAGATACATGGTCTTAAGGAAATTCAGCTTCCTTAAACTCCTTTGGTTTTTAACCATTCTAGACCTTTTTCTAGTATTTGTCTAAGTTTGGTACACTTTACACTTCAACAGTCTTTTCTACTTCCTATCATGTCATTGCATAGACAAACATAGTGAAGATATTTGAAAGCACCATTTTCCTCATTGTCTATTTTCCACTTGCTTAAATAATTGTTTTCTGCTGGCTTCAGAGGCAGACATTTTTAGCACTTAGATTAACAAATGCTAGTGGTAATATTTTGGCTCCTTTTATTAAATCCTTAATGAGTTTTCGCTGTTTCACCTTTGCTCTTCTAACATATGTAGAAATATTATAATTGACTGTATTCCATCTGTAATATAATCATGTCTTATTTGAGTAAAATATCCAATCTGAAAGTGTGGTGTGTTCAGTTAAATCTTACTCAGATATACCCTTGGAAACACAAGTTTAGATAAAACAAAGACTGTAATGTAAGAATATAATTAAATGTTTTAATGACAAATATACAAACAATTCATTAAGAGTACACAGAACATTTTCCAATAGCAGGAGCTCAACTTCAAGTTTCTTTCTTAAAGTACTTTTATCGAACGTTTTCCAAGAGAAAAAGAGGATATGCAATTAGAAAACAGAAAAAAGTACACTGTACAGTGCAGTAAGACAAGGTTTAGTCCCTAAGTCTATTTTTTGGTGTATGGCAGTTAGGAAGTTTTGTTGTGATCTGATAGTACATAGGTCCTCAAACACATTCGAATTCATCTGTCACTTAATTTTATGAATCTAGAAGTGCCAGCAATAAAAATATGTTTAGATTTCAAAATCTGTTTAAAATGTCATCAAACTATTATAAAATATTATTTTCCAGTTAGGTAATAAATATTAATTTTAGTCACAGTATTTGCTGACAATCAATTAGAACTTTTCTGTTCCATGAGGAACCATAACAAAAAAAAATCTTTAAATAGCAATGCAATTACTGGCTTAAATAAGGTAAGATCACTTCATAGAGTCATACTTTCAGTTATACCTATTATTGCATTTTTTCAGATTCAAATAATTCTTTGGCAAAAAGGTTGACATTATTATTATTATTGTCATTACTGTTATTATTATCACTTTATTAGTACAACAAGCTAGAGACTCTATGGAAATAAATTACATATACTAAGGACAATTCAATATATTTGAAAAGGTATAAGATGGCAAATTATATGCGTAAAAGAAAATAAGGGAATCAGACAATGCCTGATCCATCTACAATTCCCCAATCAAGAATTTGCCAGATAAACTGCCATTTTCTAAAGGACACAATGGCTCAAACAGGGCACTCCTGACCTAGACACTCTACTGAAGACTCTGGTTCAAAGGGTATTTTCCAATCCACTTTTCGGTAGTAGCATGGAGGGTAGTAGGTAAGTATTCATTATTCTTAGAAAATGAAAGTCAAAAGAAATTAATAATGGTTATCATGTATTCCAGTGATGATTTCTATTTTTCAAAGAACTAAAAGAAATGTAAATGAGCAGGCTGGGGGTGGGGAGGTGAGGAGAAATACAATACAGACATGTCATTCCTTAAAATTGGCAACAAAGCAATTATTTACATAGTTCCTTTATCAGAAAGGTGGGACAGTACATCCTCTCAACTGCGCCCACATACAGCCCAGAGGAGGTCCAAATCAGTTATTTTTTTTTTTCAGAATGAAGCCACCTACGTATAGTCAGTCTTGGCTGGAAAAAGGTGAGCGCTTTCACCTTTTTCAGCATCCCTATCTAGTCTTTCTGGGTAGGCCAAACTTTGTAATTATTACCCTCAATATTTTGTAAAGTTATTCTCCCATATCCACCCTCACCCCACCCATGAGTCCCTGAGATCTTACACTCCTGCTCCAAAGTCCTGCTTCTCCTTTTATACTTTGACTTTGGTTGATGAACATTTTATACTGCTATCCCCCACCCCCGTGTCTGGGTGTAGTTTTAGAGTACTTCCAATTATTCAGTTCCTCCATTATCACTTGTATTATATACAACGTGCCACCTTATATTTTCTGTCGTAGTATATTGTATGGCTCCAGAAAGGTAGCAGGGTATAAATTTTGCCATACTATAGCTCAAAATCACTCTGAAGTTTTTTTTAAAAAAAGCTTTACAAGGTACGATAGAACTTGATAACAATAAATCTTGCTATGAAAACAAACTCAATATGACAACAGTCAGGATCTTGATGGCAGATCTCATGAGAGAACTTCAAAAAAGTTTGCATCCCAAACTTCTGAATTATGTCTTTGGGCCCTCTAATTTTGATGCTGGAGACATAGCTCTGTGACCCCCTGTGGTCCCTCTCCAACCCTCAAGTGCTGCAACTATGCAGGCAGAACCAAGACGAAGCCTATCTCTTGGAAAGCCACCCTCTTTTCTCCATCCCTGCCACCTTCTCCTTGGTTTTGCCCCTTCCTATTTCTTGTCAAAATATACACAACTGAGATTCATGCTACTATTCTTGCCTCTCCACCTCATCGGATCACTTTTCCATATCACTCTTAACTCTGGCTTTTGCATTATACTGAGACAACATTTTAAACATATTTCCTGCCACAATTGAGGGTGGTAGAATGATTTCAGGGGACTGCATCAGAGCAAATTTCTGTGGCAAATTATAGTATTTTAGATGACACAGGGGAATAAACTGAGAAGTTTCTGTGTCATCTACCAAAAAAAAAAAAAAAAAAAAAACCTTTGAAATCATAGAAAAGAATACCCTAAAAAGAACAAAGAAGCCACAAAGGGCAACCCATTAATTGTTTCTGACAAGATCTTGCCTCTAGAAAAACTTCTTCTATTGGCTATTAAATCAGAGTAAGAATTGGAATTTAAAATGGCCATTTGGCTAATCAGTGCTATTTAAATGACACAGTGTAGTCTATTGTTTCCTAAGTGACCAATGAAACTAGAGACAATGTATTTTTAAAAATCTAATCTCATATCGAAAAAAGTTATGGATTATCTTATTGAATATATTATGAAGAAGAATATATACAAAAAAAAATTATATGCCAATATGGGTTGAGTATCCCTTAGGTGAAATGCATGGGACCAAAAGTGTTTCAGATTTGGGATTTTTTTCTGATTTTTGGAATATCTGCATATACATAATGAGATATCCTGGAGATGGGATATAAGTCTAAACCCAAAATCTATTTATGCTTTATATGCATTTTATGCACATAGCCTGAGGGTAATTTTACACAATATTTTATTTATTATTATTATTATTATTTTGAGACAGAGTCTCGCTCTGTCACCCAGGCTGGAATGCAATGGCATAATCTTGGCTCACTGCAACCTCCGCCTGCCGGGTTCAAGCGATTCTCCTGCCTCCGCCTCCAGAGTAGCTGGGATTACAGGCATGTGCCACCACACCCGGCTAATTTTGTATTTTTAGTAGAGACAGCGTTTCACTATGTTGATCAGGCTGGTCTCGAACTCTTGATCTCAGGTGATCCACCTGCCTCGGCTCCCAAAGTGCTGAGCTTACAGGCTGAGCCACTGTGCCTGGCCATATACAATATTTTAAATAATTTTGTGCATGAGACAAAGTCTGTGTACGTTAAATAGTTAGAAAGCAAAGGTGTCACTATCTCAGCCACCCATACGGACAATCTGTGGTTGCTTGGCATGAGCTTATTCCTGACTCTGAATTTATATGCTACTGATAAGCAATCATTTTCTTATATTTAGTCAGATATAAGTACTTAACAGTAAAAAAAATATGGCGTATCATTAATACAGTGAAAAAGTAATGTGTTAAGTGTAGCTAAGCAGCACAGTTGCATCACCAGATACCTATAGCAGCTGTTAGACCACAGCAACAACAAACAGCAGCAGGCTTTCAGTCTCCACCTATGATGCTGTGTTTTGATTAAAAGGCTACTGTAAACAGCATTTTTTTTAGGTAAGAAAAAACATAAGAAGCAGTGGAAATGGGTCCTATAGGGATGAGGAGGAATTCTGCTGGATACGATTTTCAAATGTTCCCCTCAGAGTCATCTGCCTCATGAATTTTTTTGTCTTAGAAACCTTCCTTTGATTTTATAAACTGACATGATTTCTTGTTCTGTTATGAATGTGTGCTGCTCTATTCCTTCAATAATCCCATCACACATTTTCACCATGTCACTTATAGGCACTTCTTCTGCAGTGTTAAAAACGTCATCTTCACTACCCACTTGTGGCATCACGTCGGCACTCAAAAAGTTTTGGATTTTGGAACATTTTGAATTTCACATTTTCAGATTAGGGACACCCAACCTGTAAAACAATATATTTAAAACTCTATCTCCAAATAACATGTGGCTATGCTAAATAAAATAAAGGAAATGACTTCAAATATTACAACCAACTTTGAGTCATTCCTTATATTTCATCTAATTCTTACGTAGCCATATTCTGAATATAAACACTGCAAAAGTCCACATAACCACAACAACCAGTGAGATGTTGACAATGACAATGCATAACATGTTTTGTTAGCGCTGGCATAAGAAGGCATCTTTCCACCCTTCCATCTATTAGTGGAAGGAGCCTCGCACTGGAAATCCTGAAGATCAGGTCCAAGTTTTGGATCTGTCTGTATGTGATGTCACACCTTGTGTATATTACTTCAATCCTGTAGATTTGCTTCTCTATTGTTAATAATTTATTTATATATTTATATACACTTATTTCTAAAACTATCAAAATAATCTGGAGGCCAAAGTTAGTGATTTAGTTATGAATGCACAGATTCGTTTATGGTTAGACAGAAAAAACTGGGAGCAGCAGACAGGTGAACTGTAGACATTTTGTATGCTTTCAATCACAAAAATGAGAGGAGACAAAAGGATATTCTGGAATTCAATCAAGTAGGGTTAAGACTGTCATAAAGACAAAATTTCACCCTGGTTGCCATGGAAATGAGGCCCCTAACTTTTGATAATTATATTATAATATGAAATAACAGATATGAATCAAGTACTTTGTAGCGGCAAATGGAGCTTCACCTTGAGGGAAGGCTGAATAAGAGTTTGGGAGGGGTTTTTACAACAGGATAAAGAAGTTTGTTATATTTTAAAAAGGGTTAAACTGGGTCTGAATGCTACAAAAATTCTGATTCTGATAAACCTGTTGTTTGGTAAGAACCAGAGTAAATAAAGGAAATTATAAAATCACATCTTCTTCTACCTGTTTCACCCTTGTATCCTTAATATCTCTCATTCCGGAAGGTTGAGACTACCTAGAAAAGGAATCAGAAGCAGAACTAGGAGGCAGCATGGTGTAGTCTATACAAAGAAGAGGAAAAACAGACTAATTTAAATGAGGAATTAGGAAAAGCTTCACACAATGGAGATACTTGAGCTAGACTCAGAGATGACTGGATTTTTCTCCGTTATTAAATAGAGGGAGGAATTTCCTCGGCGGAGAGTCAAGCATGATTTATTTTGGGAGGATTTCATCCCGTATTATCCTGATCTAATACTCCAATACTACATCAAAGTACTACAGAAAGGGATAGAAGTCACTACAATGAAGATGATGATGATATCCTGATTGTCCTCAGAGCAAATCCATGCCTGCCTGCATGAGAAGCACCATGAAGTGTTACAAATGGCTGCTGTGGGATCTTAGAGGAAACATTAATGAGCCCTGAACAGATAAAGATGTACTCCTTCAGGTAGAAGCAAAAACTTACTTTCCAGAAAAATCATATGTAAAAGATTAATTTCATGTGGCCTTGGAGTAGATGGTGGTTAGGAATAATTTCAAGCTAGAATTTATGTTTAAGGAAGAATTTTACATTCATAAACTATACCAACATGACTGTCCAGAGCTTTAAATGGATAGGTTAGCCTGAGATAAAACAATACTTGCAATACTACATCTACTTTGTAAGATGTGCAGAACCTGAGATAATAGCCCTTGGAATTAAGGGAAACATGGGGAGCTTGCTTGGATCTAAGCCACAGCAGCTTGGAAGGAATGAGAGGAATGGTGTCTGTGAATTTTCAACTCTCTGGATAAAGTATGTCTGCATGCTTTAGGGGTAGAGGTGATGGCAATGGGAACAGGACAATGATCCCACTCTCTCCTTTAGTGTTGGTAGGAGTTATAGCATTAAGAGCTCCAGGCCAGTTCTCTAATGACCTTGGAATACCCCTCTCCTATTCAAAAGGAAGCTGGCAGATTCTTTAATTCTGCTCTTTGAAATGTTAAAGTTGTATATTTCACAATACTTGTGGATGAAGTAACATAAGCAATGGATTGGGAGTTCCTCAGACCTGAGTTCTATGCTGGATTTAATGCTTACTAACTATGCAACTCTGTGCAAGTTACTCATCCTCTCTGAGCTTCAAGTTTCTCCACTGAAGAATGGGAATGAATATATTTTAATTTCCATGGTTGATGTGAGGATTAAATGTTATAATGCCTAGCAAAAGCATACGAATTTTTTTTTTTTTTTTTTGAGACGAAGTCTAGCTCTGTCACCCAGGCTGGAGTGCAGTGGCACAATCTCGGCTCACTGCAAGCTCCACCTCCCAGGTTCACGCCATTCTCCTACCTCAGCCTCCCAAGTAGCTGGGACTACAGGTGCCCGCCACCACGCCCGGCTGATTTGTGTATTTTTAGTAGAGACGGGGTTTCACCTTGTTAGCCAGGATGGTCTCGATCTCCTGACCTCATGATCTGCCCACCTCAGCCTCCCAAAGTGCTGGGATTACAGGCATGAGCCACTACGCCCGGCCTAGGCATATGAAACTGTTAGCTTCCGTAGTCTTAGTTTCAGTCTACTCACCCTCAAAAAGCAGGTACAATTTACCCATGAAAGAATAATATATGAAGCTTAAATTTCTCTATGGCTGAAAGCAGGAAAATCAGGCTCAATAAACAAAATGTTTACCAAACAACAACTGTGTGCTTAGGGTTTTATTTGCTACAAGAATATTACATTAACACTTACGGCTAGTAACCAGATTAATCTTTTCCTAAAAGGTCAGGGTTATTTCATGTTTACTGAGGACCCACAAAGAGCCAAGTAATATCACAGCATGGACAAGATTCCATTTATTCAAGCTTTAAGTAATTTATCTGTTAAAAATGTGATGGCCCTGGAGGCTCCAGCGCTCAGCGGCCATCATTTGTACCTGCTTTAGAGAACAGAACACCTCTGCCCACATTATATACCCATACCAAGAAGTTGTTTTAAAAGGAGGCCAGAAAAAGGACATACTAGTTCTTGGGTTAGGGCCTTTGTTCTGTATAGATCCACCCATGGGCTGCTATGGATCTTCATGCCAGGTTCCAAATCTATTCATAACATGCAGCCTGGACACCACAATGTCACACCTCCTTCTAGAGTTGGCCATCTACATACTGACCACTAAATAAACATTCTTCATGACACCTCTTTTGCTCACTACTGAATATGGGTTTTTTTTTTTAGCATCACCCCAGAAAATAACTGGATAATTTTGAAGTTCACTTTCAAGTCCCCTCATTTTGACCAACATTCCAGCGTCTGAGCTCACTGTCAGCCTGAGAAGCAACATAACACAAAGGTTAAGAGGTGCCATGGGCCAGAATATCTGCAATCAAATCCTAGCTCTGTCATTCTTCTATGTTACCTTGAGCAATGCTTCCTAACCTTTCTCTCTGACTCAGTTTCCCCAGCTACAAAATGGAGACAATATCAGTATTTCAAAGAACTGTGAAAAGTAAATGAGCTGGCACCTAAAATGCACTTAGAAAGAAGCCTAGACATAACAATATTCAGTACATGTCTTTGATGATTATCTTTAGATGTTCCAGTAAGGACTCACCACCTCCTTACTGTCTAATTTGGTCTTCAATAAGATGTGTAGCCAGCAACATGTCTAGGTAGATGTAGTTTTTGCCCTGGCCCTGTCTAGCATATGCTGTGATAGAACTGACTGCTACGACTTGATAAAACAACTTATATGGAATTTCAGAGTTTCCATGAGCTTATAAATGCTTGCTAATTTTCCTAACATGTACACTAAGGAAAAGAGATATATAATATATTGTCAGGTGTCAAATGACAGAATATGTCTTGCCACTTTCTATCATATGTTGTTCAAAACAGCCTTGGTTTCCCATGAAAGCGGTGAATTGGGATAAGCTACCCATTAAAGAGTTAAGTTCTTCACTACTCCTGAGTTAACAGTTTGTCTACTATATCTATAATTTACCCAATGTCAGAAATCCCAAGGGGCTCTTAGCCAAAGTGAATAACGGAGCTGTGTTTTCCGTACAGGCAATACAAGAATGTGTATCATGAATCTTAATCTGATATAAAGAAGAGAAAATAATGAAATAATTATATATATGGAATAATGGCATCTAGCCAAAAAAGGGGAAAAATGCTTTACTGACATAGTTTAGGCAGATATTTTCAATCAAATTAACCATTTGTAGAGTCTTTGTAGTAAACTTGTAGATGAAAAAGCAAGACTGGAGAGAAACAGTCAAATGGTCAGCTAAAAAGGCATAAGGCAATGAAGTATTAAACTACCAGTTAATTTCACTTTGTTTCAAACTAAATGTATAAGAATATGAAGATTAGTATTCACCCTATGCAAAAGAGCACAAAAGCTGACAAATTTTATCTCAATAGATTCAGCAGACAGTTTATAGTCTGTATGTAAAACTCAGTTAACACAATGAACTGAAAAGCTGAATCTGTAGACATTAGAGGTAAAGGGGAGTCCTCAAGCATATCTCCAAAGAGGGCCCATGATGAGCCAAAACATACAATAACTGTGTGTGAAGGCCAATGCACTGTATTTGGGGACATGAATAGTTTCTTCAGTTTAAGAAGGTATTATGATCTTGGTGAAAGTAATTAGTGAAAACAAGATGGGAAGAGGTTACTTTTACGTGATAGTATCTGTTTAATTTAACAAATTAATAAAATAGTTTAGAATAATGGATGAAAATCCTTTTTTCTGAAAGGCTCTGAACATTAGGGATGTGATCATAATGAAAACTGTATAAGCTCGTGTTTCTTGAATTTAAAGTAATTTTTACATTGTTTTTATTTGCTTGCAATAGAAAAGGTGTATAATTTGGCTTTGGACTTTGAAATTACATAAAATTTAAGTTAGCAGTACATGAGAATAAACAGATGCCTGTTTTCTGGTTTTCCTTTTCACAGAAATTACATACATTTATTACTTTTAAAGGAAAATAATTGGGTAATTAACACCTAAATGTTATCTGTCATCCAATGGAACAATTTAAAAATTCAAATAAATAAAATTTCCTCAATGTGAGAATTTCTTTATGCTGTGAATATATGTGGTCCACAGTCACTATTTGACCTATGTTTACTATCTCTAAAGTAGATATGTATACTTCTGCTGGCATATGAATATTCTATGTGGAAAGATCATTCTGATCTAATATTACCTAAATGCAAGGTCATATGCATTTTTCAAATACTGTGTGTGCAGGAAATGACAAGAACAATCCTCAAAACTTAAATTCTATATTCACATGCTTTTGTGCCTTTTTAGAATGCTTAAGTGTTAACGTGAAGTCTGTGATTTTTCAAAGTACTGAATATAAAAACAAAAAATTGTTATCAGATAGGAAGATGAATCCAAACATTTTAAATTAGACAACTGATAAATTGTCTAATTTAATTTTTTAAATGTATGCAGGACTACATGTTATTTTGAATAACCCAAATGAACAGAGAACATCCAAATTTTCTTTCCTCAACATTCAGCATACAATTTTAGTTACATGACCTTTAATCTGACTTCTATCACTGTGCATTTTCTCATTTTAATATAATACAAATGACTGAGGTTACTAAGATGTAATTTTACACAGTTGTAATGTTTAATCATAAGGTTTATGACATCTACTATAGGTCCCTAGCATTAATTAACATACATTTTCTGAAGGAACCAATTGGGTGGTCTCCATTAAAGCTTATGTAAAAGAATAGTATTAGACAAGGATATTAACACAAACATCAGTAAAATTTAAAATTAAATTCTAAGTATGAAGACAATATTTTCATCTGCTTTTCCTTCTGCTACAGGGCCCCTCCTTGTAAGGATATTCCCACTCACTAGCCAGTTCTAACACATCATCCCACAGGTTGGAGTTCAAGCATCAGTTGTTCAGGAAAGCCTTCCTTAACTTCCCTGACAAGGTAATTCCCTATTATAAGCACTCATATCACCATGTACCTTTACTAAAGGTGGTGGCCATGGTTACAATGTTTTACATATATATACATATATGCTTATATGTATATGTATCATATATATATAATTTGATAAATATCTACTTATCCTTCACAATGTACGTGTTTCCATGTCTGTTATGTGCCTATGTTTACGGTCCATTGAATTCCCAGCAGTGGTTCATGTTGTTATCATAAAATTTTCTACTGATAAAAAAAATCACACACCAATCTGAATGAAAATCATACTGATTCTATAAGCCTTCTACACATAAACCACATAAATTTTCAGTTTTTATAACAAATGTAAATTTATTTTTGGCTGAGATATAACCACTTAGCAAGATGATATTTTCCTTTATAAATATCTCAGATTATGCTAGTTAATATGCATCACATACCTATTAATATACTAAGCTCCAAAAGAAAAATATGCGTTAGCAAATACTTCTTCGTGTTCTTTTGTATTTATTTCTTAAAAACTTTTTTTTTTTGAGACGGAGTCTCACTCTGTCACCCAGGCTGAAGTGCAGTGATGCAATCTCGGCTCACTGCAACCTCCGCCTCCCGGGTTCAGGTGATTCTCCTGAATAGCTGGGATTACAGGCACGTGCCACCACACCCAGCTATTTTTTGTATTTTTAGTAGAGAGGGGGTTTCACCATGTTGGTCAGGCTGATCTTGAATTCCTGACCTCATGATCCACCCACCTCGGCCTCCCAAAGTGCTGAGATTACAGGCAAGAGCCGCCACGCCCAGCCAAAACTTTTATTTTAGGTTCTGGATACATGTGCAGGTTTATCATATAGGTAAGTTGCATGTCATGAGCATTTAGTGTACTGATTATTCAGTCACCCAGGTAATAGGCATAGTACCTCTTAAGTAGCTTTTGATCCTCATGTCCTCCCTCCTTCTGCCCTCAAGTAGGCCTGGGTATCTTTTGTTCTTTTCTTTGTGTCCATGTCTATTCAGTGTTTAGCTCCCACTTATAAGTGAGAACACGCAGTATTTGGTCTTCTGTTCCTATGTTACTTTGCTTAGGATACTGAACTCCAGCTCCATCCATATTGCTGCAAAGGACATGATCTCATCCATTTTGGGGGGCTGTATAGTATTCCATAGTGTATATGTACCATGTTTTCTGTATCCAGTCTACCACTGATGGGCATTTATGTTAATTCCATGTCTTTGCAATTATGGAGAGTACTGAAATAAACATACAAGTGCATTTTCTTTTTTGCATAATGATTTATTTTCCTTTTCAGTATATACCCAATAATGGAATTGCTGAGTTGAATCATAGTTCTGTTTTAAGTTATTTTGGAAATCATTAAACTGCTTTTCACAATGGCTGAACTAATTTACATTCCCACCAGTAGCGTATAAGCATTCCCTTTACTCTACAACCTTGCCAGCATGTGTTATTTTTTTGACTTTTTAATGACAGCCATTCTGACTGGTATAAGATGGTATCTCATTGTGGTTGTTGATTATTGTTTCTCTAATGATTCGTGATGTTGAGCATTTTTTCATGTTCTTCTTAACCACATGTAAGTCTTCTTTAGAAAAGTATTTATTCACGTCCATTGCCCACTTTTTCATGAAGTTGTTTGGGGTTCATTTGCTTGTTAATTTGTTTAAGTTCTTTATAGATTCCGGATATAAGAGCCTTGTCAGATGTGCAGCTTACAAATATTTTCTCCCATTCTGTAGGTAGTCTCTTTACTGTGCTAATAGTTTCTTTTGCTCTGCAGAAGCTCTTTAGTTTAATTAGGTCCCATTTGTCAATTTTTGTTTTTATTGCAACCGCTTTTGGCATCTACGTCATGAAATCTTTAGGGCCTGTGTCCAGAATGGTATTTCCTAGATTACCTTCCATGGTTTTTATAGTTTCAGGTTTTACATTTAAGACTTTAATCCATCTTGAGTTGATTTTTGTATATGGTGTAAGGAAGGGGTCTAGTGCATATCCACCATTTATTGAATGAGTCCTTTCTCCATTGGTTGTTTTTGTCAACATTTTTGATGATCAGATGGTTGTAGGTATATGGCATTATTTCAGGTCTCTCTATTCTGCTCCATTTGTCTGTGTGTCTGTGACAGTATCATGCCGTTTCAGTTACTCCAGCCTTGTAGAATAGTTTAAAGATAGGTAGAAAATGTCTCCAGCATTTCTTTTTGCTTAGGATTGCCTTGGTTATTGAAGCTTTTTGTTGTTGTTCCATATGAATTTTAAAACAGTTTCTCTAATTCGTTGAAGAATGTCATTGGTAACTTGATATTAATAGCATTGAATCTGTAAATTGCTTTGGGCAGTACAGCCATGTTAACAATATTGATTCTTCCTATCCATGAGTATGAAATGTTTTTCCATTTGTTTCTGTTATCTCTGATTTCTTTCAGCAGTGTTTTGTAATTCTCACTGTAGAGACCTTTAACCTCTATAGTTAACTGTATTCCTAAGTACTTTATTCTCTTTTGCCTATTGAGAATGAGATTGTATTCTTCATTGGGGTCCCAACTTGGATGTTGCTGGTGTATAGGAAGGCTGCTGATTTTTTTTTTTTTTTTTTTTTTTTTTTTGAGACGGAGTCTCACTCTGTCGCCCAGGCTGGAGTGCAGTGGCGCAATCTTGGCTCACTGCAACCTCTGCCTCCCAGGTTCAAGCGATTCTCCTGCCTCAGCCTCTCAAGTAGCTGGGACTACAGGTTCATGCCACTGTGTCTGGCTAATTTTTGTATTTTTATTAGAGACGAGGTTTTACCATATTGGCCAGGCTGGTCTTGAACTCCTGACCTAATGATCCGCCCGCCTCGGCCTCCCAAAGTGCTGGGATTACAGGCATGAGCCACTGGGCCTGGTCAGAAGGCTGCTGATTTTTGTACACTGATTTTGTATCCTGATTGCTGAAGTCGTTTATCAGCTCAAGGAGCTTTTGGGTAGAGACTGTGGGATTTTCCAGGAATAGAATGATATTGTCTGCAAAAAGGAATAGTTTGACATCCTCTCTTCCAATGTGGATGCCTTTTATATCTTTCTCTTGCCTGACTGTTCTGGCCAGGACTTCCAATACTATGTTGAATAGGAGTGGTGAGAATGGGCATCCTTGTCTTGTTCCAATTTTCAAGGGGGATGCTTGCAGCTTTTGCTCATTAGTAAAATGTTGTTTGTGGGTTTTTCATACATAGTTCTTATTATTTTGAATTATGTTCCTTCAACGCCTGGTGTGTTGAGTATTTCTAACCTGAATGGATGTTGAATTTCATTAAAAGGTTTTTCTACATTAATTAAGATAATAATATAATCATGTGTTTTTTTCTTTTGAGTTCTGTTTATGTAATAAATAACATTTATTGATTTGCATTTGTTAAATGAACTTTGCATCCCAGGGATACAGCCTACAAGATCGTGGTGGATTAGCTTTTGAAATAGGAATACTTTTGCACTGTTGGTGGGACTGTAAACTAGTTCAACCATTGTGGAAGTCAGTGTGGCAATTCCTCAGGGATCTAGAACTAGAAAGACCATTTGACCCAGCCATCCCATTACTGGGTATATACACAAAGGATTATAAATCATGCTGCTATAAAGACACATGCACACGTATGTTTATTGTGGCACTATTCACAATAGCAAAGACTTGGAACCAACCCAAAGGTCCAACAATGATAGACTGGATTAAGAAAATGTGGCACATATACACCATGGAATACTATGCAGCCATAAAAAAGGATGAGTTCATGTCCTTTGTGGGGACATGGATGAAGCTGGAAACCATCATTCTCAGCAAATTATCGCAAGGACAAAAAAACCAAACACCGCACGTTCTCACTCATAGGTGGGAATTGAACAATGAGAACACATGGACACAGAAAGGGGAACATCACACTCTGGGGCCTGTTTTGGGGTGGGGGGGAGGGGAGAGGGATAGCATTAGGAGATATACCTAATGCTAAATGACAAGTTAATGGGTGCAGCACACCAGCATGGCACATGTATACATATGTAACTAACCTGCACACTGTGCACATGTACCCTAAAACTTAAAGTATAATAATAATAATAAAATAAATAAATAAAGAATTAATAGAACTATAAATTAGACTTAGCTAAAGAGATATATGAGGCAGATACACAATATGGAAAGAAAAAAGATAAAAACTATGAAAGAGAAATTGATTTGAGGTATAAGAATGAAAAGATGAATCATTTGTCTCATAGGAGTCCCACTAAGTGAGGAAAAAAAGAGAATGTGCAGAGATGATAATATATACAAAGTATGTGGCTGATATTCTCTAACAAAAAAAAGAATCATCAGATTGAAGAAATGGGAGATTGTATTTATATATACACACATAAATCGACAGGTATTCATAATTGTAATGAAATTCCATAACAACAAAGACAAAAAGAAAATATTTAAAGCTATCAGAGAGATATGAGAGCTTGTTATAGAGGTAGCAATTATACTAACACTTCTCATCAGCAACAACAAATGCTACTAGATTATGAAATATTATCTTCTAATTATTGAAGAAGACTAACCATCCAGCAGGAATTCTATACCCAGGATTCTATACTTGAATCTAAGTTATTGAAGAGTAAGGATAAAATAAAGAAATTTTCAGACATACAAAAATTAACAGTTTGTTACACTCATTAAAAACAAATTTTGGCAATAAAGAAGGAATTAGATCCAAGAAAAATATTTATCATAGAAATTTATAATAAACACTGATTTTTTTAATAACTGACATTTTGATTGGAAATAGTTTAAAATATGGTGTATCTAAAATGCTAAACATGATGGTTGATACAAGAAGGCAGATTGAATTTAAAGCATTAAACTAGTAGAGGCAATGGACAAAAGTATGAACTAAATGAATATACACCAAATTCATAAATGCAGTAGCCTCTGAAAAGAGAGGGCGGTTGCTGGAACTAAAGAAGTAACAGAGTGGACTTCAACCTTATCTTTGACGTCAAATTTTTAATAAAATATATTAAGCAAAAAACCAAAAATGTTAATTATTTATGTTGAGTAAATAAATGTTTGTTAATTTGATTCTTTCATTTTCGTATTTTCTAAATATTAAATGCAAGGTGGCAGATGTAGTTTTTTTTGCTTTTTTTTTAAGTAAGCAAGACTACTACAAGGTATTAAGCGAAGAGTATAAAAGTATTTTTATTTGCTTTGTCTTCTAAGCAACACTACTATAATGTCTTAAGCAAAGATCATGAAAGCGTTTTGATTCTAAAGCTCATAAAGCTTCAAGAATTACATAAACTGGAAAAGTTCTACTGCACAGTTGATTTCTCACTTAATCGATCATGAATATGAAATCAAACTACTGTTTCATTTTTAACCACTCCAAGGAATGACTAGTACAATTTTGCATCTTGACATTGAAATTATAGGACGTAAGCACAAGCAAATCAAAGCAGTCTGGATTTGATTTCAAAAATACACATGAATTTCCCATTTAGAGATTTAAAAAAACATATAATATGAATATTTCCAAATGTGTATGGAGGGGTTTTTAGGAAACTTCGTCATATAGGCTAAGTAACTTGGTTATTTTTCTTCAGTCAAGCCTCTCAGTTTAGGACATTTACACATCAGTGGGTTAACTGGCAACTAGTCCATGAGCAGTATGTCAGTTATAATTAAAAAAACAGTAATACTATTAAGTATGTTTTTCCACGTATTATTTGCCTTTCCAGAAGAAAAGTGAAACCTTATAAAAGATGGGATAATTTCAAATAGCTATGTTGTTCATGCTCTTGTAAATGAGGTCTGCAACTTTTAAAACCAAAATGGAGTGCGAATGTCCCAGTAAATCTGCATCAGATGTGCTTCAGTTTGAAAGGAAATGATATCAAATTCAAGTAGTTAAATGAATCGTGAAAAAAGTGTAATCTACACAGACCACGTTATGCAACTGCTCTAGTTGTAGAAGTCTATGTACAGAGCAAAACAATTCCTTTATCATTTCTAAAAATAAATGTAGTTGGTTGTTCCTCTACAGCTGGATGAGGTATTTCTTCATAGTATTTTTCAAGGCATTTTAAGGGCAAAAAATGAGTCATGTTAGTTAAGATGAGAGGTAACATAGCTTAGCAGTTCAGAGAGGGTACTCAGGAGTTCTACTGCCTGATGTTTGAATCATGGTCTCCCTGCTAGCTGTGTAAGCTTATACAAGCCTCTTAACTACTGTGTGCCTCTGTTTTATAATCTACAAAATGGGAATGTGTGTGTATGTATGCATGTGTGTGAAAAATAGATGTCATTATGCAAAATATTTCAATGTACAATCAACATCTCTTTCATATTTTAAGAACTATAATTGAAATATTTTCTACTATAATTTTAGGCTTTACAAAGTTAAATCTACAGCTGTTCATAATATAAATTTTATCCCCTTCACGTTTGAAAATATTAGTCTGGAGATGTGGCTTTATGTAGGCTTATATAACTAGATACCTTTTTTAATCTGCCTGGAGCAATATGACTCCTCTGTTTAGACTACTCTTGTACCAACTTCCAATTACCACCTATAAATAGACAGAAACAGTGTGGGCCTCTTTTTTTCACATTAAAAAAGAACCTGAAGAGTAAAACTTAGTTAAAAAAATTACTTTGACCCATATTTGACTTTGAAAACATAATAAACGGTTCATTAATGATGCACTAAAATAGCAAATATTTAAGTGCTCTGTATATCCAAAACAATGAGCAAATAGTGAAGCAAGAATATTTGAGGTGATGAGTAATGCTGATCTCCCAAAGAAAGGGAGAGGCATCCACTCTTGGAGTGCTAGATCTTTTTGACAAGAATGCAGCTTAACTCTAAGGTTCAAAAGTCTGTATGCATGTGTGTGTCTGTCTGTTTGTGATGGGTGTGCATGTACAGAGATATGAGGTGGGCTATTGGCAAAAGACAGAAAGAACTAGAACAATAGAAACCATTTCATCTGCAAAGAAACAAAGGATATAAAAATAGAGCATATATAGCACAGAAGATAGAAAAAGCATGCTGAGAACTTAAATCATCTAAAACTATTAAAATAGTTTAAATAGGATAATATTTAATGTAAGATCATTTCTAATTTTGTTTCAAAGTATAACCATATACCTTCAGGAAATATGTACTTACAGGAAAATAACAGATGAACTAAGAATAACTAAGGTACACCCAAGAACAATTGAGAGTCCATAAAAAATGTGTGGAAAACCTTGGAATTATATGAATATCATTTTTAAATTGTTTAAATTCAAATATTAAGTCACTGGAGAATTATGGAAAAGGATATATGAACAATCAATAGAATACATGGTTTTTTAACTTTTTTTAAATTGATGCATTTTTAGTGAGTTTTATTATTGCTTTTATTTTTAGTAGTGCAGTTTTAAGTTTTGACAAAAATTGGTCATAAAGTACAGAGTCCCCATATACCCTCTCTCCCCTGTCCAAAGTTGGCCCTATTATTAACATCTTGCATCACTGTGGTACATTTGTTACAACTGATTTACCAATATTGATACATTATTATTTATTAAAGTCCAGAGATTACATGAGGGTTCATTCTTGTACAGCTCTGCGGGTTTTGCAAATCCGTAATATCATATATTTACCTTTAGAGTATCATACAGAATAGTTTCACGGCCCTAAAACTGCCATATGCTCAACCTATTCACTCCTCCTACTCAACTCCTATCAACCACTGATCTTTTTATTGTCTCTATAGTTTTGCCTTTTCCATAATGTCATATAGTTGGCATCAGGCAGTATATAAAGGCTTTTAAGACTGGCTATCTTTCACTTAGTAATAGGCATTTAAGGTACCTCCATGTCTTTTCATGACTTGTTAGTTCATTTCTTTTCTTTTCTTTTCTTTTTTTTTTTTTTTGTGAGACGGAGTCTCGCTCTGTCGCCCAGGCGGGAGTGCAGTGGCACAATCTCGGCTCACTGCAAGCTCTGCCTCCCGGGTTCAGGCCATTCTCCTGCCTCAGCCTCCCGAGTAGCTGGGACTACAGGCACCCGCCACCACACCCCACCTGGCTAATTTTTTTTTTTTTTAGTAGAGACGGGGTTTCACCATGTTAGCCAGGACAGTCTCAATCTCCTGACCTCGTGATCCTCCCACCTTGGCCTCCCAAAGTGCTGGGATTACAGGCGTGAGCCACCGCGCCCGGCCAGCTCATTTCTTTATATCACTAAATAAGTCAGGCATACCTCATTTTATTATGCTTTACTTATTGTGCTTCACAGATATTGAATGTTTTACAAATTGAAGGTCTGTGGCAACGCTGCATCAAGCACATCTATCGGTACCATTTTCCCAAGCGGATGTGCTCACTTAGTGTCTCTGTGTCAGGTTTTGGTGATTCTTACATTTCAGACATTTCCATTATTATTTTATCTCTTATGGTGATCTGTGATCAGTGATCTTTGATGTTATAACTGTAATTGTCTTGGGGCACCATGAACCACACCCATATAAGACAATGAACTTAATCTATAAATGTGTGTGCTCTGACTGCTCCACTGACCAGCCATTATCCATATCTCTCCCTCTCCTCCAGCCTCCCTATTCCCTGAGACACAACAAGATTGGAATTAGGCCAATTAATAAACCTACAATGGCCTCTAAGTGTTCAACTGAAAGAAAGAGTCACATGTGTCTCACTTTCGATCAAAAGCTAGAAATGATTAAGCTTAGTGAGGAGGACACGTCAAAAGCCAAGACAAGCTGAAAGCTAGGCCTCATGTGCCAAACAGTTGGCTGAATTGTAAATGCAAAGGAAAATTTCTTGAAGGAAACTGAAAGTGCCACTTCAGTGAACACACATTTGATAAGAAAGTGCAACAGCCCTATTGCTGATGTGGAGAAAATTTGAGCAATCTGGATAGAACATCAAACCAACCACAATATTCCCTTAAACCAAAGCCTAATCCAGAACAAAGCCCGAAGTCTCTTCAATTCTATGAAGGCTGACAGAGGTGAGGAAGCTGCAGAAGAAAAGCTGGGAGCTAGCGGAGGTAGGTTCCTGAGGTTTAAGGAAAGAAGCCATCTCCATAACATAAAAGTGAAAGATGAAGTAGCAAGTGCTGATGTAGAAGGTTCAGCAAGTTATCTAGATCTAGCTAAGATAACTGATGAAGGTGGCTATACTAAACAAGAGATTTCCTGTGTAGGCAAAACAGCCTTATTTTGGAAGATGACACTATCTGGGATTTTCATAGCCAGAGGGGAGAAGTCAATACTTAGCTTCGAAGAGTCAAAAGACAGGCTAACTCTCTTGTTAAGAGCTACAGCAGCTTGTAACTTTAGTTTGAGGCCAATGCTTGTTTAACATTCTAAATATCGTAGGGCCATTAAGAATAGGCTGGGCAAGGACTTCATGTCTAAAACACCAAAAGCAATGGCAACAAAAGCCAAAATTGACAAATGGGATCTAATTAAATTCAAGAGCTTCTGCACAGCAAAAGAAACTACCATCAGAGTGAACAGGCAACCTATAGAATGGGAGAAAATTTTTGCAATCTACTCATCTGACAAAGGGCTAACATCCAGAATCTACAATGAACTCAAACAAATTTACAAGAAAAAAAACAAACAACCCCATCAACAAGTGGGAGAAGGACATGAACAGACACTTCTCAAAGGAAGACATTTATGCAGCCAAAAGACACATGAAAAAATGCTCATCATCACTGGCCATCAGAGAAATGCAAATCAAAACCACAATGAGATACCATCTCACACCAGTTAGAATGGCAATCATTAAAAAGTCAGGAAACAACAGGGGCTGGAGAGGATGTGGAGAAACAGGAACACTTTTACACTGTTGATGGGACTGTAAACTAGTTCAACCATTGTGGAAGTCAGTGTGGCGATTCCTCAGGGATCTAGAACTAGAAAGACCATTTAACCCAGCCATCCCATTACTGGGTATATACCCAAAGGATTATAAATCATGCTGCTATAAAGACACATGCACACGTATGTTTATTGCGGCACTACTCACAATAGCAAAGACTTGGAACCAACCCAAATGTCCAACAATGATAGACTGGATTAAGAAAATGTGGCACATATACACCATGGAATACTATGCAGCCATAAAAAAGGATGAGTTCATGTCCTTTGTGGGGACATGGATGAAGCTGGAAACCATCATTCTCAGCAAACTATCGCAAGGACAAAAAAACCAAACACCGCACATTCTCACTCATAGGTGGGAATTGAACAATGAGAACACATGGACACAGGAAGGGGAACATCACACTCTGGGGCCTGTTTTGGGGTGGGGGCAGTGGGGAGGGATAGCATTAGGAGATATACCTAATGTTAAATGACGAGTTAATGGGTGCAGCACACCAACATGGCACATGTATACATATGTAACTAACCTGCACATTGTGCACATGTACCCTAAAACTTAAAGTATAATTTAAAAAAAAAAGAAAAAAAAAGAATGATGCTAAATGCACTCTGCCTGTGCTCTATAAATGGAACAACAAAGCTTGGATGACAGCACATTTGTTTACAACATGGTCTACTGAATATTTTAAGATTACTATTGAGACTTACTGCTCAGAAAAAAAAAAAAGATTCCTTTCAAAATATTACTGCTCATTGACAATGCTCCTGGCCACCCAAAAGCTCTGATCTACAAGATGAATGTTTTTTTCACACCTGCTAACACAACATCCCTTCAGTAGTCCATGGATCAAGGACTAATTTCAACTTTCAAGCCTTCTTGTAAGAAATACATTTAATAGGGCTATAACTGCCACAGATAGTAATTCTAAACCTTCTTAAAAGGATTCACCATTCTAGATGCCATTAAGAACATTCATGATTTGTAAAAGGAGGTCAAATTATAACATAGGCTGGGCCCATATATATATATATATATATATATATATATAGGCCCAGCCTGTGTTATATATATATATATATATATATAAACATGAATGAGAGTTTGGAAGAAGTTGATTCCAAGCCTGGTGGATGAATTTGAGGGCTTCAAGACTTCAGTGAAGGAAATCACTGCAGATGTGGTAAAAATAGCAAGAGAACTAGAATTAGAAGTGAACCCTAAAGACATAACTAAATTGCTGCAGTCTCACAACAAAACTTGAACAGATGAGGAGTTACTTCTTAAGGATGAGCAAAGAAAGTGGTTTCTTGAGATGGAAACTACTCCTTTTGAAAATGCTATGTAGACTGTTGAAATGACTACAAAGGATTAGAATATCCCACAAATTTAGTTGATAAAGCAGCGGTACTGTTTGAGAGGACTGAACCCAATTTTGAAAGAAATTCTACTGTGTGTACAATGCTATCAAACAGCATCCCGTGCTACAGAGAAATTGAAAGGATAAGTTAACCACACCAAACTTCCCTGTTGTCTTACTTCAAGAAATTGCCACAGCCACCCTAACCTTCAGCAACCATCACCCTGATCAACAATGAGCCAAGACCCTCTATCAGCAAAAAGACTGTAACTCACTGAAGACTCAGATGATCATTAGCAATATTTAGCAATTAAGTATTTTTAAATTAAGGTATGTACATGTTTTTAGATATAATGCTATCAAATAATAGACTAAAGTATAGTATAAACATAATTTTATTTGCATTAGGAAAGCAAACAATTTCTGTGACTCACTTTATTGCTATACTCAATTTATTGTGGTGGTCTGAAACCAAAACTGCAGTGTCTCCGCATTATATCTGTATTCCATTATATCTGTGTACCATAGTTTGTCTATGCATTTTTCCACTGAAGGACATCTTGGTTGCTTCTACTTTGGTCCAATTATGATAAAGTAGCTAAAAATATTCATGTAAAAGTTTTTGTGTGGACAGTCTTCAACTCAGGGTAAATACTAGAAGCATGTGTGCTGGATCATACAGTAAGACTAAGTTTAGCTTTGTAAGAACCTACCAACCTGTCTTCCAAAGCAGCTGTACCATTTTGCATTCCCACCAGCAATGAATGAGAGTTACTGTTGTTCCACGTCCTTGTCAGCATTCAATGTTATCAGAGTTTTGGGTTTAGCTATTATGATAGCTAATTGTTATTTTAACTTGCAATTCTTTAATGACATATAATACTGAGCATCTTTTCATGTGCTTATTTGCCATCTGTACATCTTATTTAGTGAAGTATCTGTTCAAATCTTTCCCTTACTTTTTACTTGAGTTGTTTTCTTATTGTTGGGTTTTAAGAATTATTTGTATATTTTAGATACCAGTCTTTTATCAGATGGATATATATTTACAAAGTTTTCTCCCAGCCTGTGGCTTGTCTTTTCGTTCTCTTAACAGTGTCTTTCACAAAGCAGAAATTTTTTATGTAATGAAGTCTCACTTGCCAATTTCTTCTCTCATGTACAGTGTTTTTGGTGTTGTATCTAAAAGAAGCTCATCAGCAAACTACGATCACCTATATTTTGTCCTATGTTATCTCCTAAAGTTTTATAGTTTTGCAACTTACTTTTGGGATATGTTGAACATATAGTTGGAAAGAACAGACATCCTAGCAATACTGACACTGTTCTTTGCATTTAATGTCTTTTTTCTTTTCTTTTTTTTTTTTTTGAGACAGAGTCTGGTGTGCTGTGGCATGATCCTGGCTCACTGCAACCTCTGCTGCCTCCCAGGTTCAAGCAATTCTTGTGCCTCAACCTCCTGAGTAGCTGGGATTATGGGCGTGTGCCACCACACCCAGCTAATTTTTGTTATTTTTAGTAGAGATGGGGTTTCGCCATGTTGCCCAGGCTAAACTCGAACTCCTGGCCTCAAGTAAACCACCCGTTGGCCTCTGAAAGTGCTGGGATTACAGGCATGAGCCACCTCAGCTGGCCGAAATTAATGTCTTTTTTTCTGTGACAATTTTTATTTAAGAAAATATTTCAGACATCTTCCTAAATCAAGGACTATACGTTTTTACATCATTTTCATGGATACATACATAATATTCCATTAAGTAAAAATCTAACTTATGTAAGCAATTCTTCATTGATAGCCATTTAGGTCTTTTCTAACCTTTTGCTATTACAGTTAAGACTATACTAAAATACAAAAATTAGCTGGGCATGGTGGCACATGCCCGTAGTCCCAGCTACTCGGGAGGCTGAGGCAGGAGAATGGCGTGAACCCGGGAGATGGAGCTTGCAGTGAGCCGAGATCACGCCACTGCACTCCAGCCTGGGTGACAGAGAGAGACTCCATCTCAAAAAAAAAAAAAAAAAGAAAAATATTTATGACCATTTCCTTAAAACATTATTTTAAGTAAAATTATTGGATATAAAGATATATAGAACACAGACTTCCAGATTCCCTAATTGTTAACATTTTACTTCACTTGCTTTATTGTCTACACACGCACACACACACTCTCTCTCTCTCTCTCTCTCTATATATATACATAGAAAAAACTATATATATAGTTTTTAAGAGTAAATTGCAGAATGATGCTCTTTTCCCTAAGCACTTCAGTTTATTTCTTAAAAACAAGCCAGTTTTTTACAGAACCATGTATAACTATCAAAATCAGAAAATTTACATTGACATAATACTATTATCTTGCCCAATTGTACTGTAAACCTAAAATTGCTCTTAAAAATAAAGTCTATTAATTTTTTAAAATGGTATTGTCATGAAAGACAAAGAGAGACTGAACAGCTGTTACAGATTAAGAAAACCTAAAATGATATGACAACTAGATTAAATCCTGGACCATGTATTTTATGTTTGCTTTAAGAATTTTCTTGGGATAATGGGTCAAATACAAGTATGGTCCATAAATTAATTTCTAAAAGCAAAGGGAAATTTTAAAGGCTCAGCCCAGCAGACCCTAAAAAAAGTAAAGTTGGCATCTAAATCCCAGTGTATCCGGAATTGGTGGGTCCTTGGTCTCACTGACTTCAAGAATGAAGCCGCGGACCCTCGCGGTGTTACAGTTCTTAAAGGCAGCGTGTCCGGAGTTTGTTCCTTCTGATGTTCAGATGCGTTCGGAGTTTCTTCCTTCTGGTGGGTGCATGGTCTCGCTGGCTCAGGAGTGAAGCTGCAGACCTTGGCGGCGAGTGTTACAGCTCTTAAGGCGGCGCATCTGGAGTTGTTCGTTCCTCCCGGTGGGTGCGTGGTCTCGCTGGCTTCAGGAGTGAAGCTGCAGACCTTTGTGGTGAGTGTTACATCTCATAAAGGTAGCGTGGACCCAAAGAGAGAACAGTACCAAGATTTATTGCAAAGAGCAAAAGAACAAAGCTTCCACCATGTGAAAGGGGACCCGAGCCTGTTGCCACTGCTGGCTCCGGCAGCCTGCTTTTATTCTCTTATCTGGCCCCACCCACATCCTGCTGATTGGTAGAGCCAAGTGGTCTGCTTCCACAGGGCGCTGATTGGTGCCTTTACAATCCCTGAGCTAGACACAAAGGTTCTCCAAGGCCCCACCAGAGTAGCTAGATACAGAGTATAGATTGGTGCATTCACAAACCCTGAGCTAGACACAGGGTGCTGATTGGTGTGTTTACAAACCTTGAGCTAGATACAGAGTGCCAATTGGTGTATTTACAATCCCTGAGCTAGACATAAAGGTTCTCCACGTCCTCACCAGACTCAGGAGCCCAGCTGGCTTCGCCCAGTGGATCCTGCACTGGGGCTGCAGGTGGAGATGCCTGCCAGTCCCGCGCTGTGCGCCCGCACTCCTCAGCCCTTGGGTGGTCGATGGGACTGGGCGCCGTGGAGCAGGGGGCGGCGCTCATCGGGGAGGCTTGGCCGCACAGGAGCCCACGGAGTGGGTGGGAGGCTCAGGCATGGCGGGCTGCAGGTCCCGAGCCCTGCCCCGCGGGAAGGCAGCTAAGGCCCGGCGAGAAATCGAGCACAGCGCCGGTGGGCTGGCACTGCTGGGGGACCCAGTACACCCTCCGCAGCCGCTGGCCCGGGTGCTAAGCCCCTCATTGCCCGGGCTGGCAGGGCCGGCCGGCTGCTCCGAGTGCGCGGCCCGCCAAGCCCACGCCCACCCGGAACTCCAGCTGGCCCGCAAGCGCCGCGCGCAGCCCCGGTTCCCGCTCGCGCCTCCCTACACATCTCCCTGCAAGCTGAGGGAGCCGGCTCCAGTCTTGGCCAGCCCAGAAAGGGGCTCACACAGTGCAGCGGTGGGCTGAAGTGCTCCTCAAGTGCCGCCAAAGTGGGAGCCCAGGCAGAGGAGGCGCCGAGAGCGAGCGAAGGCTGTGAGGACTGCCAGCATGCTGTCACCTCTCACCAGCATTCAATCCTTATAAACAGTTGCGAAAATCCTATGTATACAAACAGCTACCAGTGCCAATACCTCTGCTAAGGGCCACACCCTTACTGCGCCATCACAGACCCTATGGAAACACTGAGGTCCTCTGCTAAAGACAGGGGCACCATTCCTGCTATTGCTAGACCCCAGAGGCCAAAACTTTGCCCTTTACATTCCCTGATATTTAGCAACTCACTAATTCATGAAGCTTCTATACCTAAACCCCACCTGAACTGATCAACAACCCTTTTTCTCACTTTTACCCTAACCAGATACAACCTACCTGCTTCTACCAACTTCCCTCTCACACTCAAATACTAGGAACACAAAGAAAATCAGGACTTAGAGTGGTTTCAGGGAAGTAAGAAGTTACAGCCACCATTAGGACACTATTTTCAGCTTACACTATGGTTTGAGCAGCCTTTTGTGGGTGGGCCTGGAAACCTGTCATGTATAACACTAGTTCTTTAGAAAAAACATTCTAAGTTTCAAACAACTACCTTAAAAAAATATTTTGGATCACCTAAGCTTGAGACCACTTGCACTTTTATATTAACACAGAAAATTGAAATCAATATCCATATGGAATCTCATTATAAAAGCCTCTATTTTGAAATATAGATTGGTCAGTTATAATTGTACTGAAATCAAGAAGTTTCTACCTTAGCAAACTACACTTGCGACTTGATTGGCATAAGGTTGTATTAAAGGTTTAAAAGGCGATATTGATCTGAAGATTTCAAGTACTGTACTTCAAAGTGAAACTGTTTCAGTAATTATTTTTAACAATACACAGGACACTGTGAGAATCATATTTGAAAAGCTAAGTACATTTTAGAAAATGAATATACTTTTTCAAAGAGAATAACTACATGTTAATACATATCTATCATAGTTAAAAATAAAAAGTATCAAGGAAAGCTATTAGATGAATCAGATTTTATTGTTCCAATATTTCTCATATATGTTTTTAAAAAGTAGTCATGTTTACAGACTAAAAGTATCCTGATTTAAATTTCCCCTTTCAAAGCAGAAGAAAATATGTACTTCTTTTCTGTAATATTCCAAGCTACTAAAATATAACCAATGAAGTCATTTGATATCATTTTTAAGCTAGAATTATTTGTTTTCACCTTGCAATTATTCTGAAGAGGAAAACAAATTATTCTGCCATTATAGAAAAAAATACCAACAAGAAGACCCAATAAATAGGATCTAAAGATGTCAGTGAACACCCATCTGACCTACAACCTGAAAGAAACTTCCCCCAAACAGGCAGATGACAAATTGGAAAATAACGTCTGGAATTTAATCCCAGGAAATCAGATCCAATCTGAAATGCTGGGCAGCAAGCACAGTGCTCACTGGAATACGGTATCAGGTAGAATGGCTAGTGTATAAGGATTCAAGCACCATGGTAGCAATTCTACAGACAGCTATTCACAACAGTGGCATTTGAAAACCATAGGCCTCTGAGAATAAAAGTCATAATGGAGCGAAATAACAGTACTGGTATGCAGGTCATAAATACCATATGCATTCAATTATTTAAAAAATGGCAGTATATTTAATAATTTCTCCTCCCTACAAAACATGATGAGAGAACAAAGAGGGCAGGAGCAGCCTCACAATAAATGACCTCTAAACAAGAAGGATCTGAAGTTTGTAATAAGAATCCCAGGAAGCCACGTAACTTCTAGATAGTATACAAAGCTAAGGGGAAGATATGACATTGTCAGGACACTAATGGCCCCCTAAGAGCTATGAGTATCCTGCCTCAGTTCAGCAGTCTGTAGGCCAAATCAACTGTGCAGAAGACTGAAGTAGGCTGGGATCAAAGTGGAGCTTAGGGTTATAGGAAGAGGCCAGGCCCAGGCAGCAGTCTGCAACAGATAAAAATGTTGACAAGACTGAAGCTAATGGTATGATCAGAAAGGCACACGGTCTTAGCAGTGCCATCAATCAAAGTAGGCTTGAAGCACAGTCATAAACAAAGGATGGAACTAAGTGATGGAGGCTTAAGGCCTAGGGCTGGGATACTATATAAGATTGAATCTGCTATGGGGTACAAGGCAGATTCCAAAAACAAGTTCCTGTGATAGTTTTATGTGTCAACTTGCCTAGACCACTGTACTCAGATATTTGATCAAATAGTATGTTTCTGTGAAAGTGTTTTTTAGATGTGATTGATATTAAATCAGTTGACTTGGAGTAAAACAGCTTACCCTCCATAATATGGGTGAGCCTCATCCAATCAATTAAAGGTCTTAACAGAAAATGACTCACCGCCCCTGAGGCAGAGGGAATTCTGCCAACGGATCACCTTCGGACTAAAACTGCAACTCTTTCTCAGGTCTCCAGCCTGCTGGCCCACCCTGAAGATTTTGGATTTGTCAAGCTTCCACAATCATGTGAGCCATCAATAAGCCTCTTTCTATATATACATCCTGTTAGCTCTGTTTCTCTGGAGAACCCTAACTAATACAGTCCCAATATGAAGAATGTAGAGGCCAGGCGCGGTGGCTCACGCCTGTACTCCCAGCACTTTGGGAGGCTGAGGCAGGCAGATCACAAGGTCGAGACCAGCCTGGCCAACATAGTAAAACCCTGTCTCTACTAAAAATACAAAAATTGGCTGGGCATGGTGGCGGGCGTCTGTAATCCCAGCTACTTGGGAGGCTGAGGCAGGAGAATCATTTGAACCCGGGAGGCAGAGGTTGCAGTGAGCCGAGATTGCACCACTGCACTCCAGCCTGGGCAACAGGGTGAGACTCCGTCTCAAAAAAAAAAAAAAAAAAAGAATTTAGAGGAGCTGCTTCCCTATTTCACACAGTCCTGCTCACCAGGATGTCTTTCCTGGAGCTATCCATCAATTGCATAAGAGCCTTGCCTTCTTCATCTTTGTCTTTCACACCATGACTAGATAGGGCCTGACACACAGCAGAAAATTAACAATCCCTTTTAGACATATCTGAGATTAAGATTCAGGTACTTTCTGTCCTGTGTGATTCCTCAAGACTGTATACATTGCTGATATACAGATCAGCATGGGAGTTTTGACCTCTTCTATTTCAGACCTGGGCTGCTTCACCCCTCATTAGGCAAACTAGTAGTCCCCCACTCCTGGGAGGTCAGTATATTGATGCCAAACAGTGTGGACACCCAAAAGGGATAGCACACTACAGCCCAGAACTTCTGGACTCCAGTGATCTTCCTACCTCAGTCTCCCCAGTAGCTGGGACTACAGCACCAGCTCAGTGCTGATATACTCTCCTCAATTCCTTATGTGAGCAAGCAAAGCCTATACAAATATCTGAGCACCTAAAATAATATCACTTGTCCTTCTTGTTTCTTTCCTGTGGCTAATTTAGAGAGCTGAATTTAGTCTTGTTCCCATTACAAAGGCTTAATTTGATTATTTAAAGATAAACTCCAATCTGTTCTACAAAATGCTTCTCAATTCTTTTTTTTTTTTTTTTTTTTTTTTTTTTTCAGAAATCCAAAGGTTGAACTGTGAACTGTAGAGTCAAAAATCGAGTTCCCCCAATCTAAGAACTGGGAATAAGTCAGAAAGTAGCATCTAACAATAATCGCATCTAACAATAATATCCACCTTTTATTTTACTTTTTTTAAAAGAAAATGGGCTTATATTTGCCTTTTTAAAAATTTGTATAAATGTATGAGGTATAAGTGCAATTTTATTATATACATGGACTGCATGCATAGTGGTGAAATCAGGGTTTTTAGGGTATCCATCACCCAAATAATGTACCCATTAAGTAACTCCCAGTCATCCACCCTCCTCCCATCCCCTCACACTTCCTAGTGTCCATTGCATATCATTCTAAATTCTACGTCCATATATACACATTATTTAGGTCTCACTTATAAGTAAGGACACAAGGTATTTGTCTTTCTGTGTCTGAGTTGTTTAGCTTAAGACAATGGCCTCTAGTTCTATCCATGTCGCTACAAAAGAGATTATTTCATTCTTTTTTATAGCTGAATAGTATTCCATTGTGTATAGATACTACCTTTTCTTTATTAAATCATATGTTAATGGACACTTAGGTTGATTCTATATCTTTGCTATTGTGAATATTGTGCTGTGATAAGTATAAAAATGCAGGTATCTTTTTGATATAATGATTTATTTTCCTTTGAGTAGATACACCATAGTGGGATTGCTAGATTGAATGATGGTTCTAATTTTAGTTCTTTAAGAAATCCCCATACTGATTTCCATAGAGGTTGCACTCATTTACATTCCTACCAATAGTGTATAAGCATTCCCCTTTCTCTGCATCCTCACCAACATCTGTTTTGTTTTGTTTGTTTTACTTTTAACAATAGCCATTCTGACTGGTATAAGATGATATCTCATTGTGGTTTTAATTTGCATTTCTCTTATGATTAGTGAGTTGAATATTTTTTGTATGCTTGTTGTCCATTTGTATGTCTGCTTTTGAAAAATGTCTATTCATGTCCTTTGCCCACCTTTTAATAGGGTTAGTTTTTGTTATTGTTAAGTTGACTTCCTTATAAATTCTGGATATTAGTCTCCTGTGGGATGCGTAGTTTGCAAATACTTTCTCTCATTCTGTGGTTGTCTGTTCATTATGGTGATCACTTCTTTTGCTGTGGAAAACCTTTTTAGTTTACTTAAAGCTCATTTGTCTATTTTTGTTTTTGTTGCTTCTGCCTTTGAGGTCTTAGTCATGAGTTCCTTGCCTACAGCAATGTCCACAGGAGTTTTCCCTAGGTTTTCTTCTAGTATTTTTATCATTTCAGGTCTTACATTTAAGTCTTTAATCTGTCTTGAGTTGGTTTTTGTATATAATGAGAGATAGGGATCCAGTTTCATTTTTCTGCAGGGGGTAATACCTATCCTTCACAGGGCATTTATTGTTTGCAAAGCACTTGTGTCAGCCCCCCAACATGCTTGATTTCAAAATACCACAATAATGTAAGGCTTGTTACCCTGTTTTACAAATGAGAAAACTTAAGCTGGGAACAATTTTAAGTTTACATGGCAGAGTGGGATTAGACTCAAGACTCTCTCATTCCAAAGCCCATTCATACCCCAAGATAAGTAAATTTATAACAAAACAGGTTTTATTCTCAGCAAAGGATGCAAAGAATAAAGAAGTTACTGTTGTGGCTTGGCAGCTAAACAAAATATATCCTAAAGCAATAATGTTGACAGCATGTAAATGAATTCAAATTGTTATCAGAACACTGCTGGATAGTTTTTAAGGTCAATCATGGTAGACAGGAGGCAGGACTAGATTGCAGCTCTGGACAGAGCAGTGGGCGGCACCTCGCACTGTGAATTTTAGCATCAGATCGACTGCAAAACAAACCAGCCATCCTGAGAGGACCCACAGACCCTCTGAAAAAAGCAGACTGCTCCTGCAGGAACCAGGAGACAATCCCAAAACTGCGAGTGCCCCACCTGCGGAAGTGGGAGAGGGAGACCCTCCTCTCCTGAACACACAGCCCCACTGGAGAAGCCGAAGGTCTGTTTGCAGGAGAAGTTTCCAACTTTACCTGGAGCTGAGTCAATCTGGAGAGCCAAGCAAAATACAGGGGTAGAGGATGCAGCAGAAAGGCCCTGGGAGCTCGCTGGGTACCCTAGCAGGCCATTCCTGCCTGGCACCCCAGGGATCCAATGGGAGAAGAGCAGAGGGTAAAACTACACAGGGAGAAGGAAATCTCTAGCTGAACTTTGTAACCATTTGAACGAGATGAGAAGCCTCCTGGCCAGAACTGGAAGGAGGGTGCAAATTCAGTGTGCAGACTCCACAGGCAGGGGAAGAACCAAGCTCTTATCTTTCAAAGCTAGGAGGCATACAGCCTGGGGCAGGTTTTCAAGCCCTTACTGCTCTCAGCCTGGAAATGCTCTGGAGGGTGTTGGGAGGTGCACTGGGGGAGTGAGACCAGCCCTTTCATTTGCATGGGAGTTGGGTGAGGCCTGTGACTGCCCCCTTTCCCCCAACTTCCCTGACAACCTGCATGACTCAGCAGAGACAGCCATAATCCTCCTAGGTAAACAACTCCCCTGACCTGGGAATCTCACCTCCACCCCCCAACAGCAGCCGCAGCAAGACCCGCCCAAGGACAGTCTGAGCTCAGACACACCTAGTTCCACTCCCAGCTGATGGTCCTTTCCTACCCACCCTGGTAGTGGAAGACAAAGGGTATATAAACTTGGTTGTTCTAGGCCCCACCCACCACTGGTTCCTCCCCATAATACCACAGCTGATGCTCTCTGGAAAGTGCCACCTCCTGGCAGGAAGCCAACCAGCACAAAAATAGAATATTAAACCATCAATGCTAAGAAGCCTCACAGAGTCCATTGCACCCCCCACCCCGCCACCTCCACCGGAACAGGCACTGGTAACCATGGCTGAGAGACCCACAGATGGTTGGTATCACAGGACTCTGTGCAGACAAGTGCCAATACCAGCCCAGAGCCAGGCAGACTCTCTGGGTGGCCAGACCCAGAAGAGAGAGCAATCACTGCAGTTTGGCTCACATGAAGCCACATCCACAGGAAAAGGGGGAGAGTACTACATCAAGGGAACACCCTGTGGGAAAAAAGAATCTGAACAACAGCCTTCGGCCCTAGACCTTCCCTCTGACAGAGCCTACCCAAATGAGAAGGCACCAGAAAACCAACCCTGGTAATATGACAAAACAAGGCTCTTCAACAAACCCAAAAAATCACACTAGTTCATCAGCAATGGATCCAAGAAGAAATCCCTGCTTTACTCGAAAAATAATTCAGGAGGTTAGTTATTAAGCTAATTGGGGAGGGACCAAAGAAAGGCGAAGCCCAATGTAAGAAAATCCAAAATATGATACAAGAAGTGAAGGGAGAAATATTCAAGGAAATAGATAGCTTAAAGAAAAAAAAAAATTCAGGAAACTTTGGACACACTTTTAACAATAAGAAATGCTCTGGAAGGTCTCAGCAATATAATTGAACAAGTAGAAGAAAGAAATTCAGAGCTCGAAGACTAGGTCTTCAAATTAACCCAAGCTAACAAAGACAAAGAAAAAAGAATAATAAAATATGAACAAAGCCTCCAAGAAGTCTGGGATTATGTTAAACAATCAAACCTAAAAATAATCAGTGTTCCTGAGGAAGAGGAGAATTCTAAAAGCTCGGAAAACATATTTGGGGGAATAATCAAGGAAAACTTCTCTGGCCTTGCTAGAGACCTAGACATCCAAACACATGAAGCACAAAGAACACCCAGGAAATTCATCACAAAAAGATCTTTGCCTAGGCACTTCGTCATCAGGTTATCCAATGTTAAGGTGAAGGAAAGAATCTTAAGAGCCATGAGACAGAAGGACCAGGTAACCTATAAAGAAACACCTATCAGATTAACAGCAGATTTCCCAGCAGAAACCCTACAGGCTAAAAGCAATTGGGGACTTATCTTCAGCCTCCTCAAACAAAACAATTATCAGCCAAGAATTTTGTATCCAGGGAAACTAACCATCATATATGAAGAAAAGACACAGTCTTTTCAGACAAACAAATGCTGAGAGAATTTGCCATTACCAAGCCACCACTACAAGAACTGCTAAAAGTTGCTCTAAATCTTGAAACAAATCCTGGAAACATGTGAAAACAGAGCCTCTTTAAAGCATAAATCACACAGGACCTATAAAACAAAAATACAAGTTAAAAAGCAAACACACAAAAAAACAAAAAACCAAAGTACACAGGCAACAAAGATCATGATGAATGCAATGGTACCTCACATTTCAATACTAACATTGAATGTAAATGGCCTAAATGCTCCACTTAAGAGATACAGAACTGCAGAATGGATAAGAACTCACCAACCAACTATCTGCTTCCTTCAGGAGACTCACATAGCACATAAGAACTGACATAAACTTAAAGGAATGGAAAAAGGCATTTCATGAAAATGGACACCAAAAGTGAGCAGGGGTAGCTATTCTTATATCAGACAAAACAAACTTTAAAGCAACAGTAGTTAAAAGAGACAAAGAGGGACATTATATAACAGTAAAAGGCCTTGTCCAACAGGAAAATATCACAATTCTAAACATATATGCACCTAACACTGGGGCTCCCAAATTTATAAGACAATTACTAATAGACCTAAGAAATGAGATAGCAACACAATAATATTGGGGGACTTCAATATTCCACTGACAGCACTAGACAGGTCATCAAGACAGAAAGTCAAAAAAGAAACAATGGATTTAAACTATATCTTGGAACAAATGGACTTAACAGATATATAGGGAACATTTTCATCCAACAACCGCAGAATACACATTCTATTCAACAGCGCGTGGAACTTTCTCCAAGATAGACCATATGATAGGCCATAAAAGGCAAGATTAACCAAGAAAAGAAGAGAGAAAATCCAAATAACCTCACTAAGAAATGAAACAGGAGATATTACAGCTGACACCACTGAAATATGAAAGATCATTCAAGGCTACTATGAACACCTTTACACACATAAACTAGAAAACCTAGAGGACACAGATAAGTTCCTGGAAAAATACAACCCTCCTAGCTTAAGTCAGGAGGAATTAGATACCCTGAACAGACCAATAACAAGCAGTGAGATTGAAATGGTAATTTAAAAATTACCAACAAAAAAAAGTTCAGGACCAGACGGATTCACAGCAGAATTCTACCAGACATTCAAAAAAGAATTGGTACCAATCCTTTTGAAACTATTCCACAAGATATAGAAAGAAGGAAACCTCCCTAATTCATTCTACTAAGCCAGCATCACCCTAATACCAAAACCAGGAAAGGACATAACCAAAAAAAGAAAACTACAGACCAATATCCTTGATGAACTTAGATGCTAAAATCCTTAACAAAATACTTGCTAACCGAATCTAACAACATATCAAAAAGGTAATCCACCATGATCAAGTGGGTTTCATACCAGGGATGCAGGAATGGTTTAACATATGCAAGTCAATAAATGTGACACACCACATAAACAGAAATAAAAACAAAAATCACATGATCATTTCAATAGATGCAGAAAAAGCATTCAACAAAATCCAACATTGCTTTATGATTGAAACTCTCAGTGAAATCGGCATACAAGGGACATACCTTAATGCAATAAAAGCCATCTATGACAAACCCACAGCCAACAAAATACCGAATGGGGAAAAATTGAAAGCATTCCCTCTCAGAACTGGAACAACACAAGGATGCCCACTCTCACCACTCCTCTTCAACATAGTACTGGAAGTCCTAGCCAGAGCAGTCAGACAAGAGAAAGAATAAAAGGCATCCAAATTGGTAAATAGGAAATAAAACTGTCATTTTTTATGACAATATGATTGTTTACCTTGAAAACCCTAAGGACTCCTCCAGAAAGCTCTTAGAACTGATAAAAGAATTCAGCAAATTTTCCAGATACGAGATTAATGTACACAAATCAGTAGCTCTTCTATACACCAACAGTGACCATGCAGATAATCAAGTCAAGAACTCAACCCCTTTTACAATAGCTGCAAACAAAAAAATAAAATACTTAGGAATATACCTAACCAAGGAGTCGAAAGACCTCTACAAGGAAACCTACAAAACACTGCTGAAAGAAATCATAGACGACACAAACAAATGGAAACACATCCCATGCTCATGGATGGGTGAAATCAATATTGTGAAAATGACCATACTGCCAAAAGCAATCTACAAATTTAGTGCAATCCCCATCAAAATACCACCATCATTCTTCACAGAATTAAAAAAAACAATTCTAAAATTCTTATGAAACCAAAAAAGAGCCTGCATAGCCAAAGCAAGACTAAGCAAAAAGAACAAATCTGAAGGCATCACACAACCTGATTTCAAACTATACTATAAGGCCATAGTCACCAAACAGTGTGGTACTGGTACAAATGCAGGCACATAGACCAATGAAACAGAATAGAGAGCCCAGAAATAAACCCAAATACTTACAGCCAAGTGATCTTCAAGAAAGCAAACAAAAACATAAAGTGGGGAAAGGACACCCTTTTCAACAAATGGTGGTGGAATAATTGGCTAGCCACCTGTAGGAGAATGAAACTGGATCCTCATCTCTCACCTTATACAAAAATCAACTCAAGATGAATTGAGGACTTAAACCTAAGACCTGAAACTATTAACATTCTAGAAAAGAACACTGGAAAAACCTGTCTAGACATTGGCTTACGATTTCATGACCAAGAACCCAAAAGCAAATGCAATAAAAAAAAAGATAAATAGCTGGGACTTAATTAAACTAAAGAGCTTTTGCACAGCAAAAGGAACAGTCAGCAGAGTAAACAGACAACTCAGGGTGGGAGAAAATCTTTACAGTCTATACATCTGACAAAGGACTGATATCCAGTCTAATATCCAATGAACTCAAATCAGTAAGAAAAAAACAAACAATCCCATCAAAAAGTGGGCTAAGGACATGAATAGACAATTCTCAAAAGAAGATATACAAATGGCCAACAAACATATGAAAAAATGCTCAACATCACTAATGATCAGGGAAATGCAAATCAAAACCACAATGCGATAGCACCTCACTCCTGCAAGAATGGACATAATCAAAAAAATCACAAAACAGTAGATGCTGGCATGGATGCAGTGAACAGGGAACACTTCTACACTGCTGGTGGGAAAATAAACTAGTACAGCCGCTATGGAAAACACTGTGGAGATCCCTTAGAGAAGTAAAAGCAGAACTACCATTTGATCCAGCAATCCCATTACTGGGGGGGTACCTACCCAGAGGAAAATAAGTCATTATTCGAAAAAGATACTTAAACATGTATGTTTATAGCAGCACAATTCGCAATTGCAAAACCGTGGAACCAAATCAAATGCCCATCAATCAACAAGTAGCTAAAGAAACTGTGGTGTGTGTGTGTGTGTGTGTGTGTGTGTGTGTGTGTGTGTGTGTATATATGATGGCATAGATATATATGATGGAACATATATATATGATGGAACATATATGATAGAACATATATATATGATGGAATATACATATATGATGGAATATATATATGATGGAAAATATATATATGATGGAATATATATATGATGGAATATATATGATGGAAAATATATATATGATGGAACATATATGATGGAATATATATATATGATGGAATATATATATGATGGAATAGATATATATGATGGAATAGATATATATGATGGAATAGATATATGATGGAATATATATATATGATGGAATATATGTACACACACATATATATGATGGAATATATATAAACATATATGTATATGATGGAATATATATATATATAATGGAACACTAGGCAGCCATAAAAAGGAATGAATTAACAGCATTTGCAGTGACCTGAATGAGACTGGAGACTATTTTTCTAAGTGAAGTAACTCAGGAATGGAAAACCAAACATCATATGTTCTCACTGATATGTGGGAGCTAAGCTATGAGGACACAAAAGCATAAGAATGATGCAATGGACTCTGGGTACTTGGGGGAAAGAGTGGGATGGGAGCGAGGGATAGAAGACTACAAATATGGTGCAGTATATGCTGCTCGGGTGACGGGTGCACCAAAATCTCACAAATCACCACTAAAGAACTTACTCATGTAACCAAATACCACCTGTACCCCTATAACTTATGGGAAAAAAAAAACCTTAAAAAAAAAAAAAAAAGAACATTGCTGGATAACTTCTCAGGTAGAAACAGTTAAAATTATATCAGGTTAAATGTTAAAAAAATTAAATGTCTTCATTTCAAAAACTTTAAAGAGTTTAGGCAGAGAAAAGATTATGCCCACTTCCATTGTGTTCAATACATAACAACTACAAACTCTGAAGAAAAATTTTAAAACAACTATTTGAAAGCTCTAAATAATTTACATGAGCAGGGGGAAATTGAGCTGGAGTTCACACTTGAAAGAAGGGGATGGCACTACATGGTCTCTCTGTTTTTGTTTTTGTTTTCTTTTAATGCCTTTTAGCCTGAAGGCAGGAATCATAGTTCCCATACAGGGGGGCTACAACTACAACACAGATGTGATCATGACCATGACTCAGCAATTTCTCAAAGCGTAGGATAGTCTTCTTAAAAGTAACAAAGACTTTAATAAGTACAGTTTTAAAGTTAACTGACTCACATGCTTCAATTATTAACTATTTATTTATGCCTTAACTTTGGTCTACTTTAAATAATATATGTATACCTTAATTTTTTATACTTCCCCTAAAGCCAAAACCATCTTAAGATAAGCAAGGCAAGTAGGTGCACAAAATAGCAATTAGTATGAGGCACAATGAAATTTTCTTTGAACTACATGATAATCATATTCCCATTAAATGCACTTCCTTTTATTAATGACTCCTTTTAATCTTCTCTTTTCAGGCTTCTCAGATGGAATATTAATTTGAGGAGAAGAATGATAGTAAAAAATAAAGAAAACTTTTAATTTAATTTGGAAATAACATTTTATCTTAATAATCATATTCACAGATTCAATTAATTTTAAATGTAATATTTTATTTTGACTGCCGAAGAAAAACTTTTTAAAGCTATATTGTTCCTGAGCTCTCCCAGTCCATAGAGAGTTGATTACTAATTTTAACAAATAAAAAATTTAACAAAAAGGCAATTATTTCTTATCATTCCATCATCACTATTGAAGCTATATCCCGGTAAGATTTGCCAACTCTCACAGAACTATTTGGTTCAACAAGGTTGCTTGCTATGCTTGGGTTTAAATTTGTTACTAAAGTCTCTGTTATTCTATTCAAAACTGCTTGTGTAAATTCTCAATCTTGTATGCCACTTTATGAAGCCCTCTCAGATCTTGGTACCAAAAAGCAACTAAGACTCTAGGGATCTTATAATTGGCCTTTTTTTTTTTTTTTTTTTTTTTTTGCCACTAGAAGCTCAAAATCAACTATGTGGCCCATCTCTAGCAATTCTATAGTATTATGGCATGGAATTCTTCACACTAACCTTACCATTTTCTTAAACTGGTTAGTGAATTTCATTAGAAAAAAGTGAAGCTTACTATAGTGAGTTTTAAAAATATCAAGACTGTATGCATGTTTTTATAGACTTTAAATGTTGACCCACATTTGGTAACATCAATATTAAATATTACAGTGCTAAATATAATACTTATGAATTAATGGAAGCATAAACTAAATGTGTGGTTACAAACAAGAAAAAACTCATTCTGTTCAGTTCCTCACTTCTCTGGCAAATTACACAAATACTACCCCACACTCATTCTGTTGTTGCGTGATGTATACTGACAACAGCCTTTACTCAGCCACGGTTATCACATGTAGAATCTGGAGGTTCTGGTCCATCCATGAACAGTCCAAATGCCACAACAGCAGTCACACAGCTGCAGTCATGGATCAGCCCCAGGAACAAACCTTCCTCTATTGAGTGGCTATGTTCACAAACTGATTCAAGTTTGAGAAACACTCAAGCTCTTACTATGAGCTGAGCTCCATACTAGATAATTTATATTTACTCTGTTTAATCCTCATGATCCTGACAGGTATGTGGTTTTACCCCAATTTTAGAGACAGGGACTACAGAAATCAAGCTCACAGTGACTCAAGAACGGTATCAATGTTGAGACCCAAACTAGCTTCCTTGACTCCAAATTCTACATTCTTTCCACCACCCAACAGCTAACTAGAAAATACATTGTCATACACTGGCAAAAATTCAGAAGCTGAATTTATTCCTGTTGAAGCACTGAGAGAAGGCGAAATAATTTAGATAAAGTTATGTTAATGCTACCGGCTGGGCATCTCTTCTTAAGGCGTCTTGGAATTTGTGAGAAGACCATTTGTTGATGAACAAGTGATCAAGTGGAATTAAGGTCTAATCTTGCTGCTGCTTTTTTCCTCTTAAGTAACAAAGGCAAGTTTATAATTGTGAAACTGCGCTCCATATACTATACTCACTTTAGGAGATTTATTTAAATTGGTAGCTCAATGACATTTTTCATATTTTTAGAACTGAGATGTTGGTGGTGTTACCTGTAGGCCATTTACATGCTCTGTGTTTAACTGAACATTAATATAATTTTTTGAACAGTAATAATTTATAAAATACAGTAAAATTCCTATGCTAATATAATTAGAATACAGATCTACAATCCTTCATCCAAAACCCTTGAAGCAAGATGTGTTTCAGGTGTGTATGTTTGTGCCTCTGCATGTGTATGTATTCAGACAGTAATTTAGTAAATATTTCATAAATTAAACAGTACTATGCATCTTTTAGGGTCTGAGAAGTAAGTAGGTACATGGTCAACTTAGGATAAATTGAGGAAAATTTAATAAAGGCACTATTTGCTAAGGTGTAGAGAAACCACAAAGGATAGCTTGATAACCTGAAGCTAGCACTGTAGTGACTATTACCACCTCTGGGTCATAATGGGTAAAGGAAGGGAGCTGTTACTGAAAGCTGAAGACTAAGAGGCCTTGTGAGGGGTGGTACCTTTCACATGCTGAGACCTTCAGTCTAGAGACACACTACGGTGACCACTCATGAAGAGAACTAGGTGAATTAAATACCTCTCTCACTCTGCTGCCTCACTCCAATATCTCGCCAGTGACTTCCATCGGCCAGAGCTAATGGGAAAGCAGATAGCAGAGAGCCTGTAAACACAGACTGCATACTTACAATCTATACTATCAGACTCCTGGACACATAGCTAGATGGAGAAAGGTGGACAGTGAATCTGGAGGTATAAATGAAAGCTATCTAGCATTTTCCCTGAGTAGATTCTGGAGTAGCATACATTAATCAAATATATCAATATTTCTGCCACAAAATGTATAAAGATGCACATTAAATGAGATAAAGACAACAAATAAATTGTCATTATTCCACATCAAGTTTTGCTGCCAAATGAGTTAAAAAAAAAACTTTTGATTTTCAGAGGCTTTGAATATAGTTATTATCTCTATTTTAAAGATGACAAAGGCTTACAAAGGTGAAATAACTTGTCCAAGGTCACAAAGCTAGGAAATGAAAACATCAGGATCTGAGCCCAGTTCTGACTCTAGAACCTCAATTGCTAACCACTCTTCTTTGCCCAATTACTTTCCTGATAGAACAGTATTATAAAGGAATCCACAATGTATACGTTTACCTCATTTGCTGTATAATTCCTCATCTTGTAAAACCATGCAATCTGGTATGAATGTACCAATGATTGACACCCTTACACAGTATCAACAAACTCTGAAAGAAAAGTATCATGCTTGTAGACTTGAAACCTCAATGCATATGGTCTTAGCTAACCATGTAATCCTAAGCGTCTCCCTCCCCTTACATGACGCACTGTACTTGGTGTTCTCAGCGTTAACTTGTTCCCAGTTCCAGAGTCGCCAATCAGCCAATCATCTGAAAAATATCTTTTAATTCATAGGTGATACACAGCACCAAAGCTTAGAGCTTCTTTTCTTTTGACTGAGTTACACTTTTACCACTCTTATTGGGCACAGGTTACAATTTTAATTGTATTTGTACACTTGAATATTTAATCCCAATTTTAATCATCACAGTGGATACAAAACAAAATAAACCTGAATGTGAATAACCTTATGTTTTCTTGTATTCTCACTAAGATTACCAACTTTGCAACATAGTAATTCAAAACCAAAAACCACCAGGAAAACAATTTGCTAATCCTGAATTAGTAAAAAAAATTCTTCTCAGGACTGCTGTGTAGGGCCTCCATCTCTTCAAACCTGCCTTCATCTAGGTGAGCCTATCTACCTGCTTTTCTTCTCTGTCAGCTGTCCACACCATGGGCTTCACTGCTGCCCAGCAGGAAGTGTATTCAAAGTCCCTATAAATAAGGCATCCAGCCTCCAACTGTCTCTCACCTTGGGTGCCGACATAGGTTCCTACTTTTAGCTGCACATGTGGATTCTACCTCTGACATTACCCCAGCTGCTAGCTTCCTGGTATTTTCTCTAGTCCAATTCACTTAAGTACTTACTCACAATCTGCAAATCCCAGTTTGACTTATCCTTCCTGGTCCTAGAATTGTTTTATGAAGGATGGTTTTTGTTAGCTTAGAATTTTACAGCTTGATAACAAGGCCTGAATATGAAAAATGTGTTTAGCGATTCTCAGTACATGTGGCAAAAGACATATGTATATAATTTAGCTAATTCAAATCTATTAATTTTCTTCCCTCAATATGAGCTTTATTTTTAAGTCATGGAATTTACAGAAACTGTGAAGAAAGGCAAGTTTACCAACTTTTTCTTTTTTTCAAAATACAGTAAACTTGTATTTATCAGAATTTCTGGAAAGTGAGGTCTGAATAATAGTGAGTAGCCACAAAGATAAAAATTGTTAGTTGACCATCCAAATACAGTATATATTCCATTTTCCTGGGCACAAAGTGGACTACATTTCCAAGCCTCCCTTGCGACTAAGTGGCTATGAGACTGAATTCTAGTCAACTGAAAGTTAAGAGAAGTGCTATGTTCCACTCTAGACAAAACCCCCCATGCTCATTCCTCTTATGTCTGGCTCGGATGCCCTACAGTACCTAGGGTAACCTTGGAAACCACATTCTGATTATGGTAGGCTTCCCTATCTGAGTCCCTAAATGACCCACAAGAAGGGCCACCTAGTAATCTGCTTACCTTCCCTGTAATGAGCAGGAAATAAATTATTGGTTTTAAGCCATTTTATATTTTGAAGTCTATTCTTTTCATGGCTAGTATTACCCTAATTAATATCACATGTTATATCACATGAAAATGGAACTTTATTTTTTTTCCAGCATCATTGACATTTCTTAGAGAGAGGGCTTGCTATTTGTTGGTGAAATCATGAAAAAAAATTGCCTGTCTCCTGGAGCTTCTGAGAGGGAAGAGATAGAGGCCTTGAAACTCTTCTCCCTAAAAGTAAAAGTTACTCAAATTCCTCTAACTAAACTTCAATACTAAAATAGTACTGTATTGACCAAAAATGAGTGGCAGGGAAAAGAACATGAACCCAGAGAGAATGGCAGCTTTGGCAATTTTACCATGGAAATGATTATGCAAGTAAGCTATAATTTGGGAAGCCCAGGCCAATTGTGGCACACAGCATTCTTTACTGAGGTTATAATGAGAAGGGATCATTCTCCTCAATTTATTTGTTTCCACATTCATCAAATATTTACAGAACATTTGCTATATAATCCTTACTCAATTCCTCCAGAAATCATAAATCTCTTAGGAGCACACTAGCTAACATCCTCAGCCTGAGTTTAACACACTACTTCTTTCTTCTCATAGTACGAGAAAACTGTCTTTTAAAAAATGAGCCATATCCCTCCCCACTCTCTCCAATAAAAGGCATTTTTTCTTCTACTTTTAGGAGAATGGATCAACATGTATCTTGCTCCTTGCTGCCACTTCTGTATCTACAGTCTACTGTCATAATTCAAGTATTCAGCCCTTTTTGAGGCTCATACCACCTCATATGACCAGCTTAAGTTAAGACTCTTGGTAGGAAGAAACAGAAAACCAACTCTAATCAGCACAAACAGGGAACTTTATTGATAGAACACTGGGCAGTCTCGATGGAAATGCACAAAGAGATCAACAACTACTTTTGTTAAAACAGAAGCCAAATCAGCTATAGGAAACTCTACAGTGTAGTTTGGGAACCTACTCTCTGTAACACTACTATCAATTTCAGATTTCCACATGAGAGTCTGAGTAGTGCAGCTTTAATCTGTTCTGAACTCTTGGGTTCTTCAGTTGTGACAACTGAGTTGTAGCTATATGGTGCTAACGGCCAACTGAACTCCACCCTGGGTTTCAGGGAAAAGTCCTAGAGAAAGAAAATGGCCATGCACTGAGCACTATCCCAGAAAGGTACCCACAACATGCCAACCCCTGGCCTTGCCCCATATATGAACATCCACTATTTCCTGTATATCCAAAGATGTCACAATCCAACTATCTAGCTACAAGAACAATATAATCACTCCCCACAAAGGGAGATGATTCAATATACCCAAGACCCTGTAATCCATCTATTCCACTACAACTACAATATAATCACTACTCTCCCCAAAGGAAGCTGACCCCAAATCACCTTCAACAACTACATCCAGGATCAACATCATGGACCTACTCTTCTTCAAGTCCAGAATCCTCAAGAAGTGTTCAGAATTCCTCTAGTTCAGCAGTAACCACACACTATCAACATATCAATTTCCAACAGAGAAATTGTTTTCACTTCAACTCCTATTTTAAAAAGGAAAAAAGAAGACAATTATTAGCAATAAACAAATGCAAATAGAAAATAAGGCTGTATTTCTACCTTGGCTGGCATTTGAAAATTCCTTCCTCCAGGACTCACTACATGTACCTTGCATTTGCATTCAAAAAATGCTTCCTGATAAGGTTTTTGCCCAGAGGGGTAACCCAAACCTTGGAATTGTATGACCCACGGCTATCTCTCCTTCCAGGCTAAGTGGATAATGAGACTTACTGCCTAAAGTTATATGTCTTCAAAGTTTTTCTCTTATTTAATGTTCTTCGCTGTCACTGTTGATAGGGGTTGTGATGGTGTAGCAGTTCTTTTCTGCCTCATAACCGAATAGCTTTCTGAGTTATCTGTAATTTTTTACCCTCAGTCGAGTTTTCACAAGGAATTCCTCACAGAATTCTCATATAAGCTAAGGAAGTTTGGCAATGTAGCAGATACTGACGTGCCAAAGTATTCCAGAAACAACTGAAACCATTATTTAAAAGTTCCTCTAACTGCTTCCTACAACAAAATTTATTTGTATTGGTATGTCACTTTCCTTTTATTCTTCCCTCGTCAGTCAAGAAGTGTCATTTCTGGCCGGGCACAGTGGCTCACGCCTGTAATCCCAGCACTTTGGGAGGCCAAGACGGGCGGACCACGAGGTCAAGAGATCGAGACCATCCTGGCCAACATGGTGAAACCCCGTCTCTACTAAAAAAAACCACAAAAATTAGCTGGGCGTAGGGGCATGTGCCTGTAATCCCAGCTACTCGGGAGGCTAAGGCAGGAGAATCGCTTGAACCTGGGAGGCAGAGGTTGCAGTGAGCTGAAATTGCACTCCAGCCTGAGTGACAGAGCAAGACTCCATCTCAAAAAAAAAAAAGTGTCCCTTCTACCTGTGCTTTTGATTCCATTGATGGATGAATATATTTACTTTAGTGTGTATCACCATCTGATATTCGCTAAGTACAAAATAACTCAGCATATTGCCCATCTTTCTCTTAAATTTCCTTTTTCTATTATTATCACTATCATTCTTCCAAGTTACCTAGGAGTTGTCTTTGATTCAATTCGACAAATTTTAAAAATCTCTTCTTGTATGCAATGTACTCAGTTAAGAAATATGTTCCTAATTCTGATTAGCAAGTAGGAAATGCTTGGTAAAATTGATATAATGGGAATTTTGGAACTTAGAAATATGACCATGTTATTGCTAGTCTATTAAGAATCAAAGATTGCCTCTATCATCCAATCCCTACCATCTTTATGAGGCCTAAAACATTGATAACCATGACGACTACATCTTCAAGCAAGTAACTGACTTAAAAAAAAAAAAAAGCCTCATGGGATGGTGGGATGAAAAAGACCAGCTACCAATTCGATTTAATACAATTTAACAAACATATCAAACAACATGTTAGACAACAGAAGAATTTGAGAACTACAAGAAATAACAAGATCATAGGTAAGATGGCAAAAGCAAACTATGAAAAGACTGTTTTTTGAGCACTTAGAGAAGCACGTGGTCCAAGCTTGATGCTCAATAAATATTTCCTGAACGTTTTTATATGCCAAAATGGTCCCACAACTGGTCTTCAAACTTTAAGGTACATCAGAATCACCTGATGGGTTGGTTAAAAGATAAAATGCTGAGACTCTCCTCTAGAGTTTCTGCCCCATCAGTTCCACAGCGGAATGCAATAGTTTGCATTTCTAACAAGTTCCCAGTCAAGAACCAGTGATCTAGATCAGAATTTCTAAACTGCGGTATGACTGACATTTTAGACTGGATAATTCTTTGTTGTGAGGGGCCATCCTATGTATTGTAAGATACTTTGCAATATCCCTATGCTCTGTCCACTGAATGTCAATAGCATACAACCCCACTCCCACCCCCCGACATTGCTAAATCCCCTAGGGGGACAAAATTGCCCCTGATGGAGAACCAATGCTACACATTACACAGATTACCTTTTTGGGTGGTTTACTAAACTAACAGACCTAGTTACTCCTATAAGCACTGTCATCTAGATTTTAACTGAACATTATACAACATTTCTCAAGCTTTCCTCATGGATAAAATAAAAATATGGGCTCAATAATAAAAGAATTAGAAGGCTTTGTATCTATTTAACTATTGGATCCAAGAGTGTTGATGAATAGATCTATAGCAGAGAGGCAAGCCATTCAAAGCTGTATCATTTTGAGCTATTTTTCTCCTACACTAGGGTGTCAGGCTCCACTTCCTGCAAAGACAATCAAATGGTAGTGACAGAGACAGGAGGCAGAGAACTCTCCTAGGCAGATAGGGCAGGGTCCCAGGAGAACCTCCAACCCACCAAGTTCATTAGCACAGGAGGCTTGCCTAAATATGCCTGCAGTAAAAAATTCTGTCCCTTAACACAAGCACAGTAAGGGAAATAAATCAATGTGAAGTGGGTCAGACTAAGGGCCCGCATGCGCACCGGAAGGGTGGGGTGGAGCCACCAGGAATTTGCACCTTATACAAATAGGGAACCCAGCCCCATCAGCTTTTATAACAAAGTATTGGTACTCAACTGTGAAGGGGGGCAACCGGCAACCTGCTTTCAGAACTCCTCTTTCGGCTGAGGGGTTTCCTTTGTGCTTAATACATTCTACTCCACTCATTCTTCAATGTCCACTTGCCTATTTCTTCCTGGTCATGAGACAAGAAACCAAACCTAGCTGAGCTGAGGAGCAAAACATCCTGCATCAGTAGTAACTACCTAGAGTATTATCTTAAGAAGGATTCCAGAGATGTTTTCAGGAAAAATGAGAGATTATTGAGGTCACTTAAATAATGTCTTCTATGGGCACCAGAGAAATAAATAATGCCACAATACAGATTCCTGTTCCAATCAGGGTTCCTGTTCCAGATATTTGATCAAATCTATCTTTTCCCTGAGATTTTTGAAATCTGAAACAGTTTTTTAAGTCCAGAATATATATGTAGCTAGTTACAGCATTTCCTCTCTCTACAGCCTTCTCTATCATTTCTACTTCTTGAAGAAATTCCTCTCTCTAATCCATAGTTATGTAGAGTACTAGGTCCTGTGTCACTTCTACGCCTTATGAGACTCTACAGTTCTTTAAAAAATGATAATAATAATTGAGGTAAGGGTTCAAGAGGCTGACTAGAAGTTCCAGGCACTTGCCTCCTACACAAAGAAGGACCAAAACAGTGAGTAGATAACCCCATTTTGAATAAAGCTTCTAAGACAGAACACTGGAATTCAGCACAGAAGTGACAAGAAACCTCTGAGACATGGTAGGAAAGGGATGTGAAACAGCTGGCCTGGCCGGGATCAGTTCAGAGCCAGAAGGAGCTTTCCACTATGAGGAAAGGGTATGTGAGAGATTCCCAAGCAGTCCACATTCCCATTGCAGACCCTTATTGGCCCTCATGGGCCCTGAGACTAGTATAAGGAGCTTCCTGGAGTCCACATGATGGCATTGTTTCAGAGAGGAGTTCACACTGGGTCACACACACATACCCAGACAGAAGCAGCTATGGTACAGCACCATTTTAAGAGCTCAGCCCCCACCAGACTACGTCCTGCTCTAGGACCCAACAGCTCCTGCATCTCCACATCTCTGGAGCACTGCTGACATCCCCTCACATTTACCCCAAATCTGCAGGCTTCAACACCAGCTAGACACAGTGATGTGGGTCCCTAGAACTCTAGCCCACACAGTATCCGATACTCAAGAGAACAGCTGGTGCAGGACACCAGGGAGCCTGCCCCTGGGACAAAGGAAGTTGAAGCATGCATTCTCCAGAGCCTGAGAGCTACTTGCCCACCAGGGCCACTGCTATTGACAGCAACCCCACCCCCTCCAGTGGCAGGTCTGCCATGCACCTTCAGGAAGCCTGGGGACTAGTCCAACTGTACACCATCCCTGGGCCTTAGGACAGTCCCTCCATTGCTGGCACCTACATGTACCACTCAGGGGCCCAAGGGTTAAGCTGCCATAGCTACCACCACCACTGATGCCACACACACTGCCCAGGGGCAAAAGGACCTGCCCGCCTAACCCACCCTGCCACCACTGGGCAAAAGGACCTGCCCGCCTAGCCCACCCTGCCACCACCAGCACCCAAGCACATCACCTGGAGGCCCAAGGACTGGCCCACCTGGACCTGCCACCACTGCCACCTACATGGGTGCCCAAGGGCTTGAGGACTGGCATGCCCAGACTGCCACCATGGGTGCCTAAGGACCAGCCCACCTGGCATTCCTGTCCCCAGTAAAGCCTCACCACAGCCTCCACTAACAACCACAGCCTAAGCCTCTAAGGAACTCACACCATTGACACTGATTACAGCTAAAGAAATCATATGAAGACTACACTACTGTGCTTACCCAGAATCAAAACCAAAGCACCCTACCCAACAAACACTATGGATATGATTATAGAAAAAAATCTTTCTCAGTGAAGGCCAATCCATGAAATTGGAAGAAATAAATGTTACATCAGATGCACAGGTATCAACAGAAGGACACAAGAAACACAAAAAAGCAAGAAAACATGATACCTCCAAAGAAACACAATAATTCTCCAGCAACAGAACCCAAAGAAAAAAAAATCTATGAAATTCCTGAAAAGGAATTCAAAATAATGATGTTAAAGGAACTCAGATACAAGAGAACACAGATAAATAATGCAAAGACATCAGGAAAACAATTCACAATCTGAATAAGAAATTCAATAAAGAGATAGATGTTTAAAAGAACCCATTAGAAATCCTAAAACTGAGGAATTCAATGAATGAAATTAAAAAATACAATTGAGCTTCAACAGTAGACAAGATCAAGCAGAAGAAATTTCTGAACTTGAAGACAATCTTTGAAATAACACAGTCACACACACAACAAAAAGAAAAAATAAATAATTTAATAGAGTTAGTGCCTTTTTTTTTTTTCTAAGATGGAGTTTTGCTCTTGTTGCTCAGGCTGGAGTGCAATGACACGATCTCAGCTCACTGCAACCTCCACCTCATGGGTTTAAGTGATTCTCCTGCCTCAGTCTCCCAAGTAGCTGGATTACAGGCATGTGCCACCACATCCGGGTAATTTTGTATTTTTAATAGAGACGGGGTTTCACTATGTTGGTCAGGCTGGTCTCAAACTCCTGACCTCAAGTGATCCACCCACCTTGGTCTCCCAAAGTACTACCCTTGTTTAAAGGAAGTTCTAACAAATGCCCAGATGTTTGAGAATTTCTACCTCCTTTAGATCTCTTCCATTAGCTCCTCAAGAACTAAGAATCCATTGCTTTCTGCAACTAGGTAGTCTGTAGAATACCTACATTATTATAGCACTTCTTTTCTTCTTATATTCTTGTTTACTTCTGATTTAGAGGTTCTGCCTCCCTTCTAAGTAGTGTGCTCTTTTGAACAATAAAAATAAATAAGCAAAAGTAAGTTACAAAAGAGACATAATTATGGAGATTCATTCAGTAATTATGTTGTCTTTGATGTGTCAAGGACTGCAATTATTTTTTAATGAAAAATTCTCATGGAGTAAAAATAACTAAAGTAGAAGGAAAGTAGGCTATAAAACAGAAGTGTTTCTTCTAATCTAATAAAATTTCCAAATTCCTGTATTTCAAAAGACACTGTACAAATTGGGTGTGGATCAAATCTTAAGCAAACAGTTTTGACACCAATGAATCTAGGTAATAAACAAACCTCAAAGATGAGTCACTGAATTTTGATTAACATGCATTTTAAATACAATCACTTTGGGTGAAGAAAAGAAAAAGCCTTATTCAACACTGCCAAATCATTATATCTATATTAATTTGCCACTCATTTTAATATGCAGCTAAAACACAAATAAGGGTTATCAAATAATTAGTAGTAAAATGACGAAAAGAAGAATTATTCCAGAAGATAAAAGACTCCTATTTATATCATCTTGGAAATAGTAGTTACATATTATTTAGGAGTCTCAGTATTATAGTCCAATATTTTAACACTTTTATATGGTCAGGCTTTTCTTGAAATATTAAATTACATATTATTAGCAATATATATTATATATTGTTATATGTGACATGCATATATATATATCCATCCCACTTTTAGATTTTAATATTTGTTCCTAATACATATTGATTTTTTTTTTTTTTTGAGATGGAATCTCACTCTGTCACCAGGCTGGAGTGCAGTGGCGCAGTCTCAGCTCATTGCAACCTCCACCTCCTGGGCTCAAGCAATTCTCTGCCTCAGCCTCCCAAGTAGCTGGGATTACAGGTGCCCACCACCACGCCTGGCTAATTTTTGTATTTTTAGTAGAGACGGAGTTTCACCATCTTGGCCAGGCTGGTCTTTAACTCCTGACCTCGTGAGCCACCCACCTCGGCCTCCCAAGGTGCTGGTATTACAGACGTGAGCCACCACGCCTGTCTTGTTCTCAGTTTTAAATAACAGGCAGAAGTCCAGAGATAATAAACTATCATCAGTGAGGCACATAGAACCTCAAAGAACAAGGAAGGCTAGATTCTAGTTTCCCTTTGTAAGATTTCTTTATGAAAGCAAAAGACAAAATATTATAATTTTAAAGCACAAAATATGCAGGTTTATGAGCCTAACTATAATTTATTGATAAAAACACAATAATTCAATTCTCAATTTCTGCCTTTCAAAGAGAAAAGAATATTTAAGAAGCTGATTGCATAGTTTATAGATTATCCAAGGCCTTTCTTCCAAGTTTTAATCAATTCATTGAAAGAGAAGAATGTAACTTGAAACATTTTTCTACTAACTTGTAATTCTGATACATAACTGATGCCATAAAAAATAAATTCCAGATTCGTTAAAAATTTAACACAAAAGGAAAACATCTGTAGTGCAAGTAGAGAAAAAGATAATTTAGCATTAATCTCATAAATGAAAGGCCTTTGTAAATAGCAGCAATCACAAAAGAAGTAAAATTGTGTTTAAAAAACATAAACAAAAACATCCTTCATAGGTAAAAAGGAATAGTCCAAAAAAAGACAAATCGCTAAAAAAAAAAAAACATTACCAGCAAATATAATAAAGATTAGTATCTTGGTTAAAGGACTTATACAAAGATACAAAAGCAAGACTAGAACTTTAAGAGAAAAACAGGCAAAAAGGCATGAATAATTCACACAAGAGGAAGTTCAAATACAAAGAAGCAAATTACAACAAAGGTAAAAGAAATCCATGTTTAGCTGTCACATTAGCAAAGATTTAAAAACATAAAATCAAGAGATGACAATGATTTACCAAACTGTGCACACATAAATTATTGCAGAAATGTAACCAACAATTAAGAAAGCTATTAAGGGACTGTGTATCAACAGCCTTAAATTTTTTTAAAACTTTGATTCAGTAATTTTATTTCTAGGAACCTATCCTAAGGAAATACTCTTAAAGAGGAGGAAATCTTTTTTTGTTTTTTGTTTTTTGTTTAAGTTCAGGGGTACATGTCCAGGTTTGTTACATAGGTAAACTTGTGTCATGGGGGTTTGTTGTACAGATTATTTCATCACCCAGGTATTAAGCGTAGTACTCATTGGTTATTATTCCTGATCCTCTCCCTCATCCCAACATCCCAACCTCCTCCCTCTGATAGGCCCCAGTGTGTGTTGTTCCCCTCTATGGGTCCATGTGTTCTCATAATTTAGCTCCCACTTATGAGAACATGCTATATTTGGTTTTCTGTTCCTGTGTTAGTTTGCTAAGGATAATGGCCTCCAGCTCCATCAATGTCCCTGCAAAGGACATGATCATGTTGTTTATTATGGCTGCATAGTATTCCATGGTATATATGTACCAGATTTTTCTTTATCCAGTCTATCGTTAATGGGCATTTAGGTTGATTCCAAAATATGCAGGTTTATGAGTCTAACTATAATTTATTGATAAAAACACAATAATTCAATTCTCAATTTCTGCCTTGCAAGAATGTCTTTGCTATTGGGAAACACTTTACTAATCATGACATTGGTTCTTATGATATTTACAATAAATACCATAAGAAACTACATAATATCTAAGAATAGGTGGATAAGAAGGAAGTAAGTAAACCATCACAAATTCAGTCCTCTACCATGTATTGGCACTGGAATCTTCAACAGTCCACTTACCTTCCCTGTATCTCATTTTTGTTTTTCATTTTTAAATGAGGATAATAATAGTACCTGCCTCAAAAAACTGTTATAAAGACTAAAATAATTAATATATGTAAAATAATTAGCCTGGTACATAATTATTACTGTAAAATTATATGCAGTCATTTAAAATTAAGAACATGGAAATGGCTTATAACAGAATACTACATGAAAAAGAAAAATACTATAACATGGTACATAGTAACCTACCAAACAACCCACAACAGGAACTACAACAAAATGTTAACAATGAAACAAAACAAACAAAAATCAAAAATATTTTGGTAAGGAATTGGGTAGCATAAATTAAGAGTATACTGTGCATTTTAGCTATGCAAGCTATCTTCTCTGTCATAAGGCTAAAAGTTGGTTTAATTGACTAGAACTAATTATTAGTTCTCTGGAGCTACTGATTGTTAACTATGCAGCTGTCTAATCTGAAAGATTTTCTTCCTGAAACATTTTTTACAGATTCCAACTTCTTCAAGTCTATTACAGAGCTCTTGGCTGGCTGCCCTCCAGGTTTTCTAGCAAAAGCTCTAAGTGCAGAACCCTTGTCACTCACCGACGTACAACAAAGACAATGTCCATTTTAGTTAGATTTGCAATATTAGCAGACTGGAATCAAGAGTTCCTGAAGAGAACCATCATTTTATGTAGGCAAAAAGCTGTATGTATTCTATGTATGATAACTAATTTTCAAAGTCACATTCTCCCTGAAGATAAGCTTTAGTACCAACCAAAGGTCAAATGTCATGCTTTTTAAAGAAAGAGTAGTGAGGGGGAAAGGAAGGAAGAAAGGAAGGAAGGGAGGGAGGACAAGAAAGGGAAAAAGAAAGACATATAGAAAAAAGAGAAAAGGCGAGAAGGTAAGAGAGAAATTTAAATTGCATTATGATGATAAAAAAGAAATCTTTTAGCTTTAAGATGTCGAAATAAAAGCAATTATATTTGAGGTCAGCAATCCCCATCACTGCAGAAAATGCTCATTTAGATTATTTACAAAGGTAATACAAAGGGTACTTTGTCTTCATGAATACTTACAGATAAGCATGTTTTAAGGAGAGAGGAAGAGAAAGAGAGAGGAAAGAAAAGGAGGAAAAGGATCAGAGACTGGAAAGGAAAAAGGTGGGGGCAAGGGAGAGAGATTGATTATTGTCTGTTACCAAACCAGAAACAGAAATAACACACTGTCCACCAGGGGACTACATAATATATGCGAACAAAGATTGATGACCTGGGTTTATTAACATAGACTATGGAAAAGGTCTATTTCTTTTAATATTTTGTGTCCATTTGATGAATAACCAGAGTTTTAGATTCTGAAAGCGGTAAAATCAAGTTTCTAACCGAATAATAAGAAACACAGTGATTGATACAGAAATTATACATTGGCTCTGGACTAATATAATTGATACATCAACTTATATCTGGCTTCAAAGGCTCATAGATTCAAATTAGAAGCAATGTTTGGTCATGTAATCCATCTCACATCATTCTCCATTGTTTACTCCTATAAAATGTGTATACAAAGAGAAAAGTCAGTAAACTATTAGATATCAAATTACCAGCATCTCCTTGCTCTTCCCTAATAACTAAACCAAGGGCTCTCTCTTCTCTCTCTTTTCCTCTCCCTCTCTCTCTCTCCCTCTTACCTTCTCTCTCTCTTTCTCGCTTCTCCCCTCTCTCTCTCACGCACACACAAACACACAGCCCTCCAGCCTGCAATAAAGTTGTTATAAAGTAGGCAGAATGTTGGACTTATGGCCCCAAATCACCACTCAGCATTCTCCACCATTCCCCACCCTGTGAAGTACAAAAGGGAAAATAATTAAGCTCATTTTACATACCTACCTTTTTTTTGTAATGTAATGTGTCATTTCTAAAATCATACCCATTTGATTTACATCTAAGATCGGCCTTTAGCGTACATAAGCTATACACATGCACACAAATTTTAACACTGTAAACATGATGTTTTTAAAAGGTTGTTTAGCTTTAAACACATCTACTTCCTACTTCTCTGTTAAGAGTAGCAAACATGCCAGTTTCTTTTTTTTTTGAGATGGAGTCTGGCTCTGTCACCCAGGCTGGAATGCAGTGGTGCAATCTCGGCTTACTGCAACCTCCACTTACCAGGTTCAAGCAATTGTCCTGTCTCAGCCTCCCAAGTAGCTGGGATTACAGGCGCCCACCACCACACCCGGCTAATTTTTGTATTTTAGTAGAGACAGGGTTTCACCATGTTGGCCAGGCTGGTCTCGAACTCCCAACCTCAGGTGATCTGCCCGCCTTGGCCTCCCAAAGTGCTGGGATTACAGGCATGAGCAACCATGCCAGTTTCTTTTACTTTAATGTCTGTCATACCCTTGGATCAGTACAGTAAGCTGGTAAGAAAATTTCAGTTGAAAGTTATATTTAAAAATTCACTTGCAAGATGTTAGTAATACCTTTTGGAAGACTAAAAATATTTTCGGTTAGTCAGAAACTCCTCTGCTTTATCAATTAACCACAGCATAGTTTTGCTCCCAAGTCAACTTTTTTCATTATCCAGGCTACTTTTCCTTCTTGATGCTCCTGTTAGTTTATGCTTAAGAATGCAAAGAATGCATCTTAATGCTAGCCAATAGAGAACATAATAAAGATGGTAAATGTCCCATAAGAATAATGATATTATGCATTTCAAATGCCAAAATAAAAGTTTATTTAACTGTTTGGAGCACTTGTCTTCTCCCATAAATATGTATGGCCTGGACTTAACTATATGTCCTGGCAAACAGAGCCCTCTAAATGTAATTCTCCCATAATACTAATATGCCGTGTGTACAGCATGTACTATTTTGCCTGGCTGCAGGAACTACTCACCCTCTCCATCTGATTACAATGAGAGCATCTGATAATTGGGCAGGGCCCAAACTGGTACATTTCCTAGGACCCATGAACTTTGGAGATAGGAAACTCAAATCAGTTTCTAGTTTTTCTGTAGTGGCAAAGCTTTATTATGTAAAACTAAGAGCTGTCAGCAACCATATTTTCTGAATTTAGAAAGCTGTTCTACAGAGAAAGAGGAGACCCAAATAGATGAAGAAGCCAAAATAAAAAATAGCCAGAGTCCCAAAAGCATGTGAGCCGTATTTCCAAAGCCTAGCTGTATGCCTGCCTCCATCATGCCTCAGTCATGCTGAAATATACACCAAGATATTCTACACTCTCCCTTTTATTTAGGCTATTTTGAATTGGGTTTCTATTGCTTATAATCAAGAGTTCAAACTAATATTTGGTGTCAGACTATTTTTAGAACATTCCAGAGGAATGCTGTGAAGCCATCTGATAGTGAGTGGAAAGGGCAAAGCACAGAAATATTCTACTTCATTATAACAAACGTAATTTTAATGTAATTCTGGCCATATAAATACCTACTCTTTTACTGCCTCAGTCCCTCAAATGGCTGACAGTCTAATGGAGAAGACAGATCAGAAAGTCATGTCAGTACACTGTGATAAGTGCATCACAACACGGATTTGCATATCACAGATCTATCTGGGGTGGCATTGAAGTGAAGAGGATATTAGAAGGTATGAGAGTCAAATTGCCTAAAATCTTAAAGTACAAGGAAGACTTGGCCTGGAGAGAGGGGAGGAGGTGAAACAGGAAAAACTCCCTTGTCCCCCTCACAGGGCAGTGTGATGGGGGTGTGGCTCATTTCTTCAGTGCCCCACTGCTCAAACCTCTAGGGGAGCATACAGACGGGCAGGCTGTGGGGATCCGACCCCCAGCAGTGTCTAGGGGTGAATGTTTACAGCTGAAGCCCCAGTGGGTGTGTGTTACACGGTGCTCTTTTAGTTTAGCTGTCTGTAGGTGTCTTGTGTTAGCTCAATTAGACCCCTGCCTTATCGTAGGGACAGAGGGCTTTCTGTATCCCGAGGTTCTGGCCTTGGTGTCCTGGAAGAATCGGATCACACCTGGGCTTGAAGAATGAGTGCAAGGTTTTATTGAGTGGAAGTAGCTCTCAGCAGATGGGGGAGCCAGAAAGGAGATTGGTTTTCCCCTAGAGTCGAGCTGCTTGGCAGCCGGGGCTCTCCCTCAACTGCCCCAGCCAAACTTCGCATGCTCTGCCAGTCGGCAGCCTGCTAGCATCCGGCGTGCTCCCCTCAATGTCCTCTCAATGTCCAGCCACTTCTGTCTACTTCTGATGTGTTCTTCTTGATGTCCAGTCGCTTGTGTGTGTGTGTCTGCCTGCTAGGGTCTCGGGGGTTTTTATAGGCACAGGATGCGGGCGTGGCAGACCAAGGTGGTCTTAGGAAATGTTTTGGGCAGGAAAACAAAAATGCCTGTCCTCAACTAGACCTGTGGGCACAGGCCTGGAGGCGGAGCCCTAGCCAGGGACCACACCCTTCTCCCCTTCCGTATCATTGAAAGGGACCATGCCCTTCCCTTCCCAGCACTTCCCTTCCCCATTTCTGTATCAGAGGGACATTCCAAGCACCTAAGCAGAGAACAGCCCACACAAATGAAAGAGAAAACAAGGCAACAAGGAGAGTTTCCTGGGCAGATGGCTGTGGGGTTTGGTGTGCTATACTCTATCTTTAAACATTTTTGACAACTTTCTTTTTATATCCCTTTTTGCAACTGGTTTCTCCTTTCCACATTTCCCAACTACTCCAAAATAAAACTCATTTTAATAATAAAATGCATATTTCCTATTAATAGATAAATTCTTCTTTTAAAAAGGCTAAATAAGAAGTCCCTTCTAAAAATAATTCAAGTTAAATTTAGGCTCAATCCCACAAAGTAGGAAAAAAGGATCTTCTGAGTCTCTTATATTACCACTTCATTGCAGACTAGATACATTTTCATTCACTTTTATGTTCTCATTACACAAGTGTTGATAAGCAGGTTAGATTTGGTAATATTCTCTCACCTGAATTGCACATCTAATAATGCTAGATAAAGACTGTCTCAAGCTTGTTGGTATGTTTACACTGCTTGATTAGGTAATAAATAATGACCTTTCTTCATATCATGTAATTCTCTCTCTAGGCATCAAACCAAGCTTTCTTTTCCACTACCAAACAGTCCCACCCTTGTTCTGCTTTGAAATCATTTTAGTCTCAGCCAAGAGTTTTATTGCTCAGTCAGGTCCTCCTCTGGTTTCCCACTTCGCATCAAGGCACACTTATCCCCGCTCCATCTGACTCAGGGGAAGCTGTCACTTACCCTGTCTTCAGTGGAGTTAGAGCTGTGTTATTTGTGTGCCTCCTCACTGTTAGCCACAATTTGAGCTTCCTGCTTTATCCTGGGTTGTTTTTGACCCCTCGCCACAGTGTCACTTATGAATTTGTCTCAGCAGCTGGTGAGAGCAATTATCCCCTATCCCTATAGCATGGCTTCTAGATGAAGACTGGTAGGGCTACCCTCATTCACTTCTAGTTAGCTATTTGGGCCAAGATTTGCCCATCATTTTCAAGTCAGGTCTCAGCAGGAAGTGATCCCAATCTTGGCTGGGCAGGAACATAAACAAAAGCAACTGAACTCAGGGCAGCTACATGTTGTAGTAATGGTTTCTGCCTTGATACACAACAATGTATCATTTGTTCTGTTCCCGTCATAAGCCACTTACCCACCCACAGACCTTCTGAGATCCATGTCTTCAGGAGCAGCCACATTCCAGTTCCCAGGCAAATTCTGATATGGAGCATTAAGAGTGAGTAGGTACCTATTCCCCACCACAAGGAGGAGTTACAACCAAATCAGTCCCTCCAGTAGACTGACCTGGAGCTCAGAACCCCTTTAACAATTTAACTCTCTTAATCTGCGCTGTGTGAAAGGTTAGCACTCCTTCAATTGGACCTTCTTCCAATAAAATTCTGTCCCCTAAATTTTCATCCCTATCTTCCTTCCCAATATATTTCCCTATTATAAGACTGAGACTCTAATTTGTTTTCTGTGCTCATTATTTTCCATTTGGCCTCAACTAAGATCCATATTCTGCTCCACTATGTGTCTCAGGAGGCTGACCCCTAGAGATTTCTGCCTCGTTCCAATTGAGCCAATGGGCACTACAGCAGGCGATTAGGAGTTGAAAAGAGAAAAGGGTCAGGGTATTTTTTTCTCTTTCCCACCCTGCTTCAATCAATGTTTCATCTCTGACTATAGCTGCACTCCGCAGCTACAGCTCTAGCTCCTCCTGCAGGACTCAAGTTCTTACTTGACCCGGGCAACACTACTTCTTCCCATTGATCCCTAGGTCCTAGGGTTGGTAATACCTTCCTACTGATACTGGTCTCTAGGAGGCTCACCAGCCATTGTTTTGTGCCCTTAACCCTGCCCATTCCTTTGTAAGTAGTCCCTTCATTAAAGTCTCTTCTTTTGAGCTATCTAAGCTGAACTGTGTTTCCTTCTGGGGCCCTGATAATATAATACCCATAGTGGACATCTACTGTTTTGCTGGGCCCAAATCCACATCCCATTTCATATAGTGCTTAATAAAAGCAGCTAATTTTCAGTTAGGTTTATACATCCACAATACAAAGCCCACATATTTTGGGGTAACTTCTTCTATCCCTGGCTCTGTGGATTAGGCAAGAGGCTGAAGCCTGTGTTCATCAATGTAATCCTAGCTCACTAGAAATGAATGGTTAAGAATGGGTACACACTTTAAGATGGTTCAATTAGACTGAAGTCCAGAGTTTCTGTGTGATGGCCAAAAAGGCTTTCTTCTACCAGATAAGATTGTATTGAAGATAAGATATTTGTAACATGTCAGGCTGAAGGTGCCAGGAGCCCCCTATTTAGATGAGGATGCTCCTAGGCAAAGGCAAAGCAGAGAGAATTACAAAGAATCCAGGCCCTTAGTGACATTATTTGTGCAGCTGGATCAAGTTAAACTGTTTGACAATAACTCCCTATGAATTGTTCAGTCAGATGAGCCACCAAGGATCATTTTTTCTTCAGCTCCTTTGAGTTGGGTAATCTGCCACTTGCAGAAGCAAAAATCCTAAAGGGTACAGCACCATCACAAGTTCCCAGTCCAGTAATTTGCCAAATCTACCTCAATCCCCCTGTGAAGGCTATGAAATTACTACGCATAAACAGATGGCCCAGAGATCAACGAGCAGTTTATCTATACTCCCAAGTGGCCCTTGTGGGGAGACTCCTTTGCCTGCATTATCCACCTGTTTGGGCACTTCACTATGTCACCTCAGACCCCAGCTACACATCTTCATGAATCACAAATGAAGATGGCCAAAGTCCCTAAACAGCATGCCTAACTAGATCTGTCCTGGCATCTCCCACATGTAGTGTAGGACCAGTGCCTCTTCCCACATCTATCTTACTTAAAGTATCCCACTATTCCTTGCTAATATATCCTAAGATACACCTCCCGTGTGTCTCCTGAAGTGTTACTTCCCTATCCTCCCACACTTGCTAACCTTCTCCTCTTGGATGTTGCTGTTCATCAGGTCCCAAACACACTCTCAACCTGCTACTTATATAACCCTATCCTGAGCTGGGATAGGATCCATTTATAAAGACAGATAAAACTGAGCCTCAAGAAGGTATCCTCAAGAAATGTTTAGGTTAGTAGGAGAAACAAAAAAAAATACACAGATAACTCTAGTTCTAAAATGGTATGCGTCATAATAGATAATCCCAAAGAAGAAGAGAAAACTTCCAACTAGGAATATGAAGAAGAGAAAGTGAGAATGAAGGCACTAACATTTATAGAATGCCTACTAGTGTCTAGATCCTCTGAAAGACTCTGTAGTGATGTGTAGCTCTCACCTGGTATATTACAACCAATAGCTTAATCAATATTTACTTTGCCCCTCCCCCTCCCCCTCCCCCACAAACTATACAGAAGCCACACAGTATTTTAAAAAGGTAAGTCAGATCAAGTGACTTATCTCTTCAAAAACCCTCTGATGGCTCCTCATCTCATTCAGGGCAAAGTCCTCACTAAAATTGACCTAAAAGACCCTATATGATCTGGCTTGTTCTTTCTGCCTCATCTCTCTCTGCATGAGCCAACTGACCTCTTTTCTGTTTTGGCACATGCCAAGCATACACACACCTCAGAGACTTTGTACTTGCAGTTCCCTCTGCCTGGAATACTCTTCCTTCAAATATTCCCTGGCTCTTCCAGGTCCCTGCTCAAGTGCCATCTTCTCAGGAAGTCCTTTTCAGACCATCCTATTTTAAAATAGTTTCTCCACTTTCTGCATTCTCTACTCTCCCTCTCCTCTACCCTTCTCTATTTCTCAAAATATATATTTTGTTTTTATGTATTTACCTATCTCCACGAGGGTATAGGTTCTGTGAGGGCAGAGTTTTTGGTCTATTTTGTTCTACAGATAGGTGATATCACTACTTAAATATTTATTGAATGACCGGATTATATACCATTTAAAATTAAAAACGATCCTGAGATTTGGGAATTGTTTGCATTTTGCAGATGGTCAGACTGTGGTAATTTTCTCAGGATCAGAGAGCTAGTGAATTTTAACACTAGAATCTGGAATCAATCTGTTGGATAATAAGGCTCACATGCTTAGGGAAAATATCAAGGGCTGAGGAGCTGGGCTTTATAAGATGAGTAGAGCTTCTGTGTCTGAGGGCAACAGGAGTAAAAAATATGGCAGGAAGAACACAAGTAAAGGTATGGAGGCACAAGAGCCTGAGGCACATATATGAAGCAATACGTACACAAGATGTAAAGTAGATGTGGACAGTATGCACACGAATGTAATGTGCCTCTGAGATTTAAAAAACCAACCAGGATAAAATGAGGCTCATTCCTATGGTTTAATAATGAATCCTATGGCCAGGCGCGGTGGCTCACGCCTGTAATCCCAGAACTTTGGGAGGCCGAGGCGGGCGGATCATGAGGTCAGGAGATCGAGACCATCCTGGCTAACACGGTGAAACCCTGTCTCTACTAAAAATACAAAATATTAGCCCGGCGTAGTGGCGGGCGCCTATAGTCCCAGCTACTCAGGAGGCTGAGGCAGGAGAATGGCATGAACCTGGGAGGCGGAGCTTGCAGTGAGCCGAGATCGCACCACTGCACTCCAGCCTGGGTGACAGAACAAGACTCTGGAAAAAAAAAAAAAAAAAAAAAAAAAAAAAATATATATATATATATATATATATATGGAATGAATACTTTTCTTTTCCTCAGCAAAGTGGTGTGGGTAAAATAAAGCTATACAAAGATGCTAAAGGCAGTTTTCTGCCCAGGCTGAAAATGAAACTCAAACCCATATTTTTCAGCAACTTTATTCAAATTTGTCTCCTTACCAAAAGGAGACAAATTTGAAGAGAAAATGAGGAGTGAAGACTTCATACACATTTCAATTACACATGTTATCCCATGTTAGCATGGATAATCAAAAGTTAGCTATACCTACAAAAGCTATTTTCTGTAAGTATTCTAAACACTAATTAGGAAATTCAGCCTAAATACTGTATCTTCAAAAATAATTCTGGACACCATATTAAGAAGGCATAGAGATGTGATAAAATCTATCATTTAAATGTTGTGTCTGGGCTTCTCATTGGTAAATAAAAGAACTGTAAAATCACAGAGTTACAGAGTTAGTAGTACTCTTAGAAACCATCACCAAACTTTTCATTTTGCAGATGAAGAATTAGAGCCTAAAGAAGTAAAGTGGCATATCCAGGTCCACAGAGTTCATGAGTGCCAGAGTCTGAACCAGAACTCAGTTTCTTGATTCCTAGTTTGCTGTCCTTTTTGTCACCTCAAGAGCCTACCTCTTATGGAAGTTTTAGAGATATACAGTTGTGTATGAAATTCCTTAATGCTGCTTAATGGCGCCCTCTTGAGTGAAGCTTTATGTAAATGTCAGGAAACCAACAGTCACATGTTCAATTTCCAGTTAATATAGAGATTTTATTCATTGAACATTAACTGAAATAGTTTCTATGCCAATGAGCTTCTTTTACCTTAGATTTTCATAAGAATACCATCAGGCTGTTTAAAATATATAAAGCCTTCTTACAATATAAGAATCCTAAACCCACTATAGAATACAGTTGAGAGATCTGACATTCATGATGACATCTGTACAATTCTGGACTCACATATTTCACTCTCTTCACAGAAGTTGCCTTTTCAAGGAAACACATTGTCTTCTATACCCTCTCATAATTTCTGCATTCCATCATGGGTCTGACCTCAGCCAGCCTCACGCTATCCCTTGAAATTATGCACTAGTATTTCTTCCTCTAGTACAGATTTTGTACATGTACATAAAATTTTAAACCCCTATAACCTTAAAAACTCTAATTTAAACCTCATCTGAGAGGTAGATAGATAAATATAAATAAAGGAAACCAAAAAGCTGCTGTAATTAAGCAATCTCAAACATTCACAAAAAGCCTTTCTTTAAAATAACTATACAAATGGAAAAATGCAAATAAATAATAAATAAAAGTCTTTTGAAAAAGCAATATTTTTGGTATGGCATTGTATATCTTTGTTGAAATAAGTACTTTTAAGGCTTGGTGTCTTATGTTCAATTATCTCTAAGATCAATTTATCTTCTCAGAAATGTGGAGTTTTTTTAACATTATGTTTTTCTTTCACATATTGGGAATTTTAGTAAAGTAACCAAAGCATGAAATAACCATAAGCAATCTTGTATAATAATGTACCATTAAATTTCAATGGAATTACTGCAAACAAAAAATAAAGATGTCAATGTAGCATCACAGCATGAAGCAGCACATGTAAGCATTAGTTAAAAAAAAGGCACATTCATTCATTCAATTGAGTTACTGCCACTCTACCACTGAATGAAACAGAGAAAAAGATGAATGCACAAAACAATCTACTGCATTAAGTGAAATAGAATGAGAAGCACTTTAATTGGATAAAATTTAAGAGCTGAATTACAAATGCCACATAAATAAATAGCTCTAAATAATGTGTTTTTCCAGTTAAATAATGACTTTAATAAAACAGATGAAAATGTAGGCTGTGTTGTTTTTTCTGCCTGTCAGAATCTCATTAGCATTCCAATTTAAATTCTACAAGTACACTCAAATCTCTCATTTGTACATCTGGCATAACTCAAAACACTGCCTTATTTGTTAAAAAAAATTTAAGGCAAATGAGCCAATTCACAATATCTTGCAGCGGTATCTTAATGGGTGAAAACAATGTTGTTATTTCAGTGTTGCATAACAGCAGGAGTTTCCATGTGGGGAAACTGAAAAAATTTAGATATCACTTTCAAAGAAAATTTGTTTTTATAAGAAAATCCTGAAAGCATGGAATTAAGTGCTAATGCTCTCTTTAAACTATTTCATATACAGAATTATCATATAAAACATATTTATCTTTAGAATAAGCTTTGGAATATTATCTAAAGAAACAATTAATGAAGCTAAAATTCCAGGTAAATATGGCATCGCTTCTAAGTTTTTTTGTGACAAAAGTTACACCATCATCAACACTTAAAAAATAAAATGCAGGGGAAAATTTATCAAACTACTTAGGTTTAACAATAACTCTAAAACTATAATGTACGTAAGAGGTACATAAAGATATCTCAAAACTGGATATTCCTAGGATTTAGCCCCAGAATTCTGATTCATAGATGGGGATCAGAAATTTGAATTTTTAACATATATCACAAGTGATTTCAACGCAAGTGGTCTGTGGACCACAATTTGAGAAACTCTAACCTGTAGGTTAAAGCATATACCCTTTAGATTGACAAAGTTTTTCATAATCTGGTTTTACTCTACCTTTCAATCATATTCTATAGGATGAACTACCAAATTCAGTCACTTGAATCTCATTACTTCCATCTTACCTTTGTGCTGAGTATCAAAGTCTGAATCTGAACCTCCTCAATCCTTTGTATTAATATCACAATTTGAGTACAGACCAGTTAAAGTCCAGCTTAGTACAGACCAGTGGATCATGGGATACAAAAAAATAGTTAATAGACATTGGGCTTAATACAGACCTCAGATTCAAAGCAATCCTAAGTGAAGTATCCCAACAGATAGGCTGAGCACAGGCAAATAAGGAACCAGTAGTACAGAGATACTACTTTGGCTAAGACTAATTGGTCCTTACAAAGTTAACTTGATCCACTTATTAACGATTTCATCTTGAAAAGGAACTTGGAGAAATATAAAAGTAAGCTGCTTTATGTCATATTTAACAAAATTTTAGTTGTAATTATAACTCTGGACTAACTTTTAGATCAAAGAATAAACCAGTTATATGTCCTTTGTTGATTTTTCTGAAATTACTTCATGATAGTCTGATATAGTATCTGTCAATTCACATTTAACACCTAGAAGACTGTAACAGATATCTTCTAACAGGTATATTCAAGGGTTTATCTGGTTTCCAAATAGTTTCTCTTAATCCTTTGTTCTTCCAATCAGTTCCTTTTGAAGCATCATTATATTATTACCCTTGATAATTTTTCTGCTTCAATTGTAAACTGTCAAATCCTCACGTATCAGTGGTTTTACTGGGATTCAATAGATTCTCCAATGTCATTTACACCAATGTCACAAAATCTGTCTCTTTCTCAAAATTTTCTATTTTTTATGGTCAATTTACATTGTATTCTTTCAGGTCTGGAATAGTCAACTAAAAAGTATGAACACATCTACCACATTTCTTTTTTTTTTTTTTTTTTCCTTTTTTAAACTTTTGCATTCTTTCTCAACTTTTAGTTTAGGTTCGGGGTACACGCGCAGGTTTGTTACATGGGTAAATTGTACGCTGCTGAGGCTTAGTATAAGAATGACCCTGTCACCCAGGTGGTAAACACAGTACCCTTCCGGTAGTTTTTCAATGCTTGCCTCCCTTCCCATCTCCGCCCTCAAATAGTCCCCAGTGCCCTGTGTCTACTGCTCCTATCTTTATGTCCATGTGTACATAATGTTTAGCACCTACTTATAAATTAGAACATGTGGTATTTTGTTTTCTATTTCTGTGTTAGTTCACTCAGGAAAATGGCTTCTAGCTGCATCCATGTGGCTCCAAAGGACATGATCTTGTTCTTTTCTATAGCTGCGTAGCATTCCAAGGTGTATATGTAACATATTTTCTTTATCCAGTCCACTGTTGATGGGCATCTAGGTTGATTCCATGTCTTTGCTATTGTAATAGTGCTGCAATGAACATATGAGTGAATGTCTTTTTTTGGCAGAATGATTTAGTTTCGTTTGGGTATATACCCAGTAATGGGATTGCTGGGTCAAAAGGTAGTTCTAAGTTCTTTGAGAAATCACCAAACCGCTCTCCACAATGGCTGAACAAATTTACATTCTCATCAACAGTATATAAGTGTTCCCTCTTCTCTGCATTTTTGCCAATATCTGTTTTTTTCTTTTTAATAATAGCCATTCTGACTGGTGTGAGATGGTATATCAATGTGGTTTTGATTTGCATTTCTCTAATTATTAGTGATGTTGAGCATTTTTTCATCTATTTTTTTGGCCACATGTATGTCTTCTTTTGAGAAGTACCACATTCCTTAACCACCAAGTAAATGGCAAAAACATTGATATGATAGGCAAAGATAGAAGTTGTGTTAATCTGGTAACAACTAATTTTATTTGTGTTCACTAGGGAATGCCTTCAAGGCACATTTTATTCTCTATAGAACCTAGGTATATGTGTATTATAAATACACACTATGGAAATTCAGGAAAGCAGTCAGTATTGAAAACATCTGTCAGAAGCTAGCTGGGTTGGGCATCAAAAAGGCCAGGGATAGAGCTATACACCTGGGGAAGAAAGGCTGGTAAGAAGATAGCACATGCCTATGTACTAGGCTTGCCAGTAAATTGGGATACACTCTGAAAGCAAGCCAGCTAAGTAAGGAAGTTTTTAAAAGTTTCAAAAAAAATACCTGCAGATTTGAAACTCTAATATTTATATAATGTAGTATTTTGCACACTTACTATGTGTATGCTAAGTGGTTTTTATACATTTTCTCATTTAATCTTCATAAAAGCCCTGTGTGGCAGGTAATATTATTGTTATCATTTACAAAGGAGGTGACTGAAAGTTAAAAAGATTAGCTCATCTAAGCCCTTAAAGCTAGCAAGTAGCTGAGTTGAAATTTGCATTCAGTAATTCTGACCTTAAATTTGATCCTCTGAATTACTCTACTACAGACCTTTGCATTTTATATTATTTTACTTTATATTTTATATTTTTACTATCTTAAAGATTAATGAAATGTATAGTTATAACTCTGCTTTAATGGCATATTACCTATTTTTCCATCCTCAGCATCCAGCAGTGTATTACACACAATGAACTTTCAATAAATACTCCTTGAATTAATTGTTGGTCATATCCATAATTAAATTAATGTTAGATCTTAGAGCAAATGCACAACATTTGGGATTAAGTTTGCCTTTATGATTTCCAAGAACACACTGAGGAGAAACGTAGCTCTCCCTAGGTGTAGATAGTCCTTCCAAGGAACATGAAAGAAGGGCATTTTAATATCTGAGAGTGCGTCAGAACATATAAAAACTTTAAGAAAATGAAGCACTTCTTTTCCAGATTAGCATAGCTACTTTAATTGATGGTTTTCTGATTTCTAGATACTAAAGTTATGATTTCAAGAGGTCTCCCTCATAAAAAGGGGGTAAATGCTAGATTCTTCCCTGTACTACAATGCATTGAATTGATTCAACAAATCATTATTGAGCATCTACACACACAGTTTCAGGCACATCTACTATGTTTCAGGCACCCTACAGTTCTAGGTATGGGGTATAGATATACAAGATGTCTATATTCATGAAGCTTATATCCTAGTGAAATGCAATGAATAGTCAACAAGTAAACAAATTAACTAGATATATTCTAGGAAAACCCATAGTATCAGCCCAAAAGCTTCTTAAGCTTATAAACAACTTCAGCAAATCTCAGGACACAAAATCAGTGTGCAACAATCACTAGCATTCCTATACACCAACAACAGTCAAGCTGAGAGCCAAATCAAGAATGCAATCCTATCCACAATTGCTGCAAAAAGTATAAAATACCTAGGAGTACAGCTAACTAGGAAGGTGAAATATCTCTACAAGGAGAACTACAAACCACTGCTCAAAGAAATCAAAGAGAACACAAATAGAAAAATATTCCATGCTCATGGATAGGAAGAATCAATATCGTGAAAATGGCCCTACTGCCCAAAGCAATTTGTAGATTCAATGCTATTCCTATTAAACTACCATGGACATTCTTCACAGAACTAGAAAAAAAACTATTTTAAAATTCATATGGAACCAAAAAAAAAAACCAAATAGCCTACGCAATCCTAAGCAAAAAGAACAAAGCCGAGGGCATGACACTACCTGACTTCAAACTATACTACAGGGCTACAATAACCAAAACAGCATGGTACTGGCACAAAAACAGACACATTGACCAATGCAACAGAATAGAGAAACCAGAAATAAGACCACACACCTACAGTTACCTGATCTTCAACCCTGACAAAAACAAGCAATGGGGAAAGAATTCCCTATTCAATAAATGGTGCTGGGATAACTGGCTAGCCATATGCAGAAGATTGAAACTAGACCCCTTACTTACACCACATACAAATTCAACTCAAGATGGATTAAAGACTTAAATGCAAAGCCCAAAACTACAAAACCCTGGAAGAAAACATATGCAATACAATTCAGGACACAGGCACAAGCAAAGATTTCATGACGAAGATGCCAAATTGTAACAAAAGTAAAAATTGACAAATGAGATCTAATTAAACTAAAGAACTCCTGCACAGCAAAGGAAACTATCAAAAAAGTAAACAGACAACCTAGAGAATGAAAGAAAATTTTTGCAAACTATGCATCTGACAAAGGTCTAATATCCAGCATCTCTAAGGAACTTAAACAAATTTACAAGGAAAAAGTAAACAACCCCATTACAAAGAGGGCAAAGGAAATGAACAGGACTTTTCAGAAGAAGACATATATGCAGCCAACAATCATATGAAAAAAGCTCCACATCACTGATCACTAGAGAAATGCAAATCAAAACCACAATGAGATACTATACCACACCAGTCAGAATGACTATTATTAAAAAGTCACAAAATAACAGATGCTAGTGTGGTTGTAGAGAAAAAGGAATGCTTATACACTGTATAATTTATACGTCCAGGATGGGAGTATTAATTACTTCAACCACTGTGGTTGTGATTGCTCCAAGACCTAAAGACAGAACTACCATTCAACCCAGCAATCCCAGTACTGGGTATATACCCCAAAAATATATAAATCTTTCTATTATAAAGACACATGCACGTGTCTGTTTATTGCAACACTATTCATAATAGCAAAGACATGGAATCAACCTAAATGCCATCAGTGATAGACTAGATAAAGAAAATGTAGTATATATATGCCATGGAATACTATGCAGCTACAATAAACAACATGATCACATGCTTTACAAGGACATAGATGGAGCTAAAGGCCATTATCCTTAGCAAACTAACACAGGAACAGAAAACCAAATACAGCATGTTCTCACTTATAAGTGAGAGCTAAATGATGAGAACATATGGACCCATAGAGGGGAACAACACACACTGGGGCCTATCAGAAGGAGGAGAGTGGAAGGAGGGAGAGGATCAGGAAAAATAACCAATTTTATTAAGCCTAGGCTTAATACCCGGGTGATGAAATAATCTGTATGACAAACCCCCATGACACAAGTTTACCTATGTAACAAATAGGTTACATAGGTAAACTTGTGTCATGGGGGTTTGTCATACAGACAACAAACTGCACTCACACCACTGAACTTAAAGTTAAAATTAACTAGATATATTTAGTTGTGAAGAATTAAACTCGGTGGGGTATGAAAGGGTTAGCTGATCTAGCTAGAAAAGTTAGAGAAGAACACTCTGCAGTGTGAATGATGAGAAGGAGCCAGTCAAGCAAAAGGCCTGGAAAAGAGCAGTCCAGGCAAAAGGCAGTGCAAGCACTGAGTCCAGAGTCTTTCTATTGAAGCTAAAGAAACAGGAGAAAGTGACCCGGGAGAAAAAAAGCTCCCAAACTGTAAGTGCTTTTTCATCTCACACTTAAGAGTATTTTTAAAAACTAACATTTGTGGACCTTCATCACATATAAAATTTAACTCAAGACAGACCAAAGACCTAAATATAAGAGCTAAAACACTACATTTATATGCTATATAACTCTAAGAAGAAAACATAAGGGTAAATATTCATAACCCTGAATTAGGCAATAGTTTCTTATATACAACAAAGGTACAGGCAACCACACTTAAAAATAGATAAATTGGACTTCATCAAAACTAATAAGTTCTGTGCTTCAAAGGACACTATCAAGAAAGTGAAAAGACAACCCAAAGGATGGAAAAAAATATTTACAAATCATATACCTGATAAAGGTCTAGTATTATAATATGAAAAAACCTAACAACTCAATAATAAAAAAGACTAAATAAATCAACAAAAAATGGGTAAAGAATTTGAATAGACATTTCTCCAAAGACAACTGATCAGTAAGCACATGAAAAGATGCTCTTCATCCTTAGTCATTTGGAAAATAAAAATAAAATACACAGTGTAATACTACTTCACTAGGATGGCTATAGGTTTTTCCTTTAATGGAAAATTATAAGTGTTAGCAGGAATGAAAAGAAATTGGAACCCTCATACATGGCTGGTAGGAATGTAAAATGGTGTAGCCTCTGTGGGAAAAAGTTTGGTAGTTCTTCAAAAGGTTAAACATAGAGTTAGCACATGACAGCAATTCCACTCCTGGGTATCTAACCAAGAGAACTGAAAAGATATCCACACAAAATCTTGCAAACAAATATTCACAGAAGAATTATTCACAATAGCCAGAAAATAGAAACAACTCAAATTTCTATCAACTGATGAATGTATAAACAAATTTTGGTATAGCCATATAATAGAATAGTATTTGGCCATCAAAAAGAATGAAGTACTGATGCATGCTACAATGTTGATGACTCTTCAAAGCATTATGCTAGGTAAAAGAAGCCAGACACGAAAGGTCACAGATTATATATTTCCATTATATTTATCTGAAATGTCCAGAAGAGGCCAATTTATAGAGATGAAAAGTAAATTAGTGACTGCTACGAGCTGGAGGAGGGGAAATGGGATGTGACAAAGTTGAGGGGTGGAGGATTTCCTTCTGGGGAAAAAAAAAAAGATCCGGAATTAGATAGTGGTGATGGCTTCACAAATTTATAAATACACTAAAAGCCAGCAAAATATATACTTTAAAGAGGTAAGTTTTATGGTACGTGAACTGTATCTTGATTTTTTTAAATCTGAAGCAAAAAAAATAATCAGTGCTTAGCAAAATGATGGTTCCCCATCATTTTCGTCACTCTATTGTGAGGATAATATAGTCAAGAAATGACAGAGGGCCAGGCACAGTGGCTCACACCTATAATTACAGTGCTTTGGGAGGCCAAGGCGGAAGGAATGCTTGAGCCCAGGAGTTTGAGACCAGCCTGGGCAACATAATGAGATCCCATTTCAACAAAAAATAAAAAATTAGCCAGGTGTGGTGGCGTGCACCTGTAGTCTCATCTATTTGGGAGGCTGAGGTGGATGGATCACTTGAGCCCAGGAAGTCAGGGCTGCACTGAGCCAAGATCACCACCACTGCACTCCAGCCTGGGCAACAGAGAGAGAGACCCTGTCTAAAAAAAAAAAAAAAATGTAATGACAGAATAACAACCTTACTAACAAAATTAATTAACTGAAACTACAGAAAAGAAATAGAAAGATAAGCAATCTTTCTGTATAAATTTTCAGATAGTGAATACATGTTTCTTCCAAGTCAAAGTATGATTAACACATATATCCTTACTAAATTACTAGTCTACTTTATAATACATATTTATAAAAAATAACTTTAAAATATGAAACACAAGACACTTGATTTGTATTGTAATTTCTTTGCACAATGTCTAATATTTGAGCAATTTACTATTAACATTCTTTTAAGATATTGTAAGAATTAAACAAAGTGGCACTTTTATTCTACTACTGATCACTACACTCATATATAAATCAATGATTTCAAACTAACATAAACAGAAAAATAAGATAAAAGAAAATAATAAAATATTAATTACTTCAACTTTTACTTTTCTCTGGCAGTTTTATTGCTTCATAATTACTCTTAGACTGAAAAGAAAGATAATCTAAATGCCTGAACAACACCTCAGGCAATTTAAAAAATTCGTATAAGTTTTTAAAAAAGAAAACTGCAACAAAAGAATAAAAACAGATGAAAATCTCAGCAATTATACTCTTTATTATACCACTAAATAATATACTATTCTAGTTTAACCAAGTGGCCAGTTTGGGAGTAATATCTCAATGCACTCACCATAGAATATCAAGCAAGAATTAACCTGGAATGTATCAAAAAATATTTACATAATGAACTAGAAGTTTATCTTCTAAAACACACTCTCTGCATTAAACCTGTGGGGGTCATATGTTTCCATCCAAGCAGTAGAAATTCAGCTATAATAAGCAACAAACTCTCCATCCTTTTTTTTTTCTCCCTCGCTAGGACTGCTACTTACCTACTGTGTAATACCCAATAACAGTCTAGAGAACAGAAATTTTCAATTTCTAATTTGATCCATAGAGATAGAAAGCAGAATGGTGGTTGCCAGAGGTTGAGGAAGGGGTAATAGAAAGTTATTGTTTAATGGGTACAGCGTTTTGGTTTGGGATGGTAAGTTCTGGAGATGGAAAGTGGTGATGGTTATGCAACAATGTAAATGGAGTTAATTTCACTGAATTATACACTTTAAAATGGCTAAAATGGAAAATTATATCTTATTTATATTTACTACAATTTTTTAAAATGTAAAACAATTTCTAATTTTACACTAATATTCTAGACACACTATCTAGTCTGAGCATCCCATCTTGTCAGACATACTCTCAGACCTTTGAGCCAAGGCCTGGGCTACTGAGTCTTTTTAAAATGCTCTACTGTACTTCCACCACTTGAAGAACAATAAATCCTTCAAATTCTGGCACAAATATCATATCTTTGGTAAAACGTCCCCAAACAAGCCTATTTCCAACATATTTGTGTCATATGTCTATTGTGTTTTAATTAGTCTTTCCCCTTTGTTAGACTAATCTTGATGCAAAAATGATTTCTTACTCATCTTTGTGTTTCTAATGTAATCAAACAAATATTTGTTTGTTAAGTAAATAAATGAGTGAATCAATCAATGGCAAATTGGAGAATGGCCACAGTAGATAGACAGAATAGTACATTTATCTGCTAACAATGAAAATGAAGAATAGTTGAAAAGTATGAAGATTAAAAATAGAAAACTTAGCAAGGGCACAAGAATAATCAACATTATGATGACCTACCATGTAAAAAGATTTATTATGTTACACTATGTAGTTGCAATACTAGCTATCTACTTTCAGTTACAAAGAAAATCTCAGAAATAGTAACATATCTTCTTACAATCAGAAAGATTTCAGTTGATAATCTAATGACTGCTCAGTTATTTTCAAAAAAGTAAATATGACATCCCACAAGAGACTATGCTCCTTTGTGAGTCATTTGGCTCTTCCCTCTTCTACAGTCAGGCTACATCATGAGACATAGTCTGATATCAGTCAATGATCTCTAAACTCCAAAGATAGTCACTATCAATTCCTTCCCTCCTGTATGCACAAACCATTCTCTCACCCAGAGGTAAAAGTCATCCTCCACACCTTTGGTTTTTTGCTAGCCTATGACTGCTTTGACAATAGAATATGGAGGAAATGATGTTCTGGGATTTCTGAGCCTAGACATTAGGAATGCTTGGTAGCTTTTGCTCTTATACTCTTGGAGTTTGGAACCATCGTGTAAGAAGTACAGGATATCTTGCTGCAGAGATAAAGGGGGAAGTTACTGAAAAGGCCGTGAGACTACATGACAAGGAAGAGAGACCAAACTTTCTCTACATCCAAGTCAAACCTCTAGATGACTCCTCACTACGGTCAAAAAAAAAAAAAAAAAAAAAAAGCTGACTTGGCTGATTTCAATTATTTACTTTGTTTTCTGTGTAAAATATTACTATGATTCTAAGAGTCAAAGCCGTACAAAAAAGGTATGCCTTCCTCATCCATACTACTCTGCTGTTATTCTCCTTTATTCCAACCCATTTCTACTCAATCCATGTACATAACTAATTTCTTCAGAGTCTTACCTATTAACTCCTGTATATGTTTTTCTCACAAATGAGCAGAACACAAAAGTACTTTCTAATATCTCCTTCTTTCTCATATGAAAGAAGTGCCCTGGAGACATTCTTTTGCACTTTGCTATTTTTTCATAACAGAATATTCTAGAAATTACTCCAAATAAATTCATAGATATGTTCCTCATTTTTAAAAATTATTATTTTTTAATTGGTACATTATGATTGTACATGATTATGGGTTAAAATTTGATATTTCAATACATATCTATGTAGTATAATGATCCAATCAGAGTAGCTACTTTATCCATCACCTCATGCATTTATCATTTCTTTGTGGTGAGAAGATTTCTTTAGACTTTTTGATCTTTTGCCTCTTCATTTTTAAGAGTTTTTTATGTATTAGGGATATCAGCCTTTTTCCTTTATGTATTAGAGATATCAGCCTTTTCCCTAGATGTTGTGAATATTTCCTTGCACTTTGTCAGTTGTCTTTTGACTTCATTTATAGTAGTTTGAGCATAAAATTTTTTTAATGTTTTATGTGTTAAATTTATCAATCTTCTCTTTTATTGCCTCTGATTTTAAGTCAGAGTTAAAAAGCCTTTCCCTATACAAAATTTAAAGAAAAATGCACTTTTATTTTCTTCTAGTGCTTGTATGGTTTTATTTTTTACATTTAGATCCCTAGTGCATTATTTTTGGGTGTAATATAAGACATGGTATAAAATATCTTTTTCCAAATGGTGATCTAGTTCTTCCAGAACCATTTACTAAAATGTCTGTCTTTAGCCCAGTCATTTGAGATGCTATATTTATCACATGCTAAATTTCCAGATGTAGTTGAATTTATTTCTGGACATTCTATCCTATTTCACTGGTCATTGGTCGATACAAGCATGAGTATAACGGTGTTTTAGTTATAGAAGAAATCTCGGCTTGACGTGGTGGCTCACACCTGCAATCCCAGCACTTTGGGAGGCCGAGGCGGGCAGATCACCTGAGGTTGGAGGTTCGAGACCAGCCTGACCAATAAGAAGAAACCCCGTCTCTACTAAAAATACAAAATTAGCCAGGCGTGGTGGTGCATACCTGTAATCCCAGCTACTTGGGAGGCTGAGGCAGGAGAATTGCTTGAACCCAGGAGGTGGAGGTAGCAGTGAGCCGAGATAGTGCCATTGCACTCCAGCCTGGGCAACAAAAGCCTGGGCAACAAAAGCAAAACTCCTTCTCAAAAAAAAAAAAAAAAAGAAGATATCTCCTATTTTACTAGGTTTTAATGTCTGATAGGGCTAGCCATCACTTGTAGTTTTCTCTTTTTTGGCCTTTTCCTAACTTTTGTTACATGTTTGTAACAATACAAATACATGATCAACAAATATAGGATCTAATTCCATAAAATAGTTTCTTGGGACATTTGTTGGTATTGCATTAAGTTTGTACACTAATGTAGTAAGGAGAACTAACATCTTAATAATGTTGAGTGTTTGTATACAAAGAGGGGAAGTCTCTATTTTTCAACTCTACTTATGTGTTTCTGGAGTATTTAAACTTTTTCCTAGTACAGGTTTTGCATATTTCTCACTAAACTAATTCTTAAGGATTTGATCTTTGTTTCAACAGGAATGGTTATTGATTTAAGCTCCTAAATTTGGGAATGGTTTCTCACACAGCAATATATAATCGAAACAGATGAGTTAACACAAATCTACCATTACCCACAGATAATCAAGTCAGAATTATGGTTGTATTATTTTGAGGTAAAGGGGATAGTTGATGGATAAGAACTGATTTTAGCTCCTCAAAACCAAGATAAAAATGAAGAGCATAACATTTCTTCTTATATTCAAAGAGATATTTAAAACATAATTAAAAGTTTCAAATACACATGGCTTTTAAGGTTTAACAGGAAAAACTGAATGCTATAGAACACAGCACTAACTGCCAGTTAATTCTCTCAAGCCATTTTGGTGAAGGAAAGGACTAAATATCAAAGAAAAGAAACTCCAAATGACAGGAGTTTGTAATTTGATATTACAATGGTGAACTTATAGAAAAATCATTAGAAAAGTACTTTCATATCTATTCTAAAATTGTCACATTTTAGCAACTCCAGAGAGCACATTTCACTTTATGTATCTGTAGAAGTTATCATGAGAGGTCACCACCTTAACTGCACAAACACATTATTATGTAAAACTAAGTAGTAAAAAGTCACACACATTTAGTTCAAACACTTATGCCATCTGTTACATGTGTTTTATGAATTTTAATTATTTTGAAGACTTGCAGAAGCTCTACATTTGGAAAAATGCCTTCTGTCACCACAGGCAATCTCACAATCCTATGATTCATAGTAATCTCTCAGATAAACATCTCTAATAAACCAGGAAGAAAAATAGGTTCAAGTTAGATTCATTCTGGATTCTACATTTTAGGTAATGGCATTGGGAAGTCCAAGATCAATGTAAACTTACAAATACAGCTAACAACCGTTAGTAACATTTACAGGAGACATATCGCTGGATTCCCTACTAATGCTGAACTATATTTATATTTGTTTGGAGCTTAATTTTAATAAGTAATGCATGAAAAATTAGGACAACAAGATTAAACCTCATTTGCCTATAAGACATTAGGTTGGCAATCTCATCCACCAAATGCCAAAACCCTGAAAGATAATTAATAAATGTCTCAAAGTTTATGTTATTAAGTTTACATTCATAATTCAGAAGACAGTTTTTGAAGCTGTCACCCAATATCTGCTTGCTCTGATTTTAGGAACAATTTGAACAAGTTGTGATCGGTTTCCCAGCAGATATTAATAATAAAAATCAAATTAAAAAGAAACTACTTTGCCAGAGATTATCTCATCTGTGATTTATGAGAGCCTAACTCACTTGGGGGCAGGAAAATATCCAACTCTAGCACCCTGTGTCTTTGACACTGGTGAAGAGGAATGCCTAACTTCAAACACCTCTAGACTTCCTGTCTCACATGAGGGGCAATGGAGTAGAAGCACTTGTGAAGGTTACAGACTGGGGAAACCGACTCATATACAAAATAAAACCTAATCATAGGATCACAGAACACTTTCCCTCCCTCCACACTTCATTAGCACAAAATAAAACCTAATCATAGGAACACAGAACACTTTCCCTCCCTCCACACTTCATTAGCACAGCAATTAGGTTCCTGAATAATAACAGTGGATTACAGCTGAAAGAACTGCAAGTCATAGGTCCTATTTAAGAAGGAGTCTTTAGGGAAACCCAAAGACAAGAGGGGAAACATAAACAAGAGCAGTAGAAGAAAATGTAGGCTAAGATGTGGGAAAAAATGACAGATAGGAGGCAGGACTACCTTGCAGCTCCCACTCAGATGGACAGAGCAGCATGTGGAGATTCACATTATGAACTTTTCCTCCAAGAACTATGGCAGGAACATACCAGGAAAACCAAGAGAATCCAGAGACCCTTTGAAGAAGGAAGATTGCTGTTGCAGGCCCCAAGAGACAGCTGAAAAACTGCTAGTGCCCAGAGTGTGAAAGTGTGAAAGGGGAATCATCTGCCCTGGAACACACACTCTCACTGAGGAACTTGAAGTTCCAGATCACAGGAAAAGGATTTGACCTTACCTGGAGCTGAGACAAATTTAGAGAACTGAGTGAAATACAACGGTAGAAGAAGCAGCAGAAAGAGTCCTGTGGGCACTCTTGGTCCCCAGGGAAGCCATTTCTGACTTTGTCTCACAGGGGTCCATGGGAAGGGCTGCCAAAGGAACTGGGAAAAGACCATAGGAAGAAGGAAACTTCCAGCTAAACTTTGTAACAATTTCAACTGCACACAAAGCTTCCTGGACAAAACCTTGGGAAGGGGGCAAATCACGTGTATAGACACAGCACAGAAGCCATGGCAGGTGGGGAGGCATGAAACTTGAAAGCCCCACTTGCTTTCTCAGCCGGGAGGCCTGGGGCAAGTTCTTAGCCCTGTTCACCTGCTACCTGGAAATAAACTCAGTGCTGTTGGAGGGGCATGGTGGGAGTGAGACCAGCCTTTTGGGCTGTATGGGAGCTGGGTGAGGCCTATAACTGCTAGCTTTCCCTGACTTCCCTGGAAACATGCATGTTACAGCAGAGGAAGCCATAATCCCCCTAGGAACATAACTCCATTAGCCTGAGAACCAAATCCTCATCCCCCACAGCAGCCACAGCAAGACCCGCCCAAGAAGAGTCTGAGATCAGACATGTCTAATCCTCCCCCAACCTGATGATCTTTGTCTACCAGCCCTGGTAGCCAAAGACAAAGGACATAATCCCTTGGGAACTCTAGGGCTCTGCCCACCACCTGAGAAACCTGAATACTTATCCAACGGCAACCCTAGGGCAAGCTTGTATCCTCCCTATACAACCCTAGCTGATACACTCTTGAGAGCACCACCTCCTGACTGGAGGCAAACCAACACAAAACCAGTACACTTCACAAAAACACAACCAAGGACCCTCACAGAGTCCACTTCAATCCCTTGGAACCTCAATCATAGCAGGTGCTGGTATCCATGGTTGAGAAACCTGAAAATGGTTCACATATCACAGGACACTGTGCAGACACTCCCCAGTACCAGCCCAGAGCCTCGTAGCTCTCTTGGGTGGCTAGATCCAGAAGAGAAATAACAATCACTGCAGTTTGGCTCTCAGGAAGCCACATCCTTAGGGGAAGAGGGAAAGCACCACATCAAGGGAGCACCCTGTGGGACAGCAGAATCTGAACAGCAGCCCTTGAGCCCTAGATCTTCCCTCTAGCATAGTCTACCCAAATGAGAAGGAACTAGAAAAACAATTCTGGTAATATGACAAAACAAGGTTCTTTAACACTCCCAAAAGACCACACTAGCTCACCAGCAATAGATCCAAACCAAGATAAAAATCTCTGAATTGCCAGAAAAAGAATTCAGAAGGTCGATTATACTAAGTGAATCAGGGAAACCAGAGAAAGGTGAAGTCCAAATAAATTTAATTTTAAAAATAATACAAGATCTGAAGTGAAAAATCTTCACTGCAATAGATAGCATAAATAAAAAATAATCACAACTTCTCGAAATGAAGGACACACTTAGAGAAATGCAAAACACACCAGAAAGTCTCATCAATAACATCAAAAAAGTAGAAGAAAGAACTTCAGAGATCAAAGAGAGGGCTTTCGAATTAATTCAATCTAACAAAGACGAAAAGAAAAATGAACAAAGACTTTAAGAAGTTGAATGACCAAACCTAAGAATAATTGGTGGTCCCAAGGAAGAAAAGAAATCTAAAAGTTTGGAAAACATATTTGAGGGGATAATCGAGGAAAATTTCCCTGGCCTTGCTAGAGATCTGGACATCCAAATACAAGAAGCTCAAAGAAAATCTGGAAAATTTATCGCAAAAAGATCATCACCTAGAAACACAGTCATCAGGTTATCTAAAGATGAAGGAAAGAATCTTAAGAGCTGTAAGGCAAAAGCATCAGGTAACTATAAAAGAAAACCTACCAGATTAACAGCAGATTTCCCACCAGAAACCCTACAAGCTAGAAGTGATTGGGGTCCTATCTTTAGTCTCCTTAAACTAAATCAGTATCAGCAAAGAATTTTCTATCCAGTGAAACTAAGCTTCATAAATGAAGGAAAGATAGTCTTTTTCACACAAACAAATGCTGAAAGAATTCACCACTACCAAACCAGCACTGCTAAAAGGAGCTCCAAATCTTGAAACAAATCCTCAAAATACACCAAAATAGAACCTCCTTAAAGCATAAATCTCAAAGGACCTATAAGACGAAAACACAATGAAAAAAACCAAGGTATTCAGGCAAAAAATCGCATAATATATAGAATAGTACCTCACATCTCAATACTAATGTTGAATGAAAATGTCCTAAAATAATCCACATAAAAGATACAGAATGCTGGCTGGGTGCAGTGGCTCATGCCTATAATCCCAGCATTTTGGGAGGCCGAGGCAGGTGGATCACTTGAGGTCAGGAGTTTAAGACCTGCCTGGCCAACATGGCAAAACCCCGTCTCTACTAAAAATACAAAAATTAGCAGGGTGTGGTGGCAGGCACCTGTTATCCAACCTACTCAGGAGGCTGAGGCAGGAGAATTGCTTAAACCCAGGAGGTGGAAGTTGCAGTGAGCCGAGATCATGCCACTGCATTCCAGCCTGGGCAACAGAGCAAGACTCCATCTCAAAAAAAAAAAAAAAAAAAGGTACGGAATGGCAGAATGGATAAGAACTCACCAACTAACTATCTGCTGTCTTTCAGAGGCTCACCTAACAAAAAGGACTCACATAAACTTAAGGTAAAAGGGTGGAAAAAGATATTCCATGCAAATGGACACCAAAAGCAAGCAGGAGTACCTATTCCTATATCAGGCAAAGCATACTTCAAAGCAACAGCAGTTTAAAAAGACAAAGAGGAAAATTATATAATGATAAAAGAACTTGTCCAATAGGAAAATATCACAATCCTAAATATATATACACCTAACACGGCAGCTCCCGAATTTATAAAACAATTACTATTAGACCTAAGAAATGAGATAGACAGCAACACAATAATACTGTGGGACTTTAATACTCTACTGACAGCACTAGACAGGTCATCAAGACAGAAAGTCAACAAAGAAACAATGGATTTAATCTATACCTTAGAACAAATGGACTTAACAGATATTTACTGAACATTCTACCCAACAACTGCAGAATATACATTCTATTCATCAGCACATGGAACATTCTCCAAGATAGACAACATGATAGCCCACAAAACGAGTCTCAATAAAGAAAATTGAAATTATATCAAGAACTCTCTCAGACCACAGTGGAATAAAGTTGGAAATCAACTCCAAAAAGAACACTCAAAACCATGTAAATGCATGGAAGTTAAATAACCTGCTCCTGAATGATTGTTGAGTCAACAATCAATAAAATTCAGATGAAACTTTTAAAATTCTTTGAACTGAACAACAATAGTGACACAGCCTATCACATTCTGGGATACAGCAAAAATGGCACTAGGAGGAAAGTCCATCTAAAGCCCACATCTAAAAGTCTGAGAAAGCACAAATAGTCAATCTAAGGTCATACCTCAAGGAACTAGAGAAACAAGAACAAACCAAATCCAAATCCAGAAGAAGAAAAGAAATAACAAATATCAGAGCAGAAGTAAATGAAATTGAAACAAAAATAGTAATACAAAAGATAAATAAAACAAAAAGCTGGTTATTCGAAAATTAATTAACAAACTTAATAACGTTAGTGAGACTAACCAAGAAGAGAGAAGATCCAAATAAGCTCAATTAGAGATGAAATGGGAGATATTACAACTGATACCACAGAAATACAAAAAAAGTCATTCAAGGCTACTATGAACACCTTTATGTGCATAAACTAGAAAACCTAGAAAAGATGGACAAATTCCTGGCCATATACAACACTCCTGGATTAAACCAGGAAGAAATAGAAACTCTGAACAGACCAATAATAAGCAGCGAGACTGAAATGGTAATTTTAAAAAATTGCCAACAAAAAAAGCCCAAGACAAGATGGATTCACAGCTGAATTCTATCAAACATTCAAAGAAGAATTGATACCAATCCTATTGACACTACTTCACAAGATAAAGAGGGAATCCTCCCTAAATCATTCTATGAAGCCAGTATCTCCCTAATACCAAAACCAGAAAAGCACATAATAAAAAAAGGAAAACTAAGGCCCAATATCCCTAATGAACATAGATGCAAAAATCCTCAACGAAATACTAGCTAACCAACTTCAACAGCATATCAGAAAGATAATCCACCATGATTAAGTGGGTTTCATACCAGGGATGCAGGGATGGTTTAACATATGCAACTCAATAAATGTGATACACCATGTAAAAAGAATTAAAAACAAAAATCCCATGATCATCTCAATAGAAGCAGAAAAAGCACCTGACAAAATCCAGCATCCCTTTATGATGAAAACCCTCAACAAAATCGACATAGAAGAAACATACCTTAACATAATAAAAGCTACCTATGACAAACCCACAGCCAACATTATACTGAATGGGGAAAACTTGAAAGCATTTCCCCTGAGAACTGGAACAAGACAAGGATGCCCACTCTCATCACCTATATTCAACATAGTACTGGAAGTCCTAGCCAGAGCTATCAGACAACAGAAAGAAATAAAGGGGATCTAAATCATTAAAGAGTTAGTCAAACTGTCGCTGTTTGCTGATGATATGATTGTATACCAAGAAAACCCTAAAGACTCCTCCAAAAAGCTCCTAGAACTGATAAATGAGGAAATTTATCTTGAAAGAAGTGTTGGCCGGGTGTGGTGGCTCACACCTGCAATCCCGGCACTTTGGGAGGCCAAGGTAGGTGGATCATGAGATCAGGAGTTCGAGACCAGTCTGGCCAAAATGGTGAAACCCCATCTCTACTAAAAATACAAAAATTAGCTGGGCATGGTGGCATGCGCCTGTAATCCCAGCTATTCAGGAGGCTGAGGCAGGAGAATTGCTTGAACTTGGGAAGTGGAGATTGCAGTGAGCCGTGATTGCACCACAGCACTCCAGCCTGGGCGACAGAGCGAGACTCTGTCTTGGGGGGATAAAAAAAGTTAACAGAGGTTCTTAAGAACCTCTTAAGAAGAGAGGATAATGGCTTAGGTTAGAAACTTGGATTATATAAAGAAAAGATGAATGTTACAGACAACAATGTATTCAAAATAATAATAGGAACAATGTATTCAATGACTATAGCTTATGGATAAGTAAAATGAATAACAAAAATATTATAAAGGATGGGAGGCAGGAATTGGGAATACCTGCACTACTTATAAAGCAATATAGTGTTATTTATGTATATGGCCAACGCTGGGCATCAGAAAATTTTTTAAAAGAAGTATAATTGGCCAGGTGCAGTGGCTCACACCTGTAATCCCAGCACTTTGGGAGGCTGAGGCAGGCGGATCACCTGAGGTTGGGAGTTCAAGACCAGCCTGACCAACATGGAGAAACCCCATCTCTACTAAAAATACAAAATTAGCTTGGCGTGGTGGCACATGCCTGTAATCCCAGCTACTCAGGAGGCTGAGGCAGAAGAATCGCTTGAACACAGTAGGCGGAGGTTGCAGTGAGCCAAGATCGCACCATTGCACTCCACCCTGGGCAACAAGAGTGAAACTCTGTCCACCGCCCCCCCCCAAAAAAAAGTATAATTGATAAGTTTTTATTGGAGAAAAAGTTTAATTATTTAAATACTCAATGAAAACCAGAGCTTTTGTTTCCCCTGTCATGTTCCAGTTAAGGTATGTATGTCTCTTCTATGCCAATTTTGCTGAGGTTTTTGTCATAAAGGGATACTGGATTTTGTCAAGTGCTTTTTCTGCTTCTATTGAGATGATCAAGGGATTTTTGTTCTTAATCCTGTTTATGCGGTGTATCACATTTATTGACTTGTGTATGTTAAACCATCCCTGCATCCCTGGTATGAAACCCACTTAATCATGGTGGATTATCTTTCTGATATGCTGTTGAAGTTGGTTAGCTAGTATTTCATTGAGGATTTTTCCATCTATGTTCATCAGGGACATTGGGCCATAGTTTTCCTTTTTTTGTTATGTCCTTTCCTGGTTTTGTATTAGGGAGACACTGGCTTTACAGAATGATTTAGGGAGGATTCCCTCTTTCTCTATCTTGTGGAATAGTGTCAATAGGATTGGTATCAATTCTTCTTTGAATGTTTGATAGAATTCAGCTGTGAATCCACCTGGTAAAAGGCAAGGGGGAAAGATAAGTAGGTGAAGCAAAGGAGTTTTTTAGGGCAGTGAAACTATCCTGTATAATACTGTAGTGGATACATAACATTATGTATTTGGCAAAGCCCATAGAACTGTACAACACAAGGAAGGAGCCCTAATGTAAACTGTGGACTTTAGTTAATAATAATAATGCATCAATATTGGTTCAATATTGTAACAAATGTACTACAATAATGCAAGGTGCTAATAACATGGAAACCTCTGTGTAGGGGTATGTAAGGGGAAATATGAAAACTGGGTTTTCTGCTCCATTTTTCTTTAAAAATTAAGCAGAAGTGTTTAAGCAAACTTAAAACTGCTCTAAAAAAAAGTCTTGATTTTTTAAAAGACATCCATTATTTTCTCTTTCTAGATTTCTCCTTCCAATGCTGCAACAACTTAGAAGGTATCTTTGAATTGACAATAATATCTCTATGGTGGTTCATTTATTCTCTAATTCATTCATTAATTCAGTCATTTAATGCTAAAATATTTATGTGTTTGTAGGTCACTTACTCACTCATAATTTTACAAGTATAACTTCCTCTATGTCATTTTACTCCTTTTTGAAAATGTTTACATTATTTTCATATTTAGAGATTATGAATCATCTATTGTATAAGCTTAATATCTTAATAGATTAATGTCCTCTCTGAAGGAGACTCCTGGAATTATTTTTATAGATTACTATGAGTACAGTCACTAAAACATGTACAAATAGGGCCCACTCAACTTTAATTGGATATTTCTTTTGACTGATGAGTTAATTTTTTTGCTTTATCAACTAATGTTACCAATTATTACGCTTTATACAGTACTATACTGGGGTGAGATGAACAGAGTTAGCAGCTCCTAAGACTTGTTCTTGGCACACAGGAGAGTCTTCGTAAAGTTTTCAATGTTTTTTGAAATAATATTTTATACATAGAAAGTATTACAAAAGATATAACTCAATAAAAGCTTAATTATAATTAAGAAATTATGGGTCTTTTGAGGTTTTACTTCAGTATTATAAAAACATTTTAGGCCGTGTGCGGTGGCTCACGCCTGTAATCCCAGCACTTTGGAGGCCGAGGTGGGTGGATCACCTGAGGTCAGGAGTTCGCAACCAGGCTGGCCAACATAGTGAAACCCTGTCTCTACTAAAAAAAAAAGCACAAAAATTAGCTGGGCATGGTGGTGGGCGCCTGTAATTCCAGCTACTTGGAAAGCTGAGGCAGGAGAATCATTTGAACCCAGGAGGCAGAGGTTGCAGTGAGCCAAGACCCTGCCATTGCACTCCAGCCTGAGCAACAAAAGCAAAACTCCGTCTCAAAAAAAACAAAAAAAATATTTAAAGATATTATATATAGTCTCTGATCTTAAAGACTATTTTAGGACTTCACAGTTAGTTTGTGAAGAAGCATATAATCATGTGAAAAAAATGAGAAAACTTGAAATAAATAACATAGGACAAAAATATAGAAAATGTCACACTGTCAACAATTAACTATTAAATAAATGGCTTATATAAGTGCTACAGGAATTCTGAGAAGAGTCCAAAACAACAAAAACCTAGCTTCCTGAAATGGGATAGATTCATGAAAAGAAAACTGAGATAAAAAAGGGACATGAGAAAAAAAACAGAAAATCAAGACATGTTAAAGAGTACATGTGCTGACCTGCTGAGGTAGATTTCAGAAGCTGAAGGACTGGAACCAAAACCAGAAATGCAGAGTGGGGCAAAATTCAGATTTTGAATTCCAGGCTAATGAGTTTAGATATTAACTACAGAGTATATAAGGCATGGGAAGTTATTTAGAGGAAAGCAATATGCTGAAGTAAACAGTTGTATCCAGTTTATATTTGTTCAGGGAGGTGGGAGTAGACTAGAAGAAAAGTTAAGTAGCTATAAGGAAATCTATTATGGGACAATAGGATAAATGGCTGAATTGGGAGAGGAACAATGAGAAGGGAAATGATACAAAAGCTACCTCCCAGGAAAAGAAAAGAAAAAACTGCAGGGAGGGAGATACAGAGAGTGGGATGGAAGGTGAGCCCAAGTCTCTGAAGCTAGGGAGAATGATAAAAGTGAAAAAAATTGATTTCAGACATGCTGAACCTGGACTGTCTGGGAGACCTCCAGGTGGAAATGTACATTACATAATTTGATGATATTAGAATTGGAGCTCAGTTGTGGATTAAAACTAAAGAGAAATATTATTGAATTAACTTGAAAGAAGTAATATTTGAATCCCTGAAAATAGATGCTATTTTCCAAAGGAGAAGCTGTCTACAGAGAGATAAGAATAGAAAGCTAACTGAAAATTTGAGAACCCACTTTTTGGGCACAGATGAAGAAACAGATGCAAGTATAACACACACACACAACACACACACACACATACACACACGGAATTGTCTAAAAGGAAAGTAAAGAATCACCATAAAAACTAGAAAAATTTTATTCTACCATATTATCAGGAAAATATTTCCTATAATCCATATATCCCTTTCTAATAACTTCAGAAGCCTATGACCATCACAAAATATTTATTTTTAAAAACTTTTTTTATACAAAAGATATTAGACCTCAAGGGACAATCTGTGTGAATTGTATTTTACCATTTACTTATGATAAATCATTCACTATTGATACATTATTTATTAATAAGCAAAAATGAAAAAAGATTATTTCAACCAGAAATCATACTGTGTTAATTCTATTAAAACATATGCAAGAGCATTTTATGTTTCATTAAAATGGGAGGAAGTTAATTCCTTTCTGAAAATCATGGTAACAGTAACACTAGAGATTAGAATTTAGAGCCTAATGCCCTAGTGAGGACTTACCTAGTAGAGATAGGTTCCTGAAAAGGCCAAACAGGCAGGATAACATAGCTAATGATTAAAAATTTCCACACTGATAACCGAGGGATTTTCATTCATCCATCAATGCATTTACTCTTTTATTCACTAAATTACTGAGTAGCCATTCTGTGGCAGGCACTAAGAAGACAAACATAAATAAGCTATATCCCTGCTATACAAGGCATTGTTGTCTTTAATCAAAACACATTTCAATGTTAGGAAAGAAAAAGTATAAGTATCTCCATTATTTCTCTAAAGATTTATAATTTGAATGTCAGTGAAAGTAGAAGGTAGCAAGTTCAAGATGGCTGACTAGATGCATCTGGTACTCTTCTCTTCCACAAAGAAGAACCCAAATAGCAAGTAGTTAATCACACTTAAAATAGATCCTCTAAGAAAGAACACTGGCATTCAACAGGGAAGTGACAGAAACACCTAAAGCAAGAAAGGAAAGGGAAGCAAGTCAGCCTGCTTGACTGAGATCAGCTGGGAGCCTGGAGAGGCTCCCTAATGTGGGGAAATGATAAGTAAGAGATCCCCCAGCAGTCCACGTTCCCACTGTGAACTCCTGCAATCCTAGTCATAGGAGAAACACAGGAAAAGACTTGACCCCTGCAGGCCCTGAGACCAACATAGAGAGCTGCCTGGAGACTGTGCAATAGTATTGCTCCAGAGAGAGCTCATACTGAGTCCTACAAACCCTGAGTCCTAAACAGGCATGGCACAGCACCATTTTGAGAACTCAGCCCCCATCAGACTGCATCATTCCCTGGGTCCCAACAGCCCCTGCATCCCCACATCCCTGGAGTGCCATTTACATTCGCTGCCTGCAGCAGCCTCTGCCAGGGCCAATGCAGGAGCCACTGGCAGCAACCTCACCCCAGCAGCAGAAGGGTCATGCATTTTCACACACCCCAAGGACAAATTCAAATGCCCACAGCCACTGCCACTATGGGCTACTGCAAGGCCAAAGCATGAGCAAAGTGCATGCGTCCCAGCCGCCTGCTTACAGTTGCTCCCACTGAAAGGCATCTTGCCCTCCTCAGTAGCAGGGCTGTAGTACAGATGCGTCAAACCCCACCTGAAGATTCATCCTCCAGTAAGTAAGCGTGCCATCTAAGGACCTGGTGATCAAACAGTTAAGTCCACCATCACTGGCACCCGGGTACTCCTCCCAGAGCCTGCGGTCAGGCCCACCCAACCTGCTGCTACCACCACAGCTGGCACCCACCCACACACTCTCCTAAGGCCCTGGAGACAGGCCCACCCAGCCTGTCACAGCCACTGCCAACACCAGCACAGACTACTTTTGTCCCAGACAATTGTCCCACCATTGATACTGCCATCACTCACTCCATGCCAGCCGCCCAGGGGACCGAGAACCTGCCTACCTGCCTGACCCACACTGCCATTCCTGGCACCTAAGCAAGTCACCTGGAGGCTCAAGAATAGGCCTTTCTGGACCCACTGCCAGTGCCAGCATACACCACCCTAAGGCCCAAGGACAGGCACACTCAGCTCACTGCTGCCACCACTGGGGCCCCAAAACTGGCCCACCTGGCATCCCAGTCCCCAGCAAAATTTCACCACAGCTTCCATTAACAATCACACCCTAAGCCACCAAAGAAATCACAGACACCACTGATGCTGTTTAGCGCCAAAGAAATTACATAGAAGCTGTACTACTGCACACACCCAGAATCAAAGCCAAGTGCCCTATCCAACCAATACCATGATACATCTTCAAAAAAAAAAAGTTCTCCCCTATAAAGCAAACTCAAAAAAGTTGAAAGAAGCAACTGTTACACAAGATGTGCAGAGAGCAACATAAGGACACATGAAACATGAAAAAGAAGGAAATATGCCACCTCCAAAAGAATGTAGTAATTCTCTAGCAATCAACCCCAAAGAGAAATTTACAAAATCCCAGAAAAATAATTCAAAATATGTATACTAAAGAAACTCAGTGAGATACAGAAGAACTCTGAAAAACAATACAAATAAGCCAGATATTTGGGATATAAATGAGAAATTTACCAAAAACATATCATAAAAAAGAATAAAACAGAAATTCTGGAGCTGAAGAATTCAACCAGTGAAATACAAAATATATTCAAAAGCTTCAATAGTAAACTAAATCAAGCAGAAGACGGAATCTCAGAACTTGAAGACAGGTCTAATGAAATAACCTAGTCAGACAAAAATAAAGAAAAAAGAAAAACAAAGAATGAGCAAAGCCTAGATGACATAGGATACCATAAAGTGACCAAATATTTGCATTTTTGGTGTTCCAGAAGATGAAGAGAAAATGAGAGAGTCAGAAAACCTATTTAGTGAAATAATAGATAAAAAGTTCTCTACCCTAGCAAGAGATTTAGACATCCAGATTCAGGAGGTGCACAGATCCCCAAACAGATACAACTCAAAAGGGACTTCTCCACAGCACATTATAGTCAAACTGTCAAAAGTCAAAGACAAAGAGAAAATTCCAAAAACAGCAAGAAAAAAGTATCTAATCATTTATAAAGGAATCCCCATCAGACTAACAGCAGATTTCTCCACAGAAAGCTTACAGGTCAAAAGAGTTTAGGATGATATATTCACAAGAGCTGAAAGAAAAAAAACTGACAGCCATGTATACTATACCCAGAAAATTTATCCTTCATAAATGAAAGAGAACTAAAGTATTTCCCAGATAAGTAAATGCTGAGAAAATTCATCATCACTAGACCCATCCTCCAATAAAGGCTTAAGGGAGTCCTACATCTAGAAGCAAAAGAATGAAATCTACCCTCATGAAAACATATGAAAATATAAAAACCACTGGTGAAGCAAACACAAATAAAAAGACTCAAATATTACCTCTACAGAAAACCACCAAACCACAAAGATAAACAATAAGAGAGAATGAAAGAAACAAAGAATATAAATAACAATGACTTCAATTAATAAAATGACAGGAATAAGGCCTCATATATCAATAGCAACCTTGAATGTAAATGGATTAAATATTCCACTTAAAAAATATAGACAGGTTCAAAGAATTAAAAATAAATAAATAAATAAAACATGACCCAACTATATGCTGCCTATAAGTAACTCATCTTTCCTGTAAAGACACATACAGGCTGAAAGGAAAGGAATGGAAAAAATATATTCCATGCCAATAAGAAGCAAAAGCAGGAGTAGCTATACTTAGATAAAACAGATTTTAAGTCAAAACAGTAAAAAGAAAAAAAAAGGTCATCATTATAAAATGATAAAGAGATCAATTCCACAAGAGAATATAACAATTCTAAATATATTTCCACCCAACACTGGAGCACCCAGGTATATAAAGAAAATACTATTAGACCTAAATAGTGAGAAAGACTTCAGTATAATAATAATTAGGAACTTCAACATCCCACTCTCAGAATTAGCCTCTAGATAGAAAATTTGCAAAGAAACATTGGATTTAAAGTGCATATTAGACCACATGGACCTAACAGATATTTCAAAACATTTCATCCAACAGTTACAGAATAAATGTTCTTCTCATAAGCACATGGAACACTCAGCAGAATACACTATACATTAGGACACAAAACAAGTCTCAACTAATTATTTAAAAATGAAATCATATCAAGTATTTTCTCAGACCACATCAAAATAAAACCATAAATCAATAACAAGAGGAACTTTTGAAACCATACAAACACATAGAAATTAAACAACGTGCTACTGAATGACCACTCGGTCAAGGATGAAATAAAAAAAATTCTTAAAACAATTAAAAATCAAAACACAACAAATCAAACCTATGGGATGCAGCAAAAGCAGTGCTAAGAGGGAAGTTCATTATAGCAATAAACACCTACATCAAAAAGGTAGAAAGAGTTTATCATCATATAAAAAAGACACCTGCACTCATGTTTATTGCAGCAGTATCCACAATAGCAAAGTGATTGAATCAACTTAAGTGTCTATCAGGCTGGGCACAGTGGCTCACTCCTGTAATCCCAGCACTTTGGGAGCTGAGGTGGGTGGATCACGAGGTCAGGAGATCGAGACTATCCTGGCTAACACGGTTAAACCTTGTCTCTACTAAAAAGAAAGAAACAAAGACTATAAATAACGGGTGTGGTGGTGTGGTGGCGCGTACCTGTAGTCCCAGCTACATGGAAGGCTGAGGCAGGAGAATCGCTTGAACCTGGGAGGCGGAAGTTGCAGTGAGCTGCGATCGCGCCACTGCACTTCAGCCTGGGCGACAGAGTGAGACATCGTCTCAAGAAAAAAAAAAAAAAAACCAAAGGGTCTATCAACAACTGATTGGAAAAAGAAAATGTGGTACCTACACATCATGTAATACTGTGCATCCATTAAAAAGAATGAAATTGGCCGGGCGCAGTGGCTCATGCCTGTAATCCCAGCACTTTGGGACACGGGGTGGGCGGATCATGAGGTCAGGAGATCGAGACCATCCTAGCCAACATGGTGAAACCCCATCTGTACTAAAAATACAAAAAATTAGCTGGGTGTGGTGGCGTGCACCTATAATCCCAGCTACTTAGGAGGCTGAGGCAGGCGAATCACTTGAACCCAAGAGGCGGAGATTGCAGTGAGCCGAGATCATGCCACTGCACTCCAGTCTGGTGACAGAGCAAGACTCTATCTCAAAAAAAAAAAAAAAGAAAAAGAAAAAAAAGAATGAAATCATGTCCTTTGCAGTAATATGAATGGAACTTAAGGCCATTATCCCAAGTAAAATAACTCAGGAACAGAAAATCAAATATTGCATGTCCTCACTTATAAGTGGGAGCTAAACAATGGGTATGCACGAACATAAAGATGGAAATAATAGACAGTGGGGACTCCAAAAGGAGAGAGGGTGTAAGGGGGTGAAGGTTTAAAAATTACCTATTGGGTACAATGTTCACTATGTGGGTGATGGAAATACCAGAAGCCCAAACCCAAACGTTATGCAATATATCCACATAAGAAACCTGCACACATACCCTCTGAATTTAAAATAAAATAAAAATTTTTAAAAAGTATAAAGATTTCAAATACATAATCTGAAAATACACCTGAAGGAACTAAAAAAGCAGGAAAAAACAAACGCAAAATTAGGAGAAGAAAAAATAATAAAAATCAGAGCAGAACTTAAACAGAAACTAAAAAACATATAAAAGATCAACAAAATGGAAATTTAGTTGTTTTTGGAAAGATAAACAAAATTGATAAGCTACTTGCTATACTAACACAGAAAAGAAGAGCAAAGACCCAAATAAAATCAGAAATGAAAAAGGAGACATTACAACTGATACCACAGAAATATAAAAGATCATCAGAGACTACTATAAACAGCTATATAATAACAAACCAGAAAACCTAGAGGAGATAAATTAATAAATTTCTGGTACATACAACCTACCTGGATTGAATGAGGAAGAAACAGAAAATGTGAACAGACAAAAACAGATAATGAGATTGAGTCAGTAGTAACAAGTTTTCCAACAAAGAAAAGTCCGGGACCAAATGGCTTCAATGCCGAATTCTACCAAACTTCCAAAGAAGAACTAACACCAATTTTCCCCCAAACTACCCCAAATAACTGAAGCAGAGGGAATTATCTCTAATTCATTCCATAAGATCAGCATTATCCTGATTCCAAAACCGGAGAAAGACTCAACAAAAAAAGAAAACCACAGGCAGTATCTTTAATGAACATAGAGGTAAAAGTCCTCATCTTAATACTAGCAAATCACATCCAATAGCACATCAAAAAAACAATATACATGTTCAAGTGGGCTTTATCCCAGGGATGCAAGAATAGTTCAACATATACAAATCAATAAACATGACACATCACATCAACAGAATAAAGGACAAAAACCACATGATAATCTCAACACATGCAGAAAACGCATCTGATAAAAATCAGCACCACTTCATCACAAAAATTCTCAGCAAACTAGGCATAGAAGAACACAACTCAATATGATAAAGCCCATATATGACAAACACACAGCTAACATTATACTCAATGAGGAAAACCAGAAAGCCTTTTCTCTAAGAACTAGAACAAGACAAGGATGTCCACTTCACCACTCCCATTTAACACAATACTGGAAATCCTAGCCAGAGCAATCAGGCAAGAGAAACAAAGAAAAGACATCCAAATTGGAAAAAAGGAAGTCAAACTGCCCCTCTCTGCCTATGATATAATCTTATATCTAGAAAAACTTAAAGACTCCACCAAAAAAACTCTTAGACCTGATAAATAATTTCAGTAAAGTTACAGGATACAAAATCAACATGCAAAAATCAGTAGCATTTTTATACATAAATATCAAACTAGCTGAAAAAGAAATCAAGAAGACAATCTCATTTACAATAGCCACAAAAAAATACCTAAGAATAAATTTAACCAAGAAAGTGAAAGATCTCTGTAAGAAAAACTATAAAACTATGAAAGAAATTCAAGAGAACATAAACAAATGGAAAGATATCCTATGCTCTTGGATGGGAAGAATTAATATTGTTAAAATGACCATAATGCCCAAAACAATCTATAAATTCAATGCAATGCCTACAAAAATACTAATGTTATTTTTCTGTTTTTTTCTTTTTCTTTTTTATTGAGACAGAGTTTCACTCTTGTTGCCCAGGCTGGAGTGCAATGGTGCAATCTAGGCTCATTGCAACCTCCATCTCCTGAGTTCAAGTGATTCTCCTGCCTCAACCTCCCAAGTAGCTGGGATTACAGGCACCCATCACCACACCCAGCTAGTTTTTTGTATTTTTAGTAGAGATGGAGTTTCACTATGTTGGTCAGGCTGGTCTCAAACTCCTGACCTCAGGCAATCCACCTGCCTCAGCTTCCCAAAGTGCTGGGATTACAGGCGTGAGCCACCATGCCTGGCCAATGTTATTTTTCATAGAAATAGAAAAAGCAATCCTAAAATTTGTATAGAACCAAAAAAGAGCCCAAGTAGCCAAAGCAATCCTGAGCAAAAACGACAAAGCTGGAGGTATCACACTACCTGACTTAGAAATATATTAAAAGGCTATAGAAACCAAAACAGCATGGTATTGGTATAAAAACTAACACATTGATCAATGGAACAAAATAGATAATCCAAAAATAAATCCACATATTTACAGCCAACTGATTTTTGACAAAGGCACCAAGAACATACTTTTGGGAAAGGACACCCTCTTCAATAAATGGTGCTGGGAAAACTGGATATCCATACACAAAACAATGAAACTGGACCCCTATCTCTTACCATACATATACAAAAATCAACTCAAGACCCAAAACTATAAAATTACTAGAAGAAAACATAAGGAAAATACTTCAGGACATTAGTCTAGGCAAGGATTTTATGCCTAAGACCTCAAAAGCACAGATAACAACAACAAAAAATAGAGACATTAAGCTACATGAAACTAAAAAGCTTCTACCCAGCAAGAAAAACAAGAGTAAAAAGACAGCAGATGAATGGGAGAAAATATTTGCAAACCACTCGTTCAACAAGGAACTAATATGCAAGATAATACACAAGGAACTCAAACAACTCAATAGTTTGAGAAACACAAATAATCCCATTAAAAAGTGGATAAAGGATCTGAATAGGCATTTCTCAAAAGAAGACATACAAATGACCAACAAGTATATGAAAAAATGCTCAACATCACTAATCATCAGGGAAATGTAAATCAAAACCACAATGAGATACCTATCATCTTACCCCAATTAGAATGGCTATTACTAAAAAGACAAAGAAAGAACAGATGCTAGCAAGGATACACAGAAAAAGGAACTCTTATACACTGTTGATGGAAGGTAAATTGGTCTAGCCACTATGGAAAATAGTAGATTTTTGTTAAAAATCTAAAAAATAGAACCATCATATGATCCAGCAATCCCACTATTGGGTATTTATCCAAAGGAAAATAAATCCATATGTTGAAGACATACCTGCACTCATGTTTATTCCAGCACTATTCACAAGAGTAAAGATATGGAGTCAACCTAAGTGTCCATCAATGGATGAATGGATAAAGAAAATGTGGCTATACACAATGGAATAGTATTTGGCTATAACAAAGAATGAAATTATGTCTTTTGCAGCAACATGGATTGAAGAGGAGGTCATTATGTTAAGTGAAATAAGCCAGGCACAGATAAACTAGTATCACATATTCTCAATCATATGTGGGAGCTAAAAAATTTATCTCATGAACTTTACTCATGAAGTTTATCTCATGAAGGTAGAGAGTAAAGTGATAAGATACCAGAGGATGAGAAGGATGTGTGGGTGGGAGGGGGGATGAAGAGAGGTTGGTTAATGGGTACAAATATACAGTTAGTTAGAGGGTACAAGTTCTAATTTTCAAAAGTAGAGTAGGGTGACTATAGTTAGCAACAATCTGTTATATATTTCAATGTAACTAGAAGAGAGGACTTGAAAGGTTCCCAACATATACAAATGATAAATACTCAAGATGATGGATACCCCAAACACCCTGACTTGATCATTACACATTCATGCATGTAATGAAATTTTGCATGTGCCCCATAAATATGTATAATTTTATGTATCAATTTTGAAAAAGAGGATGAAAGAGAAAAAAAGGAGGTGGCATTCATGAAAGAATTCAGCGCTACTATACCTTGCTCTAAGGAGTCCAAAAACAGACTCTCATAGCATGAATAGGGAGCCTCACTTGCTCCATTCTCAGTTTTTTAAGCCATCCTTTGTAGTTTAATTTTGCCCAGTCTAAAAGTCAATCACCTAATTTCATCTAAATACCAGTTTCTTTCAAGAATTGGAACATAAAGCAGCATAAATTAATATTCTCTTAAAGCTAGAAGAGTTGGATCACTTGAAATCCATGACTTTAATGGTAAACTCCTGGTAATGTGCAAAATATCAAACTCTGTAGAATTCAAGATTTAAAATCCTGCAGGATGGAAAACCATCTGCTCACAATGACCCTTACAGTGAAATTACATTGACTATTGCAAAGTAGTTTCATTTATGCCAGTCAGAAACTGTGCTTTAGACACTGACTCTCAGTAGTTAGCAATCACCAACTCCAGTAATCATACAATATTTAATCATCAAAAGAAAAAGTAGTTTCAAGAAAGCAGAAATTACGCAAAGGTTAATTTCAGTTTGGATGAAAATTACATGGATGACTCACATAGAAAGCAATTTAAATATAAAAACAGCATAAATAAAATTGATATGAAAAGCAACTTTAAAATCTGTAAACTAAACTTTTTGAATGATTATACTATAAATTAATCTGGCTTGCCACTGACGATGAAAATGTAATGGGAACTCAAAACTGGATTAACAGGTTATGTAGGCAGAAAATGTCATTTTAGGTACTACAAGAATCAATTTTTCTTCATGTTATTAAGCTACTAGCCTGGAGGAAATGAAGATAGTGGGTTATGAATTCTAGCATTTCATAGTTAAGCAATACCGCAAACGCAAATAGTTCCTGAAAAGGCAAAATAAGAAAGCTAAGGGGACAATACATTCCTTAAAATATTGTTTCTCTATTTTATTTGGGAAATAGAGCCAAAAAATGCAGTGAAAGAGCTATAACAAAGGTTATGCCCCATGCTTGCATAGATAATTTTTAAAAACAGAGATGATCATAACTCCCACATTGGCATAGTGATTTATTTTTATTTTTTATTTTTTTTGAGACTTTGTCGCCCAGGCTGGAGTGCAGTGGCATGAACACAGATCACTGCAGCCTCAGCTTTCCAGGCTGAAGCAATCCTCCTGCCTCAGCCTCCCAAGTAATTGGGACTACGAGCATGTACCACCATGCCTGGCTAATTTTTGTAGTTTATGTAGACACAGGATTTTGCCATGCTGCCCAGACTGGTCTCAAATTCCCAGGCTCAAGCTATCCTCCTGGCTTGGCCACCCAAAGTGCTGGGATTACAGGCATGAGCCACTGCACCCAGCTAATTAATGTAGCCATTGTAAATTAAAAACTGATATTTATAATTAAATATTAAGATAACAAAATGATAGATAACTTTTATAGGCTGATTATTAATAATAGAAATTAATTCTGCTTGTTTTCATAGAAAAGGGTATCCTGAATTTTAAAAGTTTTCTAAAATGAGTTTAACCACAACAGAAAAAAAACTAATAAAACATAGTAAAATGCATTACTAAAGAGGAAATGAATTTCCTATTTTAAGATTAAAAAAGCCAGGAACACATTTATCTTGACTTGTTTAAATAAAGCCAGACTAAAGGCTTAAAGTTGAATTAGGTGAAAGCTGATAATCCCTTTTAATCAGTCATGTCTGTGGATTCCCTAGTCAAATACTTCAAAAAGGCAAAAAAGTAAGTTTTGAAATTTGTGACATTCCTTATACCACAGATAATCAATCTATACGTGAAATAGCATACCGATGGGAAGGTATTTATAACAACATTTAATTGTACAGAAAAAGTAAAATATACATGAAAAGATACGACTTATAAAAGTAGAAATCTCGGAAGAAATTTTTAACTGATTTTTGAGCCAATTATCTTTCTTCAATTTGAATGTTATTACAGATATATTTATGATTACAATTTCAAATATACATTTATATATTTCACTTATGTTATGTTTCATATATATTTCAAATAAAGGTCTACATAAATGCATGTATATATGAGTTATATATATGTGTGTATATATACATGTATCAGTTATTTTGATTAAGGAATGACTCTCACTAGGACTTTCAAGTCAAAACAAAGTACTCTTACTCTAACTCAAATTAACAGAGATTTCAACTACGAAACACACATCCAAGAGGCCTCCCCAAGGCTCCCTTCTTTCTACCCAGTGTTGAGTGCTGGTGAGATGCAAAGAAAAAAGCACTTAGTTCTCATCCTTAAGGAGCTCACATTCTGGCAAGGGAGAGTTTCATGTAAACAAATAATTATGACATGCATTATAAATGCTAAAATAGAGATTCACACAGTGTTTCCAAAGATCAGAGTGAAATGAGTTATTATACAGGCTTGTGGCCCAAGGGAAGATGAACAGCTACAGGCACAAAGGAATATGACACCAGAATTTCCAGGAACTACAGCAGAGCTCACTGATAAAATTTAAAAAGGTATTACTAGGCTGGGCGCGGTGGCTCACGCCTATAATCCCAGCACTTTGGGAGGCCGAGGCGGGCGGATCACGAGGTCAAGAGGTCGAGACCATCCTGGCTAACATGGTGAAACCCCGTCTTTACTAAAAATCCAAAAAAAAAAAAAAAAAAAAAAAAAAAAAAAAATTAGCCGGGCGTAGTGGCGGGAGCCTGTCGTCCCAGCTACTTGGGAGGCTGAGGCAGGAGAATGGCATGAACCGGGAGGCGGAGCTTGCAATGATCCGAGATTGCGCCACTGGACTCCAGCCTGGGTGACAGAGCAAGACTCCGTCTCAAAAAAAAAAAAAAAGAAAAGAAAAGGTATTACTAAATTACATACTGAACCTACTCCAGCAGGTTCCATTTTCAGCGCCCATGGAATTTCCCTTTGTTGCTGGTATTCTCCTTAGATAAAAAATTATCATTCAGCAACAAAAGCTGCCCAGTACACTCGTCAGGAATAATGAGAAAAGGACCCATGAAATGTTTCAAGTCAATACTGATGACATCAGTTAAAAATCAGACACAACCAAGTCATCAGCACCATGAGGAATGAAAAAAAGCCATTTATCTTTTAAAAGCCTTTTAAATATTTAGTAGATCTAACACTGTTAAGAAACAACATAGCATCAGTTCAAAGTCTTGGGAAACGCCTGCACTTTCCTTTCAGTACTTGTGCATTTAAAATATTCCTATCGCATTTTAGTGTTCTTCACAGAGCAGCTGACAAATCATTTCTCCAAACTGGCAAAGGGTGTTGAAATTAGAATTTAAAACAAGAGTCAGCAGGAAAAATAAATGGGAGAGGAGTCTTCTTCCTTTCTGATACTACATAAATATATTATTAAAACATTTGCTTCTTTTTGTTATATGAACCTGATTTAAAAATAACATACATAAAACTAAAATTTTGCAAAATGTTTTAAATGGCGTGGTGAATGTCTTTTAATCAAGGACTTTTTTTCTCAACTTAATATGATTATTTTCGCTTTTGCCAATTACAGAACATATATATCACATCTTTTTTGAAAATCACTCCTTGATCATTTTCCAGTTAATTATTTTCAGTTTTACACAATCAGAAAGCACTTGCTGAGGCATTTGTATTGTTTCCTTTGAGGATCAAAATAATAATGTTAATATGGTTTGTTCTCATTAATAGCTGCAACATTGGTTGTATCTGAAAAAAATCTTAATATGCTCTTGGAACTGTAAAACCAGTAGCCCCAGAAGGCCCCAAGGACCACAAAACAGCTGAAACTTTGGGCATCTTTCCCTCTCAGTGTTCCCAGATGGACTTCTCTTTCCACTGTTTCTTTACACTTTGAACATTCCTATTTTAATTGTACTAAAGCATGTAGGGTTACCTGACACCCACTAGGACGGTTTTGCATTGGATTTTTCTCTATATATACTCCTGCCACTGTTTTTATTTCTCACTCGAAAAGATTGTTTTCTTTTCAAGCAATCACACCTTACTACTAATGAAAGATTTGCTAAATTCATCACTCCTCCTCTTGCTATTCTTAGAACTTTCTTCTCAAACACTATGCTGGCACCAAGAAAACCCCAATGTACTTTCCTTGGTTTTCGTAACTATAACCTTAGCAGTACATTTCAATTCAATCAGAAAATGAAGAGTTGATTATTGACATCTATCTATAATAACATTTAATTTATTTTTTATCTATAACTACCCATTCATCCCAATTTAAATTTATGATCAAAGTAAATTTAGTTGTTTGGTTAACATTAAAAGGTTGTCAACACAGAATGGAAAGTTAATGTAAGCATACAATGATGAAAAACTGCTTAACGATAGGTAAAAATGATCACATTATGATAGAATCCATGAAAATGTTTTACCAACAGAAACACAAGAGTTGCCAAGATTATATATTAATGGTCATAATACAAGCATCAGTACCTGGACTAATTGAGAATAAATAATACTAAAATAAAATTGTAGAGGAGGCCGGGCACGATGGCTCATGCCTGTAATCCCAGCACTTTGGGAGGCCGAGGTGGGTGGATCACCTGATGTCAGGAGTTCGAAACCCGCCTGGCCAACGTAGCAAAACCCCATCTCTACTAAAAATACAAAAATTAGCCGGGCATGGTGGTGCACATCTGTAATTCCAGCTACTCAAGAGGATGAGGCAGGAGAATTGCTTGAACCTGGTAAGTGGAGGTTGCAGTGAGCTGAGATCATGCCACTGCACTCCAGCCTGGGCAACAGAGCGAGACTCCATCTCAAAAAAAAAAAAAAAATGTAGAGGAGAAAAAGGAACAGAATTTTAAAATACTAAAAATGCAATTATTGTTGACTGATTTAATTTATTCAAAGCACTAGAGAAATACTACTGTCAAATATGATAGACTAGATTGTGTTAACAGAATGATAAATTCTGCTTAATAGATCAGATATTTTAGTTGATTTTTAAAAAAGAAAACCACAAGACTCTTTAAAAATATTTTTTATTAAGCCAAAGTATCTCTGAAACATGGAGAAATACACATAAAGTATGTAGCTTAGTTAATTAATGACTTAAAAATGAGTGTTAAGATACAAGACAACAGGCTGGGCGTGGTGGCTCACGCCTGTAATCCCAGCACTTTGGGAGGCTGACGCGGGCAGATCATGAGGTCAGGAGATCGAGACCATCCTGGCTAACACAGTGAAACCCTGTCTCTACTAAAAATACAAAATATTAGCCGGGCGTGGTGGCAGGCGCCTGTAATCCCAGCTCCTCGGGAGGCTGAGGCAGGAGAATGGCATGAACCCGGGGGGCAGAGCTTGCAGTGAGCCGAGATTGTGCCACTGCACTCCAGCCTGGGCGACAGAGCAAGACTCCGTCTCAAAAAAAAAAAAAAAAAAAAAAAAAAAAGATACAATACAACAAGGCCAATTACCACCTCTAATTATCAAAGTGATCCTAAAGCTATTATTCAAAATAGTTAATTTTTTTATCCTGGAATCAGCTTTGGAGACAATACTTTTGGATAACTGCCATATAACTAGACCATGTTTTTGTTTTTCTTTCAAAAATAATTACCATAAAATTGGTTACAATTATACTCAAAAACATGGGAATCTAAATCAAAATACAATACTTATAGGTAACATTCTTTACAGTAAGCGGCTGAGATCAGAGGGGGAAGGCACAGTTTTGTGGCTGAGTCTATGAAAACAATGTATCTTTTCTCTATTTGCCTGGCTAACATTTCCATGCCAAATTCTTACCTGGGTCTCATAGCACAGGTTTCTATTTTTATTAGGTTTTGGAATAAAACCTATGGACCTTCTGTAGTAGAACACACAAAATACTATACACACAAAATCAGGTTCATAGACATCTCTTCTTCACCTCATTGTCACCCTCAAGCTAAGGTTTCACAACCTCAAGTCAGGAACTTACACAATACAGAAAAAAAATCTACACTAGGCAGAACATCATTGAAATATCTTTAAAACTTATGCCCTTTAAGTGCATAATGTGTAATGTAAAATTTGACTAGTAGATACAAGATAGCACCAAAAACATCTCAAATGATTTAACGTCTTTCCTCCACAACTCTTCTACTATCATGAAGTGACAGACAGCAGGCCAGATACAGAATTAGTGCATTTACTAGCACATTACTTCTTCTGTTCCTCTGGGAAGAAAGCTATCTGTAATTATTTGGTGCTGAATGATAAATACTGGCCTTATGCTTTTAAGAATATCATTCAGCAGAATTCTCCACTATGTTGCTATTTTGAAAAGTTGACTTGCAGGAATCACTATTAGGCATGTAACCCCCAATCCTTGCCTGCTCTTCTGAAACAGAAGATATCCATGTTACCATTATATTTTCCTGTACTGGTAAATTCATAATTGACTAGATTCCTCATCATTTTTCTTATCTCTCTCTTTCCCATTCTTCTTTTTTATTACTAAATTTCCCTAACCAATAAAAAACTACTACCTTTTTATCTGAATTGATTCCAGCAAAGAAGTATTCTCTTTAAAAGAAAGCCGAAAGAAGATAAAAATCCAGAAGGGAGGAAGAAAATTCAGAAAGAAAAAAGAAAAATAAAATTCTGTATCTGTACTAATCAAAAATGAGAGATAATCAATCCCTTCTTCCTAATATTTTTATATTATCTCTAGTTATTTACACTTAAAGTCTGCTGAGGGAAAAAGTACTGCTTGCATTTAGAAGAAAGATAATAATTCCAAAAGTAAATGACTAACACTGACTTGCTTTTGTATAACACTCACTATAACAATAGCACAGACTTTACTTTGATTACGGGATAAGATTTTTAAGTCATAGCTTGGCTTTTATTTATTAAATGTAAGCAATAGAACAGGTTACTAGAAGAAGTTACATGACAATATCCACACAACTTTCTAATTCAAACCTCATGTAAGAACCCTATTTTTAATTTAGTCCTGCATCAGAATTATTAGTCTTTACAAAAACCATCTCCGACCTCAGTTTTTAACTTCTTTGAGCATAGTTAGTGAAGGGCAAGTGAGAAAATCAGAGGGTCCAGGAGAGAGAAAGAGAGAAGAAAAATGGTAAGAGAGAAGCAGAAAAGTAGGGAGAAAAGGGAAGAGGTAGAAGAAGGGATGATGGGGGAAAGGTGGGGAGAGAGAGACATAAAAGAAGAGAAATTATGTTTAGCTATTGATAGATGAGAGAAATAAATCAGTTTATAGACAAAATACATTCATGTCTTAATACAGAAATACAATGTAAGGAGAAGACCACAGTGCTTTCCCAAACTTAAGGTTTAGGATTTGTCTGGGAAAAAAAATACCAAGTTTTATTCTCTTTTTCAAGAAAAAAAGGCAATACTCTTAAGAAAAACACTGTGAACCAGGAGGAAAACTTTATATTGACACATTCATTTAAAACTGGTCACTTTCATACAAGTGGCCAACAAACATATGCAAAAATGCTCAACATCACTAATTATCAGAGAAATGCACATCAAAACCACAATGAGATACCATCTCACACCAGTCAGAATGGCTACTATTAAAAAGACAAAAACAACACACATTGGCTATAAGGCTATGGAGAAAATAGAACACTTATACACTGTTAATGAGAATGTAAATTAGTTCAGCCACTGGGGAAAGCAGTTTGGAGATTTCTCAAAGAACTTAAAACTACCACTTGACCCACCAATCTCATTACTGGGTATATATCCAAGAGAAAATAAATGGTTCCACTGAATGTATGTACATATGTAGATTCACTGCAGCCCTATTCACAATAGCAAATCAACCTAGCTGCCCACCAATGGTGAATTAAATAAAGAAAATGTGGTACATATATACCATGGAATACTGTGTGTCCATAAAAAAGAATGAAATCACGTTCTTTGAAGCAACATGGATATAGCTAGAAACCATTATCCTAAGCGAATTAACATAGGAACAGAAAGCCAAATACTCCATGTTCTCACTTGTAAGTGGGAGCTAAACATTGGGTACTCAAAAAAAAAAAAACATTGGGTACTTATAGATATAAAGATGGCAGCAATAGACATTGGGGACTACTAGATGAGGAAGGTTGGGAAGGGACAAGGTTGAAAAACTAATTTGGGGGTACTATGCTCCATACTTGTTGACAGAATCAGTTGCACCCCAAACCTTGGTGACTGAAACAGGAGCTAGGTACAGAGAGAGGTAGGGGAAGAAGAGTAGGAACAGCAGGAGAAGCACCTGGAACAGCAGAAAAGTGTGCTATGTTAAGGAACCTCATACTTCTTACCACTGGCAATTGGGGGAAGGGGAGAGAAGAGATCAGCAGAAGAGGGACCTATTAACTACTTAGGAAGGAAGCTACACTGAGCACAAAGACCCTGAACAAAGAATCCAGAAGGCAAAAAGTATTTGCTGGATTGTGGGCATCTCTATCCACAGTTCAGGAGCTGAGAGAGGATAAAGGCTCTGGGTAAAAAATAAAATAAGTGAGAGGAAATGACATTCTGCATAATACAACACCAGCTTCTCTGCTTACATGAACACCCTTCTCACCAAAGATGACTGGTTTGACAGAAAAGAAACTATGAAGAATGTGGTCCCAAAACATTAATCTTGAAAGAATATGTAACAGTGCAGCTTCCTTGACTGTATAGAAACTGTAAAAGACTGACAAAAGTAAATCTGAGAGCCTGACAAGTGAAGAAGATCAAAATAATACAATAACATTCTGAGGCAGTGACACCAAAAAAGACCTAATAAAATAAATCCTACAAAATCATTAAATTATGCAGTCATGTTCTTCAGATCCCAGTACACAAATGTCTTCCAAAGTAATTTATTAAATATGGTAAGATATCACAAAAATCTTCTTCAACTGCTTATTCACCAGCTTTGCTACTTACCTACTCTCATTCATACATTCTTCCCAAACATACGTCCTGAATATCTGCTCATGCCAAGCACTAAGCCAGGCCCTGCTGCTATCTACAGACCACACATATAAACAAAGGGTAGATAATCCATAATAACTCAAACATGAGTCAGTGGTAGTACTGAAATTCAGAAACTTTTCAAGCCCTCAATTTAGCTAAGAAATTCAATTATCCTTCTACTATTACCTTAATTCTAATATCCAAGAGTAGTAAAATTTAACTAATTTCAGATTCAATTTTTCTTATCTGGTGAATTTGCTTATGAGTCATAAAAAGGTAAAAAATCAAATTCTTATTAAGACTCAAAAGATCTAAAATTTCTAATAACTTGAAGGGAAGCTTTTCACTATACATAAAGTCACTTTTTTTTTCAGACACTGTACTTGCATATAATATTTCCATTAAAAAGAAAAAAGAGTGAGATCAGCATGAGGGTTCTAAAAATAGGTTTAATAAAAAGAAATACAGCAAACCCCAAGTGCTCAGTGACTGTTTTTCAAATGATCTGAAGATCCACAACAGGCCTGAATTTTTACTAAATGGAAGTCTCGAGCATGGAAAGTCTGTCCATGCACGCCACTACAGGCTCCATCTCTGAATTTCAGCATTCCTTGCTTTTCTATCTAAATTTACTCACATATTTTATAATGGATGCCAAAAAGAAATAACATACTACTTTCAACTGTCGGGTCTTCCCACTATTGTTAAACTACCTGAGGTCAAGTAATATCTTATCATCTTTGTATCCCCATCCCCTAACATCATAACTGTCCCATAGCAAGAACTAGAGTATAATTTAAATAATGATGATAGTTAACATTAGGAGCTTACTACAGAAGTACCTGGCACTGCTTTATGTGCTTAGCATATATTATTTAATTTTCATAACTCAATGAGTTACTATTATTAATCTCATTTTACAGATAAGAAAACTGAGGCTCAACTTCTATTGCTGAAGGAATGAATGGCAAGGAAAGAACATGGTCTTTGAATTCAAATAGAATCAAAGGAGTTTAAATCCTGATTATTACACACTATGCCACCTTGGGAAATGTATTTATCTATTCTGAACTTCAGTTTGCTCATCTATAAAAAAGAAGCAATATCTACAGCATTGTGTTGCTGTGAAGATTCAATGTGATAACACCTGAAAGCACCTACCTCATTACCCAGTACATAAGAAGCCCTCAGATGTTAGTCCTTCTTCCATCCCACTGTCCCTGGCTTCCCTTTTACCACTCACCATACTACAGGAAAAGCTGACTGGAGATACTCTCACCCCCAGGAGTTCTCAAGCTTAGACTCACCTAGGGAACTTACTATATACATACAAAAGCCCTGGCCTATGTCAAGAAGCCTGGGCCACTGTATTCTCTATTAGCTCTCCAAGTGACTGTGATAGATGGCAATGTTTGAGAAGCACTGCTCTATAAGCATTCTCTACTTAGCCACTTGACCCTCTACCTCCCGTCCAGCAAGGGACTTTAACCTCTTGATGTCTGGAAAAACTTGATGAACCTTCCTTCATCCTATCAATCTAAAAGGCTGATAGGATGAAAGAAGTATCAATCCATCTTTTAGCATCAATCTAAAAGACTTCTCCACGATTTCCCTGATTTCTCCATCAGCAAAGAGAAAAGTAGGTGTTAAAGTAGGATTTTATAATTTCCAGAGGATAAAATATCAGTCAGTGGATTCTACAGTGACATACACCAGCAACTGGATTGTGGAGCCTCTCTTCTTGTCCCTCTCTCCCTCCCTCCAATTAACTGCTGAATTCTACCCAAGCCTACAGCTAACTAGAACAGAAGGAAACCTGATCCACACAAGCAGCAACCAGTGGAGAAGGGGCAGAACTAGAAAACAAATTTACAGTTTGCACTCAGCTTATCAAGGCCAACCACTAAATCGCAGAGCAACCCGATACTGACAGAAATCTTTGTTTTTTGTTTTTTTTTTCCTGAGGCGGAGGTCTCGCTCTGTCGCCCAGGCTGGAGTGCAGTGGCGCCACCTCGGCTCACTGCAAGCTCCGCCTCCCAGGTTCACGCCATTCTCCTGCCTCAGCCTCTCTGAGTAGCTGGGACTACAGGCGCCACCACGCCCGGCTAATTTTTTGTATTTTTAGTAGAGACAGGGTTTCACCGTGTTAGCCAGGATGGTCTCGATCTTCTGACCTCGTGATCCGCCCGCCTCAGCCTCCCAAAGTGCTGGGATTACAGGCGTGAGCCACCGCGCCTGGCCACTTACAGAAATCTTTAAAGGGGATAAAACTGTAACCAGTCTTACAAAAAAAGGAACCGTTCAATAGAATACTGGTTTACATAAAACAATAGTCTCCCAGGCAGTGATTAAACAGACTTCCAATAAACTAATATGCACAAAACAATTATGTTAACATTACGTTAATATTGATTTTAATTAACTGTTCAAATTTCAGAAGATTTAATTGCCTTTTTGTTTTGGAAAATTTGTACATTTACAATAAATCTTTAGGAAGCTCAAACTCTCCATGAGGATTTCTAATAGAGAATTTAATTGTGAGAAACAAGTAGAATAGCAATATTGTGTGTAGTTTTCAAATTAGTTAACTATTTTGTAAATATTATTCAACTATTGAAGCAAATAGTTTTGAGAAAGTGAAAAGAATTAAAGTTAGCTTTAGATTTCTGGAGATTCATGCTATTAAAGCTCTATTACCTAGGGCTTTACCAGTAAGAAAACACTAGAAAACTAGTGTTTCTGATATTCCCCAGGACATATCTTCTACCTAGTGATTTCAAGCATAATGATCACAAATGGAAGAGTCAATATTTTCTAAAAGATTTGTATTTATTTAGAAATCTATGAAAAATAAACACAAATTAATGGAATCAATGTTTTCTGAACTCCAACTGTGGGCTGGGGCATACACAAAATATAATCATGATGTTAACTAACATTTATTTATACCTACCACAAACACTAGACGAGGTTATAAATTCTTTGAGAAAAGAGGTGGGGCGGTTTAGAACATGTAGAAAAAGGCAAAAATAAAATAAAGTTAATTAGTTAATACAAAAAAACTGTGGTGAAACAAATCTATTCACCTTTGTCTTAAATTCCCTTTAAGCCTAGCGCAGAGGGACACATACAGTGCTTTTTTTGTAGAGGTATATAGTAATTCATAATTAATGTATCTATACAAGGGAGAAGGCACTCATGGTTACAGGGAAGATGTGGTAGGAAAACCTGGAGGAATTGGGGAAATCCAGAGGATATCTTCTCAACCAAAGGATAAGGCAAAGCCCTGGACAAAACCATGATTATCTTTAAAGAAAAGGCAAGCAGTGGAAATGGAGCTGCGAACTGAGATAGAGAGTGGCGAACATGATGAGCCCTGAGAGAAATCTACAGAAGCAAGGCATAGTCTGGAGGTGAAAAACTTCATACAGTACAATGGGCAACACCCCCATAATTATGGACCACTAAAGCTGTGCATTATATACAAATAACATACCAGTGTAGTCTCTCCCCACCCTCAACTATCCTCACAAACAAAAAAATGCAGGCTGCTTCTAAAGGTCGCTGAAGGAATACACAATTTCCTCTTGTGTGGAGATGTAAAAAAATGACTGCTTAAGAATACTATAGAACTTAAAATTATAATTAACTGTAAATTCAATTATTTGTTTTTTCTTTCCCTGGTTAGACCATAAGTGCTGTAAGAACAGACAATAGGATCATACCTTCCTATGGCCAATATCTCACCCCAGTTCTGGACCAGGCAAATACATGCAGGTAATAAATATTAGTTGAATGAATGAAAAGTGAATCAATCCATATGTAAAAGGTAGGAGATCAATAAATGAACAGAAACAGGTTATGTGGAAGGTCAGACTGAGGGGATAAGAAAACCTAGAAGGTCAGATAGCCCTAAAAATATTCCAGTACAAAACTAAAGGCTAACATACTTCTACCAAAAACTTAAGTTATAAAAAGCGGTGATTGACAAATTTAGATTTAGAAGTGTGTAATATATTCTTTGTAATATCTATATTTCCACTTATCAAAAAATTTCAAAGTTTTTGCTTTTCTTTAGCATAGAAAAAAATATGTCTTTATATGCATTCCAATTATTTAAGACACTCAAATTTCCAAGAGCACAAGTAAAGAACATGAAAAAACAGGCTAATGGCATTCATTGGTATATGATCATTCACATCTATCTAGGCACTGGGTTTTTCTCCCTAAAATCTCCTAAAAAATATGAGTTCATAAAAAACAAAGATAGAAAAAAAAGTCAATCAGATTAAAAGAGGGAAAAAAACCTTTGCCCAGTGTGAGGCTTGATTACCTTAATTATTTTGACTTTGAAAGGAACCTTAATGCAGAATTGAACTTTGTCCAGTCTTTCATCTATATATTTTTAAAAAAATAATGACACTGTGTGGTTCATAAGTCTTGTCTAATTATCTTAATTTCTTCAGAAATGTTTCATTTGGTAACTTTTCCAGCAAAATTACAATTTAAACATGCAGTTCAAAAAATCATAAGTCTCTTACTCATTTTAGTGTGAAGCGAGATTAATGGAAGATGCTCATTCCACAATGGCCTGAGCAGAAACTTTACATTTCAAAGTGTATGAACCAACATACACTTCTGCTATTCAATTAAAGAAAATGGTCAGAAATGTCTTTACAATGAAATAAACACACTAAACCTTCTTGCACAGGTTTTTTTTTTCCTCCAAGCAAGTGGTCATCAAACAGGAATTCCACACATATCAGAAGATTTTGTAACCATTTCCACATTAAACAGAATTATCACATTGTGATAAAATGCTGACTCCACTGACGGATCCTGCTGGTCAGTGATTTCATCATTTTATCAAGCATGTGAAGGCTATTATCTTCAAGCTGAATGTTGCTACAAGGTGGTTACACAAACACTGTTTGCTTAAAGACAGTGTTATCTGGAGAAATAAGTCTCTTTTCTAAAGTAAGGTAAGGCATTTCCCAAGATTTCTCACTAAACAGCCCAGGCTTCTGAGAAACTCTCTATAAAAATGTAGAAACAAGTACCCTTTCAAGGAAAACTACAGATTAATACATATATTGAAAACAATGTACAAAGCCAACATCACATGGCCATGCTAATAAATTCATTTTGGTTATTTGTTTAAGCTTCCTACTAATCAAATTTTCTAGGATGATAACCATCAAGAGATGACTTCAATTTTAGAAAAAAAGAATGATGAAAGACATGAAAAGTTTTCTTAATTATACAAAGCAAGATTAGTCTGCCAGAGATGCTGCCCTATTATATTTCGTGTGTGTGCATGCATGTACACCCACACTCTTAAGACTTTAAATCAATCTATGCTCTTTTCATAATTCTTACTACATAGACATAAGTATCTCTTTTAAGCCACAAATGAATAGAAAGTGATCCTTTATAAACAGAATCTCAGATAACATTTATTCATAATGACGGAGTATTTGGCTATAGGAAAAATTTATATTCTATAGAAAATATTAATATTTTATAGAAGTTTATCAAGCCTATGTGCATTTTTAATGATTAATTCCAAATTCATCAGGAACTTAGCACCAAAGATGCAAGTACTAAAGGCAGTGGCAAGTTTAACAAAATGCTATTGATACCAAATTTTTTAAAGCAATCAATTTGGTGACATACTAATTTCTTATGTAGCAAAATAATAAGTGTGGTGGCAGCTTCATAATGCTTGACAACATACAGCTCGGGCATCTAGGCACTCTGCTAACAAGCCAGACATGCTAGCTCCTTCATTTACACGAGGACACAAATGAGCAGGAAAGGATGGTACAACACAAAAAGAAAATAACTTGGGATCTCAGGCAGTTGCCCAGGTGATGGTAAAGCGCCAAGCTGAAAAACCTGTGGTCGCTAAGCAGCAGCAAAGACAATAAAGAGATTCCCATCCAGCTTCACAGCAGCTGCAGTAAGTTCAGACTGGTGGAATCACAGCACACCCTGGTGACAAAAACGAGTCACCTCTGGCTGACCTGATAGCCACTGAAGCACCAAGGCCACCACCTAACACTTCTTTAAATCTTCCTGAGAAAAACTAAAAACATGGTGAATAAACTTGCACTATTAGGAAAAAAAGGGAAACTAAAAGAGATTTTATATAATATAAATGCTAATACTATTTTCAAAGTATCTGGCTTAGTGGCTTACCAGCAATGTGACCTTGGGCAAGTTTTTAGATTGTCTGTGCCTCAATTTCACAATTTCACATTGGGAATATTTTAAGTCCTCACCTTACAGGATACCATACAGATCAAATAAAGACAATATTTGAAACATGCTTAGAACAGGACCTGGCACACAGAAAACATCGTATGTATTCATTCATGAATAAATATGAATTCAATGTAGACATATAATTTTTTAAGCTGAAAAAGAATAATAAAAGTTATAAGGTACTGAGTGCTTGCTATGTGCCCTCCTCTGTACTCTTTACATACATGATGCCCTTTAATCTTTTTTTTTTTTTTTTTTTTTTTTTTTCTGAGATGGAGTTTTGCTATTGTTGCCCAGGCTGGAGTGCAATGGCTCAGTCTCGGCTCCCTGCAACCTCCGCCTCCCAGGTTCAAGCAATTCTCCTGCCTCCGCCTCCCGAGTAGCTGGGATTACGGGCATGTGCCACTACACCCAGCTAATTTTGTATTTTTTGTAGAGATGGGGTTTCACCATGTTGGACAGGCCGGTCCCGAACTCCTAACCTCAGATGATCCACCCACCTCAGCCTCCCAAATTGCTGGGATTACAGGCATGAGCCACTGCGCCCAGCCGCCCTTTAATCTTTATAGCAAATATGCATTATAGGTGTATCTCCTTTTATAGATGAAGAAAGGCAAATGTTAAGACCAAAACAAAACTAGCAAGTGGCAGAGCTAAGATTCAAACACAGATATTTCTGACTCCAAAACCTATGCTTTTAACCATACTGCACCATAGAGAAAACTGGTTTTACCCATCTGTTCCTATTTTATGGATGAGGAAACTGAAGTGTCTTAGATAAAGCCCCACAGGTAGCTAATGGATAAATGAGGAATTAAGGTGTCTTGGCCTATTACAAGCAGATACCTCTCTGTTCCAAATGACTAAATAGGTGTAAAATTCCATTGCCACTGGAATAGTCTTGAATCACTCAGGATTAGAATTAGTCTAAGGATATCTGCCCTACCCAACACAACACACTGAAGCATATGCTACAGTAAATTAGGGAACAGAAGAGATTTTTCACTTAAGGTAGCGGAAGGCAGGAAGGTCAGGTATCCTGAATGACTCTCTAATATGATCAACTTCATCACAGTAACTGCCAAGTGTAATGCCAAAATGTGGTAAATTTCAACTTTGTTTTTCCAACATAGAAGGAAAGATCCATATAGAGGGCTAGATAGGGTACAGGAGCCCACCAGCTGCCTCTCTCTCGGCCGATACCACTGATAATCATTTCGAAAATAAAGAGGTCTCTGGCAGGTGCATTTTCCCTTAGTATGCCCAGGCTTGACAATGAAAGGAAAACCAGCCAGCTCCCACCCACAGGTGTTGGTTGGAAGTCATTCGGCAGCAGCTGGAGCTGAGGTACACACAAGCTCTATCCTACCACCCTCTCAAGCAAAAAAAGAAAAAAGAAAGTTGATACTTTAAAACATTAAGACTAAAAAGATATGGGTATATGTATATTAAAAATACAGGGTTCATCTGCAAGATATGTAACAATTATAGGCAGAGCTCTCACCCTATATAAACATTAACCCCTTTCTAGTTGTATGAATCAGGCCAAATCAAATGCTATGCTCAGAATCAAGATAAGAATATTGGTTTGGGAACCTTCTTACAACTATATCTTCAGGCATTTGTTTATACAACTAATAACAGAAAAAACTACCTCTTCACATTAAAAAGTTTATCATTTACATGTTTTTATAGTGTAATGAAAGCAGTGATCATTCCTTAAAAACAGTAAATGCAAATTCATATTCTGAACATCTACTCTGTAAGAAAGCCAGAGTTTACCTAGAAATGGTCAAAATCCTAGTAAATGACAAACCACTTTGCATGAATCATGTCACAGTATTTTTATTTCATTAAATCCCACCAAACTTAATATTTTATCAACTACAGGCATCTTCCTTACTACAGGTTGAGTATCCCTTATCCAAAATGCTTGAGACAGAAGTGTTTTGAATTTTGATTTTTTTCAGATTTTTGGCGTATTTGCATATATATAAAATGAGATATCTTGGGGATGGGACCCAAGTCTAAACACTTAATACATTAATTTTTTATGTGTATACCTTATAAACAAAGCCTAAAGACAATTTTATTTTTCCTTTGCAGATGCTTTGTGTTGTGTGCCTACATTTTGACTGCGACCCTTCACATGAAGTCAGATGTGAAATTTTCTACTTACAGTGTCATGTTGGTGCTCAAAAACTTTCAGATTTGGAAGCATTTCAGATTTTGGATTTTTGGATTGGGAATATTCAATCTGTAACTCAAGACTTTCTTGTAATATGCTGTGCATATGAAAACTGTTACAAAATATTCTGTTTACTATTTCACAGATTTGATTAAATATTGTCCTTTATATTCTGTTTATCTCAAAATAGTAGAGCCTCAAACTTTACAGGAGTATTGAAATTATACCACTATTGCAAAAAATACAAATCAATAATGTCACCTTACAGCTTAAAAAATTGTTTACAATTCTTATTTCTACATAAAATATATAAGTATGGGGAAATTTCCCCATCCATAAAATAGGAACAGATGAGTAAAACCAGTTTTCTCTATGGTGCAGTACAGTTAAAAACATAGGTTTTGGAGTCAGAAATATCTGTGTTTGAATCTTAGCTCTGCCACTTGCTAGTTTTGTTTTGGTCTTAACATTTGCCTTTCTTCATCTATAAAAGGAGATAACACCTATGATGCATATTTGTTATAAAGATTAAAGGGCGGCTGGGCGGAATGGCTCACGCCTGTAATCCCAGCAGTTATGGGAGGCTGAGGCGGGTGGATCATCTGAGGTCAGGAGTTTGAGACTATGTATAATGCCAAACTCAAAAATATTCTAAATGATAAAGAGGTAACATAATATTTATATTATTTTGCTGTGTTTATCATAAATGACTTCTCAGAATCACTAAGCACATCAGATATTTTCTTTTTGTTTTTAATGGAAAAGGTATTTTCTTCCTTTCTTTGTAGAGAAAACAATGAAATTATCCAGGAAAATTTATTTCTTATTACTCTTCTAAAATATAATCTTTATTTATGTTTTCCTTCAGAACAGAAAAGTTTTTATAGCTTTATTGACGTATAATTGACAAATAAAAATTATACATATTTAAGGTGTACCAAATGTTTAGATATATGTTACATTGTAGAATGATTTCCACAATCAAACTAATTAGCACATCCGTAATCTCACATAGTTACCGTGTGTGTGTGTGTGTGTGTGTGTGTGTGTGTGTGTGTGTGTGGAAAACTTAAGATCTATTCTCTTAGCAAATTTCAAGTACATTCTTATTAACTACAGTCACCATACAATACATTAGGTCTCCAAAATTTATTTATAACTTAAAGCTTCTATGCTTTGACCAACAGCTTCCCATTTTCCCCCCACCCAGCCACCGGCAATCACTATTCCATGCTGTACATACTAAATTGCATGCTCTAAAATTTCTATGAGATCAACTGTTTTAGATTCCACATATAAATGAGATCCTGCAGTATTTGTCCTTATGTGCCTAAATTACTTCATTTAACATAATGTATTTCACTACTGTCACAAATAACAGAAATTTCCTTTTTTTTAAAGGCTGAATGATATTCCACTGCATATAAATAGCATATTTTCTGTATGCACTCATCCATCAATGGACATTTCAGTAGTTTCCATATCTTGGCTATTGTTAATAATGCTGCAATAAACCTGGAAGTACAAATATATTTTCAATGTGCTGATTTCATCTCCATCAGATGAGTCCCCAGAAATGGGATTGCTGGATCATATAGGAGTTCTATTTTTAATTTCTCAAGGAACCTCCATACTGTTTTCTTTCCATAATGGCTGTACCAACTTACATTCCCAACAACAATGTATAAGGTTCCCTTTTCTCCACATCATCACCAACACTTGTTTTCTTTTGTCTCTTCTTTATAATAGCCATTCTAACAGGTATGCAGTGATATCTCACTGTGGTTTTGATTTGCATTTCCCTGATGACTGAGCACCTTGTAATATAACTACTGGCCATCTGTATGTGTCCTTTGGAAAGTTTTCTATTCAGGTCCTTTGCCCATCTTTGGTGTTTTGTTTTTACTGAGTTGTACAGGTTTCTTATTTTTTATATTAATTCCTTATCAGATACATGATTTTTAAATATTTCTCCAATCCATAGGTTGCCTTTTCACTTTGCTATTTCCTTGCTTAGCAGAAACCTATTAGTTTAGTGTAGTCCCACTTGTTTATTCTTACTTTTATTGTCTGTGCTTTTGGTGTAATATCCTAAAAATCACTGCCAAAACTAATGTCATGGAGATTTTTCCCTATGTTATCTTCTAGGAGTTTCACAGTTTCAGGTTATATGCTCAAATATTTAATCCATTTTGAGTTGATTGTTGTATATGATGTAGGATAAGAATATGATTTCTCTTATTTTCATGGTGGATATGAAGTTTTCACGACATCATTTTTGAAAAAAACTATCCTTTTTCCATTGTGTATTCAGGGTGCCTTTGTCAAACAATAGTTAATCACCTCTAGACCTGCCTTACAACAAATGCTAAAGGGAGTTCTTCAAGCTGAAACAAAAGGATGCTGGTTAGTAACATGAAAACATATGAAAGTATAAAACTCACTGGATGAAGACCTTTATAATGCTGCACTTCCATTTAATGGATAGTAAATACATTTCCTTATAAGTCCTTATGACTTTCTTAATAACATTTTCTTATCTCTAGCTTACTCTTGTAAGAATAGAGTATGTAATACATATAACCTACAAAACATGTGTTAATCAACTGTTTATGTTATCAGTATGGCTGGAGGTCAACAGTAAGCTAGTAGTAGTTAAATTTTCAAAGAGCCAAAAGTTATACACACATTTTCAACTGTGTAGAACGTCTGTGCCCCTAACTCTTGCATTGCTTAAGAGTCGACTGTATATCCCCTTTTTGTAGTAAGCCTTTGAAATCCAGTGAGATGTGCTTAAAGCACATCTCAATGCATAATAGCTATGTTTCAAGTGCTCAATAGCTATATGTGGCTAGTGGTTACCAGTGAGCACCAACAGTTCTAGCTATTAAGTGCTATGTTTTGGGGATAGAGAATTATTATGATTTGGAATGAATTCTGGGGGCAGATGGAATTTGAGTTGGGTCCTGAAAGAATGTTAAGGTTCAGAAAAATGGGGAAAGCATTTCTGGAAGAAATAGTGTAAGGGAAGAGAATAGAAGGTTTGCTGGGGTAGACATTTGTTTTTAAAATTAATTATGTGCCTAGTACATAGCAAACACTGTGAAACTCAGCACACAATACACACAATCCTTACATCAATGGTTCTAAAACTTGAGCATCAGAATCACCTGAAAGGCAAAACACAATTTACTGTGACCCACCCTGAGTTTTTGAAGCAGTAGGTCTGAATTCCATTTCTAACAAATTTCTAGGTGGTGCTAATGCTGCTGGTCCAGGCACCGTACTTGGAGAACCGCTGCCTTACATTAACAGTTCCTAGCAGATATTATCTCCATTTTATAGGTAAGAAAGTGAGGCTAAGAAAAACTAAATAATTTAACAGAGATTGCATAGATAATATGTAGCAAGAACGTGATTCAAGTGCAAGTCTGGAATTTACATCTAGGTCTGTCTCGGCCTCCCAAAGTGCTAGGATTACAGGCGTGAACCACTGCCCCCGGCTAACTCCAGCTTTTTATTCCTCTATGAATTATTCTAAAACTTTCACATTTTTTGTGCTTATATTTAAGTCTACGATCCATTTTGAGTTGTTTTTTTTAATAAAATAACACTTGGAAATGGAAATTTCTGAGTGCTGCTACTATATAGAAATAGGATTGATTTTTCTTTATTAATCTTGTATCCTGAGACCTTGCTAAGCTCACTTATTTGTTCTAGCAGCATTTTTGTATAATCCTTAGAATTTTCTAATAGAAGATCACGTCATCTGTAGATAAAGACTATTTTACTTATGTCCTTCCATTCTGCCTTTTATTTATTTTTCTTCCTTTATTACATTGGCTAGGACCAGCATAATGTTGAATTGAAATGGTGAGCATGGACATTCTTACATTGTTTCCAATCTAAGGGAGAAAGCATTCAGTCTTTCATCAAGTACAATGTTAACTGAAAGTTTTTCAGAGATATCCCTAAAGTTCCCTTCCAATTTGCATTTATAAAGAGAATGACACAAATTCACATCAATGGTAGGGAATCTTAAGTTCCCTTCTAATACTAGATTTCTGAGTTTTTATCATGAGCAAATAGTGAATTTTGTCAACCACTTTTCCTGTATTTATTGAAAGGAATATATGGTTTTTCTTTTTTTAGAGATAGAGTCTTGCTCTGTCACCCAAGCTGGAGTGTAGTGATGCAATCATAGCTCATTGCAACCTTGAGCTCCTGGGCTCAAGTGATCTTCCCACCTCAGCCTCTCCAATAGCAGAGACTACAGGTGCATGTTCCACCATGCCCAGCTAATTTATTTAAAAAAAAAAATTGTAGAGACAGAGTCTCCCTATGTTGCCCAGGCTGATCTCAAATTCCTGGCCTCAAGTGATTCTCCTATCTGAATCTTCCAAAGCACTGTGACATAGCATCTGGCTGGTTTTTAATTTTAAGCCTGATAATATGATTAATTACACTGATTTTCAAATTTTAATCAATCTTAAATTCTTGGGATATTCTCTACTAGATCATGATTTATTATCACTGTATATATTTCTGTATTTCATATACTAAAATTTTATAAAGAATGTGTATATCTATGTCCATGACAGATATTGGTATGGAGATTTCTTAAAATACTTTTGGTGTCAGGTTTGAAAAGAATTCATGATGATGCTTATAGATTATGTAAATTACAAATCTAATCCCTATGTTTCTTGATACAGGAAGAATGAAGTTCTTTCATAAATAATACCAATTACACAGTAAATGGGAATTTATATCATATATTAATTTTTCAAAAGTTATATGAAACCCTGAAATAATTAAACATAGTTGCTTTTAAAAATCCCCCATATTAACTTGTTTAACTTTGTTGCCATTACCAAGAATTTTGCGTTTCTTAAATATTTAATGGAAATAGCTTCATGGTTATAAGTTATAAAGTGATTTCTCTCCTTTTGCAGCATGAAGATAATTTGAAAATCCCTATTCATTGACATGAATTTGTAGCTGTTTTTTTTTTTTTTTTTTTTTGACACGGAGTCTCACTGTCGCCAGGCGGGAGTGCAGTAGCGCGATCTCGGCTCACTGCAACTTCCGACTTCCTGGTTCAAGCGATTCTCCTGCCTCCGCCTCCTGAGTAACTGGGACTACACGCACGCGCCACCACGCCCAGCTAATTTTTGTATTTTTAGTAGAGACAGGGTTTCACCATGTTGGCCAGGATGGTCTTGATCTCCTGAACTCATGATTTGTCCGCCTCGGCCTCCCAAAGTGCTGGGATTACAGGCGTGGGCCACTGCGCCCAGCCGTATCATTCTCTTTATAAACGAAAAAGAGGTTAATGTTGACCAGACTCTAGTTAAATAAAACAATATATTAGACTCCTGTAGGTAGTGAAGATAAACCAATGCTTCTAAAATATCTCTCAGTGAAATAATAAGATCAAAGTGGTTAGGGGAATCATAACCTTTTTAACAATTTCCAAACTGTGTGGTAGGTATAAAGTCAGTTTTCAGAGTGCTAGAGTCAGAAAAGAAAGGTTCATATTAACATGTAAGATTCTGTCAGGAAGCAGACCGTGGCCCGATATAAAACCAGCTGCCAAGTACTACTGAGATAAGATCATAAATAAGCTGTAGGTTCACAAAACTTCATATTAAATGGTGAGTTCTCTGGGAAGCAGACCTCTAGACCAAGATTAGCAGGAGGTATATTAAGGAGTACCTTTGGGATCAAACCTATGAAAAGGGAGGGGAATGAAACAGGTTTGGACAGAGGAAAAAGTTAAACTGTCATCCAAATCTACCAACAGTCTTGGCTCATCCCGCAGGGAACTCTGGAGTTAGAATGGCCCTTCAGAGTTATCTCTAGCTGGGCCAAAATAGATAGGACTCTATATTTCCACAGCAATCAGTCATTGACTGTGGGCCATCCTGGGAAGGAGGGTTACCTTAGTTAGTCAAGTTGGCGCCCTGCAGCTGAGAGAGTCCCTGAAGGGGCTGACAGCTGTGGGGTACCTGCCCATTGTATTCCCAGAAGTTGGGGCAACAAGCTTTCATAGAAGGGATATCTGAGTAGCACCACAGTATGCAAAATACAGATATATGAAAGAAAGACCTTAAACCATGCCAAAAATGTTAGTTAGATATGTGCTTATCAAGGTATACATAAGTTGTTCCTTCACTTTATTCACATCTCTGTACAAATGTCACCCATTCAGGACTTTTCCTAACAAACCTATCTGAAATGGTACCTCTTTACTGTGTTTTATTTTTTCATTATGCTTATCACTACCTGACATTTTAATATACATTTATTTGTTTATTGGGCATTATCTGTCACTCCCACTGGAATATAAGTTACAGGAGGTGAGCACCTTTACCTACTTTACCTCTATGTCCCACTGTCTAGAACAATGTGGGAAAAATAACATATTTACAAATAATCAGAGTTAATATTTGTATTGGAAATGATCATGATTTGTCATCACTGATAACTCATTAACTGTACTGTGGTTGAAATCAATATCAAAGGTTGTAAATTAGCCTAGGTTCCTGATGAGAAATGCAAAATGTCCAGCTAAGAACTTTAAGGTAGGTCATTGTGATGGTTAATTTTATGTATCAACTTGACTGGGCCAAAAGGTGCCCAGACATTTGGGCAAACATTATTCAGGGTAATGGGATGGGCCTCATCCAATCAACTGATGTTTTGAATAAAACAAAAAGGCTAACAACCCTCCTCAGCTTGCCAACTGCAGATCTTGTAACTAGTCAGCCTCCATAATCATGTGATCATGTGAGCCAGTCCCATATACACACACACACACACATATGTTATGTTTCTCTGGAGAACCCTGACTGATACAGTCATTTTACTTAAACAAATTTCTGGCCAGGTGCAGTGGCTCATGCCTATAATCCCAACACTTTGGGAGACCAAGGCAGGAGGATCACTTGAAACCAGGAGTTCGAGACCAGCCTGGGCAACAAAGCAACCCCAACTCTACAAATAAAAATAAAAATAATTAGCCAGGCACAGTGGCATGTTTTTGTAGTCCCAGCTACTCAGGAGGCTGAGAAAAGAGGATCGCTTGAGGCTGGGGGGTTCAAGGCTGAAGTGAGCTAAGATTGAGCCACTGCACTCCAGCCTGGGCACCAGAGTAAAATCTTGCCTCTAAAAAAAAGAAAGAAAAAGAAACAGATTTCTAACTATGAAAGTAAAATACAAATAGAACCCTAAGTAATTAATATGTATTTTGTCATTCTCTGCAAAGAACATTAATCATTAGTTGGAATTTATCTTTCAAATGTGTTGCTGTTTATATGTATATTTGAGAAACAAAAGGTCTTGTAAAGTGCTCTGTCTCTTAAGGAAATCCAAAGATCTAAAGAAAGAACTATAAAGTCTCCTATATATATTCCAGTAAGCTACATACATTTCAGCATTTACTTAAAATTCAAAGGCTGTCAATAAAGCCAAAAGGGTCTGGCATGGTGGCTCGTGCCTGTATGCCCAATGTTTTGGGAAGCCAAGGCAGGAGGATCGCTTGAGCCCAGCAGTTCAAGACCAACCTAGACAACATAGCAAGACCCTGTCTCAACAAAAAAAAAATTTTAATTAGCCAGGTGTGGTGGCACACACCTGCAGTCCTAGCTACTCTGGAGGCTGAGGTGGGAGAATCTTTTTTTTTTTTTTTTTTTGGATAGAGTCTCGCTCTGTCACCCAGGCTGGAGTGCAGTGGCGTGATCTTGGCTCACTGCAAGCTCCGCCTCCCGGGTTCACACCATTCTCCCGCCTCAGCCTCCCCAGCAGCTGGGACTACAGGTGCACACCACCACGCCCAGCTAATTTTTTGTATTTTTAGTAGAGACGGGGTTTCACCGTGTTGGCCAGGATGGTCTCGATCTCCTGACCTCATGATCCACCTGACTCGGCCTCCCAAAGTGCTGGGATTACAAGCGTGAGCCACCGCGCGCGGCCGAGAATCTCTTAAACCGTAAGAGAATCTCTTAAACCAAAGGCTGCAGTGAGCTATATGGTGCCATTGTATTCCAACCTGAGTGACAGAGTGAGATCCTGTCTCTGAAAAAATTTTTTAAATTAAAAAAGCCAAAGGACATGAAACACACCATTATCCAAATGTATTACCCAAATATCTTCAAATGCTAAGAAGTAATTTTTGGATTAAAGGTCTCTTCGGAGTCTACATGCCTACACTCTCCTTCCATTAGTGTGAATAATCAAAAACTAACCGGATTTCAAGTGGAACATTTAAACTGACATCTTCTGATGTTATTTCATCCAAATTACTTTGAGATAAAGAAATGTTGCAGACAATTGTACCACTTCTTGTAAAGCTGCATTTAAATGACTCCTCATAAGCAAATGCCTATTTGACTTACATGAAAATACACACAAACTAATCTAGCTTATTTTGGATAAATGTAGATGGTTCTGCTATTTGATTGTTAATATATAAAAGCTATAAACTATGTTTGTTTTAAATAAGAGAAATAAAAAAAAATTTCATTTGTAACATGTTTCCACTTGGATTTTAAAACCCAAACAGTTGTTTTCTCAAGCCAAACTTCAGAAAACAACTCTTTATCCCCTGCTCAAGTGAAGAGTATACATTTAAAGAAGTCATTATCCAATATGAAAACAGGTTTTAAAAAATCTTCCATAACCTGAGCAACATAGCCCAGGCAACTCTGTCTCTACTAAAAAATTTTTTAAAATTAGCCAGGTGTGGTGGCACGTTCCTGCAGTCCCAGCTATTCAGGAGGCAGAGGCAGGAAGAGCACTGGAACCCAAAAGTCCAAGGTTGCAGTAAGCTATGATTGAGCTACTTCAGTCTGGCTTGGGCAACAGAGCCTGTCTCAAGAAAAAAAAAAAAAAACAAAAAAAACACAATTATTTTAAATTTTCTATATTCACAGATCTTGAAGATAAAATTTAAACAAAACTTGTCCTTGAAATGGAATTCATCATTAGGAAGATTCTACTAATCTAAAATGTTCATAATTTATCTCCAAAAAATGACAAATTTATCCCAATTTGCTTTTATTTGAAAGGAGTATCTTCTGTTTAGCACCAAAAAATCCCGACTGTGAAGCCTTCTTTTCCCAAAAAATACTGATCAACAAGCCCTGCTTATGGGTTAATTATGAACTGCTAATATAGTGCTATTTCTCTTCAGGCCATTAAAATAGTGGGAATATGCTGCTATAATGAATTTTCCTATGCTAACGGTAGATATTTTCTTTTTCTTTCTTTCTTTTTTTTTGAGACAGAGTCTCACTCTGTTGCCTAGGCTGGAGTGCAGTGGCGTGATCTCGACTCACTGCAACCTCCTCCTGGGTTCAAGCAATTCTCTGCCTCAGCCTCCCGAGTAGCTGGGATTACAGGCTCCCGCCATCACGCTCGGCTAATTTTTCTATTTTTAGCAGAGACGGGGTTTCACCATCTTGGCCAGGCTTGTCTTGAACTCCTGACCTCAGGTGATCCACCCACCTTGGCCTCCCAAAGTGCTGGGATTACAGGTGTGAGCCACCGTGCCCAGCCTAGATATTTTCTTGGTTTAAAAACAAAAAATGTCCAACATTTTTTCTACTATTCTTGCCACACATATTTTTTATCAATTTTCTCCTCTGCTAATCAGAGCCATTCATAAAAATGTAAGAAAATCTACCTCTTGATAGATTTGGGTGACTCACTTTAACTGAGTCCCCATGGTAAGATTCTTGTAGACACAATGACATTGTCTTCCTCAGTTGGGTATATTTTATGAACACCGAATTACAGGCATACCTCAAAGATACGGCAGGTTCAGTTCCAGACAACTTTTATAAAACAAATATTGCAATAAAGCGAGTCACACAAATTTTTTGGTTTCCCAGTGCATATAAAATTATGTTTATATTAAACTGTAGTCTATTAAATGTGCAATGACATTATGTCTAAAAACACAATGCACATAACTTACTTTAAAAAATACTTTATTGCCAAAACATGCTAACAATCATCTGAGTCCTCAGCAAGTCATAATTTTTTTGCTGGTAGAAGGTCGTGGCTTGATGTTGATGGCTACTGACCGATCAAGGTAGTGGTTGCTAAAGATTGGTTTTGCTGTGGTAATCTCTTAAATAAGACAATGAAATTTAAAACATCGATTTACTTCTTTTCATGAAAGATTTCTCTACAATATGTCATGCTATTTAATAGCATTTTACTCAGAGTAGAACTTCTTTCAAATTTGCAGTCAATCCTCTCAAACCCTGCTCTGCTTTATCAACTAAGTTTATGTAATATTCCAAATTCTGTGTTGTCATTTCAACAATATTCACAGCATCTTCACCAGGACTAGATTCCATCTCAAGAAACTACTTTCTTTGCTCATCCATAAGAAGCAATTCCTCATCAGTTCAAGTTTTATTGCAAGATTGAAATAATTCAGTTCATCTTTAGAATTTCACTTCTAATTCTAATATTCTTGCTATTTCCACGATATCTGCTATGACTTCCTCCACTGAAGCCTTGAACTTGGATGGACCTCGAAGTCATCCACAAGGGTTAGAATCAACTTCTTCCAAATTTCTGTTCGTGTTAATATTGTGACCTCCTTCCATGAATTACAAGTGTTCTTAATGGCATCTAGAATGGTTACTTTTTTCTCTAGAAGCTTTTCAATTACTTTGTCCATATCCATCAAAGGAAACACTATCTATGGCAATTATAGCCTTATAAAATATACTTCTTAGATAATAAAACTTAAAAGTTGAAATTATTCCTTGGTGCATGGGCTGAAGAATTGATGTTGTGTTAACATGACTGCTCTTTGTACATCTTCATCAGAATTTTTGGGTAACTAGTTGCAATGTCAATGAAAAGTAATATTTTGAAAGGAATCTTTTTTTCTGAGCAGCTGGTCTCAAAAGTGGGCCTAAAATATTCAGTAAGCCATGCCACAAATTGATATGCTGTCATCCAGGCATTGTGATTCTGCTTATAGAACACAGGCAGAGTAGATTCAGCATCAATATTAAGGGCCCTAGGATTTTGTAAATGTTGAATGAGCACTGGCTTCAACTTAGAGTCACCAGCTGCATTAACCCCTACCAAGAGTGTCACCCTGTCCTTTGACACTTTAAGCCAAGCATTGATTTCTTCTCTCTAGCTATGAAAGTCTTAAATGGTATCATCGTCTAGTAAAAGGCTGTTTCATATACACTGAAAATCTGTTGTTTATTGTAACCACCTTCATCAATTATCTTACCTAGGTCTTCTGGATAACTTGCCTCAAGCTTCTACATCAGTACTTGCAGCTTCACCTTGCACTTTTATGTTATGGACATAGCTTCTTTTCTTAAACCTCATAAACTTCTGGTAGCCTCAAACTTTGCTGTTGTTATTATTTTTTTAGGTACAAGTGGCAAATACATTCCTTTTTATAAGGTTTTCTCCAATGTATTTCCATAATGAAGGCATTTTGTTTTATTTTATTCCACTGTTGTTCATAGTTTGAACCCTACACCCTCCCTTCCCTTTCATCTCAAAGGGAGCTCCTTTGTATATAGCCACATACTCATCATAGTATAAAAATGAGGTGGGATCTGCTCCCAAATCTTCTTAGGATTTGGTTCCTTGTTGGGCTCTCCAGGGAAAGCATCAAAAGTAATTGTCTCCATTAGGAAGGGCCAAGATTTCAACCTTCTCTGGTGAACAAGCACACATGACCACTGCTTGAGATAATACTCCCCTCATCATTGTAGGTTTCAGGTTACAAAGTAAAATCACCATCTGATTTTGCATCTGTTCAAAAGGAACATGATTCTCCAGACCACTGACAACTGTTCTTGGGACTATTTCCCCAACAACTACGTCTTCTACATACAAAGAATCTGCATCAGGGTGTTTTCTGACATTTATGATGCAACCAATTCAAAGATCTAGTTGGGAAACATTTATTGGCTTAGAGTTGGTGCTTCCTGCTATTGATTGCTGTTTTTTCTCCTTCTCTCCTTTCTCTTCAATTTTCTCTTTTGCTTTCTCTTCTTCTCCTGCTCCTCCTTTTATCTGTTCTTTGATACCAGAAGATGTGGTTGTTACTGGTGTAGATTGTATCACGTTCAGAAACCACATAATTAGCATGCAGTGGAATACCAGATGGAAATGGTATTTGCTTCATTCTGTTTTGAATTTCTGTCTGAATTAGCTCTTGTTTCAATTCAACTTCTTCCTTCAGTTTCCTACTCAAAGTTTCTTCTCTTCCCTCAAAATTGCCTGCAAAAATGGCTTTCTCCTTAAGTAGAGCAACTTGCTGCTTAAGATATTCAATGATTTGACCCACCTCTGCCTCCTTCTGCTCCAGCCTCTTCAGAACAGCATCATTATTTGCCATTTTTGCCAAGAGACAACAGAAAATCATGAAGCAGTGGAAAGGGGTTCTGAGGCAGCCTCAGCAAGAAGCAAGTAGGGACAGCTACCTGCACACTATGGCCCAAACTTTTCTTATGGAGTTTCCTCACCTCTCTTGGCCTTCACAGTATTGAAGAGAGTTAGGGCCTTACAATTAGGCTATGGCATAAGGGAATATTGTGGCTGATTTGATCATCTATCCAGACCAATAAAACGTTCTCTATATCAGCAGCAAGGCTGTTTCACTTCCTTACTATTCATGTGTTCACTGGAGTAGCACTTTTAATTTCCTTCAGGAACTTTTCATTTGCATTCATAACTCTCCCAACTGGAGCAAGAGGCCTCATTTTTGGCCTCTTGCCTTTTGACATGTCTTCCTCGCTATGTTTAATCATTTCCAGCTTTTGATTGAAAGTGAGAGACATGTGACTCTTCCTTTCACTTGAACACTTAGAGGCCACTGCAGGGTTATTAATTGGCCTAATTTCAATACTGTTGTTTCTCAAAGAATAAGCAGCCCTGAGGACAGGGAAAGAGGCTGGGGATCAGCCAGTTGATGGAGCAGTCAGAACACACACATTTATAGATTAAGTTCACTGTCTTCTATGGGTGCGGTTGGTGGTACCCCAAAACAGTTACAATGGTAACATCAAAGACCAATTGTCACAGGTCACTGTAACAGATATAATAATAATGAAAAAGAAATATACACAACTATTATGTGCCCATAATAATTGAAAATGTTTTAAATTTTTAATGAAAACTTTTAAATATTACAATTACCAAAATTTGACATGGAGACACAAAGTGCCTATGCTATTGGAAAAAACAGTGCCAACAGATTTGCTCAGCACAGGGTTACCACAAACCTTTAATTTGCTTTAAAAAATTAACAAACACACACCCACACTATGGAACGCAATAAAGCAAAGTACAATAAATGAGGTATGCCTACATGGACCCCCAAAATTCATATGTTGAATCCCTAACCCCCATTACCTTAGAATGTGTTTATTTTATTTGTATAGGGCTTTTAAAGATGTAATTAAGTTAAAATGACGCCATTAGGGTGGGCCCTGATCCAATTTGACTGATGTCCTTATAAAAAGTAGAGATGAGAACATACAGACACCAGGGAAGCGCATGCACAGAGAAAAGGACATGTGATGCCATAGCAAGAGGGCAGCCATCTGCAAGCCAAGGAGAAAGACCTCAGGAGAAACTAAACCTGCTGGTCTGATCTTGGACTGCCACCCTTCAGAACTGTGAGAAAATAAAGTTTTCTTTTTAAGTCACCCCATCTATGGTATTTTGTTGTGGCAGCTATAGTAAACTAAAACAGAATACATGGGGACATTTGCTTCACGTAACACTCAGGCTTCTACAATCCTGACACCCTGAAGGGAAAAAGGGGTATATCAAGTCACCAACTAAAATGAAGCTAAGAGAGTATTATAACAAAACAAGATGTTGAATATTTCAGAAGTTCTTCATTGGTTTCTAGAAGTTATTCTAGTTTAATTCAATCTAATCCAATCCAGTCCAACCCAATCCAATAAAGTGGCTATTTCTTTTGAACAACTCCAGGGATTCAAAAACAAATGAAACATGATCTTTACCCTATTTTGCTGCTATTTTTTTTTCTGAAGACATATTTTAAAAGAGTTATGCTGTATACTTGTGAAACTATAGAAAATAGACCAAATAATTTTCTAATGCATCATTAAATGATAAAAGTATGTTATAAACACTATATGCAAAATGACCCTATTTCACAAATATGTACATGCATGTATAGAGTATGTGTACATATATTACACACTGGAAAAAACACAGGAAATACACATACAAAAATATTAAGAATTGTTCTGAGTGGTACAATTATGGTGATTCTAATTTTTCTTTTTGTTTATCTTTACTGAACACTTTGTTTTAGAAAAAAAGCATTATGAATTTTAAAACTGATCTTACCCCAACAAGGTAGCCTAAGCCTGAAATTATACAAGATTAGTCCCGAAAAAATGAAGGGAGCAAGTGGCTGTCAAGATTTTAGAATTTCACTCTAAATTCTGTGAGTTTGCTTATTTTTTACTGAGGTAAAACTTATATAACATAAAGTTAACCTTTTGAAAGTGTAAGTGAAATCTAGTTGTATGTAGAACATTCAAAATGTTGTGCAACCACCACCTTTATCTAGTTTCAAGACATTTCATCTCAGATCCATTAAATCTCATATCCATTAAACAGTCACTCCCTATCCCCTCCTTCTGTCATCCCCTGGCTACTACCATTTTGCTTTCTGCCTCCATTATCTATTCTGGATAGTTCATATAAATGAAAGCCTACAATATGTAACCTTTTGTGTCTGGCTTCTTTCACTCAGAACAATGTTTTTGAGATTCATCTACATTGTAGCATATCTTAGTATTTCATTCCCTTCTATAGCTCAATAATATTTCATTGTATGGATAGACCACATTTTGTGTATCCATTCGTCAGAAGATGAACATTTGAGTTGTTTCCACTTTTGGGCTATGACAAAAAATGCTGCTATGGACATTCATGTGAAAGTTCTTGCGAAAACATATGTTTTTAATTCTCTTGGGCATTATACCTAGGAGTGGAATGGCTGGGTCATTCCACGGTTAAGTTTATATTTAACTTTTTGAGGAATCCCCAAAATGTTTTCTACAGTGGCTCCACCATTTTACATTCCTACCAGCCATGTTTGAGTGTTCCAATTTCTCAACATCCTCTGCAGCACTTTTTATTCCATTCTCACCACTTCCTTTATTTTTAATCATAGCCATCCTGGTATCTCATTATGGTTGGTTAGGTTATAATACCCTACACGCATCTGACATTTCAGTTCCAGGATCATGTAAGAAGTGCCTAACAATTGTACCAAGTTCTGTGATGAAATGTTTAAATAAAACAATATCCACTAGGAAGAGGAATAAGGCTAGGGTTATTTTAATTAGTCAATTTAGCTAATGCTAAATTTAGGACATAGGAGGTGAAAGAGGAACACATTAGCCTATTAAGTCCCTAGTGGATATCTGGTCTTAATGGGTAAGTAGGAGCTCACATGGTATATTCCCTCTAAAGGTGGCCTAAGCCATGGAATGAAATAATGAAGTTTCAATTCAATTAGGCATCCCAAAAGAAATGAAATAAAAAACAGTTTGACACCAATTTCAAGAAACATTCAATAAAATGTTATATATTGGTCACATTTCCTCAAAAAGAGTTTTATGCATGCACTAGGAATTGGATGCAGCTTATACTCAATTTATACAAATAGAAACAAATCGTCCTTTGAAGACTGCCATTTGCTTTTTGGAGCAAAGAAAACATAGTTCAAGAGAAAAAAAATGGAAAAAATACCACTGATACTACCATAAATCTCCAATTATTTTCAAAAATTAAACATACATGAAAGAAGAAAGAAAGAACTAAAATGCTAGTGGCAGGAGAGAGAGATTTTAAATACCACTAGGGAAAGATAAGCATCTTCAGGCAACTACTAAGTTGTATCTCTAACAAATTTCAGGGGAATTTTACCACTGCTGATCACAGACATATTTTTATTTCCCCACTGTTTACTTACTCTCTTCACTATTTCCTATTCTTCCTTGATTCCTCCCTTCCTTCCCTTGCCTAAGCATTAAACCTGCCAGAAACCACTGACATTCATCAACCTTTATAAGTGCACTCAAGGGCCAGAAATGCTACCTTTCTGAAACATTGATGATTACCACTATCTTCAGATACGAGATTTGATTTTCTAAAGCCCACTATTTTAGAAGGCTTCGTTAGGTAGGCTGGTATCTAGGGAGGCAGGACTTTATATTTTCTTGTCCAAGGGAGACTAATGGTATGCCGCACTGCAAGATTTCTTCAAAGGGCCTAGGTGACCAGGTGAAGCATGGAGCTGGGGTCTTAGTTGTCTTCCCTACATCTTTACCATGGATGCTGCAGTGCTGATGAAGGTGAGGCTCCTTCAGCAAGGAGCATTTGGGTAGGAGAGAAACAGTATGACCAATGCCACATAGCAGCTGAGAAATAGTTTGTTGATATGTCCAGAAATACAGAGAGAGTGCAAATTGGAGAGGTAACTAAAGGTCCTATATGATTTATCAAGGACAAAAACAGGAGCTTCAGATAATCAATGATAAAATGACTTTATTTCTATAAATAATTTAAAGTTTTGTAACATTCAGACTATGTTTGGTTAAAATAAGGGCCATAGGTTAAGAATTGTATACTTTCCGACAATCAGATTACACTCATGGCTATGCTTCAAGTACTAAAAATTATGTACCCTATTATCTGCATTTGTTCATGAAACAGGCTAATTTCTCTGTGGTACCATACTACAGAACTAGCTTCATTCTCTTGCCTGATAACAACCTCATCAAAAAACACTAGTTTGGTGCCAGGCCTGAGTTAAACTACAGTGTGGAAGACGATGCCACTGTCTCTAATCCTGTATAACGGATGTATTTCTCACATACTGGAAAGGAGTTTTATGGGCCAGATAGATAGACACAGTCACTGTGTGGATGAGAGGGGTGCATCTAACAACCTCAGGAGTCTAAGATAGGAAAGTCAAGGAGAACAAAACTGAAAAGTGAACAGATGGAAGCATTCTATAGTTGTTCAGAACTCCTGCACAAGATACTGCCCATCTATTTATTGTCTCCTTTCCAAATATGTACTATTCCCAGAAGCAAAGAAAGAGTTTGTTGGAAGGTAATTTTCAAATATTCGTTCTGACACCCCCTTGAGAAGGAATTATTGATCTTATCATGGGGAAAATAGATACTCTTTAATCAGATCCTCCTTGGGAATCTTCTTATTGACCTCCCTCAATGAAATAATTCCAAGTCTTTTATATAAGGAGAAAAGGGTTACAGATTAACTGATGAGGAAAGTAAGCTGGGTGAATTAAATAATAGCTAACAGGAATAATGTTTCAGAATAAATATACTGTTCTATAGTTTACCCTAGGTGCAGTATTTTTACAGCTACTATTTATGAGCATTGACAATGTGCCAGGGATGCATGCTTTATCTTACTTAGTCCATACAAGGACTCTAAAAATCTTATTGTCTCCACTTAAAAGATGAGGAAACAGAGATACTGAGAGGAGCTAAGTGACTTGCCACAGATAATAACTAAAAGAGAGACAATTCAAATCCAAGTTTCCTGAATTCCATATGTATTGGAGTAGCTGCATGCATAATATAGTGATGTTATTTTACCAGACAATATCTGAAACTAGGCAAGACTAGCAGGTTTAGAACCTTCACCAACAACATAGGACTGTATTATCCAAAAAGACCTATGTAATATTATTGATAGCCTAAAAAAGTTTTAATGTCTTTTATATAGCAGGAAGAAATTAAAGGGGAAAAAATGATTCATTTATGTCTCTAAATTAAAAGGAAAATCAATTTTAAAACAAGCAGTAACTGGAGTAACTCTTACACCAAACAATTACAGACTTCAATATAAAAGAGGTATAAAATTAATGAAGCAATTTAACAACCAAGATGTTTTCATACCAATAAAAGATCAATATTTTGTTAAAAGACATAACAAAGCTTCTTTTAGCTTTATTATTTGACGTAAAAAGGAGATCAATAGAAAAGCAGTCAGAAGTTACTAGAAAAAAACACATCTGTAGAACTGTTTCCTTTTTCAAACCAACAAACCAAAAATACTCAACAAGAATAATACAAAACTGCTCAGTAATTCAATCAGACCAAAGTATAATACTACTTATAGAGGTTTTGGTTACTATCCACATTTCATCTAACCAAATACTTCAAAAGATAGAAGGGTCACTGAATATTTTAATAGAAACCATATTGTTTCAATCCCACAGAAAAGACAAGGAGTCCTAAAACCCCTCCAGAGTCCAACCTACAATATCAATTTAATATCATGAAGTACATGTCAAGTTTCTACCGAATTATTAAGTACCAGTAACAAAGCAACCCAAATCAAGGAAAGGAAAAGAAGTGAGTAACAGGAAATAGGGTCCTACGCATGGTTCTGCCACATAGGACCTCCACGTCCTTGAGTACGTTATTTCCTCTCTCTAGGACTCTGTTTCCCCATCTATGACATGAAGCATTTGGCCTGGATTATCCTTCAGTTCCTTTCAAACTTTAAAATCATAAGACGGGATCACTTTCTACCTCCTAATCTATACACAATGACTATGCACCCCTGACAGAATCGTTACTAGAGTTTTCTCATTTCCATGCTTCCAATTTTTGTCTCAATGCTTAACTTAAGCTAATAGAAACAATATTAGATTTAAACAAATTATCACACACTTACATTATAAAAATAAAAATACTGTTTTTTCCTTCTAAAAAAAAATGGTACCTGTACAGAACGTGCAGGTTTGTTACATAGGTATACATGTGTAATGATGGTTTGTCGCACCTATTGACCCATCCTCTAAGTTCCCTCCCCTCACCCCCCACCCATAACAGGCCCTGGTGTGTGTTGTTCCCCTCTCGGTGGCCATGTGTTCTCATTGTTCAACTCATTATGAGTGAGAACATGTGGTGTTTGGTTTTCTGTTCCTGTGTTAGTTTGCTAAGGATGATGCCTTCCAGATTCATACATGTCCCTGCAAAGAATGTGATCTCATTCATTTTTATTCCATGGTGTTCTGATTTCATGTATTCCATTATATATATATATATAATACATGTGATATATATATATATCACATTTTCTTTATCTAGTCTATCATTGATGGTCATTTGGGTTGGTTCCATGTCTTTGCTATTGTAAATAGTGCTGCAATAAACATACACATGCATGTGTCTTTATAGTAGAATGATTTACATTCCTTTGGTTATATACCTAGTAATGGGATTGCTGGGTCAAATGGTATTTCTGGTTCTAGATCCTTGTGGAATAACCATACTGTCTTCCACAATGGTTGAACTAATTTACATTCCCACTAACAGATTAAAAGTGTTCCTATCTCTCCACAGCCTTGCCAGCATCTTTTGTTTCCTGACTTTTTAATAATCACCATTCTGACTGGTGTGAGATGGTCTCCCAGTGTGGTTTTGTTGTGCATTTCTGATGATCAGTGATGCTGAGCTTTTTATCATGTGTTTTTTGGCCACATAAATGTCTTCTTCTTTTTTTTTTTTTTTTTTTTTGAGACGGAGTCTCACTCTTGTCACCCAGGCTAGAGTGCAGTGGCATGATCTCAGCTCACTGCAACCTTTGCCTCCTGGGTTCAAGCAATTCCCTTGCCTCAGCCTCCCGAGTAGCTAGGATTACAGGTGCTCACCACCACACCTGGCTAATTTTTTGTATTTTTTTTAGTACAGAAGGGGTTTCACCATGTTGCCCAGGCTGGTCTTAAACTCCCGACTTCAAGTGATCCACCCACCTCGGACTCCCAAATTGCTGGGATTACAGGCGTGAGCCACCGTGCCTGGCCTTAAATGTCTTCTTTCGAGAAGTGTCTGTTCATATCCTTTGCCTAGATGGGGTTGTTCATTTTTTTTCTTATAAATTTAAGTTCCTTGTGAATTCTGGATATTAGACCAAACATACTGTCTTAAATTCAGCATAACTACTAGCTTTTGCCTATATATTCCTGTTAAGTCAGGCAACAAATATAAGTACATTTACTTTCCTTTGTAGCATTAAGGACTTTCTTAGCACAGGCTATTTGACATATAAGTGTCAAATGGAAAAGGCAAAAAATGGCGAGGCCTGCAGAGCTAGCAGACAGTAGGTCCTTAATATTTGTAAGTTGAAAGAACAAATGTATCCATAATAGTAACAATTCTCTTGTTTAGGATTTTTTTTAGTGTCAATCCAGGAATGTTACAGAAACACTTGAAGCACCAACAGTGACCAATAATGTGGATGGGTGTTAAAAATCCAGTCATGGCCAGGTGCGATGGCTCATGCCTATAATCCCAGCACTTTGGGAGGCTGAGGTAGGTGGATCACCTGAAGGTCAGGAGTTTGAGACCAGCCTGGCCAATGGGGTGAAACCCTATCTCTACTAAAAATATAAAAAATTAGCCAGGTGTGGTGGCAGGCGCCGGTAATCCCAGCTACTTGGGAGGCTGAGGCAAGAGAATCACTTGAACCCAGGAGGCGGAGGTTGCAGTGAGCCAAGATCGCATTACTGAACTCCGGCCCAGGTAACAAGAGTGAAACTTCATCTCAAAAAAAAAAAAAAAAAAAAAAAAATCACAGTCATTTGGCCAGGCGCGGTGGCTCACGCCTGTAATCCCAGCACTTTGGGAGGCTGAGGCAGGTGGATCACTTGAGGTCAGGAGTTCGAGACCAGCCTGGCCAACATGGTGAAATCCCTTCTCTACTAAAAAAATACAAAAATTAGCCAAGCATGGTGGCGGGTGCCTGTAGTCCCAGCTACTCAGGAGGCTGAGGCAGGAGAATTGCTTGAACCTGGGAGGCAGAGGTGGCAGTGAGCTGAGATCGCGCCATTGCACTCCAATCTGGGTAAGAGAGTCAGACTCTGTCTAAAAAAAAAAAAAAAAAAAAAATCACAGTCACTAAAGTTGTCATTTATAACCATGCTTTTTAGTTCAATACTGAACTAATGGAAGAAATATGAAAACTAATCCCTTCTAGCCACTTGTGGAAGCCCATTTGAGATCAGAACAACACTGAAAACAACAGGCAATACAGGCTAGACCATCCAGAGAATTTGGAAGAAGGGTAGAATAAAAATGAAAAGTCTGTGTAAGTTGTCTCTTGCCAAGTATTATGGTGAAGGAAAGGGCTAACAGCATAGTTCTAGGGAGCTGCCTTCCATTGTGAGATCCCCATTCGTGTTGAAATATAAGATTTGAAAGTTCCATTCAATCATCAAAAAGAATGGTTTAGTGTTCTAGAAATCCCCAAACTTTTCCAAAGGAGAATTCGTATTTCTCCTCAGCTAAGTAGCAATGGAGAAAGTCAATGTTCAGGTTGAAAGTTTATAAATTATTATGCAAAAGAATGCCAGTGGCAGAGTCTAATCAAATTAATTATTTGACACTCAGACTCAAATCCTCTGTGCGTCCTACCAACAATACCCTGTTTAATGCCTTCTAAACTTTGAAGAAATACTAGAAATCATAAAGAAACAAATCTTCAGTAGATGCAATTATATGAAGAAGCCGAGTTTTGTACAAACAAAACTTATAGCAAGATAAACTAAAAAATATATATGTAGCAAATACCACAAATGGTTAATATACTATTGTATTCACTTTTATTGCTGTATAACAAATTGCCACAAACTCGACAGCTTAAAACAATATTCATTTATTAGCTCACATGTTTGTAGACCAGAAGTACAGAGAAAACTGTACTTTCAAAGGATTAATGTAGTCATAATCATGACTACGGTGAGTCAGACCCATCCTGATAATCTTCCTTTCTTAAATGTGCTATATTATATAACCTAGTCATGGAAGTAAAATCCATCAAATTTATAGCCCCAGGGATTACTCAGGGCCTGTATCCTGGTGGGGGAAGTATGGAGAATCTTGAGGAACATCTTAGAACTTTGCCTGCTGCAATTATGTAGGAAGATTATATAATGTGGTGAAAAACTATATTTCAAGATACCAAATGAAAAAGAGCAAGTGACATGGGCAAACAAGGCATGAGAAAAGCAAACATGAGGAAATGGAATCTTTTAGAAAATAATTTCCAAAGGAAATGAAGAGTCATGAAAATGTGAGAACTCCTTAGCCTACACATACCATTCCTGAAAGTAGAGGAAAAAAGATTATTAAGAAGAAAAAGCTATGCTGTGAATATACTGGCCTCCTCTCGGTTTTCCTAGCACCATATAAACAACTCTAGAAGGTCAGTTTCTACATGATATCTGCCTACCTGCCTACCAATATACTTTGAGCATAAAATCCAGAAACCATATCTCATTTATCCCTCTATTCCCAGACCTTAGAATGTTATCTGCAAGTATTTGTCGAGGGCCAACTACATGACCAACATTGAGTTAGGCATCAGGACACAGAGTTGTGTAATCCATGCTCTGATGTACCTTATTTCTCATAATTTTCATAAAAAGAAAAAAGTTAAAGTATCAAAAGTTCTATAGTCACTGTACGTAAAGTACAAGGATCATAAGAGTCAACAGAAATTGGAAGACTGTTGCAAAGTTAAATGGGACCTTGAAAGCTGAGTAGGAATTCAATAGAAAGATAAAGCGATAGGGAAATAGAATATTGTTGAGGGGGAATACAAAGTAAAGAATATACTATGTAGCCATGTAAAATTAGAAGCTGTACATTTTTTTTTTTTTTTTTTGAGATGGAGTCTTGTTCTGTCGCCAGGCTGGAGTGCAGTGGCACGATCTCGGCTCACTGCAACCTCTGCCTCCCGGGTTCAAGCGATTCTCCTGCCTCAGCCTCCCAAGTACCTGGGACTACAGGTGCATGCCACCACAACTGGCTAATTTTTGTATTTTTAGTAGAGACGGGGTTTCACCATGTTGCCCAGGATGGTCTTGATCTCTTGACCTCGTGATCCAACTGCCTCGGCCTCCCAAAGTGCTGGGATTACAGGCATGAGTCACTGTGCCTGGCCTAAATACTATATTAAAAATGTTAATATTAAGTAGAAAACTCAGTATAACACATCAAATCTGGGTTCTAAGTCATAAAAATGCAAACAAAAAAGTATATAAATGCATAGAGATGAACAGGAAAAAATCAACACAGTCTGCTGGAAGGTGGAGTAATCAGTAATTTATTTCTTCTTACTTTATTTACATTATTATGTTTATAATATCATCTGTGCTTCCAAAGAAATTTTAAATAAAAAGAAAAAAATTGCATTAAAAAATAAATCCACCAGTTAGGGCAGCCCCACTGATACAAAGTACAAAATCCTCTAAGTCTAAATTTACCACCATTCTAACTAAAAGTCTTGATTATAGGAAGCAACTTACTCAACCATTCATTAATTCCGCAAACACTTTTTGAGTACTAACAATGGGCCAGACATGATACAAAGCATTGGAGATACGTAAACGGATAACGCAGTCTCTGCCCTCAGAAAGCTTTTGATCTGTCAAATCACCATAGTGAGAAGAATATATTATTTGGTAATTGCGTTTTAATAACAGCTGATTAGACAAAAATTGCATTTTAATAATAGCCAAGAAGACAAGATCCTCTAAATAATAGTTCACTTTATGAGTGGAGGCCTCCGTTTGACAGAATGAGTAGAATTGCTTCCTACCTCAAGTATACCAGTTACAACAGGGTCAAAATCTATCATTGCTGTCAAGTAACTGTCTTCTCAAGATTCACCAATCAGCCCCATCTGATACTCAAATTACATCAATTCTATCACAATGCAGGGCAATCTGGTCGGTGTCTCCACAAATGGCTCATTATATTTACACATCTAATATCTCGGCTTACTGACAGGGAGCCTTTTTCTTATGTGAATGATAATGTTTGAATGCCCAATAATTCCAACCGAAGTTTACTTACTGGATCTCAAGTTTCATAAGGAAAAATCAGAATCACTATAATTTGTGTATTTCTGTCTTATTTTATTTTGCTTTTTTTGGTCTTCCTTTATTCTCAGGTTTTACCATAAATGGCCATTTATGCAGCACTGAAGAAAAAATACACAAATCTCAATTTCACTCTTCAAGTCCCAAAACTGTTGGAAGCAGAATTAAAAGCAATATGAACTTCTAATTGGTGAACACACTGTTTTTTCAATGATACTGCCTCTGTCCGCAACCAAAATAGTTTTTAGACCAAAAGTTGTCTCTTCCAAGCTGCAAGCCATTTGAAGAAACAAAAGTTAAACAAAGGAAAAACAAGAAAGCCTAACCTAAAAAGACAAGATTTCTCACTGTCTTCTTCATCCAACCTAAGTCTAGCTTGAGGATTTTTTATACATGATCCTCACATTTCACTAAACAGCATGGTGGGGGTTTTACTGTCTGCCATTTGCATAGTACATGGGACACTTTATTAAATAATGAGGAGTAATAAATAGTAAATCAGAAATGTTATAAAGCACACTGGGTCTATTTACGGTTTTCCCCATTTTGTTTTATATATTTTTCCTATTACCATTATCATCATCACAGTGACAGTGATGGTAATAGGAAAAACATTTTAAAAAAAGGAGGAAAACCCCGAATTGATCCACTGTGCTTTATCATCATCATTATCTCCTTCTTGGTGATTCCAATACCCACTGAACCTTTGACGCAACCACTGCTCTTGTAGGAAAGGAGGAGAAAATCAAACAATGCCCTACCATTTTTTTCTTTTGGCTTGATTCCCAAGGGCTAGTACTGGACTCAGTAACCATTTCCCTTCAAAGGTAAAAATGAAAGGACAGTTTCTGAAATGACAAGGTTGTAGGTCTGCAATATGCTCCAGGGAAAAATGCCAAGGACTCAGAAAAGGGATTTGAGAAGGATGCCAGGATGATCCAACACTGAGCCCCTCTAGATTATGAAGATATTACTTTAATAAGCCTGGTCATAAGAATGATAGGCACAATTTTCCTGACATATCCAATCAATGACACTGTTACGCCAGTTTGTAGTTTTCTATCATCTCAATTATTTTTCACTGACTTAAATTCTTTTTGAAGATGCTTCAGAGTTTGAGAAATTATAAGAAATTCCGTCGTGTCCCTTCCTGGAGTTATATCATAGGTCTTACTGATCTTGTGCCCCGTTCCTCGTTTCTCAAAATTCCTTCTTAGAAATAATTTGTTACCACCTTCCTCAATCTTCTTATAAAATGTAACAGTTCATGTCAGGGTGCAACTAATCCTCCTCTAACACTTCATCCCTATCACCCTCTCAGAGCTACAGATGCCTAGAGAAGATGACATAAAAGGGGGAGGCTACTATCTATAGGCTTTGGACAATCAATCACTCTGTCATCTTTTATTGTATTCTTTTGTTGTCATTTTTTACAGGACACATTTGCTTTTCAAGGATCAATATTCAATTTAACTTTCTATGCACTATAAATCAAGTCTTTAAAAAGTGGAGAAAATGTGTTTCTGGTTTTGAAGGTATTTTAAGCTACAGCCAGGTCCTAAGCCAAGCCCATTTAATTAGACTCATCCTTGGGAATTCCAAACAGAGTCAGAATGTGAGCTGTGAGAGGCAAGTCGCATTTCTTCCTTATTGTCAAGGAAATTGCTTTAGCAGATACTTTTACATAAAATAATGGGCTGTAAATCAGACTAATTAGAGAATTTGTAAGTACTCAGAAGACATAGATTTGTGAGCTTTAAGGAAATAATTTCTTCTGTTCATTATTTGTTGCTATGAAATGCTTAAAACATGTTCGAGATCAGCAATTTTTCTATACCTAAAGATAGAATTATATTCACAGGATTATCTATTATAGTAGTTATTTCACTAATTAATTAGGATTAACAATTTCTTCCATTTAATTTATAAATATTAATGAATAAATAAACCTTAGTTCACCTCCATGGGCATACCATCAAATGCTAGCAGCATCCAAATATTTTAAGAAGGAATTGGATAAACACAAAGGGAATCATAAGAGAAATCTGGCTTATGCATTTAAAATAATTTATTTCTAAATTTCCTCACAAAGCTTAAGCAGGTCTCTTCAACCCAGTGGTAATGGACATGTTCCAGAATTAATTTCCACCTGGAAACCCACGGGATGAGAATTCTAACTGTGTGATAAATTAAGTTGCCAAACGAACTGGATTAGCGATCAGTGAAATTGCCTGATAAGCTGTCAGATCCATTTTGAACTGGAATTCATCCTCTTTCTCCACCTGTTCATTAAGCTCCAAGTTCATGGCAACTCCAGTGACTGATTGCACACTAACAAGCTATTTATGTAGAGAGATGTAGCTAAGCCTATACATTCCTATACTTATATATTCATTTAAACATAATTCTCTGATAATTTATTCTGTTCATAATCCCAGTGTAGAAAAATATACACCTACCCTGAAGTTTAATTTTGGACATGACAGAAATGTGATGTGTCATAAAATTAAAACTTCACAAAGCAAATCATATTGCACCTCAAGGTCAAAAGAAGCTGGGGAAATTTCATGCCATAAATTTGCTTCAAATTTACAAAAATAAAATGAGTAGTGAAAAAGCTGCTGCCTTTGTACTAACAGTATGTAAAAATAAAATATTTATTTCTATTCTTATTGTAAACCAAACATGGGGTGCTTCTATAACTAAAAAGGTAAACTAGAGAAGAATGTTGAAAAATAATTCTCAACCTTTCCTTATCAAAATGGCCAAATCTTCCTTTACACAACACCAAGTTTAATAAACCATTATTATTCAAAAGGCACAAATTTGGGCTACAAATAAGAATACTGTTCTTAATCAAGTATCCTTTTTAAAGATACAGAATTCACATCATAAAAGAGCTATTCACCCAACGCAAAGTTAATAAATCGGTAAGTTCCTCTGAAACTCCTAAAGTTGTATAGATTTATATTTCATGAAAATATGAGGATGTCTATTATCTACTGATAAGCTATTTTACTCCACTACTCTTTCTGGTGCCTAATTTTTATGTAAATTAAAGACTGGAATTCAATAATAAATGTCATTTTTCCAGAAAAATTAAGTCAAAAAATGGCCAAATGTGTGCAATTATATTAAGACAATAGGAGAAAATGAATACCATCCAGATTTTTTAGAATCTACAAAGGTAGCAGCTGCTTAAAAGTCACAAATAAAAAAGTAAAAAATAATATTTAGAAATTAAGTTGACCTGTATATGTAACAAATAAAGCATACATTTCTTTCAACTAAAATTAATAAAACTATACATCAAAAATGTTTCAATTTTATTTTTTAATTTTGTGGGTACATAGTAGGTATATACATTTATGGAGTACATGAAATATGTTAATGCAGGAATGCAATGTGTAATAATCACATCATGGAAAATGGGGTATCCATCCCCTCAAGCATTTATCCTTTGTGTTACAAAAAATCAAATTATACTCTTAGTTATTTTAAAATGTGCCACTAAATTACTATTGACTATAGTCACTCTGTTGTGCTATCAAAACTAGCCCTTGTTCATTCTTTTGAACTATTTTTTGTGCCCATTAACCATCCCCACTTACCCTCCAACCCCCCACTACCCTTCCCAGCCTCTAGTAGCCATCCTTCTACTCTCTATCTCCATGAATTCAATTGTTTTGATTTTTTGAGCTCCCACAAGTGAGAATATGTGAAGTTTGTCTTTCTGTCCCTGACTTATTTCATTTAATATAACGATTTCCAGTTCCATCCATGTTGTTACAAATGACTGGATCTCATTCTTTTTTATGGCTGAACAGTACTCCATTGTGTATATATGTACCTACCATATTTTCTTTATCCATTCATCTCCTGATGGGCACTTAGGCTGCTTCCAAATCTTAGCTATTGTGAACAGTGCTGCAACAAACATGCGTGTGCAGATATCTCTTCAATATACCAATTTCCTTTCTTTCAGTTATATACCCAACAGTGGGATTGCTGGATGATGGTAGCTCTATTTTTAGGTTTTTGAGGAACCAAACTGTTCTCCACAGTGATTGTACTAGCTTACATTCCCATCAACAGTGTACAAAGGTTCCCTTTTCTCCATATCCTCTCCAGCATTTGTTACTGCCTGTCTTTTGGATATAAGCCATTTTAACTGGGGTGAGATGATATCTTATTGAAGTTTTGATGTGTATTTCTCTGATGATCAGTGATGCTGAACACCTTTTCATATGCCTGTTTGACATTTGTGTGTCCTCTTTTGAGAAATGTCTATTCACATCTTTGGCCCATTTTTAATGGGATTATTATATTTTTTTCCTATAAAGTTGTTTGAGCTCCTTACATATTCTGGTTATTAATTCCTTGTCAGATGGGTAGTTTGCAAATATCTTCACCCATTCTGTGGGCTGTCTCTTCACTTTGTTGTTTCATTTACTGTGCAGAAGCTTTTTAACTTGATGTGATCCCATTTGTCCATGTTTGCTTTGGTTGCCTATGCTTGTGAAGTATTACTCAGGAAAATTTTGCCCAGACCAATATCCTGGAGAGTTTCCCCAATGTTTTCTTGTAGTAGTTTCATAGTCAGATTTAAGTCTTTAATCCATTTTGGTTTGACTTTTGTATATGATGAGATATAGGTTTAGTTTCATTCTTCTGCATATGGATATCCAGTTTTTCCCAGCATCAATTTTTGAAGAGATTGTCTTTTCCCCAATGTATGTTCTTGGCACCTTTGTTGAAAATTAGTTCACTGTAGGTGTATGGATTTGTTTCCAGACTCTCTGTTCCATTAGTCTATGTGTCTGTTTTTATGCCAGCACCATGCTGTTTTGGTTACTATAGCTCTGCAGTATAATTTAAGTCAGGTAAAGTGATTCTTCCAGTTTTTGCTCCTGTTGTTCAGGATAGCTTTGGCTATTGTGGGTCTTTTGTGGTTCCATATACATTTTAGGATTGATTTTTCTATTTCTGTAAAGAAGAATGCCATTGGTATTTTGATAGGGACTGCACTGAATCTATAGATTGCTTTGGGTAGTTGAATATTTTAACATTATTGATTCTTCCAATCCATGAATGTGGAATATCTTTCCATTTTGTGTGTGTGTTATCTTCAATTTCTGGCATCAATGTTTTATAGTTTTCATTGTAGAGATAGTTTACTTCTTTAATTCCTAGGTATTTAATTTTATTTGTAGCTATTGTAAATGGGATTACCTTTTTATTTCTTTTTCAGATTGTTCACTGTTGGCATATAAAAATGCTACTGATTTTTCTATGCTGATTTTGTATCCTGCAACTTTACTGAATTTGTTTATTAGTTCTATTTGTTTTTTGGTGAAGCTTTTAGATTTTTCCAAATATAAGATCATACCATCTGAAAAGAAAGATAATTTAACTTCTTTCTTTCCAATTTGGAAGCCCTTTATTTGTTTCTCTTGTCTGATTGCTCTAGCTAGAATTCCCAATGCAATGTTGAATAACAGTGGTTGAAAGTAGGCATTTTTGTCATGTTCCAGATCTTTAAAAAAAAGCTTTCAGTTTTCCCCCATTTAGGGTGATACCAGCTGTGGCTCTGTCATACATGGCTTTTATTATGTTGAGATACGTTCCTTCTATACCGAGTTTTTTTAGATCTTTTACAAACGTGAAGGAATATTGAATTTTATCAAATGCTGTTTCAGCATCAATTTAAATGATCATACGGTTTTTGTCTTTCATTCCATAGATATAATGCATCACACTGATTGATTTGCATGTGTTGAACCATCCTTGCATCCCTGGGATAAATCCCACTTGGTCATGATAAATGGTTTTTTTAATGTACTGTTGAATTCAGTTTGCTTGTACTTTAGTAAGGATTTTTGTATCAATATTCATCAGAGATATTGGCCTGTACTTGTGTTTTTGGTGTTTTTTTTATGTGTCTTTCATTTTGGTATCAGGGTAATACTTGCCTTACAGAATGACTTTCAGAAGAGTTTGAGTAGGATTGGTATTCATTCTTTTTTAAATGTTTAGTAGAATTCAACAATGAAACCACTGGGTCCCAGGCTTTTCTTTACTGAGAGACTTTTTATTGTGGCCTTGATCTCATAATGTGTTATTGATCTGTTCAGGTTCTGGGTTTCTTCATGGTTCAATTTTCATAGGTTGTATGTGTCTATGAATATATCCATTTCCAACTATATTTTCCAATTTATTAGTATGCTATTGCTCATAGTAGCTACTAGTGATCCTTTGAGTTTTTGCAGTATTCGTTGTAATGTCTCCTTTTTCATCTCTGATTTTATTTATTTGGGTCTTCTATCTTTCTTAGTCTGGCTAAATATGGGTTCATTTTATTTATCTTTTCAAAAACCAAACTTTTTATTTGATTGATCTTTTGTATTGTTTTCTTCATATCAATTTGATTTGTTTCTGCTCTGATCTTTATTATTTCTTTCTTCTATTAATTTTGGGTTTTATTTGCTCTTGGTTTTCTACTTCTTTAACATGCATCAATAGGTTATTTATTTGAAGTTTTTCTTCTTTATTAATGTAGGAACTTTTAGCTATAAATTTCCCTTTCTTTATACCCCATAGGTTTTGGTACATTTTGTCTCCGTTACCATGTGTTTTGAGAAATGTTTCAATTTCATTCTTAATTTCTTCACTGACCCACTGGTCATTCAGGAGCATATTGTTTAATTTCCATGTGTTTGTATAGTTTCCAAAATTCTTCTTGTTGTTGATTTCTAGTTTTATTCCATTGTGTTCAGAGAAGATGCTTGATATTATTTCAACTTCTTTGAATGTTTTAAGACTTGTTTTGTGACCTAACACATGATCTATCCTTAAGAATGATCCACGTGCTGAGGAAAAGACTGTGTATTCTGCAGACGTTGAACAAAATGATGTGTACATATCTAATAGGTCCATTTGGTCTATAGTGCGGGTTAAGTCCAGTGTTTCTTTGTTGATTTTCCATCTCAAAGATCTGTCCAATGCTGAAAGTGGGGTGTTGAAGTCTCCAGTTATTATTGTATTGGGTTATATCTCTCTCTTTAGCTCTAATAATAGTATTTGCTGTATACATCTGGGTGCTCCAGCATTGGGTGCATATATGTTTAAAATTCTTATCTCCTCTTGCTGAATTGGCCCCTTTATCATTATATAATGACCTTCTTTATCTTACAGCTTTTGTCTTGAAATCTATTTTGTCTGATACAAGTATAGCTACTCCTACTCTTTTTTGCTTTCCATTGACATGGAATATCTTTTCCCTCCCTTTATTTTTAGTCTATGTGTGTCTTGATAGGTGAAATGTGCTTCTTGTAGGCAACAGACATTGGGTCTAGCTTTTTTTTTTTTTTTATCCACTTAGCCACTTTATGTCTTTTGATTGGAGACTTAAGTCCATTTACATTCAATGTTATTATTGATAGGTAAGGATTTACTCCTGCCATTTTGTTATTTGTTTTCTGGTTGCTTTGTGATCTCTTCCTTCTTTCTTCCCTTCCTGTCTTCCTCTTAGTGAAAGTGATTTTATCTGATAGCATGATTTAATTTCTTGCTTTTTATTTTTTGTGTATCCATTGTATGTTTTTCAATTTGAAGTTACCGTGAGGCGTGCAAACATTATCTTATAACCCAATATTTTAAACTGATGACAACACTGATTGCATAAACAAGAAAAAAAAACTAATAACTACCATGTACCTTAACTTCATCCCCCACTTTTTAACTTTTTGTTGTTCCTCTTTGTGTCTTATTGTACTGTCTATATCTTGAAAAGCTGTTGTACTTATTTTTGATTGGTTAATTTAGTCTTTGTACTTGAGTAGTTTATACACCACAATTACAGTGTTATAATATTCTGTTTTTCTGTGCGCTATTACCAGTGAATTTTGTACCTTCAGATAATTTATTATTGTTATTAATGTTCTTTTATTTCAGACTGAAGAACTCCCTTTAGGATTTCTTGTAGGTCAATTCTGGTGTTGATAAAATCCCTCTTTCTCTGGGAAGGTCTTTCTTTCTCCTTCATGCTTGAAGGATATTTTTTCCAGACATAATATTCTAGGGCAAAGGGGTTTTTTCCATCAGATTTGAAATATGTCATACCATTCTCTCCTGGCATGCAGGGTTTCCACTGAAAGAGGTGCTGCCAGATGTACTGAAGTGCCATTTTATGTTATATGTTTCTTTTCTCTTTCTGCTTTTAGGATCCTTTCCCTATCTTTGACTTTGGGGAGTTTGGTTATTAAATGCCTTGAGGTAGTCTTTTTTGTTATATCTGCCTTGTTGTACTGAAATATTGATATCTTTCTCTAGGTTTGGGGAATTCTCTGATATTGTTCCTTTGAATACACTTTCTACCCCATCTCTTTCTCTATCTCCTCTTCATGGCCAATACTCTTAGATTTGCCCTTTTGAGGCTATTTTCTAGATCGTGTAGGCATGCTTCATTCTTTTCTATACTTTTTTCTTTTGTTTCTTCTGACTGTGTATTTTAATAGCCTGTCTTTGAGCTCATTAATTCTTTCTTCTGCTGGATCAATTCTGCTATTAAGAAGAGACTCTGATGAATTCTTCAATATGTTGCTTGCATTTTTCAACTCTAGAATTTCTACTGCATTCTTAATAATTTCAATCTCTTTGTTAAATTTCTCTGATAGAATTTTGAATTCCTTCTCTGTGTTAACTTGAATTTGAGTTTCCTCAACACAGCTATTTTGATTTGTCTGTCTGAAAGGTCACATATCTCTGTTTCTCCAGGATTGGTCCCTACTACCTTATTTAAGTTCATTGGGTGAGGTCATTTTTTCCTGGATGCTCTTGATGCTTGTAGATGTTTACTGGTGTCTGGGCACTAAAGAATTAGGTATTTATTGTAGTCTTCACAGTCTGGGCTTGTTTGTGCCCCTCCATGTTGGAAAGACTTTCCAGGTATTCAAAGGGACTTAGGCCCCAAGCCCAAAAACACTGTGGTTCTTGCAGACTCATAAAGGTACCACCTTGGTGGTCTTGGACAAGATCTGGAAGAATTGTCTGGATTACTAGGCAGAGACTCTTATTATTTTCCCCTTACTTTCCCCCAAACAAACTGAATCTCTTTCTCTATGCTGAGCCACCTGGAACTGAGGGTATAGGGACACACATATCCTTGTGACCACCACCACTGGGACAATGCTGGTTCAGACCTGAAGCCAGCACAACACCAGGTCCTGCCCAAGGCCCACTGTAACCACTACCTGGCTACCACCTATGTTCATTCAAGGCCCTAGTACTCTACAATCAGCAGGTGGCAAAGCCAGCCAGATTTTTGTCCCTCCCTTCAGGGCAATGAGATCCCCCAGGCCCTAGGTGAGTTCAGGAATGCTCTCTGAGATCCAAGGACTGTAGTCAAAAACCTTAGAGATTTACGTGATGTGTTGCTCCTCAGGTCCCACCCCAACACCAATGCCTACCACGGTTAAGCTGGCACTCAAACCACAAGATAAAGTCCTTCCTTCTCTTCCTTCCCCTTTCCAAAGGCAGAGGAGACTCTCCCTGTGGCCACTACCACCACCAGCCCATGTGGGGTTCTGTCAGGCTACCACCAATGTTCACTTAAAACCCAAGGGGTCTTCAGTCAGCTTGTGGTGAATGCTACCAGGCCTAGGACTCACCCTTCAGGGCAGTGGGCTCCCCACAGGCACAGGGCAGTTCCATAAATGCTGTCCAAGAACCTGCTTGTTACTCTACCCCACTGTGGCCCCTCTGTTTTTCTCAAACAGAAGGAGTCTTTCACCATAGCCACCACAGCTGGAAATGTTCTGGGTAACACCTAAAGCCAGCACATCTCAGAGCCCAAGGTCCATGGTATGCTATCTGGTATCACTGTTGGTTATTCAGGGCCCAAGTTCTCTTTAGTCAACAGGTGATGAATCCTGCCAGGACTGGGTCCTTTCCTTCAAGGCCGCAGGTTCTCTTTTGGCCTGTTAGGGCCAGAAAGGGGGCCTCACAACTCTGCCCATTGCCCTATCCTACTGTGGCTGAGCTGGTATCCAAGATGCAAGGCAAAGTCCTCTTCACTCCTTGCTCTCCTCTCCTCAAGTAGAAAGAAGGAGTCACTTTTGTTGCTGCAAACTGCACTGTCTGGGGTTGGAAGAGGGATGGTGCACTCCCTTAGCTGCCCCATTTGGTGTCTCTCTAGGCCATATGCCACCCTAGTTCACTGGCTCCAAGCCCAGACTAGCACTAGGAGTTGCATAGGAACTGCAGTCGTTGTGAGCTAGACTGCCTCTTGAGTTTACCTAGGACCCCAGAGCACTCTGGCCCTCAGTGGGGAGGTCTACTAAGAAGCTCAAATTCTGAACACTGGGATGGGCAATTCGCCTCTGGCTAGGTCTGGTCCAAATGCTCCTTCCATGCACAGGTACTGGCTGAGCCCAGCATAGCTGTGATCACCACTGTGACAAGGCAGCGCTGAGTTTACTGAGTCACCCAGGCACTGTGCTCTCCTTCCTCCAAATTCAGATTCTCTGTACCACATAGCCAATGCCGAGGAATGGGGCTGAGGTGGCATTGGTGATTCAAGAACATCTTTCCTACCCTCGTCAGTGCATCTTTCAGCAATATGAAGTTACAATCAGGTACTATGATTCCTCATCTCATTTTTGGTTCTTGTGATGGTGCTTTTTTGTGTAGTTGTTAAAATTTTGTATTCCTACAGGAGAGACAAATGGTGTGGGCTTCTATTCAGCCTTCCTCCTTACTCATTATTTAAATAAAAATTTTAAAAAGTAAAAGTGCATGGAATATTCCAAATAAGGTTGCACATGAGGATTAGCCAGCCCCTAGGCCTCATGAATTATCAGTTAGTATAGTTATACAGTTCAGCTTATATTTAAACTATAATTGACCTCTGACAAGCCACGCAATTACAAGAACTGAACTACAGCAGAGGGTATTTATATTCATTGTTAACCACAGGTAGAATAAGAATCCACTTCCCTATGACCCTCATACTAATATAAACGCTGCTGTTTACTTTCCCAGAAACTGGTTCCCTCTTCTACAGTCTCAGTTTAATTGGCTCAGTCCAAATGAAAAGCAGCATGTGAGGGCTTAGTCCATCTTCTGAAGCTGGGGATGCAAAGGGAGAAGTGCTCTGGCTTATACGTCACCAATGGATCCCCACTCTCATCTTAGCCCTGGGGGAGAAACTTGAGAGCTTCTTGCCTAAGGTAAAACCTCAAAGTTTCAGAAAAACTGTCCTGAGTGAACTCCAAGAACCAAAGCCATAGCCATAGACATCCCCAGTGCCAAGTGCTGTGCTACATGGTAGGTACTATGCTGAAAGTTGAATAAACAGTTCCTCTCTCACTCTGAGGAACTTCAGCAATCATCTGTATTCCCCACCATCTTAAATTTCAGGAGGAGAAGCAGTGACATTGAACTTCGGCTATCTGAGTTTCTTAGCTGAAAAACATTCAGCGTGTGTTGCTCCTCAAGTCCCACCCCAACACCAATGCCTCTTGGCTACCCACCACCAAGTTACTTTGTACCCTATTGGTGCCAATAAAATTTTATAGGTAAGATCCTGCTTTCTATTACAGAAGGTAATACCAAAAGGTATACTCCCTGTCTTCAAAGAAATGGAAATTAAAACAACATTGAAGTATAATTCAAAGACAAAGCATAAAAAAATTCATCAAACCTAATAATGGTAAAGTTTAGGGAAATATATACTCTTACACCTTGAGATATAAATTAATTTAACCTTTCCATAGAGCTATTTGGTTATGTGTGTGTATGTGCGTGTGTGTGTATGTAGATATAAGATATACATGTATGTGTATGTGTGTCTGTGTGTACCTAAAAAAGTTTTAAAACTTTCATGCTTCCATAATTTCACTTTAAGGGAATGTCCTCCAAGGGAATAATCAAAGATTTCTACAAACATTTATGTGCTAGGATGTTTGTCGCAGCCTGCTTATAACAGTAAAAAACTTAAAATAATTTAAATTTCCAACAATGAGGGGATGATTAAATAAATTAAAATTCATGTATATGATTGAATATCATGTAGCTATTTAAAATTACATATAAAAAGTATTGTATTTATAAACAAAAAAGTAAGCAGTCCTCAAATTTTAAAATGTACTATTGCACCAGTTTTGTAAAAAAACAAAATACATCTATGCAATGAAAATAAAATAACCAGAAGCATAAACACTGAACTTTAACAAACAATGATATATATACTTACAAACATTAGAGATGAAGTTCTGTTATTCTAGTTTACATTCTTCCTATCTTAAGTATTCATGTGTATTCCTTTTATAATCAGACTGGAAAAAAAAACTGTTCTCTTTTTTAAAAAACCCAGTTGACCAGTATGTATAACAAACAAAATATAAGTTTCCCTAAGTGCACTGAAGAATTCTCAAAGAGAGAAGACGATCTCTAAAAACATGGAACAAATGCCCAAGCAGTGGCTGCCAGTTTCCCTTGCATTTTTTAGTCTCTCTCAAAGACTAAAAGAAAGACTCTGGAAGACTTTGTTACTATTTAACTTCAGAAGATATTCCTTTAAAAATAGGGATAGCAGGGCTCAAAGTAGGAAAACAAAAAAATAAACTCAGAAGGGAATTTGTTGGCAACCATCCATCTCCCTGGCAATTATTTTCTCTTGAGAATTATCTTCTAATTCCTTGAAGGATTTAATGTTTAGTTTGACTGCACAAATTCCTTCAGAAAAAAAAAATATAGATCAGAAAAACAAAGTGATAAGTCAGATTGAAGAAAAAGACGCTGAGATGCAGGGCTAAATAACAACAAAAAATGATAATTTAACACATTACAAAAGCTCATGTTCATTTGTTCTTTCACTCCATCCTCATAGAAATGCTGTTTTCTGTCTATCCCCACACTATTTTTAAAAAGACACTGAGATCCTAATAGCTAGAAGCTCAAACATGAAGCTATAACCAGTGTAGAGTCCACTTCAAAAAAAAAAGTTCTTCCCCATCCTACATCCTATATCCCCAAATATTCCCATCCCCATCCTATATCCCCATATATCCCCATATATCCTATATCCCAATCCCCATCCTATATCATATATTCCCATCCATCACCTACTCAAACATATCCCACAGATTGACTAAATGACAGCTATCAACAGTGGTGATTTGGACAATTTCCAGCAATTTCTGGCATAGCAGAGGAGGGAAAACAAAAGAAGTGAATGGTGTGCAGTCATTTTTTCCCCTTTGGCTGACTTAGTTTGAATGGAAATTGGGTTGGATCTGCAGAGAGGCAGGAGGTGGTTTCTGAACATTATTGTTTCTATGCTAAGAACTATTGCTCCCCCAAACTTTAACAGTATCATTCTATAAGTAGTTTGTAGCCAGCTGTTAATTGTTTATTTAGATGGTTATCCCAAATTAAGAAGTCTGAAATTTCAGTAACTTTATAATTAACAGTTTTAATAATGAATTTCTCAACAGGCTCTTGAGTCCCTCTGAGTTCTTCAGAAGCAATGAAAGTACTCATTAAGGCCAGCCGCGGTCGCTCAAGCCTGTAATCCCAGCACTTTCGGAGGCTGAGGCGGGCAGATCACAAGGTCAGGAGATTGAGACCATCCTGGTTATCATGGTGAAACCCCGTCTCTACTAGAAATACAAAAATTAGCCGGGCATGGTGGCACAAACCTGTAGTCCCAGCTACTCAGGAGGCTGAGGCAGGAGAATCACTTGAACCTGGGAGGCGGAGGTTGCAGTGAGCCGAGATCATGCCACTGCACTCCAGCCTGAGTGACAGAGTGAGACTCCGTCTTAAAAAAAAAAAAAAAAAAAAAAAAAAAAGACTCATTAAAAGACATCCAAATTATTTTAAAGAAAAAAGAGCAATATGAAAAAGTATGAACTTAAGTGCTCAGTCAACAAGAAGAAAAAAACACAAAAGGTTTAAAGAAATCATGCAGAGAAATTGATGTTTTATTTTGTCTATTTGCTTAAAAACTCAAAATAACATGGAATAAATGCCGAAGCAGCTGTTGTCTCACGTTTTTTTTTTCTTTTAGTCTCTCTTAAAGACCAAAACAAAGCTCCTGGAAGACTATGTTACTATAATATTTAACTCCAGGGAATAGACCCTTAAAAGCAGAGATACAGGGGTCAAAAATAGATGAGGTGGGTTTTTCTGTTTAGGTTTTATTTTGTCTTTGCTTATAAACACAAAATAACCATTTCATTGTGATTAATACTTTAACTTCATTTCAACTTTCCTAACAGGCAAACTCTCTCTAATAAGGACCTAAATGCTTTATAGTTGGAAACTTAGGCTTCCTTATAATTAGCCAAATTTAAAAGGAAATTTACAACAAAAGCCCCAATCTATCAACGCTAAACTTACATAATTATAATTTTATATTTATTAAGATAACTCTTTGACCACAATTTCCCACTAGGTTGTAAACTCAGGGGCTTAGATTATAACTGTTTTTCTCATCATTTTATCTCTCATATTTAAAATAATGCCTGTCATATAGTAGGTACTTAATAAATATTTATTGAATGAATTGCAAAATACTATGGTCATTCCCAATAAAATCGGGAATAATCAAGAATGCCTTATGATAACTAATTTAATATTGTTGCCATGTGGTAGCCAATGGAATAAAAAGGGCAGAGAAGCAGTGTGCATAAAAATGTATATGCCTAGAAAATCCAAGGGAACCAACTCAAAAGTTTTTATAATTAACTTCAGTAAGGTGGACAATTATCAAATTGATTATATCACCAAAATAATCAGATAAAATAAATAATAAAAAAATTGTACTGACAAATATCAGGGGGAAAAGATAAAATAAATCTAACAACCAGCCACAGTCCGAGATGGGAGGACAATACGGTAAAGATGTCAAAACTCTTGAACTAACTTAAGTCAAGTCAATTTTGATTATATTAATCAAAAATAAATATACTATTTATATATTATATATGATATATATTATATTATATTATATATGTTATATATGATATATGATTATATATCATATATAATATATAATATGTAATATATATTATAGATTATATTTTTATATATTATATATTATATTTATATATATTATATATAAATGTATATATACTATATATTTATATATTTAAAATAAATATATAAATACATTTAAATATATATTTATATATATTTAAAATAAAAAAAATATATATTTTTATATATACTATATATAATATTTAAAGTCTCTAAAATCCCCTATAGGGATGTAAAACAAGTATTAATAGTGGTTATTTCTGGATAGTAAAATTTGACACATTTTACTTCTTTATACTATTCTATATTTTCTCTCAATAAACATGCATCAGTGTTATAGTTGGAAAAAAATTAATGTGATATATCTTTAAATTATTAATACTATAAGAAATTAGACGAATCTTATTTATTAATAAGGCATATCTACGATGCAAAAGCAAACTATTAATATCAACCTATTTTGAATGTGACTTTAAGATTATACTGCAGGATTTTAAAATATCTATGTTCAACAAAATGACAGGCTTTATGGAATATTTCACATATGGAAATAGACTTTCTGAGACATTTTTCTAAAATTACCTTTTTTTCCAAATGTAGTTTTGAGAATATCATTCCAAAAACTTTTTTCCCTTTGTCTTCCCATATGATGAAGGGTTAACAGTGATAGTAGTAATAATAATAGTATTACCTTCATAATACAATGGTTTATTTGTTCCTAAGTGTTGCCATCTATGGGAGAAAAATACATTTGTATTTTCATGAACTCAATAGGAACTACATAAAACAACCCCATCTTCTTATCCTTGGCCATATGACCATAACATTTACATTTTTTATTTCTTCACTTACAAATGCTGGCTTAACATGGATTGTTAGCTACAAACTGCTATCAAATTTGATTTATCATGGTATATCTTACAAATTAATGAAAATATTACCAGTTGACCTAATTTATGCACTATTTTTAAAAACATAGAAAATAAATGTTGACAAGGATCTAGAGCAATAAGAACTCTCATACACTGCTATTGGAAGTATAAAGTGAAAACCACACAACAGTGTCCTATGCATATATCCTATGATTTTACAGTTAATATCCCAGATATAGATCCAACACAAATATATAGATATCTATTTACAAAAATACCACACACAAATGTGTTACCATGTTCATTGCAGTACTAAAACACCCAGACTAGAAACTACTTAAGGCCGCTCATCAACAGTAGATAGGATATATAAGTTGTGACATATTTATACAATGAAATATTACATAACAATGATAATGAATCATCTACATCTATAACCAATGGTATGTATCAATGTTGCAAGCATAATAGTGAACAAAAACAGCCAAACACTAAAGAATATATATAGGTCAATTTACCTGAAATACAAAAACAGGCAAAAGTAATCCACGTTACTAGAAGTCAAGATAGTAAATACACTTCACTATATTCATTACCAGGGATGCCAAGAGGGCTTCTGGGGTACTGGTAACATTCTGCTGCCTTTTTTTTTTTTGAAATGGAGTGTCACTCTGTCACCCAGGCTGGAGTGCAGTGGCATGATCTTGGCTCACTGCAACCTCCGCCTCCTGGGTTCAAGAGATTCTCCTGCCTCAGCCTCCTGAGTAGCTGGGATTACAGGCGCATGCCACCACGCCCGGCTAATTTTTGTATTTTTAGTAGAGATGGAGTTTCACCATGTTGGTTAGGCTGGTCTTGAACTCCTGACCTCGTGAACCACCTGCCTCGGCCTCCCAAAGTGTTGGGATTACAGGCGTGAGCCACCACACCCAGCCACGTTCTGCTTTTTTATCTGGATTCTATTACACAGGTGTGACAGTTTTTCAAAATTTATTAAGCTATATATTTCTGTGTGTGTGTTTGGATCTATTACTGCTCAACAGAAAGTCAAGAGAAAAAATATATAATACAAAAACTTTGTGAAAAGTCAAAATGACTTTTGACTTTGATGACTTTTGATGCTTTGCTAGTAGAGATGAAATTTCAAACTGAATCAAGTAGTTACTGTTAATTGTGTCCTAAAATATTTAAGAGAGTAAATTAACCTTATTTCCCCAATAACTTAAATTCTAACTTCAAATATGCCTTATTTCATTTCAGTTTTACTGAACAAATACATAAAAATAACATTTATTTTAAGCAAGTAGAGGTGAATAAAACATTTCTAATAAGTACAATTCCTTTCATCCTGTGCAGTCCTAATATGTTATTTACCTATATAAAAATTCATATATTCTACATCAATTATTCTTAAATCATGCTCAGCTATTAAATGGTTATCTATACAATCTTATGACATCATCTCAATTTTTGACACAAGTATGACATTCACAACTAATGTAGTAAAAACACATTGTTAACGTACACTAAAACCATTCTTTTCCTTGGTCAATGGTTCATACAAATTACAAGAATGTCATAAAAACTTGGCTTTTATTATAAAACTTCAGAATTGGACAACTTGTCCTAAATGCAATTCAAGTAAATACTGTCACAGCTAAAGCTGAAGGACACAGAATAAACCCTGTTAGTTGGTCTTACACATATCTTTGTACAGGACTTGAAAAACACCCATAATTACCTTGTAACATTCATATAAAAATTTTTTCAAATATTAAAACTAAGGAGTATAATTCTGCTACCATTTACTGATGTGTCTGTATATAAGGCACTGTGTGAAGTACTTTGTATCTCTTTAGACGGCCATCATTTCTTTAGATTTTCACAACAGACCTGTGAAATAGGCTCTACGACAGGTTGAACATCCCTAGTCCAAAAATCCAATATCCGAAATGCTCTAAAATCCAAAAGCTTTTAAGTGCCAATATGACACCACGAGTGGAAAATTCAACACTTGACATCTTTGCTTCCTGACAGTTTAACATACACAGACTTTGTTTATTGCACAAAAGTATTCTAAAATATTGTATAAAAATACCTTCAGGCTATGTGTATAAGGTGTATATGAACATAAATGAATTTCATGTTTAGACTTGGGTCCCATCCCCAAGATTTCTCATTATGTATATGTAAATATTCCAAAACCCAAAAAAAATCTGAAACACTTCTAGCCCTTTGGATAAGAAATATTCAACCTGTATTATCTCCATTTTGCTGATGAGAAAACTGAGGTTCAGAAAGGTTAAATAATTTGTCAGAGTTATTTGGCCAGGAAGTTGAATAGGCATATTTAAAATAATGATTGATCTGACTCCAAGTCCTCTATAATTAATCACAATGTAAATATGCCTCTCCTTGTAGTATGGGGTAGGAAGAGCTAAAATAAATAAATCAACTTTCTTCACTTTCCATTTTTAAAAATCACTTTTCTGACAAACTGAATTAATTTTTGGCTATAACCAACCAATTACAATTAGACAGTTATCATTCGTTTTTCATAACACAGCCTGCAATCTATCTTCTCCAAAATATTTTTCTGTGATTGTGGCACAGTACAAGTAAAATTGTCTCTAATGACATACTGAACCATAAATCAGATGGATGTATTTATCCCCAAGCTCTAGAAAAGACCAAAGCTCTTTGACCAATGGGTTTGGTATAAGACTATACAAGGACCTAGTCACTGTAAACAGATAATCCTATATGCAGCTACATTAAGATGGCAGGCCTGTTTGATGAACCCTTAAATTACAGTACACACCTACTACCCATAATATTAGTAGTGCTTTGGGAAATAGAGGAAATATTGGGTTGTTCTAAGTGTGGGATGAAGCCTGCAGGGAAGACAGAGAAAACAGCAATGGCAAGAAATAAGGAGGAAACTGTGGCCATCGGAAATTTACTAGAACCATATTACAGAGAAAGAAGCAATCATGAAAATGTAAGCATCCTCAAAACAAATCCTCAGAAATCTAGGAAAGGCACTAAACTTCCCATGGGCAAAGTTTGTGTGTAAATGTCAAGAAGGGAGAAAGACAGGAGGCCAAAGATTAGTAGATGCATCTGTTATCCTCTCTCAAAACACAATTTAGGACATGCAATGTTAAGATAAGGGACCAAGTATGTTCTTAGCTCTATGGCTCAAACAAGGTAAGGAACTAATAAAATCCCTGACCATATGGCATATATGCAAAGACTGTTTTTAAAACTAGCCAGGTGCAGTAGCTCACACCTGCAATCCTTTTTGGAGGCCGGATGGGCAGATCACTTTAGGCCAGGAGTTTGAGACCAGTTTGGCCAACATGGCAAAACCCCATTTCTACTAAAAATACAAAAAAGTTAGCCAGGTGTGGTGCTGCCTGCCTGTAATCCCAGCTACTCAGTAAGCTGAGGCATGAGAATCCCTCGAACTGGGGAGGAGGATATTGTGGTGAGCGGAGATTGTGCCACTGCACTCCAACCTGGGTGACAGAGCAAGACTCTGTCTCAAAAAAAAAAAAAAAAAAAAGGTAAAATAACTTATATCTAGGTCCTGAAAATTAATTCTGACTCAAAATTACAATTTATTCATCACAGGAATTAGATCAAAACAAATAATTTACTAACTCTCTTTGCATCAACAAAGAGTACTCGATACATACTTTATACACAATGAACTGTATCTATTTGCTTCCAGGTCTATCTCTTCTGTACATGGAGAATCCATCTGTACGTGGAGAAAAAATAATCCACTCTCAGTCCAAAAGTGTGCCAATATAATTTACTAGGACCCACAGACATTTTTAACCTTAATTCATCCTTTTATTTATACCTATCTAGACCTGATTGTAAATACGTTCTGTCCTACATACTAGTAAATTAAACACTTCCAAAAAATTTGAAAAGAAGAGGAATGATCTTATTGTTTACTATTCCTGCACAGTGAGCAAGGTAACATTTTTCTTTTGCATTTAAAATATTTGGATATAATCCTTCCAAAGTTACAATGAACTGTCAAAGGCAGGTCAACTACACTTCAGTAGGCCATGTTTCCAGACCTGCTCAGACTGTCAGCACTTCACTAACTGACCTATAGTCAATTCAAACAAGATGTGGTTGTTAAATTCCCAGAGAAGGACTAAAACATGAGGTATTATTTAATAGAGATGATAATTACTACATGCTTTTAATAAAAACTCCTGATATCACATATTGGTTGATAGTGTTCCAAGAGCCAAAAGGTCAACTAAGGAATTATCTATATTTAATATAGATAGATGGCTTAGGATGGTATCATAGCTTCTGTGTGAAAGAATTCAACAGGAAAGATGCTAGGAACACAAGCTCTAGATCTACTTACTGGCTGTATAACCAGAGGTGAATCACTTAACCTCTCCGTGGCTATGTTTCTTCATCTGTTAAATATGCCTCTTAGGTTATCATAACAATTTAGCACATTTAGCTCTCAATACCTCTTACCAATCATATTTATAAAATTAATATGCTAACTTAATCTATGTCTTTAATTCCAGTCTCTCACTTGAGTCCTACATTTCCTATCCTCTATGGCTGTGTTTCTCACACTGGCATCTGAAGATCTTGGGGATCTTCAAGTTTCCCACAATTTTTTTTTAATTTTGTGATTTCATTTTGGTAAAAATCTTATAAAGCCTTTATAAGCAAATGTATCCAAATCATTTCGGTGGCCTTCATAAGTGAACTGATATTAGATTATGTGCTATGCTAGCAGAAGTGTATAAAGCTAAGGAACCCATAGTACTGACACTCATTCAAGATTGGAAGGATGGAGGGGAATCCACGCTTCCAGTAGGAGATGAAACATCTGGCATGCTGAAAGACTGAGGCAGGAACTGCTAGGAAGGGAAACTCTTTAGAGAAGTAATATTTTAGGTAGAGGCAGCAGCTTGTGCAAAGCCCAGGAGGAAAAGGGGGAAAGAGAAAGTGGGTGGGAGGGAGAAATGAGAAAAACGGTGGGGGACAGAAAAAATTGCAGGTCAGTGGCAAGAGACTGGTGGACTGGAGACTGGCAAGGCAGGGATATTGAAGCAAGTCTTGTTTGACACACTAAGTTTGCCCTTAATCTTATGGGCCATGGGGAGCAACTAAAGGTGGCTGTACAGAGAAGTAATGTGAGAAAGATAATTTTGTCTGCATCTGGAGAGTAGGTGAGTTTGCAAGTAAAGCATTCAGGAGTGTACTGCAATAGTCTAGGTAAGAAATAATGTGATTTAAATGAAGGTTATGGCTGTATAGCTAAGGAGAGGAGACTACCAAATGTGTCACTGAAGCTAAAGGAAAATTAACATTCAAGGATGAAGTAGTCAACAGTATTGTATACTACAGAGAGATCCAGGAAAACAAGGATCAAAAAAGGGCCCATTACTTCAAGAAAAAGAGGTTATGGTGACGTTGGTGAGAACAGTTTTAATGAAAACAGTTTAGCAGAAGCCAGATTAGCAGTGTCTTGATATGTCATATGTACAAATTGAGAATTCAAGAAAGTTGTTGAAAGAACAAATACACTTTGATTCTATTTGTCTGCTCTAATCCAGTCACAATAGACTTAAGCTTTTCGAGGTTACTCCAAATCAAACTGCATTCAAATCATAATCATCCAAGAATCATCCCACCATTAAAGAGGGCAGAGTCAGAAGAAGCAACAGCTACAATTATGAGCTAGGAGGGGAAAAATCAGACTTATTTAAGCTGAAGTACTTAGTACAAAGTTAAATAGTTTCATTTCTGCTTCCAGTCTCCCCCTTAAACTTAATCCTTCCCCAATTTATCCTTCACACTGCAGCCAAAGGGATCTCTCTAACACATATCCTCCCTAAAAATGTTTTCAAAAACTCCCCATCTTCTAAAAAATAAAAAAAAAATTTTAAAAAAAAAAACCTCAGCCCTCAAAGTGACATACAAAGCACTTCATGATCTGGCCTCTGCCTGTATTTGCTCCAAGCACACTCAGCCACATGTGGTTTCCTAAGTGCAATATACACTCACCTGCTTTCTTGAGTTGTTTGCTTTTCTCTATTTGCCCATGGCACCTTGGACGTGGCTCTAATAAACACTTCATCCTGCTGTACAGCAACTGTTTACTTACTTGTCTTTACCTCCACTGTTCAACCTAGTTCTTAACTGATAATAAGCACTCAATACATTTTCCTGGGGTTTTTTTGTTTATTTTTGGGGTTTTTTTTTTTTGTCAAATGAGTGTTTCTTACTCCTCTATTTAGGCAGCATTTGAAAATCTGTTTGTTTAACCGTAAAGAGCTAAGCATATGTACCAAAATATTTTCAAGCATCCCCATGAGGTAACTGATTTTAAAGTGTGACTTTTACTCATAGTAAATACTGAATTTTTTTCTACAAAAATACTGCTTTGTGAGGCAGAATCTGAACATCACGTATAGACAATCTAGTTCTGAAAACACCTCTTTTTTGTACAGACAGTTGTACTTTATTTAAAACCAGAATCAAAACAAAGGCCAGGCAAGGTGGCTCACACCTATAATCCCAGTACTTTGAGAGGTCTAGGTAGTAGGATCGCTTGAAGCTAGGAGTTCAAGACCACCCTAGGAAACATAGCAGGATGCTGTCTCTACAGAAAAAAAAAAAAAGTTTAATTAGCCAGGCATGGTGGCACGTGCTTGTAGTCCTAGCACTTGGGAGGCTGAGGCAGGAAGATGGCCTGAGCTCAGGAGCTCAAGCCTGCATTGAGCTATGATTATGCCACTGTATTCCAGCCTGAGTGACAGAGTGAGATTCCTGTCTTTAAAAAATAAGGTAAAATAGAGTCAAACTAAAAGTACATACAGGTAAGTGTCAATTATATATTAGTAACTAGACAAATCCATATAAAAATATGTGGAATTTTGAAAACTGCTCAGGAAGAAAGCAGCTGCTCTAGCTTGAGCACCAGTGCTTTTCAGCGGAAAACTGGCTCTGAATAATGGAAAATCTCAATGCTTAACACAGAAGATATCCTCCGTTTCCTCTACTAACCTGAGTTCTCTCAGAAAAGACAGCAGTAGTATTAAATCCATTCAGTAGCCATACAAAAATAAATACCATAGCTAAACTATACCAAGTACATATTTTGTGCGAGAACTGTGCTACGTATTTTTCACACATTATTTACAACATCTGTCTGATCTTAATTACTAGTATTATCCCTATTTATAGATTTCAAAAGTGAGGATTAAAGGGTTGAATAATTTGCCCAATCAAGCTGATGTCAGCAGGGCAGTTTATAATTAGTACTATGAGCATAATACCAAAAAGCTTTTCAAGAGCCTAGAAAAAGATAATTTAGGTTTCCAAAATATGAAAAGTACAAAATCAAAATTAATGTTTACCTAAATATCTACAAAACATGCCATTATATTAACTAATTAACTATCATCCAACTAAGTATGGACTGTTTTGGATGTGGGCTGTAGTATATTTCAGTATATATCAATATGATTTAGGGTGGGGCCTTAAAAAATAAAAATGCCCAAAATTCACAAATATCACTGAGACCCATTACAAAATGGCAAAAGATATGAACTGATATTTCACCAAAAAGACATACAGGTGGCAAATAAGCATATGGAGAGGTGTTTGACATAATTAACCTTTGGGGAAACACAAATTAAAATAATGATGATGCTGATTCAAACAGCAGAGAAAAAAATTTAAAAATAAAAAATAAATATCAAAAAACATGATTAGCTATTAACACACACCTATTACAACAGCTAAAATAAATAAGAAATAATTATACCACCAAATGCTGGCAAGGATGTAGAAAAACTGAACCTATCACACATTGCTGGTAAGAATGTAAAATGGTACAACTACTATGAAAAACAGTTTAGCAGTTTCTTACAAAACTAAACATGCACTTACATGTAACCTAGTAATCACATTCTTGGATGTCTATCCCAGAGAAACAAAAATGTATGGTCATATAAAAACATGTACATAAATGTTCATAAAAGCTTTATCGGTAACAGCAAAATACTGAAAAGAATCCAAATGTCCCTCAATGGGTGAATGGTTGAACAAACTCTGGTACATCCATACAATGAACCACTACTCAACAATAAAAAGGAATGAACAATTACTGAATTAATAAATAAATTCATTAATTCATTAATACAATCTGAATGGCCCTCAGAGCATTATATTTAGTGAAAAAAGGCAACCTTAAAAGATTACATGCTGTATGATTCTATTTACATGACTTTATTATTATTATTATTTTGATTGACCAATCATTGTATACGTTTATGAGGTACAATGTGATGTTTTGATATATATATACACAGTGTGGATGATTAAACCAAGCTAATTAACACATCCATCACCTCACTTATCTATCATTCTTTATGGTGAGACATTTGCGATTTACTTCCTTAGTTATTTTGAAATATATAATACATTATTATTTATTACAGTCACCCTGCTATGAGATAAATCTCAAAACCTATTCCTCCTGTATATCTAAAACTTTGAAACTTTTGATCAACAACTCCCCATTTCCTTCCTCCAATCCCCCTCCAGCCTCTGGTAACCATACTCTCTACTGTAAGTTCAATTTCTGTGGCAATGAAAGCAAAAACAGACAAATGGGACAGCCTCAAACTAAAAAACTTCTGCCCAGCAAACAATTAACAAAGTGAAGAGACAACCCACAAAATGGGAGAAAATATTTGCAAAAAATACATCTGAAAAGGAATTAATAGCCAAAATATATAAAGAACTTAAAGAACTCAACAGCAAGAAAACAAATAACCCCATTAAAAATCAGGCAAAGGATCTGAACAGACATTTCTCAGAAGAAGACACACAAATGACCAACAAGTACATGAAAAAAAATGCTCAGCACCACTAATCATTAGGGAAGCACAAATGGAAACCACAATGAGATATCATTTCACACCTGTTGGAATGGCTTTTGTCATGTTGAAAGCTAACAAGTGTTGGTGAGGATGCAGAGAAAAGAGAACTCCCGCACACTGTTGGGAACGTAAGTTAACAGAGGAAAACACCATGGAGGTTCCTCAACAAGCTAAAAATAAAACTGCCATATGATCTGTTGATTCTACTTCTAGGTATCCAAAGAAACTGAAAAGTATGTCAAAGGGATATCGGTACTGCCATGTTCACTGCAGCATTATTGATTATGTATTTTTAGAATTATATTCCATTCTAAAAATGATAAAACCTTAGAGATGGAAAACAGGAAGGGAGGCAGATGGGTGGATATAAATACAAAGGTGGCAGCATGAGGGGGTTCTTTTTTTTTTTTTTGACACGGAGTCTTGCTCTGTTGCCTAGGCTAGAGTGCAATGGTGCAATCTCGGCTCATTGCAACCTCCACCTCCCGGGTTCAAGCGATTCTCCTGCCTCAGCCTCCAGAGTAGCTGGGATTACAGGCACCTGCCACCGTGCCCAGCTAATTTTTGTATTTTCAGTAGAGACGGGGTTTCACCATCTTGGCCAGGCTGGTCTCGAACTCCTGACCTCATGATCCACCCGCCTTGACCTCCCAAAGTACTGGGATTACAGGTGTGAGCTACCGTGCCCGGCCAGCATGAGGGAGTTCTTTTATGATAATGGAATAGTTCTGTATCTAGATTGTGGTGGTGGTCACATGAATCTATTCATTAAATACAACTACAAAGAACTACACACATATATACACACATTCACATGAATGCAAGTTTAAAAATTGTTAAAACTGAATAAAGTCTGTAGTCTAGACAACAGTAATGTAACAATATCAATTTTCGGTTTTTGACATTGGGTAAACATGGACATAAAAATGGCAACACTAATAAGGGGGAAGGAAAAGAAAGGGCAAGGTTGAAAAAGTAACCATTGAGTACTATGCTCATTACCTAGGTGACAGGATCAGTCATACCCCAAACTTCAGCATTATGCAATATACCATGTAACAAGTATACAAGCACTCCCTGAAACTAAAATAAATTATTTTTTAAAATCTGCTTTTGATATTGTACTATAGCTATATACAAAGCCACCATTGGGAGAAGTTTACACAGGGTTCATAGGACTCTGTGTTATTTTTGTCTTTTCTATCATTATTTCAAAATAAAAAGTTTAAATAAAAAATGGCCTTGGTTATGATAACCTGAATTTTGAACCCAGGTCTGCCTAACTCTAAACTTGTGCTACTGCCCTGTGTACTATAATGCCTGCAAAATCTGTTTTATTAAAACATACTAAATATGCATAATTTCCTAGAGAGAAGAATATAATACACAAGAAGTCCACCCTGGGTCACATTTAAAGAGGTTAAGGTAGTTCAAAAAACACTTTATTAGAAATAAGTTTAAAATATGAAATCATTTCATTCATAGCAACTAAGACCAGGTGTTCCAATGTACTAATATGGTCATGAGAACTTCAGAAGTCTAATAGGAGGTGACAACTGGGCTGCTTTGGCATAGTGACTAGGGGTACTGTTTTTCACTCCCCCTCTCAGTAGAGGCAGCTCTATAGTTTCCTGCCATGTTGTCTTGTTCACCTGAAAAGTTAACAGCTGTTCCACTCCTTCCACACCAGGCAAACAAACTGCACAGTAGAAAGCTGTAAATAGAGCCATTACAGTGTATATTCACTTGGCATCCCTTTTCTATCTACCTGGGATCTTCCTGATGAGACTATCCTTGTGAGATGCAAAACATGGCCAAATTACAATCATCACAACCAGAGAGGTGAGCTAAAATTACCAAATCGTTTTGGGAGTAAGCAAAAGTTGCTGCCTGTCTTCATATAAATTCATCATACCCTTATATATTATGCAGCAGCTATGAAAAATTATACATTTAGGCAAGAGCAAGATAATAATATTTAAAAGAACAAAATAGTGATGAGGTAGTTAATGATGTTCTTCTGTTTTGCACCATTTATTTCAATAATTACTCCCAAAATATTTGTATTAATTGATCAGATAAAAAACACCAGAGCCAACTGGTTCACTGTGTCGTTTCCAATGCTGAATGTCCTATTAGTCAGAGATCTACAAATTCAATCATACATATTAAATAATTCAATTTAACAAATACACAGTATTAAATATTTTTAAGAAGGAGATGACATTGCTTGGGGAGTTGACACAAAAAGAGAAAATGGCACTAGTGTGTGGCTTCCATGGGAAGACAGCAAAATCCAACAAAGACCATTATTACTGTATTAAGTGTGTGCTAACGTGGCAAATTCAATGTTATCTTAATAACAAGAAGGAGAAAACTTGTGAGAGTGATCTTCAAGTATTTAAAAAGGAAGTAGATATGATCAATTGTACTTCCTCAGGACAGAACTAAGAGTAATGGCTAGAAATTACAAGAACACACAGGAAGGCTGATAAGTGTATTTATATACATATGTACATACATATAAACATTTTTTAAAAATTTAAAAGATCATATGTGAGTATAAATATATATCTTTTATGTGTCTATATATATTGATGTATATGCCCTAAATTCTATAAACATATGAGCTTTAACTTTTTTTTTTTTTTTTTTTTAGATGGAGTCTCGCTCTGACGCCAGGCTGGAGTGCAGTGGCACGATCTCGACTCACTGCAACCTCTGCCTCCCGGGTTCAAGCAATTCTCCTGCCTCAGCCTCCCGAGTAGCTGGGACTTACAGGCACACGCCACCACGCCTGGCTAATTTTTGAATTTTTGGTAGAGACGGGGTTTCACCATGTTGGCCAAGATGGTCTCAATCTCTTGACCTCATGATCCATCAGCCTTGGCCTCCCAAAGTGCTGGGATTACAGGCATGAGCCAATGCGCCCAGCAGAGCTTTAATTTTTAAAAATTTAAAAGATCATGTGTATACATATACATATGTGTGTATATATAAAAGATCACATGTGTGTATATATATCTTTTATTTATATGTGTGTATATATATAAAAGATTATATGTGTATATATATCTCTCTTATGTATATATACACACACATATATCTTTTATGCATATATACACACATATAATCTTTTAAATGTTTTAAAATTAAAGCTCATATATTTATAGAATTTAGGGCATATACATTAAATTACTAGCTATAGTGATATCTTATTAAAACTACAGGAGAGGACTTCCTGAGACCCTTTCTAAGGGCCTGTCTTCCCCCAGAGGCCCCACGGGACAGAGAAAGCATCTTGATACCCAGGGCCACAAATGAGCAATCCATAGATACTACATATAAGAGAGACCTGTACCCTATGAGGTAACCTGAGGATGAAGGAGTGAGTCATATTGGGTGGCAATTAAATGACCCAGCCTCCTCTCTCAAGAAGACTTTTACATTTTAGACAGGCAGCAGAAGCAGCAAAGGAGAAAGGAAGTGCAGAAGCATCAGAAGAAGAAAAGGAGAAAACTGAGCCTTGATTACAGCAAAGCAGCTGTGGTACAAAGCAACTGACATCCAATCCTTTTTTTTTTTTTTGAGACATGGTCTCAATTCTGTCACCCAGGCTGGAGTGCAGTGGTATGATCTCTGCTCACTGCAACCTCCACCTCCCAGGTTCAAGCGATTCTCCTGCCTCAGCCTCCCGAGTAGCTGGGACTACAGGCACTCGCCATCACACCTGGCTAATTTTTGTATTTTTTTGGTAGAGATGAGATTCACCATGTTGGCCAGGCTGGTCTCGAATTCCTACCTTCAAGTGATCTACCCAATTCGACCTCCCAAAGTGCTGGGCTTACAGGCATGAGCCACCGCACCCAGCTGTAACTGATACCCAATTCTAAGGGAACAACAAGCTGACCGGTATTCTGAACTTTCTGCTAAATTGCCAGAGCTGTACAATATCCTTGAACAATGTTTCAGTTCTCCATTAGACCCTTCTGTTCACCTGCCAATGCACTTTCCTACTATTCTCTGTGAATTTATTATCACCAAAGGAAACCTGGAGATAACACTGAAACTCACCTGAACTCTGTATTCTTGGAAAGAGCCACAGTCAAGAAATTACCCCTACCCTTTTGTGTTCTGGGAAAGTTTACTAGATAAAACTGACAGATGACCACCTTGCAACCAATGACAAGGCCAGAAACAGACTTTCCAAATTCCCATTCTCTGTCTCATACATGTTAGCCAAACTCTTTGTCCCCATTTACCATTCTGGTTGGTCAATGCCCACAAACGACCTGACCAAACTTTAGTCAGGCTCCTCTCCTTCCTCAAAACCCCTGAACTTTGGTCCACCCTGAAGCAATGGAAGGTGAGTAACCCCTCCTTAACAGCCCTTCCCCAGAACCAGCTGAACTCTGGAAAAACATTCCCGATAACACAATATTCTGCCTCCCCCTATTGAAATCATCCTCCTCCTTTTATTGTCATAGTCTATTTAGATAAAGCCTCTCCTTACCTAAGTCCAGATTTGTTTTTAATTGACACTTGCAAACTTCAAACAGCCTAACTTTACAAAACACAAATTAAAATCATTAAATATCCTCTCATTTACAATATTTTTGTAGAATCACGGCTGTTATATCTTTTTTGATATATAGCCACATAATAAAATATAACATCTGTAAAATTTTTCCCAATGTTGAAATAGGAAAATTAACTAGACAACTAATTATTAAAAATAATTAAAATATGCTGGTTAAAATTAAGCATTTCATAATGAAAATGAAAACTGGAACCCTAACAACTTAAGTTTTGAAATAACTGAAATAATTTCTTTATATTTTCACTTTTGTCTTACATAGTTCAATCATCACCTGACAACCTATTCAAAAGAAGAAAAAAGCTTGATGAGCTTGTATTTATGTTGGCCAACTATTAATTCAAGCTACGAAAGTAACAATAATATACTTGCTAAAGTTCTTTCTGAAGAACTTTCTGCAACAATCTGTCACTTCTCCAGTGGTGCAGTATCCTAATCTCAACCTAGCGCCTTTCACTGTAGAGGGTACTGTAGATGCACATTAATTGCAGAACATACAAAAAAATAGATCTCCAATGTTTTTAATCAAGAAGAGAAACAGAATAGACATTTCTACGTCAAAAAGCATTTTTTTCTAAAATACTTACATTCTTATTTATTTAAAAATTTTGAAATAATACTTACATAACAAACACATCACAGGAAAATCAACTACTCACCGGCATTGACTATAGCATCTACCTCTAGCAATGTGATGTCACCTCTATAGAGAGAAACTTTTTCAGTCAAACTTTTCTTCACCTGGGATGTTTCCTGAGTATTTTCTTCTGTAATAGAAAATGGATATATATCAATAATAATATTATTAATTAACTTAATCGAGATAATTTTTTACTCAAGACTACTACAAGACCCAATATGTGTCATGCTCTACTACAAAAAACAAGTGGAAATAAGAGCGTAAGTACAAGGGGTGTGGTTTATTCTCTATTTTGTAATTCTCAAAACAAACACACTATCACATACAAAATGGACATACAATAAAACTTTAGCATGTTATATTGGTCAACAAGAAATTCAATACTTATGGGTAATTTTATTAAAATATCCATTCTAAAATAAAATTATGTACCATTACATTCACAAGGAGGTAAGAAAAAGATGTATTAATCTTTAATCTTAGGTAAGAAGAACTTACCTAAAAGGCATCCTTGATAAGAATATATATATATTTGAGCAAAAAAAAATTAGGTTCAGCTCTTTGCTACTTCCTTTTTTTTTGGAGAGGGAATCTCACTCTATCGCCCAGGCTGGAGTGCTGCAGTGGCGTGATCTCGGCTCACTGCAACCCCTGTCTTCCGGGTTCAATAGATTCTCTGCCCTCAGCCCCGCCCACCTCTCCCCCACCACCCCCCCACCCCCCAACCAAGTAGCTGGAATTACAGGCATGAGCCACCATGCCATGCCCATCTAATTTTTGTATTTTTAGTAGAGACAGGGTTTCACAGTGTTGGCCAGGATGGTCTTGAACTTCTGACCTCAAGTGATCTGCCCACCTCGGCCTCCCAAAGTGCTGGGATTACAGGTATGAGCCACCATGCCTGGCCAGCTCTTTGGTACTTCTAAGTAACAAACTATTACTCCGGATAGGAAATTTGAATTTGTGAAACTGCTCCTTTCTTATCAAATTGTATTTTACCTTTTGCTCTAGAGGGTGCTACTAGATTTTAAAAAGAAAGCTCTACCCCAACACACAACAGCCAGCAAGCAGGTATATCTAAAATAAGCCAAAAACGTTACTTTCTGAAATCTGATATTTTAAAAAATGATTTAGAGCAAGACTATAAACTTGAGTTTCCATTTATTTTGAACAAAATAGCAATAAGATAAATCTAGTAAAAGCTGTGCAAAATAAATGTTTTAAAATATTTTGAATTGCTATTCATAAAAAGGTTTTTAATATACTTACAGGAAAGCTGATTTATATTTTTGAATTTATATTAAACTCAAACTTTTTAAAGTATGATATGTGTAAATCTTTCATACAAGGAGATACTGTTATTCATTCACTGAGACACTCTCATTTTTAAAAGTATTTATGATATGCATAAATTTTTAATGAGAGGAGACACTGCTATTCACTCACTGAGATACTCTCATGAGCATGCAATCTTGAGACACCTGGGGGATTAGAGGTGATAGGTTATGAGTCACCTAAATTGTCTTTGGACCACAATACACCCTCCCCAAAAAAAAAAATTTGGCCAAGACTAGAAAATAATCTATGACCATAAAAATGATCCTTTCTCTGTCTATAAAGCATTCCCTTCTTAGTAACCGCTTCTCTCCCGGAAGGTTTTTTTTTGTTTGTTTTTTGTTTTTTTTTGAGACGGAGTCTCGCTCTGACGCCCAGGCTGGAGTGCAGTGGCGCGATCTCGGCTCACTGCAAGCTCCGCCTCCCGGATTCACACCATTCTCCTGCCTCAGCCTCTCCGAATAGCTGAGACTACAGCCGCCCGCCACCAGGCCCGGCTAGTTTTTTGTATTTTTAGTAGAGACGGGGTTGGTCTCCATCTCCTGACCTCAAGATCTGCCCGCCTCGGCCTCCCAAAGTGCTGGGATTACAAGCGTGAGCCACCGCGCCTGGGCCTCTCCCAGAAGTATTCTATCAAAATACTCACTGGTTGTAGTAATAATGACAAGGAGAATAATGTGGGCAACTTGTATGTTAATGACATAGAGAAAAACTTTAGGAACCTCAAAATATAAAATACTTACACTTGAGTTGACCTCTCAGGGACTCCTACAGTACTATTTATCTCTGCCAGATAGTGGGAAAGAGCAGACTTTCCTACCAGACTGACTCTGTTAAAATCCTAATTCTGCCAGTTAACAGCTGGGTGAGTCTGGATAAATTATTCTCTCCATGCATCAGTTTGTAAACCACTGTAAGTGAGTTCATTACACTTAGAATGTTTGCCTCATAGTAAGTGATCAACAAACACAATCATTTTTTTTTTTTTTGAGACAGAGTTTCATTCTTGTTGCCCAGGCTGGGGTGCAATGGCACAGTCTCAGCTTACTGCAACCTCCATCTCCCAGGTTCAAGCGATTCTCATGCCTCAGCCTCCCAAGTAGCTGGGATTACAGGCACCCACCACCACGCCCAGCTATTTTTAGGAGAGAGGGGGTTTCACCATGTTGGCCAGGCTGGTCTTGAACTCCTGACCTCAGGTGATCCACCCACCTCAGCCTCCCAAAGTGCTGGGATTACAAGCGCGAGCCACCACACCTGGCCAAAACTACCTTTTTTTTTTTTTTTTTTTACAAAGGTGACAAATATTATTTCAGCATCCATATTCAGCATTCATGGACCACAATACTAAGATACTTTTTCAAAATATTTTATTTTAAATAAAATATCATATTTATTACTATTGCTTATCAGTGAAAGAGACTATATTTTGTTTGTGCTGTTATCAAATTGTCAACACCTGACCCAATGACAAGGACTCTGAGCCACAAGTCCTTGAGTTCCACATCCAACTAGTTTCTATTGTGATTAACCAAATTATAAACTCTTGATTCTCCATTAACGATTGTTAAATGACAATAAACATTTGGTGGCTTTGTCAGAGACAAATGGATATTTAGACTATTGTGAACCTAGAAATTACAAAGATTCATCACTGAAGATGTTTCAGAACTCTATCAGGCATTAAATTGACAGACTTATCACGAATGCAGAAAGACCATTTCAACATGGGAAACAGAGTAAATAGATTTTCTAATCATTCTTTAACTGCTTTTAGCTCTAAGAAGTATTATTTCATTTTCTCATGAAGCATTATGTAAGTAACTCACATTTGCAGTGATAGAATTTTTAAACATATGAGACAATAAGTCATGTGTTTCTTTCTCAAAAGCAAAGAAATTATAAAAGAAAGGTATGGGAGGGCCAGGCGCGGTGGCTCACGCCTGTAATCCCAACACTTTGGGAGGCTGAGGCGGGTGGATCATGAGGTCAGGAGATCAAGACCATCCTGGCTAACATGGTGAAACTCCGTCTCTACTAAAAAAAAAAAAAAAAAAATACAAAAAATTAGCAGGGCATGGTGGCACGCACCTGTAGTCCTAGCTACTTGGGAGGCTGAGGCAGGAGAATCACTGGAACCTGGGAGGTGGAGGTTGCAGTGAGCTGAGATCATGCCACTGCACTCCAGCCTGGGCGACAGATGGAGACTACATCTCAAAAAAAAAAAAAAAAAAAGAAAAAAAAAGAAAGGTATGGGAAAACATTGAAGTTTAAACCATTTTTATACCACCGTTCAGTTGTTTCAAAAGAAACTCTAATCTGTCATCTGCAAATTTTTAAAATGGAATATTTTGAGACTGAAGTGGAGGTTCAAGCAATTCAGTATATTTATTGAATAAATATACTGCTGTGACAATGTTGCTCAAATAAGTTACTCAAAATGGTCTTTACTCAAGTTATCAGCATTATGAGGGAATATTTTCATTGTCTCTCATTTTAAAAACTAACATGAGGCTCTTTTTTCCTCAACAGTCAGATTATACTTACAGCCCAATTCCTCACATAGTATGCCAAAAAGATATGTACATACTTAAAGGCTACAGCTTGATAGGACTAATAATTAGCAGTATTTCCTTCAACAGTAAATCAAAACCTAATGAAGTATTTTTGACCACCAACTATTCTTTGCAAATACAACAATATAAATTACCACTTAGAGGCCACCTCTTTTATTTGCATAGCAATGCCTTGCCTTCCTTTTCACACACAGATCTCAATGTATCTTTTTCCATACCCTAGGTTTTCAGTAATAAATAAGACAAAAAGTTGCCAAGTATATCGCCCTCATGGACATTCTCTATGTACACAAAGCACCAACTCAGCTTGTACATCACTGGTTTTATACAATTGCAAGCTGAAATATCTGTCAGTGTAAACACATGACAGTAATTGCTCTTTCATATTATATATTTCTGATAATGTCAAAGAAAACCAGAACTGGAAGTGATTAAAGCAGTAAAAACAGATTTTATTCAGAAACTATTACAATAAAGGGAAAGAGACCTCAGTATAGAACTGGGATCATTTCCAAATACAGCAATAACAAGCAGGGATTTATAGCCAAGGAGCAGGATGGAGGTGAGTGGATGGGAAATAACTAAGAGGAAATATAGGGGGATTCTGGTTATAGAGCCTGAACAGTATTCTTGCTGAAGGCAAGTCAGGGTGATCACATATTGCCTGGTGGGGGATGAGCAATTTGACCAAGTATCAAGAGTGATCTGATATCAAGGGTAAGAGATTTTCTCTTAACTAACTTAGCAAGATTCTTGCTGAAACTGGGCTACGCAGGTATTGCAAGAATGGGGCCTAGACAAGAAAAAGGCTTAGAGAAACCTGCCTAAAGTTTGCTTAAGAAGACAGACTTTGTCAGTCCCTCTTATTGTTCAAGGAAAGAAGAGATTCTCATGAAGTTACCCATACATGAAAAGGTGTGGTGATTTCTTCAGCTTATACCAAGTGGTACAGCTTCAGCTTCCTGGGCTTTGGGAAAAGCATAGTTTTAGTTCTCAGTGATGCCAAGTGAGGAAGGTGGGGAAAAATTAGAAATGTTAGTTTGGAAACTTGTAGTAGGCTATCAGAGGAAACTAGAATAATTGAGAAAATGCATAAGATGGCAGGATCCAGTCCAGTTTATAGGTTGACAACGGAAAGCTAAAAAAAAAATGAACAGGACTAGAATTTAATAACCCACAAGGGTACACTATAGTTTTCCATTTAAGCATAAATTTTCTCTCCACTCACTTCCTTTTTTAACTCTTGTTTACAAAATAAGTCTGGTCTCATTAGATTTGGCCTGGTTATTTACATAATTGCAGCAAAAATGACCACTTAGGCCTTTTTGAGTTTGTTTTACTGGAATTTTTTATGAGGAATCTCAGATTAGATTTTTTTTTTTTTTTTTTTTTTTGAGACGGGGTTTCACTCTGTTGCCCAGGCTGTAGTGCAGTGGCACGATCTCGGCTCACTGCAAGTTCTGCCTCCCAGGTTCATGCCATTCTCCTCCTTCAGCCTCCTGAGTAGCTGGGACTACAGGCGCCTGCCACCACACCCGGCTAATTTTTTGTATTTTTAGTAGAGATGGGGTTTCACCATATTAGCCAGGATGGTCTTGATCTTCTGACCTCGTGATCCACCCACCTCGGCCTCCCAAAGTGCTGGGATTACAGGCGTGAGCCACCGTGCCTGACCTTCATATTAGGCTTCTAAAAGCCTCTTGAAGATTAAAAGTCAAGCCAAGCACTACCATATTTTTCCTATAAGAACTATAGATTTGGGTGAATTCCTCTCTTGTGAGGTTCCCAAAATATCCTAAGCTTCCTGGACCTGCCAGGAAGTGACCTTCCTTACCCACCTATAAGGCTGGGAACCCTATAACAGCAGTCTTTGGTTCAACGGACCAGTTTTGTGGATGACAATTTTTCCACAGACTGGGGGTAGGGAAGATGCTGGCTCACCTGCTGCTCAACTCTTGCTGTATGGCCCAGTCTGAGACCTAGGGATTGGGAACCCCTGCCCAATAAGCCAGGTACCAGGCCGGTTTTCCCAAGAGGACTTTGTAAGCATTGACTCCATAAAGTCTTTGTGCCTTAAAACTGTCTGGACGTATCTGATTCAATGCATCATTCTCAAATATGACATTCCAGTCAAAGCCTTGGTTATAAACTGATTTTTCCAAGTATGCCCTGTTACAAGGAAGACAGAATCTTATTGAACTTATCCAAATAATTGTATTGCCATTGAGAATAAGAATACTCAGTAAGTGTTTCTGAATTCTGGAGGGATCAGGTTGGAAGAAAATATGTTTCATCTCTTTTTACAAAAGCATAACCTACTAAATTGTCATGAGTTATAGAAAGCATGAGACAACAGAAAAAAAGTCTCCTTAAATAAGACATTAAAGAATGATAAATATTCCAAAACAATAACCATAAAAATTATCTTATTTATTAGTTTATTCGGCCCCATGTAATTGAATCTTCTGCTTTATCCTGCGTTAGCAGTTTTATGAACCCGTCAGCTTCTCTACTAGCTGCAGAAATCCATACTCATTCCAATGGTATGGTCTACAAGTATCTAAGCAATGCCATTAGAAGGCTATACCCCAGAGTACCTGGCATAGTCCTTTCCACAGGTCTCTGAGACAATCAGTTTTGTTGAAAATGAAGCATTCTGGCTTATAAGCTGATTATGGAAGCTTTCAGGAAGAATCAGAGTAAAAGAAAAACTATCTGTGGATAATAAAAGACTTAAAATGTCTGTGGTTAAACATCTGTTCATTATAAAAATGATAAAACTGGTGAGGGAATTTGGTTATTTTTGTGACACACAATATTTAAATATTTAAATAATAGTTGGCATTATGATGATAACAGTATATACCAGAACATATGATGGACAATGAGGGTATTGGCAAATGTCTATGAAATTCACATAATTTCTGGAATGTTTTATTATTAATATTTACCCATACAAATATAACCTAGAAAAGCTTAAGCATCACTTTTTACTTGACAATGTTTCCCACATAATTTAATATATCAAACAAACAAAATTTTTACTAGGTGAAAGAAAAAATCCTTTGACATTTTCCAGGGGACCTATGGGAAATCTCAAGGTCAGTCCAAGATTAATACTTCATTTAGGGCTGGGCACGGTGGCTCACGCCTGTAATCCCAGCACTTTGGGAGGCCAAGGTGGGCGGATCACCTGACGTCAGGAGTTCGAGACCGGCCTGGTCAACATGGTGAAACCCCCTTCTCTACTAAAAATTCCAAAATTAGCCAGGCGTGGTGGTAGGCGCCTGTAATCCCAGGTACTCGGGAGGCTGAGGCAGGAGAATCGCTTGAACCTGGGAGGTGGAGGTTGCAGTGAGCCGAGATCGCGCCATTGTACTCCAGCCTGGGGGATAAGAGCGAGACTTCATCTCAAACAAACAAACAAAAAAAGAATTCATTTAGAATTTGATTTTGGAAAACTCAAAAATGTCAAAAGATTTGAATGCTGATTAAACAGGATCCTCGATAACTATGAAACAATAGTTAAGTTCTCTTAAAAGGAGATGACATAGAAAACACAAAGCACAATAAATTATTTTGATAAGGCACAGAATTTTTGTTCCCTAGGCAGATTACTTAAAAGGTAAAGAGGCGGCCGGGCACGATGGCTCACGCCTGTAATCCCAGCACTTTGGGAGGCCGAGGCAGGCGGATCACCTGAGTTCGGAAGTTCGAGATCAGCCTGACCAACATGGAGAAACCCCGTCTATACTAAAAATACAAAATTAGCCAGGCGTGGTGGCACATGTCTGTAATCCCAGCTACTCGGGAGGCTGAGGCAGGAGAATCGCTTGAACCCAGGAGGCAGAGGTTGCAGTGAGCCGAGATCGCACCATTGCACTCTAGCCTGGGAAACAGGAGTGAAACTCCGTCTCAAAAAAGAAAAAAAAAAAAAAAAAAGAAAAACCTTTCACAGTCTCTTACTAAGAACAGACCAATATTCCAAGAAAACTTTGTTGCTTTAACAGAAATAAAACCAAGTTCTAGTTTTATATTAGCACACTGTTGGGCTGATGTTATTTAAAAAAAAACTTTATATAGAAATCAATTTAATCATAGCCAGCTTGAAAACATAAAGAATTCCTTTTCTGCAAACCTACAGTTTTCCATATCCATTCAGATTTCGTCCTACATTTTTCCTCTTTCTCATTCTGGAATAACCAGTAATCTTATTTTAAGACAAAATTACACTCTTTTTCCCTTATCAACAGTAAAAAAAAGTCCTTCATTCCTCACATACTTTGCATACAGAGTTGTTTCTCCTCACACTTATTATTTTTAGTAGTTTAACTTACATGTATTAAATGTAATTTTAACGACCAATACACTTTTACAAAGAAAACTTAAGGAGACAGCTGTAAACTGTGTCACATACTAGCATTCTATAGCAAACTAGCAGGTTTTATGAGTATATCATCTTACAATTCCTAGAGATATTTGTTTCTTTATAGTGTAATCTTTCAGAAGAACATTTTATTAACAGGCCCAATTATATCTAGTTTCTTTATGTCATATGAAAATAAAAAGCCAAAGTATATAAACTCAAACTTAGGTTTAGCATTAGTATTTCAGTCATTTATATTTCTTAGAAATTATGTAGATTTTAATGAATATCTATTAATGTAATGTAATGTAAGTCTAAGGTTGCAAATTACTAAAAAGATTTTAAAAACAATTTCCAGGCAGACATACTATAACATTAAACAAAGCTAGCCAACATCTCAAGTTATTTCCCTGTTAACGATTTCTACAACATATGCATTTATTAGGAAAGTATTATAAAAGCAAAAACCTAAAAAAGTTAAACACATGGATTTTTGTTTTACTGCTATGCTTGATATACAAGAAGTCATGGCTATAAAGCAATTCAATGTTAGTGCATGTTTACTTGTACAGTGGTTCTTAGGTGAAATTTATAATTTTTATAATCTTAAATATCTAGTAGACATAAGTTTATCTGATCAGCAAACCTAAGTAGAATAAAAACATGCCCACATTATACTTAACGCTGACAAGTCATTAAGACAAACCCATTTTTATTAAACCAATAATATTAATCTTATTTATTGAAGACTTAGCAAAGTTATATGTACTTCTTTGGGGGGTGGAAGGTGAGGGGGCAAGGTCTCGCTCTGTCACCCAAGCTGGAGTGCAGTGGTGAAATCTCAGCTCACTGCAACCTCCAACTCCCGGGCTCAAGCGTTCCTCCCACCTCAGCTTCCTGAGTAGCTGGGACTACAGACATGCACTACCAAGCCAGGCTAATTTTTGTATTTTTTATGTGTGTGCGTTTGGGGTTTTTTTTTTGGTAGAGATGGGTTTCACCATGTTGCCCAGACTGATTTTGAACTCCTGAGTTCAAGTGATCCTCCCGCCTTGGCCTCCCAAAGTGCTGGGATTACAGGTGTGATCTACCACATCCAGCCCGTATGAACTTTAAAACACATTTGGGTTAGTTTCCACATTTCTGGGAGTTTTTGGAATATTTAACTTATATAAGAGTTCATTAATCTCTAAGATAATTTGAATAGTGCTTCCTTATGAGATTTTATGAATTATGCTGGTAATACTATCCTTAGGTAGAAAAATATCACATATATATAACATACATACATAAACATATACAAACAAATACGCAGATAGCCGCAAACAGATCTTACAGCTTTTATTCTAAAACTTTAGCAATTAATCAAGTAAACAAAGTAATATAGTTTTATCTTTGGTCTACATTTTTGTCAAAATTGTATTCTTGATAAATGGAACAAATTAGGTTACCTGTTCTATATGAGAGTTAATGTTTTTTAATAATATTTATAGAGAAGATTTTTAAGATTTTCCCATGTAATCTTATGGAGGCTGTGGACCAAATTTTAGGCAGTAACTGAGGTGACATCGAACAGCTTTAAGGATGTCTCCAAAGCCCATCTGACTGGATAAAATATTCAGTGTTTCCAATTAGTGTTTTTTCCTTTATAGCCTCAGGTGGTTGCTTTTGGGGATCCTTGAGACCCTTGAAAACCTTCAACGAGGGACAGTGTGCTTAAAGTTCAAGTGCCTATAGGGAGCTGAGAAGCTGAAGTAGGGAAGAAAAAGTCTGGCAGATATGGACAGAAGGATGATGAAAGAGGTAAGGCTTTGAAGGGAAACATCAAAAGATTCAAGAGAATTAAAGGGGAAATCAAAGATGGCAAGGGGAGAAGGAGGAGCAGAAGCAATGGGAAGGGAGAGGTCTTAGAGGAGCCACTTTGGAAAGATCTTAAGTTTCCTAGAGAAGCCAGTGAAGTTCTAAATTATCCTTGTCAAATAATAAGTAAACAGATTTAGAGGAGCACATACTAGTAGTCCCTCCTATCCACAGGGAATATGTTCCAAGACCCTTCGTGGATGCCTGAAACCGCAGATAGTATTACACTCGGCTGTTGTCAGTCAGAACACATTTCTATTAATGTCTCACACTCACAAATTTAATGTCTTTTCCACGGTAACTAAGCATTTGTCATTCATAGTGGCTGTAATTTTGCAGATTGAGATGCGACAGCAAAGCTAGCACAAATTTTTTTCCTTTTTCACAATTTCACGCATAGAAAATTTGTTCTTATAGTAAATCTCAACATACGATTTTTTTTTGAGTACAGAACTTTCACCTTTTTACTTAAAAGAAGCACTTCATGGCTTCTCTTTGGCATATCTAAATTGCCACCATCACTACTCTTGTGCTTTGGGGCCATTATTTTGTAAAATAAAGGTGACTTGAACACCGGCAGTGCAATACACAGACAGTGAATGTGATAACTGAGATGACTACAAAGTGACTTAATGGCTGTATAGCATCTACAATTTGGATACACTGAAAAAGGATGATTCACTTCCCAGGAAGGATGGAGTAGATAGCACAAGAGTTCATAAAGCTACTCAGAATAGCACAAAATTTAAAGCTTACAAATTATTTATTTCTGGAATTTTCTACCTAATATTTTCAGACCACAGTTGACCACTGGTAACTGAAACTGCAGAAAGCAAAACTAAGGATCAGGGGAGACTACTGTAGTCAGCAGAACCTTGAGAAGAGGGTTTCAGTCAACTAATAAGTTCCCATGGGAGAAGCATGTTCAAACAGAACAGGGAGACCTCACAGAGTGCCAGGAGAAACCATTTCCATCTCAGGATTCTGGATGTGAATCCCCACTTGGAACCAAAAGCCATGAAGAAAGACTACCAGCCCAGTAGTACCTTTCAAAAAAAACATAGGTCTCTAACCCAACTTCAACCAGTAAACTCAGAATCTTAAGTATGAATATCTGTTCCTACCATGCTTCAGTGAACTGTCATGTAGGGCAATGGTTTAGGAGTCAGACTCATCAACAGATCCCAGATCAATCAGTCAGGAGTGAAGACAAAGGCTTCAAAGGTATACAGCTGAGTCCTGGATGAGAGATCCAGGAATCCAATAATAAATCTAATCCTACCCGTATCACAGGACCATTAACTGTTAAAGGAACTAGAGCTGGACAGCAGTTAAAGCAGTAAAAACATTATTCAGGGACTATTACAATAGAGGAAAAGAGACGTCAGTATCGAACTGAGCTCAGTTTCAAATACAGCAGGAACAAGTGGGAATTTATAGCCAAGGGGCAGGATGGGGTCAATGGATGGAAAAATCACTAAGAGGAAACACTAGGGGTAAGATGGGATTCTTGCTGAAGGTAGGCCAGTATGATCATATGTTGCCTGGGGGATGGTGGGGGATCAGGAATTTGATCAGATACCGAAATGTTAGATATTTGGGATAGGAGATTCTCTCTAAACTGACTTAGCAAGATTCTTGCTCAAACTGGACAACGAAGGTCTGACAAGGACAGGGTCTAGACAAGAAAAGGGCTTGTCCAGAGGGACCTAACTAAAGTTTGGTTAAAGAGACAGTCTTTGTCAATATCATATGCTGTTCAAAAAGTCATATTTGGGGAAAAAGTATGTCCCTTCTACTTCCTCCTCTGAGGGTAATATTTATTATTAAGTTTGCACTGGTTTTATAATTGTTTATAATGATTACATTTATAATTGTTTATAATACATGTCAGAGAAAATGTGAAAAACTTTCGATATGAGCTCACTCCAAGAAATTAGTGGGTGTCCTGTATAGCTTACCTATCACGGTGATCTCTACCTTTCACTGTCTTTGAGCTATTTTAAAACTCTGTAAGCTGCAGAAAATGGATAATAATGTGAATTATTGTCCATATAAATGCACATGAATTATATTCCCTGGAATACAACTGAGTATTATCTTGAGGACAATTTATATTTATTTTCATTTATTTTACATTACTTGTAAATTCATTTCAGTATTCTTTATTGCCTATATATGTATGGTTCTTTAAATTCTCCTTTCAACCAAAGTTAAATGTGTTGATAAGTGCTCATTTTATATTTGCGTGAATCATAATTTCATTTTTTTTTTTTGAGATGGAGTCTCACTCTGTCACCAGACTGGAGTGTGATGGCATGATCTTGGCTCACTGCAACCTCCACCTCCTGGGTTCAAGCGATTCTCCTGCCTCAGCCTCCCAAGTAGCTGGGATTACAGGCATGCGCCACCATGCCTGGCTAATTTTTGTATTTTTAGTAGAGATGGGGTTTCACCATGTTAGTCATGCTGGTCTCGAACTCTTGACCTCAGGTGATCCACCTGCCTTGGCCTCTCAAAGTTCTAGGATTACAGGCATGAACCACTATGCCCAGCCGCGTAATCTCATCTTTATAAAAAACATTTCCCTCTCATAGACATTTTTATTTAGTTCTAATGCATGTTCTTAATATTTGTATAGCATTTACCATGATCTATATGCTTTTTTTTTTTTTTCTAGACGGAGTCTCGCTCTGTCGCCCAGGCTGGAGTGCAGTGATGCGATCTCAGCTCACTGCAAGCTCTGCCTCCTGGGTGCACGCCATTATCCTGCCTCAGCCTCCCGAGTAGATGGGACTATAGGCGTCCGCCACCACGCCCAGCTAATTTTTTGTATTTTTAGTAGAGACAGGGTTTCACAGTGTTAGCCAGGATGGTCTCGATCTCCTGACCTCGTGATCCGCCCACCTCAGCTCCCAAAGTGCTGGGAATACAGGTGTGAGCCACTGCGCCTGGCCAATCTACATGCTCTTCTAATGCTTACAAATATTAACTCCTATAATTCTCATAACAAACATACATATATAGTACATATTACTACTATTCCCTCAATAAGTAAAATGAAGCTGAGCCATACAGAAATGAAGTGGTTTGACCAAGTACACACAGCTGGTAAGAAGGCTGGGATTTGAACCCAGGCAGCCCATGATGTTAATCAATCAACATGCTCCGCAGGTAAGAAGGCTGGGATTTGAACCCAGGCAGCCCATGATCTTCATCAACATGCTATGCAGGCTCTCATATACCATTTTTAGTTCAAAGAGTCCATCTGTGAATGAACTGTCTAAGTCCTATCTCTTCCTTTAGTGGCAAAATGCAGCAATTTCATCCCTGTCCCACCACACCCCATACACACACACACACCAAGAAAAAGCATTACTTGCCTTTGCCCTAGAGGAAAAAAACATAACTGGTTTTCCAGAGTAGTTATGATACTTTGAAAGCAATACAAAGGTGTCAGTAGTTTCTGCTACTATTTGACAAAATTTTATAACATACAACACACCAAGTACTAGAAAATAACATAAAATCAAATTTGCAGATATTAATCATGTATCTTCTATTTATGTTTTCTTCTTTGCTTGTTTATACAAAATCATCAAACTCAGAGATTCATATCCCAATACATATACTACTTTGTTTACACTGAAATTCTGTTTAGTATTTATATTTATGACCTTATTCTGATTTTTTAAAATTGTTTTGTAGAGACAAAGTTTCACTAAGTTGCCCAGGCTGGTCTTGAACTCCTGGCCTCAAGCAATCCTTCCGCCTTGGCCTCCAAAAGTGCTGGGATTACAGGTGTAAGCCACCACACCTGGCCTATGACCTTATTCTGAGTTCTGGCATTATGTTACTATTTCACCTCTATTTTAGGCATCAATAAGCCACATTAGAGATAGATTGATTCATTTTATGAGGTAGAGATATCATGTAATCCTGTTGGAACAAGAAAAGCAAATTTAACAAAAGATATAATTCACTAACGATATGAGGCAGACGAGGAGAAACAAACTCTGTTAACTCAATTTTAATCAAGATGAAATGGTCGGGCCCAGCACGGTGGCTCACACCTGTAATCCCAGCACTTTGGGAGGCCGAGGTAGGTGGATCACGAGGTCAGGAAACGGAGACCATCCTGGCTAACATGGTGAAACCCTGTCTCTACTAAAAATACAAAAAATTAGCCGGGCGTGGTGGTAGGTGCCTGTAGTCCCAGCAACTGGGGAGGCTGAGGCAGGAGAACGGCATGCACCCGGGAGGCGGAGCTTGCAGTGAGCTGAGATCGCGCCACTGCACTCTGGCCTGGACGACAGAGCAAGACTCCATCTCAAAAAAAAAAAAAAAAAAAAAAAAAACACAAGATGAAATGGCCAATACTGTCTTTATTTCAAAAGCATAACTTTTAAGATTATAATTCCATTTGAGGATATAACAGAATTTTCATTAAAATCATAAGTATATTTTACATTTCAAACTTCTTAAATATCGTTTTAAAATTGTTTCATCACTTTCCCTATGGGACTGTCAAACTCCCTGAAGATCATCTGATAAACAGCTAAGGGATCATCACCAGGTACTGAGCAATATAAAGGATGTTGTTTTAAGCTACTATGTTTTGGAAGGGTTTTTTTGCCCAGCAAAAGCTAACTGTAGGAGGAAGCTTTGAAGATTTAGCCAGATTTGATGATCTCTGGAAGACCATCAGTAGGTCCTGATGATCCCTTAGCCGTCACACTTAAAAGAATAAGATGCTGGGAGATATTCACACAAAATGCCTGGGAATACTCCAAATTCTTACTTTCCCCCATATTGAAATCCCTGTATTTTGGCACCCATAGACAGGATTCAGAGAAGCCACCAAGGGTACCAGTAAGTTGTCTAATGATATCAGAAGGGGCGTGCTGTCAGTGAACCTCCTCCCTTTTGAGAATGCCTGAAAAGTGAGTTTAGTCTTAATCCAGCCATGTGGATACAGATTTAAATCAACATTCCCGCTCCCCAAAAGAAAAACCAAATAATTAGTAGTATACCATCCCAAGAAAACCCCACAAATATCTATAGAAATTAATGTAAAAATGAAATTATAATAAATGTATTATCAAGATGATCAGAAAAATAATTTTGGGTTCGGTAAGAGGTTTTACGGATATACAATCAGGGAACTAGAGGAATCCCAGGGGTCAAGCTGTTTCTGAGATCATTTCTTGAAACCAGCCAGTCAATCTCCACACCTCCATCTCCTATCTGATCATTGTTCTAGATTACACACACACACACACACACAAACCCCTCTATACTCCAGCATATCCATTTATTCTCAAATATATAGTTCAGTTCTCTTAGGTATTATAGATGTTATATTAGAAGATTCTCTCTCGTAGGCTAATTAATAGTAGCTAGTGTGCTGGAGGTTTACAACGTCATTTTTGGGCTACATCTTCAAAGCTTCCTCCTAAGCTTTTGCTGTGCAAAAATCCCTTCCAAAACTTAGTGGCTTAAAACAACATCCTTTATATTGCTCATTAGCTTGTGGTTAACCAGGCAGTTCTACAGTCAGCTGGTGGGGTGACTAAGGCTAGATGGTTCTAAATGGCCCCACTCACATCTGGCTGGCAGTAGTCAGGCTGGTATAGGGGCCTCAGCTGGGATGGTCTGTCTCTGCTTCACGTGGCTTCTCATTCTCCAATATACTAGCCAGGGCTTTGCGTGATAAGCGAGCACAGACACCAACGTGCAAGCAATCTTTAAGCCTCTGGTTGGGTCATGTTTGCTGCAGTCCCATTGGTCAAAGTAAATCACATGGAAAAGCCCAAAGTCATTGGAAGAGCAGTAAATAGGAGCATAGACACAGGGAAGTGACATTCTTTGGGGATCTTTTTGGCCCCATTTACTAAGCACATTCTGAGTTCCTGAATTTTCTGCATACTAGATCCCAATATTTGTTTTGATTGCAGTTTTGCTTGATGTGCAAATATTTATTTGGGATATATTTTTATCTGATGGAAACTTGGTTCATACTGGCTGTTTTTTTAATGCCATTTCAGTAACTATTTTTGACTTCTAATACATTTCTCTACTGCAGAAATCTAATATCCAAATGCCTATAGGAGACAGACAGGCAACATAACTGAGGGAGGCCAGCCTGGTATAAATATATACAAATATACTGTGTTGTAAATCTGAAAGCAAAGAATGCCCTGTCCAAAGGATGTTGCCTCTGCTCACATGTCATGCAGGGATGTGGGCCTTGTACTTTCAGATCTCCGTTTTACAGGAAAAAAAGGAAATCTAAGTTGTAATGTAAAATCCCCTGATTTTTAAATACTAAAATTTAAAATAAAAATTTAAAATGAACTTTAACGGCCAGGCACAGTGGCTCATGCCAGTAATCCCAGCACTTTGGGAGGCCGAGGCAGGCTGATCACTTGAAGTCAGGAGTTTGAGACCAGCCTGGTTAACATGGTGAAACCCATTTCTACTAAAAATACAAAGTTAGCTGAGCACGATGGCGGGGGCCTGTAATCCCAGCTACTTGGGAGGCTGAGGCGGGAGAATCGCTTGAACCCAGGCAGCAGAGGTGGCAGTGAGCCAAGATCACGCCACTGTACTCCAGCCTGGGCAACAGAGCCAGACTCCATCTCAAAACAAAACAAAACAAAACAAAAAAAAGCCATTTAAAAGCAACATGGTACTGGTCAAGTTAAAAAATTTATCTTTGGGCAGAATTCAAGCAAAAGCTATTAACTTGTAAGTTCTTTAATGGATCCCAAACAGCCCACCATGTAAGGCTTTCCATCACTTGGTTAAAACCTGGATAGTTCCAATCTTATCAGCCCCTATTCCCCAATCTGTGGTACTCTCTATATTTCTCATCATGGGTGAATTCTCACTTTTCCTCAATACATCCTCTATTTCCTTCCCCTGTGACTTTAGAATGCCCTTTGCCTGGTCATCCTCATCCCACCCTAAAGCCCTCTGGTACTCCTAACTATCCTTTAAAACAGCCTGGATGTCTCTACTTTCATAAAACTTCCTATGAATGTTACTTCTCACTCTCTGAATCCCAAAGCACTTTGGGTCATCCTCATGACATTTATCATATCCTTCACAGTATTGAAGTTATCTGTGTATGTTTTATCATCATTCTACTAGAATGAGGAGTTCGTATTCTGGCTGAACTTTTTGTTTCCTGTATTACTTAGCAAGCTGATCATGCCTGGAATGCCCTCCTGCTCAGGTGAGCTTACACTCAAATATGAGATCCTTATATGAAGGTTTCCTTGATTTTCCCTGCCAGGATTAGTTTGGAATCTCAGAAACTGTGGAGCACAGGGGGGGTGGGGGGTGCGAGAGGATAATCTGTTGCTAAGATTTTTATCCAAGGAAGCTTCATGAAAGTTGGAGCTAGGAAGAGAGGCAGGGGAATTAAGTCTTAGGCCAATTAAATAAGTGAGCTGTTGAATTGGAAGGGCGAGCACTCAAGAGAAAAATCATGCGCATGAGAGCGTTCAGCATTGTATCTTTAAGAACGAACAATGGAGCCATCTGCAGACATCCTAATTCTACCCTTTCCTAAAATAAAGTCGAGTTTTATAGATCTATATGTCCTGTTTCTCTATGTTAATATTTTGAATGGTTATAACCACCCTCTTGAGGTAACTCAAGAAAACTGAGACACAGAGAGATCAATCAACTAGCTTGCCCATGGTCTTACAACTGACAGAGCTAAGATTTGAACAATGGAAGTCTGATTCTAGAACCCATGTGCTGAGTCACTGTGCAAACTGCCTCATAAGAATCAGCCTCACAAGGGTAAAAATAGATCCAGAAGTTCTTTAAATAAGGACACACTTCACTCTCCCAGGATTTTTTATTTTAATGAGACTATGTGTGAAGCTGTTTGGGATGGGAGCTCAGGCATTAAAAATGTGCATTTTATCCTACTGCTATAATCTGCTAAAAAACAATTTAGTTAAAAAATTGTGATATGAATACACAGTATGACTCAGTCTAAAGCTTATATAATAATGCAACCTAATTCTTCAAGTAATCTTGTGTAAAAATAAAGTTCAAAAGATTATACTTCAAAGAAAAGGAGAAGCACATTTCTGCCCTTTTAGTAAAATGTACGAAATCCTCATTTATAAAAAAGGAAATAAATGTTCATTCAAAACACAAACCTTTTTATGCTGAGTGCAGTGGCTCATGCCTGTAATCCCAGCACTTTGGGAGGCCCAGGCGGGCAGATCATGAGGTCAAGAGATCAAGACCATCCTGGCCAACATGTGAAACCCCATCTCTACTAAAAATACAAAAATTACCTGGGCATGGTGACGCACACTAGTAGTCCCAGCTACTAGGGAGGCTGAGGCAGGAGAATCGCTTGAACCAGGGAGGCAGAGGTTGCAGTGAGCCAAGATAGCACCACTGCACCCCAGCCTGGCAACAGAGCAAGACTCTGTCTCAAAAAAAAAAAAAAAAAAACACTAAAAAATCAGGCCAGGTGCAGTAGCTCACGCCTGTAATCTCAGGACTTTGGGAGGCCGAGACGGGCGGATCACGAGGTCAGGAGATTGAGACCATCCTGGCTAACAAGGTGAAACCCCATCTCTACTACAAATACAACAACTTAGCCGGGCGTGGTGGTGGGCGCCTGTAGTCCCAGCTACTCGGGAGGCTGAGGCAGGAGAATGGTATGAACCCAGGAGGCAGAGCTTGCAGAGAGCCAAGACGGCGCCACTGCTCTCCAGCCTGGGCGGACAGAGCAAGACTCTGTCTCAAAAAAAAAAAAAAAAAAAAAAATCACTAAAACAACAGCATTCATAATTTTGCCTTATCAGTCAAGTGTAGGATTTTCAGCCTGTCGGTTAAGAGCTTTAGAACCTGTGAGGTTAACTTGATAGACTGCAATGAACATTTGCACAAAATAGTATAGACTAGAACTAAAGTATTACAGTGAGTCACATGTAGTAAATAATTGTTTCATGAAAATTTTGTCTGTTACATATACATTAGACACACATAGGTCATATGTTTCTTACTGTGGGTCTTGGGTAAAATTTTGAAATTTTTGAAATCAGTGTTTGTCTCTACTCTGACACAAAAATAAAATGTTTTAAAATGTTGTCATTTTGATATTTTGCCATTTCACAAAAATGGACAGACTTTCAAGACTATGTATCAAAATACCAAACAGTGAACATTTCTGTAAGAATTCTTGAGTGCAGAACCAAAGCTAATATATTGACTAACATACCAAGATTTTACAGGGTCTAGCAGAGAATAAGATATATAGTAAATGCCCAATAAATATAGAATTGATTGATTACAGAATGTGTTTATGCTTAAGAGGACCTGGTTTGTTCTATACAAGTCCAAATTCACATAATAAAGCACAAATAATGGAGTTATTTACAGTATCACATACAAAGCTATAACTAACTCACTGGTATAACCTAAGTGGAAAATCAAAATTTTCAAAAGATGTAATTTAATCTGCAGTAGATACCTAAATCTAAACACAACAAGGAAACAAAGCCTAAATTAGTAAAAAGAAAAAAAAATGTAATCCACAGAACTTTTGCAAAAGACCTTTGAACTCTATGGATAATGAAACTAAAGTACTGAGAGGTTATGTTGCTTGCCCAAGGTCACAGAACTAGTGGATGGCAGTCCAATATTCCTTTCCCTCCACAATGACGACTCACGTATTTTGCATGTTGTCTTGTAACTTAATGTTATTTAAAAGAGCATCTCTGTTTGTGTTATAGCTATGCATGTACCATATTAACCCCTCTTTCAAGAGTCAGTAAAAAACGGAGGCAACAGATTCTGGAAACATTATGCCGATTTGAATCTCAACTCTGTCGCTTACTAGCTCTGTGGTACTGGTCAAATATAACCCTTCTAGGCCTCAGTTTCCCCACTTATGGGGATATTACCTCTCTCACAGCATTGTTGTGAGAATTAAATGGATTAAAACATAGTAAAGCATGTGAGAAAGTGCCCTAGACATAGTAAAAGCACAATAAACGTCAACTGGCAGGAGGAGAATTATTACTAATCTGAGTTGAGGCAGAATCACTTCTTTCTGCCATATATACCAGCCAGCACAATACCCTATACATACTTTGTAAAAACACTAATTATGCCCAAATACTCCTTTCTCCTGCCAGGTAAGCCAGAGATGACTCAACCAAGAAGCATGAAATAAAGAAGAAAGCTTCTTACTTGAAGCTCAGAAAGCACTAAAAAATTAGGTGAGCAAATATAGTTAAGGACTGCAGAGTTATACAACAGTCAAAGAAATTGCGAGAGAGACTGTGAAGGATCACCACAGATCAGATGCGAGGAGTCCTAACACCAAGAGGGAGAATCAAACAGGTGTGTCAGATGTCCACACACAAAGAATTTAAGTTAACTGGCCAGAACAGGAATGGAAGTCTATAGCTTTCTGTTACGTGCAGCCTTGGTAGGACCCACAGGAGTCCAGCCAAATTCAAAGGTGCAGAGGTTGAACTGACACACTGAGTTCAGGAACTATTTGTTCTTGATTTCCTTAAATAATGCTAATCTCTGCAACAAATGTCTTTGGTTCCGTGATTCAGATTGTATGTAAACTTAAACAGTAAAATACCAAAATCATTTTCTTTGGCTCTAGTACTTTTTCCCTACCGATGTGAAAGTAGTTTCTAATTTTCTTCCAGATTTCTTTGAATATTATGGTAATAATTACTTCATTACTAATCTTGTCTTTATTCACAAATGTTCTTCATTTAGTATCGTATTAACAGCTGAACTGCACTCAGCACTGGGCCAGATATCATGCAATTTAAAACTACAGCTGCTGCCCACCAAATACCAGTAGAAGAAAATCACTGACCCATTTAACCAATAAGTAGGATTGAAAGGGAGCCTAAATGGAAACACAGATCTCTGAGGAAGCTCTTAAAATAATCTTCGCCTGAACTAAGACTGTGGCAATGGAGATAGAAAAATGAAAATGTCAGCAATAATACTCGAGGCATATTTAATAAAGTGTTGAGGTCTCACTGGAAGAGGGAGGACAAGAAATTGCTGAGGTTGACTTCCTGGTTTCTGATCTAGGAGGCTATGAGAGGTAATGCAGGTGCGAGAGCCAGCTTGGGAAAGAAGATAATTAAGTCAGTCCTGGATATGTTACATATTAATTTCCTGCAGAGTACTCAGGTAGAGAGGCATTACATGTACAGGTCTTGATGCTCAAAACAAAGGTTTTCAGGCTAGAGATGTAGATTTAGGAGACACCATCATGTGGTAGTGGCCCTGGGTGAGATCAACATAGGTACACATGTAAATGAAAACGGACCAAAGACAGAAAACTGGAGAACAAAAACCTTTATAGGAAGGGCAAAGGAAAAGAACATGAAAAAGACACAGTGAACAAATACTTAGAGGGACAGAAGAGAAACCAGCAGAAGCCCACGGAGGAGAAAGTTGGCCAGCAGTTTCAAATATCACAGTGAAACAACAGAAGCACTGAAATGCCTATTTCATGTATTAATTACAGGTTGAGTATCCCTTATTCAAAATGCTTCGGACAGGACAGGCTCAGTGGCTCTTGCGTATAATTCCAAGACTTTGGGAGGCCGAGGTGGGAAGATCACTTGAGCCCAGGAGTTTGAGACCAGCCTGACCAACATGGTGAAACCCTGTCTCCACAAAGTATACAAAAATTAGCCGGGTGTGGTGGTACACAACTTAGTTTCAGCTACTCAGGTAGCTGAGGTGGGAGGATCACCTGAGCCTGGGAGGTCAAGGCTGCAGTGAGCCAAGATCATGCCACTGCACTCCAGCCTGGGCTGCAGAGTGAGACCCTGTCTCAAAAAAAAGCTTGGGACCAGAAATGTTTCGGATTTCAAAATTTTCAGATTTTGAAATATTTGCATACACATAATCTTGGGGATGCAACCTAAGTCTAAACACAAAATTCATTTGTTTCATATACATCTTATACAGCATTTTTAATAATGTTGTGCACTAAACAAAGTTTATGTTAAGTACTTACGTGTAGAATTTTTACTTGTGGCGTCACATCACCCCTCAAAAAGTTTCATATTTTGGAGTTTGAATTTTCAGATTAGAGATACTCAACCTGTGTCATTGCTGGCAACCATGGCAAGAACAGTTTCAATAAAGCCAGCATATGGATGTGCCTAAAATTGAGCATAGATCATTAATGCCCCACGAGGTGGTAGAGAAATAAGATGGATAGAGCCTATGTCCCTGAATGACCACAGAAGTAGAATTTCTAATTGACCTGAAACATTCCCCTATAAAGAAATAAATTTCCATCTTTTTAAATTAAACCATGGAATCATTAGTAAATCTCTTTGTTACAATAGCCCAGCCTTTCCCTAACTTACCCATTCAGTACCTTAGATATACAAAAATTAAATCAATTCCTTTTTTGAAAGCCATTTAAGCCATGTCCCATTTTTTAATCATAAAAACACTATAATATAAAGACCTATTTATATGTATCTTGGAACACATCTCTGATCACTTCTTTGGTTTCAATTCCTAAAGTAGAATGACTGAGTCACACACAGGCTTTTGAAGCAGACTGCAAGATCGTACAGTTTCACCAGTAGGGCTGAGGGAAAAACAAACAAATGTGGCTTCAGACTATAAGAGGTAATGTTCACATGCTAAGATGACTTCAGGAAGAATAAGCCCTGAAAAGAGGCTATCAGATTTAAAGGTCCTTGTTTATCCAAATATAATTGAAAATTAAAGAAGTCAGATTTCATTAGATTCTGTATTTTCCTTAATTATTCCAATTAGTCACCCTTGACTCCTCTAACTTTAAACTCTAAGTCACATCCAACTAGTCTCTAAATCCTACCAATTCTACTTTTGAAATATCTTTTTTTCTCCCCGTGACATTCACTGCAACTCCCCTGGCATAAGTTAAACAGTAAAATAAATTAAAAGATAAAAGTCTCTGGCCCTAACCTATTTTATAGCCTCCTTTTCTACAACTTACCCACCACCTTGATCTCATCAAATGTCTCTTTAATGCTTCCATGTCTTTGCAAATATTGTTCTAACTGGAATGCCATTTCCCTTCTGTCCCCTTGAGAAACTCCTATTCATATTTTAGGAGCTACTACAAAGCTGTTTTGTGAATTTTTCACTACTCTGAATGACTGTGTCATTCAACATGTTATACAATTATCACTTGTTTTATAAATGACGCTTAATCTCTGAAATGAGAACTTCTAGGCTAGATCCATGTGTTTTGCGTATTTGAGTCCTTCAAGATTCCTAGCACAATGACTGACACATGGTAAACACTCAAACATTTACTAAAGAAAGTAAAAGAAGACTGAAGGGAACATGTCAGGAAAGAATGGAACAAAGAAGCTAAAACAAAGGACACTTTCAAAGTCAATCACTTAAAATATTTTAGTGAACAATAATAGAAAGGCTTATATCAAACTAATGCAAATTTCTATGCAGAAATGTTAATGACTTAGGCATGATATTTTAATTTCCTGCTTCACAGATCACTATTCTTCAAAGCTTCTATTTTTTATTCTTTAATCTCTAAAATAGTTTCAAGTGTGTTCCACAGAACCAAGCAAAGCTCTTGGAACAAGGGCCAAGACATCAGGATTTAGCAAGTTGTAAGATCATTCTTAAACACATTAAAGTTGGAGGACCACTCCTCAAATTATTTTATATATAAGTTCACTAACATAATTTTAATATCAGAAGCCCAACAGACTTTTGTAAACTATGCACATATTCACAGAAAGTAAGAGCTATCAGCTTACTGACTCAGTGTGTCTTCACGAGCTTCTCCATGTTGTCACAAACATGGAAGGATATGTAACTACAGCTATGCTTAAGATGCTGGTAATGCTAAATTCCATAACTATACTTATACATCATTATTTTTGAGGTCATCAATCCACAGAATTTAAGGAAAATTATGAAATAACCACCTCTAAGATATTTAGTGGAAATACACATCTGTCCTAGAGTACTTAGGTACACACCTTCCTGAAACTCTGGGCCAGCACCCTCGCAACCTTTTCCTTCAATGATTTTTACATGATTATGATCAGACTTTGAGTACTGATATGTGAAACCATAAATATATGCACAACCACCAACCTGTATTAGAAGCACCAGTCCTGAAGGAGAAACATTTACCAAAACTCACATTTTTTAAAAAGAAATTTTATTTCTTGTTATCCTGCCAAAATACTGTAGATTATTTTTAAACTTTTTCACATATTTTCATGCAATTTTAAAAAGAACTTTAAACAAATTCATTCAACTCAAGTATCTAATCAAATTTAAACAGAATTTTCCAGCATCCAACTTATTTCAGTGGAATAGTCTATTAATAGAAGATGTAATCAATAGTGTACCTACATGCAAAAATATCTCAAAGTACATTTCAAAGGAGAAACCATCATATTTAGCAATGCTTTTCAGTGTGAGAGTGCATGTTGTTTATACTTCTATGGTGTATATACATATACAAATGATTAGTAAAACAATCAGTGTGATAGCTTTAAGGTAACATGCTTTATTATATACACACTCCCCCCTTTTTTGTTTAGTGTATAAGGATTACAAATGTTAATATTTTCATGGCTATATTATTAAGACACGAGGTACCTAAGGACATAAAGCTTGAATATTTTAAAATCTGTCAACTAATTCAAATATTAGAATCAATTAAACAAAGGCTATTGAAGTTTCAGGGACAAAGACTATACTCAATGAATTCACAGCTGGCCAAAATACAGAAAAGCTCAACATTTTTTACCAGTCCTATGCACATCTGAAATACTGTTAAAAGAAACTACAAAGCCAATCTATAAATAAGTCACAATAACCCAAGAGAAATAACATAATAGCATAAGTGGACTGGCACTGAAACTGTTAACAAAAATATTCAGATTCTCTTTCTGAGCACAAAGAAGATTACGAATCTCCCCCATCCTCCATCCCAGGTCTCAAATGATTTCACTGTGCATGCCTTCTGGAACTACTTATCTGAGATCAGAAATGTCGTCTATCTCCTCAGCCTATTCTCTCAATGTTTCCTTGACTTTCTTGATTTCACTGAAACCTAGGTGTCCCCTATGAATATCAACATTCTTAATGGAAGCCTTAAAAAAAAATTAACATGTTCCTCAAAGCTAAAAGGTCTGGTAATGTTTTCCACTCCTACATGCAAAAATTTCTGTCCCTTCCTCCTTAAGTTGCTAGCCTTTCATCCCCTTTCCCAAGTTAGAAACATGGATCTGTAAATGGCGAAGTGGCTTGGACCACATAGACACAGGTAACTGCTTATCAGAGGGTTAAAGACTAAGATAGAGGGAACCAGAGTCTTTAGACAACCTTGTGGAAGGAAAATAGCCAGCTACCAGCTTTGGACTGAGTTATATGAAAGTAACTTCAATTTTGTTTGGTGCTCTATAGTTAAAGATCTTTTGCTATAGTAATTGAATCTGTAGTCATAACCTATAGTTTTCCACCATATTTAGAGTAAGTTCTAAGCTTATCATAAGCACGTAAGGGTCGAAAAGATTCAACCCATCTTCACCCTCTTTGTTCCAACCCAACTAAAACGCTACCCTAAATGCTGTTCCCTAGATTTACACATGTCTGGGTCTATTACTGACTTCCAAGTTACTAATTCAAATGTCACCTCCTCAGAAAAGCATCCCTCATTATCCTACCTAAAGTGGTCCCTTCTCCTCATTCTAGCATTTTATCTTCTTTATAGCACTTATCACATTCTGAAATTATTTGCTCATCTATTTATCTGTTCTGCGTAAAATGTAAATACTTTGAAAGCAAAAATCCTGTTTCGTTCATGACTATCTCAAATGCCTGACAAAATTCAATCAGTAATATTGAATAAATGTTCTTCCAAAAAATGAAACCTCATCAGGGCATTGGCTAACCCCTCTCCCTGAACCACTCCACCCAGCTTCATGTCCCATCTTATTCAAGTCTCAGCTTATATATTGCTGCTTCAAAAAGGACTTCTCTGACCAACCTAACATAGCCTTAATCCGAACTGCAGTCATTCATTCTGTATCACTTCACCCTACTTATTCCCATCATACTACCCTTCAAAATTTAAAGCATCTTATTTACCTATTTTTGACCATCAACAAGTTGATGAGATCAGGGGTCTTGTCTTTTTCACTTATATTCTTATTTGCCTAGGACAGTGTCTGGTGCTTAGTAGGTGCTCAATAAATTTTTGAGTGAATAATGATTGTAAATATGTTTACAAAAAAGCATATGTCTGAAATTAACTCGAGATTAAACAAAATGCAAAAATAAAAAATTGAAAATAAAGTTTAATCTGAATCACGAACTACATCATTAAAAAGACAGAGGTGAGAGGAAAAAGAATGGGAGAAGTTAAATTGTTTCACCTTAAACTGGGGAAATTAATGTATCTTTAATAGTGTTAATTCAAAAAATATAGGCTCAAATATTTGAAAAACATAGAAATAGTTTTCAGGAGAATTAAAGTTAACCCTCTACACACGTAGAAAGAAAACAGTTTGCATAACAGCAATGAAGCATGAGAAACTAAATGAATAAGCCAGCAGTTAAAATATGAATGAAAATGAATAAAACAGGCCAGACGCAGTGGCTCAAGCCTGTAATCCCAGCACTTTGGGAGGCTGAGATGGGCGGATCATGAGGTCAAGAGATCGAGACCATCCTGGCCAACATTGTGAAACCTCGTCTCTACTAAAAATACAAAAATTAGCTGGGTGTGGTGGCACATGCCTGTAGTCCCAGCTACTCAGGAGGCTGAGGCAGAAGAATTGCTTGAACCTGGGAGGCAGAGGTTGCAGTGAGCCGAGATCACGCCACTGCACTCCAGCCTGGTGACAGAGCGAGACTCTGTCTCAAAAAAAAAAAAAAAAGGTAAAAGGAAAAAAGAAAAAGAAAAAGAAAAATGAATAGAACTCCTCTAGTAAAAGTCAAAGAAAAAAGGAGTCAAAGACTCTCAATATAGGAAAAAACTCCATAAGGAAAAATTTTTTAAAAAAAGAGGGCAAAGATATAATCAACAAATGAAAATAAAAACAAAACCAAAATATAAGAGAAAAAAGTTTCATTTTTTTTTTTGTATTTTTCTAAATGTACCCTGCCATACAGAGGACAGAGAAGAGGTAGGACTGAATGTGAGAACATATAGGCAAACAATTAGCAGAGGGTATTATTCACTGACATTTTCAATAGGTAATACAATCGTGATTAAGTTTCACTGAATTTCTAGTTATTTTAATATTATTTAATAATAATATCCTCACACTAAAGCAGTATTTTTTGCTTACCGTAATTTGAGTTTTATTGAAGCATACATATATGCAGAAAAACTCACAAATCATAAATTTTACAACTCACTGAATTATCTCAAGGTCAGTATACCCATGTAACCACCACCCAAGTCAAGAAAAGGAACACTACTAATACCTAGAAGCCCAATACCACTTCCCAATCCCTATCCCTTCCTCATCCATAAAAGTAGCCACTAACCTGAGGTCTAATAACCAGTTTTGCCTGCTTTTGTATTTTATAGTTTTTAAATTCCTAGTTTTGCCTGCTTTTGAATTTTATATAGGGAATCATACACGGTAAGTATTTGTGTCTAGTTTATTTTGATCAACATCGGTTCATGTAATTTATCTTTGTTGTTGCACGGGGCCGCAATTCATGCATTTTTATTGCTGTACGCATTACTATACAGCACTGAATTAAATCTACCATAATCTGTTTACCCATTTTACTGCTGATGGCCATTTTTGTTTCCAGGTTTCGGCTAATACAAATAATGCTACTTTGAATGTTACTGTGCTTGCCTTTTAGTGGGTATCTGCATGAATTCCTATCGAAGTTGCTGGATATATGTATGTATACACATACCCACAGCTTTAGCAGGTGTTGCTAGTTTTCAGAAGTGATTTTTACAATTTATATTTTCCCACCAGCAGCAAAAAGAGAGGTGCATCGCTCTCCACTTTCTGCTAATACTTGGTACTGTCGATCTTTCTAATTTTAGCCATTCTGCTGAGTGTTAATATTATGTCTTTACAGTTTGAACTGACTGCTCAAATCTCTTTCCCATTTATTCTATTGGGTTGTCTGTCCTTTATACTGATGTAGGAGTTTACATAGTATGGATATAAGCCATCTGTCAGATATATATATTACAAGTATCTGCTGTTACTGTTTTGTTTTTCTCTTATCAGTAACTTTTGATGACAGAAATTCTTGAACTGTCAACAGTCCAGGTTATCAATCTTCCCTTTTATACCTGTGAGTTGTGTGTCCTGTTTAAGAAACATTTTCCTACTTCAAGATTATAAAGTACTGATACTTTCAGTCTGATAGAAAGATGTAAGATATTCTCTTATACTGTCCTCTAGGGGCTTATTTTACTTTTCACATTTAGATCTTCAATCAAATGTGCATGGTGGGAAGCAGGGATCAAGTTTCATTGTTTTTCCCATTTGGATATCCACATGATAAGCAATGTTTAATGAAAAGATTGAATATTTTTAATTGATGAAGAATAAAATATATTATGAAGATATCAATCACAAACTTCTAAGAATCAAATAATGTAGCAATAAAACGTTAAAAAACAATGAGAAAAATGACAAACACACAACAGTAATACAAAACTTTAATAAAATTATCATAAATACATGATAGCTGAAGCACATAAAAAAAAAAAGAGATCTGAATAAATATATAAAACTGTATACCCTTCAGAGGACTCACCTTCTTTGTCAGTGCTTGGGGCACATTTTAAATACTGATCTTATATGTATCACCAAAAAAGATTTTAATTCTCAAAAACCAGAAACTGTACATTCCTTATTCTCTGATTATATTATACTAAAAATGGAAAATAACAATTGTAAACACATACATTTCATCATTTTTAAATACCCTCTTAAGTAACTTTTAGATCAATGAGGAAATTGCAGCTACATTTTATTGAAAATCTAGAAAATAACAAAAACAGCATCTTCTATTATATGGCATTTACTCAAATCTGTAATTTAGAAGCAAATTTAGAGTAATAAAAGCTTTTGCACAAAAAGAAAAATGGAAGTACTAAGTTGTTAGAAAAACCTGGAAGACAAAAAAAACAGGTAAAATTATTTTTTCAGTTAGCAAGCAGAAGAATAAAATTCAAAGGGCCATTGCTTTAAAAAAACAATAAAATACATATATACCTCCAATCTAATTACAATCTAAAAACAGACAACACAAGACATAACATAAATGTAATGATAAAGGGGGTTTTGTCACATATGGAAGTCAAATATCATAAGAAAATTCTATACATAAGTGTTTGCTAATAATTTTTTTAAACTGAACAAAACAGACAATTCTTAAGGAAAACACAAATTATCATATTATCCAAAACCTGAGAAGACCAATAACTATAGAATAAACTGAAAAAGTCATGAAATAAATACCTCTATGAAAGGTCATGGGTAAAATCTAATTATATCATATATTACCCATTTACAATCTGCATAATCAATCAATCAACAGAAATGTCGGTAACACAGTCTGGGGTTCTTATTAAAAACTGGCATCCATTAATTCATTTACTCATTCAACAAATATATATCCAATGAGGACCCTGTGTGTACTGGCCTCTGCTAAATACCAGATACAAATATGTACAAGCCAAACATGATACCTGACCTCTAGAAGTTATAGAACACAAACAAGTAAACAGGTAATTACAACAAATTGAGATGTTATATAAGAGGAGAAGGGACAGGTTTAAAAAAAAAAAAAACAGTACTGATCCCTACTCTCAGCAATGTTGGGGAGAAGAGGGTGGAAGAGACAGCTGGTATATGTTGAATGCCTGCTCTTTGCTGTCTGTGTCAGGTGCCACAAAAAGACATTCTCATTCATTCCCAGTAAGAACTCTGGACAGGTAACTTGCCCTATGCCCAGACTGGTAAATGGACAAGTTTTAAGGATTCATAGTCAAATGTGTATATATATGTATTTTTTTTTTTTTTTTTTGCTCCTGAAACTTCTGATCTTTCCCTAATGCCATTAAAGGAGAATAAGAATAACTAATGGAAGAGCAATAAAAGAGAACACCAAACAAAGGCTGTGGCAAAGGATCAGTAGAGTCAAAAGAGAAAGACTGTAACAGGCTTACAAGTTAATTAATGCATTTTTGGAAATCGATCACTAGAGGGCGGCATTGCAAAGACTATGAATAACAAGTCACAAAAAAAAGAACCAGAGTAAAACTATAAAGAACGCCAATGTGTTTAATCCATTTGTAAGTACTTTTTAGAATGCTTAAAACATTATTTCATGTTTAAGACAAAATAAACGCATGTTTTTCTTTCTTAACCTGAAATGTGTAGAAAATATTTCCTTGGAGTTTCACAAAACAAAGACTACTGTAACATAGTAGATGAGTAAGTCCATAAATACAAAATCTAATTTTATAAACTAGCTTTGGTACAGCAGCTTCTCAGTTTGAAAATAATCATATCGACCTTTATGTTTTCTTTTGTCAACATACTAATATTAACAAAATTAACCCATATAGAACTATTTTCAGAAAGGCAGTCTATAAATAATTATATCATAGAGTCAGGAACCTGAACTTTGAGAAAGTGCCTTTAAATGAAAGGCAAAGACAGATAAATAATTCTTCTAAAATAAAATCACTGCCTGCATGTTCTCATCTCTGAGTACTTCACAATCCAGAGTTTTCTGGCCCCATTGAAATTGTTCTGGACAAATTTACCAGTGGCAATTCTTTACCAAATCTGAAGGATTCCTTGCACTTTTTATGTTTCTACACCTCTCTGTGACATCTGACACAACTGAACATTCTTCTTTAGTGAAACACTAATTTCTTGCATCCAGCATAACCCTCACCATTATACTTTTACTCTATTGGCTCCCTCCCTGGCCACTTTTAAAGTTTAAAAACTTCAAACCTTCTTAAACTTGGGGAGTTTAAAACTCAGCCCTTTTCTATCACATCTTTTCTTTAAACAAATCTTCATTACATGGAGCACTTGCCAAATCTCATTCTCCAGCCAACTTCTCATAACTGTGTGCTAGCTACCTCTGCTTATCTCTGCAGCTCCTCTTCTACCATCCAGCCTTCTACTCTAAGATGTTGCTACAGTAAATGGTCTACAACTTGCACTCAGCTGGAAACTCCCCTCTTGGAGCTCCCCCATCCACCTGCTTTTGGAATTCCTCCTCATCCTTATACATCTTGCTAAATTGTCATACACTCTACAAGTTTCCCCAGTATTCTCCAGGAATCATTCCCATCCTGGTAGCTTTCACTATTGGGTGGATCATACTAGATTCCAAATACTCATTTGGTTTTATTTCCCCACTCAATGTGGTGGGGGAGGCAGAAAAGTAAACAACCAATTACAATAAGTGCTTTAGATAATCCTGAAAGAGTACGATTACATACTAAAAAAATTAAAAACTAAATTTAAAAACCACCCACACAAACCAATTCGCAAGATGGTTTCTATATAACATAGTTACACTCTTAATTTCCAAGTATTAATTTACCGTTTAGGATCAGGGTTTATACCAACACCAAGCTCAACATTTAATAGAAAAAAATCAATATCCTTAATATTACAACATATTTACTATTTAAAAATTTTTATTTTGACATATGCACTAATATAAGGTCTGTTAAAATCTCAAGGAAAAGAGAAAATCATGATTACGCATCACAAAAAGCACAGTTATTTAAGTGTAAAAAATAAAATTTAAGTTCCATCACGCTATCTATGGGAAACAAAATTGAGAAAATTGACCACAATATGAATAGAAATCACCATACTTCATCTTGAAAAATTAGTATTTATTGACAAAAACCCACAATAGTTGGTTTTGAGCACTAAAGAATTTTAAAGTGGAAGTGAAGTACCTTACAAAGCTCTCGTGATAAACACACTGTACTTTTTAGGTTTGGGCAGATGCTATACATTTTCATTCATCCTTGGATGAAATGGAAGCAAAAGTACCTTCATTCACAGAGGACAAAGAGCAGCTCGGATTGTGAGAAGAGTTTATGACAACTGCCCACAGCAGAGACATAATTCCTAGGACTGAAGCACTAGCTGTTTTTCCACATTAAAAGAAGACCAGCGTTTTTCCATCAAGACCCACAAAATTCAATCATTCCTTAATTTACTCCCTTTTCAGTTTTCTACCTTCATTCACTCTAGGAAGGTCTCTTAGAGTTACATATACAACAAAAATACATATTTCTATCACCCTTTTTGTCTGTTTGCCTTCTCTCAAACAGTATTTCTTTTTCCTTCTTCAAAACAGACTTTTCTCAAAGGAGTCTTCAATGAGTCTTTCTTGATTCAAAATGGACTGGAAGACAAGGTGGGATAAAAGGCTCTTTTCCTAGAGCCCAAGCTAGAAAAAAAAAAAAAAAAGAAGAGGAGAAAATAATACAAAATTCTCTCTTAAGAGCAACATTACTTATTTTCACTGAAACAGAAAAGAAAAAAAAAAACTCTACTATTATATGGTTTCATTTCACTTACTTTACCTTGACCAATTTTATGCTCACTTATCTTTGTTTACTTCCACTTAACAGAGTTGTTACAGGAGTAAGTTCCAACTGCTGTAAGTTTTCAAAAACAACTTCCCCACATACTAATGCATACTTTTTATATTATCATTTAAAAAGGACAACAGAATTATGAATTATCAGCAATACAACTGAAGATAGTGTTTCTAAAACTTCAAATAAAAGAATTTCTTAGAAAACCTCTGAGAAATTCCCTGACATATGGTTTGCAAAAAAAAAAATCTGTTTGCAATTTTTTAAGCTGCAGTGAGGCTAGAGCTGTCCTGGAAGCCATTCTCTGAGCTCTTGGCACTTAAGTTTCTGGTATTCTAGAGAAAAATCAGGAACTTAAGACTTAGGGAGCTCCAGTTAATTAACTACTTAATTAAAACGCACAGCATTGTTAACATCTTCATGCCTGAGAAATAAATCAGAGTGTGAAATGGTTAAATAGCCAATTAACATAACCAAAGAAGAGATCATCAACAAGTTAGTTACAAATAAGATTTGTATTAAAAATATTCAAAATATTTAAAATTTAGTACAATTCACAGATCTAAACATTTCCCATTGGTTTCTAAGAGTTATTGATAGCTAATACTATTATGTCAGCATGCTGTGTACCTAAATGTTCCTGATGAATCATATTATCATGTAAATGAGTCTGCAATTCGAAAACTCTGATACAACTTAGTTATGAAGATGACAGAAAAGTTGTACGGGAACAGAAAAAGAAAAAAGACAGAAAGACACTAATATTCTTTCCTAATTTCTCTACCACCCTTGGAAAAGAAGGCCACTGCTCTACCCCAACACACCCATCTTCCTCTTCTCTCCCCCTCCCAACCCACTCTTCCAAGAAAGAGAACTATTTTGTCCCATAAAAACATAGCAATCAAGTAAAATATGTAAGAAGAATACCTGTAAGACTTTCTTTCCATAACTTGTTCCAGGCAAGGATCCTCAGGCACTCTTTCCCATGCCATCCTCCACCACTTCTTCAACCATGAGAGATGCATCCTGAATGATGGTGGAGGGTTCAGAAGTTTATAGTAGATGTGGCATATTGAAACCAAGGATCATATCCATCTCCTCACAAAAAGGATGGGCCTTTCAAGTGGTCCAGAATACCACTACAAACCTCTGTGATTATACTTACATGTTACTATTCTGATACTAATCAATTCCTAATCTCAACTCAAAAATACCCACCAGGATATACCTTTTGAATTTATAATTCTCTTTGTTTTTTCTCTTTACCATTCATTATTTTATTTATATGCTGACTCATTCCAAAAAAGATGATGGGTTGATACTATTATTAGTAAACCAATACCTAGAATTTAAAGATATCCTTACTTTACGTGATTCTCCCCATCTATATCATCTCTCACAAAATCTATGTGCAATAAGGAAATTATCAGTCACACCCTCACCCCCACCATACTTTGGGTAAAAGGGAAGGTTCAGAGAAGTGTGTGAAAATATACTTCTGTAAACGTCCAGGAATAATAGGGGAAGGAGACAACTGCTAAGAAGTAACAGAAAAGTACATGTTATAAAGAAAAGTATAGGTTGGAGATTATGTGTAAATTTAAATGGCTTATTTAGGTAACCACTTCTACCCTCATGTTGCTCTCCTCCCTTCCTCTCCAATGTAACTTGTAGTTCTTTCATTTTTTAAATAAAAATGTTCCTTTCAAAACAACATTATGTATTTTAAAAGAATTCCTCTCTCATTCCTCCATCCTTTCCTCAAAAGGTAACCATTATTAGTGTTTCATATCCTTTCACTCTTTCTTGTACACATTTGAACATGCATATAGATTTTAACCACAAATACCATACTATGCATACTGTTCTCACAACTTCCTTCTTCACTTAATATATCTTGACCATCTTTTCACAAGTATATTTCAATCTCACTCATCTTTTTAAATATTTATCTAATACGCCACGGCATTAGGTATTGTACTTAGTTACGTCTTTTCTCCCCTCCTCCTGTCTCCTCTGAAGACCTGGTTCCGTGCCCCATGTCACTTAAACACTTGTTCATATTTTTTATCTCCATCTTTTTATCTTTAGCTTCCAGTATGTTTCTTCAACTTTATTTCTAAATCACTGTTTCAATTTTCAGTCCTTCCTTTGATTATTCTTTAACAATCAGATTTTTCGTTTCTGAGAACTTCACCTATTGCTTCTTTCACAATGGCCTGATTTGAATTTTTAGCTACCTTGCCCTCTGAAATCTCTCTGAGGTTATTATATTTAAGTTCTATGTATTTGTTGCACCATTCCCACTTTCCAGGGGTCAGTTTTTTCCTTCGTTCACTTTCTGTTTTGCACTGTTGGTTTTCTGGTGCTCCTTGGCCAAATTTGTGAATAGTGTTCCAGAACTATCTAACTGGCCTGGGTTTCTCCTATAGATCTACACGTCTGTCCGTCTCTGAAGCCATCTTCCCTGAATGGGAGAGCAGATTTCAGGCTCAATGCGGGCAAAACATATCAAGCAGCATGTTTTAGTGTGTGTGCTTGCAAAGCAGATTATAGGCTGGAACCCCCAAGACTGCCAAAATAAGGAAGGCTTTACTTTTGGGATAGAGTGTTTCATGTATTACACACATACAGAGCCATCTTTCCTTTCCTTCTTCCCATATGAGTTCTTGATAGAGTTCTCAGGCTCTTTCCAATCCCAACCAGAAGCCTTCTCCAGAATCATCATATGCAGAATAGAAGCCATGACTCTATCCTTGAGAAAAATACCCTGCTGCTGATCATTCAGTATGAATGAGGAAGCGAGGAAGGGAAGTATCCAGCTACTACAGGCAGTTTGGAGCTTTTTTTTTTTTTTTTTGAGATGGGAGTTTCACTCTTGTTGCCCAGGCTGGAGTGCAATGGTGCGATCTCGGCTCACTGCAACCTCCGTGCCTCCCGGGTTGAAGCGATTCTCCTGCCTCTGCCTCCTGAGTAGCTGGGATTATAGGGACCTGCCACCACGCCCAGCTAATTTTTGTATTTTTAGTAGAGACAGAGTTTTGCAGTGTTGGCCAGGCTGGACTCAAACTCCTGAACTCAGGTGATCTGCCTGCCTCGGCCTCCCAAAGAGCTGGGATTACAGGCGTGAGCCACCGCACCAGCCTTGTTTTTGTTTTTTGTTTGTTTAGTTTAGTTGTTTTGTTTTGTTTTTGAGACAGTCTTGTTCTTGTCACCCAGGCTGGAGTACAATAATGGCACAGTCTCGGCTCACTGTAACCTCTGCCTCCTGGGTTCAAGCGATTTTCCTGCCTCAGCCTCCTTAGTAGCTGGGATTACAGGTGCCCGCCACCAAGCCCACGTAATTTTTGTATTTTTTTTTTTTTTTTTAGTAGAGACAGGGTTTCACCACGTTGGCCAGGCTGGTCTTGAACTCCTGACCTCAGGTGATCTGTCCACCTCGGCCTCCCAAAGTGCTGGGATTATAAGCGTGAGCCACCTCGCCCAGCCTAGAGGCAGTTTTTTAATTAATTACTCTGATTATCACATCACCACCTCCCCTCCACTCCAGTTCTTTCAAACTGGTAACACAAATAGAGTTCCTTGAGGTCCACTGAACCTCAGGAGCTTTTCACTTTCAGTTGCGGTTTTCTCTGTTCTTGTTCTTCTGCCCCTCTCAGTCCATCTACTTTCTATCATCAGGGAATTCCCCCAAGTTTGCTGCACCAATGTCACCCTTCTTAATACCTAATGCTGTTATAGGCTTTTTTGTTTTTTTGTTTTTTTTTTTTTTTATTAAATATATTTTTAGTTCTGTCAAACAGGTTTGAGGAAGTTTGGGTGAGTTGATTGTTGGCCTTCTTTTAAAAGTCTCCTCAAATTTTCAACACGTATTTCAGCCTGTATTTTGTCATAAACATCAAGAAGTATAAAATATCCATCCATTCCTGTGCATAGAAGCTCTTTGCATAGTATACCATGAATAGACAGTATTCTTTTACTTTCCCCTCCTTGCTCCACTCCCACTTGCTGTAGGACAGCTTGTATTAAGTCACCTAGAATTTTATTTCTCAGCTGTCATTTCTTTCCTAAGTTCCATTCATTATATCAGGAATATTTTCTCAAAAATTATATTACACTTCAAAGTACATTATTAGTAATTCTTTGTATTTAACCTTAAATGTCACTGACTGGGTTTTGGTTTGTTTTTGTTCACAAATGTTTAACATAAACCTTTCTTTTTTTGGTCCAGAAAATTCTCCATTCCAATTCATTTCATTTTGCTTAAGTACTCCCAAATACTATATTTATTTATTTAAATATGTAATTATTATAGGCTCACAGTCCTTCGGAAAGAATATATTTTGCCTTTATCGTGAAGGAATAGTTTTATTGCACATAGAACTTTAGGGTCGTAATACTGAAACTGACCCAATAGTCCCATAGATAGTTTTTTGGGTTTTTATGTCTTTTTTAATAAACATAGAAATTGATCCTTCTGGTCTTAAAGCTTGAAACTCATTTTTGTTTTATCTGAGTTCCTTCCTAAGGAAATGACTTTCAGGCCTCCCAAAAAAACTATCAAATAACTGAAACTCACCAGATCCCAACAACCAGACAATGAGATAGAGAGCGGACTCCTCATTCATCATGATTGCTTCCTTGCCCCTCTAGTTACTGTTTTCTTGCATATTGTTACATTTCTTCCCTGCTATATAAACCTCTAGTTTCAGTCCATCAGGGAGATGGATCTGAGTCTGATCTTCCATCTCCTCAGCTGCAGCATGAGATTAAAGCCTTCTTCTTTGGCAATAATCATTATCTCTGACTGGCTTTCTGTGCAGTGAGCAGCAGGACCTAGATGAAAATCCATGGTGTTCGTTAACAATACTTCTACCTCAGAATTCTATAGGAATGTTTCTACTCTTCCTTAGTATCCAGTGCAGCATTAAAAGAAAAAAAAATCAAATGCCAATCAGATTCTTTGTTAGGGGTACGCCTGCTGTTTATCTGGGAACTTCATTTTCTTTTGATACTTGAAATTTTGAAGTTTTATAAATATTTGATTTTACCAAAAACTTGATTTCATAGGTTTTATTTTAAAGCTTTTTTCAGCTCAGAACAAATTTATTCTACCATTTTACTATCTACTGCTTCTGCTACATGCACTGTATTTTTTATTTCTGGAATTCCTATTTCACACATACTGATATCCCACATCTATTATACAGGTCTCAAACTTTTCTCTCATAATGTTCAACTCTTTCTGCTGTACTTTCTGAGAAATTTCAATTTGTCAATACTGCCACCTCCATTTCAAACAAATTTACTGTCAAATATTTTAGATATACACATGAGTACAAGATATTATTTAATAAATACCTTTATGTCCACTACCCAGCTTAAGGAAAAAAAAATTATCTGGATAACAGAAATACCTTTCTTTTTCACTCCCAGGAATAACCTAAGTTTGGTGTTTATCATTTCCATGGATTTTTTTTTTTTTTTTTTTTTGAGACGGAGTCTCGCTCTGTTGCTCAGGCTGGAGTGCAGTGGCGCAATCTCGGCTCACTGCAACCTCCACCTCTCAGGTTCAAGCAATTCTCCTGACTCAGCCTCCCAAATAGCTAGGATTACAGGCACATGCCACCATGCCCGGCTAATTTTTGTATATTTGGGTTTTTTTAGTAGAGACGGAGTTTCACCATGCTGGTCAGACTGGTCTCGAACTCCTGACCTTGTGATCCGCCTACCTCGGCCTCCCAAAGTGCTAGGATTACAGGCATGAGCCACCGCGCCCAGCCCATTTCCATGGATTTCTTTGTTTTTATATATGTATATACTCATAAAACTATATATACCATTGCTTTGCATTTTTTAAGCTTCATGTGAGTATCACATTATATACTCATCTGTAATTTGTTTTCTATACTCTATATTTGTAAGGGTATTCATTTAATATAGGCATTGTAATTCAATGATTTATTATGATGTCTAGTTCAAGATCCTTAGATAGATATACCACAGTTTATTTACCCATTTTCCATTTGTTAGAGCTTAAGATGACTTCAAGTTTTTCACTCTCACACACAATATTGCTATGAATATCCCTATCCTTATTCTGTTTGTTTCTTTAAGGCAGTGTTTTTCAAACTGCAGTTTGTAACCCATCAATAATATCACATTAGTGAGCCAGGATCACAAACAGCTTAATAAATAAATAAATAAATAAATAAATAAATAAATAAATAAAAGAGAATGCTTGGGAGTAAAGGGGAAAAAGGAAGATGAACAAAGTGATGACGTACAGAGACAGATCACAATGTACTGCCTGTAGGAAGGATAAATTTTGTTTCCCGAAAATTTGATCTCAGTTATATCATGGTCAAAAGAGATCAATAAACAATGCTAAGATATATATGTATGCATAGGTAGAATTCCTGGGTTACTGGAGAAAGGCATACTGAAACTTACTAGACATTACTGAATTACTCTCAAAAGCAGTTGTTTATAATTCTACCAGCTGTCTAAGAGTTCCCATTGTTCCACATACTCACCAACACAATACTGTCAGATTTTTATCAATCTGATGCTGTCTGAAAAATCTATTTCAAAATCCTTGTTTCTGAATGATTCTGCCAGTTACTCTCCCTAGGATGACATTTGTTTTTCTTAGCATTTGAAAACCTAGCTCTATGATCTCTACCATTCATTGTTATAGTTTAGAGGTCTGCTGCCAGTCTAATTTCTATAGCTTTGTAGATAATCTGTTTCTGGCTGCTAAAAAAGGTTCTCTTAGTTTTCAGTATTATCCAGTTACTTTTTTTCCTCTGCATTAATCGTACTTCTTCAGTTTAATGATTCACACTTTAATTTTGGGAATTTCTCATTCTTTCTTTGGACACCAACTGTGAGTCTTTTCATTATCCTTTTCTGAAATTTCAATTTCATACACATTAGACGTTTATTCTTCTGACTCTAAACATCTTCATGTTTCCGTATCTGGGCTTTCTTCAAATCTGTCTTCAAGTTAATTAATTCTCTGTTCAGCTGAGTTCAATCTACTTAACCCATTTAATATTTTTCAAGGTCATTATTATATCTTTAATTTCTACAACTGCTTTAGATTCTTTTTCAGATCTACCTGGTATTTCTTAACAGTATTTTGCTCCCTGCTCATGTTTTTAATTCCCCCCTCCCTTTTAATTCTTTTGAAACATTTTATTCATTTATACTCCATTGTCTTACCTAGTAATTTCAATATCTGACATTCACAGGGGTCTAATTCTGCTATTTGTCTTTCCTGCTCACTGTTGCTCATGATTGCTGAGTTTCTCATATTTTTTTAATATGAAAGCACTTCATTTAGACTCTATCAATGGGCATACCTGAAGGAGCATCCCTCTGAAGATAATTCACTTTTCTGTTAGGTACTTTGTAGCACTGCCAACATTTATTTGATTGCTTTTAAATAATTTTCTGTCTGCAGTTTCCTAAACTATGCAGGTAGTATAAATTACAATCCCATACCCTTATGAAGGCAGGCTAATGGTCACAAGTTTTTAGTGGAAACTTTTCAGTCCCACACCAAAAGCCCAAGAGAAGAAAACGTCTCTGATGTTGAAAGGTGACAGCATGCTGGCAGCCCTGGCAGCCCTCGCTTGCTCTCGGCGCCTCCTCGACGTTGGTGCCCACTCTGGCTGCGCTTGAGGGGCCCTTCAGCCCACCGCTGCACTGTGGGAGCCCCTTTCTGGGCTGGCCAAGGCCGGAGCCGGCTCCCTCAGCTTGCAGGGAGGTGTGGAGGGAGAGGCGCAGGCGGGAACCGGGGCTACGTGCAGCGCTTGCAGGCCAGCCGAAGTTCCAGGTGGGCGTGGGCTCCTCGGGCCCCGCACTCGGAGCGGCAAGCCGGCCCGCAAGCCCCAGGCAGTGAAGGGCTTAGCACCTGGGCCACCAGCTGCTGTGCTCAATTTCTCGCCGGGCCTTAGCTGCCTCCCTGTGGGGCAGGGCTTGGGACCTGCAGCCCACCATGCCTGAGCCTCCCCTCCACTGCCATGGGCTCCTGCGTGGCCCGAGCCTCCCCGAGCGCCACTCCCTGCTCTACGGCACCCAGTCCCATCGACCGCCCAAGGGCTGAGGAGTGCAAGCACACAGCACAGAAGTGGCAGGCAGCTCCACCTGCAGCCCCAGTGCGGGATCCACTGGGTGAAGCCAGCGGGGCTCCTGAGTCTGGTGGTGACTTGAAGAATCTTTATGTCTAGCTAAGGGATTGTAAACACACCAATCAGCACTCTGTATCTAGCTCAGGGTTTGTAAATACACCAGTCAACACTCTGTATCTAGCTAATCTAGTGGGGACGTGGAGAACTTTTGGGTCTAGCTCAGGGATTGTAAACACACCAATCAGCACCCTGTCAAAACGGACCAATCAGCTCTCTGTAAAACACACCAATCAGCTCTCTGTAAAATGGACCAACCAATCAGCAGGATGTGGGTGGGGCCAAATAAGAGAATAAAAGCAGGCTGCCACGCCAGCAGTGGCAACCCGCTCAGGTCCCCTTCCACACTGTGGAAGCTTTGTTCTTTCGCTCTTTGCAATAAATCTTGCTGCTGCTCTCTCTTTGGGTCCACACTGCCTTTATAAGCTGTAACACTCACCGCGAAGGTCTGCAGCTCCACTCCTGAAGCCAGCGAGACCACGAACCCACCAGGAGGAACAAACAACTCCACACGCACCGCCTTAAGAGCTGTAACACTCACCGCGAAAGTCTGCAGCTTCACTCCTGAGCCAGTGAGACCACGAACCCACCAGAAGGAAAAAACTCTGAACACATGCGAACATCAGAAGGAACAAACTCTGGACACACTGCCTTTAAGAACTGTAACACTCACCGCGAGGGTCTGTGGCTTCATTCTTGAAGTCAGTGAGACCAAGAACCCACCAATTCAGGACACAGTGTCTTTCTCGTGGAAAGTAAATTTAATTTTCTAGGCTCCCTTTCACTGAAGCCTTATCGTGAAGAATCCTGGCTTTATGCAGGTGTGAAAGATAGATGACACAGGTTTTCGCCCATGGATCCTGGTTCATAACACTGACAGTCCTTGTTATACATTGGCCTTCAGAAGTAGGCCTCAGAAGGTAATGTCTCTGACCTTCTCTTTCCCTCCTTTCACATGATCCTTTTTCTCCCCAAGGCAGGAATTTTCCCCTGCCTTTCCATCTTGAAGCTGCCCATAAAGAAATTCTCTGACCTACGTTGTCTGACTGCAGGTAATAAGACACCCATTTCAGAAGAGGTTCTCCCATACCCTGGAGAAATTAACAGTGCACAGAGAGGCTAAGAATCTGAACCGGCCTTTCTAGGTTTTCCCACTCAGTCTATAAGTATTAGCTCATAACCTTTTTGTCCAATCACATTTCTACACAGTTCTTCAATCACACCTATCCAATGAAGTCTCCATAAAAGTAGCAATAGGACAGGCTTCTGAGAGCTTCCAGATAGCTGAACACATAAAGGTTCCTCTAGGGTGGCACACTCAGAGAAGGCAGAGAAGCTCTATGCCCCTTCCTATACCTTGCCCTATCCATCTCTTTAGCTATATCCTTTGTAATGTCCTTTATAATAAACTGGTAAATGTGTATCCCTGTGTTCTGTAAGCCACTTCAGCAGCTTAACTGAAACCAAGGAAAGGGTGTGAGATCCCTGATTTATAGTTGGTCCGTCAGAAGCACAGGTAAAACAACCCAGGGGAGCCAGAAGCAGTGGCTCTCACCTGTAATCCCAGCACTTTGGAAGGCCAAGGTGGGAGGACTGCTTGAGCCCAAGAGTTTGAGACCAGCCCAGGCAACATAGTAAGACCCCATCTCTACAAAAAAATTTAAAAATTAGCCAGGCATGGTGATGTGAACCTGCAGTCCCAGCTACTTGGGAGACTGAAGCAGGAGGCTCATATGAGCTCAGAAGGTCGAGGCTGTGGTGAGCTGTGTTCACACCACTGCACTCCAGCCTGGGTGACAGAGCAAGATCATGTCTCAATAAAAAAAAAAAAAAACCCACCACCTGGGTTTGCAACTGGTATCAGGAGTAATGGGCAGTTTTGTGAGACTGAACCCTCAACTTCTGGGCTTTGATGCTGTCTTCAGGTAGATAGTGTGAGAACTGAATTGGAGGAGCCACACGCGGTGGCGCACACGTATAATCTCAACACTTTGGGAGGCCAAGGCGGGCAGATCACTTGAGGTCAGGAGTTCAAGACCAGTCTGGCCAACACGGTGAAACCCCATCTCTACTAAAAATACAAAAATTAACTGGACATGATGGCACGTACTTGTATTCCCAGCTACTGAAGCTAAGGCAGAATAGCTTAAACCCAGGAGGCGGAGGTTGCAGGTTGCAGTGAGCTGAGATCGCACCACTGTACTCTAGCCCGGGCGACAGCGTGAGACTCTGTCTCAAAAAGAAGAAAAGAATTGAATTGGAGGACACTAGCTGGTGTCTGCAGAACTGACTGCTCACTCACTGGTGGGAAGAAATCCTACATATTTTGAGGTCACAGGAGTCTTCTGTGTTAATTGGTGAGTATGAACATAGGAAAAAGCACTTTGAGTGTGTTTTTTCCACTGCAGGGTTCTAACTCTTCAATCTAATGATTGAAGGCCCAAAGATCTCTCTCCTAAAATCCATGTGACCTTTAACTGCAAGCCTCTAGGTCAACAAATGTTCAGAGAGCAGCTGTGGAATCAACTTAGTACTCTGGATTCTACAACCTTCTCTATTTTTTGACTTCTTGGCAATCATATTTTTAATTGTCAAGAATTTTTTGTTCATGGTTCCTTTCTCAATACTGTATCTTCCCAATACTAAAAAGTTCAGTTTCTTATTTTCTATATAAACTATTATCTCTGAGCTATTTGCTTTGCTTGTTTCAGTACCAGTCCTTTCTTTTACACTGTTAATTTTTCCTCTAATATCCAGTGTTTCCTCATTGTCTTCATCTTTTTAAATCCGGATTGTTCTGTACTGATGGCTGGTGAAAATCACTGCTTTACTTCCCTCAAGAGTCTCCCCCATCTCCATCAACCCCATAATGGAAGGCTATTGGATTTTGTGAGCAGACTCTGCTCTTAGTGTGGTAAAGAAGAGAGAGGAACAGACAGATTTTTCTTCAAGACTCATCAATTCCAGAGTCTTCTAATTACCTTGATACTGCTCACAGAGCCATTTCTCTGCCCTAGCCCTGACATCTCTAAGCTAGGTGAATTTGTAAGCAAGTCTACTTTTCTACTCAGAAACCAGATACTTTCCCCTATGTGTAGTACAAGCTGTTCAATACTAATGGTTTTCAGGAATCTAATCTTGTCAGCCTTACATCTTTCTAGAAAGCCTCAAAATTTTCTGGTTTATGATTTCATCTTTTCCTGTTTTCCAGAGCTGTTACAGAAGTATTTCTTATTCCTATATTTCTTTCCCACTGCAATCTGGACTCATTGCTATCATATTTGCCTTATTTTTTGAAAAATTCTTAGTATTTATCATATCATAGAAATTATGTCCTCAAAATGAAAAATTTCCCCTCCAAAATAGCAAGGACAGAAAATTGATGGAGCACTTCCTTAGAGGAGCCTCAAACATTTACTATCACATATCCAGAATTTCCTGTTTATCAAGCAAAAAGAAAAATCAAAAAACTCTCCAACAATTTAATTCATACTTCTGGTTCATCTCCTACTTAAAGCACAAGAAACTTCAAGATACAAATTCCTCTATCATGCACAATTTGTTTTAAATATTCTCTTTTATAAAAGTAATTAGCTACATTATAAAAATTTGCAATCTACATAGTTTTACAGATGAGGTAAATTAAAAATGTTTGGATGAGAAACAAATTTAGTGACAAATCAGGAAACTCAGACTATGAATCTGAAACCTGAGAACTATGCGAATTCTACCAACTATTTTTCTTCTTCACTCAAGTCTAAATGGCACTCAAACCAAAAGAACAAAGTATACTCCTTCTAACTTAACTTTCTACTAAAAGAAAATGTTTTATACTTATCTCTGCTATTAGATGGCAAATTCCACAAAGAAAATAAACTCCAGAATAGCATGCCCACTACAATCATGTGCCACACAACATTTCAATTAATAACAGGCCATATATGCAACAGTGGTTCCATAATGTCATAACGAAGCTGAAAAATTCCTACTGCCTAATGATGCTGTAGCTGTCATAATGTCATAGCACAATCACTTAACTTTTTTACAACTTTAGTGTAGCCTAAGTGCAGTGGTTATAAAGTCATATAGTAATGTCCCAGGACTTCACATTCACTCACCACTCACTCACTTAGAGCAACTTTCAGTCCTGCAAGCTAACTGCCCTAAACAAGTATACCATATTTGGGTGGGATGGGGGTGAGGGATAAAAGATTATACATTGGGTACAGTGTACACTGCTCAGGTAATGGGTACACCAAAAACTCAGAAATCACTACTAAAGAACTTATTCATGTAACCAAACAATACCTCTTCCCCAAAAACTTATTGAAATATAATTTTTAAAAGAACAGATTAAGCTAAAAAAATTATACCTTTTTTCTTTTACACTCTATTTTTACTGTACTTTTTCTATGTTTAGATACACAAATACTATTGTGTTACAACTGCTTACAGTATTCAGTACAGTAACATGCTGTATACTTTCGTAGCCTGGGACTAATAGGCTATGCTATATATAACCATATAGCCTAGGTGTGTGATAGGTAGCTATACCATCTCAGTTTGTGGTAAATACACACTATCATGTTCACACAATGACTAAATCACCTAACTACACATTTCTCAGAATATATCCCTGTTGTTGGCAACACACGACTGTACTTAATTTGCTATCCCCACAATTACCCTATTGAAAGGTTCCCCAGATACTCTCCTAAAGGCCTACCTTCTTTCTGAAGTCACTGAAATACAAAAGCATTGTGCCACAATTTCCATCTGGATACTCTAAAGAAGACATTTATGTCACTCTACAATGTTCACATAGATTAGCGACATCACTGAGTTAAATTCAAAAATAAAATATCCATTTCTTTGAGCTGGGTAAATGCGTAGTCTTCAATCAAATTATTCCTGTTTTAATGGTCATACTTAATAAAAAAAAAAAAACAGATGGCAAATTCAAGCCCTAAGCTCAGTATTTAGAATGAAACAAAAGACAATTATATCAATATCACTTATATATGCCAACCTAAAAAACACACTGGCTATACAGGTTCCCCAATTTACAACCTTTTAATGTTTTTACCAGGATGTTTTATAGTTAAAAAACTAAGTATCTATCACCGGTTTTCCCTGCTTTATTTATATGCAGGCCTGAACATTATGAATATAATGAACATTTGTAAACTGAAGAAGCAAGCTATTTAAAGGAATATCACAATCAATCCTTTTGTAAATTAACAGCCCCAAATAAATCCTAATTTTACTAAGGATTTATTTAAAAGTGGGGTTTGTTAAGATTAAAGAAAAAAATAAAACATAAGATTTAAAACAAGACGTGCCTTTGGTAACATCATTCTTTTCAGTACCCCAGGAAAGTTTTGTTTTTGTTTACCATTTTGGTATGGCAGGTTCACCAATTTCACAACTTTCCAAGATACCAATTTACTTCAAATATAATCAAGTACTCCTAAAAGTTTTCCATGGAATGAATTAATACAACCTTCATGGTCTCTAGGATGGTCAACCATAATTTATGTGAAATTCTTTGCTTCTTAAAAATCATTTAGTTTCAACATAAAAAATTTTTAAAAGCTGAAAATTTAAAGTACTTAATATTTCCACCCTCACCAATCTTTAGAACTAGAAATGGTACTTTAAAAGAGTAATACTTTTATGTGTAGCTTCACAAACACCCTGGTAAAAACACATACATATGTTAATACTCCAGTTTGAGAAGCAAGTTCATAGAGCATGCTGATAAAATTTGTAAAATATAGTTTATCTTCAATATGGCCCATCCTACCAACTTAAAAAAATGGTGACTGGTTAAAAAATCTAAGGAAGCAAATTTGTTTTAACGTTCAACAGATCTTAAGTGCAAATATGGAAACAAGCAGAATTACAAGAAAATGTGAATGAATGAATGGCTACTTTTTTTTAATGGTATAAATTTATATTCATTACACATATACTTGCTGAGACAACGTTCAGTGATTATTAGCAAAGTTATTATATACAACAACTTTACCTTTTCTAATACTTGTTTGTTAAATTAAAAACATCATGGCATTATGAATTATAAACCACAAAAACGACATAATGCACAGCATAAAATACCACATCTTTCCAAAAATCAAATATAATTAGTAGTAAAGACATAACGCATAAACACACCAGCAATGCTTTCAGGAAACAAAAGGCAGCATTAACAAAGGTGAAGAGGATAGAAGGTCTGGGTTCAAATCCCAACTTTGCCACTCAACAGCAGTATGACGTTGGGCAAGTTCTCTAACTTCTCTGTGCCTCAGTTTCCTGATTTGTAAAAAGAAATAATAATTGTACTTACTTCATGGAGTTATTGTAGTCATTAAATAAGTCAATATTTGTAAAACACAACTATACCTGGCACACAAGTGCTTTATGTGTCTAATACACAGAATCTTTTTTTTTTTTTGAGACGGAGTCTCTCACTCTGTGGCCCAGGCTGGAGTGCAGTGGCACGATCTCGGCTCACTGCAACCTCTGCCTCCTGGGTTCAAGCAATTCTCCTGCCTCAGCCTCCTGAGTAGCTGGGACTACTAGCACCCACCACCACACCCAGATAATTTTTGTATTTTTAGTAGAGACGGGGTTTCACCATATTGGCCAGGCTGGTCTCAAACTCCTGACGTGAAGTGATCCACTGCCTCGGCCTCCCAAAGTGCTGGGATAATAGGCGTGAGCCACTGCGCCTGGTTTTTGTTTGTTTGTTTTTTAATTGAGACAGTTATCTCGCCCCCGTACCCTCACAAGCTCACTGCTGCCTCCCGCTTCTGGCCTCAATCCGCCCACCTCAACCTCCTGAGTAGCCGAGGCTACAGGCTCGCACCACCATGCTGGGCTAATTTTCTTGGGGTTTTTTTTTGTAGAGACCACATTGCACAGGCTGGTGTGGAAATTCTGGGCTCAAACCATCCACCCGCCTCAGCCTCCTCCCAAGGTGCTGGAGTAACAGGCATGAGCCACTGCACCCAGCAAGGAACAATGTCTTAATTCCAAGGGAATGTTTCCCTTTATCACCAACCTTCATCAATCCTTAGCTCCATGGTTACTAACTACCCCCCCCACCAACACACACACAGTTGGCGTGTTCACATAGATTAGCGACATCACTGAGTTAAATTCAAAAATAAAATATCCATTCCTTTGAGCTGGGTAAATGCATAGTCTTCAATCAAAAAATATGCATCCCTTACTAAGATTACCAAATAAATATTTTCACGTCCACCAATACAAAATATTGGTATCTGTTTATAACTGCATGAAAGAAGCCTTTACTAATTACTGAATAGGACATTGGTATTCATTTATAATTGCATGAAAGAAGGCTTTATTAATTACTGAATAGGACACTGTAAAAATATTTCTATAATTGTAGAATTTTTATAGAAACCTATAATGCATTAAATTCCCATTATTACATGTATTTTGGCCAAATTAATGATGCCAAAACTAGTAAATTCTACAAAATTGCAATCATGTTTTCATCATTTATGATTTGTCCATATTTTGGAAGAGTGTGTAACAATACAAAGAAGGCTCTTATACATCTCAAGGCTACCTTTCAATATAACCAGGTATATAATACCCTTTAAAATAAAAGTTACATTTTGGTCATTAAAAAACCATGTTATGCCACATCTGACACGCTTCATTATTTCAAGCTCCACCTAAGCTATGACAAGGTCCCAAGGAGGAAAAACAGAGACCAGTTTAAAAACGTTTTATTTTTAAACTACATTTAAAATTGTAACTTTACCACAAAACGCTGGATTAGTAAATTAAAAACTAATTCCATAATTACTGCAAGTAATCAATGCTGAATAATCAACATGGTCTGGGAAACATGGCAAAACCCCGTCTCTACAAAAAACACAAAAGTGGCTAGGCGTGGTGGTGCACACCAGTGGTCCCAGCTACTCGGGAGGCTGAGGTGGGAGAATCGCTTGAGCCTGGGAGGCAGAGGTGGCAGTGAGCCAAGATTGCGGCAGGGCACTCTAGCCTGGATGACAGAGCAGGGAAAAATAAGGTAATCAATAGATATTTACTAAGTGGATACCAACAACCCACGACTGTGCTAAATATACAGATTCCTCTTAAATGAAAAGCTGAAGTCTGAAGTAAAAGGCAAAGTTACCTTTGTATAAGGCATGAAGATTACAGTGAAACTTCCTCCCACCCAAAATTGATTTTCTATGAGATGAATATAACATCTCTCTTCAGAAAATTTTCTTTGTATTTATTAAGAGAAACCACCGGAAAACACCCTGAGGTGCTTGTTAACAGTGCAGACTCCTGGGTCCTAATTAATACCTACTGAACCAGAATATGCAGGAATCTATGTTTCATAAACACTGAAGTTCAAGTACACTAAGCAAAAATGTACTGAGAACCCAACAGATTCCAGGCATTGTGCTAGGAATGGGAGACTACTAAAATGTTAGTTTCAGTAAATCTCACTTGGGAAGACAAGTAAAGGCTACTTAACCTCATATACAATTCAAAAAGGCAGAAATCGTGTCTTATTCATTATTGAATAACTGCTGTCTGCTAGCTTTTTTTTTTTTTTGAGACGGAGTCTCGCTCTGTCACCCAGGCTGGAGTGCAGTGGCGCCATCTAGGCTCACTGCAAGCTCCACCTCCTGGATTCACGCCATTCTCCTGCCTCAGCCTCCAGACTAGCTGGGACTACAGGCACCCGCCACCACGCCTGGCTAATTTTTTGTATTTTTAGTAGAGACGGGGTTTCACCATGTTAGCCAGGATGGTCTCAATCTCCTGACCTCGTGATCCGCCCGCCTTGGCCTCCCAAAGTGTTGGGATTACAGGCGTCAGCCACCGCGCCCAGCCGCTGTCTATCTTAATGGTATATTTCAAACATGGGCTGGTGATGAACAATTTTGTTTATCTATACTACTTTACCCCTCCATTTCTCTGAATAATTTTGGGAACCGACAGGAAAGAAATGTAAAGGTTTGAATAGGCTTTACTCATATTATGCTGATGAACCATATACGTTATTATTCAGATCAGCCATTCTGAAAAATTCAGAACAAAAAATTTTCCACGAACTCAGAAGTCATGCCCCAGTGTAAAATATCCGTAAGCACTTGAAAATAACTCAACAAATGGCAACCTGTCATATGATGATACTTTAATATGTGGGCTCTGATATTTTACATATTGCTTAGTCATTTACAGGAATTTTACATTACAGATTAATAATTATCCTCACTATATAAATGGGAGAGTTGAGAATACACTGTTTGCACAAGACCACATACTGATATAAAAGTTAGGTATCTTTACCTTCTTGTTAATGTCTAATTAGTAGGCTACTTTCCCTGAAAATAAGTGCTCCTAAACAGTAAAATTACTATCATATTAATTAATACATGAATAAATCTCACTGAATAACAAAATGCATTAAAGTCAAGGCAAGAATGCCTGCTATGAGCACTATTGTTTAACACTGTACTGGTGACCTTAGCTAATGCAAAGGAAAAGAAAGAGAAATAGCAAGTACAAAGCTATAAAAATACTTGCAGAAGCTTTTATCATCTACCTATAAAGTCCAAGAGTATGCCTTAAAAGACTGATGAATAACAGAGTTCAACACCAGTATTTGAAAATCAACACTTACCTATAACTGAGCAATAACCAATTAGGAAATTATATGGTAAAAATGATCATATTCATGGTTAAGCAATAAGCTTAACCAAAACCGATTAAGACCAAGAAGAAAAAAATCATAAAACATAATCTAAGCACATAAAAATGTAAAACTGTGTATAAAATGTATACATACACATCAAGACAATAAGTAAAATGGAAAAAATCTGCAATACATATGATTAAAGGTAATTTTCTTAATGTACAATGAACTCTTAGTTCACTAAGAAAAAACATTTTTTTAAATGAGCAAATGATGTGAGGAAACAATTCATTAAATGAATATGCAACCCACTTAGAACAGTGCCTAGCCCATGTAAGTGCTCAATAAATGTTATTTGTTATAATAAACGGCTGACGAATGTTAAAACAGGTTTAATCTCACTCATGATTTTAAAAATAGCAAAACATTCATACTGGCAAAAATAATGCAGTTGATATAATCCAGTGTTGGTGCTGAGAAATATGCATTTGCATACACTAAAAGTGGGAATATAACGTTGGTTCAACATTTTTAAAGTGGAAACTAAAAACGTCTGTCAATTTGAAATTGCATACCCTAGCAATTCCATGGCTGGAAATTATTCTTACAGACATAAACACAAGAATACAAAAATAAATCTCTAAGAACATACTGTATTAGTTACACTAGCAAAATGAAAATTATTATAATCAAAATGCTTATGAATAGGGGGTGATTAAATAAAACCACAGTACTTCCATACAATGACAGACAATGAAGCCTTTAAAAATAGGTGAAGTAGGGGCTGGACGCGGTGGCTCACGCCTGTAATCCCAGCACTTTGGGAGGCTGAGGCGGGCGGATCACAAGGTCAGGAGATCGTAGCCATCCTGGCTAACATGGTGAAACCCCGTCTCTACTAAAAATACAAAAAGAAATTAGCCTGGTGTGGTGGCGGGCGCCTGTAGTCCCAACTAGTCGGGAGGCTGAGGCAGGAGAATGGCGTGAACCCTGGAGGCGGAGCTTGCAGTGAGCCAAGATAGCGCCACTGCACTCCAGCCTGGGCGACAGAGCGAGACTCCATCTCAAATAAATAAATAAATAAATAAATAAAATAAAAATAGGTGAGGTAGATCAATAGAATTTCTTATGAAAGGATTTCCATGATACATTACAAAGTGGAAAAAAGTAAAAGATACAAAAGAGTGAAGAATACTAGAGCATCATTCTGTGTGATAAAAGGAAAGGTAAATTCTACACACACATTTATATAAATTGAAAGGTTTTCTGGAATATAGCAGTAAATCAAGACTAGGGTGCTTGATTGAATAAGGCCATGAAGCACATACACATCCATACATGAATACTAATGGTGGTTATGGATTTGGGGTGTGAGCTTGAAAGAAAGACTTGTATTTCATTTTATGCTCTTCTGTACTGTTTGATTCTTTCTCCATGTGCATGTATCACGTTCATTAATTTTTTGGGAAAGATATATCCTTGCATAAGAACACTCAACACTGTAAAGATATTAGCCCTTTCAAAACCCAACAGGATGTTTTAATAGAATATGAATAGAATGCTATGAATATTCTATGAATAGAATGCTATGAATATTCTATGAATAGAATAGAATCTACAATCAGTCTGGAAAAGTGTATCAAAACAGCTATGACAAATCTAAAACAGAAGGATGAGAGGGGATTTTTCCAAAATTATCAAAATATATAAAGAAACTATTGTAACTGTAACAGTGGCATACTGACACAAGAGTTAATAAACAGATCGCAAGGGGAATAATGAAATAAAGAATCTAGAAAAAGATTTCTACATACATGAAAACTTTAATACATGACTAACACAGAATTTTTAATCAGTGAAGATAACTAGATAGATATCTGGGGGGAAAAAAACTAAGACAACTTACCGCCTACCACACAAAAAGAAATTCCATATAGAAAATATACCAAAAGTTAAAAAAAAAAAAAAAAGAAAAACCAAGCTTCTGAAGAAATTTAAACTCTACTTTCTTCTTATAAATATTAGAATGAAGAGAGTCTTAATTTAGTAAAAAGACAGTTTTTTAAAACAGGTGACTAAAAATTGAAAATTGTGCTAATAACAAGATAGCATAAATCATTAGAGCAATAATAATTATAAAAGCTAGCACTTACTAAAGATCAGAAAGTTATATGCTGTTTGTAATTAATAATTTATTTAATCCTCACAATAATCTCTTGAGGTGTACCACCACTAATCCCACTTTACCAATGAAGAAACTGATGTACAAAGATTAGGCATATTCCCAAAGAAGTGGCAGAGCTAGAATTTAGCCTGTCTGGTGCAAGTCTGCATTCTCAATCACTATAGTGGTTCCACAGCCAACTTATATAGTGCTCAACAACAAACTTAAAAATACTGTTAACATTTACAAAGTTAAAATACAAAAACAGGCAATGCAATAGAAAAAAATGGGCAAAGGTTATGAACAGGTAATTGACCCAAAAAATTCAGATGGCTAAGAAATAAAAAATGTTAAGAAATGCAAATAGTAACAGCAAGGCGTTACTAGTCTTTACCCCCCACTGGCAAATATTTCAGGGATTATTTGTACCTTTTGTTGGCAAAGTTATGAGAAAACAGGTACTCATATAAAACTGATGTGGGTATAAACCTTTTCGGCCATTTTGAAGGGTCATTTGGAAGTTTTACTTAAGTGTTAAATATGCACTGCCTCAGACCCAACATCATTTGTAGGAATCTCACAAAAAATCCTCACACATACACACAAGGGTAACAAACATATTCACTGCAACCTTGCTTGCAATTTTGGAAAAAAACTAATAGTTCATTAAAGACAAAATAATTTATAGTAAATAAATTTAAATAAGTTATAGTAAAACATACACAGCCATTTAAAAAATAATGAGATCATCAAAAAATAGTTTTAAGTGAGAAAAAAACAAGCCTCAAAGCACCATGTACAATAATAAATTTTTACACTAAAAGCTAACAAAATACTATATATGAGTACATATATTAATAGTATATTTGTAAAAGCATAAGACGCAACATGACTAAGAGCACAGATCTTAATGCCAGACTGTCTAGGTTAACCATACAATTAGTTAACCTCTCTAGGCCTCAATTCCCAATATTATTATTTACTTCATAGTGTTTTTGCCTCTTCATATAAACTCTCTTCTATTTGTTAATCCTTAGAACAATGTCTGACACAATGGTGCATTAAATAAACTAAAAATGCATAAAGTGTGGGAAGATAATCACCTAATTTTTAACAGTATTTATTCATTAGGAATTGGGTGTTTAGGGAAGGAGAAGCTATCATTTTTTAACTGTATGTTTTCATATCTTTTTAATGCTTTATAATGACTATGATCTGATGTATTTCTTTGTTTTATAAAAATACAACAAAATATAAATAGCTACAAATGTACAGCAGTGTCACCTCTACTGATTTCCAGTACTGTTATGTCATCACACAACATAAATCAATGTCCAGGAAAAAAATTAGATTTATCATTTTAATATATCTTTTTAAAGTATTTGTAATTAATACAACCAACATTTAAGGGAAAGTTACTTTTTACTTGTAACTAATTAGAATCCATTTTAAGAAACAATTACTGAGTCTCAAGTTGCTAACATTAATTTACAGATACAATTCAGATGTCAGCATATTTAAGCAATTTTTCATCGTCAAAGTAAGCATCCAAGCCATATGCACACTGAGATACTACATATTGTACTTACTTTTAAATAAAAAGTACTTCATATAGCATGTCAGAAATAAAACCAGAGAAATCTAGAGAGATCTGTCTCACAGAGAGAGAAAGACATGCATGAAATATTTAAGAGAATGTTACAACCCTATTTAGGAAAAAGACATGTTTTATGAAACATTAAAGAGTCATATTTAGCCAGTCATAGCATTCCATGAACATAGTTAAGCTGTCTTTAAAATCCCAGGCTAGAGCTGTTAGCAAGTTATATATAGCCAAAACTAAATTAGGAGTGTTAACTTCACTATGTCTGGTGAACTAAAAAGCAAATCATGGATAACCTGATATCTAAATTTGAGTATGTGGAAGAAGATAAGAAAACGATATATCTATGCCTATCTCTCATCCTAAAAGTTGGCTGTCTTTCATCTATTTAATTTGCTCCCCAAAAGTATACAAAGAATCCTGGTAATGACCATTTGAACTACTAAACAGAAAGATCAGAAAATTCTTCATTCAGCTGATTAAGTACTGGCAATTCCAAAGAGTCTGACCACAAGTCCTTTGGAGGGAGGGAGGGAGGGAAGGAAGGTGAGCCATTTCCTTAAAACCTTTTTTTGATTAAAAATAAAATTCTGGCTCATACCTGTAATCCCAGCACTTTGGGAGGCCAAGGCAGGCAGATCCTCTGAGGTCAGGAGTTCGAGACCAGCCTGGCCAACACTGGAAAACTCTGTCTCTGCTAAAAATACAAAAATTAGCTGGTCATGGTGGTGTGTGCCTGTAGTCCTAGCTACTCAGTGGGGCTAAGTCAGGAGAATCGCTTGAACCCGGGAGGCAGAGGTTGCAGCTAGCCGAAATCACGCCACTGCACGTCAGCCTGGGCATCACCACAAGACTCCATCTCAAAAAAAAAGAAATTAAATTAAAAAATAAAATTCATAATGGCTCTTTCACCAACTAAACCCTGAAAGAATCAAAAATTAGAAGAGTATAGGCTGGGCACAGTAACTCATGCCTATAACCCCAGCACACTGGGAGGCTGAAGCAGATGGATGGTTTGAGCCTAGGCATTTGAGACCAGCCTGGGCATCATAGCAAGATCCTGTCTCTACAAAAAATAAAAAAATAGCCACAAGTGGTAGCAAGTTTCCGTAGTCCTAGCTACTCCAGAGGCTGAGCTAGGAGTGGAAGGATGGTTTAAGCCCTGGAGTTGGAGGCTGCAGTGAGCTAAGATCGCATCACTGTACTCCAATCTAGGTGACCTGAAGGAAAATCAGGTTACAATACTTTGCAAGTAAAATCTGCAAGGAAAAAAAGTACTATTTCTTAGCTCCCTCCTCCCACTGTGTCAATCAGTGTTTCAAAGAATGACCTGGCTTAGTGTATTTCATCACTTAATTAGAAACAGAACAGTAATTTGCATTTAGTTGCCTGTCTTACATTAAGAAAGAAACTCAATGGTGTTCCAATCAATAACAGAAAGTATCGATAAATTACATTGTTGAGTATCTGAAAAGAGAAGGCCACTTAGTACAAAGGTAAATTATTTTAGAATAGGAATATCAATAGTCAGAAAAACACATTAAACAACATATTCTTCAATTACCACCCAGTGAAGAAATTGCTTTTACTGTGTCTGGGTGATTTGTATCTAGAACCTCTCTGAATACTTTCAATGACAGCAAATTCACTGTCAGAGTCCACTTCATTCAGAAGTAATTAAAATTTTTTAAATTTTTTCTTATATTGTTCTAAAATCAGATTCCCACAACTTTGACACGATGCTCCAAATTGTTGCTTTCAGCCCTTAAAGTCACTGAAGTTACCCATCTTGCCCCCATATCCTTTCTTTTTCTAAACTATGGATCATGATAAACTGTAATTATTTTAATAAATTCAATAAAAAGTATTTTGACTAGGCTAGGCATGATGGGGGAAGGAGGAAAGCCTCAAATATTACAAGACACAAAAACCTGAATTTCAAAACAAATTCAACATACTATATATGTTCAATTCTATGATGCGTTTTTTCCCCTAACATGTTAACTTCTCTGAAATTGGCAGATGGCTTACAATTAAAGACATTTATAGTTGCTACTGAAGAGGTGGTGACAATGACAGTTCTCTCTGCCTGTATAAGAACTTAGTTGTTTTTTCCAGTGATATAACTGGACAATTGCAACCTCTCAACATTCCAGGCAACAATCCATTTAACGAACAGTTGAAGAAAGAATATGAGCTAGCAACTGTCTGAAAACCTTTCATTAACATCATCCGGTAACATGAAGAAAGTGCCAGCATTAACACTTACAGAAACCAGTATCAATGGTTAAGAAGAAAATCCCAGATCAAAGTACAGTGGATGAAGTATGCTATATCATCAACTTTCCTAACTGCACAGAAAAGATACTCTGTGGAAAAACAGACAACTCTGGGTAAGAAAAAAATGATTGAGAAGAATTGGGCTCTGGAGCAAGACAGCCGAATAGGAACAGCTCCGGTCTGCAGCCCCCAGCGAGATCAATGACGGTTGATTTCTGCATTTCCAACTGAGGTACCTGGCTCATCTCACTGGGACTGGTTGACAGAGGGAGGGCGAGCAGAAGCAGGGTGGGGCATCACCTCACCCAGAAAGCACAAGGGGTCGGAGAACTCCCTTCCCTAGCCAAGGGAAGCCATGAGGGACTGTGCCATGAGGAATGGTGCATTCCAGCCTGGATACTACGCTTTTCCCATGGTCTTCGCAACCTGCAGACCAGCAGATTCCCTTGGTTGCCTACACCACCAGGGCCCTGGGTTTCAAGCACAAAACTGGGTGGCTGTTTGGGCAGACACCGAGCTAGCTGCAGGAGTTTTTTTTCATACCCCAGTGGCGCCTGGAACGCCAGCAAGACCGTACTGTTCATTCCCCTGGAAAGGGGGCTGAAGCCAGGGAACCAAGTGGTCTAGCTCAGCAGATCCCACCCCCACGGGGTCCAGCAAGCTAAGATCCACTGGCTTGTAATTCTTGCTGCCAGCACAGCAGTATGAAGTGGACCTGGGATGCTCAAGCTTGGTGGGCGGGTGGGGAGGGAGAGTAGCTGCCATTACTGAGGCTTGAGGAGGCAGCTTTCCCCTTACAGTGTAAACAAAGCGCCAGGAACTTCAAACTAGGCGGAGTCCACTGCAGCTCCGCAGAGCCGCTGTAGCCATACTGCCTCTCTAGATTCCTCCTCTCTGGGCAGGGCATCTCTGAAAGAAAGGCATCAGCCCCAGTCAGGAGCTTACAGGTAAAACTCCCAACTCCCTGGGATAGAGTACCTGGGGGAAGGGGCGGCTGTGAGCGCAGCTTCAGCAGAAGTAAACATTCCTGCCTGCTGGCTCTAAAGAGAGCAGCGGATCTCCCAGCACAGCCCTCACACTCTGCTAAGGGACAGACTGCCTCCTCAAGTGGGTCCCTGACCCTTTTACCTCTTGACTAGGTGACACCTCCCAGCCGGGGTCGACAGACACCTCATACAGGAGAGCTCCGGCTGGCATCTGGCAGGTGCCCTTCTGGGACAAAGCTTCCAGAGGAAGGAACAGGCAGCAATCTTTGCTGTTCTGCAGCCTCTGCTGGTGATACCCAGGCAAACCGGGTGTGCAGTGGACCTCCAAGAAACTCCAGCTGACCTGCAGCAGTGGGGCCTGACTGTTAGAAGGAAAATTAACAAACAGAAAGGAACAGCATCAACATCAACAAAAAGGACGTCCACATCACGAAGATGAGGAAAAACCAATGCAAAAAGGCTGAAAATTCCGAAAACCAGAATGCCTCTTCTCCTCCCAAGGATCACAACTCCTCGTCAGCAAGGGAACAAAATGGGACAGAGAATGAGTTTGACAAATTGACAGAAGTAGGCTTCAGAAGGTGGGTAATAACAAACTCCTCCAAGCTAAAGAAGCATGCTCTAACCCAATGCAAGGAAGCTAAGAAACTTGAAAAAAGGTTAGAGGAATTGCTAACTAGAATAACCAGTTTAGAGAAAAACAGAAATGACCTGATGGAGCTGAAAAACACAGCACGAGAACTTCGTGAAGCATATACAAGTATCAATAGCCGAATCGATCAAGCGGAAGAAAGGATATCAGAGATTGAAGATCAACTTAATGAAATAAAGAGTGATGACAAGATGAGAGAAAAAAAGAATGAAAAGGAATGAACAAAGCCTCCAAAAAATATGGGACTATGTGAAAAGACCAAACCTACGTTTGATTGGTGTACCTGAAAGTGAAGGGAGAATGGAACAACTTGGAAAAGGACTCTCCTGTATGAGGTGTCTGTCGACCCCTGCTGGGAGGTGTCACCTAGTCAGGAGGCACAAGGGTCAGGGACCCACTTGAGGAGGCAGTCTGTCCCTTAGCAGAGCGTGAGCGCTGTGCTGGGAGATCCACTGCTGTCTTTAGAGTCAGCAGGCAGGAATATTTACTTCTGCTAAAGCTGCACTCACAGCCGCCCCTTCCCCCAGGTGCTCTTATTATGTGTCCCAAGACACATAATTGTCAGATTTACCAAGGTTGTAATGAATGAAAAAATGTTAAGGGGAGCCAGAGAGAAAGGTCAGGTTACCCACAAAGGGAAGCCCATCAGACTAACAGCAGATCTCTCTGCAGAAACCCTACAAGCCAGAAGAGAGTGGGGGCCAATATTCAACGTTCTTAAAGAAAAGAATTTTCAACCTGGAATTTCATATCCAGCCAAACTAAGCTTCATAAGTGAAGGAGAAATAAAATCCTTTACAGACAAGCACATGCTGAGAGACTTTATCACCATCAGGCCTGCCTTACAAGAACTCCTGAAGGAAGCACTAAATATGGAAAAGGAAAAACCGGTACCAACCACTGCAAAAACATACCAAATTGTAAAGACCATCAACACTATGAAGCAACTGCATCAATTAACAGGCAAAATAACCAGCTACCATCATAATGACAGGATCAAATTTACACATAACAATATTAACCTTAAATGTAAACAGGCTAAATGCCCCGATTAAAAGACACAGACTGGCAAATTGGATAAAGAGTCAAGACTCATCAGTGTGCTGTATTCAGGAGACCCATCTCACATGCAAAGACACACATAGACTCAAAAGGATGGAGGAAGATTTAACGAGCAAATGGAAAGCAAAAAAATAAAACAGGGGTTGCAATCCTAGTCTCTGATAAAACAGACTTTAAACCAACAAAGATCAAAAAAGACAAAGAAGGGCATTACATAATGGTAAAGGGATCAATGCAACAAGAAGAGCTAACTATGCTAAATATATATGAACCCAATACAGGTGCACCCAGATTCATAAAGCAAGTTCTTAGAGACCTATAAAGAGACTTAGACTCCCACACAGTAATAGTGGGAGACTTTAACACCCCACTGTCAATATTAGACAGATCAACAACACATAAAATTAACAAGGATATTCAGGGCTTGAACTCAGCTCTGGACCAAGTGGACCTAATAGACATCTACAGAACTCTACACCCCAAATAAACGGAATATACATTCTTCTCAGCACCACATCCCACTTATTCTAAAATTGACCGCATAATTGAAAGTAAAACACTCCTCAGCAAATGCAAAAGAATGGAAATCATAACAAGCAGTCTCTCAGACCACAGTGCAATCAAACTAACACTCAGGATTAAGAAATTCACTCAAAACCACACAACTACATGGAAACTAAACAACCTGCTCCTGAATGACTACTGGGTAAATAACAAAATTAAGGCAGAAATAAATGACTTCTTTGAAACCAATGAGAACAAAGACACAACATACCAAAATACCTGGGACACAGCTAAAGCAGTGTTTAGAGGGAAATTTATAGCACTAAATGCCCACAGGAGAAAGTGGGAAAGATCTAAAATCAAAGAACTAGAGAAGCAAGAGCAAACAAATTCAAAAGCTAGCAGAAGACTAGAAATAACTAAGATCAGAGCAGAACTGAAGGAGATACAGACACGAAAAACCCGTCAAAACATCAATGAATCCAGGAGCTGGTGTTTTGAAGACTAACAAAATAGATAGAACGCTACCCAGACAAATAAAGAAGAAAAGAGAGAAGAATCAAACAGACAATAAAAATGATAAAGGGGAGATCACCAGTGATCCCACAGAAATACAAACTACTATCACAGAATACTATAAACACCTCTATGCAAATAAACTAGAAAATCTAGAAGAAATGGAGAAATTCCTAGACACATACACTGTCCCAAGACCAAACCAGAAAGAAGTCAAATCCCTGAATAAACCATAACAAGTTCAGAAACTGAGGCAGTAATTAATAGCCTACTAACCAAAAAAAGCCCAGGACCAGACAATTAACAATTGAATTCTACCAGAGTCACAAAGAGGAGCTGGTACCATTCCTTCAGAAACTATTCCAAACAACAGAAAAAGAGGGACTCTCCCTAACTCATTTTATGAGGACAGTCATCATCCTGATACCAAAACCTGGCAGAGACACAACAAAAAAAGAAAATTTCAGGCAATATCCCTGATGAACATCAATGTGATAATCCTCAATAAAGTACTGGCGAACCGAATTCAGCAGCATATCAAAAAGCTTATCCACCACGATCAAGTTAGCTTCATCCCTGTGATGCAAGGCTGGTTCAACATATGCAAATCAATAAACATAATCCATCACATAAACAGAACCAACAACAAAAACCACATGATTATCTTAATAGATACAGAAAATTTAACACCACTTCATGCTAAAAACTCTCAATAAGCTAGGTACTGATGGAATGTATCTCAAAATAGTAAGAGCTATTTATGACAAACCCACAGCCAATATCATACTGAATGGGCAAAAGCTGGAAGCATTTTGAAAACCAGCACAAGACAAGGATGCCCTCTCTCACCACTCCTATTCAACATAGTATTGAAAGTTCTGGCCAGGGCAATCACGCAAAAGAAAGAAATAAAGGGTATTCAAATAGGAAGAGAGGAAGTCAAATTGTCTCTGTTTGCAGATGACATGATTGTACATTTAGAAAACCCCATCATCTCAGCCCCCAAATTTCCTAAAGCTGATAAGCAACTTCAGCAAAGTCTCAGAATACAAAATCAATGTGCAAAAATCACAAGCATTCCTATACACCAATAATAGCCAAATCATGAGTGAACTTCCATTCACAACTGCTACAAAGAGAATAAAATACCTAGGAATACAACTTACAAGGGATGTGAAGGACCTCTTCAGGGAAAACTACAAACCACTGCTCAAGGAAATAAGAGAGGACACAAACAAATGGAAAAACATTCCACGCTCATGGATAGGAAGAATCAGTATCGTGAAAATGGCCATACTACCCAAAGTAATTTATAGATTCAATACCATCCCCATCAAGCTACCACTGACTTTCTTCACAGAATTGGAAAAAACTACTTTAAATTTCATATGGAATCAAAAAACAGCCCGCATAGCCAAGACAATCCTAAGCAAAAAGAACAAAGCTGGAGGCATCATACTACCTGACTTCAAACTATACTAGAAGGCTACAGTAACCAAAACAGCATGATACTGGTGCTAAAACAGATATATAGACCAATAATACAGAACAGAGGGCTCAGAAATAATGCCACACATCTACAGCCATCTGATCTTTGACAAACCTGACTAAACAAGCAATGGGGAAAGGATTCCCTATTTAATAAACAGTGTTGGGAAAACTGGCAAGCCATATGCAGAAAACTGAAACTGGACCCCTTCCTTACACCTTATACAGAAATTAACTCAAGATAGATTAAAGACTTAAATGTAAGACCTAAAACCATAAAAACCCTAGAATAAAACCTAGAAGAATACCATTCAGGACATAGGCATGGGCAAAGGCTTCATAACTAAAACATAAAAAGCAATGGCAACAAAAGCCAAAATTGACAGATGGGATCTAATTAAACTAAAGAACTTCTGCACAGTAAAAGCAACTATCATCAGAGTGAACAGACAACCTACAGAATGGGAAACAATTATTTCAATCTATCCATCTGACAAAGGGCTAATATCCAGAATCTACAAGGAACTTAAACAAATTTACAAGAAAGAAACAACCCCATCAAAAAGGGCGAAGGATATGAACAGACACTTCTCCAAAGAAGACATTTATGCAGCCAACATACATATGAAAAAAAGCTCATCATCACTGGTCACTAGAGAAATGCAAATCAAAACCACAATGAGATACTATCTCACGCCAGTTAGAATGGTGATCATTAAAAAGTCAGGAAACAACAGATGCTGGAGAGGACATGGAGAAATAGGAAGACTTTTACATTGTGGAAGACAGTGTGGCGATTCCTCAAGGATCTAGAACCAGAAATATCATTTGGCCCAGCAATCCCATTACTGGGTATATACCAAAGGATTATAAGTCATTCTACTATAAAGACACATGCACACATAGGTTTATTGCAGCACTAGTCACAATATTGGAACCAACCCAAATGCCCATCAACGACAGAGTGGATAAAGAAAATGTGGCACATATACAGTATGGAATATGATGCAGCCATAAAAAAGAATGAGTTCATCTCTTTTGCCGGGACATGGATGAAGCTGGAAACCATCAATCTCGGCAAACTAACACAGGAACAGAAAACCAACCACCACATGTTCTCACTCATAAGTGGAAGTTGAAAAATGAGAACACGTGGACACAGGGAGGGGAACATCACACATCAGGGCCTGTCGGTGGGTGGGGGAGGGCTACGGGAAAGATAGCATTAGGAGAAATACCTAATGTAGATGACGGGTTGATGGGTGCAGCAAACCATGGCACATGTATACCTCTGTAACAAAACTGCATGTTCTGCACACGTATCCCAGAACTTAAAGTATAATTAAAAAAAAAAAAAAAAGAATTGGGCTCTGAGTACAAAGACATTTTAGGAATAATTTAATCAATTTATTTCACTTATACTTTCAACGTATGTTCAAAGATGATACATGATAAAACTGAGTAAATGTAAAATAATTTTTATATTTACTGAGTTTTATATTTGCATTTATTGAAAGAAATAATACTTTATTCTAAGAAAGCACTGTGTAATAGTTTAATTGGCAATGCTTTCTCTTTTCATTCCTCCTCAATGGAATATAAAATGTGTATCTTACAGCTGCTTCAACAGAACATGGAAGCTCGAGGAAGTTCTGTGTGCAATTGATATGGGTTAAATTACTAGCTATTCGCCAAAATCACTTTCCAGTTCCATCCTCTTCCTATAACATATAACTACTTTACATTTCTCAGCCTCTCTTTCAATTAAATATGGCCGTATGACTGAGATCTAGCCCAAGACATGTAAGTCAAAACAGGTGTACCATTGTACTTCCAAGTCTAGCTCATAACAGCCTCCAACTCAGTCCTTCCCTTTCCCCTTCCCCCTAAGGTTCTCCAGGGCAACATGTTAAAGACATTCAACTCTGTCTCTGAAAGACTACGTGAAGCAGAATGTCCCCCAGCCCCAACACACAAACACTCCTATACCTCTACCACCTCTTCACTGATACTAATCATGTATACCCACTCTGGACTGTCAGGTAAACTAGAAATAAACTTTATTGGGTTAAGCCACTTAACTTGAGGGTTTGTTATATCACCTAGTTCTAGCCAAACTTAACACAGTTGCTTTTCACATTATAAATTATTAAGTTCAAGGAAAATAGTGAAATAGGAAGCTCTGAGGTTTTGTTCCCCACAGAGAAACATCAAAAAACAAAGAGAAACTGCCTGAACAAACTTTGTTGAAGTGCTGGAAAACAGTCAAAGAGCAGGAAAGTTCTGTAGCTTTGTAGTTCTAACCCTTCTGGGGGATACCTAAAGGCCTGAGTAAGACTTTCATTTCTATTTAGCCTAACACAAAACTCAGGTGAAAAAGAGCAGCAGGCCCTGCTCTTAAAGTTCCAAGGCCGCTACAGACTCACAGACCCCTGGGACAATACAAAAGACTAGGTAAGGCCCTAAAGAGAAGATAAGGTGAGGCTCTTTGGGAAATAAGAATATTCAAAAGCTCTGGGCGTGGTGGCTCACGCCTGTAATCCCAGCACTTTGGGAGGCGAAGGTAGGCGGATCACGAGGTCAAGAGATCGAGAGCATCCTGGCTAACACGGTGAAACCGCGTCTCTACTAAAAATACAAAAAATTAGCTGGGCATGGTGGTGGGCGCCTGTAGTCCCAGCTACTCGGGAGGCTGAGGCAGGAGAATGGTGTGAACCTGGGAGGCGGAGCTTGCAGTGAGCCGAGATGGCGCCACTGCACTCCAGCCTGGGCAACAGAGCAAGACTCCATCTCAAAAAAAAAAAAAAAAAAAAGAATATTCAAAAGCAGTTGTGTATACAGGGGAATTTAGAAAGTCACGTACATGACCAAGCAAGATTCATGCTCAGAAAATACCTAAGAAGATGATCCCTATGTTCAAAAGAAGCCTACTTAAGAGATGAAAGAGTAACCCATCACAGAGCTAACTGCAAAAACTGGGAGAACTCCTGAGGAAATCTCTGTAACTTAAGCTGAACACACACTAAAGGAACAGAATTCAATAATCACACACAACAAGGACTAGTCTTTGCAAAAATTGTTTGGAAAGTCTCAGGACAAATGGACTACTACAGCCTTCAACAAGTACTCAATCAATCAATAAATAAAACGAAAAACAACAAACCCAGAAGAAGGGAGAAATCTGATTCCCAGAGTTACCACATAATAGTCAAATGTCTGATTTTCAACAAAAGAGAAAACAATGGCCCATTCAAAGGAACAATTAAGATGACAAACAAGCCCAGACAATGGACTTATGGACTTTTTAAATTTAATTTTATTTTTTTTGAGATGGAGTTTCACTCTTGTTGCCCAGGCTGGAGTGCAAGGGTGCGATCTCGGCTCACTGCAGCCACCACCTCCCAGGTTCAAGTGATTCCCCTGCCTCAGCCTCTCGAGTAGCTGGGATTACAGGCATGTGCCACCACGACTGGCTAATTTCTGTATTTTTAGTAGGGACGGGGTTTCTCCGTATTGGTCAGGCTGGTCTTGAACTCCCAACCTCAGGTGATACGCCTGCCTCGGCCTCCCAAAGTGCTGGGATTACAGGCATGAGCCACCGCGCCCGGCTGACAATGGGCTTTCTGTAATCACAAACTGCAATCTACATCCCAGATTGCAAATCACAAAGCCTGAGCATGTGCAGATTAATCCAGCATGCCTGATTGGTGTATCCAGGAGCCAAATTTACCTCTAGTTTAACCTCCAAACTGCCCTTGGTCATTCCTAGGCATGGCCCGAGCTAATTTTGAAAGAAATTTAGTTTACAGTTTAAATGATAATAGCCTCCCCAAACCTAAACCACTTGTAAAACTAATAAAAGGCCATCCACCAGGTTAGAAGGATGACAGAGGCATGAATTCTGCTAAGATGTAGGTATAGTTAAACAATTACCAGCCATTATTCGGAGGATACAAGATTTGCAACTTCCCCAATTACTCCTATAAGTAACATCACTATTGTAGAACCTAAGATTGGCCTTTTCGGATTGCAAATGTCTTTTCAGACTTTTGCATTTCTCACAACAAGATGGCTCCACCCAGATCCAAGACTCATGATTCAATGGTCCTGTGGCAGACTCAGCACATGAGGACCATTTTCCACACCCCTATATTTCATCCCGAACCAATCAGCAGCACCCATTCCCTAGCTCCCTGCCCACCAAACTACTTTCAAAAAAACACTACCCAGCTAGGCGCAGTGGCTCACAACTGTAATCCCAGCACTTTGGGAGGCTGAGGTGGGCGGATCACAAAGTCAGGAGATCAAGACCATCTTGGCTAACACAGTGAAACCCCATCTCTACTAAAACAATATACAAAAAATTAGCCGGGCATGGTGGCACGTGCCTGGTCCCAGCTCCTCAGAAGGCTGAGACAGGAGAAACGCTTGAACCCAGGAGGCAGAGGTTGCAGTAAGCCAAGATTGCGCCACGGCACTCCAACCTGGGCAACAGAGCAAAACTCCATCTCAAAACAAACAAACACTACGCTCCAAATTTATGGAGAGGCTAATTTGAGTAATAGTAAAACTCCAGTCTCCTATTTAGCCAGCTCTACGTGTATTACACTCTGTCTCTATTGCAATTCCCTTGTCTTGATAAATAGGCTCTATCTGGGCAGCAGGCAACAGGAACCCTCTGGTCAGTTACAGAACCTCAGTAACTGAACCCAGGGCAGAGCAAATTAAGAAGCAAGGAGTGCCCTGTTTTGCTGCAGAGTTAATTTAAGGGTCAAGGTCCCTGCACTACCTCCTGAACAGCCCAATGAGATCATGCCTCATTGTATTTTCCTGTCTCCCCTCATAGTCACTCTGCCTATAAAACCTGTCCCCAGACCCTAGCTTAAGGAGACAGATTCGAGCACTGCCTCCTCTCTCCTTGCTAGTCAACCTTGCAATAAAGCTTTTTCTTTTATCAAAGGCTGGTGCCATAATATTTGCTTCTATGCACACTGGGCAGCAAGCCCACTGCTCAATGACAATTCCGGTGACCCAGATGAGATGAGTGACATTAACAGAAGACTTTAAAACAATCATCTTTAGAAGAAAATTAGGAAAACAATGTATAAACTGAATGAGACCAACGAAGAGAAAAGAACCAACCAGAAACTCTGGAGCTAAAAAGAATAACCAAAATGAAAAATTCATGGGAGGGTTCAAAAGCAGAATTTAGCTGAAAGAAGAAATAACTTAAGAGATAAAAATCAATAACAGAAGGAAAACTAAAAGATATGTGGAAATTAGGCAACATACTCCTGAAAAATGGGGAAAGGAATCAGAAAATTCATTGAGATAGAGACAACATATCAAAACTTAGAGCATGCAGTGAAAACAGTGCTAAGAGAAAATTTAGAGCTATAAATGCATACATTAAATAAGAAGATCTCATTTCAACAGCGTAACTTTACACCTAAGGAACTTAAGAACAAACTAAACCCAAAGCTACCAGAAGGAAGGAAATACTAAAAATAAGAGTGGTGATAAATAAAACAGAAAAAAAAAATAAAGGAAATCAACAAAACAAAATTTTAGTTCTTTAAAAAGATCAACAATATTGACAAACCTTTAGCTGTATTGATTAAGAAAATAAGAAAGAGTACACAAATTACTATGATCAGAAATTAAAGTGAGGACATTACTATTGATTCTACAGAAATAATTATGAGAATACAATGAAAAATGATATGCCAAAAAGTTGGATCACCTAGATAAAATGAATATATTCACAGAAGCACACAATCTACCCAAACTGACAAAGAAATAGAAAACTTCAATAGACCTATAATTAGTAAGGAGACTGAATAAGTAACCAAAAGCTTCCAACAACAACCAAAAAGTCCAAGACCACATAGCTTGACTGATGAATTCTACTGAAACATCTAAGGAAGAATTAACACCAATCCTCTCAAACTCTTCCAGAAATTTAAAGAAAAGAGAATACTTCCTAATTCATCCTTATAGCCAGCATTACCCTGATAACAAAGGCAGAAAAAGATACAAGAAAACCAGACCAATATCCTTTATGAATCACAATGAAAAAAATCCTCAATACTAGCAAACTGAATTCAGCAGCATCTTAAAAGGAATACACAACGTGACCAAGTGTGATTTACTCCCAGAATACAAGGATGGTTCAATATAATCAATGTAATACTCCAACATGAAGAATGAAGGATGTGAACTACATGATCATCTAAACTTATATAGAAAATGCATTTTACAAAATTCAACACCCTCCCATGATAAAAACCCTCAATAACCTATGAATAACTTGAACATAATGGAGACATATGAAAAATCCACAGGTAACACAATACTCAATACTCAGTGGTGAAAGACTGAAAGCATTTTCCTTAAGATCAGAAACAAAATAATGATGTCCACTTTCACTTATTCTAGCCAACATAATATTGGAAGTTTTAGCCAGAGTAATCAGGCAAGAAAAAGAAATAAAAGACATTCAAACTAGAAAGGAAGATGTAAAACTATCTCTGTTCACAGATGACATGATCGTAAATGCAGAAAACCCGAAAAATTGTTAGCTTGAATACATCAAAGCTGCAGGATACAAAATCAATACATGAAAATCAGTTTCATTTCTGTACACTTGCAATGAACATTGATAAGAAAATTAAGAAAACAATTCAATTTACAATAGCATCACAAAGAATAAAATAATTAGTAATATACTTAACCAAGGATGTGAAAGATTATTCACTGAAAACTACAAAACAGTGCTAAAAGAAGTTAAAGAAAACATAAGTAAGTAGAAAGACATCGCATGTTCATGGATTGGAACTCTAAATATTGTGAAGATGACAACACTACCCAAAATGATCTACAGATTCAATATAATCGGCATCCCAACAGTATTTTTTGTGGGGAAAAAAAATCCTAAAATTCATTTGGAATCTCAAGGGACACCAAACAGCTATGCAATCTTCAAAAAGAAAAAGTTGGAAGACTCACACTTCCTGATTTCAAAACTTACTACAAAGCTACATTAATCAAAATAATGTGGTTCTGGATTACAAGAGATTTACAAATCAATAGAATGTTTTTTTCAAATTGATTTTCAACACGAGTGCCAAGACCATTCAAATGTCTTGAAAAGACAAGTCTTTTCAACAGCAAATACTGGAAAACTGGGTATCAACATGCAAAAAGGATCTTTATACCATATACAAAACTTAATACAAAATGGATCAAAGACCAAGCAAAAGCTAAATCAATGAGACCCTTAGAAGAAAACAAGAGAAAATTTATGAAACATTGGATTTAACAATGTCTTCTAGAATATACACCAAAAGCAATCAACCAGAGAAAAAACAGATAAACTGGACTTCATCAAAATTAAAAACTTTTCAATCAAAGGACACTATTAAGAGAGTGAAAAGACGACCCACAAAGTGTGAGAAAACACCTGCAAATAATATATCTGATAAGGAATTAATATCCAGAACATACAAAGGAATTCCTACAACAAGGAAATCCAACTCAACAATGGACAAAGGATTTGAATAGATACTTCTCCAAAGAAATACACATGGCCAATAAGCATCTATAAAGATGCTCATCAAAAGCACAAACAACCAAAACCAAAACAGAAAATAAATAATGGCCAAGAACATGGAGAAACTGGAACCCCTGTGCATTGGTGGTGGGAATAGCACTGGCGGTTGGAATGTAAAATACTATAGCCACTACAGAAAAGTTTTGTGTCTCCTCAAAAAGTTAAGTAGAATTACCATGTGATCTAGCAATTCCACTCTTAGTTAATACCCAAAATAATTGAAAACAGGGACTTAAAAAGATACTTCTAAACCAATATTCATAGCAGCATTATTCACAGTTGATAAAGGTGGAAACAACCCAAATATCCAACAGTTAAATGGATAAACAGAATGTGCTATACACATACAGTGTAATAATATTCGGCCTTAAAAATAATAAAATTCTTACACATACTACAACATGGAGGAATCCAGAAAGCATTATGCTAAGTGAAATAAGCTAGACATGAAAGATAAACATGTTATGATTCCACTTACATGATTGTATCTACAACTGGCAAATTTATAGAGACAGTCAAGAATAAGAGGGGACAGGTGAGAAGGAAGACTGTATAGTGTAGATATTGTTTAATGGGTACAAAGTTTACAAAGTTTCTTTCATTTCATTTTAAGAGAGGAGGTCTACTCTGTTGCCCAGGCTGGAGTACAGTAGTGCAAATCACAGCTCATCGCAGCCTCAAACTCCTGGGTTCAAGCAATCCTCCTACTTCAGCCTCCTGAATAGGTGGGACAACAAGTGCACACCACCAGTTTTTTTTGAATGTTCATTTTAGAGATGAAGTCTCACTATGTTGCCAAGGCTGGTCTCAAACTTCTAGCCTCAAGCTATCCTCCTGCTTCAGCCTCCTGAGTAGCTGGGATTACAGGAGCAAGCCACTGTACCCAGCTCAAAGTTTCTATCTGGGAATATGAAAAAATTGTGAAAATGGATACTGGTGATTGTCGCACAGCACTGTGAATGTACTCAATGTCACTAAACTGAACATTTAAAAATAGTAAAAATGGCAAATTCTATGTTATGTATATTTTACCATAATTAAAAAGCTTAAATTTACAAGAGTAGATTGGGAAACAAGAGAACTCAAGAAAAGGGGCTGGGCACAGTGGCTCACACTTGTAATACCAGCACTTTGAATGGCCAATTGCTTGAGCCCAGGAGTTCGAGACTAGCCTGTGCAACATGGTAAAACCCCACCTCTACAAAAAAAAAAAAAAAAAAATTTGCTGGGCATGGTTGTGTGCACCTGTAGTCCCAACTACTCAGGAGGCTGAGGTAGGAGAATTGATTGAGCCCAGGAGGTCAAGGTTCCAGTGAGCCATGATTGCACCATTGCACTCCAGCCTGGGCAACAGCAAGACCCTATCTAAAAAAACAAAACAAAACAAAAAAACAGAAAGAAAAGCAAGTAAAGATTAATCAAGAAAGAACAGATGTATTCGGTTATTGAAGGAAACAGAGAAAATTAAATGAGGAACTGGTATGATAAGTGAACACAGAAAAGCTATGAAAGAAGAACAGATATATCTGCAGGAGGAAAAAATGGCAAGTGAATTAACTCTGGAGAAGCAAAAACGATATTAAGGGGTGGAAACTGCATACCCTCTAAATTATTGTATGAACTGTTGCCAATTTATTCTCATCGTATTGAAGTTTCTGTAGCTCTCCTGCTCAAAAATCTTCATAGGTTTTCATTGCCCTGGCACGATATTTTCTTACTTATTTCATCGGCAATCCTCAACCTGGTTCCAAATCAAAGGCTTAGATAAATCAATAAGCTATACTTAAATTCTTGTTTTAAACACGTTGATGAAAATTCAGTAACTAAATATTTCAGAAAAGACAAAAACATTATGAAATACAATTTCTCTGTCAACTTAAAAATAAACTAAATGAATACATCTGAAAGAAGACATTAAGAAGACTCTCTCCTATGCAAAAATTATTGGGGGTGGGGGGGAGGGGGGAGCAAGAAAGGAAAAGTTGTCGTCTCTGGCTACCACCAATCTGTAACCCATGTCAAAATATCTGTTCACGCTGACCAAAATGTATTTAAGGAAAATCCTTATTTACTAACATAATTCATTTAATATGTTAAAAAGAAAACTAGTAGACTATGTGATGAAGTTACAGACTTAAGAAATATAAAGAAAGAATTTTCCATCTTGTGTCAACACAAAGTCATGTTTATATATATCAAAAAATGAAAGATTTGGGGGTTTTGTTTTTACAATATTTTTAAAAACAAGCTTCCTTGGGAGCCTGAGGCAGGTGGATCACCTGAGGTCGAGACCAGCCTGGCCAACATCGTGAAACCCATCTCTACTAAAATATAAAAAATTAGCTGGGCGTGATGGCAGGCGCCTGTAACCCCAGCGACTCGGGAGGCTGAGGCAGGAGAACTGCTGGAACCCAGGAGGCGGAGGTTGCAGTGAGACAAGGTCAAGTGCCATGGCACTCCAGCCTGGGCAACAAGAGCGAAACTCCGTCTCAAAAAAAAAAAAAAAAAAAAAAAGCTTAATATAAGGACAATTTACATAATACTTAATGGTACACACTGCAATACACAATGAAATTGATGTGTTGTCAAAATAATCTTAGGAAAGTACAGTTGAGCCAGCTGGGCACGGTGGCTAACGCCTGTAATCCCAGCACTTTGGGAGGCCGAGGTGGGCAGATCACGAGGTCAGGAGATAGAGATCATCCTGGCTAACACGGTGAAACCCCGTCTCTACTAAAAATACAAAAAATTAGCCGGGCATGGTGGCGGGCACCTGTAGTCCTAGCTACTCGGGAGGCTGAGGCAGGAGTATGGCATGAACCTGGGAGGCGGAGCTTGCAGTGAGCCAAGATGGCACCACTGCACTCCAGCCTGGGCGACAGAGAGAGACTTCGTCTCAAAAAAAAAAAAAAAAAGAAAGTACAGTTGACCCTTGAACAACACAGGTTTGAACAGCACAGGTCCACTTATACATTGATTCTTTCAATAAATATATTGGAACATTTTTTAGAGACTTGCAACAATTTGAAAAAAAAACTGGCAGACAAACCACATAGTCTAGAAATATGAAAATTAAGAAAAAGTATGTCATGAATGCTTAAAATACATGTAGACACTAGTCTATTTCATCATTTACTACCATAAAATATACCCAAATCTATTACAAAAATGAAAATTTATCAAAACTTATGCACACACTTATAGATCATACATGGCGCCATTCAGTCAAGAGAAAGGTAAACAAAGGTAAAGAGGCAGTACTAAATCACAACTGCACAAAATTAACCACAGTACATACTGTACTACTGTAATATTTCTTAGCCACCTTCTATTGCTATTGCGGTGACCTCAAGTATTTCAAGTATCCACTTAAAATGCTGTGTGAGGCTGAACACCTCTGCGTAAACAGTCTGTCTCTCCAATAAATTGCATATCACAGTAAAAAAGTGGATCTCTTGCAGTTGTCACATATTTTTTATCATGTTTAGTGCAATACCATAAACCTGAATAACATCACAGACCCACACAAAGTGCCATTAATAATGCTGGAAGTACTCCCAAGAAGCAGAGAAAAGTCATGACGTTAAAAGAAAAAGCTGAAGTGCTTGATATTTAGGTCTGCAGCTGCAATCCCTCACCATTTAAGATACATGAATCCAGCCTAAGAGTCATTATTAAAAAAAGGAAAGAAAATTTGCATCACTACAGCTATGCCCGCAGGTCCGAAAACCTTGCAGTTTTTGCATAATATCTTTTAATCTCATACTGATAATCTCATACTAAAAATGCAGCTTTTATGTGAGTGCAGGATTGCTAGAAGAATGAGCATACCTATAGACTAATAGGACCTGAGAAAAAGCAAAGTCATTATATGACAACTTAAAGCATTAAGGAAGATGAGGATCTAAAGCTGAAGAATTTAATGCCAGCAAAGGATGGTTTGATATGTGTTATAAAGAAGTCTGTCTTAAAATATGTCACACCCTGAGTACGGTGGCTCACACCTGTAATCCCAGCACTTTGGGACGCAGAGGAGGGTGGATCACTTGAGGCCAGGAGTTCCAGACCAGCCTGGCCAACGTGGCGAAACCCCATCTCTACTAAAAATACAAAATTTAGCTGGGCGGGGGTACATGCCTATAACCCCAGCTAACTGGGTAGCTGAGGTACAAGAATCACTTGAACTTGGGAGGCGAAGGTTGCAGTGAGCTAAGATCATGCCACTGTACCCCAGCCTGGGCGACAGAGCGAGACTCTGCCTTTAAAAAAAAAGAAAAGTCGCAATAATAGTAGAAAAAGCTACTGTTGACCAAGAGGCAGAAGGCAAATTCCCAGATGCCATTAAGAAAATCATAGGGGAGGCCAGGCGCGGTGGCTCAGGCCTGTAATCTCAGCACTTTGGGAGGCCGAGGTAGGCAGATCACGAGGTCAGGAGATCAAGACCATCCTGGCTAACACGGTGAAACCCTGTCTCTACTAAAAAATACAAAAACTTAGCCAGGTGTGGTGGCGGGCGCCTGGAGTCCCAGCTAGTCGGGAGGCTGAGGCAGGAGAATGGCATGAACCCGGGAGGCAGAGCTTGCAGTGAGCCGAGATCGGGCCACTGCACTCCAGCCTGGGTGACAGAAGCAAGACTCCGTCTTACAAAAAAAAAAAAATCGAAGAGAAAGAATATCTACTTGAACAGGCTTTTTAACGCAGACAAAAGTGCTCTATTCTGAAGGGGGGGAAATGCCACAAAAGACATTCATTATTAAGGAAGAGATGCAAGCACCAGGATTTAAAACAGGAAGGGACAGGCTGTTTTACGCAAATACAGTCAGGTTTATGATCAAAGTTGCCCTCATTTATAAGGCTGCTAACCTCCAAACCTTGAAGGAAAAAGATAAACACCAGCTGCCAGTCTTTTGGTTGTACAAGAAAGGCCTAGATAATGAGACGCTGTGCTCCTATCAGGAAGCACCTTGCCAGTAAGGGACTGCCTTTTAAAGTTATTTTGAGGTTGTACAATGCCCCTGGCCACCCAGAACCCCATGAGTTCAACACCACAAATATCAAAGTGGTCTACTTGCCCCCAAACACAGTATCTATAATTCAGCTTCTATATCAGGGGGTCATAAGGACCTTTAAGCAGCACTACACACAGTATTCTATGGAAAAGACTGTGAATGCTATGAAAGAGAACCCTGATAGAACATCATGAAAGTTTGGAAGAATTACACCACTGAAAATTCCACTGCTGTTATAGAAAAAGCCATGAAAACCATCAAGCCCAAAACAATATTCATGCTGGAGAAAACTTTGTCCAGATGTTGCACATGGCTTCACAGAATTTATGACACAGTCAATCAAGGAAATCATGAAAGAGACTGGGAATATGGCAAAAAGGGTAGGGGGTGAAGGGTTTCAAGATGCAGATCCTGGAGAAATTCAAGAGCTAACAAACACCAGGTCACCAGAGGAATTAACAGAAGAAAACTTGATGGAGATGAGTGCTTCCAAACCAGTGCCAGACAATGAGAAAGAAGACATACCAGATGCAGTGCCAGAAAACAAACTGACATTAGACAATCTGGCAGAAGGGTTCCTATTATTCAAGACTGTTTTTGATTTATGACATAGAACCTTCTATGACATAGGCACTGAAACTAAGCACTGGAAAAAAGATTAAAGCATTGGTACCATACATTTTTAGAGAAATGAAAAGGCAAAAAAGTCAGACAGAAATTACAATGTATTTCTGTGAAGCTGCATCACGCATGCCTGCCTCCCCCTCTACCTTCCCTCTACCTTTTCTGCCTTTGCCACCCCTGAGACAGCAGGACCAACCAGCCCCCCATCCTCCTAAGCCTATTCAATGTTAAGACAATGAAGATGAAGACTTTTGTGATGACCCACTTCCACTTAATAAACAGTAAGTAGATTTTCTCTTATGATCTTAATAGCACTTTTTCTCTAGCTTCCTTTATTATAGTATGTAATACAGATAAACATGTATAAAAATATGAAATATAAAGTCTTTCTAAATGACCAAATTTTTTTTTAATTTCCAACTTTCATTTAAGTTCAGGGGTGCATGTGCAAGACACACAGCTTTGTTAGACAAATAAACGTGTGCCGTAGTGGCCAGCTACACAGATCAACCCATCACCTAAGTATTGAGCCCAGCATCCATTAGCTATTCTTCCTGATGCTCTCACTCCTCCCATCCTTACCTTCTGACAGGCCCAGTGTGTGTTACTCCCCACAATGTGTCCATGTGTTCTCATCATTCTGCTCCCACATAAAAGTGAGAACATGTGGTATTTGGTTTTCTGTTACTGCGTTAGAGTTTGTCGAGCATAATGGCTTCCAGCTCCATCCGGGTCCCTGCAAAGGACATGATGTTGTTCCTTTTTATGGCTGCATAGTATTGCATGGTGTATATGTACCACATTTTCTTTATCCAGTCTATCATTGGTGGGCATTTAGGTTGAGTCTATGTCTTTGCCATTGTGAACAGTGCTGTAATGAACATACGCCTTCTTTTATTATCTTTATAATAGAATGATTTATATTCATTTGGGTGTATACACCCAGTAATAGGATTGCTGGGTCAAACGGTATTTTTACCTCTATGTCTTTAAGGCATTGTCATACTGTCTTCCACAATGGTTGAGCTAATTTACATTCCCACCAACAGTGTATCAGTGTTCCTCTATAACCTCGCCAGCATCTGTTGTTCTTTGACTTTTTAATGATAGCCATTCAGACTGGTGTGAGTTGGTATCACATTGTGGTTTTGATTTGCATTTGCATCATTACTCATTAGTGATGAGTAATGTTGAGCTTTTTGTCATATGTTTGTTGGCCACATGTATGTCTTCTTTTGAGAAGTGCCTGTTCATGTCCTTTGTCTATTTTTAATGGGGTTGTTTGGTTTTTTCTTGTAAATTTAAGTTCCTTATAGATGCTGGATATAAGACCTTTGTCAGATGGATAGATTATAAAAATTTTCTCCCATTCTGTAGGTTCTCTGTTCATGCTGAGAGTTTCTTTGGCTGTGCAGAAACTCTAGTGTAATTAAATCCCATTTGTCAATTTTTGCTTTTGTTGCAATTGTTTTTGGCATCTTCACATGAAATCTTTGCCCATGCCTAGATCCTGAATGGTACTGCGTATGTTGTCTTCCAGGATTTTTAGTTTGGGGTTTTACATTAAAATCTTTAATCCATCTTGAGTTAATCTGTGTATAAGGTGTAAGGAAGGGGTCCAGTTTCAATTTTCTGCATATGACTAGGCAGTTTTCCCAGCACCATTTATTAAATAGAGAATCCTTTCTCCATTGCTTGTTTGTGATCTCCAGGTTTGTCGGAGATCACATGGTTGTAGGTGTGCAGACTTATTTCTGGGTTTTCTATTCTGTTCCACTGGTCTATGTCTGTTCTTGTACCAGTCCCATGCCATTTTGGTTACTTTGGCCTTGTAGTATAGTTTGAAGTCAGGTAGCGTGATGCCTCTAGCTTTGTTCTTTTTGCTTAGGACTGTCTTGGCTATTTGGGCTCTTTTTTGGTTCCATATGAATTTTAAAGTAGTTTTTTCTAATTCTGTGAAGAATGTTGATAGTAGTTTAATAGGAATAGTACTGAATCTATACCCTGCTTTGGGCAGTATGACCATTTTTGTAATATTGATTCTTCCTATCTATGAGCACGGAACGTTTCTCTGTTTGTGTCCTCTCTGATTTCCTTGAGCAGTGGTTTGTAGGTCTCCTTGAAGAGATCCTTCACTTCCCTTGTTAGCCACATTCCTAAGTATTTTATTCTTTTTGTGGCAACTGTGAATGAGAGCTCATTTGTGACTTGCCTCCCGGCCTGCCTGTTTTTGGTGTATAGCAATGCTAGAGATTTGTATGCATTTATTTTGTATCCTGAGACTTTGCTGAAGTTGCTTATCAGCTTGAAAAGCTACTGGGCTGAGATGATGGGGTTTTCTACGTGTAGGATCATGTCATCTACAAACAAAAATAGTTTGACTTCCTCTCTTTCTAGCTGAATACGCTTTACCTCATTCTCTTGCCTGATTACCCTGCCCAGAACTCCCAACACTATCTTGAATAGGAGTGGTGAGAGAGGCCATCTTTGTCTTGTGTTCGTTTTCAAGGGGAATGCTTCCAGCTTTTGCCCATTCAGTATGGTATTATCATAGATGGCTCTTTAAATGACCAATTTTTAAAAATATTTTATACTTGAGTATAAGATAATTTTATAATTTTCACCTAACTCATCCTCATTATTATTTTATTTTTCCCCTATTGCTGTTCTGTATAAACATTAAAAGTAATTACTCAAAAAGACAATCTAAACTTATAGCCATAGCTGCTTTCCCTGATACTAACCAGTCAGAGAAAATTAGCATAAGCCTGGCAGAGTCTCTGCCAACACTACTCCATCCAAAAAGTGTAACAATAACATTGCTTCTCTAGGTGGTATTCTAGTGGAGCCTTAACACAGTAGTAGGAAAGGAGATTAACAGAAGGCATAACTATTAAACCCAAGAACTAGAACTCTTGTCTCAACAAAGAAGTAATGCCATCTTTCTATCATATCTACCCATCCACCCATTTATATATCTACCTTTGTCTTTCTACCATATCCTGGGCCTATTGTTTAGTAATTCTATGTATTTTATATGGGAGCTATAAATACATGCACGCGCATGCACAAACACACACGTATATGCCTCCTTTGTAGACTGTTAACCACTGGGACATTCTCATTTAATATACATGTTGAGAGGGAGGAAGAGGGAGGAAGAGACAGAGAAGAGGAGAGAAGGAAGGGGCAAATTGAAAATGATAGTCAAAAATTTTAAAAAAAGGACTCTTTGGTCACCTGTGGAGGATTTTAGGGAATGAACTCAATCTGAAAATCAGTAAATAAGGGAAATATGGCATTTATTCTGCTTTCCTTTATAAACCGTACTGCATAATAAAAGACTTAATAACAGAAAGTTCCTCTTTATAGAAGTCTGACAAATAAATAAGGAATGATAAAATTCACATACCACTATTTTGCAACCCCTAATAACGTAATGGATCTAAGCAATAATCACGAATGGCTGCTAAAACCATTAGGTAAAAGGTTGTCAGAGAACTTTACACCAGACAGTTTAGTGACAATATTCAGCTGACAATACATGAACCCAGGGATCAATCTTATCACTACTGAGGGAGACAATGACGCATTATGTGCCCTGTGATATGATGCAAAAAGATGTACAATAATCTATAAAGCATTATTTCAAAAAAATTTAAACCCCACTCTGAACAAACCTCTGGATTTAACTACCAACTCATAAGAAATAAAGGGGACAGAGGAACATGTTCAATGATACCACAGAGATGCAGTAAGCAAAATTCAAAATATAAAAAATTCTGCAGGACAGCCTAGTGTATTCAACAAATAAATTATAAGGGAGGAAGGAAAAAAGGACAGAGAAAGGTAACTATAGATTAAAAGTGACTTAAGGAACAAATCAATTAAATGCAATATATGGACCTTGATTAGATCTTGATTCAAGCAAATCAATTGTAAAAGAAAAAATCCTTTATGAGACAATGGGAAAAACATGAATACTAAGTGGATATTTAATTATATCAAAATTAAATTTTAAGTTAAATTTTAAATGTGAGAGGTAATAATAGTATTTTAGTAAAACAACAAAAATATGCCATCTTTTAGAGATACATACATATGCATATACACAGATACTCATTTATAGATAAAATTTATATGACATATGTGATTTCATTCAAAATAGTCTGGGGGGAAGGTATAGGGAGCACTGGTATAGATGAAATAAAATTGGCCGTGTAATAACTGTTGAAACTGGGTAATGGATGCATTGCTACAGTCAGGCATTGCTTAACAATGGAATACGTTCTGAGAAAGGCGTTGTTAGGTGATTTCATTGCTGTGCAAACATTGTAAGGTATACTACAAAAATCTAGATGGTACACAGTCTATACACACCTAGATTATATGGTACAGCCAATTGCTCCTAGGCTAAAACCCATACAGCATGTTACTGTACAGAATACTGTAGGCAACTATAACACAATGGTAAGTCATTGTGTATTTAAACCTACGTAAACACAGAAAAGGCATAGTAAAAATACAGTATTATAATCTTATGGGACCACCATCATATATGCAGGATGTCAATGACCAAAACATCATTTTGTGGCACATGACTGTATTCTAGCTTTACATATATTTATAAATGCTCATTAAAAGTTTGGAAAAAGAGGCAGGTGCAGTGGCTCACGTCTGTAATCCCAGCACCTTAGGAGGCCAACATGGGCAGATCACTTGAGGTCAGGAGTTCAAGACCAGCCTGGCCAACACAGTGAAAGCCCATCTCCACAAAAAATACAAAAATTAGTCAGGCGTGGTGGCACGCATCTATAATCCCAGCTACTCAGGAGCTCAGCAGGAGAATTGCTTGAAGCCAGGAGGTGGAGGTTGTAGTGAGCCCACATCGCGCCACTGCACTCCAGCCCGGGGCACAAAGTAAGTGAGACTCAGTCTCAAAAAAAAAAAAAAGTTTGGAGAAAGAATTGTCCCTTGTAGATTATTAACTCTTCAGGCATTCTTATTTAACTTACGATTAAGCCCCACCAACCCATAAGGCACCATTCCAGGTGCTAGAGACAGTACAATAGGAGAGACAAGAATTTTAAAATCCCCACAACATAGCAACTGACAAATGATATTGAATTATTACATAATTGGTAACACAGAGGAAGAATTAGAAATATGTAAGTCTAGAAATTAGCTAACAACAGTTAATAAATATGAACATAAACAGCAAGCAAATTATGTATTTAATGGGTTTTTCTGGATGGGGTTTTTGTTTTTTGGGTTTTTTTATTTTTATTTTTTGGTAATCATCTCCCATTCTTTCCTCTTCCAATCCATGGCTTTCCAATATTACCAAAGGGGTAAGTCAAAATAAAACTTGCTTCCCCCTTTCCATATAAACACTGATTTTGTGTTCCTTGGCAATATTTTGTTTCCTTTTGTTTCAAGAAGGCTTAAAATCCAAATTGTTACAAATATATTTGGCTGCTCCCCTCTTTTTTATTTAACTTTCTATTGTATTATAATAACAAGAAGCATTTGGTTAAAGTAAAATAAATCTGAACAAAGCAAGAAAAAAATTAAAAGCAATAGCTCAAGAACTATTCAAGTACTCAGGAATATTTAGGCAAAAATGGTCCTCTATAAAAACGTAAGTAATGATAAGATATTAAATTTAAAACTGATATACTGTTCTAACCCGATAAATATTGTTCATTTCCTATAATTAGAAACTAAGTGACAAGGAATTATAGAATTCTTTTAATACTTAGTTTAAAATCCCATATTTAATAAATATCAATACCTACTTATACATGTATAAGCAATGACTTAAAACGTTTCAAATATAACCATATGTATAGTTTTCCTTTATTATTTTTTGTAAATTTATATTTTTAAAGGATTTTTAAACTGTTAAAACACTAAAACTCTCTTGACTAATATTTTTTAATAACTGAGCACTGAATAGGTAACACAAGAAAAAGTCATATGAAAAATGTGTATTGTATATAAATATTTACAAATATTACTTGTAAAATGAGCCATTCCACTTCATGAAAAAGGAAGAGGCCATTCACCAGAGTCTGGGTCACAACAGAGAGAAGCAAGTAACATTTCAGGAAAAATAGAAATATAATTTTGATCACATCACCTTGTTCCCCATGGAGGACTTTCAAGTTTAAAACAGCATAAGGGGGAAAATAAGAAACACACAGAGCAGTTGTAACCACTTATAAAGCTCATATTGGGAGGCAGGATTAAACATGCAATATCTTGTTAGAGGATAACTATGTTAGGTGTTATTCTATTCAATGTATTCTTTTCTAATTTGGGGAACATTTACTACAGGTTGAGTAGTCCTAATGCAAAAATTCAAAATCCCAAATGCTCCAAAATCTGAAACTTTTTGAGCACCAACATAATGCTCAAAGGAAATGCTCACTGGAACATTTTGGATTTTGGATTAGGAATGCTGAACCAGCAAGTATAATCCAAACAATCCAAAACCCCAAACACTTCTGGTCCTGTGCATTTTGGATAAGGGATACTCGACCTGTAGCCATTTAAAAAAAAGAAGAAGATAGTGCTGCTGCTGAAATATTCAATACCAGTTGCTTATAAACAAAAAAAGAAATTACTGAGACTCAAACATGAAGAGGCACATAGCCTTAGGTAAGACAGAGGACCAGAATTCTGTTCTCCTGATTTCTAGCCCTGTATTCTTTTCATTACACAGCACTCTCCTCTCTTTCAATGATGTCTTAACCAGACCTTTTTTTTTTTTAACCTTTGTACAAGATTTTATTAAAGGTCTTTACAGAGCAACAACCAGACTCCAGAATACAGCTGCCAAGGAGACCCTGTTACACTGTGGGGACTGGCTAGGGCAATGCAGGTGGCTCTGGCTTCCCACCCTTCTGTTCTGAGACGGGGTGGTGGGCAGCAAATCATCTTTGGGTTCCATGATGCTCACGTGATCAGGCAGGGGCTTCTTAAGGCCAATCTTATCAGTTTGGAATCAGACCATTCTTAAAACAACTTGCATTTACAGAAGACACTGGGCAGACAGGTCAGATGTGCACATCCCAATCAGCTTGTCCAATGACCCCATTAGAACGTGGGGTAGAGCTGCTACCCCGCTTGCCCAAGGTCACACGTTTCCAGGCTACGTAAGGTCTAAAAGAACCCACAGCTTTTCACTGCTAATCCCACATGCTTTGCCTTTCTAGAAAAACAAAGTTGTGTCTAAAACCCAAATCCTCAGGTCAATGTGTTCTCTTCACAGACACCAAGGCCTAATCTTTCCCTTCAGATTTTATCCATAGGAATTCCATGCTAGTCTTTATTCTGGGCCCATAGTACCCGGTGTAGTTCCATCGATCTAAGACCACAACCTTTGAAATTAGCATGTTTCAAGTCCATTTCATAAAGTCTTTCTCAACTGTTAAGCACCTTAAGAAGCACCGTTTGTCTAAACTTCACATCCAGATCATTAATACCAACGAGTGTTAATTCAAAGACAAGCATATTAAACATCCATTAAATCTATTATGTTGTTTTTAGAAACTTTTTCACGTACCTTTTTAATCCTTAAAACTTCCTTTATATTCTAACATAATCTAGATTCCCACCAAATCATAAAGACTTTGAGAGTAAATTCTGTCATACAAATACTTTACATACAGACATAATAACACATCATACAAAATATATTCTCTAAAATAATGAGAAATGTTCTTTGGTTTTTCTATTTTTCCTAATATACTCTCTCTTTCAGCTGTATCCCCAATCCTAAAAATAACATAAGATAATCGATTATAAATGAACTTAAAGCAAACTCAAAGGGCCACACCACCAAAGCAGCAAATCTCTAATAGCATTTGCTCCAAGAACTGTTACAGAATAGAAAAAATAAAAAAGGACCTGTAAAAAAAGTACCATATTATAAATGTGGTATATTTCAGAACACAAATTATGTTAATATACTTTCCTAAGTTTAAAAAACACCGTAGGTTACTAAAAACAATTAAATCACAACCAAACAATAATTTCAAATAGCAAAATAGTAATCTCTTTATTGAACGCCAGTTATTCATTTCTGTCAACAATTGTCCTAAAATGGGAAAAATATCTACCTAAAAAATGTTCCGAGAAACTTACCATCATTTTGGCCCTTGCCCTTCATCTCCTCCTTCCATGATAGAATGCTGTTCAGGGGAATATAGTCTCTTAGGTATTCTTTGCGTCTCTCTTCTAAGGTCATCTTCAATAAACGTTCTTGCAAAATAAAAGCAGAATCTCCATTTGTATTTAACGTTTAAACATGGGAATTATTTTTATACTTTAAGTATTAACCAAGTTAAGCTAACAAAAGAGTTGATACAGTCCTGAAGAACACAATGCAAATCCAGTGACTCCATATTTAAATGTTAAAAAATGTTAAATTTCATATTACCAGGGGAGAAAAAAATCAAAGCCTGATGAAGACTCTCTTATGATAGTCCAAGAAATAAGTAAACTCATTTACACTTTCAAGCAACATCTACAGTTTACTATGGGCCAGGTGATATGCTGGATAAGTGATATGGTTTGGATATATATCCCCTGAAATCTTATGTTGAAATGTAATCCCCAATGTGTGACATGGTGTCTAGTGGGAGGTAATTGGGTCATGGGAGCAGATCCCTCATGGCCTGGTGCTAGCCTCAAGATAGTGAGTTTTCGTGAGATCTGGTTGTTTGAAAGTGTGTGGCACTTCCCCCCAACCCTCTCGTGCTACTGTTCTTGCCACGTGAAGTGCCTGCTCCTACTTCATCTTGCCCCGTAAGTAAAAGCTCCCTCCGCTTCATCTTGCCCTGTAAGTAAAAGCTCCCTGAGGCCTCCCAGAAGACCTAACAGATGCCAATGCTATCCTTGTGTTGCCTGCAGAACCATGAGTCTATTAAACGTCTTTTTTTTAATAAATTACTCAGTCTTAGGCATTTCTTTACAGCAACTGCAAGAACAGTCTAACACAGTAAGATACAAAATAGTATCTATATAAATAAAATGCTAAGACAGGTATGTACAAATAGTAAGAGCACAAAAAAAGGCAACCACCAAGATATTTCCTCAACTGCACTATCAATTTACTTACAGCTTTGTGTAGATGATATAAGAATTGCTTTAAATATATATATCTTGACGATAAAATGAAAATATTTTACAAATTGCATCTTAGAATTAGAGTGGATGTCATTTATAAAGAACTCACTATGGCCAGGTACTTCACATGTATATCTCATTAAAATAATCTTCCTAATAACTCATAAAATTGATAGTATTATTATGCCAATTTTGCAGATAGGGAAATGAAGCACAGCAAAGTAGTTTGCCCAAAGCAAGAGAGGTTTCAGGAAGTGAGCCAAAATTAAAATTCAGACAAACATCTCCATTAATCAAAGACTACACCCTATGTTATTTATTCCACTGTACTACACTACATTCTCAGGAAAACTCCCCGAAAAAGGTAATATGTATGCTGCTTCACAAAGGACAGGAAGAATTTTGCATGAAGAGGTAAAAAGAACATTTCAGACTAACAAAACAATGTAAACAAAGGAGGTATGAATACTATAACTAAATGAAGCTGCAAGATATGGTATGAGAAGAGGAATGGCCACAGAAGTGAAAAGTAGCCGGAAACAAAAGTAAAACAAAACTGTACAGGGACTTGTATGCCATAGTGAGCAGTTTAACCTTTATCCTATAGACTACTAATATTGAAAGTTGATTATGCATTTCCCAGAGGGTGTATAAAACAACCCACTAGGACACAGGAAAACATGCAAATAATTCTATTTACATTCGTTTTTCACCTAAACAAGGAAGAAATATTTACCAATATTCAATGTATAAACTGACACTGGCTTCTTCACTCTGTATGTCAGCTTTCATGTCTCCCATACCATACCAATGGTCTCCACGATGTAGAGAGTGAGAGAGAGAGACAGTTATTTCTCATACTCTGCAATTCTCTTTCAGTGTATCACAAGGTACTGCAGTTTAGATAAATGGATGCAGGGATAGTTAGTATCTAGTTTAAGGTAATCTAACCTTCAAAAAATAACCACTTTAAAAGACTATTTCACAGAAATAAACTACAGAAGTATTAATGTAAGCACAAGTGAACAGAAAATGGGGAACCAATATTTTTCCCACTCCTATAACTAGAACTTCAGCCACATTAGGAGACAAAAAAAAAAGGTATCTTAATCAGAGGTGACATATTCACAAAAATTGAGTTTAAGGTACCTATAGGACATTGAAGAAGTTGAAATCAAGAATCTGGAAATTTAAAGAGTGGTCTAGCCTAGAGACTTTAGAAAATATAACCTAAAATTCTAGTCCTAAAGGAAAAAGAAGAGGGAACGGAAGGAAGCATCAAACCTCAAAACACAGTATTTAGGAAGTGGGCACAAATAGGAAAACAATGAAATAAATCGTAGTTGTCACCATGGGTGCAAGTTCCTGGTACAAGGAAACATTCAGAAAACAGAGTTGTTTTTTTCTTGAGACAGAGTCTTGCTCTGTCACCAGGCTGGAGTGCAGTAGCGCGATATCAGCTCACTGCAACCTCCGCCTCCTGGGTTCAAGCGATTCTCCTGCCTCAGCCTCCTGAGTAGCTGGGACTACAGGTGCACTAAGGGAAATACCACAGACTGCTACAGGAAGGTCAGAAAAAGTGAAAATTACTTAGCCATTAACCTGCTTTTATCAATGTGGTTACCAACAGCATGGAATAAAGAGGAAAAGTGGTTAACAGAGCTGTTTGAGTTGTAATCTAAATGGTGCAAATCTGTAGGTTACTTAACCTCTTTATGTTTCAGTTTCCCTTCGAGGTAAGTAGGCAGGTATTATTCCCAACTTATAGATAAGGAAACTATAAACAACGTCAAATAACTTACCTAAAGTACCACAGCTAGTTAAGCAGTATAAGTAGGACTCAAACCCAGGCAACTGGTATTCAAAGCTCTTAACCTCACAATATTTCGCCTCATATAGTTTCCTACCTCATAGGGTTGTTGTGAGAATTAAATGAGATAATCCATGTAAGCTACTAAGAATAGTACTGAGCATACAAATGGGGCTTAAATATTAACTATTCTTACATGAATACTATCATGACTGTTACTACTGAATGACTTCAGGAACATTAGTTTCATTAGAATATAACGGAAATCCAGAAGACAATGAAGGACTGAGCAAAAGAAGGAAAGTGAGAACAGCAACTCCAAGTTCACGTGAAGCCCTATGAAAGAAAAGTGACTCTAAGGTGGAAGAGATCCGAGCACTGTTACAGGCAATGGAGAGGAACCTGAAGACACCAAGAAATTAAACATACCCAAGAAAGAATACATGATGGTGCAAGAACTCAAAGAAGATATGGGATAAAGAGCACAGCAGAAAGATTCATCTTACACACAAGGAAGAAAAGTCCTTCCTCTAAGATAGAACAAAGTCAAAAGGACATGTAAAGGAACAGACCAATGAGACTATGCAAGAGGATGTTAGGGCTGTTCATATTACATGGCATTTATTTTCTCTGTGAATTTTTTTTTTTTTTTTTTTGAGACGGAGTCTTGCTCTGTCATTCAGGCTGTAGTGCAGTGGCGCGATCTTAGCTCACTCCAACCTCTCCCACCTGGATTCAAGCGTTTCTCCTGCCTCAGCCTCCCGAGTAGCTGGGATTACAGGCGTGTGCCACCACGACCGGCTAATTTTTTGTATTTTTAGTAAAGACGGGGTTTCACCGTGTTCCCCAGGATGGTCTCAATCTCCTGACCTCATGATCCACCCGCCTCAGCCTCCCAAAGTGCTGGGATTACAGGTGTGAGCCACCGCGCCTAGCCCTTCTCTGTGAATTAAAAAGGCAATGTCATCTCTTTAGTATGGGGGATAGGGTCTTGAGAGAACAGGAAACTTGAAGGGAATGGTAAATTTAGAATTATCACATAAAGGCAGAAAAGGGAGATGATTAGCAGTATGCCAAAGCAGTGCTAAAAAAGCTCAGATCACAAATAAAAAATTATTACAATATTACTGAGCAGGTTAAAAGACATTATGAAGCAACTGACAGTTTTTGTGAATGTCAAAAGGTACATACAGAAATGCAACCTGGCCTCTGTTGTTCCAGTTATTTAAAAGTTGAAGTGTGAACACTTAAAAACGAGATCAATTTAAAACAAAACAATGAAATAAGTTGCAATACTTGAAAATGCACATTAGTGGTTCTGAATTAGGACTCAAAATACTAGATCAAACATGTTTATTTAAACATATGTGGTCTTCAGAACTCCTTAATTACTTGTTTAAACAATGAAACATACTGGAGGCCACAAATATATATGCATTTTCTTTGTCATTTCATAAAACTTTTATTTAAAGAATGCTTCACCTTTACAATGAGTCCTTTCTCTGTGAACCAAGCAATTAAGTAGGCAGACCTATTTATTAAATGGTATACTGAGTTAAAAATATGTTTATAGAATGCCTTGACATTTCAATGAGGTAGGTAAGCCTTCCTTTAGCTTTAAAGGACAGCTGCAAAAATACTATACCATCAGCTTCCCAGTGGGCTGAAAGGAAAAAGGTCATGCATCCCATCAGCTTCTCTAATACTAACTATGGTACTAGAAATCCTTAGCTCTTCCTTGGGGGTATAATATATATTTTATATTTAAATATTCCAAACATAGACATCCTGAAAAAAAGAAACACTGAGATATGCATTAAAGTCTTCGTATCGCAGTAACGTTTTCCTTTAACATTAAACTTCATGCAAAAATAACTTAGTTTTGGATAATTACTTGTTAATTGCCTTATTTAATGGTGCATTTGCTTCCTTAGGAAAAAAAATTGGTTATATATTCTCCATTATTAGAAGAAAAGAAATCAAGACATTAAAAAAGATTCTAAAATGCCTGCTGGTCACAGTCCAACTGTGTAGATGTTAAATGAAGGAAACATTATAACGTTATTACTTGAGGAACACTGTTTTTCTATTATGACAGAAAAATAGTTCTTAAGTACTCACTATAATTTCATCAATGATTCATGTTACTGAAAACAATGTCTATGTCTTCCACTGTTTTGCCCTCATTATCATCAATTATACAAAGCGAACATTTCAGCATCATCAATAAACATGGGCATAAATGATTTTTCAGTGCTCACAAGGCAAATCCTTGTTGAAAGTGTGTTGAAACTAAAGTAACTACTACTGAAAAAAACAAAGCAAAATTATTTTACACTACTTTATCTATCAGGCTATTACTCTCGACAGCATTTGATTTATAACACCAGAAGTGTTAGCTCTCTATAAACCCATAATTATTAAAACATAATTAAATGACTAAACTTTCAACATTTTTAAAGATCATTTTAATTGTGTTGTTCGGTTCTATTATTAAATCTTCCTGCAGTAAATTTGAAAAAAAAAATTCCCTCCTCACGCCTTTGTTCGTGCATTGTGGAAGCCGATCCTATATAGTGGATTCTTTTTCCACATTAATTCCCTTTCTTACCTCCACTGTTTTGCCTTCGTGTTCATAAAGGCCGGGACTTGCAATAAAAATCTACAGGTTTTAACGAACTATTAACAAGGAAATCAACTTGATACCTAGTCACCCCTATATCCTTTTGTAAAGATGAGGTACCAGGAGAAATGCGCACTACCCTCAATAGACCTCACCCTTGCTATACAGGTTTTAGTTTATTTTAGCAATAGGAGTGCAAGAAGTTTTTGCTACATTTCTGTAAATAGCTAAAGAATGAAAAGGAAAGAGGTGTGAAAAGGAGGGTGAAAAACGCCAGAGACACTCAAGTTAGAATATTACCAAACTGTGATGGGATAAGCGGGAGATCTTGGTGGGAGACGCTGGATCGTACACTTGTGTTTCTTAAAGAATCAGTGCCACTGTCAATCTAGCTGATTTAGATAAACCTTATACGCACAAAATTCAGAGATGGGTTCATACAGAGTGACATTAGTCACAAAATCTTACTCTGAGCAACTTCAGCCCATGAATGGGGATGGAATACAGAGAAACACACTGTTGGGAGAACAGCCCATTCAGACTTCTCTGAAGGCACTTATCCTCACGGACAACACGCTCGTTTTAGGGCTCCCCTAGAGTTCCAGGTTTCAAAAGTCACGCTGCGGCAGCGAAGGAAGGAAACCTAGACAAGGGGTAAACACCCGATGGTGGGTACGCTTTGCCATTCGGGGGCTGGGGGGACAGGGGCGAGAAGGAAAGAAATGAGGGTGCACGGAGCGCGGAGGCACAGCGGCAGCTGCAGCCTGAGCGCCCGCCGACGGGCACCTGTCCGCGGGACACCCAGGCCGGCAGTGCCCAAGTCCCAGCTGCGGTGCAGAGGAACTTGTGCCGCGCCCGGGGCTGCCGCCTGGGGGTCCCCGCCGCAAGCGAGGCGAACGCAGCACCGCCTCGGGAGAAGGTGACGGGGTGCCGAGGGCAACAGAGAGGGGCGTGCGCCCACACGTGCGCGAGCTGCAGGTGCCCAGGGGCGGCGCGTGCACGCCGGAGTGCGCGCGAGTGTGCGCGTGTGTACACACGGACACCGGAGGGAGGCGGCACCGGCCGGGAGGGCGCGAGGCGGGAGCTCGGGCGGAGGGCGCCGCGGCACACACAGCCTGACCCCCGCCCCCACCCTAACCCCCACCGCCCGCACCCCCAGGACTCGACGGGCCGGTTACCTTTCTCCTCTCTCCACACCTTTTTCTTCTTGTTGCTGGGGTACATGTTGCCGTGGGGGTGGCTGGCTTTAAGCTGCAAGTTCCCCAGGCTCACGGGCAAACAGGGTGTGTGTGGAGTGGGAGGGGTGGGAGGGGGCACTCAGCAGGGAAAAAGTGAAAGAGGCTCTGCGTCCTGCGCTGCTCGCCGCTCGCCGCTCTCCAGTCGCCGCCCTCCTCCCTCAGCCCGCGCTCGGCTCCGGCTCCCACCCGCCTCAGCCCCGCGGACGCCGCCACAGCAGCACCTCAGAGCCTGTCAACTAGGTCACGCCTCGCGCTAACCTAACACCCGCGCAGGCACCGCCTACCAGCCGCTAGGCAGCGCCGCCTCCCATTGGCTGCACTGCCCGCCGCTCTCCGTGTTCTAGCCACGGCGCGCCCCAACTTGGGCCCCAGGGCGCACGCGCAGGCGCAGGCTCGGGCTCGACGCCGACGACGCTAGGGAGCTGGAGGGGGCGGAGCCAGGGAGCGAGGGGGCGGAGCCAGGGAGCGAGGGGGCTGGAGCTGTCCTCGAGACGTGGGCGCGGCGTGAAGCCGACGCCTAGTGGGAGAGGGAGGTGGACCGCGCTTACCGCTGGCCTCTTGGAAGACTTGAGGGCGTGGCCTGTAGAGCCAGGTGCGCCAAGTGACAGGCGAGCTAGCGGAAAGCCGCCTCAGGGACTTGGAGGATGTAGAAGTGGGAGGAGACCGAGGGTCAACACGAATTGTCCGTGCTCACTCCAACTGCCCTGTTGAGGAGGATTTTCACCAGGTAATCTGATGCTTTCCTCTGGGTGGGCAACTAAAAAAGACCAAAAGAAATGAAAGTATTGGCAAATGGTTCCACATCGTATGCAGTTGGCTCCTCAAACCTGTAGTGAAAATTACAAATTTCATTGGAATTTGGTGAAGTTTAGAAAGAACAAATGTAGACTGCGATACTCAAGACGGTTTTAAGAACCAAGAAGTTGCGGACAACCAAAATGTTATATTGAAAACACGTCTTACGTCAAAACAAATCCAGATGCCTGTTAACCAGAGCCGAGTGGTCTTACTTTATTCTACCAATTGCTTAATGTTAAGACGCAGGTCCAAAAAGCTGGCTTGATTCTGGATAATACTCACCTGGCGGGTTCTGAAAATCCAGTTTCACTAAAGTCCGCCACATGAGTAGGGTGACCTATAATTTAGAAGTTTGGTACCCTCCCCCCAAATTTGTTGTGTTTCTATATATCAGATCATCTTCAAGGCTAATTGAGTGGATGTTGTAAATCCACATTTATTTGGCAGTTTGGGTACTTGTTATATATATTGGGCAAATAATTATTTGGAACACATTTTTAAAAAATAATAGAAGAGAAAAGGAAGAAAGGGGGGAGGCCCCAAAAAGAATTGTAAAGAATGGAATATTTTTAGTAGTAGGACACTCTCATAAGGATGATTCACAACATGGTAAGGTAATTTTTGTTTTGTCTTTTTTTTTTTTTTTTTTTTTTTTTGAGGCAGAGTTTCACTCTTGTCCCCCAGCTGGAGGGCAATGGCTCCATCTCAGCTCACTGCAACCTCTTTCTGCCAGGTTCAAGCAATTCTCCTGCCTCAGCCTCTGGAGTAGCTGAGATTACAGGCATGCGCCACCATGCCTGGCTAATTTTGTATTTTTTTAGTAAACATGGGTTTTCACCGTGTTGGCCAGGCTGGTCTTGACCTCCTGACCTCAAGTGATCCCAAAGTGCTGGGATTACAGGCGTGAGCCACCGTGCCCAGCCTGTTTTTCTTTTAATGCTGTGAAATACGAAAAAAAATAGATTTGGGATAAATAAAGAAGGCTTCAAGAAGGAAGTGACATTTGAGCTAGTAATAAAAATATGTACTTATTTATTGGCACTAGAAATAGAAAGAGGTCTTTGATTAGAGACATTACCAGGGAAGAATAAATAAAACCTGATAATGCAATAGATTTTGAAAGAAAGGTGAGGAAGAAAAGAAAAACATTTCATAGGATGGGTAAGGGGGCAAAATAGCAATGCTAATATTAAGCAATATGGGAACAGTTGCAGATTTTGTAGAAAAGATATTGACTTCTTATGTAGAAATGTGAAAGGTAAGACAAGTACATCATACTAGACACCTTCCCTTCAACAGAGAAGCTGTTTGCACTCCAGCCTCCAGCCAGTCCTTCCACATGTGCTTTCTTAGGAACATTACACTATTGATTATCTTTTCTTTCATGTCAGCTCAAAGAACTGGAACTTTTATTGTGTGAAAGCACATTAAAAGTATGTAGAGGGCATTTGTTCCAGCATTTAGTATTAATCACTCTGACAAAATACCATTATCATTCAAAACTGTTAAATATTTAACATCCCTAAAGTACTTGAAATGTGCCGTGTACCAAACTGAACTCATGCTCCTTCTCCCAGTTTTCCCCATCTCTTCGAATGGCTCCATTACCCGTTTAGTTGAAAAATCTGGAAACCTAAGCACCATCCCTGGTACCTCTTATAACTTCACTCTCATATCAAATCGGTTGCTATACCTACGCAATTTTATTGAGCGGTCTGTATAAGTCTGGAATCACTACTTTCCAACAGCATTGCAGTAAACTTAGTCTGAATTTAGCTGGACTATTGCAAAGACTTCCTAAGTGGCCTTCATGCCCACTGTTGCCCCTCTTCTGTCCATTGTCTAGACTGCATCTAGTGATACCTTGTCAGAAGTGATCACGTCTTCTCACTTCTGTAAGTCATTCAATGACTTTCTGGTGGTCTTTACTATGGACTGACTTACGTGCACCCAAAATTCATATGTTGAAGCCCTAATCTCCAATGTGACTAAATGTGGAGATTAGGTCTTTACGAAGTAATTAAGTTTAAATGAGGTCATAAGGGTGAGTGAGGTTAATAGGACTGAGGCCTTATAAGAAGAGGGAGATCTCTTTCATCCTCTCCTCCCACCCCCTTTCCCTGCTATATGAGGACACAGCAAGAAGGTAGCCATCTTGCAAGCAGGAAGAAGACCCTCACCAGAACCTGGTCTCAGATTTCTAGCCATCAGAACTGAGAAAATTAATTTCTGCTGTGTAAAGTCACCCAGTCTATATTATTTTGTTGCATACAGGCTAATACAGTCTTTTTATAACAATTAAATTATTAAGAATGGAGTGACTATCACCTACTAACCCAGCCTTATTTTATACTATGCTCCATACCACCCCCATTCCCCAGTCTCTGATTCCAGCCCACAGAGCATCATTTCATGTTCTGGAACACCATATAGCCTTTTTCTTTTTTGAGACGGAGTTTCACCCTTGTTGCCCAGGCTGGAATGCAATGGCGCGATCTTGGCTCACTGCAACCTCTGCCTCCCAGGTTCAAGCAATTCTCCTGCCTCAGCCTCCCGAGTAGCTGAGATGACAGGCATCTACCACCATGCCCGGCTAATTTTTGTATTTTTAGTAGAGACGGGATTTCACCATGTTGGCCAGGCTGGTCTTGAACTCCTGACCTCAGATGACCCACCTGCCTCAGCCTCCCAAAGTACTGGGATTACAGGCATGAACCACGGCACCCAGCCCACATAGCCTCTTAACATGTTCATTGCAACACCTGGGACATGATTTGTTTAGCTGACTCACTCTCGTTCTTCATATTTCAGCTTGAACATCACTCCCTAGCAAAGCCTTCCCTGACTCTGACCCTACCTGACCTTTGTTTGCCGCTTCCCCTTATATGCCTTCATTGCTCATTGATTTTCCTATAAAGAAGTTTGGGTTTGTTGTTGTTGTTTTGAGATGGAGTCTCACTCTGTCGCTCAGGCTGCATTGCAGTGGCACAATCTCTGCTCACTGCAACCTCCACCCCTCAGGCCCCTGGCCCCAGGATTCAAGCACTTCTCATGCCTCAGCCTCCTGAGTACCTGAAACTACAGGCGCATACCACCACGTCCAGCTAATTTTTGTATTTTTAGTAGACACGGGGTTTCGCCATGGTGGTCAGCCTGGTCTCGAACTCCTGGCCTCAAGTAATCCAACTGCCTTAGGCTCCCAAAGTGCTGGGATTACAAGTGTGAGCTGCCACGCCCAGCCAACATTAAGGATCTTGAGAGAGAGAGAGATTGTTCTGGATCATGTTGGTGGGCCCTAAATGTAATCACAAGTATCTTTATAAGAGGGGCACAAAGGGAGATTAAACTACAGAAGGCAAGTGATGACTGAGCAGAGACTGAAATGATGTGGTCACAAATCAAGGAATGCTGGCAGCCACTTAGAAGCTGAAAAATTCCAGGCCAAGAATGGATTCTTCCCTGGAGCCTCCAGGAGGAGCTAGCCTTGTCTTTGATTTTAGCCCTGTAAGAATGGTTTTGGAATTCTGGTCTCTAGAACTATGAGAGAATAAATTCCTGTTGTTTTAACCCATTACGTTTGTGGTAATTTGTTATCACAGCAATGGGAAACTAATAAAAGGAATAAAACTGTAAATTCAAAACAATAAAATGTCTATTTCTAAAGTAATGACCTGGACAGACTGTAAAAGTTGGATATTTTTTGTAGGCATAATTTCTCAACTAGCTCTGTGCCTTGGATATTTTTAATATTTATATGTTTTCCCTAAATATTCATTTTGATTTCTCGTAGCTTTGAAGGTACCACTTGTGAGATGTCTGTATTATCTGAGGTATGTAAAGACATTGTTAAACAGTCTTTGTTTGCCTTTGTTCCAGTAAATCCTCAGCAGTTTCTAACTGGAAAAGAGGATAAAGATTTTCATCCAGATTGGGAACAAAGCAGACTTGGCCCATTGTTTCTTTTCCGCCATAGCCTAGAGATACCAGCTTACAGGATGATGTCAGATCAGTTCATGTACCTTAATTGTGTTTTTACATAAGTGTAGTTTGTACCTCTAGAGGCAACATAAAAATAAGAACTTCCAGCACCCCTGAACACAGTTGAACGTGTGGACACGTACGAGTCGGACTTCTGGTCCCTTCCTTTCATGTTAGAGAGCCACCCCTAATTTCTAGCCTACCCCTTATCTTCAGCCAGAGGAATAGCAGTGGATCCTTTCCACAGCCTACATTCTCCAGCAGCTGCCTTCATTCCGGCTTGAAAGGAACACTCTGGCAGCCCATTGGCCCAAGAGTAAGGAAATGGTTGCTTAGCAACTGACTCCTGCCCCCACCACAGTCCCTGAGAAGAGGAGCTCTTGGGCCAATCACCTAGTTTCTGCCTGTGTTACAGTGAAGAGAAGCTGCTTAAGAGAAGATGAAGCCCTTGTCTCTGTTAATAGAGATATTGATAATTCTTGGGGTCACAATTAAAAGTAAGTTTTTTTGTCCTTAGAGTTCTCTATGAGGGTCTCTTCTCTTTGCTCAAACAGCGCCAAGGGCAGAAGCCAATTAAAAGACTAGAAGTAACTTTACTATATCCCTAACTAATGCCATTTTTGTACAGGTACTTTAAAATGTCCAATAAGAATAATAGATGATAATGATAGTCTCACTTGGGATAATACTTGGGAAGGGTGTGTACTTGGGAAGGGTGTGGGGGATGGGGAAAAAACAAATCTATGAGGAAACCACTACAGTAATTGTTATAAAGTAGGGATATTTAGGGCAAGTTGTTAAGTGTTATTAAATTTAGAATATCATAAAGGTCTAGTTCCAAGACTTTAAAGGAAAAATATAAGACTCAAAGAGTGTGAAAGATGTATAAACATGCTTTTTTAAAATATTTACACAATAACAATTTCACTTCCAAAGTTTCAATGTTTCCTAAATAGTTACTATCTGAAAATGGAAGTTATTTTCCATCTTGTTTCTTTGGCCATTTTTTTAGTTACTTTTTACCCAATCCTCATATAATGTGCTCATGATAAATTCAATTTAAGAAATATGTATTTGGTCCCTGCTTGTCTAGTGGTTAGAATTCAGCACTCTCACTGCCACAGCCCAGGTTCAATTCCCTGTCAGAGAAAAGGAAAAAAAAAGAAATATTTGGATTTTACCCAGAAATGTAAGATTGGTTTACCACCCATAAATCAATGTAACAATCACATCAACAGAATAAAAGACAAAGATCACATGATCATTCTAATCTAGTAAAAGCATTTGACAAAATTCAACAGGCTTTGTGATAAAAATGTGTGACAAACTAAGAATGGAAGGAAACTTTATCAACCTGATAGAAGATATTGAAAACCCAAAGCTACTATATTTAATGGTGAAAGACTGACTGCTTCATCCCTAACATCAGGAATAAGACAAGGATGTCCACTTTTGCCATTTCTGTTCAACATTGTACTGGAAGTTCTAGCTATGGCAATTACACAAGAAACAAAAGTAGAAGATATCAAGCTTGGAAAGAAAGAAGTAAAATGATCTGTATTCACAGAAGACATGATCTTGTATACAGAAAATCGTATGGAATCAACTACGAAACTATTAGAACTAATAAATGAGCTCCATAACAAATGCAGGATAAATACAAAAAAAAAGTTCTATTTCTATACAGTAGCAGTGAGCAAACCAAAAATGAAATTATGAAAGAAACTTTATAATAGTATCAAAAATGAACTACTTAAGAATAAATTTTACAAAAAAAGTGTGAAACTCATATTCTGATGACCACAAAAATTGTTTAAAGAAGTTAAAGAAGACTTCACTACATGAAAAGACTTCCCATGTTCATGAATTGGAGAACTTAATATTGGTAAGATGGCAATACTCTCCAAATTGATCTACATATTCAACACAATCTTTATTTATTTGTTTATTTATTTATTTTGAGATGGAGTTTCGCTCTTGTTGCCCAGGCTGGAGTGCAATGACGTGATCTCGGCTCACTGCAACCTCCGCTGCCTGGGTTCAAGCCGTTCTCCTGCCTCAGCCTCCCAAGTAACTGAATTACAGTCGTCTGCCACCACGCCTGGCTAATTTTTTGTATTTTTAGTAGAGACGGGGTTTTATCATGTTGGCCAGGCTGGTCTTTAACTCCTGACCTCAGGTGATTCACCCGCCTAAGCCTGCCAAAGTGCTGGGATTACAGGAATGAATCACACCGCATCTGGGCTTCAACACAATCTTTATCAAAATCCCAGCTGACTTCTTTTCAAAAATTGGCAAACTGGTCTTAAAATTCATATGGAAAAAAATGTTCCTGAAAAAGAAGAATGGAGTTGGAGGACTCACACTTCCCAATTTCAAAACTTACTACAAAGCTACAGTAATCAAGACAGTATGGTCCTGATGTGAAGATAGACATATAGGTTACTGGAATGGAATTGAGAGTTTTACAAGTAAACTATCACACTTATCATCAACTGATTTTTGGCAAAGATGCCATGAAAACTCAGTGTGGGAGGTGCAGGAGGAGATAATCTCTCCAACAAATGGTGCTGGGACAACTGGATAACCACATGAAAAAAATGAATTTGAAAAAAATAAATAAAACAGTTTTTAAAGGCTAGGCACAATGGTTCGTATCTGTAATCCCAGCGCTTTGGGAGGCCTAGGCAGAAGGATCACTTAAGGCCAGGACTTTAAGACCAGCCTGGTCAACATAGCGAGAACCTACCTCATCTCTTTAAAATTAAACCAAAAATAAATAAAAATTCATAAGAATGAATTTGTACCCCCACCTCATACCTCATATACACAAATTAATTCAAAATGGATCAGAGACCTACACATATAGCTAAAGATTTAAAACTCTTAGAAGAAAACATAGGCATAAATCTTCCTAACTTTGGATTAAGCAGTGATTTCCTAGATATGCCACCAAAAGCACAAGCAAAAAAGGAAAAACCAAACTGGATATCAAAACTAAAAACTCTTCTGTTTTGGAGGATATCTTCAAGAAACTGAAACGACAACCCACAGAATGAGAGAAAATTTTTGTGACTCATATATCTGATGAGAATTCAGTATTCAGAGTATACAAAGAACCTTACAACTCATCAACAAAATGACAACCCAATTTAAAAATGGGCAAAGAAATTGGATAGAAATTTTCCCAAAGAAGATGAACAAATGACCAAGCACATGAAAGATATTCAACATCATTGGTCATTAGGGAAATAAAAGCAAAAAGCACAATGAGTTATCACATCACACCCACTAGGATGGTTATAATCAAAAAACAGGAAATTATCGGCCGGGCGCAGTGGCTCACACCTGTAATCCCAGCACTTTGGGAGGCTGAGGCAGGTGGATCACGAGGTCAAGAGATCCAGACCATCCTGGCCAACCAACATGGTGAAACCCTGTCTCTACTAAAAATACAAAAATTAGCTGGGTATAGTGGCTCACATCTGTAGTCCCAGCTACTCAGGAGGCTGAGGCAGGAGAATCGCTTGAACCCCGGAGGCAGAGGTTACAGTGAGCCGAGATCGCACCACTGCACTCCAGCCTGGGCAACAGAACAAGACTCTGTCTCAAAAAGAAACCAAACAAAACAACAACAACAACAAAAAAAAAAAAAAAAAAAACAGTAAATTAACAAATTTTGGAAGGATGTGGAGAAACAAGAACCTTCACACATTGCTGGTTGGAATATAAAATGGTATAGTCACTGTGGAAAACAGTGTGGCAGTTCCTTAAAACGTGAAATATAGATTTATTAGGTTGGTGCAAAAATAATTGCGGTGTTGGCATTAAAAGTAATGGAGAGGCCGGGCGCGGTGGCTCACGCCTGTAATCCCAGCACTTTGGGGGGCTGAGGTGGGCAGATCACGAGGTCAAGAGATGGAGACCATCCTGGCTAACAAGGTGAAACCCCGTTTCTACTAAAAATACAAAAAATTAGCTGGACTTGTGGCGGGCACCTGTAGTCCCAGCTACTCGGGAGGCTGAGGCAGAAGAATGGCTTGAACCCGGGAGGCGGAGCTTGCAGTGAGTCGAGATCGCGCCACTGCGCTCCAGCCTGGGTGACAGAGCAAGACTCTGTCTCAAAAAAATAAAAAGTAATGGAGAAAACCACAATTACTTTTGCACCAACCTATACAATGTGACCTATTAATTTCATTACTAGGTATATAACCAAGAGAAATGAAAACATAATATTCACACAGAAATTTGTACACAAATATTTATAGAAGCATTATTCATTAGAGCTTAAAGGTGGAAACAACCCAAATATTGACCAACAAATGAGTAAATAAACAAATTGTGGTATATACATTGGAATATACATACAATGGAATATTACTCAGCCATAAAAAAATGAAGTGCTCATAGGTGTTACAACTTGGATAAACCTCAAAAACAATTGTGCTACATGAAAAAAGCGAGACAAAAGGTTGCCTATTATATGGTTCTTATTTTATGAAATATCTGAAATAGGCAAATTCATAGAGATGGAAAGCAGATTACTGGATTAGGGAATGGCAGAGGGGAGAATGGGGAGTGACTGCTTAATGGGTACAGAGTGTACTTCCGGGATGATGAAGTTTTGAAACTGTAGAAAGGTAATGGCTGTACAACACTGGGAATGCACTAAATGTCACTTAATTGCACACTTTAAAACGGGTAATTTTATGTTATATGGATTTCACCTCAATTTTTTTTAAAATGTTGCAATGCTTTGGTAAACAGTCTGGCAATTCCTCAAAAGGTTAAACATAAAGTTACTATATGATCTAATAGTTCCATTGCTAGGTATATATCCAAGAGAATTGAAAACATTTCCATACAAAAACTTACACATAAATAGTAGCATTATTCATAATAGACAAAAAGTGGAACTAGCCCAAATGTCCAGCAACTGATGAACAGATCAACAAAACGTGGTATATCCATACAATGGAATACTCAGCAAAAACAACAAACGAAGTATGATATGGATAACCTTGAATACATGCTAAGCAAAAGAAGGTAGACACAAATGGCCACATATCATGTGACTTCCTAGGTATGAAATGTCCATAATAAGCAAATGCACAGAGACTGAAAGTCGGTTACTGGTTACCTAGGCCTGGGAGGTATGGGGCAATTGGGGAATGATGACTAAGGGGTACAGGATTTCTTTTTGGGGTAATGAAAAATGTTCTGTGATTGTGGGATGTTTGCATAAATTTGTGAATATCCTAAAGGCCATTGAATTGTAGAGGGAGAAAATAAATCTTTAATGAAAGTTATACACCAGGAGTATTGGGGATATAAGAATACCTAAGAACAGTCCATATCCTTGAGCAGCTTAGAGTCTCGAAGAGGAAAACCAAAATATTGAATGAATAAATTATAAAGTGTTGTAGGTAATAAAACAGAAGCATTTACAGGGTACTGTAGGGCACAGAATGAGGGAGAGGTCAATTCTAATGGTGTGTGGAGTAGTCAGAAAGGCTTCACAAAGGAAATGGCATAGACAGAATCTTGAAAGATTAGTGAGTGTTCACCAAGCAGGCAAGGGAGAACAAGAACATTTCAGGCCAGAAAAAAGGACCAAAGACACAGAGGAATGAAAGAGCATTGTCTATACATAAGTGTATCAGTTTGCTGTGGTGTAGTATGTAAGAAGCAACTTATGAGGCTGGAGTGGTAGGCAGGGACTTTGTATGACAGGCTATGAAGTTTGGGCTTTATCCTGGGAGCAATGGGTAGTCATTTCAGGTTTACTCCTTGAAGAACATGAATAGAATTATGCCTTAGAAAAATGACTTTGAGAGTAGAATAGTAGCTACTAGATGTGAGGGTTGGGGGAGAGGGGATATCCAACGGTTGGTTAAACTGATACAACAGTATAGCTAAATAGGAGGAATAAGTTCTAGGGTTCTATAGCACTATAGGGTGACTATATTTAACAACAATTTATTGTATATTTTCAAATAGCTAGAAGAGCAGATTTTGAATGTTCCAAACACAAAGAAGTGATAAACTTTTGAAGTGAGAAACATGCTAATTACCCTGATTTGTTCACTACACATTGTATATATGTATCAAAATATCACACTGTGCTCCGTATATGTACAATTATTATATGTTAATTAAAAATGAAAAAAGCAAAAAAAATTTAAAAGCAAAAAATATTTAATAGCAAAAAAAGCAAATATTTAATGCCCTTTAGCAAAAAAGAAAGAAAAAAGGAAAGAAGAGGAGAGGAGGGTGATGGGAGGGGAGGGGAAGGGAGGGAGGAAGAGAGAGAGAAAGAAAGAGAGAGACTTTGGCAGTAGAGGATTGGATGTCACTGTATAACTCTGGTGACAGTGTAACTAGTAGGACATTATTGAATGGTCCAAACAAGAAACAATGAAGACTTAAACTATAGCAACAGCAGTGGGAACTGAGAAGAGTTGATGGATATCAAGGCTAAAGAGATTATCACGGAAGTCCAAGGTGAGAGAGTACTAAGAACATAGAAATTGCCAACAATGCCAAATGCCACAGAGAATGGGGAATGAGTCAGCAAGTGACCATGAAATTCAATAGCTTGAGAATTTTTATGTTTCCAGGACAGTTTCAGTGGAGAAGCATGAACAGAAACCTGATTTCAAGGCTGAGTGCGGTGGCTCACACCTGAAATCCCAGCACTTTGGGAGGCCAAGGCGGGCAGATCACCTGAGGTCAGGAGTTCGAGACAAGCCTGGCCAACATGGTGAAACCCCATGTCTACTAAATATACAAAAATTAGCCAGGCGTGGTGGCATGTGCCTGTAATCTCAGCTACTCAGGAGGCTGAGGCAGGAGAATCACATGAACCCAGGAGGCAGAGGTTGCAGTGAGCTTAGATCACGCCACTGCACTCAAGCCTGGGTGACAGAGACTTCAACTCAAAAAAAAAAAAAAGGAATCTGATTTCAATTGGTAAAAGTGAACATGAAGAGAGAAAGTAGAGACATAATGATTATAGAGTTCTTCCTGGATTGTGGCAGTGTTCAGGATCAGACTCTAGCTATCAATAGATCGTTCATTAATTGTGGGTGTATAGAGAACCAGGGAAGGAGTTAGTGGAAGAGAAAACAGTTATTTTTTAAAAGCTAGTGCTGGCGGGCCACAGTGGTTCATACCTACAATCCCAGCACTTTGGGAGGTCCAGGCGGGCAGATCACGTGAGGTCGGGAGTTTGAGACCAGCCTGACCAACATGGAGAAACCCCGTCTCTACTAAAAATACAAAATTAGCTGGGCGTGGTGGTGCATGCCTGTAATCCCAGCTACTCCAGAGGCTGAGGCGGGAGAATCGCTTGAACTTGGGAGGCAGAGGGTTGCAGTGAGTTGAGATCGTGCCATTGCACTCCAGCCTGGGCAACAAGAGCGAAACTCTGTCTCAAAAAAAAACAAAAACAAAAACAAAACAAAAAACAAAAGCTAGTGCTAAAAGACCTAAGATTCATAGGTAAAATTAGCCCTTAACCTCACTTTTTTTCCCTCTCTCTGCCCCTCTACCCTATTTCTCAAGGCAAAACAGACAGGTCTGCCCTTTTTCATTCAGATACACCTTGCAAGCTTGCATGTTGCCTTTTTATTCATTTTTTCACTTGATACTCATTGTATTTTGATTTTGCCTATATAAAATTATTGAGGGGGACATAACTATTCAATTGTCCCTGACTCTACGTTCGCCTAGGGAAATTCTTAAAAAGTTACTGAGTTATTTCCCTTTTGGTAAATCCTCAGAGTGAAATAGTGATGGAAAATGATGGAAGGAATGAACAGTCCATCCCAAAGTATATGGCTTAGAAAAATGGAAGGAAAACTAATCATGTTAAACTAATCATGTGTTTTTTTCTCTCTTCACTCTATCAACTTGGCTGCTGCTTTTTTTTTTTTTTTTTTTTTTTTTGAGATGGAGTCTTGCTCTGTTGCCCAGACTGGAGTGCAGTGGCGTGAACTCAGCTCACTGCAACCTCCGCCTCCTGGGTTCAAGCAATTCTTCTGCCTCAGCCTCCCGAGTAGCTGGGACTACAGGTGCTCACCACCACGCCCAGCTAATTTTTGTATTTTTAGTAGAGACGGGGTTTCACTATGTTGGCCAGGATGGTCTCAGTCTCCTGACCTTGTAATCCACCCGCCTTGGCCTCCCAAAGTGCTGGGATTAAGGTGTGAGCCACCGTGCCTGGCCTGCTGCTGCTTTAAGGTAGTGTAAAATATATCACTGAGGCAGAGAAAAGGCATTGCCAGGAGTTCTGGCTCTAGATCATCCAGGGTCCTGTCTCCCATCTATTTCTTCTCTTTCTTATTTATTTATTTACATCTCTCTTAGAAACAATTTTTTCTTTTTTCTTTTTTTTAATTTTTTGTTTACAATGATAGAACTTGCTACTGTCTCGGAATATACTTTTTTTTTTTTTTTTTTTTGGCAGAGTCTCATTCTGTCTCCTGGGCTGGAGTGCAGTGGCACGATCACAACTCACTATAGGCTCGACTTCCCAGGCTCAAGCATTCCTCACACCTCCACCTTCCAACTAGCTGGGACCTCAGGCATGCACCACCATGCCAGGCTAATTTTTGTATTTTTTGGAGAGAGAGGATCTCGCTGTGTTGCTCAGTCTGGTCTTGAACTCCTGAGCTCAAACGATCCTCCTGCGTCAGCCTCCCAAAATGCTGGGATTACAGGCATGAGCCACCATGGCTGGCCCCATCTATTTCTTTCTAGTAGTAACTCCTATCATACACTTCTGTGATTAGAAAGGCAAAGCAAAACAACAAAAAGTTAATAGCAACTCTCTCAGACACTCACCTATCCAGCAGCTCTCTATCCCAGTTGAAAAGGGCACATAGCTCATCAATCTCACAGTAACCAGAGTCCAGAAAGCAGTTGCCTCACAGTCATGTCTAGGTCCCTGTGTGGTCCAGAAGGAGGCCACATAAAGACCAAGCCCTGGACATGTTGCAGAGGAGCTGCAGCCTAAGCAGTAGAAGCAGGAAATATCCTGCTGCTTCAGAAATGTTCTTGCTTCTACCAGTGCTATTTTGAATAACCTATGGAATTGAGAATTTCTAAATTACCTTTGCTTTCATTAAATTCTTTCATGTTGTACCTGTAACCAGGGAAAAGACAAACTGCAAGTATCTGGAGCATCTCTCCCTGAAAAGAAGCAGGAGAGACCAGGTGTTATGACAGGACTGATGACTGCAAGAGAGAAGTTTGATAACTGTGTTATGTGAGGGATCAGTAAAAAAGCACATTTCTCTTTTGTGAGTTTCCTGAAAGTTATAAGGCTTTTTCACATCTTCATATCTTAGACTTGTCTGAATGGTTTCTGATTTTGTATTTTTTTCACTGACAAATATTAATTGCATAGTTATGGGGCACAATGTGATGTTTTGATATATGTATATGTTGGGCAATGATTAAGTCAGACTAATTAACATATCCATCCCTTCATATAAGTACCATTTTTTGTGGTGAGAACATTTGAAATCTACTATTTTAGTAATTTTGAAATACAGAATACGTTATTAACTATAGTCACCATGCTGTGCAACATCTAAAACTTATTGTTACCATCTAATTGAAACTGTACTCTTTGACCAACCTCTCCCCATTCCCCACACCCCCCTCCCCAGCCTCTGATAACCACCATTCTATTCTCTATTTCTTTCTTTCTTTTTTTTAGGGGGGTTGTGGAGTTTTGCTCTCGTTGCCCAGGCTGGAGTGCAATGGCACGATCTCGGCTCACTGCAACCTCCACCTCCCGAGTTCAAGTGATTCTCCTGTCTCAGCCTCCCAAGTAGCTGGGACTATAGGTGCACACCACCATGCCCCGCTAATTTTGTATTTTTAGTAGAGACGGGGTTTCACCATGTTGGCAAGGCTGCTCTCAAACTTCTGACCTCAGGTGATCCACCCGCCTTGGCCTCTCAAAGTGCTGGGATTACAGGCGTAAGCCACCGGGCCCAGCCTCTACTCTCTATTTTTATGAGTTTCAACTCTTTAGATTCCACATATAAGTGAGATCAGGAAGTATTTCTTTCTCACTTCCTGGCTTATTTCATTTAGTATAATGTACTCCAGGCTCATCCATGTTGTTGCAAATAGCATGATTTCCTTTTTTCTAAGGCTGAATAATATTTCATTGTATATATATACAACATTTTCTTCATCCATTCATCCATTGATGGACACTTAGGTTGTTTCCATATCCTGACTATTGTAAATCATGCTGTAATGAATATGGGAGCGCAGACATCTTTTCGACATACTGATTTCGAGTCCTTTGGATATATACCTAGAGGGGGGATTGCTGGATCATATGCCAATTCTTTTCTTTGAAGAATCTCTATCTATGTTGTTTGACATAATGGCTGTACCAATTTATATTCCCACTCACAGTGTATAAGATTTCCCTTTTCTCTGGCCAGGTGTGGTGTCTCACACCTGTAATCCCAGCACTCTGGGAGGCCGAGGCAGGTGGATCACCTGAGGTGAGGAGTTTGAGACCAGCCTGGCCAACATGGTGAAACCCTATCTCTACTAAAAATAAAAAAATTAGCCAGGCACATGCCTGTAATCCCAGCTACTTGGGAGCCTGAGGCAGGAGAATAGCTTGAACCCAGGAGGCAGAGGTTGCAGTGGGCTGAGATCACGCCACTGCACTCCAGCCTGGGCAACAAAGCAAGACTCTGTCTCAAAAAAGATTTCCCTTTTCTCCACATCCTCACCAACACTTCTCATCTTTCATCTTTTTTCTAACAAGTGTGAGGCAATATCTCGTTGTGATTTTAATTTGCATTTTCCTGATGATTAGTGATATTGAACATTTTCTCATATATCTGTTGGCCATTTGTATGTCTTCTTTCAAGAAATGTCTATTCAGGGTTTTTGCCCATTTTTTAATCAAGTTGTTTGTTTTCTTCCTATTTAGTTGAGTTTCTTATATATTTTAGATACTAGTCCTTTATCAAATGTATGGTTTGCAAATATTTTCTCCCAATTCATGGGTTGTCTGTTCAATTTATTAATTGTTTTCTTTGCTGTACAGATTTTTAGTTTGATGTAAATTCTGTTTGTCTGTTTTCATTTTGTTGCTTATGCTTTTTGGGGTTATATTTAAGAAATCACTACCCAGGCTAATACTATGAAGCTTTTCCTCTATATTTTCTTTTAGTACTTTTAGAGTTTCTGGTCTTATGCTTAAATCTTTTTTATTTTTTTGAAATGACAAAGTGACTGGGTTTATTTGTAAGTAACTAGATTAAATTTTCTTCCATTGTGCCAATATGTAGCCCAACACAGAGATTAAGTGCCAGTTTCAGGAAAATAAAGTTATATTTTTGTCAGCCTTGAATGTATGTCTTCTGAATATTTTTTCTTTTGTTTTTCGTTGATACATAATCATGCATCAATTTCATCAACGATGCAGAGTGATACTTCAGTACATATATATAATGTGTAATGATCAAATCAGTTATTAGCATAGCACCTCATTTATTATTTCTTTGTGTTGTAAACATTCAAAATCTTCTCTTCTAGCTTTTCCGAAATATGCAATAAGTTGTTAACCATATTTATCCTATAGTACCATAGAACACTAGAATTTATTTCTCTTATCTAGCTGTATTTTTGTATCAATTAACCAACTTCTCCCTATCCTCCTCTCTTCCCATCCTTCCTATTATCTAATAACCACAATTCTACTCTGTCACTTATATGAGCTCAATTCTTTCAGCTTCCACATATGAGTGAGAAAATGCAGCGTTTGTCTTTCTGTGCCTGACATTTCACTTAACATTATGTCCTCTGGGCTCATCCATGTTGCAAAAATGACGATTACATTCTTTTTTTCTTTTCTCTTTTTTCTTTTTGAGACGAGTCTCACTCTGTTGCCCAGTCTAGAGTGCAGTTGCATGATCGCAGCTCATTGCAACCTCCACCTTCTGGTTTCAAGCGATTCTTGTGCCTCAGCCTCCCAAGTGACCGGAAATTACAGGCGTGCACGATCATGCCTGGCTAATTTTTGTATTCTTAGTAGAGGCGGGGTTTTGCCATGTTGGGCAGGCTGGTCTCAAACTCCGGACCTCAAGTGTTCCACTCGCCTTGGCCTCTCCCAAAGTGTTGGGATTACAGGCGTGAGCCACCGCACCTGGTGATTTCATTCTTTTTCATGGCTGAATAATATTTCATTGTGTATATTTTTATTTTATTTTTTATTTGTATACTTATTTTATATTTTTATATTTTCGTTTATCTGTTGATGAATATTTAAGTTGACTTCATATCTTGGTTATTGTGAATAGTGCTGCAATAGATATGGAGGCACAGGTGTCTCTTCAGTATACTGATTTCCTTTTCTTTGGATAAATAGTAGTAGGATTGATGGATCATATGGTAATTCTATTTTTAGTTTTTTGAGAAACCTCTATACTGCTTTCCATAATGGCTGTACCAATTTACTTTCCACTAACAGTGTTTAAATGTTCCCTTTTCTCCACATCCTTGCCAGCATTTGTTAATTTTTGTCTTTTTGATAATAGAGCTATTCTATTGTGTTTAGGTTTTTAATACATTTTGAGTTGATTTTTGTATGCCTTGTGTGATAAGGGTCCAATTTCATTCTTCTGCAGTGGATATACATTTTTCCCAACACCATTTGTTGAAGACAGTGTCCTTTCCTCATCATGTGTTCTTGGCACCTTTGTTGAAAATCAATTGACTGTAAATACGTAAGTTTACTTCTGAGCTCTCTATCCTGTTCCGTTGGTCAGTGTGTCTGTTTTTAGTCCCGTATCATGCTGTTTTGAGTATTATAGATTTGTAATATATTTTGAAGTCAAGTAGTGTGATGTCTCTAGCTTTGTTCTTTTTGCTCAAGATTGTTTTGGCTATTTGGGGTCTTTGGTAGTTCCACACAAAATTAATGGCTGTTTTTTTTCTATTTTTGTGAAAAATGATGTTGGGATATTGATAGAGATTGTATTGAATCTGTAGATTGCTTTGAGTAATGTGGACATTTTTACAATATTAATTTTTCCAATCCATGAATATATCTTTTTATTTATTTATGCCTCCTTGAATTTTTTTCATCAAATTTTTATAATTTTTAGTATACAGATCTAAAAGGTTTCTGTATCAAACAATTACTACTACTTTTTGGATCTATTCAGTAGGGTAGCACTTATTGGAGAGAGGACAGTCTTCGGCCTGGGGAGAGCTAGGGGAACAGACCCCCTTGCAGAACACATAAATACTCATGCATCAGCTTTATCTCAGCTTCATTGAGTTCTTTTTGTCTGACAGGAATCACTCTTCCCAATTCCACTCCACTTTTTTTTGCACATAAGGGTTCATAAGTCTCTCCCATTTTATGTATATCCCAAGAATTCTGTTTGCCAGTGTTAGCCTTCTACCTGCTCCTAATGGATCCCAAGATCTATCCCCCCATCAATTGAAACTGCTTTCTCAAAGAACGCCAACAGCTCATTGATTACCAATCCAGCGGCCTCTTGCTGTTCTTTCTGCTAACTTCTGTGCACCATGTGACATTACTCACCATCTTCTTTTTCCCTCTTCCTCTGTATAGCCATCTCAGGCTCTTTCATGGGCTTGTCTTTCTCAATTCACCTTTTAAATGCTGTGCCCAAGGTTCGGTGCTTGGCTTTCTTGCTCTTCATATTCTATGCTTCTTGTGCTCTCACCCAAGCCCCACAACTTTGTTTACATGTGTGTCTATATCTCATACCCTCCTTCTAATCTCTAGACCAGCATATCCAGCTACATGATGATCATGAACAATGTATGCAGATTCCTTAAATCAACATTTGTTTTCAAGGTTACTTCCTCCTGTGTTTTTTCTCTTGTTAATGGCATCAACTATCCTTCCCTGCTCACCTTGTTCTCAAGTACTCCAAATTGCATGATTATACAGTTCTAATTCCCCTAAGTATCATTTAATTCAGTGTTTTTACAGATAAGACTGAGGCCCACCATGGTGAAATTGCTTCTCCCGGGTCATCTTGCAAAGCTAAATCTAGAACCAGAATCTCCTAATCGTTTATATTTATTCATTCCCTTATTCTTTTACCAAATCTTGTCAATTCTACGTCCTCAGGGGTTTTCCCATCTATGCATTTTCACTGTCTCAATTTAAAATCTCATTTTAGTATCTTTTAACTACACTAATGCACTTCTAACTTGCTTTTCTCTTATCCACATACATTACTGCCAGAAATAATATTCCTCAACTCCAAATCTATCCTCATTATGTTCTCCTGCTGAGACATCCACTTTATATAGAATAAAGGTCTAATGTCTTGTCCAGTAGTCAAAATCCTATGTGATTAGATCCTAGCTTCCTTTCTATTTTGTCTTAGCTACACACGTATTTTATTTCAACCAATTCAAACTATTAGCTACTCAGTATACCTAGCTAACTCTCCCACCTCCATGTCTTTCTCAATCTGTTCTTCAGACGATCTGTCAACAGGAGTGGGCTGTCATCCGATCTTCTTCCCCATCACCGCCATAAATCTAAAGTATAGTATGTTGTTCATCTTTTAAGGTCTATCTTAAGTTCTACTTCCTCTTTAAAAAAACAGACAAACAACAACAACAACAAAAAAAAACAGTCCGGGTGCTGTGGCTTATCCCTGTAATCCCAGCACTTTGGGAGGCCGAGGCCGGTGGATCACGAGGTCAGGAGATCGAGACCAGCCTGGCCAACATGGAGAAACCCTGTCTCTACTAAAAATACCAAAATTAGCTGGGTGTGGTGGCATGCACCTGTAATCCCAGCTATTCGGGAGGCTGAGGCAGGAGAATCGCTTGAACCTGGGAGGCAAAGGTTGCAGTGAGCAGAGATGGCACCACTGCATTCCAGCCTGGCAACAGAGCGAGACTCTGTCTCAAAACAAACAAACAAACAAACAAACAAAAAACCTTGGTGGCTCATGCTTGTAATCCCAGCACTTTGGGACTTTGGGAGGGTGAAGCAAGAGGATCTCTTGAGCTCAGGAGTTCAAGACTAGCCCGGACAACATAGTAAGACCCTGTCTCTATAAACAAAAAACAAAACAAAACAAAAGTTTCCCAACCCCTTCCTAATAGCACATTGTGCCTTTATTGTCCTATGCATCAAAGTCTCATAACTAAGTTAGTTTTTAACTCCCTTAGCAGATTGCTAACTACGTGATTACAGAGATTGTGTTGTACTTGCCTTTTAGATCTCCTTTAGCTCATTGTAGAACTTGGCATTTAGTAGATGCTCAGAAGCACTTATAAAATTAAATAGTAGTTAACATACATGTAATGCTATACTTTGTAAAATACATTCCCAAAACCTGTGGAGTAGGTCATTCAAATGTTTTTATTATTCTAAATTTATAGATATTTAAAATTCTGAAGAACAGAGTTTAGTAGGACCTGAATTCTGTGGTGGGAATCAAAGGCGTTTACTCTGTATTACCTCTGTTATTTTAAGTTTGAATTCTCCAAAGGACTGTGCTGCGTATTTTCCTCACAATCATATTTACTTGCCTCAGGCTGTTTGTGCATACTATTAAACAGCCAGATGAAAAATTAAAAATTCAATCAATCATCCAAATATTTTTAAATGTAATATACATATGTTTGCTTTCATATAGAACAAACAGCCAGGTGATTGATTGAGCTATTTGCTTTTCAACCAGTTGTTTTGGCAGTATGATTATTATATAAACTCTAATAGTGACAATCAGTTTTTTATAGATTTTCTAATTTTACTGGATTCTTCCATTTATTTACTATAGTCATCTAGTCTTATTTATATCATTTATCAGCCCATAAAATGTAGTAAAAAAAACCTGGTTCTTATGACTTCTTTAAGCCTGTCCCCACAGACTTGGAACCAAGATTATAATGCTGGGATTGAAGAGAATATTCTGAGATTGGATAAAATGATTTACACCCTGCAGCTTCCATGATTGAGAGATTTAGGGAGAAAAAAACAAGAAAACATTAACTCTGGAAACAAGCAGGAGTGTCTTTGAAATCATCAGGAATTCCCAAGAGACAAAATAATCGGTGGAATTGAATTCAAAGAGAAAACTTTTGCCCAAAATGTGCAAAAGAGAATACTTCTAGGAAAGATGTACAAGTAGGTTCAGGGAAAAAAAGGAAGGAGCCCTGGTGCAGTGGCTCATGCCGGTAATCCCAGCACTTCAGGAGGCTGAGGCGGATAGATCACCTGAGGTCGGGAGCCTGGCCAACATGGTGAGACCCCGTCTCTACTAAAAATACAAAAATTAGTCAGGCATGGTGGTGGGTACCTGTAATATCAGCTACTTGGGAGGCTGAGGCACGAGAATCTCTTGAACACAGGAGGCGGAGGTTGCAGTAAGCCAGGATCATGCCACTGCACTCCAGCCTGGGGGACAGAGTAAGACTCTGTCTCAAAAAAAAAAAAAAAAAAAAAGAGAGAGAGAGAGAAAAGGAAAAAAAATAAAAAGCAGTAGGAGCAGCCTAGCAGTTCTGACCCCTACTCCCCTCTCAACCGCCACTACCACCATATACAGAGGAAAGGGCAAGACTTAGGAAAGGCTAGATTACTAGGTTGTTGGACCAACCCTCCCACTGAAATAAAATGATACATGTAAAATACAAACTTCTTAAATGCATCAGAGAGTTGAGAAGACAGTGAAGTACCAGACAAAAAATCTAGGGAAAATCTAGAATCTAGAGAAGTAAGCACAAGTGCCCCTGAGCAGAGCCAGGACTTGCCCCATCCTGGCCCCAGCCCTGCACCTGAACATCAAAGCAGCTTTTGCCCCTGTGCTAGACAAGTGTAGACATTAGTTTTAATGGCCACACAAAGAAGATAGAATCCAATACTCTAGACCCGTCCAAGGTGAGAAGTATAATAAGAGACCTTTTCAACGGAAAATGCTATACTCTTAAAATAAGGGCACACTACCCCTTCCCAAGTCCAGGGATCAGCAGGACTTAACTTTTAGCAGAGCAAAGAGAAAAAGAAAAAGAAAAATATATATCTCTGAGAAATTGTGTGGTCATGTGCCAGCCCTCACAGCTTGGGTTTACATTGCTTAGGGATTCCCAGGCACCCCAACCCTAGAACTAGATCTAAGGTTAGATCTAGGCACCTAGGTTAAACATCAGGAACCTGGCAAAAGTAAATTCATGTTTTCTCCATGGAAAGACAACTTCATCATAGGCCTCAAAGAATCCACTCTAATAAAGTGTGCAGTAGATAGTCAAAAATAAGTGCAAAAAGAGACAAATCGCCATTAGGTGGGAGCATTTGTGGTCGGCATTTGTGCCAGAGACATAGGATGCTACTGCAAATGGCTAGTGATATTCATGGAGTCTCTATTCCTAGAAGACTAGCTCTTGTTACATTCTGATAGCACACTCTGCAATACCCACAAAGTCACTGGTAGAAAGCTGAGATAATTCGTTATAGCATTCACAGACAGGCTAACGGAAAATCCAAGCCTAACACGAGGACATTAGGACTCAGCAGTGCTTACATATTCTACAGTTTGAACAATTCAGAGAATATTGGCATGGCCCTTGCACAAGGGTGACTCACAAATTTGTGAAGCATTCCATATTTTTTAAAAAGCAAACATTTGAAGACTTTTAAACATAAAATACCATAATATGTATTTAGAGAGGTTACTTAATCCATGAAACAAGAACAGGTTTTAATGAAAGAAAAAAGATATTTTAGAAATGAAATATCTGATAGCAAAAGTGAAAACCTTAAGGCTGAATAGCAAAATTGTCATAGCTGAAGAGCAACCTGGGTGCTCAAGATCAAACTGAGAAATTCCCTCACATCATAATACAAACAGACAGGGAGGTGATACATATGAAATAAAGGTTAAGGCACTTGGAGGATACATACAAACGTTACAATATCCATACAATAGGATTTCCAGAAAGAGAAAATAAAACTCAGAGGAAAAATAAATCAAATAAAATTCCCTAGATATGAAAAAAGACTCAAATTTTCACATTAAGGCCCACTTTGTGCCAAGCAAGAACACTGGGAAAAGACCCGCTCATAGAAAATAGTGGTAAAATGTGAGTACTTTATGGATAATGAGAAAATCCTAAAAGCTTCTAAAGAGAAAAACATGTTATTTACAAACAAAAAGCACCCTCTTGACTTCAGATTCTTTAGCCACACTGAGTATAAGAAGACACTAGAGAAATATTTTCTAAAATACTGAGGTGAAAATGATTTTGAACTTAGAATTCTATAATCTGACAATCAAACAAGTGTAATGACATTTTCAAACATGAGACATTTTCATACATGAATGGATTCAGAAAATTTATCACCTACAAACCCTAGCTGAAATAATAGCTAGAAGACATGCTCCAGCAAAATGAAAAATGAATCCAAGAGAAGACTGGAAGTCAGTGGTAAGCCAAGTAACCTTTAAGACTTATGATAAATCTAAATAAAGGCTTATTTTATTTTTTAGAAATACAACAATCACAGAGATTTCTTTTTAAAAATCCTTTTCACAGTAGCAACAGATGTTATAAAATAGCTAGGAATAAATTTAATGAAGCTGGAGTAAAATACCCAAGGAATAAAAATTAAAGTGTATCTGGAGAACATTAAACAAAGAAACGTGAATAAATTAAAGCTGTACATCTGAATGAATCTGTGTTGCAAATATGCCAAGTTTTTGTAAATTAACATTTCCAATCAATTGTAAATTAACAATTCCAGTCAAAATATCAACAGATTTCTAAATGAATCTGACAAGCTTATTCTAAAATTTATCTAGAAAAGAAATTACGCCGGAATTCCCAAGATAAGTTTCACAAAGAGGAACATAGAGGGCGTGTGTGTGTGTGTCCTCACACACACAGAGAAGTTCCTGCTCAACCAGATAGTAAAATATGCAATTATAAATATACAGTAATTAGATATACAGTAATTAGGGTATTGCCAGAAGAATAGAGGAGTAGATCAGGAAAACAGAACAGAGAGTTAAAAAATGGACCAGTGTATGAATAAGAATTTAGTACCTGAAAGAAGGTTTTAAAATGTAATAGGAAAGAGATGGATTGTAATGATTGCTAGTGACAAATTGTCCATTTATTTAGGACAAAATGGTAGATCCCACTTCATACGAATCACAAAAATGATCCAGATGGATTAAAAATGTAAATTGTAGCCAGGCACGGTGGCTCACGCCTGTAATCCCAACACTTTGGGAGGCTGAGGTGGGTGGATCACCTGCGCTCAGGAGTTCAAGACCAGCCTGGGCAACATGGTGAAACCTCATCTCTACTAAAAATACAAAAAAAAAAAAAATTAGCTAGCTATGGTGGCACATGCCTGTGGTCCCAGCTACTCAGGAGGCTGAGGTGGGAGGATTGCTTGAGCCTGGGAGGTGAAGGTTGCAGTGAGCTGAGACTGTGCCACTGCACTTCAGCCTGGATGACAGAGTGAGACCCCATCTCAACAAAACAAAACAAAACAAAACAAAAGTACATTGTAAAAACAAAACTATAAAAATAGTTTAAGGAAATACATTAAAATATAGATTCAAATGCTTGGTAAGAAAACCTTCTTGAACAAAACACAAACAAAAAGGTTATAAGTGAGGAAGGAATGGATAATTTTCACTGCTTCAGGATTTAAGACCTCTATGGTGAAAAGGATACAATAAACAGTTAAAAGGCTGAAAACAGACTGAAGAATATATTTACAACATACACACCATATCAAATAACATCTAGAACATATAAGGAATTCCTAAAGATTTTTTTTAAAAAAGAGCCTGATAGAAAAATGGGCAAATGACCTAACAGTCAGTTCCTTAGAGAGGAAATATAAATGCTCCCAAATGTGAAAAGATGGTTAACTGTACCAGTAATCATGCAAATGAAAATTAACAGTGAGACACCAGTATTATCACAATACATTGAAAAAAATTGAAACGTGCCAGTTATGGTGAGAAAAAATTAATATTCCTATATAGTAATAGATATAGTATATATAATATATATAGTAATATATATAGGAATATTAATTTCTATTAATTAATATGTGTGACAGTATTTTTCTTTTTGAGACGGAGTTTTACTCTTGTTACCCAGGCTGGAGTGCAATGGCACAACCTTGGCCTACTGCAAACTCCACCCGCCAGGTTCAAGTAGTTCTCTTGTCTCAGCCTCCCGAGTAGCTGGGATTACAGGCACCTGCCACCACGCTTGGCTAATTTTGTATTTTTAGTAGAGACAATGTTTCACCATGTTGGCCAGGCTGGTCTCCAACTCCTGACCTCAGGTGATCTGCCCACCTCAGCCTCCCAAAGTGCTAGGATTAGAGGCGTGAGCCACTGCATCCGGCCATGGCAGTATTATATATAACATACGTATACTAAGTGTGGAAGTAGAATGGTAGCTTTTTGGAATGCCAATTTGGCATTATCTATTAATATTTAAAATGAGCATACTACCTCTCAAATGAGCAAATTTACTTCTTCTTGTCCACCCTAACAAACCCTTATACATGTTTTATAGGAAACATGTTCAAGGTTATCCCTTACAGTATTGTTTGTCATGGCAAAATAATTAAAAACATCATAAATGTCTATCCATATTTAGTAATTAAATGTCAACCACTGTTGCAGAGACAACTGTCTTCCAACCTTGAGATTCTGGATTTTATTTCACGGTATGTCAGAAGACAATTCCAAACTTGCGATTCTTTGACTCTAAGTTTTCTATTGTAACTTAAAAGGCAGTTTGGTTAAATTTTAGATCCAGCAGCAGAATGACATGCTGTGTTATAATAAAAGTATTTAATCAAACAACATTTTTAATTAAGAAACTGTGCAGGGTGCTAGAGGCAAACTTTAAAAAAAAAAAAAAAAGAGGATGGAGCACTTTCTTCAGAGATCTTACAATCCGTAGAATAAAATTCAATATATGAGTGGGTGCTAACATAAGTGACAAGGGAGTACCACTTCCTGAAGATGTACCAAGAACGGATGATGGGTCATTGAAGGCAGTAGTATCCAGTGAGACCTACAGGTAGGAAGGCAAATTTATTTAGTCACTTAACAGATATGTATTAAGAATCTGTTATAGGACAGGAACTATGGTAGGCATCTGGCTCTAATGTTGAAACAGGAAAGACATGTCCTGGAAGGATGAATAACAATTGGATATTCGGAAAAGAATAGGAAAGCATTCCAAATTAGAAGTGCACAAATAAGTAAAATACATGGGTGTGAGAATGAGTAGAATGTACATATGGGGTAGGAGGATACTACCACTTCAATAAGAGCAGGGTGTAGTGGGAAATAAATTGGCTAAGAAAAATAAGATTGGATTATTCAAAGGCTTAAATTGTCAGATAGAAGAAATTAAAAGAAACTTTACTGAGTGCCTAGCAAATGTCAAGCACTTTCACATCCATGATCTCATTTATTTCTGAGAATAACTCTTCCCACTCCCCACCCACGACTGTGCAATTCAAAGAAAAACAAAACACAACAATGTTTTACCTGTTCATGGGGATGTTGGCATGGAGTGAGTAAAACATGATGGAAGATTTGGAGCTTGAGAAAGTGATGATCCCCTTGACAGGGGCAGAATATTGGAGAAAGGAAGGTGACTTGGGAGGGGGCACATGAGAAATAATGATTTAGTTTGTGGGGACATTGGGACTTAGAAATGACAGGAATATATTCAGGCCACCTTGCTGCCTATTTAATCATATTTCAGCCACTTCAACTAGTGACAACAAAACAAGTAGTTTGAGTATTTCCACTCTTCATCACAACCCTAAGTGGAAACTTTCTATCTATTGCAAAATTTCAGCCTTTCAACTAAAGTCACTGTGTGTCTCTAAGCTTAAAAGCTTTAGTGCCCTATTTCTAGAGGACATAATCACATCTTAAAATCACCATTAACAAAGCCTTCATACTTTGTATGAATAGAATTAACTAAGTCAATATATCCATTATACATTTTAGTTCATACATTTGAGCAAGCAAGAAATACAACAGTTTTTTCAACATTGGAATGTAATTTCTGTTTAATGTCAAGCTAATACATTTAATGTCGAGCTATTGTAGTGTTAATTTCTCTTTACCACCTCTCTAGCTCTCTCCCTACTCCTAGTCCAGGGAATGTTTTCTCATTTTGGGAAGAGAGCACAGAAAGCCTTGCAGTTACTTTGATGTTATATCCCAGTTATTCTACATTTATTCTGTTGTCCAGATTGTAAGTCCTTTCTTTTCCTCCAACAGCCAAGAAAATTCGTTTCTTTCTACCACATCATTATTTTTTTCTGAAGCAATGAGCAACTCACTGACTAAATTGGGAAAAGGCCACAGGTACAGAGAAGTACCAAGAAAAACCATCAGTTAATATTGTCATCAGTTAATATGTTCCACCGCATACTCTCATTTATAATTTGCATTTCTCCAAAATTATTTCTCACCTAATGAAGAATTAATCATAAGAATAACATTTATTAGGCACTTGCTATGCGCTAGGCACTGTGCCAGGCACTGTGCCAGGCACATTGCATCAATTATTCAACTATCCTTCAAGGTTGCTGTTAAGCTCTTTACTTGTATCTACAGGAGGTAATTAGGCTTCTGGAAGGAATATTCTCAGCAAAGCTGAGTTATTTGGCCTTCTCTACTCAGTTAAACTTCATAAAAATTAAAATAAGTAACGGAACTATTCCAGAAAAGAATAAATAAAAACCTAGTCCCCAGTAACTTTAGTTTTTATGGAAATTTTGCTATCTTTGCACTTGAAGAAGGAAATGATGAGGAAGAGAGAATAAAAGACTACGAAATATCTTTTCAAGACACTGACACTAAATTACAGACTTTCAGAACATCTACTATATTTTAATTTATATAACTAAGCCATTAGCCTATTACCAAATATATAAAAATACATCAAAATGTATTTGTATTTAGAGACCTTGAAATATCCAGGTTTGGTCTAATTATGTAGAAATAATGATTGTAAATCATTTCTGTTAAGAGAGGAATGGAATAGCTCCCTTCTATCCCTCATATATATGCAATTCTTGCTGTATGGATGTTACAATTATTATATGACTGAGATGGCTCTCTAGGGAACCAAGGTGTTCTCAGAGCATAGAGGTTGGGGGGCAATAATACCCGTCACCCTCTTCATTTCACAGCTCTGGAGAAGAGAAAAGCTGTGTCCTTCAGAATGGGAAGAGCTTAGGTGAGTGGCAGTTAGAATTTGTATTCCTGCCCTTAATGCCAGACAGAACCAGTTGTTAAGGAAAGTTGCCCCCATATGGTTGAAAGTAAGATGGCACTCCCCTTGCAAGTAGGGAAAGGTTCTTGTGAAATTCTACCAGGAAAAGAAATGAGCTGGGACCAGGCAGAAGGCAGTTGAGATATTATAACCAGAGATCTGTCAGTGTATATAGGACTGTATCTGTGCCTTTTAAATATTTTTTCTTCTTTCTTGAATTACTAAATCTGTTTTGAAAATGCCAGTCAGTTTTACATGTGGTAAGGGGAACCAAGAAAAGAGGTTTCAAGGAAAAGGGGGTAGGAGCAGTGATCAGAGCAAGAAAAAGCCAGAGAGAAAGTAAAGTTCAGCAGGAGCTGCTTCTTCCATGGCTTACAAAGTGTAGCTTCTTCACTTTATTTCAGTAAGGGAAGTACTTTTCTCACAGATGCTAATGCTACTTCCTTTAAAAAGATAGGTTTTGGCTGGGCACAGTGGCTGGCTCCTGTAATCCCAGCACTTTGGGAGGCCGAGGCGGGTGGATCACGAGGTCAGGAGTTCAAGACCAGCCTGGTCAATATGGTGAAACCCCCATCTCTACTAAAAATACAAAAATTAGCTGGGCATGGTAGCCCGTGCCTATAGTTCCAGCTACTCAGGAGGCTGAGGTAGAAGAATCGCTTGAACCCAGGAGGCAGAGATTGCAGCGAGCTGAGATTGTGCCACTGCACTCCAGCCTGGGTGACAGAGCAAGATTCCATCTCAAAAAAAAAAAAAAAAAAAAGACAGGTCTCTGGTAACAGAGAAAGAGAGAGGAACTTACATTTGTTATTAAAGTGCCATGTATTTAATAAAACACCAAACAATTTAAACTTTGATTCTATTCTGTCTTCACACTTACTCCAAAAGGTAGGAACAGTATTTCTATTCCCATTTTATAGAAAACTGAGGCTCAGGGAGGTAAAATAACTTAGTAATTTATCCAACTTCTTCACATGGTTAAATAAGAAAATATGAAATGACTATTTCTAAGCATCATTTGGTGGCCAGGCGCAGTGGCTCACACCTGTAATCCCAGCACTTTGGGAGGCCGGGGTGGGTGGATTGCCTGAGGTCAGGAGTTTGTAACCAACCTGGCCCACACAGTGAAACCTCGTCTCTACTAAAAAATAGAAAAATTAGCTGGGTGTGGTAATGGGCGCCTGTAATTCCTGCTACTCAAGAGGCTGAGGCAGGAGAATCGCTTGAACCTAGGAGGCAGAGGTTGCAGTGAGCTGAGATTGTGCCGTTGCACTCCAGCCTGGGCGACAGAGCGAAACTCCGCCTCAAAAAATAAGAAAGAAGAAAGAAGAGGAAGAAGAAGAAGAAGAGGCAAGAAGGAAGAAGAAGAAGAAAACAAACACCAATTGATGATGTCCAAAAATAAGCATCTCACAAATTAAACTAATAAAGAACCTAGAGTCATACATGCGTACCTTGTTTTCTTGCCCTTCACTTTATAGCACTTCACAGATGCTGCATTTTTTATAATTTGAAGGTTTGTGGCAACCCTGTGTTGAGCAAGTCTATCGGCACCATTTTCCCAACAGCATATGCACATTTCGTGTCTCTGTCACATGTGGTAATTCTCATAATATTCCAAAAGTTTTCTTTATTATTGTATCTCTTACGGTGGTCTGTGATCAGTGATTTTTTTTTTTTTTTTTTGAGACAGAATCTTGCTCTTGTCACCCAAGCTGGAGTGCAGTGGTGGTGCAACTTCGGCTCACTGTAACCTCCGCCTCCCAGGTTCAAGCGATTCTCCTGCCTCAGCCTCCCGAGTAGCTGGGACTACAGGCGCATGCCACCACACCCAGCTAATTTTTGTGTTTTTAGTAGAGATGGGGTTTCACCATGTTGGCCAGGATGGTCTTGATCTCTTGACCTCGTGATCTGCCCGCCTCTGCTTCCCAAAGTGCTGGGGTTACAGGCGTGAGCCACTGTGCCCGACCAAAGACTTGTAGGTTTTTAAGGAGATGGGTGTCTTGATGAAAACAGTACTTAGGGAAAATTATTCTAAGGGTAGACGGAAATTAGATTAAAATGAGAACAATTATAATTAAATATATTAGGAGGCTATTGTATGAATGCAGGCATGAAATGACTGGGTCTGATTTACGCTGTGCTTTCCTCAGAAAACTAAGTACTCACCCAACAAAAATCCCATTGGGAGAATTTTCTCTGGGCCCTTGTAGTGCAAATCATCTCTCTTCTTCTATGTATCACCAGTTTTCTCCCCATTTCTGGTACTTACTGTCTGCACACTTCTAGTCATTTATTCCCAGCCTGACCTGCTCTCGAAACTTAGTCCCAGGTTTTAGAATCATCCTCGTTGCCAGGTTGACCTCTTACTATTTGTCTCACCTCTGTCAGCCTGAATGAGTGTCTTCTCTGGATTCTCCTGTTACCTGTGTTTTTCTGCTTTCCATTCATCACAGTGTGATTCCCAGGGCTTTACTTCTTAAGTGGCAGCCTATGTGGGAATCAGTATCCCTTCCTACTTCCTGACCTCCTGCACCCACAGCTGTCCACTCCAAACTCCCCACTGGCCCAGCTCAACCCTCACATCATGCCAGAGAGAAGAGGTGAGGACTGAGCACTGAGAAATACAAAATCATTAGGAGACTCAAAACAAAAGAGAAACTCTCAAATAGGGGGTTAGAAGGAAGAAGGATATCGGAGATAGTATAACGTCACAGAAGCTGGTGTACAACAGCGTCTAAAAAGAAAGACTGTAAAGCTAAGCAAATATGTCTGGGGGAAGATGTCATTGAATGAGACAAGAAAAAGAGGTCATTACTGGCCTTTGAGAAAGAAGTTATCTATGTGAAAAGGTTAAAAGCTAGATTTCAAGAATGTAAAGTAGGAAAAAAAAAGACTATTAAGAAGCAGAGATGGCCGCCAGCACTTTGGAAAGCCGAGGCGCATGGATCACCTGAGGTCTCGGGAGCTTGAGACCAGCCTGGCCAACATGGAGAAACCCCGTCTCTACTAAAAATACAAAATTAGCCAGGGGTGGTGGTGCATGCCTGTAATCCCAGCTACTCCGGAGGCTGAGGCAGGAGAATCGCTTGAACCAGGGAGGCGGAGGTTGCGGTGAGCTGAGATTGCGCCATTGCACTCCAGCCTGGGCAACAAGAGCGAAACTCTGTCTCAGAAAAAAAAAAAAAAAAAAAATGAAGAGATAGCAGATAGCAGAGCACACCACACATTTACAATGTGCTCAACGAAAAAGGGCAGGTTGCATTTGGGGGTGGGGTGGGGTGGGGTCCTTGGGCTGGCTCTTCCTATGCTGACAATTTCTTACACAAAAGCAAGGATTGCAAAGACTCCAAATTCAAACTTGGCCTCCCAGGTTTTTAATAAAGATATATTTGACAAAATAGGGGGATAGAACATATTTTCTTTGACTGTTAGCTTGATTGATGACATTTAAATATTTAGACATACAGGCCGGGTGCAGTGGCTCATGCCTGTAACCCCAACACTTTGGGAGGCCGAGGCGGGTGGATCATGAGGTCAGGAGTTCAAGACCAGCCTGGCCAACATGGTGAACCCCCATCTGTAAGAAAAATACAAAAAAAAATTAGCTGGGAGTGGTGGCACGTGCCTGTAATCCCAACTACTCGGGAGGCTGAAGCAGGAGAATCGCTTGGACCCAGGAGGCAGAGGTTGTAGAGAGCTGAGATGGTGCCTTTGCACTCCAGCCTGGGTGACAGAGCAAAAGTCCATCTCAAGGAAAAAAATATATATATTTAGGCATATAGAAGGTGGACTGCCGTTTGTATTCCTACTCTAGGGTGTGCAAATATTAGGGTCAGGCCTCTGGTAACAAGGGTGAAGTTAGGGGAAAATGGTTTTTTTGCTTTTTAATTGTTATTCTCATTTTTATTTTTATTTTTTATTTTTGATATGGAGTCTCACTCTGTTTCCCAGGCTGGAGTACAGCGGTTCAATCTCAGCTCACTGCAGCCTCTACCTCCCGGGTCCAAGCAATTCTCCTGCCTCAGCCCCCCGAATAGCTGGGACTACAAGCATATGCCACTACGCCTGCCTAATTTTTGTATTTTTAGTAGAGACGGGTTTCACCATGTTGGCCAGGCTGGTCTCGAACTCCTGACCTCAGGTGATCTGCCCACCTCGGCCTCCCAAAGTGCTGGGATTCCAGGCGTGAGCCACCGCACCTGGCCTATTGTTACTCTGATTTTTTTTTTTTTTTTTTTTTTTTTTTTTGCTGCTCCAGATTGTTTAGATTGGGAAACTGCCAAATATTTCAAGGAAATGAGAAAGAATATAAGAGAGAATGAGAAGTCAAGATATTGGCTAGCAAGGGTTGATGAACAGAACAATAGTCCGTGGAAGTTAAGTAGGTGAGTGAACTGAATGGAGTTAGACAACACCAGGGACAAAAAGGAGGTGAGTCTACACTAGAGAAATAAATGGTGAAGCCAGGAGTTAAAGCATTTTGAAACTCTCATGAGAAATTAGATCTGGTAAGAACTATAATAGAGAGTTTTTTTTTATATTTTCTTCTTCTTCTTCCTCTTCTTTTTTTTTTTGAGATGGAGTCTTGCTCTGCTGCCTAGGCTGGAGTGCAGTGGCGTGATCTTGGCTCACTGGAACTCTGCCTCCAGGGTTCAAGCAATTCTCCCGCCTCAGCCTCCCAAGTAGCTGGGATTATAGGTGCATGCCACCATGCCCAGCTAATTTTTGTATATTTTTTAGCAGAGATGGGATTTCACCATGTTGGCCAGGTGGGTCTTGAGCTTCTGACCTTGTGATCTGCCTGCCTCAGGCTCCCAAAGTGCTGGGATTACAGGCATGAGCCATTGTGCCTGGTCGATATTTTATTCTTCTAATCCTTTTCTCAATGCTAGGACTATATTCTGTATGATTTATTTTGTCATTAGTTATTGGTCTACCTTAGCTTCAGAGAATTGAGATTTTTGAATCAAGAAGTCCTAATAGGCTGAAAACACAGAATCATTTCAGTTGTCAATTGCTGCATTAACAACCCAAAACTTAGTGAGTTCAAACAACAATGATTTATTACTCCTCATAATCTCATAATTCTGTGTGTTGATTGGGTGGCTTTTCACTGATCTCATCTGGACTCACTCTCATGCAGTTTCATGCAGCTGGTGGTCAGCAGAGACAGCTGGGATGGCTGGGCCTCTCTGTCCACATGGTCTATTATTCCTTGCTTCTTCAGGACATGGTGGTCTCACAGCATTGCCCCAGGAAGGTAAAGGAGGCTGCAAGGCCTAAGGACTAGCCTTGGAATTTGAAGTGTCATCTGCCACATTTCAGTTGGTCAAAGAAAGTCAAAACGGCAGCCCAGACATAAGGAGTGGGAAAAAATAATCTCCATCTCCTGATGGGAGGACTGGGCAAAGTCACACTGCAAAGCGATGTGAATACAAGGAGTTGTGATTCCCTGGGGGCCATTGTTGTAACAATCTACAATAGTCCACCCTTAGGCCTCAACGATTCATGTCTCTTTCATGAATCTCATCCTCCCAAAATTGCCCAGGTCTCACTTTATCATATCATCAAGCTCGGAATCCATCATCTCATGGTCTGTATGAAGTCAAGATGTCGATGAAGTTCCTTAGGTATAGTTCTTTAATTCAGGCACCTGTAAACTAAAAAGACAAGTTATTCCCCTATGCCTTCACATACCCAATGTACACTGGAAAGACAGCAAAACTATATTAGACACTGCTGTCCCAAAAGGAGAGATATACTAGTCACTGGTCCATGGCAATTTGGAAATCTAGCCAGGTGCATGTTGGAAGATTCCTCTACTACAGAGACAGGCAATGTTTATTAATTAGGGCCCAGTTCTACCCTCCGGAAGTGGTTCCTTAATATATTGTTCTATTTGGCTCTTGGCAATACCCTCTGGGCTTGGCTCTGCCTTCTGAGTCGTCCTTCCTTTTACATAAGAAATGGCCCATGTTTGTGACTGAGTAGCTTTCTCATGCTGTCTCCTATTCCTAGAAAGATGGAGGCCCAGAGGCCTCTTCTCATTTTGAACTGTCTCAATTTCTTTTAACCCAAGCTAGTGGCTTTTGTTCAACACAACACTTTTAAAAACCTTATAAGTCTTCTATGAATCCGATGGGCTTCCCCTCCATGCCCCAAAAACCACATGGACAATTCTTTTGGAGGCAGTAGGCTGTAGTGCTAGCTTCTTCCCTACCACTTCAAAATTCTTCTATCTCAGTGGAAGGGGAGGAGTAAATCAAAGCTGTAGTGTGCATAGGATGGTGTGTTTCATGTTATGTAAATTGATATGTCCCATAAAATGTTCTGCATAAATCAGATTTTTGTTTTTTAAAAAAATGGAGTTGATGTCATTACAGAAATTTGCCACTTAAAATCAACCTATTGTGAATCCTTTGGTAAGGTTTGAAGTGGCAATGGTGTAGAAAGAAGAGCTCTGGAGTCAGACCTGCATTTGAATCCCACTCTGCCCTGTGACCTTGGACAACTGACTTATTCTCACTTGGTGAGAACACAGATATTCTGTGCTTGCTATTTTGGTGGGTTGTTATGGAGATTGAAGATAAAGTATCTAAAGAATCTAGCATATAATAAATTACAGTTAGAGCTATAATTCTAGAGCTGAATGAAACTTTAGTCCCCTTCCAAGGCTAACTCTACATCAGACATTTTTGATGGTGTACGCTATTATATATATTTATTTATTCATGATGATAATGAACTACTGATCTATTATGTGCATTATGAAACATATCCCTAAAATAGAGATAATGAAGGAGATTTTTTAAAGCCTCAGGCAAGTAGATCTAATATTTTCTTCCTGTACCCGGTAGATTGTGGTTTTTTACAGGGAGTGCTTGAATTTGTGGGAATTTCAGCATCCTGTAGGGGAAGTGATAAAACAGTGGTGCAGATCTCTAGCAATCACCAATGTTTCTCAAGTGGTACGAAACAAGCTACTCTAAAGTATTATGGGACACATTATTTGTAACAGAATGTTTTCCCTAGTAGCCAATGGAAGCTTCTTTTTCTTTAGGTAAAAAATCTAAAAGCCTGAAATTTAGAAAATAAACACCCTTGTCGTAAGTTTCAAAAGTGTTTTGGCTTGCACATCTTCTGCTGGAAATAATGAACAATTGCTGTTGTCTTCATGTTATGTTTTAAGCTACTGAATAGTTAATTCCTTCAGTTATATGCTTATGCTTCCTTCCATTTCCCTAATTCTTTTATCTACACTTATCCTACTTTCGATGACTGCTTTTAGCCCTGTAATTTTCATGTTACTCTTTGACCACTGACAGTTTGATTTTCTGGACCAGTGTATAATATAAACTTCACTCCATTTAATATCTATAATTTTCTCCTCTCACTCAAATACACATGACAGTTTGTACTTCTGTGTCTGTACGTTCTGTACATACTAACTCTAATTTTATTCTGTGTACTTTGGGGAATATAATAATGGGAATCTACCAAATCACATTGCTTTTTCTAGTTTACTTTTTCTAGTTGTGATAATGGAGTTTAAAAACTGCTAGACATTTTATGTGACTATAATATCAGTCACAATGTCTGATTTCTAATACACAAATATAATTAGGCTAAGGAATTTTCTTTGAAAGATACTATAATTGAGAGATGTCACATTACAGGCAAAGCATTAATAAGTGCTAGTAACATGAATTCTCTAATTATGCTTTACTTGCCATAGTCCCTTTTAAACTACTAATGCATTAGGTTGGTGCAAAAGTAATTGTGGTTTTGGGCTGTGAATTTAAAATAATTATAACTAGGCTCAAACACATCTTTGTTAATCAAAATAAGAACCATTGCAATCAACACATTTTTGCCAAGGAGAAATAAGTTTGTTTATTCCCATAGTGTAAAAATCCATGCTTCAGGATTCGACAAACTCTTGGAAAGCATTTTCTGAATCTTGCTGGTTGTAGAGGCATTTTCCCTGCAAAAAGTTGTCAAGATGTTTGAAGAAGTGGTAGTCGGTTGGCGACAGGTCAGGTGAATATGGCGGATGAGACAAAACTTCAAAGCCTAATTCGTTTGACTTTTGAAGCTTTGGTTGTACGACGAGCGGTCAGGCCTTGTCCTGGAGAAGAATTGGGCCCTTTCTGTTGACCAATGCTGGCTCAGGCGTTGCAGTTTTCGGTGCATCTCTTCAATTTGCTGAGCATACTTCTCAGATGTCATGGTTTCACTGGGATTCAGAAAGCTGTAGTGGATGAGACCGGCAGCAGACCACCAAACAGTGACCATGACCATTTTTGGGTGCAAGTTTGGCTTTGGGAAGTGCTTTGGAGCTTCTTCCTGGTCCAACCACTGAGCTGGTCATCACTGGTTGTCATATAAAATCCCCTTTTCGTTGCCCATCACAATCCAATCGAGAAATGTTCGTTGTTAAGAAAAGAGGACACATTAAAATGATGATTTTTCAAATCTTCGTTCAGCTCATGAGGCACCCACTTATCAAGCTTTTTCATCTTTCCAATTTGCTTCAAATGCCGAACAACCATAGAATGGTCGACGTTAAGTTCTTTGGCAACTTCCCATGTAGTTTTAACAGGATCAGCTTTAATGACTGCTCTCAACTGGTCGTTGTCAATTTCCGATGGCCGCCCACTATGCTCCTCATCTTCAAGGCTCTTGTCTTCTTTGCAAAACTTTTTTTTTTTTTTTTTGAGACAGAGTCTCGCTCTGTCGCCCAGGCTGGAGTGCAGTGGGTCGATCTCAGCTCACTGCAAGCTCTGCCTCCTGGGTAGCTCCCAAGTAGCTGGGACTACAGGCGCCTGCCACCACACCCGGCTAACTTTTTTTTTTTTTGTATTTTTAGTAGAGATGGGCTTTCAGTGTGTTAGCCAGGATGGTCTCGATCTCCTGACCTCGTGATCTGACCACCTCGGCCTCCCAAAGTGCTGGGATTACAGGCGTGAGCCACCGCGCCCAGACCTCCTATGCAGAACTTCTTGAACCACCACTGCACTGTGCGTTCGTTAGCAGTTCCTGGGCCAAATGTGTTGTTGATGTGGCAGGTTGTCTTTGCTGCTTTACGACCCATTTTGAACTCAAATAAGAAAATCGCTCAAGTTTGCTTTTTGTCTAACATCATTCCATAGTCTAAAATAAACATAAAATAAACAGCAAGTAATAAGCAAAAAACATGAGGTGAGAAATGCCCATTAAAATGATGTGTAACATAACCACATTTATTTAAGTAGCGTATTCCAATATCAAACGGCAAATTCCAACAATGCAAAAACTGCAAGTACTTTTGCACTCACATGTAATATCCTCAAGGCATCTTAAATCCTTTAAAGAAGTAGGTTCCATATAATAATAATAATTTTATATACCTAACACTTATTAAAAACTGTGTATTAAGTACTGTGCTAAATATATAAACGATCTCATTTAATTATCATACCAATTAATGAAATAGTTACAAAATCAAGACTAGAATATAGGCCTGTTTGACTTAAAGCCAGATGGTAGACCATGAGGCTACATTGCCTCTGACGTTGAGTATTCATGGTCCCAATATAATCACTTGACAAACTTGGGATAAAGCTTTATTTATAATAATATTTAATAAAACTTATTCATATCTTGAACCTAAGGAACAATCCTAATGTATATAATAGTATCAGATATGTATCGTCTTTAAAAGAATTTGGTATGCCTTAGTAATGCCTTGCTTACCAGGCAGTTTTTGAATATTTATTTATTTAAGACAGGGTCTCGCTCTGTCACCCAGGCTTGAGTACAGTGGCGCAATTTCTGCTCACTGCAGCCTTGATTTCCCGGGCTCAATGATCCTCCCACCTAAGCCTCCTAAGTAGCTTGGATTTCAGGTGCATGCCACCATAGCTGGCTAATTTTTGCATTTTTTGTAGAGACAGGGTCTCACTATGTTGCCCAGGCTCGTCTCAAAACTCCTGGGCTCAAGGGAGCCGGCCACCTTGTCCTTCCAAAGTGTTGGGTTTACAGGTGTGAGCTGCCATACCCAGCCTAATTTTTATTTAGAATTTGCCAGTTATTTCTCTAATTTGACAGAGGACTAAATATGAATCAATCTGGGACCAGTTCCTATAAGGTCTAGATTACAAAGTAAACACAACAGATGTATAATTGTGAGGCTGCTGCCAAGTACTAAAGTTCACTGGTAAGTGAAATAATAAAACATCAAATTAATAAATACAATGGGCTGGGCGCAGCAGCTCACGCCTGTAATCCCAGCACTTTGGGAGGCTGAGGCAGGCAGATCACCTGAGGTCAGGAGTTCAAGACCAGCCTGGCTAACATGGCAAAAACACCACCTCCACTGAAAATAGAAAAATTAGCTGGGGGCAGTGGTGCATGTCTGTAACCCCAGCTACTTGGGAGGCTGAGGCATGAGAACTGCTTGAACACGGAGGCAGAGGTTATAGGGAGCCAATATCGTGCCACTACATCCAGCTTGGGTGACAGAGTGAGACTCTGTGTCCAAAAAAAAAAAAGTAGAAATAAATTAATTAATTAATAAATACTATGTCAGAAATAACATTAGAAAATTTATGACCTGTTCTTAAAAGCTTTTGACTTTTTGGAAATACAAAATTTTGACTATTTCATATTGGTTTGTGGTCAAATTCTTCAGCCTGTGAAATGTGAATGTATCACATATTTGCATTTTTTTTACTTCCCAAAACATATGATCATTTTTACAATGCATCAGATTTGTTTGTTTACAGCAATTGAAAATTTGTCAATCTTAGTAATGTAGTAAAGTTGAAACATCATGATGTGTTATCCTGTCATCTCACGTTTTCCGACTTGTTTCTCTAAGAAAGTGAAGAAATTTCAAGCACTGTGCAAAAATAAATATGCCAATGATTATGCATGTATTCTATATGATATATATATAGTCTTTATAAAAAAAAGTATTAAAATTGGTTCATTAAAAATTCATTGAAAGTTATTTTCTCAAATTTCAAAGCCTGGTATAATTATCAGTCTACATTTCTCAGATGTTTGTATCATTCAATTAATTTTCAGTATCTCTCTGACATATGGATGAGTCTATAAAAATATAAAATGTTATATTTCCTCTTCTATGTTTTAATAGCTTCTATTAATAGATGGCACTTATTTATATAGATACATTTAATTAAATACATTTCTAGCTCAGAAAGTTTTCCACTATTGTAATTAGCTCTATGATTTATAGAACTCTTTCATGTTATTAACTCAATTTCAGAATGCTTGATTAAAGTATATAGATTGTCTCTGGTGTCAAGTTCTAGCTTTACAAATTATCAGTGAAGGAATTATTTTTAACACATTATTAGGAACTCTAAATTATAAATTATTGTCAACAATTATTCTTAGAGTTCTAAAAGTTTTCTAGAAGTTTTTTTAACAATAAATTGTATTTAGTGAAATTTTAAAAAGAAAATGCTTTTAAATTTTATAAAAAAATTTTGTGTATTGCAGCTATCAAAGCAGAGGAACATAATAAAAGACAAAAGGAAAGAAATGTCACCACACAGGTAAATATTTTGCTAAATCTTTACATTTTTTAATAGAAAATTTAGGCTATAGGCACTAGTTTTTTCAGGATACTCAGAATTATTAACTATTGTCTCTTTTTTTTTTAATTCTCAATCAATATTATTCTTTCATTCATTCAACAAACATTTGCTTAGTCAACCGTGAGAGGATAAGACTGTCTTCAGGCCTGAGTCTTCTAAGTTGTGGACTGTCTGAGGTCCTAAATATTAGATTGGTGCAAAAGTAATTGTGGTTTTTGCCATTACTGTCAATGGTAAAAACTGCAATTACTTTTGCAAAATATTAAGACACAAAGAGCAGAGACCCACCTGGCTTATAAAGTCACAGATGCTTATTAAACGTTATCAATCTTATGATGTCTTTGCACATTTTGGAAGTAGGGGATTCAAATTTTCAGTTTATTCTCAACCCAGCAATGATTTACTCCTGTAAATATGTCAAGTAAAGAAGTGAATTTCCATCTCACACTGAATGAAACCAAAGCATTACAATGGCTTGCTTATTAGGCTCTATGGTCTTGCCCTCGTGGTTTTTTTTCTCTGATATCAGCTCCTACTACTGTCTTCTTGATGTTATTGCATATACACTGGACTCCATGCTGTTCCTCAAAAACCCCAGGCATGTGCCCCCCTTTCGTGTTCTCTCTGCTTGGAATACCTTTGCACCCAGATGTCCATAGGGCTCCCTTCCTTCACCTTCATCTTTTCAGAAGGTTCTTCCCTGGACCTTCTCTAAATTTACAATCACTCTCTAAAATTGCAAATCCTGTCAAACACCTTCTTCTATACCCCTTCCCTGCTGTATTTTTCTTCTCAAAATTATCACCATGCAACATACAGTATTTTATTATATTTGTTGTCACTCTCCCTCCACTAAAGTACAAACTCCATGAGAGCAAGGGTTTTGTTTGTGGTGTTCATTGCTGTTATCCCCAGCCAATAGAACAGTGCCTGGTACATAGCAGACACTCAATAAATGTTTATTGAATTAATGAGTAAATCTTAAATCTAAATGGAGGAAGTAAACTGAGAAATATTAATACAAATTAAAAACCCCTCTGTACATTGCAACCTTTTCTAAACCCCTCTGAATATAGCTCCTCTCTTATCACTATAACTACCACATCCCATAATTAGCAGTGGGATTGTTATTAGCAGAAATAGATGTGAGCTTCACCTAAATCTCAGTTTGTCTTCAGGCAAGTGGAGAATGAAGGAACATCCATTTCTTCAGGTCATCTTGCTTTCTCTTGTGGGCTCTTGGCATCTTGCAAGTCAGTGCCTGCTGAATAACACCTAAAATGGCCTTTGGAATCCTCTTACTGCTTGAGAACAAGGATGCTGCCCAGACCCATAAGCATCTACCCAATGCCCAGCATTAGAAGATGAGACCTCCAGAGTAAAGATGGGAATAGGCCCCTTCCAACCTTGTAAAGCCTGGGACAAAAGAAAACTAAGAACTATTCTAAGATATTTCAGAATATTAGAAAGTAAAACAAAACAAAACACAATACAAAACAAAACACTACCTTTGTGTCAAAGATTGGGGTAAATGTTCCAGGGTAGCCTGTTTGTAGATTGTATATCTCACTCAATTCCATTGGCCCAAGCACAGATGGCAGAAGTGAAAAGCCCAAAGTCTGCAAACACCTCTACTGCAAAGTGCCCATATATGCATGCTATCCTACAACCAGAATAGAGTATCCTCAGCTCACTGAACTTACCATAGTGTTACATGACTCCTTGGCAATGAGCAGGATACTATTTGGCTGAAAGCACCCTCTCTCCATCTCTACCCCCAATGTAGGCTTGGCAAATTCTGGTTATCTTCCATAATAATTACCATTTACATTATAATTTTAAAAACACACTCACCTAAGTGGAGCTGCTCTTTCCATAGTTTTTCTCTCTTTCTGGCTTTACGACTCTACAACTTCCAAAAAAAAAAGTCATCTACTCCTCCATTCCCCGACAAAAACTTTTTGAAAACACACATACACACATGAAAAAAATGTTTAAAGATAATTTGTCTTGTGTTAAGGATCTAATTTTTTCAGGAGTTCTGTGTGCTATTTCCTTCCACATTAAAGAATGATCCTGATTACAGAGGTAATAAACCCCCAGGTATGTAATGTACCATCGGGAAGTAACTGAGGCCCCCTAAGGGAGCAACTCAAGTATATGGCTGAGGGACCATTTTTGTTGTAGGACTTTCTCCTTAGTTCAGCTAAAAACAGGGTCCTTGTCACACGACCATGAAAAATTAGGCTTGCAGACACTTTGAAGGGCGAGAAGGGCAGGGTTTATTGGGTGAAAAGGAAAAAAGGTGGGGAAACAGGGACTTTCAGCAAAGCGAGAGAGTGTACTTCCTGCCAGTGGGCTCACAAATTAAATCCAGGTTACCAACCCCGGAATAGGAGAATCCAGACTCTTCCTCCCTGCAAATGGCAGGAACTTCCCAAGGATTCACCTCATTCACCCAGTATGCAGCCCAGTTGGAGTTTCTCCAGGGACCCTTTTACACCTGGCTGTCTCATTCCCCCCTCTGCAGAAGTACATCTAACTGCTGTTAAAATAAGGATAAGGATAAGGACGAAGACCGATCTTAACTGCTTCCTGCTGACAGGGGGCGCTGTTCTGGGGGAATGGCATTGGAGCTCCCTCAGAGGTCTAGCTAGCTAAGGGTACCCGGCAGAAAGGGCCATCCTCCAAAGCTCCAGTTGCATGACCATTTGGAGTTTGATAGCCTGAAGGTGAGAAGAGACAAACCAGGTTATTAGAAAACACGTATCAAAACGAGAAAAAAGGGATGGGTAAGGACACATCAAAAATCCCAAGGCCTTTTACCAGTTTGCACAGGGAGAGGGAGGCCAAAAGCCCGACTGTAAAAAAAACTTTTACCCTTTTGCCAGCATATCAAGCTTCTGGGTTCCCTTCCCCTGAGCCCAATCCTAAGCCAACCAGTCTAAGGTTTGGGAAATTAACTTTTCCCAGTTTGGAGGATGCATCTGACAGGAGTGTCCTGAGTACAGAGACAAAATTACCTATCAGTGAAGAGAGGAAAGAGGAGGAAAAAAGAAGGCTTTCACTGCAAGCCTCCCAGGTTTAAGCGATTCTCCCGCCTCAGCTTCCAGAGTAGTTGGGACTACAGGCACACGCCACCACACCCAGCTAATTTTTATATGTTTAATAGAGATGGGGTCTCACTATGTTGGCCAGGATGGTCTTGATCTTTTGACCTCGTGATCTGCCCGCCTTGGCCTCCCAAAGTGCTGGGATTACAGGCGTCCAGGCACCGCGCCCAGCCAAGGAGGCTTTTTTAAAAAAGGAGTCCCAGGGGTTCAGGATGCATTCAAAAGGGGTATAGATTGAAGATGAATGGCTACCCATCTAGAAAGACGGGAGCAGGCATCCCTGGTTCCCTTCTCTTCCTAGCAATACCTGGGGTATGTGAAGGAGAGAAGGAAGAGTGTCCTCTTTCCCTCTTCTGTCCTTGAATCATCAAGTCCCAGTGAACTTAGCAGGTGCCATCCATAGGTGCCAAAGTAGCTTGCACCCATGAAGCAGGGAGGGCCTAGATAATAGGAATTAGCTGCTCTCACCTATGTCTCTATCCCACCTACTATCAGTAGCCTTGGAGTTCCCTAGACCTCATTTATGCCATGGATACTAGCATGACCCTTATCCATGAAATGGGAGGCTTGGCTTTATTGGCAGGAATTAGCCCTGCTTACCTGCACTGTCTTTTAACCTCTGTTGTTGTCTGCCTCTGGATTCCTTAGATCCAGTTTTCTTTCCTAGGGCTTTGACCTGAAGCTTGGAATTGAGTTTGGGAAAAAATGTGTCTTGGTAGGGGTACATGGACTCCTTATCAGAAGCCAAATGCTGAGGTGAAGGTGTGGAATTGAATCCTCCTCCAACAAGGGAGAGAAAAGCATGTCTTGTGACATGCCCAAATAACTGGTGGCTATAGTTATGCTTGCTAAGATTTGGGTGCATGGTGCTTGGCTTTGGTTAGCTCCCTTGGTCTTCCTTTCCCAGAAAGGAAACCTCTGCGTGATGAGTATCCTGTTTATTTCCATCACCTGGCAGGATTTGCAGGATAATTGCTCAGAACTAGAATATTGATCCAGATTTTTACATTACCCATCCCTTTTGTTCTTTCTGAGCTGCAGCTGGAGATTGCTTGGTTGGTTGATTGATTGGTTGGTTCACAGGAACAAGCAGGGGTAGTCTAAAAATATAAACAAAAAAAACAACTAATGAGTTTAGAATTTAATGACAAATGTATGATGAGTTTTGAAATATAATTTCTCTCTCCAGTCCTCATTTTTGTTAAAAAACAATCATGATAGGACTGAGTTGTTTGCAAAACAGATTATTTGCATAAAGTACAGCAAGAATCACTATTTCTACATAGGCTAGATTTTAGTCTTTTTTTTTTTTTTTTTTTTTTGAGACAGAGTCTTGCTCTGTGACCCAGGCTGGAGTGCAGTGGCATGATCTCGGCTCACTGCAACCTCCACCTCCCGGATTCAAGAGATTCTCCTGCCTCAGCCTCCCCAGGCTGGGACTGTAGGTGCGTGACACCATGCCCAGCTAATTTTTTGTATTTTTAGTAGAGACGGGGTTTCACTGTGTTTCGATCTCCTGACCTCGTGATCCATCTGCCTTGGCCTCCCAAAGTGCTGGGATTACAGGAGTGAGCAAATACACTGTATTTTCTTTCTAATCAGTATTTTCTTTCTTTCTTTCTTTTTTTTTTTTTTTTTTTTTTTGAGACGGAGTCTCGCTCTGTCGCCCAGGCTGGAGTGCAGTGGCGCTATCTCGGCTCACTGCAAGCTCCGCCTCCCAGATTCACGCCATTCTCCTGCCTCAGCCTCCCGAGTAGCTGGGACTATAGGCGCCCGCCACCACACCCGGCTAATTTTTTTGTATTTTTAGTAGAGATGGGGTTTCACCGTGTTAGCCAGGATGGTCTCGATCTCCTGACCTTGTGATCCGCACGCCTCGGCCTCCCAAAGTGCTGAGATTACAGGTGTGAGCCACCGCGCCCGGCCTCTAATCAGTATTTTCTTTCTAATCACCTAACTTCAGGGTCGTACTTCTCCAAATGTTTCCTTTCCCTTCATCTTAACTGAAACCTAGTTGTCTCCTGATGACTTCTTCCCCTGTAACCCTTTCAAGCATTTTCTAACACAGTCCACTTATATTGGTTCAGGATAGGGTGGTAGGTATCCTTCTCCCTCCCTATTGCCACATTCTCATTGGGAAAGTAGTAAGAGATGAAGATAGAAACGTAGCTCGTGGTCTTTCTCTCCCAGGAGCAGAGAGCTCCTGTCTACATTGGAGATTTCAGTATTCATGAATCGTAGCAGCTCAGTTTCATTACTTACATCTTCTTGCTTCCAATAGTCCCATCCTCCTTAACACTCCCATGGTCATAATCTAAACTGTGCCTGTTCCAGATGAAAATTTCAGGTATCCAAGTCTCTGATGGCCACTGATATCTTTCCAGGTTGTTCCATAAATGCTTCAATCCCACCAGGACCTCAAATCGATTTGCCCTTTTTACTGCTCATTGTTCCCCTCACATGCTCATTTCCCTTATTACTTGGCTGAAAGTTGATACCTCATCACCCCAGGACCACAGGATCTTTTCCAAAGCCTGTGGGAACAAAGCTGTTTCAGAAATTAGGCTTTAAAAAATTGTGGTCAAATATACATAACATAAAATTTAGCATTTTAACAATTTTTAAATGTACAGCTCAGTAGTGCTAATTACATTCACACTGTTGTGCTACTAATCTCCAGGACTCTCCATCTTGTAAAACCGAAACTCTATATCCATTAAAAAAAAACAAAAACCTCTCCATTCCCCTCTCACCCCAGCCCCTGGCAATCAACATTCTACTTTCTGTCTCCCTGAATTTGACTACTTTAGGTACCTCATCTAAGTGTTCATACAGTGTTTTTCTTTTAATAGTTGACTTATTTCACTTGGCATAATCTCCTCAAAATCTATACATGTGTCAGAATTTCCTTCCTTTTTAAAGCTGAAATATGTAATCATAGTTCATTCATTCATTCATTAATGAATGCTGATTGCTTACACATTTTGGCTATTGCAAATAATGCTGCTATTAACATGGGCATACAAATACCTCTTCAGTACCCTGTTTCAATTCTTTTGGGCACATACTCAAAAGTGGCAATACTGGATTATAAAGTAATTCCATTTTTAATTTGTTGTCTGATCATCATTTGTTTTCCACAGTGGCTGCACCATTTTACATGCCCACCAATAGTCCACAAGTGTTCTAATGTCTCCAGCACTTGTTCTTTTTTGTTTGTTTGGTTTTTTTTGTTGTTTGTTTTTTGTTTTTTGTTTTGAGACAGAGTCTCACTCTGTTGCCCAGGCTGGAGTGCAGTGGCACGAGCTTGGCTTACTGCAAGCTCGGCCTCCTGGGTTCATGCCATTCTCCTGCCTCAGCCTCCCGATAGCTGGGACTACAGGCACCTGCCACCACGCCTGGCTAATTTTTTGTATTTTTAGTAGAGATGGGGTTTCACAGTGTTAGCCAGGACGGTCTTGATCTCCTGACCTCGTGATCCGCCTGCCTCCGCCTCCCAAGGTGCTGGGATTACAGGCGTGAGCCACCGCGCCCGGCCTGTTGTTTTGTTTTTATAGTAGCCATTTGAATAGGGTGTAAGGTGGTGGCTCATTGAGGTTTTCATTTTTGTTTTCCTAATGATTGGTGATGCAGAGCAGATTTCCATGGGCTTGATGTCCATTTGCATATCCTCTTTGGAAAAATGTCTATTCAATTCATTTGCTCATTTTTTAATTGAGTTTATTATTTGGTGAGTTGTAGAAGTTTTAAAATATATTCTGGATATTAACTTCTTATCTAATTTGCAAATATTTTCTCCCAGTCTGTGGGTTGTCTTTTCACTCTGTGGATAGTATCGTTTCATACACAGGAGTTTTAAATTTTGATGTAATCTAATTTATCAATTTTTATTTTTGTTGCCTGGGCTTTTGGTGTTATACGAAAACTGACCCAATAGTTCCATAGATAGTTTTTTGGATAAACATAGAAATTGACCCTTCTGGTCTTAAAGCTTGAAACTTATATTTGTTTTATCTGAGTTCTGTTCATTTCTTCTCTGCTATATAAACCCTCGGTTTCAGTTGGTCAGGGAGACGGATTTGAGACTGATCCTCATTAAAGCCTTCTTCCTTGGCAATACTAGTTGTCTCAATCACTGGTTTTCTGTGCAGTGGCTTTCTGTGTGGCATGCAGTAGGGCCTAGACCAAATCCCTGATGTTTCAGTAACAATAGCCAAGAAATCATTACCAAATCCAATGTCATGAAAATTTTCTCCTATGTTTTCTTCTAAGTATTTTATAGTTTTGTGTCTTGTATTTAGGTCTTTGATACATTTTGAGTTAACTTTTGTATATGAAATAAGGTAAGGTCCAATTTCATCCTTTTGCACATGGCTATCCAGTTTTCCCAGCACATTTTGTTGAAAAGACTGTCTTTCTCCACTGAATGGTCTTGGCACTCTTTAATATCATTTGATCATATATGAGAAGCTTTATTTCTGGGCTTTCTATTCTATTCCATTGGTCTATATGTCTATCTTTGTGCCGCACTCTTTTGACTATTGTAATTTTGTAATAGGTGTTGATATTGAGAAATTTGAGACCTCCAACTTTAGTCTTCTTTTTCAAGATTGTTTTGGATATTCAGAGTCCCTTGAGATTTCATTTGAATTTTAGAAAAAATATCTCTATTTCTGAAAAAAAAAAGCCATTGGGATTTTTATAGGGATTGCATTAAATCTATAGATCGCATTGGATAGTATTGACATCTTAGAAATATTAAGACTTCCAATCTATGAACACAAGGTGTGTTTCTGTCACAGGATCCTTGGAGTGTCACTTTTCCAGCTGGAAGCCTCTGTGGCTGGTGGCACCTTTGCCCAAGTTTTGCTCAGACCTGCTGTGCTCATTCTGGCCACTTGGCCTGGCAGGCTGCACTTGGCTCATGCTACCAGCCTGGACCCCACAACTGCCAAGGGCGAGCCAAGCATGGAGTGGTGAAGGGTGCATGAGTGAGCACGGGGTCCAGTCACTGTGCACAGCCAGGCACACCAGCTGCTGTGGCAGAGTGGGCAGCTACAGGCACTGGCATAGGCAACAGCTTCATGCAAACCTGTGGCTGGATCAGATGCACTGCAAAGTGGCTTTTGTTGTGGGCACCTGCGTCTGGATGAAGGGAATACAGTGGTGCCCAGAAGCTTGGAAATGCCAGAAACCACAGTGCCCCAAAGAGGGTGTCACAGCCCTGGCTCAGGGAGTCCCTAGGTCTGGGCTCCTAAAAGGGCTACAGCTCTTCTCTTCTTCTCATTGCCTGCAGTGTGGGGGGCATGTTTTAGCCCTTTTTGTGTTACAGCTCTTTCAATTCCACCATTCAGCGGGTCCCAAGTTCTTGTCCTGCATCCAGGAAGAATGAGATACGCAGACAATTGGAGGGTGAGCAAGGTGAAGAGGTGCTTCATTGAGCGACAGTACAGCTTTCAGGAGACCCAAAGTGGGTAGCTCCTTTCCGCAGGCAGGTGGTCCTGATGAACACAGCTCTTACTGGAGATGAGATTCAGAGTGGGTAGCTCCCATCTGCAGGCAGGTCATCCCATCATCTCTGTAGCCCTCAGTGGAGAGGAGATATGGAATGGGTAGCTCCTACCTGCAGGCAGGTCTTCTTGATGTCTGCCGGAGTCTAGCTGAGTCCGGGGGTTTTTATGGGCTCAGAAGAGGGGAAGTGCATGCTGATTGGTCCATGGGTGGCCATGGGTCGGCCTAAAAAAAGCACCATAAGTTCTCACTCCCAGCTACAGACTCCACCCGGAATGGATCCTGGCCCCCAGGCTTCAGGTCCTTCCTGGCTTGAAGGTGGGGTTTCAGTGGGGACCTGCCCCTTTCCACCCAGGAGCCTGTCTGCCTCCTGCTGCCATCTACATGTCATCCATGGTCCCCAGGCTGTTCATGTGGAGTGGCACCTGCAGGCCTGCATTGAGCCATCCTCAGTACCCCCTCGGCCTCCCTCCCATGCTCGTCAGTGCCCAAAGTCCAGAGGGGCTGAGGCAGCAGGGAGCTGGCATGTCAGCACCACCCTAAGTGCACACACACCAGCTGGGTTGCAACAGTGCCCAGGCTCCACCTCAGTTTTGCTCCAAAATCACAGTACCAGGTGCTGGGAGAGGCCAGGCAGTGGGAGCAGGCACTTCCAAGCCTGCGGGATGGGAGGGTTTCTCGCCCCAAGAGCACAGGGATGCCTGGGTCTGCAGCCGCAGCTGGGCGGCTACAGCTGTGCCCAGGAAGGTGGGGCTCCCACCTGGCCAACTCGGAATGGGTCATGGCTCCCTCCTGTTCCCAGCTTCCACTGGCTCTGCGGAGCACACAGCCCTAAGCGTGCTTCCCCTGCTGCAGCTGGCATTTCTGCAGTGGCTGCTCCAGGTGGGCCACCACCATCATCATTTCCATTTGTTAGTGTCTTCTTTAATTTATTTCAGCAAGTTTTATAGTTTTTTTAATACAAGTCTTTTGTCTTCTTGACTAAGTTTCTTTATAAGTACTTTATTCTTTTTTATGCTATTTTAAATGGAATTGTTTCCTCAATTTCCTTATTGGCTTCTTCATTTGTAGTATATAGAAATACAACTATTTTGTATTGATTTTGTATTCTGCAACTTTTGTTTAAACTTTGTTTATATGTAGCAGTTTTTTTGTGTAGAATCTCTAGGGATTTCTACATATGAGATTATATCTTCTGTGAACAGATAATTTTACTTCTTCTTTTCCAATTTGGATAACTTTTTTTTTATAACTTTTCCCTAGATAAATTTATTTCCTAATTGCTGTGGCTAGGACTTTCAGTACTATGTTGAATGAAAGCAGTTAACAGTGGGTATCCTTGCTTTGTTCCTATCTCAGAGGAAAAGCTTTTGGTCTTTAACTGTTGAGTATGATATTAACTTTAACCATTGAGTATGATATTAACCATGGAGTATGTAACCCTTCATATATGGTCTTTATTTATTATGTTGAGGTAATTTCCTTCTATTCTTTGTTTGTTGAATGCTTTTTATCACAAAAGCATGTCAAATTTTGTCAAATTCTTTTTCTACATCAATTTAGATAATCATGTGCTTTTCTCCTCTTTCATTTTGTTAATGTGACATATTACATAATTTCCATGTGTTGAACCATCCTTGCATATCAGAAAAAAATCCCACTTGGTCATGGTAAATAATTTTTTAATATGCTGCTGAATTCAGTTTGCTAATATTTTGAAGATTTTTCCATCAGTATTTATCAGAGATATTGGTCTATAGTTTTCTTTCCTGGTAGTGTCCTTGTCTAGCTTTGGTATTGGGGTAATGCTGACCTCATAGAATAAGTTTGAAAGTGTTCCCTCCTCTGCAATTTTTTGGAAGAGTGTGAGGCAGAATTCAAAGTCTTAAAAAACTTTTAGAAATGTAAATATATATATATATATGTATATATTAAAATGTACATAGTGTGTAATAATGTAAAATAATGTCAAATGTAAAAGAGAGAGAGAAAGGGAGAGAGAAACATACACACACCCCTCACATATTATAGAATACCCCAAGTAGGGATTCAGGAAATACATTGTTTTCATTAATAGTTATGCAGAAAAACGTAAGAATATCACACTAAATGGGATAAAGAATAGAATTAACCTAACATAAGGTCAGGTCAAGTTTTCACACCAACTGATTTTGAGCACCAAACTAATGAAAAAGCTTTCAGTGTTCAGATCTTTTTTGGATTTGGGAATTGCAGCTAACATTGCAGGGTGCTGTGAAATCACTTCCTCATATAGATCTTCCATTTAGTTATTCCCCTTGCACTCCATTTCATTTATTGGTAAAACCTTAACCCTGATGAAATGTAGTTCTCCATCTACTCAATTCCTCCTTCTGGGTGGCTGAACATGGCTGGGAAAAGAGAATCAGGCAACCAGTCTCATTTTAATTTCATGACCACAGACTAAGGAGGCCTTCAGTGTTTCCCAGCAAACCTGAACATCTCCCTAGTCAAATTTATTATTCCACATCTCTAAGATCACTGTTTCATATCTTCTCCCTTCTTACCAAAATTCCAACACATCTCAGCTGATGACCTTCCTGGGTTTTGTTTGTTCTCCAATTTCAGAAATCACCATCATCATGCATTTAGCAAAACGCTTTGTATTTTTCACACTGAAAAAAGGAAACAGTTTGAAGAGCAATTCTATATCCACCCATCATCAACTCTATCAACCTACCAGCAGCTGTAACCTGCACTGCCTCAACCCCAGACACAAACTACTTCAGGCACATGTTTACTGGGATGTGTAAAATGGATCTGAGACTTGACATGTTGACTACTGAACTCTTGATTTTTCTGAACTCCAAACCTGTTCCTTTCCTGACATCTCCTAGGCCAGTAAATGGCTCCTTCATCCACCAGATGCTTAGAACAAAAATCTTAAGCTCACCCTCTGCTTCTTTCTCTCATACACAATATCCCAGTTATCTTGGTCTTTCAAATATCCGGAATCCAATCCCTTTTAACTACTCCACCAGCTCACCCATCTGGACTCTGTGGTAGCCAACTCTCTGATCTCCTGCATTTTTGCTCTATTGCAGCCTATTCACCTCACGGTATGTATTGCATTACACTTAAGACAAAATCTAAACTCTTCATCAAGTCCCATGGGGCTTTACATGATTGGCATTTGCTGTTTCTCTGAGCTCTGACCATACTCCCCATTACTCACCCTATTCCAGTCACGTTGGCCTCCATGCTATCTCTGGAGTACCCAAGTCTGTCTACCTCAGGGCCTTTGTACTGATAGTAATAGAAGACAGACAAATTCCTAGGCAGACAGGGACAGGTCCCTGGTGAGACCCAACCTTCAAGCCAAAGAGAGTTTAAAGCCTGAAAACCGAGCTGCCATTTCTGGATGGAGTCCACACCTGGAATGAGAAGTTCTACCCCCATCTTACTCTCTCTCTCTCTTAATTGGTTCCTTCAGGATGATGCCTTTTAACCAACTGAGTGGTGCTTTTTGCAAGCCCACCCACGGACCAATCAGCATGCACACCCCCATTCTAAGTCCATAAAAATTGGTGAATTTTTTAAATCACCAATCTAAAATAGCACATCCCTCATTTTCTAACTCCTCTCCCAGACTACTGGGTCTTCATCTGCTTTCTTGTTGCATGTAATCATGTGTCTACAAACTTGCTCATTACTTAACTCCCCATTTGACTCCCCCAAAGGAAACTGAACTCTTTACTTTTTTGTATAGTTCTCAGAGATACAAATATCTCTTGATTAGTCACTACAATTTAATAAGTGCTTGCTAAATATTTGTGAATGAATGAATGTCATTTAGCAATCCTTGTATCAAGGAATGAACAGAAACTATCAGTAGCTCTAGTAAAATTAAGAGAAAAGAAGTGCTGAAAGTAATGAAAAAAAAAAAAAAACCCAGAGCTCTTTTGATAATCCATGTATTCCCTGTACCATGAAAAGTTGACATGGCTATATGTTTAACTATAATTTTCTGCTCCTTGCATGTAAATACAGAATATAAATACAGACTCCAGTAAGTATCAGTTGTTAATGTTCTCTGAATTTCAGAAAGCATTAGCAGTTAATATAAATCTTATGTTAGCACTGTATTATTAATATCACTCATGCCACTTTTTTCCTTTTTATTTGCTGCTTTACCATTTCCCTGTATTTCACAATTTACCCTTAGGAAGCTGTCTACTATTCTTATTTGGTGATATTAGAAGGTGGATATGCAAATACACAATAAAATAATAAGCAATGGCTTTGCCAAGAGGAAGAAATATTTTTACTGATAATTTGCTGAAGTAACTGAATGAGTTACTTCTTCTCTACAAGGGATAATTATTCTTTTCACTTAGGGGTGGTTATTACATCTAACATATTTGCTTTGTTTTAAAAAATCTTAGATGTGTTAGGAAAATGTATCCTGAGATTGTTTTATATTCTTAATTGAAAAGCCTAGGAAAAAAATAAAAGACATCAAGTCCATTAACAAAAACAGCTTTGCTTCAATGTAAACATCTCATAAACTCTTATTTTAAGGGAGGAAAAACTACTAAAACAGTTAATTTTAAAGTTTAAAATTGCCAGCCCCCATTTTTTTCAAACATACATGCATTTATTTAAGACCTAGAAAGCTAATAATCTGACATATTTTCAATTTCTGATGAGAAACCATAATTAAAACATCTGCTTCTATGTGAGTCTTTGCTATATGTACACATATCTTCACTGTATTATGACTGATGTTAAATTTTTGTATTATTTAATGTTGGACTTCAATTTCACTCTCATGTACTAATAACCTTCTTCCACTATTACCTAGGGCAGGGGTTCTTAAACTTAAGGATGCATCATAATCACCTGGAGGACTTGTTAAATCACAGATTGCTGGACTTCACTCCCAGAGTTTCTGGTTCTGTAGACCTCAGGTGGAGCAGATAATTTGCACGTCTAACAGATTTCAGGGACCATACTTTAAGAACCAATGACCTAGGAAAACCTAGTTTTCTTATAGAAAAACTCATTTTCTTTGTTTTTCACTTGCTCTTGACTTTCTTCACTAGTGTCTGGGGCACTAGTGTTCATACTCTTTAGAAATATAGTGGTTTAAACATAGTATATGGAATCTGCATCTATACATAGTGGGAAAAGTAGAAATTCATTTCTCCCTTTTGTGAAACCAATGGCAGCAGCCTGTGTTCTCTGCCACATTATATCTCGATAGCATCTCATTCATTTACCTAAACAAAGACCACTGGTGAGAAGGTGACCAGCTAGTCTTGGTTTGCTACTTTTATTGTCCTCACTGATGCCTTCTATAAGCTCTTACTTTTCATTTCCTCTTTTTCCCAAGAGCTTTATCAGCAGAATTTAATGTATTACACAGTGCCAAGGAACAGTGACTATTTTGGGGGATATGAACCAGGAAAGAAAAAAGGGACATAGATTGTTAAGGAAAACAAGAAATGTCTTTGATTGTTGAGCCCTAGGAAAAGTAAGTGACTGGCAGGCAAAGAATTCTCACCTTCCAGTTCTTTTACTTCCCACCTATCTATCATTTGTGAGGGATGATGCTCACTTCCCATTCCATATCAAATATGACTCGCTCTTTACTCTTAGACAAATACATTTAATGTTTCATATATAGGCACCCAATTTGAAGGTATTACCACATATACAGGTCTGCTTGTTAGGGGGTTGGGGGAAGACTTTGATTCCCTCCAAAAATCTCATCTGTCCCCAGTCTTCTTCATCCCTGTAAATGTAATCTCCTATCTGTAAATGGAATCTCCTATCACTCAGCTGGTCTCGCTCCAAAACAAGAAGTTATCTTTGACTTTGTCCTTTCTCTTACCCCTGTATTCAGTCCATCTCCATTTTTATTTGCACCACTTCTGTAACTGTGCCACTCATCACTTGAAAGACAAAAACTCAGGAAAAGAGCTTTGATGAAAGGAAAGTTAGCTTTATTCAAGAAGCCAGAAACCCGGGGAAGGCAGTGAATTAGCATTCAAAGACCACCGTTACAAATTGTCCCTCTAGATCAGGGATTTTTAAGAGTAATGAGGGGAAGTGATATCAAAACATTCTTGTGAAATGTGCACAGTCTCAGGCAGGCAGTTACTCATTGCTTTCTAGGTCAATGCCGGTGACCTTCTGCAGGGGCCATCAACCTGTTCTTACGAGGCCGGTCAGCTCATTCCCAGAGTTGTTGGTCGTGTCTTTTATTTCTGTTGAAGGTCCTGTTTTCTCAAGGCTGTTTTAGTGAATAATCTCCACACTCAAGCAAAACAATAATTATATTCAAGCAAGCAAGCTAGCTTTTCTCTAACACGGAGTCAGTACTGTTAAACTTCTAAAACATACCCTAAGTCTGCCCATATAATTTATCTCCATTGCTTCTGCACTCAGCTGAGTCACATCATCCTTCGCCTAGTTGACTGCAATAGTTTCCAAACTGTTCTTCCTGCTCCCACTCTTTTTCTTTTTGAGATGGAGTCTCGCTCTGTCACCCAGGCTGGAGTGCAGTGGTGAGATCTTGGCTCAGTGCAACCTCCGCCTCCCGGGTTCAAGCAATTCTCCTGCCTCAGCCTCCCAAGTAGCTGGGATTACAGGTGCCTGCCACCAGGGTTTTGCTATGTTGGCCAGGCTGGTCTTGAACTCCTAACCTCAGGTGATTCGCCCATTTTGGCCTCCCAAAGTGCTGGGATTACAGGCATGAGCCACCACGCCCAGCCCCTGCTCCCACTCATGATGCTGTATAATCTGTTCCTCACATGTCAGCCAGAATAGTCTTTTGTTCTAAAACATCAATCAGAGCTTGTCTCCTAGGATCGCAATATCTTCCTCTTGTCCTTCAGTAAAATGCCACCTCCTTACCATGTCCCTGTATGATATCACCCCCCTACTTCTCTCTGTGTCTTTCTCTTTGATAATTTTTTCCTTGGCTCACACTCCTTCAGCCACTTGGGAGTTATTTCCATTCCTGGAACATACAAGTTTGTTCCCACTTTAGGGCATTCGTACTTACTGTCCTTTCTGCCCGGAATGCTCTGCCTTCATAACTTTGCAGAACTGCTTTTTTGTCATTAAATTATTGGCTCCAAAGTCACCTCTTCTGTAAGGCTTTTCTTGGACACCCAATCAAAATTATGCACCAACCCCTCTTCACCCCATATTTGACTTTTTACATTTTCTTGCTTTATTCTCTTCATAGCATGTATGGATATCTGATACTAACTTGTTCATTTATTTGTTTACTGGTTGCTGTATTTCTTACAGACAAATGGAAGCTCCATATGATCAGAAAATGCTTCTGTCTTATGTGTCACTATATCTTCAATTCCTAGTGAATGCCTAGCATAAATGTATTGAATGAGTGAATCAGTGCTTTTTGTATGACTTTTAAAGAATAGGGGTTTTGGCCAGGCGCGGTGGCTTACGCCTGTATTCCCAGCACTTTGGGAGGCCGAGGCAGGTGGATCACCTGAGGCCAGGAGTTTGGGACCAGCCTGGCCAACATGGCGAAACCCCATCTCTACTAAAAACACAAAAATTAGCTGGGCATGGTGGTGTGTGCCTGTAATCCCAGCTACTTGGGAGGCTGAGGCATGAGAATTGCTTGAACTTGGGAGGTGGAGGTTACAGTGAGCTGAGACCATGCCATTGCTCTCCAGCCTGGGCAACAAGAACAAAACTCTGTCTCAAAAAAAAAAAAAAAAAAGAATAAGGGTGTTTCATTCCATGACTATTTTAGACCTGTTGCCGCTCAAAAAACTATTTGTGGAGGCTATTAAAATAGTCCCATTAGCATCAGTCATGTTGCTGCTATTGAAATTCTATTAAAGAATAAGTATGGGATTTGGAGGCTGAAATATTTAGCATCAAATACAGCCTAGGCAGCCACAGGGGCCTAGGATATGCTAAAATTGCTGTTCAGTGTCTTTGAAAGAAATTAGTTCAGAAAATGTATGACATATAAGTATTTTCTACTAGTAAAACATTTTTAAGATATTCTGCTTAAGAGATTAAAAAACACTATATTTTGGCCAGGCGTGGTGGCTCACGCCTGTAATCCCAGCGTTTTGGGAGGCCAAGGTGAGTGGATCACAAAGTCAGGGGTTCAAGACCAGCCCAGCCAACATGGTGAAACCCCATCTCTACTAAAGATACAAAAAATTAGCCGGGCATGGTAGCACACACCTGTAATCCCAGATACTCAGGAGGCTGAGGCAGGAGAATCACTTGAACCCAGGAGGTGGAGGTTGCAGTGAGCTGAGATTGCGCCATTGCACTCCAGCCCAGGTGACAGGGCGAGACTCCATCTCAGAAAAAAAAAAAAAAAAAAACAAAACAAGCAAACAAACCAAAAAGAAAAAACCCACTATATTTCAATAAAACAAATGATGTTTACTGATTTCCAAGACTCAGAACACCTGCATTTACTGACAGAGCAAATTAAATAGCCAGAGGTCCCAGATTCTAGTATGTTAGAATCTGAAACAGAAAAACAGAAAAATGTATTTAAACAGAAAACATATATAGTTAATATAGTAATAACAGTTAATATTTATTGACTGCTTGCAGTGTCCAAAGCTCTTCACATGTATTAACTCGTTTGATCCTCAAAACATCCCAATGAGATAGGCAATTTATTACCCCTATTTTATAGAGGGGTAAAGTAAGTCACAGAGAGGTTAATTTGCTCACAGTTAGACACAGCTAATAAATGGTAAACAGAAAATACGATGTGAGGAATGTCAATCAAATTGTTATAATCTATAACATTTATTTTGGGGTTTGGCAATTGGAATGGATGATTGTGAATAAGATATGTTTATATGTTAACATGTACTCAAAGTTTCTTGTGTTTAAAAAGTTAAATTGTGTGTTGTTTTGAGAATAAAACTAATTTTCATCCAAACAAAACAATGTAAAAACTCTTAAGTCAAAGTCTAGCCTTAGAAGACTGACAGACTCTTAAACTAGAAGCTATTAAAAAGGTTTTCTGGACCAGGCGCAGTGGCTTACGCCTGTAATCCCAGCACTTTGGGAGGCCGAGGTGGGCAGATCACAAGGTCAGGGGTTCGAGATGAGCCTGACCAACATGGTGAAACCCCATCTCTACTAAAAATACAAAAATTAGCCAGGTGTGGTGGTGCGCACCTGTAATCCCAGCTACTCAGGAAGCTGAGGCAAGAGAATCGCTTGAACCCAGGAGGTGGAGGTTGCAGTGAGCTGAAATCGCACCACTGCTCTCCAGCCTGGGCAACAGAGCAAAACTCCCTCTCAAAAAAAAAAAAAAAGAAAAGAAAAAAGAAAAAACGGTTTTCTGCCTCCCAGCACTGTTTTTGTTTGTGGGTTTGTTTGTTTTTGCCTTCAAGCATAGTACCATAGGACTGGGTCCTACTTTGGAAGTGTCTCTAGGAATAAAAAGCAGACATTAGCCACAAATAAATTACAATCAAATGTGTAGCAAGATAAATTCAAACTTTCTTTCCTCAAAGACTTCTGTCCTTTTTAGTTTCTCCTGTGAAACACGTTCCTTCCTTTAAGGAAACAAGAGGTTTCCCCAAAATAAAGAAACTCACATATTCATTAAACTTCCCTTGATTCAAGGCAGCCTATTTTACATGAGAAATATACCCAAAGGTTTACAAAGTGTCTATAAATAATTGAGTAGATAAAACATGTAATATGTGATGTACTAGGAGGTCAGCTTTAGAGAATGCAGAACAGTGAGCTACTGTTGCAGAATTTTGCTCCTTAGTTCAGCTAAAACCCAGGTTCTTGTCACACGACCAGGAAAATTTAGGCACATGGACACATTGAAGGGTGAGTAGAGCAGGGTTTTATTGGGCCAAAAGGAAAAAATAAACTCAGCAAAGCGAGATGGAGTTCCTGCTAGCCAGCCCCCACCACCTCCTAGATTGTTTCCTGGGTCACCACACCAGCTGAAGAGAGCAGGCTCCTAGACTTTGTAAGGCACGAATTCCTCCTGGCTCCACCCACTTCCCCCAGTGCGCATGTCGGGCTCCAGTCGCTCATCTGCACAAAAGCATCTGATATAAACACTTGGGCGGGTTGGAGATTCTCCGAGGACCCCTTTTTCACCTGCCTAGGCATTTGGCTGTCTTATTACTGCTAACCAAGAAGAAAAGAAACTACAAGTTCAGAGGGAGGGCCATCACCGTGGGTCACAGTGATACTGAGGAGTCTTGGGGAAAAAGATCCTTAGTTTGGCCTTGAAGCAGGAGTAACATTGGAGATAACAGGAAAGAAGAGACAATAAAAACTATTTAAGTAAAAACAAGGAAATAGGAAAGAATCTATTCTATCTGTGGAACAGGGAGTAGAAGAGTTTGGCTGTCACCAGCGTTTGTGTAGGTGTGGTAGTAGTAAGAAACAAGCTCACTGTGACATTTTTAGGTCAGACTGTGAGGAATCTTAGATTTTGTACAAAGTGGTTTGATTTTATCCTGCTCTTCCTGAGAACTGAAGGTTTGAGTTGGGCAATAATATGTTCAAAGGGATGCTTGAGAAAAACTTATCCAGTGTGAATCTGTAACCACCCAATGGGTTCATCTTGTCTTCTGCCCTGATAGATGTATCAAGACAGGGGAATTGCAATAGAAAAAGGGCTTAATATACATAGAGCTAGCTAAACAGGAAACTGGAGTTTTATTATCACTCAAATCAACCTCCCTGAAAATTCCAAGGCTAGGGATTTTCAAGGATAGTTTGGTGCGCAGGAGGGTAGGGAATGGGTGCTGCTGATTGGTTGGGGATGTAATCATCTGGGTGTGGAAAACAGTCTTTATGCACTGAATCCAATTCTGGATGGGGACCACAGAGGAGTCACTGGTACAGGTGGGCCTCAAAAGACATCTCAAAAGGCCAATCTTATGTTCTAAAATAGTGACGTTATTTACAGGAGTCATTGGGGAAGTTGTAAATCTTGTGACCTCTAGAATTGTGGCTGGTTATCATTGAACTATGCCTACATCTTAGCAGAATTTGGGCCCCTGTCATCCTCCTAACCTGGTGGGCTTTCATTAGTTTTACAAAGGTGGTTTAGTTTTTGGGAAGGGCTATTATCATTTCTCCCAAAGTTAGCTTAGCTCACACCCAGGAATGACCAAAGGCAGTTTGGAGGTTAAAAGTAAGATGGAGCTGGTTAGGTCAGATCTCTTTCAATGTCATAATTTTCTCGCTGTCATAATTTTGGCAAAGGCTATTTCAGAGCTTCAAGATACAGGGAAGTGAAGAGGCAGAGGGCAAGTGAAGATGTCAGAGACTATCAAAACACAGCTTCTTTCTCCGATGAAGAGCTATAGCTAGTCTATAGATGGGCCCAGGAGAGTTTTACAAACATGCTTTTATTGCATTTGCTGTTTAAAAACTAAAATTCACATGATAAGCCCTTCAACAGAAAATCTTGTCAGCAATGTTTCCGGAATATCTCCAGAAACAAACCACAACCACTATCACCATTTCCCCCTCTACCATCTTCTTTCTTCACTGTCACCATCAATTCTCAAGTGGCCTATTTCAGTTGGCCTCTTTTCCCCACTCCATCTCTACGATATCATATTCTCCACACATGAGCCAGAATGATACTTCTGAAATTTAATTCAGTTAATATCACTCCTCTGCTCAGAACCCTCCATAGGGCTCCCATTCACACAGAACACAACTCCCAATCCTGAACCTGGCCCCAGCGCTGCCTCTCTGCCTCATTATTTCCCCCTCTCCCCACCCCACTCACTCTGCTCCAGTTACCCTGTCTTCCTTGCACACCTGTGTGTTCCTGTTTCAGCGCCTTTGCGTTTGCCATTGCCTCTGTCAGAACTCCCTTCCTGAGGTTTATTTGCGTGGCTAACTCCCTCCATTCCCACAGGGGTCTACTCAAATGTAATCATAGAACTTCTCCACCCTGTATCAAATAACACTAACTTTTATCACTTCCCTCCCCTTACCCTTTTTAAAAACAACTCCTTTTATCAGTTGACTGTTATCTTCCCTGGCAGAAAATCAGCTGCAAGAGGGCAGAGACTTTGTTTGTTTGGTTGGTTGGTTTGGCTGTATCCCTGGCTCTGAGAGCAGGGACTGAGAGCAATGCTCCAAAAATGCTTGTTATTAAATTATTTAATCTCTGGATGCCTTGGAGAGTCAGAGAAAGCCTCTCTGTCTTCCAAGGCTCCCTAATACTTGGTCTCGCTGACTGTGTTCTGCTGTTGTTCAGGATGAGAGAGAAACCCAAAGTCAAGAAACACTGACCTCTGTAAAGAAGCCAGTAGAAACATCAGACAGTCACAGGCATTTGCCAAACTTGTACTGCCTCCTCAACTTAGATGCTAGTTATTGTTGAACTGAAAAGTTAAAGTTAAATGGCAATAACATATGATAATTCCACTATACTAGAGAGTGCAGGATGCTTATCAAAATCCATGTTCTCTTCTTCCAGATACCTAAATAGATTATGTTTCTCGGCCACCTTGCAATTAGGTGGGGCTAATAGAAGGTGGCTGAAAGCAGGAAATGCAAACCAAAACCACAATGTGATACCAGCTTACTCCTACAAGAATGGCCATAATCAAAAAATAAAAAAAAACAGATGTTGGCATGGATGTGGTGAAAAGGGAACACTTCTACACTGCTATGTGAATGTAAACTAAAACAACCAGTGTGGAAAACAGTGTGAAGATTCCTTAAACAACTAAAAGTAGAACTACCATTTGATTCAGCAACCCCACTACTGGGTATCTACTCAGAGGAAAAGAAGTCATTATACAAAAAAGATACTTGCACACAGGCTTATAGCAGCAGAATTCACAATTGCAAAAATACAGAACCAGCCCAAATGCCCATCAATCTACGAGCAGATAAAGAAACTGTGACATATATATATATGGAATATATATATATGGAATATATATATATGGAATATATATATGGAATATATATATATGGAATATATATATATGGAATATATATATATGGAATATATATATATGGAATATATATATATGGAATATATATATATGGAATATATATATATGGAATACTACTCAGTCATAAAAAGGAATGAGTTAATGGCATTCAAAGCAACTTGGATGGGACTGGATAATATTATTTTAAGTGAAGTAATTCAGAAATTGAAAAGCAAACATTGGATGTTCTCACTTATAAGTGGGAGCTAAGCTATGAGGATGCAAAGCCATAAGAATGATACAATGGACTTTGGGGAATTGGGGGGAAAGGGTAGGAAGAGGATGAGGAATAAAAGGCTACAAATTGGGTTCCGTGTATACTGCTCGGGTGATGGGTGCACCAAAATCTCACAAATCACCATGAAAGAACTTACTCATGTAACAAAATCCTACCTGTTCTCCCAAAACCTGTGGAAATTAAAAAAAAAAAAAACCTTAGGTTTACTGAGCTATTATGTACTTACTAAACATCTAATAAATTTCAGTTAAAATTTAAAATTTAAAAAAAGAAAGTAGCTGAAAGCACTATGTGCCCCTTCCAGGTCTGGCCTATTAAAGAAAGCAAAGCAAACCAAGAAAGCAAAGCAAACCAAATGACACAAAGCAAAACAAAACAGAAACCTTTTCTCCACATAGTCTTCCAGGCTCTTTCTCTTTCTGTCTGCTAGATACTGATGCTCCAGGAGACCTTGGAATCCGCATGTTGAAGCTGGCACAGTATCTATTTAATATCTGCTTGGGTCCCTGAATGACAGCCATGGAGCATATTATTTTATTTGGCCATAGAAAGAATTGAAGTGCTGATATATGCTACAACATGGATTAACCCTGAAAACAAATCTAAGTGAAAGAAGCCAGTCACACACAAAAATCACATACTATATGATTCTATTCATATGAATGTCCGCAATAGAGAAATCTGTAGAGGTAAAACATAGATTAGTGGTTGCTTAGGGCTGGGGTAGGGAGGATGGGAGTACAGGGAAGGTGATAGCTAAAGGATTTGTGGTTTTTTCTTAAGGTGATAAAAATGTTCTAAAATTGACTGTGGTAATGGTTGCACATGTCTGTGAATATTCTAAAAAACCATTGAATTGTACACTTTAAATGGGTTAATATATAATTTATAATATGTGAATTATATCTCATTAAAGCTGTTTTTATTTTTATTTTTTATTTTATTTTATTTTTTGAGAGTCACTCTGGAGTACGCTGGCTGGAGTACAGTGGCGCAATCTCAGCTCCCTGTAACCTCCGCCTCGCAGGTTCAAGCAATTCTTCTGCCTCACCTCCCAAGTAGCGGGGATTACAGGCACACACCACCAGGCCTGGCGAATTTTTTTGTATTTTTAGTAGAGACGGGGTTTCACCATGTTGGCCAGGCTGGTCTCAAACTCCTGACCTCAGGCAATCCGGACGCCTCCACCTCATAAAATGCTGGCAGATGTAAGCCACCCCGCCTAGCCTAAAGCTGTTTTTAAAAAGTCCTTTACATGGCTTCATGTTTCTGCTTGCTCTGGCCCCTGGGTCATTGCTCTGATGTCTTTGCTACCACCTCAAAGGATTTAAGCATGCCAGAAAAGAAAGTTTAAACTATACTGAAGAAAAGGAAAAAAAAGCAAACAAAAAGTCTTGACTCTTCTTAGAAGTAGTAATTCACAAAAAGGGCCGGGTGTGGTGGCTCATGCCTGTAATCCCGGCACTTTGGGAGGCCGAGGCGGGCAGATCACCTGAGGTCAGAAGTTCGAGAACAGCCTGGTCAACATGGTGAAACCTGTCTTTATTAAAAATACAAAAATTAGCTAGGCACGGTGGCATGCACCTGTAGTCCCAGTTACTCGGGAGGCTGAGGCAGGACAATCACTTGATCCCGGGAGGCGAAGGTTGCAGTGAGCCAAGATCGTGTCACTGCACTCCAGCCTGGGTGACAGAGTGAAACTCGTCTCAAAAAATAATAATAATAATAATAATAATAATAATAATAATAATTGACAAAGGAAAAATTTTAATGTTTCAGTATAATTTACCCAGAAAATTATGTAGGTAAATCATGAATATTTACTTCCATAAAGCTTTTTCTACCTTAATTCCTGCATTATTTTCTACTACTCAGAAATAACCTGCTAAAACTATTACCCTACTTAAAAAAGATTAATTGTAATTATATAACTTCTGAAAAGGACTTTTGGGAAATATTGTTTTTTTAAAGCCAGTCAGAAGATTTTCTGTACTTTCCACCCATTATAAATTTGTTGTAATGTGTAAGGCAATATCAACGCCTTCATTTTTTTAGCTAACACGATTGACATTACCATGACAACTTACCAGTGGAAGGTAAATTGGTTAAATTCTCCTACTATTTTATTTATAACATTTAGCTTTTAATGCTTGGCTCTGTAGTTCAGATGACAATATAATAGATTTAAAAGGTTTTTATTCATAAAACATATGGATTTCTAAAGTGAAGTAAGCCATCTGTCATTTTGATTTGAAAAAAGCAAGAATTAGAGTAATTGCATTAAGCTTGTATTTTTGCCATGAATATATGAATTTTCACTTTCCTGTTGTTTCATTTGAAAAAAACTCACACATGAACAAAATGAGCAACAGTCTTTTTCTTTGTAGGTATCAGTGAACGAAATCAAACAATATTTATCACACATATTGGAACAAAGAACATCTAGTAATGTAATCAATAAAAGAGAAAATCTCCTGGAGAAAAAGAAGAATCAACGTAAAATAAGAATAAAAGGAATTCAAAATAAAGATATCTTGAAGAGAAATAAGAATCATTGTAAGTAGAATATCTTTTCACATGTAAATTTAAAATGACTACATGCAATATAAAATCAAATTTTAGAGCTACTTTCTGAGAAGTCTTAGGATATAGTCATAAATATTTATACACACAAAAGCATTAAATTCTGCAGTCTTCTACCTTTGTTTTATTTTAATTTATTTTATTTTTTTGAGACAGGGTCTCACTCTGTTATCCAGGCTGGAGTGCAGCTGCATGATCTTGGCTTGCTGCAACCTCCACACCCTGGGCTCAAAGATACTCCTGTCAGGCCAGGCGCGGTGGCTCACGCCTGTAATCCCAGCACTTTGGGAGGCTGGGGAGGGCAGATCACGAGGTCAGGAGATCGAGACCACAGTGAAACCCCGTCTCTACTAAAAATACAAAAATTAGCCAGGCACGGTGGCGGGCACCTGTAGTCCCAGCTACTCGGGAGGCTGAGGCAGGAGGATGGCATGAACCTGGGAGGCAGAGCTTGCAGTGAGCCAAGATCGCGCCACTGTACTCCAGCCTGGGTGACACAGCGAGACTCCGTCAAAAAAAAAAAAAAATAGATACTCCTGTCTCAGCCTTCTGAGTAGCTGGGACTACAGGTGTGTGCCACCAGGCCCAACTAATGTTTTTAATTTTTAGTAGAGACGAGGGCTTGCTATGTTGCCCGGGCTGTTACCCACTATTTTAGATTCAGAATTTGTGCTGATGATAATAAGGAAGGTTGATAATCACAAAATGTGTTCTTCTGACACAAGTAAATACAGAAAAGTGATCACTGCTAATAAGAGCAATAGATAGAAATTGAGAACCATGGGTTATGAACCATGGGTTATGGAGAAGAAAGAGAATAGTTTTGGGGCTGGATGAACTCATTGATGTTAGTCTCTGTTTTTTTCTGAGAGTCCAGCTTTGACAAGGATTTTCAAGTTTTTAAATCTTAATATTTTAAGCGTATTTTTTTCCTCACATTTAGCTCCAAAAGACTGGTTCACTGCCCATTTGAAGAATTGGCTCTAGATATGACATCGAAATGTTGACATGCTTAGCTAACTGAAGTTAGGGATTTGGCAGGAAACAAATAGCACATTTAAATTGAGTCATCTGAGAAGAGTTTAATAAAGAGACTATTTATTTCTAAAGGCGTAGACAGGATATAGGGAAACCACAAAGTTCCCCCTGGGGCCAGTAGCAGGACTGGCATTACCACCCCATGGCCCTGAAGTGCCACAGGGCAGTAGTGGCTACCAGAGGTATGTGGAGAAGGCTCTGTGACAGAACTATGGTCTCAAGTCAAGGACAAAGCCAGCCTGCAGAGACCCGGATTGAGGAGGCAGGGAAGAAACAGCCCCACCTCACTTCCTGCTTACCCTTCATACCTCCTGCTAGTGATGCTCTTCAAGCAAATCTCTTCAGAAGCAGGAAGGAAAGGGAGTCCATTGATGTGGTGTGGTCCTTAGGAGTTAGAGTCCCAAGGCACAGAGCAGGATGGAGTGGGATCTAGAATGGCAATCAGAAGGCCGGTGGCCATTGCCTATGCCTGTCATCCAAGCGCTTCAGGAAGCTGAGGTGGGCGGATTGCCTAAGCTCAGGAGTTTGAGACCAGCCTGGCCAACATGGTGAAACCTTGTCTCTACCAAAATTACAAAAAATAACCGGGTGTGGTGGCATGTGCCTGTAATCCAAGCTACTTGGGAGGTTGAGGCAGGAAGTTCACTTAAGGCCAGGAGGCGGAGGCTGCAGTGAGCTGAGATTGCGCCACTGCACTCCAGCCTGGGCGACAGAGGGAGACCCCGTCTCAAAAAAAAAAGGCCGGGCACGTGGCTCACTCCTATAATCCCAGCACTTTGGGAGGCCAAGGCGGGAGGATCACGAGGTCAGGAGATCGAGACCATCCTGGCTACCACGGTGAAACCCCGTCTCTGCTAAAAATACAAAAAATTAGCAGGGTGTGGTTGCAGGCGCCTGTAGTCCAAGCTACTCGGGAGGCTGAGACAGGAGAATGACGTGAACCCGGGAGGCGGAGCTTGCAGTGAGCTGAGCTGAGATCGGGCCACTGCACTCCAGCCTGGGCGACAGAGCGAGACTCCGTCTCAAAAAAAAAAAAAAAAAAAAAAAAAAGGCAAAGGCAATTAGAGGATATCCAACACACCTGGCTTTCCAGACAGGGGAGATTAGATGGCATGAACTAAAAGGATAAAGACCTTTTAGGGGCACACAGTAGAAGCATAGTTAGTAAAAGTGAAGTTTCAGAATCTTAAGAGTAAAAAGGAACGTTAGAGGTCCTCATCTAAAAGTACTAAGTCAGTGTAGTGGTCAGGGTTCAACCAGAAAAAGATTAAAAAAAAAAATAGTAGGAGATGTCTATACTTAGGAATTTATTGCAAGTGAGTGGCTTATGCGATTGTGGGGCTGGCGGGGCAAGTCCCATATCTAAAGAGCAGGCTCTCAGGGAGAACAGGCTGGAGCTCTTGGGCATGAGCTGAAGCTGCTATCCACAGGCGGAATTTTTTTCTTCCTCAGAGAAGCCTCAGTTCCATTCTTAAGGCTTTGCAACTGATGGAATCGGGCCAACCCAGATTATCTAGAATAATCTCCTTTTGATGGGTTTTAATCATTGCTACAAAACAGCATCACGGCAACAACTAGATTCCTGTTTGGATAACTGAGGATGATAGCCAAGCCAAACTGACACATGAAATTGACCAACACAGCCAGGTGTCTCCTAATCCTTATGTGTTTGTCTACATTTTTTAATTTAAGTGTAACATTTTACATTTATGTGTATTAAACTTCACTGTGCGCATTTTACATTAACAGGCAGTTTACATTTATATGGATTAAACTTCATTTTGGACCATTATTCCAACCTATTGATTGCATTAACGAATTCATTAGCTATTCTCTCCTAGCTTTCTGTCATTTGAAATTTTGACAAGCATATCACTTCCGATCTTTTACCCATGTTCTTGTTAGAGAAGTTAGCAAGATGGGCCAAATTTAGCACCTAGGGCCCGCAGTAATACACCAGAAATCTTTAGAATTTTGTTGTTGATTGGGTATCTTATTGGTGGGTGGGTAATTGTAATTATTTGGTCAGGAATATCTGACCAAATATAGATAAGATAAAAATCTGCATGTGATGTGGGTGAAAAATTCTATTTACTAGAATGTCTTATACAGTGTGCACTGCCTTTATACGGCAGTGTGCCGAGGGCCTGGGGTCATGTCTTAACAAGCATTCGTGGCTGGTAAACACCCCCTCCTGCTCTCCCACCTCCCTGCAACACAGAAGCCTGGTGTCAGCTGATGCCAAGTCTTCAAGGATGGAAAGACATTGCCCTACAGAACTAGGGAGAGGAACGTTGACATTTTGTTTTTGAAAGGGTGAGAAGAAAAGAACAGGAGAAGAACTATGAAAACAGCAGATGTGAGGAGCAAGAAAGATGGTGATTGGCTGCGCTAAACTGAAAAGTTAGTGAAACTTCAAAGTTGGGGGATTCCAACTGATATTTTTAAATCAGCAATGTCTAAGGTGACCATTAAAAATTGTTTTTGTTCCTAGGATAACTCATCTTCTCTTCTGCTCTATGAAATCTTAGATAAAATGTGTATTCCTCATAAACGTTTTGTAAGAGTAAATATCCTTTTGGGACAACTCAAAGAGATATTAAGTCTCACTGTGGGTCCATGCGACACAGCTTGGGAACAGTACCTATTTAGTTAGGAGTTAAGAAAGTAGAGGAAGCCACGGAGAAGCTACCTTCCCTAGAGGAGAGTTTGAACTTCATAAATGTGGAATGAAACAAGAATATGAGTCACACATGATTATCAGACTGGCTCAGAACCTTATTGAACTCTATTCTCATTTAGTTCCCATTTCAACATTTTGTGCACAGGATATGCTTGAGATATAGGTGTTCTATAAATGCTATTCCACAGACCTACCGGTCCTTCACAAAAGAGAAATAGGATTTAACTTACTCTGAAAAATTATTTCTAATTCTTAGTGATTAAATATTCTTAATGGAATGCTCACAAAACACATATAATAATCTGTTCTAAAAATTAAAGAGATTAACATCAAGTTATAGTTCCAGAATATAAATAAATTTCTCTACATTTTAAAAACAGAGAAAACTATTTAGCCATTTTTGGAATTTTGCCACTTGTCTCTTTACCCAGAATTTCTCACATATAACAAGTAGCATTTATACCCCCATAGCTTAAAGGCAAGATCTGTGCCTGGCACTGTATCTGTCGCATAGTTGGAATGAAGAAATATTTGCTGAATTACATTGAGTTGAATTCTTTTTGTAGAGAGCTAGGATGTAAACTAGATCTAACTCCAAATTTAGCATTCTCTGTATGCTGTGTTACAATATAGTGCTACATAAAAATAATAAGGCTTAACGTTTTTAGAGTACATTTGGATAGTATTTTATAGTTGAACATGATGCTTTCCCATCCATTACCTTTTCTGAAATGGCATGTTCACTTTTCCTCAGGGTATTTTAACACCATAACTTCAACAACTAATTCTTCCATATGAGTCAGAATGAAGTCTAAAAGAATAATTATTTGTATTAAATTGTTAGCAAGACAAATCAATAACCAATCATGCAGTAGGAACAGTGGAGCCTATTCCTGCAGGCCACTGGGACACTACAGGCCATGTCCTTCCTGGCACCCCTTAGAATTAATCATCATTAATTTTGATGATCATACCCAATCACCACTGTGCTCTTGGTTGAAGGGAGGTATCTTGGAACCTTGTCTTAAGTCAGTCTTGGCATTCCTTTTTGCTGCTTCTGGGGCCTGTGACCAGCTAGGCTAAATTTAACATTTGCATTCCATTTTATTGATTATTTTTCGGCATATTTGGAATGGACACTGTGAAGTGCTGTTCAGACCCCCTTCAACGAGGAACTATTTGCCCAATTGCTGGAGTACAGTCTCTAGACAGCCTTTGGCAGTCAGTCTCTGAAGGGACTGTTTTCAGCTACAGAGTGCTGCATAGCCAAGGTCATGCCTCCTTCCTGGGGCAGCTCACTTCCAATGGCCAGTTGATACAGCAGTATGAAGGCAGGATCATCTAACCCTAACCTGAGACAACTCTAACAGGCCATTTTAGCGCCACAGAGCTCCACCTGTGGGGTCAGCCAGGTGTTTCTCTTGCAGCCAAGTGAGCCCGCATCGCAGTTTCTCCCTCTGCCCAGTCCAACTTCTTCTTTAGATGTGGTTCTGAAGGTCACTTTTTTTGAATTTTTTATTTATTTAATTTTTTTTTGTTTGAAACGGAGTCTCGCTCTGTCGCCCAGGCTGGAGTGCAGTGGCGCCATCTCCGCTCACTACAAGCTCCGCCTCCAGGGTTCACGCCATTCTCCTGCCTCAGCCTCCTGAGTAGCTGGGACTACGGGCGCCTGCACCACGCCTGGCTAATTTTTTGTATTTTTAGGAGAGACGGTTTCACCGTACTAGCCAGGATGGTCTCAATCTCCTGACCTCGTGATTCGCCCGCCTTGTCCTCCCAAAGCGCTGGGATTACAGGCGTGAGCCACGGCTCCCGGCCCTGAAGGTCCCTTCTTAACAAAAACCCTGACTCCTAGGATCTGCTTATCAAGGAGCCCAACCTGCTCACCATTAATGCCTTTCCTAGTATTTACTACAAGTTTTTCTTTAAATCAGCTCACAGTTTTATGTAAGTTAACTGATTTTAAAAGGAAACTACTAAAGATCTCTCATTCTAGCAAAATGGTGGGTTAATCCAATAGGAAAATCCTCTTGCTACAAATACCTAAAAGTGTTGCCTAAAGTATGTCATAACTTTAAATGTTTTTAAAGGCAGAACTGGGCTCACAAGGAGCTGAAATCCTCAAATGTTAGAAATAATGAAAAGTAAGTATGTAGTCGATGTTTTGGCGAGTTGTAGTCAGAGCTGATAAAGGCTAAGCCTTGTATTTTAAGTCCCAGACCAGGGAAGGAAAAAAGACATTAGGACTTTTGAGAAGGGAATCGGAAAGAAGAGCTATGAATAAAGCTAGGAGTCTCATAGAGCTGTTCAGACAGCAAAAGAGAAGATTAGGGAAAACCAACCAACCAACCAATCACCACCCGCCATCGTAGGCAAATATCAAGGAAGCTTGTTCTCTACCGAAGCTCTCACAGGGAAAAACCTCTCCCTGGTAAAACCTTAACCACAGCCCTGACCCTCATACAGATTTGGATTTGAATTTATGCCACCTGATTTTTTGGGTGAAAACTTCTAAACCAATATAAAATTTTTCCTCAGTCAATAAAATAATGACTCTGGAAACCTGACAGAAGCAACAGAAACTCACTCTAGAGAAACAATCTCACAATTCCCACAAAGGAAGACTTACTGGACTCACAAGAAAATTTTAGAAAATACACAAGTGACTACACACACACAATAAAAGGCATAGCACCTCAAGTATTTTTTTTTGTGAGGTACAGAGTTTCACTCTGTTGCCCACGCTGGAGTGCAGTGGTGCAATCTCTGCTCACTGCATCCTCCTTCTCCCGGGTTTAAGCAATTGTCCTACCTCAGCCTCCCTAGTAGCTGGGATTACAGGTGCGCACCACTATGCCCGGCTAATTTTTATATTTTTAGTAGAGACAGGATCTCACCATGTTGGCCAGGCTGGTCTCGAACTCCTGATCTCAGGTGATCTGCCCGCCTCGGCCTCCCAAAATGCTGGGATTACAGGTGTGAGCCACCGTGCCTGGCCAGCACCTCAAGACTTGATAGAGTAGAACAACCTGCAAAAGTCTACAGAATAAATATATTTTAAAATGGTTAAGAAAGCATGAAAACAAGGCATCCTGACAAAGGAATAAGCAGCCATGTAAAAGAACCAACCAGAGTTAAGAAAAATGAAACGCCTGTAACCCTAGCAGTTTGGGAGGCCAAGGTGGGAGGATCACTTAAGTCCAAGGATTAGAGAACAACCTGGGCAATACAGTGAGAGTCTGTCTCTATGAAAAAAAAGAAATTAGCCAGGCATGGTGGCACATACCAGTAGTCCCAGCTACTTGGAAGGCTGAGGTGGGAGGATATCTTGAGCCCAGGAGTTTGAGATTACAGTGGGCTATGGTCACACCACTGCACTCTGCCCTAGGCAACAGAGTGAGACCCTGTCTCTTAAAAAAAAAAAGAAAAAGAAAAAGAAAATGTGTATTCATCCAAATTAAAAATCAAAGGATGGCTTAAGAAGATCAGACATAGTAGAAGAGAACATTAACAAATTACCGGAAAAATCAGAAGAAATTGTCCTGAATGCAGCCCAGAAAAAAAAAGAAAAACAAAAAAAAACCAAGTTGAAGAAGAGATACTCTTAGATTGAAAGAAAAATACCATACTTGACTATCTGCTGTTTGTAAGAAACATACTTAAAACATGATGCACAAAAACTGAGGTTAACTGAATAGAAATGATATCCCAGGCAACACTAATCAAAAGAAAGCTCATATTAACTTCAGACAAAATAGACTTCAAGGTAAAGTCAATAATAGGGAGAAAAGGAGAATCACCACATAATGTTCAAAGGAACAATCACAAGGAAGTTGTGATAATTCTAAGCATGTATCCATCAACATAATCTCAAAATATAAAAATGAAAAATTAACAGTCTTGCAATAGGAAATGAACAAATCCACAATTGTTGAAGATTTTTTAACATCTCTTAGAAACTGGTAGATTCAGCAAACAAAAAATTACTGAAAATCAAAAAGATTTGAATGTATAAAGCTCAATTTAATAATATATGGAATTTAATTCAATAATTAAAGAATATATAATATCTTTTTTTGTTTATTTGTTTTTGTTTTTATTGAGGAAGAGTCTTACTCTGTCGCCAAGGCTGGAGTGCAGTGGCACAATCTCGGCCCACTGCAAACTCCACCTGCCGGGTTCAAGCAATTCTTGTGCCTCAGCCTCCCGAATAGCTGGGACTACAGGCACGTGCCACTATGCTCAGCTAATTTTTGTATTATTAGTAGAAATGAGGTTTCACCATGTTGCCCAGGCTGGTTCAAGTGATTCACCCACCTGGGCCTCCCAAAGTGCTGGGATTACAGGTGTGAGCTACTGCACTCAGCCAAGAATATATAATCTTTTTAAGTAAAAAAATGGAAACTGTATAAAAATTGGCCACACACAAGGCCACAAAACAAGTTTCAACATAAACTGAGGAATCTATACGATTCTGCTGGGCTCCCTGATCCCAATGCAATAAAATTACAAGCCATAAGTAGACAATTTTTAAAAACCTTTTATGTCTGGAAAGTGTCATAAACACTTCTAAACGTTGTTTGAATAACTTAGAATGGAAATTTGAAAATATTTATAATTGATAATGAAAATGCTACATAAAAATTGTGGAATGCCACCAAAACAGTAATTAGAGAGAAATGTATTGTTTCAAATTCATATACTATGTTTGTGTCAAATTTAAGATGTCAAAAGTTATAAGATACACCATTGTTTTATGGCCACTAAGAAATAAAAGTGCTGTTGATTAAATATGATATCCTGGTGGTGGCCTGTAGCAACTGGCTAACAGACTCGGGATGTAACAGCCCAGCCCTGTTACCTGTGGGAAGGGAGTAACCCTCTAGTGCCATCCACCCTATAAAGCTCTAAACCTCTCCTGAAACCCTATACTTGCTTGGTTCCTTCCTATGCTCTGTGCTGCATTTCTCAGTCCTGGATATGTTTTACCACAAAATCTAAAATCTTAATACGTAAGTTTAAAAACAAATCAATCAATACTATCTAGAAAAATAAAAGGAAAAAGATAGCACATTCCAGTATTTTGAATCTCAAGTTATATTTACATCACAAACCACGTAAAGGATCATATAGAGCTAAAAAAAATTAACAAGTGAGCGAGGTGAATATCATAGTCTGACTAAAAATCAGGTGCTTTCATCATTAAAATGATACAAAGGGATAAAAATGGGAAATTATTTTCCTCTGCGGAAAATCTAGCCTACACAGACACTGCATCCTTTTTTTAAAATCTGATTTCAATTGTGCTTAATATAAACCAGCTTCAGCTTCAGATTTTGTGAATAATGCATCAGAAGAGTTCTTCACATTTGCCCTTATGTGTGTCAGGAAGATACAATCCTAGATGTGGAAGAAGAATAACGATCCATTACTAAAAATAACATTTCATCCAAGAAAGAATGACTCAGCAAAGAGTTTAGTCAAATAAAGATGCAATCGACTCAAATACGCTTGAATAAGAGCAAATATATTTACAATAATCAGGTTTACTCGCAATCTCCAGATCATTGTCAAACATAAATAACTCCAGTCATATTGTGAGAAATGGTAAAAAAAATTGCATTAAAAGTAGAAAGAAAATCTCTTTTCAGCAAGATTTGAAATAACAGGGATTGTGTTCTTATTTATTAATTATATAATAATGCATTATTGTATATTTGGTACAAGGACTTAATTCATTTTCAAAAACCTTTAATTTAGCAGAAAGAAATATGGTTCATGAAACAAGTGAAGAATCAAAAGCAATATCAATTATGTTGGAATAAGAGCTGAAACTTATAAAGCACTTAGATACTAGGCAGGTTTCAGTTCTTGTACTTAATTTTCTCACTGCCTTTGAGAAGAAGGGGCTATTATAATTCCCATTTTACAATGAGGTGATGTAGGCACTGAGAGGTTAAATAATCTTCCCAAGGCTATATAGTTGGTATCTAGTAAATGACGTTCCAAATCTAGGCAGTCTGATTTGAGTCTGTGCTCATACTGCTTCTCAAAGCTACAAACATGCAGAATCATGAGACAGAGAACACAAGTTAATATCAATGGATGAAAAATTTGAAAAACGGTTCCATAAATACATTTTTTTGCTTTAAAATAAATTTATTGCAAGTTGTTACAAGTATTTTAAGCAATGGGTTGTTTATTGAAAGTAATACTTTATTTACCTGACATTATTGAAAGTGTTTCCTGTAAATCATTTTTCCCATTAGGTGAGTCATATCCCTTTTTATTTTGACTGTTTCTGCGCCCGGCCCTGGACCCTCTTATAGTAAAGAAAATTTGATCAATCAATATCATAGTATTTTAGTATTTTAATAAACAGCGGCTGAGTGTGGTGACTCACGCCTGTAATCCCAGCATTTTGGGAAGCCAAGGTGGGCAGATCACTTGAGGTCAGGAGCTCGAGGCCAGCCAGGCCAGCATGGTGAAACCACATCTCTACCAAAAAGACAAAAATTAGCTGGGCGTGGTGGCATGCACCTGTAGTCCCAGCTACTCGGAGGCTGAGGCATGAGAATCACTTGAACCCAGGAGGTGGAGGTTGCAGTGAGCCAAGATTGCACCACTGCACTCCAACCGGGGCAACAGAGTGAAGAAAACGAATAATTGAATTCCAATACATTTGGAAAGCCAAAAAAGAATTACAAATAAAAGTAAAAGCCATAGGTAGAAATTTGTGGTGGTAAAATCATTTCTCATATGTATATGTATACAGAGCCAATCTTTCAAAATTTATTTTCACTCTCTAAAAGCATTTTCATAGGAGCTATTATTATTCCACACACAGATTATTAGGTTTTCTCCATTATTTTCCCCCTTTAATTAGAAGTATAGGTAACAGATAACTCAGAGCAGAAATTAGATCCTGAAAGTGCCTGGTATTACTAAATTGGTTGGATAGTGTGAAGTATTCAAAATAATTTTAAATAGGCTTTTCAGTTAAGAATTTTTTTAGTTTTTAAATTTTTAATTTTTTAAATTTAATTTAAAAAGAAAAATGAGCAACTCTGATTGCTTGTCAGAAAGATAAAAAACAAGAGCTACTTGTTCTTTGTGGTCTTGTTAATGAGGCATCAAATCCCAAATGCCTTTCCTTTGAAATGGCTTCAAGCGTGGTTCTTCTAATCAAAGATTTTACTAAGTGTTGTAATGGACTTCAAGAGGCACTGTGATGTTATAAAAGGCTGTATGTGTGTGTGTGTGTGTGTATGTGAGAGTGTGTGTGAGAGAGAGAGAAAAATAGTGTGTGTGTGCATATGCACACATTGGTGGAAGGATCTTTATATCTTTAAGTGTGACTCTTCCCACAACCAGCTTTCCCCAACTATAAACTGGTGATGATTTTTTAAAAATTGCAAAGTGTTACATAAACGTTTGGAAAATATCACTGTAGCAGGTAAAATTTAATTTCTTCATTTTCCTTGAATTCTGCAAAACTGATTCTGAGCCCTCATCCTACGAGGCAAGTTATCATGAGTATTCTGTCTCTGTGCCTTCCCCTAAGTCTTAGAAAGGGTCCTGGGAGGTGGAAAAGCCTTAGGTAGAATTTTTTTTTTTTTTTTTTTTTGGGACGGAGTCTCGCTCTGTCACCCAGGCTGGAGTGCAGTGGCCTGATCTCAGCTCACTGTAACTTCTGCCTCCTGAGTTCAAGGGATCCTCCCATCTCAGCCTCCCAAGTAACTGGGACTACATCTGCACGCCACTGCCCAGCTAATTTTTATATTTTTTAGTAGAGACAGGGTTTCACCATGTTGGCCAGGCTAGTCTCAAACTCCTGACCTCAAGTGATCCGCCTGCCTCGGCCTTCCAAAGTGCTGGGATTACAGGAGTGAGCCACCTCACCTGGCCAATAACATTTTTTTTTTTTTTTGAGACGGAGTCTCGCTCTGTCACCTAGGCTGGAGTGCAGTGGTGCAACCTCAGCTCACTGCAACCTCCGCGTCCCAGGTTCAAGCAATTCTCTGCCTCAGCCTCCTGAGTAGCTGGGATTACAGGTGTGTGCCACCACGCCTGGCTAATTTTTGTATTTTCAGTAGAGACAGGGTTTCACCACCCTGGCCAGGATGGTCTGGCTGGTCTTGAACTCCTTACTTCATGATCCACCCACCTCGGCCTCCCAAAGTGTTGGGATTACAGGCGTGAGTCACCGCGCCCAGCCAAGGAAATTTATAAAGCAATTCCCTCCTCCTCTCCTAGGTGCACACTGGTCATCTTGGAGATGCCTGTTGCCCATGTCCTCATGTTTTTTTGGAATCCTGTGGCTCTGGGATTTACTGTGCTATGCTCAGACAAGAGAGTCTTTGCCAGCCAGGGCTAAGATCCTGCCCCTCTTATATACCAGGCATCTCCTGCCTTCTGATCGGAGAACCTTGTATCCCTTCCCTAGACCAAAAGCATCCCTTCTCCCATCAGGAGCATCTCTCTTTCTACTTCACCTTCCAGATCCTTTCACAAAAACCAGCAGGGAATAAGTTTTTAGGCAGCTTCAGCCTTCTGACCTACCGACGCTCCTCAGCTAAGAAATAATATTAACAGATCTTCTTGAATGCAGAGGTTTAAAAAATAAGTAGAACAGAACTCTAATATGCCAACAAATTACTTTAGCACATTATTTTTAAAATATGGAACATAGAAGTAATATTGTTTTTATTTTTTGTTTGTTCATGTATAGTACAAAAGCAAGCAGAGAAAAATTTTACAGATGAAGGAGACCAGCTATTTAAGATGGGCATCAAGGTTCTCCAGCAGTCTAAAAGCCAAAAACAAAAAGAAGAGTAAGTCTTTATCCAGTGACCTTAGCCAAGTTGAATTTCCAGGTTAAGAAAAAAGAAAAATCCCAAATGTAGTTTATCATTAAAACTCATTGGGATAATGAGTAAGCCTATTTGCCCATAAACTATTGTTTTTAAAAGGATCAAATTGTGTTTAAAGAATCCCACAAATTATCACTCTAAACAAACAGGAGAACTGCATGTGAGATTGCAGTCCCCGTATTAAGTGAAATTGAGAATTAAGACACTGACCTGAGCATTCATGCAGAAATATTGTTTTGGCTTTAATTTATTAGATGATTCAAGTGAAATAAAATGTGTTATTTGAATTAGAGCAAGTTGTTGTATTAAAAATGCTTTACTTCTGCCTGGGTGTTTGTACAGTATCTTATGATTTTTAAAAGCACTTTCATGTATGTGATTCCATGTTATCCCCAGAACAGTCTTATAAGGTAAGAAGAGCTTAATTTTTCTCCTTTAAGAAGTTGGAAACAGAGATTCAAAGATGTTAAAGTGAGGTGAGCACAGATAGCTGGGAGGTGACCAAGCTGTGGCCACATGGTCTTGTTCCATGTTCACTGTTTCTCTTATCACTTTTCTACCTTGTCTAAAGGGGAGGCAGAAATATCTTCTCCCTCCACTCCACACTTCCAGTGGAGGGGCACAACCTGTGGTCACCCCTCAAGGCTCTAGCTAAAGCCTTGGGATCAAATCCTAGCTCTCTCATTTACTGGTTGTTTGCACTTGGATAAGTTACTCAACCTCTCTGTGACCCGGATAATGCAATCAAGCTCTTACAATAGTGCCTGACACTTAGTAACCAGGAAATACAGGTGTGTTAGTTTTATCTTGAGTCCCCTAACTGCTAAGTTGAAGGTATGGGGGCAAAGAAAGCAAGGGTATTTTGAACCAATAATAGAAAGTGTGGGCCCTAGCCAAGCACGGTGGCTCATACCTGTAATCCCAGCTCTTCGGGAGGCCAAGGCTAGCAGATTGCTTGAGGTCAGGAGTTTGAGACCAGCCTGGCCAATATGGTGAAACCCCGTCTCTACAAAAATTAGCCAGACATGATGGCGCGCACCTGTAATCCCAACTATTTGGGAGGTTGAGGGAGGAGAATTTCTTGAACCCAGGAGGCAGAGGTTGCAGTGAGCCAAGACCATGCAATAACACTCTAGCCTCTGGGTGACAAAGCCAGACTCCATCTCAAAAAAAAAAAAAAAAAAAAAAAAAAAAAGAAAGAAAGAAATAAAGAAAGTATGGGCCCTGAGCCCCCAACAAGGAGACATCTCTTGTTTTCACACAGAATAGGCACACCAGTCAGAGGAAAGCATCCCAGAGCTGTGGTAGCTAGCACCAGACAGGGCAGCAACAAAGTCCATGAGTTCTTAAAACCCAAACCTTTGAGAAGTATAAAAATACAGAGGATAAGGAGCACTCAACTATGATTCTGGTTATGACAACATCAACAACTTTCATTTATTAAGCACCTGCTTTGTGCTAGTTACTGTTTTAGGTACTTTACATGTGTAAATTATTCATTGCTCACAGTGATACCGTGAGACATAGATAATTATCTCCAAATTACAAGAAGGAAATGGAGAGTCAAAAAGATGATGTAATACTTCCTAAGAGACAAGAAAGAAGTGAGGGGGTGGTTCAACCAACCACAGCAAAACCTGGGCCTCCCACTGAATGTCCCTGGGGGCTGTTATAATGAGGAAGGGGTAAAATCAGATCCCAAAAATACAATCCAGCCTAATAGGAGCTCATCTCACTAACATGCCCACTGGCTAAATAAGTAAGAACAGAGAGTTCTCCAGCCAGCCTAGCTAGAAGAAACAGATGTGGAGCGCCAGTCAGGGGCTGGTCCCTGAGATTTCAGATGACCCCTAACTATAGCATGGGAGCCCACACAAAGAAGGGGCCCAACTAGGTGTGTTACATCAAGTCCAGGGAAACCCTGGATTTGGCCCAATGGGACAAAATCACTCTGAGAAGGTCCCAGGTAACCATCCACTCAACCTTGAAGGGGACCTTCCTCTTTGGCCTAAAGAACAGGGAGAAAGCCCAGTCCTAATAGCAGACCATCCATTAGTGTGGGAACCTTCATGCCTACCTGGGTGTCATTCAGTTTCATGCTATTCTTACCAAGACTGTCCTGCCCACATCCTTGCCCCAAAACTCAGTCTCCTGACCACCCCCGCCACCTTTTTTTGAGACAGAGTCTCACTCTGTTGCCCAGGCTGGAATGCAGTGGCACAATCTCAGCTCACTGCAGCCTCCACCTCCCCAGTTCAAGCGATTCTCCTGCCTCAGCTTCCCAAGTAGCTGAGATGACAGGTGCCCACCACCACACCCGGCTAATTTTTGTATTTTTAGTAGAGACAGGGTTTCGCCATGTTGGTCAGGCTGGTCTCAAACTCCTGAGTTGAAGTGATCTGCCCGCCTCAGCCTCTCAAAGTGCTGGGATTACAGGCATGAGCCACCACGCCCAGCCTCCTGACCCTTTTGAGTCGGTAGCAATGGAGAACTGAACTCTAATGGGCTCATAGAAAGAGATCTCAGGAGTTTCTGGGCAAGCTGGGTGAAGTTCTTGTGTTATCAGGATGGCCTGCTGTCTCCTTAAACAAGTTACATCTGTGCAGCCATGCCTAAGCATAGGGCAGGTGGAGAGAAAAATGATTGCACACCCTCCTGACCAAAGGAGAATAATTTCATTCCCGCTCATTCCTCTATCCTACCCTCTCTTTGCTTTGCTACTTCCTGGGTTGGCAGGACAGATGTAAGATAGGTTAAAACTATCCTTTTGGCTCCTCCACACCCACATCCTGGACCAATTCATTCATTCATTTATTCACTCATTCAGCCTCTTCTTTTGTATGAGTAGGAAAAATCACTGAACAAGTCAGTGCTGTTTAAAGTACAGATATTAAGCAAGCGTGTCAGAGAGAACAAATTTGTCTGAGTGAGTCAGGAAGCCTCACTGACAGCTAGAGTGGTCCTTCATTAAGAATCACTCCCCATCAGCAAAGAAGTTTCGAAGATAAGCCGTTGTTCTACACCAAGTTTCTGATGTGCCCTGCAGAAGCATTGAGCCCTTCCTCCCCCATCACCCACCTAAGCGTCCAATGCCAGACCCTGTAGAGACCATTCAGATAACTAATTAAATTGTCTTTTAGGATCTGCCCCTGCTGCCCAGCTTCTCCCACCTTTTTCCTTTTGGGGATTGCAGCCCACATCTTAATCTTACCTATCAGCAACTTTCTCCAGCCCTGGATACTGCTTCTAGTATCCCTTTTAGTGCCTTGGGTTTTCTGCTATGGAACCCATATGCCCACACTGCCCTTGGAATGCAAGACACCTAGAAGGATTTGTTTTGCAGCCTATTGCTGCCCTCTGGGTCCAGAGACTGTGTATAAAATGCTGGAGCTACTAGGCGTACTATTGGAGGCCCCTGCAGCCTATCTCAGGTTTCTGTGCCTTGGTCCATGCTGGTGCTCCTCCTGTCCCAGTAGGCTATAGAGTTGCAGCAGCAAGCCACGTGACAGAAAGGCTCAAGGGAGTCTGTATCCTGATGCCAGGCTCTCTTCCTGTTGCCTCTCTCTGGGTGCCAGACATTTGCCTTTAGTGACCTTGAGACCATCTGCCTTGTTTGCCTTCCCGCCTCCAGAATTTCAGCTGGCTTTGACCTGGGTTAATTTCTTTCTTGATCTCCTGAACTCCAGTTTTCTATCTCTTTTTGTTCCACTGGAGTACTCACCCTGTGTTTTGACATCCAGGATTCTAATGCCTACCTGGATGTTTCTCTGTCTGAGGTCCTTCTTGCCTGGACTACTCTGCTCCAGCTTCTGCCCAAGAGCAGCTTATTTTAGCCTCAGCATGGATGGGCTGTACATAAAGGTGAGTCTCCTGATCCTCCTAAATCAGAAGCAATGGTAGATTTTTATGGGGTTTTTTTTCCCTGTATTTGAGTCAAGGTCACAGGTAGAAGTTAACGCTTTCTGGTCTTTACCTTCAAAACGAAGTTATAAAAGTAAAAATAAATCCCTAAAATACTCCCTGTCTCTGACACATGTTTTGACCTTGCAAGACTCTCCATCACTTCTTATACCAATCAGGTCCAGATGGCTTCTGACTGGGTCTCGAAGAGTGCAGTGTAAGGTAATCCTGTGGCACCTATCATTTTAATCACTAAATGTTCACACTACTTACCACCTAATTATAGGAGAACAATTACCATGCTATAAAACTTTAGAATCAATGCAACTGTCCCAATAATAACAGCTAAATTTACTGAGTGCTTACTCTATACCACGCACAATGCCAAGCACTTCCCATGGATTATCTCATTTAATCTCCACAGCAACCCTATGAAGTGGGTGCTATAATGCTATCCCCATTTCATAGATTAGAGGGTCACAGAAAAGTTATATAACTTGGCTGAAGTTCTCCAACTAGTAAGTGGTGGGACCAGGATTTGAACCAGGCAGTCAGACTCTAGAGCCCTAGCCATTAAGGTTTTGTTTCATTATTGTTTTTCCAAAGAGTCTGACTTTGCTGTGTTGAAGAATATATTCTGTTTAGCAAATTAAGATATGAAGGGATCATCATTCTTCTGATAGTAACTTCCTAGAGGTTACATTCCAATTTTGATTATTCTTATATTTTTCAGAATTTATTTTATAAAACAAATATTCATAAATAATGGTGGTGGCCATGGGAGAGTTCAGTATTTTAGAAAAAGTTCCTCAATTTTTCACTTTACTCAGTGTATAAGCTTACTCAGTGTATAAGATGGTGTATCTTATATATTTCTGTATCAGTGTATAAGATGGTGTATGTTATATATTTCTCCTTTTTAGTAGCATTATTATTTGTGAGATATATTTGAAATTATAGCCTTAGACTGCTTTAGGAATGAAAAAAATCTACTGATCTAGAGATGTAATGAACTTCAGCTAAACTGTATGACAACTGGTTCCTGCTTGTTAGAGAGAAGTAGTATGAATAGTGTTGAAGAAGGAGAAGAAAATTTCATTTTTGAAAATCAAACTTGACTTTATATTCTTGAAACAGAGCCTACCTACTTTTTGCCAAAGCAGCTGACATGGGAAACTTGAAAGCTATGGAGAAAATGGCTGACGCTTTGCTATTTGGAAATTTTGGCGTGCAAAATATAACAGCAGCTATCCAATTATATGAGTCCTTGGCTAAAGAAGGATCATGTAAAGCCCAAAACGTGAGTTTTGAAGGAAAATGAAACCTTAAATAGCTCCATCCTGAAATAACTATAGACAGCATGTGAAAGGAGTTGAGCAATAGTATTCCAGCTCTGCTGCATGAACCCAGTCTAGGGAGGTTACCATAATGCACTGAAACAGTGGTGTCAGGGCAGGAGTACAGCAGAAGCCTCCGAACCCCCAACAGCTAAATTTTATATAAAATGTATTCACCTATATGAAGAAATATGAAACTGTCTATTATCTTAGGGTGACATGTTTGCATGATTTTTACTTTTCAAATATTTTATAAGCTAAATGTAATTCCTTTTCTATTTTAATAAATGCGTTCCATTTTATTCCAAGAATAACATAGCCATTTCATAGAAAATCTGGAAAACAGGGGAAAAAAAGCTATTTCCAAGCCAACCATCTTGATTCAACTACTATTAGGACTGCTTTGTACTTTTGCTTGGCTTCTTTCTTTGTGCATTTCTCTTTTTACATCATCCTAATCACAATGCAATTGCATATATCATTTTGCTTCTGGCTACTTTCACTTCATGCTGTAGCAAAAGCATATTTTCATGTTGCTATAGTCTTTACTATGAAAACCATTTTTTTCTGATTATGAAAAAAGTCTGAGAAATCAGAAAGTATGAAAAAGAAAGTAAAGTTTTCTAAAAGCTTTCCCCCCAGAGATCACATTTGTTACTATCCAGTGAAGTTCAGAAGCTAGACTTGCAGTCAGACAGACCTAAGTTTGAATCCACTCTTTCATTTGTTTTTTGAATAAGCTACTTAACAAAACCCTTTCACCTCCTTCTGCATGAAAAATTTGACCTTTGTTTCACTCTCTAGTTCTGTTTCCCTGGTGATCTGATAGAAATAAAATGCTAACTATATTTTTAGTTAAGCTTGCTTCTGATAGAAATGACCTCTGATTGGCAAACTGCCTTTGAATTGGGAGAAAAGATCATGAACTATAAATACCAGATGGGGGTAGTACTTCTTATGGGGACACTGGATACTGTGCCTATGGAGTTGTTACATTGAGAATGAGGCTTTTACGTCAGGGTGGCTCCTGCATCCACCCAATGTGGGTCTCATCTCCTTGCATCTGAGCCATCTTCTGAAGGACCAAAGATGGTGGTTCCTGGAAGAATGTATGAACTCTGCTGTAAGAACTCCCACAGAAAAAATTGGGCCAGGTGCGGTGGCTCATGCCTGTAATCCTAGCACTTTGGGAGGCCAAGGTGGGCGGATCACTTGAGGCCAGGAGTTCGAGACCAACTTGGGCAACATGGTGAAACCCCGTCTCTACTAAAAATACAAAAATTAGCTGGGCGTCATGGCACATGCCTGTAATTCCAGCTGCTCGAGAGGCTGAGGAGGAGAATTGCTTGAACCTGGGAGGCGAAGGTTGCAGTGAGCCAAGACTGTGCCACTGCACTCCAACGTGGGCGACAGAGCAAGACTCCATCTCAAAAAAAAAAAAAAAAAAAAAAATCCCACAGAAAAAAAGTCCAGATGCTATGCCATACCTGTCTTCATACACTGGTGGCGACAAAGCCCATGGGTGTCCTGTGAGTCTGTATGTTTAGTTGAACCAGAAGTTGGACTGGAAGACCCCTTGTAGATGGGGCAACCTTACTAATTTTCATCTGTAAAGTTAGGATAATGATGAAACATTGGGTACCGCATCCTTCTCGTTCACTGCTATATCTCTAACATTTAACACACTGCCTAGGACAAGAATTATAAGTTGAATGAGGAATTAATTAATTAATTATGAATGAATTTATGGAGTTATTGTGAGGATTAAAATAATGTGGGAAGACACTTAGTTTCATACCTGGAACACTGTAATCTTTCATTATAAAGAAAAGATATGTGGGAGGAGTAGGGATTAGGGAGATATTGGTCAAAGGATATAAAATTTAAGCAAGGAGGAGGATAAAAATAATATTATTACTCCAATATTATTCTTCTGGAATATTTTCTAAGACTCCATAGAATTATTTTTTTACAAAAACGAACAAATACTTTAGTTGCTGCTTCCTAACTTGCTCTTTATTCACTTAACAATGTATCATAGATGTCTTTCCATGTTAATATATACAGACCGACATCATCATTTTAAAAATCCATATAATTTTAATTAAATTAAGTTGCTGAATACTGCTTTTACATCAGGAACTCTTTCTTGAAATTACATGTGAAATAATGCAATAAACAGATTTGTAAATGTTATAATAAAATATGAGAGCTGCTAAACCTTCATTCCCCGTATTTGCTTAATCAAAAATATAAAGTTCCAAGACAGACCAAATGTTACCACAGATAACAGTTTCCTCCACTAAAAATGGTATCACTAAAGACCAAATGTTACCCTCACTCCACTCCCACCACTAAAAATGGCAACACCTAATTTCTTTTCAAACTATGTGAACATGAATTTTATTTTCTTAGTGTGTGTATACATTAGTTAATAAGTCAACAATTGTTTCTTGGATAGCTACTATGTGTCAAACGTAATGTAGTAATGGGGAGAGAAAGATTACTAGGACAGAGTCCTCCTAGGTCAACCTGAAATGCAAATAACTGCAGCACAATTTAGGTGGACTACAGTTAAGGTGCGTATAAAGTGCTTTAGTCACAGAAGAGGGTCTGGCTAGTTCTGCCTAGGGCAGGTAAAGAATGTTTCAAGGAAGAAGTGACATTTACACTCAGTCTAGAATATTGGATAAAGGAAATAACAAAGATTTCACTTGTTTGTATATAAATAAAGCATTTGATAGAAGGTCAAAATATGACTCCCAGTAAAGAAGTTCCAAACTTACATGAATGGTTCCTAAAACACATGAATTTTAGAGCTGAAGTTGGAGTTTCACTCTAGTTAACGTGGTTATTGCATCTAATTTGTGTTACTTTAGCTAATGTAGTTACATCTAGCCAGTTACATCTAGCTAGTGTTACTCTAAGTAGTGTGGTTATCACATGGCCACAAATATCCTCAAATCCCAGTTAAGTGACCATCAGTTGCTTGCCATTTTTTGTTTCTTTTTTTGCTATTGGTTTTAAGGAAAATCATGTGGAAGAATGTAATTGGCTGAGTGCCAACCCAGTGCCGGAAGGAATAACTCTAAATGTCTAACCACTGGCCACAAATTATTACAGCCATCTTTGTATTGTTGAGGCATTGTTGAGATGGTACTCTAAGAAATGTACAGTTACAGACCTCAGGGTGGCATGGTGTGGTGGCAGAGAAGAGGTTCCCAAACCAGAAATTATGACCATATGTGAGTCCATGTATTCTATCACATAATAGCTCTTCTATCTTTTGTTCATTCTTTTAGTATCTCTGAAGAAGTTACTTCTCTAAACCTTGGGTTTCCCAAACCTGTATCTATTATCTTAGGGTAAAAAGAGATTGATAGTAATACCCACATTACTTCACAAGGTTGCCATAAGAACTGAAAAATATCCACAAGAGTCCTTAGCAAATGTTAAAGAACATTAATGAATACTGTTGTGTAACAATTTTAGTCCCAACAGCATTGTCTTTGGGATCAGTCAGTTCTGGCTTTACATCTGAGCTCCACCTGGCCCCTAATGACTTGTCCTCTCTGGGTCTCAATTTCCTCTTCTGTAAAATGGGGATATTTACTTAGATACGTGTGTTTTGGTCTCAAGGAGAAACAGAAGACAGAACATGAGTGAGGACAAACTTATGGCCCAAAAGGCTGACATTGACCTGGTGTGCAAAATTCAGCTGAACCGGTTTGTTGTTGTTGTTGTTTGTTTTGGTTTGGTTTGGTTTGGTTTTTTGAGACAGAGTCTCGTTCTGTTGCCCAGGCTGGAGTGCAGTGGAGTGATCTTGGCTCGCTGCAACCTCCACCTCCCAGGTTCAAGAGATTCTCCTGCTTTCAGCCTCCTGAGTAACTGGAACGGAACTACGGGCTGTGCCACCACACCTGGCTAATTTTTGTATTTTTAGTAGAGAAGGGGTTTCACCATGTTGGCCAGGCTGGTCTCAAGCTCCTGACCTCAGGTGATCTGCCCTCCTTGGCCTCCCAAAGTGCTGAGCCACCACACCCAGCCTCTGTTTATTAAAATACTAAAATACTATGATATTTATTGATTTAAAAGTCTCTGCCCGACCCTCTCTTATGCCCTCCCTGACATCCACCCTTATTCCTCACTTGAATTCCCCTGCCCCAAAACTTCACATGATCTAGCAAGCATAGTGTTAACATCTGGATAAGCAGGGAGCCTCCAGGATCCTGCTCCCGGCACTATAGCTGGATTAAATTCCAGTGCTTTGATGGATTCAGTTCTATATTTTGACTATCATCCCTGTCACCACTATAGGAAAATCTGTTTCCAGTAGCAAGTCCCCTTGCAGTTGGTGTATTTCCTTGTGCAAAGAACAGCTCGTTAAAGAGATTCTGTGCCACAAACAATAGTTTGATGGCTGGTTGCTAGGACCAGACTGGCCACAGGCCATTCTGACCACAGTTCTCTAATGAGGCTGGCCCAGTGACCACCTTTCTTCTTGGGCCGTTTGTGCCAGCTTGGTACAGAAATCCTGCCCGCACTGCTGGAAGTATTGGGAACTGTGAGGACAACATAGCAACAGAAATGTGGGTAAAGAAGCTGGAGAAAGAGAGAGAGAAAATGAGAGAGAGAGAGCGAGACTGAGAGAAGAGAGAATGAAGACATCTACTATCTCTGAGGGAAAAGGGAAGAACAGTCAGAAATAAGGAAATATAATAGATGAGAGGAGCCTGGAGTGCCAGAGGTCTGGTAGGGACCCTATTTAACAATAACAAGAACAAAAAGATAGGAATTCCTATTAAAGTGACATTGAGGAGATAGAAGGGAAGAAATGCAATTTCTGGGTATGTACAAAGGGAAGCTGGATGGAGGAAAGGAGGCATAATTACTTCTTTTCATGCACCTTTAGTGGTTTACCTTGCAAAAATTCAAATAAACTGAAGGAAATCCTGATAAGGGCAACAAAAGCAATTAAGGTTATAAACAGAGTCCATTAAATTGATTTTCAGAGATTCTGTACCTTTCAAATAATGAGAACTATTAATTAACGGAATAGTCTTCATGAAAATGGTGGAAATTGAGGAAATTTCAAACAATCATACCCTAGAAGATGTCCTATAAAATACTGTACTTTACCAGGCTGGAGGTAGATAAGTTATATATTTTTCTATTTCTCATTTCTCATCCAGGAAGCAGAAATTAGAATTATAAAGACTCACTCTTTCCTTAATATTGATGAACTGTCCTCAATAGGAAATTTGTTAATTTGCCAGACAAGAAGGTTGGATGAAATCTCATTTGCTTTAAGAGTCAAAAATGGCCAGACACGGTGGCTGACGCCTATGATCCCAACATTTTGGGAGGCTGAAGCAGGAGGATTGCTTGAGCCCAGGATTTTAAGACCAGCCCTGGCAACATGGTGAGAATCCTGTCTCTACAAAATTTAAAAAATTGAAATTAGCTGAGCATGATGGTGCATGCCTGTTGGTCCAGCTACTCGGGAGGCTAAGGCAGAAGGATCACTTGAGCCCAGGAGGTCAAGGCTGCAGTGAGCTGTGTTCGCACCACCACACTCCAGCCTGGGCAACAGAGCAAAACCCTGTCTCAAAAAAAAAAAAAAAAAAAAAAAAAAAAAAAAGAACCAAGAAATTGATCAGCCAGGCATGGTGGCTCCTGCCTTGTAATCCTAACACTTTGGGAGGCTGAGGCGGGAGATCACTTGAGCCCAGGAGTTCAAGACTACCCTGGGCAACATAGTAAGACCCTATCTTTACAAAAAAATATAAATAAGTAAGTATTAGCCAGGAGTGCTGGCACGTGCCGGGATGTGCCTGTAGTCCCAGCCACTTGGGAGGCTGAGGTGGGAGGATCACTTGAGCCCAGGAGGTTGAGGCTGCAGTGAGCTGTGATCATGTCACTACACTCCAGCCTGGGCAACAGAACCAGACCGTGTCCCTCAAATAAAGAAAAAAAAAGAAAAGAAAAGAAAAGAAAAGAAAGAAAGAAAGAAAGAAAGAAAGAAAGAAAGAAAGAAAGAAAGAGAAAGAAAGAAAGAAAGAGAAAAAGAGAAATTACTCATTTGCATTGTATTGCCCTTAAAGCTTAATTTAATGGTGGTGATCTCTAAGTGTGGTACTATTTGTGGCAATTATTTTCTGGGTTTATTTATTTCTGAGATAGGATCTTGCTCCATTGCCCAGGCTAGAGTGCAGGGGCGCAATCATGTCTCACTGTACCCTCAACTTCCTGGGCTTAAACAATCCTCCCACCTCAGCCTCCCAAGTAGCTAGGACTGCAAGCATAGGCCACCACACCAGGCTAATATTGTTTTAGTTTTTTTTTTAAGACAGGATTTCACTATGTTGCTCTGGCTGGTCTCAAACTCCTGGCCTCAAGTGATCCTCCAAACTCAGCTTTCCAAAGCACTGGGATCACAGGCATGAGCCACCTATTTTCTTTCAAAAAATGCTTTTCTGGTTTTTTTTCCCTCTAAATGTTTTATTCATGGGTATGTATTACCTTTGATATCAGAAAAAAATATTTAACTTAGATGTATACACTTCCTTGGTTACATAGTTTAAAATAGTTTTGCTGTGGATTATAAGAAAATTCATTCTATCATGTAAAAATAAACATCATTGACATATAAAAGAAAAAGATATGAGTGTTTCCCTATTTTATCATGCTTTATGATTCTATAATTATTCTATTTTAATGGCAAAGATTCCACATTTTCTTTATTTATTTCAAATTGAAATTATAAGGCCGGGTGTGGTGGCTCATGCCTGTAATCCCAGCATTTCAGGAGACTGAGGCGGGTGGATCACTTGAGGTCAGGAGTTTGAGATCAGCCTGGCCAACATGGTGAACCTCCGTCTCTACTAAAAATACAAAAATTAGCTGGATGTGGTGGCACGCGCCTGTAATCCCAGCTACTTGGGAGGCCGAGGCAGGAGAATGGCGGGAACCTGGGAGGCAGAGGTTGCAGTGAGCCTAGATGGGGCCACTGCACTCCAGCCTGGGTGACAGAGTGAGACGCTGTCTCAAAAAAATTTAAAAAATTAAAATACAGAAGCATTTCACAGAGAGACTATAGGTTATTAGAACTGTGCTAATACAGAAAAAAAAATTATTTTTAGTATCCACCTAATGATCATTTTGATAATTCTAGAATTACCTGCATTGAGCATTTCTTCTTGATGTTAATGTTCTTTTTGTATTAAAAGTACAGACAGTACCTGAGTTGTTCCTTAGGGTTGATTCACACTTTTGTTTGGTATGCAATTTGAGCTAAAAGTAATGATCACAGGTGCTTTCGAGCTTCATGCAATAATTAAAGGAAAATTGCTTAATCTTTTTTCTCCTTTAATAATAATTTCTTATATAAAAAGTAGAAGGAGGAATATTTAATGTTTAAATTGTTATTATGGAACTTGAGTAATTTACTTTGAAGTACAGTAAAATATTTGAACTTAACTCTGAACTCTATTAATTTAAATCCCAGCTACTGTAACAGTTCCTTAAAAACACAGCATAATGGTTAAGTTCAGAAATATGTCTTACAGGGGCTGGGAGCCCTGGCTTATGCCTGTAATGCCAGCACTTTGGGAGGCTGAGGCGGGCAGATCATTTTAGGTCAGGAGTTCGAGACCAGCCTGGCCAACATAGTGAAACCCCGTCTCAACTAAAAATACAAAAAATTAGCTGGGTATGGTGGTGCATGCTTGTAATCCCAGCCACTTGGAAGGCCGAGGCAGGAGAATCGCTTGAACCTGGGAGGTGGAGGTTGCAGTGAGCCGAGACTGCACCATTGCATTCCAGCCTGGGCGTCAAGAGTGAAACTCTGTCTCAAAAAAAAAAAAAAAAAAAAGGAAAAGAAAAAGAAATAAGTCTTACAAACAATTTGCTGAGCTTGACCTTTACAAACCACTGAAAGTGTCATTGGTATCATCACTATTATGTAGCTTCTCTTTCAATTCACAACATTTTTCTTTTCTGGATTAAGATTTAATCATTCTGTAATCCATCTCATTTTATCTCACCTTTATCTTAGAAAAGGACCAAATACTAAAAATGGACTATTGTAAAGTTGGTAAGTGACAATGCTCAAGTATTAAGGTATAGGACAGGCCAGGCATGGTGGCTTACACCTGTAATCCCAGCACTTTGGGAGGCCAAGGAGGGCGGATCATGAGGTCAGGAGATCGAGACCATTCTGGCTAACATGGTGAAACCCTGTCTCTACTAAAAAATACACCAAAAAATTAGCCGGGCATGGTGGTTGGTGCCTGTACTCCCAGCTACTCAGGAGGTTGAGGCAGAATGGCATGAACCTGGGAGGTGGAGCTTGCAGTGAGCTGAGATCACGCCACTGCACTCCAGCCCGGGTGACAAGAGTGAGACTCCGTCTCAAAAAAAAAAAAAAAAAAAAAGTTATAGGACAGTGCTTACTATAATCAACATATTTACTACACGATAGCCCGTAAGATCTTATGACTTCCTCTAGTGTCCTGGCATACTTCAAGTAGTATTTTAAAGATTAAATTAAAGCTGAGCCCTCCAGAGAATTAATTCAAAATCACCCATTGTTAGTTTTCTGCTAAAGAGAGTGGAAGTGTAACCCTGGGTTGATTATTTGAGGCTGGTAAAAGCATGGTTTTACTCTTTACTTTTAAGAATGAGCTTTATACTGAGGAATACGCCCCTCCCCAGTCACAGAATGGAAATACAACTCTCACACAACCCACTTCACAACTTCCTGAGCTCACAGATTTCTCCAGGAGGATCAGGCCAAATAGTTTGCCAGGCACCGCACAAAAGGATCCACTGTTGGTGAAAGTTTCTTAAAATACAAGCCCAACTCAATAGAACAGTATCTTTATTTTCTTATTTAAAAAAGGTCAGTATATTTGTTTACGTCAGTGTTTCTGCATAACTAAATTAGATTCTAAATTGAGCAGAATCAAGAATTGCCAAGAGTTGCAAGAAAAATAAAAATCTAATATTGGCAGAAGATATCCTTAAAAAGAGCCAATTTAGCCATTTATATATACGTTACAAGGGTGAGAGGAGTACCAGGATCCCAGATGCCTTCCATTGGCAGTAACAGCCTTTATGGTCCACTTTCCTAAAAGAGGAATGTTTAAGATTAGAGGAATTAGCAGAATCAGAGAGTATTTATTTATATATATATATTTATTTGTTTGTTTATTTTGAGATGGAGTCTTGCTCTGTCACCCAGGCTGGAGTAGAGTGGCGCCATCTCATCTCAATACAACCTCCACCTCCCAGGTTCAAGCGATTCTCCTGCCTCAGCCTCCCAAGTAACTGGGATTATAGGCTCACACCACCACAGCCAGCTAAGTTTTATCTTTTAGTAGAGACAGGGTTTCACCACGTTGGCCAGGCTGGTCTCAAACTCCTGACCTCAAGTGATCTGCTCACCTCGGCCTCCCAAAGTGCTGGGATCACAGGCGTGAGCCAGTGTGCCCGGCCAAATACATATATATTTTTTATTTTTGGTGTATGTATTAAATAAATGACACAAATTATGCTTATAAACTGCATGTTAGAGCTATAATGTTTTTAGGAAATGAACTCCATAGTCAATTTCCAAGTTTAAGGAGTTCTTTGTACTTGAAATTGTAATAAATGTAACTGAAATTATAATAAAAAGCTTTAAAAATTATGTACTTTTGTTTTAATTGAATTGTAAGACCTTGATGTATTTTGATTTTAGGAAGACATTTTACAGAGTCTCACATGATGTTCTCATGAACTAGATGAAAAAATAAAAATGTGGGCTTGATAATGGCAGTTGGAGAGTGGTAACACTAATAAACTAATGTCAAGGTGAAAGCAGGTCTCTGAAATACTCGACGGGATTCTCCTCGTGACCCTATGGGCTTCAAATACTTTTTTTTTCTTAAGATGGAGTCTCACTTTTTTGCCCAGGCTGAAGTGCAGTGGCATGATCTTGGCTCACTGCAACCTCCGTCTCCCCCCCGGGTTCAAGTGATTCTCCTGCCTCAGCCTCAGTAGTAGCTGGGATTACAGGCTCACCACCATGCCTGCCTAATTTTTGTATTTTTAGTAGAGACAGGGTTTCACCATGTTGATCAGGCTGGTCTCGAACTCCTGACCTCCAGAGATCTGCCTGCCTCGGCCTCCTAAATACTTCTTCGACTAGTCAGTTGAATAGCAAAGACTAGAGTGTTGCCAATAAGAAGGATAGAAAGAAAGGCATATTACCAATGGCACACATAAGTGTGTGGAATGAACTTCTAAGAATGGTGACAGAAATCATGAGCTCCAAATAAGTAGAACCTTGCAAATACTAGAAACACCCAAACAGACTTTTACAATTCTGCTCTGACAAAAAATGACTCTACTGAGAGAAGGAGTGAGGAGGAACCGTGAGAAAGTGATATTGATGATCTAAATCATCATCTACCATAGCACATCCATAGATAATGTGTGAAATATCTAAATTAAGCAACAGCAAATAGTAGCAATTTATCTAGAGTCATAACAATGGTAATTATCAGAACTGTTGAAATCATTAAAAGTGGTTGATCAGCTCTTCAGAACCATTTGAATTTTAACTTTTTTTTTTTTTTTTTTTGAGAAAGAGCCTTGCTCTGCTGCTCAGGCTGGAGTGCAGTGGCGCGATCTCACCTCACTGCAATCTTTGCCTCCCAGGTTCAAGAGACTCTCCTGTCTCAGCCTCCCAAGCAGCTGGGACTACAGCCCCCGCTACCAGTGGGTCCAGCTAATTTTTGTATTTTTAGTAGAGACGGGGTTTCACCATTTTGGACAGGATGGTCTCGATCTCTTGACCTCATGATCCGCCCGCCTTGGCTTCCCAAAGTACTGGGATTACAGGCGTGAGCCACCGCGCCTGGCCGGAATTTTACTTTTCATACACTTGCATTGATTAATTTGACAAAAATATTTTAAAAGTTAAATTTAGATATTAACTCTCTCCTCTCAAAATAATTGTTTTTAAAGAAAAAACCAGACGTTTTTTCTTCTACTAAAAAGGGACCAGCAATTTGGAAAATGTCAAATTCCAGGTGTGGAGAATAAATGTACAAGATGATCTTAAAACATCTTATCATACCTGATAGGAAGGATGGTGTCAGGAAATTAGAGTCATGACCAAGGGATGGAGGATCCAACTCAAATAGGCTCCCACCGGCTAAAGCTGGAATGATCAAGCACCAAAATGAATAATGATCGCAATGGACTGAAACATCTAAAATCATTTAAATCCATTTGTTCATAATGATACCTAGAAACAACACTTATTCATCACTTCAGGGGACATTAAAGAACCAACTCACATTATTTTGAAAACTGATCAAGGGAGTCAAGTATTTATCTTGCCTATTCTGCACAATAGAGTATGGGTGACATTTTTCTTTATAGAATTATTTCAGCTAATAAATGAAGAAGGAATGACAGAATTATAATGTCTTCATTGCCACCCCTAATCAATCAGTGGATCCGAGATAGGAGGTGGGACTCGATTCCAGAGGTAGAGCTTGGACACTGGACCAAATTGAGTACTAGCTAAAGCAGGGATGAGGTGGAAGCAGCTTTCCATAAGACACACCCACTAGTGTGCCATGTCAGTTTACCATTGCCATGGCAACACCCTGGAGTTACTGCCCTTTTCCGTGGCAATGAGCTGACAACCCAGAAATTACTACCCTTTTTCTGGAAATTTCTTCATAAACCACCCCTTAATCTATATGTAATTAAAAGTAAGTATGAAGGCCAGGGGCAGTGGCTCATGGCTGTAATTCCAGCACTTTGGAAGGCTGAGGCGGGTGGATTGCTTGAGGTCAGGAGTTTGAGACCAGCCTGGCCAACATGGTGAAACCCCGTCTCTACTAAAAATACAAAAAATTAGCCGGGCGTGGTGGCGGGCGCCTATAATCCCAGCTACTCCGGAGGCTGAGGCAGGAGAATGGCGGGAACCTGGGAGGCAGAGCTTGCAGTGAGCTGAGATCGTGCCAATGCACTCCAGCCTGGGCGACAGAGTGAGACTCCGTCTCAAAAAAAAAAAAGAAAAAAATTTGCAAAAAAAATTTAAAAAAAAGATTCCACAAAGAAAAATCTCAATTTATTTGAGAAATGGTAGCTTTGACTAGAAGCAATAAAACTACAAAATAATGACAAAAAGATAGCTTAGTCACATTTTTTATAAAATTACAAGTCTCCTAATTAATAGCAAAATAGAAATTGAAATAACATATTAAGCACTCAATCATGATGATAATACTACATAGTAAAAGTTACAGAATAGGGCTAATGCCAGACGCAGAAGAAAATATACAGCTTTACGTGTTTTAATAAACAAGAAATGGCCAGGCACAGTGGCTCACGCCTGTAATCCCAGCACTTTGGGAGGCTGAGGCGGGCAGATCACGAGGTCAGGAAATCGAGACCATCCTGGCTAACACGGTGAAACCCCGTCTCTACTAAAAATACAAAAAATTAGCCGGGCATGGGGGCAGGCGCCTGTAGTCCCAGCTACTCGGGAGGCTGAGGCAGGAGAATGGCATGAACCCGGGAGGCGGAGCTTGCAGTGAGCCGAGATCGCGCCACTGCACTCCAGCCTGGAGGACAGAGCAAGACTCCGTCTCAAAAAAAAAAAAAGAAAGAAAGAAAGAAAAAGAAAAAGAAAAGGAAAAAAAATTAACTCTAGCAAAATAAAGGTAGGACAAAAGGATTAGTAAACAAAAACTGAAATCAATATAATGAATTCGAGAACAAAGTCATTTATTTCATAAATAAAAACGAGATGATTCTTTAGTTCTTTAAAATGCTCCCAATAATGGGGACAAAACTCTAGCTGCTACTCATATAATAGGTGCATTTGGTTGTTGCCAGGTGAGCCCCCAATGACCATAAACAAGGAGGATTTAACAAGGGGATTTTATTACTTGAAACAAGTAAGGAGGACACCGGAGGTAGTGCCCCAAAGCAGTGCCCCTACAAACAGGCGTGAAAACCGAGCATGTCTTGGGCTGGTCAGCTGAATCATTGCGTGTAGAGAGGGAGTCCTGGCCGCACAGGCACAGCGGCGGATTATGTTTCTACATATGTCGCCTGTATAGAAAATGGAGAATAAGCTCCTCCCTGGGCCGGGTTTTTAAGATTATAACAATAAGAGTTCGCCAAAGTTCATCTCCTACTCAGCCATCTCTGGATCCAACTGTTTTTTGTTTTTCTGGGGCCGAGCTTCTCCAGGAACTTTTTGAAACAACAAGAACTCAAGGTGCAACAGTTACAAGTGGGCACTTTTTCAGTGTGTACCAGAAAACCCAGGGCCCCTGAGTTACATGACCAGTCTATCACAATTTTTTAAAAATAACTAATGGATAACATTGCAAATTTAAAAATAAAACCACAGATTGAAAGAAATGTAAGCAATTATGAGACAGTGCTATATTCAACTTTATGTGAATACATTAAAATCTAGATGAAATAAAGACATTTTCCAGAAAATATAAATCAGTTCCTCCTGTAGGGTATTATAGGTCACACTCATATCAGTGTGGTAGGAGCCTTGACTAGACCTATAACTATGGAACAAACTGAAAATGTCAAAGATAAGCCTCTCCAAAGACACTACACTCAGATGGTTTTACTGGGAAATTCTATAAAATAAAACCATCAGAAATTTTTTTCTATTATGTAAATCATTTTTAAAAAAGAAAATCTTTAAATATCATTCCAAAATGCCTTAATAAGAATCCAGAAGAGTAAAACAGGCAGATTTCATTTATGAACACCAATATAAGTTTTCTAAATAAAATTTTAGCGAATTGAAAAGCATGAAATTTAATCAAGTAGGATTTTTAACCAGAAATATTAAGATAATTCAACATTAAGAATACATTTTTGTAGCTTAATCTCAATAAAATAGCACCCTATCACTTTCTACCTACTTATCCTGCTTCAGTTTTCTTCATGGTACTTGCTGTGGTTTGAGTGTTTGTGTCCTCTCCAAAATCCATGTTGAAACTTAATGCCCAATTTAACAATATTAATAGGTGAGGCCTTCAGGAGGTGATTAAGCCATGAGGGTGGCACCCCCTGTATAGGACTAGGTGCCCTTATAAAAAAAAGGGCTTGAGGGAGGAAGTTCGTTCCTTCTGCCCTTCCACCCTCTGCCAGGGAAGGACACAGGCTTTGACTTTCTTGTTGATTTCTGTTACCTCCAGTGCAGAGGACAGTGCCTGGCACCATCTGCTTAGTAAATGCTGGTTAAGTGAATTTTATTATTATGCTAAGAAGAAAAAATATAAATAATTATAATACATGCTGAAAATAGAGTGATAAAATTCAACATTTGTTTCTGATTCTAAAAGTTAGTAAACTGAGAGCATTTAATTGAAATTATTAGCAAAATGTAATATATAATAGCAAACCACAACAGACATCCATATTAAAATCAGAAACAAAAAAAAGAATACATGCCATGACCACAATTCATTACATTGTTCTGGAAGTTTTACCCAATAAAGTAAAAGGAAATAAGAGTTACATGAAGGAACTTACAAAATTATTATTTACAGATGATATGTGTCAATTTAGTATACTCAAGAGAATATTTAAAAAACAATGGGTTAGTGTCACATGGCATCTTTTTAAATATAAATAAATAAATTGTAAAAATAAAAAACAGGCTGCGCACAGTGGCTCATGCCTGTAATCCCAGCACTTTGGGAGGCTGAGGTGGGCATATCACCTGAAGTCAGGAGTTCAAGACCAGCTGGCCAACATGGTGAAACCCCATCTCTACTAAAAATACAAAAATTATCTGGGCATGGTGGCAGGCACCTGTAATCCCAGATACTCGGGAGGGTGAGGCAGGAGAATCTCTTGAACCCGGGAGGCGGAGGTTGCAGTGAGCCGAGATCGGGCCATTGTACTCCAGCCTGGGTGACAAGGGCGAGACTCTGTCTCAAAATAAATAACTAAAAATAAAAAAACAATGGGAAGCCATTAAAAGGTGCTAAACAGGGCCCAGGTGACATAAGTAGATTTGGCTCTACCCATAAATGAAGAATGGACAGGAGGAGAACAAGCCTGGATACTACTACAATTGTCCTGATGAGAATTGAGACTAGCTCACAATAGCAGGTGCTGGAAGAAATGAATTAGAGAGATATTGTAGAGGTGAAATTCACTGGAAGTTGATGGTAAATTGGTTACTTGGGGTAAGAGAGTAGAAGGTATCTCAGATACCTCCTGTGTGGGGTTATAAATACGAGAGTTCTGGGAAAGAGAGCCGGAGACTCACTATACAGAATGTAGACTCTTCTAATACTCCTGTTTTCAGCCTTGTTCTTCACCCATATTCTTTAATGTGTCTGTGTCTCAAAGTCTGAAGTTTCCTTGGTTTAATTTCTCCAGGGAATAAGCCTCCCATCTCCAGTGGGGTCAGGGGATGGGCTATCTGCCTGGCTGCACAGGACAGGGGTTAGGACTGCTCTTTTTATAGACTTCTAATCAATACCCATGTGTCAGCTCCACCTACTGGGTGGAAACTAGACTCTTTGAGAGTCTGCTTTATGTTCTTTTGGTTATATACCCAGAAGTAGAATTGCTGGATCATATGATAATTATATTTTTTAATTTTTTAAGGAAACTGCATACTGTTTTCCATAGCAGCTGCACCATTTCACATTCCCACTAACAGTGCACAGGTTCCTATTTCTCCCCATTCTCACCAGCGGTTTTTATTTTCTGGGTTTTTTTGGGGTGTGTGTGTGTGTGTGTGTTTATAGTGGCCATCTTAACAGGTATGAAGTAATATCTTATTGTGGGGTTTTTTTTTGTTTTGTTTTTTTGTTTTTGAGAGGGAGTTTTCGCTCTTGTTGCCCAGGCTGGAGTGCAGTGGCACGATCTTGGCTCACTTCAACCTCCACCTTTTGGGTTCAAGCGATTCTCCTGCCTCAGTCTCCCTAGTAGCTGGGATTACAGGCATGCATCACCATGCCCGGGCTCTTATTGTGGTTTTGACTTGCATTCCTTAATGATTAGTGATGTTGAGCACCTTGATATTGAGCACATTTTCATATACCTGTTGGCCATTTGTATATCTTCTTTGGAGAAATATGTATTCAAGTTCTTTACCCATTTTAAAAATTGGGGTACTTGGGGGTTTTTGTTATTGAGTTGTAAGAATTTTTATACATTCTGGATGTTAATCCCTTAACAGATATATGGTTTGCAAATATTTTCTCCACTTCCATAGATTGCTGTTTTACTGTATCAATTGTTTCCTTTCCTACTTTTTAAAGTTTGGTATAGTCCCACTTGTCCATTTTTGCTTTGGTTGTCTGCACATTTGTTGTGATATCCAAGAAATCACTGCCAAATCCAATGTCATGAAGCTTTTCCTCTATAGTTTCTTTGAGGAGTTTTATAGTTTCAGGACTTACTTTTGGTCTATTCCATTTTTAGCTAACTTTTGTATATGATCTAGAGTAAGGGTCCAACTACATTCTTTTGCATGTGGATATCCAGTTTTCCCAGCCCCATTTGTTGAAGAGACTATCCTTTCCCCATTGTGCAGCCTTGTCATCCTTGTCAAAGATCATTTGACCTTGTATGTGAGGTTTTGTTTGTGTTTTATGCATTCTGTTCCATTGGTCTAAATGTCTGTCTTTATACCAGTACTACACGATTTTGACTACTGTAGGTTTGTAGAATGTTTTGAGATCAGGAAATATGAGGCCTCCCATTTTGTTTTTCTTTCTCAAGATTGTTTTGGCTATGCATGGTTCTTTTGCAATTCCGTATAAATTTTAGGATGGGTTTTTCTATTTCTGCAAAAAATAACATTGATATTTTAATAGGGATTGCATTAAATCTGTAATTGTTTTGAGTAGTATGAGGATTTTAACAATCTTAAGTCTCACAATCCATCAACACAGCTGTCTTCTTATTGATTTGTATCTTCTTTCATTTATTTCAGCAATGTTTTGTAGTGATTTCTGTAAAAGTCTTTTACCTTTTTAGTTAAGTTTATTCCTAAGTATTTTATCTTTTTAATGCTATTGTAAGTGGAAGTGTTTTCTTTTCTTCCTTGGATTTTTTTCTTAATTATTCGTTGCTAGTATATAGGTACACAACTGATTTTTGCATGTTGTTTTTGTGTCCTGCAGCTTTGCTGAATTCATTTATTAGTTTTTTGTGTGTGGGGGGGGGGGGAGTTGTTTGTTTATTTGTTTGTTTTTGTTTTTGTTTTGAGACTGCGTCCCACTCTGTCGCCCAGGCTGGAGTGCAATGGAGTGATCTCAGCTCACTGCAAGCTCCACCTTCCGGGTTCACGCCATTCTCCTGCCTCAGCCTCCCTAGTAGCTGGGACTACAGGCGCCCCCCACCGTGCCCAGCTAATTTTTGTATTTTTAATAGAGACGGGGTTTCACCATGTTGGCCAGGATGGTCTTGATATCTTGACCTTGTGATCCACCCACCTCGGCCTCCCCAAGGGCTGGGATTACAGGCGTGAGCCACCGTGCTCGGCCTGTTTGTTTGTTTTTGAGATGGGGCCTCACTCTGTTGCCCAGGCTAGAGTGCCGTGGCACGATCTCAGCTTGCTGCAACCTCCGCCTCCCAGGTTCAAATGATTCTCATGCCTCATCCTCCCGCATAACTGGAATTACAGGCACCTGCCACCACGCTTGCCTAATTTTTTTGTATTTTCAGTAGAGATGGAGTTTTGCTATGTTGGCCAGGCTGGTCTCAAACCCCTGACCTCAAGCAACCCACCCGCCTCAGCCTACCAAAATGCTGGGATTACAGGCGTGAGCCACCACACCTGGTCCATTTATTAGTTTTAACAGTTTGTGTGTGTGTGTCTAATCTTTAGGAATTCTACGTGTAAGATCATGTCATCTGGGAATAGAGATAATTTTACTTCTTCCTTTCCAATTTGGATAACTTTTATTTCTTTTTATTGCCTAATTGCTCTGGCTAGGACTTCCATGACTATGCTGAATGGAAGTAGCAAAAGTGGGCATCTTTGCCTTGATCCTGATCTTAGAAAGCATTCAGTTTTTTACCATTGGGTATGATGTAAGCTGTAAGCTTTTATATACGGCCTTTTATTATGTTGAGGCAATTTCCTTCTAGTCCTTGTTTGTTGAGTGTTTTTCTCACAAAAGCATGTTGAAGTTTTCAAATATTTTTTATCCATCAATGGCTTTTGTCCTCCATTCAGTTAATGTGTTGTATTATGGTAACTGGCTTTTTTTTTTTTTTTTTTTTAGGACAAGATCTGGCTCTATTTCCCAGGCTGGAGTGCAGTGCAGTGGCGTGATCTTGGCTCACTGCAACCTCCACCTCCTGGGCTCAATTCATCCTCCTACCACAGCCTCCCAAGTAGCTGGGAATACAGGCATGCACCACCATGCCCAGCTAATTTTCATATTTTTTATAGAGACAAGGTTTTGCCATGTTGGCCAGGCTGGTCTCAAACTCGTGAGCTCATGCAATCTGCCCACTTAGGCTTCCTAAAGTGCTGGGATTACAGGCATGAGCCACTGCTCCAGCCTGATTGACTTTTATATGTTGAAACATTCTTGTATTTCAGGAGTAAGTTCCTCTTGGTTATGGTGTATAATCCTTTTAATGTGCCATGAATTCAGTTTGCTAGTATTTTGTTGAGGATTTGGGCATCAATATTCAGGTATATTGGTCTATGGTTTTCTTGTAGTGTCTTTGTCTAGTTTTGGAATCAGGATAATGCTGGCCTCATGGAAAGTTTGGAAAATGTGAAGGATTTCTGTTAATTCTTCTTAGATTTTTCGTAGAATTCTCTAGTGAAGCCATTTGGTCCTGGGCTTTTCTTTGTCGGGAGGTTTCTGATTACTGATTCAATCTACTAACTAGTTACAAATCGTTCAGATCTGCTATTTCTTCAAAACTCAGTATTGGTAGGTTGTATTTTTCCAGCAATTAATCCATTTGTTTTAAGTTATCCAGTTTGTTGGTGCATAATTGTTCATAACAGTATGATCCTTTTTATTACTGTGGCATCATTTGTAATGTCTCCTCTTTCACTTCTGAATTTTGTTGAGTCTTCTCTATTGTCTTGTTGATCTAGCTAAAGGTTTGCAAATTTTGTTAATTTTTTGTTTGTTTGTTTTGATTTGTGAACCGAAGTCTTGCTCTGTTGCCCAGGCTGGAGAGCAGTGGTGTGACCTCTGCTTACAGCAACCTCCACCTCCTGGGTTCAAATGATTCTCCTGCCTCAGCCTCCCCAATAGCTGGGATTACAGGTGCCTGCCACCATGCTTGGCTAATTTTTGTATTTTTATTAAAGACGGGGTTTTGCCATTTTGGCCAGCTTGGTCTCGAACTCCTGACCTCAGATGATCCACCCACCTTGGCCTCCCAAAGTGCTGAGATTACAGGCATGAGCCACTGCACCTGGCCAGACTTTTGTTGATATTTTTAAAAAACCTAACTTTTAGTTTTGTTGACTTCTTGGTATTGGCTTTCTAGTCTCTTTTATTTCTACTCTAATCTTTAGTACTTCCTTTCTTCTGCTAACTTTGGGTCTGGTTTGTTCTTTTTTTAGTTCTTTGAGGTATAAAGTTAGGTTGTTTATTTGAGATCTTCTTTAGTAATGCATTTTATATTATATACTGCTCTAAACTTCCCTCTTAGCATCTTATGGGATGCTTTACTGCATCCCCATAAGTTTTGGTGTGTTTTGTTGTTTGTTTTCATTTTTCTCAAGATGTTTTCTAATTTCCCTTGTGATTTCTTCTTTGACTCATTTGTTGCTCAAGAATATGTCATTTTGTTTTCACATATTTGTGAAGTTTTTTGTTTTCCTTTGCTGTTGATTTCTAGTTTCATTCCATTGGGTTTGGAAAAGATATTTGGTATGATTTAAATATTCTTAAATTTGTTGAGACTTGTTTTCTGTCCCAAAATATGATCTATCTTGGAGACTGTTTTTGTGCGCCCTTGAGAATAATGTATACTTTTGCTCCTGTAAAGTAGAATGTTCCACATATGTCTGTTTGGTCCAACTGGTCTGTAATGGATCTTATTGTGTAAATACAATAAGGTCTTTTGTTATTGATCTTCTATCTGATTGTTCTATTTAATATTGAATGTGGGGTATTGAAATCTCCTACTGTTGCGTTACTTTCTATTTCTTCCTTCAGTTCTGTCAATATTTTCTTCATATGGTTGGATGCTTTGCTCTTAGATGCATATATATTTATACTTGTTACATCTTTCTAATGAAGCGAACCTTTTATCATTATATAATGTTCTTCTTTGTCTCTTAGGACAATTTTTGGCTTAAAGTCAGTTTTCTCTGATATAAGTAGGGCTGCTCTGGCTCTTTTTTGGTTACCATTTGCCTGTGTTAACAAAAGATCAATGAGTTCTGTGGAGGAAAAGGGGGAACTTTATTTTCTAAAAGCAATCTGCAGATTGGAGAGATGCAGCCTTCAGTGCAAAATCGAAGTGTGACCTGAGGTGGGAGTTGGAAAGTTGGAGATTATAAAGGCCAAAAACACAGGGCAGGGGAGGGGAATCAGGGGAGTGGGGAACAGAGTCTTGATTAAATGACCATTTCACCAGTCTGTCTTAATTAGCTGGTTCCAGGTGTTCAGTTGGGAGGCACCAGGTGGTCTGTTGGGGTCAATTGAAGAATTTCTAGCTGCAGTTATTTTCAGAAATTGTTCTTTGACTTGGTTGTGGAAAAACAGGTTTTATAATGCTTTCCAAGGACACAGAAAGTGTGACCATTTCTTCACCCTGCCATATAACTCTTGGTTCTGCTTTCATCTTTTCAGCCACAGGGAGTCCATCTTGTCTGTTAAGCAGGGGCATAATTTGACACATGGAATATCTTTGTCTATCCTTTAATGTTCAGCCTATGTGTGTCCTTATACTAATGTGAATCTCCTATAGACAGTGTATACCTGAAACTTGTTTTCTTATTCATTCAGTCACTCTATATCTTTTTATTTGGAAGTTTAATCCATTTACGTCTAAAGCAATCACTGATAGGGAAGGAATCACTATTGCTGTTTTGTTATTTTTTTCTGTACATCTTGTAGTTATTTTGTCCTTCTTTTCCTCTCTTACTGCATTCCTTTGTTTTTAGTTGTGTGTGTTTGTTTTTGTTTTGGTGGTGTGCTTTGATTCCTTTTTCATTTTCTTTGTGCATCCTCAATGCACATTTTCTTTGTGATTACCATGAATAATTTATAAAATATCTTATACTTTTTTTTTTTTTGAGATGGAGTCTCATTCTGTAGCCCAGGCTGGAGTGCAACGGTGTGATCTCAGCTCACTGCAACTTCCACCTCTCAGGTTCAAGCAATTCTCCTGCCTCAGCTTCCCAAGTAGCTGGGATTACAGGTGCCTGCCATCATATGGTGGCTGATTTTCATATTTTTGTACAGATGGCATTTCACCATGTTGGCCAGGCTGATTTTAAGCTCCTGACCTCAGGTGATCCATTCACCTCGGCCTCCCAAAGTGCTGGGATTACAGGCATGAGGCACAATGGATGGCTAAAATATCTTATAACAATCTATATTAAACTGATAATGACAATGTCAATCACACACAAAATCTCAAGTCATTTATATATCCCCACCACTGTATGTTATCAACTTCACAAATTACATCTTTTTACTACTTTATATACTTTAAATGTAGTTTTATTGTTATAATTATTTCTGTTTTGTCTTTTAAATTGTATACCAGAATTGATTTATGCACCACCATTACAATACTACAGAATTCTGTATTTGTCTACATACATACCTTTTCATAGAGCTTTATAATTTCATATGCTTTTGTGTTGCTTTCTAGAGTTCTAGAGTCCTTTCTTTTCAACTTATAGGACTTCCTTTAGCAATTCCTTCAAAGCAGGTCTAGTGATGATAAACTCCCTCAGCGTTTGTTTGTCTGGGAAGGGCTTTATTCTTCTTTCATTTTTGAAGGACACTTTCACCAAATATAGTGTTTTTGGTGGACAGCTTTGTCTTTTCCTTTTTTTTTTTTTTTTTTTTTTGATGGAGTCTTGCTCTGTCACCAGGCTAGAGTGCAGTGGCATGATCTTGGCTCACTGCAACCTCCACCTCCTGGGTTCAAGTGATTCTCCTGCCTCAGCCTCCCAAGTAGCTGGGACTACAGGCATGCACCACCATGCCCAGCTAATTTTTGTATTTTTAGTAGAGACAGGGTTTCACCATGTTGGCCAGGAGGGTCTCAATCTCTTGATCTTGTGGTCCGCCCACCTTGGCCTCCCAAAGTACTGGGATTACAGGTGTGCACCACTGCGCCTGGCCTGGACAGCTTTTTCTTTCAGCATTTTGAATATATTATCCCATCCTTTTCTGGTCTGTAATGTTTCTGCTGAGAAATCTGCTGATAATGTTACAGGGACTTCCTTTTATGTGACCAGTGGCTTTTCTCTTGCTGTTTTTAACATTCTTTACCATTGACTTTTGAAAACTTGATTGTAATGTGTCTTGGTTTGGGGCTCTTCGGGTTCATCTCACTTGGAATCCTTTGATATTCTTGAATTTAGATGCCTATTTCCTTCCTCAGATTTGTGAGTTTTCAATCATTTAATCTTCAAATATCCTCTCTGTCCCTTTCTCTCTCTTCTTCTTCTGAGACTCTCATAATGTATATATTGTTCCACTTGATGGTATCCCATAAGTCCCTTAGGCTTTCTTTACTTTTCTTCATTCCTTTTTCTTTTTGTTCCTCTAACTCAATAATTTCAAATGACCTATGTTCATGTTTGCTGATTCTTCAGTTTCATCAACTCTATTATTGAATTCCTTTAGTGCATTTCTAAAATTCAGATATAGTATTCTTCAGCTTCAGAATTTCTGTTTTTTTAATAGTTTCTCTTTGTTGATATTCTCATTGTGTTCATGCATCATTTTCCAGATTTTGTTTTCTTTATTCTCTTATGGTTCATTGAGCTTCTTCAAGATGATTATTCTAAATTATTTGTTAGGTAAGTCATTATTTGGTGTTTCTTTAAGGTTGATTTCAGGATATTTTGTTCCTTTCATAGGACCATCTTTTCCTGTTTCCTGGTGTGCCTTGTTGTTGTTGTTGTTGTTATTATTTTGCTACGATTTGTGCACTTAAAAAAACAGCTATCTCTCCTAGTCTTTATAGACTAGCTTCGTATGTGAAAGGTCTTCACCAATCAGCACAGTTAAAAATTCTGAGAGCTTCTTGAACCTTTTCTGGGGATGCATCTTCTCTGGGCTTGTGTAAGTTATTTCCCAATTAGAGTGGTTTGCCAGTTTTTTTTTTTCTTCCAGGAGTTTATAATCTCTTTCTCCTTCTGTCTGTGGTACTGCAAGTTCTCTGGCACTGCAGTAAGCCATTGAGCTCTTTTGTTCTCAGTAGCCCCTAGGGATGGAAAATATACTGGCTCTGTCAGCACTGTGAGTTAGGTGAGGAAAAAAACCAGTCACTGGAACAGCCCCCTGAAAAGTCATGTGTTCCTTTCTTCTCTTTCCCTCCCAAGGTAGAAACTGTCAGTTGGGCTTTTTCTCCTGAAAGCACCAAGCTGTGCTGGCTTGAGGGAGGAGGGATCATGGGTGAAATTAAATGGCTTTTCTTACCTGTTTCACGGACTATTCTTGGCTTTGAGCTTGCCTGCTGTCCTATGACTTCTTAACTGGTTTCTGGAGTTCTCAAAAAGGCTTTTTTGATCATTTATAATTAAATCATTGTCCCTGTGAGGGAATGCAGTCTGAGGCTTCCTATTCCATCATCTTGCTCTGTGCTCAGCCTTTGATTTTTTTATTCTGTATATTTGTTATTGTTTGAATATTTTACATCCATCACGTTAAAATTAATGTGAAGAAAAGTATCCAAATCTAAATGGGCTTTTTTTGTTTTTTGTTTTTTTTGAGACGGAGTCTCACTCTGTCACCCAGGCTGGAGTGCAGTGGCGCGATCTTGGTGCACTGCAAGCTCCGCCTCCCGGGTTCACACCATTCTCCTGCCTCAGCCTCCCGAGCAGCTGGGACTACAGGCCCCCGCTACCACGCCCAGCTAATTTTTTGTATTTTTAGTAGAGACAGGGTTTCACTGTGTTAGCCAGGATGGTCTCGATCTCCTGACCTCGTGATCCACCCACCTCAGCCTCCCAAAGTGCTGGGATTACAGGTGTGAGCCACCGCACCCAGCCTAAATGTTTTAAATATTGAAGGAAAAATATTTCGTTTCCAAGAAAGGAAAGTATATAAGGGCCCTTGGTTTTATTGCTATAATTTATACTAAAGCACAGTAAGAATTAGCCTATATTCATGTATATTACACAAACCTCCCACTATTGTGAGCTTTCCCAAATTCCTGCAGCCTTAATAAAAATGTAAAAGGGTGCTGTTATAGTATAAAAAATAAATTAACAATGGCCAGGCGTGGTGGCTCACGCCTGTAATCCCAGCACTTTGGGAGGCCGAGGCAGGTGGGTCACTTGAGGTCAGCCTGGCCTTAGATGAAACCCCATCTGGTCAGCTGAGACCAGCCTGGCCAACATGGTGAAACCCCATCTCTACTAAAAATACAAAAATTAGCCAGTGTGGTGGTGGGCACCTGTAATTCCAGCTACTTGGGCAGCTGAGGCAGGAAAAATCACTTGAACCCAGGAGGTAGAGGTTGCAGTGGGCTGAGACTGCACCATTGCACTCCAGCCTGGGCAACAAGACTGAAATTTCGTCTCAAAAAAAAAAAAAAGAAAAGAAAAGAAAGAGGCCGGGAGCAGTGGCTCACGCCTGTAATCCCAACACTTTGGGAGGCCGAGGCGGGTAGATCACGAGGTCAGGAGATCAAGACCATCCTGGCCAACAGGGTGAAGCCCCATCTCTACTAAAAATACAAAAAAAAAAAAAAATAGCGGGGCGTGGTGGCTGGAGCCTGTAGTCCCAGCTACTCGAGAGACTGAGGCAGGAGAATCACTTGAACCCTGGAGGCAGAGATTGCAGTGAGCCGAGATCTCGCCACTGCACTTCAGCCTGGGCGACAGAGTGAGACTCTGTCTCAAAAAAAAAAAAAAAAAAAAAGAGAAAGAAAGAAATTAACAATGCAAATTATTATGAAGCAGACATTTAAGATATCCCTTATCCATATAGATAATTAGGAAATAAATTGATTTATTAAATTTTGTTTCTTCTTTTGTGCTTTAGGCATTAGGATTTTTGTCTTCTTATGGAATAGGAATGGAATATGATCAAGCTAAGGTAAAGATCATTCTGTTTTATTCTGGAACAAAATTGATTTCTCTAAAAGGGACATTGAATAAAATCTACTCATTAAGTAAAGGGGCTCACTCTAGTGTAGTAGTTGAAAACACCAACTTAATAGTCAAAGAAATTTAGTGTTCTTATGCCATAAGTTTCTTAAAGCCTCATGAGTCAGCCTCTTCATTGAAGATAGATAATATCTGCTTCATAAGGAAATTATGATGATTAAATGAAATATCTTATACAATGCCCTTATCACAGACTCCAGAGATTAGTTAACCCCTAATAAATGGCAAACATCTTTACAAAGGAGAGTGAAATTTGAAATTTATTTTGGAGTAACTCAATGGGTCATTATGGAGCTAGGAATAAAAATGGAATACTTGGTTTGAGTTTCAAATTTAAATGGCCAACCTGGTTTGGGGGGTTTTTTGTTTGTTTGTTTTTACTTTAGGCACTGATATATTACACCTTTGGAAGTGCTGGAGGAAACATGATGTCCCAGATGATTTTGGTTTGTAAACAAAATATTCTTGGAACCAAATTTGTATGCCATAAATACAGCATTGTCTTGAATATTAAGAATGCATCTGTCTGTGTTTTAGGGGTACAGATATTTGTCGGGAATCAATGTTCTACAGAATTGTGAAGTTGCCCTAAGTTATTACAAGAAAGTGGCAGATTATAGTAAGTAATCCACATAATTTATTTTAAAATAAACAGTTGCCAAGGAATTAGAAAAATAAATCAATAACAGTTCAATTGATATAAACTTATGAAAATATCAAAAGTGTACGTTTTTAATATGTTATAATACAATTCTTTTAACATAATACAGTTTCTGTTTCCTTAATAGTTACTTTCCAAATGGTTTTAAAAGATTATACTCATTTTTTATTTTTGTTAATATGTATCCCCAAACAATTCTGTTTTACTTGCCTTTGTGATGTTCTTTCCTTACTGAGAATTTGAATGTAGCACCGATAAATATTAAGCAGTTTCCCTAAATATAACATTCAGAATATGGGATGACTGCCAAAAATTCCTAAAGGAATGAATGTAAGGTATACATTGGAGGTATCTGTCACCACATATGAGAACAATTCAAGCAACCATTAGTCTAAATGTAATCAGAATAATGTCTAAGCACACATCTTTGGCATTATTAGGATCTGAGAAAAGAAAGAAGGAGGAAAAAAACTAGTTTTGAATTTAAGATGCTGTATATAATGAGATCATTTCATGTGTTTAATGAAATTGGAATTACTATATATATTTCAAACTGCACACTTTGTTAGGTGTATTCAAGCATATCTATCTTTATATTTATTTTCAGACTATCCATAGGAAGTAATTAAAGAGCAGTGATTATTCCTATATTATAGTCTTAGTCCCAGAAAAAAATTATGAATGGAATGAGTTATCTGCTCCTAAAATATCCCCTTTCCTTGAGTCTTTTTGGTCAAGATCTTCAGTAGAGTCTGATATAAGTTGATACCATACTTGTATAGGTTGCAAAGAAGAACTAGAGAACCCAATAAACAAAAATTGCACTTTTTTTTTTTTTTGAGACAGAGTATCCCTCTGTCATCCATGTTGGAGCACAGTGGCTCAATCTCGGCTCACTGCAGCCTCTGCCTCCTGGGTTCAAGTGATTCTCATGCCTCAGCTTCCCAGGTATCTGGGATTACAGGTGTGCACCACCATACCTGGCTAATTTTTGTATTTTTAGTAGAGACGGGGTTTCACCATGTTGGCCAGGCAGGTCTCAAACTCCTAACCTCAAGTGATTTGCCCGCCTCTGCCTCCCAAAGTGCTGGGATTACAGACATGAGCAACCGCACCTGGCCAAAAATCTGAAAATTTCTATTTTTCATGGATCTTCTGTCTCTATTAGTTGAACAGATTTCTGCACAATTTAAGATAATAAGCTAACGGTGTTTTCTCTAAATTGACTGTTATCTCTTGCAGCCTCTGTTTTCTAGCTATTCTCTGGCTTGTTTTTATTCACAGTTGCTGACACATTTGAAAAAAGTGAAGGTGTTCCAGTGGAAAAAGTGAGACTAACGGAAAGACCTGAAAATCTGAGTTCTAACAGTGAGATTTTGGATTGGGACATATACCAATACTATAAATTTTTGGCAGAAAGAGGAGATGTTCAGATACAAGTAATGTATACAGATGAGATTGAGTTTTTAGAACATGAAAATTACAAGGGGCTTAATTCTTTCTGAGTCCTGGAGGGATGAACAATGCCCCATCCTAAATAGGAATGGGGGGAGACCCGCCCTCCTCTCTCACCCTACTCCTGTTTTGTTCCCTGCTACTTACAGTTCCTGTAGCCCACTGGAGAACTAGTTGCCATAATAATAGCAACTTTTTTGCATTTCTTCCTTAAAAATTAATTTTTTTTTTTTTTGAGTTGGAGTCTCACTCTGTCGCCCGGGCTGGAGTGCAGTGGCACAATCTCGGCTCACTGCAAGCTCCGCCTCCCGAGTTCACACCATTCTCCTGCCTCAGCCTCCCAAGTAGCTGGGACTACAGGTGCCCACACCACCACGCCTGGCTAATTTTTTGTATTTTTAGTAGAGACAGGGTTTCACCATGTTAGCCAGGATGGTCTCGATCTCCTGACCTCGTGATCTGCCCATCTCGGCCTCCCAAAGTGCTGGGATTACAGGCGTGAGCCACTGCGCCCAACCCCAATGTTGGTTTTAGTATGAATAAACTACGGCAATCCAGAAAGGTTCTGTTTTTGGGAATGGGACAGTATTTGCATGATCTTTGAGAGCCAAGAGCTAAGGCCCCTAGCTTTATGTGCCTGGGTGTTTCTGTACCCCAGAAGACCAGCTTCCAGCCACTAAGGAAGCCATATGTCCAGCAGCAACCAATTACCCAATAAATGATATAGTCTGGAATGTTTCCCTGATTTTTTCAGGACATTTCAAACGTGTCCAACAATCAACATACTAAAGTAAAATCACCACATAAATGTTTTCTTTATTTAAAGTAATACTGCTGCTAAAATCATTTCCAAACTCATCATTCCTAGGTCTCTCTTGGACAATTACATCTAATTGGCAGGAAAGGTCTAGATCAGGATTACTACGTAAGTCAATCTCAAGATCCAGTCAAATGGGGTGGGGAAGGTAGTGGTGAGGGAGGCTGGCAGGGAAGTGAAAGCAGGGGGAGGGAGAGGTGGAAGAGTTGCTCAGAAAGCCCACTGATGCTTCCTTGGTCAGCTATGCTTCCCAGCTTCTTAGGAAGAACTAAGTTCTCCAGAGGGAGCACTTACCCACCTGCCTTCAAGAACAAAGGGGAAGGGACTTCTGAGGAGCAATCGAGGCAGGGGGGTATCCATGTTCCAACAGAACCTAGTTCTGCGCACTCACACGCACTTTGGGCTGGGATTAGGAGAGAGAATATCCCCACCTGCCGGCCTGCACACAAGGCCAGCTGCAGAGTCCACCTGGGGATCACCGTTAAGGAGTCTGAGAGGCAACTTCATCCCCATTTGGCTATATCAGAAGACAGATTGCTTTTAATATAATTAAAAATATATTAAACATCCTTATACATTTGCAAAGCTCTTTTCAATCATTTTGCTTAACCTTACCTTATCCCAGTGAGGTTAAAAGGTTAATTAACCGGCCAGGTACGGTGGCTCATGCCTGTAATCTCAGCACTTTGGGAGGCTGAGGCAGGCGGATCACGAGATCAGGATATTGAGTCCATCCTGGCGAACACGGTGAAACCCCGTCTCTACTAAAATTACAAAAAATTAGCCGGGCGTGGTGGCACGTGCCTGTAATCTCAGCTACTCGGGAAGCTGAGGCAGGAGAATCACTTGCACCTGGGAGGCACAGGTTGCAGTGAGCCCAGATCATGCCACTGCACTACAGTCTGGGTGACAGAGCCAGACTCCCTCTAAAAATAAAAAAATAAAAAAAATAAATAAGTTAATTAACCATTCAAATGTGTAGCGAAGAAAAAAGCAAATGAACAAATGAACTTCACCTTGACATACACAGGATCCTCCTCTGTAAGATGCCAGGGTCATGGGATGAGTTCTTGCTTAGATTTTGATAGTGGTTTCAAGGCCCTACATCACCACAGACCTGGGAAGTAACTGGATTTTTTTTTTTAAAGATGATTTTGCTGCTCTTTTCATTTATAGGAGCCACATGCTCCTTGTCTCAAAGGAACATGTAGCCTATTTCAACATAGTCCCAATGGCTAAGTGATAGAAACAACTTTATAAGGCTATTACGTAAAAAAGTAATCTGTTACTACTTTGCATTTCATTTTGTGTTATTTTATGGATGTGTCTTTGGTACTATAATTTGTATTTTATATGAGATCCAGTAAACATCAGGTAAATGTCGAAGTCATTTCATAAACTGTGATAAAATAGGTAGGAATTTAAATAAGCATACGCACCCCAAGACAGCTCGGTTGAAGATCCATAGATTTTCTTTCATCTTAATCATAACCAAAGTTCTAGCTTCTTAGATGGAAATATCTGGATTCATAATTTTACTCTGTCAGATTTCAGCCTGCAATGAGTTTCTCATGTTAATCATAGAATATGTAACTAGGAAGACGTCCTCATTTTCCATAAACATGAAATTTGGATGTGAGGGCATCCTAGCTTCAGCTGTAGGGAAGACAAACCAATCTTTGTACAGTGCAATAAAATCCCACTAAGTTGGTACTTCAGTCAGCTCCAGCCACTGTGGTCACCAGATGGCAGCTGCAGCTGCCTCCAGGTGAGGATGAAGTGCAATCCCAGGGCTGCTGTTGCAGGATCCCAGAGCTGTTGTGTAGCAGCCAGGCAGCTGAGTGTCACCCAGGAGCCCAGCCAGGATCTCCTGTGGGCTCATTCACGAGGTTTTATTACATCTGTTTTACAAATGAGAAGCAGAGGCTGGAGACATAAAGTAAATTGCTTCAAGGCTCACAGCTGGGAAGTAAGATTGTTTAAGAAGCAGAATTTGAACTCAGGCCTTCAGAAATCAAAACCTGAGCTTTTTACATTAAACTTTATTTGACCCAGGCCAAAACAAAAAACAGCCTCTAAAATCTGTTCCCTCATTTATAAAGCAAGAAGAAGAAATGACATGATCTCTCAGTTTCCTTTAGCTCTTCCTGATAGTGGGTTGGGCCTCCTGCTTCCACATATCCCAAGAAGACGAGTTTAATTCCAGAACCATCCTTGTGATGCAGGTACTCTTTGCGGGTAAGCACAGGCTGGTCCTTTCTTCTCCCCTCAGCCTAATGACCCTGAACTTGAATGGAGAACTCCAGTTGAAATCTCAAACTTTAAGACAAATTGAGGCCAGGCGCGGTGGCTCACGCCTGTAATCCCAGCACTTTGGGAGGCCGAGGCGGGCGGATCACGAGGTCAGGAGATCGAGACCATCCTGGCTAAAACGGTGAAACCCCGTCTCTACTAAAAACACACAAAAAAAATTAGCCGGGCGTAGTGGCGGGCGCCTGTAGTCCCAGCTACTTGGGAGGCTGAGGCAGGAGAATGGCGTGAACCCGGGAGGCGGAGCTTGCAGTGAGCCGAGATCCCGCCACTGCACTCCAGCCTGGGCGACAGAGCGAGACTCCGTCTCAAAAAAAAAAAAAAAAAAAAAAGACAAATTGACTTATCTATCAGTTATCTTTGTCTGCATTTTTAAAAAAATAGTCCCAAACTTAGGTGGTTTTCAATAATAACCATTTATTTAATTCATGATTTTGGCAGGTCAGCAATTTTGGTTAGCCTCAGCTGAGCAATTCTGATCTGGGCCAGGCTCAGCTAATCTTAGCTGGGCTTGCTCATGCATCTGCAGTTAGCTGGAACATTAGCTAGAGCTGGCTGGTTTATGATGGCTTCATCTGTGACTGCGAGAATGACTGGGGCCCCTCTCCATGTGGTCTCATGCTTTAGCCAACTGGCCCAAGCTTTCCACATGGCAGTCAAAGTTCTAAGAACACCAGAGCAGAAGTCTCTTGAGGCCTGAGCTCAGAACTGACAAGTCACTTCTGCCACATTCTTTTGGCCAAAGCAAATCACAAGGCCAGCAAACTTGGAGGGGTAGGGAAATGGGCTTCTCCTCTCAATGGGCAGAGCTGCAAAGTACTGTGGTCATTCTTGCAACATACCATAGTGTAGCTGCTCCAGAATCAACTTGGAATGGCAGGGGAGATACATAAGGGAGAGGGAAGATACAAAGATAAATCCAGTTTCCAAAAGGCTATTACTGCAGCTCTTTTCATACCTCGCTTCTCATCTTTCCAAGTCTCTCCTCCTCAGACAGGATAATGTTTTCTTTTCTTTTTATTTTCTTTTTTAATTGACTCATAATAATTGTACATATTTATGGGATACAATGTGATGTTTTGATCATTACATAATATATTCATTATGTAATATATACATATGTATGCAAATGTAGTGTATACATTATGTAATGATCAAACCAGGGTAATTTGCAAATCCATCACCACAAATACTTGTCATTTCTTTGGGGTGAGAACATTCAAAATCCTCTCTTCTAGTTATTTTGAAATATACAATATCTTATTTTTAACTATAGTCCTCAGCCTGAAGACCACCACTTGAGCCAGCATGCTAATATTTCAGTCCACCAAAGAGAATTATTAGTATAAGTCTCTCTTTAAATATGATGCTCCAGTCCACTGCTCAGAAAATTAAATTTCAAGATACCTGGAAATGACTAGCTTGCCTTTCTTTTCCTTCCTCACTGTTTGGTTGAACTAATCTCTCTCATGAGTTGTCATCACAGAAAACGTTTTTACCCTCTCCCTGACCAAATTCTTAATTAGTGAAAAATATTGTATATGCAATTCTTGATTACATTATCTTGGATTTTCTACACATAGATTTTAATTTTATTTGCATTTCTAAATATATGAAGGCTCAGAATAAATTGGATTAGGAAAGCGGGATGTTTGGGTGAATATTATTAAAATGGATAAAGCGTAATTAAATTAAACCTAGCAGAGGAATAATATCAAATTTGTAAGGGCAACTGCTTTGTCTATCCTACCACCCATTTAAAAATTTAGAAAAAGAGCTAATACCATCTTTTCTCAGGATGTTCTACAGAGCAAGAGATAAAAGAAGTATTCAGGCCAGGCACGGTGGCTCACGCCTGCAATCCCAGTACTTTGGGAAGCTGAGGCGGGCAGATCATGAGGTCAAGAGATTGAGACCATCTTGGCCAACATGGTGAAACCCCGTCTCTACTAAAAATACAAAAATTAGCTGGGCATGGTGGTGCACGCCTGTAGTCCCAGCCACTCAGGAGGCTGAGGCAGGAGAATCGCTTGAATCTGGGAGGCAGAGGTAACAGTGAGCTGAGATTGCGCAACTGCCCTCCAGCCTGGCGACAGAGTGAGACTCCATCTCAAAAAGAAAATACATATATATTCATAAATGTTTTTAGAACAGTACATTTTCTTGGCATTTCATTCTAGGGGAAATGTTACAAACTGGTTAAACTACAGATTTTCTTAGAGCCAATGAAAAATCATGATCATTTTTTAAAAAGAGAGATATGGGTCCAAATAATAAAACTTTACTTACTTAGTGTAATACCTGGGGCGTACTATATTTCATACTAAGACACCACCAATTGTAAGACACACAAGTATTTTATGTTCTGAGGAAGAAAAAAAGAAAACTTACCAATATATATTATAATATGTCCTGATGGAAGTGAGGTGGGAGGAGATGTACATCTTAGAATCAGTGAAATATGATGTTGGGTGCTCAGTTAATATTTGAAGGAAGGATGGATGAATGGATGGATGGATGGATGGATGGATGGATGGATGGATGAGTACTTGATCTTAACTCTTCAAGAGCAAGAACTCAGGTTGGCTCGTGTATATCCATCAAGGTAGCTTGCTTGGTGGTAGTTTCACGTGGTGTTTAATAAAGGTTTATATAGTTGAAGCAATAGTATTAAGGACATGTAAATTTAAAAATGAGAAAAAAAAAGGGAATGAAATACTAAGTAAGCCATGACAGTGGAGCAGTGTATGAGACAGAGTCTCAATTCCTTTAGGTCTTTATCAAATCATTATATTTAAGGGTGGGGAAAACTCCAGGATTTATATTTGCTTCAGGAGAACAAGTTACTTTCTTTTAAAATTTCACTGATTTCCCAGAATGAAACTTTTTTCAGAAGTCTCTATTACAAGATATTTGAGAGCCAAATTACTAAACTGGACTTTGAAAATGATTTTACAGAATCATAATACTAGAGCTAGAAGAGCCTATAAAGATTAAAGTCCAGCTGCCTTGTTTTAGAGATGGATAGACATTCATACATTTATTCATTTCTGAAACATTTCCTGGTGCCTAACATATAGCCCACACTATGCTAAGTACAGAGGATTCAACATTGGAGGAGACAAAATAAGTCAATAATGAAATCAATGGATGAATGCCACAATACGGACAGGATGAGGTGCCGTGAGATCACAGAGGAGGAGAATCTGAATAAGGAAACCAAGCCCAGGAGATAATGTGATTTGTGTAATTTACACAGTTACCTGGGGACATATTTTGGTCATGGCTCAGTAGAGAGATTCATGAGATACACTTTTATTTTTGATATTAGTGTTCTCTCATTTAGTAACTTGTACATTGCTATAACTTTCTCCTCTCCAGCTGACACTTGGATGATTCCAGGCATTTTATCTTCAGGATTCCCTAACATTTATAGATCTTCAGTGGCTTCTATTTTCTATTTTTTAAAATAAAATAAAGTAAAATCCTTACGTCTAGGTGTGATGGCTCACACCTGTAATCCCAGCACTATGGGAGGTCGAAATGGGAGGATCACCTGAGGTCAGGAGTTCAAGATCAGCCTGGCAAACATGGCAAAACCCCATCTCTACTAAAAATACAAAAATGAGCCAGTTGTGGTGGTCACGCACCTGTAGTCCCACCTACTCAGGAAGCCGAGGCAGGAGAATCGCTTGAACCCAGGAGGTGGAGGTTGCAGTGAACCAAGATCATACCACTTCACTCCAGCCTGGGTGACAGAGCAAGACTCTGTCTCAAAAAAATTTTTTTTAATTAAAAAAATAAAATCCTTAGCTTAGTCTTCAAGATTGTTTATAGTAATGGCGCCATCTTATTTTTGCAAGTCTTAGCTTTTGGATGTTCTATTTCAGCCACGCCGAAGTAATCACTATTTTCTGAACACATCTTGGCCACTCCCATCCCCATTCGTTTGCTCAGGTTCTTCCCCTAGCCTCTGTACTGGTGACTTGTCACCATCTTTCATGAGGCCTCGATCATTTTAGCCCTCCTCTGTATACTGTGGAGACAGAGTGGTGAGCTGCTTATTGATCTGCAGTACTAACAGCATGACTCTGACATGTTGGTAATAAGATCAGATATTAATAATACCCTCTGATGGTGCTATTGTGAAGATTAGGTAAGAAAAAGTTTGCAAAAACTTATAGGAGAACTGGATACAATGTCTTTTATTCTATTCCCTTCTAATTCCTTATGGAGTTTCTTTTATACCACCTATTACCTACTATCTCACTGCTGTTTATATATATTTTCTTTCTCAGGAACATTGCTAGGGAGCAAATGTAGGAATCATGTTTCTGTTTATCTATGAATCATCTATAATACGTAACATACTATCCTATATATAGCAGGCTTCAGTCAAGTTTTTGAAAGGGTAAATGAAGATTGGAAGAGCTGGATGGATGAATGGATGCATGACGCCATGAGGTTTAACTGTGGCAGCATTTGTACTTATGCCCACAAAGAAGTTAGCAACATTCCTACAGCAAACTTCCATGTAAAATAACTACCAGCAGTTCTTCCTTAAACATTCTCTTCTCTTTGAGAAGGAACGTCTTTGCACATCAACCTGATCAAGACTTTTTAAAGAGCAGAAAGGTCGTATCCTAACAAGACACTTTAAAAAGTGGCTTCATAGCCAGGCATTGTGGGTGGGGGCGCCTGTAATCCCAGCTACTCAGAAGGCTGAGGCAGGAGAATCACTTGAACCCAGAAGATGGAGGTTGCAGTGAGCCGAGATCGTGCCACTGCACTCCAGCCTGGGCGACAGAGTGAGACTCCGTCTCGAAAAAAAAAAAAAGAGCGGTTTCATACCACATTCTTGAGGCTGATTTCTTTTATTGCTCTACATGGTTTCCAAGGAGGGGCTTTCCGGAAGGTCGAGATGAGGCCTAGGGAGTGTGGCAGCAAGGGACAAGGTCAGCCCTTATGTGTTCTAGACAGAGTGCTTCATTTAATGTAACGACCTAGACAAAATCAGAGGCTTTACTGGCCTCCTTCAATTTGAGTCAGAAGGAATTGTCTCAAAGCTCACTTCTGCATAAAGACCTGATCTCAGCAGCCGGCCAAGTGTGTCTGGTCTTACTCTGCCTACAAACATTAGCAAACTGTGTATCCAATTCTGCCAACCACAGTAAAACCTCATTAAGTACACAGTGTCAACAGAGAAGCCTGCTTTTCAAAATAATGGACTATTTAGCTTCACAGCTGGGATTCATCTCACCCTACAAAGCGACATTCCCATCGTGGCTTTCCAAATGTAAGAAGCAAGTCCTCATGTTATAAAATTATATGTAAGAAAGAGATATAGACACTCTCCCACTCCTCAGGTTATGGTTGAAAATGCATTTGGTTGGAATAGTGCCTTGAACAAAATGGGCATTTCACAGATTTTTTTTAAGCTCAGTGGCAAGCACCATAGATATTTTTTGAATGCATATTGAATAAAGTTTGGTTCAAAAAGCTATTTTGAAGGATTTATTTTGTGACTAGCAATAACACTGTTCCTTTTCTCTCCAGAAAGCATTACACTACTTCTTAAAGGCAGCAAAGGCCGGGAGTGCAAATGCCATGGCATTTATAGGAAAGGTACATGCTTCATCTTGATTCATTGTTTTCATTTATTAAAAACCTAAGAAATTAAACTGGGCATAGCAGCGTGTGCCTGTTGTCCCAGCTACTTGGGAAGTTGAGGTGGAAAGATCATTGAGCACAGGCAACCAGCCTGGGCAACACGGCAAGACCCTCATCTCAAAATAATTAAAATTTAAATTTAAAAATTAAAAATCTAACAAATTAATGATACCAGCTCATTGAACCCATTGTAGAGGGACAGGGCAGCAGGCCTCTTTCACGGAAGCGGCTAAGTGGGACATCTGGCTGCAACCCGAGGGTGATATTCTTGAGGTGACAGTTTGGGAAGAAGCCCCATATAACAGCAGCCTTTATCTGGGGCACCAAAAGCAGCCTTAAAAGTGCACCTTGGCCGGGCACGGTGGCTCACGCCTGTAATCCCAGCACTTTGGGAGGCTGAGGCAGGTGGATTGTTTGAGGTCAGGAGTTCAAGACCAGCCTGGCCAACATGGTGAAACCCCCGTCTCTACTAAAACTACAAAAATTAGCTAGGTGTGGTGGCGGGTGCCTGTAATCCCAGCTACTTGGGAGGCTGAGGCAGGAGAATCACTTGAACCTGGGAGGCAGAGGGTGCAGTGAGCTGAGATCACGCCACTGCTCTCCAGCCTGGGCAACAGAGGGAGACTCCGTCTCCAAAAATAAAAAATAAAATAAAAATGTGCACCTGGCCCAGGGCTCCTCCTCTGAGCGTAGCTATGAGCCTATGACCACCCCACTCCCCAATATGTAAGAGGAGATCCAGGTTGGTTGAGCACTGGAGACCGGGACAGGTCTCAGCCCAATCAGGCCCTTCTCTGCTCTACTGCTGGAGTGTGAATCAGCTCCAGGCTGACCAGAGCTATCCTTATGCCACCTCTGATGAGAGGCCTCCTGTGGCTGCAGAGTAGCCTGGTGGAGGGTTCCTCTGGAAAGGCATGTTCTTCTGTCTCCTTCAAAGACTATTCACTCCCCTGTGTGCCACCCTTGGCTCCCTGCAGCCGATTTGCATTAGTAACCATAGGGACGAATGTCCTGCTTCCTAAGTGCAACATACAGTAAATGTAGATGCAAAAAAAAAAAAAAAAAAAAGAGAGAGAGAGAGAGAAAACACAAACAGGGTCCATTTCTTTGCCCTCAGGCAGGGTCACTCCAGAAGTCTGTAATAAATGGTACTCTTACTTTTTCTTGTTTTAAATTGAGGTAAAATGTAAATATGTAAATAACACAAAATTGACCACTTTATACAATTCAGTGGCATTTACAGTGGCATTTACTACATTCAATATGTTGTACCACTGTTACCTCTATTTCATTTTAAAATATTTGCATTACTCTCAAATTATTTTGTTTTTTCTATCCTCTTTTCATTTTTCTTCCTAGATGTATTTAGAGGGGAATGCTGCCGTGCCGCAAAATAACGCTACTGCCTTCAAGTACTTTTCCATGGCAGCCAGTAAGGTATGTCCTCAATGCACTGTTGTAAACACATACACACAAATTGCTTTTATTACACGCAGACTGGTGCCAAAGAATTGACTTCGAAGTCCCAAGCCCAGATAATGGGCCTGTAAGGAGTTTTGTGTCCTGGAGAAGTATAATACTGGTGATGGGAGTAAGGGAAGCTACAACTTGCCTTCTTGGAAAATGAAAAATGGCAGTGGCTTGTGCTGCCCTAGCAGAGGCCAGGAGGAGGCCAGACAGAAGTTCAGCCAGACAGAAGTTCAGCTTTCCCCTCTCCCTTATGCAGTAGATGAGGCCATCTAGCTTAGGAACAGGAAACAAAAGAGATGAGGACAGAGGAAGGGAAAATCCAATCAATAGCTGCAGGAAGTTCAAGACAAAGACATCCTAGGAATGTCCAGTTTTCTCCAGTCTCATCTCATCCAAAGGCCAGAGCTCCCTCTGGCCCAGGCGGGAGCTTGTCAGGGAGGAGGCCAGGGCAAGGCGACTGAGAATAGGGATCTGGAGACAGAATCCCTGGCTTGAATGGCAGCCCTAAAACTGACTAGCTGTGTGAACAAGGGCAAGTTACTTAGCCTCTCTGTGCCTCAATTTCCCCATCTGTAAAATGGGAATTTAAGAATATTTGCCTGCCAGGCACAGTGGCTCACGCTTGTAATCCCAACACTTTGGGAGGCTGAAACAGGCAGATTGCTTGAGCTCAGGAGTTTGAGACCAGCCTGGGCAACATGGTGAAACCCCATTTCTACAAAAAATACAAAAATTAGCCTGGCATGCTGGCACATACCTGTAGTCCCAGCTGCTCACAAGGCTATGCTTCATTCATATTGTGAAGTACTTAAAGCAGTGCCTGGCACACAGTAAGGGCGCTTTTATCTTTTGCAGTCTGGGGCCAGTAAAGTGGAGTGAACTTCGAAGCACATCCCAGACAGAATGAATTAGCTGTATGAGGGACGATCGAAATGGTATAATATGCCTCCTGCATCGAAGTCTTTGCCTCTGCTCCTGGGGTCCGTGAGGCTGGTATCTGTCAGATAAGACTTAGTAGACTCCTTTGAATCCCTTTCATGCATAAAAAATGCCCTCATCCCACACCCATCGGCCTGCTCTTGGCGAATGGCCTTGGTAAACTTTCTAACCCTGCACAGTAGGAAGCATTTTGTTGTCTTACAGTTGCATACTGGAACACTGGCAGTAAAGATGTGCTCAAACCAGGAATCATTTCAACTGTTCTCAGTTTTTAAAAACCCACACACTGCTTTAGGAGCCTATTTATAAGTGACTACCACCTCAGAGCTGCTGCTATTGTGGTGTAAATTACTGAGAAGGCTAGTACTCTGCTCCTCTCCTTTGTAATTTATATGGAATTGTTGCTCAGAAAGGCAGTTATCTGAAGTACCATTAGATTAGGATGACAAGGAAGAGCAGACTGAAAAGGAGTAACATGGAAAATCTCTTATCATCTGGCAAATAACACTGATTTGTCAGCCCATAAGAATAATGCCAGGGAGATGGGAATGTAAATTAACTCAGATTCCAAGCTATTCAGGGTTGTGGAACCAACCAGCAGTGATCTGGGTCTCCGGTGCGCTGAACCCGAGCTACTTTCCTTTACAAAGGAAATCTGAACTTACAATTAAGGTAATTATTCTAAATGGCATTAGGTGGAGATGGCCACATACTTCTTGATCAGCGCCTGAACAATTTATTAGATTTCTCACTCTTACTACTTTTTTAAAAACTGCTTTCTAAATTTGTTTTTAAATGATATCAATACCATGACACAGAGCTACACATTTTACAACATCTTTTGTCTTATTTACTTAGAAACAAGCACAGTGACTGTATGTGACGTTGTGCCCATGTTGGACCACATTCCTCCAGTTCTCTCTTGCGCCCTGAGCATGTCAGGCCCGTCCCCATCTCCATACTTTTGTCATCTGCCTCCCCTTCCCAGACTCTCTTATTCTAAGTCCTACTCATCCCCAGAGCGGAGCCCAATCCTCCCTTCATCCACAGAGCTGCCCCTGCCCTTGCTGGCTCACATGATCTCTTTCCTGTTCTGAACTTACCCTGCGTTCACTCCTGCTGCTGGGATTTAACTGCTTCCTACCTGTGGCTTCTCCCCTCCTGTCCAAAGGCCATGTGTCCTCAACTAGAGGAGGGCAAAGGTCCTGCCAGGGGGTTATTAAATAAAGGGGTCCAGGGCAGGGGATTATTAAATATTTGCCAAAGAAATGCCTGTCTGCTCCCTGGCTTCATGTCAGCTAACCTAAGCAAGAGCATTACACCCTGAAACAGCAGGTGTATACTGCAGGGTTTGGCTATACATATGGCTTTTCTGGCCCAGAAAGTGTTTTAAAAATCAGTAAACTGGCCAGGCATGGTGGATCACGCCTGTAATCCCAACACTTTGGGAGGCTGAGGCAGGCGGATCACCAGGTCAAGAGATCGAGACCATCCTGGCCAACATGGTGAAACCCCATCTCTACTAAAAATACAAAAATTAGCTGGGCATGGTGGCACATGCCTATAGTCCCAGCTACTCAGGAGGCTGAGGCAGGAGAATCACTTAAACCCGGGAGGAAGAGGTTGTAGTGAACTGAGATCATGCCACTGCACTCCAGCCTGGCAACAGAGCAAGACTCTGTCTCAAAAAATAAATAAATAAATAAATAAAAATAAATGAGTAAAATTCACATCCAAATCTAAACATCTAGCTTTTCTTGAAAATGGCAAAAGCTAGCTAGGCATGGTGGCTCACACCTGTAAATCCCAGCACTTTGGGAGGCTGAGGCTGGTGGATCACTTGAGGTCAGGAGTTCGAGACCAGCCTGGTCAACATGGTGAAATCCCGTGTCTACAGAAAGTACAAAATTAGCCAGGCATGGGGGTGCATGCCTGTAATCCCAGCTACTTGGGAGGCTGAGGCATGAAACTCACTTAAACCCAGGAGGCAAAGGTTGCAGTGAGCTGAGATCACTCCACAGCACTCCAGCATGGGTGATAGAGCAAGAGTCTGTCTCAAAAAAAAAAAAAAAGAAAAAAGAAAATGGCAAACGCTGATGAAACAGGACTGCCATTCCATGTGGCACCAACCAGCTGGAGCAGAGGAACTGAGAGCTGCTGCTGCCTTCACACAGGGCAGGGACTCCACGTGTCTCCATCTGCACCACTGTCTCCACTACCTGGCATATTTTATTTCTTATATCACCGGCATGGTTCCTGCAGGTGTCTGAACTGGCCACTCTTCGCCTGACAAGTTCTAAATAGGCACACTGGGCCTTAAACAGTGATGGGTAATTCACTGAGTCCCTGGGATCCCAGGGACTCCCTTAGAGGAGAAAGTAATTTGTCCCTGCTATTCTAACATTTCTCCTTTCTCTCTCCCTTCTTCCTTCCCTCCTTTCATATCTGTTTCCTTCCCTTCTGTATTAGTCCGTTCTCACATTGCTAATAAAGACATACCCAAGACTGGGTAATTTATAAAGGAAAGAGATTTAATTGGCTCACAGTTCAGCATTGCTGGGGAGGCCTCAGAAAATGTACAATCATGGCAGAAGGGAAAGCAACCACGTCCTTCTTCACATGGCGGCAGCAAGGAGAAGTGCCGAGCAAAAGAGGGAAAAGCCCCTTATAAAGCCATCAGATCGCATGAGAACTCACTCACTATCACAGGAACAGCAGCACGGGGGTAACCGCCCCCATGATTCAATTACCTCCCACCAGGTCTCTCCCATGATGCATGGGGATTATAGGAACTACAATTCAAGATGACATCTAAACAAGGCTAATTAGAAGAAGACAGACTCACTAGACTTTGCCACATCCATCACACTGATCCTTACTACTTCCAGAGCAGAGCAACTCAAGACTCCCAGAACCACAGGAGATATAGCCAGGAGAGAAGAGGGAAGAAGAGAGCAGAGTTATACCACCTGTTTTAAATACAGATGGACTGTCCTTAAGAACCCTTACAATAGCAGATCATTTCATATGATAGGCTCAAAATTTGGAGTCTTGAAACCACTTTTGAAATATGCCTTCTCTATTTATGTGCTATTCCTGTGTTACTGAGGGTTACTCCGGCTGCATCTACAATAACTAAATGTAGGTGGTAAGAAGAAATTTGGAGAGCTTTTTATTAGAACATAAGTTCCTGCAGAAATACTAGGAACCTGTAAAACATACCTACAGATCTGCTGAATCAAAGTCAGTTGGTCGGCAGGGTGCGGTGTCTCACGCCTGTAATCCCACCACTTTGGGAAGCTGAGATGGGTGGATCACTTGAGGCTAGGAGTTTGAGACCTGCCTGGCCAACATGATGAAACCCCATCTCTATTAAAAATACGAAAAACAGCTGGGCATGGTGGCGTGCACCTGTAATCCCAGTTACTCAGGAGGCTGAGGCAGGAGAATAGTTTGAACCAGGGAAGCAGAGGTTGCAGTGAGCCGAGATCACCTCACTGCACTCCAGCCTGGGCAACAGAGTGAGACTCCGTCTCAAAAAAAAAAAAAGAAAGTCAGGTGGTCAATCATGGTTTCTTACTGTAGTCACTAGAGGGTGAAATGCGTGATAGGACATGGAAAGAAAAAGGAGTTTTCTCCTTGAGTAAGTCACTTTCAAGGTTCACTCTTCATCCAAAATTGATATGCTAAATATCAATATATTTGAACATGTGCTGAATACTAAATGTGCTAAATACTCCCTTCCTTAGAGTATTCCAATATTAATCAGAAAATAAATAGTAATTAATTTAGCATCAAGTGGAAAAGGAAACATCGGGGATGTTATAAGCAATAAATTTGAATAAAGAAATATACCAACGATGCTTTACTATCTGTAGTGGCTGGATTGTAATCCACAGAGTCTCTAAAATGTGATTAGGCCATTTACGTCAACCTCTGTAGACCTGAGTAGGTAACAAGTGTCTGGATAGACTTCTCCCTTCTGGAAAACTCCTACACATCCTTTAAGACCTAGCTCAAATGTCACCACCCCTGACAACTTGATCTCCTTCAATTCCTAGTCTAAATCAGGCAATAGAGTGTCCCTCTTCTAGGTGTCTGCAACACTCTCAATCTATTTCTTTTTTTTTTTTTTTTTTTTTTGAGATGGAGTTTTGATCTTTCGCCCAGGCTGGAGTGAAGTGGCGCAATCTCGGCTCACTGCAACCTCCACTCCATGGGTTCAAGCAATTCTCCTGCCTCAGCTTCCCAAGTAGCTGGGATTACAGGTGTGTGCCACCACACCCAGCTAATTTTTACATTTTTAGTAGAGACAGGGTTTCACCATGTTGGCCAGGATGGTCTCGAACTCCTGACCTCAGGTGATCTGCCCACCTTGGCCTCCCTAAGTGCTGGGATTACAGGCATGGGCCACCATGCCCGGCCTCAATCTATTTCAACTTTAGGACTTACCACATTTGACAGGACTCTAAGAGGTCTGACCTGCCCCTCCCCTTTGATATGGCTCAGAGCCCCCTAGCGTGTGAACTCTTCAAGGCAGGGATCATGGCTTCTTCATCTTTTACCTTTCACCTGCTACCTCTGCCCAGTGCCTACTATGGAATCATACACAAAACAAGTCCTAAATAAGTGTTGAATACAAGAATGGAGGAAAGGTTTGACTTCTGTTTCCCTCTTCCCTTTTCTAGCCAGAAGGTTTATGAAAGTATAAAAGGAGGAACTAGAGTGGGTCAGAATAACCTGCCAACTGCCTTGATTAATCTCTTACTGGGTGCATGTCAAATATTTTGAAAAATTTTGCAGTAATTTTCCTTATCATGAATTCTTCTGGGACTTTACTTGGCTTTATAAAACTCTTCTAGGGCAATGCAATCGGCCTTCATGGGCTTGGTCTTCTTTACTTTCATGGAAAAGGAGTTCCCCTGGTAAGTTAAATTATTTTATTATCTTTTTATTTGTAGCAATTTACAGGGTAAAATTCATGGTCATTCATTAGTTTAAAGGAATTTATCTCTATTATCTGGTTTGCCAAACTGTGATATCAGATAATAGAGAATAAAATAATCCAGTGAAATCTCTGCCAAAGAGACACTGAAGAACAAGCTTGTGACAAGAATAGTAATTCTAATTATAGCTTAGAATCATAGATTCTAAGTAACCTTAGAAATCATCTATCCTCTGAGGACTTTATTGATGGAGAAATTTATCTTCATAGTCTTTTGAGTGACCTTCCCCCAATATCTAACAAAACTTACTGTCAATGTAGAAAAAGACATAATTATGATGAAAATGAGGCATTATTTCCTAATAGAGTCTAATATAATAATGAAATAAAATATATAATGTTTCTGATACTATTTTAATTACCCTAAATCACATAGGGCACTGTCTATACTCTTTTTAAGAAGTGGAAGGCAATTGTTTCCATGGAGTTTTACTTGTGCCTTTGAGTAATAGAGTGTAATTATCTTGCAGAATTATGCCGAAGCACTTAAATACTTTCAGAAAGCTGCGGAAAAAGGGTGGCCCGACGCACAGTTCCAGTTAGGCTTCATGTACTACTGTAAGTGCCACAAATACAGCTGCTTTATTTAGAATGACATATGCATTATTAAGTCTGCTTCTTTTATAACAAACATCAAAGGTTTGGTGTGAGTGGTTTAGACAGAACATTTAGGCAACAAATTAAATAAGAATTTGAAAAAGCCTAAAGAAAAGGACACTGGTTGGGAGGGGGGACAAGGAGGTGCAGAGTCAGGAAGCTTATCTTTGACAAGGTTAAGTTGGAGGTGCTAGCGATATCCCGTGCACATCCCCAGAAGCAAGTACGACACTCACGAGAAAGGTCAAACTTACAGAGAAGGTTCGAGAGGCATCAGCACGCAGCTATTAGTTAAGAGTAGTTGAGGTTGCAAAAGGAAAGGAGCAAGAGGGTGAGAGGAAAGAGCAGTGGGCCATGGTAGATAACTAGTGATCCTCCGTGCTGTATTGAAGGGTAGGCAGGGGAAGTACATCACTGAGAAGAATGGAAAGCCAAGCTCAGCGGAATAGGGAACAAAAAAAAAAAAAGATCTTAATGGAGCCAAGGGAAGAACTTTCAAGGAAGAGTAAATGAATGGGCACCCCTGTGAAATGCAGTGAGAAACCTGGTTTAAAAAACAAGTAAGAGGCCGGGCGTGGTGGCTCACGCCTGTAATCCTAGCACTTTGGGAGGCCGAGGCGGGCGGATCACGAATTCGAGACCAGCCTGGCCAATATGGTGAAACCCCGTGTCTACTAAAAATACAAAAATTAGCCTGGCATGGTGGCGGCTGCCTGTAGTCCCAGCTACTCGGGAGGCTGAGGCAGAATCAAATTGCTTGAACCCAGGAGGTGGAGGTTGCAGTGAGCCTAGATCACGCCACTGCATTCCAACATGGGCAACAGAGTGAGACTCCATCTCAAAAAAAAAAAAAAAAAGTAAGAAAGAATGAAATATGTATGAGACTTGGCAATACAGAGACTGTGGGTGAGGTCATTGGACTGCTTGGGGTGGAAGCCGCATGCCAACGGCATGAACGGAAGATCAGGAAGTTGAGAAATAAAAGTATTCTTGCAAGCAGCATGCCCTTAAAGGGAAGGAAAGAGAAGGAACTCAGCATCAGGGGGACTAGGACCCAGAGGGAGTTACTTTTAAGATGAAGAGACCTGAGCATAATTATAATTGATGGAAAGAGATTCTGAAAAACATTGGTGGTATTAGCACCTGATTAGGCACAGATCAGTGGAAGCCTCTTTAACCGTGATAGATAGACAGGATTGCTTACCCTCAAAGACTGGAGAGAGGGTGGAAAGGATGATGCGAATCTAAGTATGGGGGAATGGGATGGGGAGAGAGGTGAGTGAGGAAAGACAATATGAAGTTTTCTTCAATGATCTAGTAGGTACAAAGTTGACTTCTGTGAGCAAAGGTAGAGTGGTTGGCTAGGAGGTCTTAGAAAGCCATGAAAGTTTGTAACAATCTCTGTGGGGAGTGAGAGAGGAAGTGGCCAAGACAAATACCAGGAGATATGAACATACCTGAGTATCCCCACCAAGTCCTTCATGTCAGAGGAGGAGCCAGGGCAGCAGCAGACCACATCATCAAGGAGGTCACATCCGGTCAAGGGGTCACTGGCATTTTCCACGGTGGCCCAGCAGGAGCACCTGTTTTGTACTATCTTGGGGGGTTGAGGTTGCCTAAGATGGCCTTGTTCTTCTAGTTCATTCCAAGTCCTTGGCTTGGGATCTACCAGATTTCCCAAGTTTCTAGAATAAGAAAAATAGTCATGGCTAATGTATATTAAGTCTTCGTATGTTTTAACTCATTTCGTATGTTTTAACTCATTTGACCCTCTCAACTCATTTGACCCTCTCAACATCTACCGGGTATCCCACAGTGTATCCACTGTGATGAGCAAACTAAGCCAATGTTGTGGTTGGACATCTTGCCCAGGATCACACAGTTGTGGAGCTGGAATTCAAATTCAAGCAATTTGCCTCCAGAGCTTTTGCTCTTAATCGCTACATGGCACTGCTTCTAAAGGCTCCAGTGTTAGAGCTGGAAGATAACTTAAAGACCATCTAAGGAAAGCCTTCACTTTTGCAAATAAAGTGCCTAAATGGCCCAAGTCACAAAAGAACTAATGAGAGAGCCAGGACAAGAATCTTGGCTGCTGGGAGTCTGCTGGTTCTCTGCTCTAGCTTCAAGTGCCTATTCTTGCTCTAAGCAGGAGTTTGGTGAGAGTTCGGCTTCTTGGAGCTGGGATTTACCTGCTGCATACGCCATAGTCATGGCTGGGAGAAGCTATATGGGTGTCCTGATATGGAAGGATCACAAAGATGGCGAGATAAATCATGGTGGCGCTTCGGGTCCTCAGAGACCATCACTTGGTCTCCTTTGCATTAATTTTAGTTATGCCATAGTGAGGAGATACTTTCATAAGACGAAGTAGTCCTTCTTTCTCAATTTTTTTTTCAGAATGGCTCAAGAATATAAATTTCCATATTCTTACTTAGAACCAAACTCAGTGTTCACCCCCACCTTCACAAATAGTGGATTTAGAGTAGCTTGACTTTTGGTTGGCTTTTCCCATTCTATTTAAATAGCAGGCATCACTATGACTATTATATCCATAGATTATAATATAAAAAATAAAGTCAATAAGGGGTGGCTCAAAACAATTTTAATTTTCAGCTGGCTCTGGAATATGGAAGGATTATAAACTTGCCTTCAAATATTTTTACCTGGCATCTCAGAGTGGGCAGCCCCTTGCCATTTATTATCTGGCCAAGATGTATGCAACAGGAACAGGAGTAGTAAGATCATGCAGAACTGCTGTGGAGGTAAATATAATATGCGGCTGTTTTTAAAGCACTTGTCATATATGACACAGAGGAGGTGATACTGTTCTTAAATTGTTGGTGTCTTTGATTTTATAAATATTACCTCTTTTCTTCCAGTTGACAATGTGAATACTGACATTTGTCAGAGGGGAAAAGCAGTGATGTAACTCAGGTTGGGGAAGGGAGACAGAGAAAAGATCTCTCCTCTCTCTGACATTTGGCTTTTCATCAGGTTCAGAGCTCACCTCAACATGCAGTTAAGGAGCTCTGTTTCAGCATTCAATCAAATCACCAGGGCAATTTGGCACTTCTAGTGGGATTGGGAGTTGCTACTTGGGAACCAAAAGGCTAGATTTAGCCTAGAAAATGTAGCCCACTTCTTCCCAGAAAGCAGCATCCTTAGGTTTTTGATGATTTGGATGACAATTGAGAAAGTGAATTCTTTCAGCCTGAGCCAGTGATGCGCTTTCCAAAAGAATGCTTTTAGGACCTTAATGTCCTTCATTGATTTATTAAACACGTCTGCTACACCAGCATAAATACTCTATGTTGCAATCTGGCCCCTCTGAAGCTTATTTCAAAAGCTGCCAGCTAATGATCTATCTTTAGATTTGCTCCTTTGCCAACTTCCTAATGAATTATGTATGGCTAACCTCTTTTGGTTACATAAGGGCTATTCAGCTAAGTTGACATTTGTCCCCCTAGGGCTCTGCACACCTCTCTCACAGTTATGTCACCTACACCCTCCGGCACTGTCTTTCCTTCATTCTCTCCTTTTCACATCAGCTGTGGCCTTATAACTTGCCCTCGCAGAGCAGCAGTGCTCAGAAAGTCCCTTTAAGAACACACACACACACACACACACACACAGACACACACACTAGCGATACATTCTTATTCTTCCAAATAGCCTCCAAGTCAGGAAAGTTTATTATACAAATTTAAAATAAGGCTGAGGAAGTTTCCCTCAAGACAAAAACAAAACAAAACAAACCCAAACACTTCTGATCTTTGTGCCTATAAAAGGTATTAACTCTTTACCCTAAATAATTTGCAAAAGCCATGTTTTAGACCTAAAATCCTTCCCTGACCAGCTGGTAGGAGCTGAAGACTGATTTCCTTTCTCATTTGCCTGGGGTGAAGCATACTGGCTAACTAGTCTCCTTGATTTCTCCTCTCATGTACAGCTTTATAAAGGTGTCTGTGAACTAGGCCACTGGGCTGAGAAATTCCTGACAGCTTACTTTGCCTATAAGGATGGTGATATAGATTCTTCTCTTGTTCAGTATGCACTGCTTGCAGAAATGGGGTATGAAGTAGCTCAAAGCAATTCAGCATTCATTTTGGAATCTAGTAAGATGAGTTAAAATTCTCTGCAATCCCCCAATCATACATATGCATGTATGACTTTACTACAGAGGCATTTTAAGCCTTCCTAATGGAATGTCTCCTCTTTTTAGAAAAGGCTAACATTCTTGAAAAAGAGAAGATGTATCCAATGGCGCTTCTCCTATGGAATCGAGCTGCCATTCAAGGTATGGAACCCAGATAAAAATAAGCACATACCCGGTCCCTGTCCTCTGTTATTCATCACGTTTGCTGTAGCTGCGTGTTTGTGCACATAGGCAGCAAAGGGTAGAATATCAAGTAGGTGACATTTCAAACTATACTGATGTTAGGGTCAGTCTTTGGTGAGAGATCATTTCCAGGAATTTATTTTCCCCATTATTATCAAGGTCCCTGATTCAGCAAGCCATAGGAATTTTTCTATGGCTCTGTCTCCGTGACACCAGAACAGTTCTTTGAAATATACAATTTTACTCAAAAAACCAGTTTTCTTGGTCTGGCTTCACTCATTCATTGCTGAGATCTTGACTGAACTAATCAGAGACATGACCCATGTCTCAATGAGTTTACAAGCAAAATTAGTTATGTATGTATCTAAGGCTCATGTGATTTCTCTATTAAAATATCACATTGATGACTACCATAAACTTCAGATCTTTACTACAATCATTAGCATGTAAGAATAAAAAACCAAACCAAAACAAAACAGATACATGGCAGGATCCTCTCGCTTTTCCTCGAGTTTCCATGTCTCGCTTGCTGGCATCACATGGATAAGGAATATAAGATACCAGTGGTGGGAAAAGCATTGGCAGGTGGTATTTTCATTGCATTGCGATGTCTCTTACTATTTTTCCCCTAAAATTATATTATTAAAAGCAGAGAAATACTGCAAAGCTGTCACCATTGGCATTTGGATATGTGAAAACTCTCTTGCAATAAGAGAGCAATTTTGCTTCCAATTAGGTTTCTTAAAATTGTCTTATGCTAAGGCCAAATCATCCCTTTTCACAGGAAGTGAATAGGATAAAAAATGATTCTCAGCTGACACTAATATGAAGCATAGGAAAAAGTCACAGTGGTGCTTTCTCATATCCAGCTGAGCCGGTAGCACAGCAACAGCCATCAATGCAATTTTAGTGAGACATTCCCCTTAAAAAGTCTATGTTTTATAAAATGCAATGAAGACCTTATTTAGAGTGGGGAAACAATACCCGCAATCTCTCAGCCATGGCCAGTCAGCTCAATTACAACAAATGTGGGTTTATTCCAAGCCAGGAAATGGTGTGGAAATTGCAGCAAGGAAAAGAGACATTGAAAACAAGGGTACATTGAGATATATACATATATATTTTTTTCTTTATCTTTTTCTTTTTTTTTTTTTTTGAGATGGAGTCTTGCTCTGTCTCCAGGCTGGGGTGCAGTGGCACAATCTAGGCTCACTGCAACCTCCGCCTCCTGGGTTCAAGTGATTCTCCTGCCTCAGCCTACCAAGTAGCTGGGACTACAGGCATGCGCCACCACACCCAGGTAATTTTTGTATTTTTAGTAGAGACGGGATTTCACCATGTGGACCAGGATAGTCTTGATCTCTTGACCTCGTGATCTGCCTGCCTCGGCTTCCCAAAGTGCTTGGATTACAGGCATCAGCCTATACCATCGCCCAGCTAGTACATTGATATTAAACTGAATTCCTCAATATAAAAAAGTCAGGCTGCTAAAAATAATCATGTGTCCTAAGAGAGGTCAGGTATAAGTGTCCCTGAAGATATGGCTACTGAGTGGCTCACTTGGGACTAGGGAATCTAATAATGAAATTTTCCAATTAGTCACTGGCCATACTCCTTTTAGCAGTTACTCATGTAAAGAGGGTGCTGAACCATCAGGACTCAGTCACTGCCCTGTGACTGTGAAATCGAAGTGGAAATCCCTCCACTGTCAGTTGATCCCCACAGGAGCCTGTCTGGCTCACCACATGCTGCCAGTCAGCCCCCTTATTAGGGTGGAGCTGAATTCCCCCAAGAACCAGCTTGTTCACTGCCTTCCATTCTTAGAGGCTTCAGGGATCCTGCTTACTGCCTGTACAACTTGACAATGCACAGAATTGTCCTATCTCTTTGTGGTTATAGCCCAGGAGGAATCTTAGGGTCAAAGGAAGGCAGCTTTGGGCAAAATTAGAGATGGAATAGGTTTCTCTTTAGAGCTCCATTGGACCTCCTGCTTCTTCAGACTCCCTTGGGCCTCTTTTCTGGGCACCATTCTTATAAGTTCTTGCTCCCAGTTACTGACCTGTACATTTGGAAGCATCTGGAAAGCAAGCCCTGATAACTAATGTCTTTGCCAGCTAAGAATTTTATAGACCAGGTGCAGTGGTTCATGCCTGTAATCCTAGCACTTTGGGAGACCGAGGTGGGAGAATTGCTTGAGACCAATAGTTCAAGACCAGGCTGGGCAACATAGTGAGACCTCATCTCTACAAAAAAATAAAAGATAAAAAAAATTAGTTGGGTGTGGTGGTGTGCACCTGTAGTTCTAGCTACTCAAGGGGCTGAGGCAGGAGGATCTCTTGAGCCCGGGAGATTGAGGCTGCAGTGAGCCGTGATCACATCACTGCACTCCAGCCTGGGCAACAGAGTGAGATTCTGTCTCAAAAATAATAATAATAATAAATAATAATAATAAAAATTTTATAGTGTTAGCTGTACTCAGAGAGACTTAAAGAAGGCTCATGGTATTACATCTTTTTGAAGTGTCTACATTTTAATAGAAGATTCTAGAAGATTAGAACTTCGGTACCTAAAGGAATAAATTCCAAAGGATGTTATGCACTACATTAGGGCCAAATGAGAAAATTTTGGAAGGAGTCCTATATCACTTAATGCTAGACCTGAGCTCATACAGGGCACTTCCTCTTTTTCTGAGTAAGCCGAGACCATGCTAGAAGGGCTGGCCACAGCTGAGATGGATGTCCTAGATGAGTGTTCCTTCATCTTTCCAATCAACACTCTCTTTGTGGATGGGAACATAGACCCCAAGGGGACCCTTAAGGGTCATCCCTAAGTGGACTTCAAAGACTGAAGTCTCAGATCTTAAAAAGTCACATGAGTTTTTTCTACTTGACATATTCATGTTTGTTGGACAGTCATATTCTAAAGTACTTGATATCTAGGGAAAGCATTATCTAAAAAGTTTCCTTGCATGTCCATCCATTCATTCTATATGTATTTATCAAGTACCATTCCGGGTTCTGGGATTGTGTCAGTGATTAAGAGTTCAAGGTGCTTGTCCTCATGAAGTACCTGCCCTCATATGGAAGAGAGAAAATAAACTAGTAAGCAAATCAGATGACAGTGACATGCTGTGAAGGAAATAAAACATGGAGATGAGGTAGATAACTTCTGGGGTGGGGGCTGAGGAGCACTTTAGACAAGGTAGTCGGAGACGGCCTCTAGGAGAGAAGTGGCATTGGCGCTTCTGAGAATGACGAGAAGCCAGCCACGGGAAGAGTCAGAGTGTTCCAAACCTGCCAGGTAGAGGGCCTTGAGGAATCGAATGCAGGGATCTTGTGCAGAGGGCAGGTGAGGCATAACTTGTAGGTCGTAAGGAGTCTGACTATTATTCCAAGGGCAAAGCAAAGTCATTGGAGGATTTTACACAAGGAAATAACATAACTTGATTTTACATTTTAAAAAGATCATCCTCTAGCTAAACAATATGAGGTTTCTCTTCAGAGCGATTAAAATATTCTAAAATTGTGGTAATGCTTGTACATCTCTGTGAATATATGAAAAACCATTTGACTGTACCCTTTAAATGGGTAAATTGGATGGTATGTGAATTGTATCTCAATAAAACTGTTACATATATACTATATATAACATATACATATATTATACATATATATATATCATGCTGGCTGGGTGCGTCACACCTGTAATCCCAGCACTTTGGGAGGCTGAATTGGGAGGATCGCTTGAGCCCAGGATTTCGAGACAAGCCAGAGCAATATGGTGAATACGGGCATGTTGGTGCATGCCTGTAGTCCTAGCTACTCAGGAGACTGGGGTAGGATGATCGCTTGAGCTTGGGAGGCTGAGGTTGCAGTGAGCTGAGATCATGCCATTGCACTACAGCCTAGGCGACAAATCCAGGCCCTGTCTCAAAAATAAATAAATAAAAATAAAAAAAAAGATCATCCTGGCTGTTGTGTGAAGAACGGGTTGGAAAGTGAAGATAAAAGAAGGGTTTGAAGCCTATTGTAGTATTGTAGGCTGGAATAGGCAGTGGAGGAGATATCAGGAGTTAAGCGTGTTTTAGAGGCAGAACCAACAGGACTTGATGAATTGGCTGATGGAGGCGAGGGAAAAAGAACTAGGAATAATTCCCCTAGACTTATGGCCTGAACAATGGGGGTGCTGTACTGAGACAGGGAAGAAACTGATGATTTTGTTTGGAGGAACGGGTGTAGGGTGCTAGGAAATCTCTGTTGGGCATTTTAAGTTTGAAATCCAAGTGGAGACATCAAGAGGCAATTATAAGAGCCTGGGCCTCAGGGAGAGAGAGATAGTAGATATAAATTTAGAAATAGTTAATAAAGACAGGCAATGGAACGAAACAAGGTCACCCAGAGAAAGAGTTGAGATGGAGCAGATTGTTGGAGAGAGGCGGGGAGGAGAGGTGAGAGAAGAGAAAAGAGGGAAAAGAAGAAAGAGAAAAAAAGGAGTTGGGAGCGAGCCGTTGACATTCCACATTTAGGAAGTGGGCAGAGGAGTCAGACAAGAGTTTGAAATAAAGAGCCCATGCAGTAGAAGGGAAACCAAGAGAAGGCAGTGCCATCAATGCTGCGACAGGACAGTGCTTGGGCAGATGGGGCCCATCACTCCAGTGCTGCTCAGACGTCGGGTAAGATGAGGCCAGAGATGTGGCAATGGATTTGGCTGCATGGAGGTCATCTACCACCTTCAAAATAGCAGCTTCACGGGCAAGGGGGCAGAAGCCAGTTTGGAGTGGGTTGAAGAGTCCATGGGAGGTGAAGCTTTGGAGACAGTGAGTATAGAACACACTTTTGAAAAGGTTCAGTGTAAAGGGGAACAGAGAAATGGGGCATGAGCTAGAAGGAGACACCACAGGATAAAGAGAGGGTTTATTTTTGTTCATAGAAGATGCCAGAGCGTGTTTGAATGGCGGACAGGATTGATCTGGGAAAGAGGGCGACACTGTTGACGCAGGAGAGCAGAGCTTCAGGAGTGACGTCTGAGAATGGGAGGGATGGGGTCCAACTTCCCAAGAGTTAATCTACTTAAAAAAATTAAAAGGTAAAATTGGTAAGTTTTTGTTCTTTAAGAACATTTGGCCGGGCGCGGAGGCTCACGCCTGTAATCCCAGCACTTTGGGAGGCCAAGGCGGGTGGATCACCTGAGGTCAGGAGTTCAAGACCAGCCTGGCCAACATGGTGAAACCCTGTCTCTACTAAAAATGCAAAAAAAAGTTAGCCGGGCATGGTGGCGGGCGCCTGGAATCCCAGCTACTTGGGAGATTGAGGCAGGAGAATCGCTTGAACCTGAGAGGCAGAGGTTGCAGAATGTGCCATTGCACTCCAGCCTGCCAGCCTGGGTGACAAGAGTGAAACTCTGTCTCAAAACAAACAAACAAACAAACAACAACAACAACAAAACATGCATACTATACCATGGATGTTACGCTATAATGAAAACAGTTAGCATTGAGTGTTATATTTGTATTCCATAAAGTATATCTAATTCCAGTTCTGGGGTTCTGAGTGTTTTTGGTTCCTTTTTATACTTGGCTATAGATACATATATATTTTAAAGGACTGAAACAAGATTACTAGGTTGAATTCCTGAGAACTATACATGAATCATTTGAGTTATGATTCTTTTTTCTCTAATATTTCTATCAGGCAATGCATTTGCTAGAGTAAAAATTGGAGATTACCATTACTATGGCTATGGGACTAAGAAAGACTATCAAACAGCAGCCACACACTACAGCATTGCAGCCAACAAATACCACAACGCGCAAGCCATGTTCAATCTGGCTTATATGTATGAACACGGCTTAGGCATCACAAAGGTAATTTTGCTGGTAATAATTCAAACCTAGTAATGACAGCTGTGTGAGAAGACAGAATGTGTAAATGTTTTGAATTTCATTGATGTCATCAATGTAGAGGAAGGAAGGAGAGGACTTAACATTTGCCAAATCCATCCCTTGTGCCAATACATATTACTTACCCTAATATGAACCTTATGAGATAGAAGTTATTTTCTCCATTTATGCCAAGGACATAACTGGTGAGTAGAAGAGATCTAGTCTAGGCCAATTCAACTAGTAAGTTCCTGCTTTTTGCAGCACATGCTTTTTCCAGTAGGCCCTGTCTCCATTTTCCTTCACCTCTGGGCCTTTCTTTCCATTAAAATTTCCACTGGTTCTCAAGCTCTCAGGAACAAGGAGAAAGTGAAAAGAGACCAGAGCTGGATACCAAGGTGGTATTAATCCAGAAAAGTCTTATGAAGCACCTACTGTGTACATGACCCAGTGCTGGATACTCTAGAAAGGCCAAAGAGAGTGAATCTCCAGTCCCCCAAGACTACACTTGACTTGAGGCGATGAGTCATATTCACTTAGAAAAACAGCCAGCACTGCAAGGTGGTATTGAGTAAATCTCTTAGACAGTGAGTAATTAAGGCAGAAGATGACATCAGGGTGTCACAGAGTGAGAAAGATGTATTCAGTATCAATAACGATAATAATAGCCAGGCATTGGGTTAAGTGGGCTATGCGTTTCTGTCATTTACATCACACAACCACTCAACGAGATAAGCCCTAGAACTATCCACTGTGTATGCATCAGGAAGCCACAGCGCAGAGAGGTTATGTCATTTGGCCAACCAGCTTGCGGAGCTCGTCAATGGTGGAGCCAGAATTTGAACCCAGCCCTATCTGACCCTGTTTTTTGGTGAAAGAGTGGGCCTCGCAGTGAGTCATTCTTGGTGGTCAAGCATGTGAGCTTTTCATTCCTGGCTGCGTTTCTAGAGCCAAATAACGTGGGAATTATCGGCTTTCCTATGCGCTCTTCTTTCTTCCGGTTGTGCTAGTAATTGAGAATTATTGGTAGGGAATTTCCTATTTGAGAACTGCTAGTGGTGCACAGTGAAGCCAAGGGCTTCTTATTCAGCGGTATGGATCCCTGCCATCCTGTCCTCCCCTGCAGCCTGCCTTTTGGCTGATCATTTTTCATTAGCCCTGGCACCCTAAGCAGTGGAAAGAATGTCAAATCCAAATCCAGTCTGTTTGCCCCATTTCTAGCAGTGTAAGCTTCCCATGTTTGTAAAATGTGGGTAAGAATGGGACAGGATGGATAGCTAAATTGGATAATTCTTGGGATGTTATTTAGCCATCCCTGGGCCCCTCACCCATTATCCACCTCAGTAAAACAGATATCTGCCCTGCCCCAGGCATTAAGAATAAAATGAATAAGATTTTATGAAAGGGCTTTGTAGTCAAACAGTATGTAGAATGACTGCTATTTAGATCAGAAGGGAATTAGAGCAACTGCTAAGTAAGGCTTCAATAAGATTAAAGCCTTTCTCTACTCATCATTCCTCATGCAAAACATAATAATATGGGAGAAGCACTGTCTATAGAAGGGATAAAGTGACCCCACTCCATGTGTTAAATTCATGTTAGCTTTCCTATCCTTGGCACCACCATGTTATTCAAAAAGGACTTGGTTGCCCTGACAGCTGTATTCGCACCTAGGTGAGGCCATTTTGCCTGAGTCCCTGGGGACAGGCAGGTGTCCTCTCAGGACACAGAGCCAGCAATGCTGGGAAAGGCACACTGCTGGCCAGTGCCCAGCTGGCGGACTGTCAGAGGGTTTGGTTTTCCTCTTTGGAGTCACCACTGATCTGTTTCCTAAGCACTTCCTTCACAATGTCAAATAGTAGTTGTTGAGACACACGTTTCATACATTCAGGAAAACACTTAAGTTTCTCTCTGGCCAGTTTTCTGTTCTTTTCTACCAGGGTTCTTGTTAAATCATGGGTAGTTCATTTTGAGCAGTCTCTTTCAGTCACAAGTCTATTTTTTTTTTCCTACAGAAAGTCTCTACATTAAAAAAAAAAAAAAATCAGGGACTACTCTTAACCTCCCACTTGGATATGAGAATTTTAGGCTGAGCTAATGAGGGACCATTGCCCTTTGTTTTTATTTGGTTTCTTTTGTTTAGCAATTACAAAAATAATAACTGAGTATCCAGAGGTATCTTGCCATCTCAGAGTCAAATTTACAAGGTGCTATCACCTTCTCTAATTCTTAAAATGAATATCCTGATAATTAAAAGCCCAAAGCTTGTTCTAATGAAAGCAAAGAGAGTAGGAGAATAGGCCTTCCCAGCAGTTAAGTCATCAAGTAATTAAGCATTTCTTCAATGAGGCACTTTGCAATCCTCTTTATTAGTTAATCCTCATGCAAACTAGTGAGAAAGATGAGTATAATACCACTATCACAGTGTCTTTGAGAATCAAAGAAGGTGATATGGAATAATGCTTTATAAACATGCAGACATTTAAGACCTCTGGGGAAGAAAGGTATAAATCATCTCTTGGTAAATCAATATTAAAATATGGGTCATTATTTTTATCATCTGTCTTTCAAAAAGGAAGTTGGGGCTGCGATGATGCAGGTGAGCTATCCTAGTAGCTTCACTGAGAAGCGTCTCAGCCAGTGAGCTCCTTGTCTCACTGACTGCATCATTGTTCTGGGAACAATGAATAATGGGAGTGACTGCATCATTGTTCTGAGAACACTGAATAATGCCTGGGGAGGAACTGGGAGAGGACCTGAAGTAGTTCAGAAACACAAGCATTCACACACAAGTTGTTATGAAACTGTTTCTCAGAGGGCCAGGCATGGTGGCTCACGCCTGTGATCCCAGCACACTGGGAGGCCGAGGTGGGCAGATCACTTGAGGTCAGGAGTTTGAGACCAGCCAGGCTAACATGGCAAAATCTTGTCTCTACTAAAAATGCAAAAATTAACCGGGCAAGGTAGCATGTGCCTATTGTCCCAGCTACTTGGGAAGCTGAGGCACGAGAATAGCTTGAACCCCGAAGGCAGAGGTTGCAGTGAGCCAAGATCCAGCCTGGGTGACAGAGCGAGGTTCCCTCTTAAAAAAAAAAACCCCAAAAAACAAAGAAACAGTTTTTCAGTTGATACTTGATTTGTAAGTACTTCGGAAATTGCACCATGAACAAAGCCTGTTGCCCATCCCCTCCTGGCCATCCTTTCTGTCTGTACCTTGGCTCAGGTCTGACTTTCTGCTCACCTCAGCTTGTAGTAAAGACTACTCAGGGGTCTTCAATTCTAGTGTTCTCCCTTTAAATCTGTGACCGAGATGACTCTGTTCACCAAAGATTTGCAATCCCCCATCCATAGTGAGGACTTGTAGCTGGGGTGCACCTGCCTAGTCAAAGACTATGTTCTCCAGCCTCCTTTGGATCCACCTGCTAGCTCTCGCAAGGGCGTGGAAGTGGAAGTGAAAGTGAAGGGTGTCATTTCTGGGCTAAGGCAGCCAAGAAGTAGATGTGGCTGCCCCCAGTCTCTTTCCCATCCATTGGCTGAAGGCGCCAGGAGATACAAAGGCTTTAGGGGACCCCAAAACCAGGTGATGGAAGGAGTTTGGCCCCACAATTACCACATGAAAAAAATTCACCACCAACCAGGAACATACGCTTTGGAATGCTGAATGGGGGAGAAATAAACTTCTATTGTGTTAAGCCATTAAAATTTGGGGATTTGTTACAGATAGCATTATCTTAATAAATAATTCATCTAACAAAGCACTGACAGGTCATTCTTGATAAAGTATAACCTTTACCTCCTCCGTCCTACCCACCCCTCTATCCTACCCTCTCCCCCAAATAAAACCGCCAAAAAATACAAACAAGCAAACATACAAATAAAAAGAATCTTATTTACTTTTTATTGCTAAATGAAGTCCAGACTTCTATTCCACATTCAAAGCCCCCAGTGACCTAGCCTACCTTGGTAATAGTGGTGTGATATAGCACTTTGCCCTATATAGATTCTAGGCTACTTATTCCTTCCCCTCAAAGACCTTGACCTGAGCCCTCCTGAGATATCATCCTTTTGCTGGAATGATCTTACCCCATATTTATGCCCATTGAAGACTAGTCCATTTTTCAAAGAACAGCTCCAATGTCATCTCCTCTAGGAATCCCTCAAGGAACCCCAGATTTTTTTTTTTTTTTTTTTTTTTTTGAGACGGAGTCTCGCTCTGTCACCAGGCTGGAGTGCAGTGGTGCAATCTTCGGTCACTGCAACCTCTGCCTCCCAGGTTCAAGCAATTCTCCTGCCACAGCCTCCCAAGGAGCTGGGACTACAGGCACGCACCACTATGCCCAGCTAATTTTAGTATTTTAGTAGAGATGGGGTTTCACCATGTTGGCCAGGATGGTCTCAATCTCTTGACCTCGTGATCCACCTTCCTTGGCCTCCCAAAGTGCTGGGGTTACAGGCGTGAGCCACCACACCTGGCTAGAACCCCCAGATTTAAAAGATATCTACTTCTAAACCATCATGGTATTGCACTCTGCTTTTCATTCATTTATTTATTCACTCAAATATTTATCAAGGACTATTTCCTATATCAGGAAGCACTGTGCTTGGTTCTGTGGATACAATAAGAACAAGACAGCCTTCAAAGAGCTCACAGTCCACTACAGAAGAGACTTGTCCATAGCTATAGTTAAGCCTAAAATGACAGTCATGTATAGGCACACGCACACTTGAAAAGAATTAAAAATAAAGTACCATAAGTATGTTAAAGATTACCTCTTTAACATACCTACCAGCTAACTCAGGTAGGGGAATCAGCACTGCCAGGTCCTGTTCAAAAATATTTTTGTACCATGGAGTACGAGAAACATATGACAACCTTTTTACATGGAAGAAATCAGGCCTGTTTAAAGACAATGGATAGGAAAGCTGTTCTAAAGTATGGCAGAAAGGTGGGGGAAATTATCCTTTGGGGAAGAGTTTCAAATACATATATGTAGACCTACTAGGTAACATGTATTTTTGGATTCTGCAGAGAAAACAAAACCACATCTACCAAATAAATTATCAATAGACCTGTCAAAAATAAAAATGATTATGACACAATGCATTTTTATTTCTCATTGGTCTGGTCTGACCACCCATGGAGTGTTACAGCTGAAGCTTTAAACACCAGAATTATTTTCTGGAAAGGATAAGTTAAAATTAGGTATTTAAAATGGCCCTCTCAGAAATATGGCAGGACAGAAAACACATTTCTTAGAAATGATCATAACTTTTCATGAAATAAACATCTATCATCTAGGGAAATAATCAGAAATATGCACAAACAGTATTTTGTGTGTGTATAGCTTTATTAGTTACAGAACAAATTTCTACAAGTAACGAGAATGCTCCAAAATAGAAGCCATGTTATATACGTTATTGTATAGTGGTATACTATTCCACAATGTACTTTGTGGCCTAGTGATTAAGTGAGAATACTAGAAGCAGACAACCTAGGGACAATCTGAGATTTGAATCCCTGCTCTGCCACTTGCAAGTCATATAAATTTGAGTAAGTGACTTTCTCTCTGTGCCTCAATATCTTCATTTTCAAAGTGAAGTTAATAGTATCACCTGTCCTATAGAATTGTCCTGAAGATTAAATGACAGTGGTAACTGGCACACAGTAAGTATTTAATACATATTAACCATTATTACAATATACTCTGCAACCGTTAAAAATATTGTAGACTAGGCTGGGCACAGTGGCTCACGCCTGTAATCCCAGTACTTTGAGAGGCCAAGGTGGGCAGATTACTTGAGTCCAGGAGTTCAAGACTAGCCTGGGCATCATGGTGAAACCCCGTCTCTACAAAAAAAAAAAATACAAAAATCAGCCTGGCATGGTGGCACACATTTGTAGTCCCTGTAATCCCAGCTACTCAGGAAGCCCAGATGGGAGGATCGCTCAAGCCCTGGAGGTGGAGGCAGCAGTAAGCCAAAAGCCTGCCACCGTACTCCAGCCTGGGCAACATGGTGAGACCCTGTTTTCAAAAAAAAAAAATTATAGGCTAGCGGAATATATTAGGACACTGCATATTATTTGAAATATATTGTTAGGTTAAGAAAACAGAAGATGTAATATTATGCTGAGTAAAAAATTTCTAAATTAAAAAGTATGTATATGTGAATATACATGAAATGCTAGAAGAATGTGTATAAAATATTACCAGTAGTTATCTCTGTACAGTGAGATTGTGGGTGGCTTTTTTTCTTATTTGTTCAGTTCTATATTTCCTAAGTTCCCTCTAATTAACATATGATATATTTATAAAAAGAAAATAAGAATAAATTAGTCAAAAACGACCTTCCCATTCACATGCTCTGTCCCAGTATAAGAAATTTTTTTTATGACATCCAAAGATTTGGGGCTGGAAAACTCCTGCATCGGGCAATTGTACAATTTTCATAAACCAGCTATTTTACTGCAGAAGAATTCTGTATCTTTGAATTAAAAGAAGCTATTTTGAACATCTGAATATTGGGCAGTATCCACATAACATTTTAGTTAAAAACATGTTCTTTTAACAAGAGTCTGCAGCTCGGTTTACATAACCTCTTTAATCACTGAATTTAAAGCAAAATAAACTCAAATGTACCACAGAAAAGTTAAATCTAAGTGGACTGGGTATGTAGTGGACTTCTCATTTAATGAACTGTGGTCATCTTCAAAACACCATCTGGAGGAGATTTTTTTGTTTGCATGACTTAGATTTTTTTACTAAATAGGGTCAAAGAATGAGGAGTCTTTTCTAGTCTAGTACTAAAATTTCTTTTATGAGTTGCCCTAGTTAGCTAGAAGCATTCAAGAATTTCCTTCTCTGGGAATTTTAAAGAAAGGCTTTCACATCACCCCCCAGCCCCACACACACTGCAAATTGTGAGGTCTCCTGGACAAGGAGTGAGTTCATCCCACTTTAATGGTATTTCTCACTATTTTTTACTATAAAATACTAAATGACTGAATTGTAATGCTTCTACCGCAAGACATAAGTGAATAACTATTGACTGCCTCAAAACAAGAAATAAGCATGAATGCCTGAGATTTTCCCCGAATGTCCCATCCAAGTCAATATGTCTTTCACGTGTGCAGCATGAAAGCTGTTATCATCTGCAGGGTGCTTTCAAATGAACACTGAATTTGTTGGAATCAGAGACACAAATTAGGGTTTTTACAACATCTATTTAATGTTGCCAGGAAGATTTGTTCCAATCTCCTGAATTGTATTTTAAGCAAGAACTTTCCTCTTTCTTCAACAAATCAATTTACCAGACCATAAAGCTTTGGAAAATATTTAAGCTATAATAAGCAGAACACAGCTGAGAGAAGACATCACCCCCACCCCCCGCAAAAAAACACAGTTTTAACAGCATCCTCAAGGATTCACAAGTATCAAAGCCTAAGTAATGGAGCAAGAAAGACAGATATTAGGATGACCACAGTTTGTGAAAAATTCCTCTTCTTCCCTTTCTTTTGAAAATAGCCCATGGGCACCCAAGCAAAATCTAATTCTGGGACTGGCCCAGGGCACTTTCACCTTTAAAAGCAGCTCCACCTTGTCTACGGTCACTCTGTTTGGGCAAACCAAAAATAAAGCAACACATAAAACAAGGCATGAGTAGATGAAAAAAAAAGCCATGGCATAATTCATGAAAAAAAAAAGCTCCTGAAAATATAGTACTATATCATTTGAGGACTCTGTCTTCAACATGAGAGCCAAAAATAGTTTCTTCATCATCCTGTAAGTATTATCAAAGACCTACTGCGTACTAGGCACTTCATTGAGGACTGGGAATTCAGGGGTGAACAGACAGTCCAAGCCCTTGTTTTTGAGGACCTGGAGACAAACAAATGAATAAATAAATTCTAGAACTTCAGGTATGGTAAGTACTATGAAGATAATGAGAATTGTAGATAATGATTACTAACTACCTGTATTCTGACTTATTTTAGAGAACTGTACAATTTTTTTTTTCTTTTGAGACAGAGTATCACTCTGTCATCCAGGCTGGAGTTCAGTGGCATGATCTTGGCTCACTGCAACCGCTGCCTCCCGGGTTCAAGCAATTCTCGTGCCAAATAACTGGGATTACAGGCATGCACCACCACACCTGACTACTTTTTGCATTTTTAGTAGGGACAGGGTTTCACCATATTGGCCAGACTGGTCTTGAACTCCTGGCCTCAAGTGATCCACCTGCCTTGGCCTCCCAAAGTACTGGGACTACAGGCGTGAACCCCCCTGTGCCTGGCCCTATTCTCCACCCTATTTGTTGGAATCACAACTAGGAGCTGTTCCAGGGGTATCCAAGAAAGCTTTCTGGAGATTGTGTTAGTTTTCTATGCTTGCTGTAACAAATCACTACAAATTTGGGGACCTAAAACAGCACAAGCTTATTATCTCACGGTTTCTGTAGGCCAAAAGCCCAGGTGATCTGACTGGGTCTTCAGTTTGGGGTTTCACGAGGCTAAAATCAAGGCTGTTCTTTATTGAGGGCTCTGGGGAAGAATCCACTGCAGGGCTCATTCCGGTTGTTTGGTGGAATTCAGTTAATTGAGGTTGTAGGACCAAGGTTCTTGTTTCCTTATTGGCTGTCCAAATTCCTTCTCATTCCATGTGGCCCCTTCCAACAATGGCAAGTTGAGTCCCTCATGCTGAGAATCAATCTGAAGTCTCCCTCCACCACATCTCTCTTTCTTCCATCCCCAGCCCTGAGATAACTCTGTTTAAAGGTTCATTTGATTATCTGAGGTCCACTTGGATAATCCATGATAATCTCCCTATCTTAAGACCTGTAACCTTAATTACATTTGATATTGTGAACAATGGTGTCTGTTTACTTACCCCTACAGAATCTGATGGGTAGGGCTATTCTTCTCCTTCTAGGACATTCACTTGGCCAGAAGATTGTACGACATGGCTGCTCAAACGAGTCCAGATGCCCACATACCTGTGCTCTTTGCCGTCATGAAACTGGAAACTACGCATTTGCTCCGGGATATCCTGTTTTTTAATGTAAGTTTGTCTTGAACAGGTCCTGAATCTCTGAAAGTCTCCAGTGAGCAACTCTTAGGGACAAAGTGACAAGGCCCATCAGGGAGTCTCTTGTGGACTGGCTTTCCTTTGAGAAGTAAAATTCAGAGTCTTACACTTGCCATGCAGAGTAATTCTGCATGTTCTATTGAGTATGTGTTGACACTTCAGAGTATAAGCAATTAATTCATTCAGCAGATGTTCTTTTCCAGTACACACTACATTCAAAGCCTTAAGCACAGTGACATGTGCTATATATACTTCTTCAAAACAGTTCTTACCATCAATAGCCGAGACTGGTAGGCAGACGGCAGGTGGCAAGGGATACCACAAACAGCTACAGTTTGAAAAAAAGTAAAGTGTCTAAATCTTTGGGGTTATTCTAAAGGTGCTATTTAAGCCCCTTGTGGAAGATGTAAGCAAGCGAAGATTGTGTCTTCCAAGACTGAAGGAAGCAAAGGGAATGGGTGGGAGGAGGGTTGGTGGTGGTGGGTTTGGGAAGAGATGGTGGCTCTGAGTGGAGGTGGGAAGCTTGGATTGTTTTTGAGAGAATGTCTCTTGCCAGCAGTTCACAACGAGATGGAACTGGCTGAAACTGGACAACACCATTGGACCACACTGGGACTTATTTGTGATTGGCCTCATTGTTCCTGGGCTGATTTTGTTGCTTAGAAATCACCATGGGTAGGATGCGGATCACAGGAAAACCTGCTCACGGGAATCAGTTCACTCCAAGGTATCCCCACTAAATAAACAGTTTCCCATCCAAATCAAGAGTCCGCTGCAGTTTCCCGCTCAGGGCTGTGATGGGAAACAGACAAGACTTGGGGACCATCCTAGAGAAACAACTTCAGACTTCCTGCTTAGTAGAGAAAACCCTTTGCGGGATGCTGGGAACTGGTCACCTAAGACCTTGTTACCAATCTGTCATCTTGGTGACCTAGTCCCACGTTATGAATAAAGACCACCCATTTTCATGTTGTTAGAACAACCTCCCCTCTGTCAAGAGGACGCACTGGGTTTCCTGACTCCTACAGACAAACTAAGGTGAAGAGAAGGGGGAGTTTGGAGAAGGCAGAAATCCAGATCCCTCAGAATATGATAAAGACACAAATATACAAATAGACCTTGTACAAGCACATCCTATAGGAATGACCTGTGAGAGACTCTGGAGCCCTAATGAGTCACAGCTTCCCAGGGCATGTCGTACCTGAACGAGGGAATGGGGGTTGACCCGGGCTCTTCACTGAGAGGCCTCTCTCAAAGCTCCCTTAGTAGCTGTGTTAGTGAACAAAGCCAGTACAGCATCACACCCCTCTCCTCCATCCCTCATCAGAACCCTGTTCTCCCTGGGGCGTCCCCCTTAGTACCCCCTTAGAAGGAGATTATTCAAGCCTCCTAGGATGAAAGCTAAAAGGCCCAGATTCTCTGGCTTCTCTGACAGGCAAATCAGGGGCCCAGGCCTAAGGGACAGGGGCTGGTAAGGAGAGTGTAAGAGGCCTAGGACATATGTCAAGGGCCAGGCTCAAATCCCGGCTCCAGATATTTGTATTTTCTTCTTCTTCTTCTTCTTCTTCTTCTTCTTCTTCTTCTTCTTCTTCTTCTTCTTCTTCTTCTCCTTCTCCTTCTCCTTCTCCTTCTCCTTCTCCTTCTCCTTCTTCCTCCTCCTCTTCTTCTTCTTCTTCCTCTTCTTCTTCTTCTTCTCCAGATATTTGACTTCTTCTTCTTCTTGTTCTTCTTCTTTCTTCCTCTTCCTCTTCTTCTTCTTCTTCCTTTTCTTCTTCTTCCTCTTCTTCTTCTTCTCCAGATATTTGACTTCTTCTTCTTCTTCTTCTTCTTCTTCTTCTTCTTCTCCTTCTCCTTCTCCTCCTCCTTCTCCTTCTCCTTCTCTTCTCTTCTTTTCTCTAACCTTCTCTTCTTCTTTTCTCTCTTCTTATTCTTCTTCATCTTCGTCTTCTACTTTTCTTCTTCTTTTTTTTTTTTGAGACGCAATTTCCCTCTGTCCCCCAGGCTGGAGTGCAGTGGCAAGATCTCGACTCACTGGAACCTCTGCCTCCCGGGTTCAGGTGATTCTCCTGCCTCAGCCTCCTGAATAACTGGGATTACAGATGCCTGCCACCACGCCCGGCTAATTTTTGTATTTTTAGTAGAGATGGGGTTTCACCATGTTGGCCAGGCTGGTCTCAAACTCCTGACCTCAAGTGATCCTCCAAAAGTGCTGGGATTGCAGGCATGAGCCACCACACCCAGCCAATATTTGACTTCTTGAGCCTCAGTTTCCTGGTGTGCAAAAAGGGAAGAATAATGCCTATCTTAGACAACTGATATTAAGATTAAGTGGGATAATGGATGTAAAGAGACTGGCACAGGGCCTGGCACCTAGAATGAGTTCCATAATTGGTAACTTTTAATATCCTTTAAAAAACTCATGGCAAATCCATTGGGGAGAGAGCTGAGTTGGTAACAATCTGTGTGGCTTCAGCGCTTTGCAGTTAGTTCTCCAGCTAATGTGCTAGGTGCTTAGGTAGGAAGAGATCTTGCTTGCTTACTTAAAAATCCAATTTAGGGACATGAAAATTTAATTTATAATGTCAACCGTAATCAAAAGGTAGGATGAAATGGTGGACATGCACTGAGTTTGGGATCAAACAACTTGGATTTGAAGTCCAGCTCTGTCCCTTAGTAGCTGTGTAACTTTGGGGATAACTTTTCCAAATCTCAGCTTTTCCTCCATAAAATGGGATTATTTCCTACCTCACTGAAGAATTGTGAAGCTTAAATAAACCTAACATCAAAAGTGCTTTATAAATATAGCACACACACATACTGGCCACAGTCATTTATTTGGCCAGGAACGAATCCAGGTGGTGGATTCTGAGGTCCAAGTGTTTAGAATTTGGGGGTCATGTCCCTGACTTATTAGGGAGTTCCAGTTCCCAGGGATGCAGCCTAGTTTATAGAAATGTGCAGGAAGGGGCAGCATCCAAATCTCAGGTCAGGACGTCATGGAGAGGGCAGCCATGCTATGACATCTCACAGGTGTCAGGAATGTGAGCACATTAAGGACCAGGATGAGAACAGAGAGGGGAGCGCAGAAGGCAGCATTGGTGAGCCCTGCCTCAAAGTCTGGATGAACATGAGCTCCTTAGAGGTAAACTTCTGGGAGTGACTGCAGGCAGGAAAGAAAGGGAGACCTGTTTGGGGACTTGCTGTGTAGAGTAGAACACTGCCTGAAATATAAGAGGGAGGGCAGCCTGAGTTGATATGTTTCCCATTTCAGCTAATTGTTCCATGTCAATGTGAGACATGGAGCAAGCTTTGAAAGCAGGAGTGCTTTAGGCAGTTTCAATCATTCAAATGTCCATTTCTGGGCCTCTTCTCCTGGAGCCGCCACGGTAGCGGTTCTCACCACCTCTGTGCATGGTTGGGCATCTTGCAGCCTCTGGACATCTCCGAGATGACTGACAGAGGGAGGGAGAGAGCCTCCTGCCTGAAAGCCACTGATGTTTCTCGGTTATTGCAAAATCCCACCCACTCTATGGGCACACAGAGCCCTTCTTCATTTTCTTACTTCTGATGCTTTGAATAAAAATGGATAGCCTGTGGGCTACAAGATATCTAGTTTTTTTGTTTGTTTTGTTTTTGTTTTCGTTTTTTTTGAGATGGGGTCTTTCTCTGTCACCCAGGCTGGAGTACGGTGTCACGATCTTGGCTTACTACAACCCCCGTCTCCCAGGTTTAAATGATTCTGCTGCCTCAGCCTCCCAAGTGTACGCCACCACACCCAGCTAATTTTTGTTGTTTTTTTTTTTTTTTTATGAGACAGTCTCACTCTGTCGCCAGGCTGGAATGCAGTGGCCCAGTCTTGGCTCACCGCAACCTCCACCTCCCAGGTTCAAGTGATTCTCCTGCCTCAGCCTCCTGAGTAACTGGGACTACCGGTGCGCACCACCACACCCAGCTTTTTTGTGTGTGTGTTTTTAGTAAAGACGGGGTTTCACCATGTTGGTCAGGATGGTCTCGATCTCCTGACTTCGTGACCCGCCCACCTCGGCCTCCCAAAGTGCTGGGATTACAGGCGTGAGCCACTGCACCTGGCCTAATTTTAGTATTTTTAGTCGAGACGGGGTTTCACCATGTTGCCCGGGCTGGTCTCGAACTTTTGACCTCCAACGAACTGCCCGGCTTGGGCTCCCAAAGTGCTGGGATTACAGATGTGAGCCACTGAGCCTGGCCCAAGGTATCTGTTTTTTAAAAAATCTAATTCTTGGTTTTGTGCAGTGGCTCACACCTGTAATCCCAGCACTTGGGGAGGCCGAGGCGAGCGGATCATGAGGTCAAGAGATCGCGACCATCCTGGCCAACATGGTGAAACCCTGTCTCTACTAAAAATACAAAAATTAGCCGAGCATAGTGGCGGGCGCCTATAATCCCAGCTACTCGGGAGGCTGAGGCAAGAGAATCACTTGAACCCAGGAGGCGGAGGCTGCAGTGAGCCGAAATCACACCACTGCACTCTAGCCTGGTGACAGAGTGAGACTCTGTCTCAGGAAAAAAAAAAAAAAAAAAAAAATCTAATTTGCTTTTGTGACTCCCTTGATTTCCTCCCCCAATTCTTCATTAAATTGGAGTAGCTCTTCAAGTAAATCCATTTTTCAAAGGCAAGTCAGGTAAATAATTTTGTTTCTCTGGAGCAGGGGTCCAGAGTCATTTTCTCAGTAACATTCTCCTGGAATTCTTTTCTCCAAAATCTTGAGTAGTGGAGGTGCTATATAGTTTGCTGCATTCCCCTCACTGGGCATCCCAGAAAGCCCTAGAGAAGAGGGCATGGTGAGGCTGAGAAGAGAGGAAAGAAACATTTTGAAGCACCTGCTATGAGCCAGGCTCTGTTTCCATCTGTTTTCTCATTTCATCTTCATGATGAGGCTAGGAGGTAGCTAGAATGACCTCTGTTTAACACAGGAGGAAACTGAGGCCAGAAGAAGCTAGAAAAGATCACGTAGCTGATAAATAATGGAGCTGTGATTTGAGTCCAGATCTAACACCACAGATGTTCTTTCCTCTATGTTACGGTTCCAGTTATTGCTTGCTTCTTAACAAACTTCTCCAAAAGTTAGGGTCTTAAAACAACAATCACTTCATTTTATCTCAAGATTTTGTGGGTCAGGAATTTGGGCAGGGTGTGGTCAGGTGATTCTTCTGGTCACTTAGTGGATGGGCTGTTCTAGAATCCAAGACAGGTTTACTCACTCAGCAGTGACTGTTGACCAGTATACCCACATCCCAGATGCGGCCTCTTGGCATGGTGGACAGAGCATTTGGGCTTTTTACACTGTAGCTCAGCATTCCCACAGAGAATGTTCACAGAGACACAGGCAAAAGCCACAGCTTTGCTAAGACCAAGCCTCAGAAGTTCCAGAACATCCCTTCCACCATGTTCCGTTAGTCAGGCATTATACTCCGTCTCTCAGTGAGAGAAGTAGCAAAGAATTTGCAGCCATATTTAACCTACTATAAAAGATACTGTTTAAAAATCTACCAATGGTTACATAAATTACAGTACAAAAATTGGCAGAAAAAAAATGCAGCCCAAGCCTGAGCTGCCTGTTTTGGAAAACAAGGATTAGACAGCCCAGTTAGACGCGTGCCTGGCTCTCTTCATCTTCCCACCTTTCAGACTGAAGAAATGCAGATGTGTGAAGGTAAGTGGAGGGGGGAAGAGATGTCCTCCTCTGTTCCTTAGCTAAACACACACACACCCTCACATTGGCCGCTACACACACGCACACACACACACACACACACACACACTCTTGAATAATGCTTAGTTCTTTGCTTTGGCTCAAGAGACATGAGCCAAGAGATGCAGAGTCCCAGCATGGTTGGGACTCTCTGTCTGGGGCACCCTAGGTGCAGGCTCCACTCCTGTGTCTCAAGATTCATTCCTGACACGCAGTGGGTGGGAGACACACCCCAGACCCTCTCAACCACCTCCCATCCTCATTCAATTTCCGTTCCCGAACCCACAGTCCCCATAAGCCTAGCTCCTCTGCCTCAGCTCCTGGCTGAGGTCCTCCTGTGGGGATATGACCTTTAGCATGGGTTGCTGTCAGCCATCCTCTGCCCTAGGGTTCTGCTGCTGGATGGGGGAACACAGGAAATTGTGCATCCTTGGAGTGGAGAGTGAGAAAAGCAGCCCTCACTATGGACTGGCCTCTAGATGGGAATGTATCAAATAAATAAATTGAACTTCTCGTGAACTGTGATGGTCGATCTTATGCTCATGTGTTCCCTAAGCCTTATTATGCACAAAGAGCATCTACTTCTTCCCAGTTTTTCTTTTTTCTTTAGAGATGGGGTCTCACTATGTGGCCCAGGCTGGATTGGAATTCCTGTGTTCAAGTGACTCTCCTGCCTCAGCCTCTTGAGTAGCTGGGACTACAGGCACACACCAGTGTGTCCAGCTCCCAGCTTTGGGTTTTAATATCAAAGTTACCCCCTTATTAGTTTAGCACTGGGTGGCGCTGGGCTAGGTATTAAAGTGTGGGAAAAACCCTTCCAAACCATCCTGCTAGTCAGGTAGTTACTGACTGGAGACTCATGGTCTAGAAAATTCATGGTTTTGAATTTTCAAATTTTAATTTTACATTGCATTTTATCCTATCTTCGAGTAAGTGATTAGAAAACCCAGAACTCCCATTATTAAAAATAAACCTTCACAAATTGTCTGGCCACGAATGTCACCTTGACATTGTTTCATTTTCAGCAACTTCAATGAGCTTTACCTGAAAATTACTCCAAGTTCTTCCAGGCTCTCCCACTGTCTTGTACTGTTCCCCACATCATTTAGCAACAAGAACACATGGACCCATGGCCGGGGGCAGTGTCTCACACCTGTAATTCTAGCACTTGGGAGGTCGAGGCGGGTGGATCACCTGAGGTCAGGAGTTCAAGACCAGCCTGGCCAACATGGTGAAAACCCCATCTCTACTAAAAATACAAAAATTAGCTGGGCATGGTGGCAGATGCCTGCAATCCCAGCTACTCGGGAGGCTGAGACAGGAGAATTGCTTGAATCCGGGAGGTGGAGGTTGCAGTGAGGCCGAGATCATGCCATTGCACTCCAGCCTGGGTGACAAAAGTGAAACTCTGTCTCAAAAGAAAAAAAAAAAAGAACACACTGACCCACAGCAGATGCACTGGGAGAGAGTCTCCAAAAAGATTCACTCCTATTAAGAGAACCAAGGAGAAAGGTAGCAATACTCAACCACTGTCTTCACAATAGCAGGCAAATCAGACCAGGACAATGACTCCTCAGCAATATGAGGACCTGTATTCTTCCAACAGCTGTGAGGCCACCTTGGGGCCTGGCCCCAGCAAACTGGGGAAGTAGACACCTGCCCCAGCCAGCACAGAGCAGATGTGAACTGGCATGTTACAGGCCTGGAATGAATCTGCGGTAGGCCAAGTAATTTACACTGAAGGAAACCAAAATATTTGTCCCTAAAATATTGAGGATTGGTGAGCTAAAGACAGCTGAGACGTACGGAGACTCTCTGCCTCTCCTTTGTTTGCCTAAAGGCAGGACATAAATCCCGTCTTACTGGAGATAGCCACTTATCAGCCTAGAGACGGCACTAGCAGACACCAGAGAAACCTGCGAGCAGACCTTACTTCATGAGTATCTTCCCACAGCTTTCCCCCTTTGAGAGACTGGAACTGTTCTCTCCTTTGTCTTGTCACTGCACTAAAATTCATTGCTTTTTGTTAAAATGCTACTTAAACAAAGCTTAAAGCCTCAGGTTTCCAGCCAATGCTTTGAGAGTCACTTTGCAGAGTTACTTTTCTCCCCCATGATGGACACGGCATGTATACATTATTAAGCATACCTGTTTTTCCTTTGTTGATCTGTCTTTTGTTTCAGAAGGGTGACTCAATTATGAATTTATGAGAGTGGCAAAAAGATTATATAATTTTCTCCCCTTCCACACATTATACAGAAATCTGAAACCAAGCAGGAAGAGGAGTCAATGTCATAGTTCCGAAGAAAAGGGCCTCCCTTAAGAAAGCCTCATATACATTTCAAATTTCAGCCATGTGGTTGTCTTCATTTAGGTTCCCCCAGAAGCTGACCATGAGACGAGGATTTTTGCATGCAAATAGTTTATTTGGTAAGTTATATTCAAGAAATATAAATAAGGAAGGAAACCAGTACAGAGAGTTATCAAAAAAGTTGCCAGGCTGGGCGCAGTGGCTCACACCTACAATCTCAACAATTTGGGAAGCTGAGGCAGGAGGATCACTTGAGCTCAGGAGTTCAAGACCAGCCTGGGCAATGTAGAAAGACCTTGTCTCTACAAAAAATAAAAGTAAAAAACTAGCCAAGCGTGGTGGTGCATGCCTGTAGTCCCAGCTACTTGGGAGGCTGAGGTGGGAGGATCACTTGAGTCAAGGAGGTTGAGGCTACAGTGAGCTGAGATCACGCCACTGCACTCCAGCCTGGGTGACAAAGTGAGACCCTAGTCTCACAAAAAAAGGTACCACTGTGAGTCACCAGAGCTCAGTCCCACTGGGGAACTCTGGTATAGAGCACGCACCTCATGGTTATCCCACCCAAGGGACATGAGGGCAGGATATTTATTCACAACTGCTCACAGTCATTGGTTGAGCAGTGCTTTAAGTGGAACATTAATTTTCCGTACTTCCCACCCCCCATGTAGGAAGGTGGAGCCAACAGGGAAAGCCCTTGGGAAATGGATGCAGGTGCTTGCAGTTAGCAGCTTTGCCTCCCAGCAATGAGAAGCCCCGAGGGGATGGGGCCAGGGCACTGGCAGCATCTGGGGCAATGATTAAGAGCTGCTTTCCTGACCCTCCCACCCTTTCCTTCAATAAACAATTCCCTGAGCACTTACAGTGTCCCAAGCACTCTGCCAAGGACCCAGGAAGGAAGAGCTGCCCTCAGGAAGCTTGCAATGTGTGCTGTAGAAGAGAGAAGCCTCCATTATTAGGGCATCTACTCTGTGCCAGTCACTTTCCTGGAGCTAGCTCACTGCATCCACCCAGGCATTCTGTGAGGTAAGATTCTTCTTCTCATTTTATAGACATGCCATGCAACCATCTGATTACTTCTTCAGAACAGTGTAACCGTCAGCAGAGGATATTTAAAAGCAGGATCGTAGTATCGATGCTAGCTGATGAACAGTTTCCGCCTCTAGAAGAAACGCAGATGCGAGCAGAGTAAATGGGCTGATGAATGCATGCCGTGTGTTGAAAGAACTGAATGCAGTAAGTAGGCTGCAGCCGGGACCTGCTTCAGCCTGGGACCCTGAGTGATGGGGGACAGGAGTGTGGGACATGGTTAGTTCTGCCCTGTTTCCTCCCCTCTTCCCACCCTACCTGCCTCTGCCTCCTCCATGGTTGAAGGGAGTGAGGGTGGTGAGAGGGTGGTTTAAGGAATAGGAAAGATTTCACTAAGCTGGCACATAAGTTATCCAATAAAGGTGCCCGCTGAGCATAGAAGTTCACTGTGTCGACTCCCATGAAGCACTTTTGCTGCTTTCTTGGGGATTCCATGCTGGGAACCTTATGTCCTTGCTTGGGATCTACCAAAAGCACAGCCTGAAACAAGAATTTGGGTATAGGTAGCTCATTTGGGAAGTGATCGCAGGACTCAGAATTGAGGAAGAGAGAAGGATGAAAAGCCATAAAAAAGCATGCGGTTTTAAAGTTACTGCTGTAGGCAATGAGGGTCCTATTCTACCAGGATCTGGAAGGTTTGCAGAAAACCTCCCAGAATTGTCTGCCTGAAAGACAGTAGCCTGAAAGACAGTAGGCTGGGTCACTTCCCACCCGCTCCCTTCCCTGTCATTTAAGGATTGCTCCCAGGGTGCATTAACTGCCCCCTCATCCTTTCTCAGCTGCTTCGGGGATGTCTCTGAGGCAGAACCCGTGCCTTCCCTTAGTGTTAGGCACAGTTAGCAGGAGTCTGCCTTGCACAGAAAGGTCCTCTGCAGCTGCAGTGAAAATCACTGGGCAGTCAAAGCATCTGCTTCATGAGTGAGGTGTTCTGAGCCTTGAGGTCACCCACTGGTCCATGAACAGACTCTCTTGGATGGGACTCTACCTGCAGTAGGCTGAATAATGGCCTCAAAAGACATCCACGTCCTAATCCCTGAAACTGTGAATGTTCCATGTCAGAAAGGGACTCTGCAGAAGTGATTAAGGATCTTGAGAGGGGAGATTATCCTGGATTATCCAGGCAGGCTTTAAATGCAATCACAGGTGTCCTTATAAGAGAGAGGCAGAGAGAGATTTGACATAGACAGAAGAGGGGAGATTATCCTGGATTATCCAGGCAGGCTTTAAATGTAATCACAGGTGTCCTTAGAAAAGGGAGGCAGAGAGATTTGACACAGACAGAAGAGGAGGAGGCAATGTCACTATGGAGGCAGAGAGAGGAGTGATGTGTCCACAGCCCAGGAATGCCAGCAGCGCCAGAAGCCCAAAGAGGCAAGGGATGGGTTCCGCCTTAGAGCCTCTGAAGGGAGTGTCTCAGCCTTCTGGCCTCCAGAACTATGAGGGAATAAATGCCTGTGGTTTTAAGCCACAAATTTCGTGGTAATTTTTTTTATAGCAGCATTAGGAAATGAATACACCATGCACTGGCTCCTCTATGTTCTTTTCCTGGTTCCTGAGGAACACACACTCTTGCTGCTGCTGGTGGTGGAGGGCAGTTAGCTCCCAGGGCAGCCCGGTTTCTCCTGCTGTCTTGCTTCTAGTCTCACTCTCTCCTCAGGCAAGTAGCCTCAGCCTCTCCGCATTTGGCATGTGTCACACCCCAGTCCACTCTGTCCCCCACACTCTAGGACCACAGAGGAGGCTCTCCCAGTGGCTCTCTTATAGCCCCTCTCCTTTGGCCAAAGTTAGGGGCAGAGCTCTCTCTCCCCATCCCCAGTGGGAAATGCAACAGCAATCAGAAAACTCCAGGAAAATTTGGCCTCTGCCCTCCTACTTCCACCTTCAAATGCCCTGCCCCTCACCCCCATCCATTTGCAAGTTCCAGCTCAGAACATCCAGCACCTCATTTTATAAAATTGGGGCCACTTGGCTCTCTTTGTTAACTCTCAGCCTTTGGGCTTCAACCCAAACCAAGCCTCAAAGGGTCCCATTTTATCACCCAGAAAACCCGAACAATTTCACAGTTGAGACCTATGCTCTGGGCTGGGACGCAGCAAATGGCTCAGCCCCAGATGCTCCAGGAATAATGCTGTGGCCTCGGTCACGTTATCTGTCCAGCTTCTGGACGAGTCTACAATTCCAAAGCCACGAAACTGTCAACAGTGTGCGCACCTAAAACTTCTGAACTAAGACAGGCCTCCCTGCCTGTGGGAGGTTAGACAGAAAAGTCTCCCAAAGCCCAAAGAAGTGATGTTTGTGGCCAGGCTAAAGTCCTGTACTGTAAGTTTGTAATGGCTTCCTAAAAATAGTGTTTGCTCACTCTATTCCACAGTCACAAAAAAACCACCTGAGACGTCAGATAGGGAATTTGTTTTTTAATTTAGAAGAAATCATTACCAACAAACGAAAGAAAGAAAAGAAAAGGAAGGTGGAGAAGGGGTGAAGAGACAAGCCTTGGATTCCACGTGAGATTCTGCTCTATGTGGGGCTATAAGTTTTCCCATTTCTGTCTTCCCATCATTCCTCACTCTGCCAGAACGAATTCTGTCTCCCAGAGGTTTTTTTGTTTGTTTGAGCGGAGTCTTGCTCTGTCACCCAGGCTGGAGTGCAGTGGCACAATCTCAGCTCCCTGAAACCTCTGCTTCCCGGGTTCAAATGATTCTCCTGCCTCAGCCTCCCAAATAACTGGGATTACAGGTGTGCACCACCACTCGTGGCTAATTTTTGTATTTTTAGTAGAGACAGGATTTCACCATGTTGGCCAGGCTGTTCTCAAACTCCTGACCTCAAGTGATCTGCCAGCCTCGCCCTTCAAAGTGCTGGGATTACAGGCACGAGCCACCATGCCTGGCCAAGAGTATTTTGTTTGTATGTAATTAATATAGAAAAACTACTTATCTCCTTTAAGACACATTCTTTTTATAAGAAAAAGTAGCAACCCATAGCAACAATAAATATGCCATTCTAACAATAGCTTGTTATTAACAAGAAAAATCATAAAAATAAAAATAGCAATTTTACTAGAGGAAACTTGAGGGAGGGATAGTCCTGGGCTGATACACATTTCCAGAGGCAGTCCTTTAAAGTTTTCAAACTCCTGGGGGTGGACAGCCTTTCTTCTCAGCGTCTGCTCCTGGGGAAATGAGAACTAAAGCGACCTGATGAAGAGAGCATTGTTACATTTTCCAGATAAGAACACCCTGGCTCAAATCAGCAACTTGCCTCAGGTCACACTGCTAGTTAGTGGAGAAACTGAGGATTCAAACTCAGGATCCACCCCAAAGCCAGTGCGCCTTCTTCTATGCTATCTCCTCCCATGTTATCTTATTATCTTATTGTCAAACATAGCTTTCACTGTAGTTATCTATCAATTTTCACTTTTCCCATTAAAAATATCAAAGTGGACCCAAAAAATCTACAACCTTATTTTGAAAAAATCTTTTTTTTTTTTTTTTTTTTGAGATGGAGTCTCACTCTGTCGCCAGGCTGGAGTGCAGTGGTGAGATCTCGACTCACTGCAACCTCCGCCTCCCGGGTTCAAGCGATTCTCCTGCCTCATCCACCTGAATAGCTGGGATTACAGGTGCCTGCCACCACACCAGGCTAATTTTTGTACTTTTTAGCAGAGACAGGGTTTCACCATATCAGCCTGGTTGGTCTCGAACTTCTGATCTTGTGATCCACCCGCCTCGGCCTCCCAAAGTGCTGGGATTACAGGCGTGAGCCACTGGGCCTGGCCGAAAAATCTTTTTTAAAAAATTCATGTTTCAAAGCATCTTAGAGAAAACCTGACCAACATACAAAGCCCAGAAAGACATCATCAATTTTGCTATGTGATTTATTAACAACTCAGAATGGAATGTTGATTGTGATCAATCAATACTATTGACCAATTGATTGTGATTGTTTTCTGAGCTACACTAACTTTCCACAGTCTGATTTCCTCTCCCATTACTGCCCCTTCCCACTGTATGTAAATATGCCTTCCAAAGATAACTCCCTTTCCTCTGGAATAGATACCCCAGTGCCCTACCCATGTCCCCTCAGCCCAGTTCTGAGACCACTGGCATCTTCCATGGGTAGGCCCCTTGCCAGCTTTGGATTTCTACCTCAGACATCTGCCCCTGGGGAGGTTCTCTGGCTGCAGGAGCACTATTGGCCACAGGAAAGGTAGACCAGAAGTGCCCGGGAGTTAATGCTCCCAGCACCCCTCCACCAGTGACAGGCAGGAACAGTTTCCTTGACCCTTGGTGGGCTGATGTGCAGAGTACATTCTGTAAAGTTTCTCAGAAGGTGTCCAGCAGGATTGAGCCCCAGTTGTTCACTGCAGAAATCTGCTCATGAACGCATTCTTATTGGTTTTCTTCCTTCCCACTTTTCCACTCCCTCATCTTCCCACTCCTTGCCAAATAAACTACTGCACTCAAATCGTTATCTCAGAGTATGCTTTTTAGGGAACCTATAGCAAGAAGAAAAAGTCTAAGGAAAGATCATGTTAAACATTCCAGAAGACACAGAGATAACTACCAGGTTGGGAATAAAATCAATGTTTGTTTACATACCCAGTACATTGTACACTGGGTATGGAAGCAGGGGCCACTGTAAAATTTGCTCACTTTTGTGTTTTCAGCACCTCACATTGTTCCTGCACAATAAATGAATAATGAATGAATGAATGAATAAATTAATGAACAAATAGATGAGGATTCCTAGCTTTCTCCTAAGGTTAAAGTGAGAAGTTATTCTAATTAATGCCAAAGAAAGGACTAGGATTATAAAAAAAGAAATATGAAATGAAATAAAGAAAACAGACTTTGTTTTCCTCGATTCTCACAGGACACTTCTGACATCAAATATGTAGGAGGTTTTTCAGCAACGAATTCTCTAACTCTCTGGACACCTACTGAGTGTCCCACATTTCAATTCAATTCTAACACTACTTAGAATTAGCTTTAGATCCCACAAATCAGAGGGCTCAGTCCCACAAGACTGACTGCCTGTTCAGATGCCAATCACAAGTAGCAGATTTCCAGGTTGCCCACACTTCTGTCTGCCCTGGCTACACATTGGGGGTTGCCACAAGCCCCTCCTCAGGTTTGATAATTTGCTATAATGGTTCACAAAACTCAGGGAAACATTTGCTTACATTTACTGGTTTATTAAAGAATACTGAAAGGACAGAAATGATGAGCCAGGTGAAGAGGACATAGGGTGAGTTCTGGAAGGGCCTGGAGGAGTGAAGGAGTTTCTCCCTCTGTGGACTTGGGGTGTGCTATCCCCCCAGCACATGGATGTGTTCACCAGCCCAGAAGATCTCTGACGCCGCCTTTGGTGGATTTTTATGGAGACTTCATCACATAGGTATGATCAATTATTAACTCAATCTCCAGCCCCTCTCCCCTTCCTGAAAGATGTACAGTGGGGTGAAAAGTTCCAAGGTTCCAAGCTCCTGATCAGGCCTTGGTCTTTCTGGCATCCAGCCCCTATCCTGAAGCTAGCCAGGAGCCCATCAAGAGTCACCTGATTAGAACAAAAGATGCTCCCATCACCCAGGAAATTCCAAGAGATTTAGGAGCTCTTTGTCAGGAACCAGAACTGGGGTCAATGACCAAATATTAGAGTAAAAGACACCCAGCACCCCAATCACTTAGGAAAGTATGAGAATTTTAGAAGCTCTGTGCCAGGAACCAGGGATGAAAACCAAATATATGCTTCTTATTACATAATATCACATGAAATGATGTAATAATGTAAACAATCATCTATAAAATTTGAATAAATGGAAACATACTATTGTGTTCGAACAGGACAGTGCCAAAATATAGAGATTAATTTTTCCAAAATGAATCTTTAAATATAATACATTCTTGGCCGGGCGTGGTGGCTCACGCCTGTAATCCCATCACTTTGGGAGGCCGAGGTGGGCAGATCACCTGAGGTCAGGAGTTCGATATCAGCCTGGCTAATATGGTGAAATCCCATTTTTACTAAAAATACAAAAAATTAGCTGGGCGTGGTGGTGCGCACCTGTAATCCAAGCTACTCAGGAGGCTGAGACAGGAGAATGGCTTGAACCCAGGAGGCGGAGGTTGCAGTGAGCCGAGATTGCACCATTGCACTCAAGCTTAGGCAACAAAAGCGAAACTCCATCTCAAAAATAATAATAATAATAATACATTCTTAATAAAAATACCAACAAAGTGCTTTTTAAACTAGGTCAGTTGCTTCCAAAGTTTGTAAGGAAAAATAAACATAAATGAATGGCAAGGACAATTCTGGAAAAGGAGAGTAATGAGAAAGAAATAGCTAAACAAGCCAATAAAATATAAAGCTATGATAATTAATCCATTTGAATAAGACAGCATAGAGCATCCAGAAATGACCCAAATACATAAGGTGGCATTTCAAATCAATGGAGAAGGGAGGGTGTGGTAGTTCGCGCCTGTCATCCCAACACTTTGAGGCAAAGGTGGGAAAATTGCTTGAGGTCAGGAGTTTGAAACCCGTCTCTACAAAAATTTAAAAAATTAGCTGGGCATGATGGCACATGCCTGCAGTCCTACCTATTAATACTTGGGAGGCTGAGGTAGGAGAATTACTTGAGCCCAGGAGCTTGAGGGTGTAGTGCACTATGATCGCACCACTGCACTCCAGCCTGGGTGATGGAGTGAGATCCTGACTCTAAAAAACAAAAAGGGGCAATGGTAGGTTATCCAGAATTGTATTGTAGTATAGGGTAGCCCACTGGAAAAAATAAATTCAAATCCCTATCTCACAAGTTTCATTGAAAGAGATTTCACACAAGCAAAGATTTAAATGTAATAAATAAATGAACCTGTAAAACTATTACAAGAAACGTGGACTTTGTTTGCTTTTACAATCTAGAATGGGGAAGCCCTTTTTTGACCCGATTAAACAAATTCAGCTGCTCCAGGCACAAATTTTGTAGTTTAAGAGCAGCTTGTGGCCAAGCCATCTTCCCAATATGTTCTATATCAGGACACACCAAGGAAACAGAGTGCTGAGAACTTCGGCGCTCATTAGGGAACTAGAGTCCTAGAAAAATGAAAGAAGCAAAAGCTTTGTGCACGTAGGCCCATAATAATTAGCCCAAGGCTGGTGTTTCCTGGGACAGTTATTAACATAAGGTCTTCTGAAGTTCCTCAAAAAAGCAGTGACAATCTTCTGGTTCTTAGTTTCTCCCTGTACTGGCCTGTTCATGATTTTAGTCCATAATAGGATGCCATTAAATTAAAACTTCATCAAGTTGACTAAGAAAGCAGGAGACTACGTTATTGAGCTACCGGGGACTAACCATCGAGGCAAATATTCCCCCTAAGTCCAGATTACATTTTACATTTGTGTTATTTTTAAGTGATCTGATAAAAAAAAAAAAAGGACTGAAGTGTGGGAAAACTGGCACTCTGGCATGCTGAGGCTAGACTGGGTGGTTTGGGAGTTTATATCAATTCCACCTCTTGACATTTACAGTAAATAATAACCAAATACATGCATAAAATTAGCTATGAGGATGCTGTTTCCCTGGTGTTATTTATAATGACAAAAAATTGGAAGTCACCTAAATAATACACTAGATAAATAAACTGTCATACATCTAGTCAAGACAACATAGAGCAATTTAAAATGATGCCATTTAATAATATTTACTGACCTGGAAATACCATGTTTTATTGTGATGTGGAAAAAAGCATATTTCAAAACAGTTTATAAAATTTGGTCACAGTTTGTAAAAAAAAAAAAAAGATGTATCTATATAGGTCATATGTTAGAAAATTCTGCAAATGCAGAATGAAAATGGATGTTTCATCACAGTGAAAATGGATGTTTCATCACAATGATTATCTCTGATGGGATTGGCAGAATTAATTTTCTAGAAAGCATAATCTAACCATATGCTGTCTACGAGAAACATGCTCTAGATTCAAAGACATGAATAAGTTTAAAGTAAAAGTTGAAAGAAGGTGTACCATGCAAACAGTAACCAAAAGGACAAAAGTGACTATGCTAGTATTAGACAAAATAAATTTGAAGACAAAAAAAAGGTATTAGAGAGAAAAGGGACATTTTATAATGAAAGAGGGGAAATTTATTAGAAGATGTAACAATTATAAATATATATGCATATAACAACAGAACTCCAAAATCCATGAAGCAAAAACAGACAGAATTAAAGGAAGAAATAGAAAATTCAACAACATTTGTTTAATATCCCATTTTTAATAATGGATAGAATAACTAGGCAGAAGATCATAAAGAACTAGAGGACTTGAACAACACTACAAACCAACTAGACCTAATAGTTACCTATAGAATAACAGCAGAATGCATTATGTAGAAAGCAGTCTGGCAGTTTCTCAGAAAATTAAGCATAGAGTTACTATATGAGCCAGCAATTCTGCTGCTTAGTATACACGTAAAAGAATTGAAAACATGTTTACGTAAAAACTTGTACACAAACATTCATAGCAGCATTATCCACAACAGTCAAAAAGTGGAAACGACCTAAATATCTATCAACAGATGGATATACAGAATGTGGTATATCCATACAATGGAGTATTATTCAGCAATAAAAAGTAATGAAGTATTGATACATGTAACATCATGGATGAACCTTAAAAATATTATGCTAGGTGAAAGAAGCCAGGCCACATATTGTATGATTCCATTTATATGAAATATCCAGAATAGGTAAGTTCCCAGAGACAGAAGGAATTTAGATGAGTTGTAGTCAGGGCCCAGGGGTTGATGGGGAGTGGAAAATGACTGCTAATGGGCATGATGTTTCTTGTGGAAGTGACGAAAAATGTCTTAATATCAAATATTGGTAATGGTTGGACAACTCTGTGAATACACTAAAAACCACTGAATTGTTCACTATAAAAGGGCAAATTTTAGGGTATACAAATGGCATCTCCAAGCTGTAATAAAAAATAAATGGTGACAAATATGACAAAATCTTAACAGTTATTAAGTTAGGGTTTGGGGGATATGAATGTTATTTTATTCCTTAAACTTCACCGTAACTTTTAATAATCTCTAACTTAAAAGAAAAGGGATCCTGGGATAATTTCAGAAAAAAAATGGATTATTCCCTCACCCCCTCTCATAGAGACAGTGGGTGCTCATTAATCAACATTCCACATGCTCCCCTAAATTTCCCAGCCTCCTGGTGACTATGTTGGGCCCAGGTAACCAGTTCTGTCCAATGAACTGTGAGTACAAGTGGTATTTGTCACTTCTAGAAAGGCAAAGCAGTTGAAAGCTGGTGTTTGCTTCCTCCACCCTTCTTTTTTCCTGCTAAGAACTTAGAAACCACAGGATGAGAAAGCGCTAGCTCCAGATGGAGGGCGTGTGGATCTCCCAGTCACTACATGGTGATCCCCTCCCCAACTTACATAGACTAGGCCTGAATGAGAAATAAACTTTTCTTGTGCGAAGCCATTTCAGAGTTTATTTGTAACTGCTGCCTAATCTAGGCTAGTCTAATTAATATATGCCCCACCATAGACAAAAACAAACAATAGATTAAACCATTTTGTGCAGGACCGTTTAAAAAAGGCTAGAAAAAATTTAAAGCAACCTAAAAAAAAAAAATGTTTAAGATCCCAGTGTGGGGAAATAATTTTTAAGCACCAAAGCAATGAAAGTCATCAGAAAGGAAAAGCTGCACAGATTAGGGTAGAAATAAAATAAAATTTTGGAACATTAAGAAAGCCACCATATACAAAATGACAGAAATGAGGGGAAATGTCATAATAAATGTGTCAGTGAGTTAAGGACTGTAACACTTAAACTATGAACTAGAAAAAAAAATGGGCAGGGGATGTGAAAATATAAATCATTTAACACATATGCAACATTTATTTGTGCCACTATTTACAGACACTGTGAGTAGTCTATGCATATATCATTCTTCACCACAGTGATTCTGTAAGGGAGATACTACTATCATGTCCATTTGAAAAGGAGTAGTGAAGCAAGACTCAAAATCACACAGCTAATAAGTGTATTTGAACTTGGTTCTCATCAAATGCCAAAGTTAGCCACTATCCTTCCACAGGAAAGCATGTGAGCTGATACTTAATAATCCAAGCAATGAAAACAATAATATAATGCTAAAGATCTAATAAATAATTATAACCAGTATAGTGAGGGTATGGTGAGACATTCATTCACTTGCTCTTTGTTCATTCATAATTTTTGAACATTCAGTAGTTATTGAAAATCTGTTAGGGTCCAGGAACTTTCCAGGTCCTGGGGATATAACAATGACCAATACAGACCCAAACCCCTGCCCTCCTGGAGCTGACCTACCCAGTTAGTATGAGATGTACAGAGGCATAATTATTCTGGGATAATAAATATCAAGAGCCCTAAATATGTTCACATACTTTAGTTCAGCAATTCTAGTCCTAGTAATTTATTCTACTCATCATGTAGCTGTCTATAATGGGAAAAAGGTTGGAAAAGACATAGTCCTAAAAATAGAAATCATCAAATAATGTGTGGTACATTCACACGATGAAATATGTAGCCATTAAAAATCATACTTTTTAAAAAAGAATGACAGAAAAATGCCCATAGCATAGTATTATTGAAGAAGGCAGGATGCCATACAGTATACAGGATGATTTGATGTTTATTATCTAGGTAGCTAGCTGTTAGTAAAATCTGGAGCGATATACACTGATATTTTAATAGGCGTTGATGGTATTATAGGGTTTAAAAATTTCCCAAAATTTTCACAGTGAACATGAATAACTTTTATAATGATGGTGGGGGTAATTAGAAAAAAATGTTTTCTACCTACGTGTTTTGTTGTTGTTTTGTTGTTGTTTGTTTTTTAAAGAGGCAGAGTCTTGCTGTCACCCAGGCTGGAGTGCAGTGGTGTGATCATATCTCACTGCAGCCTCAAACTCCTGAGCTCAAGTAATCCTCCCACCTCAGCCTCCCAATTAGCTGGGATTATAGGAGCATGCTGCCGCGCCTGGCTAAGAAAAAATGTTTTCTAAAAAGTCTTCGCCATCTTTCAAGAGCCAACTCAAATGGGAAGGAAGACCTCTCCTTGTGCGCTATTTTCTCCTCAGTCTGTACATTCTCCCAGGGCAGTTTCATCCAGCACTCCCATCCTTCCCCTACCTCCAAGCAATCAATCAATCATGAAGGCCTATTGATTACCCTCCCTTTCAATCCTCATCCATGGTCCTCACCCCTGTGCAGTCTGCCTCCACCTCTACCCCTGGGCTCTTGTTACTCTAAATGTTCTGTCTCCTTGATTCCATTCTCCACACTGTATCCAGACAGATCTTTTTTATTTATTTATTTATTTTGAGATGGAGTCTCACCCTGTCACCCAAGCTGGAGGATGGTGATGCAATCTCGGCTCACTGCAACCTCTGCCTCCTGGGTTCAAGTAATTCTCCTGCCTCAGCCTCCCAAGTACTTGGGATTACAGGCACCTGTCACCACTCCTGGCTAATTTTTGTATTTTTAGTAGATACAGGGTTTTGCCATGTTGGCCAGGCTGTCTCGAACTCTTGACCTCGGTTGATCTGCCCACCTCGGCCTCCCAAATTGTTGAGATTACAGGCGTGAGCCACTGTGCCCAACCCAGAAAGATCTTTTTAAAAAAGAAATTGCTTGCCACTCCCTCAATTAAAACTCTTCAGTATTAGCCAGGTATGGTGGCTTGCACCTGTAGTCTCTCTCAGCCACTCAGGAGGCTGAGGCAGGGGAATCCCTTTTGAGCTGAGGAGTTCCAGGCTGCAACGAGCTATGATTGTGTTCCTGCACTCCAGCCTGGGCCACAGATAAAGGCCCTATCTCTAAAACAAAAAGCCAAATACTCTTCAGTGATTGTGCATTGCCTTCAGAATAAGGTCAAACTCCCTGTACTAGTTCTAGCTCTCCCAGAAGCTGACCCTGGGATAAGAACTTGGGTGCTGGTGATTTACTTGGCTGGGAAGCACAGTGAGGGAGGGATGGGAGAAAGACAAAGCAGTTTGAGTAGGTTTTGCATCCTGAAATCCCAGTCCCTATTTAGGTCTCATTAGTGTGTATGGCAAATATGCCTCCTTATTTCAGAGACTGAGACAAAATTAATGATTCTTAAAATCTAGTGTACACAAGAATCATCCAGAGAGCTGTTTTTAAAGTAGGATTTTTGGGTCCCGTGACAAGAATTCCAATTACCTGCAGACCCTATCACCGAACATTAAGTGCAATTAATGGATCCTGTTTTCCTCAGGAACTCACAATTTGCAATGGCAACCTCCTTTAAAATGAAATTCGCCCTCTGTGTAATAATTAAAAAGAGTAATAGTTGTTTTCTTTTTTACTTTTTCTTTTTCTTTTTTTTTTGGAGATGGAGTCTTACTTTGTCTCCAGGCTGGAGTGTAGTGGCATGATCTCAGTTCACTGCAACCTCTGCCTCTCAGGTTCAAGCAATTCTCCTGCCTCAACCTCCCAAGTAGCTGGGACTACAGGTGAACACCAACACATCCAGCTAATCTTTGTATTTTTAGTAGACATTGGGTTTCACTATGTTGGCCAGGATGGTCTTGATCTCCTGATCTCATCATCTGCCCGCCTTGGCCTCCCAAAGTGTTGGGATTACAGGCGTGAGCCACCGCATCCGGACTGTTTTTGTTTTAATTTAGGAGACAGAGTCTCGCTCTGTCACCCAGGCTGGAGTGCAGTGGCATGATCTCTGCTCACTGCAACCTCCACCTCTCCTGCCTCCTGGATTCAAGCAATTCTCCTACCTCAGCCTCCTGAGTAGCTGGGATTACAGGTGACTGCCACCACACCCGGCTAATTTTTGTATTTTAGTAGAGATAGTGTTTCACCATGTTGGCCAGGCTGGTCTCAAATTCCTGACCTCAGGTGATCTCCCCACCTGGGTCTCCCAAAGTGCTGGGATTACAGGTGTAAGCCACTGTGCCTTGCCTGTGAGTGACAGTTTTTTAATTCTTTGTATCTCCCTTCTCCCTCACAACACACACACACAAACACACACACACACACACACACACACAGATACACACCACTGCTTCTTTGGACTTGTTAGAAATAAGGAATGGGATCATTACTGAGCTATCTATATCTATCTCTTAGTGGTTTCCTTGACAACACTAAAGTTTGGAAATTACCATTTGTAAGGATCTAAATTCTTAGACCAGGAACTGCCTTATCCAGATGGTCTAAGGATGGAAGACAAAGGGTTTATTAAGGGTTTATTCTTCTAATATTTATTCATTCACTTCCTCATTTATTCACTGTGTTTCCCAAAAGCCACTTGTCACTGCATGTAATTGCCTTTTATTAAATAAGTAAAAAGTGATACATATAAGCACTTAGGACAGTGCCTGGTAGATAGTAAGCATCTGAGTTATCTATTACTCCTTTATTTCATTAATTCTAAAATACACCTTTTTCCAAATTTTAACATCTCCAAAATCAGGATACAATTTGCAGTCGAAGGCACTTAGAATTGAAGAAATACTGTATTGTTTATTGTTGTTCTGCTCCACTTGGCTGGAGGCCTCTTAATGGCTGGGGTTTCTTCCTCCTTACACTCCAGCACCCGGCATGGTGTGGTTTGGGTGGAATGAATGAAAACATGGATGAAGTCTTTCCTGATACCACCTGTTCCACCACACAGACAGCACTCACTTTCCTTGGAACTCGTAAGGCTCATGGTCAGACATCTTTCCTGGCACTTCTTATATTCTACTTTGAACTATGGTTGACTGCCCATGTCACCTTATACCAGTGTAATGAAGGCAGGGACCCTGTCCTATTTATCCAAGTATCAGCATTGCACCGTGCCTTCCACATCGGTGCCTTAATCAAAGTATTTTTGGTCCCAAGAAAACGCACAATGTCAGCTTCCCCGTGGTCTCTAGTTGGCTGGGCTGTGAGCTCTGTGAGGGCAGTGATCAGGTTCCTCTCATCTCTCGGTGAGCTTCGTATATAGTAGGTGCTCAATAAGTACTGAATGAAGAACTTGTCCACACCCACCCTGCTTCACTCCCAGGCCAGTCTGACACAACTTCCCTCTCTAATGTAAATCCATCGTGAAGTGTGCAATGACACACGTGTTTCCAGAACCAACACAACAGCAGCAGCAGCGGTTCTTCAAAATTCCTGACTGCAACAGAAGTGGTGGGGAGGTAAAAAGGGGTCTGTGATTCACGTAGAAGTTTTCTCTGCTCAGAAAACTCTTGCTCTGGAGCAGGGGCTGTAGCTCTTAAAACTCTCAGTGCCAAATTTAATCAGAATCTCTGGGAGTGAGACCCAGGGAACAGTATTTTTTGTTTTTATTCTCAACACACAGCCCATTGAGGTCTGTCGTAACCTGCAACACAGAAATTTGCTCTAAACAAATTCAATGTGGGGTGACTCTGGACTTTGTGAAGGACTCCTCACTGGAGGTCTTTGGAATGGAGAGCTCCCCAAGGGACCATGAGAACCTTCATACCTTTCTCTAAACCTCCTGAGGAGGGCAGGTGCACTGTCTGGGCCTGTGGCTGAGCTGGGGTTGTGTAACTGTCAAGCCTGCCATAGATTTCTGGGCAAGACACTGGAACACCTATGTCCTCTCTCTCCACCCCTAGCTATGACCTCAAGCAAGTCATTCCCTCTCTGCGTAACTCAATTTCCTTATTTGCAAAGCAAGATTGCTCTAATGTCCTATAGCTCAAAAGTTTTATAATTCACTCTAGCCTCTCAGGTGTTAAGAGGTGTTGTTATAGTTGTCTATAACAAAAAATTTAAAAAATCTTTTCATGTGTGGCAAGAATAGAATTATTTTTTAGGCTGTGAGATTTGAATTCTTAGCTGTTTTTTGGCCACCTAATTAATTTCATCCAGCATTTGTATCAATATGGAAACATTTACTTCCTGTTTTTTGAGGTGTGTACTGGTGTGAAATGAATTATCCTAACTTGTATTTTCATTAATCAGAAAATAATTCTAGGTAAAGATGAAGTGCCTCTAAAAGAAAATATGTTCAATCTTCACCTAATAAAGCATTAAATGAATTTCTTATATTTGAATTCTATTTAGACTTTGCCATAGAAACAAAATAGCTGTCTGAGTCAAGTGATTTATTCTTTTTTAAAAAGGGACAGTGACTTTAAGCAGTACCTGTCTATTAATCAGTCTTCCAAGTAAGCAAGAGGGAATTGAATGCAGAACAAATGGTAAACTAGCACTACAACAGCAGTCAATAGTTTATTCTTAAGAGCTTCCCCGAAATTCATTCTGTCTAGAATAATAATAGCTAACATATCATGCTTATTATGTGCCAGGCACTGTTCTGACTGAATGTATTATTAGCTCATTTGATCTTCACAACTGCCTTCCTGGGAGAATACTGTATCCTTCCTTTTTTTTTTTTTGAGACAGAGTTTCACTCTGTTGCCCAGGCTAGAGTGCAGTGGTGTGATTTTTTGGCTCACGGCAACCTCCGCCTCCCGGGTTCAAGCGATTCTCCTGCCTCAGCCTCCTGAGTAGCTGCAATTACAGGTGTGCGCCACCATCTCAGCCTTCCAAAGTCCTGGGATTACAAGCGTGAGCCACTGTGCCAGGCCCATCATCCCTCTTTTACAGAAGAGGAAGCTGAGGTCAAGTAACTTGTCCAAGACCACATAGCCAGTACTTAACCATTGCATTGACTGCCTTGAGAAAGTTCATAAACAATTTTGCAGGTGAACAGATTCTGATAACTGAATGTAGATTTTTCGAGAATTATTCAAATTATTTAACAAGCCTGTACAATGCCTAGCATTGTGCTAGGCTAATGTTTCCCCAAACGAGTTCAAGGTCTTACTTGATCCTCCTTGATAAAAGGGTTACTGGACCATTAAGTCTGGAAGATGTCCTAAAATTTAGCCTGCTTTGGGAGATTCAGAATTACATCAAAGGTTCTGCGAAACCTTACAGGAAAGATATCCACATGCTTACCTCAGCTTTGCTAACCACATTTACCTCTGGAAATTCTCCTCTCCATCTCCTGTGCTCCACCTCTACCTTCTTTTGCAACACCTATAAATGTAAGAGTTATTGTACCAGACACTTAAGGCATCTAATGAGCTTGGCTTCCTAAGCCTAAGAAGTGTGATGCTTTACCTGCTAAGTGTTATATTGATACTTTGAAGAATGGTTCTCATTTCACAGCAGTTGAGTAACTAAACACAGGTACGCTAGTTAGTGGTAGAAAGGGGATCCAATGGGAGGGTGTGACTTCAGAACTCATGCTAATCTTAGCCACTACTCCACTGGGCCACCCTATATCTAATAATAGGTGAACATCTTGTCTGGATGGGAATCTACCCTGCCCCATGACATAATGCCGTCAGCTGCGCTGCAGGCCCTGCTTTGACCTCACATCATGGTTCTAGGCTTACTCTCTAAAGTCAGGCCCTTCCCTGTCTCTCAGTCCCAGCAATTGTATTTCTGCCCCATCATTCACATGCATGTCTCTTTTTCCTTGGGACCCAGATTCCTCTGAGATAGGAGTCTAGCTTTGAATCCCAATTGAGTGGCTGATCCTTAGAATTTGCAGCTGAACGTGCCTGATGCTAGCTGCCTGTTCTTCCGGTCTCCTGCTGTGCCGTGCTCACAGGGGTCATAGTGACTCTATCTGGGCTTTCCCTGGGGCTGTTGGAACCCTGGTTATTGCAGTGCCAATGCTCAAGGAAGCTAAACAGTTAGCTGAAGAGGCAGAATTCATGAACAGGAAATGATGTACAAAGTGCTAAAGGAGATGGAACTAACCAAAGTTCAAGATGGCCTGGGACAAAAAAAGAGCTGGATATGAAGGGTGACAGCTCCCAGTAGAAGGGACCCAGAAGAGTTTGGAGTGCAGGCAGTTCTGCAGGGACAAGGATTCAAGGACGGGGCTGAGCAAGTGTTGGAGACAGTGGGTGCAATCACCTGACTGGTTCTAATATGCGGCTGGAGTGTTCAAGGGTATGGTGGAAGGGAGGATGTGAAGAAAGGCTGGGAGCTCACAGAAGGTTTTGACTTGCAAAGAAGGCAGCACACTACAATCATTAATTGTACTGTTCCCTTCACATACAAGACTGAAGTCAAAATTGTCTCTGTCACTTATGTGACCTTGGAGAAGTCACAACCTAAGCCTGTTTCCTCATCTAACAAATGGGGACAATAGTACTAATATCTCATAGGGAACTGAGGATGAAATGTGAATTGAGAATGGATATCTAAGGCTTAGCACACTGCCTGGTGAGAGCACAGTAAGGGCGCCTTCAAGAGGGCTTTACCAATCCGTAACAACTGTGTACAGGTTCAAAGAAGCCTCCTTTGTGGAGAACCATGAGTGTTCAGCTGGCTCCTCAGGAAATTACATGGACAACCAGTACTTTCGTATCTATTTCTTCACTTGGCCCTCCAGAGTGCTGCCACCTGAAGCCTGAGCATTTCCTGTTCTGCAGCCAGGACTTGTCACCTAGACAAGTAACTGGGAACTTTGTGCAAAACTAAGGGACACTTCCCAAATGCTGAATGCTTGGTGCCTATGAGAAAATGTCATCTTCCATGGAAAATATAGAAGGCTATCCATGCTGGACATATAAGGGTCTGGGGCCCTCCTTTGTGACCCAGAAACTTAAAAATGAAAATGCATTCTTTGGCGAGGCACGGTGGCTCACGCCTGTAATCCCAGCACTTTGGGAGGCCAAGGCAGGCAGATCACCTGAGGTCAGGAATTTGAAACCAGCCTGGCCAATGTGGTGAAACCCTGTCTCTACTAAAAATACAAAAATTAGCCAGGCATGGTGATGCAGGCCTATAATCCCAGCTACTTGGGAGGATGAGGCAGGAGAATCACTTGAACCCGGGAGGCGGCGGTTGCAGTGAGCCGAAGTGGCACCACCGCACTCCAGCCTGGGCGAGAGAACAAGACTGTCTCAAACAACAACAACAAAATGCATTATTGAGCTGGGCATCGTGGCACATGCCTGTAAGCCCAGCTCCTTGGGAGCTTAAGCCCAGGAGTAAAAACAAAAACAAAAAAACCCAAAAAACCCCAGCATGCTGACTCACTTTTTAAAGATTAAGGGACCCAAAGTAAATCATGCTGTGCTTCCTTCTTAAATCTTATCCTCAGGGGAAGTCAAAGTCTACTTTGAAGGGAAAAGAAGTCCCCAAGGTCAACAGAGTCTGAGAAACTGTAAAGATGGGAGGGCTTCCTGTCCACTTTGCCTTGGGACCCAGGTTCTGGGGTCAGGCTGAAAAGCTCCTCTGAGATCATCCTGTCCAATGGCTCGCAACCATTTCCCACCTCTAACATGAGCTCCCTCTGGCTGTGACTCTCAACCAAGGAGAGAAAGGTGGAAGTGTTTGAAAAAGCCCTTCAGGAACGTGAAAGGCAGGCTGGTAGCCTCCTTTGAGACTCACCAATTAGCAAACCTGTAATTTTACAGATGAAGATATTGAGGTCAGAGAGATGGAGTCTGCCCCAGCATTAGGAACAAACAGGACCAGCACTAAACCCAGACCACCTGACTCCCAGTCCCCGACCTTTCTTTGACTTCCATAGTTTTTTATGGCAGACTGGCAAGTCTTTCTTTGGAATTCTCCTCTTCCCAATCTCCCACTCACAATCTGAGCACAAACACTCTGAGCACAAAAACAGTACACCTGGTAAGTGTTCCTGATATTCTACCACCAGACCTGTTCTGACAGAACTAGCAACGGGCATCCTGGCCAAACGTGTGATTCCTGAATGAAGAGTCTAGACACTGGCCGGGTTACAATGGCCACTTTCAAAGTGCAGGCAATTTACTTTTGCCTGGTTTTAGCAGTGACTAACAATGTACGATCAAGTCTGGCTTTAAAGAGTCCTTGTTATTTCCACATCCTTGTACTCATTTGTGAGCCTGGTAACAAGTATGCAGTGTCAACAGTCCATCCTAATGAGCTGTCGCAACTCAACAGCTACGGCAGAAGGGAACTGGCTGAAGAATCTGTGTGCAGTTATGTAGCTCACTGAATTCTCATGGTCTTCCCAAATTCTCTGATTTCATTTGGAAATTAGCCCATCGAGGCTTCCAAAAAATTTATCCTAATATTCCCAGGAAAGAAAATTTGAGGCCTACTAAACTTAATGTGGGAAGTTAGTTCCATTTCAAGATATCATGGAATCAAACCTCCAGGCAAGAGCATTTCAGGTCTGGTGTTCTCTGAGAACAAAAGTAATACAGTTTATGTTAACTTTACCTAATTGTAAATAAGGGGGCTATGTTTTATGCTGAAAATAACAACTCAGAATACCTTGCCCACCCTAATACACCTCCTGAAGACAGTGTATCGCGTATCAGTTATCTATTGCTGTGTAACAAATTACTCTAAAACACAGTTGCTTAAACCACAAACATTTATCATCTCAGTTTCTGTAGATAAGATATTTGAGAGTGGCTTAGCTAGGTGGTTCTAGCTCAGGGTCTCTCATGAGGTTGTGGTCAATGCATTGGCTGGGACCACAGTCATCTGAAGTTTGGGCCTGGAGAATTGCTTCCAAGATGGCTCCCTCACATGGCTTTTGGCTGGAGGCCTCTGCTCCTCACTTCTAGGTCTTCTCCATGGAGTTGAGTGGCCTTACAATATGGCTGCTGGCTTTCCCTAGAGTGAAGGATCCAAGAGAGAGTAAGGAGGATGCAATGCCTTTTATTACCTAGTCTCAGAAGTGACACACCATCTATTTGTTGGAAGGGAATCACTAAACTCAGCCTGTACTTAGAGGGGAATGAAGTGTCCCGTCTTAAAGAGAAGCATATCAAAAATTTGTGGATAGATTTTAAAACCACCACAGATGGCAAAGCATTATTTTCTTATTTGTTAACAGTAACTTATCAGTGTTCACCCCACCTTCTAGTATTTTCAAATTGATGTTTTTTAAACCAGCATGGTAAAATAACTGTCATGTATGTATTCAGGTAGAGAATTAAAATATACCAATATCTGAAAAGGCAAGTCTGCTTATGATAAATTTCCTGAAGATTAATTTCACATCATTAACCACAACCCCTCCCCAAAAAAGCTCAAAATATTTCTTAAGCAAGAGAGGCTAATGGTAACTTACAAAGGAACAGAATAATAATCACTGCATCAACTATCTTTCTTTTTTCCAAATATCTACTAATATTCACTTCTTTCCTTCACAGAAGCCAATCCACGGTAAAATACTTTTATTCCACTCCTACTTAAGGAATACATAATCAATACAAAAATTGTACTTTTTTTTTTTCTTTTTTGAGACGAGGGTCTTGCTGTTGCCCAGGCTAGAGTGCAGTGGTGCGACAGCTTGCTGCAGCCTTGACCTCCTGGGCTCGATCAATACTCCCACCTCAGCCTTCTGAGTAGCTGGGACCACAGGCTTGTGCCACCATGCCTGGCTAATTTTTTTTTTATTTGTAGAGACAGGGTTTCATCACGTTGCCCAAGCTGGTCTCAAACTCCTGGGCTCAAGCAATCCTCCCGTCTCAGCTTCCCAAAGTGTTGAGATCACAGGTGTGAGCCACTGCAGCCGGCCAAAAAACTGTACATGTCTTTAATGCAGGTCATACTGTAATTGCTTCCACCTAGTGGATGAAAATGGTACTAAAAGAGTTTGAAAAAATATATAAACTTCCCTCACAGGTACTTCATGACTCACACACTTCTGTAACTTTTTACAATCATATCACATACTTGATGTATATAGGTAGCTTACATCTCAATAAATCCTACAAATTCTTCCTATAAAGCAAAAATTCTTTTGTAGGTATACATTTTCATATTTACCTTTGGAATTCTCCAGGCCAACCTGGAATATTGCTAAGAACCAGGAAATAAGCCAAACAGTCTCCTGGCAGCCAACAGGTGTCACGGTGTGCACATACTAGAGCCCTGTCAGACTGACAACTATAAAAGCAGAGACTAGTTGGATGCCTGGCACATGAAACTCAATGAAGATCTGTTAAAGGAACCAATAAAGCTCATGAATTTTATTCCAAAGGAGTCTTTCTCCCAGAACCTAGTTCCTCTTTCCTACCTTAATACAAAAGTCCTAGAAATCTTTCAGTATGAATTCTAATCTTATAGCTAAACAGAGAAGAAATGACTCAAGAAAGTTCATTTTGGTCAAGGTGTTGAGATTGACAACTGACAGCAAGTAAGAAAAGTGCTGGAAAAGACACAAAACCAACCACAGCATTCTTGGGACCAGTCTGGGAAGAAGCAATACAGACAACTTGAGTTTATGATATTATCTGTGGGGTTATCAAGAAATGGTTATTGGCCAGGCCTGGTGGCTCACACCTGTAATCTCAGCACTTTGGGAAGCCAAGGTGGGCAGATCACAAGGTCAAGAGATTGAGACCATCCTGGCCAACATGGTGAAACCCCATCTCTATTAAAAATACAAAAATTAGCCAGCGTGGTGGCACGCGCCTGTAATCCCAGCTACTTGGGAAGCTGAGGCAGGAAGAATCACTTGAACCCAGGAAGCGGAGGCAGCAGTGAGCCGAGATTGCGCCACTGTACTCCAGCCTGGAGACAGAGCGAGACTCCGTCTCAAAAAATAAAATAAAATAAAAAATAAAAAAATAAACCAACAAAAAAGATGATTATTTATCATATACCATTTAAGAATGTAACATTTATGAAAAATTTTTGATAAAGACCTTTTAAAAGTTTCATTGCTTAAAAGGATGAGCTCTTAATCATTTGGAAAATGTGGTTATTCAGAAAAATTAGTTTCCTGAGGGCTCCAAACAATAAAAGCTTAATAGCACACTTCCAGCAGATTTAACTACAAAAATAATTTCACTAGTGTTATACACACTAAAATAAGTGTTTTCACTACAATCACTCACATTAAACAATAAGGGTCCTCAATTAGCTGTGTTTGATTTACTTAATTTTTTTAAACAAATGGAGCTTTTTTTGGGATAGCCAGAGTAGAGTAATCCTTAGCTCCACCCCACCATCCACATATAATTCCGTTGACATTAAATAAGCAAAAGTAATATTCTTGCTTGGAAAATTCAAATTTTACAGGAAGTTTAAAAAGTGAAAAGTACAAGTCTCCCTCCTAGTTTCTATACCCCTGACAGACATTCAAACAGAATGACACAGACACACCCAGTTCCTCAGTCCCCTTCCTCAGCAACAGCCACTTAACACTGAGATGTGTTCTTCAAAAACAAGTATTAGTGCACAAAAACACATGTCCTTTTGGAAATATAGACCCCTGGAATTTACCCATTCCTCCATCATCAGTTTGCACTTTAAAACACAGGGTTTTTGGTGGATTTTTCTTTAGATGAGGTCTCCTCTTTTGCCCAGGTTGGAGTGCCGTGGCACAGACAGCTCACTGCAGCCTTGAACTCCTGCCTGCCTCAGCCTCCCAAGTAGCTGGGACTACAGGCATGCGCCATTGCACCTGGCTAGCGCAGTTTGTTTTTTGTTGTTGTTCTCTCTCTTCAAGTTCTGAAAATTAAGCTAAAAAAAAAAAAAACCCCAAAAAACAAAACGCCAAATTCTACTTCACAGGTTTACTTTGTGTTAAAACAAAAAAGCTACCAAGCGTATCCCAGTTTCAAATATCGATGATTTTTCAAACTGAAGGGAACAATAATTTCTTTTTCTCCTACAAATCTTGGTTTTTAACTATAACTTAGTCTTTCAAAGGGCAAGTTTGTTATATAATTAGTTCAAAATGTAACTGAATATCTACTATGTGGAAAGTCCCATGTGCTACGTACAGGCTAACACACAGCCCCCACCCATGGACAGCTTGTTGCTAATACAGTAAAGGAGGGAAGGAAGGCAGAAGAGAGACTGAGAGGAGACAGAAGGAAATGCTATTATAGATCACTGAAGGCTGAAGATGAGGCTAGGGCAGTGCCCAGGTTAAATGGAAAAGACAGCGAACAGCTAACTGGAAACAAAACACTTAGCGCTCACTCCTGCTTGCTTCTCAGCCTTCTCCCTGCTTCCTCTATGTTCTTCTCACCTATCCTAAGCTGTCTGAGCTTGATTATCTCCAAATGATTTTGAACCCTCCTCGACAACAACAGGACTGTGAACTTGGATTAGGATAATAGTGCTTAAGCCCTGAAATTACAAAGGAAAGCTTAACAATAAACTGATGACTGTGCAGAGACTGTTACATGTGATTCTACTTCTGGTATTCTTTAAAATGTTTTCTTCTTCCCTAAGGTAGGGTGGGGTGTAAAACCATGGTGGTCCCACCCACACCATGGAGATAAAAAAGAAATAAGGTTAAATTCAGATGCTTTAAAAAAAAAGAGTTGAGGAGGGATTTAATAAAGATACATGCTCTTCTAAATTCTAAAACCACATAACTCTGGAGAAGGTGCATATTCATCTGTTCCTCTTCAAGGCAAAGAAAACAGTATGACAAATGAAAAAGGTGTAAAAGGTCAGCATGAGTAATATTTTCCAAGGCATTTACATATGTGAACATTATTTGCAAATATTTTAGGGAAATATTTTCTTTGCTTTTAGGCTGAATCTGCAAAGACACTCAGCAGTATCCTTATGAGAACAGAAACAATATGAAACTGAAATGGTTACTATAGATGTGATATTAGGTTTTCCTAATTATATGAAAAGCCTATTAGTAAATAGCTTAGAGTGCTTCTTGCTTCAAAATATAATAATTTTAGATGTTAAAGCTATCCATTTCTGATGAAAATTCTGGACGACATTAACACTGAATAAATATTTATTGTGATTTTTTCCCCGGTGGCATAAGGTTGTTTATTTTTCCTAGCTCTCCAAATGACACAGTTGCGGAACCTCTTTCAGCTGGTCTTGCCTGAAAATAATAAAGATTAAAGATATTAGAAATAGATAGATAATACACAGCCCCAATTAAAGCCCTTAATGCTGTCTTACATTACCCCTTCCCCCAAGTTAGTAAACAATAATCTGAACACGAACCCACTAAGAAAAGTGATCCATCTTAGTAACGTTACCTGTGACTCATGATATTTCCATCCTATCATGTAATAGATCTGGTATGTAGCAGGTACTGAACCATCTTCATTTCTGTACATTTCTAAAAAGACAATAATGGTTAAAGTCTGAAAAAATGCAAGTAGGAAAAAATTTCTGCTCAATAAAGGTCATGTTCTTCAAAAAGAAATGGGTACAAGGATACTTGTAAGATTCTGAGAACATCTTACATGAAAAATTCTTAATACTGAGGGTAAGGAAATAGTAAAGGCTGTCTGGAAAAAGCTACAGGATCTGTGTTTTGAGAGGAAGGACAAGAAGTCTGAGGGAGCCTTAACAGGAATGGAAAATGCATTGGCAACGTGAAGGGAATCAACATGATACAGCACAAGTGCCTTGGTGAGGCGGGTGAAAGAGTGGTCGCCCCTTACCTCTGTACACTGCCGCAGCTGCCAGCATTGTGTCTCGATGCAGCAGGGCTTTTCTATTCCAAGCACAGTTACTCTCACCCATACCTACAAATACACTACAGGTAGTTTGAGATAATACAGCAAACACCCTGAACAGCTCAATACCACAGACTTAATCCCGTCTCATCTAACAGTATACCTGTCCTCATTCTCTAAGGGTCATGTAAACCTAAATCTCATTTCACTTTCAGATTATAACTGGGTTTCTTAGTGACTCTAAAGCGAAACTACTTGAAACTTTTTCAACATTAAGACAGGCAAGTGAAATTTCAGGAGGCAGCTCCACAATGCTTTACTTGCCAGCAATGGTCTAAAGTAAGCCCGCTGGGCAAAAGCCAGGTGACTGCCACCCCAGGTGAGTTGTCAGCAATTGGCAAGAACTTTACCAAGGATGTCACATCTCATGCTTTTAGCTGCTCTTTGGAGGAGGACAGGTCAGTGCAACAATGCCTCACTCCTAAGCCATAATGCAAGTATGACTGTGAAACTTGGAAGACGGCTTTGAAACTCATTAGATAGTACCAAAGCTACTATGTGCTCTCAGATTTACAATATTTTACTAATCCCACATTAGGAAAGAATTATGTGCATTCTTTTGGAGGTACTTCTCTTAATGTTTTAAAATATTTAGACTTCCTTCGAGTTGATGGTGAAAAGCTAGGTTAAGCATTATTCTATTGTTCATTTAAGATTAATGTTGTATATTTGATTTTTCTTTATACAAATACTTAAATTTACTTTGAGCATATTTTAAGCCAGTCTGCAAAATTAAAAGAATTTCAGAAATAAAAATCCTTCATATGTATTCTCTATATTAAATTTTACACATGATCAAATGTTTCTTAGTTTTGTTTTTCTACTTTCACAAATCAACAAATGAATAAACTTACCAATATCAGTATTCTTTCACAGTTTAAAAATAATAATCTACCATATTTTCAATGGTCTTATTAAAAACAATCAACAAATGAGCTGCACCTAAACCTTTTTCTTCTCTTTAATCTCAAAAGATTTCTACTACTCTCTAAAATAATGAATCTCTGCTACTAAAATCCTGTAAGTGTAACAACCCCAATTCATGCAGATTGACAGACACAAACTAGTAGGTTAATTATCATCAAGAAAAAGGTGGATCATATTCTTAGTGTCATGAAGCAGCTGGATAACCTTGGGCCAATCATCTGTGGTCTTTAAAGTGACCAGACTAGATGCTCCGTAAAGGCTTCTAGTGCTCACATTTTAACCATATCAAGTGACCAGAGGTAAACTGGGTCTCACATTGGAAGAGTCTGTTGGCTCAGGTATGGTGCTTTCATTTCTGCTCAACTTCTCGCTGCTATGGCTTAATTATGCATTAGTTATGGACAACACCAGTAGAAAAGAGATTTAATTTTTTAGACATAAACATGTGATGCACTAGAAATTCTAAAATGCCTTCTAACAATCAGTATTAGGATATACTAATTAAGATTAGTAGGCATAACACTCTCTGAAGGTCTGACCTACATCAGCCATACAGAAATTCAAGAGCACTACTGCAGAGCACAGGGCGTAACTGTGCAGCACTCCAGCCTTCCCTCACAAGCCACTCACACTGCCACACTGAAACTCCCTTCTTGCAGAAGCAGTGTGAGGGTGGTGGAAAGAATCTGGACTTTGGGATCACACTCCCAGTTTTAACTCTTATATAACCTGGGGCAAAGTCATTCAACCTCTATCGAATTCCAGTTTTGCCATCTACAAAAGAGTAACACCTCCTAATGCATCATGGGGGACCTCTACTGAAGACCACCTGGGAAAAACTGAAACTTTGGGACTTCCGACTCGCCCTGGGCTTTGAGATAACAGAAAAATCTGGCTAGTAGGTTAACTGTTTAAGACTCTCACAGTGTTTTTAAGGTGAAGTTCAACTGCTTATCAAAAATAAACCTAATTTATTACAGTTTACTAAAAACAATACTGAGTATTGTTTAAAAAAATAACTGAACTTACCTTAAGACCACTGTGAAAGCCTTGAAAATTTCTCATGCATTCATCAGCTGATATGCAGCTTGTTTTGTAAAATTAGGTCAACATTCTGGACTTTTGTTCTGTGAATTAATAATAGCAGCTTAAATGAGACACACCACAACCATTAAGAAAAAAAATACACCACAAATGTAAAATCCCAGAAACAAATTTGGAAGTAACATGATCTTCTAGTCAGCAGAATGGCACACCTGAAAGTCTCCCACGGTCTCCCTGCCTCCATCATCCCCTGACTATGCTTCTTCCCATCTCATCTGCCTCTGACTTTTTCCAAGGCAGAATGGCTAAGATTTCAGCATACAAATCAGGCTGTTCGACTAGGTTTAAATCCTGGCTCTACCACTCACTAATTACAACATCTGGGACAAGTTACTTAACTTCTGCCTGGGTTTCCTCACACATTAAAAAAAAACAAACAAACAGATTAACCATGTTAGCTCTAGTCTTCCCTTCCTCATAAACTATGCCTCATAAACAATGCTGGAAGGTGAGCTTTCTAACACACACAAATGTATCTCATTTTCTCTCCTCTATGCAAAATTCTTCCAAGACATTACAACGCTAATCTGAAAAAAATCTAGAAGCCTCTGATCCTATTCATTTCCCATCATCTCCCCGTTCTATATACTCAAGGAATACTGGATTATGGTACCATTCCTTAATCAGGAGAGTGAAGGATGTGCATATCCTATTCTACCTCCATGTGGATGCAATGTTAGCTCCCCTAAACCTCAACCCACCTTTCATTCTCCGGGCAAACTCATTTTCGTTTAGGTGCTGCCTCTTTTGCAAAAGCATTCCTGACCCCCTAAGCAGATTTAGGGCCTTTTCCTCCTGTGTTTCTCCTTGTACTTTATTATAAATGATTTCATTTTACAGTTGAATGTAGGAGTCTGTCTCTATCTTTGCGTTCTTCTTCCCTAGTACAACATAAGCTCCCTGAGATCAGGAACTACGTATTTCCACCACTGGCTCCGTGGTTGGCACATGGGTAGATGCTCAATAAACGCTAAGTGAAGGTATATAAAACCAACCTGTTAATGATTATATCTATTTTGTTAAATATCATTTTATAAGTGTAAATAATTTCTCTTAATATTCCTAAGGATAAGATGTATCAAAAACTAAGACATCTGATTTCTGTAACAGACATTACAGTTAAGAAAAAGCAGCATTACGAAAGCATCTGAAAGTATTAGGCCATAGTTTCTGAAAATATACGGTCTATTTAAAACCTTTAGGAGACTCACACCTGTAATCCCAGCACTTTGGGAGGCCAAGGTGGGTGGATCACCTGAGGTCAGGAGTTCAAGACCAGCCTGGCCAACATGGTGAAACCCTGTCTCTACTAAAAATACAAAAATTAGCCAGGTGTGGTGGCACATGCCTGTAATCTCAGCTACTAGGGAGGCTGAAGCAGGAGAATTACTTGAACCCAGGAGGCAGAGGTTGCAGTGAGCCAAGATTGTGCCACTGCACTCTAGCCTAGGCGACAGAGTGAGACTCCATCTGAAAAACAAACAAACAAGAAACCTTTAGGAAAAGAGGGGGTTATCAATTTGGAAGGAGCACAAGGCTACCTTCTGGGAGACTGAAAATGTTCAATATTTTGTTCAGGATGGTGGTTAAAATACAAGCAGCTGTACCTTTAAGATTAATACATTTCGCTGAATATACATGTTAACCTGAATTTAAAGAATCACATACATATCAAATATGCAGTACAGGACTCTGAATTCAAATTGTAACTACAGATTCAGTGTGACCATGGACAAGATACTTAACTTCTCGATGCCTCAATTTGCTCACCGGTAAAATTAGGGTATTAGAAAAACCTCAGAGAATTGCACTAAGCACAGAGTTAAGTGCTGCTCATATGTTGAAATCAGTGGGAAGTAACTTTTTCCAACAGAGAGGTCTAATTTCTAGTATGTTTCTCTTTTCTTTCTTGAAATGAATCATGAACACAGATTCTACAGCAGAACAAAAATAAATGCTGTATTTGAATAACATTTTTATTATTAGAGCCCGAGTGATATATCATCAGCCCACCATCATCTCTCAAGCCTTTGGATAAAGTGGCTCCTTGATTACATCAGGTAAGTCCTTGGGGTATGCTGGGGAAGGGGTGTGTGTGACTTATTACTGATCCTCTGTTATCTTGGCCATGCATGCTACAGGCTGCCAATCCCTCTATTAATGAATGAAAACTGATGACAATGGTAAGATTTCAGCTACGCATCTTTCCGTTTGCAGAGTGACAGAAGCTCCACACTCAGAGGAGGCTGCACGATAGGTCAAATGAACCTTGTTACAGATGGGCAACACAAGAAGGAACAGGGTCAGTTCAGACAGTGCCAGGGCAGAGCCAAGAAGCATGAGTTTGGCAGCTAATTCTGCCACTTGACAGGTAACTGTTCTCTTTGGCCCTAATTATTCTCACTCGTAACTTAAGCAAGCAAGAACAACAATGCTCACAAAAGACTATAAATCTGTAAGTAAAGACTAGATACTTATTTGTATAATCCTCTTTCTTTAAATCATCTTACAATTTTTCAGGATCCAGATGAAGGCTCCCCTAGGTAAGTGTAGTTCTGGATTCACAGAACATACCTTTAACCCCTCTTGCTTCCCCCATTCATCGAAATGATTTTTGATGTCAGTCTATATATATAAAAGAACCACCTCACAAATTCCCACAAAGGACGCAAGTTGAAGCTCTCTTTTAAGGAAACTGCTTCTCCAGCATCCCTTTCAAGTAATAGTTTATTTTTGCATATATTTTGCATATCTAACCTCTTTCAGAGTTTGATCTGTATCCTTCTTACTCCTTGAAGCCTCTTCCAAGCCATTACTTCCCTACCCTATTAAACACCTTCACCCTGCTGAGGCCCCACACCAGAAGGCTGTTAGCTCCTCCTAACTCCTGCTTGCTGTCTGACATCAGGCTAGTCACTCCCCTCATTCACTGAAAGGTTTGGCACTTGGCTCAGTTTTCCTCTACACTCCAGTACTGCCACCATCCTGGGTGACTTCATGTTAATAATCAGCAAGTTAAGATTTTAAAATCTCATCTCTAATCAACCACTCCATCACACCACCTCTGCCTTGATACCTGAGACACGTCCCAGACCATTATCACTTGTAACTGCTTTACTTCCAAAATCATCAAACATCTCATTTTCTGACCATACCCTCCTGTCCCTCCAGTGTGTTCAGGAACTTCAACCGTGACCATCCCTGACCACACTGGAACCACCTGTGCTCAGCTCCTCTTTTTCCTCCCAATTTATCAGCTCACTCTTTCTTGTTCCCACTTCCCTTTTCTTCCAGCTAAGATTCTTTAACCTATTATCTCAATTATACTCCTAGAATTATCTTTTACCTTTGTCTTTTTGTCACTTTTAACTAGCAAACCCCCAACCCAAACTAATTCAACTATCCGATTTTCGTGCCTGGTCCTGAGCTGCCACCTCCTGTTGATGGTCAGTTCACCTTCTCATTCCCTATAATGACTATTTCAAACGGTTCCATTCACTTCTCAAAACTCTGACCCTTTCATTCTTAGCATATATTACTTCCAGTTTGACAAAAAAAATAGACCCACAAGATGGGAACTTCTTGTTTTCAAACATAAACACCTACATCCTTTGGTGCTACCTCTTCTCCCTTCCTGCTATAACTTTGCCTCTCCCCTTACCAAGGTCAACCCCTCCACTGGCCTTTGTATTGCACCCTTCCCACCTTCTCAGACACCTGTCATCATCAATTATCTTTTCTCTCTCTTCTAGAGTCACCTCTTCTAGGAAAGCACTTAGATTCTTCTAGTCAGCAATTAAATAAATTCAAGTCTTAGAAAAAAAAAAACAACCTCATCTCAACTTCTATTCCTCTCCTCTCTTCTGACACCTGTAACCTTTCCATCCTTCACCTCTTCTTCACCACCAGACTTCTTGAAAGAACAGCACATATCTGCTATCTCCAGTTCCTCACTTTCCACTTACTCCTCAACCTACTCCTCTTCTACTCTCCTCACTCTAACAAAAGAGCTCTCACCAGGGTCACCAATAACCTTCTTGTTCCTAAATCTAGCGGACTTCCTTTTCAGTTCATAGTTTGCTTTTAACGCTGCTAAGTGCTCCCTTTGTTTTGAAACATTCTTTCTTTCCTTTGGTTCAGGCAATTCTACACTTTTCTGGTGTTTTTCTGGAACACCTTGCTGGCTACTCCTTCTCAGTCTCTTTGTAGGCTCAGACGTCGACTACCCACCTGCTAAAGCCTCAGTACCAAGCCACTTTGTCTGCTCACTCCATGTTCTTATCCTAGGCAAACGCTTTGAATGCCACCTATTCACAACTGACTCCCAACTTTTTAACCAAGCCAGTAGCTTCCTCTGAGCTACCTACCCACATACTCAACTGCCTACTTGACATAACCTCTTAGGTATTTCAAAAGCACTTCAAACCCAATGTATCCAAATGTAAACTCAAGGGCTGTACCTGCCCACACCTGGTATTCTTCTATTGTTTCTTCTATCAATGAAGGACACCATCTCTCTATGTGAGCTAGAAACTCAGCAATTAAGCTTCAAATGTCTTTCTCCTTCATCTGCCCACAGCCAATCCACCAGCAGGAACTGCAAAATTTATCTCCTAAACATCTCTGGGATGAATCTGCTTCTCTTCATCTCCATTGCCACCACCTTAGTACAAACTACCATCATCTCTCAGCAAGCTATACTGAAATTAATCTCGTGACTAGTTTATCTGCCAATCTACTCTTTTCAAAATCCAAGTCTGATACTGTTACCTCTCTAAGATGCCTCAAGGGGCATTTTAAGATAAGGGCAAACAATTTTAACAAGGCCTATAAAGTACTTCTGCATTTGATCTGTGACTCACGTTGACCCACCAAGGTCATCACTTAACTCTCTCCTTCTTACTCCCTGAACACCAGCCAAAATGCCCTTCTTTCAGTTCTTGCTATGTTCATTCTCACAGGAGGGCCTTTGCATATGCTGTTCTCCTTGCCTCAGATTCACTTGCCTACTCTGTCTACCCAGTTAATTCATCTCCATTTTTTTTTAGAGCACAGCTCAATTGCTACTTCCTCAGATAACACTTCTTTTTGAGTCTCCCAGACTGGGACATTTCCCCCTGACAAAACCCTACTTCTAAACCAACTCAACTACCTTCATTCCTGTATCTCAGCTGCCAAGTGTGGCTGAAGGAAGTCACCAATGTGTTCCATCATCCTCAAGTGCACCCTTCAAAAAAAAGTCCCGCCATCTTTTTACAAACAGCCGTAGCACTATATGCCTCTACTTCATAGCACTGACCATAATTCTAATTTAACACTTATCTCTGTGACAGCTGCCTGGTGCCTGCCTCCTCCATTTTATATCAGAAGCTCCATGAAGACAGTCTGCTTTCTCCTCAACAATGGATCCCTAGTGCTTTGCCCAGTGCCTGCCAAAGAGCTGGCTCTCAAAATGTTTCTCTCAAATGGAGTCTAAAAATTCTTTTTTTTTGGCCTACCTTTCCCAATGGAGTCTAAAAATTCTTTAAAGTGCCTTACCTTGTAAATCTTCCATCAATTCAAACATTCCAGGATAGTTAACTTGAATTTCATCAGTGTCCTATTTAAAAAGAAAAAGAAATATTCATTTGACATTCATGATACAAAATTCCAGATTTAAAAAAGAGGCCGCAGAGACTACCCAGACCAATCTCCCATGCTAAGCAAAAAATATTTACAATATTCTTCATAGATGTCATCTGGCTTATGTTTGATTTATGAAAGTCTCTAATTGCTGATTAAATATCCTGCATTGTGAGAGAAATCATCCTAAAACTCCATCATTGGTTCTAGTTCTCTCTTTGGGAACCACACAGAATAAGAGTATTCTGTACCCTACAAACCATTGCCCTCTCCTCCAAGTCTTTGAAAACCTTCAGGACACAAAAATCTGGAGATCCTTACATGTTCTGACTACATGTCCCTGGACAGTGTCAATATCAATCTTTCTTAAAATGGGGCACCTAGAATCAAAATATTTCATTCTATATCTAGTAATGCAGCCAATAGGCTTGTTTAGGAAATGAGCACATTGCTGATACATGTGGAGTTTGTTTCTCAAATGAACAATTGGGTAATGACTTCCTCTTCTTTTTGAAGCCTGATACAGGACTTAACTGTTGGTACAGTGGCAGAGACCACTGATGCTCCCCAAATATCCAGGTGCTCCTTGACACTTCCCAATCTCAAACACATATTTCTTTTGGCCAAAGAAAGGAGGGGCAAGACAGTTAAGAGCTAGAGCCTTTTCCAGGCCATCTCTTTTGCTGTGGTGATCTTATAGAACACAGGGCCAGATTATAGAACACAGGGCCAGATGGCACAGCTACAAGATGGAGATGGGCTGTCCCACCAGCACGCAGCTGTGATGTGATAAAACTTTATTGTGTTAGGCACTAAAAGTAGGGGTTTATTCTTATTGGAAACTAGCCTAAAATAATTTTTTTTTTTTTTAAGACGGATTCTTGCTGTGTTGCCCAGGCTGGAATGCAGTGGTGTGATCTCTGCTCGTTGCAGCCTCTGCCTCCTGAACTCAAGCGATTCTTGTGCCTCAGCCTCCCGAGTAGCTGGGATTACAGGCGCCTGCCACCGTGCCCAGCTAATTTTTTTTTTTTGTATTTTTAGTAGAGACGGGCTTTCACCGTGTTAGCCAGGCTGGTCTCGATCTCCTAACCTTGTGATCCACCAGCCTCAGCCTCCCAAAGTGCTGGGATTCCAAGTGTGGGCCATGGCGCCTGGCTGGAAACTAGCCTAAAATAAATCTAAACATCATTAATAGAGGACTGGTTAAACAAATTAAAGAATATGTATTCTATAAAATACTGTACAGTTCTCAAAAAATAAGGTAGATACATGTCTATAGGAAAAAAATCTCCAAGACATGTTATTGACTGGAAAAAAAAAAGCAAAAGAGTGCATGTAATATTATATAAGTAAGTTTAAATGACATAAGTGTATTCTATGGGTCTATAAAAAAAAGTGGATCTGAAACGATGTCTAAGACACAGCTAACAAATCTTTGGGGAAAGGGACCAGGGTTTGAGAAGTCAGGAGGAGGGACAGGCACGATGGCTCATGCCTGTAATCCCAGCACTTTGGGAGGCCGAGGCAGGCAGATCATGAGGTCAGGAGATCGAGACCATTCTGGCTAACATGGTGAAACCCCATCTCTACTAAAAATACAAAAAATTAGCCAGGCATGGTGGTTGGTGCCTGTAGTCCCAGCTACTTGGGAGCCTGAGGCAGCATAATCGCTTGAACCCGGGAGGCAGAGGTTGCAGTGAGCCGAGATCACGCCACGGCACTCCAACCTGGGTGAAAGAGCAAGACTCCATCTCAAAAAAAAAAAAAAAAATTGCTGGGTGTGATGGCACATGCCCTTGGTCCCAGCTATTTGGGAGGCAGAGGCATGAGAATCCCTTGAACCTGGGAGGCAGAGGTTGCAGTAAGCGGAGATCTCGCCACTGCACTCTAGCCTGGGCAACAGAGGGAGAAGTCAGGAAGAGGAGACTTCGTTTCACTTTACACCCCACTGTATCACTCTCTCTATATATACCTTACTCTTCTTTAAAAAAACATATACGTGTATCAGGTTGTGTATGCTTTTTAATGAGACCTCTAGGTAGTGAGACCATGAACATTCATCATCCATATACTTTTCCATATTAACAAGCTGTTTTTAAGAGGAGATCCTAAGATTAAAAACAAAATTCTTTCCAGGCTGTTATCTAGCCATTAAGCAATATCCTTTGAAAACAATTCTTCAGTGCAACCAACTAAAAGCACTATCTCCACTTCAATCAAAAGAATGCCACAACAGCTTTGTTGAAGGCCTTATTTAAATTAAAAGGGGACCATATCTGCACCATTTTTTTTATTTTATTTTTGAGACGGAGTCTCACTTTGCCACCCAGCGCCCAGGCTGGAGTGCAGTGGTGCGATCTCGGCTCACTGCAACCTCCGCCTCCCAGGTTCAAGCTATTCTACTGCCTCAGCCTCCCAAGTAGCTGGGACTACAGGCCATGTGCCACCACGCCCAGCTAATTTTTTTGTATTTTCAGCAGAGACGGGGTTTCACTGTGTTAGTCAAGATGGTCTTGATCTCCTGACCTTGTGATCTGCCTGCCTTGGCCTCCCAAAGTGTTAGGATTAGAGGCGTGAGCCACCGTGCCAGGCCTTGCACCATTCTCTTAAAGTACTAGTCTGGTAGTTCAGTTCTAAAACGGAAATCAGCTTTACTTAGAATGCTCATTCTCTGAAAATAATTCATTAAGATGAAAATACATTAAGATGTAAATACATCTATATGATACTAATCTGACTCGATTTCACTTTAAAAATAAAAATCCATTGTAGCGTAAAAGTAATATATCTAATGTATGCAACATAAACCTGTATAGCTGATTATACAAAAGCTTTTTTGGATGGGAATTTTTAGAAAATGAATTAGAACACATATTATTATTATTTTTTTTGGAGACAGGATCTTGCTCTGTCACACAGGCTGGAGTGCAGTGGTGAGATCATGGCTCACTGCAGCCTCAACGTCCCAGGCTCAATCCTTCCAACTCAGCCTCCCGAGTAGCTGGGACTACAGGCAGGCCCAGCTATTTAAAAAAATTTTTTTTTAGAGATGAGGACTCCCTATGTTGCCCAGGCTGGTCTTGAAATCCCAGGCTGAAGTGATTCTCTGACCTAGGCCTCCCAAAGTGCTGAGATTATGGGAGTGAACAACTGTGCCTGGCCAGGACGCAATATTAATACAGCACCTCAGAAACAAAACTGTATACATGCCTCACAGGATAAATGTAATGATTCAAGAAGACATTCTCATAACTTTCTTATTAAATCAGCAACTTTCTAATTGTATAAACTAAAGAAGATTCTACACCAATATTTTTATATTATATTAAAGTATGAGTCATTAGGCTCATTTTTAGAGAATATGGATAGTATTCTGAATTATATTTCCCAATTAATAGAAATGTAGGCTTTTAAACATTTTAACATCAGGTTAAACATTTTTAGTAGAAATCTTTCTAAAACTCATTCTTTATAACCACAGAAAACCATGTGTAGTTCACATAATTTAACTTTCTTCTGGTGATTAGCAGAAATCCCATTTTTTTCGTAATGGGCAATAACTTTTGAGTCCTGTAATATTGCTGACTAACCTGTATGACCTCGTATAAATTTTTTAACATCACCTCATGAAAATGTGCACTACACATCGCCACACCATCCCAGCCCTACACCTCCTATACTTTTTAGAGGCTTTACATTCCCGGAGATTCTTTTTTCATCTCAATGATAGGTTGGTGACACAGCAATATAGGAGACGATTCTCAAGAGGGTAGACTGTAAAGGAAATTTTTTCCATATTATAAGTAAAATAAATATTATCAAAAAGGCTTTAAATCACTGGTTCCTAATCTATTTTTAGTTATATTAGCTCTCTCAAGATCTGATGAAAACCATGGGTACTTTCCTCCATTTATGAACACCACCACCACAAATTTTGTGTACAACATCCCAGTATTATTGAACGGTCTAAAGTTTACCAACAGGCCTGCTATAAACCCAAAAACACCACGCAGGGATTTCTGTTTTGTTCACTGCTATATTTGAAGTACCTAGGATAGTACCAGACACACAGAAGGTACTCAGTAAATGTTTGTTGCAAGACTGAATACATAAATGAATTTGTATAGAAGGATATTCACTGCAGCATTGCTACTATTGGCAAAAAATCAGAACAAACCTAAAGGTCATTCACAGGTAAATAGTTAAGTAAAACTGTGGTACATTCATACTAGGAAATAATATGCGGAAATTAAGGAGTGCAAATATATCCATACCAATTTAGAAAACTATTAACAGTATATTGGAAATACATATACTGTTAATAAAAAAAGTTTCAGAAATGTGTGAATACATATGACTGTCTATATAAAGTAGTCCTTGTTAAAAAAAAAAAAGTCTGGAAGGTTACACACTAAAGTGATAATAGTAGCTACCTCTAGGACAGTAGTTCTCCAAGTGTGGTTTGGAGAGTCCTGGGGTCCCTAGGACTTTTTTGGGGGTCCACAAAGTCAAAATTATTTTCATAATAATACCAAGATACTATTTGGCTTTTTACCTCTTATTCTACGATGGGTTATTTTAGAGGAGACATGACATGACACATGGTGTAACAAGAAACTTGAATGCAGAAACAGACATGAGAATCTAGCTCTGTTACTAAGGTGCACATTAACTGGCAAAAATGTGAAGCAATGTCATTCTTCCCTTTCAATTATTTTTGTTTTAGAAAATATGGCCAGACGCAGCGGCTCATGCCTGTAATCCCAGCACTTTGGGAGGCTGAGGTGGGCGGATCACTTGAGGTCAAGAGTTCGAGACCAGACTGGCCAACATGGTGAAACCCCATCTCTACTAAAAATACAAAAATTAATGGGGCGTGGTGGCACGTGCCTGTAATCCCAGCTGCTCGGGAGGCTGAGGCAGGGGAATCACTTGAACCTGGGAGGGAGAGATTGTGGTGGGCCAAGACCGTGCCATTGCACTTCAGCCTGGGTGGCAGAGTGAAACTGTCCCCCCCCCAAAAAAAAAATTAAAAGAAAATATAGTTATTTTTTATTAAAAAGGGTCATTTATGTTAACAAGTAATAGGTATATTATTGTTAGCTTTAAATGAATACGAAAACAAATTCAGTTTTAATGTCTAATATAGTGAATACTGACAGATGTTAATTCACTATACAAAAAGCCCTTTAAAAGTTTCTTCATTACTTTTCAGTGTGTAGTGGGGTCCTGAGACCAAAATTTTGAGAACTCTTACTCTCAAGAGAGAGCTAAGCATTTTTAGGATTAAGGGGGAATGACAGACTTTCGCTTTATCTGTATAGCTTAATAGTTACAACCAAAATATATTTGTGTTACTTATACAATTACAAATATAAATACAATGATCCTTCAGTGTACAATTGCCTGTATTAATAGTGTTTATTTTCATTACAAAGTAGAGCACTCATGTGAAGCGGTTTTCCGCTTTCTAGCCGAGCAACCTCTCAGGATGCAGTTTCTATGGACTCAGGCCATTTAAAAGTTAACAAAAGATCAACACTAGTCACAGGTGTGAAGCCTCCGGGGTTCTCTTCAGTTCCCAGCCTAGTCCTCCAGCCTGTTAATTCTTCCCTCCCTGGAGGCTCCTTTCCAACATCAGGGGCCCTGCTTGCCCATGCCCCTTGCTTCTATAAAAACAAGGAAGGATATGACACAATCTATTTTTGGTTGGTTGATTTCATGAATATATTCACACAAAATCATGCCAAACAGCTATTTTAGCGTTTAAGCTTATCATCTCTAATTATGTAGCAAGATGCTTTCTTCATCAAGAAATTCCTATTTCCACTAATCAGGTTTAGGGATGTTTCTAGGCCTGAGGGGTTTGGAAATTCATATTAAGTCTACTGGACTGATCTCTGAAGAGAGTAATGACATCCTTTAGAAAGACTGTTAGTGGAGGGAGGAAGAAGAGGGCAATCATTCTCTCCAGATGGCTGTCTCTTGGAAGCCTAGTTCTAGAAAAATGCTGGGAGTAGAGTGATGGGGAAAGAGGAAGGCAGGAGCTAATGTAAGCTGAGCATCTACCATGGTCCTGGTACTTCACACCCTTTATCTCTTTAAAGGGTGAGGTGAGTAACATTTGCTTTTTTTTTTTTTTTTTTTGAGACGGGAATTTCACTCTTGTTGCCCAGGCTGGAGTGCAATGGCGTGATCTCAGCTCACTGCAACCTCCGCCTCCCGGGTTCAAGCAATTCTCCTGCCTCAGCCTCCAGAGTAGCTGGGATTACAGGCATGCATCACCACAATTCGCTGATTTTTTGTATTTTTAGTAGAGACGGGGTTTCACTACGTTGGCCAAGTTGGTTTCAAACTCCTGATCTCAGATGATCCACTTGCCTCGGCCTCCCAAAGTGCTGGGATTACAGGCGTGAGCCACCGCACCCAGCCACACATTTGCATTTTTAAAAGAAATAAATGCTCAAAAAGGTAAGTTACTCAAATTTCCCTATCTAGTAAAGAAATAGGGTAAGGATCCAAGTTACTCCTGTCGGAGAACAAAGTCCTACTGTCCTACCCCGTCACCGTACCATGCTGACTTCATGCTTATTACTCACTGATTGCCCATGGGTCTTCTTTCGAGATTTCTCTAGCCCTAATGGAGTACAGCACCCTGTCCTACCTTCTTTAGCCTTGATCTCACCCTAGGCCTTGAGAACACACATTCTCTCATTTCTGCTTCATATGGCACTGTTTGGGGGTAGTTATTGGTGGTAATATTACAGGTTCCCCTACTTATCCCCTTTTCTTCCTATCATCTGGAATACTCTAAGGCCCTTTTTACACCTAATACTAGATTTGAAGATTCTAATGGAGTTGTATGTTTAGAAATTTGTCTTGTTAACTATGATACATTTTTTGAGCTACTTTTTAAGGTAACAGTAAAAAATTATACATTCCTACCTTGTGTCAATTAAGATGTGTTATACAAACTAAACATTGTCAATCAGAGCTTTTCCCTTAAAAAGAGAAAAAAAAAGGGAGAGAAAGAGTGCCATGAAACCATGAACACATACAGTTTTCTATCTTTAAAATGATAAGAAGTTCTTTTTTGAACTGTGTAAGTTATGGGTTAATCGAACTTGATAGTTACCACAGTCAGAGTATTAAAGCCAGCTCTCCCAAGCAGATGTCCCAGGTCATTGACAGCAGTGAAAGGAGAAATGTGTGGAGAAAATCCTCCTTCCCTTTCCGTTTCCGCTAACTGTAAGGAACACCGAAGTTCATAGAGTGTGTCGCCTCCAAACATTGCACCGATAAACACTCCATCTGGTTTTAAAATATAATGAATCTGTAATAAATACAAGAAAACAAAATGATTCAAATTTTTATATATATAAATGTTAAAAAATAAATATATAGTGTCTAAATTAACATTTTATGACAACCACTTTTATTCTGCCAAATTAATAATCACATAATTTAACAAATAACATCTAATGCAACCAACTGTCAGAAAATCATGATGCATAATATACTTGGAAAGACAACTATACATTCACTAATATTAATGCCTATAAAAATATGTTGTATGTTTTCAAGTTTTCTAATAGGTATACAACTTAGTTTTATAATCAGAAAAATGCTGAAAGAGAAAAAAAAATTTAATTGGGGTAGGCTGCAAAAATCACAAACCTCCCTGCATCTATGGCCTCTGAAACGTCGTTTTCTAACAACTTTCATCAAGATAGGGAGTCTATTTCCCCTCCCCTTGAATCTTGGCTGGCCTTGTGACTCGCTTTGGCCAAAAGAATGCAGTGGAAGTGACAGTGTGCCAGTTCCACGTCTAGGTCTCAAATGTGTTGCATGCTTCCACCTGCTCTCTTGGAGCCCAGCCCAGCCACGATGTGTGAACAAGCCTGAGCTAGCCTAGAGGAGGAGGAGAGATGTAGGGCAGAGATCAGCCAGCTGTGTGCACCGAGGCCCTCCAAACCAGCTAGCTCCCAGACGATCTGGCAGCTGATCACAGACACACAGATGAGCCAAGCCAGACCCAGATTTCCTAACCAAATCCAGCCCCAACTGCCAACCCACAAAATCATGGGCTACATAGTTGTTGTTTTAAGCCATCAAGTTGGGGTGCCTTATTATGCAGAAAAAGCTACAGAGAAATCATTATGATTCACAGCATTAACCTAGTAACATATTACCTTTCGTTAAAGAGAAGTAATCAATTTATTTTCCAGCTTTAAAACAAAACCAATTTCTAATTAGTAACTTAAGGAAAATAATGGCCAGAGAGAATTCCAGAATCACAGATTTTGCTCACTCTCAGACTACAAGCTGTAACTAGTTTGATTGACTATTCTCAGCAATGAGGACCATTACAGGAAAAGGTAGATTCTGAAGTAAACCAGAATCCAAATCACAGTAGGCTCTTCTAATAAAAGTACTGTCTTAAATTTATATTTAATATGTCATGAAGCAATTAAAAGCAGTATTAAGTAAATAATTTGTAAAAGCTTTGGTTCCTTCCCTTCTTCACCTTTAGTGTTGCTTCCTCCTCCTGTCATCAAACTCTACTAAACCAAATACCTAAGACTTAGTTCTCAGAATTCTGCAGCTCCCCGCTCTCCCTCAGACAGCTTATCAACTTCCATGATTTCACAATGACCACTTTCCAATCCCTAACTTCAGCTTGGCCATCTTCTCAGAAGTCCAAAGTCATCTTCAACTGCCTATTCCCTGGACATTTGTCTCTCAGCATACTCACCGTCCCTGCTCCCTCCAACCCCTACAAGGAAAACATCTATTTATCAAATCAATTCCCCTTTCCAACTGCCATATTTCTATTGCCATTTTCTATTCCCTTTATCTGATCATTAACATTCTTTCCCCTACTTTTACTAATCCAGACTCAAAAACTTCAAAGTGAGTTTTGCCTCCTCCCTTTGATCTTCAGATCTAATCAGTCACCAAACTGTTGATTCTTTCCTTGTAGAGTCCTAAATACTCTTCCTTTTAACTCCTACCATTACCACCTAGGTTTAGTTTATCTCATTCTTGGACCACTGAAACAGTCTCCCTTCAATTTAACGAACTGCTCCAGGCATCAGTTTCTTTCTTTTTTTTTTTTTTGAGACAGAGTCTCACTCTGTCGTCTAGGCTGGAGTGCAATGGCGTGATCTCAGCTCACTGCAACCTCTGCCTCCCGTGTTCAAGAGAATCTCCTGCCTCAGCATCCCAAGTAGCTGGGATTACAAGCACCTGCCACCACACCTGGCTAATTTTTGTATTTTTAGTAGAGGCGGGGTTTCACCATGTTGGCCAGGCTGGTCTCGAACTCCTAACCTCAGGTGATGCAACCACCTCAGCCTCCCAAAGTACTGGGATTACAGGCATGAGCCACCACGCCCAGCCGAGGCATCAGTTTCTAATCAGCAAAATAAATACATCTCGCAGAGCTATTTAACACAAATATAAAACAGAGCACAGTAACGGGAAACTGGAAAATCATACGTGTTCAGATATGGCCATTATTATTTTGCCCACCAGCTTTATAATGATGTCATTTTCCTCTTCAAAATGCTCCAGTGGCTCTGAATTGCATAAACTCCAAATTCCTCAACCTGACACTCAAATCCTCCTAAATACTGTCCCAATACATCACACCTCACTTCCCAGCACTATACTAGTCCTCCAAACAGGTTTCCTTTTTGTTCCTTAATGCTGATGAAGCTCTTGTGCCTCTCCACCTATCCTGTGATTCTGCCTTCTTAGAATGCCTTCCCAATCCAAACTTTACCTACCCTCTAAGGCCCTGCTCAAGTACTTTCCTCTTGAAGCTTTTCTAGGCCATGTCAAGCCACAGGGATCTTGTTCTCTCCTTTGAACACATACTTTTTACCTGCCTCTCACCTGTCTATTGATACGTGTCAATCGATAAAAACTTACCTAGCACTCTCTGAGTATAAGGCATGGAGAAAATACAAATATAAATAAGTAGGTTCCTACTTGCAAAAAGTTTATGGGCAACTAAGGGTAAGAAGAAATCTACATAGAGAATGTCTTATGATTTCAATATTATTTTGCACAGTTCCTAAGCTTTTCATAAATATTTAAAACTTATCTCTACAATTAGATTTCTTAAATTCTCAGGGAAAGGAGAGTTGCCCAATGTACTACTAATATGCCAAATGGCACCAGATGATTTCACCGATTTCTTTCCCAACTGTCAGACCTACAAGTAAATAGTATGTGAAAATAGAAACATCTGTAGATTTCTAACAATAAAGAAAATAACACAAGATAGTTGAATGAACATAAGTTTTCTTACCTGCTCAAGTGCTCTAGGAAGGTCATTCACCCAATGCAAACTAAAATATGAGAATACAGATTTGTTTTAGCTTAACTGGCACAATTAATTAGTAAAATTATCACCAGGTTAATGATAACCCATAAAAAGGTGTTAATTTTGAAGTTTAAAACTGCATATCCAAATCCACTGATCGTTTTCATACAGGTTTTAAAATTATAAATATTCCTAGAGGAAAACCTGCCTTGTGTCACACCAGAAAATTCCCCATGTCAATATATCACTTTGCGTAACTGAAAGAATCTGATATGATTATTTTCTAATTATTCATCACTGAATTATGTAAAAGTCATTCCTACTTAGGCATTTTATCTAAACGGTGCTATTCTGAGACCTTATTTGCAAAAAGTAGTAAAAATGCTCAAAGAAGCTCATCAGTTAAATCAATTAAGCTACAGAAATATAGTATTATTCTAAGTCAGACTTTCTTAGAAAAAAATTATCTGCAGATCTAAATTTTTTCAAGGCAAACAGTGTAACTCATCAAAAGTTTGAATCTGTGAGTTTTCCAATAATATCCCATTTTTTAAAAAATCAATTTTTAAGACTTTATTTTTAATTATTTTTGGAGCAGTTTTAGGTTTACAGCAAAATTAAGAGGAAAACCCAGAGATTTTTTTACATACTCCTATTCCCACACATGCACAGCCTCCCCCATTATCAATATCTCCAGAGTGTATATTTGTTACAACTGATGAAGCTATACTGATAAGTGATTATCCCCCAAGTCCATAGTTTACATTAAGGTTCACTTTTGGTGTTGTATATTCTAAGGGTTTGGATAAACGTGTAATGTCATATATCCAATATTATAATAGTATCATAGAGTAGCTTTACTGCCCTAAAAATCCTCTGTGCTCCACCTATTCATCCTTCCCCTACACAACCCCTGGCAATCACCAATCTTTTTCACTGTCTCCAGAGTTTGCTTTTTCCAGATTGTCACAGTTGGAATTACACACTATGTAGCCTTTTCAGATTAGCTTCTGTCATTCAGTAATACGCATTTAAGTTTCCTCCAAATATTTTAATGGCTTGACAGTTTCTTTTTAGTGCTGAATAATATTCTGTTGTTTGGATACAACAAAGTTTATCCATTCACCTACTGAAGGACATCTTGGCTGCTTCCAAATTTTGGCAATTATGAATAAGGCTACTATAAACATTTGTGTGCAGGTTTTTGCGTGGACGTAAGTTTTCATCTCCTTTGGGTAAACACCAAGGAGCATGCAATCGCTGGATCGTACGCTAAGAGTATGTTTAGTTTTGTAGGAAACAACCAACCTATCTTGCAAAGTGCCTGTACCATTTCGCATTCCCACCAATAATGAACTCCACATCCTTGTCGCATTTAGTGTTGTCAGTGTCCTGGATTTTGGCCATTCTAGTAGGTGTGTGGTACATCCATTTTTTAAGGTGATAAAAACAAACAAAAACCAGAGCTGTATACACTGAAACTTAATCTCTTAAATTTTTTCCTTTTTTGAGACAGAGTCTTGCTGTTGCCCAGGCTGGAGTGCAGTGGCGCGATCTTGGCTCACTGCAACCTCTGCCTCCCAGGTTCAAGTAATTCTCATGCCTCAGCCTCTCGAGCAGCTGGAATTACAGGCATGCGCCATGACATGCAGCTAATTTTTGTATTTTTAGTAAAGACAGGGTTTCACCACGTAGCCCAGGTTGGTCTTGAACTCCTGGCCTCAAGTGATCTGCCTGCCTCGGCCTCCCAAAGGGCTGGGATTATAGGCGTGAGCCACCGTGCCCGGGCCTTGAATTTTCTTTTGACCCTACTCTCACCTAGAGTGTAGTCATGCGTGACAGCGAAAGTCATATTCCCAGTCTCCTTAGAGTACGGTCACACTTTTCTGGTATAACTGCCTCCCCTTATGCTGAGTTCCAGGACAGAACTGAATGTCCATTTCAAACCATACTGTGTTAAGCTCATGTTTATCTTTCCTAATGCTTTTCGACAAGTATTAGATACTTTAAAAACTAAGGAGCTCATACTATAAACTCTATCATACTTATGGGAAAACAGAAAGCAACAGAATTAGTCACCTGCAAATAGCAAGCAGATGAGCTAACATAAAAACTCAGGTTCTGACTCCCTGCCCAGGGTTCTTTATAGACCAAGGCTCTGCATATTTTTCATTTCATGACAGAATGTGAGTAGTTTTCTAACTTTGTTCAGCACATCTAAAAAACCAGGGAAGGAATTACACACTCACGAAAGAAAACATCAAGGGTGACCAGCTTTCCCAGAACATAAGACTTTCAGGCCAAAAGTGGCAAAGTCCTGGGCACACCTTGATGACTGGTCACCCTAAAAACAGCTATCGAAAGAGTTGAACTGGACGTGGAGAGCCTGCTGAACTTCTGAAAGAAAATCTATTTGACTATAAGACAGGAGAAAGAAGATACCACAAAGATATTTTTTCTGTTAGACTGAGTTATTTGAGGACAGGATCCCTAATTCATTTTTGTATTCACCCAAAAATCTGGCTCAGTGCCTTGTATCCTATAACCTATTTGATATATACTTGCATTACATGTTTGTGTAACATATGTGGAGGAAGATAGTAGAAAACATAAAGGGAAAAGAGTAATCTTGAGAACTACATTCTGGTACAGAATTATTATTATTTTGAGACAGGGTCTTGCTTTGTCACCCACGCTAGAGTGCAGTGGCATGATCATGGCTCACTGCAGCCTCAACTTACCAGGCTCAAGTGATCCTCCTGCCTCAGCCTCCCAAGTAGCTGGGACTACAGGCATGCGCCACCTTGCCCAGCTAATTTTTTAATTTTTTGTAGAGATGGCATTTCATTATGTTGCCCAGGCTGGTCTCGAACTCCTGGGTTCAAGCAGTCCTGTTACTGCAGCCTCCCAAAGTGTTGGGATTGCTGGTGAGAGCCACTGTACCTGGCCAGAAGAATTAAGGCTAAAGGAAAACTAGCTGTCCTAGTTTGAGTTTGTCCAGAATGAGTTTGTCCAGAATTTGTCCAGAATGAGTTATGATTGTTGGGAGCAGGAGTTTGAAAGAATATATTCTATGCTCTCTGGTGGAGATAATATGATATAGTGCCTCAACTTTTTTTTCCCCCAACTTGCTAAACTCATCTGTGATAGAAGGGTTTTCTCCCCAATGTAACTTATTATTTTGGAATTGCTCTAACATTTGAATACAGGAGCCAATATGCTCTTTCAAACTCCTGCTCCCAACAAGAGCAATTCCAAAATATTAAGATGCACTGGGGAGAAAAACCTTCTATCACAGATGAACTTTAGGAAGTTCATGCATGCCACCACGCCCAGCTACCTTTTTTGTATTTTTAGTAAAGACAGGGTTTCAACATGTTGGCAAGGCTGGTTTCAAACTCCTGACCTCAAGAGATTCACTCGCCTCGGCCTCCCAAAGTGCTAGCATTACAGGCGTGAGCCACCGCTCCTGGCCTCATAGCAAAACTTTATGGCAAGAATGATCTGTTTATAACATATGGTTTTTAAAAAGTGGATTACCAACCTTAAACTGCTAACCACCAGGTCAAATGTATTTTCTTTGAAGGGAAGGAATTCTTCATCAGCTAAAACGCTGACAGTAGGTATTTCTGTTTCTGAGGAATTTTTCTAATGTTAAGAAAACGAAAGATCAAAATCACATTTATGTAGAATCTCAATTACTAACACAATCACTGTTTGTTAAATTGAAGTCAATGTTATATTTACTTGGCAGTTTCTACCCCCCTTCCCAAAGGTGGCACAGAGAAGGCACCCAAAAAGCATTTCTTAAATGACTTAACATCAGCCAGAAAAAATGGCTAACTAGTTGAAACAACATAAACAGGATACCAACCTCACACCAAAACAAATCTCAGAAAGCTAGTTTGGCTGGGCGTGGTGGCTCACGCCTATAATCCCTGCACTTTGGGATGCCAAGGTGGGCAGTCACTGAAAGTCAGGAGTTCGAGACCAGCCTGGCCAACATGGTGAAACCACGTCTCTACTAAAAATACAAAAATTAGCTGGACGTGGTGGCACGCACCTGTAATCTCAGCTACTCGGGAGGCTGAGGCAGGAGTATCGCTTGAACCCGGGAGGCGGAGGTTGCAGTGAGCTGAGATCGCACCACTGCACTCCAGCCTGGACAACAGTGCAAGACTGTCTCAGAAAAAAAAAAAGAAAAAAGAAGGCTGAAAGTTTTAGTGAAACAACCGAAGTACTAGATGAAAATATGGGTGGACTGGACATTTTACCCTTAGATGAAAAAGCCTAGGTAAACATAATTCAAAAGCCAGAAACTGTAAAGGAAAAGACTGATATATTTGATGATAAACTAATTAAAAACTTCTATTAATAGAAATCAATAAACAATGTAAACAACTGAGGAAAATATTTACAACATATACAATGAAGGATTAATATCCCTAAAAACCAAGCTCTTACAAATCACCTAGAATAAAAACACAAGATAGCTAAAGAGGACAAGGTGCAGGCATATCACAAAATTATTTACAAAATTCACAAGAAATACCAATAGTCAAAAGATATCAGCAGCTGTCAGACTGACCCAGACGAAAAGGCTGGCCCAGTGTTGCCAAAGCAAAGTAGTAAAAAGTACCTTTGTCATTGTTCAGTCTTTCTAAGGGCAGTCTGAAGATGTATGTCAAAAAATTTTTAAATGAACATCAAAATGAATCCATAAATTCCGCTACCAGGAATTTATACCCACGGAAAAAAATAAATCAAACATACAATGTGGCTTCACATAAGGATTTTCACTGCAGTGTTGGTTATTGAGAAACTAGAAACGTAACTGCCCTTCAATAGAAAGTTTAGCTAAATAAACTATGGAGTATTCATATATTAGAATACCATGTAGCCATTTAAAAAGATGATATATGACACACATAAGTATAAATTCACTGACAAAAAAAATGATGTGCCGTAAATAACATGGAATATTAGCATAGTAATGTTCATACACAGTTGTGTGTTGGGGGGGCGGGGACAGTTATATGTCTGCAAATGTGGAGACCAAGTGCCACCAATGGTTGCCTCTGAATGGTAGGACTAGGGGTGATAGGGGTGATTTTTCCTTTGTTCTTGATATTTCCTGTATGAGTTCCTTTTCATGTGTCAGAAAAGAAAGCTAGTTTGAAGGAAATAAAAATAAAGAAATAAAATATGAGAAAACACATCACGAGATTAGAAACCAACAGTATTAAAAAGCTACCTACCAAAGCATTTTCTGCAATGTCAGCTTGGAAAAACTTTCCAATAGTTTCCTGCAATGGAATAACTGAAGCTGAAACAAACAAATCCAGTCACAAACAATTGCTGACATTTCTAAAGGTAAAAGTGTTAATTACATTTTAATTTTCAGCTTTGTAAAGGTATATTTCTGCATAAAACCAGTATGGTACACAAATACTTTTAATAACACATATCCTTTGCTATATTTAACTATATGTAATAAAATAGAGAACATGAGTATGCGTATTCAACATTCCGAATTTACTACACTGGGTGAGGGCTTCCGTGTTAACTTTTCCATGGCATAACATGCTAAGAGCTATTTCCCCACTCCTGTGTCACAAAGGACCTGCTATGAGTTTCCCGCCTTTTAGTTGTTCATCCAAAGAGTTTACAGAGTAAAGAAAGACTTACAGGTAGAGGCTTAGGGTTCCATTTTCCCTGTTTCGCCTACCCTCTCTCCCTTCCAAAAGGAAAGGAGACTGTGCTATTTCTGCACCAGAAAAACACTTTCTTTCCCCCTCAGCCCTCTTTTCTCCGGGATCCTGCTCTCTCCATCTCCATCTCTATCAATCTTTAGTCTGTGTCTTCTGTGTCTCCTTCCTCCACCTTACAACAGGCACAAGCTTTCCAATTACAAAAAATCTCCTCCCTCTAGGTACCTTCTGGTTGTTTGGTTTATAATCCACAACTCTACTTCTTCCTAGATTCTTTCTCCCCATTCTGGGTATCTCTTTGCTTTCACTGCTCTGCTAACACTATCTGCAGTCTGTGCTCACTGCTCTCAGTCCTGCTTCACCTGACCTCTTTGAAGCACAGCATTGTCAACAGCCTACTAGAAGCTTCTTCAGAAGCTTCTACTCTGGCTGCCCTTCTCTATTAGAGAAGCCAATCCTTTTTTACTTTACCCACACCCACTTCCCTGTCTGAAACTTGGAAAGATTTCATGCTACCAACATGATGTTGCTAAATATGGAGCTGGGAAGAGTGCTCAATAGCTCTCATGAGCCAGCTCCAGCACACTCCTGTGAGGGGTGAAGAATTAGATGGACAGGATTATCTATCCCTGTCTCTCACTTGAAAATTTGAACTAAGAGACTTCGAGATAATAGCAGAGGTCCCTGGAGTTGGAAGAACATTTAGACTTCAGGGTATAGGCAGTGGTGTGCTGGCTCTTGGTTGGGGACTGCTTTGTAGCATTTGCCAACTTCCATGGTATAAATATTCCCACCAGGGCTGATGTCAAGCTATCAATATGATGTCACAGAACAGAGGTTGGGAAGAGATGCTAACAATTGGCTCTCACAGGCTGGCCTAAGCTAGCTTCAGCTACCCTTGGGTGTAGCATATTCATATGGGGCCACACACACTGATGAACACTACTATGGATAGACTACAGGGAGTAAAAAGAATGAAGGCAACCAGACAGCATTCATGTAGTACCAGAGTGCATGCGAACAGGAGGAACATTGTTATGGTGTTTCAAAGTTCCCATCTCTTGTGAGGCCTGGCTCTATTTCTGGATCCCTGAGTTACATAAGAGCCTCTCTGTAACAAATGTCTCTGTGTTTAAACTGGCTTCAGCACATTTTTGCTTTCAACAATCAAAAGATACCTTACTAAGACACTTTCCATCTTACTATTCCTGGCATCTTTATTGGCTCTTCCTCTTTCTCCCAACCCTAAGTACAATTGCAGAAGGTTCTTTTCTATATTCTTGCCTCAGAGAGTTTACCTATTTCTACGGCTTCAATTGTCACTTCTGAAAGGGACTTCCAAATAAGAACTATAGCCTCCTTTGACAGGTTTACTTTGCCTCACTTAATCCCCTTACCAACCTTTTGAGATGGGTATTATTGATCATATTTTATAGAAACTGAGGTCTAGAGCAATTGATTGGCCCAAGGTCTGAGTATACACAGACAGTGGCAGAGCTGAAGTTTGAAGCCCTGACTTCAAGTCAATGCTCTTAACCTCAATATCCCAATTCCAGTTCCACATTTCCAACTACCTGCCAGCTATTTATACTACCATATTCCACTGCCATCTCAAACTCAACATATCTAAAACAGGAATGATCCCGTGCTCCTTGCCACATCACATCCCCTGAATTTTCCAGTCACAAAAGGTGTAACTTAAACTCTAAAGTTATCTTGCAATAGTCATTTAATAAATACTCATTGTGATTTAGGTACTAGGATTTAGTAGTGATCAAAAATGAGCAAATCCAGTAAGAGAAGAAAGACACCAAATAAACATACATCAGGAGCTTGTAAGTGCTATGGAAGCAAATAAAGCAACTAGTCGGCAGAAAGCAGGGGCACTATTTTCTAAAGCAGTCACGGGAGGAATCTTTGATGAAGTCAGCTGAGTAAAGATCTGACAGGTGAGCAACTAAGACACACAGATACCTTGGGGAAGAGCATAGAGCAAAGCTCTGGCCTGTTTGAGAGACTGCAAGGAGGCCAGGGTTGCTGAAAAGTTGGGAGTGAAAGGAAGAAGATGGGATCAGAGACATGATAAAAAAACAGAATCCTGAGGGTCTTATAGATTAGGACTCTGGATTACTACTAAACTAGATGACAAACTAACAGTTCTGGGCAGAGGACTGACAATGATTTGATTTGTGTTTTACGAGGATACTTTGCCATGACAACAGACTGTCAGGGACAAAGGTAAAGCAGGGAGACCAATAGGAGGCTACTGCAATAATCTAGGCAAGGGGCGATGATAGCTGAACAGCACGGTGATGGGGAAGGTGGCAAGAAGACATAAGAGTTTGGTTATATTTTGAAATGCAAATAAAAGCTGCTGACGGATTAGATGTGGGAGAGAAGGATATAAGAGGAATCAATAAAAATGTTTTTTGGCGTTGAGTTACTAAAAGAATAGATTTGCTCTGCCTACCATATCTGATCAGTCATCAAGTTCTGTTGATACTTCCAGGTCTCTCTCATACATCCCATCATTTATATGTGCTGGCTCTGCATGGGTGGCAGGCCTTTATTTCTCATGCCTGCAATGCCTTTAACACAGCCTTCTGATGGGTTTCTCTACCCTTTCTCTTCTTCAATCTTTCTCGAATGCCATCCCCAGATTAATCTTCCTTAAACATCACTATATCACACCCTACAGCATTCTACCTCTGTGCCTTTCCTCCTGCCATGCCCTGATTTCCAATGCTAGGAACCACCAACTCAAATTCTTTCAAATCCCAGGTCAGATTCTGTGCCCCCTGAGAATCCTTGACCACATGAACTCCTACTGATTTTTTCTTTTCCCCTAATTCCTGTTGCACTTTAATGACTGCACCATTTCTATGGCATTTACTATTACCAATAATAGTGTTTTAGGAGCCCCACCACTCCCTTCCTCACCCTGGCCCAAGTCTATGGTTTTATCTAAGCAGATTTTACGTAGAAATTCCACTTTATGAGGCTGGGCATGGTGGCTCACGCCTGTAATCCCAGCACTTTGGGAGGCCAAGGCGGACAGATCATGAGGTCAGGAGATCAAGACCATCCTGGCTAACACGGTGAAACCCCGTCTCTACTAAAAAATACAAAAAATTAGCCAGGCGTGGTGGCGGGCACCTGTAGACCCAGGTACTCGGGAGGCTGAGGCAGGAGAATGGCATGAACCTGGAAGGCAAAGCTTGCAGTGAGCTGAGATTGCACCACTGCACTCCAGCCTGGGCAACAGAGCGAGACTCTGTCTCAAAAAAAAAAAAAAGAAATTCCACTTTAAGGCTGGGCGCAGTAGCTCACGCCTGTCATCCCAGCGCTTTGGGATGCCGAGACAGGCGGATCACCTGAGGGCAGGAGTTCAAGACCGGCCTTGCCAACATGGTGAAACCCCATCTCTACCAAAAATACAAAAATTAGCAGGGCATAGTGGTGCACCCCCATAATCCCAGCTACTTGGGAGGCTGCGGCAGGAGAATCGTTCAAACCCGGGAGGCAGAGGTTGCAGTGAGCCGAGATCGTGCCACTGTACTCCAGCCTGGGCAACAGAGTGAGACTCCATCTCAGAAAAAAAAAGAAATTCCACTTTCATCTTTGTGTCCAGCACAATATCGTATAGATAGGAGCTAAAAGAATAAATTAATGTCTTCATGGTCTGAATTATAAAGTGCAAAATACAATGTTATAAGCATTAATAAAGCTACTTATATTTAATGATACAGAAAGATTTCTAATCAACTGATAAAATTAATATTTTTCTAGCTAAAAGTCACATTTTCTGTATGAATGCCAATCTGATTTTTATGGTAATTATAAAAAAATGTGAACAAAGAGAAATATATCTTCTATAGATTCAAATAAATTATCGGTAGAAACATAATATATAATGGATTCAGAGAAAAACCCTTTAAGAAAAAAATTCTAAAGAAGGGAGAAAACCACCATTGATTCTACCACTTAAAAAAAAAAACAAATTAACAATTCTGATATAATTAAAATCTAAATATGTTGCAAGCTAAACTGATTAGGAAAGTCTTTCTTTAAAATTAGCCAATGTTACTTTTCAAAGTAAATTAGGTCATTGAATAAATATACCTTATTCAAATATTGTGCAATGTAACCTCTTCCACAACCAAGATCCAAAGCAAGGGGGAAATTTCTAAAAAAAAAGACACAGAGGTTATGCTCTGTCCATAACACAGTCTATAAATTAAGAATTATTTTTTCTTAGGTAAAATCATTCCAGTAAACACAACTTCCAGAAGGTTACATCATCTGCCTTTTCAGCCTCACCTTACAAGCTGTATATACCAGAGCCTACAGTACAAGGCAAGTCTGTCTGCTAGCTATTCACAGGACCTTGTGATGAGCCAGCTTTCCACCAGGTGGCTCCATGATGTGGACTCGAAGAACAGATTTAATGAGGATATTTTAACTCAATAATACATCCAGATAAAGAATGCAAAGAAGCTAATGTAAATTAACTTGAAAATAACTGACATACTTATCAATAATTATCCCTATTTCTCAGACTTCTTGAAGCAGTGGAATACTTAGAAATCATCATGTGAAATACCATTAAGTATTAATGTTAAACTAAAAAATAAGAACTTAAGTAACAGTTAAACTTTTACTGAAAACGTACCAGGTTCAAAGTACTGTGCTAAGTGTCTGAAGCTAAGTAAGTCAAACCAAGTGCCTCAACTAACAAGGGGCAGTCAACACTTGAATTCGGTCAGTCTGAATCCTGAGCTGGAACTATTATCCTCCATGCCATGCTGTCTCCTCTAAATACACTATGTTATGCTACATTGGTACAGACATCTAATTGTAGGCCATAGGTTTAAAAAAAAAAACCTATAATAAGAAAACTTAAAATTTTATCTACTAAGAACATTCTTCCTGAAAAACTGGAACAAAAAGAGCCCCATTGCAATTTGTTTTTAAAAAGCTTTGTCAAAATTATAGTACATAGCTGGAGAATCCCTGGTGGTAGATAACCTTATTTACCTAATGCCCTATATCTTGATGATGAACACAGGCAATATGGCACAGTTAGGTACAGAGGCTTCGGATGTTAAAAATTCGCATGTTGTTAAGTATCTCCATTTTTGGAGCAATCTTTCTATTACTTGCTTTTGGCCAAATCAAGTGGATTCAGGCTTGGAGATAGATACGAGTTGTGCTTCCACACATTCTTTTCTTTTTTCAGGCAACAATGAAGAAAACATTTGCTCTCCAGACAAGAAAAAGGAGACTTACAGAGTGATTTAAATCACCAGTCTGAGTAAATTCTTCCAGGTTCTGCCATTTCAGATAGCAAGTTCTCAGCATTTAATCTCCTGAATTTCCACTCAAAAGTTGATGGTATTGTATTATGATCACCACCACTTACCTGGGTATGTCATATACACGGTCTGCGATCCGACTTCCAACCTGAAGGATTACACGAGGCGTAGGTTAACGGGGAAGTAACACTCTTTTTCCAGTATTCAACAATCCACAAGTTACTTATGTTTTAAAATAAGTACTTCCCTTTATCCCCTTTTCAATTTCACCACAGGAACTTTCTTCTCAAACCACCAGGAAACAAAATTGAGGCAAATTATTTCAGAAGTCAATTTCATGAAATCCAGACTAAATATTCTTAAAAATATACATATACACACACACACACACACATATATATATGTGGCCTTTACATTCCATGTGACATAAGATCACAAGGATGAAAAGCAAAAGGAACACAACAGGCACATTACTGTCCACGGATATTAGCATGAGGTACACAAAGTGAAAAATTAGTTAGTTGGGGTTTATTGTAGATGAGTATGTAAGTGGTCACTTAAGAAAAACTCTATTATTTGATGACTAACAAATTTTGTGGAACTCATAAATGAACAACTTTTCTGAGTGACATTCGCAAGTTAGAAAAAGCCAAATCTGAGGAAAGTGCACCTCCCCTGCTCCAATCCCATCCCAATTTAAGAGTCATAAGGTAAGCACCACCTTTTGCTGGCCTAGCTTCATCTGGTAGCAATAAAGACGTGGGAGTCTAGTATTCCCCACATTCCACTCATTCCCTCATAAACACCCCAGAGTTGCTCTTAGGACTTAAAAGTTCCAAACACAGATGTACCTGCTTTTTGAGAGAAGGGCAAGGGAGAAGGGAGCGTAGATGTTTTTCCCAGGAGTCCACCTTGTACGTCATTCCTAATATGAACACCCTATGTTTATTATAAAAAGAACTCTCATATACTTTATCTTATTTGTTCTAGTCTCACAAATTGGCGAGGCCTCAATCAAGTTGTAGTCCAGGTGCTTTCTTTGGAGGGAAAGGGCTATGAGCGCACATCTTCTAAGTACACGACATCAGCAGTGTAGTACGTGCACCATGCCTTACAAGTGAGACACAAAAAATTTATTGGTAGTAAACTTCCTATAATAGACATTACCAGCCTAAGACTTCCTGAGAAAGACACCCTGTCAATCATCTGATCAGACCTGTACTTGCACAGAGCTCTGCTCAAGCTATGAGTTCAATAACTGTTTGTTGCATTATACTTGACTCCAACTTTGTTCCACTCCTGAATAAAAATTTACTGAGGCCTGAACTTGAGAATGCGTGTCCTGAAAGTAGAAACCCTCAGTCTCTGGCTCACCTGGGCAGGGAGAAAGGTTTCTCAAACGAGCCAAGACAAATCAGAAATCTTAATTTGATCTTCCTAAAACATAAGTCAGATCACTCCACTGATTAAAACAAGAGCTTCACATTCCCCTAGAGCAGTGCTGACCAAAAATCATGAGAGCCACATATGTAATTTCAAATTTTCTAGTAGCCACATAAGAAAAAAAGTAAAAACGAGAGAAATTTTAATTGAAAAATTTAAATTTATATTTAATATATTTCATGTGACCCAATATATCAAAAATAATCACTGCAACATGTAATCAATATAAAAGCTCTTAATGAGCTATTTTACATCCTTTTTTCATACTAAGTCACTATACTCGTGTGTATTTTACAACACATCTCAATTGGACTAGTCACCTTTCAAGTGTTCAACAGCCACATGTGTGGCCGGCAGTTACCATACTGGCTGGACAGTGCAGATACAGAAGAAAACCCCAAGTCCCTATCCTGCAAGGCCCTGATGATTTGGGTCCTCCTAACCTTCTCTCCCACTCTCTCCCTCTCCGGAGCTTCACTGGAGGCCTCTATAAGGTCCTTTCAGCCTCAAGGACGTTGCCGAAATGAATGCATGAATGAATGAAAGCATGTTACAAATATCCGAGGCCAGGCCTTGCGTGATTACAGTAGAGGCCGAAAGAGGCAGGGCTGCTGGTCAAGGTCAGACGGCTAGGTGGGGTGAGCTCGGGGCCTAGCCGGAACTAGCGGAGAGGAAAACAAGCCTCCGCGTCGCCCGCCCCGCCGCCCCGCCGCCCCGCGGGCTCACCTCCTCCTTCAGGTAGTCAAATTTGGTCGGCTCGGGCTGCCGGGCTGCCCAGTTCTTCTGTTTCCTTTTCAAATCCCGGTCGAAAATATTCAGGGTTCTGGGCGAGGTGCTACCGCGGGGAGAGACACCAGAGGTGACTTCCCTACGGCCAAGATTCTCCGCTGGGACCCTCGCCGCCCAAGGTCGCCGACATAAGCGCCAGAGCCCTGCCGGCCGCAGCATCTCCAGCTGCGACCCCAATTGCCGGCGCTTTTTGTGCGCATGCGCCAGCGCGGCTTTTGTGTCTACTCCAAAGATCTTCTCGAGGGAACGTGCAAGTAGTTTGGCCTAGTTCGCTTGCCATTACGGCGGAGCGTCACGCGGAGGATTGTGGGTGTGAGCCCCACGTGAGGCTTGGTAGGACTGCGGACGGTGAGTGGGGATGGACTGGAGTTGAAGAGCTCGAGATGAAGGGCTTGAGGGCGTGTGTGTGTGTGGCGCGGGGAAAAAACTAGTCTCTAACAGGATCTCTTTCGGATCTGCGAGGGGTTTTGCCCCTTCCTCCTGAGCCTTTTTCGGTCTCATTCTTCAGTCTTCATCGATCCTTTTCAGGGTCGCTTCTCGAATCAGTCTGTTAGCTGCCCCCCTGCGGTACAGGAGGTGGAAAGGAGACCCTAGTTCAGGGGCCAGCCCTGTGTTCTCCGAATTAGAGAGCGGGCAGAAGGGGAGGGTGGGCTACGGGGATGCGGGCGCGTGTCGGGAGTGAGGTCCGGTCGCCTTCCCCTCTCTCGGATTATCTGACATATAATGAGTGCTTTCCTTCTAAACATTTACAATACATGCAGTACTTCTCCTGGTTGAGGTGGTACCTACCTCGTAAGATTGCTCAGAGAGTTAAGTGCTGTAATACATCGAAAAATGTGTAAATGCACCAGCGATAGCTTCCTTTTTTTTCCTAGTTAGTGTAATTAAAAGGACTTGATTTTTAAATAAGAAATATTGCCCTTTTAATCATTTTGGGGGGGGGTTGCTTAATAATCAACGACTTTTGGCTCTTTGCAAAATTCCCATCCAGAGATGCTAAACCATTGGAGACTTTTCACAAGGGAACAATATTAATTTATACACACATATGTATATGTTCTAGTATGTTTTGGGGGAATGAGCTCACTTGGGCCTTCATCACTGGTAGAATCAGATATTATAGAAAGAAGTGATATTTATTAACTGGTGTGAGACTTTACCTGGAGACTCAAATTTACTTTTTATTTTTAAACTTTTTATTACTTTTGAAGGATGATCGAATTTAAAAAGGAAACTTTCTTAGCTAAACCTGAGTTGATTTTGGTCTGTTTAGTTAGAATGCTAGTCTTACAGAACTAAAGGCTGTTTGTTGGCAGTAGCCGGAGATAAGGAGTAAGCAGAATGAGACCAGAATGTGAAGAAACAAATGAGGCCAACGGAGGCTAGGGAATCTTTCTTTCTTACTTTTTTTTGGTAGACAGGGTCTCACTCTGTTGCCCCAGCTGGTGTGCTGTAGTGCCGTTAGGCTCACTCTAGCCAAGACCTCCCGGGTGGAAGTGATCCTCTTGCCTTAGCCTCCAAAGTAGCTGGGACTACAGGCGCGCGCCACCATGCCGGGCTCATTTTTGTATTTCTTGTGGGGATTCACCATGTTACCCAGGCTGGTCCTGAACTCCTGGGCTCAAGTGATCCGCCCGCCTTGGCCTCCGAAAGTGCTGGTGAGCCACCGCACTCGGCCTAGGGAATCTTAACTACATTTGCCTTCAATTAGTAACACATACTGGTATACAAATAGAAATTCTAAGTGAGAGCAATGGATGAATAAACATTTGTTCCCCTCCATAAAGCCCTGGGATTCTGCTTTGTCTACCTTAAGTTTATTTCTCTAAATGATCTGTCATGGAAAGAGGATATTTTGGTATGTTTCTGCTTTTTTGCATGTGACCCAGAATACGTTGGAGAGATGAAATTAGACTTGTTACCTCTATTTTATGTACACTTAACTTAGAATATATTAACTTAGAATATATTGTGAATGTGTTTTAAAACATTTAATTATTGTACTAACCATTATTACCATTAAAACATTTGTTTTATTTTTCAGTATTTGTTTTCTTCAAGCATTTGGTCGAGATTAAGAATTAAAAATGTCATCCAAACAAGAAATAATGAGTGACCAGCGGTTTAGACGGGTTGCAAAGGACCCGAGATTTTGGGAAATGCCAGAAAAGGATCGAAAAGTCAAAATTGACAAGAGATTTCGAGCCATGTTTCATGACAAGAAGTTCAAGTTGAACTATGCCGTGGATAAAAGAGGGCGCCCCATTAGCCATAGCACTACAGAGGATTTGAAGCGTTTTTACGACCTTTCAGATTCTGATTCCAATCTCTCTGGTGAAGATAGCAAAGCATTGAGTCAAAAGAAAATAAAGAAGAAAAAAACCCAGACTAAAAAAGAAATCGATTCAAAAAATCTAGTTGAGAAAAAGAAAGAAACCAAGAAGGCTAATCACAAGGGTTCTGAAAATAAAACTGATTTAGATAATTCTATAGGAATTAAAAAAATGAAAACCTCATGTAAATTTAAGATAGATTCAAACATAAGTCCGAAGAAGGATAGCAAAGAATTTACACAAAAAAATAAGAAAGAGAAAAAAAACATTGTTCAACATACTACAGACTCTTCTCTCGAAGAAAAACAAAGGACATTAGACTCAGGCACCTCTGAAATTGTGAAATCTCCCAGAATCGAGTGTTCTAAGACAAGAAGAGAAATGCAATCAGGTAGGTTGGAAAAAATTAGAGATTCTTGGGTGTTACATTATTTATTTTTATACTGATCTTTCAAAAATGTAAACACATTAATAAGTATTTTCATAGTATTATGGAATGGTCAAATGCTTATCTGGAAATACAAAGCTATAAAAGAAATATGCAGTGATTATTAATTTTTGATGTGGTGCTAGAAGACAGACATGAAAATTTGAATCTTGAAGTTAAACAGTGATTTTGATTAGTGGTGAGCCCTAATGAGAACTATATTCTCTAACCAGATAAAGTGTTATATGTCATCACATGATAAGAAGAGATGTGTCTAAAGAGGGTAAGTAGGCCGGACATGGTGGCTCACGCCTGTAATCCCAGCACTTTGGCAGGCCAAGGCGGGCAGATCACTTGAGGTCAGGAGTTCAAGACCAGCCTGGCCAACATGGTGAAACCCCATCTCTACTAAAAATAAAAAAAAATAGCCAGGCATGGTGGCGCACACCTGTAGTCCCAGCTATTCGGGAGGCTGAGGCAGGAGAATTGCTTGAACCTGGGAGGTGGAGGTTGCAATAAGCTGAGATTGCACCACTGCACTCCAGACTGGCTGACAGAGCGAGACTCTGTCTCAAAAGTAAAATAAAATAAATAGGGTAAGTAGGACTCCGTCTCAAAAATAAAATAAGAGGGTAAGTAGAGTTGAGTACTCATTCATTAATTTGTTCAGTTGCTTTGCCACTAGTATGTGGCAGGCAGAATATGAGTAAGGCGTCGTCACCCATCTCAGGGCTGTCGCTAGCTTATATGATGCCTTTATGCAAATTAGAAAAAGGCATGCTCTCTGGACACACAGAGCTCCCAGGGGTCACACTTTGGTGAAGAGATGGCGCCTTTGAAGCAACAGATTTTTTGCCCCTGAGCAGACACAGCCCCCTCCAGAGTGCATGGCTTGGTGAGTGTAGGATGGCCTTGATTTTAGCCCTTCTTGTCCTTTTATAAATGCCCCTGTGCGGATAACAGCCTGCTAAACTTTGTGCAGTGGCCCCTGTCTAAAGCAACATTGTCTAGTAGAAATACATAATTTTGGATTTTCTAGTAACCACATTAAAAAGTAAGATGAAACAGGTAAAATTATTTTAAATAATATATTTTATGTAACCCAATATATCAAAATTATTTCAATATGTAATCAATATAAAAGTCAATGTATATTTTACATCCCATTTTCTACTCATTTCATACTAATACTATTTTCATATTAATGTCAAGTTAGACAAAACGCATTTCAAGTGCTCCGTTACCACATGTGACTACTGGCTACCATATTGGACAATATAGATCTAAAGTAGAAGAAAGTCAGAACCATAATACAAAATGCAATAATAGTAAGTGCCGTAAAAGATGTTTAGCAGAAAGCCATGGAAATCTGGAGGAAGAAGTCACTCAAGATGTGGTAATCAGAAAAATTCATAGGGGACGCACTACTTTGGGGTGTGGAAAAATTTAAGTTTGAGGACCAGAGTGTGCTACATGGAAAGAACTTTTTGAGCAAAGATGTGATTGGGCATGTTCAGAAGAGGTCAGTAGTCCCGTTTGATTAGATAATAAGGTCTTGAAGGGCCAAAATGAGTAGCAGCGAGAAATGATTGTTTGGAACTAGGTGAGAGACAGCTGGCTCTAGTTTGCATTACGTGTTTACTAATTAAAATTTTTTGTCACCTCCAGCAGCAAGCAATTTTGAGTGTTGATGTTGCTGATAGTTGAAGATGTAACTGAAAACCAGTAGTAGTTCACATGAGCCAGACCTGTGATTACAGGATCCAAGGAGGGGTCTTGATAGGCCGAGAGGTCTTGATAGGCCAAGAGGTCTTGATAGCCCAAGAGTTCTTGATAGGCCAAGAGGTTTTGATAGGCCAAGAGGTCTTGATAAGCAGAGATCACACTGTGAGGGTAGAAGGTATCAGGCAGTGGAGTGAATTCTGGATAGCAAGGACTAGGGAGTCAGTGGTGGTATCCCATTTTACATTTGTAGTGGAACCAGGCAGCAGACCTCTTGAGGTGTGGGAAGAAAGGATAGGAATCCGGTTACTAAAATTGAAGAATAAGATTGGAGTGGGACCGGCAGCAAAGTTGATTTGACACTGAATTAGTGAGGTAAGTTAGTCTAGCATCCACTTCATTTGGGGCACTGAATTAATATAACATAGCTATATAATCCTTTAGATTGATTTTACAGACTTTTTTACATATCTTTTCTCATTTAATTTTCTTAGTTACCTTGAGCAATAAGACTGTATCAGCGAACAAGATTAAAGTGACTTATGTAAGGACATGCAGACCTGGAACTGCAACTCAAGTCTTCTGACTCCTTCTACCCCACCACATTGCTTGCAGTAATTTTGTTGGTTCCACAGTCTAGGAAAGGCATTACTCATAAATAAGGATTACACGGCTCCATATATAATCTTCTGTTCATTATCCATTCATCAGTTATTACAGCAATTACTGTGTGCAAGGGCCTTTTTAAGTGCTGTGAAGTAAAGGTGATGTGAGGACTTGCAGTGTGATATTTGTCATCATGAAATGTTCATGCCCAGCACTTGCACTCCTCAGAATCTATTTTACATAAATAATTGGATGTGTGCAAAGAATGTGCATTGCAGCATTATTTTTAAAATAAAACGGTAACTGGCTGGGCACAGTGGCTCACCTTTATAATCCCAGCACTTTGGGAGACCGAGGCGGGTGGATTGCTTGAGGTCAGGAGTTTGAGACCAGCCTAGCCAACATGGCAAAACCCGGTCTCTACTAAAAATACAAAAATTAGCTGGGCATAGTGGTGCACACCTGTAATCCCAGCTACTTGGGAGGCTGAGGCACGAGAATCACTTGAACCCAGGAGGTAGAGGTTGCAGTGAGCCAAGATCGTGCCACTGCACTCCAGCCTGGGCAACAGAGCAAGACCTTGTCTCAAAAAATGAAAATAGAAATTAAAATGGTAACAAATCATTAAGAGATTAATTAAATATATGCAAACATCTGTGATCTATGAAGTTTTAAAAATAGGTTCCAAAATAACGATATGACCAGTTATTTTAAACAAATTAGTATTTAAATTAAAGAAAAGAAATTTAGGGATATGGTTGTATACTAAAATAACCAGTTATCTTTGAATGAAAAATTACTGCTAGTCACCTTTGTTTTATTTATTAACCATATTTTCCTAACTTTTTTTGGTTTGTAATGATCATTCATTATGTTTATAATTGGGGGAAAATGGTAAAGCAGTTTTTTTGGTTTTTTTTTGTTTTTTGTTTGAAGTAGCTGGATAAGTAGTAATGTTTACAGTCACTACTAGAGCAATACTGTCTAGGAATAGAGACATTTATATTTGTGTAACCCCACATTATCTTGCACAAGGCTGTGTACATTGTGGGCTCTAAGCAGATACTTTTTGGGGTTTTTTATTTTTATTTTTGGAGACAGGGTCTCGCTCTGCTGCCCAGGCTGGAGTGCAGTGGTGCAATCACAGCTCACTGCAGCCGCAACTTCCTGGGCCCAGGTGATTCTCCCACCTCAGCCTTCCGAGTCACTGGGACCACAGGTGCACCCCACCATGCCTAGCTAATTTTTGTATTTTTGTAGAGACAAAGAGTTTTGCCATGTTGCCCAGGCTTGTCTCAAACTCCTGGGCTCAAGATCCTCCCATCTTGGCCTCCTAATATGATGGGATTACAGGCGTGAGCAGCTGTGCTCGGCTGCAGATACTTATTGAATGAATAAATACTCTGAATGCAGTTGATATTGTTAAAAACATTGAAATGGAAGACCTCTTTAAGTCTCTTATGCAACACTTTATTATTATATAACCCAAAGTGTGGTATGTGTACCATTGTCATAAGTGAGAAGATTTTTGATGATACTCAAACTTCTAAAATATTAATAGTTATGTACTGTGTCAACATCTTAGAAAACAATGTAATTACCCTATCACTTCTGTGACTTTAGGAATATTGTTTAGAGCAAAACTAACTTTTAAAAAATTCAATTTAATAAAAAAATGATATTCAAAAATCATGAAAATGGTATAATGACTGACAGTTGAGAAATATTGCAATACTAGATAGACTGGGTCTGTAAGATGTTATTTCTAAGCTTGTTGCTTAAAAGTAAATTCTGCTTACCTCATAGTAACTTTCAATGTTGTGTTTTTCAGATCTCATATATAGAACCTGTGACAATGCTTTCATTTTGGCGCTTTTCACTTCTATTGGCTAGTTATTTTTATTAATCCCTGCTTCGTTGTGGTGGTAACATAAAAGCCCATTTCCTGCTTTTCCTTCTAACAAGATGCCTTTTCATTCAGTTAGTCTCAAGTCAAGTTGTATCTTTGTGAAGCCTTTTTATAAATACCTCTCTGCAGGCAAATTTAGATGTCTCTCACTGTATGGTGATTGAGAACATAGATTTATAAATCAGTAAATGGTTACCTTTTATTTATGAATCCATCAAGAGCATGAGATCGTGTTACAAATCTTCTCTCTTTTCCCTTATCCTAGCTCAATTCTTTGTATGTAGTAGATACTCAGTAAATATTTGGTCAGTGAATAACTATTATAAGATTATAGGACCAAGAGAAAATTAGTTCCAATTTCATTCTAAATCTTGAACTTTTAAATTTGCTTTTAATTTTCCAAACTTAGAGCCTGTAAGCAGAAAATAAGCTCCAACTTAAAGATGAGTAAAACACGTAAGATATATCTACACACCAAGTAGATAGAAGCCTGTGATTGCTTTAGAAGTAGGAAATGAGCCCTTTCAGAGTTGTGAGGACTAAAATTTCCATCTTAAGCAAAAACAGTCTTTCAATCTTGGTGTATTGCTAATCATGACAGTTGATTACAAAGTTCAAGACCTGGCAGAAAAAGTATAAATATTATTTCTCTGTCTTTATAGGTGATCTCATCCACATCACAGCTTCTGTTGTCAACTGCGTATGAATGAGTCACTGATCTCCAACCCAGACTTCTCTGAGCTGTACACTCTTATTATTGATACTTTCTTTTAGATGACTGAGTGGCACTTCGTATTCAACATATTCAAAACTGAACTCATGATTTCCCTCCACCAAACAAACTAGTTCATTTCCAGTGTTCCCTTTTCATCTTTCCATCTTCTTAGCTAACTAGCTCTGAAAGCTAAGAAGCTATGACTCATCTTTGACACTTCCAAAACTCCCAGTCCCCGTGTCAAATCTCCAGTCGGTAATTATTGGTTTCACTTCCTGACTGACTCTGAAATCCATGTACATCTCTGCATACATACTGCCACCCAACTTAGTGCTACCTTCATTTCTTGCTTTTTGTACTGTACTACCTTTACTATATTCACATCTGTTCTTTACTTTCCCAAGTCAGTTTTCTACAGTATAGTCAAGGTGATCTCCTCAATATGCAAGTCTGAGGATGACAATATCCAAAAGAAGATGACATCCTCTTTTTTGAAAACAGCAGTGTCTTCCCATTGCTTTTATGAAAAAGTCCAAGCTCTCTATATGGTTTTTTGATAGCTTGGCCTCTACTTAACTCTTCATTTCCATTTGTTACTTGATTCTGTGCTATCTGTGATCTGGACATGATGGTTGGCTTTTTCCTATTGGCAGATTTTTACAGGTACCTTCCTTGCTCTTTCAAACAAATTTCCATCTATTAGTCTAACTTTGACTATTTAACTCCTGTTCATCCTTCAAGTAACAGCTCAGTTATCACTCACTTAGGGACCCCATTAAATCCCCTTAGAAAACATTCTTTCTGGGATATCTTAGTTGTGATTTTAACTTTTCCTATATATTGATTTTATTTGATATCCATGTATTCTTTTCACTCAGCTAGAAGTTTCACTGAGAGCACTGTTTGCTTCTCTTTTACCAACTGTTGTATATTGAGCACTTAGCACGTAGCAGGCACACTGTTAAGTATTGAATGAATGTCTGGATCTACTTGCGTGATGTGAGCATGTGTTAGGATTTCCATTAAATAACTTGGTTAAGTGTATTTTCCTTTACTCTGTTTCATAGAAGTTATGGTTAGGATTTCTATCATAAAAATTGACTAAGCATTTACTGAATATATATTTGTCTTTACTGTGTTTCATAGAAATTATATTTTTACTGGAGTTGATGTCAAGATAATTTGGATTCAGTTTAATTCAGCATATATCTTTTCTTAATTTCTTTCCCCTTTAACATTTTGCAGTGGTTCAACTCATAATGACAAGAGACAGTGATGGTTATGAAAACTCAACAGATGGTGAAATGTGTGACAAAGATGCTCTGGAGGAAGATTCAGAAAGCGTTAGTGAAATAGGAAGTGATGAGGAATCTGAAAATGAAATTACAAGTGTTGGTAGAGCTTCAGGTGATGACGATGGAAGTGAAGATGATGAAGAGGAGGATGAAGATGAAGAGGAGGATGAAGATGAGGATAGTGAGGATGATGATAAAAGTGACAGTGGCCCTGATCTTGCAAGGGGTAAAGGAAATATAGAAACTAGTTCTGAAGATGAAGATGATACGGCAGATTTGTTTCCAGAAGAATCTGGTTTTGAGCATGCTTGGAGAGAATTAGATAAAGATGCTCCTCGTGCTGATGAGGTAACCTTTTGAATAAACAAGATTATTTGTGAAAAACACAGTACAAGCAGCTTTTATGGCTGGTAGAACTGATGTCATTAAGTGGGAAAAGCTTATTGGTAATAGTATTCTTTATGATTCTGATTAAAATTTGATATGGAATATAATTATATGAACTAGAAGACGTCCAAGCAGATAAGAAGAGGCTCTACATAAATAATTAAAAGTTGCATGAAATTTTTAATACTTGTTTTAGCTAGTAGTTTGTATTTCTGTTTGTACGGCACCCAAAAGAAATGTTGCAGGGTAACATACTCAACTTCCTTACTCATGCATGCATGGCAAAATAGCTGAACAAACTTGGTGGTTAAAAAATCAGCTCATGATCATGTTCTGATTTAAGAATTAAGAACCAAGTAAGAGAAAGTACTTACCTGTTATGGTTTTACTATTGTTTGGCTCATTTGAAGTTCTCTTTTATATACTGAATTACGCTTAGATAACTCCTGTACTATTAATTTCAGAGCATAGGGGACAGAAGGCATTACATTTTTAGAATCTTTATTTTTCAAGTATTGAGAATGATATGGATTATGTACTATTTAATTCTTCTCATTTCTCAGATTACACGTCGATTAGCAGTTTGTAACATGGACTGGGATAGATTAAAGGCAAAAGATTTGCTGGCTCTGTTCAATTCATTTAAACCCAAAGGAGGTGTAATATTTTCCGTCAAGGTGAGAATTGATTTCATTTTGAAATAAATATTTCTAGGCATTTTAAGTTAAATCTGATTTTTTTTTTTTTTTTTGGCCATAGTTTTCCTTTTTAGGAAAATACTGTGGAAGTTGTCCAATCCAATTGAGTGTGAAACTTATGTAACAGGTATAAATGTTAGAAAGGAAGAGGTGAAATTATTATTATTGATAGGTTATATGATTGTTTACACATTAAAAATCCAAAGAAATAAAAGCTCAGTAAAGGGACAGCATATAAGAAGTGTTTTTAACAATAAATTGCATTCCTTATTGCTAACACTGGCCAATTAAGGAAAAAATCTAATTATACTAGAAACAAAACCACATAAAGTTCTTGGAAATTACCTTAATAAACACAAATGACCTATGTGAAGTAAACTGTAACACTTGATAAATTTGAAAAACTTACATAAATTTTGAGGATACCATATTTCAAGCCAACCTAATAATTAAGAATCCAGGCTTTGCATTATTGCAGACCTGGGTTCAAATCTTGATTCTCGTAAGTGTTATGTGATCCTGGACACTTAATTAATCTCTCAAGTATGTTTACATCTTTCCAATATATCCAAATGGATATAACAATAGTATTGGTGATTGTAAGGATTAAGTATAAAGGAGCTTGAACTAAGTATTTAGTGCAGTGCCTGAAATAGCCCTGCCCTCAATCATTATTAGAGATTGAGTCTCCCTTATCCAAAATGCTTGGGATCAGAAGTGTTTAGAATTTCAGATTTTGAAATAAAATTGCATTATATATACTTACTGGATGAGCATCGCAATTCCAAAATCTGAAATGCGCCAATGAGCGTTTCCTTTGAACCTCACGTTGACAGTCAAAAAGTTTGGAATTTTGGATTTGGGATTTGGGATGCTCAACCTGTATTATTCTGTTTAAATATTTAAAGATGTTATGTCTACTGTTCTAGGGTAATTTTGATCAAAATCCCAGTTCAAGTCAAAGTTAAGAAAAAGGATACCAATAATCATCTAAAAGAATAAACAAATTAAGAGTAGCTAATAAACTATTTTTTTTTTTTTGAGATGGAGTCTCGCTCTGTCGCCCAGGCTGGAGTGCAGTGGCGCAATCTCGGCTCACTGCAAGCTCCGCCTCCCGGGTTCACGCCATTCTCCTGCCTCAGCCTCCTGAGTAGCTGGGACTACAGGCGCCCACCACCACGCCCGGCTAATTTTTTGTATTTTTAGTAGAGACGGGTTTTCACTGTGTTAGCCAGGATGGTCTCGATCTCCTGACCTCATGATCCGCCCGCCTCGGCCTCCCAAAGTGCTGGGATTACAGGTGTGAGCCACCGCGCCTGGCCTAGACTAGCTAATAAACTTTTGAGAAATCATGCTAATATAAAAACTCACCCTGTCGCTTCTCGGCCTTTTGGCTAAGATCAAGTGTAAAAACTCACCCTACAAGTTACAATATCTAAACATTTCATGATGCTATGGGGGTTGACAGGTTTGGGTAAAAATGGGACAAATTGGTAGAACAGAATAGATAGAAAGAGTTCATATGATAACTTAGATCAAAATAGGCTGCTTGAATATTTGGACAAATGAACAGGTCATTGGATAGAGAACTTGGTTCAGATCTTCACCTCCTAATAGCTCCAGCGAAATTCTAGATGAAGCAAAGGAAAAAAAAATTAAAAGTCAAGCCAAAGAAACAATTTAAAAACCCTGTGTTTTAGGCAATAGTGAGAATTTCTAGACTTAGAAAAGAGGAAAAAAAAGAATCAAAAGATGTGACTACATATATATTATAAACTTACATATTAAACCTATTGTGTATATACTATTCAAGTTAGTAAGAAAAACTTGGATCATCTTGTTGATAAATTGCATATTTCAGACAGTTTAAAAAAGCATGTGTTCATTAACAAATGTATATTAAGCCTAGTAGTATCAAAACAATGTCATTAATACAATTATTTCTTGACTCTTAAAGTAGGCAAGATTTTAGAAGATACCACACCTGGTGAGAGTGAATTCTTTTTCTTATATCGAGACTATACCTAATCTGTATAAGGTTGTCGTCAGTTCTGTTCTATTTCTTTAAAAGAAAGCACTGGATAAATGGTATGACAGAGATAAGTTGGTTATTACAAAATTGATCTTCATTATATGTTTATTTTTCTGTATTTCATGTAAACTAATTCAGTCATTTTTCATGTGTGTGTTTTTATTCACATTTCCTTGAGCTTAGCATCTTGTTTTGCTTTTAATTTTTCGTTTGGATCTCGGAACCATCTTGTCCCAGGTGGTATGTGGAGGAGATACTCTTATTTTTGTTTCCAAGCCTCGTATCTTGTTAGTCTCTAGCCAAAGTGATCTATTTTTAAATAAAATTTCTCAAGATGCTCTAGCTTCCTATAGTGGATTTGGAAGTGAGTCACCCTTACTGTTTTCATTGAGTCAAGTTGTGACTTTTAGAGTTCCTGACTTCGACAGGTCTAGATATTTGTGTAAAGGAATGTACAAATTACATTGATCCTATTTTTTTCTGTTTAGATATATCCTTCAGAATTTGGAAAGGAGAGGATGAAGGAAGAGCAAGTTCAAGGACCAGTAGAGCTATTAAGTATTCCTGAAGATGCCCCAGAAAAAGACTGGTATTAAATCACTATAGAACATAAAACTAAACCTCATAAATTCATGTCATTAGTTCAGAATTCTGGTCACCTTAATAGTTAAAACTAAAGTTTATACTTGTGCCATTCGTGGTTAAAACAGGTTGCAAAACAGATTTAAAGTCTGTTAAAAGTGGTACATTATTCCAAGAAGATTTTTGTTCGTGTATATTTCTATTTCTGTATTCATGAAAGTAATTATTGCAGTTTTTGAAAAACATTTCATGATTAAACTGATTTGGAGTTCTTTTGAATTCTTTCAGCCTCGTTGCTCTGAATTAGTACGTTTTGCTTTTTTTTTTGAGACATCATTGAAGCTCTGTTTGCCTTCAAATTATATAATTTTTTCTTATTTGAGAATCAAATAGAAAAGTGAAAGAATGATAAAACTTTTTTTTTTATCATCATGGTGCAATATAGAAAATAATTTAAGATAGTTTTTAAGCCACTAGGTGGAGCTATATTTGCACTTAATAAAAATGAGGGTTAAATAGATTAGTGACAGGAGAGAGCAGATGAAGACCTTCAAAGAAAGAGTTGTATCAGTGCTTTGTGTGGAACCTTAAAAAAAAAAAAAAAAAAAAGAATGTGTTGTAGTTAAGCAAAATCAAACTTATAGACTCTTAAGCAAACATTTTGCAAGATCAGGAATGTCTTTTAGCTAATGGTTTTCTAGCATATTTTATAATAGAATTATCTTTATTGGTTTTACTTGAGAAGGCAGTGTGTAATAGCAAAGTAACTATTCTGTGAGTTAAATTATAGATAAACACACGAATTCCCACACACTCCTTTCCTAGATACCAAATTCCAATCCAAATATCTGTACCTTGTGAGAATAATAAGTTGAGCTTAAGTATTTAATGTTTATAAAGGCAAAGTCATGAAGGAAAGATGGTTTGGTATGAAGGCCAGCTTGTAATATGTTTTTCTTGAAAGAATTACATTTATTTTTTAAAGGGAAATTTTTGTGTTTCTGTATAAGTATGCTTAATAAGTTTTTCCCACTTTAGGACGTCTAGAGAAAAATTGAGAGATTATCAATTCAAACGACTGAAGTACTATTATGCAGTAGTAGACTGTGATTCTCCGGAAACAGCTAGTAAAATTTATGAGGATTGTGATGGCCTGGAATTTGAAAGTAGTTGTTCTTTCATAGATCTAAGGTAATCCAGTGTATGTATTACCAATTTAATCTTTTAGTACAACATGATTATAAGAAGTAAAATATTTGAACTGGTAGTGATCTCTGTTTTATATTCTAAAATGATTTTTTTGCTTTTCGGTTAACTCTATCCCATGGAACATCACTCCTAAGAAAGAAAACAAACAAGACAGTGCTAAAGTATTATGTATGAATCATCCCCACATCTTTGTCCTTTCAGACATATTGGCTCTGTTTTTAAGATGGTGTACCTTACACAATAATATTTCCTTGCAACTGCTTTTAGAGCTAGGAACCAGATGAAGTTAACTTTTAAAAATGCATGGAGGAAGGGGCAGAGGAATTTGAAAACAGATTGTTATCTCTAGATCCATGCTATCCAGTATAGTAGCCACTAGTCATATTTGGTTATTTTAGTTAAAATTTATAAGTCAGTTGCGTAGTCATATTTCAAATAATTGTTCCATTTTGGACAGAGCAGATATAGAACATTGCCCTTGTCACAGAAAGTTCTGTTGGACAACACTGCTCTAAATGTAAATGGCTAAATGTACAATTAGGAAATTGTAAGACTCAACCTTAAGCTTTCCCTTGTTTTCAGTGACACCTCATGTATATGATACTTTGTATTCACAATGCTTACCCATTAATAATTATATTTGATCTTCAAAATACAATATAGCCAGCTGGGCATAGTAGCTCACGCCTATAATCCCAGCACTTTGGGAGGCCTAGGCAGGAAGATCGCTTGAACCCAGGAGTTCAAGACCAGCCTGGGCAACATAGTGAGACCCTGTCTCTACAAAAAATTTTAAAAGTAAAAATTAGCCAGGCATGTTGGCGCACACCTGTAGAGGATCGCTTGAGCCCAGGCCGTTGAGACTTCAGTGAGCCATGATTATGCCATGGACCTCCAACCTGGGTGATGGAGCAAGACCCTCTCTGTAAAAACAACAACAAAATCATGTAGTCAATGACTGCACTATCAGAAGTCTGGATCTTTTTGAAACGTGAGGGACCCACATGTGCTTGCACCTGACTCATTAACTGACTCCTAATGCACGATTTCTATCTATACAGCATTCTTTTAAATTTAGTGGAATTACAGAGTTATAGCTTATGAATTTCAGAAATTTATACAAAGATGAATTCATTCAGAAATATACAAAGGTTATGTCTAACATTGTCTCTTAAACGTGTGTCTTTTAGAAAGTTTGTGTATGTATAAACTACAACTAATTAGATGAGAATCTAAACTGTGGTTATCACTGCAGCGTATTTTAAATAAATTTTTTTTCTTTACTTCTTAGGTTTATACCAGATGATATTACTTTTGATGATGAGCCTAAGGATGTAGCCTCAGAAGTGAATTTAACAGCATATAAACCAAAATATTTCACTTCTGCTGCAATGGGAACATCAACGGTATTTCTTTACTTTAAAAAATATGTAGCTGGACTCTATTGCTTTATGAAGAGATTTTGTATATTACTTATAGCATCTTTAAAAATGGAAAGTATTAATTTTTTTGTTATTATTTTTTCTTGAGACAGAGTCTCGCTCTCTCACCCAGGCTGGAGTGCAGTGGTATGATCTCAGTTCACTGTAACCTCTGCCTCACAGGTTGAAGCGATTCTCGTGCCTCAGCTGCCCAAGTAGCTGGGATTACAGGTGTGTACCACTACACCTGGCTAATTTTTGTATTTTTACTAGGGACAGTGTTTCGCTATGTTGACCAGGCTGGTCTTGAACTCCTGACCTCAAGTGAGGCCGCCTTGGCTTCCCAAAGTGCTGGGATTACAGGTTTCGTGAGCCACTGCTCCCAGCCTCAAAGTATTCAAAATTTTTAATGCATGGGTACAGAGAGAAATGAGACACAAGCGTGTCTGCCTCTACCATATCTGTGAACCTGTTTTCAGATTCTTGTTACGCATTTAAGCCTGTGTCAGTTATCTGCTGATGTTTCTTTTTTCTCTTCTGTCTTTCCTGTACACTCTTCTGTCTCTCCTATACACTCTTCTGTCTTTCCTATACACTCTAATAAATCAGTTATTAATATCCTAAGGAATAAGGGGAAGTGGATAATAAATTACCTCCCCGCACAGTTAAATGAAACTAGGGAAAATTTAAAATAAGAGTATCTCCTATACACTCTAATACATCAGTTATTAATATCCTAGGGAATAAGGGGAAGTGGATAATGAATTACCTCCCAGCACAGTTAAACAAAACTAGTGAAAATTTAAAATAGGAGTACCTTTTTCTGCAGATGATTCAAAACTGTAAAAAGAATTGATATGGAATAATTAAGGTATAATAGATGTCACATTAATGCTTAGTAACAAATAGCCAAAAGGTTTTTGTCTATTGAAATAGTTTATTACTTAGGTGACTACCTTCTCCCTTTTCCTTTCTTTCTTTTTTTTTTTTTTTTGAGACTAGAGTCTTGCTCTGTCGCCCAGGCTGGAGTGCAGTGGCGCGATCTCTGCTCACTGCAACCTCTGCCTTCTGGGTTCAAGTGATTCTTCTGCCACAGCCTCCCCGGTAGCTGGGATTACAGGTGTGTGCCACCACACCCAGCTAATTTTTGTATTTTTAGTAGAGACTGGGTTTCACCATGTTGGCCAGGCTGGTCTTGAACTCCTGAGCTCAGATGATCCGCCCCCCTCTGCCTCCCAAAGTGCTGGTATTATAGGTGTGAGCCACTGCGCCTGGCCCCTTCTCCCTTTTCTTTTTTTTTGCTTTTTTTGGAGACTGAGTCTCACTCTGTCGCCTAGGCTGGAGTACGGTGGTGCAATCCTGGCTCACTGCAACCTCTGCCTCCCAGGTTCAAGTGATTCTCCTGCCTCAGCCTCCTGAGTAGCTGGGATTACAGGGGCACGCCACCATGCCCAGCTAATTTTGTATATTTAGTACAGACGGGGTTTCACCATGTTAGTCAGGCCGATCTCGAACTCCCAACCTCTGGTGATCCACCCGCCTTGGCCTCCCTTCTCCTTTTTCTTTCTCCCAATAACCTTTCTGTCCACAGCTGTACTCTGCAGTAGCCACACTAGCTTCCCTCTGCTTTTCCTGTGTGATAAATCACCGTGCTTCTCTGAGGAGGGACTGGTAGCAGAGAGAGTAGCTGTATCTGCCACCTGCTATGCCGTGGTGGGCACTGTATGGCATTGATTAGTTACTGGGTGTAGTAAAACTCTACCATTACATAGTAAGCAAAGTCTAAAAAATTCAGTCACATGAAATTAAAGTCATGTTATTTTCAGAACCAACATAATGATCAGGGCCAGCCTGTCCAGCCAGCCAGTCTAAAGTTCCTGGGTCCTGGCTGTATCATCAACATCTGTCCTAGTTCCAACAGTGTTTTGGTGGTTATCAGCTCAGGCTTAATTGTCAGAATAGGGATCATTTCTGAATCCTCTGACTAGCTGGAATTTCTGAGACAGGTGGCAGTGATTTTAAGGATCTCTTAAAATGGATGTGGATCTACCCTATGATGAAGATAAAATATCTGGCAGGGCCTTATATGAGAATAGGGGCTATGTACAGGGCAGGAGCCAGTCATCACCACATCAGTCATGTCATAGATGAATTCATGTATCATGGAGGTTTAAACTACTTCCAACTAATAGATGCTTTTCTCATCAGTGGTTCTTAATCTTTTTTTAAAATGGACCCCACTGAGATTGTCTTGTTTTAGCAACAGATTTCATATAGTTTGCAGATTTCCTGAAATCTTAGAACTCCAGGTGAAAAAACATGTTTTCACTGATTCATAATGTTAACTTTTTTTTTTTTTTTTGAGATAGAGTTTTGCTCTTGTTGCCCAGGCTGGAGTGCAATGGCATGATCTCAGCAACCTCTGCCTCCTGAGTAGCTGGGATTACAGGCCTCCTGATTCTGCTGCCTCAGCCTCCCAAGTAGCTGGGGTTACAGGCACCTGCTACCACGCCCAGCTAATTTTTCATGTAGAGATGGGGTTTTACCATGTTGGCCAGGCTGGTCTTGAACTCCTGACCTCAGGTGATCCACCCGCCTTGGCCTCCCAAAGTGTTGGGATTACAAGTGTGAGCCACCATGCCTGGCCCATAATGTTAACTCTTTTACCAGTACATTTTCTTAGTTTTTTTGCACCGTAATTAATTTAGACACTGGTTAATTTTTACTGTCAGTGATGGAGTATCCTGTAGATAGCAGAGAATTGGGAGGAGGTACAAGTTAATAGAAATGGTTCCATTTTCACAAATAGGATACTATTTATTAATCATATCATTCATGTATTTGTTTTAATGTGTCTTAACTTTTAACTTACTGTTAAACATCCAGGTTAATAGTATATATTCTTTAACAAGTTTGAGCTGACATTTCCATTTTCGTGTGTTATTTTTTCTTATTTGTTGGTGAAAGGTGGAAATCACTTGGGATGAGACTGATCATGAAAGAATTACAATGCTCAACAGGAAGTTTAAAAAGGAAGAGCTTTTGGACATGGATTTTCAAGCCTACTTAGCTTCCTCTAGTGAAGATGAAGAGGAGATAGAAGAGGAGCTACAAGGTATTGTTAATCTTTCAGTGACCATTAATGGACATAGGTCTTTGGCAGTAGCTTTACAGGGAAAGCCAAATTCTGTCTGCAGATATGCTCACATGCACAGTATTATATATACCTGTAGATAGTGATTGATTTTTTTAAAAAAAAATTTTCTTTGCCTGAATTTCTTTAACTATAAATATTTTGTTTAAAACCCTGACCTAACCAAGCATGGCCTTCTAGACTTGTCCTAATGCATATGGTCACTCAGTTTCTTAGTAAACCAGTAAAACAATCTTTTAGGCATCTCCCCTCATTTGCCTTTTTAAAAAATAAGAGCATCATTTAGATTGATTAAATATTTTTACGTTCCATTTTTTCAACTAGTTAAAAAGTAGACTCCCTGTTTCTGTAATTATTCCTTTGACTGCTTTTAGAGTTTTCTGTTTCTTTTTGTCTTTCTGCAGTTTTACTATGGTAAGTATAAGAGTAGATTTCTTTTTGTTTGTGGAGCTTGAGGTTTGTTGTTGGGTTCCATTTATTTGTGGAGTGGTATCTTTCATCAGTTTTGGAATATTCTTAGCCATTATGTTTTCAGATGTTTTTTCTTTATCCTTTTAGGACATCAGCTAAATACATGTTAGATCTCGTCATTATATCTTGCCTATCTCTACTCTTAAATTTTTAATCTGTTGTCTCTGTACTGCATTCTGGATATTTTCTTCTGACCTATCTTCCAGATCACTAATTGTCTTTTCAGCAGTGTTAAATCTGCTGATAGACCTCTCCATTCAGTCTTAATCTTGGTTATTATATTTTTTACTTATGGAGGTTGTATTTGGCTATTTCTCAAGTCAGAAATACCACTTTTTATATTTTTTACTCATAGTCTCTGTTTTAATATTTCATGTATTTTCAGGTTGGTGTCTTATTTTACAAGGTATTTCTCTCTTGTTTATTTGTGTGCCTAGTTAATTTTGTGTGTTACTTTGACATTTGAAGTTAGGGTATCTTTGATCAGAGAAGACTTTAATTTACTTTGGTTGGTTTAGAACCACATTTCTCCAAATGTTAAGGCTTAGGTTCCCTGGCTTCTGCAGATGATTAAAGTCTGCATGAGGGCTGGTTTACTTCAGATTGACCATTTCCCTGGGAGTATATCCCTCTGGGTGGCTGCTTAATGTCAGGGTACTAATTGAAATTCCCTCTTTTTTTTGGTCTTTAACTTTTGTCTTCTTGGTCCTGAAAGCCTGCTAAAACCACAATTGACTTTCATAGCTCTTTGTTCTGTGGATCAGGAAACAGGAAATGATCTCAGAGCAAAACAGGTCTTTACCCTGGAGTCATCCCTCTAATATTCCCTTCTTGGTTTTGAAATAGTAAGTCTTCTCTAACTTGACAGTTCTTTGAAACTTTTCTTTCTTTTCTTAACCTCTTTGAAGCTTTATAAAATAATATTTAATCCAACTTAATTCCAACTTAATATCTTCAGTGAAAGGGTTAGTCTGAAGTACCTAGCTTGCTGTTAAGAAGTTCCTCAAATTATCTTTATCTTTATTCAAGTTGTTTTTGTTTTTTGAGATGGAGTACTGCTCTGTCACCCAGGCTGGAGTGTAGTGGTACAATCTGGGCTCACTGTAACCTCTTCCTCCTGGGTTCAAACGATTCTCATGGCTCAGCCTCCCAAGTAGCTGGGACTGCGGGTGCCCACCACCATGCCCGGGTAATTTTTGTGTTTTTAGTAGAGATGGGGTTTCACCATGTTGGCCAGGCTGGTCTCGAACTCCTGACCTCAAGTGATCCACCTGCCTCAGCTTCCCAGAGTGCTGGGATTATAGGCGTGAGCCTCTGTGCCTGGCCTTTGTTTTTGTTTTTTTTTTTTTAATGTTTGAAATGATTAACGGCGTACAGTTGACTCTTGATGACTCTTGAACAACACGGGTTTGAACTGTGTGAGGTCACTTATACATGGGTTTTCTTCTGCGTTTGCCACCCCTGAAACTATAAGGCCAACCCCTCTTCCTGCTCCTCCTCAGCCTACCCAGTGTGATGATGACAATGAGGATGGAGACCTTTACAGTGATCCACTTCCATGTAATGCGTGGGAAATATATTTATCTTCCTTGTGATTTTCTTAGTAACGTTTTATTTTCTCTAGTTTATTATAAGAATACAGTGTATAATACATATAACATACAAAATATGTGTTAACTGACTGTATTATTTGTAAGGCTTCCACTGCACAGTAGACTATTAGTTAAGTTTTGGGAGAATCGAGATACGTGTGGATTTTCGACTGTGCCTAGGGTTGGTGCCTCTAACCTCCATGTTGTTGAAGAATCAGCTGTACTTTTAAATGTATATGCTCTTTGCTTAAAATAGCTCACTTTGTAGACATAAAGCCCCAAAACCCTTTTTCCCTGTATTTGATCTGTCTCTGTTTGGAAACTGGTTGCCGGGTTGTAATTTCATGTCAACTTTTGGTTGATACTGTCTGCCTAATACCTTCACATCTTCATTCTTCTTATCTAATAGAATTGCCAATCATGAAAAATTATGAGTAAGAGATTTAATGCTGACAGAAAGTGAAGAACCCATAAATGTTAAACATAGATAAAAGTATTTTAAATTAGCAAGAATGAATATTCTTTAATTTGTAGCTTAACATTTTTCATAGCTTTGTTTTCTTTTTGTATATGTATTATTTTTATAGCCTAAATGTCAAATTAATTAAATCCTAAAATGCTTCTTTAGTATGACCATAATGCCATTTAACTTTTGAGTTTTCGAGATCCCATGATTGGCCTATCATTGTTTCTTTTAGACTCCTGAAGACACTGCTTCATTTTTCTAAGCTTTTCATAAAATACTACTCCTTAACAGTATGGAAAATCATGTTTAATCATTCTGGTTTCTTTGTTCAGACATCTCATATTAATACAACCACATAATTGCTTAAGTATTTAATACTCTTTGAAAATGTGTATTTGCAATGGGAGTTAAGTTGGGTGCAAAGGGCCTCACATTTTTTTAAAGGCCTTAGTGGCTGATGCTTGTTAATTCTTTTGGCATTCCAAATAACTAGATGACCATTTTATTTTTTATTGTTCACAGAACAGCTGAGTCCTTTTTTCAATTTTCCTCTATCTGTGTCTTTTCCCCTCACACATGTGGAGAAAGACGTAATGATTTATCAGTATTTCTTTTTTATTTGTATGCCTATATGGGCATTTAGAACTTTTCTGAAAATTCTGGATAGTGTTTCTTCACTATCAGCTGTAAGATAAAGGAAAAAAGATAACTTTTTATGTACACTTGTGAAGATTGGATACAAGTTGTTCAAATAGATTTCTGTTTTGGGAGAACTGAACTAAATTTTAAAATGACATTTTTTGGCATTAGGGTAGCTAATATTGTGAATAAATAAGCATTAATTTGTTAATACATTCTTGTTAAGAGCTTGGGCTCTGCTAGTTTCAAATCCTAACTTCACCATACATAGATTAGGTTTACTAAACCCCCTATATCTTTCTTCCATAGCTGTGAAATGAGGATCTAATAATACCAGGCTTATGGTTGGAAATACTGAAATGATGTACCTTGTATCTTGTATTTTTATTTCTTAAAACTTTAATAAATAGGCCGGGCACGGCAGCTCACGCCTGTAATCCCAGCACTTTGGGAGGCTGAGGCAGGCAGATCATGAGGTCGGGAGATCAAGACCATCCTGGCTAACACGGTGAAACCCCGTCTCTACTAAAAACACAAAAAAATTAGCCGGGCGTAGTGGCGGGCGCCTGTAGTCCCAGCTACTCTGGAGGCTGAGGCAGGAGAATGGCATGAACCCGGGAGGCAGAGCTTGCAGTGAGCCGAGATCGTGCCACTGCACTCCAGCCTGGGCAACAGAGTGAGACTCTGTCTCAAAAAAAAAAAAAAAAAAAAAAAACTTTAATAAATAATGACTTTTTGTTTGAGATACACCAAGTTTTTTTAAAGCGTATATTTTTCTTCCACATTTTAATTGATTACAAATTTACTATAATCTAATTTAGTACCTCTCATAGATACATCAGCATATTCAAATGCCTTAAAGCTACTGAATATTTCTGGTTATTGTTTATAAGAGAGCATAGCAGGGTGGCTTACTGTTAGAATTATTATTCTTTCACTCCTTATATAGTATTAAGGGTTTCACAAACTAGTGTCCTTGAATTGGGAAAAAACAGAGCTACATGACTTATCCCACATTTTAGAGCTTCAGATTGTAAAATTTCAGTACTGGAAAAAATCAGTTTAAAGTAAGCCATCAGAGACTTACCACTAAAATTTCAACCTGGAAGGAGCTTGCTTCTAATTATGTTTTCAGAAGTAAGCTTTTAATAGAAAGAAATACTTTGCCATTTGTTAATGTGTTCCTGATGTTTTATCCATTGAATTACGGGATACATGACAGAATTCCATCCAACATTATTATTGTGGCACAAAGCACAAACAGGAAAAAAATGAATTTCAGCTGTTTGAATGAAAATAAAAGTGTGATAGGATGGAAAGAATGTCCTGGACCATTTTTTATTTATTTTAAGAAAACAATATATACATATAGAAATATTTACTTAACCAGTTTTTTTCCATATCACTTTTTTAAGATATAAGGACATTGATGATATAAGGACTTGCTGAAAAAAGAAAAAATAAATGAATTTTAAAAATTAAAAAAGATACAAGGACAAAATGAATTTTAAAAACTAAAAAAGATACAAGGACAATCTGTTAACACTGATGTTTCCCAGCTAAATGCTTAATAATGTCAGACATTTTTGGTGAGCAGTTAGCCATAGGTTATAGAGGAGAGGGACTTCATTATCCTGCTAGTAGAGTTTCCTTTACTTGAGACAGTCAATTCAATAAGTCTGTATGTTTTGCATTAAAACCCAGGTTTCTGATTTGTTTTTGATTTGGAGACTTGCAGTGGAAATGTAGAACAAACTTTTTGGTGTATTAGTTTTCTTGGGTATTTGTTGCCTGTGAATTTTATAATGTTTCTTTGTATTTTAATTATTTTTGCAGAACTAGGAAATGCAGATGTGAATGTTTTTCCACACAGTGAAATTAATTGAAGTAACTCCTAATTCATTTTTATTCTTAATATATTAATGAGATCGTTGGAGTAAGCATGCTTGCTCAAAAATGGAAAGGTTCCAGTATTCTTAGGTTTGGATTATAAACAACTGCCTTTATCTCTTCTCTTCAGGCTGAATAGCTGCAAACCGAATTCATCCCAACAATATTCAGCCTACATTTATTCAGCATAACATTTTAAAGCCACTGTGCTGGATAGTGGAGGACATAAAGAGGGATAAAATGCCATCTTCTTTTTTTTTTTTTTTAATTTTTTGTATTTTTATTTTATTTATTTTTTTTTAATTGATCATTCTTGGGTGTTTCTCGCAGAGGGGGATTTGGCAGGGTCATAGGACAATAGTGGAGGGAAGGTCAGCAGATAAACAAGTGAACAAAGATCTCTGGTTTTCCTAGGCAGAGGACCCTGCGGCCTTCCGCAGTGTTTGTGTCCCTGGGTACTTGAGATTAGGGAGTGGTGATGACTCTTAATGAGCATGTTGCCTTCAAGCATCTGTTTAACAAAGCACATCTTACACCGCCTTTAATCCATTTAACCCTGAGTGGACACAGCACATGTTTCAGAGAGCACAGGGTTGGGGGTAAGGTCATAGATCAACAGGATCCCAAGGCAGAAGAATTTTTCTTAGTACAGAACAAAATGAAAAGTCTCCCATGTCTACTTCTTTCTACACAGACACAGCAACCATCCGATTTCTCAGTCTTTTCCCCACCTTTCCCCCTTTTCTATTCCACAAAACCGCCATTGTCATCATGGCCCATTCTCAATGAGCTGTTGGGTACACCTCCCAGACGGGGTGGTGGCCGGGGAAGAGGGGCTCCTCACTTCCCAGTAGGGGCGGCCGGGCAGAGGCACCCCTCACCTCCCAGACGGGGTGGCTGGCCGGGCGGGGGCTGACCCCCCCACCTCCCTCCCGGACGGGGCGGCTGGCCGGTGGGGGCTGACCCCCCGCCTCCCTCCCAGACGGGGCGGCTGGCCTGGCAGGGGCTGACCCCCCGCCTCCCTCCCGGACAGGGCGGCTGCCGGGCGGAGACGCTCCTCACTTCCCAGACGGGGTGGCTGCCGGGCGGAGGGGCTCCTCACTTCCCAGATGGGGCGGCTGCCGGGCGGAGGGGCTCCTCACTTCTCAGACGGGGTGGCTGCCGGGTGGAGGGTCTCCTCACTTCTCAGATGGGGCGGCCGGGCAGAGACGCTCCTCACCTCCCAGACGGGGTCGCGGCCGGGCAGAGGCGCTCCTCACACCCCAGACGGGGCGGCAGGGCAGAGGCGCTCCCCACATCTCAGACGATGGGCGGCCGGGCAGAGATGCTCCTCACTTCCTAGATGGGATGGCGGCCGGGAAGAGGCGCTCCTCACTTCCTAGATAGGATGACGGCCGGGCAGAGACGCTCCTCACTTTCCAGACTGGGCAGCCAGGCAGAGGGGCTCCTCACATCCCAGACGATGGGCGGCCAGGCAGAGACGCTCCTCACTTCCCAGAGAGGGTGAAAATGCCATCTTCATTATCTTGCAGCTTATAGGAAAAAGAAGCCCAAAGATGTTATGTAACTGCAGAATTATTATCCAATATAAATTTTAATAAAAAGGGGCATTCCCAAGCATACTGCTATGACAGTGCAAATTTATATTGCAACTGATTTTTATTCTACATGAGACCCTAAGTCTTTCATTTAATATTCAGAAATTTAAGTCTGATTTTGATATCCTGTGGTCTAACAGCATCTTTTAAAAGAGAGTGACCATAAGATCTGAACACGAGTTAGAAATGAATTGTTTCTGTGTATTAAGTGAATTTTTTTTTCATTAGGTGATGATGGAGTCAATGTAGAAGAAGATGGGAAAACAAAGAAAAGTCAGAAGGATGATGAAGAACAAATTGCTAAATACAGGCAGCTCTTGCAGGTTATTCAAGAAAAAGAAAAGAAAGGCAAAGAAAATGATATGGAAATGGAAATTAAATGGGTTCCAGGTAAGAATTAGATACTAAATGTTTTCTCTTTTTCGAATTTCAGCATGTTGAGTACCTTTTAAATATGAAGGAGCCGGAAATGTTTTGGTGAGGACCTTAACATCATATTTGCATACACCATTTAACTAACTTAATGACTAGCATTTTAGACTCTTACCAACTTATTTTTAATTGGTTTCTTTGATTTACTAACTATAAATTTTTCCTGTCCATTTATCAGAGTAGCTTTTCCTAGGTTTGAGCCTGTATTCTCAAGATATAGAAACTTGAATCCAGGCACCACGTGTTCTAAAGTTATTACACTTCTTTTGAATGTTTAATTCTTAAGTGACCTTTTCTTCCATAACCCCCACTAGTCCTTAATTCATGAGGTTTCACTAACACAAAATATGTATTACATAGTCTTCGATTTTCAATCTTGCTGCGAATAGTCAAAGAAATATAGCATAGTAGAGTAAAATAGTACTAGTACAAAACTAATTAAAATCATGTCAAAGCTAAACAAAGATAAAAGCTGGGATAAATGGGATCATTCTGTAGTAAACAGCAGTTGCCCCTTTTTCATGGTTTCACTTTCTGCAGTTTGTTACCCAGTATAGTACAATAAGATACTTTGAAAGAGAAAGAGGAAGAGAGATTATATTCATATAACTTTTATTACAGTGTAATTATTCTGTTTTATTGTTGGTGTTGTTAATCTCTTACTGTGCCTAATTTATAAGTTAAACTTTATCATAGCTGTAGATGTATAGGAAAAAACATACTAGCTATAGGATTCAGTACTATCCATGATTTCAGACATTCACTGTGGGTCCTGGAATGTATCCTCCTCAGATAATGGGGGACTACTGTACACATTTTTTTCAACATTGTTGGGCAAATCATCAGGGACTTCTGCAGTCAATACTGTTTTTATAGATTACTGCTGTTTATATTATATATGTGTATAACTTTTAAAACCAGATATATTTTTGGATAAGGGTTCAGTTCTTTAGCCTATATTAGTCACTAGGAGAAAGAGTACTAACCAGTTGTAGGAATACCATTGCTTAAAACTTAAAGGTGTTCTGTTACCAATTCCATTTTTATAAGTAGCGTGCTTTTGTATTGGGAATAAAACATATGTTTGCGTGGGTTTTTATTTGGGAAAAAAATAGGGTATTTTGATATTTGAGGATTGACTGGCTATTGTAGTAAATTTGCTAGGATGGACACTGGCTATTGTAGTAAATTTGCTAGGATGGTCTGCTGCATATTCCTACAGGAATGAAGTGCTGTGTTGCAACCCATTTGTTTTAAATGTTTGGCTTTTGCAGGAAGTGGTGGTAAGAACGAATGAAGTTTACTGGTGTATCATATGACAAGTGGTTGGGAGAACTCAATTGATTTGGCCTGGAGAGGAAAAGTCTAAAAAGTGATTTTAACAGCTATTTTTAAATACTTGCAGAATATGTAAATGAAGACTTAATCTCTTTTATTACCTCACAGGTTAGCAGTACTGCCAGTGGATAAAAGTTGAAGGAAGGTAGATTTTAACGTAATAATATAAAGAGGAATTCTCTATATTATTAGAATTGTCTCGCAGAAGAACTGAAGGCTGCTTTAAGGGGTTGAGCTCTCTGTGTCAGTAAATCTCCACCATAAGGCTACATAATTATGCTACTCAGAGATGTCTGTTAAGAAATATTTTACTTGAGTCCCTTGACTTTATGATTCTAAGAAATGTTGAATTCTGTCTTTTAAGTTGAATATATTGTAGTTTAATTCTAATCTTAGAATGAGCTTATTGAATATATTTTAATATGAACATTTTTAAATTGAAGTGTTCAGTTGTCTGAGAAAGCAGATCTAAAATAAACTGGATTGAGGTGTTTTATAGCAAATATTTCAGAAATATATAATGCCAGTTGTAAGGTACAGATATATGATACAGGTTCCCACACTAAGTGGACCACATCTAGATTGTGTCTTTATTAACATAATTATGAAACCGGGCACAGGGGCTCACACCTGTAATCCCAACACTTTCAGAGGCCAAGGTGGGTGGATTACTTGAGCCTCAGATGTTCGAGACCAGCCCGAGTAGCATGGCAAAACTGTTCCATCTCTACAAAAAAATACAAAAATTAGCTGGGCATGGTGGCACACGCCTGTAGTCCCAGCTACTGGGGAGGCTGAGGTGGTAGGATCACCTGAGCTCAAGGAGGTTGAGGCTGCAGTTAGCTGTGATCATGCCACTGCACTCCAGCCTAGGCAACAGAATGAGACCCTGTCTCAAACAAACAAACAAACAAAACATAGTAATGTAGGGCAAATACCTAAAAGTGGTATTTACACCTGTTATCTGTAACTGGAAGTTATAAGCATTGCTTATATTTCCTCAGATAAACCCCACCTTGGTCATGGTACCTTATCTTTTTATATATTCCCAGCTTAATTTAGTAATATTTTATTAAAAATATTTGTACTTGTGGCAAAGAGGAATATGATCTGTAGTTTTCATTCCTCGTATTGGTTTTTGGTATTAGGGTAATGTTGACCTTATGAAGTGAAAATGTAAAATGAAAGATTATCATCTGTAATTCCACTATCCTAATTCAACCACTGGTTAAGAAGATTACAGTTTAATTTACCATTTCTCTGTTGTTGAATATGCAATCAGATTTCTAATCTTTCACTACAGTGGACTTATAACATTGAAAAAAAAATAGGACAGATCTCAAACCCACAAATAACAAGCTTTTCTTAAATTTCTTCATTTTCATGAGCAGCCAAGTAATTGGCTTGCCTTTTTAGGGCCTTTTAATTTTAAAAACTTTTAAAACAGAGGTGTGTTTTTCATCTCTCCCAGCCTAGAAATGTTTCCAAGCATGTCAGGACTAGTAGAGAACAACCAGGCCACAATGAGAAGCTGATGCCTAGCATTCAGGCTTAACTCACTAGTTAGTTACGTGACTTCCTTGCTCACACAGCAACTCTACATGTGCTGTAGATCAACCTGTGGTTCTCTCACAAGCTGTTAAAACTACCAGTGTCAAAACCTCAAATGTTAAATCCCAGATGCCAAGTATCTGGGATGTTATAAATAACCTATAGCTTTTTCCATATTTTGAATTATTTTCATAGGATAGTTTCCCAGAAATAGAGTTACTAAGAAAGGGCATGAATACTTTTTGTGTCTTGAAGTTATTGCCAAATTGCTTTCTGGAAGTGTTGTACCAGCTTATAATACCTTCAACAATCAGTAAGAGTGTCAGTTTCACGGAATTATCGTCAACATTGGGTATATATTTTTTACTTTTAATTGAATAGGGGAAAATTGATATTTTAATGTATGAGTTTCAAAGGTCTTAAACTGTAATATTTTGAAGGCCCCTAATGAGGTATTGTTATCTGTGAATCCTTATGTACATGCACGCATGCACATGCAAGTGTAAAGGGTTTTTCTGTGTGCTATACATATAAGATCATTGAGCAATCTTTCTGTACCTCAGTTTATTCATATGGAAATTGGAACTAATAATACCACTTTCTTGCTTAGAGATACTTACAAACGTTATAAACTACAAAGTACTTTCATGACGTGTATTTCAGTGAATTTATGTCTTAAGAAATGTGTGTTTTCTGTAACAGTTACCCTGAACCTCAGGACTTTTTTGATGTTATGCTTCAGTAAACCACGGAGGGTCAGTATGAGATTATACCGTATCATTCATTGGTTCTGTGGCTTGACTCTCCAAAATATTAACCTCTTCAGGAAAATAAGTACTCTTAATCACTAACATTTATTGTGGTTTGGTTTGATTTTTCAGAAGAAATTCTAGTTTAGACTATTTAAACGTTCTACCTTTTTACATTGGGTTATACAGTATAGTAACATGAGGAGTTTAATTTCTTAAGGGTAAGTATTAAGGGAACTGATAACAGGTTTGTGGGCATAACAACTGGAATGAGCTACTCTTTCTATCAATATTTTAGTTCCTATGGAAATGTAATAATACAATTTTATTAATTAGGATTATAAATAAGTAAAAATGTTGAATTATAAAATTTTTAAAGAAAGTTATACTTAATTATTTTGATGTATGTGAAGTTGTATTTCCTATCTCAATGCGTTGCTAAAGGTATCCTGCCAACTTACTAAGGAGTAGATAAGGTGATGCATATAATTAGCCAGTTGGGCCTTCATCAAGAAATGTACCTCGTTGAGGAATTTCTAATACACGTATAAATGAAGTGTAATCAGTTTTAACTCTTTATATAACTTCCCCTGTATTAATAGTCCAGTTAATCTACATAATATTTTTTGTAGATAATGCAAGCTGAATATAAACAATATATATGAAATTCCATCCAGAAATAAATAATGGCATGTTTGTTTATAATCTTAAATTTTTGATTATGGTAAAAGTCCTGTTTTTCTTAGCTATCTCTGGCCTAATAGATATTAGTGAAATGGATAGCTGGTCTTTTTTCTACTCAGCACTCTACAGAACCCCAACTTCTCTTCCTTACTCCATCAAATACTTACTGAATACCTACTCTGTGCCGGGAATTATTCTATACACTGTGTGAACAAAACATAAAAATCCCTGAACTCACAGATCTTATACTCCGGTGAAGGAGAAACTAAACAGATGACAGATATATAAGAAACATATTTGACCAGGAACTAAAGAAAGTAGAGGTCAGGGAGTGAGCCTGGCCCAGGAAGACTGTGTGAGCAGAGGAAGTAGCATAGGAGTATCCTTGAAGCTATACTTTGTCTCTTGTGTTTGAGGAATCCAAGGAGAACAGTATGACTACAGTGGAGGACAGAAGTAACTGAGATCAGAGAGGTAGTTTGGGGCCAGACATGAAAGCCTTGTAGGCCATTATAAAGACATGAATTTCTGTGACTGAGATGAGAAACCACTGGAGAGTTTTGAGCTCAGGAGCAGTCAAATCTGACTTTTATATTTAACAGGATCATTCTTGCTGCTATAGATAAGTAGATTAAAGTGGGGGGCAAGGACCAAATTGGGGAGATCAATCAAATGGCTGTTGGAGTAATTTTCAGATAATGAAGCTTGTGGATGGAACATGTTTGCAAGGGAGCATCAAGAATTTTTTTTTTCATACATTAAGTTCAAGATGCCCATTGATACCTAAATAGACATGCCAAGGAATCAGTTGGTTATACAGTTAAGAGTACAGGGCTGGTAGAGATATAAATTAGAGAATCTTCATTGTATAAATCTCTGAAAGTGAATAAGAACAACAAGGTAGTGAATATAGGTAAAAAAGAAAGGTTCAAAAGCTGATCCTTGGAGCACTCTAACATCTAGAGGTAGAGGACATGAGCCTGGACCATTCCGAGCAGCTGGAGAGGCTATCAGAGAAGCAGGAGGAAATTCAGAATTGCGGGGTATTCAGCCTGCCAATAAAGAAGGCATTTCAGTGAGAATATGGGTCAATAAAATACAGGCTGAGAATGACCATTGGATTTAGCAGTGTGAAGCTCACTGGTGATATTGAATGGTTTTTGTGGGATGATGGGGGATGAAAGTAGTATGGTTTGAAGGAAGAATGGGAAGAGAAGAATTAGAGACAGTAAGTAGAGGCAACTCTTTTTCTAAAATATTTGATAGAAAGTTGCAAGCACCATGACACGTAAAAAAAAGCACTTCAAAATGTAACTTCCAAAAACTAAGACATGCTTCCATTATAAGCACGTTGCCACTTTCACACCAAGGGAATTGTTAGTCTCAGACTACTAGAGAGATTAACTTATGCCTAGTGGTCCATTATTGGAATGCTAAGCATGTGGAAGTTATTTATATCCTACTGCTCAAAGTTTGATTGCAAAAATTCAAAAAATTGCAACCTCAGGCATAAATGGGTTAAAATGAAAAGATTGCAGCTGGTGGTAGAAGAGTAGGATGCTTGGAAAGTAAGATTGTGGTGGGATTGCAACTTTGGGTAATCACATGACCTGTTTACAATCCTGGCAGTGAATTTCTGAGATGGGATAGAGTGTAGAACCATAGGAGAGGAGGTCAGTGAACTGTGAGGCCAAAGGTACGTTCAGAGGATCATCTGTGTGGATACTGAAGTCACCAAGAATTATGACAGGAGTATTGGAAAGAGTGGCAGTGAGCTAAAATTAAAATGAGAAGAGCATCTGTGGTCATTAGATATCTACATCAGGTTCTGGAAGAATTTGCTTACAAAAAAGATATCTACAATAAGGAAGAGTGTAGTCTATCTAGTATAGCCTGAAAATATGATATTCAGAGTGGAGGCACTGGGGAGGAGGGCCAGCCAGTGGATGGGAATTGGCAGTGAGTCGCAGGGACAGTGGGAGAGAAAAATTCACCTGCTAAAAGAGATAGAGGGGAAGCAGTGTCCTCAGAAGAGAGCTAAGTTTTAGTGAAACTCCACTTAGCAGATAAATGGGTAAGGGGGCTTTTGTTAATGACTAATAACTGACTAGTGAGTAGAACGGCTTTAGTCATTGAGGATGTTCGGCATTGTTTTGGGAGAAGGAATGATTTGGAAATTGTAAACTTCATGTGGTGGCAGATTTAAGTATGAATAAAGGGATTTTGAGATTAGTTTTGATCGTCTTAAAGCTTTCATAGTGGTAGGGATGTGAATGTCATTGGGATATCTTGGCAGGAGCACACAGAGTTCTAGAATACTTACTCTTGGGAAGGAGACATGGAAACCAGAAAACTAGAGGTGCCCCTTACTGTCTCACGCTGGCAAGGACTTCTCTTACTGTCTCACACAGCAAGAGGAGTCCCTTTTTGACTCCTATTCCTTGGGCATGGAGTAGGGGTGTAGCTCTTCCTTTGTTCTGCTTTTTCCTCCTCCACTCTTCACAGTTGTAATTTCATTTTTATTCTGGTATCTGTTCTTTATCCTTCGTCCTCCCCTGCCACATTTATTTTATCTCCATTTCTCTGTTCAGTTGTTCCACTGAGTAGCTTAAACAGAGACATCAGTGACATGCATATGTGGCCATTGTATTATTCATTCTTTTTATTTAGAAGTAAAAATGTTTTTGAATTAGTTGGGCATTCATTTTGTTAGGCAGCCCAGTTTCAAGCATTTTAATTTTTAGATGTCTCAAAACCTGTTCACTGTTTAGTTTTGGCTCCATTTTCATTTATTGCCAATGTGCTCATTATTTGAAATATATTCAGAAAAATTTTTTTTGGCCAGAACTTTTAAAATAACCAGATGTTTAAAATTTTGAATCGAGTATAGAAGAGGGCATTAAATGGAAAACCTGAACTTAAAAATAAGCTAAAAGAATTTGTAGTTTGCCTCAGATTTTGGTGGTGGGGAGGAAACCAGGTCACAGTGCACTCTTGTAACTTGTACGAAGTCACACAGCTGGTAAGTGGCTAAAATTTTAAAACCTAAGCGTGAGCTCCTTCCTTGAATCATCCAGTTAACAGGTTGACTATGAGGCGTTTGTAAGGTAATAAGCTATAACTTCATACTGTGCAAAAAGATTGGAGTCATGTTTGAAATGTGTAATAAAAATGAGAAGCACTTAAGAGTTATCTAAAAATGATGCTAATACATTTCCTCCATGTGATTGCTGGTAATTTTCTCAGTGCTTCTTGAATTATTTGATAGACTGTTTTCTCTCTTAATAATATTGATTTATTGTTATTTTTATTTTTATTTTATTTTATTTATTTATTTTGAGACATTCTTCTGTCGCCTGGGCTGGAGTGCAGTGGTGCTATCTTGGCTCACTGCAACCTCCGCCTCGTAGGTTCAAGTGGTTCTCCTGCCTCAGCCTCCTGAGTAGCTGGGACTACAGGCGTGGGCCACTACGCCCAGCTAATTTTTGTATTTTTTGTAGAGACAGGGTTTCACCATGTTGGCTGGCCGATCTCTTGACCTTGTGATCCACCCACCTCAGCCTCCCAAAGTGCTGGGATTACAGGCATGAGCCACCACGCCCAGCCGATTTAATTTTTAAAAAGAGACTTTCCAAGAAGCTTTTTAAAAAGATTTAACTCAAAAAGCAAGGATATTTTTCTACTAGTAGTTTCAGAAAGTGCTAAAATTGCAATGCCTTATGAAGTTTCAGGTTAATTGATCTGGTTCCCCCCCACATCCCTGCACAGGATTCCAGTTAAAATATGTAAATCAGCAAGATCCTCTGGTTGCAAAGATCTAGAATGATTCTGTTAATACAGTCCTTCCCGCTGTTTGCATGTGTAGCCACCGTTTCTAGACTATACTGTTAATACCTTTTTTTTCTTTTTATAACTATGCCTTAAACTTGCAATCTGCCACAAGTGAGCTCAAGAAAAGAAAACTTGTCACATGTATTGTTTTCCCATAGCCCACAGCTATGCTGATTTGTTTGAAGTTGTGAATTCTTTGGTCTGGAAAGCAAAACTTTCGCTATTCTATTTGTGGTTGTCCTTCATTATTCTATCTGTATTCTAACTGTCTGGCTAGTAAGCTGTCACTTTTCGTTGCACATGTTCCGTGTGTTATTTTGACAGAACTCATTCATACTACTTGCTTTCATCAGTTTCATTATTGCAAAATTGAAAAGTTGGGCCCTGATGTTATGCTGTAGGTTCTTCATAAAGTTTTGCTAAATGGATAACATAATAACCTTTTATTACATTTTCTCACAGATACGTTTTTGAGTATAGCATCTTCGTGTCTCTTCTCAGGTGTTATTTATTTATTTATCTTTTTAAGAGACAAGGTCTTGTTCTGTTGCCCAGGCTGAAATGCAGTGGTTCGATCATGACTCATTCATGGGCTCAAGCGATCCTCCTGCCTCAGCCTCCCAGGCATCTAGGGCCACAGGTGTGTGCCACTATGTCTACCTAGTTCATTTTTTATTGTTTGTAGAGCCAGGCTCTTACTACATTGCTCAGGCTGGCTTCAAAATCCTGGCCTCAAGCTGTCCTCCCTCCTTGGCCTCCCAAAGCGCTGGAATTGCAGGCATGAGCCACCATGCCCTGCTTTTTGAAAGGATTGTATTAATTTGTTGTGCCAACTGGAGAACTTTTTATTGTTTAGCTTTTGAAAGCTCAGAAATACTGATAAAATTATACACAAAATATAATCTGATTCCTACCATAGGTTCAGGTTTTGGAGCCAAGTAAAGGATAGGGTGTAAGTACTTTACTTTTTTGTTTGTTTCTTTCTTTCTTTCGAGAGGGAGTCTCGCTCTTTCGCCCAGGCTGGAGTGCAGTGGGGCTGTCTTGGCTCACTGCAACCGCTGCCTCCCGCGTTCAAGCAATTCTCCTGCCTCAGCCTCCCGAGTAGCTGGGACTACAGGCACACGTCACCACACCCAACTAATTTTTATATTTTTTGTAGAGATGGGGTTTCACCATGTTAGCCAGGCTGGTCTCGAACTCCTGACTTCAGGCGATCCACCCACCTCGGCCTTCCAGAGTGCTGGGATTACAGGCGTGAGCCACTGGGCCCAGCCTGGATAGGGCATAAGTACTTCTCTGTAGATCTTTGGTTTGATACAAAATTTAATCTCACTCTGGGACCATATTGCCATTTTCTGTCCTCTGAAAGATTTGCAGCCTTTCTCAATGTCTTTTCAGTTAGACTGTTGTAGACAGTTGCTCACTGTATGCAATATGCAATGGTAATTTTCGGAATTGAGGTCTGTGGTGAAGCCAGTAAAAACTCCTATGGCTTTAACTGGTGGCTGTGCAAACTGAATCTGCTGGTTTTGTGTGGGAGTGAGAGGGTACTTTCCTTCCTCAATTTAATCTTTACTGAGGGTGGGTGGTGGGATAGCTGTAATCAAATGAGCTATCAAAAGATATACCCGGCCGGGCATGGTGGCTCATGCCTGTAATCCCACCACTTTGGGAGGACAAGGTGGGCAGATCACCTGAGGTCAGAAGTTAGAGACCAGACTGGCCAACATGGTGAAACCCCGTCTCTACTAAAAATACAAAAAATTAGCCAGGCATGGTGGCTCGTGCCTGTAGTCCGAGCTACTTGGGAGGCTGAGGCAGGAGAATCTCTTGAACCCGGCAAGTGGAGGTTGCAGTGAGCCGAGATCATGCCACTATACTCCAGCCTGGGTGACAGAGCAAGACTCCATCTCAAAAAAATTAAAAAATAAAAAAGACATATCCTTGCTCAATCTACCCATTCAGTGATGTGGAAAACTTTTATCTGTAAAATTATTTAGCATGACCTTGAAAACCTGACCCTGTGTATGCCCAAAGATAAGTAACCACTGAGTTCCCGTTGGTATTTGGAATGATGTGCTTTAGTAGTAAATTGAAGCATACACTTTGAAGGTATATGCTTTCCTAATAATTGGAAGTCTGGGCCAGGTGCGGTGGCCCACGCCTGTAATCCCAGTGCTTTGGGAGGCCAAGGTGGGTGGATCACAACATGGTGAAACCCTGTTGCTACAAAAATACAAAAAAAAAAAAAAAAAAAAAAAAAATTAGCCGGGCATGATGGCAGGTGCCTGTAATCCAAGCTACTCGGGAGACTGAGGTGGGAGAATCGGTTGAACCCAGGAGGTGGAGGTTGCAGTGAGCTGAGATCATGCCGTTGCACTCCAACCTGGGCAACAGAGCAAGACTCCATCTCAAAAAAAAATAATAATAATTGGAAGTCTGTCTCTGTAGGACTTAATCAGACTTTTCCTAAGCATTGTCAGCTTAGAGCATCATAAAATATATTTTATTTTAGGATCCCATTGCTGTAAACAGGGGAATTTTAAAAATTTAATTCTTAGATGCATAATTTTGATCCAGAAGAATTACATTTTAAAATAGCCTTTGAGGGGCTGGGCATGGTGGCTCACGCCTTTAATCCCAGCACTTTGGGAGGCTGAGGTGGGCGGATCACGAGGTCAGGAGATCGAGACCATCCTGGCTAACACGTGAAACCCTGTCTCTACTAAAAAATACAAAAAAAATTAGCCGGCCTAGTGGCGGGTGCCTGTAGTCCCAGCTACTCAGGAGGCTGAGGCAGCAGAATGGCGTGAACCTCGGAGTGGAGGTTGCAGTGAGCCAAGATCGCGCCACTGCACTCCAGCCTGGGGAACAGAGCAACACTCCATCTCAAAAAAAAAAAAATATATATATATATATATACACACACACATATATATATATATATACACACACATATATATGTGTATATATATATGTGTATATATATGTGTATATATGTATATATATGTGTATATGTGTATATATGTGTATATATGTATATATATGTATATATGTGTATATATATGTGTATATGTATATATATGTGTATATATATCCTTTGAGGGAGGAAGGGGAAGTTTGCACTTATTGGATGCTTGTGCTGTATCAGGAACTATTCTAGATGCTTCACACACAATACTACATTAAGTTCTTCAAGGTGGTTAGTACCCCATTTGCAGGAGAGAAAAACTGAAGCATAGACTTGCTTAAGATCACAAAACTAGGAGACAGAAGAACTGTCACAGATTTTTTGTAGATTCTGTCATCAGAGAACTGACAAGAATAGAAATAGAGCTTTATAAGGCAAGCTATGGAAAATGCAGTCATACCCTGTATAACGACATTTCAGTCAACAGTGGACTGCATACACAACAGTGGTCCCATAAGAGTTATAGTGCAGCTGAAAAGTTCTTATCAACTAGTGCTGTCATATTTTTGCACAACACATTGCCTTTTTTATGTTTAGATACACAAATACTACTATTGTGTTACAATTGCCTACAGCATTCAGTATAGTAACATGCTGTACAGGTTTGTAGCCTAGGAGCAATAGGTCATACCATGTAACCTAGGTGTGTAATAAGCTATAACATCTAGGTTTGTATAAGTATACTCTATTACGATGTTCACACAATGATAAAAAGGTCTTAACATTAGCCTAGGTGTGTGGTAAGCTACACACCATCTAGGTTTATGTAAGTATACTCTATTTTAATGTTTGCACAACAATAAAATGCCTACACATTTCTCAGAAAGTGTTCCATCATTAGCTGACATGTGACTATTGAAGTCCTAAATGTTAATATTATTTTGATTCTCTATTACCCTCATTCTATATTTTCTCTCTCTTTTTTTTTTTTTCGAGACTGAGTCTCGCTCTGTCGGCAGGCTGCAGTGCAGTGGTGCCATCTCGGCAGGCTGCAGTGCAGTGGTGCCATCTCGGCTCACTGCAACCTCCACCTCCCGGGTTCAAGCAGTTCTCCTGCCTCTGCCTCTGCCTCACGAGTAGCTGGGACTACAGGTGTGCACCACCACGCCCAGCTAATTTTTGTATTTTTAGTAGAGACGGGGTTTCACCGTGTTGGCCAGGGTGGTCTCTATCTCTTGACCTCGTGATCCGCCTGCCTCAGCCTCTCAAAATGCTAGGATTACAGACATAAGCCACCATGCCCAGCCCTGTTTTTTTTTTTTTTAATATACAACTCATTTTTCTCTGGTATACTCTTTCAAATACTGCATAAAGGACACTGCCAATGAAGTAGCCAGTTAATTACAAATACAAAAGTTGAAAGAGTAAACCTTAAAGGATTACTCTGTTTCAAGGATTCCCAACCAGCGTACCACCAGTGGATGACAAATTAGCCACAATCTTGATCCCTTTCATCCTTAGGCCCACCAGAGCCCCTAGGCTGTTTTCTTCTCTGGTTGCTTCCTCCGTTTTCTCTATCTTGCTGTACAAACATTGTCATTGTGTCTACCATGTAGGAAAATGGTTGGGAAGGTACTGCTTTCTTAGTAGTTATTTGGAAAGTCTTTTTAAAAGTAGAGGAATTATGGTTAACTTATATAAACTCACCCTAATAAATATGGAAGAAAATATTTAGATTGCAAGAAGAAAAATCAAGTTTGAATTTAGTTGTGACTGTTATAAATGTTTTTAAATATTGGAATGCTAGGGAAGTTGAAATGTTTATGATTTCTGTTTTTTATAACAAAGAAGTGTTTGAAATTGACTTAGAAATGCTGTTTAGGTTGTACCCCAGCCTCAGTATATCCTTCTATATTCATAGCTTCTGTGGACAGGAAACTCTTCCAGGGAAGAAAATGATTAGGCACCCTTGAATGTCAAGCCACCAGTTTACAGGTGGATTTTTCAAATGCAGTCTGTAGGGCCTGCTTATAATGAAATTTGGGATAGCATTAACAGTTTATTGTGATTACAGAAAGAGCATAGAGGCCTCAAAGTCAGAAAATTTAGGTTTAAGTTATCATTTTGATGGGGAGTAACTGACAAAGAGGCAGGTGAAAGCTGTTTAGCACACAGTTGTCAAAGGGTGAACATTCTTTTACTGTCTTTTAAAAAATGCTTATACTTCATTGTGGGGAAAAAGTCATAGATTAAAGAAATACTATGTGTGTATATATTTATATATTAAAGTGTGTATTTACAGTTTAAAGAAAAATAAAATGGGCTGGGCATGGTGGCTCACAACTGTAATCCCAACACTTTGGGAGGCCAAGACAGGCAGATCACTTGAGGCCAAGAGTTCAAGACCAGCCTGGCCAATATGGTGAAACCCCATCTCTAATAAAAATACAGAAGTTAGCCAGGCATGGTGGCACACACCTATAATCCCAGCTACTTGGGTGGCTGAGGCTTGAGAATCTCTTGAGCCCAGGAGGTGGAGGTTGCAGTGATCTGAGATCACATGCTACTACATTCCAGTCTGGGTGACAGAGCGAGACTCTGTGTCAAATAATAAAAATAAAATGAACACATACAGCCACAGACATTACCAGTGTCTGCAGTCCTCTGTGTGACTTCCCAGTTATGTATTAGTCATTCTTTTTCTTTTCTATATAGTTTTACCGCAGATACATCTATTCCTAATAGTCTATTTTGTAGTTTTGTTAATTTTGAACTTTATAAAAGCATCCTCTGTGTATTCTTGTCATTTGCCTTTTTAAAAAGTAAACATTCTGGGCCAGGCATGGTAGCTCATGCCTGTAATCCCAGCACTTTGGGAGGCTGAGGTGGGCAGATCACCTGAGGTCAGGAGTTTGAGACCATCCTGGCCAACATGGTGAAACTCCGTCTTTACTAAAAAAATACAAGTTAGCTGGGTGTGGTGGCAGGTGCCTATAATCCCAGCTACTTGGAAGGCTGAGGCAGGAGAACCGCTTGAACCCGGGAAGGGGAGGTTGCAGTGAGCCAAAATCTTACCGTTACACTCTAGCCTGGGCCACAGAGCGAGACTCCATCTCTAAAAAGTAAAAAATAAAATTAAACATTCTATTTTTGAGAGTTAGCCATATCCATATATGTGTATATGGTTCATTCATTTTCATGGCTACAGAGAATTCCATTGTATAACTTATCACAATGTATCTGTTCTATTGCTCATTATTATACTTTATTTCTGTTATGAAACAGTGCCTTTGTGAATATTCTTGGATGTATCACGAAGATACGCATGGAATTTCTTGGATACATGTAGAATTTCTTGGTTGTAACATGCTCGTAATTACCTCTACTAGGTCATGTGTTTTCCCAAATGCTTGTGCCATCTTATACTCTCACCAGTAGTGTGAGTTCCCATAGCTCTTTATCGTTACCTTTAACTGATATTATCAGGCTTTTTCATTTTTGCCATTTGAGTACATAAGTAATGGTGTCTCATGGTTTTAGTATGTGTATTCCCAGATATTGAGAGTTCCTACTGTATACCAGACTCTGTTCTTGTCATAGAGTATTGAACAGAATAGACAAAGGTCCAGGCCTTCAATGGGCTCTGCAGTCTATTGTGTGTGGCCTGGGGAGGGAGAGAAGTTAGTAAACAAATAGGCAAAATATATGCAATCTCAGGTGGTGATTAAAGCTTGTGGAAACAAAAGCCTAAAGCCTACATGGGGAATAGGAAGTTTATGGTTGGGAATGAGTAGCAATTTAAACTGGATAGTCAGGGAAGGCTTCACTGCTACAGTGACACTTCAGCAAAGACCTAATGGAAATGACAGTAGTCACCATGTGTTATCCTAGGAAAGAGCATTTCAGGGAGAGGAAACAACAAATGCAAACGCCCTGAGGGGGAAACATTACTGATGTGTCCAAGAATAATAAGGAGGCCAGTGTGGCTGGAACACAGTTAGCCAGGGTATGGAAAGCAGAAGATGAGGTCAGAGAGGCAGCCAAATCACAAAGGGTTTTCTACATCTCTGGGTGGACTTTAGCTTTCACCCTGTGTGAGATGGGAAATGGAGATGATGTCACCTGACTTCAGTTTTTAAAGAAATACTTAGGCATTTCCCTGGTTACTAATGAGGAGGAACAGTTTGTTTTTCCTCATATGTAGAATGTCTATTCATGTATTCTTTGTCTTATTGATTCTGATTCCTAGGAGTTCTTCATATATTCTGGGCTGGTCTTTTATCAGTAATGTGTTTTACAGGTGTCTCTTCCTGGTTTGTGATTTTACTTTCTTTATAGTGTCTTTTGAAGAACAGAAGTGTGATATGGTCAAATTCATTAAACTTAACCTCTTTATTTTTAAGTATCTCTGGTGTACATAATTGGAGTAATCATAATCTATAGATTAAGACAGTCTCTCATCAATGGTCCGGCATGGGCCTCTTTTTATTGATTGGTTTGTTTGTTTGTTATAATGAATAAGTGAACCCACCACCCACTACGAAAGCTAGAACCTTGCAATAACTTATATTTACCTGTTTGATCCTCCCCTGCCACTCCATACTTGAGGAAACCATTATCCAGATTTCAGTATTTATTCATTTACTTTCCATTGTATATAGTTTTTTAAAAATATTTAATTGACAAAGATTGAATATATTTAAGCTATACAGTGTGATGATTTAATATACATATTCATTGTGTAATGATTACTACGTGATATTAACACATCCATCACCACCCATTCTGTACGCTAGATCCCAGAACTTATTCATCTTGTGACTGAACATTCCTATTTTTTGACCATCTCCCTATTTTCCCCACCCTAAAGCCCTTGGCAACCATTGTTTTACTCTTTGCTTCTGAGTTTGACTTTTTTAGATTCCACATATAAATGAACTCTACTAGGTATTTATCTTTCTGTGTCTGCCTTCACCGAACATAATATGTTCTCTAGGATCATCTGTGTTGTCACAAATGGCAGGATTTTCTTTTTTGTGGCTGAATAATATTTTGTTGTATATATGTACCACTATTTCTTTATTAATTCATCTGCTGATGGACACTTAGGTTGTTTCCCTATCTTGGTTATTGCGAATAATGCTGCAATGAACATAGGGGTTCAGATGTCTCTTCAAGATACTGATTTCATTTCCTTTGGATATATACCCAGAAGTGGGATTGCTGGATCTTATGGTAGTTCTGTTTGTAAGTTTTTGAGGAACCTCCATGCTGTTTTCCATAATAGCTGTACCAATTTATAATCCCACCAACCGTGTACACACCCTCACCAGCATTTGTTATCTCTTGTCATTTTTAAAATACCCATCCTAGCAAGTGTGAGGTAATACCTCATCATGGTTTTGATTTGCATCTCTGATACTCGTGATGTTGAGCACCTTTTCATATACCTGTTGGCCATTTGTATGTCTTCTTTGGAACATTGTATATAGTTTTATATAACTTATAAATATTCTTAAGAGATAATGGGTACATAAAAAGGAATGAAGTGCTGATACATGCTACAACATAGATGAACCTTGAAAATACTACGCTAAGTGAAAGAAGATGGTCAACAAGACCACATATTTTATCAAAAGTATCCAGAACAGGGAAATCTATAGAGACAGAAAGTAGGCTAGTGGTTGCCACAGGAGGGAGGGCGGGAACAGGGTTTCTTTTTGAAGAGATGAAAATGTTCTAAAATTGTGGTGGTATTTGCACATATCTGTGATATTAAAGTTGTTAACTTTGTTAATGTGGGAGGAAGTGTGGGTGTGTTTGGGATACTTTTAAATCATTTTGGGACTGATTTTTTTTTCACTTAATATTATATTGCTAAGATTTATTTTGTGTAGCTGTAGGTCATCCATTTAACTTCTATACTATAGTTTGTATATTCATACTCCTGTCACATTTCAGTTGTTCTTAGGTGTTACTATGATGAATCATGCCATTAGGAACATTTCTATGCATGTCCCCTAGTACACGTTTAAGTTTTTCTGGGTATTTGTGTTAGGAGTATAATTGCTGAGTCATAAGGTATATGAATGTTGAACTTTTTTTTTTTCTTTTTGAGACAGAGTCTCACTCTGTTGCCCAGGCTGGAGTGCAATGGCGTGATCTCAGCACTGCAACCTCCATCTCCTGGGTTCAAGCAATTCTCCTGCCTCAGCCTCCCAAGTAGCTGGGATTACAGTCACTCACTACCACACCCAGCTAGTTTTTTTGTATTTTTAGTAGAGACGGGGTTTTGCCATGTTGGCCAGACTGGTCTCAAACTCCCAAGTAGCTGGGATTACAGGCGTCCACCACCACACCCGGCTAATTTTTTGTATTTTTAGTAGAGACAGGGTTTCGTCACATTGGCCACGCTGGTCTCGAACTCCTGACCTCAGGTAATCCACCCGTATTGGCCTCCCAAAGTGCTGGGATTATAGGCATGAGTCACCACACCTGACCATGAATGTTGAACTTTATAAGGGTGGTGATATTACTTGACATTTCCACCAGCAGTACTTGATTTGCATTTCTCTTGTCACCAATGAGATTGAACATGTGTTTCCTTCTCTGTGAAATACTAATAGATGTTTTTTGGCCATTTTTCTGTTGTACTGTTTGTGCTTTTCCTGTTGGCTTTTAGCAGCTCTTTATTTACTTCTGATACTGATCCTTTGTCTTGTATAAGACAGCTAATATCTTCTAATTTGTAATTCCTCTCTTCTCCCACTTTCTTCTGTCATCTAATGAACAAGAATACTTGATTTTAATATTGTCAGATTTATCTTTTATAGTTAATATTTGCTGTTTTATCTAAGAAACTCTTTTTTGTCCAGATGAGAAGAATGTTCCCTTTGATTTTTTACTAAAAGATGTAAGGTTTGGGACATTTAAGTCCTTGAGTTGTTTTTTTTAATATGAGGTAGGGACCTGATTTTATCTTGTGCCATATAGAAAATCTTTTTTATCTTGTTCCATTTGTTGAATAATCTCTCCTTTCCTCTAGTAATGTGACATGTCACCTCTCATGTACCAGAGTTTCAGAACTGTGGGTTTGTTGCTTGGCTCTGTGTTTTACTGGTCAGTTCGTCTGCCTATCCCTAGACCAGTACCACACTTCAGAAAACTGGATGAAGAACATTAACGACCACCACATCTAGCCCACCTGTAGGCCAGCTTGTATGGGGGTTCTGTGAAGAAAATGAACTAAAATGCAAACCAAAAGCAACAATTGAAAGGACTGTAGTATGTGGTATCCTTGGTGGAGAGCCAGGTTTCAGTTAGAACAAGATAAAGAAAATGCTCAGAGATATAATGAGATTCTGCTGATGATGTACTGTGAGTTCCACAGAATTTAGTGATAGAGAGTTGGCAGGGAATGGGGCAGAAGAATTGATGTATTGTTACCTTCTGGGGATGAGAACATGGGATATTAGGGGGACAAGATGATTAGGGGCTTTTTGCAGTGACCAAAATGAATAGGGAGAAAAGGCATAAATAGATTATTCCTGGTGGGATGATTCCTGGGGGCAGATTGTGATAGTGAGGCTGTGAATATTGAGGATTAGGGAGGGAAGGGTATTGGCTATTATCTTGGATGCACCAAGCCAGTCCCCGTCTTAGCCTCTTTCTGGGAAGGGGCAATTTTACTGTGAGCTCACAAGACTTCCTCTTGACTCCTGTGCAAGTCAGGAAGCCAGTGTGACTAAAGAACAAGTATTTTAATACCTCAGGGCCCACTTTTGAATCCTGTCAGGAGAGATGTGGTCTTGCTCTACAGTGTTGTCTTGGGTACCTGGCTTTTAACATATTTTAGGTGTTCTAGAGTTGCACTCTGATGTAGGTCATTTTTTGCTTGTTAGCTTTAATCTTGCTTGGAATTAAATACCCAAAATACTGAAGATTATCATCTTTTGTTAGTTCTGAAAACTTTTCCACCATTTTCTCTTAGAATATTACATTTTCCCAATCTTCTCTGTTTTCTCCTTCTGGAAATCCTGTTTAATATGTGTAGTACATTCTAACTCTGAATCTGATAACTCATATTTTCCATCCCTTTGAATCTCTACAACGTGCTGGGTAATTTCTTCACTTTTGTTTTTCAGTTCATTAATTCTTTCTTTACCTCTGTCTAGTGTGCTGTTTATTTTTTTTCTAGTCTTATCCTTTTGTTAGTCTGATCTTTTAATTTCTTCTTTTGTTTTTTAAAAGTGCTGATATATATTTTGTATCTGATAATTCCAATATTCATAGTCTTTATGGTTCTTATAGTTTGTTTCTGTGAAGTTTGATTGTGATCTCATTGTTCTTGAATCTTTCTTTACCTAAGGGAATTGCAGAAGCCTGTGTCAAAAGTACTTCTTTTAAAAAATATTTGCCAGATGCCTGAGGGCACTTCCAATCCAACACCAATTGAAGCTGAGTTTTTGGATTGGATTATTTTGGGCCACACAAGTAGTGTGAATTCCAGCCACAAACCCAGGGGTTTGTGGTTATAAATCTATGGGGGAAAAATGTATTTTTACTTCCCTCTTTCTGCCCATAACCAAAGCCCAAACAGGCATGTGTTCTCTCTGATTTGTGGGGGAAGGGACATCACCCACTGAGAGCACCCTTAAGCATCTTGGCTTAATGTAGTGGTCTCTGCTGGGACCTCCCACCGTGATCAGGCTTCAAACTCTGTGTGCTGGCTTCTTGGCCAGCAACCCATTACAACCAAAGATCCATATAAGACCATAGCAGATCAGTGTTTGTCCCCAAGGAAAACTCCTTGCTTCTAATCTAGTTTGATATTTCCGTTTGAGCTTTCTTTTTTTTTTTTTTTTGAACTTTCTTACTGTGACTGGATTCCAAGAAATTCCTTTTGTTTTCTTACATCTAAAAGTTTTCATTTATTTTTGACCTTGTCCATAAACATGTATAAAAATAACAATAGAACAAGTAGTTCTTCAGTCTTCTTTGCCGTAAACTAATTAGCAGAATGACTTCACCAGACTTGGCCAGAATTTTAGTTTATCAGTACTAGGATAGCTTGATATTGTGTACATTGTGATTACAAACTACTTGAAAGACAAAGAAAACATACAAATAAAGTACAGGCAAATACAGGAAACAATAGCTCCCTAATGAGGCCCAAATGTTGTTTTGTATTTGAAGTTAGCTTTTAAGAATATTTGATTCTAAGAAGCAGGGGCAGCTTGATTTACAGTAAACTAAATATGATTGTAAGTGGAAGACATCATTTCAAGGGAGAGTAAAAGGCGATTTGGAAGAAGAGTATGATAAGCTCAAATTCAAGACAAATGTAAAGCAATTTCTACCCAGTTAAATAGCTTTTAGACAATCAGCAACAAAAAAAAACGTGTTCATTGATCACATACTTTGGGCATATTTTCTATGGATGCTTCACTGAATGTTTTGGAAGATATAGAATTGAGGGTTATATAAGAAGCAATTGCCTATCTAAGCAGCTTCCTGTACCCTCATCCTTATTATCCTTATGACTGTGTTTCTGTATAACACTATTCTCATAGTGTTAAGTGCACCCAAAGAGTATTTGTTGGCTCTGCCTGATTGGTCATTTTTGCTATTTACTATTGTTCACAAGGCTAGTTATTTTACTTTTTAATTTTAAGCATTGTTGTTCCTAGTCTGTAAGGTTGGGAACAAATTTGACTCATTTTTTTCTTTTATTTGCTTCTTTATTCAGCAGACATTTATAAGGTGCGTGCTGTATGTCACACCTTTCACTGGCCGCTAGAGTTACCAGCAAGAGAAAAACAGGCTATGACCTTTGCCCTCATGGAGCTTGCAACCTGTTAAGAGAGATACCCATTAATAATAATTTTTACAATTCCACAAATGAATATATAATTCCAACTGTGACAAATGCTAGAGAATAAAAGACCATAGTACTGTAAGAGTTTAGGAGAGGCTGGGCACGGTGGCTCATGACCGTAATCCCAGCACTTTGGGAGGCTGAAGCAGGAGGATCATTTGAGCCCAGGAGTTCAAGACTAGCCTGGGCAACATAGTGAGACTTACGTCTCTATAAAAAGTAAAATAAATTAGCTGGGTATGGTGATGCACACCTGTGGTCCCACTACTCAGGAGGCTGAGGTGGGAAGATTGCTTGAGCCTGGGACATCTAGGCTGCAGTGAGCTGTGATTGCACTACTGCACTCCAGCCTGGGCAACACAGCAAGACCCTGTCTCAAAAAAAAAAAAAAGTTTAGGAGAGAGGGATTTACAGAAGTTCATACAAGAAATTGTAAGATCCTGAACCAAGTTCAAAACCCTTCAGATCTTCATATGTTTTATTTGAAAGATTGATCACTTGGCTTATCCAATATGCTTTAAGGATATCCTATGCACATAGTCACCCTACTTTACCAAGGAGGAAAAAATGGCCCTGGCAAAGATCCCGTTTACTTATCTGGACCAAATATCCTGTGACCCCTGTTATGTGAGTGAATGTGTCCTTCCTTCTCCCTACACCATTGGGGTGGAGAGTTTGAAGGAGTGTCTTTGATGACACTGTTCCTCAGGGCATGGCCAGTGGTTTTCCTCTAAAAATCCTTATACTCTGTTCGGCCAAGTGTGGTGGCTCATGCCTGTAATCCTAGCACTTTGGGAAGCCGAGGTGGGCGGATCACCTGAGGTCAGGAGTTCAAGACCAGCCTGGCCAACATGGCGAACCCTGTCTCTACTAAAAATACAGAAAAAATTAGTCTGGCATGGTGGCGTGCGCCTGTAATCCTAGCTACTAGGGAGGCTGAGGCAGGAAAATCGCTTGCATCTGGGAGGCGGAGGTTGCAGTGAGCAGAGATTGCACCATTGCACTCCAGCCTGGGTGACAGAGCAAGACTCTGTCTCAAAAAAAAAGCCTTATACTCAGAGTGGATTCCAAATTTGAAGTTTTGGTGGCAGTGGTGGTGGCTGGTTAGATTTTAAAAGCTACTTTTGGAATTGAGTGTTACAGAGTCAGGTTTAAATAAAGAGTGCTGGTTTCAGCCTATATCAGAAATGTTTAAATATACATTTTGTTTTTATAACCAAAGCCGATTATAGTACCTAGTGGAGTTATTTTAAGTTGTTCATCTCCTGCCCTTTGAAGACTTTTCAGATATTTCAAATGAATAAGGTAGGCAGAATGTATACTCTTATTTTTGTGTGTTTTGCAAGGATATTTAAAAATATTTTTATATGTATGCAAACTGCCAGAATAATTCTGAATGGATTGTGCTTAAATTATTATTGTCATAATTGAGTCATCTATGTTTGTGGTTGGCTGTGAAAGATGTTTTTGCCCCTTATTTGTAGGATTATTGATGTTATTTTTAACTAATTCAGAAGTCCTTGGATATGCACTTAAAATTTTTTAAACAAATTTGTGCAAAACTAAAAGCAGTTACAATGAAGTTGTTTTTCAGTCACATAGTGGCTGCTCTCAGAGGCTAAAACTGTCTCTGAAGAATGTTCTCGTACTTATGCCAAGAGGCTTCTGGGATGGGCATATTTTTAAGAACTTAGAACATAAACAGCTGTGATCTGTGGCAAGAGATTTAAATGACCTCATGATGACAACAAGAACAAAGCATTTTTTAAGTTATCATGGTGGTGTGTGAATTCATTGCAATGTGTTTCTTATGCTGCTATTTGGGTGTATTAAGTGAGAGCCAGGCAAAAAAAAATTACAGACTGTATTAAACTGAAGATACTGTTTCTTTATTGTTGTAAACAAAGTACCAGAAAAATATTATTTCCTAAGAATAAACATTTCACGAATTATTTTAGAGTTATAGGTCCTTTTCTTTTTTGTTTTTAACCACATGAACCACTTGAGGATCAAGGCCATTTATTTCGATCCTAAAGTTTTGATTCATTTTCTGTTAGAGAGAATATGTTCCAAACATGAAAGATCAAACAGATGGCTTGAAATAAGAATCCCTCCTTTAAGACAGATCAATTAAGTGTTTATTAAGTATTTACTATGTGTCTGGCACTATGCTAAATATTATGAAATACTAAAGAAGGTGACTTTAAGCTGCTTTTGGTCTAGTTAGAAGAAAGGACTGCTCAGATGAAACTTATAAATTGGGAAGACATATAATCAAGCACCAAGTAAAATACCATCACTTATGTGGTTCAAATATTGACATAGCCCTTTTTTTTAGAAATGATTTTTAATGATTGTCTAGAACAGTGATTCTTAGCTAGAGGTAATTTTGCCCCCCAAGAGGATATTTGGCAATGTCTGGAGACATTTTTTATTATTACACCTGGAGTTACTAGCATCTAGTGGATAACCAGAGATATTGCTGAATAACTTCCAGTGCACAGGATAGCCCGTCACAACAAAGAATTATCTGGTCCAAAATAACAATAATACTGAAATTGAGAAAACCTGATGTAGAACCTACAAATGTCAATGCTGTTAAGCTTCAAAGTTACAGGAATGGACTTTCATCTTCCCCCAGGCTAGACCTCTTCAGCTCCTATAAATGTTCTTTACCTTAAGCTCTTGGATCATTACACAGAGATGATCTTTGGATAGTCATAAACCTCCTGAACATTGGATGCAAGTTTTTCCAGTACAGTGTTAGAGTCCATAACTTTTATCAAAATCTCATGCTATCCATCCCTCCAAAAAAGGTTGAGACACATCAACCCAGTCCTCTAGTCACCTAAGAGACAACAACATAGAACCCTCCTTAGCATCATGGTGATTCAGAAGTAGAGCTTGGATCAAAATCAGAAAATAACTTTTTTGGTGAAAAAATTTCTATATTAGTTTAGTATTTTGAAGTAATACAATCTTAATGCATGAGGAAATTATAGTAGAATACTTCAAAGAGTATTATTTAAACATCATGTAATAATACAACACTGTACATTTAAAATTTTAGACTGAACTGATTGTGTGCTGACCTATGGGCAGAATACATAAATTATTTTGTTCTTTGAAATCAACTTGTTTTATCAGAATTTGCTGCTTTCTCTCAAATGAACATCCCAGTTTACATTTCTTAGGTGCTGTTTATCTGTTGAATCAGAGATCTAAACATGGTTTTATATTACACATTTCTCCTGAAAACTGTTTACTAAATGAATTATGTTTTTCTCATAAGAAACATTTTTGAATTGAGAATTGTGTTCTGATTTGGCATCCTGTAAGTTAGAGATCCTAACAGCAGTATGTCATAAAAACAAATCTGTGTTACCTTGAGTGTGCATATAGGTTAACATTAATACTTTTCTAAGCTATAGAAATTTGGAGATTAATTCTTGGGTTAAAAACCAAGGAAGGTCTTAGAGATCTGTTTCAGCTGTTTCAAACTGTTGGTTGAAGCTCAAGGCCCAAAAGCAGTGTTTTTAGTTGTTTTATATATTTTTACTTTTACCAAATGTTTTGAGGGGGGGAAATCAGTGCACGTGGGAGGAAAGGGTTGCATACTTCTGATCTAAACCATTCATTTTGCAGATAAGGAACCAGAGGCCCAAAGTTTTAGATTTTATTCTTGGGCCATATATTTCTTCATTCTGTAGGTCAAACTAGCATTTTAGATGTATCTGATAATAGAAGAGAGGATGACCAGGAATTCAAAATTTAGCTGTGCAGCTTCCTACCTCCATGTTCTTAGACAAATTGCTAAATGTTCTCAGTCTGTATATACTCATCAACAAAAGAGAACTGTATTTAGTATCGTTTCTACTTTCTTAGAATTTAGAATGTATCTGAGAAGATGATCTGGTTTGATGATGTCTCTTTTTTTAATGAATTTTGTGTCATCTAAATATTTAAAGATCCACCCAACTATGTCCTCTAAACACTACTACAAAATAAAAAACATCTTTATTATCAAAGGGGACAGCACAGTATTTACATTTCCTTTACTTTGGCAATAATGAGGGTCTTTGTAAATGGATAGATCAGCCTTAGGGCTTTTTCTCCCACCTTGTTACCCCCTCTAGTTATTGCATAAGATACCTAGAAACGTGAATCGGGAACAGCAGACTATAGGAAGAAAGACCTTTTGAGATGAAATATAAGAGCAAATAGCAGCATTGAAAGAGCTAAACCATATGATGAAATGGAATCTGAACTTGGTGGTCCTTCTGATCTTTTCTATGAGGCCTCACAGAATGCTTGAGAAAAGATTGAGAATCCTTTGCTCATGGGATATTTCAACAGGGATTCCTTACTAAACAATTTTTGTTCAAAACCTGTAGTTTGCAGAGAACATAGGCTTTCACTTGGATGACAGAAGCAAGTGGGGATAATTAAAGACAAGAAAAGCCACTTGTCTTTTGCTACAAAAATTAATTAGTATCCTGAGAAGAATTAGTTCAGAAGTTTTCTTAGCATCTCAAAACAGAAAAGTTTAGAGAAATGAAGGCTGAGCCTAAATACAGTATTTTTCTTTAGTGGCTTGACCATGTATCAAGTTGCTAGGTTTGTTTGTTGGTTTGTTTTGATTTTGTTTGGTTAGGTTATTGTTGTTTGTTATTAGGAAATAACTTTTATAGAAGTTGGTCCTATGTCACTGTATGATATTGGGGTATTACAGATATTTACCATTGCATGTTATCTTTGTTACTCTATTAAATATGCATAAATTATATTTGTCTTTATAAATTATATGTTTAAGTGATTGCCAGACAATAAGACATTTTAAGCTAAACTATTTGGATTTTTCCTCAGGTCTTAAAGAAAGTGCAGAAGAGATGGTCAAAAACAAATTGGAAGGAAAGGATAAACTGACCCCTTGGGAACAATTTTTAGAGAAGAAGAAAGAGAAAAAAAGACTGAAAAGGAAACAGAAGGTATCATTGATAATTATGACCAAATGTTTGTTGAATACCAACCATATATCAGATGGTACCAGGTGCTTGGAATCCATTATCTCAAAATGTAACCACTCACTGAAGTAGGCCTTGTTATCATCCCAATTTTAAGAAAGAGGAAAGTGAGAATGCAGAAAGTTTTTTCATCATGGCCACATAATGGTGTACAAAGCCTGGTCACAGTCCAGAGCCACTTCAACTGCTGCATTCTGACATTTTACATTTACATGCCACCTACGTAAAACACATAGTTAATATCTAGATATAAGCAGTATGATTCTGTTCTGTGTTTCTGAGCAAAAGAGGTACATACAGACATTTTTCCTTGAGGATATATGCACATAGAGGTTTTTAACATGAGTGAAATTATGCCATACTTTCCATCTGTCAACCTGCATTTTCACCTTACAGTATTATCTTATGGCTCATCTGTCACCTTATTGTCATTAAATTCCTTTATCAAGAGTATTTCCTGGCTGGGTGTGGTGGCTTATGCCTGTAATCCGTGCACTTTGGGAGGCCAAGGCAGGTGGATCACCTGAGGTCAGGAATTCAAGACCAGCTTGGCCAACATGGCGAAACCCTGCCTCTACTAAAAATGCAAAAATTAGGTGGATGTGGTGGCGCGCACCTGTAATCCCAGCTACTTGGGAGGCTGAATTAGGAGAATCGCTTGAACCCAGGAGGCAGAGGTACAGTGAGTCAAGATCGTGCCACTGCACTCCAGCCTGGGCGACAGGGCAAGACTCTGTCTCAATAAATAAATAAATAAATAAATAAATAAATAAATAAATAAGAGTATTTCCTCTGTGTTAATGTGGTTTCTGTGGACAATATGATTTGACTCATGTTGTTCAGGGAATAGCATCTTTTCCAGAGTTTTCCAGAGTCCTCAGTAATAGTACAGATCACTTAGGTTTTTGCCACTAAAAGTGCTCTTGTGACTGAAATGCAGCATTCTGGAAGTGGTGTGCCTTAGAGCGTTATTACTGATAATGACAAAATTTTGCAGCTTGGGGAATCTTAAAATTATTAATTCTAGTCCAGCCCTGTTTTATAGTTGTAAAAAAAATTAGCTGATTAGTCTGAGGTTACATAGCATACCAGTGGCCAAGCTGAGACCAGAATCCACAGTTACTCAGACCAGTGTTCTTTCTTCTGTTCCCCACTATACTGTTTCTATACTGTGTGTTCTTATAATGCTTTTGGTATAGCTTTGACTTTTAGTGCTGTGACGGGTAGAGAGATGCAAAGCTGAATGATGCAGTGGAGTAATTTTTATACTTCTATTGTAGTCAGTGTTTGTGGAAATGGATAGTAAAATGGAGAAATTGGGTGTTTTGGGAAAAACTCTTTCTGACTTTGTTTTTCCTCTGCTGTCACACTACAACTATCAACACAGAAGAAGACTTCTGTGACCAAATGGGTAGGGAGTTTTCTCCACACACTAACCAGTGGACACCGGCTGGGTGACCTCCAATTCCAACACTACCTGGAGATAGTGTCAGATCCCATAGATTGGGGGCTCGGTCCCCAAGACTGCCTCCACCCTTTCAGACACCAGTCTGAAGTCTGGACATCCAGAACTTCTGATTGACTGGCTTCAAGTTGGGGTTCCCACGACCCCCTCTTTAGGTTCAATTAATTTGCTGGAGTGGCCACAGACCTTAGGGAAACATTTACACACATTTGCTGGTTTATCATAAAGGATATTACAAAGGATACAGAGGAAATAGGGTAAGGTATGGGGGAAGGGCTGTGGAGCTTCCATGCCTCCCTGGGCGCTCCACCCTCCAGGAACCTCCATGTGTCCAGCTATCCAGAAGCTCTGTGAACTCGTTTCTCGGGTTTTTATGGAAGCTTCATGATGCCAGCATTCCTTCCCCACAACTACAGGGCAGGACCCTCTCTGGGGAAGGTCTTAAGATGCACAATTAGAAAGGTGAGGGAAGAGTACAGTCCTGCCCTTAAGACCGAACACAAAAGACTATAGCAAGGGCTAAGGAACTTATGAGCCAGAAACCATGTATGAAAATAATATATATGTAACACCACGTGGGGTAAGAGCCCTGCTCCCATTGATGTGCTAACTAACTCTCTTCTTCCCTAGAACTCCTTTTCAAACTCAGTAGGCAGTAAAATATCTTTTTTTTTTTTTTTTTTTTTTTGAGACCGAGTCTCGCTCTGTCGCCCAGGCTGGAGTCCAGTGGCCTGATCTCGGCTCACTGCAAGCTCCACCTCCCGGGTTCACACCATTCTCCTGCCTCAGCCTCCCGAGTAGCTGGGACTACAGGCGCCCGCCACCACACCCGGCTAATTTTGTTGTATTTTTAGTAGAGGCGGGGTTTCACCATGTTAGCCAGGATAGTCTCAATCTCCTGACCTCATGATCCTCCCGCCTCGGCCTCCCAAAGTGAGTAAAATATCTTATAAATGAAATAACTCCACAAGTGTTAAGCTATCAGTTTATTGGAGATGTCTCAAGTGGGCCCTCATGGGGTCAATAAAGTAGTCATTCTGAGAATTGTAGCAGCTATTCAGTTTGATTTTCATTTGCTGGGAGCTTCGAGTTTGTGCTTTTACTTTTTCCATTCATTTGGGCTAAGTCTGGACTCGTTGGTCAGCAGCATTCAAAATACATTGTTGAGTGTCCAGGGTGTTCTAGACCCTACAGTACTCAGTACCGGCCTTGACTCCAACAGATCCTTTCCAACTCCACAGGTTCTTTGTATATAGAAGAGTTTCAAGAATTTTCTTCAAGTTAAAAATATTTTTGCCCATTTGTTCCTCAGTGGTTTCAATTTTGATACTGAAAAATTATTACTGAAGAAATGAATACCTGATATATGCCGTGTTATCTAGTATTTTGATCTAGCTGTTGTTGAGATCTATAAAGCAGTTAAAGAAATGTGTTGAGTAGGTACATAGCAAATATTCTTTGTTAAAAGTATGTTACTGCTGAATCCATAAAATAGTTTGGTAAAAAAAAAAAAAAATTCTTAGAAGCGCTTGTTCTGGCTGGGTGCGGTGGCTCATGCTTGTAAACCCAGTACTTTGGGAGGCCGAGGCGGGCGGATCACAAGGTCAGGAGATCAAGACCATCCTGGCTAACACAGTGAAACCCCGTCTCTACTGAAAATACAAAAAAATTAGCTGGGCGTGGTGGCGGGCACCTGTGGTCCCAGCTACTTGGGAGGCTGAGACAGGAGAATGGCATGAATCCGGGAGGTGGAGCGTGCAGTGAGCCGAGATCGTGCCATTGCACTCCAGCCTGGGCAACAGAGTGAGACTCCGTCTCAAAAAAAAAAAAAAAAGCACTTGTTCTTGGCCAGGCGTGTTGGTTCACGCCTGTAATCCCAGCACTTTGGGAGGCTGAGGCAGGCGGATCACCTAAAGTTAGGAGTTCAAGACCAGCCTGCCCAACATGGTGAAACCCCATCTCTACTAAAAATACAAAAAATTAGCCAGGTGTGGTGGCAGGCGCCTGTAATCCCAGCTACTTGGGAGGCTGAGGTAGGCGAATCGCTTGAACCTGGGAGTCAGAGGTTGCAGTGAACTGAGGTCACGCCACTGCAAGCCAGCCTGGGCAACAAGAGCAAAACTCTTGTCTCAAAAAAAAAAGCCAGAAGCACTTGTTCTTAAAAGGACATTAATGTCAAAATAAATATTCTTTAGGGCTTTAGTGATTCTTTTTGCATGCAGGATGTTTAACAATAATGGCATTCTAAATATTTTTGTTTAAATGACTTGAGATGTTTTAGATTGCTAGAGATAAATTCAGTCTGGTTAGCCTGATCTTAGTTCACATGTGTTCTATTTATTGTATAGATTTGATTGCTTTATTTAAATTTGCTAATTTAGTAAAAAGTCTGTTCAAATTAGATTAGGAAAAATTTAACCAACAGACTTACTTAAAAATAGCCTGACAGTTTTTAGGGGTGGCTTATAGATAAAACAAGATAATTGTTAAAATTGGGCGATGAGAACAGAGGGTTCATTACATTGTCCTACTTTTGTGTATGTTTTAGATTTTCATAATAAAAATTCTTTTCTTTAACCAACAAATAAATTGTTGTAACTAATAATTTAAGAGATAATTCACAGTGCACTACTTCAAGTAATTCAGTCACTATCATTTTTCAGTTTTATGAGAGAAAATGCCACCTCCCATCACTGATCACCCATCTAAAAGTATTCTTCTCCTTCAGATCTTCTCCTTCAAATGTCTGCATCACTTTGTCCCTCCTAACCCTTCCTATCTTGAATTATTTTTATTTATGTATTTGTCTATTTATGTGTTTATGTGTCTGATTTCCTTTAATAGATGGTAAAATTTTTGAGGGCAGAAACCATGTATCTGATAACTTCCATTTCTCCCAAAAGGCCTACATGGTTTCCTGCATTTATTAAGTATTCTATATTTTTTGTTTGTTTGTTTGTTTTGAGACGGAGTCTCGCTCTGTCGCCAGACTGGAGTGCAGTTGCGCCATCTTGGCTCACTGCAACCTCCGTCTCCTGGGTTCAAGCGATTCTCCTGCCTCGCCTGCCAAGTAGCTGGGATTAGAGGTGCCCACCACCATGCCTGGCTAACTTTTGTATTTTTAGTAGAGATGGGGTTTCACCCTGTTGGCCAGGCTGGTCTCAAACTCCTGATCTCAAGTGATCTGCTCACCTCAGCTTCTCAAAGTGCTGGGATTACAGACATGAGTCACTGCACCCAGCCTCTATAATTATTTGTTGAACAAACAGAATAACTTAGGTGGGAGTTGTTTTATAAACTGGTCCATTTAAAAACTGGTTTACTTTTTTTTTCTTTTAATTATTTTTTTTTTTGAGATGGAGTCTCGCTCTGTTGCTCAGGCTGGAGTGCAGTGGCACGATCTCGGCTCACCACAACCTCTTCCTCCTGGGTTCAAGTGATTCTCCTGCCTCAGCCTCACGAGGAGCTGGGACTACAGGCATGCACCACCATGCCCAGCGAATTTTTTTGTATTTTTAGAAGAAATGGGGTTTCACTGTGTTGGCCAGGCTGGTCTCAAACTCCTGACCTCGTGATCCACCCGCCTTGGCCTCCCAAAGTGCTCAGATTACAGGCGTGAGCCACCACGCTTGGCCACTGATTTACTTTTAGATTGAACTACTTGGTTTAAAAGAAATGCATAGTTTTTCTTGGTATACATTTATTATAATTCTTGTAATAATGAAATTTTGTATTTTTATATTCAACTTTTAAGGCTCTTGCTGAAGAGGCCAGTGAAGAGGAACTTCCCTCTGATGTTGATTTGAATGACCCATACTTTGCTGAAGAAGTTAAACAAATAGGTAAGCCAGCTCATATCTGTAGTTTTCAACTGGAATCTAAAGAAAAAGGTGAGGTACATGGAAGCAATATAAACTAATCATTCTTTTAAAATTGCTAGTATTTGTGTAGCTCCCTTAGTGACATAAGCAAGTCTGTCCTGTGGCATACAGTCATTAATCTGATTGGGAAGGGTCAACTTGTCCCTTCTACATACAAGGGATAATTTTAATATAGGAGACTTTTGATAATGTGGTTAATAGTTTACTGGGGATTCCTTTCTGGGAAATATCCTTAGTGCCAGTCAGATCGACTCTATAAAAGAATGAGAGGAAATAGAAAGAGGAATAAATATTTTCTTGTGTACTTTCACTGATTTTTAATAGCGTATCCATTCTAGGTCCCTCTCAGCAAAGTCTATCAAGAATTAAAAGTATGAAACAAATTTGTTTTTATGTGCATGTTGATATGTGTATAATTTTTTTAAATTTATGCATGAAATTTCATATAAAAGCTTTTTCTGCTGAAACATACAAAAGCATCTATGTTTCATTTTATCCCTTTTGTACTCATTATGCTTAATTATAGCTAGAAAGCCAGCTTTCCTTACTCCTCTTTTTCCTTGAATCCCTAAATTATCTGGTATCTGATTTCCTATATCCAGGGAGCCTTGTTTCCACCTCATATGCACTACTCATTCTTTCTTTCCTCCATTATGTGGAGGAAATGCGTATGTGTAAATGTGTTTGGTAAGGTTCAGGCCATACTTGGTAAGTCAGTACAGAAATCACTGTAAGGATTTACCATTTGTTCTCATGCATTTTGCCTTCCCCGATCATTATACCACACACAAGAACCCCAAAAGGCTTGCTCCTGGAGCAACTCCACGCTGGCATTGTAAAGAGAAGGAGTTTATGAAGTTTCCCTGTTTTTTTCCCTTGTGACTAGTGGGCCAGAATAGTTCTCAACAGGAAAGTCAGAATTGCTCAAAATTACTTCCTGATTGTTACAGCTTTTTAGTACTGACATTTTATTGATGAGAAGGAGATTAAGATAAATAAAGTCTATTATAGAATGTGAGATTCTTGGGAATTGGACAGAGAAGTGGAAACTTAGCATATTCTGCTTTTTATCATACCTGAGTGGTCATTTCTAGAAGATGATGGATTTTAGCCTTATCCTCTGGTTTCAGGAAACCAACTTTATAATGGAGAAATGCTAAGCATTATAGTTTCCTTGTTCTCTATCCAAAATGTTTCCTTTGGCATGTGAAGTCTGGTCAAATTGCAGAACTCAGAATAGGATTCAAAGAATAAGTTAAATGGTTTGATGGCTTGGGGTAGCCAGTTTTTTGGAATCAACACATTTAAATTGAGAGTAAGCTTTCTGTAAAGTTATTATCAGAAGTTCCAAAGAAAAAAGGTATAGATAAAATTTGCTTGCTTATAATTTACTTTTGATTTCAGAGTGTTCCCAGAGGGTAATTGTTTCTATCTGGGCTTTTCTGTTTTTGTGTGTGTGTTTTGCAGTGGGTTTTGTTTTGTTTTGTTTTGTTTTGTTTTGTTTTGAAAAAGCAAAACAGCAAGGCCAGAATTTTTTACATAAAATTTAGGACAAAAAGCTAGTGTCTTGCCATGTTTGTTTATTCATTCTGTAATAACTGTTTTGATTGCCTACCAGGTGCTGAGCTCTCTGCTAGGCTAGAGATACAGTAGTGATAATACAAACAGGATTGCATCCCTCATGGAGTCTGGTTTAAAGAAAGACATGTTAGACAGATAAATAGTATGAGGGTATGGTAAATGTTTTCAAGGAAAGAAATAGAAGATATAACTGGATAGAAGTAGGAGATATGGGAGTTTACATTGGGTAGGCAAAGAAGGCTTCTCTGAGATGATGGCATTAGAGCTGAGACCTGTGGAATGAGGAGTCAGGCATGAAGAGCTGGGGGAAGAGCATTGCAAATGAGGGGAGAGTGGGTAGAAAGACTCCAAGGTGAGAATGCACTGTGTGGTGTTAAGAATTGAAAGACATCAGTGTGGCTGGAGCATTGTCGGAGAGGGAATTGGTATGAGGACAGGCTGGAGACTCAGTGGAAACTACCCCTGTAGGGCTTTGTTGTCCTGACAACAAATTTAGATTTTACTTTACTGATAGTGGAAAGCCCAAACAGTCTTTAAGCAAAGATGAGACATAATCTGGTATAGATTAACATATTACTCTGGTGCCTGTGAAGAGAACAGTTTGAGGACTGGTGAGGGCTGGAAGACCAGACTTTTGCCGAGCTCTAGACCAAAGATAATGGTTGTTTACCTGGCATGCCGCTCGTGGAATTGGATGGAGAAGAGAATGGAACTCTAGATATACTTTGGAAGTATACTTGCTAAATCAGGAAGAAATTTAGCATAACTTCTGTTTTTGGTTTGAGTCTATGGAAGAATGTTCTTCCATTTACTGAGGAAGAAATGTGGAAACAATAAGTTTGAGTGGGAAGCAAAGTAAATACGTCCATTTGTGGTATAATCACTTTGAGATGTCAATTAGATATACAAATGGAGGTGTTTGGTTGATATTGAGATATAAGTCTGAGAGATGAGCAGAGAAATCAGAGTACAAATATAGAGTTAAGGATCAGTAGCATGTAAATAGTACTTCAAACCATGGCAGTGCGAGTAGAGAGCAGTGATAAGAGAAGAGGATGCAGGATGGGCCCTAAGGTCAGGTGAAGTCCACATGAGGCACTGTTAATCTGTCATACTGGAGGAAGTGCTACCTGAAAGGATGGGAAAAGCTTAAGAAGCTGAGAAGCGGCGGCTGGGAAATAGGAGGAACAGTATTAATGTAGTGGCTCACAGACACTTGGTGAGGTGGTAGAGGTTTCAGTAGATTAGTGTGGGTTAAAGTTTGAGGTGAAAGGTAAGGAAGTAGAGACCAAGAATGTAGATCTTTTTTCAGAAGTTTCACTGTGAAGGGGAGCAAAGACGTGGAGCAGTACCTGAATGTAGGTAAGGAGAAGGTATTTTTTTAAAGATATGAGCTTTTAGGGCATGTTTTCTTTCCCTTGGGATTGTTCCAACAGAAAAGAAGTTACTAAGATACAGAAAATGGGGGAAATAAAAGTAAATACAAATGCAGATAAATTTGTATATTTGGTGGCAGAAGGATGAGGGATTTACCTGATTGGTTTATGGATTTATACTGTTTGTTCATTCACTTGCAGAAGCACAGATAATCTGCATGAGCAGATAGGGTAGGGACGTAGAAACAGGTCACTGGAGGGGGCAGGGTGCAGGAGGTTACTGCCTAAGGCGGTTGATTCAATTAATTGTCAATTTTAAGGAGAGTGTTCAGGTCTGGATGGCTGAAAATGGAGAAAGATGGGGCGTATAAATTTGAAGGCCAGGCCAGATACAAAACCATAGAACATGTGGCAAGAGCAGCGGTATGGGAGGCCTAGGCAGAGAAAGAGAGAACCAGCTGAGCCACAAAAGGAGCATGTCCCTTTTAAATCATGCTGGACATGGCTTTTCAAAGGCACATTACAAAGCTGTGTGCCCCCATTCATGTACGTGGTTATTCAGTCAACAATTATTGAGTGTCAGAATCACCCAGTCCTCCCATATGACTTTCAGCATGTTACAAAATATTTAAATATATGAGAATGATACAGTTTTCCCATACTTTACATTTTAATCTGACTTCCTATGGTATAACTGGACTTTTAAAATATGTGTTAGATATATATCATGTATATGCTCAAATAGATGGATTTAATGAGAAGTTTTTACTCAATTCTGAACCTTTTCCTCCCCAGCAAAAACTAAATTTGTGCTTAACAGTATCCAGAAGACATAAGGAAGAATATATTGAATGTTAACATTTTGTACTCATGATCCAGGAGGATGGTTTTAAGGATAGGTGGAAGCATGCTTATAACCTCAGGGAAATGGATTCCCATAGGGAGTCAGGAAGAAGTTGGAAGTTTTTTGTGTGCCTTCCAGATATAAGGATCTGTAGTAGGTACTCTTAAAGAGAGTTGGACTTTGGTTCAAAATTTACCAGTTTGTAATTTTTATTTTATTTTTATTTTATTTATTTATTTTTTTGAGACGGAGTCTCACTGTGTCGCCCAGGCTGGAGTGCAGTGGCGTAGTATCTGCTCACCACAGCCTCTGCCTCCTGGGTTCAAGCGATTCTCCTGCCTCAGCCTCCCAAGTAGCTGGGACTACAGGTGTGTGCCACTGTGCCCAGCTAATTTTTGTATTTTTAGTAGAGACAGGGTTTCACCATGTTGGCCAGGCTGGTCTTGAACTCCTGACTTCAGGTGATCCGCGCGCCTCGGCCTCCCAGAAGTGCTGGGATTACAGGCGTGAGCCACCACACCCAGCCAGTTTGTAATTTTTAAAATGTAGAAATAAAATAACTCAGATGACCTACATTGGTATATTAATTTATTACTACAGTGTTGCCTTCATTATTAGTTTGTCAAAATAATTTTAGATTTTAGTACCTGGTGGAAGTAAAATATAGTCATTATCTAAGGATATAGACCTTGCTTTTCAAAAATATTTAAGATATAATGAATTTGGCACACTAGTGTTTTCAGTGTACAGTTCAAGTTCTGTAGTTAAACAGGACAAAAACATTGTAAACCAGATGACTTGGGTACATTTATAACATTTTTGCTCTAGGCAATCCCATAGAGCTAAACTTATGTGCCTTCAAAATGTGGAGGAAATGAGTTCATTGATGCCAGACCTGGCGTTTGGCTCAGATTAGGTGCCAGGGTGAATGTTAGAGATCTTTTATAATTTTTTCTTCTATCTTTTATAATTTTTTCTTTGATTTCCTTCTAAATTGCAAACTTGGTGTCAAATGAGAGTTTTAAAAATATCATCTAGGATGAGCACATTAATGAGCTGAAAATGAAATGAAATATTAGAAAAATCTGCTAATTTTCCAGTGGTAGCTGGTAGAATCTGAGTCCTAGTGGGCTTCCCTTTATTTTTTGTAATTTTACAACATTGTAAAGCAGCACCAGAATGTGGTAGCCTAGAGGGAGATTAACCCTAGAGGGAGATTATCCTTAACAGACTGCATCTGATTATGGGCAAGTGATGCAGGAACTTGGTACAAAAGAGTAAATCACTAGGGCGCTTACCACTCCCATCTGGTCAGTACTGAGACCACATCCATCTGCCCTCCAGTGAACTTTCTTAGCTTCTCTCATATGAATTGCTCAACTAAACCCTCTGGAGGAAGTTTATTATGGGAACAAGTCTCTGACATTATAAGTAATGGGAAATGAAATTTCCTTTACAGATGAATTTTATTTTTACACACTATCTTTTTCCATGGATGTATTCTGTTACATTTTTTGCCTAAAAGGATTCTAGCCTCAGTAAGGATTGGTTAGATTTATTTAACTGTAAAACTCTAATATCTGACTCGGAGTCTCTGTTAGTATTGACTTAATAGAATCAATCCATATGTATTTTTTGCAGCAGTCCCAGGAGATGTAGTTTCTTTTTTTTTTCTTCTTTTTTTGACAGCATTTTGCTCTGTCACTCAGGGTGGAGTGCACAGTGGTGCTATTATGGCTCACTGCAGCCTCGAACTCTCCTGGGTTCAAGTGATCCTCTTGCCCCAGCCTCCCAAGTAGCTGGGACTGCAGGCATACACCACCATGCCTGGCTAATTTAAAAAAAAAAAATGTGGAGCTGGGGTCTTGCTTTGTTGCTCAGGCTGGTCTCAAACTCCTGGCTTCAAGCAATCTTCCTCCTTCAGCCTTCCAAAGTGCTGGGATTATAGGTGTGAGCTACCACACCCAGCTAGAGATGTGGTTCCTTACTTGACAAAAGATTGACTGAAAAATAAAGACAATATTTTAGAACACAAACTTTCATTTCCCTAGTACTGTTCATCTAACTTAAGTCTGAAATTTTTCCAGGGAGGAAAAAATGTTTTTTAAAAAAATATAGATGTGATCTCTTAATATTTGATCTTATTAACAGTGCAGAAATCATCTGTATGCATTGTTTATCTTTTCACTAAACAATTCAGTCTAACATCATAGTAAATTCTTTGTTAGCAAAGAAATTTTCTTCATGCTAAAACCGGATATCATGTTTAGCCCTATCTTGGGGATTTTTTTTTCTTTCTCCCTTATTACAGTCCTCCTTTCAAGTTTATTTTTAAGACTCTTCACCAGGTTGTTATAAAATCTGAAATAGTTTATTGTGGGCTTTTTGAAATTATTTTCCACAGCTGTATGTGAAGATCTTTATCTGCTTTAAATATTAATTATATACAGTCTAATTTTCTCCCTGCTACAGAATAATATTTTGCATATGTCATTTGTCCATTCATTTCAAAAGGAGCTCTTGGCTTGAGAGCATAGGAGCAGTGGTAAATTTAGGGAATGGGGGGTTCATACCCTAAGCAAGTGGAACCTTGATGATATTTATATGTGTAAGGACATACACATACATTAAGACAGAGAAAGATTATACTCTTAAGATTCGTATATTATTCCCTGAAAAAAATTTCAGATAGGACCAGTGATGAGGAGCATTTTCTCTAGGGAGAAGGGCTGCATACAATAAATATTTCTTCTTGGAAGTGCAAAACAAATGGCTTGGTAGCACTGATAGGCAAGCCTGGCAGCACTTTTATGCTGGCATGTTCTCTTGGCTGGGCATGTCTACTGGACAGGTGTGCAAGAGTATTCGCAGGGACTTAATACACACAGAGGAGTTTCTAAAGCCTCTTTTGACTTTAGGTTTTGCTTATCATGTTACCCCATTAGCTGCAATTCTTCAACCATCTTGACCATTCCCTTCTCCTGCCACACCCTTCTTCAGGTGTTCTCACATATCACCTCCCTCGCTTCATCCAGGTCATTGTTTGTGTGTCACCTTCTTGAAGAGGCCTTCCTTAACTACCCTAACAAAACCAGCCCCCTCATTCAGTCTCCAACCCTTCTGTCCTGCTTTGCCTCTGTCTTTCCCAACGTGAAGGTATACTACATGAGAGACGATTTTAACCTCTTGTTCACGGCTTGTGTCACCAGCACCTGGAGCTGTGATCGCAACATAATAAGTGCTCAGTTAACATTTGTGAGATAGGCGAAATAATTTCCTTCTGTTTATTGACCATTTGGTTTTGTCTGTGAATTCTCTTTGCTCTGTGTTAATATTTTCATTTACATGAAATCTTTATAAGTGAAAGATATTAGTATTATAATAGAAGCAGTCATTTCTTTTCTTTTTTTTTATCGAGACAGAGTCTCGCTCTGTTGCCCAGGCTGGAGTGCAGTGGCACAATCTCTGCTCACTGCAACCTCTGCCTCCCAGATTCAAGCAATTCTCCCGCCTCAGCCTCCCTAGTAGCTGGGACTACAGGTGCTGGCCACCACGCTTGGCTAATTTTTTTGTATTATTAATAGAGACAGAGTTTCACCATGTTGGCCATGCTGGTCTCAAACTCCTGACCTCAGGTGATCCACCCACCTCGGCCTCCCGAAGTGCTGGGATTACAGGTGTGAGCCACTGCGCCCAGCCGTTTCTTGTTTTTAATTATGAAAATTTATACATTGAGAAAAATTGAGAGAATAATACAGTGAACAGCACCTGTGTTTGGCAGTTGTTAACATTTTGCCATTTTACTTTTGTATGCATATACTTTTATGGTATATCATAAAAATGTATTTATACAAGATGTTACTATATAATAGACATATTTAATAGTAGTCTTTTTAGTTCACTATAGTCTAGAAGATACCATATACACTTCCCCCTCCCATAACATTTGCCTTTCAAGAACCCAGGCTAGTGATCTTTTGGAATGTCTTATATTCTAGATGTATCTGTTCCTTGCCACTCGGTCCACTATATTTTCCATAAACTGGAAGTTAGACGAGTGGTTCCATTAGATTCATGTTGAATGGTTTTGGCAAGCATACTTCATAGGCAATGCTTATCTTTCATATTATATCACATCTAGGGGCATAGGATTTCATATTGTTCCAAAGATGACTTGCTGAGGGTGGTACAGTGCCCAGCGGGGGATTTTCTTAGGCTCTCTAGGTGGTCAAACAAAAGGCTTGAGTGGGTCACACTTGGCTCTCATGGGTAGTTAGCCCAGGAAACACAGCAGGGCAGTATTGGGTGTTTCTCTTCATCGAGTCTTCACGGCAGTTCACTCAGCAGTACAGCTTGGGTACAAGGAAAGGAGACACAGTGTACAGTAGTCACCCTGGGCGAGAAGTCTCATGTTCCAAATAGGAACTGAGAGCTTTTTAACAGCACCTAGACATAGCTTCCAGATCCCTGTTTTACCAGTTACAGGAGTCACGGTATCAAGGAAGCCCAAAGTTATAAGCATTTAGAGACCCCAATACATGTTATTTTCCAGTCAGGAACCACTTTACCTGGTGGTATTGCCTGGTAATAGAGCTAGAAAGTTCACTAAAGATCAGATTTGTCTTCAGAGAAGGAGAAAGCGTTTTTTAAAACTTATATTTACAGGTAGTGACTGTCAAATTATTATTATAAAGATAAGTTTTTTCATTTTGCAGATGAGAGTTTGATATATAGTGTTGAGTTTATATATTCAAATCACTTGGGGGTTTTTTCTTTGTCTCTTCCAGTATTCTTATGCTAAGAAAATATTTCTTCTATTTAAGATACAGTAGCTGTTCCCTTGTATTTTCTCATAGGGGTTCTTTGTTTTATTTTGTTTGATATTTAACTCTTAAATTCACCTGCGTTTTATTTTCTTATGTATTATGAGATAAGGCTTTAATTTGATCTTTTTTTCCAGAATGAAACAAATTGCTCAACAGCAGTTATTAAACAATCTTTTCTGTTTCTAATGATGATGCTATATTTTATTATATACTGTTTCATCATTTTTATTGTGTAGGAATTTTTTGGTTATTTTCACTTTTCAGTACACGTTAATACACTATGTCACTAGTACATGGAATCTATGTAATCTTTCTAAAGATTTCCTTGAATGGAATTTTTTATTTAGAATTTCATTAAATGTGTATACTACTTTTATTATGAATGGATGTTGAATGTTAATCAGTATTCTTATGTTTATGGACATGCTTATTCTGTATCTGTGGAAATGATCTATGGTTTTTCTTTTTTAATTGGTAATGTAAATTATACATTACTTTGAAAGAAATTCTTCCTTTGTAACATGCAGTCACTCCATGCAGAAGCATTGTATTTATTCCATTCATATACCCACAGTCTTCTTTCAGTAACGTGTTTTTTTCTTTTAGTTTCAACACATTTATTGTTAAGATTATTCCTAGATATCTTATATTTTTGTTCCTAGTATAAACAGAATGTTGCTGATAGTCCTGTAATTTTTACCACTCTTATGTTGGTTTGTTGTGCCAGGTATAAATAAAAAATCGGTAAAATCTGCAAAAGATGGCACATCTCCAGAAGAAGAAATTGAAATAGAAAGACAAAAGGTAAAATACGATTATTGTTACATGCTTAGTGGATAATTCATAGGTACAATTTAAATGAAGTTGTACATGTCACTAATTTTAAAAAACAACTTATTTTAGCAGTGGCATTTATAACTAAATTGTAAGAGACATAATTAAATATTTTAGCAGTGTAGTTTCTAAATACAGTGTTTTTTTTACCAAACATAATTTCTCCAAATTGTACAAAGTTAAAATTAACCTCAAATTCAAGGGTATTTATTTTCTTTTATAAATTAAGAGGGAATTATCTCACTTTTAAAAACACTTACTATACCTGAGGCAGAAAATACCCTTAAAACCTCAAAATAATATTGCCATAAGTTTTAATTCAATCTGAATCTGTCCTGGAATACAGTTTGTGGTTATGGTTTGTCAAATGCAAATTTCTGTTTTTCTTATTGTGAATATGTATATTTAACGTACAAAATTACATTCTTGGAAATGCAGTGAACCTTATGCTTCAGTGACCCCCTATGTCCAGAGTCACACGTAATTTTGGCACAGAGTCATATGTGATTTTGCTGAGGCAGGAATTGAAGGCAGCAGTGCCCCTAGGGCTGATGTTCATGTCACTGTCCAGAAGTGTGCCTGACTGGCCACATAAAGTTATCTAAAGAGCAACAAAGAAAATCAATTTTTATGGAAAATGTCTCTGAAAAGCCAGCTAAAAGTGCCAGTGACAAAAGGAAATTAAGGCAGTCTAAAGTGGTAATATAGGAAGATCCACAAAGGTCGAGAGCATACTCTGTATTTTTACTAGTGTACATGGTTATTTACTTGATTCTTGAGGGTTCTCGTTTAATCCCATGGCTGGTAGAAAATACCCGTTTAGTGTAAAAAGACATTTACTAGATTTCAGAAGCAGATCCTAAGGTCCTACCTTCATAGAAATGTATCAGTATTGAAACAGTAAAGGCCAAAAAAAAAAAAGCAAAAAAAAAACTTACTTGTTAAAAGTTACACATTTAGAAAGTATAATTTGCATCACAAAATAAACATTTGCTAGATTTAGCATCATTGCGCAAAAAGAACAAAGTGAAAATGAGAACTTTTTATTTGAGGGTAGTTGGGGACTCTTGTTCCTGCAGCCTACTAATGAGTCACACTAAGTGAAATGGGGCCTGGTTTTTAACTACAAGGTTTTACCTCTCCTGCTCTCAGTAATGTTGCTTCCAGAGATTCTACCTTATTGCTATACAAAGATCTCTTTGTTTTGGTAATCCACAGTCAGTTTACAGACAACAGGTGGTACCCCAGAGTTCTAGTGATTGAGTCTTCCTTTCTAGAAGAGATATCTTCTGCCCTATACTCCTTTTTGGGGGTGGAAAAAAAAGCACTGTTGTACATTTGAACTTTTTTTTGCTCTCTACAGGCTGAAATGGCTTTGCTTATGATGGATGAGGACGAGGACAGTAAGAAACACTTCAATTACAACAAGATTGTGGAGCACCAGAATCTGAGCAAAAAGAAGAAAAAGCAGCTCATGAAAAAGAAGGAATTAATAGAGGATGACTTTGAGGTAACCATAGACACCAGGCATAGCCTCTTAAAGCTGGAATTGAATCTAAAGTCAGCTCTGCAGATAGAAATTGAGCATAGTCAAAGTTACCCTTGAAAATGTCTTAGGGGCCCGGTGCAGTGGCTCACGCCTATAATCCCAACACTTTTTTGGAGGCCGAGGCATGAGGATCACTTGAGTCCAGGAGTTGGAGACCAGCCTGGGCAACATAGTGGGACCCTCATCTCTATGAAAAATAAAAAAAATTAGCTGGCTGGGCGTGGTGGCTCATGCCTGTAATCTCAGCACTTTGGGAGGCTGATGTGGGCAGATCACGAGGTCAGGAGGTCAAGACCATCCTGGCTAACACGGTGAAACCCCATCTCTACTAAAAATACAAAAAATTAGCCAGGCGTGGTGGCGGGCACCTGTAGTCACAGCTACTCAGGAGGCTGAGGCAGGAGAATGGCGTGAACCCAGGAGGCGGAGCTTGCAGTGAGCCGAGATCTCGCCACTGCACTCCAGCCCAGGTGACAGAGCAAGACTCTGTCTAAAAAAAAAAAAAAAAAAAAAAAAAAAAAAAATCCAGGTATAGTGGCGCACACCTGTAGTCCCAGCTACTCAGGAGGCTGAGGTGGGAGGATCGCTTGAGTCCAGGAGGTCAAGCCTGCAGTGAGCCATGATTGTGGCACTGCACTCCAGCCTGGGCAACAGAACAAGACCCTGTCTCAAAAAAAAAAAAAAAAGAAAAAAAAAGAAAATGTCTTCAGAAAGACTGATGGTGGAGCCAAAGGCTACTGTCTTTTAATCCAGCACAGCCAGTTCATCCTAGGGTGGATGAAATCATTGTTTCTTTGGTTGAGCACCAGGTGAAATAGTTGACTTGTATTTTGGTAGCCATATTGTACCAAAAATGTGTAGTTTTTAATGTTAGAATCACATGTAGTGATCCTCAGACCAGCAAAGGTATGCTTGAATAGCAGGTTCATGTCACAGTGGGTCACACTCACTGTGTGCAGTGGCCAGCGCAGTAAGCCATGTTTTTTCAGTTGCTGTGTTTTTTGTTTCCATTACTCCTTCCTCTTTTTGTTGAGTACATATTCCTAATGGCTGCAGAGTCCCCTAAGCATGAGTTTGAGCCGTCTACCAAAAATCTACAAACAGCTGTTAGAAACTGCTTAATGACTTCCAACCATTAATGTGGAAGAACTGACCCTGAGTAAGATGGGGGAAATTTGGGAAATTTTAAATTTGTTCAAACAATGGAGGGTAGCATACAGATGGCTTCTAAGTAGCATATAGAAGGATTTGGGGGCTACTCTGTAGCTTCTGTTGTTTGAGTCAGTTTCACATATGCTCCCATTCCAGTTAGGTTTTTATTGAGTTACTTTCCTTATGAAAAGCAAAGAATGATTTGTAGTCATTCTGCCTTCATATATTAATATATGCATAAAAGTATTTTTTACAGGATTTTTTTCCTTGTTCTGGGTATCAAATCCCTTGGCCTCGTGATAACTAAGTAAAGCTACAATCTATCTCCAGGTGGACTTGTATTTCGTGTGTTTCCCTTTCTGCTGGTTACCCATCTGCCTGGCAGCCCTCAAAGGCTGGCTGCAGTTAAGGGTATATTCTTAAACATGGAACCACAAGTTTTTATAGAAAGAAGATAAATCTGGGGCTTGTGTCTGACCAGACCTTGATCTCAGATGGATTATTTGCCATAGTGGTCTTTAAATCTTTTGATCCATGGATCACCTTCAATAGTTCCTTATTTTGGCACCAAGATTAAAATTTCTTAACATGTACTCAGAGTTCAGGGCCTCCAGCAGATGTTCTGATTGGCTTATTTATGCTGGTAAGAAATTGATTTTGTGCTGTAAGCATGGGAAAGCCCTGCCTCACAAACCACTGCTACAGTCATTTTGTCTAAGTGGTCGTTGTAGTTACCGGCCATAATATGTATATGTATGGCCCACTATAATTCCCTTTGAAATACATTGTCCTTGCATGATAAGAACAGGGTGCCCCACAAGTTGTGGTCCAAAGGTAGGCCATAAAGAGCTATGGAAAAACAGTTTCCTAATGAATCAGTACAAACACTCAGGTTTGTATTTTATATAATCAACTCACCAACTTTCGAAATTTGGCCCCATTTCTGGCCTTTTGCTTTAGTAATTTTGTTTAATTAATTTATTAATTTTTTTTTTTTTTGGATTTGCAGGTAAATGTTAACGATGCACGGTTTCAGGCAATGTACACTTCCCACTTGTTCAATTTGGACCCCTCAGATCCCAATTTCAAGAAAACAAAAGCTATGGAAAAAATCCTTGAGGAGAAGGCCCGGCAAAGAGAACGGAAAGAACAAGAACTTACTCAGGCAATAAAGAAAAAAGAGAGTGAGATTGAAAAGGAATCACAAAGGAAGTCCATTGATCCTGCTTTGTCAATGTTGATTAAATCTATAAAAACCAAAACAGAGCAGTTTCAAGCAAGAAAAAAGCAAAAAGTCAAATAACTGGATGTTACTTATTTTTGAACTGAATACATCTTTTCCTAAAATGTACAAAAATAATAGGAGGGAATATTTATTGGGAACAAAGCTATCTTTCAAGAACATGAATAAAATCTTTTTCTGGACATAGTAAAATTTTTCTCCATAAATAATTGTACTTAATTGTGGATGACTGACAAATTTTTATTGTATATTCCTACAGATCAGTCATAATTAAATTACCTGCATTATAGGGTTTATAAAATTTTTATATTTTACAATGTTCAGTTCTAACTAGTGGAAAGTTACTCTAGCTTTTTAAAAGGCTGTTTACAATTCTGTGTAAAAATAGAGCAGTATCTACTCAAGTTTGTGTAAATGTTAGGGATAATTTGAAAAATATATATATTTAATACATTAATTTCTCTGGAAGCAGGAGGCATGTTTAAATAACTATTAAAATAATTTATTTTTCTAGCCATAAAGGATGGAAGTCAAGAACTTTTTGTTGTTTAGTCATGTTAAGTATAGTTTATGAAATTAACTTGTAAATAAAAGTGTAAAATATTTTCATTATTTTGTATAGCACTGATTTATTCCATTTTATGCATCTCAAAGTACTCTCTGGAAAAATATCTGAAAACCGATTTTAACTTTTTAAGAGGACAACTCCATTTAAAGGCAGTTCTAGAGTTGCATTGCTCGTAAATTGCATTTGAAATATTCATGAGCTCTCCAGTGGTTTTTCTGTTTGGTAGCAACAGAAAAGTCTTCTGTCTGTCCTTCACATTTTTGGAATACTTTAGAAGGATGGATATGCTGCTGTAGAGTTTAAGGATACCTTAATTCTTCTTAAAATTAAAACACATCTTTAAGGCCTTAACACTCTTGGATCTCATCTGGTCTAAATATTATAGACAACTGACAGTCAAATTAGATATGCTGTATAAGTAAATGTAAATAAAACCAGACTTGTAACTTGGAGCAAATTATAAATATGGTAACTTCTGAAAGACAACAGGAATTTGACCAGGTTTGTGGTTAAACTTGACATTTGGGGTATTAAAAATCAAACCTACTGACCAGGCAAGGTGGCTCTCACCTGTAATCCCAGCACTTTGGGAGGCTGAGGCAGGAGAATTGCTTGAGGCCAGGAGTTTTGAGACCAACCTGGGCAATATAGTAAGACCATAGGCTGGGTGTGGTAGCCTACGCCTGTAATCCCCCCACTTTGGGAGACTGAGGCAGGCACATCACTTGAGGTCAGGAGTTCAAGACCAGGCTGGCCAACACAGTGAGACCCCCCATCTCTACCGAAACTACAAAAAATTAGCCGGGCGTGATGGTGCATGCCTGTAGTCCCAGCTACTCAGGAGGCTGAAGCAGGAGAATCACTTGAACTTGGGAGGCAGAGGTTACAGTGAGCCGAGATTGAGCCACTGCACTCCAGCCTGGGCAACAGGAGACCCTGTCTCAAAATATATATATATACACGTCTGTGTGTGTGTGCGCGCACGCGTGCGTATAACAAGCCAAGTGTGGTGATACATACCTGTGGTCCTTGCTACTCAGGAGGCTGAGATGGGAGGATCATATGAGCCCAGGAGTTTGAGTTTACAGTAAGCTGTGATTGTATCACTGCATTCCAGCCTGGGTGACAGAGCAAGACCCTGTCTCTATTTAAAAAAAAAAAAAAAAAGTCACCAATGTAGCATATATTTTAAAGACTAAAATGATGGAAAACTCAGAGTGATATCAAAATAATAAGGGAGTATAAATAGTCTCTGTAAAGGGAAGAAAAAAAGGACATTTAAATTGCTTATTATAACAGAAAAATGCACAGTATCCAAACAGGGAATTGATTTTATCATAAGCACTGATCGTTGGATTATTCAGCCAAATAAAACATTATTTCTTTAGATACATCTGTGAACTCCCCATATTACCACTGAAAGGTCATGAATCTTAATATGTTTATGAGTATGGTCTATAAACAGATTTATGTTTCATATTTCATTCTCTGCAGGGGAAAAGTTTTGTTCTCTTTAAACTGTTTAATCATAATGTAGTAATTGCACAAAAATTCAAAATCAGAGTCTGATTTTAAGGTTTCTGTGAACCTGAGCCATTGGGTTTGGTTTTTCTGTTTTTGAGCCCGTTAAGTCACTGCATTTAATTGTAAAATCTCATTTTACTAGTCAAGCACATAATTATAACAAAAAAATTGAGTACATAAGTCATACAGAGCCCTGGCTCCTTTTCTCAAAGAGTTGATATTTTTTAGGTAGGAAAAAAAATGAGAACAGCATTATCAGGCGTTAAATATTCTACACCAATAACTTTAGGGTTCTCAAATTATTGCAGGTAGTGAAATTTAGGATTAAAAAGTGGCCACTATCATAATTCAGCAAACAAATTAGGGGAGTTTTGGTGGGTCTTAAGGTCACATTTAGTTGGAGTTTTTATTGCTGTTGGGACCGTGGAGAGTAGGTCAATCCTGTAGCATCATCTAGAAAAAGTCGTAAGTAACTTAATACTGGTAAAGCTCTGATTTGCTTCACCAGCAGCAATTGTTGGAGATCAGCTTGATACACAATATCGTCACTACATATTCTCTGAGAGAGGTATGCTAGAGACACGAGCAGGAGAGTGGAGACTGCATTTGTTCCATGTTCGTTACCGAGCAGGCCAATATTAGATAGGTAACATCTTTGCCTTTTCTGTTTATTAGAATCACTTGGTATGTCAAAAACCCTAGTGGCCAGGCTGCACCTCATACCTATTAAATCATATATATAGCAGTAGTATCCAGACTTTTTTTTTTTTTTTCAACAGAGTTTCACTGTGTCACCCAGGCTGGAGTGCAGAGTGCAATGGTGCAGTCTCGGCTCACTGCAACTTCCGCCTCCCAGGTTCAAGGAATTCTGCCTCAGCCTCCCGAGTAGCTGGGATTACAGGCACATGCCACCATGACCAGCTAATTTTTTGTATTTTTAGTGGAGACGGGTGTTTCACCATGTTGGCCAGGCTGGTCTCGAACTCCTGACCTCAAGTGATCCACCCACCTTGGCATCCCAAAGTGCTGGAATTACAGGCATGAACCACTGCGCCTGGCCCAGACGTCATTATTTTTTAAAGCTCCCTAGATAATTCCAATGTTCAGCAAAGATGGAGAACCACTTTTTTACTTTGCTTAGAGGCAAAGAAAGGAGGCCCAAAGAATTTGCTTTTGGGTCCACCAGATTGGAGACAAGTTAATTTAATATCAACTTTATCTGTTAGCTCTTACTGCTTAACAAACCACCCAAAATCTAGTGGCTTAAAATGGCATTTATTCCTTCTTATGAATCTATAGTTTGGCTGGGCAGTTAAGATCCAGCTCAGCTGGGGATTGATGAGACTCTGCATGTCTGAGGACTCAGATGGTTCTAGGGTGGCTAGAGGATCTCTCATCTAGTAGGCTAGTCCAGGCCTCACATGTGACGGAGGGTTCCCAGTTGCAAGAGAGAGTAAGTCCCAATGTACAAACATTTTCAAGCCTCCAACAGTGTCACATTTGCTATTGTCCCATTGGCAAAGAAAATCACATGGCCAAACCCTAAACCAACAAGTGGCAAAGTCACAATGCAGAGGGGTATACATACCAGGAGGCATGAACAAATTGTTTGTTATTATTAAAACCATCAACACTTTACTTAGGTTTCCTCTTCTGTAGAAAAATGATTTACCATCTATTGGCCTAAATAACACAAAGTTGTTTGCAGTTTTTGGCAATTACAAAGCTGTAATTAATGTATAGGTTGTTGTGTGAAACATAGGTTTTCTGCCTAGGTCATTTGCTAAGTTTATATTTAGCTTTATAGTAAACTGCAAATTTACTTACCAAAGTGGTTGAACTGTTTTACGTTCCCATATATGAGTTCCAGTTGCTCCACATCTTCACCAGCACTTGATATTGTCAGTTTTTGTTGATGCTCATTTTGGGCTACTGGGTTTTTGTTTTATTTGCCATTCTAATAAGCATTTACCTGTATCTCATTGTAGTTTTAATTTTCATTTTGCTAATGACTAATGATGTTGAGCATCTTTTCATGTGCATATTTACCAACCGTATATCTTCTTTGGTGAAGTGTCTGTTCATGTCTTCTGCTCTCTTATTTTAAAATTGAGTTGTTATTGTTTTCAGAGTTGTTTATATATCTTATATACAAGTCCTTTGTCACATATGTGATTAGCTAATATTTTCTCCTTTTCTATGGCCTGTGTCTTTTCATTCTTTTAACAGTGTCATTCACAGAGCAAAAATGTTTTATTTTTATGAAGTCCAATTTATCAATTTTTTCTTTTAGGGACTGCCTTGGTGTCCTATCTAAGAACTTTCTTACAAAACCAAGGTTACAAAGACTTTTCCTGTATTTTCTTCTAAAAATCCTAGAATTTTATGTTTTACATTTAGATCCATTTTACATTTTAAAGTAATTTCTGTATAAGGTGTTAGGGTTTGCTTGATACTCTTTTTTTGCATATAACTGTTCATTTATTTCAGCATTGCTTATTAAAAAGTTTGTTCTTCCTCCACTGAATTGCCTGAGTACTTTTATCAAAAATGAATTGGTCAATTACCAAAACTCAACCACATAAAATCCATAACCCCAATAGTCCTATAGTCATTGAAGAAATTAGTTAATTAATTAAACTCCCAAAAAAGAGACTACCAAGTCCAAATGGCTTCACTGGGGAATTTTAACAACTATTTGAGAATAACACAAATTTCACACAGTCTCTTTGAGAAAATGAAGAATGAACACCTCTCAACTTACTTTATGTGACCAGTATATCTTTGACAGCAAAACAAGACAGTATAAATAAAAAAACTACAGGATGATGTTCATTGTTAGTATATAGAAATGCGATTGATTCTAGAGAGTCAATCTGTCTCATGAACTTAGACATACAAATTCTCAAAAAAGTATTAGCAAATCAAATACAACAATGTATGCAAAGAAATATACCACAGGACAAAGCAAGATTTATTCCAGGTATGCAAAGCTGGCTCAGCATTCAAAATCAATCGATGTGTGCCATATCAACAGACTTAAGAAAAAAACATATGATCATATCAATTGATGAGAAAGGTATTGAACAAAATCTAACATCTATTAATGATAAAAACTTTTCAGGCCGGACACGGTGGCTCACACCCATAATCCCAGCACTTTGGGAGGCTGAGGTGGGTGGATCACCTGAGGTCAGGAGTTCAAGACCAGCCTGGTCAAAATGGTGAACACTGTGAGACCAGCCTGGCCAACATGGTGAAACCTCGTCTCTACTAAAATACAAAAATTAGCCAGGCATGGTGGCATGTGCCTGTAATCACAGCTACTCGGGAAGCTGAGGCAGAAGGATCACTTGAACCCGGGAAGTGGAGGTTGCAGTGAGCTGAGGTCATACCACTGCACTCCAGCCTGGGTGATAGAGTGCGACTTCATCTCTAAATAAATAAATAAATAAATGTCTTCAGCAAGTTAGGAATAGAGGGGAACTACCTCAACTTGGTAAATAATATCTACAAAACACCTGTATCTAACATCATACATACTTATAGTGAAAGACTAGATGCTTTTCTTCTAAGATCAAGGCAAAGATATTTACTCTTACCACTCTTATTCAACACAATAGTGGAAGTTCTACCCACTGCAATAGAGCAAAAAAAATTAAAACCATACAGATAGAAAAGGAAGAGGTGGAACTCTCCATACTTGCAGATGACATAGTTATCTACGTAGAAAACCATAAGGAATTGCTGGGCGCATTGGCTCATGCCTGTAATTCCAGCACTTTGGGAGGCTGAGGTGGGTGGATCACCTGAGGTCAGAAGTTCGAGACCAGACTGGCCAACATGGTGAAACTCCGTCTCTACTAAAAATACAAAAATTAGCAGGGCATGATGGCAGATGCCTGTAATCCCAGCTACTTGGGAGGCTGAGGCAGGAGAATCACTTGAGGCGGAGGTTGCAGTGAACCGAGATCATGCCATTGCACTCCAGCCTGGGCAACAAAGAGCAAAACTCCATCTCAAAAAAGAAAAAAGAAAATCACAAAGAATCTACAAAAAGCCTCAAACTAATCTGTGGGTTCAGCAAAGTCACAGGATAAAAGATCATACCAAAATCAATTACATTTCTATATACTAACAACATGTAAAATATTGCAGCCACTCTCAAAAACAATTTGACCATTTATCATAAAACTAAACTTGCGATAACCATGCAATGTGGCAATTGTGCTCTTGAACATTGATCCCAGAAAAGTGGGAATTTATATTCATGCAAAAACTTGTACATGAATATTCATAGCAGCTTTATTTGAAATAGCTAAAAACTCAAAAGAACCGAGATGTCCTTCAATGAGTGAATGGTTTAACTATGATACATCCACACCATAGAATACTCCTTACTCAGCAATAAAAAGACTGAACTCTTGATTCATGCAACAACTTGGATACATATCCAGAGAATTATGCTGAGTGAATAAAAACCAATTCCAAAGGATTATATACTATAACATTCCACTTATATATAATATTATTGAAGTGACAGACTTGTAGAAATGGAAAAGAGATTAGTGGCTACAGGGAACAAAAAAGGAGGGGTGTGGAAGGCAGTGAGTGTGGTTACAAAAGGGCAACATGAAGGATCCTTAGGGTGCTGGAAATGTTCTGTGTCATAAGTGTGGTGGTGGCTATATGCACTTGCACATGGGATAAAATTGTATAGAACTAAATATCAACACATACATACAGGTGAATAAAAGTGAAACATGAAACCTGAGTAAGGTCAGATGATTTTCATCAATGTCATTGTCCTGTATGTGACATTGTACTACTGTTTTTCAAAATACTACCATTGAGGGAAACTGGGTAAATGAAACACAGAATCTGTATTATTTCTTACAACTGCGTGGACATCTACCATTATCTCAAAATAAAACTTTTGATTAAAAAATCCTGCCAGGCACAGTGGCTCAAGCCTGTAATTTTAGCATTTTGGGAAGCTGGGGTAAGACAATCGCTTGAGGCCAGAAGTTTGAGACCAACCTGAGCAACATAATGAGATCCCTTCTCTCTCTCTTTTTTTTTTTATATATATAATTATACTTTAAGTTCTAGGGTACATGTGCACAACGTGCATGTTTGTTACATGGGTATACATGTGCCATGTTGGTTTGCTGCACCAATCAACTTGTCATTTAACGTTAGGTATATCTCCTAATGCTATCCCTCCCCCCTCCCCCCACCCCCCAACAGGCCCTCGTGTGTGATGTTCTCCGCCCTGTGTCCAAGTGTTCTCATTGTTCAATTCCCACCTATGAGTAAGAACATGCGGTGTTTGGTTTTTTGTCCTTGTGATGGTTTGCTGAGAATGATGGTTTCCAGTTTCATCCATGTCCCTACAAAGGACATGAACTCATCCTTTTTTATGGCTGCATAGTATTCCATGGTGTATATATGCCACATTTTCTTAATCCAGTCTATCATTGATGGACATTTGGGTTGGTTCCAAGCCTTTGCTATTGTGAATAGTGCCACAATAAACATACGTGTGCATGTGTCTTTATAGTAGCATGATTTATAGTCCTTTGGGTATATACCCAGTAATGGGATCACTGGGTCAAATGGTCTTTCTAGTTCTAGATCCTTGAGGAATCGCCACACTGTCTTCCACAGTGGTTGAACTAATTTACACTCCCACCAACAGTGTAAAAGTGTTCCTATTTCTCCACATCCTCTCCAGCATCTGTTGTTTCCTGACTTTTTAAGGATTGCCATTCTAACTGGCGTGAGACGATATCTCATTGTGGTTTTGATTTGCATTTCTCTGATGGCCAGTGATGATGAGCATTTTCTCATGTGTCTGTTGGCTGCATAAATGTCTTCTTTTGAAAAGTATCTGTTCATATCCTTTGTCCACTTTTTGATGGGGTTGTTTTTTTCTTATAAATTTGTTTAAGTTCTTTGTAGATTCTGGATATTAGCCCTTTGTCAGATGGGCTAATATTTTATTAGCAAAATTAGCAAAAATTTTCTCCCATTCTATAGGTGGCCTGTTCACTCTGATGGTAGTTTCTTTTGCTGTGCAGAAGCTCTTTAGTTTAATTAGATCCCATTTGTCTATTTTGGCTTTTGTTGCCATTGCTTTTGGTGTTTTAGTTATGAAGTCTTTGCCCATGCCTGTGTCCTGAATGGTATTGCCTAGGTTTTCTTCTAGGTTTATGGTTTTAGGTCTTACATTTTAGTCTTTAATCCATCTTGAATTAATTTCTGTATAAGGTATAAGGAAGGGATCCAGTTTCAGTTTTCTACATACGGCTAGCCAGTTTTCCCAATACCATTTATTAAATAGGGAATCGTTTCCCCATTGCTTGTTTTTGTCAGGTTTGTCAAAGATCAGATGGTTGTAGATGTGTGGTGTTATTTCCGAGGCCTCTGTTCTGTTCCATTGGTCTATATATCTGTTTTGGTACCAGTACTATGCTGTTTTGGTTACTGTAGCCTTGTAGTATAGTTTGAAGTCAGGTAGCGTGATGCCTCCAGCTTTGTTATTTTTGCTTAGGATTGTCTTGGCAATGTGGGCTCTTTTTTGGTGCCATACGAGCTTTAAAGCAGTTTTTTCCAATTCTGTGAAGAAAGTCGTTGGTAGCTTGATGGGGATGGCATTGAATCTATAAATTACCTTGGGCAGTATGGCCATTTTCACGTTATTGATTCTTCCTATCCATGAGCATGGAATGTTCTTCTATTTGTTTGTGTCCTCTTTTATTTCATTGAGCAGTGGTTTGTAGTTCTCCTTGAAGAGGTCCTTCACATCCCTTGTAAGTTGGATTCCTAGGTATTTTATTCTCTTTGAAGCAATTGTGAATGGGAGTTCACTCATGATTTGGCTCTCTGTTTGTCTGTTATTGGTGTATAGGAATGCTTATGATTTTTGCACATTGATTTTGTATCCTGAGACTTTGCTGAAGTTGCTTATTGGCTTAAGGAGATTTTGGGCTGAGACGATGGGGTTTTCTGAATATACACTCATGTCATCTGCAAACAGAGACAATTTGACTTCCTCTTTTCCTAATTGAATACCCTTCATTTCTTTCTCCTGCCTGATTGCCCTGGCCAGAACTTCCAACGCTATGTTGAATAGGAGTGCTGAGAGAGGGCATCCTTGTCTTGTGCCGGTTTTCAAAGGGAATGCTTCCAGGTTTTGCCCATTCAGTATGATATTGGCTGTGGGTTTGTCATAAATAGCTCTTATTATTTTGAGATACATTTCATCAATACCTAGTTTATTCTCTTAAAATAGTTAAGAAATTAGCTGGTTGTGGTGGGCTACTCAGGAAGCTTAGCAGGGAGATTGCTTGAGCCCATGAGTTTGAGGTAAGCTATCACACCATTGCACTCCATTCTGGGTGACACAGTGAGACCCTGTCACTAAAAATAAAAAATAAAAACAAATTGGCCTTTTTTTGTTTGGGTCTATTTCCAGATTCTCCAGTCTGTTTTATTCATCTATTTTTCTATCCTCTTTCCAACACCACACTATCTTCACTACTATAGCTTTATAGTAAGTCTTTTAACTTTGTTCTTTCTCAAAATTGTGTTGGCTGTTCTAGTTTGTTTGCCTTTCCATATAAAGCCATTTAAAAATCAGCTTCTTCATTCCTACAAAAAAGCCTGCTGACATTTTATTTTAGAAGGGCATTGAATCTATAAATCAACTTGTGGAGAATTGACATCTCAATAATACTGAATCTTTCCAAACCATGAACATGGTATATATCTTCTATAGTCTTTGGTTTCTTTCACCAGCGTATTCTGGTTTTTTGTATACTGCAGATATTTTTTAAAATTTGTACCTAAGTGTTGCAATATTTTCTGTACTATTGTAAGTGATACTTTTAAATTTCAGTTTCTAATTGTTTATTATTAGAATATAGAAAAACAATTAATTTTGGTATATTGACCTTGTATCCCACAAGCTTGCTAAACTCATTTATTAATTCTAGGAGATTACTGTAGATTTCTAAAGATTCTTCTCCAAAGATAACCATGTCATCTATGAAGAGAGACATTTTAATTTCATCCTTCTGTATTTCCATACCTTTTATTTATTTTTCCTGCCTTAGTACAACTGCTAGAACTTCCAGTATAATGCTGAATAGAGGTGGTGAGAGCAGATAATATCTTGCTCCCCGTCTTCACCTGATCTTAGCCAAAAGGCCAAGAAGCGATCTTGCTCCCCATTTTAGGAAGGAAGCATTCATTCAGTTTTTCACCAGTAAGTATAATATTACCTGGAGATGCTCTTAATCAGGTAAAGAAAGTTTCTTCCTTTGCCTAGTTTTCTGCAAATTTTTAATCATGAAAAAATGCTGCATTTTTTTCAAATGCTTTTTCAGCATCTGTCGTTTTCATGTGTGGTTTTTCTTCTTTAGCCTGTTAATATGGTGAATTATATTTATTGATTTTGAAATCTTTAGTCAGCTTTGTATTCCTGGGATAAACTTCATTTGTTGTGATGTATTGTCTTTTTAATATATTATTATTTGAATTTGATAATATAATGTTATGGATTTTTGAAACAGTATTCATGAAGGTAACTGGTCAACAGGTTTCTTGCAATGTTTTTGTCTGGTTTTGATATCAGGGCAAATCTAATTCATAAAATGAAGTCAGTAGTCTTTCCCCTTGTATTTTCTGGAAAACACTGTATTGAATTGGTGTTATTTTTTCCTTAAGTGTTTAGTAGAATTTGTCAATAAAACTATCTAGCCAGCTAGCTAAACACTTTTTTTTTTTTTCTTGAGACAGAGTCTTGTTCTGTCACCCAGGCTGGAGTACAGTGGCACGATCTTGGCTCACTGCAACCTCCACCTCCCGGGTTCAAGCTATTCTCTTGCCTCAGCCTCCCAAGTAGCTGGGATTACAGGCACTGCCACCATGCCCAGCTAATTTTTGTATTCTTAGTAGTGATGGGATTTCACCATGTTGGCCAGGTTGTTCTCGAACTCCTGGCCTCAAGTGATCTGCCTGCCTTGGCCTTCTAAAGTGCTGAAATTACAGGCATGAGCCACTGCACCTGACTAAAAGCATCTTTAAATGAAACCAGTTTTTCTCATAGGAAAGTTTTCAACTAAAAATTCAATTTATTTAGTTATATAGGACTATTCAGGTTATCTATTCTTCTTGAGTGAATTTTGATAGTTTGTGTATGCCAAGAAATTAGTCCATGTCATTCGAGTCGTTGAATTTATAGGCATAACGGTGTTTTTTTAATTATTAAAAAGTAAACTTTAATGTCGAAAATGCAAACTTGGGGAAGGGAGAAAGGTCACACACAAGGCTGTCACTTCACACTTGGAGGGTTGCACAATGGCCAGGCAGAGGCGCTCCTCACTTCCCAGACGATGGGCGGCCTGGCAGAGGCACTCCTCCCTTCGACCTAACGGGTGTTTTGGTAGTATTTCCTAATTATCATTTTAAAGTCTGAAGGGTCTGGTGATATCTCTTTTTTAATTTATAATATATGATAATTTTTGTCTTTGCCATTTGTTTTTTGTCATTCTAAATAGAGGTTTATTAATTTTCTTGATCTTTTCAGAGAACCAGCTTTTGGTTTTATTCATTTTTCTCTATTGGTTTTCTGTGTCCAACTCCTGTGGAAGGTTTCTCTCCTGCTCTCCAGAAGCCAGATTCCCATCAAGTCCTGCCAGTGTGGCACCCCAGTAACTTCTCACAGTCCAGTATGTGCCACAGCTGCTCCCTCACCAATGAAGTTCGGACCTCAGCCCACAGGGATGAAGAGGCTTTTCCAGATTTGCCTCTCATTTGAATGCTCTATCTCAGTACTAGGTATAGTGGATGTTCCCTATATCCATGATTCCTATATTCTTTAGAGTTCTCTTCCCAAACCCCAGTTATTCCTTTGTTGTCAATTCTCTGTTACTCTAATCCTGTTACAATGAATAATTATGTAAACTTACCTTGTTCAAGTTACTGTTTCTGTCTACTAATTGGATCTTGACTGATATCCAAGTGTGCAAAGATAACCTGGTCACCTGACCCATATTAGATCCTGAAAGACCCTCCTGTTCCTCAATGTATATTCCAGTACACATTAAGGCCCAGCTATATTGTACTTCCTGATCATGGATGTTTCCTTGAGTTCTGACAGTTCTTGTTACTCATTTTTATAGCCCAAAACTTCACAGCTTAAAACAACCACAATAATATATTTTCTCAAGAATCTTTGATTTGCAAAGGGCTATGGGGGAAGGCTCACCTGTTCCCCACATTGCATCAGCTGAGGTGGCTATCCTGAAGGCTGGAGGATTTGCTTCCAAGATGGCTCCTTCACATGTGTTACAAGTTAGTGCTGGCTGTCAGCTGGGAGTATAGTGGCTTAGTTCCAAAGTGATGAAAACTATTACTTTTTTTTTTTGAGACGGAGTTTCACTCTTGTTGTCCAGGCTAGAGTGGAATGGCATGACCTCTGCTCACTGCAACTTCTGCCTCCCGAGTTCAAGCAATTCTTATGCCTCAACCTGCCAAGTAGCTGGGATTACAGGCACCCACCACCATGGCCTGGCTAATTTTTGTATTTTTAGTAGATACAGAGTTTCACCATGTTGGCCAGGCTGGTCTCGAACTCCTGACCTCAGGTGATCTGCCTGCCTTGGCCTCCCAAAGTGCTGGGGTTACAGGCGTGAGCCATTGCACCCGGCTGAAACTATTACATTTTATGACCTTGCCTCAGTAGACACAGAGTATCACTTCTGCCATTCATACTTCATCAGTCACAGCAATCAAAAAAATCTTCCCAGGTGAGGAAATACACCCCTTAATGGGGGAGTGGCAAAGTTCTGAAATGGATTTCTGGAAATGTTTTGTAGTCGTATTGGAAAAATGAGATCTGCTTCATTGGCCATTTGATGAACATCTACCCCCCACCTTTATAAAGTATATTACATTATAGTAAATGTCCTATTATTTGAGATTATCTGAGTAAATCTTTATTCTTTGCAAACAGAACACCCTGGATCAGCAGAGAAAGCTCTCTACCAGCAGTTGGGCCATAGTACATAGGATCACTGAGCAGGTCAGACCACCAGAAAGGTTATGCATGCTCTCCAAGGAACTTGAAGTGATAGTAAGTGACAACAATGGTTGTTCCCAAATATTTGTTCTCTCTGTCTTCCATAGTAATAGAACCTGTTAGTTGAGTTTAGGGCTTTCCATAATAAAGATTATTTTACTCATTCTTCTTTGTATCCTGGTATAGAGGCAAATGACAGCTTCTAGGGATCTTCCTTTGAAGTCATCAGACTAGTTAATTTTGCCTCTTCCTTCTTCCATCATTTTACTCTACTGCCTGGAATGCAAATGTAAAAGCTAGAGTTTTAGCAGCCATCTTAGGTCCTTAAGACAAAAGCCACACTCTATTAACTAGGAACAATGGATGGTAAGCTAGAAGAAGCCAAGATTACAGAGGATTTTGTAGAGCATGCCCACCATTTCATCCATGGATTTTTCCAAAAGTTCTATGTGATAGAAAAATTAAATCCTATCTCGTTTAAGCCCTTGTTTTCTCAGGTCTCTGTTACTTGCCGTTCTATCTATATCCTACCTAATACTAAGACAAATATGGTGGCCTTTGGCTATCGTCTTTGTGGGTTATCTTGCCTTATTTTGAGACCATTGCAGATCATTTCTCCATATTCTTAAAGAAACTCTTTATATTGCATTGTAGTCAGAGTGCTTGCAACTTGACATTCCTGGAATAGAATGCTCAATACTGTAAGGTTCCCAGCTTTCTGGATGTGGACATGAGTCAAGAGAAGTGAGACAAATCCCCTTAGAAGGCAATTGGGACCCTTTGTTCTATAAGCACTACTGGCACAAGAGTTACAAACTATTTTCAGCATCTCTGGGTTCACATGATCACCTTCCTCTAAGAGTTTATGAAGGAGTAGTTGCCAAGAGCAAACCAGAATCAGGCACAGGAAAATGAAAATGTGTGAGTGAGAGTCTGTGCCCAACCTTAAGTGTGGGTTCTACATTACCCAAATTTGGCCAAAATGTGGAGATGAAAACTCCATGCTATCTGACAGTGCCAAAGCAAATAAACTAACGAATTATACTGTGTTGGGGCAAGTTGTGAGAAATTCCTGCCTTGGGGTTATGAGCTGTTTTCATGAATTTTAAAAAATTAAAATTGAGTCATTATCCTTCATCACTACACATGCTTTTTGTCTTGAGCAGTGCTATGGTTTGATTTGTCCCCACCAAAACTCATGTTGAAATTTTATCCCCAATGTGGCAGTGTTACGTTTTTGAAATGTCTTTTTACTAAAATCTGAAATTAATTAGCAGTGTCTTTTCTCTTGAATTAGTAAGAAATAGTGTACTCAATCATACTTCAAAAAGTTCATCTGATGAGCAGGACAGGAAATGGTCACTAAAATGGATTAAATTTTTTAATTTTTTTGGAAAAATTATTAAACTTAAACTAAGAGTTAGGAAAGACATTTTAATTAGAAGTGGAACAACTCTAAAAGATGGAACAGGTTAACTCTGACAACAGCTCATTTTTCAACTAAACAAAAACTTGGAAAACAATTACTTGATTTACATATTTTCCTCCATTTGGATCCATAATTTAGACTTGTAGGTCTGTCATAATCTTTCAGTTCTGGAGAGCTCACGGAGCATCAGAAACCATGTGGGGCCAGGCACGGTGGCTCATGCCTGTAATCTCAGCACATTGGGAGGCCAAGGAGGGCGGATCACCTGAGGTCAGGAGCTCCACACCAGCCTGGCCAACATGGTGAAACCCCGTCTCTACTAAAAATACAAAGATTAGCCAGGCATGGTGGTGGCACATGCCTGTAATCCCAGCTACTCGGCGGGGATGAGGCAGGAGAATCGCTTGAACCTGGGAGGTGGAGATTGCCATGAGCCGAGATCATGCCACTGCACTCCGGCCTCGGCAACAGAGTGAGACTCCATCTCAAAAAAAGAAAAACAACAAAACCATATGGGAATTGTGTTTCTTCAGATTTCTTTGGGCTCAAGTGACCCTCCACTTCCCTAATCATATTCTTAGGAATGTTGCACATAACAGAAACCAACTCAAACTAGCTTAAGCAAAATTTAAAAAGACATGAGCATGGGTATTTATTAGAAGGATACTGTAGAGTCTTGCAGCATAGAATCCAAAGGCAAGAAAGCAATCAGTGCTCAGGAAGGGACTGGGAGCTGAAACTAGAATGTCCTCAGAAACGCACCTCCCCTCATCTCTGTTTCCTGTATTCGTATTCATATTTGCTAATATTGCTGCCAATGCGTCTCTCTCCTTAGCCCACTGGGCAAGTGGAATAAGATGACCACATCAGAATTTCACATTTTAAGTTATAGGTCCATTTTCTATGTTATTAAAGAAATAGCGGGATGTGGTGGCTCTTATCTGTAATCCCAGCACTTTGGGAGGCTGAGACAGGAGGATTGCTTGAGCCCAACAGTTGAGACCACCTTGGGCAACATGGCAAGGCCCCATCTCTACAAAATTAAAAATTAGCTGGGCATGGTGGTGCACACCTGTGGTCCCAGCTACTTGAAAGGCTGAGGTGGGAGAATCACTTGAGCCCAGGAGGTCAAGGCTGCAGTGAGCCATGTTTGCACCACTGCACTCCACCTGGGTGACAGCAAGACCTTGTCTCAAAAATAAATAAATAAATAAAGATTTTGTGCCTTATATTTAAGATTCAGGAATAAAGTTTGAATTTTTCACATTGATGTCATTAAGATAAAAACATATTATTATATAAATAAACTTACATTACTATACATAATGCAACATTAACAACTGCTTAGTAAGTTTACTTGTGAATATTATATATCAACTAACACAATTTTAAAAACAACTTTCACACTACTATTTTATAACTTAGGTAATAATCTGGAAGATGTTCCAAGCATTTGAAACGACTAAATGACAAAGGATTCTTAATGTTTATAAAGAGAGAAGTAAAATGGCAAATGTATGACAATAGAAGAATTTTTATCTTCTCCAAGTGAATAGTGACTTTTGTATTACAAATTTTGGTGAATATATTCACTTGGAAACTCTTTAACCTTTGTCTTAATGGTGAACAATAAAGTTCTTAATAAATATTCAACATTCTTAAAGGAAGAACTCCTAGACCTGATTTTATTTTTCCCTGAACTAAGAGAGGCTTGGACATCCCTATTCAATAATGTACACAACTGTGCTTGTGTATGGTAGATGGTCAATGGTCTAGAAGCATGCATGAGACACTGGTAAGAGAGATTGCCTCTGGGCGTCACACGGGAGGGAAGACTTACTTTTCCCTGAATGTCTGTTTATATGGCTTTGTTTTACTGTGTAAGACTAACTTTCAAAATTCTTTAAGTTGTCTAAGCCCTAATGAAGAGACATGTAATGAATGATTGTGAACTGGACCCTTTTACTATAAAGGATATTATTGGGACAGTGGTAGAACTTAAATGAGGCCTGAGGATTAACTGGTAGTGACGTATTCGTATTGATTTCCTGATTTTGCAGACTGCATTTTGATTGTATAGGAGAATGTCTTTTTCTGAAGGAAATAAAAAACACTAAGCTCCCCAAGAGTGTTGGGTCATTGTGTTGGTAGCTTACTCTCATATTTTTAGAAATAAATAGATATATTTGGCTGCGTGCATTTTAGGAGGCTGAGATAGGAGGACCGCTTGAGCCCAGGAATTTGAGACCAGCCTGGGCAACATAGTCAGACCCTGTTTCTACAATAAAATTGTTTTTTTAGTTGGGCATGGTTGCTTGCCCCTATAGTTCCAACTACTAAGAAGGCTGAGGTAGGAGGATGGCTTGAGCCCAGGAGATGGAGGCTGCAGTGACCCATGATCACACCACTATACTGTACTCCAGTCTGGGCAACAGAGCAAGACCTTGTCTCAAAAAAAAAAAAAAAAAAAAAAGAAAGAAGAAAAAAAGAAAAATAAGGAGAAAAGAAAAAACAATCAAATATATTTGTACTGTCTTGAAACTTTTCTGAAATTTTGAGATTTTTTTCAAAATTTTAAAACATTAAAATATTTTTTAAATATTCTAAGCACTAAATTTGCGGAGAGACAATGTGATTGGGCAAATTTTAGGCCCAGCTTATATCTGCTGCTCACCCCATTAGCTGTGATCAGTGGGAATCAGGAAGCAGTTCTCTGAATAGTTTCTAAAACAGAGAGATTGGGAAAAATGCTCCAATAGATGTCTGCTGCGCTAACAAGAAACTATATCATGATTCACTGGTTTTATACTGCCGGATTTTTTTTTTTTTTTGGTGACTGATGAGTATTTATTTATTTTGTTAATTCTCTCTTTTCCTTTTTGGGGAAGTGTGGGAGGGTGGGGGATTAGATACATGAAATGCAATGAGAATCCAAGACCAGCTAGAAAGAAGTGCCCAATATGGAACTCCAGGCTGTGGTCACACTGATTGCCTCTGCTCATCTGGTGAAAATCCCATTCCAGTGATTGCCGATGACATTTTATCATATTCTCTGCCCTGGACAAGAACTAACCTTGACTGTTAACATTGACAATGGAACATTTTAGAACATTACAGAAATAGGAAAGTCATAAAGGTTTCTTCCTTAATTCATAGCACTTGGGCATCCATAGGTTATGCTTTCCTCCATCACCCCCACCCCCATACATTTTCTCTGAGGGTTCCCTTCTCATCTCCCTTGGAGTGTTGGACAATGCTACCTAGCAGGGACTTTTCTCCTCTCAGCCTTTAAGGGAAAATTCAAGAAATCATAATCTTCACTTGCCATGTTTTATCATCAATGAAATATTTTTAAATTGTCTGATACAATCAAGCGTGGCCACTTAAAACTTCACAAGAAATTTCCCTTTCAAGATGGAAAGATCCAAATATGTTCTGAAGTGTCCTTTTCCCTCAATTTATCATCAATGTGGAAGTTTTTCAGGCAGTCTTTGGCATTTCAGTATGTTTTCTTCACTCTCAGAGGGAAGGCACACGAGGGAAAGGAAGTGAGTACTTGAGTACCCTCAACACGATCAAGTCTCTTTGACAAGCCAGCAAGGTAGTCATTAGTCGTGGTTGCTCTGTTTCAGCTCCTCCATCTTTTCGGCATATGGAAGTCAATGTTCCCATGCACTGAAAGTTACTTGTGGCCACGTGCTTTCTTTGATCAATGAAATAAGTGCAGGCAGAAGAAAGTACATCACTTCCACATAGAAATGCTAAGAACCAATATAGAATTCACTACATGCTCTTCCTCACTACATTCTCTCCCTCTTTTCCAAGGTCACTCCCAAGGTAGCCAAATGAACACCCAACTGACATTGTTCACATAGCATAAGTAAAAAGATAAACCTTGTTTTAAGCCATTGACACTGGAAGTCATTTGTTTCTGCAGCATAACCTAGCCCATTCTATCTGATACAGAAACCTCATTCTCCATCTGGGCTCAGTTTCCTCATGCTGGCCTTTTATGCATATCTACAAGGAAGAAGTTCTCCTCTCTGAGAACTCAATGTTAAAAATGATGTATTATTTGTTACGATTGCTTATATGAACTTTTTATGATGATCCACTTGTGAGATATCTACCACTATCGCATCAGATTTACCCTCCTTTTGAGATGACTTTGCTTGTGACTCAGAGAAGGGCTATATTATGCTATGGTAGGCAGATATTGGGATATGTTCCCCAGTGCCAAGCCATTGCAGTACAGTATCCAAAGGTTTGAAAAACATGACTTTGACCCTGCTAGCAATACACTTTAAGATGCGAGACGAATAATGGGGTCCCCACAGTGACTGGCATGTAGGAACTAGCATAATGGCTAACTGTATAGAATTTGGAGTCAGTCAACCTGGTTTTGAATCCCAGCTCTGCCATTCACTAGTAATAAGTGATTTGGAACCAGTGATTTAGCTCTTTTAGACCTAATTTTCCAACTTTAATATGGTGATACTAACAGTACCTAGGTCCTAGAGCAGTATTAAGGATTGAATGAAATATTCAACCTTATTATTACTATTACACTTCAGAAAATATTCTCAATGCCTTCCCTTCCCCAACAACTCATTTCATTTTCACATAAGGTTGGCAAGTTTTTTATTGGAGTTACCCTTGACTGGGCGCAAGGTCATTCCTTTGAAGATAACTTTATGTGAATTCAAATGTAAAAATGCTGACAAAACTCATTTAAGGTCCTAAGTTAGTATTGTTGAATGGTGCAGAATAAGAAAAAGGGAAACTTCATTTACCTTTTAGATCTAGAAGCTAGTAATACAGACTACATAATGGCCAAGGCCTCCACCATACATAGAGATGAGTATTTTGGAAGCGTGTCACTGGTAGAGTTCGCTAGCTCCTTGGTGTCCATAATCTGGCTGGTGAGATTTGGAGGCTCAGAAGACAGATTGCCGTGCCTGGAAGGCCTTGCAAAGACTAGCTGTGATTGGCTGTTCTGAGACCTTCTGTCTTTCCACTTTGACTGCCTTGAGAGAGAGAGAGAGGCTCTCCTCGTTTTATCCTATCTTCAGATTATGTTGACTCTCTCCGTCTCACCTTTGGGCAAAGCTGGGTCTCATTTCCGGGCCTCATTTCATGGCTTGCAAGTAAATAAGAGATTTACTGGTGGAATGATGCACAGCTCATGCATTCAAATTAAACGCTAAACAATCTGCCAAATGACAGGACCCAGGTGCCCCGAGGAATCTCCGTCAGAAGTACCTTGAAAACCTTCCCCCAACGATGCCACTCCTAGATGTCTCAGAAACAACTGATTTGGCAACTCAACTCAAGTGGCATATGGGACAGAAACTGTGATTGGTCTAGCTTGGGTCAGGTGGTTCCAACTACCCAACTTCCTTTGTCCTTACCGCCCACTGACTAGATGTGGGAAGGGAAATCAGGTCTTTTTCCAGAAGAAAGAGAAGGCAAGGCAGAAGGATTAAGCAGACCAACCTGATAGCCACAGCTTTTTTTTCTTTTCTTTCCTTTTTTTCTGAGAAGCAAAAAAAGCATTGGTGGTTAGCAAAACCAAATGAAAAAGAAGACAGAGATGTTCTTTTTTGTTCTTGATTAACCTCACCAAAGCCACACCGTGTCTCTGCCAACTCAGGGAGGCAGTGTGACTAGAGGGACTTGGGAAAGATGAGGCAACTTGAAAAAAACACCGAACTCCACAGCTATTGTGTGGCAAGAAGGCAGGTCAATGGTCTGCATGGTGTGCCAGGGCCTGCAGCAGTCCCTGCCCTTGTTCTAAGTCCAGGCTCATTATTCGGAGTGATTACTGAAAGTGTAAGTCAGACATGCAGGGATATAAGATTGCATGTTGAAACCACAAGAGGTTCAGATTTGCAAAATAATTGAAGGAGATGAGATAAGCAGAGCCCCACAGCCCCACGTGATTGCTGTAACTCTTGATTTCTCAAATTAAATGTATTGTTTCCAGTTAATTGTGACAGTTGCCTTTCCGCTCTCTTTTATATATTTGGGGCTTCCAAAACTAACCTCAATAAGCAACTCTGCCACATATATTAAGTAGCCAGGGTAACAGAAGAACAAAACAATGGGCTGCGGTGATGTCTTTTCTGGAGTGTGACTGAAAGTTTGTAGCAGGACTGGCTGGGCGCAGTGGCTCATGCCTGTATTCCTAGCACTTTGGGAGGCCGAGGCGGGTGGATCATCTGAGGTCACGAATTCAAGACCAGCCTGACCAACATGGTGAAACCCTGTCTCTATTAAAAATGTAGAATTAGCTGGGCATGGTGGCGCATGCCTGTAATCCCAGCTACTAGGGAGGCTGACGCAGGAGAATTGCTTGAACCCGGGAAGCGGAGGTTGCAGTGAGCTGAGATCATGCCACTGCACTCCATCCTGGGCAACAAATAGGAAAACTCCATCTCCCAAAAAAAAAAAAAAAAAAGATATTTGTAGCAGGACTGAAGCCACAGCAGAGACTCTAAGCCTCTTCTTCTGCATGTTTGGCAAGGAAGGACAAATGGACAGGGTAGAAAGGAGGGAAGGTGAAAAATCAAACAACTTGTCGGCTGCTGATCCTGAAGCTAGAAGCTGGAAGAGGGGAGGGGATGGCCGTTGAATTGTAGGCTGAAGCACAGAATAAGGAACAGATCTGCCTTTCTTACCAGTCAAGGCCCAGCAGGAAACAGAGTTCATCTCAGACAGTTCAAAGAAAGAGGCTGTAGTGGAGGGACTACCTACCAATTGAACAAGGAAGAGTGGGGAACAACTCAAAGAGAAGTGGCAGTGGGGACCTGTCACCTCCCTATAGCTAAAGGGTTGTGCGGGAAGAAATGGAGTCGTGGGAGCTCAGGAGAGATGGCGCCATGGACCAGGGACTTCCTCGTGGAATTGCTGGTGTGTGGGGCAGGCTTGCTGCTACCATTTATGGAACCCAGGCAGACTGTGTAGGTAAACATTAAGCAGCCAGCTCCCTGGAGGAAAAATAGCCCTGATTTGTAGTGTTTGCTGATTTCCTTGGTGTAAATACCCACAGCATGCAGTGGTACCGAGCTACCAACCTGATGTCACCAAACCGGGAGTTGAGAAGAAATGGATACAATCAGCTCCAGAGAGCCACTGTGAGCTGGTTCCAGCAACCTCTGGATGGGGCAAGAGGGCAAGTGGAGACCCACACGCCGTACATGTAAATATTTAAAAGTTATGCAAGAAGATAACACATTGTGTGTGTTCTTTCCTCCTACCTCAATAACTGTGTTAGTCCATAAGTGTTGCTACAAAGGAACACCTGAGGCTGGGTAATTTACAAAGAAAAGAGGTTTATTTGGCTTATGGTTCTGAGTCTCTCTCCAGTCACTGCCCCCCTGCTGAAGGGAGCTTCCAAGTCCAAGATCAGGCCATCCTCCCCCTACCAGGGGGTTGTGAGGTACAAAGGCCACTCCGCCTTGCTTCAAATTGGGACAATTTCCGAGATGCCTCAGCTGAGGTCTTTGCTGTCACTGCACATACAAAAGCTATACCCAAGAAGTGTGGTGCCAGCATCTGCATCTGGTTAGGGGCTTAAGAAGCTTCCAATCATGGTGGGAGGCAAAGAGCCACACATCACATGGTGAGAGACAGGGCAAGAGGGAGAAGCAGAGGTGCCAGGCTCTTTCAAACAACTAGCTCAGGTGAACTAATAGAGTGAGAACTCATTCATTACTGCAAGGACAGCAAACCAAGCCTTTCATGAGGGATCCACCCCCATGACCCTAACACCTCCCACCAAGCCCCACCTTGAACTTTGGTATCATGTTTCAACATGAGATTTGGAGGGGACAGACATCCAAAGCATAACATCAACCTTCGTGGATACCATGGTGCATCACCCACATCCCTTGTGTTTGTCAGGGTTCTCCAGAGAAACAGAACCAATAAGTGGTGTGTGTGTGTGTGTGTGTGTGTAGAGAAAGAGAGAGAGAGTGAGAGAGAGATTCACTGTTTTTTGTTGTTTTTGTTCGTTTGTTTGTTTGTTTTTGAGACGGAGTCTAGCTCTGTCGCCCAGGCTGGAGTGCAGTGGCGCAATCTCGGCCCACCGCAACCTCTGACTCCCAGGTTAGGCGATTCTCCTGCCTCAGCCTCCCGAGTAGCTGGGATTACAGGCACCCGCCACCATGCCCAGCTAATTTTGTATTTTTAGTAGAGACAGGGTTTCACTGTGTTGGCCAGGCTGTTCTCGAGCTCCTGACCTCATGATCTGCCTGCCTCTGCCTCCCAAAATGCTGGGATTACAAGTGTGAGCCACCACGCCCGGTGGAGAGCCTTGGCCTCCCAAAGTGCTGTGATTACAGGCATGAGCCACCAAGCTCAGCCCATATTCAATATTTTCAGAGACAATCAAATGGTATTAGTTCTTAACAACTTTCCTGGTAATTTTGCCCATGACATGAGATGTGAGTTTATTGAAAACACTACATCTTCACAAGAAAATTGTGTAAGTCATTCTAGGAACAGATAAAGGTTTCCATGTAAGTGAATTTTCAGTTAACTTCAGTGGGTTCCGTCCAACTAATCTACTTTCCTATTCAGATGCTAAAAGAATAGTAAATAAAGCTGAAGAGTTAAATTCCTACCCGTTTCCACTTTGGAGCAATTTCATACAGTACTGCTATGAACACTTTTGAAATGCCTATGGTGGACATAGACAACCGTTTCTGCTGGGTACATACTAAGACAGGATTTGCTGGGTCACTAGGTACACATATACGTATATCCATATATCCCTTGGAATGACGGAAAATGAGGAAAGCAATGCCTTTACAGGGCAAAGGACAAGTTGTTATTAGTAGCTTCCCAAGCCTTATTGGACTCTTGAAAGAGGCATATGGCTACCTGAAGGCAGGATTTAGATTTAGGCGTATGCAGAAAAGAGAAGTCTTTTTTATTTTTAAATCATAAAGCAACTTGACCAAAAAGACAGTTTCTGTAATCTCAGAACTGAGCTTTGCCTGGAACAACATAAACCTCTTTCTGCTTCACTGTACATCACAACATCCAGATTCCCTGGAAGCAGGTCCCATTAAATTACTTCCTCTGCTTGGAAAGCTTAGATCTGCGTGGCTGGCTCCCAGTGTTTCTTTCTTTTTTGACTTAGCACTAGGCTTTGTTCTGGACAGCAGAGGCTATTTTTCATAATTTGTTCCTCTCTGGAGCTTTTTGGGTCAAAGATCATAAGCTGGGAGTTGGCAACACACAGTAGTAGAAATATCATCTCCATTAGGATTGCTATGGTGCCATGGAGAAACTATGCTTCCTGTTGGGTTGTACTGTTGTGCTTGATTATATTTTAACAACCAAGGGTACATTAGATGGGATAAACTGTTCACTGAATATCTCTGGAGGCACTGACATTGTTTTCCATCTGAATATTTTTCCTTCTGTATATCATTCATGCAGCCCTAGAAGACATCAAGCAGCTGCTTAAGAGAGTATAGGCCACCAATTTTTAATAACTCTGGAAAACAAGTAGGGTAAGCATTTTTATTCTCATTTCACCAGTGGGGAAACTTGAAACTTGGAGAAATTATGTAATTTTCCCCAGATCATACAAATAATTCATAGCAGAAATGGTATTAAAAGTAATACCACCTCTCTCTGTCCACCAAATCACTGTGAAATGCCCCAAAACAGAATTTAAGCATGCTGGGTCCAGGTTATCTCATCAAGCATGGCCATTTGGCCAGAATCAACCAAATTCATTTTTCAATATTTATTAAGTTTTAATGATGTGCAGAGACCCATTTTAATAGTTGGCCAATATGGGGCCAAACCCTCAGATTGATTATGTTCATAGACACAGTGATATTCCATTTCTTCCACTGATCAGTTTTCTTAGCTTCAGTGGATGATAATTATCTTTCTAGGTGTGGTGGAGTCTAATCTTATAAATCAGCAACACTTCCCTCAAAATTCTTTAAGAAAAAAATTCTATTGCTGTGGGAATATTTTAAAAAAGAAAGAAAAACAAAATGTCTTTTAGAAAAATATTCCTTGAAAGTCCTTTAGGAAAATTATCTTTAGAGCCTTTCAGAAACATGCCACTTTGGAGAGTAACATATTCAATAAGTACTGCTTGGCCAGTTATTTCTCCAGCCATTTCTGTTCCTTTTGTTGAGTACCAGTTAAAGCTGGTGTAGGGCCCTCTTTTATGAAATGTATACTAGAATCATGTTATAGTTGGCAAGATGCTCATACAATGGGAGGAAAGACAGAACCAAGCTGGTTAAGGGAAGAGCCATTCACACCTGCCATCTCAGATGGGGGGCAGAGCCACCCAAGTAATTTACACTGTTATTGTCCTCTTATATGAGCTAAGTGTCCATGTGATGTAACTTCACTGTGTTCAACCTCTTCCCTGAAACTTAGGCCACTGCTGTTTTTTCTCTTTTCACTATTCTAGTGTGAGGTCTTAGTGAACACTCTTTGGCTGTAAGTACAAGAAGCCAACTCAAACTAATATAGATTAAAAGGAGGAATTATAAAGATATGGAATCATCTGGCCAAACTGGAAGATCAACATGATGGACATTCATTGATTTTCTTTCCAGCATACACTTCTCTTACCAGTAGTTCTAGGTTTCTTTTTGGGAATCTGTGTGCATCTGGCGATGCTGACTCCAGCTCTAACTCTAGGGATGAAACATGTGACCTAGATCCATCCAGTCATCATAATCCATCCCATCCCCCACCCCCACTGGCCATAGTGATTGATGCAGAGACAGGCATGTGACCTTCGTCAGTCCAATCAGGGTGACTCATGGAACTGCAGTGGGAATTCTGCATCTCTTTCCTCCTAGATAATAGAAAGCTAGCATATATCTCTGAGGGCTTGTGGCAACCATCTTGACCTTAGCATAATGAAGAGATGCAAAAACATCAGGTCCTTGGGGATATGTTTGATCCAATTGATCAAGTTTCACCTGAAATGAGATTCCTCTGTCTCTTTAGTCATATAAGCCAGCGGTCCCCAATCTTTCTGGCACCAGGAACTGGTTTCATGGAAGACAATTTCTTTCACTGAATAGGGCTTGGGGCATAGTTTCAGGATGAAACCGTTTCACCTCAGATCATCAGGCATTAGATTCTTATAAGGAGCGTGCAAACTAGATCCCCTGCATGCACAGTTCACAGTAGGTTTCACGCTCCTATGAGAAGCTAATGCTGCCGCTGATCTGACAGAGATAGAGCTCAGGTTGTAAGGCTCACTCACCCCTGCTCACCTCCTGCTGTGCGGCCTGGTTCCTAACAGGCCAGGGACTGGTACCGGTCCATGGCCCAGGGGTGGGGGACCCCTGACATAAACCAAAAAAAGTATTTTTCTTTCTCTCTTCCTGTTCTCCCTCTCTCCTTATTTCTCTCTCTCTCTTTTTCTCTTCATCTCTCTCTCCCCTTCTCTTCTGCCCCTCTTCCTGTCTCTCTCTTCTTTGTCCCCTCCTCTCCTTTCCCCTCTCCTTTTACTTTTAAGACATGTTCACTGACCATATAGCCAAACATAGTTCCCCCAAATGATGGAAAGTTCCTAAATTCACCTCAGTTTAAGTGAACATCACATTGAATTAGAATGTGTTGCACCAATCTCACATTTCTAGAAGCAAGAATTTGATTGCTCCAATCCACAGTATCCTGGAGGGAAAAGGAAGAGAGTGAAGAGATTTGAGAAGCAGAAGGAAATGCAAACTCCACTGCTGATCCACCACAGCAGTTATATAGTGGGAAGTAGGCTAGACCTCAGATTAAACTGGATCCTGATTAACCAGGTGAGTCAAGAATCCCCAGATCAAAATGAACTGAAGGTGATAGAATTTTTTTGAGGTTGTCAGCAAATACATTCTCTCATTACTTGGTTTTTCTTCAACAAAAATGGGAAGAAACAATGTGCTTTTGAAGAAGTGTATGCGGTGCAAGATTTCACCAAGTAAACCAAAGGCAATTCCTAGAAGCCTTTCGAAAAGAAAATGCTGAAATTCCTATGACCACAAGAGATGAAGGATGGATGGCAGGAAGCAGACGGTAAAGAAGTAAAGAACAGTGTTTGTGTTTTCCAACTTCTGTTCAGATGGTTGCAAAAAATGATTACCGTTGATTTAGGAAAGGTTTGGTTTTTAAAATTAGAATTCTTTCACAGTTAAAGGACTGTGAATTTCTTTAAATCTGGCACACACAAAAACACTTCTGGTTCAAGACCCTGTATTATGATTATCCTGTTGCAGTGGCAGACACTGTTCAGGAATGTTCTGTGCTTAGCTGAGCTCATTCTTCTATTTCAGAAATGTTTCAGATTCTTATTCATTTCAAGTTTGCTTGCGGACAGGAGAGCTTTGAACTTCAGAAAATTTTACTTGGTCTTGTTTCAAAAAGTTATTGTTAATGAGCAAACTTTTTCCGTAGATCCAAAAGACTGCATTTTGAGAGATATTTAAAAATTTTGTGGTAGTCAGGATTCTTTCAAGTTGACAGAAACCCAATCTAAACTAGCTTAAATACAAAAAGGAACTTACACATCTGAGAAGTCTAAGTGTCATATTATTCATAGATTTTCAGAGGGGACTTATATTTTAAGTCATAAATAGACACTAACAAACACCAAGTTTTCATGTGTTCTATGTTTACGGCAGCACTATTCACAATAGCTAGAAGGTGGAAACAGCCATAGATACATCAACAGATGAATGGATAAATGAATTGTGGTATATCCATAAAATGGAACATTATCTGGGCCGGGCGCGATGGCTCATGCTTATAATCCCAGCACTTTGGGAGGCCGAGGCAGATGGATCAACTGAGGTCAGGAGTTCGAGACCAGCCTGGCCAACATGGCAAAACGCCATCTCTACTAAAAATACAAAAATTAGCTGGGTGTGGTAGCACATGCCTGTAATCCCAGCTACTTGGGAGGCTGAGGCAGGAGAATCACTTGAACCCGGGATGCGGAGGTTGCAGTGAGCTGAGATCGCATCACTGCACTCCAGCCTGGGTGTCAAAGCAAGACTCTGTTTCAAGGAAAAAAAAAAAAAAAAAAAAAAAAGGCCGGGCGCAGTGGCTTATGTCTGTAATCCCAGTACTCTGGGAGGCTGAGGCGAGTGGATCATCTGAGGTCAGGAGTTTGAGACCAGCCTGGCCAACATGGTGAAACCCGTCTCTACTAAAAATACAAAAATTAGCCAGGCGTGATGGTGGGTGCCTGTAATCCCAGCTTCTCGGGAGGCTGAGGCAGGAGAATCGCTTGAACCTGGGAGGCGGAGGTTGCAGTGAGCTGAGATCGAGCCACTGCACTCCAGTCTGGGGATAGAACGAGACTCTATCTCCAAAAAAAAAAAAAAAAAGGAATATTATTCAGCCGTAAGAATAAATGAAGTACTGATACATGCTATAGCATGGATGAACCTTGAAAACATGCCAAGTGAAATAAGCTAGACACAAAAGGACAAATATTGAATGATTCCATTTATATGAAATATCCAGAATAGGCAAAGTCATAGAGACAGAAAACAGATGTGTAAAGGCTGTGAAGAGGGGATGGGGATAACTGGAACACTTGGCATGGGGTTTCCTTTTGAGATGATGAAAATGTTTTGGAATTAGGTAGAAATGGCGCTTATACAACATTGTGAAAGTATTACATGCCACTAAATTATTCACTTTAAAAATGGTTAATTTCATGTAAATCTCACCTTGACAAAAATGAAAAGGAAAGGAAAACTTTTTTTTTTTTTTTTTGAGACAGAGTCTCGCTCTGCTGCACAGGCTGGAGTGTGGTGGAACAATCTTGGCTCACTGCAAACTCCATCTTCCAGGTTCAAGTGATTCTCCTGCCTCAGCCTCCCAAATAGCTGGGATTACAGGCGTGTGCCATCATGCCCAGCTAATGTTTTGTATTTTTTGTAGAGACAGGGTTTCACCATGTTGGCCAGGCTGGTCTCAAACTCCTCAAATGACCTCAAGTGATCCAAAAGTGCTGAGATTACAGGCATAAGCCACCATGCCCAACCACAAATAGATTTTTAATAGTTAAAAAATACTATGATCATACTGTGATCATAATTATACATAATTATACCAGTGTTCTAATAATTAGTTTCTTTATTTTTAATTTTGAAATAACATTTCAGACTTACATTAAGGTTGCAAGAATGGTCTAAAAAACTTCCATATGCCCTTCATCCATATTCCCCAACTGTTAAAATTTCACCACATCTCCTTCCTTCCTTCTCTTTTTTCTTTCTCTCTCTCTTTGTGTCTCTTTCTTTTCTTTTCTTTCTTTCTCTTTCTTTCTTTTTCTTTCTTCTCCTTCCTTTCTTCCTTCCATCCTTTTCTGTCTCTCTTTTTCTTTCTCTCTTTCTTTCTCTCTCTTTTTCTTTCTCTTTTTCTTTCTCTCTCTGTCTCTCCTTCTTTCTCTCCATCTCTCTTTCTCTCTGTCTCTTTCTTTATCTCTGTTTCTCTTTCTCTTCCTCTGTGTCTCTTTCCTTCTTTCTCTCGGTCTCTTTCTTCTTCTTTCTTTCTTTGTCTCTCTGTCTCTTTCTCTCCGTCTCTCTTTCTTTCTGTCTCTCTCTTTCTCTCTGTCTCTTTCTCTCTGTGTGTCTCTTTCCTTCTCTCTCTCTCTTCTTTCTTCTCTCTCTCTCTTTCTCTCTATCCCTATGTATATATATATATATACCTCTATATAGAGATGCCTATCAAGTATGTGTGTATATTTATATACATATTTATATTATTATTTTAGTTTTGAGGAGGCTGCACCTCTGGTGTTCTTTAATTCTTTGAATAATGGTGGAAATTGAGAGGGAGGGGCAAGCAAAATATAAATCATGCTATGGTCTTAATGTGTCACCTCCAAAATTCAGGTGTTACCAATGTGCTGGTATTAAAGGTGGGGGCTTTCAGAGGTAATTAGGCAATGGGAGTTCCTTCCTCATAAATAGTATTAAGGCCCTTACAGAAGAGGCTTCGCAGAGTGCTTGGCTAGCTTGCCCTTCAGCCTTCTGCCATGTGAGGATGCAATATGAAGATCCTCACTAGACCAAATGCCAAGCCTTGATCTTGGACTTCCCAGCTTCCAGAATTGTGAGAAATAAATTTCTGTTCTTTATAAATTATCCAGTCTCAGGCATTTTGTTATAGCAGCATGAATGGATAAGAAATTATAACAAGCCTCTGCCTTGTCAAGTGAACCCTAAATGTGTGGTTTGGGGGCAGAGCAGCAGAATGGGGGAAGGGTGAGAAGATGGGATGAAAGAGGAAGTTCTCAAACCACCTTGCCAGTGATGGGTTGTTGCCAAGATGAGAGCTGTGGCCACCAGCATGGGAAACAGAGGACATGATGGCTCTCGTCCAGCTCCCTGAATACGATGGCCAGCTAATCAACCCACCAACCCCTTCAGCCCACATTTCTGGTGCTTCTTTGTGCTGTGTTTGCTGTCCTCTGCTTTTGAAGATGACACTACCAGTTATTCTCCCCAGCTGGGAGTGCAGGTGTCACCGATAAGACCAGTGGGGCCCAGCAGTCTTCCCACACTGGGAACATATGGTGTTTCCTCTTTGTTTTGGGGCTGTGGTTGCCACACAAAGTCTGGTGTCGGATGAAGTTGGTTTTAAGACTTGAGAGTTGGCTCCTTATGAGTCATCTCATTTCTCATCCTTCCATGTGCAGGAGCCTCTCTAAGCCATTGAAAATACTTTTCCACCATCGCAACATGTTCTGTGGAGCTCTCAATCATTGTGTGCAAATATATTCCAGCTTTATTCATACCAGTGCTGTTTATGCAATTGATTCTATAAAGGTGCACATACTTTCAGCTGTTTTAAGGCAAGATTATCTTTACAGGTGCTTTATTCGTCGATCTACAGAATCCATTGAAGAGTTATTTTTAAAATAAACACAATTGCGTATGGAATAAAATGAAGAGCTTAACAATATTAATTCATCATGAGACTAGCCATCACAGCTTTCATGCTTGTAAACGTGCATTGATGACTTGAGTTTAAACCACTTCTACCAGTGACAACTCAGCCATGTCCTGATCACAGGCAAATCACACAGAGATTTGTGTTTACCAAGCATTGGGAAGGTGTAACTTTCTTTAGTTTTGCTCCCTTAAAAGCAGATCCTGAGATAGGAATCTGAGTGACAGTAGTCTGTTTACAACGAGATTCCAGGAAGCACCAATAAAGGAGTAGGGGAGTGTGTCAGGGAAGAGAAGACAGGCAACAAAGGATGTGTTTGTTGATAGGCAGGTTACCACTGTAGGCAACTAGGGCTTAATCCTACTAGGATGTTCTTGCAGAGAGCACAGAACAACCACTTTGAAGTGATCACACCTGAGGGCTAAGGAAGCTGGGCTATTGATGTAACATTATTTGAGGGCTGCTCAGGAGCTTGTCTGACTGCCAGCAGAGTGAAGTAGAATCTGGTGTAGCCAAGAACTCTTCAGCCAAAGAGATTTGGATGTTGGTTGCTGAAATTTAGGTGAGCCTACACTGTGGTAGAAATGCTCAAGGGAATATGTTTGTATCTGCTACATAGGAGGTAGGCTGGGTTTATAGTTTTACCATTTTGCTGCTTGAGAAACAAGTTTAGAAACATTTAGTGATTTTCCCAAGGTCACGTGCAAGTTCTTTCATTTAAAATCCAACTCAATCTGGCACAAGCAAAAGAGAACATATTGGCACACGTAGCTAAAAAGCTCAGGGATAGGTTGTCTTAGTCTGTTTTGTGTTGTTATAACAGAATGCCTGAAGCCAGGTAATTTAGACACAATAGAAGATTATTTGACTTACAGTTTTGGAGGCTGGAAAGTCCGAAGGTATGGTGACAGCATCTGGTGAGGGCCACATAAATGGTGGAAGGCTGAAGGGCAAGGGAGGGTGAGAATGAGACAGAGAGAAATCAGGTTGAATCTATCCTTTTATCAGGAGCCCACTCCCATGAAAACTAACCCACTCCCACAATAATGACATTAGTCCATTCATGAGGGTGGAGCCCTCATAACCCAATTACCTCTTAAAAAGTTCACCTCCAGAGGCCGAGGCAAGAGAATTGCTTGAACCCGGGAGGCGGAGGTTGCAGTGAGCTGAGACATGCCATTGCACTCCAGCCTGGGCAACAGAGCGAGACTCTGTTTCAAAAACAAAAACAAAAGCCTCACCTCCCAATACCATTGCGTTGGCAATGAAATTTCTTTCTTTCTTTCTTTCCTTTTTTTTTTTTTTTTTTTTTGAGACAGCGTTTTGCTCTTGTTGCCCGGACTGGAGTGCAATGGCGCAGTCTCAGCTCACTGCAACCTCTGCCTCCCAGGTTCAAGCAATTCTCCTTCCTCAGCCTCCCAGGTAGCTGGGATTACAGGCACCCACCACCATGCCCAGCTAATTTTTATATTGTTAGTAGAGACGGGGTTTCACCATGTTGGCCAGGCTGATCGCAAACTCCTGACCTCAGGTGATCCACCCACCTCGGCCTCCCAAAGTGCTGGGATTACAGGTGTAAGCCACCGTACCCAGCCGGCAATTAAATTTCAACATGATGCTTGAAGGGGGCATTCAAATCATAGCATAGTTCTTCAAGTTAGGTGGGATTCAGGAATTCAAACCATGATATTAGCACCATAGTCTAACCACTCTCTTCTGAATACTTTCATATATTAAATCAACAAATATCTACTTCCCGAAAACCAAACCAAAGAAGTAGTCGACAGGACACTTTATAAAAATAACTCCTTAGCCGGGCGTGGTGGCTCATGCCTGTAATCCCAGCACTTTGGGAGGCTGAGGCTGGTGGATCACCTGAAGTCAAGAGTTTGAGACCAGCCTGGCCAACATGATGAAATCCTGTCTTTACTAAGGATACAAAATTAGTTGGGTGTGGTGGCAGATGCCTGTAATCCCAGCTACTTGGGAGGCTGAGGCAGAAGAATCACTTGAACCCGGGAGATGGAGGTTGCAGTGGGCTGAGATCGTGCCACTGCACTCCAGCCTGGTGACAGAGTGAGACTCCGTCTCAATAATAATAATAATAATAAATACATAAATATAACTATTCATTCCTGTAATCCCAGCTTTTTGGGAGGCCAAGGTGGGACAATTGCTTGAAGCCAGAAGTTCGAGACAACATAAAAAGACCCTGTCTCTACAAAAAAATACAAAGAATTAGCCAGGCATAATAGTGCATACTTTGCTACCTTGCTACTTAGGAGTCTGAGGCAGGAGGATCTCTTGAGGCCAGCAGTTTGAGGTTGCAGTGAGCTATGATCGTGCCACTGCATTCCAGCCTGGACAACAGAGTGAGACCCTGTCTGTAAAAAAAAATAAAAAACTCAACAGAGAAAGTGAATTGTCTGTGGACAAATTATAAATTAATTTAAAATAATTAAACATTAGTAAGAAAATAAATAATAATAAAATAATGTGAGCATATATCTATTTACAAGTAGAGAACCTATGACAAAATTGAAAACTTGAATGCATCTGTGCAAAAAGCAGTCAATTTTGAAAAAAAAACTACATATCTTCTTTTCCACCTAAGTTTCATCCATGCACCTCGCTAACTATACAGTGCCCTCTCTGGTATTTCAGCAATGACTCAGCAGTTCAAAGTTCAGTCACAGAATTTCAAGCAATGCCTGTGCACACAGGTGCTGCACCATATCTTCTGTCTTGGATTGTGATGACCTCATTCCAGGGGACCCAGTGGCTATTTCAGTATGCTACCAACATAAATTCTTTCTGTTCATCCAGCTCAGATAGAGGATCTGGTTCTTGCCCCATCTCAAGGTTCAAATGTCATGGTCCAAAAGATAGAACCTGGGCTAGTAGGATTCAGCAGGTAATTGGAGTGTGTTTCCTGGTGATGAGTCCAACAAAATGGCTGTCATGGCAGATTCTGGAAAACCCTGAACAGAACAGGTTATCAAGTTAGTTCTGGGGAAAGTGGGTGGAGGTGCCATCAGGACATTAGGAACTAGGAAACCCAGGAGCGTAGATGAAACAAGAGTGAGGCTGGGCATGGTGGCTCACGCCTGTAATCCCAGCACTTTGGGAGGCCGAGGTAGGCAGATCACAAGATTAAGAGATCGAGACCATCCTGGCCAACATGGTGAAACCCTGTCTCTACTAAAAATACAAAAATTAGGTGGGCGTGGTGGCGCACACCTGTAGTCCCAGCTATTCAGGAGGCTGAAGCAGGAGAATCGCTTGAACCCAGGAGGCGGAGGTTGCAGTGAGCTGAGATTGCGCCACTGCACTCCAGCCTGGTGACAGAATGAGACTCTGTCTCAAAAAAAAAAAAAAAAAAAAAAAAAAAAAAACCAAGAGTGAGATGAAGGAGCGCATTCCCTAGGTTGGGTTATCTGAGAAGCAGATGCTGAGATGGAGTTTAGTGTGCAAGATGTTTACTGGGGAGTGGGCTTGAATTCAATGCCTGAGGAGAGGAGGGGAAAGGAGCAAGGATAGACAGCAATGCAGGGCTCATCACAGACTCAGCCAGTGTATGAGAAGCTCAGAAGCCAGAATGGGCCTTCAGGGTTGTCCCCAGTCCCGCTGAGGTGTTGGGCTTTTGTACTCCAGCATCTAAGTCATTGGATATGGGCTGCTTCAGAAATGGGTGACCCTGAATGAAATAGCTCCCTGTAGCTGCAGTGATCCTCAATACATGAATGACTCTGGTATCTCTTCTGAGCTTCAGATCTGCATACAGCTGCCAACTTGGCCAATCTCTTTGCTGTTTCAAAAGGAATGAAGAGATTGGGAGCCAGAAGTGAGAACATAGAGAGCAAGGTGGTGATGGTGGCTATAGAAAGGTCACAGAAGGCAGAGGCTGGGGCATCAAAGCCTGTGCCACCCCTTTTATAATATTCCCAAGGGTGGATACTTATCCTGGAAACAGCTCCATGAAGAGTGGACCCCAGATCTTCACACGTTCCCCTGACCTCCTCTCTTCACTCAACTTCCCCCAACCCCCAGTGATGTACTCCCCACATTTCACACTGTTGTGTAGATGTTTTTCTCTTTTGCCTTGAAAGTTGATTGTCCTCCTCTTCTTTTTTTTTTGAGACGGAGTCTCGCTCTGTCGCCCAGGCTGGAGTGCAGTGGCACGATCTGGGCTCACTGCAAGCTCCGCCTCCCAGGTTCACGCCATTCTCCTGCCTCAGCCTCTCGAGTAGCTGGGACTTCAGGCGCCCGCCACCAAGCCCGGCTAATTTTTTTTTTGTATGTTTAGTAGAGACGGGGTTTCACCGTGTTAGCTAGGATGGTCTCGATCTCCTGACCTCATGATCCGCCCGCCTCGGCCTCCCAAAGTGCTGGGATTCCAGGTGTGAGCCACTGTGTCCGGCCCCTCTTCTTTTATTTATTGTTCAGTGTTTATAAAAAGGCCTTTAGGAATTAATAAAAGACCAACACAATTTAAAGATCTTAAAGCCAAAATACTTTGGAAGAAAGAGTTTAGGGCCTTTGAAGCATAGATGGCAGCCAACAACTTGAACTATTGAGATTTTCTTGGGCAAGAAAACTTTGGAATACTGGAATAAGACTTCGTCTCTCCATCCTCTGTCTACAAATTGTTCCATAGGTCAAATATTGAAATGGAGGAGACTTCAAATTTTATCTCCAAAGCTACAATGTATCTCCAAAAATTTAGAGGAAGGAAAAACAAAGAAAAAAATCAAAAGAGTAAAACAGTATATTCGTGGTATATAGGAAAGAGTATGGGATTGGAAGCCAGGAGACTCGGATTTCTGGTCCCAAACCTGCCACTGAAAGTGGCTCTGTGATCTTGAACAAGGAACTGACAATTTCAAGGCCTCTTCTGTAAAAGGAAGAGATCTGGGCATGGTTGTCTTTAAGTCTCCCCCCACCCCCACCTCCCACCACCAGCCCTCTGCAAAACACGCACTACCACCATTACCTTCTTCTTTTTTAAAACTTGTAAAGCAGCTGTATTCCTGGTTCTCTGTCATCCCTTTAAGTCTCCTCAGTGGAGCTATGCTGTTTTCTATCCCTGGAAAACCTGAACAGGCTTTCATGGCTGTTTAGAGTCCCACTTTGGCAGCCAAAGTAATTTTTTTGATAACTTGAAAGATTTCAGTTTCCTAGTCTAATTTTCCTTTCAATGATAAGATCTTATTATTTACATAGTTGTGAGTAACAACAGCTCACACATTGGCAGAATTATGTTGAAGTCAGCAATGTGCTTCCGTATATAGTTACTCATTTGAGCCTCACAAATGTTAACAGATCTATGGAGGTAGGCTGAGAAGATAGTAAAAGTTCTACCATTTTGTTGCTTGAGAAATAAGTTTAAGGATATTTAGTGTATCAGGGTTCTTCCAGTTGCAAGTTTTTCCTAGAAATCCAACTCAAAACTGGCCTAATAAAAAATGAGAGCTTATTGGCTCATGCAATCATAAAGCCCAGCATAGGTCTTCAGGTTCAGTTGGATCAAGGAGCTCAAACTATGACATTAGTACCTTGTCTGTCTCTATGATCTAACCACTGTCTTCTGTGTATTTTTATTAATTTAATTAACAAGTCTTTATTGAACATCTTATATGTGTTAATCATTGTTATAGGCACCAGAGGTACAGTGAACAAAGCATTGTGTTTAAAACAGTGACTAAACACATAGCTGCATTAACAAAATCCACGGAATTTACATTCTTACATTCCTGGGAATATTCATAGAACTTATATACTAGTGATAGGAGAGGGCATAAATAAACACATAAATGATATGTGCTAATGGAAAAATCTATGCAAGAAAAAATGAAGGTTTGTAACAGGATAGTGGAGGCAATGAAAAATAATTGGATTTGGATGTTCTTTGAGGGGAAAGCAGAAGCAGTTTTCTGATGGATTGGCTGTGAAATAAAGAGAAGAATCAAGGATAACTCCATAGTTCTGGTCAATGGGGGAGCCATTTACGGGATTGAAAAGACTATTGGAAAAGCATATTTGGGATGTGTGAATACCAAGAGTTGCTTTTTGGACATACTAAGTTGTAGCACCTATTTGACATGTAAATGGAGATGTCAAGCAAACCACTGAATATACACCTCTGGCTTTTAAGAGAAGTCTAGCTTTAATCTACAGTGTGGGCTGTGTCAGCTCAATGTATATGAAGACTATATGTGTTTTGTTGCTTAGCTATTCATACCCCAATTCCAGTGGAAGATAAAATGTTTATTTTTCAGTTGTTAAAGCAGAAGTCTGATATAGCTTGGTTATCTTGGATCATTGCCATCTCTAATCACTGTGGCTCGGGAAAGGGAAGCTCTGATTGGCCAGGCCTGTGTGCCCAAAATTCCCCAATTGAGCCAGGGTGGACTGGGCACATTCACTAAAAGCAGAAATGGTTGATTCCTCAAAGAACTGCTACCAGAAGTTTGGAGGGAACACTGGGAGGCCAGAAACCATGAAAAATAGGTGGAAAGATCTGAATCTCAAAGCAGATTTCATCTCCCTTAGGCAGTAGCTAAGAAGGAGACTCATGATTTTGTACTAAAATTTTAATAGAAAGAAAACCCCACGAAATAGGTTAATAGGTGACACTAAGAGAAGCAGGAAAGCATCCAAGCAAAAAATCAAAGGCTGAAGCATTTGTACCCAATTCCCTGTTTTAGGACTCCATATTGAGAGCTCAAAAGCAGACAGTTCCAAGCTCTATTCTACCACTGTTTCTGTTATCTATTGCAATTTATTACAAACCACCACAAAACTTAGTGGTTTAAAACAATAAACTTGTTATTATACTTATGTTTCTGTATGTTGAGTAGCCTTAGCTGGGCAGTTCCTCTGGTCTGGCTTGGTTTACAGTGAGATGTGGCTAAGACTGGAGCCATCTGGAAATTCAGCCTGGGATGCTGAGCAGCTGCATCTCTTTCCCTGTTGTCTCAGGGCCTCTCCTCTAGGAGCCAGATTTCTTTCTTTCTTTTCCTTTTTTTTTTTTGAGACGGAGTTTCGCTCTTGTTATCCAGGCTATAGTGCAATGGCACGATATTGGCTCACCGCAACCTCCACCTCCTGAGTTCAAGTGATTCTCCTGCCTCAGCCTCCTGAGTAGCTGGGATTACTGGCATGTGCCACCACGCCCGGTTAATTTTGTATTTTTAGTAGAGATGGGGTTTCTCCAAGTTGGTTAGGCTGGTCTCAAACTCCCAACCTCGTGATCCAACTGCCTCAGCCTCCCAAAGTGCTAGGATTACAGGCGTGAGCCACCGTGCCCGGCCCAGAGTAGCCAGATTTCTTAAATGGTAACTCAAGGCTCCCAAAGGTAGTATTCCCAGAAGGAGACAGTGGGAATTGCCAGTTGTCTTAAAGGCCAGGCCTGCAGTGTTATTTATGTTCATTCTATTGGCTGACACAAGTCCCAGGCCAGCCTAGATTTAATGTGAGAATGGGGAATGGTAGCCATGGCTACCAGGAATGGCTCATTAGGGGTCACTCTTGGAGACAGCTGCTACAATCACATCATGTGAGACCCAGGGTGTTCAGTCTAGGCCAAACTTGCCCAAAATGTGTCTGCAGAACACTAGCCTCACAAAATGTTCATGAAAGAAAAAGTATTGCAATGTCAATAAATTTAGAGAATACTATATACTATAAACAATTTTAGAGTATCACTGCTGTCCATTAAACAATAGGGACTTAGAGAAGTCTGCACTAGAATAACTAATTGTTTCATCTGGAGTCTTAATCTAGGTTATTCTAGAAAGCACAGCCCGAGATAAGGGTTTGTGTGAAAGTAGTTTTGTTTGGAGACAGGGTCTCGCTCTGCCACCCACGCTGCAGTGCAGTGGCACAATCACAGCTCACTGCAGCCTCGACCTCCCTGGCTCAAGAGATCCTCCCACCTCAGCCCACACCCCCAAGTAGCTGGGACTGCAGGAACATGCCACCACACCCAGCTCATTCTTTAATTCTTTAGATAGTGTCTTACTATGTTGCCCAGGCTGGTCTCAAACTCCTGTGCTCAAGTTCTCCCACTTTGGCCTCCTAAAGTGCTGGGATTACAGATATGGCCTGATCTGGTTTTTGTTTTTGTTTTTTTGAGATAGGGTCTGACTGTCACCCAGGCTGGAGTGCAGTAGCAAGATCTCATTTTGCTGCAATCTCTGCCGCCTGGGCTCAAGTGATCCTCCCACCTCAGCCTCACAAGTAGCTAAGACTATAGGCGTGCACCACCACACCAGGCTAATTTTTGTATTTTGGTAGAGACAGGGTTTCACCATGTTGCCCAGGCTGGTCTCAAATTCCTGGACTCAAGTGATCCATGTGCCTTGATGTCTCAAAGTGCTGGGATTACAGGTGTGAGCCACCATGCCTGGCCCTATATTTATTTATTTATTTAAAGACAGAGTCTTATTCTGTTGCCTAGGCTGTAGTCCAGTGGCACAATCTTGGCTCACTGCAATCTCCACCTCCCAGGTTCAAGCAATTGTCCTGCCTCAGCCTCCCTAGTAGCTGGGATTACAGGCGTGTGCCACCACGCCCAGCTAATTATTGTATTTTTAGTAGAGACAGGGCTTCACCAAGTTGGACCAGGCTGGTCTTGAACTCCTGACCTCAGGTGATCTGCCCACCTCGGCCTCCCAAAGTGCTGGAATTACAGGCATGAGCCACTGTGCCCGGATGTTTTGTTTTTAAAGTGATCCTGAGGAGCAGGAACAGCAGAAAAGAGAAAGAAAAAATAAGCCAATCCAAGGGTGTGCTATTGAGTCAATAACCACTGTAGGGCTCTACATGGATAGTGCTCCATGGAGGAGCTGTGTAGAAGGCACCTCAGAATTTCTACCTGAGAGAAATTTTCTTTCTTTTCCTTCCTTCCTTCCTTCCTTCCTTTCTCTCTCTCTGTCTCTTTCTTCCTTTCTCTTTCTCTTTTTTTCTTTCTTTCTTTCTTTCTCTTTCTTTCTTTCCTTCCTTCCTTCCTTCCTTCCTTCCTTCCTTCCTTCCTTCCTTCCTTCCTTCCTTCCTTCCTTCTTTCTTTCTCTTTCTTTCTTTCTTTCTTTCTTTCTTTCTTTCTTTCTTTCTTTCTTTCTTTCTTTCTTTCTTTCTTTCTTTCTCCTTCCTTCCTTCTGTCTTTCTCTCTCTGTCTTCCTTTCTTTTCTTTTTCTTTTTTTTTTTTTCCGAGATGGAATTTTGCTCTTGTCGCCCAGGCTGGAGTGCAGTGGTGCGGTCTTTGCTCACTGCAACCTCCACCTCCCAGGTTCAAGCAATTCTCCTGCCTCAGCCTCCTGAGTAGCTGGGATTACAGGTGCCCACCACCACACACCTGGCTAATGTTTTGTATTTTTAGTAGAGATGGGGTTCCGCCATGTTGGTCAGGCTGGTCTCAAATGCCTGACCTCAGGTGATTTGCCTGCCTTGGCCCCCAAAGTGCTGGGGTTACAGGCATGAGCCACCGACTGCACCCAGATGAGAAATTGTTTTCATTGGCTCCATCCCACATTTATCAAAGCTTTCCCCTTAGATGTTACCTCTTTCACGTGTCCAGGATTGTACATGCATTAGAAGCACTCAACAGACTCCTGAAGGCATCCCAGCCTGCAGTGACAAAGAAGCCCTGAGGCAGAAAACAGGAGGAGCATAGTATGGCTGAGATGAGGTCCATGGCTAGTTGCCACAGCAATGGCTGGAGTAAAACTATGGGCTGAGGAGATGTGGCCTGAGGCACAGGTATGTTTGATGGGAGGTAACATTTCTCAAACTTGTCTGCTTGAGGACCCATATTTCAAATGGGGCCTATCATTATTCCATGTTGCACAGAACACACTTGTGGGTGCATAGGTCTAAATGCCCACCAAAGACAGTGTTATACTAAAGCAATACAGACCACCTTCTCCCAGTTTTCATGCCTAATTTCTTCCAGACTGTGTTCTTTCTGACCTTCCTGCTGAGTCCATCTTAGCATTGAGCATCCATTGGAACACATGGGCACAGAATCTCCTGCCCCATATATACACTTCTCTGCAATTCCACCACTAAGGATTCTAGCCTGTGGGGACATAGTTAATTGTCTACATATGTATTAGTCCATTTTCATGCTGCTGATAAAGACATACCGGAGACTGGGCAATTTACAAAAGAGAAAGGTTTAATGGACTTATAGTTCCACATGGCTGGGGAGGCCTCACAATCATGGTGGAAGGTGAAAGGCATATCTCACATGGCAGCAGACAAGAGGAGAGAGCTTGTGCAGGGAAACTCCCTTTTTTAAAACCATTAGATCTCAGCCGGGCACGGTGGCTCACACCTGTAATCCCAGCACTTTGGGAGGCCGGGGTGGGCAGATCACAAGGTCAGGAGATTGAGACCATCCTGGCTAACATGGTGAAAGCCCATCTCTACTAAAAATACAAAAAATTAGCCGGGCGTGGTGGCGGGTGCCTGTAGTCCCAGCTACTCGGGAGGCTGAGGCAGGAGAATGATGTGAACCCAGGAGGCAGAGCTTGCAGTGAGCCGAGATCGCACCACTGAACTCCAGCCTGGGTGACAGAGCGAGACTCCATCTCAAAAAATAAAAAAAAAAAACAAAACCATTAGATGTCATGAGACTTATTCACTATCATGAGAGCAACATGGGAAAGACTCACCCCCATGATTTAATTACCTCTCACTGGGTCTCTCTCACAACATGTGGGAATTCAAGATGAGATTTGCGTGGGGACACAGCCAAACCATATCAATATAGCATCCATTTCTCCTTTTCGCTTCCTAACAGCACCCCATATGTGATTTGGGTGACAGTGGTTCTATTCTTGGCTCAGGAGAGCAGGTGGTTTAAGGCAATTACTGCATTTCATCTGGGGGCCCTAGTGACTGGGTTATGATGTTCTGGATGTGGATGAGAGGGCATGTTACCCCAGTTTTATTGATAACCACCTTGTGACCATATAGAAAGCCATCCCTGAGGTGAAGCCAACACTGTGGCAGGTAAAGTTAAGGTTGAAAGACTTAGGGGGACCTGGGTCAACATTTGCCTGAAGTTCAACTTACCGCCAGATTTCTCAGTTATGTATGCCAATAAATCTTCTTTGTGGCTTAAGCCATTTGAGTTCATTTTTCTGGGTTTTTTTTTTTGTAATTGATTGCACACTACTTGATTGCTTTGAAAAGGATAACTACATTTCAGACTCATATAGGCCTCAAAAGATCAGTGGCATGAGGCCTCATTTTTCAGTATGTTCCTAAACTATAGAAGAAATAAGTATTTATTTGGCATAATTTCACTATTTTTCCCCTGAGCATACATTTTCTCACAAGTGTAGAACCTCAATACCCTTCCAGAAATCTGGTCAGAGGTGTGTGAGAGGTCATTTTCTAAGAAGAGATATCTCAAACTGAAAGATAGTCTACAAAATAACTGGCCCGAAATAACTGACTTTTAGAAGTGCCAAGGTCATGAAAAATGAAGGATTGAGTAATAGCCCTAAATTAAAGCGTCTAAAGAGACATAACAACTGAATGCAACACGTGATACTCAATGGGATCTGGGACCAGAAAAGGGAGATTAGCAGGACAACTAGTGAAATTGGAATAAAGTTTATCACTTAGGTAATAGTAATGAATCAATTAATGTTAATTTTCTGATTTTGGTAACTGATTAACTAGTTACATAAGTTGTTAACTTTGGGGGAGCTTGGTGAAGGCTGTACGAGCATCTTGGTACTATTTTTGTGATTTTTTGAGAGTTGGAAATTCAATTGAAAAATAAAGTACAGGGTTAGAGCGGCCCTTTTTTAATGCATTGATTAGAATTTCCACTGCTATGATATCTTACAAATACAGAGAGAATGTGGGTCTCTAAGACTTCTCTGGCAATCCATTCATTAGCAAGACTCAGAATTCACAGGTCTGCCCTGGAAGACACTAAGCTGAAGGCAAATCTATATTTTTCATGCCTTATTAAGGAGATCTGACTTGGTCTTGGAAGAATGCAAAAAATGTTTTGTTATGGGAGTAAGACATATGTCAATCCAGAAAATTTTTTAAGAGCAGGCAATTTTTCAAATAAGACTTTTAGTCTCAGATTAGAGAGGAAAAGGATTTGGCAGAGAAACGCTGAGGAGACTCATCTGAGTGGGTTGTTTTGGCAGCCATGAGTGAGTTGTAAGCCAGCATTTAGAATGGGTGAGTCTGGAAAGTAGATTTGGTGGAAAAAGAGGATGATTCATTCACCAATAATAATAGTAATAAATACTGCTGACAAGGTACTTTTAATTAGCAAATGGAAAATAAGCTCAAGACACATACACCAAGTCCCTTAGAAGTGAGGTCAGAACAAATTCTCTTCAAAAAATGGGAACATTTGTAGTAGCTCCTGTTCCTGGAATTTATTGACAGGTTTTTTTTTTTTTTGCAATGTGGGAGATATGTTCTCCTCTCTTTCAGAGGAAATCCAATTGCTTCCCCATTGAGTTAATATGAAGATTATTCTGGAATGTATCAAAAGAGCACTGCACAGTATATTTCTTTCTTTCTCCAAGTACAAAGAAGTATCCGAAGTTTTATTTTTCAGAATCATTAGCTGATTCATATTCTGTAATCGGAAAAAGAGGCCAGAACAAAATTCTGGGAAGTGAGCTCAATCAAAACCCTTAATTTGGAAACTTGTTTGGAGAATTTCCTGCCCCAGAAAGAGCCATTGCCTGGGGTGGAGGGGATGTCACTCTCAGGACACTGGGGGAGAAGGGTTAAAGTTCTGTCCATAAAACCTTGAATTTCTTAATCAGAAGTGAGGCATCCTATCTTCCATAGGATCATTTCTGATTACCTTTTTCTACCTTCTAACAACAAATTCCCTAAAATTTCCTCTTCTATTCCTTTTGTTATCTCCCTTTTTTCTTTGTCATCTTCAGCCTTCTTTGATCCCATCTGTAGAGTTTCATTTTGTATGATTCTAAGGAATAAGATGTTGGGAAAAGAAAGAAAAGAAAAGAAGAAAGAAGAAGGAGGAAGAGGAGGAGAAGGAAGAAAGGAAAGAAGGAAGGAAGGAAAGAGACAGCAGACAATAAGCATTAAAAGTCTTCCTTCCCTTGAGGCTTTGTAGATCCTCCAACTCCAGCTTCAGGTCCCATCCAGAGTTTGGTATAACCACAAAAAATCATTATCATTTGATCATTCTCCTGTGAGCCAATGCTGATTTCCAACCTGTTTCCACCCATTGGTCCTTCTTTTATACCCTGGAGGACCTGGGGCTGATTGGATTATTGTTTCTGATTCTTCACTGTTTAAAATAGAATTTTTTGCCAAGTAACTTTCCAATGCCTCTCAGCAAAATATAGGCAGGAACTTCTGCTTTAAGGTCTGACATGTTAGGATCTTAGAAGTCACCACTCTGTCCCAACAGCAAGTAAAAAGCTGAACAGAATGAAAAATCAATAACTCTTCATAGATATATCAGAAAAGTGAGGTCACAGGGCAAGCAGCTGCCCCCAGAACTGAGGAGATAGATAGGCAGATACGGAGAATCACAATTTACAGGGGCAGAAAACTTAGCTGGCACCAGTACTAGGATGGGAAAATCTGAACTGTAATTGATGAATTGCTGGAGGCTCAGTGTGGACAACTCTGAGATTCCAGGGTCCCCCGGAGTTTAACAGGGTGGGGGACTCACAGTTTTGTGAGGGGGCGGGGGACCCATGGTTTTGTGAGTTTTATCTACTGAGTCTCTACAAGGTGTGAATCTTAGAGAAAAAACCCCTTGTGCTTCTGGCAGGTGGAGGAGAATAGAAACCATTTTAAAATACACCAGAGAATTCTGTTCTTTCTAAACAGGCCTGCTCTCAAAATAAATGATTTTATTAGAGTTCAACCTTCTGGGGCTTCATCAGAGCCTAATCTACCTGAGACAGGGGAAATACCCAGCTTCAGCTAGCTCCAGCCATCCTGTCCCACCTAAGGGGGGAGGGGTCCTGAGAAGCACTGTTGAAGTTCACAGTCTGGGGCACAGGCTCACCACAAGACTGAGACCTAATCAAAGGATATAGAGCTTCCCCTCCCCCAACAACTCATCACATTAGTAAAGTTCCATTTATTGCAGTTCTTCTTAACCAGTGCATCATATTTACCTTTCAACAAAAAATTACAAGACATACTAAAAAACAAAAACACAGTTTGAAGAGACTGAATATCAGAACCAGAATCTGATATGGCAGAATTTTAGAATTATCAGACTGGGAATTGTTAAAACACTGATGAATATGCTAAGGGCTCTAATGGAAAAAGTAGACAACATACAAGAACAGATGGATAATGTAAGCAGAAAGATGAAAATTCTAAGAAAGAATAAAAAAAACTTCTAGGCCAGGCGAGGTGGCTCATGCCTGTAATTCCAGCACTTTGGGAGGCTGAGGCAGGTGGATCACCTGAGGTCAGGGGTTCGAGACCAGCCTGGCTAACATGGTGAAACCCCATTTCCACTAAAAACACAAAAAATTAGCTGGATGTGGTGGCACATGCCTGTAATCCTAGCTACTCAGGAGGCTGAGGCAGGAGAATCGCTTGAACCCGGGAGACAGAGGTTGCAGTGAGCCAAGAGATTGTTCCATTGCACTCCAGCTTGGGCAACAAGAGTGAAACCCCAAACTCTTGAAAAGAACTTCTACATATCAAAAGCACTAAAACAGAAATGAAGAATACCTTTGATGGGCTCATTAGTAGACTGGACGTGGCTGAGGTAATAATCTGTAACATTGAGAATATCTGAGTAGAAACCTCCAAAACTAAAAAGCAAACAGAAAAAAGACTGGAAAACAAACAAACAAACAAACAAACAAACACAGAACAGAATATCTGAGAACTGTGGGGCTACTACAAGTGATGCAACATACATGTAATGGGAATACCAGAAGAAGAAAAAAGAAAAAGGAATAGACACAATATTTGAAGCAATAATCACTGAGAATTTTCCTAAACTTACGCCAGACACCAAACCACAGATTGAGGGATCTCAGAGAACACCTAGCAGGATAAAAGCCCCTCCCATCCCCCCCCCAAAAAAAAGAAAGAAAAAGAAAACAAAAACCAAGAAAACCCCTATACCTAGGAATATCATATTCAAACTTTAGAAAATCAAATATACAGGAAAAATCTTGAAAGATGCCAGAGGAAAAAACACATTTTACCCACAAAGAAGCAAAGATAAGAATTACATCTGACGTCTAAGAAACCATACAAACCAGAAGAGTAGAATAAAACATTAAAACTGCTGAGAAAAGAAACACCAACCTAAAATTCTGTACTCTGAAATTATCCTTCAAAAGTGAAGGAGAAATAGAGTGTCTTAGAAAAACAAAAATTGAGAGAACTTGTTGCTAATAGCTCAGCCTTGCAAGAAATACTAAAATAAGCTGTTTAAGCTGGGCGCGGTGACTCACGCCTATGTTCCCAGCACTTCGGGAGGCCAAGGCAGGCAGATCACCTGAGGTCAGGAGTTAAAGGCCAACCTGGCCAACATAGTGAAACCTCCATCTCTACTTAAAATACAAAAAAATTACCCAGGCATGGTGGTGCATGTCTGTAATCCCAGCTACTTGGGAGGCTGAGGCAGGAGAATCGCTTGAACCCGGGAGGCAGAGGTTGCAGTGAGCCGAGATCATGCCATTGCACCCAAGCCTGGACAACAGAGTGAGACACCATCTCAAAAAAAAAAAAAAAAAAAAAAAAGACCATTATGGATCAAAAAACAAGACACAACTACAGATAGTCCCCAATTTATGATGGTTCAACTTACAATTTTTTGACTTTACGATGATGTGAAAGTGATATGCACTCAGTAGAAACTGTACTTCAAATTCCTGTATAAACCACTCTATCTTTTGCTTTCAGTACAGTCTTCAATAAATTACATGAGATATTCCACACATTATTATAAAATAGGCTTTGTATTAGATTATTTTGCTCAACTGTAGGCTAATTTTTAAGGTAGGCTAAGCTATGAGATTTTGTAGGTTGGATGTATTAAATGCATTTTTGACTTACGATAAACTATTCTGGGTTTATCAAGACATAACCTCATCATAAGTTGAGGAACACCTGTATATGTTGTCCACAAGAAACCCATTTAGAATATAAAGACACATATAGATTAAAAGTAAAGAGATGGAAAAAGATATGCTATGCTAGCATTAATCATAAAAAATGGGAATAGGCCAGATGCAGTGGCTCACACCTGTAATCCCAGCACTTTGGGAGGCCGAGGTGGGTGGATCACACGGTCAAGAGATGGAGGCCAACATGGTGAAACCTTGCTCTACTAAAATTACAAAAATTAGCTGGGCATGGTGGCTGGACGTCTGTAGTCCCAGCTACTTGGGAGGCCGAGGCAGGAAAATCACTTGAACCCGGAAGGCGGAGGTTGCGGTGAGTCAAGATCATGCCACTGCACTCCAGCCTGGCGACAGAGCAAGACTCCATCTAAAAAAAAAAAAAAGTGGGAATAACTATATTAATTTCAGACAGAGCAGATTTCAGAGCAAGGAAAGTTATCAAAGATAAAGAGGGGTACTACACAATGATAAAAGGTGAATACACCAAGAAGACAAACCAGTCCTTAATGTGTATGAACCTAATAACAGAGCATCAAAATATGTGAGGCAAAAACTGATAGAACAGCAAGGAAATAGATGAATCCACTATTACAGTTGGAGGCTCCAACATCCCTCCATCATAAATAAACAGATTCAACAGGCAGAAAATCAATAAGGACTTAGTTGAACTGAACAGCACCATCAATGAACTGGATATAGTTGACCTCTATAGGTTAATTTATCCAACAATTGTAGATTACATATTTTTTTACAGGTTCAAATGGAGCATTCACCAAGATAAACCACATTCTGGGCCATAAAACTTACATTAAAAAATGTAAAAAAAAATAAATTATGCAATGTTTATTCTCAAACTACAATGAAATTAAAACAGAAATTAAAAAAAAACACAGAAACATAAAAATATAAAAAACACTTGAAAAAACACAGGAAAGTTCAGGCACGGTGGCTGACGCCTGTAATCCCAGCACTTTGGGAGGCCGAGGTGAGTGGATCACTTGAGGTCAGGAGTTTGAGACCAGCCTGGCCAACATGGTGAAACACCGTCTCTACTAAAAATACAAAAATTAGTCAGGCATGGTGGCATGCACCTGTAGTCTCAGCTACTCGGGAGGCTGAGGCAGGAGAATCTCTTGAACCTGGGAGGCAGAGGTTGCAGTGAGCTGAGATCATGCCACTGCACTCCACCCTGGGCAACAGAACAAGACTCTGTCTCAAAAAAGAAAAAAAAAGAAAGAAAAAGAAAAAAGAAAAAAAACGAAGGAAAATAAAAGAACACTTGAAGATTTAATAACACACTTTTAGGTCAAAGAGGAATCCTCAAGAGAAATTTTAAAATATTTTGAACTAAATTAAAATACAACTTTTTTTTTTCTTTTGAGATGGAGTCACCCAGGCTGGAGTGCAGTGGCACAATCTCAGCTCACTGCAACCTCCGCCTCCTGGGTTCAAGCGATTCTCCTGCCTCAGCCTCCCGAGTATCTGGGATTACAGGCACCTGCCACCACGTCCAGCTAATTTTTGTATTTTTAGTATAGATGGGGTTTATCCATGTTGATCAGGCTGGTCTCGAACTCCTGACCTCAGGTGATCCGCCCGCCTCGGCCTCCCAAAGTGCTAGGATTACACGCATGAGCCACCACGCTTGGCCAAAAATACAACTTATAAAAGTTTTCAGGACGCAGTGAAGGCAGTACTTGGAGGGAAATTTATATCATTAAATGAATATATTTGAAAAGAAGGATCTTAAATCAGTCATCCAAGCTTCCACTTTAGGAAACTACAAAAATAAGAGCAATTGAATCCACAGTAACCAGTAGAATAGACAGAATGTATACCTTATCTCATTTGTCTTTGAACTTGGCCATGTAATTCACTTTAAACAACGGAATGTCATCAGATATATGAGCAGAGGTTGTAAGTGTGCTTGTGTGGTTTGGCGTGGCCTCTCGTGCTTTTGCCATCTTCATAAGTGTGCCCTTAGTAGCTGCTCTTTCTAGAATGAAAGACATTTGGAGCAGTCGTAAACCGGATCTTCCATCTGGAGCCAAGCCCAGCCAACTCACAACCTGAAGCAGAACTTCCCCAGCCAGCCTGAAGACCTATGATTGAGGAAAATAAGTGTCATTACAAGCCACTGAAATCTGTTTATGTATTTAGCTTGTTATACAGCATTATTTCAACAATAGCTGGCCTCTTGTCTTTATATTCCCAGTAATGAACACGTTTTTTAGTTTTACCTCTAAAATTTACCATTGCGCAAATTTTGGTGGGAGGAAGTCCTCTCAGACCCTTCCCCTTCCCAATAGCAATATCAGTCATGTGATCTGATTCAACCAATCAGGTGCTGTCTTCTCCCAAAACCTTGAATCTGGAACAAATGATACAGACATGAGGGGACAGTTAGAATTCATTTATTTGGTGGTAGCAAGAAGTATCCAGTGGGAATGACAGCATAACCAGACTCTTCCTGGGGTAAGATTTTTATTACAATTTTGCAAGTCTAGCCTTCATTGGTTGTGGCCCATTTTCCAGCCATATCATCAATTCTGTGAGCAGCCAACTAATTTCTTTTCCAGTTCAGTTAAACACAATCCATTTCTGTTGTTTGCAATCAAGAGCCCTGACTGGTACAAACAGCTCATCTGAAATGAACATAGAAGCCTTTTACATTTATTTTGAAGGTTCTAAAAATCTCTAGAGCTAAGAGAGCTTTTTTTTCTCCCTGAAAATGATTCATCATTTCTATGAAATGATACCAACTTACATCAAGAAAGAGTGTTGGCCGGGTGCAGTGCCTCACACCTGTAATCCCAGCACTTTGGGAGGCCGAGGCTGGTGGATCATCTGAAGTTAGGTGTTCAAGACCAGCCTGGCCAACATGGTGAAACCCCATCTCTACTAAAAATACAAAAATTAGCCGGGCGTGCTGGCTGGTGCCTGTAATCCCAGCTACTTGGGAGGCTGAGGCAGGAGAATCACTTGAACCTGAGAGGCAGAGGTTGCAGTGAGCCGAGATCATGCCATTGCGCTCCAGCCTGGGCAACAAGAGCAAAACTCTGTCTTAAAAAAAAAAAAAAGAAAGAAAGAAATAGTGTTAATTAAATCCATCATTTTGGAAAAATCTTTCTTCTTTAGATCTACATTAGCATATCTTTCTAGAAGGGACAAGATCTTTTAACATAAGAAATCTGGTATGCCTTCATTTTTTTTTTTTGCCTAGAGACTATAGTTCCAGAGAGAGAGAGAGAGAGAGAGAGAGAGAGAGAGAGAGGAGAGAAACAAGATACCAAGCACAATGGCTCATGCCTGTAAGTCCAACACTTTGATGGGTCAAGGTGGGAGGAGGGCTTGAAGCCAGGAGTTCAAGACCAGCCTGGGCAATATAGGGAGTCCCTGTATCTACAAAAAATTTTAAAAATTTAGCCGGGCACAGTGGCGTGTGTCTGCAGTCCCAGCTACTTGGGAGGCTGACGCTAGAGGATCCATAACAACAAACCCAAAAAGAAACAAGAGAGAAAAGAAAAGGAAGAAAGAAGAAGTCTGGAGTCTTTCTCTGGCAAATTGGAGGTAATAATAGTGTCTTTTGTGAATAAGACTCTTTCTACTCTAACTAGATTATTTCAGAATTGATAAACTTTCTTATTATGAAGGGTGAAAATTACTAATCCATATCTTATGAACTAAACTCAGCTTAGCCAAAATAAAAACCGGCCCTGAAAAGATATTATGGGAGAGAACAGTTGATGATTTGTAGGACTTGAGAGTTAGTGAAATAAACATCAAAAATATAAACGGAGCTGGGTGTGATGGTGTGCACCTGTAGTCCCAGCTACTTTGGAGGCTGAGGTGGGAGGATCGCTTGAGCCTGGGATGTCAGGCTGCAGTGAGCCAAGATTTCACCACTGCATTCCAGCCTGGGCAACACAGTGGCACACTGTCTCAAAAAGAATAATATTAATAATAATAATAAATAAAAATAAAATAGTCTGGGCGCGGTGGCTCATACCTGTAATCCTAGCACTTTGGGAGCCTGAGGCAGACGGATTGCTTGAGGCCAGGAGTTCCAGACCAGCCTGGGCAACACGGCCAAACCCCGTCTCTACTAAAATTACAAAAAATTAGCTGGATGAGGTGGCATGTGCCTGTAGTCCCAGCTACTCGGGAGGCTGAGGCATGAGAATTGCTTGAACTCAGGAGGCAGAGGTTGCAGTGAGCCAAGATTGTGCCATTGCACTCCAGCCTGGGCGACAGAGTGAGACTCTGTTTCAAAAAACAAAACAAAACAAAATAAAATAAAATACCACTATATGCCTATTAGAATCGCTAAAATTCAAAACACTGACACAATAATTGCGACAAGGATGTGGAGTAAAAGGAATTCTCCTTCTTTGCTGGCAGTTTCTTACAAAATTAAACATAATCTGACCCTATGATCCAGCAATCACACTCTTCTTTGTCTACTCAAATTAGATGCAAACTATATCCACACAAAAACCTGCACACAGTTATTAACAGAAATTTTATTAATAATTGCCTAAACTTGGAAGCAACCAAGATGTCCTTCAATAGGCAAATGGATAAAAAAATTGTGGCACATACATACAATGGAATAGTATTCAGCAATAAAAAGAAATGAAGCCAGGTGCAGTGGCTAACGAGTGTAATCTCAGCACTTTGGGAGGCTGAGGTAGGCAGATCGCTTGAGCTCGGGAGCTTGACACCAGCATGGGCAACATGGTGAAACCCCATCTCTACTAAAAATACAAAAATTAGCCTGGTGTGGTGGAGCACGCCTATGATCCCAGATACTCTCGTGGCTGAGGCAGGAGAATCGCTTGAATCCAGGAGGTGGAGGTGCAGTGAGCCGAGATCATGCCACTGCACTCTAGCAATCTAGTTATCAAGCCATGAAAAGACATAGAGAAAACATATGCATATTACTATGTGAAAGAAGCCAATCTGAACAGAAAAGCCTGCATACGGTATGATTCTAACTATATAGCATTCTGAAAAATACAAAATTATGGAAACAGTAAAAAGATCAATGGTTGCTAGGACCTTGGGGGTGGGGGGTAGGGGACAAGAGGGAGTGACAAACAGATGAAGCACAGAAGATGTTTAGATCAGTGAAAAATACTCAGATACTGTAATGGTGGATACATGTCATTATAAATTATACATGTCAAAAGCCATAGAATTATAACACAAAGAGTGAATCCTGATGTAAATTGTAGATTTTAGTTAATAATAGGTATTGGCCGGGCGCGGTGGCTCACTCCTGTAATTCCAGCACTTTGGGAGGTCAAGGCAGGCAGATAACTTGAGGTCAGGAGTTTGAGACCAGCTTGCCCAACATGGTGAAGCCCCATCTCTACTAAAAATACAAAAACTAGCCGGGCGCAGTTGTGCATGCCTGTAATCCCAGTTACTCGGGAGGCTGAGGCACGAGAATCTCTTGAACCTGGGAGGCGGAGGTTGCAGTGAGCTGAGATTCATGCCACTGCACTCCAGCCTGGGGGACAGAGCAAGACTCCGTCTCAATAATAATAATAATAGTAATAATAATAGGTATCAATGTTGGTTCACCACTTGTACCACATAGACATAAGATGTAAATAATAGAGACTACCCTGTGCAGAGGGAGAAGGGGTATGTGGGAACTCTACTTTCTGATCAATTTGTAACTTTCAATTTTCTGTAAACCTAAAGTTTTTCTACAAAATAAAGTCTACTTAAAAAAAATAAAGGCATAAAAACCATGCCCACCTATTTACCTCCTCAAATGTATGGCATATAGAAAACCAGCTCAATCAATCAACAAACCATTATTAATCAGGGTGCAGAGACAAGGGGCAAAAGCTAACACAGATAAGGTATGCAAGGTATTCCAAAGAGGGGCAATGGGTGAGTTCATGCCATTCGCCATTGTTGTTTCTGCCATGTGCCAAGTCAGAGGGGCTTGGAAGAGCTGTTCAGACCAGCATATGACAAAATGAATTTGGAATTTGGAAAAGATTTGAACCTTGGCATCCAAAGATCAGGAGTCCTGGTTCCACCAGTTGAATTTCCTTTCCCTCTCTGAGCCCCAGTTTCCTCATGTACAAAGTGGATGCAATAAATTGAAGGGGAAAATGTTTTTTGTTTGTTTGTTTGTTTTGTTTTTTTGAGATGGAGTTTCGCTCTTGTTGTCCAGGCTGGAGTGCAATGCCATGATCTCGGCTCACTGCAACCTCTGCCTCCTGTGTTCAAGCAATTCTCCTGCCTCAGCCTCCTGAGTAGCTGGGATTACAGGCATGTGCTACCATGCCTGGCTAATTTTTGTATTTTTAGTAGAGGTGGGATTTCACCATGTTAGCCAGGCTGATCTTGAACTCCTGATCTCAGGTGATCCACCCACCTTGGCCTCCCAAAGTGCTGGAATTACAGGCGTGAGCCACTGCGCCCGGCCGGGAAAATGTTTTAAAACTTTAAACAGCTACACAGAGGGAAGTTGTTGTTGCTATTACATTCTGAATATTCAGAATGTATTGCTATCCCCTATCTCCTCAACGATGGGGGAGAAAAGAAAAACTTTACGGAAAGATTGATTGCTAGTGGCTGTTTCTGGCAAGAGATGAACATTGCAGTAAGAGCAACAACAAAAAAAATGCAGGCTCAGGCTTCTTGGGGTTTTTGGCTCAGCCCTCAGCTCATCACGACTCCAAATGCTGGCGAGCAAAATAACACAATCATGTTGAGTTAGGCTCTTTTGCGATGTTATGGAACACGCATTGCAAAGAGCACCTGGGACTCCAAGAATGCTGCTGAGCTTCAGCCAGGAGAGGCTGCTGAGGCGTTCTATTCATGTAAAGGGAGTACTTCTGTGATCCGAGAGTTTCTACTTGGCTGTACATCAGAAAAATGGCCCAGCTAGTAGAAGGTGAGGGTAATGTGCCTGGAAACTTAGAGCTATCCTGAGTGACTTCTCGTCAGAAGCACTGCTAGGCTCTCGGTGAATCACATATCCTGAGACACAGACTGGCTATGTTAGCTGTCTTTGTCTTCCCGACTGCATCTTTCCAAAGTAAACCCTCATGTATAACTACTTTAATGGATGAATCTGTTATTACAAATTAACAGACTCCTATTTACTTTTATTTTCATTTCTTCTGAGACAGAGTCTTACTCTGTCGCCCAGGTTGGAGTGCGGTGGAGTGATCTCGGCTCACTGCAACCTCCTCCTCCAGGGTTCAATCGATTTTCATGCCTCAGCCTCTCGAGTAGCTAGGAATACAGGCATGTGTCACCACACCCAGCTAATTTTTTGTATTTTTAATAGAGATGGGGTTTTGCTATGTTGACCAGGCTGGTTTTGAACTCCTGGCCTCAAGTGATCCACCCACCTCAGCCTTCCAAAGGGTGAGGATTCATTCATTCATGCTGGGATTACAGGCATGAGCCACCATGCCCAGCCCAGACTCCTATTTAAAGCCAACGACCAGCTGGGTGTGGTGGCTCACGCCTGTAATCCCAGCACTTTAGGAGGCTGAGGCAGATGGATCACGAGGTCAGGAGATCAAGACCATCCTGGCTAACACGGTGAAACCCCATCTGTACTAAAAATACAAAAAATTAGCCACTACAGGTGCGCACCTGTAGTCCCAGCTACTTGGGAGGCTGAGGCAGGAGAATCGCTTGAACCTGGGAGGTGGAGGTTGCAGTGAGCCGAGATCACACCACTGCACTCCAGCCTGGCGGACACAGCAAGACTGTCTCAAAATAAAATAAAATAAAATAAAATAAAGCCAACAACCTCCTTCCCTATATTGGTAAATATAGGTTCCTAATGTGTTCCTAAATATGTTCCCTAAACCAGTAGCGTCAGCATTATCTGGGAACTTACTAGAAATGCAAGTTCAGCTGGGTGGGGTGGTTCATGCCTGTAATCCCGGCATTTGGGAGGCCGAGGTGGGTGGATTACCTGAGGTCAGGAGTTTGAGACCAGCCTGACCAATATGGTGAAACCTTGTCTCTACTAAAAATACAAAAATTAGCCAGGTGTGGTGATGTGCACCTGTAATCCCAGCTACTTGGGAGGCTGAGACAGGAGAATTGCTTGAACCTGGTAAGTGGAGGTTGCAGTGAGCTGAGATCGTGCCACTGCACTCCAGCCCGGGTGACTGTTTCAAAAAAAAAAAAAAAAAGAAAGAAAGAAATGCAAGTTCTCAGGTTCCACTCCAGATGGACTGAATGAGAAACTCTAGGGGTGGGGGCCCTGCAATCTGTGTGTTTGCAGGCCCTCTAGGGCATTCCGACTCACCCTGAAGCTTAGGAACCACTGCTCTGTACCATCTCCTACAGCCTGTTCAAAAACATAGCTTCAACAGTTCTTCCCTCTGCACCAATATCAATTTCTCCCTCTCCTTTTGATCATTCCTGTCAGCACATTTATTCGTGCTATTAATTTTCTTATTGTAAAAGAAACACTCTCTTGACTTCACTTCTCTTGCTATAGCTTCAATCTTTGCTTCTCTTTAGTGTGGCTAAACAAAATTCCTCAAAAGATCTGTCTATGTTTTTCCCCCTAGTCTCCTTTTCTCAAATTAGGCATTGCCATCAGAACTCCAAGAAAGTGCTCCAATCAAGGTTAACCAATGACTCCAATGCCACTAAATCCTCAATGCGGACAAACCTCAGTCTGCTTCTTAGTTGATCACTTTCTCTTCCTGGGAGCACTTCCTCACTTGGGTTTCAGGTCTTCACACTCTACTGGTTTTCCTCCTACATCCTCTTTTTCTTTTCTTTTTTTTGAGACTGAGATTCTCTCTGTTGCCCAGGCTGGAGTGCAGTGGTGTGATCTTGGCTCATTGCAACCTCCACTTCCTGGGCTCAAGCCGTTCTCCTGCCTCAGCCTCACAAGTAGCTGGGACTACAGGCGTGTGCCACCATGCTCAGCTAATTTCTGTATTTTCAGTAGAGATGGGGTTTTGCCCTGTTGGCTAGGCTGGTCTCAAACTTTTGACCTCAAGTGATCCACCCACCTCAGCCTCCCAAAGTGCTGGGATTACAAGCGTGAGCCACCGCACCCTGCCTGACTCATCTTTTTCAACCTTCTCTGTAGATTCTTCCCATCTCCTTGACCTCTTACTGAGATTTTGGCCACTTCTCTGTATCTGCACCCATTCCCTTAGGTGATCTCAATTTTATTCTCATGACTTTAAATATAAACTATATGTTTGTGATTCTAAAAAATATATTTCCAATCCAGAAATGTCTCCTGAATTCTAGGCTCATATATTCCACTGCCTGGTTGATATCTCCACTCGGATATCTGTTAGATGTATCGGAATTAACATGTCCCAACTTGACCTGATCTCCCCCTACTCCATAAATAATCTTCTCCGTATTGTTTTCCATATTTCAATGACTGAACACGCCATCCTAGTTGCTAAGCTAAAGAGCTTGGAGTCATCTTTTATCCTTTTCTTTCTGACATAGTTCATGTCCAGTCTAACAGGAAATCATCTTGGCTCTACCTTCAAAATATAACCAGAATCTGATCTCTTCCCACCCCTGCTGCCCCCTAGCTCCAGCCATCATCTCTCAGCTAGATTACTGAAATTGCTTAATGCATGGTGCCCCGCTCTCTCTATTGCTTCTCTACAGTAGATTCTTAGCAACTAGGATAATCTGTTTATTTATTTATTTAGAGGCAGAGTCTTGCTCTGCTACCCAGACTAGAGTGCAGTGGCACAAATCTTGGCTCACTGCAACCTCCACCCCCCCAGGTTCAAGCAATTCTCCTGCCTCAGCCTCCTGAGTAGCTGGGATTACAGGTGTGCACCACCATGTCTGGCTATTTTTTTTTTTTTTTTGTATCTTTAATAGAGACAGAGTTTCACCATGTTGGCCAGGCTTGTCTGAAACTCTTGACCTCAGGTGATCCACCTGCCTTGGACTCCCAAAGTGCTGGGATTACAGGCATGAGTCACCACTCCTGGCCAGACAATCGATTTAAAACGTAATGAGGTCATGTCACATATAATGGCTCCCTATTTTTCTTTTCATTTTTTTTTTTTTTTTTTTTTTTGAGGCAGAGTCTTGCTTTGTCACCAGGTTGGAGTGCAGTGGCGGGATTTCAGCTCACTGCAACCTCCGCCTCCCGGCTTCAAGCAAGTCTTCAGCCACAGCTCCCTGAGTAGTTGGGATTACAGATGCCCGCCACCATGCCCAGCTAATGTTGTGTATTTTTAGTAGAGATGGGGTTTCCCCATGTTGCCCAGGCTGGTCTCAAACTCCTGACCTCAGATGATCCACCTGCCTCAGCCTCCCAAAGTGCTAGGATTACAGGTGTGAGCCACCGTGCCTGGCTACTCCCTATTTTTCATCTGGATTCAAAGTCAGAGTCTTCCCCTCAATTGCTTTTCTACTTCGTTGCCTAACTCTCTCCCCCTTGCTCCTGCTCTAGCTACTGACCTTGCTACTTCTCCAACCCTCCAGGCTTGCCCTTCACTCACAGCCATTGAACTGGTTGCTCCTCTGTCTGAAATGATTCTCTCAATTTCTTCAAGTATTTTCTCAAATGTCACTTTTTACTTTTATTTGTTCACTTTTTTTTTTTTTTTTTTACATAGGGTCTTGCTCTGTCACCCAGGCTGGAGTGCAGTGGCGAGATCTTGGCTCACTGCAGTCTCCACCTCCTGGGTTCAAGCGATTCTTCTGCCTCAGCCTCTGGAGTAGCTGGGATTACAGACATGTGCCACCACGCCAGGCTGATTTTTGTATTTTTTTAGAGACGGGGTTTCGCCGTGTTGGCCAGCCCGGTTTCGAACTCCTGACCTCAGGTGATCCACCTGCCTCGGCCTCCCAAAGTGCTGGGATTACAGGCATGAGCCACCATGCTCAGCCTCAAATACACTTTTTAAAGTGAGGCTTACCTTGTCCACCTGATGTAAATGGCAGCACCCCTACTTAATCCTGCTTATCCTGCTCTTTTATCTCATTGCACTTCACATCATCAACCTATTTTATTATTTGTCTATCTAGTTTATTGCCTACTTCCCCACAGCAGAATATAAATTTCACAAGGGCAGAGATCTTTGTCATGGGTGAATCCTCATAATCGTAACTAGAGCAGTTTTTGGCACAGGGTCAGCACTCAATCGATACTTGTAAATGTTCAATCGAATGAATAAAGGAATAAATTAGGGTATAAGTAATGCATATATGGAATTATTTGGGGCCTTGGTGATACTGATGCCATCACTCTGTGTCTTTGGTCTTAATATATGTTGTCCAGAGAAGTTGGCAAATTTCCTCTTGTCATAAACCCATCTGTATTTCATTTTTTATTGCTATCATCACTGAACATCATTATCTCCAAAGTCTCAAATGAAACAGACTGTAAAAATGGAACGGGAAGCAGAAAAGGAAGCTGGATACCACAAAGTATAAATTGCAAGGGGAATTACCACTTCTAAGCTGGAAAATATTTATTATTGTTGGTGTTAGTTTTGTACTGAGGCCAGAAGAAAGCAATGGCACTTGACCCGTGATTGCAATAGAGCTCAAATATAGAAGACACTAGTGACAGCCAGAAAGAATAGCAGGGCATTTCAAAGACAGGTAGGGAAGTCAAAATTGAGTGATTGACATATGAATTATGCCTGTGACACAGGCAAAGGTTTCGTAGTTTCTTCAGATGCAGCAATGAATCTGGAAAGCAGATGGCATATCAATTTCCTATTGTTGCTGTAACAAATTATCACAAAATTAGTGGCTTAAAATAACGCAAATTTGGCCAGGTGTAGTGGCTCAGGCCCGTAACCCCAGCACTTTGGGAGGCCGAGGCGGACAGATCATTTGAGGTCAGGAGTTCAAGACCAGCCTGGCCAATGTGGTAAAACCTCATCTCTACTAAAGATACAGAAATTAGCTGGCATGGTGGCAGGCGCTTGTAATCTCAGCTACTCGGGAGGCTGAGGTGGGAGAATCGCTTGAACCTGGGAGGCGGAGGTTACAGTGAGCCGAGATCATGCCATTGCACTCCAGCCTGGGTGACAGAGCAAGACTCCGTCTCAAAAAAACAAAACAAGACAAAAAAACCCACGCACAAATTTATTATTTTCCAATTCCATTATATACAATTAGTATTACTGGGCTAAAACCAAGGTGTTGGCAGGGCTGTGTTCCTTTCTGGAGGCTCTAAGGGAGAATCCATTTTCTTTTCCAACTTCTAGAGGCTGTCTTCACTCCTTGGCTCATGGTCCTCTCCCATTTTCAAAGTTAGCAGTGGCCACTTAAGCCTTGCTCACATCCCATTACTCCGACACTGATACTCCTGATTCCCTCTTCCACATTTAAGGACTCTTCTGATTGCATTGCACCCATCTAGGTAATCTAGGATAATCTCTCTATTTAAGGTCATCTGATTGGTAACCTTAATTCCATCTGCAACTTCAATGTCCTTTTGCCATGTGAAATTACATGCTCACAGATTCTGTGGATTAGGACATAGGTATTTCAGGGGGATTATTATGCTGCCTACTACAGATAGTATCTGAATTGTAACCATTACTTATTTATTTTGTTTTTTGTTTATTTGTTTTTGTTTGTTTGTTTGTTTGTTTAGTAATAAGTTCTAGGAAAAAGAGGACCAGCTGGGACTGTGCAAAAAATATAACATGGCTGATTAGAAGGTAGGCAGCAGTCAAAGCTCATACCCTGTAAATATTTATTGGATAAATGATTAAAAAGTAGAGTGGGAGGCCAGGCGCGGTGGCTCACGCCTGTAATCCCAGCACTTTGGGAGGCCAAGGTGGGTGGATCACTTGAGGTCAGGTGTTTGAGACCAGCCTGGCTAACATGGTGAAACCCCACCTCTACTAATAATACAAAAATTAGCCAGTTGTGTTGGCGCATGCCTGTAGTCCCAGCTACTCAGGAGGCTGAGGCACAAGAATCACTTGTACCCAGGAGGCAGAGGTTGCAGTGAGCCAAGATCACACCACTGCACTCCAGCTTGGGTGACAGAGTGTATCTCAAAAAAAAAAAAAAAAAAAGTAAAGTGGGAATAGAGGTGCTTTTACTGGAAACCTCCCATATGAGTGTTTAGAATCTCTTGGGGCCAAAAATAAAACCACTTTCTACCAGCAATTTCCGGTCATGTTTTATATTTGTAAACCTTAGAGATAATAATAGAAAAAAGAAGAAAGTGATATTGAGAATCAAATAATAATGTTTAATAGTTTCTGAGTGAATGATGTTGGACTCAGGTAAATCTTTGGATATTTTTCTACTGGCCTACTTCAGGTTGGAGTAGATGATTTACATAATTTTCCAATTAATCTTTATTAGGTTTCTCTGTTTCCCAGCTTCCATGAGTGTTGTTAGTAGATAATGCCTGAATGAATGCTGAATGCATGAGGTAATTCACGTACTTGTGACTGGTAACACATTCCCTTGAACTCTCAAACTGGCCCTGACAGAAGATAATGTAAGCCTGGGTCAAAAGACTGTCATTTCCACTTTCCTAGAGATTGGCACTTCTCCATGCCTAAACCATGCCCAGAACATGGTACATGTTCTTGACAGACAGATTGGGCTAAGCATTGGTGAAATGAAAGGATTGGAGCAGGTAAACTTCATCTCAGGTCTTACATGGGGTTCTTTGGAAGCAGACCTTGAGATGAGGAGTTGTGTGCAAGCAATATGTTAAGGAAGGACTTTTGGGGGGAACAGATAAGGTAATGAAGGAGATAGGACAAGGAATAGAAAGAAGCTAAGCAAGCGAGAAATTTCAGACAGAGCCCCAGTCTCTGCTTCATCCCATAGGGATGCTCTAGAGTCTAAATTACACCCCAGAGTTTGTACCCTCTTGAGGGAAGGGGGCTGGGCATCTATATGTCACCACCAGTCATTTGTTGGCCGAAGGCCATCCTGGGTGGATGTGAACTCCTAGTCACTTGTAGCTCTCCGCAAAGTGGGCAGAGTGGCTCCAACAGGCCAAGGGATGGCTTTGAAGAGTCACAGACTCTGGCTGTTCAAAGCAAAAACATAGAAGCTAAGGGCAGGGCACAGAAATGGTAAAAGGCACCCAAGGGGATCCACAGAGTTTATCACAGTTTCTTCCAGCTCCACAGTTGTAGAAATATTGCTGTAAAGTACAATGTGTCACTATTTGTATGTGTAAACATTTACATTTTGAGAATCCTGAAAGAAAGATATTCCTGTACTTGAGGTACATTTGTCTTTAATAAATATGGCTTTGCTCCCAGGAAATTTTTCCAGTGGTAAATCTGGCTTTAAATGACCATGTTATATAGAATTTCTCCTTTTAAAAATTTCCATTTTGTTGTTTCTAAGAATATTTTGGATTTTTCTAGTACAAATTCTACTACATTTGTAGAATTGGATCAGAAAAAATGCAGTTGACCACCTATTAGATTCAAATGTGCCCTTGTCAGTTATGGTTTAATTTGGTTTAATATTGATGTTTTGGACATTATTCATGGCATAGTGAAAAAAAACCATAAAAATAAAATTTGAAGCATATGTTCCCTGGTTCATTTCTGAATAAATATCTCAATAATTAATGAAAAGTTACAGAAAATAGAAGAAACTGAAGATGCCCATTTTCTCATGATTTTGGAACCACTGAGGGCAGAATGGGAAGATTAGGACATTTCTCTTATAAAATTTGAAGTTAATCTGGTTTCCACTGAGGGAAGGTTGAAAAGGCACTTGAAAGCAATGCCAAGTGTTGGTTTTGGATCATTTTAATGCTAAAACATATATTTAAACCATTTACACAAAATAAACTAACAATTATTTGGCTAAAGTGTTAAAAGAGCCCTATAAAAAGCCGTGAGTTGTTTGGGATGTAATTTGAGCCTGTTTTTTGGACAAGCAAAATTTGTGAAAGCCCAGCCTGTTTCAGTTTAGGACTGACCAGCTTTTTTCTGTAGGCTTACGCGGCTTCTGTGTCTCCAAACTACTCTTAGAGCTGTTTGTCTAGAGAGTGACTGGCAGGATTACTGAGATATCACTTGGCCAAGAGAGGTACAAATGGAGCAGAACCCCCTCCTAGGAGTCTGTGGGATCCCTCTCAAGCATGGAAAGAAAGGAAAATCTTAAGTTCCTTCAAGGAAAATTCCAGGCACCTGGCTAGCCCTGAGAAGTAAATAGGAAAATAGATAAGCAAGAAGTAACAGTAGCTTAAAACAATAGCCAAGGAGGGTAGAATCACAGGGTATTTGGTTTCCTATATAAATTAAAGGTAACATCTTCTCCTGCCTCAGCCTCCCGAGTAGCTGGGACTACAGGCGCGTGCCACCACGTCAAACTAATTTCTTGTATTTTTAGTAGAGATGGGGTTCCACCATGTTGGCCAGGCTGGTCACAAACTCCTGACCTCAGGTGATCCGCCCAGCTCAGCCTCCCAAAGTGCTGGGATTACAGGCAAGAGCCACCACACCCGGCCTAAAGGTAACAACTTATGTCCCTGAATTGTTTTTCAGAAATCCAGATCCCCCATCAAATGGACCCACTGACCCAAAGACCTCAGAAAAGGGAGAACTGAGAGCTGAACTCTGACTGCTGTTTTTTGTTCTAAATTTATTCCTGAGGTACCTGGAGAAGGTCACATCCACAAGCCAGGGCTGGCATTCTTTTTCTGCTGACTCCAAAAATTCTTTTTTTTTTTTTTTGAGATGGAGTTTTGCTTTTGTTGCCTAGGCTGGAGTGCAATGGTGTGATCTGGGCTCACCGCAACCTCCATCTCTCGGGTTCAAGACATTCTCCTGCCCCAGCCTTCCGAGTAGCTGGGATTACAGGCACCCGCCACCAGGCCTGGCTAATTTTGTATTTTTAGTAGAGAGGGGTTGGTCAGGCTGGTCTCGAACTCCCGACCTCAGGTGATCCACCCACCTCAGCCTTCCAAAGTGCTGGGATTACAGGCATGAGCCACTGCGCTGGCCTGCTGACTCCAAATTTTTAAACGATGCTTCTCTTCCTTATCAATTGCAAATCAGAAAATTTTCTAATCTACCTATGACCTAGAAGCTCCCACTTCAAGATATCCTGCCCTTTATATGCCAAACCAATATGCAACCTCCATGTATTGATTTATGATTTTGCCTGTAACTTCTGCTTTCCTGAAATTTACCTCTGCCTTTAAAAACCCTTACTTACAAACCATCGAGGAGATTGGGTCTTAAGCACGAGCTGCCTAGATTCTCCTTGCTTGGTGCCCTGCAAATAAACACCCTCCTTTCTCCCACTGCAAACCTCAATGTAGATGTTTGGCCTTACCGTGCCAGGCAAGCAGACCCCATTTCGGTTTGATAACATATGTAAGGATTCAACTCACCTAAAAAAAGCAGTGACTGGTTGTTAAATATGCCACGTTTTTGCAATTATTATTATTATTATTTTTGAGACAGAGTCTTGCTCTGTCGCCTAGGCTGGATTACAGTGGTGCAATCTCGGTTTACTGCAACCTATCCCTCCCAGGTTCAAGTGATCCTCCTGCCTCAGCCTCCCAAGTAGCTGGGACTACAGGCACCCACCACCACGCCTGGCTAATTTTGTATTTTTCGTAGAGACTGGGTTTCACCATGTTGGCCAGGCTGGTCTTGAACTCCTGACCTCAGGGGATCCACCCACCTCAGCCTCCCAAAGTGCTGGGATTACAGGCGTGAGCCACCACACTCGGCCTGCTTTTCTTTATTTTCAGATTTTCAGCATGTTCGAAAATGTTCATCATACAAAGGTGGAAGAAACATGAAAATGAAAGAACTGGTTTGGAAGTCAGGAGATCTATGATTGTGTACCGCCTCTGCTACTCACTCACCATGGAAGCTTGAAAAAATTCCAAACACTGTGAGAATCAGTTTCCTTATACTAAAAAAAATGGGGGTTTGACTATGTATTTGTCAGGAGTCTTTTCGTTGAAAGTGACAGAAAGCCATCTCAAACTATCTGAGAGTGGCCAGGTGCGGTGGGCACGGTGGCTGACACCTGTAATCACAGCACTTTGAGAGGCCGGGATGAGAGGATCGCTTGAGGCCAAAAGTTTGAGATCAAAACTGTCTAAGAGAGAGAGAGATAAAGAGAGGAAGAGGGAGTGAGAGATTAGTGAACATAGCTGGGCGGGAAGGGGCTTCAAACAAGGCCATTTGAAATTTCTCCCCATCTCTGGCTCTGCTTCTCTTCATGTGTTGGCCTCAGTTTTTTTCAACTTTAGACGAACTTTCTCCATGCAAAAGAAAAAGGGAATGGCCACTCTCTCCTATTTAGTAACCCTACATGTAAAAGAGCATCTTCTCTCCAAAAATGATTGTTGAAAATTTCAGGGAAGAACTTGGATTGGACTGGCATAAGTCATGAGCCCAGACTTACATGGCCCAGGGCATGGTATGTTATTAGCAAGGCCCGGATCACATGCTCATACCTGGGCTGGGCTGCAATGTCACCGTGACTGGCAGACCCAGCAAAGCCACATAAAATGGAGATGCAGATAAGTTACCATGGTCCAAGTGACTGTTGTTATTGGGAACAAAAGGGAAGAGCTGCTGGAGAGAGACAAGGAAACAGATGCCTTATGGCCTAGGCTCTCTAAGGAATCTATTGTTAATGTTTTACAAGTGCCAGTAAGACTGCTGTGTACATAACAGATGCTCAGAAAATATGTTAAATGAAAGAATGTATAGAAGCCATAAAATGACAAATTATTTAAAATGTTAATAATGAGAAAGTTCTTTAGTGATCAGTTAAGTCTAATGCCTTCGTTTTACTGAAAAAGGAAAATGAAGCCCAAAGAGGCTAAGTGATACTCCTAAGGACATGTGATTACTTCTACAAGTCAGGCATCCCGATCTCCCATACCACGTCTGCATTTCTCTTTAAAGCAATCTCATATCAGGCCAGGAGCGGTGGCTCACACCTGTAATCCTAGCACTTTTGGAGGCAGACAGATCACTTGAGGTCAGGAATTCAAGACCAGCCTGGCCAACATGGTGAAATCCTGTTTCTACCGAAAATACAAAAATCAGCTAGTCATGGTGGCATGTGCCTGTAATCCCAGCTACTATGGAGGCTGAGGCAAGATGATTGCTTGAACCTGAGAGGCAGAGGTTGCAGTGAGCTGAGATCGTGCCACTGCACTCCAGCCTGGGCGACAGAGTGAGACTCCATCAAAAAATAAAAAAAGATTCTCATTTCAAACAGATTTCCTTTGCCCCTGACTTTCAATAGATTAACCATCAGCTAATATCAACCCTGTTAGCAAAAAGAAAATAGAAGCTTTACAAAAAAAAGGGAAAAAAAAATCCTACCTTTGTTTAATTGTTATTCTAATGAGTTAAACCTTGGATTCAGCACAGGCAGGCTCTCCTAATAGAAAAGAAGACAGATAGGTTGGCTGCCCCCACAACCAGGCTTGCGGATAAAATGTGTTTATACAGCTCGATTGGTCCAGAAGGAGCCAGGGCTGAAAACATTCAGTGAGCTGGCTGATGGCAGGCGACAGCTGGGAGCATCTGTTTCCCATTAGAGACACTGGGCTACAATAGTGCTGTCCTCTGACCTCTGGGTCCGGCTTCCCTGGGGGCCTGGGTGTGTTCCCAGGTCTCAAAGTGCTGACAGCCAATTCACTTGCTAACACATCCTAACTGGGTGCTAATACACCCATAGCTTAGATGGCTCTAGTACAAGATTTAGAGGTAAAGCTCGGAACTCAAATTGGGTGAGTGAAGTTTTTTATGTTCAGCTCCAAAAGCACACTTAAATTTTGTAGTAAAAACTGTCAGAAAGAAGAGCTTATTCATTTCCCTCTCCACTTTCCTTTCTTCTTTCCTTCCTTCCTCCCTCCCTCCCTTTTAACTAAGCAAGAATATTGAAGAGAGTGCTACTCAATTTCTGTAGAAAGGTAAAATATTGGGAGGCCAAGGAGGGCGGATCAGCTGAGGTCAGGAGTTTGAGACCAGCCTGGCCAACATGGCGAAACCCCAGCTCTACTAAAATTACAAATATTATCTGGGCATGGTGGTGCACGCTGATAGTCCCGGCTACTTGGGAGGCTGAGGGAGGAGGATCACTAGAACCTGGGAGGCGGAGGTTGCAGTGAGCTGAGATTGTGCTACTGCACTCCAGCCTAGGCAACAGAGCAAGACTCTGTCTCAAAAAAGAGGAAGAGCAAAATAATGCTGCTCCTACATAATGCTGTTCTCTACAGCAGTTAATTACATCAGCCAACATCTTGAAAAAACATCTTGAGTTATGTCTGCAAAATGAGCTTCATATAAATCAATATTAGACGTTGCCAGTAACCAAAAGATATGACTGGATAAAGGAGCCTGTCTAAATCTGGGTTCCCGTGAATACAAACCCCTAGACAGGAGTGTAGGTGCAGGGAGTTTTTTGGCAGGTGATTGCAGACAGCAAAGTGAGAGGCTATGAAGCGTAAGGCAGAAAGGAAGGAAAAGCCAATGTCAGGACACTTCATCCTTTGCTGCAAGACTCAGTATCCCAAGAACTCCGAGAAGTTTACAGTTTGCCTCTCAGAATTGGCCTGAAGGGCTTAAGGCTGGAGCATTTAAATCCCCTTTGGTTGAGGGTGAACACCCCCCTTGGTGGGTGCTCACTTCCATGTGTCCCCAAGTTATGCTTGGGCATTGGAGCTGGCTCTGGGACAGAAAGCAGAAGGACAGGGAAGCTGATGGTGCAGGCTGGAGCTGCTTGCCAGGGCTGAGACTAGAGGTAGCCAAGTAGCTGCAATCTGGGCACCAGCAGCATCTGCTAACAAAGTGTGAGCAGCCAGAATAAACTCAGATAAACTACAGACTAATTGGTGACTGGAACATGGGATTTCATTCAAAAGGAAAGGAGAGTGAATCAATGCTGTAAACTTCGTTGTTGTCTTATTTATTTATTTATTTTTTTTGAGACGGAGTTTCGCTCTTGATGTCCAGGCTGGAGTGCAATGGCGTGATCTTGGCTCACTGCACCCTCCGCCTCCTGGGTTCGAGTGATTCTCCTGCCTCAGCCTCCCAAGTAGCTGGGATTACAGGCACCAACCACCAGGCCCAGCTAATTTTTGTATTTTTAGCAGAGATGGGGTTTCACCAGGTTGGCCAGGCTGGTCTCGAACTCCTGACCTCAGGTGATCCACCCACATCAGCCTCCCAAACTGCTGGGATTACAGGCGTGAGCCACTGCACCTGCCCCATTGTTGTCTTATTTTAACAGATTTTAAAAATTTTCCATAATGGGCCGGGTGCAGTGGCTCATGCCTGTAATTCCAGCACTTTGGGAGGCCGAGGTGGGCAGATCACCTGAGGTCAGGAGTTCGAGACCAGAATGGCTAACATGGCAAAACCCCATCTCTACTAAAAATACAAAAATTAGCCAGGTGTGGTGGCACATGCCTGTAATCCCAGCTACTCAGGTGGCTGAGGCAGAATTGCTTGAACCCGGGAGACGAAGGTTGCGGTGAGCCGAGATCATGCCACTGCACTCCAACCTGAGAGACAGAGTGAGACTCTGTCTCAAAAAAAAAATTCATAATAAAATGTTTTTCAAAAGTTAGTTTAGGGCCGAGTGTGGTGGCTCATGCCTGTAATTTCAGCAGTGTGGGAGGCCAAGGTGGCAGTATCACTGGAGCCCAGGAGTTTAAGACCACCCTGGGCAATATAGTGAGACCCCCATCTCTAAAAATAAAATACATTAAAAAAAAAGTTAGTTTAGTATACAAATTACATCCCTTCAGTGTTATCCTCACACTTAAGAGAAACATTGAAATAGAAGCTAAATACATTTTTTCCCCAAGTACTATCAGGTACACTCTTCTTCACCAAGATCATAAAGGATGGAGAAATGTTGTTAGTTCTAAACTATATAAAATAACAATGATTAATAATTCCAAACAAATAATATATTTTTAAGTTTGGTGAAACTTTATTGAATTCACAGACATAGATAACATAGCATAGAGGCAGTTTTTCTTTTCTTTTCTTTTTTTTTTTTTGACACAGTCTTCTTGCTCTGTCACCCAGGCTGGAATGCAGTGGTGCGATCTCGGCTCACTGCAACCTCCACCTCCCGGGTTGAAGTGATTCTTCTGCCTCAGCCTCCCGAGTAGCTAGGACTACAGGTGCGTGCCACCGTGCCCAACTAATTTTTTGTATGTTTAATAGAGACAGGGTTAGCCTCTATTTTTAATAGAGGCATCCATGTTAGCCAGGGTGGTCTCGATCTCCTGACCTCGTGACCCACCTGCCTTGGCTTCCCAAAGTGCTGGGATTACAGGCGTGAGCCACCAGGCCCGGCCCAGATTTTTTTTTTAAAGGATATGTATGGAGTTGGAGAAACCCTTGCTGGTCCTCTTATCTTAGGTAAAGTTATACCCAAAGCATCCTGGACAATGAGCATCCGTTGTTCTGCAGCCTGGCATCCATGTTTCTTACCTTGGGAATAGTTTATTGATTTCCTTCTCCCATTTTATGCAGTTTTAGAGGGAGTATGAGTTCAAGGATCTTGTCCTCTCTTGGATAAGGTGGAAACACTGATTCAATTATGTGACAAAATTTTTTTAGCTTGGAATTTGAGCAGGAAGACAAAAGTATGAGAAACACATAAAGTTGATTTATCCTGTGGCTGCACCTCGAAAACATGTCCATTAGTGCTTGCTAGCTAGAACTTCTCTAGTTCCTATCTTTTCTGAGAGTCTTCTTTTTGATTTTGTGAGCTACTCCCATCCTTTTAATAAATTCAATTTTTTTCTTGCTTTAGTAACCAAAAGGGATGTTGGGGGCATGCCACCACTGAACCCTTACTGAGTGTGGCAATTTGTCTCCCAGAATGCCACCATCAATTCCTTCCCTCCCTATAGGCACGTGCTACTCTGCCCATCAAAAGGTGGTCTTGGCCGGGCGTGGTGGCTCACGCCTGTAATCCCAGAACTTTGGGAGGCCAAGGCAGGAGGATCATTTGAGGTCAGGAGTTTGAGACCAGCCTGGCCAAGATGGTGAAACCCCATCTCTACTAAAATACAAAAATTAGCTGGGCGTGGTGGTGTGCTCCTGTAATCCCAGCTACTCGGGAGGCTGAGGCAGGAGAATCGCTTGAACCGAGGAGGTGGGGGTTGCAGTGAGCCAATATCGCACTGCACTCCAGCCTGGGCAACAGGGCGAGACTCCATCTCAAAATAATAATAATAATAATAATGATAATAATAAGAGCCATCTATGACAAACCCATAGCCAACATCATACTGAATGGATAAAAGCTAGAAGCATTCCCCTTGAGAACCAGAACAAGACAAAGATGCCCACTCTCACTACTGCTATTCAACATAGTATTATACTAGAAGTCCTAGCCAGAACAACAAGGCAAGAGAAAGAAATAAAGGACATCCAAATAGAAAGAGAGGAAGTCACACTATCTCTCTTTGCGGATGATATGATTCTGTACTTAGAAAGCCACATAGTCTTGACCCAAGAGCTTCTAGATATGACATGATAAAACACTTCAGCAAAGTTTTTGTTGCTGTTGTTTTGTTTTCTTTTTTTTTTTTTTAGAGAGAGTTTTGTTCTTGTCCAGGCTGGAGTGCAATGGTGCGATCTTGGCTCACTGCAACCTCCACCTCCCTGGTTCAAGCAATTCTCCTGCCTCAGCCTTCCAAGTAGCTGGGATTACAGGCATGCACCACCATGCCTGACTAATTTTGTATTTTTTTTAGTAGAGATGGGGCTTCACCATTTTGGTCAGGCTGGTCTTGAACTCCTGACCTCAAGTGATCCACCCGCCTTGGCCTCCCAAAGTGCTGGGATTACAGGTGTGAACCATGGCCAGCAAAGTTTAAGGATATAAAATCAACATACAAAAATTAGTAGTATTTCTACATATCAATAATGTCCAAGCTGAGAGTCAAATGCAGAATGCAATCCCATTTACAATAGCCACAAAAGAATGAAATACCTAGGAATACACTTAACTAGGGAGGTGAAAGACCTCTACAGTGAGAATTACAAAACACAGCTGAAAGAAATCAGAGACAACACAAACAAAACATTCCATGCTTATGGATAGGAAGGATCAATATTGTTAAAATGGCCATACTGCCCAAGGCAATTTATAGATTTAATGCTAATGCTACTTCTATCAAACTACCATTACATTTTTCATGGAATTAGAAAAAAACCACTCTAAAATTCATATGGGACTCCAAAATAACCCAAATAGTGGAAGCAATCCTAAGCAAAAAGAACAAAGCTGAAGGCATGACACTACCTGACTTGAAAGTATACTACAAGCCTACAGTAATCAAAACAGCATGGTACTGGTACAAAACAGACACATAGACCAATGAAACAGAATAGAGAGTCCAGAAATAATGCCTCACACCTGCAACTATCTGAACTTCAACAAAGCTGTCAAAAACAAGCAATGAAGAAATGACTCACTATTCAATAAATGGTGCTGGGATAACTGTTTAGCCATATGCAGAAGATTGAAACTGGACCCCTTCATTTTACCATATACAAAAATCAACTCAAGATGGATTAAAGACTTAAATGTAAAACCCAAAATTATAAAAACCCTAGAGAAAAACCTAGAAAATATGATTTTGGACATAGGCTTTGGCAAAGATTTTATGATGAAGACTTCAAAAGCAATTGCAAAGAAAACAAAAATAGACAAGTGGGACCTAATTAAGCTAAAGAGCCTCTGCACAGCAAAATAAACTATCAACAGAGTAAACTGACAACCTACAGAATGGGAGAAAATATTTGCAAACTATGCATCTGACGTAGGTCTAATCCAGAATCTGTAAGGAAATTAAACAAATTAACAAGCCAAAACAAAAAAATTCCATTAAAAACTGGGTAAAGGACATGAGCAAACACTTCTCAAAAGAAGACAAATGTATCCAACAAGCTTATGAAAAAATGCTCAACATCATTAATCATTAGAGGAATGCAAATCAAAACCGCAATGAGACATCACGTCATACCAGTCAGAATGGCTATTACTAAAAAGTCAAAAGACAATCGATGCTGACGAGGTTGTGGGGAAAAGGGAATGCCTATACCCTGCTGGTGGGAATGTAAATTAGTTCAGCCACTGTGGAAGGCAGTCTGGAGATTTCTCAAAGAACTTAAAACAGAAATACCATTTAACCCAGCAATCCCATTACTGGTATATGCCTAAAGGAATATAAATTGTTCTACCATAAAGACACACATGCATATGTTCATTGCAGCACTATTCACAATGGCAAAGACATGCAGTCAACCTAGATGCCCATCAACGATGGACTGGATAAAGAAAATGTGGTACTGATACACTATGGAATACTAAGCAGCCATAAAAGAGAATGAGATCATGTCCTTTACAGCAACATGGATGAAGCTGGAGGCCATTATCCTAAGCAAACTAACGCAGGAGGAGAAAACCAAATATCACATTTTGTCATTTGTAAGTGGGAGCTAATCACTGAGTACACATGGACACAATGCAGGGAACAATAGACACCCGGACCTACTTGAAGGTACATAGTGGGAGGAGGGTGAGGATCAAAAAACTACCTATCAGGTACTATGCTTATTACCTGGGTGACAAAATAATCTGTACACCAAACTCCTGCAGCACACAATTTACCCATGTAACAAACCTGTACATGTACCTCTGAACCTAAAAGTTGGAAAGAAAACACAATGTAATGGATAAATTATCTCAGTGAAATACCACATGGCAAGGAGAATAAACATCCAACGTGGACTAATCTCAACGTGTGACATTAATACACATAAAAGAGTTTTCATACTGTAAAATTCCATTCATATAATGTTTAAATATAGAGAAAATGGATGTGTGATGTTAGATGTCAGGATTACCCTGGGGCGAGGTCATGATTTTTTTCACTTGATCTGAGGAATGGTTACACACTGTGTTTACTATATGAAGAATCATCAAGCTGTACTTTTCTGTATTTATGTTTAACATCAATAAAATGTTTTTTTTTCTTTTTAAATCTCTGTTCTAGCTGGGTGCAGTTGCTCACATCTGTAGTCCCAGCTACTTGGGAGACTTAGGCAGGAGGATGGCTTGATCCCAGGAGTTTGAGGCTGCAGTGAGCCATGGTAGCATCGCTACACTCCAGCCTGGGTGCTACAACAAGACACTGTCTCAAAAAAATAAAAAATAAAAAATAAATAAAGATAGCCCCATCTTTATGGAACTGACTTTACAGGAGAGATGATTAATAAACTAAAAGAATGGGGAAAATTGTAGAGGATTAGTTGGGGTGTGTGCTACTGATAGAGATAAAACAGGAAGGAGAACAGGCAGGGTAGTGTGATTGCAATTTAAAATAAGGTGGTTAGGAAAAAGTGATTGAGAAGCTGACACTGGTTCTGGTTCAGCAAATTGTATTTCATGTTTATAACAAGCTTATGAGAATGGGGGGACACTCTTTACATGTTACAATAAAAAAGCTAAGAGATTGCAGAGAAAGGTGTTAAATCACAAACTGGTCAGACAGTTTGTTGTGCAGGAAGAATATTTATATTGCCCTATGAATGGGGGATGACAACATAGCTGGCCAGATAATTGACAGACAACAAGGATGAAACCAGAGATGGCAGGTGGGCCACCTTTCATCTTACCAGTCTTCGTCAGGGCTCCGAAGACAATGTGTTGTCATCAGGGCTTGACATGGGAGTCAAGTAATCTCTGGATTATTTGTCTTGCTCAAAATTTTATATATTAAAGAAGATAAAAGGAATTTGTTGGAAGGATAGGGAGTACCTAAGATAATTGAAAGAAAAACTAAGGAAGCAGGTTTTGGAAAAATACAAGCTCTGGAGCAGTAACAGGGAACTCTGTAACCTTGGTTGAATAAACAACTGCTTTTACTCTTTGCATTATTGCTGTCAATTTTCAAATTCCAGGCAAGAAGCAGCTTTAGCTTAGCATGGGTCAGTTGATCATCCCACGGAGCATCCTGATGGACAGTCCCACTTACGCTGGGTGCAAGTGGTGAAGGGCAGTCCCTGGAAGTGAAGTGGGGTGCTGTTAGGAGAAATAAGAAGGAATTCATGCTGGGCAGGCGAAACAACTGTTGTCTACCATAGGACTGCTTGAAGGGTTGTCGCAGTCCATCTATAATTGAAACTTTCTTTTTTCCACGTGGTAGGCAAAATTCTAAGATGACCTGCAAGATTTCTACCCCTGGTGCACAGACCCTGTATGATCCTCTCCCCTGGAGTGTGGATGGAAGCTGAGAATATGATGGCCATCCCTCCTGAAACTTGACGACGAATCATTGACTCTGTGTTCATCAAAGGAGAGATTATCCTGGGGGACCTGACCTAATCAGTTGAGTCCTTTCAAGGTGGAAAAGTCAGAGAGGACTGCTCCTCCTGACCTTGAAGAAGACAAAAGTGGCCAGCTCTACAGCTGCAAGGATTTGAATTCTGCCAATCACCTGAATGAGCTTGGAGAATCGCTCTGGGCATCCGATGAGATGGCAGCTCTGACTGACACCTTGATTTCAGCCTTCTGAGATCTGAGCAGAGACCTGGACACCTGATCCACAGAAACGGAAATATTACATTTGTGTTGTCTTAAGCAGGTGAATTGGTGTTAACTTGCGGCACAACAATTGAAAACTATCACTATTGTTCTGCTACATTTCTGACACATGTGTTAAAGCAATAGTTTTCCAGGAATACAAAACAAAGGGAGACCCCCAGGGAACCAGGACAGAGGGGGCTTACTTAGAGTACAAAGATCAAGATGCAGCAGACATGATTATTTGAGATAAAGGAAGTAATTCCTCAGCTTGCTGCTTTTCCGGGTTTGGGAGAGGTGGGAACAGGAAGAGGGAGGCAACCAGATTTTTTCTGAAGGAGATTTACTAGTATAGACTTTCCTTTCAAATTTAACATGTTGAGTTAATCAAATAGATATTACAACTGTTCGTTATTAATATTTCAAAGGATCTCATTGTTACTGTACCCAATGCAGGTTAAAAATGTTAAAACTTGGGTCTGGGCTGGGCATGGTGGTTCATGCCTGTAATCCCAGCACTTTGGGAGGCCGAGATGGGTGGATCACCTAAGGTCAGGAGCTCGAGACCAGCCTGGCCAGCATGACAAAACCCCATCTTTACTAAAAAGACAAAAATTAGCCGGGCGTGGTCACGGGCACCTGTAATCCCAGCCACTGGGGAGGCTGAGGCAGGAGAATCACTTGAACCGGGGAGGCAGAGGTTGCAGTGAGCTGAGATCGCACCACTGCATTCTAGCCTGGGCAACAGAGTGAGACTCTGCCTCAATAATAATAATAAAAAAAAGGGTCCGAAGAATTTTGTTACTTTTACTTGAGCAGTATTCACCTACCAGAGGATGGCCTGTGTGGCATCTGGGTGTGATACCCAAGACAAAAGTATACAGAGCAGCACTGGGAGATGATTATTACAATGTAGTTAAATTCCAGGAAGAATGTTGCCTAAGAAATGGAAGGGAGCATGTCTATGTCTTTTTAAAACTTTAACATCTTTCTTTTATTCCTGCTGGTTCCAGTTAATATTGCTGTGTAAAAATCCACTTTAAAGGTGCAAAAGAACAACTATTTTATTATGCTGATGGATTCTGCGGGTGAGGAATTCAGAAAGGTCACAATGGGGATGGTTTATGTCTGCTTCCTAATGCCTGGGCCAAACTTTCTGGCACTATATAACAAGGGCCCCATTTTCTCCAGCTTCCAATAACATCTTCCTTAGCTCCCTTTAAGCCCTCATTGGCAGCTTCCTCAAGTCCTTTTAGACTCTTGTTAATACTTTGGATCCCTTCCTGCTCTTGCTGCTTCACCTAGTTCCAAAGCCAGTGCCACACGTTTTACTTTTATGATGTTATTATGTTATGTTTTGTTATAATATCCATCCTACTTCTAGGTAACAAAATCGGTTTCAGTTACTATTGCTATGTAATAAACTGTTATTCTTACTATGTAATAAACTTCTTCCCCTTGCCCCTCCCTAAGAAGTCAGTGGTAGAAGAGAAAGAAAAAAAGCCCCAAGTTACATAATAAAACCACATAGGTTATATTTATAATAATGGTATCAGTGGTTCTCGAACTTTTTGGTTTCAGCATACCTTTATACTCCCCAAAATAGTAGAGAACACTCCAAAGCTTTTGTTTCTGTGGGTTACATCTATTAATATTTACTATATTAAAAATTGAATACAAAGCTGAAATGTGGCTGGGTGCGGTGGCTCACGCCAGTAATCCCAGAACTTTGGGAGGCCAAGGCAGTAGGATCACCTGAGGTCAGGAGTTCGAGACCAGCATGGCAAACATGGTGAAAACCCGTCTCTACTAAAAATACAAAAAATTAGTCGGGTGTGTATCGAGCGCCTGTAATCCCAGCTACTCAGGAGTCTGAGGCAGGAGAATCGCTTGAGCCCGGGAGGCAGAGGTTGCAGTGAGCCGAGATCGTGCCATTGCACTCCAGCCTGGTTGACAGAGTGAAACTCCATCTCCAAAAAAAAAAGAAAAAAACCAACAAAAAACTGAAATGTTAAAAAGTTATTTAAAATAACAATAATAAACCATTATGTGTTAATATAATTAAGACATTTTAATGAAGAATAAATATTTTCCAAAAACAAAAAAATGTGGTAAGAAAAGTGTTATCTTTTGCATTAGTGTAAATTCCTCTATAGCTGGCTTAAAGAAGCCAGTTAGATTCTCATTTCTGCCTTTACATTCAGTTCGACGTGATGTTTTGGTGGAAGTATAAGGAAAATCCATCAGTCATGGGTCATCAAAACCCATGACTGGGTTTCGGTCTTACATCCTAGCCGATAAAAGACCGCCTACACTCCTTCCCCCTGGGCAAGGCTCGTGCCCCAACTCCTACAAGCAATGCAGGCTGAACCTTAGTTTTCCCTACCGTCTAACAGTGCTCTAAGGATTGAAAGAAAGTAACTCTTAAGCGACACCTAGATAAAATGATGGTCAGTTTAATTTCATTTCTCATCACAGTATTAGTCAATCAACCACTCAGATATAATCACATCCTGCGGGCTTATTCAGGGGCGGGGTGGGTAGAGATAAGCAATAGCGCATGCGCAGCTCAGAACGAAGCCCCAGGTGGAGTTAGCGCTGCACCTCTGAGGCCAGGTGAGCCGCTCCGAAGCGGAGGGCGGAGTCAGAGCCGCTTGTGGGAGGCTGCTTCCGACCACGTGGTACCCCGAATGACCAATGGGGAGACTTGATGTCAGCCCCGCTTCCTCACCCTGGCAACGGGCGGGTGACTACTTCCGGTGCAGTGAAGGCTCGGGGCTGAAGCGGGTGAGTGTCCCTCTTTCCCACGCTGTCCGCGCCGCTGCCGCCTCCGCGCTGCTGCCTCTGTGTGTGGGCCCCGTACGCTAGCTGGGACGTCCTCTCCGGGTCCGAGAGGGGGCGGCGCGCAGGACACCCCTTGCCCCGGGCGGGGCTAGAGGAGGGGGCCAGGATGTCCCTAGTTCCCTAGTCTTGGTCGCTCTAGGCGGCCCCGTCGTCCCCCTTCCCAGCCTCATCTCCGGCTTGGCGTCCTCGTGGCCACCGGGGAAGTACTGTCTGTATGTGGGGAGTTCTCGCAGTTCTTCACCCACTTTGCAGTCTCAGGCTGGAGATGTCTCAGAGTCCGAGGTTCGCAGACAGCCGAGAATGTGCGCCTTGTCCTGGGTGGCGGGTTGGGGGTAAGGCAGCCCCTTACTTAGTAATAGAGGCCTGATGAGAGTCCTGCGGGTCGTTAGCACTTACTACTCAGGGGGAGGAGGAGGAGGAAGAAGAGGAGGAGGAAAGGACCGAGAAGATGGAGCAGCTGGAGAGGAGGGGGGGAAAGCAGGAGCTAGAGATGTCCTGGAAATCGAGGGTATCGTGTTTCCGGAAGGAGAGAGTTCAACTTTCCTGGCTTCTGTAGGGGAGGGGAAGGAAAGGTGTGTTAGGGGCCATTAGATTGCTGAATTATTATTATTCTTTATTAGCGAAGGAATTTTTACTTATATTCTTAGGAGTTTAATAATTTATCTTTTTTGTTGTAAATAAAACTTTTCCCCACCACTTACAAAAAGCAGTGCTTACTAAGGAACATCTGGAAAATGCAGAAATAGTTATGAAGAGATCACCTATAGTTCTGCCAACCCAGCATTTTGATCTTTTTTCTAATATTTTATTCATATTAACCTATTTGTGATCATAATGTATGCGTGTAAAATACGGTTATAACTAAGAGGCATAGTTACATACATTGTGTTCATTGCACGGATAGATTGTCTTTTTTCCTCTTGAGAAAGTCTTATTAAGGTATTCATGCACCATAAAATTTATTCTTTAAAATTGTAAATTTCAGTGCTTTTTCTCATATCGCAAAGTTGTGCACCCATCACCACTATCTACTTTCAGAACATTTTCATCACCCCCAAAAGAAATCCTATACTCATGACAGTCACTCCCCATTAGATTCTCTGCTTTCTCTCCCAGGCCTTGTAACCACTAATCTACTTTCTGTATCTATGGATTTTCCTATACTGGCATTTCATATAAATGGAATCATAGAATATATGGCCTCACTTGTCTGGTGTCTTTCAGTTAGTATGTTTTCAAGGTTCATCAATGTCTGTGTATCAGTATTTCATTCTGTTTTATGGATGGGTAATGTTCCATTGTGTGAATATGCCACATTTTGCTTAACCATCATCGGTCGATGGACATTTAGGTTGTTTCTACTTTTTGGCTATTTTGAATAATTCTGCTATAAACATCTGTGTACAAGTTTTTGTATGGACATACGTTTTCAGTTCTCTTGAGTATATACCTAGAAGTGGAATTGGTGGGCATATGGTAACTCTATGTTTAACTTTTTGAGTGAGTGCCAAATGTTTTCCAAACTGGTTGCACCATTTTACATTCCCACCAGCAGGTTATAAGGGTTCTGATTTTTTCATATCCTTGGGAGCACTTATCTTTCTTTTTGGTTATAGCAGTCTTAGTGCTTATAAAGTGGTAGCTCATTGTAGTGTTGATTTGCATTTCCCTGATGGCTAATAATGTTGAGCATCTTTTAATGTGCTTATTGACCCTTTGTATATCTTTGGAGAAATGTCCATTTAATTCCTTTGCCCATTTTTAAATTGAATTGTCTTATATTAAAGTTGTATGAGTTCTTTCTATATTCTAAATGTAAGTCCCTTTCCAGATACATGATTTGCAATATTTTCTTGCGTTTTCTCCCATTTTATGGGTTGTCCTTTTACTTTCTTGAATGGTGTCCTTTATCTACTTAGAATTTTTTTTTCAAAGACTTGTCAAGTGCAATAGGGAGGATATTTAGAGTTAATTTTTCTGTATGATGTGAGGTAGGAGTTCAGTTTCATTCTATTGCATGTGGCTATCCAGTTCTAGCATCATTTGATGAAAGGACTGTCCTTTCCTCCATTGAATGGTAGAAACCATTTCAACACTCTTGTTGAAAATCAGTTGATCATAAAAGTGTAGGTTATTGTTTTCTTAACCGTTTTTCTGTATTGGACATTTAGGTTGCTCCCAGATTTTTGTTATTCTAAATTATCCTGTGTTAAACATGGTATAAAAGGCATAAAACCTTTTCTCTATTTAGTTATTTTGGTAGAAAGTTTTCTCAGAAGTGGAATTACTGGTTAGAAGATGAATTTAAGTATGTCCTGGAGTTCATTTAATGAGGCATTAAACCTTCAATATCACGATGTTAAAAGCAACAACACAAGGCTGGGTGTGGTGGCTCACGCCTGTAATCCCAGCACTTTGGGAGGCCCAGGCAGGCGGATCATTTGAGGTCAGGAGTTCAAGACCAGCCTGACCAACATAGTGAAACCCCGTCTCTACTAAAAATACAAAAAAAAAAAAAAAAAAATTAGCCCGGCATGGTGGCCTGCGCCTGTAATTCCAGCTACTCAGGAGGCTGAGACACAAGAATCGCTTGAACCTGGGAGGCAGAGATTGCAGTGAGTTCAGATCATGCCACTGCACTCCAGCCTGGGTGACAGAGTGAGACTCTGTCTCAAAAAAAAAAAAAAAAAAAAAAAGCAACAACACAATTATTTATTCATGAGTTGTAATAGCTTAAGGGCTGGATTTCTATCAAAGCCCTTTGCTGTAAGATGGATGAATTCCATGACTTACTTCCTTTTTCAACTGCTTCTTAAAGAATAAGCAAACCTACGGTGAAAAACTTTAACACCACAGCAACAGGACGTGGTAGTTTTCAAAGTGGTGTAAGAAAAAAAAACAGTGTCATCACATACAGTAGGAAAATAAAACCATCTTTTAGAGAGATGAGGCAAGATTTAGACCTTAAATTAGTGCCATGAAAGTCCCTGCAGAGCGTGTTTTGGTTAGGCCAAGAGTGAGGTGGACCTAGATTGAGCTATCCATAAAACTTGTGGCTATAGGTAAGACAGAAGATAAAGTTAGGAATCATCTGATTTGCTGAGAGGATAGTTTTGAAAGGTTGGCAGTAGATGAAGTTGCTGAAGGTTGGCCGGGAGTGGTGGCTTACACCTGTAATCTCAGCAGTCTGGGAGGCTGAGGTGGGTGGATCACCTGAGGTCAGGAGTTCGAGACCAGCTTGGCCAACATAGTGAATTCCTGTCTCTACTAAAAATACAAAAATTAGCCAGGCATGGGGGTGCGTGCCTTTAGTCCTGGCCACTCAGGAGGCTGAGGCAGGAGAATTGTTTGAACCCGGGAGGCAGAGGTTGCAGTGAGTTGAGGTTGCGCCACTGCACTCCAGCCTAGGCAACAGAGCGAGACTGTGTCTCAAAAAAAAAAAAAAAAAAGAAATTGCTGAAGGAAACATTTGCAGTTGGGGTCAGAGGTGAGTTATGAAGAACTAGGGTAGTAGATTTGTGTGTTGCCAAGGAAAGCAGGTGATCAAGAGAATCAAAGGTTGTAAGCAGAAGATTAAGAAAATGCCATTGGGTTAAGTAACTTGGGAAAGATACAATTTATGGGGAGCAAGACTTTTTTTTCTTTTTTTTCGAACAGCTTAATAAGATCAGTTTACCCATTTAAAATGTACCCAGTGTATCAATTTACCCATTCAAAGTGTACAATTCAGTGGTATTTAGTGTATTCACAGAGTTGTGCAACCATTACCAAATTCAATTTTAGAACTTTTTTTTATTTTTATTTTTTTGAGATGGAGTTTTGCTCTTGTTGCCCAGGCTGGAGTGCGATGGCGCGGTCTCTGCTCACTGCAACCTCTGCTTCCTGGGTTCAAGCGATTCTCCTGCCTCAGCCTTCCGAGTAGCTGGGATTACAGGCATGCGCCACCACGCCTAGCTATTTTTGTATTTTTAGTAGAGACGGGGTTTCTCCTTGTTGGTCAGGCTGGTCTTGAACTCCCGACCTCAGGTGATTGGCCTGCCTCGGCCTCCCAAAGTGCTGGGATTACAGGTGTGAGCCACTGAGCCCAGGCTTTTTTTTTTTTTTTTTTGGACGGAGTTTCCCTCTTTTGCCCAGGCTGAGGTGCAGTGGCGCAATCTTGACTCACTGCAACCTTTGCCTCCCTGGTTCAAGCGATTCTCCTGTCTCAACCTCCCGAGTAGCTGGGATTACAGGCGCTCGCCACCGCACCCAGCTAATTTTTGTATTTTTAGTAGAGACGGGATTTCGCCATGTTGGCCAGGCTTGTCTCAAACTTCTGACCTCAGGTGATCCACCCGCCTTGACCTCCCAAAGTGCTAGGATTACAAGCGTGACCCACCACACCTGGTCCTAGAACATTTTTATCAGCACAAAAAGAAAGTGCTCCCAGTAGCAGTCCCTCTCCATCACCCTACCTTCCATCCCTCCAGCTCTAAGCAATCACAGATCTACCGTCTGTCTCTTTAGATTTGCTTATTCTGGACATTTCATATAAATGGAATCATATAATATGTGGCCATTTGTGTCTGTTTTTTTCATTGTTTCAATATTCTTTAATGACATAGTATGTGTCAGCACTGCATTCCTTTTTATGGTTGAATAATGTTCCATTGTGTGACTATACCACATTTTGTTTATTCATCATCAGTTGATGGACCTTTGGGTTGTTTTTGGATGCTGTGAATAATATTGCTATGAATATCCATGTATAAGTTTTTGTGTAGCATATGTTTTTAGTTCTCTTGGGTATATACCTAGAAATGGAATTCTTGGGTCATAGCATAACTCTGTTTAACTTTTTGAGCAACAGTTGCAGAGGATAGACAAGTTGCCAGTGTTATTTAGAAATAATCATGATGAATTTTAATATCATTACTAGGAGGAAATTGCAAAATGTCTGTGTTCAAACATTTTTGTCAGAAATAAAGCCATTATTAAAGTGATTGATAGAAGTTTTTTTTTTTTTTGGTCTAAACCTGTTACGTGCCTATGTTTCTCCTTTCATTGGAAATCTTTTGTGTTGAGTGTTACCTCAAAGGTTAGCTGAAGTATTAGACATTTTTCTTGTGGATCTATGTATTGACTTAAGTACACTTAGCCAGTTTCACATAATGATTTGTAACAATGATTACATATATGATAAAAACATCACAGATATTTGATGATAAGCTACATTCATGATTTATTTTTCTCCCTCATCTTAACTGTAAAGACCAAATACTATGATTTCCTTCCCCCTCAATTTGGATTCCCTGTAGCTTATGCATCCCAGAAGTTCAATACTCAGAGAAACATGCTTGCCCTATTTTGGTTCTTTGGCTTAGCTCATTACCTAGTATTCCCGTAAATGAATAAATTAATAAAAATTTTTTTATAAATAATTCATTCAGATGGTTCAAATTCGAAAGTTTCAAGGGGGTGAACAGTGAAATTTCTATCCCATCTTTTGTTATTAGTTATCCAAATCTCCTTTGGTAATCAGTATTGTATGACTTTTTTGTTTATCTGTCCAGATTTATACTTTGCATATGGTACTGCAAATACTTCTGTACCATACCTTAAAAAATTAGTTATTTCCATTCCTTTTTTACTTAGCAAATATGTTTGAGACTGTTACATATATGTTTATCAAGTTTTCTCATTGTTTCCAATGGCTGCTTTTATTTTTAACCACTTCCATCAAGACATTTTTCGGGCTATATCTTAATTTTGATTGATTTTGCCAAATTGCTGTTGTTGAGTCGTACCAATTTATACTGCCGCTAGCAACTTAGCTCCGGTTTTTCTGTACTCTCAAAATATGTTATTTTTTGATAATTGTCAATCTAAGTTAAAAAATGGTATTTAAGTGTAATTTTATTTTGCATCTTTCGAGTGAGATTTAGAATTTTTTGTCTGGTTAAGCTATTATGTAATTTTTCTGCAAACTGAGATTTGTCTATTTGCCCTTTTTTTGTTTTTGTCTTTTGTTGGCACTCTTTATTTATTAGATGTCAGACCTTTAATGAGTTCTGAGTTAAACAAAAACTGATGTTGGAGTAGAAGTTGCTTCATTTCTAACTGAATAAAAAATATTTCAGTAACCATTGGGAGTTGGAGGATAGAGTCATGTATTGATAGTTAATTTAGTTGAGTTCCTTTCCCAGTCCAGTGGAACTTTAGGGCCAGGATTTTTGGAGGGGTTTGTTGAGATTATATGGTTTGCTAAATAAATATATTTCAGATAGTCTCTGAGGGAGAGTAGATTGCTCAAGAAATGGAATATTAATCACCTTCCACATTTCTTTTTAGACAACGTTGAGAAGCAATGCTTTAAAATCTCTCATATATATTAAGATGCCTGTTACATCAAACCATATAAAATGTTGATGTTATAATTATGTTTGTATTTTCTTTTCTTTTCTTTTTTTCTTTTTTCTTTTTTTTTTTTTTTGAGATGGAGTCTTGCTCTGTAGCCCAGGCCGGAGTGCAGTGGCGTGATCTCTGCTCACTGCAACCTCGCCTCCCGGGTCCCAGTTCAAGCAATTCTCCTGCCTCAGCCTCTCGACTAGCTGGGATTACAGGAACGCGCCACCATGCCCAGCTTTTTGTATTTTTAGTGGAGACGGGGTTTTACCATGTTGGCCAGGCTGGTCTTGAACTCCTGACCTTGTGATCTGCCTGCCTCGGCCTCCCAAAGTGCTGGGATTACAGGCGTGAGTCACTGTGCCCGGCCAAAAAATAAGGAAATCTGTACTTTTTTTTTTGAGACGAAGTCTTGCTCCGTCGCCCAGGCTGGAGTGCAGTGGCGCGATCGCAGCTCAAGGCAACCTCCACCTCCTGGGTTCAAGGAATTCTCTGCCTCAGCCTCCCAAGTAGCTGGGATTACAGGCACCCACCACCATGCCTGGCTAATTAATAGAGACAGGGTTTCACCATGTTGGCCAGGCTGGTCTTGAACTCCTGACCTTGTGATCCACCCGCCTTGGCCTCCCGAAGTGCTAGATTACAGGCGTGAGCCACCGCGCCTGGCCAGTATTTTCTTACAAAATATAAATATTATAATTTCTTAGTTATGAAAAAATATCTCAGATGACAGTGATTCAAAGTTGCTTGAGGTTTCATAGTCCATACTGCTTAGATGTGTTTTCGTTTTAGCTGAAGCTCGTAATTTTCCAAAGCCTGAGTTTTCAATCTATGTTTATGCTTCTAGACTAATGGTCCCAAGCTCATTTCATGGCTGGGCCAAATATCATGGCATGATACAGACATGATGGCATTATAGGCTGACAGATGAACCACTAAATCAACTTTGTCAAGTCATACATGGCTAAATGATAGCCTATTTCAGAGAAATATTGTGAGAAATAACCAAAAGAAAATAAAGGTAATTGAGGCAGATTCTTGTGAAATCTTTGGAAGAAAAACATGGTTAGGAAGACAAAACACACCACCACAAAACAAAAACAAAACCAGGCATTTAAATTTACTGTTACTCAATTAAAAATCAGCACTTTTGTAGTAAAAATTTTTTCCTGCATTTGTGAATCTGTATAAATATTTGAATGCAACGATGTGTATATATAATTGATTTTAAATGATTTGTCTTATAAATAAAATGTTATATAATAAAAATTAAATAGACTCTTAAACCAAGAATTAAGGGAATTTAAAAATGCCAGATAACAGTGCTTGTCAGACTATCTCTGTTATAAAAGACCAGCTTTCAAAAATTTTCAATCCATTGTGGGTCAATACTTATGTAAAATACAAATAAAAAACTCCCCAAATACCACCCAAAACCAAACATTCAAACAAATTTGAAACTTAAAAATAAAAGCTCAAATTTTTGCTTGATTTAGCAGATAAAATTGTTTTAAAAAATAACATGAGGAACTAGAAAAGAATTGTGAAAACTACACATATTGATTATTGAAAATGTGCTTATAAAGCAACTAACATGAATAAAATAATACTCTCTTGTGGGCTGGTAATAAACACTGGGATGTAGAGTGTGTTCTGAGTAACCTGCTTTTTTTTATTTTGGAATAGGCAGCTAAGTAACTTCTTTATGTTTCTTTTCTTTTCTTTTTTCTTTTTGAGACTCCTTTTTTTTTTTTTTTTTTTTTTTGAGACAGAGCTTACTTTGTTGCCCAGGCTGGAGTGTAGTGGTGCGATCTCGGCTCACTGCAACTTCTGCCTCCTGAGTTCAGTGATTCTTCTGCCTCAGCCTCCTGCGTAGCTGGGATTACAGGTGTGTGCCACCACACCAGCTAAATTTTTTGTATTTTTAGTAGAGATGAGGTTTCACCATGTTGGTCAGGCTGGTCTCGAACTCCTGACCTCAGGTGATCCACCCGCCTCAGCCTCCCAAAGTGCTGGGATTACAGGTGTAAGCCACTGCGCTCGCCCCTAAGCAGGTACTATCAGTGGACAGAGAGATTTAAATTCTAACCTTTTTATATTACCCAATTAAATAATTTTATCCGACTTCAATGGGAATAAGAAAAAATAATTTTAATAAATAGCTTTGATACCTTTTTTGTATTGCTCAATTAAATAACTTAAAAATAGGATTTTTGAACATTATCTTTGCATGAATTTGTGTAAGTAACTTATGTGTTGGTGGAAAGAAATGTATACCATCTTTGCCTGTTTTCCTTTAGGGTAATTCCTCTCCTGCAATTACTTTTGGATGGAAGTATGCCCCTTTCTCAGTAGAAGATGGTAATCTTGGAGAATGACCATGGAGAAGGGGATGAGTTCTGGAGAAGGGCTGCCTTCCAGATCATCTCAGGTTTCGGCTGGTAAAATAACAGCCAAAGAGTTGGAAACAAAGCAGTCCTATAAAGAGAAACGAGGAGGCTTTGTGTTGGTGCATGCAGGTAAGCTTTGTGGATGGCTTGGAAGATGCCAATAATGTTGATTTTTCTTTTTCTGCCTTGAAGTACACTGAGAATCACATTTCACACTTGGAGGAGGCAAAACTGCCAGAGAGGAATTGGAAGCAAAGCGATTGTTTGACTTGGATATAGTGAGGACCTCCCTCTTTACTCCCCAGTTAGAAGATCTTAGAATGGCAGCTCTTCCTAGGTTTTCACTTCCCTAACCTATTATTTACTTTAACTCTATGTAATAGATGTATTTAGGTTAGGTAGTATTAAAACCAGACAAAGTAATTTTTGAACTCTGGTTTATGTTTTTTAAAAATAATGTTGCTGTGGGAGGCTGAGGCAGGAGAATTGCTTGAACCCAGGAGGTGGAGGTTGCAGTGAGCCGACATCATGCCACTGCGCTCCAGCCTGGGCAACAAACCGAGACACCATCTCAATAAAATAAAATAAAATATTGCTGAAAAAATTGTATTGATTCCCATGTGAGACTGTGGGTATCTTAGGGCATAATTATTACACAATCTTTGAGCTGGTTCACCTTCTTTTTTTTTTTTTTTTTTGAGATGGAGTTTTACTCTTGTCGCCCAGGTTGGAATGCAATGGTGTGATCTTGGCTCACTGCAGCCTCCACCTCCCAAGTTCAAGCAATTCACCTGCCTCAGCCTCTTGAGTAGCTGGGATTACAGACGTCCACCATCACGTCTGGCTAATTTTTGTATTTTTAGTAGATGGGGTTTCACCATATTGGCCAGGTGGGTCTCAAACTCCTGACCTCGGGTGATCCACCTGCCTTGGCCTCCCAAAGTGCTGGGATTACAGGCGTAAGCCACCACACCCGGCCCACCCTCTTAATATTTTAAGTGAGGAACCTTAAGACCAGAGAGATTAAGTGACTTAAGAGACTTCAGACACTGGTGGTTGGTGCTAGAGCCAGTGTAAGAAACACCTAAGTAGGCCCTTATGTCTCAGTCTAGTGCTTTTGATGCTGTGTCAGCCTGTGATCTTTCTACTTCAGAGGACCATGAGGACAGACACAGTGGAGTTCATCCCCTGGGCCTCCCATCTTTAAAAGGTCTTGGGTTGCAGAACAGTGCTGCTCTGCCCAGGTTTCCTCAGCAGGCTCTTTTTCCTTTGGCCATTTTTATTTTCTTGTATTCAGAGTCTACTTTCCATGACCTCCATGAAGAGAGAAAGAATGTCTGGGTTTCCTTTTAACTTTCCCTGGGTAGTCAAGCAAGATGACAGCAGGATTAACTTTGATATGGAATGAGGAGTAGAAATGTTTCTTCTTGTGAGACTGGTGTCCTGCCTGGCCATTAACGTTTGGCCATATCTAGACTGGACAACCCGAGAAGCCTTATGTGAATCTAATCCAGAGTATCTAAACAAATCCAAAAAACCAGAAACCAGGTTTAATCCCATTTTCTCACAGGTGCTTTTACAAGGAGGTGAGGTAAATTTACAGAAATAATCCAGTTAAAAGTAGACCTGGGACTAGAGCTTCTGCCTTCAGACTCCTAGTCTGTGTTCTTTCCACTACACTATGTTGATGGTACATCTTCCATTATCTTCCATGATACCAGTGAGTTACCGTATTCAGAGTGAGTGTTTGGAAAGTGTAAAAGAAAGGTCTGAAAGTTGTAACAAGCAATAACATAAAGCTTCAATTAGTTGGAAAGCCTTACTTTCTATAACTATTATGACCCTGTCCCTCCTGTCTTAGACACAGACTAGATGATAATGGCTCTGCCAACCTTAAATAATGGAATTCAGAAGCTATGATTAAAGGTAGAGCTTATTCATGCACAAAGCTTGAGGATGTCCACCTGGGAAACACTGACTCCAAACAAATGGGGTCTGTGTTCCAAAGTGGAGAAGTTAAGTTTTCATTTATGTAGGTAGAGATAGAAAAATTTTAGCAGGATGGTAACATTTTCCGTAGGAGACCAGTGCATAAGTTACAGCAATTTGATTGGTTATAGATTGCTACATCCTAAGGAAGATTACTTTTTACTTTGTGAGAAGGGGCAGTGATCTGAGAGGGTCTTATCTCTGGTGTTGTTTGGTCTTCCTAATTATTTACAGGAAAAAGGCAAAAGTTGCAGCTGCATGTTGTGTGACTCAGGGTGCATAGCCACATTCCTTTCAAGGCTCAGAATGATTTAATGGCTCAACTTTTTTTTTTTTTTTTAAGACTAAGTTTCGCTCTTGTTGCCCAGGCTGCAGTGGTGTGATCTTGGCTCACTCTGCAAGCTTCACAATTCTCCTGCCTCAGCCTCCTGAGTAACTGGGATTACAGGCACGTGCCACCATGCCCGGCTAATTTTTGTATGTTTAGTAGAAATGGGGTTTCACCATGTTGGCCAGGCTGCTCTCAAACTCCTGACTCAGGTGATCCACCCGCCTCGGCCTCCCAAAGTGTTGGGATTACAGGCATGAGCCACCGTGCCCAGCTGGTTCAACAGTTTTAACTTTGAATTATTTAATTTCATACTCTCAGGTAAAGGTTGGTGCTGGGGGTCAGCAAGAAGAGTAGGAACTCTGAGTTATGATAGGATATTGTGTGAATTAAGGGTGACCCTCACTTCTAAATTATTAGAAAGAGTGATTGATTATGCAAAAGCGTGTATCTTGCACATTTAAGGGTCAAAAATTCATATCCTTGTCCAGTGTAGAGCAGTTTTTTTAGCACTAGAGTAGACTTGCCCAAACTTTTGTGATTCATGTAGTAGATTCTTGATTTTTCCCACTGCCTATACTGTTTTATCTAATATTCAAACAACTAAACGCTTTTTAATCTTAACATTTGAAAAATGAAGTTTATGGTTACTTAAATGAAATAGCAGTATCACTTGCCATAAAGAGAAAATAACTTTAAACACAGTGCAAACAAAACACTGTAATTGAAGTTTAACTAGATCCTATTTGTCAGTGGCTTGGATCCTGAGCCTGCCTTTCCATTGTTAAACAGGGAAATTAGCAAGTGTTAACCAGGAATTAAAGATGTACGGGGTGGGGGGGGGGCTCTGCTGAGACTTTTATTATTTCAAAAGGATTTACATGTTAAGGCTATTAAATGCCCTTGTCCCTTACACTGAAGTCATCTTTTTGGAATAGTATCCCATGCTTTAGGAAATGCTGCTGAAAGATTGTGGCCTCTGAGATCTAAGACAGCCAACTTGAGATCACCTGTTCTTAGAGAACCATGAAGAGAGGCCTATTAAATATTGGCACAGGCTCTGTGAATGTTCAGAGTTCTCTTGAGAAACAGGTTTAGGATTTGGGTGTATTGTGGATTCTGGTGGCTTGGGCATCTCTGCTTTCCTGGCTCCTTGTACGACAGTTTCGTGGGTGAGTGCTTTCTCTACCTTGAGGAAAGGTAGGTTAGGTTTGTGTCAGAGTCTGCAGACCTGTAGGAATCCTAAGGCCTAGAGATGTAGCTTTTCTGTTTTTGTCTTTTTTAAAATGGAAAACATGTGTTTGTTTGTTTGTTTTTTGGAGTCAAAGTCTCACTCTGTTGCGTAGGCTGGAGTGCAGTGGCATGATCTTGGTTCACTGCAACCTCTGCCTCCCAGGTTCAAGCTATTCCCGTGCCCCAGCCCCCTGAGTAGCTGGGATTACAGGCATGTGCCACCATGCTTGGCTACTTTTTTTGTATTTTTAGGAGAGATGGGGTTTCTCCATGTTGGCCAGGCTGGTCTCAAACACCTGGCCTCAAGTGATCCTCCCGCCTCAGCCTCCCAAAGTGCTGGGATTGCAGGCATGAGCCACTGTGTTTGGCCTAGAGGTGTATTTCTTAACCTTCCATACATTGGACCCCTATGGGGCTTTAGGGGTGGGTAGGGATAGGTGGTTCAGTGCTCCATTAATGAACTTTGATTAGAGAGAGGCCTAATTAAGAGAGTTTAAGGGCTCTTGTCTTTGTTTCCTTCTTGTTTAGATTATTCTTAAGTCCCTAACTAAGCAAGTTATGTATCCTTGTAGGGAAACCATTTTATTCAGAGCCATTCTCTTGAGACAGTTCTTGGGTATTTGATTAAAAGACAGAGACCACCAGGAATTCTCATAGAGAGTCATGAATGTGCTGTCACTTAGCTTTCAGAGACACCCTGAGCTACATTCTAGTGGGTGAGAGGATGTGAAGTGTTTGTTTAGGAATGGTGCAATTGGTGGTGGTTGTGGACATGCGAGATGTAAGACACCTCAACTTCAAATGTTATTCAGAAGCGATTCAGCTTTCTGAATTACTCTTATGAATTCTGGATTTGAAACAGTAACTTCCCAAATGGCAGGGGCTTTCTGACAGTCAGCAGAGAGGAACCCGGAGGGACCCTGTCCCCGACACCTTCTGGGTTATTAGCTGCAGATCAAAAGAACTCCTGATTTTGGAAAGAGGTTCTTGAAAAGAAGAGGGGAGGGGACCTTGGTGAAGCCTCTTTGGGGACATGAGCTATTTTTAGGGCTTTTGGCAGGAAAAGAGCTTTTGAAAACGGAGATAAGGCATGGTATTAAAAAGGCTTACACTGGAGTAAGAAGTCATAAAACGCCATACAGTTAGGGCAATAGTTTTGTTTTTTACTAGGACAGCATCAGTTTATATGGAGTATTTATATAACATAAGCAAGGTCTCTTGATATTTTAATAATTAACTGGATTTTATTTTCTACTTTAGGTGCAGGTTATCATTCTGAATCCAAAGCCAAGGAGTATAAACATGTATGCAAACGAGCTTGTCAGAAGGTATGAACACAATGTGTATGATCTGTGCATTGCAGTTTTGAACAGAAAGCAGTTTTACCTTGAAATTCAACATTTAAAAGTTTCATTTCTAGGACAGTCTTCCAGTTTGGACTACAAAATTATTTTGCTTGTTTTTGTAGGGGATCGTTTTGTGTTGTTTTGTGTTTTTCTCCACATGTTGCTTAGCTCTTTCCCCACTTTCCCAGATTAAAGTCTGTATTTTTGTAATTGTGGGCACACAATCATATCTCTTTTAATCTTTGCAACGATGTTGAACTTCTGTAGACAGAAGGATAGAGAAAACAGCTTAAAGGCAGTCAATGTGTTTTTCCATGAAGGGAAAAAAATAAATAAAAAAATTAAAATGGGTACTTTCCTATACTTTTTCATTCTGTTTTTCATCATGTAGTTTGTATCATAGCAAGTTCATTGTCATTCCAGAGTTCAGTTTTGCCCTTGTACTCAGTTGTGCTTTTTTCCCATTGGTTTTTGAGGTTTTGCTAAATTGTTGAATATTTAATGTGGGGACAGGAATGGACTCAGAAGAAATGTTTGTTTTTATTTTGATTCTTACTAGTCTTGTAGGCAAACCTTCCATTACTTTTTATGCAAATAGAATCTAGTTGAATATTATATATCAAGTAAATATGCGTCTCTCTCTCTCTGCTCTTTTCATTGATATTTACGTAACATTAAAAAGAAGATTATACTTTATCAGAGATTCAAGCTTTTTCTTATGAATGAAGTCCTATAAATAAGAATATTTTGTTACAGGGATTTTGTTCTTTTGAAATTTGTAATAATAAAGCTAAAAGTTCTCGAAGCTATTTTATATTTTTTCTTATTTTTCAAAGTGTGAAATTTTTCTGTCATCTGAAAATAAATTTTATATAACTATAGTCCTAGAAATCTAATACATTTGAATCGTATACTTAGCCTCTTTAATATTTACAATGAATAAACTTCTTAAAAGTTTAATTAGGAATACAGTTCTTAGTTTTTGAGTTTTCTCTTTGTTGACTAAATTGGAATGTTAATAATTCATTTATAAATGACTTTTCCTTCTCTCTCTTTTCCTCTCCTAATTTATGCTCAAGGCCAGGTGATTTTATAGACCTTTAGTCTGTGTAGTTTATATTACAAAATAATATGATACATCTTGATTTAGAATTTACATTATAGTATCCAAAATGTTTTTGTCAAATGTATGCTTTTATCCTCAGATTCTGGCATGCCCCTGTGACTGAGAGTCACTTCTTTTTAAGTATGGAGAGTATTAACAGTGGGAGGAGAAATGATTAGTTTGAGATTTAGTGTTCTGTATAAAATATGAATTGTCAGGATATTTGAACCAAACTGGGTCATACAATTTCTGTGGCTATTTTGAATTGCCTTACAATGAATGAAGCTTACTAAATTCCTTGTACTTTTCATTTAATAACTAGATTTTATTGTTTTAATTTGAATAATATTAAGTGAGCCATATTACCAATTAACCTGAATATAAACACTTGCTTGTTTTTAATCTGAGTAGTTTATGTCTTAAAGTATGGAATGGAACTAGTGGTCAATTTTTATTAATCTAAGTGTCTCCCATACTTCTTTAAGCTTTTGGAAAGTTTGAGAAGTTGTGATTTTGCAATGAATAATCTCTCCCCTTGGTTTCATAGGCAATTGAAAAGCTGCAGGCCGGTGCTCTTGCAACTGACGCAGTCACTGCAGCACTGGTGGAACTTGAGGTATTTCTTTTCTCTGTTTTATTTAAAATATTTGTGAGTTTATCTTTATTGTTCTTAAATGACATGAAATTGTTGAGTTAGTCAACCATAAATTATATGAGCAGTGTTTCCCACCAATATTAGCAAAGTTATGAAGAAGCCTATGATATTGTTGTTTTCATTGGTGACTTTTCTGAGTAATATAAAAGCTGGTTAAATTCCTTTCTTTTCTTTTTTTTTTGTGAGATTCATGAATACAAAAGTTAAGGATTGGATACTTAAGTTTCCCATTTTCAGTAGGAAAATCCTTGAAGTTAACCCCCAAAAAGTGATGTATATTCTGTTGTTTAAAAATAAAAGAAAAATTCCAACTGTCTAGAAGTGCCTAAAGTAGAAGGGGAAGATTCTTCACGAACCTAACAGTTAGATATATACCCTGAAATTGTGTGCTGTGAAGTGTGCCTTGTCCCAGTGTTATGGTTAGGTTTGTCCCCAGTTTACTGTGGACATCGAATAATTGAGTGGGGAGGCTCTCACGTTTGCCATAATTTTTTATACTCTAGAGTGAGGTTCTCTCAGTTCTCTTGATTTGGAACCTTGATGAATTTGTGCAGGGGATATTGAGGTCTTCAGAAGATCGACTTGCTGCTCAAACTTGGAGAAGATAGATTTGTGTCAATCAGTTGAGAGGATTATTGTGAAAAATATTTTTCTGGTTGAGAATACTACTTAGGGAATCAAGTAAGACATGATGACAAAAACAATGATGAGTTTGAGGGAGGAGATGATAAAGTCGACATTTCCAGGTTGACTGGGTTGTGGCCCTTGTATTTAGGCTCTCATACCAAGGCACTTACCCTTTCATGCCTTTCCTTGTGAAAATTGCCCAGGTGTTTACCATTAGTCCTAGCCGTGTTTTCTGTATATTCTCATGCTTAATTGTGGACCTGAGCTTTCTGTATATTCTCTTGCTTAATTGTGGACCTGAGCTTTTGATCATGCTTTGTAGATTTTAATTTCTCAGATTGGTCCTAATGTAGTCAAGGAAGGTGAAAGTATATGGTGGGCACCTAGTTCTATTGAATCTGACATGGGGATGTGTGATGCCCTCCTGATATGACTGATACATTTCATACCAGCTCTACCAGTCATTAGCCATGTGTCCGTGGGTGTGGCACAGTCTGTCCTTGACTCAGTTTCCCTATTTATGAGGATAGTAATTCCCACTTCATGGAGTTGTGAAGATAAACTGAGTTAGTATATGCCTAATACATGACAGTCTCTTAGAACAGTGTGTGGTACGTAGTAAGCACCCCATAACTGTTAGCAATTATTACAGTTATGAGGTGCTTTGGAAATGGTATGTATGAGATGAATATTTATGGCAACTATTAATGACAAGTTTTACAGCATCAAAGAAAGGTTAATTATATGTTGAGGATAAGAGGAGAAAAATGACATAAGAAAGAAGATAGATGTATTTACCACCAAATGTTACCTTTACTCAAAACAGACACACAAAGAGGGCTTCATCTAACTTAACTAGTTCAATTGTTAGTTGAAAATTACTTTCATGGAGTCACTGTAGGTCTGGGAAAGAAGGTTAATGAGTATCTGGAGAATATACTAGAATGGCAACTATGAATGCAAAACTGAATAAAATTAAGTTTCTCTTTTCATCTTAGAATAACTTTAATTTTCCTAAGTCATACTTATATATCATGTTTACTATTTCATTCTATTTTCCCCTAGTGTTGAATCCTACTTTTAAGGGGTTTACTTATTTATACTTAAAAATGATAAAAATACATTTTGAAATAATGAGTTTCTCCTGAGTAGGTGGACTTACAGTTTCGGATAACTTGTGTTTTTTTAAGAATGTGGATATGAATTTAAAGGAAAAAAATTTCTTGTTCTATTATTTTTGCTTGGAATAAGTCATAAGGATAATGGTAGCATAGAATTCTTCCCCAAGTGACTTTAGTACATCCCACACCTCAACTTTTAGTTATTTTATTTTTTATATATATATTTTTGAGATGGATTCTCACTCTGTAGCCCAAGCTGGAGTGCAGTGGTGCGATCTTGGCTCACTGCAACCTCTGCCTCCCAGGCTCAAGTGATTCTTGTGCCTCAGCCTCCCGTGTAGCTGGGACTACAGGCATGCACCACCACACCCGGCTAATTTTTGTATTTTTTTTTTTAAGTAGAGACAGGGTTTCACCATGTTGACCAGGGTGGTCTTGAACTCTTGAGCTCAGGTGATCCACCCACCTCGGCCTCCCAAAGTGCTGCGATTACAGGCATGAGCCACCGTGCCTGGCCTCAACTTGTAATTATTAAATTTGTGGAAGAATTTCAATTAATTATCTAACAATTAACTTTTCTATGGACTCTTTGAATGAAATATATGTTAATAGTTTAAGGTTAAGCTTACACTAATTGGAAGAATTTTCCTAAATCTTAAGAAGTATGTTGGAAATCATGCTTATACTTCCCCCTGCAGTTTCTCTCACCTTGAATAATTGTGATTCATTACCTTAAAACAGGATAGGTTTTCAGATGGAGTTCAGTTGGGGTAGTATTGTAATAGCTTGGGTCAATGGAAAGATGTAAGAAGATTGGATTCTAGTATTTGCTGTACTTAGAGAAATATAAGTAGCAGTATTGAGTCCTTTCAGAATACTGAAAAGTGCTGAGAAAAATTCTGGAGAGCTGTATTAACAATGTGTTATATTTAATTTGAGAATAAACACTTATCTTTAGTTTTGGTCAGTCTATTCAGTTAAGTCATGTCTGGATTATTGAACAGATGCAAACAGTCATTGTTCTTTTCTCTTTAGACTTTGGGATATACTTTTTGATTTAAAAAATGATGTTCTTGCCACTGAGCTTAAGGAAACAATACATAAACATATTTTAAAAACTTGCCCGTTATATTATTACTTAGGCAGATATTGAAATTGATGTGAATTCCTTAAATACTAATTGTGGATTGAAATGACTGAAATGTTCTAATGGTCTTTATTGCCTAGAAAGTGTATCTGGCTGTATATTTAAAAAATGTGATAATTTGTATTTTCCCAAATAGTGAAAAGTACACCGTTCTTAACTCCATGCATGGGGAAGAGGAAGAGACAAGGCAAAAGAAATATGTGTATATGTATGTGTGTGTGTGTGTGTGTGTGTGTGTGTGTGTGTAAATACCACAGAGACACACACACACACAGAGTAAAGGGAATTATGCAGACATATCATTTTTTAGCTTTTCTTAGAGACTGATAATTTTGTGTGGTTTTATTTTTCTTTACCACCACTGCAGACAAATGATGTCATCTTAAGACTGTCACTTCTGGACACCAGAATGAGGTGTTTTCTTCATTTAAGTAAAGGAGGGGCGGGTGCAAAAGTTCCTATCTATTAAATTGACCACCTTCTTCCTTTAGAGTTTTGGGAGGGAAGGTGGCTGCTTCTGTATGAGAGGTTTTCTGCAGTGTGGAAATGCAAATGATATTACTCCAAAATATATTTTGTTTATCTTCAAAATGCAGGGAAGAAAATGGAAAGGTCAGTTTATAGATCATATTTTAATGATTTATTGGTAAATCGATTCATTCCTGTTGTTTCATATAGCTTTTTTGAGATTATCTTAATAACTGATGAGAAAGTGAATTCTGTTCACTGGATGGTACAACTCTGGTTTCACTCACAGCAGAGAAGATTAATATTGTGAAAGAATTTGGTCTTCATATTTGGGACTATACATTTGGATGACAGTTGCTTTTTTGGCTGCCTTTGAAATAGTTTTGGATCAAGTAGTGACGTGGATTTAAGATTCTGGACCATAATTTTGCATATTTCACATGGTGTAACTTGTGATGTGAATTTCTTTTTTGAGAAAATTGGATATAGAACTGGGTGAGTCATGATGCTACCATTTTCTTAGGATTGTTTCTAAAGTAGAAAGTGTTTCATGGATTCTGATAGAAAATGAACTATTTATAAAATACTGCCTGAAGCTCATTTTGCACATTGGTGTTTTTCTTATAAAGTATGAAGACCTGGTTTAAAAAAGTCTAATGAGTAATAATAGGTGAAATATGAACGACAGACTTTTGGAAGGTAATTTATAATCTTTTGTGAGAAAACTGATGAATTTGGCAGAGGTTTTGAAGATCTTGTTGTAACCTTTGAGAAAGTTTGGTTAATTCATTCTGAAAACTGATTATTTTGGTAGGTAGAATACTGTGTATTAAGAATAGTGATAGGGGCCGGGCACGGTGGCTCATGCCTGTAATCCCAGCACTTTGGGAGGCCGAAGTGGACGGATCTTTGGGAGGCCGAAGCGGATGGATCATGAGGTCAGGAGTTCAAGACCAGCCTGGCCAATATGGTGAAACCCCGTCTCTAATAAAAATACAAAATTTAGCTGGGCATTGTGGCGCGTTCCTGTAATCCCAGCTAGTTGGGAGGCTGAGGCAGGAGAATTACTTGAACCAGGACCCAGGAGGCAGAGGTTGGCAGTGAGCCGAGACTGTGCCACTGCACTCCAGCCTGGGCTACGGAGTGAGACTCTGTCTAAAAAAAAAAAAAGAATAGTGATAGGAATAGCTTTTACATTTTATATAGTAAAAGGCAAATTATACAGGTTCCTTTGTTAAAAATCTTTTGTTGAACTTCTGTTATTAAAAATGGACTGTGAAGTTTTTTATTCACTTGATTCATGCTTTAAAGCTCCCTATGGTCAGGGGAGATGCTAATTCATGGTTAAAACTCGTTTCTTGTCCAAATGCTTTAGTGTTTATAGGGGAGATTATATTGGGCCAAGTTTTTAGTCATTCTGTTAAAAACAGTTCATTGTCTTGGATCTCTGTGTAATACAAATATTGCTTGCTTGTAAACTCTAGGGAAGTCCTTTAAGAATAACTTATTCAGGTGACTGATATTTTGGTATGTAAGAGAAAGAAAGTAGGTATTTTCATTATATATTTATATTATTATGTATAATACTGTTATACATTTGTCTGTATCTCTACATTTTTTTTGCTGTTGTTCAGACAGATTCTTGCTCTGTCGCCTAGGCTGGAGTGCAGTGGTATGATCTTGGCTCACTGCAATCTCCACCTCCCGGGTTCAAATGATTCTCATGCCTCAGCCTCCTGAGTAGTTGGGACTACAGGCGTGCGCCACCACACCTGGCTAATTTTTTTTGTGTTTTTAGTAGAGATGGGGTTTTGCCATGTTTCCCAGGCTGGTCTCGAACTCCTGGCCTCAAGTGATCCACCCGCCTCGGCCTCCCAAAGTGCTGGGATGACAGGTGTGAGCCACCGTGCCCAGCTAGCTCTTCATTTCTTTAAGGCAGGCAGGGATCTCCAGAATGGGAATGTTGGTCACACTTGAGTAGTTCATTGTGAGCGGACCCCAGCCCAGGCCTCTTGTGCAGCTGCAGGAATAGGCCATATTCTCTTCCCTGGGCTCTATACTTCTGGCTGGAATTGTCTGTGTGCCTCAGGGGGATAGAAGAAACTTCTAAGGCCTGCCAGTCCTTGAAATGCCTAGTGGTCATGGAGATGGTGTGGCTTCCTGATGGCATATGGGCATACCTAGGATGGAAGGGGACATTGGGAAGGGCCGATAATTTCCCTTTTCACCTCACCAAACTTATAACAAGTTTTCTTGTGAGCAGATGCTTAACCACACCCTGCTCCCTACCCTACTTCAGTCAGTTGGTTTTTATTGCAGAAAAGGAGGGGCATCTGCTTTAAGGTCATTTTTGTTATTTGGGAAGTTTAAAATTATTTAAATAAACGAGCATCTCCAGTTTCCTGTACATTTTTATTTTTTGTAGAAATTATATTTTCATAAGCAGAGTGGTCCCTTGCTCTTTCCCCAGCGCCCCCTGCCCCCCAGTAGAGCTGACCACACTGGAAAGACAGCTTGATGCATTTAGCTCACATTTACGTAAGTGCTCATTAACTATGATGTGGCTGGTGAGTCTAATTTTAGACCTACCACCCTTGAAAATCTCATTTTTTTCTTCCATTGATAATATCTTTTATTCTCTGTAAGGGGAGTGGGATGTGTTTCTATGTATGTGAAGTAGAAGATTTACCTTTTTTCTTTTGTAGTACTTACAATGTTTTCATTGCATGAAATTTGAGTTTTGACCTTAGGTGCTCTTTTTTCCTGTTTTTTTTCTTTACTTGGTATTATTGATTATTTCAAAGACCCTATTTTGCCTGTCTGTTTAGCAGTATTCCCAGTGGTGCTTCAGTATTTCTGTGTATTCCAGCTGTTTATGGAGTCTTTATGTTTCTCTGCATTTTTTGTTTTATTTTTTGAGGTGTACACACACAGTTACACTTCATGGAGTTGCATCCAGCCAAGTATCCATGTCCTTCTTGTGAAGAGGCAGAGAAAATCACCTCTCCCAAGAATTTCCACCTTCTGAACAAGGGAAATGTATCCTGAAGAGCTGTACGCAGATGGGAGGCAACTTGTTTGCTTGTTCTGCTGCTAGAGCATTGATTTAATTAGAAGACAGGCTGTGGGTGGCCATGTGCAGACAAAGAAGCACCAGACAGAGCCCATTTAGCCTGGGACAGTAAAAGTAAGTTACACTCTTTTTAAAACACTTTTTTGAGTACTGATGCTGATTCTTGCCTTTAGTACTAAGGGGCAACTTGTAACTTACTGTTTGTGTTTACACATAGATACATCCGTTCTTTTTCTGAGACCCTAGAAATGACACATGCTCTCTAGCACAAAGTACCTGCTTAATGGAAAAGCAGTGATTTCTTCCCCAACTGCCCTTTTTTTTTTTTAAAGAATAAAAAGAAAACGGAATCAATGATTACATTCTAGATTAATTTTACATGGTAGCAAACCCGGTGTTAGCTTTTGACCAAGTCAAAACACTTAAGTATAGAGCTTATCATGCTTTTACTTTGTAGTAATGGGAACATGAAAAATGATTTTAGGCTTTTCCGGCCATTTCTTGATGAGGTATGTGGATCTCATCAGATATATTCATCCTGGCTGAATCTAGTAGAAGAGAGGGTCCAAGATCAGACCTAGCAGTTCCTGAGGAGCATGGAACTCTCTATGTATGCCCTTGTTTTTCTCTGGGAGTTGTTACTCTCAAAAATATACTTCATTTTGGAATTCAGTTTTGAGCTACCTAAAGCCATATATGGTAGCGTGGTGTAGTTAGTGGAAATCCTGTGTTTTGACTACGTGGAAACAATTTAGACTTTTGGATTTTTGAGTGTAAAATGTCTTCTAGTCCTATATTAATAGGAATATTACACAAAAGGGATTTAATTAGATTCATTGGTCCTAGGATTTATAGTGTTGTGATTTTTGAATGATTGTGTGTGTGTGTGTGTATGTGTATTTGTGTTTGTTTGGATCTGTGTCATTTGCGGCATCAGGTTTATACCTTAACATCTACTGTTTTTGTCTGTTTTGCTCTTGGTAATGAAGGATGTAGGCTAATAAGATTTTTCTATGTTTGGAAAATCACAGGCTGGTATGATGGTGTTTAATTTCAAAGACTACCTTTTGATTTTAAGTTTTTTTTCCATCTCTCAAACCCGCCCCTTTATTCAGAATCTGGAAAAGAATGAGGAAGAAACTTAAGTTACATAATTTTTAAGATTCTCGGCCTGGCACAGTTGCTCACACCTGTAATCCCAGCACTTTGGGAGGCCGAGACGGGCGGATCACGAGGTCAGGAGATCAAGACCATCCTGGCTAACACGGTGAAACCCCGTCTCTACTAAAAATACAAAAAATTAGCTGGGTGTAGTCCGGGTGCCTGTAGTCCCAGCTACTCGGGAGGCTGAGGCATGAGAATGGCATGAACCCAGGAGGTGGAGCTTGCAGTGAGCTGAGATTGTGCCACTGCACTCCAGCCTGGGTGACAGAGCAAGACTGTGTCTCAAAAAAAAAAAAAAAAAAAACCAGATTCTCATCAAGATTCTAAATCTTGCTCTCCTCTCTCTCTTTCTTTCATGTGTTCATTACCTAAGTGTTAGAATAATGAAGGATTGTACCTCACTATAGAAATCAGCTTAAAGCTGAATCTTAGACATTTGACAGAAGTTCTTTGGCCATTCCCATTGCCAGGTAGTTTTTACTGGCAGTCATTCTCACTCAGGGTCCAGCCTCCTGCATGGTGTACACATTTCCTGACAGTTCATGACACACATGTACTGTAACACAGGACATCAACACTATAACACATTCAGAGTGGGGAATTTATTTATGTTTCCCTTTTCTGGAGTATGTGCAAATGTAAGCAACGTTTTCTAGTGGGTTGGAAGTCTTTTTATTAAAAAAAGCTTAGTAGAGGACTTAAAAGTTACTAGTATCCCTCTTTCCTCTCCAGTTCTGACCATGTCATTTGATAAAAGGATGGTTTAAATTATTATAATTCCATGGTCTGTTAGGTTCTTCTTGAGTGATGTTTCCATATTATTGTCAATATGGTTAAAAGGTATAATTATTTAGGTTGAAGGGAAGTATAAGTGGCTGCCAAATTTGGTAGTACTGGAGAAACAGCTACATTTGTCTTTTCTGTTTTAGCTCATGTGGAAAGGACAATTTCAGGTACTGTGTGTGCTAACTAACCTCTTCCTGGACATCATAAAGAATCCAACTAAAACAAAGTTTAAAACTATTTCAAATGTGAAAGTTTATTGAAGCCAATATTCTATTTTAGAGATTTGTGTTATGTTTTTGACAAGTAACTGTACTGTAATTATGTGGCTTTCAATTAAAAAATGTGAAAACTGTTGTGATGTCATTTTTCTGCTTAATTATGTTGTATGTGCCCTTGTAAATTAGGCAGATTAGTAATAGAAAGGAGGTGAGTGCAGATGTGCAGTGCCTTTTTGTGAAAATATTTTAAATAATAAAAATATCTTGAGCTCATAGTGGGCAGTGCAAGAAAAAGTAAAGTTTCCATTTTTGGACAGAATATTTTATGTCAGATTAACAAATGCTCTAATGAACAAATATTAACATTGGTTCAATTTTTTCTGACATTTCCAGAAAAGCTTGGGCACTTAAAGAAGATCATAAAAAGCCTTAGTTTCTACTACGTATGTTGTTGTGTGAGGGTTTTTTTTTTTAAATGAAGTATGTTGTCTTTTGTAAATTGAATAGTTAAAAAAATGAACTGTCACAGATACTAAAACCTGGTATTCAACATACTATGTTTGACTCAAGTGTTCACAGAATGTGATGCAAACAAATGTTCTCTCAACTTACATCCAGGATAGCTAAAATATTACTTTAACACATGTTGAAAGTAGAGTGCTCTATTTGGCTAGATATAATTCCAGGCTGTCTAAGTTGAGTAATTTCCTCAGACATTCCAACTTTGATCAACTGCAGCAAGAACTTTTAGCATGTCTGTAAAGCAGCCAGTGCATCTGTAAATATGTCCTGAGATAGGGAGAAAAGAGAATGCCAAAAAAGAAAGAATACCTTGTTGTTTAGGAGCAGTTTACAGAACAAAAATGGAAAGTTTTTTGTTTCCTTAGGAACTTTTTTTTAAGATAATTGAACCTCTGATTTGCAAGTATGCCCTGAGGTTCTGTATTAATGAATGAAAGATACTTCATTTGGGCCTAATAAAAGTGTTTTGTGGCTAACTCTGCTGAAACTTATTGGTTAAAGTTCATTAATTCTTGAACTTTTTACTCTTTATAAATGTAATATTAATTGGCTGTAGCCAATTGGCTACAGCCTCAAACATAATAATATATAGCTCAGTAATGCATGTCTTAATTGTTTATAATTGGCCAGTATTTGGGTGAAAATGTTCATATGTGACTAAGAATAAGTCTAAGAACAGGCAGCATCACTACAGAAATAATCTCATGTGCCTTTTTTTCAATACATGGATGAAAATAGGCTTTCTGGCTTTAATTTTCAGTGACCCGAAAATGAATTTGCAAATATCTGCTAATTTTCCTATACAAGCATTGACTTAAGAGTGTTTATAATGGCAGATCACCCTCTGCTATATGGGAACTGCATGTTTTCTGTGTTTTCGGCACAACACGTTCATATTCACATGGATATATAACTTCCCTGGAAATATTTTAAGCTGTAGTTAGCAACTACTTGCAAACTGGATATTAAATTGGATGATAAGTCTAGCTTCTTTCTGACCTTGCTTTCTGTAGTCCCATGATAATAAATAATGTGACTTCCAATTAGCTGCAGTTATGAAAATTCTGCTTTTTAGATCAATACTATACCAAAACTTAGAAGGAATTATTAATCCTCTTGTGGCTTCTATGTTGCAGATCTCTATTATTGTCCATATTCTGTAATTATTTTGTCATGGAAAACAAGGTTAACACAGTTAAATTTATTACTAATAAAAAAAGTTTTGCCATAGTTTTACCTTCTTTTCATTGAGCATTTTTTCCAGAACTGAACAAAGTGCAGTATAATTGATAGATTTACATCCTTCAAACCCATCCTCTATATCCTAAAATAAGTGCAGAGAAATGGTGAATGGGCGTGCTGGGAGAGAAGATGGAGGGGCAAGTCCTGGATGTAGTAATTTTAATTTCTTGGGCAGGGTACTTGAACAGATATCTGAGTTGGTTATCTTGTTACTGTTTCTGTGTTTACCAGAGAATTTTTCTTCCGTAAACCCTGTCCATCTGAATGCCAGGATTTCTTCAAAATTTAATACTTATTTTATGTCATGTGCCTACTTTCTTGATCTTGAAGTCGTTAATGTTCATAGTGGGAATGGAAGAGTCAACTTTTCCCTATGTGGGGGCTGGTTATCTGATTTATAGATAGATTCTCATTATCCTATAATTATTTTACCTGATTATATCTTTGCCATTTTTGCATGTTACCTGAACATTATAGCCCCACCTCCCATGCGCTTCTGTGTATGGGGAATGTGTGTGTGTGTGTGTGTGTGTGTGTGTGTGTGTGTTTGCTACAAATTACTAGTTCTAAAAAGGTTATCATGTTTTGTCTTGATAGGCAGTTTACCACTGGGTAAAGTTGTAGATGAAGTTGTCTATACTAATGATATTTGAGAAAAATACCATGATATTTTATTAGTTTTCTGGTATTTGAGAAAAATACCATGACTTCCTGTGGACTCTGAGTAGAAAGCTCATCTGACTCGTTTTGGAGAAGGAAAAAGGTATTACAAATTTTATTTGTTATAATCAGAAGATATGCAGCATTTCTGACCACTAATCTGGCTCTTTTTAGTAAAGGTGAGTTGACACTTGGTAGACTGCAGTACAGGTTACTTCTGTATTGTTTCTTTAAGTAGCAAGAGGTAATTCAATATTTTAAATATTTAAGCATGATAATAAAATTTGTTGTTAGGACTGTCATTTGTGTCAAAGAGCTATTTTGCCTGAAACCTGTATTGTATGGAAAACTGAAGATTTACGCAAGCTTAGATTTTGCATCTGAAGAAGCTTGAGACCTTCTTAATCTTACAAAGTGATGTAGGCCAGAGATTGCAAAAGAGACATTTCACAGATGCGTGTTGATTGGCCCATAGACTAGCTTTTAAAAACTGGAATTTGTTGTCAACATGTAAAAATGAGGAGACTAATATAAGCATCTGGACTTCTAAATTATCTTGGCAAAAATGAGATCTGGCCACATGGAGCATGCATTCTCCCAGGGCTACAATCTCCCAGAGCTAAGTGACAGCTGGTTCTTTTGAGTGTAGGAGCTTTTGTAGCACTGTATATCATTTTAAGGTATAGCTGGAAATAAGTCTTGGACAGAGATTATTAGCTTTTGTCTTGTTGCAAGGGCCAGGGAAATGAATGTATGGTTTAATGGTCATTAATTTAATGGTCTAGAGGCTGCGAATTGTTGTAATAGGGATTTCTACCAAACTAATAGTAAAGCCGGAATGAGCTTTGATTTAATTTTTCAGAATAGGAATTGGACTTAAATATTAACTTTTATTTTGAAAATGAGCTTCAAATCAAACTAGACTTTTCAAAAAAATTCCTCATTGAAACAATTTGAACTAATACCAAAGTATATCACTCTAAAATTTTTGACCTGAAGCTAAAGCAGATCAAAAACCTCGGTGACCCAAATAAGGTTGAACCAAATTGTTTATTTACTTTTAGTCCCAGGAGTGAAATATTGTTTTTACTGTTTGTGATGAAGGAACGTACTGAAAGTCCAAGCATACTGCACTGATTTTCACACTTTGTCCTGATAACTTCCTAAAGGATATTTAGCTTCCAACATCATTTATCTTGATTGCATTACATCTTAATGGAAAACATAAGAAAAATTGCTGTTTTGTGGATAATATTTATGGCTGTCTTTGTGATGATTGCCCAGAAAGGTTTCTATGTCTATTTACCATTGACTGTCTCCCATTTTATTAACTTTTCTCCAGTCCATCTAATTTTTTTTCCAGGGTTGAATCCTAGCCCCAGAGTGGTTAGCTTTTGTAGCCTCTCATGGATCATTTGTAGCTTTTTTACTCCCAATATCCTCTGTGCTGTTGCAATAGATGCCTTTACAAGCCCCCTCCAGATGTGGTTCATGGAGAATATGAAGTTAAGCAGCTGACGGAGTTCATTTACACTGGAGTTTCTCAAGGTGAGGGCTGGATTAGAATTGTTGGAGGTAGCTTATTTTAAAAAATGATGATTCCCTAGCTTTCAACTCATGACCTGGACCAGAATCTTTGGGGATGAGAGTCTGGAATTTTAATTCTTTGACTCTTTAAAAAAAAAACTTTGTAAGTTAATTGTGGATACATGCAGGCATAAGAAATAATACTGAGAGATCCTTTGGACCCTTTAATTCACAATGGTAACAGTTTTTAAAAAATTTGCAATCTTATTTTGAAAATTTTATAGTTTCAAAGCTTTCTTGTGTGTATAGTATACATATGGAAAACTATACACATTTATTTTAAGGGGACAGCTTCATGAATTTTTTTCAGAGTGAACATGGCCGGCCTTGTGTCACTAGCACCCAGATCAGCAAACGGAACATTTCTGCCCTCCAGAAGGCCCCTTGTGCCCCCTTCAGTCACCTCAGGGTAACACTGGTCCTGACCTCTATTGCCATATATTAGTCTTGCCTGTTCTAGAACTTCATGTAAATGGAATCATATATTATGTATTCTTTTGTGTCTGCCTTTTTAAATTGAAGTGAAATTCTTAGAATACAAAATGAAGCATTTTAAAATGCATAATCCCATGGCATTAAAATGCTCACAGTGTTGTGCAACTACCACTTTCAGTTCCAAACATTTTTATCTCCCCAAAGGAAACCTCATACTCATCAAGCAGTTGCTCTTCATTCTTTTATCCTTTCCCCCTTGTGGACCACCCATCTGCTTTCTGTCCATGGATTTACCTCTTCTGGATATTTTATATTGATAGAATCATGCCATTTATGTGGCCTTTGCTGTCTGGCTTTTTTCGCTTAGAATAATGTTTTTAAAGTTTGTTCACAGTGTAGCATGTATCAGTACTTCATTTTTTGGAGGAGCAGTATTCAACATTATTCATGTATCTATCACAGTTTGTTTCATTCCAAATCCATTCATTCATTGATGGACATATGGGTTGTTTCTACCTTTTGGCTATTGTGCATAGTGTTGCTATGAATACTCTTGTATAGGTATTTGAGTAACTTTTTTCAGTTCTTTTGGGTATATACCTAGAAGTGAAATTGCTGGGTCATATGGTAATTAATTCTATGTTTAACTTTTTTTTTTTTTTTTTTTTTTGAGACAGAGTTTTGCGCTTGTTGCCCAGGCTGGAGCAATGGCGCCGTCTCAGCTCACTGCAACCTCCGCCTCCCAGGTTCAAGCTATTCTCCTGCCTCAGCCTCCCCAGTAGCTGGGATTATAGGCGCCCACCGCCATGCCCGACTAATTTTTAAAAATATTTTTAGTAGAGATGGGGTTTCACCATGTTGGCCAGGCTGATTTTGAACTCCTGACCTCGAGTGATCTGCCCTCCTTGGCCTCCCAAAGTGCTGGGATTACAGGTGTGAGCCACCGCGCTTGGCCTGTGTTTAACTTTTTGTTGAACCTTTTTCCATGGTAACTGAATGAACCCTTTTTGCATTTCCAGCAGCAATATGCAAGGTTATAATTTTTTCTACATCTTTGTTAGCACTTACTATTTTCTGTTTTTGTCGTCATAACTGTCCTTGTGGATGTGAAGTAAAATCTTTGTAGTTTTGGTTTTCATTTCGCTGATGATCATGATATTGGATATATTAATGTTCCTGTAGCCATTTGTGTATCTTTTTGGTAGAAATGTTTATTTGAGTCTGTTCAAGTTTTTTGCCCATTTTCAAATTGATTTTTTGGGTTGTTATTGAAATTTGGAGCTCTTTATATAGTCTAGATACTAGACTATCGTACTTTTCTATAAGTCTGAAATTATGTCCAAAAAAATGATAAATAAATTGTAACTACTGCTATAGTTTTCTTTTTAATAAAAGCCCTCTGACCATCCCCAGTACTCCTATTGCTTACCTGTTTTATTTTTTCACTCTCGTGTTTACTGCTATCTGACATGTTATCTAATGTATTTAATTTCTTATTGTTTGTCTCCCTTAGCTAGAATTGAGGCTCCATGTAGGTAAGAATGTTTTTCTGTTTCGTTCACTGCTATATCCCCGTGGTTTAGATCAAGGATTGGCCAACTATGGCCAGAAAGCCAAATCTGGCCAGATGCCTGGTTTTGAATGGCCTGCAAACTAAGAATGATTTTCACTTTTTTAAATGGTTGAAACAAAATCAAAAGAAGAATAATATTTCATGACACCAGAGAAGTATATGAAATTCATATCTCAGTATCCATAAATGAAGTTTTATTGGAACACAGCCATGCTTATTCATTTGTGTATTTTCTATTGCTGCTTTTGTGCTACAGTGGCAGAGCTCAGTAGTTGTAGCATTGTCTATGTGGCCCACGAGGCCTGAACTAGTTAATATATCTTGCCCTTTACAGAAAAGATTTGCCTGGTACAATGGTGTCCAATAAATATTTGTTGAATTAATGACTCTTAACCTGTGCTACCACAGAGGAATCTAAATTGGAAATCTTTTAACCATCCAATTCTTGAAAATTTGAGCTTAATTGGCAACTAAACAAAAAAAAATTCCCCAAATGATTTTTTCAGTCAGTAATACAGTTTCATTGGCTTCCATTCATCCTGTAAATGAAAACTGATGTTGGGATACCAGAAAATTAGTAATTCTTAGAATAGTGCTAGCTAAGATAGGCATATTGTACAAGTTTTACTAGTGTTAGTTTGAAAAAGAGTATAATGACATGGAGTACATATCCTGTTTTTGTAACTCTTTTAAAAAGATGCAAGAAAGTTCATTTCGAAAGCTTTTTCCCCACCTTTCTCAGCTTTAGAAGGTTAAAGGTATCTGCTTATCAATGAAGTTAGTAATTAAAATGATTTTTCTTTTTTTTTGAGACAGAGTCTTGCTCTGTCGCCCAGCTGGAGTACGCAGTGGTACAGTCTTGGCTCACTAAAGCCTTTGCCTCCCAGGTTCAAGGTTCAAGTGATTCTCCTGCTTCAGCCTTCTGAGTAGCTGAGATTACAGGCACCTGCCATCACGCCTGGCTAATTTTTGTATTTTTAGTGGAAATGGCATTTCATCATGTTGGCCGGGCTGGTCACAAACTCAATTAAAATGATTTTGATAGGACATTCAATTTTCAACAAGAGTTATATATTCTACTTTATTTCATGTATCTAATGATGTGTTTGTTGAATTTGCACTTGAGCGACAGAGTGTGAGTACTAACATATTAGTAATTTCCTGTTAATGTCTGACTTCTCGTTAAAGGAAGATTGGAAATTGGACAAACATAAATCATTTTATATAAAAATGATTTTATAATGTGCCAGTCTAGTTTTTGTACAATATTTGAAAACTAAATTGTTTGCATCTGTAAGAGCTGTTAATAGAGGTCTCATAATAGATCCTCAGAGATGCAGTATACCCTGGAGCCTTGCAAACAGTTCTTATATTATTTTATGCCTTCAGCAAAGGACATTAAATGGGTAATACAAGTTGTGGTTTATAGTGAAAGAGTAATACTTTGCAGATCTTTGCCTTGGCTTGGGGTTCCAAAATTTCATTAATAGGAAAGGGTTTCCATGTCGTGGTGGGAGAGTAGCTCCTGACTTGCCTGTTGGCCTTTCTGCCCTCTCTTTGCTGGGTTGGTTAGTCAAAGGGCATCTCACTTCTTAAAGCCATGTCTCCTTGAAAAGTTATGAATAAGTTTAAAATATATTTTGGTTTTAGAATTCCATTTTTTAGAAACAGAAAATACTGTTGCCTAAGTTTGTTTAATTTCTCTTGTTTTAATCTTGAAAAGATTAGATTCTTAGCACTCCACTACATTTTCCTGACATTTCTCTATAGGAGCAACCTGTAAGAATTAATAAGTATCAGCTTGCTTAAGGGGTTATAGCTCACAATAATTACTCTGTTTATATCTAGTTATAATTAACTGCTGTTCATTCATTCTGCAAATACTTATTGATTACCTACCTGCCATGTGCCAGGCATTGCCTTACATATTGGGATATAGCACCTAAAGAGACAAATTCTTTTTTTTTTTTTTTTTTTGAGACGGAGTCTCGCTCAGTCGCCCAGGCTGGAGTGCAGTGGCGTGATCTCGGCTCACTGCAAGCTCCGCCTCCTGGGTTCACGCCATTCTACTGCCTTAGCCTCCCGAGTAGCTGGGACTACAGGCGCCCACTACCACGCCCAGCTAATTTTTTGTATTTTTAGTAGATACGGGGTTTCACCGTGTTAGTCAGGATGGTCTCGATCTCCTGACCTCGTGATCTGCCCACTTTAGCCTCCCAAAGTGCTGGGATTACAGGTGTGAGCCACCGCGTCCAGCCTAAAAAGACAAATTCTTATATTTAAGGGTCTTACATTCTATTTGGAGGGGTAGACAAACAAAAATTATGTATACTGTCAGGTAGCGGAAAGTGCCATAAAGAAAAATAAAATAGAGATAAGAGAATGTTGGGAATGGCTGGGGAAATGCTATTCTAGATGAGTCAGTAAGGGGAGCACTCTCTGATAAAGCTGACTTTTGAACAGAGACATGAATGAAATGGGGGAGAAAGCCATGTGAAGATGTTGGGGAAGGGAGTTCTTGTTCAGAGAGAAAAGTACCCACTGTCCCTTCATATTCCACTTCATTCTTCTTTATAATACTAATCACTGTGGGACCTCAGGTATTTATACATACATGTAATGCATCTACACACACACACACACACACGCACGCACACACATGCAGTCTATATTTATGGGCCCTCTTCTTTCACTAGAAATCTCTCACCAAACTCAGCATCTCAAAGGAATGAATGAATAATAGATGCAACAGCCCTGAGGTAGGGGCTTTCTTGATGTGCTCAGAATCGCAGTGTGGGCTGGAGTGTGGTAAGAGAGAAGAATGCGGAGAGTAAGTTGGAAGAGGGAGGGAAGGGTCAGATCATGTAGGGCCTTGTAAATGTTGAAAATTAGGACTTTGGATTTTATTCTAAGTGTGCTAGGAAACCATTGTAGGTTTATGAACAGAGGAGTGACAGAGTCTGACAGATTTTAAAAGGAGCACTGGCTACTTACTGGACATGATTATTAATTACGCAAAATGAGTTACATCAGAAGATCAGATGACCGCTTAAAAAGTTTATGTATATTATTTTAAATTATTTAAATTTATTATTATTTTTTTTTAGAGAAAGGTCTCACTCTGTTGCCCAGGCTGGAGCGCAGTGGTGCAATCATAGCTTACTGCAGCTTAGAGCTCCTGAGCTCAAGCAGTCTCCCTGATCTCCCTCCCGAGCAGCTGGGACTACAGGCATGCACCACCATGCCCAGCTATTTAAAAAAAAATTTTTGGAGAGATGGGGTCCTACTGTGGTGCCCAGGCTGGTCTCAAACCGCCGACCTTGAGTGATCCTCCTGTCTCAGCCTCCAAAAGTGATTTTATTATTTATAAGGGGCAAGTTAGTATATAGGCTGATTAGTTTATGTCAAGTAATAGGTATACTACTTTTTTGTCAGCTTTATTGGAGTATAATTTACATGCAACAAAATTGATCAATGTAAAGTGTACAATTTGATGGGTTTCGACAAATATATACAATTGTGTAACCACCAGTACAATCATGATGTATAACATTTCCATTACTCTCAAATTTCCCTCATACCTATCCACAGTGAATCCTCTCCCTCAGTGGCCCCTGGCAACCATTATCTGCTTTTTGTCACTATAGTTCAGTCTTTTCTAGATTTTATTCTAAATAGAATTATAGAACTTGTGATCTTTTGTGACTGGCTTCTTTAACTCACGTAATGCTTTTGAGATTCACCCATATTGTTGGGTGTATAAGAAATACATATATATATATATATATATATATATGTATTATGTCTTTATGTAGACTTTATGTGAATTTATGTGAACATATGCTTTCATTTCTCACAGATAAAATTCTTAGGAATAGAATTGCTGAGTCTGTGGTGAGTGTATGGTTAACTTTAAAGAAAACTGCTAAACAATTTGCCATTTGTGTTCTCACTAGCAACATATATAATTCATTCAGATTTCCACAGATCTGCAGTTTTGCCAATACTTAGTTTTGTCAATCTTTTAAATTTTAGTCATTTTAGTGGTTATATAATGGTATCTGGTGGTTTTAATTTGCATTTCCCTAATGGCTACTGTTAATGAAAAAATTATTTATGACCCGTGTGAAAGGTGGTAAGGCAGACTTTATTCAAGGGAGGAACTATTGTGATAGCTGTAGGAACCACTGCTGTATTAGTTGCTTTCGCATTGCTATAAAGGAATACCTGAGGCTGGATAATTTATAAAGAAAAGAGGTTTATTTGGCTCTTGGCTCTGCAGGCTATACAAGCATGACACCAGCATCAGCTCAGCTTCTGGTGAGACCTCAGGAAGTTTAAAATAATGGTAGGAGACAAAGGAGGAGTCGGTATATCACATGGTGAGAGAGGGAGCAAGAAAGAGAGGGAAGAGGTGGCAGGCTCTTTTAAACAACCAGATCTCACATGGACTCATACAGTGAAAACTTACTAATTACTGTGAGAACAGCACCAAGCCATTCTATGAAGTATCCGCCCCCATGACCCAGATACCTCCTACTAGGCCCACCTCCAACGTTGGAGGTCACATTTCAGTACGAGATTTGAAGGAGACAAAACATCCAGACCATGTCAACTGCTATGGGATTTTGCAGTGAGGGAGAGAGATTGGGTTCAACTCTGAATACAGCATGGACAAGTGACAATTTATAGCTAAAAAACTGGGTAGGAGTCAGTGGATGGAAAATTACTAACAGGAAACATCACAGGTAAGGGGAGATTCTAGCTAAATCGGCCTAACAGAATTCTTGCTGGAGACAGACCACAGTGATCAGATGTCACTTGGGGGATGGTGGAGAATGAGGAATCTGATTAAATATTGAGGGTGACCAGATATCAAGGGTGGGAGTATCTTGTTAGACTGATTTAGCAAGATTCTTATTAAAATTGAACAGTACAGAGATAAACATGGAAGTCCAAAAGTCTAGCCCAGTTGAAAAGTAGTTCAGGGAAATTTGAATAGAGTTTGATCAATAAGAGACATTTTATGGCTAATGATGCTAAGCATGTTTTCATGTGTTATTTGCAATCTATATAAAACTGTTTGCCCCTTAAAAACTTTGGATTGTCTTACTGCGTTATGTATGGATTTTTAAAAATAAATTCTGGATAGAAGTCCGTTAAGAGATAATATGTTTTATAAAATTTCTCCCAGACTGTGGTTTGATTTTTCTTTAATAAACTTATTTATTTTTATTTTTTTGAGACAGGATCTTGTTGTGTTTCCCAAGCTGGAGAGTGGTGGCATGATCATGGCTCACTGCAGCCTCCACCTCCTAGGCTCAATCGATCCTCCCACCTCAGCCTCCAGGGTAGCTGGGACTACATGCGTGTACCACCATGCTTGGCAAATTTTTGTATTTTTTTTTTGTAGAGACTGAGTTTCACCATTTTTCTCAGGCTGGTCTTGAACTGCCGGATTCAAGCTGTCTGCCCACCTTGGCTTCCCAGAGTGTTAGGATTACAGGTGTGAGTCACCCTGCCTGGCCCATTTTTCTTTTTTCTTTTTTTCTTGAGATGGAGTCTTAATTTATCTCCCAGGCTAGAGTGCAGTGGTGTGATCTCAGCTCACTGCAGCCTCCACCCTCCGGGTTCAAGCGATTCTCTAGCCTCAGTCTCCAGAGTAGCTGAGATTACAGATGCACGCCACCATGCCCAGCTGCTTTTTGTATTTTTAGTAGAGATGGGGTTTTACCATGTTGACCAGGCTGGTCTTGAACTCCTGACCTCAGGTGATCCACCTGCCTCGGCCTCCCAAAGTGTTGGGATTACAGACATGAGCCACCATGCCTGGCCCCATTTTTCTTTAATAAACTTATTTTAGAACAGTTTAAAGATTTACAAAACAATTGTGAAGATATTTTAGAGCAGGGGTCCGTAACCCTAGGGCCTCAGACTGGTATCAGTCTGTGGCCTGTTAGGAACTGGGCCACACAGTAGGAGGGGAATGGTGGGCAAGTGAGCATTACCGCCTGAGCTCTGCTTCCTGTCAGATCAGTGGTGGCATTAGATTCTTATAGCAGCAGGAGCCCTATTGTGAACTGCACATGTGAGGGATCTAGGTTGCATGCTCCTTATAAGAATCTAATGCCTGATGATCTGAGGTGGAACAGCTTCATTCTAAAACCATTCCCCACCCCATCCATGGAAAAATTGTCTTCCACAAAACTGGTCCCAGTGGTGCCAAAAAGGTTGGGGACCACTGGTTTAGAGAATTCTCATATGCTAATATCCAGTTTCCCTAATTAGCATCTTAATTAGCAGGTACATTTGTCATAATGAATGAACCTTTATTGATACATTATTAACTGACATCCATACTTCGTTCAGATTTTCTTAGTTTTTGCCTAATGCCTTTTTTCTCTTCCAGGGTTCCATCCAGGATACCACATTACATTTTTAGTTGTCATGTTTCTAGGTTCCTCTTGGCTGTGACAGTTTCTCAGACTTTCCTTGTTTTTTGTGACCATAACCTGTTTGAGGAATACTAGTCCAGTGTTTTGTGGAGTTTCCTTTAATTGAGATTTGTATGATGTTTTTGTCATGATTAGAATGGGGTTATGGGTGGCCGGGTGCGGTGGCTCACGCCTGTAATCCCAGCACTTTGGGAGACTGAGGAGGGCAGATCACGAGGTCAGGAGATCACGACCATCCTGGCTAACACAGTGAAACCCCATCTCTACTAAAAAAATACAAAAAAATTAGCTGGGCATGGTGGCGGGTACCTGTAGTCCCAGCTACTCGGGAGGCTGAGGCAGGAGAATGGCGTGAACCCAGGAGGCGGAGCTTGCAGTGAGTGGAGATCGAGCCACTGCACTCCAGCCTGGGCAACTGAGCGAGACTCTGTCTCAAAAAAAAAAAAAAAAAAAAAAAAAAGAATGGGGTTATGGGTTTTTAGGTGGAAGACCTTAGAGATAAATTGTCATTCTCATCATACGATATCAAGGGTACATATTATGACCATGACTTATCGCTGTTGATGTTGACTTGTATCACATGCCTTACACAGTGTAGTGTTTGCTGGGTTTTTCCACTCTAAAGGTATTCTTTTTTCCCTCTACACATATACTGTATTCTTCAGAAGGAAGTCAGTATAGGTACCTCACACTTAAGGAGTGGGGAGTTTTGCTTCACCTTCTTGAGCATGGAGTAACTAATATTTTTGGAATTCTTTTGCAAAAATTTTCTTTTTCCTCCTATTTATTTATGTATTTATTCATTCAGTAATGAATTTATATCAGTATGGACTCATGGATATTTACATTTTATCCTTTTAGTTGTAGTCTAATACTGCTTTATTTATTTTGTTGCTCAAATTGTTTCTGCTTTGGCCATTGGGAGCTCTTTCAGTTGGCCCTTGTGGCCCTTTGATATATCCCCATCATTATGATTTCTTTTTTTTATTTTTGAACACTTCCTTTCTGGTAGTATAAGATGCTCCAGGCTCATTTTTTTTTTTTGAGACAGTTGCTGTCTCACTGTGTTGCCCAGGCTGGTGGAGTGCAGTGGCATGATCACAGCTCACTGCAACCTCAGCCTCCCAGGCTCAAGCCATCCTCCCACTTCAGCCGCTCAATAGCTGGGACTACAGGTGCCTGCCATCACACCTGGCTAATTTTTGTATTTTATTTTTTAGAGATGGAGTTTCGCTGTGTTGCCCAGGCTGGTCTCGAACTCCTGAGCTCAAGTGATTCTCCTGTCTGGGCCTCCCAGAGGGTTGGGATTACAGGCGTGAGCCACCACACCCGGCCAGGCTTACCTTGTACATTTCTTGCCTCAGTCCTAGAATCAGCCATTTCTCCAAGGAATACTGGTTACCTTATTGGAGAATAGTATTTGAATCCAAAGCTTGGTTCCTAGATGTGCTCGTTGGAGTATCATTGTTTATAGGGCCTCTCAGCTGACAGAGCAAGGATATACATGTTTTTGTACTAACCTATGTATGTATGTATGTGTGCATATACATACACATATGTATATGTATAATGGCTTGCTTTTTTTAATTGCTTTTGAACAGTAAAGTGATAAAATTCAATTATTTTTTCTTGTATAATATATGTTTTTCTGTGTAAGAAATACTTGCCTAATGTAAGGTCACAATACTTTATCCTGTTTTTTCTTTTACAGTGTTTATAGTTTTAACCCCTACATGTAGGTGTATGGTCCTTTTCAAAAACAATTTTTCCTGAATTCTAGTGTGAGGTAAATATCTTTTATTTCCTTTGTATATTTTTCTAGTACAGTTTCTTGAAAATGTTATTCTTTCTCCATTGAATTGCCTTGCCACCTTTGGCAAAAATTGACCATTTCTCTGTGTGTCTATTTCTGAACTCTATTCCATCTCTTTCATCTATATATCTAAATTTATGTCAATACCACACTCTTGAAATCTTGAAATCAGGCAATGTGAGTCCCTAAATTTCTTTTCAAGATTTCTTTGCTATTCTAGTTCCTTTGCATTTACATAAGTATTTTAAAACCAACTTGTCAATCTTTACAAGAAGAGAAAGACTGCCGGAATTTATATTGGGATTGTGTTGAACCTGTTGATCAATTTAATAATACTGAATTTTCCAGTTCATGAACATAGTATTTCTTTCCATTTATTGGATTTAAAAAATATCTCTCAAGATTATTTTGTGGTTTCCAGTGTACAGATCTTGTATGTATTATGTTTATTCCCAAGTATTTCATGTTTTGATGCTATGATAATTGATATTAAAAACATTTAATTTCCAATAGTTTATTACTACTATATAGAAAAAGTTTTTGTTTATATATTGATCTTGTATCCTATGAGCTTACTAACTCAGTGGTTCACTTGGCTTGTTTTTAAAATATAGACAAATATAGGAATAACTATTTGTTTTTCATAAATAAGTTTTTATGTGGTTGAGAAGGTTGAGAAAGTTCCCTTCTATTCCTTGTTTTCCAGGATCTTTTTTTTTTTTTTAAATCACGAATGGATGTTGGATTTAGTTAGCCTCTTTATCTGTATCTACTGAGATGATCATATGGTTTTTTCCTTTTTCTCTTAATATGGTGAATTACATTGATTTTTTTTTAAAATTATACTTTAAGTTCTAGGGTAGATGTACACGACGTGCAGGTTTGTTACATAGCTACACATGTGCCATGTTGGTTTGCTGCACCCATCAACTCGTCATTTACATTAGGTATTTCTCCTAATGCTATCCCTCCCCCAGCCCCCCACCGCCTGACAGGCCCTGGTGTGTGATGTTCTCCGCCCTGTGTCCAAGTGTTTTCATTATTCAGTTCCCATCTATGAGTGAGAACATGCGGTGTTTGGTTTTCTGTCCTCGTGATAGTTTGCTGAGAATGATGGTTTCCAGCTTCTTCCATGTCCCTGCAAAGGACATGAACTCATCCTTTTTTATGGCTGCATAGAATTCCATGGTGTATATGTGCCACATTTCTTAATCCAGTCTATCATTGATGGATGTTTAGGTTGGTTCCAAGTCTTTGCTATTGTGAATAGTGCTGAAATAAACGTATGTGTGCATGTGTCTTTATAGTAGCATTATTTATAATCTTTTGGGCATATACCCAGTAATGGGATCGCTGGGTCAAATGGTCTTTCTAGTTCTAGATCCTTGAGGAATTGCCACATTGTCTTCCACAATGGTTGAACTAATTTACACTCCCACCAACAGTGTAAAAGCGTTCTTATTTCTCCACATCCTCTCCAGCATCTGTTGTTTCCTGAATTTTTAATGATCGCCGTTCTAATTGGTGTGAGATGGTATCTCATTGTGGTTTTGATTTTCATTTCTCTGATGAGCAGTGATGATGAGCATTTTTTCATGTGTCTGTTGGCTGCATAAATGTCTTCTATTGAGAAGTGTCTGTTCATATCCTTTGCCTACTTTTTGATGGGGTTTTTTTCTTGTAAATTTATTTAAGTTCTTTGCAGATTCTGGATATTAGCCCTTTGTCAGATGAGTAGATTGCAAAAATTTTCTCCCATTCTGTAGGTTGCCTGTTCACTCTGATGGTAGTTTCTTTTTGCTGTGCAGAAGCTCTTTAGTTTAATTAGATCCCATTTGTCTATTTTGGCTTTTGTTGCCATTGCTTTTGGTGTTTTAGTTATGAAGTCTTTGCCCCTGCCTGTGTCCTGAATGGTATTGCCTAGGTTTTCTTCTAGGGTTTTTATGGTTTTAGGTCTAACATTTAAGTCTTTAATCCATCTTGAATTAATTTTTATATAAGGTGTAAGGAAGGGATCCAGTTTCAGCTTTCTACATAAGGCTAGCCAGTTTTCCCAGCACCATTTATTAAATAGGGAATCATTTCCCCATTTCTTGTTTTTGTCAGTTTTGTCAAAGATCAGATGGTTGTAGATGTGTAGTGTTATTTCTGAGGCCTCTGTTCTGTTCCATTGGTCTATATATCTGTTTTGGTACCAGTACTATGCTGTTTTGGTTACTGTAGCCTTGTAGTATAGTTTGAAGTCAGGTAGCATGATGCCTCCAGCTTTGTTCTTTTTGCTTAGGATTGTCTTGGCAATGCAGGCTCTTTTTTTGGTTCCATATGAACTTTAAAGTAGTTTTTCCAATTCTGTAAAGAAAGTCATTGGTAGCTTGATGGGGATGGCATTGAATCTATAAATTACCTTGGGCACTATGGCCATTTTCATGACATTGATTCTTCCTACCCATGAGCATGGACTGTTCTTCCATTTGTTTGTGTCCTCTTTTATTTTGTTGAGCAGTGGTTTGTAGTTCTCCTTGAAGAGGTCCTTCACATCCCTTGTAAGTTGGATTCCTAGGTATTTTATTCTCTTTGTAGCAACCGTGAATGGGAGTTCACTCATGATTTGGCTCTCTGTTTGTCTGTTATTGGTGTATAGGAATGCTTGTGATTTTTGCACATTGATTTTGTATCCTGAGACTTTGCTGAAGTTGCTTATCAGCGTAAGGAGATTTTGGGCTGAGATGATGGGGTTTTCTAAATATACAATCATGTCATCTGCAAACAGGGACAATTTGACTTCTTCTTTTCCTAATTGAATACCCTTTATTTCTTTCTCCTGCCTGATTGCTCTGGCCAGAACTTCCAACACTATGTTGAATAGGAGTGCTGAGAGAGGGCATGCTTGTCTTGTGCCAGTTTTCAAAGGGAATGCTTCCAGCTATTGCCCATCCAGTATGATATTGGCTGTGGGTTTGTCATAGATAACTCTTATTATTTTGAGATACATTCCATCAGTACCTAGTTTATTGAGAGTTTTTAGCATGAAGGCTGTTGAATTTTGTCGAAGGCCTTTTCTGCATCTATTGAGATAATCATGTGGTTTTTGTTGTTGGTTCTATTTATGTGATGGATTATGTTTATTGATTTGTGTATGTTGAACCAGCTTTGCATCCCAGGGATGAAGCCAACTTGATTGTGATGGATAAGCTTTTTGATGTGCTGCTGGATTCGGTTTGCCAGTATTTTGTTGAGGATTTTTGCATCGATGTTCAACAAGGATATTGGTCTAAAATCCTCTTCTTCTGTTGTGTCTCCGCCAGGCTTTGGTATAAGGATGATGCTGGCCTCATAAAATGAGTTAGGGAGGATTCTCTCTTTTTCTATTGATTGGAATAGTTTCAGAAGGAATGATACCAGCTCCCCTTTGTACCTCTGGTAGAACTCGGCTGTGAATCCGTCTGTCCTGGACTTTTTTTGGTTGGTAGGCTATTAATTATTGCCTCAATTTCAGAGCCTGTTATTGGTCTATTTAGAGATTCAACTTCTTCCAGGTTTAGTCTTGGGAGGGTATGTGTGTCCAGGAATTTATCCATTTCTTCTAGATTTTCCAATGTGTTTGCATAGAGTTGTTTATAGTATTCTCTGATGGTAGTTTGTATTTCTGTGGGATTGGTGGTCATATCTTCTTTATCATTTTTTATTGCATCTATTTGATTCTTCTCTCTTTTCTTCTTTATTAGTGTTGCTAGCAGTCTATCTATTTTGTTGATCTTTTCAAAAAACCAGCTCCTGGATTCATTGATTTTGTGAAGGGTTTTTTGTGTCTCTGTCTCCTTCAGTTCTGCTCTAAACTTAGTTATTTCTTTGCCTTCTGCTAGCTTTTGAATTTGTTTGCTCTTGCTTCTCTAGTTCTTTTAATTGTGATATTACGGTGTTGATTTTGGATTTTTCCTGTTTTCTCTTGTGGGCATTTAGTGCTATAAATTTCCGTCTACACACTGCTTTAAATGTGTCCCAGAGATTCTGGTATGTTGTGTCTTTGTTCTCATTGGTTTCAAAGAACATCTTTATTTCTGCCTTCATTTTGTTATTTACCCAGTAGTCATTCAGGAGCAGGTTGTTCAATTTCCATGTAATTGTGCATTTTTTTTTTTTTTTTACGAGTTTCACTCTTGTTGCCCAGGCTGGAGTGCAATGGTGTGATCTTGGCTCACTGCAACCTCCGCCTCCTGGGTTCAAGCGATTCTCCTGCCTCAGCCCCCCGAGTATGTGGGATTACAGGCATGCGCCACCATGCCTGGCTAGTTTTTTTGTATTTTTAGTAGAGATGGGGTTTCTCCATGTTGGTCAGGCTGGTCTCGAACTCCCGACCTCAGGTGATCTGCCCTCCTCGGCCTCCCAAAGTGCTGGGATTACAGGCGTGAGCGACTGCACCTGGCAGTTGTGCAGTTTTGAGTGAGTTTCTTAATCCTGAGTTCTAATTTGATTGCACTGTGGTCTGAGAGACAGTTTGTTGTGATTTCTGTTCTTTTACATTTGCTGAGGAGTGCTTTATTTCCAATTATGTGGTCAATTTTAGAATAAGTGCAGTGTGGTGCTGGGAAGAATGTATATTCTGTTGATTTGGGGTGGAGACTTCTGTAGGTGTCTATTAGGTCTGCTTGGTGCAGAGCTGAGTTCAAGCCCTGGATATCCTTGTTAACCTTCTGTCTTGTTGATCTGTCTAATATTGACAGTGGGATGTTAAAGTCTCCCATTATTATTGTGTGGGAGTCTAAATCTCTTTTTAGGTCTCTCAGAACTTCCTTTATGAATCTGGGTGCTCTTGTATTTGGTGCATATATATTTAGGATAGTTAGCTCTTTTTGTTGAATTGATCCCTTTACCATTATGTAATGGCCTTCTTTGTCTGTTTTGATCTTTGTTGGTTTACAGTCTGTTTTATCAGAGACTAGGATTGCAACCCCTGCTTTTTTTTGCTTTCCATTTGCTTGTTAGATCTTCCTCCACCCCTTTATTTTGAGCCTATGTGTGTCTCTGCACGTGAGATGGGTTTCCTGAATACAGCACACTGATGGGTCTTGACTCTTTATACAATTTGCCAGTCTGTGTCTTTTAGTTGGGGCATTTAGCCCATTTACATTTAAGGTTAATATTGTGATGTGTGAATTTGATCCTGTCATTATGATGTTAGCTGGTTATTTTGCCGTTAATTGATACAGTTTCTTCATAGCATTGATGGTCTTTACAATTTGGCATGTTTTTGCAGTGCCTGGTACTGGTTGTTCCTTTCCATGTTTAGTGCTTCCTTCAGGAGTTCTTGTAAGGCAGGCCTGGTGGTGACAAAATCTCTCAGCATTTGCTTGTCTGTAAAGGATTTTATTTCTCCTTCACTTAGGAAGCTTAGTTTGGCTGGATATGAAATTCTGAGTTGAAAATTCTTTTCTTTAAGAATGTTGAATATTGGCCCCCACTCTCTTCTGGCTTGTAGGGTTTCCACCAAGAAATCAGCTGTTAGTCTGATGGGCTTCCCTTTGTGGGTAACCTGACATTTCTTTCTGGCTGCCCTTAACATTTTTTCCTTCATTTCAACCTTGGTGAATCTGACAATTATGTGTCTTGGAGTTGCTCTTCTCGAGGAGTATCTTTGTGGTGTTCTCTGTATTTCCTGGATTTGAATGTTGGCCTGCCTTGCTAGGTTGGGGAAGTTCTCCTGGATGATATCCTGAAGAGTGTTTTCCAAGTTGGTTCCATTCTGCCTGTCACTTTGAGGTATACCAATCAGACGTAGATTTGGTCTTTTCACATAGTCCCATATTTCTTGAAGGCTTTGTTTGTTTCTTTTTACTCTTTTTTCTCTATTCTTGTCTTCTCACTTTATTTCATTAATTTAATCTTCAATCACTGATATCCTTTTTTCCACTTGATTGAATCAGCTATTGAAGATTGTGCGTGTGTCACAAAGTTCTCATGCCATGGTTTTCAGCTCCATCAGGTCATTTAAGGTCTTTTCTACACTGTTTATTCTAGTTAGCCATTTGTCTAACCTTTTTTCAAGGTTTTTAGCTTTTTGCGATGTGTTAGAACATGCTCCTTTAGCTCGGAGAAGTTTGTTATTACCGACCTTCTGAAGCCTACTTCTGTCATCTCCTCAAAGTCATTCTCCATCCAGCTTTGTTCCATTGCTGGCGAAGAGCTGTGATCCTTTGGAGAAGAGGCGCTCTGGTTTTTAGAATATTCAGTTTTTCTGCTCTGGTTTCTCCTCATCTTTGTGGTTTTATCTACCTTTTGTCTTTGATGTTGGTGACCTACAGATGGGGTTTTTGGTGTGGATGTCCTTTTTGTTGATGTTGATGCTATTTCTTTCTGTTTGTTAGTTTTCCTTCTAACAGTCATGTCCCTCAGCTGCAGGTCTGTTGGAATTTGCTAGAGGTCCACTCCAGACCCTGTTTGCCTGGGTATCACCAGCAGAGGCTGCAGAACAGCAAATATTGCAGAATGGCAAATATTGCTACCTGATCCTTTCTCTGGAAGCTACATCTCAGAGGGGCACCCACCTGTATGAGGTGTCTGTCAGCCCCTACTGGGAGGTGTCTTCCAGTTAGGCTACACGGGGCTCAGAGACCCACTTGAGGAGGCAGTCTGTTCGTTCTCAGAGCTGAAATGAAATGCTGGGAGAACCACTGCTCTCTTTAGAGCTATCAGACAGGGACGTTTAAGTCTGCAGAAGTTTCTGCTGCCTTTTGTTCAGCTATGCCCTCCCCACAGAGGTGGAGTTTGTAGAGGCAGTAGGCCTTGCTGAGCTGCGGTGGGCTCCACCCAGTTCGAGCTTCCCAGCCACTTCGTTTACCTATTCAAGCCTCAGCAATGGTGGACGCCCCTTCCCGCACCAGGCTGCAGCCTCGCAGGTTGATCTCAGACTGCTGCGCTAGTAGTGAGCAAGGCTCCATGGGTGTGGGACCTGCCGAGCCAGGCATGGGAGAGAATCTCCTGGTCTGCCGGCTGCTAAGACCATGGGAAAAGCACAGTATTTGGTCAGGAGTGTCCTGTTTTTCCAGGTACAGTCTGTCATGGCAGACTGTCAAAGGGAAATCCTCCGACCCCTTGTGCTTCCTGGGTGAGGCGATGCCCCACCCAGCTTCGGCTCACCCTCCGTGGCCTCCACCCACTGTCCAACCAGTCCCAGTGAGATGAACCAGGTACCTCAATTGGAAATGCAGAAATCACTTGTCTTCTGCATTGGTCATGTTGGGAGCTGCAGACCGGAGCTGTTCCTATTTGGCCATCATGGAATGGAAGGTGATTTTTTTTTAACTGTTTAATCAGCCCTGCATTTCTGGAATAAACGCTACTTGGTTATGATGTATTATCATTTTTAAGTTAATTAAGTTAAGGAAATTCTCCTCTATTCCTGGATTTCTGAGAGTTTTTAACATCATGAATGGATACTGAATTATTTTTAGGATGTTTTTGCAGCAAGTATTGATATGATCTTGTGATTTTTCCTGGTCTGTTAATTGATTTTCTAATGTTGGACTAGTCTTGTATTACTGGGATGTATTTCACTTGGCTATAATGTATTGTTCTTTTTATATATTGCTGGATTAGATTTGTTAATATTTTGTTAAGGATTTTTGCATGTATATTCAAGAGGGATGATGTTCCTCATTCTGAAGAAATTTGTAGCATTCATTGCTTATTAGAAAAGAAGGAAGATCTCAAATCAGTTACTTAACCTATCATTTTAAGAAACTAGAAAAAGAGAAGCATGTCATATCCAAAGTATACAAAAAGAAAAAAAATTATACAAAAGAAAAAAAGTAGAAATCAATGAAATAGAAAACAGAAAGTCAACCAAACCAATAGTTAAGTTAGTTCTTTAAAAGATTAATAAAATTTATCAACATCAAGCCAGACTGATTAGGAATGTAAAAGAAGAGTCAGACATCACTAATATGAGCAATGAGAGAAGGGATGTTTTGATATATTTTTGGTAATATCTCCTAATATGCTTTTACTTTTAGCTGTCTATGCTCTTATAATTAAGTACAGTTTCTTGTAAAGTTTTCTGACAGTCAGTGAGCCTCTAATTCAAGTGCTTAGACAATTTGAATATAATTTTTTTTTTTTTTTGAGACAGTGTTTCGCTTTCATTGACCAAGCTGGAGTACAGTGGTGCTATCTTGGCTCACTGTAACCTCTGCCTTCTGGTTTCAAGTGATTCTCCTGCCTCAGCCTCCCGAGTAGCTGGGATTACAGGTGCCCGCCACCATGCCCAGCTAATTTTTTTATTTTTAATAGAGACAGGATTTCACCATGTTGGCCAGGCTGGTCTTGAACTCCTGACCTCGTGATACGCCTGCCTTGGCCTCCCAAAGTGCTGGGATTACAGGTGTGCGCCACTGTGCCCAGCTAAATTTAATGTAATTGTTGATATGGCTGCATATAAAGCAATCATCTCGTTATTTTCTATTCCTTTCATCTCTACTTTGTTCTTATTTCTTCTTCTTATGCTATCTTTTGAGGATTTAAAAAAAATGAACCATTTTTTTCTCCACTTTTGTCCTATTAGCTATACTTCTTTTATTTTTTTAGTAGTTGCCCTACCATTTGCAAAATACACTTTTGGATTATCATAGTCTACTTTCAAATTATATTAATATTATAGGCCTTCATGTATAATGTCAGAAGCTTGTAACATTACACTTCCATTCATTCCTCACAATCTTTGTGCTACTTGTGCCCTATAGTTTGCACCTGTATATGTTATAAACCCCATGATACATTGTTAGTATTTTTGCTTTAAACAATTATCATTTGAAACACTTTGAAAATGAGATAAAAGTTCTTTATATCTTCCCACTTATTTAGAGTATTAATCACTTGCATTCTTTTGCATATCCCAGATTTACATGTGGTGTCTTTTTTGTTTGGCCTGTAGAATATCCTTTAACATTACTTATAGTGTAGGTTTGCTGGTGAAAAATTATCCCAATTTTTATGTGTCTGAAGAAGTCTTTATTTTGCCTTTACTTAATGAAGACATTTTGTAGTTTTCTCAGTTTTTAGTTTGTTTCCTCTCTTAGTTCTTTAAAGAGATTACTCCATTGTCTTCTGTCTTGCATTGTTTCTGACCAGAAATCTGCTTTAATATTTTTGTTCATTTTCACATGTGTCTTTTTGCTCTTGTTGCTCTTAAGATTTTATTGCTGGTTTTCAGCATTTTGATTATGATGTACTCTGTTGTATTTTTATTCATATTTCTTTTATTTGGGGATTGTTGAGCTTCTTGGATTTGTATGTTCATAGTGTTTATTAAGTTTGGATAATTTTTGGCTAATATTTTTATTGTTCATCCATTTGTCTACTTTTATTTGGGACTCCAGTTACGTGCATGTTGGATCATTTGATATTTCCCATTCTTCTCCAGTACTGTTTTTTTCTTTCTTTTCCTCCTCCTTTTCTTTTTCTTCTTTTTCCTTTTCTTAGTATTTTTTTCACTTTGTCATTTATTTGGATAATTTTTATTGCTGTATTATTACGTTTATTGCTATTTTCTTCTGCAGTGCCAAATTTACTGTTAACCATTTTCAAAGTGCCTTTACCTTAAATTATTGTCTACTTCATCTCTAAAAATTTTTATTTTTATTTATTTATTTTTTTTTGAGACAGTGTGTTGCTCTGTCACCCAGGATGGAGTGCAGTGGCATGATCTCAGCTCACTGCAGCCTCCACCTCCCGGGTTCAAGTGATTCTCCTGCCTCAGCTTCCTGAGTAGCTGGGATTACAGGTGAGCACCACCATGCCCAGCTAATTTTTGTATTTTTAGTAGAGATGGGGTTTCACCATGTTGGCCAGGCTGGTCTCGAATGCCTGACCTTGTAATCCTCCCGCCTTGGCCTCCCAAAGTGCTGGGATTACAGGTGTGAGCTGCTGTGCCTGGTCAAAAATTTTTACAGTTGTGTTTTCTTTCCTTCTTTTGCTAATGCTTTCATATACCTACCTGAACATATAGAGTATGTTTATATGATCGAGTTTAACATTGTTAGCTAACATTAAAATTGTTTGCTAATTCGGTCATTGTTGTCATTTCTGCGTTTGTTATTATTTGGTATTTATTCTGGTTGTGGGCCATATTATTCTGCTTACTTGCATGTCCGTACATCCTTCCCAACATGTGTTGTTATCTGTATGATTATAGCCATCCTTGTGGGTTTGAAGTAGTATTTTGTTGTGGGTTTTGATTTGCCTTTTCCTGATGACAAAAGATGTTGAACATTTTTCTTTTTCTTTTTTTGAGACAGAGTCTCGCCCTGTCACCCAGGCTGGAGTGCAGTGGTGCAAGATCTTGGCTCACTACAACCTCTGCCTCCTGGGTTCAAGCGATTCTCGTGCCTCAGCCTCCTGAGTAGCTGCGATTACAGATGACCACCACCATGTCCAGCTGATTTTTGTATTGTTAGTAGAGACAGGTTCTCACCATGTTGGCCAGGCTTGTTTTGAAGTCCTGGCCTCAAGTGATCTGCCTGCCTCGGCCTCCCAAAGTGCTGGGATTACAGGTGTGAGCCACCATGGCTGGCCACATTTTTCTGTTTTTAGAATTGATTTTTATCTATTTATTTTTTAGAGACAGGGTCTCACTTTGTTGCCCAGGCTAGAGTACAATGGCATGAACATCTTTTCATGTGCTTGCTGTTGATTTATATATCTTATTTGGAGAAATGTTAATTCATATTCTTTTCCCATTTTTAAATTGTGTCATCTTTTTGTTTTAGAGCTGTAGAATTTTTTTAAATATATATTCTGGATATAAATCCCTTATTAGATACATGGCTTGAAATTTTTTCTTCCATTTTGTGTTTTTTTCCCCCTATTTTCTTTATGGTGTCCTTTGAAATAAAAGTTTTAAATTTTGATGAAGTCCTATTTACCTAGTTTTTTCTTTGGTTGTATTTTTGGTGTCAAATCTGAAACTATTTTGTTATCCAAGGTTATGAACATTTGTTGTTATGTTTTCTTTGAAGAGTTAGGTAGTTTTAGCTCTTACATACAGGGCTTTGGTCCACTTTGAGTTAATTTTTATACATGGTGTGAGATAGGGGTCCAACTTCATTTTCTTACATGTGGCTATCTAATTGTCCCAGTACCATTTATTGAAAAGACTATACCTTCTGGCCAGGCGCGGTGGCTCATGCCTGTAATCCCAGCACTTTGGGAGGCTGAGGCGGGTGGATCACGAGGTCAGGAGATCGAGACCATCCTGGCTAACACGGTGAAAACCCTGTCTCTACTAAAAATACAAAAAATTAGCTGGGCATGGTAGTGGGTGGCTGTAGTCCCACCTACTCAAGAGGCTGAGGCAGGAGAATGGCGTGAACCCAGGAGGCAGAGCTCGCAGTGAGCCGAGATCACACCACTGCACTCCAGCCTGCGCAACAGAGCAAGACTCCATCTCAAAAAAAAAAAAAAAAAACCCACGAAAGACTATACCTTCTTTATTGAATTGTTGTGGCAACCTTGTTGAATTGATTATAAGGGTGTATTATTTCTGGATTCTCATTTCTATTATATCAATTTATATATCTATCCTTAGCTATATGTCTATATTACACTGTCTTGATTACTGTAGTTTTGTAGTAAGTATGAGTCCTTCAGTTCTGTTCTTTTCAAGATTGTTTTGGTTATTCTGCGTCTCTTGCATTTCCATATGAATTTTAGGATCAGCCTGTCAGTTTCTGCCAAAAAAAGTAGCTAGGATTTGATAAAGGATTATTTTGAATTAGATTGATTTGGGGAGTATTGCCATTGTAACAACATTAAGCCTTCTGGTCCACGTACATAGAATGTTTTCCACCTATTTAGGTATTGAATTAAAAATTTTTTCAATGTGTTTTACAGTTTTTAGCATACAAGTCTTATACTTCTTTTAAAAATGTATTTCTGTTTTTTTGTTTTTGATGTTATTGTGAGATTTTCTTGATTTCATTTTTAGATTGTTTATCGCTAATATATAAAAATCCAATTGATTTTTGCACATTAATCTCATATCCTGCAACCTTCCTAAACTTATTAATTCTAATTTTTTTTTAGTGGATTCTTTAGGATTTTCTACATACAGCGTCATGTTATCTTGAAACAGACAATTTTACTTCTTCTTTTCCAATCTAGACCTACCTACCTACCTTCCTTCCTTCCTTCCTTCCTTCCTTCCTTTTCTTTCTCTTCCTTCCTTCCTTCCTTCCTTCCTTCCTTCCTTCCTTCCTTCCTTCCTTCCTTCCTTTCTTCCTTTCTTTCTTTCTCCTTTTTGTCTAATTGTCTGGTTAGATTGTACAGTATATTGGTGAATAGGTACTGAGAGTGGATATCCTTGTCTTGTTCCTGATCTTAGGGGAAGGCATCCAGTCTTTCACCATTAATTATAATGTTAACTCTGGACTTTTTTTTTGGCGTAATTATGGTTTGCTGGAGCCTCAATCTCCTAGGCTTCAGTGATCTCCAACCTCAGCCTCCCGAGCAGCTGGCACCACAGATGCATACCACCACACCTGGCTAAGTTTTAAATTTTTTTGTATAGATGGTGTCTCACTGTGTTGCCCAGAGTGGTCTTGAACAGCTAGGCTCAAGTGATCCTTCCACCTTGGCCTCCCTAAGTGTTGGGATTACAGGTGTGAGCCACTGCGCCTGGCCTGGCCTTTTCATTGATCCCCTTTGTCAAGTTAAGAAGTTCCCTTATCTAGTTTTCTGTTTTTCTCATGAAAGGGTGTTGGATTTTGTCAGATGCCTTTTTTCTGTGTTTTTTTTTTGATACAATCATGTTTTTTTCCCTGTATTTTATTAATACAGGGTATTACATTGATTTTCAGATATTAAACCAATCTTACTTTCCTCTTGTTTGTGATATACAGTCCTTTTTATATTTTGCTGGATTTGTTTTGCTGCTATTTCTTTGATGTTTTTTTGGTCAATATTTACAAAGTATATTGATCTGTACTTTGCTGCTGATATCTTTGTCATGTTTTAACATCAGGGTGGTATTGGCATCATACTATGTGTTGGAAAGTATTCTCTCACCTTCTAGCTTTTAGAAAATTTCATGAAGGACTGACATTAATACTTTTTTTAAGACTAATGATATTTTAATTTTTGTTTTTGTCTTTTAGGATTCTCCTTTTACAAATGCAGGAATGGGATCTAATCTAAATCTGTTAGGTGAAATTGAGTGTGATGCCAGCATAATGGATGGAAAATCCTTAAATTTTGGAGCAGTTGGAGCACTGAGTGGTATGTGGGCATTATGACCTACTATCTTTGGAAAATCATGCACGTGACCATTTCATGCCTTCTAAAGATGATTACAGTCTTTTTCACCATTTCTGCTTGGAATAGTGTTTAAAACAAATGTTCTTTTTTTATTGAATTTAAAACATACAGTCTTAGTTATAAGTAGTTTTTGGTTTGAATTTGATCATTCTCCTGTATCCCTTGAAGAGATTAAAGACATTTAAGACATGATTTAGAATATTAATTTTACAATTTGAAATACACACTATATTTTTTGTTGTAAAAAATTTCAGGTAATATAAATAAAATTTACCTTTGATCCTCCAAAAGATCTTTTCTTTCTCATTTCCTTTCCCCGTGGGGTTTAACCAGTAAAAATCCAGTGCTTTTATCTATATTTTTATGTAACAGAAACACAGTTTTATTTTGTGCCTGTATTTGTTTTCTTAAAAAATAAATGTGTTAATTATTATAAACTTTTTAGATTTAAATATAATCTTTTGGAGATTTTTTCCACATCAGTACATAAAAGATATGTCTCATGTTTTATAATTCATTTATTAAAGCAAAATATACATGAAGTATGTATTTTATGTGTACAGCTTCATGAATTTTTAGATGTAGACACCATATAAGCCACCACCTAGATCAAGACATTAAACATTTCCATGTCAAAAGGTAGAACATTTTCATAATCCTGGAAGGACCCCTTATGCTTCTCCTTGGTCCATACTTCTTGTGCTCTCTTCCCTCATGCTAACTTTGGGTGCCATAGATTAATTTGCCTGTTCCTAAAATTTACATGAGTGGGATCAGACACTTCTGTGTCTGTTTTCTTTTGCTTAATGTTATGCCTGTGAGATGGATCCATGTTTTGTGTCAGTAGTATTTTATTTTTTACCACTTAGTAGTATTTCATTGAATGGATATACCATAACTTCTGTATTTACTCTCCTCTTAATGGGCATATGAAATTTCTAGCTTTTTACTTTTTTGAGTAAAGCTTCAGTGAATATTATTTTACATGTCTTTTGGTAGACATATGTACTTCTGTTTTTTTTTTTTTTTTTTTTTTGAGATGGAGTCTCATTCTGTTACCCAGCCTGGAGTGCAGTGGTGCGGAGTCTCATTCTGTTACCCAGCCTGGAGTGCAGTGGTGCGATCTCGGCTCACTGCAACCTCTGCCTCCTGGGTTCAATTGATTCTTCTGCCTCAGCCTCCCAAGTAGCTGGGATTACAGGCACCCACCACAGTGCCTGGCTAATTTTTGCATTTTTAGTAGAAACAGGGTTTCACCATGTTGGCCAGGCTGGTCTTGAACTCCTGACCTCAAGTGATCTGCCAGCTTCAGCCTCCCAAAGTGCTGAGATTATAGGCGTGAGCCACTGTGCCTGGCCACGTATGTACTTCTTTAGGTACATATGCATATATATTTTGTTTTAATAGATACTGCCGGTTTTCAAAAGTAATTGTTGCAGTTTATACTCCTACTAGCAGTGTAGGAGCTTTTCAGTTACTCTGCATCCTTGCCAATTTTTGGTATTGTTAATTGTTTTTAAAATTCAGCCATTTTGATATGTGTGTAGTGGTATTATTGAGTGTCCCTAGTGATTTATGTGTGTAGTGGTATTCAATTTGAGTGTCCCTAGTGACTTATAAGAGCCTTTTCATATGCTTTTTGACCATTTAGATAGCCTTGTTGAGAAGTGCATATTTGCATCTTTTGCAGATTTTTATTTGATTATATCTTTTATTGATTTGTTGGAGTATTTTAAATATTTTACATACAAATCCTTTGTAAGATACATGTATTATGGATATCTTCTCCCAGTCTATGGTTTGCCTTTACAATCTCTTAATGGTGTTTTTTGATGAATAGAAGTTTCTGATTTTAATGAAGTTTAAGTTAGCAACCTTTTCTTTTGTGATTAACTCTTTGTATTTTAAGTTTTTGCCTGTTCAAAGTTATGAAGATAATCTTCATTCTTTCTGTAATTTTATTGTTTTTATCCATCATGTTTAGCTTTCTTATCAAGCTCAGATTAATTTTTGTATATGTAACATAGGGGTCAACATTTATTTATTTTTTCCTCATATGGATATCCAAATGGTCCATTGCCCTCTATTGAAAGGAAGTCTTTTCCTCACAGAATTGTGTTGGGAAATTAGGTGACTGTGTGATAATTTGTTTCTGTACCCTGTTATGGCTGCTTTCAAAAATGAGTTGGGTACTTTTTTTTCCCCCATTCTTTGAAAAGGTTTGTATATGATTGGAATAATTACTTTTTAATTGTTTGAAGGAATTCATAAATTATTTCAAATTAACGGGGTTTTCTTTGTGGGAAGTTTTAAAAAGTAGGATTCAATATTTTTAACATTTATATGATTATATTTTATTTTTCATGTGCGTTTTTCTAGGAATTTGTCTATTTCATATGAGTTGTCAAATTTATTTGCCTGAAGACATTTTAGTTAGCTTTCTTTGTTGATTTCTAGTTTAATTCCACTGTGGCCAGAGAATATACTATGTATGATACCAATCCCTTGAAGCTTTTAGAGACTTGCTGTATGGCCCAGATTATGGTGTGTTTTGGTAAATTTCCACGTGAACTTCAAAAGAATATGTATTCTGGAGTTGTTGAGTACAGTGCTCTGTGTGTGTCACTTAGGTCAATTTGGTTATTTATTTGTTCTGATCTTTTATATCCTTTCTTTTTAATTAGTTTTAATTTTAGTTTCTCTTATTATGCAGTTTTATTGGTATTTAATAAAATTTCGTGTGTTTGAAGGCCATTAGCATTTCTCTGTGTACTACCTGTTCATACCTCTTGTGTGGCTTGCGTTTTAACCCTGTTTATAAATGTCCTTAATCATATTGGAATTAAACATTTTTGTTTGTCAAACTTACTACTTTCTCTTTTGTGGCTTTTGTATTTTGTATTTCTTAAAGTCTCTCATAATTTATAAGCACAATTTACTTGTATTTTCTTCTAACATATGTATAGTTTATTTTTCATTTACCTCTTGAATGCATTTTTTTCTGAAATGACTTCAAATTGTTCCTACATAGTTAATTGAATAACAATAAGTACAGTTTGTTAAATGACAGTAATACCGTAGGCATTGTTCTACAGTGGTTTACATATTTATTTATTTATTTATTTTTGAGATGGAGTCTAGCTCTGGGTGTTGGCCGAGGTTGGAGTGCAGTGGTGCGATCTTGGCTCACTGCAACCTCTGCCTCTTGGGTTCAAGTGATTCTCCTGCCTCAGCCTCCTGAGTAACTGGGATAACAGGTGTGTGCCACCACGCCTGGCTAATTTTTATATTTTTAGTAGAGACGGGTTTCACCATGCTGGCCAAGCTGGTCTTGAACTCCTAACCTCAGGTGATCCACCCACCAGCCTCCTAAAGTGCTGAGATTACAGGCGTGAGCCACCGCATCCAGCCCAGTGGTTTACATATTTTAAATCATTTAGTTCTCACGATACCCTTATGAGGCCTATGCTTTTATCCTATGTAATACCGTTATGAGGCCTATGCTTTTATCCTATGTAATACCATTTTGAGGTCTATGCTTTTAAATCATTTAATTCTCACAATACGCTCATGAGGTCTATGCTTTACAGATGAGGAAACTGAGACACAAGAGAGATTTAGTAGTTTGTCCAAGGACATTGTATTAGTCTGGGTAAAACTAGAAGACAGAAACCATACCATAGTTTAAATAGAAGTTTAATATAAAGAGTTATTAAGCAGTGATTGAAGAGTAACTCTATAAACATGGGACGAGAACTCAAAAATGTATCCTAGGGCAGAGAGAGAATACCCAAAGAAGAACACGTTTGGAAGTACGTTTAGACGTCATTGAAGAAGGTGTGGCTATCATTCACTGTATGGCAGAGAAGTTGCTGGGTTACCCAGGCCAGAGCTGGTCTACAGTCATTGTGTGAGTAGGATCAATCCTGTGAGGCAGAGGCAAGCTCAGGCTGGTAGGTGGGCACACAGAGGTCAAGATGCTGTGAGAATTAAACCTCCCTTGGGCAGGATAAAGATTGGGCTTTGGCTCACTACGCAGGCACCCCGTGGAACACTTGCTATGTGTGCCTATGGGGCTGAGGAGTGGGTGTGGGTATCAATGACCTGAATTGGAGTATGGTCTCATTCTTTCTGGAGCTCTCAGCTATGCTGCTGTGGCACAAATCAGGAGCTGGAGAAAACGTGGTGTTCAAATGCTGGAGAAAGCTGCTCCCTGTGGGCACTTAGTACAGGAGAGTACCACATTGGTCAGAAGTGAAGCCTGGTGCGCAAGACAACACTTTCCTCCTACAGTGTTTCTTTAGTGTCCTCTACTGACAAAGCTTACCTATTGTGCTAGCTGGCAAAGGAAACGTACTTAGAGGGCCCATATCCATTTTCACACATCAGGCAATAAAGGGTGAATTTGTAGCTGAGAAGCAATAAACCGGTTAACTGGAACAGTTACAAAGTAGTCTGACTCCTAGGCTTTTACCTTTGTGTTCTTTCTCCCTCTTATATGTAGTTTATCCTTTTCCTACTGATTTGAAATATTAAATACCTAAATTCAAAAGTGTTTGTTTCTGAACTTTAGCTTTATTCTATTTCATTGACATTTCTTTATTTTGTACTCAAACCACTGTTTTTTAATTAGAATAGCTTCAAATAAAAAAATGATATCTTGCAGGGTAAATAACTCTTCATTTTTCTTTTTCAAAGTTTTATTTTTCTGATTAAGAGTCAGCTTCTTATGTATCCTGGAAATCATTTTGAAGTTTTGATGGAGAATTGGATTTATAAGTTATAAATTGGATTTATAAGTTGTGTTATAAATGTATAAGTTGTAACTTATAACTTATAAATCCAATTTATAAGTTATAAGTTATAAATTTATAAGTTATAAGTTATACATTTATAACATAAATTGTTAATTTGTAAACAATATAAAGTTATAAATTGGATTTATAAGTTGGAGTAAAGATTTGGATTTATAAGTTAACTTGGAAAAGATGAATGTCTTTACAATATTGAATCATCACATCTAGAACTATATTGTTTTAAGAACTAGTAAAGGGATCTGATTTGGGCTTTTCTTTTTTTTTTTTTTTGTATTTCATACTTTTTTTGTGGAAGATTTGGTATTGAGCTACATTTCTACAATTGGTTTTTCTTGGAGTCTGTTGGCCTTAATTTAAATTTTTGTAGTCTCTTTATATATTCCACTGATGATTTGTTTGTATTAATCATTTCCTGAAAGGCAGGCGTATATTAGTGATGAAGGGTATGGTCTCCGATATTGGCTGCCTCCATGTTAAAACTCAGCGCTGTGATCATGGGCAGGCAACTTAACCCTCTGTATAAATGTTTTCTCATTAATCAGATAGGATTAATAAGTGTGGTTACATGACAGAATTGAAGGATCAGCTAACTCATCCGATAGATTTAAGAATTTGGCACTGGGCCTGGAGCACATTAGGAAATAGTTACTTTGATTGCCTTCCACCATCATCATCATTGTCGTCATCAGTGTCATTGTCTTTGTCATTGTCATCCTGACAGTGTTTATCACACTCAAAACTGTCCTGTCAGTTCTCCTGGATAAGCACTATCACCTCACTTGTACATACTGGTTAGCCTCTTGGAAAGAATCTGAACCACATTTTAGGTTACAATCTTTTACACAGTTGGCCTCTTCTCCCACCCTTACCCAATTTGAAGGACATTTCCCCGTTCTGTCTCTCTTGTAGGTGACATTTAAAATTTTTGGCTTATTTTTCCCCCATTAATTTTTCTCTCCAAGGTCAATTTGAAGCTGTTTATAATCATGTTTACTCTTTAAAAGGAATTTATGGTTTTGTGGTCACTAAATGCCTGGAGCATGTATATAGTTTTGATAGTAAGATAGTACCATATTTTCAGTTCATTTTAAAAACTCTATTCTGAAATCTATTAAAAAGGAACCTAATTTAAATATGTAGTATTTCAATTCAGCCTTTGCTTCTATAGCACGTGACAAAACATGAGAATATGTATTTTATATTCGTTCTTTTCTTCTAGGTTTTCATACATTTTTTGATTTAACTCTTATTGCTCATGGTTATTAAGGGTTTTCATTAGTATTATTTGATATATCGAAAAAGAATTTCCAAGATATATTCAAGTTGTTTTATTGAAACAACTGCAAAACTGAGTGGGAAACTAGAAGACATTTCTGACATCTTTTTTGCCAATTTTTTTTTTTTTTTTATAGGAATCAAGAACCCAGTCTCGGTTGCCAACAGACTCTTATGTGAAGGGCAGAAGGGCAAGCTCTCGGCTGGCAGAATTCCTCCCTGGTAACCACTTTGTTCTTCCTGACTTTCCCTGTCTTTAGTGCATTTTTATCCACAGAAGGCTGATGCTGTTGGTTACATACCAGGTAGCATGCCTTTGCGAAGAAGACAAACTTTGTTCCGTGATCTTGGAACATTTTGTACAGCTAATAAAGTTTTGGATAGAAAAGAATATTATGGATTAAAGCAGAAAGGGGATCAGTGTTCAACTGGGCTCATTTTATTATGAAACTTAAAAAAAACTTACACATTGTAGTCCAGAGTCTAAAGTAATTTTTAATTTTGAGAAGTTCTTAGAATAAAAGTACATGGAACATAGTAAATAGCCCTTATAAACCTGTGATACAGCTCCAATTACCAGTGTTTTGTACTTCATCTGTTTCATGCATCTCAGTTTTTTTCCTATAGGGTTTTTTGTTTTTGTTTATTTTTATTTTGTTTTATTTTATTTTTGAGACAGGGTCTCACTCTGTCACCCAGGCTGGAGTGCAGTGGCACAGTCATGGCTCACTGCAGCCTTGACCTCCTGGGCTCAAGAGATCCTCCTGCCTCAGCCTCCTGAGTAGCTGGGACTACATGCATGTGCCACCGTTCCTGGACATTATTTTTATTTTTTGTAGAGATGGGGTCTTGTTATGCTGCCCAGGCTCATCTCAAACTCCTGGACTCAAGCAATCCTCCTGCCTTGGCCTCCCAGAGAGCTGGGATTAACAGGCATGAGCCGCTGTGCCTGGCCCCTATAGTATTTTAAAGCAAATCCCTGACATTGTAGTTTACCCTTAAATAGTTTTGTAAGTAATTCTGTGTTTGCACAACATAGCCACCGTACTGTTAGCATGCCTAACAATATTAAAACTTTATGCTTTAATACCTTGTCACACTTAGTCTATGCTCAGCATGCCTGGTTGTGGAGGTTACATTAATGTTCTGTGTTCAAAGTTGTGGTGACAGTGCTGTAGGAATCACTTTGATTCTACTGTGTTTTGAAGTCACAGAAAATAAATTAATATAGTTTAGAAAAATCTTAAATCCTTTACCCAGATAGATTTCAGATTTTAATTATATATGTCCCAGTTTAATTATGGCACTAGAGAGTCAATTATGAAAAAAATCTCAAATATCAATTTTTAATATTATGTGTTTTTGATAAAGCAGTGGTAAGGGAAAGCAAATCTGATTTATTGAGATCCTTTCTAATATGTGTTGGATGGATTTCAGTAAGTTTCCTGATAACTCTGAAAGTGAGAAAAGCCGGGCGCGGTGGCTCACCCTTGTAACCCCAGCACTTTGGGAGGCTGAGGCGGGCAGATCACGAGATCAGGAGATCGAGACCACGGTGAAACCCCGTCTCTACTAAAAGTACAAAAAATTAGCCGGGTATGGTGGCGGGCACCTGTAGTCCCAGCTAGAGGTTGAGGCAGGAGAATGGTGTGAACCCAGGAGGCGGAGCTTGCAGTGAGCTGAGATCGCGCCACTTCACTCTAGCCTGGCCAACAGAGCGAGACTCCGTCTCAAAAAAAAAAAAAAATCTTACACTTGCTTCTCTAATGATTTATATTAAACCCATGCTATTTTGTTTAACTGGTATGAGATTACCAATCCATAATTTACTAAGTGTTTGTTCAGTAGGTGCATGCGGAGTCCTTCTAGCCATACCTTTTTAAGGGAGTAATAAGTGCAAAGAGATTGTCTCTGGATTTATATTCTCTGTAATGTGCATTTAAACATGACTGTGTTCTTTCACCCAATATTTCCTATTGTGTGTAAAACCTAATTAACATGAACTAAACAATTTAGAAGATATGTACCCAGTAGGGAGAAAAAGATGTAGTTGTTTGGTTGGCAAGAAAAATAGCATAAACCATGTAAAAAGTATTTTGAAGTTCACCTACGAATCTACCATAATCCCATTGACCCCACTCCTCATGGCATTTACCAAGCAGATTCTCAAATTTATATGGAGGAACAAGTGTACAAGAATAGTCAAGACAGTTGTAAAACAGATGAAAGAGTTGGATGTACTTAATGGATAGCATGATACTGTTATATAATACTATAGTAATTAACACAGGTTGATGTAGATATGGATAAAAAGATCAGTAAGAACTGCAAGTCTAGAAGCTGACTCAGTGCATGAGGGAATTTGGTCTATGATAACAGTGTCATCTCAAATCACTGTGGGGAAAAAGAATGATGTATTAAATAAATTGTGTTGGGGCAATTGACTACCTAGTGCAAGAACATTAAATTCCGATGTCACATCACTAAGAAAAAGCCCAAACCCAAAAGTAAAAAAGTGTAGTATAAAAATATTAGGAAAAAATATGGGAGAGTATTCTTATGACTATGAGGCAGCAAAAAATATATTAAGATAAAAAATAAAGCTAAGTATTGAAACATATGACAAGTGAAGATGTATACCTATTATACAAGTGAAGATACTACGATCAGAATTAAAAGACAGTATGTCCTTTGGAACTGAGAAAAATTATTTGCAGGATATGTAGCAAACAAAAGATTATCCAGAGTATTTATGAACTATAAAATATCAATAAGAAAAAGACAACCCAAATTTTAAAAATCAGTAAAGGATACAAATAGGCAATTTATGGGAAAGAAAATATTAATGAGATATAAATACATTAAAAGGTGCCCAATAATATTAATCAAGGAATTGTTAGTAAAAAAAAAAAAGATGATATTTTCACTATTTTCAAGTAGCAAAATTAACAAAAACCAACAATGTGCAGTATTATTCAGGGTGCAGAAAAATAGATTCTTCTGCTGTTGATGGGAACATAAACAGCCAGTTGAGAGACATTTTGGTATTATTTATTAAGTACAAATTGAAAAGGGACACTGTATGCTCCAGCATTTCTATCCTGAGACAAAATGCCTTCATGAGAAGGCTTGTACAGCACATGAAGGCTATAGCATTGTTGCTTGTAGAATATAAAAATGTAAGCTACCTAAATATCCATCAATGGCTAAATAAACTGTTTTCTAGTTATATTATTAGATACCCTGTGGCATTAGAAAAAAGGAGAGAAACATTTGTGTATAGTAACATGGCTTAGTGTTAGAATTAATTTACTTGGGCTGCCTTAACAAAATACCTTAGATTCAGTGGCTCAAACAGTAGAAAAGTATTTCTCACAGTTCTGGAAGTTAAGCGGTCCAAGATCTAGGTTCCCGCCTGTTTGGTTTCTGGTGAGCGTTCCTTTTCTGGCTTGCCTTCTCACTGTGTCCTTACACTAGAGATAGGGGTGTAGGGAAGGGGTTGTTGAGAGAGAGAAAAATTTCTTTCTTATAAAGACACTAATAACATCATGAGGGCCCTACCCTCATTTTATCCAACTCTCATTATTTCCCAAAGGCCCCATCTCCAAATATTATCACACTGAGGGCTAGGGTTTCAACAAATGAATTTTTGGGTGGACACAATTCAGTGCACAGAAATAGACCTCACATTGTAGGGTAAAAAAATCAAGTTGCTGATGATGTGTTCATTTTAACTTCTGTTTTCTTAAAAAGATTACAAAACAATGTGATGCATACCTGTTTTCTGCCATCTAGGATAGGAAATAAAACACCACCAAAAGATTTGGAGCTGCCTAGACTAAACTCTGCCAATTTACATTTCTACCTACAACGTCTTATGATCATTCAACAAAACACTTACCAGGAGTAATATAACATTTAAAAAATCTTTCCAAAGTTAGAAGAGATTTAACATGTACTCCTTGTTCCTTCTACTGTCCCCCATGCTCACCGTGACCCCCATCTCTGCCCTACCCCTAGGTAACAATAACCCTGATTTTCTCATTGCCACGTATTCTTTCATATTATTACAGCATATACAATACTCTAATTTTCTTTGGCTACATAAATATGTGCATAGATGTACAAAAATGACTTGTAAAGTAGGTTACTAAAGCCACTGTGATTACCTCAGGGGAAGAGGGAGTAAGATGAGGCAATTGTCAAAGGGGACATATGCAATATTTTAATATTTTACAAAGAGAAAACATATGGGAGAAAGTGATGGCTGCGTCTTTATTAAAATTATATAATAATGCTACACTTGTCTGGAACTAGCTGGTTTTCTCACAAACATAGTTTTCAACTTTATGTTTGATTGTTCTGATATTATAGGTATTTAACATTTTCATATGAATTTTAGAATTTGTTTTTCCATTTCTGTAAATAGCCTGCCAGAATTTTGATTGTGATTCTAATATATGCATTTATTAAGATTTTTAAACGCTCCCAACTGTTTTATAGTTTCCAGTGTATAGATCTTGCACAGCTTTTATTATATTTATACCTGGTACTTCACTTTTTTTTGATGCTGTGGTAAATGGAAATTAAGCATGTTAATTTCCAACTGTTCATTGTCAGTATATAGAAATGTGATTGATTTTAACATATTGACATTCTATCATGGGAATTTGGTAAATCCATTTGTTTTAGTCCCATTTTTATAGATTCCATAAGACTGACTTTCTTTCTTTCTTTCTTTCTTTCTTTCTTTCTTTCTTTCTTTCTTTCTTTCTTCCTTTCTTTCTTTCTCTTTTCTTTCTTTCTCTCTCTCTCTCTCTCCTTCCCTTCCTTTCTCTTCTCTTCCCTTCCTTTCTCTTCTCTTATCTTCCCTTCCCTCCGCTCCCCTCCCCTCCCCTCCCCTCCCCTCCCCCTTCTGTCTCGGAATCTTGCTCTGTTGCCCAGGCTGGAGTGCAATGGCATGATCTCGGCTCGCTGCAGTCTCTGCTTCCTAGGTTCAAGCGATTCTCCTGCCTCAGCCTCCTGAGTAGCTAGGATTACAGGCATGCACCACCATGCCCTGCTAATTTTTGTATTTTTAGTAGAGGAGGGGTTGGCCAGGCTGATCTCGAACACCTGACCACAGGTGATCCGCCCACCTCAGCCTCCCACAGTGCTGGGATTACAGATGTGAGCCACCGTGCCCAGCTAAGATTTTTTACATAAATATTATGTCTCCTGGGAATGAATATAGTTTTATTTCTATTTCTAACCTGGATTCTTTTAACTAATTTTTTTCATGCTTTATTGCATTGTCTGGAACCTCCAATGCGGTATATGGTAGAGAAGTGTGAGAGTGGACATCATTCCCTTCTTTGTGATATTAAGGAAGAAGCATTTGGTCTTTCACCATTAAGTAAGATGATTGCTGTAGGTTAATCACAGATGCTCTTGATCATATTGAGAAAGTTCCTTTCTTTTCCTAATGTATTACCTCATTTTTATACTGCTATGAACTAATACCCAGGACTGGGTAATTTATTAAAAAAAGAGGTTTAATGGACTCACAGTTCGACATGGCTGGCGAAGCCTCACAATCATGGCAAAAGGTGAAGGAGGAGCAAAAGTCCCTCTTACATTACATGATGGCAGGCAAGACAACGTGTGCAGAGGAACTACCCTTTATAAAACTGTCAAAGCTCATGAGATTTACTCACAAGAACAGCACGGGAAAAACCTGCTCCCATGATTCAGTTATATCCCACTGGGTCCCTCCCATGACACATGGGTATTATGGGAGCTACAATTCAATATAAGATTTGGGTGGGGACACAGCCAAACCATATCACTTAGTGTGCTGAGAACTTTAGTAGGAATAGGTATTGTACTTTGTCAAATGCTTTGCTGCATCTATTGAGATGATCTTATAATTTAAAAAATTTAGTTAGCTAATTTAGTGATTCTTTGATTTTTGACTGACAAAGCAGCACTTGCATTCCTGGGATAAATTCTACTTGGTCATAATATATTATCCTTTTTATATATTGTTGGCTTCAGTTTGCTAATATTTGGTAAAGAATTTTTACATATATGTTTATGAGTGATACTGGTTTATAGTTTTCTTGTAATAACTTTGGTTTGGGTTCCTTTTGCTTTTTGGATGTGTGGGGATATATATTTCATCAACTTTGGGAAAAAAATTCCTCATTATCTTTTCAGATATTTTTTTCTGAATCCCTGTCTCTTCTATTCAGAATTCTGATTACATGTAATTTCAGCCTCTTGTAGTAGTTTACAGATCACTCATGATTTGTTTACTTTTTTCATTGTTTTTTCTCTCTTTGTTTCATTTTGAATAGTTTCTATTGCTATCTTCAAGTTTACTAATTATTTTTCTGTCTAATCACTTAATGTCTAATTACCTGCTAATCCCATTCAGCTTGTGTTTTATTTCTTTATGTATTGTTATTTTTATCTCTACAAGTTTGATTTGCATCTTTAAAAAATGTCTTCCATGTATCTACTTAACATGGTTAAACTTTCCTCTAGCTTCCTGAACATATGAATAGTGTTATAACAACTATTTAAATATCTTTGTTTGCTAATTCTGTTATCTTTGTTATTTATGGATTGTTTTCGATTGAATGATTTTTCACCTCATAATAGGTTACCTTTCTTCCTATTTTGCATACTTGGTAATTTTTATTGGGTTTCAGACATTGTGAGTTTTACCTTTTTGGGTGCTGTGTATTTTTGTATTTTAAAAACTATTCTTACATTTTATTCTAGGATGTGGCTAAGTTACTTAAAAACAGCTTGAGCCTTTCAGGTCTCGCTTTAAACTTACATGAGACGAAAAGCATTTGGCCTTGAGCTAATTTTGCCTTGCTATTGAGGTAGAATCTTTCAAAGTATTATAACAGATGCACCTAGAATGAGGCCTTTACTTTGGCTGGTGGGAGCAGGAGCTGTTGTTCCTGGCTGTCTGAACTTGGGGACTTTGTTTCTTTTTTTTTTTTTAAACTTTCATTTCATTTGTTCCAGTGCTTTGGGTAATTTCTTCTTACACATTCACTGATCTCTACTTAGCTGAAGCTTAGAGGGATACTCTCTGCAGATCTCTAGCGTACTCTCTATATGCAGCTTTCTCCTCTCTGGTATTGTGAACTCTGGCTACATGGCCTCTCTGGATGCCCGACTATGTCACTTCAACTCAGAGATATTGCTGGAGCTGCTGTGCTGTGGTTTAGAAACTCTCTAGGCAGTAATGAAGGTGAACTCTATGATTGCAGTAAGGCAGTCACAAGGTTTACCTTGTTTTCCTTTCTCTCAAGGATTACTGTCCTATGCCTAATGTCTTAACGTCTGAAAACTGTTATTTTCTATATTTTGTCTTTTGTTTTTTTCACCACTTCAAATAAGAGGGTAACTTTGTTCCCTGTTACTCCATCTTGTCCAGAAGTGAAAAATCTCTCACATACCTGGAAGTTCACTTTCTAGATTATAATAGAAATTAGATGACTAGAAATATTTGGATCACATGTAAATAAGCTCAAAGTAAAAACATGATAAATTTGGTTATGTTGATTTAGGGTACTCAGGGAATTTTTTAAAACTATATTACATTTAGACAGTGAACTCTAGAGAGTTTCTACTATAACAAAACACCTTAATATCATAAACTAGTTAGCTTATAAACAATACAAGTTTCTCACAGTCCTGAAGGCTGGGAAGTTCAAGATCAAGGAGCTGGGGGATTCAGTGTCCCATTAAAGGGGGCATTCAAGAGGGCTAATCCCATTCAAGAGGGCTTCACCCTCATGACCTAATCACCTCCCAAAAGGCCCCACCTCCTAATGCAATCCCAATACCTTGGGGGTGAGGTTTCAAACTATGAATTTTGGGGGAACACAGTTGTATATGTTAGAACATTTCAATAATAAAAAAATTAAAACAGAGTCCAAAAGAGAACAGTTATAATTTGGTTGTTATGTGTTATTTCCAAGTATAGCAAGTTTTTCTTTATTTGCATTTTATGTGTTGATAAGCTTTAAATAATCAATAACCGAAGTTATCTTTCTTCAGTTTTTTGTATTTATGAAGAGTAAAGAAGTCATAGATAAAATGGAAATCAGTTCTTGAGTCCAGAGAATTAGTTATGTTCTCCCATATCTTTCTCTTTGAAAACAATGTATTTTGATTACGGGGGTTCCTGAAGATCCTTGAGCGCTTTCTGAACCACTAAATTACACATTTTAGACTGATTATAGTCATGATTCTTTGAAAATGGGAGGTTCGCATCCATGAGAACATCCACGAGATTGTAATTCACATGAGTACATCCATGAGATTGTAATTCCTATCACCGTATTTGCCCAGATAGTCCGTTTCAGGGTGTTTTCTCTGTCAGCACTTGCAGCTCAGTTCTTGAGAGTTTTTTTTTTTTTTTTTTTTGAGATGGAGTCTCACTCTGTCACCTAGACTGGAGTGCAGTGGCACGATCTTGGCTCACTGCAACCTCCACCTCCCGAGTTCAAGCGGTTCTCCTGCCTCAGCCTCCCGAGTAGCTGGGATTACAGGTGCGTGCCATCACACCCGGCATATTTTTTTATAGTTTTGGTAAAGACAGGGTTTCACCATGTTGGCCAGGCTGGTCTCAAACTCCTGACCTCAAGTGATCCACTTGCCTCGGCCTCCCAAAGTGTTGGGATTGCAGGTGTGAGCCACTGCGTCCAGCTGAGAGTTTTAATTACCTCACCTCCGTGGTGGTTTCAGTAGAGTGTTGCTTTTTGTTTTGTAACCATTTAGATCTGCTTTAATGTAAACGAAGATGGGTATAACACAAGGAAAATGCTGTCCTTTAATCTAGAGAAGTTTGACACTCTATTATTTTGTTTAATATCTTGACAATTTTTATTTAATGTTTAGTATGCTTTAGGCACTGTTCTAAATGCTTGAGATATGTTGATGAAGAAACGAAGATCTCCACCCTTATGAAGCTCGAAGCTTTTAAGGACTTTATACAGAAATAAACTAACAGATACAATGTGTAAATTATCAATTATGTAATATGTTAGAAGGTGGAAGAAGGTAAAAGGAGCAGGATAAGGAGATTGTGAGTACTGGGTAGAGGAGTGCAGGGTAGTGGGATGCATTTTTAAGGAAGCCTCATGAAGGAGGGATATTTGAGCATGTGAAGGAATTTCCCATTTGGGAAATAGGGAAAGAGCCAGACAGAGGGAACATTCAGGGTGAAGACCCTGAGGCTGGAGCCTCCTTGGTATGTTTGTGGCTTTACACGACAATGAGTAGAGTACACAAGGAGGTAAGAGCAATAAGAGATGAACTGGGGAGCGGTAAGGATCAGATTCCATGGGAGCTTGTAGATTTTTAAAAAGACCCTAGTTTTTACACTGGTCCTCACAAGAGGTTTTACAGGATTTTGAAAGAGGAGTGCCATTACCTGACTTGTATTTTACAAGGATTTTAGTGGCTGGTGTATTGAGAATTGACTGAGGTCAGGGAATACAGGGCAAGGCAAGCATAAAAATAGTGGGGCCACTGCAGCATTGTAGGTATCAGATGATGGTGGCTCAGACCAAGGTGGTAGCAGTGGAGGTGGTGAGAAGTGGTCAGATTCCAGATATGTTATAAAGGTAGAGTCAATGGGACTTTGAAGTAGATTGGCGTGAACCTTTTCTAAAAGTTTCCTCCTCGGAGAATCAGAAGAATGCTTGAGAGAAATTTGAATCGGTGCTGCATTCAATGTTTAGAAATGTGATTTTTTTGACATGTCAGTATAGTTTTTAGTAAAAGCTTCTGCTAAAATGATTTCAAAAGCAATTATATGATATTTTGTGTGATGATGACCTACTATACAATACTTTTTTATGTTGAGGAAAGGGTAGATAGTTAGTATCCTTATCCATAAGATGACATCCAACTATTTGCCTTCCTATGAATATTTTACAGTGCCCGAAGTATTTAAAAACTTAAATAGTTGACAATAGCAAATTGATTTTACTTAGAATCAAACCTTCGAATGATTAAAAAATATATAAAATAAAGCTAAGAATATTTTGTAAAATGCCCCTCACTGATTCCAGATACTGGAATTGAACCCAAAGTGACCAATGGGAGTGCTGAGAATATTAGATTAACTCCAAACTTTTGTCTTGATCATGTAGTTTACTACTTCAACTTCTCTTTTACATCTTCTCATGAACAGAATTATTTCTTTTATCAGTTTTTTTTTCCTAGAAGAAGGAAATGCTAAAAATGCCATCAGGACAGTTCAAATTTGCGTCCAAGCTCCTATTTCAGTCATCTTAACATTTGAAGTTTATGTGACGGCTTTTCTTTGGAGAGGATTTCATTTCGTACAAGAATAGGAAAAACTGTTTTCTATTCTTAGAATCCTTTAGAATTTTTTTTTTAAAGTAGAATTTTGAAGAGGTAAAGTTGTTTATTCTCATTGGCCTTCTCTCCTCTCTATTTAAAATAGTCCCTCCATCCCCATCTTTATGTATATTAGAAAGCAGTTATTGAGATTAACCATTTGGTTTCCCATTGGAACCATTTGGATATGTTTCTGAGGGTCTACTTAGATTTTGTTTTGCCAGTCTGTCACTGGTCTTATTAGCAGTCAAATCTTAAGACTTCAATATGTGTTACTTCGAGTTTTTAATGTTGGAATGATTAAAATAACAGAAACAAAAAAATAGGGAGTGGAAAACTAGCAAGTAGGCACAAGTTCAAGGAATCCATTACTAGCTGGCTGAGATCTTTAAGAAGTTGGCTATGGAAGAAGATGGAGTGATTAATTATTATGGTAACTGCTTGCTATTACTATTTGCTTAGTCAAATTACTTAGGGAATGGGGTAATTATCCTACATGCTATTTGAAATCTTTGAAAACAAGTCTTTTATATTTAGCTAGCAATATCCTTTTATCCACTTTGTTATATTAAAACTTGCTATTTAGGACTTAAAAGTTACTTTTGGGACATACCATAGTACTTACCACAGTAAAAGTGATTCTGAAGGTTATGTATGTATTTTCGTTGCATCAGGGCTTAGAAATGTAAGCATATATATTTGGGCATCTCCAGATGTACCCACTAATTTTGGATGGATCCAGGTATTCTGCTAGGTAATAATGCCAAATCTGAAGGCATTCACTTAATTGTAAACTGTTAATTTGAGTAACCAATCTTGTGACATTAACTGAGAACCCTGTTGGTCCAAGATAAATCTTAATGTTTTCTACTGAGAAGTCAACCATTTTTACATCTTATTATGTTTGAGTTTGCCAATTTTTACTAGTTAGTTATTGCAAATGGTATTGTAACATTCCAATTGTAAAATTTCTAATTTGGAGAAAAATTTTCAGGAATTTTTTAGCATGCAGTCATCTTACTACTTTGAGGTAAATCTGGAATTATGTCCATATGCAAGACTTTTTCTCAACTGCCTTACCATATTACCTATATTTATTGAATATGTAGGAGAAGATGACACTGTGAATTTTAAAAATAATTTTTCTGTTGTTAGCTTTTTAGTTGGAGAAGGAGCCTACAGATGGGCAGTAGATCATGGAATACCCTCTTGCCCTCCTAACATCATGACCACAAGTGAGTAAAAACTTAAAAAAAATTAAGCTATATGAGCATATATACCTAAAGTATAATATTGCTTCTGTTATGACCCATGTAGTACAGATATTTATGGAAGAATACTTATATGTTGAAAGATTTGTAGTTAAAAGCTACGTAGAAAGTTATTTCATTTTAAACCACCTTTGTATTCCTGAGGTCTTCTCACTGCTTCCTTATGCTTTTATAAAAGTATTACTAAAAGATCCCTTTTAGAGATTACTTAAAATAATTACTACTAATAAAGCATTAATACCACCCTTCAATGAGAGAGAGAGATGGAGAGAGAGAGAGAGAAGAAAATATAGGTCAATATTTAACAGTCCTTGAGCTGAGGGAAGGACTTTTTAGATACAAATGCAAGGGAAGGAAAAACAAAGGTGTGACTACATAGAGTTAAACTGAAAAACAGTTATCACAAATATGACAAAGGGATAAATATCCTTAATCTATGAAGAAATTTACCAAATTAAAAACAACACAAATACAAGTAATTGCCCAATATAAAAATGATCAAAAGTCCTAAGTAGATAATATAACATAACTGACAGGCAAATTCAAATTAAAATGAGTACATGTTAAATTTGTTCCCTTTTAACTTTTGAAAGATTTAAAACATATTACTCCTGGTAAGTGTTTGGTTAAATAATCATAGTACATTGTAAGTATAAATGTGAATTGGCAGAGATTTTAGAGGACAACTAAGTAGTACAGATAAAAAGCTTTAAAAGCCTTGTTCTGCTTCTGGGAACCTGTCACTGGAGATAGACAAAGATTTATGTAGAAGGGTGCTCAAGTGAGCATTATTAAGAATATACAAAATTTTGAAAAAAATCTTATACCCAACACAGGAATATGAGTAAATAAATGATCATATATTCTTATAATGAAATGTTATGAAGTAACTAGAAATTGTTATGAAGACTAATCTCTGATAATGATTGAATCTAATGACTTTAAAAGAGTGAAAAATGAAGTTATAAATATGTATATGTTTGTGTATATGTCTGTTTAAAAATATTTGCATAAAATGAGAAAGAAATATTAAAAACACTATTTTTTAAATAAAAATTTTATTTTTATCACTGAAATCTGTGAATATAATTTAAATAATCAAATGAAAAAGTGAGGATTAACTCCAAGGAAACCAACTTAGTTAAATAGGGTATAATTAGCCAGGTGTGGTCGTGCACTCCTGTACTCTCAGCTACTTGGGAGGTTGAGGCAGGAGAATCCTTTGAGCTTAGGAGTTTGAGGCTGCAGTGGGCTATGATTGCACCACTGTATTCCAGTTTGTGTGACAGAGCGAGACCTTGTGTCTAAAAAAAAATTATATTCAGAATGAATATTCATGTAATGCTGAAAGTTGTAATATAGGGAGGCTAGAGGGAAGAGAAATGTGTGTGTAGCAGTAGGGCTGAAATATGAGAGTTTTAAATTCCCATGATCCCTGTCACTAATTATGTCTTACAGTCTTTCCAATGGAACTTATTTTACAGTCCTTATATCAGGCAAACAAATTAGGTCATCTGTCAGTTCCCTTTTTTTCCCTTGGAGACAGGCCACCTGGCCCCTTCCAGTCTCGAGTCTTACTAGGTCTGCTGTGTGGCTGCCATCCTGGACTGTGCCTTGCTTCACCTTGTGATCTCCTTCGCCTCTCTCCAGTATCAGGTTCTCTGTTTCCTGGATCTCATGTGTTTTTCTTCCTTGTTTTATTCCTTATTCAGTACATACGAGACTGAAAATCAGTTTCCCTTAGGTTTTTGAGGAAATTGTTCTCTTATCATCTGGTTTCCAGTCTTGCTATTATTATGCAAGACTCACAAATATTGTGGTGTATTTTTTTCTCTTTGGAAGGAAGCTCTTAATTCCCATGTTTTGATGATCACAATGAAGCATCTTGGGGCATTTTTTTTTTAATTCTTTATGTTGAGTGCTCATTTTGCACATTAAGTCTGGACATTTATATGCTTCAGATTTGGAGAAATTAAAAGAAAATTTTGGGATAATTTCTTCCTTCACATTTTCTGTATTTTATTTTCCGAATACCTATTTTTTAAACACTTTTAATTTTAGGGGCACATGTACAGGTTTGTTATATAGGTAAACTCATGTCACAGGGGTTTGTTGTACAGACTATTTAGTCACCCAGGTATTAAGCTAAGTGCCCTTTAGTTATTTTTCCTGATCCTTTTCCCCCCTCCCACCCTTCACCCTCAGTTAGGCTCCACTGTCTTTTGTTCCTCTCTGTGTGTCCATGTGTTTCCATCATTTGGCTCCCACTTATAAGTGAGAGCATGCGGTATTTTTTGTTCCTGTGTTAGTTTGCTAAGGATAATGGCCATCTCCATCCATGCTCGTGCTAAAGACATGATCTTACTCTTTTTTATGGCTGCATAGTATTCCATGGTGTATATGTACCATATTTTCTTTATCCAGTCTACCATTGATGGGCATTTAGGTTGATTCCATGTATTTGCTGTTGTGAATAGTGCTGCAGTGAACAGATGCATGCATGTGTCTTTATGACAGAACAACTTGTATTCCTTTGGGTATATACTCAGTAACGGGGTTGCTAGGTCAAATGGTAGTTCTGTTTTTAGCTCTTTGATGAATTACCACACTGCTTTCCACAATGGCTGAACTAATTTACACTTCCACCAGCAGTGTGTAAGCACTTTTTCTCCGCAACCTCACCAGTGTCTTATCTTTTGACTTTTTAATAATAGCCATTCTGACTGGTGTGAGATAGTATCTCATTGTGGTTTTGATTTGCAGTTCTCTAATAATCAGTGATGTTATCTTCTTTCCCACCTTAACCCCGATAGCCACTAATATATTTTACATTTGTATAATTTTGTCATTTCAAGAATGTAATATAAATGGTATCATACAGACTGTAACCTTTTGGTATTTGCTTTTTTTTTTTTCCTTCCTCACTATAACTCTCTGGAGATAACATCCAGGTTGTGTTTATCAATAGCTTGTTTTTTTTTCATTCCTGAGTATTCATGGTATGGAGGTACTACTACTGTTTAGCCATTTACCCATTTATGTCTGGGTTGTTTCCAATTTTTGGCTATTATGAATAAAGCTTCTGTAAACATTCTTGTACTTTTTTTGTAGTTCTTTTTAAAATTATGGTAAAATACACATAACATAAAATTTACCATCTTAAATATTTTTAATGGTATAGTTCAGTAGCTTTAAATATTTTCTTATTGTTATGGAACTAACAGTACCATCAACTATAGAACCCTCTTCATCTCGTAACACCAAAGCTGTACCCATTAAGCAGTAACTCCCCATGTGCCTTCCATTTAGTCCCTGGCTAGTTCATTTTTGTCTCTATGAATTCTGCTTTTATAAGTGGAATCATAGAGTACTTGTCCTTTTGTAATTGGCTTATTTCACTTAGCATGACTTCTTCAAGGTTCATCCATGTTGTAGCATGTGTCAGAATTTCTTTTTAAGGCTGAATAGTGTTTCATTGTATGTATATACCACATTTTGTTTATCTACTCATCCACTGATGAATACGTGGGTTACACTACCTTTTGGTTGTCATGCATAATGCTACTGTGAACATGGCTATGCAAATATCTGTTTGAGTCCCTGCTGTCCATTTTTTTTGGGTACCCCGAAATGGAATTGCTGGATCACATGGTTATTCTATTTTTATTTTCTGAGAAGCCACCATATTGTCTGTTTTCCATAGTGGCTGCACCATTTCATGTTCTATCAACAGTGCACCAGGGTTCCAGTTTCTCCATACCCTTACCAATACTTGTTCTTTCCTTTACTTTTTAAAAAATAGTTGGCATCCTAATGGCTGTGAGTTGGTATTTCATTGTGATTTTGATTTGCATTTCCATAATGATTATGCTGTTAAAGTGTCTTTTTATGTGCTTATTGGCCATTTTTATATCTTTCTTAGAGAAATATATATCCTAGTCCTTTGCCTATTTTTCAATCAGGGTTTTTCTTGTTGAGATATAGGAATTCTTCATATGTTCTGGATGTTAACACTTATCCGATATGACTTGCAAATATCTTATCCCATTCCACGAGTTGCCTTTTCACTCCATTGATTGTGTCTTTCACTCCATTGTGTCTTTTAAATTTTTATCTATTTTTTTCTTTTATTGTCTGTGTTTTGGTGTTATATCCAACCTTTCCCCTATGTTGTTTTCTAAGAGATTTATAGTTTTAGCTCTTACACTTAGGTCTTTGATCCATTTTGAATTAATTTTTTTATATGGTATAAAGTGGGGGTCTAACTACATTCCTTTGCATGTGGTTGTCTAATCTTTCAAACACAGTTTGTTGAAGACTGTTGTTTCCCTATTGAATGGTGCTAGTACCCTCGTCAAATCGTTGACCATATATGTGAGAGTTTATTTTTGAACTCTTTAATCTATTGCATTTTTCTGTGTAATGGCCTTTATGCCATTTCCATATTTTTTTTTTTTTTTTTTTGAGATGGAGTCTTACTCTGTTGCCCAGGCTGGAGTGCAATGGTGCGATCCTCTGCTCACTGCAACCTCCGCTTCCCGGGCTCAAACAATTCTCCTGCCACAGCCTCCTGTGTAGTTGGGATTACAAGTGCCCACCACCACACCCGGCTAATTTTTTTTTTGTATTTTTAGTAGAGATGAGGTTTCACCATGCTGGCCAGGCTGGTTTTGAACTCCTGACTTCAAATGATTTGCCTGCCTCGGCCTCCAAAGTGCTGGGATTACAGGTGTGAGCCACCACGCCCAGCCTCCATACTGTTTTGATTGCTGTAGCTTTGCAGTAAGTTTTGAAATTAGGAAGTGAGACTTCCAACTTTTTTTTTGTTTCCAAGATTGTTTTGATTATTTAGGGTCCCTTTAGATTGTACATGAATTTTAGGATTGATATTTCTATTTCTTAAAAAAAAAAAAACACTATTGGGATTTTGTTAGGGATTACACTGAATCTGTAGATTGCTTTTAGTAGTACTGACATCTTAACAATATTAAAGCTTCCAATTCATGAACCTGGGTGTCTTTTCATTATTAACGTCTTTAATTTCTTTCAGCAATGTTTTGTAGTTTTCAGCATACAAGTATTTTGCCTCCTTGATTTTAGTTTTTTTCTAAGCATTTTATACTTTTCGATGCTATTGTAAATGGGATTGCTTTCTTAATTTCTTTTTAAATTGTTCATTGTTAATTTATAGAAATGCAACTGATTTTTGAGTGTTGATTTTGTATCATACAACTTTGCTGAATTTATTAGTTCTAGTGGGTTTGTGTGTTTGTGTTGGGGGACGGGGTTGGAGATCTTTAGGATGTTCCAAGTATAAGATCAAGTATAATTTCCTCCTTTCCAATTTGAATGCCTTTTACCTCTTTTCCTTGCCTAATTGCCTTGGCTAGGACTTCCAGTACTTCTAGGACTTCTAGTTCTAGTACTTCTAATATTAGGTTTGGACTTCTAGTACTAGAAGTGGTAAAAGTACATATCCTTGTCATGTTTCTGATTTTAGGGGAAAAGCTTTCAGTCTTTCACCATAGATATGATGTTAGTTGTGGGCTTTTCATATTTTGCCTTTTTATGTTGAAGTAGTTTCTTTCTATTTCTGGTTTGGTGTTTTTACTATGAAAGAATTTTGAATTTTATAACATGATTATTTGTGCATCAATTTATGATCATGCTGGGTGGAGTGGCTCTTGCCTATAATCCCAGCACTTTGGGAGGCTGAGGCGGGAGGATCACTTGAGGCCAGAAGTTCAAGACCAGCCTGGGCAACATAGTGAGGCCCTGTCTCTGTTAAAAAAAAAAAAAAAAAGATCATATGGCTTTTTCCCTTCATCCTGTTAATGTTGGTGTATAACATTGATTTTCATATGTTGAACGACCTTTGCTTCTTAGGAATAAATTGCACTTTGTCATAGTGTATTATCCTTTTAATATGCTGCTGCATTTGGTTTGGCAGTATTTTGTTGAGGAATTTTGCATCAACGTTCATAAGGGGTATTGGTTGATAGCTTTCTTATGGTGTCTTTGTATGGTTTTGGTATTAGGATAGTGCTGGCCTCATAGAATGACTTTGGAAGCGTTTCCTCTTCGTTAATGTTTTTGGTGTTTGTTGTTTAAATGTTTGGTAGAATGCTCCAGTGAAGTCATGAAGTCTGGGAATTTTTTTTTTGCCGGGAGAGTTTGGATTATTGATTCAATCTCCTTACTAGTTATTGGTTAATTTAAATTTTCTATTTCTTCATGATGCAGTCTTGTAGGTTTTGTGTTATTGGACTTTGTTAATTTCATTTAGGCCATTCAATATTTGGGTACACAATTTTTCATAGAACTCTCTTATTTATATGTGTGTGTACATATATATGCATATATACATTGTCTCAAAAAAATTATATCTCTATATACATATATATGTGTGTGTGTGTTGTGTATGTGTATACGTGCGTATGTATGTGTGTGTATATATACACCTATGTGTGTGTATATATGTGTATATACACACACATACATACGCACGTATACACATACACAACACACACACACACACACACACACACACACACATATATATATGTATATAGAGATATAATTTTTTTTTTTTTTTTGAGACAAGGTCTTGCTCTTGACCAGGCTGGAGTGCAGTGGCGCAAACATGGCTCACTGCAACCTTGACTGCCCAGACTAAGATGATTCTCCCATCTCAGCTGCTGGAGTAGCTGGGACTACAGGTGCATGCCACCATGCCTGGCTAATTTTTGTATTTTTTATAGAGACAGGGTTTCACCATGTTGCCCAGGCTGGTCTCGAACTCCTGTATTCAAGTGATTCACCCACATTGGTTTCCCAAAGTGCTGGGATTACAGGCATGAGCCACTGTGCCTGGCCTATAATACTTTTTATTTTTGAAGAATCAGTAGTAATGTCCCCACTTTGATTTCTGATTATAGTAATTTGTCTTTTTTTTTCTTAGTTAATCTAGCTAAAGATTTAAATTTTGTTAATGTTTTCCATGAACTAACTTTTGGTTTTATTTGTTTTTCTCTATTTTTTTGGTATTATCTATTTTATTTATCTCCACTCTGATCTTTATTTCCCTTGTTCTGCTAGCTTTGGGTTTAATTCTTCTTTTACTAGTCCCTTAAGTTTTAAAGCTAGGTTGTTGTTTGAAATCTTTCTTATTTTTTAATGTGTTTATAGCCATAAAATTTTCCCTTCATAAGGCTTTTGATGTACTTTGTAAGTTTTGGTGTATTAATTTTTATTCTTATCTGAGGATTTTCTGATTCCTTTGTGATTTCTTTCTGTATTTTAGTTTTCACAATTTGTGCATTTTCCAGTTTTCTTCTACCATTGATTTCTAACTCCATCCTGTTGTAGTTGGAGAAGATACATTGTACAATACCTATCTTTTACAATCTATTGAGATTTGATTTGTGCTCACACACAAATGGGACATTTTGGAAAAATGTCCCAAGTGAACTTGAGAAGAATGTGAATTCTGTTGTCGAATATAGTGTTCTGTTTATATCTTTTAGATCTACTTGGTTTATTGTGTTCTCTTTTCATTTTCTTTTGTGTATATTGTCTTGCTATTTTTTTTTGTGGTTACAATGGGGATTACATTTAACATTCTAAAATTATAACACTCTAATTTGAATTTAGACCAGCTTAACTTCAATAACAAATAAAAATTCTGTTCTTATACAGCTCTGTCTCAACCCTCTTTTGCAAAATTGTATCTTTTCCCATTGTCTGTCTCAAAACAGACTGATAGTGTTTTAATGCTTTAATTTCTTAAATCATGTAGAAAATAAGCTAGGCATGGTGGCTCATACCTGTAATTCCAGCACTTTGGGAGGCTGATGCGGGCGAATCACCTGAGCTCAGGAGTTTGAGACGAGTCTGGCCGACATGGTGAAACCCTGTCTTTACTAAAAATACAAAAAATTAGCCAGGCGTGGTGGCACGTGCCTGTAATCCCCGCTACTTGGGAGGCCGAGGCAAGTGAATTGCTTGAACCTGGGAGGCAGGGGTTGTAGTGAGTCCAGATTGTGCCACTGTACTCCAGCTTGGGCGACAGAGGGAGACTCTGTCTCAAAAATAAATAAATAAAATAAAATCACGTGGAAAACAAAAAGCATAGTTAGAAACCAAAATTACAGTAAGACTAGCTTTTACAGTTGTCCATGTACTTATCTTTATCAGAGATCATTATTTATTTACAGGTTTGAGTTCTGTCTAAGGTTCTTTCATTTTAACCGGAAGGATTTCCTTCAGCATTTCTTGCAGGGTAGGTCCAGTAAAAATGAACTATCTCAGTTTTTGTTTACCTGAGAGTATTTTAATTTGCCCCTCATTTTTGAAGGATCGTTTGGCCACTTCCAGGGTTCTTGGTTGATGCTTTTGTTGTTTCAGCACTTTGAATATATCAACCCACTGTTTCTGGCTTCCAAAGTTTCTGATGAGAAATCTGCTTATAATATTATTGGGGATCCCTAGTAGGTGATAATCTGCTTTTCAAGATTCTCTCTTTGTCTTTGGCCTTTGACAATTTGATTATAATGTGCCTTGGTATGGATCTCTCAGTTTTCCTACTTGGAGTTCCTTGAGCTTCTTGGGTGTTTATATCTTGGGTGTTCATATCTTTCATCAAATTTGGCAAGTTTTCAGCTATTATTTCTTCAAGTAACCATCTTCTCTTTCTCTCTTTCTTTTCCTTCTGGGACTGTACAGTGTGTATATTTGTAAATCTATGCAAGGGCCCCATGAGACCAAAAGTTTCTCAGAGATAGTTTTCTTTCCCCACCTCTTTCGAATACTTTGTTCTTTCTTTTTCTCTACCTTCTCCCTGTTTTTTCCCCCCACCTTCTGTCGGTCTCATGCTCTGCTGTAATCTGGGACAATATTGCCTGCATGCATTTGCTTTTGAGATAGAGGGAGTAATGGACTCAGTTATGGATTAGCTTTACTCTAAGAGAATTAGCCCTTTAAATTCCCAGTTTATTGTGGGGAATGTCTCCTATAAAACTCTGTACTCTTAATGGGCTTTGGGCTTGACGTATCCCTCTCCTTGATGCCATTTAGTCGAATGCAAGTGTGCTAGTGTTGGCAAATGTTCACAGTGCAATAATACCTTTAGTCCTCAGTTTACCCAAGAATTTAGCTTAGTGCTTGTAAGGTTTTGAATGCTTTTAAGGTGGTATTTTAAATATTTTACCCAATGTTTTTAGGAATATTCTGTGGATAATTACTCTGAATAACTTAGTCTGCCATTATCAGAAAACTTCAATAACTTTGTCAGTGTTATGTTCCAGTTTGTAATTTCTCTTATCAGCTGGATCTAATTGGCTGTTAAAATTTGTATATCAAGTTTTAAAATTTTGATTATTTTATTGATTGATTGAAGCTCTATTTGTTCTTCAATTCAGCCTAGTCAGTTTATCATCTTGCTGCTTAATCCTGTTTTTGATGTCTTTCTTTTCTTTCTCTGAGCATAAACGTGTGTTATATTCTGTATCTGATTATTCCAGTATCTGAGATTTTTGCAGGTCAGGTTATGCTTTCTGATATTCGGCTGGCTTTTATTCTTGGTAGTTTATCTCTTATGTGTTTTATGAATTTTCCTTTTAAAACTATGAGCACATGTTGATTGAAACATGGGAGTTCTTTGAGGTCTGGGTAAGTTAAGGCCAGTTTGTTTTTCTGGGGAGTATTTGCATTTGTGTTTGGAGGCCCTTTGAAGCACTGTTGATCACTTTTTTACCCTGGGATCTCACAGGTAATAAGAATTCTACTCGAGGTCTATCTAAATGCCCGCATTAGTCCTGAAATTTCTAGGGAGATGTTTCCTCTTTACATCTAGAACCAAAGCTGAGATTTGCAAGTTTTCTGGTTTAAAAAATGTTTTATTTACTTTTTATTATTTTTTGGTGCCTGGTGGCTTTTTTCTCATTTGCCCATTCACTGGGAATATCAACCATTGAGACTTTCTCCTTTCTTTGTGGATAATCTCCAGTGTGTTTTCTCATACTGCATTGTGCCCAAGTTTCGTCTCTTACCTCCTTTGCGCAGAGACCTTTAAAACGACAGTTGGAGGAGGCTTGCATCAACAGATGCCCTGAGGGTAGTATCTGCCTTCAGGACTCCTTTGTTTCTCTGGGTTGGACCATTTTCTTAATTTTAAAATCTTAATTTATTTCTCTTATTCTCCTACTATCCCTGTATACATTGAAAAGACTTTTTAAACCCTTAATTTAACATACTGAAGGATTTTCTTCTGGGAAGGCTCTTCAGATATCTTATTTGACCCATTGCCCTAATATTTCTTAAATGTTATATTTAATGTTTTTTATTTTTATTTTATAGGATTCAGTTTAGCTGCATTTAAAAGAAACAAGAGGAAACTAGAGCTGGCAGAAAGGGTGGACACAGATTTTATGCAACTAAAGAAAAGAAGACAATCAAGTGAGAAGGTCAGGTGGTGTTTGAAATATTCAAATTAATGTATCAGATGATATATCTTCTGCATTTAGATACAAGCTTTAGGACGATACAATTCAGTAGAAATAGAATGTGTGTCACATATGTACTTTAAAGTTTTTCAGTAGCTACATTAAAAATATGTTCATAATATTAGGCTCATAAAAGAGAAAAAGAAAGTAGAAAGAAACAAGGGAAATTAATTTTAATATATTTTATTTAAACCAGTGGATCTAAAATATAACTTTGAAATATGATCAGGGAAAAATTATTAATGAGCTATTTTACATTATCGTTTTTAGTATTAAGTCTTCAGAACCAGTTTGAGTTTTCCACATCTCAATTATAACACTAAATTTTTATTAGATATATTTGATCTGTATTTATATTTCATAAAAATTTACTGTGAAATAGTAAATTTACATACCAAGTTATTACAGGTATACTTAAATCTTCCTAATAGTTTAATATATTAGAAAATTAAAATTTTATAAAATTAAAAATTCAGCTTTCCATTTGTCCTTGACTCATTTTAATTTCTGAATAGCTACATTTGGCTCGTGGCTACTGTTTTGGTTCTTACAGCTCCTGATAGTGATTCTTAACATGACTGTTTAGGGAGTAGAGTGTAAGTATAAGAAAATATACATATTGTATTCAGGCGTTTTTAGGGATAGAAAGAAATTGAAAACTACAACATTCTTGCTCAGCCTGTGGCTTAGGGGTTTCTTAGCATACAGCTCATGATGGGTGTCCCAGGTCACATAGTCATGTGATGTACCTTAGCATTCATCAATATTCTTTATTGTTTAGTTCTTCTGTAATGGCTTAGATACTGTTTTGTCCTTTGTGTCATAGTTTTATATGGTTTACCTATGTATGAATGCACAATACATCATCTTTTGTAGTGATAGATATTTTCTTGGTGTGTTGCCACGAGATAATCAGTTTGGTACAAACCTTTTTAATTTTCTGCCGGCAAAGGATAAGAATTTAGAAGGCAGATGAACAAATTAATAAGTAGATCTTGATATGATGGTGGATAGTCTATTTCTTGGGTTTCTGCATCGGATGTGATGTGTGGGTGAATGAATTTAGGACTTTTTTGCCTTTTTAAAAATTCATGATAGGCCAGGTGCAGTGGCTCATGCCTGTAAATCACAGTACTTTGGGAGGCTGAGGTGGGTGGATTACTAGAGCTCAGGAGTTGAGACCATCATGGGCAACAAGGAAAACCCCATCTGTACAAAAATTTAGCTGGATATGGTGGTGCATACCTGTACTCTCAGCTACTCGGGAGGCTGAGGTAGGAGAATCACCTGAGTCTGGGGTGTCAAGGCTGCAGTGAGCCGTGATCATGTCACTGTGCTCTAGCCTGGGTGATGGAGTGAGACCCTGTCTCAAAAAAAAAAAAAAAAAAAAAAAAAACCAAAAACATCGTAATAAAATTTGCATAGAGTAAATGATTTAATCAGTTTTTATAAACATATATGCCCATGTAAACCATACACCTATCAAGATATAGAATATTTCCAGTTCTTTCATGCTGCTTTCCAGTTAGTCTCCAACTTAAAGGCAGCCACTGTCCTGATTTTTATTACAGTAAATGCTTTTTCTTGCTCTGAACGTTATATAAATGGAATCATACAGAATGTACTCTTTTCTGTTTGGCTTCTTTCACAGAAAGCTTTTATTAGACATTGTATCACCGATTTATTCTTTTTTATTACTGATTAATATTTCCTAATATAAATACACATTAATTTGTTTATCCGTTTTCCTGTTGATGGACATTTGATTTTTTTTCCAGTTTTTTACTATTACGAATAAAGCTGCTGTGAAATTCTCATACCATTCTTTTTGTGGAGATCAGGTTAGGATTTTTATATATAGGAGTTTCACTGCATCTCATGGAGAATATCTTCAGCTGGAATTACTCAAGTAGTTCAGTTTTCCATTCAGGAAATGGGACTGAACTGGGTAGTAAGAAAATAATGGTGAACAAGATGGAGGAAGCTCATGCTCTAATGAGACCTTACATTTTAGGAGAAAGAGACATATTAGCATATAATTAAGATAGTTATTCTTGTAACTGTTATGAAGGAAAAAAAGAAGAACAAAATGATGTGATATAGAGTAACTTGGATGTGAGAGTCTGAATGAAGACTTTGTTAAATAGGATGGTCAACGGAGACCCCTATGAGGAGATAACATTTGAGGTGACATCTAAAAAATGAGTGGCTTTTATGAAGACTCAGTGGAAGAGTGTTCCAGGCAGAATGAGCTGCATGTGCAGAGGCCCTGTGGGAGTTTGGCACATTACAGGAATGGAGAGAGAGAGTCAGTGTGCCAAATCAGTGAGCAAGGGGAGAATAGTATGAGATGAAGCTGGAGCAGTTGGTATGGGCTAGCTCCTTTAGGACCTGGTAGATCATGGCAAGGAGTTTGAATTTTATTCAATAATTTTATTCAAGAATTTTATTTATTTTATTCTTGAATTTTATTCAAGAATAATGGCTAGCCATTGAAGAGTTTAAAGTAGGGAAACAGTGCTTTCTTATTCACATTTTGCAAAGTTCTCCATGGGCTACTATGTGAATAATCAGTCCAAGGGGGAGGTAAGAGTAGAAGTTGGGAGACTAGTTACAAAGTCATTGCAGTTTGGAGATTATGGCACCTTGGACTGTAGGTGATAGGGATGGAGATGACGATAAGTGAATATATCCAGAAAATATTTTGAGGGTTTCTGGAAAGACAATATTGATGCCAATAGTTATTGGCAAGAAAGAGAGAGGAATTAAGAGTTTTAGCTGAGCAGAGGATTTAAGGGTTTTAGCTGAGCAGTTGGATATTTGCCATTTACTAAAAGAGTAGAGCTGGGGAAATGGGGCTTTCTGGTGGTAGAAGTAGGCAGTGGAAATCAGTAACTTTCTTAACCCATCTCCAACTTAATGGGCTCAGATTGACCAATGCTTTCCATTTTCACCATAAAACCTATTACTTGATGCCAATAGCCCCTTAAACACCCAAAGCTAATAGAATACCTTTTGGTGTACCATCTGCCTCTGTTTCTTTCATTTGAATTATATGCCACCAAGATCCTCATTATGCTTGCTGTGAATCAAGGGGTAATTTCGATTTTCAAGTCTTTATTGCTTAAGAAAGACATTTTGTAAGGCTAAGGCTGCCATAGATAGTGATTCCTCTGATGGATCTGGACAAGGTGAATTGAAAACCTTCTGGAAAGGACTCACTATTCTAGATGCCATTGTGTATATTCGTGATTCATGGGAGAAAGTCAAAATATCAACATTCATAGGCATTTGGAAGAAATGGATTCCAAGCCTCATGGATGACTTTGAGGGATTCAGGACTTCAGTGGAGGAAGTCGCTGTGGATGTGGTGGAAGTAGCAAGAGAACTAGAATTAGAGGTAGGGCCTGAAGATGTGGCTTGAATTGCTACAATCTCATGATAGAACTTTACAGGTGAAGAGTTGCTGCTTGTGGATAAATAAAAAAAGTGATTTATTTAGATGGAATCTACTCTGGATGAAGATGCTGAAAGTATGGTTGAAATGAGAAAGGATTTATAATTTTTTTTTTTTTTTTTTTTTTTTAGAGGGAGTCTTGATCTGTTGCTCAGGCTGGAGTGCAGTGGCACGATCTTGGCTCACTGCAACCTCCGCCTCACAGGTTCAAGCAATTCTCCTGCCTCAGCCTCCTGAGCAGCTGAGACTACAGGCGCCCGCCACCACGCCTGGCTAATTTTTGTATTTTTAGTAGAGATGGGGTTTCACCATGTTGGCCAGGCTGGTCTGGAACTCCTGACCTCAGGTGATCCACCCACCTTGGTCTCCCAAAGTGCTGGGATTACAGGCATGAGCCACCGTGCCCAGCCAGGATTTAAAATATTAGGTGAGCTTATTAATAAAGCAACGGCAGGGTTTGAGAGTTGAATCCAGTTTTGAAAGAAGTTCTGTGGGTAAAATGCTGTCAAGTAACATCATGTACTACAGAGAAATCTTTGGTGAAAGGAAGGGTCATTCAATGTGATAAACTTCCTTATTAGTTTGTTTTAAGAAGTTGCCACAGCCATCTCATGTATGAGCAACTGCCACCCTGATTAGTCAGCAGCCATCAACATTGAGGCAAGGCCCTTCACCAGCCAAAAGATTATGAATTGCTTGCTGAAGGTTCAGATGAGTAACATTTTTTAGCAATAAATTATTTTAAAGTTAAGGTATGCATATTTTTTTAAACATAATGCTATTATACACTTAATAGACTACAGTAAAGTGTAAACATAACTTTTATGTGCACTCGGAAACCAAAATATTTATTTGACTCACTTTATTGTAATATTTGCTCTATTGTGGTGGTCTGGAACGAAACCTGCACTATTTCCAAGTTATGCCTGTAATTTAAAGTGTGAAAAAAAAACTAGATAAATTTGGGATTTTTTTATTGCATTGATTTTTTTTCTTTTAAAGTAATCGATTATACAAACATTATCACAGTACAAGTAGAAATACAAATTAAAGCCAGAAGACTTTATTCTGCTTGGTATTCTACCTCTATAAATTAGAGCGCTCTTGTTTTCTTTAGTCTTTGACCGTTTATACTTACATTTGATTAGTTTAAAGTAAGAATTATTAATCCATGGAATGCTTTTGGCTGCAAACAATGGAAAACCTGACTGTGGTTTAAGAAATGCATATTTGTCCCCTTGCTCTCTGGCCCGTAGCCACATAGTAATAAGTTTGGAGGTGGTTGGTTGCTGGCATTAGTTTAGGTTTCTGATGATGCTAGGGCTAACATATCTGGTATTCTCTTGGGCCTTTTTCTTATACCTTTGCCTCATGGATGTGATATGGCTCCTGAAATTTTAGATGTCACATCTGCATTCAAAGTGAGAGTAAGGCAGGATGGCAAAGAGGGAGAAGTGCCAGATGTATTTTCCTTTTTTATCTGGGATTCAAAATTTTTCTGGAATCTCCCTCAATAAACTTCTCCTTAGTAGTTGAGAAGGGGCACAATTCAGTCACATGGCTATTTCCAGCTGCAAAGGAGCCTAGGAAATTGGGTGAGTTGTCATAATTACCATCTCATAGTTCATGGCTTGAGGATAGACACATTGTCTTCCCAAACAAAATAGCAGTTTTATTGTCAATGGTAGTGGCTATTTGGTAGGTCGTTTACAGTGTATAGCATTAATGGAGATAAGTTTTTATAATCTCCTTCCCCACAATTAACATATCCCTTGTTAATACAAAGTAATATTGAGCTAAATAGCTAGTCTATACATAAATTGAATAAAAGCATATTTTATCTCTGCTTTTAGGATGTATAGATTTTAAGATAAAATACTTTAAAATGAGGAACATAAATTCTTAGTAATTATCCATTCTTGGTAATTGGCATCTTTGTTTCATCCTTGCTTATTTTTTTGTTATTTAGAGGGAAGACATGATGGAGAAGAAAAAGATGACTATTTAGCTGTAGTATTATATTGTGAAATAAAAATAGTAGTCCTTAAGTTCTGTTCTACTTCACTCTCTGGGTAGACCTGTCTCTTCTGGATTTTTCTTTTATCTCTTTCTTATTTTTATGGTATACAGACAGTCCATACTTTGCATGGTAGGGCTGGACCATAAAGTGACCATGCAAGCTGAAACCATGCAGAGTGGGCTTAATGGTGTAAATTTAGCTTGTTCCATGACCTTTAAATATTTTTGTCAAAACGTTAAAAACTCTTGGTGGAGTACAGTGACTCACACCTGTCATCCCAGTGCTTTGGGAGGCCGAGGCAAGAGGATCACTTGAGGCTAGGAGTTTCGAGACCAGCCTGGATAACATAGCAAGACCCTGTCTCTCTATATGTAAATACAAAAGAAAAACTGGCTGGGCATGGTGGCATGCACCTGTAGTCCCCGTTACTCAGGATGCTGAGGTGGGAGGATAGCTTGAGCCCAGGAGTTTGAGGTTACAGTGAGCCATAATCATGCTACTGCACTCCAGCCTGGGCAACAGAGTGAGACTCTGTCTCCCCGACTCTGTCTCAAAAAGAGGAAAGAAGAAAAACAGAAAGAAAAACCCAGAAATCTCTTTTACTGTTGGTTATAAATGTGTATGGAAACAGAAAAAAGTAAAACCAATATTTACTTAGTACACTAAAGCATTTAGAAACATTAACAGTGTTTTATTTAGGATAAAAATTTATAATTTGAACAGTACTTGCCTCCTCAGCATGTAACTTATGATGTCATATGAACATCTTTTCTATGTGGTGGTGAATTTTCATACTCCTTTCTAATTTTGGATCAGCTTTCAACATTCTACCTTTTGCTCTTTCAGTGTCACCACATAGCTGCCAGTCTTCCTTTAGTGTGAAATTTTTGCCAATGTCACTTCCTCTGGGACATCTTCATCCTTTTTGTCCCAACTCCACTCCTTGATAAGATCCTCTTTAGTAAGTTCCTCTGTCTGTATATCTAGAGCCTTAATGGCAGCAGTGTCAGACATGCCCGTGGTCACTTATTTCTCGTATAACTTCATTTATCTTTCATTTGAATTTCACTTCCAGCATTATCACTTTTGTTTTGTTTTGTTTTTGTTTTTCCTTGACTTTCTTCTGTAAATTCATCACTTAGAGACAGAGAGGCAACGTTTCCACCTGCTGTCTTTGCACAGTGACACATCACTGACAGACTTTCAAAGAATGTCATGATTGGTCACTGATCGTGATGTGCATCACTGATGTTTGCAGTGGTTTGTGAACCAAGGAGATGGCGGGGGAGTTTATATTTCATGCAGTTACTCAGAGTTAATAATACCATGGTAATTGAAATTTGAACCATGTTGTCGAGGGACTGGTGTGATTTAAATAAACTCTGGTAATTGAAATTTATGTATATTAGGCAAAGCAAGGACTATTTTTCTGTCAAATAACCTGGACTGTTTGTCCTGTGATGTTTCCTTCAATCTGAGTTTTGCTCATTGTATACACACAGTAAAGTTCAGCATGTTCCTGTATCTTCCATAATTTCTGCAAATGGACATCTGGATCTCCCCTTACAAAATTGCCATGGCCTCTCATTGTTGGAATACTTATCAGTAAGTTCATGTGGTGTATGTGATGAAGTGATTACCTGTTTTAAATTTATTGTTTGCTTTGTTTTGACACAAGAAAAAAGTGGTTGTATTGTTTACTAATCTTTATCCTATTTGGAAGAGGAAACCTTACTTTTGGAATGAAGTGTTTAACTCATTAACTCATTGGCCAATTGCTGTACTTGGCTTATGCTACAGGACTGACTGGGTTGCTACATGACTGAGAGTTACTTGCTAAAAGAGGAGACCCTCGTATTGGGAAAACAAACTGATTGAATGCATGGCATAATCTAGATTTCATAAATATCAGTTTCAAACAGCCAGCCCTGGATATGACTGGAAGGGACTCTTAGAGTATTAAAAGAGGTTGGGGGTATTGTTTGATCTCAACATTTTTGATGTTTCAAGCCTTTTTTTTCCTTTCTCTTCATTTTTCACAAGCATATTGTTGAAATAGTTTCCATCTCTTTTTCTTTAATAACAGATTTTACAGTTGAATGTACATAATTATTTGCCTCCTCCCATGACTTTTACAAAGTAATTTAAGTTTTTAATTAATTTCATTGGTGTTTAGGTAAAGCAGTACTTACATGGGATAGTGAAATGAAAGTTAATCAGACATTTTCCATTGTGTGAATGAATATCTTTCCTTCTTTGATTTTTAATAAACAAGTTAAAAAATTTTGCAATGATTTTGGTGCTTTCATACAATGTTGTGTGTTCAAAACCACTCTAAAGAGATGCTACAACTTTTAATTTTGTATTCTTTAGCCACCACATAGGGACATCAAATTGGCCACATGTTTCAGAAAGGAAATGTTGGGCCTTGCTTTGTACCCTTCATATAAATATATTCTATTCTTTTGAAGTATATTGTGGGTAACATTTTTCCCTTTTATCCACCATCTTGAAATTATTATGTAAATGCTTAACTGTATCATACTAAATCATTGTAGTTTTTGGGTGAGAGGTAGGCTAAGATCAAAGAAAATAAATGCACAAAAAACAACATGTTTTCCTCAGATTGTTCCATTTGTACTTGTCTGTGCTTGCCAGAAGAGGAGACCCTGACACTGGAAAAACAAACTGAGTGAATGCATGGCATAATCTAGATTCCATAAATATAAGTTTCAAACAGCCAGCCCTGGATGTGACTGGAAGGGACTCTTAGAGTATTAAGAGTGCAGGAAAAGGAGTAATTAGTCTTCTCTAGAAATTGACTTTGCATGGTCTGGAGTTTTGTCATATTGCTCAAGAAGTTGATTAGTATATGAATATATGAGTAAACCAAAGTAGGAAACTTCTTTGACTTATCTTTTACATAAAGAGATTACTTTATGTATTTTTTAAAAATAAAACCGAAAACTCATTCTGTGAAATGATTGTCTGGTATTTGAAATTTTTTTTTTAGTTGTAGGTAATATACTGAAAATTACATTTGCCTCACATAAGACTATCTTGATTACTGGATGAGCCTACAGATTTTACATGTAAATCAGTAGATAGGTCAGTAACTTAATTAATGTCTTATTGGATCACCCCCATCCCATACATTTATTTAGGTTATAAAGCCTGATGATTGGCATTTGTTTTCAGTATATGAGGATCTTCTAAATGTTTATAGCTTATAGTACTTTATGCCAATCATCAATATCTGAGTCTAAAACTTTCGACCTTTGATGACTGGACAATTGCAGTGTCTCTGTGTGTGTGTGTGTGTGTGTGTGTGTGTGTGTGTGTGTATGTGTATATATTCCATATTTAGGAAAAGCTTCTAACTTAGCATATAAAGATTCAATACCTAGGAGATTGAGTTTCTTCCCAGGTCGTCCTTAAATCCACACCAAGCTATACCTTAAATCTATATGAAGTCTTAAAGTTATAAGTAAGATGAAATTGAGGCAAGAAGGCAATGTTAAGAAATCTTAACTACTGTTTTTGTTTTGTAACGGAAGTAACCTGTGGTTTGTCAGAATATTTGTTATAAGTTGACATCAGATATTGTCGGCCTTGTAAATTCTTCCTAAATTTTGAGTATTTAATAGCTCTGTAGAGACTTAAAATTTGTAGTATTTAACGGAATCAATGGAGAGGGAAAAAAGGAACATTTCTTAATGTTATCATTGGAATAGTCCCAGCTGATCTTGTGTATAATATCAAGTCACCACCTTGTAGCTTTCCTATCAGGAAATATCTCCAGTGAATGGAATCTCACTGGGACTACAGATAGAAGCCTTCATATCTGGAAATTGGCTTAGATGCTGGTGTTAAGAACATCACATTCCAAGTTTAAATATGTCTCCATGTGATATCATATGCTATCACCATACACCAATGACCTGATTTGCCCTATCATAGACATGGTGATGCTGACACATGTATAGCTAATAAGACAGCAGAATAAATGAGTGCATTAAAAAAACCAAATGTGTGTGTACACACACACACATACACACACACACACACCTATTACAAGTACAAGGGTATTTTAAGATCACAAGACAAGAAATAACCAGTGCTTAATTAGGTTGATGGAAAATTATCTGTAACTTTTTAAAGCCTTGGTTCAGCTGTGTCTTCTCTAATCAGCTTAGAATATTTTAAATACATAGTCGGGTCCCAGGAACTATTTGAAATTCAAGACTTGAGACTGGAATTACTTGAGGAGTGGAGGGAATAGGGTAAGGTGAGAGACAGTGTATAAAGGGTCAAGAGTTGTATCTAGATCTATTATAAGCCAGTCCAGAGACTTTGGGCAAACATGGAACCTCTCTAGACTTTAGTTTCCTCAGCAGTTAAGTCAGCATGTTGAACTAGGTAATTACCATGGTCTTTTTTAGCTTGGTGTAATACTCTTAATACATATTCATTGTCAACATGGAGTATGTCCAAACTTCCTTGATTCTCTTATTAAGGAATTCTTTATTCTAGTGGATCCTAAACCTGGCTGATCATTAGATTCATCTGGGGACTTTTAAAACTACAGATTCTTAGGTTCTGCTTTAAACATACCGAATCATAATCTGCAGGAATGGGTAAGCTATTGGGCCGGTATTTGAGATCATTGCTTGTTCTTCCTAATATGTCACAGTGGGCTTAGAAAAGCACCCATTGCATAAATAAACATGGAACATTTTAGATGAACTGGGATTATATGATTGAATTCAGTTAATGACTTCATGTCCAGCATCACTCATTTAGTTTTCCTCCAGGTAGTCTAGAACTCCCTTCTTGGAGTTGCAGCTCTTCCTCTTTGCTTCCAGGATTTGCCTCAGGGTCACTTTCATTGTTCACAGTCAAACCTTCACCAGGCAGCCAGTTCTCTCAAGTCAGGCTCCTTGCTCTTTATTTTCCCCTGCCCAGCAGAGGACCTGACACATTAGCAGCTATTTAATGAAGGTTTATTTGAATGGATGAATCTATATGTATTTTTCCATTTCCTTTTTTTTATGTCCCAACCTGTTCCAGTTGCCTGTTTTCTCCTGCCTATTACACATTTTCACTTGTTTGACCCATCACAGTCTAACTCAGCATGTTTAGAATCATGCTCCACTCACTCTCCTGGATGATTGCACTAGCTTCCTACCTATCTGCCCACAACTGCCCTGCCCTTTCAGTCATTTCTCTGCCCAGCATTCTTGAAGTTTTCTAAAAGTACAGTTTGATTTTGTCATGCTCCTGCTTGAACCCTTAACTCACTTCCAGCTGCTCTTAAGAATAAAGTATAGGCTCCCCAACAGAGTCCCCAGGACCCTATGGGAGCAGACATGGCTGTCTGTCTTTCCAATCTTTTGCCATCTCACTCCGGGTCACATTGTCAAGATTCTTCCTGTGTCAAGGTCTTCACACCTGTGATTCCAGATCCAGGGAATGTTGCCTGTCTCCTTCCTTCTTCTCTCTCTTTAAGCTATTGTGCTGCTCCAATTGTCTCTCTGTCATTATTAGTGTGGTTATTTGATGTCTTTATCTTCCAGTAGAATGAGGTTCCAGGAGGACAGCTATTGTATGTCTTATTTACCATGGTTTCTCAGCTTGACATATAATAAATGCTCAATAAACATTTAATGAATACATGCACTACTTTTTTTTTTCTTGTTTCTTTTTAGTAGACATACTACCAGTGAGCCTTTGTCTTTTCACCCTCAGTGGCTGGACTGTTGCAGTATCTTCATGCCTGGCTTCTTTGCCTCTAGTCCTGCTCTATTCCGTTTTAATTCTGTGTGCTATCAGAAGATACATTTCCCTAAAAATACCTGCATTGGTTTTGTCTCTCTCCTGGAAGAAACTTTAATAGAATCTTTACTGTCTGTGGGTTAAAACCCAAACTTTTAAGCTGAATTTTATAAACCCTCTTGAAACCTAGCTACAAGCTACTTTTCCATTATCTTCCTTCTGGAATTACCTTTTTTTCTCACCAAATATATTTCTCTTTTCAGTTTTATTTGCTGAGAGTTCTCAAATCCAAGTTTTTGTTCATATTCCTTCCCTTAATGGGATAAGCAGTAATTAATAATGGAATATTAACTACTTCTTTGCTTCCTGAAAATTCTAATTCAACTCTTCCTTTATGAGCTAGCTCCAATGCCATGCAGATCAAATTTCTTTCTTCTAGTTGGCACAGATGACAGGTACTTAATAAGTGTTAATTGAATTGAATTATCTGCTTTACACATTTGCCATTTTGAGGTTGGTGTATGTGGTTATTTTGTTTGTGTATGTCCATAGAAGCGTGAGCATTTTGTTACTTTATCCTTATCACAGTCTCTAGAAATAGTGCCTTTACTCAGTTGACATTACTAATTTAAGCATCTACAGCTGATGATTTGAATATTAATTTTGAAAGAGAAAACCCATATAATGATATTTCCTCTTAATAGTAAATTTTGCAGTCTTCCAATAGGTTTAAAATCTTTTATTTAAGGGCTTCAAACATGCATTAGTCTAAAAACTAAGCTTGTTTTAACAATAAGCTTGTATTTGGGGAAATAAAAGGGATAGGTTATCTGAAGTATTACCAAATAATATTATTATGCTCACTCAACATTATAGAGATGTAAGATAATATGTAAGTAAGGGAGGGAAATGAATGTTGAAAAATAATAGCTTGAAACAGCCCACAATCTCCACTGGCCATTCCAAAGAGGTGAGTCAGGAAGTGCCCACAAGGGGGCGTGCTCATCTAGAGAAACTTGACCAAGTGCCTTTCCTGTTAATGCAGGTAAAACTGCCTGTTTACAAATGAACTTCTAGACCATGTCTTCCCCACACCGCCAAGAAAAGGAATGGACCCTCATCACAAGAATTCCTATCTATTTTGTAGCACATGTTTATTTTGGATGTGTGATTTTCCAGGGGGGCTAGGGGACTTACAGAATGGAAATATGAATTGCCTTGTGAGCTCAGACAAGTTTATGAAGCTTGTGATTGTGCCTTTTTTTGGCTGTGCTAAGAGCATTTTTATTTTGTAAGCATTGTTGTCTTTTCTGTGAAGAAGTGTTGAGGTTTGTAAAATATCCTTTTTGGATTATTAGCCCAAGAAACAGGCAGTGCTCTATTTTCACTGCTTCATCAGTTTGTGTAGCTTGAGGAACTACCAGCTAGTCATTTGGAGAAGTGCATGGGCTTTGATTGGTGTTTTTTCCACCAGAAGTCATGGCTTCTTGCAGTCTTTAATTTTTCTTTTCCAGTCCTTTTTTTTTTAACCTTTGGCCTCAACATTATCACCAGCAAACATTTATTGAATGCTATTTATGTACAGGCTTTTAAATAGATCTTAGAGAATGAATAGAGGATATGGCACCTAGTCCCTGCCCTTTATGTATTTGATCCGAAGGAATTAAACAATAAAAAGAAATCATGCCATTTGGTATGTGTTAGAAGAACAAAATCATCAGTGAGAGCCACAGGAATTAACTGGATGGAGAAATCACTCTAAGCTCTGCTAAGTTTCACATGGCAGTCTTAATGGAATTGGAGGAATTTAAGCTGGATGTTGGATAAAGGGTCAGACTTATATGTCTGGGTAGAAAGAAAGATAAAAGTCCTGGGTTCAGAGGCCTGCAAATGGATGAGTTTGGTTGCACCGTAGGTTTTCTGCAGGACAGTGGTTTCAAACTCAGAAGCCAGGGGTGCCAGGCAGGTAGGCAGCCTAAATGTGTGAGACAGGTCTAGAGAGGTAGACAAGTAGAAGAGAGTGGGGCTGACTGGCCATGTGTGTTCCATTGTAAGATATTTTAAAAAAAAATGTGTAACACCAAACTACACTTTGCTGGTCAAACCAAACGCTGGTTTTTGCAGCTTGTAATTCCTGGTGGGGGAATGTCAGTTGATAAAGTTAAACTGTCTGCAGAATTTAGCAAAGTAAAATAGGCCATAGAGGAATTATGACCATAGCTAGAGTCCCCCTGAATATCATGCTACTTTTATTTGTATTATCGTACTTCTGACCAAATGAGGGGAATATTTTGAAATATGTATGAATGGCCCATCCTTGTGGCTATTTGAACTAAACACAGGCTTTGGGTATTTAGAGTCTCTGAAAACATCACTGAGATTAATTTGAATGACATTCGATTTTCTAGGATATGGCACTATCATAATTTAGGTTATATTTTATATCCTAGAATATACTTAACTCCTTTCCTACTCTCTCAGTTCTTTACTTTCTAATAAGATCTATTGAGGAACGAAAGGATAAAGAGTATATAGGTACTATTTCTTTCTTTTTGCTTTTCAATATGCTTATCTTTAATCGTCATGTATTTATGATTTTGAATAACAGTTTCTATTTTTGTGGGTATATTCATAATTATATGGCCATTTGGTGATATGCATAGATACGCTGTACTTAAAAAATCTCATGTTAAATAAGGTAACTTATTACTGTATTAAGTCAACATTAAATATTTTTCTACAGTCTGGAAAGGGTTGAATTTAAATCCAAGTTAAGTGGCCCATCCCAACTGTTATGGTGTTTCATTGACAGGAATAGAATCCAGATTGTCCATGTTACCTTCCAGTCCTTTATCTGTTACTCCCCACTGCTATAAGACTCAGTTTAAAGGCTGGCAGAGCTCTCGTATTTAAAAGAGAAAGTGTAATTTTATCCAGAGAAGATAAATATGTGCCCTAAAATGAAAGAAAGACCAGAGGTCCAGACCATAGCTAGGTGTTTTTGGAAAGAGCCAAATTGGACAACTAAATTGGAAAAGGTTGCCTGCATTTATAAAGGAGATTTCTTTGCTATTTATTAATAATTAGCAAGGTCTTAGCTTGTCTAGCTTTGTATTTTTAAATCTGCCCAGTAATGAATTCATATCCTATTAGTCGGTATGTTAGTAGCATGTTGTGTTGTTTCTGTCTTTGAAGTATTAATACTATGATACACATGCCTCTATGAAGTAAAACTACCAAATGATCTTGGTTCTCTTCTTCTCTCTTGAATATATTTCCCAGACAGTGGTGACTGATTACAGTGAAGGATGACCAGCTCTCCAGTGGGAAAAACAAAGTTAGAGCTAAAGTGTAGTATGGGCATTGCTTGTTCTCACTTTTAGGAAATCAAGAAACTTTGGAGTAAAATAGAACTGAATTAGTAAAAAATGAGAAAAGTGTGATCCAGTACCAAATGACCTCATAGGATGGGAGGGCAGTAAAGAATTTTTTCAAAAAGGAAACACTGAATATAGCAATATGGGACCAATATCAAGAAATACAATTTTTTTACAGATAAAGTGAGAGGCTTAATGTTCGATGGTTTTAGTCTTAGAAGTTTGTTTTGAACAATAGACTAAAGGGCACGCAAAACTTCCAGAAATAAGGATTACTCCCATATTACGAGAAATGGGTGTGGATTTTGGTTTGGTTATTATGGGGACCAGCCAAATATTTCACGGCAGTTGTTAAAGGATGTGCTTTTGGGAACAAACTCATTTAAGAGTGATGTGCAAAATGGTACATTAGGGAAGATCTAAATATGAAATAATCAGAAATGTTAGGTAATAGAAAACTGCTTTAGATAAGCTGAGTTTGGATCACATGTCCAAATTGAGCAAGATGCAGTTTCAGAAGGAACAAAGTTTGAGTTATTGATGAGATTCAATTAAAGAATATTAATTTTATGATACTTTGTTGCTTATAGATGCATGAGGGGCAAGATAAGCCAATAAAGATCCTGTAACAAGCCAGCCTATGGTCTTCTTGTATTGTGGAGAAATGTGTGTATTAGAGGTTGAAAGGCGCAAGGGCCTCCTGTTTGGTCGGGAAGTGATTCAAGAAATCTTTGTTTTTGAGATGGAGTCTCGCTGGGTCACCCAGGCTGGAGTGCAGTGGCGCAATCTCGGCTCACTCTAGCCTCCACCTCCAAGGTTCAGGCTATTCTCTTGCCTCAGCCTTCTGAGTAGCTGGGCTACAGGTGCATGCCATTGTGCCTGGCTATTTTTTAAAATATTTTTAGTAGAGATGGGGTTTCTCCATGTTGGCCAGACTGATCTTGAACTCCTGACCTCAAGTAATCTGCCTGCCTTGGCCTCCCAAAGTGTAGGGATTACAGGCGTGAGCCACTGTGCGTGGCCAAGAAATCTTTTTCTGGAATTATTTGAGCCTGCATCACTTGAAGATATGTAGTACTTTAATGTGTGGTGTGGGTGGGGTGGGGATGAGGGTAGGGGTGGAAAGTGACATTTGCACTGTATGAAGTACAAGTGAGGCAGAGATGCTAGCGTCTGTTATTACTTGAGAGAGATGAGGCTAGTGTTGGAGGACAAGGCTGGAGGGATGGGCTTTTGCTGAGATTTAGGTGATACACAGAGAAAGTGATTGCCAATCAGATTGAATTCATTCAAGTATTTTCTCACAGAACCAACTTTGCCTTTTTTGGTCTCTTTATTTAAAGTTTATATCTATCTCCTTCATTGATTTTTCATTTTTTCTTTGGTTTTTTTCCCCCTTTTTCTTTGTGTTTGTCTTGTTCTCTTTCTAATTTCTTTTGTTGGATAGTTAGCTTATTAATTTTTTCTTCTTTTCTGATGTTAAAATTTTGGACATAAATTTCCCTCTTAGTACTACTTTTACTGTATCCCACAAGTTTTGAAATGCTACATTTTTGTTTTTCATTTTTAAGTATTTTTTGTTTCCATTTTGATTTATTTGATCCATAAATTATTTAGAAGAATTTTTAATCTTTTAATTTCCAAATTTTATCTACTTTTATTGACTCCTAAGTTAATTGTATTATAGTCAGAGAGTATATTGTTTGATATTGTTTTTTGAAATTTGTTAATGATTTAGTTTATGGTTTAACGTGTGATCAGTTTGTGCCTGAAAAGAAACTTTCTTTTCTAAAATTGGGTACAGAGATCTGTCAGTGCTATAAAATCAAGCTTTTTAATATGCTATTCACGTCCATTTCTTACTGATTTTTCTTGCTTGACCTCTTCATAATTGAGAGAAACATGTTGAAATACCTCATTGTGGAGTATGATTTGTTGATTTCTCTGTTTTTACTTTACATAAATTTGAGGCTTTTAAAAATACATACAAATTTAGAAATATTGTATTTCCTTGGTGACTCTAAGCTTTCAGCATTTATCATGTAAAGCCCTGTATCTCTATTAATGCTTTCTGTCTTAACACTTATTTTGTGTGATGTTAACATAGTTTCATTGTTTGGATTGATATCTGCTTGGTGTATCGTTTTTTCTTCCCCATCCTTTTACTTTCAACTTTTCCATATACTTATGCTTTAGGCTTATCTCTCATAAATAACATCTAGCCAGATTTTAAAATCCAATCTGATGACATTCAATAAGACATTATTATTTTTTAAGTTTTTTTTTTTTTTTTTGGAGACGGAGTCTTGCTCTGTCGCCCAGGCTGGAGGGCAGTGGCACAATCTCAGCTCACTGCAACCTCTGTTTCCCGGGTTCAAGCAATTCTCCTGCCTCAGCCTCCCGAGTAGCTGGGACTATGGGCACACACCGCCATGCCTGGCTCATGTTTTGTATTTTTAGTAGAGACAGGGTTTCACTGTGTGTTTTAATTTATATGCAGGTTTGCCGTTGTGTTTGCTTACCCATTTCTTGTTGCGTGTCTGCTTGTCCTCCTTCATTTATTTCCCTTCTTCATGAAATATATCATTTATTTATTTATTCATCCATTCAACAAGTGTTTACTGAGTGCCTAAGAGGTGTCAAGGGCTTTTCTGGGTGCTTGGCATATGTTAGTGTATAAAACATGCAAAGGTTCCTGCCTTCATGAAGCCTATCATCTTGTCAGAGAGATGGGCAATGTAAATGATATGAGCATTCTATCATTTTAGAAGGTGATGAGATGTTATGGAAAAAATATAAAGTAGAGCAAAGAACGGGAGATTAGGTGTGCTTGTGTGTGGATGGTAGGGAGGATGCAGAAGGAGGACAGGTTGTAGTGTTAAGTAGAATGCCCCTTACGGACTTTATTAAATGCAGTCCTCCTGGCAGTGAACTCATTGGATTTATTTATATATTGATAAATGTCTTTAATTTTGTTCCTAAAAGGCAGTTTTGTTGAATACCATTTGTAAGTTTATAGTTGCTTTTCTTTGAGGATATTATACCAACCAATTATAGCCTTCTGGCCTACTGAGCTTCCAGGAATTTGGCTGTCATTCTGTTGTAGGTGACATCTCTTTTCTATCTGGCTTTTTCCCTTTTTCTCTGGCTTCCTGGAGATCAGGATTCTTGTTTTCTATCAGTGCTGGAAAATTTGAGCCATTTTGTCTTTAAATATTTTCTCTCTTTTATTTTGTCTATTCTCTATAGTTAACCACAGATTAGACTTTGAGCCATGTCTCTTAATATCTCATTCATATTTTTCAGGTTTTCCCTTTTTTCTTATAGTTACAACCAAATGTGTATTAAATATGCCTTATGCCAATAGGAAAAAGTTGAAAAATTTGTTCATGATCTGATGTTTTGAATGTTTGGTTTTGTTTTTTAAGATAGTACATTGCTATTGATTTTTTTTTGCCTTTTTTACAGGTAAAATTTACACACAGTAAAATGCATGCATCTTGAGTGTATAATTCGATGAATTTTAACATGTGTATATAACCATGTAACCAATACTCCTATCAAAATATAGAATATTTCCATGACTCCAGAAAGTTTTCTTGTGCCCCTTCATAGGTGGTGTCCTCCCCAATGAAGATAACAATTTTCTGATTCTTTTTCACCATAGTTTTACTTGTTCGTTAAAATGGAGTCTATATGTTCTTTTGTGTCCAGCTTCTTTTGCTCAGCATATGTCTGAAAGATTATTCATATTGTTACATATAGCATGGGCTCCTTTTTATTGCTCAGCAATCTTCCAGTATTGACAATATCATGATTCGTTTACCCATTCCCCTGTTGATAGACATTTGGATTGTTCCCAGGTTTTGGCTATTGCAAATAAAGGTGCCATGAACACCCTTGACAAGTCTTTTTGTGGTATACATTTTGATTTCTCTTTGGTAAATACTTAAGAATTTCATTGTTGGGTCATAGGTAGGTTTATATTTAATGTAGAACTTATAAATTTTGATTTAGAATTATAAAATTGTGATTAATATTCATTTCAGACAAATAAGTCAAATTGGACATACTTATCATTAAATATTTAATATTTGAAGTCCTTGAGATGTGTTCTGTAAGTATTTTGATAGGATGAATGCAGTTTAATGACCTACTTAATGTCATCTTAAGGAACTTGCTGTAATTTTTATTTCAAGTTCAGCATATCCCAGGTTCTCAATCTTTAACCAGTGGTTCACTATGGGTATAAGTTAAATGATATTAATTAAACTGCGTATGAGTGAGAATAGAAATGATTTAAAGCTGCATAAAACTACTTTTGTGATAGTATTTACTGTTTAGCTGTGTAATAATTTAAGCCATGAGTATTCGTGTGATCTCTACCATCACTTACACACACTCATTCAACATGCACTCTGAGGCCCTTCAAACTGTTCCATTTTAAAGAGAAAAGCTTCCAATTCATTATTTAAAAGATTATCTTAAAAACCAAGATGAAAACTGTTGCCTTTTCCACCTTTAATGTTGCAAACCCCAGAACATTGTATAGGAATTCTACCAGTTAGAAAACATCGTCCTTTGCTATCTTTGAGGGTTTGGAATTTTTAAGTAATCTTTTTTATGGTATGAATTTAATTCCTCTAACCCAGATATGTTAAATCCCCTTAAAAGCATGGTTCAAACACGTTATTTTTATTTTAACCTGAAAATGCTTCTGTTAATTTTTGTCAAGTGATTTAGGAAATAAATAGTATAAAGATTTTATTGTTTATTTTTTTGCTTGTTTAGAGATAGTGTCTTACTCTGTTGTCCTGACTGGAGTGCAGTGGTGTGACGATTGCTCACTATAGCCTTGCACTCCTGGGCACAGGGGATCTTCCAGCCTCAGCCTCCTGAGTAGCTCAGACTACAGGTGTGTGCCACCATGCCTGGCTGGGTTTTTTATTTTTTGTAGAGGCAGGGTCTGCTATGTTGACCACTCTGTTTAGATTTTTATATGGTATACATTTTTTTCCTCTTGCTCTATAAATATATTTGGTACCAATTTGTATAGTGTTGCAAAGCCATTTAATTCATACCTATTAAACAAAGAAAATAAAAGATTACTTAAGAATAGACATCTTGACTATAGTTTATAAGAAACATCGTTAATAGTATTGGGCATCAGAAGATGATTTTCTAAAGAGGGAAGATAATATCATTGAGTGTTCCTATGTTCAGATTTTTGCTGGTTTCATGCAGTCCACATAGGTGAGAGTAGATAATTCTAGCTAAATTATTATTATTTTTGAGACAGAGTCTCACTGTGTCACCCAGGCTGGAGTGCAGTGGCGTGATCTCGGCTCACTGCAACCTCCACCTCCTGGGTTCAAGCGATTCTCCCATCCCAGCCTCTGAGTAGCTGGGACTACAGGTGCACACCACCATGCCTAGCTAATTTTTTTTTTTGTATTTGTAGTAGAGACAGGGTTTCACCATGTTGGCCAGGCTAGTCTTGAACTCCTGGCCTCAGGAGATCCACCCACCTTGGCGTCCCAAAGTGCTGGGATTACAGGCGTGAGCCACCCAGCCCGGCCTAGCTAGATTATACTTTGTTTACACATAGTTGATAAACTGTAGCCCACAGTGGCCCTGCTGTTGGATGGCTGATTTGTGAGAGATATAGAGCTAGGTCTAGATGTCCTGTAGCTGGAGCCATCTCTCTGTGTTTAGGATACTCAGAGATGTGAAAGCTTTATGATGGCATTATTGTACTGTCATGTTAGGGTATAAGTCATCTGCATTTCTCAAGTGGAAGCTCATGCCAGTTATAATGCTGCTCTCAAACCTGACAGAGGTATACGAGGAGGGCTTGGTATGTTTTCAAAGAATGCATTTGTGTCTTTATCATTATATTAAGATAATCCCATAATAGACCTATTTTAGAATGCACTTATACATTTAAGATATATTCTTATTTTTTAGCTACTTGATATTTGAGTAAGTCTGGACAGAAGAAAGACTGAGTTAATAAGATAAAAGACTGGTAGATGGGGCTGGGCCTGGTGGCTCATGCCTGTAATCCCAGCACTTTGGGAGGCCAAGGCAGGTGGATAGCCTGAGGTCAGGAGTTCAAGACCAGCCTGGCTAACATAGTGAAACTGTGTCTATACTAAAAATACAAAAAAATTAGCTGGGTGTGGTGGTGGGTGCCTTTAATCCCCCTACTCGGGAAGCTGAGGCAGGAGAATCGCTCAAACCTGGGAGGTGGAGGTTGCTGTGAGCCAAGATCATGCCATTGCACTCCAGCCTGGGCAACAAGAGCGAAATTCTGTCTCAAAAAAAAAAAAAAAAAGACTGATAGATGGTGTCTCTTGGCAGATTTCAGAGAGTGCAGATTAGAAGCTTAATTTTCTGGTGGGAAGTGCCTTAACTTTGTATGAAGGGATTTATTCATTTTAAAGTAGTTTACATCTGTTACTTTAATTCTTATAATAACTATATAATAACCATCTCTAATTTGGAACAGAGAAAACAGGGACTGCTTATTTATTGGTTACTTCAAGAAAGTTTTATTTCAGTGTTTTCTTTAACACATGTAACCTCTATGCTAACTTTATATACATGCTTATTTTGAAGAGGACTATAGTTTTATACAGTTGCTTTTTAGTTACAATTTTATCAAAAAAGTAATACAAATAGCATGTTTTAGTCAAGGACAATAGGTATATGTGTATCTGTGTAGTGCATATATTTTTTAAGTATTTATAGAGTGTAAGAGTGTAATAGTAGCTCTATATAGTAACAGTCATTGTATGTTTTTTAACCTTTCTAAGATTTCATTCCTGTACAAACGAGCTCTGTGAAATTATTATGGCCAAAATACCAATGTTTGTCTTTCACCTAATTTATCTGCACTTCATAAAAATGCTTAAATATTACTTCATCATCCTTAAATTTGCTTTGCAGTATGTGAAGCCTATGAACTAATTCTTGAATATTTATGAAGTAATTCTGATTTTTTTTAGGTGTTACAGGCTCTTAGGAATATTTAGCTTAATTTGGAACAGGATTCTTTATTATTTGCATGACTTTTCAGTTTTGAAAACGAAGTTACAGTAAATCCATGTATGTATAATCCAGTTATACTGACATCAGTTTTTGTATCTTTCTACAGGAGTTTGGTTAGGTATAACAGTTCTCATGGTTCACAATATCCTGATTGAAATGCTAGGAAAATTACTTTACAGATAATGCATAGCATTGTGTATACGTTACTTATTCCCTCTATAAAATTCTGTTTTACAGAATGCATGGGTAGTATCAGCAGTTGGAGTTTATAAAAAAGAGCTAATGAAAAATACCCTTAAGAGAGTAGATTGTAAGCATTCTCGCCAGAAATAAATGATTATGTGAGGTAATGTATATGTTAATTAGCTTGATTTCTGCCATTCTACAATCTATGCCTATATCAAAACATCATGCTATATACCATAAATATATATAATATTTATTAATTAAAATAACTGAAATGTAAAAAAGAGACATAACCCTCCCTCAAAGGTTAGACAGTGAAATAGGATGAAAGTCACAATTTGATTATTTACCAGAAGCAATCATCCTTATCTGGTAGGACTGATGAAGACAGTCACTTTACATTATGCCTTACTTGGGCTAGGGAAAAAAGTGTGTAAAAATTTCCAGAATTTTATAGCAAAGAATAAGGGCAAAAAGTACTGGCATATGTCTGTCAATAAAAACTCAGTATTTCCAAAAATAATCTTAAAAGAATACCCTTTCTTGACTTCTCTGTTGTTATTGTTGAGGAAAGTTATTTTACAGTTTGTTTATTTGTGTGAGATTTGTTTGCTATTCAAAGTGTAAGATCAGTATTTTAAAATATAGATACCAAATCCATGTAGTATAATAGTGGTGATATGCTGTCAGTTGACAGTTGAGCAAGATAGAACTTAAATCTTTTATACTGGCATAATGTTAGCCTTAGGTAGTTTAAGTTTCTCCTTCAGCAGATTTGTGCCTATAAATAGTTTGCTTCAGAATGAATGGGGCAGGTATTTGGTGGATAATGGTCCCCTGGGGTGGGATGCTGTTAGACCATCAGCATAGTGTGGAATATTGTTAGATATACAGTCTTGGATAGTTCCCAGATTGCTCCATCAGAATCTGCATTTAAACAAATTCTCCTGATGATGTGTGTGCACATTAAAATTTGAGAAGCCTTCTTAAAGGTGACATCAAACTTGGCATCTGGGGAACTAACACTTCTCTACCCAAGATTGCAAAGATATAAAATTATTTATTAGCATTATAAAACAAATATTCCTCTTAAAAGTATATTTCTCTTTAAGATTATCCATCTTTTCTGGAATAAAATGTTTTTAATGCATTTCCGTACTGCTGTTCTTAATCTTACCTACCAGAGAAGACAGACTTTGCTTTGTCCAACCTGAATGAGCAAGTCTGGTTATTGTTAAGTCTTCCCTAAGATAGCGGCAGCATCTGGATTTGCGTGAAGTCAAATCTTGCGAAACAGAGGTAGAAAACTGGCCCTGACATTGGGATGGCATTGCATGTTACTCACTATTGGGCATGTTTTGTACCACCAGGGATACAGACATCCTGCATCCTAATTAAAAAATAAATATGTCCTGAGTGTCTGTTGCATTCAGTGTGATGTGGAGTGGATCAAACCTTTCCTTAGGGAGTTCAGGCCAGGAAGTATTCTTGAAGGGCACATGCCTTGAGCAGAACTATGTCATTCTGAGATATGACCATGTGGATCCATTGGCTAGACTTTCCCTAGCTGTGGTTAAAAGAGGGATTAGGAATATAGCATTCATTTCAGCCAGTTCAGCATTTCCTATCAAACTAAGTACTGTCATAGTGTATCAGTATATTTAAGGGAAGTTAGAATTTAGAGCAAGAAATATAAATTCTAGATGTAAGTACCTTTTCCTAACAGACTTGATGTAAAATTTTGTTGTGGCACACTCTACTTCTGAGTTTTCCAGTTTGCTTTAGGGAAACATCTCTTGTTTGAATTCTGCTTCCACTATTTAGAAACTCTTCAATGTTGCTAAACTTCTGAGATGGGCCCGGGAGCTCATTGACTTTTCTGGTGATGGCTTTAGTGTGTCATTTTGCTTCTTAGGGATCTCTCAGTACCAACCAAGTCCTGCTCAGTAATGTGAGCAATAAATCACACAGGATGAGGAGCTGTTCATGTTGAACCCGGCGTTGGGCCTGGCTCTTACATGCATACTGGTGGTGGGGGTAAGGGTGGGGTCTAGGGTTGTAGGGCAAGGTTTGAAAACCAATGCCCTAGCATAAGAACACCACCATGACTACTATTAACCTAAAAACCTACCGTAACCCCCCTTTTTAATATATGAGACTTCTTTTTCCATGAATTTTTTTCTTGCCTCCCTTAATCATTGTTTCTATCCAGTAGTGTAGTGTTTGTCTCTCTTGCACAGGTGACCCATAAACTTTGGAGGTAGGAGACAGCGGCTCATAGTCAGTAAATATCACTATGTGCCTTAAACATGTGGGACCTGGGACAAAACATTGAAACACAAACCTTCCAAGAACGTACACTTTTCTGCCATACAATTGGCAAGCATGTTACTGTTATAGGAGAGAAGGGAGCTTGCCATAAATTTTCTCACAAACAAGGAACTCTAAGAGAAAAATGATAGTGTGGTATACTTTAAGATTGTAAATGCCATTTTCTTAATTTATTGTGTGGAATGTATTTCTATTAGATGTTTGTATATAATACTTAAAGAAATACCAACAAGAGTATTTATTATTAGCTCATTTATGCCACCGATGGTTTCCTCTACACATTCTCAAACATGAACTTAATTCTTGAGAATGAAGAGATACTGCTGTATACTGTAATTTATATTAAATTGTGACATTTCCTCCATTAAAAAGACACTATAGCCTTATTATTAGAGAAAAGCAACAGGATACCTTTTGTTTGGGATTTCTCGGTGGAAAATACATTTTGACTTAAATAGGATTTAAATGGCAACTTGATAATAGATAATTTTAGGAGATTGCTCAATGTTCCACTTAGGGATTAGTTTAGATTTTGTTCTGTCATGATTGTATGGAAAAGTGCTATGTAGTCATATCAGATTGTCCCACTCCATGCCTAGTGAATACTTGTGCCACTTTTGCTCTGCAGGAAAATGACTCAGGCACTTTGGACACGGTAGGCGCTGTGGTTGTGGACCACGAAGGGAATGTTGCTGCTGCTGTCTCCAGTGGAGGCTTGGCCTTGAAACATCCGGGGAGAGTTGGGCAGGTAAGTAATTATGGGTTTTTTAAACTAGCCTTTCAAAGTAAAGCATGGAATTTTTAGCTCACAATTTTTTAACCAGTGGGAACATTTTTTCTTTAGAAAAAATGAATGTCATTGTTTTTTAACATGTAGTATAAATCATCAACCAAATACCTTTTTAAAATTCTTTTTAAGAAAACCTATCTCATAGTAATTGGTTTGTTTCTCATCTTTACAATCGTTGATCCTAGTTTTTCTCCTTTCAGCAGGCTGGGCACTGGCCTGGGTATTTAGTAGACATTTAATAAATGTGTGCCAGTTTCCATTTTCTCTCTGTAAATGTCACTCTCTTTAGGAACAAGCTCTACTTGACTATACTGCTTGCTTTTTAGTTGGAGAAATGATTTTAGAGTTACATTTTTTATTTCCTCTGTTCCATGTATTGTGACATTTGGCCCTTTACATCCCTCCTCTGATCCAGCATTTCAGCCATTTTAGAAAATAACCAGTATTTCAGGTCACCAACACATGATACCACTTAACAAATCTAGAAATGGAGATGGTCTAATTTATGTAAAATTTGCTTGTCCCCAGTTCACTTGCACATCTTCTTCACTTTGCCCCTTTCCCCCGTCTCTCATTTTTAGTTTTATACTGAGAATGAAATTTAACAATCTATTTGATCTAGGAAGCTTTCTGAGGATAAATCAATTTTGGCACATTACTTGTGGGCTTAATAAATGTTTGTTGAGTGAACAGATGAATTGGATATTCTCACGGAGTAGTTGCAAGGGTTCATTTAAACTCAGTATTTGGGTGGCATCTTATAGATGGAATGTGTCTTGTTATGCTTTGTGTACTTTGTCACATTTGAAGAAGAGTCAGTGTCACAGTTACTTTTTTCATGATGGTTAGTGACTATTTGAAGCAGAGAGATCCAATTCATGGAGAATATCACTGCACACCCCAAAGTGGTGTTGTTTGATCTGCTCTAAGCTGCTTACATTCCTAGACTAGGAAAAAGGGGAAGGGAAGAATAACTAGTTTTGTGCTACTCTGCCTAGTGTGCAAGGGGCTGTATAGGGAATGATTACTCAACGTATGTACAATGCTTTAACTCATTGTAAAAGCCTTTGTCTGGTCATGGTATTTTTCTACATTATAAAGTCCTGTGTATTTGTCAAGTTTGCAATAGGAAAGTCAAGCTTGGCATATCAGATTTGGATACGCTAGTAGAGAAGGTGAGAGAAAAGCCAGCAGAGTCACCTTTGATGCATTATAGTCCCCATGACTTTCTCACTGTTTTCTGTTTGTTTTGGTTAGCAAAATGGCAACAACAGAACTAAGGATAGTTCTGGACTATGTTAGCAGGATATTACGTCTAACAATCTAGAAGCTATTCTGCCACTGCACTTAGAACTGTCCTGAGCAAAAGAAATACTTCCGTAAAATTTATGTGTTGGTTTGCCTCACTTGGCTAGTTTGTGAATACACAGCTTCTGAGAGTTAGAAAATCAGGAAAGAGTGTGGAAGAAAGGAGTAAAAGGGCTTATATGAAAATGCAGTTGCTTAATTGGATTATAATGCTTGGATAGAGGAGATGTAATAAACTTGAAACTATGTAAGTATCAGATGAGAGGTAAAGAACAGTTCTTTTTGACAAGCCCAAATGAAACAAAATACAAAAGCAAGTTATATCAAAGGCTAATTATTTTTTAAAGTGTGCTGAAACTAGATACTTTTAATGTATTTTAAATGCACAATTAACTACTTAAAAATTTTAGCATATTACCCTGCTGTAGATATGTGATAGCAGTGCAGATGGTGAATGGTAATTTGAGGCCAGGCGCAGTGGCTCACTCCTGTAATCCCAGCATGGAAGGCCAAGGTGGGCAGATCAGTTGAGGTCAGGAGTTCAAGACCAGCCGGGCCAACATGGTAAAACCCCATAGAGAAGTAGAGAAGGTGAGAGAAGCCAGCAGAGTCACCTTCAATGCATTATAGTCCCCATGACTTTCTCACTGTTTTCTGTAATCCCAGCACTTTGGCTCACGCCATCTCTACTAACAATACAAAAATTAAGCCAGGTGCAGTGGCTCACGCCTGTAATTCCCAGCACTTTGGGAGGCCAATGCAGGTAGATCAGTTGAAGTCAGGAGTTCAAGACCAGCTTGGCCAACATGGTGACACCCATCTCTACTAAAAATACAAAAAATAGCTGGGCGTGGTGGTATAAGCCTGTAATCCCAGCCAGTTGGGGGGGATAAGGCAAGAGAATCGCTTGAACCTGGGAGGCAGAGGTTGCAGTGAGCTGAGATCTCGCTACTGCACTCCAGCGTGGGTGAGAGTGAGACTCTGTGTCAAAACAAAACAAAACAGAACAAAAATTATCTGAGCATGATGGCTGACACCTGTAATCCCAGCTACTTGGGGAGACTGAGGCAGGAGAATTGCTTGAACCTGAGAGGCTGAGGTTGCAGTGAGCCAAACATGCCACTGCACTCCAGCCTGGGAGACAGAGCAAGATTCTGTCTCAAAAAAAAGAAAAAAAAAAAAAAAGGATAAGAAATGGCAATTTGAATTAGAACTTATTTGCTTCTTTAGCTTACTGTAATAATTTGAATTTACAGTTTGGACATGAGAAAGGAATTATTATATTTCATTTGTCCTCCTAAACCTCACCCCACCCCCACACAAATAGGCGGTTGAGTTTACTGGTTAAGTGTGGACTTCCGATCTAGGTAAACCTCTATTCTAATCCCACCTCCCCATTTACCATGCCCCTTACTTTGAACAAGTTACTTAACATCTTTCAGCTCCACTTTCCACCTCTGTAAAATGGGGATAACCGGCTACCTTACAAACTTGTAGAAGATTCAATGTCAAAATGTATTTAAATTACATATTATAGCCCCTAGTAATAACAGCTATAGCTACTGTTAATTAAGCACTTGCTATGTTCAGCAAGTACGTTAATTCGCATGATCCTGTGACAACAATATGAGGTAGGTATTTTCATTATCTTTATTGTATAGAAGAGGAAACTATTGCCCAGAGAAGACTAATAATAATATCATTTATATGACCTACTTTTACTGCATGATAATAGCTTTAATAAAATTTTAATACAGTTTTACTACCAAAAAGAAGTAAGATTTTAAAAATTTGTTTTTAAAGGCTTGCTTAAGGTTGCCATATTTTATCCAATGAAGTGGATAAGAGATGGACAACCTCTAATTCTTTTATCTTACCTATCACTGTCTCAGCCCAATGAATTTCAGAAGGTTAAGAAGAAAGACAATTTTAGGTCTTGAAACTAAGGAAGGGTATCATAAAGGGAATTTTCTTAAAGGGAAGGAGCAAAGGGTAAGTGTAAATGTTCTTTTCTAGAAAGATGACCTCCCCTGGCTTTATAAGAGGTGTCCTTGGGACCTTATTTACTATTTTTTGAGTGCAGGCTACTGGTCATGTTAATTGTGGGGGACGTAAAAGATGATAGTTTTCAATGAAGAAAGAATGGGTCCTTCCATTGATTTCTTGTGTTCTCTGAGACTGGCTGACCCAGCACTTGCTTCAGGGAGTACCAGTTGAATAGTTATCCCACAAGTCTGCCAGTTTATTTATAAATTCATATTCTAAATCACTTCTGAAGGGCTTTCAGTTGCCACACTGACCCTGAGCCAGCATGTATTTTAGAAGCGTGGTGTTGTCAGAAACAGTAAACAGATTTCCCAATGTCTACCATATTGAGAGTATCCCGCTCAGTTCTTGCTTCTAATTTTAAGAGGGATATTGTCTGTAACATCTGGAGATAGCAACTATGGGTCACATGAACATGGGAGACTTCCGTCTCTGGTTATCCTGGACACTGACTTATTTCTCTAGGAGGGTAATTATGAGAGAGTGGTGGGTTTGTGCATCGCAGAGTCTTGGGGAACAGCTCACAAATTTGGGTTTCTTTGGGTTAGAAAAGAGAACTAAAATAGCTGTTTTTAAAAAATTGGAGGACTTTCTGGGGGAGGTTACAGTACTTCCAGAGAGCAGAGGCAGGACTAGTGGTTGGAGGTTATAATACAGCACATATTTGCTACCAATGGGAAGTGTCCGTAAACAGAATGTGTTCCCACATGAGGCAGTGAGGTTCTCAGTGTCAGAAGTGCCTGGGATGTTTCATGGAGATTCCCGCTCTGGGTAGAATATTGGAGCGAATGATTTCTAAGATCCTTGTAAAAAAATAACAGAATATCATAGAAAGCTGAAGTCTGGTCCCCATCCTCAGTCTTAGCCTATTCCCCAGTCCTCAGAATGAACTCTTAGAAAATATCAGTACTGCTTTATGGGAGTATCTTTTTCCTCCATCAGTGGCAGGGAATACTGAATGTATTGTAGCTTGCTATTGTTTTCAATTCAACAATATGTTTGGGAGCTCTTTCTGTATTTGTTCTTAAAGACTTTTTAAAAAGCTTAATTCTTTTATTTTTAACCTTTGCAATGAATTCCACATAATGCCATGCCAAAGTTTAGCCATTTCCTCACTGATTGACATTTAGGTTGTTTCAAGTTTCTCATTCTTATCAACCATTTAGTAATGAACTCTTGAGCATGCCACCTTGTATTTTGCTATGATAGCTAGCTAGCTAGGTTTTTTAAAAATTTTAATCTCTACTTCTTACTATGGAGTGGAAGAGTTATTAGTTGTGATTTCCCTCCCAAAGTCAGAAAAGTCATTGTGGATATTGAAGAGAAGTAGCATTATTAAAAACAAAATAGGAATGATTGTCATAATCTGTTATAAAACCATAGTAGCTTATTGTGTACCTGATGGTTTCAGATGTATAAATCTGCTCCACCACCTAACAAAGTGATGAGCTTGAGTAGGCCTTTTTGCCTCCTTTCTTTTCATCTGGCTGAATCTAGCACAGTAGTGAGCATATATTGGGCCCTTTGGTACAGAACTATTTGCACTTCCTCTTGTGCCACGTCAACACAGACATGGAAAAGGCCCTCTTGAAGCAGGGTTTCCTGGAGCATGGCAGGAGGACCAGCTGCATCCCAGTACCCCATGGCCCTGGTTAACAGTACTGATTCCTAGGTCTGCCCCAGACACTAAGTCAGAATTTCCAGGAATCAGGGTTCTTATCAGTAAGCTCCCCAAGTGATCTGACACACACCTAGTTTGAAAACTACTATTTTAAGCCAACCACATTGGTTTTAAGGGGCCAGAAGAACAACTAGCTGACAAATTACAAAAGGGAGAAGTTTTTCAGGGAAGGAAAAAATTACTGCTGATGACACTAAGAAACTTGCTTTTGCTATTTTCTGAAAGTTTTAAGATTAATGGAATATCTGAAAACATAGTTTTGATAGTATTAAAAGCATCGTGTGCGTATGTCTTATACAACATCTGGTATTATCACCTAGTTGTTTTACATCATTATTAAACCAGGCTTTATTAGAGGGTATGATTTCTGTTGAAAACTAATAATTACATATGATATTTCTGAAATATTATATCTATTTTCTTTTTTCCCCAGGCTGCTCTTTATGGATGTGGCTGCTGGGCTGAAAATACTGGAGCTCATAACCCCTACTCCACAGCTGTGAGTACCTCAGGTATTTGCTGCTTTCATAACCATTTCTCATAACTTCAACCTTGTCAATCATTTAATGATTAAAAGCAATATTTGTGGGTAAACATAGAACATGTGCTATGACAGTGTATGGATGTGGGAAAGATCTTCAGTATTTGCGAGGTTTTAAGGGTTGTTTAGTATCAGTGTAAATACTTTGCTAACATTTTCTTTTTTTTTTTTTTTTTTTTTTTTTGAGTCAGAGTCTCACTCTGTCCCCATGCTGGAGCAGTGGTGCGATCTTGGCTCACTGCAATTTCTGCCTCCCAGGTTCAAGTGATTCTCATGCTTCAGCCTTCCGAGTAGCTGGGATTACAGGCGTGCACCACCACACCCGGCTGATTTTTTGTATTTTTAGTAGAGACAGGGTTTTGCCATGTTGGCCAGGCTGGTCTTGAACTCTTGGCCTCAAGTGATCTGCCCTCCTAGGCCTCCCAAAGTGCTGGGATTACAGGCTTAAGTCACTGCACCCGACCCACTAACATTTTCAATACAACTCTGGAGTTAACTATGGTTAATTATATTTTTATAGATCTATATTTTTTCTAATGACCCATGATGCTGCCAAGTTTAGATAACAAAAGACATAAAAGTAGCAGTTAATTTCAAAAATTAACAGATAATCTCTTGAGTAAAATGTTGACATAAAACTTACAAGGTACATTTCCAAATATACAGTTTATGACATTCAGTCCTTGAACGACACTTTTAATGTAATACAGGTCTTCTTTTTATATGTATATTGTAAAGGCATTATCATTTAGTACAAAGTGTGTGTGTGCGTATGTGTGTGTGCGTGCGTGCGTGTGTGCAGGAGATGAGGAATGGTGGACATGGAGAGTTTTAATAGGCAGAATGGTTGTTGTCTATTTCCATACTTTAATCATGCCTGTGCCAGATGTACGTGAAGCCTTTTCTCATTATGTGATGATACCTCTGGTTGACAAAATAATATTGATTCATTCCTTTTTCATGTTATCCTTCAAGTTACAGTCCCATCCCTTTCTCTCCAACAGCATCAGACTTTATCGGGAGAGTGGACAAATATGGCTTCCTTTCCTACCTTTCTCTCTCCAATTTCTTATCACATTGGTTTCTGCCCCACCACACTAACAAAGCACCCAGTCCAGTAGCCCTCTTGTCCTGCTTTCTGTCTGCTCTTTCTGCGATCTCTGATGCAAGTGACTTTTTCTTTTGCATGTAGCATAGATCCTGGAACCCTCTTGGTTTGTCTGCCTCTCTGACCTGTTCCATCTTGGCCTTCTTCATAGATTCTTACTCCTCTGTCCTCCCATTGCCCACAGCCCCAGGGTTGAGCCTTTGGTGAATTCTGTGCTTTCTCCTGCTGATTTCTTGTTATTTCTGCTGTTCTCATGATTTCAGCTGTTCTCTCTTGGGATTGGCTTCCATGTCTGTATCTACTTTGGACTTTTGAGGTGCATGTGAGTCCTTTCTGACTTCCTGGTGGGCATGTTCCTATGGGTGCTGTGTATACATATCAGACTCATGAGGTTCAACAGAACATTTCATTCTTCATCCCCACCCTGTGTCACCTTTCTCCTGTGTCCTCTATCTCTTTCATTGCTCTTATTCTCCTATCCTTTGCTCAGACTTGAAATCTTGGCACCACTCTCATATTTGTGGTTTCTTTCTGTTTCTTCTTTCCTGACTCTGTTCTTTCAGACTCATCTTCTCATGCCTGCCTATCTTAGCAGCCTCCTGACCTAGCTCCATTTCTTGCATCAGTGGAAAAACATGGTTTTGAGCCATTGGCCTATCAGGAGAAGTCTAAAATGAATTAATGTTGAATCGAATCCATACTACTATAATTGTCAAAAAATTGTTTTTAGTCATTTTTGAAGAAATGAGCATAATGTAATAATATGAGTTAATTTTAAATTTTAATTTAATATTGGTGGCACATGAAAACCTTGATGCATAATGTTTACAAATTAGGCTGTGAACATAATTTAGTATGGCCCCGTGTCTATGGAAAATTGTAGTACTTGAACAAAGCAAAGACTAATTCATAGTTGCATTTTGATTGTCTCAAAGAAATCACAGTTGGAATCATGTATTATAAGAGTTTTCTTTGTGGTCAATATGTTGTTCAGTGAGATAGGTTGTTGTTTAGACATTACTTTCATATCTAGATGTTAGGAGAATTGGCTTCTATTCTAAACTGAAATCCTGAGAGCCTGCCTGATTGTGTCAATTTGGAAAAGAGATTTCCAAGTCCGAGGAGATTGTCCACCAGTCCCCTACCCTTATTTTAAAATTGGTGATGTGCAAGTTGGAATAAGAACATACTCCATGGATTTGATTCTATTAAGTAGAATGCAAGGAATGGGTAGGTAAAGTTAAAATTGTAAAATTAAGGTTTTTCTCCATTGCTTTTGAATATTTCCTCTTTTGCCTATCCTGTGTCAGTTGAAGATAGTTTCATATGTCTAAAGATACCTCTAGCTTTCCAGTTCATGACATCCAGTGTAGCTTTTTAACTTAGATACCCAACTTGTCATGTTATACTCTTCGCAAGCTAAAAGACTAACCATCATCAGCCCACAGAACCTGGGGATGATAGAGTAAATCTCCAGTCCCTCTTGTCCGTTGGACTTTGTGTGATTGCCTCATTCTTGTTTCTCATGGGGCTGTTGCTATGAAGTTGACAATGGAAACACATGGCAGAGTTGGGTGATCAAGTCAGAAGAAAGGTGGAGCACTGAATTTTGCAACTGTTTGGCCAAAATAAAGAAGACTTGTGCCTTAGGCTGCTGCAGAAAATCCAGAGACCTGGCCTGCATTTTAGGATTATATATCTTAGAAGGTGATAATTGAAAGGCGGAGAAAAGATAGTTAGTTATGGTTAGGATAGGGCTCTCCCAAGGCCAGATGGGTGATTTGGTCATTAGCCTGAGGGATAAACTCTAGCATCTTGTTCTCATCACTGGGTGAGGAGAAATGAGTAAGGGCTTGGGGAGAGGGGGTGGATTAACAGGAGCTGACCTTTCAAACTCTGACTAATGTTCTGGCGTCATAGGAATTTGCCTAGCTAGGGATAGACTAGAGCAGGCACATGAGTTCCTGTCCAGACTCTTCCAGACCCACTAGCTGTGGAGCCTGGGCAAGGGGTTATTTGTAAAACCAGAATAATATCTACCATTACTGTAAGGGGTAAGTAAGTTGACATACACAAAGCTTTTAGTGCATTTCTTGTCCCAGAGTAGGGGCTCAATACTTACTGTATTTCATTGAATCTAAGTCATCATCCTTTATCAGATGCACCATTATTTTTATACCACTAAGGAAACAAAAGACTGTCAATTAAAGTATAACACACTGCCTTCTCATCACTTAATGCATGGTGGTTGCTTTACAGGAAAATATAGAATTAGGGATGTCTCATCAGTGAGAAGTATTTCCTTCACTGATAGCAAAGTCATGCCTCATTGCCATTTCCATACCTTTCTATGTGTACAGTTATTTTTAATTTGAATTCTGTATCACACCGTAATCCTTCTGAACACATTTTAAACAACAGTTTAACTCAACACATGTAGTTCCAACACGGCACGTAACTGAAGGGTCAACACATGCGAACCGCTTGCATCTAGAGGCAGTGGCAGCTCTGTCACTACTGCCACCAGGCATGTAATGCCTGGAGGATTACATGGGAGGATGCATCAGTTATAACACACCTGAATCCAGAAGTTTAAAAATGTGAAAAAAGTATATTTTAGAATTGATAAATTATAGTAAAAGCTTTTCTTATTCTCAGCTTTTTCTAGAAAATAAATAATTTGTTTCAGACTGTCTTGAGGCAGTAAGATAAACTCTTGAGGAAAGAGGGCTGTGGGTATATTTGTGTCTCCTGAGTGCCTGGCAAACAGCCTTGTACAGGGTAAGTGCCCGGTATACAAATAAAAATTAAGAAATGTATGTGTGGGTCCTCCCTGTTTGAGAAGAATGCTTACTTTTTCAAACAGATTATTCACCATGGACTTTCTTTAAATAGGATTTTAAAATATAATTCAATTTGCCACATTTGAATTCACACATAATTTTTCAGTAACACAGCAAATACATAATGTTAGAAATATCTGGGATATGTCTCTGGCTATGGAAAGGACGAGCAGATTGAAGATTAGAAGATCAGAAGGAGGGGAAAAAAGCAAGAGATTAAGTTTATGCTTTGGTTTACCTTAACATTGCTTTTCCGTTACTTGTCTATACAGTTCTTTTTTCTTTCCTTTAAAAAAAAAAAAGACAAAGTCTCACTCTGTCGCCTAGGCTGGAGTGAATGCAGTGGTGTGATCATGGCTCATTGCAACCTTGGACTCCTGGGCTCAAGTGATCCTCCTGCCTCAGCCTCCCAAGTAGGTAGGACTACAGGTGCACACCATCACACCTGGATAATTTTTAATTTTTTTGTAGAGACAGGATCTTGCTGTGTTGCCCGGGCTGGTCTTGAACTCCTGGGCTCCAGTGATCCTCCCACTTTGGCCTCAAAAAGTGCTGGAAACAGTGAGTACAGGGGTACTGATGGCAATTGACTAAGATCAGAAGATGTAGGCTTCATTTCCCCTCCTTAAAGTATTCTGGCATGAAGAAAGACCTACTACCTTGTTTCTGCTGTGAGGCCAAAGGATTTCTGATTTTCTCAGTTCTTTGCTTTTTAAGGTCTTGGCTCTGGGCATTTCTAGAAACCTGAGGACGGAGAGGGTTGTGGTCAGGACTTGCCAGGAGTAGCTTCAAAGGTAGATGGGATTAAAAAAATACCAAAATTGAGAACAGCCTTATGCCTCAATATTTCTGAGCTAGTGATTAGTTTCTTCCTCAAGGGCTAGGAGAATATGCCATTCCTTTTTGATTTCTCAACTTAACAACCAGAGGTCTTCCTCTGTCCCTCTGTGGGAGATTGTCTATGGGACTGTGTTAGAAAACTCGTGCCCAGAGACCTTTGTCAGGAGGGCACGAGACAGCCTTCTCTGTGAGAGGGGGGTTATGTGACAGCAGGAGCCAATGGGAGACTACTGCTGAGATATTGACAAATGCCATGTGGTCATTGCTCTTTAAGGGTATGTGGAAGGCAGGCAGGAATCCATGCTTCAGCTTCTATTTAGCAGCAGTCATTCTTGTACTCTGTGTGTCACAGGCACTCTTGGTGAATACAAGCCCTATTCTACTGAGGACTCAGTGCAAATCACCTAGGGTTCCAGTCTTCCTTCTAGCCCTCTCCCCATTTCTTAGCAACCCTTCAAGGTGAAACCTCAAGGAATTTTCTATACTCAAGGTTTATTATTTTTCTTAGTTCTCTTCTCTCACTCAATTTTATTCTACTTCAGTCAGGACTTCTCCTCTACCACGCCACCAATCTGTTCTTGTCAAGATTAACAATTACCTCTAAAGTCATGTGATTATCCTTTAGTCCTATAAGCAACATTTGACACGGTTGCTCAAATAACTTGCTCCTCCTGTAAATACTGTCCTTAATAGACTTCCAGGGACCACACACTCCTGTTTTTCCTGCCACCTCACTGGCTGCTCCTTCTTAGTCTCCTTTGTTAATATTCCTCATCTCTTTGACGTCTCAGTGTTGGAGTGCCTCAGTGCTTAGTCCTTGAACCTCTTCTCTCTTTCTTTGTATACCTGCTCCCTTTGTGTCTCATCCAGTCTGATGGCTAAGTACCATCTATGTGCTGATGATTCCTACAATTTTATCTCCAACCTGGGCCTCTCTCCATAACTGAGTTATAATTCAAGTGCTTGTTAAAATCTCCACTTGTATATATAACAGACATCTATTTAGCATGTCCGAATATGAGCTCTTGCCTAACCCTAAACGTGTTCTCTTGAAATATTTTCCCCACAGCAAGTGTCAATTCCAGTGGCTCAAGTCAAAATTTTGGGTTCATCCTTGACCCTCTTTTCTATCTCACGCACATCCAATTCACCAACAAACTTTGTTTACTCTCCTCTCTGAATATATTTAAAATCTGACCACTTCTCAGCACGTTAATGGCCACCAACAGTTCTGTGGTGCCATCATCTCTAATCTGGATCATTGCTAGCCTCCTAGCTGGTCTCTTGCTTTTTGCCCCATTCCCCCTTTATTTGTTTTGCAACCCTGCAACTGGTGTTCAAACCGAACTCAAACGATATACCTCTATTTTGAAATGTTAAGCCACTTCCCATCTTAATAAATGGGAAAGCCACAGTCCTAATGAAGGGCCTATAAGGCCTTGTTGGAGATACTTCCCAGCTTCCCCTCAGAACCTCTTGCTTTTCTTCTCTTGCTCACACAATTCCAGCTACGGTGGCTCCTTTGCAGTACTTCACACATGCCACGCACACTCCCGCCATAGGGGCTTTGTCAAGCTGCTGCTTCTCCTCCACCCTCAGTGTCTCAAGCCCCCACTCTCACCTCATCAGACCTTTATTCAAATGAGTCACCTTGATGAGTTCTTCTGCAGCCATCCTATATAAACATGGAGTTCTTCCTTCAGCCAACATTTCCTGTCTCCCTTTCATGTTTTATTTTTTCCCGTAGCAAGTATCATTATCTAATATTTTATATCTTTACACAATTTTCTTTTTAAAAAATTGGTTTAATTTAATTTAATTTAATTTTATTATTATACTTTAAGTTTTAGGGTACATGTGCACAACGTGCAGATTAGTTACATATGTATACATGTGCCATGTTGGTGTGCTGCACCCATTAACTCGTCATTTAACATTAGGTATATCTCCTAATGCTATCCCTCCCCCCTCCCCCACCCCACAACAAGCCCCGGTGTGTGATGTTCCCCTTCCTGTGTCCATGTGTTCTCATTGTTCAATTCCCACCTATGAGTGAGAACATGCGGTGTTTGGTTTTTTGTCCTTGCGATAGTTTGCTGAGAATGATGGAATGATGGTTTCCAGCTTCATCCATGTCCCTAAAAAGGACATGAACTCATCCTTTTTTATGGCTGCATAGTATTCCATGGTGTATATGTGCCACATTTTCTTAATCCAGTCTATCATTGTTGGACATTTGGGTTGGTTCCAAGTCTTTGCTATTGTGAATAGTGCCACAGTAAACATACGTGTGCATGTGTCTTTATAGCAGCATGATTTCTAATCCTTTGGGTATATACCCAGTAATGGGATTGCTGGGTCAAATGGTATTTCTAGTTCTAGATCCCTGAGGAATCGCCACACTGACTTCCACAATGGTTGAACTAGTTTACAGTCCCACCAACAGTGTAAAAGTGTTCCTATTTCTCCACATCCTCTCCAGCATCTGTTGTTTCCTGACTTTTTAATGATCACCATTCTAACTGGTGTGAGATGGTATCTCATTGTGGTTTTGATACGTATTTCTCTGATGGCCAGTGATGATGAGCATTTTTTCATGTGTCTTTTGGTTGCATAAATGTCTTCTTTTGAGAAGTGTCTGTTCATCTTCTTTGCCCACTTTTTGATGGGGTTGTTTGTTTTTTTCTTGTAAATTTGTTGGAGTTCATTGTAGATTCTGGATATTAGCCCTTTGTCAGATGAGTAGATTGCAAAAATTTTCTCCCATTCTATAGGTTGCCTGTTCACTCTGATAGTAGTTTCTTTTGCTGTGCAGAAGCTCTTTAGTTTAATTAGATCCCATTTGTCAATTTTGGCTTTTGTTGCCATTGCTTTTGGTGTTTTAGACATGAAGTCCTTGCCCTTGCCTATGTCCTGAATGGTATTGCCTAGGTTTTCTTATATGGTTTTTATGGTTTCAGGTCTAACAGTTAAGTCTTTGATCCATCTTGAATTAATTTTTGTATAAGGTGTAAGGAAGGGATCCAGTTTCAGCCTTCTACATACGGCTAGCCAGTTTTCCCAGCACCATTTATTAAATAGGGAATCGTTTCCCCATTTCTTGTTTTTGTCAGGTTTGTCAAAGACCAGATGGTTGTAGATATGTGGCATTGTTTCTGAGGGCTCTGTTCTGTTCCATTGGTCTATATCTCTGTTTTGGTACCAGTACCGTGCTGTTTTGGTTACTGTAGTCTTATAATATAGTTTGAAGTCAGGTAGCGAGATGCCTCCAGCTTTGTTCTTTTGGCTTAGGATTGACTTGGCAATGTGGGCTCTTTTTTGGTTTCATATGAACTTTAAAGTAGTTTTTTCCAATTCTGTGAAGAAAGTCATTGGTAGCTTGATGGGGATGGCATTGAATCTATAAATTACCTTGGACAGTATGGCCATTTTCCCGATATTGATTCTTCCTACCCATGAGCATGGAATGTTCTTTCATTTGTTTGTATCCTGTTTTATTTCATTGAGCAGTGGTTTGTAGTTCTCCTTGAAGAGGTCCTTCACTTCCCTTGTAAGTTGGATTCCTAGCTATTTTATTCTCTTTGAAGCAATTGTGAATGGGAGTTCACTCATGATTTGGCTCTCTGTTTGTCTGTTATTGGTGTATAAGAATGCTTGTGATTTTTGCACATTGATTTTGTATCCTGAGACTTTGCTGAAGTTGCCTACCAGCTTAAGGAGATTTTGGGCTGAGACAATGAGGTTTTCTAGATATACAATCATGTCATCTGCAAACAGGGACAATTTGACTTCCTTTTTTCATAATTGAATATCCTTTATTTCCTTCTCCTGCCTGATTGCCCTGGCCAGAACTTCCAACACTATGTTAAATAGGAGTGGTGAGAGAGGGCATCCCTGTCTTGTGCCAATTTTCAAAGGGAATGCTTCCAGTTTTTGCCCATTCAGTACGATATTGGCTGTGGGTTTGTCATAGATAGCTCTTATTATTTTGAGATACTTCCCATCAGTACCTAATTTATTGAGAGTTTTTAGCATGAAGGGTTGTTGAATTTTGTCAAAGGCCTTTTCTGCATCTGTTGGGATAATCATATGGTTTTTGTCATTGGTTCTGTTTATATGCTGGATTACATTTATTGATTTTCGTATGTTGAACCAGCCTTGCATCCCAGGGATGAAGCCCACTTGATCATGGTGGATAAGCTTTTTGATGTGCTGCTGGATCGGTTTTATTTTCTAATTTGAGTTGTCCTTTATTTCTTTTTCTTTCTTTTAATTTCAACTTTTACTGTAGATTCATGGGTACATTTGCAGGTTTGTTACATGAATATATCGCATGATACTGAGGTTGTGGTACGATTGATCCTATCACCCAGGTCATGAGTGTAGTACCCAATAGATAGTTTTTCAACCCTTGTGCCTCTTCTTTCCTCCGCACTCTAGTAGTCCTCATTGTCTATTGTTCCTATCTTTATGTCCATGTGTACCCAATGTGTAGCTGCCACATATAAGTGAGAATATAGGGTATTTGGTTTTCTGTTTCTGCATTAATTTGCTTAGGATAATGACCTCCAACTACATCCATGTTGCTGCAAGGGATATTTTTTTTGTTCTTTTCTGTGGCTGTGTAGTGTTCTATGGTGTATATGTACCACATTTTATTTGTTAATTCACCACTGATGGGCATCTAGGTTGATTCCAGGTCTTTGCTATAGTGAATAATACTATGATGGACATGTGAGTGCCTTGTCTTTTTGGTAGAACAATTTATTTTCCTTTGAGTATATACCCAGTAATGGGATTGCTGGGTCAAATGGTGGTTCTATTTTTAGCTCTTGGCTATTTTCTTTTTATTTTCTACCCTGCTCTAAATTCCTTAGGGGTTGGGATTTTCATCAGCTTTGTTCGTTGATGTGTGAATGTTGCTTATTACCTACAACTGCTGAATGAGTGTGAATGAATATGAATGACAAACAAATACATTGTGGTGGGGTAAGCCAGTGAAGCCCGGATGAGTGAAGGCTGAGAGGAAGGCAAATGAGGGGCTAAGAGTGGTATATTCTTGATAAGAGCAGAGGATGCCTGAAGAAGATGATTGAGTCTGAGGTGTTTGGGGCTTAATTTGGGGACTTAGGTCGTGGTGTTTAGACATTTTCTTTTGTATGAAAGGGGGACTCTTGAGTAGGGAGATGATCATACTTTTAGAAGATACATGAAGATAGCTCTTTCTTCTCTGAGAGTGTTCTGGCATGATGAGGAATGATCCAGACGCTGAGAGGCAAAACTAGTCAAGGAGTTAAATACATTGCTCTTAGTCCTGTTGGTGACATCCAGACTCTTTAGTCCACTTTGATTCCTTAATCTGCCTTGTTGGGCAGGCTGACACTGGCTTCTCAGAAGTTTCTTGTCCTTATGAAAGAATAAACCTTCATAATTTTTGTCACTCTCAATGAGATTCTTAGAATGCTGAGGAGCTGCCACTGGAGCTGAAATAATTTGAGACATAATATGTGGGGTTAGGAATAATGCCATGGGAAATCTTTTTGTGAATTATGACTTCTAGATGTGAGCCTAGATAAAACCCTAATGTTTGTAAACATTGTCATCTTAAAAGCACTTAACTCTTTGGACTGTTTGGTTGTTGGGGGTGGGAAAAATAATATTCATTTACAGATAACAGAGTATATAAACTACCAGCACATTTCTAAGAACTGAAGTAATTATCTGGGATGGGAATTCTATTCTGAGTTTATTGCATACTCTAATTAGGTCACTTCATATCTGATTAACTTTTAATATATTGCTTCTTGCTTTTTATATAAGTAAAGTCACTGATGGTATGCAATTATGTAGAATTCTGAATTATGCCAGATGATTTTCTAAGAAACCAGTTCAATGTGACAGCAATTGATATATCTTAGAGATTTTAAATGAGTGGATTTCTTCCTTTCATTCAGTGCGACATGTTACTTGTATCTTAGAGATTTTAAATGAGTAGATTTTTTTCCTGATTGTGAAATAATGCATGCTCATTGATAGGATTTGGGAAATGAAACTGATAATTTTTGCCATCCTGTGGTAGTCACTATTAATATTTTCGGTGGATTTTTGCCATTAAACAAAAGCGGAAATACTGCTTAGCTTGTATTGTACTTTGTTCATTTAATATTTTATAATGAACATTTTTATGTATTATTATTCTTCCAAACATAATTTTAAAGGATATGAAGGATATCTTTCCATGCATCATGAGTTCATGTATTTTGCTCCTCAGCAAGACGACTTGTAATTGGCCTCATGCAATAAAGCAGCAGCTGTTTTAGAGGCTCTTATTTTATGTTCTAGCCTGGTTATGATAAGAGAGAATTAAAAACATAGTCCTTGTCCTCAAAAGACATGAAACCTGGGGCCTTGGTAATATAGGAAACCTTCTTGCCAATATAGGAATATGTTGACATATTAGCTATAGCAAAAGGCTTATATTAGCACCGAATGAGGCTCTGCTGCATCCATTCACCTAGGGAATATGCACTGTGGCGCTTCCCAAAGGATCACTTGCAGGTACCTCAGTGTACCTGATGGCTTGACTGTTGTTGCAGCCATTAGTACATCTCCCTTCTTGCCACCTTTCTCTCCCCAAATCTCAACAAAACCAGTTGTTTTTAATCTTAACACTACCCATCACCCTCCTACACTCACTGAAATGTCTTCAGCCCCTAACCTCTAGAAGAGCTGAGGACATCATGGAAGGAAGGTAAGTCTTTCTCTGAAAGAGATTGTAGACCTGGGATATAATGGATAAAGTGATCCCCAAGATGCACTTTTGATGTTTTAATTTCTCAGATTTTTTTTGCTAGATACTTACTTTGCATTGCTTTGTTGTTGTTTTGTGAAAGAACAGACTTCTAATTTTAAAACACAAGGTGAAGAAATGTTAAAAAAAAAAAAAAAAAAAAACAAAGGCGTAAGATCAAGTGATGAGTTAAAATGCCAGTTCTGCCATCCTTGATGTAGTTCTCCCTTTGATTGTTCTCACTTGAAAGAATGCCTTTTCCTTCCCATTGTGGAGTACTACCTGCTGTCAGTTGGAGAGGGGGTAAGTTGAGCAACCTGTCAAAGACTTTCTAAGCTCCCTTCATATGGTTCACAGAAACAGGGCTGGATTTTCATTTCTTCTTTCATTCAACAGGAGTCTCTTTCATGTTTGAAAATTGGAAACGTGTGTTTTTCAGTGTGGAGCGAGGATGTGTGTGCCCTCTGGCACACCTGTTTCTAATTTCCTGACTTGAAAGCATAACTCATCAAAAGGAGGAGAAAAACAATTTCTTTGTGACATGCTGCTTCATGGCCCTTGCTGGACTCAAGGCCTTCGTGGGTTTGCCACCTTGGTTCCCTCTGTAGAAGGTTCTTGTGAAATGCAGAATTCACTAAATACAACTAGTGCCTTTTATGGCACAGGGCTGTTTTTGGTATTATTTTGCTGTAGTTCTTTTCAGCTCAGGAAATTTACTTGAAGTAAGATTTATTTTAAAAAATATATTAAATTTAGCTGAACAGTATATGTTGGAAGGATATCTGTAAACTGATCAGTGAGCCGACTGGCTAGGAATAGGGTTTGGTTGAGCATACGAATGTTTAAATTCCATAGTTCTGTTTAACATAAATCAAATAGTTCCAATGGGTTGCTTCATATTTGTGTGTACTTTAAAGTCATGCCAGCTTAAATGACTGTGAGGTACAATGTGTTGACTTTGAGTTTTGTAAATTGATAATTTGTTGCTATGAAAGTTGTCCATGGTATAACTCATCACTTTTTGAAGGTACTTAGTATGTCTGATACTGGCAAGCTGTCATGAAAAAATTGATGCCCAGGGAATTCCGGGGTTTTGCTTTCAGATGTTTGACATGTAGATATTTAATTCTTCTTAAGATTTCCCTGGACATTGTCAGTGTAAGGTGTACTGATCTTTAAACACAAACTTTAGTTTGGGCTCCTGTTTCTCAGCATTCTTTGGGATAATAATCTGAATGGTGTATTCTCAAGTTTTTTTTTTTTTTTTTTTTTTTAAGTGTATGAATCACCTTGGGGATCTTGTTAAAAGGCAGGCTATGATCCAGTGGGTCTGGGATGAGTCTTGGGATTCTACATTTTCGCAAGCTCCCAGATAATGCCAGTGCTGCTGGTCCACAGACAGTACTTTAAGCAGCAAGACAACACTTTGATGGACAAAGTGGTGCTGTGCAACACCCATCACATACAAATTACCAGTTGCTTTCCTCATTGTGTTTTGGTGCATCTAAAGCTAAGATGATCTGGTGTATATTCTTGACTCTTGGGTATCCCTGTGAGCATTAATGAATAGTTTAACAACCGACCATTTGGTCTAGCATGTATGGAGACTACCAAGACAGGCTTATTGTGTTGGAAGAAGTGATGCTTATGTTTTTAGACTCTTATGGAATATACCAATTCCTGTATGTTAGCCAAGGTTCTTGCTGCAAACAGAAGTGAATACAACAAACTGCTAACTTGAAAAGATGCTGATAGAGGGGTTAGAAAGGCATAGTGCTGAATCAAATGTATTTATTTTAACTAGCTCTGTTCATGATGGCTGGTTAATTTGGGCAAAAAGATTTATTGATGAATCATGGAGAAAAAGTGGGAACATGTAAATGTAAAATGTAGAAACAGTTTGCATTTTTATTAACTTGTTATTGAATGTATGTCATGGTTCTCATTAGTGAATTGCAGCATGATCCAGCCCACAGTATAAAATGCCACGATTAAAGATACCTTACATTTTTATTTTCAGAATGTTTTGTTCATATCATGAAAAGTACACTTATTTGTATGTTGTGTTTTTCTTTTAGCTTTGATGAAAAAGAATTGAAATAAATACTGACTAGTAGAAAGCATGGATAGTTGTTTTAAAAAATCTCAGTTGGATATTGAAGAAATAGAGACTTCAACTAAAATTCTACAATGGTATTTTAGGTCTGCCTGTACCTACATTGAATTGAAGAGCAAGTACACTTAGGGGCACATTGAGGTGAGGGATTTATGGGCTTTGGAATCAGACTTCAGCTTGAATCCTAACGGAGGGAGCAGATTGGAAGGATTGTGCCCATCCATCCCAGAATTGGGACACCTTTCCTTATGGAGGAGAAACACACAGCTATGCTAATTATCATGGATGTTCTCACTTCGCACCATTGCATTTCCTGTTAGTCGGGACTCTGTTATGGCTGTGTTTAATAATGCTGAGGAGTTCTTGTTTCTCCATTTCTCTCTCTCTATCCCAGCCCTAGAATGTTTTACTGGTTCTTCAAAATTTCCTAGTAAATTATATATGTTGTAATCTATCATAATGATCACTGTTTACTAATATTGATGATAGAATAATTAATAGGCTCCCAATTGAAATCTGCTAAGATGATGTAGTGATGTGTTCTCAGATATATAAAAGAGTATTTACTGCAGTATAGCTAAGATAGCTAGTAAAATTCATGTCAGAGAATAATAAGGATTTGAAGATTTGCTGCACATTTGTTTCACCTGAGTTCTTTCTTGTCCTTAAAATTTAGATTTGCCTCTGCTCTACCTGTTATGCTTTCCTTCTCATGCAAAAGTAAATTTTGTGGGATATGGAAATATAATATTCTCAAGTTAAAGATTTTTTATCTTTGTTTTACATACCCTCCTTTGTCTGACTCATCTTACCTGTTTTGATTTTATTCTTCATCTTAGTAGCAGGTCTTTCTTTGTAGCTTTTCATATCAGAATTATAACATTTGTATCTGGAATAAGCATAAGCAATGTAGTCCTGGACTTTCCTCAGAACCACCTTTGCAAGTTAAACCCTGCCTGTGCCATCAAGTTCATAGACAGTTTTCAGCCACTCACTATGGGAATTGCACAGGTTTGTCTTATTAATCTACAAGTCTGGGCAACTCTTATTATTTAATAGAAAGTCCTAGCTACCGTCATTCACTTTATTTTTTCTTTCTGCTATAATTGCAATGTAAACAACTTAGCACAATTTCTTGAGGAGTGCATGTTTCTCTTTTTGCTCTTGTTTAGAATCCCTTCCCTCCTTATCCATGTGGTGAAGCCTGAGATGAGCTAAATATCTTCTCTTTTCTGCAGCCATTCTCCCTCTCTGTCTCCCCACTTCTTGCTCTGCCTTCTGTCTCTCTCCCTCCCTCCCTCCCTCTTTTGTTTCTTCCCATGCCCAACTTCAAAGATTTACTCCCTCCAAGGTCAGTGGTGCCATGATGTGGAACTTATACTACTCGTATGGTTGTTTTTCTCCAGAAAGCCTAGGAGCTCCTTGAGGACGAGACTATTGGCTTAAAGATATAGTAGGTACTCAATAAACATCAGTTGAATTGAATTCAGGAACCCTTTACTTTTTTGAAGCACTGTCAAACAGATTCTGATTGGCAAAATGACTGACTTGTTCCTCATTGGTAAACTGGAACTAGTGTTCCTGTTTGCTACTTTAAAGTTCATATGGAACCAAAAAAGAGCCCACATTGCCAAGACAATCCTAAGCCAAAAGAACAAAGCTGGAGGCATCTCGCTACCTGACTTCAAACTATACTACAAGGCTACAGTAACCAAAACAGCATGGTACTGGTACCAAAACAGAGATATAGACCAATGGAACAGAACAGAGCCCTCAGAAATAATATCACACATCTACAACCATCTGATCTTTGACAAACCTGACAAAAACAAGCAATGGGGAAAGGATTCCCTATTTAATAAATGGTGCCGGGAAAACTGGCTAGCTGTATGTAGAAGGCTGAAACTGGATCCCTTCCTTACACTTTATACAAAAATTAATTCAAGATGGATCAAAGACTTAAATGTTAGACCTAAAACCATAAAAACCATATAAGAAAACCTAGGCAATACCATTCAGGACATAGGCATGGGCAAAGACTTCATGACTAATATACCAAAAGCAATGGCAACAAAAGCCAAAATTGACAAATGGGATCTAATTAAACTAAAGAGCTTCTGCACAGCAAAAAAACTACTATCAGAGTGAACAGGCAACCTACAGAATGGGAGAAAAGTTTTGCAATCTACTCATCTGACAAAGGGCTAATAGCCAGAACCTACAAAGAACTCCAACAAATTTACAAGAAAAAAACAACCTTATCAAAAAGTGGGCAAAGAAGATGAACAGACACTTCTCAAAAGAAGACATTTATGCAGCCAACAGACACATGAAAAAATGCTCATCATCACTGCTTATCAGATAAATGCAAATCAAAACCACAATGAGATACCATCTCACACCAGTTAGAATGGTGATCATTAAGAAGTCAGGAAACAACAGATGCTGGAGAGGATGTGGAGAAATAGGAACACTTTTACACTGTTGGTAGGACTGTAAACTAGTTCAACCATTGTGGAAGACAGTGTGGCGATTCCTCAGGGATCTAGAACTAGAAATACCATTTGACCCAGCCATCCCATTACTGGGTATATACCCAAAGGATTATAAAACATGCTGCTATAAAGACACATGCACAGGTATGTATATTGCGGCACTATTTGCAATAGCAGAGACTTGGAACCAACCCAAGTGTCCATCAATGGTAGAGTGGATTAAGAAAATGTGGCACATATACACCATGGAATAGTATACAGCCATAAAAAAGGATGAGTTCATGTCCTTTGTAGGGACATGGATGAAGCTGGAAACCATCATTCTCAGCAAACTATCGCAAGGACAAAAAACCAAACACCTCATGTTCTCACTCATAGGTGAGAATTGAACAATGAGAACACTTGGACACAGGAAGGGAAACGTCACACACTGGAGCCTGTTGTGGGGTGGGGGAGGGGGGAGGGATAGCATTAGGAGATATACCTAATGTTAAATGACAAGTTAATGGGTGGGGTGCAGCACACCAACATGGCACATGTATACAGATGTAACAAACCTGTACATTGTGCACATGTACCCTAGAACTTAAAGTATGATAATAATAATAAAAAAACCCGGAACTTCAGGTATTCATGGTAGAGGCTTTGTTCTATGAAGTGAAGGGTAGTTTAAGTTTGGATTGGTGTAGTTTTGATAAAATCTATTACCCTTTTCCCTTACTGTAGTGATTAGGGTGCTTTGGGTTGCAGTTAACGGAAATTACAGCACAAATTGGCTTCAATAATAAGAAAATACATGATTTTGCATAAGAGGAAGTTCAGAGGTAGGAAGACTCCAGGGTTAATTTGTTCACGGGCTCCATTGATGACATCAAGGACCTGGTTCTCCACTTCTCTTGCTTGCTCCGTTGCTTCATTGTTGGCTTCTTTCTTGGGCTGATAGCCCAGTGGCTACTGCATTGCCAGAAAACTCATCACAAAAAGATCTCCAGAGGAATTAAAAAAAAAATCTTCTTTTAGTTTTTTTTTTTTTCCTAGGAATGAGGAACTCTTTCTTTAGAAGCTCCCCAGCAGACTTCTCAGTCAATGTTTTGTTGATTGGCTAATGTCGTATGTTTATTTCTGGATCAATCACTGACAGAGGAAAATGGGATTACCCATGAACCAGTGATGAGTACAGGACATGCGTATGGGTTATGTACATGACTGTGGGTGGGTGGAAAGCAGAAGGAAATCAAATTTCATTCTGGAAAGGAGAAGGGAGTAGATGTGTAGGTGGTGGCCACCGGTATCCTACTAAACTTGACACTTGCCATCATTCTGTGATCAGTAATAAGGATGAACCAAAAACTAAAAGAGATAATAATAAGGATGATAACAGTAGTTAGCATTTGTTGAGCATGTGCCATGGTCAGGTACTGTGCTGAGTACTTTTTACATAATGATTCTCTTTTTCAAGTAAAGCTGTAGTTCAGAGAGGTCAAACAGGGCCTGAATGCCCGAGGAATATAGTGTGTCTTCCCTCAATGAAGGTAGAATAATGTGAGAAGGAAGAAGAAAGGCTAAATTTAAATTTAATTAGCTATTTTTATTTTTACTAGAAAAGTTATAGATTAGGTATTTAGAGAGTTAAAAAAATCATGTAATTTTCATTTAAATCTGTTCTTACCAAAACCATGCATCTTTTATTTTTGGCTAACAGAGAGCTGGCCATAGAAAATGGATGTTTTTGTTTTGAAAAATCAAATATAGTAGATAAAAAAATGCCACCACAAAGTTTGTTTATATCTTCATTTCACTTAAATTGAGTAGAAGAAGTGGAATCTGGCCTTTTTCATATTGTTTATGTTCTGCTTTGCTTCTTGGTTCTGGGGCAAGATTCCTAGTTGTGTTTGAATTTGTTTTCCTCTCAAGTATCATTTGCAAAATTAGTGTGGAAATTAATAAACTCTTTCTGTTCAATAAGTGTTGTAACTGTCCTAATATGACATAGTATAATGCTGTTTCATTAGCATAGTAAAATTCAAATATGTGCTCATTTAGCCTCATTCTACTGTTTTTTTTTTAAGTCTAGAAAAGAAGGAAGGTGCTTTGCATAAGTAACCAATATAATCTTTATTTATTAACTTTCATTTTAGGTTCAGGGGTACACGTAAAGGTTTGTTATATAGGTAAATTGCAGGGGTTTGGTGTACAGATTATTTCATCACCCAGGTAATAAGCATAGTACCCAGTAGGTAGTTTTTTGACCAGGAAGGTGAAAGATCTCTACAACAAGAATTACAAGGCCAGACGTGGTGGCTCACGCCTGTAATCCCAGCACTTTGGGAGGCCAAGGTGGGTGGATCACAAGGTCAGGAGTTTGAGACCAGCCTGTCCAATATGGTGAAACCCTGTCTCTACTAAAAAATACAAAAATTAGCCGGGCGTGATGGTGCGCGCCTGTAGTCTCAGCTAGTCAGGAGGCTGAGGCAGGAGAATCGCTTGAACCCAGGAAGGTGGAAGTTGCGGTTGGCCGAGATTGCACCATTGCACTCCAGCCTGGGTGACAGAGACTCCTTCTCAAGAAAAACAAAAACAAAAACAGGAAAAGAATTACAAAACACTTCTTAAAGAAATCAGAGATGACACAGACAAATGGAAAAACGTGAGATGATTGCCACAATCAAACTAATTAACATAATCCATCAACTCACATAGTTACCTTTTTTGGTGTCGTGAGAATAAAGATCTACTCTCTCAGCAAAGTTCAGTTCTACAATACATTATTATTAACTGTAATCACAATGCTAATACATTAATCCTCCAGAATTTATTCATCTTACAACCATAAGTTCGTACCCTGTGACACTATCTCCTCATTTCCTCACCCTGGTAAACACTCTTCTATTCTCTGTTTCTATAAGCTTGACTTTAGATTTTTATATATAAGTGAGAACATGCTGTAGTTGTCTTTTTTTGTTTGGCTTATTTCACTTAGCCTGATATCCTCTAAGTTCATCCATGTTGTCACAAATGACAGGATTTTCTTGGTTTTAAAGGCTAAATCACACACACACACACACACACACACACACACACACACACTTTCTTCATTCATTCATTCATTCATTGATAGACACTTAGGTAGTTTCCATATCTTGGCTATTGTGAATAATGCTGCAGGGAACATTGGAGTGCAATTGTCTGTTTGAGGTACTGATTTCATTTCCTTTGCATATACAACGAGAAGTGGGATTGTTCGATTATATGGTAGTTCTGTTTTTAACTTTTTGAGGAACCTCCATGTTGTTTTCCAGAATGGCTGTACTAATTTATAATTCCACCAACAGTGTACAAGGGTTCCCTTTTCTCCACATCCTTGTCAACACTTTTTATTTTTTGATGTTTTGGTAGTAGCCATCCTAAGAGGTGTGAGGGAATACCTCATTGTGGTTTTGATTTGCACTTCCCTGATAGTGATGTTGAACAACTTTTCATATAACTACCTATTGGCTATTTGTGTATCTTTGGGAGAATGTCCTATTCATGTCCTTTGTCCATTATAAAAAATAAAGTTATTTTAGTTTATTTTATTTTTTGCTAGTGAGGTCCTTATATATTTTGGATTTTAATCCCTTATTGGCTACAGATTGAGTATCCTTTATCTGAAATGCTGGGCACCAGAAGTTTTTTGAATTTCGGAGTTTTTCAGATTTTGGAATAATTGCAGAATACATACCAGTTGAGCATCCCTAATCTGAAAATTGGAAATCTGAAATGCCCCAATGAGCATTTCCTTTGAGTATCATGTTGGCACTCAAAAAATTTCAAATTTTGGAGCATTTCAGCTTTTAGATTTTTGGGTTAGGTATGCTCAACTAGTATTTAGTTTGCAAATATTTTTTCCCATTCAATGGATTGCTTTCATTTTGTTGATTGTCTCCTTTGCTGTGCAGAAACCTTTCAGTTTGATGTAGTCCTACTTGCTTATTTTTGCTTTTGTTGCCTGTGCTTTTGTTGTCATATCAAAAAAAAAAAATCATTTCCAACACATTTGTCATGGAGCTTCTTCCCTATGTTTTCTTCTAGGAGTTTTACTCCTTTAGTTTTACTCTTCCAGGAGTCTAGGTATTATGTTTAAATCTTTAATCTATTTTGAGTTGGTTTTTGTGTATGGTATAAGGATCCAATTTTATTTTTTGCACGTAGATATTCAGTTTTTTCAACCCGATTTTTGAAGAGAACATCCCTTCTCCATTGTGTGTTTTATTGCCTTTGTCAAAGATTAGTTGACTGCGTATGTGTGGGTTTATTTCTAGGCTTTCTATTCTGTTCCATTGATCTGTGTTTCTGTTTTTATGCCAGTGCCACACTATTTTGGTTACTATAGCTTTGTAATATAATTTGAAGTTAGGACACATGATGCTTCCACCCTTGTTTTTCTTGCACAAGATTGCATTAGCTAATTAGGGTGTTTTGTGGTTCTGTATGAATTTTAGCATTGTTCTTTCTATTTCTGTGAAAAACATCATTGAAATTTTGATAAGGATTACATTCAATCTGTGGATCACTTTGGGTAGTATGGATGTTTTGACAGTATTCTTTCAGTCCGTGAACACAGAACACAGATAGCTGCACTTATTTTTTTCTTCAGTTTCTTCATCATTATTTTATAGCTTTTATTTTTGTTTTTTTCTTTTGAGACAGGGTCTCACTGTGTCACCCAGGCTGGAGTACAGTTGCACAATCATGGCTCAATGGAATCGCCTCCTGGGCTCAAGTGATCCTCCCACCTCAGCCTCCTGAATAGGTGGGACTACGGACACGTGCCACCATGCCCGGATATTATTTTTATTTTTCGTAAAGATGAGGTCTTGGCTATGTTGCCAGGCTGGTCTCAAACTCCTGGACTCAAGCAATCCTCATGCTTTGGCCTCCCAAAATGCTGGGATTATAGGAGTGAGCCACTGTTCCTAGCCCAATGTTTTATAGTTTTGAGTGTACAGGTCTTTTATCTTCTTAGTTAAATTTATATCTGAATATTTTATTCTTTTTGATGCTATTATAAATGGGATTATTTTCTTAATATCTTTTTGGATATTTTATTGTTAGTGTATAGAAATGCAACTGATTTTTGTATGTTGATTTTGTGTCCTGCAACTGTACTGAATTTGTTTATTTTAATAGTTTTTTGATGAAGTATTTACAGTTTTCTATATATAACATTTTGTCATCTGCCAATAGTAACAGTTTTACTTCTCCCTTTCTGATTTGGATGCCTTTTTGTTTAGGCAAACAAAAATGGAAACACAATGTACCAAAATTCTCTCTCTTTTGTTTTTTTTTTTGGCCTAATTTCTCTGGCTAAGACTTGCAGTACTGTGTTGAAAAGAAGTGATGAGAGTGGGTATCCTTATCTTGTTCCTGATGTTAGAGGAAAAGCTTTCAACTTTTGACCATTGAAGTTGAGGTCTTTATTGTGTTGAGGTGCATTCTGTACCTAATTTGTTGAGAGTTTCTTTTTTTAATCATGAAAGCATGTTGAATTTTCTCAAGTGCTTCTTCTGTCTCTCTTGAGATGATCATATGGTTTTTGTTCTTCATTCTATTAATGTGGTGTGTCCCATTTATAAATTTGCATATGGGAGCCATCCTTACATTCTGGAGACAAATCTCACTTGGTCATGGTGAATGAACATTTTAATGTGCTATTGAATTCAGTTTGCTAGTATTTTATTGAGAATTTTTGCATCTGTGTCATCAAGGATATTGGACAGTAATTTTCTTTTCTTACAATGCCTTTGCTTAGCTTTGGTATGAAGGCAATGCTGCTCTTGTAAAATGAGTTTGGAAATATTCCCTCTTACTTGGTTTTTTGAAAGAGTTGAGAAGGATTGTTATTAGTTCTTTAAATGTTTGGTAGAACTCAGTAGCAAAGCTACCAGGTTCTGGGCTTTTCTTGGATGAGAGATTCTTGATTACTGATTCAATTTCCTTACTTCTTATTGGTCTGTTGAGATTTTCTTTTTCTTCATGATTCAATGTTGGTAGATTATATATTTCTAGGAATTTATGCATTTCTACTAGGTTATCTAATTTGTTAGCATATAATTGTTCATGGTAGTGTCTTGTAATCTTTTGGATTTCTGTGGTATCAGTTGTAATGTGTCTTTTTTCATTTATGATTTTATTTTAGTCTTTTTTCTTTTATTCTTAGTCTAGCTAAAAGTTTGTCAATTTTGTTTCTCTTTTCTAAAACAGCTTGGTTTTGTTGATCTTTTCTATTGGTTATCTAGTCTTGATTTTATTTATTTCTGCTCTGATCTTTGTTATTTCCTTCCTTCTGCTAACTTTGGCCTTCGTATGTTTTTCTTTTTCTAGTTTATTGAAGTATAAAATTAGGTTGTTTGTTTAAGGTCTTTCTTTTTTCATGTAGGTGTATGTTGCTGTTAACTTCTGTTTTAGAACTGCTTTTTCTGCACACATACATTTTGTTATGTTGTGTTTCCATTTTTGTTTGTCTCAGATATTTTAAAATTTCCCTTTTAATTTCTTCCTTGACCCATTGTTTCTTTCAGAGTGTGTTATTTAATTTCCATATATTTGCAAATTTTCTAGTTTTCCACCTGTTTCTATTTAATTCTGTTGTGGCTGGGAAAGACTTGGTATGATTTCAATGTTCTTAAATTTGTTAAGAGTTTTTTTGTGGCCTAGCACATCCTGGAAAGTATCCTGTGTGCACTTGAGAAAATCCTGCAGAGTTGAGCTGGCTATCTGTATATTTGGCTGCTGTTGGGTGGAATGTTCTGTATGTCTGTTAGGTCCATTAGATCTAACATATAGTTCAAATTTAATGTTTCCTTATTTTCTATTTGCATAATCTATCCATTGTTGAAAGTGGGATATTGAAGTTCTCTACTATTATTTTATTGCTATCTGTCCTCTTCAGATCTGTTAATATTTGTTTAGGTATTCTGATGATGGGTACATATGTATTTACAATTGTTACATCCTTTTGGTGAATTAATCACTTTATCATTCTATAATGACCTGCTTTATCTGTTGTTACACCTTTTGACTTGAAGTCTACTTTGTCTTATAATAAATATAGCTCCCCCGCTGTCTTTTGGTTTTCATTTATATCTTTTTTTCATCCCTTCATTTTTAATCTATGTGTATCCTTAAAGCTTTAGTGAGTGTATATAGCATATAGTTGGGTCTGTATGCCACTGTTTGCCTTTTTATTGTAGAATTTAGTATATTTACATTCAATGTAATTATTGATAGTAGGGATGTACTATTGCCGTTTTGTTATTTTCTGGGTGTTTTGTAGACCCTTTGTTCTTTTCTTGCTGTCTTTGTGATTTGATGACTTTCTGTAATGTCATGCTCTTTTGCTTTGTAGTTACTATGAAACATACATAAAAATTGTATAGTTATGAAAATCTATTTTAAGCTAACAGCTAACTTTGATTAGATATGAAAACTCTACAGTTTTATCTCCCTATCCATTTTATGTTTTTGATACCACAATTTACATCTTTTTATGTTGTGTATCTGTTAACAAATTATTGTAGCTACAGGTATTTTTAAATATTTTTGTCTTTTAACCATTATACCAGAGTTATGTCTTTTATATACCATCAATTCAGTATTAAAGTATTCTAAACTTGACTATGTCCTTTCCTTCACCAACGAGTTTTATACCTTGATATGTTTTCATGTTACTAAATAGCATCCTTTCATTTCAGCTAGTAGAACTCCCTTTAGCATTTCTTGTAAAACAAGTTTAATGATGGTGAACTCCTTTAAGTTTGTTTTTCTGGGAAAACCTTTATTTTTCCTTTTCTGAAGGACAGCTTTGCCAGGTAAAATATTCTCGGTTGGCAGGATTTTGTTTGTTTGTTTTTGTTTTTAATTCTGGCACTTCAAATACATTATCCTACTCTCTCCTGGCCTGCAAGGTTTCTACTGAGAAATCTGTTGACACCTTTGGGAATTTTCTTGTATGTGATGAGCCTCTCTTGCTGCTTTAAAATTTTCTCCCTTTGCATTTGGTTTTTGATGATTTGATAATAATGTATCTTGATGAAGTATGTTTTCAGTGGAAGCTGTTTAGAGACATTTGAGCTTCTTGTATTTGGATGCCTATATCTCTCCCCAGATTTGAGTAGTTTTTAACTCTTAAAAAAAAGCTATGTGTCTTTCTTTCTCTTTCTCTTCTCCTGTTTGAACTTCCATAATGCTAGATGGTACTCCATAAATCCTGTAGGCTTTATTTCTTTTCATTTTTTTTTCTTCTCTGATGGAATATTTTTAAATGAGCTGTCTTTGAGTTCACAGATTCTTTCAAATCTTTATCAGATTGATTCTTTATCAAGTCTGCTGTTAATGTTCTCTATTAAATTTTTTCATTTCATTGATTGTATTTTTCAGAATCTGTTTGTGATTATTTTGCATGATTTTAATCTTTTTATTAAATTTCTTATTTTGTTCATGTATGTTTTTCTGATTTTATTGTGTTGTCTATATATTTTTTGTAGCTTGCTGAGCTTCCCAAAAACAATTATTTTGAATTATTTTTCAGACAATTTGTAGATCTCCATTTTTTTGATCAATTAATGGGATATTATTATGTTTCTTTGATAGTGTCATGTTTCCTCAACTTTTTGTTCTTTGACATGTTGCATTACTGGCTTTGCAGTTGAAGCAATTATGTCCTCCAGTCTCTACTAACTAGTTTCAAGAGAGAAACACCTTCACCAGTCAGCCCAGCTAGGGATTCTGAGACGCTCTTAAACCTTTTTTTTACGCCTATTCCATGTCTTTTATTCGCTTTTGTTTTGGGGAGGTATTCTTAATATTTTATGCCTTTTCTCAATCCTGCAGAGTTGAGCTGGCTATCTGCACAAGACACTTCTATTTGCCATCCATGGGGTCATGCTTGGGGAGTTGGCCTGGGGGAAGGTGTTGTGAATAGAGAATTTGGGGTGCCCATGGGGCTGTTTAGGGGTGTTACACAGGCAAGGCATCCCACATGGCTTGTGTGCAGGCTTTCTGAAGGAGTCATGGAGTGGTTAGTAGCATCAGGGCCTCCCTCCCCTTCCTTCTCCTAACCTCCTCAACTACTTAATTGTGCCAATCACTTCAGTATTCTGGGTGGGGCAAGAAAGAAGTGGGCTTCCTGGACAGCATCCTGCACAGCTGGGGTACCCAGGAGCTTACTCACTGCACTCTCACTTTCCATTGTGAGAGAAATTGTGGTGAGGGTATCTCTTTTGGCACTGAGCTGTGCCACCTTGGGGGAGGGGCGATAAGGGTCATCCCTCTTACCCATCCTCTTCTTAGTCTCTTCAGTGCATTTATTCTGGATCTTGTGCTCCAACTGTGTGCTAAAACTTCTCTGTTGGACTCTGGACTCCCACAGATGTATTTTCCTTTGTAGGTAGTGGTCAAATTGATGCTCCTTTAGGGGATTGATGATAGAAAACTTCTATTCCACCATCTTGCTTATGTCACTCTGATTAATAACACTGTTGCAGCCTCTCCTACCTTGTCACAAATTCTCTGATTAATAATACTGTTGCACCCTCTCCTACCTTGTCACAAATTCTTCTCCATGGGTAACCACTATTTTGAAATTTGTGTATCATTCCCTTGCTTTAAGCAGAATGTTTAATCATATATGTATGCATCCCCAAATAATATATTGTTAGTTTTATGGTTTTTATTGACCTATAGGTCTATGGTATCATATGTTGTATAGTCCTCTGTGTTTTACTTCTTTTACTAAGTATACTTTTATAATTGTCCATATAGTTGCCATGTCACTCTAGTGCATTTATTTTAGTTGTTGTTTAATATTCCATTGTGTGACTATAGGCCAGAGTTTTATACATTCTCCTGCATTTATTAACTGTAGTTCTTCTAAAAAGACGACCTTTTGCTTATCTATTTGGCTACCCAGAGGAATAGTTCATAAAGTAAAGGCAGAAAAGATGTTCACATCTTTTTTTAATGTATTATTTTTCAAAATAAAGAGATGATGCACAGATAATCTCCTAAGACATCCAATTAGGTTTCATTTTATGTATTAAAATATTTCCTATTTATTTATTTGCTCATTTATAAAATTACTAATTTATGATTTTTATATATTTGATGTATTTCAATCTGTTATATCCATTATATTTTTCCCATTATTTAGATGCTTTGTTACTAAGTGTACACACATTTAGATTGTTATGTCTTCTATTAATTGACACTTTCATAATTGACACTTTTATCATAAAATATTCTCTTTGTCTCTGGATAATTTGCTTTGTTTTTATGTAACTTTGTTTAATATTAATATAGTCAGAGCAACTTTCTTATCCTTAGTACTTGTCTGCTATATGTTTTTTATCTGTTTTACTTTTAGCCTATTTTGTCTGTATAGTAAAGTATATTTCTTATAAACAAACAACAATTGGGTCTCCCATTTATTAATAAAAAGATTATTCTAGATTGATAACCCGTGCCTTTTACATGGAGTATTTAGTCCATTTATGTTTAATGTAAGTATTGATGTAATTGGGCTAAATATACCACCTTGCTTTTTGTTTTCTATTCTTTCGTTTTATTGTTCTTTTCTTCTCCGTAAATATTTTGCCATCATTCTATGTATTATGTTTTCTGTAGTTGCTGTAGGGAATTATAATATACATCATTAATTTACCATGGTCCACTTAGGATAATGTTACTTTATGACAATGCAAGAAACTTAAAAAGTTAAGTTCATTATTTCTTTCCCATCCTTTGAGCTCTTGGCATATTATGTTACAAATTCTAAAATATATTATTGTGTTAGATATTCAGTTGTCTTTTAAAAAATTTACACATGTACTCACACACACTAAATATATATACTTTTAAACTTACTGAATGAGTTCCACTTTCTGATGCTTTCTTTTTAAAGAAAGAGCTCAGGGTTCTCTCTGGTATTGTTTTCCTTAACCTAAACAAATGCCCTTTAGTATTTTTATATTTCATGTTTCCTGATGATGAGTCTTCCCAGCTTTGTTTATCAGAAATATCTTTACTTCCCCTTTGCTTTTGAAGGATGTTTTCTCTGCATAGAGAATTCTGTGTTGGCTTTTTTCTTTCAATAATTAAAAAATGTCATCCCACTATCTTTTTGCATCCATTGTTTCTGGTGAGAAGTATCTGTAGTGGTCTCTTTGTATGTAATGTATCTTTTTTTCCCATGTGTTTTTAATATTTCATATTTGCTTTCCAGCAGTTTTACTATGGTGTCCTTAAATGTGATAGTATTTGCATTATCCATTTTGGAGTTTTCTGAGGTTATTGGGTTGTTAGGTGTGGAAAATTCTTAGCTATTATATTTTCAGTTATTTATTCTGGCGTGTTCTCTCTTTTACTTCTAGGGCTGCGGTTATATGCATTCGATATTGTTCTACAGACATTGGATACCACATTCCTATTTATTCATTCTTTTCCTCTTTGTATTTCAGTTTGGATAATTTCTCATGACTATATCAAGTTCAATGATCCTTTTGTTTGCTGTCTTTTGCTTGCTCTAAAGCCCACTGAATGCATTTTCACTTGTGATACTTTTTCATTTTGTGTATTTCTTTTTGATTTATTTTAATAGGTTTTCTATGTTGGAGTTTCCCATCTTTTAGGAATATTTTTTTCACTTACATAAATTATTTTTCATTTAAAAACCTTATCTGATAATTCCAACATCTGGGCTATTAGTAGTCTACTTCTGTTGCCTGTTCCTTCTCTTGTTTCCCAGTCACACTATTTCTTACTTTTTCATATGTCTTATAATTATTGATTGTATACTAAACATTATATTTGAAAACAGAAGAGACTGCAGAAGATATTTGCCTCTGAAAAAGGGTACAGTCTTTCTTATTCCATGCATCTAGTATGACAAATTGAGTGTATATATATATATACACACATACACAGACACACACACACATTTTTATATAGATGCTTTATACATATAAACATATATAAATGTTTTATACATATAAAACATTTCAGCCCTTTATACATATAAAACATTTATATATGTATTTTTGTTTTTATAGGTCCAGGGTGTGTGTGTGCAGGTTTGTTACATGGATATGTCACATAATAGTGAGGTTTGGGCTTCTAGTGTATCCATCACTCAAATTGTGAACACTCTACCCAGTAGGTAATTTTTCAACCCTTATCCTCCTTTCACCCTCCACTCATTTGAAGTCCTCAGTGTCTATTATTTCCTTCTGTATGTTCATGTGTACTCATTGTATAGCTCCCATTTATGAGAGAGAACATATAGTATTTGATTTTCTGTTTTTGAGTTATTTCATTTAGGATAATGGCATTGAGCTTCATCCATGTTACTGTAAAAGGTGTGATTTTTATTATTTTTTATGGCTGCATAGTATTCCATGGTTTATATATACTACATTTTTTTGGCTTAAATAACAAGCATTATTATTTCACAGGAGAAATTCTCAAGAAAGGTGCTTCGGTGGTTGGTGGTTGGTTTATTCAGCATCAAAGACTCCATTCCTTTCCGTCTTTCTGCTCCACCATCCTCAACTCTTGACTTTGGTACTCAGGCTTGCCCCTTTATGGTCATAAGGTGGCTGCAGATGCTCCAAGTATCATAGTCTGTTCAACAAAATTCAAAAACTGGGTGAAGTAACTAACAGCTTTGCCTTGCGTTGCCTTTTCTTTTCTCTTTCTTTCTTTTTTTTTTTTTAAAGAGATTTCAGCTTTTATTTTAGATTCAGGGGGTACGTGTGCAGGTTTGTTACATGGGTATATTGTGTGACACTGATCTCATCACCCAGGTAGTGAGTGTAGTACCCAATAGGTAGTTTTTCAGCCCTTGCACCCCTCCATCAATCTTCCCTGTAGTAGTCCCTGGTGTCTATTGTTTTCATATTTATGACCATATATACCCAATGTTTAGCTCCCATTTATAGGTGTGAACATGTGGTATTTGGTTTTCTGTTTTTGTGTTAGTTTGCTTAGGATGATGACTTCCACCTACATTTATGTTGCTGCGAAGGACATATTTTCATTCTTTTTTATATTTACGTATTTTCCAGGGCGTATATGTACCACATTTTCTTTAATCCACCATTAATATGCACCTCGGTTGATTCTATGTCTTTGCTATTGTGAATAGTCCTGTGATGAACATATGAGTGCATGTGCCTTTTTTGTAGCATACTTTATTTTCCTTTGGGTATATACTTGGTAATGGGATTGCTGGGTCATGTGGTAGTTTTGTTTTTAGTTCTTTGAGAAGAAATCTCCAAACTGCTTTCCACAGTGGTTGAACTAATTTATATTCCCACCAACAGTGTATAAGTGTTCTCTTTTCTCCACAGCTTTGCCAACACCTTTTTTTTTTTTTTTTTGCCTTTTTTATAATAGCCATTCTAACTGGTGTGAGATGGTATCTCATTGTGAATTTGATTTGTGTTTCTCTGATCAGTAGCGATGTTGAACATTTTTTTTTTTGGTATGTTTGTTGGCCATTTGTATGTCTTCTTTTGAAAAGTGTTTGTTCAGGCTGGGCATGGTGGCCCACGCCTATAATCCTAGCACTTTGAGAGGCCGAGGCGGTCAGGAGTTCAAGACCAGCTTGGCCAACATGGTGAAACCCTATGTCTACTAAAAATACAAAAATTAGCTGGGCGTGGTGGTGGGTGCCTGTAGTACCAGCTACTTGGGAGGCTGAGGCATTAGAATCGCTTGAACCTGGGAGGCAGAGGCTGCAGTGAACTAATATTGCACCACTGCACTCCAGCCTGTGTGACAAAATGAGACTCCATCACACACACACACACACACACACACACACACACACACACACACACACAAAAGAAAAGAAAAAGTGTTTGTTCATGTCCTTTGCCTACTTTTTAATGGGATTTTTTGTTTTTAGTTTATTGAGTTAAGTTCCTTATAGATTCAGGATATTAGACATTTGTCAGAAACATAGTTTGCAAATATTTTCTCCCATTGTGTGGATTGTCTGTCTACTCTGTTGATGGGTTCTTTTGCTGTGCAAAAGCTCTTTAGTTTAATTGGATCCCTCTTGTCAATTTTTGTTTTTATTGCAGTTGCTTTTGAGGTCTTAGTCATATATTCTTTGCCAAGGCTGTTGTCCAGGATGGTATTTCCTAGGTTTTCTTCTAGGATTTTTATAGTTTGAGATCCACCTTGAGTTAATTTTTGTATATGGTGAAAGGTAGGGGTCCAATTTCATTCTTCTGTGTATGGCTAACCAGTTATCCCAGCACCAATTATTAAATACAGAGTCATTTCTTCATTGCTAATTTTTGTCAGCTTTGTTGAAGGTCAGATGGTTGTAGGTGTATGGCTTTATTTCTGAGTTTTCTATTCTGTTCCACTGGTCTATGTGTCTGTTTTTTTACCAGTACCATACTGTTTTGGTTATTGTAGCTTTGTAGTATAATTTAAAGTCAGATAGTGTGATGCCTCCAGCTTTCTTCTTTTTGCTTAGGATTGCCCTGTCTCTTTGGGCTCTTTTTTGTTTCCATATGCTGGCTTGAGATATTCTGATGGTAGTGTCAAGTCTTACTATTCAGCAAAGGCTGGGATCCGAGCACCAGCAAAACTCCAGATATCTCTTTATCTATTTATCTATTTATAGACCAGCTGTCAGCTTTAGGAAGGGGGAATTTCTCTCTTTCTCTTGCCTTCTGTCTTTTACAGCCTAGCTTTCAGCTTATTGGGTCACTGGGGATATTTTTACTTTCACCCACCTATGAGATCTTCCTTTGTCTTACCACTCTGGTCTCACACTTTGGTGGACAGTTGCAGTGCACTTAGGGAAGATCCAGTGTGCTTCTGAGGGATTTCTTTCAGCTCTTTTTTACTTTTCCCATTGCTTGGTGGCTGCTGCCTTGCAGTAAGTGATGGCTCTCTGCATCCAGGTTGGCTCTTCTCCTTCAGCTCTCTTGTTGTGTCCCCAGACTTCAAAATGCTGCTGCTTTTCACTTGCCAAAGAACTTATGCACCTCAGGGTGTGGATATCTTTCAGCTCTCCTGCTCTACCCTACATTTTTGGAGCTATTAGTGAAGACCTGTAGGAAAGAATTGATGAATGGATTCAGCCTTGTTTAGTGAATGGGGTTTCTTTTGATTCTGATGCATCATGGTAGCTCACATGTAGTCATTTGAAGTTTATTAAAGTTCAACTAATTTCTTGTCCTCATCTACAGCATTTATTCTTTTTCCACTGCTTCCTTAGGAATAGAAGAGACCATGGCTCTGTTTTCTCATAGGAAAGGCTTATCTTTTTTGGAATTAGGTTTATTGAGATATTTGTGCATTTTCGTTAAAAAACCCATGACTGTAGCTTATCTGGCTTGCTATTGTTATTACAGTGGGAGTGCTGGACTCTTGGAAGTTTCTTCATCCTAACTAGAAGTGGAAATTTCAGGGATCTGTTTTGGAGGCTTGTGAGACATATTAGAGGATTTAGAACCATTATTTTAGCTGGTAAAATTGTCCATCTTTTGGCACTGGAGCCCCTTTATGTTGGTTTCTGTGATCTTTGACTTTACTATCTTTGGTAATTTTCTTGTTTTTGGGTAGAACAAGATGCCTCAGACTCCTCTTGAATACATCTTTTATGAGACCCAGAGACCCAGAACCAGCCATTTCTCCAATGATCCTCCTCCTCCTTTTTTTTTTTTTAAGTAGGAAATGTGATTTTAACATAATAATCTAGTTTCCAAATTTTTACTGCAATTTTCATGTTAGCCTCTAGGCGATGATAGTATCACTGTAGTTCATGGGTCCAGCAGCAGTATTAAAAATCAAAATCAGACCGGGCGCAGTGGCTCACTCCTGTAATCCCAGCACTTTGGGAGGCCAAGGCGGGTGGATCACCTGAGGTCAGGAGTTTGAGACCAGCCTGGCCAACATGGCAAAACCCTGTCTCTACTAAAAAATACAAAAATTAACCAGGTGTGGTGGCAGGCACCTGTAATCCCAGCTCCTCAGGAGGCTGAGGCAGGAGAATGGCTTGAACCCGGGAAGCAGAGGTTGCAGTGAGCTGAGATCGCACTAGGGCACTCCAGCCTGGGTGACAGAGCAAGACTCTGTTTCAAGGAAGAAAAAAAAAATCAAAATCAAATTGAAACCTTAGCCTACAGGTTTAAAACCATACGCTTATAGATTTTTAAATAAAATTATAGCCATGTGGTTTCTTAATTTGGGATTTGTAGACCCTATGGAATCTATGTATTGGTTTTTATGGGGCATTCTGTGAATTTCCTGAGACTATATGAAACATTTTAGTCCAAGATATATCTTTTTCTCATGACCTGAGAGAGATTGGGAAGCACAGTCTTAGGTAATTTTGAATAAAACTGTAAGTTAACTTGCTGGCTAAAATAAATTAAATAAATAAATTTAACAAGTAATACAAGTTGATGTAGTTCCTTCTTTTCCTGTTATTATTTCTTAGTAATAGTGTCAAATGAAAACCTTGAAGAGTCCCAAATTGTATATTGTCTATTTGTCTTTTGTTACCTAACTCATTTGAGGTGGCCTTCCTGTATTTTGCCCCTTTCTTCTTTTATCTGCTACTTTCATCTGATAATTTTTCTAGTTGGTGGTAAGACAGCTTTTGGACAATTTCTGTATTGATATTCCTTAAATTCTACCCAGATGTAGAGAATAAAATATGAATACTATTTTCTCCTTCCTCCTTCAGAGCAGTGTGTCTTTCCCTGCCCTCAAAACTTCCCTTGATACTGTATTGAATAGAGAAAGGGATAAGCAATGACTGGTGAGCAGATTTAAGACTTTTTTCTATGGTACTTTATTTGGCCTCTAAATACTGAATGTTGTTTTTAAACTTTGCGTACAGCTTTAAAGCTGATGAAATGATTTATATTGCCTCTCCTTTGTACAGAGGAATTTATTGAGAAATAACATTGGCTCAAACTTCCTTTTCAGCTTTTAAAGAGATCAAAATGACCCCAATAAATTACTTCTAAATTTTAAGTCATTAAGAAAATTATTAATTAAATATTTAATATATGTGGCTGGCTCAGTAGTTATAGGTTAGATTTATGGTGTAGTATAACTGTCTTGCTTATGTTCTTTCTGTTTGTGGACTTTATACCACATATATAATCAATATGTATAGTGAAATATTTTACATGACATCTGCATATTTGTAGATGTTTATAACTGCATTTTGGCTTTGGTTTTTTTTTTCTGGCTCATGAAATGCACACCATGGCTTAGAGGCAAAATAAAATCTTTAATTTTATTTTGTTGGGATGTGCTTGGTGACTTACTATTTATAGGACTTTCTGGTTAAAATTGGAGACTATCTACAGTCCTAAGTGTTAGTATCAGAACCTGTTGTGCTCCTTATTTGCAGATAATTATTACTATGATCTTGTCCATATTCTCAGATTTTTGGGGCTTTGGATTTTCTTTGTTTATATCTCCTTTATTCATGTGATGATATTAGCCTGGTTTCTGCAGTGACTGTTATGGAATGAGCATGTTACTAGGAGTCACAATACTTGGATCTTAGAATCTTAGTTCTTCCAAATCACTTTTCTTGTTTGTCAGATGAGATGATAGTACTTTCCTTGCAAGATAATTCTAAAGCCCCAGATATACAGTAGTTGATTATTTAATCAGTGAGTCAGTGAGTCAGTGACCCTTTCTCCCTAAAAAAATTAAGTTTTCTATAATTGAATTTAATCTAAGTATATTTTTTCATTAATTAACAGCTTTTAAAAAGGGTTTTCTCAAGTCATCTGCCTATTGCAAGCCTCTTAACTATATTTTAACCAGCAAGTTATTAAAGTTCTAAAACTACATTCAGTGGTAAATATTTTGTCTTGTGAGGAATATAAAACTATTAAAGCTAAGCCATTTAGTTTTTCAAATGAGGAAGCTGAAGCATAGATGTCATAAGTGACTCATTTCAGGTTCTACAGCCAGAGCTGGTTCTCCTCATATGTGATCCTTCTCTCTGATGGAACAGGAATCCAGATAGAAGATTGACAAGAGCATCAACTGAACATTACAAACAGTGTTGCTTCTTTTATGGCTACTTTCCTAATGAAGTTCTCAGGTGTGGATAAATCTAATGCTTATACATATACTCTGTTTCCCAGATAAATACAATATAGTGATACAATCTTAGCAGCACCACCATAGATAAGAATACCACTTTTACTGGTGATGGTTGCCTCTGATTTTTTTTCCTCCTTCCCTGGGTTCATTTGTCCCTGATGCTCTAATTAGAGTGTTATAATTTAGGTAACTAAATTTAAATAATTTAGAACAGAAAGCAAGGTTCTGCTTTATCTCCTGTATTAACACTCAAAATGAATATTGGGTAAATTTCTACATTGAGATGTGTATTAGGGTTCTCCAGAGGGACAGAACTTATAGGATATTTATGTATATGAAAGGGAGTTTATTAGGGAGAACTGGCTTACCTGATTACAAGGTGAAGTCCCAGGATAGACCATCTGCAAGCTGGGGAAGAAAGAATCCAGTAGTGGCTCAGTCTGAGTCCGAAAGCCTCAAAACCAGGGAAGCTGACAGTGCACCCTTCAGTCTGTGGCCAAAGGCCCAAGAGCCCCCAGCAAACCAATGGTGTAAGTGCAGGAATCCAAAGGCTGAAGAACCTGAAGTATGATGTCCAAGGGCAGGAGGAGCAGGAGGAAGCATCCAGTATAGGAAAGGGAAAAGCCAGAAGACCCAGCAAACAAAGTTATCCCACCTTCTTCCCCCTGCTTTGTCTTTGCTGTGCTGGCAGCCAGTTGGATAGCACCTACCCACATTGAGGGTGGGTCTTCCTCTCCTAATCCACTGACTCAAATGTCAGTCTCCTCTGGCAGCACCCTCACAGACACACCCAGAAGAGCAAGGAAAAGAGAGTGGCTGAAGCTTTGTCAATTACACACTTCCTCTGACATGGTAGACGGGATGAAGCGTTTTCACTACTCATGTTTGTTGAAGGTTTTTTTGTTTGTTTGTTTTTTTGGTTTTAGTTTTTTTCAAAAAGGTTTTAATCTGTGAAAGTATTTGCGTTCATAAAACTGGAACCTTTCCTATTTATGGAGCTACTTATTTAGACAGTTGGGATTTTTCGTATGAGTGTGTGATTTGGTTATATCCTCAATAAAATTGGCAGTAGTGATAAAAACTAATATATGTATAAAGCACTTAGTATATGTACTATATGTCTAGCACCGTGCTCTAGATATCTGTGTTTAATCATAACTGTGATAATATTTCTCTATATTAAAAATAATTATGAAATGCTAACGCATATATCAATCACACCCTACTTTGTAAGAGATGATATCTCTAGGAGATAATTATAAAATTGGTTTTTCTTTTGGTTATTATTTATCACAGAAAAAATTGAAAAGCCTGAGTTGTTTTTGATACATTACAATAAATAACCAAAGTATGAGACAAGTTGTGGATTACAGAGAACTCTGAATATTTGGGAAACGCTAAATATGTGTCGGTGAGCTATAACCTTAAGATGTGACTGGATTAGACATCTTCACCACTTATTCCATCTCTTTATGAAGCTCCTTATGTTTTCCCCTTGTATATAATAGGTTCCAGGTTTGATAACCATAGGGACACTGTGAAGACTGAAATCATGTGTGTCCTATCACTTTTAAGGTAGCTCTCTCTTTAATTTCACAAGACAGGCTTGAAAACCAGAAGTAACCCAACTCCAAAATTGGCAGTAAATCCTTTGACAGGGAAAAGGTGACGTACTGTGTAATAAATTCCTTTGTTGAAAAAGAGATGTTGCAATACTGGAAACTGAAGTACCAAATGTTTCCTTTTAAATTTGGAAAGGCCCTTTCTTATTAGTTATCTATCCCTGTGGACTTCTAAGAGGGGATGTGTTGAAAGATTTTTCAGATGCCCACTAGCCACAGTGAGAGTGAATGGCAGCATTTATAAGATGACATAAATACTTCAAAATCATCAGTAATCCTTGGAGACGTGTGGTGTGCCAGGGGTACTGAATGTGAGCTTTTGTTGCTGTCGAGCCTGTGCTTTTGTAGGAGGCTGCCTAGGAATGTGGGTTGTGTCTCTGCTGTGAATGCAACTTCACTTTTTCCCCTCTGGGGCTCTTTGTATTAGAATTGAGGTGGGAGTGGTTTAGAAGACAAAAAGTCTGCACAGATAAGAAAGATCTGTGAGATTATGAGTTATATTTTAAAATCCTAATCTTATTTTGAGGTCCTGTGGAGCAATTATATTATTGTCCTCAACCATTAGAACACTACATTAATAACTGGACACATAAAGGTCTTTTAATTTTCATTTTGTAATAATGGGGCTCATCCCACCACTGCTGCTACTACTACATTAGATGAAGACAAAAAAGATTGAAAATAATCTAGAAATGCAATGAAGATATATCTTACATGTTAGCCAAGAATTGGTAAATTTTGATGTTTCTCTATTCTTATTGCAAAAGCTTTTCAGTTTGTTACTTTTACCTTTTGGAACTAAAACTTAATTTGACAATATGATTTTGTTGGGCTGTCACAATCCCTATATTTAATTATCTTGTTTTAAAGGCTGCATCTATCACTGGAGCTGAAGTTAAAAACAATTATAAATGTGTGATGAAGGTCAGGCAACATAAAACACCCATGGCATCTGTTCATGTTCACTCTGATCAACTCGTGTACTCAAGATACAGGGAAGTGAAGTGAATGGGGCCAAATCCCATCATGGGAAACTTTGCTTTCCCCTTTACTAACTTGCCTTAAGAGAAAGTATTGTGAACGCAGGAGTGTAATCTTAAGTCGGGCAATAAACCTGTTGGAGAATAAAAATAGGTTTTATTTTAGATACTGGGGAAAATAAAAGGAATAAATAAGAAAAGTCAAGCATGATCCACAGTCTCTAGATAATCAAGTTAAAATGTTTCCTGCCAGGCTAAGAGAAATCTTTACCATACTATTTGTTTTGTTTTGATAATGATAGGTTTACCTAGGTGGTCATTTTTACCCTATGTAAAGGCTTAGCTTGATTTGAAGCAGTAGCCTTCATTTAGAATTACAAGGCAAAGGATAAACTTTTAAATTCTATTTTAGGCTCTCTCAGTGATGATTGTTAAGCTAGCTGAGAATCACTTTAATAGAAGGAACATACAGAGAATAGGATGAGAGGCAGCAAAGTAGTAGAAAATTTTTCTTAAGATGGTTATTTTCATCATAGTAGTATTTATTAAGTGCTTACTCTATGGTCAACTCCATGCTAAATGCTTTATGTGATTTTTCTCATTTTGTCCTCAAAACAACCCTGTGAGGTAGTTGGTATCCCATTCCCCATTTTACAGCTATGGAAACTGAGCCCTAAATAACCCAAAGTCACCCTGCTGGATTCAAACATGAGTCTCACTGCAGAACAGATACTAACCCTTACCCTATAGGCCTTAAGGTAGGGGTGTGTGTGTAAGAGGGTGGGAGGGGTGAGGGAGGGAAGGAGGAGAGAAAATGAGAATGAATGAATAGAGTAAATAAAATGTGCAAGCTGTCCTCTTCTTAAAAAAGACCCTGCTTCTTGACACAGAAATATCAGATTTCTCCTATGGGTAAAGTTACAGAAGCTTTTTGTAATGTAAGCTAATGTATCCACTAGAGAAATAATGGCATTGTTGGAAGGATTTAGATGACAGGAAAATAAAGATACTTTATTAATTAACTCTTCTAGTTTCCTTGGGGTTTTGCCAACTTTTTCTGGATTCCAGACAAATTCAAAAACAGATGATTTAAAGGTGGCTTCACTGAAGTGGTGTCACATGATTGAGGGAAGTGGTCATTCTTTAGATGGATAAAAGGTGGTTTTAAAATATGCAGGACTCCATTTTTCAGACAATATGAAGTATTAAAGTATTTTTTTTTTATTCAAATGAACTAAAACGAAATTCTGTAGTTGGAAGTAATTAAATATATCCTGGGTTTCCCCCCTAAAAAAGTCAGTTAAAATAAATATTCTCAGATCAAATGATCTTTTTCGTGTATTGCTGCTAATGGCATCTGATAAATATGTGTATATGAGCTTATCAGAAATTATGTTTGAATCAACACAGAGTTGCATGTTTGAATTGGAAAAAGTAGCTAGAAGTCGTCTTCTTTCAGTGTAAAGTTTTCTGAGCCATTTTCAATCACCAGCAAAGAGCCACGTATATAGTTTAAGAATGCATTTGGTCCCATATATTCATTGACAGATGAATGAATAAAGAACATATGGTATATACATACATAGAGTATCCATTTGGGAATATGAAAAAGTTCTGGAGCTAGATGGTGCTGATGGTTGTACAACAGTGTGAATGTACTTAATGCCACTGAATTGCATACTTTAAAAATGGTTAAATGGTAATTTTATATTATTTATGATAGGAATGGATGTAGCCTTAAAAAAGAGAACTGAATTGCGTTGCTAAAGCGGCAGGTTTTTAAATTTAAACTTAAATTAGAAAACCTCGTGTAACAGATGCCTGGGAAGAGACTGGGTCTAGTCGGGCTACCTAGCAGTACCCTTTGGTTTTCAGGTCTGTCCTTTCCCTCCTGCCGTCCTCAGCAGATGGTGTTTTCTTTCTTTTTTCTTTTCTTTTCTCTTTTTTTTTAATTTTTCCCACTCAGTGGCCATGGATGGTCCTTGATGCTCATGCATGTCACCCCTCAGTCATGCTGCTGTGCCTCAGGCTTAGCTATGCAAGTGCAGGCATGGAAAGTTGGATTTAGTCAGATATGGCAGAGACATTCAACTTAATGCTCTCTGAAGATCCATATATTCCCCTATATTTCACAGGCCCCTTGTAGTTGCCTAAGAATGTGTAGCTCTTTCTGGCCAGGGACCGGAATGGTAATGATATTTGTCACTTTCAGGCTAAGGTGGTAAAACAGCCTTCTGGAACAGCAGGGTGGCCTCGTTCTTGTGGAGGGGAAGTATGTGATTCAGGTAGTGCATTTACAGGTGATGGAGTCTCCATCTGCCTAGGTTTGTTCCTTTCACCTAGGTTTGAGTGAGTGTGTGAAGCAGATCTTCAGGTGATGCAGGTATGACCTATAACATTAGTGAGAATTATATTTTAAGTCACTGAGATTTGGACGTTGTTTTTGCAGCCCAGTATAGCTATTCTGACTGTTACTCCAGGGTGGGCTTTTGCCAGGCATGTTTGATGAAGTGAGAGCAGCAGGGAGGTTTTTGGGAGTAAGGGGATGGATGTAAGTTGATGAAGCATGGAATTTTAGTTAGTTAAGAATAGAGGTGAGGACCTGAGTGGGGTGAGGAATAGTTAAAAGGCAGCAGAATTAATGGATGGCAGTTTTTGGTGAGATGGAGGGAATGTTGGAGTTGGAGTGCTCAAGGGAGGGAGCTGGAAAGATAGGAATGAGATGATTCCAATTGATGTGACTGAGGAGTTCACGTTACTGCTGAAATGGGTGTGAGTTTATCAGGTAGTGTGGATAACTGGAGGAGAGGATATCAGAATAGCAAAAGCCAAGATATCGGGAGAATCATCTAGATAAATATTAAATTCAGCAAGAATGATGACAAGGAGTAGTGTTGGGCAGAGTAAAAGTGAGCTGGGAGTTAAAATCTCTGAGAAATGAATTTGTCGTTACATGTCTGAAACGGTCTCTATTCACCCTCACTCTAGTAGAATGGTAGTTTAACTGATTCCAGGTTGGCAGTGTTTTTTTCTGTTTGCTTGTTTTTTTTGCCATAGCATCTTTAAGATATTAGTCTTGCGGCTTCTTTTGTTGCTTGGAGATATTTAGTTATCAGTTTAATTTAAAAATTTTTGAATTTTTTTGTAGGTGAATTTTTTTCCTTTTCTTTTTGGTGAGTTTTTAATATTTTCTTGTTGCCTTTGGTCCAGAGCTTCAAACTGTTACAATTAAGGATGGATTTCTATTTTTATTCCTCTTTTTTGGAACTCTGTGGATCTTCAGTTTAATAACTTAAATTCTAGAAAATTCTTATTCCTTATGCAAATATTAGTGCTTTCTTCTTTCTTTCCTCTCTTTCAAAATGCCTATTAATGCATTGGACATTATCATTTTACACTTTTGGACTCTTAACTCCTCATTTTCTTTCTCTTTATCATTCTAGGCTCTGTTTCTTTTTCTTATTGTACTACAGTTTGCTCTATTTCAGGGATAGGCAAACAATGACCTGTGGGCCAAATCTGGTTCATGGCCTGTTTTTGTATAGCTCATAAGCTAAGAATGATTTTTTAGTTTTTAAGACTTGTTGCAAAAAACATTAAGAAGATTTTATAGAAAGAAATTACATGTAGCATTCAAAGCCTAAAATATTTACTATTTGGCCTTTTACAAATTTGTTTTCAACTGCTGTCCAATTATTTTCACTTCTTGAAATAATTTTTTTGTTTTTTGCTATTGCTCATTCTTCCTTTTGGTTGTATGTATATGTGTGTTGAAGTTGGGGGTTGGAATTTTTTATTGGTAGTTCATCTTCAGTGTGGGTTTTGAAAGTTTCGGGATACCCACAAGTAGAAGACATGTATTATCTTTGAGCATGGGACATGCTGAATTCTCAGCAACAGGAAACATACTGGGAAAGAGAGAGCTGGGGCTGGAGTAAGGGTTAGGATTAATGTGAGATGACCTGGCCGTAGAGACTGGCACTCCTAGGGCCGTGGGAATGTCCAGGATTCCTGCTGCTGAATCCAGGGTTTTTATATGAATCCTTGAGGTTGGTGTGTAGAATACACAATCAGGGCATTGACATCTGGACTGGCCAGAATGACAGTTAAGTGAATACTGAGTCATCAGGCAGGGGCCTGACACTGTTGGGGAGGTCTGACAATATGTAGTAGCACCCCTGCCAACTGCTGTGTACGCTGGGCCTACCACAGAGTAGGGACTCAATAACAGCCTGGCAAGTGAATGAATGGGGAAAGAAATGAAGGTCAGGTCCATATTTTGAGGACTGGTAAGTACCAGGCAGGTATCTTCTGCCAGCCTTTGTCCTAGACTAACCAGACAGGAAGAATATGGAGAGATACCTCTAATAGTTGTTTTGTAGATCCTTTGGGATTTTCTACGTAGAAAATTATATCATCTGTGAATAGAGACAGTTTTACTTCTTCCTTTCTGTTCTTTATGCCTTTTTTCCCCTTGCCTTATTACAATGGCTGAAATCTCCAGTACATTGTTGAAGAGAAGTGATGAAAGCAGACATCATTGCCCTGTTTCTGATCCTAGGGAGAAACAATTCAGCGTTTCATCATTAAGTATGATGCAACTGTAGGTCTTTTTGCAGATGTTCTTTATTTCTGGAAATTGATAACTGAATTTAGAGGCCTAATCGGATTCAAGTACAGTTTTTTTTGGGCAGTGGACAAGACTACGTCGGTATGATTTTGTCAAGAGATACATAGTGTCTGGTATCTTTCTGTGGTATTAGCAGCCACTGATGATTGCCTCTATCAGTTATTACATTGTGGGTTACAAATGGTTATATTCCAATTCTATTAATTTCTTTTTCATTTATTATCTGGGATACTTCTGTAGAGAAAATATTCCTTCATAAATTGTTGGGTTACTCTGGTATGTAGTCCCTATTGGAAGGACAGAAACATGCTTGCTTGTTTTCTTTTATCAATTTTCAGAATAGTGAGTTGGTTTCATAGCATCCTCCAAAGGTGATTAGTGCTTTTAAAAACATAAGTTATGAATTTATTATGTGTTTTAATCCATTCATTTGTCATACTTATTGATGCTAAATTTTTCTTTTTTTAGAACTTGGTATTTTTTACTTCTAGGAATCTTGTCAGGTCTTTTATAATCCATGTTTTCTGCTAAGATGTGAGAACATACACATACTCTTACTTGGAAAAGTAAGGACAAAAAGAGGGTATAGTGAAAGTCTTATTTTTTGGTGAATAAAGAGTGGAACTGTTTGCCTTTGAATCACACTTCAGCTCTATGGCAGCATATTCTAAGAAACCTTGGAATTTTGTAGGTAAGAGCACATAAGTCAAACTTTCTTTGATTGGAACCTACAGGAGAATAAGCTTTGGTTTCATGGCTCTTTGTTAAAGATGATCAATGTCAGAGAGTATAAGTCATAATTTTAAAAGTTTCTTGGTAAAAAGATCAATCATTGGAAAGCTCTGTATATATATTCCTGTATAACAGCAGAGCAAAGTCTTTCTGACATACATTGTGTAGTTTTCATGTAATGTTAACTTCATGTGGTTTAGCTTTTTGACTTCAGGCATGTGTATATAACCTTCTGAACATTCATTTAGTTTATAATATGCCAATTTTCTAGCAGTTATTATTGTCCTAAAGTGTAACATTTCACTGTTCAACATCAAGTATGTACACAAAGGGAATTAAACTTTATGGCGTTTCATGAGCTAAGCACAATGGTTGTTCTTAGTAAGTGTCCAACGTGATTTCTTTCTGTTAGCTTTATTGTCATCTTTTTCCCGATTATAAAAACAATATTGCAAAAATTTACTGAATAGGGAATGCCACAAAGTTACACATTGACTTATGTATCTAGATCTTCCTTGAAGTGTAGGTATTCATTCACAAAGAGATATTTAGATCCTGAAGGATGTTTGCATTTACGCTTTACCAAAAATACAGGGAAGCCATTTCTGGGAAATATCTGGCAATTTCTAAAAAAAATTCATCCTTTTTTTTCTCTTTTAGAAGGCCTGTGTTTATTTTTTTACTGAATAGGTGAACAACTACTTCAGAATTCCCATTCTTCTATTGATTCTTTTTCTTTCCTCTCATTTTCCAGTCTTGCTGAATAATTTTCTTAAAACATCCATTTCCAACACTGGAGAGGAATGTAATCTTATTTCTAATTGACTATTTATAATATGACATATTTCTAATCTGCTATGACTAATGTAATAGTCAAAGGCAGTGTTTTACCTATTCAGCATATTTGTTTCTGGTTGAAGAGGGCATTTTTTTCCTTGAAGGTCCTAATGGCTCCTGTTCTTTTTATTCTATTATTTTTTATTATACTTTAAGTTTTGGGATACATGTGCAGAACGTGCAGTTTTGTTACATAGGTATACATGTGCCATGGTGGTTTGCTCCACCCATCAACCCATCACTTACATTAGGTATTTCTCCTAATACTATCCTTCCCTTTGCCCCCCACCTCCTGACAGGCCCTGGTGTGTGATGTTCCCCTCCCTGTGTCCATGTGTTCTCATTGTTCAACTCCCACTTATGAGTGAGAACATGCAGTGCTTAGTTTTCTGTTCCTGTGTTAGTTTGCTGAGAATGATGGTTTCCAGCTTCATCCACGTCCCTGCAAAGGACATGAACTCATCCGTTTTTATGGCTGCGTAGTATTCCATGGTGTATACATGCTACATTTTCTTTCTTTCTTTTTTTTTTTTTTTTTTGAGAAATCTTGTTCTTGTCCCCCAGGCTTGAGTGCAATGGCTCGATCTCAGCTCACAGCAAACTCCGCCTACCAGGTTCAAATGATTCTCTTGCCTCTCCCTCCCAAGTAGCTGGGATTAAGGCACCTGCCACTACACCTGGCTAATTTTTGTATTTTTTAGTAGAGATGGGGTTTCACCATGTTGGCCAGGCTGGTCTCAAGCTCCTGACCTCAGGTGGGTCCACCCACCTCGGCCTCCCAAAGTGTTGGGATTACAGGCGTGAGCCACTGTGCCCGGCCTATGTGCCACATTTTCTTTATCCAGTCTGTCATTGATGGACGTTTGGGTTGGTTCCAAGTCTTTGCTATTGTGAAGAGTGCTGCTAGAAACATACGGGTGCATGTGTCTTTATAGTAGAATGATTTATAATCCTTGGAATATATACCTAGTAATGGGATTGCTGGGTCAAATGGCATTTTCAGTTCTAGATCCTTGAGGAATCACCAGACTATCTTCCATAATGGTTGAACTAATTTACACTCCCACCAACAGTGTACAAGTGTTCCTGTTTCTCCACATCCTTTCCAGCATCTGTTGTTTCTTGACTTTTTAATGATTGCATTTCTATCTGGTGTGAGATGGTATCTCATTGTGGTTTTGATTTGCATTTCTCTGATGACCAGTGATGATAAGCATTTTTGCATGTTTGTTGGCTGCATAAATGTCTTCTTTTGAGAAGTGTTCTTGCATATCCTTTGCCCACTTTTTGATGGGGTTGTTTGTTTTTTTCTTGTAAATTTGTTTGAGTTCATTGTAGATTCTGGATATTAGCCCTTTGTCAGATGAGTACATTGCAAAAATTTTCTCCCATTCTGTAGGTTGCCTGTTCACTCTGATGGTAGTTTCTTTTGCTGTGCAGAAGCTCTTTAGTTTAATTAGATCCCATTTGTCAATTTTGGCTTTTGTTGCCATTGCTTTTGGTGTTTTAGACATGAAGTCCTTGCCCATGCCTATGTCCTGAAAAATTCACACTTTTATGAACTGATGGTATTTGTGGCAATGAGTGTATATTGAAAAGTACCAATGTGGTTTAACAATTACACATAATATTTTTTAGGGGGATTTTTTTTGTTAGTGCCTAACACCAGTCAACACATACTAGTTAAACAGAGAACTACGTATCATATTAATTTGTATTGGTTTGCTTTTGATTGATAAACTTTGTGTTTAGTTTCTGCTGAATCTCTTTACTAAAATTACCAGATTGCTCATGGAAGTCATTTCATCCCTCACGGAATTATTTTCCCAGCTAACTACTCTCTTAAATGATGCATAAGGGTGTTCTAATGCTATTGAAATAAGCAGGGTGTTCGGTGCTGCTTTTCCTCAACTGTTGGTTTCTTTGGATTTCTAGGATGTGGAGAGCATCTTGTGCGCACCATACTGGCTAGAGAATGTTCACATGCTTTACAAGCTGAGGATGCTCACCAAGCCCTGTTGGAGACTATGCAAAACAAGTTTATCAGTAAGTATAACATTAAGAAGATTACATCTTCTAAATATGGATTATTTCACTTCTATAAGCACTATGAGTCAGGTACTCCATTTGTATTTCTAGACCTACCTCTAGGGTCTAGCAGAGGAAAAGAACCACAGTTAATACTGATTGTGAAAAGAAATTCCACCACAGTAGATAGTACCACATGAAATCTTCCATATAACTAAGCTAATCCCCAAGCTGTAAGACACTGACAAGGCTCTCATATAGTAGAATAAATACATAACCATATGTTAATATGTTAATAAGAATTGACCAGTGGCAAAATGTGTGCTGAGAAATGAGTCATGAATAGGCATTTAAGGTCTATCTCTAGTGATTTTTCAGAAAAAGGTTGATTATATTCATGTACTATTTCCTCAAATGTATTAGAATCAGACTTAGGTTTTATTGTTATTTTGTTTTAACAATTACTGTTGTTGAATGCTGTTTTAAAAGAAAACCAAATTCATCGGCTTAATAGCATATGTGATTTACGTAATTGTTATGAGTTATTAGATGCATTCTCAGAATGTTAATGAGAAGGAATAGTAAGAGTAGAAAACTAGATGCTCATCAAAAGTTCACTACTTAGAAAGATCTCTGTAACTAAAACTATAAAACACTGATGAAACAAAATTGAAGAGGACAACAAAAAAATGGAAAAATACTTCATGTGTATGGATTGGAAGAATCAATATTGTTAAAATGTCCATAGTACCCAAAGCAGTCCAAAGATTCAATGCAATCCCTATCAAAATACAAATGACATTCTTCTGAAATAGAAAAAACAACCCTAAAATTTATGTGGACTCGCAAAAGACCCAGAATAGCCAAAGCTGTCCTAAGCAAAAAGAACAAAAATGGAGGAATCACATTATATAACTTCAGATTATATTATAGTAACCAAAATGGCATGGGACTGGCATAAAAACAGACACATAGACCAATGGAACAGAATATAGAACCCAGAAACAAATCCACACACCTACAATGAACTCACGTTCCACAAAGTTGTCAAGAACATACGCTCTGGAAAACTCTCTTCAACAAATGGTGCTGGGAAAACTGGATATCCATATGCAGAAGAATGAAACTAGACTCCTGTCTCTCACCATATACAAAAATCAAATCAAAACAGACTAAAGACTTAAATCTAAGACCCCAATCTATGAAACTACTACAAGAAAGCACTGGGGAAAATCTCTAGGACATTGGTCTGGGAAAAATTTCTTGACTAATACCCTGCAAGTGCAGGCAACCAAAGCAAAAATGGACAGAAGAGATTATATCAAGTTAAAAAGCTTCTCCATAGCAAAGGGAACAACAAAGTGAAGAGACAACCCAAAGAATGGGAGAAGATAATTTGCAAACTATCCATCTGACAAGGGATTAATAACCAGAATATATAAGGAGCCCAAACAACCCTATAGGAAAAAATCTAATAATCTGATCAAAAAATGGGCAAAAGATTTGAACAGACATTTCTCAAATGAAGACATAAAAATTGCAAACAGGCATATGAAAAAGCGCTCAACATTATTGCTTATCAGAGAAATGCAAATCAAAACTACAATGAGATGTTATCTCACCCCAGTTAAAATGACTTATATCCAAAAGATAGGCAATAGCAAACTCTGGTGAAGATGCAGAGAAAAGAGAATGCTGGTACACTGTTGGTGGGAATGTAAATTAGTACAACCACTATGGAGAACAGTTTGGAGGTTCCTCAAAAATCTAAAAATAGAGCTACCATGTGATCCAGCAATCCCACTGCTATGTATATCCCCAAAAGAAGGGAAGCAGTATATTGAAGAGATATTTGCACTCCCATGTTTGTTGTGGCAGCGTTCACAATAGCCAAGATTTGGAAGCAACCTAAGTGTCCAGCAGATGAATGAATAAAGAAAACGTGGCACATATACACAATGGAGTACTATGCAGACATAAAAAAGAATGAGATCTTGTCATTTGCAACAACATGGATGGAACTGGGGGAGATCATTATGTTAAGTGAAATAAGCCAGGCACAGAAAGACAAATATCACATGTTCTCACTTATTTGTAGGATCTAAAAATCAAAACAATTGAACTCATGGAAGGTAGTGGAGGACTTGGCGGGAGGTGGGGATGCTTAACAGGTACAAAAAAATAAGAAAGAATGAATAAGACCCTACTATTTGATGGCACAACAGGGTGACTATGGCCAATAATAATTTAATTATACATTTTAAAATAACTAAAAGAGTGTAATTGGATCATCTGAAACACAAAGGACAAATGCTTGAGGGATGGATACCCTATAGTTGATGGTGTGATTATTTCACATTGCATTCCTGTATCAAAACATCTCAGGTACCTCATAAATACGTATACCTACTGTGTACCCACAAAAATTAAAAGTTAAAAAATAAAAACATTCACTTTCTAGGAACCCTGTGATGGATGTGTAATTATGGCACATGGTAACTTTATGGTTGTTGAGAATGATCCCAAGTACTTTACTGAGTCTAAAACTACAGATTAGCTAGTTCTACTTCCCCAAGTTTGGGTTTATGCTAAGGAGTTCCTGAACTCTGCTCTTTTCTGTTGCTTCGTATAACTCTATAAAACTGTTCACGGAGTTGATCTGCAGTATTTCATCTTGCCACTGGGATCCATTACCTAATACATATTGAGCCCCATCTTAGAAATTCCAGACTCGTGGAAAGGAGCAAGAAATGTCTGAGCTCACCTAATGGACCCTGTTCCTTTAATAGCTGAAACTTAGTTTGCAAGAGTTCAGTGACTTCCAAAAGTCATCTTGTTAACCAGTGGGTGTTTGTTGTGCAAGAAAACACTGCCTTTTATTTAAAAAATAAAAAATGTAAAATGGTATGAAATACAGAAGAACAATGTTCTGGGAGTCAAGACAGTTGTTTCCACTCTCAACTTTGTGTCCGTCTCATTGGTTAAACAAGTTGCTTCAGCAGTTTTATTAAGAATAAAAGCAAAAATGCTAGATAAGAGGCAGTTTCTAAATGCTTTTGCCATGCTACTGTCTATGTCGTATCTTCTGGATTCAGCACATAAATGTGAAATTCTTTTCAGGCAGATAATTTGGAAATGGGATTGAAAAAGGAAAATTTTCAGGAACTACTTAGGAAGCACAGATGATATTTACAAGGTAAATGGAAGGAAATAAATTGAATTACCAGAGGACTAGACTAGAAGCAAGGAGGTTGAGTTTTTTTCTCTTTTAACACACTGGTGGTGTAATTAGTTGTCTGTTTTAGGACAAATCTCTTTATTCTTAATTTCCTCATATGTAAAAGGAGGGGGCAAATACGGATGGTTTCTAAAATTCCTTCCAGCTCCAAAATTATATTTGATCCTTGGTTTAGTTCACAAGCCAAACTAAACTACTTGTATGAAGAATAGTTGTAGGCTGAATGCCGTGGCCTGTAATCCTAGCACTTCGGGAGGCTGAGGTGGGTGGATCACATGAGGTCACGGAGTTCGAGATCAACCTGGCCAACATGGTGAAACCTTGTCTCTACTAAAAATACAAATATTAGCTGGGCGTGGTGGCCAGCGCCTGTAATCCCAGCTACTTGGGAGGCTAAGGCAGGGGAATCTCTTGAACTTGGGAGGCTGAGGTAGGAGAATCGCTTGAACATGGGAGGCAGAGATTGCAGTGAGCCAATATTGTGCTACTGCACTCCAGCCTGGGCAATAGAGCAAAAACTCTGTCTCAAAAAAAAAAAAAAAAGTTGTAAATCAAATTAGCCATTAAATGAAATTATAAATTAAAACTATTAATGGTGGATCTCAAGTTTCTATTTGAAATGATTTGGTTGAAATCCTTTCAGCCAATGATGGAGGTAAGCTAGCAACCACTTTCTTGGTTTTGTGGAAACCACAATATTCTTCCCTTTTTGCTTCCTTTGTTTTTTCTTTTTAAAAAAATATTTGTATAAAATATCTAGTGATTCTCATTACAATGCATGTGTAGAAAAATTGTATATGACAATTAAGTTCAATAACCCCTTTTCATTCATTCTGAGTCTCATTTCTCCTGCCAGAAAGAACCACTGCTAACAGATTGGTATGTATATTTATGGCTTTCCCTCACTCCTTTCCTGCCATCCTCCCTTTTCTTTCTTTCTTCCATCATTTTAAAAATTATATAGAAGAGATTTTTAATGTATTGTTTTGCAATATGCTTTCCACTTAACATAGCTTAATGCTCTTAATATATCAGTATATATAGTTTTATAGCCAAATATTTCATGGTTCCATAATTTATTCATTCCTCTACTGAAAGAGATTTGTCTGTAATTTTTGTCTGTATCATTTTACTGCATATAAGTGCTTACTTCTCTATATTCTTTTAACTAAACATTTTATATGATTTCATTTCCTCTCTTTTTTAGCATGTAAGTTATTTTTTTTAGTGGTTGCTCTAGAGTTTGGAACATACATTTACAATTAACCTAAGTTCACTTTTTTTTGGTAAAAATTTAAGGGGTTCAAGTGCAGTTTTGCTACATGGATGTATTGTGTAGTGGTGAAGTCTGGGCTTTCAGTGTAACCATCACCTGAATAATGTACATTGTACCCATTACGTAATTTCTCATCCCTCATTCCCTGACTCTCCCACCCTTTTGAGTCTCCACTGTCTACTATTGTAGACTCTATGTCCATGTGTACACATTATTTAGCTCCCATCTATAAGTGAGAACATTTGGTATTTGACTTCCTGTTTGTGAGTTATTTCAGTTAAGATAATGGCCTCCAGCTCCATCCATGTTGCTTCAGAAGACATGATTTCATTCTTTTTTGTGGCTGAATAGTATTCGTGTGTGTGTGTGTGTGTGTGTGTGTGTATCATATTTTCTTTAGTCATCTGTTGATGGACACTTCAGTTGATTCCATGTCTTTGCTATTGTGAATAGTGCTGTGGTACACATACGAGTGCAGTTTTTTGTGTAATGATTTTCCTTGAGTGGACACCTATTAGGTTGGTGCAAAAATAATTGCGGTTCCAGACTGTGAATTTTAAATCATTATAACTAGGCTCAACCATTATTGCTTATGGGTCTAATAATTTGTTTTTATGTATTTTTCCTAAAGTAGCTAGTAACTTACTAAAATAAAGATTTTTTTCTCTTACTGCAATTTGAAAAAACTCCGCCACCATCTTAAGTGTAGGGTTTGTTTAAATCTATTTTTGATAAACAAGACTTTAATGTGATAGACCAAATGGAGGAAAATTGAAAGGCATTTCAGAGATTGAAATGTTTTTGTTTCCACTTGCATTACCTTATGCCAAGATCAGGGCTTTGGTTTGACTTAATATTGGAAGCATAAAAGAGAATAACCAGTCTGCACATTTCTTTGAAAACCACTCTTCATGTAACATACAAAACTCATAAAAATGGGTACTGTAAAAATAGTGCCTTAATAATACTTCATGCTAACCAGCTGATTATAGACTGAATGCTTAGTTAAGTGGGGGAAGAAATAAGTAGTTTCCTTTTTAGTTGTTCTTTTTAAAAGATTACACACATATACACATATAAAACCTCTTTCAGTGATTCAGATGTGACTTTTCCTCTTCATGGTTATTTTTAAACCAACTTGGTTTTGTGAATTATTCTTTTTGATGCAAACCTTGGCTGTATGTGTGGTATGTGAACTGTGGGGCAGCATTATAGATTCCTGCTCAGTACTTAACGACTAATATCATGGTACATTTTTTTTTAGTTGGTTTCTGTTTATTACTAAATATAATGATTGATAAAATGTTATCTGTGAAAATGACTTCTTTTTTTTCTTTGAATTTCTGAACTAAGCTACTAGTCTTATAAACCTACAATCTTTGTGACTATTGTTGGAAAATTCCATGTGGAATATAGTATTACGATTTTAAAAAGTGATTTTTGCTCTATATTTTACTTCATTCTTTTGGGGAGATGTTCTTACACTGTCATTGACATTAGAGGATCACTGTCAATTGTAGAGTGCTGTCGACAATTGAGATGGAGTCCCCTCTTATGCTTTTCTGCCAAATAGAGAAGTTATATTCAATTAATATTTTATGTGAACAGTAGCTGTCATAGGAAGAACAAAAGTACCCTGTAATTACACATTTAGCCTCTGTGATCATCATTTCATGAATTTCTTAATGATTTAGAATATTTAAAAAATATAATGTTCTCTTTTCCAGGGCATTGTGTTTTTATAAGACTTTGCTTCATATTTGATAAGCATATTTCTCTTTTTCAAACACTAAAATCTTTTTTCTTTGTAGCCATCTGGAGCTTGAGGGATTCCTAAGAAAATGTATTCTTTTTTGTCTATTAGAAAAATCAAAGATGTTTCTCCTTCACTGTTATAAATGCTGTGATATTTAGCTGGTTATACTCACATGTCCAAACTGCAAAATAAGGAAAATATAAATTAAGCGTATCTCTTTGGGCAATATTTGCCACTAATTCTTGGGCTCTAGGCTTTATATTTTCAGAATTTTATTTATCTTTTTATTTAACAATTATTCATTGACAGCTATGCATATACAAGATACTTTGCTGGTTACTATGAGAGATTCACAGATAAATAAAACAGCCTTGCTATCAAAAAAACTTGCATTCCAGCGGAAAAGAAAAAAACAAATGCACAGTAAATAAAATATAAGGTGAATAAGCACTGTACTAAAGTTCAGGAAATATAGGAACTTGCATTCTGGGCAATTTTGTGAAATGGAGATCCTGGAATCTTCTGACTACAAATAATCTAAAAATGCTAGACAAAATATTTAAAAAGGCAAAAATCACACTTTCAAATGAATGGATGAAAATTTTTGTGTAAGGTAGTCCTAGATGTATGAAACTCCCAGGAGTTTGGGAGAAATAAGTGAAGATCCTTTCTGAAGGAGTACACTGTCAGCTCAGATCTCAAAGAAATCTCATATATGAATCTAAAATAGAAGGATAAAATAAAGTAAAACACGTAAAAGAGAGTTACCATGAGAGAGAGCATGTAGGTCAACAGAAACTTTAACCAGACTACCAAAGACTTTATTTATTTGTTTGTTTGTTTATTTATTTATTTGAGATGGAGTTTCACTCCTGTTGCCCAGGCTGGAGTACAGTGGCGTGATCTCGGCACACTGCAGTCTCCGCCTCCTGGATTCAAGTGATTCTCCTCCCTCAGCCTCCCAAGTAGCTGGGATTACAAGTGTCTGCCACCTTGCCCAGCTAATTTTTTGTATTTTTAGTAGAGACGGGGTTTCACCGTGTTAGTCAATATAGTTTTTTTTGTTTTGTTTTGTTTTTGAGATGGAGTCTTGCTCTGTCACCCAGGCTGGAGTGCAATGGCATGATCTCAGCACACTGCAGTCTCCGCCTCCAGGGTTCAAGTGATTCTCCTGCCTCAGCCTCCCAAGTAGCTGAGATTACAAGCATCCGCCACCATGCCCAGCTAATTTTTTATATTTTTGGTAGAGATGGGGTTTCACCATGTTGGCCAGGCTGGTCTCAAACTCCTGACCTCAGGTGATCCCCCAACCTCGGCCTCCCAAAGTGCTGGGATTACAGGCATGAGCCACCATGCCTGGCCTACCAAAGACTTTAGATATTAGAATTACTAGATAGAAAATATGAAATGTGTGTTTTAAATATTGATGTTTTTAAATAGGGACAATCATTTTGGAAAAATATTCATTCATTTCAATTTTCATGAAAAGTGGAACATGTGCCTGCCCAAAACCCAGAAACTCTGGTCCTGTATTTCTATGTATGTACCAGATGACATGCACAAGAATATCTATAGCACTTATTTTAAATGATGGAAAGAACTGTAATGTCCACCAACAGAATACCATATGGCAGTAAAAATGGATGCCTTGCAACTGTACCCATCAGCATGAATGAACCTTAAAATCATGATACTTAAGTTAGAAAATGCAGTTTGCAAAGGAATGCAGTCAGTATGCCACCATTAAGATATCTTAGCAAAATCAAACATTAATTATACATACATATATATTAAAACTATAAAGGAGAGAAAGAAGTTATTAAGAAGTAATTCAGGGTAGTAGTTTTCTCTGGAAGGGAGGATTTGGGAAGTCTCAACAATGTTGGTAGGGATTACTTTTCCAAGTTGTTTAGTGAATTAATGGATGTTTGTTCTATTTATGTGTTTGACAAATTATGTGTTACATATATTCTTTTTCAAACAAATCAAGAAAAAAAAATCCTATCAAAAAGTAGACCAAGAACATGAGTAGACATTTCTCCAAAGAAGATATACTGCCAACAAACATGAAAAAAATGCTCAATATCACTAATCATTAGGGAAATGCAAATTAAAACCACAGTGAGTTACCACCCTATGCCTACAAGAATGACCATAATTTAAAAGTCAAAAAACAATAAATGTTGGCATGGATGTAATGTAAAGAGAACACTTTTACACTGCTGGTAGAAATGTGAATTTGTGCAATCATTATGGAAAACAGTATGAAGATTCCTTAAAGATCTAAAAATAGATCTACCATTTGATCCAGCAGTCCCACTACTGAGTAGCTACCCAAAGGAAATGAAGTCATTATAAGAAAAAGACACATGCACATACAAGTTTATAGGAGCACAATTTATAATTGCAAACATATGGAACCAACCTTAGTACCCATTGACTAACGAGTGGATAAAGAAAATATGGTATATACACACCATGGAATACTATTCAACCATAAAAAGGAATGAAATAATGTCTTTTACAGAAACTTGGATGGGGCTGGAGGCCATTATTCTAAGTGAAGTCACTCAAGAATAGAAAACCAAATATCATATGTTCTCACTTATAAGTGGGAGTTAAGCTGTGAGGACACAAAGGCATAAGAGTGATATAATGGACTTTGAGGACTCATAGGAGAAGATTGGGAGGGGAGTGAGGGATAAAAGACTACATATTGGGCACAGTATATACCGCTCAGGTGACAGGTTCACTAAAATATCAGAAATAACCACTTAAAGAATGTATTCATGTAACTCAAAACCATTGAAACCCAAAACCATTCCAAACCCCAAAACTATTGAAATAAAAATATCAAAACCTTAACAGTTAAAATCCTTTTTTATTTTTATTTCTTTTCAAGACTGAGTCTCCCTCTGTCATGCAGGCTGGAGTGCAGTAGCACGATCATAGCTCCCTGTAACTTACAACCCCCCTGGGCTCTAGCGGTCCTTGCGCCTCAGCCTCCTAAGTAGCTAGGATTACAGGCACTTACCACCACATCCAGCTAAATTTTTAATTTTTCTATGGAGACAGGGTCTCACTATGTTGCCCAGGCTGATCTTGAACTCCTGGGCTCCAGTAATCCTCCTGCTTTTACCTCCCAAAATGCTGGGATTACAGTTGTGAGCCACCATGCCTGGCCCATAGTTAAACTCTTAATGTGGTGAAGTAGGAAAGGGCTGAAGAGTTCAAAAGAAGCAGAGGAAGGTGTCATATCTGGTAGATTAAGGAAAGAGTCATGAATGAAGTGTCTTCAGGAGGGAAAATCTTGGGGTTTGTTTTATGATCAGCAAGTTATCTAATTTAAGAGGTAGACAGAATATAGTCAAGAGAATGGTATAATTACAACTGGAAAAACAAACAAACAAACAAGCAATTTTTCTTAATGTAGTGGACAGCCACATAAGGCTTTTGGCAATAGAGTTTTTTTAAGATATATTATTATTATTATACTTTAAGTTCTAGGGTACATGTGCACAATGTGCAGGTTTGTTACATATGTATACATGTGCCATGTTGGTTTGCTGCACCCATTAACTCGTCATTTACATGAGGTATTTCTCCTAATGCTATCCCTCCCCCATCCCCCCACCCCACAACAGGCCCCGGTGTGTGATGTTCCACTTCCTGTGTCCATGTGTTCTCATTGTTCAGTTCCCACCTATGAGTGAGAACATGCGGTGTTTGGTTTTTTGTCCTTGCAATAGTTTGCTGAGAATGATGGTTTCCAGCTTCATCCATGTCACTACAAAGGACATGAACTCATCCTTTTTTATGGCTGCATAGTATTCCATGGTGTATATGTGCCACATTTTCTTAATCCAGTCTATCATTGATGGATGTTTGGGTTGGTTCCAAATCTTTGCTATTGTGAATAGTTCTGAAATAAACGTATGTGTGCATGTGTCTTTATAGTAGCATGTTTCTATAATCCTTTGGTTTATATACCCAGTAATGGGATGGCTGGGTCAAATGGTCTTTCTAGTTCTAGATCCTTGAGGAATCGCCACACTGTCTTCCACAATGGTTGAACTAATTTACACTCCCACCAACAGTGTAAAAGCGTTCCTATTTCTCCACATCCTCTCCAACAACTGTTGTTTCCTGACTTTTTAATGATCGCTGTTCTAACTGGTGTGAGATGGTATCTCATTGTGGTTTTGATTTGTATTTCTCTGATGAGCAGTGATGATGAGCATTTTTTCATGTGTCTGCTGGCTGCATAAACGTCTTCTTTTGAAAACTGTCTGTTCATATTCTTTGCCCACTTTTTGATGGGGTTGTTTGATTTTTTCTTGTAAATTTGTTTAAGTTCTTTGTAGATTCTGGATATTAGCCCTTTGTTAGATGGATAGATTGCAAAAATTTTCTCCCATTCTGTAGGTTGCCTGTTCACTCTGATGGTAGTTTCTTTTGCTGTGCAGAAGCTCTTTAGTCGAATTAGATCCCATTTGTCAATTTTGGCTTTTGTTGCGATTGCTTTTGGTGTTTTAGTCATGAAGTCTTTGCCCACGCCTATGTCCTGAATGGTATTGCCTAGGTTTTCTTCTAGGGTTTTTATGGTTTCAGGTCTAACATTTAAGTCTTTAATCCATCTCAAATTAATTTTTGTATAAGGTGTAAAGAGGGGATCCAGTTTCAGCTTTCTACATAAGGCTAGCCAGTTTTCCCAGCACCGTTTATTAAATAGGGAATCCTTTCCCCATTTCTTGTTTTTGTCAGGTTTGTCAAAGATGAGATGGTTGTAGATGCATGGTGTTATTTCTGAGTCCCCTGTTCTGTTCCGTTGGTCGGTATATCTGTTTTGGCACCAGTACCATGCTGTTTTGGTTACTGTAGTATAGTTTGAAGTCAGGTAGTGTGATGCCTCCAGCTTTGTTCTTTTTGCTTAGGATTGTCTTGGCAATGCAGGCTCTTTTTTGGTTCCATATGAACTTTAAAATAGTCTTTTCCAAATCTGTGAAGAAAGTCATTGGTAGCTTGATGGAGATGGCATCTGTCATGGCTTCCCTTGGCTAGGAAAGGGAAATCCTCTGACCCCTTGCGCTTCCTGGATGAGGCGATGCCGCACCCTGCTTTGGCTCTCCCTCCGTGGTCTGCACCCACTTTCTGAGTAGTCCCAATGAGATGAACCAGGTTCCTCAGTTGGAAATGCAGAAATCATCCGTCTTTGCATAGATCACGCTGGGAGCTGCATACCAGAGCTGTTCCTGTTTGGCCATCTTGGAACGGAGCTATACTCAGTAAATACAGTTTTATTCTAAGATGTGGGATGGATTGGAGGAAGGAGACCTTGGAGATGAGGTACTAATTTGTAGGCAGTGGCAATTAGAGAAATAGAACTAGATTGGATAGAAAGGAGGGTCATGTACTAAAGACTCTCAAAGAGAATCTCTGGGGCTTTATAGCTGATAAAATGTGACAGATGTGGGGAAAGAGGCATTTGAATAGCTGGAGTTTAGATTCTGAAGGACATGGAATTACATGCCAATAAGAAATTATAGGAATGTCATATTTGAAACATTGGACATGTAGAGAGAATGGCATTGGTTTTGACCATGTTGGTATAGAGGTATTTGTAGACATGATAGTCAGTAGCCGTATGTGGGACTAGACTTTGAGAGGGGAGTTGAGACCTTGGGGTTGTCTTCCATGATTTATGGTACTTCCATATGCAGGATTCAGCTAAAAGGCCAGATCTGCTCACATGTCATTTTCTCAAAGAAGCTTTCCCTGTCCACCCTACCTAAAATTTTACTCCTTTTCCTGCCCTCCTACTCTGGTTTATGTTTCTATTTAACCCTTCTTGATTTATTCTGTATTTACTTGTTATTATTGTTTGTCTCCCTTAAGCAGGGCATAAACTCTAGGAGAGCAGAGATTCTGACTATTATTTTTAACCCCATTGCTAGAAAAAGAGTATCCTTTGAAGGGGATAGAAAAGAGAGAAAGAATGAGGGAAGAGAAAAGGACACTTGTGATTTGGAAGCCAGAGATAGAAGGGATCTTGTTTCATAACTGAAAGGATTGCAATGTATTTACAGTTGTAAATAAATATGCAGAAAAAGCTTTTGGGGTTAGGCATTAAGAGGGTACAAGTCAACTCTGAAGTTTGTGTAGTGGCAGGGTGAGAAAAGAACTCTGTTGAGCGGCTGGGAGAGAGAGAGGATCAGAAATGATGAAGAAGGGGACAAGTTAGATGGTTTAGACTCCAAATCATCTTGTCAATAGGTGACTGATATCCATCAACTTTGCTTCTAAAATGTGTACAAGTTAGTACACAAATGTATACCTTGCATTTTTATCTTCTTTTTTGTTTAACTAGAGTACATCTTACAGAGGGTCACAAAGTTGCAAAATAAATCATTTTTCTTTCCTTGTGACATAAGATACATATGTATAATTCCAGAACATTTTTAAGTGTATAGAAGTTTTATAAAATGTATAGAATGCATTTAAGTGGGTAGGTGGATTGGGAATAAAAGGAAAAAGAAAAGATGGGAAATTTCTATAAGGATATCAGTCACTTAGAAAATGAATGCGGTTTTATAAGAGCCTTCAAGAATATTCATTAGGAAGCTCATGGTAGAATTGAATGCCTTTTGCTTGCCCCTTTCTGGGGTGTTGTTATGGTGAGCTCTGAAATACCTCTCAGAGTGCCCCCCTCTACCCCTTTTTAAATTGAGGCTTAAGAAATAATTCATTTAAAACAAGACGCAGAAAGCTTGTAGCTTGTATCAGAATGTCAGGAGGTTGAAGAATAGGAAGAGTGATTAGAGAGATAATACTCAATGGCATTATTGAAGGTAATAGACATTTGAGACTTTTTTCCCTTGGATACAATGGATGATTAAAAATCACATTTAGAAACCAAAGCAGGCAGATCATTTGAGGTCAGGAGTTCGAGACCAGCCTGGCCAACATGGGAAAACCCCGTCTCTACTAAAAATACAAGAATTAGCCAGGCATGGTGTCAGGTGCCTATAGTTCCTGCTACTCGGGAGGCTGAGGCAGGAGAACAGCTTGAACCCAGGAAGCAGAGGTTGCAGTGAGCCAAGATCATGCCACTGCATTCTAGCCTGGGCAACAGAGCAAGACACTCTCTCAAAAAAAAAAAAAAAAAAAAAAAAAAAAAAAAAAGGACATTTATTGACCTGGACAACTGTCATTTGAAAATAAATAGTTCGTCTGTATGTTATATTGAGTTAACACTAAATTTGATTTTTTCAGTACATGTTGATTCTGAGAAACAACCATCACAATTTCCAAAGAACCCAGAAGTTAACCTTCTTTGACATGGTGGATGCATTTTTATCTTGGGATGATACTGAGTCAGTGTGTGTGGGAAGTTCAATTATTTTTCTCTTCTTCCTTTCTTCTTACAAATAGGAAAAAGAAAAAAATTTTATTACTGCATTAAATTACTAACAGTATTGATCAGCAGCAGACTAATAAGATGGACTTACTGGAATCAGTGGAAATGGGTAGCTGGCAGCAAGAGAATAACTTCTTGGATTTTGGGCTCTCAAAATGGAAGTTGGTTTTCTCCCTGTGGCTGAGGTTTCCTGTTTGCAAGAAAGCCTTCTAGAGCCTGGAAGTTTCATACATTTTGTACATTTGGAGCTTTTTAAGTAGCAGAGATGATTGTATCTACCACAGATGTGTTCTTCACCCAGGCCTTTGGGGAACCAAACCAAAAAGCCATTTAAAATAGCTACTAAATTTTGATAACTGGAAATAATTTGGTAATATTTTTTGGTTGGAAAGCAAATAATAAGCATAGTACTAACAAAGGCAAAACAAAAAACCAAACTCCCAAACTCTGTAAACAATCTTGCGTTACGTTAAAAAGAGCTATTGTTTTGCTACTGATTTATTTGATTTTAAAAAGTGGCCAGTTTGGGGGACCATGGACTTGATTATAAAGGTTAGTGCCATCCCATCATTGGGAGCTGCTGAACTATTCACAATTGGTATTTTATTGAGTTTTAAAAGATGTTTATGAAGTATTAGGATGTAATTAAAATCATACAAGGAATTTGTTTCATCTCATGCAAAAAAAAAAAACACACACACATAAAAAAACCAAAAATTCTTGTCTCCATATTAGCAAATTTTTTTTCTCCTAAGGGTACTTATTAGGTGATCAAAAAGCTTTTTGTCTCTTCCTTTAGTTTGTGAGCATGTGGGGAAAACCACTAATATTAGTTACGGTAAACTCAAAGCACATAATTATAATGTTGCAAGAAGCAAAGGGAAATTAAATCATATGACACTGAAGGTTGAGTTGCACAGTATATTGACTAATTAGTCTGAATAGGGCCTAAGCTGCATTTGGTGGATTAGATGAATAAATAAATCCATAATTATTATAATGCTCATAACATAATTTAGGATGATTTTTATAGTTGTGAAGTTGCTTCCCCTCATTATAATCTCACTTTTTAAAACCTACCAGATATTTGAAAATAACTATGACTTTTGAGCCTGTGAAAACCACACATTCTTGAGAGAAGAATGAAGTGTATTAAACAATGTTATTCTTAACATTTTATGAATGTGTAAAATCCAGTCCATTCATTAGCATCAACAGGGAGCAGCTTATGTGGCATACTTCTCAAATAGTCTATCTGAGGCATAATGACATTGGTGATTTTCTGGTATTTTACCACACTTCTGAGTTGATTTTTAGTTTCAAATTGGGTAAGCTCAGAGTATCTTTGTTTGTTTTAAGTAGCAAGATTTCTAGTCATTTAAACCACTTAAAATCAAGTAGCAGGCTTTATTTGAATTTGTGATTAGGAATTCTGTAATTGTATTTGTTAGGAAAATTTTCAGTGTGTTTGCTGTAAATGTGTGTATGTGGTTTTGTTTTTTGTTTTTTGTTTTTGTTTTTGTTTTTGTTTTTGTTTTTTTGAGATGGAGTTTTACTTTTGTTGCTCAGGCTGGAATGCAATGGTGCAACCTCGCCTCACTGAACCCTCCGCCTCCTGGGTTCAAGCGATTCTCCTGCCTCAGCCTCTGGAGTAGCTGGGATTACAGGTGCCCACCACCATGCCTGGCTAACTTTGTATTTTTAGTAGACATGAAGTTTCACCATGTTGGCCAGACTGGTCTCGAACTCCTGACCTCAGTTGATCTACCCATCTTGGTCTCCCAAAGTACTAGGATTACAGTCATGAGCCACTGCACCTGGCCGTGTGTATGTGTTTTTAGGGCACCTTTTTTTAAAAGGTCAGGTATAATCCTGTTTGTCTTCCTTCCCTTCTTTTTCTTGTAAAATATGTACAATGTTCCAAAGAACTTCTTATATTCTGTAATATTTAGAGACAAATACGCAAAACAAATGACTATGTTATCAATATAGAAGCCAATATTTAAAGAATCCAACCAAAGTACCAATTGACTGACAACTAGTGCTATAGGTAAAAATTAGCTCCTTTGGTCAAATAATTATGAAGCAATGACACTTTAAACAAAATAATTTGGGAGTAATTAGCTTTTTTTTTTTTTTTAGGAAGACATTTTAAAGATGGTTGAAGAAATTTTAATAGATGGTAGTTTGAATTACTATTTGTAGTCTTAGGCATGATAATATTATAGTGGTTTAGGTAGGAGAATGTCCTTGTTCAGGTGATGTCTTCATTTAGGATGAAGGGTTGCAATATTTGACAGTTACTTGCGAGTGCCTTAGGAAAAAAAAGTATTTGTGTGTCGTGTGTGTGTGTGTGTGTGTGTGTGTGTGTATTGTATGTGTGTTAATTTCCATCTCTATATCTATGAAAGAACTCAAATGTAGCAAAATGTTAATATGAGAATCTAGGTGAAGCATATATAAATCTTCATTGTATTACTTTTTCAGCTTCCCTGATGATTTGAAACCTTAAAAAGCCATAGGAAAATTGACTTGAAAAAGTAGTATCAATGTTTGTTGAACATTTTTTAGTTTTCTTTTGAAGTCATTTTTGTGGCTTAAAAAAGCACAGACAAGTCTGCTTTGCCTACCTCACAAAGTTACCATTGATACAATGAGATTAGGTTTATAAAAACTGAGAAAATTCTGTACACATGTGAGCTGCCACTGCTGTTCCTCATGAGATAGTCATGTCCACATTTTAGTAGTATGATGTCCTGATTTCAGTCTCTGATGAAGAATAAGGAAGTGGCTTTATTATTATTATTACTATCTTTTAAGATGGAGTCTTGCTTTGTCGCCCAGGCTGGAGTGCAGTGGTACCATCTTAGCTCAGTGCAACTTCCACCTCTAGAGTTCAAGCAGTTCTCCTGCCTCAGCCTCCCCTGTGGCTGGGATTACAGGCGCATGCCACCACGCCTGGCTAATGTATTTTTAGTGGTGACGGGGTTTCACTGTGTTGGCTATCCTGGTCTTGAACTCGTGACCTTGTGATCTTCCTGCCTTGGCCTCCCAAAGTGCTGGGATTACAGGCACAAGCCACCACGCCCAGCCAGAGGTGGCTTTTTGATTTTAAAGAGGACTTACATAACTGGATTTATGTAAGGTGATCAAAACTGAAGTTTACTGATTCTTTGCATGTTTGCTGTCATCAATGTCAAAATAAAGGCGTGCAAGTCTTATTTTGTGATATAGCTGCTCAAAATAAGATTTCACACGTTTTTGTGAGTTTTTAATATATACTTTATTAGCTTATTTTTCTTCCTTATATTAACCTGAAGAATATTCAGTGCAGGTTTCCAATTTGAAGGTTTTTTTTTAATTAAACTTTTAATTTTGACTTAACTGTAGATTCACATGCAGTTGGAAGAAATAATATGGAGAAATCTATATACCAGTTACCCAGTTTCTCCTAATGTTAATGTCTTGCAGAATTATAATAGAATGTCACAACTAGGCTATATGATATTGATACAACTTGCCAATGTTACTCAGTTTCCCCAGCTTTACTTGTAGTTTGTGTGTGTGCATGTGTGTATGTGTATTTAGTTCTATGCAGTTTTATCATGTGTGAGTTCATGTATTCACCACAAGTCATGATACAGAACCCCTTAATCATCACAAGAATCCCTCACGTTCCCCCTTTATAACCACATCACCTGACTATCACTCACCCACCCACCCACCCTGACTTTAATCCCTGGCAACCAATAGTCTCCTGTCTCTATAATTTTGTCATTTCAAAAATGTTATATAGATGGAATCATTCAGTATGTGACCTTTTAGGATTGTCTCTTTATACTCAGCAAAATTCCGTGGAGATTCATCCATGTTTTGGTGTGTATCAGTAGTTCATTTCTTTTTATTACTGAGTGGTATTCCCTGGTGTGGACACACCATAATTTGTTGAACCTTTTACTCACTGAAGTACATCTGGGTTGTTTCTATTTTTTTAGTATTATAAATAAATTTATTTTCAGTATTATAAATAAATTAATTACTGTGAGTGCTAGTGTACAGATTTTTGTGTTCGCATGAGTTTTCATTTCTTGACAATAAATGCCCAAAAGTATGTTTGCTGGGTCTTTGGGTGTTTAAGGAACCACAGAGTTGTTTTCCGGAGTCATATTCCCAGTAGCAAGGTACGAGTGATTCAGTTTCTCCACATCTTTGCTAGGTTTGTCACTATTTCTTATTTAACTATTCTGATAGATCTGTAATGATACTGTTTTTGTTCCTAGTCATCTGCTTTTTAAAAAAATTGTGGTAAAATACACATGGCATGAAATTTACCATTTTAACCTTTTTTTTTCCTTTCCTTTTTTTTTTTTTTTTTTTTTGGGAGAGAGAAAGGGGGTCTTGCTCTGTCACCTAGGCTGGAATGCAGTGGCACCATCATGGCTCACTACAGCTTTGACCTCCTGGGCTTAAGCGATCCTCCCACCCCAGCCTCCCAAGTAACTTGGACTACAGGCATGAGCAGCCATGCCTGGCTACTTTTTTATTTATTATTTATTTTTTAGAGATGGAATCTCTCTATATTGCCCCGGCTGGTCTTGAATTCCTGGCCTCAAGCAATCTTCCTGTCTCGGCTTTCCCAAGTGTTGGGATTACAGGCATGAGTCACTGTGAGTGCCTTGCTTTAACCATAAGTGTACAGTTCTGTAGGGTTAAGCATCTTCACATTCTTGTGCAGCCAATCTTCAGACTCTTTTCATGTTGTAAAACTGAACTTCTGTATCCATTAAACAACTCCCCTTTCCCTCCTCTCTGCAGCTCCTGGCAACTATCATTCTACTTTTTATCCTAATGAATTTGGCTACTCTGGGTACCTCTTGTAAGTGGAATCATGTAGTATTTGACCTTTTGCAACTGGCTTATTTCACTTAGAATAATGTCCTTAAGGTTCATCCAAGTTGTAGCATGTGTCAGAATTTCATTCCTTTTTATTTCTAAATATCTTATTGCATGTATATACTACATTTTGTTTATCCATTCATCTGTCAATGGACATTTGGGTTGTTCCTTATATTAGTGTGCTGGGGCTACCATAACAAAGTACCATAGACTGGGTGGCTCAAACAACAGAAATTTATTTCCTCACAGTTAAGGAGGCTAGAAGTCCAAGTTCAAGATGTCAGCATGATTGGTTGCTAATGAGATCTCTTTCTCCTTGGCTTGTAGATGACCATCTTATCCCAGAGTCTTCTCATGGTCTTTCCTCTGTGAGTTTTCTGTGTCCTAATTTCCTCTTGTAATGACACAAGCCATGTTGGATTAGAGCCCATCCTAATGACCTCATTTAACCTTAATTAAGCCTTTAAAGACTCTGTCTCCAATACAGCTATATTCTGAGATACTGGGGATTAGGACTTCAAAATATGCATTTGGGGAGCAGGAGATACAATTTAGCCTGTGGCCGTTGTGAATAACACCTTTGGCTGTTGTGAATAATGCTGCAATTAATATGGGTGTACAAATATCTCTTTGAGATTTGCTTTCAGTTCTTTTGGGTAAATATCCAGAAATGGAATTCCTGGATTGTATGGTAATTCTGGTTTTGGTTTTTTGAGGAACTGCTATACTGTTTTCCTTAGCAGCTGCACATTTTATATTCCCAACAGTGCCTTCCCATTTCTTTACATCCTCACCAATACTTGTTATTTTCTGGGTTTTTTCTTTTTTTGATAGTAGCCATCCTAATGGGTATGTGTTGGTATCTCTTTGTGGTTTTGGTTTGCTTTTTGTTATTAATTAGTGACATTAAGCATCTTTTCATGTGCTTATTGGCCATTTGTATATCTTTGGAGAAGATGTGTATGAAGTCCTTTGCCCACTTTTTGATTAGTTCTTTGATTTGTTATTGAGTTGTAAAAGTTCTTTGTATATTCTGGATATTAACCTCTTATTAGATATGTGATTTACAGATATTTTCTGTTATTCCATAGATCATGTCCTTTGATGCACAGAATAACTTTTTAATTTTAATTTTGATGTGATCTAATTTGCCTGTTTTTTTATTTGTTGCCTGTGCTTTTGGTGTCATATACAAAAAGTCATTGCCAAATCCAATGTCATGAAGCTTGCCCCCTGTGTTTTCTTATAGGAGTTTTATAGTTTTTACTCTTACATTTAGATCTTTGATTCATTATGAGTTTATTTTTGCATATGTTGTAAAGCAAGGGTCCAACTTAATTCCTTTGCATGTGGATATCCACTTTTCCTAGCATCATTATCGAAAAAGACTATCCTTTCCCCATCGAATGGTCTTGACACCCGTCTTGAAAAATCATTAAACACATATGAGTGTTTATTTCTGGGCTCTCTATTCTATTCCATCGATCTATATGTCTGTCTTTATGCCATTACCATACTCTTTTGGTTACTGTGGCATCATACTAAGTTTTGAAATCAGGAAGTGTGAAGCCTCCAATTTTGTTCTTTTTTAGGATAGTTTTGGTTATTTGGGGTCTCCTGAGATTCCATGTAAATTTTTGGATGGGTGTTTTTATTTCTGCCAAAATTGCCACTGGGAATTTGATAGAGATGGCATTAAATCTGTAGATCATTCTGGGTAGTATTGACATCTTAACAATATTAATTGTACTCCATAAACACAAGATGCCTTTCCATTTTTTGTACCTTTAATTTATTTTTAAAAATATTTTATAGTTTTCAGTGTACAAGTGTTTTGCCTTTTTGGTTAAGTTTATTTACAAGTATTTTATTCTTTTTAATGCTATTGTAAATGGATTTTTCCCCTTAATTTCCTTTTCAACTTGTTCATTATTAGTATATAGAAATCGAGTTCAAAGTTTTAAGAACAAGCATGCATTAATTTCCATTTCAGATTGTTCACTGTTAGTATGTAGAAATTCAATTTAAAGTTTTGAGAACAGGAATGTATAAGCTCAACATCTCTTGTGATGCCTGGAAAATCTTTAAACCAAAAATACTGGTCACTGCTGGGTGTGGGGCAAGAACTTGGCAGATATGTGGGAAAGGCAGCTATTCCTTTTTACCATGCTTAGGAAAAAAGGGTTCATGCCCTTCAAACTACTATCAAAATCAATGTGCATGCCTTATTATACTTCGCTTTTCTTTAACAGTCAAAAGCCATGCTGTCCCATATAGCAGTCATTAGTCACATCTGGCTATTTAAATTTAAATTAACTAAAATTAAATACAATTAGAAGTTCAGTTTCTCAGTTGTACTAGCCACATTTCAAATGCTAAATAGCTGCATATGACTACAGGATAATGAAATGTACAAGTGCAGTGGCTTTTAAAATCTTGAGTGATTCATTTCTCTCTTTAAAAGCTACTTATGTGGCTTAATCAAAGACTTAATTTCACTCTTTAAAAACCTCTCTTTGGAAGCCACATATCATGGATTAACCAGAGAGATTTATTTTTTTTCTCATAATAAGATGTCCAGAGGTCCTATGTGCCAGCTCCACAATGTCTCTGATGGTCCTGCCTCCTTGTGTCTTATTGGCTAGAACTGTGTCCCATCATCCCCTCTAGTTACAGAGACACTGAGAAACAATTTCTTAGCTGGACACATGATTGTCTCCTCCACAAAATGGGGCTTCTTTTCGATGGAAAGAATGAATCTTGTATAAACATCTGCTGTCTGCCTCAGGGGTTGGACTAGATGATCCTTGATCTGGACGACTCTTCCTAGCTCTGGAAGTTGGGAACTTTGTTTAATAAACTCTGGGAGAATTGGTGATTAAGGCTTTAATGCTCATGTAGTGAAATAACCTACACTGGGGGTTGGCAAACTATGGCCTGCAGGTTCAATCCCACCTACCAACTGATTTTGTAAACAAAATTTTATTAAAACATAGCTACACTCACTTGTTTACATACAGTCCATAACTGCTTTCGTGCTACAATGGCAGAGTTGAGTAGTTGTGACATAGACCATATTGCCTACAAAGCTGAAAATTTTACTGCCTGGCCCTTTATGGAAAAAGCTTGCCAATTCCTGGCCTAGATAATCCTGGAGAGCCCTTCCATCGGGGTGGCTCCAAAACATATATTTTCTTATTATTCAATAAGGATTCGTGCATACACTATGTTTCAGGCCAGGCACTAGAAATACAACAGTGAATAATAAAACAAAGTCTATATTGTTATGGAAGTTACATTTTATCAAGTCAGGCAGACAATAAATAAATAGGTAAAACTTAGTCTATCATATGGTAATAAAAGCTACAGAGAAAAATGAAGTACAAAAGGTGGATAGAAAATGCAGGAGAGAAGCTTGCAGTTTTTGAGCATGGTCAGGGTAAGTTTCCCTTAGAAGGTGACATTTGAGCAGAAATCCAAAGGTGATGGAGAGAGCCATGTGGCCAGTGGAGGGAAGAACGTACCAGACAGAGGGAACAGCATGTGCAAAGGAGTTAGCAATGTGTCTAGAGTTGGCTGAGGGATGGCAGGGAGGCCTGTGTGGCTGGAGCAGTGTGAGCAAGGGGAAGGATGGTTACGGATGAGCTGGAAGAAGTAGTAAGGGCCATGCAAGGCCTTGCAAGCCATCATAAGATGGGAGCCTTGAAGAGTTTTGAGAAGATAAATTGGCCTGAATTACATTTTATTGAAGCCATTCTGGCTTGGGTGCTGACAATAGATTTTGGGAGGCAAGAGTAGAACCTGACGGACTAGATAGGAGGCTATTAGGCTAATTCAGTTAAGAGATAGTAGTGGCTTGGACCAGGGTAATGGAGGTAGATGGGAAAGTGATTGGATTCCGGATAGTTTTTGAAGGTAAAGCTAACAGGATTTGCTAATTAATTAATATAGGGTGAAAGATAAAGAGAAGAGTCACGATGACTTGAGGATTTTGGGCCTGGGCAAAGAAGAGAAATGAGGTTTCTGTTTACTGATCTAGGAAAGCCTCCAGGAAGAATAAGTCTTGTGGGGAAAGATCAGCAGTTTCAAAAGATGCTTATAAAATGAACAAGTGGAAATGTTAATTAGGCAATTGCATATATAAGTGTCAAGTTCAGGGATAAGGCCTGAGCTAAAATAAATTTGAGAATCAATGGTGTGCAGATGATATTTTAAAGTGATACATGATATGAGATCAGGAAAATCGATGCAGATAAAAGAAGACCTTGAAGAGCTCTGGAACATTCCAAAGGTAAAGTAAAGAGATAAAGAGGAACCAGCAATGAGATTGAGGAGGAGTGGCTGGTGCTTCTGGAGAAAATCCAGGAGTTTGTGAAGTCCTGAAAGTCAAGTGAAGTAAGTGCTAGAAAGCAGCAAAGCACGATCAGCAGGTCAGACTCTTCCGATGAGCAGTAAGAGGAGGACTGGGGAACTGATCACTGACTAGCACCCTGTGGTGGTGATAGATGACCTTTCACAGTAGGTTTGGATGAAGTGGAGGGGATACAAATCCCAGTGTGAGTGGGTAAGGGAAGAGACTGAGGAGATAAATAGGAAACAGTGAGTACAGACACATCTTTGAAGGAATTTTTCCTTTCTTGAAGAAGATAATGGGGTGGTAGCTGGAGAGGAAAGTGTTTTTTTCTTGTCTATATAGAAGACAAATGTGTATGTTTTTCTATAGATGAGAAGTTAGAGCAAATAATACAGGACAATGATTCATGAAAGAGACAAATTAATGATGTGTGTGTTCGGGCAGAGGTGAAGGTCCCTGAGGAGGCAAGAAGCAGTAGACCTAGTCAACAGGTGAAGCTATTGACCTTGGAGGAGCATGAGCAATTCATCTGTAGTAACAGGAGGCAAGTCTTGAATCAAGATGTGGTGGGGGCTGATGAAAGTTCTTTCTGCTTCTGTCTCTCCCAGGGAAAGACAGCAGCAGAGTTCCCATGGAGGAGGAAATATTGGAAATTTGAGGAAAAACAAGAAAGTATAGGTCAGTACTTGCCTATGTATTGCCAGGCAGCATTAAGGGTCCAAATTGAAGATAGTGACCATGAATTTAAAGAAGGCATGGTCAGCATGGTAGTGTAATTATCTTCAGCAAAGTTTGGTTTATGGGTGCAGGCATGGAGTAAGATTTAATTATGGTTGGAATTTTGTCAGGTGAGTATGATGGGGCAAGAGCAGACCAATTTAGCTGATGGTTTCTGCAGAGAATTAATTATAATGATGGACTATGGACTTTGGCTACTTAGGGCCAAAATGAGGACTTGGGAGGGAGGTTGTTGGAGTCTGGGAACCAGAAGGTATGCACTGTGCAGTTAGGGGTGGTTAGTGAGATTCTTGCAAGTGAGGTTCACGCAAGAGGTGATGTTACTGGGAAATCACAAAGACTAGGGGACGATAAAGGGAGTGAGTGGGTAACATAAATAAAGTAAGAGGTAAAAAAATTGAGAAGTCATGGAGTTGGAAGGATAGTCTCCATGCACCATGAAGTCAACTAGGTATTATGACAGGACGGATATCAGCCAGGGGCATAAATCTTTGAGGGGTGATGGAGAGTGGCCTCTAGGGGCCAGTAGATGAACTGCTACACAAACTTGTCTCATGACATGAAATCCCAATCTGGTTTTAGTAGAAGACACTATCCTTGTTCAGGCATGACATGAATATTGTTTCCATAAACCTCATTTACATTTGCCAAAATTTTAAACCTTATATAGCCTTGTTTGTCACAATTAGAATATGAAAGAAAAATGCAGAGTGCTCTGAACCCACATGTACTAATGTTGTATGTTGGCAAGTTGACCTGCTTGTCCCCAGATCAGTTGTTTTTTCGCTGAGCTGTGGCGTTAACTAACATGAACATGCAACAACCACAGGGCTTAGGAGTCCTGGGATGGAGCCCAGCTGGATGGGTCAAGAAAGTGAATGATTCTTTTTTTTATTTATCCCAGAAATTGATAATTAAGCTTAACTATGGGCCAGGAGTGGTGGCTCATGCCTGTAATCTCAGCACTTTGGGAGGCTGAGGCAGGTGGATCATCCAAGGGTCAGGAGTTTGAGACCAGCCTGGCCAACATGGTAAAACCCCATCTCTACTAAAAATTAGCTGGGCATGGTGGGGGGCACCTGTAATCCCAGCTACTCGGGAGGCTGAGGCAGGAGAATCATTTGAACCCAGAAGGCAGAGGTTGCAGTGAGCCAAGATCGTGCCATTGCATTCCAGCCTAGGCAACAAGAGCGAAACCCCATCTAAAACAAACAAACAAACGAAAACAACAACAACAAAAACTGTGGAAATTAAAAATTTGAATTACTGGCACTCTTTTTCTTCCTTTAGGGTGTTCACCATCAAAACAATACTGTTCACTCAATTGAATGTGTAGAACTTGCTCTTGTTAACAAATGGCTCTAAAATAAGTGTGCGGTTTTGAAATATTTCGGATTGACCATTACTTCTAATGTTGACCTTTTTGTTTACACACTAGATTGAGGTTTTGTGTACCACTACTGTCTTGACTATATTTTGTACTCTCAGTTAAGGTTTTGTGTACCACCAATGACTAGGCTATATTTAGTACTCTTTTGGTGACAATGCAATAATTGAAAACTTACAAATGAAAACATCTTTCTTGAAATTTAGATTTTTAAAAAAATGAATTTCACAGTGATTCTTCACTTGATTTTTACACTGTCAGGCAATTCTGTGGGTGTAGGGTCTTTTTGTCCTTTAGTTATTAGCCCCTTCCGGGATATAGTTCCATAACAGACCCTGCTTATATGGAATCACTAAAATTAGTGTGATAATTCAGTGTTTACTCCAGCTTATTAACATAGCTCTATTAGATTGTGAATGTCTGTGTTTCTGCATATTTGGATAAACTTGTTCTTCTGTAGGTAGAGTTCCCAGAATTCTTAAGAGTGACATTGCAGCCTTATCACAGATGATTAATGACTATTTAAGAAACTGTATACTTCCTGAATCTAAAATAAAAGTTGAAAAATAAAATAAAATTAAAAAGAAAAAAAGCATTAAAAAGTTGTGAGTTTATCTATATGTGTATATACAGAAAAACATCTATAAAATATTTTTCTTCATGTAAATTTAGGTTAATTTAAATCCTTTAAGTATACTACAATAAAGTTTTGTGGTTTTATTTCTTTCTTACAAAAATTCTATAAAGTAAAAGTTGTTTTTGAGCATAAAGCATTATTTATTGATTTAGACTTCCCTAAAGCCATCCTATCGTATATATACCATCCTGCTTTTTACATTTTATTTACCTGAATGTTTGGGTTTTAAAATAATGTATATAATTTATAGGATCCCATTTTATTTTTTATTTTTTATTATACTTTAAGTTCTAGGGTACATGTGCATAACGTGCAGGTTTGATACACAGGTATACATGTGCCATGTTGGTTTGCTGAACCCATCAACTCCTCATTTACATTAGGTATTTCTCCTAATGCTATCCCTCCCCCAGTCCCCCATCCCCCAACAGGCCCCAGTGTGTGATGTTCACTGCCCTGTGTCCAAGTGATCTCATTGTTCAGTTCCCACCTATGAGTGAGAACATGCGGTGTTTGGTTTTCTGTCCTTGTGATAGTTTGCTGAGAATGATGGTTTCCAGCTTCATCCATGTCCCTGCAAAGGACATGAACTCATAGGATCCCATTTTAAAACATTTTTCCTTCTTGTATGTTGTGAACAAAAAGAAAAGTCTGGCTTGTGGGTTATTCTGACCATTTTTTTCCTAGTAGGTACTTGCTTTTGTATTTAGTTCTTTTCTCATTACAAGCTTTTTATTTTATTTTATTATTTTATTTTTCCTTAGAGTGACTTAAGTTTGGCTGTCATGTGCTTGCTCCTGTATAAATTAAGACAAAGGTGACTGACAAATCAATTTGGTCTTTCAATGCCACTGATGTCACGTGAAGGGACTGCAAAAAGTTCATGAAAAATGGAATTAAAAATATAAACTTTATTTCTCAACATAAGCTTCAGCCAGTTAAAGACACTTTTGCAAGCAGTGATACCAGCCATTTAGTCCATTCCGAAAGATCTGAGGGTCCTGAGTATATAACAGTGTCAATGCAGTCTTTTTTACATCATTAATTGAAGAATAATTGGCACCCTTTACAGGTTTTTTTCTTTAGGATAGCAAACAAAAAGAAGGAGCCAAATCAGGACTATATGGTGGAGGGCTAATGATTTTCCATCAAAACTTTCACAAAATTGCCCTTGTTTGATGAGAGGAGTGAGCAGGATGTTGTTGTGGTAGAGGACTCTCTGGTGAAGTCTTCCTAGGCATTTTTCTGCTAAAGCTTTGGCTGATGGTCTCAGAACACTCTCATAATAAGCAGATTTATCATTCTTTGGCCCTCCAGAAAGTCAGCAAGCAAAATGTCTTTAGCATCCCCAAAAAACTGTTGCCATGACCGTTGCTCTTGACTGGTATGTTTTTGCTCTGATGGGTTTACTTCCATCTCTTTGTAGCCATTGCTTTGATTGTGCTTTGTCTTCTGGATCCTATTAGTAAAGCCATGTTTCATCTGCTGTTATAGTTCTTTGAAGAAGTGCTTGAGGATCTTGATCCCGCTTGTTTAAAATTCCCATTGAAAGCTCTGCTCTTGTCTGCAGCTGATCTGGTTGCAACACTTTTGGCACCTGGCGAGTGGAGAGTTTGTTCAACTTAAATTTTTTAGTCAGTATTGTGTAAGCTGAAGCAATTGAGATATCTATTGCCTTGTGAAAAGTTTATGGGGCAATGCCCCATGTAAATCAGCGGTTTACAAATGGATAACTCATTTTAAGAAGGGATGAGACAGTGTTGAAGATGAAATGCACAGCAGCAGACCAGGGTGTTGGTTATGGTTTCTGCTGTTAATTGTCAGTCCTCTGTAATCAGGGCATGAACAAGACACATTTTTTTCCTTGCAAATTGATGTGGATGGTCTGCTGCTGCAGGCTTCATCTTCAACATTGTCTCGTCTCTTCTTAGAATGAGTAATGCATTTGTAAACTGCTGATTTATTTGGGGCATTGTCCCCATGAACTTTTCATAAAGCATCAGTGATTCCACCATTCTCCCACCCAACCTTCACCATAAGTTTGATGTTTGTTCTTTCTTCAACTTTAGTAGAATTGATGTCACTATGAGAGGGGCTCTTTTCAAACTGATGTCTTATATTTCTTAGTGCTTCAAACTAGATCTCTTTCAGACATGTTATAACAAGTTAGTGTGAGTTTATTTTCATGCAAACATTTTTTGAAATCCATGCATAGTTTCATAATGCACAGTTTCTATGAATTTTTTGAAGACCCCCTGTATTAATTCTGGCAGAGATATTTTTACCAATACAAATGAAGGAAAGGAGTTAATAATTTTCAGTTACCCTTGCTATCTTATTAGCCATTTTGTCAGTGTTAAATTATAAGATTTACTCTCCAAAAATGTTTTTTAAAAACTTTAAAAGTTAATGGCTCTCATTTTTCCCTGTTTTTTTAAGAAGGCATTTATTGTTTGATCCTGCAGTTCCTTATTTTTGTTTTATTTATTAGACACAGTAAAAGATTCTCCACAGCCCAAGGCTCCTAGACATGTGTAGAATGTAAAAATATGCAATTAAATCAAACAGGTCAGCTTAAATTCCACCACAAAGTGAAGACTTCTGGTGAAGTCTTCCTAGGCATTTTCAGGGCTTTATTTAGTAAAAAATGACAAGCTATAAAGTAGATCCTGCCCAGTGTCCTAAGGTTAACAATTTGGAGCTCTGCTGAATTAGGATGATGGGGGCTTCCAGGGATAAACAAGGCCTCCAGGGACTGACACAAGGAAGGAATTCAGAGCCTCAGACTTGGGAAGGAATTTCACAGGAAATGGCCTTGCTGTGCCCAGAATTCTCTGACAACTGTCCTTAGGGCACTGCACTTGATATCATGTAATGACAAGGGGACATATAAATAATCTGGTTGAAATGACAGGTCGAGGTTAGTAACCACTTGCGCACATTTGGCTGTGGTACGTGGGCCCCCTGATGGGGAGCAGTAACTCACATTCTCTCTTCGGTAGAGCACCTGGCTTCAGTCCTCAGTCATGTTTCTTCTTGTCCCACTTCTACTCTAAGCAGCATATGCTATGGCATATACTAAGTACTGTGGTGAGGGTTTGCTCATTCAGCCATGCTAGGATACCTCCCTGGGACAGGGGAAGGGAGGCCATCCAGGGGACATGGAGGTCTCTCCAGACTCACCAAGGAACTCTCCCTGAAACTACCACAGACGTTTCCTAAGCAGTCTTCCTGCCTCTTCTCTTGACAACTATCCCCACCCCATCATTCTCCACAGAGCAGCAAGTTTCAATTCATTCTCTAAAGATTTTATTTCTGAAGATATAAATTCACTGTCTTATCCCTTTGATGGCCCTCCACTGAAAAGAGGATGAAATGCAGACACTACTTCATGGTTTCCAGTGTGATTACTGTCTGTCTCCTCAACATCATCCCAGGTCACTTTCTTGCTCAGGACACTGGCCTCCTTGTTTTTTTTTTTTTCCCCCTCAATTCCTAGGTTCTTTACTTCTCAGGACCTTGGCATGTTTTATTTTCTTCATCTGGAACATCCTTCTTTCCAACCTTCATCTTCCTCATCTTTTCCAATCTTCCTTCTTCCTCATCTTTTAGTCAGAATTGAAATACCACCTGCTCTGAAAGACCATGCAGTGGTGGGTTCCTCTTGGCCCTATCAGCCTCCCTCTCAGCCCCTTGTTTGTTTCCTCCGTGGGACTATTACTGTTGTAAATGATGTGTATGTGTGTATTTGCTTGCTTAGCCATTTCTGCCATCAGAATGTAACCTTCCTGTGACCTGGGACCATCAGTATCTTGTTTACTGATGTAATCCCATCATCTAGAATGGGGTTCAGTATGTAATGAATAGTACGTAATAACTAGCTAAAGAATAAATGAAGGAAAATTAATGATGCTATCCATGCACTCTTCTAGGTGATGAGTCACCTTTTTATGATCTCCCTCCCTTTCAGTTTAGGCTCTTAAATCCCAATGTAAGTATATGCCATTCCCAAGTGGGAAGAGAATGTTTACAATGCGAGTCTTCCACCATGAGATCTCCAGGTCTAGCAGTGCTTGCTTGACTTTTTGAAACACCTAAAAATCATATTGGAATTCCATTAAACAGTTAACTCCCTGATTAATGTGACCATTGTGTCATCAACATGCTAAGTAGATCCTGAAGACAATACCACTCTCTTGAACGTCTTGGCCACCAGTTGCTGTCTTTTATAGCAATTCCCTCATCCATTCTTCTCTTTTGCCACAAGATCCCTCAGGTCTGTTTCTTCCCCTGCTGTTCCGATTTCAGTGAGTTCCCCTGTCTGCACCATCAGTTCCTTGCCATTCCTCTCTGATGTTTCCATTTTAGTCCATTTGATTTTCTTTTCATGTTGTTTCTCCTCCTCCATAGATCTAGTGGTCTCTACATTATTGTCCCTTGGACTTCCAGACTTTGTTCCTGTCCCTTCTCTTCTTGGCTCCTTTCGTTAATCATTAGTTCCTTGATTTGACAAAACTATTCCATGTCTAAACCCAGTTGGCTCTTTTCCCAGCACTGCCTGTTAGGGACATCATCTTTCCACATGTCCTGGTCACGCAGCCTTCAGCCTTTCTCTAGGTCCAGATCATGTAGTGGATACTAAGTGTCTGCCATATTCTGAGCACTCTTCTTTGTGACCTTTATCAATGTTCACATTGTCCAAATAGTCAAGAGCTGTGACTGATTATCTAGTGTTTGCTCAGCACCATGATGTTGAACCAAGTTCAACCCATTATCCAAGGGCGGATTTTCCTTCTTTTCTCCATCCTGAGGCCTTTCCCTAATAAAGTGAGTATGCCCTTCTCAGATTCCAATAGCTCAATAGCTTCTCATTTATTTACTTAAGAAATATTTGTTGATCACCTACTATGTGTCAGACACTGTTCTGGGTGGTCAGTGGTGAACAGATAGTCTAGTTGCCTGTAGATTCTAGTGAGATGTACATATTTATAGTATGTATGGAATATGTATATATATGAATTTGTATATATAAAAATTTAAAATATTACTATATGCTGTTTTCTAGCTTTATATAAGTAAATTGTGTCTGGCCAACAGAGTTGTAGGTTTTTCAGGAATTTTTTTTTTTTTTTAATGTATGTGTATCACACTGCTTGGGAGAGCATTGAGTACAGAGCAGGTATTTAGTATGTTCAGCGAGTTCACTAAGAATGGAATAGAGGCATACCTCATTTTATTATGCTTAGCAGATACTGCATTTTTCAAAACAAATTGAAGATCTATGGCAACTCTGCATTGAACAAATCTGTTGATGCCATTTTTCCAACAGTGTATGCTCACTTTGTATTTCTATGTCACATTTTGGTAATTCTTGCAATATCTCAAGCTTTTTTATTGTTACTGTATCTGTGCTGATAGTCTGTCATCAGTGATCTTTGATGTTACTATGGTAATGTTTTGGGGTGCCACAAACTGTGGTCATAAAAGACTGTAAACCTGTGTGTAATAAATGTGTATGCTCTGATTCCTCCACTAACCAATTGTTCCCCTGTTTCTCTTGCTGTCCTTGGCCTCCTTATTCACTGAGACACAAAAATATTGAAATTAGGCCAATTAATGACTCTGCATCTTCAGGTGAATTGAAGAGTTGCAAATCTCTCACTTTAAGTCAAAAGCTAGAAATGATTAAGGTTAGTGAGGAAGGCATGTCAAAAGCTGAGATGGGTCAAAAGGTAAGCCTCCTACACCAGTTAGCCAAGTTGTGAATGCAAAGGAAAAGTTCTTGAAGGAAATTAAAAAGTGCTACTCTAGTGAACACACAGATGATAAGGAAGTGAAACAGCTTGGTATGGGGATAGAACATCTGATATAACACTCAGTGTTAAGGATCCCAATCCAGAGCAAGATCCTAACTCTCTTTAATTCTGTTAAGGCTGAGAGAGGTGAGGAAGCTGCAGAAGAAAAGTTGAATCTAGCAGAGATTCATTCATGAGGTATAAGGAAAGAAGCTGCCTCCATAATATAAAAATGCAAGAAGAAGCAACAAGTCCTTATGGAGAAGCTGCCACAAGTTATCCAGAAGATCTAGCTAAGATCACTGAAGAAGGTGACTACACTAAACAACAGATTTTGAAGGCAGACAAAAATGGCCTTCTGTTGGAAGATGATGCCATCTAGGACTTTCATAGCTGGCCAGGAGAAGTCAGTGCCTTGGCTTCTGAGAACATGCTGACTCTCTTGTTAGAAACTAATGCAGCTGGTGATTTTCAATTGAAGCCAATGCTTATTTATCATTCAAAAAATCCTATGGCCCTTAGGACTTATGCTAAATCTACTCTTCCTGTGCCTTATAAATGGGACAACAAAGTCTAGATGACAGCACATCTGTTTACAGCACAGTTTACTGAATACTTTAATCCCACTGTTGAGAGCTGCTGCTCAGGAAAAAATATTCCTTTCAAAATAGTTTTGTTCTATGACAATGCACCTGGTCGTCCAAGGGTTCTGATGGAGATGTACAAGGAGATTAATGTTTTCATGCCTGCTAACATAATATCCATACTGAAACTCTTTATTATTTAAGGAATACATTTTATAAGGCTATAGCTGCCATAGATAGTGATTCTTCTGATGAACCGGGGACAAGTAAATTAAAAACCTTTAGAAAACCTTCTCCATCAGGATTTGTTGCTTTTGAAATCTGGGTCAAGTAAATTAAAAACCTTCTAGATGCCATTGGGAACATTTGTGATTCATGGGAAGAGGTCAAAATAACATTCACAAGAGTTTGGAAGAAGTATATTCTAACCCTCATTGATGACTTTGAGGAGTTTAAGACTTCATCGGAGGAAGTAACTGTAGACTTGGTAGATATATCAAGAAACTAGAATTAGAATGGTGCCTGAAGATGTGACTGAATTGCTGCAATTTTATGATAAAACTTTAACGGATGAGGAGTTGCTTCTGTGGATGAGCAAAGAAAGTGATTTCTTGAGATGAAATCTTCTCCTGGTGAAGAAGCTGTGAACATTGTTGAAATAAGGACAAAGAATTAGGATATTGCATAACTTATTTGATAAAGCAACTTCAAGGTTTGAGAGGACTGACTTTAATTTTGAAAGCTCTACTGTGAGTAAAATGTGATTAAACAGCATTGCATGCTACAAAGAAATCTTTCATGAAAGGAAGTCAATTAATGCAGCAAACTTCATTGCCATCTTATTTTAAGGAATTGTCACAGCCACCTCAGTCTTCATGAGCCATCACTCTGATCCAACAGCAGCCTTCAACATCGAGGCAAGACCGCCCACCAGCAAAAGGATATGACTCATCTAAGTCTCAGATAATCATTAGCATTTTTGCAATAAAAGTACTTTTAAATTAAGTTATTTACATTTTTTAGACATAGCACTGCTATACAGTTAGTAAATTATAGTATAGTAGTGTAAACATAACTTTCATATGCACTGGGAAACCAAAAAACTTGCATGACTCACTTTATTGTGATTTGCCATTTATTGTGTTATTTGCTCTATTGAAGTTGTTTGGAAATGAACCTTCGGTATCTTCAAGGTATGCCTTTATATAGAGAAGTACATTCAAGTGAGATGCAACACCCTGTGTATCATTGCACTGATATGTTGTACAATTGAATTATAGCTTTCTATGTAAAAGTCCTCCTGCATTAATGGGTGACTCCCTATTATAGGGTTCAGGATACAGTGATTCACTATATAGGGATATGTGACAGTTTCATCTAAAGTTCACAATGTAAACATTGCAGTATTTCTAGACCTAGAGTTGTAAGTTCACGTATAACAGTATGCATTTATAATTATGTAACTGTATAACCTCTCAGTACAATCATCAAAGTGAAAAATATTGAAGAATCCAGAAACTTAATAGAAACTGGAATATCAGCAATCACCATTTTATCAAGCTTCCCACACAGCAGCTGTGCAAAGCCATTGTTGTCACAATAAAATAGATTTATTTATTTACTTACTTAAAAACAAAGTTAATGAGAGTACACAAAGCTACATTAAACTGATTTTACATAGGAATTAAAAGCGTGCTAGAAGGCCTCTATGTTATGTGCTTCTGCACAGTAAGTGGGATCTGACCACACAAAGTAAAAGTGAATAGAGTTGCTCTCATGGTAAAATTGGGTATATAAGGAAATAAATCAGAGAAGGAAACACAATGAGCAACAATAACTAAATGTATAATGTTCTTTAAGGTCCGATGTCCTTTGGAAGGTCTTCAGGCAGTGATTGGTGGAGACAGTCCCATGTACCCCAAGTTGCTCACCTGCATTATTTGGCCATATCAACTTTGTTTACCAAGTCCACATAAAAGATACCAGCATAGTCCTCCTGAAGCAAAAGGCATTGCTCGGGAGCACTGGTGCCTTTGGACTATAGTGTAGATACCATAAGATAGTTAGCACACATAGAATCTAGAATTTAATGAGCAAACACTCTATTCACCCAGAAAAAAAAGTTTTAATGCTATACATGTTTTAAACACTGTATCAGTGAATTCTTCCATATACACATGATTAATTGACCTAAAAATATACCAATCCTGGGTGTTTTTACCTCACTCGAAGACAACTTGCCATCTAACCCCTCTTAGAACTAAGGGTTTTTTTTGTTTGTTGGTTGGTTTGTTTTGTGTTCTTTTCGTCCTGTTTTTTGGGAGTAGGCTGAGGGTTGCTGAGAATTATTTTCTTGGAGTATTATGGATGGTGATTATAGCCTGTGGCAAATAAAATAGATAGCAGAGTAAGAACTGACTGTGAAAAAAATGTTGCATTTCCTACTATGTACATCTCAGAAGACATTCTACAAAGATACTTATTTGATCAAAGGCATAAGCGATCCTTTTAAATTATGTACAAGTCTACTTGCGTATTTTATTTTAGGGTACCACGCCACGTTTCTTTGTGTAAGAATACACATGATCCCAGAATTTTGGAGTGACAAGGCTATAATTGACTCTGTCTTTAGGCTTTCCTGGGAAAATATTATCAGGACATTCTGACCCTAAAGCAAAATCACAGTTAATTAAATTATGACCATATGAAAATTCTAATTAAAGTCAAGGCAAGAGTATTTGTCAAGCTGATGTTTAAGATAATGTGGAAAAATGATATGAAAGCAGCAAAGAATATTGTGAAAATAAAGCCACTCGAAATTTATATAGGAATAATTTCATCAATGGAACAGGATAATCTAGGTACAGATGCAAATACATATGGGAATTTACTATGTGATTAAAAATGTATTTCAAGTCAATGGGTAAGAGAGGCCTTTTTCAAGAAATTTATGTTGGGCAATTGGCTGACCATTTAGGAATATAAAACAGCAACAAGATCTTCACTGTAGTCTTTATACCAAAATTAAGTCCAGAAGAACTGAAGTTCTAAAATTAAAAATTGTAATTGTAAAAGCACAAATAGAAAACATGGATAAGTTATTTTCATAATTTTTGATTAGGGAAGACCTTTCTTGTAAAACTGCCAACACAGAAGCCTTAGAAGAAAGAGACTACATATTTTGATTACATAAGCATTAAAAACTTCTGTATTACAAAAAAGATCATAGACAAAATTAACAAATATATGACCAACTGGGGAAAAATATTTGCAACACATAATAGCCAAGGGCTTACTGCCTTAATAAGTAAAGAGTATAGCAAATTAGTAAGAAAAAAATACAAGTACCCAATAAAGATCTGGATGAAGGAAATTTTCAGTTTGGGATTATGTTGATATGACAAATCCAGACAGAAGGGCTTAACAAAATGAGGGCTTTTATTTTCTCACATAAAACATCTGAAAGCAATCCAGCCTTTCAGCCTGGCACACAGGCTTCATAGTGCATTTGGGGCTTAGCCTCTTTCTGTTTGGCTGTCTTTAGTAGGTGGCTTTATTCTTCATGAGAACAAGATAGCTGTTCCACTTTCAGGCACAAAGTCTGAAGCAGATGGCAGCAGCCAATAAAATTTGTGCTAGTGAAGTCTGCCCTTTAATAAGCTCTGCTAGAAAACTTTGCCACTTAGCTAACCAGCCACAAAAGAGTTTGGGAAGCTAGGCACTTTTCTGCCCCAAACAAAATTGGGGGTTGCCTTACTGTAAGGAAGATAGGGAGAATGGATAATATGTAGGCAAACAGTTGTGTATGCCACAGATGTGAAAGCAGCTCACAGATAAAGAAACACAAATGGCTTGTAAACATATAGGTAATTACCTTATTCATAAATAAATACAAATCAAGACAGTAGTGTGATACTACTATTTTTCATGTATCAGATTAGTAATAATCAAAAAGTTTGCTAATACCCAGTTTTTGTAAGGCTGGCATTTCCCCATAGGGAAAATAGGTACTCTCAAACACTGTTTCTTGTGGGTATAAATGTTTTTAGAGGAAAGTTTAGGAATCTGTAGCAAATAAATGAGTATGCTGATTGATTCATCAACTCTGTGTTTAGAAATATGTCCTATAGATATATTCATACACGTGTGAAAGGTAAATATGTCCAGATGTTCACTGTGGCATTACTTGCAATGGCAAAAAACCAAAATTGGTAACAATCTAAATGTCCATCAATAGGATACTAAATAAAGAAGTGATAACATCTATGTCCAGGAGCATATTCATTGTTGAAAAGTCTAAGCTAAATTTGTGTGTGCTGAGATGGAGGATCTCTGAGTTATATTGTTGAATTTAAAAAGTCAGATTGAGAATAGTTTATATGACATGATCTATTGAATGAAAAGTTTTAAAAATGCCCAGATTACATATGGATAATTTCAGAAAGGATATACAAAGAACTCCGTTTTTTCTGATAAAAACTTTTTTTCGTGACTTTATTGATAAGAAGAATTTTTTTTAGGGCTAAGTGACAGTGAATATAGGGCATTGAAAATTGCCTTGGTGTGGCTTTTGCCTACAAGGAACTCTTGATGGTACTTACATCTATAGAATAGGCCTTGGAGTAAGACAGATACTTTCATTTTGTATTATTTTGTGGGGTTTTTGTTATTATTGTTGTTATTTAAAACCTACAGGGGTGGTTTTTGTAGTACATTTCTTAGAAGAACAGTAATTTAATGAAAATTTACTTTTTGTCATGGGATAGTCAAGATAGTTAACAACCATTAAGGATACCAACTGTTAACAATCAGCGGAATACCAACTAGCCCCTCCTTTTCTTGATGTAAAATGATGAACATACCTGGTCATTAGGCCTAGTATCTGTGTTATATAAATTGTCTGTGGAGATGTATTTCTTTACTACACTGGAAACATTTTTGTCTCAAGCCTCCAGTACCTATGTTGTTTGTTCTCTTACTTGCTGGAGTTTTTCTCTAAATTTTAGCTTTCTCAGAGAGGATGCTTGACCATCCTGATTAAAATACTGTCTCCCTCCATACCTGTCATACAACTGTGTCTCTCTTATCCTGCTTGATTTTCCCTTCTAACATTGATTGTTTATTGATTATCATATCATAGATGACTTGAGACCACCAATTTTACCTTATTCAGTATGTACACATTGGTTGGTACAGAACTGATTCTTAAATATTGTGAAGTGAACTTTTATAAAATATGAAATATTTGTTGAATGAATGTTGTACTTCTCAAATTCATGGCTTCTAGTTTAGTATTAATATGCAGATATGCATCTATACCACCCTACCTGCTCCCACAAAGGACAGTTTGCCTTCTGCCACTATCTGGCTTTATTTTGCCCTCTTCTACTTTGTGATACTCCTGGAGATGGAGGTCTAGCAGCTGGAAACAGGGAGGAAGGTGTTCACTACATTCTCCTGCATCTAGGGGTTGGCAGGGTAGTAGATTCTGAAGGCGAAGAACTTCTTACCTAAAAGTTAATCATGGAGAATGCTGGAACTAGGGCTGAAAACCTAGGCCATTTGGCTTCCCCTCCACTGAGTCTTCAGTTCTCTGTAGGACATTCCCGCTTGCTCCCTTGGTCAGCAGTTCACCTGTCTCAACTCATCACTGTTGCTGGATGATGGGTTTGTGGGATCCCAGGTCCCTCCACTTGCAGATAGAATGCTGGGATGGAATATTCAGAAAAAGAAGATGCCTTCTGATTCTTCTTAGACTGCTTTATGAATTTCAAAATATGTTGTTTTTTTCTTCTCAACTGAATTATTTCCTTGAGGACAGCTCCCTGTGTTAAACTTTTTAAAAGCAACAAAGAAATCTCTTGTCTCATTTCTAGTACAGTATTAGGTACATATATGATTGATTAAATCAAGAAGCTGAGGCTTTAATTGAATTCTCAGTTTGGTTTGGTTTATTACTGCTAATCTTTGTGGCAGAGTCAGTAAATTTATCCGAAGATTGAATATCTCTCCCATATGTATATGGGATTATAGTTTTGATTATGGTTTGGAAGTTTGGAATTTTCTGTTCTGAAATAAGGTGACTCTTCCTATCTTTTAAATTTTGTTAGATAAGGGATTTCAAAATGGTTATTGGCCAAACTTAACTCTGTTTTCAATTCAACTCTCCTCTCCTCTTTAAAAGTTAATTTGGAGACCTTAATATTATGCTTATCACCAGAAAATGGCACACAGTGATGATACCCATAAGCTGGGCTGGAGGTGGATTCTTCAGGAACAGGTAGTCCTCTGGGTTTATAGACAGAGACCTGGACCAGTGGTTTAATGCCCAGCTCCCACTTCTTCCTTGTGTTTCTGTAGGCTCATTTACCTCCATATGCCTAAGGTTCTTTCTTTGTTTCCTTTGGTTTCTCTTCTATAAAGTGAGTGTAGTGAACATCATTCCATTGGGATTTTTGTAGGAGCAGCAAATGGTAGAATGCAGTTAACTTAATATACATCTTATAGGACGATGGAGACAATCTTGTAGACTTAAGTGCATCTTAAGAGAAAAAGTCCTTGATCTTCCAGGAAGTATAAATTGTTATCCTACTTTGGTATTTAAATAATATATTTATAATCTTTTGTTCTGGAGTTAATGTATGTGTTTTCAGTAGAGAATATTCATCGTTTCCCCAGTATTTTCTCGCTCACCTGACCTCCAAACTGTCTGTGTGTCAATATATTTATTTTTCTCCATAGATATGTAATTCCTCAAAGAGAGAATGGCATTCAAGTGATTTGGCGCATAGGAATTAAAAAGAAAAAAGCAATGCACAGAAATTCATTGAAAGGACAGAAATTCTTTATTAAATGTAATGGGAAGGTGGAACACTAGCAGCTACCTTCTAGCTACAGAATGCCTCTCTTGATAAATTCCCACATGTTGAAGAGGAAGCTGTGTGTCCGGTTTTGCAAAAGGAACTCTGATGTTTTGGCTTGTCTAGTGTCAGGTAATGCTGGTTGTGCTTGTGGGTAGAGATGAATCTCTAATACTGAAAATACTCCTAACACTATACATGCACATCAGAGACTACTAGTCCAGTGTCTAATTTTTCAGATGAAGGAAAAAAAGCACGGTTCAGAGAGATAGAGTGTCTTGTTCAAGAATACAGCACCAAATCTGGAACTCTGATTTCCTGGTTCCTTGGCTCTTTGTTCTGTCCATTTGTGTGTTGTGGACATCTGTGGATTTGTTTGTCTAATCCTAACTCTACTCCACTGGCCTTGTGGTTCCAGTTGATCATACCAGGGTTAACCCCTTTGGTTTTTTTCCTCTTAGATTTTATGAGCTGGCAAATTCCCCTTTCTGCTTTAGATTTTTCTAATTAGGAATCTGTTACTAGCAACCAAAATAATATGCATTCAAATTCTTGTTAACTGCTCTGTTTTAATATTCATTGTGGTTCTCCTCTCAAATTTCTTCAGTGTTTTCGTCCTTAAAGATTATAGCACAAATACAATAAGTGGGTCTGTAATTTGTGTATAGTCTGGATTTACAACCTAAGTGAATGTCCAGATTACATACATTTAATCACAGTGAGTGTGTCTCACCATCTGTAATTACAGTTTCATTCCATAGCAGTTACAGACTTAGGTATTTAAGGGATCTAGTTGAGATTATTATAGTGAATAAAGTTTGATCTTCTTTCTTACTTCTTTACTAATCCACTTGTTTTTTGCAGCTGCTTGCACATATGTTAATGGAATTTAAGATTGTCTTAATTTATTAATTTTTGTCCCCAGTTCCCTCTGTGGATATAGAAAGCGCTTAAGCAGTGCCCCACATGTCATTCCATGTTAATTTTTCTTTCTTTTTGTTTTCTTTACTAGTAAGAGGAATAAATAATGTTTCCTTTTATATAGACACTTCAACATTTTTAGCTAGGGAAATTGATACCCTATCACCACCACCATCTAGTCAGTTGAGCACTGGTTCCAGCTGTTGTAGAAGATTAACTAGGCCAGTATAGTAATAGATCTTGTTCCACATGATAGTCTTTGAAAACCAGCAAAATGCTGAAGGGTCCTTACCATCAATGTTACTGCCACCAAATGTTTAAATAGCATCTTAGAAGTTAAAAAGTTCATACATACAAATTCAGTCCTCACAACAGCCTTCAAAGATGTCTTTTAATATCTGTTATTTATAATGAAAAAACTGAAGAGTGCAATTTAAAAAATTATATCTTAATAACACATAGTTGCTATCCCAAGACTAAAACATGGTTTTCTGTCTGTGTTAGTGTTTTTCCGGCACCATGGTGATCATATAAAAATCTGAGTATTTTCCACAAAAAATATGGAATCTTGAAATGCACTCTAACCATACTTTCATTAAATAATTGGATGAACTCATACCAAATGCAACACTGATATAAGCTTGCATGGTAGCCTGGGGCCCCTGCTCTCTTTCATAGCACTTATGTAAAAGTGCCATTCTCTCTCTGTCTCTGTTTTTTTGTTTGTTTGTTTGTTTGTTTTTAAAGACAGAGTCTTGCTCTGTTGCCCAGGCTGGAGGGCGGGGGCACGATATCGGCTCACTGCAACCTCCACCTCCGGGGTTCAAGCAATTCTCTGCCTCAGCTTCCTGAGTAGCTGGGATTACAGCCACCCACCACCATGCCAGGCTAATTTTTGTATTTTTAGTAGAGACAGGGTTTCATTATCTTGGCCTTCAAGACCAAGACGGTCTTGAACTCCTGACATTGTGATCCACCCACCTTGGCCTCCCAAAGTGCTGGGATCATTCTCTTCTTTCTTGCCATTCTCTTTGCCACACTTCAGTGATGTAGGCAGGAGTATGTGTGTGGTGTGTGTGTGTGTGTGTGTGTCTGTGTCTGTGTCTGTGTGTCTGTGTATGTGTGTGTGTGGTGGAATTGTTTTGCTAATCACTAGGGGGCTTTAAAGGTAAATCAAATACCTTTACCCCAGAAAGTCTGGATCTGTATAAAAGGCACTGGAGTTAAAGAACAGACTCAGTTTATGGGGGGAAAGGGAGCCAGGAAGGACAGTTCACAACAGTGGGCCCAGGGGGAAATCTTAGGGGAGTGGAGTTTGGGAAGTACAAATGATGTGTAAAATAAACAGGGTGATAAGATTGGGAAGGATAAGAAAGGCTACGCCAGACTAAGGAATTTGGGCATCATTCTACAGGCAGTTGGGAGCTATTACAGGTTTTTCAGTTGTTTAATGATATGGCCATGGCTGGGATGCATATCTCTTTTTACAGTAAACTTTGAAGTCTCTGTTTCCCATGCCTCTCATGTCCCTTCCATCAACAACTCTATTAGTTCTACTTGCAGAATATATTGCAGACCCAGCTTCTGTAGACAGCCTCCACTGTCACAAGGCTCACCCAAGCCACTGTCATCTCTCAACTGGGCTGCCACAGCAGCTTCTTTAGTGGCTTGTTGCTTTTATGCTTGCCTTGCCACTACATTCTGCACAGCTAAGTAACTTTTACAAGTCCAGATAAATGTTATCACTGTCTGTGACCTGGCCCTGCCTCTCTCTTGAAAGCATGTTCTATCCTCTCTTCCCTGACCCTCCCTCACCTCAGAGTCTCTGCATTTGCTGATTGATCTGCCTGGAATGGTCTTTCCTCAGATTATCACATGGTTAGCTCCTTACCAAAAGAGGCCTTCTTGCTCTTTAATGTAGACAAGGCTCAGCCCCAGTGACACTCTCCATCATTTACCTGGTTCATTTTCTTCATAGCACTTACTGCTATTGGGTGGATTTCCATATTGGTTTGTGAGTTTAATACTTGTCCCCCAAGCTGCTCAACTAGATGTATGCAGGGGCTTTGTTCACTTCTGTATCCCCAATGCCTGGAAGAGTCCTGGCACTTAGTACATTTTTATTGAATTAATTAATTTAGCGATTTGAATGACTAGAGCAGGAGGCCATATTGGAGCTAGTTGCAGGGTTTCTTGGACAATGAGAATACATTGAGGGTCTTGTCAGTGGGAATGAAGGGAGGGGGCAGGCAAAAATGAGGTAATAGGGAGAACTAACAGATTTGACATGGTTTGAAGTGTTGACTTGTTGGAGAGGGAAGAGGTAAAGGATTTTGAGCTTAGATGAGCTATAGGAGCCCAGAAGAAGTTTCTGGATTTGGTGGTAAAAGGAACAGTTGTAGAGGTGCCATGTTTGAGTACTGCTGGGATGGAGGTTTCCAGCACACAGTTGCATTTTGAGGTTATTCAGAGATTTTTGTGTTACCTGAGAGGCATTGCTACAAATGAAGCAAGGATCATGGCACAGAAGATGCTGGGGGAAGCCATATTTCCTACTCAACTATAGCATGGCTGTAGCAAGTCATTGAACCTCTCTGAAACTCAGGTTCTTCATCTGTAAATGATAATAAAATGTCTCATGGCAGGTGGTTCTGAAAATTAAACTTCTCTCAGTGTATTATATTTCTCCCTCTTTTTTTTTTTTTAGCTTATCAGTATGAGAGTTTATATTTGTTTACTCTAGCTATTCACATCCTAACTACATAGTATACTGTGATTCCATTTCATTTCTTGTACAAGTCTTATTATTTTTTTGGTAATAGTCACTCTTTCATCTCCAAACTTTCCTCAAAATCTGAAACATTTTCTCTCAATAATTTCAAACCAACATGTATTCAGTCAGTTTATTTTTCCCTCCCCTTAGAATTACCTTTCCTGGCCTCTTCTGGCTTCATGCTCCAATTTGGACAGTTTGCTCTCTCAGCTTGATGCATAGCTGTGTCATCTGGAATCCCATTATCTTCTCTTGTTTTGGATCCTCTGTATCCAGATCTTATTTTCTTCCTCATTATTTACCTCCCTTCTTCATTCTGTCAAGGAACATTCATCCTGTAGCTTTCTGAGAAAGAATGCATGGGAGGTAATCTCTTTGAGACTTTGTAGAGCTTTATTCCACTTTCATACTTTATTGACCTTTTGGCTGAATATAGAATTCTAGGTTGGAAATAATTTTTCCTCAGCATTTTGAAGATAGTGCCTCATCATCTTTTAGCTTCAGGTGTTGCTGTTGTTGAGAAATCTGATGCCACTGTAATACCATTGCTTTCCATGTGATCTTTTCTTCCCATTTGAAAGTTTTTAGACCCTTCTCTCCTTTCTTAGTATTTTAATATTTCATAGTGTTAAATCTTCGTGGGGCCCCTTTTTCATGAGTTGTACGGGGAGGTTGATGGACCTTTTCAGTTTGAACACTCATCTTCAATTCTTGGAAATGTTTTTGAATTATTTCTTTGAAATTTTACTCCTTTTATTTTTTCTAGTCTCTCTTTCTAAAACTCCTGTTATTCACATATTGGATAATTCTGGCCTAGCTTTATGATTTTCTTATATTTTTGACTCATTTTTCATCTTTTTAATTTTTTTGTTCTTGTTTTGTTTTACTTTTCTTCTGCTCAGGACACTTGCCCAAATTTTCCCTGTGTTACTCTTTTGTTTCTTTTTTCTTTTTTAATTATACTTTAAGTTTTAGGGTACATGTGCACAACATGCAGGTTAGTTACATATGTATACATGTGCCATGTTGGTGTGCTACACCCAGTAACTCGTCACTTAACACTAGGTATATCTCCAAATGCTATCCCTCCCCACTCCCCCGACCCCACAACAGGCCCCGGTGTGTGATGTTCCCCTTCCTGTGTCCATGTGTTCTCATTGTTCAATTCCCATCTATGAGTGAGAACATGTGGTGTTTGGTTTTTTGTCCTTGCGATAGTTTGCTGAGAATGATGGTTTCCAGCTTTATCCATGTCCCTGCAAAGGACATGAACTCATCCTTTTTTATGGCTGCATAGTATTCCATGGTGTATATGTGCCACATTTTCTTAATCCAGTCTATCATTGATGGACATTTGGGTTGGTTCCAAGTCTTTGCTATTGTGAATAGTGCTGCAGTAAACATACGTGTGCATGTGTCTTTATAGCAGCATGATCTATAATCCTTTGGGTGTATACCCAGTAATGGGCTGGCTGGGTCAAATGGTGTTTCTAGTTCTAGATCCCTGAGGAATCGCCACACTGACTTCCACAATGGTTGAACTAGTTTACAGTCCCACCAACAGTGTAAAAGTCTTCCTATTTCTCCACATCCCCTCCAGCACCAGTCGTTTCCTAACTTTTTAATGATCGCCATTCTAACTGATGTGAGATGGTGTCTCATTGTGGTTTTGATATGCATTTCTCTAATGGCCAGTGATGATGAGCATTTTTTCATGTGTCTTTTGGCTGCATAAATGTCTTCTTTTGAGAAGTGTCTGTTCATATCCTTTGCCCACTTTTTGATGGGGTTGTTTGTTTTTTTCTTGTAAATTTGTTTGAGTTCATTGTAGATTCTGGATATTCGCCCTTTGTCAGATGAGTAGATTGCAAAAATTTTCTCCCATTCTATAGGTTGCCTGTTCACTCTGATGGTGGTTTCTTTTGCTGTGCAGAAGCTCTTTAGATTAATTAGATCCCATTTGTCAATTTTGGCTTTTGTTGCCATTGCTTTTGGTGTTTTAGACATAAAGTCCTTGCCCATGGCTATGTCCTGAATGGTATTGCCTAGGTTTTCTTCTAGGGTTTTTATGGTTTTAGGTCTAACATTTAAGTCTTTAATCCATCTTGAATTAATTTTTGTATAAGGTATAAGGAAGGGATCCAGTTTCAGCTTTCTACATATGGCTAGCCAGTTTTCCCAGCACCATTTATTAAATAGGGAATCATTTCCCCATTTCTTGTTTTTGTCAGGTTTGTCAAAGATCAGATGGTTGTAGATATGTGGCATTATTTCTGAGGGCTCTGTTCTGTTCCATTGGTCTATATCTCTGTTTTGGTACCAGTACCATGCTGTTTTGATTACTGTAGCCTTGTAGTATAGTTTGAAGTCAGGTAGCGTGATGCCTCCAGCTTTGTTCTTTTGGCTTAGGATTGACTTGGCAATGCGGGCTCCTTTTTGGTTCCATATGAACTTTAAAGTAGTTTTTTCCAATTCTGTAAAGAAAGTCATTGGTAGCTTGATGGGGATGGCATTGAATCTATAAATTACCTTGGGCATTGAATCTATAAATTAGGATTGACTTGGCAATGCGGGCTCCTTTTTGGTTCCATATGAACTTTAAAGTAGTTTTTTCCAATTCTGTGAAGAAAGTCATTGGTAGCTTGATGGGGATGGCATTGAATCTATAAATTACCTTGGGCAGTATGGCCATTTTCATGATATTGATTCTTCCTACCCATGAGCGTGGAGTGTTCTTCCATTTGTTTGTATCCTCTTTTATGTCATTGAGCAGTGGTTTGTAGTTCTCCTTGAAGAGGTCCTTCACGTCCCTTGTAAGTTGTATTCCTAGGTATTTTATTCTCTCTGAAGCAATTGTGAATGGGAGTTCACTCATGATTTGGCTCTCTGTTTGTCTGTTATTGGTGTATAAGAATGCTTGTGATTTTTGCACATTGATTTTGTATCCTGAGACTTTGCTGAAATTGTCTATCAGCTTAAGGAGATTTTGGGCTGAGACAATGGGGTTTTCTAGATGTACAATCATGTCATCTGCAAACAGGGACAATTTGATTTCCTCTTTTCGTAATTGAATACCCTTTATTTCCTTCTCCTGCCTGATTGCCCTGGCCAGAACTTCCAACACTATGTTGAATAGAAGTGGTGAGAGAGGGCATCCCTGTCTTGTGCCAGTTTTCAAAGGGAATGCTTCCAGTTTTTGCCCATTCAGTACAATATTGGCTGTGGATTTGTCATAGATAGCTCTTATTATTTTGAGATACGTCCCATCAATACCTAATTTATTGAGAGTTTTTAGCATGAAGCGTTGTTGAATTTTGTCAAAGGCCTTTTCTGCATCTATTGAGATAATCATGTGGTTTTTGTCATTGGTTCTGTTTATATGCTGGACTATGTTTATTGATTTTCGTATGTTGAACCAGCCTTGCATCCCAGGGATGAAGCCCACTTGATCATGGTGGATAAGCTTTTTGATGTGCTGCTGGATTCGGTTTGCCAGTATTTTATTGAGGATTTTTGCATCGATGTTCATCAGGGATATTGGTCTAAAATTCTCTTTTTTTGTTGTGTCTCTGCCAGGCTTTGGTATCAGGATGATGCTGTACTATTTTATTTCTTTTGGTCTCTGTCTTTCCTAAAACAGAGGCCTAACTAAAACAACTAATAATCCTAGATTGTCTGTACTCTTTAATAGTTAAATACCAACTGTTTGGTATTAACTATTTAATAGTTAAACGCTAAGCCGAACTAAAAACCTTTAGTGTATGAGTCATACTTGTCATCTTGAAGCTCTTACCCTAAGTCGAGGACACGTTTTCTTGGGGGTGTCTCTCAAGTAGGTCGTTAGTCTTGAGTTGGCTGCGTTGCTGGAAAGGGATTATCCAGTCTCTTCTTGGAGGATATCAGCTTGATTTCTTGCATCCTGGGAGCTGGTTATTTCACTGTTTAGCATAAAGACTTACACCTCAGCTCCCTGTTTTCAGTGTGTAGCCTCTTTCCTGCCCTGGGCTAACCCTGATGCTCCCAAGTCTCAACTCTCTAGTTCACCTTCTTTAGAGAGTAAATATCCTGGCTTCTTCAGCGTTAGGGAGGAGTCACTTCCTTTTTGGAAAGGAATTGCAGTTCTGATCTCCTGTTCTAGATCAGGAGTTGGCAAAGTTTTTCTGTAAAGAGCTAGAGAATAAAGATTATGGGCTTGCAGCCTGTGTCACGGTCTCTGTGGCATGTTGTCTTCCTTCTCTTCCTCCTCCTCCTTTTTTTTTTTTTAAAACAACCCTTTAAAAACTAAAAACAAAACAAAATAATGGCATTCTTAGCAGGACAACCTCTGGTCTAGAGGATTCTTTTGGACACTGTCAACCTACCATCTTTTATCCTCTCTACCCTGTACCCCTGCCTTCAGAGGATCTTGAAGCCTACAATTTCTGAACCTTTTTGCATTTTACAGCAAAACTGGTTTGGTTTCCTGTGGGTATCCTCCACTCCAGTTTTCCCCTGCCTCATGAAAACTTAGGTTTCAGCTTTCATGGGTTTGCTAGGTGAGCAACCACTTGTCTGTCTTCTTACCGTTTTCCAAAAGGTCAGTTTTTTCCTTGTCTGCCTCTTTCTCTGCCCTTATTGGGCTATGGCTTCTTTCTTCCTTTCCCATCAGTTCACTAGGATTTGGAGAGGGAGGGAGAAAAATACATGTATTTAATATAGTAAGTTTAAGCAGAAGCTCCCACCAAATCCAATTTGATTGGTTTTGATTTTTTACTACTCTCTTTGATAGTTCTTGGGTTAATTTTGCATTTATTTTCCACGTGCTCACTTGCTATGCCAGATGTTTGAAGAAGATGTCCTTGGGCAAGAAAAATGAGGGGTTTTAAAATATAATGTTCTTGAAATGTTCACAATGGTTCAGTGTGTGAGATCTCAAGGAAGCCCAACTCTTTCTAACCACCAGACTCTCATCATAGAAATGCAGTTTCACCCTTATTTGTGCGAACCATCAGAAGCATTTAAAAATGTTTATAATAAAGTTTGTGGCTTATTGTTTCAAATTGCATTTAAGGTAGTAAACTGAAGCTTTTGGTGGTGTGTCCCTGACAGCAGGGAGAGCCTGTGGTAAGTGATCCCTAAGAGTTGATCAAAGGGAGTCATTGAGCATTTTTTCCTGTATTTGTGTTTTGGTCCTTTAATCTGGTAGCATTTCCAATTCCATTCTGAATACAGTAATGCACATTCCCTCCCCCACTTACATCTTCTTGACAGCATGTGGCATTTTCTTTGCCAAATGGCCCCTATTCAGGCATAAACCTGCCTTTGCCATCAAGTATATAATGAGGTATGAACAATGGTGATTATCAGAAAATGGGCATTTTCTTATTCATGCCACATTTTTGTTCTAATAATCAAATGAAAATTGAAAATTTAAAAAGTAAAATTCACTGAAAAATAACTACTAGTCCTTTCTGCCTAGGTTCACCTTTCCTTGCCAGTGAAGATGGCGTGCTTGGCGGAGTGATTGTCCTCCGTTCATGCAGATGTTCTGCCGAGCCTGACTCCTCCCAAAATAAGCAGACACTTCTAGGTAAGTGAGACATATACATTGTGTGTGTCTTTCTATTTTTTTTTCCAAGAAAAAATGAAAATATTTATACCCTTAAGTCAATAATTTTAAACTGCGGGAGGGTCAGCATGCTTTATTGATATCTGAACATCCCTGTTCTACTGATCTTTTTCCGTAGATAAGCATGTAAAAGATGAATGTTCATTTTTAAGTATACACTTAGAGAATATATTTCAAATAAGCTTAGAACCAAGGACCTTTACTAAAGTCCAGTATTAAGAATGTTGGACCCTGTATTCATGTCCTATCTTATTCCACAAAGCATTTGAGGTGACCCATAACAAGGCACACAGTAATAGAGAGGCTTCTTCCTGTTCCCCTTCCCCAAAAGGAATGAGAAGCATGTGAAGAGCTACTGGCCTTAGAGGTCAGTCCTGGCTCCGTGGCTCGTTAACCATGACACCTTCGTGCATTGGTCTTGCTGTTCCATGCTACTTCCTCATCTGTAAAACAAGGACATCTGCCCTGGCCTCCTGATAAAGCTGTGGTGAGGGAGGGTCAAATGAGTATTTTCGCAGATTTGCAGATTTCCATCCAGATGTGTGGTTTTGTTTCTACCCAAGCACCAGTGGGGATGAAACCCAGCCCACCCTCTGTGAAGGCACAGAGTTGTGGGGCTGCCGCTGACCACAGGGTTGCCTTTTTCTAATCCATCTCTCCAGAGGGGACACATTAAAAAAATCTGCATAAAGGTGACACATGCACTAGCAGGGGCACTATTTGTTATTTTTTTAAAGTTAACTTTTTAACTGAAGCATACATACATTTAGAAAAGTCTACAAATCATAACTGCAACTGCTTGATGAATTATCACAAAGTGAACCCACCCCCTATAACCAGCATGCAGATTAAAAAAAAAATAGAACTTTGCCACAACCCCAGAAGTCCCCTTTTGACACCTTCTGGTCTTTATCCCCTCCAAAGTTAAACAGTATGCTCACTTTTAACACCATGGTTAGTTCTGCCTGGTTTTATTTATTATATAAATAGAATCAGGAATACGTATCACTTGTGTCTAATCTTCAGTCAGCATTCAAGCTTGTTAGATTCAACAATGTTACATGCAGTAGGAGTTTGTACATTTTCATTGCTGTGTTATATTCTACTGTATGGTGATAGCTCAGTGTATTAGTCCATTCTTCTGTTTTTTTTTTTTTTTTTTTAATACAAACACTATAGGTCATCCACGGGGGTTGTGGTAGTTTAACCCTTCCTATAAATTTCCTTACAGAAAGCGTGAGTGGTGCCTGATGTATATTGTGTGATTGTTGTCGATTGCTATAGTACACGTCCCTTCATAGTTTATAAAATAGAAGACTGTGTGTTTTTTATGGGTATAAAAAATACTTTTTCTATAGGTGCCCAAAACATTTTCATAAAATCTCTTTGTTCATTCCTCAGAGAAAAACTACACTTTATATAAAAGGCCTTTTTCTCCACCTGGACACTAACCACCAGCTGTATTTTTTTTTTTTTTTTTTTTTGCCATACTGTCTCCTTCTACCCTCTGCACATAGTACCTAGGTTCCTCCAAGGAGATGTGCTTTTTAACAGTCATGTTTTGTTAAACCAAGACAAATACTAGTTTTCTTCTTTGGTGTCTTAATCGTTGTTGAATCCTTTGAATATTCTTCCAGTTAGATAGTTAAACCCAACCTGGTTGGTTTTAAACATAAGCAGAGGATGGACATGGGGTTTACATAAAACCTTTGCAGGGACATGGATGAAGCTGGAAACCATCATTCTCAGCAAACTTAACACAGGAACAGAAAACCAAACACCACATGTTCTCACTCATAACTGGGAGTTTAACAGTGAGAACACATCGACACAGAGAGGGGAACATCACACACCAGAGCTTGTCAGGGGGTGCGGGGCTAGGTGACGGATAGCATTAGGAGAAATACTTAATGTAGATGACAGGTTGATGGGTGTAGCAAGCCCTCCATGGCACGTGTATACCTATGTAACAGACCTGCACGTTCTGCACATGTATCCCAGAACTTAAAGTATAGTAAAACAAACAAACAAAAAACCTCAGAAGAATAACCCCTAGTGTTTGGGCAGCGGTGGGTTGGGGGGGGCATTAAAATTGTTTCATCGATTATTCCTAAAAAGGAGTATCACAGTACTTTGCTGAGCCTGGACTCTTACCCATTTGTGTTAACCCTGAAAACTGTAATGTCTTTTTGGTTGTCTTTTCATTTTTGGTGGTACAGAAATGCATATTTAAGGATAAGTCATAGTATTTTAGCTCACGTTATATAGTTTTTATTACCAATGTAGTGATTTATAAACTGGTTCCTACTCTTTATTTCAAGAGGAAGCATTAAGTGTGAAGTGCCAGTTTATGAAATAAGTGAAACCTTGCCGTTCATTAACTGGAGGCGTTGATGCTTATGAAGCTTATCTACTAAAACCTGGCGAACATAGGCTAATGTCAACTTATAGATGCTACCAATTATGTGAACTTTCTATAAAAGTTATGAATGTGAAGTATTTGGTAAGAAAATAAATTCAAACAGTATAGAAGGATAGGAAACAAAGTAAATTCAAACAGTATAGAAGGACAGGAATCAAAGATGTGAAAGTCACCTTTTACACTCCATTTCCAGAGCCACCAGTCAGTCTTTGGTTCTGGTTATTCTCACGGGAAACACCCTCACTCTGTAGAATGTGCTCACACATCTATTTCTTGATTAGTCAGTAACTTGTGACCCCTTGCTGTGAAAAAGTTAAAAACTTAGCTCACACCATGTCCCACTTCCCTTCCTTCTTGATTTTTGTTGGAATTCTACTCTAACTTGAAATAATATGTTTAATTTTATTGTATTTTAGCACACTGTTTCTTGATATATTAACTTTATATAATGTCTATCAAACATTCCTCACCACTTCAACTATATAAGTTGAGGAAAGTTCATGCACTGTTTTCTGTTAGTCTGTTTCTATTGCTTATAACAGAATACCTAAAACTAACAGAATATCTGAGTAGTTTGTAAAGAAAATTAATTTATTTCTTACAGTCATGGAGGCTTAGAAGTCCAAGGCCAAGGGGCTGCATGTGATGAGGGCCTTCTTGCTGGCGGGGACTATCTGTAGAGTCCCATAGGGGCACACTGATGTCACATGGTGAGGGGGCTAAGTGTGCTAGCTCAGGTCTCTCTTCATCTTCTTATAAAACCACCAGTTCCACTCCCATGATAACCCATTAATCTATGAAGATATTAATCCATTCATGAGGGCAGAGTCCTTAAGACCTAATCACCTCTTCAGGGTCCCACATCTTAATACTGCCGTATTGGGGAATAGGTTTCAACATGGATTTTGGAGGAAACAAACATTCAGACCCTATAGCATTCGCTTTTCTCCTTTTCTCTTCCTCCTTCACTCTCCTACCTCACCTCAACCTCTGTCAACAATACCATTGTTGTTATGATTATTAACATTTGCCTTCTTATATCTGTACTTATCTCTATAGTTTGATCAGGGATTGATTCTAAATAATGTCAGTAACCAGCATTAACAGCATCAAGATTATAGTATAAATAGTGCTCACTGCATACCCTAGAAGCAGAAGATTGGACCCATAAAGATCAGGGTTTGTCATAAACCTCTGCCTGTAAAAGGGGACTATTTCAGTCATCAAGATCAAGTGGATTCTCCTTTCTATCAGTTGCTCCAAATCAGGCTATAAATTAATTTGCTTCGTGTTTGGACCATGACTTCCCATGACTTTATGACTTTTTCACTGTCATAAGAGTATAACTATAAACTCATGGCTTCTGGAGCTCAGTAATTTCTAGTAACGAGGAAAGCTCAGAAGTCTTTCTTTTCTACACATCCAAATAAAACAATTTCCAAAATTAAAAAAAAAAACTTAACTGCTGTGTATTGTTAATCACTTTTTTGGTCCCAAGAATAATATAATCACACAATCTCCTACTGTAGCCTTTTCTGTGTCCACTTTCTTTTCTCAAAATTGTAAATAATGTTCTCATTACACCACACAAGCAGTTTTCAGTCGAACCTCATTGCCACTTGATGGAGTTTCCTGGAAGCCGTTATGTAGACTTTCCTCTTGACAAATACATTAGTTATCAGAGCTCCAGTGGGCTGCTTCCAAGGTGATATGACTCAAGTAACAGACACTTTTGAGGTTTGCCCTTTGTCTACTGATTCATGAATAGAATCGGAGAATCTCAGGTATGAAGGAACTTTCAAAGTCCACTTGTGTGACCTTGTTACAGGTGCTTTGTCCATAGTTTGTTGAATGCTCCTCCCTTCAAGAGGTGGAACTCAATTTCCCTGCCCTTGACTGTGAGCCAAACACTAGAGACTCGCTTCCAACCAATAAATTTATGGCAGAAGTGAAAGTGTCTGATTTCTGAGACTAGGTCAAAAAGGCATTGTGGCTTCCTCCTTGGGCTCTCTGTTGAATCACTCCCTCTGGGTGAGACCAACTGCCATGTCATGAGGACACTCAAGCAGCACTGTGGGGAAGCCCACTTCGCAAAAAACTGCGACTTCCTCCCAACAGCTGCTTCTGAGGAACCGGGGCTTCCTGCCAACGGCCTCAGAGATCTGAGTGAGCCTTCAGGTGACAGCAGTCTATGGCAACATCTTGACTGAAATCTCATCGGAGAGCCTGCTAAAGAACCACCCAATGAAGCCACCGTGGAATTTCTGACCCACAGAAACTGAGATAATAAGTGTTTGCTGTCTTAAACCACCGCATTTTGAGAGAATTTATTACGTAGCAGTAGATAACTAATAAACTTTTTAAGCCCTTTCGTCTAATGAGCTGTAATGACAAATCAAGATGCTCTGTTGCCATCTTTAGGCAGCTGTTGGGTTTTGGTTTTCATCAGTAGATCCTGATTCTCTTTTTGGGGACCCTCTAGGACAAATATGATGCGTGTCCTTTTACATTGCAGTCTGTAATCAAGTTTCCCTCACCTCCTTAGCCTCCTCACCTCCAGCCTTTCTTCCTCTATTTGTCCCCTCAGTCCCGTCTCCATTATTGCTCCCAGAGTTCTTTCTATATAACAACTCTGCAGCTGGCCCAGAGAACATAGCCATGGGTCCCAAACCAGGGGCAGGAGAGAAGACTTCCCGAAAGAAGAAAGGGCAAAAATGAGAACCTGACCTAGAGAGCCACACCAATCCCAAGATCAGAAGGACACTGTTCAACCCAAGAGTGACATAAGTATATGTAATTAGTTTACTATACGTCTAAGCTAAATGTTGAATCTTCTTATGTATACTAAAATAAAAACAAACATGTATCTCTTACTGTTACTTCAATGCTCTCTACCTTTAATTTTTCAGCAGGCAGCACACACACAGACAGGCACACACACAGACAGACACACACACACACACACACTCACACACACCCTGTGCTGGTGAATTTCCTATAGCACAAATGGGAGCTACCTAACTTGATGGGAAATGGCATCCCCTGATCTGACCTCAGAATATGCTTTCAGTGTTATTTCTGACTAGTCCTTTTTAAAAAAAAAAAATAATTGACAAATAATCGTAATAATTGTATATGTTCATGGAGTTCAACTAGTTTTTCTCTTCATTCATTCTCAATGTCTCAACTCTGGCCACTCCACATCACTTGGTCTTCCAAAGAGTTATTTTTTTCCCGCAATAACTTGCATATGCTCTTGCTGTGCTAAGCTCTGGGCCAATACAAGTCTTTAAAACCCTGATCAAATGTGAATCTTCTTCGAATCCTCTGGAAGTCCTCACCCCAGGTAATTTGCTCTTTCCTTGTGCTCTGTTAGCACCATGCAGTTGACATTCCTTCTAACAATGACTGTGACACATCCTAGCCCCTTCTCATAGGCCAGCACTTCTTAATCTTTTTTCTGAACTCAGTTATTTGAGAGGAATAAATCATAGGTCTTTGAGCTCCAGTGACACACACAGGGGCTATAGAGGTTTGAAATATCTTTCCAGGCGCTGGAAAATTCCACTGCTTCTAAGAATCATACCACCAGATTGTGAACTATTTGAGGGCAGAAGCCATGTCATATTGAACTTAATAGGTTCCCAATAATTATTGGATGGATGATTTAGGTGCCAAATGGAGTTTCTTTATTGATGATTTAGCAGAAACTTTAAAAGAAGTTGATTCTTGTTCCAGAAAAATGAAATATCACAGAAAATATTCTCATGCTCACAAAAAAACAAACAATATTGGTTGGAAATGTTGGATAATGAGGAGCATCCAAGAACTAGATGATTTTGAGGCAGTTTAAAGGGATCACAGAGGAAAGTCTCTGCAAATAGCCTTGTAAAGGGACAATTTGGATGTGAACATGTTTGCAACACCCATCCTGCCACCTCCTACCCCCAGATCATGAGATGCTGACAAAGCCCAGCCTACAAATCGCTGATTTAACGCAAAGCAAATGCTTGTCCCTGGAATGAAACAGCTGAAAAGAATTAATTTTCTCTCTGCTTTTAGAGAAAAAATAAGCCAATGTATTTTTACCTGCTGAAGTACAATTACATGTGCTTTCCAGGCCTCTACAGAAGTGCTTTATTGAGGCTGCCGTATATAGTATGGTTAATAAATGGATAAACAAAGGCAGGCATACCAAACCAAGTCTTCTGGTGAAAAAAATGAGTTCTTTACCATTTTAAGCTTGTAATTAGATACAGGTAATTAGAATATATGCAAATATATAGCATAAACAGCCAAGCTTAGTATATGGGTTAATTTCCTGTTTTGCACCTTGTACCAAAACATGTGTTGTTGGGAGCCTGATAGACCCTATGAAGTTCAAGGGTGTCTGCCAGGGAGTGGTCAGTAGGAAGCAGTGAATGTGGCGATCAATGAAAAACAGATTCCATATAGAAAAATCTTAAGCAATTCAGGATAGGAGGCATATGGGCTCTTAGAAGTAAAAAGAGGCTGTGTGTTTAACCAGTGGCTTTTGTGCCAAGCTTGTGTTGGAGTTCTTCATCCTAAACAGATTTGAGGCCCACAGTTCATCCAGAGCCTGATTATGCGATGAGCACACATGTAATTGTTACCTTGCCATTAAGTTAACCCCACCTTATGCAGAGAATAACTTCAGATTCTTTCCTATCAACAGATGTGTTCATAATGCTGATAATTAACTTTTGTACATGATCCTGCTTCCATTTGTCCAGCTACCCTTTTATCCTTTTTTTCATCTTTTACTATGAAATGTTTAATATATTTTTAAAAGAAGGACATAATAAATTTGTAAGTTATAAAGGACAATAATAAAATGAACACCTGTGGACCTGCCACCAAGCCTAAGAAATTGCCCATTACCCATATGTTTGAAGCCCCTATGTGGGCCTCTCTGATCTTACTACTGTGCTTTCTCCCTCCTTTACTTTGTGTTTACCCCCTGCTTTTCCTGAAAGCTTTTTCACACTTTTATATGTCTCTAAATGGTACATTGTTTAGTTTTCCTTGATTTTAAACTTTATATAAATGGTATATGATTTATTATATGAAAATTTCCGCATGTTCTCACATAATTACCTGAAAGGATAATGAGTTATTTTATCATTGTAGACATAGCTCTATCAAATCAAACTGTTTTACTGTGGCCAATTAGAACTCAAATGCAGTATTTTCCTCCCTCTTTTCAGAATAGGCAAAGTTCTTTATCGAGTACTTTGTTTTGTTGCTGTTACCAAAGTATGCTGTGGTTTCAAAATAAAAAATGTTAAATTGAATTGATGCTTCCTGGAACATTAAAAAGATAAAAGGTTATTTTACTGTAAGTTAAAATTCCAAACCGCCTTTTGGTTTTACTGGTATTAAAAATTTGGCGAGCACATATAAACACATGTACTTCAAAGGAGCTTCATTCTCAGGGCACCAGCAATATCACTTATTTCCATTACATGGCACATGCCACAGTGAGCACTTATGACTAGGCATTTCTGCTGGGCTCACATGATCATAAACATAACCATCAAAGAGAACACAAATTAGCTTTTAGGCTGGTAGTGGGAAAAGAGGTATTTATAGATGTTTGTCTGATGTTAATAACTTTATCTTAAGAATGGAATTAAAACTTTGTTCTACGTGACAGTCCATTGTCATGGTTGGAAGCTCATTTCTTTAGTTGCCTCAGCAATGTTTTGGAATTGTTACATCTTCACTATAGTGAAGATATCTCTTAAGAGATAAGCCACATTTTAGTTCTTATTTAAGGATCAGATGGAATGAAGAACAGTAAGTAACTTAGATGCAAGGTGAATGAGGCAGACATGATATTTAAACTTTTCAACAATGAAGAGTAGCATTAATCTGATGAAGTAGTGCTCTGAGATTAATATTTTCAGAATTAGTTTTGGTTTTATAATACAAAGATATTGATTGCAAGTATCTATAATCTGACACTTTGTTTATACCAGGACTTTCTTTCCTTTAAATCATGAACATATCTCTATATATTGTATCACTAATATACTCTGAATATTGGAAATAGATTTTCATCTGTAATTTTCTTCTCCATCATGAGAAGTATAGTTCTAGTGATTATCTTGCCAAGAAATATTATTTTTTGGCTCACAAAGTTTTCCATCTGAAATATAGAATACAAAAATTTATGAATAGAATTCTAATGACTATGTAATTCTTATTACACTCAGGAAATTTTATAGTCAGTTTCATCTGCTCAAAGGATAATAGAGTTTACCATGAAATAAATCCTAAAAATGTGTTGGTTGAATGAATAAAATTGCGTTTTAATAAAACTTGTTTTACTGAATGGTTTTCTGTTCACCAGAGAACTTCCAAGTCCCAACCAAGTGGCCCTGTTTCCAGCAGCTTCTAATACAATAAAAGGATAAAACAGGAAGATAACTGAAGTGTCCTCCAGGACTTTTGTTACTATTTGACCCACATCCTCCTCTTTTCAGTCAGCATCCTTTGTTAGTTAGTCTTGAACAAATCTAAACAAGCCTTAGAAAGAGGGAATGATTATTTTCTTGGCTTAGTGTAACCAGGATTCTATAGAACTCAATCCCCGTTGCTCCCAAGACAGTTAAGTGGTGAAAGTTTTTCAGGGAAGCATGCCAAGTCAAAGTTTCTTCATGGCCATAATGGGACATGCATTATATGAGTCTTAAGGATTCCATGTCAAGACAGTAAAGCGTCTTTGCATTTTTTTTTTCTAAAGATAAACACCCTGCTGGTTATAAAGACCCTAACAACCAGGGGCAAAAATCTACAGTGATAAGAGGAGGCTGTTCTATTTACAGTGCCTCATTCTTCCCATTTAAAAAATGAATTTCTCTTTATTCAATAAGGAGTAACTTAAATACTGTGCAAAATGTCCCAGGGCGTGCCATTTGACCTAAGGCTCAAGAGTGGCAGCTAACTTGGCAACTGCCCAGCCCAAGACGGTTCTGATTTTGGAGTTCTGTTTTCCTTGCAAGCAAGTCTGGGATGTGAAGCTAAGCAGAGAGGTTTTAAGTGGGTGTGGGAGCCAGTGCAGCTGGGGGTTGTTAACAACAATTGGAGGACAATATATGTATATATATTTTTAAAGAGGAGGAGAGTGACTGATGACTTCTTTCTGGTCAGAAAAAAGAATCCATTTGGATAGAAAAAACTTACTTGCAACCTGGTAAGGAAATGGTTTTGTCTGACTTAATTTAAACAGGATGATATGTGGATGATTTTGAAAGAGAAGTATCCTGGGGAAAACATCATGAGAGAGGTAGCTTGTAGCTCTTTTAACCCATAAAGCTGGTGATTTAAATGCCACTAGGAGGCAAAGCCTTGCATTGGGGATTAAGGGCTGCTTTATATAGCAGAGCTCCACCAAAACTGAAGTAGTACCGGTGTTGGGCATATAAATTTACTTGTTCCAAATTCTTAAATACAACTTTCTGGAAAGCCTAGCCTCTAAGATTAAGTACAAATACATCCTGAAGGTTCTTATAATGCAATTAATCCATCATTTATGAAGTGCACACGTGCAGCTCATCCCTATCTAAGCCATTCTCCAATGTTGGAACAGGATCAATGGTGTGTACGTTTTCTCACATTGCATTTGTATGACATGATATGTTAAGAAGCCACTTGATGGAGAAGAATTGTGCCAAATCTCTGTGTCTATGTTTCACATGTTAAACCTACTCAGAATCTTATTTTAGTGTGTTGTTAATGTTTTCTGATGAGAATCTTTTCGTGGTCTGGGCATTTCTAGAAGTCCCACAAAGCCCTGGGCTTTGGCCTTCTAAAGAACATAAGCATTTTTCAATCAGTAGTTGAGGTTATAAACAGCTACTAGTCACTACCAAAGGAAAATGGTCATTACTGAAAGGCTAGAAGCTTCTCTAGATGGAAATAAGCTTGAGCTTGACCACACCGAGACTGTTATAGCCAGCGCTTTCACAGGCTCAGATGTGTCACTTCAGGCCACTCATTTACCCTGCGTGTTGCTGGAGTTCATGGTCTTCCTCATGTAATCATTACACCTGGAAAAATTCCAGTGCTATGAAGTAGCATTTCCCAGGTTTGCTGTGTTATTAGAATTATCTTTTAATACTCTTACCATAAACTTCAATTTTCAGTACATGGAAGAATTTCAATTAAGTACTCAAAATCAGGAGACACATTATAGACTTCCAGATATCACTGATGGTAAATGCTACTCTTTTACTGAGATTTTAAATTTTTCTATGTAACCGTATTTGAGCAAACTTTGTACTACTCTTTGCTGAGTTTTAATTATACATTAGGACTTAACTAATAACACATTTTGAAAGCTTTTTTGTGAGATAAAACTTACTCACAAATGTCTCTATTTATTTTAAAAAAAACTTATAATGATTTTGACCTTTTAAAATTTCTGATGGAAAAGCAGCTTGAGGAAGTTGTCAGGTACAGTGCGTGTTTGTTTTGTTCTGTTTGTTTTGATTGCCCTTTGAACATAGCAGATTTTGCCTTAAGTATATGTGTTTGGTGTAAATGGAAGTAGAGGCTTCTTCATGCCCCATCCTAAGATTTGCTTATGTTTTAGATAATCATGAGACAAGAAACAAATTGGACGTTTTAGACTAGTTTCACATCATGATAATACATTCTAATGAGGGACAATTAAAATATATGCTAAAATCAGAATGTCTTCATCTAAACAGGGAAGAAATTCTTCATATATATTGTAGGTTAACAGGGTAATCAAGATTTTTAGAGGCATTAAAAAATAGGAAATATATGAAAACAGGATCAAATTCAGAAGTTTCAGAAGGTGGTGAAAAATAGGTTGCCCTTCACTCAAGTTCCTTACTCAACTAGTTCCCTCTACAGGAGGAACCGTTGCTGCCAGTTGCTAAGATAGTCTTCCAGAGAGACTCTATGTACTTACAAGCATGTTCATACATGATCGTCTTTTATTTTATTTCACAAAAATGGCAGAACCATATCTATACATTATTCTCCACCTTACCTTTCTTTTTTTAGCCAAGCTATCTTGTAGACTAGTGTTTTTTTTTAAACTGCAGCATGTCACATTAATAAGTTCTAAATCAATTTAGTAAATCACAAGCAGAATTGTTAAAAAGCAATAAGTAGACTATAAAGAACCCAGTAGAAGAGATCAATACATTGTTAAGTAGAAGAGCAATTATTACTTTGTGAAATTTTAGTTATAAATAGATGTGTGTAGTAAATGACAATGTGTGGGGTTTTTTTTGTTGTTGTTTGTTTTGATTTGGTTTTGGATTTTACTGTGGCTTGTGATCAAAAAGTTTGAAAAACAGTGTAGTTGGTTCCATATCCATGTAGAGCTTCCTCATTTGTTTTTAATTGTTACATAGTATTTCATTGTATACAGTATCATAGTTATACATATGTCCAATAGGCAATTAATTGGTTTCCAGTTTCTTGCTGATTAAAGCTACTTTGATGAAGATTCTTATAAATATGTTATTTTATATATATAAAGGCATATCTGTGGAATAAATATCTAGAAATAGAATTGCTAGGTCAAAGAGTGTGTAATTTTGATAAATACAGTCAATCCTCATTATTCCTGGATTCTGTATTTGTTAATTTGCCTACTTGCTAACATTTATTTGTAATCCATGAATCAGCATTTCAGCACTCTCATAGTCACTTGTGGACATGCATGAACTGGTAAACATTTTGAGTCACCTCATGTGCACATTCCCAGCTGAGGTAAACAAGATGATGTTCTGCCTTCCTGTCTCAGCTCTGGTACTACAAATGTATCCATTTTGTGGCCTATTTTGTGCCATGTTTTCCACATTTTTGCACTTTTTAATGGTGATTTTGCCATTTAAAATTGCGCCAAGCATAGTACTGAAGTGCTGTCTGGTGTTTCAGAGTGCGAGAAGATGGTAGTGTCTCATGGGGAAAAATGTGCATTTTGGATAAGCTTCATTTAGGCAGAAATTATAGTGCTATTAGTGGTGAATTCATTGTTAATGAATCAACCATATGATACACCCAGATAAAAGAAGAGGAAACTCACTGATCTGTATGTGAGGCTGCTCCAGAAGGTGCTAAAGTAACATCTATATATGCAGCAATGGAAAAGATGGAAAAGCAGCTAAATTAGTAGATTCATGAAATGATGACCAATAAAAAAAGCATAGAGGACAGCATTATTGTGTAACTTGAAAGCCAAAGAAATTTATGGGCATGTTACCCAGCATCAGGAAAACGTTAAACCCTTCTTGGCTAGTGTTTATGCATATAATTATTTCTAAATAAATAAGTAAATAAATATTTTTAAAAGATTAAACATTGGGAGGCCGAGGCACGCGGATAACAAGGTCAGGAGAACGAGAGACCATCCTGGCTAACACAGTGAAACCCCGTCTCTACTAAAAACACAAAAAATTAGCCGGGCGTGGTGGTGGGCGCCTGTAGTCCGAGCTACTAGGGAGGCTGAGGCAGGAGAATGGCGTGAACCCGGGAGGCAGAGCTTGCAGTGAGCCGAGATCACACCACTGCACTCCAGCCTGGGTGACAGAGCGAGACTCTGTCAAAAAAAAAAAAAAAAAAGGTTAAACAGAAACACATATAAAATAAGGTTATTTGTTGATATGCTATTAAAAATGTTTTGACCAGAGATTTGCAGGAACTTAGCCCTGTATTTTCCCTACCTGTAGTGGCTCATTATTTGCTAATTCAGTGTTCATCAGCATTACAGAGCATAATTACCACGGATTAAGAGAATGTTCTTGCAGATGGCCATACTCCCACCACTGCTATATGAATCTGCTCTTTTCTCCACTCCCAGCTAACACGATGTTGTTTCAAACTTTTTGATATCTGAAACCTGGTAGTCTGATAATAGTCTGAAACCTGATAATGGTATCTTGTGATTTTAATTTGCGTTTATTTTAGTATGAGTAATGTAAATTATCTTTTCATATGTTTTAGAGCCATTCATATTCCCTTTTGTTCATATCCTTTTTGCATTTTCTTTGGATATTTGTCTCATTGATTTGTAGGAGATCTTTAAATATTAAGAAAATTAGCCTTTTGTTTATGCTATGAATTGCAAATATTTCCCCAAATTTGTCATTCATCTCTTGACTTTCATTTTTCTCCAAATGGCAAAAACAAACACTCTAAACAGGCCAGGTGCGGTGGCCCATTCCTGTAATCCCAGCACTTTGAAAAGCTGAGGTGGGCGGATCACCTGAGGTCAAGAGTTCGAAACCAGCCTGGCTGACATGGTGAAACCCTGTCTCTACTAAAAATACAAAAATTAGCCAGGCAGGAGAATCGAGAATCGCTTGAACCTGGGAGGTGGAGGGTGTAGTGAGCTGAGATTGTGCCACCGCACTCCAGCCTAGGTGACAGAGTAAAACTCTGTCTTAAAAAAAAAAAAAAAAAAAAAAGAAGGAAAACGCTATAAATACTTTTTAACTAGTCAAATATATTGATCTTGGCCATCTTTTGTGGTCTCTGGGTTTCGTTATGGTTTAAAAGCTTTCCTTAAGAGAGATTTAAAATGTTTTAAGAGTTATTTGGTGTTTGTGTTTGATGTTTCGTGTCTTTTGGTGTTTGTAAGGAATTTGGTCTTCTTAATGTGTAACAAGTACAAATCCTTATCTATACTGAGTAGATTTCAGAGTAATATAACAATGAAATACCACAGGCTTTGTGATCCCAGAGTCCAGCTTGAAATCCAGTCTGTGTGCCTAGTAAAATGACTTAAACCGTACTGCTTCCCTTCTCTGAGCCTCAGGTTCCCCATTTCTGCTTTGCTGAGTTCTGCTATGAAAGACAATGCCTGGCACATCTTAGATTCTAAGTGTTAGCTGCTCCTTGTCCTGCTTCCCTGAAGTCTTCCACTAAGAAATAATTTGTTAAATTAACTTGCATTATGCATGTACTACAAGTAATGAAATAATTTCTCTTAAAAGTGTTTTATAATTTAAATTCTAGACAATTTCTTCTGAGATTTTCAAGCTAGCGTGAATTAATAACTGAAAACTGATTTGAATTGTCATTATTAAAAAATGTGTCAGTACAATGCTTTGCCTTTTACTGTGGGATGGGATAAATGTTTGTGAAAACAGTGAAGAATGAAATTTTAGACATTGAGTTATTTTCTTTAAAAACTCCTAAACACTAGATCTAGAAATTTTATTGAAAACCATTCATATAAAAATAGTCATTTAATGAAGTTCATCAGTGTATTCTAATTTATCCTCTTTTGTAAGTCTAAATTTTTGTGTTTATTCCATTTTTTGAAAGCAGACTACATTTATAGGGAGAATAATACATTTAAAAATCATTAAAATGATATTTAAAAAATAAAGGGTAATGTCTTTATCCTTTGCTCTCATGGTCATATTGGCTATATTTTTATGATTTTTCTTGGCTAATTCCTGAGCAGTTGCCCCCTTAATATTCGGGGCATGAGGAAAAGGTGCAATTTTAGAAATGCTTTAACTTTGTATTTGAATAAAATGTATTGTCACTACTCTAGAGAACTTCAGTAAGACTTGAGTGCCTTTCCTCTGTTAGGCAAGTTAGACTATCCCAGACCTTGCTCTGGATGTCAAGATTTTTGAAGTTTAAAGCAGATGTGTGTGGACGAAAAAACATCTGGTGAAGAGAACTTGCTTCATTGCGTGACACTTTTCCTTCACTCTTCAGTGGAGCGTCTGTTGAGCAGGTTGGCAGGTTTGATAACTAATTAATGATAAGGGAATGAGCCATGTATCTGAGGAACTCCATTTTGCCCCTTACTGCCTCTTTCTTCCCCACATGTCTGGCAAAGCCTTCAGAGGCTAGGATCATGGATCACACAGTTGGGTCTCAACTCAAACACTTGTCTCCAGGCTTAACTAGCTTAGAGATATAAACAGATGGATGGCCTGGGGGACAGGGTTTAGTGTTGAGCAATGCAGTTTTATTATCAGGGACTTTTGAAATTTTTATTGGAGTACATTACAACTTTAAAAATGCCTTCGAAAACTCAGAATTTTGATGCTGTGTACTGGAATGTGACAGAGCTTTGTGGGCATCCCTGGATGTTTGCAGTTTTCTTTTTGTAACTTTTTATTTAGATATAATTTTATACATACAGAAAAGTTGCAAGAATAGTGCAAGGGACAACCATGATTCCTTTTCCCAGATTCAACCAGTGTTTTCCTTTCCTTCCATTTGCTTTCCCATCCTCATGCCCTCCTCCCTCTACATGCACACGAGCATGCACATGCACACACACATACACACAAACAAATAAGTGCATTTTTTTCCCTGAACTATTTGAGAGTGAATTGGAGACATCAGGCTCCTTTATTCCTAATACTTTGGTGAGTATTTCTTAAGAACAAGGCCATTCTACTAAATAATCACAGTACAGTTATCAAAGTCATGGCTTTTAGTATTGATACAACACTACTGTCTAACCCAGAGTCCCTTTTCCAACTTTATCAATTGTTTCCATAATGTCCTTTATAACATCTCTCCCCACCACCAAGTCCAGGGTACAATCCAGAATGACACATTGTGTTCAGTTGTCATGTATTCTTTAAACAGGAAGTTTCTCAACTTTGTGTTTTCTGACTTTGGCATTTTTGAAGAGTTCAAACCAGTTATTTAGTAGAGTGTTGCTATTTCAAGTCTGTTTGATGTTTCCTCATTCAATTCTGGTTATGCATTTTTGTCAGGAATACCAAATACCACAGAAGTGTTGTGTCTCAAGGTATCTTATCAAAAGGCACATGGTACTGATTTGTGCCTTAATTGGTGGTGTTAGCTTTGTTCATGGAGTTAAGTTGGAGTCCATCAAGTGTTTCCACAGTGAACAAACAGTTTTTCCTGTTATAAGAATTTTTTGGAGAGATACTTTGAAGCTATGTAAATAGCCCATCCTTCTTCAAATTTCCACCTACTAGTTTTAGCAACCATTATTTTCTAACTCTGTTATTTTTTCTATACTTATTAGTTGGCATTCTGCTGAAGGAAGAGCTTTGTCTTCTTCCCCATTTATTTGTTTGGATCAGTATGGGCTCACTGGTTCTGACTTTGTTCAGTGGTTATAACTCATTACTCTCATTATTTATTTTCATAGGCACAGATTTTTGCCAGTAAGAGCCCTTCAAGTTGACCCCTGGGTCTTTTGGATAAGTCCCCTTTACTCTTTGAGCATTTCCTTACTTTTCTGGTACAACAAGATGTTCCAGATTCATTTTATATTTTCTCTGTCCCAGCTCTGGAATGGACATTTCTCCAAAGAATCCTGGTTCTTTTTCGTAGAGAATGGTATTTAGAAATTAAGGGCTGGGTGCGGTGGCTCACACCTGTAATCTCAGCACTTTGGGAGGCCAAGGCGGGTGGATCACCTGAGGTCAGGAGTTCGAGACCAGCCTGGCCAACATGGTGAAACCCCGTCTCTACTAAAAATACAAAATTAGCTGGGTGTAGTGGTGCATGCCTGTCATCCCAGCTACTCAGGAGGCTGAGGCAGGAAAATCACTTGAACCTGCGAGGCAGAGTCTGCAATGAGCTGGGATTGCGCCATTGCACTCAAGCCTGGACAACAAGAGTGAAACTCCGTCTCAATAAGGAAAGAAATTAAGACCTGGTGTGTGTGTATGTGTGTGTGTGTGCATGCACGTGTTTTAAAATAAAACACACTATGGAATATTACATTTACAAAATCACTGTGTACCGTATGTACGAGTGTGTGTGTGTGCATTTAATGTTACAAGAGTCAAACAGAAGAGCATTTATTTTACATGTAATAATCATAACTTTTGACAGGAAAGAGATACATTTTTCATTTCACAGTAAATGGCATTACACAGTTTTAGTGATAAATCATCTTGACATTTATGAACAAGCAAATGGAAAGTGGGGAACTGAGTGTGTTAAATATAAAGCTATCTTTAACTGTTCTATTAAAAAGCAAAGATTTATTTTCCATCTGTGATCTGAATGTGCCTATTTGTGTTCTCTTTTATGGCAGTGGAATTTCTGTGGAGCCACACGACGGAGAGCATGTGTGTCGGATATATGTCAGCCCAGGATGGGAAAGCCAAGGTAAGTGGGAAAAAACGGTCATAACCTGAAAACCTTGTAGCCATCGCATAAACCTCTAACCAGCTAAGTTGATGTGGATGAATTTTTTCAGCTTTTTTTGGGCAGTAGCTTTGTGGTCTTCATAAGCATCCGAATAAGAACAGTTAACAATGCTAACAGCTCCAGAGAAAACCAGCATATCTATTTTGCTTTTGGTGACACAGCAGGGGAGCATTAGGAGGAGCCTGCCCACTTTCCCCCACAGCCCCCAGCTTGTTCCTTTTTGCCCATTGTGAATAAGTAGAGAAGAGGAAACTGGGGTTTGGGAAGAGAAAATGGGAGTGAAGCTGATGAGCTGACATAGATGGATGTTTCTGCAAGAAGTGTTGGAATAAAGGAAACTGAGTCAAACAAGCTTTAACCCTAGAAAGCATCCTGCATGTTTGATGGCACAGGTGGCTGACATGCTTGCAAATATGACCTGTCTCACCTTTCAGTGTGTTCTGTCATGCCCTGACCTGGTGTCTTCATGGGCAGAATTAAAGGTCTCTGTCCATGTCCCACATGCCTGTGGCACTCGTCGCTCAGTGAGTTGCAATAATCACATAGGCATCCACATACTATCTCCGGAGTTGCTTTGCTTCCCTGGACTCATGATGGTTGAGCCTGGGAATAAGCAACATGATTTGTGGATTTTATTTTATATTGGCCTCATGTTCTTCTTGTTCATAAATTTTTTAGAAACAGCTGTGGCCTGTGATGTTTACTTGGCATTAAAGTACCTCAGTTATAAAGCTGTGAAGTTGTGCAGCATTGTTTTTAAAAGAAATGATTTATTTTGCACATTTTGACATATAAAATAGGAAAACTTCTGATATGAGCAGTCTGTTACAGATTGAATCATAAAGGATAAATATAATAAAGAACACTTTATTGCTTATTTGTCATGTAATACCTATCCTGACTATCCTTTGTATATTATCCAGCCAGCCTGTAGCTCCACAGAACTTTTGTGAGTAGTGTAAAGAACATTTATTCAGACAAGGATTGACTTATATTGTGAAAATTTTGCTGAGATCCACCCTCCCCCTTTGCTTCACCTTCATCTGGTACAATATTCCTATTGTGTTAGTAGACCTGTTTCCTAAGAGAATACATAAAATATTGCTTTATTTCATAATTTATATAGAATGGAAATATAATTGTCCATTTTAAAGGTGATTTAAGGGTTTAGAACAGCACTGTCTAATAGAATTTTGTGTGATGTAAACATTTTATATCTCTGTTTTCCAACAGGGAAGCTACTAGCCACATGTGGTTATTGAGCACTTAAATGTGGCTAGTTTGATGGAGGAGCTGAATTTTAAATTTTACTTAATTTAAATTTAAATAGCCACATGTGGCTCGTGGCTACCATATTGAACAGCACAGGTTTAATGAATAAGTATGAAAATGATTATTCATATTTTCAGATTCATTTCTTCTCAGTGACAAAACAGTTCCCATACATAAAACAAGCCTGATAAACCCCAAGAATCCTTGCCTAACAGTAGCTTGAAGCCATTTCAGTTTCTCTGTCCCCTTAATATTGATTCAGAACTAAGATTGCTTTTTAACAAAAGAGCATGTTTGAGGTGGACGTCAGCACTGAAGCCAGTCTGATGGGGTATGATTATGTTATTAAGTCCCTTGTGTGGAAATTTTTTGTTATCCTTGCTGGTGGCCCGTGAAAGACACCTTACTATTTAATGTGAAATATAGGTAGGAAAGAGTGTAGAGTCCTGCTATGAGCCCGAAGATATTTGGCCTCCAGTTATATTGCTTGACATCTGGTAGACATGGTTTTCTTATTGCTGGTAAATTCTCCAGCTGGTAGTCAATTGGGCCAGCAGATACAGCTGGTCCTCTTGCCTCTCTTGTAAATTATGTTTTTGACCTTCCTTGAGGAGAGTTAATCCCTCTTCCTTCCTTTCTCCTTTGAGCCTGTGACTACAAATACTTTCAAGGAAAAAAAAAAAAAAAAAGAAAACCCCAAAACAAAAACACTAATGATTTGGCTGCGGAATTTTATTGATCAAAAAGAAAAATTATCTCTTTTGTTATAAATGCTAGAATTTTTTTGTATTGCAAGTAAGACAAAGTTATAGATGAGAGGCTGAGCTCAAAAGAGAAAAGGGGCTATAACAATGTTTGTATTCTGTTTAAGCTTTGGACCTTCCTCTCCCTCTGGTTTCCTGACTTCTATAAAAGAATAGTTGAACTAACTAGTGGCATACCTGTTCAGCATCATGACTGGTTTCCGAAACATGTTCCTCCATAATGTTGAGAGCCGTGGTAGCGAAATGAGTAAGAAGGCATCTTAAAATATTTAAAATTTAAAAACTATTTTTAAAAGTTAAAACACTTGTGCCCTTGTTTTCAAAAATTGTCTTCCTTCTGCTTGTTACCAAACTCAGAAACTGAGGCCACCTGGCCATTTGAACATATATGAGCTAGTTGTGTTTAATCCCAAGTTAAAGCCTTGAATTAAAGCTTAGCTAAAAATCATATTGCGTAGAAAAGGCTGGATAATAATCAGTATCATTGTAACCAGAATGCATGTATAATTTGAATAAATAGAGGTAGGTTCTTTTACAAGTCTTTTTTTTTTAAAGAATGTTCTTGCAATTAAATCATTTAATTTAATTTCTAAACTGCTTTGATAACATAAGATAAAGATTTATTTTTAAGGAGCCAAAATTAGGGCATCAGTACCAGTTGGATTTTAAAAACAGATTGTCCGTATCCTACCCAGATAGCAGACAGTTAATGAAGAGTTTTTAATAAACACCCAGTGTGCATGGACTACTGTAATAGAAACAGGTGTTAAAACTGGCATGGAACTTATTCAGCTATAATACATGAAATTAGGTTTCTTTTATTATGTAGAGGTCACTTTTTATAACCACAGTGAAAATACTGTTATAAAAATTTCCTTGAGGAGGAGCAGACTATTTTATAGTCTTTAAGTGTCTCTCCACAGACTTCTTATTAGTTGCAGGGAAAAATAATAACTATATAATGGAGAAACCAGGCAACACCTTGACCATGTGATCAGAATTAATACCACCAATGAGGGGCAGATGGACAATATGTGCCTCTGGCTATGATAACTTGAGGATACAGTATCACTTGTGTAGTATTCCATCTGGAAATGTATAACCTGAACCTAACTGTGAAGAAACATCAGACACATTTAAAATGAGGAACATTCTGTGAAGAAAGAAAGAAAGAAACGTGTTCTTCAATAATGTCAATGTCATAAAAGACAGGCTGCAGAAATGTTCCAGAGGAAATAATTCTAAAGAGATGTGACAACTAAATGCAGTAACTGGTCCTAGACTAGATCCTATATCAGAAAAATGCTATAAATGCATTATTAGGTCAATTTACAAAATTGGAATATGGTTAGTAAAAAGTGTTTTATCATGGTTAAACTTACTGAAGTTGATTACTGTACTGTGGTGTATAATATTTTTATTCTTATGAAATACACACTAATGCATCTAGGGGTAAAGGGCCATAATATGGACAATATTTTCTCAGTGGGTCAGAAAAATATATTATGTGGATGAATGGATGGATAGAGCAACAGCAAATTGCAAAGCAAATGGAGCAAAATGTTAACAGTAGGTGAACCTTGGTAAAGGATGTATAGATCTTCCCGGAACGATTGTGTAATTCTTAAATTATTTTCAAATTAAAAATTTTTTAAATGTCACTCTTGGGTCTTGTGGCACATTTGATTAGTTCTTTGGGTCTTGTACTTGAAATGATGCAGTTCAAAAAATATCACCCTTGGTTTATAACCAAGTCTGCATTGGATGAATGATTACATTCCCCCAAACTATTGCCTTTTTCTCATTTTGAATTCCTGACTAGAATGACCAAAATTCAGATAACACATCCCATTACAAATATTTTGCAAAATATTTCTATGATAGTTCCTTGTTTTCCAGTGGGATCTAAGAGAGACTAAGCTTTTTCATAATCAAGGTGCTGTCCTCTTGGGATGTTTTTTGTTATATTACTCAGCTTTTCTTAAAAAAAAAAATTTACTCAACAAATATTTATTTGTGATGTTTCTCTGCCTTGTGTGACAAACCCTGTGTCATACTCTGACACATGGTAATGAAACAGGACAGATGTTGCCCATACCATATTTCCCTCACCTAGGGAAAGCACAGGGCACTGGGTGGTAACTCAATGATATTTACATTTTGTTTTTAACATTTTCTATTTTAATGCCATGAAGTCTTCGAAACCTCATGAGGTCGTGCCAGGATTTCTGTTCTTGGCACATCTGACTAGTTCTTTGGGCCATGCAGTTAAAATAAATAAGTATTGGGATGGGTGCAGTGCCAGGAAGTTGGAGCCTGGGTTGCCCTCCCACTCCATGCACACTGTGAGCTGTGGTTTGATCACTCTGCCTCTGGATCCCAGAGGCCTCATCTGTAATATGAGAATAAGAAATCCTTACCTTGCCTTAAGCCTTTCCTGTGATATGATATGATAAGAACGAGGAAGCAAAACCTTATCTGTCTCAATACAGATGACTAGACCCCATTAAGTCCTTGTTGTTGCTTCCAATCTGCAGAATTCCAAATTCAACATTCCAGATTACATAAACAAATATGTTGCCACTTAATTTTCAGTAGGATTTTTGTAATACCAATATAGTACCTACTGTGTTCTAACATGTTTTATCTTCATGAAGATGGTTTCCAGGTCTTTAAAAAAAACTTAGTGAATGTATATTTACAAAGGATAGCAGAGATGAGATTTCTGAGTGCTTTTTCCTAGGCTTAAAACTTACCTCTCACATAAAGCCATAGGAGGGAGACTTAAGTATAAAACATGATGTACACAAGGGGGGGTTATCAAAAGAAGTGCAAAGAAACTCCACTTCTAATTAGAATGAAGAAAGTTACAAGAGACTGTTGCTTCTACTCCCAACTATGTGAATGAGCTGCATAATCTATAGAATCATAAATTTTTAAAAAGTATCCAGAGAAGTTATTAGGTAGAGAAAAACCTAAGTAAACTAAATTCCAGAAAGAGACAAGCCCTTCCTAGGAGACAAAAACCTCTGATTGCTTTATTCCCTGGCAGAGCAGCAGGAGGAGGAGTCAAACTCAACACAGAGGTATATAAAGACAAATCAGCCAAATTTTTAATGAAATCTTTATGGCCGTGTGTGAGCTGGTGTGACAGATTAAAATCCTGAGACACTCCATTCACAGAGAGCTTATACCCACCGCCAGTTTTTCTCTGTGAGGCCTTCATCAAGTGGCAACACACCAAAGCTTGGAGCAGAGCAAAGAATTGTGAGTGATTCATTAAGGTGCATAAGATTTTCACCAAATACATGGCAGTGGCCAGAGAAAGACTAGAGGCATAGCAAGAGAGCCGCAAGACAACTCGGAAGCATAGTGGTCCTTTATCAAGTGCAACACAGTTGCAACAGAAGGCTGGATTAAAGCAAAAGAGATTTTAAAAAACCTCTCCTGCTCCCAACATGTACAGGGCCTTCATCAAGGGCCAGGCAGTGTTGTACAGAAGCCTAGTGCCAGGGTAAGAGAGTGAAGAAATATTCCATGACACAGAAATCTGGAGGAGGTTACAAAGAGCAAAACGAACACCTTAGCAACATGGAAAGCTGACGGCTTGCCTATAAACAAAGAGAAGTCTCCCGTGGTTAGAATGCTGGTGCCTGGACTATAAGAATGGAGAATTCTCTAGAGTTTCACCTGGGCTCAGATCCCAAACCTTGCTTAAGGGAAATTCCTGATCCAGGATACAAAATCAACACGTAAAAATTAGTAGCATTTTTATACACCAATGATGAACTGCCTGGAGAAAGAAATCAAGAAGGCAACACCATTTACAATAGCTAAAAAGAAATACCTAGTAATAAATTTAACCAAGGAGATGAAAGACCTGTACTAGGAAGGCTACAAAACACTGATAAAAGTAATTGAAGAGGACACAGACAAATGGAAAGACATCCCATGCTCATGGATCAGAAGAATTAGTATCTTTAAAACAATCCTATTGACCAAATACCAATGATATTTTCCACAGTAATAGAAAAGACAATCCTAACATTTATATGGAACCCCAAAAGAGCCCAAATAGCCAACGCAATCCTTGGCAAAAAGAACAAAGCTGAATACTTCACACTACTTGACTTCAGAATACCTTGCAAACCTATAGTAACCAAAACATTATGATAAAAACAGGCATATAGACCAATAGAACAGAGTAGAGAATCCAGAAATCCATACCTTTATAGCCAACTGATTTTTCACAAAGGCTCTAAGAACGTACATTGGGGAAGGGACGCCCTCTTCAATAAATGCTGCTGGGAAAATTAGATATTCATATGCAGAAGAATGAAACTGAATGCCTGACTCTCTTCATATATAAAAATCCATTCAAGATTGATTAAAATCTTAAATGTAAGGCCCCAAACTATAAAACTACTAGAAGAAAACATAGGGAAAATACTTCAGGACATTGGTTTAGGCAAAGATTTTTGTGGCCAGGACCTCAAAAGCACAGACAAAAAATCCCAAAAGAGACAAATAGGACTCTTATTAAACTAAAGAGCTGCTTCACAGGAATGGAAACAATTGACAGAATGAGCAGACAACCAGTTGAATGGGAGAAAATATTTGCAAACTTTTCTTCTGACAGAGGACTAATAATCAGAATATACAAGAACTCAAACAACTCAATGTTTAAAAAAAAAGATCCCATTAAAAAGTAGCCAAAAGACATGAGTAGATACCTCTCAAAAGAAGACATACAAATGGCCAACAGACATGTGACAAAATGCTCAACGTCAGTAATCATCAGGGAAATGCAAATCATAAACACAGTGAGATATTATCTTACCCCACTTGGAATAGCAGTTATTAAAAAGACAAAATATAGCAGGTCCTGGTGAGGATGCAGAAAAAACGAAACTCATACACTGTTGGTAGAAATGTAAATTCATACAGCCACTATGGGAAACAATATGGAGATTTCTCAAAAAACTGAAAATAGGACTACCATGCAATCCAACCTTTCTACTACTGGGTATTTATCCAAAGAAAAGGACGTCAGTACATCAAAGGGATACCTGTGCTGTACTTGCATGTTCATTGCAGCACTACTCACAATAGCAAGTATATAGAATCAACCTAAAAATATATGAACAGATGAATGGATCAAGAAAATGTAGTCTGTATACACAATGGAATACTATTGGGCATATTAAAGAATGAAATCATGTCATTTGCAACAGCATGGATTGAAGTGGAGGTCATTATGTTAAGTGAAGTAAGGCAGGCACAGAAAGACAACTTTAGCATGTTCTCACTTACGTGTGAGAGCTCAAACATGCTGATCTCATGGAGATAGAGAGTACAGTGATAAATACCAGAGACTTGGAAAGGTGTGTGAGTGGGAGGAGGGAATGAAGAGAGGTCGGTCAATGGGTACAGTTAGATAGAAAGTATGAGTTCTAATTTTTGATAGAGTAAGTTGACTATAGTTAACCACAATGTATTATATATTTCCAGTAGCTAGAAGATAGAACTTGAAATTTTCCCAATATGTATAGAAATGATAAATACTCAAGGTGATGGATACCCCAAATACCCTGACTTGATCATAACACATTCTGTGCATGAAACAAAGTATCACATGTATCCCATACATATGTAAAATATTATGTGTCAATAAAATGATTAGTATGTCAGTTGAAAAAAATAAAAACATAAAATAACTGATATTGAGTATATTCACATCATTTAAAAGATAATTTCAAACCCAGGAAGGATGAAAAATAATAGAAAAAGTTAAATGAGATAAAAATTAGAAATAAAATAATTTTCAAAAATGAAAGCTGGTATGGCTATATTAGTGTCAGACATAGGAGATATGAGATAAAACAGGACATTTCATATTGAAAATGTGGTCCATTCAATTAAAAAGGTATAAAACGTCTAAATGTATATGTGCCTAGTAAAAGAAACAAAAATTGACAGTAATAAAAGGAGTAATAGACAAATCTGTAGTCATAGTTGGAAACTTTAACATCCTTCTTTCTCTCAGTATGAAATAAGACATACAATAGTAAATGACTTGAATAAAAATTAGTAAGGATATGAATAATAGACCCAACTTGACCAAAGTGGTATTTATAGAACATTACATTCAACAAGTTATTATTTTCAAGTTCATAAGGAGTATTTACCAAGAGAAGCTGACAATTATTTTCAACTGAATGATAATTAAAACAATATATCAGAATTTATAGGATGCAATTAAAACATTAAAAGGAAAAGTATGTCCTTAAATACTTATGGTAGAAAAGAAAGTTTAAAATAAATGAGTTAAGCTATCATCTTAAGAAGCTTTAAGAAGAATAGATAGAAAATAATCAAAATAAGAATGCAAGCAGTAACATAGAAAAGAAATTTTAAAATGGAGAAAAACAAAGCTAGACGAAGTTCTTTGAAAAAAAATTAGTGAAATTGATAAAACTTTAGAAAGAATGATTAGGAAAGAAAGAAAGAAACCCACAAATTACCAATAGCAAGAATGAAAAGGAAATAGTAATGCATTCACCGATTCTGTAGGCATTAAGTGGCTAACTTTATTTCAACAGAGGCAGCAACTGGATGAAATTTATTAATTTGTTGAAGAAAACCAACTTAACAAACTAAACACAAAAAATTTTAAATAACCATTTACATATTTAAGAAATTGAATTTCTATAAGCAAAACATTCTCATAAAGTAAACTTTATGCCCAGATGGCATCACTGGCATTTTATATCAGACATTTCAGGAAGAAATAACATTAATCTTATGCCATTTCTTTCAGAAAAACAAAGCAGAGGGATTGTTTTCCAACCCATTTTATGAGACAAGGGTAACCTCAGTATTTGACAAAGATGTTACAAGGAAGGAAAACTACAGACCAATAGCTGTCATGAATATATATGCGGAGATGCTTAATAAGTTATTACTTTGGAATGAAAAATCCAGCAGTATTATTGCCCGTGGACACCAAATAAGGTTTTTCCAAGGAATGCACAGTTGACTTAACATTTCAAAAGTCAGTCATTGCCAACAAATGATCCTGGAACATAAGGATATCCACATGTAAAATAATGAAGTTGGACCCTTTATCCCATATATAAAAACTAACTCAAAATTTATCAGGAACCAAAATATTAAGAGCTAAAACTATGAATTTCTTAGGAGGACTTAGGAGTAAATCTTTCTGTCCTTGGATTATGCAGTTATTTCTTAGATATGATTCCAAAAGCACAGGCAACAAAAGAAAAAATAAATAGGTCATCATAAAAATTTAAAACTTTTATGCTTCAAAGGATAACATCAAGAAAGTAAAAAAAGCCCACAAAATAGGAAAAAATATTTGCAAATCATGTAATTGGTGAGGAGCTTGTACCAGAACATATATAGAACTCTTACAACTGAACAATAAGAAGGCATAAAATGGGCATGAGATCTGAGTAGACATTTTTCTAAAGACGATATACAAATAGCCAGTAAGTACAGGAAAAGATGCTCAACATCAGTAGTCATTAGTGAAATGCAGATGACAACCACAAGTAGATACCACTTCACATCCAACAAGATGGCTATGATAAAAATTGTGAATATTAACAAGTCTTGGTGAGGATGTGGAGAAATTGGAACCCTCATATATCACTGATAGGAATGTAAAAATGGTGCTGCTACTTTGGACAACAGTTTGGCAGTTCCTCAAAAAGTTAAACATAGAGTTACCATGTGACCCAGCAATTCCATTTCTAGGTATATGCCCAAGAAAATGAAAAGATAGGTCCACATGAAAACTTGTGCATAGATACTTATAGCAGCATTATTCATAACAGCAAAAAAAGAAGAAACAATCCAAATGCCCATCAACTGATGAATGGATCAGCAAAATGTGAAATATTCATACAATGGAATATTTTCAGCTGTAAAAAGGAATGAAGTGCAGATATATACTGTAGCTTGGATGAACCTTGAAAACATTATTCTAGGTAAAAGAAGCCAGACACTAATGGCCACATAGTGTATGATTTTGTTTATATGAAATGTCCAGAATAGGAAAATCCATAGAGATAAGGTAGATTAGTGGTAGAGGTAAGGGAATGGGGAGTGAGTGCTAATGGGCACAGGGTTTCTTTTAGTGGTGACGAAAATTTTCTGGAATTAGAACATTGCACATTTTGCAAATATATTAAAAACTACTGAATTGAAAAGTTATTTAAGTGGATGAATTTTCTGATATATGAATTATATCTCAGTAAAGCTGTTAAAAATGTTAATTGATATAATTTACTCTGTTACCAAAATAAAGGAGAAAACCCATATGTTCCTCTTGATTCCATATGATCATCTCAACTTGCATGAATGATAAAAACCTCAAAATAGCCGGGCACGGTGGCTAATGCCTGTAATCCCAGCACTTTGGGAGGCCAAGGCGGGCAGATCACCAGGTCAGGAGCTCGAGACCATCCTGGCTAACATAGTGAAACCCTGTCTCTACTAAAAATACAAAAAATTAGCCAGGCATGGTGGCGGGCGCCTGTAGTCCCAGCTACTCGGGAGGCTGAGGCAGGAGAATGGCGTGAACCTGGGAGGCAGAGCTTGTAGTGAGCAGAGATCACACCACTGCACTCCAGCCTGGGTGACAGAGTGAGACTGTCTCAAAAAAAAAAAAAAAAAAGAAAAAACCCTCAAAATATGAGATATCCAAGGAAAATTCCTCAATGTGATTAAGGGCGTCATCTATCAAAAACCTACAGCTAAAATCATACTAATTGGTGAAACACTGAACACTTTCTTTCTAACACTGACAACAGACAAAGAGGGCATCCACTCATCACTTCTATTCAGTATTTTATTGGATGCTCCACTAGTACAATAAAGCAAATAAAAGATAAAACTTGGAAAAGAAATAGTAAAAGCCATAGTTATTCTCAGAGGACATGAAATGAATCTAACGAATGATGTGCAAGACGTGTTCCCTGAAAACTATAAAACCTTGCTGAGAGAAATAAAAGACAATCTAAATAGAGAAACATGCCATATTCATGGATTGGAAAACACAGTAAGATAGCCATTCTTTCCACATTCAGCTATAGATTCAAAGCAATCTCAATAAAAATTCCAGCAGACATTTTTAAATAAGAAATTGACAAGTTGGTTTTATAATTTGTGTGGGAATTTAAAGGACCTAGAACTGCAAAAATCAACTTTAAAAAAGATCAGAGTTAGAGGACTTACAGTACCAGACTTTAAGACCTACTGTTAAGCTACTATAATCAAGGCAGTGTTCCTCCACAGAAGAGGCAACCCTAAAAATCAATGAATCAGCTTTGGAATCAGCAGGAATACCGTCCAGCTCTGCAGTTTCACAGCATTCTGAGGGAAGGGAATTGCCAGATTGGTTGATGCAGCAGGGTCCACCAGACACTGCAGAAATTATTAAATATTGTCTCAGAATTATAGACGGAAATTTGTGTCTCAGGAGGAAACTGGCTGGGCATGGTGGCTCATGCCTGTAATCTCAGCACTTTCGGAGGCTGAGGCGGGCAGATCACAAGGTCAGGAGATCAAGACTATCCTGGCTAACATGGTGGAATCCCGTCTCTACTAAAAATACAAAAAAAAAAAAAAAATTAGCTGGGCATGGTGGCACACACCTGTAGTCCCAGCTGCTCGGGAGGCTGAGGCAGGAGAATCACTTGAACCCAGGAGGCGGAGGTTGCAGTGAGCCGAGATCACGCCACTGCACCCCAGCCTGGGCAACAGAGGGAGACTCCATCTCAAAAATAACTTAATTAATTAAATTAAATAAACCAAATTTTATTCAATGTGGAGGGCCAGAATAATCACCAGCAGTGTGGATGCTGTTTGTCGTCAGATGAAAGAATTGTCTTTACAAGAAAGATTTCTAAAATGAGAAATTATACATTCAACAACCTTAATAAAATATTCTTTTAAAAAAATGAAAGAGGAAATTTAAATGGACACTTGTATCTCCTGATGTATGTATTTTGGTCAGCTTCTTCACAAGCTTACCTAACTGCTTACGTACTTTAAACTTTAATTAAGTATACATTTTAAAATGTTATCCTATTTACTCTTGGCCTTCAAGTATTACCAGTGTTAAACTACTAAAAGCACACAATATCTAGTAAACTGTCATAGGTTTCTCATAATCTCACTTTTCTTTCAGTCTGTTTAGGGATATAAAGAATTTTTCAGGCGAAGTTGCTGCTTTAGGGAAGTGATTTTTCTAAAATTAGGTGAGGATTGGTGAAATAAGAACACCCTTATTTGTTTTTAATTCTCAAATTTTTTATTCACAAGGTTATTGGGGTATAACTGACTAAATAAGTGTATCTGGCTCTTAAAGATAAAAATATAACCAAGGTAAAACAGGTGGCTTTGTGGTATTAAGACTAGGGCAATAACACAAAGGATTATTTGTGCTAAAAATATTTTTTATGTGTAACAAAGGATTATTTCTGAACAGAGATTCAGAAAAAAATGTAAATGAAAGATAAATTAAGAAATCAAAATTGATATAGAAATAGGTGTTTGACTAGAAATTGCAATTTATTTGAGATATTTTTCTTTTATTCTTAATCATTTTGAATGTGATTATGTATGTAAATCTTGATGTGATGACTATTAACTTTTGTCAGCTTTAATGTCTGAAAACCTCATAAAATCATCCTATTTACCTAAATAATGCAATTTATTTATTTACTTACTTACTTTAGAGACAGGATCTCACTGTATCACCCACTTGGAGTGCAGTGGCACAATCATAGCTCACTGTAACCTCAAATTCCTGGGCTCAAACGATCCTCTTGCATCAGCTCCCCAAGTAGCTAAGACTATAGGTACACCACCAGGCCTGGCTAATTTTTAAATGTTTTGTAGAGATGAGGTCTTGCTATGTTGCCCAGGCTGGCGTAATCTCAAACTGTTGGCCTCAAGCAATACTCCCGCCTCGGCCTCCCAAAGCACTGAGATTACAAGTGTGAGCCACTGCACACCTGGCCTTTTTATAAAACTTTAATAAGATCTTCTTGGGCCAAGGGTAAACCCTCACAAAGCTAAATAATTTTCCTACATAACTTTAACTTTGTTCACAAAGTTATGTTGAGTGAACAAAGCCAGACATGAAAGAGTACTAAGTGAATTATTCTATTTATATGAAGTTTAATAACTGGCCCAACTAAGCTATGGTGATAGAAATCAGAAAGTGATTGCTTCAGGAAAAGGGCATGAGGGAATTTGGGGGCAGTAATAGAAATGTCCTGTGTGGAAAATATTCTCCTTAGGATTTGGTTTCATGGGGATACAAATCATTAAAAATCATCAAACCCTTTACTGAACATCTATGCACTTTATTGTGTGTAAAATCATACCTCTGTTTTTTGAAAGTCTTAAAAATGATATTAGCTAGACTATCTGGGTTTTTGTTTTTGTTTTTTACGAGATAGGCTCTTGCTCTGTCATCCAGGCTGGAGTGCAGTGACCCGATTATGGCTCACTGTAACCTCAAATTCCTGGGTTCAAGAGATCCTCCAGCCTCAGCCTCCCTAGTAACTAGGACTGCAGGGGCACACCTCACCTGGCTAATTTTTATTTTATTTCTTGTCAAGACAGGGTCTTGCTATGTTCCCCAGGTAAGATTGTCTTTAAAGAGGCATGTAATGATTGACAGCATGGGCTTTAGAATTAGTCAGACTTGGATTTCAATCCTGGAGTCCCTGCTTTATAAGCCGGGGCAAGTTACAACTTTGATCCTTAGTTTCCTCATCTATTGATGCTTTGATAGAATTCTGAAAATTAGTTGAATAATAAAAATGAAGTGCATGTAATAGATGCTGCATTTGTTATGATGGGTGGTGGTGGCAGCAGTAGTGGTGGAGGAAGGAGGTGATGGTGGAAGTTGCAGGGAATTTCTCAGGACCATCACACCACAGCTCCACAGGCCCCATTTACACTGCAGTTATGCTCCCAAAGGTGGCATTTATATTGACTATGACAAGAGTGATGCCACCTGAATTTTCACCGTGCTCCTTTGGTGGAAATGGTAATGGTTATTACATTTTGACAAAATGCAACTCTAACTTGCAAGTTAATGTTAATAAGTTAATAAGTTAATGTTAATAAGTTAATAAGCCAGCTGGTAAGTGAATTCAGAGTTCCCAGAACAGGAAAAAAAAATTGTTGGAAGCTACAAGAAAAGACACTCCTCCCTGAACCCTGCAATTCAAGCCAAAATGGTGGCAAAGGAGCTCTTTCTAAAAACTATCTGATAGAGGTCTACCACTTTGACAGCGCCACAACTTAGGTTTTTAAATCAAACCTAAGGTGTGCCTTCAGCATTTCTTTTAAGCTCACCCATCCAGGTAATTTTCCTTTTGAAAGAAGAAGGGAGAATATTCCTTACTAGCTGTGTTAAATTTCTCTTGTGTGAACCTTGATTACAGGCAATCTTCTTGTATTCCACTGAGCACTGGGCAGTGGAACACCTACAGGATGTATTGACCATGAATCCCTTAAAAGAGACTTCCATTTCACAATAGTGGCCAATGGCATTTAGTCATTGAATGGATGTATCCAGCTAAATAGATTTATTGGACCATATTTTAGATTTGACAGGAAACACCTAGATACAAATTGGCCTTAGTCTTAACCAAATTTTAACTGCTTTTGATAATCTAGTTCTTATATTATCCAACAACTAAAGGCATCTGATCCCTGGCGGGAAGCCAACTGCCTCGGGATGGTAGTTGAGGCGCCACCAATAAACCTATATACTAAGAAAACATCCGAGACAGCCAAGTTTGGCAAGTGCACTTATAAACCACAGGAAAAGTGGCTAATCACTGATTTTACTTGTACCTTTTAAGTTTGCCCAGAATTTGAAATGTAGAAACTTGTGTTTCTTTTTCATGCTCTTAGGGCTGCCAGGATGATCCCATTGGGTCTATTTAGAAAGTCATTTGCACAAACAGGAAAAGACTGCAGAAGATTGAATGTATGAAAAACAGTTTCCTCAGCCTCAAGTTAATTTCTAACAGTCGTTGGTAATTTTATTTTTGCCTAATTAGTCTTACATCATTAATTTCTTCCAAATGATTCATTCAACATTGCTCCAAAGCAATAAATAGAAAAACAAAGAGGGAATTTACTGTGTTGTTAAGAGTATAAGTCTTCCCAGAGGTGCGAATAATATGTATTCAAATTATTCTCATTTTAATCATGGTGTAGGGTAAGATCTTTGCAAAGATAAATGTCTATTTTAATCTATTACTTGACTTGTAGACCCTCCATGTTAGTAGAAATGAAGTGGATGAACTTCTTTATTTTAGCAACATGAAAAGTAATGAAAACATTAATTTCTCTATCTCCACATACGTATGTAGTTATCAGTCACAGATGTGAACCTAACTTAGAATATCACCTTGTTACCTTCTAGTACCCAACATTTTAGATAAATATGTATCTTCCCAGCCAGACTCATGCCTGCTGTTTGCTCACAGGACATATAACCATGACATGTAAATGAGACAAATGTACTTAAAAATGATTGACTTTATTATGAACAGGAAATGAGTAATGATTATCTATGGTGTTTTTGTTTTTTGGTTGGGAAGCAGTAGCCAAATGATGAAAGGAATTTTCTCTTGTTTTTTCAGTCTCAAGACAAAAACTATAATCTTGGTCATGTCATTGTTATTTCATGTTAACTTACTAACTTGAGAAAAGATATTGGTTTCTATGATTATAAATATTGAGAATCCCCCATTGATTTTATGATGTAACAACTTTTATTACATTATTTTATTAAATGGGTGAGTTACAGATGTGGAATCTACTAGGTATATCTTATATGTGCAGGTACTAATGACAACACAGGGCCCAACACATAGTAGGCATTTGGTGGACAGCTCTTTAATGAGTGACTGCATGTTGAGCTTTAGGGTAGAACTTTGAGTTAGGATGGTGCGTAGATATAACATTTTGTTCCCACTGTCCTTTCTTCCCAGTAATCTCCAGATTTAAGATCAAAAGCTGTATTCATCATAGCAGCTTTGAAAAAAATTAAATATATATAAAATACAAATTATATGGAAAAATTTTACACAGATTTAAACATTTAAAATTTTATGTTAAAATATGATTTTTAAGTTCTGGATTGTTTTCTCCTATAAGAGCAGATGATTTGGCAACACTGGGACCCACTTCCTATGTGGCAGTGATTGGTTAGAGCCAGGTGGTAGCCGCCCTGTTTGGTGAAGCCTGGGCGCTTCACTTCCACAGTCCTACACCTGACCTGCTTCACAGGCATTTGAGACTAACCCGTGTTGTAGATTTTGAACCCTAATCAAGTCTATCTGTTAGAATACATTTTTATTCCAGTATGATTCATCCAAATAATATAGTTTATGTTTTTTTAAAAGTCTTCATCTTGGAGTGCTTGTTCTGTTTAATCCTAAGGATTAGAATTTGTTTGTGATAGTTACAATGTATGACTTTTATGTTCTGTAAGTAAAGCAATACTGAAAATTTGTGAAAACTTAACATTTTAGTATTCACTAATTGAGACATTTGGCTATGGTTGCGCTGTTCTCTCTATTTACATTTCTTTCAAATACTTCTGGATGCAGTAAGTGGTAGGTACTGACAGTTTGCTTTTATGCTCTTGAGCTGTCATCACTGTACTGTACATGTTTGGACTGCACTGTCTGCTGCAATGTTGAAGCGATAAAATGAAACTTAATTTAGGATGAGGGTTATATTAACAATTCACTAGTAGGAGATGCTCAGAGTACTTGGAAATAGATCTTTCTTCATTTGAAATAGAAAATTAATGTTATTTTAAATGTGCTTCCTAAAACAGATTAGAACCCCAATAATTCTTTGATTTCTTCCATTGATGGCTTTTGTGAATATCATGGTAAAATTTTGAACAGTTAAGAGTTAGGGTTATTACAGTAGCTAATAATGACTGACTAAGACGGAAGCCTTATTACTTGGCTTGAGATTTCAGCTATTAAAAAACCTCAGTTTACTTAGGAGTAAAAGTTTGATAAAACACAGTATCTCATTTTTTGAATGAATTATTTATTAAATACCATTGAGTGCCTTCTATATTGAGGTACTTTTCTGGGGACATCATAGTGAACCAAGCGACAAGAATCCCTGTACTTGAGGACTTACATACTGGTGGGGGAAATAACGAACAAGATAAGTAAGGCCTATACTATGTTTGTGATAAGTGCTAAAAAGAGATGTGAAGCTAGGGAAGGGGTTAGGAGGTACAGGGATTCCAGCGTTAGGTAGGTTTCACTTCAAAGGTGTCATTCGAGTAAAGTCTTGGAGGATTTATGGGAGCAAGGCAAGAACATTCCAGGCATAGGGAATAGCAGGTGCAAACACTCTCAAGTAGGAGTGTGCCTGGTGTGTTGGAGGGACAGTGAGAAGGCCGGTCTTAGTGGGTCAGAGTAGGCAATGGAAGGTCAGATAGATTACATAGTTTTTTATCCATGGTCAGTATTTGGGCTTTTCCCCTGAAATGGGAGCCACTGGGGAGTAATGAGCAGTGGAATGATATGAACTGACTTACATCTTAAGAGGTGACTCCAGCTGCTGAAAGGGAGGCCGGGTGGAAGGTTGTTGCCATAGAGGTGAGTGATAATAATGACTTGGACTAGAGCATTATCCACACAGGTGGTGAGAAGTAGTTGGCTTCTGTGTGTATTTTAAGATAGAGCCAATGGGATTTGCTGTTGGGTTGGATAGAGATATGAGGGAAATAGAAAAGGCAATGATGACTCTTAAGATTTTGGCCTAAACAGAAGAATAGAATTGCCATTTACTAGGGTGAGGAAGAAGGTGAAGTTGGGGGAAAAGACTTGAGGGGAAGTAGCAGAAACTCAGTTCTGGACATGTTAATTTCAAGATGCCTGTTAGGCATCAAATGGGGAGGCCCAAAAGGTAGCTGGATATGTGTGTCTGGAGTTTAGGAGAAAGGACTAAGATGGAGATACATATTAGGGAATCTCAGCATATAAACATTTTTTTAAAAAACATTTGGATGAGATCACCAAGGAGGTGAACACAGACAGGAGAAAAGATTCCTGGGGAAATTTTGTACTTATAAGTTGGGGAAGCAACCAGGGAGACTGAAAAGTTATAATCATAGAGGTCAGAGGAGAACCAGGTGAGAGTGGTGTCCTAAAAAACAAGGGAAAAGGGTGTTTCAAGGAGAAGCAGGTGATCAACTTTATCAGATGCTGCTGCTGGGCCTTGTGAAATTAGATTTGAGGACAGGCTATTGGATTTGGCATTGGAAGTCATTTCTTATTTTGATAAAGAGGGGTTTTGGTGGAGAGGTGAAAGCAAAAAGCTGATTATAGAGGGCTTAAAGAGAAAATGGAAGGAAAGAATTTGAGGTAATAGGTGTAGAGAACTCTTTCAAATAACTTTGCTGTAAATGGAAGTAAAGAAATGGAGTGGCGACTGGAGGAGGAGGTTGATCTATGGAGTTATTATTCTTACCTCAATTTCCAGTGCAACCAGCTGCTTCACTTTATATCCAAAACACTTCATAGACATTTTTCTTTAAAATGAGTGGAAGAAAAGTAGTCTAACTGTTGAGTCTTTGGACATTCCAACATTTAGTTGCTGGGGAGATGAGGAAGAATCAGCAAAGGAAAGTGAGGTTACGTTTTGGAGTAAAATAAAAGGAAAGTTTCAGCATATTTTTTGTAGTAGTTCCAGGTACAGCTAGTATTAAAGGAAGGCATTCCTTGACATTTGGGATGAACTAACTTTGACAGAGTCACACAGGTCTTTTGAATGCAGGATGTCTGAACCTTTCTGTGCTCATGTGCCTGTCTGGCTCTAAGAAGGGTAGAACAAGGTGGAGCAATACACTTGCAGCTTTTGCCCATGCTCCCGCACTGCCCCCCGCTTTTTTTTTTTTAAAGAGAGAGCACCTGCCAGGACCCAGCAGAAGTCAGCTTGAGAAATGCTGCTTTCTGGGTCTCCGTGCCTTAACAGTTCTTTGGGGGCATGGGTCGGATCAGTAAGTCAGGAAGCACAAGATTTTGACAAAGAGAACTTTCTTCAAATCAGTTGTTGGTGGTTTGTATTTTTCCCCTCCAAAATTCCTCACTGACAGATTAACTGAGATTCTCAGGAAATTGTCCATTACACAAATGGAGAGTAGCCTCATTCTTAATGATAGTTTAAGTGTTAGCCTTTCATTTCTTTTCAAATAGAAGATGCTCTTTTCAAACTATAGTAAGATTCATGTTATCTGGCAGCTTACCAACCAGAAGACCATAAATGACATTTTGGGTTTCACCTAGTACAAATCATCAGGATGTTGAGGCCAGGTTCCCTATGAAGAGGAAAAGACAGTTCCCTTGGGCTGTCTTGACCAAGGAAATGGTGACCCATAGCCTCCCCTTACAGACCTGAAGGGAAACCCTCAGTAGTAAAACTCCGTAGAATGTCAAAATCAGAAAGAACTCTGAATATAATTGAGTTGAAGTTTTTCACTTTTACCGAAAAAGACATTGAAACCCAGAGAGCCAGTGATTTCCCGATCCAGAAACTATCCAATCTATCAACAGCAGAGTTGAGGCTCAAACCGATTTCTCTGAGTCCCAGAATCATCTTGAAATTTGTTGGTAAGATTTGTTCCAGTAGCTTTCCTGAGCAAGCTCTGATTCACCCTGAAAACCTCCTGCAGTTAAAGGCATGTCTCTTAACAGAGCCAGATTTAGAATCCTCCTTCATGGTAAGTCTTCAGGGGGAGTCAAGATAGCCCTAAATTTGGAGTTCAGAGGCTTTCATTCACATCTCAATTTTTCCACTTCCTCTCTGACCATAAGCAAACCACATTATCATTCTGTCTCATTTTTTTTTTCATCTGAAAAAAATAGGTATAGTATACATCTTTCTGTCTGACATGGTATTTTGAGGGATCTCATTGATGCAAAAGTGCTATGGAAACTAAAGCATTATGCAAATATAGGGACTTATTGTTAAGATTTCACAAAGAACTAGTTTCTGCATCCTGCAAAGACATAATTGCACTTAGAGCGAGATCCATGTTTCATTCTTCTGTTCCCCCATAATAACTTGCAGAATAAATATTTGTTAAATAATGGAGCACTTTTATCACCTGTAGCAAGAGGGAATATTCATGATAATTCTCCATGTGAGTGGTGAAATAATAGTTACTGTGGGGCTTGCCATGTTTATGTGAGTATCTTCACTGGGCTTTTAACCTAAAAATAGGAGGGAACTCTTGTCTGATGTTGCCTCTGACTGAAGTGTGGTGTCAGTGAGCCTGGTGATAGTAAGAACCAAAGTGGCCTGTAGGCTGGAAGAATATGCTGTTCTCATCAGACAGCATTTTAATCTTATTTTAAGGCTCCTTAGACATGATATTTGTATGTGAGAACAATAGAACTTTTTGCCCTGTATATATCCCTGTTTCAGTGCTAACAATGAAATTTACCCGAATGTCATCTTTGTGTTTCATCTGGCATCCTTGTTTTCAACGTGGAGAATGAGGTATGAGCGACACACAGTAAGATAAATAACATATGGCATTCCTTTCTCATTCTGTTGATATTTCTGATTGGTTGGCTGAACTCGGGAATTGTATCTTCAAATTGCTCTGGCCTATTTAATACTTTTAATTTAAGACAATGAGAAAATAGAAGTAAATACTTTTTTTTGATTCATTAACAATGTATACACAAGCTAAATGAAGTCAGCATCAGAGATTGTCCAAACTCTGAAAGGATGCTCTAGAGACCATCTAACCCAGTCTTCATTTTCCGTTGTCCAATATCACACAGGCTTAGTAAGTGGGCACCCAGATCTTTTCACCCATAGTTAATGGATTTTTATTCTATAAAATATACACATTATTCTAGACTATATTAAGAAGGTTCATGTGAAACTGTCAGCTAGTTGAGTACATCTGCTTTCAGGATGAAGTCTGACGACCAAACTCTATTTTTAGAGCAGTTAACTACATTCCAAGGTTTAATGCTGCACACAAAGAATGCTTAGAATATAGTTATTCACAAATTGTGTCTTTTTGAAAGACAGCTCTTAAAAAGCGATGGGTAGGGAACTTCTGGGAAAAGGATAGGGGTGGGTGGCAGTGTCTCCTGAGTCAACTCATTAAGAGAGAAAAAAATGTAAAAGCCCACAATAGAAACAAGGCAATAAAAACCAACCAGACACACTTCCCCAGCCCTTCTCTTGCCTTTCTCTCTGGACTTAGTCATTTAAGGTGTATCACGTTTGTGGCACTAAAAGACAGCTGAGGGTGGCCGGGCGCAGTGGCTCATGCCTGTAATCAGCACTTTGGGAGGCCAAGGCAGGCGGATCATGAGGTCAGGAGATCGAGACCATCCTGGCTAACATGGTGAAACCCCATCTCTACTAAAAAAAAAAAAAATTAGCCAGGTGTAGTGGCACGCGCCTATAGTCCCAGCTACCCAGGAGACTGAGGCAGGAGAATCTCTTGAACCTGGTGGGTGGAGGTTGCAGTGAGCTGAGATCGCGCCACTGCACTCCAGCCTGGGTGACAGAGTGAGACTGCGTCTCAAGAAAAAAGAAAAAAAAAAAAAAAAGAAAGCTGAGGGTGACTATTATCATGTCAGGCAAGAATTCACAATGCAAGGATGTAAGGTACTACCCAGTTCACAATACAGTCTCACAGTACCATATACCATATTTACATTGCCCAAGTAGTGATAAATACAGAAGAGAAGCTTAACTTGTTGTTAAATGGATTTTTATTCTATAAACTATACACAGTATTCCAGATTATATTAAAGTTCATGTGACATTGTTAGTGCATGAAAAATTAGATGTTTTCTATGACTCAGCAATTTGAAAAATAAGTAAGAATTAACAGGAGAAGGGAAAGTGGTGGAAACAGATATCTGTTTCTTCAAAAGCACGTGGTAACATAAAATTGAGCTGAACACACTTGTCTCAGGAGGCTAGAGTCCTGCTTTCCAGGAAGGAAAATGCCCATGCAAACAACTTTACCCTAGTGTTTTTCATGTTCCTCCTTGTGCTGGATTTGTCAGAATGTTATTAATGCAGCACTATACAACAAATGGACAAGACTCAAGGGCCCCCATTTGACTGCTGTTTAAGTTGCTCATGCCTCCAATGATCTCTCTCTGGAAGAGGACTTTTAAAATTAAGTTGTGTGCAGTTTTCCTAGAAACCATACAAGAGCAGTTTCTAAGGTGGTCTTGGAAGATCTTAACATTGAGTATGAATGACAGGAAATTTTAGCTACTACTTAGATTGTGATTAGGTTATCAGGCAATTATATACTTTCTATATTACTTTTCTCTTAATTTTCTTATTTTAAAATCTTCGAGCTAAATTTGTTAATCCATTGTATTTGGTTTTATAAAAAGATATAGCCCTAATATTGGCTTTGAACAGTCAGTTTAATTTATAAGTTGATAGTTTTTCAAGGGGTGTTAACCTCAAGAATCTGTCTGTGCTTCTTAGGGAATTAGCAAGAAAGCGGCAAATTATAACTACACGGCCAGTGGATCCCATTGGTGTGGAGCTGTTTGCATCTGAGAATCTAAAGCTCCATCTCTATTCTAACAGTGCCATCAACTGGAAAGTGGAAAATTTTAGTTAGTCTATACTTTAAAAAAAAAACAAAGTTTCTTTTTTTTTTGAGATAGAGTCTCGCTCTGTCGCCCAGGCTGGAATGCAGTGGCGCGATCTTGGCTTACTGCAAGCTCCGCCTCCAGGGTTCACACCATTCTCCAGCCTCAGCCTCCCGAATAGCTGGGACTACAGGTGCCTGCCACCACGTCCGGCTAATTTTTTTTGTATTTTTAGTAGAGACGGGGTTTCACCATGTTAGCCAGGATGGTCTCAAACTCCTGACCTCGTGATCCGCCCGCCTTGGCCTCCCAAAGTGCTGGGATTACAGGCGTGAGCTACCGCACCAGGCCTTTTTTTTTTTTTTTTTTTTTGAGAGGGAGTGCTGTAGTGCAGTGGCACGAGGTTGGCTCACTGCACTGGAGTGCAGTGGAGTGCAGTGAGAGGTTGGCTCACTGCAACCTCTGCCTCCTGGGTTCAAGCGATTCTCCTGCCTCAGCCTCCGGAGTAGCTGGGATTACAGGCATGCACCACCACACCCAGCTAATTTTTTTTGTATTTTTAGTAGAGGTGGGGTTTCGCCCTGTTGGCCAGGCTGGTCTCGAACTCCTGACCTCGGGGGATCCGCCTGCCTCAGCCTCCCAAAGTGCTAGGATTACAGGCGTGAGCCACCACGCCCGTCCAAAAAAATCTAAGATTAATCTTTACTATGGCAAACTAGTATGATTCACTTTTCAGCCAAACAGATTGGTCATATCAGTTAAAACACTTAAAATTCTTTTCCCCCCCACACCTTTTTTTTTTTGGCTGAGCGCAGGGGACTTTATTCATGGTATACAACAGGGTGGGGCTCCCTAGGCCCCTCCCTCTTCAGGGTGTCTGCATGGACATTGTGAGGAGGGGAGATTCTCAGTGTGGTAGGGGACTGAGTGTGGGCAGGGACTCCCAGCAGCTGAGGGCCTCTCTCTTCCTTTCATGCTGTCGCTGGGGCTGGTGGTCCAGGGGTCTTATTCCTTGGAGGCCATGTGGGCCATGAGGTCCACCACCATATTGCTGTAGCCAAATTCGTTGTCACACCAGGAAATGAGCTTGACAAGGTGGTTGTTGAGGGCATTGCCAGCCCCAGCATGGAAGATGGAAGAGTGGGTATCACTGTTGGAGGAGACAATCTGGTGCTCAGTGTAGTCCAGGATGCCCTTGAGGGGGCCCTCTGACACCTGCTTCACCACCTTCTTGATATCATCATATTTGGCAGGTTTCTCCAGACGGTAGGTCAGGTCCATAACTGACACATTGGCAATGGGGACATGGAAGGCCATGCCATTGAGCTTCCTGTTCAGCTCGGGGATGACCTTGCCCACAGCCTTGGCAGTGCCAGTAGATGCAGGGATGATGTTCTGGAGAGCCACACAGCCCTCATGCCACAGTTTCCCGGAGGGGCCATCCACAGTCTTCTGGGTGGCAGTGATAGCGTGGACTGTGGTCATGAATCCTTCCATGATACCAAAGTTGTCATAGATGGCTTTGGCCAGGGGTGCTAAGCAGTTGGTGGTACAGGAGGCATTGCTGACGATCTTGAGACTGTTGTCATACTTCTCATGGTTCATGCCTATATAAACATGGGGGCCTCAGCAGAGGCAGCAGAGATGATGACCCTTTTGGCTCCCTGCTGCAAGTGAGCTCCAGCCTTCTCCATGGTCGTGAAGATACTGGTGGGCTCCATAATGTACTCAGCACCAGCATGGCCCCATTTGATTTTGGTGGGATCTCACTCCTGAAAGATGCTGATGGGATTTCCATTGATGACAAGCTTCCCATTCTCAGCCTTGATGGTGCCATGGGATTTGCCATGGGTGGAATCATATGGGAACATGTAGACTATGTAGTTGAGGTCAAGGAAGGGGTCACTGATGGTGAGAACATCTGCTTTACCAGAGTTAAAAGCAGCCCTGGTGACCAGCGCCCGATACTGCCAAATCTTTTTACTTTGGCCTTCACCTTCACCAGGGATGTGGCTAGCACTGCATGAGAAGATGCGGCTGTCTCTTGAATGGCAGGAGCAGGGTGCCTTAAGATTCTGCATGTTTACATAAACATAGCCCTAGAATGGTCTATTTCAGTCATTTACCCACTCAGCATTTCCGGAGTAGTATGCTTCTGTGTGAAACACATGGTCAGGTACAGGGAAACTGAGATGTATGTAACAAAGCTTCTGCCCAAAACCGACTTTCAATTACAGAAACCTAAAGATTCAAAACCAAGACTGGATGAGAAATGCTCATATGGGTGCTATAGGAGCTAAAAGAAGAACTTCTAAGTTGAGTTGGGTGCCTGGTCAAGGCTTCCCTTGAGAAAAAGCCAGAGACATGGTATCACAGAGAGATGTATGAGCAGGGCATGTAGCAAGGAGTGGAGGGAGATGACCCAAAATAGATGTCTGCTGCTTTTTCATGTATCATTTTAATGTGTTATTTCCCATTAGTTCCAAATTCCAATAAAAATGCATTGCTATTTAAATATTGTAAAGGTACTTTGTTAAGTTCTTCTGCTTGTAGGATACTCTAGAGTCTACACAGTCCTTGGACACTTGCTCAGTGTAAAACAGTTTATTGCATTTTTTATGCTGACATCCAAGTTTGTTGCAGAAAGTGGTCTGTTTTTAGGCTAAAGAGAAATTTAAGCTCACTTCTTTCTTTCTTTTTTTTTTTTTTTTTGAGACGGAGTCTCGCTCTGTCGCCCAGGCTCGAGTGCAGTGGCGTGATCTCGGCTCACTTCAAGCTCCACCTCCCAGGTTCATGCCATTCTCCTGCCTCAGCCTCCCAAGTAGCTGGGACTACAGGCGCCTGCCACCACGCCTGGCTAATTTTTTTGCATTTTTAGTAGAGACAGGGTTTCACCATGTTGGCCAGGATGGTCTCTATCTCCTGACCTCGTGATCTGCCCGCCTCGGCCTCCCAAAGTGCTGGGATTACAAGCGTGAGCCACCACGCCCGGCCTAAGCTCACTTCTTTCAAAAAGAACTCTGGAGATAAGCTCATATAAAACATTTTCTTAAACGGCTCCCACTGTTTATATGATTTGATGCCCCATTGAGATCTCCACAGGAAGCTTCAAACACATCTTGGCTCACACTTTTTCAGACCAAGGTTCTTGTCTTCTGATGAGACTCACCATGTTTCAGTACTTAGGAAAAGCTCGTTTAGAGAACAAGTAGAGAGGATTGCGTGAAGTTTATGCAGCCCCTCTTTCTTCTTAGAAATTCCAGACATTTATCTATCCTTGGATTAAGCCAGATCACCAAAAAGAGGAATTCTTGGCTGACCTCATCCTGACCCCTCATGAAACAGAGTGAAGTGCTTACTGTCTTCTACCGGAGCCTCCAGCCCCAGCCTCCTCTGAGTGATGTTGTAACACTCAGCCCTACAAAACTCCCTGTTGTATAGCTGATGTCTTCACTCAGTCACTAAACACAGTGCCCTCTTTACAAAGACTATAGGAGAAATGGCTCCTTGGTCTCAGTGCCAGGAACAATTGTTCTCATCCAAGCAGTGGGTTTGCTGTGATCTTTATGCTACATGAACCACCTACCTGATCTCTGCTGCTAGGAAACTGAGAGACAGGGCAGCAGGCTTGCCTCTGGCACGGGTACCAAACTCCTCAGCTTAGATTTCTTCGTTGGCCCCACTTCCGTCTTTACCTTATTTTGTAAGCTCTTATTTTTCTTCTCATTTCCTCTCCTACTTTAGGCTATTGAATTATCTGAGTTTTTGTAAGCTACTGAAATTCTTTAAGGAATAAATTTGGGATATAAACATGAATTAAGTATCCTTAGTTACTCTGTTTAGAAGACAAAACATATACAAATTACTAGTTTTCACATAATGACTATACTCAATAGAGCTGGCATTAAAACTGCTACTCTTGTGAATATAATTAAACTATACATTCTGTGCGGTCAGGGGTCTTGGCTAACTTGGTCACCTCTGTATCTCAAGTTGCTAGTGCTGTGCTTGGCATGTAGCAGATGCTCAGTAAATATTTCCTGAGCGATTTGAACAAACGATCTTTCAGTAACTAAAGTTTACCAGTGGTACAGTCTGTGGATGCTCAGAAGCAAAATGAAGGCCTAATGCTCTGGTGTTTCCTCCACCTTTTTTGGACACGGGTAGGGGTGTGGCAAGGGACACCGCTGACCCCTCTGATGCTCTGCTGTCTCTCTCTCTCTGCAGACTCACATTTCAAGACTTCCTCCTGGTGCGGTGGCAGGACAGTCTGTGGCAATCGAAGGTGGGGTGTGCCGCCTGGAGAGCCCAGTGAACTGACCCTTCAGGCTGAGTGTGAAGCGTCTCAGAGGCATTTCAGAACCTGAGCTTTTGGGGGTTTTTAACTGAAGTTGGTTGTTTTATCTTTCTTGTTTTATAATTCCTATTGCAACCTCGTGCACTGCTCGAGACACAAGTGCTGCTGTAGTTAGCGCTTAGTGACACGCGGGCCTTTGGTGGGTGAGCGGGACTGTGTGTGAGTGTGTGCGCGTATGTGCGCACATATGTGTATGTGTGGAGTATGTGTGTTTGCTTCTCCGTGGATGAAATAGAAACTCCTCATTGTGTGACCAGGAATGGTTAAATCATCTTTACAAAATGTGTGCTTTAACTGTTTACAAGTAAAACCTAAAGTTGCAGGAAACATTTTTTATTTCGTAAAGAGGTACCAACTGTCGCTGATGTGATATGTCAGAACTGAAGAGTAAATCTACTTGTTTAAATGACTTGACAGTGGTAGTGCTCCATTTAATAACAGTAATAAGTAATAAAGTGTTTTTATTTGTTAACCAGTTTAAGTGGATCCTGTGGTAACTTAAACTGTTGTTCTCATCCCTTATATGGGGCATTTTTCTTTAACAAAGAATGGTTTCAGTGAAACAATCTAGCAGAGAATTAATGTCAGAACCTTTTTAAATAATAGTCTGATTGATACAGTTTGTACTTATTTCATCAAGCTTTTCTAAGCTTAAATATTGCATAGCTTCGAGCTGTATGGACTATATTATGAAAGAATATGTAAAGAGAACATACAGTAATGCACAGTCCTTAATTTGTGTATAATGGAAAGTTATTTACAATATAACACTGTAAATAAGAAAGCAAAGTTTATGGGAAAATTCAATATTATCTTTGTTTTTGTTTAAATATATTTTTAAGATAAAGGCACAAAAATAAAAGAAGCGTATTACTGGGTATAGTATGTGACTCCTCTTCTCAGACTAATAAATTATCTTTTGAATCCTTGGTTAGAGAGCTATTATTTATTTTGTTTATAAAATGTTCTCCCAGAAATCATACCATTATCCATCTTGCTGTTGTTCTGATTGTTCCAAGGCCAGTGTTACGCAGTTAAAGAAGACACTGGCAAGATGCAAGTTGAACTTAGTACATGATTGAATGCTCAATATGGAAGTCCCTAAAATTTCTCTTGCAATTTGATAAAAATAACAAAGAGAAAGAATAAGAACACTTTGCTTTGAAAAATTGTAGTGGCAGCTAAAAGCTCGATAGTTTCAGTTGATAAATTACTTCTAAGTGTTATATTCAGGGATTCTGGAGCCACATAAGAAAACCAAGATTTTCCTTTTGATTTTTTCTTTTTTTTTTATGTAAGAAGTGGTTATCAAGAAGATACTAAAGATAGACTTGCTCAGGGGGAGGAAGTGCCCTGCACCATGTAATCATGGCTCTGGGCGGTAACTGATAAATCCCAGATAAAATTATACACTTGACATCAATGTATGGCCAAATTATAAAGGAAAGACAACCAAAATATAGTGGGTGTAAATATGAATAATTTGAGAGTTGCTGATTTGTATTCCTGGTACAGGCAATTACATTTGTCTTGCTGTGCTCTCATAGACAGGTTGGTGCCGTGGTATCTGTTTCTCATTCTTAATGAGGCTGAGAACTTAGTGAGAGATGGGCTGGCTGGTGGGGAGCCTTTGGCTTCAAAAGCTTTTGAAGACCTGTTACCTGTTGGCAGAGATTTTTCAGGAACTGGATTGGATCACATAAAACTATCAGGACACTTTGGAGTCTGAAAATCGTCTGACCAGTTTCACCAGGAATGCCACTTCTTTCATCTCCTTTTGCCCTTTTTCCATTTATATTTAAACATTTGAGCTTGTTAAGGACCCCTTTTATTAAGAGTTCAAAAACTGGCCAGTATAAAAGAGCACAGCGTCTCCAAGAACAGTTTGTCAAGACTTTACTCTTCAATTTTCTACATTTTTTTTTTAAGGAATATTGTGAAGCCAAGAGGGGGAACATAGTGATATTCAGAATCATGGAGGCAAAAATGTAACAGGTAATATAAGTTCCTTCCTTATCAGATCGGATATTAAAGATCAGCTACTGGAACCAGAGAATACTGAGAGATGTAAAATCAACTTCATTTCACACTAAAGTAGAAAAAGTAGAAACAGATGAGAAAATAACCTCATTCTCTAATCTGGCTTATATCACCAAGAATCTGAAGCTGTATTTTAAGGTGCCCACTTTTAACATGGATGCTTTTAACTGTGTGCCTATATTTGATTTCTTTGTAAGGTCTGAGTGTTGGATATCTGGTTCTCTTGAGTAGAATTAAGCCTGGTCTGGATTCCTCAAGGTGGTCACTGTGACCTAGCTCTGGATTTGGAAACAGGGGCATCTTCAGGGCTTGGTGAGGAGACAAGAGCATGTGATTTTGCTTAAGGCACCTGGAGTGCCTGTGCTGATTGGACTGTCTTGTCAGCTCTGCCACTGTTTTCTCTGCCTTCAGTATGTCTGCCTATGGCAGGCCCTTTCTTACCTTCTAATTACCATGTCTAAATGTGAACTTGATGTGGAGAAAGGAAAACAATTATACTCTGCTGGTGGCAATGTAAATTACGTCAGCCACTGTGGAAAGCAGCCTGGAGATTTCTCAAAGAACTTAAAATGGAACTACCATTCAACCCAATAATCCCATTACTAGGTATATACCTAAAGAAATACAAGGCATTCTACTGTAAAGACACATGCATGCATATGTTTACTGCAGCACTATTCACAATAGCAAAGACATGGAATCAACCTAGATGCCCATCAGCAGTGAACTAGATAAAGAAAATGTGGTACATATACACCATGGAATACTATGCAGCCATAAAAAAGAATGAAATCAGCCAGGCACATTGGCTCACACCTGTAATCCCAGCACTTTGGGAGACCAAGGTGGGTGGATCACCTGAGGTCAGGAGTTGGCCTGGCCAACATGGTGAAACCCCATCTCTACTAAAAAATACAAAAATTAAGCTGGGCGTGGTGGTGGGTGCCTGTAATCCCAACTAATTGGGAGGCTGAGGCAAGAGAATCACTTGAACCAGGGAGGCGGAGGTTGCAGTGAGCCGAGATCACGCCATTGCACTCCAGCCTAGGTGACGAGAGTGAAACTCCATCTCAAAAAAAAAAAAAAAAAAAAAAAAAATGAAATCATGTCCTCTCTGGCAACATGAATGGAACTGGAGGCCATTATCCTAAGCAGAAAATCAAATAATGCATGTTCTCAATTATAAGTGGGAGCTAAACACTGAGTTCACACGGACACAAAGAAGGGAACAATCGATACCAAGACCTACTTGAGAGTGGAGGGTGAGAGGAAGGTAAGAATTGAAAAACCACCTATCGGGTCCTATGCTGATTAACTGGGTGATACAATTATCCGTAAACCAAACCCCCACAACATTCTACCCATGTAACAAACCTGCACACGTACCCCCTGAACCTAAAATAGAAGTTGGAAAGACAGAAAATTAATGTGAAATTGAATTTGGATATCAATATGTTAGAATTTTTTTTACAAAGTATGTATAAATAAGTCCTAGATGCTAGTCTGAGGGGCTTGTCTGTGAGCAAAGTGAATGAATTTTGGTTTACGGGTATGAGGACATCTCTCGGGGCTACTCAAAAGCCTTTTTTGCATAATTTCCAGTTTTCTCCCACATTTGAGAGTGGTAATATTGCATACCAGTGACCTGCAGACAAGTGAGGTCACTCTGTTTTGACACTGGATGGAAGGAGGGAAGAAGGAAGGGAGGGAATGAAGAAGAGAAGATTTAGAAAAGAGCATCATTCTTGAATCTTGAGATTGTATTAATAATTGTGGGATCTTTTATTTTTTGATTTGGCCATTTTTATTACAAAGGTAGTCTGCTTATTAGGAAAAAAATTAGAAAATAGATAAGGAAAATTTTAAAAATGTAAATTTTAAATAAAAATTTAGCTCATAATCCTACTTCCCTAGAGGCAACCCTTAATAAACACCCTACAGACTCTTTATGCATGAATTTTCTGTGTGTTTTTAACACAAAAAATGGTGCTATATTGAACTCCCAAAATGGGGTTCTATAGCCTGCAGTTTTCATTTAATAATATCACAAAAAGATGACCAGACCTATAGGTTTACACAATCCCTCATTTACTGCTTTCCCATACAATGCTGGCTCAGCCTAATGATGCCCAGTACATATATTTGTTCCTTAAACTTCTGGGGAAATCTATGACAATGCTGAGCAGAATAGCTGATATCCATATTTTCAGGCTGCAGGTGCATACAACAAGCACTGTGGTAAGGTCTCAGCCAATGAAAGCCAGCCTGGAAGGCATCCTAGAGCAGGCCATGGTCATTGCTCTTGAACCTCACTGTTTTAGTATCCCCCACACAACTTTGACAGGCTTTTTCCAGAACGATGGAAAGCTATTCTGTCTCTGGGTGCTGTAGGCCACAAGTGCCAGGGAATCAGCACTCCCTAGAAGTTGGTGTATAAATTGGCTAGCTCCTTTGCTACTTGGGTGCGATAATACCGAATATGTGTTTCGCAGTTTTTGAGAGAGTTCCTACAGGAATTAAGCTTCAGTTTCCCCCTCTGGTAGTTGACTTAGTACACCTTGTGTTGGCTTTCTCCCCTTTTCTGGTTCCTTCTTGACTCTCCTACCTGTGTTTACTGAAATCATCTCCCAGATGAACTACTTGGAGTCAACTCCTTATCTCAGGGTTGCTTCTGGAGGACTTCACACTGAAACACATTCCACTCCACATGTATTCTTGGCCACTAGGGTTTTTAGGCCCTCCACTGAGGGTGGACTCACCAGTCTGCTTATGCCCCTCACTGGGGCTCTCCTCCTGACATGTGCACCTGCTCAGCCATTTTCATCCGTAACATCGGAGGGACATTCTCCGAGTGATAAGGCTGGATATGCCACAAAAGTTTGTGAAGTTCGCAACTAAGTCAGTGTTAACAGGCACCAGACTGCTGGAGACAGACAAACACTTTTAAGGATATGGTGAAGTAAACAGAAGCTGAAGAGCAACAGTTCATCAAGGACTGGTGGATGCCTTCAAGGAAATGACCTGGAATGGTGTTAACGGTAGTTGGAAGAAGCTTTAGCTAAAGGCGTTTCATGACTTTAAGAAATTTGCAGAGGCCAGAACAGTGTCCTGTGTCACGAACACATTTTCACGACGTGCATGCCATGGGGGCCTCACACAACACCCATTTCCAAAAGGGCATCTCTCAAGTCTGGCTGTTCATAACATAATTTCATGGTAAATTTTTCTTAATGTCTTCCAAAATTTTTCTTAAAACTAAATGTTTAAGGCACATCAGCATTGTTCTGACATAAATCCTATAAACGCTCAACACTGGGAGTCCCCTCTGCCCGCAAAACCCAGTCTTCCTGTTCACCTTAAGGTTGCAGTGGCTGGTGACCTTCAGAGGGAACAGAGGTGGAAGCCACTCCCCCTCCCAGGAACGCTGGCCCAAGACAAGGCTGAGCCCAGCAGCAATGAATCCCTGTGTATATGATTAATGTGTATGATTAAGTTGTTTTCATTTAGTTGTATTCTAAACCTTTCCCAGAAGCCGATTAACCAGGGGAAGGAAGTATGAGTAGGTAAATGTAGTGGGCTATAGGGGGAGTGAATGGGAGGTTGGAAACATAAAGTTAATAATATCACATTAATATTTGTTCTGGGGCCTTAAGAATTCTTAAGGAACACACCACCCCTCCCCAGCACTTAATTTGCATTCAAGTCCGCAAGGTATTAGCCAGATGTCTATGATCAGAAACTCACAGGCTGACCAAATTGACCAGGCAATCTTTTTTTTTTCCCCCATGCTTCTGTCTCTAAAGTGTTTGGCCACAGGAAGGATTAAATCTAAAACTGGCAAGGGCTTCCCTCCAAGGCGGCACACTCAGCTTCCAGAAGACCATCAGCCAAGCCCAAGGTGGTTCATTATGACCAGTTGTGGAAAGCTGGGAGAGAAAGTGAGTCCAGTGGTTTCTCCTTTACATGGTGCAGTTACTGAAGCCCTGAAACCACAAGTGGCAATGCAGAAAAACTTTGTGGGTGGGAGTTTCTTTGCCTTGAATTGCCATGGGGATTTCTTTGTCAACAGAGTGTCAGAAGCCTAAAAGAAAAAAATTCAAAACAATTCCTTTAACCTTTACTGTCGCTATTATGATGGAGATCCAAAGAGTTACTCCTAAAATGATCTTTCCTGGCCTTGGAAAATCCAGTAATGCTTAAGAGGTAGAGGATATCTTCCAATATATTAAGAAAAACATGTGTTCTTTTCCATGTACAAGTAGTAAGATTTTAATCTTTCCACCCAGGTTCTTCCCCCAAACCTGTTAACTAGCAGTCTTTCCCACCTGGTAAATGGTAGCTCCATCCTTCTGTGCACTCAGGCCAAAACTCTGGGGGTCATCTGTTTCATGTTCTATGGCTGAATAACAAATCACCCCAAGCCTTAATGGCTTAAACAACAACTGTTTTATTTGCCCACAATTCTGTAAATTGAGCTTAACGTAACTCAGTGGTTTTTCTGCTGCTCTTGCTGCTAGTCACTAGTGTGCTGCATTTAGCTGGAAGGTGAGCTAGGAGATAGGCCGAGCTGGGATGCTGGATGGCTGAGTGTCCTTCTTACTCCATGCAGGCTCAGAGCCTCTCTACAGCATCTTTCCACACCACATGCCAAAAAGACACGGCAGGTCAAGCTTCCCAGGAGCACAAAAGCAGAAACTACCAGGCCTTCTACAGGTTTAGGTCCATAATGGCCCAGCATCACTTTTGCCACATTTATTGCTTATATTAAATCACCTGGTTCAGCCCAGATTCAAGAGGGAGGGACAGCCTAAGGGCATTTGTAGCAGAGGCTAGATTCACTGAGGGCCACCACCTGACATCCTTGAATTTTTACTTTCCTTCTGTGATTCTACAACCAATCCATTCACAAATCCTGTTGGCTTTCCTTTAAAGTGTAGGCTGAATCTAACTGCTCCTTACCACCTCCACTGCTACAATCAGATTGTCTTTTGCCTGAGTTATTACAATAGGTTCTGCACTGGTCTCCCTGCTTCCACTCTTGTCCTGACAGTCACCTGTGCACTGGCAGCCAAAAGGAGTAAGATCATGGCACCTGTCTGCTCAAAACCTTCCAGTACACCTTGTCCCAGAGTTCCTACAAGGCCCTGGGATCTGCTCCTTCTTGTTCTCCGACCCCATACTATTTCTCTGGCCTCCTTGCTGTTCTTTGAGCAGCCCACACACCCTCCCATCTCAGAAGCATTGCACATGCTTGTACCCCCTGCTTGGAAAGCACTTTCCAGATGGCTTCACATGGCTTGCTCTTCCCTCATCTCCTTCAGCTCTGCTGGAATGTTACCTTCTTGGCAAGGTCGTCCCTGAGCAAGCTCCTAACCACACCCCCTCCAGCATTTTGCATTCCTTTTTTGCTTTATTTTTCTGTCACGTTTCACTTTCCACAAATATATGGACACTTAATTTTCAACAATTATGGCATAGCAAAGCAGTAGGGAAAGTGTATTTTTAAATGTTCCTGGAGCAAGTAGATACACAAGTGAAAAAAATGTGAATTATATCTCATGCCATACACAGAAATAAATTACAGATAAACTGTAAATCTAAATATAAAAGACAAAACACAGTTATTTATTAATTTTTGAGACAAGGTCTCCCTCTGTTGCCCAGGCTGGAGCACAGTGGCACGATCATGGCTCACCACAGCCTCAACTTCCCAGGCTCAAGCAATCCTCCCACATCAGCCTCCCAACTAGCTGGGACTACAGGTGTACACCATGATACCCAGATAATTTTTTATATTTTGTAGAGACAGGGTCTTGCCATGTTGCCCAGCTTGGTCTTGAACTCCTAGGCTTAAGCAATCCTCCCACCTTGGCCTCCCAAAGTGCTAGGATTACAGGTGTGAGCCACCGCACCTGGCCAAAACAAACCTTTAGAAGATAGTTTGGGGATGTTCTACTTCTGGGATGACAGCACGAGAAGCTCCACAGACTCCAACTTCCCAGAGTATTTGGAAAATGTTCTAAGAGCATAAAACAAATTAAGAATATGTTTTCAAGAAAAATTTACTGAAACTGGCTAAAAACAGCTAGTTTGTGGCATTTGGGCCATGACCCACTCCCTGCCCCCCAACTTCCAGCTCATACTGATAGAAGATTCACTCTGGTTGAGTGTGGCCAAGAAGACTGGGGCTGCCTCTCCTTTCAGCTCCCAACCAAGTCCTACTCTATCTCACCAGGAGGAGCAGGCTGCCGGCATTTCTCATCCCCTCCAACTCCAAGTTGAAGAGGCTGGATCCTGGTGTGCACATCTGAGAGGCTGGAGGCTACTTTCCTATAGCCATCACTTATTCATAGACAGAGACTCAACCCCAGGAAAGAAGTTTCTTTTCCCAAGAAAACTGAGGTCCCAATCACCCTTGCCCCGCAAATCATGTATAAATCAGATATTTCATTCTGGGATGGGCAAACAAAGAAGACCAGAGGCTACCGCCCTGCCCAGCACCCAGAATAATGGCTTAGAGAGTTTGCTGAGGGAGAGGCAGACTATAAGAAAAGAGCACTGATGCCCTCTCCAAAGAAACTGAATTTATCTAAAACAGAGTGTGGAGAAGTGCAAGCATAAGGGTGCTCCTGGTACTAAGAACAACAAGCTAAACAATACCCTAGCTAGTTCACCAAAAAGAAGCAAAAAAGAGGAATCTAAGAAGAGTCCTGTGGCATCAGAATAAACCTTAAAACTATCCTTAACAGACTTCTCAAGATGGCCAAATAGGAACAGCTCCAGTCTGCAGCTCCCAGTGAGATCAATGCAGAAGGGAAGTGATTTCTGCATTTCCATCTGAGGTACCTGGCTTATCTCATTGGGACTGGTTAGACAGTGGGCATGGCCCATGAAGGGTTAGAAGCAGGGTGGCACGTAGCCTCACCTGGGAAGTGCAAAGGGTTGGAGAACTCCCTTCCCTAGCCAAGGGAAGCTGTGAGGACCTGTGCCGTGAGGGATGGTGCATTCTGGCTCAGATACTATGCTTTTCCCACAGTCTTCGCAACCCACAGACCAGGAGATTCCCTTGGGTGCCTATACCACCAGGGCCCTGAGTTTCAAGCACAAAACTGGGCGGCTGTTTGGGCAGACACCGAGCTAGCTGCAGGAGTTTTTTTCCACACCCCAGTGGTGCCTGGAATGCCAGCGAGACAGAACCGTTCACTCCCCTGGAAAGGGGGCTGAAGCCAGGGAGCCAAGTGGTCTAGCTCGGCAGATCCCACCCCCATGGAGCCCAGCAAGCTAAGACCACTGGTTTGAAATTCTCACTGCCAGCACAGCAGTCTGAAGTCGACCTGGGATGCTTGAGCTTGGAGGGGGGAGGGGCGTCCGCCATTGCTGAGGCTTGAGTAGGCGGTTTTCCCCTCACAGTGTAAACAAAGCCACCAGGAAGTTTGAACTGGGCAGGGTCCACCGCAGCTCTGCAAAGCTGCTGTAGCCAAACTGCCTCTCTAGATTCCTCCTCTCTGGGCAGGGCATCTCTGAAAGAAAGGCAGCAGCCCCAGTCAGGGGCTTATAGATAAAACTCCCATCTCCCTGGGACAGAGCACCTGGGAGAAGGGGCAGCTGTGGGCGCAGCTTCAGGAGACTTAAATGTTCCTGCCTGCCAGCTCTGAAGAGAACAGTGGATCCCCCAGCACAGTGCTTGAGCTCTGCTAAGGGACAGACTGCCTCCTCAAGTGGATCCCTGGCCTCCATGCCTCCTGACTGGGAGACACCACCAAGCAGGGGTTGACAGACACCTCATACAGGAGAGCTCCAGCTGGCATCTGGCGGGTGCCCCTCTGGGACGAAGCTTCCAGAGGAAGGAACAGGCTGTAGTCTTTGCTGTTCTGCAGCCTCTGCTGGTGATACCCAGGCAAACAGGGTCTGGAGTGGACCTCCAGCAAACTCCAGCAGACCTGCAGCAGAGAGGCCTGACTGTTAGAAGGAAAACTAACAAACAAAAAGGAATAGCATTAACACCAACAAAAAGGACGCCCACACAAAAACTCCATGTGAAGGTCACCAACATCAAAGACCAAAGGTAGATAAATCCACAAAGATGAGGAAAAACCAGCACAAAAAGGCTGAAAATTCCAAAAACCAGAATGCCTCTTCTCCTCCCAAGGATCACAACTCCTTACCAGCAAGGGAACAAAACTGGATGGAGAATGAGTTTGATGAATTGACAGAAATAGGCTTCAGAAGGTGGGTAATAACAAACTCCTCCAAGCTAAAGGAGCATGTTCTAACCCAATGATAGGAAGCTAAGAACCTTGAAAAAAGATTAGAGGAGTGCTAACTAGAATAACCAGTCTAGAGAAGAACATAAATGACCGGATGGAGCTGAAAAACCCAGCACAAGAACTTTGTGAAGCATACACAAGTGTCAACAGCCAAATCGATCAAATGGAAGAAAGGATATCAGAGTTTGAAGATCAACTTAAATAAAATGTGAAGACAAGATTAGAGAAAAAAGAATGAAAAGGAACAAACAAAGCCTCCAAGAAATATGAGACTATGTGAAAAGACCAAACCTATGTTTGATTGGTGTACCTGGAAGTGACAGGGAGAATGGAACCAAGTTGGAAAACGCTCTTCAGGATATCATCCAGGAGAACTTCCCCAACCCACCAAGACAGGCCAACATTCAAATGTAGGAAATATAGAGAACACCACAAAGATACTCCTTGAGAAGAGGAACCACGAGACGCATGTTTGTCAGATTTACCAAGGTTGAAATGAAGGAAAAAATATTAAGGGTAGCCAGAGAGAAATGTCGGGTTACCCACAAAGAGAAGCCCATCAGACTAACAGTGGATCTCTCTGCAGAAACCCTATAAGCCAGAAGAGAATGGGGGCCAATATTCAACATTCTTAAAGAAAAGAATTTTCAACCCAGAATTTCATATCCAGCCAAACTAAGCTTCATAAGCAAAAGAGAAATAAAATCCTTTACAGACAAGCAAATGCTGAGAGATTTTGTCACCACCAGGCCTGCCTTACAAGAGCTCCTGAAGCAAGCACTAAATATGGAAAGGTAAAACCAATACCAGCCACTGCAAAAACATATCAAATTGTAAAGACCATTGACCCTATGAAGAAACTGCATCAACTAATGGGCAAAATAACCAGCTATCATCATGATGACAGGATCAAATTAACATATAACAATATTAACCTTAAATGTAAATGGGCTAAATGCCCCAATTAAAAGACACGGAGAGGCAAATTGGATAAAGAGTCAAGACCTATCAGTGTGCTGTATTCAGGAGACCCATCTCACATGCAAAGACACACATAGGCTCAAAATAAAGGGATGGAGGAATATTTACCAAGCAAACTGAAAGCAAAAATAAAGCAGGGGTGGCAATCTTAGTATTTGATAAAATAGACTTTAAACCAACAAAGATCAAAAAAGACAAAGAAAGGCATTACATAATGGTAAAGGGATCAATGCAACAAGAAGAGCTAACTATCCTAAATATATATGCACACAATACAGGAGCACCCAGATTCATAAAGTAAGTTCTAGAGACCTACAAAGAGACTTAGACTCCCACAGAATAATAGTGGGAGACTTTAACACCCCACTGTCAATATCAGACAGATCAACGAGACAGAAAATTAACAAGGATATTCAGGACTCGAACTCAGCTCTGGACCAAGCAGACCTAATAGACATTTATAGAACTCTCCACCCCAAATCAACAGAATAGACAATCTTCGCAACATCACATCACACTTATTTTAAAATTGACCACATAATTGGAAGTAAAACACTCCTCAGCAAATGCAAAACAATGGAAATCATAACAAACAGTCTCTCAGACCACAGTACAATCAAATTAGAACTCAGGATTAAGAAACTCACTCAAAACTGCACAACTACATGGAAGCTGAACAACCTGCTCCTGAATGACTACTGGGTAAATAACAAAATTAAGGCAGTAATAAATAAGTTCTTTGAAACCAATAAGAACAAAGACACAATGTAACAGAATCTCTGGGACACAGTTAAAGCAGTGTTAAGAGGGAAATTTATAGCACTAAATGCCCACAGGAAAAAGCAGGAAAGATCTAAAATCGACACCCTAATGTCACCATTAAAAGAACTAGAGAAGCAACAGCAAACAAATTCAAAGTTAGCAGAAGAAAAGAAATAACTAAGATCAGAGTAGAACTGAAGGAGATAGAGACACGAAAAATCCTTCAAAAAAATCAATGAATCCAGGAGCGGGTTATTTGAAAAAATTAACAAAATATATAGACTGCTAGCCAGAATAATAAAGAAGAAAAGAGAGAAGAATCAAATAGACACAATAAAAAATGATAAAGGGGATATCATCACTGATCCCACAGAAATACAAACTACCATCAGAGAATACTATAAACACCTCTATGCAAATAAACTAGCAAATCTAGAAGAAATGAATAAATTCCTGGACATATACACCCTCCCAAGACTACACCAGGAAGAAGTCAAATCCCTGAATAGGCCAATAACAAGTTCTGAAATTGAGGCAGTAATTAATAGCCTACCAACCAAAAAAAACCTAGGACCAGATGGATTCACAGCTGAATTCTACCAGAGATATAAAAAAGAGCTGGTACCATTCCTTCTGAAACTATTCCAAACAATAGAAAAAGAGGGAATCCTCCCTAACTCATTTTATGAGGCCAGCATCATCCTGATACCAAAACCTGGTGGAGACACCACAAAAAAAGAAAATTTCAGTCCAATATCCCTGATGAACACTGATGCAAAAATCCTCAATAAAATACTGGCAAACCGAATCCAGCAGCATATCAAAAAGGTTATCCACCATGATCAAGTTGGGTTCATTCCTGGGATGCAAGGCTGATTCAACATACACAAATCAATAAACGTAATCCATCACATAAACAGAACCAATGGCAAAAACCACATGATTGTCTCAACAGATGCAGAAAAGGCCTTTGACAAAATTCAACAGCCCTTCGTGCTAAAAACCCTCAATAAACTAGGTATCGATGGAATGTATCTCAAAATAATAAGAGCTATTTATGGCAAACCCACAGCCAATATCATATTGGATGGGCAATAGCTGGACACATTCCCTGAAAACTGGCACAAGACAAGCATGCCCGCTCTCACCACTCCTTTTCAACACAGGGTTGGAAGTTCTGGCCAGGGCAATCAGACAAGAGAAAGAAATAAAGGGTATTCAAATAGGAAGAGAGGAAGTCAAATAATCTCTGTTTGCAGATGACATGATTGTATATTTAGAAAACCCCATTGTCTCAGCCCAAAATCTCCTTAAGCTGATAAGCAACTTCTGCAAAGTCTCAGGATACAAAACCAATGTGCAAAAATCACAAGCATTCCTATACACCAATAATAAGCAAACAGCCAAATCATGAGTGAACTCCCATTCACAACTGCTACAAAGAGAATAAAATACATAGAAATACAACTTACAAGGGTTGTGAAGGACCTCTTCAAGGAAAACTACAAGCCACTGCTCAAGGAAATAAGAGAGGACACAAACAAATGGAAAAACATTCCATGCTCATGGATAGGAAGAATCAAAATTGTGAAAATGGTCATACTGCCCAAAGTAATTTATAGATTCTATGCTATCCCCATCAAGCTACCATTGACTTTATTCACAGAATTAGAAAAAAAACTATTTTAAATTTCATATGGAACCAGAAAAAGAGCCCATATAGCCAAGACAATCATAAGCAAAAAGAACAAAGCTGGAGGCATCACGCTTCCTGACTTCAAACTATACTACAAGGCTACAGTAGCCAAAACAGCATGGTACTGGTACCAAAACAGATATATAGACCAATGGAACAGAACAGAGGCCTCAGAAATAATGCCACACATCTACAACCATCTGATCTTTGACAAACCTGACAAAAACAAGCAATGGGGAAAGGATTCCCTATTTAATAAATGGTGTTGGGAAAACTGGCTGGTCATATACAGAAAACTGAAACTGGACCCCTTCCTTACACCTTATAAAAAATTAACTCAAGATGGATTATACACTTAAACATAAGACCTAAAACCATAAAAACCCTAGAAGAAAACCTAGGCAATACTATTCAGGACACAGGCATGGGCAAAGAGTTCATGATGAAAACACCAAAAGCAAAGACAACAAAAGCCAAAATTGACAAATGGGATCTAATTAAACTAAAGAGCTTTTGCGCAGCAAAATAAATGATCATCAGAGTGAACAGGCAACCTACAGAATGGGAGAAAATTTTTTCAATCTACCCATCTGACAAAGGGCTAATATCCAGAATCTACAAGGAACTTAAACAAATTTACAAAAAAAAAACAACCCCATCAAAAAGTGGGTGAAGGATATGAACAGACACTTCTTAAAAGAAGACATTTATGCAGCCAGCAAACATGAAAAATTCATCATCACTAGTTACTAGAGAAATGCAAATCAAAACCACAATGAGATACTGTCTCATGCCAGTTAGAATGGCAATCATTAAGAAGTCAGGAAACAACAGATGCTGGAGAAAATGTGGAGAATTAGGAACGCTTTTACACTGTTGGTTGGAGTGTAAATTAGTTCAAACATTGTGGAATACAGTGTGGTGATTCCTCAAGGATCTAGAACCAGAAATACCATTTGACTCAGCAATCTAATTACTGGGTATATACCCAAAGGATTATAAATTATTCTACTATAAAGACATATGCACACATATGTTTATTGCAGCACTATTCACAACAGCAAAGACTTGGAACCAACTCAGATGCCCATCAATGATAGACTGGATAAAGAAAATGTGGCACATATACACCATGGAATACTGTGCAGCCATAAAAAAGAATGAGTTTATATCCTTTGCAGGGATATGGATGAAGCTGGAAATCATCATTCTCAGCAAGCTAACACAGGAACAGAAAACCAAACACCGCATTTTCTCATGTATAGGTGGGAGTTGAACAATGAGAATGCATGAACACAGGGAGGGGAACATCACATACCAGAGCCTGTTGGGGGGTGGGGGGCTCGGGGAGGGATAGCATTAGGAGAAATACCTAATGTAGATGATGGGTTGATGGGTGCAGCAAACCACCATGGCACATATATACCTATGTAACAAACCTGCACATTCTGCACATGTATCCCAGAACTTAAAGTAAAAAACAAAACAAAACAAAACACAACACACCTATCTTTAAAAACTACCCCAGCCCAATTATACTGCTGAGTAATTTATATCAGAGGGCATTTTCCAAAACAATAGAACAATTAGTGGTAATTAGTGGAGCCTAATTGCTGGGTATAATATGAAAAGGACAGACATTTTAATGAAGATATGAGGGGAAAGAGACAATCAAAGAAAACTGCTAAAATTATTTTAATTCCAGGGTGAGCAGGTGCATGCCCAAGGCTGCATCCTGTGAGGAGTGACAGCCAAGGCTTTACACTGTGAGAGAAATGGTTTTATCAAAATGGACTAGCTAAGTCACCAAACAAATGAGCAAAGAAACAGCAACAAAAACAAGACCCAGAAAGGGAAGAGATGAACTAATAACCAGAGTTGCTACAAAATGTTACCTAAAATGTCCACTTTTAAAAAAATTACGAAAGAGGCCAGGTGTGGTGGCTCATGTCTGTAATCCCAGCACTTTGGGAGGCTGAGGCGGGCAGATCACAAGGTCAGGAGATCGAGACAATCCTGGCTAACACGGTGAAACCCCATCTCTACTAAAAATACAAAAAATTAGCCGGGCGCGGTGGCGGGCGCCTGTAGTCCCAGTTACTCGGGAGGCTGAGGCAGGAGAATGGTGTGAACCCCGGGAGGCAGAGCTTGCAGTGAGCTGAGATGGCACCACTGCACTCCAGCCTGGGCGAAAGAGCAAGACTCTGTCTCAAAAAAAAAAAAAAAATTACGAGACAGCAAAAGAAACAGGAACAGTGACTTGTTATTTCTCTCTGTTTCTCTCTCACACACACACGGATGCTCACACACACAAAATAGTCAACAGAAACTTCCTCAGAGAGGGACCAAATGTCAGATTTTATAAAGACTTTAAAGTAGCCATTATAAATATGCTCAAAGAATTTTTAAAAATGCTTAAAGAAGTACAGTATGAAGACAATATCTCATCAAATATAGAATATCAATAAAGAGATAGACATAAAAATAGAACCAAATGGTAATTCTGGTGTCAAGAAGTACAACTGAACTAAACAACTTTATTAAAGGGGCTCAACAGGAGATTTTTTACTGGCAGAATAAAGAATAAGCAAATTTGATAGACTGATAGGGATTATACCATCTGGAGAACAGTGAGAAAATAAAATGAAGAAAAAAGAGCCTTGAGAAACTGTGGAACACCCGTAAATAAACTGAAATATGCATAATGGAAGTACTAGAAGAAGAAAAGAAAGAGAAAGGAGAAGAAAAAGTATTTGAAGAAATAGCAGCTGAAAGCTCCCCAAATTTGCTGGAAAACACACTCAGGAAGCTCAATAAACTCAAGTAGGAAACAGAGAGATCCATTATTTTCTGTTTAACATATCATAGAAAAAATACTGAAATTCAAAGACAAGGAGAAAATTTTGAAAGCAGCAAGAGAAAAATGTCATTTATAAGGGAACCCCAATAAAATGAACAACTGACTTTTTATAAGAAATCATGGCTGTCAGAAGGCAATGGAGCAACACATTCAAAGTGCTGAAATAAACAACAACAATCAACCAAGAATCTTATATCTTAAAAGACTGTCTTTCAAAAATGAAGAAAAAAATCAAGACATATCCAGAAAAAAAAAAAAAACTGAAAGAATTTGCTGCTATCAGACCTGCCTTATCATAAATACTAAAGGAAATTTTTAGGCTGAAAGCAAGTAAACCCAGATGGAAATTGAGTCCATAGAGAAAAAACAAAGAGCACTGATAATTGCAATTATGAAAGACAGTATATATATTTTTCTTTCTTGTCTTAATTAATTTTATAAATCAAGTGTATAAAACACTACATGTATCATTGTATTGTTGGGGCTATAATAGATGGAAATGCAATGTACTTGACAACAACCACTTAAAGGAGATGGGTGGAGGCAGAGTTGTACTGGAGTGAGGAAATGATACTAGATGATAACTTGAACACATGGGAACAAATAAAGAGAACTAGAAATGATAAATAAGAAAGCACATAGAACAAATGCTACAAATAAATACCTACTCTTCTTTGTTATCTCTCTTTAATAGACAAAAATTACATTAAGTACTCATTATAATGATGTATTGTTAGGTTTATGGCATCTATAGATGTAATATGTGTGACAATGATAACACAGAAAGGAAGAATGGGTAATAGAGCTATACAGGAGGAACATTTCTGTTTCTTGATGGAATTAAGTTAGTATAAATCTGAAGTAAATTCTGATGAATTCTGATGTATATGGTAAGCCCTAGAGCAACCACTGAGAGAAAACAAACTAAATAAGTTATAAAAAACCATTAAATAAATTAAAATGTTACACTAGAGATACTGACAATGCAAAATAAAGCAGTAAAATAGGAATAGAGGAACACAATAGACACATGAGACATATAGAAAACAATTAAATGGCAATATAAATCTAACTATATCAATAATAACATTAGATGTTGTATTAGTGTTCTCCAGAAAAAAAGCAGTAGCATATGCATACATACATATATATGTATATATATAAAATTACATATATGTGTATACATATATAACATGATATAGTTTTATAAAATAAGTTTTACATATATATATAAAATAAGGATTTGGCTCAAATGAATATAAAACCTAGCAAATAAAAATCTGTAGTGTGAGCCAGCAGACTTGAGACTCAGGAGAGCCCAGGATACGGTTATAGTCTGAAGATCAGCAGACAGAGACCCAGGAAAGCCGATAGTGCCAATGATGTCTGAAGGTGATCTGCTGGAGAATTCCCTCTTGCTTAGGGAGGCCAGTCTTTTTATTCATTCAAGCTGTCAATTCATTGAACGAGGCACCCACAGAATAGGGCAATCTGCTTTACTCAGTGTTCACTGATTTAAATACTAATTTCATGTTAAAACACCCTCCAAGTTGACACATAAAATTAATCATCACAGATGTGAGTGGATTAAGTAATCCAGTCAAAAGCTGAGAGGGTATCAGACGAGACTGAAAAACAAGATGCAATTATATGCTCTCTACAGAAGTTATACTTTATATTCAAATATATAAGTTAGTTGAATGTAAAAAGGTGGAAGAAGATGTATCATGCAAACAGTAATCACATGGAAGTTGTAATGGCTAAACAAATATCAGACAAAATAGATTTTAAAACAAAATATATTACTAGAGATAAAAAGGGCATACAATGTAATGATGAGAGGATCAATTCATTAGGAATTTATAAATATTATAAACATATATGCACCTAACAGCAGAATCCCAAAATACATGACTGACATGATCGAGGGGAAAAACAGACAATTCAACATTAATATTCAGATACTTAAATATTCCACTTTAAATATTGGATAGAATAATGAGGCATAAGATCAACAAGGAAATACAAGACTTGAACAACAGTATACACAAAGCAGACCTAATAGACATCAATAGAACACTGTACCCAATAACAGAATAAACATTCTTCTCAAGTGCACAAGGAACATTCACCAGAATAGACTGTATGTCAGGCTATACAACAAGCCTTAATAAATTTAAAAGGATTGAAATCATACAATATACGTCCTCTGATCACAAGAGAATAAAATTAAAAGTAACAGAAAGATTTGGGAAATTCACGAACATGTGTAAATTTAACAGCGCACTACTAAATAACCAACAGGTCTAAGATAAAAGCAGAGGAAAATAAGAAAATATTTTGAGATGAATGAAAACAAAGACACAACATACCAAAACTTAGGGGATGCGGTGAAAGCAGTGCTCACAGGGAAGTTTAAATGCCTACGCTAAAAAAGAAGAAAGATCCCATATCAACAACCAAACATTCTACCTTAAGACAATGGAGAAAGAAGAGCAAACGAAGCTCAAAGCAAGTAGAAAGAGGAAATAATAAGGATTAGAGAGGGAATTAATGAAATAACGAATTGAAAAACAATAGAGAAAATGAATCCAAAAGTTGGTTTGTCAAAAAGATCAATAATACTGACAAACTGTTAGCTAGAACGGCCAAGAAAAAAGAGAGAAGACTCAAATGCCTAAAATCAGAAATAGAAGAGGGGATGATACTGCTTGACCTTACAGAAATGAAAAGAATATAAAGGAAATGGCATGGATAACTGTATACCAACTAATCAGACAACTTAGATGAAATTGACAAATTCTTACAGAAAACAGCAACTACCAAAACGGACTTAAAAAGAAATAGAAAATCTAAATAGACCTATAACAAGTACTGATATTAAAGTAGTAATCAAAAAATCTCCCAGGAAGAAAGCCTAGTACTAGATGGTTACACTGGTGAATTCTGTCCTAATCTCCTCTTCTTATAAGGACATCAGTCGTAATGGATTAGGGTCCACTCTAATGACCTCATTTTACCTTAATTACTTTTTTTGTAAAGGCTGTGTCTTCAAATAAAGTCACATTCTGAGGCCCCGGGGCTTAGGACATCAACATGGATTTTGGGGGAACATAATTTAGCTCATAATACATTATAAATGTCATTTTAAAATGTTTGTTTTAATGAGAAACCTTTATAAAAGAAAAAATTTTCAGTTTCCTTAGTATTAACATAAATTATTTTAAAATAATGCCACTTCAAAATGTACAAACATAGAAAGGTATAAGCTTTTTATGTATATAGCTGTTGTACAATTATACATCTAAGTAGATTTCCAAGTGAATATAAGATTCCAGACCAATAAAGTTCATGTTAATAATGATATAATAAATTACGTTACATTATGTTTTGTTTTTATTGGTTTACCTTAAATTATTATATAATTTAATTTGGGTTATTGTGTTTTCAACTCTATAATTTCCATGTGTTTTTTCTTTGTATCTTATATTTCTTTGCTGAGATTTAATATATTCCATTTGTTTCAAGCATGTTCAAACTTGCTTGTTGAAGAATTTTTATAATGGCTGCTTTAAAATCCTTGTCAAATAATTCTCTTATCTTTGTGTTGACATCTGTTGATTGTCTTTTGTCATTCATATTGCAATCCTCCTGGTTCTCAGTATGAGTAGTATTTGATGGGATAGATGAGGCAGAATAAAAACAGAACTCACCACCGTACTGTTCCTCAGGTCCCAGGGTCGCTAGTTAGTCCACCTTCTTTTCTCCACCTTTCCAACTCTACTCATATTTGTTTTATATATAATGCCCAGTGTTTTAGCTACACTTAATGGAGAGAATAGGGAAAAGTACCTGCATTTCATCTTTCCAGAAGCAGAAGTACTGCTTTTATTATAGAAGCATTTATTTGGAAACAATATTTCATTAGTTGACTTGATCCTGTTGATTTTAAACTTGATAGCCATCATCTGAGTTGTCAACATTATGATTTGCATTGCACTTCCTTTTGGACAATACATTTGTTTTAAACTACCTATCCATTATTTATTCTCAGCCAATCCACTTAATAAACACCCTGGGAAATTGCGACACAGCCATTTCATGAAAAATTACTGAGAGTTGACTACTACATTTATTGCCAACCAAGTTTGATATATACGTAGATGTGACCCATGCACCATCTCTGCTCAGAACATGAACATACAGATAAGCCCACCTAGGCTTTTAAAATGTTCAACATACATTTAAACATACATTATTTATTTATTTTTGAGACAGGGTCTTGCTCTGTTGTATGGGCTGGAGTGCAATGATGCAATCTTGGCTCACTGCAACCTCCACCTCCTGGGTTCAAGTGATTCTTCTGCCTCAGCCTCCTGAGTAGCTGGAATTATAGGCATGTGCCACCACGCCCAGCTAATTTTTGTATTTTTGATAGAGACGAGGTTCCACCATGTTGGCCAGGCTGGTCTCGAACTCCTGACCTCAAGTGATCCACCTGCCTCAGCCTCCCAAAGTGCTGGGATTACAGGCTTGAGCCATTGCACCTAGCCCTTAAATATACATTATTGGTCATCTCTCAATTTTTCCATTTTTTTCTTTTCCAGCTACCTGAAATCTTCATTTGGCATCACCATTACTTCAACCTCAAATACAAATGCAGAAAATGAAATTGCCTACTATGACTAGTCACAAGGTCACCCTGAATATATCTGTATTAATTTATTTTAGTTTGTCATCAAAATGAAAATTTTAAAAATTGTAGTATTGTCATTGAATTCATGGTTTTGGAGGCTACATCCATAGACCCACAGGAGCCACAAACTCCAGTGTGAGAAACTCAAGTCTAGAGTATTTCAGGTCCAGCTGATTCATGAGAAGAGTTACTAATGCATTGCAAGCCATCCTGCAGGTGGCTGGTGTGTATTAGGGTACAGGGGTTGGGGAAGGGGACAGGCAGGCACCACCTAACCAGCAGAGTAATGACAAAAATGGGTTTATCTTTTCATGTCTGCATCATTCACTGACAGTTCCCTTCCATATCCCCTGGTCCCTACTGTTTCCAGTGTGGATCAGCTAATTTGCAACCACCACTATCTGCATCTGTGCCTACCTCAGGGTTCGCTCCAAAATGCAGAAGACTGCTCTGCCTGTGGCAGGACAGAAGTGACATTCCCTGGAGCAGCCCTCAACTCATGGCTGCCAGGAGTTAGTGTATAAATTGCCCCAAAGCTCTCTATAAAGTGGTTTTATTTTTGATGTCTCATTTGACCTATACAACAATTCTGGAAGGAAGAAAGTTATATTAAACAAGGCCAACAGTGGAGTGTAATCCCTGTATTCTTTTTTGTTCTCTCATCTATCCCAAGAATACTGCTCAGAAAATTATAGATGCTCAATAAATAATTGATGAATAAAGGAAGAAACTGATGCTTCTGTGAGTAATTTAATTAAATTGCCTATGATAACACCAGGACTTGAAGGCTGATCTTTTTACTCCAAGCACAGTGCTCTCTACTATACACCTGGGAGTTTCTGTTCTTAATCCTGTGGTCTCAAACCATGGTTTAGGAAGAAACTTAAAGATGATTTAAATATGCCAATATAATAGGCAGCTCTACACCATGGGAATGTCAATGGTTTCAGAGCCTATGGAATCAAAATATTTGTGAAAATATTAAAGATATTTATGGCACAAATTGTCAAGTCTGCTTGCTTATGTATTGCAGAACTTTGGGGGTCAATCAGTGGCCATTTGGAGATGCAGGACCCCATAAAATAGAAGCAACCAGTTTTTCATAGCTCCGGGGTAGCTGGAACATATCCTGGCCCAGCCTTGTTTTTAAGTTTTTCATTTTTTTCCCATCATCTGTGGTGTGAACAGCTAAAAGTCAATTTACTTGGAGGAATCTTCCTTCAGCATTCTAACTTGGGCTTTAAAAAAATCAGTTCATACCTTCATTAAGGATTCTAATGAGTGCTCTAATAAATAGTCACTTGTAGATAAAACCATATTTAGCAATATGAACAAATAAATAATACTCATTGCAGTTAGCTATTAGATTAGATCTAACTCATTCATCAATTTTTACATAAGCCATGCATCTTTCCCCAAATGGATGGTTATTCTGTGAAGCCATTTTGATGCTGCAGCACTGCTTTTCCTAAATTCCTTAAAGTCATCAGGCACATTAAAGGATATCCAATTTCATTGGTCTAAGCTGAGTGATCGCAATTCATCAAGGCATGAAAAGTCTGTCCAGTCTTGTGGAATATCATTAAATGGTTCAAGGACATTTCTAATCTTAATGATGGCCAAGGGGGAGCAACTATTATGATGATGAATGGGAATGAATATCTGGAAAAAGTTCAAGGCATGTTATACTTACAAAGACTAATACATTTTGTTTATCTAAATCATCCAACTGATTAAAGAAACACACAAAGCCCAAGACAGTTAAAAGCAGAGAACCAAACAGGGTTTGACCTACCCTGGTGTATTTACCGCTAACCATGTCATGCGTGTAAAATCTATTACTCTACCAGGATGCTGTGTATATAAAATCGGGAGGGTCTTTTGAGGCTGATGTTGAGTAATATAGGCTGTCCAGTTTATTGCCTAGCTAAATATTTATATAAAATGAGTTCATTGATGATGGGGAAGCCTCCATAAAAGGAGCCTTTCAATGTTACTAAATGATTAGCTACAATGCCCAAGGCTTAGCAAGAGCTGAATGGTGGTAGCATTTGGTACTTCCACTCCTAAAACCAATTACTGAGCTGCTCAAAGTTTTTAATTCCTGACCTGAGTTAGTGTGTGTGTGAGAGAGAGTGTGTGTGTGTGTGTGTAGTCAAATCAGGCAAAACCCTCTTGGTACCAAGAGAAGCGTAGACTCTGCAAGGAAAGGGGAAATGCTTTTTGGTATGCAACTATAAGAATGTTCTCTGGATCCCATCTTTTGTCGGAGAGAGTGTATCTATTAAATGCTCATTTTCTTAGTACAGGGAAGTCAATGCTGGGTGAAATGAAGAAGACCTGTGTCACATTATGCAGGGACTTGTGTTTGGCTGACCTTTCCCTGGGCAGGAGAAAGAAAAATCAACCACATAGGCGGCTAGGAAGATGTTGGGCTATGGTCCAAAGACTTAATCACAATAAATATCTTTTCAGTAGGTCTGGGTGTGGTGTGTTTTGGGGCTGAAATAGTGCAAACACTGCTTACAGGATTGTTTATAGATAAAAGGTAGAAATTAGAAATAAGTAGGAAGCAGTAGAAGGTTTAGAATTATAGGCTTTCTTCACTTGGGTTCTTAGACACTTCATTCTTCTGGGTTTCCTCATCCCTCCCTGGTTTCTCCTTCTCAGTATCCTTTGATGGTTTCTGTTCTCTTCCTGACCTCTGAACATTGGTGGTCTCAGGGCTTGGTTCTCAGCCCTCTTTTCTTCACAGATGATCTTATCAAATCTTACAGCTTTATCAAATATCACGCCTCCCAAATGTCCAGCCTGAACTGCATCCAAACTCCAGATTACCTACTTGACATCTCTACTGTGACACCTAATAAAGCATTTCCAAATATGTCCAAAACATATTCCAAGTCTTCTATTTCCCTTCTGTCCACAAACTGTTCTCTCCCCAGAATTCATCATTTCAGCTGATGTTGTTCTCGCTTGCCCAGTTGCTCAGGTAAAAAAATCTAAATGTTGTCTTTGAATCCCGTCTTTTCCTCATCTCTGCAAACATATCCTGAATCTCTGTCTTCCTCAGTATCCCCTCCACTGCCATTTCAGTTCAAGCTATCATCTTGTGTTGTCTCATCTTCTGCCTTCTAACTAGACTCCCTGCCTCCATTCCTTTCCTATCCCCAGGCCGTTCTCCTCCCCACAGCCAGACTTCGTAAGACACATAAATCATCACATCTCTTCCCTACTTGTTTCCAGTGGTTTTCCATTCAGTCGAAATAAACCCAAAACTTCTTACCATACCCTACAAGATCTTCCATGGCCCGGGGCCCTGTGCCTCTTCAAACCCACCTCTCCCCTCTCTTTTTTGTCAGCTCTCCCCTCGCCACTGCGGCCTTTCCTAGGCCCCCTCAACACACCAAGTTTGTTCCTGCATTGGAGTTTTCACACCTGTCACTCCCTGTGACTGTCCTGATGCTCTCCTTTTCTTTCAATCATTCAGGCCTATGCTCAACTATCACCACCTCAGACAGGCCTTTGATGACACATCAAGCTGAAATATACTCAGTGTACATTCCAGTTACTCTCTATTTTGTTATCCTGTTTTACTTTTTATTATGGCACTCACAACTCTCTCAAATTATTATCTTTTTTTGGTGCTCATTGTCCATCTTTTACATTAGAGTATATGCTCCGTGAATCTAGAGACCAAACCTGTCTCATTCATTGCTCAATTCCTAATGTCTAGGATAATTCCTGGCACAGAATAGGCAATCAACAAATATTTATCAAATGAATAAAGAACAAATAGATAAGTATAAAAGATCCAAGTTGAATATGAAAAGTTAAGAAAATAAGAAACTTGAATTTGAAATCACGTGTAGGTTGTTGGCCAGATAGAGCCAATGGAAGACTTTATAGCCAAACATTATATGAAAATAAGAGACAAAGATATTCTTTGGTCCAATTGAATTTTCCATCATCAATTATATTTATTCAAGTTAAATTGATCTGTTTGTTCTGAAAATTATCAGTCAAAATCCATCTTTTCATTTGCTGACTCATAATATTTAGGCATGCAACCATTTCAACTTGGCTCAGAAAAAAAAAAATAGTTCAATGGAGCATATTCGTGGCTGTAGCCAGAGTGGCAAACAGGAGAAAGTTCTAGTGCACATGCACAGAAACCTGCTGTGGGGCCAAGACATGAGGAATACACTTACTTAGAAAGGGGCATTCTAACTTGGCCTTGGGAAATGCAGTAGGTACAGCAATCTAACGAACAGCAAACTACCCCAGGTCACTTCAAGTTCTCTTTTCTTTCAATGGACACAGGTGTCTATTGACCAAGTTGATACCAAGTTGGGGAGATACCAAGTTGACCCATCTCGGGGGTCAGATATGTAGACTTAGCTTCAGTCCAGCTATCTTAGGCCTACGGGCAGGCACACAGGGCAGGCTGCTATATATCAGGTGGACCTTGACTATCTGTCTATCTTTGGTCACTATGGGGACAAAAGATGTGGGGAGAACTGACAAGACCTAATCAGCCTCTGCCACTCCTGCCATGGCCATGGGGCCATTAATCTCTGACTCTCCATACCCTTCCTTCCCTAAGGAATTACCTCCCCTTCCTGACCGCAATTCACTGCTCAGCTCAGGACAGTTGAGATGACATGGTCCTCTCTTCCACAGGCTCCCACACCAGCACATTCATACTTCTTACTTCATTTCTCATCATCAAACATTTTATAATGCAAAATGGGAATTCTTTATTTAAATAAAGGTAAAAACTTTTATTTCTTATTATTAGAACTCCAAAAGCAGGACATCCATATACCAGAAAAATGTTAATCTGCAGACAAGGAAGAAAATAAAATTCCTTTACAACCCCATCACTGACAAATAATCACAACAGATAACATTTAAAATGTTTGTTTTTTTTTTAAATCCCTCTTTTTTAGTGCATGCATATTTGGAAGAAAAAATATCCCAAACCTTATCTGGGATTAAACCTTTTTTGTGAGTTATTATATACAAATCTCCTCATAGGAAGAAATTGGCATTCTTGATAAATTGCGTAAGTAGTTTTCTGATGGATTCTGATGGGCTGGAGACATTTCCATCACCCCCAAAATTCCTTAATGCTCATTTCTGAGGAAAAAACAAAACTGTTTCTTTCCACTCACACACACTACTCAATGCAACACTTCTGACATCAGATATGTGTGGGTTCCCCCTCCCTGCACTGCCACTAACAAGCAATTCTGCATTGGACATTAACTAGGTGTCCTGTAATTTAACTCAATTCTCACACTATGACCTAGAGCTAGATCAGATCCCACAGGTTGAAGGCTCAGTTCCACAAACCCTTCCCCAACCCTGACTTCTGATGCTAACTGAAAATTGCAAATACAGTAGTAGGTTGTCACTTAGACTTCTGACCAATTGGCCAGAAAACATTGGGGGTTTTCATGACTCCTTCTTTTGTTTTGATTAATTTGCTAGAGTCACAGAACTCAGGAAAGCAATTTACTTATGTTTATGGGTTCATTAATAAAGGGTATAACAAAAACTGCAGATGAACAGCTATATACAGGGCAAAGATTTCAGAGCACAGGAGCTTCTGTCCCTGTGGAGTTAGGGTGCACCACACTCCTAGCATATGAATAAATTGACCCCACTGGAAGCTTTCTGAACCCCATAGTTTGGGGAATTTTATGGTGACTTCATCATGTATGCATGATTGATTATTAAGTCCATTTCCAGCCTCTCTTTCTTCTCCAAAGAGTGTGGGTGGAGCTGAAAGTTCCAAGCTTGTAATCAAGATTTGGTCTTTCTGGTGACCACCCCCAATGTAGGAGCCCAACAAGAGTTGTCTCATTGGAACAAAAGATGCTTCTATCACCCAGGAAATTCTGAGAGATTTGGGAGCTCTGTGCCAGCTACTCCTATCACTCAGGTTCACAAAAATCTAAAGAGCAGTATGTTAGGATCTGGTGTCAAAGACCAAATATTAGAACAAAAGATTCCCCTAGATCACCCCAATCTACAAGGGTATTAGGGTCCCTGTCTCAGGAACCAGGACAGAGACCAAATATTAGAACAAAAGATTCTCTTAGCACCCTACCACTATCTCTCAGGAAGTTATAAAGGTTTTAGGAGCTCTGTGCAAGAAACAGGGGGAGAGACAAATATATATATATATATATATATATATATATTTCTTGCTATTTCACACCCTTTGCAGTCAATCTCCCTTTACTGCTAATTCTAGGCAACCACTGATGTTTTTGCTTTTTCTAGAATTTCATATAAACAGAATCATGCAGTATGTATTCTTTCATGCGCGTCCATGTGAAGAGACCACCAAACAGGCTTTGTGTGAGCAACATGGCTGTTTATTTCACCTGGGTGCAGGCAGGCTGAGTCCGAAAAGAGAGTCAGCAAAGGGAGATAAGGGTGGGGCTGTTTTATAGGATTTGGGTAGGTAAAGGAAAATTACAGTCAAAGGGGATTTGTTCTCAGGTGGGCAGGAGTGGGGGTCTCAAGGTGCTCAGTGGGGGAGCTTTTTGAGCCAGGATGAGCCAGGAAAAGGACTTTCACAAGGTAATGTCATCAGTTAAGGCAAGGACCGGCCATTTGCACTTCTTTTGTTGTGGAATTTCATCAGTTAAGATGGGGCAGGGCATATTCACTCCTTTTGTGATTCTTCAGTTACTTCAGGCCATCTGGGCATATACGTGCAAGTCACAGGGGATGCGATGGCTTGGCTTGGGCTCAGAGGCCTGACATTCCTGCCTTCTTATATTAATAAGAAAAATAAAACAAAATAGTGTTGAAGTGTTGGGGCGGCGAAAATTTTTGGGGGGTGGTGCGGAGAGAGAATGGGCGATGTTTCTCAGGGCTGCTTCAAGCGGGATTAGGGGCGGCGTGGGAACCTAGAGTGGGAGAGATTAAGCTGAAGGGAGGTCTTGTGGCAAGGGGTGATATTGTGGGGATGTTAGAAGAAACATTTGTGGTATAGAATGATTGGTGATGGCCTGGATACGGTTTTGGATGAATTGAGAAACTAAATGGAAAAACAGAAGGAGAAAAACAGGTGTAAAAGGTCTAAGAACTGGGATGACTCAGGATATCTGATTAGAGAATGCCTAAGGAGATTCAGCATAGTCCTGCCAGCAAAGATTATTTATTTACTTCAAGAGTTAAGAGTGGCAGTTTGGGGATAGCACCAGGAGATATCAGCTGTGATGGCTTGGAAAAACAGTGTAAACTGGCAGTGTAAACAAGAGCAGGGCATGTATGGGTAGTTGAGAAAGGTGAATAGGAGTATGACTAGACAGAAGATAGTAGGGATGACAAGTTTTTTTGGGGGGCACAGTCCAAGTTGGTCTGGTGTCTGGAATGAGACTGGGGCCTAATAAAAAGGCGTCTATACAGGAGCTTAAATGGGCTGTACCCTGAGGACAGGCCTGAATTCTGAGAAGGGAAAGTGGTAAAAGTATTGTCCAGTCCTTTTGAAGTTGGTGGCTGAGCTTGGTGAGGTGTGTTTTTAAAAGACCTTTAGTCCATTCTACTTTTCTTGAAGATGGAGGACCGTAAGGGATATAAAGGTTTCACTGAAAACTAAGAGCCTGAAAAACTGCTCGGCTGATTTGACTAATAAAGGCTTATGTGTTATCAGACTGTATTGAGGTGGGAGGGCTAAACTGAGGAATTATGTCTAACAGAACGGAAGAAATGACTGCGGTGGCCTTCTCAGACCCTATAGGGAAGGCCTGTACCTATCCAGTGAAAAGCGTCTACCTAGACTAAGAGGTATTTTAGTTATCTGACTCAGGGCATGTTGAGTAAAGCTAATTTGCCAGTCCTGGGTGGGGCAAATCCTCGAGCTTGATGTGTAGGGAAGGGAGGGGGCCTGAATAATCCCTGAGGAGTAGTAGAATAGCAGATGGAACACTGAGAAGTTATTTCCTTGAGGATAGATTTCCACGATGGAAAGGAAATGAGAGGTTCTAAGAGGCGGGCTAGTGGCTTGTACTATAGCATAACCTGCCTTTGCTGGTGTGTGGCGATTAGGCCTGGTGGAACCGCCATCAATAAATCAAGCGTGATCTGGGTGAGGAACAGGAAAGAAGGAAATTTGGGGAAATGTGAATGTCAGGTGGATCAGAGAGATACAGTCATGGGGGTCAGGTGTGGTATCAGGAATAATGTGGGAGGCCGGATTGAAGTCTGGGCCAGGAACAGTGGTAGTTGTGGGAGACTCAACAAGGAGTGAGTACAGCTGAAGGAGCTGGGAAGCAGAAAGTATATGCGTCAGGTATGAGGAAGAAAATAGATTTTGGAAGTTATGAGAACTTTAGAGAGTGAGTTGAGCACAGTTTGTGATTTTGAGGGCCTCTGAAAGTATTAAAGCAGCGGCAGCTGCTGCACGCAGACATGAGGGCTAGGCTTAAACAGTAAGGTCAAGTTGTTTGGACAGAAAGGCTACAGGGTGTGGTCCTGGCTCTTGTGTAAGAATTCTGACCGCGCTAACCATGCCTAGGAAGGAAAGGAGTTGTTGTTTTGTAGAAGGTGCTTGGGTTTGAGAGATCAGTTGGACACGATTGGCAGGGAGAGCACATGTATTTTTATGAGAATTATGCCGAGATAGGTAACAGATGAGGAAGAAATTTGGGCTTGATTGAAGTAATGGGGGCTGTCTGTGAAGCTTTGCGGCAGTACAGCCTAGGTAATTTGCTGAGCTTGATGGGTGTCAGGGTCAGTCCAAGTGAAAGCGAAGAGAGGCTGGGATTAAGGGTGCAAAGGAATAGTAAAGAAAGCATGTTTGAGATCTAGAACAGAATAATGGGTTGTAGAGGCAGGTATTGAGGATAGGAGAGTATATGGGTTTGGCACCACGGGGTGGATAGGCAAAACAATTTGGTCGATAAGGCGCAGATCCTGAACTAAGTTGTAAGGCTTGTCTGGTTTTAGCACAGGTAAAATGGGGGAATTGTAAGGAGAGTTTATAGGCTTTAAAAGGCCGTGCTGTAGCAGGCGAGTGATAACAGGCAAGTGTGCTGCAGGATGGGATATTGGCATTGAGTGGGGTAAGGGTGATTAGGTTTTAATGAGATGGTAAGGGGTGCATGATCGGCCGCCAAGGAGGGAGTAGAGGTATCTTATACTTGTGGGTTAAGGTGGGGGATAGAAGAGGAGGATGCAAAGGAGGCTTTGGATTGGGAAGAAGGGCGGCAATGAGATATAGCTGTAGTCCAGGAATAGTCAGGGAAGCAGATAATTTAGTTAAAGTGTCTCGGCCTAATAAGGGAACTGGGCAGGTGGGGATAACTAAAAAGGAGTGCTTAAAAGAGTATTGTCTAAGTTGGCACCAGAGTTGGGGAGTTTTAAGAGGTTTAGAAGCCTGGCCGTCAATACCCACAACAGTTATGGAGGCAAGGGAAACAGGTCCTTGAAAAGAAGGTAATGTGGAGTGTGTAGCCTCCGTATTGATTAAGAAGGGGACGGGCTTACCTTCCACTGTGAGAGTTACCCGAAGCTCGGCATCCGTGATGGTCTAGGGGGCTTCTGAGGCCATCGGGCAGTGTCAGTCTTCAGCTGCTAAGCCGAGAAGATCTGGGAAGGAGTCAGAGAGCCTTGGGCCAGAGTTCCAGGGGCTCTGGGAGTGGCTGCCAGGTGAGTTGAACAGTCCGATTTTCAGTGGGGTCCCACACAGATGGGATGCGGCTTAGGAGGAATCCTGGCCTGCGGGCATTCCTTGGCCCAGTGGCCAGATTTCCGGCACGTGTAGCAAGCTCCTGTGGGAGGAGGTTCTGGAGGAATGCCTGGCCACTGCGGTTCAGGTGTTTGGAAGTTCTTGTGTGCCGGAGATGTGGCTGGGGCGCAGAGATAAGAGGTTGGGGCATGGAAATAAGCGATTGGGGTGCAGAGATAAGAGGTTGGGGTGTGGAAATAAGCGATTGGGGGGTTCTTGCCCCCTAGGAAAGCGGGACTTGCCGCTAAGGGTGAAGGAGAAGGGGTTGAGGGGTACTTGACCCTGCCCCAGGAAAGCAGAGAAGGGGTAGAGACAAGGAGAGAAGGGGTTGAGGGGTACTTGCCCCTCTCCCAGAAAAGCAGAGAAGGGGTAGAGACAAGGAGAGAAGGGGTTGGGGTACTTGCCCCTTCCCCAGAAAAGCGGGACTTGCCGCTAAGGGTGAAGGACCAAGGCAGGCGTCCCTGCGTGGTCTGACACCCTTGAAACGTGGGTGAATGATCAGAGAGGCGTCCCTGCAGTGAGTAAGCGTCCCTGTGTGGTCTGACACCTTTGAAACATGGATGAATAATCAGGCATCCCTGCCATGATTAAACACCAAGGGAAGGCTGCCTTCCCAGTCCGTGACTGGCGCCGAAGTTTTGTGTCCACGGATAAAACGTGTGTCCTTTGTCTCTCCCAGAAAATGAAAGGAATTGAAATTAAGAGAAGGGAGAGATTGAAGAGTGGAAAGGAGAAAGTGGTTGAGGGACAGTGAGAGAGGTTGGAGAAGAGAGTAAGAAGAGGCCGCCTACCTGATTTAAAATTGGTGAGATGTTCCTTGGGCTGGTCGGTCTGAGGACCTGAGGTCATAGGTGGATCTTTCTCACGGAGCAAAGAGCAGGAGGACGGGGGATTGATCTCCCAAGGGAGGTCCCCCCATCCAAGTCACGGCACCAAATTTCATGCGCGTCCGTGTGAAGAGACCACCAAACAGGCTTTGTGTGAGCAACATGGCTGTTTATTTCACCTGGGTGCAGGCGGGCTGAGTCCGAAAAGAAAGTCAGCGAAGGGAGATAAGGGTGGGGCCGTTTTATAGGATTTGGGTAGGTAAAGGAAAATTACAGTCAAAGGGGGTTTGTTCTCTGGCGGGCAGGAGTGAGGGTCGCAAGGTGCTCAGTGGGGGTGCTTTTTGAGCCAGGATGAGCCAGGCAAAGGACTTTCACAAGGTAATGTCATCAGTTAAGGCAAGGACCGGCCATTTACACTTCTTTTGTGGGGGAATTTCATCAGTTAAGGTGCGGCAGGGCCTATTCACTTCTTTTGTGATTCTTCAGTTACTTCAGGCCATCTGGGCATATACGTGCAAGTCACAGGGGATGCGATGGCTTGGCTTGGGCTCAGAGGCCTGACATATTCATTCTAGTCTGACTTTTTTCTTGTGTTTGTGAGATGCATCCATGTTGTTGCATGTAGTAGTAGATCATTAATTTTCTTTGCTGTATAGTATTGCATTGAATGTTAATCCATTCTACTGTTGAGCACTGGGTTGTTTTCAGATTGGGGCTATTAAGATTAGCAGGGCTGTAGATATTCATGTGTAAGTCTTTGCGTGGGTATATATTTTCATTTCTCTTGGGTAAATACCTAGGAATGAAAATTCTGGGCTATATGGTATTTTACGTGTATATAAGACTATAAGCAATCTCCAGACTTTTTTGCAGAGTAATTGATCTTCCATTTTTATCACGTCCCCTTCTTATCAGGGGTTTAAAGAATCTCAGAGAAAAGGGAATTTAACAGTGAGAAAACATGTATTTGTTGTCTTTTCTCTTCAGTTATTTGAAGCACATTTATCTTTCTTTTTCATTGTTGTGAAAAACAAGTAGCCAAAAGCAACAAAATAGTTATCTGATCCTGAAGATAAAGGAATTGAAGAGCATGATAATGAATTCGTAGCCTAATTGGGGTGGGTGGGGGGTTGTTCCTTTGGGTTGGAACAGGTCTTCCTTCTTCCTTTTCAGAGACTTATCTGAAGATTACTAATTCTTCCTATCTCAGCCCCAATGGTCTAATCCTTTGCAGATCTTTGTAAGCCTATTAAATGTTTTTCTGCCATCCCATACTCTTCCTTTATAGCATTTAGCACAATTTAGTATCATCTATATTTATATGATTTGTTGATTTGTGTCTTCCTTCCCTACTCCATGGAATGAGGAACCAAGCTTCTTATATCCCTTGGCTCACAGTAGCATTCAATAAACATTTGAATGAAAGAGTAAATAATTGAAAGAACTGGAAAAGGGGCTAACAGAGCAAGACTGCCAAGCTAACAGTTGTGACTCTACAAACAAGGGTGGAAATCTGCATGTGTTTGTCAACTGCCAACTCTACAAAAAGACCACAGAAATACCCCATTGATCAATTCAAGCTGGGTTTATTACTTACTGCCATGAGGGAGAGCACCACCTTGACAGACTCTTGGTGGTATTGTGGAAGGAAGAGGTCAAGGGCAGATATGGATAGAGTTTCAGATCTGGTTTTGAGTGGTTTAAGGCAGGCCTTTCAATGTGGGGATTTCATCTGGGCAAAGTTCATGATTTAATAGCTTGGGCCTGAAGGACCCAGAAAAGTTAAGTGTTATCTAGAGCATCTCATGCTTTGATAAGCAAGAAGGTCTGCTCCATGGAGCAATCTGTTGGCCTGAGAAAGGAGGCTGATTGGTAGCTCATTGTTTGAAAAAAATAGATTTTCTGGAAGCTCTTGGGGCCAACATTCAAGTTACTTACTGGGCAAGAATTTTCTGGAATAAACAGTAAAGTCATGTTGAGCTAGGCTTAGTTTTGATAGGTAAGTTATGAGGCTGGGCTGCAGGCAGCTCCTCAATTCCAAAACCCAGTTCCCTAAAACTGAGTATAGAAAGGTATATTACTTCCCTGACATTGCCATGCTGAATGAAGAGACTGTGCTTTACAACAATTGCTCCTATTGTTCATTGTGAAATCTGGGAAAACTGTAGACCTGACTGGGATAACAGCTGCTGCATTCCCAACTCTTGAATTTAAGCCATAAAACCTCTTATTATGTAAGACATTAACATCTCAATGGCACATCCTCAAATCAAGATATGGAATTGTGATGCTTCTCTCTTCTTGTCCTTTCTCTATTTTTTTGTTAAGAGTGCTTTACTAGACAAAACCTTAGCTCTCCTGCCAAATATCCAGTGGGAATAAAGAGTGAGATGAAATCCCAACAGCATTTTAGTGTAATAGCAGATGACTGTAATGAGCTGTCACCATTTAGGAAGCAACAGTGGTTGAGTTACAAGAAAGTTTGCACATGGTATCAACATAGCTATTTTTTGGCCAATATGAGGAGTCCTATGAAATCTCCATAGGACTCTTTAGAACTGGGGGATCTCCTTGACCAAGATAATACAGGACTAGGGGCTTGGGAGAGCAGAAAGAATTACACAGTGGCAGTTAAGTGCAGTTAAATTAAGTTGTCATTCCCCCACCATCAGATCCCTAGCTATATGTTGAGCCATTCACCTGGCTGAAATGAAAGACAGAGCCAGTCCATGGAGCACTCCAAAGGCACCTTTGCCATCACATTACACATAATTTGCAGCCAGGGCTTGACATACCAGTGTTGGAGAAAGCACGCTGAGGCTTGTGCAATTCCTCAGTCATGTGTAGTGGGTAGGGATGTAGGAAACTTTCCAGCCATGGAAAATAAACATCTCACCTTCAAAGAGTGCAGTCCTAAAACACCATGGAACAAAGATTTAGTATTGCGAGCTGAGCCAAGAATTTCCCAAAGGAGAGGGTGGAGCTTGGGCACGGTTTTCCCTCTCTTCCCTTGTGTAATATTGTCCTATCATCTGGAGGTAGTGTTGCAGAAAGGAGCCTTTAGAAAGATGGTTTTGCTGCAATTTATGAGTCCTCTCAGCAACTAAATCTTTGCTCTCTGATCTATATCCCAGGAACCATAATTTCTCTCTCTAATTTTAGAAGTTTTTTTAAAATAACATATGTGGATATAACTCAAACATTAAATAAATGCCCCATAGTAGCAAGGGCCTTACCCCTTCCTATGCTCAAGTCTTACTGCTCAAAATTATTTGCTTATATTCTTTCTGGATTTATCCATTTTAGACCCTGTGTGCTAACTTCCTGCTGTGTTAAGACCATAATACCGCCATATGCCTGCTCCCCTTTTCCTTTCCCTCTATTTTCCTAACATTATAACATCACAATCTTGAGCTAAATTGTCACTCTTCATATTATTATGATTGATAAACATGGTTTATTTTAGAACCAAGTAGGGAACTGTGATTCTCTTTCTCATACAATGTTTTATTTGGTTGTTGTTTTTCAGCTGCAGTTTTTGAGTCTCACCTTAATTTTATCCATTAGATCTGCCAGTGCCCACTGACAGCTTTTCCAAAACTCAAACATATAATTTCTTTGTTCCGTTTTTTTTTTCTCTAAAGACCTTCCTGCCGGATCCCTCCATCACCCTGTTTTGATGCGGTCTTTAGGGCTGCTGTGCAGTTGACATCCTGAAATATTTCTTCACCATCACCTTATGATCTCCATTTCTGGATTTCCACATCCTTCACTTTTCTTGGCGCACTTTTTCCTTTTGTAGGATTATGTTCTTTAATGGTTTCCTAAGAAAGATCACATGAGAGGCAATTATTTTTTAGTTTAGGAATGTGTCTGGAAATGTCTTTTTTCTTCCCCTCACAATTATTTGTAATTTGTCTGTTTGTAGATTTCTGGTTAAAACTCAATTGTTTCATTGTCTTCTAGCACAGGTTGCTGTGACTAGCGCAATGGAAATCTCATTTCCAATCCTTTGTAAGTGACATTTCTCTTTCTGTGGGGTAGTGTTTAGGATCTTCTCTTTACTTCAATGAGTCTCAGAGTGGGGGTCACTTGGTGGACTGTTTTGACCTCAAGACATGTTCTTCAACATGGAATTTTTCTTTAGTTATTTATTTGATAATTTCCTTCTCTTTCTTTTCTCTACATCTCTGGAATAACTATTATTTGGATCTTGAATCTTTTAGATTATTTCTCCAAGACTCTCATCTTATCACTCTTTTAAAAAATTGCTGTTTATTTGTTCTGCTTTCTGGGAGCTTTCATCTACTTTATTTTCCAAGCTTTCTATTGATTTCAAAAAAATGAGCTATCCTTTTAAAAATTGATGAGTTTTTTTCTTATTACCTTATTCATTATTTTGACAGTACTTTGTTCTTGTCTCATAGATGCATCACCTTCTCATTTAAATCTAAGGATGTTAAGTTTTGTGAGACTTTTTGAAGTTTTCTTCTGAACCCCACATGATTTCTGTGTCTTTCGTATTACTTTTTTTCCTCTTTCTTTATTTTAGTTTCTGTCTTTTATGTGGGAGGCATTCCTCAAATGTCTGGTGGTCTTTGGATCTCTGTTACTATTTATAATAAAGTACTTAAAATAGGATTGAAAGCTTTATATGTAAGGGAGCTTCCCAGTAGAATCAGGCAGTGGGCCAGATGCTCTGTGGGAGGACTTTCAAATGTCAGAGCCTGGGCAGTTGATTTACCCAACAAACAGTCTTCCAATCCCCTGAACAGGACTTGTGCCTTATTGCTGCAGCAGTAGGGGGCAAATCACCCACTTCCTGGAGGTGTAGATACTCCAGCTAACTATGGAAGTTGTTACCAAGCTGATGAATGTGTCCCACATTGGCATGTGAGTTTATGTTAGGGCATGAATGGCGAAATAGCTTTCCTTATACATACATTTATTTACTTAATGTGTGTTAGCAAAAATATAACTAGCATGTGAAACCCATGATGTCACAGATAGTATTGCTTAAGACAAACTTAAGTAAATGAAGGTGAGCCAAATTAAAAATATGAAGGTGAGTAATAGTATAGGAAGGATGGAGACAAGGCACAAGATCAGGAAGATACTCAAATGACTGGGAGATACTCAAATGTTTGGGAACACTACAACAGAGACAGGGAAGGCATTTTTTTTTTTTTTTTTTTGAGACAAAATCTTGCTCTGTCACCTAATATGTAACTTAGGCTGGAGCATAGTAGTGCCATCATAGCTCACTGCAGCCTTGAGCTCATGGGCTCAAGAGATCCTCCTGCCTCAGCCTCCTGAGTAGTTGGGACTACAGGTGCCCAGTAAGCCTGGCTACTATTTTAATTTCTTTTGTATATACAGCATCTTGCTATGTTGCTCAGGTTGGTCTTCAACTCCTGGTCTCAAGCAATCCTCCCATCTTGGCCTCCCAAAGCACTGGGATTACAGATGTGAACCACCTTGCCCGCTCCAGGGAAGGCACCTTTTATCACACTAAAAGAGAGTAGAAAAGGAACTCCATGTGGAATTGACAGCTAAAGCAAACAACAGAGGTGCATGATGGAGAAATTACAAATTCCTCTGTAGATATAGAGAGTGGTGAGATGTGATCAGGACTGGATTGTAAAGAATCTTGTATTTTCTTGTGTATTATCTTAAAACACTGGTTCAATGGTTCTGCAATGTCTGAGAGACAGCATCATTACTTGTTATGGTTGACCCAAGCTAGTCAACATGCCACGGTTTGCTTTTGAATTACTTATGACAATTAAAAAAGGCCACAGACTGGCTTCTAAAGCCACCCAACAGGCTAGTGGTGTGTCTTCTGACTGCTCCAGCACACAGGCCCATCACTTCATTGAATGTAATATGCTGAAGGAATATAAATTTACTTGAGCCCAAATTTCAGAAAACTTTAACCTGCAAGCAACATCTGCTATAAAATCTAAAAGTTAATGCATTTTTTTTTTTTTTTTTTGAGACAGTCTTGCTCTGTCACCCAGGCTGGAGTTCAGTGGTGCATTCTTGGCTTACTGCTACCTCTGCCTCTGGGGTTCAAGCGATTCTTATGCCGCAGCCTCCCAAGTATCTGGGATTACAGGCGTGCTCCACCACGCCTGGCTACTTTTTGTATTTTTTGTAAAGATGGGGTTTCGCCATGTTGTCCAGGCTGGTGTTGAACTCCTGACTTCAAGTGATCCACCCACCTTGGCCTCCCAAAGTGCTGAGATTACAGGCTTGAGCCACTGTGCCCGGCCTAAAAGTTAGTGCATTCTTAATGAGCATACATGTAATGAATTTTTGATTTCTCATTATTCTAGATATTCCTGTTTTCTGCATCAGCACAAGTTGGATAAGCTCTGGAACACAATATAGAAATTTCAGTCTTCTGTGGGTGCGCTGCCCAATACAGTAGCTAGTAGCTATATGTGGCTACTTACAGTTAAATTCAGTAAAATTAAATGAAATGAAAAATTCAGTTCTTCTGTCATGCTTGCCAGATTTCAAGTGCTTACTAGTTATATGAGACTAGTGGCTACAGAATTGGATACAAAATATGGAACATTTCCATCATCAAATGTTCTATTAAAAATAGCACTGTTCTATGGTGACACAAAGCTTACTTTTAAATTTGAAAAAATTTCAATTTATATAGAGCAAAATTGACATTTTCATGTGTATACAGTATGCTACAAGTATAGATATAAGTAACCACCACCACCACAATTATAGTACAGACAGTTCCAACAGCCCCCCAAATTCCACAATGCTACTCCTTTAGAGGCAAATTCTCTCCTCACCCCAAGCAACCACTAATCTATTCTCAGTTCCTATAGTTTTACCTTTTCAAGAACGTTGTATAAATGGAATCATATAATATGTAACTATTTGAGAATGGCTTCTTTTATGCAGCGAATGCCTTTAAGATCTGTCTGATTTGTTTCTTGGACCATCTTTATTGCTGAATAGTATCCCAAATTCACTCACTGAAGGATGTGTTGGTTTTTCCCAATTTTGGAAATTTATTAATACAGATGCTAAAACATTCGTGACCAGGTATCTGTGTGAGGAGAGGCTTTCATTTCTCCAGGATAAATATCCAGGGATGGGGTTTTTGGGTCATATGGTAAGTATATGTTTAATTAATTAAGAAAGTTCCAAGTAGTTTTCCAGACTGGTTATACTATTTTGCATCCCCACTGGCAATGCATGTGAGTTCCAGTAGCTCTGCATGTTTGTCAAAACTTGGTGTTGTCAATTTTTTTAAGCCATTCTAATGTGTGTCTAGTGGTATCTTATTGTGGACTTAGTTTCCTATTCCTTAATAGGTAATGATGTTTAGCTTCTTTTCATATGTTTATTTGCCATCCTTATATCTTCTTTGGAGAAGTGCCTGTTCAACTCTTTTAAAATTTAGGTTTTAAAAATTTAAAAATTAGGTTTTGTTTTTTTTTTTTTCACTTTTGGAAGCCAAGGTGCAAGGATTACTTGAGCCCAGGAGCTCAAGATCAGCCTGGGTAACATAGTGAGACCTCATCTCTACAAAAAATAAAATAAATTAGCTGGATGTGGTGGTATGCACCTGTAGTCCTATAGTCTCAGCTACTTGGGAGGCTAAGGCAGGAGAATCTCATGTGCCTAGCAGTTCAAGGCTGTAGTGAGCTATGATCACACCACTGCACTCATTCTGGGTAACAAACAGAGTGAGACTCTGTCTCTAAAAATGTATATATATATAAAAATAAAAATCTAAAGGTTAGTCTTTTTGTTTATGTACTATTGAATTTTTGAGAATTCTTTATATATTATGATGATAAGTTGTCAGATATGTGATTTGCAAATATTTATCTCAGTCTGTAGCTTGCCTTTCATTCTTTTTTCATAGAGCGTAAGTTTTAAATTGTGATGGTTCTCATTATTATTGCTTTAAAGTAAGCCTTAAAATTGTATAATGTGATTTCTTCAAGTTTATTTTTTTCAACATTTTTCGCCTCTTTTAAGTTTCTTTGCTTTTCCACGTAAATTTTAGAGTCAGAGTCAGTGTTACTATGTGTACAAAAGATTGTTAACTGGGATGGCAATTGAAATTTAGTTAAATCCTTAAATCATCTTGTGGGAAAATTAACACCTTAATATTGTTGAGTCTTCCAGTCCATGGATGCAGTATGTCTCTCCGTTTATTTAGATCTTCTTTCTTTCATTAGTTTTTGGAGTTTTTATTATACAGATTCTGCATATATTTTAAAATGTATACATAATTACATCTTGTTTTTGTTTTTGTTTTGTTTTTTTGAGACAGGACTTTGCTCTGTCACCCAGGCTGAAGTGCAGAGGCACCATTACGGCTCACTGCAGCCTCAGCCTCCTGGGCTCTGCCTCCTGAGTAGCTGGAACTATAGGTGCATGCCACCATACCTGGCTAATGTTTAAATTTCTTATAGAGACAGGGTCTCCCTATGTTGCCCAGTCAGGTCTCAAACTCCTGGGCTCAAGAGATCTTCCTGCCTTTGCCTCTGAAAGTACTAGGATTACAGGTGTGAGCTACCATGTCCAGACTATGTAATTTTTAAACCGTATTATTTTTTAAAATTTTGATTTCCAGTAGTTGATTGCTAATGTATAGACATATGATTGATTTTTAAATGCTGATCTTGTATCCCGTGACCTTGATAAACTCATGTATTAATTCTGGTGCTTTTTTGTAGATTTCTTGCAAATTTCTACATAGACTATCATGTTATATGTGAATGGATAGAGACTTCTTTCTAATATCAGGATTTTGGTAACAATCTACTGAGAGATCAGATAAAATTTCAGATCACGTAAAACAAAACTGGATATGCTGGTCCTCTTCTTTTTTTCTTTGTTTCTTTCGGAATTAAAATCCTTTTACATTATCTGCACACTTTCCCTCCCACGACCCCAATATTAAGGATTTTTGTATAAATATTCTCCCAGTGAAATGGACTTATGGGAAGAGTGGTTTTGGTGACTCAGTCCTTGTGAAACATTATTCTAAAATCAAAATAAACTTTTCTAGCTATTCTGAAGTGTTTATATGAACTTCATACCCAGGATCTCCCTTGAAGAAATTATTTTATATAGTCACTTGGGGATAAATGTTACACCTTTAGCACTAGCAATGATAAAATGAAACTGGAACCAGATATCTCTGTGGTCCGGAGGCCTCCTGAGGGTCTTCCAATGCTGGAATGGAGAGCATCAGTCCCAGCTGTGAGACAGCCCAGAGAGCCAAGGAAGAAGGGAGCTGACATTTCTGTCCCCTCAAAAGGCCCCAGGAACCAAACCACAGCTAGTATCTTCCAGACATCGAGGTTCCATCATTTGTTTATAGGAAAATCATCCTCCCACCACTGGCTGATCCCTCAAGGATTTTTCAAACAGCTTAACCCACACAAATGACAGGCTGAAGTTAACCGTACTGCTCTAATTGAGGACTGTCAAAAATACCAGCATGTTGGGGGTGGCAGGACATGGGCGTTTTGCACGTCAGAGTTGCTGGCTCTTCTATGATACGCTTGATTGGCTGTGGATCCAGAACTGTACTAAGGAATAAGAATAAAGGGAGGGAAATATTCCTCTAGGGCTGCCTTAGCTTACGTATGAATCTGGCAACATAACAGGAAGCAGCATAGATGCCCAGAGCCAAAAATAAAGCCCCAGTTCCATGTCTGGAAGTCCTGAAGACAAGACAAAGGGAGTCTTTTAATTAGGACTGGCCAGCCATAATAAACCTATGGAGCCAGAACTAGATGCTCCCTGGCATGCCCCACACCACCCATACAGTGGTGTCAGCAGCTAAAAATTCATACCATTTGAGTGAACAGAAAAAAAGTCAGCCAACGTGAAATCCACTAGGCTAGGTCTCTAGGCACGGGTTGCCTTGCTAAGTTTCTTTTTTAATAATGCATGTCTATGAGTAGACTCTATCAAATCCAATCTCTCTTCCTCTTAGTCACTATTTTCATTCCACGGGGGGTTCCAAAGAGTGCCAAGGGCTGTTGGTAAGAACCAGGTTTATTATTTTCTTTATCAACAGTCACCAACATTTGGCCACATCTGAACTTCTGACATGCTATGGCCACTTTGTCTTAAAAGTAAAAGTAGCTTTTATTGTTTTCCTTTTTAGTAAAGCAACACACAAATATTGTAGAAAAATTACAAATATAGAAAATAGAAGACAAGCTGCTGTTAACACTTTGGCATAGATCTTTAAAACTAGGGTTTCCCAACATTGTCATTACCTCAACATTTTGGGTTGGATGATGCATTGTAGGGTATTTTGTAGTCTTTCTGGTCTTTTCCCACTAGATGCTGGTAACAACACCCTCCTCAATCCCTAATCCTGTTGGTACAACAAAAAATGCCTCTAGATATTGCCAAATGTCTCCTGGGGGCGCAAATATCTCTTAAAACCACTGCCTTATGCCATTCTGAATTCAGGTGACTGAATTGTTGACTGAATTCTACCACTCATTTCTTTTCCCCTCCAGGAGTCTAACTGGCACTTATGAGGAATTGAGGCAAATGGAATAAAAATTATCCATTTTTTTTTTTTTTTTGAGACAAAGTCTCGCTATGTCGCCCAGGCTGGAGTGCAATGGCGAGATCTTGGCTTACTAAAACCTCTGCCCCCCGGATTCAAGCGATTTTCCTGCCTCAGCCTCTCGAGTAGCTGGGATTACAGGCAAGTGCCACAAAACACCCAGCTAATTTTTTGTATTTTTAGTAGAGACGGGGTTTCACCCTGTTGGCCAGGCTGGTCTCGAACTCCTGACCTCAAGTGATCCACCTGCCTCGGCCTCCCGAAGTGCTGGGATTACAGGTGTGAGCCACCGTGCCTGGCCAATAAACTTTGCTAATTGCTCAAATTGAGGCAACTGGGGCTCAGGGAGAGCATGAGTGTTTTCACTTACCCAAGACAATCTGAGACTCTAGAACCAGAAAGAAGAGACGTGGTTGGGCAGGAAAAGGACCTATGGCCTTCAGGGAGTGGGTTGGAGAGCCCAGGAAAGGAGGAGTTCCTGTTTTAGGTTTTCAGGCACAATGACTCCCATCTACTTGTGTGTTAATGTGACCAATAGGCCATTCTGTCTAAAGTGGAGGGTCTGCTCCCCAGTGGGCACTTCCTCCTTAGTACTTGAAAAAGCCAGAGAGTTGGAGGAAGCTCCTGTTTTGTGAGTAGAGGCAGGAATGTGGGAAGCAAAGAAGGACTCCCCTCACAGAGTTCTTTTCTGTGACTGTATAAACACATATAGGCATTTTAAACAAAAACAGCATCGTACTGTACACAGTGTTTTGCAGTCATTTCAGGATCATGCTATGCATACTGTTTCATAACACCTTTTCAGTTACCATATCAACACTTTTCACATTAAATTATTTAGGACATAATTTTAAATGACTACATATTGCTTGTCGGTACATAATGTATTTAGCTAATTCATGTTTCACTCTTATGAACACAGTCAAACTTCTAAGTGGTTAAGATTGCACAGGCAGCCCTGATTATTGCCTAAAGGCAAATTAATAAAAGTGGAATCATTGGTTCAAATGGTGTATTGAAATGCCCTCCTGGAAAGGGGCCCCAAATTATATGTATCTTGAGGAACTAAGGTAACTGTGTCATAAACCACTAAACAATGACTTAACAGATGCAACACATATTTTTCTGGCTTCTCTGAAGCCCTGATGACTGCTGAGGTCTGGGGCCGCCAGTTTCAAAGCCTCCAGCACTAATGTTGAGTTTTGCTGTCCTCGACAACCTTGAAGTTGTCAGGAGGACTCTCCCCTTCCATCGCTGGATGCGCTGAACTCCTGACACACCCTATAGGGCAGTGCTGCTAGCATAGTGCTGTGGGCGGAATCTCTGCCATCTTCTGGATTTGGCTTCGCTAATGGGTTAGATGCAGGCTCATTGGCTGTGGGCTCAACTGGGGAAGATTATGGTGCAGAAAAACATCTTCCTGCTTTGTGAAGCTGATTCCCAAGGTTCCCAGTTTCAAGTCATGGGGATTAGTCATCACTTGAGTGCTTTTGCCATCTTTACCAAAAATCCAGGTGTTGACATTTTTATTTTTTGTTATCTCCAGCCTCAGGACCCCAGGAGGAGGAGATACTTGGATTTATCTACACAATCCATTCTGCCCAAGAAAAGCAGAAAAGTAGTGGCCTTTAACCAGGGTGGATTTTGAACACTGGTACCAGTTAAATACTCTCTAGAAATCAAAAGCTCAGTTGTTCCAGGAGACTTTGTATCTTTTTTCCTTCACCTCTCTCTTTCCCAACTTAAACATGACCCCAAAAAGCACTGTGTAAGTCATGAAGCAGAAGACAGTCAGATTGCCAAGGTTAATATTTGTGTTTGGAAGCATGGCCCCTGTCAAATGGGCAGTAGCCCTCCAGCTGCCTCCAAGGTTTCTCTTAGCTAGTATGTCGGCCAAGTAGTCCTGTTCTTCATTCTTTTTTTTTTTTTTTTTTTTTTTTTAACCTACTGAGAGGAAGCTAAGTGTTATCACCAAAGAGACCAACTGTATGTGAGGAGGCTGGGACAGCAGTGGGGTCAGTCCACTGGGTCCTGCTCACCATCCTCAGCTGCCCCCCTGTAACCTCAAGCTGAGTTAGGAAAACCCAGTAGGTTTGGGGAATCAGTGGAACTGATGGGGTTGGCTCAGCGAACAAGCATCTGGTGTTCCACTCACTCTGATTCCAGTGCCAGGGGCCATTCTCCAGAGACACTGATGGCTCTGTTCTACAGGGTACCAGCCTTGCATCACTCAGCTGGGAAAAGGTGTGTGCTAGACCTCCCTCCCTCCCCCAGTGTAGATATGCCAGGGAACAGGGCTGGAGCCATGGCATTGGATACACCCAAAGGTGTTCAACTCAGGGAGACAACTCAATTTCCCCCCAGTCCCCCATGGAGGTTAAGGATGCTTAGATTGGCTCCAGGAGGGATGGAGGCACTACAGTATTTGCCCTTCTCCATTGCCTTGCGAGCTGGTTCCAGGGGCTTGGCGTTTGGGTGTGGTCCTGCCAGCCAGCCATTGGTGAACTCCAGCACCCAAAGGCCTTACAGGTCAGAAAATGCAACTGACTTGGAGAAAAAAGCCAACAAATTCCCCACGTTCTGATGACTGCTATTTTTAAAAATCAATATGCATACAAATCAGGACTAAACAGAAGTAAAAATAATTGGGTCAGGGTAGATGGACTGAGAATGATGATTTTTAACTCTTTTCTTCATTACCTACAATGTGGTTACACTGTCCTTCCAATTTTTTTTGAACGAAAATAAACACCAGTTTTAAGAGGCAGAATCAGGCAGGTTGATGTTTCTAGGCATCCAGCCTAGTGAATGTGTGTAAATGTGCATGAGGAGGCTGGGGAGGTGGGGGAGGGAGCAGTTTAACTGGACATGCTTGCCTGTGTGAGGCTGGATTTCCTTACTGGGATCTGAGCTCAGCAGAATCCGGGGAGCCTGAGGGCCTTCGATGTGCTTCAAGCCAGAGAAACCTTGGAGACCACTGGGACCAATTTCTGGGCCTGCTGTGGCCATGAATCATGCCAGCCGCTGAGTGTGCTCAGTGTGGAGTGAACACATAGCCCACACAGATGGAGAGGCGCGAGCACTGTGGGCAAGGGGAAAGGCACGTTGGGAATACAAGGCCCTCGGGGAACATGAGGAAGGCAAAGGATGCCGGGGAACTTGGCTTCAGGGAACTTCTGCCTCACGCTTCATATTGACCCCATGGGCTAATCTCACATTTTCTTCCCAGGAGATAGGATGTTATCAAATGAGGCTAGGAGATCTTTGAGAGAATAAAGACAGCATTCCAGAAAACCTCTCCTGGGTACAGATATCTGTACAGGCAGATCTTTCTGTTAACTCCTGAGAATCTCTGATTTTAGCTCTCTTTCCCATGAAGAGTCTCTCTCCCTACCTGTTCCCTACCAACTTTCCATCCCATTATGTAGACACCCTCCCTCCCCTTTGCCTCCATTTACTTAAATTAATTGCATGCTTTTACCAGGATCTGAAAAGTCTAATTCCAAATGTTGTGTTGAAGGAAAACTTGGGCTTGGGAATCCAATCCAGGCAGGAGGGTGTGTGTGTGCGTGTGTGTGTGCGCAAATATAGATATTCTGTAATCTTGAGGTCGTCCCTAAGACTGTCCCCTAGAGCTTGCAGGTCAAGATCAAGGGTACTTCCTGGCCGTCTAGAGGTCATGCTTCTCCCCATATCAGGATGAGAGTCCTATTGGTGTCACACAATCAAAAAGTCAATTAAATACTAGAAAAGAGAATGCTCTCTAAAAAAATGAAGGAACGATGGAATCGGTCTGGGTGGAGCAATTGAGAAAAGGGAGAAGGTAGGACATCCACAAGCAGAGGGACTACCAGTGAGAGCATTCCTCAGTGGGGAGTGACAGGAAGTGCGCAGAAGCCCGGTGGGCTGGGAGGACCCACAGAGGGGCTTGCTGGCCCTAGTGATGACCTTGGAAACTGGGCTGGCTGCCCAGTCAGGTTTGGGAATCCTCCCAAGTCCTGGATTCTGCAGGAATAGATTCCACTTGTTGGGATCCCTAATGTCTTTCTTTCTATAGTCAGGATGCAACCGTCTGCTGGGAGACCCGCAGCCAATGCTTGGCGAATGGGAATTGCAGGTGAAAGAAAGGGGTGTGATGCTGTGAGGAGGTGGACGCCCAATTCCCTGAGTCCCGAGGGGGAGCTCCACATCACAGGACACGGGTGGGCCATCTTCACATCTGAAGCACTTTGCTACTGAGGAAAGCAGGAACCACAGTGGGGGCGGGGGCGGGGGCGGCGGGGCGGGGGTGGGGCGGCCCCATCCAGCCGCCTGGAAGCGGTGGAACCGCAGCCTGCAGGGAGAAACGCATAGAAAGGAAGTGGGTGAGTTTTATTCCTTGTCCCTCTGTCTGGGTATGGTGTGAGGCGTCTCCCTGGCTTTTGGATTTGAAAACTTTCACATGGGTGAGAACTGAACTCAGCATTGTCTCTAGAGCCAAAAACCAAGTACCTGGAGAATGAGGCCCAGTAGGGCCATTTTCCAAGAGCCAAGCTGTGCCTCCCTCAGGGGCTGCTGAGCCTCTGCTCTTCCTGAGTGCTGGGTAGGCCTGGCTGAGGTTTCTGGCCTCTAGACTTACCTGATCCTGGCCTCTTGCCGGACCTCATTTAATACCTTCTGTGGGCAGAGAGAATTGTAGGAGGAATTTCTCATTTTGCCCACTCACCCAGGAATGTCACTGAGTGGGGCTCTGCCTGAGGTCAGAGAGGCCGTTGAAGGGACATTTTCCCCTACTTGCCAGGACCCTTCTCGGAGCCTTCCGCCTCTGAGCCATGTTGTGGTATTTCCTCAGGAGAAGGCTCCATTCCCAGAGGCTCAGTCAGCAAAGTACATGAGAGCAAGTTTTTTGCTCTTTTTGGGACATTCCTTCCTATATCTCTGCCAGTCACGATCTCTTGTTTCTCCTTGTCCTGGCCCACAGTGGGTTTTTGGAAGGGGTGAGAAGTGACCGGAGCTGGATAAGGACCCATCCTCTACACACCCCCATCTGGAGGCACCCTGTCGGGTGTGTGTGACCCCTCCTTAACCCAGTCCAGAAGGGAGGGTGTGATTTCATTGAATGAGGCACTCCAAGGCCCTTTGCAAACTTTTATGGCTCTTGTGAAATCTCCAAATGTGCTAGCAGAGAAAACTCAAGCCCAGCGTCATCTGAGGGCTGGGAGTTCCGCTCATTCCTCAGGCGGGGATTGTCTCTGATTAGCTGGTGAGGTGAACGTGCCCTGTCATCCCTGGCCTGGCTGGGCAACCTGGCAGGTCATGCCTGTGCCTTGTGCAACTTTGGCTGTCTGGTAGCTCCAGGCACCTAAGACTGAAGACCAAGGTGGCCTCCTGTGTCCCGAGGCTGTCACAGTCTCTGCTGCCGCTGTCCCCACCAGATTTCAGAGCCTCTGACTACATTGCATTTCTTGCATTACAAGAAAGCAATGCTCTCTTGTAGCTCATCTTAATACACATGGCAGACAGAACTGAGTCGTTCTCCTCCATGAAAGAAACATCCTGGAAATAGCTAAAAGTCAAAACAAACACAAAAACAAACAACCCACCCAGGCCTGCGATATGCGCCCTGCTGGAAAAACAAACTCTGTCTGGCTTTTTGGGCGGAGAAGACTTGGGAAGGCCAGCCCACATGTGTGGCTCCAGAAAACTGGCTGAGTAGCCTAATCGACTGCTAAAATGGCCACGGAGTCTTCCTAGGCTTGCACATGACTTTACAGCTCCTCTCATCAAGGGGTGGAGTCTAGTTCCTCGCCTGCTATACCTGGGCTGGCCTGGGACTTGCTTTGACTAATCAAATGTGGCAGAAATGAACATGTGTCAGTTCTGAACTTAGGCTTCAAGGGGTGTTGCACACTTTTTCTCACTCTCTTGTGACCACAAAGTGAACCACCAGCCCAGGCTAGCCTGCGGGAGGAGGAGAACACCTGCTAGTCATCCTGCAGCACTGATAGCCATCCAACTACCAGATGTGTGATTGTGGCCATCCTAGAACAGCCAGCCAACAGCTGTTCCTCCGTTTCATCACAGATGCATGAGAGAGCCTGGCCAAGCCAGCTCAGATGAGAAGAACCAACCAACTCATCTGCAGAATTTTGAAAAATGATAGAAGTTTGTTGTTTCAAGTTGCTAAGGTTTGGGATGGTTTAACTCCATAGGGTTACTCTGAGGATCATGCAAGATAAGGCCACATTACAAGTCCACAAGAAATGTTTGTTGAATCCTATTACAGAGTTACAGAATTGGAAGAGACCACAGAGAACATAAAAAATATGCCCCACTTTTTCAAGCTCACGTTTTCTCATTTAGTCCCCAAAACTTCCTTGAAATATTGTGACTACGTTACCCTCATGTTACGGAAAAGAGGGCTGAATCCCAAGAAGTTAACTTGCCAACGGTCATGCCTAGTAAGTGGTGAAGCTAGATGTGAATTCAGCTCTGTGTGATTCTAAAGGCCATGTTCTTAACTATTAGGATAAAAGCATCGGTTCATATATTTAAAAACCACATTTGTGGCATACTCTCCCAAATGGGTAAAAGAAATTGGAAAAGGAAAGACAAAAGTATCCTTTTTCTGGAGGACTGGGAAAAGTTAGCATGCTTATTCTCTGCTACCACGATGACATTTGATGACATGATTATTCAAGTGCTACCTCTGGAAGAACTCTATGCTCAGTCTTGGTGACCTGCTTGAGAAATGAATTTTGCTCTCAATGTGGTTGATAGCTAGGCTGACTTTAGAACTGACAGCTCCTGTTTACTCATTCCCCAAGCTGTAGGTCTGCAGATTTGCTAGAACTCACTGAAGAAGACTCAGCACATAATATTACTGAAAGAGGAAAGTATTTGTAGTCACAATACTTGAATTTAAGCCCCAGCTACTTCCTGGGCAACTTAATCTCTCTGTGCTACATTTTTCTTACTTCCAAAATGAGAATTCAATTAATGAGATAATGAAAGCTAAGGTGCCATGAGAATATAATGTATTATTATCATTATAAGAGTAAAATCATTACTGAAGTTGATTTCAGTGGTAAATTTGTAATGTTTCAGCTTAAGCAAAAAGACATGTATTTGATCTTCTGCAAAAGCAAAAGACTTCGCAATAATTTATTGTATATTTCAAAATCACTAAGAGAGTGGAATTGGAAGGCTTATAACCCCTAAAACATGATAAATATTTAAGGTGATGGTTAACCTAATTACCCTGATTTGATAATTACACATTGTATGCTTGTGTCAAAATATCAGCTACTCCTCACAGATATGCACATCTATTATATATCCATAAAAATAAAAAAATAACCAAAAGGTAAATCTAAGCAAAAAAAAAAAGCAAACACACTTGAATAATGTATACTGGTATGATGGAGTTTTTGTTAGATAGTTGGGAGTATCAGTTAGAATGCTGCATATAACAGAAAACCCAATCAGTAGTCGTTGAAATAAGTAGGCAGTGATTGTCTTACTTGATAAAACATCTGGAGGTAGGAGGTTGCTGGCATTGGTTCGGTGTTGCAATGATGCCTGCAGGCCCACTCTGTCATCCTTAATATATTGGCTGTCTTCCTCATGCTAGGCTGGCTAACTGTCTCATGGTCTCAAGACAGCAGCTGAAGCTTATATCAAGGAAGGAAGATGGGAGAATCTGGAATCTCCCCAGATGTTTTTTTGTGTTTGTTCCTGTTTTTCCCTGTTGAGGTCTCATTAGCTAGAAATGTGTCATATGCCCACCTAAGCTGCAAGGAGGCTGGATAGTATTGGCCTTTTTCAGACTCTGTAGTAGAGACAGCCAGGTGAAAAAATTGGAGTATTTATGGGTTGTTTGTTCTTGTTCTCCTTTGTGCTTGCTTGTGCTTCCTGACATGCTTGTGTAACAGACATACTTTGTGTTTCTATAATAAGAGAAAAAAGGACTCCAGACTGCTATTAATATTTTTAAAGGAATCAAGCAAAAGACTTCAACCTAACTGTTTTCATATTGAGCGTGAGCTGGGACTACTTGGTTACATACATAATCCCTGGCTTTTGTGTCCCTCCTCTCATCATCTAAACCAAGCAGAAGATGAATGTTCAACACTTATGAAAGGTTGACATACTGTCACTTGTTTCATTTGGGGGAAGAAAGGCCATGTCTACTTGAGTTATTCTGTATCATATCCTATGCAGATCACTTTTTGTATTATTGGTGTCTACAAAAAAAAATCACATGTAAGGCAAGAACAAAGCCCCCAGACATGTAGAAAATTCGTTCAAAATCAGTAATGGCTAAATGTCAAACTTTGGTAAGGATGAGATATGAAGGAAAAGTTTATAATCAAAATTCTGTTCTCTGAGTCTGGGGAAAATATCACCAGCTTTAATTGACAAAGTGGCTGCTAAACAAATAAAGAAGGTGAAAAATGATGGTCCCAGGAGATGTTGCTATCTGCAACATGTTACAGATTAGCTGGCGTTGTCCTCACCATTTCAGGCAGAGGGTAAAAATGTGGCTTGATTTAGAGCTGATGATATCATGTGTCTAGTCACTGGAGATCAAAAGAAAGCTTGCCTGTGAAACATTGTTCATGAAATGGGAGCAAAGTCCAGACTCTTCTCTTGGGTGTGTCAAAGGGAAGTTTTGCTGTGTACCAGGCCAATGGGATTCAAGTCACAGCATATGCTCCAGGATGTATTTGTGGCCATGTGACCTCGTGTTCAACTCTGCCAGTCCTAAACTCAGCAGATTTACCAATTGTGTGTGATCAATCCCTTTAATACCTGATGATTTGGTGGGCAAATCGCTCTTTTCCTTTCCTATGATGTATGATTAGAGACTGCAGGTATTTTGTTTTGTGCTTAGAAAGTGGCTATTGCATGTATATGTGTGCATGCATGGGTGTGTGTATTTGTGTGTGCATGTGTGTTTGTGTGTAGGTGTATTGGTGATGGTGGTGATGGTGAGGAGTGTGGAGAAGCAATTCAATTGCTTACTCTGTAAGACCAGATTTGGAACAGCCCATCTGTGATGACTGCTTACCTTTTTCCTGAGATTAGAAATCAATACTTGGAGGGTGGACTGCATCTTTCTTGGATATCTTCAAGGAATGCTGAAGGCACTGTAAATTCAAGCAAGTCCAAGACGTGAATGTCACATTCTTTGCAATGAGGAATTGGTGTGAAGGATGTCAAAACATCTTTAGCATGAAACCCTACTGAAAGAAAATCCTTGCAACCTACTGTATTTTGGAGCTCAGAAGAATTTCATCATGGTAGGACTTATTATACTGTATGTCAGAGGCGTTTGAACCAGAGCAAGTCCATCTTGAACAGGGGCTGGTAAAATAAGACTGAGACCTACTGGGCTGCATTCCCAGGAGGTCAGGCATTCTAAGTCACAGGATGGGCTAGGAGGTTGGCAAAAGGTACAGGTCATAAAGACTTTGCTGAGAAAATGATGTGGTGAAGAAGCTGGCCAAAACTCACCAAAACCAAGATGGCGATGAAAGTGACATCTGGTCTTCCTCACTGCTCATTATATGCTAATTACACTCCCACCAGCACCATGACAGTTTACAAATGCCATGGCAGGTCAGAAAATTACCCTATGTGGTCTAAAAAGGGGAGAAACCCTCAGTTCCAGGAATTGCCTGTCTCTTTCTCAGAAAACTCACAAATAATCCACCCTTGTTTCATGTATAATCAAGAAATAACTCTAAAAATAGCCAACCAGCAACCCTAAGGGCTGCTCTGCCTACAGAGTAGCCATTCTTTTATTCCTTTACTTTCTTAATAAACTTGCTCTCACTTTATGTACTTGCCTCGAATTCTTCTTTGCACAAGATCCAAGAACCCTCTCTTGGGGTCTCGATCAGGACCCTTTTCTGGTAACGTAAGGACAAATGCTTTCTTAAATGCAGTAGAAGCCATCATCAGCCTTGCTCAACCCCCTTTTGTAAGTTCCATGTGTACTAAATTTCCACCAAATTCCTATTTATAACACGACAGAGGTGCTGAAGAGCTGTCAGAGCCACACTCAAAGCTTAACTGAAGCACTCACATTTCCTTTCCTTCTGGCCTCTGGTTACCGAAAACATTTGCTGAAAATTGCTGTCCCACTCAAGAACTGTCAAAGGTAATTGTGTTGCACAAAAGTTACCAAGAAGCATGAAATAATATGGTTACCACCTGGTGACCAAGTTAATAGAACCTGTCTGATGAACCGCCAAGCCTGCCACATGTGAATTCCCCAGTTTCTGTCTGAAAGCCACGACAGCATAAATTGGTGAGGAAGGTGTGGATCAGGGGCCTCTTAGTGGCAATTTACCATACAAATCCCCATGTAAAGGGCAGTTGTCAGGTCACCATATCCAGTGAGGTCTGAGATTTGGGGGTGGCAGTGAGGGGGAAGGTGTCAGGGAAGAATAAAATGCTTTGGGAATGAGGAGCTGTGTGAAGCAAGTAGCAGTGCTTACTTCAAAGGGCAAGGTCTAGACTTGGCTCTTCTCATAGCTGGCAATGACCTCGGCGTCTAAAAAACTGAAAATCAGAGACTCACAAGATGGGAGGGGCTTAGAGAGTCTGTCTGGGTCTCCCCACCTTGTTGCCTCTGGTCAAAACTGTGTCCTTCCAGGTGAGCCAGAATATTCCTCTTAAAATTCCCCAGAGAAGGAAATCCTCCTCGTTCCTGGAAGCCATTTTCAGGGTCTCAAACCCCACTTGAGATGGTTTTGCTTTAACTTGAGGTTACAAAACCCCAGAATCCCTCTGAATTCTGGTGCCTCTATTCATACATCAAAAACATCGAACCTGGAAATCTTCTCATGGATTCCCTTGGAAACATCTAGTCCTATCTGAAACTGTTTTATTTCATCAGAAATCATTGCTGGCTGGATGCCTGATGCCAGCATTCAAATCCAGTAGACAGAGTGTGGCTCAGAAGAGACTCATTGAAACTGGGAATCCCCCAACTGGGAGGCCCAGGGTTCACACTGGAACCATTCTGGTGTAGTTATACATCAACCAATGTTAGGAGTACCTGCTCTTTTTATCTTTAGTGATACTCATAGTTGAGATTTTTGAGATACAAAAAAAAAATCTCACTTTTTAGGCAGAAAACATTGACATCAGGGCTGGGTACATAATTTGTAGAGCCCAATGCAAAATAAATACTTAAAAGTCTTTTTTACAAAGAACAGGAAAAAAGCTTTTTCCTTTCTAGGATGGTCTCTCTCAAACTTTCATGATGTGTCTAATTTCCTAGTTAATGTTATACTGCCTCAGGCTCTGGCATACTTGAGGGGTGAGTGTAGACCTTCATAGGCATCAGAGTCCTGACTTGCAGCTAAGTGTGTAGGATGTGCTGGCCCAACCTCAATTCTTCCACTGCGGGCACAGGGCAGCAGTGATCTCTGGGTGGCGTTAGGGGAGGAGGTAGCCAAGAACCCATCCCTGGGAGATAAGAGGAGGCAGGGGGCAGGACGGGGCATGAGCCAAGACTGCTCAGGGCATGCACTACTGTGCTATTGGTCTTTACTTACAAAACAAATTCAAAGATAAAAGTATTAAGAATTTCAAAATGGCAGCCACACCATTAAAGCCAAGTGTGAGGCCCCCTTCTGAATGCGGGGCCCTATGTGATGTCAGTGGTAGCACACCCAGGAAGCAGCCCTGGTTGAAACTCATTCTCCTTTGGGCCCCCTGGAAACTTACTGTTATTGAGAAGCCTTTTGGATTTGTATTCTTTTCTATGTAATGTGTTTTTTTCCTTCCTGGAAGCGTTTAAGATCTTCTTTTTAACTGTGTTCTGAGATTTCTCAGTGATGCACCTTGGTGTAAATTTTTCATCTTTTATTGTCTTAGACTCTCAGAGAACTCTTTCAGTTTGGAAATTTATTCTTTTAGTTCCGGGAAAATTTTCTTGCATGAGTTCTTTGACAATTTTCTCTCCTCTCTCTGTTTGTCTCCCTGTTCTGTCTGCCTCCAACTTCTCTTGGAGGTGGTTGGATTGATCCTCTAATTTGTTTTCCTTAGTTTCTTTTTGCTTTTGCTGTTTGCCTCTTCTCTCTGGACATTTTTTCAACCTTGTCAACTTTCTATTACATTTAAAAGTATTTCAGTAATTATATTTTTTTATTTTCAAGAGCTCTTTTTTTTTCCTCTGTGTTCATTACTCACAACAGCATGATACAATATCTTTTCTTATCTGAGAACATGAATACTATTTTTAACATTTTTTATTAATTCCTACATTTACTCTTTTTTTCTTTTTGATTTCATTCATTCATGCTGGAGACTCTGCAGATCGCTGGTGGTATGTTTATATTCAAGAGTAAGACACTATGATTGGGTACTCTAAAATCACGGATGGGGCTTTTCTCCAAACTTCATCATAGGGTTATCAGGAAGTAAATGTCATTATCTATAGGCCTTTTCTTTGTACTATTTGGAGAGAAATCTAAATCTCCTGCCAGGGTGTGTGTTTGTGTGTGTGTGTGTGTGTGTGTGTGTGTGTGTGTGTGCATAGGTGAGGGGAGAGTTCTGGAAGGAGCATAGGGAAGGGAATGGGGGGTGTCCATAGTAGACTTTTACTTCACCTTTGCTTTATCTATGCTCTTCTCTGGTCATGCTCCCCAAATACATTTACTCCAAAGAATAAACCTTCAACTTTCTTCCAGGAAGCTGGTAAAGAGTTGTGTGGATGCACACAATGAGAGAGGAGACTTAATGGGCTCAGCTGTGCTGTGGTAGACTTTCAACAAATGTCTTTTTCCACAGTGGGCCTTGCTCTCATCTTCCTCTTGAAATACTCACTGCTTATAAGCACTGAGCAATTTAGAGCTCCTGCAGAGTGAAGCTGCTCTGTTCTTGCTTGTCTGAAAGCATTTGGTTTTCCCTTTGCTTTATTCTGCCAAGGTAATTACCATTCTTCCATCCATTTCTCACCTTCCAAAAATGTGTTGAAAACATTTATGACAAATGGTCTCTCATTCTTTTTGACCTTGTCTATGAATTTGTTTCTTAAAATTATTTGACTGTCATTTTAATGAGATTTGGGTAGGAAGAAGAAATAGTCACAGTCAATTCTACTTTTAACCAGAAGTTTCCTTTAGAAATTTTAATCTTTTTTGGATACTAGACCCATGTGCTTTAGTCTTAGGCAAATCCTTGTTTTTCACTAAGTGAAATAGTAAGCAGTCTAGAAAAATAGTAAATTTCAGTCTATTTCTCATAGCCTATGTGTACTTATTTAAATATAATACTAATAATCTTGGTTATTTAGTATCCAAGCTTTTAGTAGACTAGAAGCAGAATTTTAGTAGAAAGTTAGATGTAGATGCTACTAGAGTCATATACCTTGATAGCGTTAAGAAGAGATAGTTGGCAGACCAAAAGAGAAAGGTGACAGAATAACCAGTTAAAAGAACACATTAAATAGTACAACAGTTTCTATACTACGACAGTTTCAAACAGTCCTACACATTTCAAAATGCATTATTGCATTAAAGTGTAATTCAGGTGCCATCTTCCCTTACCAAGCCTTCTACAGCTCCCTGTGGTTTGTAGATATTAGTTCCACTCTCTCTCACTGTTCTATATATTGCCAAATATATGACCTGTGGTTCTAGTGAAACACCCTGCTCTATTTCACACCCATGGATTTCTGCCTCAAACCTGTGACTTCCATAGCTTGGCACACCCTTTCTTACCATCACAGGTTATCCTTCAAGACCCACTCAAATTCCCATGATGTACTCTCCCTCCCCCATCCTTACGTGTTCCCATGGTACTTGTTTAGGTTTATATAATGGAACTTGCTGTGTTCTGCCAGGAATTTTGAAATTATGCATCTGCCTTTCCTCTCCAGTTGGGATCATAAACACTGAATAGCATTGCCATTTCTCTTGGCATAATGCCTCCCTGTGAGTGCTCCCTGAGTAAATACGTGTTGAATCCAGTTGGAAGTATCATAATTGATGTTTAACCTGACAATCTTTAGTCTTCAACGAAAGGCTAAATTGGATACTGTTGAGGAGGAAAGTAAGTGTGTGATGCATTTTAAAAGATTCAAAAATAAAAAAGTAATAAAAACGAAGCAAGAAATACTTTTTATGTTGTGTAAAGGGCATGTTACATTTAACTCATTATAATATGTACTTTTTTGTTGATAGAACAACGAGGCATTATTTTTCACATGAACAACAACCCCATTGTGGCACCAAGCTGTTTAAGTTTGAACATCGTAGCTTAGGTATGAAACATCAACTATATCATTTTAAAAGAAGGCAGTGTAAAGAGTTTGTGGCAGGTGGAAAAAACGTGAATATTTTTATTTAAATATGCTTTGGAGAGAGCAGCTCTGTGTTCCTTGACATAACTGACCTTTCCCTAAAATATTTGGGCTCAAATCTCATCTTGCTCTTGACTGATGTTGCAATTTCTAAGGTGCCTTTATCTTTGTTCTGGATTGATCTTTAATCAGGTATGACTTCTGACACATTTGCTTTAAATTTCTCTCTCCTCCCCTGTCAAGTAGTTAATGATCTCAAAATGTCACACTTGATTCCACAGATTTCCCAGGGAGTCAAGTGTGGGTAGAATAACAAAACAAATGAAAAGTGCAGAATCACTTTATTGTTACTTTCTCCACGTACATGCCAGGCTGGCTGCATGGGCATGTGATCCATGGGCAGTGGCACAGGGACCATGCTCAGAAGGGCCCCACACTTGGTGGGATGTTCTGCTGTTAATAATTTTAAGTTGTATTGTGTAAGTGAAGTCTGATGGAGCCACGGAGCATGCACATAAGCAGAAGAGTTCTGTACAAAATGTGAATTTGTGTGTCTGCTCTCCTTTGCTGCACATTTGCGTATAGTGTTATGATGGCCCATGAGCACGGAATTCTGGCGATGCACAGGAGTTCAGGAAGACTCGAAGCATGTTATACCCACAACATACAAATCAAGCAACAGCCCTGACAGCCCCAAAGGCCAAACTTTCCGTTCACACCAGAATTTGCTTTGAATGCAGAAAGAAGAAAATGGCATTGAATGAATCATGAATGAACAAAAAACCTTATCATAGCCTATGTTAGCCAACCACATATGCTGAAAATGACATAGAGTGGAAAAGGTAGGATAATCTATATTTTCTTTTCTTTTCAGTCCTTCCTTATTCATCACTAATCCCCAGTTAGGGAATGTTGGTAGAAGTTGAGTATATGAATAAGTAAAACAAAAACAGTCAAGTTAGTTTTGTGCAGCATTTTCATTGGTCTGGTAAGAATTAAATACATACACATGTATGAGCTATAGATCCAAATTTTTTAATTTTGGTGATTCTTCACACACATTAAAAGCTCTTTATTTGCATTTAAAACTGGCATTGCACAATATAAAGATGAATGATAAAATTCATGCTAAGAACTTAAAATTATAATTTAAGTTTACTTAGAGCAACATTAAATAGCAAATAAACAACATGATGACAAGTCAAGAGGGAGACTGTGGAAGAGAGAAAACAGCTTTATATTTCAGTACCTTTCATGGCATTTACCCCCTGCTTTTTGACAGGGGCCCCACATTTTCATTTTGCACTGGGCCCCACAACATACATAGTTGGCCCAACACACATGTATGGATCTTAATAGACAAAATTCATGTTAACACAATTTTGAAGTAAGTAATCTCTATTTCCAAAACCACAAAGAACATTGTCAGAAATTGTCCATGGGAGGAAAATCTTTTTGTGGTCTACAGGGACACAGTAAATGCATGCCATGGCCCAAGGAAAGAAGTCATACTGGAAATTACTTGAGGATCAGACCACTTACGGTCATTTCTTCAATGAGACCGAACATTAAAACGTGCTCCAGCATCATTATATTAAATGGGTCAATTAATCCATTTGCATCCTGACCCAAACAAATCCCAACTGAAAACCAGAGACCTGTCATTTATTCAAAAATAGGTATTGGTCACAGAATATTGCATGGTGAGCAAGATGGTCACAGTCCTTGTCTTTGTGAAATTTGCTGACCAGTGTCACGGAAAATAAAGAAGGGAGTAAAGTTAAAAAAATACTTAAAAAAGCACTGTGGAATTTCCTGTTAGAGGAATTTGTATTAGTCACCAGGACTCTTTCAGTGCAAGTGACAGAAAAAAAAAAAAAAAGCCACAAAAAAACCCCCAAAACACACACAGTAACACCTCTAACTAGCTTCAGCAAAAATGAAGTACAAGTTTATATAGCACAAATCACAGGAATTATGTATGGAACAGAGGTGATTCTCCTTCTCCAAGGCAAAGCTGAGACTTTTCTTTATCAGAAATGGGGAACTGGGTGGTGCTTCAGTATAGAATTGTTTAATAAATATTTTGATGATGTAAAGAATCACCTCTATTCTATTGGAAATGCACTTAAAATTTTTGATGTAATAACTTTTCTTAAAGCAGGAAACTCCTGAATTTTCTCATTAATTTGAGCTATGTCTTGAATCTGGAGGACACCGTCTATAGTTTGTTGGGAATGTCTGTCTGAGACTTACGTAAAATGTCTTAGAACACTAAAATATGTTTAATAACCTCCCTAAAAGGCAGGAAAGTGGAATCAGAGGATTGAGAAAACAGAGGGAACAAACATAAATAAAAATACAACATATCAAAATTGTGGGATGCAGATAAAGCAGTGTTTAGAAGGAAATTTAGAGCATTAAATGCTTATACTAGAAAATAAGAAAGGGCTCAACTCAATCTAAGCTCCAACCTTAAAACAAGAAAAAAAGAGCAAAACAAACTGAAAGCAGACAGAAGAAAATCATGCAGATATAGTAAAAACTTGGTAAAGTTGAAAACAAACAAACAAAAACAATACAACAAATCCATTAAACCAAAAGCTGGTTCTTTGAGAAGATCAGTAAAATTTATGAACTCTAGCAAGACTGATAAAGAAAAAAGGGAGAGAAGACAAACATTACTAATGTCAGGAATAAAAGATACAGACTCTGCAAACATTAGACAGATAAAAAAGAAATACTATGAACACCTCAGTGCATATAAATTCTACAATCCAGATGAAATAAAGCAATTTCTCAAAAGCCACAAACTATCTAAACTCACCCAAGATAAAATAGATACCTGAATAGTTCTATAAATATTAAATACATTGAATCCATAGTTTAAAATCTTCCACAAAAGGAAATCTCAAGCTCAGGTAGTTTCACTGACATATTCTACTAAACATTTAAAGAAGACATAATAACAGTTCTACATGATCTCCTCTAGGAGATAAAGGAAGAGCCAAAGCTTTCCAATTTTTTATGGGGCCAGTATTTTCCTGATACCAAAATTAACGCCACTACAAGAAATTAAAACTACAGACTAATATCTCTCATAAATATAGATGCAAAAGTCCACATCATAATATTAGAAAATTAAATATAGCAATGTAGAAAATCAACTGAGGCTTAGCTAGGAAATGTAAGACTAATTCAGTATTCAAAAATCAATCAATGTAATTCCACATGTTAACAATTGAGAGAAGAAAACCACATGACTATATCAATAGATACAGAAAAATAATTTGACAAACACAGCCAGGCGTGGTGGCTCATGCCTGTAATCCCAGCACTTTAAGAGGCTGAGGCGGGTAGATCACTTGAGGTCAGGAGTTCAGACAGCCTGGCCAACATGATGAAACTCCATCTCCATTAAAAATACAAAAATTAGCCATGTGTGGTGGCAGGCACCTGTAATCCCAGCTACTCGGGAGGCTGAGGCAGGAGAATTGCTTGAATTTAGGAGGCAGAGGTTGCAGTGAGTTGAGATTGTGTCACTGCACTCTGGTCTGGGTGACAGAGCAAGACTATGACTTGATTAAAAAAAAAAAAGGAATTTGACAAACATAACATCCATTCATGATAGAAGCTCTCAACGAACAAGATGAACATTCTCAAGTTGAGAATGATATTTACGAAAATCTCCGCAGCTAAAATTATACTTAATGGTGAAAAATGGATGTCCACTCTTATCCCTCTTATTCTCCATTATACTGGAAGTCCTAACTGTTGTAATTGCAAAAATAAGAAATAAAAGACATGTCAATTGGAAGAAAAAAAAAACTGTCTCTATTTGCAGATGACATGATTGTTTATGTAGAAAATCCCCAAGAATCTTTAAGAATAAACTCCTAGGACTAATAGTGAATATAACAGGGTGGCAAGGATACAAAGTAAACACAAAAACAAGTTGTTTGTATTTGTAAGCAATGAACAATTGAAACTGAAATGAAAAAAAACAAAAGCATATTACTATATTTATTTGCTGGGGCTGTAACAAAGTGCCACAGACTGAGTGGCTTGACCAATAGAAATCTATTTTCTCACAGTTCAGGAAGCTAGAAAGGTGAGATCAAGGTTTTAGTGGTGTTGACTTCTTCTGAGGGCTTTTTCTTTGATTCGTAGATGGCTGTCTTCTCCCTTTGTCTTCACCTGGTCTTCTCTGTGCCTGTTTGTGTCCTAATTTCTTCTTACACCAGTCATATTGCATTACACCATTCTAATTACCTCATTTTACCTGACTTACCTCCTTAAAAACCCTATCTCCAAATATAGTCACATTCTGAAGTACTGGGAGTTAGGATCTCAACATATAAATTTTTTTGGCAGGGAGGTGGCAGGGACACAATTCATTCTATCTCAATTATTAACAATAGCTTCAAAAAATGAAATGTTTAAGTTACAAATCCAATATAACATGCAGGATCCTTATGCCAAAGGCTACAAATGCTGAAGAAAGAAATCAACAGTAAGAAAACAACCCAATTTTATTTTATTTTACTTTTTAAAATTAGGTTTTATTTAATTTTTTAAACTTTTTAAATTCAATTTTTATTTTAAGTTCAGTGGTGCATGTGCAGGATGTGCAGATTTGTTACATAGGTAAATGTTTGCCATGGTTTGCTGCACGGATTATCCCATCACCCAGGTATTAAGCCCAGCATTCATTAGATATTCTTCCTGATGCTCTCCCTCCCCCCACCCTCCTACAGGTCCCAGTGTGTGTTGTTCCCCACAATGTGACCATGTGTTCTCATCATTCAGCTCCCACTTATAAGTGAGAACACATGGTGTTTGGTTATCTGTTCCTGTGTTAGTTTGCTGAGGATAATGGCTTCCCACTCCATGCATGTCCCTGCAAAGGCACGATCTCATTCCTTTTTATAGCAGCATAGTATTCCATGTTGTATATGTACCACATTTTCTTTATCCAGTCTATCATTGATGGGCATTTAGGTTGATTCCATGTCTTTGCTATTGTGAATAGTGCTGCAGTGAACATATGTGTGCATGTGTCTTCATAATAAAATGATTTATATTTTGGGGGGTATATACCCAGTAATGGGATTGCTGGTCAAATGATATTTCTGCCTCTACATATTTGAGGAATCACCACACTGTCTTCCACAATGGTTGAACTAATTTACACTCCCACCAACAATGTAACAGGGTTCCTTTTTCTCTGCAACCTCACCAGCATCCATTGTTTCTTGACTTTTTAATAATCACCATTCTGACGGGCGTGAGATGGTATCTCATTGTGGTTTTAATTTGCAGTTCTCTAATGATCAGGGATGTTGAGCTTTTCTTCATGTTTGTTGGCCACATGTATGTCTTCTGTTGAGAAGTGTCTGTTCATGTCCTTTGCTCACTTTTTAATGGGGTTGTTTGGTTTTTTTTCTTGTAAATTTGTTTAAGTTCCTCGTAGACTCTGAATATTAGACCTTTGTCAGGTGGATAGATTGCAAAAATTTTCTCCCATTCTGTAGGTTGTCTGTTCACTCTAATGATAGTTTCTTTTGCTGTGCAGTCGCTCTTTAGTTTAATTAGATCCTGTTTGTCAATTTTTGCTTTTGTTGAGATTGCTTTTGACATTTTCATCATGAAATCTATGCCCATGCCTATGTCCTGAATGGGATTGCCTAGATTTTCTTCTAGGATTTTTATAGTTTTGGGTTTTACATTTAAGTCTTTAATCCATTTTGAGTTAATTTTTGTATATGGCGTAGTGAAGGGGTCCAGTTTCGATTTTCTGCATATGGCTAGCCAGCACTCCCAGCACCATTTATAAATAGGGAGTCATTTCCCCATTGCTTGTTTTTGTCAAGTTTGTCAAAGGTCAGATAGTTGTAGGTGTGCGGTCTTATTTCTGAGTTCTCTGTTCTGTTCCACTGGTCTATGTGTCTGTTCTTGTACCAGTACCATGCTGTTTTGGTTACTGTGACCTTGTAGTATAGTTTGAAGTCAAATAGTGTGATGCCTCCAGCTTTGTTCTTTTTGCTTAGGATTGTCTTGGCTATTCAGGCTCTTTTTGGTCCCATATGAATTTTAGAATAGTTTTTTTTTCTAATTTGTGAAGAATGTCGATGGTAGTTTAATGGGATAGCACTGAATCTACAAATTACTTTGGGCAGTATGGCCATTTTCATGATATTGATTCTTCCTATCCTTGTGCATGAAATGTTGCTCCATTGTGTCTTCTCTGATTTTCTTGAGCAGTGGTTTGTAGTTCTCCTTGAAGAGGTTCTTCACTTCCCTTATTAGCTCTATTCCTGGGTATTTTATTCTTTTTGTAGCAATTGTCAATGGGAGTTCATTCATGATTTGGCTCTCTGGTTGCCTGTTGTTTGTTATAGGAATGCTGGTGATTTTTGCACGTTGATTTTCTATCCTGAGACTTTGCTGAAGTTGCTTATCAGCTTAAGAAGCTTTTGGGCTGAGATAATGGGGTTTTCTAGATATAGGATCATGTCATCTGCAAACAAAGATAATTTGACTTCCCCTCTTCCTATTCGCATATGCTTTATTTCTTTCTCTTCCTGATTGTCCTGGCCAGAACTTCCAATACTGTGTTAAATAGGAGCGGTGAGAGAGGGCATCCTTGTCTTGTGCCAATTTTCAAGGGAAATGCTTCCAGCTTTTGCCCATTCAGTATGATATTGGCTGTGGGTTTGCCATATATGGCTCTTATTATTTTGAGGTATGTTTCAGCAATACCTAGTTTATTGAGAGTTTTTAACATGAAGGGGTGTTGAATTTTATTGAAGGCCTCTTCTTCATCTATTGAGATAATCATGTGTAAACAACCCAATTTAAAAAATGAACAAAAGACCTGACTGGGCATACCATCAAAAAGGATTTATGAAAGGCAAAGAAACACATGAAAAATGCTCAACATCATGAAACGCTAAGGAAATCAAACTAACAACATGTTGAGATACCACTATATACCTATTAGAATGGCTAAAATAAAAAAAATTCATACCAAGTGTTGGTGAGGATGTGTAGCAACTGAGTATGTGTATGTATGGAACACTCACATATTGATGCTGGAGATGGAAATGGTACAGCCACTCTGAAAAATCGAATATATACATATACTTACTAAATTGAATATATACATATACTTAAATCGAATATATACATATACATACTACATGACCCAACGGTCCCACTCCTAAGTATTTACCCTAGAGAAATGAAATCTTAGGTGCACATAAAAATCTGTACATAAATGTTTATAGCAATTATTTTCATAATTTCCCAAAACTTACAAACAACTTAAATATCCTTTAGTAGGCGAGTGGATAAACAAGCTCTGGTGCATCCATACATGGAATGCTACTCAGCAATAAAAAAGAATAAACTGCTGACACATATGATAACTTGGATGAATCTCAAAGGCCTTATGCTGAGCGAAAGAAACCACTCACAAAAAGGTAACACACTGCATGTTTCTGGTTACATGACATTTCAAAAACTGTAGTGATGGAAAACAGATCAGTGGTTACCCGGAGTTGGGAGGGTTGGGTGGAAGATGTGACTATAAAGAGGTGGTAAGATAGGACTACCTCTTTGTAGGTACCACTTTTTTGATGGTCGACGTGTGTATTGGTGTTCTATATTCATAAGGAAACCTCCATTTTGAAATGCTGGGATTAAAGAACAATGTTTTCTTTTAAAGTGTATGTCAAATATTATACTTGAAAAATTTTCTGTTAAGAGTCAGTTCTCGGAGTAATTACTGGCATGTAAGAAAAATCAGGTTCAAATGGATGAACCTAGTTTATCAAAGGGAAGGAATGAATGGATATTACCCACATGTCACAGTTTTGATACAGGTGGAATTAATTGATTATTCTGGATCTGGCTTTCTTCTGAAAGGAATTTCGTCTTCCGAAGGGAACACAGGGTTTTTGTCTAAACCCATTATCGATTCTCTGGGGACAACTAGGTAACTGTTCCAGGAAACAAGTTGGGGAAAGGTGAATATTATAATCCCCCTATCACCTTTCCTGTAGCAGAAACTGTGGACCCTCTCATGACATCTAATCACAACTCTCTTCTGCCTGTGTGGAAATCAAAGTGACATATTTCTTCCCATTTTATTTATGGAGACAGATACCAGAAGAGCAAGCATGCAGGAGTTCGAAACAAATACATCTTAAGCACGAGGTTGGCACGTGTTGCAGATTTTCTTCCCCAATACAGATGTGCAACCTCGCATTTCAGAAGAGACCTGAGACCTCTAACTTCTTGATGGGAACAAAAGATAAGTCTCAGTTGTGATACCACATGCGTTTCTCGTGAGAAGGGAGACACTCCAGGGCCATCCCCCCACCTCACCCCATTTGTCGGGCTGTCCTGTGGGCACCCTCTGGTGGTCACTTAGGTCGAGTGGCTCTCTGTTCCTTGCATCCAGGAGCTCCCTGGTTGGAACACTACCTATAAAATAAACAGAAACATTCTGATTTGTTTCTTTGAGGCAGCAATAGAGAAATAGCTGCACTAACAGGATAAGAAGCCGAAAAGAAACAAATATTTTCTATTCAGATGGTGTTAAAATGTGGTCATCAAAGCTAGGGATCCTTGTATTTTTCTTCAGCTGCATGAGCAAGTCTCTTTGCCTTCCTGGGGTTTAATTTTCTCATCCAGAAAATAAGAAACTTAAACTAGGTTATTTCTAAGCGTGCTTCCAGCTTCAAATGTATGTAATATCTAATAATTTGTTTAGTAGGTGCTTTCTGTAGTGGTGCTAGGTGCTGTTCCTGACACCTGGCTTGACACCAACCTCAAGAAGAGATTATGCCTGGAAAATTGAAAGCGGTGTGAAGACACTTTGTAGGCATCATTTTGTTTTTCATTTTCTAGCCCTTTCTACCCATTCCAGTGCAAGCTTCCTTAATATTTGAAATAGATGAGCATGATTAAGGCATAATTAAAGCCAACTGAAACTTAGTTTCTTCCAAAAGTCTCTCATCTAATCACAATTAAGACCTGTTAGTTTTCAGTGAGAAGTAAGGATGTAAATTTAAATTCTACACCCCTGCCTAAAATGTGGACAAGATCCTCTTTTCTGCATCTTTGGGTACTGCCTATCACTTTTAAGCTGCACAAGTTCTGGAGCTAGAAGTCATATTTAAAAAACACACCTCACATTTAGTTATATCTTGCAGCTAGCAAGGCAATTGTTCCCTACAACTCTCTGTGAATTTTTAAGCTAATTGATTCCTTGCTGTCATCTTCTGTTCCCTTACCTGTGAGGTGGGGCTGTGAAAGTCAGAGACAACCCATGGGGACATGCTTTGTAAACAGCCACTTGTTGTAAACAGGTACACAAGCATTCGTGAGGGTTATGAAAGTTGATTTCACAGCTAGGTCCCAGGGATAGTACCTGAAAGTTACAGTATGTTTTTATAGGGCACCAAGCAATTACTGCAAATACTTCTCGACTTATAATAATTTCACACCACTGCAAGTTGTTGTCCTTATAGGAAGGGAGATAGATAACATTTCTTAGAGAAGCACACACCCTAAAAGCAGCTAACTAAATAGAAACTCAGAAAGACTCACAAGAAAGAATGCATTTCTTATCATTCAGGCTATTAACAATTTTTTTGGTCAGAGGAGACCAAAAATATTTTGGCCCATCTATTTATGAAAGAATAAACCAATGATTTTCTGTTGGTTAGTTTATTCTTCCATAAAGAAGCCTTCATTTCAAAATTCTGGGATTGAAGAAGAAGGCTTTTTTTCCAAGATAAATACTAAATACTCTCATTTAAGAACATTCTTTTAGTAATTAACTCTGGGAGTAGTCCATGACATGTATAAGAAAAATCAGGTCTAAAGGAATAAATGCAGGTTATCAAATGAGAATTATAGTCGTATGGTAGTTATAAAGATTAAATGAGATACTATATGTTGCCTAACAAAGTAAATGGCCAAGAAAACGTAGTTTCATATGAATAGTATCATACTGAAGCATTTATCTGTTTTTTGGTAGATACTGGATTTGGTAGGATATAAGTTACATTGGGAAAGGAATAGGGCTGAGTTCTTTCTCTTTGGTAACACACTGGGTTATGGGAACCACGGTTCAATAGTCTTTCATCCAGGAAGATGAGCTCTTTCTACCTTTGCAGTGTGATTCCAACTTTCTTGCCTTGCTCCGCCTGAGTCATTGTGTTTCCAGTAAGTGACCTCCCTTCCTTTGGACCAGTCCCTAGTCTTCTCAAGCCCCTGTCTTTTCTTCAACACATTTCTTCAATGTGTTTCTCCTGCTTTACAAGGACATACCCCAACCCTACCGACTCTCTTATTCTTTGTAGCAAGTAATATTTGGGGACTGTAGCTCTGTTCTCTTGCCCTCCCTATTCCATGTTGTGGTCTGATTGCTCTTAGTTCCTATTTTTCCTCCGAGACGCTGTGACACAATGCCTGGGTGGTGTCTTCCCCCAGAGTATGCACCCAATTGTTCTGGAAGTCAGGAAGGACTGTGGCGTTTTCTGCCTTGCTTTGTCAAATGTTGTCTCTTCCTACAGTAATCCCAGGGACTCTTTTTAACCCAGGATTTTATTCTAAATGGAATGTTAAGAGAGTTCAGATGCTGAGAGACAGGTCAGGGCAGCGGGGGTGGGGAGAGGTGTGAGCTTATCCAGATCTGTGGCTTTGCCAGGACTGTTTTCAAGTTGACACAGTGCTAAATAAAAAGCCCCTTGCTTTGATCTCGGGGACTTCCTGAGTAGACTGTCTGATTAGATAAAGATCACATATTCCACCCCCATCCTTTAGGAAGTAATCTAAGCTTTGCAGCTATTCCTTATCCTGTCTCCTTCTCAAAGTCTGTCTGTCTGTATCACTGGGTCCCTCCCTGGGTCTTGGGCTTTTCTTTCTGTTTGAGCAGGAAAAGGGATCCTGAGAAAATAGAGCACGTCTTCCTCTTTGAAATCTTCTTAAGTTGTTTAGAAACAAAGCAAAAGCTTTGTTTGAGAACCTCATATGGACCTCGTCTGGTCCAGGGCATCAAAGGAAACTGATCTGTTTGCAATATGGTCAGCTGCTGAGATGCTATGAAGCAAGCGAGTTGGCAGGTGGAAGAGTTGGAGAGAGAAATACAGTCAGTGGCTGCACTGGGTTCCTTAGCCAAGAAAAGAGGGTGGGAGTGTGTCTTTTCTCTTAGAACAACCCGTATCTCTTTAAGCTAGGTCTGGACACCCAGGAGATGCAGCACAAACTGCCTTTGAAGATGACGAACTGCCTCACTCTTGGGAGTACAGCACTTTTAAGAAATGCTTGGACCTAAAAAGCTGTCAAATTGGAAGTCATCTAGGCTAGGTTGCAGCTTTTCAGCTCTGTTCAGGAGGAGAATCTCTTTACGACATTAAAAAATGACTTTGCAAAACGGTACTTGTACTTTTAATATTTTGTTTTATTGAACACTCTGTGCCAATCACTATTTTAAGCGATACACATGCACAATTTCCATAATATAAATGTTGACTCATTAATTCTTCATGGCAACCCTGTGAGCAACAGTATCGTTATGATCATATTTTACAATGAAGAAACGAAGGCATGGAGAAGTTAAGTACCTTGCTCAAGGTCACATAGCTAGCATGCAGCCAATTAGGGAGTCAAACCTGAGCAGTCTAGCCCAAGAATCTGAGTGCTGCCTCTCCTGTCTCTACACACACTTCGACATTCCCTAGTAAAATACACATGAAAAGAAAAGATGTGAATTCAACGCTACTTTTTAATATGTACATACATGTGAAAAATAGTTATGTATTTATATGGGAGGGAGTTGAATGTAGCAGTCATTCATCAGCTTCACAAGCATGTCTTTGAGAGCTCACTGTGTGTGCCAGGCCCTGGGCTAGAAGCCGAGGATCAAGTGGTGAAGAAAACACACCACGTCCCTGTGCTCAGGCTGAGGCTTCAAGGCACCAGGCCTAGGCAGACAGAGGAAGGATTATGTTTACCTTGCAGTGCTAATGAGGGTTTTAGATGCTTCTGGGGCCAGAATTCTGGAACGTCCTAGAGCGTTTCTCCCCTTGGATCCAAGCGACAATCCCCTCTTACCTAGAAAGGCAGCAGGCTTCAGAGGGTTTCTGGTCTACCACACTAGCTGTAAGAATTTTGACAATTGTCATCAGTATTCATGTGGTTTAGGCCCCTGTGGACAAAACTGCTAATTTTCTTTTCAGCATCTTCTTTATTTGTCATAAAATCTTTTTTTTTTTTTTTTTTTTTTTATGTGGGGCACATGACTATTCTAGATAAAGACGATCTCTTTTTATTGTTTTGGAGACAGGGTCTCATTCTGTCACCTAGGCTGCAGTGTAGTGGCATGATCTCAGCTCACGGAAACCTTCACCTCCTCCTGGGTTCAAACGATTCTCATGCCTCAGCCTCCTGAGTTGCTGGGATTACAGGCACGTACCACCATGCCTGGCTAATTTTTGTGTTTTCAGTAGAGACAGGGTTCCACCATGTTGGACAGGCTGGTCTCGAAATCCTGACCCCAACTGATCCACCAGCCTCGGCCTCCCAAAGTACTGGGATTACAGGTATGAGCCACTGTGCTCTGCCAATAAAGATGATTTCCACCATCACCTCATGCAACTCACTGTGGCCATATGACTACGTTCTAGTCAATGGGATGTAAAAAGAAATGGTATCTTTAACTTCTGGGAAGCCCTTTCCCACTCCCTCTTTTTTTGCTAGCTGAAATAAGAATGTGATGGCTAGAGCTTGGACAGTCATCTTAGACCATGAAATGGAAACTGCTTCAAGAGAAATATGGAGCAGTGAGACTGAGGAAACCCAGAACTTGTACTTACCTGGGACTATCAACTTCTGTTTTTTAATGAGAGAGCAATAAGCTTCTACCTTATTTGAGCCATGGTTACTTTGTTTTTCTCTCACCTGCTGTCAAGCCTTATCCTAATTGACATAGCATCCTCCCTTAATATTTGATGTGGTTTTATATATTTGGGTCTTTCTAAAGCCACCTAATATCTGTCCTATACTTCTTTTCTTTTTAAATTAACCAGAGTTCGGTTCTCTTGTTTTCAGCTTTGAGCACTTTGGTACCATTTGTCTCTAAGTTCTGTCCTTTGGTTTGCAAGCACAGTGTGAAGTCAATGCTTTTAGGGTTAACATCCCTCCTCTAGTACAAAGCTAATGTATCACACAGAACTCTGCTAATGAGGTCTGAACTCATTTGGGAATTTAGGAAGTATTTTTGCTCAACTCACACTCTACCACCTATTCCATGAATACAAGTCTTAGTTCCAGGGAAAAAGACAACATCCTGTGCTCTTCCAGGACCCATGAGCCCCTCAGCAGGGTTATTGCTTACTTATAACCAGCAGAGGTATAGATTGCTTCTCACAGGAGGGGACCCTGGTGTTGCTTTCTCTACAACTTCACCTGGTGTACCCCAGTTTCTGACTTTGGGGTGTTGGGTCACTTCCTGAAAGCAGGCAGTGCAGACTCTCCAGCCCCCAACCCTTCGGTGGAGTTTTCAGAACTGCCTGTGCTTTCTTCCTTCTGTGTCATGCTGGTGGTGCTGCCCTGTCCCTGTTTCCCAGAAGAGCCCTCACAATCTCTGCAGGACCTGAGCTGGTTAGAGAGCCTCCTTCCTCTAATCAGCCTCCAGCCACAGCTCCACACCAGGTGCCCTGATGCTGCTGCAGGCCCAGGGACAAGAAGGTTGGCTGGCTGTCCCCACGTCTCTCTCACCCTCTAGAGTGTGTGTGTGCAGGGGGGAGGGGGTTAATCTTCAAATAGATACAAACATTTTCCTGTAGCCAAAACTTAACCCATGTTTCTTTAGGCATTATAGCAACCTTAGAACTCTGGAAACCAATCCTTTTTGTTGTTTGTTTTGACAAATAAAGGAGATAGAATGTGGGATATACTTCTACGAGCTGCCATTTTGCCTGTCTTTCTTTCCTTTCATTCTCTCTTTTCTCTGATCTATATCCTATCTAGCTCCCTTCTCTCACTCTCCGAGTGACTGTTACCTGTTAGGATTAAGTCAGGATCATTCCTCAACCCTTGACCTCTGTGAAACTCAGATGCAATGTGACTCAGTGGGTCCTGTGTCTCTGAGCTCTGTTTTCAATAACTTCCAGTTTCTGATTAGCAGTAGAAATACCCGGGCTGCCAGGCACATGTGACCAGATAAGTGTCTAGTTCATGCAGCAGGAGCCAGCAGTTGCTCATAGTCTAGTTGGCCTTGCCTTGTTTGGTTTTCTGCAATTAGTGTTTTTTTTTTTCTTCTACCTAATAGTCACTTAAAAAATAGACTATTGTTTCAGAGCATTTTTAGTTTCATAACGAAATTGAACAGAAGGAACAGAGATTTCCCAAATATCCCCTGCCCCCATAGAGACATACTCTCTCTGACTATCGACATCTTCCACTAGAGTCATGCATTTGTTACAACTGATGAACCTACATTGACACATCATTATCACCCAGAGTTCATTAGGGTTCACTCGTGCTGTTGTACAGTTATATGAGTTTGGACAAATGTATAATGACCTGTATTAACCATTATAGTAACACATAGCATAGTTTCACTGTCCTGAAAGTGTTCTGTGCTCTGCCTATTTATCCCTTCCTCTTCTCAACCCCTGGCAACCATTGATCTTTTTCCTGTCTTCATAGTTTTGCCTTTTCTAGAAGGCTATGTAGTTGGAATCATAGTGTAGGTAGCCTCTTTAGATTGGCTTCTTTAACTTTTTTCACTGAGTTTCAAAAAATATTTTCTCATGGCTTGACGGCTCATTTCTTATTAGCACTGAATAGCACTGGATAGCCAGCACTTATTAGCACTGGATAGCCAGACAATGGAATATTATTCAGTGCTAATAAGATATAGTTTATCCCTTCACCTACTGAAGGACATCTTGGCTGATTCCAAGTTTTGTCAATTATGAATAAAGCTGCTATAAACACCTGTGTGCAGGTTTTTTTGTTTTTGTGTGGACACAATTTTTCAAGTTTTTTGGGTAAATACCAAGCAGCACAATTGTTGGATCCTATGGTAAGCGTACGTTTAATTTCATAAGCAAACATCAAACTGTCTTCCAAAGTGGTCACGCCATTTTGAATTCTCACTATTCTCAATGAATAAGAATTCCTGTTGCTCCACATCCTTGTCAGCATCTGATGTTGTCAATGTTTTGGATTTTGGCCATTCTAATGGTATCTTGTTGTTGTGTTAATTTGCATTTCCCTGATGACATATGATGTGAAATATCTTTTTATATGCTTATTTGCCATCTGTATATCTTCTTTGGTGAAGTGTCTGTTAGAGTCTTTGGCTCATTTTTATTTATTTATTTATTTATTTATTTTTTCAAGTGTCCTCAGAAACATTTAAAGAATCGGGTTGTTTGTGTTCTTATTGTTGAGTTTTAGGGTTCTCTGTATATTTGGATATTTATCTGTTAGGTCTTTTGAAAATATTTTCTCCCAGTCTTTGGCTTGTTTTTTCATGCAGACAGTGTCTTTCACAGAACAAAAAAGTTTAATTTTAATGAAGTCCAGCTTACCAACACTTTTTTTTCCACGGATAGTGCCTTTGGTATTGTACCTAAAAAGTCATTGCCTAACACAAGGTCATCTAGATTTTCTCCTATGTTATCTTCTAGGACTTTTAGATAATCTTATGTTTCACATTTAGGTCTATGATTCATTTTGAGTTAATTTTTGTGAAGGGTATAAAGTCTGTGACTAGATTCATTTGTTTTGCATGTGAATGCTCACTTTTTCCAATAACACTTATTAAAGAAACTCCTTTCTCCACTGTGTTGTCTTTCATCCCTTGTCAAAGGTCAACTGACTCTATTGGTGTAGGTCTATTCTCTGGCTCTCTAGTCTGTTCCATTGATCTATTTGCCTATTCTTTTGTCAGTACTACACTGTCTTGATTACTGTAGCTTTATATTATGTCTTAGAGTCAGGTAGTATGAGTCGTTTACCTTTGTTCTTCTCCTTCAATATTTTGTTGGCTATTCTGGGTCTTTTATCTCTCCCTATACACTTTAGAACCAATTTATTGATATCTATGAAATAACTTGTTGGGATTTTGAATAAGATTGCCTTGAATCTATAGATCAAGTTGGGAAGAACTGACATCTTGACAAAATTGAGCCTCCCTAACATGGAGTATCTCTCAATTTATTTACTTCTTTGATTTCTCTCATCAGAGATTTGTAGCTTTTTTGTTTTGTTTTGTTTTTTTGGTGTAGATCTTGTATGTATTTTATTAGGTTTATACCTAAGGATTTCAATTTTGAGGTGTTAATGTAAATGGTATTGTGTTTTGAATTTCAAATTCCACTTGTTCATTGTTGGTATACAGCAATGAACATTTGTGTATTAACTTTGTATCCTGCAATGCCGCTATAATTGCTTATTAATTCCAGATTTTTTGTTGATTGTTTTGGATTTTTTACATAGAAAATCATGTCATCCATGAACAGACAGTTTTATTTCTTCCTTTTTTTCCTTCTCAATCTATATGGCTTTTATTTCTTTTTCTTGTCTTATTGCATTAGATAGGACTTGTAGTATGATGTTGAAAAGGAATGGTGAGAAGGGATGTTTTTGCTTTGTACCTAATCTTAGTGGGAAAGCTTTGAGTTTCTTACCGCTAAGTATTAACTATCGGGTGTTTTGTAGGTTTTCTTTATCAAGTTGAGGAAGTTCCCATCTATTCCTAGTTCATTGAAAGTTTTTTTTTTTTATAATGAATGGGTGTTGAATTTTGTCAGATGATTTTTCTGCATCTGTTTCTATGATCATGTGATCTTTCTTTTTTAGCAGTTGATATGTTACATTAATTAATTTTCACATGTTGAGCCACCTTTGCATATCTAGGATAAATCCCACTTGGTCATGGGGCATAATTATTTTTGTCCATTACTGGATTTGATTTGCTAATGTTGTGTTGAGGATTTTTGCACGAATATTCATGAGATATGTTGGTCAGTACTTTTTTTGTAATAGCTTTGTCTGGTTTTGGTAATAGGATAATGCTGCTCTCATAGGATGAGTTAATAATAATTCCCTCTACTTCTATTTTCTGAAAGATATTGTAGAGAATTGAAATAATTTCTTTTTAAAATGTTTGGTATAATTCAACATTGAACCTACCTGGGCTAGTGCTTTCTGTTTTGACAGGTTATTAATTATCAATTCAATTTCCTTAATAGATATAGACCTTTTCAGATTGTCTGTTCCTTCTTGTGTGAATTTTGGCAGATTGTGTTTTTCCAGGAATTGATCCATTTCATTTAGGTTATCAATTTGTGGGCATAGAGTTATTCATGGTATTCCTTTATTATCCTTTTAATGTCCATGATATCTGTAGTGATATCCACTCTTTCATTTCTGATATTAGTAATTTGTACCCTTTCTCTTTTATTCACAGTTGGCCAGCGCAGAAGCTTATTGAATTTATTTACCTTTTCAGAGTTTCCCTTTAAGCACTACTTTTGCCTCATCCTACAAATTTTGGTAAGTTGTGTTTTCATTTTCATTTAGTTCAAAGTGTTTAAAAGTTTGTCTTGAGATGTTTTCTTTGACCCATGTGTTATTTAGAAGTATGTTGTGTAATCTGTAAGCTTTTGGGATTTTTCAGCTTTCTGTTATTGTTTTCTAGTTCAATTCCATTGTGGTCTGAGAGTGGACATTGTATGATTTCTATTCTTTTATATTTTTTAAGGTGTATTTTATGGTCCAGTATGTGGTCTGTCCTGGTGAATATTTCATATAAGCTTGAGAAGAAAGTGTATTCTGCTGTTGTTGGATGAAGTAGGCTATAGATGTCCATTATGTCCAGTTGATTAATTGTGTTGTTGAGTTCAACTATGAGGGATGTTGGGGTATTGAAATCTGTAACTATGATAATGGATTCATCTATGTCTTTTTGCAGTCTATTAGTTTCTTTCTCATGTATTTTGATGTTCTGTTATTAGGTGAATACATATTAAGGATTGTTATGTCTTCTTGGAGACTTGATCCTTTTATCATCACGTAACAACTCGTTTTATCCCTGATAACTTTCCTTGGTCTTAAGTCTACTCTGTTTGAGATAGCTACTGCTACTTTCCTTTGATTGGTGCAAGCATAACATGTTTCTGCAAACACTTACCTTTCTACGTGGCCTTATATTTAAAGTGGATTCCTTGTAGACAGCATATAGTTGAGTCTTGTTTCCTGATCCACTAGGAGAACCTCTGTTTTTCAATTGGTATATTTAGGTCATTGATGTTCAAAGTGATTGTTGATATAGTTACATCAATACCTATCATATTTATTACTATTTTTTATTTGTTGTCCTTGTTGTTTTTTGCTGTTTTTGTCTTCCATTCTTTTTCTGCCTTTCGTGGTTTTCACTGAGCATTTTATGTGATTCTATTTTCTCTCCTTTATTAGCATATTAGTTATACTTCCTTTTAAACTTTTTTTTAGCAGTTGCTCTAGATTTTGCAATGTACATTTACAACTAATCCAAGTCCACTTTCAAATAACACTGTACCACTTCATGGATAGTGTGAGAACCTTATAATAATTCTAATTCTTCCATCTCATCCCTTGTATTATTGCTGGAATTCATTTCACTTATACATAAGCATACATGCATGTATAAACATATAGATAGATATAGATATGTGCATAATTGAATAAATTATTGCTGTTATTATTTTGAACACACTGTTATCTGTTAGATCAATCAAGAAAGAGAAAAATAACAGACTTTGTTTTACCTTCACTATTCCTTTTCTGATTCTCCTCCTTTTTTATGAAGATCTGAGTTTCTGACCTTTATCATTTTCCTTTTTTCTTAAAGAATTTCTTTTAGCATTTCTTGCAAGGCACTTCTACTGGTAACAAATTCCATCCATTTTTGTTTGTCTGAGAAAAGGTTTATTTCTCCTTTACTTTTGAAGTCTAATTTCACAGGGCACAGGATCTAGGTGGTTTTTTTTCTCTCTCTCAATACTTTAAATGTTTCACTCCACTCTTTTATTGCTTATGTGGTTTCTGAGGAGAAGGTGGATGTAATTCTTATCTTTGCTCCTTTATAGATAAGGTGTTTTTTCCCTTTGGCTTCTTTTGGAATTTTTTCTTTGTTTTTCTGTAGTTTAAAAATCATATGCCTAGGTGTAGGGGTTTTTCTTTTTGGCATTATCCCACTCATTATTCTCTGAACTTCCTGGATTTATAGTTTTATGTTTGCCATTAATTTGAGGGAAATTCTGTTATTATTATTTCAAATATTTCTTCTGCTCTTTCTTCTCCTTCTTGTATTCCCATTATGTGTATGTTACAATTTTCATAGTTGTCTCTAAGTCTTGACTGTTCTGTTTTGTTTCTTTCAGTCTTTTTTTCTCTTTGCTTTTCAGTTTTGGTGGTTTCTATTGAGATGTCTTCAAGTTCAGAGATTCTTTCTTCAGTCAAGTCCAGTCTGCCAAAAAGCCCATCAAAAGCATCCTTCATTTCTGTTATGTTTTTGATCTTTAGCATCTCATTTTATGTTTCTTTCTTAGAATTTTTTATCTCTCTGCTTACATTGCCAGTTTATTTTTGCATGTTGCCAACTTTATTCATTAGAGCCCTTAGCACCCTAATCCTTGTTGTTTTAAATTCCTGGCCTAACAATTCCAGCATCCCTGCCATATCTGAGTCTGGCTCTGATGGCTTGCTCTGTTTCTTTAAACTGTAGTTTTTGCCTTTTACTATGTCTTATAATTTTTTCTTGATAGCTGGACATGATATATTGGTAAAAGGAGCTGTTTAAAATAGGACTTTAGTGATGTGGTAAGGTGTGTTAAAAGAAGAAATGTAGACAAATTAAATTTAGCAGAGTTTAATTGAGCAAAGAATGATTTGCAAAATCAGGCAGTCTCCCGAGCCCGAATAGGCTCAGAGACACTCCAGCAACACTCCAGCCCTGCTGTGTGGTGGAAGAAAAAGGAAAGTGTTGTACAGAAAATGGAAGTGAGGTGCAGAAACAGCCCAATTGACTACGGCTCCGTGTTTACCTTATTTGAACAGGGTTTGAATAGTTGGCTGCCTGTGATTGGCCAAAATTCTGTGATTGACACAAGAGTAAGCTACAGTCTGTTTACACATCCAGTTAGGTTACACTTCACTATTTGCAGAGAAACCTTTAGGTTGAACTTAAAATGTGTAAGGAGGCAGCCTTAGGCTAAACTTAACAGGTGCGTGTGGGGGGAAATTGTTAGGATGGAGTGTTAAATTCTGGCTTCTTCCACACTGGAATGGAAGCCAAAGTTCTAATAATCTGCAATTAGTTTTCAGGGGGAGGCTGTAGAAGGGATCTGTGGGCAGACCTGGATGCGGGAGTCATTGGTTAAGGTGGTGGGATGGGGCCCAAAGAAGAACTGACTGGTGAAGATCAGGAAAAAATGCCTTTTAGCTCGAGGGGGACCTGCTAGAATTTGGAAGATGCGCAGATGAGGCTCAAATTTTACTTCCTCCACACCCCACCCAGATGCTCCTTTGGTGTAGGTAAGGTGAAGCAGAGGGAACAAAAGAAATCAAAGATACCATTTCCACATTTGAATAAAAAGTGGGGAAAAGAAGAAATGGATTTAGAGTCAGACATACCCAGGTTTAAATACGGATCTACTCTTGTGATCATGGCAAGCCCACTCCCTGAGCTTCAGGGTCCTCATTTGTAAAAATTGTAAAGATGACTAAGTGTGATGATTTCCCAGAGTAGCACAAAGTAGGTGTTTCAGCTGGAGGTGGGAGCCAGGGGCCCCATAGTTTGCTTTCTTATTATGTCTCCTTGGCTCCCTTCAGTCCACTGTCATGGCCCCAGAGGCAGGAGAGCAGGAGAGAGTGGAAGGTGTGATTCAGCAGGCTGCGACTCATTAGGGCTGTGAAACTTGTTTGAGGCCTCCTGTCCAGTAAATGCTGAATTTAGAACATGGTTCCGAGTCTAGTGCTCTGTTTATCTCAGACTGTGCATGAGGGAGAGGAAGGGAGAAGTTGCAGGGCGTTGTGCAGGATGTGCCTCTCTGCATCTCTTGGAGGAACCAGCAAGGCTGGTAGGAGTGGCTTCATTACCTGTGAGTGAGTGAGTAAGGATGTCTCACCCACGACATTTCCATATTCAACCCATCACGGCCACATACACTGGCCACACATGCCGACTGTGAACTCACATATGCCGGCTGTGAACTCACATGTGCATGGCTTTGTAGGATCCCATCTAAACTCACAGCATAATTGCATTTTCCCTTTTAGTTTTGCTTACTTTTGGTACTTGGTTTAAAATATATCACATATACAGAAGATAACGTAGCAGTTGTACCCTACCCAATACTCAGATTTAACTCGTATCAACACTTTAAGATATATATATGTTCTTTTAAAAAAGTTAATTAATTCTTAACTGACAAATGATTAATTGTCTATATTTATGGTGTACAATGTGATGTTTTGATATGTGTATACATTGTGGGAAAATTAAGCTAGTTAACATATCAATCACCACATTCATTTTTTTTGAGAATATTTAAAATAGACTCTCAGCAATTTTCAAGTATGTAATAGATTATTAACTACAGTCATCATGCTGTACAATAAATCTCCAGAACTTGTTTCTCCTAACTGAAACTTTGTACACTTTAACTAACATTTCCCCTTTCCACACCCCTTTACGCCTCCCAAGCCCCTGGTTACTACCATTCTACTCTCTGCTGGTATGAGTTTGATTTTTTTAGATTCCACATATAAGTGAGATCACGCAGAATTTGTCTTTCTGTGCCTGACTTATATCACTAAACATAATGTCCTCCAAGTTCATCCATGTTCTCATAAATGAAAGAATTTCTTCCTTTTTAAAAGCTGACTAGCATCTCATAATGTGAACATACCACATTTCCCTTACTTGTTTATCTGTATATGAACACTTATGTTGATTTCATATCTCAGCTATTGAGTATAATCATGCAATGAACATGAAGATGCAGATATCTCTTTCACATACTGATTTAATTTTCTTTGGATATATACCCAGGAGTGGGATTGCTAGATTACATGGTAGTTCTATATTTAATTTTTTGAGGAGCTTTCATGCTGTTTCCCATAATGGCTGTAGCAATTTACATTCCCACCAGCAGTGTACAAGAGTTCTCCTTTTCCACATTCTTACAAATATTTTATTATCTATCTATCTATCTATCTATCTATCTATCTATCTATCATCTATCTATCTATCTATCTATCTATCATCTATCTATATCTATTTTTTTGAGATGGAGTTTCACTCTTGTTGCCCAGGCTGGAGTGCAATGGCATGATCTCAGCTCACTGCAACCTCCGCTTCCCGGGTTCAAGTGATTCTCCCACCTCAGCCTCCAGAGTAGCTGGGATTACAGGCACCCGCCACCATGCCCAGCTAATTTTTGTATTTTCAGTAGAGATGGGGTTTCACCATGATGGCCAGGTTGGTCTCAAACTCCTGACCTCAGGTGATCCACTCGCCTCAGCCTCCCAAAGTGCTGGGATTACAGGCGTGAGCCACCGTGCCTGGCCTCTTTATATTTTTTGATAAACATCTTCCTTACAGGTATGAAGTAATATCCTATTGTAGTTTTAATTTGCATTTTCCTGCGGTTAGTGACATTGAGCAACTTTACATATATCCATTGGCCTTCTGTATGTCTTCTTTTGAGAAATGTCTATTCAGGTCCTTTGCTCACTTTTTAATCAAGTTGTTTTCTTGCTGTTAAGTTGTTTGAGTTTTTTATGTATTTCGGATTAACCCCATATCAGATGTACGGTTTGCAAGTATTTTCTCTCAGCCCATAATTTTTCTCTTTACTCTGTTGATTGCTTCCTTAGCTGTGCAGAACCTTTTTCCTTTGATGCAAACCCGTTTGCCTATTTTTGCTTTTGTTGCCTACATATTTGGGCAGGAGACAAATCTCTGCCAAGACCAATGTCAATACATTTTTTTTCCTGTTTCCTTCCAGTTGTTTTACAGTTTTAGGTCTTATATTTAAGTCTTTAATCCATTTTGAGTTGACTATTATATGTGGGGTGAGATAAGAGTCCAATTTCATTCTTCTGCAGGTGGATATCCAGTTTTCTCAGCACCATTTATTGAAGAGACCACCCTTTCCCCATTGTGTGTTCTTGCAAATGTGTCAAAGATCAGTTGACCACAAATTTGTAGATTTACTTTGGAGCTCTCTATTCTGCTCCATTGATTTATATGTTAGTATCATGTTGTTTTGATTACTACACCTTTGTAGTATATTTTGACATATAGTGTTATACTTCCAGCTTTGTTCCTTTTGCTCAAGATTGCTTTGGCTATTTAGTATTTTTTGTGCTTCCATATGAATTTTGGAATTGTTTTTTATGTTTCTATGAAAAATATCATCAGAATTTTGTTAGGGATTGCATCGAATTTGTAGATTGCTTTGGGTAATATGGACATTTTTGTGATATAAATTCTTCCAATCCGTAAACACAGAGTATTTTTTCAAGTGTTTATTTTTTATTCAGTTTCTTTCATTGATGTTTTATACTTTTCAGTGTACAGATCTTTCATCCATTTGGTTAAATGTATTCATCCTTAGTTTTTTTTGATGCTGTTGTAAATGAGAATGTTTTCTTGATTTCTTTTTTGGATAGTTTTTTTGCTTATAGAAACATTGCTGATTTTTTTATGTTAATTTTGTATCCTATGACTTTACTGAATTTGTTTATTAATTCTATCAGCTTTTTGGTGGAGCCTTTAGGATTTTCTGAATATAAGATAATACCATCTGCAAACAGAGATAAATTCACTTCCTGTCTTCTGATTTAGATGCCTTTTATTTCTTTTTCTTGCCTACTTGTTCTGGCTAAGATTTCCAGAACTGTGCTGAATATAAGCAGTAAGAGTGAGCATGCTTGTCTTGTTCCTGATCTTGGAGGAAAAGCTTTTCACTGATGGTTAAAAGCTTTAATGAACTTTTCACTGATGAGTATGATGTTAGCTGTGGGCTTGTGCTATATGGTCTTGATTGTGTTGAGGTGCATTTCTTCTACACCTAATTCATTGAGAGTTTTTATTATGAAATAATATTCAATTTTGTCAAATACTCTCTTCATCTCTTGAGATGAGCATAAAATGTTTTGTCCTTTATTCTGTTAGGCTTTTTTTTTTTAAAGAAATAAAATGTTACCTCTAAAGTATCCCCTCCTCCACCCACTCACTGTCATTCATCTCAGAGGTAACTATTGTCTTGAAGTTGGTGCTTAGTCTTCCCATGCATAGTTTAGTATTTTTATTATGTATGTTGGTGTCCAGATATAATGTAGCCTTGCATTGTGAGTTTTAAATTATTAAAATTGTATACTACTTTCATATACTGTCTTAGTCAGTTCAGGCTGATACAACAAACTACCATAGACTGAGTGGCCTATAAACAACAGAAATGTATTTCTCACATTTCTGGAGGCTGGAAGTCTGAGATCAAGGTGCTAGCATGGCCAGATTTTGCTGAGAGTCCTCTTCTGGTTTATAGACTGCTGACCTCTCATTTTGTGCTTACATGGTGGAAAGAGGGCAAGAGAGCTCTCTCGGGGTCCCTTTTGTAAGGATGCTAATCTCATTCATGTGGGTTCCACCCTCATGACCTAATAACCTCCCATAAGCTGCACCTCCGAATATCATAACTTTGGGGGTTAGGATTTCAACATTTAAATTTTGGGGGAACACAAATGTTCTGTACCTAACATGCATCCATCTGTAATTTTCTTTTTCAGACAGTATAGACACATTTTTGACAATACGAATAGCCTAGATCATTTAACAGCTGGATTGTATTCTCTATTATGAACTTAACATGGTTGATTTGTCTGTTCCTCTGTTGGTGGACAATTTAAACTGTTTCCACTTTTTGACAATACAAAAACAGGCCCTCAGGAGTGAAACTGATGCATCCAGCTATGTGGCAGATTCAACTTACTAGATATAGGCAAAGTACTGTTCAATTCATAACACCATAAGCGGTGATGGTAAGAGTTTCTGTTTCCTCATCGCCTTGCCAAGACTTGGAATCATTGGGTTTATTTTCCTAAATAATAATGTATAAATTCTGGCTCACTAGTTATTACTGCCATAATTAATCACACCCTCATTTGGTCCCATGGTACCATTTACATTGTATTACAAGCATCTGAGTTACATCAGATTCACACTGTGTTACAGACACCCCCACTGGGCCATTCATTCATTGATGATGGATTCCTGTCTATTCCTTTTTGTGTCCCCAGCACGCAGCACAGTGAATGGGGCTCAGTATGCACGTATTGAGTTAAACATAAATAATTAAGAGATCACAGAGTGGAGTAGTCAGGAAAGACAGTGAAGGGGGTGAAATTGAGATTGGCTAAAGAATGGGAACTTTCAAACACTCCTAAACGGAGTGTCCACCAGGACAACCACTTTGGAAAACTACTGGGCAGTATCAACTAAAGCTGTGCATGCCCTATGACCTTCTAATTCCACTCCCCATGGAAATGTGTGAATACGCACACCCAAAAGCACACCCTGGACTGTCCATAGTAGCACTCTTTGTGAAAGCCCCAATCTAGAAACAATCCAAATGTTCCTCCATGGTAGAACTGTTAAATAAAATTGTGATATATTCACACATTGGAAATGTGATAAGCATGAATGACCTTTAGCTGCAAGCAGCGATATGGAAGAATTTCACAATCCAATATTGAGCAAAATATGCCAGACCTCACAGAGCGGGTGCTGTACGATTCCATTTACCCGAAGGTCAAAATCAGACAAAACTAATCTGGTGTAAAATTCATGATACTGATTATTCTTGGTGAGGAGTGAGTGCCCGTTACTGGACGGGGGCATGGGAGTGCTGGTTTTGCCTTATTTATTTTGTGTTGTGGTAAAATTTACATACAAAGAAATTCAGTTTTTAAAAAGTGTACACTTCAGTGAGTTTTGACAATCAAACCACACAATATATAGAACATTTCTGTAGCCCCAGAGAGCTCCTTCATGAGCCTTATATTCTGTTTTTTCTTGGTGTTGGTATGGATGTTGGTGACATGGGTGTATTCACTTTGTGAAAATTCATTGAGCCGTGAACTTATGATACGTGTGTGCTTTTCTGAATGTATGTACTACTTCCATAAAATGTTCCAAAAGTATTTTGAAAAAGACTGGCCCAAAGGATGGCCAATTGGCTATAAGAGGGTCAAATGTGTGGCCGAGGGGATGGGAGGAATGCTGTGGGGAGGTTGACTGGAATGGTGCTGTGTAGACATAGTGAAGAGTGGAACAGAAAGTGAGTTTGATGTTAAGCTTCAGCTTTATACATTTGCTGCTGGTGAGTAGTGTGAACAAGCCTTTATCTTTCTGGCACTGGATCAGCTGCTTTTGTTCTTTCTCTCTCCCTCCAATATCCTGTAATAGCAGGAGGGAGCCCTCAAGAGGGATTCAAATGTGGTCTTTTTCCTGAAACACAGAGCAGGTGGCCTTGGGCTCCACTCTCTAGGATCCCCAGGTGAGGATCCTGACATGTTCTTGACAGGAGATTCTGTCCTCTGTAGCCACCAGCATGGGACACCTCGTTCTTTCTTGACCAGAGTCCCCATCCCTTGGCTCTGAGACTTCAAACCTTTAGGAATCCCTTCCTGGTCTCTGCTGGGTCCTGACAGCTCTAAGGGAGGATTTTTGAAGGTTCTTTGGGAAAAGTCAAGTCAGTGGTATGAGTCTCTCTTGTCTTCCCTTTGCAAAGACCTCCCTTTACTTATGTTGATAACACAGAGAGTGAGTGACTTTAGAGGCCCCTTAGAGAATTTTGTCCTGGAAGTCTTTGTTTTATTTTCTTTGCTTTTTTTTTTTTTTTTTTTTTTGTCCTTTCTCCTTCTCCATTTGCTGAGCTCTCCAAAGGTGAAAACAGACAAACAAACAAACAAAAAACACCACCAAAATCTGGTAGAGAGGGAAATAAAGAAGGGTATAACTAGACAAAGCAAAACCGCATGTCTAATGGTGTAAAAATTTAAAGTGGTGCTTGTTAAAATTTGCTAACATTCCCTTTTACTAAAGAACTAAAAGTGTACTTCATTTAGACTGTTCTCTTCCATGGCAAATAAACCTGATTTAGCTATGACCTTTGTGAAAAATAAACTAAACAACATAGAAAAAAAATTCCTTTTTCTTTTTTAAAAGTCAGGCTTGAAATTTTTATATCCTTTGAGTCATATTCTTGAAGCAATTGGCTGATTAATTCAAGAAATGTTACTTTCCCAATTCAAATATGACATTTTGAAAATCATCCATGAATTACATGCCTCAAGAATGAAAGGCTTTTCTGTGCCATTTAAAAGGTTTTTTTCATTTTGAGGGCAATCGTGAATATCTATAAGGGCACATTTATTACTCCCAGAACAGATAGAAAATTAGCAAAGTCATAAAATTCTTACCCAGCTTTGCTATTGCAGCTGTGTCTCAATCCAGTGCCCCACTCATTCCCCTGCCACTAAAATGGTTGAGGATGATGTTATTTTTGCCATTACAGGCAAGGCACTGGTCTTTTTAGCTTGGTTTTTTAAATCTCTACACAGAAATTAAAAAGAAAAAAGGTATGCATTTAAACTTTGTTCTTTTGGTGGGATTCAACCAAGAATTGCTAGTCTCATAAATTCGTTCCTTAAAAATCTTACCTTCTGATCCTGGAATATGTCCCTCTCCTTCTACTCTCATATGGTAAACCAATACTAAGCCTCAGAAAAACAACTGGCTGTAAACTTTCTGCCTTAATTTACACTACTGTATGCAGGACCTGTAGACATGGATGTATGTTTCTGTATATACCCACCCAGTAATTACTGAGGCAAGCCTTTAATTTGTCCGAAATTGTGCAGGCATAATGGGACGACCCACACATTTTTCCATTGGAAATTGTAAATGAATGACAAACAGAGAACTCCGCCCTAATCCCCGCCCCACAACACTTCCTGGGAAGCTTATTCATAACTCTTTGTGTGTCGGGATGGAATTGACACTCACAGGGGTTTTGATCACTATTGCTCACTTGATTTGAGCAGTCCCACTCCAAGTGTGGTCCTCAGAGTAGTACGGGTCTGTAGTCAGCAAGGAAATTAATTCTAAAATTATGGAAAAGTACTTAAAAATGTTAGAGGCATTTGGCAGATTAATTTTCTGTCTGTTGAATCTAATAATAAAAATTAAGGGTTTTTTTTTTTTTTTTTTTTAACAACTCAACGGTATTAAAATCTAGTAGAGTTCCTGTCTCTGGCCAGAATGAGATTGACTCTTCTTTGGTAGATTTATCACCCATAGCAAAACCATCTTCAGATGTGCACAATGAAATAAGTGCTATTCAAATAATACTATGTTATTATCAAATATTAAATATCAAATATTAACAATAATATTTGAATAGCACTTAATAAGTATTTAAGCGTGAAGTGATGTCTTGGTTTGGGGTCCCCTGGAAGCACACTCTGAGAGATGGCGCTGAGCAAGCTGCTTATTTGGTAGAAGATTCCAGCGAGTACTAGTAGGGAAGTGGGGAAGAGAGATGGGGAAGGCAAGGAAGCTAATAAAGTGTGTGTTTTCAAGTAGGTGACTGCTATAGGCAACTGGAACTCAATCCCACTGGGAGCTCGTGGACTGGTATAAAACACACTTCACAATGGCCCCACTCGAGGGGTGAGGGAGTTGGGGTATTCATTGACCAATGAGTGGAGTCTTATGGGTTTACTGATTCCCCCAAGATCACCAAACAGTTGACTGACAGGCACTCAGTCTGTTGACTCCCAGCACTTCCAGTCTTCTGTGCAAGCTCACTGGGCTCCACGATGATGGAAAAAGCCATCAGGCAAAGACATGTGGGAGCTGCTGCTTGAAAGTTGGGCTGGTTTGAACAGATATGGAAAGTGCTGAGGGGATGCTTGGGACAGCAAAAGCACTGGACAATGGGTAGTTTGGACAGGTGGACTTACCCCAATTTATAGACAAGGAAAATGGGGTCCAGCTTAGCACTATAGTACAATGTGGAAGACAGTGGGGGAGTGAGAAGGACCTCTCCCCATGACCGCCCACTTTGATTCCACCCAGAGCCTCTTCTGCTGCCTTTCTTTCCTGTCTTGTGGATTGGGTAGTTGGCAGAGACTGACTGGGTGCTCATGCAGCCATCTCTGCTTCCTGGACCCCTCATCTGGACTTCATTTCCCAGTCTCCCTTGCAGAAGGATGTGTCATGTAGCAGAGCTGAGGAGAGTGACTGGAAGCATTGGACAGTACTTCACTGCTGAACCTACAAAAAACTTTACAAGTTTTCTCCCTGCTTTCTACCTTTTGAACAGACTGGGATTGAGATGACCCCAGGGCATCCTAGAAAGTCATACCTTGATGGTGGCAGAGCCACAAGATGGAAGGAGTCTGGGTCCCTGGGTTGTCACTTAGAGGTGGGCCACTTGGCTAGAAACATACTCTTTAGAGTTTTTTTGGGTTAAGCCACTGTGATTTTGAGGATTATTTGTTACAGCAACCAGCATCACCTTAAATAATGTAACATCATACATGTGTGATCAAAAACTTGACTTTATATCACTTACCATAATCTCAGATTCTGCACTTATTTACTTATCCACTATCTCCCCTCCAAGAGGAGGGACTTTGATTTGTACACCGCTGTATCCCTGGTATCTGGCGTATGTATATGCTCAATAAATATTTGGCAAATGACTAAATGCCAATGTATTAACTTGTCTGACAACTCCCAGCAGGCAAGTGAGAGAGTCAGGATTGGAGTCCAGGCCCACTGAACCCTCAAACTCTTAAGCCCTCTGCACATTGCCTGACTATGCATGCCAGGTGCAGTGCTGGAACCTGGGCATGTAGGAAGGTTAGGTGCCTGTTATGTTGCCCCTGAGCTCTACCTAACAGGCAGCAGTTAGCACAGGGCTTATGTGTGGTGGGAAAAGCAGACCCATCTTTGTTTTCACCCATGGATCAGGCTATCTTTTAGAAATGTTGAGCTTTGTGACTTACCCAACCTGAGCAAGGGCTCAGCTATAGAACCACAAAATCCTTTTATGGACTATGAGATAACTGGGCAAAATACATAGAGATAAAGCCAGATCCTCTTTGAACAATCTAAGCAAAGGCAGTGAGTCACAGAAAAGCATGGATCCAGCAGACCTTGGGATGAGTTAGGAGGAGAGGAGAGCACAGGCGTTAGGTTTAAGAGCCTGGGCTTTGGTGATCAGACACTGCTGGCTTCAAGGAGCTCTGTCATTTACCAAGTGGTCTGACCTTGAACAAGTTAGCTAACCTTGTTGGGCTTCTTTTCCTTATCTATAGACTGGATGTAATAATGCCGGTCTCCTGTGGTAAAATGATTAACACAGAGACACAAAGTGTGGGCTCAGAAGATGGTGGCTTGTATAGTAGCTGTTCTTTAATCCCCGGCGTTAAGACAGAGAACTCTACCCTCTTGGCCACTAAGACATAAAGACTGAGGTGCTTGGGAGACTATAATCATGGCGGTTACATGAACTGGGTCCGAAGAGAAAGCTATAGGCTGCCCTGGCCTCTCCTTTACCCTTCCCATGTGCAGCCACTAGAGGGCCGTGGGCATCTCTGTTTACCACTGTTGTGTTCAGATGTGGCACCCAGGATGCCCACTGAATTACTAGAACTCTCTTTCCAGGGGAAGGCAAAAGAGCAGTGCACTCAAAGAGAAAAATTTGAGCAGCTACTGCGGGGTCATATTTACAAGGACTGCAACGAGACTGCAGACATTCCTTAGAATTCCACAGAATTTTCTGTGGAAGTGGCCTTGCTCATTCCTTACTCTGCTGCAGGCAAAGCTGGCCCTTGAGCAGATGATCTACTGCCCACTGAGTGAACTGCCTGGGGTTGCCCTGGCACCAGCTTGGGGCCCTGTGTTGAATGAGATAAGGGTCTCCTAGTCTTATTAGACAACCTAGGCATGAGGTCTTGATTTCCGAAGATCACTCATTGGCCCACTAAAGCATTGGGACTGAAAATTAGCTCATCCTAATAGAGGTGGATTATAGTTCAGCAAATTTCCAGAGGTTTGGAACCATCTGATGATGCATGGGAGACCAGGGTGTTCTCAGTAGGCAGAGTCCTGGAGCCCTCCCCTCCAATTTACCCCACCTTCCAACTCTCAGTTCATTAGGTCAGCAAGGTCTGATATTAAAAGGCAAATAGCTCATGGACAGCATGGCTCACATTAGTCATTTTCACCGTAGTAAGAAAGCTCTCTGTTCTCTTTGAGATTTCACTCTAAATCCTTAACAAAAATACCTTAGACATGGCTCCATAACTTGCCACTCTTGTTCCTCTGCTCATCACCTTAAACTCCCGGTTTTCAGAAAACACCAAGTACTTACCTATTTCTTTGCTTTTCTCCATACTATTTTCTTATTACAAATACACCCACTTCCCCTTGCTCTTTTATGCTTTATAAAATCCCACTCCTTCATTAGAACCAACAGATACTTCCCTGATTTCTGCCTCTATTTCTTCATAGTACTTTGTGCTTACACTTAACAAACACATCAGAGGGTTTTGTCCTATACATTTTTGTCTCTCCTGATCACCCAGTTGAGCTGTTCATGTGACTAATCTCCAGCCTCTGCTTGAATACCTGTCCTGACAGGATACTCACCACCTCAAAGGCAATGCATTCCATTGCCAGCCAATTCTCTTTGCAAAAAAAATTTCCTCATTATTATAAACCAAATCTATATGCCTGATACACGGACGCATTGATTCTCTTCCTACTAGTTCAGTTCATCTGTAGCAAAAAATTGCTTCAGATGTGAATAAGTCTTCTCATTCCGTGATTAGACACAGATCTTAAATATAAATATTCTGAGAATGGGCAATACCTTCTAAGGTGTAAATAATTCATTGTAAGGTGTAAATGTCTGGGCATGGTGTTTCATGCTTGTAATCCCAGTGCTTTGGGAGGCCAAGGCAGGCAGAACACTTGAGGCCAGGAGTTCAAGACCAGCCTGGCCAACATGGTGAAACCTTATCTCTCCTAAAAATACAAGAGTTAGCCAGGCGTGGTGGCACATGCCTGTAATCCCAGCTACTCGGGAGGCTGAGGCACGAGAATCGCTTGAACTCAGGAGGCGGAAGTTGTGGTGAGTCAAGATCACGTCACTGCACTCCAGCTTGGGGGACAGAGTGAGACTGTCTCAAAAAAAAAATGTGTAAATGACTGGTAAAAAGTTTTCCATAAGAATAGAATTGTGTCAGGATAACTTAAGGGTGGGGTTAGGAATGCCAAAGGTACCGGGAATATAAGGACTTCAAAAATGTGCTACAGTAGAGAGAATACTAGGCTAGGAAATGAAAGATGGGTCCAATGTCTTTATGTTTTCTGAGCTTTGATTTTCTCATCGGGAAAAGGAATACTTTTCATGATGAGTAGTTCTACTTATAATTGTAATTGCAGAATTTTCTGTGGAAGTGGCCCTGCTCATCTGGGCTGTCTTAAGCCTTTGCTCTGGTTTGGCTTCCTTAGGTCTGGGCGGGCAAAAAGTCACACATGTGTCAATGGGCCTCAGCCTCCTGGGGGTTGGGTAGACGATTTTGGTGCCAAGGATGCCATGACTTACACCACCCACAATCATGTCAATCAATGAATGAGCCTTTTATTCCCACCTGGGTTGAAATTTTCTTTCCCCTGCCTTGAAGTCTTGCTTCACACGGGCTATTTATGGCATTTGTATCATAAATGAAGGATGCAGGTAACACCTTTTATTATGATTTTATTATATACTCTCTTTTACTAGAATTTTGCAAAGTAAAATATTGAATAAGAACCAACTTTATTTTTCCTAAGTTCTACCCCATAGGACCAGGTCATATTAACAATTGCTTGATGCACAATAATCCGTGACTCAATAAATACTTTACAAAAATAATGCAGTTTTTTTTGTTTTCTTAAAACATAAAAAACTAAGATTCCCCAGATTGACCCTCCCCCCCTTTTATATTTATTTATTGGGGATATATTGGTAGATGAAAAAATTGTTAAAATAGTATTAAAATAGGTGAAATGCGGTCCATTATCTTTTTCCCATTTGTTTTGTTGTTTTCCTTTGGAAAAGTGCTACTTCTTGTTTTTACATCTGAACTTGGCTGCAGTCTTCTGAACCTGCTAGGACATGAGCAGAAATTCTACTGTTTTGGGGCCGTTTAGCAGAATGATAGCATTATGATAATATTGATCTTTTATTTTAAAGCCTATTTAAAACCAGTCCTCAGCTTTGTCCCTAAAATATCATATTCCCTACCCAGTCTGAAGAAGAGACTTTTGGAATCTGAGACTCCAGCAAGGTGCCTCATGACCAAATAACATTTGGTTTAAGGTGGGCGTTTACATGTTTTGATATATTTCCATTGCATTATTTTTAAAGAAATAAATTCCAAAATTCCCTTTCTCTTCCACTTCCCTAAGTCTCTTTCTTTCTGATCTCTCACAGACGTGATTAGTTTCACCACAACTCCAGAGAAAAGGTTACGCTTAATTAAGTCACATTTGTATTAAATAAGTTATATATAAAAACTGCTTATAACGTTTACAACCTCAGTCTCTTTCCCCCTTTGCCTCTCTTTGAAACTCTGGATCCGGGTGTGAATTGAGTCGCACCCACTGTGGCTTCCAGGTTCTTCTTCTGGCTTCCAAGTTGTCCCCATCCTTCTGCCCACATCGCTCCCCAGGGGCACTTTCAAGGAGCTCTGCAGATGGCGAGGGCGGCTTCACAAGGCAGTCCCCTGGGCGTGGCACACGCCCCTAGCGTAATGTATGAGAAATACTCATGTGGTATATACAAATATACACGACCGCAGCTATGAAGGTCTCGGCGCCAGTCGGCACGTCAGTGCAGCACGTGTGTGCTCCAGAACCAGAGGCAGCGTCCTCCACCTCATCCCAGTCTCTTTAATATTCCCTGGCCTCTTGGAACTGCTTGATGTAGTCCTCGTCCGAGGGGCTCTCTGTGCACTTCTGTCCGTTGTTGGGAGGCCGGGCCTCGTTATACCTGCTCCAGTCACCCTTGCAGATAATCCAGGGCAGGACGTCCACCTTGTAGTGGAGCTCCGCGGAGAACTCGGTGCTGATGAGGTTGGGCGTGCCCGCCCCCTTGCCCCTGGTGATGAGCTGCATGTTGTCGCCGTAGCAGCAGTGCTGTGCCGCCAGCGTGGTGCTCTCCAGGGACAGCATGGAGCGGATGCAGTACCGGGCAGTGGGCTTGTAGATCTCCAGCTTCTCCTTGGGCCCGCTGGCGTCCTTCCAGCGGAAGTCCTTGCGCTTGATGCGGTCGAAGATGTCGGCCGTGCTGTAGGCCACCTCAGTGGGGTAGGAGCAGGGGCAGCTGGGCAGGTCATTCATCACCTTGTGCATGTACTTCTTTAAGAACTCGCTTTTGCAGCTCATCCAGCGCTCACAGCTGTCTGTGTCTGGAAAAGGCCAAAGAGAAACCCTCTCACCGCGTGTACAACCGGCCCACAGGAGGTGCTTCAAGGAGCATGTGACACCAGGCTGCTCCTGAGGGCCCGCAGGAGGACACTAAAGTCAACAACTCCCTGAAGTCAACAACTCCTGTCCTAGAGCCAGACACCCCTGCAGCCCCCTGGCACCATCAGAAGTGGATGGCCGTTCTCACGTCCCTTGAACTTGGGAACTTCATTATTCACAAGACTTCCTCCAAATGCCCCACTTTATATTATGAAATTTTCAGACACACAGAAAAGTAGAGAATATTCTTATACAATGACTACCCATATTTCATCACCTGGATTTAACTATTATTATATTTGTTTTATCTTTTAAAAAATGTTGTGGAAATATATAATGTCACCCCTAAATTTTAGTAAGCATCTACAAAAAAGAGGATATTTTCCTAGATAACCGTGATCCGATTATCACTCCTAACAAACTTAAGAATTCAGAATTATTTGAATCTCCCCTCTAAATAAGTGATGAGGCCAGGCACGGTGGCATATGCCTGTAATCCCAGCACTTTGGGAGGCTGAGGCGGGCGGATCATCTTAAAACACTGAGGTCAGGAGTTTAAGACCAGCCTGGCCAACAAGGTGAAACCCCGTCTCTACTAAAAATACACAATATTAGCCAGGTGTTGTGGCATGCGCCTGTAATCCCAGCTACTCAGGAGGCTGAGGCAGGAGAATCGCTTGAACCTGGGAGGCAGAGGTTGCAGTGAGCTGAGATTGCACCACTGCACTCCAGCCTGAGCAACACAGCAAGACTCTGTCTCAATAAACAAATAAATAAATCAATAATAAAAATAAAAAATAAAAATATAAAGAAATAAGTGATGATATGATGGAAAAGGCCCCAAAGGAAGATTTATAGGACTCAGTTTTGATTTTGCCACATATGGACTGGTTCCCCCAGCCTCTTAACCTTAGGCATGTAACCATCGCTGTCTGCAAATTCACATGGCAAGGCGCCTCAAAGAGGAAGGAGCCCGGGGCACTTACTTTTAGGGAGCTTAAGATTTGGGTCACAGGCCAGTGACCTGTAGGCCTGGGTCAAAATCTACCCCCAGAAGGGTTGTGTTTGGTTCTTTCAGTATTAAAAATAATTGATTAGTTGCCTATATTTAAGAATTAGGTTATTCCAATTATAAATGTGGATTCCTGGCTTTATTTGAAAAACCAAAAGATCGAATTATGCTGATCCTGCATTCTCCCATGGGAACAACTGATCCTGTGAACAGGTGAATGGTGACCCCTCCATGGACAGGGCCGAAGGTCCCCAGCTCAGCACAGCTCCTACTTGATCCTTTCATTTATGGGTGATCTCTTGGTCCCTCAGTCATCTGAGTCCAGGACTTCAGGTTTAGTGAGTCTCAGGTTTAGTGAATGTCTTAGTTTGGGTTACCCCAGACCCTGAGACAAAAAGATTCCAGTGAAAATGATTTTTTGGGAAGTGATTTCAGGAAACAGAGGCAGGGGAGCAGGGGAATTAGAGAAGGGAGGGCAGCTAATACAGGGTGTGGAGCAAACGAGTAACCACTGTAAGGAACTGGTAACTCCCACTGGGATCTGGGAAACCGCATAGAGAACATGCCTCAGCATTTTCCTATCTGAGACAATGTTAAACTTTACCCAAGCCCTGTGATCCTGGAAAACAGTGAAGGTTAGGAGTCCCCCAGCCCTTCTGCATTCTGGAAAACAGCTTATTGCAAAGAACGCCCTTTCCCCATAGGACTTAGAAAAGACTCACAGAGGTCTGCTTTGTTCACCTGTGACAAGGCCAGAAGCACAAATTCCCTTCTTTGCCTCAAAAACTGCTTGTCCTCACTGATTGATCAGGACAAAATACATCTTTTTTTTTGGCGGGGGGTGAGGCAGTGAGTGGATGGAGTCTCACTATGTCACCCAGGCTAGAATGCAGTGGCATGATCTCAGCTCACTGCAACCTCTGCTGCCCGGGTTCAAGCAATTCTCCTGCCTCAGTCTCCCGAGTAGCTGGGAATACTGGCACCTGCCACTCTGCCCGACTAATTTTTGTATTTTTAGTAGAGACGGGGTTTCACCACATTGGCCAGGTTGGTCTTGAACTCCTGACTTCAAGATCCACCCACCTCGGACTCCCAAAGTGCTGGGATTACAGGTGTAAGCCACCACGCCTGGCTGACAAAATGCATCTTAACCAAACTTTGATTAAGCTTCTCTCCTTCACCCAGGTCCCTGGACTTTGGCCCACCCTCAGCCTAAACCAGCACAGCCCCTCCTTAAGGGTCCCTTTTGGAAAGAGACTGGCTTCAGGGTAGAGCATTCTCCAATCTACTATCTGATCATGCCACTCTTTCATCTCACTTTCCCTTATTTACTTCTCTATAAAAGGAAACTCTCCTTGCCTAACCTTGAGATGCTTGCAGATCTTATGGTCACAGCGTTCATCCCATTGCAATAATAGGGAGATAACATCCCTTGCCTCCCTGCAATAATCCTTTGAATAAATCCTCTCCTTACTGAGTCCGGATTTGTTTTTATTGATGGGGATCTGAGTTTTTATCCACCAGCTCCCATTCATCACTGACAGGGGACTGGTCCTGGATTTCCAGCTAGGAATGCCCTGTGCATTCATGCGCAGCTGGGCTCGGGTCCAGAGAAAGACCTCAGGCAAAGGCACAGAGGGGTTGCCAGTTGGAGGTGCAGGGACATGCTATGGGTGGAGGAAATGTGGGCTGGTCACCAACAGCCCAGTGAGTGGGTGGGTCATCTGCCCCAGTGAGCTGCGGTGGGTAAGATGAGGCATATCTAAGGAAGCCAACTGTGGTGGAATGTGGGGTGCATTAAGGGAGGCAAAGGCAAAAAGCCCCAGGGGTGTCCAAAAATGCAAGGTCATTTCTAGCAGGGGAAGTCAGGGTTGCTTCAAGGAGCACGTGACACCAGGTTGCTCCTGAGCCATGTCAGGGCCGTGTGACAGCCACAAGTGTCCTGCTCAGAGCTCCTACAAGGGAACCTGCTGTGGATGCTTTGCTGACCAGCAGCCTCCAGGTTGCACCTTTGGATCTATCGTGATTTTAACATCCACCCCCTGGCTGCTCTCAGCCAATGACTGAGCGTGGTAGGGGAACCGCCCGACAAGCGACTCCTCCAACAGGCAACTTTTGCTGGGATTCCCAGTCAGCATGGCTGAGCCTGCCTTCCTTTCTTCTTTTGTAGGAGTCAGGCATGCACCTCGATCTGAAAGCTGTCCCTGCCTAGTCCTGCTGCCTTCCTCTTTATCTTTCCTGGGTGTTTCCTCAAAAAATCTCTTGCATGCCTAATCCCATCTTGGTGTCTGGGTCTTGGAGGTGTCTAATGGACACAGACTGCAATAGCATCGATGGGGGAAGGACAAGGGAAGGCTCTCCAGGTAGCATTCATTGTGCAAACTAAGGTTATGCAGGAAAAAATCTGCTGGGGATGTCTGGGGCTGGGGCATGACATGTTCAGTTTCATGGGAGCAGAAGGTATAGGAATATAAGATTGTTGGTGTCAGATCATGGCAATCTTGTTCAGTTTAGGCTGGTTCAGCGGGTACTAGGGAGCCATGGAAAGTTTGTGAGTGATAGTGAGCTATTAACTGAGCTGTGCAGTAAGAAAATGAATTCAGAGCCGATAATGATGGGGAGGGTCCAGGTGAGATACTCTGGGAGGAAACAGCAGGTGGGATCAGAAGAGATCAGAGAGTTACAGCTGCCAGGCCTTGGTGGCTGGTGGACTTTGGAGTAAAGAGAGGAAGACATCAGCAGTGACTCCAGCTCTGACCCAGGAGCCTGGGAGGCTGGTGGTGGTGTGGGTGGAAATCACACGGTCAGGGTGAGGGGCAGCTGGCAAGAGGGCTTTGGGCACTCATCAATAGAACGAGGAAGAGAAAAATTGGGCATGTCTTATGAACTCAGAAAGGCCTGGCGAAAGGCAAAGTGTGGGATCGCATGCTAAACAGCCTGGGATTGAATTGCAACGCAACTTTCAGGAGCTCTGTGACTTGAGTGAGGTATTTTACCTTGCTGTGCTTCAGTTTTCTCATCTGTAATTTGGGCATAAAAATAGCACTTCTCTCATAAAGTTGCAAAGAGGATTAAGTGGGAGGGAACCTAGAGGGTGCACCCAAGAGTGTCGAGGTGCTGCCAGCTGGGATAGGCTGTGGCTGTGGCCTCCTCTCTGAGTAGTCATTGAGAGAATGAAAGTTCAATCCTTCCACTCTGCTTGTACCTTTGCAAGCAGTCCCTCACCAAAGGCTCCTCAGTTACCTAACTTGAGTGTGCCATGTTCTTTCCTGCCTGGACCCTGACTGAGACACCATGTCTACTCAGCTCTGGTGTCCTTAGCCACATGCCAATGTGGCTTTGTGCATCTGGGCTGTGTTCTGCAAAGCAGCTAGATGCTGCCTGCCTGTGGGGTGTGATATGAAGAGTCCTGAGAAACTTTCTGTCTCAGAAGAATGCCTTTAAGGTTCTACCACTTTATGTCAAAGTCTTGCCTTTAAAGTCATTTCTATTTTTCAGTCAAATGCATTGTATTTGCAGACGGTTCCTGTTAAATGCAATTTGATCATATGTGTGTGAAGGGATTGGAGGGATGAGGTAGAGGCCCTAGCGACACTGAATTTCCAAACTGCATCCAATTTGGCTCATAGACATTTCTGATTGGATTTGTTTTTAAAATAAATTTCTATCAAGCATTTAAAAAATTAAGATATAATCTGGCAAAATCAAGATTTCAGGCCTCTCTTAGAAACCCAGAACATCTGGCAATACTGGGTGGGTATTCATTCCATGGCGGCCACATCATGGCCGACCCTTTGGATAAAGCTTTTCATTTTGTCACAGACCCTACCATTCTCTACTGCCCCCGACACTGTAGCTGTTTCTTTTCTTTTTTTTCTTTTTCTTTCTTTTTTTTTTGAGATGGAGTTTCACTCTTGTTGCCCAAGCTGGAGTGCAATGGTGTGATCTCGACTCACTGCAACCTCCACCTCCTGGGTTCCAGTGATTCTCCTGCCTCAGCCTCCAGAGTAGCTGGGATTACAGGCGCCTGCCACCAAGCCCAGCTAATTTTTGTATTTTCAGTAGAGATGGGGTTTCCCCATGTTGGCCAGGCTGGTCTCAAACTCCTGGCCTCAGGTGATCCACCCGCCTCAGCCTCCCAAAGTGCTGGGATTACAGATGTGAGTCACTGTGCCCAGACCATTTTCTTTTCATCACAGTGCTGGACCATTATTTTCCTCCAGACTTTCTTATTTGTCTTTCCTTTTATTCGAGACTTGTTCTACTGAGATGCTTACCTGACCCCATTACCTGACCCCAATAGGCATTTGAGGAACATTTTTGTTCACCAAATTAGCTCCCAAATTGCAGGGCTATGAAAAAAAAAAAGACTCAGGACTGCTAAATTTTGACTGAGGAGGCAGGGCAGAGGTGAAGAGGCTAAGTAAGAACTTTTGGGTAGCTAAAAGATATGGGACAGAAGGAATTTTACCCTTCTACAATCCTTAAGTATATAGAGAAGCACATAAAGCTATTTCAAAAAAGTAAGCTTGCACCTTGCACCTGAAGAGTCACTTTCCATTTTGTTTGGTTTACATTTATTGCATTTGCTCTACCATTTTCTAGTGGACAAGTAGCAAACTGTACCAAAGGTTTATGAAGAATTCTTTTTTTTTTTTTTTTTTGAGACGGAGTCTCGCTCTGTCACCCAGGCTGGAGTGCTGGAGTGCAGTGGCGCGATCTCAGCTCACTGCAACCTCCGCCTCCTGGGTTCACACCATTCTCCTGCCTCAGCCTCCCGAGTAGCTGGGACTACAGGCGCCTGCCACCATGCCCAGCTAATTTTTTTGTATTTTTAGTAGAGACGGGGGGGTTTCACCATGTTAGTCAGGATGGTCTTGATCTCCTGACCTCGTGATCTGCCCGCCTCAGCCTCCCAAAGTGCTAGGATTATAGGCATGACCCACCGCGCCTGGCCCGGTGTATAAAAAATTTTTGCAGGGGATGGAGGTGCAATATTTTGAGAAAATCTCCTCTTTCCCTCCCTCCCTCTGCTGGAGAACTGAGGGCACCATTTCTTGATTTTCTTGAGGACGCTCAATGAAGGCTGAGTAAGAACAGATTCCATGTGACTTGAGCCCCTGCTATGGGCTTATTCTGTGCTGAGAGACAGGTCCCCATCTGCCTCTGGCTGTGAAGGCTGCATAGAGAGCAGAGTGAACACAGAAGCGCTCGGTCCGGTGGAGGAGGCTTAGGACTGTTTTCTCTTGCTTGAAGTATATTCAGCAAGCAAGACACATGCTGGGAGCACTGGACCCCAGAAAAGGAAAATGAAACATTTACGTGGATCCAAGGATGGCATTGCAAAAGCAAAAGGAATCTCCGAGGCACTAAGTCAATATTTGGATTAAAAAAGAAAAAAATCTTACCAACTTCAAACAGTTTGGTGGCATTAAACTCCTCGCTTCCCGCAAGCAGACTCACTTCGGTGGCAGCTGTCCTAAAAGTGTCTTCAATTCCTAAACACAGACAAGAGCTCATTTTTCCATCATTACATGGAAAAAGTTATCTCCCCCACCCCAACAATAAAAAAATAAATACACCTGAACAAAGCCTTTTTTGTATTCATTACTACTCACGGGCAGAAACTTGCCAACAGAGGAAACAGTAAAAAGCAGGTCGTAGTGCAGAAACTATATTAAAACCCCAGATACATTGGCAACGTGAAATCAGATCCAAATGTGCCTGAATAAGTCCTAGGAACTCACTCACTGAGCCCAGGGATGGGGTTTTGGGCAGTGGGGGACACATGTCAGGATGGTGTCAGGGTGACAAACTAAACCAGAGGCAGTAGAACGTAGTGTTTAATATCTTGTTCTTAATGACTGACTGTGTGCGTTGAAATCATTACTAGCCACGTGACCTTGGGGTAGCCAGTGAACTTTTGTGTGCCTCAGTTTTTACATCTGTAAATGGGAAGAACAAATTGCCCTACCTCCTAGAGTTGAAATAATGAAATGAGTTGGTGTAAAGAAAGTACTTAGAGCAGCAAGTGGGAAGTGTTAGGTGGTAGTTTTCCCTTGAATATTTGTCTAGCTCATTCTTTGTCTAGCTCACTGAGGATGCTACAATGCATAGCCAAGAAGAGTTATCTCATATTCTAGGACACTTAGCATTGTTGGTGATGCTTCAGAAAGAAAAAGTTGGGCTTCTCATAATTTGCTCTGAGGAACTGAACCCAGCTCTACTCAAACTTACTGGCTCACCCAAACTACCACCCCTAACCAAGCTTCCTTTACAATCAGGAATCCGGTGCAAGCTAAAGCAATAAGAGGAGGAGGGAGTGAGGCACTGTGGTAACATTTGCTGGTGAGCCTTGGCCTTCCCTGCTGGTTTCCCTGACTTGATTTCCTTTAAGGGGCTCTCTCTGATTTTATGTGAGGCACCTCAAACTTATTTGCAGGGTTGACCTACAGGACAAACTTTTACAGTGTAATAACTGCCAGGCCAGGGAGACTTTGCCCCATGAGTCTTTCCAGGAAAGCTGGGAATCAACGAATCAAACAAGTAAAGAGATCCTTAAAAACGAAATCCTTCATGTTACAAGGGAGCCCAGAAAAGCTGCAATAGCCAGGAACTGAGAGGCAGAAAGGATGCAAGGAGGGTGAGGACACACGAGAAGAAAAGGTATGAAGAGGGCTCCTGGCCACACTGCTCTCCGCGGTGACAGAAAACAAGAAGGAAACATTTGTAAATGGAGGCAGAGGGGAGCCTTCCCCTGACAAGGCACTTAAATCTACCACCTTGAGTCTGGATGTGAGCTCTGGAAGAGAAAACAACAGGAAAGCCCCCAAACCTTGACTTCAAATGCTATCTGTGTCCCTGTGTGGCTGATTCCAATACCCTTCTCTTGGTAAAGACCAAAGAGTTTAATGATTAAGAATATGAACTCTGTAATCAGACTGTCCGGATTCAAATTCCAGGTTGATCACTTGCTTTCTGTGTGACTCTAGGCAAGTTAATCCTCTATGCCTCAGTTACTATAGCTGTCGAATGAGTACAATCATAAATACCTATTTCATAAAGTTATTGTGAACATTAAACAAAATAATACCTGTAAGGACTTTAGCCATTTGCTTGACACTTAAGTACTCAAAAAATCTTCTTCATCATCATCTATTTTATTTTTTCTTCTTCACCTTTATCTTCATTTTCTTTCTTTCTTTTTTTGTTTTGAGACGGAGTCTTGCTCTGTCGCCCGGGCTGGAGTGCAGTGGCCCGATCTCGGCTCACTTGGCTCACTGCAAGCTCCGCCTCCCGGGTTCCTGCCATTCTCCTGCCTCAGCCTCCCGAGTAGCTGGGACTACAGGCGCCCGCCACCATGCCCGACTAATATTTTGTATTTTTAGTAGAGACGGCATTTCACCGTGTTAGCCAGGATGGTCTCGATCTCCTGACCTTGTGATCTGCCCGCCTCGGCCTCCCAAAGTGCTGGGATTACAGGCATGAGCCACCGCACCAGGCAATCTTCATTTTCTTTTGCCTCATCTTTTTACCTTCATCATTATTTTCGTTTACTTCATATTCTTCTCTTTTTCATTTCCTTCCTGTTTCCCTCTTCCTCCTCCTCATATTGTTATTATTTATTGCTTATTTCTACACATCCAGATTCCACCCACCAGGCTTCCAACTCAGCTCATCCTAATGAGCATGGGAAAGTCAGGAAAAGCACCGTAATGGTTGCTCCACTGTTTTGAAATCCATCTGCATGGCTGACATGGAGCCAGAACCGCCACTTCTTGCATTTCAGCCCTGTTTTCTACGTGTCCCCTTTTGCTAACATACACATTCATTCCAATCTGATTCTTCCTCCCTCTCCTCAGAAACGCCTTTGTGCTTTCATTTCTCCTTTGTTCCAAATGTCTCTGGTTGGAGAACTGAGTGTCTAAGGTAGAAAAAGGAAGTCTGGGGTGTAAGGATCAGATTTTCTGTCTCTGAAATTTTTTTCAGCCAAAGCCATTTGGAATGTGTGGTTTCTTGAAAGGCTCTAAGATATTATTTTAGGCTGGTATTCTACCTGGCAATGGGAAATACACAGTAAGACTATACACCAGGAGTTACTAAGCCTTTTTTAAAGGGTCAGAGGGTACATATTTTAGGTTTTGTGGGTCACATATGGTCTTGGTTGCAGCTTCCTCCTCCTCTTCCTCCTCCTCCCCCTCCTCCTCCTCCTTCTCTTCCTCCATGCCCTTCCCCTTCTCTTCTTCCTCCTCCTTCTCTTTCTTCTTCTCTTCACAACAGTTTAAAAATGTATGGGACACACAAAAACAGGTCTCGAGCCAGACCTGGCCATAGTTTGACAACCACTGCTATAGTCAATCACAATTATTGTTGACTCTCAACATGACCTCTCACCAAGTGTGCAATTAGTTTAGTTTTTGAAGCACTGACAATGCAGTATAAAGTGACAGTTAACTACCAAGACGCCCCAGGTTGCGCTCCTGGGAGCCTTTGGCAACTCTCTGGTATTACCGGTGGGGCTGTCTTTTTCCTGCAGATGGTTGTCAAGCCTCTCATCCTGGCTTCCTCATCAGACCATGAGTGTCTGCCTTCTGTTTCTCTTCAAGGGACAACAAATCCCACATCAAAAACCCAATCTAACCAGAGTCCCTCCTCTAAATTAAATAAGTACAATGCGACATTGTCTTTTAGGTCACGGCCACTGCAATTGTGCATAAGACTCAGAAAATCCATTCAGCTCATCAATTATCTCCTGACTCACTCTGGTCAGAAGTCTTATTAGAAAAGTAGTTACATCTTGCCTCATGCCTGTAATCCCAGCACCTTGGGAGGCTGAGGCGGGCGGATCACAAGGTCAGGAATTTGAGACCAACCTGGCCAACATGGTGAAACCCCTTCTCTACTTAAAAAACTACAAAAATTAGCCAGGCATGGTGGCATGTGCCTGTAATCCCAGCTACTCAGGAGGCTGAGGCAGGAGAATTGCTTGAACCCAGGAGGTGGAGATTGCAGTGAGCTGAGATTGTGCCACTGCACTCCAGCCTGGGCGACAGGGAGAGACTCCGTCTCAAAAAAAAAAAGAAAAGAAAAGTAGTGCATCTTTTAAAAAGACAATGTCACTAAGTTTTTAATGATAAATTAAAAAGCTTTCCCCTTGAACTTGGAGCTACACACTCAGGTAAACGCACCTGGGCAGTTTGGACGGTCACAGGTCCTCGATTCTGTTGCAGTGCACGCGTAGCCACAAGACCGGGTCCGTTTCTGGTTGCCGTTCCCGCAGGTGACGCTGCAGACAGACCAGAGACTCCAGTCACCCTCGCCATCTGTGGAATCTGGAAGACAGCCAGGGAGATGGTCATCAACTTTGGCCAAAGAGTCTCCCAATCTCCCCATCAAGCAGCCTGTCAATTATTCACTTCTATCCTTCTCGCTGTGGGAGGGGATTGCTGGAGAGGACTTTTCAGCTGGAGCTAAAAGGTTTACAGCTCCAGGGCTCATTTAGGGATCAGCTTTGTGACAGCAAGGAGGTTTTGGGCACTGTGGTGGTCTGTACATCCCTAGAAGGTGCCCAGAAAACACTTACTGAGAATGCATACATTTGCACAGCATGGGGTAATATGCTAGGCAGTTTCCAAAGGTAACCACCCTCAGTTCCTTCCCTCTCTGTGCTTATAGCCTCTCATTGACATACAGAGAGAAAGAGAGAGAGAGGAGAATCTATTTTCTCTAGAATCTGGGCTGGCCTTGACCTTAAGGCCTGGCAGCTTCTGACTTTTGCTTTGGGGAATCCAGTTACTGTGAAAGATGTCCATGCTAGACCTGTGAATTATGGGACATCACATGGACAGAGAGGAGCCACATGGACTACAGACACCAGACATGTGAGCAAAGCCTTCTCAAGCCTTCTAGCCATTCCCAGTGGACAGCTGAATGCAGCTGTTGCCATCAGGAGCAGAGTACCTACCCAGTGGCCCTGCCTGAACTCCTGAGCCACAGGATCATGAGAAATAATAAACGGTTGTTGTTTTAAGCCACCAACTTTGGGATATTTTGTTACGTGTAGCAATAGATTACCGATACATTAATGGTGAAGCTAGAGATGATCCCTCAAGGTCATTATTCAACATCCATCCAGTGAATACCTATTGAACCCTTTTTGTATGTCAGGCACAATTCTTGGTACATGAGATACACTATTAAGTACAACTTTCAAAGATCCTTGCCTTGGAGGAACTAATATTTTAGTGAGAAAAGAGAAACAATCATCAATAAACACAAAAAACAAGTGAATTAGATGGCATGTTAGAAATTGATGAGTGGTGTGCAAAAAGGAAAAGTAGGCCAGGAAATAGGGGGGCTTGGAGGTGAGAGGTGTGGGAGAGGGTGGTACCCTATTGATATGGTTTGGCTCTGTCTCCCCACCCACATCTTACCTTGAATTGTAATAATTCCTATGTGTCAAGAGTGGGGCCAGCTGGAGATAACTGAATCATGGGGGCAGTTTCCCCATGTTGTTTTCGTGGCAGTGAATAAGTCTCACGAGATCTGATGGTTTTATAAATGGGAGTTCCCCTGCACAAACTCTCCCTGGCCTGACACCATGTAAGATGTCCCTTTGCTCTTCCTTTGCCTTCCACCATGATTGTGAGGCCTCCCCAGCCATGTGGAACTGTGAGTCCATTAAATCTCTTTCCTTTATAAATTACCCAGTCTCGGGTATGTCTTCATGAGCAGTATGAGAATAGACTAATACACCTATCAAACTGAGTTCCTCTTATCAAAAGTAAAGTCTTGGAGTGGTAGGATGCCTGGTTCAAGGTCACTGGGTTAACAGAAAGGAAAGCAGGGCTCTGGTACCACGCCCTTTCTCTCTAAAGCGTGATTCTTTCTGCAGTACCTCTGCTCTGTGACAGTTTCTCCTGGTTTACCCAGATCTTCCTATGGCCTTGGGCCCTCTGCTGCTGCCAAGCGTGGAGCTAAAGGCATGCCCCTTGCCGGGAGGGAGTACCCTCTGTTCATAACAGGTCGTGGCGATTGTTATTACATAGGCCCAGCAGGAATGTAGTCCACACATGTTTCTACCTGAAATGTGGGCCCGTGCCAGCCTTCCAGGCTGTTGTTTACATGGCATTCACTCTGAACATGCCTCAGGCAAACACAGGGCTGTGGAGCCTCCTCAGTCCACTAAGTGGAATTGGAGGAGCGGGGTGGTGGGGGGTGGATTTCATGGTTGTGTCCTCCTCCCTAACTCTGAGTGGAGAGCTTGCTCCCATCTTATCTGCCCCCCGAGGCCCCATCTATTTTCCTCCCAATCCCCCAAAAAGAATTTTTCTGAACTTTGATTTTTCTCCTAAGAAATGGTTTTCCAACCACTCAGCTAAGCAGATGCTTGAAACTAATGCTCTGTGTCAGGAAATTCGGCTGCCTTCCCTGGCATTAGCTTCTTTCCTCTCTACCATCTCTTATTGGGTATCACACAGTAGGACTGGAGAAACAAGTTGCTTCTGGATGGAGAAACCACTCAGGTAGGAGCAGTCGCTGCTCCCACCGAGAACTTTGCAGTCTGGTGTCTCTCAGTCACCTCCCCAAGGGCACCAGAGAGGTGCCTGGAACAAGCACACAATTGCACACTTGTCAGAGAAGCATCCAGGTGCAGCGGGTCATACGCACATGAGCACTCACCCAGTCACATCCTGCACACACCACCGAGGCCAGATTTTGTTAAAGGGAATAACAGCTAAAAAAAGGTCAAAAGTAAAGATTATAATGTTTTTATACTCATAAAAAGGGGGAATGAGTAAGTCAGAAGAAATCTTATTAAATCCCCTAGGTAGAGTTTGCATCACCTGTGGGGTGGGTACCAGCATAAGACATAACCCAATGATGCCAAATGGTGTTCTTGGCTTTGCAAAAGCAAAGGGACCTCCACTATCCAGAAATCTCATGCAGCCTGGCCTCTCCATTATCGCAATGTAGAGAGCAAATTTGGAGAGACATCACCCCTGAACTTTGAGATTTTAGCATTAAACTATGTATTTTAGCATTAAACTCTCTTGTGTTGGAATCCCTGCATGAGGCACTTTCTTGTTATAGTTTCTTGGATCTAAATTATTAAATGTTAATATTGTGTCCGATTATGTGAAAAATCATGCCCATAATTCCTCTTTCCAAATCCACGCCCTTGGCTACTCCCCTCTCGGGCTGATTCCAGGATGGGCCACATGACTTGCTTTGGCCAATGGGATAATAGCAAATAGGATGCCAGCTGAGGTATACAAAGTGCCCGTGCATTCCGTCTTGCTGCAGGGAACTCTTCCCCCAAGCGTGAAGTGCCTAGGCTAGCCTCCTGGAGGGGGAGGGACCAGTGGAGAGAGGCCCCAGCCATCTCAATACAGCATCTACACAGCTGGGCACCCCTCATTGTGAGTGAGGCCAGCCTAAACCATCCAGCCCCAGCCAAGCCAGTCCAGACCAGACCAGAAGAGTCCAGACAACCCACGGACTTGTGAGGGAGAGAACTCTTTCATTCCTTTAATTTTGCGGTTGGCTTTTTTTTTCCTTTCTTTTTTATTTTTTAAGCTGTTTCGAGGTTTCACTCTGTCACCTAGGCTGGAGTGCAGTGGCACCATCATGGCTCATTGCAGCCCTGAATTCCTGGGCTCAAGCAATCCTCTTGCCTCAGCCTCCTGAGTAGCTGGGACTACAGGCATGTGCCAACATGCCTGGCCAAAGTTTTCAAAAAAATTTTATAGAGATGAGGTTTCACTATGTTGCCCAGGCTAGCCTTGAAATCCTGGCTTCAGGCAATCCTCCTGCCTTGGCCTCCCAAAGTGCTGGGATTACAGACATACGTCACCATGCCTGGCCTGGGGGTGGTTTTCTAAGCAGCAAAAGCTAACTATTACAAATACCCCATAAAATCCTCCCTAAAATATACTCTCTAGACAGCTGCCAGACTCTGAAGCCATCAAGGATTTATTATTGCAGTAAGTGGCTTTCTCCACATCTTTATTTTAAATGCTCACAAAGCCATTTTATTTCCAAACATTTTTTTCATATGGGTCCCCCAAAGTTAGGCATAGAACTCGCCATGTGGCTAATTATTTCTATTGAGGCTGACAGTGAAGTGAAACTGCCTCCTAGGAAGAAGTATGTATGTGAGCTCACTCCCCTGAAGCTTTCACAGCACACGGGCCCCCATCAATGTCCCGGCAAAGACCCTCCTCTTGGGGATTTCTATTTGTTTAATGTCTTCAAAGAACAGAACGGGCATTTCTGACAGGGACAAATCATTGAGGGCAGTGCTCCTTTCTGCTATAATAAAACAAGCCTGTTCTCAGTTGCTCACCTACCAGGGGCCACTGCCCAGAGCAGAAAATGAATGTGAGCAGCTATAATCACAAAGATAATGACAACGGCAGGAAAAAACAGTTCCTGGGAGCATCTATATGGTGCTTTGACAGCCCCTGGCTGTGACATCAAATAACTCAAGGAGGAAATAAAACTATCCCGAGTGCAGTGGGCTGAGAGCTGGGTTTCAAGGATGCCGCTGGAGTTTTAAAGTAGTCCTTTCTTAGTTTCAGGGCACTAGCGTCCTGTGGGCCAGTCATAGTGGTGGGGCAACTGAAGTGACTTGGGTCTTGACTTGGCCACTAGTAAACCTGCACCACTAATCCTAGATGACAGTGTCTACCGATTACTGAGGGCTTGCTTTAACCAGCTGCCCTGTCGATCTACTGATTTAACTCCTACAACAACCCTGTGAGGTAGGTGGAAACATCCTCTTTTTATGGGCAGGGAGACTGAGGCTCAGAGAGGTTAAGGTACTTGCCTAAGGTCACACAGGTGAAGCTTGGCTGAGCTGGAATTAGATCTAAGATCTGTCTGCTCCCACCGTATCCTGTTCCATAGCTTGGTATTCTAGCAGTTTTGATTCTGGCCCACGTTGCTCTGGCTTTAAGATACGCTCTTACGTGGCCATAATTAAACATTATAAAGGAAAACCACTGAAAAAAAATCACTGTGAAATCTATTAAAATAGGGTTATGACCAGTTAGAGAATTTCAACTGGGTCCTAACCCAAGTAACAATAAGCAGTACCTATGTAATTTCATTATGTGGGCTATTCTAAACAATTCTGGAAATGGTATACTACTGTTAGACCAAAACATATTTATTTGGAACTCTCCCTTTGCCCTGGATACCCCAAGTATCTACACAGAAGAGATTTAAAATGCAGCATCTCAAACACATACTTTCCACAGTTGAGCTGACTCACAGCATCATCTCATCTGTGTTTTCATCATCACAAGTGGGGTCTGTCTTCTGTTGTGTATTTTGTAATTCATTCTACAGATGCCATTGTATCCTACATGTATTTCACCTAGGATTTTTAGAAATAATCCTTGCGGACAAATATATAAATTCTTACTAAAAATTCTACCTTCAAAACTCTGAGATCTACCTCCTCCACAAAGGCTAGCTCCTGTGGCAATTTTAGCCTGTCTCAGACGAGGCTGCACGCCCCGAGATACAGTGACTTGCACTGCTTTGCTATTGCATGAACCTCTCCTTCCTGGGTGAAATGTTCTCTTTCTGTTTCCTCCACAACAGCACACAATATAGGGATAAATACTTAGAAATTGCTTGAAGTTTCCTGTTGACTGCAATAAAAGTGGGTCTGTGGGATTAAAATCCCAGCACTTTTGGAGGCTGAGGTGGGAGGACTGCTTGAGCCCAGGAGTTGGAGGCTTCAGTGAGCTATGATCGCACCACTGCACTCCAGCCTGGGCAACAGGGCAAGACTCCATGTCTTAAAAAAATTAAATAAATAAAAAAACAGAAAGAAAAGGGGAATTCTCAGTTTATCTGATGCTGTATGGAATTCCGGAAAAGATGAATTCCAGAATGTGGGCTATCCTGGGAAGCAATGATCACTCATTCATTCATTCTGCCAAATGCTACTGAGCACCTACAATGGGCGTAGAGTTTTGCTACTCAAAGTGTGGTCGGAGGGCTAGCAGTCTCAGCTTCGCCCAGGCTTCTGCCCTTTTCTTATACCTATTGCATCGAAGGTGCATTTTAACAAGGCCCGGGGCTATTCATGTGCACATGAAAGTCTGAGAAGCACTGCTTTAGAGGTACTGCACAGAACACGACTTTATTTATAAAGTAGCAATCCCGATGTCCAGTCTAATGATGGGGAAGATACTAGGAGGTACTTTGAAATAATACAGGATGGAGCTTCTCCATGGCCCAGGCATGCTACGAGCTCCTGATGTGAGGAGCTCAATGGTACTCTAGGTCTAGGAGGCTGGGGGTGAGGGTGGCTGAGGTAGCCACAGTAACTGCCCCAGGGCAAATTCTAGCCTCAAGATGGAAATAGAGGGGGTGTTCTTAATGCTCATAAATTCAGCAAACTGTACTCTGTAAAGGCTTTAGATGAAAAAGTTGTTTCTAGTGGTGGTCTTCAAACTTCAGTGTGCAAGAGAATCATCTGGTGACCTTGATTGAAAAAGGAAAGAAACAAAGATGCAAACAACAGACTCCAGGTCTCACTTCTAGACCTTCTCATTCAGGAGATGGAGAGCAGTGGCCTTCAACCCGGGCTGAACAATGAAGTCATCCTCGGAGCTTTAAAAGACAACGATGCCTGGGACCCATATTCAGAGATCCCAATTCAACTGGTCTGGGGAGAAGTCTAGGCATCGGGATTGAAAAAAAAATTCCCCAGGTGAGTATAATGAGCAATCAAGGTGGAGAACCATTCATCTCAAACAGAGGTGCGCAATGCAGCAGAGTGCCTGGAGGGCTTGTTCAAACGGATTTCTGGGTCCCACTCCAGAGTTTCTGACTCAGTAGGTCTGGAGTCAGGCTTGAAACATTTGCATTTCCACGTGATGCTAGTGGTGCTGGTTCTGGGGGCCACACTTTGAGGACTACTGGTACATAAGGAAGGGGCTGCAGCCCAGAATTGGCATTTTTAAACATGCAACTGAATGATTCTGATGCCAGGTGTCTGAGCTCTACTCATAGAAACAACGTTCTGTGTGGGCTGGGCAAACAGGTGAAGCCACAAACGCTGTGCAATCTCAGGCTGGCATCAAGCGGTCCTCTGTGCTTCTCTCACTCAGTGGCGCTGATCTTTTCCTCCCATTCCTATCTTCCAACCTAAGCACTCATTTCTAGATCCTTCTACTGTCCTAAGTGGTGTGCTACTTTTTTCCCCAGAAAGGCAGAATTGTATAGTGGTCAAGAGGACAGATTCTGGACCCAGACTGCCTGGGGTGAATCTCAGGTCTTAGCCCTCCAGGTTAAATTGCTTAAGTTTTCCAGGCTTTAGTTTTCCCATCTGTAAAGTGCAGTATCTGCTTCAGAGAGCTGATTTAATGAAATAGTATATGTGAAACGCCATGAACAGGGACTAGTGCATGGTAAGTACTATTTAAATGTTGGCTATTATCCCGTCTTTCCTCTTGGAAAGCAGATAACTTGACTTCCTTTGGGAAAGGTGAAGGTTTCATGAGCCTGCTGGCTAGAAGAGACATCCCTTCTAGAGTTCTCTTTCAGTTCCCCTGGCATTTGATGTACATCTCTACCATGGCACTATTTTGCTCTGTTGGTTAATTTTCTCCCTTGGTCCACAGATTGGTGAGATCTGTTCTGGGGACAGACTATGCCTTGCTCATTTTTGTACCCAGCATAGTGCTGGACACAGCATTTGCTCTTAATAAATGTTGGTTGAACAACTGATGATGTGGCAAAAAAATATTTTTGTCTTGTTCTTTTGCAAGTTGCTTAGAATTCTCTATTAATGAGAAGAAATGACTGTCTAATATACAATTGGTCTATCTGTTGAAAAATGGGGATTAAGGTTAGCATGCAAATGGTGTAAGACAAGTCATCCCCTTCATATACTGCTCATTCCAAAGTCCACTGATGGTGAAGCCACAAGAAAATCATGACGATGGGTGCATTTGTAAGACATTAAATATCCTTATAACAAACTGCCTGATTCCCCACAAAATCTGGCCAGATGCTTGCCAAATTGGGTTCCTCTTTTTCTTGGACACACAGAGAATACATTTCCCAGCCTCCCTTGCACCAAGGTGGGGCCATGTGACCAGGTCTTCCCAACAGAATTTCAGTAGATCTGATGTGTGTCACCTCCAGGCTGAGGGCCTTACGAGTGTGTGTTCCTTCTCCAGGCTCCCTTTCTTTCCCTGGACACCAGCTGGACACAGAATATCCAGGGGATAACTCTCAGGCCCTAACAGTTGGTGGAACTCCAAAATGGGAGGAGGCTGGATCCCTGAATGACTGAGTGGAGCTGAGTTCTCCTACCCAACTCAAGTGAGAAATGAACTTTTATTATTTTAACTCACTGAATTTGGAAGGTGTTACCTCACTTATCCTACTCCCAAAACACAGGAAACCAGATCTCTCAACTTGGAGTTTTGAAATGTATTGGGGGGGGGGGGTTACTTTGAAGACCTGAGACACACACGTTCATGTGGGTTCCCAAGGACCACTCCACTGCCAGTATCAAACATAACACAGTTGCCTGGTCAAAGGAAGCAGCCGTACGTATCTCTTTTACTACACTGATTTTCAGGATGAATTTTTACAGTAAAAAATACAAGGAAGTTAATTGGAGAATTTCTTCATTTTTAGAAATAAAACTGAAATTTGAGGGGCGGGGGAGGCAGAAAGAACCCCAAAGATCCTAAAAAAATTATCTCTTCGGATAATTGGTATAGTGATTATGATTTGATTTAAAATTATAGTCTTTCCAGAAAAATGTGGCTGCTGGTGCCTCCTTTGGGCTTCTGCGGAAGACAGCCTTTGTGAGGTTTGCCTCACAGAAGACCAAAAGCCACATGCTCTAAGCAGGGTTTTGCTTGGCTCCATGTCCAAGGCATCATCCTCGTTTATTCTTCCCACCAATTTTATATTACTAGGTGGTAAACTCACCATATTCTGGCTGATCTTTGGTTTCAAAAGTCCGGTGGCCTGGGGCTGTATGGTCCCACCCCCTGGGGGGGTTGAGGAAGTTGCTGTCGTCTGAGGTACTGTCGTACTTGTAGTCCTGGTCCCCGCTGTTTGCCCTGGCCAAGGACAGGGACCTCTGCCACCAGGCCCGCCAGTCGGGGGATGGGACTGACCAGCTGGGCTTATTCTCCGGATGCTGATCTTTATCTGCTTCAGAGTCAGGACCGTCGACCACCTCTATGGTGACCTGAAGAATTCAGAACAGGCTGGGGTCAGTGTGGAGTCAACAGCCTCCAAGCTACATGACCCTTGGAAGAAAGTCTGAGAGGGCAGAGGGAAATGATGGATGCATCCGTTGTGAAGGAAAGCTGAGATTGCATGGCGATACACAATGGAAAACCTCCAGGGATGGTCCACAAGAATTCCACGGCTAGATGGAACATGGCTTTGGGTTGGGAGGGGAAAATTCATCACTAGAGTCCCTGATTTACTGATGACTAAAAACTTAATAGCTGGAAACAATGACTGTTGGATTGCTGTGGGTTAGGAATTTGAGTAGGGCTGAGCCTGGAGAGTTTGTCTCTCCTCCATGTGGTATTGAGAAGCCTTTCACTCAGGAAGTAAACATGTACTATATTTGTTCCTGAAGTGATACCAGAATAATCATATTATAATAAAACATAACATTTATGAACACAAACTCTGTACCAGGCACTATCCTAAATGCTCCACCTGTATTATTTAACTCTTGTAAAGACCTCCCATCTGTGTTTTTGTGTGCCACATCTCCCATTGAGAGAGGTGGAGCCCATTTCTCCTCCCTGGAGATCTGCATTAGCCATGTGATTCACTCTGTCCAGCAGAATGGGTAGGAGTGGAATGGTGACAGGTATTAACAGAGGCCTTACAGCTTTCATTTTCATTCTCTTGGAATGTTCTAACCGCTATGTAAGGAAGCTTAGCCTAGACCACTACATGTGTAGAGACCATGTAAAGAGAGAGGCTGCATGGAGGAGAACCAAGGTCCCTCAGCCCACGTCTAGCTCTGAGGCCTCAGTCATGTGAGTAGGGCCATCGTGGATCTTCCAGCCTCAATTGGGTCACTCTAGCCAACATCACATGGAGCAGAGACAAGCTCTCCCAGCTGAGTCCCAGTCAAATTCCTGACCCACAGCAATCCCGTGGTCATTGTCTCAAACTATTAAGTTTTGAGATGATTGCCAGATAACTTTTACCACCAAGGAAAACTGGTGCACAGAGACATCAACAACTTGCCTAAAGTCACAGGGCTAGTAAGTGGCAGACATGGGGAGTCTGGTTCTAGAGCCCATGCTGTCCCTAACTTTGCCACACTGTCTCTCAAAAAGTAAGTGACAGAGCTACTGTCTCCTCATGAGACCAAAGAAACAAAAAGACCACAGGTGCAGGTGGGGGCTGGTTGCTTCAGGGTGTATAGAGACATAAGTACAAGCTCCTCAAGACGAGGCTTTCCCAGCTACAATTTTCACTCACCCCATGGCTCATCCTAGCCTTCACACTCCTCAACTAACCCTTAGGGTCAGAGCAGATAGTCCTGGAGCCAAAGCTAGAACTTGTTCTCAGATTTATGAAAGTCTCATTTTGAAGTCTGTCACGGGGCTGGAAGAATGAAGCTTCTTGGTTCCAAGAGACAATCAACGTAGAGAGACTTGTTTAAAAAACATAATAAAAGACGCATTGGGTTCCTTTGGCCATCGCATAGCTCTTGCAACACCCCCTGGATGAGTTATGTGCAAATGAATCAGAAACATGCACTCCAAGTAATCAACCCAAGATGTACTGGGCAGACGCATTTCCACTTTTGCCCTAACCTGACATCTGATAGAGTTGCTGAGATGCTCTGCCAAATTGCACCAGGGCGTGCCCATCCCTGAGACAAATAACCCCTTCCTTTTGTGTTACGAATGGGGAGGTTTGAATTATTCTGCTCACTTCAAATGATGTTGCCCAGCCAATGGGCCCGGGCTGTGGTTTTGTGGAGTCTGGACACATGGTCAAGAGGGTGACTTTCAACCCCAGAGTCTACTCAGGCTGCAGCAGGCCAAGTGCACCCTTCTCCTCTGTCACGGGACACCTAGAAGGGCACTACTAGCTTTACCCCATGCCACCACCCTTACTCCAGTCTTGTAGGCACCCTTTGCATATTTGTAAATAATTGTGGAGCTTTTCAGTAATCCCAAAAGTAAAAAAAAAAAAAAGGGTAGGGGGGAAGAAAAGAAAAGGAATACATCATACATCTTGTATCATTGCTATTTGCTGGAATGAATGGTCGTGGGAGAGTAATGGTAACAGGGACCCACACAGAAGCTCAGAAAGACAAGTGGAGAAGGAGCACACAGCTGGGTAGAGCCGAGCCAAGCTGGGCAGTGACAGGGCGATGCTGAGCCTTTGGAGACATAACCTTTCTTCTCTGCAGCCCCATCTGAGGGAACTGAGCTGCAACAATCGTCTGCAAGGCTATTAAGGGTCTTGGAGGGGAGAGGCTGCCAAGAGCCAGGCAAGCCCACAATTATGGTAATGAAATCAGTCTCTGGGTAGGAGATAAGAGGGAATGTGCCCAACACTTTTGGTATTCCATTTGTATTCAGACTGGAGTCAAAGGGATTGCTTAAACAAAACGTGCCCTGCAATTTCTCCAAGCTGGGAATAAAAACAATTTCATGTTTCAAGCTATTACCGTCAATATGATTTTTTTTTTCTCCAAACTGCTGCTCAGATCCAAACAAAATAGACTTGTTGCCTGGCCAGGCAATGAGTAGCAAAATACAAATTTACTCCAAAAGCTATATCGATGACTAAATCTCAACACTTAGAGGTTTATTTTTCCCCTTAATTGCTAGCCACTGCCTCAACTGAACTAAAACAAAAACAAAACACAAAACAACAAATCTTAGGATCCACCGCACCCTTCCCTACAGTTAACAAAGTGAAAACCTCATGCTGATATCAAAAGAAGAAATCTAATCTTGAGCCTGAGGTTTCATAGGCATCCAATTAAAAAGACTTAATGAGTGTGATCAATGACTTCTCCAATGGCGAGGGCTCGTTTTATGTTTCCTATTGCTCTCATTCTATTTACATGCTTTTTAGCATCAAAGAATCCGTTGATAAAGATGTCTTGAACAATGATCAATGTGATGAACTGTAGGTGTGGAGTGAGCACAGATTTCCAAACTGACAAAGTCTCTAGATCTTACCGTCCTTTCTCATCCTTAACACACATAATTGAAGTGTCTTAGTATATTTTTTTCTTCTGGACTTTTTCACACTCAAGTCATGATGATAAAAGAAAGGGAACTCTTTCAAAAGCCTCAAGTTCAATTTCTGGCACAATCTCCCCAGCTCCAAGAAAGAGAGTCCAAAAGAAGTGCCCATTTCGATAATTCTGTCTTAGGAAACGAGGAAAAGTTCCAATGCACCTTGATCAGCTTTCCTTCTCTTGAAAATTAATACATTGACTAGAAGCAAACTCTTGATTCTTGCTCGGAAATGCACTTCCCATAGGGAAACCCACACCATTCTCAGTCTAGGTGATAATAAACCAACGCCACTGAGAATACAGAGGCCATGCTCTTCAAACTCAGGAAAGCCTTCTTGCTTGTTGGTCCTCTAAGCCTTGTGAGCTGTGGAAACTGGTGGGAGTGGGCAGGTATTTTCCAGAGAGGAAAAGGATTTCCTCAGGAGCACAGAGCATTGAAGGACCTGTCTCCAACAAGGGTTTTAAATCCAGATTATTCTACCCCTTCTTCCTCGATAACTGCCATGGAAAGAACACAAAATGGACTAGGAAGATATCTAATTCCCTCTTCTCACACCTGCTGATGCTCTAAGAACAAGGGTGGCAACCCCAGCTAACTGTAGTTACTGCTTTGAGACTTGCAGCACGCCAATCTAGGCATTACTGTCCCTTCTACACAACTTAGACTCAATTTTCAGGGACGGAAACTGGCTTGGAGAATTCAAGGTCCCGAGGTAAACAGCAAGGAAGATGTAGTGTTGGTCTCTGAACCAGTTCTTCTGATTCCCAATTAATTTTTTGTACATTTCCTTTGTCATCTTCATCTCCAATATCATCACCAACGAGCATCTATCCGTTCTAGGAAGCTTATCCTATACTGGGCCCTGTGCTAAGCACTTCATATGGATGATCTCATTGAATCCTCACAGATAATCACACTTATATATAGTATTATACTACATAGCTGCTCATATGTAGTATTGTCATTCCAATTTTATAGACAAGGAAACTGAGGCACAAAGACATCCAGTAACCCGCATGGGGCTACGGAGGTCAAGTCTGGCTGACTAAATGGTGGTGCCTGATCCCAAACACAAGCCAATCTGCCTCCATATATTGGCAGCAGTACCCCATGAGAATCTGAGCCGAACAGGCTTGTCTCTATAGGGGCATGGGTCCATGTCTTGGGCAGAGAAATTTCTTGATTCTTATCCAGCCAGACCTGCCATTCCTCTAAAAGTATTTTAGAGAAAAAGGAGGAGGCAAAATCAAAAGTAGAAGCACGTACAACTGTAACCCTGGCCAACTCATCTGATTGTATCTTGTGGCGCTCAAGAGGCCTGTGGCCATGTTAATATGTCTGTGCAAGGAAAAAAAGGCCTTTACATGACTATTTTTAAGTCCGTCTTAATGGGAGAAAAGAAATAAATATATGGGTTGAAATGAATACTAATCTCAACTTGATCCAGAAAAGAGAATATTTTGGTTGTGAATAGCTAGTGTAGTAATGAACCAATGTAGTAAGCCTAACAGTGCATTTATTTCAGAGATTTTTGTCTCTGATATCTGACTATCAGCTGCAGACTGAAAACCCAGCCAAGGATACCAAAGTCTAACTTGTTCTGGGGGATTTACTTTCTTTCCTGAATGATTTTTGTTTTTGATAAAACCCAACCTCTTATATTGTTTTAAATTTCATATGGAGACTCAGTTTAGTAGTCTGAGACCATTTTTGTTCTATTTTGCGCATTTTCTTCCCCTCCTCACTTCCACAGCTTGAAGCCAGTCTTAAAATAGAATTGTCTGATTCACTTGGGACCGAGGCTGCCTGACTTCTGGGAGTTAAAATGCTCTGCAGAAGCAGGTGTTGGGGCTTTTAGAAGGATTTCCTATCCTGAAAGTCAAGAGGCCCGGGGGCCGGGCGCGGGGGGGGCGGGGAGTGGAGAGGGGGCGGGACGTGGACTCTTGCATGGGCTTAGCGATGTCACTTTGGAAAGGTGCAGGCTGTTTCCTTAGCCCTGGAGCGTGGGAAACACTTCCAGAGCCTGAAGGGGTGGGGAGGTGCGGAGGGGAAGGCGGGTATCAAGTTCCCATTCAGCTCCCAGGCTCCAGCTAGGGAGAACCAGATGGGGGCAAAGGCAGGTTGCCAGGGGAAGGGGCAGATGAGGCCAGGAGCCCTGGCAGCGGAAGCTGACCTACTGAAGGGCCCCTCACCTGACTTCACTCTGCTACCCAGGGAGAGGGAATGCTTTGACGGGGCCGGCAGGGACCGTCAGGGACCAGCAGGGCTGTCTGCTGGGCTGAATCGGCCCTGTGTCAAACCAGTGGATTTCAACAAAAGAACAGTGCTCTGAGGAAGGGGTGAGGGCTGCCAACACGGAAACCATCACCTCCTTGTAGAAAGCACCTCATGTTTTAAAGGACCACCAGGGAACTGGTTTACACAAGTGCAGTGGTGCATGGGGCTGCAGCAGCTAGTGCTGTGTGGTGTGTGGGTGTGTTTGTGTGCATGCACATGCACACATACACACACACACACACACAATTACACGCCAACAGAAGGCGGGGGCTCCCAGGGGTAGCAGTTGTTTTATTCTTTCTTTGAACATCTTTCTGAGTGACCAATACTAACATTTTGTGGTCTTCCACAAACAGAAGGCCAGAAACGCACCACAATTTTATTTTCTTCAGGGCCAAAACGTCATCAGATCAATAAAATGCTGGCCACCCTCCACCCCTCTGTATTGCTCACAGAAAATTAACCGATAGGGATTGTATAGAGCAGAAATAGAATAACTTGACTGGGCAGTAGGCAAAAATGTATTGTTGGCTTACTCTTTTTGATTTGTTGACTTTGACAGTAGCTAGGCTGGAGCCGCATTAATTTTTAATCCATTTGGCCAATAACATTCACATCTGGAGCTATGGTAAACCTTTATTCTTGGGAGTTACGGTGATCTTTGCTGTACAAAGGGTAACTGGGGTTCCCAGCTCTGGGAGTCCCAACTGCCTTTCAGCCTTTACGCTATAGCTTTTCCCTAATATTTAAGTAATATTTTTAAAAGACAGGTCAGTTGCAGTGACTCATGTCTATAATCCCCGCATTTTGAGAGGCTGAGGCAGGAAAATTACTTGAGGCCAGGAGTTTGAGACCAGCCTGGGCAACACAGTGAGGCCTGGTCTCTTCAAAAAATAAAAAAGATTAGCTAGGCATGGTGGCTCACACCTGTAGTCCCAGCTACTCAGGAGGCTGAGGTAGGAGGATCACTTGAGCCCAGGAGTTCAAGGCCTCAACAAGCCATGATTGCACAACTGTACCGTAGCATAGGTGACAAAGAAAGACCTTGTCAAAATAAAATAAAATAAAATAAAATAAAATAAAATAAAAAAGACCCAAGTGAGGTCTAGGTAGGGAATGGGAATTTTCAGACAGATGGATTTATCTAGAAGACAGAAAGGGGATCCCAAGAAGTTCTGTCTGAAATTGGGTTCAAGCACAAAGCAGCCAATAACTTTCCAATGAAGGAACAGTCCCCGGCAGCCTTCCGTTCTCCCGCATCCAGGCATTTTCCTATGACTTTGCGTTAGTAATTCTTAAATCAATTACACTGATATTATAGCTCAGTCCTCAGCATTATGCCCCAAGTGACATTCCCACCTCTGGGAAAAAGCGCTAGCCACAGCAGGCTTCAGATTGTTTTGGGCATGGCCTAAACACCCTTGGGATGAGAACTGCCTGATTCTGGAACCAGAACATCTATAAACACATGGATGAGCCATGATAGGAAACAAGGTTGAGCAACGGTATGAAGTCAGTGCCTTCCTTGCCAATCTGCACCTATTCCAAAGGGTTCCATTGCTCTTTATCACACCACGTGGCCAGTCCCTGGAGAGGGGCCATTGGAGCCAAAGGCCTGTTTTTCCAATTTATCAATTAAAACAATACAAGACTCACCAGAAATTTTAACTGGGGCTTGTAGTGATTTCTGTGCATGGGTTGTCAAAGAGTGACCTCCAAAATATTTGTCACTCTGTGCCATCAATAGAGCCTGTCCGACTTCTTTCCACCTATTGAGATCCACCCCCTTGGGACACAGTGCTTTTCCTCCTCTGTCTTCATGATCCCTCCAGCACTGTTTTATGTGGTAGCTGGGATCTTCACACAGATCTAATTTATTGGAGGGAACAGGTCTTACATTTTTCAATTTCCTATAACCTAATGCAGCATTTTATATACAGCGGGGGTTGGTATTCCAAGTGTTCTCAGTGAGATTTGCGTGCTCCCATGATGCTGGTGTTAAGAGCAAAACAACTCAGGTCAACGAAACCTGATCTAAAACCGTATCATGCAGAGGGTGTTAGTCTGTGGAGAGAGAGGCAGTTAATGAAGGATCAATTGGTCTGAGTCCAAGTTCAGGAACTTTCTGCTATGTAAGCAAATTGGCATTTGGTCCAGAGAGGAAAAAGTACAGAAAAGGTGCACCTATACAAATAGAAAGAATTGGAAGCAAAGCTTACAAGTATGGGCTGGCTGTGGTGGCTCATACTTGTAATCCCAGCACTTTGGCAGGCTGAGGCAGGGGGATCGCTTGAGCCCAGGAGTTTGAGCCCAGCCTGAGCGATATGGCAAAACCCTGTTTCTACAAAAAATTAAAAAATGAGCTGGATGTGGGGGCACACACTTGAAGTTCCAGCTACTCGGGAGGCTGAGGTGGGAGGATCGCTTGAGCCTGGGAGGTAGGGGCTGCATGCAGTAAGCTATGATCGTGCCATTGTATTCTAACCTGGGTGACTGAGTGAGGCCATCTTTAAAAAAAATATGGAAGCAGGCATATGAGGACGAGAGTTGGATAGGGGCTGGGTTGCCCGGGGGATGAGCCTCTCTCAACCATCATGGGGACCATCTTTGGGAGGAAACAGAGAAAGGTACAAACAACATTCAAAATTAGGAGTTTGCCTCTGAATGTGGGTTGGGAGTCTGAGAGCCTGGATTTGAGCCCTATAACTACTATTTACTGCCATGTGACTTTGGGTAAACCAAACAGTAACTTCCTGAGTATCTGGTGCATTACCAATAGTATTAGAAAAATGACACGGGCTTTGTCTCCTTCATGAGGGTGTTGGGAGGGTCAAATCCGATCAACATTTGCTTTGTAAAGTATACTGAGCTATTTCAGTGTAGGTGAGAGTTATTATTTTTAACCCCAGTCACCCTTTCCCTAACCTCCCATTTCCCACTGCTTCATCAGATCCCAACTTAGTGGAAGATAGTCATCTCTCTCCTAGGAACTCCTGTTCTCAACTTCCTTCCTCTTATTGTTTTGTAAGTCATGTATACTTTAGAGTAACGGAAGCTTGTCTCTTTGTGAAGGAATTTCTGGTGTCCAAGGCAAGTTTAGAGGGGCACTAAGAGAAACAGCTTTCCTGAGTGCTTTGAACTCATATTTGAAAACATTTGCCCAATCTATTCACAGGTCAGATTGGCCTTTTCCTATAACGGCCACATTTCATCAATTTTGTTTTGTTTTGTTTTTATATTTCAGACTATTTTGTTTTGTTTTGCTTTTATATTTCACTGTCTCTTAAATTAGTATGTATCTTGTAATCCTTGGTGTGTCATACTTTAATTGGTAGTGTTTTCTTCTTTTGAGTGGTTCACAAAATAATTGTGCATCTCACAATCAAGGGTGTCACTTAATGAAATGCAGCACTGTTCTTATGGAGATAACATGATCTTAAGCAGGAATCATTAAGGGGTTAAGAAGAAAAGTGAGGTAAGGCAGCAGTTTCCACTGGAATCATCAGAAAACAAAAGATGGACTGTTTTGTTATCTCCCATCTTCCAGGTGCCAAGAATTACCTGGATATTTGGATTCTGCCCATTGATATCAGCTTTGGAAAGATCTGGAAAGTTTGGTAGATCAAGGAGAAAGGATCTGGGGAAATCTCTTTGCAATGAAGGGTGCCCCGTCTCTTGTCGGAATCGCGGTCTGGGGAAGGGTTGGTGTGCAGCCTGGTGGTCCAGATGCTCCCTTGGTGCTTCTTTGGAGAGAGAAAAGCTGGTTTCTGATGTGGTGTCACTTCCCACGTTGAGGTTATTCTAAAACAAACAAACAAGCAAACACCTGTTAAGGAGACACATGATTAAAAAATGTCACCCTTAACAGTCCATTATATTCAGGAGCAAGGACAATTCCAGTGGCTGAAATTAAGCCAGTAGGGCATTCCAAACTTGTTTTGCAAACCCATGGTTTAGTTTCTTCATGTCTTAAAAGCCAGATCATCAGAAAACTTCTAGCCTGCTACTTGGGAATTTTCTGAGTGTTAATGAGTTATGGGCTATTTATTAAGCTTCAAAGTACTTTAAAAATGAAAACACTATTTTGAGGAAGAACAGGTGTTCATTTAGAGCTGGAACCAAATTATGTTTCTCTTCTCACAGCTTCAACTGATTAACCACCTTGGCTTTAGTTATAGCTCTAGTGTCCAGAGTTGGTTTCTTTTGTGTAGGCTATGGAGCAAAAGATCTGACCAAGCTGGATATAGTTCTTGGGCCATATTATTCATTACATACATTCATCCATTTGTCTGTCCATTTGTCTATCAACCCATCCATACTCCATTCACATATCCATCTATCCATCCATCCATCCATCCATCCATCCATCCTTCCACCCACACACCCATCCATCCAATCATCAAATGCCAACCATTCTAGGCACAGGAGATACAGCAATAAACAGGATAGACATGAGACCTATTATTTTGAAATGTACAACAAGGTGAGGGAAATAAACAATAAATCCATAGATAAATAAATAAGATCAGATCAAAGAACGGTGACTGCCAAGAAGAAAAGAAAGAAGATGATGGAGAGTGGCTGGGGAAAACCTTAGATAGGTGGTCAGGGAGAACCCCTCAGAGAAGGTGACACTTGAGGCAAGATCTTAACAAGAGAAGGTGGCACCCTGCCATAATCTGGGGGAAGGACATTTTAGCAAAAGGAACAGCAAAGGAAGCACTCAAGTCCAGGATGGGAATGAGCTTGGCTGGTTTGAGAAACAGAATGGCCAGCGAAGCTGTTGTAGAGAGAAGGAGGGAAGAACCATAGGTGATGAGGATGAAGAGACAGGAATAGCCAAAGAAAAAGTCACGAAAAGGCATTCTGAAATCTAATGGTTTTATACTGAAAAGTGCAAGCCCACTGTTTTTCCCAGCTGTGAAAAATGTCACCATTTCTTTATCACTATGGGGAAATTTCTCTAGTGATTGAGAAGTTGCTGGACTCCTTTTCCAAACCAGCCTTTCTTTTTCTCCCTCTCTCCTCTCACAGAAGATTTACTCCAGCCTTCAGGGATAGCATTTTCATGTTTACTGGTGGAGAGAGACAAGGAGATAGAATTTCACCAGGCTTTGGGTCAGTGGTTAATGTTCTTGTTTTTCTTGGGCATGTTTTGGGGTTTGGGAGTGTATATTTCAGCACACTGTCTCCACACGCCCTCTTTGCCCCCCACCACAGTGCCTCTGACCCAGCCAAAGGGTTACATCTGGTATAAAAACACTCATGACTCTGAGCGCCCAAGGTCAAGAGCACTGAGGCTGAAACACACTAGCAGATACATATCTTCTTGGAGAGCTAACCTTAGGGAAGGGATTATTATTTTTACTTTTATTTATGTGTCATTTTTTAGAGACAGGGTCTTGCTCTGTTGCCCAGGCTGGAGTGCAGTGGCACAACTGAGCTCACTACAACCTCAGACTCCTGGGCTCAAGTAATCCTCCCACCTCAGCCTCCCAAGTAGCTGAGATTACAGGCACGTTCCACCAAGCCCAGCTGCGAATGGATTTTTATAAATCTGTTTAAATAGGAATGGGGCTCAGGAACAAACTCACTGGTTCAGAGACCGCCTCTGAATGTTCGAAGAAGCCAAGGGGAGGGTGGAGATAGAGACCTCGTCTGTCACCTCTTTAAAACATGCAGTGACCGGGGAAAGCTGGCTGCTCTGCAGCATGTTTTTGCTCGCCTTTCCACAGCTCAGAAGATGTGGCCGGGGGCAGTGTCTTTGTTCACCTTTCCAGCCACCTCTCTGCCATGGTTTTCGTCTCCTGGCACATCCTGGTAGAGGGAGTTGCCCTGACATTTTGAGACATTACTCAATGCAACAGAGGCCAAATGTATTATTGTTTGAACCTAGCATGGAGAGAGAGAGAGAGAGAGAGAGAGAGAGAGAGAGAGAGAGAGAGAGAGAGAGAGAGGAAGAAGAAGGAGAAGGAGAAAGAGAAGAGAAGAGAAAAGAGAAGAGAAGGAAGAGAAGAAAGAAAGAGAAGGAGCGAGAGAGAAGAGAAGAGGAGTGAAGAGAAGAGAAAGAATAGAAGAGAGAAAGAGAAGGAGCAAGAGAGAAGAGAAGCGAAGTGAAGAGAAGAGGAGAGGAGAGGAGAGAAGGGAAGGGAAGAGAAGAGAAGAGAAGAGAAGAGAAGAGAAGAGAAGACAGGAGAGGAGAGAGAGCATGCTATCTTTTCTCAACATAAGATTTCTCGATGACATCCCAAAGGGGAGATAGCTGAATGCATTTGTTCCCTTGCTTTTTTCCCTTAATCTCCAACCCTAAAACTTCTCCAACAACATTAGGGAGGACAGTTAGATTGTCATGGAGAATTTCTTGTGCAGGATTTAGGATTACAAATCTTGGAAGGGGCCCAGAATTTGCTTCCCAATTGCTTTAGTACTTCTTGTAAATCAAGCCCTAACTTCATAGCCACAATGGAGGTATACTGTTTAATTAGGTTAAAAATGAGGCTCTCTTTCCTTTCCCCTGTGAATGGAGTACTCTTCCTACTATGAACACTTACATTTTAGAAGAAGTAGAAAATGTGTTTTTGCTACTCTTTAACATTTTGCCTAGATGTCTGAAAAAACAGGGACTAAGTCTGATTGATTGATTGATGTGACTCTTGAATTTTTCCTGGTAGGAAATTCACCACCACAGAGTGCTTCTGGCTTAGCCCCAGACCAAGCAAACCCCTTAAACTCTCTAGGACTCGAGGACTTTGCATGTAAAGCAGATTAGATAATAAGAAGAGCCCTGTACCCTCCCCGCAGGATTAGTCAAGATACTTGGGTTGGGTTGTGTCTACACATGGAAAGGGAAGTGTCGCGTTAGGGTCACTGGCTGGGCAGTTCAGGCCACAAGTACCTCTGCCGGGAATAGTCAGACAACTGGGGCTGAAGTATGTTTTGGCTTCAGTTATGCACACAACTGTGGCATTTCTCCATCTCTCCGAACCGCCCTGCCCCCCAGACACAGGCTTGGTGTTTGTAAAGTATTTGGAAGATGGGAAGTAATAAAGAAATGCTAATCACAATCTCTGAACATCTGAGTTACTCTTGCACCTCTTTCAAAACATATTTAACTGGACACCTTGCCTCCTTGCAATGGCATGCCCCCAAGCTGTTAAGAAATTGGAAATCCTAGGATAGGGGAAGTGTGGCTAAGGATGGCTCATATAGAATGAAACCCTGTTTTATTCAATCAATAACAAGATTTGAGAGTAGCCATTATTTTAGTCATCTAGACTTTAAATCTAGGGTAGGAGACAACAGACAGAATATCCTAGTAATGCAGAAGAAAACCTTTCTTTATCTCTTCTCAAAGGGACTTACTGCACATCCTCCTTGCAGAGCCCCCCTTGGAGGTCCTGGTTGAGGACATCAGTCCAGCTATTACCAAGTTCACTCACTGAGTATTCCACGTGAATTATTCCAGCAGAGTAAAGATTTTCAAGAGGGGTGGATCTCAAGGTTAAAAGTAAAATATTTTGTGTTTTATTCAGGCAAGCAAACATTCTTCTCTGAAAATGATACCTTAGGAAAGTCTGGGAATTTAAGGAAAGCATCATGACCATTCTTTCCAAAATGCCATTGAATTCATTCTGCCCCAGTTAAAGTGACACAAGGGGGCCTGCTCAGTTTGGGAAAATATTGCTTTACCCACAATGTGTCTTTGAGTTGAACATCAATCTATGAGTTAACATCGACAATGAGTTAACATTGAGTTAACTATCTATGAGTTAACATTGACAATGCTGCAGCACCAGCAGCAATGTTTCCTCTTGTGACTATAATTTCAGAGCTGTGACTACCACTGAGAAGGAAAACAGAAGAAATGCAGCTATTAAACGGCTTATGCACATGAACTCTTCCATTGCTGAGGCAGGTGATCTTCATTGGTCAAATTATTTAGCTACTGCTTGGTGCTCCTCTCCTTCTATTATTTTAGAACTTATCAAAAACAGGAATAGTAATAAAAATATCCTCTTCTTACAGCCTAGCATTTTGCCTTACATGGCAGTACTGTGGCAGACATTGCAATTGCCTGCCCAATGTCTAGTCCCCTCTTTTTCTTACTTGGTGTTTGTTTCAGGTGGCTGTGGACCTGGCAAAAACTACATTTCCCAGCATCCACTTCATCTGAGTGCGACCATATGACACAATTCTGCCCCATGAGGAGTAAGTGGAAGGTTCTGGACAGAACTGCTGCAAAGGAGTTTTCAGATTCGGTTTTGCCATTTGCCTTTCTCTCTTCCACTTTGTCCTGCCTGAAATGAGGAAACAAGGCTTGACGTGAAATGAGGCGGCTGGCAGGCCTGAGGATGGAGGCTGTAGTCTAAGCGTGGCTGACTGGACAGATGGTGGGCTTAGGTCCCTGATAGTATTATGGAGCTATCACGCTGGTCCTGGAATGGTGACCTCCATATGTCTTTTACTGTTATCATTAATCTTAATGTTAACATTGACAATGCTGCAGTACCAGTAGCAATGTGCCCTCTTGGGATTTTAATTTCTGAGTTGTGATGACCCAGAAAATTATAAAGGTTTTGCCATTGAAAGTAATGGCAAAAACCGCCATTACTTTTGCACCAACCAAATACTATCACAATTGCAAGAGGTTTTTCCTCACCAAAAGGAACCAGCATTCCTTGGACAAATGGATTGAGTGCAGAGCTTGGGCGGGGAAGGCACAGATGAATTTGGGATACTTTCCTGCAACAAGAAGCAAGGAAGCTTTCGATGATTAACAGGGTACTCTTGAAAGAACACAGGAGTCAGCTTGACAGGCCCCCATTGCTCACAGATCAGAGAATTTGGACAAAAAGATTGTACTTGACTGATGTACACTGAATCTATCAAAATCCATAAGGATACTCATGAAGGAGAGAAATCCAGAAAACCTACTGTTACCATTTGAGGTAGGTATTATAAAACTCCTTCCTTTGCAAATTGGTATTAAAAAGAAAGAAAGGTTTTCAGAGGAAGCAATGTTTGAACTGAAATAAAAAAGGCTTGTAAACGTACAGCAGATGCATCAGGTTAAGAGAACAGGGAGCTGGGGAGGGGTTCAGGAGCTTTGCAATCTTGGTGAAGGAGTCTCTCAGGTCTGACAGAGCTGTGGTTTATAGATCCAAAGGGTTTCAGAGCTGAAATGTGGTGAGAGTAACGATCAGAGACACCTGCTGTTTTCATATGAAATAACAGAGTTAAATATTATACACATCGGGCCCAACGCACAGTCTTAGCCCACCAGCCTTTGGTCTGACAGCCTTCTATCACACTGCGCTGTGACTTGTCCACTAGGCTACCACTTCTCTGGTAGCATCCTCTGGGGCACTTGGAGGTTTGCTGAAGCTACATGGTGCTGGGATCTCATCCCTCCTTCCTCATTCTCATCAGCTGGCCCTGGATGCCCTTGGGAAAGCTCTGCTGAGATGAATCAAGAAGAGAAAACCTCTCATCTTTAGGCTGGGTGCAGTTTTTCTCAGATGACAAATCCACACGTTTTAATCACTTGTGTCCTTTATACTGAGTACATCCTGGTCCAACACCAAGAATGTCCAATCACTGCCTCCAGCCACTGCATAGCTGGCGTTGCTCATCGTGGCTGTGTTTGTGACCAAGGTGGATGGCCATAGCCACATCTAGGGTCAGAGTGGTCAGAATGGCCAGAGTCCCCCAGCTGGTCATTTGACACAGGCAGATGAATACAAAAGAGAGGGAGTGAGGTTTTTTGGACAACCAAGCCACAGGGCAAATTAGGATGAGCACTACAATAGGAGGAAGATAAAGCTATGGAAATGAGTGATGCATCCTCTTTTGGAAAAAATGTGCTAAGCATCATTGTCCCAGTCTGCAAATAGCCACCTGCCCTATTCTGCAAACACCAACCAAGGACTGGAATCTGAAGAACAGGGTTGATTTCACCACTTTCAGAACCTCCAGAAGAGGCACAAATCAGTAACAAATTGTGGCTGTCTAGGAAAGTTTAGTACTTTTTCTCTTTAAGGCAAAAACTGGTAACTATTCCCCAGATTAACACAATCAGGCAGACTTCTTGAAGGCAGACTGGCTGGCAAATTTCTGAAAGGCAAAGAACAGGCCCTGTCTTCAGTCTCCAAACTCCCTCCTCCTTCCCCCAGTTTCACAAGCTCAGGGGGCAACAAATAAGTACTAGTTGATGATAATGATGGCTAAAGTTATCATTGGGTAACGAGGGCCTAGTTAGATTTTATTTTAATTAGGCTCAGGCTACAGGCCTCATTACCCCTAATGTGGCTTTTATGTGGGATTCTAAAGAAAAACAAAAAAACCCTAGGAATCTTCTACTGAAGATATTAAAGAAGATATTATTAGCAATGCATTTGGTCTCATAGACTTTGAACAACAAACAACAGAGATTATAATTAATGTCACTACAGCCTCTCTCCTTAAAACAAACTAACAATATAGTTAATTAGCAATATATCCTCATTTGGGGCTGGACATCTGCATATTATTATCGACAATGCTTGTTTCCTTTTTCCAGATGAAAGGAAGCCATACTGCACCCAGGCACATGGCTGTGCGCCTTCCACATTCAAACACTCCATTTTCTTCTACCCACAATAAACACACTCGGGGCTTTATCTGTGCCGAGCATCGATTTTGTCTGGAACAGTTCCACACATCTAAAAATAAGTTCAAGAATGCCACTAGTGGTATTTCAAAGGGAAGAGCAAAAGTTTTGCCATTTGAAGAGATAAAAGAAGAAAATGGCACACTGATTATCTTTAACATGATTGAGGAGCAAGCACTCCTAAGATGAGAAAACCAGGAGAATGAATAAAGTGAGTTTTAGACCATAAAATCGGCTTTCTAGAAGGGGCACACTTGTTCTTAGTGCTCAGGAAGATGGATGGAGACCACGATCCTAGGAGTGGAAGCAGGGGGTGGTGGGGGGCTTGTTGGGACTTATTCTGAGAAGTGTTGGAAAGAGGCAGCCAGGATGCACTGGGGAAAAACTGCACTGTGAAGACACAGATGACAAGGCTGACCAGCTGCTGCTCTCATGAAGCCTGTGTATGATGGCAATCATTCCCCTTCAGGCAGCAGGAACAGAGCAAATGTCAATGGCCGTATTTTATAGCAAGCATGACAGTGCAATGCCCCTTTAGGAACTATTGCTGGCAGAGGGGAAACGGCCATACGTATGCTTCAGTCTTTGCTGGGCACTCTGACGACAGCCCTGAGAGCCAGTGACACAGGTACATCATGGGCTCAAGAATTCAGGAGGGTCTCAGTCCTGGTTTGGGAATGGAGCCTGCTGTCACGGTCTGACTAATAGCTGAGGAATCCCTAGTTATGGCGGCAGAATGTATCATAACGATGTTTACTTTAGGGCTTGGCAGTGACCTCGTTTATTATCTCAGGCTTTAGAAGAAATGAAGAATGGGCAACTCTTTGCATTTGGGTAGGGAGCTGGCTTTGAGGTGGAGGGGCCACCCATCCCTGTGTATCTCTCCTCATTGAAGGTTCTTGGGGCCGGCTGACAAAATGGAGATCAACACTTCACTGGTGTGTCTTGAATACTTCTGTAAACTGCTTTGATCTTGAAAATGTGCAGATTATTGGTGAATTTTTTCAAGTTGTGCTTTCTCCATTGCTGGCAAAGAAAACAGAGTGGTAGCTTTTCCAGGACCGATTTCTTTTATGTCCTGTTAGGCTAAAGAATGAACTGAAATGAAGGATAAATTATTCTTTCAAGTGTAAGAAAACATGTAAGAAGCAGAGTACACGAGTGGAAAGTGAGTTAGGCCAAAAAAAAAAAGAAAAAGAAAAACAAACCCTTCACACATCACCTAAAACATCCCTGCAAATGTAGAGAGATGGAGAAATCATACTTTCCAGAACCACTTTGATAAAGCCCTTGTGGTGTGAGGCCAGCCATCCTCAGCATCCAGTTAAGGGCAAGGCTTTCTATCAGCCTTCCAGGCTGCAGCTAACCAGCTCAGGGCTATAAAGGCCAGGCCACCAGTGGCCACCAGGGGGCTTCCATCCCTCCTCTTCAGCCCTGTTAGAGTTCAGCCACCCCTTTAAGTCAAACTTTGAGCAAATATTTAATGAGTGTGGATTATTGGTGATTTTCCAAGTTGTGCTTTCTCCATTACCGGCAAAGAAAACAGAGTGGTAACTGTCTAGGACTCGGTTTCCAGGACCCAATTTGAAGAGGCACCAGATCATTAGTGCACCTAAAAGGCCCAAGTATCTAAGTCCTCCTACGACCAGAGGGAACGGGTGTCGAACAGGACACCAGAAGGCGAACATCTCCTGCAGTGATTCTGTGTCTCCCTGCATAGAATGAGGGGATATAAGGCCCAGGCCAAGGCTGGTGTTCTGTTGGTGAGAGGGAGAACCTGGAAATTAAGCCAAAGGACATGGATGGCAGAGTTCAGAAGCTGAGGTCTGGGGTAGGGGTGGCCTAGGGACCCTTGCCAAGTTATTATCCTAATTAAGGAGATGGATTCTTCTCAACACTAAAGTTAAGAACCCTCATTGAAACCTATTGCTAATCTCTCTGCTCCAAGTACTTCTAAAATGGGTTTCAAAGGTCATTGGACGTTAACCTTGGAATCCTGAAAAGGGTTCAGGGTACTGTGGAAAGGACTGGGGCCAGGAGTTTCAAGGTCTGGGTCTGGGTCCCAGCATTGCCTCTTCCTGTTTTGTGAGCTTTGGTAAGTTATTGCACCTCTGCACTTATGGTAGACTGGTTGGCAAAAATGTCCACAAATTCTTCTTTTCTCTAAAGATCCACGCCTCAGGTAGTTGCTTCCACACTCTTTGAGCTTCTTTTTTCTTTTTTTTTTTTTTGAGACAGAGTTTCACTCTTCCCTCTTGTTGCCCAGGCTGAAGGGCAATGGCGCGATCTCGGCTCACTGCAACCTCTGCCTTCTGGGTTCAGGCGATTCTCCTGCCTCAGCCTCCAGAGTAGCTGGGATTACAGGTGCCCACCACCACCACACCTGGCTAATTTTTTATATTTTTAGTAGAGACGGGGTTTTACTATGTTGGCCAGGCTGGTCTTGAATTCCTGACCTCAGGTGATCCACCCAACTCAGCCTCTCAAAGTGCTGGGATTACGGGCATGAGCCACTGTGCCTGGCCTTCTTTGAGCTTCTTACTGCGGCCAAAGGGACAACAGTTAACAGAGACTTGAAAAGCACTTGTGCCTTAGGATTGCCTATTTTTTTTTGCTCTTTGGAATGCTGAGAACACTCGGTGAAGAAGGCCAAGCTAGCCTGTTGAATGGTGAGAGACGTGTGCAGCAGAGATAATTTATACCAGATTCACCAGCCTGCCAATGGCCAGTCACTCAGATGGAGACTGTCCTAGACCATCCAGCCCTGGCTGAGCCTCCCCAGGCTATGAGAGCCACCCTGCTGACCCAGAGAGTCATGAGAAATAATAAATCCTTGCGGGTTTAAGCTAGTGAACCCAGTGTGGTTTGTTACACAACAAAAGCTGACTGATATAGGACCTTGGTTATTTATTCTGTGAAATGACCATGGTGAGGTAGAATGAGAGTTGCAGAAAGCCTCTCACTCTATTCAGCTCTGACTTCCTCGGAATGGAATCCTAAAGAGACACTTGTTCTGGAGAAATTATTTCACACTAACTTCAAAAAAAAAAAAAACTCCACTTTATTCCAAATGCTGAAAACATCAAATTGAGGGTGGGGAGATTAAATAAAAATCCAGTGGTTCACAAATGCATGAAATGTAGATTCTATCTGCAATGACTAGAACATCTTCTCCTTTCTCTCTATCCTTCTACCTGTTAGCTCAAAGCTGGGTAAAACCTGTTGGAAAATTCCAAAGCCCTGCCAACGACTTTCTTCACTGACAGGTGCTTTTTTGGTAATAGCTTCATTGCCAGTTTTTCAAAGACTCGAAGCTGAGACTTAACAGTTCTCCTTTGTGCTTTCATGATGCACCTGTACAGCTCTGTGTGCTACTAGAAACTAGTAATGCCCATTTATTAACAGGACCCCCCGACACTGTAAAACAATTATAGAGCTGTCATAGGCCACATATGGCCAGAGGTGAAGAGAAAGCTCCTGCCACCGGCACCTGTTCCCTTTGCCACCTGCCTGTACAGATTGTTCCTGTTTGGACTGCTGTTCTGTTATTCTCTAGGGAAATGGTGTGATTCCTGCTTGGAAAACTGGCAGCTGATGCAATTGTGGGCTCTTGACTTAGCTTAGCTAACCTTTCTCTATAGGAAGCTGGGCTGTTAGCTCTATTCATGGATTCATTCAACAAACACTCCATCGATATTTATTATGTATCAGGTACTGTGCTAGGGTGAGACAGTGCCAATAGCACATGGCTTGTTAAGACAACTTTTCCAAAACTTGGAAATGAAGCAAAAGGATGACTGCAAGTTTATCACTTAGTATTGGGGCACAGGCCTGCCCCAAAGTATTTAATTCTGTAGGAGCATGTATCTTCACTTGGCTTATTATTTCCTATTGATTAGGGCCCAGACTAAAAGTTACATGTTAACTTATAGATTTTCATTCTGTAGATATAGAAATGTTTTTGTCTAGTAGAAACAATAACTCAGTGCTAACTGTTTTATGGCTCTACAGGACATTAATCAGTCTTATTTATGTTTACACACTTACTTCATCATCATTTTCCCCACTAACTTTATAAACATCTGTTTCTCAAATGCTCTGAGATGTCATTAGCATCTTCCTTTTCTTTCATTCATTTAGTTAAGTAGTTGACATGTGCTTTTTCTTTATTTGTATGAGATTCACATTTTTAATATTATGAAAATTTTATTTGGACAGTTTTTGTCTTCAAATTTAGATTACAGAGGGGAAGTTAAGAAATGCTTGTATCCATATAAAATGCAAAGTAGAAAGTGGGAAATTCTGAAGGAGTGGAAGTTTTCAATGTAAGGAAGTAAAATTATCTAGACTCCTTTTGTTTTTGTTTTTTTTTTTTTGAGACAGAGTCTCACTCTGTCGCCCAGGCTGGAGTGCAGTGGTACGATCTCGGCTCACTGCAACCTCCGCCTCCTGGGTTCAAGCGATTCTCCTGCCTCAGCCTCCCAAGACTGGGACTACAGGCGCATACCACCATGCCTGGCTAATTTTTGTATTTTTAGTAGAGACGGGGTTTCACCATGTTGGCCAGGCTGGTCTTGAACTCCTGACCTCAGGTGATCCACCCGCCTCGGCCTCCCAAAGTGTTGGGATTACAGGCATGAGCCATTGCGCCCGGCCCAGATTCCTAATTATGATACCACAGCTCGCCATCTGTAAGGTTTTAACATCACCATGTTATGCTCTCTCACCTTCTTTAAGAGGCCCCTATCCGGATGTTGGTCTAATGCACTGACAAGCCGGAACCAGTATGGAGAACCACGGCTTGTGAGCAGGACTTCCCTTGGGTTTGTCCTCCTGTGAGGGTCCTTATGGGGAGAACAGAAGGCCATGCACCAGAAGGCACCCAAACTCCTTTCGAACACTTCATTTTTCCCCGATACAATTCCCTATTCTGATCCTAGAGAAACAGCTCCTCCCAGTGTTGTTCTCACCAACGAGAATTCTACCATGAGAACCTCAGTTAACTGAGGTTCGAGAAAAGAGAATCACAAGTTCTCAGAGGCTTTCTTTTGGGATGTGGTCATGAAGGGGGAGATGTTCAACAGAGAACATGTTTACTATTCTCCTCAATATAAACCTCATAATATTAGGATGTATCAGTTTGAGTCTGAGCAGGGAATGAATGGCACCCTCCAAGTGGGTAACTAAGGAGAGCTTAATAAAGGAACAATTTAACATATCTGGACAAAGTGCCCAGAAACCACCAAGGATGCTCTAGTATCCAGGGCCAGTAAAGCCAGGGAGAGCTCACATCTCCAGGCCTGAAGATGCAAGGACAGGGAGAGGCTACTGTTAACCAAAGGGAAAGAGAGAGCTGTGGGGTTGGAAGTAAGGTGGGCGTTCATTTCCTGCCATGCCTAACATTGGCCAAACCCAATCAGAAGCTAGACAGCAAGGGAGCCTGTTGATGTAATACATGCAGATCATGTGCCCAAGAAATAAATAGGATGGAGAAAGGTGGAACATGGATTGAGAGAGGTAAACGGAATGTTTGGGGGACACAGGTATGCTTGGGAGAAATAGCAGCTATAATACCACCCGTTCCAGGCACTATACATTAAATCTGGTCTCATGACATCCATGTGAGGTAGACATGAGTGCCCCTCTTCCACAGATAAGGAAATTAAGGCTGAGAGGCCCCTAGATAGTAAGTAGGCTATGAAATCCTTGCTCCTTTCACTGTACGGTGCTGTCCTAATTTCTACCCTGGAGCTGGTTAGAACAAGAGAGTCTGCAGCCACTTTGAATTCCCTGGCCTCCCCTAAATGCTGCTCGGCTCCAGAATAACAGTTCTCAGAGGACTGGCTCAAGAACACTGGCCCACAGTACACTGTGGATTTAATTCTCAACTCTGCTCCCTGACTTGGTTTGGTAGGGGAAGTCCTGGCCTCATTTTTTTTTTTTTTAAGGAAAATACACATCTAGATAACAGTCCACCCCAACACTGCTTTACTTGTGCAGTGTAATGACTTTTTAGGGTTAATCAGGTCTCGTCAACAAAACCCATAGATATAGTGATGATAAAAACAATGGATTATCACTGATTCGAGAGGGGAGAAGTTAGGAATGAAATGGCACATAGTACACTATGTAAACATGAGAGCTATTCAGTGGGTCAGATGAGGCAGAGAACTGAGGAAGACGCAGAGAACCAGGCCCTGCAACCTTCACCTCCCAGGTTCAAGTGATTCTCCCACCTCAGCCTCCCTAGTAGCTGAGATTACAGGCATCCACCACCACGCTTGGCTAATTTTTTTGTATTTTTAGTAGAGACAGGTTTTCACCATGTTGGCCAGGCTGGTCTCAAACTCCTGACCTCAGATGATCCTCCCACTTTGGTCTCCCAAAATGCTGGGATTACAGGCATGAGCCATCGAGCCTGGCCGATACTCTCTTAAAGAAGCCAAGCTTCTCTGTTACTGTTATTTTATTTTCCAGCCAATAAGACATACAGGAAAATATAGTGTTTGAAAAAAGAGGAGCTTCATGTTGAGCATGTTATTTCCCTGTGGCTCGAGCTTTCTCACCAGTAAAATGGGTAGCATCTGTGTGGTAAAAACACTTCTTTTCTCCTCTTTATTATTCTCTTCTCTCATTAGACTTTTCTAGCACTCACTTTCACATTGTTACATTTTCTCTTCACTGTTTTTTCCCCTCAGGCCCAGCTCCTATCTTCCCTAGTGACAGCCACACCTCCACCTCCTCCACCTTTTTCAAATGTCCTCTCCATGCCAGCCTTGCTCAAACACTTTTACGTATCACTTCTACCGATTGGCTTTCAAAGCTTCCCACTGGGTGGATATAATTATCATCACCCCCATTGTACAGATGAGAAAACTGAGGTTTGGAATCCTGCCAAAGTCACCTGGCTCATACTTACTAGGGGTGTAAACAGCTGTCGGGGAGAGTGAATACCTCTTCCAACAATCTCAGTGTAAAGAGAGTGCTCAGAATACAGAGAAAGGACCAACACCACCATTGCCAGCCTCTCCAAAAAGGTCCACCTTGAGGATGGAAGACGTGGTCAGTGTTTCAGTCATTTGATTTTAAAGCCATTTTATCTCCATGATCCCATGATCCCCTATTAAAATACAACTAGTCCTGAGAATAGTCATGCTGGACCTGCCTGGTGGGGGCAGGGCACAAGATGGGTTTTGGGATTCAACTCTCCATTTTTACAAAGCATAATCTAGAGGATCTTTTTTTTTTTTTTTTTTTTTTTGAGACGGGGTCTCACTCTGTTGCCCAGGCTGGAGTATGATAGTGCAATCTAGGCTCAGTGTAACCTCCACCTCCTGGATTCAAGTGATTCTCCTGTCTCAGCCTCCTGAATAGCTGGGATTACAGGCACCCGCCACCACGCCTGGCTAATTTTTGTGTTTTTAGTAAAAATGGGGTTTCACCATGTTGGCCAGGCTGGTCTCAAACTCCTGACCTCAGGTGATCTGCCCACCTCAGCCTCCCAAAGTGCTGGGATAACAGGCATGAGCCACCACGCCTGTCCTCTAGAGGATCTTTGAAGAGGAAGGTGGCACAAGCCAGGGCCCAGGACACAGGGTTTCGAACTCCCAGCCTGATGCTCTCCTACTGGCTGCTTGGGTATCACTGCCTGGTGGATCTTCACGGTTTTCCATGACTAAATTACAAATGGTCTTTCCCTCTTTATAACTGCAGTCACACCAAAAAAAAAAACCCCAGGAACTTTACTAAATATCCTCTGAATGAATGAATGGCTGGTTGGTGGGCTGAATGAACAAACAGGATTTCAAAGCCTGATAGGCAGGGGCACAGCGGACCCCTTGTAGTTTCACTTAGGTCTACCATGCCATGTACATTGTACAATTTGTGCATGGTGCAAAGATGTCTGATGAGGGGGCAAGTAATGGCTGAAGTTGAGAATGAAGGAAGTGATATTGTCTTCCCAGAGGGAATGACTTGTTGTAATTCATATAGAGGCTTATAAGTGCTAATAGATGCCCTAGTGTCGCACTTCTTTCTGTCTACTCTACCTGCAAAGTCTTTCCTTCCCTTATCCACATAGAAAACTCCTATGCATCCTTTAAAACCTTATTTAGATACTGCCTTCTCTGTAAACCTTCCCTGATCTTCAGCAGAGTTAATCCCTCCTTGCTCCTCATTACTTCTCTACCATATATATACTTCTTTTCTTTTTCTATAAATTATTAGACATTTACTTATTTTTGTCCAGTTTCTGGCTAAAAACACACACACAAATAATGACTGAACTGTAAACTCAACTGTACAATGGGGTAAATTACATTAGCCATGTTAACATCTTCAAGTCCCTTATTACTTGCTAACAACAAAAAGAGCATTTTATCCATTTTTTCAAATTCCTCTGCCACTGTCCTAGTCCAGGTTGCCATCATTCTCTCTTCTATCCTTCAAGTCTCAGCTTAAATGTCACCTCCAGAGAGAGAGGACTTCCCTGATCATCTTATATAACCAGTGTTCTTTCCCACCCTTTAAAAGCTCCCCTCTATCATTCTGCTTATTTAATTTGTAGTATTTGTTAGCTGAAATTATTCTATTTATGGGCTTTCTTCTGTGTTGTGGCCCCTACCAGGATGTCAGAACCATGAGGCAGGGACCGTGTCTGTTCTGTCACTTCTGTGCCTCAGCACTTGGCCTAGAGCCCAGTACAGAGTAGGACCTCACTAAATGCTCTCTGAATGAATGGAAGGGACAATGAATAGATGGAAAAGGAAGGAATGACAAACAGGATTTCAATGCCCAATAAGTGTGGCCACAGTTGACTCCTCCTACATCTCTCGAACCATGTGTGGATTCTGGGATGTGGAAGGATGAGAAGAAGCTCTGGCAGAGGTGGAAAAGTTCTCCCTGGCTCTGTTCCTGTGTTGGCCCTTACCTGTGTGGTGACCCCGAGTCCTGGCACAGGATGGCACAGTCATCTGCCTCTGAGTGATATCATGGGTAGTGCCCAGCTTCTCCCTTTGCCCAGAGAGAGAATATAGAGACTGTGCTGGAGGTACCAACAGCTCTTGCCACCTGCCTGTGACCAAGTCACCACTGAGCACCCAGCAAGTGCACCAAGGAGCAGCCCTGGCAAAGCAACAGAGAGCAGCAGGGGTTTAGGAAGCAGGTGCAGAAATGAGGCTCAGCAGGAGATGCGGGGGGCAGGTATTTTGCTCTCTTGAATTCAATTCTGATTCTGAACATTTTCTGAATCTGCTTGCTTTTCTTCAAAGTCAAATATGAATTCAAATATTTTCTATTTGTATATACATCTGTTTATACTTATATATACACATATTTAAAGTATATGTATATGGTTATATAAATATAAATATATATTTGCAGATATAAATACACATTTGCTTTATTTATTTATTTATTTATTTTTGAGATGGAGTTTTGCTCTGTCGCCCAGGCTGGGGTGCAGTGACGTGATCTTGGCTCACTGCAACCTCCCCCTCCTGGGCTCAAGTGATTCTCCTGCCTCAGTCTCCCAAGTAGCTGGGATTACAGGCATGTACCACCATGCCTAATGTTTGTATTTTTTTTTTTTTTTTTTTTTAGTAGAGATGATGGGGTTTTGCCATGTTGGCCAGGCTGGTCTTGAACTCCTGACCTCAAGTGATCCGCTCACCTCGGCCTCCCAAGGTGCTGGGATTATAGGCATGAGCCACTGTGCCTGGCCCATAAATACACATTTATAAGTGTGTTTTTATGTGTGTGTATAAACATACACACACACATATATATATATATATGGATATGGATGTGTATGTGTTATTTTAATTTTAGCTTTTTTTTAAATTTTAAGATATCTGAACTAGCCCATTGTTTCCTAGCTGAGCTCACAGAAAAACTGATAATGATACTGAGTTATTAATTTAATTCATGTGTTCTCAAAATGGGGGCCCCAGGCCAGCAGTGTTGGAATCGCCTGGAAATGTGTTTAAAATGCTGATTCTCGGGTCCTATCCCCTGTGGAATCAGAGCTTCTGGGGTGGGGCCCAGCAGCAGGTGTTTGAGCAAGGCCTCCTGGCGATTCTCTGCAGGCTCACATCTGAGAACCTCTGCTCTCACCAAGAGAAGGTGAGGAACAGTGGCTGATAGTCGGTAAGGAGCTATCATTCTGAATGGTACTTTGGCAATGGGAGATGCTTTCCAGGAAACACAGCGCTCTCAAAGAGTGCACTTTTATCTTGGAAAAGCACAATCAGATCAACAGCGAATGAGCTCCAAGGCCTCCCATCCAGCATGGGGAGACCCTCTGAGTGGTCACCCACTCCTCAGGAATGCCCCTATGATAACACCGTGAGGGAAGGCAGAGCTCCTCACCCTCTGGGTCCCTGGGTGAAGGAAGCTGCACACTGAGCAAGTGACATAAGAGATCAACACGCAGGGTGAGAAGATCAAAAACCCTGAAGGTGGAGGATGAACTGTGAGACTTGGTTCCTTCCTGCTTTTCCCTGTGCCAATAAATGCTAGCTTTGCCAGGTCTGCTTGGGTAGCAAGTACCCCAAATGGAGCAGCAACAGGCCTCCAACTGATTTCTCCCTCGCTGTGTGTCTGTCTCTAATTAAGCCACACAGGTCCATGGGGAAGGACAGGTTGGTTCCAGATTGGCTAATGGATGAGATAAACTTTTCTAGCTCAGAGGTCTGGCAGAAGATTAAGTGAGATCTGAGAGGGGGGGCTGGGGACCCCAGGTGGGCCTAAGAGAGAGGAGAAATTATCTGTCAGTAAATGAGAGAAGTGGGAAGACAGAAGGTGAGAGACAAGAGAGAGTGGAGAAAAACAGTTTCCTTCAGTTGCCCCAAAGGCCAAGTTACTATCATCATGGTTTTAAGATGGCTCCTCTTTTTTTTTTTGAGACAGAGTCTCGCTCTGTTGCCCAAGCTGGAGTGCAAGTGGTGCAGTCTTGGCCCACTGTAACCTCTGTCTCCCGTGTTCAAGCGATTCTCCTGCCTCAGCCTCCTGAGTATCTGGGACTACAGGTGCACGCCACCACACCCAGCTAATGTATTTTTGTATTTTTAGTAGAGACGGGGTTTCACCATGTTGGTCAGGCTGGTCTTGAACTCCAGACCTCAAATGATCCGCCTGCCTTGGCCTCCCAAAGTGCTGGGATTACAGGTGTGAGCCACTGTGCCCAGCCAAGATGGCGCCCCTTTATACTGAAAAGCTCTCTGATGCTGCAAAAGCCTCCCCACGATGAACCCATCAGCAAGGATAAATCTCAGACCATCCAACACCTAACTTTTACTTTTCCTGATTAAAGCAATGATTCATGTATGAAGGTGAAGAAGGACAATCTAATTGTTCCCAGCATGTACACAGCAGCCATCATCAAAGCCAAATGGTCCCTACTCCAAGGAAAAAGCATAACTTCCTGAGCTGCATTCATTCACCATCTCCCTTGTGCACTTGCTCGTTGCTCTTCCAGGGACATCTTCCAGAAAAGAGGCCTGAGGGATCCATTCACACTCTTGTGTCTTAAGGCTCCGTAGACAGGGCCAACTGCTGCCAAGAATCCAACCCAAGAAAATGCTCTTTTCAGATAAATCTCACAGCCCCCAACTGGAAAGCTCATGTAGCAACCAGAGCTTTGCTTTCCTCCAGCAAATTTATACCTCAGCCTGTGAAAATGTCATTTGCTTGCTTGCTTCAGCTTGGACTCTCTCACTTACTCCCCAAGTCTGCAGATATACAGATTGACTTTTAAGGTAGAGCCAAACCCATTTTTAACCAGAGTCCTGGGTATTCAGTTACTAAGAGTTCGGCTCCAAGTTCTAAGTGCTCACCCTCCCCAGTGGCGTACAGAAAAGTCACACGGTAAGCAAAAAGTTCTCCAACATGGCATGCTATACAAACTTATGAATGGCTTCTTTCAACATCCTGACTTTTGAAAGCAGGCTTGAGAAGGTCAGAAGATAGAGTCTGTTGCAACTCTTGCTTGCTCTCTGACCAAAGGAAATATATTTCTAGCTCTAGCTTCTCCAAAGAGAAAGTCTTATGATCTCTACCTCCCACATACCACGCTGGTCCCCTTGCTCCCTGCACCTCACTTTCTCTCATGCCAGATCATGATCTCAGGCCCTGAGCCTGACTCACAGAGGATCCATCCCCAGAATTCTGCCTTCCCCTGCAAAGTGGACTTTCTCCCATTCTGGGTTTTGAACAGAGATTCCACGACGCATGTTTGATCTCTTCACGCTCCATTTTCATTAGTCCTTCACACTCTCCATCACTTGGAAAAATACAAACAGCATGGTTCAGTTTGAAGGTTAAGAACTGACAGTCTCCATAAACATTTTTACAATAAAAGCTGACTTATCCACTGCCAGAATTCAATGCCTGTGGAAGGGGGGTGAGATGGAATGGAAGCAGGGAGCGGGAAGTGAAAACCTTCAACATCAGAAGGAGAGGACAAGTGCTCACCATTCAACTACTGGGTGAAAGAAATCCCCAGGGCTTTGCAGGCCAAAAATGACTGGATTGATCTCTGAATAATTAAAGTATTATAGGGAGGGAGGCAGAAATCCAAGGAGCAGAACAGCTAAGGTATAAATTCCTGACTTATGGAAAATACAAAGCAATCAATGGTCATAAGTTATAAAATTTCCAGGTCATGAATATTAAAAGTGGCCTAAGAAGAGATGATAAAATAATTCTCAGGATGTTTTCAGTAGGGAGAAGCAGAGGGTAAAATAGATGGGGGCAAAGGAGACCTAGAATGTAAGCCACACTCATCCCAAACCACCCAACATACTTAAAAGCTGAAATCACCTAATTAGCTGGGATTCATTTTGATGGTGTGTGGGCAGATGAGCTGCAGGGCATGTATCCATTTACTCATTCAATATGTAATTACTGAGAGCCAATTACTCCGTTCCAAAGACTGGAAATACAATAGGGAGCAAGATAGACACGAATCTTACCCTCATGGAGCTTACAATCCACAGCAGGGGTTCCCAAATGTACATCCTGATGCCTCAGTCACATCCCAAACCATATAAATCAGACAGGGAGTCTGGGGAAGGGTCCAGGCACCAGGACCTTAAAAAGATCCCCAGGCGATTCCAATGTGCAGCAAGTTTTGGAAGCTGCCTGGCATGCTTAACTGTGTTGCCATGGTTTGCCCAATCAATGAGGACAAAAGCCTTGCCCATTACTCGCTCTTTTCCTGCTCTGTTTGCTAAAACTCCATATGCCCCCAAGGACTTCATTCTCACGTCTTCAGTACGTGTGAAATTCTCCGCAAGCTGAATCGACTCTGAGCCTTATCAAAGGAGTTTCCTAACTGAAAGCACCCAGCCACATCCTTGAAAGCTAGTAGGGGCCCTCTTTATTCCAAACCTAAAATTGGACACAGTACCCAGTGTATAATCTGATAATGGTATAAAATATTTGAAACCTAGGCCATCCCAGAAATCCTAAGCCTCCTGGCTACCCTATCAACGTGGTCGTTTCATGGCATGAACCCTGGGAGCAGACTACCAGCAGTTTTCCATCTCCAGATTTCTTTGTTAAGGTAGAAAAAGAGAACATGCATGATAGCTCTTCCCTTCTGTTCACTGTGAGCTTTTATATCCAGTTCCCCTGGAAGCGATCGATGGAAATCCATTATAGACTTTCTTGGGCCTCCTCCTGGATTTTCATCAATTTGGAAAGGAAACATTACATTAAGCCTTTTTCTGGAAGGCCCCAGCAATTTTTGCAAATGAGAAAAAAGGAAAAGAGAGTGCAGAAAGGAGTCTGCTTTAAAGTTGTAATGAACATGCCAGGAAACAAAACAAAACAAAACAAAACAAAACAAAACAAAACAAAACAAAACAAAACAAAACGCAACAAAAAATGATGGAGGCTGAGAAAAATGGTTCAGGAGAAGTACTTCCTTTGGCTTCCCATTGTGTGTTCCGAAAGGCAAAGTGGTCCCCACTCGAACCACCAGAGCCTGCCAGTTGGCCAATTCAGCAGCATTCCACTACAGAGATTAAAACCAACTTTATGACTGTGGTGTAAATAATAAAGAGCCTGGCGGGGTTTCCTTCCAAAATGAAAGCTCGTTTATTTTCCGAGGTGTATAATTTGGTTGTAAATGTTTCCTTTGGGCCAAAACATCCTCGATTGGGCTTTTGCCTGGAACACATCACTACTTTGCTGGAGAAGAATGGACTCCGTGTGGTCCTGCCATGTCTGTCCACCTGGGGCACGGAAGGGTTCCAGTTGGCCTGCCCGTGTTTCATGTCTGGCGGCAGTGGTCTGCTGGCAGAACTAGGGGTGGGAGGCAGGGGATGCTGGCCTGGAATGGCTGCACCAGCTCCTCAGCCCTGTTCCATCTGTGAAATGGGCAGGCTCGCAGCTGATCTCCCTTCTGCCTGTTTTCAGTACCTTTCAGTGGTGGGGAGAACAGAAGATCATTAGGAACCCTGATTCCCGTGAGATTTGGCTTTTTCCCCCCAGATCTTTGTGTCCTTATTTTATTTATCTTTTCAAAAATCATCCTAAAAAATTCCACCCAACAATGAGTAATATTTGGATAAAGGCAACAGGTTCTTTGCAGGGCTCCTGACCTGACCACATGTACGTGGGGCCTGAACTTGGCCCACGATGTTTAGCCAATCTTACCTAAAGATAAACAGCTTTTTCTCCTGTACAAGCCGCTTAAGAAGTTACAGCACTTTCTACCAGTATTTTCATGTTGATCAACTCTCTTACATCATATACTTTCACCTTGCTTTCCATTTGTCCCTTCATGTTAATTCAAAGCCAGTGCTCGGTTTTGCAGATAGAAATATATTTATTCCACTGGCTTCCCCCGCTCACCCCCAAATGGCAGGTCATGCAGAACAGGGAAACATCTGGGGATCAAGGGAACGGCCTCAAAAGTCATCATATGCCATCCCTTCAGGTTGTTTCAAACTGTCCCTCTAACACTGGGTTTTGGATGAAGGAGACGAAAAGAAGTGAACTGAAAGGGGAAAACAAACTGAGCACATTTCACCCCAGCTACATGTGAAGAACACTGGTAGAAATTAGTATTATGAGGCCTGGCTCAAGAGGTAAAGTTCAATGGTCTTATTTATTATGAAATCACTTGCTGGGAAATGGTGCAGAATGCTTTTGCTACACTCAAGATTCTCCTGAGATTGATCTTGAAGCAGTATGTCAGGCAAGGTGTTGCATTAAAAAAATAGCTTCCTCTGGAGTGGAGACATCTCACTGGTAAGGCCCATCATCTTTTCAAAAGAATATCAAATTTTCCAGTGACATGGTTCTTCCAAGACAGTTCACACACCAGCAATGCAGTTCATACTCAGCTTTTTGTATACTCACCTGCTGCTGGATATCAGATCCCTTGTTGCTTCAAGTGGAGCAACAAGAAATGTTCATAAAGAAGAATCAAGCAACAAGAAATGCTAGAGAATAAGAATATCTGACAATTTGTGCACACAAAGAAATGTACTACTATGAATCGGGCAGCCACAACCTCAGTCTCCAAGTAACTTGCTGGCTTTAGCTCATTTCTTCCGCACTTTTGGACGCTGCCATCACCCACATAGCCCACCTGGAACTTGGAAAATCAGGTTTGCACAGCACTTGGAAACCACAACACTGACACACGATGAACAAGTCATAGAGGAAATTCTGACTTTCCTCTGTATCAGACCCACAAAGGCAAGGGATTTAGACCACTCCTGTTGCATGAATGTCACTTTTGCACTGTGGTTAGAGGATTTTGTTCTAGGACACACACATCACACTGGGATAAAAGAGAAACCAAGATCCTACTTCTTTTTGAAAACCGTAATTCTTTCCTACTTCACTACCTTATGTCAATACATCTGAGCCTCAGGGGCTGTAAGTCACTTCCTGTCGTGGTCAGGTTTCCTCTCCTTTATGAAGCTTTCAATACTTCTCACAGTTCCCAGGTGCAAACACGACTTGGCTGAAAGTCATTTTGAATTCAGAATATTGCCTACAGAGGCCTAGATGGTGGGTTTTGAGAAATAATCATCCCTCATGCTAAAGTCTCTCTTTTAAGTTGCTCCTCCTACCTACCTACACACACACACACACACACACACACACACACACACACACACCCCTCACTTTGCTGCCAGAAATGCTGTGGTTTCAGCCACAGCATCCGGCGAAGGTGTCCTGGGTCATTGGAACCCTCCTGACCTGTACAGGCTGCAAGCCACTGATAACTTCATCAGATGGGCAGACATGAATCAGGGGTCAGGAAGGGACACGCTGACACTTAAAGACACAACATTTCCTGATGCTGTGTTTTTGGTAAGTTGAAAAGTTTACTTCACAGAAGAACAAGAAATTGCAGACCCAGGCCCTCTTTCTGTCTCTAAATCTCTTCTTATTTTTTTTTTGAGACGGAGATTCACATTTTTTTGCCCAGGCTGGAGTGCAATGGTGCGATCTCGGCTCACTGAAACCTCTGCCTCCCAGGTTCAAGTGATTCTCCTGCCTCAGCCTCCCAAGTAGCTGGGATTACAAGCATGTGCCACCACACCTGGCTTTGTATTTTCAGTAGAGACGGGGTTTCACCATGTTGGCCAGACTGGTCTCTAACTCCTGATCTCAGGTGATCCACCCGCCTCAGCCTCCCAAAGTGCTGGGATTACAGGCCTGAGCCACTGGGCCCGGCACTATACATATATATATTTTTAAATCTCTGTCTTGCTCCCTTCTTTCCCCTGGAATGGTTTAAAAAAAAAAGAGAGAAGGATATTAATTACAATGCAGGAGTTATCAAGTGACTCTAAATTGCTTTATTAAAAACCAAGTTCAGTCAGGTGGTTTTACATTGAAAAGAAAAAAGAAAAGGTATGAATGGAGAATCCCAAATCAGTTACTTTCTTCTTATAAGGCCAGGGCACTGGGGGATTGGACAAGGTCTTAGAACTTGGGAATTTAATCATGGCTTTGCCATTGTCCATTTCAGGCAAGTAGGTAAACTTTCCGGGTCTCAGGTTTCTCATCTATAAAATGAAAAAACACGTATCTGCTCTGCCTCCTTAAATGTGGTGAAGGCATTTTGGAAAGCACGACACTCCCTGACCTTCCAGACTTTCTTGGGCACTTTCCATATGCAAGTAGCTACACTGCATGCCATGGGTATAACAGAGGAGTAAGCTACAGTTGCTGGTCACATGGCCCTTCCTCTGTCCTGGCAGGCAGAGTGGGCAGTAGGGATGCTTCGTACCCACAGATAGGCAGGGAGCAGGAAGAATGCAATATTCACTCAGTGGATGAACCATGCTGTGAGGGTTCAGAAGTGGGCCCATTTCTACCTCGACAGTTCACAGAAAAGCTTTTTTTTTTTTTTTGAGATGGAGTCTCGCTGTGTTGCCCAGGCTAAAGTGCAGTGGCATGATCTTGGCTCACTGCAACCTCCGCCTCCTGGGTTCAAGTGATTCTGCTGCCTCAGCCTCCCGAGTAGCTGGGATTACAGGTGTGTGCCACCATGCCCGACTAATTCTTTTTTGTGTATTTTCAGTAGAGACGGGGTTTCACCATGTTGGCCAGCTGGTCTTGAACGCCTGACTTCAAGTGATCTGCCCACCTCAGTCTCTCAAAGTGCTGGGATTATAGGCGTGAGCCACAGCGCCCAGCCCACAGAAAAGCTTTTGTGGCCTGTCCAGAATTTTTGCAACCGGAAAGAGGGCAAAGAACATCGGAGTGGGCGGGTACAAGGAATAGTGAGAGTCTAATTTGGCTGAAAATGCAGCCTATAAATTGAGGAGCAGGAAAGGTGGGTCAGTTCCAGATATGGAGTTCCTCAGTATCTGTTTTGAGTCATGGAAAGGGGAATGATTGGAAGTTTGTGAGCAGAGGAGAGCAACAGTTTAGAAGATGAAACTAAGTATTATTTTGAATTGACATGAAAGGAGAGAAATGAGAAATGAAATAAAATGAAGGAATTAAGGAAATCTGGAAAAGTAAGGACCCATGTAACTACACTAGAGTGTGCAGGGGAACTATCACTATTGGGACACACAGGAATGGGCAGGTACATGTGGAGGGGAGTATGGCAGGCAGCTTCTGAAATGGCCCTCAATGACCCCATCTCCTGGAATACACAGCCTTGTGCAATCCCCTCCCTTTGAGTGTGGGATGGAGCAAACGACTTGCTTCTGACAAATAGGGTATGGCAAACATGATGGAATGTCACTGAGATTAGGTGACAAAGACTGTGGATTTTGTCTTGCTCATACTCTTTTTCTGGCTTTATTCACTTACCTGCTCTGATAAATTCTGCTGCCATCCTGAGAGCTGCACCACGGAGAGGCCCACATGGCAAGGAACTGAGGGCTACCTTTACTGTAGCCTGTGAGAGACCATGGGCCAAGGGATCCAGGTAAGCTGTGTCTGAATTCCGGACCCATGGAAGTTCTGAGATAATAAACGTGTGTTCTTTTGAGCAGCTACGGGGTAGCATAAGTATAGGGTAATTTGTTATACAGCAATAGATAACCAATACAAGAAGGAAGGAAGATATTTAACCAACATGGGGTGGCAGGGAATAAGTGCTTTTTGGTATTAAAATCCCAGACTCATGGTCCAAAGTTGTGCATGTTCTTTCTTCTAGACTTTTTTGACTTTAGGAACATTTTATAAAAAGAAACCTCTCCACCACTCCTTTCTTTCATTGTTTCCAAGGTTGATTAAAGAAACATGACCTGATGTTCAATTTCAGAAGACTCAGAAGGGCCTTCCAATAGAAAACTGGCAGGAAATTAATGCCATATACACCAGGCAAAGCAGATGTTTCTGAATATGACACTTAGGTGAAACACACCTTTCCCTTTTACACATTTTACTCACTTTTGACTTGTGCATAGGTAGTTTGCTTCTAGGGGAATGAAAAGGGGGACATGTCTTCTCAATAGAAAATGTGGTCAAAACCTGGCCAGGGATTTTGAAGAAACCACATTATCTCCTTATCTGTGTTTAAATTATGGAAGTATATAGTAAAGGTAATACCATGCCTGTGAACTGGAATAAGCCTTCATGCTAAATAAGTATCTTTAATATGTTTTTATATGCAATGTGTTTGCTTATCATTAAATTCTTTTCACTAGTCATCTTGCTGTGTGAAAACAAATCACAAAGCTGCCTTACCAAATAATTTGTAGGACTTGAGGACATGTAATGTCCGAATAAGTGACCACTATATATTTTCATTAGCTTATGCTGGTTTTTTTTTTTTTTGCATAGGACATCTTCTACAGTAGTGGTAATCCTCCATATTTCAGCTGACACCTCTATGTGAGCTGTGGTCATCTTAGTGTCGAGAGAGTCCCCTCTGCCCACATGAAAACCAGTCAGAGACGAGCTGTTTTGAATCAAGTCTCCTGCTCTTGTAGACTTTTAGTTTGACCTTGGAATGTTCAAGCAGACCTCTGCATTTAATCCAAGATTGAGGCAAGTTTTCTCTCTGCCTAGGTTTATCTTGTCTGTCTGTGAACAAAAGAGAGGATAGCAAAGTACCTTGTTTGGATTTGTCTATAAATGTGACCTTCCTAAACTGGCTAACAGGGCTCTCTTTCTGACCTGCAGATGAATCACCAGTGCCTACACTGGAGATGTGGTAATAGACAAACACTCCCTTCTGCAAATACCATGAGCATTGAGGTCTATCCTCATTCCACTAAGCAAACATATTATGTGGAAAATTGAGAAACAATTCCATCTTCCCTTCAAATATCTATTTCAGGAAAACTGTGCCTGCTATTCTAACTGCAGAAATACTCTGAACCTCTAAGTCTTGTCATTCCATATCAAATGGGTTGTAACAATTCCTACTGAAACCATGTTTTGCTGATTAGTTAATGGATAGACATAGTGCAAACAGATGCTTAACGGTGATGGATATAGCTTAAAATATTGGGCATGCTTAATTTCTTCCCTAGGTTTTGGCATTAGTGAAGGGCTAATTTTTTTTTATTCATAGCTTATATTTGAAAAGTGAGGGGATGCATGGCAGTCAATGGCATTCAGATGGTCGTTTTACTGCTTTTATAATAAGAGAGACCTAGAGGTCAAGCAGGAATAAGACAAACAGCTAAGAGGACAGCCCTAAGTGTGGAACACTGCAGAATCTTAAAAGCATAAGCCATATTGAGTAATGAGGCAGAGAGGGCTAGCTTTCTACCAAAAATACGTGTCTTTGTGCCAAGCTGGAGGCAACCCTTATCAGGGAATACATTTCCAAGTCATCCCGCATCAAAGGATGATCTATGTGAGCAGAAGTGATGTGTGTCACTTCTGAGCTGGGACTGCTAAGAAGACATCAGGGCCTCCATCATCCTGGGTCCCTGAATGACTGCATGGAACTGACCACTAAGAAAGCTGAGGGTGAAAGATGTTAAATGTTGTGCCCATGGTCACAGCCAGTTAGTGACAGAGTAGGGACTCAAAGTTATGTCTTCTGAATTCCAAGGCAAGAGTTCTTTTTTGGTAATAGACAAGGAACTTCTTCCCCAAGCCACGCAGTCACAGTGATTAAAAGCATGGACTCTGGTGTCCAGACAGCCAAAGTTCAAATCTTGCCTCTACCTCTGCTATCTGTGTGACTTGGACAAGGTACTTAACCTTATTGTGTAAAATGAGGATAACAATAATGCCTACCTCAAGGTGTTGTTTTGACGGTTAAATAAGTCAATATTAATCAAATGCTTAAAAAAGTGTCTGGCCCACAGTAGGGACTATTTAAGTATATGACAAAAACAAGTAGATAAAATCAGGTGAAATCTGTATAACTACCAGCTCCCACTACTTCACACATGAACAGTAAGGAACCCGATGTCTTAAGCTATGGCTGCCAACCTCACCTATCAAGGCTCAAGTAATTCCTACCCCTCATCTGATGCTTTTATACCAACCTTAATAAGCATAGAAACAACAGCCTAGAAGCCATCATGCCAATGAGCAAAGAGTCTCACCTCCATTCAAGAGAAGTGCAGGACCATTCCCATCATGGCTCCCCCAGCTGCCATCAAGAGACCAGGCTCTCCATTCTACACATCTCTGAACACTTAATTGGACTCAGCCTGTCCTCCTTCACCTTCCCAAACCTTTTACTGGACCTTCTCGGGCTTTTCCTCCATGATAATCAATCTCTCATTTTCCACTTCTCTGAACATCCCCTCAACCTTCTCCTGGATCTTCTTGGTTCCATGGCTAACTCCTGACTTTTTCTTCCCCTTCCTCCTGAAAAATAAAAACAAAAACTGAACAAACAAATCCTGCTCCTTTCAAGATGCTGGATGTTCCAACTGCTCTGTGGAGTTTCTGGTCATTCTCCGTTCATCTAAAAGCCCAGCTTCTGGCTTAGTCTTCTTTACCATTGACCTCCTGTTGTCCTTTTTGGTGACTTCAACATCCATGTAGATGACCTCCCCAGTTCTTGGACCTCCTCACCTCCCATACCCTTTCCCTCTACTGCATCTCAACCACCCTCTTCCCTAGACCTTTTGTCAGTAAACCTTCTACATAAAGACACTTTCCATTCTTTTAACTCATTTTTCCAGTTTTAAAACTCATTGAGATCTCCAAGCCACTGCCATTTTCTCACCTCCCTTCAGCCTTCTCTTGTTTTTACTTTCCTTCTTCAACAAGTGTTCTTTTATTTTAATCATTTCCTTGCAACGGCCCTCAACTCTGCTTGCCCCTTTCTCTTCTCCTTATATATTTGACTGGCAACACCTCCATTTTGGTTGAACTCAGTGATCCAACTTCTGTAGGTTAGTAGCCAAGCAGGTGGGTGATGGGAACAATAAAAGCATCCAACTTGACAAACTTGCTTTATTTTAGATTCATGTCCTCAAACCCTCAAATGAATACTAAGCACTGTTCCAAAATCCAACTGCCCTTCCTTCACAACCTTACTTGCTCCAGTATCCAAGATGACCATTTTATATCTTCTCTCCTCAAACGTCCTACTTGTGCTCCTGCCCTCACTTCATATTTCACTGATGGAACAGGAGTCATGAGATGGTAACTCTTTTATTACCATCACTCTATTTATACTCCTGTCTGCATAGCTCATTTTCTTTCTCTTCCCAATTGTTACACAGAACAAGCTTTCCTGCTTCTGTGAAAGGCCAATGCTCACACATAGCCCCTTGCCTTCTTGAAGAATTCACTCCTCATTTCTCCTCTCTCAGTTTTGCATCATCAATCTCTCCCTTTCTATTGGATCGTTCTCATCAGCCTCACAGATGCCCTGGTATCTCTGATCTTACATGAACCAAAAACTCTTTTTTGACCACATGTTCATATATCTCCCCTTTTTATAGTAAAACTTTTGCAAGACTTATTTGTATATTCTGTCTCCATTTCCTCACCTTCCATTTGTTCCTTTACCCAATAGACACTGGAGTCTGTTCCCATGATGCCTCTGCAACTGCAGAGCAGTTGGTGACCTCATTCAGGTCACCAGTCATGGCTGCGTTGCCCAGTTGAATGAGCACTTCTCTGGCCTCATCTTTTTTGTTCTCACAGCAGCATTCGATAGAAGTCCTCTCTCCTTAAGGCATTCTTCTCCCCTGGCTTCTGTGACACACCTCTTGGTTCTCCTTTTACCACTTTCATCATGACACCTCACTCTCAGCTCCCTGTCCACTTCACAGCCTCCCTGCTATTATCTTCACTTACATGTCCCAGAGGCATCTCATATTCCACATGTCCCATATAAATCCACTGACATGAACTCTACCCTTGTGAAACTGGAAGCTGTCTTTGACTCTTCACTTCTTAACTCTGAAATGCAATCCAACAGCATATCCTGTTGGCTCTGTCTCAGAACTGTGCCTTGCATCCATCCACTCTTCTCTACCCTGGTCCACATCCCATCACCTCTTACCTGAATTATTGTGAAATTTTCTAACATATCTATGTTCTTCCCTCTCATTATCCACTGATCAGATGGAGCCATCATTTAGAAGCTCTTCAATGGCTGCTTCCTCACCAATCCTAGAACAGCCATATTCTTTATCATGACCTGCAAAATCCTTGCTTTTTTCTGCAAGTTCATGTGCCACTTTCTTCCTTACACACTGTTCTCCAGTCTCTTTTCCATCCCTTAGTCATGCCAAAGTCCTTCCTATCTCAAGGCTTTGGTGTTTGTGATTCCGTCTGCCTGACTGGCTCTCCTGAGTTCTTTGCAGAGCTGGTCCTTTTATTCCCCCAGCTCAGGACTCAAGTGTCACTTTTCCATCAAGTCCTTCCTTGACCACCCTCTTTTAGTAGGAACTCCCAGTTATTCCCTATCTTTTGCTCCCTGTTTATGTCCTGCTAAGCACCTATCACAATCTATAATAATTCCTTTATTCTGAATCAATTATTGTCAGTTTTCTTTCTAGAACATAAGCTTGTTCTCTATTGAATCTCCAGTGCCTAGCACAATATCTGCTGATCACAGCCACGCGATATGAAAGTGCTGAATGAATGAATGGAATTGTAGAATGCCATGTGGCTGGGCAGTGCTCAATGCTTATATGTACATTATTTCATTTGCCTTACTGCAGTTTGGTTGTATATTAAATAAAAGAGACAATTCATGTCCATTTAATTACCTTTCTGCTCCTGTAACAACCTAAGAGCAACCACCATGTAGCAGGATCCCAGCACTTTAGATGTACACTTACTCTAATTCTCTTTAGCTAAGTGGGGCTATAAAAACTTTTACAGATGTTCAGAAATGGGGGATTGTGTGGCTTCATGAAAGATGACTTGCTTTGGAGTCTGGTACTGGCTGTAGGATAAATGAATGGTATGGTCTTAGCCAAATCTTTTAATTTCTCCAGGTTTTAGATTCTTTGTCAATGAAATGAGACATTGGGGCTTGGCTTTCTTGCCTACAACAACATTCTAGAATTTGGTGAGTGTCTGCAACCTGCCTTCTAAACAGAGTGCCTCACCATGGAGTGCAGGTGGGTTGGAGCACAGATGAAGCCCCGGTCCAACCTGGGCATTCCTGCAGCCATGTGCAGTGACCCTTGTGTATGTGAGTACCTGTCATGTGCCCACGTATCCTGGTGGCACAAAAGGTACTTCATGTAGATTGTCAGGACCAAGACACAGAACGTTCTTGGGGCACACCACAATAATTCCCCCACTAGCATTCACCTTAAGATGAAAGAAGTAAGTAAAACCCTTCTCAGATCTCAGGGAGGACCCTGCAGATGGATCCCTGAAAACTTAAGGCCAAGGCCATTCATGCCCATTATTGGGTTCGTCCAGACCTTAGCATTAATCCTGGCCTTGGTGAATAAGAAGTGAAAGAACCATTGTGGGGCATGAGAGAACCACACCAGACAGAGTTTCAGGGCAATGAGTCCCTGGGGAGAACCTGGAACAGAACTTCGAATACCTAGTCTGCCACAGATTTTTTCCTGAGAACTTGCCTTTCATTATTTCTATTTAATACCTGCTGTTCAATGTTTAGATTCACTCTCTTTGTGATCCCAATGCCTCTTCAAATGTTTCCAGTTTTTTTCTAGTTGATGTGGATTCCCCAGATTTATCTCATTTCATGATGTCTTCGGAATTGCATGTTGTGCCACCATCACACTTCACACTCTCAGTAAGGAGCTCTCAGTTGTCTCACCTGGTTCGTGTCTTCCTGAATGTACCAGTGAGGGGAGCAGAGAGGGAAGGATGCACTGAGTTGTTAGCCTTTTTCCAGCAAAGTATGGAGAGCTGAACCTTTTCAGGAGTAATGGGTTAAACAGAAGTGGATGACTTGCCCACTCTTTAGAACGTTGTATCCTCTATGGGCTGATCAACTGCTATCATGAGTGAACCTGAAAGGATTATTCTGGATTGGTCAGTTTTCAGGAGGCTGGTCATTTTGATCGTAGATGTGACTTTCTCCACCACCTGGGTCAGACTCCATGTGAAGCCAAAAACATCCTGTATATTATAAATAATTTTACTTTTTTCCTTCTTGGAAAGTTAATAACATTCTTCATTTTCTGATAGGCATAAAAACAACTTTGTTGTTTTCTAGTTGAGTTCTAGTATCTGGAAATGCTAATAAGTCTGTGAGATTTTCACACTGGAATTATGTGGAGTGATGTCCATGTGGGTATTGGGGAACTATGTATAATCGATCCAGGAGTTTAATTTGGCCCCAACCCTTAAAAAAATGTTTACCCTACTGAAGGGCAGCTCCAAATAAGTTAATGAGTAATGGGCTATGAATTTTGCCATTTTGCCTGATTTTAGTGAGGTGGCCCTCTGGTTTGAAGTAGATTGCCTCTCATTAATGACCTTCTCAAGAACTTTCAGAGCCTAGGGAGAGGGCTAGAGCATAAAAATATAATTCAAATTAGTCCCCAAAAGTCACCATGTCCAGTAGAAGTCTCTCAGGCCCATGGCTGGACTTCTGGGAATGTTTGGGCAATGTAACCACAGTGATGTTTATTAAATGGAATGTCCACCTCACAGTGCTCTCAAAAGTATTCTTTTTTTTAAATTTTAAGTTATTGCTCCTCTTTATTGTAAACGATGTCCTATAAAGAAGATATATGTCTACAATTGAGCTTTGAAGGAGGACCATGGAGCCAGTTCCTTTTAAGGGGAATGAAGTCAAGCAGTAAATTTGCTGGTCACTCTTTTCATATGGACCGCATCTCAGCCAGCAGTTGGTCTTTGATGTTGTAACAATGGCACTGGGACCTGAGGCAGAGGAGCACCCCCATAATACTGAAACCAGCCTGCATTCATTCTAATTTGGAGAACAATCTGTGGGATAGTACGCACATCAGGGAGCCCAGAGAGTGAACTCCAGGGCTGTGGGTAATCTTTCCCAGTGAAAATCAGCCATCTCTTCTACACCATGTACCCTGCCTGCTGCATTCTTTACTCTTTTATTAAAATTGAAGTATGATATTCCTACAGAAATATACACATATATAACTCTACAACTCAATGAGATTTCACAAACTGAAGACACCTAGGCAACCAATGCCTAGATCAAGAGGCAAAACATTACCAGCACCCTAGCTGCCCTCCTTGGACTCCCTTTTCATCACTTCCCTGACAAAGGTAACTCTCTTCCAACAGCACAGGTTCCTTTTTCCTGGTTTTGAACTTTACCTAAACAGAATTATCCAGCATGTACTTTACTGTGCCTGGTTTCCTTCACTCAACATTACATTTGTGAAATTGTGCATGTTGCATATAGTTGTCATTTGTTCATTCCCACTGTGTACACTTAACTACCTTATTATCCATTCTGTTGATGGCATTGGGGTTGTTTCAAGGTTGGGGCCATTTTAAACAGTGCTGCTATGAACATTATTTTTTAGGTCTTTGAGTGCATTAGTGAATAGATTTCTGTTGGGCACATACTCAGGTGGAATTGCTGGGCCAAGGGCATGTTGATATGTTGGCTGTGTCCCCATTCAAATCTCAATTGAATTGTATCTCCCAGAATTCTCATGTGTTGTGGGAGGGACTTCATGTGTGCTGCAGGGGCAGGGTCCTCATGAAGAACCTCTTCTAGGGCAGTGCAGAAGGGAAATGTGGGACCGGAGCCCCCACACAGAGTCCCTACTTGGGCACTGCCTAGTGGAGCTGTGAGAAGAGGGCCACTGTCCTCCAGATCCCAGAATGGTAGATCTACCGACAGCTTGCACCATGTGCCTGGAAAAGCTGCAGACACTCAATGCCAGCCCCTGAAAGCAGCTGGAGGGAGGCTGTACCCTGCAAAGCCCCGGGGGCAGAGCTGCCCAAGACCATGGGAACCCACCTCTTGCATCAGTGTCACCTTGATGTGAGACCTGGAGTCAAAGAAGATCATTTTGGAGCTTTAAAATTTAACTGCCCTGCTGGATTTCAGACTTGCCTGGGCCCTGTAATCCCTCTGTTTTGGCCAGTTTCTCCCATTTGGAATGACTGTATTTACCCAATACCTGTACCCCCATTGTATCTAGGAAGTAACTAGCTTGCTTTTGATTTTACAGGCTCATAGGCAGAAGGTACTTGCCTTGTCTCAGATGAGACTTTGGACTGTGGACTTTTGGGTTAATTCTGAAATAAATTAAGCCTTTGGGGGACTGTTGGGAAGGCATGATTGGTTTTGAAATGTTAGGACATGAAATTTGGAGGGGCCGGGGTGGAATGATATGACTTGGTTGTGTCCCCAATCAAATCTCAACCGAATTGTTTCTCCCAGAATTCCCATGTGTTGTGGGAAGGACCCAGGTGGAGGCAATTGAATCATGGGTGCCAGTCTTTCCCATGCTAACTCAATGAATATCCCAGCATTAGTTGGAAAGGTGAGAAGTTTGTTAACATAATTGTCTTCTACTGTATTACTCCTAAGAATTGTAACTCTGAGCAGGTCCTTGTTAGAAGGATGGCCGAGACGGGCACATTGGCTCACGACTGTAATCCCAGCACTTTGGGAGGCCGAGGTGGGTGGATCACAAGGTTAAGAGATCGAGACCATTCTGGCCAACATGGTGAAACCCCGTCTCTACTAAAAATATAAAAATTAGCCGTGCGTGGTGGTGGGTGCCTGTAATCCCAGCTACTCAGGAGGCTGAGGCAGTAGACTTGCTTGAACCCAGGAGGTGGAGGTTGCAGTGAGCCAAGATTGCATCACTGCACTCCAGCCTGGGTGACACAATGAGACTCCATTTCAAAAAAAAGAAAAAAGGGAAGTACAATATACTATGCACAGAGCTTTGGAACTCCTGTCCCCAGGCATGTTCTGTTTCTCTTGTTGCATCTGGGGAAGGAAGGTAGGAAACGGTGCCCTTTCATCAGGGAAAGTGGTCGCAGGCTTATATTGTCCAAGCCCCGTGAGTGATGAATAACGTATTTGCAGGCACAGTTCCTACCATGTAGCACACAATTTGTAAGCAGTGAAAGGACAACCATTCTGAAAAAAGATGGAAAGTGATGGGCATGTGTTTCTTGACTCAGAAACAACCCTTGGTGGGGGCCGAATCATGTGCTGCCAGAGCAACCCATAGGATGACATGTGAGAGCTTTCTCCAGCTCTAACTTCTCAGTGGCAGGGCCCTCTGGGACTCACCCTTTCTCTTGGCCTGACTCTGGCCACACAGCCAGGCTGAGCAGCTTCTCAACACAGCCCTGGTGATGTTAACTATTCTTATCCCATTTTACTGAATGGGACACAGAGATGTAGAGAAGTGTAAGGATTTTGCTTAGGGGCAGAGACTTAACTGAGGAGCAGAACTGGAATCAAAACAACTCCAAAGCCCATGACCACTTTTTGGCTAGTCTGTTGGATCTTGTGACTTGCTTTGGCTGATGAAATGGTAACAGATATGACTGATGTGTAATCCCATCACCATGAGAGAAATGTGTGGCAGGTAACCTGCTGGTCACAAAAGAATGGGAGACCCATAGTGTAAACCTAGACCCAATCCATAGCTTAAAGCCATGCCCTGCCTAGATCTACTGAACCTCAGCTGACCCATGGACCCATGAGTGTGAGAGTACATGCTTATAATTGCAGACCGTTGAGATTTGGAGTAGTTGTCCTACAGCATTATTATTAGGCAATAGCTGGATAACACAGGACCTGTATTAAGTGCTTTCTGGGACCTGCAACTTGCAAGAAAAACATGCATGTAGACCAGTGTTTCTCAAACCATGACCTGCATATGATTAATCTGGGGACCTTGTCAAAATACAGATTCTGTAGGAAAAAATATTTGCAAACTATCAGATGCAAAAAATATTTGCATCTGATAAAGGGCTAACATACAGAATCCACAAGGAACTCAAACAACTCAGCAAGAAAAAACCAAATGACCTCGTTAAAAAGTCGACAAAGGACATGAACAGGCATTTTTCAAAAGAAGACATACAAGAGGACAACAAACATATGAAAAAATGCTTTACATAACTAATTATCAGAGAAATAAAAATTAAAACCACAATGAGATACCATTTTACACAAGTCAGAATAGCTATTGTTAAAAAATCTAAAAGCAACATATGTTGGCGAGGACATGGCTAAAAGGGCACACTTATACACTGTTGGTGGGAATGTAAATAAGCACAACCTTTATAGAAAACAGTATGGAGATTTCTCAAAGTACCAAAAAGAGAACTACCATTCAATCCAGCAATCCCACTCCTGAGTATATACCCAAAGGGAAAGAAATCAATACATCAAAAAGATACCCGCACTCATCTGTTTATATCACAGCACTATTCACAACAGCAAAGACATGGAATCAACCTAAATGTCCATCAGTGGAAGACTGGGTAAAGAAATATACCATGGAATACTACTTAGACATAAAAAAGAATGAAGTCATGTCTCTCGCAGCAACATGGCTGGTACCGGAGGCCATTATGCTAAGCAAAATAACTCAGAAACAGAAAGTCGAATACCACGTTCTCCCTTATAAGTGGGGGCTAAACAATGGGCATACACGGACATACAAAGAGTAATCAGACACTGGGGACTCCAAAAGGTGGGAGGTGGAGGGGATGAGGGCTGAAAAATTACTCACTGGGTACAATATTCACTACTCAGGTGATGAGTACACTAAAAGCCCAGACTTCACTACTACACAATATACGCACCTAAGAAACCTGCACCTGTACCCCCAAAATATATATAAGTAAACATTTTTAAAATGCAGATTCTGATTCAGTAGTTCTGGGCATGGCTTAAAACTCTTATTTTATAACAAGCTTTCAGGAGATGCTAATACTGGTGGTCTGTAGATCGCATTCTGGGCGCAAGGGCTGAGAAGCCATTCTGAGCTTCTTGTCTATCTCTGGGCCATGAATGCACCTAGTGAACATTTGGGCAATGGATGGGTTACCTTATGTGTAAGAGAAGGACAGTATTTTCCCTCATAATGAGAATCCTATGTGAGTCACTAACAATCTGTATTTTCCTATGTCCCATGTGCCCAGAAGGTCAGAATTTCCTCAATTCATTTCTTGGGCTAAGAATTAGGAACATCTAATGGGATCTCCTTTTTTTTTTTTTTTTTTTGAGATGGAGTTTCGCTCTTGTTGCCCAGGCAGGAATGCAATAGCACAGTCTTGGCTCATTGCAACCTCTAGCTCCCTGGTTCAAGCAATTTTCCTGCCTCAGCCTCCCGAGTAGCTGGGATTACAGGAATGCACCACCACGCCCGGCTAATTTTGTATTGTCAGTAGAGATGGGGTTTCTCCATGTTGGTCAGGCTGGTCTCGAACTCCCGACCTCAGGTGATCCACCCGCCTTGGCCTCTCAAAGTGCTAGGATTACAGGCATGAGCCACCGCGCCCGGCAGGATCTCCATTTTTATTTTTGCTCTTCCTACTCCCTGAAATTTGAAGATTCCCAGCAATAAACTTGGCTTCCAATTCATGTTGAGCTCAAAATCCATACCAGGTTTCTATGTCACAATGTAATTGAGGCCCCAGGCAGGAGATACGAAATCTATTTCTGGTTTTCTTAATTTCCACTCATGGGGACAAGGAATGGGGCAAGAGAATCAAGGAATATTGGACAGCAGGACACGGGAGAAGTAGAGTTTTCTTCTGGGACACTTTTCCGGCCTGTTTTCTTTTTTTTTTTTGGTCCAGCATCGAATTTTCTTTTCACAACCCCCACCATGATGGTCACTACAATCAATGTCTGTCACCACCATCACTTGGAGAATCGAGACCCATGAGACTACTTTGGGCATTCTGAAAAGAAAGGAGAATTCCTTCTAAGGAGACAGTATCTTCTCTCCTTCTTTCAGTATTTCATAATATACTGTAGTTCATACACTTACATTTTAACCAAGAAAAATATCATCCTGGGATTCAACCTTCAAATGCTGTGAAGTTTTCCAAGGGAGTACCTGGATTGTTGTAGATCCTAAACACTTTATGTGAGTGCACCAAAAAGATTTCCAGAATTTCTTAATAAGCTAAACATACAACTGCTATATGATCCAACCATTCTGCTCCAAAGTATTCACCCAAGAGAAATGAAAGCAAATGTTCACACAAAGGCTTATACCTGAATGTTCACAGCATCTTTAATAGTTGCCAAATAGGAAATAACCTAAATGGGTCAATGGGTAAACATATGGTGGTATATCCACACAATAGAATATTAATTGGTAATAAAAAGGAACAAATTATCTATGCACAGAACAACATGAATGAATCTCAACATGAGCAAAAAGCCATATCATGCAATGCTATGCATTCTGTATTCCACTTATATAAAAGTCTAGGAAATCCAACACTAATCTACAGTGAGAGAAGGCAGATCAGTGGTTGCTTGGAGATTGCTGAAGCTCACAGAGGAGCACAAGGAAACTTTTCAGATGGTAGATTTATTCATCATCTTGACTATGGTGATGGTTTTACAGGTGTCAGTATTGTCAAATTTTTCATTTAAATATGTACAGTTTATTAGTTGTCAATTGCACTTCAACAAAGCTGTATTTAAAAAAATAATAATAAAATGACTGCCACTCTTCTCCTCCTGTCCTCACTGCCATCTCCCAGGGTTACCTGTGAGGCAAGGCATGTCTGTTATTTGTTTCTTTGTCCTTGGTGAAAATATTCTACCTGGATGCTTATGGGAGGAAGTTAACACTGGGGCAGGCTATGACCATTTCCACCTTCTCTGCATTCTTCATACAGATTTTGGACATACTTTGTTATTTTTGAAAATAGATAAGTGGTGTCCAGATGACATCAATGGCCCATCGCATTCAAAGCCTACCTGACCTTTTCCAGGTCACTGCTCTTGAATATTTGGTGATTGGGGTACTCAAAACTGCAAATCAGGCAGCTCAGAGACCCAAACTTGAAGACAGAACTCTTCTATTCCATGAACCTCGCAGTACTATCTCTTCCATGGGGAATGTGGGTGTTGCTGTCTAATGGATGTGTGTCAGCCATAGAGAGTGCTCTGTGCAAGATGATTGGGTTTACTAAAATGTGCATGAGTCAGGCCAACAGGAAGAAGGGGTAGTTAACCTACTGTTTTTACTTCTACTCGGTTTACAAAAATAACTTTCCAGGGACACGTGCTGGTCTGTGCTCAGGGAGTTGATGCCTCACAGGGAGTAGATGACAATCCCACACGCCTCTGAGGCCTCCCCATTGTTACTCATCCTCCCACCTAAGATAGTAAAGGACCATGGGATCAGCATCTCAGGAGAAAAAGGACCCATTAGATCTCTAAACACCAGGAATTTGTAGGCTTTGCCTAGGCGTGACCTTTGCAGCCCATCTCTGTAATTTTGGAATTTCCCTCTTCCTGACTGCTCCGGGAGGGCATGGGGTAGCCTGGTTCTTTTGCTGCCTGCAGCACATCTCTCTGAGGCTAACAGACTTCCTCGCTGTTAATGACAACAACAAGCAGGGGCCTCATGGAAACTCTGCTCTGTTACCCTTCTGGAGACTTCCTGTATTGTTGCTACCTAGAGGAGTATCCATTATTACCATGACTACCATTTGGGTGTGGTTCACTTAGTGTGGGTTTTCCTAGAAGCAGGCCCTGAGACAAAGAACAAGTAATTTATTTGAGAGATGACCCCAGAAATCTCTGGTAGGCGAAGAGGGAGGAAGGCAGGGAAGAGAAAGAGCCAGAAGGGTACATTATCAAGTCAGGGACCACAATGGGCAGTGAGTGCTTAGTCCCAAGAGAAACACTGGGCATAATAAGCATATTGGTTTTGTCAGCACTGGACTTGATCTAACCTCTTGACTGATAAGCCACAGAAAGAAAGAAATTAGGTTTTACGTATTTATGTTCACAGTTTCTTATAATTCTTATAAAAAGGAATTGTATAAGGTTTAAATAAAATGCAAAGTGAGGTTTTTTTTTCTTTTCTTTTCTTTTTTTTTCTACAACACATTCCCTTGCTGTTTGTTTGAACTCACTACATATAATCTGGGCACTAAACCGACACCCCCATCCCATCTCTAAATTATCTCCTGTCTTTGGGGGATGAGTAGAGACAGAGGGACACTCTTAGCTGTCATTGAGGACCTAAGGGGCTTCATTGTCATTCTTTTCTTTACAAATCATAAAATTTGTAAAGGGTAAAATTTGTAAACCCTAAGCCAAGGGTTGCAAAAGAAAGATGCTCTCAGAAGATGAGAGAGAAATAATAGAACCACAGAAAGCACTAAAATGTTTTACAATAAGACTAATGAAGACAAGTTAAAGAAACTGAGATAATGGAATTTGGAGACGACAAAGGAACTATTACATAATAATCTTCAAGTTCTACAGGAGAAGTTTCTTGAAAAGAGAGCAGCCACCTGTTCATGAACTCTGGGAAGAAAAAAAAGTGAACAAAGTGAACATGAAATTAACATGTAGCGTAAAAGATTTAATGGGCATATCAGAGGAAAAATGTTCTGATATTAAGAGTTGTTAAAAAACACTTGTATGACATATGGAAAATGTTATTGAGATTATTTGCTTTGGAGGCATTAAAACCAAAACAGATTCTTCTTGACCAAATGAATAGACATCTGAGGATGCCCCCAAACCTCAAAGATTAATGCCTTTTAAACTATGAGTAGAAGTGAATAAATGAAGGAACAGCACAAATGATAGAACTTTATTTTGGTTTATATAAAGGAAAATAAAATTAAGAAATAGAATTATAGTGCTTGAGCTCAAGGTGGCCGACCAAGGTGGCGTTTACCTCTTTTCTATTTATTAATTCTATGGAGGAGGTAGAAGAAATATGAGTCAATCCACAACAGAATTGGAAAGCTGAAAGAAGGGCCAACAGAAGAGAGAGAGGGATTTCTGGTAGATATGAAACAAGTGGCAACCAATTGAAAGTGAAGCACTACAGAGGTGAGAAAAGGAAAGTGAGATCTCTAAAAAGTCAGTTTCCCTAGAAGAATTACCACAATACTATCAAGAACAGAGACTATGTCAGCCTTACTACTAGAAATTTACTCACAAGAAATGAAAACATAGGTCCACAGAAAGGCTTGTGTAAGAATACTAACATGGTCTTACTCATAATATGCAAAGCAATGGAAACAAACCAAATGTCCATTGATGGGGATATACAAATTGTGATAGAGTTACACAGTGGACTATCATTTAGCAATAAAAGAGAGAAATCTACTGATACACACAAAATAAATGAATCTCAAAAACTTAGTTTAATGAGAGAAGCCAGGCACATGGAAAAATGCAAAAAGTACATTTCCATTTATGTGAAACTCTGGAACAGGCAAAACTAATCTACGGTAATGGAAGCCAGAAATTGGTTGCCTCTGGAAGGAGCAAATTGCCTACAATTGTGCACTAGAAGACTTTCTGGGGTGATGGGGAATGTTCTATATCCTAATTTTGGTGGTAACTATATAGGCATATACAACTGTCAAAAATGAAACTGAACCCTTAAGATTCATCCATTTTATTGCATGTAATTTATATGTAGTTTTAAAAAACTTTAAAAAATGCAGAAAGAGAGAGAGAGAGAAGAGAAGAAAGATAAGGAAAAAGAAAGGAAAGGAAGATAAAAAAGGAAGAAAAAGGAAAGAAAGGGAAAGAAAAAGAAGGGGAGAAAAGAGGCTATAGAATTTAGGAGAAAAGGCTGAGGGCAGGAAGTGGTAGAGCTATTTCATTCAGTCCTGGGTTTCAGAGTGGTTGAGTTTGACATTTGCATCTGATATTTACTATGAGCGTTCAGTTATGAAATATTTCCTAAACAAGACACTGGGGTTGAAATAGCCAGAAGAATGCCTCGAGACATAAGACACAATTAAACAACAGAAATAAAAGTATGAGAAGAAAAATTCAGAGACATGAAAGATAGATCTTGAAATCTCAATGTTAGTTTCAATCTCTAACAGGAGTTCCAGAAAAAGAGTACAGGGATATTGGAAATACCAAAGATATAACTAAAGAAATTTTTTCAAGCTGGAGACAAAGTTTAGACTTCAGAATGAAAGGGTCCACCATATGCTGAACAGGACTAACAGCTAAAGCCCTGAATCTAAACACAACCTGGTAAAATTTCCGAACATTAAAATAAAGGAAAAAAATCATAAAAGCATCAAGTTTTTAAAAAAATCACCTACAAAGAAATGGTATTAGACTTCTCATCTGAAATATGAGATGGTATCAAAAATTAAATTCTATTCTTAAAATTCTTAGGGGGGAAATAAGATAGAAGACAGCCAACTGCCAAATTAGCATTTAATTCTGAGAATCAAATAAAGATATGTCTAAAGATATAGGTTCTTATAGAGTTTATAATTAATAAATTCTCTCTGAAAAAATTTTTGAAACTGTGTTCTAGCAAAATAAAAGATGAAAGTATGAGATTGAAGCAGCAGCAGCAGGCCAGGCACAGTGGCTCACACCTGTAATCCCAGCATTTTGGGAGGCCAGGACGGGCAGATCACCTGAGATGAAGAGTTCGAGACCAGCCTGGCCAACATGGTGAAACTCCATCTCTACTAAAAATACAAAAATTAGCCGGGCATGGTGGTGGGTACCTGTAATCCCAGCTATTTGGGAGGCTGAGGCACGAGAATCGCTTGAACCCGGGAGAGGGAGGTTGCAGTGAGCTGAGATCACACCACTGCACTCCTGGACTCCAGCCTGGGCAACAGAGCTAGACTCCATCTCAAAAAGAAAAAAAAAAAAAAAAAGGCAGCAGCAGCTAGATAAAGAAATAAGTAAATCTTAGAATTAAGTCTAAATAATTATTGGTAGTATAATAAAACTGGTAAGAATTGATTCCTAAGATAGACATTATTAATATAGCTTATTAATAAGAAAGATATTTAAATTAAAAAGTTGGGGCCGGGCGCGGTGGCTCACACCTGTAATCCCAGCACTTTGGGAGGCAGAGGCGAGAGGATCATGAGGTCAGGAGATCGAGACCATCCTGGCTAACAGGGTGAAACCCCGTCTCTACTAAAAATACAAAAAATTAGCCAGGCATGGTGGCGGGCGCCTGTAGTCCCAGCTACCCGGGAGGCTGAAGCAGGAGAATGGCGTGAAGCCAGGAGGCAGAGTTTGAAGTGAGCCAAGATCGCGCCACTGCACTCCAGCCTGGGTGACAGAGCAAGACTCCGTCTCAAAAAAAAAAAAAGAAAAAAGTTGGGCTGGGCATGGTGGCTCACACCTGTAATCCCAGCACTTTGGGAGGTCGAGGCGGGCAGATCATGAGGTCAGGAGATTGAGACCATCCTAGCTAACACGGTGAAACCCTGTCTCCACTAAAAATACAAAAAAATAGCTAGGCATGGTGGCATGTGCCTGTAGTCCCAGCTACTCGGGAGGCTGAGGCAGGAGAATGGTGTGAACCCAGGAGGTGGAGCTTGCAGTGAGCCAAGATAGCGCCACTGCACTCCAGCCTGGGAGATAGAGTGAGACTCCATCTCAAAATAAATGAATAAATTTGAAAAAAGTAAATTAAAAAGTCAAAAAAAGTTTGAAAATAAAGGTTGGAAAAGACACCCAAACAAATTCTAAAAGGAAGAAAGAGCAGAAGTTGCAATATTAATATGACACAAAAAAGTATTCAAGACAAAAGGCAATAAAAGAGATAAAGAGTTTCACCTTGATAAAAATACAGTCACCTAAAAGGACACTTTATGTCCTTGCACTATGGGTTCTAAAAATGTAAATCAAAAATTAGGAGAACAAAGATAAAAAGATGCCTATGATTCCTCCCTGTACGCATGCTCTTCTTTAATGTGACTTTGCTGCTCCTCCCATCAAGAAGTGGAAACTATTTCTTGTCCACTAGAATCTAAGCAACCACATGGTTTGGCTAATAGAATACAGCTGAAATGAAGTTGTGCAAACTCATCAATAGGTCTTGCAATTTCTGCTTTTATTCTCTTGCTGCTCTGAGTCCACCATGTAAAGATATATGAGCTAGACTCCTTAAGGATGAGAGATTATATGGAGAGCAAACCTAAGTGACAGCAAGCACCAACTATCAGACAAATGAGTGAGGTATTTTTGGACCACCTAGCCCACATGAAGCCAACAGATGGCCACAGCTACATGAGTAATATCAGGTGAAATCACCAGAAGAACCACTCAGCTGAGCCCAAGCAAGGTGCTGTCATACAAATTCATGAAGAAATAAAATGGTGGTTGTGTTAAGCCACTAAATTTTAGGGTGGTTTGTTCTGCAGCAATAGCTAAGTGAAACAATTGTCAATCATTAAAAAAAAAAATTCCAGTAAAAGTAATCAGCCTGACTGGAAAACGAGCAGGTAAGTCACAAAATAAGAAACACAAATGGCTATTGACTTTCTTGTATTAAGTACAGATAAATTATGCTTTTGCTTCTACTGCTATAAGTGGCTTGGATGAACTCCTAAATCCAAAGCAGTGAATACAAGAAGCTAAGCTGTTTTACTGAAGGCAATAAAGGGATAAAAGATGGAAAGTGTTCATAAAGATGATAGTTAGGAAACAGAGAACAAAGACATTTTACTACATTCGAGAGTTTGGTTTGCTTTAATGTTATTGTAAAAATAATCAAATTGGTGTTTTATAATACTTGCTTAAATCTCACTGCCTTAATGAGTTCTGACTTACTACTAAAAATATATAGAAATTCATGATTCTAAAACTGACTGAGATTTAGTGGAAAGGCAATCATTTGAATTTCAGACAAAGGAGATACCTTTATTAGTACTATTATTGCCTATGGATTCTATATTTTGTCTTCCAGATGACTTTTATTATATATCTATATCTATATCCATATCTATGTATGTTTTATCATTAACATTAATTAAATATATGTGAAAGAACTAATCTGAGTATCTGATTAATATGAGACAAACTTATTCTAATGAACTAAGATTCAAAAGCAAGAAAAAGTTGATGTTTCCATGCATTTTAATGCAGCTACTGCAGATAGTTTTCTCATTTCTTACTAGATATTTTAAAAATACTGACAACCATTCAAAGACTAACATTTTTATTTTCATCAGCCAGTTACCCAATATGGAGAGTGTACTCAAAACTTTTTACTGCCACCTTGTAACATCGTACCTATTAATGTTTTGAGCACACTAGGGCATACTAGGGGAGACAGTCATACAAAGAGTCAAAAATGTAACCCCTAGTGCGCTGAAACTACAAAAAAAGTTAGATAACATTTATACATATATGTGTATTATGTATATATAATGTATGTGTATATATACATATATGTCATAGTTAACACAGTAAGACTGTCAAGATACATTTGAAAATGTAAATTGTTAAAAGCCTTTCTCTCTCTTGAGTGTATGACTTTATCAAGAACTTGCAGTAGAAATATGCTTCAAATAGCTCCCCACTATAAAATAACGAAAATAAATGAAGAAGCTTCTAGCTGTGCAACCTTGGGCAAATTACCTAACCTCAGTTTCTCCTTTTGAAACAGGGATAATGATAGCACCTAATTCCCGGGATTTTTGTGAGGATTAAGAAAGCTAGTATGGGCCGGGCGCGGTGGCTCACGCCTGTAATCCCAGCACTTTGGGAGGCCAAGGCGGGCGGATCATGAGGTCAGGAGAGTGAGACCATCCTGGCTAACACGGTGAAACCCCGTCTCTACTAAAAATACAAAAAAAAAAAAAATTAGCCGGGCGTGGTGGCAGGCGCCTGTAGTCCCAGCTACTTGGGAGGCTGAGGCAGGAGAATGGCATGAACCCGGGAAGTGGAGGTTGCAGTGAGCAGAGATCGCGCCACTGCACTCCAGCCTGGGCGACAGAGCAAGACTGCGTCTCAAAAAAAAAAAAAAAAAAAAAAGAAAGAAAGCTAGTATGTGTAAAGTGCTAAGAACAGTGCCTGCCACATAAAAGGCACTTAATAAATCTTAACTATTATTGTTGCTTTTCTTACTACTACTTTATTGGGCGTCCTTGATATATCCTTAAATAAGAATGTGTCCCTTTTTAAGTGAATACAAACATACTACAATTCAGGTAAATAAACTCACCATTGCATATTTCTGACTAAGACAACCTTATATTTTAGAAGGTTGTACACAGAGATAAAAACAATAAAAATGATGTATATGGATTGATTAATTTTCTGATTGTGAAGAAGGATTTTAGTAGCTCAGGATAGCACAGAACCAACAAATTTAGATGATGTTTAAGACTTGGGTTTAAAATGTCTGGTAAAAAGAAAGAATACAGTGTCCACAGTTTTGTCTTCAAATACACCTGCTACTAGCAAATTCACTTTCTGGGGCCTGAAAACGATGGACTAATAAATGTCTTTTGCAGACCTCCTCATTTGGCAGAACATTCTTCTTTTGACTTATAATACCTTCAGAGAGTCAGAGGGCCAAAGAAATAACTTTGGTCAGGAAGAGTATAAAACTTTTATAATAACAAATTACAAAACAGCAAAATTATGAACTAAACTGCTAAACTCATCATTCTGCTTGGAAAAGTGTGTGCATTGAGTGGACAGTCTCACCGAACACTATTACAAGATAAGCTGAAGCTGGTGGATTAGCAGCTACTTGGGACTCAAGATATTTCTAGGAGCATAACTCTTTCTAAATCCCCCATTTGTTGTGTCCTCTTGGGGCAGTTCTTCAGCCAAAGCCCCTTTTGAGAATTCAGTCCACTTCCCTTTTAGAACTGCCACTTCCACCAGCTGCTTCTCTCATTACCTTACTGTTCAAGCGGAAAAGGCCAACCCCGGGTTATTCTAATGATAGCAAACACCTCATAAAGTAATCTGCCAAATTTACTTTTCCACAGAACATCATTTTTATGGCTTTTCATGAGTCCATGAGGAAAGAAAGCATCATGTATAAAATATAACTTCCAGAAATCTTGAAGATATTAAGAATTATCTCCGCAGTGTTAGATTGGTGGGTGCCCCAGTCTATAGGATGGTGGCATCTTCAACTTCCGCATAGAAATTCCCTCAGTCTGTCACTGTACTTATCTACCCACGGGAGAAGGTGAGAGAACCCACAAAGTTAGGACATTTTTAGAAATGTCTCAAAGTTAAAACAACTTTAAGCTTTGGGGTGTGTACTTTTCTACTGTTTTGTAATTGCGTGCAATAATCACCTTGCTTTAGTCTATCCTGGTAGAGACAAAATTTGGTGTAATCAAGAGTTTGGAATGTCTGAACTTTGACAAGTTTTTTAACCTCTCTGTACCTCAGTTTTTGCATCTGTAAATGAGGCTATATTAACAGTACCATGTCTTGTAAGATTATGGTTAAATTAAGTGAGTTAAATTCTGTAAAGTACTTAAAACGGTGGCACGTAGTAAACACAATGGAAGTGTTTTATTAGTTTTCTCTTTACGGTAAAGTTTTTCGCAATAAATTGTATAAAGATGTAAAAAGTGAATTATCAAAGACAATGAATATAAAGGCCTTTGGGAACAATGAATAATGCTTATTTCATTTTATTTATTTATTTATTTATTTTATTTTATTTTATTTTATTTTATTTTTTTTTTGAGACGGAGTCTCGCTCTGTCGCCCAGGCTGGAGTGCAGTGGCGCGATCTCAGCTCACTACAACCTCCCGGGTTCAAGCAATTCTCCTGCCTCAGCCTCCCGAGTAACTGGGACTACAGGCGTGCGCCACCACGCCCAGCTAATTTTTGTATTTTTAGTAGAGACGGGGTTTCACCATGTCGGCCAGGATAGTCTCCAACACCTGGCCTGAGGTGATCCACCCGCCTCTGCCTGCTAAAGTGCTGGGATCACAGGCGTGAGCCACCGCGCCTGGTTTGAGCAGATTTTAGGAGCCAGAGAATCCCCTCTGCCTCCTGGGAAAATCCCTGCTTGCTTTTGCCTATGCTCCAAGTTTACAGTTGTCCCACCCCTAGACTCAAGGAAAGGCGCTAACATAGCGGCAGGAAATGCCTAGCTGGGCAATTCTATTCCTAAGTCAGAACTCACATTATGTCTGACCGTCCACTACGCCCTCTCCTTGCCCTGAAGTTGAAATGGATAAACAGAATCCCATTGCTAAAGCGACCTTCAACGGGGAAGATCCTTGGGAGAAAGACTTTGCTACAAGTTTAAAAGCCCCAGGTAACCCTGGCCCAAATCACTACCGGTGCCTTCACTCTGCACCTTCCCCATGACCAAGGGGGCACAAGGGGGGAGGGGGGAACCTCAGGCGAGGCTCCCGGAGGAAGAGGAACACTGGAAGCAAGGGAACCCTGAGGGTGAGGAGGGGATGCCTGGCTATTCTCCTTGGGAAATTATGTCCTGACCTTTGGCATTGCTTCCTAAAGGGGTAGACTCCCGGAGTTCTTTCTCCCAAAGACTTCAGGGATATCATCCTATAAAGTCTCCTTGCGTCCCTCCAGCCTCGAGTAACATTACTCAGCCTCCGAAGGGCAACGAAAGACTGGTAGCACCCCCAAGCAAGCACATTCTCCACACTTCCTCTGCTCATCCCAAACCTCGCTCCTTCCCACCTCCCCACCAACCCCGCACCTGACCCGTGACAGACAGAACTGAAGGAGCGCAGCCCGCAGACCTGGAAGCCGGGTGCAGCCTCCAGGCACGTGCCCCCGCTCCGCCTCTGCCTAAGTCAAGTGGCCCGGGCAAAACTACTGCCAAAACAGTTGCTCTTAGGTGGGGCAGGGGACCTGCCTCCCTGCATCCACCCGGCACTAGCTCAGCACCCCCGCCCCACAAACCGTCCCCGCAGCCGCGCACGGCCCTCTCCGGCGGCGCACTCACCTGCAGCTGGGCTTGGCTGGCGTTGCCCGCGGCCGCGTCGGGCCCGTCGGCGGCTCCCGAGCCGCGCAGCACGGTGATGTGCAGCGTGAGCAGCAGCAGCCCCAGCAGCAGCAGCAGCTCGGCCGCCAGGCGCACCATCCTTTTGAGACGCGCGGCTTTAGGACCCGGCGCGGCGGCCGGCGGCGGCGGCGGTGACGCCGGGGGAGGAGGAGTAGGAGCCCGGGAGCCCGGCAGCGCGGCTCCCGCCTCGGCTCCCGCCAGGGCTCCGCTTCCCGGGCCCGCGGGGCTGGCGCTGGGCGCGGCGGGGTGTGCGGGGCCGGGGGAGCAGGAGCTGCCGGCGCCGCCGCCGCCGCCGCCGCCGCACCACGGCGGAGCCACCGCGAGGCCGGGGGTGTCCAAGCCGGCTGCGGAGCAAGCCCCGGCGCTGCCTGGCGGCGGCGGCGGCGGAGACGGAGACTGGGTCCCGGGACAGCCCGGGACCCGGGCCGGGCCGGAGGCCACCCTGCTGGCAGGGGGCTGCGGGGTCGGCGGCGGGGCGGGCGCAGCCGAGCCCCCGAGCGCACATGGGCGCCCCAGATGTGGCCGCGGCGCCGCAGCTGGAGCGGGAGCGGCCGCCAGAGAAGCGCGGGGAGGAGGAGGAGGAGAAGGAGAAGGAGGAGGAGGAGGAGGAGGAGGAGGAGGAGGAGGAGGAGGAGTAGGAGGGCTTCAGCTGCGGCCGGGAGTTACCTCCACGCTTGGCGCCCCCGCCCTCGCCGCCCCGAGCCACTCACCCGGCAAGCCACCTCCACTACTCTCCGCGCTCCTCGGGGCCGCCTGCCGCGCCGCCCCGCACTCGGAGTCCCGGGGAGGGCCGGTTCCAGATGGGGGCCCCGGGCACACCGAGGTTGTCACGGTTTGGCGGTAGCCGGGGCGCCCTCGGCGGCAGCGTCAGCCTGCCGGGCTGTACCAAGTGCCCGCTGCCGAGGTCGCTGTGACGGGCGCGGGTAGAGCCCTTGTGCACACTGAGGCTCGGGGCTGTGGGTGGGTGGGGTGGTGCCTGGGCTGCTTTAGAAACCTTTATTGGCAAACTGGAGCTGGAGTTGCAGTGATGGAAAACGGAGGGGGCGCCGGACAAGCCATGCGTCTGCCTGCGACCCCTGCCTGAAGCAGTCGGGGGAGAGGAGGAGTGCCAAAGTGTCGTTCCGAAGGGTCTTGACACTTGCTGGGCCGCCCGCTAGCCGGGCACGGCTGTTCGCGGATCCGCGGCGCCCCGTAGAGCCTGGGAAGGGAGGGGAGTCCGACTCTCTAGGCGTTCGTCTGGTCACGGGCGCAGGTGTTGGCTGGAAGCTGCAGAGACGCAGTGCCCGCGGCTCAGGCGCTCAGGAACTCGGAGTGAATCTCAGCTCTAGTGGGCTTGCCTCTGTGGGGGGCTCATCCCGGGGGTGCCGCGCCCAGAGGGGATTTGGGGGCTGGCGTCGCGCAGCTGTCGATCCCGGGCCACCGCCTCATGACCGCGCTGCAGCCTCGGGCTCCCGCGTGCGGCTCATGCCTTGCAGTGGGCGGTTGGCGAATGGAAGGGCTCTGGGATCCGGCTGAGGGCGCGGAGTCCGAGCGTCAGATGCTAGAGCGAACTGTGTCGGTCCGTGGCACCGCGCACTTCCCTCCTTGACCTTGCTCGGGCTCCCGCCTTACCGAAGTGACTCGGAGTAGCGGACGCTCAGTCCGGCCGGGACTTTTATACTGCGCTTCCCCTCCTCCTACCCGTTCCCTCCCTTCCTCCTCCCCAGCGCCGGCCCAGCCCTTCCCTCCCAGCGAGCCAAGACCTAGTCCACGCGTTCGCACACAGCCGCGTCGCACATTTCCAAGCCTTTCCCGCGTCCCGGACCCCAGTGCCTCCGGGATGGAGCCTCCGAATTCTCCCTTGGTGAATGAAATTAAATAAATAATCAACTCTTTCTTGACGGCACGCCTCCCTTTCCCCCTCCCCAATTTCCTACCTTCCTTCTCCGCGTCCTAGAAAGATTTAAGATTCTTAATTCAACTGCTTTCGAGTTCTCGCAAGGCATCTCAACCAAGTATTAACCAAATTAAGGCAAACCCTTGCGCCTTTGCGAAGGTTCCTCCGGTCACCGCGGTACTTTGCAGAATTTAAATAGCGGTAGTTAAGGTAGGGTCTGCTGGTTGGGCTTATTTGTGCCCGGGAGAGGAAGGGCTTGCTGCCTCCTTAAAGATGCCTGAAGCATCTTTAAAATTCTAACTAACTCCAGCATCTTATTAATAAATTGGCAGCTGTTTATAGAGTCTGCTATATTTTTTCCTTTTCATTATTTTTTTTTGGGTGGGGAACGGTGCGAGGGAGGAGGGGAGATGTTTGGAGGGGTGCTTGCTTTGGATTTTTAGGCAGCCGGGCCTGTCAGACATCTTATTTCTATCTCTAGGCTCTAAAATGCCAATAATTGTCACTGGAGTGCGGGTCGGGGGGAGTGGGGGGAAACGCGAAACAATAACCGTCCGTATTTCAGATGGGAGATCAAAGAGGGGATCCCAGCAGCTTTTAAATCCTGGAAGGATCCTCCTGTGTGTTTTCTAATTAGGATCACTTAAAAGGGAAAGGGCTGGAGAATCAGCGCCGAAATAGAATGTATAAATTAAGATGGCAAACTAGAATCCCACAGCCAAAGAGTTTTAAGGATTGTTCTAACCTCCAGTTGTGCCAGATTATGATACGGGCTCGCAGGAACAAATGACTTTCCTATTGCCAGAGGCAGGCTGGTCTGAATTAGGATCCAGGGGCCGCTGTGTCCTGCCCTTTCATCACACACAGTCTCCACATGTAAACCTCAGCTGCTTCTCCTCTCATCTAAAAGTAACAGTTTTGGACCCAAGGCAAAAATGACCTTTAAAAAACTCTGGAAAGAAACCTTTGCAATGAATGTAAATTCTTGTAAAATAATTTGTAAATGGAGATTTGGAGATCAAAGTCTTTGTAAAATGTTGTAAAAATTGTAAATTGAATTTTGGGGACAGATGTCTTTATAAAATGTTGAACAAATGTATGAATGAATCCTATTAAAATCCCTTCACGCTGAGAGATCCCCATTCCAGGTGAATTTATGTTCCAGTAAGCACATATAACGAGTATTGATAAACACCCACGCTCTGATTCCAGTTGCCGAACCAGGCTTGCCAGCAGGGCTCTGTTTTTGAGTTAGGGAACACGGGCTTACAATTTTTGTGGAAAAACAATTACAAATTTAATAGACTAAACCAATTAAGTTTCAAGCACATTTATGAAATTGTACCAATAGCTGATAAAAATGTTTAAAATCCTACCTCCTTCAGCAGAGCGTCCAGAGCACCCTATTCATATCGTTATTACTGATTTTATGACACTTGGGGCACTTGTGTCTGTTTGCATGTCTGTTTTCCCACTAGACCTTGATTGGGATCACCTTTGTGGTAGAACATTTCAGAGCATCGCCCCACTCCCCACCTCCATCCCAGTATCTAGTTTTCTTTCTGGGTTCATGGCTATGAGACATTTTCTAGGTATACTTGGATCTAGGTTTGGGCTGTGAAGAGCTTTTTTCCTTCCAGGTTGACCATAAAACATCCTGAGTGATTATCTGCACACACTCTCTCTTTCCTTTTTTTTTTCTTTTTCATTCATTCATTCTTTTTTTTTTTTTGACAGAGTCACTCTGTCACCCAGGCTGGAGTGTAGTGGTGCGATCTCAGCTCACTGCAGCCTCTGCTTCCCAGGTTCAAGCAATTCTCCTTCCTCAGCTTACGGAGTAGCTGGGATTACAGAATCCTGCCCCCACGCCTGGCTGATTTTTGTACTCTTTAGTAGAGAGAGATTTTCACCGTATTGGCCAGGCTGGTCTCAAACTCCTGACCTCAAATGATCCACCCGCTTCGGCCTCCCAAAGTGCTGGGATTACAGGCATGAGCCAACGTGCCCAGCCCTCTCTTTCCTTTCTACATGGCAAAGGACTCTGAGGTGAAAGGAACTCAAATTGAGTTACTGCTCAAAAGAGAAAAATTGGACCAGGAATATCTGCATTGAACCTTGAGCAAGTGAGATAAAACTTTGTTCATAGACATTGTGATGTAGGGATGTTTGCACAGCAGCTGGTATAATAGTATATACATCCTGACAAGTATAATCTTTGAGACAATGCCTTGCACAGAGTAATTCTCAATTAGTGTTTTTAAAATGCATGTAACAAATCTGGTATTTGTTTATACCCCAAGTAATAGATTACCTTTCCTAGGAGTGCTTGTACTATAGGTGTCTGACATTAACTTTTATAACCATTCTGCCTCTTGATTGTACTATTCTCACGTAGATTTTGTCTTTCATTATTGGTCCCATTTATCTTACAGGCAGGCTTATTTGACTGGAATATTTTAAGGAAGTAAGAGAAATTAATAAGCCAGAACACCTGTAGTTACTATCATTGCAGAGAACCTTGTGGCCTATTATGACTAGGATTTTATTGTTTTTATTTTATTTTGCCAAAGAGTGGTACAACATAGCAAAGAGTAGTTTCAATGTAATCCTTAATTTTTTTTACTATGGAAAGTTTTTAATATATACAAAAGTAAAGAGAATAATATACTAAATCCTTACTCATAAGCCAGCTTCAACAAAACTTATGGCCAATCTTGTCTTACCTGCATTCTCAGTATTTTCAAAAATTTCCTCCGTTTCAGATTATTTTAAGCAAATTCATGATATGTCATTTCATATGTACATATTTCAGTATGCATCTCAAAAAGGTAAGGGCTCAATTAAGCAATGTTTTTTAAACACATGCATATTGAATCTGAGCTTTAAAACAGATTTGAGAAGTCACAGCCAGAGACGTTTTCTGGGTGTGAGAATGATTAGTATTTAGGGATTGTGGTGGAGGCTGTTCTGTGTTCCCCAAAACCTGTTTCTTCCTGGGCATTCTAGTACACTTCATTTCTCAGTATCCTATGCTCGTGACTGAATTCTGGCCAATAGAATATGGGTGGATTAATGTGTGTCCCTTTCAGATCTAGCCCATAAAAACTTCCTGTTCATGATCTTTTCTTTTTTACCCCTGTCTGCTGGCTGGATGTTTTTGCCCAGGGTAACCTTAGAGCAATGATCAGTCTGGGTCTCTGGAGCAGAGTCCCTACCTGACCCCTACGTTTGCCCAAGAACACCCTGGCTGGGCTATTGTGTAATTGAGAAATAAACTTTTTTAAAAAATGTGTGAAGCCATTAAACTTTTGTGGTTTGTTCCAGGAACTTTCATTACCCTAACTAGGGGGCAATGTTCTGAGGCTGGAGGGATGGCAAACTTTTTCTTTAGAGGGCAAGATGTTAAATATTTTTTGTCTTTGTGGGCTGTAAGGTCCCTTTGGCAATTAATCAACTCTGGTGTTGCAGTGGGAAACCAGTCATAGAAAATACATGAAGGAATGGGTATAGCTGTGTTTTAATAAAATTTCGTGTATACAGCTAGGCAGCTGGACCACATGACTTAGTTTGTCAACCGCTGTCCTAAGGGACTGGGCACAACCTCACCACCTTGTTTTAGAGGCTGTATATGAAGGAATTAGTCAGATGGACTTCACTTACTATTTTATCTCCCTAGTCTCAGTTTCCTCGTCTGCCTCATCTGTAAGTTGGGGCTAAGAATGTCTACTCTCAGGCTGTTGTGAAGTTCAACTATCACTCTCACATGGAGGAAAAAGCAAGTCATTCTAGGTCTCTGTCTGATCGATACAGGACTCCACATTCTGTCCATGAGGGCAGTGTGCTTGTTTGCCTCATTCACTTCTGAATTCACATAGTAAATGCTCCATAAATATCTATTCAATGAATGAAACTTTTAGAAAACTGCTGAAATTTGGAGCTCCAAGGAGCCTTAGAGGTAAACTGGAAGCCCTCAAGGAAACACAAACGAACAGAAAGCCTGAAGTGTTGTTCCATTAGAGCCTCTCCTTTGAACTACGAAGGGGTCACAGTGCTCAGAAATGAGAAAATCACCACAATCAGAGGTGCTCCCAGGGTCTCCACCCCTGAAAGCAGCTGCCAGGCTTGTGGGACACCTGGATCGCCAGCAACATTCCACTTCCCTATGCTCCAACACACACAAAACCTATGAAGACTGGGGTTCACCTGTAGCTCTTTTCACTTCATGCTAAAAGCCCCTAGCTGTACAGAGAATGCAAGAGACCACCAAATAGGTGAGTTTCTGAGGAGGTCAAGAAACTATTCCAGAGGGAGTGCTATTCTTCCCCAGAACAAGGCTGGAGCGGTGGTGAAATAGGACCGGCTTCTTGGAAGCATTCCTGATGATTCTCCCTGACATGCCAGACTCCTTTACTGCATTTCTGTGTGATATTAAAACATAATGACCTGCTCCTCCAGTGACCTCTTCTGCAAATAGCCAACCCTTATAGTTCCTATCTGCATTGAAAAGAGACCCCTTTATTGCATTTGCTTTGTTGTTATTATTTCCGTGCAAATTCTGGAAAGCAAAATAGAATCTCAGGCACATGTTATAACTGGGGGAGAAAAGTGCATCATAATTACAAGGTTATGTAATTTCCAGGCAAAAAAGAGAACAAACTATTTGGTCAGAATTAAATCTTGGGGTCTACATGTTGGGAAGGGCCCACAGAGTTCATTTAGCTTCCTTTACAGTTGAGGCAACAGGCCCAGAGAATTAAATAGACATTCTCAATATTGCACAGGGACTTGGTAGCAGCATCAGGACAAGAGCCCAGGTTTCCTAACTTCCAAGACCAACGTGCTTTGTATTTCTCAAAGTAAACTTTCAAAAATTAAAGTATGCTGTACATATAGAAAACAGCATGTATCCTGGGTGCATATCCAAATGGAATTTTTGCTACTCCGATCAAGAAACAGAATGTTACCAGTACCCCAGAAGCCAATTACCTGAAAGTTACCAATATTCTGACTTCTCTCACCATACATTTGATTTGCCTTTGAAAATTAATATAATTGAATTTTACAGTATATACTCTTTTGTGTCTGGCTCCTTGCGCCATCCTCTATTACTTTTTGCTTTAAAATAAATGGAAAGCTATAGAAAAGTTGCAAGCATAATTGAATGAACATCTGTAGTTCCTTGTGGTAGACTGTTTAAAATGACCACAGTTTTCTCACCATTGTCTCCAGGCTTTTTACAAGCTGGCTTTGTACCCGTGGAATCCTTGTGATTTACTTTCACTAGCAAAACGCAGCAGAGGTGATGTTGTACCAGTTCTGTGGTTAGGTTTCAATAAGCTTTACATGCCTCCTTTCTCTCTCAATCTCTCTCTCTGTCTCTGTCTTTCTGTCTCTCTCTCTCTCTCTCTCTCTCTCTGTGTGTGTGTGTGTGTGTGTGTGTGTGTGTGTGTGTGTGTGTGCCTGTCTCTGTATTGGAACTTTCCCACTGCTATGTTGGTAATCCAGGACTAGCCTGCTGGAGTGATCCTAGTCACCACTGTTGCCCCAGCTGACACCTGCCTATTCTCAGAAGCAGAGCCACCTAGTAGACCTACAGTTCATCGCAGACACATAAGAGAGCTTAAGAGAACACAGCTGAAACCAGAGAAAGCACCCAGGTAAGCTGAGCCTAAATAGAATAAGGGGCAAAATAAATGGTTGCTCTTGTGAATAGGGTAGTTCATCACACAGAGAAACCTGCTAAATACAACCTTTCACCTCAAATACTACAGTAGGTATTTCTTAAGAGTAAGGAGATCCTCCTACATCATCACAGCATAATTCTCAGGACGTTTAACATCAACACAATAATATGATCTAACTTATAAACCACATTCAAATGGTTCAAATTGTCCCTATAATATTCTTTACAGCGACTCTTTTCTGTCCAGGATTCAGGTGAGAATCACTCTGCATTTTATTGTCATTGTCATGTCTGTTTATCACCTTCGGTCTTCAACAGTCCACATCTCCCAGTCCTCCTTTTTCTTTTGGTCTTTTGTGCCATTAACATTCTTTGAAAGCCTAGGTCAGCTGATTTTGCAGAATGCCCTTCAGTTTGTATTTGTATGTTTGTTTCTCTAGGATTAATTTCGGATTATGTGTTTGGGCTAGGGATACTGCCTGGATAATGTTATGTTCTTCTCAGTGCATCACATCAGGGAGTCCCTGATGAGATTTTTCCCAATTGTGGGTAAATCTATTTCAAGATACGGAGATGCTAAGTCATTTTTGTGAGGTTAAATGGGAAAAATTCTTGATTGAGAATATGTTGGTGTGTTGGCTATCTTTTTCTTATGTGTGGAGAAAGGGGAAACATGAGTTCATCTAATTTCCTGGGAATTTACTTCACTTTGTTCCAAGTTGTTTGTCAACATCATCCAACTCCCTCAGGGCAGTGGGCTGTGACCATATTAGAGGAGGGCTGTCCTCAGGGTGAACTCTATGAATCAGTAATTTTGTCTGCTGCAATCAAAAGTCATTATCAATCCATTCTTAAAAGCTTAGCCTTAAATTCTTTTTTTTGTTCACTTTGTTTTGGGGAGCAAGTCAGGCTTGGTGTAAGACAAAGGAGAAATAAATTTGTTGTTAATGAAAATTGTTTTTAGTGATTTAAAAATAATAAATACCTTAGCTTTATGTTGCATTTTTTAAAAAGCACAAGGAATATAATTATACCCTAGGGAAGTCAAAAGAGCTCAGTGAAATAAAGAAAAAATCCAACAGGCTAGAAGTTTTAACTCTTTTTTTTTAATAACTAAAGAGTAGTTGAAATAATCTTTCAACAACTTCAGTTCAGATTATATCTGAAAGAAAGCTAAAACTGATTAATTTGCATTTAGAAGTGGAATTTAATCCAGCCATTCCTCAGCAGAGAAAGATCAAACTGACACCTCTAAGATGCCACATCAGAGATGTCTCCACTTAAAATAGCTTTGCGACTGGCTGGTTCTAACGTCTTTACTAATAAACACAAGATCTCATCATCAATGCTTGTGGCGAGGATTTCACAATGACTCAGGGTGTAGTGCCTCATTTGTGAGCCAGATGTGTCTAAACTGAAATCTGAAGATTCTCACTTGTAAACTCTAAACAGGATGATGAAAGTTAAATGAGAAATAGCTTTGTAGAGGAATAAGCATGAAAGAGCTGTTTACACGTTTTGGAATGCAAATTTAGCGTGGTTGTTATTTTATAAAGGTTGAGATTTTCCTTTATTTACCTGGGGTCTAACTTGATTCTGAAATTGTAGTTTAGTAAATAACCATCAACTTTTATCCATAATAAGTGATAAACAAAAAGTAGTGTTTTGGAATAAAGGTTTTATTTGTCGGGGCCATGAAAGCCAAATAATTAAAACTTTAAAGGGATGTTTTGGTTACTCACAAAGATTGAAAGATATACTGTTCTCACACTTTTGTGTGTGTGTGTGTTTCTGTGAGTTAACAACGTGATGGTAATATCAGGCATGGTAATATTGAAAAACCAGTTATACTTGTAGTAGTCAGGGAAAGTAACATTGGTTGCTATAACAAACAATCCCTCCAAAGCCCAATGGCTTAGCATAATAAAAGTTTGCTTTTTGTTTATGCTGCAATACTCTTCATACTTTGGTATCCAAAGGGCAGTCTTCCTTTGATGAGGGGACCCAGGCTCCTAATTAGTGGCTGTACATTTTGTAGAACATTCATATAGCACACAAGTGAAGAGAGAAAAAGTATATGGAGGCTCAGCATGCTTTAAGGGCCAGATCACTTGCCATTGACCAGAACTTAGTTACACCGACCCCACCCAACTGCAAGAACAGTTGGGAAATAAAGAATTCCTATAATGCTTAGGAGGCAAAGGAAATGGGTATGTTGAATGCACAATGCTGTTTCCACATAGAATTATCTCTGCCAAAAACCCCACTCCATTTCATTAGTATGAATGAAGATCGTAGTGTCATAGGGGGACTAGAGTGAGGGTCAGCAATTTCTTTCCTATTAAGCACTGGATAGTAACCATTTTCAACTTCGTGCCACAAGAAGAAAAAATCAAGGGCGTTACTTATGTACTTATATAACCATTTAAAATATGACCATATAAAAATGTAAAAACCATTCTTTGCTCATGGAACTTACAAAAAGAAACTGTGGGTAGGATTTGGCCTGTTTACTTGACATACTATTTTATTTAACCTGAGCAATATATAAAATCCTGTCTCTTACCATAGTGCCAATGAGTCAGGATTGGTATGGTCAGGCCAAGCCAACAGCCTCCTATGTGGCTCTCTCATTATGATTATTATCTAATTGTACAATATCTAGGAAAAGTAACTATTCTAAAACAGAGAGAGAAAGAAGAGTAGGGATAACGGTAACATCTGAGTGCTTAACTGAGATAACAGAAGTACTGAGTGAATTGAATAATGGTATAATTTCAATTTTGCCTATTTTACTAATCCCTAGACTAGAGAAATCCTAGAAGGAAATGTTTAGTGCTGCAGGATTGCCTTGTTCTCAGACTCCTTCCTAAAATGACTTTGATTTTGGTTGAGACTTTCAGATGACCATTTATGGCAAATTAAATTTGAAAATAGAGTCTTAATTGAGGTTATGATGATTATGCAGAATAAAACAAGTTATAGTCTCAGAATATTGCATTTAAAATAAAAATGTTTACTGTAAACTGAAAATAAACAGCAAAAATTAGGTTATGTTTCAAAATGTGATAAACCTATACGTCATTATAGCAGGGTTCATTCCTGCAATATAATACACTGTTAGACCATGCTATTTAATATTTTCTAGGCATCTCATTTGTGATGGCTCTAATTACTGAGATTCGTTCAGTACTTCTGTTATCTCAATTAAGCACTCAGGTGTTGCCTTTCTCCTTGCTCCTCTTTCCTTGTTTTACATATTGTATAATTAGATAATAATCTTAATGAGAAACTGGAATTATTAAATGGTCCAGGCAGAGCCACATAGGAGAATGTCGGCTTGGCCTAACTATACCAATCCTGACTCATTGGCTCTGTGGTAAGAGGAGTAGGATTTGATCTATTACTTAGGTTAAATAAAATAGTAAATAAAAGAAAGCATTACAAAAATGTGGTTTGTCATGTAAGATTTTACTGATGAATAGAAGATTTCGGTTACTTATAATTTTTAAAGTATTTTTATTATTATAAACAATATTTTTCCTCTTGAAAATATGGGGAATTATTTAAAATGAAATTGAATTTATACATATTTATATTACCTAAAGATGATTATTGTTTACCTCTGGTATAGTTCTTTTCTGTTTACACACACACACACACACACACACACACACACGTGTGCACATGTAAACACACAACAACCCATTTATCTGCACATGCAAATATACATAGACTGCACTATGTATATAGACATTTGTACATAATTTGGGGATATAACTGAAACCATACGGCCATTAAAAAATCTTCCAAAAGAACACTTTTAATGGCTGCAGCATATGTTCCTGTATGAATATATAATAATTAGCCTAAGCTCTATTTTTGGACATTTGCATTATACAAAATTTCCTTCATTAAAATACCATTAAGAAGTATACAGACAGCCAAATGAGTGCTTATATCAACAAAAAGACGTGTACAAATATTCATAGAACCTTAGTCCTAATAGTTCACAGCTGGAAACAATCCAAACATGTATCAATTTTAGAATGGATAAACAAATTTTACTGTATCTATACAAGGGAACACTAATCACCAATGGAAAAGAATTAATGGTTGGCGGCTACATGTAACAATGTGAATGATTCTCAGAGACATAATATTTAATGGAAAAAAATAACTAGATGCAAAACAATACATTCTGTATCATTCCATTTATATGAAATTCAAGAACAGGCACAACTAATCTAAGGTGATGAGAGTTCGGCATATTGCTTATGGGAAGGGTATAGACAGGGATGGGTTGCAAGGAAACTTTCCTTCAGAGTACTGCAAGTGTTCTCCATCTTGATCTGGATGCTTGTGCATGTATGTAAAAGTTAATTGAGCTGTATATTTCAGACTTGTGCACTCTATGTAAACTGTACTTCAATAAACAGAAATAAGCATAATAGTCTGTGATACATCTTTGAATATAGGGTTTGACTATATTTGTTATAAGTGCCTTAGCATAATCTCATACATTCTAAAAAATGCTATTTTGAATCTTCAGAACATCTATGATCTCTTTTCTGTTATAGAACTTTCATAAGCTAGATAAATGGCAGATTTTTTTTAGATAATGTTAGTAATATTTAGATTTGTCGAAGGAGAATAAATCCACGGGGGTGTCATGACTAGGACTCTTGCCTTCTTCTTTGGGCTTCAGATAAATTTCAATTTAATCTAGCACTGAATATATTGAATCTGGAATAAGAAGTCAATATAATGGAAGGTCTTTCTCCATTAACTGAGGTTTACAGAAAGAATTCATAAAAGAATTCTTTAATTTGTAAAATTTCCCAGTACAATTCAATTATGATATAATCAATAAACAATTGCATTATGTTTTCAAGGGTGCTGCTAGTTTATGGAGCAAGGAAATATGCAACCTACAGTACATTAACTTTACATGTGAAGACTGTGTATATTAGCTTGGTTTTTGCTGTGATAATGCTACTTAACAAAAACACCAAAATCTCAGTGGATTATAACAAAAAACATTTTAATTCACACTTACAAATCTGCAGGTCAGCTGTGGTTTGATCGATCTTGGGTGGTCTAGGATGGAGTACAGGTTTCAGGTCAATTTCAAGTTTTCATGTTTGCATTTCAGAACTCAAGCTGAAAGAACAACAACTTCATGGGGCTTCATAGACAGTGGACACTCCAAGAGGCCTAGCCCACCCACACAAGCACATATAAGGTTTACGTTCACATTGCAGCCTTTTACATGCCATTGGCCAAAGCACCATGGCCATACCCAACATCATTGGTGAGGTAGAAGACTGGGCTGAGTACACTCCACGTGTGTCAGTAACTACCGATGCATAACAACCCCAAAACTTAGTGTCTTAAAAGAGCAAAAACCAATTTATTATTTCTCACAAGTCTATGAGTTTGTTGGGTGGTTTTGCCAATCTGGGCTAATCCCAGTTGTGCATCTGTGTGAGGAGGCCTGTGGCCCAGGACCTGGTTCATCAAGGATAATCTCAGCTGGGACAAAACAGCTCTGTTCCATGTGGTGTCTCATTTACCAGCAGACTAGCTTGGACTTGTTCTCATAATGATGACAAGGTCCAAGAGAGAATGGAAGTTTGTGAGATGCGAGCCTATACTCAGATGTTGTAGGATGTCACTTATGCTGAATTCTACTGTCTAAAGCAAGTCACAAAACTGGCCTAGACTTAAAGTGTGAGCTAATTCCACCTCCTGATAGGAAGACTTATACAGGTGCATTGCAGAGGGTATAGATAAAGGGAAGAGTAGGGAAGTGTGGCTGGTTTTGTAATCTACCATACTGACTGCAGTATAGTTTGGTAAGTGTGGTGAGGAAGGCAACATCTAGATTCTAAAAAGCATTAAACAAATTTCAACTTAGTTAATTCAATTTCAGCTTAGTTTTCCTATAACAGGGATGCTACTAAAGGAAAAAAGAAAAACTGGGTTGTTTATCTTATATTAGGATCCTACTGTGTGTTTTCTAAAATCATTAAGTTATCACCAGATGATGCTGTTTTGCCTACTTAATACATTACTCAGTTTCATCCTGAGCCCATAAGGAAGTTGTTTACTAGTGTCGTCTTATGGCATAGGAAGTTGACGCATAATACTTTGTCTAACTTGTCTCTATAATTTTAGTATGCATCATTCAGTTAATCGTAGTGAGAGACTGCATGATCAAAGAAAAATGATACTATAGTCTAAAGTTTTGGTAATGAATAAAACTATATAAATAGGGTATAAGTTTTATTCTCATTTTCCCTGATTTTTTTTTTCCCTTCAAGATTTCTCACTTCTGCCTTGGATATCTTCCAGGAATCCTGTGGTAAATTGGATTGTTTTCCCGTGGAGTGTTTCTCTGCCCAACTGATATATCGATATTAGGCTTAGTGATATGTGATGATTGATTTTATGTGTCAACGTGACTGAGATATGGGGTGCCCAGATTAAACATTCATTCTGAATGTGTCTGTGAGGGTGTTTCTCTATGAGATTAGCATTTGAATTGGTGGACTGAGTAAAACAGATTCTTCCCCAATGTAGGTAGGCATCAGCCAATCCCTTGAGGGCCAGAATAGAGCAAAAAACCGAAGGAAGAATTTGCTCTCTCTGCCTGATTGATTGACTTGGGATATCAGTCTTCTCCTACCCTTAACTGGGACGTACACCATCAGCTCTCCAGTTCTCAGAACTGCACCACCAACTTTCCTGGTCTCTGGCTTGCACATGGCAGATTGCAGGACGTCCCAGCCTGCATAATTGCATAAGCCAATTCCTTATAATAAGTTTCACATCTATGTCTGTGTCTGTGACTGTGTCTGTCTATGTCTATCTATCTATACCTATGTCTTATTGGTTCTGTTTCACTGGAGGACCCGATTAATACACCGTGTGACTTACTTTGGCTAGTGGCTTGTGGGTAAAAGCAACAGTATGTCAGTTTTGAGGGAAGGCCTTAAGAGACTTTGTATATTTCTTGTGCTTCTGCCCTGGGGCAGCCACTGTTCTAAGAAAAATGAGAGACATGTGGAGCAGACCTTGACCTGACTTGAAGCCTAAAGCCAAGGCCAGCTGAGCCCAGCTTAGGTCACCAACCCCACCTGTTCTGCAGATATGCCACTAAGTTATAGAGTGATTGTTATGCAGCATTATTGTGTAACTAGTTAACTGATTCCTAAAGTTTCCAGAAAAATGAGCTGAATTGTCTCTCCATGATGCAGGTTCCTATTTACTGACACAAAGCTTGGATAAACAAATTCTATATAAAATCTTGCAGTTGGGAGACCACTCATCTCCTACCTTCACAATTTGCCACATCTATATAACCCCTCCATTATTATTAACCTAATATTTTTCTAATTTCAAATTTGAAAATTCTATGTGTGCATTCACCAACCCCATTTGTTCTTACCCTGGGCACACAGAAGAATTACATTTTCCACCCCGGTGGGGTCATATGGCCGAATTCTGGCCGAGAAATGGTACTGATTCACTCATTTCTAGAACTGATTCCTGAAATCTGCACTATTCTTTCTCTCTTTCCCTTTCTTTCTCTCTCCCCTTGTCTACTGTCTGGATGCAAAGAATATAGTTAAGGACTCCAGAGTTCTAGAAAATGGCAGCCTCAATAGACGGAAGGAATCTTGGGTTTTGAATGACCTTGTGCAGGCCTTCCTCCCTCCTGTCTCACCAACCTGCACTGGACTCTCCATGAGCAAGAAATTAATGTTATTTTAAAAATTTATCTATTATTTTATTATTTTTAAGATATCAATGTTTATTATGTTAAGCCACTGAGAACTTGGGGGTATTTGTGTCAGCATTTAGTTACCCTGTGTAATAAAAAGCGTAATCCTTAAAATTAAAATATATCCATCCACTTATTACCTGAACTTACCTTTTGTACCACCTGTGATCCATATGCCACACTTAGAAAAAACACTACTGTGATCCAGATCCCTGATATACAGTCAGGGAAACTGAGCATCAGAGAGGGAAGATGCCACCAAGTGTGTGTAGTGAGTTAAAGCAGGAGCTGGCGATACCTCCAGGAATGCTGTCCATGCATCCAGTCCACCAAGACCCACAGGGCCAGCTCCCCTCAGGATTCTGAAGTAGCTTGTTGCAGACACTGCCAATGTCCCGTATCACCTGGGCAATATGGATAGATGCCAAGGACTCCCTGCTCTGATGACTTGTAACTCTGCCTGAGGGTGTTCTCTGACCACAGGAGTGCGTCTCTGTCTGACCTGCACCCGGTGATGGAGGTCCTGAGAGCAGTCCTCAAACAATGACAGACAGGAGGAGAGGGTAAATACTCTGATTTCCTTCCCATGTGGGTGTAACTTGGGGGACTGTTCTATGCAGATCTAGAGGGTCCTCAGAGGGGATGAGCTCCAGTTGCCTGCAGAGCTGACCTGCTCATTGGCACTCTCAGTCCTGGCTCCTTCCCTCTCACTCTCACTTCCCCTACTTGATGACAAGGCAGAGAGTGTGTTATGGACTGTCCTTCCAAATTCATGCATTGAAGCCCTAATCCCCAATGTGATGGCATTCGGAGGTGGGGCTGTTGGGAAGTAGTTGGGTCATGAGGGTGAAGCCCTCATGAATGGGATTAGTGCTCTTACAGGAAGAGGCATGACAGCACTTGCCTCCTCTCTCTGCTGTCCACCACGTGAGGATAGACAAGGAGATGACTGTTTGCAAGTTTGTAAACCACGAAGTGGGCCCACATCAGACACTAAATCAGCTAGGGTCTTGATCTTGAACTCTTCGGCTTTTAGAACTGTAAGAAATAAATGTCAGTAGTTGAAGCCACCCAGTTTGTGGTATTCCTTCATAGAAGCTCAAGTAGAACATGACAGAGTCTGAGGGAGGCCATCTCTGGGGAGGCGACATTTGAACAGACACTTGATTTTGAGAAGGGACATACTAGAAGAGATTTCCGGGCAAAAGATCCACCACTTAAAACAGTCCTGGAGGTGGGAAAGGGCTTGGCATCTCCAAGGCATAGAAATGGGGCTTGTATGGCTACAGTGAGAGGGGAGTGGAGGAAGAAGTGCTTGGAGAGGTGGGCATGGGTCAGATCCCTATGGAGAGGCATGGATTTATTCTGAGAATTACGGAAAAACAGCAAAAGGTCCCAAGCAGAGGAGCAATTTGACCTGATTTATGGTTCCAGAGCTCAGTAGCAGACCTTTCCAGAAAATGCAGAAGCCAAGGCAGCCCCTTTTGGTAAGAGGCAACATAGGTACCCCACAAGGTCCTAGGTATCCTCCAAGAGGTCTCTCTTGGAGGGGAGTCTGGGCCTGAGGGGACTCAGTGCTTCCATGCATTGTGCAGAGCCACCAGCCCTCTGCAGACAATTTCCACCGTGGTCTGTTGTGTTCCTCCTTCCAGTCAGAAGGGGCTGGTGCACGTGGCCCTAGCTGGATAAAGATACTCTCACTACTTACAAAATATATCTTGGCCCCAATTCTGTCTTAAGACCTTTAAAATTGGCAGTTACTTCATACCAAATCCAAAGTGGGTTCAAATGGGAAGAAAATATAAATCCACTGGTGGCGTGCACCTGTAATCCCAGCTACTTGGGAGGCTGAGTCATGAGAGTTGCTTGAACCCAGAAGGCAGATGTTGCAGTGAGCCCAGATCGCGCCACTGCACTCCAGCCTGGGCAACAGGGCGAGACTCCGTCTCAAAAAATATACATATATATATATATATATGAATATATAAATCCAGGATTAAAAAGATATTTTTCCCACACATCGCCCACATGAAATAAATGTCTTTTTGCACAACACCTTGTTAAAATTATTAAAGGAGGCCTCAGTAATATTTCCATGCCCAGGGGAAGAATTCTATTACAAAGGTGGACACAACTCCAACAAGGGATCCCGGAAATGGCAGAGGAAAATTGTGAGCTCTAGATGTAAAATAATTGAATAAAAGTGGCTCAGACAGGCAGAACAACTCAGCCCTCTGAGGAGTCTCTGTCATTGGCTTCCCATCAAAGGTAGGGAATTCTGTTGCAAAAGCAATTAAGTTGTTTCAGCCTTGGAACTAAGACGTCTCAAAATTAAAATAAAAGTATGGAAATCCAAAACCAATCAGTACTCAAAAGACTGATTAAGTCTGTCTTTAAACATATAGATGCTTGAGTAATATTATTGAAGTTATATTCATAGGATTCTGAGAAGTCTTATGACATTACTACATTTTATGCGAGGTGATTTTAAAGCTGTTTTCAGTGTGAACCAATGTGACAAGCATTTGGACAAACACTTTTGTCCCTCAGAGTCACAAGTTTGTTGTAGTTTGAAAATAGATTTAAAAAGTTGGGTCAGACATTATTTTAAAGGGTGAGTTTATCCTTACAGGTTTTGCATTTCTTACTCTGAATCAGCCAGCCCCTAATCCCTCCTCCTAAGTTTAAAAAGATGATTTGACAGTACAAATTACCTTCTTTGTTTTCCATTTAGCAGAGCTTGTGGTTTTTATAGGCATATAAACTAGTTTTATAACTTAATTCTCTGCAAGTTGTGGCATGAAGAGAAATAGGCAGTGGCTATAAAAAATGTATGCTAAATCACTGCTAATTAAAAATGCAGCTATTGACCATGTTAACCAAACTAATTAATTGCTTTTCCGAATTGTCATTTAATTAATTAATTTATCCATTAATTTATTTATCCATAAAGGCACATTTTATTAAAATAGACCATAATTTCAAGTGCACTGTGACTGTTGAAACTATAAAATCTTTCAGTAGTTTAAAATCTGAACAAGATCCTAAAGTTTGATCCATGAACTAAATTGAGTGTTTGCATGTGAAATAGATACCTATGTACATGTCTCTTTATGAGACTGCTGAAAGCAGAGATTTTACTTCATTTTAATTTATTTATCCTGACATTAGAGAGTTCAAGTAGTGGCATTATCGAGCTTATAATCTTCTCTGTGCTGCAATTTCCCTCATAACATGGGAATAATAATACTAGCTCCTTATAAAGCTGTTGCATGCATTAATTCACTTATTAAAGAATCTAGAATAGTGACTGGCACACAGTAACATTTAATACATGTTACTTATTTTCCCCAACCCCTAGCACTCAGCTTTTGTGCATGTAGTTAATGCTTAGTAACTGCTTATTAATTATTTTGGTTAAAAAAAACCCTTCTAGAATTTGAATGATAAAACAGATGTTTTCATCAGTTTAGGGAGTCCAGTGAAGCTCATTCCACAAACATTCATTGTGTTAAATTAAGTTTAGCCTAAAGCTGCCTCCTTACATATGTTAAGTTCTGCTTGCAGGCTTCTGTGTACATAGTGAACTATAGCTTAACTGGATGTAGAAGCCGACTATAATCTTCTCATAACAAATAGTTCATTCTCAGCCAATCACAGCAGCCATAATTCAACCACTCACAGGTGGCCAACTGTTCGAACTCTGTTCAAATAAGGCAAATGCCCAGCTGTAACCAACTCAGCTGTTTCCGTACCTCACTTCCGTTTTCTGTACGTCACTTTCCTCTTTCTATCCATAAATCCTCTTTGACTACACGGCAGAGCCAGCCTTGCTCTCAACCTATTCTGGTTTGGGAGGCTACCCTAATGGTGAATTGTTCTTTGTTCAATTAGACTTTGTTAAATTTAATTTGTTTAGAGTTTTTCTTTTAACAATTGGTATCTAGCATGTCTTACAGTGAATCATGAATGGTGTGCTAAAGATGGACATAGTGACTTGTGAGAGCTGAATGTTAAAATTTCAGAAACGTTGTGAGCTGCTTTTAATCATGGCCATTATTCAGAATTAAATTACATAAATGTACAATTAAAGATATGATATTACAAGCAAAAGTAATACTCAAAACTTATTTCCTCTTTACATTTTACAATGACCTTGAATTTACTCACATTTGCTGCATCTGTGTGGTGGATGCACTGTATAACCATGTGCTTCTGTACGTTGCTTTCCAACTCCATTGAATGACATCATGTTGGTAGCTTGAACTCAGCCATGGAGGGAATATTTGTGCCATTGAAATCAGCAAATGTTACCAATCAGGGCTCCCCTAACTTGATTCCTTTCTCCCTGCAAAGCTGGTTGCTAAATATTTATCATCACATCACTGACTGTGCTAGGCCTGGAGATGGGTAGTGCGTATGGAGGGGTGGATACCTTCAAAAAGTTTACCATCTGCCAGGCGCGGTGGCTCATGCCTGTAATCCCAGCACTGTGGAAGGCCGACACAGGCAGATCATGAGGTCAGGAGTTCGAGACCAGCCTGGCCAGCATGGTGAAACCCCATCTCTACTACAAATATAAAAAATTAGCCGGGCATGGTGGCGCAGGCCTGTAATACCAGCTACTAGGGAGGCTGAGGCAAGAGAATCACTTGAACCCAGGAGGCGGAGGTTGCAGTGAGCCGAGATGGCACCACTGCACTCCAGCCTGGGCAACAGAGCGAGACTCCATCTCAAAAAAAAAAAAAAAAAGTTTACCATCTCAGAGCCCACAATTTTTTACTGCTTCATCCCAAACTTTTCTTCATTTTTAAATTTTCACAGGCCATTACATCAGGGAAAACTAAACCTATATTTATGATAGTTCTGATCACCCAGAGTAAAAATCTGGATGTATTTCCTCTTCTCATTGCCTTTTTTTTTTTTGCACATTAATATTTAAATAGAAATTCCTATGATAATTAAGTGCTATTTTTCTTTCTTTTTTAGTTGATTGACAATGTCTAAAGATTTGTGATAATACAGATAGTTATGATAGGCATAATGCAAAATGGCAGCAAATTAAGTGCCATCATCCACCCAGTTATTCAAATTTCTCCCCTCCCTTCCCCTCCACAGCCTATCCAACAGCAAGCCCTGCTGATTTTCTACCACCAAAGCGCATCTGAAATCCACCCACTTCTCATCCTCAGGGCTAGCCCTCTCAGCCAGGTCTCTATCATCTCTTTTCCAGGGCTCCTTCAACACTCCTGACCTTCTTAATTTTACTCTTGCCTTTCTCCAATCCCATTCTCCCCGCAGTTGTGCGAATGGTCTTTTAAACATGCAAATCAGGCCACATCACTCCCACTTTGAAACCCATTTAGGATTGTGCCGTTTCCTTACTAATCCCACTTTGCAGTATCCCTCCTTCCCTTTGTCCCTTGCAGTCCTCTGTGCCTGTGACTGGCATTGGAGACTGTCATTCAGACTCAGTTTTGTTCACAACTATGCTGCCAGCTGGCTAAATGAGCCTAGTGAAGCCACTTAGCTTCTAAGCACTTCTGTTTACTTTTCTTTACAAAAGACATAATGGTGCTGGGCTACCCAGAGCTTAAATTAATTAATGTTTATAGAGCACTTCAAGCCTCGGCATAATAGCCTCTTTGAAAATGCATGTAATTATCATTATGGCTAATGAAGCTTGGTCTTAACTCCTCCCCCTCACTGGGAAGGCAGGAAGCTGCCTTTGGTAACATAATCCAGATTAGGTGGAAATTTACCTCCAATGTTAGTTTTCTTCTTTGGCCACTCCGTTGGTGTTTTCAATTTTGTTTTATTTCTCTTTGTCTTATTTTATTTTGTTTTATTTCATTTTTTAAATTACAAATGGGATTTAGATAAATTAAGTCAAGTGGATTTATGAGAAAATAAACCATATTTTAAAGGCAGTGCTTTTTCCAACCACAGATATCACATTCCCATTGTTTCCTTTGTTGGGAACTGGTATTCAGCCTCAGAGAGAGAGAGAGAGAAACTTCACTAGAAGGTGAGTTGGAGGTTTACAGTGATGGTTTTAATGCTGTTGAGGTTTATTTTGTAGGTGTGGGGTTGACCAGCTTCCAGGATCACAGTCTGAGCTACCTGCAGTAGAGATGACACCCTTTGCAGGTTCTCTGCTCTAGCATAATTGCAATTCAAAGGGACAGGTCCCTTTCCAAATGGTGAGCACTCAACACCTGATGGTGCTCAAAGGGAGACCCATTCATTTGATGCAGGTGATGGTACAACTGACACTTGGCATTGACAATTTCACATCACTATTTATTAATCACTATGGGTTATGTCTCGGATTGTTGTTAACCTGATTTCTGAGATGATGAAGGAATCAGATGTGGAAAGTCAATGCAGTAGCCATAGTACCTTTGTGAATTTAAAGTGTTCTATTTTTTTGTTTTGGGAAATCAAGTTATATTTATGTGTATTAGGAGAAACTTGTGACTTTATCTATTTGGAATAATTTTAAACAGAGAAACTTTCATCTGAAATGATTTTCCAAGGATAAATCCATGTTTGTTAACTGCTAGATAAAGCTACGTAAGTGGAAAAGTTATTGAGTCTGGCCTTGGCACTAGTGCAAAAGGTGTGAAGTCAGCACGGCTGGTTGAAGGAGTGACTCTACAGAATAATTGAAATAAAGTGCAAGCCATGACTTGACCTGTAAATCCCTAGATTTGGGCACCATCCTGGCCGCTTCTTGAACACAGGCTTCACCCTCTTCATTTCCTTTGTATCCCCCAAGAAGGGTTTAAGATTCAACTGTTCACTGAAAATCTTAAGAGTCCTAGAAGCAAATACACAGTCAGTTTTAAACATAAATATAAATAAAGATACAGGGCATTGGTCATGTTAAGAGGCATTCCTGGGAATCTCTCTTGTACCGCAGGATGAAAAGTGGTCCTTTCCTTCAAGAGGCTTGCAAATTAAATGTAAAAACAAGATAAACAGGTTTATGTATGTCTTTTCCACTAGAGGAGCTTTATGAGGGCCAGAGGTGGGTCTCATGTTTCACTCACTGTTGGGTAGTAGAAGCACAGAGTGTATTTTTTGAATGCATGGAGGGAGGGAAGGAGGACGGAAAGAGGGAGAAAGGAAGGAGGGAGAAAGGAAGGGAGGAAGACAGGCAATGAAATAAATGATGCATGTTATTATTCAAATATAAGCCAGTTATAAATAATAAGAATAAGGAGAATAATGAGCATGTGCCTTTGTGAAATTAGGTAAAAATTAATGGCAAAACAAAACAAAAAAAAGGAAAACAAGAGGGCCAAATGTGGTGGCTTATGCCTATAATCCCAGAACTTTGGGAGACCGAGGTGGGAGAATGGTTTGAACCCAGAAATTCTAGACCAGCCTGGGCAATGGAGCAAGACCCCAACTCCAAAAAAAAAAAATTTAGCCAGGTATGGTGGCACATGCCTGTGGTCCTAGCTACTTGGGAGGCTGAGAGGGGAGGATTGTTTGAGCCCAGGAGTTGGAGGCTGCAGTGAGTTGTGATCTCACTACTGCAGTGCAGCCTGGGTGACAGAGCAAGATCTTGTCTCAAAATAAAAAAAGGAAGGAAGGAAGGAGGGAAGGAAGGAAGGAAGGAAAGAAGGAAGGAAGGAAGGAAAGAAAGAAAGAAAGAAAGAAAGAAAGAAAGAAAGAAAGAAAGAAAGAAAGAAAGAAAGAAAGACAAAGAAAGAAAGAAAAAGAAAAGAAAAAAAGCCCAGAAAAAACAATGAACAGAGCAGTGGGGCCAGTTACAGGCATTTAGACATGAGGTAGAAAAACAAAGTTACCCTTTATCAGATCATGTCCACATAATTTAAAACTGAAAAACATAGTTAATAATCCAGATATTGCCTTGCCTATAGTAACAATATTGTATTGTTCACTTCAAGATTTGTTAAGAGGGTAGATCTCATGTTAAATATTTGCAGTGGACTGAATGTTTGTGTCCCTTCAAAATTTATGCTGAAATCCTAACCCTCAATGTGATAGTATTAGGAGGTGGGGACTTTGCAGGTAATTAGGTCATGAAGATGGAGCCCTCAAGATGAGATTAGTGCCCTCATAAAAGGGACCCCAGAGAACTCCCTTGCTCTTTTCCCTACCATGTTGGGATACAACGAGAAGTCAGCCATCTGCAGCTGGGAACTGGGCCCTCATCAGAACCCGACCACATTGGCACCTCAATCTCAGACTTCCAGTCTCCAGAACAGTGAAAAATAAATTCCTAATATTTAGAAGATGAAAAATAATTCCCATTATTTATTTATATGGTACTTTGTGATTATAGCCTAAATTAAGACACATTTCTTATCACAATAAAAAAAATCTAGATATTCCAAAACATTTGTTATATATGAAGAGTAATATTAAAATATTAGGCTAAAATTTTACAGGCATTTGACAAAGACTGGCGGAAACTTTAGAGAGGTTTTTCTGTTTATATTCAAGATAGATGGTAAGTTTTAAATGTATTCTTACAAGTAATTTCTGTCTTAGGAAAGGCCTAATTATTATAGTATATACATAAAAATGACACTCTTCTTTTTTATTCATTTTAACAAAGTATTTTGCAGTGAGGATATCCAAAACCAGGAAACATAAACAGATAAAGGTTAAACCATTATTTAAAGCCTTTTTATAAATCGCTAGCCAGGGTAGAATTTGAACTCTAGGCAATCTGGATGTGAGTTCAAAATTCTACACCTTCTCTGTTCCTTGAATATAAAAAATCTAAGATAAGAAAGGAGAAAATGACAATTTCTCTCATAACTTATAGAGCACTACAGTTGCCCAACCCCTGGCTGCTGGCTTTCTGTACAGGACAGAGTCAATTCAGGGCAAAGTATAAGTAGGTTTTGATTCAGTCTGGACAAAGTCTTTGAGTATTCAGACAGGCAAATCTAAAAGTAATTGTTGTGAGTGAAGAGTGAACTTCCCTATTCATCTTAATGGGGTTGTTAGCTATGAAGCTTAATTATATCACTTATATAACACTGCTAGCCATTTAGTGGCAGTTATGGGATTCAGAGGCCAGCAATTAGAGGTGACTTCTAGCCCAGCACAGTCCCTCTAGTTTCTTTATTGCTGTAATGACTCTTGCCTAAGCAGAAGGTCAGCTAGAGTCTTTTTGGTCCCAGTCAATCACCTTAGTTACTGAGTCATTAGTTTCCTAATAACCAGCAAATCCTCTCGTGAGCTAGGTCTGTGTTAGGTGGGTTGGTCACTCTTACCAGATGAAACAAATAGTCTTACCTTTCTGATGGTACTATCATAAAGAGAACCACAAAACGTAATTCAGTAATGGCCAGTGAACAAGTTCTGTTTCTTTTGTGTGTTGCACCCCTGCCTCCAGGGGGATGTAGTCTAGCTCATTAACCTGGTGACACTCAAATGAGGTGGAGTTACTATAGACAGGGGAGCTCTCAGGAAAACAGACCTTATAGTCCCTCATTCCTTTATTCCTTCATCTATTTATTTCATCAAGTATGTTTTCAATCTACTATATGCCAGAGTAAACTTGGCTGAAAAGATGCCTGGAACTTACAATATACAAGTAAACAATTGGTAATTTACTTGTACAATTGCAGTGGTGACAAAGTGCTTTGATGACAAACAGTGCTATGAAGTTGATATGGGGATTATATTAGGTCTACACTGAGTAATGGAGATATGATGTGGGCTATAAACATGGGCCATGTATGTATTTTAAAATTTTCTGTGAGTATATTGAGAAAAGTAAAAAGAAATAAGTAAAATTACTTTTAATAATACATGTTTTAACTCAAAGTATACAAAAGATCACTTCAACTTATAATCAATATTAAAATGATTAATAAAATATATTTTTTCATATTAAGCCTTCAAAATCCAGCCTATATTTCACATAGATGGCACATATGAAGTGCTGAACATCCTTATGTGGCTGGCGGCTACTATGCTGGACAGTGCAGTTTTACATGAAGTTCTTTCTACTACCCAAATAATGAGAAAGAGCCAGCCATGCAGAGATATGCACTCCAGATAGAGGGACCAGCTGGTACAAAGGCCCTGAGGCAGGGTTGTTATTAACCAAATTTGAATTTAATTGTAAAATAAGAAAACAAATATAGCTAACAGTTCACTTTTTAATATTTGTATGCAACACTACTAGATGGTTTAAAACTAAATTATTCTTTTAAAATACTCGCATAATAGGCCATCATTTCTTCTGGGCCTAGATGAAATGGCCAGTTCAGTTTGATGGTTAGTTTAATAGCTTGGTCAGTTTACTAGCTTGAAATGGTCAGTTTAATAGCTTGGTTGCAATAGAAATGAACTCAGTACACAACAAAACTTAGGAAAAAAGATAATGGCTAAGTGAATGCATCTTGAATGTGTTTCTTTTCTTTTGCTTTCAAACCCACAAATTTATCATGGCCTAGTGTGTATTTTACTGATAAATATACTAATTGTAGGTTCTATATTCTAATAGCATAATATATCCTCAGGGCAGGACTTTGTGAAAAATACACTTGGGTATCATTGCGTGTGTTTTATCTTTTCTGGAGGCAGGCCATGCTTGACCCCTTAGTTAGCCCGGCAGCATGATAAATTAACTAGAAACAAAGGTATACTATGCATAGAAAATGAAAACACACAGAAAGAACTTAAAAAGAATCACTGTGTGTGTTTTAAAATAAAATGTCTGGAATATACTTTTCATGTCAAATTAGCATTCTCATAGTCATGTGATTCTAGTTTGTTCTATGTCTTCATTTGGGCTCCTCCAGAAGCTGATCCTGAGACAAGGATATGAGCGCAAGAACTTTATCTGGGAGGTGGTCCCAGTAAGCAGGGGTGGGACTAAGACTGGGAGGGAAGGAAGCCAACATAAGATGTGATAGCAAGCCAGTTACCGTAGTGGGCACCCAGAGTTTAATCATGCTGTGCCACTCTGTGATCTGTGAAAAACACGCCAGAATGATCCCATCTCGGAAGCAAGGAATGATTCCTTGATTCTGTCACTCACAGGCTAGCCTGATTGAGGGCTATGGAAAAGGATGCTAATTCCCTCGCCCTTGTGACTTGACTTCCACACGGGCAGAGAGGGCCGGTGCCTAGAGAAAACACTCAGGGCAAAGGGACATAGATGCCTGCCACTGGAAGTTGTGTGGTGCAAACAGGAATGGGAAGGCCAAGTAAATCTAGGTGGTTATGCAGCAGCTGCCCAGTGTGTATAATGGAAATTCATCCAGAAACTTAAATTTCATTGCCAAAAATTTTAGTTTACAAAGTATCTTTATTTATATTGTTAAGTTGGTGCAAAAGTAATTGTGGTTTTTGCCATTAAAAGTAATAGTCACCTAATATTTAATCCTTTTAAGGGCGCCAAGGCATGGATTGAGTAGGTTTTACCATTCGTATGTTATAGAAGAAGAATCCAAGTTTCATGGGGTCCTGTCCTCACAAATGGTAGAGAAGCAATGCAGGAATCTTGATCTAGTAGAAATTGTGGTTGCTGCAAGGCACCCCAGGCGCACCCCCTCTCTCTATGTAGCTATGCATTTTACATTTTAGATGAAATTCATCCCATCACTGGTTACAGGGATGAGCCTTAGTTGGTAGAAGCCAGTCAGATCATTGTGCTCTTATTGTCACAGTGATTGATTCCAGGGTAAGCATGTGATCGATCAATTAGGATTCAGTCAGAACAGGGTGAAACATGGTAGCAAACTAAATGGCTGAGATAAGAACAAGATATCTCTTTATCTCTTTGTCAAATTTTAAATGTATATGAGAAAAAGATTAACTTTGTAATTGTTGGCAGCCATCATGTGAGCATGAGTCACTCTCCAACCTTAGGGTGAAACTGATATAGATGGCAGAAAAGACACATGGAAACACACATACACACACACACACACACACACACACACACACACACACACACATTTCTTGGTGACATTATTGACTCACTGGATCAACCTCTGCTCAAACTAAGAAACTCCTTTTGTTGCTTAAGGAAGCCATCTGGAGTTGGATATTCAACCATTTGCAATTGAGAATGTTCTACTGGACTCCTGGCTTGGTACTCTACACCAAATGCCCTAAGTCATCCTAGAATGATATAACTTAAACCTCTTGTATGCAAAACCTAGAGGGATTTTGCATGTCTTTTGCACAATGTATTCACCTAAATTATGTTTTTTCCCTTGAGCCATATTGTCCTAATCCATGGAAACATATACTCCAGATATAGCTCAGAGAAGGAAAAAAGTAGATCAAGTTTTAGGTGAATTTATGGCTTACCTAGATAATCTTCAATAGAAACATTTTTTGCTGTTTTTTGAGAAATCAAAAACTTAGACAACAAAAGAAGAAAAAACAAAACTAATGATAGCTGGACAATTACATTTTTCTGTTTTCATTTGGATATACAACGGTAGCCACTAAAAGGAAGTTGGTCTACCTTTTTCTGTATCACCTACATAAATTACATAGATTGAAAAAGCAAAATACAAATTTTCCTAGCCTACCTTGCATCTACAGGTGGTTATGTAACATAGTTCTGGCCAATAAGATGTAAACAGAAGTCTTCTGAGGGAATTGCAGGGAAAGCACCTACTTTCCTCTTAAGGTGGGACAGATACTATTAGCATGCCGCTTTCCTATTTTCTTGTCTTGAATAAGGACATGAGGTCCAAAACGATGGTGGCCACTTTGGGATAATGAGGCAACAGACATAAGGACAAATGCCAAAGGAAATGGAATGAAAAGAGAGAGGTAGTCTGGCTCCTTGATGACACTGTTGAGCAGCTGAACCCATACGAGAAACTGCCTGTCTCTGGCCTTTCTCTTAGGTGAGAAATCTAAACCCTTATTTGTTTAAACCAGTGTTTATACAGTATTTTCTTACTTGCAACCGAATGCATTTCTAACTAGTATATGCAACTACCTTAACAACTCTTTGAATATCTAGAGCTATTTCATGTTTTTGCTCTATGTGTTTTTGTATGTTTTGATGGACGTAGCTTGACTCAGGTCAGTGACTTAGTCCTTTTTTTTCTGTAAAAGAGATGCCCAGTCATTCTATTGTGCCTTTATTGTATATTGAGACCATCTGGAAACCATATCTGGGTGTTTCCACTTACCACATCTTTGATTTTTTTTCACCCACACTGATAATCTTTGCTTTTTAATTGGTGTATTTAGACTATTCTGATTTAAGTGATTATTGATATAATAGTCACATTAACAGCTGTCATGTTTGTAATTGTTTTCTTCTCAGTGTATTTCTCTTTGCTTCTTTGCCTTCTTGCACTTTTGCTTTTTTTGGTTTTAATTAAGCATTTTCTATGATTCCATTTTATCTCCCCACTTAGCATATTAATTATACCGAAAAAATTTTATTAGTGGTTTCCCTAGAGTGTACAATATACATTTTCTGGAAAGCTAATCTCAGTCTGTGTTTAAATAACATTATAACACACTTCATATGAAGTACAGGTGTCATTGAACAGAATATTTCTAATTTTTCTCTCCTGTACCTTGTGACATTGCTGTCATTTATCTTACTTAACCATATGCTATAATCACTCCAATACATTGTTACTTTTGTTACTTCTGAAAAGTTATTATTTAGGCCCTGTGTAGTGGCTCACACCTTTAATTCTAGCAGTTTGGGAGGCTGAGGTGGGAGGACGGCTTGAACCCAGAAGTTTGTGACCAACATAGTGAGACCCTTTCTCTACAAAAAAAAAAAACAAAAACAAAACTTTAAATAAAGTCGTCAAATGAATCAAGCGTGGTGGTGCGTGCCTGTAGTCTTGGCTATGTGGGAGGGTGAGGTGAGTGAATCCCTTGAGCCTAGCAGGTCCAGGCTGCAGTGAGCTGTGATTGCACCACTGAACTCCCAGCATTGTGTGTCATGTGTGCCTGTGTGTGTGTGTTTGTGTGTTTTGAGATAGGGTCTTGCTCTGTTGCCCAACGTAGAGTGCATTGATCAGAGCTCACTGCAGCCTTGATCACTTGGGTTCAAGTGATCCTGCCACCTCAGCCTCCTGAGTAGCTGGGACCACAGGCACCTGCCACCGTACTGGGCTAATGTTTTTTAAAAACACTTTTGACATGGGGTCTTACCACATTGCCCCAGCTGGTCTTGAACTCCTGGGCTCAAGCTATCCACCCTCTCTGGCCTCCCAAATTGCTGGGATTACAGGAATGAGCTGCCATTCCCGGCCCTGTTCTTTATGTACCTCCAAATTTCAGATCCATGTTATTTTCCTTCTGCCTCGAAAACTTTTAACATTTCTTACAGGGCAGATCTGCTCCCAGTGAATTCCCTCAGCTTTTGTCTGCCTGAGAAAGATTTTTCTTTCACTTATGAAATAATTTCTTTGGATACAGAATTCTAGGTTGTTGATTTTTTTCTTTCAACACTTCAGACATTTTACTTCTGTCTTCATGCTGCTATAACAGAATACCACAGACTGGGTAATTGACAAAGAACAGAAACTTATTTCTCACAATTCTGGAGGCTGAGAAATCCAAGACAAAGGTGCCAGTATTTGGTCTTATTAGGCTTCTTTTTAGAAATATAATTAACAATTTTAATTGATACATAATAATTGTACATATTTATGAGGCACAGGTGATATTTCAATACACATATGCAACCTGTGGTGATCAAATCAAGGCAATTCAAATATCCATCACCCCAAACATTTATCATTTCTTTGTATTTGGAACATTCAAATTTCTTTCTTCTAGCTGTTTTGAAATATACAATAAATTGTTGTTAACTGTAGTCACCTAATTGCACTATAGAACCCCAGAACTTATTCCTCTCATCTAACTGTAATTTTGTACCCATTAACCAAGCTCTGCCTATCTCCTCTCCTCTGGTCCTTATCAGCCTCTGGAAACCAGTATTCTACTCTCTACTTCTATGTAACCAACGTTTTTAGCTTCCACATATGAATGAGAACACGCAGTATTTGTCTTTCTGTGCTTGATTTATTTCACTTAACATGATATCCTCCACACTCATGTATGTTACTGCAAAATGCAGAAATTATAATTTTTAATAGATGAATACTATTCTATTGTGTATATATACTACATTTTCCTCATCCATTCATGTGTTAATGGACACTTAGTTTGTTTCATAGTTTTGCTATTGTGAATAGTGCTGCAATAAACATGGGAATGCAGATACCTCGTCCGAGAGCTGATTTCCTTTCCTTTGGATCTATACTCAGTAATGGTATTGCTGGATCAAATGGTATTTCTATTTTTAGTTTTTTGAGAAAGTTTTATACTGTTTTGTTTTAATGGCTGTACTAACTTATATTCCCGCTAACAGTATATAAGAGTTCGCCTTTCTCCATATCCTTGCAAGCATTTGTTATTTTTTGTAATTTTCATAATTTAACAGGGGCAAAATAATATTTCACTGTGGTTTTAATTTGCTTTTCCTTGATGATTAGTGATACTGAACATTTTTCATCCACCTTTTGGCCATTTGTATGTATTTTTTCTTTTTTTTGAGATAAGTCTGTTTGGATAATTTGCTCATTTTAAAATTTGATTATTTGTATTTTTTCTTTTTTAGCTGTTATTTGAGTTCCTTATATATTCTGAATATTAATCCCTTGCAGAAGAGATATATTGCAAGTATTTTCTCCTATTCTGTAGGTTGTAGCTTCACCCTGTTGGTTGGTTCCTTTGCCATGCGGAAGTTTTTTAGTTTGATATAATTCCATTTGTCTATTTTTGCTTTTGTTGCCTATGCTTTTAAGTTCTTACCCAAAACATCTTTCCCCAGACCAGTGTCCTAAAGTGTTTACCCAATGTTTTCTTCTAGTAGTTTTATCATTTTCAGGTCTTACATTTAAGTCTTCAATCCATTTTGAGTTGATTTTTGTATATGGTGAAGATAGCGGTCTAATTTCATTCTTGTGTATATGAAACATTCAGTTTTCCCAGCACCACTCACTGAGGAGACTGTCCCTTCCCTAATGTTTGTTTTTGGTACCTTTGTTGGAAATTGGTTGGCTGTTAATACATGGTTTTATTTATGGGTTATTGATTTGGTTCCATTGGTCTATGTGTCTGTTTTTATGCCAGTACCATGGTATTTTGGTTACTATAGCTTTACAGTATATTTTGAAGTCAGGTGGTCTGTTGCCTTCACCTTTGTTCTTTTCTTTTACATGCAAGGGATACACATGCAGGTTTATTACATGGATATATTGTGTGATGCTGATTTCTATTAAACCCATCACCCAAATAGTAACCATAGGACCCAATAAGTAGTTTCTCAACCCTTGCTCCCTACCCTCTTTTGGAGTCCCCACTGTGTATTGTTCCTATCTTTATGTCCATGTGCACCTAATGTTTAGCTCCCACTTGTAAGTGAGAATGTGCAGTATTTGGTTTTCTATTTCTGTGTTAATTCATGTAGAATAATGGCCTCCAGCTGCATCCATGTTGTTGCAAAGCACATAATTTTATTCTTATTTATGGCTGCATAGTATTGCATGGTGTATATGTAACACATTTTCTTTATACATTCCACCACTGATGGGCACCTATGTTGATTTTATGTCTTTGCTATTATGAATAGTGCTGTGATAAACATGTGAGTGCAGGTATCTTTTTGGTACAATGATTTATTTTCCTTTGGGTTCCTATCTAATAATGGGATTGCTGAGTTGAATGGTAACTCTATTTTTAGTTCTTTGAGAAATGTCCAAACTTTTCCACAGGGGCTGAACTAATTTACAATCCCATTGACAGTGTATAAGCATTCCCTTTTCTCTACAACCTTGCCAACATCTGCTATTTTTTTTATTTAATAATAGCCATTCTGATTGGTATGAAATGGTATCTCATTGTGGTTTTGTTTTGCATTTCTCTGATGATTAGTGATGTTGAGCGTTTTTTCATATGTTTGTTGGCCACTTTGAGATGTCTTCTTTTGAGAAGTGTCTATTTATGTCCTTCGCCCACTTTTTAATGGTGATGTTTTTCTCTTGTAAATTTGGTTAAGTTCCTTATAGATGCTGGATATTAGCTCTTTGTCAGATGCACAGTTTGCAAATATTTTCTCCTATTCTGTAGGTTGTATGTTTACTCTGTTGACAGTTTCTTCTGCTATGCAGAAGGTCTTTAGTTTAATTAGGTCCCAATTGTCAATTTTTGTTTTTGTTGCATTTGCTTTTGAGGACTTAGTCATAAATTCTTTGCCTAGATCAATGTTCAGAAGAGTATTTTCTAGATTTTCTTTTAGGATTCTTATAGTTGATAAAAGAAAAACTTCAGCCAAATTAAATTTAAAGGAGTTTGATTGAGCAATAAGCGATTCGCAAATCTGGCAGTCCCCAGAATCCCAGCAGATTTACAGAGACTCCAGGGGTGCCTTGTGGTCAGAACAAATTTATAGACAAAAAACGTAAAGTGACATACAGGAATCAGAAGTGAGGTACAGAAACAGTGAGATTGGTTACAGCCTGGAATTTGCCTTATTTGAATGCAGTGACCATTTAGCAGTCTATGAGTGGTTGAAGAATGGTCGCTGGGATTGGCCAATGCTCAGCTATTGTTACAGGTGCATACTATTAAGTTAGGTTTTCAATTTTTCTGACTGTTAAGCTAGGTTACAGTTCATCCATGAGGACTCAAATGCAGAAGTATGGAGTCTTTCTCAGCCATATTTAGTTTGCTTTAACATAGTTAGCTTTGTTCTTTTTGCTCAGGCTTGCTTTGGGTATTCAGGGTCTTTTGTGGTTCTGTATGAATATTAGGATTGTTCTTTCTATTTCTGTGGAGAATGTTACTGGTGGTTATTTGATGGGGATTACATTGAATCTGTAGATTGCTTTGGATAGTATGGTTATTTTAACAACAATAATCTTTCAATCTATGAACATGAGATATCTTTCCATTTGTTTATGTCCTCTTTGATTTCTTTCATCTGTGTTTTATAGTTTTTATTGTAGAGATATTTCACCTCTTTGGTTAAATTTATTGATAGTATATTTTTGTAGCTATTATAAATGGAATTGCTTTCTTGATTTCTTTTTCAGATTGTTTGCTATTGGGATATAGAAATGCTATTGATTTTTGTATGTTGATTTTGTATCCTGCAACTTTACTCAATTTATTTATTAGTTTAGGAATTTTTTAGTGGACTGTGTTTTTCTAAATATAAGATCATGCCATCAGCAAGCAGGAACAGTTTGGCTTCTTCCTTTCAAATTTGGGTGCTTTTAATTTTTCTTACTAATGCTCTGGCTAGGACTTCCAGTGCTGTGTTGAGCAAAGTGGTAAAAGTGGGCATCCTTATCTTCTTCTTAATCTTAGAGGAAAGGCTTTCAATTTTTCCTCCTTTGATCTGATGAGCTTCTTGCTACATCTTCACGTGGCAAAAGGAAATAGGGCAAGCTAGCTGAACCTGAGGGAAGCCTCTTTTAAAAGGACCTTAACCCTATTAACAAGGGAGCAGCCCTCAGTGGCCTAATTACTCTTAATGCCCTCATATATATATATGTATATACACACACATATCTCACACTGGCAACGTATAAATTTTGGAGTGGACATACTCAAATCATAGCAATTTCATTCTCTTTTTGCTTTTATGGTTCTGATGAGAAGTCCACTGTAATCCTTATCCTTGTTCTTCTTTAGGTAAGGTGCTTTTTCCTTTGGTTTCTTTCAAGATTTTCCTTGTCTTTTTTTTTTTTTTTTTTTTTTTTTGAGATGGAGTCTCACTCTGTCGCCAGGCTGGAGTGCAGTGGTCTGCAACCTCCGCCTCCCAGGTTCAAGTGATTCTCCTGCCTCAGCATTCAGAGTAGCTGGGACTACAGGTGTGCGCTACCACGCCCAGCTAATTTTTGTATTTTTAGTAGAGACAGGGTTTTATCATATTGGCCAGGATGGTCTTGATCTCTTGACCTTGTGATCCACCCACCTCGGCCTCCCAAAGTGCTGGGATTATGGAAGTGAGCCACTGCGCCCGGCCTTCTTTGTCTTTTTATACAGTTGGAATGTGATTGGCCTCAGGTTTTTTTTTTAATTGTTGTTGTTGTTTGTATTTATCTTTATAGTGTTCTCTGAGCTTCCTAGATCTATGGTTTAGTGTCTGTAATTAGTTTTGGTAAGTTCTCAGCCATTACTACTTAAAATATTTCTTCTGCTTCATTTCTTTTCCTTCTGGTATTCCATTACTCATATGTTCTACCTTTTGAAATTTTTCTTAAGTACTTCTATGTTCTTTTCTGCATTTTTCACTTATTTTTCTGTTTGCATTTCAGTTTGGGAAGTTTCTGTTAACTTATCTCCAAGCGCGCTGATTCTTTTCTCAATCACATCAAATCTCCTGATGAGCCCCATCAAAGGCATTCTTTATTTCTGTTACAGTGTTTTTTATTTCTAAAGTTTCCACTTGATTCTCTTAGAGTTTTATCTCTCTTCTTACATTACCCATCTCTTCTTGCATGTTACTTTTTACATTTGAGGCTTTAACACATTTTTCAGAGTTATTTTAATTTCCTGTCTGATAATTCAAACATCTGTATCACATCTAAGTCTAGTTATGAAGATTGGTTTATTTTTCAGATTGTTTCTTCTTTTGGCATGCCTTGTACCTTTTTGTTGAAAGTTGAACACATTGTATTGGCTGAAAATAGGTCTTTAGTGTGAGGATTTTTATTAGTCTGGCTAGAAATATGACTTTGTTTAAGGCTTAGCTATAAGTGCAAGAAGTTTCAAATTCTTCTAGTATCCTTGTTTTTATCTTGATTTTGGCCTTCCCTGCAGATTCCTCTTTAGAAAGACTCTGTCAGCTGTAATATATTGTCATTATAATGGAGCTCTCTTGGTATAAGGTGTTGGGGAAGGGGAGTGTTTTGTAATCTTTCAATTAAATCTCAGTGTTCTATTTAGCCTATGTCTTTGGGCTGTGACCTTCACAACTGTTCTACTGGTAATGTAGCTATTTTCCCCTCTTCCACCTACATTCTTCCCTGGTTTCAGCATTCCCAGTCTATTTCCTTAGGGTCATGTCCACTGTTGGCTATGTTTTCTTCCCCTGCAGCCTCTTTAGGTAAAATAAGAAGACTGGAGACTAACGTAAGAGAAATATCCCTTTCCCAGAAAGAATACGGCTCTGGCAACATTTTTCCCCCCGGGAAAGTAGGTCTTTGTTATGGAAAGTGTTATGTACATATTTAACAAGGATTACTTTTCCTATACCCAGCCAGAGCCAGGAGGGAATCTTTCTTGGATCTTCATTGTGAGACCTTGTGGCATTCCTGGAGGTAAGCCTTATGAAAATCTGGCCCCCTTCTAAGACTGGGGATCCCAGGAGTTTCTCACTATCATGCTAGTGTACACTGAGCCTCCACAAATTCACCAAAATTACTATTTGAGAGTTCTTACTACTTTAGGCTTCAACAGCTTTTGCTCCAGGTAAGTAGATCTTAACTGTGACTTCCTGGATGCCCCTGGATGCCCAGATTTTGGAGTCACAGTTTGCCCTGCCATGTCAGTTTTCTGATGAGCCCAAGAAAAGTGATGGATTTTCAGTTTGTTCAGACATTTCTTGCTATAAGGATGGGAGTGATGACTTCCAAGCTCATTACATGTGAGAGCTGAGATTGGAAGTGTCCTTAACCTCCTCTTTGAGACTTTATTTTTCTATAAAAATGAGTATGTTTATAGTTACTTTGCAATGTTGTTGCCATGACTTTTATGAGACAATAATCTATGAGAAGGTAATGTAAGGCCCTTAGCAGGTCACCAATAAAGTGGGATTCTGTACTGAAATTTTAGAGAGAATTCCATTGTCATAAAGTCAATGGAGTCACATGGAATCAAGTACAGGTGTGCAACAAAAATTAAGGATACAGAAAATAAACAATTTCAATAATAGGGACAATTCTGCCATTATTCCATGTAGTGACCATATCTCCTAGGGTAAACATGATATAGTAAAATTATATGCTGTCAACTAGGAGAAAGAGGTAGTGGTGAGCTGGGAAGTGAGGGTGACAAGGAGGAAGAAGGAATATCTTCAGGAATAATGTATGAGAGGTACCTGAGGAAGGCGGAACCTAAGAACATTTCAGAAAGATGGCAGTGGAGCTGGATTTGGGGGAGGGGTGGGAGATGACATTGGAGTGGGGTTTAGTGATCATTGTGAAGTGCTTGGACTCTGTCTTAAGAGCAGTGGCCTAGTTTCCCCAAAACACAACTTATATTATTCATATTTTTAATAAGTAGAGCATTGGAAATGGTGCTTTATTATGGATTTACTCTGCATTTTTTATTGCTGTTCAAATTTAACATTTTTCTTTATGTATTTATTATATGAAATTATTGTCTTCTCATGTCTTTTGCCCATTTATTTATTGGTTCTTTTTGATAGTACTGATTTTTAAATAAAGTCATTATATGTTATTTTTTTAATCTTCCATATTTGAGGGAAAAAAAATCTTCCCTAATATTTTCTTTTAGTTTTTAAGCATTCAGTTATTTAAAATGTATAGATCTTCCTATGTGTTGGTATGGTAACTCAGTAGCTTATAACAGTAAGCATTTATTTCTCACTCGTGTCTGTGGGTCAGCTTAGGTTCAGCTGACCTAGACTGGGCTTAGTTGGGCTTGATTCCAGCTGTGGATTGTTTACCCCATATGTCTCTTATCCTCCTCAGACCAAAAACTTCTTAAATATGTATTTTTCATGGCAAAAAGCAGAAGTGTGGGAAGACATGGCCAATCATACAAGCAGAATTTAAAGCCCTGCTCCTATTGGCCAAAGCATGTCACATACCCAAGCCCAAAGTCAAAGGAAGGGAAAGAATACTATGCCCATAAGTCCATGACAACAATGTGGATTATCATAATACCACAGTGGCAGAAATAATTAAGACTAACAATTAAGTCTACTACTTGAGCTTGTGATTGTGAAAGATTAAAGGTTTTAATCAGGTCTTATAAAAACCTGAAGTGCAATGTATTAATTCATTCAACCTGAAGGGCTTAGAATAGTATTATTTATAGCTTATGGACAATTGAAGAATGAATATATTATACTACTGATAAGCAATATTAAAAAATTAAATTTCTTAAAGTACTTATGTACTATTACAATACAATTAAATCACTTTTCACATCTTCATTGTTTTGGTTAGTTCATCATCATGTAAGATTTCATAGGTACCTGGGCTTATTTGTATTCTTCTCTTTTGTTCTATAATCTATTGCTTGATTTATAACCTTTATGAGGTTACTGTCACTTGATCTGTCTTATTTATTGCTGTATCCTAATAGCTAGAACAGTGCTTGGCACCTAGTGAATACTTAATAAATATTTCTTGAATAAATGTTGAATACAAATTTATACAGTACCACACTACCACACTATTTTACTTTCTTTCTTTCTTTTTTTTTTTTTTTTTGAGACAGAGTCTCACTCTGTCACCTAGGCTGGAGTGCAGTGGCGTGATCTCGACTCACTGCAAGCTCTGCCTCCTGGGTTCACACCATTCTCCCGCCTCAGCCTCCTGAGTAGCTGCGATTACAGGCATGTGCCACCATGCCCGGCTAATTTTTTGTATTTTTAGTAGAGACAGCGTTTCACCATGTTAGCCAGGTTGGTCTCAATCTCCTGACCTCGTGATCCGCCCACCTCAGCCTCCCAAAGTGCTGGGATTACAGGCGTGAGCCACCACGCCCGGTCCACTATTTTACTTTCTTATAAAAGAAAACTGCTTGTGCTATTGCTTGATAATCTGCCATTGTTCATTGTTATTTTTCAAAATAGTTTTGTTTTTATTAAGTTTATAATTTGGAGAGAATTATTTGTAAAATTCTCATTTCCTATCTAAGAATATTTTACTCTCAACCTATTAAATTTTTTGGTAAAAATTCTTAATATTATATGTTTTTAGTAGATAATCCATGTGTGTTTCTCTTTAATTTCCAAGAAATTTACTTTTTATGTTGCTTTGTAAATGCAAATTTTGACTAGAGACTTATTAAAATATACTTGTATCAGTTAGCTTTTGCTACCTAACAAATCAACCCAAACATTAATAGCTTAAAGCAACAAGCATTTAATCCTTCTTACAATTCTGTAAGTTGGCTGCAGATCTTCTGGTCTTAATATCTCAGCTAAGGATGGATGGTCTAGGATGGATTCACCCACACGTCTGGCAGGCAGTTGGCAGGCTGATTAATCTAGGAAGCCTTAGATGAGTCAGTCCACTTCTGTTTTGTGTGGTCTCTCATTATCCAGCCTTCTGGCTTGGATGACTTCACATGGTGGTCTCAGGGTTGCTAATAGCAAGAGGGCAAACCCTATTGTATAAACATTTTTTAAGCCTCAGCTTGCATCATGTTTGCTATTGTCCTATGGACTGAAGCAAGGGACATGGCCCAACCCAGATTCAAAGGATGGAGAAATAAACTCCACATCTTGTTAGGAACAGTGGCAAAGTTACAGTCCATATGAACTTGGATACAGGGATCGTGGAGATTTTTAGCTATTTTGCTATGTTCCTCAGATGAAATATTTTGAAAGAAGAATCAAATTCCTTAAATGAACTGTTGTCAATCGATGTCTACTTTATCGTCATGTAAATCACTGATATGAAACACTGAGTGCTAAATGCCTAAGAAAGATAATTCGCTACTTGTTTGAATTATTTATTTGTTCCTTCACTCATTCATTTATTAATTTCTGCTGTGGGTTAGGGACTGTTCTTGGTGCTGTGAATAAAAGGGGAAGAGAATAAGGTCTTTGCCTTTAAGAAGCTCATGGAAGATGTGGAGAGAATCAGGAAGAAATTTTACATGTTTAACAATTGATTGGCATTGGATTTCACCAATCATAATATATAGCAGCTTGGGCAGGAGGAGGGTCCTAAGGCTTCTGGATCATGAGGAGGTTGAGGGTATTCCAGGATAGAAATTGGGATGACAGAAGAGTAAAAACAGAGGATGTAGGACAGTGGCTGGTTACCCCTCATGGAAATAATCAGGTCAGTTGCAACTGTGCATCTAACACTATATCAGAGAGCAGATGATGAAATATGTGACAGCAGATAACTAAATACAATGATAATAAAATATATGAGAGCAGATAATGAAATGCAATGCATTAATTACTACATGCCAGGTAGGAGCCTGGAGAATGGTGAAATTACTCTTGTAAAGAAAAGTGGAAGCATATCTATATATTTGATTACATGGAAGTGGGGATTTTTAAGATGAATAGGAGTTTGACAGGCAATGAAGGAAAGACGGAATATTTTAAGAAGAAGAAACAGCATGTGAAAAGGCAGGGCTTAGTCTGGTTTCCTAACAGAAGTCACAAAGAGGGAAGCCCACAGGTGAGATCTGGCTCATGGGGTATTTTGTTTGGTTGATGTGGGCTTTAAATGTGAACTTTAATGCTTTTGGAAAGAGCTTGAATTAATCTCTTTGCCACAATTCCCACTACAGCCTAATGTAGCACTCAGCTGGCTTCTCTTTTATCCTTACTACTTAGGTTTTTGTGTTTGCAATCTCTGAATTCTATACTACTTCACATTATTGAGCACATACACTATGCCTGGTAATGTGCTTGATATTTTACATTTCTTAACACATTAAGTCATTATAAGGTAAAATTTAAGATCTGATTTTACAGATGAAGGAACTGCGTCTCAGAGATATTGAGTAACTCCTCTGAGGCAACTCATCTAAAAAGAGGTGGAGCTGGGGTTTTAATCTAGGTCTACTTGACCTCTGATCTTGCATTTTACCACCACATCAGAGCAAGTGGGTAATATGTCTCATCGTCATCACGTTTAAAAGACACCGGACACTTTCCATATAGTCAGTAGTTTCTTTGTCAAGACATTCCAGTGGAAAGGTCAATATTTGGTTCCTTAGAGAAGGTTATAACTTTATCATAGTTACTGAGCAAGCTCTCGTGACTCCTATAAGACCATAGACCTCAAGATTAGATGTTTGTGGGTGAAAAGAAAAGAGCTGTCTTCTTGCTTGGGCTCACCTAAAATCAGACCCAGGGACAAGGATTTGGGTGCCAGGAGTTTACGTGGGAGGAGATTCCAGAAGCATGATGAGAGAGTGGAAAAGGGGGCCAGGGAAGGAAAGACTGCCGTAAAGGGTTCATTGATGAGCCTGTTGCCCCTGTGGGCAGCTGGAGCACTATCTTGCTAAGGACATTCTGAGATGCTGTGCAGAACATACTTTCAGATTATCACCCCTGGTGGCAAAGAGGCCAAGGTGCTTATCTGCCAGTTCCAATGGCTCATGGGAGAGAGTTGCTCCTGAGACATCCACTCCTGCCTATGTGAACCAGGGACTCCTGAGTCAAGAGAGAATCTTTAACCAGAGGGATGCAGGTGCTTGGGATAGGGAGCTGTCAGAGTGTTTGTTCACTAACCTACAGGTAACCTCCAAGGTGGGCTAAGAGGATATGAGCATCTGCTCTAAGAAGACACCAGCATGCAGAGAATAAAGTAAGCCCAAGGATGTCATGACTCTTTTTATTAAATCTTGCTGTGAACTCAGCTGGCCTTCCATAAACACTTGATCTTTTAACCAGATCATTGGGTTCATTTGCCAGAACATGAGCATCTCACAGGTAGGGACAGAAGTGGCTTTTATCTTCCTTCCCTATTATCTCCTGACACATTTGTTACTCATTAAGTATTTGTGTAGGGAGGCAGTTTAGGAGAGTAGGGAGAGCTTAGTCCTTGGGATAGGACAGACTGAACAGTTTCTCACGGCCTGGCGATTTATGCCTTTGTATTCCAATGTTACTTTTCCCTCTTAGTCTACTTCCTCATCTTTAACATTGAAGAGCTATGCCAGACTCAAAAATGATGGTAAGAAGCAAACAAATTAACAAATGTTCAGTGGCTGCTCTAGACTTTCTATATTGGGAGAACTTAGAGGAGACAGCAGTCTGAAGGGAAGGGAAAGCAGAAGCTGGGCAGTATTTTGCCCTTAATTTTTGCCCAGAAGATTAAGAAAATATTAATTTTGCAAGCGCTGGTGGACATGATGGGGAAGCTAAAGAAGACCTCAGAACATGGCTTTTGTGCCGCAACTGTGTTGCTTAGGTACCTAGAATAGGGCTTGGTAGGTTACAGGCATTTAATCAAAGCTAAGTGTTATTGTCTGGCTGGGGTGTATGAAATTACTCCAGTTTGGAAATGTGGTGTTAATAGCATATTGACAGTGTTTGTATCTTGTGATATGTAATTGCTTTTGCAATAGAGTGTCATGATTCCTGAAGCAGGAAGCTTACAGTCCAAGGCAGAATTTATTCTTGAAATCATTACTAGATTTTTCTCTTATGAGTGTCCAGGTCCTCATGAATGACTGTTGACCCCTAGAATCAGGATTCAGAATGAGGTGGGGAGGCCAACCTACAGTCTGGATGAGTGATGACTTCAGAGAAGGGCAGGCTGTTTATTCTGAATACAGAATGGCCAACGCTGTGTCCATAGACTACAAACTCTCCAGTATGGGAGGGGCTTGGTGAGTGGGTGGTATTGGGGGAAATCAACAGATTCATCCTACAGAATGACATGGGGTCTAGCTCTCTCATTATCCTCACGGAAGCTGGGTGTCCTAAAAACCGTATCTGGAGACTCTCCAGAGTGGACAGCTCTCTGAATGGAGCAGACTCTCCGGGGTAAACAGCTGTGGAGGATAAGGCCAGGTGTTTCTGTAAAATCCAGATATTGACCCTGTGTGACGGGCACTCCATGTCTGAGATCCAGGTTCACTCTGCATGGGTCAGGAGGACTCTCAAGAGGCCTCTCACACTTTTGTCTTGGAATACAAAGCCACAAACCTCTAAGCAGTCTTGACCATTATCTTCAGGGTCCAGTACCCAGCAGTGGGGACTTCAAATAAAGGCATTAAACAAGAATGAATTATTAATCCAAGAGTGATGTTCTGAGTTATTCCAGTATGTTGGTATTTTTTCTCCAAATTGTTTATTTTCTAATTCTGGAAGATTATACACACACACACACACACACACACACACACACACGCACATAATTCTACTTATCCAAAGAAAATCTAGTATAGTTTTTTAAAGATATTTTCCTATGCATTTATACGAATACATGTTTTAAATATTTAGGCTTACAAATTTATACTCTCAATGTCAATAGATACATTTTTACAGGTATTTACCTTGAGTTAATTAAACTTGTCAAATAAAAATTATAAAAATACTAAAATTAAACAAAAATTCTATTTGTAAGTGGTTACATTATTTCCAACATTTAGATTTCGGAAACAATGTTGTTATCCCTGTTGCTCAATCTTTGTAGTATCCTCAATTCATTCTTAAACTCCTTCACAGTTTCCTTGTTTTTAATTTTATTTTTTTAGTTGACAAAAATAATTGTACATATTCATGGGGTACATAGTGATGTTTGGATACATATAAAGTATAGTAATCAAATTAGGGTAACTAGCATATTCATCATCTTAAATACATATCATTTCTTTGTGTTGGGGACATTCAGAATCCTCCTTCTAGCTGTTTGAAATGATGTATTATTATTAACTATAGTCATCCTACAGTGGTATAGAACACTAGAACCTATTTCTCCTATCTAGCTGTAATTTTGTATCTAGCTGTAATTTTGTATCCTTCAATAAGTCTCTCCCCATTCCTCCCTTTCCCCTACCTTTACAAGCCTCTGGTATCTTTTGTTTTACTTTTTACTTCTATAAGATCAACTTTTTTTTTTTTTTTAGCTTCCATATATGAGTGAGAACACGTGGTGTTTAACTTTCTGTTCCTGGCTTATTTCACTTAACATAATGTCCTTGAGTTCCCTCTATGTTGCCCCAAATGACAGGATTTCATTCTTTTTGATGGTTGAGTAATATTCCATTGTGTATATATACCACATTTTCTTCATTCATCTGTTGTTGGATACCTAGGTAGATCACCTATTTTGGCTATTGCGAGTAGTGCTGAAATAAACATGGGAGTGCATATGTCTCTTCCGTATAATGATTTACCTTCTTTTGGATATATACCTAGTAGTGGGATTCCTTTTATGTTAGTTCTATTTGAGGTTTTTTGGGGAACCTTCACACTGTTGTTCATAGTGGCTGTACCAGTTTACATTCCCACGAACAGTCTGTAAGAGTTCCCTTTTCTTTATATCCTTGCCAGCATTTGTTATTTTCTGTTTTTTTGATAACAGTCATCTTAACTGGGGTGAGATATTACCTCACTGTGGTTTTTATTTGCGTTTCCCTGATGATAAGTGATGCTGAGCATTTTTTTCATGTATTTGTTGACCCTTTGTATGTATGTCTTTTGAGAAATGTCTGCTCAGATCATTTGCCCATTTTTACATTGTTTTTGTTGTTGTTGTTGTTGAAATGTCTGAGTTCCTTGTATATTCTGGATATTAATTCTCTGTCAGGTAAGTAGTTTGCAAATATATTCTCCCATTCTATAGGTTGTCCTCTCACTCTGTTGATTGTTTTCTTTGTTGTGTGGAAGCTTTTTAGTTTGATTCAGTCCTATGTTTTCTTTTGTTGCCTGTGCTTTTGAGGACTTATACATAAAATCTTTCCCCAGACCAATGTCCTGAAGCATTTCTGCTATGTTTTCTTCTAGCAGTTTTGTTGTTTCAGGTTTACATTTAGGTCTTTCATTAATTCTGAATTGATTTTTTTATACAATGAGAGGTGGGGGTCTAATTTTATTCTTCTGCATATGGATATCCAGTTTTCCCAGCACCATTTATTGAAGAGACAGTCCTTTCCCTAAATAGTGTTCTTGGCATCTTCATCAAAAATCAGTTGGCTGTAGATATATGGATTAATATCTGGGTTCTCCTTTCTATTTCATTGGTCTATGTGTCTGTTTTTATGCCAGCACCATGATGTTTTGGTTACTACAGCTTTGTAGTATATTTTGATGTCTGGCAGTGTGATACTTCTAGCTTTGTTCTTTTTGCTCAGGATTGTTTTCACTATTTGGGATCTTCTATGGTTCCATACAGATTTTAGAATTTTTTTTCTGTTTCTTTGAAAAATGTCTAGTGTTTTGATAGAGATTGCATTGACTCTGTAGATTCCTTTGAGTAGTATGTTCATTTTAACAATATTAATTCTTCCAATCCATGAGCATGGGATGTCTATTTGTATCCCCTTCAATTTCTTTCCTTTTTTTTTTCTTTTTGAGACAGAGTCTCACTCTGTCACCCAGGCTGGAGTGCAGTGGCATGATCTCAGCTCACTTCAATCTCTGCCTCCTGGGTTCAAGCGATTCTCCTGCCTCAGCCTCCCCAGTAGCTGGGATTACAGGTGTGTGCCACCATGCATGGCTAACTTTTTCTATTTTTAGCAGAGATGGGGTTTCACCATGTTGGCCAGCCTGGTCTCAAATTCCTGACCTCAAGTGATTCACCTGCCTCAGCCTCCCAAAGTGCTGGGATTACAGGCATGAGCCATCGTGCCCAGCCCAATTTCTCTCATCATTGTTTTGTAGTTTTCCTTATAGAGGTCCTTTACCTCCTTGGTTAAACTTATTTCTTGGTATTCTATTGTTTTTGGTAGCGATTGTACGTGGGATAAACTTATTAATTTCTTTTCAGCTAGTTTGTTGTTCATATACAGAAACACTACTGATTTTTGTATATTAATTTTGTATCCTGCAATTTTATTGAATTTGTTTATCAGTTCTAAGAGTTTTCTGGTAGAGCCTAGATTTTTCTATAAAACCCTGATATCAAAATCAGACAAGGACACAACAAAAAAGCTACAGGACAATATCTCTGAACATAGATGCAAAAATCCTTAACATAATACTAGCTAACTGAATCCAACAACAGATCAAAAAAAAATACACCATGATCAAGTGAAATGTATCCCAGGAATGCAAAGATGGTTCAGCATATGCAATTCAATAAACATTGTACATCACATAAATAGACTGAAGGACAAAATCATATGATCACCTTGATAGATGCAGAAAAAGCTTTTGATAAAATTCAACAATCCTTCATGATATACACTCTTAATAAATTAGGTATGGAAACCTCAACATAATAAAGGCCACATATGACAAATCCAGCTAACATCTTACTGAATGGAACTGGAAGAAGGCAAAGATGCCCACTCTCACCACTCTTATTCAACACAGTTCTGGAAGTCTTAACCACAGTAATGAGGCCAGAGAAAGAAATAAAGGGCATCCAAATGGGAAAGGAGGAAGTCAAATTTTCCTGTTTGCAGATGACCTGATCTTATGTACAGTTAAACTCTCCTATATATTTCCTATCTCCTTATTTCTTTAGACTGCATTCTCAATAATTTTCTTTTATATGGTTCACTAATTTTCTCTTAAGGTGAGTCTAAGTTCCTGTTTAACCCATCTATTGATTTTTACTATTAATTATTATATTTTGACATTTCTAAAAGTTCTGTTTTCCAAACCAGTCTCATCTTTTCCTATATTTTCAGTTCATTCTTTATATCTTTAATCATTAACACATGATGTTTTCTCATGTCTATCAGAGGATATCTATTGTTATGGTTTCTGGGATCTACTTCTACTACTGTTTCTCATAGTGCATTTGTTCCCCATGCATTTTATAATTTTGGATCTAAGCTCATCTTCTGTAGAATCTCAGTGGGGAACCCAGTGGAAGAATATGACCTTTCAGAGATATTTTCTAATGGCTTCTGCCAGGTACACAATGGATATTACCAGCACAGAACATGTTTAAGTTAATCTCTTCCCATGAAAATTCTAGTGTAAATCTAAGTGCCAAACTCGTGAGGTCAGGCCTGTGGTTATGATTTCTCAGAGTACTTCAATTTTTTTTTCATCTAGAGCCTAGACAGAAAAGCTTCTTTGTCATTGCTCTATGCCTTTGGGTGGATTTTTGTAGTCTAACTTCCCACCTCTCACTGGCCTAAGTCTTTATCTTTGTTGCCTAAGTCTTCATCTTTTTTCCCTATGTGGGAAGGAAACTGGAACAAAGAGGGAAAAACCTCTGTTACTAAGACCAGAAAATACCCATAAGACCTCCAGAATTTCAGCTTAGCTATTACAGCTTATGATTTCAGGTTCCTCTTCATATTTTATCCCTGGGGATTTTCCTTTCTTGTGGGCTCAGTCCTACATTTAAAGAATCTTACATTTTATCCAGTATTTCCACTTTGCAATGAGAGGATTTCTGGTGAGATCATCATGTTTCCAGAAACTAAAGTTCTTAAGTATTTCTCTAGTGTAAATTCTCAGAGGTAGAATTGCAAGTTTAGGAGTGTATTAGTCTGTTCTCACACTTCTAATAAAGACATACCTGAGACTGGGTAATTTATAAAGGAAAGAGTATAATTGACTCACAGTTCCACATGACTGGGGAGGCCTTATAATCATGGCAGAAAGCGAATGAAGAGCAAAGTCACATATTACACGGCGGCAGGCAAGACAGCTTATGCAGGGGAATTTGCATTTATAAAACCATTAGATCTCGTGAGACTTATTCACTACTATGAGAACCATATGGGGGTACTGCCCCCATGATTCAATTATCTCCACCTGACCCTGCCCATGACATGTGGGGATTATTACAGTTTAAGGTGATATTTGGGTAGGGACACAGCCAAACCATATCAAAGAGACCTGTACATTTTTAATGCATCTTGTAGATGAAAATTTGAGACGTAATGAAAGAAGTTCATCTTCTATGGAATATCTCTTTTTTTTTTTTTTCGTGACAAGGTTTCACTCTGTCACCCAGGCTGGAGTACAGTGGCTGCATTACGGCTCACTGCAGCTTCGACTTCCCAGGCTCAAGTGATTCTACCGCCTCAGTCTTCTGAGGAACTGAAACTAGAGGCGCATGCCACTATGCCTGGCTAATTTTTTAAATTTTTTGTAGATATGGGGTTTTACCACGTTGCCCAGGCTGGTCTTGAACTCCTGGGCTCAAGCGATCTATCCACCTCAGCCTCCCAAAGTGCTGGAATTACAGGCATGCGCCACCACACCCTGCCTGGAATATCTTAAGAGTATAATTCAAGATCATTATAATGAGCCTAAGACAATTTTCAAATTATTTTTTAAGCTTTGGTTAACTAAATGTATGTTCAAGTTGCCTCTCTCTCATTTTGAACTTTTCTTCTTTAATGTATAACATCTATTTAATCATGAACTTCAGAAGTATAAATTTAAAAGACCTGAACATGCCCATGGGATGTGATGAACAATAATTTTCTAAAATCAGACCTGTAAATTCGTACTTCTACAAGGTGAGAACCTACCATATGTAAATTTCATTTTCACATCATTCACATATATACACATTGAAGGCTGGACGTGGAAATGAAGAACGGCACTGGGGATGGGGCAGGAATGAATTGTTGTGCACACTGTTATTTTTAGTGGCTCTCTCTTCTAGTCCTTAAACTGTCACAGAAGAATAGCTTTGAACAAGCTACAAAATTCTGAAAGGTCACAACCCAGGAAGGCAGAGACTCCAGGAACATGCATCAGGGAAGGTGCAGATGGATAAACAAGCCATAAAGTGCACCATATTTTTTCTTTTCCAGCATTTCACCAAAGAGTTGACTCCAGGCTATTACCCTGTGAAAGTGAAATTTTAAAAGAGGCAATTCCAAACAAACCTACACCAATCCCCAGTTGGCTCACTTTCACCATCACTAATGAAACCCAGGAGGGTCTTGAAGTGAGGTGTGACAATGTGAGAGGCAGAGCAAAGATCACAGAGGTGAGAAACCTATCACCTCTGTTTTCATATCCTGAGGAGCATATGGGCCAGACTTAGCATGCCCATGGTTCTTGTGGCCAGGACAGCAGATGGACAACCACTGCTGTAACGCCCCCTCCTCCAGCCTAGCCCATCCATTTCAAAGGTGCCTTTGCTGAGAGCATTCACATCTTACAGCCACCTTGTACACTGTGAACAGAAGTAAGCATATCTTTCCTGAGGAACTAGGTGAGTGCATCCATACTTGATAAGAATGAGACATGACGCAAGAAGTAACTGGTCTAACCTGCTGACCAACTGGCTGTGTGGTCATGACTCTGGGTTCTGTAGCTGGAGAATGGATGAAGCTTATAAGATTTCATCTGTCTGATGTGAGTAAATGAAGTTGGTGTTGGAGCAGCTTTGGGATAGGAGGGTTACATCTCTAGGAACTAAGATATTAGGGCATTCTCTGCAGCAATTCTGCTTTTTATAGATCTCTGGATGCTCCCCTGAGATCTTGGAAATAGGGCTTGCCAGCACTCTCAATGTGTCTAAAGAGTCAGAGTTAAGTCAATCATCATACAGGGTAAAGGGAGCCCTCTTCCATGATCACTTTTTCTTTTCCCCAGGCTGAAACCTGGAGCCATAACCACACATGCAATGGCAAAGTCCTAGGGGTTGGTGGAGCCACAGGCTGGAAATAGCCTGGGTCCCTGAAACACCATGTGGAGGAGATTGCTTGGCAACCAGGGACACCCAGTGGGACTTGAGCAAAAAATTACCCATCACCTTTTGATTTAATCTACCTTAATTATCATTCCAAAATTTCTTTTCATTATACTATTATATTAATTTCACTCTTTCCTGGATACTATGTCTTTCTTTTACTTGGAAGTGTTTATTGAAGTATTCATCAAGTAATTTTTTAAAGGAAGGGTACTGAAGTAAACTTTCTGAATCTTTCATTTAAAAAAATCCCCGTTTTACTCTCCCTTTATTAGACAGACTTTTCTGGACATAGGATTTTAGATTCAAAAGTATTTTCCCTATGAATTCTGAAGGCAGTGCTTTGTTGTCTTCTAGTATCTGGTATTGCTGATGAGGTATTTACAATAGAAATAGTAGCAGGGGATTCAAACAAATGTGCAAAAGACAAATACAAGCAGCCAGTATATATATATGAAAAGAAATCACTATAAATGGACATCATTTATGAAAGAGAACCCCTTTTTATCCTATAAGATTGACAAATGTTATAAAAATAATAATAGTATTGGTGCAGATTGGAGAAATGGATAACTTATACACTGTTAACAGATGTGAAAATTGGTATGAACTTTCCATGTTTATAATATTCAGTAGTAAAAGCAATTACTTTTACCTTTTTAGGTGAAAATTTTTTTTCTAGCTGAAAACAATTTTAAGTTCTTCCCTTTATCCTTGGGATAGTAAAAATTTTATGAAGGTGTATTTAGATAAAAATCTTTTTATATTCATCCGCTTAGCACTTGCTAGTCCATTTTCATCTTCCATTTTGTTTCAGCCTCAGGGATTATAATGCTTTCTCAAGTTTTTATTAGATGGATATTGTTCCTCCTGTATGTATCCTCTTTGTCGTTTTACATTTTTTCTCATGTTTTCTATTTTTTTCTGGCCTTTGCTTTATATTCTGAGATTCAAAGATTTTTTCTTCTTTGCTTTCTATTGATTTTCACCACTTTAATATTACATATTTTTAATTTTTATAAACTCTGGGTTCCTTTACATATCAGCCTATTCTTGTTTTGTGGATGTAATTTCTTTATACAATCAGGTTGACCTACAAAGATCATAATTAGAACTTTTAAAAAGTTAACTTTTCCAGGAATTGTCTGTTTCAGTCAGTAAGATATTTCTCATTTTTTTCTCCTTGGCTACCCACTTTGGTATTGCTGGTTTTCATCAAATAACTGGTAATCTCTGGCTTTCTATTTCTATTCACAATCGAGAGCCATGTTGACTGATGTCAATACCAGTCATACTTCCTCTCTAATTCGCTATTAGAAACAATAGATGCTCAAATAATCAGTGTAACTTTTGAAAATGTTAGTTTTCATCTTACTAGAAATGGACCCACTTTAATAAAATATTTTCATTTTTCTATATTATGTACCTGTTACATTGACTGTATATAGCAGTTATAGCCTCATCTATATAGGAAATCTTTAACTTTGATTGGTCCCACTTAGAATTGTCTCATTAATACATCGCTTAAAAATCTATATTTTGAAGTTTTATTTGATAATTTTTTTAGAGTTAAAAACTCTTCATGGATATTTTGTTGAAAATATTTTAGAGGGAACTGAATTTCATTTTAAAATATTAACACATTTTTATATATGAAAGAAACCTATTTTGTTACAGGTGCTTATAATTTGTGGCTATGATTAATTGAAGCTTTACATGTATAACGTTTTTTTAAAAGACTGGTGTAAATTATATAAAATTGAGATGGACACTATAAAAATAGTTGTATGACAACCACAATTATTTACAAAACAGACACATTAAGGGGAAATCATGTATTGTTGGCAGAGATTATTTTGCCCTTAAAAGGGCAAAAAAACTGATAGACTGATTGGCTGCATCAGCCTGTTGAAAAGTTTTTATTCAAATGATGCCAGGAGCATTTTCCATGACCCCACATTGCTACCCATTCACTTTTCACACACAGAGCCTTATTCATGCTGGGGTCATAGTTAAGTTGTAGGGTAGATTGATTTCATCACAGCGAAGCCATTACACATCCTTTGGTCTTCCTTATGCCTTTAGTCCACGCATGCTTCAGATCTGGGAAAAAACCCCACACATTTGGGCTGGAGAAACAAAGCAGCAGCCATTTCCTTGCCTTAGTTCTTGGCCCATAATGAAGTAAGAGCACGATGTGATGATTGGAGCCAGACCTATCCCTGGCCATGGGCACTGCAGCCGACCCAAACCTAATTAAGAAAGATCTTGAATAAACTTGGGTGAGGGCCAAAACCACTAGCCCCTTCAATCAATACTTTTGATATAAAAATTAGCAGCTGGGCTGAATAAAAGGGAGCGCTGTTATATGCCACAGCAAAACAAAGTCTCCTTTTGCTCCTATTCTGAACTTCTGTTGTTGGATATTTTATTGGTTTGTATCTGTGATAACTTCTCAGAGCAGTTGACTTGCAAATGTCAGAATTCAGCCTCCCATTTGGACCACAGGATGCAATGAAAATTAGAATAACCAGTCCCTACATTAAACCCAGATTGGCATGGGAATCAACCTTTTCCAAATGAAACTGGTTTCACTTGTTCCCTTATTCTTGATTGAATTACTCCTGCTAATATATAACGTTTAGCTAAAATAACTTTTTAAGAAAATTGATTTGATAAGGAAGAGGATAAACATTCTAAGAAAAAACAATCTACCATCAAAGTCTTGGAAGTCCTCTTTATGCACTGTTAATCCCCTCATAACTTGAATATACTTGCCTTCCAAGATGAAGCCATTATTAATCTCTACAAGAGTACTTGGAAGATAATGTTGCAGTTCTTAATATCGTGTCTGGCATGTGGTAAGTGTCTAAAAATGATTGCTTTATTGTCCTTCAAGACACCACGTATTGACTTTAGAAATAATTTCTAGTTTTAATCCAGGGAATTTACATGCAGGCTATACAATAGGGAAAGAAAAGGTTAACATTTGACTCCTTTTGATGCCTTTGTTATCCTGAAGACTTATCTTTTAATGAGGTTGAAAAGAAGAATAAATTAAGACACCCCTTCCTTTTAGAGATACTCAGTAAAATGTTTACTGATAATATGATTTCTGGGATGTGCTTCAAAGCAATCTGGTGAGAGAGGGAGTGAAATGGGTTGGGGAATAGAAGAAAAGACTGGCCATAAATTGGTAATGTTTGAAGCTGGGTAATAGGTGCATGTGGGCTCATTATACTATTCGATTTTACGTATGTTTAACATTTTCTGATATAAAACTTTAAAAAAAATGGATCAATTAGAAATCATTTAAAAAATAATAAATCACAGCTGAGTCCCTTCCCAGGCATTGTTGTCAGCTCAACAGACCTGCCCAAGGTAATGCCTGGCCCCACACCTCTACTGATAGCTTGCATCTGGCATCCTTGTCATTTTGACTTGACCCTAAAGGACCATCTCAGTTGCCCAGTTTCCATGGAATTGGCTGAGGCCTTTGCTATGATAACATCATAGTTCAAATTCTTCCTCTTTCCAATCCTGTTCCTTTACTCTTACGTTTGTATTGTACCATTGTAGGTGGTCTCAGTGGTGTGCTAGTAAATGTTTAACAGACAGCTCTCTAGAGCCCTGACTTGTAGTGTCTGCCAATTTCCATGGTGTAAATACTCCCATTGTGGCCAATTTCAAGCTACCAATCTGATGTCACTGAATGAGGAATTAGAAAGAAATGTGCACAATTAGTTCTTATCACAGTGCAAGCCAGCTCCAGCCACCCCTACCAATTTTCCCAGTGGAATTCCTAAATACAAATCTCTACCTCAGTCTTTTTTCAGGGTAACCTAAACTAAATCAACAGAAAACCATCAATTATTTTCATATTATTTTTATTTATTTTAAAACTAACATTTTACAGGCACAATAAAGTGAAATTGGTCGTTTCAAATGTTTCAGTGAAACATACATTTCTCTCTGTCCTTCTCACACACACAAAGACACATGCACACACACACACACACACATGCACACCCCACGTACATCAGGACACCATAAGACAATGTCCCGCAATAATTACCTAAAAATATTTAAAATACAGACTCTTTAATTTTCTAAACATTATGCAGCTGAGTAGGGCATTCTAAAGAACAGACTTCAAATTGTTCTTACTGTTTTGAGACCAGGAAACATTGCCAAGAATTCACCAGATGCTGTTCTTAATTGCTGTTGTTACAATTGTTATTATTGCTATAAATCAAAATGTATATTTAAGAGTTAATGTTTCATCATCATCGGAACTTAGGTTTTTAAATCAGAGTAGGCCATTTATAACATTTGCTATCTCTGAAGAAAAATACAAAAGAATATTGTTCGTTTGAAGAACTGTTAAGACTTTTACCCTACTGAAGAGCTGTTGTTGGAATAAATAATCAGAGGTTGAAGGTTGTTTTTTAAAGAGCAGGAAAAGAAAACAGAAGAAAGATACTACATTCAGGCCGGGCACGGTGGCTCACGCCTGTAATCCCAGCACTTTGGGAGGCCGAGGTGGGAGGATCACCTAAGGTCAGGAGTTCGAGACCAGCCTGACCAACAGGGAAAAACCTTGTCTCTACTAAAAATAGAAAATTAGCCATGCTTGGTGGCACATGCCTGTAAACTCAGCTCCTCAGGAGGCTGAGGCAGGAGAATCGCTTGAACCCGGGAGGTGGAGGTTGCAATGAGCCGAGATCTTGCCATTGCACTATAGCCTGGGCAACAAGAAGAACAAAACTCTGTCTCAAAAAAAAAAAAAAAAAGAAAGAAAGAAAAGAAAGATACCACATTCAAAGCAAATGGGCATCTTATAGGGAATGATACAGAAAACTGAAGAAGGCATAATTTTACCCAAATGAATCGCAGATGGTTCTTCAATATTGGATCAATTTTTGTAGAAAGAGAAGTTACTTGGAAAATGGGAACAAAATGTCCCAATGAGAAGAGAAGGTTGACTGTGGAATAAATTAATTTTACCAGTATATATACACTTAATTATGAACAAGAGAATCAGAACAAGGTTCCTGCTATTAGAGTCAATTGGTTTATCAAATTAGAGTTTGAATAATGTTCTTAAATTTTGGCATAGATTAGAATCACGCAGGAAGGCTGGTTAAAAATGTAGATTCCTGGGCACTACAACTATTATGTTTCAGTAAAGGTCTGGTGTAGGGCCTAGGGGTATGGATTTTAGCCAGCTTCCTAGTAAATTCCAAAGCCTGTCGTCTCTGTAAAATCAAAGCATGCTGAAAGGCAATATGGTTAAACGTCCATGACACCATCGTTTCATAATGAGATTAGGAATAAGTCTATGCCATTTCCTTATTATACAGAGATAGCCTCCTTACAAATATCATCTGGAACCTTTATCTTCTGCTTTCCTGAGGTCATTTTCAAGAACATCTTCCATTTATTTCTCAACCAACCAGATTTTCATAGTTGCTTACTCCGTAAAGGAAAAATGCATATGTGTATGTGTGTGTGCATGTGTGTAAATGTGAACAGAAGGGCTGAGTGCGCATAACATTATAGAAAATTCTCTTTTCCAACAGATCTAACCAAAGACACATTTTTGGCTCTGATATAATTAGAGCTAAGGTCGGGGCGGTGATGTAGAGGGTAATGGTTGATGATATAATTATCAAGACTCAATAATCAAATAATTTTAATCATGAATTAAAATCATGAATTAAAATCATGAACTTATTAGCCTAGCATTTGAGAGCTTTTTCTTAAAAAAATTAAAAATCTCATTATTCACAATCACCCTCCTAATTAACCTTATTCTATATGACATATACTCTAATATTATTGGCCCTGTGGAGCTTGGGCACCTTCTAATGCACTGTGGAAGCATTCTACTTGGATTATACCTGTATATCAACAGTTGTTCTCATACCTGTATATTCAACATGGACTCTCTAACAGAAACAGGTCCTTTTGTTTTGTACATTGCAGTGTAATAAATTGCCCCTGTACTCTTGAATCTTGATGAAAAGAGACTAACTTCCTCCCTGCCTTCCATGCTGGGTAGGTAAGTAGTTTCCCACAATGAATTAGACCCAATATCCTCCATGAAAGTAATAATAGTGGACATTCCTGCTCATGAAGACACATGTCTAGGGGCTTAAAACTTGAAGTGTAGATGTGAAGGTGTGTGTAAACATCACAGACAGATCCAGAAAGAAAGGAAGATGTTTATTGCTTTCCATACCTTGTGGAAGGACTAGATATCTCGCTGTCTTTTTGACCTCCTGTTTCCTTTATAGAACGCAAGGCATTTATGCATTTTGGACAATTCATTTAAATGCACATATTCAAGATAAGAACAGTATGTCTCCCTTTCTTTGCATATTTATGACACATTTTATTTGCACAAATAATACTGCATCAGTTTCATTGAGAAAAGTTGGAATTTTGTTATCAAAATCATTGGATGGGAAACTGCATTTTCAGAACCCACTTCTTTTCCTCTTTCACTAACGGTATTCCTTACAACTTGTAAACATTCATGAAGAACTCTATCATTGTGATCCATTTTTAAACCAATGCACCCACTTGGAGTTATAATTTCCCCATAAAAACTTTCCATGCTGATCACTTTTTTTCCTTTAATACGCTTTGAGCATCAGGGCACACTGCTCCATCCATCGCAGGCGCTGCGGGTGGAGTTTCTATCTCAGTGCACAGCATGAAAGCTTGGGTCCATCTGTGCCACACAAAACCAAGCCTCTCTTGAAGTGATTTGTTTACAGTGTCATTTGATGGAGTGGAATGTTCTGCAACTCATTCGAACTGTTACAGAAGCTTTGCTAAAAGGTCACCACTGCTCTCTAGAATTTCCAAATCTGGGCACCCTCTGGGAGCTTGTTAAAGATAAGGTTCTCCATGGGCTTTTTCCATACAAACTAGATCAGATTAACAAGAGGCTACTTTTCCATAGAGGTTTGTGTTCATGTTGAGAAGGAGAGCAAGAAAGAGAGAACACAAGTAAATTACAGTTAGTTACCTCAAAGTGTGCAAGCCCACTTTCTCCCAATTCAGAGGGCATGTAACAAGTGATAGTACAATTTAATAGGCCTAAACAAGTGTGTTGGTCTTGAAAAAGTCAGAATTTGCTTTTAAATGTCCTTCTTGAATCAATGCATTCTTCAAATATAGTCTTGGGAGTCGATTCTAAAGGACACTGAATTTCACCATTTACTCAAAATTCAATAGGAAAATGACAACTAATTCCTTAAGGTAATAGAGGCTGTGCAGGGTAAGCATTCACCGTGCACTGCACCAACAAGGTTCAAATTGTTGTAACTACCATTTTAGTCTAGACCTAAAAGTGTCTTGTGCTTGCTTTCTGCCCCTTTTCTTATGAAACAAACATCTTGAATTTTCCAAACCTCAAAAGCTCAGCTGTAAAACTGTAGGAGACCAGCAAGAGGAAAAGGAAAATTTCCTTCAAAGACGTCTCTAGTCGCAGTTGATCAGTTCTGCTTTCCCCCTCGAAACATTAACTATGTCTTTTGACACTTGTCTGTGAAAAACGTCCAAATGTGACAAATGGTAGAAACAACATTTCTTTACCCTCCTGCCTGGAACTTCCCATGATACAGATGAGATCTAGCTGATGCTTTTATGAGTGGAACAAGGAAGGTGGCTACTGTCCACCACACTCACTTACATCTGCAGATGGAATAAGTAAACACATAGTGAACTTACTGAATAAAAATTTTAAATTCTCTCATTTGCATTTGGTTGGAATCCCTGAAAGGGTCTGCACAGTAGCAGCTAAAACACAGGCTTATTGCCATTAAAAATATTCTCAGAAGTGTGTGTGTGTGTGTGTGTGTATTTCTAGTAGAATACTTGGAAGAAGAGAGACTTAAATCTGGAATCATGTTTTTGTCTCTGCAGTCCAAGCTGGAGACATTAAAAACAACAACGTCTCCCTCAGTTCAATCAAGCTGGTCTGGGAACCAAAATTGTCCTGAGGAAGGGGGAGAAATCCATTTATATTCCTTGTGAGGCAAGGAGGGAGGTCTTTCTCGCAAAGTCTTTATGTGTCATTCAGGACCAGGAAACTTAATCTTCGAGTTCAAAGCTCGTCTCATCATAGAGCTCAGGACGTGCTGACTTCTTGTGCCGGGAATATTTCAGTTGCAAGAGATCACCCATTTCATCAAGAGCTTCTAAAACCTGCAATGAGATTGCTTTCCAATAGCTATCATTGAACACCTAAGTAGCCCTGCTTTGCAGAGCCCAGATTAATAGCAAGCCTCACAAAGACACACAGTCTTAGTTTGCTAGCTTCTTTGATTTTAAAGAAAAGAAGCAAGATCCGTACCATTAGGTTGTGGTTTAAGACCCTAGAGGAATGTTAGATGCTAATTAATTTTATTTAGTGGTCTAACTCCATACTATGAATGTTTATTTTATTTTGAGAGTGTGAAGAGAAGAATAAAAACATGTGACCCATGCTTACCCTTAAAAGGTTTTATTTTAAAATGTAGTGACTTATATGTAGTCTTGTGGAAGAAAAAGATAAGGTTGCAGAATGCATTTGAAGTTATATCTTCATGACACAGCAAATCACCTGGCCAAGAACAAAGAGGAATGTTGCGGGAGCTGATTAACATCATCCTCTGTCCTCTCATGCTACCCCAGGCCTCCTGCTTTTAAATACTCATCTCTGTGTCCCAGAAAATACTAGAACTTAACTCACAGGGACTGAGAACTTGTCTGTTTCAACTCTCTTACTTTAGGTGGGTACATGTATCCCCCATTTTGCACATGAAACAAATGAGATCCAGGAAGTAAAAAAAGGTCATTTTCTGAGAACACATGGACACAGGAAGGGGAACATCACACACCAGGGACTGTTGTGGGATGGGGGGAGTGGGGAGGGATAGCATTAGGAGATATACCTAATGCTAAATGACGAGTTAATGGGTGCAGCACACCAACATGGCACATGTATACATATGTAACAAACCTGCACGTTGTGCACATGTACCCTAAAACTTAAAGTATATTAATAATAAAATAAAAAAAAGGTCATTTTCAATTCTAGTATATCACCAATCCTGTGGTATTGGTCATGCCTTTTTAACCTTTCTGAGCCTGTTTTTCTTAACCTGCCAAATGAGGAGGAAGATAATATTAGGGTCTAATGCTTTGAAAAGGTAAGGTGAGGGTTGTTAATGTTAGAATGGGTGACTAATAGATCTTATGGACTTTCCTCTTTGGGAAATCTTTCAAACTGACATTAATTAAGATTTCCTCCAACTTGTTAACAGTAATTGATTTCTTGGTGGTAGGAGTATGAGTATTTAAAATGTTCTTCCCTGTTTTTCTAAATTTCCTACATCAAATCTCAGTACTAAGAAAAAGTAACCAAAGTTATCTTTAAAATGACACCTCTCTGGGATAGTTTCTAGCAATCTTTGCTGAAGGTGGGGGATGGACTAGTTCAGTGGTATCCAAAGTGAAGGATCTGCACATTTGGGGCATCTGTGAGATAATTTATGGAGGATGCAGGAGGAAAACATTAGGATTTCTATTTTTTTTTTTTTTTTTTTTTTTGAGACAGCGTCTCACTCTGTTGCCCAGGCTGGAGTGCAGTGGCATGATCTCGGCTCACTGCAACCTCCGCCTCCCGGGTTCAAGTGATTCTCCTGCCTCAGCAGTTCGAGTAGCTGGGATTACAGGCACATGCTACTACGCCTGGCTAATTTTTGTATTTTTAGTAGAGATGGGGTTTCACCATGTTGGCCAGGCTGGTCTCGAACTCCTGACCTCAGGTCATCCGCCCACCTCAACCTCCCAAAGTGCTGGGATTATAGGCGTGAGCCACTGCGCCCGACCTCTATTCATTTTTATCTCAACCTTTTAAACTTTTATTTGTGTGTCTCTTATATAATGTACGTAATATATTGGTATTGCATAGATCATTTATAAAGAATTTATGTTAATGTCTGCTGATCCAAGACCACCCAGAACACACTCGTGCTCAGAGTTAGGTTTCTTTAGCTTGCTGAGATGGGAGAGGGAGGACACTGCAGAAGAACCGTGGGCATCTTAGTGACAGGAAGATGGGAGTGGCTTCTCACTGCATTTGAGCTTGTGCCTGAGATGACTCTAAGGAAGCAGGGACCAGTTCTGGGTTGGATGCTGTTAAGAAGTGGGAGCAGTTCACTGGCTGGCTATATATTTATAATTTCTATCTGAAAGGCGAGAGAATGAAAGCGAGGCTAGAGTTGTTATTGGTGAATGAGCAACTGTCACACATGTCAGTCAGAAGAGGGAGACATTAAGTATTGTGGCCTTGTCTCTGTCTTGTCCAAATGTGGTCGCAGAGTGCATTTGTCTAATATTATTTCTAGTCTATGAGCCTTTAGGTTCAATTGCTACCTTAATGTACTGGCTGTTCATCAGGGTCATTTTCCATTTTCTCTTACATGTACATTAAGGAACTGCTCAAAATTTTCTGTTGAGATGGGCACATGATCTCAACAGTTTAGAGGCATTTGTCTAGATGACTGATGTCTCAGTATCCTTTCAAAGCAGGTGTTTTGCAGCAATTAAGAAGTTGTGAAGAGAATCACATACATGAATACCTCAGTGCTGCTTGGAGCACAAAATTACAAATTCATCCATGCTGTGTGTCCCTCCTGCCATCTCAGGGAACTTGCTTCCCGGCCATGCTCTCTTCTCTCCCTTCTGTGCAAGGTCCCCTCTTCACTGTCTTCTTCCCTTAATGTGTAAACATGCTCAAGCCTTCTACATTTTCAAGGGTATTTTCTAAACCTATTTTTCTTTCTACAGTCAGACTTCTTGAAAGTTTTGCCTGTCTTTTCTTAACACCAACTCATTTCATTTAAAAGAAACAATTTGTTAAAATTCACATTCTGGAAATACATACTCATTTTAGAGAATCTGGGAAATATAGAAGGGTGTAAAGAAAACAAAGTTCACTCATCTCAAAATCTGGTTAGCTCAGTTGTTAACATGCTACTCAATAATTTGTACTGTGTACCTACTGTGTACAATACAATGGTTTATGTTTTGAGGCTATACTGGTGAAGACGAAGGACATGGCAACTCTGTGTGTGTGTGCGTGTGTGTGCACATGTGTACGTGTATAATTTCAAACTCAAGTTATCCTCTTTACTCTTTTATTTTTTTATTATTTCTGTTCCCTTCATTCCCTTAAAATGCCTACTCTATGGAACATCAAGTTCCTACTAATTGCTAATCCAATAGTTTCTTCTCATCACTCACTGCATTTAAACTTCCTGCAGTTTTGAGGGGCATTTTGACCCTCCTCCTTCTTGAAACTTTCTCCTCTGTATGGAGTTTAATACTACACTGAACATGTCTTTCCTGACTGCTCTAGTTCCATGTAAGTCTGGGTCCCCACCTGCGATTCCTGTATCTACCCTGGAATGTAGGCACTCCCCAGGAGTCTGCCCTGTTCACTCTTGCTCATATCTGGACAATTACATCTTCTACTGTTGGCTGTAAGGATCCCTCAGTTCCCTAAACTATAGCAGTTCCAGCTTTGCATACTCTCCTAAGCTCTAGAACCTTATTTTTCTTCTATAGGTGGACCATGGACACATAGTCTCAACATGTCTAGGACTGAGCTCATTCTATTCCCCCACTCCCATTGAAAATTTGCTGTTCCTTACTGTATACCTTATCTCATTTAAGTGCTTCACCATCCTTCTATTCATCAGGGCTAAAGACCTCAAATTGTCTTTGATTCTCTCTTCCCACATATGCACCACATCCAATCATTTGTCAAGTCATGGCAGTTCCATTCATTTGTAATATTTGTTCATGGATTAGTTTCTTTTGTTTCCACTACCATTAGCCTTGTCATCTCTTGTTTTGTTTAAATAGCTACATCTTAGATCCTTTCCTTTTGCCCCTTTCCTCTCCAGTTCATTTGTCACGTTTATTTCATAATGACATGATTGTGTCACTCCACTGATTGGAAGTCTTGAATGATGCTCGATAAGCTTTATTAAAAAGGCCTGGCTCAAAAGCCACCTCCCCTGTGAATCTTCTCCACTCTAATAATTCACCCCACCTTCATGATCCCACAGTTTTCTATATTTCTTCTTCAAGATTCATTCATTCTGTCTGGTATTATATGTGTTGCTTGTTTATTAGCATCTTCTCCTAGACTTTTTGCCCCAAGTTTGCACATAGTTGACTCTCAATAGTGTTTGCAAAACTGCATTTATGTTATGTGACTCTTCCCATTAACTCCAAACTGAGTAGATGGCTTAGTTCTCTGATATTACTCATTCACATAACAATGGAAATCGAGGGACAATAAAAGGCAATTTTAAAATCATTTCCACCTCACTTAGGTGCTGCTGTAATGTAGATTTGTTCTTGTTGGTTTTCCAACATGTTGCTTAGTTGGGTCATATTTTATTATGGCAGATTTAGTGGCTATGAAAAATGTCAGGATGCATGTAATTAAGTCTAAAACAGCATTTTAGACCAGCTTTTGCATTTAAGATCAAGTAAATAGAAGAACATTTGGCTACTCAGTCAGTCTTTTGTAGGAAACCAAAACACTGATTGAAATCTTCACTAAACTGATTTTCATTTCTATCTACTGAGTGGTCACAGTGTTGGCTGTTGTTGACGAGCTCTTGTTTTTTGGCAGTGACTTTTGTCAGTGTTGTTTTCCTAAATAACCCAAGAGAAACCCAGAGAACCCCAAGCTGTCTCAACAAAAGGACTTGCTTTGAATCCAAGGTACTGGTACTGAGATCCCGTTGGCCTGTGGTGTACTCACCGTGTCTAACATCTCCCGGGTATGTGCCGCTGAAACACAAAACCGAGCCCGAGCTTCTGCGAGGGGAGTGGCTGGAAATCCCACGACCACCACTCCAATTTTTTTCTCTAGCATATGCCTTGCAAAAGCCCTTAAGGAAAAGCAAAAAAAGAAAAAAAAAAAGTGGTTAGTTGGGAAAAGACAAAATTATCCTGACAAAAAAGGAATATGGCTAATTGATTTTTTCTTTTTTCTTTTTTCTTTTTTATGATAATAAGTGGAAGATGATTGAAGTTTTTAAACTTCTGTCAAATAAAATTGACAAATAAACAGGCAGTCAGTCACTTGGTGCCACTCATGATGGTGTGTGTGTGGTATTATGGGTCTGACACACTCATTAGATAATTGTGGATATTGAGTCTTTGACACCAAGCAGAAAATGCTGATGTTTATGACTCTGGTTTAACAAATCTGCAGTGATATAAAATCCATCTGCAGGGTCCCTAGGTATAAAAACCAAATAGTTCCTATAATGCAATTCCATAAAGAAAGAATCTATATTAATTGTAAACCTATATGTTTTATAAACTTAATACCAATAATACAATGTGGAAATTTCAATGAGCCTATACTTAATGAGTATAATTTGAAGACCAAGATCAGAGGGTCTGTAGTATCCAACCCCAAGCCAATATTCCCACTGCAGCGCCAAAGATTATATTTTCCATCAAATCAGAGATAAGAAATAGCAAGGTCTCCTGATTGTTTCATATGTGAATGAACATGCCCAGGGATGCACAGGGATAATAAACTCAGCAACTGAGTTTAAGAGGAATGGGGCAGAAAGGAGGCCAGGAAAGAAGTGTTCACGCAGAGAACCTTACAGCCTATAGGACGTTAAGTCATAGAACTAGAAAGCGGTCTGATGCAGAGTAAAACCTTCATAAGCTATGATTCCTTCCCTTTATCCTTCTAGTCTATTTCTTTTCCAGAGCTAATCTCTGTAACAATTCTAGAATATCAAGCTCAAAGGCTGTAAATATCTTGTGCTGAGAGCCAAGGTCAGACAAAAAGGCATGTACTCCCAAGTGACTCTTTTTCCCCTTTGGGCTCTGTTAGTCTTTGCAGGAAAACTTAACTACTGAGTGACTTTACCCATAAGTGAGGTAAATGCCTCAGATCTGTTCTTAGCATTAAGAGATTGCTGGTGTATTATTTTAGGCTGGAAGCTGACAGCACCAGAGAAACATTCCAATCACAGCTCAGGAAGAATTCTTGAACCAGACGTGGAGAATAAGCCTGCTCTTCCATTCACTTGTTTTGCTGTTGAGCAGTCTGCCTTTTGGTTGTTTCAGATAGAACATAGGTTATCAGATGAAGCAATGGAGACTGCAGGACCCACAAGACACACAGCCTCTCTGGCTCCCTGGCTTGGGCGAGGCAACATTAGCCCTTTGATTTCAACTAGGAAGGTTAGAAGGAGATGAAGCTTTCTAGCTGAGAAAGCTTGAAAACAGAGGCTGTTCTTTCTCTTTCTTGATCACCCTATGGAAGGCTGCCCACGGAACTGCACAGAATGAGAGCTCATAATTGTCTGAGAAACAAGTCAAGTGCTTTTATTGCTAGAGTACAAACCACCTGACCCATGATCTCAGGCCAGTTTTCAGGACTCCCAGAAGACCGCTTTCACTGTCTGCATGTTTCTCTTTGTGCCAAAGGAAGCACGTTTTGCCAAAGAATGCAGGGCAAAATATATGACTCTGTTGATTCATTAGTCTAACCTGGCGTCTCCCTGGAGCATTTTTGAATTTAAACCTTACACTACTAAAGCTAGTGTTCTTAAGTTAATATATATGATTGCACTGGAAATTTTATATAATGAGCCTCTGTGTTTGTACTCCCCAAAGCAATTGGCAATAGGCTAAAAGAAACTAAACTTTGTGAAATAATAATAATGATAATAAACATTAGCATTGCATTGTATGCAGAATCACTACCTCTTGTATAACACCATCTTCCAAGTGTATTACATGAACAGGGGAAAAAATGCAAACCCTTTACCAAGTACCAAATACAATATATTCTTGATTGTTTAAGTGTATGTTTTATGGGTAAAACCACATTGCACAGCTCTATAGAAGATTCCAGTGGTAGAGTTATAACAAGGCTTTGTTCAAAAGGATAACTGGCTACAGACTATATTTTCATTCTGCATAGTAGGAAATGTGGAGAGATCACCATTCTTTAATAAAATCAAAGGTTTTTAAATGACCAAATGGAAGAAGTGCTTCCACAGTGGCTTATACAATTAACGCCCTATTTCAAAAAATGTCTCTACATATAAACTTCCAACAAAGAAATATCACAGAAGGAAACACAGCCAGACAGCAGGGCAAACTCTTGCCAGCAACTCCTACCTGTAATAGATAATATTACCTTTTGTAACTAACCTGTTCTGTTTCCTTAGGTGACCCAGATTTTTTTTTTTTCTGTTTGTAGTGATTGTTGCCTTTTGAATCACCAATGATGACATTAAAAATAATTAGACTCTGTGTTGCTTTAATGAGATGTGCATTTTTTTCCTATGGACTAAAGCTTGAGAGGTTGTGCTGTGTGTTCAAAAGAGCTCTAGTTTATGAAGCAAATGGAACTGGCTTTGAATTCTGGGCTCTGCTGCCTACAACCTGTGTGAGTCTTAGAGAGTAATTTTTTTTTTGACATGGAGTTTCACTCTTGTTGCCCAGGCTGGAGTGCAGTGGTATGATCTTGGCTCACTGCAACCTCCACCTCCCGGGTTCCAGCGATTATCCTGCCTCAATCTCCCAAGTAGCTGAGAGTACAGGTGCCTGCCACCATGCCCAGCTAATTTTTTTTTTTTTTGTACTTTTAGTAGAAACAGGGTTGGCCAGGCTGGTTTCAAACTCCTGACCTCAGGTGATCCATCTGCCTCAGCCTCCTAAAGTGTTGGGATTACAGGCATGAGCTACCGTACCCGGCTTTAGAAAGTAATTTGACCTTTCTAAGTCTTAGCATCTTCATTTATAAACTAGGGCTAAACATCCTACCCTCCGTGGGTAATCGCTGAGGTCTAATAGCCTTACTTAGCATATATTTAGTACTCTGTGATATTAGCTCTTCTTAAAAAACAATCTTAAGTTGAAAGAAACAAGATTGTTTGACATATTATCCAGCATCTAATATAGCAATATGGAAGCAGAGTGTAGCAGGATCTTTACCTACTATTTTTTCTGGACATTTTATTTTGAGTAATGCAACCAAAAATTGTAATAATTATTTTGGAGAGCCATGCAACCGTGGTGATTCAACCTTGCGCTCAGTTGAAACTGATAATGATCATCATTGTTGCAGAGTAGTAGTGAAATGGCTACCACTGATTGAATGCTTATGGCATGCCAACTACTATATTAAGTGCTTTGTACACATTACTAAAAATGACATTATTAATGACTTTATTAATTGATGCTATTAATAATGAAAGCTAACACTGAATAGCTCTTATATAAGAGGTAACATGCCAAATGCTGTATGGACATCATTTTGTTTAATCTTCACAGTAACCTTATGAAATAAGATACTATCATATCCCGTTTTATAAATGAGAAAACTGGAGCTTCAGAAAGCTGAGTAACTTGTCCAAGAATCCCCAGCTAGGAAGAGGAAGAATCAAATTTCTTTTTGATTCCAAACCTTTCATCACACCATAGAGCATAACTTTTATATGAAGCATATCGTTCATAGCATATTGTGTGAATTCTTGAAGTTACATGCATTTGTTTTCACTACTTACGGACTCTTCTCATTGGGTTGGTTCATTTTTCCAACCTGTTGGGATTCTACTTCTGGCTTTTATTATTAAAGTTGGAACTATCCAGAACACTCCCTACTGTCATTGTAACACTCCAGAATTATGTGTTTTATACCTTGGACAAGTTTATTTTCAGTGCCTTCTTTTGAGCTAATGATAAAATATTAGATAAACCTGAGCCAAGTTTGGAATATTTCTTCCAACACACATCATTTCCCCAATCATTTTGAATAAATGTATGTGTGTCTGTGTGTGTGTGTGTGTTTGTATGTGTCTTCAAAAATCAGATGGTTAAAGATCTTTGAATTGTCTGCTACTTTCAATCACTGTTGTCAACCCTCCTTAACATTATCACAGAGCAGTATGATATATAACATGTCTGTAGCACATTATGTCCTCAGATACTTCATGCAATGTTTTCCTGACCCAGATCTGTGAACAAAGGGCCAACTGGTGGGAATGATGTGGCATGCTAAAAAACTTATTATTATTATTATTTTTTTAGACGGAGTCTTGCTCTGTTGCCCTGGCTAGAGTGCAGTGGTGCAATCTCGGCTCACTGCAAGCTCCACCTCCCAGGTTCATGCCACTTTCCTGCCTCAGCCTCCCGAGTAGCTGGGACTACAGGCACCCACCACCACGCCCGGCTAGTTTTTTGTATTTTTTGTAGACACGGGGTTTCACCATGTTGGCCAGGATGGTTTCGATCTCCTGACCTCATGATCTGCCTGCCTGGGCCTCCCAAAGTGATGGGATTACAGGCATGAGCCACCGCGCCCAGCCTTCATGTGTGTTTTAACTGCTTGTGATTTTGCTGTGGTAAAATGACCCAAGAGCATACTCTGAAGAATCTGTCTTTTAGGAACTTATAACTCAGTCTTGCCCTCCATGAGTTTTCACAAGTAAGACCCAAACCTCTTTTATTGGTACTTTTCAATACTTCAAGTACTCTGCCAATCTAGTCAGGCTATTAGAGAGTCAAACAGAAAGTTCCAGCAATGGGTTACATTGGAGGGGAGTTAGGACCTCTAGAATCTGATGCGTAGTATGTTGAATATGAATTTCTATCATGTGCTTGGTCAGAGATAAAAATAAACATTTTACCTTGAGAAAGGAGCTTAGTTAACTTCCTTTTTTTTTTTGACAGGGTCTCATTCTGTCACCCAGTCACCTAGGCTGGAGTGCAGTGGCACAATCTCTGCTCATGCAACCTCTGCCTCCTGGTGTCAAGTGATCCTCCTGCCTCGGCCTCCCTAGTAGCTAGGACTACAGGCATGCACCACCATGCCCACCTAATTTTTGTATTTTTAGTAGAGACAGGGTCTCACCATGTTGGCCAGGCTGGTCTCGAACTCCTGACCTCAGGTGATCCACCTGCCTCAGCCTCCCAAAGTGCTGGGATTACAGGCATGAGCCACTGTGCCCTGCCAGTTAACTTCCTTTTAACAACATGTAATTAGTATAATTACATTAGTCTCCAGCAGGTTGGAGAAGGGCTCATGTATAAAATTGTCCCTGCCAAACTGACAAAAAGTCATGTTTTCCTCTTTATGCAGTTGTTGCTAATGCTGTTTCAAAGTTGCAATCAAGTAAACAACCCCCAAACAGGTTCACAGTAAGGGCATGAGAAACTGAGCATGAGCTTCAATGTGAGCCTCAGTTTGGGTTTTTGCATCTTAGTTTTACTGCTGTTTGACTTGTGTGACTTTGGGCAGGTTGCTTAACTGCTCTCAGCCTCAGCTTCCCCACGCTTGAAATGAGAATGTCCTCTTCTGAGGACGGCTGCAGAGTTCAATGGGAGAAAGCACAGAGCCTGATCACATTGTTTTTATGGTAATATGGGGAGAGATGATCTTCAGAAGTTCTCCCTGAGAACGATCTTGGGTCAGAAGGAGGCTCAGGATTGTGCTTAATTTACAGGTGAGGCTGAGGGAGATAAGTGATTTCCCTAAATTCACAGAACTTGAATTTAGGGAGAGAGCTCAGTCTCAGCACCTTTGGTTCCCTTTCTATAAGACCTGTGGGAAGGGTCTAGCTGATAGAGTGACAGGTGGCTTCCGAGAAGCCGTACGAGTGAATTCTGAACTCACTCACCCCATTCCAGATGCATAATCTAACGCCTGTGCCAAAAAGCCATCTTAGGTCACCTTGGGGTTTAGGTGTGATTATGAGATGCCTTGGATACTTACGCTACTTTACCAGGCATATAAAGAAGCAGAGGAACAACAGAAGCATTCTCATTGCCATAGATAATGAATCCCATTTCCTGCAGTCTTTGTCTGAAGTATCTTGTGTTTTTCGCAAGTTGCTGTACTCTCTGCAGCCCTGAAAAGAGACAGGCGTGAAATCCATCAATTCCCACTAGAAAGAGGGAAGTAAAGGTCCGGTCAACTTGGCAAGCATCTTTAAGTCTTTCTGCAGGCCAGCAGCACTAGCTGGGAGGAGGAAGTAGGGAAGGGAGATATCTCCTGGGGAGCAGGTGTGGGCACTGATGCCCAGGTACTACCTTGCACCTGGAAGGCAGGAAGGGAGGTGGAGGGTTCTACGAGGTGCTGCAAGCAACTGAAGCCAGGATACGCTAGAGGGCTGGTGGGAGGCAGGGGAGGTATCTATTTTGTATAGACTCTGTGCAAAGTACCTTAAAAACATCAACTCAAGAGAAGGGAGTGTGATAAGAAGGAACATAACCACTTCCCCCACCCCCCACACTTCATAGCAGATATTGGTAGATGCTTTTTAGCTAAGCTGAATTGGCTCATTAAATTGTCCCTCATTTAAATCTCTAATCAAAGGATCCTTCATCCAATCTGAATTTGTAGGGATAGCATATTCATAGACAAAGATAAGTCCTGCTGAGATTAGGGCTGTTTTTTGAGGCATTTGGTGGTAGACTAATAGAAGGGAGGAAAGAGGGGGACCCCTGCTTTCCCAAGCCAGAAAAAAGGACAACATTGGCCCAGAACAGAAAGACAAGCAAAGTACATACATGGGTCCATGTCAAGGTTATTGGTGCTTCAGCTCTTATAGCCTGTGTCCTAAGTGTGTGTCCCAGTGCAGAGTTCACGCATGTGAGATGAAAAAGTGATGAAAGAGCAGAAAGTCCCATCCTGAAGATGCCTGTCTACTCGGGTCCTGCTTCAAAACAGGTGGGTAAGTAAGCCAGCCAAAGCTAGATAGTGTTTGCTCAATAAGAATGAATAGGATTAAACATTGAAGTCCCCTAGAAATCAGCCCAAAGTTTGCATTTGATGCAGGATTGCTGTTCGGCAGGAATGTGCCACTACAGTCTTTCGTCTTATTGGTTGTCTTTAGCAGACCTCCATTCTGAGTGGTGAGATGTTCAGACGAACTGGTCAGAGATTCTGCTCTAGAGGTTATACAATATTTTGAACATCACTCATGGGTGTTTGTAACTCTTCAGATGGAAATAGGGTAAACATTTCAGTAAACATGTCAATCATAGTCATCTGGTCCCTTCTTAGAGAAATGGCCCCAGATTGTGCCTTTTCAAAGGGTTGAACAGGGGGCATCTTGTGTTCAGCATCCTCCTCCAGAGAACCATACTGTTTGAGTAGGGTTGGCCCTGCCCTTCCTCTTTTCTACAAGGTGGTATGAGGGCCAGTCTTAATCAGTTGGAATAATTCATCCCCCTGATTATTGGTTTGATGATGGAGCACAACTAGGGACTATTTGAGTCTTTCTTTTAGATCCACTGAGGAAGAAGTCTAAGCATGGGATAATTATCAAGCTACATCTTTGTCCTAACCTGGAGGAAGCCTGCTTGAGAATGATATTGACTCACATAGAAGCCACTGCGCAGGACACTGAGAGTCCTGATGGATCATCTGAACCTTTGGGTCCAGCTGTGCCAGACCATTTTTTTGGACGTCCCTGCTGTGTCAGCCAATACATTTCCTCTTCTGCCTCTTATAACCAAATGTGTCATGAGTAATTCAGGTGGTGGCTACTAATTGGATCAGGTAGCCTCTAAAGGACAATAGTAATAACGACAATAATTATAGCTCACCCATATGTAATGTCACCACTGTTATAAGCTCTTGACATTTATTGATTTAGTCATCACAACAACCAAATTAGTGTAAGAACTGTAATCCTATGTTATACGCAAGGAGAAGCCAAGTAACTTACACAAATTTACATAGTTGGTAGGTGGCCAAGCCAGAATTGGATTCTAGAATCCTAGATTCCAGAATCTGTGTTGTTAGCCCCTCCACTATAATGCTCTACCCAGGTAAGGGATGGTGGTCATTGGTTCTTCTGAAGATCAATAAAACTCTCATTTCTGCCAGCTGTTTGGATTATGATTATATCTTTTTTTTTTAGTAGAGGCAGTTGAGAGTTGAAGGCTGAGCAAGTGTTTGACAGCCTCATGTTGTGAGCGGTTAGGTAAGGTATCACTAGCATAGGATATCGCTAGGTTGGAGTCTAGGGCCCCCTTCACTTTAGGTAGAGGTCCTGAAGGGCTGTGTCCAAGGAGTGAAGGTGAACCAGGTGTAGACAAGCACCCAAAGGGCACTTTCTTTACCCAGACATCTAACATTTTTTCACTAGGCTCTATCACTCCCAAAATACTTCAAATATTCCTTTAAGTTTTCCTTTGCTCATCAGGCCTAAATGAACTTCACTTCTGTGACACCTTAATTGTGTTAACAATATGGTATATGCAGAGAAATGGAGATTTAGTTGAGTGGAACACAGACCAAGGAGGAGGATGCTAAATGCCCCAATTGTCCATGCTTGTTTTCTGTTACTTTCTTTTTCCCAACTCCAGTTCTCAAGGATGATCCCTCCCCAACTCTGCCAGCTCCCAGCAGGCAGGTTGTGATGGAGAGAGCATCCGGCTTATTGTTCTTTCTTAGGGATGCTGACATCTCAGCCCCTCTATCCTGACCACAGACAATGAATGGAGCATGCCCTTGACCCAAAGGCAGTCCACTTGGGTGTTAGCAAGGAAGCCATACACTGGTCTATCATAGGAGCTTTGAAAAAGAGACAATAAATATAAATTAAACAAACCAGATCTTCTTGATATTAGAGTGTGGATGTGAAAAATTTAGAGAGGATGGTAGTAAACTTTAGTTGGTAGTAAGAGTAGAAATTGAAAGACACAGAAAAAAAGCTTATTAGCAGAATCTGTGAGACAGAGTAAGCCATTGGTTGGTAGAAGCTGTGGCAACCTATAAAGAAGAGAGGTGGGCAGTGCAAGGTGAGTCAGTAACAATAGGAACAGTAAGATATAAAAACAGAAGAGCTTATAGTCTAGTGAGAGAAACAGACATTAATAAAATAATCACACAAATGGATGTAAAATTGCAACTGGGATGCACAGTGTAGAGAAATGTTATCTGGTGTTATGAGAGCTCATAAGAGGGAGACTGGACCAAATCTGAAAAAAATCAATAAATGATGAATGAACAAAGATCCGAAGGATAAGCAAGTACTAACCACACAAAAAGCTAGAGGAGAGTATTCCAGGCTTAGGAAACAGGTGCAATGGTCTTGTGATTTGTGGAAGAACACAGAAGTTGTGAACAAGGCAAGATGTGGTTGAAGCTGGGACAAGATGAGGCTGGAAAGATGAATGGATTGTCTAAAAAAGAAAAAATGAGGTGAGACTACAGGAATTGAAGAATCCCACATTTAATGATTGGAAGGAGTAGGAGTAGGATGAATCTGAAAGGGAGACAAAATAGCAGCAACCAGAGAGGGAGAAAACAAAGCCGGACATAGAATAGTGTTCCTTGGTTTTATCAACATGACAACTCATTGAAAACCTTTACTTTGGAGTCCCTGGATGGAACTCTGGTTTTAAAGAAAGAGATAGGCAGTTCCAAGTATGGTTTCTTAGTTCATATTCCTTTCAAAATCCCCAATTCTAAATCTGCAATGTGAACACAAGTAAGGAATCCAGAGATGTGTAGAAACATCTGTGTATATATATATGCTTAGACACAGTCTCCTTTGTGCTAAAAAAACAAAAGGAATTTTATAACATGCTGATGTGTCCCTTGGAAACTTGTATGTTTACAGAGCCTATTGGAAGTGCAGAACTAGAAATTAAGAAGGAGAATATTTGCCTTACTTAAGAAAAATCACCCATACATTGAAACTGTGTTTAGAGAGTTAAGAACATAAAGAGTAGGGGGAGATTGTGGACAGAAGGAAAGGAAAAGAGGGCTATGGTAAGGATTATTTTAAAGGTGATGGAAATCAAGGCACACAGATACATCTCAGCCACCAAAATGTATTCCATATGGCCTGTCCCCGTGTGCATTCAGCACTTTTGCGGATCATTAGCTACACAATGAACAGATGACTTCATCAGGCTGGTCCTGATGATTCCTACATGTTCCCCCTTGAAGACTAGGAGGATTTCCTGGCCTGGAAGTGCCTGAATGACTTCAATTGCTTTTCCCAACGGCATTATCTTTGCGCTTGCCTATAAAGATTCATCTATCATTGGCTGCCTAGCTACTTAATTGGCCCCGGCTGTCCCTACTTCCTTGATTAACCCAAGAAACTGGATCATCAGCTAATGTCACCATTTCCCTGCTTCCAGATCCTTCAGAGACTTGACCAAACAGATGATATCCAGGGGTATCTGACTCCTAAGAACTAAATGTTTTATTCTTCCCTATCTTTCCTATCTTTAAACCATTTAGCACAGCATGGCTGACAAGCCATTATGACACACTTTGTGGTTGCCACGCTTTCTCATATAGGTTACTACAAATGCCTTTGAGGTCTTTTGCGTTTGCCAAGATACAGCTCCTTTCAATTACTCTATTGCTCATTCTTTAAAATTGAAAACATTCTCATACTCTTGGAAGGCCTGGGGACAGAGGTGGAATTTGTACCTATAAAACGCTACTCATCTAAACAGGATGCAAATGATTTTATTAATTATGTTGGGCTTTGAGATTCTTGCTTGAAGAGTGATTTGCAAAAGCAGAAGCAATATTTGGTGCATGTCCTTTTGTACAGGGACAGCCATGCTAGGATGGCAAAGGGAAGCTTTGGAGATTGGGCACTGCGGCCACATCCCCTTCAAGACACTCAGAGTCTCCAATTAAGTAGTTTCTGATCTTTCTTCTACATATTACACAGAAGTCAGGGAAAGTCCCTACTCACATAAATAAGTGAATGAAATAATCTCTTATGTAGCCCTCTGGAGAGTTTCCGTAAGTATTTATTTTGTCATATTTTGGATTCTCTGAGGAGGCTGTTGAGTGGAAAAGGAATAGGCTTTGGAGTTAAGTGGAATGGGAATCAAACTCCACCTGAACAGCCTAAAAATCTAAAAATCTCAGTTTTAGCTGTAAATTAGAGATAAGCTTATCTTACAGGAAAATTGGGAGAAATCAAGAAATTAATGTGGGAAAAGTGTTTACTACTGCATCTGGCATTTAGTAGGTCGTTGAAAGGGGAATTGCCATTTTCTGCTGGGCAATAGTTCTCTGCAGCCTCAGTGCCACCTCACAGTCATCTGGAGAGCTTGGCAAACCTTATGTCCAGGCTGCACCCCAGACCCATTAAATCAGGATCTCTGGGGATGGGACCTGGCATAAGTTTTGGTTTTAACAAGGTTCAGCCAAGCAGACTGGGATGTCTCAGAAATAGCTGCCATTTCTGGTCCACCCCTAGGGCCATGCATGGCCTTTTCTGGGTATCTGATTGCAGCCTGGCTGAGCTATGCTCCTTCACTGGGTGTGGCAAATAAAAATGGGCATATGTGGTAGCCTCTTGTTTGGCATGATTACTTCCCAGCAGTTCCTGAGTGCTCAGGTTCCTGAGATACCTTTTCGTGGGGGTGACCTGCTCTCCCGACAGCTACATGCTCCGAAGCTTTCACTCATCTTAAGATCAACCTCCCTGTCGACCCCACCCCTGAGGGTGGTTAAATCAAGGGTGTACCTATCTTGGCTGATGACCTGTCTGTTCCTGTTCTATCTCTTCTGATTTCTGGCTTTGCTGGCTTTGAGAGACAGGCTAGGTTAACGGAGGCCACAAATACTTTAACCTCCCCTCCAATGCTGTTAAAACAAAACCAGCTGGGTCAGGGGAAGAAAAACAAATAAAACACAAATCCTCTTACTACAAAGCTTTGCAGTTGCCTAATAAAAACAATGATCAGTGGCATTTCCAAAAATATGTTTAGGACAACTCAGTCTCCCAGAGGCCCAGAAGGAATTACAGATGGCTGAAACTACCAGAATGACCTGTCTTAAAGAAGGAAAATTTCTTCTCTGTTAAACCATTGGCATGCAAAAAAAGAGAATGCATTTCCCCCGTAATCCTAAGCAAAAGAGATGGGGTTGACGAGTTTGTGAGTTTGTGAGCCAATACCATTGTCATGGTCTATTTTCTGCAGACTTTGCAATCTCGTTTTCTAACAGAAAACATGAATATGCCCAGATACCATGGGATGACTTATTTTACTATTTCCCAGGCTTGAAAATATATGTTCAGAAATATACCCAGCTCATTCCCTCCTTCAATTATTTAGCATATGACCACTGTCCAGAATACAGACTGCATGACCTCATACATGCTCCTAGGCAGCATTGCTTGGAAAATGAGGTCCTTGTCTTTAGAGATGGGAAGTCACATTCCATAAAACATTTCTCACATCTCAAGAAGTTGATATTTCTGAAAAATTAACCCAGGGAAAATCAAATTGATATTAAAGAATGCCTGCAGTGGTCTAAGAATGCCTAATTTCCCCTGCCCCTCCCTGCTTCTCTATCTGCCAGTTTACCCTGGACTTTTTCCCCTGGCTTGGCAAGGGGGCAGAGGGTGATGGGGAGAGACCTTGGAGTAAAGTTTCAATGGACAGCAGGAAGCCAGCGTCTGTTATTTTAAGCACTGAACACTAGACAGGACATTTTGTTTCCAACACACTCAGGGGCAGAGAGATCTCGGTAAAGATCAAGAGGCTACAGAGCAGCAAGAATCATAAGAATCACATTAGCACTGACAAGCTTCCCAGTGGGGTGGAGAAAAGAACATTTGGAGTGGTTTGCTAAGAGGAATGCACATTTTTATCAGGCACTGAAGCTCTCCCTTTTGATGTCGGGATTCCAGGGCTACAGCATGTTTTATAGTCACATACACATGTTCCAAGGGCTCTCCAGGCTGCTCAGTCTTGCCCCTGTGGAATGCACGCAGGAGCAGGCTGGACATCAGGGGTGGGCAGCCGTCGGCATGGCCTGATTTCGAGGGCTCTGGGAAAACACCCTGCCTCCACCTCCCACCAGCTGCTCAGATACACTGTTAGCTATTTAATCCCCAAGCAAGGATGAGAATGGACATTTCTTGTGCACCTACTGTGAGCCAGGAACTGGCTTTTTGGGCCCACTTCACAGATGAGGAAACAGAGGCTTGGAGATCATGAAGGCATTACGCAGCTGACCTGGAAATTGGCAGTGCCTAGGAGATTATCAAAGTTGGCTCTTTGGAAAAACTGGTAAACTCGCTCATGATGAGGCGTGAATTCCATCATTCACGGAGTTATACACTTCACAAATGAAAAGTACTCACTATGTACAGGAGCAAGGCCAGCTGCTGAGGTGGCAATAGAAGATGAAAAATTTCTGACACTGTTTGGAACAAATGATCTAACAGGAGGCAAGGCAGATATCAAATAATATATAACCAAAAATAGGTGCCATGAGACAGATGTAGACATTTGCATAGTATTATTGCTTCCTGAATACTTATAAAATGAATGATAAGATATAATATTACTTTGCATTTAAATAGAGAGTAATATTTTAGCAAGCCATTAATTATGTAATTTTACACATTAAATGAGCTAATATGGGAAGCTGAGGGCCTTCTGGGAACCCTTGTAAATCAGTGATTCTTTTTTTTAATTTTAATTTTAGGTTTCGGGGTACATGTGAAGATTTGTTACATAGGTAAACACGTGTCGTGGGGGTTTGTTGTACATATTATCTCATCAGCCAGGTGTTAAGCCCAGTACAATAGTTCTCTCTTCTGCTCCTCTCCCTCCTCCCACCCTCCTCCCTCAAGCAGATCCCAGTGTCTGTTGTTTCCTTCTTTGTGTTCATAAGTTCTTATCATTTACCTCCCACCTATAAGTAAGAACATGTGGTATTTGGTTTTATGTTCCTGTGTTAGTTTGCTAAGGAGAATAGCCTCCAGCTCCATCCATGTTCCTGCAAAAGACATGATCTTGTTCTTTCTTATGGCTGCATAGTATTCCATGGTGTATATGTACCAAATTTTCTTTATTCAGTCTGTCATTGATAAGGATTTAGGTTGATTCCATGTCTTTGCTATTGTGAATAGTGCTGCAAGGAACATTCGCATGCATGTGGCTTTATGGCAGAATTATTTATATTTGTCCCTATTTAATAAATGATGCTGATTATTTATTAAATAGGGAGTCCTTTCCCCATTACTTGTTTTTGTCAAGTTTGTTGAAGATCAGATGGTTGAAGATATGCAGTCTTATTTCTGAGCACTCTATTCTGTTCCATTGGTCTATGTGCCTGTTTTCTTACCAGTATCATGCTGTTTTGGTTGCTGTAGCCTTGTAGTATAGTGTGAAGTTGGGTAACATGATGCCTCCAGCTTTGTTCTTTTTACTTAGGATTGCCTTGGCTATTTGTGCTCTTTTTTGGTTCCATATGAATTTTAAAATCTTTTTTTTTCTAGTTTTGTAAAGAATGTCATTGGTAGTTTGATGGGCATAGAACTGAATCTGTAAATTGCTTTGGGCAGTATAGCCATTTTAATGATGTTGATTCTTCCTATCCATGAACATGGAATATTTTTCCATTTGTTTGTGTCTTCTCTGGTTTCTTTGAACAGTGTTTTGTAATTTTCATTGTAGAGATCTTTCACCTCTCTGGTTAGCTCTATTCCAAGGTATTTTATTCTTTTTGTGGCAATTGTGAATGGGATTCTTTTCTAATTTGGCTCTCAGTTTTGCTGTTGTTGGTGTATAGAAATGCTAGTGATTTTAGTACATTGATTTTGTTTCCTGCAACTTTGCTGAAGTCGTTTATCAGCTGAGGGGCTTTGGGGCCAGTACTATGGGGTTTTCTAGATATATATAATCATGTTGTCTGCAGAGATAGTTTGACTTCCTCTCTTCCTATTTGGGTGCCCTTTATTTCTTTCTCTTGCCTCAAAATCAGTGATTCTTAACCAGAGAAACACATCAGGGTTTCTAGAATTTTTTTTTCAAGAATACACATAGTAGGCCAGGTGCGGTGGCTCACACCTGTAATCCCAGCACTTTGGGAGGCTGAGGCAGGTGGATCACAAGGTCAGGAGCTCAAGACCATCCTGGCTAACATGGTGAAACCCTGTGTCTACTAAAAATACAAAAAAATTAGCTGGGCGTGGTGGCGGGTGCCTGTAGTCCCAGCTACTTGGGAGGCTGAGGCAGGAGAATGGTGTGAACCTGGGAGGCGGAGCTTGCAGTGAGCCAAGATTGCGCCACTGCACTCCAGCCTGGGCGACAGAGCGAGACTCCGTCTCAAAAAAATCTGTGTATATATATATACACACACACACACATAGTAGACCTCCCTCTGCAGACATTCTGCTCCAGAAGGACTAGGTTGGACCTTTCAGAAAAACTCACTGGGTAACTGTGGTGTGTACCTCCAGTTAAGAACCACTGCTGAAAGTAACAAATTATATAGTGTTTGTTGATTCTCTAAAAATAATGATTGATAATAACTGAAGACACCAGAGAATAATTCAGCCTCAAGAAATTTTTGTCCTCAGTCAATAGATTTGTGCGTTAGGTTCTATCTGCCTCTATATCTATAGAGATGAGCAAGTCACTCATCATCTCTGAGCCTCAATTTACTGATCTGTTAAATGGGGATGATAGTAATAGCTACTACATCTATTTCTCAGGACTTCTGGGAGGATGATTGATTCAGCATCTACTTACTTAGTACCTATTATTTGTAAGTGGCTGTTGTGTTCAGTGGAAGATTAAAATATCAGTGTGTCCACTATTTTCAAGGGTCTTATAAACTAGAAAAATTAATCACAACAAGATAGAAAATCAAGTGCCCAATAAAAGAAGTGCTCTGAGAGTTTGAAGGAGACCTAGAGATGGTAACTTAACATCTTGTGGACACAAGTTTGGGGATGGGGAGGAAAGGGATGAGTACTTGCCTAGAATGTTTGGATTCCAGTCATGGGAAAGATCAGTAGAGTTAGATCATCATAAGCTAAAAATGCCACCTTGAGAGTCACAATTTTTTGATGGGTATTAGAGAGCCCTGGAAGCATTGTAAGTAAACATGACATGCTCTGAGGGGGTTAGGAAGACAAAGCTCATAGTGTATAGTGCATGGATCAGGATGAGGGAAAAGCTGGAGGTAGCAAGACTAGTCAGGAAGCCAAGGTGGCAGCAAATGTCTGAAATGGGCGAGGAGCTGTGTCGACAACTGTTCCAATTTGTGGCAAGAAGACAAAGGAATTGGCAAAAGACAGATACTAGGCTGAGTAATTGTGTTAATGTGGTTCCTTGAAAGGGCTCTGAGAAACCGTGCAAATGAAGGTGGCCACCAGGAAGCCCCATCCAAGGCAGCTGCCTGCAGAATTAAAACCTTTTGGTTTCCAGAGCTTTGCTAGGGTAGGATGCACTGAACAGGCCTCAGGGAGGAGGGTATGGGGAAAAATTGATGGGGAAGCCCCCCAGACTTTTGCCTTGTGCCCAGGACAATGACTTCTCAGCCAAGCACTCAAACAGTATGAAGCCAATTTGCTGGGTTCAAAGTAAACTCTACCATCTTGGGCAAGGTACTTCCTCTTTCTGAGACCTGGATTCTTCATTGTAAAATGGGAATCATGACAAGGATAATAATAATAATGCCCACTGCATACTGTTATGAGGATTAAATATTAAGCAGTTAGTAGGGTGTCTGACATAACTTGAGTGCTACAGAATATATATATATACTTTCATACACATTTATTTGAAAAATTCTATGGTTCACAAATATTGAAAACTATTAATTTGAACCAAAGACTGGACTCACTGACTTGGATTTGCTCTCTAAAACTGGGTCCCTCTTGTCTACATAACTGACCTGCGGCACCTACAGCCAACCTGGCCATCCCGGTCTCCTTCTTGGTCTTTTTGGTGCCCAAGACATGTCCTCCATATATTCCTATTTTTAAGAATTACATGTTTATCAGAATAATTTCATTCTCAGTGCTCAAGTTGAAGCAGATGATCACAGAGAATTTAACTACATAAAGTCCTCCTATTTTACAAAGGGCACAAAACTTCAGAGATGTTCACCAGTAATGAAGTCCTAATTAAGAGAGCCCTGATTAGGTCTTAGCTACAGGTGAACATCTCTGAAGTTTTAAAAGAGATTCAAAGAGAGAGAGAGAGGCGGGGTATTTGATGTGAGGGAGACTCTCCGTTGCTGGCTTTGAAGATGGAGGGGCCCTCATGAGACGGAAACAGCCACCAGAAGCTGAGAGTGTTCCCATTGACAGCCAGAGAGGAAATGGGATCTCAGTCCTACAGCCCCAAAAGACTGGATTCTGGCACAGCCATGTGAGCTTGGAGGAGGTGCCTGAGCTCCAGATAAAACAGCAGCTGCTGACACCTTGATTTCAGCATTATGAGAACCTGAGCAGAGAATACACTGTGCCCAGACTCCTGACCCAAGGAAACTGATATATTCAATGGTCACTAAGTTTGTGGTAATTCGTAATGTAGAAATAGAAAGCAAATACAATCTCTCTAGCCCAGACCCACACACTGGGATTCCTCAGGCACAAATCCACCTGCCTAATCCTCCCCAGCTGTAGGAAGGAAAAACAAAGGCCAGTGTGGAATACCAGTTCCCCTTTACCCTGGAAGATGCTACAGATGGAATAATGTTCTTTCCTTTCCCACTTGTACTGAACCAACATGGAATTCCATATGTATTACATCACCACTCCCCCATCTCAGGGTCCAACCACACAGAGGAAGCAAATGTGAAGAGGATGCTCCAGTAGGGCTCATGTAAAAGGATATCTTGTTTGTGGGACGGCTGGAAGGAAGTGGCTGCACTATCTTTTGCCCCAGTGCCATCTAAAAGACACACAGATTCTCTTTACATTCTTTCTAGGGAAATTTTTTAAAGACTCAAATCAACTGCAGAATTTACTGAGCTTTCATAAAAGTCTACCCTTGGCTAACTCTTTGGATAAAGTAAATGAAGGGGCAGAAGGTTCTGGAACAGTTTGCTAGCTATTTCTGCACAACCAGGCAAACTTTCCCTCTTAACTAGAGTTCAGTTTGTTGGCTAATTTTGCATTTATTGGACAAACCCAAGTTGTCACACATGTAGGTAAGCAGCAACAGCAAGGCAGAGAGGCAATGTCTGTCACCTTGATTGCTAACCCTGACCTTAGGTCCACACACACAAAAAGACCAGGTAGAACTTTTTTGCCCCCCAGCACAGGTGATTAATCATGGACTGAGGCAGGCCCTCAGTTGAAAGCCAGTGGAGCATAGCACCAACATCTGTTTTGTATTACCTATTGCTGAAATGCCAGGGGCCTGAAACCATTTAGAAAATGCAGCTCTCCATGCCCTCAGCCTCTTTCGGTCTCTCCAGCTGGCAACCAAGTGGCAAATGTATTTAGAAATCAGAAGCTAGCTCCTCTGTCAACAATGCCAAGGGCCTTGAATGCCGGGGCCCTCAGACAGTACATTTTGGGCGGAATTTTTTGTAGATGCCTCTTGTTTTCATTGAGGGACCTTAGAAAAATGGAGCAAACACCATGTCCTGGCTGAGTTGGATGGAGAGAAAAAAGGCTGTAGGAAACCAGTTTTGTATTCAGTGAACACTCTTCCAAGGTAGACACTGAGAAATGTGAGAAGATTTTTTTTAAACCAAGTGTGAATTATCATGGTTTTATCACCCGCACCACAGTCCTTTTCCTCTTTGCTTTTCATTCCCTCTTCCCTAGAGAAGAGACAGAATTTGAGTGAGGAGTAAATCTGCAATAACAGCCACAAGATAAGTTTGAGGATGTGAATGGATAGTGTAGCTTGCAGCTCCCAACAGTTTGCACTGAAGACAATCAATGTCTTATGAGAGAAGTTTGTGAATGTATCTCATGTCAAAAATAAACAGTAGGAAAGAGAAAATTCCTCTCTTAAGAGCTAATTTCTATCACCCAGTGTACTCCTTTCTTTCCCCCCTCAATGCCCTAAATCTTCCCACTTAGTCCCTGTTTTTTTTAAACCTATCAAACTCAAGTGTAAAAATATGTGTGCCTTGTTGCAGGGACCAGAGCAAAGGTTGTAGGTCACAGCTGGAAGGGGCTGGTGCCACTTTCTCCCAGTCCACATTGGGTTAGAGGCAGGGTCAGTACCTCACCTGGCAATCTCATGATAAAATTTCACAAATAATCAGAGTAAATGAAATAATTCGCACAAAGTGATTTAACAAAGAGGCATGGTTGTATTTTCAGTGCACATACATTATAAGTGTCACTCTTTTTTCCTTTATCTTTTCTCTGCAGAAGGTAAATAAAAATGATTGAAATTCAAAAATTAATAGTTACTTAAAAGACCTTGACATTTTAATCAACTTTTTTCTCCTAATAACTGAATAAAAAATAGAAATTTAAGCTTTAGAGCTGTTTTTTTAATCCTGTAGATATGCTGTAGAATGAATTATCTGGTGTGAACTTGCCCATCTAGACATAACAGAAGCAAACAGATTTTAGGGCTTTCAAAAGTAGATAAAATGCAAGTGATGTTAATCGGAATCATATTCTAATATTAGCTCCATCCTGATAGGAAGTCTCTAGTTTTATTTCTCTACCTGGGCTCAGAATTCAGTCTCGTGCCTGGTTACCTTAGTTACTCAAGGGCTGGGTGCCAATGTGATGAACATCAGAGGTTTGCTGCCTGTTCAAATTTATTAGCTTCCTTTTCGTCTATGGTCCCAAAAGTACCCAAGGAGAGCTGAGTGAGTGACTGGGGTGCACTCAAACTCATTCAATTCAAAGAATTAGCCTAATCAGTTCATGTTTTTAAATTGCAATTTTTAATTTTCTGATAATGATGCCATTTTCTGTCTCATCACATCCCCTCTTCAAAGAAAAAAAGTCCTTAATGTCTGTATGCTACTATTTCCAAAATATACATTCTCCCCTCCTCTGGCATGACTTCCAGAGCTACTCCAATTTTATGTCATTTTAATTTCTTCTGAGGAATTATTATCTTCAGGGTCTATTTTCTGCTTCCAGAAAGTACACAGCTTTGGGAACTGAGCAACAGAATCACAGCAATGATAGCAACACCTGCCATGTGCTAGGAATGAGTTCTGTGAAAAAGAAACTAGAAGTAGTTGTGGTAAAAGCCAGACTAGTAGACCCGAGAGTCCCTAAAAAAGGAGGAGAGATCCATATTCAGTCCTTTAGACTTTATTTTTCTTTTGTTCTTAGATACTTTTATTCTATTCCGGGTCAAGAGTTTATTTATGAAGAAAATAGGAGAGCATTTGGAAAGAATCAGAAAGTCGGAGGAAAGAATGTCCTGGGTGGAGGTTAAGTACTGTGGCAAAGTCTGGTTCTTACTCACCAAACTCATTTCCTCTCCTAGGCACATAGTTAACTCCATTACCCAGGTTCCTTTGTGGTTAGGCAAAGTCATGTGACTGAGTTACAAACAATGGAATGTGGGCAGAAATGCAATGTGCCTTTCCAGCCATGGCCCTTGAAAATGTGCCTGAAAAAGGCACAATCCTTCATGCTTCTTACCCCTTTGTCAGCAACTTTGGAAACCGTACATTGAAGCTGGAGGAGCTACAAAATGGAAGGAGGCTGGGTTCTTGGAAGAGAACTGTCTTGCCCAACAGAAACACCAATTTTGGACTTTATGTTAGGAAAAAATGAATTTCTATTGTGTTAAGCCACAGTTTTGTTGGCATTTGTCTGTTACAACAAGTAACATAACTTAACTAATACCAACCCCACAAAGAAGGATACTATGGAAAATTTTCAAAGACTCAAAATCCCAATACCCCTTTATCTTTCATTGTCTGTAAAAAGAAACCCAAATTTTTCTGTGGGAGTTTTAGTTTCTCAACCTCTTGTTACTAGTCACCAAGTAATGTCACAAAAACATAGTTTCTTGATTGAAAAACATCCTAAGTGCAAATCATTATTAAGATGGAGGAGGAGAAGGAGGGAGGATGGAAAATGTCATTTTGGATGCTTAAGAATCACGCTACCCTCCTCTATTTTAGAAATGTACTCAACTTGGATAGAGAGGATTAGCTGTTGCCCAGTGCCTGCTGATTACTGTGTATGAAAAAGTCAAATACACTTTTGAGTTTCAGATTGTGTCTCCTATAGGAAACTTTAAGTGAGAGATTCAACTAACTGCTTGATAATTAAAGGAAAAACTCCATTTTTGCTTCTGCTATTTAAGTAGCATTGGCTTGAATTATCCAGCATGCTCAGCTCACCTCCATATCTGATGGTGTCTAGACAAATCCCTAGTGTATGTTATATAAAACCATGCATTTATCAAAAGAATGGGAAAGAGGCTATAGAGTTTGACCTATGCATGCACCCATCCATGAAGTAGTTATGACAGCAGTATTTGAACTAAAATAATTCTATAAGTAACCTCCAAAGAAATAACATTCTAATTGTTTATAAATGGTGACTAGATCCCAAGCTTGTCAGAAAATCTGCTTAGTCCCAAGTATAGTGTTCGGTGCCCATTCACTCACGTATTTGATGCTTAAGGTGCAATTAAATAACTAATCACTACCTATTTGGAGGGCTGGGTTAGGGGTGTGTGTGACTAACATAATAGAAGTAAAAACCGCAAGGGACTGAAGGAAGGAAGAATAATTTTCTGACTGGGGCCATCAAGATAGGGCTTAGAAGGATGGCCAGGGGCTCAGGAGATAATGAATGGGGGTAGTGTATTGTGGGGAGGGATGAGAGCCTTCCAGATAGAGGAAAAGCTGCCTGCAGAATAGTTGAGGAGATGTGGCCAAAGCTGATGCTGAATGGGTCATTTATTCAGCCAACATGTACTACTTCAGTTTGGGGACAGTGTCTCTGCCCTCATGGCACTTGTATTCTCCTGGCAAAAACAGGTATCAACCCAGAAAGAAAATTCATATTCAAGGAGGTAATAAGTGCTATGAAGAAAATGATACTGACTGTGGGGGTGGACTGAGTAACTCACAGGAAAGGGGACAATATTTTAGAAAGGATGTTTAGGGAAGGTCTCCCTGGGTTGGTGGCAAGAACTAGAAGGGTCACTCCAGCCTGAATCCCCAAGCTGTTCTGAGTCCAGATTTCCTTTGTCTCAAGTTTTGGCTCTGCACCTGTTCTGGGAGATGAGCTTGAGTAGCAGAAAGCTCAGGGGGACCTATGTTTGGAGTCAGGAGCCAGGAAGGTCTGTGTGGTGAAGGGGCAAATATGAGGGAAATATGAGAGGATTAGCTGTTGCCCAGTCTGCAAGTCTCTGGGAAATCACGGAAGGCCTGGATTGCTTTCTTTAATTTTGTAGAGAGATTCCCTTCGTTTGTGAGGATAAGAACAATTTAATCAGCAACAGCTGTTTACTTATCTATGTTTTTAAACATGATCTGAACTACTTCAATGAACAGAATATATGCTTTCTTTCCCAGGGCATAGAAACCAAATTGTCATCTTTAGCCTCTCTGATGTTCTCAGCAGAAACAGGGACTTCACAATGAAGGAACAGAACACTCAGTTTTAATTTTAGAATAGGGAATATCATCATAAAATATAACACTATATAGCCAAATATATTAATATATATATTATAACACCATAATTTAACCAAATATGAATAAAAAATCCATCACTTCTGCAGTTCAAGAATGGAGAGCCTTCTCCCAGAGGCCAAAACCCAAAGGAAAAGAGGAGCATCCCATTAGCTGAAAGCCTTCATTCCCCAACCCTGCTAAAGGCAGTGTGTAACGTGCAAGTAGAATTCTACAGCCAAGGCAACAACTTCCCCACAGATGGAAAGCTTTGAGTACTTCCCAACTCATCCAAGAACTAAAACCTCAGAAAGATTTATTGTGAGGAGGCCCTCTGCTAGGGAGCATTTCTATTGAATATTTCCTCCTCAGGTCTTGGTCTGATAGCAATTAGTTTTTAAAGGGTAAAGGAAGCCCAGATTGAAGAGGAACTTCTTGTACCAGCACAATGATTGGGGGACTTAGCTCTAATTTGCAGACTCAATTTCCCCATCCTTCTCTTATTGGCTTTCTTAAAAAAGCTCATCAAAACCTGGATTTCCATTCTATGATAGGCTTGTTAAGCTTTTTCTTCCTATGGAAAGTAGAGAATTGAAGTAGTTATCTGGATAGTATCTGTTTAATTGATAATATCTAAGATAATTAAAGAAGGATAATAGTAACAGAGTAACTATTTATGACCTTTTTTGCAGCAATAATCCCTGAATACTATATTGAGAAAACATAACATTAAAAAGAGAAAATATTGCATTGTTATTTCTTCCTGCCAAATTCCTCTCTCCCTATATATTATATATATAACTTTTATTTATATATTATATATAAATATATATAACTTTTATTTATATACTATATAAGTATATAATATATAACTTTTATTTATATATACATGTATATAATTTTTATATGTATATTATATATATATATATGTTTTTAGATGAGGTCTCACTCTGTTGCCCAGGCTGGAGTGCAGTGGTTCGATTTAATCTCACTGCAACTTCTGCCTCCTAGGGTCAAGTGATCCTCCCACCACTTCCTCCCGAGTAGCTGGGACCACAGGTGTCTGCCACCACCGCCATCTAATTTTTTTGTATGTTTTGGTAGAGACAGGGTTTTGCCATGTTGCCCAGGCTGGTCTCGAATTTCTGAGCTCGGGTGATCCACCTGCCTTGGCCTCGCAAAGTGCTGGAATTACAGGTGTGAGCCACCACACCTGGCCAAATTCCTCTATTTCTGAGGATCTTAAATAGCTATTGTTTTCCAGGAAGAACACAAGTCATTATTCCATCTTAATTTTATCTTTAGTTTTCTCCTTCCTTTTCTTCCAGACACATTGTCCCCTCCCCTGCCTTACCACCCAGAAACTCCTTCAGTTTAAGGGCAGAGAGGGACATGTGTGACTTTGAAGAAAAATAGAGAATTTCATTTTTCCTAAATTTATCATTTAAGTTTAGGTGTTATTAACAATGATGCAGGTGTATTCTACTGAAATCAGATATTACACATTAGTAATTGAAATTCTGTATACCTTTTCTCTTGTAAGTAAATTTCCATTACTGTTTCCCTTTCCGACATTACTGGTCACTTGATTATAAATGAATCACGTTTTCATCCATGTGATACAAAATGTGGTTTTGTGATTCAGAAAGTTGGTGATTATCCCACCAGCCTGGCACTGAGGTAATAGCTGAGAGAGAATTGATTAAGTCAGAGACATTATGATTTTTCTTATAGCCATTTTGGTGAAATTAGAAATGAACTCGTCAATGGAGTAATCCAAATTTAAGTACTGGCCTGTTCATATAGCTAGAATCGTTCCAACTTTCCTGTCTCTGGTTAAGTGTTGTATTTTGAAAGACTTAATGTTACACAAAAATTCTAAAATATTTAAACGTTTAGATCTTCAGATAAGTGGGCCCGTAGATCTAAAAACTACACAGTAGCCAGTAGGCAAAGTAAGTGCTTGGTAAGATATATAGTTGCTGTTTCATGAAACAGCTGACATGAAATTGAAAATATAACAAGAATCTTAATATCTAATATTCACTAGATGCATCAGGTTAAGCAGATCATCTTTTTTCAAAAAAGTGCCAATTTCATTTCAACACCATGTCATCAAAATTGTAACGATCATGGGAGGAAGATCAGCAGTCAAATGGAGGGTGACTGTTATAGCATGAGTTAAGTAGATCCCACATAATTATAGGAGAGACCATTCTTTCTGAGTTAGGAATATGGAATATTTTGTCATGAGTCATCCTATGATAAATCAACACCTAGCAGTGTTGCCCATTGTGGATTTCCTTTCATCAAATTGATCCTACCCATTGAAGATACACTGAAGAGACAATTTAAATAATTATTATAAATGCTACCCTATTTATCCTAAGGGATAGCAGTTATTGGAGAAATGGCAGTATCTCTGTCAGATGTCTACTATCAAATCAAACAATAAAATGAATGTTGTGACCATGAACTCTTAATGACTTTACATACTTCAAAAAGTTATGTGAAAGCACAGGCTTAGGGAGTGACTGTTGTGAGGCACATGCATTTCATAAGCAAAACTCCCTTTCCTATTCCTGATGCCAAAGTGGTCATGGGGACTGAAGGACAGGCAAGGTGCTAGTAGTAACTGAGAGGGCAGCGTTGATGTTTTGGTTTAAACACAGATTTAAAGAAATGGATCCAAACACATTTCATGCTTTTCTCTTTCGGGCTTTTTCTTATTCTTCTGCCTGCTCTTCTTCCTCCTTTTTTCTTTTTTTTTGCTAGGTCCTTTACCTTTGTTTGCATCTGCCAGAATTCCATCCTCTGTTCACTTTACTTCTCCCACTGCACAGATCTGTTTCTTTTCTGTTACGTAGAAACATGGTTATCAAATTTGAGCCTGCACCAGAATCTCCTGGAGGAATGGTTAAAACAGCTGATTCAGAAATGCTTTGTTGCAGTTCTAACAAGCCCCAGGTAACATTGCTGCTGGTGGTCCAGGGACCACTCTTTGAGAACCACTGCTGTATGATGACCTTGTAATCACTCTCTCCCTTCTGTCTGGCACTCCCATCATCATGAAATATGAAATGATGACTGGGGACATGCGGGGGAACTTTCCCCAACATCAGTGACTCTATCATAAGCAGATAGGCATAATGAGTAAAATTAGACATGCCTGCAGACAAGAATTATAAGAAAGAAGTTGTCCTTGATGAGCAAGTTTATTTACTCAGATTGCTGATGTTAAGTATTCGGAGATACAATTCTTTTGATGAAAAGATGGCCCTAAACAGATATTTTGTGAGCATCTGCATCACGACATAACTGAGACTTAACACATTTCTTTCCAATTCAACTGGAAAGTATGTATTGAAGGCCTATGATGTGTCAGGAACTGTGTGGATTGTTATATGGTAGCTGCACCTGTGCATGGTACGTACACCTGACCGTGACAGTTTAAGCATTTCCTGAGAATGACCCTGTATGGCAGACACACCTGAATGTGTGTTCACAGTTTGAGCGTGGCCAACCTGGAGATTCATTCCTTACCTATGAGGAACATCTGAGTACCCAGCTTGTCCAGTGGGATGCTTGTCATACAGGGGATTGAGGCCCTTTGAATAAAGGCTGAGTAAAGGTTGAATAAAGGTTGCCAGGTGGGGGTTGTTAGGGAAAGGATGTTAAGTGAAAATGCTACATGAACTACATGCTTTTTACAAGTGGTGGCAGTTCTCCTGTCCAGCCTACAATCACTGGACCATCCCTGTACGTAAGTTCCCCTAAATAAACCCCATATCTCGTCTGCTGGCTCAGGGTCTCTTCTTTGGCCTCTCAGCTCTGGTGCTACCCCTTAACTCAGCTCACTGCAGCCTCCGCCTCCTGGGCTCAAGCGATTCTCTTGCCTCAGTCTCCAGAGTAGCTGGGATTACAGGTTTGTGCCACCATGCCCAGCTAATTTTTGTATTTTTAGTAGAGACGGGGTTTTGCCTTGTTGGCCAGGTTGGTCTCGAACTCCTGACCTCAAGTGATCCACTCACCACAGCCTCCCAAAGTGCTGGGATTACAGGTGTGAGCCACCATGCCCGACCTGTTATGGAGATTTAATGGTTTCTATCTACAAGAAATCCACAAGCCATTAATGTCTGATGGGAGGGAAAGAGTGACTACAGGGTCATTATGCAGCAGTGATTCTCAAAGGCTGGTCCCTGGACTAGCAGCAGCACCTGGGGCTTGTTAGAATGCAGCAAGCATGTCATGCAGAAATCTCTGGGGGTAGAGGGTCCGCAAGCTGTTTTGGAAAGGAAACAGGTGAGGGTACTTGTGCAGCGGGAACTATAAAAAGAACAGAGTGTGGGATTAGGGCAAATAGTGATAGGGAAAGAGGCCTGGCAGAAAAGAGAGGAAGAACAAATAGAAAAATAAGAGAAAAACCAGAAGAGAAGAGCATCTCTACAACGAAGACAGTCTTTGAAGGCTGTTTTCAAAGAGAGAGAATGATGCAGAGAGATCAAGTTTAATCTGGCAGAGAAGCAGGGGAGTGTGCTTACAGGAGTGGCTTTAGAGGGAGCAGGATCCATGGAGCAAGGAGGCAGAGGACAGGCGGGGGACAGGCTGCAGGGGCTGGAAACTTCATGAGAAGGGTAGATGGGAAGCCAGCGGAATAGCTCACTCTTTTGAGATCTGCTGCAATGGATGGGTTGAGGCTCGGTGGCTGTTGGAAAAAGAAGGGGCAAGGAAAGTCTTTTTAGGATGAGAGAAACCAACAAGTGCAAGTTTGTGAAAAGAGGCTGGTGTCTTTAGAAGATGGAAAGGGAAAGAATCAAGCACAGAGATGTAAAAGAGATCAGAGCTGTTTATTTGCTGAGGTAAGAGGGATAGCGAGAAGAATTCTTTCAATAAATATTTTTGGAAACCTATACTTGCCAGACACTGTTTTCAGTGTAATAAATAAAATAGGCAAAGTGCTTGTTCTCCTGGAGTTTACCTTTTAGTGAGGGCAAACAGATAATAAGCAGATACATATACAATTTCTCAGGTATTCATAAATGCTGTAAAGATTAAAGCGGCTGGGTGCGGTCCTCACGCCTGTAATCCCAGTACTTTGGGAGGCCGAGGTGGGTGGACTACTTGAGGTCGGGAGCTCAAGATCAGCCCGGCCAACATGGTGAAACCCTGTCTCTACTAAAAATACAAAAATTAGCTGGGCGTGGCGGTGGGTTCCTGTAGTCCCAGCTACTCAGGAGGCTGAGGCACAAGAGTCACTTGAGCCCGAGAGGTGGAGGTTGCAGTGAGCCGAGATGGCACCACTGCACTCCAGCCTGGGTGACAGAGTGAGACTCCATGTCAAAAAAAAAAAAAAAAAAAAAAATTAAAGCAAGGTGAGGAGAATTAGAGGGACAGGAGGATTTGCTATTTAGGATAGGGCCAATTCCCTAATAAGGCAGATTTTCAGCAGAAAGGGGATGGCAGGGAGGGAGTGGGCTATGCCGATAGGTCAGAAGAGCAGTTTTAGAGGGACCAGCAAGTGCAAAGACCCTTCTGTGGGAGCTGCTCTCTGTGTTTTAGGAAAAGCAAGGATGCCAGCTGCCTGTAGTAGGCTGAGCGAGGGGAGGGGTGGCAGGGTATATGGAGGACCACATCCTGAGAAGCTGTGAAGACCACAGTCTGGACTCTGCTGAGTAAGCTGAAAAGACGACAGAAAGTTCTCAGTGGGGAAGTGACATGGTATGAGTTAGTTTTTCTTCTCCTTTTTAAAAAAGATAATTTTGGCTTCTGCATGGAGAAGAAGCCATAAAAAGGCAAGAGCAAAAGTGGGGAGAATATTCAGGAGGCTACTCCAGGAATCCAGGTGAGAGGTGATAGAGAGAGTGTTGGCTGTGTGAGAAGTGACCTGATTCTGAATATATGTCAAGTAGAGTGTGTGGGAGTTGCTAATAGAGTAGGAAGATGTGAGTTTGGGGAAAAAGGGAGAACTCCAGGGTGGGTAAAGCTATTGGAAAATTTGCAGAAGTAAGGGAATAAAGCAGATGTGTTGAAAGTACTATGACTTTATTGAGTGTTTAGTGTGTATCAAGCATCATGCTAAGTTCCTTATCTGTATCACATCACTTAATTCTTCTGACAACCTTTAATTTGCAATGAAGGAACTAAGGCCAAGAGAGGGAAAGTGACTTGCCATTCATGGAGCAGATGTCAGGCCGGGCACCACTGCAGAGCACACTGTGAATTAGCCACATCATACAAACTCTATCTTCTCTGAGAAATGGAATTTTACCCAGAGTTGGGGAAAGAAGGTGTAGTAAGGTAAGATCAAGACTGGGAGTTCAAAAAATGTTGATTGATTACTTGAAAAATATACATCGAAGATTTAAACATGAGTAATAAGATGATTTTTGACAATGCTTTCTCAGGGGAGTCGGTGTGGTTTGGGGCTCACCTTCCTGAGGCTATGTGTGCTATGTCTAGATAAGAAAACGACTGAGCTGCGATCTTTCTAGACCTTTCCAAAAGTAACTTCAATCACTGAGTGATCCCTTCCGCTGCCACAACTGGTGTGGAACCAATTCCCAGCTCCCAGTCCTATGAGATAAACATCCTCATGATCTTATTTAGCATAAACATTGGCCTGAAATGGAGCAGGCTGGCAAGAGGGAAGTTGAGTCATGACATATTTATTAAGCTGAGCACTGAGTTTGACACTCAGAGGAACACCAGAATAATTCAAGACACATTTCTTGCCCTTAAGGGGCTTACAACATTGGCTTGGCTGGAAGACCACCCAGCATCCATTAGGATGGAGAAATCAAATCTCCACTTTTGGGCTCACTGCACTCCTCAGAGTGACAGACCAGGAGATTAAAAGGGTCTTGGTGCATATGGAATGCATGCACGGCCTGCAGCCCCTCAGCCTGTGTGCATTAACTCCACAAGCAGCCTGGCTGCAGAGTGAAGGTGGCTGTTTGTGCATAAACATTGTCATTTCACTGGGACTGCTATTTCATCTTTGAACCTTGGCATCAAAGGAACACTGACCTTATTCCTGTAGCTTGCCTTTCTTTGAAGCGTATGGCTTTGCATTGCAGATTAAAGTGAAGACATTCATCAAGGAACAGATCTGGCCAACTGCTCCCCAAACTCAACCTGAAACAAAGCCTTGAAAGGCTCCAATCACAGTTGTAGTGGAGTGGGCTGAAGATGAAGGCTCAGAGCCCGGCTTCTCTTTCTCAGATCCTGTAAGGCAGCTCTTGCATGAAACAGTGCATCCTTTGAGCTCTGGGCAACTTTACCCTGAGAGTGAGTCTATCTCTGCAGAAAGGGGTGAGCTAATGCAATATTCCTAACCTGTCCTGCTCATTTGATTTAAAGCAGCCATTGTTGCAAATGAGGCCAGTGTGATCATTCACTGTATGACTTTCACTGCTTCAAAAGATGTGTCAGGCAGAACTACCTGAAACTTGGCTGATAATTCTGTCAATTTTCTTTTTCTTCTACTTTCCTTTGTTTCTTTGAAAATAAACTGTCCTATATTTCTCCCTCATTCTCCTATTTTGCCTCTAAAAAAACCAGACCATACACATAGCATTCTCTGTTTTTTTTTTCTCTCTTAAGATGACAAGAGGAGTAAAGTGAGAAGCTTTAAAACTGAGGTTAAAAAAGTAACCAAAGAATTCTTTAGGTATAAGGCTAAGAGAGAGAAGCAAGGGAAATATCTACTACCTCAGGGGAAGAAAAATTGATGGCAGATGATTACTGAGGAGCAAATGCTCATGTCTTTAATGTAATCTTTCTGCAGATCTTCCACTGTGATCAGATCAATAGAGCAAGTTTTGTCTGTGATGAACCAATCGGAGGAGGGAAGGACATGATTGCAAAGTTGCATACATGTAAAGCAACTGATTCGGATGACATATAGACCAAAGGACTCCGGAAATGAGTGAAAATTTTTGTTGAGACACAAGCTAATTTCTAGAATAACTTTTTCCTAGTCACTTGTCTTTAAAACAAGACCAAAGAATAATTCTAGTCATTCTGAGACAATTCAGTTAACTTGCATTTTTGCTTAAATCTCAAATAATTGATTTTCCATTAAGAAACACTTGAAGTTTAAGAAGAGAATTAATATGGCTTTGTGGGAAGCCAGTAGTTCCAGAACAGTTTTTCATACAGCAGAAAGCTTGTGGAGGAAAAGATGCCACTCTATCTCGCTTCAATGTTAAAAGGTTAAAAGATACCTGTTTAAGACAGGCACAGTGGCTCACGCCTGTAATCCCAGCACTTTAGGAGCCTGGGGTGGGCAAATCACTTGAGGCCAGGTGTTCCCGACCAGCATGGCCAACGTGGTGAAACCCCGTCTCGACTACAAATACAAAAATTGGCCAGGTGTGGTGGCTCGTGCCTGTAATCCCAGTGCTTTGGGAGGCCGAGGCAGGCAGATCACCCGAGGTCAGGAGTTTGAGACCAATCTGGCGAGACCCCATCTCTACTAAAAATACAAAAATAGCCAGGCATGGTGGGGGACACCTGTAATCCCAGCTACTCGGGAGGCTGAGGCAGGAGTATTGCTTGAACCCAGGAGGCGGAGGTTGCAGTGAGCTGAGATCGCACCATTGTACTCCAGCTTGGGTGACAAGAGCGAAACTCTGTCTCCAAAAAAAAAAAAAAAAAAAAATTAGCTGGGCATGGTGGTGCATGCCTGTTGGTGCACACCTGTAGTCCTGACTACTCAGGAGGCTAAGGCAGGAGAATCACTTGAGTCTGGGAGGTGGAGGTTGTAGTGAGCCAAGATCATGTCACTGCCCTTCAGCCTGGGTGACAGAGCAAGACTCTGTCTCAAATTTTAAAAAAACCCAAAAAACAAAAAAGAACCTCCTCCCCCTCCAAAATAAAAGGTACCTGTTTATCCAATGTCTGTATCCCTTAATTTACCCCTACCTCTTTTCAGGGGTGTGGCCATATGACTAGTTTTAGCCAATAATTGTAAGCAAGGTGATAAGAGTCACCTCTAGGCTGACCCTCTCTTTCTTTTTACCTTGGTAACCATGGGGGCCATGTGTTGAGATGATGAACCCTTAAGGTGAAAGCAGCCTGAGTCACTGTCTTCAAGGACAAGCACTGTGTAGAGAGTTGACTGATTGGTATTAGATGTGATGCAAACAAGAAATACCTTGGTTCTGTTAAGCCACTGAGATCTACAGGGTTTATTTGTTATGGTGGCAAAACCTCCCTTATCCTGACTAATCCAGGATCTTAGAGGACATCTAGTCCTACTTCACTTCTGTCATAAGGATGCTTCCTACAGCATCTCTGAGAAATGCTTCAAATACTTGTCGATCACCTCAGAAACAACAGCAAATAATAGTAGCAAGCAATTATACAATGCTTACTGATACTTGTCTCCAGACACAATGTTAAATATTTTGTACAGATTAATTTGCCTACTTCTCACAAAAACCTTGGCTCATAAATATTGTTTTTCTCACTTCATAACTGGATGAATTGAAGTACAGAGAAGTTGAGTAACTTGCTCAGGGTTGAATAGATAAGTCACTCATCTAAGGCCACATACGAGTGAATAGTATCACAGGAGCAGATTCAGGCAGCTACCTTCAGTCTCATACCATAAGGGCTTCCTAGACTGGACTGTCGTTTTCTTTTCACAAAGACCAACCAATAGGATGCAGAGTCATAACACCGAAAAGGCAAGCCTGGAAGGGATCCTAGAGATCAGCCAATCACCGCATTTCATATGGAGGAAAAAATATCCTCCTGCAGGCCTTTACCCTGCTTTAGTGAAAAAGAAAAAGTCTTGTCTTTCAAACAAGTGTCTTGGGGAGCACTAGGGCTCAGTAGAAGGGCCCCAGGGGGTATCAGTATGGGGGTAAGTGAAGACACTACTTTAACTAGATCAGCCTTGTTCTTATCTGTTTTATATAGTAGGCTTCTAGCAAAATTTGTATGTGAATATTCTGCTGCTTTAATAATATTGAAAACTGATGGAGTACCCCATACTTCTACTGAAATAGCAGGCTTGAAGCATTGCATTAAACAATGTAGGACTTCAGGTCAGCTGGGAGGTGGGGTGAGGCACATAGATTGTACAGTCCAGTGGCCAGGATAAATTGCTACTTCCATAAATGTGCTCACCAGTTTGCCTGGCAGCAAGAACTGCCTTATTCAGCACCGTATCCCCTCTGGTGTGTGACATGTGGTAGAATCTGTATAAACCATCTCTGCAAGATGGAGGGAGAGTTCCAAGAGGCTTTTATGAAACAATTTTTCAAAAAGAGGATTAATTTGGGTTGAGCAAAGTAGCACAGTTTAGCTCTGGTCCCACTGACAAAGAAATGGCTGGAAGCTTATTGTGTGTGTTTTGTCTATATATCCTCAATGGCCAGTGGTGGCCTTCCACTGTCCAACCTCTGGCTATAAAAAATAAAAGGATTGAAAAATTGGATATTAAATTGGCTACTTTGGTCTTAGGGAAACACAAGTGACAGCCCCAAGCAAGCACAGGCAAACATGTGCACGCTCACGTGCGCGCACACACACGCACACAAACAATATTTGCTTAATTTCAACAGAATTGATCACACAAAATTATCGAAATTTGCTGTTCACAATGAGGTAAATTAGAAAGTTTTCTTTGCTTTAACAAAGGGTTTTTGTATGGTGTGCTAACGGCAGTTTTGTGCATTTATCACATGGCTTGATTTACAAATAGGGTTCTATAAGATAAAGGTGTGTATTTGAGAAGCGGGGAGATTAATGAGGCAGAAGGGAGACAGAGAGGTCCAGGAGCTGTGCTCTCTGCAGATCCTCTTACCTTGAGTGGTCCCATCCAGTCCCATGATAAGTTTTAGTGATCTGATGATTTGCTCTGCTATCGGTGGGCTCATGGATGAAGCATAAACAGCACTATGCGAGTGAACCCGTAAATAATCCACGAGGTCCTTAAATAAAGAGGGGAAACCCAAAAAGAAGGCAAATAAATCTCAACACTGGTGGTGGGAATTACATCTAGTCCCATCCCTATCCTCATAGCAAAAGACATTTGATCTCATGCTCAAAAGATGAATGGGGTCCAACTTTCAATGGTTTTCATCAAACTATTTATTTTTTCTATTTCCTTCATAGTCTCTCCCTCAAAAACCTAGAATCTACAGCAAAGCAGGATGCTGCAGGTTTGGAGTTGAACTTTAAGGCAAAACCAGATGTGTGAAGAAAAAATGATTCCTGAAGCATTTGTTGAGTACCTACTATGTGTGAGCACTGACTTTGTGTTCAGTGCCCAAAGAATACAGGATGTGGTCCTTGCCCTTGAGAATATTACATATGATTGTGCCCATGAACAAGCATGGTAGAATAAGTCACAGTCCATGCAAACTAGGACATGCAACAGGCCTGCAAGATGCAGAGGAAAGAGAGAGGGTCCTTCTAGCTGAAGTAGTTAGAGAAGGTTCCAATGAGGAGATATGATTAGGCCTTGAAGAATGAAGATAATTAAGGGGGAAAAGAAAACGTGGAGGGAGGGTGGCAGAAGAGAGAAGTTGAACAAAGGAACAGAAGCAAGAAAGCAGAAGGCATGTATAGCAGTGTTTACAAAAATAGCTGTAATTCTCTCACTGTCTGTACCCATGCATCTTTGCAATCCAACTTCGCAGTTGCTTCCATCAAAAGGCGGATTAATCTGGGCTGGCCTTGTGATTTTCTTTGTTCAGTAATATATGGCAGAGGTGATGGTGTGGTGGTTCTGGGTCTATGCCTCAAAATGCCTTGAGTGCTTTTGTCCTCTCAGAACTCTCTCCAGCTGCTATGTGAATAAGCCTGAGCTAGCTTGCTGGAGGATGACAACCATGTGGAACAGAGAAGGACCATTCCAGCTGAAGCTACCCCAGGCCAAGCAGTGCCCTGCTGACTCAACAATGGACTGTTGTACAGAAGCAAGCCCAGATGAGACCAAAAGAACTCCTTAGCTGAGCCCAGCCCACATTGTTGATGGGCAGAGTTTTAAGCTAAATAAATGGTGGTGTTTTTAGACACCAAATTTGGGGGTGGTTTGTTACACAGCAAAAACGAATGGAGGCAGCATGTTTGGAGGACAGCAAAGGACAGTTTGAGTAGAGGCTTGTGGGAAATTAAACCAGAATATTAGGACCAGATAAACTCTGGTTATGCCTTTGGCAGCAGAGAACTATTGGAATTTTGTGTTTTGTGTAACACTCTTTGGAATGCTGAGCCACTCCAGAATGCTGGTTTTCAGTGGTAGGAGCCATTTTTCACCTGTATGCCTGACTCCTGAGGCCAAATATAAGGTCCCAAGTAAGCTTGCTGAAAGCCCTAAGAAGCTCCAGTAATCTAATGCCGCAGTGGTGAGGGCCTCAGAGCTGGCATCTGCAGGTGCTCAGTTGGGTGGCAGAGACCCTCCATCAGCCCACCTATACAGTGTCTCATGGCCTGGGACTCTCCAAGTGTCCTGCAGAAAAGCTAATGGGCTGATGACAGGCCTCTGCATTAGCAGTGGGGTCTTTAAAGGATCAGATGCCTTCTCTTTAGAATAACGGCACAGCTCAGAATCCCACTTAGGCAGGTGTCTTCGCTATGTCTTCCTTCCTCATGAAGGTGATTTGGAAAGAGCTCTTGGGAATCGAGATCCTCTGCTTTGGGGTAGGTTCATGTCCTCCTCACCCTCCTTCATTAGTCACATTCATTCCCACTTCCGAGCCTGGGCCTGGTCCCTGCCCATCACTTTTCCATCTCTCTTAGGTATGTGTGGGCATTGTTGCTCACAAGCATTTTCAACATTCACAGTTTCTCTTCCTCAGCACAGTGTGTGGCCTGCCTTACAGTGGTCGGTGAAGGTTAGATTAATGATGTGATGACTCTGCCTGGTCCATGAGGGGAACCAAGGGATGTGTTCTGTTCTTCCTGCTGTCTTCAATATGTCTTTCATTCTGAATCCCCCCCTTTCACCCGTCCTTCTTCTATGACTTCCTTTTTCCATCTTCTCCTTCACTTCAAACTATTCCCTTTGTTTTTTTGTTTCTTCCTTTCCTTCTAGCTTCCTTCCTTCCCCTTCCCTTCTACTCTAGTTCTCTCTCTTTTCATTTCAAATTCTTTATTTAAATCTGTTTCTTCTCTGTATTTCAAAGTATTTCCTTCCTTCCTTCCTCCCTCCCTTCTTCCCTTCCTCCCTTCCTTCCTTCTTTCCTCTTTTCTTCTCCCCCTCCCCCCTTCCATCTTTCCTTCCAGCAAGTATATACCAATAACCTTCTCTGTCCTAGACATGTGTGGGAGTCCAGGAGGGGAGGGAGGATAGAAAGGGACCATAAGGCTAGTCCCTGGCATCCATTATCCATTTATATAAATGAAATTAAGTTTCTGATGATTCTTTTATTTGGTGAGCCTCATGAAAAAAGCTGGGTGGGTTTTCCCCATATCTGAAGAGTATGTGCATGATGCTGGCCTGACTGAATTCATCAGCCACAGGGTATCCGGAAAGTTCACTTTGGAGTATCTGAGGTGCCTCAAAGAGACAGCAGCAGTCATTTGCCAGAGTAGCCACAGCCAGGGCTGTCCTTCACAGTGGCATGTTCCGTGCTCCTGAGGAGCAGCAGCAGGGATTGCCTTTCTCTATTGAGAGTGAATATCTCCCTACAGGATGCTGGGGAAGCCAATGAGGAGTGGGTGGGTGGGTCCTGGGAATTGGATGATGGAGGCTTACGTGGACCTGTGTCAGGAACAAGGTGTTTCAAGGGTGTGATCTGGCCATGAGGGATGGGGAGATTTGGATAGATGCAGAGGAGCAAAAAGGCATGGGCCTGTCCTAAAATTAGGAATAAGGATGGCATCTTATGGGCATAGAATGGAGGTGTCAATTGGGAAGAGAGGGAGAAGCCAGTGCTTCTGAGACAAGGGGATGAGGAACTGTCCCCTTGGAGGGAATATAACGCAGGAGTTACAGTGCAGCCTCTGATGCCCAATAGCTTAGATTCAAATCCTGGCTTTGCCACTTACTGCCGTGTGACCATGGGCCAGTTACTAAATCTCTCTGTGCCTTAGTTGGCTTCTCTGAAAAATTAGATCATAGTAATACTTACCTCGGAGTTTATGAGGATGAAATGGGTGAATACATATATGGGATGCTTAGAAAAGCATCTGGTACACAGTGAAACAGTGAATACCTGATGCAGTTGGTGACTTTTTTTTTTTTTAGACAGAGTCTTGCTCTGTCGGCCAGGCTGGAGTGCAGTGGCATGACCTTGGCTCACTGCAACCTTCGTCTCCTGGGCTCCAGCAATTCTCCTGCTTCAGCCTCCCGAGTAGCTGGGAATACAGGCGTGTGCCACCACTCCTGGCTAATTTTTGTATTTTTAGTAGAGATGGGGTTTCACCATGTTGGCCAGGCTGGTCTCGAACTCCTGACCTCTGGTAATCCGCCGGCCTTGGCCTCCCAAAGTGCTGTGATTACAGGCATGAGCCACCACGCCTGGCCGAGTATTGTTAATCAATGGCCAATTGAAAGATTCTTAGAACTGGGAGCATGGGGCGGGAGGAAGGGACCAAAATATAAAAGCTTCTTGGAGTGTCTCTGTTTCAACTCTCTCATTTTGCACAGGGTTACATTCTAAGGTTGTGTGACTACGCATTGGTAGACCCATACATCAAACCAAGGATTTTCAGCCTAACTCTTCCTCCATCCTTATGGGGAGGGGTGGCAGTAGGAGTGAAAAGAAAGGAAAAGAGAGACATTTTCAATAAGGGAGTACCCAGGCTTGATGACAGGTTGAATGACCCTGAAGAGATAATAAGGCTAGAAGCTAACAGCATAGCTGATATTCCCTGGTGGCCTGAGGTTCCATTTTAAGAACTTTGTATGCATTAATACATTTAAATTTCACAATAACTCTTTAAGGTAGGTACTGTTTTAATTCCCATTTTATAGACAGAACAACTGAATCACAGAAAAGTTTACACAATTATTCCCAAAAGGTGGTAGAACAAGGATTTGGACCTAAAGAAGCTGGCTCTGGAGCCCCACCCTTAGGCCACACTCGACTTCTCCAGACTTCTCCCCAGAAGAGTAAGCTTGGTGTGGTGTGAGGGGGTCCAGGAGAACACAGACCCCAATTCCACTCTCCTTACCCTGCGGTACTTTCCCTAACCCAGAGACTGTTCCTCTTTTTGGAGCAGGTGGGGAGTTCCTGATCTACTCATCTATATGGTACTAAATCACAGATTGAGTCACATTGGTCTCCAAATGTTTCATGTCTATCTCTCTTGTTTCTCCAAAAGGGACTGAAACTTCCTTGAGAGCAGGGATGGAGCTTTACACTTCTTTTAAAATCCATAGTGGTGGATACCTAGTGGTGGCCTGCTAAATATTGACCGTCTAATGGAAAACAGACGGGTTTTAGAGATGGAGGAAAGGTGGCCAGGGGCCTCAAAGCATATAGGGTATTACTCAACTGCATTCTCAGGGACAAGTGTAGCAATTGTCTCTTAGCTTGGGGACCATCACTGACAAAGATCAGACAAGGAAGTAAAACAAAACTTCCTTTGATCTTGAAAAGGGCTCTTCCCAATGTCCCCAACCCTAATTCACAGATTGAGACATTTTTTAAAGTCAAGGTCATGAGCCTTCTTAGTTTGAATAAATACCTCATCGGTGCAGCACTGGTTCTTTTTAATGTTAAGACTATCTTGCCCAAAATTTTATTTTTTTTGGACTGAGTTTGCTTTCTCTCAGGGTCTGAGTTTCTGGATGGAAGTTTATTTGCTTGTGTGTTTCAAAAAATGGAGCTCTTTGAGTAACTTCTGGAGAGTGTCAGGGAGAGCCTTGATTCCTGGCTACTAATTCCCCCTCTCGTTCCCCCATTGGGTGCTATGAGCCATGAGTTAAGAGGTGGCTTTGGTCTTTTGCAAGGCGAGTCTGGGTCGTGTCTTCTTCAGGGTGGGTTAGAGGTCTCCTCGTATCGAGGTTTCCACGTCCATTTGGAAGTTCAAAACCCTGATTGTTTTCTCTACACACAGGCCTGAAGTTCAAGGGCAAGGGTGGCCTTTTGGGAGGAAATCAGACAGGAGACTCTTAGAATAAACATCTTAGAGCTCACTCCCTGACCCCTGCTTACTTCAAAGGGATGTTAAATACAGCCAGGGCCTAGTGTGCAGGGCAGAGCTCACTTTTTAGAGTGACCTGGCTTTGGCTGGCATGCAGGCTTCTGGGGCTAATGCTCACCCCAAATTTGTCTGCCCTGTCCCAGTTCCCTTCTCCAGAATTCCAGCCCTGCAACCTATCAGTTACAAGGGCTACCATCGCTTCATTCATTTGCAAGTCTCTGGTCAGCCTGTGGAGGCTGTGGGAGCCAGTGTTCGGCACCAGGCATGCAGGTGGACTCAAGATCCTTGCCTGGGGAAAAGTTTGGGGTCTTCGGCATTGACCACATTTCCCAGCAACAGGATCAATACAAATGTGAAAGAATAAAAATAAGAAACCTAGTCCCATCAGCTTAGGCTTTCCTTCAAAGAAGCCATTCATGGCACGGAGCTCTGACAGGTGGAGAGAAGTAGTGATCTGGAATTTCATCAGGAAGGTCTTGAAAGGACAGACTCCTCCATGTTAGGCTGTTCACTGTGCATCTATAGCGGCTCCAAACCCAAAGTGAGCAAAACAGCAAAACTCTGCTGGCTCTGGACAGACTGTTAGCAGTTTCCTTGAGGTGGAAAGTGGGGATCACAGCCTGGCAGCAACTTCCAATTAGCAGAGGGGAATTTGTAGGACACTTTGTGAGGAAAAGGCTCTGAGATAAAAACAAAACCTCTGTTTCCTCTAGTAGTATCGTCATACTAAACCATTTTTTTCTCCTTGTTTTCAAATGTGTTTCATTACATGTCTCATCTGGTTGCTAATATATAAAACTCTGACCTTGACCCATTCCATAAAGATTTCCAGAACCTCCTAGACACTGTTACTGGGAATGCAGCCCCTCTATACCAATATTAACATCACTTAAAAAGAGAGTTAAGAGCCAGATGTTTTTATCTCTTTTTTCTAGATTTTTGGAGCTAACTGATTATTTTCAAATTTCAGGGTTTACTGAGAACCCTATGAGAACAGTGAAATTGAAATTATACACAGTTTCAGAAAAACAGCAAGTCTGAATGTGTGTACTTTAACTTTTTTTATGTTCAATTTTGTTGCTTTTGTATACATTGGTTTGGAATCCTAGCTATTTTGCAATAATCCCCGAATTTGAGATATACGGGAAGTATCTGGGAGATTATTCATCTGTCTATCAACTATCTATCTACCTATCTATCTGTCTTACAGTACAGTTATCAGAGTTTGAAAACTCTACTCTTAATTATTTAAACATACTAGTAGAAGTAGTTTTTTCAAACAAAAATCTTTAGTATTTGCCGAATCCTAATTTAAACAGACTCAAAGTAAAAATTCTTCACAAAATTATCTGAAGTTCATAGGAATAAAATATATGTTTGACTTGAAATTATACATAATGAAACTTAACATAATTAAAAAGAATTAAAGGTACAAAGGAACGGATACATAAGTTCCATCAAATCATGGGCTCATTAAGCCGAAAGGAAGCCAGTTTACCCAGGTTTATCACAGTCTGACCAAAATCATTCCACACAGGTGTGTATCTGACTGATTTTTAAGTCATCAGGGATACAGGCATTTTCTCAAATGCCCTCCTGCTCACCGCCCAGGTCTTGGAAACAGCCCCTATGTTTTCAAGGTTTTGCATCTTGCTGTTTTAGGGCAGATCTCAGCGTAGGCTAACGAATCTCTGCCAGACACGCTCTAATTCTTGCTGCCATCTAGTGGTAAATTTAGACACTGCAGTGTAACATGAAGGGAAGAGAAGACAGAGAAAGGTGGGGAGGAAAAAGGAGGGAGAGGAGAGGGAATGAACAATGCGACCCTCTGTATCCAAATATGCATAAAATGAGCATTTTAAGAGATAAGAAAATGAACAGATGTACATACTTTTTCTGCATCCCGATTAATGTAAATAATGGTAATTTTCACAATTGCTCAGTATCTATGCCAAATGAATAGAAATTGTGTGGACAAGAACGCCTACATCTTAAAAATACTCTAGCTGACATCAGAATGGAGAGCATGAGAGAGAATCATGGTGAACTGGTGTTTACTTCTGCTAGTCGCGAGCCTTTGTTTAAAGTGGGTATCAAATGAAGCTACTCTAGGGGGAAAAATGTGACATCCACCAAATTTGACAACATTTCAAGAATTGGCTTGCTTCGGTTTATTCAGGTGCCTTTGGTTCAGGAAGTAGAGTTATGCTTCGTTAAAAATTTTGTAGTTCAGAACTGCTGCTAAAGTAATCACAAAACCACAAGCTCACAGAGCAATGTAGCCAGGATCAGGGAGCTCCTAAATTTGAGACCCTCTGCTCCTACTGCTTCGACAGTCTAGGAAGGGAACATTTAACCTTTCACCAGATTTAGCTGAATTTTGTAAGATCCTGGGCTTTCCCAATGGTTTTAGCATTACCCAGCTGATTCCCACAGGCCAGTGAAGAGGGGATGAAAAACAATGCTTTGAGCCCGAAAGAAAGCAGTGCTTATTGAAGGGTAAAGGCCACTTAAAACTCTGAACATTTTAAGCATCTGTGCATTTCATGGCAGGGCCAGTGGCCAGAATTAAATCTGTTGTTTTAAATCATGAGCTTTCAATGAGAGGACTGTTTTCTGCTGCACTTCTTGGTTTGTCTAACTGGTTTACCAGAAGTCTGAACTCTTGTTCCTGTTCATCACAATAGGTAAGAAAGTGGGGATTTTTGTTGATACCACTTGCATGCACTGGTTTTGGGCCTGGTGTGGCATCCTAGGCTGAGCCAACATCACTGTCACATCTGCTCTTTGGGACAGGTGTAGGTTTGTCTGAGATAGGTGTCAGAATTTGGACAAGGCTATCCTCTCATTGTTCAGATAACTGGCTCCTTTATCTCTCAAACCCAGGTTTGAATATTGGATTTTCTTTGTCCCTTTCCTTTCCCTCCTTTTAAATTTCTCTCAAATATTTATTGTTTTTTTTTGTTTTTTTTTTCCACAAACCTCTTGGTGATATTGGCACTAGAATGACAGGGCCAACACTCACTTAACAGTCTAATCCCAGCAGATCAGAATTTTTAAGGCATATTGATAAGATATTGGAGAATGGCAGGATTTGACCTATGGTGTATGCAACATTATGGAAAGAATTTTTTTTGCAGAGAATATTTCTTAAAAGTACATTCCTGCCACCGTTTTGATTAAAACTCTTAAAACCCACAACTTGTAGCATAGGGTCAGCCTCCCTAATAACTAACATTGCCTACTGTTGCTATTATCTTCTTTGTGTTTTTTAATGCTTATAGTTTTCAGAACATCCCTTATCACTTCTGGCTTGGTATACATTATTCTCTCTGTGTGTTAAATATGGCCCCCCATTATTTGTCTACCAGATGGATATTCATTCTAAACCATGTCCTAGATACTACTTAACAGAGTTAATTATTCCTCTGCCTGGTACTTTGCATCTTATGTACACGGCCAGTGTTGCCATTTCATTATAGTGTGATCACTCATCACATGCTCCTCTTCACTATTCGAGGGAGAGCTCCTCGATATTCTGGGCCTTATCTGGCTGTGAACCCACTGTAGCCAGGCTGGAGTGATCAGCTGAGGTGTGGTGAACTGAATTGAAGCTTTCATGAAATTCAGAGAAGCCCTACACACGGCATCCCCAGGGCGCTCAGGTTTTAAACAGACACAAGCAGGCCCTCTCTTACCTTCCTTCCAGCTATGTAACCTCCTGAAGCTCCAAAACTTTTGGTGAATGTGCCCATGAGCACATCAACTTCATGAGGGTCTAGTCCAAAGAACTCCGTGACACCCCGGCCGGTTGGGCCCACGGCCCCAATACTGTGAGCTTCATCTATGTAGAGGTAAGCCTTGTATTTCTTCTTTAGAGCTATGATCTGGGGCAGATGCACGATGGAACCTTCCATGCTAGGGCAGAAGGAGAAATGCTCATAACTAACAAATACCCTCCTGGGAAGCTCTGTCAGTTTCCCCATCAATACATCCTAGACAGTCTTCCCTGACACACGCCATTCCTTTGTTCTGAAGGCATGTTTTATTTGGCTGAGACAACCCTTTCAATCTTGTAAGGCCACTTGGGCATTTCTATGCTACTTGGATAAAATAATTTACATTCAATGGATTTAAGTGCTTTTGGTTTCAGCTAATTCTCAAGCAAACAATCAGCTCACTGCATTATTGATCCAATTTATTTGTAAAGCCAACTGGTGTAACTAGACTGACCATTCTGGATTCTAGATATTCTGCTAGAATTGATTAAATTACCCTATAGTCATTCCCTTTATCAGCCTGGCATTGCCTTTTTGGCCAGGTCTGTTTGACTTAAATTTGGTGCTTGAATTGCCATAGATTAAAAGAGGGAATTAAAAAGACACAGAACTTTATTTAAGACATCATAGTGTTAATTAAAGTAAAATAGGAAGTCTTTGAGACCTCTTGTTCAATACCCACTTCAAGTCAAAGACCGAGGTGTCTCCTCTTTCTGTTCCTTTAGGGCAGAGGAACAGAAAGTTGAGTGAACATCAGAATCCTCTGAAGGATTTGTTAAAACACAGATTGCTAGACTCCTACCCCAGAGTTTCTGATTCAGTCGGTATTGGGTGGGCTGAGAACGTGCATTTTTGCCAAGCTCCCAGGAGATGCTGCCACCAATGGTTGCGGACCACATATAGAGGGCCACTGCTGTAGATGAACTCTTTTGTTTTAGCCCTAACTGTTTTATTTTTCATGATATTGTAAGTTGCAAAAGCACTTCAAGTCCTGTGATCTGGGACAGATACACGATAGAACCTTCCATGCTAGGGCAGAGACAGAAATGCTCTAAATTAACAAAGATCCTCCTGGGAAGCTTTGGTACATCCTCCGGCACAAAGGGAAAAAAATGTAGTCTATGAATAAATAAAATTAAAATTTCTATTTACATGGCACCTCTGGGACTCAATGGATTAAAAAAATCTGACAGTAATCAGTTCTCAGAACACTTTGCAAGCTGTGTCTATGTTGCACACAGTTTTGACTGCATTGACAGGCAAGTTGTACGAAAACACACAGACACACTCACCACACAAAGGAACTTGTCAAACAATTCAAACAACCGTTTAGGTTAGTTCAAGAGCTAATTCATTGAATCAAACAGAGTTGAACGTCTCCTTTTTCCCCTAATTATTTATTAGATTAAATTTAATGTATTAAAAAATAAGCTTAAGTGTTAGGTCGATTCAGTCAAAACAGTCCAGCTGGCTGTGTGCACAGTCACCCAGACCAACGGGTGTTGGTTTGGAGAGAGTATCATGATCACTGGGTGCAGCATTTGTGTGTTCCACGAGGTAGTTTTGGATGGCCGAGTTCAGATTTTAATGAAATAAAGGCCAAATACAGTTGTCTTTTCTTATGTAAGTTTGTGAGTTAATTCCAACATGTTCTTAAATTAATTGCTTGTTAAAATTGTTTCCATTGAGGGGAAGACAGTCTGGCCATCTGGCTGCCTAAGCTTACTAACTGTGAGCTTGGGCAATTTGCGTGATGTTCTCTGCTTCAGTTTCCTCATATGCAATACAAACAGGATGATGGGCCCCTCTTCACAGGGTCTTTATAACAATCACTTGAAATCATGCTTGTAAACTACCTGATCCATGATGGGCATTTAGTGAATCGTTACGGCCCTCAGGAGGAGGAGCTTAGGAGGAAATGGTTGCAACGAGTCCTAACTTGGGAAAGTGGGAGCCCTTGACAATGTTCTGTGTTGAATCTTATAGGAGCGAGGCATGTGGGTGTCATGCTGGATGTCATACATAATAAATGGCTGCAGGTCCTCAGAAATCTAGAATTTTCTTCTCTTTAAAATGTTATAAGTTGGTAACACAAATATGCCAAAAAACCTGACATGCCACAAATAGCCATTTTTTTGTTCTGGAACTGAATTTGACAGAAGCCAAAGTTAATGGCCCACAGTGTTTGTAGACACTGCGGGCAGCTAATTAACCATCCTTCCATGGGGCTGGTCTAGCTGATGTTAGGAGCCTGCCCACCTGGTTTATATTTCTTCCTCTAAGATTAATGACTCTACAATACTGCTGACTTTTGGAGTTAATGCAGGGCACACACAGAGTCCTAGGGAGAACTCAGCTTTTATAGAGTTATATTCACCCACACTAAGTTTTCATTTTCACAATGTGATCAAATTTGAATTGAGCCTTTTCCCACAGTGGGATATTGAGTCTAGCGCATGCATAAAAAGGCTATCTATGTTATTCCCATGAATTGCTGTCAAAAAACAGTGCCAAAAATGATACAGAAAACAAGAACAGCAATTTATTCTTTCTTCCTGAATGGAAGGTTGTGTTTTTCTTTTGACTTCAATAGAAGAAAAACAACTAAAACACGACTGTAGGTAAAGATAATTCCACGAGTTAATTTGAAGCTCTGTGCAGGGACTTGAATTATTCTTAAACCAGCAAGCCAGTGAATAATTCCTTTATATCTTTTCTATTACATAATGTCTTAGCTAAGTGAAAAGCCTCCTTTTTGAAATCTCCCTCTCACCACTTTTCCCTCCACATATAAACCATATTAGCCACTGGCAGATGGAGAATTAAACCACCGGCTAGCTAACTCACATGGTGGAAAAATCTCCTTGGTGGGCCCAAAGTGTAACTCAAAACAAGAAAGCAAGGTGGAAAGAGAGAAAAAGAAAGTTAAGGTCAATTAAAAGTAAAGTAACAAATGTTTTCTTATTCTTTTCTTTATTTGTTTAAACCATAGAGATACAGGTGACAGTTTACCACTGAAGTTCTCAATCCTTAAATTTACATTATTTTGAGCATAGGAGAATAGCTTACATTCTTAGAGTAAATGGTATTCTGAGGCTACAGCATATGTGCATATGTTTATATATGTATTTGTTTTAGAAGAGCTGACTATTATTCCTTGATTAATTTTATTTTGAAAGTTAGTGCTCCAGCTATGCTAGTTTATGTCCCAGGTTATTTGGGACACCACACCTCAAGGATATTTTTGAATAATTTTGAGATTCTCAACCACTATGAGTTGATAAGGGATCTAGACTTCTCAGAGACATGAAATTAGAAAATGTGATTTTAAAATGATACTTAATGAAAACATACAGTTCAGAACACTGAAATAATACTATTTTAGTTTTAAACCCCAAATCATGCATTCATGAAACTTTGGGTTTTACGTTTCAATGCCCCTGTGTTACAGATGAAGAAACTGAGGCCTAGATAGGTTAATGGTAAAGGTCAAATGGGTGATCTTGCATTTTCCATGTTTACTTCATTGGATGTGGACACATGGGCTGACTCTTCTATTTACATTGAGCCTTTGTCCCATCAGGGCCACCTGGTTTTAATCCCCGCTCTGCCTCATCTCGGTTATCTGTCCTGGGGCAAGTAATCTAAGCCTCGGAGCCTCAATTTCTTCATATTCACAATAACTTCAGGAATACTTGGAGGCTTACTCAAGGCTGCACATGGGAAATGTTTAGCAAGGAGTAGACACATGGTCAGTGTGAGTTTCTTTCTCTAACAGCCACTTTCTGGATGGAAGAAGAGCAAACAGCCTTGCAACATAGATGACTTATTGTTTTCTGAGTTGCAACTTCTTAGACTGAAAATCAATGTGACAATAAAGACAGCCACTCTTGGTTGTGAGCTTTCTATGGGCTGGGCCTCTGCCAACACTAGCTTATATGACCTCATTGAATATTTATTATTACCAAAGTACCCTATGGAGGCCACACAGATGTAGGTGGTGATGCCAGGATTTGAACCTAGGTCCCAGGCCTGCCTCCAAATCCTGACTCCTCTATATTCTACATATGAATAATAATACCTATGAATGGTGACATTATTATTATTAGTTTTGTGGAGTTGTCTGACTTCTCAGACTGGGTATCTAGCCTTTTCTATCTTGATATCTCCCTGAAACTTTCTGATTTGGCTGACTGCTCTCTTTGGGGGTTATGAAAAAATTGATGTATGTGGGCTCTGTGCTGATGTATGTGGGGGTGCTTTACCCATGGTGGCAGACCATAAGCAAGAGAAAAAATCTGGAAGTTAAAATTCAAAGGAGGCTTTGTGTAGGTACCAACAAGATATGCATTCCTAATATACCTCCGAAAAGTAGGAGTGCATTTGTGAACTATTGACTTCACATTCCTAACCCTCCTTTGGAAAATCCTACGGGAAATAATTTTTTGTTGTTGTTGTTGTTGAGACAGAGTCTCTCTCTGTCTCCCAGGCTGGAGTGCAGTGGCATGATCTTGGCTCACTGCAACCTCTGCCTCCCAGGTTCAAGTGATTCTTGTGCCTTAGCCTCCTCAGTAACTGGGATTATGGGAGTGCACCACCACACCTGGCTAATTTTTGTCTTTTTAGTAGAGGTGGGGTTTCACCCTGTTGGCTAGGCTGGTCTCGAACTCCTAACCTCAAGTAATCCACCTGCCTTGGTCTCCCGAAGTGATAGGATTACAGGCATGAGCCACTGCACCTGGCCTTATGGGAAATATCTGGTGATAGTTGCAAATTAGAACACCTGTATAAAGGCTTTTCCTTTGAGGTTTAAGGCTGTAGAACTCAACTCTAGGCTATCTTTATTTTACAGATGAGGAAATTGAAGCCCCCAAGAGCGATTGAGGCTTGTCAAAGAGATGCCCTGTTACCTATCTGTGAATGTGGCCTTTTAGGTCTTGGTCTCATTTAAAGTCAACATTCCTGTGTGGGTGAAATGAAAGGAACTTTCTTGTGAAGGAAAATTCTTGGAAAGTGGGGACTTCACTCTGTGTCATCACCAGGTTGATTGAGCCACTGTGGTGGATGGCTTCCAAAGATGGCTGCCTGCAAAGCTTCCCATCCTTATACATACAAGTGGATCCTCCATCAGGGGGTAGGGTCTATTTCACCTTCTTTTGAATCGGGGCTGGCCTCATGATGTACTTGAGCCAATGGGTCAGGGCAGAAGTGATAATGTCTCAGTGCCGGCAGCCTTTGCTTTTGCTCTGTTGGAAGCCAGCACCACGTTGTAAGGGAGTTCTGGCTAGACTACAGAATGAGAAGAGACTATCTATAGAGAAAGCTGTGTGGAAGAGAGCATGGCACTCCAGGTGAGAGCCAGTACCGAGGGCCAGATGTGCAAGTGGGGTAATTTTGGATGTTCCAGCCCCAGACAAAGTGTCAGCTGAATGAAGTGGCCTCCATGAGAGGCCTCCAACCAATGCCATGTGGAGTAGAAGAACTGCCCAGTTGGTCCACACAACCCACGGTAGCGTGGGAAATAATAAATCATTGCTGTGTAAGCCATTATGCTTTGGGTGGTTTGTTACATGGCAATAGGTAACTGAGCAGTCACTATTGCTAGTGCAACCAAAATTGTGGTTTGGTACCACTCTGGCTTGGAGCTGGAAGTCCACACCTGGGTCCCTTGTCCTTCTGAAGTGGTGGGATGCAGGCGCCTGGCATGGCCACTAAGAAGCCCTGCTGCTGGAGTTGTTTCTCTGTGTAGCTGATGGGAATATTTGCCAGTAAAATGCCAGTTGTCTACTTAATTTCAGCCATGATCAAAATGGTTAAGACCTAACTTTCATTTACTGGAGCCAAGTTCTATTTATTTGCAGTTGGGTTTTGTTTACTCTGCTTAAAGGAGATGCCCAGTCTGCTCTCTCTCAGCTGATCTGTGTTCCCACGAATCTAGGCCTGAATGACAGGTGTTTAGATAAGGGCTATTTGCTCCCCTCCCAGGCTGGCAGCAGGCACAAATCACACAGGGAAAAAGATCCATGCTTGAGGTTATGACAGCCCAGAGTCAATATGAGATTATTTCTTAAAATTGCAAGTTAAGGCCTACGAGTTGTCAGTTATACCAGAACAGGTTTTCTCAGCCTTAGCACTATCGACATTTTGAGCTAGATAACTCTGTGTTGTAGGGGCTGTCCCATGCATCGTAGGATGCTTGGCAGCATCCCTGGCCTCTGTCCACCATATGCCAGTCACACACTACTGCAGTTATAATGACTGAAAATCGCCAAATGTGCCTAGGCTGGGGCAAGGACAAGCTCACCCTGGAGAACTACTATGTCTAGAGTGCTCCCAAAGACTTCATCAACAGTACATACTCTCTGGGCTGGCTGGAGGAGGTAATGGTAGGTGATGCAGAAAGTGAGCTGGTAGAAACTGGAAATGCAAACTTTGCATTTCCCACAGTAGGACTGGGAACATCCAGAACCCTAACCATGGGGGCAGAAGTACTGGAGTTAAAAATGTTAAAAATAAAATGAAACCAAGCTTCTTATTATTATTATTTTAGAGTTGGGAGAATTCACTTTTTTTTTCTTAAAAGGAATAAAGGCACACTTCTGCTGCTGCTCATTATCCACTCATGCAGCAGAAAAAATGTGCACTCAGGGACTAATGAGATTAGCGGGCTGAAAGAAATCCTATGTCTATCCTCAAGTCTCCTTTGTAGCCACACTCCTCCTTGTCTTAAAGTTGAACAGCCTTCACTTCCTTCCTTTTAATATTTTTCACTTTTCTATCATTATAGGAGATATCCCCCTCAATTTGCCTAACGTCAGGATTGTTTGAGAATTGATTCAGGATTGGGCACTCTGAAATAATGTCTCCTTGGCTTATGGACTAGACATCAGCCCATTCCTACCCGCTGGCTCTGGAACAAGAATTGCACCCCAGGTTACTCCTACCTTGGGGAAAACAGGCAGATCTTTTGTATTGATGGCAATCACTAACAAAGTTCAGCAAGCAGCTGGGGGTTGGGCGTGCTGTCCAGGTAGGGGCATCCGGGCCACCCATCAACAATTTCTACCAGTCATAAAGGCAAGGAGTGTTTTGATCTTGAATAACCCAGCTGCGAAACGCCTTTGAAACTCTGGGGCAGTCAAAGGTAGTGGAAAGATCAACTCAAGTTAGCAATGCCTTGAGAGGATATTTCTGAGGAAGCCTTCACAAGCCGGCCAGCCTCCAAGCTGCTGTGCCATATATAGAGTCATCAAAAAGACAGATAACCCACGTCTGACAGCTCCCATTGGTGGCTCTGTCTCAGGTCCCTGTGTCATATAACCAATTCTAAGTCATTTCTCTGTTTAGCTAGGAAAGGTGAGCCTTTCCGCACTGGTCAGCTTGCTGCAGGCCTCCGAGTCGTAAAATGTGTCCTGTTATTTACATACCTGTAGACACCCTCCACCAGGATGAGAATCTTTTTCCAAGCTCTGCGGGTTCGAGGCTGGCCATAGATGACAGCATCTCTCAGGAGCTTCTCTAGGCTTTGTGTGTCTTTAAATAATACCAAAAAAAAAAATTGAGTCATGAAAGGGTTTACTTTTCCTTTTCCACTTTCTTTTTCCAGATGTTTTATGTTCACACTCAGACCTAAACTTTCAGAGAACAAATTCAGAATCAGAGAACCCTTAGGGAGAGAGAGACAGAGGTCTATTTTTCAGTAGAACTTAACTCTGACAAGACAAATAGTTGGATTTGTACAAGTAGGCAGAGTAAACTCTCACCAGTGGGGCATGGTTTCCTAGGCTCTTAAAGGCTCTCCCCGCCTGCCTTAGAGAGATTGAAATTCTACGTTAAATGCATCTCTTAGGTCTAAGCTTTGTTGCAGGCTGAAATGAACTCTGAGAGACATAATTAATACCACTCATCAATCGTGTAGACATGAGCATGTTAGAGTTTAGCTGAGTTTGCACGGATCTCACTTCCTACACTTTGAGCCTTGATTTCTGACATCCCCCAGTCTTAGAAGTTTCAAAACTTTAAAGCAGTGGGACAATTAAGCCTCTTTTTCAAAATATTTGGGGATCTCTGAACACAATAATAGCTCACAGTTATTGAGCCCTATCTGTGTGCCAGGCACCCTTCTAAGCTCAGTTTTTGTCATACCTCATTTAATCCTCATAAGAACCATCTGGAGGAAGTACTAGTAGCATTTCCATTCTGTGGTTCAGGAAACTGAGACACAGAGGAGTTGAGTAAACTGCCTGAGGTCTATCATAAGCAACAGAATCAGGATTTGAACCCATGTAGTCTGTACTGTAATCCACATTTGTAACACTACCCTTTGCTGCCTTATGTGAAAGCCATTGTCCCTTCTTCTCAAATGAAATGGTGATGTAGAACAAGGGAGGATGAATGTCTGGCAGAATAATCTTGTTAACTTCTAATGTCAAATATAATCAATAGTGACAATTCATTTATCTGCTATCAGAGGTTGATGACTGGGCTTGGGTTGAGAGGTCATTTAGAAGAACTTGCCTACCAACCTAGCTGTTTGGTATATATGTACATGTGTGTGTATTATTTTGTTTTTAACATTTAAGCCTAGCAAGAAAAAAATGGCCGAGGTTTATGGGCATATTTTTTAGACTGATTATATTTGTACTGTGTATTTTTTGCATTTCCTAAGCTTTCCCTTTTTTGAGAAGATGAAACTGAAATACTTAGGTCCAGAATCCAATCTTAATTTTAAAAGATGGAGATGCTACTTAACTGCTGGCTTGACTGTTATGCAATGTTCACCAGGCATTAGAAACACCATTTAAAATGCTCACAAAAGGTGACATCTAGCAAAGCTAAATCTTTGAGGTCAGGAGTTCGGGACCAACATGGTGAAACCCAGTCTCTACTAAAAATACAAAAAATTAAGTGGGTATGGTGGTAGGCACCTCTAATCCCAGCTACTTGGGAGGCTGAGACAGGAGAATTGCTTGAACCCAGGAGACGGATGTTGCAGTGAGCCGAGATCACACCACTGCACTTCAGCCTGGGTGACAGAACGAGACTCTGTCTCAAAGTGAAAAAAAAAGATAAATCTAAAGCTGCATAGTCAGTACTGGTTTTGACCACTACAGACAAAGCTCTCAAGAAGCGTATGTGCATTGGCTTATCACTCACTGGTCTAGGCTCAAATTAGCTGCAGTTCTTGGTCTCAATGGAGAGCCCTTCAACTTTGTCTTTGAGTCTCCAGTCTGTGCTCAGATCTGTTTTAGGGCTTCCCCCAAAGCTGAGTGAATGCATTAGTGGCTGCATTAACTTTTCCACACTGCAACTCTGCCACATTCAATGAGGCCACAAGATAGTTCTTTGAAATAGAGTTGTGAATATATTTGTGTGTGTGTGTTTCTTTTTAATTATCAAGTACATTTAAGCAAACCACATTTAAATAAAGGTGACTTCCTATGACTTGGAGTGGGATAGGACAAGTCAGAATTTGATAGTGCAATATCAGAACCTCATCTCTGAGAGGCCCCTGTTAGCATGGCACCTTCCAAGCTGTCCTCAGCATCCACCCACTAGAGACTGGGTATCGGGTCCTGAAATTCAGAAAAAGCATGTGACATGAATAAGATGCTGCATACTAGCAAGATCTCTTGGAAATCCAAACAGTAGTGTTAATACACTATTTGACTTCCTTTAACATCCTTAAGAAAACATCACATAAATAATGAAAAAATAAAGGAAATATATAATGAAATAATGAAGAATTAAGGGAATAATTCTTTATTCAAATATATAAAGCCTTAGGTATTAGATATAGTATGCTACCTGTATGCTACCAATAATATCTGGCATGTTATCAGAACCAACAGATACAAAAAAAAAAAAAAGGTCATTTTCCTTTCCTTTCTTTAATCACTAGCCAGAAACTAACTCTTTAGGTGCTTTGTCAGTTTAAATGTGGAATTAATCAATTTCACCAAGATCGTAAGGACCCGTGAAAGAAGAATTGGAAGAATGGTGGATCTTTGTTTTATTTCATGCCACTTTCCTTTTCTTTGTTTTTTTCTCTTTTTATCTGCAAAACAGGCCTCCTGATATCCTGGCATCACTATTGTGTTCTTTTCACATAATATTACCTAATTGACAAATTTACAGAGCTTTCTTCAGTTCTTGTTCTACTTGACCGTGGGCAGCATTTGACACAATTCAACACACACTTATCTTTTAAGCTTCTTCCCTCTGCCATCTGGACACCATTTTTCATTAGTTTTTCTTATTCCTTTTCCCACTATTTCTAGTATTCTTTGTGAGCACTATTTCCTCTTTTAACCCATTTTCCTTTTATGTTTTCTCCTTGACTTTTTTTTCTATTTTCTCATTAATCTTCCAGTGGTTCTCAACCTTCAGGATGAATAGAAATAATCATCTGGGTAACCAGTTAAAATGCAGATTCTCGAAATTTCTACTCAGAGATTTTGAATCAGTTGGTGTGGGTCAGGGCCCAGACGTTTGTATGCTCAGTATCCCTGGGGTCTGGAACCCATAACGCAAAGCGAGACCTCTACTTTGATCGATATAATGTTTTTCTTACCATTTTTTAGACAAATATGGGAACCTCAAACCCATTTCCAAGATGGAACTTGCTGCAGACTACATTACTGGCCCATTTTCCACCTCATTTGAGTTCCTTCTTCTGTGACTTTGCAGTCCTTTCCTCTCACCAGTGGAGAACGTTTCCCTGCCCCTTGGCTTGGGTTCAGCCAAGTGACTTGCTTTGGCTAACGGAATACAGAGAAGAGACAGTTTGCTAGTTCCAAACCTAGATCTGAAGAGGTCTTATGCATTTCTACTCTTTCTCTTGTGCTTCTGCTAGTGACAGGAAAAGAAAATGCCCAGGCTAGCCCCCTGGTCTCAGGTTGGCCCTGGGAGAGGATTAATGGCACGTAGGGCACGGTTACCCCAGCTCACCTGCAGCCTCCAGTGAGAAATACTTGCTGATTATTATTGGCAACTGAGGTTTGTTCCAGTAATAGTTGCCTAATACAATCTCGAATGGCCCTTCCTGATATAGCCTCTGCCTGTCTTTCTGACATAGTTTGTCAACATCCCCCAACACACAGCCTCCTGATTCTCCTCCATGCTTTTTTTCCTCTTGTCTGTCTGGAGAATGCTCACTCATCACTGAAGTCTTAACCCAAACTCTTCTCGTCAATAATACAGAACAGAGTTAAGGGCTTCCTCCTTGGTGTCCCTCCCGACTTGTCTATTATTTTTTAAGCACTCATCGCGATGTTCGTTTTTTGCTTTCATGTCTCTCTTCCATGAAGTCAGGGACCTCGTCCTCATCCTTCTCGCCCTAGTCTTAGTACACAGTACTAGGCTCAATCATTACCTAATAATTGCATCAATGTTCTTTTCCTGGAGAAAGAACGTAGACTAGGAGACAGGCAAGGAAATGCCACTTGTGGATAGAAATAAGAATTATTAGAAAAGATAAATATCTCCTACCTGCAATATATTTTCAAAAATTGATGGTATCTTTTGTTTTGTTTTAAAACGAGCAGATAGATATTTTTTGAACGTTCCCAAGAGCGTGTTTTAGCGTACATTATTAACCACTAGATGGCAGCCAAGGAAACAAAAAGCGGCTTTCTTGTTTTGAAATTTTCAGTTAATAAACTTTCACCTATTTGGGTATCTTCTTTTCACTTTTGCTTTAGGCAGAGTTCCTAAAATATTGAAGAAAACCTTGCGACTTGGAGAACCAGTCTTCCTTTCCTATAATCTTTTATTTATTATGTCTATAATATTTTATACTATTATTCATCTTCTATAACCAAATCCTCTGAATGGAATAAAGAGATGGTGAATAAAAGCATTCCTGTTAAGAATGTTTTCCCTTTGGGACTTGGAATTTATAAGTTTTTGTGCAGAAATGATAGATGGTAAATGTGGCTCCGACGACACTGGAATAAAAACTAAACCCAAGTGAACTAAATTAGTAGTCATTTTAAAATGAATATTCTAAGATTTGGAAAAAATATGTAAATTCAGAGGCCACTGTGTTGTTTTTGCACCAAAAAGGTCACATAAACACGATGGATTAATCCAGAATTTTAAAATGAACACCACGAGTCCTAAAGAGAAGCTTTTCTCCATTTTTAAAAATAACACGCAAGACATGAAAACAAGACTTTCGGTGGCCGCGCTGTGTTTTATACATTTTGCGGAGGGAAGCAAGAGGAATCCCAGTCTTTTCCAAGTCAGGGACTTCGTTGTGTTTGACTTGAATGGAGATAGCCATGGGAGTGGCTTTTGGTGGAGTTCACAGCCCCCCAGGGTCAACACACCAGGATTCTTGAGCAGAAGGAAAATCAATTAGCCATTTTTTTTTTCCTCCTGCAGGGGATGAACTCTCCGACCTCTTAGAATCACAGAAGCTACACAGGAAAAGGGAAGACTGCGCTCGGCCTGGATTCTGGCCCCACCTTAGCCCCTGGCATGTTCCTCTCTGGTTCTCTGTCGTTCTACAAGGCTACAGTGCGTGGGTTACAAACCCGCAGATTTAAGGGATTGTGATTTATGTTCTGTAGGCCTTATGGGATTCTACCGTTTCAGCAAGCTGCATGCTTACATCTGCAAGGGATTTTTTTTAAAATAATGATGCTTATTAAGGCACTTACACTTGCATTATGTTAATCCCCATGACACCTCTGAGAAGTAGGGAAGGACTGTTAGGTTTTTGTTTTTTGCAGATGAAAAAAACAATGCCAGAAGTTTTGTTAAAAAAAGTTCCCCAAACAAAAGCCCTCCAAACAAACCTGTTCTTGTTGATTTAATAAGAAAATTCTGAGATACGGAAATTAAAATAAAAGTATAATTTTGACACCATCTAGGCACACACACACGGTGCTATGGTACAGTGTGGTTCTTGAGTCACAATGACACACCACGGACTTAAAATGACCACTATTTGAGCATTAATAATGCCTTGGTGTTACTCAGCACAAAATTTGACTCACTAAGGAGGTTTCTTTTGGTTTGTAGAGGACTAAAAGGATTGAGCTGGTTTGGTGGTGTATTAGTCCATTTTCACGCTACTGATAAAGACATACCTGAGACTGGGTAATTTATAAAGAAAATGAGGTTTAATGGACTTACAGCTCCACGTGGCTGGGGAAGCCTCACAATCATGGCGGAAGGGGAAAGGCACATCTTACGTGATGGCAGACGAGAGAGTGGGAGCCAAGTGAAAGGGGAAAACCTTTATAACACCATTAGATCTCGTGAGACTTATTCACTACCACGAGAACAGTATAGGGGGAACCGCCCCCATAATTCAATTATCTCCCACTGGGTCCCTCTCACAACACATGGGAATTATGGGAGCTACAATTCAAGATGAGATTTGGGTGGGGACACAGCCAAACCCTATCAGATGGTTATAAATATCTAGCTATAAGAAATGAAAATGTGGAGACCATGTTCTGGTGCCTAGTGCAAAACAGTCCTAGCCTTTTGCCAGCATAGTTAACTGGATTACTGAATTACTAAATACTTGGAATAATCCAACTATGTGTCCAAAGCTACAATCAGGCTTAGGTGACAAATGCTCTTAGCCAGCCTGAGCCTGTGCCTGTTCTTACATTCAAAACCCTAATAATAGCAAGCCTCCTGGATCTGGAAAAGCTGAAGATGCAGTTTTGTGAAAAGAAAGCACAAGGCAGCAAGGGACCCAGAATCTTCCAAGAAGGTAGGGCATAGTTCATAGTGTGTCTTCCGGAAGAAAAAACCCAGACATTTAGCTTTCCTCTTATTTCACTGTCAAATGGCAACACTGTTGCATACATCAGGGCTTCCTCCTTTCTCTTCTCTTGTGCAGCTGTGGGTTTTCCAAAGGCCTAGATCTACTGTGAGATCTTCACTCACTGCCCATTTCTCAGTGCCCCTGCTCCCTCTCCTATGGATCCAGGAATGCGAGATTGGGGCTGAAACTCAGCCTCCACTTTCCATATGCTCCTGGTGTGGTTGGTGGTTTATTCTTTGTCATCCATGACCCCACAAAAACTACTTTCATCTGCATTTAGAGACACCCTTTGGTTCCCTACTCTCTGGGTTGCTCAGCAAAAATATTTTTGTGTCTGCCTATCAGCGGCACTCATATTTTGTAAATGAAAAGATGGATGGATGATGAATGAATGTCACTTTTTACTGTTCCTAGTCCCTTACCCCCCATCTCTATATCCACTCCTCTTATTCCTTTGGACATGCAGTTTCATCCTTCAAGATTCAGCCCAAATGTGAAATAGTAAGTAGCGGGTATTTAAATAGCTATGAATGATGACAAAGAAATTATTCTTACTTTTAAGATGGTGGTGGGGAGGACTGTCCCCCTTTTTTAGCCTTTCGGCGGAAACAAAATCACAATGACCAATTTTGTCAAGCAAAACAATTATTTTTTGAAAGTCACATTTATGGGGTCTGTTCTCCATGAGATCACAGAGGGCATTTTTGACTGAAAATCTGGTGCCTTTAAGTTTTATAAAGCAGATTGTGCAAGGACTTTGGCTCAGGTTTTCTGGATGGCTCTTTAAACATGTGGATAGATGTCGCACAGCCTTAGGCAGTTGAAAGAAGCAAAGGGATCTTCTTGGAAGAGTGCAAAAGACAGCTGAGAGCAGGTGACCTGGGTTGGGCTTATGGATGAGGCAGGTGCTAGGGACAGGGCCTGTTTACCCTGCAGGGGGAGGGGGTAATTGCAGCAACTTTTGACTCTGTAGGCATGAGATGAAGGACAGGCAGAACCTAGAAACCAGGGACAGGGTGTCCAATAGGCTTGGGCTCTGGGCTTGATGTAATGCATAGGATTCTGATCCTCAGGAAGGAGATTGTGGAATGAGACAAAGTACTGAGATGGGATCTCTAAATGAGGGGGCTCAATGCACCAAGGTGAGACATGATTCAGGGAACAGTGTAGGAGCCCAGTGGTTAGGATTCTCAGTCAGGTGGGTGCTGGCAGCATCTACCTAACCAAAACTGCCTTGGCCCTGGGAGAGGTGTACGGGAGATGGAGGCTACCAAGTATTACATTCATCACTCTGCCATCCAGGGGCAAACAGAGGGTAGAAAAGGCCAGGAAAGGAGGTAGCGTGTCATGCTTAAAAACGGAGACTCTGGAGTCAGACTTCCTAGGTTTACCAGCTCTGACTCTTACTAGCTCTGTGTATCTAAGTCACTTCACCACTTTATAGATGTTTCTTCTTCATCTGTCAAAAAGGAGATAAGAGTAGCAGGTGATTCATTTTGTAGTTATGAGGCTAAAATGAGTTGGTGAATGTAAATGGCTCATTACAATGAAGGCTCAATACCTTTTAATTATCATTAAAAGATAGGGAGGCAATTGCTGGCTTTATTAAGCAACCTAGTTTAGAAATCCAAGTTGGACATTGAAATATAAAAGATCATGGCTTGCAAAGTAGTCTAAGCCATGTTTACGGGTTTAACTTTTTACTTAAACAACCTCTCGAGCCCTTGTTCTGCAGACTAGGTAGTGCTCAGAGTTTTCTGGCAAACACTGGCCTTCTTTTTCTTCCTCCTCTTGGTCTTTAGTAGGCAGAGTTTTGGTTCTTCCTTTCCACTTTTTCTTTTAAACTACTCCAAATTCTTGACCTGCCTGGACCTCTGACCTCATGACAACTCTCTAAGCTGAAGAAACAGCTTTTCTCCGAGGCTAGCTTAAGAAAGTCTTAGTGACTCACTTGAGGACCGAGGTTGCCTGCAGTCTCGCTGCTCTGAGTGTGGTTCTGCATGACAGCAGCAGCAGCAGTAGCAGCAGCGGCACCCAGGAGCTTGTCAGAATGCAGGATCTCAGGCCCCCACCCAGACCTGCTCACTCAGAGTCTGCATTTTAACAAGAGCCCCCAAGTACCTCGTGTGCATATGAAAGCCTGAGAAATATTGGGGAAAAATAATTTCATTATTTGCTCATTTCCTCAAAATGCACCAGAAACACCATGGAGAACAAATGTGTTGGTTCCTGGTTGCAGCTGACTCTGTAGCTGAGGCCGTGAAATGGCTGGAGAATGGCTGGATAGCACAAGGGCAGCCTGAGGGTTGGCTATGTCCCTGAAGCTGCCCACAGTAGAAAATGCAAAGAGATCTTTTTAATACTCAGCGAGCAAGAATGCAGAGGCCAAACTTCAGCATTCTGAATTGAAATTGAGGCTACTAACAGGATAGGGCTCCATTAGCCATCACACTGGACTGAGTTTTACACAAGGGACCATAGCTTTCTGACTCCTACATATGGCCTGGCAGCAAATAGCTGGACTCAGCTAGTGGTTAAGAGTGTTAACAAGTGCTGTGCACATCCTGCCTATACCCTCTCAGCCCAGCTTCTTCATGCAAACACAGGCCATTCTTTGCCTAAGAGCTCTTTTTCTGGCTGTGGGAACATAGCCTGATTAGGGAGCAGCCTTCAATCAGTCACAAATGGGAATTTGTGGGTAAATACTTCAGCTCCCTCAGCCCACAGGTAGGGATAACAGTGAGTTATCTATCCTGGCACCCAGAGTTTCCTAGTAGAATCGAGGTCCTGTTGTCCACTCTGGTCACTTGCTTGACAATGCACCATGTTGGCTGCCTTCCTGTGCCCTGGTCACCTACTGGTGCTTCCTGTGCCCTGCTCACCTACTGGTGCTTCCTGGCATCACTTTCTGAATAAGTGACTTGTGATTACATCCGTGTCTCAAGGTCTGCTGCTGGGGGAAGCAAACCAAGACAAAAGCAACAGACTTGGGTCTGCATTTTGACCCCTGTGATTTATCATTTGCCTGACCTTAGGCAGGTCATATAATCACTTTGAGGATTAGTTTTCTCTTTAATAAAATGAGGATAATGAAAAGAACTCTGTATCTGGGTTGCTGTTAAAATTAAATGAACCAGTTAGCTAAGAACTTAATACCAGTGAAAGCTGAATAAATGATAGAGTAGTTATGACTCAGCTATTATCCACATGTACTATTATAGAAGAACTAATCTATGGTGATAAAAGATTCTGGTACTCAGGTGTTTTTTTTGTTGTTGTTGTTATTGTTTAAGAAATGAGGTCTTGCTATGTTGCCCAGGCTGGTCTTGAACTCCTGGCCTTAAGTGAGCCTTTCATCTTAGCTAACCGAGTAGTTGGGCTTACAGATATGAGCCACCAGGCCTGGCTCTAGTACCCAGTTTTGAATTTAGCATCACTAAAAATGCACTTCTGAGTCTTTTCCTGTTTTTTTAGGAAATAGACTTTCGGTGTTCTGATTTTGCTCCCTTGCAGAACTTTCCTTCTATTTAGTCTTCTCAGGTATTCATTCTGGCTTTGTGGGAAATGGAGAGAGAATAATAATGAATAGCTTTGGAGTTAATGGTCAAGCCTATTTACACAGGCTTAAAAGTTTATTATGATGGTCTGAGTAGGTTTAAGTATATCTTAGGTATTTTTTCCTACAGAGAATTAAAAAATCCAAGGGCCCAGAATTCTGATTCATTTATAGTTGGCTTAAATAACAAAGGATGTCCACTTCCATTGGTACTGCTAAAAAATAGAACCTCCTCCTCTCCAACAGGCAGAAGAGTATTGTTAAGGTGTAAGGAGAGGACATGAAGCAGAGGACAGTCTGTGAGAGCAGAACAAGTTTAGAGTTGCATGAAATTCCACAATCCCATTGTTTAAGAATGCTCTGGTGCAGGTGGCCATTCTTAAAACCTGTCTCACAAGTTATTAGCTTCTATCTGGACTGGTTGTGTGTGTCATGCACATACAGTTTCTGCAGATCCTAAACAATCCCTGTATTATCAGTCCAATCTGTGTGGATGCATATGAAGGATTAAGACATCACTGCATACTAAAGCAGTTAGTATTATCTTGGGAATAGCAGAGCAAGAAACAGAGCCAGCAGCATCTGATGCTGTACATATTATAACTCCATTCAGTTCTTTCCCTGTCCTTATACTTCTTGCTTCCCTCACCTCTCAAGAAAGAAGTCATTCAGAGGACCCTGGAAATAACTGCTCTCAAGGGGTCTGTTTTTGTGATGTAAATACAACAGCAGCAGAATATGCTCGTGTTTCAAAGTTGTATTAAACATGTGGGTGTGTGGGAACAAGGGTTCTGTGCACCTGTGAATGAAAGCCTAGTGGTTTCCTATTGCTGCTGTAAGAAGTTAGAATACACTTAGTGACTTTAAGACAACACAAACTTATCTTACAGTTCTAGAGGTCAGAAGTCTGAAATGGGTTCGACTGGGTGAAAATCAAGATATTGGCAGGGCTGTATTTCTGTCTGGAAGCTCTAGGGGAGAATCCATGTCCTTGGTTTTTCCGGCTTCTAGGGAAATGCTTCCTGCATTCCTTAGCTTGTGGTCTTCTTTCATCTTCAAAGCCAGCAAGGGCTCTTTAAGTCTTTCTCACATTGCATTGCCCTGATCCTCACTCTTTTGCCACTCTTTTCCACATTTAACAACCCTATGATTGCACTAGACCTACGTGGATAGTCTCTTTAAGGTTAGCTGTTTTGCGGCCTGAATTCCATCTGCAACCTGAATTCCCTTTGCCAGGCAACATAATGTTTGTAGGTTCTGGGGATGAGGGCATGGACGTCTTTGGAGGGTGAGCATTATTTTTCCTACCAAAGAGAGCAGAAGAGCAACAGCAGCTCAGGCATAATAGACTCCCATGGGTTAGAGGACAGACTCTGACCCTAGCTGCACCCAATTCTCAATTAGTTGGGAAGGGCAGTATTTACCCAGATAGCTCCAGGCTTCACTATTAATCAGTTGTATGATCTTGGACAAGTTGCTTAATAACTCTAAGCCTGAATCTTCTCATTTGTAAAGCAGTTCCTACCTCATGGAATTCTTCACAGGGCTAAATAAATTAGAGAAGGCCATTACCTCAGCATCTGGCACAGAGGACTTTCTCAATAAATGTTAGTTGCTAGTCTAAATAACAACAGCTAACATTCATTGTTAGGATAGAGATAGTAACTATTATCTATTTTTCATGAGTACAAAGGGAGGGCATGAAGAATAAGTTACTGAATGTTTTGAGAGCTTTGTAAAATTGGGAGATAAAATTTAACCCTTAAATTGTAATTTCAGCAAAAAGTTAAGAATTTAAGGGAAAATTTTATTGGAAATAATTTGAAACGTAATAGAAAAATTCCAAGAATAAGAGTACTGCAAAGAACACCCACTTACTTTAACCTAGATTCACCTATTAACACTTTATCCCATTTGCTTAATCATCTCGTCTATGCATATTTATAGCTATGTCTGTCCACCTGTGTTTAAATGTGTGTGTACACACACACACAATTGTTTCCCTGAATTAAGACAAAGTTGCATATATCATGGTCTTTACCCCTAAATAATTCAATGTGTCTTCTTTAAGAATAGGGTATTCTCCCCTTTAAGAATAGGGTATTCTCATACAATTACAGCAGGATTCAGCAAACCTTTTCTATAAAAAAGCCAGATAGTTTTACTTTAGGCTTTGTGGACCACATACAGTCTCTGTTGCGTAGTCTTCTTTTTCTTTATACGACGCTTTAAATATGTAAAAGTGTTCTTAGTTCACAGGTCATAAGTTGTCTACCCCTGGACTATGGTGAAATGATCCACTTCAGTATTTTTAATGTTGATACACTATTCTTATCTAATATTATCTAATTTACCATGCATCTTCCAATTTTTCAAACTGGCCTAGTAATTTCCTTTATGCATTTTCCTGTCTCTTTTGGAATCTAGTCTAGGACCCGCCATTGCACTTGGCTGATACTGTTCTTTCTTATCCTTTAATCTGGGCCATTTCCTCAGCCTTTCACTGTCTCTTATGGTATTGACATGTTTAGAGAATACAATTCCCTTTTTAAAAATAGAACATTCCTAATTTGGGGTTGTCTGGTGACAGGATTCAGTGCTCTAACCTGCATCCCATATAAATGATGTCAAAGGCTTTTTAGGGTATCATATCTGGAGACACACAGGGTCCATCTGCCCCTCACTGATGACTTCCAGGTAATAGCAAATGGAAAAACAACAACAAAACAAAACAACACAAAAACAGAGAATAGAGAAATTCTAAGAGAACACTGCTGTAGAGACAGACGATCTTCAGAATTATTATTTTTTTTTCATCCAGTGCTGTTCAAAGCTTTAACTTAAAGCTTGTGTCTCTGTTTCCATCTCTACTAGACATATGGAGAAGGCAACTAAATGTTTTGAGAAAAACCAGTTTAGCTGGGGAACAGCATGGTAAGAAGCAGAACTCCCAGGTGCCTTTTGTTGCTTTTTGAAGTACATACATTCTTAGCATGATTGTTCAGGTCATGCTGAAAGTCCTGCTGCTCTCTGCATGCTCCAGATTAGTTTTCTGCTTGAAATAATCTTTTCTTCTTCCCTGATTAGAATTATCTTAATCCTTCAGCATCTACTGCAAATGCCATCCATTTTATGCAATTCCCAAGGAGAAATAGACTCTTCATTTTTCCATAATGTTTTCTACTGTCCCTTAGTGACACTGATGACAATGACGAGGGTAATAATAGTAATAACATAGCAGCTACAAATAATTCAGTAGTTCCCATTGCCAGGCATTGTGCTAAGCACTTATATGCCTTTTCCAACCACAGTATTATTTGTGTATCATAATTATCCTCATTTTTGGAATAGAAAAATTGAGATCCAGAAGGTAAAGTAGTGTGTCTAGGACCACAGTTTCACAGTCTAATAAGCTGTAGGATGAGGACACAAATGCATGGGTCAAAGCCTGTACTTTGTTTTAAAATATTGGAGCAATGGTTTTAATTTTATATATGTTGTATGATTATAATAATATTGTTAGCTTAAATTTACTTACAGGGAAACATACAAATATTAAGTGTACAATTCGATGAATTTAAATAAGAATGTAACCATCACCCCATCAAAAGATTGCCCCAGAAAGTTCTTTTATGCCTCTTCTCACCAATTCCCTCCCTCCAAACCAGAGACAAGCATTGTTATAATTTCTATCATCATAGATTAGTTTTGTCTATTTTTGAATTGACTACAAATGAACTCAGACAGTATGTATACACGTTTGTGTCTGGTTTATTTCACTCAAAATAATTAAAATAATTTTTCTTGAGAGTCAGCCATGTTATGTGTAGCAGTAGCTTGTTGCTTTTTTTTTTTAATTGTGGAGTAGTGTTCTATTGTATAAATAAATAATAGTTTTTTCTACTATCCTGTTGGTAGACATTCGGATTGTTTCCAGATTTTGGCTATTATGAATAAAGATGCTACGAACATTCTTGTACAAGACTTTTAATGGACACACACTTTCATTCCTCTTGGGTAAATATCTAGGTATAGAATTTCTGGGTCATAGTAAAGGAGTATGTTTAGCTTTATAAAACCTTGCCAAATAACTTTCCAAAGAAGTTGTGCCATTTTATACTCCACAGGCAATGGGTGAGCATTCTAGTGGTGGCTCCATAGCCTTGCTAACATTTGGTGTTGTCATCTTTTAAATTTTAGCTATTTTAGTGGGTGTGAGAAAGCACCGTAGCCAAAGCCTATACTCTTAACCACTGCTTGATGTCATCATGGCCCTTTTCACTTTATACAGTAACTTGCATGCATATCTACCTTTCCTACTAGATTCCAAGCCCTCAGATAGCTAAGATATTACTTATCACTTTTATAGTCCTTCAAAGGGCTAACATAGTGCCTGAATCAGAATAGATAATAAACACTTAATAAATGTTGGCTTGGAACACATTCTCTGCCAACTTTCGATCAAGAGTGTAAAAGAGTAGAGAGAGGAAGAGTGAGGATAATTAATATGGCAGGTGTCTGGTGATATATCCCAGGGCACACTGGCAAGGTCTGGGGACAGCTTAGATTAAAGGAGGTTCAAAAAATAAGATTCTAGGTCTTATATCTCTCAGTATACATTATAATCATCTGGGGAACTCAGAAAAAAATGCAGGTGTTTTGGCCCCAACCCAGTGATGGTCATCTTGGAGGATTTCTACCCTAAAAGCCTTAAGCTGGAGAATAGGGAATGCTTGGTCAATGATTAATGAAGCTTACGTTTAGTCTCCCAGTTGGTCATTTATATATGTATGTATGCTTACCTACCTATCTATCTATATGACAGATATTTGGACTGAGTTGATCTGAGGTGGGCACAGTCATTGATCTTTTATGGATGTTCCCTAGATGCCACTATTGTGCAGCTAGCATTATGAGCACTGACGCAGTAGAATGGAGTGAAGAAACAAGGGGTTTACATTGATGATGATCATGTTGATCTGTTCCAAAGAGATAACACCCCGACTACGTCTCTCTGGAAGTGAGATTATCACGTTTAACCACATACATAGATGGAACTACAGTTGAATGACTGCCTAGCTATCCCCTTTATCCTTTGCCAAGTAGGCAGAGCCTTTGATCAGCAATCATCTGTCATGCTGAAGAATCAAAGGGCACAACACACTTGTGCTAATACCAAAGGCATTCCTTGTAGTCTCTTAATAAACTTACTTGGAGCCTTGAAAGACGTCTACTCCAAACATGAATTCCCAACACTGCCAAAGATTTGAGTCTAGATGTGACAATCCATGATATTTCAGGCAGAACTGAAAGAATTTAACTTGGCTTATCCAAGTCTAAAGCCGAAATTGAGTGTTTGATGCAAAATGGACAAATGAGGTCAGTGTATTTTGAATGACATTAAGCCAGATGTTATAGCCACCCTATAAGTCTGAGGGGGCCATAGTTTGGCTCTTCTGGAAGGTCTGGTCCTGAACTGCACTCTAACTGTTCATCTTCACATAGCTACTGAAAGCGGCTCAGTAAGGCATAGCCAGACCTCACCCCACTCAGTGAGAGCCATAGATTTTTCATTTGAACAACTCTACGAGTTAGACAAGGGGGTTCACTTGAGAATACTCCCATGCATTTTCTTTCCTCCCCCATGGGACAATTGTTCTTTGGTTTAAGATTGCTGCGAGGTGGGCAGAACAGAATTGAAACAATTCTTCCTCAGTTCTCCGTCAGCCTTCTTCTTGTCACTTCAAACTTTGTTACCTTCTTGGAGGATGGAGGGGAGAGCTAGGAAAGAGGAACAGGGAAAAATGAAGGGGAAGGGAAGGCAGGAGAGAAAGGTGGTAAGGAAGAAAGAGAAAACAAATTTGTGTGTGTACACGTGTGTGCATGTGTGTGAGTGCATGTGTGTGCATGCATGTACACATGCACAGAAAGAAGGGAATTTTCCAACGACAATAACAAATTAGAATCAAAACCTTTCAACCAGGAGGATCCTTACCTATCACAGAGTTCGACACCTCATTTTACAGATGAGGAAAATGAATGCAAGAAAGATGAAAGGATTTATACAAAGTGACACAGTAAGTCAGGAGCAGAGCTGGACGAGAGAACTCAGATGTCCACCACCATCCACCTCCTTCAAAGTGTTTCCTGATAATTTCCATGCTGCCTCATCAAGACCCTAAAAGAAGAAATAGCCTTCTGCCTGCTCCTCACCACCCAGCCACACAAACCAGACCCTGAAAGGACATTTCAATGAAGTCGAATAGATGGTTTTGTTGGGTGGGGATCTGAGCATCTGTGGGTGGGCAAAGTGAAAGGAGGCATTCTTCTAAGGAACAGGCTAATTTTTTACCTGACCTTAACACAAAACTTAAGTCTTCAAACTTTCCCAAGGCAGAGCTGTAGAAAGGGAAGAGTAATAACACTTCTGATAATTAAATGGCAGTCCTGAGAGATCAATCATGTATTTAGAGGCCACATTGCAAAACCACTAACAGTGACATTAATGTGTTTGGGTTACACTTAACAATTTGGATGTTTAATGCATTTCAACCATTTGTTCCAGGTCACCAGAGGTTAACAAGCCAGGAGTGAATATAAACATAATTGTGTTTCATGAGGCTACGTTGTCACCTTGAAGAGCAGAACAAAGCCTCATCAATAATCTTTACTTTCTTCTAGGAGCAATCCAGTACATGTTGAGAAAATACACTGATACTCACTGTTGTGTTTGAAGATTCTTATGGTTGCACCTGAGAGTCGGGCCCCAAGCACAAGCGATGTGTGGTTTAACTCATCACTTAAAATGAGGCATCCCTGTGCAGAAAACAAGCACACAAAACACAAGCCAATAAATAAAACCAAGGAAAAACAACTTGTGGGGACAGGAAGACACTCTAAAACCTATAACACAATTTCTAAAACTCACTTTAATTTTAAAAGGCCAAGAGTTTAACCTGGTGTCTATGTGGACAAAATCATGTATAGCAGTTAGCTGATGGAGATGGGAATTGTTTTAAGAGATTACATGTTCACTGCGACATTTGCATATAGTTTTCAGTAGAGAAGTTCATCCAAGATCCTTGTTAAGCACCAGGTAGAGCCTAAAGTGTTGATCTCTGACAGGAAGACTGGTAGATTTTTGGGTGGGTTATGAACTTGTAGGGGCACTTCCATGAGAGATTATTTGGAACAGTTTTAGTTATTCTTCCTGAAAGGCAAGGGTCTTTTGTGCAGGACAATTCAAGCTCTTACTTCTGATTCTTATTTTCCACTGTATTAACATCCCATGTATGCAAAAACTTCAGTTTTACAGTCAAAAACTTTGAATTTGGAGAAGTATGGATGGCAATTCAGTCTGAGGTATGTGGATAAAGTCAGCCTAACTTACTGCTTGTAAATTACCCTTTGTAAAAGTATTCTTCTTTTTAAACTAAACATTTCTAAATTGTAAAACTTCTTAAGCATACCAAAAATGCAGGCAAATTATGGTGGACCTTTGTCTTTTGTGGTCTTCCAGAATCTTTGAATACTCCATTATATTTCTGTAGTTTCACATACAGCATGCTTTGAGTTTTTTTGAGGCAAAAGCCACAAAAATTCCCATATATTTGTACTCTAGATATATGCATATTTGTAATTTTTCTGGCGGAACATTTAGGAGTTATCTATAAGCCTCTACCTCACCTTCCCTAAGAACAGGACATTCTCCTATAAAAAATCACAATTCAGTGATCACATCCAAGAAGTTCAATGCTTCTACAATACTATCATTTGATAGACAGTTCAAATTTAAATTTCCCCAACTTTTCTAATGATGTCTTAAGCTTTTTATAGACATTATCATTCGTTTGATGTTGTTTGGTGCAAAATCCAGTCTAAGACCATACATTGCATGTAGTTGTGATGAGACACATTTTCAAAGGCATAAATTTGATTAATGTACTTGCTTACTTGCAATGAACCAGCCAACTTCCCATTTTTTTCTGAGGAACAATTTCAAACACCAGCATGATTGTCATTACATGGCTCATTGCCATTTGGCACCTGCTTTCATCTCTGGTCTTTTCTTTGACCACCATTCCATATTCTAGTTCCTCCAAACCTATGTATTTTACACATGCTGTTCCCTCTTCGTGTCCTAAATAATTCAACTTATTTATCTGTTAAAATTCTGTTCTCCTCTCACCACTTTTGCACAGACATTGCAGACTTTCTCAGGAAGGGTTTTGGGCAGCTCTTTGTCCTTCCTCGTATATGGGCATGCCTTTTCTATGGTATTTGTCCTATTTTATTCAGCATATTGTTTCCCCCATTAGACTCTAAACTACATAAATTTAAAATACATAGGTCTTGTTCATCTTTGTATGTCTTGTATCTTCCCTTATATGAGGACATAGTAGGTTCTCAATAATTGGTTTATTGAATGAAAAAATAAATGGGTAATGTAGGACAAATATTTTGTCCAAATAAATGCTTAATAAATATTAGCTCTGAGAAGTTGCAGATGGGAACTCAGGAGCCCAAAATTATGACTGCTTTGTTAAACTGTCATTGAAGATGAATTCTGACCCATGTCTAGGGCTGCAATTATATAATCAGCAATATCATGACAAGATTTGCTGGACTAAGCTGGCATACTTATTCAAAAATACCAATATCCAATCAGTTTCTCCTACGAAAAGAACCTTCTCAGCCATACTTCTTCTTTTTTTCTTTTTTTTTTTTTGAGACAGAGTCTCACTCTGTCACCAGGCTAGAGTGCAGTGGCCCGATCTCGGCTCATTGCAACCTCCACTTCCTGGGTTCAAGCAATTCTCCTGCCTTAGCCTCCCAAGTAGCTGGGACTACAGGTGCGTGCCACCATGCCCAGGTAACTTTTTTATTTTTAGTAGAGACGGGGTTTCACTATGTTGGCCAGGATGATCTAGGTCTCTTGACCTCGTGATCCGCCCGCCTTGGGCTCCCAAAGTGCTAGGATTACAGGCGTGAACCACCGTGCCCATCTCAGCCATACTTCTAACAAGGACCTACTCAGAGTTACAGTTCTTAGGAGTAATACAGTAGAAGACAATTAGGTTAACAATTCTCACCTTTCCAACTAATGCTGGGATATTCATTGAGTTAGTTGCGAATCCCATCCCAAAGACCATAGCTGCTTCCACATTCAGGAACTTAGCCACAAGGTCCTCCAACTCCTTGTGCTTATCCAAGGTGCCTGCACATAAAATTACATGAGAAGTGAGCCTTCTCTTTTCAACAAGGCCAAGATTGAAAACTCAAATTCCAGTACGTACACATCACCAAAAGACCTATACAAGAGTGCTTGTAGCAGGAAGATTTGCCATTGCCCTAATCTAGAAACAGCCCAAATATTCAACTATTGTAGAATGGAAAAATACAATGTGGGGTATTTATACAGTGGAATTCAATACAGCAATGAGAAAGAATGAACTACTGCTCCACACAACATTGTGGATAAATCTCACAAATCTGTTGTTGAGTGAAAAAAGTCAGACATCTAAAAAAGTACAGGCTGTATCATTTCGTTTACATAAAATATGCAACCAGACAAAACAGATCTGCAGTGTTAGAAGTCAGGATAGTAGTTACTTTTGTTAGGAGCATGAGGATGGTTTTTAGATTCTCTGAATGTTCTATTTCTGCATTTGTTACATAGGTATGTTTGCTTTGTGGAGATCCATTGAGCTGTATACCTATGACTGGTGCACTTTTCACCATGCTGTAAATGAAATATAATTTACAAAAAAACCCCACAATTCTTCTCTCTTTTTACTCTACATCTCACAAGTAATTAATTAAATTATAACCCCATCAGAGTTTTCCCACACCTAAATGCAAAACAGATCCCATGATTTCCATAGATACCAATAAAACTAGTTATAATTTATTGAACCTTTGGAATGTACTAGATACTGTGTTAAGCTCACTGTTTAGGTTCTCTCATTTAATCTTAGAAGCCCAATAATGCAGGTATTTTTACTTCACAGATAAGAAAACTGAGGCTTAAGAGGTTACCAATAAAAAGCAACAGAGATAATCTAGTTTAACTCCAAAGTTTAGTTTTTATCTCTTTACAATCTCTTACATACTTGCCCTTTGATCCCTTCTTAAACATAATCCCCTTATGCTTTGCTACAGCAAATGTTGATGCTGCCCGTATTTTCTGTTTGCTTTCACTTGAACTCCTAGGTCTGCACAGTCCTATATGGTAGCCACCAGCTACATGTGGTTAGTGCAATTGAGAAACTGAATTTCAAATTTTATTTTATTTTAAGTAACTTAAAATGTAAAGCTAAAGCATAGTAAACTGCATTTCACCAACTGCAAATTTATTTTTTGATAGCATTACATTTCATATTAATTATTGGAAATTTAATGTCTTTATGAAGATGTGCTGTAAGTGTAAAATATGTACCATTTTCTGAAGCCATAGTACGATGACAAAAAGAATGTAAAATAGCACATTGTTTTGTTTTTTTTTTTTTTTTTTTGAGATAGAATCTCGCTCTGTCATCCAGGCTGGAATGCAGTAGTGTGATCTTGACTCACTGCAACCTCAGCCTCTCGGGTTCAATCAATTCTCCTGCCTCAGCCTCCCAAGTAGCTGGGACTGCAGGTGCATGCCCCCATGCCCAGCTAATTTTTTGTATTTTAGTAGAGACGAGGTTTCACCTTGTTGCGCAGGCTGGTCTCGAACTCCTGAGCTCAGTCAATCCACCCGCTGTGGCCTCCCAAAGTGCTGGGATTACAGGCGTGAGCCACTGCACCTGGCCCGATATTTTTTTATAGTGATTACACATTTAAATGGCAATAGTCTGCATATACTGTGTTAAAGAAAATGTATAATTAAATTGATTTTACCTGTTTTATTACTTATTAAATATGGCTATTAGAAAATTTAAATTACACATGCGTCTTGCCTCATGTTTTTATTGAGCAGTGCTTTCTGAATGATATAACATAACAGATAAATGTACAAGTGGAGAGATGCTGTAATTTGCACACACAGAACGTAGGAGCTGTTGCGCAGATTTAAGTTACGGAAGTATTGTTAGCATGTTTAGGGCCGCTATAAACATACTTTCTTCTGCCTAAGGATCAACATAGTTTACTATACAAAGTATGATATAAGAATTTATTTAAATCTGTACGTTAATTTTCTTACTGTGCTAAAATGGTAAGAAGGTATTGAATGGTCAGTTCTAACATTTATATTGCATTTCATGTTGAAGAGGCACTTGGTGATCTGTGGCCTTCATGAGAGGTCACACTGAAGGGCCTTGCTTTTCAAACTAGAATTTGTTTATCCCCAAAGTTATTAGAAGGCATAGTAAAACAAGTGTTCTAGGCTGGGCGCGTGGCCCACGCCTGTAATCCCAGCACTTTGGGAGACTGAGGCGGGCAGATTACCTAAGGTCAGGAGTTCAAGACCAGCCTGGCCAACATGGGGAAACCTCATCTCTACTAAAAATACAAAAAAAAAAAAAAAAAATAGCCGGGTGCAGTGGCGGGTGCCTATAATCCCATCTACTTGGGAGGCTGAGGCAGGAGAATTGCTTGAACTTGGGAGGCAGAGGTTGCGGTGAGCTGAGATCGAGCCACTGCACTCTACCCTGGGCGACAGAGAGAGACTTCATCTTAAAACAAAAACAAAGGCCAGGCACGATGGCTCAAGCCTATAATCCCAGCACTTTGGGAGGCCAAGGCAGGCAGATCACGAGGTCAGGAGATCGAGACCATCCTGGCTAACACGGTGAAACTAAAAATACGAAAAATTAGCTGGGCGTGGTGGCGGGCGCCTGTAGTCCCAGCTACTCGGGAGGCTGAGGCAGGAGAATGATGTGAACCCGGGAGGCGGAGCTTGTAGTGAGCTGAGATGGTGCCACTGCACTCCAGCCTGGGCGACAGAGCAAGACTCCATCTCAAAAAACAAAAACAAAGACAAAAACAAACAACAACAACAACAACAAAAAACAAGTGTTCTAGTAGTCAATCTGACTCAAGATTTGGTGCAATGTTAAAAGTTTACATTGTAATTTCAAACTTTGTATTATCAAAGATATATTATGGAACAGAAAGAGAAACTGATATTTGGGAATAAAACATGGGCATATCATTTGCCAGATACGCGTTTACCTAAAAGAGGCTTCTTCCCAATGGGAATGGTTCCAAGAACAGACAGTGAAAAGGCCAACAGCCTGGGCATGAGGAGACTAGGTTCTGGCTTTAGGTCTTCTATTACCAGCTGTGTGGACTCTGGCTACCTTTCCTGAAAGTTTGCAGAGGGATTGAGAAAAATGCCATTTTAGGCTTTCCCGATGTTGCACGTACTATTTCCTCCACATAAAACCATTTTTTGCCCTTCATCTTTTCTCTAATGCCTTTCTCAGCTTCCCCAGGGAAAACTGGTCATTTTTCTCTTCCAAGATTGAATAACATTTATCATATGATGATTATAGCACTTATTAAGTTGAACTGAGAATGTTCCCAGGGCAATCTTCTCTAGTACAGAAAGAGTCCTTGGGGTGCAGATACTGTGTGTGAGATGCCATGACTTCCATAGATACTGACAATAGTATCATAGATGGCCATAGTGTCAGACATTCTATGATGGTGTCATAGATGTTTGTCTTGGCAACCACAGTGTCTGCCACAGTGCCGACACATAGTAGGTACTTGTAGAGTTATATGGGGCCTTTTGATGAATAATGAAGACAGGGCTGAGCTTAGAGTAGGAGGTGGCACAGGGAAGAAGATCAAATGGCCATTCAATGCCTAGGCAACAAGGTGACTAGCCAGTGAATACCAGCTTGAAGACACTGATTCCTAGAGAAGTCTTCTAGTAAAGACACAGGGTGCCCACACTTTGCCAACTTGATATATTTCCCCTTTCCTGCCCAGAGGGTCAGGAAACTGGCCCAGTCACCCAGAAGTGCATGAGCAGAAGTTCATGATGCATCTCCATGTGTCTTTCTCCACCGTTAATCTTTCCAAAACCTGCTATCTCAGGAGCGTATCTACAACAATTGCATCACTAAAAGTTGTGAGGATGATATGGGATGTGTTGTCACGCAATAAAACAGCCAGCCGACTCATGAGAAGTGGGTATGTCTAAGACCAGTCTGAGAAATTGCTCCCTACAAGATCCTTTCCATTAGACCTGGCTTAAAGACGGGGAGGAGGCTAGGCACAGTGGCTCATGCCTATAATCCCAGCACTTTGGGAGGCCGAGGCAGGAGGATTACTTGAAGTCAGGAGTCTGAGACCAGCCTGGCCAATACAGTGAGAACCCCATCTCTAAAAAATAAATAAAAAGTAAAGTAGCTGGGCATGGTGGTATGCACCTATAGTCCTAGCTATCTGGGAGGCTGAGGTGAGAGGATTGAGCTTAGGAGGTTGAGGCTGAAGTGAGCTATGATCACACCACTGCATGCCAGCCTGGGTGACAAAGCAAGATCTCATTAGGGGAAAAAAAGAAGAAAAGAAAAGAAGGAAAAGGAAAAAGAAAACAAGGGAAGAGAGAAGAAAAAGGAAATGTAGGTGTCCATCTGAGGTCTGAAGTCCCCAGACACAGTCCTTTTTCAGGATTTCCAGTGGGCACATGGTTAGCAAAGTGATTTGTATCTCCTAGATGCAAGACCAATTTCTATGACCAGATGTCTCACAGCTGAGTTACAAGTTAAGAGTGGTTTTGCATCCAGGGGCTTACCTTCATTTATATAGAAAACAATAAGCCCCAAACTCCATTACCATGGAATTTCTCTGTTTGGTGTTCATAGCTCAGATTTTATTAACAAACCTGAAAGATTCCTAGGATGGCTGAGGATCTTTCACCACTTCTACTTCAGGAAGTCATGCCTTTGAAAGTCAGATTGGACTGGTCTAGGGTGAGGTGGATTTTTAAAGGAATAATGAAAAATCTTCCTTTTAATCAAGGGCTGCTTTTCTCTTCCTGCTCTTCATATTCAAAAAATAAAAATGTAGGAAGAGCTTGGGGAAATAAAGTAGTCACTAGAAGCTTTGCTTTCTACAAACATTGATTCAGGCCATACCCTGATTGAGTAAAGGTGTCAACTTGCAGTTGGTGGTGCAAATACTTAGGTAATTCTAGAAATCAAGTACAACATTTTGTCTTTGGTATATAAATATTGGCATTTTTTAACTCCTAAGAAAGCGTAGTTATAATGCTATCTGAAGGTATAAATAAATCCACAATTTTTTTTTCTGTTTCTCTGTGACATTTTAGTCTCTGAAAGTCAATAACAGCCATAGATTGGCTATTGACAGTGGATCTCCAAATTGCTATGTTATGCATAAAATGAATCTTATTTTTGTCCTGGTGGTCCATTTATTCAGTGTTATGCTCAAAACCTGCCTTATGAATAAAGTAATAAACATAAACTGGAAGTATCCTCTTGTCAGCTCTCTAAGTGGTATTTTCATGTGCCAAGTGCCACATTTGCTGCCATCAGTCAAATCAAAAATTAGATTCAAGATAAAGTACCAATATTCTATCTATGGACTGTATGCATGTCTACTGAATTTTTATTGATACTGACTGGCTCATACTCTTTAGTCAGAGATTACTGGCCTACATATTGACATTTGTTAATAACAAAGAGTGTGGGTGTTATTAACAAGCCTGTTTCACAACTACCAATTCTTCTTTTGTAGCCCACGTGAAGACTATTTTCCAAATTGTAACCGTAGCCACTTTTGGTCCAGAATGTCCTGTTCATAAACTGTTCCTTAGACCTGGCCTAAGAGCAGGCGGTTTATTATGGGGAACTGCCAGCTGTCCCATCTTGCCATTCACACTGTGAGTCAGAGCTATGAGTTCACATCTGTGCCACTTTGCTTGAACTGGTAATTCTTGCATTAAAGCCAGCATTCACATTCTGCTTAAAGAATTCCATCTTGGAGTTCATGCTTCAAAAGCATTTGGGGTACTCTGCTGTCCTCTTTGATCCACTTCCATCCAGTCTAATGGAGGTTATGGAGCAATATTGCTTTTTGAGTGAGTTTGTTTTTCTGGCCAATATTCCGAGATAGTCTGGAAGAAGCCAGATGTAGTATCTGAAATGGGTCTAGGTCATACAGTTACGAAGCATACACCACTGCTGCTGGGTTAAAGACCCTCCATCATGGTGAAGTCTGGAAAAATGGTGGAAGTAACTTTCAACTGCCCACTCACTCAGGCCTTCATTTTAAAGAAACCACAAATCAACCTGCTTTTTGGCAGGTTGAAGCATTAGCAAATATTAGATCAGATGTAAATAAAAACCTTAAGTGGGGCACAGATATATAATTATGATGGTCTTTCACATCAAACAATTCTGATGAGAGAAGATTTTCTAAGTAGACAGAATAATAACTTCTCTCTCATCCCCTGGTCTCAATTTCCTTTTTGTAAAGTTTTATTTATTTTTATAAATAATGTGTAATGAGTGTTCAGCAATGTACCATGATTGCTTAATTTAATCCTCATGCTCTATATCCTCTCTAATCCTCACACCTACACATATTCTATAAAGTAAGCAACTGTATCCTTATTTTACTAATGAGGACACAGGTACCAACGTGATGCTACTTAAAGGAGACAGAACTGATAAATGCAGACCATCTGCTTAACAATGTGCCAACCTAACGTACTGAAATATTTTAAACCTTATCTTAATTGTCATCCAAGTTTTTGAGGTTGGTACTATTATTATCTTCATTTTATAGATGAGGGAAAAAAGAACCTTGAGAGTTTAGTTTACCCTCAAGACCCCTTGGAGGTTCCACGGTCACACAGTTAGTAAGTTTAGAGCCAAGATTCAAATCAGCATGTCTGACTCCAGAGATGAAACACTTCATCACAATTCCGTGGCTTTTTCCAAAGCAGGAAATTTTGGCAGCTCTTAGCCCAAGGGATGCTAAGCATCTGTATGTTCTTAAATATATAAAGCTTTGTTGTTATAAACATCATAGGACAATTTATTGAAATATTAATGTATGCACGTTCTCCTTAAAAACTTTTTATTCCCCTCCTTCCATGTTTAGTAAGTAACCAGGTTGGGTTTAGTCTTTTGTTCGTAGAGAGGTTCATGATACAGGGTCCAAAGCAGGAATTATTTCCTGCCAGTCTTTATAGAAGCTTACACAAATTGAAGGGATTCCATTAGGAGTACTCAAAGGAGAGGAATCAAGGTATGCGAAGCAGAGAGGGTAAAGAGGATTTGATCAAGACTGGGGTCAACGGATCCATTCATATCTCTTGATGGTAGCTGCCTGGGGACCGTTGCAAGTTGCATGAACATGGCTTGAACGCTAGATACTGGAGTTTCTATCCTCAACATAGACTCCTCAGTCTCCAACATAGGACAGAGACACTAGGTTGCTGGACCACAGGGCTTGTATTTAAACAGTGGGCCAACAGTGTTGACCAGTGTGGTTGTGGGACCAAGGACCAGGAGACAGCCCTGATGTTGGGAGCTGCATAATAATCTAAAAGCTTTGCTCCATCTTGAAGAATGGGAGCCTCAATATGGACTAAAAATAGAAATCCAGGTTGGGAATTGGGGCCAACATTAACTTGGTAATAAAAAAAAGGAACTTGAATAATTCTTGCACTCTCGAGTTTGTGATACACATGGCCTTTCCATTCATTAACTATGTGACCTTGGGAAAGTTATTGAGACTTTCTGGACTTTGGCATGAGCTTTCATAAAAGTAAGTTAGACTAAACTCTAGGGACCTTGCTGAACCTCAGTTCTGTGATTTCATTACTCCTTCTGTATTTTACTTTGACTAAATGGCAGAGAATTAAGTCTGAAAGTAGTATATGATAAGATGAGAGGCTCTATATTGTACCTTTGATGAAGATTAATACATAGGCCCCTATGTGGTCTTTCAGTTCTAGCTCTTCATTAGGAGAGTTTATTCTACTCCTTCTGGGCTCACTAAAATAAACTCAAATTATATAGGGGCTCCAGGCTGGTGAATAGTTCAGAGGAATATACACATCTTTACCCTGAAGGATGATAATAGAAACATAAAATAGGTAGATGAAAAATAGGGAAAGTCTGGATAAACTCCTGGACCCTGCAACTTAAGTCTTTTCAACCCTGGGCTACTTAACACTAGGTGAAAAGTCAGGTCACGTATTTAGGTTATGTCCTGTCTATGAGAAGAAACACAGGTGTCAAGATGATCAGAAATGACTTCCATTGTACTACCAGGTCTAACTCTTTTGCATTATCAGGAAGAGTACAGAATAAATGGATTGGTATTACATTTCTGTCACATGGTTCTTTTGCCACCCTCAATGCCCCTCTTCCCAAAGATAATCACCTGGACATGAGAAATTAGGAGCAGACATTGATGATGTCCTTGGTCTTCTTCAAGTTGATATCACTGGCCTTAAAAGATATACACAGGTGCCGATGTCAATGAAGTTTGTATTCTTAATATATTTGGCTCTAGTGAGAGTTTTTTAGTCTAAAGGAAGGAGCTTGGTGTTTGGCTGATGTGAACTGAGATTTGGAAATGTGGCTCAGTGCTATAAATCTGGAGGATTTATTTTCTCTAAATCATTGTGATGTCAAGTACTTGTCTAGATCAGCAAACTTTTGATAGAGATCTAGAGAATAAATGTTTTGGGCTTTGCAGGCCATATGGTTGTTGTTGCAACTATTCAACTCTGCTATTGTAAAGTGAAAGCAGTCAGACAATACACAAAATAGTGGGTGTGGCTGTGATCCAACAAAGATTTATGGACACTGAAATTTGAACTTCATATAATATTCATGTGTCACAAGTCTTATTCTTATTTTTATTATTCCAATTATTTAAAACTGTACAAAAACAGGGGGCAGCTGTATTGGTTTAGTGACCTCTGATCTTGATGGTTTTCAGTTTTTGCTATGAGCAGTATAGGGCAGTACAAATGGCTCTCCAGTGGGACTCAAGAGAACTGATGTCTAGTCTTCTCGACCTACAGACTGTGGAAACATTGACTGGCAAGTCATTAAAAATCTCTGGGGCTTCATGTGTCTCATCTTATGGTATTTATGTGGGAAGATGGAAGGTGGTAGATCTACAAATTCTGAAATTCTATGAGTTTCAACATTGTTTGATCATCCCAGATATCACTTTGCTGGCAAGTATTATACTTATGTAAAATTACTGTCATATCTTGTTGAATTGTGCTTGGCTTTGTTGAACCTATAGGACTAAATTCTACACTTGCAGAAATATGCCTGCTAGTTGAAATTGAGCTGTGCTATAATTTCTATCACGGTCAGGAGAAGGGCAATTATGTTGTCAGAACTCTACTAGGTCTCAGGAAATTGCCAAAAGGCTTTAAGAAACAAAGATATGCTTTCATTTTTCTCCTCCCAAACAATTCCTCCAAGAGTCCCATTCTCCTGAAACATACTCTTAAAAGAAAATTAAAAGGCTTGAGAGAAATGCAATAAAATCTCATTAATTGGAATCTATAATAATTTGGTTTGAGAGGAATTGGCACTATTCATGAAGAAAGGTTTTGTGGTGTCTATTAACCAATTGGAGTTGGGACGTTCATTGCTAATTTAATCAAATCCACTGCTTGAAAATGTGTTTGTTACATTGATTTACGTAAAAATATGTTAATTAAAATTTCTTTTTAAAAGAAAGTTAAGATCTCTACTTGGTAGCAATTTTTTAGAAACTGCTCGTTCTTAAGGCAACTTAAAAGGCCATAAGAATATATTTATTTAAAATATACTTTAGGCATATTGCATATTTAGGCTGGTCCCTTCTTCAAAAGCTCAGGTTAACAAAACTACATTTCTTAGACCTAGCTACAAATCTTTGAGAAAGAAACACAGGAAGAGCCTTGATAATTTGAATTAAATGATAGCAGATAATTTGTTAGGAAGATAAATGGTTGGGAGGAGGGCTTTACAAATTCTCTAATGATTAAGAACAATATGCTGGGCATCCTATAGTTCATAACCTATAGTTCAGCAATGTATAGCCAATTATTAACCAATGTTATTTCTGTATATCAGTGACAATTGCCATCAGGTAAGTTTGCATCAGCCCACTCCTTGTTCCTCTTTGCCTTTAAAAACCTGCTTGTGGCAAAGGCGGGAGGGAGCACTTCCCAAAGCAACTTGGAAGTGTGTCCTGGGAAGCTGTCCTCAACTTCGGCCCAAATAAACTCTCTATATTAATTTTGCTTCAGTTTCTTTCTTTAGGTCGACAGGAGGAACTAGGATTTGAGTTTAAGCAACTTAATCCCAGAGCTTTTGTTCTTGACCATGGTGCTAAAGAATTTCATTATAATTTCAAATGGCTAAATAATATTATGCTAAACAGATCCACCAAATATATTTAATCAATTTCTGAATGTTAGAAACATACTTGTTTCCCTAACTTTATCATTATTAGTCTCACTGCAATGATTATTCTTGAACATATTTAAATACTTTATTCAAGTTTAAATACTTATTCATTTTTTAAAGACAAAATTGCTCAAAATAGAGTTACAAAGTTAAATGGCTGCTTTTGATACCTTTTCAAATTGCTCTCTAATTTTCTCTGTCAATGGTATATGAGAGTGCTCTTTTCTTCACTCCTTTGAAACTACGGGTTATTATTTTTTTTTAACTTTTGTCAGTTAGGGAAAAAGGATATCTCAATATCTTAATCATTCTTTGGGGTGATGTGATAATGACAAAAGGGTTGAGAAATGTCACACTATCCTGGCTGTGCAGTTTTGCCTGTTTTTTTTTTGGAGATGGATGGATTTTCACTCGGTCATGAGGCTGGAGTACAGTGGCGCAATCTCGGCTCACTGCAACCTCTGACTCCCGGGTTCAAGCGATTTTCCTGCCTCAGCCTCCCAAGTAGCAGGGAGTACAGGCGCATGCCACCACATCCAGCTAATTTTTGTATTTTTAGTAGAGACGGGGTTTCACCATGTTGGCCAGGATGGTCTTGATCTCTTGACCTCGTGATCCGCCTGCCTAGGCCTCCCAAAGTGTCTGGATTACAGGCATGAGTCACCGCACCTGGCCAAGTTTTGCCTGTTTTGAACCTTATCAAAAACGTATCCTATTTCTTAAATTGGGATATTCTTTTTTTTGGTGGTTTGTGAGAGTCTCTAAGTGTTAAGAATATTAACATGTTGTCATATATATTGGGAATAACTTTTTCCAATTGTGTTCTTTGACTTTTACCTTTGTTAACCTTGTTTTCTATGTACAGAAGTTTAAATGTTTCACTTTGCCGAATCTTTTCCCTTCAGGTTTCTGTGGGTGTTTTCTCTGGTTCCCTGGGGTATTAGGACAAAATAGACTACTGTCAGAATCAGGCTTGAGAAGCCTGAAGGGCAAACAGCTGTGGCAGGTGGTTGGGTTGGGAGCAGGCTGCCTCACCTCCAACAGGGAAGAGTGCCTGCCCATTTTCCATGACCAGGGTGGCCCCTGTGGCACTGAGTCAGCTTGCAAGACCCCTCCCACACAGAGGGCATTCTGCCAGGATGAGGTGAATTCACCTGGAAAAGATGGGAGGCCAACACAGGTTGTAGAACTGAGCAGGGTTTGGTCATAAGCAACAAACCAGAAAAGAAGCATTGCGCACATCAAGGAAACAACAGTCTGACATTCCTAACAGGGTCCTCCCTGGGAACACACACAAGTGCATTTCATATTTGAATTGTCTCAGTAGTTTCATTTTACTCATTTGATATTTTTCATCAATTCATTTATTCATTCACTCATTTATTTTGAAAGTGTTTTTGGTGGTGGTGGTGGTGGTGGTTTTTGTTTTTTCCATGTCAATCTCAAATGTATTTGCAATTTATCTGGGTGTAATTTACCTACATGTAATATGTGAGGTGGGAATATAACTTCTTCTCTTATATGACCAACCAGTTATAACACTAATCATGAAATCATTGATCCTTTTCTCACCTGATCTGAAATACTCTTCTTATCGTATACAAATGAGAGTGCAATGTTGCTATCTGTTTCCAGGCTTTTAGTTTCTACCCACCCACCTCTACCCTGCCTGTTGAGCTTGTGTTCAATTTACGTATTTGTTTGGGGAAGAATTAATATAATTACAATACTGAATTTTCCCCTTCAAGGATATGGTATCTCCGTCTTTTTTTATAAATGTCTTCTGTTAAGTCTTTTATAAAAGTTTTGTAGTTTTCTTTCAATAGGTTCCAAACATCTTCAAAATAAGTTTATTCCCTAGGTGTTTGCCATTTTTGGTTATATTTAGTAGTAATATTATTTCCCTAATATATCTCTTACCGTTTATAGTTGATTATTAACTTTACTGTATGAATTAAAAAATTGTTCTTTATTGAATCTTTTTATGTCTAATAAATTTTTGATTACTTAAATATGTAAAGTGGAGGAAAATGGACCAAAACTCTATTTCGAGTGGAGGGATGGGCTCACTGTCCTACTTGCTCAATTCCCTCTCTCTCTGGTAGCCCCAAGAACAGCCCCTCCACAAGTCTCACTTGCCCTCCATAGGTCACAGCTTGAAACCCAGAAGGTGAACAATAAACTCATCTACAAATAATGGCTATTTTACCTCTTCCTTTGTAATATATATACTTCTTATTCTGTTGTACAATAGTCTTTCAATAAATATTCATTAACTTAGAGAATGAATAATTAATTATATTGTTTAGTACTTGCAAAGCTTGTTAAAAATGATAGTAAAACAGGCATCTTCATCTTTTTCTTGACTTTAAAATAAATACTTCTAGTATTTAACCAAGAATCATAGTACAATCTCTTTGAGGTAGATATTTTTTATTCTATTCAGGAATTTCTTGTTTATGTTCTATTTAAAATTTTAGAGAAATGGATAATGAATTTTATAAATGCTTAGCAGCATCTATGAAGATAATCAGTTTACTTCTTAGCTATTTCAATATTTTAAATTATCTCCTTATTGAACTATTATTTTGATCCCTGAATAGAATTACTTGATTATGTTATTCTGTTATTTGAAGGTACTGTTAGTCTCAATGCCAATTTTTATATATACTATGTATAATATTATATTATTACTTATAAAATATTTATATTTATATTTTCTTTTTACATATTTACAAAATACATGTTACTTACAAAAATATGTAATAGTTTTATAAGTAATAATATTATTTATATTTTATATATAAAATATATAAAGTAATAGTAATGTATTCTTTTCCCTTTATTAAATGCATGTTTGTTAGATTTGGAAATCAAGGTTATGCTAGCTCAATCATTGTCACCTGTGGCTGCTTATCAGAATCACCTCCAGTGACTTATTAAAAATACAGATGTTGGGCTTGGGCTGGTGGCTCCTCCCTATAATCCCAGCATTTTGGGGGCTGAGGCAGGAGGATCACTAGAGGCCAAGAGTTTGAGGTTACAGTGAGCTGTGATTACACCACTGCATTCCAGCTTGGGTAACAGAATGAAACTCTAACTCTTTAAAAAAAAAAAAGTACAGATAGCTTGGCTCAATAGAAATTACTATTTCAAATTCCTAAGTTTCTGTTTTTAACTTTAATAATTCAATACTTTTGCTTTTCTTTTATTCCTTGCTATGTTGGTTGCCCAGTTTACTAGCTTTCATCTTTCCTGCTTAGTAAAGTAAGACTTATATTTTCCTCTATGTACACAACTAGCTGCTTCCCATAATCTCATACTTGTTAGTTTCTTATTAATTTTTAGCTTTATTCACAGGATTCAAGAATGTGACTTATGTAGGTTCTACTTTTTAGAATTTCATGTGGTTTTCTTTGTGGCATAATATATAGTAGATTTTTATGTAAATTCAATGAGGATTTAAAAAGGTGAAGTCTAGTGGTAATATGTTTTAAGGTTTAGCATTCAATTGATAACTATTAAATTAGCAATCATTAATGATTACATTGTTAATGTCTTCTATATCATTTATTTATTTTTGGCTTCTTACTTTATTACTTTATAAGTAATAATATTATTTGTATTTTATATATAAAATACATAAAGTAATAGTAACTTATAGTTTTCCCTTTATTAAATGCTTGTTTGTCAGATTTGGAGATCAAGGTTATGCTGGCTCGATGGTTGTCAACTGTGGGAGACACCTTATTGTCTCCTATTACCATATCATTTTTTTGTTCTTTGCTGCTTCATTTATGTGGAATGTAAATTGACCCATAAAGGAGTCAAAGTCTCCCTTAATTTTGTATTCCACTATTTTCTAGTTGTACTCTAAAATAAGCAGTAGTACATAATTTCACATCTTAAAAATAGCCTTTGCACTTCTGTACAGATGTGTCTGGAAATATATCATTTCCAGCTGTATTTTTGGGCTCAGTTTTAACATTTACAGGTGCAGGTTTTGCAAACAATCTTCCTCCGGGAACCTGCCTCCTGGGCTCTTCCTTTGCTGCTCCTTCTACTGACATGACCTCCCTTTTGAGCCCCTTTGGTGGTTGCAGCAGGGAGGTGGGCTCTAGGTACCCGGTGGGACCTATCTTTCTATTTTTCACCCTTTGAAATAATTTTAACTTAATATCGTATATTTTTAAATTGCAGCACATAGTTGAACTTAGGTTTTTGGCCAAATCTCAGTCTTTTTCTTTTAATGGACAAATCTGTTTTAGGTACATTTTTTTTTTGTCAAAATAATATCTGTCATCTAAGTTTTAAGTGATTCCTTGTTATTTCGTTTTCTATCTTTCCTCTTTTGTTACATGGATTTTATTTTCCTTTTTCCCCTGGAACATTGAAAACTATTTTTAAAAGCTCTGAGGAGTTATTTTTTAGTGATTAAATATTCATGAACTTGTAGGTTCTCAAGAAGGTATTTTGGTTACTAAAAATTGTTGAACTTCTAGCTTTCCAATTTTCATTGTTAACCCATTTGTACTGTTAAATATTCTCTTAAGACACGTTTTCCAGAAGTTACCTGTGTTCATTAGAATAAATGGCTTTCAGAATCACGCTACTCCTAATTCTTGCATGCCATGTTAAGATTATTGTTAATGTTGCGGAATACTTTAAATATCCTCTCTTTATTTATTCATTTCCTGACTGGCTCCTTATATTCATGTTTCAGTCATTCTATTTGCCTAAAATTAGTGACGGTGGCTTCTCTTTGAGTCTTTCACTATTTACTTGAAAAATGTTAAAGTCCTTTTCTTAGAACTTGACATGGAGAGCTAAATGAAATGGAGAAATATTAAAAACTGGGCAATTCAGAAGGAGAAAGAACTTGGGCTGAGTGAAAGTCCCAAATGGGACCTTCATTTCTGCCTAGTTTCTTAAGGTTTGCTAAACCTATGGAGTCGGGGACCCATGTTCCATATCTGGCTTCCCCTGTAAGTGAACCACTGCCTGTATCAAGCAGCTTTCCTTCAGCCTCTACTGCCTGTGTAGGCAGCATTCTGTCTCACTGAGTTGGGGGGTTGTTATCAGGAATGTGTCTTCTGGCTGGTCATTAACAACCCTGGTATTGGGTGTCACCAGCACCAGAGGAAATATCTCAAATGGTTACTGACTCTGTGCTCCTTATGGCTGGGGGTACTCCTCCAGTCTCTGCCCCATCTCCAAATGGGGCATCACCGGTGACCCAGTCCTTCTAAGTGGAGTAAAGCCTCCTGTTTTCATCTCCACCCTGTTAACATCTCCAGCCCTTATGCCTCAAAATGAAGATAAGTAAGATGTTTTTCTTAAGAAATCTGTGCACCCACTATTAACTCTAGAGCTTTAGCCAATGAATGTTAGGATTAAAAAGGTACCTACTTTGTTCAATGTGAATTATTTGCTGCACAAGTCTGAATAATTAAATAGTTTCTAAAACTCTCTACTAATTGGTTACCTAAGAGGGACATGTGGTTCATAATTCATTAACATGATAGTAAATCCCTTTTTAATCACATTTGCCTCCAATTCTTAGGCAGACCTAACTGACCTGGTGAACCTTGCATGTGTCACTAGGAGGGAGAAGGGCTGTAGTAGAGAAAGCTGAGCTAGACTGGGAATTAGGTTGGTTATTTAACTTCCTTGAGTACATCACTTAGGTGCCATGATCTCAGATTCTTCCCCCAGAAGATGAGAATAACACCACCTGTGTTGCCTACACAGGTTTTTTTTTTTTTTTTGAATAAATGAACGCTCTCCCTCTCTCTATCCTCATGCCAAGAATTGAAAAGCACTCTATAAGAACAAGCTTGCATTATTCTTTCTTCCTGAATTGAAGATGAGTGGGTTTCCTTCTCACAGATGTTACTACTTTGAGTAAGAGAAAAACATTTTCACTAAAAGGAAAATAAAGAGGCAGGCTGCTCGTCTGCTTCACCTGGTCCATTCATTCATTTATTCAGTGCAACATTCCACAAGTCCAATCCCTCTTCTCACAAAGCTTATGTTTTAGGAGCAGAGACAGGCCATAAACAAATACAAATGCAAGATCATTTTAACTGGTGATGAACATCGTTAAGAAAAGTGGAAGAAAGGGCAGAAAAGGACCAGCTAGAGGAGGCACAGTGTTGCTATTTTAGATAATATGGGCAGGAAAGATCCATTTTTGTCTATTCTGGAGAATTGAAACATGCAATTAATAAACTGCCTGGCAACAGCCTAATGCTTGAAATTTCCCAAAATATCTCTTTTTTTTCTTTCTGCAGTTTATAACACCTTTTTAAGGGACACAGTCCAAATATGATCTAGATTTGAGAGACAGACACAAGGAATCTGAGACCTAACAGCAAAAAGTTTCAAAACAGTGAATGTACATACCCATTTCATGCCTGGTGCTGGCCACGCCTGTGCCATACACCTCTAAAACATCCTTTATTGTCCTCATAGACTCATCATACTTGGCTGCAAGACCAAGGAAGTTATAGGAGCCCATGTTGATGACATCTTTGATGACTCTTCCAGTAAACCTGTGGGGAAACATGTAAATGAGCACATAATCCCCTCCCCAGGATTATGCACGATTCAAAAAATCCCTGGTGGAAGACTTGGGTTCCTATGAAGAAAAAGAGGATGAGGTGACCAAGGAGATGGCAGCTCAGATCTGTGAGGTGGAACAGAGCTGGCAGGAGGTGGTTCAGTCTGTCCTAGAGGTTGGTTTCCCTCGGAGGATCCAGACCCCCTCAGCCAGTGCCGGGCACTTTAGTCCCTGGAAGCTGGAAAAGGATGAACAGCCAGGTAGCTTCCAGCCCACAGCAGGCCTCCAACTTGGACCTGCCACAGCTCCAGAGCTTGACTGGATGGAGACAGGACTATCTCCGATATTCATTGGTCATCAGGATATACCAGGAGTTGGTAACATCCACTCAGGTGCCACACCTCCCTGGATGATCCAGGATGAAGAATGCATCTCTGGGAACCAACAAACAGGACCGTCCTATAAAGAATTTATTAAAGAAAAGGAAAAAGAGAAGTTGAAGGAACTTTCCCCAAACTGAGTTGGGGCCAACTTTAATCACAGCTCCAGGACCAGTGCAGGCTGGCTGCCCTCTTTGGACCGTGTCTGGAATAATGGATACTGTTGGCAGTTCAGGCGTCAACTCAGAACTGAAGCTGCAGCAATGAACAAGCAGATAAGCAGTCACATTAAAAAAAAATGTTAATCATTCCCTGATGCTCTACCAACTACCGTGAGGCTAAAAGCAAAGTCAACAAACTCCTACCCACTATTATTCCTTCCACCAAGTTCATTATCATTGTCTTTCTTAGGAAACAGACATGCCCATTCATTTGATTTAATAAAGTTTTATTTTCCCAAATGTAAAAAAAAAAAAATTATCCTAGTGCTGGAGGGGCCTTAGGTCTGGCCCAAATCATATATTTTCTTTCTTATTAACTTGCATTGTTTTCAACATAAAGAAAGAAAAAGAAAGAAAACCTTGTAATTTGAAGCAATTTGGATGGAACTAGAGGCCTTTATATTAAGTGAAATAAGCAAGGCACAGCAGTCAAATATCACATTTCTTTTTACCTATAACGTGGGAGCTAAAAAGGCAGATCTCATGAAGGGAGAGTAGATTGGTTGTTACCAGAGGCTAGAAAAGGTAGGGAGGAGGGGGAGATAAAGAGAAATTGACTAACAGGTACAAAGATATGGTGTGATAGAAGAAATAAAACTCAGATCAGTAGGGTGACTGTGGTTTATAAAATAATGTATGGTCTATTTCAAAATAGCTAGAAGAAAATAATTTAAATGATTCTGGCATAAAAAAAGACAAATATTTAAGATGATGGATGCCCCAAGTACACTGATTTGATCTTTACAATTTATATGAATGTATTAAATTATTACATGTACTCCAAAATAATGTACATGTATTATGCATCAACAAAGTTGTTACCAAAAAATGGTTTTCCCTAAGAGAAAGGTAAACCCATGATGAAGTTGGGCAGAGCATTTGAGAAAGACATCTTGACCCATGGATTGTTACTTAGACCTGATTTTCCTTGGGCACTTATTTCTATGACACTCATGCTCTGGTTTAAATTCTAGCAAGAGCCTTCCAGAAGAACAAGAACCATGGTCATCACTGTCTCATTCAGCTGTAAGTAGGAGAGTAGAATTTGTCAATAAAGCTGAAAGGTGTCTTCCTGGCTGGCTTGGTGTGTCCTGCACCTTCTGACCCAGGTCTTAGGTTAATTACAATACAAAAAAGCCACTCTGGCAGCTGCTTGATTACTTTACTGTGCCTTCCTCCCCTGGCATCAGGAGGGCTTGCAAAGGCATAAATGATACAAAACCAATGGCTTCCATGCCTTGTTTTTTTGGATTTGTCATCTAGTGGCCATGCTAGGATTTCCTTGAAAGGTTTTTCTTTTCACCAATCCCCTCCAAGAAGTTCTCTCACCTAAACGTCCAGTTATAGTCGTCTGATACCCTCTCCATCAAATCAAACAGAGGCCCTGGGGCACTGCAGATGGGCCGGTTCCAGTTGTCTCTGATTCGCATGTAAAGGTTTCTTGTATAAAAATTTTCAAAGTCTTGATACAGTGGCACAAAATCCTGTTAGAACAGAGGTAGAAGGTTATCTCTGGTTCTTTGCTTTCTGGATTTCACTTACAATTGAAGCAGGGAAGAAGACCTGGAAGAGCTGTGGAAATAACACATCTACAGATATATTTTGAGCAAAGGTCAGTAGGTGAGGGAAGTAAATCTGTGAGGCTAAAGAACATGCCTTTTAGTGGGGGAATGAAAACATGTGATGAACAGGGGTAACAAAGATGTCAGTGCAATACAAGCCCGAAAGCAAGTGGAGACAACACGTCCCTGCAGTTTCTCTAAGGGTAACACAGGTGTCTATGTCCAAAGCAGTTTCGTTGGAAAAAAATGGTTGAGATGATCATGTGATTTCAACTTTTTTGAACATGAATATATCACTCACCGTGTGATTAGAAGTGGGGATGAACTTGAACTATCGGACCTGCTGGCAAAACTGCTACTCGAGGGTGGCTAGCTGTTACATGGCCAATGGAAACTAATCAGAGGAGCTCGTGGAGGCAGCGGGCCTCTCTCACAGCTGAGGTAAGAACGCTGAGTTGCTGTATAAAGTGTAATCCATGACCAAAGGGATCTGCAATCTAGCTGAGGCTTAAAGCAAGACATGTCTAATGTCATCATTTGACTCTTAATAGTTCCCTCTTCCCGTTTAGAAAAAAAAGTATAGCTCATTGCCGGCGCTCATTTGATTTTACATAAACATGCTCTTTGAGGCTGAAGCAAATCTGACTGATTTTCAATGTGAAAATAAAATATACAAACTGTTCTTGGAGTTAGTTCTAAATAGAACTAACATCAAAATCATCTGCATCAGAATAATCTATTTAGGAAAAATCAGATTCATCAAATTAATTTTTGGCTAACAACTGTTAAAGAATGATGCTAACATCACGCGTAGGAATGCTACGTTTTCTAGGATTTGACATTTTCCGTGAGCTAGAGAGTTACTATATTATGTAAGTGGAAATACCATTACTAAAACCAGAATGCTGTAAATAGAATGATGTCTTTTGTTTTCAAAGTTGATATACTGGAGTAATGCGAAAATAATACAAGTGAGATATTAATAGTTCATGGCAAGGTTTTCTTAGGATGAATGCTGCAGCCTCAAGATTCTCCTGCGAGTATTCTTGGAGCAAACAAGAAGAAAATTAATCCAAGGCAGAAAATGCAATAATGGTAACTGTCGTCTAAGCCAAGCACTTTGGACATTCGTGGGATTACAGTAGGAGGGAGAGTCCTACCTTGTTGGAGGAATCAAGGAAGCTTTATGTGGGAGAGTCCTTGGAGATGGACACCAAAGCAGAATGAGATTTTTATGGGCAGGGATGCTTGGGGAGTTCTCAGGGGAGTGGGTTTGTATGCTGGGAATGTGGAGTGCATTTGGGAAGAATTGATAAGAATAAAATATAATGCACACGCTGTCACTCTTTGCTCAGAACTTATAATGGCTCCCACCTCACTCCTGATTAGACATCCTGACTCATATAGCTTCTGGTTACCTCTCTGACCCCATCCCCTAATGACTCCCTACAGCGTGGGTGAGGCTGCAATGTCAGCTGGGCACAGACAGTGGGAAGCTTGAGGACCCGAAGCATTTGCAGGAAGAGCTCATCCTTTATCCTGCAGGTAATGAGGGGTCACTGAATAATTGGGAGTGAGCCTTCTCATTCTCCCGCCTATGCTTTGGAGCACTTGGCTCTCCTTTCCCTTATTAAATGAAGCTGATTTCCTCAAGGAACAAGGAGACCATGGGGAGTGCCTTTGTGGATGACCGTATGCTACCGCTTTGCCCACTCATTCTCTGCACTGGTTCATTGCAGAATATAATATGGAGAATAGGCAGGTTTTGATGGCAGATGGCTACACCCAAGCCACAGATCGTTCTGTCACTTCATCCTTTGGTCCTTGGTGACAACAGCATCATTTCTTGGGGAAAAAGTATACTTTTCTTTTGTAGGAAAGAATGTTCATAAGCATATACTGTTTAAATTTGAAGGATGGTCGGGCAATTCTACATTTAAAAGTCTCACCTTGAATGCATTTTCTTTAAGTAGCTGTGATGTAGGTTTTGTTATGATTTAAAGCTCCAAGTTTCTGATAATCAATTATACTCTTTATATGTCTTTCTCACAGGGAAAGAGACATATTTTTTGAGGCTACAAGATTATATAATTCTAGAAAACTCATTCTCAAACTATTTCTTCTTTGATTCAATACATTTTTTTCAGACTGTTTACTGCTTTGTGGATTATTCTATATCCCCAAATGTTGTGTTTCTCTATTTATAATTTTAAAAGTCTTATTTGAAATAATAATCTATAAACTCATCCTATCATGAGAAAAGAGAGCAGTAGGTGTGTAAGTAATATTTCTGGACTCTGAAGAGAATTATAATTTTAGGTTTTATGAGGAATCTTACCCAAAATAAAGTATCAGTTGGTTTTGGAGAGGAGACAAGAATCAAAGTATTCTGTCTATAAAATTAAAATTAATTTCAGATTTGGAACTACAAGATGCACAGGGCACCAGGGCTAGAGGGGCCACAACAATCACAGAGCAGGGGTCCCCAAGCCCTGGGCTGCAGACAGGTACCAGTCTGTGGCCTGTTAGGAACCAGGCCACACAGCAGGAGGTGAGCAGCGGGTGAGCGAGCATTACCACCTGGGCTCCGAGCTCCACCTCCTGTCAGATCAGCAGTGGCATGAGATTCTCATAGGAGTGCAAATCCTATTGTGAACTGCGCATGCGAGGGGTCTAGGTTTTGTGATCCTTATGAGAATCTAATGCCTAATGATCTGAGGTGGAACAGTTTCATCCTGAAACTATACCCCTTCACCCCACCTGGCTTTTGGTGGAAAAATTGTCTTCCTCAAAAGCAGTCCCTGGTGCCAAAAAGATCGGGGACTGCTGTTTTAGAGCTCAAACACCCACTCGGCCCATGAGGAGAATCAGGCCCAGAAAGGTGCGTGACTTGAACTCTGGTCAGCCTCGGACCTCACCCACTCCCCTAGACAGTGACTTCAGAGTGATTTCGGTCATACCTAGCTTCCCTCCAAAACACCAGTGATGACAAAAACCCTGGCCCGTGATATGGAAAACTAGGGCCAGCAGGTTGCCAGACTATATATAGTAGGAGTGTCCTTTAGTCATAGGGAACTTGGCGTTGGCTTGAAAAAACAGCCCATGGCTTCCCAGCCCATGCCACATGAAGATGCATTGTCATGGCCACCTAAGAGAAGGTCGGAAAATACTTCATCCTGTCTAACCTCTCTGCCTCCTGACTCAGGGATTCAGAATTTGTACCTATGTAGAAATGGACAGCTGGCTCTTCACTGAGATAAATGCTTTGAGGGCAAGATACAGGGATTCTAATATATTCTGCAGGGTCAGAAAAGACTTCCTTCTAGGGAATAATCTTCATGCTTAATGGAAATTGTATAAATTAAGTACTTGCAACTCCCCTGCAAAAAGGAAGGGCTAGTGTTGTTGTTGTTGTTTTTTTTTTTTTAAAGTACTCAGAGTTATTTCTTTGTGCATGACATAAACATTAACCCAGATCTGATACACAAGGTCAGTAACCTACATGTTTCTGAGAGGGCCAATTGAGTTTGGAGACCTACTTAGAATTAAAGATCTGATCGGTGAATGAACTGACTTGCTTTTGGGCGTGGCCCTCTTCTCCCCACCTGTGAGGTTTCCTGTCTGTGTGTATTTCCACTCCACCCCATTCCTTTAAACAGCCAGGAGCTTTCTTCAGGAGCAGCCAACGCCTTCCAAAGGTCAATGTCCTCTAGTCCCAGAGAAGCTTCCCACAGCATTTTAACTAAACCAGAAAATGAAGCTGGACTTGATATTTCAAAAACAAAAGCATTGCAATAGGATATATCTTTATTTATCTATAGACTTAATTTGTCATTTGGCTTACCATCTTTATTTTGCTTTCTATACAAATGGCTAGATATGATAGAAAATACCAGGCCATAAGGACACAATCATTTTGGAGAATGGAGTGTAGAAAGAAGTGAGTTAAACCTAAAAAGACCCACAAAAATAGCATTGTTTCTTCTGCAATGTCATAATCTTTATTTTTCAATCTTTATATTTGTACGATAATTTATAATTTTCCAAGTGTTATAGATATTTCTATCAAACTTTTATAGATAAGTTGATGGAAAGTCAGAAAACTTGATTGGACAAAATGGGAATTATTAATATTTCCAGTTCCCAAACCATGCTCTTTCCAAAAAACCCTGCTACAAGGCTTGATGCTTGTATGAAAGTGAAAAGAGCATATCCATAGCTCATTGTTAAAACTATTACCAAATTTGGAAGCATATCTCTTGTAGAGTGAGAAAGAATCTTTATCAAACACAATGTTATTCATTTGCGTCTACATTGACACTTCAGTTCTCACCGAATACTGTATTTTATATAATTGTCCTTTTGAGAGCCAGCTGTTTCTAAGGCAGAACTTGGGATAATAACAAAATATGCTTATATTTTCCTTTTGGTTGATAAGGGTAACTGTATTTACAGTAGTTCTTTGAAGTATAAGAACCTAACTTAAAGATGGCTAAATTTAAATTTTATTCTTAAAGAATTAGATAGAGATATTGAATAAAGATGGCAGACTCAGTACTTATATGAATCCTACCACTCTTCTAAAAGTTCCATGGAAAAACAATAAAAAATAGATATTTAAGAAACAAAATAAAGTTGTAAATGCCTCGAAAGACCATCAAGAGTGTCATCAATGAATCAGAAATGCAGAAGAATCACAAAGACAGACATAAGTAAGATCTGATCACTGGGGAAATTAAACCACAGGAAACCATGGGTCCAAATATTTGCAGAGAAGACTGGCATGGATGTAAGCTAATAAAGCCAGCTTCAAGTTGAGAGTGAAGAGCTATAACAAGCTGACATTCAAGGTGAGGGTAGATCCCTTCATCCTCTTTCTATTGGGCTAATAAATAAGAAGTGATAATATTGGCCACAGGACAAAGCTTTGTGGTGGGCAACAGGAAGAAGAGGGAAAAGCAATGCCCCAATGTAGAGAAATGCAGAGTCCACATAACAAGAAGACAATCTACTGGCCCTGGAAAACTCATCCTGTTCCACTTCTACAGTCACTCAAGATAGGTGAACATGAATACATATATATATATATATATATATATATATATATATATATATATATATATATATATATATGTAGAAGTGACATTTTTATATAAACATAACAGAACAATGCACCCATTTAAAGGATAAACAGTTCAAAAAATAATGACCATGACAAAAAGGCAAATTAATAAGCTAGAATATTATATTGATGATTTTTTTTCATAAGACAGTGAAAAGGATAAAGAAAATATAAAGGGAAAGTCAAGAGATATATATAGGGCAGATTCAGAAGAACAAACATCTCTCTAATAGACATGGCAAGATTGAAATAAGGAGACTAAGGAGGAAAGGAAGAGAAGGAGGAGGGAAAGAAGGCAAAGTGTAAGAAGGAAGAGAAGGGAGAAATTTCTAGAGATGAGGAAAGATTTGAATTTTAAGATATAAAGAGTTCATCAGGTACTTATTAAAGCAAATAAAGTTTCACACTTCACAGAAGAAAATTATCAGATTGCTTAAAACTTAAAATTCTGTACTCTTCCAAGTCAGCAACCAAATAAAAACAAATACACACATTTTTCAGTATATGCAAGGAGTCATAAGGTTAACACCCACAGGCTTTTTCTGTAATAATTGAGAATGCACTACCTGATTTTGAAATATACTACAAAGGTACAGTAATCAAAACAGCATGGTACTGGCATAGAAACAGACACATAGGCCAATGGAACAGAATAGAGAGCCCAGGAATAAATTCATGCATTCACAGTAATGGATCTTCGACAAAGGAGCCAAAAACACACAATGGGGAAAGGAGACCCTTTTCAATACATGGTGTTGGAAAAATTGGATATACATATGCAGAATAATGAAATTGGATTCTTTTCTCATACTATATATAAAAATGCAGTCAAAATGGATTAAATACTTAAATGTAAGACCTGAAACTGTAACACTATTAGAAAGAAACACTACTGCATATGATCTCACTTACGTGTGAAATCTAAAAACATTGAAATCATAGGAGCAGAGAGTAGAATGGTGGTTGCCAGGCCTGGGGGCATGGTGAAAATAGGGGGATACTGGTCAAAGGGTACAACGTTTCAATTATGTTGTACGCATAAGTTGTGGAGACCTAATGTACAGCATGGTGACTATAGTTAATAATATATTGTATACTTGAAATTAATAAGAAAGTAGATCCTAAATGTTCTCACCAAAAAAAGGAAGAAAATGGTAACTATGTGAAATGATGGATATGTTATTAGCTTGACAGTTATAATTATTTCACAATGTATATATATATCAAAGCATCATATTGTACACTATAAATATTTAGAATTTTTAAAAAGCTTGAAGTTTTTAAAAAAGGAGAAGTAAAAAAATGCATATATGTTAAAAGAAAAACAACTGTACTAAGTATAAAAGGAGAAGTATTTAAAATAAAAAATAAAAATAAAAGAAGATATGAATGTAAAAAATATGGCAGGAATCAGTATAAATATGTAATTACAGTATTATAATACGTTTAACCATATGGAATTGCCAATGTTTGACCATTTTTAACCTATCAAAACAGCAATTTCATATGGTTTAAATAAGTGTTAATAGAATACATTATTAAAATACAACTTTTTTTGTATTTCAATCTATTTGTTGCTTATAAGAGACATACATTTTCCGGAAATGCTGAAGATAAAAGAAAGAGATGGCTATTGAAGGAAAAAAGGTACATAAATAATAATAGAAGGTAAACTAGAATATAAGGTAAAAAGCATAATAAAAGGAAAAATTCACCAAGAACTATTAGAGCCAAGGACTTTTATGTATCTGATAGTTACACAGAAACACTTTAGAAAAAAAAAAAAAAAACTCTAACAAATTTACAATCACAGTGAAAGGCATTAATATACATTTATTTTAAAAAGTTCAGTAGAGAAAAAAGTAAGTTTAGAGGAGTTAAATATGACAATTAATAAGTTTATTGTAATATCAAACCCCAAAGATAATATATGTACAATTTTTCATGTCACCCATGAAAAATTCCAAGAAATTCCAATGCAACTATCTGAGACACTGTGAAGGAGTGAATTTATTAAGGTGGTAGCATTTGAGGTTAGAATATAAAAATAACAATTGCTTTGCTATATGTTATCAATAGCTAACTAGAAAATGGTATGGGAAAAAGATAATATTCAAATTATGTCATGATTAAAAATTGTGTCCCATAAGAGAAAATGGTAAGACTTTTATAAAGAAAATTATAAATTGTTACTAAAGAACATAAGAAATACGTAAAGAAATGGAGAGACAGATTTCTGAACAGGAAGACTGCTATGAAGACATCATATTTTCCAAAGATAACCTATAGATTTAATGAAAATGGCCAGTTTTTTCCAAATTCTATACCTCGCAAGCTAATTCTAAAGTATACACAGAAAGAAAATCTTAAAGAATTATCTAAAAACTTGTAGAGTTACCCAAATAATAGGAAAATAGGTCAACATTTCATATAACTGAGTTAAAAATGAACCATTTAGCCGTGCTCTGTGGCTCACACCTGGCCTGTAATCCCAGCACTTGGAGAGGCTGAGGCAGGCGGATCGCTTGAGGTCAGGAGTTTGAGACTAGCCTGGCCAAGACGGTGAAACCTCGTCTATACTAAAATACAAAAATTAGCCGGGCGCGGTGGCGCGCATGCCTGTAATTTCAGCTACTCGGGGGGTTGAGGCAGGAGAATCGTTCCAACCTAGGAGACAAGATCGTGCAACTGTACTCCAGCCTGGGCGACAGAGCAAGACACTGTCTAAAACAAAAACAAAAACAAAAACAAAAACAAAAACAAAAACAAAACAAAAAAAAAAAAGAAAAGGAAAAAGAAAAAAAAGAACTATTTAATTAATGATACTGGGGAAATTATTAGAAATATCGTTAAAAAAAATTGGCCAGGTGCGGTGGCTCATGCCTGTAATCCCAGCTACTCGGAAGGCTGAGGCAGGAGAATCACTTGAACCCAGAAGGCAGAGGTTGCAGTGAGCCAAAATCACACCACTGCACTCCAGCCTGGGCGAAAGAGCAAGACTCCATCAAAAAAAAAGAAGAAAAAGAAAAAGAAAAGAAAAGAAAAGAACTATTTAATTAATGATACTGGGGAAATTATTAGAAATATCTTTAAAAAAATTGATCAGGTGCAGTGGCTCATGCCTGTAATCCCAGCATTTTGGGAGGCCGAGGCGGGCGTATCACTTGAGGCCAGGAGTTCAAAACCAGCCTGGTCAACATGGAGAAAACTCCATCTCCACTAAACATACACAAATTAAGTGGGTGTGGTGGCGGGCGCCTGTAATCCCAGCTACTCTGGTGGCTGAGGCACTAGAATCACTTGAACCCATGGGGAGAAGGTTTGCAGTGAGCTGACACCACGCCACTGCACTCCAGCCTGGGAGACAGAGTGAGACCCTGTCTCAAAAAATAAATAAATAAATAAATAAATAAATAAAATTTAAAAAAAATTTAAAAAATAGTCCTTTACCTCAGACAGCACATAGAAATAAACTAGATGGATGAATAGATTTATGGACCAAATGTTTAAAATAAAAGCCCAAATCACAAAAGTTCTGAATGAAACTGTAGGAACATTTTATAAACACGACTAACACCCCTTCCCAAAGAGAAAAAAAGAAAACTAACATCAAAACTAATAACAACAATGAAAACATAAATGTTTCCACATTTATGTGCGGCTAAATATAATGCAAATAAAGTTAAGAGCCAAGAAACAGAATTGGAGAAATATTTAAAACACATTTAATGGAAAAATTATTGATATAAGAGCACATAGAGTTCCTCTAAATCAATTTTCAAAAAGTTTAATAAAATTATGAGCAAAGGATAGGAACTGCCAGTCTGAGAAGAGTTAAGTGTGAAGAACTAAAAAGTATATTTAAAGAAGTGCAGTCATACTATTAATCAGGAAAATGCAAATTAAGACAAAAATAAATAATGTTCACCCATCAGATTAGCCAAACAATTTTTAAATGTTGATAATAATCAATCTACCAAGTGCTGGCAAGGAAGCATGCATTGTTAGATACTGTTCACTGGAGTCGGTCTAGGCAAGCATTTTTGAAAGGCAAATTGGCAGTATGTCTCAGAAGTTAAAATGTGCATGCCTTGGACTCAGAAAGCCACTTCCAGGAATTATCCTAGAATAAATGCATATACTGATCATGGACAAGTTATTTATGAAAATAAAAATGGGAATAAGTATATTATGGCATTCCCATATATGGAGTATCATGGAATATTATGGAATATCGTGCAGCTATTAAAAGGAATGAAGTAGTTCTGTATTGGCATATAAATATCTTCAAAGCCAGAGTTAGGGGAAAAAAACAAGTCACACAAGATGTATGATGTGATCCCATAAAGGACAGAGTAAGTACACACGAACGTTAAGTGTAGTTAAGTGCACAGAAGAGACAGAAAAAATGCATGCACAAAGATAAAATAATGCTTGCTTTGGTGCACTAATTCCATAATAAAAAGGAAAAAGAAGAAAACATTAGTTTAAGAAGTGGCTTTTCATTCGGGCTTGTCTTAACCCGCTCATTCACATACTGGCTTTGTGCAAGTGATATGTGTGTGTGTAAATATATATGTTTCTGTATTATACAAATAAAAATATATATCTTGTACATATATATCTACAAAGAGATGTTGGTCTCTGTTGAGTATTCACTGTGGGAGACTATGATCTGATTTTACCAGTTATCTTATTTAGCAAAATATTTCTCGGCCTTTGGTATTTTGGGGTTGCCTTCTTAGCCTATGGCACATGCTCTGCCAGATACAACTGTGGACAACTTTCGCCCCTTCTTGCTTTTTAGCCAGAAGATATTTAGATCCAAGCCTGGTGGGGGAGATGGGGGATTGTGTTGGCCAGTGATTCTGGCTGCATTTAAAGCTATTGGTTTCTTGGTGATAGCTGAGTCAAAGAGTGAGATATGCAGATACCCTAGGGAGGGCCATTCCAGGCAGAGGGCTATGTAAGTGGAAATTACCTGAGGCAGGCACGTGTGGGTAGTGTCTGAGGAAGAGCAAGGAGGTCCTAGTGTCTGAAGCAGTGCTTGGGAGTGAAGAGGAGGAGAAGGGATGAAGTTAGAGACATAAGAGAGGCTGCGTTCTGCAGAGTCTCTGGCAGCTCTGCTTGGAAGGAGATGGGAAGATGTTAAAGGGTTCTGGCCAGACATGTGCTGTGACCTGACTTAGGATTTTAAACATCACATTGCTTGTTAGTGGAGAAGAGACTGTTGGGTTCAAGGGTGGAAGCAGGGTACATCTGAGGTGAGAGGAGATGGTGGTTTGGACAAAGCTTGTAGCAGCAGGGGTGGTAAGAAGTAGTCTGATAACAAATACAGTGTATTTGGAACATACAACTGACAGTATTGGCCTACAGATTTGACTTTGGGTACAAAGGAAAGAGCTGAGTCAAAGCTGACTCACAGGTTTTGTCCAGAGCACCTGGACTGGTGGAGTTGCCATTTACTTACCTGGAGATTGTGAAAAGAACAGGTTTGGAGGGGAAACTCAACCCACAGTTTTGGATGTGTCAAGGCTGAATGACTGCTGATGACTGTGAGCTAGCGCACAGGTGGCCTCGATAGGAACCCAGACACCTGTCCCGTGGTGGCAGGTGGAAGGCCAAGTATATGAGCACAATAGCAGGTAGGTGGTGGAGGGGGCAGGTGGATGGGCTGACCTTTTTCTATTTTCTCAATGAAATAGGAAGTGTGAGACAAAGTAACAAATGTTAGAAGCTGTTTTTTCCTCATTTCTGCTTGCCTGCATAATTTCACAAGGCCCCTGACTCTGTGATGATATGCAGCTTTCTAGAAAGATGCTTCGAAGACAAAACAAGGTAGAGCATATGCACCCCCATGTCTCTTCCCTGAGTCACGGTATTCCTCAAAAGATAAATTACTTCAGAATGTCTATTATTAAAAAGCCAAAACAATAACAGATGTTGGCAAGATTGTGGAGAAAAAAGGATGTTTATACACTGTTGGTGGGAATTAAATTAGTACAACTTCTATGGAAAACAGTATGGAGATTTCTCAAAGAACTAAAAATAGAATTACCATTTGATCCAGCAATCCCACTACTGGGTATTTACTCAAAGGAAAAGGAATTATTATATCAGAAAGATATGTATTTATTGTAGCACCGTTGAAAACAGCAAAGATGTGAAATCAACCTAACAGTCCATCAACAATTGGATAAAGCAAATGTGGTGTGTGCATACACACACACACACACACACAATGGAATACCATTCAGCCACAAAAAAGAATAAAATTATGTCTTTTGCAGCAACAGGGATGCAATGGTAGGCTGTTATCTTAAGTGAAACAACTCACACACAGAAAGTCAAATACTACATGTTCTCACTTCTAAGTGGGAGCTGAATAATGCACACACATGGATGTAGAGAGTAAAATAAGAGACACTGGAAAGTTGGAAGGGTGGGAGGGTGGGAGGAGGTAGGGGAATGAGAAATTACTTAATGGGTACAATGCACATTATTCAGGTGATGGTTATACAAAAAGCCTATACTTCACCACTACACAATATATCTATGTAACAAAACTGCATTCTTACCCCTTAAATTCATACAAATAAAAAAAATTAAAAAATAAATAAAGTAGGACAATCCCCCAGATAAATAAATAAATAAATAAATAAATAAATAAATAAATAACTTTAGCTCTTGCCTTCTCCTACACATAAGTTAATGTCTGATGGGGTTAGTGGTTATGCTTCTGTAAACTATAATCAGATGTACTCTTGCACCCAAACTTAGATGCGATTTTGCGTATACTGAATCTTTGCTACCTGTATATAAACTGTGAACTGAAATGCTGCATTGGAGCAGTCTGATAGGATCTGTCTAAAGGGCTACTCTGAGGCTCTAGGCTTCAGTCTACAGTCCTCAGGAAGACTGCTAAATAAAAGTAATTTTAATTCTTTAAAAGCTTATTTTTTTTCTGTAGTTGATAGAAGCAAGATTATTAGCTGAAAGTCAGGAGGTACAAGAAATGTTGCAGGTTTGAGGGGAAAGGGGAAAGTACGAAGTTGCCACTTAGAACAGTCAGTGACTAGAGGCCCTAAGTAACAGAGTGATAGGCAGGCAGCACCAAGGGCTATCTTGAGGCTAGTGGTGCTGAATTTGAAGGGCGACCAGTCAGCATGGGGGTGGGTATCAAGATGAGGTCGTTTCAAAGCCCATGGAATTTAAGATGGTTAGAAGAAAGGAAAAGAGAACCTGAAATATAACAGGAGAATGAAAAGATCTTAAAATCAAGGGCTTGAGGGCTCCAAGGGTGGAGTTTGTGGGGGTGGTAAAAGAGATATTGGAGGCAGTACCGGAGACAGAAAGCTAGTAATGATGAATGTGTGGGGCAGAACAGCTACAATGTGCAGCCAAGGTTGTAAAGCATTGATCTGGTATTATCAGCTGTTGATCTGTAACCGTTAATTGCCAAAGTCTACCACAATAAAGCACAGATGGGCTAAGACCATCTTTCCTGTAAGGGATAGTAGGATAGCTGTGCATGTGAAAGGGGATAGACACCTGGAGGTTTCAAGGGATGGCGCTGCCTGCACCTGAATGCAGGTGGTAGCCGAATTGCAAATTGAGAACCTTTAGAATAGCAGTGCTTCTCAAACTTTAATGTGTATCTGTATCACCTGAGGATCATGATAAACTAAAGATGCTGGGCTGGGTCTGAGAGTTCTAGCAAGCTCTCAGGCGATACTAGCGACGTAACAGTGAAACAGCGAAAGAACTAACACAGCAAATTCCATTTTTGTTTAAGCAGCCTTTACCCATTCCTGCACACAGGCTAGGATAATTTTAGGGCACTGAAATAAAACATAAAAACAGCAGTCATGTAGTTTTTTGAATTTAACTCTGAGATTAAAGGGGAGATATGTAAACAACTATGTTTTGTTAAAGATTTATAGGAGCATTGTGACCTGGTCAAGGCCAAAATGTTCCAAACCTCCACAGAACCTTGCTGGTGCCCAGATGTCCATGGTCTTTGGTCACCTCTTGAACAGAGCCCCATTGTCTTCCCTCTGCCCTTAACATAGAGACTGAAATTTGTGTTGACGGTTGGTTCTTTGGGACATTAGTTTACCATCTTCTTGGTCTGCTGGGTCTTCGAAATAAGGTCACCTTCCTTGCTCCAACTCCATGTCTGTCAACTTATTGGGTGTCGTGTGATGAGCAGAATGAATCTGGGCTCGGTTACGGAAGGATCAACATGTGGTCTTAGACTAGCAGCATTGGCTTCACCTGGGAGCTTGTTTATAGCTACAGAATCTTGGCCCCACCCAAAACCATTGAAGCAGAATCTGCATTTTAACATGATCCCCAGATAATCTGTGTGCATGATGAAGTTTGAGAAGCATTGCTCTAAAACACTGATTTGCAATTTTGTATGCGGATGAGAATCACTTGGGAAGCTTGTTTGACCAGCCCTCCCCTCTGCCTCACCCCCCACTACCAAGGCTGCATCACAAAGCAATTAAATCAGGATATCTGTGAGAAAAGCCTAGGTATTTGTATCTTTTAAAGGTTCTCAGTGATTCCAATGGGTAGCCAAGTCTGCAAAGCACTGGTCTAATATTTCTATCCCATAAGCTGCATACTTATTAGTATATTACGTTCCTAGAGATACCCCAATGAAACTTTGGGTTCGGATCTATGCAGGTCCAAACAGGAAGACCAGTGCCTGGGCTGTCTGTTTTGGACAAGACCATATCTCATACCCAGTCACCTTAATGGACCTCATCCTTCAGAAGAAAGTTTCTCTGGGCTAATACTGTTAATGTATCAGGATGCAAAATGTGGATGCAAAATAACAATTTATAATTTATGCAAACATTTAGATATTTGTCCTAAAATTTTCTACAGCTGCAGCTTGCTGAACCCACTTTGTTTTCGGTGGGAGTAAAAATCTCTGAAGATGGGCCAGAAATGTCTGTGATTTACTTGTGTGGGTACTAGGAAATACCTGGATTTAATGTGAACACAGAATTACCATTGGTGCCATGTTATATCGGATTTTGCAGAACTTGTTTGATATTGGGACCATAGCGACTTGAGAAATGCGGACCTGTAGAATTGGCTGCACTTGAAGTATTTTCTAATCTCTGATGATGCTCGACATTAATTGATTATATTTGCTGACATTCTCTTCTGGATTTTGCAAAGTTGGACTGTTACATCATTGCAAAAATAAATTATCTAGGGACTTTTGAGAACTTGTGGTTCAACTCTAAAGTTGTCTTTTATTAAAACAAAGAGATATTCTTGGCCCAAAACTAAAGAGTCGCATTTAAGCAAAATATTAACTTTGCATCTTGTCCTTTTTGTTAAGATCTACTGATTGTTAGTGGAGTCTAACTTGAGCTTTTTAGTGCTGTCTTGGAAGGAGGTTTTGATTTTTCTATTCTTTTCAGTTAATACTCAAGTGATTCAGATAAAGAGGATGATCAGAGCCTTTATGTTTGGGAACCAATTTCAGAATATTTGAGTTAGAAATAAAAAGAAGGAGAAATAAATAGAGATAAGTTTGGACAACACGTTAATTTGAATGGAAGGCTGTATGAGACAAGTCATCACAGAGAAAGAGAAAATAGTGAAATTGGATTAATAAATTCTTATATTTGATTAAGAAAAGGAAAGAAGAGTAAATGAGTAAAGGTGGATATAAGAACATTCACTTATGATCTTTTAAAAAATCATAATTTTTATTTTCCACCATCACTTCATGAATGCATTCTCTTTTCTGGTGTCATTTTGCCCATGGCTGGCTTGTCATGTGGGGCAGTGTATTCTGCACTCCTAGGAACCAGCTTTTAGAATAGAATAATGCTCATTTCTGCTGAAAAGAATGAAGTGTCACTGGAAATAGGATGTTTCATGTTTTGAGCAAGAGAATTCAAAATGTGCATCAGACAGCTTATTTACAGAAAGCAAGAATACTATCAGATGTAAAGGACTGGGGATGGTATTAAAAGATTAAAGGGAGCCAGGTGCGGTGGCTCATGCCTGTAATCCCAGCACTTTGGGAGGCTGAGGCAGGCAGATAATGAGGTCAGGAGTTCAAGACCAGCCTGGCCAACATAGTGAAACGCTGTCTGTACTAAAAATACAAAAATTAGCCAGGCATGGTGTTGCACGCCTGTAGTCCCATCTACTTGAGAGGCTGAGGCAGGAGAATCACTTGAACCTGGGAGGTGGAGGTTGCAGTGAGCCAAGATTGCACCACTGCACTCCATCCTGTTTGACAGAGTGAGACTCTCTCTTAAAAAAAAAAAAAAAAAAGATTAAGGATGGGCTGGGTGCGGTGGCACTTTGGGAGGCCAAAGTGGATGGATCACTTGAGGTCAGCAGTTTGAGACCAGCCTAGGCAACATGGCAAAACCCTGTCTTTACCAAAAATATAAAAAATTAGCCAGGCGTGGTGGCACATGCCTGTGGTCCCAGCCACTCGGGAAGCTGAGGTGGGAGGATCACTTGAGCCCAGGTGGTGGAGGTTTGCAGTGAGCCGAGATTGCATTAGTCTGCCTGGGTGACAGAGTGAGACTCCGTCTCAAAAAAAAAAAAAAGAAAAAAAGTTAAAGCGTCAGTCTATGGACAGGGTTGGGAGATCAAGTCCCATCAGAAAGATAGTGACTGCAGTTAATTAGAACCTGTCACTCTGAAATGCTGTAAGTCTCTAACGGGACTCAAATTGAACAAATAATAAAAGGTATGCCATGTGAAAGGCACATTTATCTACATGAGTCTATTGACTATTGCTCTGGACCTCACAGAGATCAGATAGGATGGAAACCATTTATTTTGTAAAGAAAGGTAAATCATTAATTTATTTAATGCAATGCATTTCTCCTGTGGGGCGGTTCGAGCAGTTCTTGTAGCAACAGGGGCAAGTGTTGAAGTGCAGGCTGCCATTTGATGTCCATAGCCCATCGTTCAGAACTGATGCATCCATTCCCCTAGTTGCTAGGAGCATTGGAGGCTTACAGCTCCATGAGGATTGCCTGGGTCTGAAGGGATCTTCCTCCACCAAGATCCCTGGTGGCAGCTTCTATCAATGCAGGAGTAAAAAGATCTAGCCCCCTTCCCTCAGCTCAGATGACTCTTGAAAGGCCCTCTCATCTCCGGAACTCCTTGTGGGATTCGTTGAGGCCTTTGCTGGGTCTGCATCATCACAACTCACTCCATCCCCTCTTTCCTCTCCAACTCCCCTCCCTCCTGAGCCATGCCATTTCCTTCTCTGCCTCACAGGTGCTGATCCCAGGAGCACACCCCAATAACCTTCCTGCATTCAGGCCCCCATCCCAGAGTAGGCTTTCTAGGAAACAACTCTTCATGTGTATTTTTTTTCCTGATAAAATGTAAGAAATTGCTTTAGATAAACAAGAAGATTAGACCTGCTAGTTTAATAGAGCAAATACACTGAAAGGTTAGAAAATAGATTGTAGATTTGAAGCCTAAGCCTTCCAAGAAATGCCACACCTGAGAAATTTACATTTGGTTCAGCCTTTGTCCCTGTGCTCTGAAATGTGCTGATTTATTATGCATTAGTTACTTGTACCTGGGGAGCAGGCCGACTGGTGATAAGAGCCTCTAGAACAGTGCAGCTGGTGGGGTTAGGGGCCATGGAGATCACTGTGAGAATGCCCAAGGAGAATTCCCCTTCAAATCCCATTTTCCCAGTTACATTGTCAGCTCTACTAGGACCAGAGAAACCTGCGTCTCTGGAAGCATGCTGAGTTGTCTCCTGCTTGATTTAACTGTTTCTTTATCCTTTATAACTCAAGAACCTTTATGTCCTCAAAGCTGTCTGTGGCCACCATTTTGCCAACAGAACCATTTCATTGTAATGGATGTGATGTTGCTATCCATGTATCTGCCCAAACTAGAACTTGAGATTCCCCTATTTTCCTCCTTCTATCTTATCTTCTGTACACTCAGCCACCAAGACTTATTGATACCTCCTAAATATTCTCTATAATTAATTTCCTTTTCCTTCCACCTGCCTCTTTCCTAGTTCAAGCACAAATAACCTCGTTTCTAAACTACTGTTAACTTTTTTTCTTGTCACTTTGCTTTTCGTCTTGAATTGGGACTCTGTCTCTGAAATCTATTAAATTTTCTGAAGTTCTTCACTTTCTTTTCATCCTTTCTCTTTTTTCTCCATGAACTTACCCTGGAAGATCTTGTCTACTTCCCTGGCTTTGATTCCTGTCGACATGCTGAAGATAAACTGAAGATGTTACAGTATCCCACTGAGACTTTTTCCAGAAGTCCAGATCTTTAAGTTTAGCTGCCAGTTCTTCAAACTCAACTTGTCAAAAAATGAGTTGACTACTTTCTCCCTCCAACTGGATCTTGCTTCTCTATTACCCATCTCAGTGAATGACACCACCTTCTGCTACCTCTCATAAACCTGGATGTGGTCTTTGATTTGTCCTTCTTCCTATTTTCCTAGGTCAAATCAACCATCTCTAACTCTACCTCTTAAACATCTCCTGGCCTTTTCTCTTGTCACCAACCCTATTGTCACTACCTTGGTCCCAGGCCAACCATCTCACCTAGATTTTTTTAAACCTGTATATCTGCATCAACCTCTTAATGTCTTTTTTGATCTCTCTGTTGTCTTTCTGCAATCCATTTCTCACAGGGTAGACAGAATTATCTTTCTGTCTACAAATATGCATTCCTTTGCCTGAAGTCCTTCAATACTTTCCCATTGTTCTTATAATACATGTCCATGGCTTACTAAAAGAACCCATTATAGTCTGGCCCCTGCTTGCCTCTCAGCAGTCTTTCTGCCCACATACTCCCACTCTCATTCACAACACTCGGTCATTGGAATTCCGTGGTTCCTTGAATGTACAATGCTTTCTCTAACCTCTGGACCATCTTGCACCATATTCTCTCTTCTTAGAGATTCCTTTTCTCTCTTGATTCACCCTTTGCCTTACTATTTATTCATCAGCGTCTAGATCCCAATTTAACTTTCTCTTTTACCCAGAAGTTTTCATTAAACACCAAATCAGGTTAAACATTTTTCTCCTGGATAATATCCTGAAGAGTGTTTTCCAACTTGGTTCCATTCTCCCTGTCACTTTCAGGTACATCAATCAAATGTAGGTTTGGTCTTTTCACATAGTCCCATATTTCTTGGAGGCTTTGTTCGTTCCTTTTTATTCTTCTTTCCCTAATCTTGTTTTCACGCTTTATTTCATTAAGTTGATCTTCAATCTCTGATATCCTTTCTTCCGCTTGATCAATTTGGCTATTGATACTTGTGTATGCTTCACGAAGTTTTTGTGCTGTGTTTTTCAGCTCCATCAGGTCATTTATGTTCTTCTCTAAACTGGTTATTCTAGTTAGCAATTCGTCTAACCTTTTTCAAGGTTCTTAGCTTCCTTGCATTGGGTTAGAACATGCTTCTTTAGCTTGGAGGAGTTTGTTATTTCCCACCTTCTGAAACCTACTTCTGTCAATTCGTCAAACTCATTCTCCGTCCAGTTTTGTTCCCTTGCTGGCGAGGAGTTGTGATCCTTTGGAGGAGAAGAGGCATTCTGGTTTTCAGCCTTTTTTTGTGCTGGTTTTTCCTCATCCTCATGGATTTATCGACCTTTGGTCTTCTATGTTGGTGACCTTCGAATGGGGTTTTTGTGTGGACGTCCTTTTTGTTGATGTTGACGCTATTCCTTTCTGTTTTGTTAGTTTTCCTTCTAACAGTCAGGCCCCTCTGCTGCAGGTCTGCTGGAGTTTGCTGGAGGCCCACTCCAGACCCTGTTTGCCTGGGTATCACCAGCGGAGGCTGCAGAACAGGAAATATTCTGCCTGTTCCTTCCTCTGGAAGCTTCATCCCAGAGGGCCACCCACCAGATGCCAGCCGGAGCTCTCCTGTATGAGGTGTCTGTCAACCCCTGCTGGGAGGTGTCTCCCAGTCAGGAGGCCTGGGGGTCAGGGATCCACTTGAGGAGCCAGTCTGTCCTTTAGCAGAGCTCGAGTGCTGTGCTGGGAGATATGCTGCTCTCTTCAGAGCCAGCAGGCAAGAACGTTTAAGTCTGCTGAAGCTGCACCTGCAGCTGCCCCTTCCCCCAGGTGCTCTGTCCCAGGGAGATGGGAGTTCCATCTATAAACCCCTGACTGGGGCTGCTGCCTTTCTTTCCCGAGATGCCAGGCCCAGAGAGGAGGAATCTAGAGTGGCAGTCTGGCTACAGCGGCTTTGAGGAGCTGTGGTGTACTCCACCTAATTTGAACTTCCCCACTGCTTTGTTTACACTGTGAGGGGAAAACAGCCTACTCAAGCCTCAGTAATGGTGGATGCCCCTCCTGCTACTGAGCTTGAGTGTCCCAGGTTGACTTCAGACTGCTGTGCTGGCAGCAAGAATTTCAAGCCAGTGGATCTTAGCTTGCTGGGCTCCGTGGGGGTGGGATCCACTGAATTAGACCACTTGGTTCCCTGGCTTCAACCCCCTTTCCAGGGGAGTGAATGGTTCTGTCTCACTGGTGTTCCAGGTGCCACTGGGGTGTGAAAAAAACCAAACAACAACAAAAAAACTCCTGCAGCCAGCTTGGTGTCTGCCTAAACAGCTGCCCAATTTTGTGCTTGAAACCCAGGGTCCTGGTGGTGTAGGCGCCTGAGGGAATCTCCTGGTCTGCGGGTTGTGAAGACTGTGGGAAAAGTGTAGTATCTGGACCAGAATGCACTGTTCCTCGTGGCACAGTCCCTCAGGGCTTCCCTTGGCTAGGGGAGGGAGTTCCCCAACCCCTTGCGCTTCCCAGGTGAGGCAGTGCCGCACCCTGCTTCGGCTTGCCCTCTGTGGTCTGCACCAACCGTCTAACCAGTCCCAGTGAGATGAGCCCCGTACCTCAGTTGGAAATGCAGAAATCAAATGCCTTCTACATTGATCTTGCTGGGAGCTGCAGAGCACAGCTGTTCCTGTTCGGCCATCTTGCCAGCCACACTGGTTATTTCCTTTCTTCTGCTGGGTTTGCGTTTGGTTTGTTCAAGTTTCTCTAGTTCCTTGAGGTGTGGCCTTACAGTGTCTATTTGTGCTCTTTCAGACATTCTGATGTAGGAGTTTAGGGCTATGAACTTTCTCTTAGCACTGCCTTAGGTTTTGATAAGTTATGTCATTATTGTCAGTCACTTCAAAGAACTTTTTAATTTCCATGTTGATTTCATTTTTGACCCAGTGCTCATTCAGGAGCAGGTTATTTAATTTCCATGTATTTGCATGGTTTTGAAGGTTCCTTTTGGAGTTGATTTCCAGTTTTATTCCACTGTGGCCTGAGAGAGTGCTTGATATTATTTCAATTTTCCTAAATTTATTGAGTCTCATTTTATGGCCTGTCATATGGTCTATCTTGGAGAAAGTTCCATGTGCTGTTGAATAGAATGTGTATTCTGCGGTTGTTGGATGAAATGTTCTGTATATATCTGTTAAGTCCATTTGTTCCAAGGTATAGTTTAAATCCATTGTTTCTTTGTTGACTTTCTCTCTTGATGACCTGTCTAGTGCTGTCAGTGGAGTACTGAAGTCCCTCACTATTATCGTGTTGCTGTCTGTCTCATTTCTTAGGTCTGTTAGTAATCGTTTTATAAATTTAGGATCTCCAGTGTTAGGTGCATATATGTTTAGGATTGTGATATTTTCCTGTTGGACAAGGCCTTTTACCATTACATAATGTCCCTCTTTGTTCCTTTTAACCACTGTTGCTTTACAGTTGTCTGATATTAGAATAGCTACCCCTGCTATCTTTTGGTGTCTATTTGCATGAAATGCCTCTTTCCACCCGTTTACTTTAAGTTTATGTGAGTCCTTATGTGTTAAGTGAGTCTCCTGAAGGCAGCAGATAGTTGGTTGGTGAGTTCTTACCCATTCTGTGGTTCTGTATCTTTTAAGTGGATCATTTAGGCCATTTACATTCAATGTTAGTATTGAAATGTGAGGTATCATTACATTCGTCATGCTCATTGTTGTCTGTGTACTTTGGGTTTTTTCTTTTTTGTTTTTGCTTTTTAACTTGTGTGTGTGTGTTTTTTAATAGGTCCCACGTGATTTATGCTTTAAAGAAGCTCTGTTTTCCAGGATTTGTTTCAATATTTAGAGCTCCTTTTATCAGTTCTTGTAGTGGTGGCTTGGTGTGAATTATCTCGGCATTTGTTTGTCTGAAGATGACTGTATCTTTCCTTCAAATATGATGCTTAGTTTCGCTGTATACAAAATTCTTGGCTGATAATTGTTTTGTTTGAGGGGGCTGAAGATAGGGCCCCAATTCTGTCTTAGCTTGTAGGGTTTCTGCTGAGAAATCTGCTGTTAATCTGATAGATTTTTCCTTTGTAAGTTACCTGGTGCTTCTGTCTCACAGCTCTTAAAATGGTTTCCTTTGGATAACCTGATGACAGTGTACCTAGGTGAAGATCTTTTGGTGATGAATTTCCTGGGTGATCTTTGTGCTTCTTGTATTTGGATGTCTAGGTCTCTAGCAAGGCCAGGGAAGTTTTCCTCAATTATTCCCCCAAATATGTTTTCCAGGCTTTTAGAATTCTCTTCTTCCTCAGGAACATTGATTATTCTTAGGTTTGGTTGTTTAACATAATCCCAGACTTCTTGGAGGCTTTGTTCATATTTTCTTATTATTTTTTCTTTGTCTTTGTTGAATTGGGTTAATTCGAAGACCTTGTCTTTAAGCTCTGAATTTTTTTCTTCTACTAGTTCAATTCTATTGCTGAGACTTTCCAGAGCATTTTGCATTTCTAAAAGTGTGTCCAAAGTTTCTTGAATTTTTGATTGTTTTTACTTTAAGCCATCTATTTCCTTGAATATTTCTCTCTTCACTTCTTGTAACATTTTTTGGATTTTCTTGCATTGGGCTTTGCCTTTCTCTGGCCTCTCCCTGATTAGCTTAATAACCTCCTGAATTCTTTTTCAGGTAAATCAGGGATTTCTTCTTGGTTTGGATCCATTGCTGGTGAACTAGTATTATATTTTGGGGGGTGTTGAAGAGCCTTGTTTTGTCATATTACCAAGGTTGGTTTTCTGGTTCCTTCTCATTTGGGAAAGTCTAGGGCTGAAGACTGTTGTTCAGATTCTTTTGTCCCTCGGGGTGTTCCCTTGATGTATTACTCTCCCCCTTTTCCTATGGATGTGGCTTCCTGTGAGCTGAACTGCAGTGATTGTTGTCTCTCTTCTGGGTCTCACCACCCACCGAGTCTACCCGGCTCCAAGTTGGTACTGGGGATTGTCTCCACAGAGTCCTGTGATGTGAACTGTCTATGGGTCTCTCAGCAGTGGATACCAGTGCCTGTTCCAGTAGAGGTAGTGGAGGGTGCAGTGACTTCATCAGGGTCCTTAGCTTTAGTGGTTTAATGCTATATTTTTCAGATGCTGTTAAAATTCTTACAATGCCCAAAAAAATTGGTTCAAAATATTAATAGTGTCAAAGGTGAGAAATCAGATTTAGATGAAATAAAAAAGTCCCAGTTCACTCAAATGCACTTTCCTTTTCAGGATAGAGCATAAATAATACCCAACTTACAACTAGAAGACCAAAGTACAGTCCCACCCAGGAGCACTTGCTTTTATATTTTGATGTTTTTATCTTCAAAATTATAGTTTAATATCTATATCATGGGGTTGTTACAAAAATTAAATATTACAAGGTATGGGAAAAGCCTTAGTTTGGTATGTGGCAAATAGTAGTTGCCCATGAGATGTTTGTAAAAACAGGTCCATAAGCCCATGGGTAATGGGGTTTAGGAGGTGGAGATGAATGAAATTTGCCCTGAATAGTTCCTGAGCACCTCATGCTTTCTAGGATCTGCACCTGCATCACCACTTCTGAGAACACTTTAGAGAGGAGTAGGCATTGACAAAGATCCAGGGAGGTGCGCATACGTACTTTTTGTTCTTTTCTTTCCACAGCTGCGTTGCATTTTTCTATTCCCCAGTTTCTTAAAAAGTCTCTGAGATAGCCAAACAGGGTTCCAATTCCATATCCCATGTAAGTGAAAACCATAACATGAAGGGGTGCTTCCTCAAACGATTCAACAATGAGCTTATCATAAAAATGTGGCTTCCCATTTTGCTGAAAACACAAAAGAAAATCCAAGGTTAGCATTCTCCTGTTACAGATATACTATGATACCTAAAATTGTGAACTTTCAACCCTTTGAATTCCAAAGGCCATATTTAAGATTGTAAATAAATTAGAAACTGACCATTGAAGAGGGTAATCAAAAATGCAAACTTTATTTTACAAGCCATAGTAACATAATTGATTCAAGCAAAAGTTCTCAACAGAAACTCAAACCATTGGGTGAAGAGTTAATGAGGAACAGAGTGTTTGCAAGTTGCTAAAGTATGACCCCACAGCTTACTTCCTAATCACAAACTTGGGGTCGTTACTTTAACCAGGTGATCAAATTATATCACAAATGTTGGAATAAGCAGCCACTCTACACTCCTGTTATGTGTAATATTCAATACACAGCAAACCTATGAAATATTTAACCTGAACTTAGTCAAGCTCTTATGTTTAACTTCCATTTTACAAGAAATACTAGACTAAAGGAACATGGTAAACGACCTTATGTGAAAACAATCAGATAATCCAGAATGTAGAACTTTCTATAGGACAACTGTCCTGGTCTTTTAAAAAAGTCTGATAAAAGAAAAGAAGTGTGGAAGAGAGGACTTAAGGGAAACAAGTAAATCCAGTGTGTGTTCCTTCATCAAATTGTTTTCTTTCTTTAATTTTTGTGTGAAAAACCAGGTGAAAGACAAATTTTGAGCAACTGTGGAAATCCAAATGTGGACCATATGTATTTGTAGGTCTCAAAGAACTTGCTTTATGCTTTAATCTGGGTGCTCCTGTATTGGGTGCATATATATTTAGGATAGTTAGCTCTTCTTGTTGCACTGATCCCTTTACAATTATGTAATGCCCTTCTTTGTCTTTTTTGATCTTTGTCAGTTAAAGCCTGTTATTCTTATTAAATTCTTATTAAAGAATTATTAATTGTAGTAGGAAAGATAGAGATATTTTTAGTTACATCACATAATGTTTTAATCTTTGTGATGCATGCTGAAGTATTAAGGGGCAAAGCATTATAATAGCTGTAGTTCTCTTTAAGGTGGTTTGTCAAAATTGCATAAAAACATAAAGCAACTTTGAGAAACGTTAACTCTTGAATCTGGATGGAGAGTATATAGGTGTTCATGATATTATTTTTTTCTACTCTTCTGTATGTCTGAAATTTTTCATAGTAAAAAGTTTAAAAAATTTTCTGTTTTATTTCACTTTTCAGTAGAAAGTGGACTTTTAACACCAAACCATTCTGATGACTGTTTAATTGATTTGCACAGAGTAGCTCAAACAACATCTGCTCAATTGATTAGTAAATACGTATCTCTAATGCTAATATTTAATTGTTTTAGTCCTTAATAAATATTTATACATTCATTTATTATTTCATTCAATAAATACAAATCAATCTGCAGATTTCCCATTTCTTAAAGAGATGACACACAAAAAATGTTTTGAATACTTGGAATACATAACTTTTAGTGATTTACAAAAATTGTCAGATCTCTACTAATATTTAAGGTACTAATTTAGCTTATACATATATATGTATTTAGATGTATTTAGAATGATTTATGATATTAAATCGTGTACATTTGAAATACTGTTTTGACGATTCTCCTAGTCTTTGTCATTGTAATCAACACAGTTTTCCAGAGCATATTATCTTCATTCCCTCTACATTATATGAGAAGCAGAATTTTTGGAATCTCTGTGATTTAGTCACTGGAAGTTTTATCCCAAGCCACAAAAATAGATGAAAAGCAAATCAGTCTGGTAGATGAATATTTTAAATCTCTACATTATTATTCTTAAAGAAATTTTAAAAGCCTTTTTATAGTGATATCTAAAATTTGAATTCTTAAGTCAAAACATCACAAAATATTATTAAAATGGCTTGCCTCCTTATTTATTTATTATTTCAGGTTACTTCTATAGGTACCCCAAACTAACATAGGTGGATATTCCTGTCTAGTGTGTCATCCCAAACACTACTTCATGGCATAAGCTAATGAAAATGAAAGAGCATTGGTTAATAGGCAGTCTTGAGTAAAAGGTAAATGAAAGGTTATACTCTTGGCTTGTATATAGGGCATTTGTTGCATGCCTTCCCTGAGCAAGCAACATGTTCAGCACTGGGGATTCAAAGATGAACAAGACAGACCCCATTCCTACTCCTCCCTCTAACTATGTCCTTACCCCAGTCATGTAGGTCTGATGGATGGCTGATCTTGCTATGCTATTTTAGTACAAACCTTTGGCTCCTTTCCTTGGCTCTGTTCTGCACTTGAACTTTAGACTACATCGATCTCCACAATTCCAGGTGACTTCCTGGCCCAGTTAAGACCCACCTCCCACATCCTTCTGCATCACAGGGACACAAAATTGGCTTCCTTGCTGGATTTGTCCAGACTCTAGCAAAAGGGACTCAGAGTCTCATGAAGGAAGACATGTTGGAACTTCTACTGATTAGATATGAAGTCAAGGAAGAGGAAAAAGAAAACTATCTGCAAGGAGCAGTATAGTATTGTTGATAAGAAGAAAGAAGGACTTGGAAGGAGGGCTGCTTTTTGGAGAGAAGACATGAGTCTGTACAGAACATGCTAATTTGGGGGTGGTGATTGCCTGCATAAATTCCCAGAGCACTGAGGAATGTAGGAGAAAAGGAAGACCCTGACTGAGTCAATTACTACGGGCCACAGTTTAAGTCATGGTTGAAGGTGAATGCGATAAGGTACAAATCATAAAGAGGGAAGAGCAGTAGGCTTGGGACAGAATTTGTGGATACAGTGCTTTTTCCGGTACCACAGAAGAAAAAGGGTGAATAAAGGGAACCCAGTGTGGGTGACCTCAGAACCTTAATTTAACCTGCTTGCAAATTAACCCCTTTGGCTGACTTAGAGAATGGCTAAGTTATGTGGGTGTACATAAAGACAGAAAATGTGAGGACATTCAAGTCCAACCCATGGCAATCAGCAGGTTTTCTCTTCTTCCTTTCCTGGCCCCATCTTCATTTCTGAGCTTCACCTGTAACCAAATCAAGTGGTGCTTTTCTCTTGAAATCCATAGGCAGTTTCTGCTTGAATTGGCTCTGAGGCAACCCTGCACTGTACATCACAGATGGTCTACCTAGATGCAAATAAAACCCTCAGTTGGTTGCACAGACTGGGCCTATATGTAACTATTTACTTGCCCCTGTGACTTGTTCTGGAAGCAAGTAATAACACAAAGGAGAAAATTTCAAAAATGTCCATCAGCCCAAACCAGGATCTATTTTCCTCTCATATAAATAGATACATTTTAAATTTAATGTCACTTAATTAATTTTATTTGGCAGAGGAAAAATGAGATATCTTCACAGAGAAAAAAGCTATCTGGAAATGTATTGGTCTCCTTAAGAGATAGCTAGTGACTCACTTACTATATTCTTTTACTTATAATTGAAGTCAGTCACACCTCCCAGGAGGAATTCCTCAATCTGTTGTTGGATAGTTATTTTGAAATATAAAATTTCATCCTATCAAAGTAAATGAAGCATAAAATCTTGCTTAATAAGTTTGCATTTATTAAGCACTTGTTATTACTGCAGATAAGCATTGTTATTTGTAATACACTTTGGCTTGTTCTACCTTTTCTTTCGCAGCCTTAAAAATAAACAGACCCTGAGCCACATTGCCTACAGTATCTAGTCGTTTGGGATGATGTGACATCCTGGGGTTTGTTTACTTCCTGCGCTTCTGTCATATCTGGAAATAAACTGGGTGCTGGAATATGCAGGGAGCCCTTTACAGACAATTACTCTTCTGTTCAATAGGTAGCTCTTTTACTGGCTGTCCTAGGCTAACATTAGAGGAGATATGAAATCAATAAATACAGTATGTTTTCCCCAGAATTGATAGTGCAGTAGGGTGTGTGTGTGTGTGTGTGTGTGTGTGTGTGTGTGTGTGTGGTGGGGACACAAATGACCATAATGTAGAGCAAAATGTGAATGTCAAAGGATGATGCAAATGAAGGGACCACATCACACTGGGTGATCAGGAGTGATTCTTGAGGAGGTTGAACTGGAGTCTGGTGTTGCTGGGTTGTCGAGCATAACAATGAAGATGATTTGCTCAGGGGTCAGACTTTCCTTTGCTGCCTGTGTGACCTTGTGAAAGTCACTTAATTTTTCGAGGCCTCAAATGTCTCCAGTGCTAAGTGGGGCTAGTAAAGGTCACTTTTGAAAATTAAGTGAGATAGTATATGCAGGTTACCTGCTACAATACAAAAACTCATTAAATGTTACGATTTTTGTTAAATATTCTGAATAGAGATGATAGATGAAAACTATTAGAATGGATAATGCTGCTTTTAGAGACATATTTGAGAAAAAAGAGAAAGACAATATTTTCTCTCGGTCATATATATTGACCAAGGATATATATGGCTTCCTTGCTGGATTTGTCCAGACTCTAGCAAAAGGGACTGAGAGTCTCACGAAGAAAGACAGGAGACCAAGGATATACATTGACCTAGGATATATTGATCAAGAATATAATGTATCAGCTGGGCGCTGTGGCTCATGCCTGTAATCCCAGCACTTTGGGAGGCCGAGGTGGGTGGATCACCTGAGGTCAGGAGTTCAAGACCAGCCTGGCCAACATGGTGAAACTCTGTCTCTACTAAAAAATACAAAAATTAGCCAGGTGTGGTGGCAGGCACCTGTAATCCCAGCTACTCAGGAGGCTGAGGCAGGGGGAATTGCTTGAACCCAGGAGGCAGAGGTTGAAGTGAGCCAAGATTGCATCACTGCACTCCAGTCTGGGTGACAGAGCAAGACTCCATCTCAAAAAAAAAAAAAGAAAAAAAAGAAACAAGACAAAAGAATATAATGTATCAATACCTAGGGAGAAGAGGGAGAATGAGGGTCCTCTAAGGAGACAGCAAGTGGGAGAGGGAGGAAGAGGTGAGGGACTGAAGAGTGACACTAAGTTGAGATATAGAAGTTCAACAAGACCATTGTATATGGGGACTCTCACAAGAAAACTTGAGTAAGTAATCTTATCAACCTGTTATCCCTGCAATTTTATCAGACTGCAGGGACTTAAGGAGAGAGAGAATGTGAAGGCAATGGGACAGGGAGCTGAGATGACTTATTAAAGAAGTATAGTGGTAGGGAAGAGGACAGAGAGAAGGTGGTGACTTCGGTTACTAATAGTGAGGGGAGTTGCTTATTTTGCAATAAAGACTGAGTGTATATAGGAGCTTAGAAAAATATTTAATAGATTAAGCATAATTGTAGATAAAGGTAAGAGACAGTATAATTCCTGGAACACGACCCCTTGAGGGAGACAGGATGAAGAGCACATGTGACTGTCCTGGCCACAGGGACGCAGACTATCTCAGTAGCACTTTGAAAAATGTGTGATGCAGTCACTTCTTGTGCTCTAGCTTTTTAGGGTATGATACAAAAGGATGAGCAAATCTAAAACCAACTTAATGCTGCCAATTCACCATCCATTCACAAACAGACTTTTGTTTTCAGAGTGAGGCAGCCCATGCAACATGACACATTCCATTACACTGCTAGGTTAGTCCTTGAAAAGAAAAGTCAGGGTGAGAATGAGGAGGAAGAGGAGGCTTTCAGGCCTTAGTTGATCTACAAGGGCAGGAAGGTTGGGGATAAGATTGGCTCAGGGAGGATGAAATGGCAAAGGAAATCTAGAGCACTGGAGCTAACGAGAGGGCCATGTTCCTTTCTGAAATGGAACGTATTTGGGGTTTTCCACATCATGATCAAGATTGGCATAGATCCTTCTCTGAGGGAGAACACAAACTTCCAAGGATACTGGTGTTTAAGAATAAGTCTCTGCCTACATTGTAGCAGTTAGGTTTTGCGTAGGGAAACAGAACCACTGTGAGTGTTATAGAATAAGAGATTTACTTTAAACATTATATGGTGTTCAAACATAGGAGCCTGGTTAAAAATCTATGGAAGGTAGACTATTTCCCTGCTGGTGGCATAAAGAGCCTCAGAGATCATCTTCACAGTAGAAATAAAGCATAACTGGTAAAAATTATAAAAATATAACTTTTTAAAGTATTTGGACATTGTCTTAAGGGCATATAACAAATGAAGAAATATTTATTGAAGGAAATACACTAAATATCAAAAAAGAACACTGAGAGTCTGTGGCATTGAGCCATGACCTATTCTCTCCCTTTGTCTCCCAGTTCAGCAAGTAGAAACATTCTACTTTGAGCAGGTGGCCAAGATGAGGCTTCCTGTCCCCTGCTTCAGGCAAGGGTTATGGTATTTCTTTGAGAGGGGCAAGCTACCATCATTTCTTATCACTCTCAGTTCTGTTTTGCAGAGGCTAAATTCTGTGCAAGTGTGGCTGAGAGGTTGAGGGTTTACTTCCTCTAATGAACACCCACTGGTAGGGTAGAGACTCTATATCAGACATGGCATGCTGAGAATACTGGGGCCCCAATTACCCTTACTCCAGCACACTAGCAGGATAGAGGTTCCATGGTGGAAGAGGAAAGCCAAGAAAACCAGAAGGTATTGCCCCACCTAGAGCTACTATCCTTTCCCTAGCTCTGAAGCAGTGATTCATTGGCTTTGCCCAGTGGGAGAGAGAGCTCCAGAGCATTCCCCAAGATAACTTATTTTATTTGGCACAAAGAGTAGGGAAGTTCAAGATTAAAGGGTGCTCTGGAAAACAGTGGAGATTCTGGTGGCAAGCACTTTAGAAGAGACTGGTAACTCGGTAAAAGCAACAAGCTAATCTTCATGTAGGTAGTTCAGCCAGAGAGAATCAGGGAAATTGATAGCTATGAAGAGCCCTCTTAAGATCAGAATAAACCTCAAAGGCTAAACATACCAAGGATCATGAATTTAATTGGATTAGATTGTGAAGCAATTTATGCCGCAGGGCACTGTCAAAACCAATAGAGCAATCCGGCAGCAAGTAGTGGAGTGGAGACTCACAGTTGGGAGTGATACCAACAGAGGAAGATAGCTTTACAGAATGATTTGGGAAGGCACAGTCATATAGAAGCTTCCTAAAACCACTGTCACTTCAATGACATGCTGAAGTCTGCACTCTCTAAGTGGCAACCTTAGAGGTTTTACACTGTGAGGTAAATATACTTTATGAAAATAGCTCATCTAAGTCACTAAAAAAATAAGCAAACACAACAAAGACAATCCTCTAGTGGGGGCGGGGGAGGGCAGTGATTAGTATTCAGAGTTGTACAATTTATTTAAAATGTTCAGTTTTAAGCCAAAAATATGAGTCATGTAAAGAAACAGAAAAATGTGATCTACATAAGAACAACAGATATTGCTTATGAGAAGGACCAAGATGTTGGACTTAGTAAATACAGCCACGTGGCTATTACAAATATATATAAAGAACTAAAGGAAACCATGTTAAAGGAGTAAAAGAAGGTATGATGGCAATGTCTTATCAAATAGAAAATATTTATAAAGAATAGAAATTACAATAAAAAGAACCAAGTGGGAATTCTGAAATCGAAAAGTGTAATAACAGAAACAAAAACTTACTAGAGGGGCTCAATAGCAGATTTAAACTGGAAGACCAAAAAATTAGAAAACTTTAAGATAGAGAAGGGGAATTTGTGCAATACAAAATACAAACAAACAAAAAAACCAGAGGAAAAAAATAAAGACAAATGAACAAGGCCTCTGAAACATGTGGGATACCGTTGAGTACACCAACATATACACAATATGAGTGTTAGAAAGAGAGGAGAGAAAAAGGAACAGAACAAACATTTCAATAAATATTGGCTGAAAACTCCCTAAATTTGATGAAAAACATTAATCATACCTATGGAAGCTTAATGATATCCATTTGAATAAAGGCAAAGAGATCTGTTATCAGACATATTATAGTAAAAATGTTAAGAGACAAAGAGAAAATCTTAAAAGCAGCAAGAGCCAAACAATTGATCACATAAAAATGAACCCCAATAAGGTGAACAGCTTTCTTTGGAGTAGAAAAAAATGGAAGCCAAAAGGCAGTGGGATGACATATTCAAAATGCACAAATATTTTAAGAAGTCAACCAATAATCTTATGTTGGCAAAACTAGCCTTCAAAAATGAAGGCAAAATAAAGACACTTCAGGATAAACAAAAACTGAAAGAATCTGTTAATAGCAGACCCACCTTTCAAGAAGTACTAAAGGGAGGTCTTCAGACTGAAAGCAAGTGACTTCAGACAATGATTCAAATCCAACCAAAAAAAAAAAAGGGGGCACAGGCAAAGGTGATTATGAAATTATTAAAGTGGCTCATGCCTGTAATCCTAACACTTTGGGAGGCCAAGGCAGGTGGATCACGAGGTTAGGAGATCGAGACCATCCTGGCCAACATGGTGAAACCCTGTCTCTACTAAAATACAAAAATATTAGCCAGGTGTGGTGGCTTGCGCCTATGGTCCCAGCTACTTGGGAGGCTGAGGCAGGGGAGTTGCTTGAACCCAGGAGGTGGAGGTTGCAGTGAGCCGAGATTGCGCCACTGCACTCCAGCCTGGAGACACAGCAAGACTCCGTCAAAAAAAAAAAAGTATAAATACACGTTTCTTCCCTTCCCTTTACTACTATTAAATAATTTTAAAAGAAATTGTATAAAACAATATGTATAAATTCATTGTTGAACTTACATATATAGACATATATTATGCAATAACAGCACAAAGAAATTGGATGTGAGCAAAACTATATTGAATTAAGGAAATTATACAACATGGCAATTAGAGTCCACAGCAACTAATGAATAAAACCAGAAATGTTAAATAAGAAGATAAATAAGAAAGTTGATGTAACAAACTCTTTCTTTCTCAATATGTATACATACACACACACACACACACACACACACACACACGTACATGCATACACCTATATATTTGGCATCCTTTCCTTTCCAGCTTCTTAAAAAAGACATAAAATTGTACAACATAGTATTTATAAGATTGTACTGTTGATTTTATAAATATATAGATGTCATATTATAACAGTAATAGCATAAAAGGGAAGGTAGGCTATATAGAAGTAACATTTCTATATATCACTGGATTTAAGTTTGTATAAATTTGCGGTTGATTTTGGTACATTAACATATGTATGGCAAGCCGTAGAGCAACTAAGAAAACTCAAAAAAAGTGAAAAATTATTAAAATAATGAAAATATCATACTAGAAAATATTCACTTAAAATATAGAATAAAGCACTAAACTAGGAATGGATAAACAAAAAGGACATGAGATATACAGAAGGCAAAAAGCAAAAATACATAAATGAAACTATCTCAGTTATAACAGAAGATGTGAATGGATGAAATGACCCAATCAAGTACAGATTGTCAAACTGGATGAAAACAAAATCAAATCTAACTCTAAAATGTCTAGAGTAGATACACTTTTGATTCAGAGATGCAAACAAGTTAAAAGTAAAAGAATGGAAAAAGATATATCATGAAAACAGCACCCGTAAGAAAGCTGAAATTGCTATAGTAGTATCAGACAAAATAGATTTTAAAACAAAACTGTTGCTGGAGAGATGGATACTTTATAATAATAAAATGATTAATTCATTAGGAAGATGTAACAATAATAAACATGTATGCATCTACCATCAAAATCCCAAAAAGTGCAAAGTAAAAACTGATAGAAATAGAGTAGAAAATTTCATAATAATATTAGAGTCTTTAATATGTTGCTTTCAATAATGAATAAAATAAGTAGGCAGAAGACCAACAAGAAAATAGAAGACTTGAACAATAGTATAAACCAACTAGACTTAAGAGATATCTATGGAACACGTCTCCCCAAAACAGCAAAATACACATTTTTCTAAAGCGCATATGGAACATTCTGCAGCTAGTCATAAAATAAGCCTCAATAAATGTAAAAAGCTTGAAATTATGCAAAGTATGTTCTTTCCAACGGCAATGGAATTAGAAATCAATAACAGAAAAAATGGGAAAATTTACAAATATGTGGAAATTAAACAACATTTTCCTAAATAGTAAATGAGTCAAAGAAGACATCAAGTGAAATTAGAAGACACTTTGAGATAAATAAAAATGAAGACATGTATACCTAAACTTATTAGATATAGCTAAAGCAGTGCTTAACAGGACATTTATAGCTCTAATGCCTCTATTTTAAAAAGAAAGATCTAAATCAATAACTTATCACCTTATCTTAAGACCATGGAAAAAGTAAAACAAACTAAAGCTAAAGCAAACAGAAAACAATCACAAAAATTAGAGTGGAAATTAATGAAATAGATAACAGAAATAAGGTGGCTCTTCAAATAAATCAACAAAATTAACAAAGCTTTGCTTGGATGGATCAATCAAAAAGAGAAACCAGCAAAATTACTAAAATCAAGAAAGAGGGACATTGCTGCTGTTCTTACAGAAATAACACTGATTATAAGGGAATGCGATGAATAATTATATGTCAACATATTAGAATTAAGATGAAATGGACACTCTAAGAAAGACACATAATACAAAAAACCAACTCAATAAGAAGTGGAAAATCTGAATAGACCCGTAAAAATGAAGGCATTGAATTAATAATTTGAAACTTCCCACAGAAAAAGCCCAATCCCAGATGTCTTTGCTGGTGAATTCTGCCAAACATTTAAAGAATTAATGCCTATTCTTTACAAAGTCTTCTAAAATATTCAGAAGGAAAAAACACTTCTGAATGCATTATATGAGCCTTATATTACCTTGGTGATCAAAATTATACAAAGACATCACAGATAAAGAAAACTACAGACCAATAATATATCAATGGTGAAAATGATTTTTACACACCATATGGCAGACAGAATACAGCTAATAATGAAGATATATTATATATATATATATTCATGATTTTCTCTGTATTTTCCAGCCTTTCTTGCAATTGTGGTAGGCCATGTGACTCATTCTGGCTGATGGACTCTGAGTGGAAATGTCATGTGTCACTTCTGGGCTGAGGCAGTCACGAGCTGGTATGTCTCATCCATCTCTCTCTTCCTCTACCGTTGAATCTTGCAAACCACCAGATCCAGAAGGAAAAGCTACAGGGTGAAAGTGGTGCCTGATCTTCAATGAACTTTACATGTTTGACGAATAAAACTCATGGTTAAGCTAGTGAGACTTATGGCTTTTCTGTTGCAGCAGTTAGCATTATTTATCCTGATTAATCCACCCATCTAAAATATTTCCGCATCTCTAAGACTCATTTTATTCTTGATAACCTGAAGGAATGTTCTGTTGTAGGAGATGAGCCTTCAAAGATTGTAAGAGATTCACATTTCATTCATAGTTATATAGGAGCACTTCTCCCTCAGACTCTGAACAAGCCCTGTGGTCCAACTGTCATTACTACAGAAGAAATGAAACATAAAAATGGGGCTCAATTTGAGTTTCATGAGCATAGCACTGAGACTTGAGTGCAAGTGTGGCTTTACAAGATCACAAATTCTCCTTTCAAACAGATCATCTGGTGGGGTTTGTTATGCGATGCAGACTGTTGATTGTCTACCTTATGGTCATATTCTTTATTTATTGCAAGAAGAACCTTGATGTTCAGTTGAAGGTGACCTTTCTCTAGCCTCAGGGGGTAAAGCATAATTAGTCCAAGATAGCCATAGTAGTCTTGCCAGTGACTGGTTTAGACATGGGCATGAAGACCAGTCTTGGCCAATGGGAAGTGAGGGAACGTCCATTGGGTGACTTCTGAGAAAGGCTTTATGTAAGAATAAAAATAGTTGGTAAAAAATGGAAAATGTCTCTGTTTTTCTCCAGACATTGTTGTGTCTGATTGGGATTTCTGGAATTACAGCAACCTTCCTGTGGCATAAGGGGAAGGCATTTTTTAATGCACAAAAGATGGTAGAATGAAGAGATGGAAAATACTGGTTTTCGATTACATTGTTGAGTTACTGAATCAACAAAGCCAAGGACTACCCAATACTAGACTTGCTATGAGAGAATAACAAAAGCCTCATTTCAATCTACCCACGTTTGAGGCTTCCATTACTTGCAGTGGAAAGGATCCATCAGTCAGTTCCCATCAGAGTAACAAAAATTGTAAACTAAATATGGGACTAACTGATGGGTCTCAGTGGAGGGGGCAGGACTGATGGCTATCTAGTACACACTGATATACTCATCTCAGTTGTTTATGTCCCAAATCAACTCTGATTGGTTAATGAATGCCCTAACCTGATTGGTAGTACCATTGACCCTTGAACAACATGGGGGTTAAGGGTGCTGGCCTTCTGTGCAGTCAAAAATCTATGTGTAACTTTAAACTTTCCAAAAACTTAACTGCTAATAGCCTACTGTTGATGGGAAGCCTTACTGATGAATAGCAGATTATCACATATTTTGTATGTTATTTATATTATATACTATATCCTTATAAAGTAAGCTAGAGAAAAATATGTTATTAAGAAAATCATAAGGGAGAGGACATGTATTTTCTTTTCATTAAGTGGAAGTGGATCATCATAAAGTTCTTAATCCTCACTGACTTCACACTAAGTAGGCTGAGGAGGAGGAGGAGGAGGAAGAGAAGAGGTTGGTCTTGCTATCTCAGGGGTGGCAGAGATGAAAGAGGTGGATGAGGTGGAAAGGAAGGAAGGAGAGGTGCACCCAGTGTAACTTCTATTGAAAAAAAATCAGTGTATAAATAGATCCTAACAGTTCAAAGTTGTGTTATTCAAGGGTCAACTGTATAGATTATGCACTTTTAGCATGTATTTTTTTTTAAATCATCACCTAATGTTTGGTAAAATTCAGTTCTTTCCTCAGTAGAAAACTCTGCTTTTAGTCTAAAACATTTGAATGTCTGATTGATTTCAAAGCTGCCATTTATTTCTCTTCAAAATACTTTGGAATGTCAATTAGATATGACTGAAGTTATGCAAGTGATATAGCACCAAAGATCATGAAAATGGAATGATGCAAGAATGATGAGAGTACAGTTCTACCTTACTTGGAAGGGCATATAATACAACTTAATTTGCCTTACTTAATTAGGGTGAATTAATTTCTCTAAATTGTCTGGAGATTTTAAGAAATGAGTATTTTAACAATAGCTTTATGACATGTATTTTATAAATACAAATGTTTAGAAATGCTTTATAAAACTCAAGTCTCAGCCCAGATCATTTGTTTACAAATAGGAGAGTTGCTTCTTTTAGAGTGTGTCACTTGATTCTACATGTGTATAGTCATGTATGATAAATCTATTTGCACACAGCACCTTCCTGATAATTGTATTTTTGTTTTGGAAGGCACAAGGTGCAATTAATCATTGACCAGTTAGCAGTTTATTGGTTGATACGTTTATTTGGACACAGCACCTTCCTGATAATTTTATTTTTGTTTCGGAAGGCACCTGGTGTAATTAATCATTGACCTCTTGGCAGTTTATTAGCAGACTCTGTAATAAAACAATGTTTCACATGATAAAATCCAAGCTTCAAGAAAGCTCCTATTTAGCAGAACCAAGTAGGATAGCTGGAGTAGAAGAAATCTAGTTGCTCAGTCAACTCAAGTTGTTCAGGCCGCTGAAATCTACCAATATGTAGGACAACTTATAGTAAAATTTACTTTTTCGACAGCATCAAAACTCCAGCACCAATTCTATTTGAAATATTTTGTTATTGTCATTATTTTCTTACCAGTTCAACACTAAACCAAGTCTCATTGAGTGTCCATGTTACCAACTGTTCTGCCAGAAGACAGGAAATGTCCACAGAGAGACTGAAAGCTGACAAATGGTACATAGAGAGATGTTCAGGGAACAGCTGTGAGAACTGGGAGGAACATGAAGCTAACACTGGCTGGAAAAGGCAGGGGAGGTTTCATGAATGAGGGAAGAATTGATCAAAGGTTTGACTGCTGAGCAGTGGAAGGATAGGCACAGTAGCAATGAATAGAGAGAAAGATCCCCAAGATAGAATTGAGAACATCAGGATAGATACCCATCACCTTTCTCCTGGACCACTGCAATTACCTCCTGGGTGGTCTCTTTATTTGATTTTGACTCCTCAACTCTGCAGGTGCTAGACAACTCTTTCTCTAGCTCTAACATCCAACCATCATCTATAACAGCATTTTTTTTTTGGTGAATAACAAAAAGTATGTTTTTACATGTAGAACTGACGCAAATGATACACTATTTAGTTCTTGATTTGGGGTAGTTTAATTTTATGTGTGATGGTAAAGTTTCTCGTTGGGTTAAATTTTACTGAAGGTCTCTGTACTTCCTATGTCTGTGTGTTGGCATCTTTCCCCAGATGTAGATGTTTTCAGCCACTCTCTGCAAATATAATTTCTGGAAAATAAATTTTCCAGTTAGAGGAGAAAAGATAATTAAGAATAATAAAGAAAGACCACAAGAATTATGGGACACCATCAGGAGGTCTAACTCTAATCTGCTCCCTAGAGATGGCCATCAACAAAAAGAGTTTGGGAAAAAAAAGTATGTACCTTTGCCCTGTGCTGGGGATTTTCATGTCAAAAGCTAGGATGTAGCAGTCAGTGGCAATATCTTTCTTATTCCTCACTGTGTCCCCAGTGTCTACACATGGCCTCACACATGATGTGGGATAAATATTTGCTGATTGAATCAACTTGTTAAGTGCTGTGAGCAATACTGAAGTGAAAAACCATTTAACTTGGGAAACTCAGTACATATATCAAATACATTTTTTTTTTCTTTTATCTTTCATGACATCTACCTATGTCATGAGAAAAACTCTTTGGGAATTGTTGGTTTTCAGTATAGAGCTTAGTTATTTGGTACAGAAGACAATAATCTGCCTGATCTCTGATGTTCCACCTTCCATTTATTGCCTAAGCAGTATCAAATGGCTCTCACTTCACACCCTGCTTTTTATTCCTTCCTAGCCTTTCTTCATATCGTCACTTTTCGTAATTTCTTCAGTTTCTTCTGTTTCTTCCCAACTGTTCTCCCCTTTCACCTCTCCCTCACCTCCACCTCACATACAGACACTCTGCCTGCCTTAAGACACAGCTCTGGCTTCACTTCCTAAAAAGCACCAGGCTGGATGTTCTCACTGCATAACACCATCATTACACTCACCACCTTGTATAACAATAATATTTTAAAGATTTTTTAATAGGCAAGTCACTTAATAAATATTTTCTGTTCATTAATGAAAGAACAGAAAATAAAAGATCACTTGCAAAAATAATAGCTTCCATTATCTCTTATTATCTTTTAAATATTTCAACACTATTGTCTGGTGTGACAAAGACTGGCTATTCACCAAACCCATTTACCTCTCCTCCTCACAGCTAGGCTACATTTCTGACATCCCTTGAAGACAAATGTGGCCATAAGACTGAGTTCTGAGCAACGTGAAGTGAATAGAAGAAAAGTGTGTTACTTCTATGACTAGCTCATAAAAGCCTCTCTTCACTGTTGCCATCTGAATGTTGATGGCCAAGATGACCTTGGAAGCTACACATTAAAGATTCCAGAACCTTTGTTAGCCTGGTTTTCTGAAGAAATGTGAGGAACAGAGTCCTTACCGCCTCCCAACCCTACTTCTTATCACTACCAATTAGATTTATTATGAATAGAAATAAATTTCTGTTGGGTTATGCCATTGGGATTTGGTGGCTTATGTATTATGACACCAAGTATTACCTTAATACACACATACTATCAGAATATTGTTAAATTCTTTCCTTTCTAACCTTTGCTTAGAAGGGTTTGGTGGAAGTCTGAGAACCAAATTACCTCCTCAAGGAAATGTCTGTATTAGGAAACACCTGGTCTGATCAAAATTCAAATCAAGGTCTGAGGAAGTTTAAGTATAAAATTAACTCTGTAGAAGACCCAAGTCTTAGTTCTTGATTGATTGAGCATGTCTTTGTAAGTGTTAGGCTTCACTGACCCCAGAAGTCAAAGAGAGTGATAAGTTACAAATATGGAAACTTTGAGGGGTCAAGTTTTCCTATATTAGCTACTCCAGCCCTTTCTTTCTATTGATTAATCAGGTCAGTTCATAAGAGGTTAATTTAATTTCCCATCATCTTGAGTTTCCCATTCACCACCTGAGAAGTCAGCCAACAAAACAGTGAGGATCTGAGGAGGGCCAAGGCTTCAGCAAGGTGCAGCCAGAGTGGTGAGTGAAGGATGAAGGATTCCCACAAAAGGCAGGATTGCATGGAGGGGTCTAAATTGAGTCCCCAGCAGAGTGTTTAGTGAATATCTGCTGAAGAAATGAGTGAATGAGGGAGAGCCAAGACTGGGAAAGTTAAGAGAGGTGGTAAAGACCTTCCAGGATAGGAGGACCAGTGTGGGCACCCATTGGTGGGTGGAAATGAGGGAACATGGCCTTGCATGGGCCTCTGGCTGGGCCTTGAATGGTATATACTTGGTGATAAGCTGTATAGAGTCCACTGGAATTGAATAATGGAACGCCTTTGATAGCAGGGTAAGCCAGACTTTGTCTTTCAGGTAGTTGTGAAAGAAAGGTGTGCTTTCATTGGGATGTTCCCCTATCAGAACTGCAGAAGAAATGCAGGGCAGAAATATTTGTAAACTGGACCCCACTTGGAATGACAGCTAGGGTGAAGGTTCTAAGTCAATTGGACTTACTTCAGCTTTAGAGCTAAGTGGCTATCCTTCACCATCCTGCAATGGCTGCATTATTCTGATCTTGTTTATAACTGGCTGGCTCACTTGAGGAACACAGAGCTTTTATTGAGTTATTCTGATAAATCAGAGAAAACAATGTACTATTGGTTTTATATCTCTGAGAATAACTACCACGTTCTTGACCAATTATAAAATGCCATGTGAGAACAATGTTTATCTCTCAGGTGCTCAAAAGCTTTTATGGACATGCTCTTATTTACTTACATGCTATTCCAAAGAAGTAGGTGGTGGATCACTGCAATGGAATTAGAATCATCTTCACGTAATAAGAGAGACACAAGGACATTAAGCAACTTGCCTAAGGTTATGAAGCGGGAAAAGACAGGACTAAGTTGATCCTCTCAAATCCACATACCAGGGTTAAAGCCCGAAAGAAACATAAAAGTTAGATCTTTAAGACATGACAAACTGGAACATATTTCAGAAATAGAGTACCCATGGGACTTAGTCTTTTTCCATCTCAGGTGAATACTAGTAGCTGCAAACACTGTGCAAAGCTTGACTTCCACGTGCGTGTACCTGTGTTGGGCATGGGAAAGATCACTTGGGTAGTGTCTTACAGCACCCAGCCTCATGGAGGTCATGGGCTAGTGGAGAGAAACCATGTGCAAAATAGAACAAAAATAGAACCTTTTAAGACTAGAGAGCAAGAAGTCTAGCCAAGTGCCATAGCAGTGGTGAAAAGGAGACAAGGAGTTTGATAATTTATTTCATGTTTATACATCTGTTCATTCATTCATTCCAAAATTATATATTGAGCACCAACTCTGTGCCAGCTAGTGTGCTAGGTTCAGGTGAAATGGTGTGAGCAAGAGGGACAGAGGCCCTGCTCTCACGGTTTAGATCTATGCTGTTCAATACAATTGTTGCTAGCCATATGTCGTTAGTTACATTTAAATTTCAATAGTTTAAATTAAGTTTAGAGATTGAGATCTTCGATTGCACTAGCCACATTTCAAGTGCTCAATATTCTCATGTAGTTGGTGGCTACCTTACTGGACAGGACATTTATAGAGCATTTCCATCATCATAGGAAGTTCTATTGTCCAGAAGTTGGCAAATTATGGCCCGCAGCCTAATTTTGTAATAAAGTTTTATTGAAACCCAGCTGTATCCATTTGTTCATGTATTGCCTATGGCTGCATTTCCGGTGCAGTGGCAGAGTTGAGTAGTTGTAACAGAGACTGAATAGCTTACAGAGCTGAAAATATTTACTATCTATCAAAGGCTGCCAACCCTTGGTCTGGAAGGAAATACGGATGAACAATATTTAGAAAAAGGAAAATTATAAGTAATTAAGAGTGCTGTGGAGTGGTTATAGGATGGGATCTGACCTAGTTCAGAAAAAGAGAAGGTCCTCCCCAAAGAAAATGAAGTTTTAAATAAAATCTGAATAATCAGTAGGAGTTTACCAGGAATAAAAAGTCTTCCAGGCAGAAGGAAGTGCTTGAGGAATGGTAAGGAGGGTGTGCGGTTGGGGTAGCTCATGGATAGGGAGGGGCAGGCATGGCTGAATGTCAGTTCCAGGAGGAGGACCTCCATCCACTTTGTCCATTGCTAGTAGTACCCCAGTTCCTAGAACAGTGTCTGACATGTAACAGGGGTCCAGTAAATATTTAATGAATGAAGGAACAAATGTAAGAATGAATAGGCTGAGGAGGTGATGCAGGGCTGGCAAATTGTGTTAAGGATTGCAGCTTTGATCTTAACACGGGAAGCTACTGATGAGTTTAAACAAATGGTAGCCTGATCAGGCATGGTTCTTGAAAGGGCCATTGGAAGATGATGTGGTAAATAGATCTCCAGGGAGCCCCCGTATTCAGTGGTTCACAGTGATTTGTGGTTAGTCATTTTAAAATCTCTTTTATATTCGTGGTGGAAGAAAATTTGATGAGTCCAGCTTACTTAGTTGGTTCTGAAATTTCAAGTCTCTGACCAAAATTCAAAAGGCTAGTCTCCTAAATTCCACAGGAATGAACCAACAACAGAGGTGTGTTTTGACATCACAGTGTGGTGTGCCCTGTGGCATTTCTTCACAGTAGGGGCAGCCAGTGACTCATGGATGAGTTATTATGAGGGTGGGGCTCCTGGAGGCACATGCAATGTGGTTCTGACAGTCATTTGGCTGAGCTCCGTGGACTGAACTTGGATTACAAACCACAGTTTTTCTTTTTGAATCAAAATAAACCAATTTCTTCTTGCACCTCCTTGCTGAGCTACTATACCTAGGTCCCACCCAAAATTTCCTGTCCCCTGATGCTAGACCAAACAGGGACTGCTATTCAGCCACATGTAGAAGCAGAAGGCTCTCTGACCTAGAAAGAGAGAAACTTGCCAAGGATTCAGCAGCTGTTCCCTTCTCTGTGTGTTTATTAGGAATTGGTGTGTGGCTGCACATAGCCTATTACCCCATATAACTTGGTTCATCTTTTGGTTTCCTTTGAAGACAGAATGTATCCTTACAGATTACACTTAGTTGAAATATACGGATTCCCTGGCTGAGATCTTTTGTTTGCACTGAAAGCAGCACATGTTATTTTACTTTTCATGAAAGCCTTTTGCTTCCATGAAAAATAAGTATATTGTCTCCAAACAAGTAATTCGCTAAGAAAATGGCACCACAACAATTTATTAATTTGCTTCCAAAAAGTCTAATAATATCCATGATCATAATTATAATTATCTGATTAATTGTTTTCAAGTGCCATATAATATAGGAAAAAATAACCTCTCCCAGAGCAAGGCTAATCTTGACTAGCAATACTCCTGAATCAACCAGCTTTGTATAACCAGGCATGTTTTAGCCATCATAGCTCCTGAGCCGAAAGAAGTGAATAGGTGAAAAGCATGAGTTATCTGACTGGAATATTAAGATTGACATTATACTTAACAAAAGCGAACTGATGTCTGTGACTTGTTTAATTCAACCATTGAATCATTTTCGCAGGTCACCATGTGGAGCACTTTTATTTCTGAGTACTATACTCAGTCTGTAGGGACGTGATTCAGTTGTCTTGCTAAGAATGAACCAATGGGAAAGGATGGATTCTTAAAGAAAAGGCCAGCCCCTCCTGTCATAAGCTAACAAACTAACCCGAGATGTACTTCAGCTGTGGGATATCTCCAGGTGCCCCAAATCATTTGCATGGGTGGACAAATAGTGTTACTGTCAAGGGCTCCTTCGGAGTTTGTTTCTGGTTTTGTGATGTGTAAGGGAGTACAGTGTTACAGGCAAAGGGCACAGGCATGTCTTGCCCTGGATTGGCCGTTTTGAGATCTTGGGCAAGTGACTATACCTGTTTGAGTCTCTGTTGCTTCCTATTTTAAAATAATAGCCAAATAGCTTCATCAGCAGTAAAGGATACGAGTGTCCCAAGGCTGTGTTCCAGGTCTGAATATCACACTCTTGTGAGAGAACAAAGCATAAATAATTCAGCCTTAAAGGAAGTGGAAGCTAGTTACTGTTGTTGGCTTTGATCCTGGTTTTGACAAAATGCAAAACCAGCAGAGAAGAATAGTCCATTCTTATCTTGTATCTACTTGTTGGTTAGTCTAATAGTTCCTAAATACTAGTCTATAACACTTTAAAGACATGTATGAAAATTTTCACTGATGTATGGTAAAATTTAAAAATGATATATATGTGTAACATATAAGTATATTATGCTTGCAAGTATATACATATATGGACATCTTCCTAGGGACTGTCTCTTAATCAGACATCATGTCCATAATATCTTTTAGGGTGAATTTATGGACGATAGTGATAGTGGATAAGGGGTTATTAGATCTTTTGAATCATGGCAGAATAAAAACTTTGGTACAATATAATTCACTTAAAAAAAACTCACAGGTCTATGAAATTCTGAAGTCTGATTCCACTGGACTGAATCACCAGACATCAGCCCCCTGAGCTTTCACACTTTGTGAACAGAAACTTCTGGTCCTGTTGAGAAATGTATTACTAAGATCTTAAAAAAAATCATATAACATGGTTCTCTGAGATCTGATATCCGTTCTGCCATTATTATTCTAATATGTAAGAAGTTCTGGAGCCAAGTTTCCTTAGGACTAATTATCAAAGTAGGTGGTTGAAAAGCATGTTATGTTGCAAGAACCCAAGAGTTCCAACCGTGTCATCAATGCCTCTGCCTTGGGCAAACTCAACAAAGGAACCAAGGCGTGAATTGACTCGTGTGCCCTTGCTGGGTCTAGAATTAACCATTCGTAATGTCAAGATTTTAAGAATAGAGCTGAGGCTGGTCAAAGACTCCAAAGAAGGTATTCTAAGAAATATACATCATATAAAACATAGAGATGTGATGACAAAGGTAAATAATTGTTTAAGAGAGATTTGTAGAAAATTTTGCTATCTGATATGCCATGTAAAATCACTTTGCTGCCTAGCTATAAAAGTCTTAGGTAGAAATCAGTATTATTCTTTGAGGCTTTTAGAATCGCATGGATTTTTAAAATTTTAGTAAGACTGATTCCCAAAGCTGTTCCTCTGGGCAGTTTAATAACTAAATTGACACTTTTGCGTGTGTGTGTGTGTGTGTGTGTGTGTGTGTGTGTGTGTGCGTGCTGAAATAGATTACTGAAGAACAGAGGCTCTGATTTTTTTCCTTCCTTCCTGTTCTTATGAGGGGAAGTGGACGGAGTTGTATGCACTGAATAAGGGCCTGACAGGTGTCTGCTGCACCCAGCCCTTGAAGGCATTCCTGAATGTAGAGTCGGCGTGTCTGTGTCTGGCATTATAATATTATCCAGCTCTGTCTCTATTATCTATGTGGTTTTGATCTCACTTTTCTGAGCCCCATTTTCTCATCCTAAAACAGGTCAGTAGCATTTGTTTATCTGCTTCACAGCACTGGATCACTTCCTGGATGACTGAGGGTACAATGAGATCCTGGATGTGAAAGGGACGTACAGACGTAAGGATCATTGTAGTTGATGCTGAAGGTTAAAGGGGTAAAAATTGGCCGTGTTTTATAAAAATCACTGTCTTAATTTTGGGTTCTCCAGAAGCAAACCTGTATAAAAGATTCAAATACAACCTGTTTATTTGGAAGGTTATCCCAGGAAGCACTGTTAGAGGAGGAGAGATGAGCCAGCCAGAAAAGGGAAGGAAACCAATGAACGGTGTGCTTTTAAGGCAGTTACCAGTGTGGGCAGCTGGAGCTCGCTTCCACCGGGGTCTGCAGAAGACAGTGTAGAACACACCTAAGAATTATCTTTCCCGAAGGATGAGGCTGCTGGGGTATTTATCATCCAGCTCCCATCAGTCAAAGGTTGAGCACTGCTTCTAGGGGGTGTTGAATCTCCGGTGCTTTTGGCCTGATGCCCACTAGGGAAGAACGGGCTCCAGTTCCTAGAACAGTGTCTGACATGTAACAGTTTTTCAGAAAGTTCTCAGAAAAAGGGCATGGGAATTGGCCATTGGAGAGGAGGCTGTGCACATGGAAATGGTAACCGCCAAGAGCAGAAGTGGACATGGCACCAGCAGGGTCTGCTATGGTCATCCGAGTTTCAACACTGCACTTTGTTCGCACCTAACCTTAATTTCTTAATATTATTATACTCTACTATTCAGTTTGTTTTTATTTGAAGACGTATTGATGCTTTATTCAAGTATATTTCTGTCACTGTGTGTTAAAGGATTCTGCAGGCCGAGGACACGAACAGACACTTCTCAAAAGAAGACATACACGTGGCCAAAAAGCATATGAAAAAACCTCAATATCACTGATTAGAGAAATGCAAATCAAAACCACAATGACATACCATCTCACACCAGTCAGTACGGGTATTACTAAAAAGTTGAGAAATAACAGATGCTGGCAAGGTTGCAAAAAAAAGGGAACACTTACACACTGTTGGTGGGAGTGTAAATTAGTTCAACCATTGTGGATGACAGTGCAATGATTCCTCAAAGAGCTAAAAACAGAACTACCACTCAACGCAGCAATCCCATTACCAGGTACCTGCCCAAAGGGATATAAATTGTTCTACCATAAAGAAACATGCACATATATGTTCATTTTAGCACTATTCACAACAGCAAAGACATGGAATCAACCTAAATCCTTATCAGTGACAAACTGGATAAAGAAAATGTGTTACACATACACCATGGAACACTATGAAGCCATAAAAAAGAACGAGAGTATGTCCTTTGCAGGAGCAGGGATGGAGGTGGGGGCCATCATCCTTAGCAAACTAATGCAGGAAGAGAAAACCAAATACCATATGTTCTCAGAAGTGGGAGCTAAATGCCTAGAACACATGGACAGGTATAGAGGAACAACACACACTGGGACCTAATGGAGGGTGGAGGGTGGGAGGAGGGAGAAGATCTGGAAAAATAACTAATGGGTGCTTGACTTAGTACCTGGATGATGAAATAATAAGTACAACAAACTGCTGTGACACAAGTTTACCTATATAACAGGCCTGTGCATGTACCCCTGAACCTAAAATAGAAGTTTTAAAAAAAGGTTTCTGCAGGTCAACCAATATGCAACCTCTTGTCATATTCTGGCACTGTTTCACCAAAGAAGGGGCAGAGAGGGACATAAGGCAGATTCTTGCAAGGGTCAATATTAGTAATAGTGCACATTTGTAGAGAATTTCCTCTGGTGCCTGCACTGTTCTAAGGCTTTGCATGCATTATCTTATTAATTTCTCACCACCATCCAATAGGGTAGGCACTACTATTCACCTCATTTACCAGGTGAGAAAACTGAGGCACAGAGAGATTAAACTGCTTATGCAAGGTCACACCACCATGAAGCTGGGATTCAAGCTCAGGAAGTGTGAAAGTCAAATCCTGCTTCCAAGTTTTACATAATGATTCAGGTTACTAGGGTGATAAGGCTGTAGGGTGAGGTTACGTGATATTAGGAGTCAGAAGATCCTGCTTCCACTACCTGCCAGCTGTGTGGGTGATCATCTGATTTCTTCAAATCTTGGTTCATTATATGTGAAATTTGAAAGTCTATTGTAAGGATTGACAATATTTATAAAAGGGTGAACATATAGTAGTGTCCTCATGTATGGTAGCAGTTATTACCTGTATAATTATTTTCTCTGACGTGGTGATCTGTGACACGCAGAAAAGGAAGTTTTCTACATGTGGCTCTTATTTTGGGCCATAGGAAAGGAGTGCCTTTGCTTGTAACATGAGACAAATACAAGTTCACAATATCAATTTTGAAATTGATACTAAAGAAATTTGCAATAGCAGACATTATTTTAAGGATCATCAAACTATTATAATTCCTGGCCTTTGCTTTCTTCATGTGTTCAAGAAGACAGGGGATGGAGTGGAATTGTAAAGATTACTGAACTAAGTTCCTTTCCTGCTGGAGAGATTACACTAAAGACAAAGAGGAAAATAGCTGCTGATCGCTGTGGAATTATGAGTGTGTAGCAGGGGAATTTCTCTAGAAGACAGCCTTCTGGTGAGCTCTTCCTTTACGTCATTAGATGATGATTTACACATTAGCCAGTTCTCTTCTCCAGAGATTAAACTCTTTAATTTTAAGTGAGCAGTTTTAGTTCATCTTTCCACAGTCAAAACTACATTAGGAAACTTTCTCCAAAAAAGGAATCAAAAGCCAATGCAGGTCAAAACTCATTGAATGATATACTTCAGATTTGTGCATTCCATTGTATGTAAATTTTACCTCAAAAGAAAAAAAACTATAGAAAAATATTGAAGTTAATGGTATGCATGCTGAAGGGTTTAGAAGTGAAGTGTATTTATTCTACAACTTCGTTTGAGATGCATAAAACATATGGATGGATAGATAGATAGATAGGTAGACAAGTAGTAAACGTATAGCAAAATGCTAACTAGAATCTAGGTAGTAGATATATGAATATTTATTTAGAATTATATAAGGTTTTCTATAAATTTGCAAATGTTTACAATAAAATGGTGGAGGAAAGGGCATTTCATCTAATGATAAAAAGACAGGTCCTGTGACTAGATTGCACTGCTAACTATATGTTTTATCTCAGGCAAATTTAGTTAACTTTTGCATGACTAAGTTTAGTCATCTAAAAAATGACGATAGTAACAGTATCAACCTCACGTGGTTGTTGTGAGGGTCAACGGAGTTGGTTTTTGTAAAGTTCTTAGCATGTAGTGCAATGTAAAAGTTTGTTAAATAAAAGTTTTAAAAGTCGTCTCATATATGGGTCATTCATAGGAAAACAGATCGCATTTACTTTCTTGGACACTCGACTCTGAGAATGCAGTATTTTATTAGAAGCTGATGACAGCCCTACACACCTTGGGAGATTAGTCATTTTCCCTCTAATCCAGGCATATTTCATCTCCTGCTAAGATGCAGCAGGAATGATCAAGATGAATTAATAATATTTTATTTCTATTTTCATTCTCTTCAAAAAGTTCCACTGCTTAAAGCATGCTCCCTACCTCCAAGCTTGGAGTATATCATATCTGGATAGCAATAGAGAAGCATGTTGTTACCTGGTCACCAAAGTAATCTAATGACTTTGTGATTTTTAAAAAGGTGGTAGTAAATAGTAGCCATGCTGTCCAACAAAGCTTAAGAAACCTGTGAATTAATTAATAAGAGGTTATATACTTTGAAGTTTACAAAGAAGTCTGTGGATCATATGAGCAGAGCTTTCTTAGTCTTTTAGAGATCTAGGTATGTTAAATGGGAGTTCTTGCAAAGAACAGATTTGTAAAAACAGATAGTCTTTATTCATTCCATAAATATTTTTCAGCTCCTATTACATATAGGCTCTGGTCTAGGTACTAGAGATTCAGCAGTGAAAAAGATAGAAATTCCTGCCCAGGTGGACCTCACAGTCTAAATGTGGAGACAGGCAACAGATAGGAAATAAATTAATGTGTGCATGCATGTGTGTTTATGTGTGTAGGTATATGTGTGACTCTGTGTGTGTGTGTGTGTGTGTGCACATGTGCAGATGTTTTTAAATGCTAAAGAGAACAATTAAGCAGGAAAGGGGCCAGGAAGTTGGGGGGTGGGTTGCAATTTTAGAAAGCATGTGAGCCTGAGTCCCACAGAGAAGGTGCTATGTGAGTGAAGACTTCAAGTAGGAGAAGGGTGAGCCCTGTGGATGTCTGGGTAAAGGGTGTTCCAGGACGGGGGATGAGGAGTGCAAATGCAAATGTTGCAGGTGGGAGGACGCCATGGGTGGCTGGCTCCAGGAACAGTGAAGAGGCTGTGCAGCATCTGGGGTTAGAGTGAGCTCAGGGAAAGTAGCAGGAGATGAGTCACAGATGATCTGGCCAGGCTGTGGGGCCTTATGGTCGTGGTAAGTATTTTGTTTTTTGCTGTGAGTGAAATGGGAGCCATGGGAAGGATTTGGGCAGAAGAATGACATCTCTGGATTTTATTTCAGCAGCACTGGCTGCTGTATAGAGAAAGTCTAGTGGATTGTGGCAGAGGGGAGGGGAGGGTGGAAACAGGACATGGTGGTTTTTAAAACATGCTCATGAATTCTTTGCTACTCTTCCCATTAAGAGACAGGCTAATCTCCTCCCCTTGAACCTGGTGGGCTTGTTTATGGCTGCATCGATCCAGTTCACAGTCCTGGCTTGTCTCACCCTTTGGCCTTCCCAGCCCAGGTGCCAGGTGTGACACTGAGGAGGCAGTCTGGAAAGTGGACCCTCCTGGCCCAGCTTCTCCAGCCCAGCCAGTTGAGTCATCCTAGCTGAGACCCTAGACACCATGGAGCAGGGGAGAGCTGTCCTCACTGTTCCTTTTCTGAATTCCTGACCAGCAGAATCCACAAGCATAATAAAATCATTTTTTTATGCCACTGTGTGTTGGGCTGCATTGTTATGCAGCAATAGACAGTGGAACACAGATAAAAGAGTTGGAGCTCTGTAATACTTTAGGTGAGAGATAAAGGGGGCTAAGACCAGGGAGTTGCTGAGGGAAAGGTGAGAAGTGGTCAGATTCTAGATGTGCTGTGAAGGTCAGCTCATGTTTTACTGAGAGATAGAATGCAGAATAGAATGAAGGAGAAAAGTCACGAATGGCACCAGGGTTTATGGCTTGAGCCACAAGAAGGATAGAGTTGCCATTTATTGAGATGGGGAAGACTGTAAGGGAAATAGTTTTAGAGAGCGGGAGGAGGAAACATGAGGAGCACAGTTTGGTACATATTAAGTTTGAGACGACTTTTGATTATCCAAGTGGAAAGATCAAGTAGGCAGTCAGAAATGCCTATTTATGCATATACATTTACATATCTCTATACATCAAGTAGTCAGTTGGAAATGCCTATTTTATACATCTATCTACTTATCTATATCTATCTATCATCCATCTAATCTATCTATCATGATGTGTTAGAAATAAAGCTTGAAGTCGCAAAGGAAATGACACTCTGATAGTTGATTTCTCAGCAAGGCAAAGTTTACTTCTGCAGAAGGGTGCTGCTCGTTAGTTTGGTCACCACGAGAGCACATCAAACAAAGGAAAGCAGCAGATTTATCCCTAACACACTGGGCTCCTACTGCTGTGTGCAGTCTCCATTGGTTAGAGTTGGACCACACAATCTAAGCTGAACCCAGTTGGCTAACTTGAGACGTGCAGGGATGCAGTTACACTGACAAGAAAACAGTTTTGGTGGAGGTGGGGATGGTGGCGGGGGATTGGTGGGGGGGCTGTTGTGGTGGGGGGAGGTGATTTACAGAGTGAGTAGCAGATGTGGAATGTAGGCTCTATAGATAAGACTGAGAGGAAGGTTGTTTCCCAGGGCAAGGGAACACAGAGAGTAAGGGAGTCTGGCCTTGAAAGCAGGGAAAAAAGGGCAAGCAAACTTAAACAAGTTAACCCTTTGAAGAAGAATGTCTTACTGTATTTAACATGATGAAACAAGATCAGATCTTCATGAGAGATATGCAGTTAGAAAAGAATAGAGGGGCATAGACTAAGCCTTGGGTCATTCCATTGTTTAAAGGTCAAAGAGAGGAGGAGGAACCAAGAATAGAAAATGCATAGGAAAAGCTAGTGATAAAGAGGAAAATCAAGAGTGTAATACCCTGGAAGTCAAGAGAAGAATGTGCTTTGAGAAAGAGAGAGTGATTATTTTTCACTAATGCTGCAGACAGGTCAAGTAAAATGAAGATTGAGAAGTCATTATGGGATGAAGGATTTCAAGGGTTTATGGCTGTCATTTATTGAACATCTACTATATGCTGGGCATCGTACTGATTAGTCTTATGATAGCAGTAGAGAAGAAAGAGGTGACTGCAGGCTAATGTTAATAGATAATAATCATTTATTGACTATCTACTGTATGCCTGATAGTTATTGGGAGTCTTACATGTGCTATCTCATTTATTCTTTACCATAGCCTCATAAAGAATGGATCAGAGACATAAAGTTACCTTCCTAATATGGCCCAATTAGTAAGTGGCAGAACCGAGATTCAAACCCAGTTACATCTGATATCAAAGCTAGTGGTCTTTCTACTATCATTCCTCCTTAAGGAGTTCACATTTTCCTGGGACATCCTAAGGGGTGCGGGAGTGCGAAAAGCTACCACATAAACATCTTTCTGCGGAGTTCAGTTTTCTTCAAAGTTTTAAAAGAGTATATAAAAATAGTTTTACAGCAAAATAAATATTAATATATTATGTAATAAAATGCAAACTTCTAATATAAATGACAAAATATAGAGAAAGGGTCTCACTCTGTTGCCTAGGCTGGAGTGCAGTGGAGCAATCACAGCTCACGGTAACCTTGAATTACTGGGCTCAAGTGGTCCTCCCACTTCAACCTCCTGGGATAGCTAAGGCTACAGATGCATGCCACCACGTCCAGCTAATTAATTTTCTTTTTTTTCTTTTTTTTTTTTAAGAAATGGGGTCTTGCCATGTTTCCCAGACTGGTTTCAAACTCCTAGTCTCAACTGACCCTCCTTCCTTGTCCTCCAAAAGCTTTAGAACTATAGGCATGAGCCACCACACCCACCCTCTAATCCAATTTTTAAATAAATGTCTAACACACATGGGGCTTGCTGCCTCAATCACTTTGTGTTATGTGTGATATTCTCTTTTTTGGTGGATCAATTTGTGAATCCTTTACCCTGTCTTCTCTGGAACAGTTGATTTGCTGTTTTTTTCTAGTTGGATTGTAAGTGCAGAAATAGCCTAGTTTTATACAAAATTTCAGAGCCAAAGTTTCTAATCTGGGGATCTGAGGAAGTCAGGGAATACACACATTCTCTATGTAAAAAATTTTGCAGTTATGGACATATTAATTTTCATTAGAAAGTATATAACAGCTTCTCAAAGGAATCCTTGAACTCCAAAAGACTCACAACCACAAGACAGACAAATAAGAGCTGTGTATAACCCATAGGTAAGAGAATAATTAAGACTTGCACATAGCCTTTTGCTTGGGAAACTTTTGAAGGTCCAGTTAGACCAGATTTAGAGAACAATCTTGGTGACTAGACTTCATGAATACATCATCTAACGAAGGTTTGTGCACCACTGACTATGAAATCTGAGAGTTGTGGTTTGGTCAATAAATATCACCAGGTCTCTAACACTTTGATGAACACTTTGGGACTTAATATTTTAGATTTGGGTTAGTCAAGGAAATCTAGTGTATGTAGCTGGTCATAAGAGTTCCTCAAACCTGCAGAGTCTAGGGTAATTGTTAATATATCAACTCAGGAAAGTGAAGGTGGAAGACTCATCTATCACTTTTTGAAATATAAAGTAAATTAAATCGAGGCGAGCCAAATTCTCTGAGCCATTTTTCCTAAACAAATGAGAAAATAGCACTGTACTTAGGACTTTTTAGCCTATTTCCTACACTCTGTTTGCCTATAGTTTAGAGGTTACAAATTGGTGTTTGTTAGCAATGTTTTCTTTAAATCCACAGGATTTGAATTTTTAAAAATTAGATGCCAACATTTAGAAATCATGAGACCTCCTTTCCTCAATTTGGATTTCCAGCTTCTTTTAAAAGTTGGAAAAACTATCAAGATGGAGCCTGTTCTGTCTCTTGGAAACACCAGGCCTTGTTCATTTAAACCCATTCTTACCATCTCCTACTGTCCTACACAAGGCCCTGCTAGCTCCTCTAGGCATTTGCAATCTGAAACTCCGCTGGGCTCAGATGATCTTCAATATGTCAAAACTCTTCAGGAGAGCAGGATTCAGATGGCACTGTGATAGATAGATGAAGTAGATTGTGGAGGATAATTTTGAGTATTTCTCTGAGCTATGCTTGTAGTGTTTTTCCCCCAAAATAGTTAATTTGAACTCCAAATCACCGGAAAATATTTCTAATATGGTGGCAATAGATCTTTCTGTCGTAAATTTATAGATTGTAATACCTTAGAATTCCAGTAAAACTACATTAGTACAGGCCAACTGAGACAAAGGTAGCCATATTTACTAAAAACATTAAATATATTTCAAAATCAGCATAGTTGACTTCTTGCAATTAATTAGGTTAATATCAATTTACCTCAACAGTGAGAGAAAATTTTTCCAGGAAGCTTTAACCAATAGATAAAATTAATTTGTAATTGGCAGATATTAAAAATACTTAAAATATGTTAATTAAGCCAATGAAACACCTGAGCACACACACTTTATTGAGTCAACTATTTCTTCATAGACAATGTAATAAATTACAGACCTCCTAAGGGTTAATAATTACACTTCAGATTTGGCAATTTTCAAATGGGTGTGCTTTTGCATTGGTTTAGGTTCATTGTGTTTGGCTTTTACAGCCGGACACTCATCTCTGGTTAAGGGCTTAAGCATACAGTCCTTATGCCAAACAAAACAGAAATTTATAACTTATGAAAATGTGTCTTTGCCAATGATTAATAGCAAATTCATGGTCAAAGCAAACTCTGTAAATGTAAATATAAATGAAAGCATTGAAAATGGTACTGAGATTGCACAATGACTTTTCTAGTCATTTTAAGGAAATATAATATCCATGTATTCAGTTTTTATTGCTGCTTAATAAGCCACCAGCAAACTTAAAACAGCAATTATTTATTTGCTCAAGAATTTTTAATATGGGCAGAGCCCAACAGGGACAGCTGGTCTATGATCCATGAAGTATCAATTGGAGCAAACACACCCTGGGGCTGGAGGATTCACTTCCAAGATACATCACTCACACAGTTTAGAAGTTGGTACTGCATCTCAGCTAGAAACAGAGCAAGGATACTTGGTTTCTCTCCTTGAACTTCTTGGGCTGCTTGGGCTTCCTTAAAGCATGGTGGCTGGATTCCAAGAATGGGCACTCTACAAGGACTGGGTTCAAGCTGCGAGTCTTCTTGTAACTGACTCTCAGGAGTCCCAGATTGTCCCTTCCATCACGTTTTTGGTCAAGTAAGTCATTAGGTCTAGCCCAGGTTCAAGTGGATTAGAATTAGATTCTACCTCTCAATGGGAAATACTCCAAAGAATTTGTAACTATCTTTCATCTGCTGCAGGAGTGTCCAATCTTTTGGCTTTCCAGGGCCACATTGGAAGAAGAATTGTCTTGAGCCACACATAAAATACACTAACACTAATGATAGCTGATAAGCTAAAAAAAATCACAAAAAAGATCTCATAATGTTTTAAGAAAGTTTATGAATCTATGTTGGTCTGCATCCAAAGATGTCCTGGGCCAAATGCAGCCTGCAGGCCACATGTCGACAAGCTTGATCTATTGCATCATGTCTAAGATATCAGTATTGCCAGAAAATATTGTACTAAGTGAAGTTTCTATTCAGGGAGGCCATGTACTCTTGAAAAAAGCTCCTGAAAGCCAGACTATCTCTCAAGCTCTGACTGGGGCTAAGTGTGAGTCCACATGACTCAGAGTCACATGAGGTCAATTTTCTTTAGCTTAGAGTTGTTCAAAGTGAGGCATGGAGGTGACAGGTTCACTAATGTGGTATGTCTCTGAGTGAATAACATTGCCTATTGAAAGCACAGATATATGACAGTTTGGTGTCATTTGTGATAAGCTAAAATTTTTATTAAGAATGAAAAATCAGGAAAACAAAACAACTCACCATTCTTTTAACTCACACTGACTCTGCCCTTTAAGGCTGTGTCTGCTGGCCCCTTCTCTCTGGAAGTGGGTATGAATCCCATGCCTAACATTATCTTGTGTTTACAGGGGAAGCGTGGACTAAAGGATAAGAACTTAGGTTCTAGGATTGAACAAACTTGGTTTCCATACCTGGTTTTGATACTTATAAGTTGGTGACCTTGGTTGAGTTACTAAAGCTTTCTGTTTCCTCACCTATAAAATGGGTCCAAAAATAATACCTCATAGGAATGCTGTGAGATGATGAACATAAAGCACTGGGAATGCCTGGCACTTTGAAGATCTCAAGACATGTTAAAGATTATTATAATTATTATGTTCTTGATTACCTCCCAAAGATTTAACTATAGGCCAACATGCATTAGCTATTGGAGCTTGATGTCTTTCAATATCTTTAGTCACAGTGAAAGCATAAGCACCTTTCTTTTTAAAAGTATATTATTGATACCTTAGACAACTGGTATTATGTTCAGTTGTTAAATAAAGGTCTCTAAGCCTATTATCATAGAAAGTAGATAATATCATGGGGTCTTCGACAGTTGTTGAAGTAAGAAGTTAGGATAAGGTAGATAGCCTAGAGTTTATGTCCCAGTTTTGTTCTAGTTGTGTGACCTTGGGGTAAGTTATTTATGTTTTCAGAGCATCAGTTTCCTCATCTGTATGAATGTGGCTAATAATATCCACTTTGCATTACTGCTATAAGAATTCAATGAGGCAAATTACATAGTAGGACCTGGCATGTAGCACCCATCAACAATTGATTTATTAGCTTTACTATTATCATTATTAAACTGATCAAAATAACTAGATTATTCAAACTAAGTTTCAACTTGACTTTGCACTTAATGCACACAAACTGAGAAAATGGACTTTTCTTTCTTTTCTCATGGAAACTGATTCTAGCATATTCCTTTCCTTCCCTTTTCTGACTTCTCTTCCCTTCTTTCTCTTCCTTTCCTTACCTTTTGTATTTCAAATTGTATTTCCCTCATCATAGCTTTTGTCCATTCTTTTCTTTCTGGTGTTTGGCCTCTTTTTGTATTCATTTCTAAAAGTTATTTATATAATCAGAAAATTGCATTTTATGATATAAATTTTAAACATTTTCCTGGTCTGTAATTTGCCTTTTGGTTATTTCACGGTGTTATTCTTGTTTTGTTTTTGCCATGCAGAAATAAATATTTGATTTTTATGTAGTCAGATTGTTGACCTCCTGTTTTATGGCTCCTGGGTATTATATCATAGTTATAAAGACTTTTCCCATGTAAATATTATTTTAAAATTGATATTTTCTTATACTTTAATAGATTAACAATTACCTATAATATTTATCTATCTGTTCATGTACTAATAGAAAACCATTCTAATTCTTTTGGTGAGCAACATGATTTACTAGTTGGTAGTGCTAGTCACCCTCATTATTATTATTTATCATAGTCTTTCCAATTATTCTTCCTTATTAATTTTACACATAAACTTCAATGTCATTTGTCTGGCTCAAAAATATGTTGATTTATTTACTGGACTTACACAGAAACTGATAGGTTAACTTAGGCAGAATTAATGCATTTTTCATCCTGAGTCTTCCTCTACATGTGTTGTATGCCTTTCCACTTATTTTCAGTTTCCTTTCATGTCCCTCAGTAGCATTTTCATACTCCCTTCCAATTGATTTTCATTTTATTTAAATCTATTTCCAGGTCCTTCATGTTTCTGGTGCTATTGTAAAGGAGTTTTTACTTCAGTCATGCTTTCCAATTGCTTTTTATGCATTACCCTTTATGATGCTTCTTGCCATATTAAGTTTTAGTTTTTTTATATAGTTAAAATTTGCTAAGCTGTTCATGGTTTCTGGTTTTTCATCTTGCTTGAGTGCAAAGGGAACAAATTATGGCAATAATATTTACCCTTGATATATCCCTTTTCTCCTTTGCCAAACACAGTGGGTAAGCTCTGTTTATGTTGCTTAACAGCATAATCCTGTCTTGTATGATGATTAGCCCATTAGATCAGGGCTAATTCATAAACCATGCTCTAAGAGTCACCATAAATAAAGCTTACACAGTTTGGGAGAAACCGTATCTGATCATGCTAATTCCCTTCTCAAACCTCCATCACTTGCACATATAAATGGTTATAAAAGACACTCTTGGCGCATCCAGACCTTCTTCCATTCTGGTGATTTCTTACTGCAAGCACCTGTAGCTCAGCTTGAGGGCTTTCTCTGCCATAGGAGTGTGCTCAGCCCATGTGTGGAAAGTCTACAAGTGCTGAGCATCCCTCAACTGATTATGGACCGGAATTGGTTGACATTTATCTTTTTTTTTTTTTTTTAAATTTAGACAGCTTTGAGATGTGTTGTACGCCATCTCCCAGATGTCCCCGACAAGTCTCAGTCCCAGTTGCCAACAATGGTAACTTGCTCATGAGCGTATCGGCTTCCTTCCCTTCTGTGCCTCACTTCACTATTTTTCCTCTGTGCTTCCTGGGTTCACCTCCCTAATAAATTTCTTGCACTCAAATCTTTATCTCTGGGTCTGTTTCTTGGGGAATGTAAACTAAGACAAAGGCATTTTACAATCTTTTCCCACCTGGTTCTTTCCATTAAGCATCCTGAACCTCCTACCATGAACTCATCTTTCATTGGCCAAAGGCATAATGCTCTGATATTTTATATCCTTCTAACAGCCTTTCCCTCTGCTGGAATGCCTTTCTATGCCTGTACAACTGGCTACTCTGCTTTCAAGACTTGGGTCAAATGCCTCTCTGAAGCAAGTTGTCTTCCCAGCCTAGGTCAGATACACATTCTTCTGTGTTCCCATGCAAGGTCCATATATTTCTATTGTGGTGGACTATTTCCAAAGATGGTCACAATAATCTCTCCAATCCCTTACAACCTTTTTCAATGTGACTTTGCAGCCTCTGTCATGAAAAAAGCAGCATCTGTTTCTCCTCGCCTTGCATCTCAGCTGGACTATGACTGGCTTTGTCTACAGAATGTAGCAGAAATGTCCCTAGGACATAAAAGAGGTCTTGTAGTTTCTATTTTTACTCTCTTAGAAGCCAGTCATCCTGTAAAAAAGCCTGGGCTACTCTGCAGAATAATGAGACCACATGCAGAGGGTGTCCTGGTGAAGTAGACACAAGGTGCTTTGGACAACAGCTGGTACCAAGGTCTGGGACATGTGAATGGGGTGATCTTGGATGCTCAGGCAAGTTGATCTGCAGCAAACACCACGTGGAGCAGAGAAAGGCAATCCCTAGCAGCCCCTGCCTGAATCATGAACAATCCAATAGTTATTGTTTCAAGCCATTGGGTTTTGGACTGGCTGTTACATAGGAATAGATAACTGTAACATTTGCTATAGTACTTACCATTAAATACTATAATTGCTTGTCTTTCTCATTTATACTGTGAGCTATTTATAAATGGAGGGAGAATATTTTCATCTTAATGACTGCAGCACCTGACACACAAGAATGCTTTATAAATGATGAGCTCATGAAAAACTGCGGATTCCTTAAGGAGTTCATGGAGAAGCCTTGCCACATTGGGGATTGTTTTAAGGAAATAGGAGCCAAGAAACAAAGGCATTAGAAAATGAACACCAAAGACAAGACTAAGATGAAGACTCAGAGCAGTTGAAAGGGATTTCCAAAACTTTTAGTTTATGAATTCTCCTAGTAATTGGAGAGAATATTGACCTCTATTTCAATCAGGGGGTAGCCTAGGTGAGCCCCACAGACACAGGTACTTACCACGGCTGTCAGGCAGCTACCACTGTTTGCAATTAAACTATCAATCAGTCATTGCTCTTATTCTCTAGAAGAAGTTTATACTACAGCAGAAGAGTAGCTCTACCAGGATATTGCAGACTTCAAGAGGATATAGAAAGGTGGGGAGAATAGAAGTTCAGCTTAAATGGTTCTAAAACTGGAAATGATTTCCATAATAATGTGGCTTAATCCTTTCTCTTCTTCCAGCATCTGCTGAGCACCACCTCAGCCACAGCACTGCTTCTCACTGTCTGCGATGAAGGCTCACTGAATTGAGAAAAGTCTCTCAAAAGTCACATGACCTATTGTGCCTCACAGCTTCCTGGAATGCTTCATGACCTTTCTTATGCCCTTTACTAGCAACTCCTACATTCATCTCTGGAGTTCCTTTCCTGTCTTTTCCTCATTTGCCCCTCAGGAATAAGCTCCCTATTTTTTCTGCAATTATAATGTCTCAAGGTTCAATTTGAGTCTTCTCTGCTCTGAGAAGCTGTCACTGACCACCCCAACTTGTGATTTCCTAGAACATACTGAAAAAGGAACTGGCTTTGGAGCAACTTGGATTTGGGCTCAAATCCTGGCCATGCTGATTGTGATTCTTCAGAAGTTCCTTAGTGATTTATCTTTCCCCATCTGTATAATGGACAGTATACTACCACTTCATGGGGCTGTTTTGAAGGTACAGGAGATGCCTGCCTGAAGTGCTTAGCCCTTCCTGATACATAGCAGAATATTGATATTTATTATTATTTTTGCTCTTCTCCAACTTCTAGTACTAGTATCTATACCACTCATTTGTACTCAAGTTATGTCTGCTTTATGGCAGCTCTTGTCCTTGCACTAGCATTTAACTTTGATGTGATTATTTTAATGTTGATATAAGCTTTCTCCTAACAGATAAATTGTAAACTTCTTATTTATCTTTATAGGTCCTAAGAATAACAGATGCTTAATAAGTATTGGTGAAAAAAAAGCAACCACCTGTTAGGGCTCATAACCTATACCTGGTAATATTACAACATTCAGGTCAAGAACTCAATAAACCTTGAATTAGAGTAACTCTAATCCCCAAACATTTTTGTTTTCCAGGAAAGGGATGATTAGGAAAACTTTACAATTTTTTTTTCATCCTGCAGGTTTCGTTTAAGAGAAGAAAATGCAGACTCTATCCTCTTAAGAAACTACTTCTGGGAAAATGCAATGGAGACACAAGGTCTACCTTCCTAGGTTTTGGTTTTCCAAATAAAAGTTTATGGTCAGGTCAAAAATAATTGCTGGGAATTAAAAAGCAATTATGTGGATAATAGTTGCAAAGTAATTATATAGAATTAAGTAAGGAATAGGAAATTCCTATTCATTAGGAAGAATTTTAATTCAATAAAAATTATAAGAAATATCAAGTTTATAGATTAAGACTTTAAGCACCCATCTGTCTGTAGTGTGGATATGCTCATGAAGAGGGAGAACAAATCCTCTAGTATGATAGTGTCCTGTTACAAGTAAAAGGTAGGAGGCCATGTTGGGAATAAACAAATAAATGGACTTAGTCAGTGATGAAAACCAGTTTTTGTGCATTCTCAGGACATATGAGGTTTAAAGAAAAAAAAAAAACAGGAAAAATAGTCAGGCTCCATAAAAGCTCCAGAAAGGAACTCTAGAAGGTTTCTAAGAATGGAAAGGCTCTGGTCCTTGCCAGCCTTGAGACTGGGGCAGCAAGCCTGCTGCAGGCTGGAGCAGGGATGGCAGCCTACGCTGGACCAGGGGGAAGGAGGACTCATGAGCACCGCCTAATAGTAATTTTCATATGTTTGTTATGCCAGGGAACCCTTTGTCAACAGAATCTTGTAGGGTCCCCTAATGTATAAAAGAGATAACTGTGTTGCTGTGTGGTTGCAAATAAGTGGGAAGAGAAAGGGTGGGAGGATCATTGGAGGGGCTGGTAGGATCTTAGATGCTGCGGCAGAAGACGTTAGGCCAGGCAGAACGTGTTTGGGAGACCAGCAGCCTAGGATTCTGTAAGCCTTTGCAGACTGCTTCTATCCACAGGCAAGGCTTTTGGTCTAGGCCTAGTTTGTTAAAGGGTCCCAAGGATCAAAACTGGTGGCAAAGGAACTTGAGAGTAAAGACAACTTCGTTCCCATCATGGAGGGGACAATAAGCCCTCGTTTGCCCTATTACACTATGATCTCAGCCGGGTTTTTTTTGTTCGTTTGTTTTTCTGAAAAATATTTTTTAAGCCATAATTGAGGCTCTCAATGAAAGCCAATTGTAGCTTAGTGACACCTAAATATGTCTGAGACAAGAGGCTCTGGATGGCCCTTCAGGAAGGCAACAGCAGCCCTGATGTTTTCGACCGTTCTTAGGGAAGCCTCAGTGTCCAAGGATATTTACAGTCTTGCAGCTGCACTTCATAATGAACCTTTAGAATCCTGGGTTTTATCCTTACTTAGGAGTGGTTATAACTGTCTAAGTTTCTAATCTCATACCTCGAATGTGATTATAAAACCAAGATAAAATAAATAAAAGGGAGAAAAGTTAAGAAGGAATCTCTTCCCAGATGAGATCCCTCAGGGTCAGAATAATCACAAGGGTAAGTAGATGAATAGCTTGTGAGTTACAGGCATTCCAGAGGCAAGGATCGTCTTGAGTAGTGGCCTGAATTGATATTTAGTGATGCATAAGTGGTGGATATTACTGCAATTTCCTTCATACAACTGACAGGAGTTGAGCACCTTCTCTTCACATTGCTCCAGGTTTCAGATCCTCAGGTGGGACAGGCCAGTTCTGAGGTTTCTGATAGACACCTCCCAGCGTTGGACAGTGCCTTTTGTTAAGAGGGGAATGCTTTTGGGGACCACAGCCTGTTTACACACAACTCAGGCTCTAGAGCTCCTTTAGCCTCTTCCAATTGCACACACGAATGTAATTCACTGAGAGGAGGACTGGCCCCAGCCAGACCCACCTGTCCTGTGATCTTAGAACAATCTGCCTTTCCTGTGGGTGGATACTTGCTCTCTGGATGATCAAATGATGGAAGATTGCATGGGGCTCCCTGTGCCACTTCTCTTTCCAAACAGGAGGCTACCTGTTTGACTACTTGGGCTTGCTCCTCAGGCAGATGAGCTCACTTCTGCTGCTCAGAGCAGAGTGACACGGGATGTCCTGTGGGGAGTGGGGAACTGCCTTACATAAGGACCTCACAGACCCAGGCTCTCTCTTAAAACAAGCTGACAACTTTCCTCGAGTTCCTCCTGCCTAGGACACTCTGCAAACATCCCGGTGCAATAAGAGTGAAAAAAAAAAAAAGTGTCAAGTTGGAAAATACAAGTTTGTTTTAAAGATGCTGTTCTGTTTTCTGAGAGCAGTGTGTCACAATCAGCCCTGCTTTCTGAAGTGTTTTGGAAAAGAATGTCTGTGACGTCACATTTCAAAGAAATACTGTGGCCTCAAATCAAGTAGTGAGCTAAAACAATGCTCCACTACACACCAATAATAACTCGCCTTTCAAACAGTGATGCATTTCTCATGGACCTGGGAAGAATGCCATCTCCACCACATAATGTCAGCAAAATGTACTTTCACTTCCTCTTTTTCTTCTGAAGCATGACGGTTGTAGCAGGTCTCTTGGACAAAAATATATGCAAAGAGTTGGAACTTTCTTAATTCTTCCCTCCCCGCAAAATGCTTGAGACAAAAGTCTAGTAGGTACATTTGTATTTTAGGGAGCCTGAAGCTGTGTGAGTCTGTGTGTATCCTCTTTTGCATACAGAAGACATTTTCTCCTTAATCCACACCTAAACTTTTTGGTAGCCAAGCACTTTCTATTAACAGAGTCAACAGTCAAAACATGTAAAAACCCTTCATAAGATGAACTCTAAGTTAGGACAGCCTCAAATATCTTCACAGAGAAATATTGAAACGTTCAGGTAATTCAGAGAAGAGTAGGGGAGAGTGCCTCTTACCTGGGCTTCCTTCACTATTCCATTCTTTGTGCAGTTTCTGCTTTGTGAGCCATTGCTCTGTTTCTTGTGATTGTGAAGTTTCCCGTTGCAAACAGCACCACCTCCAGGGTTAGCCATGGGTGTGAAGTGACAGAGCCCGGGACAGGTTTTCCTTCAGAGGTCTCTGCAGGCTTTAGTTTTCAGTCTGCGAGGGGATGGGATAAAGCTCTTTGGGGCTGAGCCCTTAAAGGAATCTTACCAATCAGGCTTTTCCAGAAGAAGAGCAACAGCCTATCTTTTTGTCAGATCGTTGAAACTAAAACAAATGGTTACCTTTATACTTCTCAACTCCCGTCAAAATGTGAACTCCATGGCAACAAACCTGCTTCCGAAACTGTAAAGGAGATTGTCCATGCTGGCTCCTTCTGGGGACTGAGGGAACCTGGGGACTGAACAACCCAGTGGCAAAGTGTGAGGAGGCGGGCTGGGAGGTGGAGAGTCTTTTAAAGACACACACACACAGCACACTCACAGAGTCTTCTAAGTAACTGAGTTCTGAGTTAACCTCTTTTTCCCACCCCCTCTCTCCTGCATGTAATTGTGGTTTTTGGTTGTAAACCAAGCTCAAAAGTTAATATTTCTTTTTGCTATAAAATAGCATTCAGAGGTGGTTGCCAGGGCCTGGAGGGATGAGGCAAAGGGAAGTTATTGTTTAATGGGTACAGAGTTTGAGCTGGAGCAGATGAAAAAGGTATAGTGATGGATCAGTGCACAACAATGTGAATGTACTTAAACTAAACTGTGCACTTAAAAATGATTAAAATGGTAAGTTTCATGTGATGTATACATTTCCATAATTTACAAATGATTTGAAAAGATTTTTAAAAACCCAGTATTCAAAACCAACCTATGTTAAAATCAGTACTATAATAAGGGGGTACCAATCCATCAAGAATTCCAGTAAGACAGATGTTGAGGAGACAGAATATTTGATGACTGCGTTATCTTTATCTCGTGACCTTGGGGGAGGTATTTACCCACTTTATGCCTCAGTTTTTCCATCTATAAAATATCTGCTGAGGTAGAACAAAAATCATGCTGTAGCTTGGGTTTGTTACTGACGCAGGTGTGAGGTGGTTGATGACTGCAGGGTCCCAGTCCTGAAACACATCTGGTTTACTCACTAACTCTTATTCTCTCAATGCATGAATCTTCAAGGCTTTGTTTCTTCCTACCATCATCAAATGGCATGGTGACATGATTTGCTGGAGAGTCATTACAACCTGTTGAGTCTTCCCAAGTCCACCCTTGTGGTTTTCCTGAGTCGAGACTTCTTTAGCATCAGACTCTAAGAAAAGAAACCAATTTATTGGGGCAGTAGACAAAAACAAACAATCAAACACACACACACAAACAAAAAGAAAGAAATGGCCCCTGTTTCCAGAGCCTCATGTCCTGTAACTCAGCTCCCTTGGACAGGGTTCAGTTCTACTCCAGATTAATGTAGCTTTTGGAGGTGGACATGCTAACGCTTCTCCTAACTATGACTTGCATATGAGGGTACCTGCCTTTACCATCCCAAGGAATGCTGGAGGAATAAGATAAGGCCTGAGGCCAAGGTGAAAGACGGAGTTAATACCAAGTGTGTTCAGCCCAGTTTGTGTCTCAAGTTCAAAAATTTTATCGCATTTCTCTCAACCTTTATCATCAAAGTAGAAGTAGATTTTCACTGGTCTCTCCCTTCCATGGCTGTTTCACTGAGATTTGGGGGCTAAACTCTTGTAGGTTTATTTTCTTCTAAGATTTAGGAAATGGAGAGATGAAGAGGTAGAGGGGAGCACTATTGTTGGCCCAACTGCCTCACGTTACTTAGAAAGACAAGTTGAAGAGAGGGCGTTATTTTCCCTGAGCTCTATTGCTCAGTGCAAAGCATTTTTTTAATAAAGATTTTGAAATAAAACTTTTTTAACATTAGATGTCTCTTTTCTTTCTTCTTTTCTTCTTCTCCATCTCTTTCCTCTTTTCACATTTGTCCTTTTCCCTTTCCTCCCCCACCCTCCTCTTCTTTTTCTTCTTCTTTTTCAAATTTTCTTTTTACAAGGGACAAAAGGTATATATAAAATAAATCTTAAAACACAGCTGAATTCTGCTTTCTCCGTTTCCTTCCCCTAATTGCAATTGCTAAGGTTAGGTAATCACACATAGATTTCTGAGAAATATCTACTACGTGCTCTCACTCTTGAAACTTTTCTATTTTACTTACCGTATTGGAATGTGTGCATTGTTGTGTGTACAAAATTATATTAACACACCAACCATTTGGCATCAGGCACTGCTGGTATGTATAGTCAGTGGTGACTCATTGCTTCATACCATCTCCAGTTAAAATAAGCGAAGAGTTCTGTTGAAGTCAGTGGTAGGTTTAGGTTTAAGGTTTGGAGCAATACTAAAACACAGACTAAATATTGAGCAAGATTTGGCATCTCTGAACAACTAAATACATTTTGGATCAACTAGTAACCTCAGAAAATGTTTGAATAAGTACTCTGTATTTGCTGAGTCCTTGGTTCTCACAAGGAATAAAACATACACAGTCTCCACCTTCACAGAACTAAGACTCAGCAGTACCCACATGCCTTCTACTTAGGATATCTTACTATTAAAGGTAGAAATAAATCTTCCCACTAGTACATTAAAGGCAAAGATGATAAAATTAGCAATGGCCTTGTGGTGTTCTCCAAAGTAATGGTTTTGCCCAGATGCCAGATTCTCAGCTCCTCTCTTAATGAAGCAGCCAAAAAGGGAGATAACAGAATGAGGATAGGCAAGAAAGGGAAGGACAGAGGCTTGGCAATGTGTTGTGAAAACGCTCTTGGAACAACTTGGGGATAGAGAGTTGGCAAAAATGGGAGGATATGAGCAGAATGAACTGTCAGAATTGTACAGTGTACAGAAATCTGTTCATTCTCAGTGACTCAAGTTTTACCCATGTAATGGAGAGTGATGCTCATGCAAAACTAAATTTTCAACAGGTTAAGTGACTTTTCCAAAGCCACAGAATAATATGTGGTAGAAGTGGGTCATGAACTCAAGAATGTCTGGGTCTAAGTGAGTGCCGTTTTCCTTACACCATGACACCTCTCCTTCAGCTGTTGACTTGAGAACCATCAACCACCAAGAAAAGAAATAACAGAATCTGTTATTATTTGGGAGATTTCATTGGATTGGCCAAATAATGAATAAAAATGCTTTATTTGCTTTTTGATGTTTAAAAATTTGCAATATATTAAATTTTTTTACAAATGACTAATGACATGTCAATATCTACTAATAAGTCTACGTGGAAGTACTTAAATTTCCCGAAGAGTTCAATCTGGAAAAATTCTCATCGTAGAGACCATTCATTTCCATAGATTTCCCCATGAATAGGTTGTAAACGTGATGACCTAAGAAGGCCAGCCGCATGTGAGTTAATATTAAATTTGAACTGACCAATAAGTCATGAAAATTATCTGAGAAAACCCAGAAAGTGATCATGTCAATTTATCTGATATCAGGTGGAAATTATAACTCTTAATCAAGATCAAGTTAATTTTAGTTTTCACACTTTTGGGTTTTGCACACTGTTGTGATTGGAAAATCCATGCATAGCACATATTTAACATCACATATCTTTGCCCTGAAATAGATCATACTGACACAGTCAGTCCCTCATTCATATCCTTTTGACTTAGCTTGGAGGTCCCTGATACACGGTGTCAGCTGTTTTCTGTGTTTCTATGCCCAAGCAGGTTCTCTGACCATGGGGTATTCTCTGCTTCTGCAGTGTGGGCCAGGTGTGCTGGGAAATTCACATCCTTGAGAGCAACTCTCAGCCAACAAGGGACAGAAGTTGGTGCATAAACACCCCATGTTATTTTCTTCTTTATGGGACAATTCTGAGGCATGTTCACAGCCTCTGGAGAGATCCCAATGGGACTGTGGCTCTGTTGCCCTCAGTAGTAACCCTCTTATAAAAACACCCATTATTAAGTTTTCCTCCCTTCCTGGTTTTACTTATCCATGCTTCCTGAAAATACCCCCCAATAAACTACTTGCACCTAAATCCTTGTCTCAGAGTCTGTTTGTGGGAACCCAAATTAGGGCAACCAAGTCCATATTAGCCCATCAGATCTTATTGATCAGAGATCAAATTGGATCTTTTGAATGATCAATATTAGACTGTTCTGAAGATTGAGAGAGATATCATGTAGAAAAACTTAATACATTCATTTGGGTAAAACCTCATAAATTCTAGAGACAGACAGAAAATGTGTACTCTTGTGTCTCCCATAGGGAAGATTTGTGGAATTTATATAAGAAGAGGGTGTCTACAATTTAGTTGGGGAAGAAAAGTCATTAACTTTGAGTTATAATATCATAAAAACACCACATATTTTGAATGAGAAACAGGCTCTAGAAAGTCTTTTAGAATGTGCTTTATCTGCAGAAAAATTAAAACTAGCTTATTCTTTAGTTAATGCTTTGATGCAAAGAACACTTTTATGTTTCTAGCTAGCATGGGATGATAAACGGAAATTAAATGCTTAGCATTCTTATTCATTTTCTATTGCTACTGTAAGAAATTATCACAGACTTAGTGGCTGAAACAACACAAATGTATCATATTAGAGTTCTGCAGATCAGGAGTCTGACGTGGGTCTCACTAGGCTAAAATCAAGGTGTCAGCAGTGCTGATTTCTCTTTGGAGGCTGTAGGGGAGAACCTCTTTCCTTGGCTTTTCCAGATACTAGAGGTGTCCACATTCCTTTATTAATGCCCCCTTCCCCCATCTTCAAAGTCAGCAATGCTGAATGCCTGTGACCTTTCTTCCATCATACATCTCTGTATATATATGGGACTACGGCCAGGAAATGTTCTCTGATTTTAAGAAATCATATGATAGATTGTGACCATCCTGAAATCCAGGATAATCTTGGAATAACTTCAATTACATCTATAAAGTCCCTTTTAAAAGTAATTAATTTAAGTTGACAAATAAAAATTGTATACATTAATGTTGTGCAGCATGATGGGTTTTGATACGTGTATACATTGTGGAATGGCCAAATCACACTAATTAACATATGCATTACCTCTCCATAATTATTTTTTGTGTGGTGAAAACACTTAAAATTCACCCTTTTAGCAATTTTCAAGTATACAATATATTGTTATGAATTATACTCATCATGTTGTATAATAGATGTCTTGAAGTTGTTCCTCCCCTCTAACAGAAATTTTTCATTATTTGACCAATATCTTGCAAAGTCTCTTTTGCTATGTAAGGTAACATGTTCACAGGATGCAGGGATAGGGTGTGGACATCTTTGGAGGATCATTACTCTGCCTACTGCAGTACTTATTACTACTAATTAAAATTTTGCAGCTAGTCAGAGGATCTCATTATTTAGTTTACTGCTCTAAGAGTTTTCTTCTAATTGTTTTCTTCCAAGAAATGTAGAAAATGTATATTTTTAAAGACTCTCATAGGTTAATTTTCAAGTTGAGCATCTGAAATCTTTTTTTAGCAGTTTTAAAAATTGCAGGCTAATTTACATAGACAAGGATACACAGACTAATTGCACAGCTCAGTGAATTTTCATAAAGTGAGCACACATGGGAACTGTACCCAGCTGAAGAAATAGGACATTTCTCGTATCCAGAAGCCCTCTTCAGGCCCTGCCCTACTCTTCACTCCTTAATCACACAAAGAAACCACTATTTTAAGTTCTATCACCATGGATCAGTTCTGCCTCATTATTTTATATAAAAGAGTCATTCAGTTCATATTCTTTTGTGTCTGGCTTCTTGCACTCAATTATTACGTTTGAGAGAGTTTTCCACTTTGTAGTGCTTAGCAATAACTTGTTCATTCTCAGTGTTACATAGTATTCCATTTTAGGAGCATACTGTAATTTATTTAATCATTCTATTGTGGACATTTGGGTTGTTTCTAGTTTTTAGCTATTAAAGCAATTGCTACTGTGAATGTTCTAGTATAGCCTTTGGTAGCCATATACGTACATTTCTGTTGGGTACATACCTAGAAGTGGAATCATTGGAACATAACGTGTGTATCTGTTCAACTTTGGAAGATACTGATTGATATGGTTTGGCTCTGTGACCCCACCCAAATCTTGTCTCAAATTGTAGTCCCCATGTGTCGAGAGAGGGACTTGGTGGGAGGAGATTGGATCATGGGGGCAGTTTCCCTATGCTGTTCTCCAGATAGTGAGGGAGTTCTCATGAGATCTGATGGTTTTAAAAGTGGCAGTATCCCCTGCTCTCTCTCTCTTTCCTGCCACCATGTAAGATGCGTCTTGCTTCCCCTTCACCTTCTGCCATGATTGAAAGTTCTCTGAAGCCTCTCTTGCCATGTGGAGCTGTGATTCAATAACCCTCTTTTGTTTATAAATTACCCAGTCTCAGGCAATATCTTTGTAGCAGTGTGAGAACGGACTAATACATGGATCCATGGCTTTCCAAGTGTTTGCACAAGTTTATGCACCAACCACTAATGAACATCCCAGTTGATCCACATCCTCACTGACACTTGGTATAGTCAGTCTTTTTAAAATTGTAACCAGCCTGGTGAGAGTGTAGTCAGGTGTTTTTTTTTTTATTGTTGTTTTTAAGGTAGAATTTACATATGAGGAAATGCACAAATCCTAAGGTACAATTCAGTGAATTTTGTCAAATCTAAACTTGTTTGAACCTTAGTGTTCCAAGTCGTATAATTGTGAATTTTCCTATCAAGAGGGCTTGGGGGAATTAAATCCTTTGTGGCTAAAGAGGGAAAATTGTATTTACCTTGTGCTCCCACCCCCTTCTTCCAGTGACAGGCATGGGTGAGTAGTCAGGGTCTGTGGACTGCTGGTTTATGTTGTTAGTATATTACCTACCGCAGAGGGCATTTACCTACTGACCTGAGGGGCAATGGTGTGGAAAAGGAAAAAGGCGAAGCGGTGGCTTTTGAGTGTTAGAAACGTTGCATAGTGACCCAGCCTCAGAGAGTCTGCCTGTTCTGCCCCAAGGTCTTTCTGGGGGTGCCAGGACACAAGTATGTGATAAGAATGAATCCAAGAGCATTGAGATTTCAAAGTTGCCTCTTTCTTTCTTTTTGTTGCTCTTGTCACATTTCTGTAAAAGTCATGTATGATAAGGTATTTATGGCATGGCTAAAACACATTCTCTTCCATGCCCCTGTGCACACAGGTCCTGAGGCTTCAGGCTTAGCTTCACTACAGGAAATGTATCATGCAGTTTTAATTTCTCTGCAAGTAAGGAAGATGGAAAAAACAGCTGGCCTATAAAAAGATGGTGACCTGGATGTTCTCCATCAAATGAAACACCCTCAAATTTCATTTCAGTAATATGTCAGTCACTCATGGAGGCTGGGTGTCATGGATAATTGGCTCTGCTAAGATCAGGCACATTCATCTGAATCTTGTTTATTTCTATTATAAAAGAGGATCACGACCTCTGAGGGCTAACATAAGGATTATAGGAGAGAACTTCAGAAATCATATGATACAAAACTTTAGCATCTCTCTTCCTCTTTGTCCAGGAATATTGTTACTGACAATATAATGACATTCTTGGACCTAAGAAGAAAGTTTCAATGACCACATACTACAAGTTTGGCTGATAGAAAGTCTCCCGTAAGAAGGGTCAACAGCCAGGACTGTGGCCCTCAATCTCTCTCACAGTCTTCACACTTATACCCAAGAAACCAGAAAGAGGCCTGGACGTTGGCAGGGACCATATCACTCAAAGTCTGATGTCTTTGGTCACCGATGTGACCTAAAGTGCTGCTGTCCTCAGATCATGGCAACCAAAGCTACTGTGATCACCACTCTTTTCTTGGCAAAGGACAAAGAGCATGGAGCAGTGCCTATGGGAGGGTTATAGGCTGGGCCTGGAAGCAGCACACACTGCTTTCCCCCAGTCCCACTGGCTGTAACTCGGTTATGTGACTACACTTACTTCAAGGAAGGCTGGGAAATGTAGTCTACCCTGTGTCCAGAAGGAAGAGGAGAATGTGGATTTTGATGACCATCAGCTGTCTTAGCCACAGATGGTTTATACCTTGACCTAGGGTAACTTTTCTTATATTCATAGGAATATAGTAGCAGCCATAGTGAGGCAGCAAGGTAGGTAAGAATTAGAGGCTCTTGAAAAATATTCATCCAGTGCTTTTAGTCCTGTCGCTTAACATCTATTTCTAGACATCTTAAATGCATAGACTCTGTGGGAGACATTTATGTAGCCTGTCTCCTGATTTACTAGGAAATTTATCTGGACTCCTAAATGCGATTGGATCTTTTTATACCCCTGTTGGACATGATCTGGTTATAAAAGTCCACCTGGTTATAGACACATGCAGAGTGAACCCGTTCCAGGGTGGCCTGCCTCAAGAGTTAAATCCTGAGACAATTCTGGGGTCTTAGGAAGGACAAATTTTCTAAGCTTCCAAGGGCTTGTGGCTGAGCCCTTCTGATATTGACAGTAAAAGAGGTACAGTAGTGTGGATCCTAAGAGGTGGCAAAGCACTGGGCCTTCTGGGGGGCTGAATCTCTCCAAGCACAGCAATCATAGAGATAGCATCTATAAATCAGCTCACAACATAGCTGTTGAAAAAATATAACTTTTTCTTAGAACTTAATTTTAATATTGAGGACCCCCCCTGCTTTTCACTTTCCACCAGGTGGTTGAGATAATTTCAGTCCATTGGCCCAGTCCTAAGGAGCATTTATGAAATCAGGTTGCTCTGGGAAGAGCAGGTTTGAAGCACGACAATGTCTTTGGTCACTGACATATGCTCCTAAGCATCATCTCACATTTCCTCTTCCTCCTGCACCCTGAAGCTCTAGTGGCTTTCTCTCTGCTTTCCCTGCATCATGTGGGAAGGCAAGGGAATAATTCAGCTCTGTTCCTTCCCTGTCAGGCTAGGAACCAGGGATCAGGGATCCCTGCAAGTCCGTCTATGGCTCCATCCACCTAGACTCCCTCTGCAGCAGTTTTCTCTCTCCAGGGACCTTCCTCCTTTCAGGGGAACTGCGTGGGAAGCAGAGCAAGCCCCTCCCTGCCACCCACCTGTGCCTCCGCTCATTACTTCTTTACCGACTACTCTCCTCTCAATCTGGAAGCATCTCTCTTTTGGTCCCTCAAGAACATCCCTTTCTCCAGAAACCTGCTGCTGTCACTCATGGGTGTCTCTGTGTTACCCCAAAGACTTCAAAACTCCAAAAGAGCTTTTTTTTTTTTTTTTTTTTTTTAAATGCATCTGCATTTTACTCTGCAACCGTCCCCTCCTGGTACAATGAGAATAAAGCAGCTCAACAGCTAGGATGAGGAGTGAAGGAGAGACTGATCATCAGTTGGTATAGTAGAATAATATTCTGGTCGGGCGTGGTGGCTCACGCCTGTAATCCCAGCACTTTGGGAGGCTGAGGTGGGTGGATCACGAGGTCAGGAGATCGGACCATCCTGGCTAACATGGTGAAACCCCATCTCTACTAAAAATACAAAAAATTACCCCGGCGTGGTGGCGGGCGCCTGTAGTCCCAGCTACTGGGGAGGCTGAGGCAGGAGAGTGGTGTGAACCCGAGAGGCGGAGCTCGCAGTGAGGTGAGATTGCACCACTGCACTCCAGCCTGGGTGACAGAGCGAGACTCTGTCTCAAAAAAAAAAAAAAAGAAAGAAAGAAAAGAATAATATTCTACAACAATTATTCACCTACCTACATATCCATCCTTCCTTACAAAACGCATACACACAAAAAAGCAAGGAAATGTATTGTCCCATTACAGCACTTGAAATGGATGTGTGTGAGCTTTGCATTTCAAATTGTCTCCATTCAGCTACATGTACACATATGCGTTACACAGTAGGTAATTTTGTAAGAAAAAAAAATGCTCCGGCCTTGGAAATGGGCAAGATAAGTTACCAAGTGCCCTTTTAGTAGAGGGCAAAACATAGTATAGTGAACTTTCAGAGGATCATCAGATACTACAGGAATCTGCACCTCTTTATTGACTTTCTGTTGACTGTTTTACAATTCTGTAGGGATAGAAGTTAATGTGTAGAAAACTGATAGCAAAGTTAATTATTCATGTGGAAAGCAATGCAAATGATTTTTCACCAGTAGAGATACAATTTGATTTATGCCAGTTGGATGAGATAACCCTAAATATCATTAGAATAATTTCCCAGAGAACAATATTTAGTTTTGCATCTATTAGAAAGTTCATTTCTGCATTCCTGTCTCTCTTTATAAATATATCTACATCTATCTATATTTTTCTGTTTCTCACATTTTCATTTGATCCAGTATTTATATATTGCTGTTTATTAAGTTGAATAAAATCTTCCTTGGATAAGATAACCCCAAGCATCATTATAATAATTTCCCTAGAGAACAATATTTAGTTTTGCATCTATTAGAAAGTTCATTTCTGCATTCCTGTCTCTCTTTATAAATATATCTACATCTACCTATATTTTTCTGTTTCTCACATTTTTGTTTGATCCAGTATTTATATATTGCTGTTTATTAATTAAGTTGAATAAAATCTTCAATGTGTTCATTTTATATTTACATAAAAGTCAAGATTTTACTTTTTGAAAATTATACTTTAGTGATTTACAATATAAGCCATTTCTTTGTATAAACTGCTATTCTCTTCCCCTCCTTGACTTATATTCCAAGAAACTTTCTCAGGGTTTTTCCACATTTCATTTAGCCTTCACAGTAATCTTCACAATAACAGGTAATAAAATTTCCATTTTACCCATTAAAACCTGAGGCTCAGAGAATGGTTTTGTTGTAGCTCCAAGGCAGATAAAAAAATATTTAGTAGTAGAGTTGGGGTTTCCAATAAACATTGAGCTTACTTCAAAGCCCTTGTGCCTCTCATTTGTTGCTCTGGATCATTTTAAGGCCAAAATTGCTGAGGACTGTACAGTCTTACAGTAAAAGTAAAAGTATCGCAAGACCTTATGCTCCTCTTTTTAAGCCTTTTGAAGAAAAGGCAAACTGTTAACTTTGGAGGGTATTTTTAGGGACAGGATCTTGCTCTTTTGCCCAGGTTGAAGTGTGCTGGTATGATCTTGGCTCACTGCAGCCTCGACTGCCCTGGCTTAAATGATCCTCTTACCTCAGCCTCCTGAGTAGCTGGGACCAGAGGCACATGCCACCACACCTGGAATTGTATTGTTTGTAGACACAGGGGTTTCACCATGTTGCCCAGGCTAGTCTCAAACTCCCGGACTCAAGCAATCCACCTGCCTTGGCCCCCACAAAGTGCTGGGATTACAGGCTTGAGCCACCGCATCTAGCCAACTTTGGAGATTTTAATTTAAAGCAAATAGCAAAGCAAAACAAAACAAAACAAAAACACACAAAAATGTAACAAAATCAAAACAACAACAAAAATTCAAAGCAACATTTTTCTCCCTCCACCATAGAGGCTATAGGGTATTGGACATGGACGTCAATTGCTTGAAGGAATGTATGGTATTTAAGAGGCCTAACAGTCAACAATCTAGTGCTGGCGGCAAGGTAGGCACATGTAAAATAAAAAATATTCACAAGATTGAAAGATTCTGCCAGGATTTTTTTTTTGAAAATTAATGGATAAAGAATCGTGATTAATTAGTAATTGGTGATCAAATGTATTATGCCTCACCTTGGTGGAAAGAGAAAAGCATAGATGATAATGTTTTATATCTGCTTGGTATTCAGGTTAAAAGATGGTCAGTTCATCTTATTTTCCTTTTTCTCCCCTCTCTAAATGGTGAGGAAGCTGTGATTCAAAGATGAATGATACTAGCACTGGGACACTTCTTCTCATTACGTGCATAAGAATTCTTGCTTTCTTCAGACTGGCTTGACTACATTGACTATTTTTTCCTGCCCTGAATGTGTGATTCATGACACTTTGCACAGCTGCTATAAACACTGTTTTCTTAAATTCCAGACACAGTCAATGTGTTAAAGGAGTAGAGTAAGGGCAGGATGAACTACATAATTTGCAGACACGGCACAAAATGAAAATCTAGACCCCATCTGAAACAAGAAACAGAATGTTCTTAGTGCCCCAGAAGTTCCCAGATGCCCTCTCCACTCCCAGCTTTCCTAAGGATACCCACTATCCTGACTTCTGATAGCATAGGTAAGCTTGGCCTCCTTTTGAGTTTATATTAATGAAATCATGCATGAAATCTGGCTTCTTTTGCTTAATATTATGATTGTGAGATTTTTCCATATTTTTGTGTGTAATTGTAATTTGTTTATTCTCATTGCTTGATAACACTCGTTTTATAAAATCTTAAAGTTGTTACTACTGGTATCATAGTAAGTTTCCCTTTTCTCAACACACATACACATACACACACACACACACACACACACACACACAGTGATGAATTCACTCTACTCAGCATAGTGGTGGGAAAAGGAGGGCTGTATATTAACTGGGTTTTGACTTTTGAATAGGCTATCCGTTGCCCAATAGCCATTATGTGTTAAATTTCTAGACGATATTGGTGACACACTGAATCGTATCACCTTCTTTTCCAAATGGAAAATTGTTTTCTTCCAATTAGTGAAGTAATGCACATAACTTTAGCTGGTAACATCAAATCTGTATTCAACCTGTTTTTCCACTTCTGGCAACCTGACAACTTTCTCTCCTTTAATTTCCAAGCGATTGGTTTCTAGTTTTTGCCAATTCGTGTGATGATGATCATGAAGAAATCACATGTACGTGACATATGGAAAAACTCACAGAAGTGAATCACAAGTAAGATATGCATTGATTATACTTTAGCTTGTTTTGAATGTAAAGATATGTCATCAAATATTTTCTTGTAATATTTATGAAGTTTCTCAAACTGTATTATTTGTACTTTTTAATGAAAGGATTATTGATATATAATTCACATACCATACAATTCACTCATTTAAAGTATACAATTTGATGGTTTTGGTATATTCAGAGTTGTGCAACCACCGCCTCCATGAAGTTTTAAAATTTTTATCACCCCCTAAAAAGACTCCTATACTCTTTAGTATAGTAGTCACTCCCCATTTGCTCTCCACCTCTCCCACAAACCTCCTCTTACCTAAGCAACCACTAATCTACTTTGTTTCTATAGTTTTGCCTATCCTGGATATTTTACTTTAATGGAATCAGGGAATATGTGGTATTTTTGCAAATGGCATATTTCATTTAACATAATGTGTTTAAGGTTTATCCACACTGTAGCATGTATTTGTACGTTACTCCTTTTTATGGCCAAATAATACTGCATTGTATAGATATACCACATTTTGTCTATCCATTTATCAACTGATGAATATCTGGATTGTTTCCGCCTTTGGCTAGTAGGAATATTGACAGGTTTTCATGTGAAAATATGTTTTTATTTTCTTGGGTATATAACTAGAAATAGCATTTTTGGTCATGTGGTAACTTTATGTTGAACATTTTTAGGAAATGCCAGACTGTTCTCCAAAGTGGCTGCACTGTTTCATATTCCCACCTGCAAAGTATGAGAGTTCCATTTTCTCCACATCTTCATTAAAATTTATTATCTGTCTTTTTTGCTTAAAGCCATTCTAATGGGTGTTAAGTGGTATCTCATTATGATTTTGGTTTGCATTTCCCTGGTGGCTAATGCTGTTGAGAATCTTTTCATGTGCTTATTAGCCATTTGCATATCTTATTTGGAGACATGTTTATTTAGATCTTTTGCCCATTTTTAACTTTGGTAATTTGCCTTTTTATTATTAAGTTGTAGGAGTTCTAGGTACTAGAACACATTCTAGATTTTATATACAGTTCCCTTATGAGATACATGATTTGCAAATATTTATTTCACATTGTGTAGGCTGTGGTTTTACTTTCTTGGTGGTGTCCTTTGAAGCACAAAAGTTTTTATTTATGATGAAGACCTATCTATTTTTCTGTTGTCATTTGTGCTTTTGGTGTTATTGAACTTTATTCTTAAATATGACTTCAAAGCATTTTTGAATTGTTAATGCTTAAATTTCATTGTATTTTTTTTCTGGAACTTGTACGTTTACTATCATCTTAGGAAAGAATTTCTGATGGCGAATCAGACAGTGCTTTTATACATGTTTTTGCAGGTTGAAATTCATATTTGTTGCCTAAGGCTGGTTTAAATAAAAACTATTTTTCTAAAGTATTTTTTTTTAAAGAAAGGAAGTAATGGTACCCAAGGGATGAATGACCTTGGAATCAACTACAGGATAAGAATGTCTGGTGGGTAATTGGCATCTGATTATCTTGGCAGCCAAAAAAAGTTCTGGGGGTAATTTGTCTAATAATGTGTACTTACTGATTCTGGGTCCCAGGTTGGACTAAGCATTGTGGGAGTCTGATGAGCAATACGGGATGAGCTCTGTTCTCTTTAGGGTTTCATACACTAGATGGAGGAGACACACGAGGAAGCAGTTCATGAGCACACAGGAAGTAATTCATGAACATACAGGAAGCAATTCATGAACAATCTTTTTAATTCCTAGAGTATCCAGTTTAATGCTCTTCAAGTAAGTCTTCAGTAAATACTTAGATAATTAACTGAAATATCATATAGAATCAGGGAATTGTACAGTACAGACTATAAGCGTGGTGTGACCTTGAGCAAGTCACTTCACCTTTCTGAGCCGCCATTTATTCAACTGTAAATTGGGAAAGTAAAAATGTTTAGCCAAAGGGCTGGGCTGTAAGAAAGAGCAAATGAGGGAGACACTGTCTACAAGTTTGCATATAACTGTCAAGACTCACAGTTGCTATAGACAGAAGAACAGAGGCAGCAGGCAAGAGTGGTTCAGAACATGGGTTTTGAAATCAAAAAGAACTGGATGTAATGTGGTAGCTATGTGCTCTTAGAAAAGTTCTTATCTGTAAAACCTACCTTATAGGACTCTTGTGTGGATATTTTAAATGAGGTAATATGTACAAAGGCTGAGCACTGGCGGATCTTTTAAGTAAAAAAGGCAACAGGTACAAAACATAAAAGTATCTAGTTCTCCCAAGGATGACAGTGTGTGTTGGGAAATAACAAAAACATAGGACAGAGAACACTAAATTGGGGAAGGTCTAAATTGGAGAACTTAAACCAAGCCTGATAGGAAGCCACTGAAAGACTTTAATCAGTGTCTATTTTTTTGATGCTTGTCTCAGACAGGAGAGAAGGCAATCTGTTATATTGAAGAAAGTCTGCGATGGTGACCTTGAGACCTGGTTCTAGTTCTAGTTCTGCCACCAGTTAGCTGTGGATTTTAGACCAGTCATTTAACCCCTCTAGGCCTTGTCCCTAGTTGAGTTTATTCTGAGAAACAGTAAGCTCCAAGTTGATAGATTTTGCTTTCCTAATGGTGCCATAATCAGATTGCTCCTGAGGTTTAGAAAATGAAGGATGTTGCATCACTTTGGACTGCAGTTAATTTTTTAACAGCCACATAGTTGGTGCTTTTGAACATACTTGATGGTTTATATGAATGTATGAGCATAAATAGAAATCTAATTCTGACCAAAGAGAGGCTTGGCAAAATGTTCCAGGTTGTTCCTGTGTCTTTCAGTAATGTGACTGACATTTCTAAGAAATTCCTGCAGTGCATTCCTTGAACATTCATGGAAGTATAACATACATAGAGAAAGTGCTCAAATCCTCAGTTGCCTGCTCTTCTAGTTTTCATGAACTAAACACACCCAGGAATCAGTTCCTCAGTCAAAAACAGAAAATGACAGGGGCCTTAGAAACCCACTTGCTCCCTCTTCTAGTCACTATCTCCCCCAAAATAGCCACTGGTTTCTAGAAGCATAAAATTGTTTTAAAGTGCCAAAAAACTCATGAAAAATAATGATTTCTGGGTCTTTAAAGGTGTTTAAATGCCATTCATAAACCTAATTCTTTGCTTGTGCCTAGCTAAGTAGGTGCAACACATTTGGAAAATAATTTGGCAATATGTCTCAACACCTGTTAACATGTTTATGCTATTCTGTTTTTGGAAATGTATCCAAAGAAAATATTTCAAAAAGAATTATTTTGCATTCATGAATATTTTCACTTCACAGTTACCTCTAATTACTAAACCAGGAGGTAACCTAGACAATCAAAAATAGGTGAATTATTAAGTAGTTTATAGATCCAAATCATAAAATATTAAGTAGCCTTTTAATGGAAAAGTACTTATCTTATTAATGTTTAGTAAAAATTAAAAGTGAAAAATTGTAATGTGCTAGAACCATATCTGTAAGACTCAAATGCATATGAGCAAGATCAGGAAAATATTTAGGAAGGGATGCTGGTTCCTTTCTACATCTGTTCTATTACAAAATTGTTAGTGTAATTAAAATCTGGTGGGAAAAATAAGCAATGACTCAAGCTCAATTTTGAATGTTACTGTACTTTAACATTTTTGTCATTTGGATAGCTGTCGGTTGACTTTTAGTTTTTAAAAAATCTTTGCAATAGCATGTACAAGCTTTTCTATTTAAAATATAGAATATTTTAACAATAATCTATTGTATGTTTCAAAATAGCTAGAAGAGAATAATTTGAGTGTTTCTCTCATAAAGAGAAGATGGTGAGTGTATAAATTGCTACAGCATTTAGAAAACAAACAATCAATAATTGGTAAACTAAGAATGCATGTGCCCTTTTACCCAACCATTTTGCTTTTGGAAATCGATCCCATGTTAGTAACAGTGGCAGGACTCAAAGATATGTGTATCAAGTTTAGCAAGGTGTCATAAAACTGTTTGTAGTAGAAAAATAAACAGTTACAAACAAAACAAAACAATATACCTGGACACAGACTGAATGCCCATCAGCTGTGCAAGGATTGGCCAAATTGTGGTACATCCATAGAATGAAACATTTTGCAGGTATAATAAGGAATAATTAGATCTTCAAGATTGACTTGGAGGAATACCCATGAATGATTGCTAAAGTGAGATGAGAAGGTTGAAGAGTAATGTAAATAATACAAACTCATTTTGTAAAAATATTACAAAACATGATACACATTTGTGGAGTCATGGAGAAATATGTCTGACTACCTTGGAAATAAGGATCTACATATTAACTTTTTCTTAATATGTCTTTGTACCAGTGAGCCTGAATACATGTTATTGTGTAATTTCTGAAGAGAAATTTAATTTTAAAAAGTTGAAACTTTTGGCTGTGCATGGTGGCTCACGCCTGTAATCCCAGCACTTTGGAAGGCTGAGACAGATGGATCACCTGAGGTCAGGAGTTCGAGACCAGCCTGGCTAACATGGCAAAACTCTGTCTCCCACTAAAAAAACAAAAAATTAGCTGGGCATGGTGGCGGGTGCCTGTAATCCCAGCTACTTGGGAGGCTGAGACAGAAGAATCGCTTGAACCAGGGAGGGAGAGGTTGCAGTGAGCTGAGATCGTGCCATTGCACTTCAGCTTGGGCAACAAGAGCAAAACTCCGTCTCAAAACAAAAACAAAAACAAACAACAACAACAACAACAACAAAACTTTTTAAAAGTCATTGATTTTTCCAAAGCACTTATACTTGGGTATTGGACAAAAAAATTATGTGACATGAATTTCTAAGTATAGAATTATTACTAATGTGAATTTTTCATCTAATACCAAATGGCATGCATGTAAGAGTCTACATATGATTCCACCTGCGTAGCTTCATGAACAATCCAAACACTAGTAAAATAACGTAAAACCCATGAAGAATATTTTTATTGAATGCTTATTTTTGGTGCATATGAGAACTATTTTTGGTTGATTTTTTAAGAAGTAAAATTGTATAGCATCCTTAGTTTTTTTTTGGCAAGTATAACATTTTCCTAAGTGTTAATCTTTAGATTTCTGACATTTACAAATACTTGAGCCTCACTTTCAGTTAGTAAAATGCTGCCACCCCTTCCTCTGTTTACTTCGGATGGGGTGGGGCAGGAACTAGTACCCAGATGTGACTGCTGGCATTCCCCATCCTTAACCCTGTTCACATGGGCTCAATTTGCTTCATGGAAGGGGTGGGGCTCCCATCAGCCTCATCCCCAGCAACCACCTGCTTCATGGTGACAGATAAGAGTTCTTGGTTTCCAGAGCCACAAAGAGAACAGAGGAGACACTTAGAGGAATAGAAATTAGATGTCTGGCCCCTGGGGTCTATAACAGGTAAACGTCCTAAAATTTTTATTTTTCTGTTGCCAAAAGCTCACGTGATGAAGGACCTCTTGCAATCAGCTAAGGGGCCAAGGGGCATCTTTGATGTGCTGGTGAAACCAGTGCCTGTGGGAACAAACTTGGTTAACTTCATTTTAAATTCTAGTAAAAAACATAGAACATGAAATCTGCACTCTAAACAAATTAAGTGTATGAGTTAGTTAATATTTTTTTCCACTTGCACTTCTTTTTCAGTGTTTACTTTTCAGATGAGAAAGCTCTGACATGTGATTTTCACTTCTTTATCCTCCAAACTATAGAACAATAAATTATGGTGTGTATCACCCTGAATTATGAAAAGCCCAGATTACAGAAAAAGAGAGTCTCTGCCTTGGGTCTCAGGGAACACTGTACCTCCAACAGCCCTGCTTCTGTTACTAACATGGGATAGATTCCCAAAAGCAAAGCTCCTCATCCTGAGGACACAAAATATCCCACGCAGACTGCCTGTAGCTATTGAGACAGCTTTGATCCTAAAGACTGTTAATAAATTACTTTGGAATTCAGCATTACAATAATTTAGTTTTTGAGAGGGACTCTTCTTAAGGGTTCCATTTAGTTTTCAATTGATACTTTTTTGTTAAAAAAAGGGTAATTGTAATAAAAAAGAAATATTTTTGCATTGTAATTTTCCACTTTATGTAATGATATATTACAATCATCCTATGAGGGAGAAAAAAGCAGATATTGTTATTCTTATTTTATGAATCAGAAAACTGAGCCCAGAGAGGTGAAGCTACTTGCCCAGGATCTCATCTAGTGAACAAAAGCAGCACACACACAGTTTTATCTGAAAGTATAAGAGGCAATCTCTCCTACTCAACAGCATATGGGTGAGAATGATACTAATGAACACTAATCAGTTGTTAATTCTCTCTAGGTAAGGCTTAGAGCCTCCCTACTTTGGTAACTCCATCGGTGTCCTGAATTGGAGCAAGAAGGTGTGGCATTCTACACCTAAACTCCCCTGTGTCTTATTCATATGTATATCAGTTGTTTGTGTTGGAAACTGCCTGAATAAATACACTCACTGTAGAACAAAATAAACAAGAATACAAATGTGGCATATATTCACCCAAACATACATATATTTATAGTCATATAAAGGCCAACCCTCATCAGTATGTAATGGATTCAGTATTCATGGAGGTGATCTTTTAAGCAAAATGTGTAAAGGGCAGCAGATGTGTTTTGACAGCCACAGATAGAATAAATTATGTCTTCTAGAACCTCTTCTTGGCAATTGGCTCAGTGCAGTAGAAATTGCTGTATGTTATTTTCGGAATCCACTAACATTGCTCCTTTCAAAGAAGTTATTGTTCTTATCTTGACTGGTGCTATTTTGTGAGGAAATGCTCATGGCAGTACACAAAGAAGATGCCGAAGGACCCACAAGAATGCTAGAAAGGTGGAAACCATATTTTATAATATACCAAGTAGTTGAATTCCACAAGGACATTGTATTCAATAATAAAAAAAAAGAAACAGGCTTTTTTTTTTTTTTTGACAGAGTCTCACTCTGTCGCCCAGGCTGGAGTGCTGTGGCACGATTTCGGCTCATTGCAACCTCTGCCTCCCGGGTTCAAGCGATTCTCCTGCCTCAGCCTCCCAAGTAGCTGGGAATACAGGCACATCCCACCACGCCCGGCTAAGTTTTTGTATTTTTTTTTTTTTTAAGTGGAGATGGGGTTTCACTGTGTTAGCCAGGATGGTCTCCATCTCCTGACCTTGTGATCCACCTGCCTCAGCCTCCCAAAGTGCTGGGATTACAGGCATAAGCCACCGCACCCGGCCTTTTTGTTTTTAACTTGACCTGGATTTTAGAGGTTGCACCAGCACCAAATGCTCTGCAAGAAGGACAACCTCTCTCAAATTCCTACTGAATCTTTTTGGGATGTCTCTGCAGGTTTCTTACATACATTCTGCAAGTAAATCCTATTGTCTTAGCGAAGGGGACACAAGAGGACACACACTCTACATTTCTTTCCCAGTGAAGAAGGGAAAAAGGCATCGCTCTGCTTTGACTCCTTGTGCTAATCAATCCCTAACTATCCTAGGGCATGGCCACTACTGCCTTGGGCCTGGAGCCTGCCAATGTCCTCACGAAATCAGCTGATCTGTAATATGGAGGCTGCTGACATTTGTGCTGAGAGTGCCAGTTCCTGGTTCTACTGACCCCAATGCTGTTGGCTAATTGTTCTCTCCAAGTGTCCTGGAGAGTGTAATAATGCAATTTTACCTTTTCATTTGCTCTTCTATGAGAGTCTCTATCCACCCTTTCATCTCAAACATACTCAGGGGCTACTTCAAGGAAGGTACTCCCCTACCTGTGACACTGCTCCAGTATCCTTGAATCAATGTTGTGGCTTAGACTTCCAGATCTCCATCAAATCTGTCTTAGTGGTCCCACCTCACATGCCCTCCAAACCTGTGTGGATACACTTGAGTCCTTAGAACAAATACAGTTTAGACACAAAGAGGACCCATCTCCGTGTACTAGATGCTCAGGTGTCAGAAACATTTCAGTTTTAAAGCCAGCCTCCTTGAGGCCATAAATACTCCAAAGGGAGAGTTCTCTGGTTAAGTCCCCACCTCCAGAGGTGATGGGGGGAGACTTGGGAGGCATATACAACAGCAGCTTAGGCTCTTTATAACCACATTATGCTTGAAGGGTAATTAGACGTGCCCAGAGGCCAAGCATCCCTTAGAAGAATTGGTGATGTCTTGGGAGCACGGGGCCTGTGGTGTCTCCTCCAGTCATTTCTAGAACAAACTTGTGAATTTTCATTACACTCGTCAGTGCTCCATTGCTCTTATCCGCGGGCTTGCTGCCTTGTCAGGGAGGTGATGTAGAACAGAGTTTATCTTTCCCCTTAACCTCCTTGATTTGCCAAGGACAATTGATTTCATTTGTAATTCAGTATCTGTTTAGGTAAGAGTGCCCTTAGATTTCACCTGCAGAGCAGAATGGAGGAGAGAAAGATATGAGTCTGGAGAAACTGGTTCCACCCAGGGCAGAAATGTCTTTTTGATGTCTGAAGGCTGGAGAGCCTCATGTGCTCCACCTTGTACCTTTTGGGCACCAGGCCGCCCCACAGCTTGCCTTTATCTTGATAATACTTTGTTAAATGCTCAACTATTCCATCAAGTCATGTTTCTCCAACTTAAGCGGCATTGCTATATAAGCTTTGAAATATTTCTCTGAAGTCCTCAGATCTTCATGTTTAAAGACATTCCCCAGGCTTCCTTCCCTTGTACTCACTGAGTTTGTATTCACAAAACCTCTTGCCTTCAATACCTTCATAACTCATGTCGAATGTGTGCTATTATATTTAAATCCTAAGCATTCTCATCACCATTGTCTCAACTATTGATATGATTATTCCAACTCTGGCATGGGGTGTCATTTGATGTCTTGAGGTAATTCATCTTTTTCTCACCCATTGAAGGCACACGGTAGGTGAGTGCCAAGTGAATAAATGGGCCTCAATCTACTAATCTGTGAAGTGGGGAGGTTGGAATAGCCTATGATAAGGTCTTGTTCAGCTCAAACATTTGATGATTCCTTAAGGCTATGTCATCATAGCTGCTGAGGGGACTGTGCCACAAATTGGATAAACGAGTTAGACATGACTGCACCCTGTGACTAGATTTCTTCCTCTGATAGAGGACATTACACATACATGTAAGGTCATAGAATGAAGACAAGTTAATGGTACATAGAATTGGCTTTAGGATGAAAATGTTTCCTTTTGAAAGGTAAACAAATGTTTTCAGAAAATTCTTTAGAAAAGATAATGTTTTCAGAAAATTCTTTAGAAAAGATAATGAAAAGAGGCTGGGCGTGGTGGCTCATGCCTGTAATTCCAGCACTTTGTGAGGCTGAGGCGGGTGGATCACCTGAGGTCAGGAGTTCAAGACCAGCTTGGCCAACATGGTGAAACCCTATCTCTACTAAAAAAAAAAAAAAAAAAAAAATGCAAAAATTAGCCAGGAGTGGTGGTGAGCGCCTGTGATCCCAGCTACTCTGGAGGCTGAGCCAGGAGAATTGCTTGAACCTGGGAGGTGGAGGTTGCAGTAAGCTGAGACTGCACCATTGCCCTCCAGCCTGGGCAACAGAGCCAGACTCCATCTCAGGAAAAAAAAAAAAAACCAAAACAAAAAGAAGATAATGAAAAGATAATTTGTTTTTTACATCTTGAAGTAGCCAAAGCTTAGTTTAATTCTCCCATTGTACATTGAAAGCATCTATGTAGGACAAGCAAATTAGCGATCTCATATACTACCTGAGAACTAAACTTAATAAAATTGTATTGTATTAGGCATTCTTGTTAAATAAGTAGATTTTAGCTGCTCTTGTCACACATACAAAAATAACTATGAGATGATAGATAGGTTAGTCTGCTTCAATAAGTAACCATATTATCTATATGTATCCCATAACATCATCTTGTAAGCCTCAAATATATACAGTAAAATATATTTAAAGAAAGCATCTCAATTTCATTCAATCACTCTCAAGGTGATTGGTTGGTATGTTGGACTGTTATTTATAAGCTCCCAATGAGAAAACTTATATACACGTGTTAGGGGGCTGTTTCTGATTTGAGATATTTACACCTAATGTGGGACGAGCTACATAGCTTTGGAGGCAAACCAATATGGGCTTGAATTCTGGATCTGATCTGTTACCTACCAACCCTGAGCTTTTAGCCACCCTGAAACTCAATTTCCCCATCTGTATAATGTATAGTATGTATATGATTTCACCTATGTTTCTAGACTTTTGGGTACCCTATGGTGTGTTTATTGTACTTTTTTCCAACTAACAAATACACAATTTTAAATTTAGTGCCTACTGTTTGAAAATATTACTGACATGTTATTTGAAAATAAGTTTATCCTATGGTTTCCAATTTTTCAGACAGTCAATAAGTGGAAGAAGTTTCCATTTATAGAAGTGACATGCATGTTAATGGGAAACAAAATATTATCCTTAAAGAGAGGACAAAAATCCCAGGAAATGACCCAGAAATACTCTTGGAAACAATAAGTGTTTAATTTTCCCTAAACTAGAAAACTGGTCATTCAGGATGGAGTGTAGAGGAACTAAGAGAAATAGGAATAATAATGATTGCTATGGAAGAAATGTCCTATAGTGACACTGGGGGGCTCAAAACTACCACCCCCCATGGCCAGGTTGAAAAGCTCCAGATGGAACAAAAAGAGAAGGAGCCCTGGGCCCATGGAATCCCCACCAGGCCTGCCAGGTTAATGCTGCCTTTCTCTCCATGTCAATGAGGAAGGTCCTATGGTGCACTGTGAATAATCGTGTAATATGGACCCCAGACTGTGTCCCCAAAGTCCCCATTTATACCACTTTCATCATCAAGTCCCCAGTTACCAGTTTGAGGTTGGTTTTCCTTCTAATGAGATTGACCCGTTACAAGGACCCAGCAGCATAGAAACAGAAAATCTTAACATGTCCAATCTCCTACCTGTTTATATATGTGAGCTTTGAGTAACTCAATCTTCCCATTTAGACTCCAGGAAAGGGATTTCTATTTTGATGGAGTTGAACACTCTTCTTTTGCAGTTGGAGAAACTGTACCCAGGACAGCCATGGGACTTGGACAAGCAACTGGCTAATGGCAGAGCTGGGGTTAGAAATGGTTTCTCCTGACCCTAAGTCCAGGGCTCTTTTCATACAACTGTGCCTATCCTATGCAGAATGTAACTCTACAAAGAGATACAGTTTAAACACTCATCCATGTTCCTTAAGGAAATAGACATTTTGTGTGTTCGGTTGCAGCAGCTTTGGGAGGAGACCCTCTATGAATGGGCCTACTGCTGAATGGCTGATTCCCTGAGGTTCCAAGGAGAGATTAGATGCCAGAGATAACAAGGAGAGACTCCATGATGAGAGCTCAGGTATAAGTGTTTATGGGTCCGGGCATGAAAGGGTCTGGGCATGAAAGGAAGCCAGTATGAGTCAGAGCAGGCTCATTAGGGCTGGTAGGTAAGGCCAGGGCTGCAGAGATAAGATTCATTCTAATGAAGCCATTTGGGGAGTGCCTCCTGCCATTTCCTATGCTCTGTTTCTGTTTTTGGCTTATGCAATCCCACAACCTATGCTAAATCCTTTGTTGTGATGTGTCCAGGTAGATGCCACACATCCAGAAATTCTTCTCTTACAAAAAAGAAAATGAGCAATTGAAATGTGACTCGTGATTTTAAAAGTGCACTTTTATTTTCACTTAATTTTAATTTATTTAAATAGCCACTTGTGGCTAGTGGCTACATTCTATAACTGTGCAGAAATAGACCTTCATTCACCCATTGACGGTGCTGACACATAATGTTCCTATGAGGTAAAACTTAGAATTCCATATAGAAGAGTAGAGGAGATGCTTGGCTACACAATTCAGAATGCCATAGCCAGGGAAAAAGTCATATAAAAGAATTGCTCAATTACCACATGTGGCTGGTGGCTTCTGAATTGGTCAGTTATCATCACAGAAAGTTCTGTTTGGCAGCACTGATTTATTCAATAAGGATGAAAGAAGTGGGTTGGGCAATTTACCAGATTAGATTAGATACACTAAATAACTCTTCTAACTGAAGCAATGAAAATGTTGGATGGAATTTTTTTTTAAAAAAATTATGTAAGTGCTTCATTGAGCTGGCATTAGGAAAAAAAGAATCTGCAAGCTGCAGCCTCCACATAGAAGTGAAAGCAGAATCTTATAATTCAGGTAAACACTGCAGCTGGAGCTTCCTTAAGGGATTCTAAGAAGCGTGGGGGAACTTGAGCTTTTGATTAGCTCTCTGGATACAGGGTATGGGAGGTAAATTTTAGGGCCCACTCAAAGTGAAAGTCTCTTAGGAGATTGCGCAATGCTTGGATCCTTAAGGGCTATGCCCCTGGAGGTAAGGTGAACTAGGAAAGAAAATCTCTCTGTGCAGAAAGGAACATCAATAAAGCTTGTGGTTTTTAACCTTAGTGTTGAATGAAGAAGTCTCTTCTAAAAATATGTAATCATAAACCAGCTCTGAAGTGGGTTTTAGTTCATTTTAACACTGCCTGTGCAGTCTAGAAAATGTCACTCAGATCTTCTAATGTAAGTGGTAGCAATTTGGTAATACCCTTAGGCACCTGGCAGATGAAAATGTATATCCTTTTGTAAAACCTCGAATTCAAACTGACATTAAAAAATTCCCAGAGATTAAATTTCAAATAAAAATTAGTAGCTCACAGTTCAAAAATTCACAATGCACAAGGAAAGGTGATATCACTGATGAAAACCAGCAGATAGAAGAAAAATGGCCTGATATAGAATATAGAATAATATATGCCAATTAATTTGAAAACTTAGCTGAAATTGGTAATTTCCAAGGAAATGCAAGTAATCCAAACTGGACCCACTGTCAAAGGAAAACCTGGATATAGCTAGAAACTTCAAAAGATTTACATTTGAAGCTAAAAAACTCCCCACACAGAAAGCACTAGCCCCAAATTTTCAGTGAAAGCACTAACCCCACATTTTCAGTGAGGTCTACTAGACATTCTTAGGAAAAATAGTTCAGGTATTATACAATCTATACCAGAGTATATTAAAAACAGAAATGCTATCCTACTCATGGATGAAACGAAGTTACCTTGATACCAAATTCTGACAAAACCATGAATATTACAGGGTAATTTTACTTACTAGCACAGTTAGGAATACCCTCAACTAGATATTAATGAACCAAATCCAGCAAAATATAAAAATTATAATATTTATCATTGCCAGGTTTGCTTATCTCAGTCTGATATTAGATAACTTATCAATGTGATTTATTTCATTAGCAAATTAAAGGAGAAAAATATCTGATCATCTCAATAGATGCAGAAAAATCATCTGACAAAATTTACCATTCATTAATGAAAACAAAACACAAAACAACCTCTCGGCAAACTAGCAATGGTGGTAGATTGAAAGAATTTCTTGTAAGATTAATAGCAAGAAAAAATGCCTGCTATAGTAATTTCTTTTCATGATGATACTAGAGATCTTTGAAGGATCAGCAGGTAAGATGAATATCTGAAAGGCGAAAATAAAATCTTCATTATTCATAGATGATACAATTGTCTATATTATACACCTAAAAGAAAGTTTAGTTAAATATTAGAAATAATAATAGAATTAATAAGGTAGCTGGATACAAATCAAAATATAAAATTAATTGAATAGTCATAAACCGATAGTGATTAATTGTATGAAGCAATTTTAACATATGCCATTTAGGAAAAGAAACATAAAAATATAAATTACTTAGGGATTGATATACTAAAAGTTGTATAAATGCTTTATGGAAAAATAAAATATATTGAAAAACATTTTTTAAAAATCTAAATAAAGTGCAGAATATACAACATACCTAAATGAAGGATTCAGTATACCAAAGATGTAAATTCTCACCAAATTGATCTGTATATTTAATGCAATTGCAAGCAAAATCTCAGTAGGGATTTTTAGGCATGAAGCTTGAAAAGAAGATTCTAAAATTATCTAAAAGAATAAAAAGGCAAAAATAGACGAAACACCCCTGAAGACAGAACAAGTTATAGAGACTTTTTTTCTACTGAAATTGAAAAATATTATTATTATAATAATTGAGATAGCATGCTGTTCATGCTGGAATAGACAAATGGTCCTGTGAAATATAATACAGAGCTCAGAACAAACTTCTGCCTGCCTGGAAATTTGATTCATAGAAGAGCAAGTATAGTCAGTGTTAGACTAGACTATGCAGTAGTAACAAATTACTCCTCACATTTCTCAGAGTACAAATCCAGTGTGAGTTGTCTGGAGTGAGTGGGTGTGGGTATGTGCTCTGCTCCTCAGAATCACTCAGGGATCCAGGCAAACAGAGCCGTCCTGGCCTTGTAGTTGTACTTTTGAGAACCCTGTGGCTTGTTTTGTCACTGTGGCACGGATAGCAAGAATGAGAGGGTCATGTGCCAGCTTGTAAATTCTTTGGCTTAGAAGTGACTTGTAATAGGCCTTTCCTCATAAATTAGCCATGTGATTCCATATAACTCTAAGGGAACTGAGAAATGTGGAGGACCATATGGAAATTTCATAAATAACAAATATGACTGTTAGTGAGTATCAAAGATCATGAGCAAACTGATAGCCTCTTTTATAGGCAGTTTAAGAAAAAACTCGAAATCTTGGGGAGAAATGGTCAGGTGGCATAAACAAAAATTTTCACAGCCAAAAAAAATACAGGTGGCTCAAAATAATCCTAAAATGTATTTGTAGTAATAAGAATTAAAATTAAAACCAAAATGGATCACCATTGTATACTACCATTTTGGTAAGATTTTAAATGTTTGAAAATGATTAAGATGTAGGGGAACTAAAACTTCCATCCACTGTTGGTTGGGATGTAATAAACAGCACAAGAACTTTGGAAACCAGTTTAGCATCTAGTATGGTACAGAACCTATGCATTTCTGTAATACAAGAATCTATTTCAAGAGAGAATTGTGTACAGTACTCATGTAATAGAATATGTGCATAAGAATGTTCATAACATCATGATTCAGACTAGCCCCAAGTTGAGAACCACGTAATTTTGATTAAAGTAAACTGAATCAATAAATAGTAATATAGTCACATAATGAAATAAAATTCAGCAGTGAAAAATGAATAAATACATAACAGCTAAATGCCTCAACATGGATGAACCTCAAAAACACAATGTTGAATGCAGAAGCAAGTCTTAGAAGAATACTTATAGCATAATTCTATTTATATAAGTTCAAAACCAAGCAAAACTAAGTTATATGCACACATAACATATATCATATAAAATTATATAAAAATCATATCTGATATATGTATTTACAGATACATAGATAGAAAAACCTTTAAAAACTGAAAGAGAAAAATGATTCACACACAAATCAACATCAGGAATGAGAGAGGGATGTAATCTGAAAGAGACACAAGGAAGGTTCTAAAATATGGGTAATTTTAAAACTGAGTGATGGAAACACGCTCAATTCTTTAAACTATATGTATTACATACCCTTGTATATTTGATCTCATAAACAATAGTGAAAGTTCTGAATTACCTGGAGTCATCTCGGTATTGGAACTGCAACCCATTTTCACCAGGTCAGTAGGCTTCTTCTGCCACATACATTCCTCAGCATCCATTCTAAGATGGAACTTTTCTTCCTTTTTCCTCACCTATTCCTTGGTCGTCACCACTTTTTATTAGGTTGGTGCAAAAGTAACTGTGATTTTTGTAATAAAGTAATGCAAAAACTGCAATTACTTTTGCACCAACCTAATAATGTTACCTATTTTCCAGAAATCTGTGGACATCTCTCATTTTCTAACTACAGTTCCAACTCCTAGTCTCCTGTTTTAGGATAATATAATCTCCCTCTCTCTCTCTCTCTCTCTCTCTCTCTCTCTCTCTCTCTCTCTCTCTCTGTGTGTGTGTGTGTGTGTGTGTGTGTGTGTGTGTGAGAGAGAGAGAGAGAGAATTCAGGGCACAGAAGAGAACGTGGAAATACCAATTTACAGAGCTATTGTATCCATAAGGCAAGAACAGGATGCTATAAAATGGAATAAAGTGTATGAAAGAATCATTTTAAGTAAAAGAGACAAAAAGTGAAGAAATTCTTAAAATGTAGAACAACAAGAAAACAAGACAGAAAGTTGTAAAGAAATAATAAGAGACATAAAGGATATATCAAGAAGGTACAACAGCGAGCAAGTAGTTATGCCAGAAAGAAAGAACACGGGGAGTTGAGGGTTCTAAATTATCTAAGAAGCAATATAAAAATATTTTTCAGAGCTGAAAGAAAAGTTTTTTTAAATAGAAAAGACTCATATCTAGATCCTGATTATGAAATATGAGAACACTAAGGATGAAGAGGAAAAAAAGTTATTTCAGCAATAGAATTATTATTAAAAGCATAAGATACTGTGAAAATAAAGGAACAGTGTCTTTGGATTGTTGAAGAAAAATAATTTTCCTTCTTCCCTTTATTTTTTCCTCATTTACGTCTATCCATCCATCCATCCATCCATCCATCCATCCATCCATCCACCCATCCATCCATCCATCCACCCATTCATCCATCCATTCATTCATGTATCCGTCCGTCCATCCATCCATCCATTCATGTTTCCATCCATCCATCCATGCATCCATCCATGTATCCATCCATCCATCCATCCATCCATCCATGCATCCATCCATGCATCCATCCATGCATCCATCTATCCATGCTAACTCATCTTTCCTGGTTTTTCTTTCATAGTCTATGCATTCCTGAGCTGTTTCCTTATAGCAGTTGCTGTGTGCATTATAAACAGATCTGTCAAATTTTTCCTCTTAAATCCAAACAATATTATTTGTTCTTCTAGTATGACATTTGTTTGTTGGACTGTTTTTAGATCTGTATTGGAATTTTTGTCCTTGTGGTTTGTTTTTGCCAAAATATATTATTATAATGAACATTATACTGAATCTTGCTTTTTTTTCTTACATAATGTATCATAAACAGTGCACAATGTCAATATGGAATTAATTAACTCTACTCATTCGCTTTCTAATAGTCACTTGTAGGGATTTACCACAATTTATTCATCCACTTGCTCATTAAGAGTCATTCCATTTTTTTCTAATCAAGTTCTAGTCTCTTCATGTAGTAGAGGTTCAGAGAATTAAGTGGCCAAAGTGGGAACCTGGAAAGATCCAAATAATTATAGTGTATTTCAGGAGATTACACTGCATGACCCTCTCCACTCAATCAACTTTCTACACAATATCCCATTTCTACACAATATCCCATTTCTACATAGATCTTATCACTGCGTATTTGCTTATCGCTGGAAAACACCCTCCAGAGGTAGCAGCTTAGCTTTCCCTCTAGAGAGAGGTACATGAGTTACACACAGTGCAAGGATATATTTTCCCTCTTGGACTTCCAACTACTTTTAACTCATGTTTACTTCCCAAGCAAGTGACTAGAATGACAAACTCCACAGATCTCTATCTTGTTTTTAAACATAACATACAATCCTGACTTCCAAACAGGTAACCTTAAGTATATACATAGAGCTTACCTGAGTGAGAGATGATGAATTGTAATTTAATTTTGCTTCCTAAGCTAATTGCATAAAGCTATATGCTACCTTTTTTTAAACCTGAGCTTTATCTACTCAATAGATAGAAAGACACGTTTCAGTGAGCACTATATTACTTTGCAGTGTGAGAAATAAGTGCAAACACATCAGTTTTATTTTCAAAGCCAATTTTATGAACCATGAGCTTAATCAAAAAGACATTCACTAGAGTCTACAATAAATACTTTAAATATAAAAATATGGTATTTGAGAGTAATATTGGCTTTGTCTGCAGCAAGACTAAAATAATGTCCTTTTCTTTAAATTCACCACTGTTTTCAGAATTTTTGGCCACAATTTAAGTATTAATGTTATCACATTAATTGTCTTTTACAGAAATTAGTAAATTGATTTAAAAATCTAAGCACATTTATTTTCACCTATAGTTTTTTTTATTGCTCACTAATAAGCTTTTTTCCAACCACGATTTCAGCCATTGTATTAATTTTGATTGATTCCACAGATAATAGAAATAAGTGTTTTTAGTTGTAAGTTTTATTTTCAGGAAGGGTGAGTGAATGCTACATTTTCAGTGACCTAGAATTTTTTCTAACTAAGACAGAACTATTACAAAATAAGACGCACAGGTATCACATGTTCAGATTGTGAGTTTCAGACAATTGTATAATATGTGTACTACTACCCCAAATAATATGCAAAGCATTTGTATTCCTCCAGGGAGTTCCCTCATGCTCCTTCCAGTCCATTCCCCACCCTTCCCTTCTCATCTCTCCCCAGGCAGCCACTATTTGATTTCTATAATTTCTATAAAAGATTAACTTTCTCTGAATTTAGATTTCAAACACGGTAAGTGAAATCACAGAGCACATACTCTTTATTTACTTAACACATTTTTGATACTCAACCATGTTGTGGTGTATCATAGTTCATTCTTTTTATTGTTAAATATTCTATTATATGAATATTCTATAATTTATTTAATATTTTTTGATGGACATTTGGGTTATTTCCAGTTTTTAGATATTTTGAACACAGTTGCTGGACATATTATTGTACAAGTTTCTCTGTGGACTTAGGTTTTTTTGTGTTTTGGGCAAACACTTAGTGAAATTGCTGGGTCATAAGGTCAAGTTAAACATTGCAGGAAATTGCCAAAATGCTGAGAAGTGACTTTTCAACTTTATACTCCAAGCAGCGGTGTACAAAAGTCATAGTTGTTCTATACCCTTGCCAATGTTTGCTGTTATAATGCATCCCATGATAAATGTTATTTCCTGGTTCTTCTTCCTGTCTTTTATTTTATACTTTTCCAGTTTCTCCTACTTTAATTGATCCTACACTGTACACCAAGGCTCACTGTTCTAAGGCACAGCTCTTGTAAGGTAATAGCTCAAAGTCTTCTTATGGTTTCCTAGTCACAACCTTAGCCTGACAGTGAAACTTCTCTGTGATCTGATCCTTACGTACATCTCTAATTTTATTTCCCAATCTCCCATATGTAAATTCCACACACCCTGCATTCCAGCCAAACTAGCTATAGCTGACTGTTTCCTAACCTGTTCCCCAGTTCTTGCCTCTCTGCTTTTTTCATGCTATTCTTCACCATCAAGTCCTTCCCTACTATGTCTAATCTCTGCAGCCTATTTCTCCAGAGTCTCGGCTCAAATTGTAACTTGCTATGATGCTCACTGCTCCAAACAGAAAAATCAAGCTTCAGAATCCCTATAGAACTGAATTTTTGCCTTTGTGTTAGGCCGTTTCACCTTCAACTTTTATTAGAGTTCATTTTCTCTATGCCTTTAGGTCTCTTCCTAGCTGTAAGCTAGTTGGTGAGGATAACACTCCATTTCTTCCCTGCTCATAGCAGGCCCTCAATAGCTCTTAACTGAAGGAATGAATAAGCCGAGTGAGTTGTAAGTGGGAATGGCGAGTGCTGTTTATTACCAGTGGTGGCCACTTATTTTTAAATGGCTATTATCTGGGTGTGGAAAATGAAATACACACCCTACCCTCCTCCCAGCCTGTCATGTTCATTGCCTGATAAGTATGTGAGCCGAGGATATCTACTGAGGTGAAAGTCTGAGCTTTGTTGTTTCCATTTTTGGTTTGTTTGTTTTTTTCCCTCTGTCTGCCAGCCCCTCTCTTCGCATCACTGTAGGAAAGGAATCAGCTCTGAATCTTAGTTTCCCAGCTTCAGGGGCTAGTGGGTCTGTGGAAATAGTAGCTGTTGAAAGTAAATACTTTTCTGTCTTTTGAGAAAGTCTAAACCAGCGGTTCTCAAACTTTTTGGCCTCAGGACCCCTTGACACTGTTAGAAGTAACTGAGGATCCCAAGGGGATATATTCACACAGGTTTTTATCTATCAGTGGCTTTGTGTTTGTTTTATGAATCTCTTTAATAGCTTAAAGAAGACAGCTGGATTCTCAGGTCTGCTCTGTGTTCATTCATTCTATCCTGGTATCACATTATGTAGTCTCTGGAAAACTCCACTGTACACTCCTGAAAGAATAAAAAAGGCAAATGGTGCCTAACATTATAATATCAATATTTTTGATCTCTCAGACTCTCTGAGAGGGTCTCAGGGACCTCAAGACTTCTTGGATCACGTTCTGAGAACTGCTGGCTTAATTTGAAGAGATTGTGATGTCCGTGGCTGGAGTGAGTATAATGGGGAAGGGAAGATGCCTTTAAGGAAGAGAGAAGGGTAAACTTTTTCTTTACTGGAAAGGGACCTACATCCTCTGGGTGGCTACATTCTGGGAAGCAGCCAGTGCTTCATGGGGTATGGTCATGAGGTCCATCTGAGAAGGCTAGGTTGGGGTTGGTTATCAACCTTGGTAAAGCCTCCCAGCTCCTAACTAAGGCCTGAAATCTCAGCGGTGTCAGGCTCCAGGAAGCAGGATGGCTTTGGTCCAGGAGCATCTCACTTGTGACCAATGTTGACTAGAAGGGCCTCTTCAAGTGTGCTCAAAATTTAAGTTTTCAGGAAGCCGAGTATGGCCTCCCAGAAAGTTTTGAAACTTTTGAAGGCAATTTTGGTTAATTAGGAAGGGTGTGCTCCTGGCATTGAGCCATTTAGCTCTGTGCACTGAAGATGGTAAACACCTCCAATGCACAGATCAGTGTCCCACAGATTTTCAGTGGCCCCAGGCATTCATGAGGATAAAAAGCTTGCTTATAATCTTTCTGGTTTGGAATCTAATTCTGTATAACAAATGAAAAAAAAGCATTTTTTGGCATAATTTTCATATACCTTAAATTTTTCAGAAATAAATCATTATGTGAATCATGGGAAATTCTACTTGTTTTGTTTGGAATGTTATCCAGATTATTTTACCATTTTAGAAAATAACATTAAGGCAGCAATACTTATGGTAATTGAGCCACCACTACTACACACCTGGACTCATCTGCCTTTGTAGCTGTGGCATTATATGTACAGATACAACCCTCATATCATTGCATTATATCTTCAAATTTAATCATACTTGATTATTTGCAAATTTATATACATTTATTTTTATTAGACATTTGTCTTATGTTTTATTTGTATTATAGTTTAATATATTGATGGTTTTAAAGATTTTGTGTCTAGATAGGTCATGTGATCTATGAATTTTATTTCAACATTGTAGGGAACATTAAAATAAGTTTGGTACAAAAAAAGTGGTGAATCTGAATCTGATAGGGAACCCTAGAAGGAGGAAACTGAGGAGGGAACCCTAGAAGCTTCGTATGACCTTAGGTGAAGGCAGGTTGCAAGTGAGAGAGAGCACCAATAATGACTTCAGTAGATACAACATTGGTTTATTCATGTTTTCCTTCAAAAAATACATTATACTGAAAGAACATAACAAAAAAAGAAAACTACAGACTAATATACCTGTTGAGTACAGATGCAAGAATCCTTAACAAAATAATAGCTAACCGACTCCAACAGCATATCCAAAAAGATAATCCACCATGATCAAGTGGGTTTCATACCCGGGATGCAGAGATGTTCAACATACACAGCCAATAAATGTGATATACCACATAAACAGAATTAAAAACTAAAATCACAAGATCATCTCAATAGACACAGCAAAAGCATTTGAGAAAATCCAGCATTGCTCTATGATTAAAACCCTCAGCAAAATCGGCATAGAAGGGGCATACCTTAATGTAATAAAAGCCATCTATGACAGACTCACAGCCAACATAATACTGAATGGGGAAAAGTTGAAAGCATACCCCCTGAGAACTCGGACAAGACAAGGATGCCCACTCTCACCGCTTCAATTCAACATATTACTGGAAGTCCTAGCAAGAGCAATCAGACAAGAGAAAGAAAGGGCATCCAACCAGTAAAGAGGAAATCAAACTGTCACTGTTTGCTGATGATATGATCATATACCTAGAAAACCCTAAAGGCTCCTTCCAAAAGCCCCTAGAACTGATAAATTAATTCAGCAGGCTTCATGATACAAAATTAATGTACATAAATCAGTAGCTCTTCTATACACTGACAGCGACCAAGCTGAGAATCAAATCAATAACTCAACCCCCTTTACAATAGCTGCAGAAAAAAAATACTTAGGAATATACCTAACCAAGGAGGTGAAAGACCTCTACAAGGAAAACTACAACATACTTTTGAAAGAAATTTTAGATAACACAAACAAATGGAAATATATCCCATGGTCATGGATGAATAGAATCAATATTGTGAAAATGACCATATTGCCAGTAGCAATCTATAAATTCAATGCAATTCCCATCAAAATACCACCATCATTCTTCACAGAACTAGGAAAAAAAAATTCTAAAATTCACATGGCACCAAAAAGGAGCCTGCATAGCCAAAGCAAGACTAAGCAAAAAGAACAAATCTGGAGTCATCACATTACCTGACTTCAAACTATACTGTAAGACCATAGTCACCAAAACAGCATGGTACTGGTATAATAGGCACATAGACCAATGAAACATAATAGATAACCCAGAAATAAAGGCAAATACTTACAACCAACTCATCTTTGACAAAGCAAATATAAACATGAAGTAGGGGAAGGACACCCTAGTCAACGAATGGTACTGAGATACTTGACAAGCCACATGTAGAAGAATGAAACTGGATCCTCATCTCTCATGGGATATAAAGATCAACTCAAGATGGATGAAAGACTTAAATCTAAGACCTTAAACCATAAAAATTCTAGAAGATAACATTGGAAACACCCTTCTGGACATTGGCTTATTCAAAGACTTCATGACCAAGAACCCCAAAGCAAATGCAACAAAAACAAAGATAAATAGTTGGACTTAATTGAACTAAAAAACTTCTGCACAACAAAAGAAACAATCAGCAGAGTAAACAGACAACCCACAGAATGTGAGAAGATCTTCCCAATCTATACATCCCACAAAGGACTAATATCCAGAATCTACAAGGGACTCAAACAAATAAGCAAGAATAAAACAAACAATCCCATCAAAAAGTGGGCTAAGGACATGAATAGATAATTCTCAGAAGAAGATATGCAAGTGCCCAACAAACATATGAAAAATGCTCAATATCACTAATGATCAGGGAAATGCAAATCAAAACCACAATGCGATATCACCTTATTCCTGCAAGAATGGCCATAATAAAAAAATCAAAAAATAATAGATGTTGGAGGGAATGTGGTGAAAAAGGAACACTTTTACACTGCTGATGGGAATGTAAACTAGTACAAACACTATGGAAAACAGTGTAAATATTCCTTAAAGAACTAAAAAGCAGAGTTACCATTTGAACCAGCAATCCCACTACAGGGTATCTACACAAAGGAAAATGAGTCATTATATGAAAAAGATATTTGCTCATGCATGTTTATAGCAGCACAATTCCCAATTGCAAAAATGTAAAACCAGCCCAAATGCCCATCAATCAATGATTGGATAAAGAAATTGTGATATGTCTATATCTGTACCTATCTATATACCATGGAATACTACTCAGACATAAAATTGAACAAAATAATGGCATTCACAGCAACCTGGATGAAACTGGAAACCATTATTTTAAGTGCAGTAACTCAGGAATGGAAAACCAAACATCAGATATTCTCAATCATAAGTGGAAGCTAAGCTATGAGGTTGCAAACACGTAAGAATGATACAACAGACTTTGGGGACTTGGGGGACAAGGTGGGAGGGGGTGAGGGATAAAAGACTACACATTGGATACAGTGTACACTGCTCGGGTAATGGATGCACCAAAATCTCAGAAATCACCACTAAAGAAACTTAGTTATGTAACCAAACACTACTTGTCCCCCAAAAACCTATTGAAGTAAAGAAAAAAAACCACAGTGAGATACCATCTCACACTAGGCAAAATGGCTATTATTAAAAAGTCAAAAAATAACAGATGCTGAGGAGGTTGCAGAGAAAAGGAAATGCTTACACACTGTTGGTGGAAGTGTAAATTGGTCCAACCATTGTGGAAAGCAGTGTGGCAATTCCTCAAAGGGCTAAAACCAGAACCACTATTCGGCCAAGCAATCTCATTATTGGGTATATACCCAGAGGAATATAAATTGTTCCATTATAAAGACACATGCATGCATATTTCACTGCAGCAGTATTCACAATAGCCAAGATATTGAATCAACTTAAATACCCTTCAATGATAGACTGGATAAAGAAAATGTGGTATGTATACACCATGGAATATGATGCAGCCATAAAGAGAATGAGACCATGTCTTTCACAGGAACATAGATGGAGCTGGAGGCCATTATCCTTAGCAAACTAACAGGAATAGAAAACCAAATTCTGCATGTTCTCATGTAAAAGAGGGAGCTAAATGATGAGAACACATTGACACAAAGAGGGGAAAAATAGACACTGGGGCCTACCTGAGGGTGAAGGGTTGGAGGAGGGAGAGGAGCAGAAAAATATAACTATTGGGTACTAGGTTTAGTACCTGGGCTAAGAAATAACCTGTACAATAAACCCCCATGACACAAGTTTACCTATATAACAGACATGCACATGTACCCCTGAACCTAAAATAAAATTTTTTTTAAAAAAGAAAAAATAATACATTACACCCATCATAGAAGAGTGAATGGTGGAGGTGATCATTTATTTTGGACTTTTATTACTGGTTCCATTCAAACCTAGAAATGCAGCTCAGTTCTGTCCTGGACATTCACTGTCTTTGTTCCTACTAATAGCTACCTGTATTTCCAATTCTGACTATGTAGTTTTAACCAGGAGGCCAAAGGCACATGGCAGCTCTAAATGATTGAAGCGGATGATTTGAGAGTCTGTCGTAGCCTACTGGAAGAGGGAGTTTATACTTTTTCAAGGAAGTTTTTTGTTTGTATAAATTTCCACAGAGATTATTTAAAACTAGTTATTTAGAAAGTTTTCAGGCCCATTTACCAGATACCACTTTGTATCAAATGCAGAAGTAGTAAAGGGAATTTTTTCAAAAGGAAAGAATGAAAGAAAAAAACAGGACTCTAGAATCAGACAGACTTGTGTTTCTGTCTCACTCATTCATTCTAAGACCCTGAACGAGTTTCTGAATACTTTCTGAGCTCAAATTTTCCTCATTTATCAAGTGAAGGTGATAGCAACTTCACTGTCTTGTGACAATTAGATGAAAAAAAGTAAGTACTCAAAATAGGTTAGAGTTTTCCTCTTTTCTCTAGTACTGCACACTGATCCACAAGTCCAACTTTGTTCTTTCTAATAACTGTTATCAGTGTAAAATGTAAAAGATGTTGAGGAGGACATTCATCATCGCTCCATCTTGATGACAATGAACCAAACCTAAGGACAAAGTGAGTTAAATGCCAACCTTCTAAAAAGGGCTGCAAACCACTGGGTCCAGTCCCTGCCCTGGGCTGGCCACGAGGAGACACATCCTCTGTACTATCCCTAAAGGTCTCTGCAGTCCCCTTCCCAGCATGTGAAAGAATAGAGAGAAGTGGGGGGTTCACAGGAAGAGTGAGTTTCAACCTGATGAAGCAAGAGTTCATGGCAAAGATGCCTTCTCATCTCTAAAGCCACGTGATGGGAATCCCTCATAAGGCTGGGGGTGCCTGGGAAAAGGAAAGGTAGGATCTCATTCCCAAATGGACATCTCCGAAGGCATGCAGGATTACTCACCTGCCCCAGAGCATAACTGAGGAAGGGGAGAAAGGATGGGACAGGAGAGAGAGCAAGGACCAATGGTGGAGATCCGTGTACACCCACACTTGGAATGCAGTTCCCTGGGTGGTGTCACAGAAAGGAGCCAGTTTGGGTTATCCTGTGAAATCTTCACTGAAGATGGCTGAGAACAGGCATGAAGAGCTCCCAGGGCAAGCAGCTGCTGTGGTCTCTGTACCTAATCCTGAGGGGTCGTGAGCTTCTCAGACTTTTTCTTGGTCATAAAAGTGAAAAAATGTAGTTGTTTCAAGGGCCAGGAAAATTCAAAATGACTAAGCTTAGGCTGACATCTTGTGGCTCAGCCTGAAATAGGTGCTTCACTAAGAAATTATTTGTCAAGACTGGCAAAGAGAGGTGGCCTGCGAACAGAGAAAAAGACATCAAAACCCACTTATTATTTTGGACAATATGATGCTATCCTTTAATGTATTTTAAAGGATATCTGTGAGAAACAGAATATTTAACTACAGATTTAAATTTATTTTTGGCTAATACACATGGCCTAGACAATTACTGAAAAAACGACTTATTCTGCTTCCAATCCATTTCCAGCATGAGAGGTCCCCTTTCCTTTGCTGTCCAGTGGTCTACAAGCTGACCCCTCTGTGATGTCAGCAGGTATTCTGAGAACCCTGAGGAGTGCTGGAATGTTCCATGTGCCCATCTGTGCCCTCAACACATCATGCTCCAGACTGAGGCGCCATCTATCTCCTTCTTCAGGTCTGTGACCCCTCCTTTTTTTTTTTTTTTTTTTTTTTGAGATAGATTCCCATCACCCAGGCTGGAGTGTAGTGGTATGATCTTGGCTCACTCTGCCTCCCAGGTTCAAGAAATTCTCCTGCCTCAGCCTCCTGAGTAGCTGGGGTTACAGGCATGCACCACCTCACCAGCTAATTTTTGTATTTTTAGTAGAGACAGGGTTTCACCATGTTGGCCAGGCTGGTCTCGAACTCCTGGCCTCAAGTGATCTGCCCACTTTGGCCTCCCAAAATGCTGGGATTACAGGTGTGAGCCACTGCTCCTGGGCCTTCTGACCCCTTCTTCACACCATAATTATTTGCCAGGTCTGACCCACAGACCCTGGCTGAATGACAGATGAACAAATGCACTCAGACACAGGTATCTAGTGAAAGAGTGGGCTAGGAGACCAGGGCCACCCACAGACCCCAAAGAGGGTACTGTAAAGAGTCAGCAGCTGTGGCCCTGACCAGCTGGCACTGCGGGCATTTATTCAGTGTAGATTTAATGACAAAGGCCTTGAGTCAATACACTTGTGGGTAATTGCGTGGATGATTAAAGGCCCGGTTTCTGGAGATATGAGTAAACAACCTATTCTGATAAACTCCCCTGCATTCCTTTGTACCTACTTCTCGCCCTTTGCCCCAGGGTAAGAACTGCTCATTCTTCCCCGAAGCTTTGCAAAACCCCCATGGCCTTCCAAGAAGGTTTGCGTTTTTCCTACAGTTTCTCCCACCACCCTGACCAATCTCCTACAATTATTCTCTCTGGTCTGTTTTGCCAAAGAATGTGGATAAGAAGATTCCTTTAAGCTCAGTTCCAAAATGGCTATGAATTAGACACTGCTGGTACTTGAAAATAACGTAAGGAATGTAAGTACAATGTGCAAAACAGAAGCTCACAGATACAATCCCAGCTTCTCCTTGTTAAAAGAATTCCTCAGCTGCCATTTATCTCTGATTTCTCTTTGGGCACAGCTGCTAGAACACTGAAAACCTGCTGGTTTTCACATTTGTGTCCCGAAAAGAGTCCAAGTTTTTAATGTTCTCCAGAGTGAAAGAGCCCCAAGTCCTGCCTCTGGTTATTGCCAGAGGAAGGAAAACATCACTTTGCACTTTTTATTAACCTCTGCAAGGATGCACCATCCACAACCATGCCGTACGCATTTTAAGAACATTCTGATGCATTTGAATTTAGAGATTTTTGACAATATTCAGAGTTTCCCAAAGGATAATGGGCTCCTATTTGATTTACATCTCATGATGAAAGTGGTTCACAAAGAAGGTTCTTCTCAAAGCCGCGAGTCTAGCTCAAACTCCTAGTTTCAGTTTTTACTTTCAGACTTACATGAAAGGTATGTTTCAAAATGAAAGATTATTTTTTGATCTCACTGTATCACTATACACTGGTGGCAAATAGTTTAGCCTTTGTCAGCCTCCAAATGAAGACAGCAAAACTTACTTCATTTTGTGAGGATCAAATGAGATCATTTATGTGAAAACATCTTTAAACAATAAAGGATCATATAAACATGAATGTCTGCTGACTTTTTAAAAAAATCTTCTTAACTCAATGCTTCCGAAGCTAGTAAATTAGAGTTCTTTAGTTACAATGCATGGTTCTGCATAAATGCAGGAATATTGGGTGAAATGCTAAAATTACTCTTCATGCAACTTACTACTTTATTTGTGTATGTTGGGATTAATATTTTGAGACATATTGACACATTTTTCTCTTTTCTGTTTTTAACTATATTGCCTTCTCCATAGTCAGCCTGAAGCATCCATTGCCTTGGGAAGATTGGTGAAGTGGAGAGTAGGGGATGGGAGGATGAAGAGACATTAGAATTGCTATAGCAGAAATCCAAAGAGAACAACATGACTTGCAAAATTGTTGTTGTTTAATAAGAACCTTGAGAGTCAGCCTCTATTATGAGAGAAAAGATTTTCTAAGGTTCCTGTAGGCCCCATTGAGCAGACTAAGAGTTGCACCTACAGGCTGAGATCACAGGCTTTCTTCTACAGCAAAGAAGACCCCTCCTGTCTAGGACCACTAAGAGAGGAGTGGTTGGATATGCAGTGGAAGAAAGAAAAGCTCAGTGGGATAGGATAGGCTATAATACAATAAAGATGAGAGCCAAGCCTGAAGATCATCACTTTACATATCCAAAGTCAGAAAAGGAAGGAAGGCAGATATTGGAGGGAGTGAACATGTCAGTTCTTGAAGTTCTTACCCCCAGGAATGTGGCAGGTTAAGTTCATCCAGAGAGGTATAGAGTAGCCCCAGATTACTGGGGCTGCAGCCTGTTTCTTGGGCTTCTGCATAGACTCTAAGGAAGGAAGACTCTGCAGGTGGCCACTTTTAATATGGCGATGGGCAATGGTGCTCCTACAGTGGCCAAAGACTGATGTAATGGTGAGACGCATGGTCAGACATGTGTCTGATATCCCTTTCAAGACCTATTTCGCATTTGGGATCCTGGGAGGAGAAAATGTCACAGTGATAAAGGCATAAGACGAGAGGGCTTGACACTGAATGTCCTCAAGCTATCCTTAGTTCACATATGACATGAATGGGATCCAGATATACCCACATGTTCTTAAAGAGGGGAAATAGAAATAATGGTGAGAATGGTCAAGGATGTTGCAGAAAGGTTATCATGGTGGGGAAAGAAGCACCATCTTGGAATCATCTGGGTTAGGATTAGGAACTTGTACTGAGAGAGGTTCACAGCATCATTCGGAGCTAATGTATTGATGGGGGCCCAGTCAAGAGAAAGAACTGGGTTCTGTTCAGCTGTGCATTACCTGAGTGAAAGCTACCAGCAGCTGGTGAAAGCAGGGTGTGCTTGACTCTTGTCCTAGGACCAGCATGAACTCTGATGCAGCTCTGAGATGCTCCTCCCCCGTTCCCTGGCCATGAGATGCTTGTGCCCCACACCTTCCATGTCCAAATGCCCAGATGCTCTCCTGCTGAGGGCAGAGAAGGGAGAGAGTGGCACAGTCTGACAGAGTGGGTGTTTTACATAATGAATAGTTTATGCATGATTAAGATATTAAATCAGACCTAGGTTACTAGACTGGATTATGTCAATTACTCCCACTCTAAGATATAGTAACAGAGATGGCAGGGGCGTGGTGGTTTTGCTGTGCTGATGATGTTCTATTTCTTGCTCTGAGAGCTGACTCCCTGTCTTTATTTTGTGAAAAATCATGGAGATGTATATTTAAGACATTTGCACAGTCCTTTAAATATGTTAGGCTTCAACCAAAAGGTTTGAGAATTCTAATGCCTCTGAACCTACTTGTACATTCACAAGGACATACACATACAACCCAGCAGATGGCACTTATGAGAAGCCAAAAGTCCATTTTAGAGAAATAAAGATGCTGTCTTTTCTCCACACATTTGAGTGCAATGTGAGTAAATGTGTGACTTTACTTCCTGAGCTTTTGCTAAAGAAAGTGGGTCAAAAATCTGTGAACCTAGAAGACTCTCCAAATGCAGTGGCAATGATGCCATAAGGAAGAGTTCAGGCTCATTTTATATTTAATACTCTCCAAGTAGTAAGTGCTCTAGAATCAACTTCAGATGACAGAAATTAGAGATTTAGTCATTATTGTATCTGTATATTATAACTACCAGTGTGTCAGAAATTGAAACACAACTTTATATTTTATCATCATTTTTATATATTTTTAGATATAGCACATAGTTTCAAATATTCTTGGAGGCCTTAAATTAACTTTAGCTAAAATCTTCCCTGAACTGGCAGTAGTCTTATAATGCAGCAAGGTATGGTGGGAAGAAGAAAACAGAAAGAAGAAAGTGGGTCAAGTCCATACCTCTTGGTGTGACATTAGTTGAACTACGTAACCTCTCAGGATGCTTCTTCACCATTGAAATAATCCTCACATCTGCACACCCGGCAGCCTTGTGGTGAGAACAAAGGAGATGCTGTGTGCCTAAGTCCTTTGCAAACTGCATTCACAGGACGCCTCTTGATCATTGCAAATCTGTCTTGAGAAATGAAAGGCAGAACACGTCCATCCTCTGCAGCTTTGTATTTCTAGAGCTTTTGTGCCCTGCTAGGTCATTAAAGGAGGCAGTATTAAAATTCAATTGGCCCCTGATTAATTGTGCTTCATAATCTGTCACATGAAGTGATGTATCTATAAAATAGCTTGTGCAACATGGAAGTCAGCTGCTTTGTGGGTATGATACAAAGTGGGAGTTGCAGAACCCTTTCTTTATATTTAGCCCTGCACAAATGTAGCTGACACTGCTGGTGCTCATCCACCCTCCCTCCCCTCACTTCAGTGTATACTCATAGATTCCAGCTGCCAATGCCTATATCACTGTGCCTGGGAGCTTTCTCTGGTGAGCAAGCCTGGCTGAGCCTGCTCATGGACAGTGCTGAAAGTGTCAAAATGAATACCCCTAGAAGCAGCAGTCAATGAGTATCCCAGCTCTCTTACCCCCAGAGAGGGAAGACCTTTGAGGCATCTGTTCTGCACTAACTCCCAGAATTCTCTGATGGGACTGAGTCCCAGTCACTCCAGTGCTGGCTGGATTTTATTATCATTATGGTTGATTTCCCTTCTGTGTCTCACTTCCTCACTGTCCTACTTGTGTTTCCTTTGCCTCAGAGATATGCTAATTGTCCTCAAATCCCTGCATCAGGGTCTGCCTCTATGGGATGTCAAACTAAGACAACAACCAGCAATATTAGCTTTAATTTTTGACTCTTGAAGTTGGATTTGTTGCCTCACTTGTGGGCTTCCTTAGGTTCAGAACTCTTCCTTCCCACTGCTATGGTTTGAATGTCCCCTCCAAAACTCCTGTTGAAATTTAATTGACATTGTGATGCAATTAACAGGTGGGACCATTAGGAGGTGACTAGATCATGAAAACTTTGCCCCTATGAATGGGTGAATGCTTACTATTGCAGGAGTGGGTTAGTTATCTCAGTCTGATCTCCCTTTTCTCTCTCTGTCCCTTACCATGTATTGCCTTCTGCCATGCTGTGATACAGCAAAAAGGCCCTCACTGTGTAGCCCCTAGATGTTGGATTTCCCAGCCTCTGGAACCATGAGCCAAATAAGCTTCTGTTCTTTATAAATTACCCAGTCTGGTACTGTTTTACAACAGCAGAAAATGGACTAAGCTAAGCCATCCACCCTTCATGCCCTACCCTTCATGCTCCTTAAAAAAACTGAGATTTCCTATATATGCTAATTTATTAGGGAGGAATGAGACATTTTAAGACCTGTTCAATTGCTGTCTTTCTCATTGATTCTCTCTCTGTTTTTTTCTCTCCCTTGTTTTCAGCACTTCACATACCTTCCCTATTCTTTTATGTATCTCTGGACCTCAACCTCCCACTCCATGTAAAAAGAAGACAAGTATCAAATGATGCTTCCAGAAACTTATCACAGGATAAACACACTCTTGAATAATAGTATGCCTCTCAAAATCATTTTTTTGAAACTAAAATATATAATGACTTCAGACATTCACTTCTGAATACAACATGAGCTGAAGTTCTGTTAGTTGGCATAGTCTTTAATGGAAGAGGCTCTTCTCGAGTCACGTGTTACAGTCTAAGCTCTCAGGTAATTTAGGAGAGCTCAGACACAGATCTCCTAATGGAGAATAGACACAATGGCTTTATTAAGACATAGACAAAGGGAAATGCATTTTCTAAATGAGCTACTCTTTTTTTTCTTCTCTTTCATTTGAATATCATGGCAAATGTCAACTTTCGAGTAGTTTCATGGGGGAATAAGGACTGGCTTATAATCACTAAATCACTTGGAAACTGATCCCTCCATAACCAAGCATCCAACATGAAATATGTTTCCTTTGTTTCAGGAAAGAGGAAGAGAATACATTCCCTCCCTGAGCTGAGGGGATTTAACCAATAACAGTGACACCAAACCTGGGTGTCTCTTTATAACTCAAATGCCAGGAAGAGTTATTTATTTATTTATCTTTTAAATTTTGTCCACTAAGTAATCCAGATTGATGTTTGAAGAACTCAGAGACCTTTTCAAACTCAGTGGGACTGAGAAACAAAAGAAGGAATCTTTTGTTGCTGCTGTTGATGTTTTCTCCAGAATTAGAGAATCAGAAGGGGTGGTTCATGGCCTTGTAAAGCTTCTTCTATAAAATTCAACAGAGGATCAGAACTTTCAGAGTTCTTAAATTCTCCCTTTGAGGATTAGGGGGTAGTAGTTTATAGAGGTGATAGTACCTCTAAGTTTTCAGTAGGGAAAGGCATTTCCCATAAAACCATAGGGTGTGTGACTAAAATATAGTTTTGTTGTTGTGAGCATATCTTAAAATTTTATGGCCTGATTTTTTATTTCTTTGCAAAACCGGTCTTACCCTTTTACTTAGTCAAGCATGTTTGCATAACTCCCTTACAAAAATGCCAGAGTCTCTGAAATCTGCTGAACACAGAGGGTCTCTTTGATGAGGAGGGAATCAGCTGTCCCTGTGGTATAAAGCCCACTTCCCGCACTGTGGGAATTTCCATTTGGTGGGACTTTAAGGTCCCTATGTGCTTCAAGTGTTAATATTGGTTAGTGGAAAACGGCATTTCCCACAGCCTCCATGGGCTGGAAAGTTTTATTTTCATTTGATGTGACCATGGTTGTAAAGATCCTTAATCTCCTGTCTTCATAATTTCAGTATATCTCTCCCTCAATCAGGCATGCATAATAAACATTCTTTCCTTTTATGGGACATGCAAGAAAATTAATACATGCTGGAGAAAAGTGAACATTTTAGGTTTTAAAAAAGTGCTGAGCTTTCTCTGTGCTATTTCCCAACTAAAGGAGGTAAAACCTGCTCCTTTATGACCCACAACTAAAAGGAAAACGTGAAAGTATTCAGAGCACATACAGCACTCACTGAGAAATTACAATGTTCAAGCTGGGAAAGCATTGAATGAGGTGATGGGATTTTCTATCCTCGGATTTTTCATTCAGACTTTTCCTGTTAGTGTGTTCAGTAGCCCCTTAAGCATTGAGAAAACAAAGACTTTGTAGTTGTATGCCTTCACTCCTTGCACAGGCATGTGCCAGGTGATTAATAATGTTTTGGACTCTCTTAAGGGCATTTTACTGTGTTCTCATCTCCCAAACTTTGTGATCTCCTTCCTTTTCCACCATGTCTAAGAAAGAATTTATTTTGATATCTCTGTCTTTCTCTCTTTTCTGAGCATTTACACAAATAATACATGAATATATATTATTTATCTTTATAAATGTTTTCAAACAAATTTTGAAAACCTGACATGATCAAGTGCTACAAAAATACATATTAATATTTATATACCATTAATGAGAGTGGAAACTGTTTGAAACCATTGAAGAATTATTTGATATATTTGGTAAAATTGAAAATTTGCATATCATCCAGCAATCGCCCACTTATGTTTTCTATATCTGTAAAATGGTGACAATAATTTTATCTCTCTTACAGCATTGATGTAAGGATAAAGTGATATATGTAAAATACTTAGAAGTAACATTTTTAGCTTTTAATAAGTTGCAGATTTTATCAGTAGTAGTAGTATAAATGTTGTTATTATTAATTTCCAACTTTAGAGAAACTCTTGCAATGTCCACAAAGAGACTTGTATATGAATGTTCATTAAAATGTTGTTTGTAATAGGAATAAAAATGTGCAAAGAACCTAAATATTAATCAAAAGTGAAATGAATAAAAATATCATGTTATATTCATACAATGAAATACTAAACAACAGCCACATGTATCAGTAAGGCTAAACTTCAAAAATGTAATATTAATGAAATAATTTGCAAAAGAATATCCAAATTATGATACCAGTCACATAAAGACCATAAGTTTGTAAACAATACTATATATTTTAAGGGAAGTCAAGGTAGTTGTTATCTCTAGCTGGGAGAAAGAGCTATATAATCAAGAGTAAGACCGCATGGGACTTCGAATGGATTGAAAATGTTTTATTTCTCAAGATGCATAATATGTAAATATGTTTTCATTGTATCATTCATGTCTTTCAGTAAATATTAGATATTGCACAACAAAAGAAAGCAACAAATATCAAGAATGAAGAATAAATAGCGAATTCATGAATCAGCTTTTACGTATGCATTTTTTGGAAAAAATAGTTATTTGTTAACTTGGAAAGTCCCTTTGACTGCCATACAAGAAGGTTTATATAATGATGTCTTGATTCTATTTAAATCCTTGTTAGGGAATTGAAGATAAGCAAAAACCAAAAGCCATGAGAAAATTCTTATAGCAAGTACTTAGTAGGGCTGCCCACAGGGTTAAAGAAGACAAGATAGTTTACCTGAAGCTAATGTCACCAACTGAGCATAAATAAGACTCCAGTGAAGCTAGTCATTCATTATTTGTTGTGCACCCCTGAAGCCCTCCAGACCCACGCCCCGTGGCCCCTGTGCAGGTCTCTAAGTGTGGTAACTCGCTGCTCATTTATGTCTGGACTTTTTCATGCTGCTGTCCAGACGCTCATTACCAAATGCCCACGGCAGTACTTTTTCTTACATTTAAAGTTTCCAGAGGGCTGAGATTCAATGGAAAGCACCCATCACAGACCACTCATTCATCCAACAGACATTTAATGAGTGTCTACTATATGCCTAGCACCATATTAGGCACTGATGTAACAGTTGTAAATTTAATCTATTATAAACTTCCCCGTAACGAGACTCTGCTGCTTAGACCAAGACATAAGATGAAGAATGATAATTCTCTGAAAGGCTGTCATTTAATGAGAGCTTAGGGACCTCTATCTCCACCAGCCCTACTTTAATCTCAAAGTGCTTTTGGCAGCTATACGTTCAAATGTTTCTCTTAAAAGCCTGGAGCCTTTCACAATAATCTATAATATAGAAAACAATTGCCATACATAATTAATATTAAAAAATGAAAGGACACATGGTTCATAACAAAGAGTGAGAAATACTACTTACTGAGCTCAGCTTCTCTTTCCACTCAGCATTAGTTACGGGACTGATTTTAAAAGCTGGCTTACTGTCAGAGACACTATGATTTAATTGTTTGAGCCTGTAAAATCCAGGGGAGCTAATGTGGAGCTTGTTGAAGGAGCATTTCCAATGAGTGACTGGGGTCTGCCAGAGCAAAGGCCCTTTTCCATGACCACAGGTGGAGTTTCTGGAATGGAAAGTTGCCTTAGGAAAATCTCTGCAGTCATGGTAAAAATTCACTTTTTTTTTTTCCTGCCATCGACTCAAATTTCCCTTAGTAAGAATGGCAGCAGAAAAGGATTTTGAAAAACTAGAATATGGAAGTTGTAATGGACCATCCAGTGCAGGGGTCCATGACTTTCTGTGAAGGGTCAGATAGTAAACATACTTACAAGTTTCCAATATTGTATTTATATACTTATAAACAAGTTTACAACTAAACATAAATAAGTTACCATTGATTCCCTAACTTGCTTAAAATACAAAATTATATGTATAAATGGTATTCAATTGAATGAAATGACAATAATGGATGTCTTTTTAAAAGTTTTTATTTCCACAGGTTTTTGGGGAAAAGGTGGTATTTGGTTACACAAGTAATTTCTTTAGTGGTCATCTGTGAGATTTTGGTGCATGCATCTTCCAATCTGCAGTCTCCTATCCCTCATCCCTGTCCCATCCTTTCCCCCTGTGTCCCCAAAGTCCACTGTATCATTCTTATGCCTTTGCATCCTCATAGCTTAGCTCCATTTATGAGTGGGAGCTCATAACTGATGTTTGGTTTTCCATTTCTGAGTTACTTCACTTAGAATAATGGTCTCCAATCTCATCCAGTTTGCTGTGAATGCCATTAATTCATTCCTTTTTATGGCTTAGTAGTATTCCATTATATATATATATATATATATATATATATATATATAACAGTATCTTTATCCGCTTGTTGATTGATGGGCACCTGGGTTGGTTCCACATTTTTGAAATTGCAATTGTGCTGCTATAAACATGCATAAGCAAGTATCTTTTTTGTATGCATGCACTCTAAGGAAGGAAGACTGCAGGTGGCCACTTTTAATATGGTGATGGGCAATGGTGCTCCTACAGTGGCCAAAGACTGATGTAATGGTGAGACGCATGGTCAGACATGTGTCTGATATCCCTTTCAAGACCTATTTCCCATTTGGGATCCTGGGAGGAGAAAATGTCACAGTGATAAAGGCATAAGAAGAGAGGGCTTGACACTGAATGTCCTCAAGCTGTCCTCAGTTCACATATGACATGAATGGGATCCAGATATACCCACATGTTCTTAGAGGGGAAATAGAAATAATGGTGGGAATGGTCAAGGATGTTGCAGAAAGGTTATCATGGTGGGGAAAGAAGCACCATCTTGGAATCATCTGGGTTAGGATTATGACCTTGTATTGAGAGAGATTCACAGCATCATTCAGAACTAATGTATTGATGGGGACCTAGGCAAGAGAGAGAACTGGGTTCTGTTCAGCTGTGCATTACCTGAGTGACAGCTACCAGTAGCTGGTGGACGCAGGGTGTGCTTGACTCTTGTCCTAGGACCAGCATGAACTCTGATGTGGTCTGTGGGCCACTAATACATGGTGAATATTTACCTACTGGCCTGGGATATGATTAATACAATGGTTGAGATCAAGTGTTTCAAAACTTTTAGTGCAATTTGACTGTGTCTCAGCAAACGGAATTGCTTTATTGAATGGGATACAGAGCAGGAGAATGTTGTCAAATTCATGTGGTGAGTTACAAATGGAAGGAGCTATGTAATTGTTGAGCACAGTAGGGCCATGTTCTGGAATAATTAGCCAGACTTAGAAGCTTGAGAAATTCTTGTTATTTGTATAAAAGCAAAAAATCTAGTTGAACTAAACATTGTGATTACAGACATAGTAAAACATATGCATCCCATAAATGGTAATAATTTTAATTCAAAATTTTTCGTAGACAATAATGTGGAAGCTGGTTAAAAACAACTGTTAATGTATGTGGAGGTACATTGTCATTGAGGGGAAAGATTTGGTGGAGAATATTTGAACTATGGAGTGAACTCAGTGTTTCCAAGTTAAGCAACCAATTTGATACTGACCTAATATGGAATAGGACAACCAGTCTTTCTCATTTGTCTAATATTTTTAGTCATTTCAATTGTCTTAATATTGCTTTGGGAAGAAAAAATTCAACATCTTTTTCCATGGCTGATGAGGTCGAAGAGCAAAATCCCAAGTTAGAAGCTTGGAATAATACTGTTTCTGCAGAAAATTCCATGACTTAATGACACATATTAATAAAGTAGTTGGTGGTCTTGATATTGGACATCTGCCAAAATTTATCATCAAAAGCCTTACAAATTTATATAACACTTTGATGTTTTTCTGTCAAAAGAAGGTCCATGACTAATATTCATATATCCAGATCTCATTCCTTTCATTGAAAGATAATTTAGATATCATCTTAACCTCGGTTAGAATGACTATTATTAAAAAGACAAAAAATATCAGATGCCGTTGAGGATGTAGAGAAAAGAAAACTTGTATACACTATTTTTGGGAATATAAATGAGTAAAACTAAAAATAGAACTACCCATATTATGCAGAAATTGCACTACTTGGTACTTATCTAAAGGAAATAAAATCAATATTTCAATAAGATATCTGCACCCCCATGTTTATTGCAGCATTATTCACAATAGCAAAGATATGGAATCAACCTAAGTGTTCATCAATAAACCAATGGATAAAGAAAATGTAATGTCTATACACAAAGGGATATAATTCAGCCATAAAAAGCATAAATCATGTCATTTGCAGCAGCATGAATGGAACTGGAGGTCATTATGTTAAGTGAAGTAGGCCAGGCACAGAAAGACAAATATTGCATGTCATCACATATACGTGGGAGCTAAAAAAATTAATCTCATGGAAGTAGCGAATAGATTGATTGATATCAGAGGCTGAGAAGAGTGTGTGTGGCAAGGGTGCAGGGAGATGAACAGAAGTTAGTTAATGAGCACAAACATACAGTTAGATAAAAGGAATAGGTTCTAATGTTCAATAGCAGAGTAGAGTGATTATCGTTAACAATGTATTGCATATTTCAAAAATCACATGAAGACTTGAAATGATAAACATGGAATATCACAAATACTTGAGGTAATGGTTACCCTAAAGACCCTGACTGGACCATTACATATTCTATGCATGTAAGAAAATATCACACTTGTTCCATAAATACGTTAAATATTAATTACCAATTACAGTTTTAAAAATATTTATTTTTAATTGTAATTGTACAGGAAAATTATGTAACTGATTCTTGCTGAAGGATTGAAGATACATTTTGAAAACACATCACTTGTTTCATTTTGGATTAAGGCTAAAAAAATTATTGTCATGAGATTGCTGAAATGGCTCAAAAACTCAATTCTTATTTCAGTCAAAATTTTACTTCAAATATAGTTATTGAAGGACAAAAGTGACAATAACAGTAGCAATTTTCTCTATTAACCACTTGTGAGATATACATATATATACACATACATATACATACTTTTTTATCCATGGTTGTTGGCTCATAACTTTCATAGTCTTCTGTTGTAATGTTGGAGCATTTTAAGTTTCAGGAGCAGGCCTCAGAAAATATCATCTCTCTTTCTGACCTTCCCTGTCCTCTCTAATCTTCCCCCACCTCTCTGATTATGGGCCATAAGATCCTCCTTTAAGAAAGGGTCCTTCTCTACTAAAAAACACAAAAAGAAATTAGCCGGGCGAGGTGGCGGGCGCCTGTAGTCCCAGCTACTCGGGAGGCTGAGGCAGGAGAATGGCGTGAACCCGGGAGGCGGAGCTTGCAGTGAGCCGAGATCGCGCCACTGCACTCCAGCCTGGGCGACAGAGCGAGACTCCGTCTCAAAAAAAAAAAAAAAAAAAAAAAGGGTCCTGCTATACCCTGGAGGTAGGAATGCTGCACAGAGATGCCAAAAAGAATCTGAATAGACAGAGGCCTTGCTGGGTTTCCCCACTTAGTCTATCAGCATTATAATAGATATTATAGATCATACCCTTTGATCCAATCACATTTCTACACATATGTCAGTCATGCCTATCCAATGGAGTCCTCATAAAATGCCTAAGAGGACAGGGTGTGTAGAGCTTCTGGAGAGCTGAACATGTGGAGGCTGACAGGCAGGTGAAGGAGAACTTGTCCATGTGCCCGGAGGGTGACACACCCCAACTCCATGGGGACAGGAGCTCCTGTGCTCTTCCAGGCCTCACAGTATATATCTCTTCATCTGATTTTTCATTTGGATCCTTTAAAACATCCTTTGTTATACATTGATTAACATGAGTATTTCCTTGTGTTCTGTGAACTGCTCTAGCAAATTAGTCAAACTCAAACAGGGGTTTGTGGGAAACACAGCTTGAAGCCAGTCAGTGAGAAGTTCTGGAGGTGTGGAGTTTCAACTGGTTAGAAGAAGGGGGTGTTCTTGTGGGACTGAGCCCTCAACCTGTGGTTTCTGAGGCTATCCCCAGGTAGATAGTGTCAGAACTAAATTAAATTGGAGACACCCAGGTGGTTTCCACTGCAGAATCAATTGCTAGCTTGGGGTATGGAGAGAAACCTGCACATATTTGGTGGCAGAAGTCTTCTGTGTTGATTGTTGTTGTTGAGAGAAGAGAGGAAAAACACAGCTTGAGTTGCTCTTTTCCACACTCATTCCCCAATGCACACATTCAGCAAACACCAAGTACAGTTTCTGAAATTATTTTTCTTCCATATATCTGTCCTGATATATGTATTTAAATTTAGTTTTACATTTTCTAAATTTATCAGTAAACACTTTTGACTTCTAATGTGTATAATTTTCGCATTTCCTCTTTTCAGTAATTTTAAAAAATTTTTCTTTTACAAAAATATTTACTTGAAAAGGACTGGAAATTTTAAAAATGGTCCTTAATACAGTTAGCTTTAGCAGCATCAGCCTAAATAACTTGAATAAACAACAGATCATGATCAGTGTTACAGTAAATGTAAAGACTAAAGCATCAAAGCCTAAAGAGAGAGGGAAGACAACACTACTTGCATGACTCTTGAAAAATGCACCAACTCGTTGTTGCTTTTCTCAGTTGACCCTCTAGACAAAGCCATGAGGTTGACAGAGATCACCAATCTTGAAGTTGTCTGACTCAAAGCCTTAAACATTTAGCACATGATAAGGAAGGGTAACACTTACTGAGGGCTCCTTGTGCTGCCAGCGTACAAAGGTGGGGTCAGCTCTCCTTCTTGAAACTTCTTCCAAGTGGCCTATGCTTGCTTCCCGTAGGTGGTTTCTAGATATTCTCTTAATGCAAACACAACTTACTGAAGAGCAGACAGTTTTATTTATTATTTTTAAAATTTTTTATTTCCGTTGGTTATTGGGGGACAGGTGATGTTTGGTTACATGGGTAAGTTTTTTATTGGTGATTTCTGAGATTTTGGTGCACCTATCACGTGAGAGCAGTGTACAATGCACCCAATTAGTAGTTTTTTCTCCCTCACCCCCTTCCCACCTTTTTCCCTTGAGTTCCTAAAGTCCATTGTGTCATTCTTATGCCTTTGTATCCTCATAGCTTAGCTCCCACTTATGAGTGAGAAAATGCGATGTTTGGTTTTCCATTCCTGACCTACTTCACTGAGAATAATAGTCTCCAATCTCTTTCAGTTTGCTTCAAATACCATTAATTCATTTCTTTTTATGGCTGAGTAGTATTCCATTGTGTGTGTGTATGTGCCACAGAAACTGTAGCATATATATATGTATATACACACACATATATATACACACATATCTAGGCACCACAGTTTCTTTATTCACTCATTGATTGATGGGCATTTGGGTTGGTCCCACATTTTTACAATTGTGAATTGTGCTATTATATACATGCATGAGCAAGTATCTTTTTTGTATAATGGCTTCTTTTCTTCTGGGTAGATACTCAGTAGTGGGATAGCTATATCAAATAGTAGTTCTACTTTTAGTTCCTTAAGGAATCTCCATACTGTTTTTATCATAGTGGTTGTACTAGTTTACATTCCCACAAGCAGTGTAGAAGTGTTCCCTTTTCATTGCATCCATGCCAACATCTTTTTTTTTTTTTTAAATTTTTTGATGATGGTCATTCTTGGAGGAGTGAAGTAGTATCACTTTGTGGTTTTGATTTGCATTTCCCTGATCATTAGTGATGTTGAGCATTTTTTATATGTTTGTTGGCCATTTGTATGTCTTCTTTTGAGAATTGTCTATGCATGTCCTTATCCCACTTTTTGATGGGATTGTTTGTTTACTTCTTGCTAATTTGTTTGAGTTCATTTTAGATTCTGGATATTAGTCCTTTGCCAGATGTATTGATTGTGAAGATTTTCTCCCACTCTGTCAGTTTTCTGTTTACTCTGCTGATTGTTCCTTTTGCTATGCAAAAGCTCTTTAGTTTAATCAAGTCCCAGTTGCTTATCTTTGTTTATATTACATTTGCTGTTTGGTTCTTGGTCATGAAATCCTTGCCTAAGCTAATATCTAGAAGAGTTTTTCTGATGTCATCTGCTGGAATTTTTTCACATCTTATATTTAAGTCCTTGATCCATCTTGAGTTGATTTTTGTATAAGGTAAGAGATGATGATCCAGTTTCATTCTCCTACATGTGGCTTGCCAATTATCCCAGCACCATTTGTTGAATAGGGTGTCCTTTCCCCCACTTTATGTCTTTTTTTGCTTTGTCAAAGATCAGTTGGCTGTAAGTATTTGGGTTTATTTCTGGGTTCTCTGTTCTGTTCCATTGGTCTATGTGCCTAGCTTTATATCAGTACCATGATATTTTGGTGACTATGGCCTTATAGTATAGTTTGAAATCAGGTAATGTGATGCCTCCAGATTTGTTCTTTTTGCTTTGGTTATGCGGGCTCTTTTTTGCTTCCATATAAATTTTAGAATTGATTTTGTAGTTCTGTGAAGAATGATGGTGGTATTTTGATGAGAATTGCATATACGTACAACAAATAGCACTATGAATGGAACAGTATCTCACATTTCAATACTAATATTTAATTTAGATGGCCTAAATGCTCCACTTAAAAGATACAGAATTGCAGAATGGATAAGAATTCACCAGCTATTTGCTGCCTTCAAGAGACTCACCTCATCAGAGAAATGCAAATCAAAACCACAATGAGATACCACCTCACACCAGTTAGAATGGCAATCATTAAAAAGTCAGGAAACAACAGGTGCTGGAGAGGATGTGGAGAAATAGGAACACTTTTACACTGTTGGTGGGACTGTAAACTAGTTCAACCATTGTGGAAGTCAGTGTGGCAATTCCTCAGGGATCTAGAACTAGAAATACCATTTGACCCAGCAATCCCATTACTGGGTATATACCCAAAGGACTATAAATCATGCTGCTATAAAGACACATGCACACGTATGTTTATTGAGGCACTATTCACAATAGCAAAGACTTGGAACCAACCCAAATGTCCAACAATGATAGACTGGATTAAGAAAATGTGGCACATATACACCATGGAATACTATGCAGCCATAAAAAACGAGGAGTTCATGTCCTTTGTAGGGACATGGATGAAATTGGAAATCATCATTCTCAGTAAAGTATTGCAAGGACAAAAAAGCAAACACCACATGTTCTCACTCATAGGTGGGAATTGAACAATGAGAACACATGGACACAGGAAGGGGAACATCACACTCTGGGGACTGTTGTGGGGTGGGGGGAGGGGGGAGGGATAGCATTAGGAGACATACCTAATGCTAAATGAAGAGTTAATGGGTGCAGCACACCAGCATGGCACATGTATACATATGTAACAAACCTGCACATTGTGCACATGTACCCTAAAACTTAAAGTATAATAATAATAATAATAATAATAATTTAAAAATTAAAAAAAAAAGAGACTCACCTAACACTTAAGGACTCACATTAACTTAAGGTAAAGGGGTGGAAAAAGAGATTCCATGCAGATGGAGACCAAAAGCGAGCAAGAGTAGCTATTCTTATATCAGACAAAAGAAACTTTAAAGCAACAGCAGTTAAGAAAGACAAAGGGAGACATTATATAATGATAAAAGGCCTGTTCAACAGGAAAATATCACAATCCTAAATATATATGCACCTAATACTGGAGCTCCCAAGTTTATAAAACAATTACTACTAGATCTAACAAATGAAATAGACAGCAAAACAATAATAGTGGGGGACTTCAATACTCCACTGACGACACTAGACAGGTCATCAAGACAGAAAGTTAGCAAAGAAACAATGGATTTAAACTATACCCTAGAGCAAATGGACTTAACAGATATTTACAGAACATTCTACCCAACAACTACAGAATATACATTATAATCATCAGCATATGGAACTTTCTCTAAGATAGACCTTATGATAGGCCACAAAATGAGCCTCAGTAAATTTAAGGGAATTGAAATTATATAAAGTACTCTATCAGACCACAGTGGAATAAAACTGGAAATCCACTCCGAAAGGAACCTTCAAAACCATGAAAATACATGGAAATTAAATAACCTGCTCCTAAATGATCACTGGGTCAAGTATGAAATCAAGATGGGAATTAAAGAATTCTTCAAACTGAATGCAAATAGTGACACAACCTATCAAAACCTCTGGAATACAGCAAAGGCAGTGCTAAGAGGAAAGTTCACAGCTCTAAATGCCAACATCAAAAAATCTGAAAGAGCATAAACGGACAACCTAAGTTCACACCTCAAAGAACTGGAGAAACAAGAACAAACCAAACCCAAACCCAGCAAGAAAAAGGAAATAAACAAGATCAGTGCAGAACTAAATGAAATTGAAATAACAACGAAAAACAATACAAAAGATAAATGAAACAAAAAGCTTGTTCTTGAAACCAGCTTAATAAATAAAATAGATAAATAAAACTGATTGAACATTAGCAAAATTAACCAAGAAGACAGAAAATCCCAATAAACTCAATCAGAAATGAAATGGGAGATATTACAACTGACACCACAGAAATACAAAAGATCATTCAAGGCTACGATGAACACTTTCATGCGCATGAACTAGAAAACCTAGAGGAGGTGGATAACTCCTTGGAATGATATAACCCTCCTATCTTACAACAGGAAGAATTAGATACCCTGAACAGACCAATAACAAGCAGCGAGATTGAAATGGTAACTAAAAAAATGTTTTATATTTTAAATCCCTGTATGTACTTCTCTAATTTTTACTCCAAATATACAAGATATGTTAGTGTGTAGGAAGCAAGTGTAAGTTTGATGTTCACATAAGAAGCAGTATCCAAGGAGAGTACCATTGAATTGTGACCTTATGTGTCATTTATTGCATTAGGAGTGAGCCAATGTTTTACCCTTTGAGATGAGCAGATTGCTTGAGGGGAGTTAAAGTCCTTACATATGTCATCAGCAAACCATTTTCACGGACTGCTGGGCAGAATTTAGGCAGATCAGGGAAGTGATGACAATGGCTAGAAGAAGGGTAGAAAGGGAGAGACATAGGTGAGAATGACAGACATTCAGGAGGTGCATCAGTGGGAGCAAGATACGGCACCACAAAAAAAGACCCGGAGAATAATATACTGTAAAGCCATATTTACAATTTATGGACATGCAAATCTATTCAATATATTGTTTAAGAGTACAGAAAGTTGAAGTCAAGCTACAAAGAATAGCAATTGATAAATAAACATAAAATTCAGCATAATGGCTACCGAGGAGGTGGTTTTTTGATATAGGGGGTGGGGGCCCACAGAAGAAGGCTAAGGTAAATACTGCTCTGTTTCTTAAGACAAATGATGGCTATGCTGGGATTCTTTAATTAATTATCTTTGTGCTTCGAGTACACATTTTATGCATTTCCTCTAGTGAGTCAGATATTTTATTTTATTATACTAAAATAGGAAAAGTAACTGGGCATAGAAACCTTAAGTTATACTGATAATTTTTGAGAGCCTGGGCTACAGTACTGAGCCCTTTCCTATAAGGCTCTTTCCTGTTTTTATTAAAAAAATTAAAAAAATGTTTTTTAATAGGAAGTTCCTATAAAGAAAGAACTGCTGCCTTGATCCCCAAGTTCAGATCCCAAATTTCAGAGCCTCTTCCATCCATATCCACTTACCTAGGCTGCTCTTCCCTAAAGCCAAGCCACTCCACTCACCTGGGGGCTCCAGGCCTCCCTGTTCCTGCTCATCACAGCCTCACATCTTGGCTGTCAGTCCCTGAGCAGCCAGAAAGATCAGGAGTAGGGTGAACACAGCAGAGATGGCCAGGACAGTGGAGACTTGTTTACTGTCACCATTGGGAACCTCTGAAGGTGCTTTAAAAGGGTGGGGCCAAAAGCTGGGGGCAGAGTCAGAACAGCTGGGGCAGCAGTAAGTCTCTGACCCCTCCCCACCCAGTGATTTTGGGAAGTTTTTCTGCTTGGCTCCTCAGACCCAGCTTGCCCCTCTGTCCTGGAAATGAGCCTCAATTAATTTCTCCCAAGAAGGTGGGACATCTGGCTCCACTGGACAGATGGAGGTGAGATGGTTGAGAGGGAAGCAAGGGTGGAGGGAGTCAACGGCTGCCGCTGGGTGTGTCTCTCTGGATCAGAGACCACTTGAGAAGAAATTCCGGTGACGGAATCACAAGTGGGGTGGGGGAGCATTAGGTCACAATGGTCAGATTGTGACCCACATGGAGTGGAGCTGGGGATTGGCCAGCCAGGAAGAGGGGGTTGATAAAAGCCAGGTTACCAGGGAGTGAGCCCGGCAGAGAGGGGCTGGGCTTGAAGGGATGGGGTGAAGGGATGGTGATGATTGGGTTCTGGCTCCTGCTCCAAGGCCCTTTCATGGAGACTTATTTCCCATGGTCCTCTCCTAAGGAAAGCCTCTCCACTCTCACCTGCATCCTGCCCTGAGTCTCAGCCTCTGACTACAGTCTATAGTCTACAGCTTCCCTCTCCCCACGTCCCAACCCCAGTTTTCTTAGTTCCTGGCTGCAAGGATTTTAGATCCTCCACTCAATTTCCAAAAATTTCTCCTGGCACCAGCTTCTCTACCCAGCATTTTTAGCCTACCTGTCAATCCTCCCCTATATGTCCCATCGGTATGGAAGTCCAGATGACAGTCATTGATATGCTGCTTGCATTTTCTGAATCACTATGTCAATGAGAAATGCGCCCTATCAGAGCTAACAGAGCTTCACAGCAAGGTCATTTTGAAGATAACCTTCTTCAAAATGAAGAGTGAGGAGGACATAAGTGCTGTAGGATCAGTATGTGAGGCTACCACAAACATGCTGTGGTTTGCACATTCTTTGAGGCTTGCAGAGAGAAGCCTGAAAAACACGGCTGATGTCTTGGCAGAATTTACCCTGGCCCCCAGGCTGGTGTACAAAACATCTTCATGACAAGGTGTCTTGCTGGCCACTCTTAACCATTAGAAGAAACAGATGCCATGGAACTTTGAAAAATCAGAAAGTGAATGTACAAATGGAGAACCTTTGAAGACAGCAGAGCCCAATGTGGGTAAATGACATTGCTCGTAGGAAGGAAACAGTGTTATGGAGCAAAAGGGGCTCACTGCCTGATGCACTAGAAGGCAATACTAGGACAATGGGTTTTGAGAAAATAAAAGCCTTACACTGAAATTCAACAACCAAGAAGACAGGAGTCAAGCTCATCTGTCTCCTGTGTTGGCTCCAAGGCAGTTTTTAGAAAAGTTTTATGGGGTGGATACTGGGGTTAGCAGGTGATTGGTGGAAGGTAAGCAGAGTCTGAAAAGTCCTCAGGCATGTGCAGTTATCTCTTCATGCTACCTTATGAGTCATATGTGCAAATTTGGGAGAAGTTAGTATGAAACAAGCAGTGGAAATCCAGGCTGCAGTTTCAGCAAGCTTGTTCTAGTAGGCCATCTTGGTCCCAACCAATGTTAGGCAGTTCTTTTACCTCAAAAGCAGAGGGAGTTTCAGTGTTTCAGTGACTTGGTTTTTTTTCATCTGCCATTCTGCAAAATCAAGATTTTCTGTTAGTCATTATGAACTCTTTGGGACTGGTTTCAACAGCAGGCCCAGAAGCATCACAGACATATCTTACAGTGAAAGAGTTCTGGGCACCACTTTGGGAGGCGAAGGTGGGTGGATCATGAGGCCAGGCGTTCAAGACCAGCCTGGCCAACATGGTGAAACCCGCCTCTGCTAAAGATACAAAAAATTAGCTGGACTTGGTGGTGCGCACCTGTAATCTCAGCTACTCGGGAGGCTGAGGCAGAAGAATTGCTTGAACCCAGGAGGTGGAGGTTGAAGTGAGCCGAGATTGCGCCATTGCATGCTAGCCTGGGTGACAGGGCAAGGTCTCAAAAAAAAAAAAATAAGTTCTGGGCACGTAATTACTGCTATCATATTTCTGACATATCTGCTTTTTTTTAAAGAGAGGATATGAAGTGTTTACTAAGCAGACTAAGAAGAATATAAACAACATCTCAAGAGAAATCTAAGGAATTTTAAACAGACTACCCGATTACTAATATTTTTATAAAATCCTGAATGGTACTTAAAAATGACTATTGAAAAAAAAGAAACTTGAAATAATTAAAGTATCAGGACAAATAAAAAGTAAAAGAAAGAAACTAATAATTAGAAGGGAAATTGCACAAAACTCAGTGGTTTTACAAATTCCACATTAGAAATTCCATATTAGCACTCTTAATAAGAAAGCCTATGCAGTTTTCATTGTCGCTTGGGCTGCGGAAAGAATTCATGCACAGAGAATGAAAGTGGCCACCTGAGGAAGGTCCTTTGAAGATAAGCCATCAGTTCAGCTTTGATGGCCATCTCCAAAAACCTTCACCAAACACTTCCATAAAGAGGTTTTATTCAAGCTGGGGGCCCCTTTGGCCCTCACAAAAAAATTGAGAAAGTTTCCTGTGATCGCTCAACAATGTCCCAACTTGTGATGTGTTTCTTTTCTGGAAATGGAAGATTTGGGCTTATACCTGAGGAAGAGACTACAATGTAGTAACAGTGAATCATCAAAATGCTTGGTAAATTAATGACCTCAGAGCTGTTCCCTCTTTTGGCCACGGCTATCACCTTAAGCAGTCTGGATTCTTCCAGAGTAAGGAGTGATGTTTTTCACATTGGTGCCCTGACATTGGGTTTTCCTTACAAATGTTCAATGTGATCTCACCAACTGCAGGATGCCCACCCCTACGTAGTCCATTGAGACCCTCTCTCCTCACCTGTGGGAAGCTGAGAGCCTTCCATCCCACCTCAGAGTCCTGCTAGCCCATATCCTTAATAGTAGCATTCCTGGATTATCACATTGAAAAAGAGGACACTAGCCCCTGGCATCTGAGAACTGGGCTGTTACTGTTAGGTGTGGTGGATCTGGCCCAGTACTGACAGCTAGGTGGTAAAGTTCTCCTGTTCAACATAAAAAGACAAGAGCACTAGACAAGGCACCTCTGTGGCTTTAGTGGATGAAAAACAAAAACAAAAACCAAGACCAATCTGTAATAACGTCTGAATGCAAACAAAACATACAAACTGCTAAAACTGCAAAAAATGGCCAAACATATTCCTCTCCTGGTCAGAATATGAGTAACTGACATTTGTTTAACAATCACAGCTTTAGCCTCACCATCCCATTGCTTTTTTTGTTTAAGATTTATCAAGATAACCAATCATGGAATTATCCCCACTTCCTAATAGCATCCAATACAAAGCAAAACTTTGCTTTATGAATTATCTCTGAAAAACTTTACATAAGCCAAAATCCTATAAGTCTTTTCTAATACTTGCTTATTAATATTGCATTGTTTTCTTTAGGGTCTTTGCCTGTAAGGAATTGACAGAAATGCAGGTTCACCAGGATTCATATGAAACATTTACTGTCTTGGGCTGGAAGCCTTGACTCAGTAAGAGTGTGTACATTTGTGATCTCTTGTGTGTTTACATATTAAGGTATCAAATTGTCCTTGGCTGATTGCTAAGTTAATGTACAACTAAGCTCCAATATTTTATTTAAGCATTTCTGTGTTTTGTTTATTTTCCTAATTATGAGGTCCTCTGGTACTTTTGTTTGTCTGATCAGCTTTGTTTTTTTTCCCCTCAGTGAATTTGTTTTCTGTCCTAACACCAGCTTCTGTGGTCCTTCTGCTTGTTTAGGGTTTTGTGTGTTGCTTTTCTATTAGAAGAAATTTCTTTGGGCACAAATTTGCATAGTTTTGATTTTTAAAAAGTGAACAGAACTTTAGAAATCTGTATGACAACGCTGATAGAAACTATATATGCGTAGTGAGAGAGAAAAGAGGAGAGAAAGAAGAAAAACTATTTTCAAGAAAACAAAAACACAATCCACAGACAGGAAGAAACCATTTGCAAATCGTATATTGGATAATAGACCTGAATCCAGAATATATAAAGAACACTTAAAACTCAACAATAAGAAACCAATTCAAAAGTGTTCAAAAGTATTTTGGTAGATATTTCACCAAGGAAGATATAAGAATGGCTTATGGGCCTATGAATGATCTACATTATCATAATATTATGAGCCATTAGACAATTCAGATTGAAACCTCAGTGATATACTACTGCGTACCACTAAAATGGCTATAGTAAGACAGACAGAAGCAAGCGTTGGTGAAGATGCAGAGAAACTGGAATCCCCACACATTGCTGGTACTAGTATAAAATGGTGCAGCTGCACTGGAAATAAGTTTGGAAGTTTCTTAAAAAGTTAAACCTGCCATGCAACCCAGGAATCTGTTTAAGAAAAATGAAAACATGTTGATACAAAGTCATCTGTGAATGTTTCTAGAATTGATATTCATAATAGGTCTAACTGGAAGCAATTCAAATACCCATCAATGGTGAAATAAATGTGGTATATCCATACCATGGAATACTGTTCCATAATTAAAAGCACACTACTAACATATGTGCTAAAATATGGATGAACCTCAAAAATATGGTGCTAAATGAAATCAGCCAGAGGAAAATAGCCTATGTATTATATAATTGCATTTATATGCAATGTCTAGAAAAGGCAGGTTTACAGAGACAAAGCAGATCAGTGTGTCTAACTAAGGCTGGGGATGGAAGACAGGATTGACTGCAAATGGATGTGAAGGACCTATTTGGGGGGTTATGAAAATGTACCAAAACGGGACTGTGGTGGTGCTTGCACAACTATAAATTTACCCAAACAATTCGAATTGTACACTTGCAGAGGATATATTTTATGGTATGCAAATCATATCTAATTAAGTTGTTTAATATGAAAAGAAAGAAGCAGAAAGTTATTCTCCAGCCTGGGTGACAGAGTGAGACCCTGTCTTAAAGAAAAAGTAATTAAGTCATGTTTCTTTTAGTGGACAGTTAAAAGCATATTTACATAGTAAGCTTCTGTTTCTATAGTTATGAGCTAAGAAGTAATGGCTTTGGGTTCAACATGAGAAGAGTTTTTGATATAACTGGTTTTAAAAAATCAGTTTACAATATACACATAATGCCACGAACTATTTTTGTTTGTTCAGCAAGAGGATAAAATTTCTCATGGTTTCAATTTTATAAATTTCCTATATTAGACTTATAAACAAGCAAGTTTATAAATAAACTTATTAAAAAGTTACCACTGATTGCATAACTTGCTTAAAATACAAAGTTGTATGAATTAACTGTATTCAACTAAATGAAATGACAATAATGGATATATTTTTAATTAATTTTTTTTATTTCCACAGGTTGTTGGGGAACAGGTGGTATTGGATTACATGAGCAAGTTCTTTAATGGTGATTTGTGAGGTTTTAATGCACCCATCTCCTGAGCAGTATACACGGAACCCAATTTGTGGTCTTTTATCTTTCATCCCCTTCCCATCATTTTCTCCCGAGTTCACAAAGTCCATTGCATTATTTTTCTGCCTTTGCATCCTCATAGCTTAGCTCCCACTTATGAGTGAGGATATCTGATGTTTGGTTTTCCATTCCTGAGTTACTTCACTTAGAATAATAGTCTCCAATCTCTTCCAGGTTGCTGAAAATGCTATTAATTCATTCGTTTTTATGGCTGAGTAGTACTTCATCATATACATATATAAATACACCACAGTTTCTTTATCTGCTCATTGATTGATGGGCATTTGGGTTGGTTCCACAATTTTGCAGTTGCGAATTGTGCTGCTATAAACATGTATGTGCAAGTATCTTTTTCATATAATGACTTATTTTCTTCTGGGTAGATACCCAGTGGTGGGATAGCTGGATCGAATGGTAGTTACGATTTTAGTTGCTTAAGAAATCTCCGTACTGTTTTCCATAGTGATTGTACTAGTTTTTATTCCCACCAGCAGTATAGAAGTGTTCCCTTTTCATTGCATCCACGCCAGCATCTACTGTTTTTTGATTGTGGCCATTCTTGCAGGAGTGAAGTGGTGTCACATTGTGGGTTTGATTTGCATTTCCGAGATCATTAGTGATGTTGAGCATTTTTTTCATATGTTTGTTGGCCATTTGAATATCTTCTTTTGAGAATTATCTATCCCTATCCTTAGCCCACTTTTTGATGGGATTGTTTGTTTTTTTCTTGCCAATTTGTTTGAGTTCATTTTAGATTCTGGATATTAGTCCTTTGTCAGATGTATTGATTGTGAATATTTTTCCTACTCTGTCAGTTTTCTGTTCACTCTGCTGACTGTACCTTTGGCTGTGCAAAAGCTCTTTAGTTTAATTAAGTTCCAGCTATTTATTTTTGTTTATATTGCATTTGTTTTTGGTTCTTGGTCATGAAATCCTTGACTAAGCCAATGTCTAGAAGAGTTTTTTTGATATTGTCTGCTAGAATTATTATAGTTTCAGGTCTTAGATTTAAGTTCTTGATCCATCTTGAGTTGATTTTTGTATAAGGCAAGAGCTGATGATCCAGTTTCTTTCTCCTACGTGTGGCTTGCCAATTATCCCAGCATCATTTGTTGAATAGGATGTCCTTTCCCCACTTTATGTCTTTGTTTGCCTTGTTAAAATCAGTTGGCTGTAAGTATTTGGGTTTAATTCTGGGTTCTCTATTCTGTTCCATTGGTCTATGTGCCTAGTTTTATATCAGTACCATGGTATGTTGGTGACTATGGCCTTATAGTATAGTTTGATATCAGGTAATGTGATGCCTCCAGATTTGTTCTTTTTACTTAATCTTGCTTTGGCTATGTGAGCTCTTTATTGTTTCCATATAAAATTTAGGATAGTTTTTTCTAGTTCTGTGAGGAATGATGGTGGTATTTTGATGGGAATTGCACTGAGTTTGTAGATTGCATTGCCAGTATGGTCATTTTCTCAATATTGATTCTGCCCATACATAAGCATGGGATGTTTTTCCATTTGTTTTTGTCGTCTATGATTTCTTTCAGCAGTGTTTTGTAGTTTTTTTCTGTGGATACTTTCACCTTCTTGGTTGGGTATGTTCCTAAAGGTTTTATTGATTTATTTTTTTTACAGCTATTGTAAAAGAGGTTTAGTTCTTGATTAGATTCTCAGCTTTGTTGCTGATGGTGTATAGCAGAGCTACGGATTTGTGTACATTAATTTTGTATCCTGAAACTTTGCTAAATTCATTCATCAGTTCTAGGAAGTTTGGGGGGAGCCTTTAGGGTTTTCTAGGTATATGATCATATAATCAGCAAACAGTGAGAGTTTGACTTCCTCTTTACCCATTTAGATGTCCTTTATTTCCTTCTCTTGTCTGAGTGCTCTGGCTAGAACTTCCAGTACTACGCTGAATAGAAGTGGTGAGAATGGGCCTCCTTGTCTTGCTCCAGTTCTCAGGGGGAATGCTTTCAACTTTTCCCCATTCAATATTATGTTGATTGAGGGTTTGTTATACATGCCTTTTATTCCATTAAAGTATTCCCCTTCTATGCTGATTTTGCTGAGGGTTTTAATCATAAAGGGATGCTGTATTTTGTCAAATACATCTGTGTCTATTGAGATAATAATGTGATTTTTGTTTTTAATTCTGTTTATGTGGTGTATCTCATTTATTGGCCTGTGTGTGTTGAACCATCCCTGCATCCCTGGTATGAAACCCAGTTAATCATGGTAGATTATCTTTTTGATATGTTGTTGTATGGGTTAGCTAGTATTTTGTTAAGGATTTTTGCATCTATGTTAATCAGGGATATTAGTCTGTAGTGTTTTTTTTTTTTTAATCATGTTCCTTTAGTGTAACGTATTTTTTAAAGAAAATCATGAATAAATGAATGTTGTATCTATTGAGTGACTGGGGTCTGCCAGCACTATGGTCATGCCCCATAACCACAAATGAGGCTTCTGGGGTGGAAGGTTGCCTTAGGAAGCTCTCTTCAGTCATGGTAAACATTTACTTGTTAGTTTGCCGCTATCAGCTGAAATTCTCCTTAGTAAGAATGGCAGTAGAAAAGGATTTTGAAAAACTAGAATATGGAAGTTGCCATGGATCATCCAGTTCTGGGTTCCATGACTTTCTGTAAAGGGTCAGATAGTAAATATACTTGGTTTTGCAGGTCATATGGTTCCTGTGTCAACCACTGGACTTGGAAGTTGTAGCATGAAAGCTTTCGTAGACAGTACACAAATGAGTAGGCACAGCAGTGTTCCAGTAAGTTCATTTTCATAAAATGTACAGGGCCAGATATGTCGTGCCTGCAGTAGTTGCTGAACACTAATCTAACAGGATCCCTCTATATATTTTTTAAGAAAAAAGACAGTAGTATGCCAGCAAGGCCTATGCTCTTGGAGTGGTCTAGAGGAAGAGCTAAACTAAAAAGGCAGAAACAAAATGTGAGAAATTGGAATAAATAAATCACAAAGGGAGTAAACTTTGAGGGAATCAATGAGTATATCATGTTTTGATTGGAGCCTTTATTGAACTCAGCCCTCTGCTGCTGAGTTTCCCCACCAAGAAAAGACATACTCAAAATAATATTTTAAAACACACACACGGCCGGGCGCGGTGTCTCACACCTGTAATCCCAGCACTTTGGTAGGCCGAAGTGGGCGGATCATGAGGTCAGCAGTTTGAGACCAGCCTGGCCAACATAATGAAACCCCATCTCTACTAAAAATACAAAAAAAAAAAAAAAAAAACAAAAAAAAACACAAAACATTAGCCAGGCGTGGTGGATTACAGGCTTCTGCAATCCCCGCTACTTGGGAGGCTGAGGCAACAAGAATCACTTGAACCTGGGAAGTGGAGTTTGCAGTGAGCCAAGATTGCACCACTGCACTCCAGCCTGGGCAACAGTGCGAGACTCTGTCTCCAAACAAACAAAGCACACATACACACACACACAAACTTTTTATCTTGATTTGAACCCAAAGAAAGACAAGTGTGTGAAAAGACTTTTTGGACATGGAAGATCACTACTTAACATGTATCTAATGATATAGCCTCATTGTTTAATTCTATTAAATATTTCTAATTCTAATAAATATTTGTTGCATGAATCTAAATGTAGTGTGCCATAGTATGACTTTGCAAACAGAAAATAAGCTAAACATCACTTTTAGGAATTCCCTGTCAGTTGATGGGGAGAAAACAATGCCTATTCAGTGGAATTCAAGTGGTGGTCTGTGGACCATTGCTGCATGGTGAATATTCAACTACTGTCCTGGGAGAGGATTAAGACAGTTGTTGAGAGTAAGTGTTTCAACACTTTTAGTGCAATTTGACTGTGCCAAAGCAAGTGGACTTGCTTTATTGAAAGAGTTACAGAACAGGTCAAATTCACATGATGAGTCACAAATGGCAGGAACTATGTAATTGTTGAGCACAGTAGGGGCATGTTCTGAAATAATTAGTCAGATTAAGAAGCTTGCGATAGATTATAAATCAATGTAATGTTTGCTTCATTGAGAAATTTTTGTTATATATAGAAAAGCAAAAAATCTTGTTGAACTAAACATTATGCTTAGAGAAATTGTAAAATGTAATCATTCCATAAGGGTAATAACTTTAATTTTTTTATAGGCAATAATGTGAAAGCTGACTAAAAACAACTGTTAATGTATGTGGAAGTACATCTTTATTGAGGGTAAAAGTTTGGTGGAGAACTGTTGAACTATAGAACAATCTCAGTGTTTCCAAGGTAAGCAACCAATTTGATATTGACTTTAAGATGAAATTGGACAACGAATCTTTCTCATTTGTCTAGTATTTTGGATATTTCAATTATCTTAATATTGCTTTGCAAAAAAAAACATGTCTTTTCACAGCAGATAAGGTTGAAGGGCAAAATCCTCAGTTAGAAGCTTGGAAGAATACAATTTCTGCAGACAAGTTCCATGACTTAACAACAATTATTAATGAAGTGGTTGGTGATCTTGATATTGGACATCTGCCAAAATTTATTATCAAATCCTTACAAATTTGTACAACATTTTGATGTTTTTCTGTCAAAAGAAGATCAATGCCTAATATTAATGTATCCCTCATTCCTTTCATTGAAAGATAATTTAGATATCCTCTTACCTAAGTTAGAATGACTATTATTAAAAAGACAAAAAATAACAGATGCTGGTGAGGATGTGGAGAAAAGGGAACTTTTACACACTACCGGTGGGAATATAAATTAGTAAAATCAAAAAATAGAACTACCATATGATTCAAAAATACCACTACTGGGTATTTATATAAAGAAAACAAAATCAATATTTCAAAAAGATATCTGCACTCCCATGTTTATCGTAGCACTACTAACAATAGCAAAGATATGGAATCAACCTAAGTGTTCGTCAATAAACCAATGGATAAAAATGCAGCGTATACACACAATGGAATAATATCCAGCAATAAAAATAAGGAAATCGTGTCATTTGCAGCAGCATGAATGGAACTGGAGTTCATTAACATAAGTGAAAAAAGCCAGGCACAGAAAGACAAATATTACAAGTCATCACATATGTGTGGGAGCTAAAAATGTTAATCTCCTGGAGGTAGAGAAGAGAATAATAGATACAAGAAGATGAAAAGAGTGTGTATGGCAAGGGTGCGGGAGATGGACAGAGGTTAGTTAATGGGTACAAACATACAGTTAGATAAAGGAATAAATTATACTGTTCAATATCATAGTAGAGTGATTATAGTTAACAACAGTGTATTGTCTTTCAAAATAGCAAGAAGATTTCAAATGATAAACACAGAACATGACACATACTCAAGGTAGCAGTTGCCCTAAATACCCTGTCTTGACCATTATATATTGTATGCATGTAACAAAATATCACATGAATCTCATAAATATGTACAAATATTATTTATCCATAAAAATTAAAAGTATCATTTACTTTTAATTATAATTTTACAGGAAATTTATTTATCTGATTATTGCTGAAGGATTGAAGTACATTTTGAAAACATCACTCGTTTCCTTTGGGATAATGGCTAAAAAATTATTATCATTGCGATTGCTGACATTTCTCAAAAATCAATTGCTATTTCAGTCAAAATTTTACTTTAAATTGGTTGTTAAAGGACAAAAAGTAGCAACCACAGTAGCAATTTTCTGAATTAACCTCTTGCGAGTATATATAAAATATATATAATATATAATTATATATAATAATACATAATATATAATTATATATAATATATATATTATATATAAAACATGTTTTCATCCATGGTTGTTGGCATAACTCCCATAGTCTTCTGTTATAATGTTGGAGTGCTTTAAGTCTCAGGAGCAGACCTCAGAAAATATAATCTCTCTCTCTGACCTTCCCCTGCCCTCCTCTAATCTTCCCCTGCCTTTCTGATTGTGGGCCATAAGATCCTCATTTGAGAAAGGTCCTGCCATACCCTGGAGGAAGGAATGCTGCACAGAGGTGCTAACAAGAATCTGAATAGACAGGCCTTGCCGGGTTTCCCCACTCAGTCTATTGGCATTATAATAGATATTATAGATCATACCCTTTGGTCTAATAACATTTCTACATGTTTGTTATCTTGCCTATCCAATGGAGTCTTCATAAAAGGCCTGAAAGGACAGGATGTATAGAGCTTCTGGAGAGCTGAACATGTGGAGGCTGACAGGAAGCAGAAGAAGAACCTGTCATGTGCCAGGAGGATGACACACCCCAACTCCACAGGGACAGAAGCTCCTGTGCTCTTCCAGGCCTCACACTATATATCTCTTCATCTGGCTTTTCATTTGGATCCTTTATTTATTTATTTATTTATTTATTTTTTATTTTTTATTTTATGTATTTATTTTTTTTGAGACAGAGTCTTGGTCTGTTGCCCAGGCTGGAGTGCAGAGGCGCAATCTCCGCTCACTGCAAGCTCTGCCTCCTGGGTTCATGCCATTCTCCTGCCTCAGCCTCCTGAGTAGCTGGGACTACAGGTGCCCACCACCACACCCGGCTAATTTTTTTTTTTTTTTTTAAGTAGAGACGGGGTTTCACCGTGTTAGCCAGGGTGGTCTTGATCTCCTGACCTCATGATCCGCCTGCCTCAGCCTCCCAAAGTGCTGGGATTACAGGCATGAGCCACTGTGCCTGGCCCCCATTTGGATCCTTTAAAACATCCTTTGTGATAAATTGATCAACATAAGTAAGTGTTTCCTTGTGTTCTGTGAACTTCTCTAGCAAATTAATCAAACTCAAACAGAGGACTGTGGAAACCTCAACTCGAAGCCAGTCAGTGAGAAGTTCTGGAGGTGTGGAGTTTCAACTGGTTGGAAGGAGGAGGTGTTCTTGTGGGACTGAGCTCTCAACCTGTGGTTGCTGAGGCCATTTCCAGGTAGACAGTGTCAGAATTGAATTGAATTGGAGGACTTCCAGTTGGTGTCTGCTGCAGAATAGATTGCTTGCTTGGTGTATGGAGAGAAACGTGCACACATTTGGTCACAGAAGTCTTCCGTGTTGATTGTTGCTGTTGAGAGAACAGAGGAAAAACACACCTTGAGTTGCTCTTTTCCACACTTATCCCCCATGTGCACACTATCAACAAACACCAAGTACAGTTTCTGAAATTCTTTTCTTTTTCTATATAGCTGTTCTGACTTGCTAAATTTATTAATAAACATTTTTTTACTTCTAATGTGTATAAATTTTGCATTTTATTTTTCCAGGAACTTTTTTAAAACAATTTCTTTTACAAAAATATTTATTTGAAAAGGAATGGAAATTTCAAAAATGATCCTAAAGCAGTTAGCTTTAGAAGCATTGGCCTAAATAACACGAATAAACAACAGATCATGATAAGTGTAATAGTAAATGTAAAGAGTAAATTACAAAGGCATAAAGAGAGAAGAAAGACCCCACTCACTACTTGCATAACTCTTGAAAAATGCCAACAATTGGGTTTCATTTTTTTTTACTTGACCCTCTAGATGGAGCCACCAGGTAGACAGAGATCACCAAGCTGGAGAAGTTTTCGGACTGAAAACCTTAAGCACTAGCAAATTATAAGGAAGCGTAGCACTTACTTATGAGGGAGGGTAACACTTACTCCTTGTGCTGCCAGTGTACAAAGATGGGGTCAGCTCTCGCTCCTTCAAGTTCTTCCAAATAGTCTATGCTTGGCTTCCTTTTGGAGGTTTCCAGATATTCTTTTAACGGATACATGACTTACTGGGGAGGGGACAGTTTTAGATTTTAAATCTCTGTATGTATATCTCTAACTTTTATTTCAAATATACAGGATACATTAGTGTGTGGGAAGAGGGTGTATATTTGATGTTTACATAAGAAGTGGTATCCAAGATGGGTACCGGTTGAATTGTGACCTTATGTGTCATTTATTACAACAGGAGTGAGCCTTTCAGGTGAGCAGATTGTTTGAGGGGAGTTAGAGTCCTTACATATGTCATCAGCACAACATTTTCACAGACTGCTGGGCAGAATTTAGACAGCTTGAGGAAGTGATGACAATGGCTGGAAGAAGAGTAGAAAGGGAGAGACACAGGTGAGAATGACAGACATTCAGGAAGTGGGTCAGCAGGAGCAAGATATGGCACCACAAAATCAAGATCAACAGGATAATAGAGTGTCAAGCTGTATTTAAAACTTACGAACATGCAAAACTATTCAATATATAGTTTAATAGTACAGAAAGTTTAAGTCAAGCTACAAAGAAAGGCAGTTGACTAATGAACATATAATTCAGGAGAGTGGCTACCGAGGACGTGGTTGTTTGGTGAAGGGGGTGGTGGCCCACAGAAGGAGGCTAAGGTAAATACTGCTCTGTTTCTTAAGATGAGTAATGGCCATGCTGGGATTCTTTAATTCTCTTTCTGCTTCGAGTACACGTTTTATGTATTTTCTCTAGTGAGTCAGATATTTTATTTTATTAAAATCGGAAAAGTAAACAGACACAGAAACCTTAACTTATACTGATAATTTTTGAGCTACTGTGGCCTTTCCTATAAGGCCCTTTCCTTTCTTTATTTAAATTTTTTTTTTAAAAAATGTGTTTTAATAGGAAGTTCCTATAAAGAAAGAACTGCTGCCTTGATGCCCAAGTTCAGATCCCAAATCTCAGAGCCTCTTCCATCCATATCCACATCCCCAGGCTGCTCTTCCCTAAATCCAAGCCTCGCCGCTCACCTGGGGGCTCCATTCCTCCCTGTTTCTGCTCATCACAGCTGCACATCTGGGCTGTCAGCCCCTGAGCAGCCAACAAGATCAGGAGTGGGGTGAACACAGCACATGGCCAAGGCAGTGGAGACTTGTTTACTGTCGCCATGGGAACCTCTGAAGGTGCTTTAAGGGGGTGGAGCCAAAAGCTGGGGCAGAGTCAGAACAGCTGGGGCAGCCACACGTCTCTGACCCCTCCCAACCTAGCGATTTTGGGAAGCCTTTCTGCTTGGCTCTTTAGACCCAGCTTGCCCCTCTGTCCTGGAAATGAGCCTCAATTATTTTCTCTCCAAAATTTGGGACATGTGGCTCCCCTGGGCAGATGGTGGTGAGATGGGTGAGAAGGAACCAAGGGCGGAGGGAGACAAGGGCTGTTGCAGGGTGGGTCTCCCTGGATCAGGGGCCACTGGAGAAGAACTTCCTGTGATGGAACTTCACAAATGGGGGTGGGGAAGCATGAGGTCACAAGGGTCAGATTGTGACCACCTGGAGTGAAGCTCAGGATTTGCCAGCCAGGTAGAGGGGATTGATAAAAAGCTGGTTGCCAGGGAGTGATCCCAGCAGAGAGAGGCTGGGCATGAAGGGATGGGGTGATGATATGTCAATTAGGCTTCAGCTCCTGCTCCAGGGCCCTTTCATGGAGGCTTATTTCCTAGGTCCTCTCCCAAGGACACCCTCTCCATGCTCTCAACCGCATCCTCCCCTGAGTCTCACGGTCAGACTACAGTCTATGGCCTACATCTTCCCTCTCCCCGAGTCCCAACCCCAGCTTTCTCAGTTCCTGGCTGCAATGGTCCTAGGCCCTCCACTCAATTTCCAAACCTTTTGCCTGGTGCCACCTTCTCTACCCAGAACTTTGGCCTACCTGTCAGTCCTGCCCTGCGTGTCACCTCAGCCTGGAAGTCCATAGGACTGTGATGAAGATGACTGCTTGCATTTTCTGAATCACTTTGTCGATGAGACATGCATCCTATTAGATCTAACAAAGCTTCACAGAAAGGTTGTTTTGAAGTTGACACTGAGGAAGATATAAGTGCTCTAGGATCAGTATGTGAGGCTGCCACAAACATGCTATAGTCTGCACATTCTTGCAGAGAGGTTGCAGAGTCTGCTTGGGAGAGAAGCCTCAAAAACATGGCTGGTGTCTTGGCAGAGTTTGCTCTGGCCCCCAGGAGGGTGTACAAACAGCCTTCATGAGAAGGTGACTTGCTGGCCACTCTTAACCACTAGAAGAAACTGATGCCATGGAACTTTGAAAAATCAGAAAGCAATTCCACAAAAGAAGAACCTCTGAAGATAGTAGAGCCCAATGAAGATAAATGACATCGCCCATAGGAGGGAACAGTGGTATCAACCTAAAGGGGCTCACTGCCCTATGTGCTGGAGGCCAATACTATGACAATGGGTTTTTGAGAAAATAAAAGCTTTGCATTGAGATTCAACCCCTAAAGAGACAGGAGTCAATCTCATCTGTGTCCCTGTGTTGGTTCCAAGGCAGTATTTAGAAAGATTCATGGGGTAGATACTGGGATTAGCAGGTGATTGTAGAAGGTAAGCAGAGTCTGAAAAGTCCTTAGGCCTGTGCAGTTATCTCTTCATGCTACTCATGAGTCATATGTGCAAATTTGGGAGGAGTGAGAGTGAAAGAATCAGTGAAAATTCAGGCTGCAAATTCAGGCTGCAATGTCAGCAAGCTTGTTAAAGTCAGCCATCTTGGTTCTAACAGGTATCAACCAGTTTTTGTTTTTTTTGTTTTTTTTTTTTTTGAGATGGCATCTTGCTTTGTTGCCCAGGCTGGAGTGCAGTGGTGCAATCTCGGCTCACTGCAAGCTCCACCTCCTGGGTTCACGCCATTCTCCTGCCTCAGCCTCCTGAGCAGCTGGGACTACAGGTGCCCACCACCATGCCCAGATAATTTTGGTATCAACCAGTTCTTTTATCAAATAAGCAAAGAGAGTTTCAGTGGATTTTTTTCTTTTTTTTTTTTTCATCTGCAATTCTTCAAAGCAAGAATTTCTGTTAGTCATTATGAACTCTCTGGGACATTGTTTCAATAGAAGGCCTTGAAGCATCACAGACGTCTTACAGTGAAAAAATTCTGGGCATATGATTATTGCTATTATATTCCTGACATATCTGCTCTTTATAAAGAGAGGATATGAAGTGTCTCAAAAGTAGACCAAGAAGAATATAAACAACATCCCAAGAGAAATCTAGGTAATTTTAAATAAACTATCAGATTATATTTTATTTAAATCTTGCATGGTACTTAAAAAAAACTACAGAAAAAAAGAAAAATGAAATAATCAAAGTTTCAGAAAAGACAAAAAGTACAAGGAAAGAAATCAATAATTAGAAGGGAAATTACACAAAACTGAGTGGTCTTATAAATTCCACGTTAGAAATTCCCTGTTAGTACTCTTAATAAGAAAGCCGATGCAGTTCTTATTGTCGCCTGGGGCTGGGGGGAGCAGAAATAATTTATGCAGAGAGAATGAAAGTGGCCACCTGAGTAAGGTCCTTAGAAAGTAAACCATCAGCTCAGCTTTGATGGCCATCTCCAGAAACATTCACCAAACAGTTTCACAAAGAGGTCATTCCAGCTGGGGGGCCTCTTTGGTCCTTACATTGAAATGGAGGAATTTCCTACCATCTCTCCACAATGACCCAACTTGTGATTTCTTTCTCTTCCGGAAATGTAAGGTTTGAGCTTATACCTGAGGAAGAGACTCCATGTAGTACCAGTGAATCATCAAAATGCTCAGTAAATTAATGATCTCAGAGCTGTGCCCTCTTTTGGCTACAGCTGTCACCTTAAGCAGTGGATTCTTCCAGATTGAAGAGAGATGCTTTCCACATTGGTGCCCCTGACACTGGGTTTTCCTTACAAATGTCCAGTATGATCCCACCAACTGCAGGATGCCCACCCCTACACAGTCCATTGAGACCCTCTCAATTTGGCTACACAATCACCAAATAGGATTTGGTTCAGGATTACAAAGTATGTTTAACATTCAAAAATCAAAACAATATGCCATATTAGAATAAGGAACACAAACCACATGATTATCTTAATAAATGGAGGAAAAGAATTTGAAAAAAAATCTAACCCATAAATGATAAAACTTCAACAAACTGTAAAAAAAAAGCAAGTCTTCATCATTCTAATAAAGAATACCTATATAAAATTCACGGATAACATCACACATAATGGTACAGAACTGGATACTTTTCCCCTATGTCTGTGAACAAGTCCAAGATATCCACTTTTGCCATTTCTATTCAAAATTATAGTAGAGTTTTTTACTGAGTGAAATAAAGCAAACATAAATTATAAATAGGAAAATAAAAGCATCCAGTTTGTCAAGGAAGAAATAGACTGTTTTTATTCACAGATGTCAAGATCCTGTAGAAAATGTTATAAGTTATAGATTAGCTTAACAACTTTGTAGGATAGTAAATCAAACTCCAAAATTATGTTTCCATATACTAGCAATAAATAAATCAAACATGAAATAAAAATTTCATTTATAATCGCATGAAAAAGAATAAAAGTTACAAATGTAGCAAAACATTTGCAAAACCTATACATTGAAATTTATAAAACATTGCTGAGAGAAATTTAAAAGGTATACATAAGTGTAAAGACATGTCATATTCATTGATTAGAGACTAATTCTTGTCAAGATCACAATTCTCCCCAAATTAATCTACAAATTCAAACCAATCCTGTAATTATCTTAGGAGGCATTTTTGTCAGAATGAACAAGTTGATGCTAAAATTTATATGGATATGTAAAGAACTTAAAATATTCAAAAGAATATTTGGAAAGAAGAATGAAGTTGGAGGACTTACATACTTGTTATCAAAATTTGCCATGTAGCTCCAGTAATCAAGACATCTTAGTATTGCCACAAGCTCAGGTATATAGAGCAACGAAAACTGTAAGACTCTTGTCTCATACTGCACAAAAAATTAACTGAAGTGGATCATAGGTCCATATATAATAGATAAAAACCACAATGATATACTACTAAATACCCACTACAATGGCTATAGTAAGACAGTAGCTTGTGTTGGTGAGGATGAAGAGAAACTGGAATCCCCACACATTGCTGGTATGAGTTTAAAATGGTGCAGCTCCACTGGAAGTAAGTTTGGCAGTTTCTTAAAAAGTTAAACTTACCATGCAACCCAGAAATTCCACTTCTTGGAATCTATTTAAGAAAAATGAACTCATGTTGATACAAAGACATGTCTGTGAATGTTTCTAGCAGTGTTATTCCTAATAGGTCTAACTGAAAACAATTGAAATGCCCATCGATTGGCCAATGGTTAAATAAATGTGGTATACCATACCATGGAACACTGTTCTATAATTAAAAGCACACAACTAATATATGTACTAGAACATGAATGAACCTTAAAAACACTGTGCTAAGTAAAAGAATCCAGACGAAAATAGCCTATGTATTGTGTAATTCCATTTATATGCAATGTCTAGAAAAGACAAGTTTATAGAGACAAAGCAGATGATTGTGCCTAACTAAAGCTGGGGATGGAAGACAGGATTGACTGCAAATGGATGTGAAGGACCTTTTTTGGGGAGTATGAAAATGTACTAAGGTAGGATTGTGGTGGTGCTTGTGCAACTATAAATTTAGTCAATTTGAATTGTACACTTACAGTGGGCACATTTTATAGTAGGCAAATCTTATTTTAATTAAGCTGTTAACTGTGAAAAGAAAGAAGCAAAAAGTTGTTCTCCCTTTGAAATGTTAAAATAATATGTGTTCTTAGAGAAAAATAATAAAACAATTCCTTTTTTATTCTCTAACTTTTTGTGTGTCTGCAAAAAGAAGTTGGTTATTTTGATTAGAGATGATAAGTAATATAAATATTATATTATATATTATAAATGTAATTCACATATTGCATATTGATAACAAATTATATATTTTATATATTTATAATATAATTATGTTTTATATATTTATAATATGAAGTACTATATATTACATTTTATAATATATATTTGTTTAATTTAATATAAGGATAATTAATATAAATATTTAATTACACAAGGTATGATAATTAGAGAAATATGAATATGAATATGAATATATAATTTTATGCTTAAGAAATGTTTAATAGCTTATTCATGGGACAAAGTTAATATGATATGTATGTATTATTTAATATGCTGGTAAGTTAGTTGTTTTTTAAAGCTATGAGTAAAAGTTTTAACATTACTTATTTTTATACTTGTCTCTGCATGCCTGAATACATGCAGAGACATGTATTCAATTTTTACTCCAAATTATTACAAAAATGACGTAAAACAGAAAAAAATGAGTGTCATTTTTATGTAACATGACTGGCCTATTTTATGCTTAGATTGTAGAAGTTTCTTTTTGTGATTTAATTATTCTGTTAAATTTTGGTGCCTTTTGTACGCACTTAAATCAGTTTTCAAGAAACTTCATGTTTAGTTTTCTTAATTGATTCTTAATTAGAACAGTTACTTACAAAATATTTATAATGTTGCCTGAAATTATTTGACTTTGTATCATGTCCTTTATAATGATTTTTTTTACCCTTCCAAAATTCAGAATAATTTTGCTCTTTCACCCTATAAAATAAAGGAAAATAGGAATAATTAGGTTTGTTGAAACTCTTCAGGTTTTAAATACTTCAAAACTGTTATGAGAGTCCTTCAACTTTGGGATTTAAAAACATACAAAAGATTTTCCAAACATGTCAAATCCAGAAGAGAGCTGATGTTAATTTTATATTAGTAAAAAGTATTACTAGAATTAGCTTTTAGTAATCATATACTTTTCAAGTTAAAAGAAGTATGTTCCTTTTTAAGCATACACACAGAAACAGTAACTATTAAAAGAATTTTCTCCAAGTTTCTAGATTCACAAATCCCTTTTTACTTTTTGTTTATAAAAAATCTCAGTAAGTGTTGACCCAATTATGTGGGAATCATTAGGGACCTACTGCTTATTTTAGTCTTTTGTTAGCTCTAGTAGCCAAGCTATATCGACCTTGTTTAAGATCTATAACAGCAATAGCAAAATGTATGAAAACTTCCATTGACTTAGTTCTAGGATCTCTACTACACTTAACAATTTCTCATCTTACACAGATTCTTTTATTGACAGTCATGTGACATCTATGAAATATTACCGCCTTACCCTTCAAAGGTCTACATCCATTGCTGCTTCCCTCTGAACCCAGGCATCATCTTTTTTATTTTAATTTGTATTTTATTTTGTTGATTGATTTATTTTTTATCTGATGAAAGAGGACCCAATAATTTCCAGCCTTTTGGGAACTATTCACAATCATGCAAACCTTCTAGCCAAGATAAATGTGATTTTATTTTGATTTTATGTGGTTCATACTGAAAAAGAAAAGCTAAAAATTATAAAGCCATTTACGTGATCAGAAACTTAAATTTGGCCTTGCAATACAAGCTTCTCTCAGAAATTGAATAATTCCAGTGGGCTGACTTAATTGCCCTCACTCAGATATGTCAGCTGCCCAGAGATAAAGAAGGTGTTATAGCACGTATGATTTTTAGGTTAGTTCATGACTTTGAAATGCTTTAGAAGAAAAGAGATGTCCTGACTAATACAAGATGGTGAATTAAAACCCTAATTTGCCTGCAGACAGTGCGCTCTGGATAAATATCAGATTAGCAATGTCTCAGCAATGGTAGGGATCAATGATCTACATCCTGATGCCTGACTAGTTTGCTTTGGCCAAAAGAGGGTAGAAAGAAACAGAGACGCAACCCTTCATATTTGAGAACTGGTCTAGCACTGTTAGTTCTTGGTGTTGCTAGGAGTAGAACAGGCACTCACAGCTAGGTCATAATATTCTCTGGCTGAGTATAAACAATTTCACTGAGTACCAGCATCAGAAAAGGCCACTCTGTGATGGTGGTGAATCAAGACAAAAAGAAGACCACTCCAGTCATGTCTGAATGCAGACAGAAACGTGAACCTTATCTAAACTACACAAATGACCAAACACTCCTCATTCCCAGCTAATATGTGTAACAGTGGCTTATTCACCAACCACAGCTTTAACCTTACTTCCTTCCAAATTGTAGATCACATTTTTAAAGTATTCAATCATAGTGTTAACACCACTTCCTGATGGCCTCCACTTCAGAGCAAAAGTCCGATTCTGTAAAACATCCCCTAAAGCACTGGTAAGCACTGAATGTTTACATTTCTCCAAATTCATATGTTGAAATTCTAACCCCCAAGGTGACTGTGGTAGGAGCTGGGGCCTAGGGAGGTGTTTGAGGAGTGAAGGTAGAACTCTTATAAATAGGATCAGTGTTTTTATAATAGGGACTCCAGAGAGCTCTCTCACCCTCTTTCTGCCATGTGAGGAAACAGCAAGGAATTGGCATTCTGCAACTCAAAAAAGGATCCTCCCTGGACCCCAACCATGGTGGCATTGTGATCTTAGACTTCCCAGACTTCAGAAATGTGAGAAATAAATTGCCGTTGTTTATAAGCCACCCAGGCTACAGTACTTCGTTATATAGCAGCCAGAGCTGATGAAGACAGGAATCTAACTAAAGTCCCACATCCTATACTGTCTTTTTTAACATGCTCTTACTGAGAGACACCACAGTTCTCCACAGTGTTTTCCCTTATTTCAATGAGTGAGAAACAACTTGTTCAGCCACAGGTCTGTTTCTGGTGATGTTGCTGTAAGATGCCACTGTGGGCACACTGTCTATGGGTTAACCCTCCTCTGCAAGGAGCAGTGCCTCTGTTGCTATAGGCTACTGCTTCAATAAAGTTGCTGTCTAACACCACCAGCTTACCCTTACGTTCTTTCCTGGGTGAAGCCAAGAACCAGGCTAAGCCCCAATTTGGGGGCTTTTCTGTCCTGCATTGCTTTGAGGTAGGGTGAGACTCCTCATTAGAGCTCAGAGAAACCCTCTTGCTCAAAATTAGAATAACTGGTAAATCATAATAAAAAATAATAAACATTTACTGAGCCCTCACTATACCATGCATTCTTCTGAATCTTTTGTGATTTTAACCTTATAAAAACTCAGGGGCAGGTGCTACTCTTAGCCTTATTTACTAAGGGTAAGACTGAGCTACAGAAGTGTCCAGGGAGCTTGCCAGAAGTCCCAGAAATAGGAGAAATGATGCAGTGCATTGGCCTGGGCTATTCTGGTCCAGGGTCCATGCCTTTACACACCACAGTATGTGTCCCAGTGAGAACCTGGCCCTTCCCTCTCCTTCCATGTCCAGAGCTCTCAGCCTGGTTCACAAAGCCCTTATGCTTGAATTTCTCTCCTTGAAAGTAGCAGGACAATGTTGGGGCAGTGAGTTGAAAAGGAAATTGAACTGTCCAGCCCTGGCAGAGACTCCTTCAAATTGTGACATTTCACATTGCTGCTAATTTCTCTTTTGCACAAAGTTGTGAACTAAAAGCAGGCTGAAGCCAAGGGTGGCTTGCAGGTTCGACCCATTCCGGTCAGAGGCTGCAGTTGCTGTGAATGTATCTGAGTTTCTCACTGACTTATCTACCTCTGCCAGTGGAAGCTGGACCACTTATGATTCAAGCCTTGAGTCATTAGTTTTCTTCCACACCCATGGAAATGACAGCTGGGTTGATTCCCAGTGTGTGTCAGGATGAAGCCTGGTCCCCTGTGGTGTTTAGTGTTCCTGAGGCCCTGAGCCCCCCGCAGAGGATGCATCAAGGGTGTAGTGACTGTTCGTGGGGCAGCGACATCCCAATAGACAGCATGCTTCTTTCTGCAAAAAATTGATTTCTCTGAGAAAAAGCATCGCACATCCAACCCAAAGCCAAGTCTCATTTCTTTCTCTTCCTCCTTCCCCCAGAGTTGTTGCATACCACAGCCTTGCACACATAAATACCTTTATTACACAGTTCTGTCTAATGAATGATAAATCAACTTATCTCCTATTCTACAAGGATGAACAGGAATGGTCTCACTGTTCATCTTCCTCCCAGGGTCCCTTCCTCAGGATGTCCTGCTTTCGTGTGTGTGTTTTATCCCCATAGGTCGGCTCAAGGAGAGGTTCTAGAAAGTGGGCACAGAAGTCCCTTCGGTTGGAAAACACTGGCTCCCATGACTCTGGTGGCTCAATGGCACAGTGAGAGACAGATAAGCATGGGCCTGAGCCTGCCTGTTTCCATAGGAGGCCTATAGCCCAGGCTGGTTCTGATGCTGTACATCCTGGAACAGACTGCATTTCTCTGAAGGAAACAGACCCAGAGAACAGAGGCACCATGCTCTCGGGTTCTCAGACAGTCTAAGCAGAGCAGGTCCCAGAGCCCAGAGCTACTGGACTGACCCCAGTCCTCTTGATGCCAGAGACAATATAGTCACTGCAAGAATTAAAGAAAGAGGAGAGAAACTTCAAGGGTGGCTTTACAGTCAACAGGGACAAGTTTATTTTAAATAAACCTGAGAGGGGCGGCTGGCCAAGCTAGGTCAGAGCCACACTCTCTTATGACCAAGAGTTTTTAAGAATTCAGGATAGGAGAGTTTATCAGAGGCTTGGATTGCTTCTGTGTCTCTTTGTTGTGCTTATCTGGGAAGGAGAGTTGTGTGTCTGTTCTCATATATCTTTCTGCAGCTGCAGGCATAGCCCCCTGAGTCTGCTTTTAGCTTCCCTATCTTAGTGCACCTGAAGGGAAAGGAATGTGCTTATTAAGGCCCACTGTTTTACTGGGGCCCGTTGTATGAGGGTGAACTTTGGCAGTTACCCAAGCGACTTGCCCCCTACTTTCCTCTGTGCCCGAGCTGTCTTATCTGTGTTTTACTGTCTGCTCTTTCTGGCTGCTTGTAGTTAGAAGAGAAGTGATTTCCTTGAAATGCATGAGGCTAGAAGGGGAGCTGGAGCTTAAAGTGGCGGTGTTTGTCTGAGATGACGGTGCTCCTGCTCTGTCAGTCTCAGCAGCATTTATTTCTTTTTCCTCCTCCTCTTTCTCCAGCAAAGGGCAGGTAGTTTAGTTGGTGGTTGCCTGGCCTCTCTTTAGCAAAACTCTAGCCCACTGCAAATCTCCCTGGGCAGTCGTGACTGGACGTGTGTTCACTGAGCCCCTGGGAGACAGGGCTGTGTCCTGAGTTCTGGGTCATCACGGCAGGCCCTGGAATTCAGCTCCGGGAGTACTGATCTCTGGCAAAAGCTATGTGCTTAAGGAAGGTGGACCCTCCCTAGGCCCAGGAGATGGATCTCACTAATCTAAACCAGTTATGGCATCCCTACTCCTCTTACTGCTGATGGTTTCAGGGACAGGCAGGTGACTGATTTCTGACCAGTCAGTTGTAAGTGTACATTTGCTGGTGTGTGTAGGGGGGGTGTCTGGAAAATTTTCACCTTTACAAAAATCCATGGGGAAAGAAAATCTGCCCATTTTTTGCCTTCACCAATGTGGTGAGAACATGATTCTTAGAGGTACTGCAGGCATCTCGTACCCAGGTGGGGTATCTTGTTCTCAAATGCCGATGCATTGGGGAAGACAGGTTGCAGCTGAGAAAGCAGTATTCACCCTTGAAAGTTCCCAGGGCTGCTGAGCCAACCTGAAATCGCCTTTATCCACCTTCCTGGGAGACAGGTTAACAGCATTCTCTCCTAGGGGTCACGGATCCTGGATTTTTTGTCCCTGTGTAGGAAGCGCCAACACATAGATACACTTGGCCTGAGAGAGGACAATGGCCTCCCAGGCTTGGGGACTGCAATGGGAAGGAAAGGGGGCTCTTCCTGAGACTTGGTGGAAGCTGCTATCAGCAGAGGCCCTTTGAATGCTCCAGTTACTCCATTGTTATTCATCTAGTGCCCACAATCCAAAAGATTATTCATTTGCTCAGAGCCGAAAGAGGAAATGAAATGGAAGGGAAGAAATGGGTTGGAGGCGCGGAAAAATGCACAAATGGCTAAGCTTAGGCTGACATCTTGTGGCTAAGCCCAAAAAAGGCACTTCACTAAGAAATGAACTGAGCAGCTGGGCAGCTCAGCAGGGGGGCAGCCTGCAGTCTGAAAACGGAACAGCAGCCTTTTAAATCCACTCTCACTTTTTCTTCATTCTCTTTTTTATTACATGTCAAATTTCTTCAGCAGTCTTTTTCTGTACTGTATAGCTATTAGAAAGAATATTTTAACTCTAATGACTACAGACTTAAATTTATTTCTGGCTAAAATACATTGTTATCTTGACTAATCCTGCTTCAAATTAAAACTGTTCACCCAAAATCAATTGATTATCTTTTTCTTTAAATTAGCAATGACATGCAATTGACTTGAGTAATCGTATAGTTTTCTACCTAGAAATTAATAAGCTGTGCCTCATATATTACATTTTTAATGACTAGGAAAACACCTTTTTCCCATTTTACACAGGTGGAAGCCAAGTGATGGCCAGGGTCACAGTGAGCAAATGGCAGATGGGATCTTGCATCCTAGTCCCTCAGAACCTACAGCCTGGAGGCGGAGTTAATGGTCACCACTTCCTTTGAATGCATAGGAACAAGCAGTCTGCATGTTGTCTCATTTAATCTTTAAAACCACCCTAGTGAGGTAAATTTTGTCTTTCCTGCCTTATGAATGAGGAAACAGAAATCATGGCTCTAGAGATTGGCTCCTGGGAAACTGAAGCTGGCTTATCTACTTCTAAAACCCATCCTTCTCATCTACCTCCCCTTTTAGAGATAACTCACTCTTCCCCCAACCCCTTCTTCCTTATCTTACACATACCTCTCCTACATCTGAGCTTCCAAGAAATTGTTAGCATTTGTTGCTATAGTTCTCCTTGAAATATTAGCCGATGAAGAATTATTATTGTTTTTCCCAGGGACATTTGCATAACAATAGATAAGGAGCTCTTGAACACAGAAAGCCTTTGGGGTTTAAAGGGAGCATGTCAGACTGCAAGAAATAATGGGACAAAGACATTTGGGGGCCAGGGAACAAAGATCTCCTTTAAATCACCTCACAGAGACTGTTCTGTCCTTGGCAGCCCAGGGCTTCCAGACATCAGGTCACATATCTGATGTAATTGAAGATCCAACTAAAGGCAAGCAGTTGTTTATTCAGCATCCTGGACGGATTTACCACCAGACTAATGCAAATGCCACCTGATAAGAGCTGGAAGATGGCCCTAAGCAAACAGAGGGTTCCCCCCACCCCTCCCACCACCATTATTTTGAGAAACAATATCTTTTATAATTCCAAAATACAAGGGGTCAGAGCATTTTAATTCTAATAAGCTTGAAGTTTTCATTTTGCTTAAAAAAATTTGAACAATGGCCAATTAGCTGGTGAGCAATACTTTATCTTTGGCACAGAATTGAACTCATGAAATACTTATTAAGGGCCAGGCAACCAGTCACCCTGCTAAGTACTTTTTCTAAATTACTTCATTTAATCCTGACAAAGCTGCCTATAAAGTAGCATTGGTACACTCATTTCACAGATGAGAGAATTGACTGTCAGTGGGATTGAGTGGCCCATCTGAGATTGCATAGCTGGTAAGGGCATGGTGGGATCTAAGTCGTTTCTAGATTCCAAGCTCTTGCTTTCTCTACATCCATAGTATTAATCTCTTTTCTTGTACTAAAATAAAATATTGGCGGTGAGCTTTTTACTTTCAGAATCACCCTCCTGCCTCTTTGGCACACAGGTAAGAAGGGTAGATAGAGACACAGACTCAGACACCGGAATCCTTTCTGTTATTTGTAGTTATAACCCAGGTTCCCTGCATTAAAGGAGCCCCCTTGTATGAGTCAGTTCTTGCATTGCTATACAGAAATACCCGAGACTGGGTAATTTATGAAGGAAAGAGGTTTAATTGGCTCACAGTTCCACAGACTGTACCAGAAGCACAGCAGCTTATTCTAGGAGGCCTCAGGGAGCTTTTACTCATGGTTAAAGGCAAAGTGGGAGGAAGTGTCTTACATGGAAGGAGCAGGACCAAGAGAGAGAGGGGGAGGTGCCATAAACTTTTAAACAACCAGATCTCATGAAAACTCACCCACTCTCATGAGAACAGCACTGAGGGGATAATGTCAATGTATCCATGAGAATTCTGCCCCCATGTTCCAATTGCCTCCCACCAGGCCCCACCTCCAGCATAAGGGTTTACAATTTGACATGAGATTTGGTGGGGACACAGATCCAAACCACTGAATTCTACCTCCTGCCCCATCCAAATCTCATGTCCTTCTCACATTGCAAAATACAATCATCCCTTGTCAACAGTTCCCCAAAGTCTTAACTCATTCCAGCATTAAATCAAAACTTCAAAGTCCAAAGTCTCATCTGAGACAAGGCAAGTCACTTCTGCCTATGAGCCTGTAAAATAAAAAACAAATTAGTTACTTCCAAGATATAATGAAGGTATAAGCATTGGTATACTCCTGTTCCCAAAGGGAGAAATCAGCCAAAAGAAAAGGGCTACAGGCCCCACACATCTGAAACCCAGCAGGGCAGTCATTAAATCTTAAAGCTCCAAAATAATCTCCCTTAACTCCATGTCTCACATCCAGGGCACACTGGTGCAAGGGGAGGGGTCTCAAGGCTTTGGGCGGTTCCGCCCCTGCGGCTTTGCAGGGTTCAGCCCCTGTGGCTGCTCTCATGGGTTGGCATTGAGTGCCTGTGCCTTTTCCAGATGCATGGTGCAAGCTGCTGCTGGATCTACCATTCCAGGGTCTGGAGGATGGTGGCCCTCTTCTCATAGCTCCACTAGGAAGTGTCCCATGGGGACTCTGTGTGGCTCCTTTTTTCTTATGCAAATTTCTGCAGCCCACTTGACTTTGTCTCCTGAAAACGGGCTTTTCTTTTCTACCACATGTCCTGGCCACAGATTTTCCAAACTTAGTCTTTACTTTCCTTTAACATATAAGTTCTGGTTTTAGGTCATTTCTTTGCCCGTGCATATGAGATAGGTTGTTAGAAGCAGCCAGGCCAAACCTTGAACACTTTGCTGCTTAGAAATTTCTTCCACTAGATATTCTAAATCCTCATTCTCAATTCAAAGTTCCACAGATCCCCAGGGCAGGGGCACAATGCAGCCAACCTCTTTGCTAATGCATAACAAAAGTGACTTGCTCCAGTTCCCAATAAGTTCCTCATCTCCATCTGAGACCTCCTCAACCTGGACTGTATTGTTCATATCACTATTAGCATTGTAATCAAAACAAATGTATAAGTCTCTAGGAAGTTCCAAACTTTCTCTCATCTTCCTGTTTTCTTCTGAGCTCTCCATACTCTTCCAACCTCTGCTGGTTACCCAGTTCCAAAGCTGCTTCCACACTTTCAGGTGTCTTTAGAGCAATGCTCTACTCCTTGGTACCAATTTTCTGTATTAGTAAGTTCTCGCATTGTTATAAAGAAATACCTGAGACTGGGCAATTTATAAAGAAAAGAGGCTTAACTGGCTCACAGTTCTGCAGACTATACAGGAAGCAAAGTGGCATCTGCTTCTGAGGAAGCCTCAGGGAGCTTTTACTCATGGTGGAAGGCAAAGTGGGAGCAGATATTTTACATGGCAGAAACAGGGCCAAGAGAGAGAAGGGGAGCGGTACTACATGCTTTTAAACAACCAGATCTCATGGTAACTCACTCACTTTCATAAGAACATCATCAGAGGGATGGTGCTAACTCATTCATGAGAACCCTGCCTCCATCATCCAATCACCTCCTATTAGGTCCCACCTCCAAAACTGGGGATTACAATTTGACATGAGATTTGTTGGAGATGCAGATCCAAAAATATCGCCCCCTTTTCTTTACTGTCTAGGGGCCCCAAGTCTGAGCCCCATATGGGTGATAGCAGGTTTCTGGGAACCCTGAGGAATACTGGAAGGTTCCATGGGTCCACTTGCGCCTTCAGTATCTCCTGCTCCAGGCTGAGGCTCAATCCCCTCCCTCTATCTCTTCCTGAAGCCTGTGATCCCTTTTCTACTTCATAATTATCATCTCTGGTCTGTTTTCCCAAAGCATTGTACAAAAGATGATTTCCCAAGAACAAATAACCCGTAGCTTTTGAACACAACAGACCTCACTGACTCCTGATAACACAAGGGAATTTCAATGCAGAAAAGGGAAAATTAAGATAAAATACCAGGATACCCTTTTCCTGGAATTTCCTAGAACTTGTTTCTTCTCTCGGAACCTCTCTGCTTCCCACTCTGAGAGTTGAAGCTTTTAATGGCCTTCAGAGTGGGAAATGTACAACCCCTGCCTCTGATCCCTGTCTAGAAAACACAGTGTCAATGCACATCACAATAGTTTCAAGGGGAGCACTCTACTGAGAAGTTGGGAAGATGGTGGCCTTTTACGTTTTCCTAAGTAGGGCATTTCTTTCAGGCATGCACAGTTGGCATGTAGCTTACTTCCCCTGTTGAGTGTTTCTAGGGCACATGGAGTGGGCTTGTGCTTGTTATCACCTGAACAACTGAAACAACGTGACAAAAATATCTCTTTGGAAAAACAAGACAGTTTGCCCCAAATACCCATTTCATTTCTACCTTTAGAACCACAAGCAAGACATGTTTTGAATACACTGTTTTTTTGTTCTCACATTATAGCTGTATGTGGGTCGCAAGTAATTGAACTGCTCTAGGCCTCCAAATGAAGATGGTAAAACATATCCCACAGGGGTCATGTGAAGTTAAAATAAGGCAAGTGTTCAAAAGCATCTTATAAACTACAAAACACTACAGTTTATAAACTATGTATAACCACATAAATGGGAGACATTATTATCTCCCTTTTGTTTTCAGAGTTCCTTAACCCAGTGCTTCTAGAGTTGATGAATTAGTTACCAAGTGTGGTACTATATACATGCAGGTACATTGGCTGAAATCCCTCACTGTATATTTTACATTAATGCATTTTTTTCTCTTATATGATTGATATTTTAAACTATGTGGGTATGCTTTTCAATTGTATGTTTCTGTGTATATGGCTTTTCCCTTTTCTTTCTAAAGCATTTTTATTTTTTATTTCTTTGGTTTCAGAGGAGAAAAATGGAGTGAGGAAATTAGGATTAGGATTATTACAGAAGATATTTAAGGAGAAAAAAGTAATATTCAGCTCTTGACATGAAATGTAATGTTTCTCTTATCCCTCCTATAAGGCCAGACTCTTGAAAATCAGGTTTTACTGGGCCATAATGTATTTCCTAACTTTGGAGGACTCTTATCAATATTTTTCCAAGGTAGTGAGGATACTCTTTTTGTTTATGGCCACTAGGATGGGAGACAGATAAACCAAGTGAAGGAAAAAGAAGCTCAGATAGGAGAGTTAATGTCCTGGAGTAGAAGGATATGATATGGAATAAAGGAAAGTTTGAAGACTCATGCTTCTAGGCCCATAATATCAAGGTTAAAAGAAGGAAAGGAAACAGAGAGAGTAATAGGTCAGGTGCCTGAGATCTGTTCTGAGATGAGGTTGGATCTTGTGGAGGGGCCAGGTTTTCCTAAGCTCATCCAGCTGGGTATGCAGCATGCTTCCACATTACGCTGGATGGACTCTGCAAGCCTCTGTCTCTGCATATGGCCATCATCAACTTGGTGTTAGGCAAGAACAGAGGGAAGTAGACAGGAGTATCTAATTGTTGCTCTAAAACTGATGTAGAGCAGGCTTCACTCCCAAAAGAATTCAAGAGAGAGCTGGTGGTGGAAGAAAGGAGCTATATTGAAGCAGCTGTATTACAACTCTGTGATTTCAGGGTTAGCGCATAGGCAGTGCACAGAGAGTAGCCACATGGGATGCTGGCAGTGGTATTTATACCCACTTTTAATGACATACAAATTAAGGGACAGGTTATTCAGAAATCACTAGAAAATGGGGAGTAACCTCTGGGTTTTGCCATAGAAATGGGTGGCAACTTGTGGGCATTGCCATGGCATTTGTAAACTGTCATGGCACGGCGGTAGGGTAGTGTCTTGGCAGTAGTGAAAGGTTGCTTTCCTGCCACTTGCAGTTTCAGTTTTGGCAGGTTTCCAATTTGGACTGGGAGACAAAATGAGTCCTGGTAGTATCCTATCTCAAGACAAAGAGCTGCTTCCAAGAATGCCCTGCCCCCAATCTGGAGTGGTCCCATATAAGCAGTTTTCATGGTACTGCATTGTTAGGCAGAAGGAGCGAGGGCTTGAGTTTGGGCATGGCATGGCTGAAACATGAAGTGTTTCCACCCCACCTAACTCCCCTTCTCAAAGAAGGAAAGGAGAAATAGTTGGGAAAATAGTGGAGGATACTTCCAGAGGGTGTCACTGTGATGGAGTGTGGGTTCTGTCCTGGAGGGCTGCCAAGTGACCACGTGAGCCAGAATCACAGGAGAATCACCATAGTATTCCTGGGGCGGGAGGGGCTCACAGCACCAACCAGAGCTGACGTGGGGCCCAGTCAGCAGAGACCACTGATGGGTGCTACTCAGTTGTGCTGGCCACAGATGTCAGCAGCTGATGGCAGAAGAATGACCTCTGCCCCAGAGACCACTGCCAAGGACTCTGAAGGCAGATATGAAAGTTTATATCACCCCCTACCATCTTGACCAAGATAGGGTGCCATGGGAGCTCTGGGGTGCTGTTCATGTTCTATTTCTTGATCTGGGTGCCAGTTATGCAGGTGTGTTTACTTTGGGAAAAATCACCCAGCTAGACACATATGATTTGTACATATTTCTGTATATATATACTTCAAAAAGATGACTTAAAAAATCTATACAAATCATCTATACTCTCCCCTACAAAATAAAATGCTACACACACACACACACACACGACACACACCCCCAGAAGGCAGGTAGTTGTGAGAAACATGAATTCAATTATAGATAAATAAAAACATATTATTGTTCTGCACATTTGAGATTAATGTGAGCAAGAGGATGTACTTCATGCTCTTTTGCTAAAGAAAGTGAAACAAAAATCAGTGAATCTGTGAAAATGTCAAAGCATAATGGTAGTGATGCTATAAGGAAAAACTCAAGCTGGCTCAATATTTAATTTTAGAGAAGTATCAGCAAAGTTCTCTAGATTAACTTTTAGGCTACAGGAGCTTAAGAACAGATTCAGGCATAATTGTATCTGCATGCTGTCTTTATAGATAATTATTTGTTGAAACAAATTTTGTTTATTTTTTTTGGAAACATTACGTACTTCATCATATTCTTGGACATCTTAAGCCGCTTTTATTGGAGTTTTCCCTGAACCTAGCCTGAACCTTTCCTGAAATAGCCCAAAATTCAGCCAGGTGAAGTGAAAAGCACTTGTGATTTGAACAAGGAAGACCTGTGTTAACTTCTGCTCCCTTTAGCACTCAAAAGATCTTAAAAGAATTGCATAACATTTTGGGCTACGCAGTGTAATTCTGACTGTAACTGTCTGAAGTTAGGTCAAATTTTCAAGTGAAGAACAAAGTTCTATACAAGACTAAATTCACTTCAGACACCAGCTGCAAGCTTGGGAGTTCCTGAGCCATTTCTGATAATTTGCTAGAACTAAGAACCAAGAACATCACTATGCTTACTATCATAGTTTTATTATAAAGGAAACAAATGAGTAATAGTCAAATGAAGAGATGCACAGAGTGATGTCTGGTAGGGTCCCAAGTGGGAAACTTACAAGTCCTCAGGACTCATTGTCCTCCGCTAACACATCAATGTATAATTACCAACCAGGGAAGCTCATTTGAGCCTCGGGTGTCCAGATTTCTTTTATTAGGGTCTCATTATGTAGGCATATTTGATTGAATCATTGTCTACATAGTTGCACTCAATCTTCAGCTCCAATTCTCTCTAAAGAAATTGGACTGATATCACGTGGCTCAAAACCCCAGCCTTCTAATAATGTGGTTGGTTTTTGCAGCATGATACCCCATCCTGAAACGATATTGAGGGTCTTCCATGAATCACCTCTTTAGTGCAAACTCAGTGTGGTCCAGTACACCCCTCATGAATAACACAGACGTACCTATTACTCAAGAAATTCCAAGGGTTTAGAGGTTTCCTCCCAGGAACCAGTGGGAAAGGCCAGCCAAATTCTGTATCCTATAATTGGATGTTTGCTCACATAGTGTGATGTGAGGATTCTGCGAGATGAGGATTATAGAACAAAGGACACATTTTCATGACTTTAGATCCATCTTGAGAAATGAAAAGACAAAGCACGTCCAAACTCTGTAACTTGAGTGGAGCTTCATCATGTTCTCTTTGGGCATCTTGCTAGAGAGTGGAAAGCAAGCTGAGTTGGTCACATCAAATTCAATTGTCCTCCAACTCCTGGGGCTTAATAGCCTGCCTTTGAAAGAGATGACCCGCACAATGTTTCAGTCAGGTGCTCTGTGGAATGTGGGGTAATTCTTTCCTTATACTCAGCAGTGTTGAGTTCCTGCATGAGTAGTCAGCAGATGGTGTCATGCTCCTGTACCCTTTTGCCCTTGCAGCCACAGTTCACAGGGCCCAGGGCCCACATTCCCCTGCCAGTATCTGAATTGCTTTGCCTGAGGCTTTCTGTAGCCATTGAAGCCTCTTTTGCCAATTGGAGATGACTGGGATATAATGCACCTCCTCCCCTCATCCAAGCAGCCCTCAACCAATGACTTATAGAACTTAGTGTATGCATTCCCTAGCTCCATCCCTCCTTAGATAATCTAATTCTGAGGACTGTGTTTTGTACTTGTCCCCAGACTTTCCCCAGGCATGCTCTGTGACAGCCGGTTTGACAAGACATTCTTTATTGATGATGTTCTCCCTGTCCTTCTTCCCCACTCCTCTTCCTGGTGTTTCCTTTATTGCCCCAATAAGCTAAATACCCCTTTTAAATTCTTATCTCAGGTCTGTTTCTGGAGTAATCCACCAATGGCCAATAATATCAATTTCCCATTGTCAGCTCCTGATAATTGTGGATGTATTATCTCATTTAACAGTTGTACCTGAAATCCAGCAGCTTGTTCTTACAACGATTATGTCCTACAGCCAATGGACCACACAGAAGAGAGTTGAGGATCAAGAGAGGTCTTAGTTTATTTTGGTAGATGTGTGTGTGTGTGTGTGTGTGTGTGTGTGTGTGTGTGTGTATAGCTAGTTCTTTTTCTAAAATTAAATCATTATTTAGTTAGCATTTTTGGGTGCAGCAGCTTTTCCTGATACTGATGTATCTATACTGATATTCTGGAGTTTAGTGTAGTTCCAAAGAAATAGATCTCAAATGTGCTAAAGAAATGAAAATTGTATGCTTCCTTAAGGACAATTATCAGTTTCTTATCATATTCATTAATCAGGAGGAGCTGTGATGAAATGCAGTCTACTTTATTTTCCGTTCTCTCCATTGTTCTTTCTCCTCCTTGCTTCCTCTCCCTTTCTTTTGTCACTCTGCATTCCTTCCCACCCCCCAAACCTTGGTCTTTCTCTGGACCTCTCCCACCCGTCACAAACTCTTTAAAAACAAGACAAGGCCAGGCGCAGTGGCTCACGCCTGTAATCCCAGCACTTGGGGAGGCCAAGGCTGGGTGGTTCACTTGAGGTCAGGAGTTCGAGATGAACCTGGCCAACATGGTGAAACCCTGTTTCTACTAAAAAAGTACAAAAATTAGCCCAGCATGGTGGTGCATGCCTGTAAGCTCAGCTACTTAGGAGGCTGAGGCAGGAGAATAGTTTGAACCCAGGAGGTGGAGGTTGCAGTGAGCCGAGATCACGCCATTGCACTCCAGCCTGGGCGACAAGAGTGAGACTCCATCTCAAAACAAAACAAAACAAAAACAAAAACCAAGACAAGCTCTAGATGGCTCCTCTAGACATCTGTCTCAGGATAAACACATTTTGCATAACAACATACCTCCTGATATCTTAACCTCACACTAAATTATTTTAAAAGACATTGTCTTCTGAGAAAAAATTCAACTACTACTAATTGGAATATTCTTTAGAAGTTGTTGAGTATTCTTGGAATCACAATTATAGCTGTGAATAAGTCATGGGGTAATTTAAAAGGATTCAGAATCAATTTTCTAATGGAGAATAGTTACATCATGGTTTGATCAAGAATCAAATGGAGAGAAATTTCTTTTAAAATTACTAGTATTCGTTTTTTGTTTGAAAATTACAGTGGAAGATTCTGCCCACCTTATGAAAGAATAAAAGCTGGTTTGTAATCATTAAGTAGCTTGCAAATCTTTTCAACTACCAACGATCTGCCATGAAACATGTTTACTTTGCTTCAGGAAGAGGAAGTAACAAGGCATTCTTCCATCCCTGAGCTGAAGTGGTTTTATCAGTAACAGTGACACCGAACGAGGGCTTGTCTTTGAAATTGGAGTGCCAGAAAGAGATGTTGAATATTCTTTGTATTTTCCACTGGTGATCCTGGCTGGTATTTTAGAAATTCAGGCGATAACAAAATGGAATGGGACTGAGAAATGAAAGAAGGGAGATTCTGTTGCTGTTGTTGTTGCTATTGCAATGCTTTTTTCTGGGGTTGCAAGATCAGAGGAGGTGGTTCATAGACAGTAACAATTTTTAAATCAACTCTAGTAGGAACCCGGAATTTCCAGAGCTCTAAAATTCTCTCCTTGAGAATTAAGGCATAGTGTTTTACGGAGGTGAGAGTATCTTCAAGTCTTTCAGTGTGTAAAGGAGTTTGCCACAAAAACATAGGATGCATGAGTAAAACATAGTTTATTTTGTTGTTAGAGCCTATCTTAACATTTCATGGCCTGAATTTATTTTTTAGTAAAACAAGTCTTACCCTTTGATCAGGTCCAGCATGTTTTCATACCTTTCTCTACAATCTGCTGAATACAGAAGGCACTTTGATGAGGAAGGAATCTATAGTAGCTACAGTGAGAAGCCTACTTCCCACACTCTGGAGATTTTCCAGTTGGTGCTACCTTAAGGTTCCTTTGGTCTTAGAGGGTTAATGCTAATGAACTAGTGAAAATGAGTGTCTCTAATGGCCTAGTAAGTTATATACTTTTTTTTGCAGGGGGTGTAGTCCGATTTGTACTAAGGCCTTTAATCTCTTTGTGTTCATAGTTTGGGAATGTTTGCCCATCGATCAAGCATACATAACAAACATTTCTTTCTCCTAGAGGAAACAAAAGAAAATGAATGAATGCTGCTGAAAAAGTGATAACTTTAGGTTTAAAAGAGTGTTATTGATTTGCTCTGTGCTATTTGAATTATTCATAACAAAAAGGAGAGAGTAGAGGTGCTTAGGGACACAGCATCTATTGAAAAGTCATAATGTTAAAAGTAGGGAAGAATTGAGAGTTAGAGATAAAGGAATTTTCTATTCTCTGATCTTTAATTCAGATATCCCCCTGTAGTCTTTGACAGCTGAATGAGTGCTGGGGAAATGAAGAATTAGCATGTGTATGACTCTATTGCTTGGACAGGCATGTTTAAGACTATCAATTAAGTGTCAAGCTTCAGATGAGGTGTTTTTGTTGAGTTTTTAACTCTTGACTACTTTGCCCACCTTTCCTAATTCCTGAAATAATGTAGGGGTGAGGAGAAATTTTTTTCCTTCTCTTTCTTCAGGCTTGACAAATTGAGTCTACAAAACAAACTGACAGATTAACAATAGACAGATTAATAGGAAAAAGTGGAACACAAATATATTAAAGTGCATATTGACACAGGGGCCAGACACGAAGTATGAGATTCAAAGAAAAGCCAGATGGCTGAGTTTGGAGGTTACATTGGAAGGTTACAGCAAGAGTAGAGACTTATTGTTTCTTGGGAGGGAGGTGGGATGAGAGTAAGGGAGGAAGCCATGGCTGCTTTGCTATGGAGATGACAAATCTCAGAGCTGCCCTCAGAAAGAATAGATGGGAGCCTGTGGTAGAAGTTTCTCTGGCAGACCCTTAAATGTTTCAGACTTTTAGTCTCTTTTTTTCTGTGAGCTAATCATTCCTAGGTTGGGACAAGGAGACAAGGAGGGCCTCAGGGAAAACCTGTTTGTATCTGCTGTTCACTTCGTTAGTGCAGATTCCCTTTCCAGATGCAAAACTCCGCCCCAAAAAGACAGCATTTCAAGATATTTCTGTGGTTTGCAGCCCTTCTGAGTATCCATCTTGAAATATGCTAAAAAAGTATATTTGGGGGTGAAATATTCCAGTTTCCTTCCATAGGCTTGCCTTCCTTTTGATTTGTTCCTATGTCAATCTCAGTCTACCTCTTTAGTCTTTCTTGATCTGTGTTTCAAACACTCAGTGACTATATCTCTTTACATCTATCTCTACGTACACATTTGAAGACAAATTTTAAGTCTGCCAATACTAAGTTTTTGTGAGAATGTAGAGCAACAGGAAGTTGTATATATTCCTGATGGGAATATACATTTTTGTAAGAAGCCAGGAAAACAATTTGGTAATATTTCTGTAAGACAGAAAATGTTCATTCAATCCCAGCTACTCGGGAGGCTGAGACAGGAGAATCGCTTGAACCCAGGAGGCGGAGGTTGCAGTGAGTCGAGATTCCACCATTGCACTTCAGCCTAGGCAACAAGAGCAAAACTCTGTTTCAAAAAAGAAAAAAAAAAAAAAAAAAGAGAATGTTCATTCTACAACTAATAATTCCCCAAAATGTTTTCCTTATTGGTAAATTGGAGTTAATAATTGTATCTACTTCATAGAAATCTTAGGATTAAATGAGTTAATAACTTTAAAACAAATAGGCTAATAAAAGTTAGCCTTGTTATCACTAGTAGTAGTTGTTGTAGTAACTGTAATAGTATCTTTATTACCCTTTTTAACTGTGTACCATAGAAAACTTGCACATAGCCCCTGGAAGGCCTGAATGAGAATTCTCGTAACATTACTGTTTACAATAGCAAAAAATAAATAAATAAATAAAGGAAAAAGGAAAAAGAAAACAACTTACTCATTTAAGAGGGAATAAACTGTTGGTATATTCAGATAACGTCATATAATAGAATACTGTATAGGAGTTACACATATCATGAGGGATAAACCTCAAAACGATATTATTGATTAAACATTTTTTGGGGGAGGAAATAAATTATTATACCAGTTAGACTAAAATAAGCAAACAAACTGTATATACTTTTAAATGGATAATTACAAATGTTTTAGAAAAATATATGGAAACAATAATCCCCAAATTAAATATTATTGATACCTCTTGGGATAGATGGGTCTGTAATCAGAGATGGAGATTTCAATCGGATTGTTGTTTTATTACTTAAGTTGGGTGTTCACTGTACTGTTCTTTGTATATTTTGTTATATCCTAAATGTTTCCCCCTTAAATAAATGATCAAACAGCAACAGAAAAGACTAAATAGCATACTGGTGAATCAGATATTTGCTTAAGTATTTGCTGTGAATAATAGTTATTTGTTAGCTTAAGAAAATTAAAAATTGAATATTAGAAGTGTACATACATATAAGTCTGAATAGAGCTTGGTTGAAAGCAAACCGAACACACTGTGGAAATTCATCCATCAAGCATTTACTGGTAGATACCCATAAAGTTAAGGAAGGCAGGATAGTTGACCTGAAAACTAACAGAGTGATCGACTTAGCCAATTAAAGTGAGCTGAATTGCTCTGTCTACACTGAGTTAACAAACAACAACAGCAAAAACAAAACAAAACAAAACAAAAACCAGACAAACAATAAGAAACGTTTTGTTGTTCTGTGGCCCTAGGGCAAGTCTTATCTACTTATGTCTGAACGACTTTTACACTACTCTCTGGTTGCCTTTTATAATTTCCAGGTCAGCATTTTCTCTCATACTTACATTTCTAGGGGGTGGTATACCATTTGAAGCACATATCAGAGTCCACTCATTTTTTCAAACAGATATTTATTAAGAGTCTATTAAGATTCCAAACGTTGCGAGACATTGACCCAATCTTTGTAAACTGAGTGTTTGGAAAACACTGAAGATTAACTGTCCAAATGAGAGAGATACGACCTAAATGGGCCAGAAAGATGGGGAGGGAGGATGCTCTGAGCAACCTCTGGCATGTTTTTAAAATATCCCCCAAAGCCCAGGCCCTTTTACATTATGCTAGGATTATCAATAATTATTACTAAAAATATTTTTAAAATCACATTTTCAGTAAGAAAGGGTGAGAGACAGTTCTAAGATTAATTTATCTTTCTACTTAATCTTGGGGCCGATTTTTAAATCCATTTTAAAGTCTTACTGTGGCTTCACTGTTCCAGCTCATAGTCCAGAAGTGTTAACATAAAACCACGTTGCATGTTGAAAAAGCATTTCAAAGGAGCGAACCTCTTCCACCAGCACCGAGGGTATTGTCACATGACACCGAGTGAGGTTTCTGAAGTGGAAATTTGCCTTGGGAAAATCTTTGCAGTTTGAGGGATTTCTGTAGACACAGTACATGGTGGTTTGTTTGTTTTCTCCAACTGCCTTATCTGCAGCTTCCATCCTTGGCACAGCATCATTGTCCTTTTATTTGTATTTACCCACAGAGTTTATACTACTAGTAATAGTTATTATCATTGTATTTGTTGTTATAGAGAAGATTAAATTGAGTATTGCCACTTGGCAGTCTCTGTTCAAAGCAATTTAAGTTCTTCCAGCTCAATCAGTCTAAGACCACCAGGGACAAGCTCCTAGTCCCACTAAGTTGGGTTGCTGATTCATTGCAATGAGGGAGAGCACACATCAGAGGAAGTGTGGGGCATCTTACCAAATAAAGGAACCAATGCAGTTATTACAGGATTTTGGAGAAAGGTGGAGTTTTAGGCAAGATTAAACTAAAGTAGTATTCTGATGGGCTCAAAGCAAAGCAGTGCCATATTTAATGGATCAACATTATATCTGGACACAAAGTAGACCCAGGGTTGGTCCTGTTAAGGTCCTGTTAATTACTTTGAAATACCAAAGTTAAGGTAGATGTAAAATATTGCAGCCAGAAACCTCTTATTTGAAGGTTTGCACATGAGTTGTTAACTCTGGGCTGCTTTTTTTTTTTTTTTTTTTAATGTTAAAATAGCTGAAATCTTCCAGGTAAGAGGGGGATGTTTTTATGGGAAACCTCCAAGAACAGAGACCAGTAGGCTCACACGGCCAGCAAGGAAATGGGACCCTAGTCCTACAACTGCAAGGAACTGAATTTGGGCAACAACCTGAATGATCTTGGAAACATTCTTCCCCAGAGCCTCCAGAAAAGAATGCAGCCTGGCCAATACTCTGATTTTACCATTATGAGACCCTTAGCAGAAGAGCCAAGGGAGCCCACCCAGACTTCTGACCTACAGAAACTGTGGGATAATAAATGTGTGTTTAAAAAAACTGAAGCCCAAACCAAGCAACCAAGCAATCCAAGAGAGAGATGTTTCATGCATACTGATGTGATTTCAACATCACATTTCTGATAGTCTATGACTTTGAAGAACAAAGTTTCTCACTAAATAAGAAAGCAGATGTCACCCAACGAAGAGGGTTTTATGACACTTTACAAGAGTGGTGTGTCCTTGCAAGAAATATCATTAGCTGTTAACTTTGCAGCTGTTTTCATCTTTTGTCTGTTATCCAAGCCTGATGAATGGCCAGACATTTTTACTTTCTCAGTCCAAGCTAATGTTTACTTTCTCAAAGTATTAACTTATTTAATCTTCAAAACAATACTTTGGAATAGGTGATATTATCATTCCCCTTTTTATAGATGAAGAAACTGAAGCATCAGGAGTGATAAGTTGCTTAAGGGGCAAGAGGGAGGTCGTAAGGAGTGGTACCAGGCTTCAACTCAGGCCATCTGCTTTCGAAACCAAGTACTTGGGTGGACTACTAATTGAGCCCTTACACACAGGCCAGTAACAGATAGTACCTTAGCAAATGGAAAGAAAATTCCTCTTAGGGAAGAAAAATTATTTACAAACATTTTTCAGGCCAGAATGTGAGATGGGTTAGTCCATGTGATAGCACCAATAAAGAAGATAATTGAACCCTCCATATTAACAATAATGAAAGTCCTAATGCTTGCATGCACTCATACGTGCTAGGGGCTACATATGTGTATTAACTCACTTTAAAAAACATTATATATGTTAACTCACTTTACAAATCACTTGTGAACTAGGGTGGTTCCTATTTCACAGACACGGAAAGTGTGGCCCACAGGTCTAAAGTACCTTGCCCAAGGGCACACGAATTGTAATGGATAGAGCTGGAATCCATACCCCAGAGGCCTGGTTCCAAAGCCTGATATCTTAGCTATTTTGCTATATAGAAATATATGAGAATTAGAGGACACAGGGACAAAAAGAAGGGAAAGAGAAATAGAGGTGATGGGCTGGCTGAGCCTTATTGCAAGAGAATAGAAGGATTTTGAAGCTCAAATGGCAAATATTCATTTCAAAGTTATTTGCATTGCTGTAATATAAACATCCCTCTCTCCCCAAATCGCTATACATATAAAGGTCTTATGTAAATGTGATTCTTTGGTAGCGGAGGTGGCAGTCAGGGGAAAACTATGAGTTTCACTTTTGGTTAAAAAAAAGTTCCAAAATATGTAATGGAAAGTGTATAATTCACACAAGGTTGAAAGTAGAAGCCAGAGGGAAATAGAATTTACAATTCTTTTTGGTTGGGTGAGGATTTGTAACTTTCCAGAACATGCACAGAGATTTGAGTCAATCTCACCAAAGCCTTAAGGAGCTAGAAGACTTTAGTTAACACCCAAGTTGGATTTCCGTTAAGCAATTTCAGAGAGAACACTCTGAGTTGAATTTAATCAAACCAGTAGCAGGTGATATATTATTAACTGTTAATTATTTCTAATTATTTCTAGCATAGTATCAGGTACTTGGTAGTCCTAGAATAAATAAATATTTGTTGAATAAAAATAATGAAGACATTAATGACTGGTTATTTTTAAACCATAATGATTAAGGGACAGAAATAAATTAATTATTTCATTCTGATATGCTTATAGGCAATGAGAAAATTCTTTCCCACCCTCACACTGTTTACATCTTTATCTTCTGGGTTAGAGTATAGACTACAGATGGTTGCTAGTCCCCTCCTGTCTATGACAATAGCACCTGGTGCCTGTGTTGTGACTAAAAGCAACAAGTTGGTGGTACTTGAGTCATCAAGTTCTAGATAACTGAAGTTGATTTGAAGACATAATGCATGTAAAACGGAAAGCACAAAGTCTTTCATGACCTCTCCTAAATTTTTGCATTAACCATTTTCCAAAATGGAAAACTTTTTATAATGTATCATAACTTTTAAGTCCCAGTTTTCTGAACCTATTAAACTCTTTCTTTGTTTTCAGTAATTCATTTTTATGAACTCTCATTGACTGGCCAAATATTTACTGAGCACTCCTTTCTGGGCTGCGATGCAATGGTGGTCTTGAGTGCAAGTAGTTGGCGGCATTCTTGGTTTCAAATAGCAGAATCCACTCTACCAGTTAAATAATAAAATACACTTATGCCAAGATACTAAATAGCTTGTAGCATTATAGAATGTAAGAGAATTAGACATGGAGCCTATGCAGTCCGGAATGATGGCCAAATGACACCAATGGCTGCCCTAAGAGAGACCAAAGTTCTGCCACCATCAGGCACCAACCCTACAGGTTTTACTCTCTGTGGGGTGCTATCTCAGCTACTGTTTCCTCTGAAGCAGGCATTCTCTCTGCCACAATTATTCACCCTCAGCAGAGAATGGGTTCCCCATGGCAACTGCTTTCTCTTCCAAGTCCAAGTTGGGAATGTGTGATGGAATGGGGTTGAGGTCACATGTCCATGCCATAATTACAAGCAAATAAATGATTATAGCTCCTACCTAAGGGTGGCAGACTTAAAAGAGGAGAAATTATCCAAAAAATAGAAAGGCCACGTCAAACAAGCTGGGTAGTCACATACATGGCACATGCCCACTACAGCCATGAAGTCATGTGGGAGGCATCTTTTTGACAAGGAGGGCCCTGCTTTAAAGGATCTTAGCTTGCTGCTTCATTTTACTTGGTCTTTCTTGGTCTTATCTCTTCTTCACTCTTAGTTGTCATTTATTCCCACTACTGGTTAATGGGGGAAAAATACTCTTTATTTTTAATTAGTTATGATGGGTATAATTTATTGAGCTCCTAGTATGTTCTAGGCTCTATGTAAGAAAGTTTTACATATATATATATTTTTTGTTGTTGTTTGTTTATTTTATTTTATTTTATTTTTTTTGAGATGGAGTCTCACCCTGTCGCCCAGGCTGGAGTGCAATGGCACGATCTCGGCTCACTGCAACCTCTGCCTCCCACGTTCAACCGATTCTCCTGTCTCAGCCTCGCGGATAGCTGGGACTACAGGTGCGCGCCTCCCTACCCAGCTAATTTTTTAAACTTTTTGGTGGACACGGGGTTTCATCATGTTGGCCAGGCTGGTCTCGAACTCCTGACCTCGTAATCCGCGTGCCTCGGCCTCCCAGAGTGCTGGGATTACAGGCATGAGCCACTGCGCCGGGCCAGTTTTATATATATTTTAAATTTATTTCTCAAAAAACCCTTATAAGCTCATGACATAAATATTATTCTCCCAGCCTTGAATTTTGTAGGTGAGGAAACTGAAGCTCAGAGCAGTGGAGGTATATGGTTGGGATCTGTACTGAGACACAGAGTGAGTGACAGAGGTGAAATCTGAGCCCAGGCCCCCAGGACTGCTGCCCTAGTACTCTTTTTGCCCATTATGTTAAATCTTTCACTTGCTGGTCAATCAGCCGTGAACTGTTCTCCAGGTTGACTAATTACTTACAGGTAACCATATTGACTTCTTCTGCTAAGAAAGTTAATGAAGTGCCCTGAATTCATTTTACTCACAAGAAATTCAAAAATATGAACAAAGTGATTGCCACACCGTGCACCCCTTTGAGAGAGAAAACAAAACACAACAGCTGCACTGTGTCAGAGTTAATCTTATGTGAGTTCTGCATGAATCAAGTTAGGAATACTGATCTTTCAAGAAATGCAGCCGCCCTGCACTGATTCCTGGGGATTTAAGACTCCATCTCCACATCTGGGGGCTCGTAGTCAGAAGGGGTCTTAACTGATAACTTTGTGGTCTGATTTGATCAGTCTCCTCTAGTATCTCTAACTAGTTCCTGTACTTTGACTCATCCCCCAATTTTCCTGACCTTCTTTGTTTTATCTACTGTATTAGGGTTCTGTAGGGAAACAGAACAAATAGGATGCCTATACAGTCATGTGTCATTTAATGATGTTGCTACATTCTGATAAAGGCATCATTAGGCAGTTTTGTTGTTGTGTGAACACCATAGAGTGCCCTTACACAAACCTACATGGTGCAGCCTACTACACACTTAGGCTATATGGCATAGTCTGTTGCTCCTGGGATACAAACCTGTACGTCCTGTTACTGTACTGAATACTGTAGGCAATTGTAACACAATGCTAAGTGTGTGTATATCTAAACATATCTAATCATCGAGAGAGTTCAGGAAAAGATAAAAAGATATACTACAAAAGATAAAAAATGATGCACCTGGCCGGGCGCAGTGGCTCACGCCTATAATCCCAGCGCTTTGGGAGGCCGAGGCAGGCAGATCACCTGAGGTCAGGAGCTCGAGACCAGCCTGATCAACATGGAGAAACCCTGTCTCTACTGAAAATACAAAATTAGCCAGGCGTGGTGGTGCATGTGCATGCCTGTAATCTCAGCTACTAGGGAGGCTGAGGCAGGAGAATCGCTTGAACCTGGGAGGTAGAGGTTGTGGTGAGCCAAGATTGTGCCATTGCACTCCAGCCTGGGCAACAAGAGTTAAACTCTGTCTCAAAAAAAAAAAAAAAAAAAAATGGTGCACCTGTGTAGGGCACTTACCATGAACGGAGCTTGCAGGACTATAAGTTGCTCTGGATAAGTCAGTGAATAAGTGGTGAGTGTATGAGAAATCCGAAGACATTACTATATGCTATAAACTTTAGGACACATTAAATATGTTAAATTTTTATTCAATAATAAATTAACTTTAACTTACTGTAACTTTTTACTTTTCAAACTTTTAATTTTTTTAACTTTTTGAGTATTTTGTAACATTAGCTTAAAACACAAAGATATTGTACAACTATACACAAATATCTTCTTTATATCCTTATTCAATAAACTTTATTTATTTACTTATTTATTTATTTTTTCTGAGACAGAGTCTTGCTCTGTCACCCAGGCTGGAGTGCAGTGGTGCAATCTTGGCTCACTGTAACTTCTGCCTCCTGGGTTCAAATGATTCTCATGCTTCAGGCTTCTGAGTAACTGGGACTACAGGCGTGCACCACCACGCCCAGCTAATTTTGTATTTTTAGTGGAGACAGACTTTCACCATGTTGACGAGGCTGGTCTTGAACTCCTGACCTCAAGTGATCCACCCATCTCGGCCTCCCAAAGTGAGCTTTAATTGATTAATTAATTATTTATTTATTAGACTCTTTGTTAAAACGACACACATCTGTACATTAACCTAGGCGTACACAGGATCAGAATCACCAATATCACTGTCTTTTACCTCCTCATTTTGTCCTGCTGGAAGGTCTTCAGGGGCAATAATACTCACGGAGTTGTCATTTCTTATGATGATAATGCCTTCTTCTGGAAACTCCTGAAGGACATGCCTGAGGGTGTTTTATAGTTAACTTTTTAAATAATAAATAGAAGGAGTACACTCTAAAATAACAGTACAAGTATAGTTTAATAAATACCTAAACTAATAACAGTCATTTATCATCACAATCAAGTATTATGTACTGTAAATAATTGCATGTGCTAGATTTTTGTATGACTGGCAGCTCAGTATGTTTGTTTACATCAGCATCATCACAAACGAGTAATGCATTATGCTATGATGTTAGAATAGCTCTGATGTTATTAGATGATAGAAATTTTTCAGTTCCATTATAATCTTATGGGACCACTGTTGTAAATGCGGTTTGTCATTGACCAAAACGTCATTAAGTGGCACATGACTATATATATATATATATGATATTGACTTATGCAATTATGGAGCTGGAAAGTTTCACATCTGCTGTCTGATAGCTGGAGGCTCAGGAAAGCTGATGGTCATTCATAGACCTGAGAACCAGAGAGCCAATGATGTAGGTTCCAGTTCCATTCCGAAGGCCCGGGAACCAGAGAGCTAAGGGCAGGGAAAGACCAAGTCCCATCTCAAGCAATCAGGCCGAGAGAGAGTGAGTTCAATCTTCCTCTGCCTTTTTGTTCCATTCAGGCCCTTAATGGAATAGATAAAGCCTACCCACACTGGAGAGGGCAATCTGCTTTACTCAGCCCACCAATTTGAATGCCAGTCTCTTCTGGAAATAACTTCACAGACACAGTGGAAAATAATTCTTAACCTGTTATCTGGGTATCCCATGACTCAGTCAAGTTGACACTCAAAAAATTACCTATCATGTCTACTAATACTAAATAGGGAAGCTGCAACTTGAAGTTTCTTTCCTTTTTCAAACTTAAATGACTCTATAGATTTTTCCATCCACCCGTTTACCTCATGGATAAAGGTTAACACAACGTAGTGTCCAAAATAGAAAGAATGATTATCACTATCTATCATGAACTATCTATGGATCCTCAAATATACCTCTTACCATGGCTTATGCTTTCCCCAGAGATGTTGGTTTTGAGAATATTAAGTCTGACTCCCTGTGAAATTCACATATACACTTAAAATTTAGACTCTTTCTTTCCTAATGGATACTAAATTTGGGAAAGACACATTGCTATTTTTTAAAAATAAGTTTGAAAAAAAAGTGTAAAACTAACTTAAAAAATGTTTTTTCCCTCCACCGAGATTACTTTTGTATATTTGTGCAGAGACACTAAAACTATGTTCCATGGAGTATCCAGGACATGTATGAGGGGTTTTGGGGGTGACAGCAGAAAGGAGCTGGGATACATGCAGACTCGTAAGTCCTCATCTGCTTCCCACGGCCACTCTCCTTGAACTTCTTTGTATTTGGGGCTCTATGTAAACTTTCATTTGAAAAAGGGATTCCACTATTCACAGAGTTTGGAAGCCACTGAGGTATGAAAGTGTTAAGAGAAAGAGATTTGCAAAGAGCTAAAAATAGACTTGCCATTGGATCCAGCAATCTCAATACTGGGCATCGACCCAAAGGAAAAGAAAGCTTTATATAAAGACACCTGCACTCATGATTATCACAGCACTGTTTACAATAGCAAAAATCATGGAATCAAATGTCCATCAATGGATGATTAGGTAAAGAGAATGTGGTACCTATACACCATGACATACTATGTGGCCATAAAAAAGGATGAAATCACGTCTCTTTTCCAGCAACATAGATGAAATTTGAGGCCCTATTTTTCTGAAATAACTCAGAAACAGAAAATCAAATATCACATGTTCTCACTTATAAGTGGGAGCTAAATAACATATACATATGGATGTAGAGAGTGGAATGATAGACACTGGAGACTTGAAAATGTGGGAGGGTGGGAGAGAGATGAGGGATGAGAAATTACCTGTTGAGCACAATACAATGTACATTATTTGGGTAATGGGTACACTAAAAGCTCAGACTTTACCACTATGCAAGGTATCCATGTAGTAAAATTGCCCTTGTACTCCTGACTCCATAAGTTTTTTTTTTGTTTGTTTGTTTTTGTTTTTTTTTTGTTTTTTTGAGAAAGAAAGAGAAAGAGATTTGTTCCTAGTCATTGAAAGGTGGAGGAAGCAGGGTAGGCTGCCCTTTCACCATTGGGTTTCAGTTAGTTTCTTTCTTTTTCTTCTCTAAGGTATGAATTCTTAGCATCCAAAATATCTATATTCATCCCTAAATTCAAAAATGTGCCCAAATCAAGTATATATATCTATATCTTTTTTTTTCTGAGACAGGGTCTCACTCTGTCACCCAGGCTGGAGTGCAGTGGCATGATCTAGGCTCAACTTCTTCCTTCTGGACTCAAGTGATCCTCTCACCTCAGCCTCCCAAGTAGCTGGGACTACAGGTGCGTACTACCACACCCAGCTAATTTTTGTATTATTTTGTAGAGTCAGGGTCTTACTATGTCGTTGCCCAGGCTGGGCTTGAATGACTGGGCTCAAGCGATCGGCCCACCTTGGCCCCCCAAAATGTTGGGATTACGGGTGTGAGCCACTGTGCCCAGCCTCAAGTATATATTGCTTGAACAAATCTGACATTTCGGATTTCCCTCAAGTGATCTTGTCCTTTAAGACAAACACTAAAAAAGTTCATTCTCCTCAAATAATTTGGATGGGGAGTTTTTGCAATAAACTAAGAAGAAATCAGCACCCTGTAGTACATTCCTTAGGTACTTTATTAAGGCTGAGGAGGTATCATATGAGTTGTAGAGATCTTTCTGTAATGTTCTACTTCTCTGAAAGACTTGAATTCACGGTGTGAAAATATAATTTTCACATGGCTTAGGATGTCAGGCTGGTTTCCCAGTTCTTACTCTGCTTTTATTTATTTATTTGCATGTAGCAAAATGTCTTCTGCTTTTTTTTAAAAGGTGAAGGCAGGCCAGGTGTGGTGACCCACACTTGTAAACTCAGGACTTTGGGAGGCCGAGGCAGGAGGAGCATTTGAGCCCAAGAGTTTGAGACCAAACTTGGTAACATACAGAGACCTTGTCTCTATTTAAAAAAAAAAAAAAGAAAAAAAATCTTTTAAAAAGGTCAAGGCATTGCCTTGAAAACTGCTGAGATAAGTCCCAGTGGTCTGATTATAGCTACCCTCAGCTCACTTGCTCAGGGCTGACACAAACATCTCAGCTTTGAGTGAGCACGGTGTTCCCCTCTCTGTGTGTAGATGTGTTTTCGTGTGCGTGGCTATGAATGTGAGGTCAACCAGGTGCTGGAAATGTTTGGTTGACATTATATGGCACATGGCCTGACTTTAACCTGACAACAGCAGGCCTGGCTATATGTGCCACCAATGGCAGGATTCATTTTATTCCTCTTCCGTATTTGGATGCTTGGCACTCTCGCGGTTCGCCCTGCAACAACCAATGGGCTTCTTCTCTGGCTCTTTTTCACGGTGCTGTGGCTGGGCTCTAGAATATAGAGTACCACTGGGTGACCTTGCAATAAAGAACGCAAAGCCCCCAAAATGGCACTGGGCTCATTAGCAGCTATTCTCCTCAGGTCCCCTGCACAGGGCAGACTTCTTAGGAGGAAGAGAAGCAAGATAGGATCAGAATCAGGTCCTGAGTCAGGCCCCAAATTATCGCTGAGTTTCGTTCCTGGCAGAAAAGCCCCACACCTGACCCCAAGCATCAACCTGCAAATTGGCCTTCAGAGTTCTCCTCGGTGGCTCGACAGAGACCAAACACTGCAATGAAGCCTGGGCCAGGCATTCAATTATCCTGTTTCTTTTCCATTGCTCTGGTGGCTCTGGATTGAAGGGAGTCCCTCTGCAGCCACAGAGGGCAGCCCTAGCTTGATTGCTCTGCTCTGAGGGACAAGATGCCAATTGAGTCTTGATTTCTTTTTTTCAAATGAGTTATTTTTAAAGAAGTCTTTAAATGACTTTTATCATTATTGCAAGCTGTGGAAGTAGATCCTTCTTTCTTCACACGTAGGGAGGAGAACAGGGAAGCCCCTTGTAAGGATCAATGGTTTATATTGGGACTTTGAAGTATACATTCATTCAACAAATATTTATTGAGGGCACATTATGGGCCAGTAACTTATCTAGGCCCATCAGGGTATTCATCAGCAAACAAAACAAAGCTCTCTTGCTCCTGGCACCTGCATTTTGGCCATTAGATGTATTAAGACTCACCCAGAAGGAAACAGTGACCATTGTCACAGACTGATTCCCTAGTACTGTGAAATCAGGGCCATGCCTGCCTTGCTCAGGGTCCGGTACACATTCATGTTCACCACAGCACACAGCCAAGCTTGCTGGCATCTCCAACAGCTCACAGTTCCTCAGGGCAGTGCAGATGAAGGTGCCCCATGCCCAGGTATCAGGGGCTTCACCAGGACACCTGCTGCAGCTGACATTTGTCCCTTCTTCCACCCTCTGGCTTTGGTAGGTTGTGGAGGACAGCTTGGTACCGAGTTTCATAGATCTCCTGTTAATTTTTCATCGTCGGAGTTGATGTCTGTCTAAAAACAAAAAACCTAATTTAAAAAAATGGTTCAAGAGGCTAGGCGCGGTGGCTCACTCCTGTAATCCCTGCACTTTGGGAGGCTCAGGCAGGTGGATCACCTGAGGTCTGCAGTTCGAGAGCAGCCTGGCCAACATGGTGAAAACCCGTCTCTACTAAAATACAAAAATTAGCTGGGCATGGTGGCAGGCGCCTGTAATCCCAGCTACACAGGAGGCTGAGGTAGGAGAATTGCTTGAACCCAGGAGGCGGAGGTTATAATGAGCCAAGATCATGCCACTGCACTCCAGCCTGGGTGACAGAGCAAGACATCATTTCAAAAAAAAAAGGACCAAGAATGTGAGCAGACATTTCTCAAAAGAAGCTATACTAATGGTCAACAGCAATATAAAAAAAGTGCTCAATATCACAAATCATCAGGAAAATGCAAATCAGAACCACAATGAGATGCCACTTCATACCTGTTAGGATGACTATTATCAAAAAGCTATAAGATAACAGGTGTTGGTGAAGATGTGCAGAAAAGGCAACCCTTGTACACTATTGGTGGGAATGTCAACTGCTACAGCCATTATGGAAAACAATGTGGAGATTTCTTAAAAAATTAGAGACAAACTGCCATAAGGTCCAGCAATCCCACTTCTGGGTATACATCCATAGGAAAGGAAATCAGTATGTCAAAGCGACATCTATACTCCCATGTCATTGCAGGATTATTCACAATAGCTAAGCAAAGGAATCAGCCTAAGTGTCTATTGATGGATGAATTTATAAATAAAATGTTGCATATGTATACATACACAAGGAAATATTATTCAGCTTTATGAAGAAGGAAATTGTGCTATTTGCAAAAACATGGGTGAAACTGGAGGACATTATGCCAGGTAAAGTAAGCCAGGCCCAGAAAGACAAATACCACATGACCTCATTTATATGTGGAATCTAAAATAGTCAAATTTATAGAAGTAGAGAATAGACTAATGGTTGTCAGGGGCTGGGAGGGAGAGGTAAATGGGATGATGTTGGTCAAAGGGTACAGCATTTCAGTTATTCAAGATGAATATGTTCTGAAGATCAAATGTATAGCGTGGTGACCATAGCAATACTGTATTGTATACTTGAAATTTGCAAAGACTGTAAGTCTTAAGTGTTTTCACCACAAAAAGGAGAAAAAGAAAAGAATATGTTAACTATATGAGGTGATAAATATGATGTGGTTATCATTTCACAATGTGTCCACTTTTCAAAACATCAAGTTGTATATTTTAAGTGTATATTTTTTATTTCTCAATTATACATCAATAAAGCTAACAAAGTTCTATCATCCATCTCTCTCTCTCTCTCTCTATCGATCTATTACCTATCTACCTATCATCTCTCTCCCGTCTTACATGCTCTTCTCATAATGTGACAACCACTCCTCCCACTGAAAGGTGGAACTACATTCCCTCCTCTTGAATCTGGGTAGGGATCGGGGGAGGGCTTGTTACCACCACAGATTATGGTGGAAGTGATGCTATGTGACTTCTGTGGTTTGATTCTCAAAAGTGATATAGCTCTTACTTTCTCTCTCTCTCTTTCTCTGTCCATGAGACTTGGGAGCTCTGAACCACTGTGTGAGAAGTCTGGCTACCTGCAACTCCCATGCTTGTCAGGCCTTGTGGGGGGACTGCATGGAGACAGGGCGAGTTGTTCCAGCCCACACCTGTTTGAGATGACCCCAGTCTCAGTCACCACCTGACTGCGATGTCGTGAGAGACCCTGAGGCAGAACTGCCCAGCTAAGCTGCTCCTAAATTTCTGTCTCACAGAAATCATGAAGTAATCCGTGATTATTGTTTTAAGCCACAGAGTTTTGGGGTGGCTTGTTACGTAGCAATGGATAACTAATACAGAAAGTTTCATAGTCAATAGACATGTAGTCCTTAGAAATTAGTTTACTGCCCATTTTGGTTGAATGTCTGAAATTCAAACATTCAAAAATAATATTTAACTTTTGTTGTAAACTTGGGATATATCCAGCAGGCTCTGTTTTAAGTGCTTTGCATAAATTAACTCATTTAGTTGCTGTAGCAACTCCTCACCTCAATGTGAAATAGGTGTAAAAAGGAAGCACAGAGAAGTGAGGCAACTTGCTTGATGTTGCACAGCTAGTAAATGGGAGATGAGGAGTTAACAAATCACATACAAATATTGCTCCATCAATCTAAAATTACACAGATCACAAAGTAATTTTTTGAACCTTGCTGGGACTTAAATGGAATTTGAACACAAGAAGTACTGTCATTTGGGAAGGAGAAATTGATATCAATGTTCTTCATTTTGGTGAAATTTAAATGAAAATAAAAGTAAAATTATGCAGGAATTTAGACCAGAATCTTGTGCGTATACATCTGTCTCTCTAAAGTATAAGAATAGCCCATTATTCTTGACCCTTTTGGCCACTGGCATGGGAGCCACCTGAAGGCAGAGACTGTGCCTTGTTCATTATGTTTTATTTGTTTCTAGGACATAATAAGTTCCCAGAATGTAGTTGTGCACTAAATAAATAGATGTGAGTTTTCAGATAAAAGAGATTACACTAGTACCTCCTTCTTCATGGTTTTATTTTCTATGATTTTAGTTATGTGCAGTACAGTACAATAAGATATTTTGAAAGAGATCGTGGAGACCACATTCACGTAACTTTTATTACAGTATATTGTTACAATTGTTTTATTTTATTATTAGTTATTGTTGTTAATCTCTTGCTCTGCCTAATTTATGAATTAAAGTTTATTATAGGTATGTATGTGTAGGAAAAAATTATATGATCTTTAGGGTCCAATATTATTCACGGTTTCTGGCATCCATTGGGGATCTTAGAACGTATACTCCCAAGATAAGGAAAGAACTTTAAATATTATATAGCTTTGTATTCCACTACTTGACTGTGTCTGGGGTATAGCAAGTGCTCAAAATGTTTGCTAAATGAATTGGTTCAGCAGATTACAGGTTTTAGCTACAGTCCTAAGAAGTAGCAATTTTATGGAAAGTAGTTAGCTTATGTCTCTCCAAAATGAACATATTTCTTTTAAAGCAGCTTTAGAAGCCAAATGCCCTTGCTTTCTGGAGGGAATAGAAATGTTTTCATTCTATACCTAATGAAGAATAAGATTTTTTAAACTTTTTTTCTCTTTCAAAGCTGATACATTCACCTACAACACTGGTCTATGTTATTTGGAATTGAAATTAAGCTTAGAGCTGTACCTCCATTTCTTCGGCCTCTATTTCATGTTGAAAGAAAATAATTAGATTCCTAGTTTTAAACTCCCAGGTTACTGGAGGCTGGGTATGATGAGGAAGCAACCATGCAGGCCATTGGAGGAAATACGCTTACTTAATTTCATGACCATAACAGTTGGCCGTGATAGGTTTGCTGGCACTGGATCACCCCAATATGATGTTCTTCTATAGTCATAAGGCCATGGAGTAATCACATTGTCCAATCACTTGACAATTGAAGAAAATGGAGACTACAGAGAGGTGAAGTTGCTTGCCAAAGTTTACTGTTACTAGCTGAACTAGAAATCAGGTCTCTAGAATCTAAGTGTCATTTGCATTATTTCAACATATTTCATTGTTGTCCATAAACTAATGAATGAGTCTTGTACAGGTTTCTTGATGATAACAGCTGTGCTTCTCTCCCCTATTATTTTTTTCTGATACCAAGGATCAAGCCCTACATATCATGAGCTCAGTCTATCATGGGTCTACCCAAAACAACAGAAAAAGGGGTTCCCATCACCTCCACTCATTGCGTAATAGAAAGGGAAGATCTCCTGGGCACCTGCATTTCTGCTCGTTAAATAATTCACCCAAGATTTAAATGACCAAAATCCCATGTTCAGTCAATCCTCATAGAAAAATCATGTGGCCTCACCTAGATATTGTCCTTCCTGAGGGAGGGGCTGACACTGGCAGAGAAAGGGCAGAATGGATGCCTTGGAGTCTTCCATTTGAGAAACACTGAAAGCCGATGTTTATTCCAGTCTGCTCGGTATTAAGTCTGATTATGTGTCTTCTACTCTTGGGGCACAGTTCCCATTCTGTTTTTCCAAAAGTGTACCTTCTCCCTTCACTCCTTCCATAATTCTCTGTCTGATAAGGTTTTTTGATCACAAAGTTGGTTACAGGAATTAACTTTGGGTAACTTAAGAGAACGTGGTTCATTGGGAAGCTCACAGAACGTAAGACAGGTGGAGACTGAGAGAAACCAGGTGGGAGCAGCTTGGTCAGGAGGCTGCCACAGGACTGAGCACTCTTTTGTTTAAGGCCACTTGTCTGTCTATTTGGGTTTTATGTTCCATGCTATGGCTGTCTGGTGGTTCTTGCTTGAGTCATTTGACTCAAGTGAGTGATTCCAGCTAAGGAGAGCAGGGCTCTGGTCATATTCCAACTTAGAGTTCCCTGAGAAGAAGACCATGAGACAAGGATTCAAGCACAAGTAGTATATTTGGAAGATGATCCCAGGAGGCACCTGGAGGGCACTGGGAAACTGAGACAGGGAAGAGAAGGCAGCTGGTAACCAGGCTAACCAACCCCGCTGCCACTGGGCACCTGGAGCTTAATCCCATTGGGGAACTTGGAGAGCTTGTGTAGAACCCACACTGCAAAGTTATTCCACCCAAGGGCAAGGGAGCTGGGATTTGTATTCACCAGCTCCCATCAGTCATTGTTTGATAGCCCTTGGGAGGAGGTGGTGACAGTCACTCTACAAGCACTTCTGGCATGCCACAGGCACGAGTGGTCTCAGAAAGCAAAGCAGAGGCTGGTAGCTGGAAGCCAAATGGTCTTATAGTAACATAGTATCTTAGTTTCTTATCAGTTTCTATCATTTTCCTATTAATGTTCTAATTATCACAAATGCAGTGGCTTAAGACAAAAATTTCATTTACAGTCTGTAGGTCAGAAGTCTAAAATCAAAATGCTGAAGGGCTGAATTCCACCTAGAGGCTCTAGGGGAGAATCTATTGCCTTGCCTTTTCCAGCTTCTAGAAGTCACCTAGATTCCTTGGCTCATGGCCTCTTAGCATCTCCTCCCTCTGGCTCTGTACACCTCTTCTTCCATCATGACACAGCCTTCTCCTCTTCTGACTCTTACCCCTCTTGCCTCCTTATGAATACTCTTGTGATGATATTGGGTCCACCCAGATAACCCAGAGGAATCTTCTGTTCTCAAGATGCTTGACTTTACCACATCTTCAAAGTCTCTACCTGTGTAAAGCAACATAGTCACAGGTTCCAGGGATTAGGATGTGGTCATCTTTGAAGGACTGCTGTTCCTCCTTCTACACGTGGTAAGGCCTGAGGCTGGCTGGCTTTTCCCCTGGACAGGAGGAGGCCACTGTGTATAATCTTGCTGACCATTCAAGAAATAACACATTTCTTTTACAGAAAAACATTTTCTTCTTTTGTCATAGAGTAAGTTGTCCTCCCTATTCTCTCTACTTGGTTTAAAAACAAAGGCAGATGAAGAAAAATAAAAGACTTTGAATCTTTGATCCCAGATATGAAATGATTAGTGACCCAGTCCTGAGTGCCTTTGGGATTTCCGCTAATGATTTCACAAGGTTCCCATTGATTCCCCCTCAACTGAGAGAACTTCAAATACTCACACCCTCTTCTCCTTATCCAGGTCACTTCCCACTGAGAGCTGGTTTACACCCATTTCAAACACCATCTCCAAACTGATACCTTGACTACGAGATCAAGTGTCCAGAATGTAACAGAAGCTGCCTAATATTTGGTAGAAGAAGAAAGGGAAGAGGAGAATTCAGATGCTAATGGAGAGTATGTATGCGCGCATGCACACGTGCGTGTACTCACATTCAGGTCCTCTGACATCAGAGTAAAACCCTGTGCATAAACCCAGAGGCGAGGCTGGCCTGGAGCCTTTAAACAGAAGTGAGGGTATGGTCCTTTATTCTGGATCAACTCTTGGCAGATGTAATGAATCACCTCTGGTGCTTTTCCCATGTTGCTGATATGCAGAGTGCTGAGGGTGGGAAGTGGGGGCCAAGGAGTCCGAGCCCCTGACCCATCCCACACTTTGGTGTAGACCTCGCTCCCAGCCTGAGGTATGAGCAGAGCCGGCTTGGAGGAAAATTCTGACACTGCCTTGGCATGATGGGCCTTTCCCTGAAGGGCTGTTTCAGCTGCAAGGCAAAACTGTTATTCCGGGTTACTCTGGGAACAAATTATAAGAATCATTTCCCCAAATGCCCTCTCTGATAGAGTTCCCACACAGTCAGAGGAAATGAAATCTCCCTTAATCAATTCCACTGGTTTGGTGTCAAGCTCCTAAGCCCCTCTGAGGCTCCAATACCGCCTGCCTCCTCGTTCTCTGCACACATTACCATAAATCACTTTCCATATCTGACCCGGGCAATCCTGTTCATACTTAGGGAGCTAAATGAAACATGCCCGAACTGTGTGTGTTGGTTTATAAATATAATTCCAAATACCAAATTTTGGCTAATAATAGTTTCTTCTAAATATAACATTCTAGGCAAGGGACAAACCCTAACTCTCTGACCTCCCTCCACCCCCCAAAAAAACACACCACTGTTACTGTTTTTGTGTGGTCCTGGTCCTAAGCTATTACATAGACAAGCCTTCTGAGGAATAACTGATTGAAACTATAAGATATCTTTCCAGCCACATTTTCCAAGCGAAGTTCACTTTTATTTTATTTTATTTTGTATTACCAGAGTTCCCATGATAGTTCATGAATGTCAGAGAGGCCCCAGACTTTCAAGTTTGCTTTACTCATTTAATGGAAAACTGAAAAGGAGATGAAGATTTAAGTCATTTTCCCAAAGCCACACAGCGGGCTGAGTGTAGAGCCTGGGTGTTAACCAAGAATCCCTCTGGTGATTTTTCAAGAAACACCTGGCCTGGCAAGGAAGACGCTGCATCACAATGTGAGGGTGGTTTTTTTCTTCTCAGTCTTTGAGAGGTGTGAGAGTGTAAGAGGGGCCTGTGTGCGGTCTCTGGGACCACTACCCCCCTCAGTCAGACGCTCCTGAGACCCCTAAAGGCTGTTTCCAATCTCTGTGGGGTGTGGCCAGAGAGAATGCATCCACCCTCAACTTCACCACTTACGGCATTTGTAAAAATTTAAGTGCATCTGAAGGCTCTCCAGCTTGAAACCCTGCAGAGCGGGATGAAGCTCCCTGAGGGCTGTGGAAGCTGCAGCGTCATTTTGATACACAGCGGTTCTTGGAAAAAATACTGCAGCCTCAGCCGGTGGCCGCAGACTGCTGCTTCTTAAATGACTCCCCTCTGCCTTAGGGTTAATGTGTGAGTCCTTAAGGTGGCTCAGGAGGCTCAGAAGGCACCTGTGCAGTTCAGCTTCCTAACTCCTACCACACCGGAGCTGTTTAGTCTCTGTCGGTCTTGTCTCCTCCTGTACAAGCTCTGGGAAGGAAGGGACCATGGTTTTCTTATTTACATCTTTGTCCCCAGAGCTCAGCAGAGTTCCTGACACCTGGCAGGTGAGCAATTGTTGATTGTTGGAAGAGTGAATGAGATCAAATTACTTCTTCAGTTGACTGGAATGTGGACAAATGTCTCAAGTCAGGAGAACTTGAGGAAGCTCAGGTCACTTGCCAGGGTCAGACCATAATTTTGTGGGAAGGGAGCTTGACCCTGGAGGCCTTTGCTATGCTTACTTTGTGTTCACAAGGAGAAAATGGTTTGACATGAGCAAAAGGAACATTGAGACTGGAATTTCTGGTTGATTTATATAAGTATGTGCAGAAGAAATGACCATCACAGTCTTTCCCCTTGTAGGTGGGCAAAAATTGGCCTTAGTTTCTACTCATTTCTTGGAACAGAATTACATCTCATCTCCTTGGCTGTTTAAGCTGGGGATGGGCTCAATATTTATCCCCCAAAAGGTGAAAAGCACCTGCTGCAAGCCATTAACCACATCCAGTGACAGAACTCATGCACCTGCTGCTCCCCACCCTTGAGGGTGCCCATCTTTGCTCAAATTGAAACTACCCAGGTGAAACAAACACAACAGCCCTTTATGTTGTGATTTACTTCAGATGTTCGCAGGGAAGCAGTAGGTAGGCCTATGATATCTGGGATCCATTAGATGGCTGTATTGCATTTCTTTCCATTAACAAATGTTTCTTCTCCCAATGCAAGGGGTGAGCTCCGTTGCTCCCCAGAGTCAGCCTCTAGACTGTGTGGGGAACAAACATTAGGAAAACCAAAGTGAGGCTTTCTATCTTATATCTGTATGGAGCACTGTGGTATTCTGGGCTTATCACCCTTCCCTGTCAGGGAGTGGGAAGATGTGCTGGAACTTTCCCCTGGAACACAGCTGGAGTCCAGCTTGTTGGCTTCCAGACAATGTGGAGACAGCGTGGCCTGAGGCAGAGGCACTGAGCTTGTTGTCCGGAGACCCAGTTTCTGTTTCACCTCTCACACTAATTTGGATTAATGAGATTGTATTGTATGTCCTAAGTTTTTCCTCCCTCTCCACTCTTGCCATTGTTCACTGGGGGTAAGGTATCTTTTCTGGTCCATTGGCTTTGGCCTTGGTCAGTTGACTTGCTTTGGCCAATGGAAGGTGGATATGACAGGTTGCTAGTTACAAGCTGAGGCTCTAAGGGCTGTCACTGCTTATTTCTCTTCTGCTTTTGCCAGTGCCATGAGAAGAACTTGCCCTGGGTGGCTGCTGTAGCCTCCAGATAAGATGAGTCCCCAAGTACTACTGGTCAACCTGCACACTTGTGAGCAGAAGCAAATGTTTGCTGTTGTAAACCACTAAGTTTTGGAATTGTTTGGTACTTGACATTTGTATTAGTTCATTTTCATGTTGCTGATAAAGACATACCTGAGACTGGGAAGAAAAAGAGGTTTAATTGGTCTTACAGTTCCACATGGCTGGGGAGGCCTCAGAATCATGGCAGGAGATGAAAGGCACTTTTTACATGGTAGCGGCAAGAGAAAATGAGAGAGATGGAAAAGCGGAAACCCCTGATAAACCCATCGGATCTCATGAGATTTATTCACTATCAAGAGAATAGCATGGGAAAGACCAGCCCCCATGATTCAATTACCTCCCCCTGGGTGCCTCCCACAACATGTGGGAATTCTGGGAGATACAATTCAAGTTGAGATTTAGGTGGGGACACAGCCAAACCACATCAACATTATTGAAGCAATATTTGATTGACGTAAAGATTTCAAGTTCCTTAATGTTTGAATTTTTCTATTTTTGATCTGAGGTATGATTTGCATACTATAAAGTAAAATGAAGAAATTTTACTATTCTTACTGTTTGATGAGTTTTGACAAGGTTCCACATTCATGACCACCATCCCCAACAAGCTATTGACCATTTTCTATCACTCCAGCAAATCCCTTCATGCCCCTTTCTAGCAATTCTACCTCCCCCTCTCTAGAGGCAACTGTTTTTTAATTTCTATCACTAGCTTAGTTTGCCCATTCTTGAGTTTCCTATAAATGGCATCACACAATGCAATCTCTTTGCATTTGGCTTCTTTTGATCAATGTGATGTTTTTTGAGATTCATTCATGTTGTGTGTCTCAGTAGTTTGTTCTTTTTATTGCTGACTAGCATTCCATTGCATGAACATCCACAATTTGTTTACATGTTTACCTGGTGATAGACGTTTGGGTTGTTTCCAGATTTTGGCTACTATGAATAAAGCTGCTTTGTTTTCAGCAGATGTTTTCTTTCCTCCTTGGTAAATACCTGAAAATGGTATTATTGGGTTATAAGGCAAATTGTTTTCCAAACTGGTTATGATATATTACCTCCAATCAACAATTTATTAGAGTTTCAGTTCCTTCACATCCTTGCCTTGTGGATTTTAGCTCTTCCAGTAGGTGTAGAGTGACATTTCACTGCGTTTTTAATTTTCATTTCCCTGATGAGTAATGGTGGTGAGAATCTTTTCATGTGTTTATTGGGCATTGTTGTATCTTCCTTTATGATGTGTCTATTTAAGTCTTTTGTGCATATCTTAAATTGGATTTTTTTCTGTTTTCTTATTGAGTTGTAAGAGATTTTGATATGTTTTCTATATAAGTCCTTTATCACGTATAAACCTTGTAAATCTTTTTGCCTAGATCTCTGATTAGGATTGTAGATTTGACTATTTCTTCCTTCAGTTGTGTTAGTTTTTGCTTAATAAACTAATGTATTTTGAAGAACTGTTATTTGATGCATAATTTGAGATTATGTCTTCTGGATGAATTTCTTCTTTCATCATTGTGAAACGTCCTTTCTTATCTCTTGTGATACTTTCTGCTTTAAAATTTACTTTATCTGATACTAATATTATAGCCAGCTTTCCTTTGCTTTAAGTTTACTTGTTAGATCCTTTTCCCACCTTACATTTTCAATCTGTTTGTGTCTTTATATTTAGAGGATTCTCTTAGACCACAAATATTAAATAGTTGGATCTTACTTTTTGTTTTGTCAGTCTCTGCCTTTCAATGGTCTTTTCTTCCCACTTAAATTTAATGTAATTATTATTGTTGTTGAGTTTATGTCTATTGCCTTGATATTCATTTTTATTCTCTCACCTTTTTTGCTTTTTGCTTTGCTTCTCATTTCCTGTCATCTTTTGGATAAATGAAGTTTTTTCCCCCCACTATTCCATTTTACCTAGTCTCCTTATTTTTCTTAGCTCTACATATTTACATAATTTAAAAATAGTTGTTCTGTGTAATAATAAAAAATTTTAATTGTCACAGTTATATGCCTTCCCATGCCTGTAATGATTTGTAAGAGTACCACTAAATTTGCTTCTCTTCTAGCCTTTATGCACTTGTTGTCATTTATTTTACCATTATATGCTATAAACCCTACAGTATACTTTCATTAAATTTTTTGTTTTGGTCAATAGCCTTTTAAATAAATTTCCTATAATATAATACAGATAATTTAAAAGTATTTTATGTTTACCCTTTTTGGTACTCCTTGTTCATTACTATTAATCTGAGTTTCTGTCTAATACTTTCCTTCAGCCGGTAACATGTCTTTTAGCGTTTCTCGTAGTTCAGGTTTCTGTCTATAGAGGAGTCCTTTTCTTCCCATCACTCTGCTGGGGACACAGCAATCTTGAGTGTCTTCTCTCCTTGGAAGTGTTTGTTAATTTCTAGATTTTATTTCATTTAGGTTTCTTAGTGTCGTCAGCTCTCTAATGGGTTGTAAAATGATTTAGAGCTTACTTTTTGCTTTTTTGGCTAGGGTGGGTGGCAGTGAGAGTGTCTGGCAACTTCCTGAATCAGAACGAAAGTCCAAGATTTAGTTTCCTCTTTTTTGTTTGTTTGTTTGTTTGTTTTTTGAGACAGAGTCTCACTCAGCCTCCCTGGCTGGAGTGGTGCGATCTCGGCTCACCACAACCACCATCTCCCAGGTTCAAGCGATTCTCCTGTCTCAGCTTCCTGAGTAGCTGGGATTACAGGCACCCGCCATCATGCCCAGCTAATTATTTTTATTTTATTAGAGACAAGGTTTCACCATGTTGGCCAGGCTAGTCTTGAACTCCTGACCTCAAGTGATCCGCCTGCCTCGGCCTCTCAAAGTGCTGGGATTACAGGCATGAGCCACAGCGCCTGGCCAGTTTCCTCTTTTTAAGATGAGCAGTTTAGATTCTATTTATTTATTTGATCAATAAACATTTCTGAACAGCTCTTCCAGAAGCTCAGCATCCAGACTATAGCAAAGAATAAAGCTTTTCTTTCTATGACTCCTTAGATTGAAGTTTACATTTTTAATATGGCCCCAAATACCCTACTTTTATATGCTTTTTTTTAAAAATACTTTGCACTTCTTTACATTGATACTTGGTGATTCTGACACTTTTTAATTTAGTATTTGTTTCCCAGCTTGACTCTCAGCTACATAAAGGGAGGTCCATTCATTTTTACATGGTTGATCTGTGCTTTCATGTGCATTTTCTCCCCATCCTTCCTCCCACCCTGGAAATGCCTTTTCCTTCTTTATTCAACGATCATTCTCACTCCCCTCTCTTGAAGTCACCCTAAAACATCTCCTTCCTTCATACTCCATCCCCAAATCCAAACAGACCTATCTCTTTGACACGCGGTAAAAATGAAGTTTATGGCTCATTACTCAACTATCTCCGGATTTGAATTAAGAAAGCATATTCCAGGGTAACCCTACTGCCTGGGAAGGGTTGGTGTGCATTTTATTATCTGTGTAATACTGGTTATTAAATATTTTTGTAAATTGCTCCAACAGGACTATCAGTGTATTGCATGGTGTCTATCTCATAGTATGTGTACAGTACCTATGTGTTGAATAAATTAAGGGCCTCCAGACTGATTACATGGGATGGCACAGATTTGCCAGCTACTAGACTCTAGTTTATGCACTAAGGTACAAAAATAAATGAGGCCTTGTCTCTAGCCTTAATTGGGATTAATGCATATATATTAGACATGTACATTGTCCCATCCCAACTTTTTGCTCTGGTCATTGCTGTGGACACATGCTGCATTCAAACACAACCCAAGTACACTTGGCAACTCACCACATCTCTTGCTGTCTGCCTGATTGTCACTACTCCCTGAGCCCACCCTTGATCACTGGGGGACAGGATCTTTTGGATAAATACATACTCTTCTGTTTTTAGGTGGATAATTCTAGGCATACTTTACACAGACTCCCAGAGGACTCCATCCCCAGTTGATGAAGCCCAGTTGCCCAGCTCAATAATTACCGCTTGGATGACTTTCCCTCCTCTCATATTTTATTCTTCCCAGTCCTCCACTCCTGTTACCTGAAATCACTTTTCAAAATAAATTCCCTGTCTTAGCTTTGAGATTAAGCTGTGAAGAACTTCAGCTTCCATCATGACCTTTATACCTCTTGGGTCACTTGATCTGGGAGAATGCAGCTATCATGTCATGAGGACATTCAGGCTGCCTATGGTGAGGCCCACATGGTGAAGAATTTGAGTCTCTGGCCAAAAGTCAGTGAAGAGCTGACACCTGTCAACAACTGCATGAGTGAGCCTGGAAGCAGATACTCCAGCCACAGTGGAGCCTAAAGATGCCTGCAGCCCTGGCTACCAGCTTGACTTCAACCTCACGGGGACCCTGAACCAGACCCACCCAGCTGAGCTGCTCCTGGATTCCTGAGTGCTGTAGCTGTGTGGGATAATAAATGTTTGGGATAATTTGTTATGCAACACTAAATAACCAATGCAGAAAGGAGTTATAAGAAAATATGATGAACTTCGAAATTACAAGCAGGCATTTAGGTTTCCAACTCCAAAAACTATGATTACATCATCATTTAGGTCAACGCTGTTGAGATTAAATGCGTTGTCTTTAGAGACAAACCACCAACATTACATTATGCCTCTGGCGTGTACTACCTTTGTGATCTTGGGCAATTTGCTTGACTTCTAAACTAATTTACTCATCTGTAATATGGGACTGGAATTCATATCTATCTCAGAGAATAGAGAAATTTAAATGAGATGTTACATGCAAGCTTTTATTATGGTTCTTGTGTGTGATAAGCACTTAAAAATCATTAGCTATTATTCTTAAAAATAGTCCCAAAACTATAGGGACGAAGAGGTTAAAAATAAGGTCACAACTTCCCTTTTCTTGGTTTATTTGTAGTCTCTTCTAGCTATTTTCAAAGATAAATTCAACATAAACTTTTCCCCTTTCTTCTTAATCAACTTAGCTCAGGAGTCCAAGAATTTGAAGAAGTATAAAGGTATATTCAATACCTTTAATTAGTAACCGCTAATACATTTTCCCAATGTGCCAACAAAAAGGTTGAAAGTAATCAACTGGGGGAAGGTTAATTAACTCAATCTTTTATAATTCAGAACAGGCTGGGATGTGCTTCAAAACACTTCATTTTGGGCAGAAAGCCTTATGCCCAAAAGAGAAAGAGAAAGAAAACTCAATCCAAATTAAAGTTGAGACCACACAAACAACAAAGCCAAGAAGACTGACAAACAACTCAGCCTGAGTTCCCTTTTTTCTAAAGACCTACCCATTCCCACTCTCATAGTGGAGGCTGGTGCTGGGATTGTGGCTGAGATGATCCAATTGGAGGAAATGGGTAAGTCAGTTTCACCCAGAACAAAATCTGGATAGGCAAAGCAGGTGGGAGAACTAGTCAGCATCCTGAGGAAAGTCAAGTGTCACCTTAGCCACGAGATGACGTTTCTCTGAATGGCTCTGCCCTCTCCTTTTGTATCTTTCTCCCACATACCGACTTTCTTTGATTTCCTTAAAACTCTGCATCTGGCAGGTATCTTTTCTCTCTGTCATTTGGACTGTATGGATTGAAGTCACTGAACTGCCACTCATGAGGACATTTGTGTGTAAAATTTCTCCATCCTCCCTGATAGGATTTCAAGCATCAGGGGGACACTTGGGGCAGGACTTCTCAGAACCCAGGGAACCATTCTGGTTGGGCTAGTACCAAGAGCTTAGTAAAGCACCTTACAACCCAGAAGGGTAAGGCAGGGCCAACAGAGACATAAGCCCAAATGAAGAGCACAGTCTCTGGGGAAAGAGGTTGACATCTGCAGTTATTAGGAATTTCAACTAATTCCATTGACATTAGGGAATACATTTAAAGGAAAGAACCCCTAACCCCTTCCCCACTATTTTTTTTTTTTTTAGTATAGCACTTGTAGCCTGGGCTTCTTTGTGTCAGAATTTTATAATTAGATCAGATCAGCCTTACAAGAAAAACCTTCATAGTTACTTTTCCTTTTCTCCCAACCTGGCTGTGACTATGTCTTGGCCTTCTCTTGTTACCCATTATACCCACTGCAGTGCCAGCACACAGTGGTTGGATAACTGCATACCTCTGAGATGCATGAAAAGCCCACCCCTTCTTGCTGGGACTATCTGAGATAGTGAGTGTAACTTGAAGAAATGGTACCTAGCCTTTGTCCAGGCTTAGGATTTGAAAAAACAAATAAACATAAAATAGAAGACTCCTTTTTTACTTTCCTTCTTATCTTTAAATCTTAACCTAAAATCTTTTTTTTAATTTTTAATTTTTGTGGGTACATAGTAGGTGTATATATTTTGGGGGTACATGAGATGTTTTGATACAGGCATGCAATGTGTAATAATCACACCATGGAGAATGGGGTATCCATCCCCTCAAGCATTTATACTTCACATTACAATCTAATTATACTCTTTTAGTTATTTTAAAATGTATAATTAAGTTATTACTGACTGTAGTCACACTGTTGTGCTATCAAATAGTAGGTTTTACTTCTTTCTGTTTTTAATACTTATTAATCATCCCCACCTTTACCCCATACCCCCACTACACTTCCCAGCCTCTAGTAACCATTCTTTTACTCTCTATCTCCATGAATATAATTGTTTTGATTTTTAGATTTCACAAATAAATGAGACCATAGGATGTTTTGTCTTTCTGTGCCTGGCTTATTTCACTTAACATAGTGATCTCTAGTTCCATCCATGTTGTTGCAAATAAAACATCTTCTTTAGAGAGAGGAGAAGAGTCTTGAAAAAGAGCGGAGAAAAATTGAGGGGAAGTAAAAGGGGGAATGAGTGGAGTTCACAGAGGTTCATTCTGTAGGGGTTTGCATCCTAGCAGGGATCAGGCTTGCAACTGACAAAAGATGTGTGACCACTCTCCCCACTCCTCCCATCATCTCTCCACCCAGGAATTATGCTGTGGCAGGAAGTCACCTCTTAACTTTTCTTCTGTACTTGTGGGAGCAAGAGTTCTAAGAGGACATGATAAGTGTTTAGTTTCTTTGCCAATCAGTATCCCCGTAATTTTGGAAATGATGATTCTGGAGGCTGGGCATGTCATTTTTGACTGACCATCTGGTTCACTTACTGGTGCCATGAAAAATCTGCATCATCTTACCGCATCATTGACTACAAGGAGAATGTGTCAGGTCTAGATGTGTTTTAGCATGACCATCAACACTGCTAGGACTCTGGCATAGTTGAATGAACAATGCATCCAGATACTAGATGTGGGAAGTCCAGACTTGGTTCTGACGTGTGGGACAAGTCAGCTGACTCTTCCAAGCCACCAAGTCCACTTGTGCTAAATGGTGGCATCATCAGATTCAGTGAGCTATTCCTTCCTTTGTCCTTGTATGAAAGTTGAGATTTACTTTTTATCAGTTATTTAAAGATCTAAATTACACAGCAATGACAAATGTGCTTCTATGTTCAACTTCAACCTTTGGAATTAACTAGCTTTCCAGGTCTTACTTTGTTAAACTTAGGTCATGATCCACAATGTTCTCTCCAGGTTGATCTGTTCAAGTCACACTTAGCTCATCATCACTTATTTCTCTACTACTGGAAAAAATTCTGAGTAGGATTTATAGAATCTTGAAACACTATCAAATACTTGCTCTCATGTACAGACAGCTATGGAACCATAACATAAATCTCTCTACAAGCAGATGTGGTAAAATGAATCATTAGGCAAGCAACATAAAAATAAACAGCTCCCACTCATTGGATACTTTCAATGTGCCAGGTATATGTGCCATGTGCATTGCATATGCTAACTTTTTAAATCCTTACCACAACCCTAGGAAGTGGGATTTATATTTTTACACTTGAGGAAACACACTGCAGGTGGGCAGTCAGATTGTGTTGGACAGATTTTGGTATAGCTCTTCTAGGTTCCTCCAGACACCCCTTCCCATTTCCACAGTCCCTGGAATCAGTTTCAGTATACATCCTTCACTAGACAGCAGGACCACAGCCTACAGGCTCTGGAGTCATCTTGTCCTGGGGGTGAGTTCTGGCTCTATCCCTTGTTAGCTGTGTGATTTCATGGAGATTTCCAAATCTCCCTGGAATGCAGTTACCTCCTCTGTAGAATAAAACTAATCCCAGCTATCCGTCAGAGTTGCAATGAGGCTAAATGAATTCATAGGCACAATGAATTTGCCCAGCTAATGCTGATCTACTCCTACTTGTTCCTTCATTCTCCCAAATGCCCTCTCTTCTCCCTCCTGACTCATCTTGCTTGCTAAGTCATCCACTGTTTATTTCTTGTGCCTCCCTGGAAGAAAGATGACATCTGCTTCTTGTCTGTAAGCCTCTGTTGTGATTTCTTCACTCTTCTCTACCCACAAGTATTTCCTTTCTGGACTCACCAACTTCCTTAGGCTGGGATGCACCAACCTTCACATTCTTTGAAGAAGAGCCTGTGGGGACTCCATCCCAGTGCTTTGAGCAGCCTATCCCTCCTTGCTCAGTCTCTACAATTGCATGCTAGCATCCAAGAGTAGCCATGTAACAGCAGCCCAGAGAAGAGTCAGGGGAGGTTATTGGATTCGAATTATAAACAAAGCTATCCAAGAGTTGTATAATTAGATTGGAAGGAACACAGTTACAGCTGTTTTAAGGGTTGTGACCCAAACTGACAGAGATAGGAAATTCTGGGAGGCAGATGCCTCATCAACCTTGCCTTTGAATGGCCTGTTTTTTTTTTTCCTAATACATTGCTCCCCTTCAAGGTATTTTGAGCTTCTAATTTCTGAATTTTCATTTTTAAGGCATTTATAGAATGTTATACCTGGGATACTGATGGACTCCTTTGAAACTTAAATAACCCAAAGGAGCCATCCAAAACTCTGGGTGGAATATGTATTCATGCATTTTTAAAAAGGTATATTATATACATCAGAGACTTGGATGGCTCATTAGGAAGAGTTTGGTGGAGTGTTTAATTCAGGATTTAATGTGCTGTCCATGGACTAAGCTTACTGGGGCTGTACTAAAGCTGTTTTGTTTTACTTTATTTTCCACAGTAACATCTAAATCCTAAAGCATTTACACAAAATGACTAACTAATCATTTGCATAGTTTCATTTTTGAAATCGAAGGCTTTTTCAAGTTAGATGAAAACCAGACATACCTGATGCCAATATGCCTTCCGTGAAACTTAAATAATCTTTGTAAAACTTTCTTTTCTTCTTCTCCTTCTTTTTCTTTTTTTTTTTTAAATTACAACTCAGCTGAAATGAGAGATTTTAACTCTTGTCTCTTAGAGTTTTTTTGTGTGTGTGCTTGGATCCTCGCAGTAGAACTTTTGTGATTCCTCATAGAAAACAAGCTTAACCTGAATTAAACTATATAAGCAATTATTAATATTTTTTCTCTGGAATATTAATGCTTTTATATTTTTCAGGATTAAAAAAGATAGGATGGTAGTAGCCAGGATTTAGAGGGAAGCTAATGTGATGATTAACATTTTGGGAACTATCTATTCAAGATGTGAAACGACTGATTAGGTGGAGAGAGACAAAATTGACTTTCTGTACCTTGTGCATACTTCAGGATCCCCATTTTCCTAGTTCTTGCCCATCCACTTCTCTTTTCTTCATTTTTTTCCGCCAAAACATATAGATAGAAAACATCTCTCACTTTGCTGCTATTTCAATTGACCATATAGAAATATCTAAGTTTCTAGTGGGTCTATATGGGCTGCTGATTGCCACTGAACATTCATTCTTCTAAATCCTGAGGAGCTGCAGAGACAAGCAAATTCAGTTCTCATCTGAAGAGGAACAACCTTTCTTCTCTTGCTGTAGAGAGAATGGGTCACATTGAGGGTGCTGATGAAAGCCTGAGAGACACAAGCTCTTATCCCATGCCTCCTGAGCCTCCTAGGGTATCACAGCTGTGAGAGAAGATGCTAGGAAAGGTGAAGCATATGTAAGAAGCAACATAAAACACTTCTAAGCTATTTAACAGTCTAACTGTGGATAGAACATACAGAAACATACTGATTTGAGATGTAGTGGATGCTGAAAATTTCCTTCTCTAGGTGTTCTTGAAACTGGCAAAAGGTTTGTGTGTTCTTTAATCTGTTGTTTCTCATAGCATTAAGTAATGCATTGTGTTGTGGGTACAAGAAAGGGAGAAAGAGAAGAGACCAATTTTTTGAACTTCTGCTACGTGTCAATCAAGCCAATCACTGTGGTAGGTATTTTACATACATCAATTATTTTGTTCCCTGCCACCCAGCAAAATGATCATTATTATCTCTACTTACCAATGGAGAAGTTGAGGCTCAGGGTGAGAAATTGATCCATGGCATCATGCTGGATTACTCATTCTTGTCTTGGTTTTGCACATAGCTAGCTGTGCAACTCACATAGTATCTCAATTTTTCTCCTTTGAAAAATGAGTGAGTTGGACTAGGGCTTTGTGTATTCTGGAAGGAAGGTTCTGGATTCTAATATTCCAAGTATTTTCTGTGAGTTCTGTGATCTCTTCCAAGAGGGATAATTTAGGTGGCTCCCGTGTTCCACAGAGTCTGCAAACTCATCTGGCAGAGCAGGCATTAGTGGTCCCCAGTGCACTGGAAAACCAAAAGCATTATCTGAAACCTCCATTGTTAAGAACTGAGGGAAACATGGCAAAAGAGACTTTTCTGGATGGAGGAAGTGAGGGCTCAGATGACCGCTTTTTTTGTTGGTTTGTTTGTTTGTTTTTTTAAAGTGATGAGTTAAGGAATTGCAAGTTACCTTGCAAGGAAAACACAAGGTGTGAGATTTGTGATCAGAAACTGAAGTAACCCCTTGGTCACTTCTCAAATGTCTCTGGTGCCCCTTCCTACTTGGTCTGACTGCCACATCCTTCTACATTCAAGACTATGTTAAAATAGCTTAGACTTGCTTGCTTGATGTCTCCATTTTTTTAGTTCTTTCTAGCCTTCTTGCTAAGTCTTCCTCTTACCTCCGGCCTCATTTATTTTGGATAAGACTCTCCTATAAATCCCAAGATTACTTTGCCACTCTTAAGACTGTAAACTGGTTAATATGCTCTGAATGAAAGGCTATGGTAAGTTACTCTGCATGAGATGTAAATGCAACATCATCTGACACAAACTGCTCCTGGAACTCCAGATCTTTGTGTTGCAAATGAGCATTTCCATTTCAAGCCCTGGAGTAAATTATTTTAAAATACATTTTCTGTAAACACTATGGCTTTGGTTTCTGGCATGCTCCTCTTATAATCTTCAGTTCAGAGGAAAGACTGAGATCAGCTTTGAGCTTTTCTCTTAACCAATCCCTACTCCACTATCAAATAGTCCCATCCCTTGTGTAACTAATCCCTTTAATTTTTCTTTAGCTTGTGTGAGGATTTTCACCTTAAATTAGAAAAGTAACATATTTATAGACTAACTCATTTGTGATTTTACTAATTAAATTAGAAAAGTAATATATTTATAGACTAACTCATTTGTGATTTTACTAATTTCTGGGTCAGGTTCTTCTATCTTTTATAACATATTGATGATGCTAGGAAATTTTCAGCAATGTTTCAAAAAAAAAATCAGGATCTCAAGTGGAAAGCACAAATTAAAGACTTCCAAGCTAGATACAATGTTAGGTGCTGCACAAAATGTAGAGAAGTGCTGTTTATTCCCTCAAGGAATGTACATTCTTGTAGACAAATTCAAAAATTGCTGCCATGAAAGGCATGCCAATGTACTGTTGCTGGAGTTCAGAGTCAAGGGGACTGCAGGTGTTGGACTCATGTGGCAATGAGATCACTAACTGCTTCCTATCTCAGAGAGCTGCTGCTTGCAGGGACATCATGCTCTGTGGAGACTTATGGATCTCTAAGTGTATCCATCTTCTCTCTCTTATCATCTTGGAAAAAGAGTTCATACTCCTATCAAAGGCTAAGTCCTGCCCTCGAAGTTCAGCATTCAATCTCCTCGTGCTTTCAAAAATATTTAAGTAAATTAGAAGCTTTATTGAGGTAAGACTGACTTTATGTTCACATGCTATTTGGTTTCTTAGTAATACTTGAGATGGTTAGCACTCACTTCTCCTGGGAGAGTCTCCCATTTTCCTGCCTGTGGACATTACGCCTCCTGAATGCCCACTTCCTTTTGGGCTGCATTTCCTCTGTCCCCATTAAAGATTCCCTTGCTTTCATTCAACCCCAATTCTAGGATTTCTAAAGACTAAGAACTGAGCTAGAATCTTTTTTCTTTCTTTTCTTCCCTTCCCTATGTCATCTAATCCATTTTTATAATTTTACGTAGTCTTATAATAATAGCTCCTAATTGTGTTTATCTAAACTACATCTTTCCTTTAGACTTTTATCTTACTTATCCAATTGCCTGTTTCATATTTCCATGTAGATGTTTCACAGACATCTGAGACAACCATCCAAAATGCAATGTTTGATTTCCACCTCCCCCAAGCCCATTGTTGCTGATCTCAGTTTTGGCTCTAACAACCAACCACCCCATTTCTCAAGACAGAGATTGAGGTGTTTAGCCATAATTCATCCCCTTCCCACATATGATCATCAGTGAACCTGATGGATCTGTCTAATAAATGCCTTCAACCTGACCATTTCTCACCCTCTCTACTAGCATGCCCATGGCTGTGCCTTCATGATATTCATCTGGATTAATGCAACTGCCCTCTCTATTCATACTCCAATCTAAGGGCCACATAGCAGCCGTGATTTCAGCATGCAAATCTTACAGTTCTAATTTACCCTGCATAAATAACTCTGTTGTTTACCTTTTTTTCCATGCACAGACACTCAGTCATTCCACTTTTTGATTTGGGATTCTGCTTTTCTGCTCTTGCTTCTGACCCCATGAGGTTTCTAAGGGGTTTTCCAAAAACAAAGGGAGCTTCCTTTTAGAGAGAAATTCTGGTAAATTTTTTTTGACTAATAAAGTGTTCATCTCATCAGAAATGGAAACAAATGGAAAAGGTCCTTTGAAAAGTGGAGAGATTTTTGACAACCTGAGATGCTCAGGGATCACGACACACAGAGAGATTACACATGAAACACAGGGCTGATGTTTGCAGGGGTCATAATGTTGGTTTGAAGACAAGTGAGTTTCTTTGGCTTAGCTGGGGGAAAGATGTGCATGTGTGGTATGTGGAGGATCCCTGGAAAGGTAAATTGAGGCCCTACTGCAGCTATCCTTCAATGCCTGACTCAGAAATTTGAATCTGGTTCAACACAAGAAGTTGGAAGCCACTGAAGAGATTTTGAGCTTGGATGGGATGCAGTGGATGTCGTGCTTTAGAAATACCAGGCTGACACTAGTGGCAGGGATGGACTGGGATGGATTGGGATCAGGGAGTCAGAAGGTAGGAAGGCGAAGAAAGAGTCTAATCCAGCTGTGCAGATGAGAAGCATTGAGAGTCTATGCTGGAATGGCAGCCTTGGGTCACTTTCATTTGCTTTAAATATTTTTATGCTGGAATAAATATCTGTTTTCATTGATCCAGTTCTTCCCTCTTGTTCAATATAGATGCCATTGGCCCTTTAGATCTTTCCTTTACACTAAACATTGCCAGATACTGCAGCCTTTCTCCATATGCCCTCCCATTTTCATCTGCCCCTCTGGAGGCCACCTGTTTATCAATGCCCTGTCTAAATTTCAGGGTCAGAATTAAGCCAATTTCTTACATGTGGTTTGCCTACCATAGACTCTCACAATTACTCTCTCCAAATAAGTCATATCAAATCTCTGCTCACCTCATTCAATGTGTTATCTATCTATCTATCTGTCTGTCTGTCTATCTATCTATCTATCTATCTATCTATCTATCTATCTATCTATCTATCTATCATCTATCATGTCCGTGAAAACAAATGATGGTTCTAAATGATCCCTTGCAAAGAAGTAAACATTCCCTGCTTTTCATTCATTTGTCATGGCAATTTAGGTGATTCTCTTTTGTCTGATTTTGCTTGTCCTTGCTTGTTGCTGAAAACCATCCTGTGTCTACTGTCTCCACTTTACATGTTATGAATCAAGTTTGTTTCAGCTTCAGAGAGCATCAGCAGTGTTTGCTAGATACACAATCTAGTGTTTTTGTAAATGTATTGTAACAAGTATTTATTGGATGCCTACTGCATCTAGACATCGTTCTAGGTGCCTGGGATATTTCCATGAACATAATATTACAGGTCCCTGCCCTCCATCCCCTGCTTTTCCATGACTTACTCTATGGATAACAGGTAGCAGCAAAGGAACATTTATTTTCACTACAATAATGATTTTAAGGCACTGATTCAAATGGAAGGCATTTCAAGGGCAGCAGATTCTGTAATATAAGAGTGAGAATTTCCTATCTTTATCTAGATTATCCTTGCAGTTGGCCCTCTCCTTCATTTAAATTTCACCATTACTGGGGAGGGGAAAGAGATGTTAGCTTGATTCCCATATGGAAATTAATTGATGTTCTTCCTCACACTGGCTGGATAATTTAAAAATTAATATACTGTGCTGACAGCAGTACCTAAAGATTATAGAGGCTGACTGGTGAGCTGCAGGCACTTGGATCTGTCAAGCAGAATAAGAAATAGATAAAGCTAAATTACAGAACTATTAAAAATAAATTAGTAATGTCAAAAAAGCAAATTAAGATGCAGATAATCAATCTAATTTCAGAGTCTCTGGTGAGTGTTAATGCTTAATTCTTCTTGTGTTTGATGAAGGCATCTATTAATTAAAAATATTTACATAAAAATGAGCCTGCATAAGGTCTTTATTTCAAGAAGAACCAACTTCAATTGATTTGACTCTCAGAAGATGGCCTTGATTTTTGTTATGAAAGGCAAGACCTGCCTTCACACAGTCTAAATCAGGGCCAATTTTCCTAAAGTATTTTTGCCAGCTGGAGAAAACATTTGCCTTCACTTTCCTTCACTTTTTGTTTCTCCACTTTCTCTTCTGGCTTCTTGTGACCAACTCCAAATGATCCATCCTGCTTCCTTCTACTCCATAATTGCTCTCCATGCAGAGGTTGCAGCTGAGCACCAAAGCAGAGAAGAGAGCTGTGTTCATTACAATTTTTGGAGAAGGAGAGAGGTCAAATAAGCAGAGAAGTCACAAGCTAGGAGAAAGGAAGGTGCACTTCTAGAAGGGAGGGAGCAGAGCAGGATTCAGATGCCCTGAGCAAAGGCATGTGGGGGAGTTACCGAAGCATTTGGAGTCCTGGGGGTGCCCTGTGGTGTTGAAAAAGCAAATTATGGTCCAGATAATCAGTCTAATTTTAGGGGGCTCTCTGGTGAGTTTAACAGTTAATTATTCTTGTGTTTGATGAAGGCATCTATTAATTAAAAATATTCATAAAGCTTGCACAAGGTCTTTATTTAAAAAGGAACAAATGTCAGTTGAAATAGAAAGCTGTGAGAATTCTGGATCTGATGAAAGAATGGGCTGTCGTATTATAATTGACTATCCTTTTGCTTCTGTCTACTCAATATATTGGGTAAGAGGATTGCTACACAGGTGTTGAAAGCACAGGCCAAATAAGTTTAGCCTTTCATATCCATTCCTCTTACCCAACCTCGGACAGGGGGTCAGAGAATAACTCCACAGGGGGGCCACACAGAGCTGTGTCCTGTGCACTAGGCCTTCTGCAGTTAAAGAAACTCACAGTCATGCAGCTCTGGAATAAATGCAGCAAAGGAGGCCAGTCCTGCTGCTATATCTCGTTGCCCTACTTTGTAGCAAAAATGGGATTGAGTCAGAGGCTGGAATCAAAGCAAATCTTCCCAGCCGGCTGCAAGTCGTGCTTGGGTCTAGCGCTTGCTAATAATATTGGTAGGAAGACTGGTGGAAAGCAACATGTAGATTTTTGGTCTTTTAAACTCATTTTTTAATTGAAAATGTTATACAATTCACAGGAAAAAGTTTTAAAACAACTTAAAAAAAAAGGATAGATATAGAATGAAAAGTCAGTCTTCCTTTATTCTCTCAGTCCAGGCCTGATTTCCATAAACAAAAAAGGGTTTGCACAGGAGACAGAAAGAGAAATAAATACGAAAAGTGACATGTTCCAACCAAACATTGAGCACCTGCAGCTCAGAGTGATCAGTGTCACAGGGTGAAATCAAGGTGGCAGAGGCTTTCATATTCTTCCAGGAACAAAGCACTGTCATCATAGCAGGGCATAGCTCTGGATTGGATGGACCCTGATCTGTGGCAGGGGCCTAGCACGTTTCTAGTCATCTTATATGGCAATGTTGTCGGGGAAAGGTCACCATCTAGTCATCTCATATGGCAATGTTGTCTGGGAAAGGTCACCATTTATTTCCATCAGCGGTCTCTAGGAAAGTGCTGGGCAAACCTTACTAGGCCACCTCTACCTGGATTCTTGTTCAGGGACTGCAGGCAACAGGCTTTTCCCACTCTGAGGGTTTGACGCCTGAGAATTTTCAGTTTAGCACTCTATTTTATACTTAGTGTATATAACAACAAAAATGAAAAATTCAGCAAATATTTATTGAAAGCCCGTTATGTTTCAGGCTTATATATATGTTTCAGCCTATTATATTTCAGGAACATATATATATATATATATTTCTCCAAGGCAGAATTGGTGGTCCCTATACCCCAGCACTACTGTACTTCCTCTTTTTTCTTAGCGTTTATCATACTGTATCTCTTTCTCTCTGTCCTCTCTCTCTCACTGTCTCTCTATGTATGTGTGTGTGTACGTGTGTGCATATATATATACATGTGTGTATATATATGCGTGTGTGTGTGTATATATATGCGTGTGTGTATGTATATATATACATGTATGTATATGTATGCATGTGCGTATGTGTATATATATATATATATATATACACACACACACGCACACACACACATTAGCACCTGATATGCTTTTCTGTTTTGTTTTATTCTCTCCTATCATCCTGATTTGCCTTCATGGGTCTGGAAGGGTTATTTTCTTTCTTTTACAGCACTCAATTTATTTGAGGGAAATGGCTTATTTTCTGGGTGGGTCACAGCCACTCTGTAAAGTCTAAGGATCTCAGGCTGCTCTGCCCACTCCTTTTCCAGATATTCTCTCTGAAGCGTGAGTCAATGCGGATGAACAGCATGGTTAGAATAACCCCAAAGATGAGCCACATGGCTGATGGGCCACAGCACTATTTTTATGTTTGTGTTATTTTTATGCCTCTTTATATGTGCATACATAAAAATAATGCTACTGCTTTGGGGCAGCTCTGAGATGTAAAGATATCTGCCAGGAGATTGGCAGATGACTCAAGAGCCTAAAACTTGTTTTATTCTGCAATTTCCCTGTGGCTTCCAAAGCGTTAGAGCAAAAGAGTAATAACATTTATGTCAGCTTGCAGGAAACATCCATCATCAATTTCTACCTAAAATTTAGATATGGCCCTAGCCTTTTTCTGCATTGTAAGGTATCTTGCAATACTGCTGAGGATAGGGGCAGTTATGTCAGACTGAACTGTGTCCTTACCTCCTGCTTTTTGCTGCTGTGACAGCTTCAGATATTTCTGCAGCTTTGCTGCTCCGGCCACTATGTACCCTTCAGTCGTTTATATCTGATGATTCCTAAAAAGAATTAACCGATTTAAGAAGCCCAGTGATTTCCCTTTGTCCCTTCAGATCCATTCCCTGTCCTTCCTTTGTCTTAGGAAGCTGACCAAGGTCAGAAGAAATGAGAACTGAGGTTGGTTTCAGTCCATTTCTGTGGTCTCCAGCTCACGTTTGTGAGTTTCCAGTTTGTTCTTGTCCTCCCTCACCTTCTAGCCATCCTCCCTCCCCAGCAGCCAGATGTTCTGTGGATTTCAACCTTCAACATCAGACTCAGACCTGTAACACACACACACACACACACACACACACACACACACACACACCCCTGATAGAGGGAGTGTCTCGACAGGAAATAAAGAGTGGGGCTTCAGGTTTACTTGAACTCTGTTTCTTGGCTGAAGCAAGGAATGGTCTCTTGACTTCTACCAAAGTTGGAGTCAGCAGCAACCAGACCTTCCTAGAATTCAAACCTGCCAGGAGTCCAGTTCATAGCTGGAATCATTCCCCGTCCTCATTTGCTGATGGTAGCAGGAGGGATTGATAATGTGGCTGAGCAGTCGGGGGCCAATTTGAGAAGTGGGATTCCCGGGTCTGCAGAAACTTACCAGGCACTTACCAGGGATGGAAACGGATGCATGTGTCCCCTCAGCACCTGCAACACACCGGACTCTGATTTCCTATTCTGGACAGACTTCAGGGTCCAATGCTGGACACAGAATAAAAGACAGCAATGGCAAGAGGGCAGTGTTCAGGGGCTCTCAGGACTGAACAAGCAGTGGGAACCTGACTTTCTACTGAGGTGCTGATACTCGCAATTACATATTTAAGAAACAGCCTCTTGTTTAAGTAGGGTAGAATAATGTATGGAGATATTCACCTTTCTTCTTTTCTTTTTTCACTGAATTTTCCCCCATCATGCGGGTGGCAGTTGCTTCAGAGGAGGGATGCCTAAGGCAGGGCCTGGAAACCAGAAATAGCCTGCAGATCTCCCAGGCTTTTGTGTCCTAAACCCTAGACTTCTAGGAAAAATTAAACATTCACAGTTAAGAAAAATACAGATGACCAGATCTTTCTTCCATCTTTAGACTAGAAAAGCATTTTCCTTTTTTCATGAATGAGAACAGGGAAAAATAGTGAGGAGGGTCTGTAGCTGCCCTCCCAGAAATGCTTCTGAAAACTGGCAAAGCCTTGAAGAGAAAGTGGCCATGCTGCACAGTTTGGAGAGGTCCTGGACAGCCTTGCAGGGGGGTTCCTGGATCCACCGTGTGGCTGATAGACAATTGAGGCCATTTGGCTTGAAAAGTCTCATTGACTAAGGGGAAGATCTAAAGCCTGAGAGCAAAGACATCCTCTCTGTCCACAGCTCTGCATCCTTCATTATGCCAAGACTCTACATAGTCAATATTTTGGCATAATGATAATGTAATAATAAGAGCTAGCCCTTAGGCTCACATACTATGTGCCAGCCACTTTACATATGTTAACTCATTTAATTGTCATGAAAACCTTATGCAGTGGCATTTTACACCCCAATTTACAGATGGGGAAGCTGAGGACACACAGCCAGGATTCTAACCTGAGCAGTTTGGCTCTAAGATCCATGCTTGAATTGTGATAGTCAAGGAAAGTGGTATTTCTTGTCCAGGCATAACCTCATACCAGCTAAATGAGTAACCAATATTTACAATGAATATATTTTATCTCGGTAATTCCACAAAAGAGAAAATGAGTACTCCTGGTCTACAGGTAAAAGAAAGAGGTGTATACTAAGATCTGCTCATAGTCTTTTGGCAGGCTGGCAGGGGTCATAAGTGAAGATTTAAGATTCTCAAACGAACCTGTCTGTGGCCTCAATAGTATCATGCTCTCAGCTAAGTGTCTGGAACATAATAAGCCCCCAATAAATATCAGTTGCCTTAATGATTATGATGATGATTATGGTTATTATCACCCCCAGAGAAGGCTGCACAGAACCAATTTCTTAGTACAGAATTGCTGCTCCTTGAGATCCGAATCCTAGTTTTACAGAATTAGACACGTCTGAGGTTATCACAGTGACTACTCCATCCCTGCCACGGGTGTCCTTGGTCCTTAATTCACTGCTCCCTCCTATTGAGGAGAAGCAAATTCTAATGATCTAAATTAAAAGTTTGGTGTACTAACCCTTTCAGAGGTATTTGCATTTAAACGGAGAGGGCAGTGCTTAAAAAAATGGAAGCATATTTAACAATGTAATGACAAGATTCCCTAAATATTTAATAGTGTAATAGAAGGATTTAATAGCTGTGATATGTCGAGGTGATCAGGCTTACTGTGCTCTTTCAGGTCTTACCCTTGACCCAGTGTTTGTTTCACACATTCCTTCATGTCCTCCTTATAGGTAAGCTGAAGCAGTATGGCCCAAGGGTTGAGATGCTGCTACATAAATATGGCCAAGCATGAGTATTGAGGTCAGAAAAATTTATTTGGCAATAAACACTCTAGAACATCATGACCTCATGAAGCCTGCTAGGAAGCAGCTCTGTTTCCCCAAATGAAAAGAGAGCCGGCCTGTTGTGTTTTTATCAAATAGGAGGTGCCAGTGCAGATAAACTTTGCCCACTTTGTATCCTAGAAGGTACAGATCTGTGTCATGGAAGGGACACTCACCCAAACATGTTTGTGCATTTAGAGAAGTGTCATCTTTGGAGAGGAATGCCATGAATGAATAAGTCTCAGTGATGTTAAATTCCCAGTGGACCACACACTGGTTGGTAAAGACCAGTTAATTTATTTGATCCAAATGAGGACAGGCAGTGTTAAATCATTCTCGTGGCATCTAGCACAGCACCTTAATCACACATGATGTTCAGTAAAGATTTATGGGGTCAGTGACTGTAATGCATAAGGCACAGGTACTAGAAAGATTGGCAAATACAAACTCAAGATGTCCTGAGTTCTATTCATAGCACAGCCCCCTGAACGGCTATATGACCTTGGCTCCATTTCTCAGTGTCTCTGTCCTTAGATGCTTCCTCTGTAAAATGAAAGGATGAGGCTAGATAATAAGCAGGGTCATTTCCAGCTAGACAGTGATGTAGAGGTACATTCTGTGCTTGGACATCTTCAAATGAAAGTGGAGAGTTAAATTACTCTTTGGAATCTAATGCCTCTCCCTTGGGTACATCCACCCTCTGATCAATGGCTTCTTGGTGACAGTCTCTTTCCATGTCCTGCCTCGAGTCTCCTGCAATGATCCACTGGGCAATGATCCAGTTATCACTTGCCGAGTCTCAGATGAAACTGTTTCCCGGCTTCCAATTTTGTTTCTACTATAAGTTTATGGGTGACAGATGATACAAAATTAATTCCCTTAGGTTCACTCATGTACCATATGCCTATTCAAACAACGAGTAGAAATGTAGAAATAGCATGGATTTTGGCGGCAAGCCTTGAATTATTTGTTTTGGAGGACATGTTCATAGATAGTAAGCTTCCTAAGGCTTCAATGTCTGCACTTAGACATTTTAATTTTCCATTTAAGTCTTTGAATCTTATTCATTTTGAATTTTCTTTTAGACAAAATGACCCATAATTATACGTCTTCTCTCATTCCACACCATCACCCAGTAAACAAATAGTCCAATGATATTAACGTTTCCCACTTAATATATTCTTTTCTGTTTATTAGTAGAAAAATGTTTAGTTTTAAATTTGATTTTGTATTAAACTCAGAGACATGGCATTGTTCAGCTATTTCTTCTCTGGAAAGAAAATGTTCAAATGTCAGGTCTTTGCGGAGTTTTCCTGACTATTTGGCTTGTGGCAGATATATGAGCAATTTGACCACTGTGGTTCTTTAACAGCCCATCTTAGAGGTGATAAATAAAATGAGTTGACATGAAATTCATCACCTTAATCTGTATCTGTGGGTTAATGGGAGACATTAAGCATGAGATGCCAAAGTGTTCCCAGTGTTTGACAATACTTGGCATGTGGGTGTCCATGACAAAGAGATGAAGCTGTCAATCAGTTTGTTTTAATGCTATTGGACAAATAGCCACACCACCTACCTGTCTGAACACAGCTACCCTCATGGAAAATCAATGAACTGGGCCTCAGTAGCCACGAAAATTAGCATAGCTCCACAAGCTAGGGCCAAGGATCATCTCAGATTAGCTTAGACAACTAGAGAGGAGAGCAAGCAAGGGCTGGGTTAGTCCAGGAAGTTGACTGGTGGTTCTTTTGGGGTTTTCTATAAGTTACAGATGCTTCTCAGATGCAACAATAATAAAGCCTTCTTGAGCTTTTTTTTTTTTTTTAATATTTGAACATGATAAAATGCATTGCTTTGGTTGACCTTTATGTTGGTGCAGGCAAGAGCCACAGAGCGAGAGGTATGGTGTTGAAGAGTGGCTTTCCCTGGGGTTCCTCAATGTGGCCCTGAAGGAATAATAGTAGAGCTTCAACTTCACCCTTCCATGTCCTGCATCATGGCTTGCCAACTCTAAATGGCCGCACAAGTCTACAAGCTGAAGTCATTGTCTGTGGAACAATAATGCCTGGCTGACCATGTTAGAGCCTATTGAGGGACTGAAATGAAATGACTTATAAAAACTGCTAAGAGATTTAGAAAAGTGCAATAAAGAATAAGAGTCTGTTTGGGGTGTTTAGAATCTCACTGTGGTGTTAACATGCAGAAGTACCAGTTATAGCTGGTCAATTAACCCCATATTTTCACCCAAACCGTTTGTCCTTTTGTGTTCTCCTCTCAGAAGATGGCACAGGCTAAAATATGGAAATTGTCCTAGACCTATCCATCTACCTCAGGCTAAAATATGGAATATGCCACATAGTCAATCACATACCAAAGCCTACTGTAAAATATGCCCTTATTAGCCTCCACTCCTTTCTATCTCTCTGATTTTATTTCCTTTAGCTTAGATTTTTTTCCAGAAGCTCTCATCTCTATCCTCAATACTCTATTATAGCTACACTGATGACTTTACATGCACACCTAATCATATTTCTCCCTATTCAACACCAACTCTTGATTGCTCAAAGAGCAAACCCAAACTTCCTAACAAGGCTTAGGAGGCCCTTTATAATCTCAACTCCCTTAGCCCTCCCATTTCTTCTCTTCTTACTCCTGTCTCATAACGCCAAAGCCCTGTGTTTCAGCCACAAGAAATAGCTGCAGTACCTGGAAGGCACTACAATCTCTCTCACCTCCAGCTTTTTTTTTTTTTCTTGGAGTACTCTTTACTGCCATTGACAGAGCTCACTCCTATCAGTCTTCCAGGATTCAGTGTAGCTGTCCAGGAACTTTTCCCCAGTCATCTAAATCAGTGTCAGGGTTTCCTCCCACATGAGTCCTCAGTAAAATCTATCAAAGCACTCATTACACTTTATTTGCTTTCAAACTCTCTCATTTAAATGTAGCATTCATGCAGAAAAGTGCATAACTCATAGTGCATGGCTTACTTATCCTGAAGTGAAGCTACCCGTATGATCACCACTCAGGCCAAGAAGCTGAACATAACCAGGACCTCAGAAGACCTCTTAAGGCTTTCTTCCAATCCATACAATTCCTCTTTCCCAAAAGTAATCATCAATCTTGACTTCTAATATTATAGTTACATTTGTCTGCTTTAGAACTTCGTACAAATGGAATTGGGCACTATAAATACTTTTATTTCTGATTTCTCTTACTCAATAGTGTGTCTGTGAATTTTTTCCATGTTGTGTGTAGCTGTAGCTCTTTTATTTTCATTATTGCATAGTATTCCATTGTATGAGTAAAGTACTATGTGTCCATTCATTCCCCTGTGGTTAGACATTTGTGTTGTTTCTGGATTTTGGTTTTTGCAAATAATAGTGCTCTGAACATTTTTATGCTCCTGCCTTTTGGTGAAAATATACACTCATTTCTCTTGGGTACATATTTGAGAAATGTACAGTAGGCATGAATCTGGCTTTAAGTATATACTACCCCAAATTTCCAAAATGATCTTGCTAATTTGCTCTCTCTGACAGTGTACGTAGATTATAATTGTTTCCCATTATTGTCAACAATGGGCATTGCCAGTAGTGAGTCATTCTGGTGGTTGTATAGTGGTGTCTTCACTGTGGTTATCATTTCCTTTTTGTGCTTTACAAATGTTTATTGGTCATATAGTTGTCCTGTTTTGTAAATACCAGTTGAAGTCTTTTGCTCATTTATCTATTGGAGCATCTTTTTTATTCTTATTAATTTGTAGGAGTGATTTGTCAGGTACATGTAATAAAAATATAGTTTCCCACTGTGTGGCTTACTTTCTTACTCTTTTAATTGTGTCTTTTGGTGAACAGAAGTTCTTATTTTTAATGTTATCCAATTGATTAGCTGTTTCCTCTATGGTCATTACTCTTTCGCTTTGTTTAAGAAAACTATCTCTAGTTGGAAGTAGACAAGATAGTTTTGGACACATTTTTCTAGAGACTTTTTTTTTTCTCTTTCGCACATATATCAACAATCTATCAGGAATTGTTTTTCATGTATATCCCGCTGCATTTTACTTACCTGTTAGTTGCCTGTCTCTCCAACTAGGCTGTAAAGAGCTAGGAGGAAGAATGTGAATTGCAGCTTCCTAACCTCCAACAGGGGGAAATATCTGTGTGATGTTTAGGTTTCTGCCACTCTTAAGCAGTAGAACTTTTTCTTACTTTTAGTTAGTTTTTCTCTCTGAGTTTAAAAACTTTTTCAGATTCAGTGAAAATTGCATCCTAATGTGTTATTTAAGAAAACATATGCACCACTCCTTCGCCATTGTGATGCTCTTTCACTGTTGGGATGGTTGTCTTGTTGCACATGGTATGTTTTATTTTTGTGGTTGTTAATGTCCTTTTCAAATCCATGCTAAGAAATTTGGAGCAGAAAACGGTATGACATTTATTTAAATTATTTACTTTAATAATTGTTTCCCAGCAGTTATTGATTTAACCTTTTCTCCTTTTAATTATATATATTTTTAAAAAATAGATGGCATATCCTTATCATTCAAACATCAAATATACACATTGAGAAATCTTTTTTTTACCTCTGTTCAGATCAACCCACTACTCCTTTTCCACAATGGTCTACCACTTTTGTGGATTTCTCATGTGCCATACGCTGGTTTATTTATATGCAGGGGGAAGCTGCATAGCAACCAAGGGTGAATGACCTGATAGCAAACACAACAGGTGATCTGGAAAAACACTTATTGGGAGAGAAACTTACAGAGACATAACAGGTTAGTGCCTGTGTGGTCCCCCATTATTCTGTGGGATAGCAGACAAGGATCCTGAAAGGTCAGTTGTCAGATTTCGGGATTAGGTCTCCAGCCAGTAGGTGGTGGGGTACATGGATCCCCTCCACTGACACCATCAGAGGGCTAGGGTCCAAATCTTGTGGCTGAAGCTATGTGACAATAGTTAATTGCTCTACATCAGGACCAAGTGTTCTACCTCAGTCCTTTCCAGGATTAATTGCCTTAAGCGGACAATTTTCATGGAGCCCTACAGAGGTTATTACCTTTTCTGAGGAGCCAGCCCACAGGGAATCAATAGAATTAAACGTTATATCTCAGCTCACCCCTTATCACAGGGACAGATGCTTTGCATAATTACCCTCTCAGTCAGGAACCCATATCATTTTAATCTGTAAGATCATGAGGCTAGTCTCTAGTATTGCTATAGGAGATACTGGACTATGGTTATGATGTAAATAAGAAAATGGGAGCCATGAGTAACACCTGAGGCCCTCTCCCAACAGAGAGGCTCAGAAAGCCCAACCCAAGCCCAGAGGACAGGTTCCAGGTTGCTGAGAGCTCTAGACAATCCTTCTTCCTGCTCCCATGTATGGGGCACTGAATGTTCCAGCTCCCCACTGGTGCTGATGCAGATGCAGGTGGTGCATTGGTCCAGGCTAAGATGCTCCCTATCTGGCCAAAAGATAATTAAATTATGTTGTTTAAGATGAGCCTAGAATTTAGGTTAATTTTCTGGATCTTTGAGGCATGGGGGATCTTGTTGGCTACTTGGCCTTGGTGTCTGACAGATCCTATATTATGTCATCAGCACAATTATCCCCCATCTCGGAATTAGGCCACAACCAAGATTATAGAGTGCTATGTTGCCTACTGGGACAACCATGAATGTACATTGCTCAGATATCTCTACAAGAAAAAACTGCTGAAAGGAATGCAAATAGCTAACAGCCTACTGTAGCACCTTCAAGATCTCCTGCAGCATCTGAGCTGAGAGCACACTGTTCCCAAGCTGCCTCCAGTCATTGTCTACATGCTGCGGAGGGACTAGGGTCTGGGCTTTTCTATTTATTGAGAGACTCTTCTACAGTCATTCTTTGCATTGGAGCTCCCCACTGCGATGCCTAAGACTTTCTCAGAGCTGCATCACAGTTGTAGCCTCTTTCTGTGTTATCCTCCTTTCTCTCCCTTCTCCATTCATGGCATCAGGCCTGAATAATGGTCCAAAGGCTTTCTCTCACCCTTTTATATTTCACAGTTTTTACCTCAATAAATCCCTGAAGCTTCTACTCCTGTTTTCGTGTCTTCTTTCTGAAGGTCCTTAATTGGCAAGCATATACCAGGAGGATTATTCTTTCACACTTGGGCCAGAGGGATGCATAGGGTCCTAGAAGACGTTGTAGGAAAATTTGAAATGACTAGTTGACCGTCTGAACCCTGGGCTCAGATTTTGTTCAACTCAGGTAGAAAAGGATAGGCTGTTGATCCATGGGGGGATAACAGCTCAGGGGAACTACATTTCCCAGCCTGAAAAGTGTCATGTATAGTCATAAGGATCAATCAAGTCAGTGGCCCTTTTCCTCATTGGTGAACCTAAGCAGTGAGTGGAGTTGGCCATAGTCAGTGTCTGAAGCTACAAACCAGAGGTTAAGACTATTGAATTCAGGTATTCAGAATTGGTCTTAGCCTTTTTTACTTATTAGGGATACCGTGTCATACTAGAAGGAGGGGAGATTTCATTGGCATATATGCTTGGCCTTGGGATCTAAGATGCTTATTAGACAATTGAATTTACTGGCAAGTAATGAGTGATGTGCCTCAATAGAATATTTCAGAACATGGGAGATACTGGAAACAGTATTTTAGAAGATGTGGGAATAGCTGTCAACTCTTCCCAAAGATCCAACATAGTATGGCAGATGCAACAGCAAACAGTGAGAGGCCCTCAACTATTTAGAATAGAGCAAAGAATGCAGGATGGCCTGGGTGACAATCCTGCTGGAGCAATTTAGGTGCAAGGTAATGTTAGGCATTAGCCCTCCCACCACCACCATGACTGCGACTTCCTGAAGTTTTAGGTATCCCTGTACTACCAGGCAGTGGGCAGGGTAAGCAAGACCTTATGTCTCACAAGCAAATGATAATATAAACATATTCTTATTTTTAGATGAAACACTAAATATTGATCTGCATATAACTTTATTCATTAACAATATGCCCATGTCATTTAGGTAAACAGACAGTCCCTATATTTTCTTCATCCCTGTAGGAATTTCAGAGGTGAAAATATTGGACAAGCATAAAAAGAATCTACAAGGATGGCTATCTTTGTCCCTTTCCATTCTTAATTTTCAGGTTCTATTTGAGAAAATAGATACTGTACAGGCAGTAAGCTATTAGTCTTTTCAAATATGAGAAAACTGCTTTTAACATCAGGAAGTCTTATAGATATCTGCCTGATTAAAATTGATCTTTCAGAACTGATTAATTGACAAAATACTCCATGACCAACACTTACTGTGAGTTCATGTGAGTTCAGTGATGCTTCCTGATTATTTTTCTTTTATGAATCACAATAACATATATATGTGCATCTGTGTGTATGTGTGGGTGTTTGCATATATTTACACGTGAAAAAGAAGAATGAAGAATGGTTAGATATTATATTTATTCAGATGGCAGTATTTTGTGGCCATGTGGAATATTAGAGCCTCTTATAGTCACAGAAGCAATAGGTCTATCAAGAATGTCTTGAATGTCTTCTTGAATGTCTTGAATGTCTTCTTGAATGTCTTGAATGTCTTCAAGAATGTCTTGAAGAGCTTCTTGGAATGGGAAGAGAGAGACCCTGAAGCATGATGACAGAAAGATCAAAGGCAATAAAAGAGAAGACTGAATTGCTCTGTGTGAGGTGAAGAGAGAAATTTGTTTTAACTCTGGAGAGGATGGGTGCGGGGGGTGGGGTAAAGCGGGGGCCAGAAGTTTGCTGTGGGCTTAGGAGAACCCATGAGTGATGTCTTCTATAGGGTGGAGGCTAAAGTCTTCATAAGAAGAAGAATGTTTCCTGTTTACTCTAAAGGTTTTCTTTACAATGTCTCAGTATAAACCTACCTTAGATTGTCTATAAGTCTTTGGTAAAGTTTACCAAAAACACAAGTTGCCTTATATGAGAAGGTTATTTTTTTGTGTGAGGCAAAGACGGCATGGAGAGGATGACAAGATGATTCACAAACTAAGAAATCAGGAAGTCAGAACTAGAGATGCCCTGAAAACATAAAGCTTTAGAGAATCTCAGAAGCCTTGGGAAGCGTTCTGGAATCTATAGGTGTGTAGGGGATGGTAGTGGTAGGGTGGCAGAGCCACTTAAGAAAACCTTACCTCAATTTCCAAATATTGTGAGTCTCCAGCTAATATTTAGCTTTCATTCATCATTTACTCATCATATACTTATTGAAGACCTACAACATACCAGGTATGCTCCTAGGTCCTGGAGATAGAATAATGAACAAAACATAGTTCCTGCCTATGTAAGGCTTACCTTCTAATAGGAAAGACAGTTAATAAATAAAAGAGCAGAAAACATGTGCAATATGATGCCAGTTAGTAAGAGGTGCTATAAAAGAACAAAGTGAGGGGGTGGGTAGAGTCGAGAGATGCTTCTTCACAAAGGTCAGGAAAGGCTTTGCAGAGAAAACAAGGTAAGGTAAGAACCTTGAGCAGAACCTAAAAACAGATCTTGGAAAGAGCATACTAGGTGAATGGCCAGTGAAATGGCAAGAACAGAGGGCCTGAGTTGGGAGTTTGCTTGTTTTGCCTGAGGAATAGCAGGGTCAGAGTGGCTGCAGAACACTGAATGAAGGGGAAAAAAGCTGTGAATGAGTGCAGAAATGTTACTGTTGGCCAGCTTATTAGGTCTTTCAAACTTTGGAAAGGAATTTGAGTTTTATTCTAAATGTGGTGGGAACCCATTGGAATGCTCAAAGTAGGAGTGTGATGAACATTTCCTGATTTATATTTACAAAAGCTCACTCTGGCTGCTGCACGGGGAATAGTCTGTAGCAGGCAAAGGTGGAAGGAGATTAGTTAGGTCTACTGTAATTATCTAGGAGAAAGAAGAGTGTGGCCTCAACTAAGGCAGGGGTTGTTGGAGCAGTGAAATATTGTCTGACCAACAGTATATTGTGAAGGATTATCCAATAATCCACTTATGGATTTGAAGGAGTTGTATAAATTCAAAGTGAGTTGTGGCAAAAACTTAGACATCGAAGATAGTTCTACAGCTCCCCAGAGGTTATATTCCAAACAATGAGAATCACATGGGTAGAAGTTTTGATTTTTGAGATGCTTTCTATAAACCAGCTAAAAAAGGTAAATTGGTACTATTTCCACTTTAAAATTATGCTTTTAATGATGATGATGATGATCGTGGGTTTAGTTGATAAGAAAACAAGTACTCTTTATAATGTACATATGATGTAACTACTATTCTTAGTGGTTGAAGACTTTATAAATAATTTATCATTTAGTGTTTGTGATGTCAGTAATAAAGAGCACTCAATTAAAATATTACATAAAACTTTGGCTTATTTTTATAAGCCAACAAGCAAACTCCCAACTCAGGCCCTCTGTTCTTGCCATTTCACTGGCCATTCACCTAGTATGCTCTTTCCAAGATCTGTTTTTAGGTTCTGCTCGAGGTTCTTACCTTACCTTGTTTTCTATGAACTTTTTATAATTAATTATTACATTACATAATATTACATAAATTGTTAAATTATTTATTACATAAAACATTGGCTTATTTTCTATGAACTCTTTGGTTCTCACACATCTTTATAGAAAAGGGACACCCAATAAAGCAGAGTGGAAATGGTTATAATAATCAGGAGCCTTTATAAATGCTATAAGAGCATGTGTTATTACTCAAAGCGGATTTTAAGTTGAAGACATCAAATTTCAAATCCAAGTTTTACTCTTTTTATCTTTGTGGCTTTGAACAATTCATTTAACTATAGCTTGTTTTCAACTTTAATAGCATGAAATAATGCTACCCATCTGGCAGAGTAGTTAATAAGGATTTAAGAAGGATTTGCCAATGCCTACCATATAAAAATACCTGGTCAATTTTATTTGAATGCAAACTTTTTTATACTGATACCAAGAATATATATTTTATTACTGATGTTTTCTATTTGGCAATTGACAATATTTATTGTATCTTGGATGTTGACTATTTTTCTTAAATTGTGGTTCTCAAACACTGACAATTTTGACCCCCAGGGATCACTTGACAATGCCTGAAGACATTTTTGGTTAGTATCACTTGAGAGAACTATTGGCATCTAGTAGGTAGATGCCAGGAATGTGGCTAACTATTCTTCAGTGAACCACACAGCCACCCCCTGCACCACCTTACTCCCAGAAACAAAGAAGTATGCATTCCTAAATGTTAATAGTGCCAAGGTTAAGAAGCCCTGCTCTAAAACATAGTTGAGTCATACAAAATGTTCTCAGCTGTAATTATATTTTTTGATTTCTTGTTTTAGTCATTTGAGTATGGTGAAATTTCACTAGAGCACCTGGCATCATGAGAGCCTTGGGAAATACTAGAAAGTTGTTTGTGATTTGTGAAGTATTATATTAGTGCTCAGCAAACATCCATTCTCCTATTCCACTGTAGACATTTTTGGCCACTTAATTGATGCTGGGTTCAGTCATATGACTTGGCTTTGGCCAATGCAATGTTAACAGATGTGATGCAAGTGGAAGCTTTAACTGGATCTGTGTGGCTTGGTTTGTCTTTCACTATTCTGACATTTACTATTAGAACCTTCTCTAAGCAGCCTTTGGCCCAAGGATACAAGAGACACTTGGATCATGCTCAAACCCAAGCCATGTCAAGTCTACCTGATGTTTAGCTTAAAGCAGAACTGCCTGCTGAGCCCAGCCAAAGCCACCCCAGATACAGACCTGCAGACTTGGGAAATGCTAGTTGTTGTAAGACACCCAGTTTTGAGATGGTTGATTATACAGCATTATTATGGCAATAGCCAATTAATGCATGGCATTGACAAGACATCATTTATTAAGTCTGCATGTTCGGTGGACCTGAACAGGTAAGGAAGATCAGCACTTTGAATATGGGAAGAAAACAATGCAATAACGTGGAGATATTTATAATTAATAACAGTCTCCAAAGATTCTGGGAACAAATCTGGCTATCATCAGCTCAAGGATTTTAGAGATGTGTTTGATATTTGTTATCTGGACATTTGAACATTATCATATCTTGAATGAGCATTTCTCTAAAACAGGTCAGAGAAAATGGTTCCAGCAGTGATTATACAGTTTCAATCAACTGAAAAATGTGTATGTGTGTATTTTTTTTGGAGGTTGGAAGTGGGTCCAGACTTTCACTGGATTCTCAAAAGCATTTGTGGCCTTCTTTATCCCTCTTATCAAGCCAAACAAAACCAAATGAAACCAAACCAAACCAAACAAACCAAAACAAAAACAAAGTAACAAAATGTCCACAAAGGATTCTTAGTCCTTGGATCTAGATGCTATAATATTGGACCTGATATGTACCCTTGTGGAATGCTACTTTTTCATTCTCTGAGATCTCATTAGCCAACAAAACCTGCTTTCTTTTCCTCCCGATTCCATAATACTTCTTTGTAACATGCTTACTAATAGGTTTACTAGGCAGAAGAACTTGGGGATAGAAACCATGACATGTAAGCCATCTGTTGTGGCTGTTGTGGCATATGTGCTGCTATAGTCACTCAGTGTTTGGCAGTGTCATACTCCTGATTTAAAACTTTATTTGAGAGGAAAATAGGAATTATGATGATTTAGCACTTGTATGTATGTATACATGACTTAGAATTTGTATGTACATTTAGGGTGAGTGAAAGATCAAAATACAGTCGTGAGTCAAAACCTTCTGGGTCTGGAAGGAATACTAGAGTGTAGGCAGCCTGAAGGATGGTCTCTGTACAGATGGTGGAACATCTGTTTCCTATGCCAAGTAAGCCTACAGAGGCACATCTTTCCCCTACAGCGTATGGTGGAACTGAGCATGTACAATTCTAAGACTAGCTGTAACCAACAAGCCTATGTTTGACTTAAAAAAATTAAACCTTTGGCCAGGTGCGGTGGCTCACGCCTGTAATCCCAGCACTTTGGGAGGCTGAGGCAGGCAGATCACGAGGTCAGGAGATCAAGACCATCCTGGCTAACACGGTGAAACCTCGTCTCTACTAAAAATATAAAAAATTAGCCAGGGGTGGTGGGGGGCACCTGTAGTCCCAGCTACTCTGGAGGCTGAGGCAGGAGAATGGAGTGAACCCGGGAGGCAGAGCTTGCAGTGAGCCGGGATTGTGCCACTGCACTTCAGCCTGGGCAACAGACCAAGACTCCATCTCAAAAATAAATAAATAAATAAATAAATAAATAAATTAAACCTTTTACTCTGAGATTAGTGTGGAAGCATATGTATCTTACAATGAAATTGAATTTTACAACATCTTGTAAGAAATAACAAGATATTGACATTGATACAGTTTAGATATAGGGTATTTCCATCACTAAAGGCTCCCTCCTGTGTGCCCTTACATAGCCACACCCACTTCTCTCCTGTCTCACCACTCCCTTAACTCTGGGCAATGGTTATTCTGTTTTCCATCTCTAGCATTATGTAACTTCAGGTATGTCGAATAAATAGAATCATACCATATGCAACTTTTGGGATTTGCTTTTTTACTCTGGAGATTCATTCAGGTTGCTGTGTGCATCAGCAGCCTTCTCCCTTTTATTAGAGAGTAATAATAATTATGCACATGTAGCACAGTTTGTTTTACCATTGACCCACTGGAGGACATCTGAGCTGTTTCCCTGTTTTGGCTGTTATGAATAAAGCTGCTATCAACATTCACTTTCAGGTTTTTGTATAAACACATTTTCATTTCTGTGGAATAAATGTCCAGGAGAGAAATTGCTGGGTTATATGGTAATTGCATATTTAGTTTTTAAAGACATCGACAACTGTTTTCCAGTGTGGTTGTACTATTTTACATACGCATAAGCAATGTATGAGTGATCCAGTTTCCGCACATCTTTGCCAGCATGTGGTGGCGGTGTGTCTGGAATTGGTGGGTCCTTGGTCTTGCTGACTTCAAGAATGAAGCTGCGGACCCTCGCGGTGAGTGTTACAATTCTTAAAGATGGTGCGTCCGGAGTTTGTTCCTTCTGATATTCGGACGTGTCCGGAGTTTCTTCCTTCTGGTGGGTTTGTGGCCTCGCTGATTTCAGGAATGAAGCTGCAGACCTTCCCGGTCAGTATTACAGCTCTTAAAGGCAGTACGTCCAGAGTTGTTCGTTCCACTCGTTCCTCCCAGTGGAGTCGTGGTCTTGCTGACTTCAGGAGTGAAGCTGCAGACCTTTGCGGTCAGTGTTACAGCTCATAAATGCTGCGGACCCAAAGAGTGAGCAGCAGTAAGATTTATTGCAAGAACAAAACATCAAAGCTTCCACACGTCGGAAGAGGACCCCAGCCAGTGGCGTGGCCAGCTTTCATTCCCTTATTTGGCCCCACCCACATCCTGCTGATTGGTCCATTTTAAAGAGAGCTGATTGGTCCATTTTACAGATAGCTGATTGGTCCATTTTACAGGGTGCTGATTGGTCCGTTTTTACCGAGTGCTGATTGGTGTGTTTACAAAACTTTAGCTAGACACAGAGCGCTGATTGGTGCGTTTTTACAGAGTGCTGATTGGTGTGTTTACAATCCTTTAGCTAGACACAGAGTGCTGATTGGTGCATTTACAATCCTTTGGCTAGACAGAAAAGTTCTCCAAGTCCTCACCTGACCCAGAAGCCCAGCCAGCTTCACCTCTCATTGTCACTTAAACAAAACAAGAACAAAAAATCATTCTGATAGTGTGTGGTAATATCTTATTGTGGCTTTAGTTTGCATTTCCCCAATGGCTAATATATTGACCATCTTTATATGTGCTTATTTACCATCTACAAATCTTCCTTAGTAAAATACCTCTTTATGTCTTTTCCCAATTATCTAACTTTTTGTCTGCTGAGTTTTATGCATTCTGTATACATTTTAGATAAAAGTTATTTGCCAGATATGTGAATTGAAAATATTTTCTTCTAATAATCTATAGCTTGTCTTTTTATTTTACAGTCTTTTACAGATCAGCAGTTTTTAATTTTGATAAAGTTCAATTTGTCAAGTTTTTCTTTTATTGATTATGCTTGTGATGTTAATTGTAAGAACTTTTTGCCTAGTTCTAGATTGGAAATATTTTATTTTATTTTTTTCTAAATTTTACCTTTTTATGTTTTGCATTTAAACTCATGACACGTTTTGAGTTACTTTTTGTACATAGTGTGAAACATGTGCCAGGTTTTATTTTTTTATTTGTTCTTTTTTTGTTTTGTAAATTTTTAATTTATTTTTTATTTTTAAACTTTTATTTTAAATTCAGGGGCACATGTGCAGGTTTGCTACATAGGGAAACATGTGCCATGGGGTTTGTTATGCAGATTATTTAATCACCCAAGTATTAAGCATAGTGCCCATTAGTTATTTTTCCTGATCTTCTCTCTCCTTCCACCCTCTACCTTCTGAGAGGCCCCTGTGTGTATTGTTTCCCCTCTATGTGTCCAATATTTAGCTCCCATTTATAAGAACATGCGAGATTGGGTTTTCTGTTCCTGCATTAGTTTGCTAAGGATAATGGCTTCCAGCTCCATCTATGTTACTGCAAAGGACATAATCTCATTCTTTTTATGGTTGCATTGTATTCCATGGTGTCCATGTACCATATTTTCTTTATCCAGTCTATAATTTATGAGCATTTATGTTGATTCCATTTCTTTGTTGTTGTGAACAGTGCTACAATGAACATATGTATGCATGTGTATTTATAATAGAATGGTTTATATTACTTTGGATATATACCCAGTAATGGGACACTAGGTCAAATGGTATTTCTGTCTTCAGGTCGTTGAGGAATCACCATACTGTCTTTGACAGTGGTTGAACTAATTTACACTTCCACCAACAGTGTATAAGCATTCCTTTTTCTTTACAACATTGCTAGCATCTGTTATTTTTTGACTTTTAAATAATAGACATTCTGACTGGTATGAGATGGTATCTCATTGTGGTTTTGACTTGCATTTCTCTAATGATCAGTGATGCTGAGCTTTTCTTCATGGTTGTTGGCAACATGTGTGTCTTCTTTTGAGAAGTGTCTCTTCATGTCCTGCCCACGTTTTAATGTTTTTTTTTCCTTGTAACTTTGTTTACATTCCTTATAGATGCTGGATATTAGACCTTTTCCAGATACATAGTTTGGAAAATTTTCCTTCCATCCTGGAGGTTGTCTGTTTACTCTGTTGATAGTTTCTTTTACTGTGCAGAGAGTCTTTAGTTTAATTAGATCCCACTTGTCAATTTTTGTTTTTTGTTCCAATTACCTTGGGTGTCTTTGTCATGAAATCTTTGCTCATACCTGTGTCCTGAATGGTATTGCCTAGGTTGTCTTCCAAGGATTTTATAATTTGGGGTTTTACATTTAAGTCTTTAATCCATCATGATTTAATTTTGGTATATGGTATAAGGAAAGGTTTCACTTTCAATTTTCTGCATATGGCTAGCCATTTATTCCTAACACCATTGATTGAAGAGAGAATCATTTCCCTATTGTTTGTTTTTGTCAGGTTTCTCAAAGATGAGATGGTTGTAGATGTACCGTCTTATTTCTGGTCCTCTATTCGGTTCCATTGGTCTATGTGTCTGTTCTTGCAGAAGTACCATGCTGTTTTGGTTACTGTAGCCTTGCAGTATAGTTTAAAGTGGGGTAGAATGATGCCTTCAGCTTTCTTCTTTTTGTTTGGGATTGCCTTGGCTATCCAGGCCTTTTTTTGGTTCCACATACATTTTAAAATAGTTTTCTGTAGTTCTGTGAAGAATGTAAATGGTAGTTCAATGGGAATAGTGTTGAATCTATAAATTGCTTTGGGCAGTATGGACATTTTAATGATAATGAGTCTTCCTATCCATGAGCATGAAATGTTTTTCCATTTGTTTGTTTCATCTCTGATTTATTTGAGCAGTGGTTTGTACTTCTCCTTGTAGAGATCTTTCACCTCCCTTTTCAGTTATATTCCTAGGTATTTTATTCTTTTTGTGGCAATTGTGAATAGGAGTTTACTCATGATTTGGCTCTTGGTTGGCCTGTTGTTGGTGTATAGAAATGTTAGTGATTTTTGTCCACTAATTTTGTATCATGATACTTTGCTGAAGTTGTTTATCAGCTTAAGAATGTTTTGGGCTAAGACAATGGGATCTTCTAGATATAGGATCATGTCATCTGCAAACAGGGATAGTTTGACTTCATCTCTTCCTATTTGGATACCCTTTATTTCTCACTGTTGCCTGATTACCCTTGCCGAAATTCCAATACTGTGTTGACTATGAGTTGTGAGAGATGGCATCCTTGTCTTGTGTGGGTTTTTAAGGGGCATGCTTGTTTACTTTTTCTTGCCTATGTGTGTCCATTTACTCCATCACCATTTGTTTAAAAGACTATCTTTCCTCCATTGAGTAATTGAATAACTTTTGTATCTTTGTCAAAAAATCAATTGAACATGCTTGTGTGGTTCTATTTTCGGGTTCTCTGTTCTGTTCCATTGGCATATGTGTCTATCCCTTTACCAATACTACACAGTGTTGATTAGTGTGGGTGTGTGTAGTCGTCCTGAAATTAGGAAAACTGACTCCTTGCACTATATTCTTCTTTTTAAAAATTGTTTAAGCTATTTCTAGTTATTTTACCTTTCCATGTGGATGTTAGAATTATCTTGTCCATATCTACAAAATTTTTGCTTGGATTTTAATAGTAGTTGTGTTAAAGATGTACACCAGTTTGGAGAGAACTGGCATCTTTACTGTGTTGACTCACCCAGTACATTGTATGTATCACCATTTTATAGTTATTTGTTGTATGTAATCAGTATTTTGGAGTTTACAGAAAATGAGTTCCTTACATGTGTTGCTAGATTTATACTTAGATATTTCATTTTTGAGAAATTGAAGTGGTATTACATATGTCAGTGTCCATGTGCTTATTGGTAGTGTATGGAAGTACAATAGATTTTTGTCTATTTATCTTTTGTTATGTGGCCTTGTTAAACTCACTTAAAATCTTTTTTTGGAAGAGATTATGTAAAATTGATGCTATTTGTTCATTAATGATTTGGAAGAATTGTTAAAGTGAAAATATCTTTCTGAGCCTGGAAATTTATTTTTTGAAAGTTTTAAAAATTATGAATTTAGCTAACTTAACAGTTACAGGGCTATCCAAATTATCATTTTATATTTAGTTATTTGTAATAGTTTTTTTTTTCAAAGAATTGGGTTGTATTCATATTCCCTGTGTTATTTCTGATATGCTTGTGTCTTCTCTTTTTCTTTTCAGTTTTTGTGATGGTTAATTTCAGGTGTCAATTTGACTGGACTGAGGGATGCCTACATGGGTGATGAGGCACTGTTTTTCATGTGTCTGTACAAGTGTTTTTGGTAGACATTGATCTTTGAGTCAGTGGATTAAGAGAAACAAACTCACCTTCACTATGGTCAGGCACCATCCAATTAGCTGAAGGCCCATTTGGAACAGACAGGCAGAGAATGCGGATTTGCTCCCTCTGCCTTCTCTCTCCTTTCCAGAGAGAAGGCTTTTCCTACTCCTGCCTTTGGACATCAGACTCTACGTCTTCAGGTTTTGACTCTGAGACTTTTCCCAGTGGCCTCTCAGGGGCTTTTGGGCCTGACTGGAGGTTGCACTGTCAGCTTCTTTGGTTCTGAGGTTTTGGACTTGGGCTGAGCCATGCTACCAGTTTTGAGCCACACAACCAGCTTTTCAGGTTCTCCAGCCTACAGTCAGCCTATTGGAAAACTTCTCTGCCTCTGTGATCCTATGAGCCACTTCCCCTTAACAAATCCCCCTCCATATATCCTACTTGTTCTGTCCCTCTGGAGAACCCTGATACAGTCCTGATAGAGGTTTGGCAATTTTATTGATCTTTTCGAATAACCTGCTCTTTGTTTCATTCACCTTCCTGTATTGTTTCTCTGTTTTCAATTCAATTCCATTGTTTTCTGCTCTAATCTTTATTAACTACTTTCTTCTGCTTATGTTGGATTTATTTTGTTATCCTTTTTCTAGTTTATTGATGTGGCTTGGGTTATTAGTTTGAGACTTTTTCATCTTTTTGAATATATACATTTAGTGCTGTAAATTTCTCTCTCAGAACTGCCTTAAAAATAGCCCATAGATTTTGATATGTTCCATTTCTTTATTTAGTTCAATGTATTTTTTAATTTCCTTTGAGAGTTTCTCTCCAATTCTTGAATTATTTAGAAGTGTGTTGTTTAGTTTCCAGATATTTGAAGGTATTCTTATCTTTTTGTTATCAATGTGTATTTGATTCCTTAAGGTATAAGAATCTATTCTGTGTGATTTTATTTCTTTCAAATGTGCTCAAGTGTGTTTTATGGTCCAGAATTTTATCTATGTTGAGTGAGTTGTTCTATAAATGTCAATTAGATCCTGCTGTTTAATGGTGGTGTTGAGGTTTTCTACATCCTTGCTGATTTTCTCTCTAGAACAGAAATATCAATTGTTGAGAGAGGGATGTTGAAGTCACCAACTATAATCATGGGACATCTCTGTTTCCTTTCAGTTCTATCAGTTTATGCTTCACATATTTTGCAATTCTGTTGCTTGATGCATACACATTAAGATTCCTATGTCTTCTTGACAGATTGACTCTTCTATTACATAATGTTATCTGATATTAATATAGACATTCTTGTATTCTTTTAATTAATATTTATATATCTTTCTCATTCTTTTACTTTTAACCTACCTATATTGTTATATTTGAAGTGCTTTTTTTTTGTAGACCGCATATAGTTGAGTTACATTTTGAATCCACTCTTCCCATCCTTGTCTTTTAATTGGTATATTTGGACAATTTACATTTAATATACTTACTGCCATGAGTGGGTTTACAGTTTGTTCTTTGTTCTTTGGCTATAATAGTATAATTATGGTCTAGGAATTTTCTTTCTTTCTAAGATTCCCCTTCCTGGTCCTTTGGCTAGTGAAAAATGCTTTGTTTGCTTGTTTTCTATGTCCATTGACATTTTCAGGTTGCTTCCTTTTTCATATCCAAGTCCAGAGAACACACCACCACATTGTTCCATGGGTTCTAAGGCCCCTAGTTTATCTGCCTTATTTTATTCACCTTTCAGAGTTCTCCTTTGTTTGTTTTATACGTCACATCCAGGATTTTTAGTTTACTTAGAGAAGAAATAGAGAACAGTATGTCTAATCCATCTTTCTGGATATATAAGTTAACTTAAGCTCCATATTCAGACAGACTTTGATTCCAATCTTGGCTCCAGCCCCTGCTAATTCTATGTCTTTCAACAAATGACTTACCTCTGAGACTTACTTTCTTCTTCTGCAAAATGAGTGAAGCAGAGTTGTGAAGATGAAGTGAATTGTCTAAAATAAGCATGCAACACAGCGAAAGCATATGGTAAGCTCTCATTAAATGTAATTTTTATAATTATTTCAACTATTATTACTATCATCATTACTGTTGCAATTGTTGCCATTATTACTACAACTCTTACTACTTACAAACACTTCCTTTTCATTCTTTCTGTGAGCACAAAATGTTTTCAGTGATTTACCTCTTAGAGCCTGGTTTCTTGAAATAACAATCAACGGGGAGGTCAGGTTAATCCCCTTTGAGAAATGAGGGTAATGGTAAAGATGTTAGAATTTCTTGCTCCTTTGGTCAAAGACTATGATATGTTCAAGGACACCCAAGCCCAGTTGGTGACTGGACTCTCATAATTGCAAAATTTGCTCCTGAACTGCAAATTTTATTCCACAGTTGCATCCCCCAGCCTTTTGCTCTTGCCTCATTACGTGCCTGGTTTTTATTGTTTTCTCTCTGTTTCATGATTTGCCTCTTCCTCCTTGGATTATTCTCACTCTCTCTGGCTGGGCCCCCTCTCTCTGCAATATACGTTTCAATGTTGTTGTGCCCAGCACTGCCTGGTGTTCTTTGGATGTGTCTCTCACCTTGGTGCTGGAATGAATGGCTAAAGTTCGGGTAATGCCAATGGTAACAAAGGATCACTTCCAAATCACCAGTGACAACCTGAAGGAGAGGAAGCAGGGATCCAAGAGGTGCCTCTTACTCCAGATTCTAGTCCTTATAGGTATAAACTCCTCATCTCAGAAGTAGATATAATTCCTTTGAGAAGATAACACACCCCTGCATTTTTCTTTAGTTTTTCTTTTTATAACAAACAATTTGGGAACAGTTTAGGGGAAAAAGCTTGTGTAATCTCACTCCCCTCACTCCCTGAGGGATTACTTCTTTTATTTCTTGAATGTATATTCTTCCGTCTCCATCCCTTAATATTTTCTGTTCTTCAACTTCTACATATTAATGTTGTGGATAAGTTTTGGGGGGACTAGAATTGTTGTTTAAAGACAATTCAAAATGAATCTAGACAAAGATAATATAGAAAATTGTAATTTATTGTTCCACTCTTATCTGACTGACTAGCTAAAAACCAATAAATTTCTAAATAATGTAAAACCCCTGAGAAATCTCTGGTTGATATGAAGAAGCCTACATTTCATGTTATTCTTATATTTTGTTATGGTAAATTAAATGATTCACATTTTTGGGAGGCAGCAATAACAAAGCTTTAGTTTTTTTTTTTTTAACATTGATGTAGATCAATCATTTCTAACTAATGTGGGTGTTTTCCTGTTTGTAGAGTAGGGATAACAATTACCCTTACTTCATAGAGTTGCTTTGAAGACTAAAATAATGATAACATTTACCATAAAGAATACGATCACACAGGAGTTTGTGATTACTATTGTTGATGTTGCTATTGTTATTACATCATCCAATCAATGTCCTTTAACCAACATAGTAAGAGAAATGAGGTTAGTAAAATTGTTCCAAATCCAATGATTATTTTTCTTACTGTGTGAGAATTCACAAATTTCTGGCAAATAGTTTCCCCTTAAGACAGCAACTGTGTAAGATGTAGAGTACTCAAAACCTCCAGTAGGAAAACTTTTCCTATAAAATAGATTCAGAATAACAAGAGTGGGGGTCAGAAGTTTTTCAGGGTTGTTCTTGCTGGTTTTACTCTAGCAGGTACGGGTTGGAGGCTGAAAGCTACTGAACAATTTTACCCCAGAGAGAGGTCTGAGTGAATTCAGCCAGTGGGGTGGGGAGTTTGGTGAACTATCTCAGAACAAGAAAAAGGAAACTAACTGTGAACTTGAAAGACAGCATTCTTAAAATTAAGTTAAACCAAAACTTAAAATAATTTAAAGTTAGGATATGGGTTGACTTTCTCTTTAACACTTGACTTTAAGCTGACACAGCGTGAGTATACTAGAATGGTTATTCCTTTCCAAAACTAGTCTACGAAAATAAAGACAGAGAGTTAATTCCTATTTGTACAAAGAAAACCCAGTCCTTTCCTGGACTTGGCAGAAGATGAAAACTATGAGTACCTATTCAGTGTTCTTCCACGGGCTTCTCACATAAAGCTGACATTTCCTGTAGCAACAATCTCTGCCTCATCCTTTCACTGTGCGTCACTCTGGGGTTAGATCTAACAAATTGTCAATGTTTCTGCTTCGCTCCCCAGGACTCTTTTTTCTCCTTGATAGTCTCGGTGGTGACAGATTTTCCTTCCATCTTTCCCTAGCCCCAGATTGTTTTAATTACCACTGCTGTGTTTTGTTAGATGGTAAACTGTGAAAATGGCTTTAGGTGGCTTAGTTTTTTTTTTTTTTAACAAAACAAAACACAAACACTTGCTTGGAGTAAAAGGAGGTGCATATGACCTAGGGATATATTGATTTACTCATTTATTCACTAGGAAGGGAAGCAGAACTAAAGATAAGAGGTAATTCATCTGCTGCGCTCACCGCATTTTGACTGCAGAGATTTTTCTTAGTTCATGCTCTATTGACAGTGTCTGCAGGAAGTGGGGAGAAGATGGAACTTTGTATTTCACTAGGAGATCTTAGTCTCTAAATTATCCCGAATTGTTTTCTTTACACAGTCCTGATAAAGGGGAGGTAGGAAGAGGTCAGCACCTCGGTAAACGTGGGCTACTCAACAGTGAGGTGTGAGTACAGATTAGTCATTGCCCCCAGCCCTTATGGCACAGTGCCTAAGGCAGATCCTCCCTCTTTTAAGCCTCAGTTTCCTCACCTGTAACATGGGATAATAATGAAAACCTGTTTAATGTGTGTATGTGGGGAGTGGGGTGGGTGTTTGCTAATGTACAAATGTACTATAGGTTGTGTGTTTACAGTAGCTCTTGTTATTAATGACAGAGGACCTTCAAGTTCCTTGATTGGCTTCTTTTAGAAATCTAGTCTAGCACAGTGCCTAGTTTATTAAGGGGGCTTGATATAGGAGATTTTTAAAATAAAGGAATGAATGAATGAACTAAATTGAGGACATTAAGAAAGTAGAAGGAAAGAAAAGTAAGAGGTTTTTGAAAAAATGGAGCCAACTTTTGACCTCTTAAAAATGGGAAACATCTTTAGGGGAAGAAACTCTATTGTCCATTCTACAGAAATAAAAGCATCGTGTAATTAACACTGTAAATAAAAGTTCAGCTTAGCATTCAGGTTTTGCTTTGGTAATATTTATACAAACGCTTATACTTCACATGCTGTTAGTTGGGAAAAATACCTGTCATTGATATATTACCAATACTTATAGCAATATATGTTTATTAAGGACTTAGTTCTTTCTTGGTTACTGTCCTAATTGCATTATATATCTTAACCTACTTAATATCAATTTGATTTTCACACAAGGCCAAAAAGTAGACACAGTTGTTATCCCATATTATAGACAATAAAGCAGAGAGATAAAGGTAGCAGTGACAAATTGGTAGTGCCAGAATTGGTAAGTCTCTGGAGACAAATCTAATTTTAGAGTTTTATTTTGGACATTTTCTGTTTTTGCTATACGATGATGGAGTTCTTTTTGCCTAGCTGCATGTACTCTGCCACCTCTATGTAGGCAATCTAAATATGTCACTGTTCATTAGCTATTTGTACAAATGATCATGCTATATTTCTAGAATGTCATATTTGACAATGTGTTAAATAGCCCTGTGCTATGAATAGCCCTCTGTATGAATCAGCTTGCAGACTGGCAGGCTTGTTCTTGTCAAATCACTTCCAATCTAGACTTGCCTAATCACAAACCTTCTTCTTTTTCTTCTTCCATAGCTCTCCAGCAACTTTGGATAAATAGTGCTTTAGCTAACAAAAGCTCCTGCCTCCATCTGGGGCATTGCTACTTCCTTTTCTGGCTTGAAGCTTGGTTGCTCTGCTGTTAAACAAGTACAGCAGTTTCAGCACCGGGGACAGCATATTTTTTAATGAAGTGGTAATGGAATGTAGAGTCGGACAGGCCTTGATAAAAATGGAGTACTCTGATTAAATATTACACTCCATTCCCATTTCTTCATGCAATTCCAATTTTTCTTCTGGTTACCAAGCTTCATTCCCAGTCATTGAAGACAGCAATGCAGTTCGTGTATGCTGTGCCTCCAAATAACTTTTAATTAGACATTTAAATTAGACTGGTGCTGGTTCACTGAATCCAGAGTTTTTGTATTTCTCCAATCCAATTATTAGATGTTTTAATTTACCAATTCATGCCTTGCTATTTATTTTAATATTACTTACCATGGCATTAAACCTATAATTCCTAGATTTTCTCATAAAGAAAATGAGATATAAATGTCTGAAATTAAGAACAGAAAATCCTAAGCAGTCAAATTTATAATAAAAAGTAAATAAAGCAAGCTTAAGACATCAAATCTGTAATCGAAAATAGCCATTCTCTAGACAGGTGCTGACGAGGGAGAATGAACAAAAATACTGTAATGTTATGGAGAGGACATCTGAAACATCCTAAGGGATTTCCTTGTGCTTTTTGTGAAGGTGAAAGTGAATACGGGCTTTCCTGATGAGATGGGCTACTTCACAAACCCATTTTGGTCTCTACTGGCCAGAACTGGGTTGCAGTTACAGGCCATCGGAATCTTTTCAGGATAGGGGAGACTGGGGCATGAGGTGTGGAGTTAAGTAGATGTGAGGAAGGTTGACATGGCCACTCTAAACATTTATTGAATACTTGTAATACACTGGGAATTTTCTGAGTGCTTTTGCTCATTTAACACATACTGTTATAAAGTATGAACTATTACTATCTCCATTTATAGAAGAACAAGCTGAAGCACAGAGAAGTTAAGTATCTGATCCAAGGTCACATAGAGAGTAAGCACTGGGAGTGAGATTGGAACTCAAGCTGGCTCCTGAATTTGCACTTTCTATCCTCACTCTGCCATACCTCTCCAAAAAAGCAGATAGTGAAAAACAAGAAAAAGCTGGGCTCCTCTGTCAAACCAGTCACAAATGGTAGGAGTTCTTGCCTAATGTAGTCATTATGAGGATTAAATTGGATAATTCATGTTAAAATGCTTAGCCTAGTATCTGGCATAGAATGTTGTTCATAGTGGACATTAATTGAGTGCTTGCTGCATGTCTTTAAGAAGAAGAAAACCATTTAGTGATGATGATGATGATGATGATGATAATGGGACAGAAGTACAAAGAGGATGAAGCCTAAAGCAAACCCTTAGACGTGGCTTCAGGCACTCCCATCATTATGTAGTGCTCTCAATCTTGATGGTGGTGGATGGAGTCACGAGCTGAGGGGACAAAGAGGGGTTGAGGGGGTTAAATGATTCATTTTTCCTTCATGCGCCAGTGCATAAAAACTGGATTTTAACACTAAACAACCCGTGATCCCAACCACGGGCTGGGCCCCGGGCCATCCATGTGCATCCTTTCATCAGTCTGGGGAAGCCTTCTGAAGCAGTGCCTGGCAAAAGTCCAGTGGGGACCCACTGTTTCCACTCACCAGCAATTCAGAGAAAACATTCACAAGCCAAGCATCTCCTGGGCTTCTTATGAAGATGCATGCTCTGCCCTCAAAACATTCATTATCTAAGAGTAAAAATAAAGTATGTTTATATTTAGTGAAGAATGTGAGACTGGGAACTGAGGGACAGACATAGGGACAGTTAGTGTGTCTCTTCCAGGAACGGCAATCAAGGTCTTTTTCAAGACTTTTTTATCTGAGGATTTGAGTCAGACAAAAAATCGAGGCTTTAGTGAACTTTCAGTGAGACGTCTTATGTAGCCTTGGTGGCAGAGAAATTTTCAGGTACTCCATGCCCACTGCTGAAGCTGAAATGGGTCATATTCCATCTGCTTTTGTCCCCTATATAAGTTTATTTTGTGGGAAGGGAGGTTACCTATGATCTGAGCTTAGCCAATCAGATGATCTTTCCTAGAACTTCACACCTTGATCCAGTCACCCAAGAACACAGTGACTATAGGTCGTACATAATAAAGATGGTACCCTACCTGACTAGGGTTTTCTTATTGCAATAGACAAGGAGACTGTTGCTTTGCTGCCTGAGTCCTGTTCTCTGTCACTCTCTTGGTTCCCACTTCTTCCCAAACCCAACCACTCACTAATTCTTTGAGCCCTCAATAATTTTCCAATATATTCCCTGTTATCTAAATTAGAGTCAGTGTCTGATACTGAAAACCAATAACCCTAACTTACTAATAATACTACTGCTAATACTGCCTCAAAACGAAATTTAGTCATAGCAACAGCCACAGTCCCATTAGGGTTTTATGGGGTGCTGTTATTAATATACCATATTGGGAACTGCATGCCTATGCCTCTTAGGGTTTTTTATATCCCTAATATTGTACATGAATTTGTGATAGTAACCACCCTAGCTTTCAGTTTTGCTAAAGTGCATCAGTAAGGCTTCTGAAGCCATGGGGATCTTTGAATTTCCTATAGAGTGAGATAAGGCTCTTTCTCATTACTCTAAGAATAGCCCAGCTCCTAAAGCCATTCAGAAATCCACAGAGGGAGATCTGGCTCACAGGCCTTGCAATAAACTCTTATTAACACTATCAAAAGTAATCTGCTTTTGTCTTGACCTCACTTTAGATTCTCGGCAGGTATAATGGACAGATTTGTAGGGTTTCCTTTTCCTTTTTAAAAGACTAGATAAATGTACCTTTCTTTCATCAGATTATAAAAGTCTAATGTAAATGGAAAGTTCATTGCTCACCTTGATAATAGACGTAATCTTCCTAGTGGATGCCCTCCTGTCAGAAGACATGTGAGATAGGCCTAGAGATTGTTTTCGGTTAAAACAGCCTGAAAATAAGCTTAATTTCCCAGTTTGTGCACTTTAACTTCTCTCCAACGGATGTAATGGGAAAATGCTTTTTATCAACTTTCAGTGAGGAAAAGATGTATGCTTTCTATTGTTTACAGTTACACTTGGCTGTGTTGGTCCTGTGCAGTCTGGTTATAATTGGTCCTGATGTTCAACTCATCAATTAGACCAGGCTCCTTATTATTTATTTCTTTTGGTGGTGGATAGGTGGGAGCATTGGGAGGAAGAGTGAGAAACTGTTAACATCAATGTTGGTTTTACACTGAGTATTAAAATAAGCTCAGACTCAAAGTATAGATAAAAGCACATCAAAGCAGCACTCACTGAGTATGTTTAGCATTTTATACCTCACAACATGTGTTTGTTTCTGTCACTTTGGGTTCTATAGCAAATAGGAAGCCTGCATACACCTTTGACCCAAGGGAAAACCAAGGCTTACACACACACACACACGGACATTTGACTCAAGTCACACAGCTAAACAAACACTGTTATGAATGAGATTTTGCATATCAGGCTGTTGGCTCATTTTCCTTGGTTAAACAACATGGCAGGTAGGAAAGCCTAGAAGAGAGATGGGATTTGAAAGCAGCAGACCCGAGCTGTGCTTCCAGCTGTGTTCCTTCTTGGTTAGCTGCGTTGTGGCAAGAATAAGCCTTAGTTTTTCATCTGTGAAACAGGAATAATAACAATGCCTGTTTTTCATGAAAAACACTTTGTAAAATGCAAAGTACTTTAAAAATACAATTATTATATATTTATGATAATAATTGATTATGTATTGAGCATTTACTATGTGCCAGGTATTGACACACATTATTTTATTTTTATATTGTAAAATAAAGCATATATCAAAAATTTCCTAAAACATCATTATATTGTGTAAGAATTTGTTGTGAAGGTTACATCTGTGAACTACCACCACATCAAGAATCAGAATGCTATCAGCAAACCAGAAACTGTGAGTACACATCTCTCTTCCTCCTTCCCCTAGAGGTAACCTCTATTCTAGGGTTAAAGCAATCATTTATATGCTTTTCTTTATATTTTTAATAATCCACAAATAATATAGTTTAGTTTTGCCTTTTTTTTTTTTTGACAGAGTCTTGCTCTGTTGCCCATGCTGGAGTACACTGGTGCAATCTCAGCTCACTGCTACCTCCGCCTCCCAGATTCAAGAGATTCTCCTGCCTCAGCCTCTTGAGTAGCTGGGATTACAGGCACCTGCCACTATGCCCAGCTACAAGAGATTCTCCTGCCTCAGCCCCCTGAGTAGCTGGGATTACAGGCACCTGCCACTATGCCCAGCTACAAGAGATTCTCCTGCCTCAGCCCCCTGAGTAGCTGGGATTACAGGCACCTGCCACTACGCCCAGCTAATTTTTGTATTTTTAGTAAAGATGGGGTTTCACCTTGTTGGCCAGGCTGGTCTCCAACTGAACTCCTGACCTAAGGTGATCTGCCTGGCTTGGCCTCCCAAAGTGCTGGAATTCCAGGCATGAGACACTATGCCCAGAAGTTTTGCCTTTTTTTGAACTTTATATTGATTGAATCAAATGGCATGTATTGTTTTGCATTTGGTTTCCTTTATTGACATGGGGTTTTGAAGGTTCATTCAACTCATTCTGTATAGCTGTAGTCATTCATTTTCATTACTTACAGTATTCTACTGGATGAATATATAATAATTTATCTAAACCTCATACCATTGATTGATATTTAGATTGTTTCTTGCTTTTTGCTCTTGTGAATGATGCACTTATAAATTAGTACATGTATCTTGATGCACATATGTATGCAATTCTGTAGGCTATGCGTTAGCAGTACAATTACTGAGTCACACACAGATTATATATATCTTTAATTCTATTAGACTGTGTCTTACTGCCCGTAAAAAGGTAGATGTCCCAATTTACACTCCCACTAGCAAGTATAAGAATTTACATTGTTCCATACCCTCTCCAACATTCAATATTTTTGCATGTTTAAGTAATGATGAGTCTGGTGTCCATATAGTAGCATCTCACGGAGGTATTAATATGCATTTCCCTGATTACTACCGAGGGTGCATCTGTTTATAAGTTTATTTATCTTCTTTTTAAAGTGTTTGTTCACAGGTCCTGCTTATTCTCTATTGGGTTGTCTATCTTTTCTCACTGATTTGTAAGGTTTTAGAAAACAATAATCTAGCCACAAGTCCTTTGTTGGTTATCCATGTATCAAATATCCTTTTCCCTCTATGCTTTGCCTTTTCTTTCTCTGATGGTGTCTTTTGATGAACGTGCTTCTTCTTTTAAACATTGTCTAATTTATTAATCACTTCCCCTATGCTTATGGCATTTTGTGTCTTGTTATATGAAATCTTTCATTTCACTGAAGTTGTAAAGACTTTTTAAATGCTATTTTGTAAAATCTTCCAGTTAAGGTGGGGATACAACAGTTCACCATCGGGCAGCTGAAGTTAAGCCACTATTGAGGAAGGGGAGAGAGAAAATGTGGACTGTGGATTTCAGGTTAGTGACACCCATTTTACTTTTGAGTGCTTAGAAGGATCTGTTCAAGGAAGCAAAAGTATATAGAAAGTAGGATAGGTGCAGTAGGCTGGTCCAGGGTTCTATGGTTAGGTCATGCAAGATAAGTGTTTTATTTTTTTTTCTTTGCCTCCATTTCAGGCGCGCACACACACACACACACACACACACACACCCCAAAACAAAACCAAACCATACTGAGCTGCTTTATTTTGAGGAGAGTGGCAATTCTGATCCAGTTACTGTTTGCAGTAAAGAAAAAAATTTTGAAGAAGAGAAGGATAACTAGAGCTTTGATACAATATTTCTCCTAGCGTGGAAAACACAATTTGGGTAAAATTTAAGACATGAAAGAAGATGGAAGAAATTTTGAAATTGAGGTTTAGAATGTTTTGCAGATTTTTCATTCAAGAGCAAGGGTTACCAAGCTTATGGGAATTCTTTAAGTTTCATAGTATCTCTTTTACCCTGTTCCTTGCCCTTCCAAGTAACGTACTTATTAGTATGTTATAGAATATTAGAGATGGACGATCTCAAATTCAGCCTTTTCATTTTTCAGGTGGGGATACTAAGACTAAAGAAGAATGAAATCTTTGCCTGTGGTCACAGAGCTATTCAGTAAAATAAAATAACAAAAACTAGGTTTCTGAATATCCATCCATGGTTTCTAAAAGTGCTATAGAGTGCACATTTGAATAAAAGTAAATTGCTTGGAGAAATTTCTGACAATTTGAGATGCCATTAGGGATAACTGGAGACATTTATAGTTATTATAAAATCAGGACAAGTGATAGAAAAGTCCATTAAAGTGTGACCAACTCTCCAATTCTAGTCTTACATAAAAACTTAAATCTTTTAATTAATAAAAAACTTTAAAAATACAGTATTAAAAAGTTTAAAAATATATGAAACACTTTAATAGGCACTTTACAAAAGGGATACACAAATGGCCAATAAATATGTGTAAAATGTGCTCAACTTCATTCATCATTTGGAAAATGCCAAATAAAACCATAACGAGGTACAATTACACATCCACTAGAATGCCAAAAAACAAATAAGAAGATAAGGCAAAATCAAAACACCATAGACAATACCAGGTGTTGATGAGGACACAGAGCATCTGAAACTCTCATCCTATGATGGTGGGAGCATAAAATGGTCTAACCATTTTGGAAACTGGTAGTTTACTAAAGTTTAGTATATGGATACCCTATAATCCAGCAATTCTACTTCTAGGTATGTACCCAAGAGAACACACATATGCAATATAAGACGTGCACAAGAATCTTCGTAGCAGAGCTTTTCTTAAAAGCCTCACTCTGGAGATATTCCAAATGTTTTTTAACGATGAAATGGATAGTGGCATATTTATACAATAGAACTACACGCAGCAATGAGAAAATATGAACAACTATGACATGCAGCAGTATGACTATATCTTACAAACATAATATTCAGTGAAAGAAGCCAGACAGAACAGAGTATATCATGGAGAATTTTATTCATACAAAATTCAAAAACAAATTTACAGTTTACCCTTAAACAACACAGGTTTGAACTGCATGGGTCAACTTATACAATAGATTTTTTTTTCAAACAAATGCAGATAAAAATACGGTATTCCTGGGATGCCAACCCCATGTGTACAGAAGGTCAACTTTTTGTATAGGTGTGTTCTGCAAAGCTGACTGCAGGACTTGGGTACATGTGGAGTTTGATATTCCCTGGAGTCCTGGAGCCAATTCCCTGCATATACTGATGATGGAAAGTATTTTGTTAAGAAGTCAGAATAGTGCTTATCCTTGGGGAAATGACAGTGGTGGGTGAATAGAGCTCTAGTCATGTTTTCTTACTTGGTTTGGATAGTGGTTACACACGTGTGCTTAGACTGAAAATTCATCAAGCTATGATATATATCATATATGATATATATCACATTTGTGATATATACATATTTTTTTCTGCTTGTATGTTATGCTTCAATAAGATGTTCAAAAAATCTTAACTTTCTGCAAAGTTCCAGAGCCAGAGGTCTGGAAAAAAACCAGCATTCTACCATCCATACGGCAACCTGAATACATTTTCCATTTGACACACTCTTTCCACTTAGCCTGGCATCTGCTGCACATCTGTATCCCCCCTGGCAGCAGTAAGTTAAGCAACCCAGATGCTGAAGAAAAATCATAGCAGTAGGAGGCTGAACTTAAGACTCATAGATGAGGGAGGGCAGCTAAGTTTTCAAGTGACATCAGGAATGAATAGGAAAGTCGATTGGGAAGCAAAGAAGGAGAAAATGATCATTTTTGGCAGGAGTGAAGGCAGATTTTGCCATGGAGTCTGGTAGATTGTGAACTGGAAGATACAGCACAAAAATGAACAACAGTTAAGAACAATGTAAAGAACATGCCTGGGAAACTGGGGAGTTCTTTGCCCTGATAAAACACATGGCTGTCACTAGCTGTCTCTGCCAAGGAAGGACTGTATTCCTGTCTCATACATTACTTTTAAAAATATGAGAGAGAGAGAGAGAGAACCCTTAATTTTGAAATGCCCTTTCTTTCTGTACCAGAAGGAAAGTGGGGACTTGCTTTTATAACAGGAAAAGAAAAGCAACTTTGAGTATTACAGCATGCATGGAACATCCATAGGTATCATAACATTTAATCCTCATAGCAACCTGTGAGCTGGTGAGGGTTATTCTCTTTTATACATGGGACTTTAGACTCAGAGTTTGAGAAACTAGCACATTGTCCCATTAGTTTAAGACAGAGCCCAGCTTTGAACAGGCCCCTGTGTGACTAAAACTCCTTACTCTTTTTCACAAAAACAAGCACTGTCTTATGGAAATAGCTCTGCTTCTTCCCTTCTGCACTGATTTCCAAGGAGGAGGAAAATTCTGTCAGGAAACAACTGGTCTGTGATATCTGTCTGGGGAATCTACAAGAGCAGGGATGGGACTGTTTTGTGACTTAAAAAGAAGGGGCACACTGAATCCCAAACATCATGGCAGGGGGGCTCTAATGTATACCCCAGTGCACTGAGGGCATTCAGGGCTTCATTGCAGCCTGGTAGCTGTGGCTCCTTAGGGCAAACTACCATCCCTTTAAGTGGGATCTCAGCCTATAGGTTGAGTAGGTGGGATGTGTTATATGATGTTATTTGGGTTGCACCACAAATCTCCAAAGGAACCCCCAATTCTCCTACACCTACTCCAGTGACAGAAATTCCCACCCCAGCTGTGTCTCTGCATGAAGGCATTATCTGAGGGTAAGTTAAAACCTGGAGAGAAATCACAGTCATTTATCACACAGGCCTTCATTGCTTCATTGGGAGAACCCATTGCCCTTTTGGTGGGCAGGCACAGACTCTGGAGGCTGAGACCCCAAAGAAGTGTATTTTGATGCTGGGGGAAGGTGAAAGATTCAAGGGCTGCCGATGTGGAGGTTAATCTCATTGCATGAGGTAGTCAGGGATAGGTGTGGAAAATGGAGAGATACTCAATGGACTTGGGGGTGGTAGTGTGGGGGATAGTGAGAAGCCACATACACACATACACATACACACACATGCACACTATGCATGCATGCACACTCACACTCATACATACACATGCACACCACCCACACCACACCCCCACCCCAGATACTCAGTGGGTTATATTGGAGTCAGATAATCTGTGTTTGAACCTCACTTCTCTCACTAGTCAGTCTATGATCCTGGCCCAGTTACTTAACCTTTCTGAGCCTCATTGAGCTCATCTGTAAAGCATCTGTAGAGACTGAATGAAAGAAAAATCTACCCATCCCCTACCATGCTGTGAAAACAATGTCTGGTCCAAGGCACTTGTGGATATGGCTGAGTGACACTACAGAGGTGGAACTGGAGTCTAGGACAGGCCCAGGAGGGAGCAATGGGCCAGAGGGCAACAGAGGGGAGCATGATGGAAGTCATGGGGATGCAGATTTTATGATCATGCCAGAGCTACAGAATAAGGAAGACTTTCTGGTGATGGAAGAGGCTGCCTTGTGAGAGAGTGTGCCCCCTACTGGTGGAAGAATCACACAGGCTGCAGGGACACCTGTCGGGCAAGATGAAGTTTGGATTTCTGCACTCAAGGAAATTATTTCGGGTTCAAATCGCCCAGTGGGGAAGATTGTAGGGTTACTTTCTTTCTAAGCATTAACCAGGGAATTGGAAAGTGAGCTGTCCAGAGATGAGTGTAGACACCCAGGTTGGCCATCCTTGGAGAGGACCCAGAGATAAGCAACAGTATGTTGTTTTCACTTTTGATTATTTCATTGTTTGATGTCTGACTCCTGGTTTGAGTGTGCAGTAGACACTGGTTTGAGTGCCTACCTGAAATTCATTTTGTCTCTTTTCCCTTCTCACCTGGACCTATGCGTTTATTTGAGGAACTGCCTCTTTTTGGGTAGTTGTAGCCGATGGAGGATACCGAAACCCGATCTCTATGCTTATAGTATGTACTCTGGGTTCTGGTCCTTTTGCTGAAAATTGTATTTGGCCTGACTTCCAGCTGGCAGTTTTTGCATTTCTTTTTCTGAGAGTTTCCTTTGACTTTTCTTTGTCACATAGGTAATTGGAGAGAAGTAATGTTCTGTAATACCAGTCTGAAACTAATGACTCAGAGGAGTAGTTGGATAAACACTCCAGCTCCCTCACCCCTCAGACTTGTCTTTCCTCCCTCATACCTCACTCCTGCACTAGTGTTTTCCAGAATTGTCTCCACGATAAGCTACTTTCACTTAACTCTTTGTTTTCAGGGTAGGTTTTTGGGAAACTCAAAGTAAGGGAGTATTACTCCTAAGGTTTGAGCATAAGCAAATGAGTATAATCTCATATGTCCAGCCCTCTGCAACTGGTTCAGAAGTGAATGGGCAGCAATCAAAATCTATATAAATTAATATATGATTTCAAGGTTTGCTTTAGGCATTGTCCAATCAGCGGGACAGGGATTCTGACTTGTTCGCTTCTGTATCTATAGTTCCTAGCAGAGCTAGGAGCTCTAATAGGAGGCCTTCTGTCAATGTTGGTACCTAATCCATATTAAAGTAATAATGAATTATAGAATCATGTTATCAACCTCCCAGGAATAATTACAGCTTAAAAGAGACAGAAATAATTTAACCCCAAAGCATATATCATTACTTATGAAATCCTAGTGGAAGATCTGACTTGGAATAGGAACTCCTGTTTTGATGCTCAACAACATATATTAATTTTGCCTGCTTGTGTATTTTATATGAATGAATTCACAGAGAGGGTATACTTGGTTGTGGCTTCTTTTGTTCAACATGATGTTTGAGAGCATCATTTATTTTGTGGTGGGTAGCACTGATTGACTTATTCTCCCTGCTGCATAGTATCCCATAGTATGGAAATGCAAAATGTATCTATCCAACCTTCTGTTTATAAGCATTTGGACCCTTTCAGCTTTGGAGATAGGAATAGTGCTTCTGTGAACATTACAGTATGTGTGTGTTTTGATGCTCTAATTACGTAGTGTTCTTGAGTATCCACCTGAATTAGAATTGCTTGGTCATAAGGTTTATACACATATGTTTTAGTAGATGCCACCTAAGGTTTTTTGATGTTTTGTGTAGTGTGTTTTGTATGTTTTAGAAGTTTGGGCAGGGCACAGTGGCTCATGCCTATAATCTCAGCATTTGGGAGCCCGAGGAGGGAGGATTGCTCATGCCTTGGAGTTCAAGACCAGCCTGGGCAACATAGGGAGACCCCTGACTCATATATATGTCATATATATGACATATATATGACATATATTATATATATAATATATATATATAATATATATAATATATATATATATATAATATATATAATATATATATCCAGGCATGGCGGTGCATGCCTGCAGTCCTGGCTACTTGGGAGGCTGAGATGGGAGGATCCCTTGAGTTTGGAAGGTTGAGGCTATAGTGAGCTGTTATTGCACCACTGCATTCAAGACTGGGAGAAAGAGTGAGACTCTATTTCCAAAAAAATCAAATAAACAAATATGATTTGTTTTTAAAAAAAGAAGTTTAAATTAATTATAAATATTTAAAAATCAGATTTCCCACAAGAGAATTGGACAAATCAAAGGCCACACTGCCAAATGAAATCAAACAGGCTGTAGCTAGTTGTAGCTGGCTACTTCAGCGAGGGAGCTCACCACAGTCCCCAAGCAGTTGCTTCATTCACAGTCCCCAACCAGTCTGCTTCAATACTTTCTTGAGGTGAGCAGGCCTCATTCATTTGTTGAAGACTGCTGGGAGAGTGTTGCTCATTCCCCAAGAATTCAGACCTGGTGTACTTGTGTGCAAAGTGGGCTCTGGAGGTCTGAGGATTTCTCAGGCAAACAAAAGCAGATGCTTGCTGGCATTTGGAAGGCAAGGACTGACATGATAAGACAGGAATACAAGTGAGGCAATAACTGGCTGCTATGTCAATATATTCCATGTTTTCTCTCAGGTCTCCTGCCCCTAGAATCTAGATCCTAGAAGCCTGGTTCTTACAGCCTCAATACATAGAGCTGGACATGTGTTGCTTTCACTTATGCATATGAAATTTCTGCTCCCATTTCCGAAGGTCCATCAACCCCCCCTCCTCTACCATCCCCTTATTAGGCATGGCCAGATATCTACAGACTCATGGCAGTTTTATTCCTATTACAATCTAGAGTATCCAAGGTCTCTGCCGAAAGCCTTTCTTTCCTTGTTTTCTTTCTATCCAGGTACATAACATCTCCATCACCTCTGTGCAAGCATATTTAAAATATTTTGATAATACATTTACTGGGATAGGTTCATTTTATGTTTGCATATCCTATGATTTGCAATCAAGTAGAACAATTAGATTGTTGCACAGACTTTTAAACTGCAGTTAAGAGTTTCCTGGAGATGGGAAGTCTGTATGGAGATAAAGCAGAAATTATATTTCTTTTTTATTGCTCTTCAATTTTCAATTTATATTCTAAGGTGATTTTTTATTTAAAAAAATTATTAGATTCATAGAAGAGAATAGGATCCATGTGAATAAGAGGAAGCCTACTTATTTATCAGATTTTGTGTTAATAACACACACTGCAAAAAAAGAAAAAAATAAGGCTGCAAATGGTCCCTTTGATAAAGAACCCTATGGGATATTTTTGCAAAAGATGGAAAAGTCTAACTTATTCAAAAAATAACAAATATTTAGCCACCCACTGAGACTTAAGTGCATCTATTCCAATCACAATAATTCTTAGAGGAATACAGTCAGTGCCAAATCACTTTCATTTTCATTTAAAAACAGCTAAGGTCTTAAAAACAAACACTCCAAAACCCCCCAAAATGTCTAAAGTAATTTAAAAAATACTATTGGCCACAATTTCCTTGTTAGCTAATTTAAAAAATTTATTTGGAAATGACATAAGATTAAAAGATTAAAAAAAAAAAGAGAACTTTGTGAAAATACCGCATGGTTAACATATGCAATGAGAGAGTTTAACCTGGAAGTATTAAATTCCTACATGCAGAAACTAGAAAAAAATTTCAGTTAATACTAGACACACACAAGCAATATATTTGTGTGCACATATGATGATAAGTCTGTCTTGTCTTAGAAGGATGTTATCAAATGAATCTATATAACATAATATGTGTATATACACATACACACCTGTATTTTTATTGCTATTCTCTTCTAAGAATCTAAGAACTCTTTTTTAAAATTTAGAAATCACCTTAGAATATGAATTAAAAATTGAAGAGCAATAAAAGGAAATATAATTTCGACCTTACCTCCATACAGATTTCCCATCTCCAGGAAACTCTTAATACTGTTTAAAGTGCTGCGCAACAATCTAATACATCACACACATACACACACACACACACACACGCAGAGTTGGTTTTCATTATTCACAATAGTTATGTTCTACAAAGTTACCATGGACACTGAATTAGCTAATATTGAACTATTGCTCCTAGAGGAAATGCAGGGTTAAGTTCCCCAGAGCCTCTGATCACAATGCTTTCATCAATCAAACATTGATTGGTCTTTTATGTTATATAGATTCATTTGATAACATCCTTCTAAGACAAGACAGACTTATCATCATTGAAAATCTACTCTTCCACATAGCACTTAGTAACTATTTAAACAAATTTTTTTGCAGCCTCTTGACCTGCAGAAACTGCATATTTAAAATTTTTCATGCAATACTACTTTTTGAAGCATGTAAGCCAGCCAGCAATAGCTGAGAAGAATTTGAAATTTTCCTGGCCCGGAGTAACATGACCATAAATTTCTTTGGTTTCTAGCCTCATGACAATACTGTCCATTATGCATTTTTATCACATGTAATCTTCTAAATTCACAAATTAGCTGCTTTTTCATCTTTTCCATAACTTTGTCATACACTGCAGATGTTACTTTAGCATTTGCTGAAGCAGCAAGTTTCTTGTTTTTTCTTAAATGTATGATATTGTTGATTTATTAACATTGAACACAGTCAATAGCACTATACATCATGCCTGAACTAAACTTATCTAGTACATGTATGTTTTCCATAAGGCACATTCAGTCTTCTTGCATGTAGAAACACTTCTTGCAGTTAGACAGCACTTCAGCACTATGCTTGGGGTCCTTTTAAACAGCATCATCAGCAACTAAAAGCACAACGGCGTGAAAAACATGGCATTAAGTAGATTGCCAAAGAAACTCTTGTTTGCAGTATTAGAGCTGAGATAAGAAAGCATGAAGTTACCTTATTTGGCTGGAGTTGGAAACATGCATGTCTGGTAACTCAAATTTTTCATCACTCTTTTCATGTCCATGAATGACTGTGAAAGCTTCATGGACATTGATTTGGGGCTTACTAATGAGTCTTAGTGAGTAGATGTATTAGCACATACCAAATCCACAAATAATGAGGATCAAGCATATATTATTGCTACTTGATGCATAGTTCATCAGATATGGGTAATTAGAATAACATTTTTATTAGTATTTTTAATTCTTTTGAAGGGAAAATTCTTGAAATAGTGGGGTGTTTTTTGTGTGTGTGTGTGTGAGTGGCTTCCCTTATTGATTATCTCCAAGTTGGCATTCCCTTATCTCCCTTGGCTTTTAGAATAAATTTTTGTTCTCATCCTTGAGTGCTATATTCTAGGTAATATCTTGGAAACCTGTCAAACAATCTTGGTTCTGAATTCTGATTCTGGCATGTATTTAGCTATGGTTCTGAATTCTGTTTCTGGCATATTTTTAGTTATGTGACCATTGGCAAACTACTTAACCTTAAGAAATTTTATTTCCTTATAGCCAAATGTATATAATAATAATACTTCTTTCCTAGTACCACAGTAAGAGTTAAAAAATAAATTTAAAATGCTTTGCAAATTGTTGATTACATGAGAATTCCTTCTCTGTATCCTCATGGGAATGTGTTTGATTAGAGAGGCATATAAAGCAGTGGGTAAAAGAACAGATTTGGGAGTCATTTGCCTTGTTCAAATCCCAGCTCCATTGGTTACCCACAGTGAAATTGTGGGAACAAGTGGTGAGATGAAGGTCTCCTCTATCCTGGGTCCTGGAGTGATCACATGGAGTAGAACTCCAACTGACTCATTTTATAACATGAGTGTGAAATGAACCCGTATTGTGCACTGAAAATACTCTAAACCTGAAATGTGCAATGGGAGATTTGTATCATAGAACAGATTCAGAAATTCAGGGATTAATTTGTTTCCGTAGTTTAACCAAGTGTTGTCTGACAAGTACTTACAGGCCCATGGACCTGTGGCCTTCACTGGGGGCAAACAATTAGGATAGTTATATAGGATAACTATATATATAGTTATATAGGATGGTGAGCTTGTAAGAGCTTAAAAAAGAATATTCTATTTCAAGAGACCCAGGTGTGATTGCTGCATGTGTGCATATATACTTGGGGAAGGGGTAAGGTTTATGCTGAACAGGAGTGCCTCAAGAAGGGGCAGACTCAAAGAAATTAGAGGAAGTCTTTCAATCATTAGTAAAATCTAGCCATGTGAATAAGAGACATGGAAATGGTGGGCTGATGGAAGAACATTCTAGGCAGGGGAAACTGCATGTGAAAATGTATAGAAGCATAAGAAAGCAGGTACTGGCAAGGGCTAGAGCAGTGTGGGGACAGTATCTCATACTAGGCAGTCAGTGAAGATTTTGGAATAGAGAAATGACAGTAGCAAAACTAGGCTCTAGAAAGATTAGTCAATCATCAACACTGATCTGTGATTGGAACAGATGGATAATATAAGCAAGAAAAGCAGTTGAAGGCTATCTTCTCAAACTGTCTACTTGCAGAATTAAAGCATCTATTCCAGGGCAAGGGGAGAGACAGCTTTCAGAGTCACTGAAAAAAGAAGGCATTATATTTGTCGAGCATATCTGTCAGCAAAGCTATAATAATGCTGTGTAACAACAATAATGAAAACAATAAATGATCAGAAATTCAGTAGCGTATAGCCACACTTTTTTTCACTCATGAGACTTTCAGTTAGTTAGAGTTTGGCTGATCCTGGTTGGATTCAGCAGGATTTGTCTCTAGGCTATCGGTTAAGTTCATGTTTGTTCTACCTGTCTCATTCCAAGCCTAGGCTGGAGGAACAGTGGATATCCAGACTATATTTTTTTTCATAACAGCGCACAAGTGCAAAAGGACAAACCAAACTTCACAAGCACATTTTAAGCCTTTGTTCACATTAAGACTATTCACATCCTATTGAACAAAGTAATTCACATGAATAAGCCCAAAGTTAAAAGGTGAGGAGGCGCACTCAGCCCAACATGAGGCCACAGAGGGGTGACGCATTGAAATCAATTGTTGAATCTGTCCCAGTGGATACAGGAAAAGGAGAGATCAAACTCACCCCAAAATTTTGGACCTGATTGAGTGGAAGACTGTCTGTCTTCTGTTTAATTAGTTGCTAGAGCAATATGCTATTATAGATCGGGTTTCTTAGTCTTTCTTCAGCTGGGAAATAGATCCAAACTTATTTTCCTCCAATGAAAGAAGGCTCATGGACTTCAGGAAATACCTTTAGGCTTCAAGACCTTTCATTCTTTATTTAACTGCTTCATTTTGAAGACTTTCATTGTCTGAGACCCTCTGGCTTTAGGAAGGTTTCTCATAACTTAGGAGTTATGAGGCTTTTGGGAAGTTACTTTAACTTCACTGTCCCTTAGTGTCTTGACCTGTAAAATGTACATAATAATTCTACCTGCTTTATACTAAACAAGGTAATACAGGTAAAGCTCTTAGAGCATTTCTGAACTCTAAGTAAGTGTTCCGTATGTATTGTTATTATTAACTCAGTTAATCCTCATGGCAACTCTATTACGTAGGCATTTTAAAAACAATTATCATCTTACAGATAAAGAATCCAAGTCAGAGTAAGTAGCTTTTCCAGGATTTCATACCTAGTGAGATAAGTCTAAATCCAACTTGACCACCATCTCCACACCCAGTTCCATCATAGAGAATAATTATTTTTATTATTCAATAGAACTAATTCCAGACCATTTTATGTGTATTTATCTTTACATTTGTAAAAGTATGATATTGTTTTGTATATATGTGCAGATTTCCTTTTAAAACATGCTATATTATATTCATATATTCCATTACTTGCATTCATTCAACTCAACACTATATTTTAGAAGTTTTCTGGTGTTACTAAAATAAATCTATCTTATATAAAGTTTCCCAAATAATTTAATGGCCTAAATATACTCTTACATTATTCAGCCCTTCCACTCTTGGTAAACACATATCTATTACTAACAATACTGTATTGGCTACCCTAGTACAAGCCCCCTGGTGTGATAGATGTGTGTTTCTCTGGGTAAGATTTCGAGAAGTACACTTGCTGGGCCATAAATGTACACAGTTACAATTTTAGGGAATCTTAGCAAGCTTCTCTTCAGTGTGGCTCTGGGAGTTCACTCTCCCATGGGCAATGAAGGGGGTTTGTTTCTCTGGCACTAAGAAAACAAGTCTTGAGTAGAAAGGAAATGTATAGGGAGAGAGGAAAGACTCCAGGAACCACAGGAGGCTCCAAGCCAGTGTCTGCTTCTCCTAAGCTTTCATTGCATCTACAGGATTCAGTTTGGTTTCTGATTCCCAACTACTTCTGGGGTAAAAAACAAAACAATGGAGATTCTTCTCTTTTATAATGGATAGAATATAATTTCCTATTTGCCTGTACTCAGGAAGCGTCTAAAATTTCACTTTTTTTTTTTTTTTTTTTTTTGAGACGGAGTCTCGCTCTGTCGCCAACGCTGGAGTGCAGTGGCGCAATCTCGGCTCACTGCAAGCTCCGCCTCCCGGGTTCACGCCATTCTCCTGCCTCAGCCTCCCGAGTAGCTGGGACTACAGGCGCCCACCACCAAGCCCGACTAATTTTTTGTATTTTTAGTAGAGACAGAGTTTCACCGTGTTAGCCAGGATGGTCTTGATCTCCTGACCTTGTGATCCGCCCACCTCGGCCTCCCAAATTGCTGGGATTACAGGCGTGAGACATCGCGCGTCTTTATTAAGGAGTAGATTGGGGTCTTTTGTTTTGAGTAGAGAGAGCAATATTCTTTCCATTACCCAAGTAAGCCTAGTAAGCCCAGCTGGCATTATTAGAAAACCCTTCTTAGTAGCCACTCACCTCCTGATGCTCACATTATATTTAGAGTTGCAATTCAGCACTATAAATTTCTGCTCACTAAAGACGTCTGGGTATCTTCAGTATGTAAAAAGCTGTGGGAAAAAAGAGTCTTTCCAAATGGTCAAAAGAGCAAACAGAATCTATCATGGGATATTTCCCTCCTAGCAATTGATAGTAGTCTTTGTAACTATCTACGATAGTTAGCAGAAAATTAGGAGAATGCTGTTCTTCTGACAATTTATAAAGTTCAGTCTTTGGAAACCAGACAGAAAAGCTTGGTTCTAACCTAGTAACCAAAGCTATATAATTAATTAGTTCTTGCAGGTTTCAGGCGGAAAATGGCGTTGCTGTGTTACAGTAATAATCCTGGTTGTCGTTGACTTATCAGCAAACTGCAGCTCCTCTCCCGGGGGAAGAAGCCCTGTAATTTAACAAATCACTGTATTTTGGGTTTTGACATTGCACATGCTTTTCAATTTCCATCTGTTCCTCTGGCTCATTAGTATTTTATTGTTGCTACCGTCAGAAACATTTTAATAGTTTTTCTCCCTCTAAAATAACACACCATCAACTATTTTCTATCATCCCTTTGGACAGCTAAAAATGGCATGTCCATTCCAATTTTAAATAGCTTTTAGGAAGTATTATTTTGGACATTTTCCCAAAAGTTCAAGATGGCTGCCTTTGGCTATGCACCAGAATAATTACTTTGTGTATGAAAACAAATATTCAAAACCTACTTCAAACACAGATTTTTAAAATATGAAATAGAGCAATGTCCTCTTATATTCTTAAGATGTCTCTTTATTAGATCAAAACATGATTAAGGAAGTCACAAATGCATATACACAAAATTCTGATATATATACCGCATACTCCTCAAACACAGTACACACACACAGTGGACACACACACACCATATGTGTAAACTCTCCCACACTCTATATATACACACATTCCATAGTCCTACAAACACAAACACATACATGTATCACACACATATATACTACACATATATTAATACACACAAACACATACATACTACATATATACACACAACCTTAAACAGGCACACCAAAATTACACACATCCCATCCTGCCCCAAACACAGCATATACACACACACACACACACACAGACACACACACACCATTCATGCACATAAACATATGATCCACATATACACAAACTACAAACACACACACAGACACAGACGACTAGTCTGTGGTGGCACGATAAATAAAAATATTAATCTGTCAAGAATGATGGTGAAAAAATTTATACATAAAAACAAGTAAAAGTGTACACTGTAAAATATGTATTGGGAAGTATTTTAGAATGAATCTTCAGATTGTTGCACGTATTTTAGTAACTTTCCAGAAAGTCAGATTTTTGGGGCCAAGTGAATAGTTTTCATTTATTGATCATGTCCTGTCTGTGAAAACTCAGACCCATTCCTCCTGAGTGGAAATGAAAGGTCAAAGCCAAAGATTCAAGAACGAAATCAGGGCATCTGACCAACACACACATACACACATCAATAGCCATGGACAGATGGTGAAGAGCAGCACTGATTGCAGAATGTACTAGGAATATACCATGTGTGATGAAAAGAAAGGGGTTTCTCTGAGGATGTGGTTGTTCATCACTGGGAAGGATGAGGTAGTCCAGCTTGGAAATCCCCCACCCCCCCCAGAATAAATAGGCCTATCAATCTCGGGCTCCTTTGTTTTGCAGTATTTATTTCTAGCTTCCTGAAAACTGAAGACTTGAGAGGCCCAGTGCTGCCTGGAGTACTGCTCAGTGGGAGGCTGACAGCCTTCACTCCTGGGAGTGGTCAGTGGTTCCCTCAGGAAGATAGAGACCAGCCCAGTGCCCATGAAAGCTCAAAGACATGTCAACACACTAAAGGCCTTTCTCAGCAGAAGGACAGGCCTCCCATCAGGATCCACAGCACATAATCTCATGTCCTGTTAGGAAACTGTCCTTTTCCCAGTGTCACCTTCAGAAAATGTTCTGAACACACTGCAGATGGCTGTCAGAACTGTAAGTGTGAAGCTCAAATGCAGAGGAGGCCTGAACTTAGAGTGACATCTGACTTCACAAGTTTAAGGACTGTCTAAAGAGCTCTGATGGGAAATCGATTCACAGAAAATGCTGTGAACCCTATCAGACTTTTTAAATAACTTTTTTGCACAGCTTTGTCCCTGTCTCTCCTTTTTTTCTTTCCATTTCTTCCCAACCCGCTTGCTCTTTTTTCCTTCCTCCCTCCCTCCCTCCCTTCCTTTCTTCTTTTTTCCTCTATCTTCCTTTTTTCCTTCCTTCTTTTTTTCCTTCTGTAGTCTTTACTATTTTTATTGAGACCAAAGAATGTTATTGCATTATGTTCCATGAAAAAGGGCAGCCCTCTACTTAAATATAATCTACATCAACTGAATGTCCAGTTGTTAAAGCAGGATTGTTTCAAAATTTGTTATAAAATTTATTTAATCAATGAACAGGTATTGAGTATTGACTTTTAACCAGTTCTCATAACTCTTTCTCAATAGAGAACTGTCTTTAACCAATAACTATTCTCTTATTGTTTAGGGACTCTTATGGCCAGCTGAAGTCAGTTTAGATGCAAGTACTTAGGTGAAGAATCTTAATTTTTTCACCTGAAGGGTGATTAAAATATAAGATTTATTCCTCATCCACCATTGTAATTCTCCCACATTTGCTGTCAAACTTAACTTCTTAAAACTCTCCCTGGATGTCATCCCCCTCATTAGCAAGTTCACACTCACAGATGCCCTTTGCAAGCTAGCTTCAATTCATTATTGGTTTACATCCCAAACTCTAAGATTTGGTCACATGTCTCCAAATCTTAGCCCTTGCTTTCCTTTGGGCTCCCTGTTCTGGAATCCATAGCAGGCAGCTTGTGCATTCACTTGGCCTTGCACAATAATTAGAGGTCTAGTGTCTCTCTCTTGTGAGGACTGGCACTATTCATCTTGGAGCAACCCAATCACAAAGTGGGATTGCAACAAATTCTGCTAGAAATATAAACATCAAAGACAACAAAGTACTAGTCATCTGCTGTTCTGGCCTGCCTAACCCCCATTCCCTCTCTTTCAAGTAAGAGCATCTGCCTTTTCCTCTGGAAATTATATTTTTTTAAAAAAATCACAGGTAATTGGACACTGACCTTATCCCATTGACGAAGAGATGTACATGTGACCCGACCTGCCCAATCAGATACATAGTGATTGCTCCAGGGATGAATACTTGGCTTAATCGGGCTTATTAAAGTGAACCTCAGATGTTTTTGCTTAAATTATTGGAAAAGAAGTTTGTTCCTTTGCTATTGTAGTAAAGCTATTGGCCACGTTAAGGGGTACCTGTTGAGAGAGTTTGCTTTTATAAGATGCTTATGTTAAGAAAAGAGCCAAGAGTCAAAGACCAAATTCCAAATGACAGGTTTGGTTTCAATCATGCCTGAAGTTACGTGCCCATGACCATTTTGTCGTATAGCCCAGTGTATTCCTAGTTTTCCTTTGACCTGTTTAATTTTTATCTGTTATTCTTTTTCTCTTCATTCTTTCATTTATTTTTGTTCTTTACATCTGAAAGATTTCTGGCAGATATAGTCATTTAGAGAAATAATAGAAATAAGCAGATATATGTCCCCTAAGGAGAAAAGATCAAGTAGAAAAAGTTTGTTTTCTGCAACTTCCAATATCATATTTCTGAAGTTGTTTTCCTGGATTCTAATGATCCCGTGTAACTTAGAACACTGCTTCTTCAACTTGAATATACACACAAATCCCCTGCGCAACCTGTTAAAATGAAGATTTTGATCCAACAGGTTTGGGGTGCCCCTGACATCCTGCATTTCTAGTAAACTGTGAGGGATGGTGACGGTGCTGCCAATAAATAACACTTTGTGTGGCAGGGTCCCAGGGTGCCTCATTGTCAAGGGTCATCATTAGCACCTAGGTCCTCCTGTCCAGCTTCAATTACCTCTGGCATGTCACTGTTGGCTTAAAGTGGTGATGGGTGACTATGCCACTCTTCCCAGATAACTTCCTTACTTTTAAGCTGATTTTCTGAAGAAAAAGAAATGGAGCCAAAAGCAGGATTATGCATGGGAGGACGAGTGAGCAGTTTGCGAAGCCAGTGCAAGGGCAAGTGGAATGACTTGCTTAAAATGCTACAGATACACAGGAACATTTTAAAATCCTGTCTTCCCCCATTCCTGAATCACAGATTTGTCGTATTGGAAGCATTTACTGCAACATAGCCTGTCTCTGCTAGGACTCAGCAGAATTATGGCACATGCTTTCTTCTGGGACCCATCCGGCTGCCCAGCAGAACAACTATTCCACCTGGGCTGTGATCTAATTTATTTCCTTTCCTCAGTGCCAGATTCCTGGGTGCTGGCACTAGGAACTGAAGCAGCACCATTGCTCACCCATATCTAAAGTTGGCCGCTTACTGACAATGCCGGGTGGCTCCGGATAATCTTTGCATGTTATCCTGCCTGATGATACGGTGAGTTGATTTCACTGTAACAGAAACATATGCCTTGTGAGTTAGTTATGTTTGGGGATTATTAATAACCACACAGAAGTATTTAAGCAGGCATGAGCATCTCATCTCCCTGTAAACATGTCACTTTCAAATCCAGATTCTGCTCCCACGTATTCGTAAACTCCTCTCATAGAAATCACTTTACTTGTTGAGACTGGGCATGTCTCCCAATTTCTAGCACATCCTCTCTGAGTTTCTGTGGTTTTCTTTCTCCAAATTAAGAGTCAGTTAAGCAGAGACAGCATTACTTGGTCCCAAGAGCACCTCTTATCAGCAGAGGTAAACGTGAGACACAGAATCCTCCTTGAACCCCTTCTCAAGTATCTTGAGTAACTGAAGAGTACAAGATAAGGAAGGAAGCTTGTTGTTTATGTTTTCAGAAACAAATGTGACTTCAGATTTCAGGAGCGTTGGATTCAGTGTCCCATAACTTGAGATACATACCGTTTGGTTAGTTCTTACCTGCCAAAAAAAGAATGTGTTGGCAAGGGTGTCAGAGCTAGGGGAAGCAAGAGGAGAGAATAATTAGAAAAATCTGTTAGACTCAAGTTTGTTTTTCTGTATCAGTATTGGGAGAGAGAGAGAGCTTGAACTTAGTCTTTGGAATAAAATGTGATATTCAAAATACTATTTGGCAAAGAGGAACCCTGTATTAAAGTCACCGTGAAAGCAGAGTGAGCAGCTTCATGGAATGAATAAAGCTGGCTTTGAGTCAAGAAAAACTTGTTCCTGTCTCTCAGCAGGCTTTTTGGAGGCTTCTTCTGCTAGCTGATGTGTGGATGCTCACAGAATGCAAACTGATTCTTTTACTAGATTAAGAAAAAGCCAAACAGGAAATTAGATATTTTGTAAAACAACTACACACATCTCATCTTCTACACAACTGTAAGTTATATTTGATGAATTGGTGTTCCTATCAATTAAATATGCCTCATAAGAAGAAAGAAGAGACACACGGCAGTGCCAAGGAGTGGGGGAGAGAAAATGGCCTTTCCTCCAAATGACTTTGGCTTCATTCCAGAGCCAGCACCCTTAATTTAGCCCCTTGTGAGTGGAAAAACACTTTATCAGTCTGTAGATATTTGTTGTGAGGTTTCTTTTCTTATACATAAATAGATGTGTTGTTGGCAAAGCGTCCAGACTTAGATCAAATAGATTTTGATGATCATGGGGGAACCAAGTCTTCTTTTCTTCAGAGTTTTGAGATTACCCAAGGGGGCTTTGCTGCTGACAGCCAAATAGCTCTATAGACATTATTAGAGGAGCGGAAGGTACATTTGTGAGAAATGTCAAAGTGATAACTGAGGAGAGGGGAATAGAATGCATTATTCTTGGTGCTGGGGACTTTCCCATCAGTACATGCACCATTACTGTCATGAGAAGACGCCAAGATTTTACAGAGACTTTATTATTTATCAATAAATTAAAAGGGAAGCCTGCTGTTTATATCATTCATGAGAACATGGCTATGAGCTGGGACTGAGTACTGCTACCAAGGAAAATGTCACTGCTCTAAACAGAGAATGGGCCTTTTGTGGCAGGACTAGGCCCAACAGGGGTGCATGTATGTTTTAGGTCCTTATTCGTGGCCAGGTCTGTACCTGGTTAGATTTTTACTCAGGTCCAGGGAAGTGGCTGTCCCCCATTACTGGAAGTAGTCAGTTGTTGTCAGTGGTCACTGAAACTAGAAGCCCTGGCATCTACTCCCAGCTCGACTGGGCAAGTAACTCTAACTCTTTGGGCAAGTAACTGAAAGTCTCCGTTTTTCTGGGCTCAGGTTCCTCAACCATAACATGAGAGTTTGGGACTAGAGTAGCAGCCCTAAGGCGTTATGTTCTATGATGCTCTATGATTCTCTTATCCCGTATCTAGACTTTTGGGAAGTCGTGTCAATAATCACCATACAGCCAGATTCTGTTCGACATCTCCACTGCCACCCCCTGGCACAATCTTCTCATTTTTCACTTGGATCACCACAACAGCCTCTGAACTGAACTCACTACTTCATCCTCTGCCCTTCACAGTCTGTTCTCAACCCAGCAGACAGTGAGCTCTTTAAATTCCTGCCATGCCATCCCCCTAGTAGCTCTCCTTTTCTCCCTGTCCATGTAGAGTCCCATAGAGCCTGAGAACTGACTCAGGCTTATCTCTCCAATCTCAGCTCCTACCTTCTTCCATGTATTATTTCCATAGAGCCACATAGCCACATCCTTCCCTACTCCTCGATTCATCTACAGGCCTCAGGTGGTCCCTTGGCTGGAATGCCCCTCCTGTCCTCTTTCCCGAACTCCCCTCCCCCAGTTACCTGCATGGTTGACTCTCTCCCCTCTTTCAAATTTCAACTTAAACGTCCCCTCCTGTCCTCGATGAGGTCCTCTGTGGCCATTACACTTAATACGTTGAACAAAGGGCACTTTCCAATCCCCTTATTCTGCTTCTTATTTCCCCAAACACTGACTGTCCAGCATTTCATAAACACATATTAATTACATATTTGATTCTTGTTTCCTCTACCAGAATGTAGGCTCCATGTGGGCAATGACTTTTGCCTGTTTTTTATTTTATTTTATTTTTATTATTGTGTCACCAGTACCTAAAGACTTCCTGGTGCGTAGAGGTGCCTAATAAAACCTTGCTTTGCAGGGACATGGATGAAGCTGGAAGCCATCATCTTCAGCAAACCAACACACTAACAGAAAACCAAATACCACACGTTCTCACCCGTAAGTGGGAGTTGAACATTGAGAACACATAGACACAGAGAACAACACACACCAGGGCCTGTTGCTGGGCGGTGGAGGGTGAAGGGAGGGAACTTAGAGGACGGGTTAATAAGTGCAGCAAACCACCACGGCACATGTATACCTATGTAACAAACCCACACGTTCCGCACATGTATCCCCCCCACCATTTTTTTTAAGAATAAAAAAAGAAAACTAAAAAAATAACAGCTTGTTGAATGAATGAGCTAATCCTTGAAACTCTTAACTTATTACTCGTCACGCTCTACAGGCAAGCGATGCTGATAACCAGCAGCGGTGAAGGTCAGGGGAGAGAGAATGCCCTGCTAGGGTAGGGAAGGCCAACAGCATTTTTGCACCCAGAAGACTTCGTAATTATTCCTAAGCCGATGGGTGTACTAATTTGTATCTGCTCCCTGTGCTTTGTCATGCATGCTGTCAGAGTCCTTCCTCTGGGCCCTGGCATTTACAGTTTCTCCTGTTGCAGCACCTGTGTCTCTGCTCATAGAAGCCTGCGTGGGTCTTTGAGAAGGCATCACCCACAGTGCCAGGGAGTTAATGCCCCTAGAAATATCCTCCAATGAGGAGGAGTGCGAGGTGGTTGCTAAACCTCTCAGCTTCCTTGCCCCTTAGGTGGGACTGTTTTTATGTATGCTAACCTGTGTCCCAAAGGTCTGCAGTAGGATAGAGCCCCTGTTGCCCAGGTGGTGACACATTCATGACCATATGCTGGTTTGACATCTATCCCTTCCCTGTCTCACTTCCCCACTCCCCTTCTCTACCTGGATTTTCTATGGTCACCTCGTGAATAAATTACATCTTGTCTCATGGACTGCTTCTGACTGAACTCAAATTTTTGTAATCATGTAATAAAGACCCTCCTCATCCCTCAGGCATTGTTCAGGACCTCTGCCTGTCAGGCAGATCACATTCCCCCTGCAATTTAAGCCTTGGTTGGGAATGTGGATTCCTTCATACTCCCATGACCCAGGATTCCAGTTTGTGAGAAGCTGTGCCATGTGCAATGGTTAACATTCCAGATTGGAGCCTGACACGGGAGCCAGACTGCTTCAGATGGATTCAAGCCCAGACTGTTTCTCGTCAGCTATGTGACCTTGGGCATGTTACTTAACCTTTCTGTTCCCTGTTTTTTTAATCTGCAAAACAAGTCTGATAATAGTACTGTACCCTGGGATTAAATAGATTCACATTTGCAAGAAGTCTAACCGGTACCTGTCCTAAAGTAGGTGCTACATCATTTAAAATAATAAAATGCCCCATCTTGCCAACAAAAACAAAAACACTGAAGATCAGAGAAGTCAAATTCACTGATTGAGGTCATACAACTAAGACACTCCAGAACACAAAAGCAGCTCTTTGGAACCCAAGTAGAGTGTGATTTTTGTTACGTTTCACCCAAGAAAACTGAATCCATGTGTCCATGTGTTCTTGAAACATATTCCTTAATAAAGAGTGAAAGGTTTTTTTTTTGTATAATTACTACCAACTAATTAGTGAAAAGCCATAAGCAATCAAATATGTGATAGAAGCTAATTTGAAACAATATTAGCTTTATATATTTGGATCGCTTCATACTCTTATATATAGAAGAACTTCTTGTGGGTAAATATTTCATTTGGATAATAAACCAATCTCTCTCTCCCTCCAGTACTGCAATATTCAAATATAAGACAAGTTTTGTATATAGGAAAGCAGTGCCCTTTGCTCATTTTCTATGAAGCAGTGTAGGAAAGGATTTAGGTTAAATTTTGCTGGAAGGAATTTCATTCAGATGTCGGGCAGAAATTTCATTTTATTTTTATCTTCCACTGCATTGATGTAAAATTGGCAAAAATTGTATATATATTTAAGGTGTAAATGTGATGATGTTATATATATATATTATATATATATATGTATATAATGAAATGGTTACCACAATGAATTAGCTCATCCATCATCTCACATTGTTACTATTGTATGTGTGTGTATGTGTGTGTGTGGTGGGGGGGTTGTGGACACTTGAGATCTACTCTTTTAGCAAATTTTTAGTAAATGATACAGTATTGTTGAATTATAGTCACCCTGCTGTGCATTAGATTCCCCATAACTTACTCATATTGTGACTAACTGGAAGTTTGTACCCTTTGATCAACATCTCCCCATTTCCTCCACTCCCCTAGCTGCTGGCAACCACCATTTGGCTCTCTGCTTCTATGAGTTTGACTTTCTGAGCTCTGTTGAGTTTCATATATAAGTGAGCTCATGCAATATTGGTTTTTCTGTGTCTGGCTTATTTCACTTAGCATAATGTCCTCCAGGTTTATCCACGTTAACAAAAATGGTAGTATTTTCTTCCTTATTATGGCTAGATAAGAGTTTTCTTTATCCATATTTTCCCATTGATGGACACTTAGGTTGTTTCCATATCTTGGCTATTGTGAAACATGCTGCAATAAATATGGAATGCAAATATTTTTTGAGATGTTGCTTTCATTTCCTTTGGATGTATAACTAGAAGGGAGATTGCTGGATCATGTGGTAGTTGTAATTTTTTAAGGGATGTCCATACTGCTTTACATAATGGCTGTAACAATTTACATTCCCACCAGCAGTGTACAAGGGTTCCCTTTTCTCTACTCACTTGACAATACTTGTTATCGCTCACCTTTTTGGTAATAGCCATCCCAATGTGTAAGGTGATATCTCATTGTGGTTTTGATTTACATTTACCTGATGATTAATGACGTTAAGTAGCTTCTCATGTACGTGTTACCCATTTGTACTTCTTCTTTGGAGAAATATCTATTTAGGTTCTTTGCCCTTCTTTTGATCAGGTTACTTATTTTTTGGCTAATGAGCAGTTGGGGTTTCTTATATATTTTGGAGGTTAACTCTTTATTAAATATATGGTTTGCAAATATTTTCTCCAAGTCTGTAGGTTGCCCTTTCATTTTGTTGACTGTTTGCTTTGCTCTGCAGAAGCATTTTTTTGTTTGTTTGTTTTTGAGACAGAGTCTTGCTCTGTTGACCCGGCTGGAGTTCAGTGGCATGATCTTAGCTCACTGCAACCTCTACCTCCCAGGATCAAGGAGTTCTCATGCCTCAGCCTCCTGAATAGCTGGGACTACAGGTGTGCATCACCACACCTGGCTTTTTGTATTTTTAGTAGAGATGGGGGTTCAAGACCAGGGTGGTCTTGAACTCCTGAGCTCAGGAAATCCACCTGCCTCGGCCTCCCAAAGTGGTAGGATTACATGCAGAAGCATTTTAGCTTGATGTAATCCTACTCGTTTATTTTTGTTTCTGGTATCTGTGCTTTTGGTGTCATATAAAAACATCATTGCCAAGACCAACATCAAGGAGCTTTCATTCTTTTTTTTTAATAGACATGGGCAAGGACTTCATGTCTAAAACACCAAAAGCAATGGCAACAAAAGCCAAAATTGACAAATGGGATCTAATTAAACTAAAGAGCTTCTGCACAGCAAAAGAAACTACCATCAGAGTGAACAGGCAATCTACAGAATGGGAGAAAATTTTTGCAATCTACTCATCTGACAAAGGGCTAATATCCAGAATCTACAATGAACTCCAATAAATTTACAAGAAAAAAACAAACAACCCCATCAAAAAGTGGGCAAACGATATGAGCAGACACTTCTCAAAAGAAGACATTTATGCAGCCAAAAGACACATGAAAAAATGCCCATCATCACTGGCCATCAGAGAAATGCAAATCAAAACCACAATGAGATACCATCTCACACCAGTTAGAATGGCAATCGTTAAAAAGTCAGGAAACAACAGGTGCTGGAGAGGATGTGGAGAAATAGGAACACTTTTACACTGTTGGTGGGACTGTAAACTAGTTCAACCATTGTGGAAGTCAGTGTGACGATTCCTCAGGGATCTAGAACTAGAAATACCATTTGACCCAGCCATCCCATTACTGGGTATATACCCAAAGGCTTATAAATCATGCTGCTATAAAGACACATGCACACGTATGTTTATCGCAGCACTATTCACAATAGCAAAGACTTGGAACCAACCCAAATGTCCAACAATGATAGACTGGATTAAGAAAATGTGGCACATATACACCATGGAATACTATGCAGCCATAAAAAATGATGAGTTCATGTCATTTGTAGGGATGTGGATGAAGCTGGAAACCATCATTCTCAGCAAACTATTGCAAGGACAAATAACCAAACACCATATGTTCTCACTCGTAGGTGGGAACTGAACAATGAGAACACATGGACACAGGAAGGGGAACATCACACACTGGGGCCTGTCGTGGGGTTGGGGAGGAGGGAGGGATAGCATTTGGAGATATACCTAATGTTAAATGACGAGCTGCTGGGTGCAGCACACCAACATGGCACATGTATACATATGTAACTAACCTGCGCATTGTGCACATGTACCCTAGAACTTAAAGTATAATTAAAAAAAAGAAATTTTATAGTTTTAGGTCTTACATTTAAGTTTTTATTCAATTTCAAGCTTACTCTATTTTTGAGTATGATGTAAGATAAGGATTCAATTTTATTTTGTTGCATGTGGATATCTAGTCTTTCCCACACTGTTCATTGAAGAGACCATCTTTTTCACATGTGTGTTCTTAGCACCGTTGTCAAAGATGAGTTGACCATGTATATATGCATGGGTTGATTTCTGAGATCTCTGTCCTCTTCCATTGATCTACATGTGCCTGTGAGAATTTCTGACAAATGTGGAGAGTCAGAATTAAAGTTAGCTCAAACTCAATTCTGGAGATTGAGTTACACTTGGACAACTTCTTTGTCCAAGTAAGTCTTCTATACTCAGCTTGTATTTCCACTACTAGAGATTCATTATTTTGTTGAGTTTAGTTCAAACATTGTATTAAATATTATCCATGAAACAGTCGCTGGGCTATATACTAGCTGAGATTTAGCTATTTCTAAGACCCTCACAAAATGCAAACATCCCTGAGCAGGAAAAGCGTTATGCCATTGTCAGTAATTAACATTTCAGTGGAGCCTTCTTTGACAGATCCTTTTTCAGCTATGATAGCTGCCTGAGAACATGGCCCCAAGGGAATAATATACAAAATTTTAGTTTTAGATAGGGACATGGTAGAGAGAGAAGCCAGTGTACTTGTCATTACTGAGGAATGGAAAGCAACAGTTGTTGAGCAGACACTGCATGACTCCATGAAGGCATCATTCCAGGTGTCATGTGACTGTTCTGAGGGGAGCCTGGGAAGCCATTGTAATGGGTGTTTCTGAGACCCCTCATTGGATTGCAATGAGAAAGAATGAATAGTTACCTCTTCTGTTAGTTCATTTTGTTTGCTATAAAGAAATATCTGAGACTGGATAATTTATAAACAAAAGAGGCTTATTTGGCTCACAGTTCTACAGGCTACATAAGCATGGCATCAGCACCTGCGTGGCTTCTGGTGAGGACTCAGGAATCTTTCATTGATGGCAGAAGGCAAAGGGGGAGCAGGTGCATCACATGGCAAGTGAGGAAGCAAGAGAGATGACAGGCTTTTTTAAACAACCAGCTCTCATGTCAACTAATAGAGCAAAAACTGACTCCAAAAACACACTTGTTACTGCAGAGAGGGCACCAAGCCATTCGTGAGAGATCCATCCCCATGACACAAACACCAGGCCCCACTTCCAAAATTAGGGGTCACATTTCAACATGAGATTTGGAAGGGACAAATATACAAACTATATCACCGCCTTTGATTCACTTTTGAAATGGGAGAGAAACCTAGAATATGACAAAATAGAGATTCTGTTGGCACACAGAATTCTTAACCAATGTGCATGGAAATTCCTCGTAGAAATAAAGATGTTGCGATGAGTGTTGAGAGTTACCCAATTTCTTTCTACCACAAGATACAAGTTTTATGACAATGGTAGGTATGCAGATATATTCTTGGTTGAAGAGGAGATATTCTTGTTTGAAGGCTGATAATTAATATTTAGTGTAGAGAAACCTGTTTTGAAGTCTATATTGTCTTTATTAAAGTTATTTACTAACAAGTTTGGCAGAAACAAGAAGCTTGTGACCCTTTTACCATGTGTACTTGTATACTTATTAGTTCTCCCATTTTGTAGTCATTCGTTCAATAGGTTTTTATTGAATATATAGTTTGTTGAATATAAGTATTGAATAATACTTAGCCCACTTAGACACCTCCTTGGTTTGCTTCTTGTGGGTTAAAATATGACACAGCTTTAGAATGTTCTTGAATTGCCATTAGATGGAGCATTTGCCTCCCCTATCATGCGAGCAAGTGAATACTTTCTCTTTTGATGAAAAACTTGAGATCTGAGCCTTTAGCAAATACTTAATAAAGCTAATTTCTAACAGATACAAGAAAACATAAATATCAATTCAAAAAACATTTAAGGCATGAGTACTAATGTCAAACCATTATCTCTAATTGGACTTTTAATCTTCTAGTTTATTCCTCTTAACCTTCATTATTTCTGCAAAGTCCTCAATTTCTTTAACATATTCCTCATCTTGTTCCACTTGCTCGTTTTCTTTATGGGCCATGTCTTTCCAAGATTTAGAGGTAGAGTTTGACACTTTAGAGCAATATGACTTTGGCCAAATTATGAAACCTTTTTAACCTTAGTTTGTTCCTCTGTACAATGAGCATGATAATATGTGTTATGCTAAGCTTGCTGTGAAGCTATACAAATTAAATGAAATAATGTATTGAAGGTGCCTAGCACAGCTCTGGACACAAGTTCTGTGCCCAGCAATCAGTGATTATTTGGCTATCCCAGACTTTGGAGGCTTACCAGAGCAATGCATTCTTGCCTGTTCCATCTACCAGCCTTGACACCTGAGTTAATCCCTCCTCTGAGATCATTTCTTGCTGTTTTGCTTGGGGTCCAAGCTCAATCATTTCACTTGAAGTTTCTTCTTTGGCTTCATTCTCAGTTTTGTTTTTCAGAATCAGAAGAGAAAAGCTGAAGAAAATCTCTCTTTACCATTTTACCATGGCAACCAGCTGTTTCTGGAGAAGATTTATCCTCCTTCCTAGTCGCAATAGAAAATCTGCAGTTTACACCCTCTTCCCTCCCCCTCCTACTCCCGATGGGTTGATTTCAGCCATTTGGCTGAATCTTCTCTAGTATTTACACAAAATAAATAATTAGCTTCAGACTATAACCCTGTTGATATTTTAATGTATTCCTGATCTTTCCTCTCAAGTTTGTAAAAGAAAAATAAGATAATAAATAAATAAAGGCTTTGAGTCTGACCAGGCTTTTTAAAGAAGCTCAGAGTAAAACTCCTTCAACAGTTGGATCATTCTCAGCCTCCTGCCTTCAGAAACTGTGCAGAGCTGACCTGCACAATGCTGTCCTTGGGTCTGAAATTCCAGGCAGGGCTGGCTTCTCACATGGGACTCTATGCTTAGAAGGATCCTATGCTTGATTTAATGTTTTTCTGTTTCTGTCTTGAAATTCTTAATCATTATTGAACAAGAGCCCCTGTATTTTCATTTTGCACTGCCCACCTCCCCCAGCCCCATGTACCCAGCCCTGCTGTTAACACCTACTACTGTTGTAAGCACCTTCTAGTGCCACTGTATTCTCCACTAAGACAATGCTGAGATCAGACTCAAATTCACTTTTACTAGAAACTCTAGTGAGGAAACAGGAGGGTCCTCAGTGGTTACTCAGTGCCCACCATGTTTACATTACTTTCGTCTCTCCTAAACTTTAGAAAATGAAAATGGGGATAAGTAACAAAATACAAACATATGTTCATTCATGCTAGCTTTCTGGTTGTGGTAGATTTAGCTAGACGGTGCAGCTCTTGATAAACTTCCTTTTTTATTGACACATAATAATTGTACATTTTTATGGGATACATGTGACATTTCGATACAAGTATAGCATGTGTAATGATCAAGTCAGGGTATTTAGGTTGTACATCTCCTCAAACATTGATACTTTCTTTGTATTGAGAATATTTTAAATCTCTTCTAGCTCTTTTGAAATGTAAAACAAATTATTGTAAACTATAGTAATCCTACTGTGCAATTGAACACTAGAACTTATTCCTTCTATCTAATTTTATGTTTGTACCCATTAACTAATCTCTCTTTATTCCCACCCCACCAAACGCAAACCCAGCCCAGTCACTGATAACTAGCATTATCCTCACTATTTCCATTAGATCAACTTTTCAGCTCCCACATTTGAGTGAGAACATGCAATATCTGTCTTCCTGTGCCAGACTTATTTCACTTAATGCAATGACCTCCAGTTCCATCCATGTTGGTGCAAATGACAGAAATTAATTCATTTTATGGCTGAATAGTATTAAATTTGCGTTCATATGTCACATTTTCTTTATTCATTCATCTGTTGATAGACACTTTAGATTGATTTCATATCTCTGCTGTCATGAATAGTGCTGTGATAAACATAGAGGTGCAGTTATCCCTTTGATATACTGATTTCTGTTCTTTTGGATAATGACTGAGTAGTGGAATAGCTGGATCATATGGTAGTTCTATTTTAGTTTTTTGAGAAATTTCCATTTTGATTTATATAATGGCTATACTAATCTACATTCTCATTAACAGTGTATGAGAATTTCCTTTTCTCCACATCATCACCAGCATCTGTTATTTTTTGTCTTCTTGATAATAGCCATTTTATCTGGGGTATGATGATTTGCATTAATCTGATGCAAAAGATAATGTTGAGCTTTTTAAAAAATACACCTGTTGGTCATTTATATGTCTGTTTTAGTGAAATTTTTTATTTAGATACTTTTCTTAACTCTTTAATGAGAATATTTCATTGCTTTTCTATTGAGTTTGAGTTGCTTTTATATCCTGAATGTTACTGCCTTGTGGGTTTAATTGTTTGCAAATATTTTCTCCCATTCAACAGGTGTTTTCCTTACCAATTGTTTCCTTTGTGGTGTTGAAACTTTTTAGTTTAATATAGTCCCATTTGTCTACTTTTGTTTTTGTTGTCCATGCTTTTGAGGTCTTAGCCATAAAATCTTTGCCTAGACCAATGTTCTGCTGTGTTTCTTCTATGTTTCCTTCTAGTAGCTTTATAATTTTGGGTCTTGCACTTAAGTCTTTAATTAATTTTGAGTGGACATTTTTAATACACTGAGAAATAGGGATCTAGTTTCATTCTTCTGTGTATGGATATCCAGTTTTTCCAGTACCATTTATTAGAGAGGGTGTTCTTTTTCCAATGTATGATCTTGGTACCTTACTCAAAAATCAGTTGGCTATAAATATGTGAATTTATTTCTGGGTTCTCTATTGTATTCCTCTGGTTTAGATGTGTGTTTTTATATCAATACCATGCTGTTTTGGTTACTATAGCTTTATAAGATATTTTGAAGTTGGGTGGTCTGATGTCTCTAGCTTTGTTCTTTTTACTTAAGGTTGCTTTGGCTGCTTGAATTGTTTTTGGTTCCATATGAATTTTCGGATTGTTTTTTCTATTTCTGTGATAAATGACACTGGTGTTTTGATAAGGATTGCACTGAATCTGTAAATTGCTTTGGGCAGTATGGTTATTTTGGCAATGTTAATTCTTACAATCCATTAACATAGGATGGTCATCATTTTTTATATGTCCACTTCAATTTCTTTCATTAGTGTTTTGTAGCTTTCCTTGTCTTTCACCTCCTTAGTTAAATTTATTCCTTTTTTTTGTAGCTATAGTAACTAGGATTGCCTTCTTTTTTTTTTTTTTTTGAGACAGAGTCTTGCGTGCAGTGGCGCTATCTAGGCTCACTGCAAGCTCCACCTCCCGGGTTCATGCCATTCTCCTGCCTCAGCCTCCCGAGTAGCTGGGACTACAGGCGCCTGCCACTGCGCCCGGCTAATTTTTTGTATTTTTAGTAGAGACAGGGTTTCACCGTGTTAGACAGGATGGTCTCGATCTCCTGACCTCGTGATCCACCCGCCTTGGCCTCCCAAAGTGCTGGGATTACAGGCGTGAGCCACCGTGCCTGGCAGGATTGCCTTCTTGATTTTTTTTTTTCTGCTAGTTCATTATTGGTGTAGAGAAATGGTACTCATTGTTGTATGCTGATTTTATATCCTGCAACTTTACAGAATTTATCAGTTCTAATAATTTTCTGGTGGAGTCTTTAGGTTTATTTATATATAAAATCATGTTGCCTGCAAAGAGATAATTTGACTTTCTCTTTTCTAATTTGGATGCCTTTTATTTCTTTCCCTTGAGAAATGGTAAATCTTTGTCTTTTTCCAGTTCTTTGAGAAAAAGCTGAAAGCTTTCCCCCATTCAGTATGATGCTAACTGTGGGTTTTCATATATGGACTTTATCATGTTGAGATATATTCCTTCTATGCCTGGGTTGCTTGAGAGTTTTTATCATTAAGGGATACTAAATTTTATCCAATGATTTTACTGCATCTTGAGATGATTGTATGGTATTTGTCTTTTATTCTGTTGATGTGATGTATAATATATATATTGATTTGTGTGTGCTGAAACATCGTTTCATCCCTGGGATAAATCTTGCGTACTTATGATATATTATCTTTTTGATGTGTTGTTGGATTTCACTTGCTAGTAGTTTGTTAAGGAGTTTTGTATTTATGTTTCTCAGGGTTTAGCCTTGTTGAATGAGTTAGGAAAAATTCCCTCCTCTTTTAGTTTTTGAAATTCATTGAGAAAAATTTGATCTTAGTACTTCTTTGTAAGTTTTGTAGAATTCAGCAGTAAAGACATCATCTGGTCCTGGGCTTTTCTTTGTTGAAGCGGGGTGGTTTCATTGCCTATTCAATCTCATTACTCGTTATTTCTCTATTCAGCTTTTCTATTTCTTTCTGGTTCAATCTTGGAAAGTTGTATATGGCCAGAAATTTATCTATTTCTTTAGGTTTTTTTATTTGTTGGTGTTCCTAATAGCTTCTAATGATACTTTTTATTTCTGTGACAACAATTTGAATGATTCCTTTTTCTGGTTTTGATTTTATTTATTTGGGTCATCTCTTTTTTTTTGTGGTCAGTCTAGCTAACTATCCATTTCATTTATCTTTTCAAGAAACCAACTTTTCATTTTTCAATCCTTAGCCTTATTTTTTTAGTCTCCATTTCATTTAGTTCCGCTTTCTCTGATTTGGATTAGGTTTGTTCTTTTTTTTCCAGTTCCGTGATGTGCATGATTAAGTTGTTTATTTACAATCTTTCCCTACTTTTTTGATGTAGGCATTTATTGCTATAAATTTTCCTTTTAGCACTGTTTTGGCTATATCTCGTGAGTTTTGGTATGTTGTGTTTCCATTTTTGTTTTAATACTTTTTTTTCCTGTCTTGTTAATTTCTGCATTGACCCAGGGGTTATTCAGGAGAGTAATCTGTTTAGTTGTCATATATTTGTAACATTTTCTAAGCTCCTCTTATGATCAATTTCTAGTTTTTGTCCACAGTGATCTAAGAAGACATTTGATATGATTTCATTCTTTTTAAATTTGCTGAGACTTGTTTTTTGAGATGGAGTCTCAATCTGTCACCCAGGCTAGAGTGCAGTGGTGAGATCTTGGCTCACTGCAAACTCCACCTCCTGGTTTCAAGTGATTCTCCTGTGTCATCCTCCCAAGTAGCTGGGATTACAGGTGTGCACCACCACATCCAGCTAATTTTTTTGTATTTTTAGTAGAGATGGGGTTTTACCATGTTGGTCAGGCTGGTCCCAAACTCCTCTTTCTCTCTTATCATTGCGGTTTGCTGATTTTCTGTAGTGCTAATATTTAAGTTTTTTTCTTTCTCACTTGTGTATCTACTCTACCAGTGAGGTTTATATTTTTGTGTTTTTCTGATAATACATATCATCTTTTTCTTCCGGATGTAGAAGTCATTAAATAAATTTTTTGTGCAGTCAGTCTAGTGGTAATGAATTTCCTAAGTTTTTGCTTGTCTGGGAAGTCACTTCATTTTTAAAGGATAGTTTTTATGGGCATGGTGTATTTTCCTGATAGTTTTTTTTTTTTTTTTCATTTCTTCACTTTGAATGTATCATTTCACTCTCTCTTGGCCTGTAAAGTTAGTGTTGAGAGACATGCTATTAGTCTTATAGAGTCAAACTAATTAGTCTTATATGTGACTTGATGATTTTCTCTTGCTGTTTTTAGAATTCTTTATTTGTCTTTGACTTTTGACATTTGGATTATAATATACTTTGGAGATGATCTTTTCAGGTTGAATCTATTCGGGAATCTTTGCACTTCCTGTATCTAGATGTGTATATCTCTCGTAAGACTTGAGAAGTTTTCAGCTATTATTGTATTAGGTAGTTTTTCCATGTCTTTGCTCATCTCTTCTCCTTCTGGAACTCTAAAAATTTGAAAGTTTGGTTGCTCTATGCTGTCTCATAAGTCACATAAGCCATTGTCTCCTCCTCTTCCTCCTCTTCTTCTTCTTTTCTTCCTTCTCCTCCTCCTCCTCTTCTTCTTTTCTCTTCCTTCTCTTCTCCTTCTCTTCTTCTCTTCTTCTTCTTCCTCTTCTTCTTCTTTTCTTCCTTCTCCTCCTCCTCTTCTTCTTCTTTTATCTTCCTTCTCTTCTCCTTCTCTTCTTCTCTTCTTCCTTCTTCCTTCATCTGATGAGGTTATTATTAAAGATTTGTCTTCAAGTTGAGAAACTCTTTCTTCTCCCTAATACAGTCTACTATTGAAGCTCTCAGTTGTATTTTTTTGTTTCATTCATTGAATTCTTCAGTTCCAAGGCTTCTGTTTGATTATAACATGTATCTCTTTGTTGAAATTCAGATTATGAGTTGTCTTACTGATTAATTTGCATTATTTATCTGTGTTCTCTTGTATCTCACAGAGTTTCTTTAAGATCATCATTTTGAATATTTCTTCAGGCATCTTACAAATTTCCTTTTGTTGGGATATATTATTGAAATATTGATGTATTTCTTTGGAAGTATCATGTTTTCTTACTTTCTCATGTTTCTTGTGTCCTTACGTTGATATCTACATGTCTATTTAATAGTCACTTCTTCCAATTTTATGGATTGGCCTTCATAGGGAAAGATTTTTTTCCTACTGATATGTCTAGAGTGTCAGTTGAGTAGGGTGTTTTGGTTTTGATTCTGGATGGGCATTGTAATGTAGTCTCTGCATAATCTTTGGCTATAAGAGTCAGTGCCATCTGTGAGTTTTTTCAGTGGCCTACATGGCAGTTGCTAATAGAAGCAGTAGTGAGGCTTTGCTGGAGACAAGGATGCCAGGTGGACTAGACTGCAAGCCCCAGTGGTGGTGATGGTGGGCTGAACATGCCTATCCTTGGGCATCTGGGCAGTGTGCACAAGCAGCAGTGTTATTGGGTCCAAGCAAGCCAATCCTTAGGTTCCTGGATGATACATATGGGCACCACTGTTGGAGGGCTACACCTGAGGCAAATCTGTCCTCTGGGCCCCTAATGATGCACTCAGATGCTGGCTGCAGTGTGTGGGGTGGGTCAATCCCCAGGACCCTGGATGGCACATGGGCAGGCCAGTCCCTGGGCCTTCTGAAGGTATATTAAGATGTGTAGTGGACCTGCTGCTGGAGAAGGAGGGATTTGCTATCAGGGGAAGTGGCCTCAGGCAGGCAGCTCTCAGGCTCTGGAGAATGCAGGCTTTGGTTTCTTTTGTCCATGGGACAGCCTCCCTAGTGTGCTGCAACTTCTTTTTACTCAAAATTCCTCATTCCGCTGCATGGGGTAGAATGCAGGGAACCCAGCCACACTGCTGGGTTCAGCCAGTGTTATGATGCTGTTGCCTTCTGGGTGTACATAAGGGTATATCAACAAGGCTTCAATATTGTGGGAATGGAGGAGCCGTTGATCCTCAAGCAGGATGTAGTCTAGTGGGAGGTAGGCTCTCAAAATGGCAGTGTGCTGCAGCTGCTTGGATCTTGGGAGGTGTTGGGGACCTAGTGTGAACTCCCTTTCTGAAACAGTGCTATTGCATGGACTCCAGGCAGCTCACTATACTACTCTCTGGGCCAATGAGGGCAGGAGTCTGTGATGGGATGTGTACCACTGGAGACCTCTTCCTTATCTTTACCATGCAATGGGAAGTTTGTCCTGGCTCTGAGCCAATTTTGGCCAGTTGGCTTCTTTGCTTACCTCTCCCTCTGTGCCTCAGAGATTCCCTGTTGCTTTCCTGCTGCATGTCAGTATTCTCTCCTAGATGCTCTGTTTTATGTATCATTATCTACTCACCATTTTTATCTTTCTTTGTGGAGGAGGCTAGCGCTGGGTGCCGCTAGTGAGTCATCTTGAAGCTCTGATTCTAGATACCCTGATTAAAGTGGAACATGTGAGATGAACATACCTGTTTAGGTAATTGAATAGAACTTATTGGCCCTAACATCTGCAAATGCCTCCAGTTTTAAGTATATAATTTCTTATAAAACAAGCACAATATTTCATCTGCCAGCTCCATAACAAAAGCACATTATTTCTGCCTCACTAGGTTAACACTTCCTGACCAGAAGCCTGATGTGGAACAATTCAAGTATCATGAGGTCATTGTCTTCGGAGATCTTTCTCAGAGTACCCATAGATCTAAATAGGGGAGACAGCACATCTGGCTGAGTTACTGAATTGAAAATAAAGATATTTAATGTTAACACCCAAAGAACCAGAAGCTTATGGTAAGGAAACATTTGCTAATAAAGATCATGTTAATTTGCTTTGTCAACAAAACCCCAGAGACTAGCACCTGCAAGAGCATGTAGAACACGGGTCTCCCGTGCCATAGGAGACAGGCAAAGATGCGGAGAATTTGCTAGTTGAGGAAGTTTGGGGTCACAGGGAGGCAATTAGCAATATCCCCACAAATAATAAAAGGTAAGTTAAAATGGGATCAATCTTTTTCTTTTCTTTCTTTCTTTTTTTTTTTTTTTTGAGATGGAGTCTTGCTCTGTCCCCCAGACTGGAGTGCAGTGGCACGATCTCCGCTCACTGCAACCACTGCCTCCCGGGTTCTCGCCGTTCTCCTGCCTCAGCCTCTGAAGTAGCTGGGATTACAGGCGCCCGCCACCACGCCCAGTTAATTTTTTTGTATTTTTAGTAGAGACGGGGTTTCACCGTGTTAGCCAGGATGGTCTTGATCTCCTGACCTCGTGATCCGCAAAATGGGATCAATCTTTTTCTAAAATTATCTTTTAGTTATAAAAGGAAGACTTGCAAGGAGCGCTGCTGCTATGATTCCATGTTAGACCTTCATGCAGAACTCTGTAACCTAGCTCTTTATGGGTAAGAATTGTCCCTTGTTCATTATTTTCTAATTATTAAGGATTACATCATTTCCAGTTGACTGTTGGTGTTGATTGTGTTTTATTACATTTTAATCCTAGGAATATTAAGAAGCCACATGTGGTTGGTGTAGGTTGCTGTCTTTAAATCCAGTGACCCGGAGGAGCCAAGATGGCCGAATAGGAACAGCTCCGGTCTACAGCTCCCAGCGTGAGCGACGCAGAAGACGGGTGATTTCTGCATTTCCATCTGAGGTACCGGGTTCATCTCACTAGGGAGTGCCAGACAGTGGGCGCAGGCCAGTGTGTGTGCGCACCGTGCGCGAGCCGAAGCAGGGCGAGGCATTGCCTCACCTGGGAAGCGCAAGGGGTCAGGGAGTTCCCTTTCCGAGTCAAAGAAAGGGGTGACGGATGCACCTGGAAAATCGGGTCACTCCCACCCGAATATTGCGCTTTTCAGACCGGCTTAAGAAACGGCGCACCACGAGACTATATCCCACACCTGGCTCAGAGGGTCCTACGCCCACGGAATCTCGCTGATTGCTAGCACAGCAGTCTGAGATCAAACTGCAAGGCGGCAACGAGGCTGGGGGAGGGGCGCCCGCCATTGCCCAGGCTTGCTTAGGTAAACAAAGCAGCCGGGAAGCTCGAACTGGGTGGAGCCCACCACAGCTCAAGGAGGCCTGCCTGCCTCTGTAGGCTCCACCTCTGGGGGCAGGGCACAGACAAACAAAAAGACAGCAGTAACCTCTGCAGACTTAAGTGTCCCTGTCTGACAGCTTTGAAGAGAGCAGCGGTTCTCCCAGCACGCAGCTGGAGATCTGAGAACGGGCAGACTGCCTCCTCAAGTGGGTCCCTGACCCCTGACCCCCGAGCAGCCTAACTGGGAGGCACCCCCCAGCAGGGGCACACTGACACCTCACACGGCAGGGTATTCCAACAGACCTGCAGCTGAGGGTCCTGTCTGTTAGAAGGAAAACTAACAACCAGAAAGGACATCTACACCGAAAACCCATCTGTACATCACCATCATCAAAGACCAAAAGTAGATAAAACCACAAAGATGGGAAAAAAACAGAACAGAAAAACTGGAAACTCTAAAACGCAGAGCGCCTCTCCTCCTCCAAAGGAACGCAGTTCCTCACCAGCAACAGAACAAAGCTGGATGGAGAATGATTTTGACGAGCTGAGAGAAGAAGGCTTCAGACGATCAAATTACTCTGAGCTACGGGAGGACATTCAAACCAAAGGCAAAGAAGTTGAAAACTTTGAAAAAAATTTAGAAGAATGTATAACTAGAATAACCAATACAGAGAAGTGCTTAAAGGAGCTGATGGAGCTGAAAACCAAGGCTCGAGAACTACGTGAAGAATGCAGAAGCCTCAGGAGCCGATGCGATCAACTGGAAGAAAGGGTATCAGCAATGGAAGATGAAATGAATGAAATGAAGCGAGAAGGGAAGTTTAGAGAAAAAAGAATAAAAAGAAATGAGCAAAGCCTCCAAGAAATATGGGACTATGTGAAAAGACCAAATCTACGTCTGATTGGTGTACCTGAAAGTGATGTGGAGAATGGAACCAAGTTGGAAAACACTCTGCAGGATATTATCCAGGAGAACTTCCCCAATCTAGCAAGGCAGGCCAACGTTCAGATTCAGGAAATACAGAGAACGCCACAAAGATACTCCTCGAGAAGAGCAACTCCAAGACACATAATTGTCAGATTCACCAAAGTTGAAATGAAGGAAAAAATGTTAAGGGCAGCCAGAGAGAAAGGTCGGGTTACCCTCAAAGGAAAGCCCATCAGACTAACAGCGGATCTCTCGGCAGAAACCCTACAAGCCAGAAGAGAGTGGGGGCCAATATTCAACATTCTTAAAGAAAAGAATTTTCAACCCAGAATTTCATATCCAGCCAAACTAAGCTTCATAAGTGAAGGAGAAATAAAATACTTTACAGACAAGCAAATGCTGAGAGATTTTGTCACCACCAGGCCTGCCCTAAAAGAGCTCCTGAAGGAAGCGCTAAACATGGAAAGGAACAACCGGTACCAGCCGCTGCAAAATCATGCCAAAATGTAAAGACCATCGAGACTAGGAAGAAACTGCATCAACTAATGAGCAAAATCACCAGCTAACATCATAATGACAGGATCAAATTCACACATAACAATGTTAACTTTAAATATAAATGGACTAAATTCTGCAATTAAAAGACACAGACTGGCAAGTTGGATAAAGAGTCAAGACCCATCAGTGTGCTGTGTTCAGGAAACCCATCTCACGTCCAGAGACACACATAGGCTCAAAATAAAAGGATGGAGGAAGATCTACCAAGCCAATGGAAAACAAAAAAAGGCAGGGGTTGCAATCCTAGTCTCTGATAAAACAGACTTTAAACCAACAAAGATCAAAAGAGACAAAGAAGGCCATTACATAATGGTAAAGGGATCAATTCAACAAGAGGAGCTAACTATCCTAAATATTTATGCACCCAATACAGGAGCACCCAGATTCATAAAGCAAGTCCTCAGTGACCTACAAAGAGACTTAGACTCCCACACATTAATAATGGGAGACTTTAACACCCCACTGTCAACATTAGACAGATCAACGAGACAGAAAGTCAACAAGGATACCCAGGAATTGAACTCAGCTCTGCACCAAGCAGACCTAATAGACATCTACAGAACTCTTCACCCCAAATCAACAGAATATACATTTTTTTCAGCACCACACCACACCTATTCCAAAATTGACCACATAGTTGGAAGTAAAGCTCTCCTCAGCAAATGTAAAAGAACAGAAATTATAACAAACTATCTCTCAGACCACAGTGCAATCAAACTAGAACTCAGGATTAAGAATCTCACTCAAAGCCGCTCAACTACATGGAAACTGAACAACCTGCTCCTGAATGACTACTGGGTACATAACGAAATGAAGGCAGAAATAAAGATGTTCTTTGAAACCAACGAGAACAAAGACACCACATACCAGAATCTCTGGGACGCATTCAAAGCAGTGTGTAGAGGGAAATTTATAGCACTAAACGTCTACAAGAGAAAGCAGGAAAGATCCAAAATTGACACCCTAACATCACAATTAAAAGAACTAGAAAAGCAAGAGCAAACACATTCAAAAGCTAGCAGAAGGCAAGAAATAACTAAAATCAGAGCAGAACTGAAGGAAATAGAGACACAAAAAACCCTTCAAAAAATCAATGAATCCAGGAGCTGGTTTTTTGAAAGGATCAACAAAATTGATAGACCACTAGCAAGACTAATAAAGAAAAAAAGAGAGAAGAATCAAATAGACACAATAAAAAATGATAAAGGGGATATCACCACCGATCCCACAGAAATACAAACTACCATCAGAGAATACTACAAACACCTCTATGCAAATAAACTAGAAAATCTAGAAGAAATGGATACATTCCTCGACACATACACTCTCCCAAGACTAAACCAGGAAGAAGTTGAATCTCTGAATAGACCAATAACAGGCTCTGAAATTGTGGCAATAATCAATAGTTTACTAACCAAAAAGAGTCCAGGACCAGATGGATTCACAGCCGAATTCTACCAGAGGTACAAGGAGGAACTGGTACCATTCCTTCTGAAACTATTCCAATCAATAGAAAAAGAGGGAATCCTCCCTAACTCATTTTATGAGGCCAGCATCATTCTGATACCAAAGCCGGGCAGAGACACAACCAAAAAAGAGAATTTTAGACCAATATCCTTGATGAACATTGATGCAAAAATCCTCAATAAAATACTGGCAAACCGAATCCAGCAGCACATCAAAAAGCTTATCCACCATGATCAAGTGGGCTTCATCCCTGGGATGCAAGGCTGGTTCAATATACGCAAATCGATAAATGTAATCCAGCATATAAACAGAGCCAAAGACAAAAGCCACATGATTATCTCAATAGATGCAGAAAAAGCCTTTGACAAAATTCAACAACCCTTCATGCTAAAAACTCTCAATAAATTAGGTATTGATGGGACGTATTTCAAAATAATAAGAGCTATCTATGACAAACCCACAGCCAATATCATACTGAATGGGCAAAAACTGGAAGCATTCCCTTTGAAAACTGGCACAAGACAGGGATGCCCTCTCTCACCGCTCCTATTCAACATAGTGTTGGAAGTTCTGGCCAGGGCAATCAGGCAGGAGAAGGAAATAAAGGGTATTCAATTAGGAAAAGAGGAAGTCAAATTGTCCCTGTTTGCAGACGACATGATTGTTTATCTAGAAAACCCCATCGTCTCAGCCCAAAATCTCCTTAAGCTGATAAGCAACTTCAGCAAAGTCTCAGGATACAAAATCAATGTACAAAAGTCACAAGCATTCTTATACACCAACAACAGACAAACAGAGAGCCAAATCATGGGTGAACTCCCATTCATAATTGCTTCAAAGAGAATAAAATACCTAGGAATCCAACTTACAAGGGATGTGAAGGACCTCTTCAAGGAGAACTACAAACCACTGCTCAAGGAAATAAAAGAGGAGACAAACAAATGGAAGAACATTCCATGCTCATGGGTAGGAAGAATCAATATCGTGAAAATGGCCATACTGCCCAAGGTAATTTACAGATTCAATGCCATCCCCATCAAGCTACCAATGACTTTCTTCACAGAATTGGAAAAAACTACTTTAAAGTTCATATGGAACCAAAAAAGAGCCCGCATCGCCAAGTCAATCCTAAGCCAAAAGAACAAAGCTGGAGGCATCACACTACCTGACTTCAAACTATACTACAAGGCTACAGTAACCAAAACAGCATGGTACTGGTACCAAAACAGAGATATAGATCAATGGAACAGAACAGAGCCCTCAGAAATAACGCCGCATATCTACAACTATCTGATCTTTGACAAACCTGAGAAAAACAAGCAATGGGGAAAGGATTCCCTATTTAATAAATGGTGCTGGGAAAACTGGCTAGCCATATGTAGAAAGCTGAAACTGGATCCCTTCCTTACACCTTATACAAAAATCAATTCAAGATGGATTAAAGATTTAAACGTTAGACCTAAAACCATAAAAACCCTAGAAGAAAACCTAGGCATTACCATTCAGGACATAGGCGTGGGCAAGGACTTCATGTCCAAAACACCAAAAACAATGGCAACAAAAGCCAAAATTGACAAATGGGATCTAATTAAACTAAAGAGCTTCTGCACAGCAAAAGAAACTACCATCAGAGTGAACAGGCAACGTACAACATGGGAGAAAATTTTCGCAACCTACTCATCTGACAAAGGGCTAATATCCAGAATCTACAATGAACTCAAACAAATTTACAAGAAAAAAACAAACAACCCCATCAAAAAGTGGGTGAAGGACATGAACAGACACTTCTCAAAAGAAGACATTTATGCAGCCAAAAAACACATGAAGAAATGCTCATCATCACTGGCCATCAGAGAAATGCAAATCAAAACCACTATGAGATATCATCTCACACCAGTTAGAATGGCAATCATTAAAAAGTCAGGAAACAACAGGTGCTGGAGAGGATGTGGAGAAATAGGAACACTTTTACACTGTTGGTGGGACTGTAAACTAGTTCAACCATTGTGGAAGTCAGTGTGGCGATTCCTCAGGGATCTAGAACTAGAAATACCATTTGACCCAGACATCCCATTACTGGGTATATACCCAAAGGACTATAAATCATGCTGCTATAAAGACACATGCACACGTATGTTTATTGCGGCACTATTCACAATAGCAAAGACTTGGAACCAACCCAAATGTCCAACAATGATAGACTGGATTAAGAAAATGTGGCACATATACACCATGGAATACTATGCAGCCATAAAAAATGATGAGTTCATATCCTTTGTAGGGACATGGATGAAATTGGAAACCATCATTCTCAGTAAACTATCGCAAGAAGAAAAAACCAAACACCGCATATTCTCACTCATAGGTGGGAATTGAACAATGAGATCACATGGACACAGGAAGGGGAATATCACACTCTGGGGACTGTGGTGGGGTCGGGGGAGGGGGGAGGGATAGCATTGGGAGATATACCTAATGCTAGATGACACATTAGTGGGTGCAGCGCACCAGCATGGCACATGTATACATATGTAACTAACCTGCACAATGTGCACATGTACCCTAAAACTTAGAGTATAATAAAAAAATAAATAAATAAAATAAATCCAGTGACCCTAGTGGTTTTATTTTGTCTTGTTTTTTAAACACAAATCTGACTGGACGGCTCGATGGTTGGAAACTCATCAGCAGCTTCCCATTGCTGTTAGAATAAGGTCAGAATCCTCAACCTGCCAGAAGCATCCCTGCCCTTTGTCCCCACATTCCTACCCTTTACAATTAGCCTGGCTTATAAGGGCTGCATGTGAAGAAATACACATATTTTCTTTTCCACTGCTAAAATTCTCACTTGCATTCTTGGTGCTGTGAGCAGAGGTGGTGTCTGCTGTGTTCACTCCTTAAATACATAGTCTAGCACTGTGCCTGGTACATAGCAGATGCTCATTACAAATATTTTAAAATAATTCAGTAACCGAGTAAAACAGTCTACCATGTTAATAATGTGAACTGAAGTTAAATAATTATCCAGATGATAGTGATATAGAAGTTAAGAAGAAATTACTTAGGCAGATAGTAAGGGCATGGGAGTCCTCAGTAAGTCTTCTCTCTTTAGTGAAAAGCAGCCCCAAATCATTTTCTAACAAAGAGCAGCCTGTAATGTCGAGCTGCAGATACACACAAGCAAGCTGGTAGCTTGCACAGTGAATGCTGGCAGGAACTAAGGACTAGACATGTTCAAGATGGCAGTTCCATCTTCCCTTCTCTGCCAGCCAAGTGTACAGTAAGAAATAGACAAGATGGCCTCGATCAACTGGAAAGCTCATTTGCATAAGAAGATTAGGGTGGGGCAACAAGCCTTCCCCAGGCACTATGTAAACGTCATACGTGATCGAACCAATCTATGAGCCCTATGTAAATCAGACACCGCCTCCTCAAACTGGACTATAAAACTTGGTGCATTCACGGCCAGCCAGTACTTTCCCCTCAGAGACCCCTTACTCTATAGAGGTAGCTGTTTCTCTTTCTCTTCTCTTCCACCTATTGAACCTCCGCTCTTAAACTCCTCGTGCGTGTCCGTGTCCTAAATTTTCCTGGCAGGCGACGAGGAACCCCAGGGGTATATACCCCAGACAGACAACATAGCCACTACAATAGCAGCACAGAATATTAGATTAGAGGAGGAATATATGGATCCATAAAAAGAATTTAGTGTTAAAAACAGAGGTTATTTATTTTTTAATCATTTTTTTCTCTAGCTAACTATACAGCTTTAAGTAATTTTTATTAAATTTTTAATTTATGAAATATTTTTATGAAACTTTATGAAAGTAACACATGAAAATATCTGCTTGATTAATAAATAAAATCAAGTGTTTTCAGATGAACTTGAATTTTTTTTGTCTACCTCCTTTAATGTCTGGGGATGTTGTTAGACTATTATGAAGTTTTATGTGCATTGCTCTGAATTGAAGGTCCCCTCCAAAATTCATGTTAAAACTTAATACCCAATGTGGCAGTTCTGAGATGTGAGGCCTTTCAGAGGTGACTGGATCATGATGAGGGTTCATGTTCTGGTTGTTAAATAATTTTAATATTGTCTTTGTTTTTTTTTTTTTTTTTTTTTGAGATGGAGTCTTGCTTTGTCCCCCAGGCTGGAGGAGTGCAGTGGCACGATCTCCGCTCACTGCAACCTCCGCCTCCAAGGTTCATGCCATTCGCCTGCCTCAGCCTCCCAGGTAGCTGGGACTACAGGCGCCCACCATTACACCCGGCTAATTTTTTGTATTTTTAGTAGAGACGGGGTTTCACCGCGTTAGCCAGGATGGTCTCGATCTCCTGACCTCGTGATCCGCCCGCCTTGGCCTCCCAAAGTGTTGGAATTACAGGCGTGAGCCACCGCGCCCGGCCTGTCTTTGATTTTTATCTAATTTATTACTGTGATTATATACTGTGCAACAATAGGTCTGCCACTCACTACTATGCAATGTTATTAAGTTACTTAATTTCTCTATGCCTCAGTTTCCTTGTCTATAAAATGGAATAGATAACAGCACCTACCTCATAGGATTATTATATTAAATAACTTACTACATGTAAAGGGCTGGAGCACTTTCTGGCACATGATGTGAGTTGAGTAAATTCTATTATTATTATTGTTATTATTATTATTTTCACTGATACATGCTTCTCTATATTTGTAAGTAGTTGCCCTGGTAGTTAGAGAACATGCTCTCTAGAGCTACACTGATGTTACCCAAAAGGCTTAAAATTAATAAGGCCATTGCAAAATCAAGCTCTAACTATAATGGCCTGGAATAGAGATGTGCAGGCATTGTAATTGTGTCCAGAGCCCCAAGATTGACTGAAGCTTGATTAAACACATGATAAACCCAAAGGGAGACTTTATCCACTGGAGGGGAGCTGGTTTATCTTTGAAGCATTGGAAAAGGAGAGCTCAATTAAACAAAATACACCAGGCACAGGATCTTGACTGTTGTAAGCATAATGTGTCTTCCTCTTTGAAAATTGCTCCCTCTGGTAGGTAGGGGCTGGGGATGAAATACAGAGAGTGGTGTGGGTGGTACCTGCTTAGGACCGTCTCAGAGGCAGGCTGCCTCTGATGGTGTGATCAGAGAAGGCAGGCCAAATGCTATGGTGGGGGCAGATGCTGTGGCTGTCAGAGCCTGGTTGCCAATCCACCTTTGAATCCGATTGTAGACTCAAGGAGAAAACGCCTTCTACCTATTGTAATTCATCTACCTGTGAATGCTACCTAGAGGAAGGGAAGGCAGTGGCCAGTGGATTATATCCTTTCGTGGAGTGATTACTGAGGGTCCAATCAATATCTTGCCCTGTTTGACCTGCTGAAGATAAAATGTGACTAAAACAAAAACTAATCCATAGCCTGGCAGGGCACTTATCCTAGCCATAGAGTCAGGCAATAAGCCATATACAGTATATAGTTTGTGGGGTGGGGGGCAGAAAAGCCCTGGAGGTTGAAATTTTTAAAAAGTTTTTTTTTTTTTGTTTGAGAAGCCTTTTGATTAAATGCCTGTAGGAAGTGAAGTAGTACCTGGTGGGGAGATTCTGGGAAGGGATTCCAAGCAGAGGGAACCACTAGTCTGGGAAAAGTGAGGCAGCAGAGGTGGTGGCTGGAGCAGCTTGAGGAAGGGTGAGCACAAGGAACAGGTGGGCAGATCAGGTAGGGCCTGTAGCAGAGCAAAGAGGATACAGGAGGGAGGCAGCTCAGCACAGATTTTTAAATTGTTTCTATTTTTTTAAAAATGTTCTTTATCAGTATCTCATGAAGCTTATTGTTAGAAATGGACATAATCACTTAGACACACTCATAGGATCATGTAATAGGTGTGACTTTCACAAGCTAAGTGCTCAGGTGTGTAAAATGTAACTTATTTTTTTGGATAACGAAATTAAATTTCTAGTTAGAGAGCCATTAATTCCAGTTAGTTCCAGGCACATATAATCATGCCACTTTTTCTAAGGAATTTCTGGGATTTCTCATTCAGTTCCAGGATTTCTCCTGCTTCTTCTCACGGTCGGTATTTTATGCGGCCTCTCTCCCTCCGTTAACATGGGTGCACTTTGTTGTCATTGATGCCTTAGGTTAGTATCACTGAGACAACTGTGTTTCTAACTGGACTTTGAGTATTGGTCCCCTGCATTCTGGGCTCCTTAAACTTCCCTAAGGCTTTTCCCATCTTCTCCCACGTTAGCAGCCAGCAGTCTAGTTCTCTTGATTTTCCTGGAAAATTTTACTCTCCACTGGCTGTGGAATTCTTCCCAAGGCTGGTGAAAGAAGGGAAGGAAGCTTTTGTCCATTTTGATGTCTTCTCCCATGTCAATCTCTGAAATGAGGAGCAGCTTGAGATGAGATTTTCTCATCTAGATTCTCCAAGGATTTAGTCTCACAAGTCTCAGAGTCTTTCTCTCAAAGTTGTCTCTGCCATGGGCTTCAAAGGTTTGTGTATGTGGTAGGGGGTGGGGGTGAGCATATCTATAATGAAAAGAAATCAACTATGGCTAAATAAAGCAACATTTGTCTAAAATTCTAGACACTAAAAGCAAATCAATAGAACAGAAAGCAGATCAGTGTTTGTTTAGGAATGAGGCAGAAAGGGAGAGATTTTAAAAGGTCATGAGGAAGATTTTGGGGGTGAAGAGTTAAGTTTATTTTTATGATTGTGGTAATAGTTTCACAGTAGTCTGCATATGCCAAATCATCAAATTGCATATTTTAAATATATTCAGTATCCATATGTCAATTATAACTCAATAAAGCTGTTAAAAAAGAATACTTCAGCTGGGCATGGTGGGTCATGCCTGTAATCCCAGCAGTTTGGGAGGCCGAGGCTGGGCGGATCACCTGAGGTCTGGAGTTCGAGACCAGCCTGATCAACATGGTGAAACCACGTCTCTAATAAAAATACAAAATTAGCCAGATGTGGTGGTGCATGGCTGTAATCCCAGCTACTCTGGAGGCTGAGGCAGGAGAATCTCTTGAGCCCAGGAGGCAGAGGTTGCGGTGAGTTGAGATCACAACAGCCAGGGCAACAGAGCGAAACTCCATCTCAAAAAAAAAAAAAAAAAAAAAAAGAATACTTAAAAGACAGGTTCTTAGGGCACCTGTGTTGTTATAAGCAGTAGTGTATGAGCAGCTGAAGCCATGTCACTTTGCTGTCTACATCTCATAGCTCTAGTCCATCTGTAATGACTCCATGGGAGAAAAGCTTTTTTTTTTTTTTTTTTTAAGTTTTTTAAGCTTTACATAGAACTTCAGTGCCTGGACTATAGGAAGATGAAGAGCATCACGGTTTATCCCTTACAAGTTGAGCAGTCTGAGTCATGGCAATATAGGTGGAGTGATCAACAGGGTGTCTGAAGTTGCTGCTGTCAGCCACCACCTCTATGTGCGTAGCCTGTGTTTTTGCAGAGCCAGTCCTCCGGTCTTAGACAAAGCACTCCCATAGAAGTGACCTGCTTGTGAGCAATCACTAACTCATTTTCTCCTTTCTGCCAGCTGCAGGGCCAGGTTCTGCAGGGTTGCGGCTCAGTATGGTGGGTGCATCACCACCATCAGTGACAACTGGTCCAGGCCATTTGCTCCTTATGCATGATTATCTTGATAATTGGACTGCTGAGAGGACAGAAAGCATTTCCATGCTGCTGGATCATAGGCTCTGCTGTAAGGGAACAAGTAATTATGCAGGCACTCACCATGCACACTTGACCAGCACAGCGTTGAAGAACAGGTCTCACATTTCCACCTTGTTGATGAAAGCAGCTTGGGTAGGTTTTCCAGCCACCCATCTTAATGGCCTTTAAAGGCCGCAATGACATATTCCGTTTTTGAGTCAGAGGGCCAAGGGGGAGCCTCTGCCCTTTTATCCACAGCTGGAGATGGACTAGCTTGTCACATGTTGGGGACCCCCAGGAGCATGGCAGATACCTGGTAGACATCTTCCAGCAGCTCTAGGTTGATGTACAGGTAAAGGCCACTCACTGGTGTCATTCTGCCATCTCCTCCAAGCTCTATGTTGAATGTGAGGGCTGCACATTAAATTGTTGTCTCTCTCTTTCTGTACTTTTCAGTGATAACACTGAAGAAGAAGTAATCTAACTGCCAAAGATGGGAGAAAAGACCATGGGAAAAAGGAGAAGGAGGGCTGTGGGAGTCAGGTCATTCCCTACAGTATTATACCACTACTGTAGATTTTATACTTGCAAGGTTGAGGACCATGACCTAGACCTTCCTTGATAAATTTATCAAGGACCTGTCACAGCTGGAAGCCTCCATAACTATGTCCTGGATGACTGTTTTGCCACTGTAGAGACTTCCCCTGGCATGGACATTCTCCAAAATATTGTTAACAGGACAGTTTGTGTTTACAAGATTGTGGGGAATTTGGTATGACTATAGAACTCTAACGCTAAAGTCAATGTCTTTTCTCAATGCCATTTTGGCATTGGTCTATAGATAGGACACAGGAAATGGGGTGAAAAAGCTCCCCTTTTTTCTTTATTTGTACAAAATGTCTGGTGTAAGCTTTTGCTTGGGAACCTCAGGGAGACTCTGGGTTATGAGAGAGGAAGGAAGAAACATTGTGAATATGACCATCACTCTGATAATTCACCTGAACTTTTGGGCTTGGATAATCTTAATGTAATTCCTGCTCTAAAATATTCAGCAAGGGATTTTATTAAATTGAACTTCTAATCACCAAAAGACATTTTCTTGAGTGATGGTCATGACCAACAGAGGCATTAGATTGTTTGGAATCCTTAAGTGGAAGGGTCAGAAATGCTTTGTGGGTGAAGGGTAGGAAGTAGGGCAGGGCTCAAATTTCCAAATCTACTAACCAAGACAAGCACCTAGCTTGGGAAGAATTCTGGCATTTTCTTTCCTTTTTGTAAAGTCTTTCATTGAAATATAACAGTGTATGGCAGACACATTTGACAGCAATAACTTAAGCATAGCTTGAGAATGACCCTGTGGTTTAAGAAGAATGTGTGTTTGGTGTTCCCAGCTGAAGAATCCAGGAATGGCCAATACAGAGATTCACTCCTTATCTACGAAGAACATCTGAACCCCCAGCCCATTCCTTGGAATGCAGGCTGTACAAGGGACCAAGTCCCTTTGTGTTGGGTTAAATGGAGGTTGGTAGGTGGAGGGTGCTAAGCAAAAATGCTATATAAACTGCGTGCTTTTTACAAATGGTAGTGGTTCTCCTTTCCATCCCACCACCACTGGACCGCCCTTGTATGTAAGTCCTCAGTAAACCCTATCTCTGATTCACTGGCTTGAGGTCTCTCTTTTCCCTCGTTGACATAATGCCAGACATAGAGAAAAGTGTATGTATCATGAGTGTACATGGTGGTACATTTTTGAGAAATAAAGCTCACCCATGTAACATTCAGTGAGATCAAGAAACATTTTCAGCCCTCTAGACACTCCCTCTTTACATGCCCACTTCTAGTCACTTCCTACCCATTCGATTGGCTAATCACAAACCTGACTTCTAACACTATAGGTTAGTTTTGCCTATTTTAGAACTTTATATAGGAAGACTTATACAAGTTTCTTATTTCTGGCTTCTTTTGCTCAATATCATGTTTATGAGATTCATCTCTGTTGCAAATGATGGCAATTCGTTCATTCTCATTGCTTTTCATTTCGTTCTCTAAACACACTGCAATTACCTTTAATCTATTCTGTTATTGATGGACATTTGAGTTATTTCCAGGTTTTAGCCATTATCATGAAATCTTGATAAAAATTTTTTACATGGGTTTGGTGAGCATAGCCCACCAAAATGTTTACTGGCTATTTGTATATTCTCTTTCACGATGTGTCTGTTCAAGTCTTTTGTCCATTTTTTCTTTTTATTGGGTTTCCTGTCTTTTTTTATTGATTTGTTGGCATTGTTATATAATCTGGATGGGAGTTCCATATCAAACATATGTATTGCAAATAACTTCTCCCATTCCTTATGTTAATAATTTTTTTTTTTGAAAACCAAGAGATTTTGAATCTTTCTCTCAATGCTTACAGGCGTGATCTTTGGGTATTCACCTATTCTCTCTAAATGAAACCTTTCTCAGTAAAATGAAACTTTATTATCTTAATTTCTTAAATTTTCTCTTGAGCCTGTATTATTTTACTGATATGGTTTGGATCTGTTTCCCCACTCAAATCTCATTTTCAATTGTAATTGCTGATGTTGGAAGTGGGGCCTGGTGGGATGTGATTGGATCATGGGGGTGAATCTTTTATGAATTGTTTAGAACCATACCCCTTTGGTACTGTATAGTGAGTGAATTATTGTGAGAAGTGGTTGTTTAACAGCGTGTGGCACCTCAATCTCCCTCTTCCTCCTGCTCCAGCCCTGTAAGACATGCCTGCTTCTCCTTCACGTTCTGTCATGATTGTGAGCTTTCTGAGGCTTCCCCAGAAGGTGAGCAGATGCTGGTATGCTTCCTGTATAGCCTGCAGAGTCATGAGCCAGTTAAACCTCTTTTCTTTATAAATGACCCAGTCTCAGGAATTTCATTATAGCAATGTGAGAAGAGACTAATACAATTACATATGTACTTTTACAAAAGTTGAGTGAGATTCTAAATCACAGTTTTGGGCTCCCATCAACTGGTTTGAAGTAGAAGAAGGGTGAGCAAAGGAGCTGTGTTAAGTATTGGGCTGGGGATCAGGTGACATTGCAAGGACATATCCAGCCTTTTATCTCCACCCCCAAATCTCTAGCCATTTAGGAAGTAACTTGAAAGTTCTATGCAACTGAAATAATTCCTGCTAAAGAAAATTTACTTCCCATTAGGATAATAATGGGCCACTTCCAAGTTCTTCTTCACTAGAGTCTCACTCTACTAAATGTTCCACTCTGTGGCCTAGGACATCTCCTGCTTGGCTTGAAGAAACAGACTCCTGCTGTCTTGTCCCCAAAATAAGCATCTGCCATAATACTGATGCTTAATAGATTGTTTTTAAACGAGCAAAGAAGATTCTTGGCAAAAATTGAAACTGATGTGGAGATTGTGGTAGAATATTTGGTGGAATTTTGCTTTCTTAATTTTGTTGGTCTCATTTTGTCTTTTTGAGAGAGGTATGTATTATTTCTGTTTTCTCATGAAGAAGCCCCAAGAATCAGTGTAGGTTGGCAAAATCATACAGAGGCTGGAGTGAGATAGAATTGGTTTAATATATGAATTCTTGACCAGTTATGTACTTCTCTGTTTTGTATTTTTCTTATTTGTAAAATAGAAATGATGCTGTCAGCCTTTCTGCGGAGCTCTGAAGAATATAAACCTGCACTGTCTGATGCAGTAGCCAATAGCCACATATGGCCATTGAACACTTGAAATATGGCTTGTTCAAATTGAGATGTGCTTTAGCTTTAACATACATATTAGATGCCAAAGACTTGATACAATTGACTTCATCTTCCTTACATATTACAATGATAACATTTGGAATATATTGGGTTACATTAGAATATGTTATTACATTTAATTTCACCTGTTTCTTTTTACTGTTTTAAATATTGCTATTAAGGATTTTAAATTATATATGTGGCTTATATTTCTATTGGAAAGCATTCTTACAGGTTATGGCTTATAATAGCTATATCCATGTCTGCGAGATCAACACTATCTCACTTACAATGGCAGATTCTGCTTCTTCCATTATATTGGAACACATACACACACACACACACACATACACACAAACAGAGGAAAAGGAGGCAAGCAAAACTCTCTCTTCACTCTACCGTCTCCCACAAAAAGATTCCAAGTTTCCCACCTTTTCTTCAGGGGCACTTATGTGAATCATGGGAAGTCCTTCCTCATTATCTCTTCTACTCCTGGGCCTAGGCCCCGTTCGGGAAGATTTGCTTTCTATTTCACACTTTGAGTGCATCTAATCCTGGAGCCATTTTCACTGGAGTTCAAGTGGACCCTCAGATGCTTCCCTGCCTTTCTAGAAGTCCCAGGCTTTTTTGTTTCTAGGAGGGGAAAAGCTGGCAAATAGGATATATTCACTAGGCACTTAAATCTTTAAATGCTTGCCCCTGTTTGGTTTGGGTAGGAAAGGAAACTCTGCTCTCTGGAAGTACGCATGAGAGAAGAGGGAAAGGAAAAAAATTCACAAAACACTCTGATTTATGGTTTAAGAAATAATGTTGCTGCATAGCAATCTTTTATAGAGCACTGATCATATTTTAGAAGTAAGCTAACAGTGATTGATAGCCAGGCAATATGCCAAAGACATTCAATACATTATCTCATTAATCCTTGAAACCAACCAATGAGGCTATATACCATTAGTATCACCATTTTACAGATAAGAGACTAAGGCTTTAAATCTCTAGGTACCAGCTATGGTTTCAGTGTTTGTCCTCTTCAAAACTGAGGTTGAAACTTAATTCCCAGTGTGGCAGTATTGAGAGGTGGAGTTTTTAAGAGGGGGTTGAATGGGCAGAGCCCTCATGAGGGAATTAATCCATCCATGCATGAATGAATGAATAGGTTAAGAGATTAATGGGCTATGAGAATGGGACTGGGGGCTTTATTAGAAGAAGAGAGGCCTTTGTTCATGTGATGCCCTGAGTTGCCTCAGAACTCTCGAGAGAGTCTCTACCAGCAAGAAGTTTCTCACCAGATGTGGCTTCTTGACCTTGGCCTTCTCAGCCTCCCTAACTGTAAGAAATAAATTCCTTTGCTTTATAAATTACTCAGTTTCAGGTATTCTGTTAGAAGCAAAGAAAACAAATTAAGATAGTACCCTTTTCTGCTAAGATTCAAACTATTGACAGTCTGACTACAGATTTAATAACCGTGCTCTCTACTGCACCAAGGAAAGCATCCAGCAGAATGCCAGGAACACCATAGAGACTTAATAAACGGTAGCTTTTAGTACTATTGTGGTCACTGTTCTTAATAGTGTAGCTTTGAAGCCAAGTTCTCATCTTGTTTTTCTGTCCCTTTTACCTTCAAGCCCACTCTTGTTATTCCTCCTGCCCTTTTTGATGACTCCTTTAGTAGACAGGAGATGGTGCATAATTTCATCCACTTGCCAGCTCCCACTGGTCAGTTGGGAGTGTTGATGAGGAGTCCAGGGGCACATCCGACTTACAGGACAGCAAGGCCATGATTGGTCAAAACGGCTTCCGGGGAAGGACGGGATAAGTGGGGCAACATCGCACAATGTTGTCATCTCTGCTTTCCCACTCTCTATACTCCCATTGCTCAGAGGTGTCTAACTGCTGCGTCTGTCATCCCACTGACCAGATCCTTCTTGTATTCTTTCCAAGAAAGCTAGTTTTCAACTAATTTAAGCCTCCCCATGAACAGTAGTCATGACTCTCAGGGACAGAAACTATTGTACTGAATTAACTCCAGAGATATTCTTCCCTAATCGCCTTTTCTAGTCATTAATTGCCATGTACTCCCGTAGGACTTGGGGAAGCAAGAAGGTGATGAGGACAAAGGGACGTGTTTGCATACAGCCATCCTTTCCTTGTGTCTCCCATCACATGGCACCCACCTGTGGGTGAAGCTCACTTTAGTAATAAATAGATTGTGAAAGGAAAATAAATCTTTGGGCCCTAAATTCACTAAGCTTAAGGGAAATCTCAAGTTGGGAACTGCTTAGGGCAAACCTGCTTTCCATTCTATTCAAAGTCATCCCTCTGCTGACTGAGATAAATGCATGTCTGATTGCCTCGTTTGGAAAGGCCAATCAGAAACTCAAAAGAATGCAACTGTTTTTCTCTCACCTACCTGTGACCTGGAAGTCCCCTCCCTGCTTTGACTTGTCTCATTTTTCTGGACGGAGCCAATGTACATCTTATATGCATGGATTGATGTCTCATGTCTCCCTAAAATGCATAAAACCAAGCTGTGCCCTGACCACCTTGGGGACATGCCGTCCAGACTACCTGAGGCTGTGTCACGGGTGCGTGTGCTCCACCTTGGCAAATAAACTTTCTAAATTAACTGAGATTTGTCTCAGGTATTTGGGGTTCACAATATTAAAGGTCCTAGCAAGTCCCCAATGAGCAGATTTTAAATGTTTCCTTGTGAGGTTACTCTTATATTTGTGTTCACAGTAGAATCCATTTTCTCCCCATAACCAAGACAATTTGGAAAACAGATATTCTCCTACAGACGGGCCCCAGATATTCTTTATTACATGGCATAAACACAAAGCACTGATATTTGTTTGAAATATGCCCCCAAACCCTGCAAAGGGTAAAAATGTGTGTTTGGAAATGGCTTGAATTAGGACAGGCTATAATACTCTGAATGTACAGTTTGTCCTCAGTCTTGCTGTTTTGCAAAAAGCATCTAAAATTTATGCACTTAGATTTGTCAGTTTAAAATTGTGAGCTGTGTGTTAGCCCAGCTCGGTAAAATATTGAAGGCATCACTGTAGAAGGGAGAGCGGGGGTGGGGAATGTAATACATCAAGATCAAAGGCATCGTGCAGACTTTATAAATTCTGCAGAGATTTTATCCCGCCTCATTTGTGAATTTCAAAAAGCTTTGCGTAATATCTTCTTTTTTCCCCTTAAGTACTTAGGAAGGACAACAAATTATATCGTTTTTCTGTCACTTTCAGAGACATGCTGTCAATGAACAAGCTGTAAATAATGTAATGTTCTTAATAAATAAGTGTGGACAAATCATGTTGCAAAACAAGGTTAGGAAAAGAGGCGATAGGTGGTCGATGACTCATAGCAAATTAATAAGGAAGCATGGGGATACAAGTCCCCATGTTCTCTTGCAGAGCAGTGTTCTTACAACTGTCCTTATTCTGAAGCTCTGCAGATTTAACAGTTTTAGCAACACAACCTAGAATCATTCAAAGGGAAAATGCTTCTGGGCCTCATTTAAACAAGTACTGTTGCTTTTCACTTACAGAACCTCTTGGTGGTGAAAAATGATGATCCCAAATAGGATGTTGAAAGAGAGGAATCCAAATTAAGGCACGTTTTTATTTTTACTTTCCCAGAGATGACATCTCAGGCAGTCTTTGCATTTTGCTTTCCTTTTCCTCAAACCAAAACCAAGACATCTTTAGAATGTATGTGGGGAGCACGGCCAGTCCTCATATCCCTTAGCAATAAACTTGAAATGAACTTGATTAAATCATATATGATTATATTATCATCCTAAAATATGTCAAGGGACCCTTGCAATTTCATTTAGGATCATTTTGGAATATCAGTAAGCTGGTTCTATTGGATACTGGGAGGAAGTTAATTGGGGAAAGGAAAATCCATTCCTTCAAAGACTTCTATAAGCCTGTCTAATTGGTATATATGCTACTCAAAAAAGCATGCCTGGCACAATACTATTGTAAGAAGCAGCTTTTATAATAGATACAGTTCTTGCTGTGTTGCTGTCCTACTTCAAAACATGTACATGGAGATATGCCCTGTGTCTGTGAGAACCATGGCTGAATGTTAGCTAACATCTTAGATAAAGAAAGAACATTTAAGCAACTCATCGATTGAGTTTCTGTTTGGCTGTCAGTTATCTAAACCATTTTATGTTTTCTCTCCTCTTCATTGGCACTAATTACATCAATTATTAAAGATTTGACATGTATCAAAAGAGTCTCTGTGCTGGCCACTCTGCTACATGCCAGGAATATTATGGAAGCATTGCCCTTAGAGGGCTGAATGTGGGGAAAATGTGGGGCATCTTTGTTAAACTGTTATGTTATAAACCTGAGGTCTGAAGGGCAAGACTTGGATGCATTGACTCCTTCCTGAGATCCTACTGTGTTCAAGGAACCATGAAAGCATATGAATGTTAAGTAGATGCTTATAAAATCCAAGGGCCACAGAGCCAGCACTCACAATCTGTTCTGTTCTCAACAGAACTTCAGCATTTTCCTTAATAAGGGCATATTAGTCAGTTCTCACACTGCTATGAAGAAATACCCAAGACTGGGTAATTTATAAAGGAAAGAGGTTTAATCGACTCACAGTTCCACGTTGCTGGGGAGACCTTAGGAAACTTACAATCATGGCAGAAGGCAAAGGAGAAACAGGCACCTTCTTCACAGGGCAGTAGGATGGAGTGAGTGCAAGCAGGGAAAATGCCAGATGCTTATAAAACCATTGGATCTCCTGAGACTCACTATCAGGAGAACAGCATGAGGAAACCACCTCCATGATCCAATTACCTCCACCTGGTCCCACCCTTGACATGTGGAGATTATGGGGATTACAATTCAAGATGAGATTTTGGGTGGGGACACAGCCAAACCTTATCAAAGGGTGTGTTAACTCAACTGACATGGGCACCAGCAACAAGATATTTCTGGTAATGGCAGTGAACATCATCCTGAGGCAGAGACTTGTTTATTCTCAGCCTGGTAAGGGAAAAGGAGGCCATGCTGCAACACAGATTGCCCTGGCCCCAGCTTAGAGAAGTTACATCAAAGTTTCTGGCATAGAAGAAAATGCGGAAGAAGAGACAGAACAAAGAAAATTCCACAGTTGCAGGAAACATTACAGATGTATTTGCCTTTAATTTCCAAGATTGTAGTTATTTTGTTATCTTTCCACTTTCTAGAAACAAATATTTTTCCTGTTAACAGAGTATGGAGGAGAGATGATAGAGAAACAGCCTGTCTTTACAAATCACACCAAAAAACAGTGACTCCTTTTAAAACCCATTTTATCTTGGAAAACACACACTACTATAAAACTTTACTGCATTTCCCCACCAATGTGGGTGTGGCTGAGGAAACTGAGCATTTGGTTGTGAGAAGTCCACACATCTGTATGTGAGCTGGTATCCTTCCCATCACTTGGTGCCAACAGCATAACCTCTAGGCTCTATAAAGCAGGTAGATCCAAGAAACTTTTGACTTTCAAAATGGCCATTATTTTAAAAATGAGTAGGCATGTTGCTGGCGAAAGCAAAATTTAGTACAATTAGTTTGGAAAATTTTTGACAGTATCTACTAAAGTCAGGATAAATATATATGACCATACGCTCCAGAAAATTTCCACCCGGGAATATATCCAACAGCAATAAACGCATATATTTACAAAAAGATGCATACCAGAATGTTCAGAGCAACATGCTCAAGGACCAAAAAGAGCCAATGGATAGTGTTTATTCTCACAATGAAATGCTATATGGCAACAGAAGTAAACAAACCACAGCTACATGTAACAACATGGATGGGTCCCAAAGACATAATGTTGAGTAGGGAAGCAAGACACAGAGTTCGCACTGTATATACACTTCAAAATACAAGCAAAAATATGTTGCTAGGTGTCAGGGTAGTGGTTACCTTTGGGGAGGTGGTAGTTGCAAAGGCACACTAGGGGACATTTTGGGGAACAGCAATGTTGCTTTTCTGAAAATGGGTGCTATTAGGTTGGTGTGGTTTTTGCCATTACTTTTAATTACAAAACCACAATTACTTTTGCCCCAACCTAATAATTACATGGCTATATTCACTTCATGAAAATTCATAGAGTTGCATGCTTATGATTTGTACTCTTTCCTGTACATTTGTTATATTTAGAAAAAAATAATTAAAAAGTGATCATGAATCCATAGGCCACTGTGAGATGTTTTGCAAAGCAAGAGCAGTCGGTATAAATCACTTAAGTGTTTTTTGTTCTCAACCAATCAACAATTTACTGAGCACCAACCTTTGCCTGGCACTGTGTTAAGCTTTAGAGAGAAATAAAAAAACTAAAAAGTAGAATATATGGGCCTTGCTCCAGGTGAGTGTAAAATCTAATTGGTGGGATAAACCAAATTAATCTATTAGAAAATTTCTTAGGTTAATGTAGAGTTGGAGCACCAATTAGTATACAAGGGAAAAAAATTAAGTCAGGAGTTCAGATTGGCTAACATAAGCTCTTTTTCCCAGCTCAGGGTTAACACCTGCTTCCACTTCTGTCCAAGTTTCAATGGCACTCTTTGGGAAACCTTCCCTGATTTGCCCCTGTTCTATACTCCCATAATGTTCGAAAATAATGCTGGGTTGCCTGCATCATGATGAGTTGAATTAATCTTATGCTATTTAGTTTATTGTACCTCTCTCCATGTGGCAGGAACAGTTTTGCTAATGGCTTTATCCCTGGGCCTAAGTCATACTTAGAACATTTTTCTGAATAAATAAGAGTGGAAAAAAAAAGAGTTTAACATGAGCTGACTTTGTGAATAAAGACTTTACAGAGGGACATCGTCTAAGTCAGGCTTTGAATGATGCATAGGAAATGAATCAGTGCACAACGTAAGGAAAATGAATACTAACTGAGCAAATGAGAATGTCTCAAGCTGTTTGCGTGTGCACCTCATTTAATTGTCACAATAACCCTGTAATACTGTTCATATGATTCCCATTTTATTTATCCCTATCCAGTATTCAGAGAGGCTAAGTAATTTGTTCTGACTCACACAGTTGGTAAGTAACCAAAATTAGAACCTAATACTTTGGTGCCTTTAAATGGCTCCTCTCAGTAAAAGAAAGGAGGCAGGCTTAGCATGTATAGATGTGTTCAGCTGGGTCAATAGAACTCCCATGCTATTACATGAATCATTTGGTCCCTGAGAGATCTTTTGAGTGGAAGCCATTTTGTTCCATTAAGCAAACAGTAGGACATTTTCACTTTGTTTTTAAAGAAAGCCAAAAGATTTCTCTACAGGCTTAATCCATTTGGCCATATAAATCCTAGGCAATTGTTAAGGCTGAAAATAGTCTTGCCAATATCTAAAAAGGAGAGGTTTGGGTATAAAATCAATATAAGCAATCAAAACGCACTTCACGCATAAGATCTGGGAGGACCTGCCGGGAGGAGAGGGTTGGGGTGGCCAGAGTGATGGCTGATTCTGGTATGCAGGTAACCAGGTACTCTGAATCCTGCACTACTGAGCGTGCTCTCTGCTACCCTACTTCAAGCCCATCTGTGTGCTGCTGCCTGTGTTGCCAAGTACCTGAGTGTTTATGGTGCAACTAATGCCCATCAGCTTTCTAGTGTCCAGCAAATTAATATATCCACTTTGAAGTGTTTCATTTCAGCTAAAAACCATAGAAAAATGAAGCTAGGAGGAAAAATATACAAAACAATAAAAACCTTAAGTGTTATTTTATTTAGTCTTCTTCTCTGCAGATGACAAGTTTGAGGCCCAGATATGTTGTTATCAGTTATCTTTTGTTGCCTAATAAAACACTCCAAACTCCATAGCTTAAAATGTGAACTGTGTTTTACACTTTTGAGTCCATAGGGGAATTCTTCTGATTTAATTCAGAGCTGGGTTCTGGATTCATTCATGTGTATAATGGCCATCTGGTGAGTCAGTGGTGGTGGGCTGATCTAGGATGGCCTCACACCCGTGGCTGGCTGAAGGCTGGGGTGATCCTTTAGCTAGCAGGTTCTCCTGGGCTTGATCACAGAGAGTAAATGTGTACAAGGTCTCTGGAGGCCCTCATGTCTACTGTGTTCTGTTGAAAACTCAAATTACGAGGCCAAACTAGATTTAAATGGAAGAGAACAAACATTAACTCTTGATGACCAAGCAGAAAGGCCACATTGGCAAGGATGTGAATATAGGGAGAGATGGGAACTTTGGGATAATTTTTTAATCAAGTCACCAAAGAAGTGAAATTGGGGGACTGGTTAAATGTCCTTTGGGCTATCAGAGCCAAAGGCATGGCCAACTCAATGTCCCAAGCTGTGCCAGGCCCTTGTGTTTGGGTTAAGACTGAGGTCCTCTTCTGGTACTATGGCACAGCGTTGGTGGTGTGCAAAGGCAACGGTGCACATGGTGTCTCTTTCTTCTTCCTATTAGCAGGTTTGGCCGTTGAAGTTAAAAAGTTCTTTCTTTAGCAGAATGAGAAACCTAGTGAGAATGATTGATAATCATATCTTTAGATTGAAAGTGAAGGGGAAAATGCTTTGTTGCTGGAACTCAGAGGGGTATGGTAAACTGACAAGACAGGTTTTCTAGAAGTCTAGCTGTAAGCAGGCTCAGATAACTTCTCTTTCTACAGAGAAGAGAATCTGGTAGGTGATCCTGACTCAGTGACCTTGACATAGGGTCATGGAGTGACACTATCTATACATGTGGTGATACATAGTGTGTGACTTTCAATTTGTCTTCTGCTCAGGCTTCATTAAAATAGGTTCCATGAGGGGAATGGGTAACTTAAACAAAAACTGAAATTTCTTCAACATTGAAGAGAGGTACAGACCTTTGGTGCCAAAGAAGATGTGGCAGCTGCCAGCAGATGTACCAGTGGAATCTGGTAGAATGAGGATGTATCCATCACATGCCTGGGATAGACTCTGAGGCATCTCGATGTTTTTCTGTCTAAACAGCTGGTGGCCATGGCTGATAAAATTAGATTATTTCTCTTGTTGCAACTCTCCTTTTGCAACAAGGAGGGAAACTCAGTTTCTATTGCCATGCACCTAAACCTAGCAGTAGTAGATGCTGTCAGTGTCCCCCATAATCCTCTCAGTCAACTTTGTATGTCATCACAGCCTTGGGGGATAGTTCCTGCACACTTTCTTGCTACTTGAAGCTCCTGAGTTGATCTGCCTGAAGGCTTTCTGTGGCTATGCAGGCTTGCTTCATACAAAGAGGCAGGCCACAGTTGTTGGGGAGTTGACACCCCAAGAAACAACCCTCATTAAAAGAGAACTATTAATAAAAAGTAGTGGGCAATTGCTTAAACCTTCTCTTCCCTTAGTTGGAACACCTGGGAAGTGTGTTCTATGCACTTCCTCAGGGTGTCTCCAGAAGATCAGGGCATCTCAGAGCATCAGTTTCCCAGAGTGGTAACCTCCTCATTAATCATCCTGTATTCGCGTTCTCTCTTTCCCTATTTCTCTATACTTCTCTTTTGCTGTACTTCCTGGAATTGCATCCATAGTATACCTCTTTCACCCAAATCACTGTCTCAGGTCTGCAAAAGAGCACAACAACCACTTGCAGACTTTCTCTGGTCATCCAGCTGCCAAACTCAAAAGTTACACATTGGTCACATTCTATGTAAACATCTGAGGCTTGTGACGTGGCTGACCTTTTCTCCTGTTGGACTACTTTCTCTGAGCTACTGGGATATGACCTCAATTCTTGTAGCAAGTATCTGATCTCTCACTTTAAATCTTCTTTTTGTTACTTGCTTCTTTAATGCAGGCAGCCCTCCAGGAATGGGTTGTCATTTGCTTTTCATCTCTCTTTACTTTCTCCCTTGATGGCCTTAGGTTTTAATTAACTTTTACTACCATATCTATCTGGATGAACCCCGAATTTGTTACTGACCTCAGGTCTGAGAAGTCCGAGGTCTCTCCCAAATCACAATCCCAAATTTCTAGCTCAGTGCTGCTCAATAAAAATACTTGCAATGATGAAAAAGTCTCAGATCTGTGCTGTTAAATGGTAGACAGTAGCCACATATGGCTATTGAGCACTTGAAATGTAGCTAACAAGGTGAAGGCATTGACTTTTTAAATTATTTAACTTTAATTTATATCTAAATAGTCACATGCGGCTACCTTATCAGACAGCACAGTTCTTCACAGTTCTAGTTGCCTTATGGGTATGTCTTTTTATAATTTTATCTCTTTAATTCTCAATTTTCTCATTGGTAAAATAAGAAGATAGATCAATTCATTTTTTAATTATTCAAATGGAATTTGCACAGAAGCCCCACATATAAAACGTAAATGTATAATAAAAACCTAAAAACAATTACATAGGAACAATAAAAAAGATTTGCCCTAAAATATATCAAAATACCTTCTAAAGCTATGGTTATTAAAGAGGTAAGGTACTTGAGCAGTAACAATGAAACAAATTGAAGGAATTGAAGTTTGGAAAAGACTCATAACTATATAGAAATTTGGTATATGACAAAGGTAGTATTTCAGAACAGTAGGAACAATATAAATAGTATTAAGACAACTGGGCTATCCCTTTAGTAAAAAAAAATCATCTAATTTCAAATTACACATAGTAAACTTCAGATTGACTTAATAGATAGATAAATAAAAATTAAAGACTTAAATGTAAAACCCAAAACTATAGAAACCCTGGAAGACAACCTAGGTAATACCATTCAGCACATAGGCACAGGCAAAGATGTCATGATGAAGGTGCCAAAAGCAATTGCAACAGAAGCAAAAATTGACAAATGGAATCTAATTAAACTAAAGAGATTCTGTACAGCAAAAGAAAGTATTAACAGAGTAAACAGACAACCTACAGAATGGGAGAAAATTTTTGCAAACTATATATCCAAAAAGGTCTGGTATCCAACATCTATAAGGAACTTAAACAAATTTACAAGAAAAATAACCCAACAAACAACTCCATTAAAAAGTGGGTAAAGAACATAAACAGACACTTTTCAAAAGAAGGCATATATGCAACCAACAGGTATAGGAAAAAAAAGCTCAACATCACTGATCATTAGAGAAATTCAAATCAAAACCACAATGAGATACCATCTCACACCAGTTAGAATAGCTGTAATTAAAAAGTAAAAAAATAACAGGTGCTGGCAAGATTGCAGAGAAAAAGGAACACTTATATGCTGCTGGTGGGAGGGTAAATTAGCTCAACCATTTTGGAAAGCAACGTGGCAATTCCTTAAAGACCTAAATGCTGAACTACCATTCGACCCAGCAATCCCATTACTGGGTGTATACTCAAAGGAACAGAAATCATTCTGTTATAAAGACACATGCACATGTATGTTCATTACAGCACTTTTCACAATAACAAAGATATGGAATCAACCTAAACACCCATCAGTGATAGACTGGATAAAGAAAATGTGGTACATATACACCATGGGATAATATACAGCCATAAAAATAATGAGATAATGCCATTTGCAGGAACATGGGTGGAGCTGGAGGCCATCATCCTTATGCAGGAACAGAAAACCAAATACTACATGTTCTCACTTATAAGTGGGAGATACATGATGAGAATACACGGACACATAGAGGGGAACAACACACACTGGGACCTACTTGAGGGTGGACGGTGAGAGAAGCGAGAAGATCAGCAAAAATAACTAATGGGCGCTAGGCTTAATACCTGGGTGATGAAATAATCTGTACAACAAACCCCCAAGACACGAATTTACTTATGTAACAAACTTATACTTGTACCCCTGAATTTCAAATAAAAGTTAAAAAAAAACATAAAAATAATTAAAAGATAAATACAAAAGAATGTTTTTATAGTTGTAAGTTGGGAAAAACTTCTTAAAAATCAGTAAGACAAAGGCAACATTTCAATCTAAAAACTGGGTAAGTCTACTAGTTCAGTCCTATTTTCCACTCACTCTTTTCAGGCAGTGAGCATCCCAGATCAAGGCCCTGCTCTTTTAGAGCTGACATTCTGCTGGGGAAGATGAGCAATTACTTCCTTAGAAGTAGGTGACCAAGGAGTCCCAGTCTATGCTTATTGTTCTGGCATGATTATTGATAGTGTCCATCTTTACTCCCAGCAGGGTCCCAGTGAAATGACAAATTATATGGTTACCATACTTAGAAGGGCATCAGGGCATGAGGGGCCCTAGTCAACAGGACTTTAAGCTTCTTATTCCAACTATCATAAGAGCAGCTTTACTTCACCTATGTTTCCTTTTTGCAGTAACAATGGTTTTGCACTTTTGAAAGAGTATAATTAATATACCAGCATACTTTCCTAGTCAATTAAAAATATATAAGCATATGGAATTAACTACAAAAAGCCCCATAAGTCCTTTAATAAGCCAGACCTCTTCTCAGATGTATTCTCTGTCCACTGGTATTCCTCCATTACTTCCATTTTTAAATATTTACATATATATACTGTTTTTAATTTATAATAATTTTTATATTTTTAAATAAGGTCATAATATAGTGTAATATAGTACAAAATATTAGTATAAGGCAATATCATAACAATTGAATTCTTGTTTTCACTTTACATGTGTTAGAGATCTTTCAGCATCAGTAATTTAGGTTTATATTTTTGTTTTCAATGACTACAGAGTTTTCCACAGTAATGATGGTGTGGTAGGTGGCATAATGGACCCCAACAATGTCCCTGAATCTGTGAAAATGTTACCTTATGTGGCAAAAAGGACTTTGAAGATGTGATTAAGGAATGATTTATATTCCTTTGAGTAAACAAAGGAATATAAATCATCTTGGGGCTTGAGATGGGAAGGTTATCCTGGATTATGTGGCTGGGCCCAATTTAAGCACAGGAGTCTTTATTAGTGGAAGAGGAAGGGACATAGATGGGTCAGAGAGTTGTGACACAAGAAGGACCCCACCTCCCCACTGCTGGCTGTAAAGATGGAAAAGAGGCTAGAAGCCAAGGAATGTGTCAGCCTCTGGAAGCTGGGAAGAGCCTTCAGCATACAGCTGGCAGAAAAATAAGGACCTCAGTCCTACAATTTAAAGGAATCGAATTCTGCCCACAAATGAAAAGAGCAGAAAATCGATTGTCTTCTAAAACCACCATAAAGGAACATAACTTGCTGCCATCTAAATTTTGGCCTTGAGACCATATAGGACTTTTCTGATCTATACAAGTGTAAGATAATAACTTTGTGTTGTTTTAAGTCTCTAAGTTTGTAGTACTTTGTATGGCAGCAATAGAAAACTAATACAGATGGTAAGCTGTAATGTATCCCTTCTATTGATAGACAATAAAGTTATTTCCAATTTTCTTCTATTACAATGCTGAAAATGAACTTGCTTCTCCATTCATCTTTAGGCATATGTGCCAGTAATTGGTTAGAATACATTCCTCCATAATGAAACTTTTTTATCAGAGAATAGAAACAGTTAGAGGTTTTGCTAAGATTACCACATTTTCTCATAAATGTCATTACCAGTTTACACTCCTGTGAACTGCATATTAGTCTGTCCTTTGCCTCTTCCTTCACCTTCCTGAGACCTGGCTATTATTATTCTTGTTATTTTTTGCCAGGTTGATGGATGAAAATGTTTTCTTCTTATTTGAGTTTGGATTCCCCTGGTTACTATTGAGATTGAGCATCTTTTTCTATTGTTACTGCCCCTTGGCGAATCTTTCATAAATTGTCCATTTCAAGTTCATCAAGTTCTACTGTGTAAATCAGCTGCTTTTAATGCTCTTTTGAAGTGAAGCAGATGATAAGGGAATCCCCCAGTATCACAGGGCTGAAGCCTGGACTCATGTTTCACGCCTCCTTCCCTGTTAACGCCCATGATCTGTCCATCCCCCACCCTGAGCGTGCTGTATCTCCAGGTGTTGCTCCTTTCTAGCTCCTCTGCTGCCCTCCAATTCAGACCCCAGTTACTCACATCCTAGTGGTTCTCACTGCCCCTCAGTCCTCTCCTACCATCCAAGTCCCCTTCTTAAATGGGAATTCTACTCTTACTGATCCTATGCTTAGGAAGCCTCAACAGTGGCTGCCCTGTGTATCCAGAGACACATAGTTTGCCGGGCTGATTGGCCTTGAAGTCTCCATGGTGTGACCCCAGCTGCCTTCTCTCCCACCCTTTCCCTTTAATGTTTTACCACGCAGAAATGTTTCTACTTCCCAGAGCACCCTCTCACTTTCTTAGGCCTCTGATTTTGTTAATGCCTAAGTAGTGAATGCCCATTATTTCTGTTTCTACCACTCAAAATCCTTGTATTTTCAAAGAACATTTCAAAATTCCTCCTCATATAGGAGGTTGCTTTTTCCCACAATTTATTATTAAAACTTTCTAACATACAGAAAAATTGAAGGAATTGTATAGTGAATGCTCATATATCCCACCTAGTTTCTACCATTAACACTTTACTATGTTTGCTTTATCATGTATCTGACCATCCATCCATCTTTTATCATTTTATCAATCTGTCTTCTTTTTTATGTATTTCAAAGTAAATTGTGAATTTTATACATTTCTTCCTAAATAGTGTAGTCGCATATCATTAACCAGAATTCAATATTTATACAGCTGCTCTTCAAATTATGATGGGGCTACATCCCAATAAACCCAGTGTAAGTTAAAAATATCATCATAAGTTGGAAATGCATTTAATATACCTAACCTAGTGAACATTGTAACTTAGCCTACTCTACCTTTAATGAGTTCAGAACACTTACATTAGCTACAATTGTGTAAAATCGTTTAACAAAAAGCCTATTTTATAACAGTATTGGCTATGTCGTGTTTTGAGATATCTCAGGTTTTGAGATATCTCATGTTTTGTATTGAATACTGAAAGTGAAAAACAGATTTGTTGTGTGGGAACTGGAAATACAGTTTCTACTGAATGCATATTGCTTTCGCACCATCATAAAGTCAAAAAATCTTAAGTTGAAACATCGTACGTTGTGGACCATCTGTAGTTTCCTATAGAGGTAAGATTTGCATGCACTGAAACACACACATGCAAAGTATATCATGTGATGAGTTTGACAAATGCATGTAACTGTGTAATCCAAACCCCTACCAAGATAGAAAATAGAAAGTGCCATCAAATCTGTTCTCAGCCGTGACCATGTCCCAGAAGCCACTATTCTCATTTTTTTCACCATAGATTAATTTTGCCCATTCCAGAACATCATATAAATGATTAGAATGGTTATATGTTATATACTTTTTGAATATATATATCCTGAATATACATTTTGTATTTTGTTATTATATAACACTTCTGAGTCAGCCTTCCTTTGTTCATAAAAATGCTTTCTCAAATCGTCTCATATAGGAGTAACATGTATTCATGTCTTATGCCTCCTACTGTGTGGCTAACTCTATGAGGTCGGACTTTGCAATGCACATCTCTAAATACACTGTAGTATCAAGCATCCTGCCTTATTTGTAATAGGGAATCCATACCCATTTGCTGAAGTAGAAAGCAGAGTGCTTAAAAGAATCCAAAATATTAGAAGAAGCACACTTCCTGTGTTGCGCTATCTTGGATTGAAGTTAAAAGAAGAGCAAATGTTCTTAAGTTTCTACATTCTGTGAGAAGTATGTAACAAATATCTGATTTTCCCAGTTGTCTTTTCTCATTTTGCAAAGCAGGGAACTGGGTACACTCTTGGGAGCATCCTCAGAGTGGGTACATTTTATGGGAGAAAGCAATTTCTGGCTGCATACTGGCAAAGCTCCTTACAGCTTTTAGAATCCCCAATAACAACATGAATAGACAAAGTTCATGGTCAGAGACAGTATCATAAATAGAAATTTTGAGTTAAGACTGTGAGTAGGTAAAGAAAAACAGGCCTCAATAAGTGCTCAACCATGAAGAATCAGATCTGCATTTCCTACAATTCCTATTAGAAACTTCCATAATAATAATAATTCTGTGTTTGACTTATTTGGGAGGATCAGCTTTGTGCATAGCAATGTGCTGGAATGTATGGAAGATACAAAAACACAGTAAATAGTTCCTGTGTTTGTCTTCCAGGAACTTAGTGTCTTATGGGGTGAAAATGTCATTGAAGAGCACACAGTAATATGTTGGGGTCAGCTTGATGACTCACAAGAACTGATTAACCTTCCAAAAGGTGCCAATCCAGAGTATGTTAGTTCTTTCTTCATGTAATGGGTGATTATTTGACATTATTAAGGAAAGAGTGAACTACATTTTTAAAGAGTTATATTATTGATCATAAAATTACTACTGTAGTAGCTGCATCTATTTCTCCCACAGAATTCAGTTGCTAGAATTAAATATTAGTCTTATCACGTGCCAATCATAAAGCACATATGGAGTCAACAAACCAAGCATGATCAAGATCAATGTTCATTTCTGGCACTTAAGAAAGCACTTTATTTCCGTTAAAAATAGTTAAATTGGATACTTTTTCTTGAAAATAGAGCCTCTGCTCTTCTTCTCATTTTGCTCCATGTCTTCTTCTGAATTATTATTTATCATTTTTTGTAGCATTTGCACTTAAACAGAAAACAACTTTTGTAAAGGAGGTCTATACTACAGGTACTATTGGGAGGCGTCCTGGATGATAGCACAGAGATTATGTTCTCTCAAAGAGCAGCAAATCATTCACTCTGTTCCAAGAAAATTACTCATAGGGGCCTTCACAGAGAGATCTCACATCAAAGCTCATTTTTTTTTCGTCTCTGTGCTCCTGTTGTTTTTTGAAATCTTTGTGTTTGTGCATTCATATTCATTAGGAGTCAAAGCAATCTGCCGCCCTGGTTAATTTCCCCATGCCGACAGCAATAGAAATTCCTATGATATTGCCTGTGTTGGGTAGCGAGGAATCCCTAACTCAACTCAGTACTTTTCCCCACTGGGTAAATGATTCTTCAGAATAGTTAATAGGGCGTTGAAATCTGCACAGACAGAAATGCTAATGCCTCTGCCAAATACCTACGATTATCAGCTCAATCTTTAGTGGCTGGAATCTGACATAAATCCTCTGAATGTATTAAAGTCAGCCATAGTACCTGGCAGAGAGGCTTGTTATGTTGACCTTGAGCAAAGCCTTCCCTGACAGCAATTCAATAGAAAGATGGGTGCCAAGACTGTATTTTTATAAAGAAGGGAAAGAAGAAGCTGTTTAAGAATTTACTTTCATGCACCATAAAAGCCTCCTGTGTATGAGCCACATTCCAATGAGACCCTGAGGAAGAGAGACATTCCAAGCTGAGGGAGAGGGACATCTAAATGCCCATTATTGGTTATTTCACCATAGGGGCTGAAAGTGCCTAATGACTTTGTGTTCCCTTTGATAGAGTTTTATTGCTACAAACTGTGATATTTTGAAACAATATGGGTAGAAGATGATGTCTCTAAAGTTTCTCATAATCTGGACATAGGAATATATTGAATAAAACCCATAGAGATTTCTCAATTAGAATTAACTGCTAACGTTGAAATCCCCCGCATAAAACATGAAATAAAAAGAGTATCATTTATGAAATAGCTAAAGGGCCAATTCTCTTTCAAGTGCACGTTAAAAGTTGACAAGGCCAAATATCATAATAATGTTGAAGTAATAATATTTTGGAAATATTGGATTAAATATGAATAAAATTAATTTTATCCACTTCTTTTTACTATTTTCATGTGGCTACTAGAAAAGTTAAAATTACGTTTGTGGCCCGCATTGTATTTCTAATGGACAATCTTGCTCAGGAGCAGGGGTTGGCAAGCTGGCTAACGAGCCATATCTGGCCTGCAGCCTATTTTTATAAATGAAGCTTTATTGAAACACAACCACACTTATTTGTTTACATATGGTTTACATCTGCTTTTCTTCTTGATATCATTAGCCTTTTTAATTTTAGCTATTCTTATAGAAGAGTCCACTGTGTTTTGACCAGCTGTTTTGTACTCTGCCTTTTCTGCTATATGTTGCAATAATTATTTATGATCTTTTCTCATTTCCTCCTCCCACTGGACTTGGAGTATGACAGGGCAAGGGGCCCTGTCTTTATTTTCCATGAGGTGTCAAACACATTGTAGAAATATCCCCTGCTATGTATATTCAGTGACTGTTGAAAAATATTGCAATTTCAGGAACTTGAATCTCAGTCACAGCAGAGACAGAACTATGATAAACAATTTTGAGAATTTCTGGAACGCCAGGCTATCGGACCATGTTTTTTAAAAAAGAATCAGAAATGGATGCTCTATGTTTGGAAATTAATGAAGATACAATGTCCTTTCAAAGCCAAGGGCCAGTGGAAAAACTGAGGAAAGAAAACCACAGAGCCAAGGTTGAAACTCAGGTCCCTCTATTCTACCACTTAAGGCATCCCGAGATTTTGCCTCTTATTTCACAGTTAATCTCTTATCTTATTTCATTGACAAAAGTTATAAGAGAACAATCTCATCTGTCCACCAGGAAATCTATCAGCCCACATACATCTATACCGCTGTACCCTACCTTCCCTCCTGCTCCAATGGATGAACTGTTCCTTTCTTATTTTAGGATGGAACTTCCTCTTCTGTACTGGCTCCTGTGTTCTCTTGCTTACTTAAGAACTTCATCCTTAAAAATCTCTCTCTTCTCCAACATTAGTTTCTCCTTTTCTTGGATGATTCCTATCCCCAATCATTTTACTTTAAGCATCTTAAAAAACAAACAAACAAAAAACACTTTCCCCTAAACCACAAATAGTCCCTTCCTCCCAACCTTCTCTTTGGAGCAACAGTCCCCGAAGAGCTATTTAAATTTACTGTTTCCCAAAAACAAAGATAAATAGATGAAACTTAATTAAACTAAAAAGCTTCTACAGAGCAAAAGAAATAATCAGCAGAGTTAACAGACAACTCACAGAGTGGGATAAAATCTTCACAATCTATGTATCCGACAAATGACTAATATCCAGAATCTACAAAGGACTCAAACAAATCAGCAAGAAAAAAACCAATCCCATCAAAAAGTGGACTAAGGACACAAACAGACAATTCTCAAAAGAAGATATACAAATGGCCAACAAGCATATGGAAAAATGCTCAACATCACTAACGATCAGGAAAACGCAAATCAAAACCACAATGTGATACCACCCCACTCCTGCAAGAATGGCCATAATCAAAAAATCAAAAAATAATAGATGTTGGCACGGATGTGGTGAAAAGGGAACACTTTCACACTGTTGGTGGGAATGTAAAGTAGTACAATCACTATGGAAAAAAGGGCGGAGATTCTGTAAATAACTAAAAGTAGACCTTCAGTTTTATCCAGCAATCCCCGTATTAGGCATCTACCCAGAGGAAAAGAAGTCATACAGGAAAGACACTTGCACACACATGTTTATAGCAGCACAATTTGCAACTACAAAAATATGGAACCAGCCCAAATGCCCATCAATCAACGAATGGATAAAGAAAATGTGATATATAAATATATGATATATTTATACTATATATACACAGTATTATATAGTGTACATATATCCTATATGTACACTATACTACAGATACACTATACTATATATATAACATATATGTGATATATATGTAATATATATATAGTATACATATATATACACTATGGAATACTAATCAGCCATAAAAAAGAACAAAATAATGGCATTTTCAGCAACCTGGATGTAATTGGAGACAATTATTCTAAGTAAAGTAATTAAGGAATGGAAGACCAAACATTGTATGCTCTCACTCATTTGTGGGAGCTAAGCTATGAGGACGCAAAGACATAAGACTGATAAAGTGCCTGTAATCCTAGCACTTTGGGAGGCCAAGGCGGGCAGATCACGAGGTTAGGAGACAGACCATCCCGGCGAACACAGTGAAACCCCGTCTCCACTAAAAATACAAAAAATTAGCAGGGCGTGGTGGCGGGCGCCTGTAGTCCCAGCTATTCCGCGGGGCTGAGGCAGGAGAATGGTGTGAACCCCGTGGGGGCGGAGCTTTCAGTGAGCGGAGATCGCGCCACTGCACTCCAGCCTGAACGACAGAGCGAGACTCCGTCTCAAAAAAAAAAAAAAAAAATATATATATATATATATATATAGTGGACTTTGGGACTTTGGAGACTCGAGGGAAACGGTGGAGGGTGGCGAGGGATAAAAGACTACACTTTGAGTACAGTGTACACTGCTCGTGATGGGTGCCACAAAATCTCAGAATCACCACTAAAGAACTTATTCATGTAACCAAACACCACCTGTTTCCCAAAAACCTATTGAAATAGAAAATTTAAAAAAAAAATAAATTTACTGTTTCCACATCCTCAGCTTTCTGTTCTCTCCTCAGCCCACACCCATTAGCCCTTCATTCCCACCACTCCGCAGAAACTGTTCTTGCAAAGGTCAATACCCACCACCATCTTGCAACCCAATGGTAAATTTTCAATCCTTATTCTATTTAGCTTCTCATTAGCTTTTGACACAGTTGCACATTCCCTTTTCTAGATGTACTTTTCTACCCTTGGATTCCAGGATAACACTCTTTGCTTGTTTTCCTCCTACCTCTTTGGCCACTCTTTACAAAATTTATGTGGGGATACTCCTCCTTTTTCAGACCTCTAAATATTGGAGTCCCATAGCACTTTCTTTTTGTCTTTGCTTTTATTCACTCTCTACATGGTTTTATCAGTTCTATCACCTTAAATACCACGTGTATGCTAATAATATCCAAATTTAAATTTCCAGGTCTGTTCTCTCTTCTGACTGCAACTGCCAACTTAACACCTCCAGGTATATGTCTAATGGATAAACATAAATTGTTTGTGATTTAAAATTCAGTTTCTCCCATGTCTACTCCCCAAAATTGCTCTTCCTCCATCTTTATTATGTTGGTAAGTGACATCAACATTCACTAATTTGCTTAAGCCAAAAATCTATGAGTCATTCTTTATTTTTCTCTTTTCTACAACCTTCCAGTTTAAACCTAAGTTGTTAGCAAGTCTCTGCCTTCAAAAATTTATTTGCGTCCCAATGACTTTGCTTCCTTATTTAATCTATTGCTTCCTTATTTAATTTATGTGAGAGATAGCCACTCCTGTGAGAAGACTTTCTTATTCACATTACCTAAAATAAACCCAATTATTTCTGATGCTCAATATACCCTTAATTCTGCCTTGCTTTTCTTTATGATACTGATTGCCATCAGACATTTTATTAAACATTTGTGTTACATTTTTTGTTGCTTTACTTATTGTTTAGTGTTTTGTTTATATGTTTATTTTCATTATCTTCTTCTAGAATGTAAGTGCCATTAGAGAAGGGACTGGTAAGCTGTATCCAGCTTACACTAGGTTGCAAGAACCAACTCTCATTTAAAAAAAAAAAAAACTTTAATTTTCGTTAGGGGATACATGTGCAGATTTGTTATATAGCTAAACTCATGTCATGGGAGTTCGTTGCACAGATTATTTTGTCACCCACATATTAAGCCTAGTACCGATTAGTTATTTGATCTGATCCTCTCCCTCCTTCCACTCTCCACCCTCTTGTAGACTCCAGTGTCTGTTTTTCTCCTCTATATATCCATGTGTTCTCAGCATTTAGCTCTCACTTATAAGTGAAAACATGTGGTATTTGATTTTCTGTTCTTGCATTAGCTTGCTAAGGATAATGGCCTCCAGCTCCATCAATGTTCCTGCAAATGACATTATCTCACTCTTTTTATGGCTGCATAGTATTCCATACTGTATACATACCACATTTTCTTTATCCTTTCTACCATTAATGGGCATTTAGGTTGATTTCATGTCTTTGCTATTGTGAATAGTGCTGCAATGAACATATGCGTACATGTGTCTTTATGATAGAATGATTTATATTGGCTTGGGTATATACCCAGTAATGGTATTGCTGGGTCGAATGGTAGTTCTGTCTTCAGGTCTTTGAAGAATCACCACATCTTTTTCCATAATGGTTGAACTAATTTACACTCCCACCAACAGCGTATAAGCATTCTTTTTTCTCTGCCACCTTGCTAGCACCTGTTATTTTTTGACTTTTTAATCGTAGTCTTTCTGACTGGTGTGAGATGGTATCTCACTGTAGTTTCAATTTGCATTCCTCTAATGATAAGTGATATTGAGCCTTTTTTCATATGCTTCTTGGTTGCATGTATGTCTTCTTTTGAGAAGTGTCTGTTAATGTCATTTGCCCACTTCATAATGTTTTTTTCTTGTAAATTTGTTTGTTTCTTAAAGATGCTGTATGTCAGACCTTCGTTAGATGCATAGTTTGCAAAAATTTTCTCCCATTCTGTAGGTTGTCTATGTACTCTGTTGATGGTTTCATTTGCTGTGCAGAAGCTCTTTGTTTTAATTAGATCCCATTTGTCAATTTTTGCTTCCATTGCAATTGCTTTTGGAGTCTTCATCATGAAATCTTTGGTTATTCTTTTGTCCATAATGGTATTGACTAGGCTGTTTTCCAGGGTTTTTACAGTTTTGAGTTTTACATTTAAGTTTTAAATCCATCTTGAGTTGATTTACGTATGTATTAAAAGAAAGGGGTCCAGTTTCAATCTTCTGCATATGACTAGCCAGATATCCCAGCAACATTTATTAAGTAGGGAATCCTTCCCCTATTGCTTGTTTCTGTCAGCTTTGTTGAAGATCAGATAGTTGTAGGCGTGCAGTCTTATTTCTGGGTTCTCTATTCTGTTCCATTGGTGTATGTATCTGTTTTTGTACCAGTATTCTGTTGTTTTGGTTACTGCAGCCCTGCAGTATAGTTTGAAGTCCAGTAGCATGATGTTTCCAGCTTTATTCTTTTTGCTTAAGATCACCTTGGCTGTTTGGGCTCTTTTTTCATTCCATATGAATTTTAAATAGTTTTTTTCTAGTTCTGTAAAGAATGTCATTGGTAGTTTGATAGGAATAGCATTGAATCTATAAACTGTTTTGGGAAGTATGGCCATTTTAATGACATTGATTCTTCCTCTCCATGAGTGTGGGATGTTTTCTCATTTGTTTTTGTCATCTCTAATTTCTCCAAGCAGTGTTTTGTTGTTCTCATTGTAGAGATCTCTCACCTCCCTGGTTAGCTGTATTCCTAGGTATTTTATTTTATTTTTGTTGTGGCAATTGTGAATGGTATTGCATTCCTGACTTGGCTCTCAGGTTGACTGTTGTTGCTGTATAGGAATGAGAGCCAACTCTTAAATTTCCAAAAATTTTGAGAAATGGTCTTAAAAGGAAACAGGCACTAATTAAATTATATAAACTTATAATTAAATTCATCATATTGAAAACAAGTGCAATACTCAATCCTCATCACTTTCTAATTGCTTTATTACATTTTATTCTTATCTGTGTGCTTGTGGTAATTTTCACCTATTGTATCTGGAGATTAAAAATTCTACATAATGTTGTACTACTGCACATCTTTTTACCAAATCTGCGTTCACTTATGTTGGTAAGTTGAAACTGACCATGGCGGGTGTAGTCACACCATGGAAATTGGCAAATGTGATAAATAGGCTAAATAACATTCTAAGGCTACAGGCCTAGTAAGTGGGAGAGAAGGGACCTCAGTTCAAGCTGAGGCTCTCCAGGCTATGCTCACATGATCTCCCACGTGATCTACTACCTCACGTGATCATCCAGAAGGCCTTTTGCATCTCATTGGCTCTGATTGGCCCATGTGCATCAATTAGTGAACCAATGCCTGTGGCCGTGGGCTGGGCTGCTCAGGCCTGAGTCCAGAGAGGCATCCCAAAGTTGCAGTATACTGGCCGGGTGGGTGGCTCACGCCTGTAATCCCAGCACTTTGGGAGGCCAAGGCGGGTGGATCACCTGAGGTCAGGAGTTTGAGACCAGCGTGGTCAACATGGTGAAACTGCGTCTCTACTAAAAATACAAAAATTAGCCCGGCGTGGTGACGGGCACCTGTAATCCTAGCTACTCAGGAGGCTGAGGCAGGAGAATCGCTTGAACCCGGGAGGCGGAGGTTGCAGTGAGCCTAGATCGCGCCACTGCACTCCAGCTTGGGTGACAGAGTGAGACTTTGTCTCAAAAAAGAAAAAAAAAAAAAGTTGCTGTATCCTTCCCTGTCCACATTGCATGGACAAAAATAGCAGCCAGGACTTCCTCCTAGAGCTCTTAAGTAGAGTGAAAGCTGTAATGTTCACTACAGAGGACTCTCAAGTTGCAGGGCTTGGCGATTGTCACTGGGGTGGGATGGACTCCCCTACAGATATGCCGCAGGTTCCCTGAACCTTGAGGCGGTGGGGGAAAGTCAGTCCCTCTGGCAGAGTGATGGGCCTGAACAGGCTGAATCCTCTGTGACCTTGGGAAGTGGGGAAGACTCCATGTGCCATGCTGCGTGGGGGCTCCATCCCATTGTAGGAGCTGATTGACTGCTTGCTTGGATCAGCAGGCCTTCTCTCCCTATAAGGCTTTCAGCTCCCAGCCACAGCGCAGACATTTGAGAACTCATTGATGGAAGCCATTTCTGCTGGGCTTTTGAGGGACGTGTGGCAAGAAACCAAAAGTGTAGATCGCTATTGAGAAATGAGGGAGTCAGATCTTCACCAAATGAGACTCCCCGGGGCACAGAGACGACCCCTCCGGCTGTCCAGACCTTTCCACCTTGTCAGTTTAATAAATTTCAGCGCCATAGCCTGCTGGCAATTGTCCGTGCTTGGAGTGAGACAGTGATGTAATCCTGATTAAAATAGTTAATAAGGATTTAATGAGAGGTTATCTCCTTGTCTTCAATCATTTCCTGGTGAGAAGAAGATTCTGGAGCAGAACTCATTAGAGCTGTTCCTTTGCAGTTACTGAAATTACACTATTTTGAAATTACTCAAGGTTTTCAAGAAGCAAACTCATTTCAAGTCATTATTTTCTAATAAGATTCTATAGTATAAAAAGTGTTTTTTTCCAGGTCTATCTGTGTACCTTCTGTGTTGTGATAAGTGGAATGTTTAAGATACAAAAACAAAAAAGCATCCTCAACAGAATCCAGCTCCTGGGGTCACCCTGGTTACACTGGAAGCTATAAATCTCAGCCCCAACATTGACCATGTTTTGTGATCTTAGGCAACTAATTTTAAGTTTGTTAAGTTTGTTGTTGTTGTTGTTGTTGTTGTTTTAGATGGAATCTCACTCTGTCTCCCAGGCTGGAGTGCAGTGGTGCCATTTGGCTCACTGCACTCACTGCAACCTCCGCCTCCGAGGTTCAAGCGATTGTCTCACCTCCACCTCTGCCTCCTGAGTAGCTGGGACTACAGTCACACCCCACCACATCCAGCTAATTTTTGTGTTTTTAGTAAGGACGGGGTTTCACCATGTTGGCCAGGCTGGTCTCGAACTCCTATCTCAAGTGATCCACCCACTTCAGCCTCTCAAAGTGCTGGGATTACAGGCACAAGCCATCCAGCCTTGGCCTAATTTTCTGTACTTAAAATACAGAAAATGGGGATAAAAGTAATACTTGCCTTATAGGATTTATTTAAGGCATAAAAGAAGTAATCTGTAAAAAGTATTTAGAAAAGTTTCTGATGCATAGTGTGGGCCCAATGGGTGTGTCTGATCAAGGATCCTGGATTACATTAAAGCTAAGATGGAGAACTTTCTGCTTAGAAGTTTGACAAAGTGTATGGACCACCATCTGGTCAGATTCTGCCAGCAAATTACATTTTATTTCAGGTAATCTTAATGGCTCTCTGGGAAGCTGCTTCTGTCAGAGCACTTGGAAAATTACATCCAGGTGTATAGGGAATTTATTATTTGACCAAGAGTGCATTTTTACTCAGAATAGTTTCCTGTCTATATGCTGAAATGATTGCTGAAATAATTGCTACTTATATGGAAGAAATAATACCATGCTGAAATAATTGCTACCTATATGGAAGAAAACATGAGGTCCTTTCCTCACTCCACATACATATGTAAATTTCAGATAGATAAAAGACCTAAATAAAAACAAAAATAATAATCTTGGAACAAATTACAGGGGAATACTTTCATAACCTTGAGGTCATGGGGCATTCTTAACCAGGGCAGGAATCTCAGAAACCATCACGAAATGGAAATATTTGACTATCTAAATACCAAAGTAATATGTCGAATGTATCATTAGTAAAGTGGAAATGTAAACCGTATAGATTGTTAACATAACTACAACAGAAATGACATGATAAAGGTTACTGGTACTGCTGTTCAAATAACTCCTTCAATTGTTAAAATTAAAAATAATATACATGAGTCCAATAAGATGCTTAACCATATGCAGGAAATTGCAAATTACAAATGAATTACCATTTTTTCAGTCATCATAATTACAATCCAATGGGATGAGATTAGCTTTTCTTGTAGGGGGAGTGTAGCAAGGCAAGGAGCCACTGCCATACATTTCTGGTGGGAGAGTAAGTTGCTAACCCATTTGGGAAAATTACCTAGAAATATGGCTTAAAATTAAATATATTGATACCCTTTGTCCATGCCATCCCACTTTACGGAATGTTGCCTACAGAAATCAAAACACAAGAAGGTAATGATATATATAGGAGAATGTTTATTGCAGCTTTGCCGAGGAAGAAAATGAAAAGTAAGCTGGAAAATGCATCAACAAGGTAAAGATTGAATACGTAACAGTGGATACATGCTATTGAACATTATGCAACTTTTAAAGGAATTTATTTATTTTCCCATCTCCTAAATATGTTTTGCTGAGTCTCTCTTGCCTTTCATCTGGCTTTACTCAGCCTCAAAAAGGAGGCTTTACTGTGGCTTTGTTTACGGTTTTCTCCACATCAGTAGTAAGAGAATTGGACCCTGGATGGAAATTCACCTGTTAGATTCATATTCTGCGTGGCATGAAATTGCTGCCTGAAACAGAGCTGAGGGAGCAAGAGGAATGGAATATTGAAAATATATCAGGGCTAGCATGGAGGAGAACACAGGTAGCATGTAAATTATTCACTTAGTCTCTTTGCTTCATAATGAATATTAAAGGGGTGGCTTTTCCTGCTGTGGGGGAGGTTGCCTCTCTACAACATCGTAGAAGATTTAGCCTTACAACCTAGGCTTGTTCTCATGACAACATAGTTAATGTGACTATCTTCTGGGACCTGCCAGCTACAGTCATGACTACCTGCTACATCATCAAGCTCAATTAATTATTTTTCTAATGGCTTTATTACAGTGCCCTGTGATGACTGCAAAACAGTTCTTAGATTATCTGATCTAATTCATTCATGCTGTCATATCTGCAAATAATTATTAAATAATTGATATGTGTCAGACACTATTTTGGGCACTGGAAGAGTGAATCAAACAGACCAAGTCTGTACTCTTAGGAAATTTATATTCTAATCAAGGGCAGGAGTATAAAACAGACGATAGAAGAGTAAATGAATGGATGTATAGAAGAAGATGATGAGTGAATAAAGAAAAATAAAGCAAGTAAGGAGATGGAGAGTGCATACACATGGGTGTGCGTACACATACATGTATTATTTAAAATAGGGTGGTAAGATAGGCCTCTCTGCACAGATGATATTTCAGTCAGACTCTAGCAAAGAAAGAATATGGATTAATGTGGATTCCCAGGAAGGAGTGTTTCAGGCAGAAAGAACAGAAAGTGAAAGTCTTCCCAGGCAGCAGCATTCCTGGTGTTCATGTTCCCAGGTAGGACTAGATGGTCAGTGCATCTGGAACAGAAAACGGGATGAGGAGAGTGGAGGGAGATACCCTCATGGAGGAATGAGGTCACCAAGGTCCCCCTGGCTGTGGTGAGAATTATGGATTTTACTCTGCTTAAAGCCATCTGAGGGTTTTGAACAGAGGCTGATGAGATTGCACTTAACATTTTAACAGGGATCCCTTTGGCTGCTTGAAGAAACAGACAAGAGAAGCAAGGGTGGGGAGCGGCAGGAGTCTGCTTAAGAGGCTCTTTCAGAGGTTCAGGGGGAGATTATGGAGCCTGGACCAGGACGGAAGCTGTGGAATCAGGGAGCAGTGGTCTGATTTGGGACTTCCTGACGATGGAGCTGAGCAAAATTGCCGATGGCTTAGAAACAAGGAAAGAGAGGAGTCGAGGGCAATTCTCCTGGTTTTGGCTGAGCCCCTGGAAGAGCTCCTTTCACAGACATTTCTAGTCTTCTGATCTATATCCAGAGGCTTCATTAATCATAACGAGGTGGACATTTTGCACTCCAGACTTTGGGGCGAGCTCTGGAGGAGGCTTGTTCAGTAGGGTCTTGCTCCCCCGGTTCTCTAGGCTAATTACAAAACTCACACTTCTATCTTCCTTTAGAAGTGAACGAAAGTTGACCTCATTCAAATAAATCATTTAAAACTCAGAAGTATCTCGTGTGGTCTTTTTCCTATCCCTAATCTTATTCTGATTTTGAGTTTGAAACACCAGGGTCAAGTACTAACATGGTTTCTCCAGCTCGGCAGAGCTGATTTGAACCCAAACCTTCTGATCTCTGTGCCTCACCATGTGATGTCCCACATGAACCTGTGAAGCCATTCCCATGCCTTATATAATCTACACTTCCCAGTGACCTTGCCCATCATGTGGAGCAGATATAAATAGCTATATGGTGTGAACAAGGAAAGTGAAGCTCAGAATGATTTACTGAGATTCACAGAGATCATGCTGTTTGAGGTCATGGTGAGGACCTGAGTCTTCTGTTACTTAGGACTGTGCTGATGTGTCATGGTCCAGGAACCTGCAAGGCTGCTGACAACAACAAAGAATTAACAGACTACTTGTTTTCTCCCCCTAATCCAGCATCTTGCTGAAATACTGAGTTCCCTTAAAATAGGGCTTTCTGGAAAGCTAAATTCAGCAAGGCTCTGTTCTTGCAGAGTCTGCTGGCTTACTTAACCCCACTCAGAGAAGATTTTGGTAAGGTGCTCCAACTCAGAGCTCCGAGCTCCCCACTGACCAGGAAGGGTCAGTACAGAAAGCAGAACCCCAGTCAAGGAAAATGAAACTTCCTAAGTCTTCTCTGCACTAAAAAGCTAAAGTGGTTGCTCCACTCCACCTGGAGCAGGCTCATCAAAGAAGGCTGATCTTTGAGGGAGCAAGATCCCATCCTTTTCAGGGAATCACTGCTCCATGTCAGCTGAAAACTCAGAAGGCACAGAGACACCAGGGAAGGCGCTGAAGCCTTTCATTCCTGCCGCTCCTTGTGCTTGCCTCCAGCCTGCTGCAGCAGATGAAGCTGGCTGGCTTCACTCTGAGGTGCTTTGCAGCCCCGTCTGCTTAATTTCCGGTGGACCTTCAATGCCCAGGGAGAGCGCATGTTTTGCTTGTGATGTTGGTAATGAACTGCCGCTGGGAACAAATTAATGAGTGTGTCAGGAGCTGCAGTGGAACTGCATCACGATTCATAAACACCACAATGAAAATGCCAGTTAAGCTCTGGTATAAATACACACAAACTCTGAAGAAGCAAACTCTTTTTTCTTTTAATGAGAGAAGAATTTAAAATAACATCATTCTGCCCTGAGTAGCATTGTCAGGGGAGAATTTCTTAGCAGATAGTTTCTTTTTTTTTTTTTTTTTTTACAAAAAATCATTTAATACATACAGAAATATTAGAGGAATTTAATTTGACTGTTTACGTTTGGGTACATGCATACTATACTTTGAAATACACATAGCACATATACCGTATATGGGTTTGCAGTATACAAAAATGCAGAATGTCAAGTTTATAGGTTATGTACCATGTTTATTAAATGAGATCTTTCTCTTTTTATTGACTATCGTATGTTTCCATGGCCTTCTATTAATATCATTCCTCAGTATTCTGAGTTTGGAATTTGGATTCAGAAATTAAAATTCAATTAAAAAAACCCCATTGGTTGAGAGACCAATAACTTTAAAACTCATGGCTAGGGAATGAAAAGAAACTTCCATCACTCCAAAGGTGCAGCAGGATTGTGTTTGGGGCACCTGTAAGCATCCGAGTTTGTGACTGACCCCTGATATGCATACAGGTGCTTGTGTTTATGGAGCAAGATGTTGCTGGGAAGAGCCCCAACAGAAGGCCAACTATAGGGTTTCCTACAGAGCCTCTCTGTAGCCACCCCCAGTGCTACAGAGCAGAGCACTGGGGGCTGCTACAGAGAGGGTTGGGAAAAGGGGAAGGAATCTAAGTAGTCAAGCTCCAGGCTTTCTCCTCCCAATTCAACCAGAGCCTCTTTTATTTTATCTGGTTTACTTATTAGAGTTCCAGGTAAGGTTTTATTGTATATTATAAATTAAAGCTAGACGACTACAGGTTAGCAGTAGATTGAGCATGAGTTTTGAAATAGTAAGACTTGACTTCCAATATTAACTTTAGGATTTATGAGCTATTCGATGTGGGGCACATGTAACTTCTTTGAACCTTGATTTCTATCTAAGACAGAGTAATCATAATACCAACTTGCTTGGTTGCCTTGAGGATCAGAGATAGTGAATTAAAATGCCATGCACTTCATTGATTTTCACAAAAGACTGTGATTATTACAACAGATTCTAGCTGGTAACTTGTTATAAATTTAAGTGGTTTGTTTTCTTCTGACAACTGCAGAACATGAAGCCTCCTTCTTCCAACCACTCTAATGCCAAGGCTAGCAGAAGGTAATGTTGCCTTGAGTCAGAGAATCTATTTTAGCTAATGACTATCTCAAATGTTAAATAGAGTTTTAGACAGGAGAACAAAACTTGTTTGAAAGTATTGCTTATTTGTCATCAGTGACCAATTTGAATTTAGAATAATTGTGGGAAATGGTTTACTAAGGCTCAAAGAAATAGTTTAACAGTTCTTTTTACCACCCCATTTTCAGTTATGTTGTCCTCAATTGTTCTTTAGTAACTTCTTAACATTGTAACCTGTGAATTTCCATTCAAAACACTATGCAAAAGAGAAATCACAATGGCTAAATCAGGAATAGGTGGCAAATAAACTTTTCTAGCATAAAGGTTTGTCTGTGTTAAACTCTAGTTTAGTCTGTTTGTCTGACTTCAGAAATTGGATTTTTGTAGGGGCCATGTCACTGTTCTCTCCATTGCCTACATCCCTCCAGTCTTATTACAGATGTGCCTTGCTGCATCACATATTTCCTCTATTCCTTCTCAACAGATTGACTTCCTATTGACCTGGTTTTTTTTTTCCTTTAAGGAGATGCAGATCAATTGTTAATGAATCGCTCAGTGGTCAATACAATGGAAAGAATGACAAGAAATGCTCTGCTTTTAATAGAGGTCTTAGTCTTTAAGGGCAAATGAAGTGGGTTATATTTCAGAAATCATGGATTATAATCCAAACTGAATGATACTGACCAAAGGAAAGGAAAGACAACTTAACCTGTTCCCACTTTGCTGGTTTTTTTTCTTTTTTCAAATAGATTTTGTCTTTTGGGCAGCTTTTGGAAATTCTACTACCCAAATTGAACTATTTCAGATTAACTTTCTGCAGTTCAAAAACCAAAGATGAGATATTGTATGATCTTTTCAAACTTAGCAATTCAAGGTACAATTTTAATAGATGGATTCCATTTTACATGGGCAAAAGATCTTAAATGTTCTTTTCACAAAGCATCAGGGGATGTTAAGTTCTTGCATAACCAGGTATGTCCAGAGATGGGACACTCATTTTGCTCATTTATAGCAGTAAAATTGATGCTGTAGATAAAAACGGCTTCTATATGTCGTGAAAATTTATCCTTGAAGGGCAATTAATCAAGACATGAGAAAGGCCTTTAATGAATCCTTCCAGACAGAATTAGAGAAGACTGAGGATTCATTCAAATGCACACACCTACCAGACTTTCAGAAGTGCTTGTTGACTATTGAGGACCATCTTAGCACAGCTGGAGTGTTTCACATTAGCCAAGGTAGGCTCTAAGCTCAAGGTGCTCAAATTACTTTTAGGTGTAATGCCTGAAATGAAACAAAATTGAGAGGCAATGGTAAGTTACTCAGCAAAGAGGAGTGATTTGTGGTAGTTAAAGGAAGGTCAGGGTGAGCCCCAGCCTATTTTGTAGACTTCTGTTCAGCTCCCGTAGGAGAGCAGTTTTTTTTTTTTTATTATTTTACAAAGGTCTTTTGCTATGGCACTCATCTTTGAGGGACATACTTTAGTAATAGTAGGTATCATTCACTGGCAGAAGACCACCGGGACACTGATGTCAATTAAGATAATGATATGGTTTGGCTGGATCTCCACCCGAATCTCAACTTGAATTGTATCTCCCAGAATTCCCACGTGTTGTGGGAGGGAACCAGGGGGAGGTAATTGAATCATGGGGGCTGGTCATTCCTGTGATAGTGAATAAAGCTCAGGAGATCTGATGGGTTTATCAGGGGTTTCTGCTTTTGCTTCTTCCTCATTTTCTCTTGCTGCCACCATGTAAGAAGTGCCTTTTGCCTCCTGCCATGATTCTGAGACCTCCCCAGCCATGTGGAACTGTAAGTCCAACTAAACCTCTTTTTCTTCCCAGTCTCGGGTATGTCTTTATCAGCAGCATGAAATCTGACTCATACAGATACTTTCATGTGCGTCCGTGTGAAGAGACCACCAAACAGGCTTTGTGTGAGCAACATGGCTGTTTATTTCACCTGGGTGCAGGCAGGCTGAGTCCGAAAAGAGAGTCAGTGAAGGGAGATAAGGGTGGGGCCGTTTTATAGGATTTGGGTAGGTAAAGGAAAATTACAGTCAAAGGGGGTTTGTTCTCTGGCAGGCAGGAGTGGGGGTCGCAAGGTGCTCAGTGGGGGTGCTTTTTGAGCCAGGATGAGCCAGGAAAAGGACTTTCACAAGGTAATGTCATCAGTTAAGGCAAGGACCGGCCATTTACACTTCTTTTGTGGTGGAATGTCATCAGTTAAGGTGGGGCAGGGCATATTCACTTCTTTTGTGATTCTTCAGTTACTTCAGGCCACCTGGGCTTATATATGCGTGCAAGTCACAGGGGATGCGATGGCTTGGCTTGGGCTCAGAGGCCTGACATTCCTGCCTTCTTATATTAATAAGAAAAATAAAACAAAATGGTGTTGAAATGTTGGGGCGGCGAAAATTTTTGGGGGGTGGTATGGAGAGAGAATGGGCGATGTTTCTAAGGGCTGCTTCAAGCGGGATTAGGGGCGGCGTGGGAACCTAGAGTGGGAGAGATTAAGCTGAAGGGAGGTCTTGTGGTAAGGGGTGATATTGTGGGGATGTTAGAAGAAACGTTTGTCGTATAGAATGATAGGTGATGGCCTGGATACGGTTTTGGATGAATTGAGAAACTAAATGGAATAACAGAAGGAGAAAAACAGGTGTAAAAGGTCTAAGAATTGGGATGACTCAGGATATCTGATTAGGGAGTGCCTAAGGAGATTCAGCATAGTTCTGCCAGCAAAGATTATTTATTTACTTCAAGAGTTAAGAGTGGCAGTTTGGGGATAGCACCAGGAGATATCAGCTGTGATGGCTTGGAAAAACAGTGTAAACTGGCAGTGTAAACAAGAGCAGGGCATGTATGGGTAGTTGAGAACGGTGAATAGGAGTATGACTAGACAGAAGATAGTAGGGATGACAAGTTTTTTTGGGGGGGCACAGTCTAAGTTGGTCTGGTGTCTGGAATGAGACTGGGGCCTAATAAAAAGGCGTCTATACAGGAGCTTAAACGGGATGTACCTTGTAGCATTCTGAGGACAGGCCTGAATTCTGAGAAGCAAAAGTGGTAAAAGTATTGTCCAGTCCTTTTTAAGTTGGTGGCTGAGCTTGGTGAGGTGTGTTTTTAAAAGACCTTTAGTCCGTTCTACTTTTCTTGAAGACGGAGGACCGTAAGGGATATAAAGGTTTCACTGAATACTAAGAGCCTGAAAAACTGCTCGGCTGATTTGACTAATAAAGGCTGGTCTGTTATCAGACTGTATAGAGGTGGGAAGGCTAAACTGAGGAATTATGCCTGACAGAAGGGAAGAAATGACTGTGGTGGCCTTCTCAGACCCTGTAGGAAAGGCCTTTACTTATTCAGTGAAAGTGTCTATTTAGACTAAGAGGTATTTTAGTTTCCTGACTCAGGACATGTTTAGAAAAGCTAATTTGCCAGTCCTGGGTTGGGGCAAATCCTCGAGCTTGATGTGTAGGGAAGGGAGGGGGCCTGAATAATCCCTGAGGAGTAGTAGAATAGCAAATGGAACACTGAGAAGTTATTTCCTTGAGGATAGATTTCCATGATGGAAAGGAAATGAGAGGTTCTAAGAGGCGGGCTAGTGGCTTGTACTATAGCATAACCTGCCTTTGCTGGTGTGTGGCGATTAGGCCTGGTGGAACCGCCATCAATAAATCAAGCGTGATCAGGGTGAGGAACGGGAAACCAGGAAATTTGGGGAAATGGGGTGAATGTCAGGTGGATCAGAGAGATACAGTCATGGAGGTCAGGTGTGGTATCAGGAATAATGTGGGAGGCCGGATTGAAGTCTGGGCCGGGAACAATGGTAATTGTGGGAGACTCAACAAAGAGTGAGTACAGCTGAAGGAGCCGGGAAGCAGAAAGTATATGCATCAGGTATGAGGAGAAAATAGATTTTGGAAGTTATGAGAAATGTAGAGAGTGAGTTGAGAATGGTTTGTGATTTTTAGGGCCTCTAACAATATTAAAGCAGCGGCAGCCGCTGCACGCAGACATGAGGGCTAGGCTAAAACAGTAAGGTCAAGTTGTTTGGACAGAAAGGCTACACGGTGTGGTCCTGGCTCTTGCGTAAGAATTCTGTCTGTGCTAACCATGCCTAGGAAGGAAAGGAGTTGTTGTCTTGTAGAAGGTGCTGGGGTTTGAGAGATCAGTCGGACACGATTGGCAGGGAGAGCACATGTATTTTTATGAGAATTATGCCGAGATAGGTAACAGATGGGGAAGAAATTTGGGCTTGATTGAAGTAATGGGGGCTGTCTGTGAAGCTTTGTGGCAGTACAGCCTAGGTAATTTGCTGAGCTTGATGGGTGTCAGGGTCAGTCCAAGTGAAAGTGAAGAGAGGCTGGGATTAAGGGTGCAAAGGAATAGTAAAGAAAGCATGTTTGAGATCTAGAACAGAATAATGGGTTGTAGAGACAGGTATTGAGGATAGGAGAGTATATGGGTTTGGCACCACGGGGTGGATAGGCAAAACAATTTGGTCGATAAGGCGCAGATCCTGAACTAACTTGTAAGGCTTGTCTGGTTTTAGGACAGGTAAAATGGGGGAATTGTAAGGAGAGTTTATAGGCTTTAAAAGGCCATGCTGTAGCAGGCGAGTGATAACAGGCTTTAATCTTTTTAAAGCGTGCTGCGGGATGGTATATTGGCGTTTGGTGGGGTAAGGGTGATTAGGTTTTAATGAGATGGTAAGGGGTGCATAATCGGTCGCCAAGGAGGGAGTAGAGGTATCTTATACTTGTGGGTTAAGGTGGGGGATAGAAGAGGAGGATGCAAAGGAGGCTTTGGATTGGGAAGAAGGGCAGCAATGAGATACAGCTGTAGTCCAGGAATAGTCAGGGAAGCAGATAATTTAGTTAAAGTGTCTCGGCCTAATAAGGGAACTGGGCAGGTGGGGATAACTAAAAAGGAGTGCTTAAAAGAGTATTGTCTAAGTTGGCACCAGCGTTGGGGAGTTTTAAGAGGTTTAGAAGCCTGGCCGTCAATACCCACAACAGTTATGGAGGCAAGGGAAACAGGCCCTTGAAAAGAAGGTAATGTGGAGTGTGTAGCCTCTGTATTGATTAAGAAGGGGACGGGCTTACCTTCCACTGTGAGAGTTACCGGAAGCTCAGTGTCCGTGATGGTCTAGGGGGCTTCTGAGGCCATCGGGCAGTGTCAGTCTTCAGCCGCTAAGCCGAGATGATCTGGGAAGGAGTCAGTCGGAGAGCCTTGGGCCAGAGTTCCAGGGGCTCTGGGAGTGGCTGCTAAGTGAGTTGAACAGTCCGATTTTCAGTGGGGTCCCACACAGATGGGACGCGGCTTAGGAGGAATCCCGGGCTGCGGGCATTCCTTGGCCCAATGGCCAGATTTCTGGCATGTGTAGCAAGCTCCTGTGGGAGGAGGTTCTGGAGGAACGCCTGGCTGCTGCGGTTCAGGCTTTTGGAAATTCTTGTGTGCCGGAGATGTGGCTGGGGTTTGTCTCACAGTGGAGGCAAGGAATTGCAACTTTTTTCTATTATTGTACACCTTGAAGGCGAGGTTAATTAAATGCTGTTGTGGGGTTTGAGGGCTGGAATTTAATTTTTGGAGTTTTATTTAATGTCGGGAGCAGATTGGGTAATAAAATGTATTTTGAGAATAAGACGGCCTTTTGACCTTTTAGGGTCTAGGGCTGTAAAGTTTCTCAGGATTGCTGCCAAACAAGTCATGAACTGGGCTGGACTTTTATATTTGATGAAAAAGAGCCTAAACGCTATCTGATTTGGGATAAAGAAAAAGGAGCATTAACCTTGACTATGCCTTTGGCTCCAGCCACCTTTTTAAGAGTAAATTGCTGGGCAGGTGGGGGAGGGCTAGTCACGGAATGAAACTGTAAGCTGGACCAGGGTTGTGAGGAGGGGAGGTGATAAAAAGATTATAGGGTGGAGGAGGAGGGGCTGAGGAAGAATTGGGACCTAGCTCGGCCTGGCCAAGAGGGGAGAGGTCAGATGGGTCTGTAGAAAAGGAAGATTAGAAAGACTCAGTGACGCTTGGGGTTGGTACTGAGGGGACAGGTGGGAGGGAAAGAAGGAAGATTTGGGATGAGTTGCACTGGACACAGAGACTAGGAAGGGACTCATGTGTAAAAGAATGCCTGGACGTCAGGCACCTCAGACTGTTTGCCTATTTTACGACAAGAATTATTTAGATCTTGCAGGATGGAAAAATTCAAAGTGCCATTTTCTGGCTATTTGGAACTACTGTCGAGTTTGTATTGGGGTCAAGCAGCATTGCAGAAGAAAATAAGGCATTTAGGTTTTAGGTCAGGTGTGAGTTGAAGAGGTTTTAAGTTTTTGAGAACACAGGCCAAGGGAGTAGAAGGAGGAATGGAGGGTGGAAGGTTGCCTATAGTGAAGGAAGCAAGCCTAGAGAAAAGAGAGAGTATAGAAACGGAGGGAAGGGGTTCGGGGGTTCTTACCTTCCAAAAAAGTGGGAAAAGGGGTTGGGGTGCAGAGATAAGAGGTCGGGGGGCAGAAATAAGGGATGGGGCACAGAAGTAAGGGGTCGGGGCACCGAAATAAGGGATCGAGGGGCAGAGATGCGAGGTTGGGGTGCGGAAATAAGGGATTGGGGATTCTTGCCCCCCCAGAAAAGCGGGACTTGCCACTAAGGGTGAAGGAGAAGGGGTTGAGGGAAACTTGCCCTTGCCCCAGGAAAGCAGAGAAGGGGTAGAGACAAGGAGAGAAGGCGTTATGGTACTTGCCCCTTGCCCAGAAAAGCAGAGAAGGGGTTGGGGTACTTGCCCCTTCCCCAGAAAAGCGGGACTTGCCGCTAAGGGCGAAGGACCAAGGCAGGCGTCCCTGTGTGGTCTGACACCTTTGAAACATGGATGAATAATCAGGCATCCCTGCCATGATTAAACACCAAGGGAAGGCTGCCTTCCCAGTCCGTGACCGGCGCTGGAGTTTTGGGTCCACGGATAAAACGTGTCTCCTTTGTCTCTCCCCGAAAATGAAAGGAATTGAAATTAAGGGAGAGATTGAAGTGTGGCGCCAAGATTGAAAGGAGAAAGAGGTTGAGGGATAGTGAGGGAGGTTGGAGAAGAGAGTAAAAAGAGGCCGCTTACCAGATTTAAAATTGGTGAGATATTCCTTGGGCTGGTCGGTCTGAGGACCTGAGGTCGTAGGTGGATCTTTCTCACAGAGCGAAGAACAGGAGGACAGGGGATTGATCTCCCAAGGGAGGTCCCCCGATCAGAGTCATGGCACCAAATTTCATGTGCGTCCGTGTGAAGAGACCACCAAACAGGCTTTGTGTGAGCAACATGGCTGTTTATTTCACCTGGGTGCAGGTGGGCTGAGTCCAAAAAGAGAGTCAGCGAAGGGAGATAAGGGTGGGGCCGTTTTATAGGATTTGGGTAGGTAAAGGAAAATTACAGTCAAATGGGGTTTGTTCTCTGGCGGGCAGGAGTGGGGGTCGCAAGGTGCTCATTGGGGGTGCTTTTTGAGCCAGGATGTGCCAGGAAAAGGACTTTCACAAGGTAATGTCATCACTTAAGGCAAGAACCAGGCATTTACACTTCTTTTGTGGTGGAATGTCATCAGTTAAGGTAGGGCAGGGCATATTCACTTCTTTTGTGATTCTTCAGTTACTTCAGGCCATCTGGGCTTATATATGCGTGCAAGTCACAGGGGATGTGATGGCTTGGCTTGGGCTCAGAGGCCTGACAGATACTATCTTAGTTAATTTTCCTAGAAGCAAATTCTGAGATGAGGATCCAAGAGCAAGTGGTTTATTGGGAAAGCACTCCCAGGAAACACTGAAGCATGAGGGGATATTGATAAAGCATGAGTTTTTAAGTAAATTATCACTGGGGACAATGGGAGCTCAATCTCATTGGGAAGCTCCAGGAAATGATGTGGAATATGCTTCCGATTTACCTTATATGAGGAGCAAGGAGGGTCAGTGCAGAAGAGAAACAGGAGGCAGTGGCAGGGTGTGCTACAGATGGTGGCATTTTGATGAAGGAACTGATATCAGAAAAGGGCTTTGGAGATTGGGATGAGTTTGGAAAGGGCAGGAGGATATCCTGCACATGGGAAGATAAAGCAAAGAGAGGGAGCCAAAAAAAAAAAAAAATTACAGGAATGTGAGTTTCATGCGCATCTGTGTGAAGAGACCACCAAACAGGCTTTGTGCGAGCAATAAAGCTTTTAATCACCTGGGCGCAGGTGGGCTGAGTCTGAAAAGAGAGTCAGCGAAGGGAGATAGGGGTGGGGCCATTTTATAGGATTTGGGTAGGTAAAGGAAAATTATAGTCAAAGGTGGGTTGTTCTCTGGCGGGCAGAGTGTGGTCACAAGGTGCTCAGTGGGGGTGATTTTGAGCCAGGATGAGCCAGGAAAAGGACTTTCACAAGGTAATGTCATCACTTAAGGCAAGGACCGGCCATTTACACTTCTTTTGTGGTAGAATGTCATCAGTTAAGGTGGGGCAGGGCATATTCACACTCTTTTGTGATTCTTCAGTTACTTCAGGCCATGTGGGCGTGTATGTCCAAGTCACAGGGGATGTGATGGCTTGGCTTGGGCTCAGAGGCCTGACAGTGAGAACATTTGATACATTGATTCAAGAGCGAGGGACAGTACTGGGTTAATAATAACCACCCACTATTATTAATTTTTAAATAGCCACAGAATGGTTATTAAGCATGTAGGTTTTCCAAGCCCTGATCCTTTCTTTCTTCCTGTTGGCTTCTATTTGACCAAATCCTTGATGACTACCAGTAGGGGACAAGTAAGGAAAAAGAAGGGAAGGAGGAGGAGAAAGGTAAGAGGAGGACAAGGGGAAGAAGAAGATTAAGAAGGAGGAAGAGAGCAAAAGACAATGTAGACGATATACTCTAGAGCAGAAAATTTTGAGAATGGGTTTATGGGCCAATGTTAAACTGTGACAACTTTTTCTAGTCCACGGCAGAAAGAGAAACAAAAAGGCAGTGTAGTAAAATTCTTGTAAAGCTAAATCTAGTTTGATATCTTCTCAACATTTTGACATTAAAATTTTCTCTCCTTTATGTGACAATTTAATGGGTGGGTATTTTTTTTTTTTTTTTTTAGAAAAATACTTTCCCAAAGCAAAATAAAGAATTAGAAATCTCATGCTTCCATTTTTTTTTTTAAATGTGTATATATATTTTCCTGGTAGCAGAAACCCAGAGTCCTAGGACAATTAGCCTCCTCAACAGAGGCATTCCTTATATCACTCTAAAGAGCCAACAAATGGTAATGACTGCAGGTCACTCCTTAGCAAGGCTGCATAGAGAACACAGCATATTAGAGTGGATAACAGCACAGGCTAAGACTGGAAAAATTAGGACTCTATACCACGTGGACACTTGCTGTCCATGAGAACTTTTGTGGATTATTTAACCCTTTTTTTTTCTTGTGGTGCAATCTTGGCTCACTGCAGCCTCTACTTCCCGAGTTTAAGCAATTCTTCTGCCTCAGCCTCCCAAGTAGCTGGGATTACAGGGGTACGCCCCCACACCCAGCTAATTTTTGCATTTTTAGTAGAGACGGGGTTTCACCATGTTGGGCAAGCTGGTCTCAAACTCCTGACCTAGTGATCCACCCGCTTCAGCCTCCCAAAGTGCTGGGATTACAGGCTTGAGCCACTGCACCTGGGCTATTTAACCCTTTTGTGTCTCAAATTATTCATCTATAAAATGGATCAAATAATAACATGTACTTCAGAAAGTTGATATGAAAATAAACCAATTAATACAAGTACAATGTCTAGGACAAGATGTTCCACACACTAAGCAAGCAATAAATGCTGCCCGTTACAGTTAACTAAAGGTCCTATCATGTGTTAATAGAAACACACTAATCATACAACTGGAAATTTCCCAAATTGAGTTTCTAAAACAATGCTTTATTACTAAATTACTTAGCCTATATACACTACAACAGGTAGAGAAGTATTTTTAAACAAAATATTCAAATAACTAAACATAATTTTACACACTGAGGGCAAAGATATCATTTATTAGAGGTAACGACTTTTAAATTCTTTAGATTATTTTAATGAACATACAGGTACTCTTTAGATGGACTCTCCTGTAAGAAATTTACATTTGTATGAAAGCATTTGTAAAGCTTTTAAGATGTAATACTATTTATTTATTTATTTTTGAGATAGGGTCTCACTCTGTCACCCAGGCTGGAGCACAGCGGCGTCATCACGGCTCACTCACTGCAGCCTTGACTCACCCCCGATCCTGAGTTCAGGTGATCTTCCGACCTCAGCCTCCTGGGTAGCTGAGACTATAGGCATGCATCACCATGCTTGGCTAATTTTTTTTGTATTTTTTGTAGAGACAAGGTCTTGCTATGTTGCCAAGCCTGGGCAACAAGGGATCTGCCCACTTTGGTTCCCAAAGTGCTGGGATTACAGGCATGAGCCACCACACCTTTACTGTCATTCTTTGCAAGCATTTCTTATTCTAATTGGTATGGAAAACAATGCCATTTTCTTCTCAGTTAAGATACTCCGAAAATTTGTAACTATATAATACTGTACTGAGATGGGATAGTTCCCTTGACCCCCTTCACAGGCTGGAACTGGAGTGGCTCATATCATAGTCTGCTGCTGGCCATTCCTCACAGGAGGGAGTATGTGAGCAAGGGACTGCAGGAACCAGAGTGAATGAATGCTAGAACCAGTCAGTGGCTCCTCTCTGGTGGGAGCAGGCTCTGTGCAGACCTCACGGCAGCCTCCAAGTGTGTTACAACCAAAGCTCTTTCAGCTGCCATCTAGGGATGGCCAAGTGTCAACTGGCTCAGTGGAGGGTCAGGGTGGCAGCCCCTGCCCTCTTGGCACCTGGGTTCTTGTCCGACATCCAGGAAGAATCAGGTCATAGGAATGTTTGAAAGGTGATGAATGTGGAAGACTTTACTGAGCGGTGGGTGGCTCTCAGCAGAAAGGGAGACTGGAAAGGGGAAGGGAGGGTGATCTTCCTCTGAAGCCCGGCTATTTCCAGCTGGGCCCCTTTCCGAAGCTGTACATTCTGAAGTTAGCTTTGTCTGTCTGTAGTCTCCAACACTCAGCCACTTGTATCTTCAAAGCTCAGCCGCTAGTATTGCTCTGCCAGCTGAAGTCTTTTATGGGCACAAGATAGGGGCGGGGCAGGCCAAAAAGGCAACATTTGCACAGAAAAATGGGGTCAGCTGTTTTCACTTAGGGCCATGGTTCCAGGCTTAAGAGTGGGGTTTAGCCGGGGTCCAGCCCTTCTGCATCATTTCCAGAACAACTGCATTATAGAATGAAAAAGCAAATGAAAGTAGTCAGTTTTACGGTTTTAGATTTTTCTCATTGTTTCAGTAGCAATTTATTGAACAGGGAAGTATGTAAGTACAGATATAGGAGACGACAATGGTTATAACATGAGTATAGTTTGGAACCAGAGTCTATGAAAGACAGAATAAGCAGAGTCTCCACAGAAAACTGAAAATGGAACAGATGGGCTAATTCTGCATTTTCAAGAGTTCTTTCCAAACATGAAAGCCATCCCAGTGGACAAAGGAAAAGTTTTGTCTGAACTCAGCACCTGAAGCAATAAATGCAGACTGTTTTCCCATTATCTTAAAAAAAAAAAATCTTGGCCAAGGTAGTGGGGAGAGTGATGAGAAGAAAGAGACAAGACAGGTTTAAGATACATTTGTTTCTTTATCTCCTAATGGACAGAATACAATTTGATTTAAATTCCAAGCAAAGTGGCATTAGCTGAGTTCAGCAGAACTCCTGAGAGGCGGTTATTGGCCATCTCTAATCACTTCTGAAGCAGTCACTTGGCTGGACTTTCACAGGTCAGCTGGTTTCCAGGCTTGCTGGAGGTGGTGGCTAGAGCACCTGGGAGAGACTATATACACTGTTAGCTTGTTTCTTTCTTGTGTTGTTCCTATACTCAAGGAAGCCACAAACAGCTGTTTGTGGGTGTCTACCATCATAACTTGTTGGGAAAATGCAGTTCACAATTATGGTTTTCAAAATGGCATTTTCCAGTCTGACAAAATACATTTCTATTTTAATTCCTGTTTAAAAAAGTGGAAACTGATTTGAATCGCCCCTCCAATGCCCTCTCTTCATTGCAGGTGGTAGGTTGATAACACCTGGGTGTCTACCCTGGATGGCTGATTGTAGATCCAGATGGTTATTCACATTTAATCCAAAATGATTACATCCTTTTAGTGGGAATACCATGTCCTTCATATTTTCAACTTATTAAATTCCTACTATGTGCAAACAACCCCTTTTCTAAGTGCCGAGAAGAATGTCAATGAAATGCAATGTACAACCTATACACATGCACGCAAACACACTCACATACCATGGATACTTGATTAAGTAAATCCACCATGAACAGTGAATTTACGTATTTTGAGAAATGGTGATTAAAGTTACGGTTTGCAGAAATGGTGTTACTTAATGTGGAGTAGCTTCTAAGATGAAAATGCTGAATGCGTGTTTTAAGAAAGATGATCTGCAAAAATATAATTTGTAGAGTACAACATTTTTAACCAAAGAGTGAATATTGTGATGTAGACTGAAAATCAGAAAATTAAAAGTGGATGAAATTTGCTCTGAGTTTATAGGTTTTCCAGTTGCTGCTTTATAATTACCAAGTATGTGTGAAGCCCAGAGTCACACAACGAAACTGAGTACATGATTGAATTTGCAGACATAGCATTTCTGAATCTGCAGATTTCTCATCAAATGCTAAAGCTCCCCCAAGGTTGTTATTGCAGGTGGTGATCAAAGAATAGTCAAATGAAATACTCTTTTTTTTCTCTCTCTCTCTCTCTCCCTTTGTCTCTTGCTGATATTAGTACCAGAAGTTAAAACTGATGTAACTCTAGGCTAGTGTGGTAGGCATGTGTCAGAGAGTTTCAGCAATACAATTTACCACTAATTGGGGGAATAAAGAAACCCTGCTGTTTTCCTCTCTGCCTTCCAAAGGGAGAGGAAGAAAATCAGACCCCATGGGCTCCCTTAACTTTCTGCCACAAGATTGTATAGGCCAGGCTGGAGATCTCAGTTGGGTCCTGTTCCTCTCACTTCTGCACATACTCCTGTGTCTCTGCCTAATTGGACAATCAAAGAGATCTCTGTGTAGTTGTTTAGCCTTGGCCCAAGATGTTTCTTGATATCACATGTCTATGTCTTCTAAATGCAGCTTTTCTTTAATTTTTTGGGATGCCTTCCCTAACCACCCCCAGCAGATCCCATCATAGCTGCCCTCCTCCACACACACACTTTGTGGGGTCCTAAGAAAACCGCCAGTTCTTTCTTTATGAAGTGATACCATGTCTGTCTCCATCACCAGACTGTGGGATACTTAGAAGGCAAGAACCATGATGCGTTTAATCATCTGGTCTCCTGCACTTTGTAGGCAGTTCCACATGATGGAAGCTCAAAAGATGTTTGCTGAAGGAATCAGGAATAAAGGAAGACAGTTATCTAAAACCCTAGCACCAGGGAATTTTGAAGTAAATCCAATATTGATCAGCTCTGGTGTTTTTCTTTCCTACTTTTCTTTTTCTTTTTTTTTTTTTTCAGTTAATGAAGAATGTAGCCGTTTCTTTCTTTCTTTTTTTTTTTTTGAGATGGAGTTTCACTCTTGGTATCCAGGCTGGAGTGCAATGGTGTGATCTCTGCTCACTGCAACCTCCGCCTCCTGAGTTCAAGCAATTCTCCTGCCTCAGTCTCCCAAGTAGCTGGGATTACAGGCGCTCACCACCACAAAGGGATAATTTTTGCATTTTTAGTAGAGATGAGGTTTCACCATGTTGGCCAGGCTGGTCTCGAACTCCTGACCTCAGGTGATCCTCCTGCCTCGGCCTCCCAAAGTCCTGGGATTACAGGTGTGAGCCACCGTACCTGACCAAATATAGCCATTTCTGACATGCCACCCACCTTCAAGTCATAAGTTGTGAATTCTTTTAACATTTAAAAAAAATATATAATAGAGGCATGGCCTCACCATGTTGCCCAGGCTGGTCTCATACTCCTGGGCTCAAGCAGTCCTCCCACGTTGGCCTCCCAAAGTGCTGAGAGTACAGGCATGAGACACTAGTAATATAAAATGCAGAGGAGATGATATGCCACCTCATCTGCCTTTTCTTTAGTCCTTAACTGCAACATCAAATCTAGGGCCTTTAGCATTTGAGAAGGAATCAAAAGAACTGTATCTGTGAACCCCATCTTGCACTCCATTTCCCTGTGTGACTCTGGACTCCACACCTATTGGAGGATTAAGAGATAACAATTGGAAAACTTATACATTCAGAGCAAATTTTACTCACCTTTACTTTTCTGATTTGCAATCCATATCACAACACTCATTCTTTGATTGAAACTGCTGAGTTCTATCAATTATATTTTAACTTTGACTTAAGAAGCCTTCAAGGCATATTTCCCCAGAACATAGCAAACTATGAAATTCTGGATCCATAATGTGTTGTCTTTATGTCAGTATAAAGTAAATGTATAGTTATTTGCTGAAGCAACTAAGCCGAATATTAATAAATTATGGAGCAGGCCACTGCAACTTATCACTTCACTGTGTATCTTACTGGACCATAGATTTTCTTCCAAAATTTAAGCATTAAAAAGGGAACTTCTCAATTTCACCAGCAGGTATTCAGGGAAGCCCCAATAGTAAATGAACTAGATGAACAGGAATCCAAATAAAGTTTCTAAAGCAATAGTAGTAAAATTAAGGGTTGCATTTCCCATCAAGGACTCAGTATTGAGTAACTCTAAAAAATTATGAACAATTGCTGTAGTGAATACATAAAAATGATACATCATACAAAGAATTTAAAATAGTGAAATTATGTTTTATGCTCAGCAGCCATATACACAGGGGAAACATTTACCTTTAAGTGCATCCATGGTGTCATAAACTGCAGAGACAGTGTTTCAATGGGTCTCAAACACTTAACAGCAGAACACATTCTTATTGACATCTTCCAGTCAGAACACAAATAAACTGAAAAACCTGAGCACTTCCTTTTCCTTTCCTTTTTTTTTTTTCTTTCAGTAGCTTAGGCATACAAGCGGTTTTTGGCTAAGTGGACAAATTGCATAGTGGTAAAGTCTGGACCACTTTTGTTTTCATTTTTGTTAAGGTGAAAGCAGGAATAATCAAGTCTTTCCTTGCCTTTTGTGGTCATCTCTCTGAGACCTCAGGACTTTGTTAGATCATGTGACCACCAAATTAGAAAGGCTAAATAACCAAAGCTAAATATTTGACCTTTCCTTATTTTGTTTTAAAAAATCATTCCTACTTATTTTTAATAAGTGATATATGTATATGGTGAAAAGCTCAAAAGGCACAAAAGGAAATAGAAATTTCTAGATTGACGATGACAGTATTTAGCTGCCATATGCCCTCTCTCTACATAAATCACTAGAAACAAGAAGGAAAAACAAGAGGGACAAATGGAAAAGCCAACTCCATATTAGACAAAGTTTGGGCCAATTGAAATGCTGAATCAGAGTGGATGGAAAGGGCATCAGACTACTATTCATGCAAATTACTGTGGCTGTATAATATTCAAATTACTGTGGCTATATAATAAACTTCAGTATTTGTTTGCCCTAATCCTCCACCCTCACTGTTGCCCCTTAATATTCAAGGTTATTTTTGCTTGCCCATTTTTTCATATGAAGTTTAGAGTGAATTTATCTTGTTCCAAATAGAATACTACTTGTCTTTTTATTTAGATCACCCTCAATTTATAGTTAAGCCAGGAGGGCTTAATAACTTTATGATACTAAGAACATGGAATTTTTTTCCATGTTTTTGTGTCACAATGTATTTTTTAACAGATTGCTCATATTTTTGTTAAATTTATTTATGTACCTTTTTTTGATTGTTACTTTATGTGACATTTCTTATTCCATCATATCTTCAAATAATTTGCATGTATGAAGGTTATTAAAGTCTGTGTATTATTATATTTTTGTGCCCAGATACTTTTTGAATTCTTGAATTGTTTGTTTTTGTTTTAAATTAGATTCCAGTTTCTCATATGAACTTCTGCAATGATTATTTCATTTCTTGGTTTCTCACTGTAATTTTTAAATTTTTCTTATATTAGCTGGTATTTCTTGAGCAATGTTATCTAATAATGGTGATAGCAGCATCTTTGTCTTATTGCTAACATTAATGAGAATGCTGTTTAGTATTTCCCCAATAAACCTATTGCTGACTTTAGGCTATAATCATTCATATTTCATAGCATTATTTTATTTCTACTTCATATTGGTTTTTTAAATCAAGAGTGGATTTTGATATGGTGTGTGTGTGTGTATATATATATAAATTAACATATATGTGTGCATATATGGCATTTTATGTGTGTGTATGACATATATGTGGCATTATAAATGTGTGTACATATATATGTATATATATATATAATGCCATTTATCATCATAAATTCTATAAAGGCATTTTGTAGAATTTATGGTGATGAATGTCCACTTTTGGTCTATTTATATGATAAATTATATTAATACATTTATTAGTATTCCTTGTTAAATTTTTCTATTGAATCCCATCTTGTTATTCTGTGTTATTTTTTAATGTGCTGCTGCATTTTGTCTGCTAACATTTTATTGGGATTTTTGTATCACTTTTTATTATGGACTTGATCTAGAGTTTTCTTTTATTGTATTGACTGTCAGGTTTTGGTAGCAGTGTTACAGTATTTTCAAAGAAAAAAATAAATTTGAAGTTTTTCTTTCTTTTTTTCTTGTGCTTTAGACAAAGCTACGATGATAAACATTAGAATTATCTGTTCTTTCAAAGTTTAGTCGAAGTGCCCTGGGAAACCATCTGTGCTTGATGCTGTTTTGGAAAGGCAGGTCTTTGAAATATTTCACCCCCTATGGCAATTGGGTTGCCTGGATTCTCTAATCTTTTCTTGAATTGGTTCTGGTCAAGTTTTGCTCAGCAATGGCCATGGAGAATCTGTTAACTATACAGAAATCATATTTTTGGAAACATTGTTGACAGCTATTTGGGCACCTTGTATTTCCTTGGTGAGCTTCTATAAAGTCGGAGATACGAAAAATGTAAATTCCAAACATGTGCCACAGAATTGCTAAAAGAAGCATAGGGAAGTGTCTTGACTGTAAATGTGCTACTGCCTTCCAATAATGGAAATTGGCAGGAATATTTGACTGACAGGAAAAGACAGGGAAGGTTTTCAGAGCTTGTAGAAAGCTCTTAAGATGTTGCATAACTCACAAAGATAGAGTCTTCTTTGTGAGAAAGCTGCTTGGCAGAAACCAGTATTTCCATCACTTATTATTTTAAAACTCAGTTTCTCACCCTGGGGAAATCACTAATTTCTGGATGTTTGTCACAAAGCTTTGGTACATCCTTGTAGATACCAAAAAGAAACCCTCTGCTGCCTCTGCTTACCATCTCAGATCATGAACTCATTCCTATAGTGTCGATTTTTTTGAACTACTCAAAGTATATTGTGCTGTGCAGGCCTAGAACTGAGAGTTAATTAGGCAACAGGGAAGTAAAGAAAGAAAGCAGAGAAAATAAACCATTCTTAACCATCTACTATGTATATGACATGATAAAAACTCTTCATATGCTACGTTATTTTTTATCACATCAATTTTACAGAGAACTAACAAGGTCAGTTAAGTTAAGTGACTTCCTTAAAGTCACATTATTAATGCATAACTGAGTTGCAACATCAACCTGTGTTCTTTCCATTACGCTATCTTGTAACTCAAATGACAAAATGAAGAGCTTCAAAGAAATAAAAGTGCGATTAGTAGAGTGAAATATCTATGACCCTAAGTAAAGGGGTTAAAAAATACCATGGGCAACCAAAGCTGAGAATATCAAAATTTCACATCTTAGTCAATCATTTTAATTCCCATTTTATCAGCCTTTTATCACATCAGGGGAAATAAGCATTCTTATTAGTTTCTATTTTAAAGTTGTCAGGCACATTAAAAAGAAAGAGAGGTTTTCAGCAACTTTCTGGTCAGAGAGCTAATTTTCCAGGTTGGCAGTTAGTTCCTAAGTGTGAATGCTATTTTGGTCTGACCTAAACATCAGCCCACCATCCTTAAGAAACTGTCAGGCACCTCTCCAAAGACTTTCCTGTGAAAAGATAGGCTTCACAGCAGTGTACGGGAGATATTTAACCTAGGATGGTTTTAGAAACTAAATTGTAGCAGGGAAACAATGCTTCCCGGTGGCACACTAACCAGAGCCCACTGTTTCTTCTTGTTAGTTCACACATACCCCTCACTAATTTTCTTAGAACTCAGATTTTATTTCATTATTTAATGGGTACAAGGTACGCTATTTGGGTGATGAGCACACTAAAAACACAGACTTCACTGCTACACAATATAGCCATGTAACACAATTACACTTGTACCCCTTAAATTTACACAAATAAAAGAAGTGCTGTTTCCAAGTGCTTTATGGAAACCACTATCTCCTTAAAATGATCTTGCAAATAATATTTCTAAAGTTAAAAATGCTTTTAGGAAATGCTGAGTACTACATTCATCTCTTGGAATCCGCAACATACAGTCACATATTCAAGGCCCTGAGAAGTCCTGCAATAAATAAACTTGCTTAATTTTGTTTAATCCAGCATTTTCAAAGTAATATTTGAATAAGATGCATCATAAACTGTTTTCTTTCAGTGAAAGGAAATGTTTGACAGGTAAACACGTTTGTAAACTATTTTTGAAAATACGTTATTGGAACATATTTCTTTTTCCATTTGGCCCTATTAGGATAAGTTGAGAAACCTAGGAATAAAAAGCAAATGTAGGCATGTCAAAAATATTAATAATAACAATAACCATATTCTACCAATAATAGTTCCTTTTATTCATGAAATATCATTAATTTTTCATCCTACTGTATATTCTGTATATAAACTTCTGTTCATGCCCGTGAACTAAGAGCAACCACAGCCTTGTACATCCTGGAGCTAAGAATGTTTTTCACATTTCTAAAAGATTATAAAAAGAGGAAAAAAAAATGAAGGAAAAAAGAAGAAAAGACAAAAAATAAAAAGCAAAGAAAAGGAAGAATGTACATCATGGGCATTCAAACTCTACATGTGACCCTCAAACCCTAAAATATTGACTCTCTGGTCCTTCATAGCAAATTTGCCCACTCCTGTTAATCTAAACCAAAAAGTTAACATAATTGAAGTTAATAAAGATGTATCACTTGTTATAAATTATATAAAATAATTTTAAAAAAGAATAAAGTAATAGTTCATCTTTCACTTTAAAGATTACCCTTACTCCAGGCTTAGTGCAGTGGCAAATGCCTACAATCCCAGCATTTTGGGAGGCCAAGGTGGGAAGACTGCTTGAGGCCAGGTGTTCAAGATGAGCCTGGGCAACACAGTGAGATCTCATCTCTACCAAAAATAAAAAATAAAAATAAAAATTAGCTAGGTATGATGGTGTGTACCTATAGTCCTTGCTACTCAGGAGACTGAGGCAGAAGGATCACTTGAGCCCAGGAATTCAAAGCTGCAGTGAGCTATGAGTGTGCCACTGCACTCCAGCCTGGGCAACAGAGTGAGACGCCAACTCTACAAATTAAAAAAAAATAAAAATCAAGATTACTTCATGATAGAATTTAAAATTTAATTACTCAGATGAAAAGCATGACAATGAAAATATAAGAGGGTTCAGGGAGCTCCTAAATTTGAGAGTCTAAACCCTCAAATTTAAATTCCATATCAAGAGGCAACATTTAAAATAGGATGAAATAAAGATTAGCTTTAATTGACTCAAAATAACTTTGAAGCCTATACCAATTGAAGGATTTCTAACCTCATAGAATCACTTACAATCTCAGTCTATTATTTATAAAATGAGCAGATTGAAGTCACTGCTTCTTAGTTTAAGGAGAGTGTGTCACAATTATCTAGTAATTAAAATATGTGAGGTTTGCAAGCTGCAACCCCGTTCCACATTAACTAGGTCTTCTCCAAAAGTCACTGAATCCGGGACACCTTTTCAAAACACAGATCCCTTAGTTAGATCCTTTCTCTTGAGATATGTCTTTTAGGTGTAAGGTGGGTCTTATAATTTGATAGACCTTCCAGGGACTTCTTTTTTGCTCCTCCCCTCCTCTTCTCTTCCTACTATTGTGTAACAAACCACCCTAACATTTAGTGTCTTAAAACAACAGTGTAATACACCCACTCTCCTTGGGTCTTTCATGCAGTTGTAGTCAGATGGCACATCAAGATATGGTCATCTGAAGGCTTAGTTGGGCTGGACATCTAAGATGGTTTATCTGCATGGACGGCAGTTGACTGGGAGCTCCTCTGGCACTGCTGGCTAGAAAATCTACAAGTGGCCCCTCTATGTTGCTTGGGCTTCTTACAGAATAGAGTTGGCATCCAAGCAGAAGTATCCGAAAGTCCCAAGTGGAATTTTCCAGAGACCTAGCCTCAGAAGTCCAGAACGTCACTTCTATAGCATTCTACTGGTCAAGCAAGTCATTAAGGCCAACTCAGTTTTGAGGGGAGGAGAATAACATGAGGGCACAGAGAGGGAAATAATTGTTACTTGTATCTTTGGAGTTCATCTACCATGCTCCACAGCTAGATGGTGCCTGTTCATCTAAGAAGCTCCGTCATTTCCAGTCTATAAAGAATAAAGGGATGACATGTCCCTTTTAATTTCTCACTGACAAGATATTGATGCCACTATTTCCAGTGGAAACTACAAACTACGGAGCACTATGATTTTTTTTTTTAAGAGGAGCTGCATTAGGATGGCTTAAGGTTGCAATTGCATTATTTTTCGGTGGCAATTTCTTGTCAAGTAACTCAATGTGTTTTGTAACTTCATCAACCATGGGATTGTACAGTGCAAGGTGTTTCCTTAATTCAAGATTGATGTGATTCTGCAAGCACATACAACACACACAACAAGGCAGTGTGCTTATTGGTGGGGGTTTTTCAGGACTTATGGAATTGAATGAAAGCAGCAATTGGACAGACTGATTCATTGCTCAGGGAAACTCCTGAAAGCAACTCATCTGTGTAAATGTGTCTCTCCATTCATTTAGCCAGGCTGTATAGTTTCCCCTTAATGCTCTGTCTTTGTATCTATAGCTATCCATATATTATAGTAATCAATGTATACGGAAGGAATGTTCTTACTCAAATAAGAATTGATCTAGCTATTTGGACTGATCCTTACTCAAGGGATATTGCAATGAGGAGCAGGTAGGGGAAAGGGAGGTCAATTTAGTAGGGCTTCACATTCACAATAGATCTTAAGTTTAGATCTAGATGTTTTCTCCAAATGAAGATAGGCATATGGTCAGGAGGATACCCTGGCACAGACTAAAAAGACTTTTATTCCAGTACTGGACCCAAATTCATGATCAGACCATTACAAAACTTGTAGTACGTAACAATTTTTTTCAGCTAAAACTAAATCTTCTACTGTCTGCGAATAGCATCATCATATTGTTACACATTTGTACGTACATATTAAAGTTGTAGAATTTTTTCCAAGATAAATACATCCAATTGGCCACAACGTTTGAACTTTGTTTTGACCTTTTTTTTCATTTTTATTAATATGTAGAGCATCTCAAGAGTTGGCAAGATCTTGTCTTGGCTTTGAGAAGCCACAAACCTCCCTCATCTGCATTTTCTGGGGGCCAGGACAGTGGTAAAAACGGCTGCTCTCTCTACCCGGTATTGATTGCTCTACTTAACTTACATATGTCACATAGGAAAAAATGATCATCTTAGCAGGAGATGGAAGAAAGTCATTTTTTGGGAAAACTGTATCTTCTGAAAACAGCCTTTGATATGTGGCAGTTGCATAGAATTTATTTATTTATTTTTTATTTTTATTTTTTGAATATCAATGACATTTTTATTCTCCAAATTATTGGTGACAAGTTTATCTATTTTGTGGTAAAGTTATATATTTAAGTTTTCTACTTGTACGAAGTTAATCATTCAGACTCTGCAAGAAGCCAAAACAAAGTTGCATGGAATTTAGCTTTAAGCCTTCTTCCACATTCACATAAAGGATGGAAGAGAACTTTAATAATTTTGTAGAAAGAAGGGGCAGAGGTCAGCTGAGCAGTGTGCATACAGAAAGTTCAAGGAGAGAGATGACCCCTACACCTAAAGAGACTTGTTGCATTGTTCCCTGTATAAATCATTGTTAAAATGCTCGCTTCAGTCAATTCTACATTACTAAGAAATATTTTTGTGTGACTGTTCTTTTTGAGAAACTTAGAAGAGGATAATGAAATGGCTGGCTATTTGAACCACATAAAGGAATAATGTGATTTGATGAGAGTGGGGGCCATAGTTTGAATGTTTCCCCCAAAGTTCATGTGTTGGATGCTCAGTGCAAACAGAATTGAGAAGCGGGAACTTTAAGAGGTGATTAGGTCCAGGGCTCTGCCCTCACGAATGCTTTAATGACATTATCTCTGGAGTGGGCTAGTTATTGTAGGAACAGGTTCCTGGTAAAAGGATGCATTTGGCCCTCTTTTTTCTCTCTCACCTGTGTGACGCCTTCTACCATGTTATAACACAGCAAGAAGGCCCTCACAGATGCAGCCAGTTGATCTTGGACTTCTCAGCCTCCAGAACCATAAGCCAAATAAATCTCTGTTTATTTTATTTTACTCATTCTGTGGCATTACATTAATACCACAACAAAACGTGGGTTAAGACAGATGATTATACAGCAGGACCCCAGCAGGGCAGAAAATGAACAGCTGTGTTCTGGGCTGCTGTAACAAGAGCAATAGCCTTGATAATGGGAAAGAAGAGGCAGAGGTTTGCCGAGCCTAAGGGGCTTTTCGTGACCTGGAAAAGTAACCTGGGCTTTACCTTTGTCCCACCAATGCTAGGAAGCTTTGCCCAACTCTTCCCTATGAGGAGACACAACCAGAGTGTGATTAGAACCACTCTTTAGTACCAGATAGATTAGAGCCCATAGTCTGCCTCTTTCACATGGTAGTAGTGAGACATTTGCCAAGTTCCTTAACCCTCTCTGCCTTGTTTCCCCCAAAGTATATTGCAGTAAATTGTACCCACCTTAAAGTGTTTCTATGAGACTTAAATGAAATAATGCATAAAACATCCCTGTTGGAGACCACACTTAGTAAGTGTTCAATACATGATAATTTTTACTGTTATTTGTAACAGTATAACTGTAACTATGAAAAATGTTCCTACATTGGTTAAGGACACTATAGGAGTACCATTTGTTTGGAGGAAACATCATGCTCTGGCAGTTCCACATTTGCCTGGAATTTGGCAGTAACAATTCAGAACAGAAATAGCTAAAGCAATAGAAACAGGCTTGGTGATTTTTCAAAACTGAACTCAGTCTTGGAGACACAATGTCCTCTGGAATTGGAACATAGACTCTGAATCAGAAAGCAAACATTACAACACAAATAAGTAAGACCTGTGTGGAACAGGGACCAATGGAGGCTCCTAAGAGGAACAGAAGAGGAACAAATGGAATCGATGGGATTTAGAGTCGAGAAAATAAAAAATAAAAAACAAATCCCAAACCTGTGACTTAGAAAGTTTGTTAGATCAGGTCTTCAAGAATCAGAACTTGAGGTCAGAATTTGTGGACTCCCAAGACATACTGGTGAGGACATGGGGAAGAGAGACAGGGCAAGGGAAGGGCAGAAGCCGGGCAAGATCACAATATTAGAAACCCCAACCTTAGCCTGATCTCAGGGGAGCTCTGCAGCCTGGCTTGCGCTAGGATTTTGCTTCTCTTGAGATAAGGAAACTGGCTTTTGTTACTCAGCACTGGTAAGTCATTGTCACTTTCCAGCTCACACTATATGGCAGCAACCAGAAACGGAATGGAGAATACCTGCTGGAGGTCAGTCACCCTGACCAGAGCCGAGATATGACCACTCATGGCATAATATTCAGTTGGCACCCACCAGGATGGTCAAAATAGTTGTTCTATTTAAATACTTCTGTACAGCAACAGGGTGGTAAAGGGCTATTGCCTCGAGCACTCTGAATGCCTGATAAACACACTGCTGCCTCAAACCCACCTCCAAGGCCCTTCAGATCTCCCTAAAGGCTGCTGGCTACTTATCTGATTGTCCAGTGGCCAATCTCAGAGGCTGAAGGTTCAGGATATCACCTATGAATGGGGTTTTCTACATCATCATTGTTAAGTTGCTAGTCTATCTTTTAATAAAATTGTATCCAGGTCCCTAAACTCTGCCCTTATGGGGATAAATTCCAAAGCATGATGAGAGCAGCAAAGGCAACACATTTTGGGATTTTTATAGGTGAATTTCTCTTATATAGGAAGTCTGGGACATTTTTAGTAATGTCCTTGGACTGATTTAGTAAAGTTTCTCAATGGCAACTGGGTTCGCTTTTTTCCAAACCCAGGTGTTTAATGGGAAACTTCAGAGAAACAGCCTGTGAATCACTCTTAAAGTGACACACTCTGAGAAGGTCGGGGGTGGGGGGAAAGGCAGTGTGTTACCATTTAGCACAATGCAGCTTATAGCTATGTGAGTTCCATTCTCTTGTGAGTTCCATTGAGTTGCCTGCAATCACTGTATTGACAAGCTAAATCTATCTTTCATCCAAGTTGGTAAATAGAGCTGTTTCATAATACAGTGGGGAGGAGGACGCACCTATAAGGGGGTTATGGAATAACTAGAGATGCGCTGCTGAGATCTATGGGTTTAATTCTTTCCCCACGTCATTTGCCTCCTGGTCAAATTTCAGTGGAATGTGGACAGGTCAGGGCCCTGTGCAGCTATGCTCAAGGAAAGATGAGGCATTTATTTCTGAATTAGCTTCTGGATTAGCTCTAACTGGTGTATGTGATAACATGTCTTCTTGTCTTTGGGATATATGACCAGGTGTGTGTGAGTATGTGAAGAGGTTGTCAAAGATTGAGTTTCTCCAGAAGCAGACCCTAAAAAAAAGTTGTGAGTGCCAGCAACATATTAAAAAGTGATCCCACAAAGCAGTGGTTGAGATGTGGGGAAGTGAGCTAGGGAAGGAAAAGGGTGTGTTGTTGAGTGGTAATGACTGTGGGCCACTTGGGTTGAATCCATCCAGGAAAGCCTGAGAGCTGGTGTAGAGCATGTGCCTCAGGGTTGTCCCCAGCAGGGTGGTGGTAGCATCTCTGTATAGATTGATGCTCTCCAACCCAGGCTGTTTTACTCCTTCTCAGGATAGACCTATGAGTTTGTTAATCTGCAGTTGTGAGGCCAGGAGCGGTGGCTCACGCCTGTAATCCCAGCACTTTGGGAGGACGAGGGGGGTGGATCACCTAAGATCAGGAGCTCCAGACCAGCCTCAACAACATGGTGAAACCCTGTCTCTACTAAAAATACAAAAATTAGTTGGGTGTGGTGACAGGCGCCTGTAATCTCAGCTACTCAGGAGGCTGAGGCACGAGAATTGCTTCAACCCGGGAGGCAGAGGTTGCAGTGAGCTGAGATCACGCCATTGCACTCCAACCTGGGTGACACAATGAGACTCTTTCAAAAAAAAAAAAAAAAAAAGAAAAGAAAAACTGCGGTTGCTTGGTAAGTTGGAACAAATGGGGTTATGTATAAAGTCTTAGTTATTACTTGACATTCTAGAAAGTGGGCGTTAAAATGGGCATCTCTGTAACTCAAAATACAGAAATGTTAGGAAGTTTTCTGAACTGTTGCTTTCTACCTATATAAAGTCTTTAATACTATCCTTCCATGAACAAATTTACAGCAGCCATTTTTAAATTTCTGGGTTGATGTCCTTACTAACGGCTCTTCAAGATAAGACAAAAATGGAAAATCCCTTAGACATCTCCACAGACGTACCCAAGGTTAAGGAGAGATATAGGGAAGCAGGACCATCTCTCCAAATTCCATTCCTTGATAAATCAAGAACAAAATTTTCATAACAACAATCTTTGTCATAAGAAAAACAAAAAACTAGAAGGGCAATCTAAGAAACACGAACGAGCAGGGACTAAGAAAATGGAAACAGCAATCCTGTTGCTTTAAACCAATGTAGGTGTATTAGTGAACTCTAGACTGGGGGTCAGAAGACTTCGTTTTGAGTCCATTGTTTACTCCATCTACAGCAGTAACCATGATCTGCTCCTCATCTCTCCTGGCCTCAGTTTTAAGATGGAGACGAGGAAAATGCTTCATTATATGATCACTTTTGGTGCCAAAAATTCGGCACATTTATTGGCTTCTTTTTCCGCTTACATTTTTTCAGGGGGAAAGATAATTTTTCTTTTTGTTTTGTATCCCTTTTTTACCCATTACCAAAGCAACATCGCAAATGTAGAAAACATATGAAAAATAGAAACAGGGAAAAAATATCCATATCCCCTCTACTCTATTTTAGTACGCATCTTTCATTCTTTCTTATGAACACTGTTTTTACATAGTGAATATGATAATTTGTATACATTTGCATATTTTTATATGGATGTGAGAAAAGGAACAGAAAAGAAGGGGATAGTTCTTTTCAAATACTTGAGAGTCTGCCGTGTGGAAAAGATGGCACACTTATTCTATGTAGATTCAAGGACTCAATAAGAAGAGCCAATATCAATTCTGTCTTGCTACAGGGAAAAAGGTTCCTTTTCTGTGTCTCCGGAGAGTGGTGTTGTTCAAAGGGGATGGAATAGGGAAATAGGGAAAATTTGAGATGTGCTAGGATGAGATGATGTCACTCCATTTTGGGAAAAATATAGCTTTAAGGTTTCACCATTTAAGGTCATTTTCTGACATTCTGACTAGCATCTTCCATCCATTGAAAACTCCTAGTAGCCATTTAGCCATTGCCACACTTCTAGGTTGATAATCTTAAATGACCCTTCTAGAGAGGACACAAATATGAAAACCTGAAGACATCTCCACAGCTGTGCCCAAGGCAAAGATGACACATAGGAAAACAGGACCTATTCATGGTCTCTTTAATTTCTAGTTCTTGAATATCTATTACCAGTTACTTTAAACTTCACTGACTTTGCCTTGTACATTTCTTTTAATAAGCCCAAACTGGTTTATTTCAATGCCTTGTCATATGCTATTTCTGTAAAACATTCTATTCAGATCCATGATATTGATTCTCTTAGATTAATCACTGATAATTTGGCTCAAATCACTTGTGGGTAACGTAGGTGGCAAATGCAGCAAGGCATATAATGTCACTTCCATTAAACATTGCTCTAAGAATAGATTTGAATTATTCTTGAGAAATGGGTAAAAACAAGAACTCGAATTTTTACAAGCTTTTTCCTATACCTTCTTTTTTTTCTTTTTTACTTCAGTGCAGTTCTTGAAAATATCTTTTAGTGTGCCCAGGAGTTAAATTAATCATCAACTGGAAGCCAACTCTGTTCTGCTTGAAGAACTATCTAGAAGGGGGCATTTGGGTATTCAACATCCTTGTAAGATGAGAGAAGCATAAGCAGGAGGAATTAAGTCCTCTCAACATATCATTGCGAAGGCATTTAGCTAAAACATTTTTCTACCAAATTGCTTTTTAAAGGTTTTATTGAGATTTACGACTGAGAGACTTCAGATGGCAGAGGAAGGAAGACATTCAGGCATAATCTGGAATAGGCATGCTTAGGGAGGAGACCCATTTCTTACTGTGTCTGGTGTTTTAATTTCTGTTTATTGTAATAATTATTTCTTAATGATAGATGGGTCTTATTTTATTATAGTACCTTTAACTCTTCAAGTTCCATCTATTTAATTTCATTTGATCTTAAAACAAAAACTCTAACAGCAAAGACATGAAGCTCATTGAAAGAACAGGAGACTCTGAAAAATAATGGGGTTAATAAAGTCATAAGAATATTAATAAGCTAACAGTAATGAGATGTGGTGTTGGGTCTTCTGCTGCAAACTTCCATTTTTTTGGTTTTGGTTTGTTTTTTCAACTTTTATTTTAGATTCAGGGATACATGTGCAAGTTTGTTATATAGGTAAATTGTGTGTCACGGGGGTTTGGTGTACAGATAATTTCATCACTCAGGTAATAAGTGTAGTACCTAGTCGATAGTTTTTCTTTTTCTTTTCTTTTCTTTCTTTCTTTTTTTTTTTTTTTTTTTGAGACAGAGTCTCCCTCTGTCCCCCAGGCTGGAGTGCAGTGGCATAATCTCGGCTCAATGCAAGCTCAGTCTCCCGGGTTCAGGCCATTCTCCTGCCTCAACCTCCCAAGTAGCTGGGACTACAGGCGCATGCCACTACGCCCGTCTAATTTTTTGTATTTTTAGTAGAGACGGGGTTTCACCATGTTAGCCAGGATGGTCTTGATCTCCTGACCTCATGATCCGCCTGCCTCAGTCTCCCAAAGTGCTGGGATTATAGGCGTGAGCCATCGCACCTGGCCAGTACCCAGTAGATGGTTTTTCTATCCTCCCTGTAGTCCAAACCTCCACCCTTAAGTAGGTCCTGGTGTCTGTTGTTCTCTTCTTTGTGTCTATATGTACTCAAAGTTTAGCTCCCACTTATAAGTGAGAACATGCAGTATTTGTTTTTTTGTTCCTGTGTTAGATCGCTTAGGATAATAGCTTCCAGTTTCATCCATTTATTTTTTTGTTTCCTCTATGTCAGGTTGCAGATGGTTATACATATATTTCATCTTTTTATTTTTAAATAAATTATATTTGAGTGTGAGGCAGTAGTAATTGAAATAAGGTAGACCAATACTGGTATATGACTTACTATTGCCTCTGGAGAGAGACAGTATAGTGCTGTGGAAAAAGCATGAAACTAAAGACTAAAAATGGGCTCAAATATTAGCTCCATTTTCCTTATAGTTCTTCCCTTCAATGCAGAATCCTATTCACTTAATTCATCTGAGCCTCAAACTCTACTACTTCTTTTTAAATTCTTTTCAAGGTGACCCATAATTGTATATCAGTTGGCAATTCCTAATTGTTTGGAATGGGGACCAGTTGTCCTGTGGCTGCCAAGTGAAGTAGAATTTTCTAATGTTTCATAAAAGAAGTGTCAATGGAAGATGCCCATGATGTATGTAGTTACTGAATGTCTGTAAAACTGAATATCAGTTGCAGTGTCTGTAAGGCATCTCTAGGTTGGTGATTGTATTCATGTCATTATTTTGTGTGGCTACTTTGTAGGTTCAATGATGTGTAACTTGCCTGAGCTCATTGTTTCTAAATCAAATTGTAAAACAGAATCTCTGCTCTGCAGGACTTAGCTTCCCTCTATGTGGAGTGCCAAGGGTAGTTCTGAATTTGTAGGGTGGCACAAATCTTGGGATTCCACGGTAGATAAGTATGCCATTCTTATTTTTTTCTTTTAATGATTTTCCGCCAACTTTTATAAATTAAACATTTTATTTTGAGATAATTGTAGATTCACATGCAGTTGTAAGAAATAATACAGACAGATCCCCTGTACTCTTTACTCAGTTGTAGCCATTCTAGTCACTTGTCTCTTCCTTAGAAATTCTAGAATAATCTTTTCTATATCTCCAAGAAACTTGCTGTGATTTTGCTAGCAATTGCATGAAAGCTGTAAAACAATTTGAGGAGAACTGACATCACTGGTATGTTGAGTCTTCCAATCCACCAACATGGTATTTTCATCTATTTACATTTTCGCTTATTTCTTTCATTAGCATTATGTAGTTTTCAGTAAATAAGTCCTGTGAATATTTTGGTAGATTTATACCTAAGTATTTTAGTTTTTGAGTGACTGTAAACAGTATTTAATTTTGGTTCCCAAATATACATTGTTAGTACATAGAAATACAATTGAGTTTTCTATGTTTATCTTTATTTTGCAAGCTTTGTGAACTCATTTATCAGTTGTAGGAGTGTTTTTGTAGATCTGTTTAGAATTTCTACGTAGACAACGATATTATCTGAAAATAGAAATCATCTTATTTGTTTTCTTTCTGATCTATATGCCATTGATTGGTTGATCAATTGATTGATTGATCTATATGTGCCTTATTGACCTGGCTAAAGTTTCCAGTGCTATGTTGAATAAAAGTGATGAGAGGACATCCTTGCCTTATTCTCCATCTTAGAGAGTAAATATTCAGTTTTTCACTGTTCATCATAATGCGAGCCACGGGTTTTTTTGTAGATGTACTTAATTGAAGAACCTCCCCTTTTGCTTATTTGACTAAGAATTTTATTATGAATAGATATTGAATTTTTAAAAATGCTTTTCCTTCATTGAATTGATGTAATCATATAATTTTTCTCCTTTAGCCTGTTAATATGATGGGATATATGAATTTTTAAATACTAAACTAGGTTTGCCTCCCTGAAATGAACTCTATTTGCTTATAGTACATACTTATTTTTATATATTGCTGAATTCTATTTACTAATTTTTGTTTGTTTGTTTGAGACGGAGTCTTGCTCTGTCACCCAGGCTGGAGTGCAATGGTGCAATCTTGGCTCGCTGCAACCTCTGCCTCCCAGGTTCAGGCAATTCTCCTGCCTCAGCCTCCCGAGTAGCTGGGATTACAGGCACCCGCCACCACGCCCAGCTATGTTTTGTATTTTTAGTAGAGATGGGGTTTCACCATATTGGCCAGGCTGGTCTCAAACTCCTGACCTCAGGTGATCTGCCCACCTTGGCCTCCCAAAATGTTGGGATTATAGTCATGAGCCACTGCACCCCGCCATCTATAATTCTGAGGGATAGTGAACTGTTGTTTTCCATTTCTATGCTATATTTGTTTTGCTATCAGGGTAATATAGCTTCATAATATAAATTGAAAAGTGTTATTTTCTCTTCTATTTATCTGGAAAAGATTGTATAGAATTGGTATTGATTATTCTTTCTATGTTTGTTCTTGTTACTTCTGAGCTGAATGGGATTTCCATTTCTCCTCATGGTTTCTACTGATACCACAGTAGGATGCCATCCTCATTTTGCATGGTATTAAAGACAAAATATACTAGAGTTCCTCCTTGCATATACTGGTACTGCTTCCTGGACTAGATATGATTTTATAAGCCTGCTTCTTCAGGGTGGATGAAAAAGATAGAGATGATGATTATCAAGTAATTCTCATTGGTATCTTGATGTTTAAATCAAGTGGTCAAGTGACTTTATCTTTTCCTTTTTTTTTTTTCTTTTTTGAGAAATATCGTGCAGTGCTGCAGTCTCAGCTCACTGCAACCTCCACTTCCCAGGCTCAAACAATCCTCCCACTTCAGCCTCCTGAGTAGCTGGGATAGGTGCTTGCCTCCTGGATAATTTATATATCCAGGTGCACTCCTTGATAATTTATTTTTATTTTTGTTTTTTTTTGTAGAGATGAAGTCTCACTACATTTCCCAGGCTGGTTTCAAACTCCTGCGCTCAAGCAATCCTCCCTCCTTGGCCTCCCAAAGTTCTGGGATTACTGGCCTGATTTTTATCTTAATGCTAAAGAAGATGTTTATAAACTGGTGACATGGAAACTCTGATATTGTAGTGTTGAGAATATCTTAATTTGTCTGAGAAGAAGTTTCTTAGCTTTTATTAACTACTTAAAGGGTTCTGTGGACCCCAAATTAAATAAAATAACTACTCTAGAGAATTTAAGCTGCAGAAGAAACTTCTCTTGCACTTCGGCAATTTGGCACTGGTTTAGTAGAGCTTAGCAGTAGGTAACGTTTTAAATCATGTCCCCACAAGGAGGCAGGTGGGGTCCTTAACAAATCGTTCATAGGCAGAAACCACGTTTTGGCTTCCTTAGACAAATAAAATTGGCAAATCCTTTCATGATATCCCTTCCCAGGTAAGATTCATTGAATCTTAATGGATTAGTTACTGATACATTCTGCCCCATATCACAGTCTTTACATCTCAGTCCCCTGCACACAGTAGCACTCTGTAGGTAATGGTCATGTCTGACTCACTCCTATCCCTAGTTTTCAGCACAGAAAAACAATGTTTGCTCTGTTTAAGTTACAGTTCAATTCCTGAATCATATGCATGAATCTAGCTCATTTCATACTCTCATAGCCACAGATGTGATCTAACTCCTAGCTGACTATCTGTAAATGTCTATCACTGATCACAAAGGAAGGTTGGAGAGGGAGCAAATTAAAGTTGTGTCATGCAAGGAATAAGAGCAGGGGCTGCCTCAAACCAGTCATGAGATCTTGGAGAAGTTACTTTATGTTGCTGAGCCTCAGTTTCTTCATCTATAACATGTGGATGTTAGCAGCATCCATCCACCTTATAAATTTTTTCTAAAATAATGAATTATTTTACATAAAATTCCTAATGCTGTGCTTATCGCATAGTAGACAGTGCTTTTTTTATTTTTATTTTTTAAGTATTTGGTGAAAATTCAAGCTCACCTTTTGTAGTATGCAGCCTCTACAGCCTCACTCAGATGGGACCCAGTGATTCCTGCTTCCTGGTATCCATACCCTTGAGTAATCCCCTCTCTTCGAATGTGAACTAAACCTGGTGACTCACTTTAAATACACAGAATACAGCAACAATGATGGCTGTCACTTCCAAGGTCATGCTACAGAAAGATTGTGACTTCCACCTTGTTCGCTACCCCTCACCCTCTCACTTGCTTGCTCTGAGGGAGTTCAGTGCCATGCTGGAGCTGTCCTCTGGAAAGGTCCAGGTGGCAAGGAGCTGAGGGCACCCTCTGGTCAAAATCCAGCTTGTAGTCCAACATCCTGAGAAACACTGAATCTTGTCAACAGCCACTTGAGTGAGCTTGGAAGTAAGTCCTCCCTCCCTTGAGCCTTGAGCTGACTGTAGCCCCTGCCAACATTTTGATTGCAGCTTGTGAGAGACCCCAAACTGGAGCACCCACTAAACCATACCCAGACTTCTGACTCACAAAGTGTCTGTTGTTTTAAGCCATTAAATTGTGGGGCAATTTGTTCCATGGCATAGATTAGTATAGTGTTGCAAAAAAAGACTAGGATATAAGACCTATTGGTGCTAGCTCATAAAATATTTATATTCAGAAAGCTGCCCATTATAGCCATGTTTGTACATTTAGCCATGGGATAACTATGGACGGTTAAGACATGTGCCTCCTGTGCGGTGCCCCCAGTCTGATACCCCCACCTGATGTTTACCTGGTTGAACACAATTTATAATAAGCACAATATCTAAGGCTGAACAGCAACGTGGTGGTGATGGGTTGGGGAGCAGAGAAGGGGAGGAAAAAGAATTAGAACTGACATTTTATGTCTTTTAAAAAATCTGACCTTTTGGAAATATCACTGTGTACATTTAAAATATTAATAAAGGCCCTTGCTGTTAGTAGGCAAAAGGGGTTGTTGTCATGTGTGACCTTTTATTGAAGTAAAAGAAAATTGACAGTTTTATTAGCAGTAGAATATCACATGAGTAGATGCAAAGGAGGAAGAAAACCTGCCACAGTATAATTAGTTACATAAGCTGAATATTGTAAGCAGCTGAGATTTTAGACAAGGGAAGCCTAAATGTGACTTTTGAGCCTCCTCCACTGAAGCCAGTGTTAATTATGGCTAGTTTGGGTAAGCACTATTCATAGACTATTCTTTTTGCAGGGATTATTTATGGATTTTTATGTTTCCTTTTAAAAAAAATTTTAGCCAAGACATTTTCCCCAAGAAAAATCACTTAGAAGAGCCTGTAATCCCCTATCCACAGCTATTCATTTATGTATTTATTCAACAGATATTTGCTAAGCACTCACAATGTGCTTGACATGCTTCTAGGCTCAGAGGAATCAATGATGAATAAAAGAGAAAGGTCCTTGCCCTTGGGGAGCTTATGTTCCAGTGAGAAAGATGGAAAATAAGCAAGCACATAAATGTCTATCACTACTTCATTGAAAAAGCAAGATCTAGAAGGAAGAATCACAAAATAACTGTACTCTTACACTTCAGAACTTATCCAAATTGTGTGATATTAGTTTGCATCATTTCCTGGATGAAATGTTGGTCCAACACGAAAACATCTTTAATTTATATCATAACTCAGACTACAAAAATTCTATAATCACTTTACAGCACAAAACAGTTTCATTTCAGTAATGAAAGTACCCAGCCCCATGGACTAATCAAAACTCTTAACTACTTCAAGTATAGCTAAAGCTTCTCACTTCGCCAACTGATAGAACCCTATAACAGGGAAAAAGGATTGTAGACAATCATTGATTTGTTTTCTTATCTTGTGCTTCTCCTTTCCTCCTCCTCCTCCTTACTACCTCCTTTGATAGTTTCTCACCCCTTTAGAGCTGGGTGGAGGGAGGCAGGGGAGGTCTTCCTTGTGAGACTGCCATGCCCTGGCTTTGTTATGCTCTGGGCTTGGCCAATGCACAAAGCTTTTTCTGCACATGTACTGAAGGAATCTTCAGGGGTCCTTGACATGGATGACGCTAACTCCCAGCTTTTTCTCTGCGGGTGCAGCCTGCAGCCTCGATTTGCTAAGATCCTTTCAACTGAGAGACTTGCCTCTAGTTCTGCTTCAGAGAATTCCACTTTAGGTATCTTCTTTGGCTAGTCCTCTTGATCTGTGAGAGTCCAGGCCATTTCCATTATGGCTGACTCTCCTTGCTTCATTGTCAGGGCAGCTGGGGCAGCCATAATCAGTTTCTCTTCCTGAGACTTTCCACCTGAGGGTCTAACACCACCTGGGGAACACAGTCTCCACCAGATTTCCTGAAGCCTCTTTCAGACTGGGGTCAAACCACCCTGCTTCCCACCAACACTGGGTGAGGGAGGGAAAATCCACAGCAAACCAATGACTCTCCCCATCTCTTTCTTTGATAGTTTACTCTTAATTGACACTGCCTTACACTTGTGAGTATTGGGCTCAGGCCATGACAACCTTTCTTTTCCCCCATCTCCTCTGCAAGTCATGCACAAATAGCCCAATACTTCATTTTAGAATGTGCAAGTGCCTGCCACCTATTGTTTTGTTCTTAGCTTTTTATGACTGTAGCAAAATTAGAGACAGATCAGCAATTAGACTATCAATCAAACATATTTTCCAGGTATTGATAATAGCAATAATTCCAAATAATAAAGCTAACTGTAGTATATTATATTATTGAGGTGATAGGAAAGTCTTTTTAAGGAAGCAATCCACTCACCCTAAAGGGATTTTGCAAAAAGGAAATAGGGAGGAACAGTGGTATTGAGATGACCTTGGGCTTATTTCCCAAACCAAACTATTTTGTTTTTGAGATGGGGTCTCACTCTGTTGCCCAGGCTGGAGTGCAGTGGTGTGATTATAGCTCACTGCAGTTTCGAACTCCTGGCCTCAAGAAGCAATCCTCCTGCCTTTACCTCCTTAGTGACTGGGATTATAGGAATGAGCCACTGTGCCTGGCCCAAATAGAACTTAAACAACTTGAAGGAAAGAGGAAGGGATCATGAGTTATGCTTCTAGAGTGCTCAACATTGCTGCTAGCCCAGCACTGTTCAATAGCAAATATTCAGTATTTTTTTTTTATTTAATAACTAAATGACTGAGGAGGTAAAAAGCAGAGCTGTCCCTTGTTGATAGCGGATTTGTTAGCCATATGAATTCATACCCATTAAAATACGCCATTTGAGTTGGTCAAGTTGGTGGGTGCAGTGTTTTGGGTCTACCAACCTCTGATAACTCTTCTTTTTGCTCACAGTTTTCCTCACTTCAGACCCAGCCTTTCTTTGTTTAGAAAAAGCATTAAAAAAAGCACTAGAAAAAACAAACTGTGATGTACATTTTAGAGATTTTTAAGTTCAAAGCGAATCTCAGGCTGAAGTTTGAAACCTGTCTTGGTTTGATATGTGATTCTTCTTTTACTGATATATTTATGGATGCAGAAAGAAAACTTGGACATTTGCAGAAAACTTTATGAATATTTGAAGAAATGCCTACCAAGTGGAGTTAAGAGACTAAGTGCTTTTATAGCAGGAAAAAATAGCTGTCATAGAACTGAGAGTCAAGTGGGAGTTGTAGGTGTAAACTACATGAAATCCATTTACTGGAAAATAAATATATGTCCTTAAGAAGGACCCTGAGGCAGACAAGGACTGTCCTTACCAGGCACTCCTGGTTATTCCAACACTAGCCTTGATGCAAAACTTACCCTGTGTCTAAGGAATTTCTGTCTTTAAATCAGCTTCCAAGTGGAATTCAGTGACAATGTAGGTTGTTTAAGGCTTAAAAGTGTATGATTAAACCACTTGGGCTGGCATTTAGTTTCAAGAATTTAAAACCAAAATTCATGGGGAAAAAATGGTTATCCCTCTAGGTAATGACAACATAGTCTTTAAAGACTGAATTACTTAATATCAGATAATAGGCCCTCACTTTTTTTTGTTGATTTAGACATTATTCTTTCATTCATCCTACATCTATTAGTCACATCTTATGTGCCAAGAACTGAGTTAGACACAGAGCATAAAAAGAAGTCCATTACCTACTTTTAGCCCTCAAAGGCAAAATGAGGGTCACATTTTATTTTACATTGAAGATCTAATATTTTGGAAATATGGAGTTAAATAAAACACACTTTTAATGTTAATTTCACCTATTTTTTATTTTTTACTTTATAAATGTGACTACTAGAAAAGTTAAGTTGACACAAGTGGCACACATTATATTTTCATTGGATAACACTGGTCTAGAGGGATCTGCCCACACTGTTGAAAATCCAGAAGTAGGCTTCATTACCAATATTATTCATTGGCAGACCAAATACACGGTCAGGACTCTTTAATGGGTATCATTTAGCTTTTCAGTCTGGACATACAGGACTCTTAAAGTCCTTATCTAAGCTTGCATCTCAAGTGCAATACTGTTTATAAAAACATTTTATAAGTTTTTCATTTTGGACAAGAGTGTGACAAGCTTTAGGGACAGTGTTCCTTAAGGGAGAATATAGGCCTATCAGTAAATCTCTAGGGTTGTAGTACTTGTCTACTTAGGTCAAATATCAAAACAAATTGCCCAGGACATCAACTATCACAATAAAGTTTTAGACAGAAATCACCGGTAATCAACCATTAACTTTGTTTAGTTTCGAGAAGACTGAAGAAAACCAGAGAAGAAGATGGAAGAGATCAGGTGTGGTGGGAGTAGAGATACGATTGAGTGGGCAAATAAAAACTACCTTCAGAGAGACACAGTGATTTGAGTAACTGCTTATCAATTAACAGCAATCATGGATGAGGACCCTGTTGTTTTTTCTCAGGAGTTTCCTGGGTATTTTTTTTTAACTTGTAGATTTTAAATGCTTCAAACTTAGGACATGTCTTTGTGGGAGATTGAAAAAATTCCTCTTCCTATATCCATGCTCACTTGTCATGTGACTGTAGCTTTTCCTGTTGAGAGGTGAAACCTAATTCCCCATCCTGTAAATTTGACCTGGCTGGTGACTTGCTTTAATGAATGCAGCAGAAGTAACTGTGCGTCAGCTCTGAGTCCGGATCTCAGGAGACCTTGCATGCCCTGTCTCTCTCTTGAAACCACAAAACAGCTGAGAACAAGTCCAAGCTATCCTGGTGGAAGATTTATTTATTTATTTATTTTAAGTATGAAGCAGAAATAATCTGTTCCAAGCAAGATCATTCCAGAACAGTCACCCTTGTCAAATATCTGGTACTTGACTGTACACATGTGAGTTATCCAGCTGACACCAGAACAACAACCCCGTTGAGCCCAACCCCAATTACTGACTCACAAAATGATGTACTAAATTGATGATTAGCTTTGGCATGGTTTGTTACGCAGCAAAAGCTAACCTATAGAGAGCCCTTGAATTCTTTTATTTCCCTCTCACACAATAGAACCTAAGTTTCTAAGGTTGGGTGACTACTATTGATTAGCTCCTTTGTAACTTTTAAGTGGCAAGACTACTTAAACATTGAAAACATATTTCTTGTTCAAAAAATAATTTAATGTTAGATGATACTGACAATTTAGAAGACAAGAAAGTGGGAGGCTATAAATAGTCTAGTTTTACGTGCTTTTAATGTCAGCTGATTTTCCAGATTCTAAAACAATTTTCTCTCTAGATAAGTTATCACTGAAAAAGCCTGTTATAAAATATATATATATTACATCTTCAGTGATTCTGATCATTTCAGAATGTTTTTCAGTGTTTTATTATGCCCTCCAAAGATTTGAGTTCAGTCATTAAACTTCATCCCCTAGCAGACAAATTGCTGATATTATTTCCGTTTGAGTGGGATAATGCTATAATCAGGGTGCCTTTGGAGTTCTATTCCTCTTCAGAGAAATTGTGCCTGCTTTAATGTGGCTGGAATTGAATGAGAAGGTGATGTGTCATATGAAACTTGGCTATACTAAAGATTTGAGGAAATAAGCATTCTACTTTAAATACACACAGAAGGCAGAAGGATCTTACAGAAACTTTTCCTTAAAATAAAAGTCTGAATCAATGGATGGAGATACAGGTCATGCAAACCAGATTGTGGATTGGCATTTTTTTTTTCTTCTTATAACGAAAAGGAATTTGGGGTAGGAGTGCTGGGCAATAGTTTACATAGCGTGGTGCCTGGTGGGAAAGATGTGTGCTAGGAATATGGGTCTTTGGAAGTTAGCAGAAGATGGGCAGAAAGTGGAGGAGGGAGTGATATGGTAAGAGCTGAACCCATGGCTAGAGAATCCCTCTCTCCAAACAGGTAAGTTGTGACTGTTTCTTGAGGGTGCTGGTAAAGGGAGTGAGCCTAAATGGCTGACATAGTACTGAGTATGGAGATGAGAGAAAACCACAATGGGATGGTACCACTGAGGATTTTATAAAATTGGGGGAGAGACACTGGAACCATCCACATAGTGAAGTTGAGTGTTCCTATTAGGGTTACCTAAATTTCTGACAGGCAGCATGACTCCAGGTTATTTATACAGGCGATACATTGGAGGGGGTTTCTCCAGAATATGGATCTTAAAGAGCAATGTCCAGCTGTATCATTAAATCACTCTCCTGGAACTGAGTCCACCAAACCTCAATTGCAAAACTGCAACTCATCATGCAGGGAGTAAATATTGATCCATAGATGACACAGTGTTCTTTATAACAGGAGAGATGTGGAAACTATTTTGAGATATGCTTTAAAGCCCCTGGGGAAGCACTTCCAAGACTGGATGCTTCAGAGGGATCCAGGTGCATGAGAGAGCCAGGTGAATGATGTAAAATTACCAGAGTGACTCATGAAATTCCAAACTGGAAGTTGGTAATGTTTAACTAAGGTATTTTGTTGTTGTAGAAACTGGAGAGCATTCTAGAAGGGAAAGGAGCTCCATAGTGGGTCCTCATTTGTTGGGAGAGGATTCCCTGTACCCTAGGCACTTGACTGTGTCAGTCCCACAGTAACTGCTTGTCAGAAACTGCTGGTTGTCAGTAACCGCTGGGCCCTGGTGAAGGCTACTCATTTTCAGAAACTGGAGATATTTATTTGCCAGGAATGCAGTGTCAGGAAATGGGATATTTTAAAATTGATGTTAGAACAGTTTCAATCAAACTGGGATTTATGAATTCTTTAGCGGAAATTTTGCATTTGTGGTTTTCATTTGATAAGTGAATAAAAGAGTAACATTTTAAAGGCTACTTTGGGTCCCCCAGATAAGCCCGTATAAGTAAGTCTTGTCCTGCAATTGCAGTGTCAGCATTTGCATTTATGGAGACAAGTAATAGCTCTAAGATATCTTTACATGCTACCAATAAAGATTTTGTGGCTGTTTAATAAGAGAAAACTGGTGAGAGAATTGAGCCATCACTTTTACAGGAAGCACTAAAGTCATATGAAATTCAGAGGCAATACTATGGTACAGAAATTCTATTTTTCTTTAAAAGATATCTATGTGTTACTCATATTTGGAAATACTGGGTTAGAATATGCCACTGAAATGCTGCAAGAGGGGCAGGCCTCTGGTCTGAAGGTGGTGGAAAAGCTGTGTGCTCTCACTTTGGGAATGCTTCCTGCTGCCTCCACTGGGCAATATAGTAGCCCCTAGCCACAAGGGGCTATTTAAATGCAAGTATAAATGCACTAAAGTGAAAATGAAAAGAAGTCTTACATTTCAAATGTTTCAGTTGGGACACCTTCCCCAGCCACACTTCATGTGTTCCATATCTACCTGTGGCTAGTGGCTACTGCGTTTGACAGAACAAACGTAGGTAATGTCCGTCATCACAGACAATTCTACTGGACCATACCGCTCTGTGGTCTCCAAGTCCCAGATGCCTGTTTCTTTAGGGAGATGCCTAACAATACTTGCCCAGGTGTGTGGCAACTGGAAGAATTGTGTGGGTTTTATATCTATTTGCTGATCACAGATGAGCAGGGAGGTGAAAGTCCATATGCATTAAGATGTGAAACTGTGTAGCAAGTATAACACATGCTCAGAGTGTATATTTTGGATAATCAGGCTGGACTGGAATTATTAGTTCCAAGAAGAATGCTGGACAATTTGGATGTCATCTAAGAAGATTCTAGAATTCTCACTCTCTATGAAGTACAAATGAGAGAAAGAAAAAGGGCTGTGGTGCTGACAGCTTTCAGGGAATAAGATGGATTGGCCAGCAAGGTTTCAATAGAGAGCCCTGGTCTAGGCTTGGATAACCAGTGGGATGCTGACGTGACTTGGTCTCTTCTGGTCAGATCCCCACCATGCAGGACACCAGGGATTAGAGTTGTACCCTGCACCCTGGGGAAGTCACCAAACTCAGATATCAGGACTGTGTAGTGACTGTCAGAAGGCTGACCCCAAACTCTGAGATTTCAATCACTCCCAGGAATTCCATGGCATGAGACTGCCATCAGAGTAGCAGAGAGGCCAGACTTTGAGCTCACAAAGCCCAGGGTAGACACCATTAATGGGCTGGGCACCAGAAGACCCTCCACGAGTGTCTGCCATGCATCTGAAAATAGGACATGACGCTGAGTGGAGAGACAGCAAGAAGGCTCTGGAAATTTTTTTGCCAGCTTAACAGATAATGTACATAGAATTAGATTCAACTTGAGTTATAGAGAAAATAAGAGATAAAATAAAGAAATGTAACATTCTTTGCTTATCCAACTTTCAAGAATAAGAGCTATTTTCCATACAGTGGTGTTTGCCACTGAAGCGGAGAGTGGTAGTCAGCTTGGACTGCCAAACAAAATATCATAGACTGGGTGGCTTGAACTACAAATATCTTTCTGACTGTTCTGGAGGCAGGGAAGTCCAAGGTACCGGCAAGGTAGGTTTCATTCTGAGACCTCTTCTCTTGGCTTATACGTAGCCTCCATCTCCCTATGTGTTCACATGAGCTCTTCTTTGTACATGCATGGACATGGGGTAGCAGGGGCAGGCAAATGGGGAGGGAGGGAGAGAGAGAGAGACAAGTGACAAGCTCCCTGGTGTCACTTCTTATAAGGACACTAATCCCAGCACGAGGACCCCACTCCCATTACATCTAAACCTAATTACCTCCCATCCCAATGTGACCACCTTGGGGGTTAGAGCTTCAACGTGTAAATTTTGGGAGACTCAACTCAGTCCATAGCACAGGGGAAGAGAGTTTATGCAAGGTTTCTGTAGTGTGGTATGTAGGCAAGAGATGAAATGCAGGGGCTGGGCACTGTGGCTCACACTTGTAAACCCAGCACTTTGGGAGGATGAGGTGGGTGGATTACCTGAGGTCAGGAGTTTGAGACCAGCCTGGCCAACATGGTGAAACCTCATCTCTACTAAAAATACAAAAAAAAAAAAAAAATTAGCGAGATGTGGTGGTGTGCATTTGTAATTCCACCTACTCAGGAGGCTGAGGCAGGAAAATTGCTTGAAACTGGGAGGCAGAGGTTGCAGGGAGCTGAGATTGCACCACTGCACTCCAGCCCGGGCAACAGACCAAGACTCTGTCTCAAAAAAACAAAACAAAACAAGAAAGAAAGAAAGAAAAAGAGAAGAAAAGAAAAGAGAAAGAAAGAAAGAAAGGAAATAAATAAATAAATGCAGGTAGCGTTTAAAGATGGAGGGGAGGAGGCAGGTAAATCCTTGGAAATGTAGGTCCAGAAATTCTGAGATAAATGGAGGCATCAGACTCAGATGCAAAACTAGGGGCTTGAGCCAAGTTAAGCTAAATCTATAAGGGTTAATAAATAGCAAGTTGTGTTATTCTTTATTTTAATAAGTACTACATTATATACTACATATATGTGTAGTTATATTTTCTACGTTATAACTGTGCTCACCATCACCTCATTTTTTATTGTTAATATAACATGTTATATTAACAAACATTTATATCATGCTTACTATGTGTGTGACACAGTTGTAAATGCTTTACAAATATTGACTCACTAAATCAGCATAACAATTCTAATATGTAGAACTAACTTCCACGTTTAGAAATGAAGTAACTGTGGCACACAGTGGTTAGTGATTGCCTGAAGCTTCCACTGATAGAAATGGCTCTGCTGAGATTAAAACCTAGAAATCCTGGTTTCAGAATCTGGATTCTTCACTCTTTTGCTCTGCCAATCCTCCCTCCCTCCTTAATCTTTCATTTTACCCTTTGCTGGTTAAAAGGTGGAGCTTAACAGAAAAGGTCAGCTCATGCTTCGGCAGATTTTGCTAAATTTGGACAAAGCAAAACCCTCTTTAGTCCTTGCAAACCATTTTCTGCCAAGAAGACTATGACTAACTTATCTGTTTTTCTTCACTCTCACTCAACATCAATGGAACCACCTTAGGTTGTGAGTCTTAGTGGAGGCGTAGTTGAAAATTCAAGCCTCCCCTTTAGAGATAAAGTTCAATGAACCACTGAGCCAGAGCAAGGAGTTAGGAGATTCGACATTTTTCAATGGAGATATAATTCACGCACCATACAGTTAAACCCTTATGTAGTAGACGATTCAGTGATGTTCAATATAGTCACAAAGTTGTGCAAACATTACCACAACCTTGTCCCAGAATATTTTCATCACTCCAAAAAGAAACCCCCACCTCCCTATATTCTTTAGTGGTCAATCTAGTCTCTCCTCCCCTCAGCCCATGGCAAAGACTGATCTATTTTCAGTCTTCATGAATTTGCCTATTCTGGACATTTTTTATAAACGTGGCTAAATAATATGTGACCTTTTATGCTAGCTCCTTTCACCTAGCAAAATGGTCTCAAGGTTCATCTATGTTGTAGCATGAGCCAGTATTTTATTCCCTTTAAAGACATAATATTCTGTTGTAAGGCTAAAACCATTTTGTTTGTCCATTCATCATTTTGTTTGTCCAATTGATGGACATTTGGGTTGTTTTCACTTTTTAACCAAATTTATAGGTATAATCCCTAGTGTTTCAGAATGTGACTATATTTGGATATATGGCCATCAAAGAAGTAATTAACGTTAAATGAGGTCATTAGGGTGGGCTCTCTCATTCAATGCAACTGCTGTCTTTTTTTTTTTTTTTTTTGAGATGGAGTTTCACTCTTGTTGCCCAGGCTGGAGTGCAATGGCACCATCTCAGCACACCGCAACTTTCGCCTACCGGGTTCAAGCGATTATCCTGCCTCAGCCTCCTGAGTAGCTGGGATTACGGGCATGTGCCACCTCACCCGGCTGATTTTATATTTTTAGTAGAGATGAGGTTTCTCCATGTTAGTCAGGCTGGTCTTGAACTCCTGACCTCAGGTGATCCTCCTGCCTCAGCCTCCCAAAGTGCTGGGATTACAGGCATGAGCCACCATGCCCAGCCCTGATGTCTTTTAAGAGGAAATTAGGACACAGATACAAAGAAAAGACCTTGCAAAGGTAGAGAGAGAACATCTACAAATAAAGGAGAAAGGAGTTGGAAGAAATCAACTGTGTGAACACCTTGAACTTCTAAATTCCTGGACTTTGAGAAAATAAATTTCTGTTATTTAAGCCACCTAGTCTGTCATACTTGCTTATGGCAGCTCAAGCAAAGTAATATAATTTCTTATTTTATTATATAACATTGATCCAAACTTGCCATTATTTTACACAAGTGTTTGCTTAAAAGTTTATTACCCATCATCCCAACTAAAATGTAAGATTCTTGAGAGTAAGACTGTGTCAGTGCTACTCACTGCTCTGTTTCCAGCACGTACACCAGCAGAACTGGGGACTTAGTAGCTGGTTAATAATTACTTGTTCATTCAATAGTAAATCAATGAGTTGGGAGGGATTCTAGGCAAATAGGGAAGCAAAATATGGCTCTAAAGTTTAAGTTTTAATGCCAAAAGGATGATGATTCCATTGATAGAAATAATATAGTCCAGATGTTGACCTAGTTTGGACAGTGGTTGAGCATTGGCTTCAGTGTTATTAAATTTCCAGCAATAAACATTATACCTAGGTAGAAAAGTCCATAATGCAGTTATAAATATGGAATTGAACTTTAAAATACAGGTTAGGGCTAGTGACTAATTTAGGCATACAACAAAACCAACTAACAATGGCCTAAATAAGATAAATAAAGGCTTATTTTTCTTTCCTAAACAAAAAGTCTGAAGGTCAGCTGTTTAGAACTTAGATGATAGCCTAGGGATGCAGCCATCTTCTATCCTTAGCACATGGCTTCCTTCCTTAAGGTCTTCTAATAATTACAAGTGGACTGTGGAAGTTCCAGCCATCAGATTCACAGTTTAGGTAGAAATGAGGATGAAGAGCTGAAAGGATCTGCCTCTCAGATGAATCAGCCTATTTTAAGACCTTTCAAAAAAAAGTCCTATTTAATGACTTCTGCTTGAATTTCATTGGTCACCTTGTATGCAAAAGAAGGCAAAAATGACATCTAGCTAATCATTGATGTGTCTAAAAATATGAGTTCTATAACTAAAGAAACAGGAGAGGTGAATATTATAGTCTCTGCCCCTAGCAGTTCATATTACACTTGTATGGAGAAGAGAGGGTTTTATTTGTGAGTGCTGTATTATTAGTTTCCTAGGACTGCCATAACAAAGTATGACACAAGGGATAACTCAGAACAACAGAAACTATTATATCATAATTCTGCAGGCCAAAAGTCCACAGTACAACCAAGGTGTTGAGAGAGCCATGCTCCCTCTGAAACTGGAAAAGAAGTCCTTCCCTGCATTTTCCTAGCTTCTGGTGGCTTGCCAGCAGTCTTTGGCATTTCTTGGCTTGTTGATGCATTGCTTCAATCTTTTGTCTTCACATGGCATTTGCCCTACGCATCTTCACATAGTTTTCCCTCTGTGTCCATCTGCCTCTGTGTCCAAATATCCCCTTTTTATAAGGACAGCAGTTATATTGGCTCAAAGCCCACCCTGATAACCTCATTTTTAACTTGGTTAAATTTGCAAAGACAGAAATAAAGTCATATGCTGCGGTACTGGGGTTAGGACTTTATATATCTCCTCTGGGGAAAGTAATTCAACCCATAACAGAGCGTATTGTGTTCTCAAGACAAAGGTTTCCAAATCCTGCACTGAGGCAACCCACAGTACTATTGTGAATTCACAAAGGTACAGTAGAATATTTTAAATTTGAGGGGAAACACAGGCCTACTTAACATGTATAGGACCGCACAAATTATTAAATCAAAGTAGCTCACAGTTTCAACATTAACTCATGCTATGTTCTTGTTAATGATGCCATAACTTTGAAAACACAAGATTTCAAATAAGCAAACATAGAAATCAATGTGGAAAATGGAGTGAGTGTGAGGATGTTTGATCTGATCCTGAATTTTGAAAAGTTTTGCAGTGGTCAACAGGTACACACAACCTATTAGTAACTGTGCTTGTTTAGAACTGAGCCAGTATTTAGGTATGTCATGTTTTCAAATTGCTACTAATTTGTTAAGACGTACATACTTATTAAGTTGCTCAGATATAACTCTTTAATGAATGGAACCATTATTGTTTCCTTTGGCCTAAGGGCATTGTGAAACAAATTACCAAGATACCAAGGATGTCATGAATCTAGAAAACCTGGGAGCGTCTGAACAAGGAGCTCATTAGAAGGAGACAGGACATATGACCAAGCAAGCACAATAAAGTGTGAGAGAGATCTGAAAGAACACTATATTGGCAGAAAAGCAGATTGTCCAAATTCAAAAGAGAGATGGCACTTTTTCTGAGTTTCAAAAGCAAGGGAGAGTGAACATCCATAAAATCTTGCAGAATGAAGGAGAAAGGAGTCTGGAAAAAGCACATGGAATCTGAAATAGAAAAAATTCATTTCCTGGCATGGGCTTTGGGAAAATGCACCAGATAGAGATCATCTTTTCTTTCAAGTTTGAGAAGCAACTAAAAGGTGAGGAAATGAAGAAATTGAGTGCATAGTCATCAAGATAGCTGTTGATGAAGGGAGTGAGGGAAGTAGGACAGTAGCTTATAGCCTCTGGGATTCAGGGCAGGTGTTTGTGTTCAGATTCTCTTGAAAGCAACATGTAGGAAAAAGGCACTGGTAAAGGTAGCTTATCAGAATGTGACGTAGGGGACAGGAGTGAGGAAAGGAGATGAGACAGGGAAGGCACTGGTAAAGGTAGCTTATCAGAATGTGACGTAGGGGACAGGAGTGAGGAAAGGAGATGAGACAGGGAAGGTGGAACAGCCAATAGGAATGTGCTGTATCAAGGGCATCACTGTAGGAAATGGGGTCTTGATTCCATGGGCCACATTCACTTACAGTAAACATCTCAGAATTGTCTTCATGACAAACAAGAGGCTGGGGCACATTCCCATCCCTCATGGACTTTACCTCCTCTATACTTCTGGGCTGTGTGTTGAGTGGCTTCTGCCTCTTTGAAGGTGGCTCCAAGACAGAAGAGCAGAGAAATTCCCAGATGAAGGTGGCCTCTGGCAGCTTGAGACTTGAATGGACCTGCCCAGCACAGCTGTGGTTAAAATCCGAGAGGAACTGAGAGGATGTGACAAAGGGAATTATACTTGTTTGCTGCAGAGAGTATTTGTGTGTAGAGGGAAAGGCCATAGGAAGGAGAAGACACATGTATTAGAGCAGTGATTTTCTAAGTGTGGTCCCTGGACAAGTAGCATGAGCATCACCTAGGCACATGTTAGAAATGCAAATCCTTGGGCCAATCTCAGACAAACTGAATTAGAAAATCAGGTCTTGGGCCCAGTAATGAATGTGCTTTTGAATAACTCTTCTACGTAATTCTAATGTGCACTAAAATTTGAAAGTCATTGTGTATGTGTTCATGTGCATGTGCGTGTGTATGTGCATGTGAGAGACAGAAAGAGAAGGATGGAAAGAGAGAAAAGAGAGTCAGGTGAGATGTGAGAAGTGTATGAAGTCCCACCATTATACATCATTCATTCAAATATTATTTATTGAGTGTGCATATGTGCAAGCCACATCCTCTTCATCCTATGAAGAATTGGCAAAAGCAGGAGAACATGGACCCAAAGGAAATACAAATATTCTTCTCTCAATTTTTTAGTCAGTAATGTCAAAATCCATTTCATTCAGCCTTTTATAAGACATAGTAAATGCAACCAAAACTGATTACTCTGAATTTTATTACCTCTTTGTATCTCTCTTCTGACATGATGAAAAAGTGAAATGGCAAAACTGTGGATAAATGAGAAGAGAATGAAGAGGAGGGTATGAGCCACCAACTAGTTAACTAGTACTTGAAAAAGGCAGAACTGAAAATATGCTCCTTATTCTGCTGTCCATTCTATACTTTTGTGACAACTAAAAAAGCAGTAAAATGTTCATGTTTCAAATTGGGGATGAATACCTTTTTGATGTCACACAGGCACAAAGCAGTTATGAAAAAACATGCATCATCCTCCATGCCTAATTTCTAAGAAAAAAATAAGCATGAGAGAAAGTTTCTATTCATTGTGATGACAAGGAAAAAAGTTTCTTTACTTATAGTATGTAACTTAGAGTTATGAACTGAATACTAATCTGAAAACCAAGCCCATCTTTTTTTTAATGGAAATATGTCCTGTACTATAAAAAAGGTACTGTAAAACTTTTCTTTAGAGAGGACACAGATTTCTCTGCTATTTAACGATCACAAAAATAATTCCTCTCATTTTTGATCTAACTCCACTTACTCATGACTGAGTCAGTTAACGATACTGACTCTTACAAAGAGCATTTTATCTGGAATGACATTGGTATTGGGAGTGGGAATGTTCCTCTGGCTGTGAGAGGGTACTACTACCTTTTGTTCTCTCCTCCAAGGTGAAGAGAATACCCATTACTCCTCTTTGTCTAATTGTCCAGTGAGGCAAGGGTCTTGAGTTTCTTGCCTTGATGGAATACATTATCTGACTGTGCTGTTTTGAGGCATGGTATAGCCAGAGGCATAATCTATCTGTAAATATTTCAGCACCTGTCTATTTCTTTTGTCTAAGCTTTGATGGAGGATGGCTTTTGATTTAAAAAGCCAATATAAAACCAATGCTGCTGCCTATAGCCAGGAGTGGATGCTCAGGAGACAGAGAAAATGAAAGAAATGAGCACTTCAATATGTAGCGTGGATTATGTTAGGATTACTAGCAAATAAAAATGTATACAACAGGGAGAATGCTCTATCAGAGATTAAATGTCTTTTCTTTTTATTGGCTATGCTCTGGAGAGAGATGATCCCTCATTTTGAAGGCACAAAACCTATTTCTTTCCGTCACCCATGACAAAGTAGGGAAACTGTGTGTGTGTGTGTGTGTGTGTGTGTGTGTGTGTGTGTGTGTGTGTGTCTAATCTGTCTCCATGGGTCAAAGGCAGAAAGTTTTCAGGCAGAAAACTTTTTTGATCTAAGAGGAGGCACTATGGCATCCTAAGAGGGGGATAATGAAAGTTAAGTATTGGAAGATGCTGACCTTTAGACTGACCACAGAAAGATGGGGTCAGTGAGGACAGAAGGCCCTCAGAGGATGGGCAGGCCAAGTCCTGATAGCAGCTCCCAACTAAAAGGACCCCTGTCAGCACTGCTCTCTCTAAGCATGGGTTAACATGTAAAAGACAAGTGTTACCCTACTCTTGATTCCCCCAATATATCCATACTCTGGGCATGTCATCTGAATGTCCTCCAGGTGCCTGGAGGCATAGCTGCATTCTGTGCCTCAGAGATGCTCCAGGGGCATAGAAAGATGTACAGGATTTCTTAATATTTAACAAGGTGGAAGGCTTGGTGTATTCATTTTGATATCAGAAATCCCAAGTTCCTAAATCCTGGTCATAGTTTGGGGTATGTTGAGAAACAGAGGGTATGGGCAATCTTTGTTACCAATGCAGACCTTGATAACAATGTGCATTAATAAATATCCACAGGTATATGTCTTTCAAAATGAAAAATTTGGAGTTAAAAAATAGATGACTGATTTTTCCTACTTTAAATCTTACTATAAAAGCTACAATAAATAAGACAGTCTCAGATTAGTGAAAAATAGATAAACAGATCAATGAAACAGAAGAAAGGACTTAGAAACAGACCCACACAAACAGCCAACTGATATTTGAAAAAGAAGCAAAGGCAATTCAATGAAGAAAGAATAATCCTTTCAGCAACTGGTGCTGGAACAACTGGACATTCACAAGAAAAAAAAATAGATCTTATATCTTTCACAAAATTAACTTAAAATGGATCATAGACCTAAGTGTAAAACACAAAACTATAAGACTCCTCGAAGATAACATTGGAGAAACCTAGGTCACCATGGTTTTGCCAATCACTTTTCAGATATAATAACAAAAGCCTTATCTATGAGAGAAAAACATTGACAAATTGGACTTCATTAAAATGGAACATTTCTGCTCTATATAAAACCCTGTTCAGAGAATGAAATAACATGCCATAGACTGGGAGAAAATATTTACAAAACACATATTTGATAAAGGACTGGTATCCAAAATACACAAAGAGCTCTTAAAACTCAAGAATAAGAAAACCAATTATCTGATTAAAAATGAGTGAAACATCTTAATAGAAACTTGCTAAAAATATATAGATGGGAAAAAATGTATATGAAATAATGCTCAATACAATATGCCATTACAGAATTTCAAATTAAAACAATGAGATACCTCTACATACCTATTAGAATGACTAAAATCCAAAACAAGGCAAACACCAAAGGCTGACCAACTTGTGGAACAACAGAAACTCTCATGAATTGTAGGTGGAAATGCACAATGGTACAGTCACTTTGGAAAACAGTTTGGCAATTTCTTACAAAACTAAACATACTGTTGCCTATGATCCAGCCATTACACTACTTGATAATTGCTCAAATGAATTGAAAACTCATGTGTGCACAGAAACTTGCACATGAATATTTATAGCAGCTTTATTTAGAATTGCTAAAGCTTTGAAACAACCAAGATGTCTTTTAATTGGTGAATGGATAAACAAACTGTGGTACATGCATACAATGAAATATTATTTGTTGATATAAATGAACCATCAAGCCACAAAAAGACAAAAAGAAACCTTTAATACAAATTTCTAAGTAACACGAGCCAAGCTGAAAAGGCTACATCTTGTATAATTTCAACTATATAACATTATGGAAAAGGCAAAACTAGGAGAAACTGAAAAGATTAGCGATTGCCAGTTGTCTGTGGGGAGAAAGGGAGAGAGGAATAGGTGGACCGCAGGAGACTTTTAGGGCAGTAAAACTATTCTGTATGACACTGTAAGGCTAGATAAATGTTATTATACATTCATAAAAACTCATAGAAGATAAAACACACACGGTTGAACTTTCATGTAAACTATGGAATCTAATAATTTATCAGTAGTGGCTTATTAATTATAACAATTATACCACATTAATGCAAGGTTTTAATAATAGAGAAACTGGGTGGGAAGAGGTGAGGATATATGAGAACTCTGCACTTTCTGATTATGCTCATTTAAAAAATTTTTTAAATTTAAAACCACCGTAAAACTACAGTCTATTAATAACAAAACAAATAACCTGTTTTTTATTAAAGGACAAAGAACTTGCATAGATATTTCTACAAACTAGTTATATAAATAGCCAACAAAGGCAAAAGAAGATGCTCAACGTCACTAATCATTAGATAAATGCAAATCAAAACCATCTTACACCAATTAGGATGACTACTGTAATAAAAATAAGGACAGTAAGTGTTGATAAGGATGGAGAGCAATTTTAACCTTTATTATTGTAGAGAATATAAAGTCAGACAGCTGCTACAGAAGACAGTATGGTGGTTCCTCAAAACATTAAAAATAAAATTACTTCATAATCAAGCAGCTTCACTTCTGGGTATATACTCAAAATCATTGAAAGCAGGGTTTTAAAGTGACATTTGTAGGCCGGGCGCGGTGGCTCACGCCTGTAATGCCAGCACTTTGGGAGGCTGAGGAGGGAGGATCACGAGGTCAGGAGTTCGAGACCAGCCTGGCCAATATGGTGAAACCCTGTCTCTACTAAAAAAAATACAAAAATTAGCCAGGTATGGTGGCACGCACCTGTAGTCCCACCTACTCGGGAGGCTGAGGCAGGAGATTCACTCGAACCCGGAAGATGGAGGTTGCAGTGAGCCAAGATCATGCCATTGCACTCCAGCCTGGGTGACAGAACAAGACCCTGTCTCAAAAAGCAAAAACAAAAACAAAAAAGTGACATTTGTACACTTAAGTTTATTTTAGCAAATTCACAGTATCCACAAAGTAAAAGCTACCCAAAGGTCCAACAGTGGATGAATGGATAAACAAAATGTGGTACATATATACAATAAAATGTTGTTCAGTCTTGAAAAGGAAAGAAATTCTGAAACATGCTACAACATGAATGAACATTAAGGACATCATGCTAAGTAAATTAAGCTAGTGACAAAGAGACAAATACTGTAAGATTCCACTAACATAAAGTATAAGTAATCAGATTTATACAGACAGAAAGTAAACTGGTGGTTGCCAAGGGCAGGAGGAAGGGGAGGAATGGGGAGTTGTTTAACAGGTGTAGAATTTTTATTTTGCACAAATAGCTAGAAGAGAAGATTTGAAATGTTTTCAACAAAAAGACATGATAAATGTTTAAGGAGATGGCTATCCCAATTACTCAGATTTGATCATTACACATCATATGCATGTATCAAAATGTCACATGCACCCCATAAATACGTACAACTATTACGTATCAGTAAAATTATGCATCAATAAAAAATTTTTTAAAATTAAAAATAACTACAGAAAAGATAAAATTTCTGGATGTTGATTACACAACAATGTCAATGTACTTAACACTAATAAACTGTATACTTAAAAAATCTTGAAGCTGGTAAGCTTTGTATTATGTGTGTTTTACCAAAATAAAAATAAAGTCTATTAATGTAAAAATAGATAAGTAAATAGACTTCCAGTTTTAGCTTTCACGGGTAAAGAGATGGTAGTTGTTACCCTCATGTTTACAACAACAACAACAAAGCTGAGAAAAATAAGCCAGGGACCTTTCTTGGACCAATTAGAGAACTGAGGTTGCAGGACAAACCACCCTTCTGAAATTTGGAAAGACGGGTAAATCAAGAATGACAGCTAAGGTTTGCATACTTGGAGGAGAAACCAGGAGAAACCATGTTAGTTATAAACTAGAAGAAACTCAGTTGGTAATGTTGAAATATTTCTGGAAGCTGAGTATGTACAATTTGTGAAAAGAAGAACCTCCTGAAGACCAGTCTTGAGGAAACCTCATATTTTCATGAGTTTTTACTTCCATGAGACCCACCAGGTTCCTGGGATGAAGATCTAAGAAAGATCCCCTTCAGGCCCTGGCAAGGCAGAGGAAGAACAATCATTGTGCAATGCATCTAGAGCATTCTCCATAACGAAGTCTTACTATCCAGGGGAAAATGCTTTTTGAGAGACTTATCCGGCTCCAAAGGGCTTTCTTCTTATTCCAGCCTCCTCTAATATTCCTATCTCACCTAAGAGGGAACAAAAACACATAGTCGACAGGGGTCACAGGCTGAAGAAAACAGATTTGAAATACTTTTAACTAGGGAAAGGAGTAAGGGAAAGAGGGGGAAAATCTACACTGGAGTGGCACATTTGAAGGTTACCATCCAGAGACAGGCCAACTAAGATGCAGACGTTTAATTATAATACTTTAGAATACCCCCTGCCCCACCACACATGCAATCACCTTACCATCACACCAATACCATTCCAAATAAGAACAGTGGGTTAAAGCTGAAACAGCTGTAAAAGGCAGCCTCTCTGAGGAAGAGTATTTAGGGAAGCCCAAAGTAAAAGAAGGAGACAAAAGCAATGACACAAGAGATCTTTGAAATCTCTGGCACCCACAGCTTCAGAAAACATTAAACCATGGTCCAACTTCTAGCTAGATTAAACAAATTACTTCACTAAATGCCTATTTACTACTCTTCCTATTAACCAGTGCATGTCTGACTCTTGACAAAAAGTTAAAAGACACAATAAAAAGCAGAAAGTAGATTAGTGGTTGCTTAAGAATGGGGATGATGAGGGGATGGGAGTAATAGCTAAAGAGGAATGTACTAAAACTCAATTTTATATTTTAAGTGGAAAAAGTGCATGGTATATGAATTTCATTAAAAAACTGTTGAAATTTTTTAAAAAGTGAAAGGATAGAGAAAGATATATTATGCTAAAAGTAAACTAAAGAAAGCTGAAGTAGTCACATTAACTTCAGACAAAGCAGACTTCAGAGCAAGATAATTTATCAGGATTGAAGAAGAGCATTACATAGATAAATGAGTCAATTGTCCAAAAAAGACATAATAAAGCCAAATGTGTATGTACCTGACAACAGAGTGTCAGAATATATGAGGCAAAAACTGATAAAACTAAAAAAAAAATTTGACAAATTCACTATTTTTGCTGGAGGCTGAACACACCCCTCACCCCTCTCAGTGATTGAGAGATTAGGAAAGAAGAAAACCAGCAAGGATGTAGTTGACTAGATCAGGACTATCACTCTACTTGAACAAAATGACATTTATAGAATACCTCAACCAATCACGGAAGAATACAGATTTTTCTCAAGCTCAAATGGAATATTCACCAAGGCTGACCACATTCTGGGCCATAAGAAACATCTTAACAAATTTAAAAGGCTAGATGTCAAAACACGTATGTTCTCATACCACAATGACATTAAACAAGAAATTACTAACAGAAAGACAGCTGGAAAATTCCCAAGTATTTGGAAATTAATCAACACAATTCTAAATGACACATGCAAATAAGATAACTTAAAGAATATGAAAAAAATAAACCAAGTCAAAATGAAAATCAAATGTATCTATATTTATGGGATGCAACAGAAACAGTGCTTAGGGGAAAATGTGTAGTATTAAATGCTGGTATTGGAAAAAAATGATTTAAAATCAGCAACCTAAACTTCTCTTTTGAAAACTAGAGAAAACAGAGCAACTTAAGCATGAAACAAATAAAATAAAAGCGATAATAAAACTTAGAGCAGAAACCAATGACATTAAGAAAGAAAAAAAATAGAGAAAAAACAAACCAAAAACTGGTTTTTGAAAATATTATATTAATAAATATCTAGCCAGACTTATCAAGAATAAAGAAACAAGTCATAGATTACCAATATCAGAAATGAAAGAAGGATGATCAGTATTGATGCAATGGAGAGTAAAAGATTAGAAAGAATATTATAAATACCTCTGTGGCCACAAATTTAATGGCTTGGAAGTAATGGACCAATTCCTTGAAAAACACAAGGTACAAAAACTCACACAAAAAGAAACACTTTGAATAGGCACCTATATATATTTTATATATATATATAAAATATATGTAATATGTGTATAATATGCATACTATGTATAATATATAATTTTAACAAAGTCCAATATATCAATATTTGTATTGTGTGTGTGTGTGTATGTGTGTATTAGATCAATATCTACAAAAATGAAGCACCAGTATCTCAGGGGGCTTCACTTGTGAATTCTACCAAATATTTATAGAAAAAAAATACTATTTGTTTTCCACAATTTCTTCCAGAGACTATTAGGTTGGTGCAAAAATAATTGCGATTTTTGCTATTTAAAAGTAATGGCAGAAATCGCAATTCCTTTTGCATCAACGTAATATGATCAGAGGGAGAACATCCTGACACATTCTGTTTCCCTAGTACTAAAACTAAACTAATAAATTACAAGAAACTTACAGGTTAATATATTTCATGAACATATTTGCAAATATTCCCAACAAAATATTATCAAATTGATGCCAACAAAGTATAAAAAGAATTATACGCCATGAGAGAGTGGTATTTATTTGAAGCAGGCAAAACTGATTCAGCATTCAAAAACCAATAAATGTAATCTGCCACATTGAGAGGCTTTAAAAAATCACATTATCATACCAAATGATGCAGAGAAACATGTGACAAAAATTCAACACTCATTCATGATCAGTACTTTCAGCAAACTAGGAATGCTGTTAAATTCTCAACATGATAAAAAAAATAATGCCCACAAAAGCCTACATTTAACATCATGCTTAATGGTGGCAAAGTGGACACTTTCCTCATAAGATTGAGAACAAGTCAAAGATGTGCCTTCTCATTACTCATATCCAATTTCCTATTTGAAATTCTAGATAATGCAATGATAAAAAAGAGAAATATAAACTTTATAAAGTAGAAAGAAAGAAAGAAATTGTCCCTATTTACAGATGACATGACAGTCTATGTATAAAATCCCAAAGAACTGACAAAAATAAAACTCTTTGAAAATAGTGAGTAAGGGCCGGGCGTGGTGGCTCATGCCTATAATCCTAGCACTTTGGGAGGCTGAGGCGGGCCGGTCACCTGAGGTCAGGAGTTTGAGACCAGCCTGGCCAACATGGCAAAACCCAGTCTCTACTAAAAATACAAAAATTAGCTGGGTGTGGTGGTGGGCGCCTGTAATCCCAGCTACTCGGGAGGCTGAGGCCAGATAATTGCTTGAACCTGGGAGGCGGAGGTTGCAGTGGGCCGGGATTGGCTATTGCACTCCAGCCTGGGAGACACAGTGAGAACTCTGTCTAAAAAAAAAAAATAATAAAGAAAAAGGAAGAAAGAAACGAGAAAGAAAGAAAGAAAAAAAAGAGAGAGGAAGGAAGGAAGGAGAGAAGGAAGAAGGAAAGAAAGAAGAAAGAAAAAGAAAATAATGAGTAGGGATGGCAAACTTGGGATACAGGGTTAATATGCAAGTCAATTTACTTTCTGTGTACTAGCAATGAACAATTGGGATTTAAAATTTGAAAAGAAAATAGCACTTATAATAGCCCCCCAAATGACATATTTGTGTATAAACCTAACAAGATATGTACAAGATCTATAAATGGGAAGCTACAAAACTATTACAAAAGAAATGATATTAATAAATGGAGAGATATTCCAAAGCTACAATAAAAAGTTAGTACAGTATTAGCAAAAGAACAGACACATAGAATGATGAAACAGTACAGAGTCCAGAAATAGGCCCCCTGTATACAGTTAGCTAATCTTTGACAAAGGAGTAAAAGCAATAAAATAGACAAAGAATAGTCATTTCACCATATAATTCTGGATCAATTGGACATCCATGTGCAAATAATAATAAAAATTTTTTAAAAACTACACAGAAATCTTAAACACAGATCTTATGCAAAAATTAACTCAAATAATATACCTAAATATAACATGCAAAATTATGGAACATCTAGAAGAAAACATAAAAGAAAATATTTATGACCACTGGGATTTGTGATGGGTTTTTAAATAAAATATCAACATCACAACCCTTGGAAAAATATTAATGCATTGAACTTTGTTAAAATTAAAACTGCTCTGCAGAGACACTGTCAAGAGAAACAAAAGGCAAGCAACAAACTAGAAGAAGATATTTGCAAAAACATATGTCTGGTAGAGAACTTGTATCCAACATCTATAATGAACTCTTAAAACTCAATAATTGGAAAAAACATTAAAAATGAGTGAAAGATCTGAATAGATCCTTCACCAAAGAAGATATTCAAATGGAAAATAAGCATATGAAAACATGCTCAATATCGTTTGCAATTAGTGAATTTCAAATTAAAACGATAATGAGGTATCAGTATATACCTAATGCATATTGCTTTAGAAGGGCAAAAATCCAAAAATCTGACAATACTAATTACTGCTAAGGATGTGGAGCAACAGGAATTCTCATATATTGCTGGTAGGAATGCAAATGGTATAGCTACTTTAGAAGCAGTTTAGCAGTTGCTTATAAAGTTAAGCACAGTTTTACCATATGATTCAGCCTTCATTGTTTCTAGATATTTACCCAAATGATTTGAAAATTTTTTTCCAGATAAAAACCATCGCATGAATGTTTATAGCAGCAGCTTTATGATTATGAAGTTAGAAAAATATAGAAGCAACCAAGATGTCTTTTAATAGGTGAATAGCCAAACAGATGGTGGCATATCTATACCAGGGAATATTATTTAGTGACAGAAATAAATAATCTATCAAGTTATAAAAAGGCAGGTATAAATATATTTCTAACTGAAATTTCTATCTCTAAGTAAAACCTATTCCTAAGCATATTTCTAAGTGAAAGAAAACAATGAAAAGACTACATACTGTATAATTCCAATTATATGATATTCTGGAAAAGGCAACACTATAGTTATGATAAAAATATCAATGTTTGCCAGGGGTTTAGAGGGAAAAAAGGCAGGTTGAACAAGTGATACACAGGGAAATTTTTTAGGGCAGTAGAATTTTTCTGTTTAATACTATAATTGTGGAAACATAAACTATGCGTATATTAAATCCCACAGAAATTTACTGTAGAACAAACATTAGTGTGTGAAAATTTTAAAAAATCATTTAGGAGTTTGGGAGAGCCCGAGATGGAATGCAGCACGTGACAAAATAATTTACCTAAATTACAAATCTATGAAACAACTTCACTGAGCAGGGTGGAGGAAAAGGTGCTGAACTCAATAACTTTGGATATAAGTGGAGTCCACTCTTTGAGTGGAGTAGAGTCTGTAAGACTAAAGACAAAAGAGAGTGTACATAGACACCATACTGTGGTGGATAGAGTTGATTTTCATGAATATATGGGTTAATAATTCTGTTGCCAATGCACATGTATCCTGAAATTGGACAATTCAGTGGATGGTAGGAATCAGATTTCTAGATGTTGAGGGGAAGTTATAAATACATAAGGAGAGGAGAGTCAAATGCTCCACATGGTAATAAATTAGAGTAGGAGACATCAGTGCTAACTGATATTTAGCTTAATATAGATACATATGGCTACATATATAAATTTTATAAATATGTAAATATACTACTGGAAGCAATGACACCACAGTAGCAATGAGCACACCTATGACCCAGATATTGGTTTGTCATACCATTCACCATTAACAGTACAGTGCTTCTTGTAAAAATGGTAGCTCCTAGGATTGTCAAATGAAATATATAGGATGAGCCTTAAAAATGTGGTATTGCCAGAAAGTACGAAAGTACCTGGAAAAATACCTCACTCTGATGGGGATATGGCAAAGGGACACAGAAGCCAACTTAAAGAGTTCTCAATGGTCAAAGCTAGAGAAATTTAAACAATAAAATCAATAGAAAAATATTGGATTATAACCCAAAGTATAAAGTATTTATGAGCCCATATTAACATAAATAAATGATTGCATAAATAATTAAATGAAGGAAATGGACAAATATCAAGTACAGAATAATTCCAAATAATTTATTTAAATTCTCAACCTTCAAGGAAGAGGTGGGTATCAACTTCTACTGTTTGGTATGAGCTATGCATAGTTACTTCCTTTAAAGAGCACAGTATGGAAATTGTGAGGAAAGAGGGTAACTTTAGAGGGGAGAAGCCTGACAAACACTACCTCAGCCTGGTGATCAATGTCAATGTTGTTATGTGATGAAAGTGGCACTTTACCTCTGTGGTCTTCCTCTCTTGACTAATTCTTTCCCCTTTCTGTGACTACCTGCTTTCTCTATACACTGTTTCACTTCTGCCCTACAGTTTAGCCATTCACTGATGACTTTTAGTCTTACTCTTTAAGACTCAGCTGAATGTATACAACCTTCCCCATTTGCTAAACATAGGCTCATATGTTCTTGGTTCCTGTTATCGTTGATTCCACTCTGGAAACTCTTGGCTTCCATGTCTCTGCATTTGTCCCAGTCTCAGAGTTACTTCTTGGGGTACTTCCTGATTATTTGTTTACGATTTACTTTGAGCTTGAACTTAAGACTGCAGTATGTGTATTTCAAACTGTGGCGTTGATATATCAAGGCTAGATTTTGGTGGACATGTGGGTGGTGACATTTCATTTTGCTTTAGCCCTTCTGGCCCTGCAGTTCTCAAACATGTTACTCTCATTTCTGCCTTAGGACCTTTGCACTTATGACTTCCCCTCTTGGAGCACTCTTCTTCCCCAAATTTCCATCTCATTCTCCTTCATCCAGGTCTAGTCTCAAATCTCAAGCTCTTTAAAAAAAACTTCTGTGACTATTCTAACTAAAGCAATATGCTCATCTCATAACTTTCTATTCCCAGCTGGCTTGTTTTTCTTTTTAACATGTTAATATTATATATTACATAATTATGTGATATAATTATATAATTATTACACATTATAATTATATAATGTAACTTACATAATTATATAATAATCATATACATATTATATAGTTATATAATTATATATTTCTTATAGTTTATTATCAGTCTCTCTCTACTAGATCATAAGCTTCATGAAAATGGGTGCTTTTTCTGCCTTTATCACCATATTTCCACCATCTAGGACAGTGCCTAGGGTACTCTAACCATATTTGACATTGCATAAGTGAATATCACTCCATCTACCAAGGGTAGTTTTTCCTGTCCCAGAATACATCAGAGAGAGCTTAATATTCGAATAAAATATAATGCTTCCAGTGCTGATGTTTCAACTGGATGCTTGACTTTAGCTGCCTCTTCCCCTACATCCATTGCCATGTACCATTGATGTCTGACTTCTGCTGAGGAATAACTATGAACTCAGGCTGTGGGCATCCTGATGTATCATACCCATGTTTCCAATTATATAGTGGCTCAAACTGATGAGCAGTCCGTGTCAGAAAAGCTGCAATGCCAGGGGAAGCAGAGCCCGCCATGTACCTACAGATCCTTGGATGGAGAGCTTCCAGGACACTCATCTTAGCTACAGTCTCAGATGGTTGAAGCAAAACATTGAAAGTAATGATATGGCTCTGTTGCCTGGAGAAGCACCCAGGGTCCTTGGTCATGCGCCGAGAAAATTAGTGACACGGACACATGTGGAGTGGTTTAAAGAACAAAAAGTTCAACGGGCAAGAAAGAAGAAAACAGCTCCCCCATAAAGAGGGAGGTGGGCTCCGGATGGAAAAGCCCTGCCTATGGTGAAAAGCAGTTGGTTATATTGGGAGGCTGGAGGAGGTGGTGTCTGATTTGCATAGGGCCCAGGGGATTGGTTTGACGAGGTACGTCATTCACGTAGCCCGCAAAAAAACTGGCCCTCCCACTCTAGCATTTTAATATGCAAATACGGCTTCCTGGCCTGTCGCCATGTTGTCCTGCATACGTGGCTTTATCTGGAGGCTGTCATGACATCTGGCACACGTAGTGACAAGGAAAAGAGGGCAAGAGGCTCCATATGGAATGCACCTGGCTTCCAGGTAGAGCTGCTTGCATTTACATATAAAAGCTTCTAGTGTGCGTATCTATGCCTGACTTCTAGGCTGCTTTCTGTTAGAGAAGAAATGGTTTGGTGGTTGCTTTTCATTAAAGGAAAATTCCACCAAGAACTTTCACCCTTTCTATCTGCCTAAAAATTATTTCTTAATAACTCCTGTATTAGTAAGAAGCGTATATCTGTGAAATGACGGACAGGGATGGGTAGAGTAGAGCCCACCTGGCCTATGGCATTGGGGATTTCAAAGCAACATGGTAACTCTTGTACAAAGTAGAAAGCCAGAGACCATCAGAACCAGTAAGCATGGTCCACTGAGATGGCTGGGATCCCCATTACTGAAACAATGCTTTCCAGAGCAAGAGTCCATATATTCAAACCAATGATGGGCTCAGCAGACCCACACAAATACCATACCCTTAACATTCCTGGGAAGATTGTGACAAATCCAGTCCCTGAACTCAGGACCCAAACTCTGACACAGACTAATGTGGCTTGTTTCTTCCTAGTATGCTGACTTTGATCTTCTGTGCTGGCTGGCTTACTTCACCAGCCAGTACCATTAAGATAATCTAGGAACCATTAATTCTCTACAAACCATTAGACTTTCAACTGACTTCCGACTGCAGTCCCTGGTTCACAGTTCAGTAAAACTCAAAGGTAAAGAAAATGGTTTTAGATCAGTGATTCTTGGTTCAAGTCCGGGAGGCCTCTGCTTGATCTCACAGGGTGGCAGTATACTGCAGTAGTTACCAGTTCAGACTTGAGAGCAGAGAACTGGCCTCCAAGCCTAGCTGTACTATGTCTCACTGTGGGATGTGGAGCAGATGCTTATCTTTTCTCAGCGTTTGTTTGCTCAGCTATAATAGTGGCTGCTTCGTGGCATTGTTGTAGAGCCTGTGAAATAATCCATTAAGTTACTTGACATGGCTTTCACCATCATCTTTTCCTACTTCTCCAAGGTGAAGTCTCCACTATAGGAAGCAGTATCATTACTGTCACAGAGCTCTGGGTACACTTCCCTTCTCTTGCCTGTGAATGTTGTACCATCCACATAGATCATCTTCTTTTCTCTTATGTTAAACTTACAGAGTGCATGTTTGGAGTAGATTTCCCTGAGCACTCTATGAATTGTCCTGTCCTCTTAACTCTTAAGATAATTAAAATCTGTGCTGATGCAGATAGTACATGCTGCCATGCATTCTAGAGCATTCTCATTTATTCATGACACACTAATGGACTGTCTACCATATGTCAGTCACTGTAATAGATGCTGAGCATACAAACAAGACCTTCCTCTTTTCTTAGAATCTGTTTCCAGTCTGCTGAACTACAGACAGATGAGATTATCCCCATGCATAGAAGCCCCTAGATGGAGGGCATCTAATTACTGTTGGGCTAAGGCTGGAGGCCTCGTGGAGATGATGCCCTTCATGTGTTTTCTTGCCCTAATCATTCCACAAGTTCCTTGAAGCCACGATTATCTCAGGTCATTTATAATGCTTTCATATGGAAGATTACACATAGTAGGAGCTCTGTAAGGCCACCTCACTAAAAGTAAATAATATCAACTAAAAATTATACAACAATTTTAGGAAATAATTGTAATAATTTAAAATATAAAAATTTTCCTAAGAAAGGCTGCTGGCACAATCTTTAGATGAACAGATGCAGCCCATCTCATGTGCAAACTGGGTGACAGCCTGAAAATGTGCATCTCAATGTCCAGCAACAGCCACAGAAATGTTCTCTGAAAGTGAGGCTCCCCACAACCTCTAGGCATGAAAGGCTGTGGGTGGAAGACTTGCTCTTTCAGGTTCCTTTAGGTCCACAAGAAGTTTCCATTGATCACAGTCTCCCCCAACCCCCCCGCAGGTTCACAGATTGGGCATAGACCTCTGCCATCGTTCCTTAGACAGATGGCCCAGTAAATTGATTAGCTGAAAGCTCAATGTGATTATTATGGTTTTTGCTAAAGGATATTTATTTTTCTTGACTAATTATCCAGTTTGGAGATTTCCTAATCTGTTCTGTCTGGCCTAGTGTTTAGAAAAGCTTGTTTCTCATGACTGATGACTTTTCAGGCCACTGCAAACTCTGTTTAAGCCACAGAAAGAGAAGCAGGCAACAGAATGGCTTTACTTCACCAGTGTATGCTATTTAGGGAACGTGGCTCAGCTAGGAGAGAAGGTTGCTATGTTCAGGGGCATAGAAATGCATCTTTGCACCCCAAAAAGATGAGAAATGATTAAATCAATATATCCAGGAACATGTTTTTTACCTTCTTCATCAGCAATGGGTTCTACTGAGTAATTGTCATCAAATGTGCAGCTTACCCTCTCAGTGTTAGCCATTCACCCAACACTGTCACTTATCATGTGAATGGTATTGAGATGTGTCAGTGATTCTTAAAGTATGGTACCCCAGATCAGCATCACCTGGAACTTGTTGAATGCAAATTGTTAGAAAACAATACTGTGGTTTAATAGGCCCTCCAGGTGATTCTGATTCATTCTGAAGTTTGAGAACTAATGAAATAAAAAATGATGTATAAGAGATAAGACTGCTGACTTTTTATTTATCTGTAAAGATTCAGAAAAGTTTCTCGTATTTAGGGTATTCAGAATACAAAAGGGTGCTTTGATTTTAACTTTAGTACATAATTCAGGAAGCTGAAGAATGTTTCAGGTAAATATGAAAACCTTTAAGTCCCTTCTCAATTATTTTTCATCACACTTCTGACCCCTAGAAGTTGAGAGATACTGTCTAAGCCAGTATTCCTCAGATACTGTCAAGATCTCTTTAAGTCATCTTGGCTGAGTTCAGTGTGGTTCCTGCAAAAAGTAGGGATTCACCCCATATCTCGGGCATATTCTTGGGAATCCCACATATTTACCACACCTGGATTTGCACCAGAGAGACTTAGAAAAACTTCAATGCATGAAAGAGTACCCAGATCAACCCACTTGCATAAGAATATTTCTTGAAAGATCTAATCCCATAGAAAATTTCCGATGGGTTATGGACATGAGTAGATTGTATTTAGAATTCCTGTGTTAGTATGACACTTTGGTTGTAGGTAACAGAAAACTTAGTTCTAGTGAGCTTAAACAAATAGGAGTGTGTGTTTCATTATGTAAAGTTCAAAATAGCCCAACTTCAGCCACAATGACAACTGTGTCTTAGGAAATCTTCTCTTCATCTCTCAGTCCTGCTGCTTTTCTCTGCTGAATTTCTTTTTAGGCAACATCACCTCAAATAAGGACAAGGATGGCCTCTATTAGTTCCAGGCTTATGTGCCACCAACATAGTAAAAATCAACTTTTGTGGTAGCTCCATCAAAAGTCCTGGTGAGGGCACTCAGGGGCTTGCCTTGGTTCATGCACCTATTTTCTAGCCAGTTACTAAGGCCAGTGCTGAATTAGTCTGACCCTGGAGTAAAGGCAATGCCAACCAGGAGAATCAAAAGAAAAGAAGGGGGTGCTCACCTGTGTGGACATTAAGGGCTCTGTTGTCCATCAAGTGTTATCAAGCTGGCAGAAACAAGTGATTTCTATTGCAAACTCCAAGAAAATGTGTAGAGCTCAGGATTTAAGAAGAATGCTGCTTTCTGTTCTTGCCATCTATAAGCATAGTAGGAGCTTTCACTCCATTACCAGAGTACACATTTAGGGAAAAATCAAGATTATTAAATTCGATGTGGACCAATACAAAGTCTTTTGTTATTTCCTTAATAGGTAATTCATATTTATATGGTATTATGCTAGATGGTGGGGAAGAGGGCTATATTGCGATGGTTTTTACACATTTATGAGAACATTCTAGAAAATCAGGATAAAAAGACACAACAATTAATTATCTAAAAATTCCAGGACTAAGTAGTCTACAGAAAACTCAATTTTGAAAATATATTCAACAAGTCACTGGTTAAAAAGTGGTTCATATCCTGGCTAACAAGGTGAAACCCCATCTCTACTAAAAATACAAAAACTAAGCTGGGAGTGGTGGCAGGAGCCTGTAGTTCCAGCTACTCGTGAGGCTGAGGAAGGAGAATGGCGTGAACCCAGGAGGCGGAGCTTGCAGTAAGCCGAGATCGCGCCACTGCACTCAGCCTGGGCGACAGAGCGAGCCTCCGTCTCAAAAAAAAAAAAAAAAAAAAAAAGGGGGTTCATAAAGCCATATAAACAGATTTTCTGTCTCCACGCACATTTTCAAAAAAGATGCTTAACTTCCAAAGGACAACCATGCCCATTCCTCCTAATCTGAGGATTCATTCATTCCAGCAAATATTCCATATGTTTTAAGAGCCTAGAGCAGAGCAAAGCATATCCAGGCTAAGATACATACTCTTCCATGCATAACAAGGAGTCGCTTGCATTTTCATCCCAAGTGTGAATGGTAGGTATGGAAGGGCAAGTGTTTAATGAAGTGTGGAACCTCAGGGTGGACCAGAATGCAGTGAGAGGTCATTGGATGCAGCTGCTGCGTTGATGACTTATCTTTGACAGGAGAATGAGGGAACTCTGGCTGAAACACCAATGTCACTCCTCACTGCACTCCTGTCGGATGAAGCCTAATGTAGATAATTCTGTCACAGGAGAATCTCAGCCTTGCCAAAAGCTACAGGGATGAGCCCTCCCGCTCTGATACTGCCCATTGCCCCCTTCAGGCTTGAAGGGGAAAAAACAGTGCCAGGCTACTGTTGTTGGTGGTGTTGATATGTCCAGGTGAAAAGGTCACTCCAGGTAAATTTCAGCCTCTTCAGTGTGCTGAGTTCAAAGGTACTGCAGAAGGATGAGGTGTGTGGCAAGAGGGAGGGAGGAAAATCAAATTAGAAATGGCAGATGTAGAGTGTTCAGACTCTAGACTCAGAGGGACTTGGGATTAGACCCCAGCTCTACTGTTTATTCACCATGTGTGGTCAGGAAAGGTTAACGCTTTACATCAGATTCTTACCCACTCAATGAAGGCTCAGATTTGGTTATAAGGATTAAGAAAGAGGCCAGGCACGATGGCTCATGCTTGTAATCCCACCAGTTTGGGAGGCTGAGGTGGGCAAATCACCTGAGGTCAGGAGTTCGAAACCAGCCTGACCAACATAGTGAAACCCCATCTCTACTAAAAATACAAAATTAGCCAGGTGTGGTGGTGCATGCCTTTAATCCCAGCTACTAGGGAGGCTGAGGCAGGAGAATCACTTGAACCTAGGGGGCAGAGGTTGCAGTGAGCCGGGATCATGCCATTGCACCCCAGCCTGGGCCACAAAAGGGAAACTCCATCTCAAAAAAACAAAAGAAAGAAAGACAGGTATATGAAGTGTCTACTTGGTGAGCACTCAATTGATGGCAATTATTGTGAGTAGTATAATCTAAAACAGTGGTCACTTTTCTGCCAGTTCTGGAACTTTACCATAAGTAATCCCAGAAACACAAATTTTAGAACTGTGTACTATAAGTTGGTTCTAAGGGAAATTTTGAAAATTCAGGTTTATTTATTTTCAGTGTTTCTTTCCTTGAGGTATTTCTGATTGCTTTATGCTATTTGACACTGGCAATAAATTGTCAAATTTTGATGCTATCTTAAAATACTAAACTGTCATATTCATTAGGTCTCTTTTTTAAGTTAGTGAATTTTCAGCTTATTTGTGAGACTATTTCTATCATTATTTGAAAATAAGATATAGTTTGATAAAGGTTGCTACTGAAAAAAATTTCTTTAAAATGTTTTACTTTACAAAGTCAAAAAATAAATTAATATATTAAATGTTAAAAGATATCACCTTTCCTTAAAATATGTTAGCTTTCACCTTATTTTTTACCTTCTATGAAGTTTATGGGCTCAAAAAGAGAGTCCAGGTTTGAAGTAACTGGTGAGAAAGCATTTTCAATTCGGTTTTGGGAATGAGTGATCTGAACACAGGACATAATTACAGCTGAAAAAAAGGTGTTTCTACAGTGATGTCAATAAAATTAAAAGAATCATAAAAAAGATAAAAGGAACAAGAAAGACGTCTTGTTAAGACTACAAGAATATATATATATGTATACATATACGTATATATGTGTATACGTATACGTATATATGTATATATGTATATATATACATACACATATACATATATATACATATATGTATAGATGTGTATATATATACATATATATACAGACGTATATATAAAAGGAAAAGCTATACTCATATCTAAATCCTAGAGCACTTTTAACTGCAAGATATGGAAAACCAGGCTAATCAAATCGACTTGAGCAAAAAATTGAATTTAGTCATTTATTCGCTCACATATCCAGAGAAGTCCCAGGAGTGAGTCAGGATTCATGCTTCACATATTCAGACCTCAGTTTTTCTCAATCTTCAAATCTTGTGTCTTCTCAGTGGACATTAATCTTTGAGCACTACAGCCTAGAAGCTGCTCTCTTTTCTAACAGCTGAACATGTTTATTAGGCTTCCTCTTGTGGTTTCAGTCAAGTCCTCATCCCAGAAGCAATTCCTGTGACCAAGGGGATGTGATGCCTTGGCCAGTTAGACCTGAGTCTTATGGACACCCCTCAAGTCTGGAATATAGTTCCCATCATAAACCACATGTGATGATGGTGGAGGAGGTGAGAGTTCCCCAGGAGGAAATCAAATGCAATTATTGGAAAGGGGAAGATGACTGCATTCCTCAATGTCCAGTTTAAATTCTACTTTCTCTGGCAAATCTTTCCAGAACACATCTTACACAGTGACCACTTCTCCCTCTCAACACACAAAATATACTGCAAGTGATGTGCTTGCCTGACAGCCATTCTCCTAATTCCTTGTACTGTTCTTTACATCTTAGATTATTCCAGGGGATGCTTGTCTTGGTCCATTTGGACCACTATACCAATGTACCATAGACTGAACCACTTATAAATTACAGAAATTTATTTCTTATTGTTCTGGAGACTGGAAGTCCAAGATCAGGGTGCCAGCATGGCTAAGTTCTGGTAAGGATCCTCTTCCGAGTTGCAGGCTGCCAACTCTCAATGTATCCTCACATGGTGGAAAAGACCAAGGGAGCTATCTGGGGCCATTTTTATAGGGTACTAATCTCACTCATGAGTGCTCTGCCCTCATGACCTAATTACTTCCTAAGGACCCCGTTTCCTAATACCATCACTTTGGACGTTAAGATTTGAAAATATAAATTTTGGTGGCCCATAAACATTCAGAACATGGCAATGCTGTTGGTGCCTCATCCAGATTCCCTTTACTAGCCAGTGCACCCTTCCCCCACCACCCGCTGTGAGAGTTGACTGCTAACACCTCACAGTTGCTCTGCTTCCTCAGATAACTTAGCTGAACTCAGCCATTTGGCCAGAAATTTGTGTCCCATACTTCCACCCAGGAGCAGCCCATAGCAAATGTCTGCAACTCATTTTCTCACATGGAGAACAAGAGGCTTATTCCCTTGCCTTGAGGCAATATCAGCTCTGTGGCACAATTCACACTCCAGAGCTGCCTATGTGATTAGGCCCAAGCTGAGATCTTCATTCCGCTCCTCTCCTGCCCCATCTATATTTAGAGAACATACTTTTAAAATCAGCTTTCTTTTCTCTTTTCTTTCTCTCACTTTTATTTTTCTTCTCCTGAGAGCTTCTCTCAGTAAGTCAAGAGTCTCGAATCTCTTTTTCAGTTTCTAGGTTTGGATAACTTGATATAAGGTAATTATTAAACTTGTCACATTCATTTGTCTCTAATAAATGTAAGATTCCTGTGAAGAGGAACCATGTTTTGGTCTATCCCTAATTTTTAATATGATTTACGTTTTCATATATGTACATGGTGCTTTTCCAGCTGCTTTGAGAAGGCAAGACCACATCTTCTATTGCAATATTTCTCAATCTTTAATATTCATACAGATCCCCTAGAGATGTTATCAAAATGGCTTAGTAGACCTAAATTAAGGCCTGAGATCTGTAGTTCTAAGAAGCTCCCAAGTGATGCTAATGTTGTCGGTCTGTGTATGACACTTTCAGTAACAAGTTCTACTACACATCAATTATTTTAAATCACCCACCGCATTTAGTACTATGCTTTCTATCCCATAAGCATTCAGTAAATGTTTGTTCTTAGACTCTGAACTAATTGAAAAACATAGGAATTGAAGGCATTTTATTGAAAAGAAAGCTGATTTTAAAAGTATGTTCTCTAAATATAGATTTTCTTTCCTACATCAATGGCTATCAGTAAAAGTTACTAAGGGAGGCTTTTTTTTTTTTTTTTTTTTTTTAAGTTTCTAGATAGCCTGCAACAGAAATATTTCCTGAACTTAATTTCTTCTGTTCCAGGACACAGAGCTAAGGGGCCAATTAGTAACAGTCCAGTATTTCTTAGATATGCCAACGGAAATTGAAGACAGTAATTTTGTGAAGAATTAGAATTTGATTTCTTATCTGGCATCGGAAATTTAATGTCCACACTGAGCCTCAGCTCCTGAGTTTCATCTTGAAGTCACTCACGCTTGGGCCTTTGGTTCATCTCCACAGCAAGGATAACGGCTGCAGTCAGGCTTCTGCTGAGATGTGCATTTCAGGTCTTAGGGCTGTAGGTGACTTCATCCCAGGGCTCACAGTTCAGCTGTCCTTCTGACATTCATCCTATTAATTATAGATGAGATACTAATCAATCTGTCATTCTGGAATTCTGCAGAATCTAGCTCTGCTCTCAACAAAGAGTGAGAGTTCTTCAGTGTTATCATCAGATCTTTCTTTTGGAACAAAGATTTGTATTATGTTTCTCTCTGAGAGGGAGAAAAACTATCAAGTCTGATAAATTCTGATATACAAACACTGAAAGCGTATAAAGCAGTACAATTTATTTTGTATAAATATGTGGTTTTCAATCCTGAGTTTATCAGAATTGCCTGAAGGGCTATGTGAAAATACAGTTTTAATAGATCTGGGGCATGAATCTGGACTCTCCAATTTTAATTAAGCTCTCTAGGGATTCTGATACACAGGGATGAGCATCATTGGTGTAAAATGCTAATTTCTAAATTTTCATGAGGATCAGAATCATCTGGAGGGATTTTTAAAACACAGTTTCCTGAGTTCACTCCAGATGTTCTGACTTAGCAGGTCTAGGGAGGAACCTAAACATTTGCATTCATTATTGTTAGTTGTAGAGATAGGGTTATAGCTATGTTGTCCAGCATGGTCTTGAACTCCTGGGCTCAAGTAATCCTCCCATCTAGGCCTCCCAAAGCATTGGGAGTGCAGGCATGAGCCACTGAGCCCAGAGCAGAATTTGCATTTCTGAAAAGCTCAGGTAATGCTGATATCGCTTGTTCATAGATAACCTGTTATATATGATATGGTTTGGCTGTGTCCTCACACAAATCTCATCTTGAATTGTAGCTCCCGTAATTCTCATGTGTTACGGGAGGGACCCTGTGGGAGATAATTGAATCATGGGGGCAGTTTCCCTCATAGTGTCTGGTGGTAGTGAATAACTCTCACAAGATCTGATGGTTTTATAAGGGGTTTCCTCTTTCACTTGGCTCTCATTTTCTCTTGCCTGCCACCATGTAAGACATGACTTTGCTCCTCCTTTGCCTTCCACCATGATTGTGAGGCCTCACCAGCCACGTGGAACTGTGAGTCCATTAAATCTCTTTTTCTTTATAAATTACCCAGTCTCGGGTATTGTCTTTATTAGCAGCATGAGAAACAGACTAATACAATATAACAGTAGTATAGCTACATATTAGAATCACTGTAGAGATTTTAAAATCTCATGCTCAGAACAAGTACCAGCATCTCTGGAAGTAGGACAAAGGCATCAGCCTTTTAAAAAATCAGGTTATTTCAGTGTGCAGTTAAGGCTGAGAATCACTGGTGGGGAGCAATATAGCATCAATCTTACCTTCAATTTTTAGAAGGAGCCACCTGTGGAAACATGGAATGGTGAAAAGCATTAACTTTATGATAGGCAGATGCAAGTTCAAATCCCGACTCTGCCATCCAATAACTGAGAGCCTGGGTGCACATTACCTAACCCTTTTAAGCCTCAGTATTCTCATCTATCAAATGGGTATTATAGCAATAGTATCCTCCTCAAATAAATGAGATTAAAAAAAAGTCAAAGCTTTTGCCACAAAGGCTAATACACAGTAAATGCTCAATAAATGCACATGGATATTATTGTTACCATTGTGTCATTTGTTATTATTATAATTGTCATTATGTAAAGAATTTTAATGAAAATATTTCTTTTTTTAATTTTAATTTTTTAACTTTTATTTTAGGTTTGGGGATATATGAGAAGGTTTGTTACATAGGTAAACGCATGTCACAGGGTTTTTTTGTACAGATCATTTAATCACCCAGCTATTAAGCCCAGTACCCAATAATTATCTTTTCTGCACCTCACCCTCCTTCCATTCTCCACCTTCAAGTATACTCCAGTGTCTATTGTTTTCTTCCTTGTGTTCATAAGTTCTCATCATTTAGCTCTCGCTTATAAGTGAGAACATGCAGCATTTGGTTTTCTGTTCCTTCCTTAATTTGCTACAGATAATACCCTCCAGCTCCATCCATATTCTTGAAAAAGACATGACTTTGTTCTTTTTATGGCTACATAGTATTCCATGGTGTGTATATATCACATTTTCTTTCCTTACCATGCAGAATGCTATTTCCAACTACTTCCTTATACCTGATATTCTTTATTTTAGAGTCTATGTGGTGGGTGTTTTGGGGGCTGAGGCCAATTATTCGGCATTATTTTACATATAGACAGATAGTACATTTAGCTTTAAATATCATTCATCTCTTTGTGAATATATGTCTCAGATAATTTCCCAATCACAAGTTTTAAAGACAAGAAGGATGTAGACTGAAAATCTTGGTGTTATAGAACACCTGCAAAGCTGGAGGAGAGACTATTTTCAAAAATGACTCCAACTTTTTACCCATTTCTGTGTCTATACTCTGCAATGTGACTGTGCAATTCTTCCCATGAGGAGAATAGATCTCTTTTTCCACCTCTTGCATCCGGGCTGTCTTGTGAATAGCTTCAGCTGATAGAATGTGGTGGAAGTGATTGGCAGCAAGTTCGGAGCCTGGGCGTCAAGAGCCCTTACACACTTCTGTTCTCTCTTCTGCTCTTCCATCTTCATCATGAGAACATGCCAGGCTGGCCTGCTGGCATATATGACATGGGGAGCAGAGCAAAGTCAACCAAGTTGTCCCAACTGAGGCCCCAGATACATCAAAGAACCCAGCCAAGATCAACAAAGTCTCCTGGTCAATCCATAACTCAACTGACGCAGGAATAGTCAACTCAGATCAGCAGAACTGCCCAGCCAACTCATAGGTTCATGAGAAATAATAAATGGTTGTTGTTTTAAGCCACTACATTCTGGGCATAGTTTGTTATACGGCACTAGCTAACTGACATAGAAGATTAAGTAAAAAGATTATTTTTAAGTAAGTGAAGATAATAGGGACTGGGAATAATGGAAGCCACATTTCACTACTTCAAAAAAATTGTTTAGGGTTGGTCATCTGGACGTATTACATATAACCTGAATGAGCCAGCATTTATTTACTTTCTCAAAAATAAATTATATCACATTGGGGTCTCTGAAATGACATTTTTTGTGATATTTTCTGGTAATATAGTTGAAGAATAGGTGAGGGGCGTGTGTGTGTGTGTGTGTGTGTGTGTGTGTGTGTGTGTGTTAAATTTAGTCAACAGTCCGTAGACACCCAGGAAGTCTCCAGGAGGGAAGACTTCCTGGAAGATTCTGTTCCAGACAAGAAACAGATGACATTTCTAGTGTGTAGGTCATAGACAAGGCTAAAGCAACAATAGATAGTGCCAGTTTCCTATTTTAGGCTTATAAGATTTATCAGAAGCTACCAGTTACAGGCCTATCAGCAAAGTCACCCAAGTAGTGGGGATTGAGGAAAGGTGGCAGCAAGGAAACTACTAATTGTGCTTTTTAAAGCAACTGCCTCCCAGGAACATGGACACGTAGCATTTATCTTCATAGAGCTATTGGAAGGCCCACAAAGGAAGGTACTGTGAGGTCATGAGCTAGTGTCACTGTGCACTTATCAGTGCTGAAATCCCAGGTGATCTCATCCACCCCTCATAGAGATAATAAGAACTACCAACATTCTTCTTCAACAGAGTCCTTTTGTAAATGTGCTTTAACTGTTCAACTCTGTAAGACAAGTGCCTAAGAGTGTAGTATCTAATTATTCCACAAAAAATTGAGTTGGTATTTAATCTTGTTAAAGTCTGTAAATAAGTTTGGCAAGCAAGCTTACGGATGGCAACTTGACACATAAAATATTTCATTTTGGGGTGTTGTCGGTGTATGTGATTTGATTTAGATACTTCACAATCCACAATGTGGGAGACAGGGACAACTAAGCAATAAAATTTTTCTCTCAGGTTAGTTTGATCACAATGCCTATAACAAGAATGTCCTAACCACAGGAGTCATGATGACTGGGCATGTGATTTCTAGGTTGTAATGGATATTTACTGAGCATCTTCTGTACATAATGGGACCCTATGTGGGCCAAAATGATTGAGAAACATTCCCTATCTTTAGAAACAGGTAACATTGGAGGAATCAACATTAGAAGGAAAATCAGACAAAGTAACAAACAGTTAAACTACAATGTAAAAAATACTATTAGAAGTGAAAAAGAGAGGGCTGGACTGCAAAAGAGGTGGAATTAAGAAAATTCTCACTGGGATATTGACACTACTTTTGAAGGAAGAATATGAATTTGCCTACCAGAAAAGCTGGGGGAGACCAGCTCTGGTGAGAGAAACAGCTTGTGCAATATTATGATGCCATGATGGACCTTTGTATATTTGGGACACGGCAATTTCTTTGGTGTGGTTAGAGGTTGCACTTGCTAGGAAGAACAAGAGACGCTGGAGCTGAAGAATCAGGTCTGGGTTAGATGGTGGATAACCTAGGGATGCCATGATAAGGATTTTATCCTGGAAGAAATGGAGAGGGTAAGTCTAGAAGCAGGGAGGCCATGTAATGGCATATGGCGGGAGTCTACATCACAGATGGTGAGAGCCTGAAATAAGGTATTGTGCTGCTGCTCGTTGGGAAGCAGACCCTGAGCCAAGGATTTGTGTGTAAGTGGTTTATGAAGGCAGTACTTTCAGCAGAATGTGTGAGGGAGTATGAAAAGCAAAACAGAGAAGGCGAAAAAGTCAAGCAAGGGTGTGAGTTCAGAAATAGCATCACCCTCAGCCTGGTCCTAGGATGAACTCTGTAGCAATAATTACTCCTCACTCTGTAGCATTAATTACTCCTCACCCTGTATCCCATACCAGCTAGCCATGGGCTAGAATCCATCCTAAGGGAGATGTAAACTCTGAGTCACTTCTGACTCTCTCTACAGGTGAGGCTGGTTACAGGCCCAAGGTCAGTCCTCTGAAGGTCAAAGGTATAAACTTTTAATGGCAAGAGCACAGCTGGGCAATGGTGAAAAAAAGTTGGTTAAAAGACCCTAGAGGATCTGAATGGGGTACCAAGGGTATCCACTACACAGCTGTAATGGGAAAGGGGGACAAAGAACAATAGTTCCCAAACTATGTTTCTGGGGACATTTAATTGTGTGAAATTTCTACAGGAATTAGCAATGGGAATGGTGGTTATAAGTTTGAAATTGCCAAGTTGAATGAAATTAAAAACCTTGTTTACTGCAGAAATTCTCAGATCCTTTGATATCCCAAGAGGCCAATAAAATACAAAGCATTTTCAAGCTCATTTAATGAGAGCACACCTTGGGAAATACTTGAGTTGGGAGGTATTAAGAGTTTGCATTGATTGAACTAAGTAGATCGCTATAAATGTTGAAAGTGAGGAAGGTGTCTGGGTGACTTTCATGTTTCTGACTTGGGCAGTGGGATGGTAGGGCAGGTTGTGGGTAGGGGACATGAATAGTTCATTTTTGGATTTGTTGAGTTTAAAATCTCTATAGGAAGGAAAGAAATCCGTGCTGTTGATTTGCCAGAAAGTTATCACTTAAGTTTAATTTATAGATGAAATTACTCAGGATGAGGGTATAGGCTGTAGGAGAACAAAAGTTCTGAGGGTGGATATTTGGAAGACACCAGGGTTTAATTAAAGAGAGTAAAACCACCCCACAAAGGAAACTGACAAGGAATATTTGGAAATGGAGGATAACCAAGGGCGAAGAGGTCTAGTAACCTAAGAACTAAAAAGATACATTTTTGGTTTGCAAACTAGATCATTTATAATCTTTGTGAAACAACATTAGTGGAATATTGGATACATATGCTATATTGCAGCAGGTTTAATCTAACAGAAAATGGAGCAGCTCCTCTGCAAAAACAAAAACAAAAAACCAAAAGACCAAAAGGAAAGGGGAGAGGGTAAAGGAATAAAAGAGTTTCTTTAGATGGAGAAAGTTGAGTGTGTGATTACACTGAAAGGAAGGAGATTTCAGAGAACAGATAGATGAAAATTTAGAAGTGAAAATAAGTGACTAATGAGGGAAAGCTTTTAAGGTGTTCAAATTAAAGTATTAGGAAAGTGGACACAAGTTTTGTTATAAGGGATGGGGATGATCATCATGGTATGGGAATTGGAAAAATAATTATAACTAATTTCTTTGCTTTATTTGTGGGACATGAGGAATCATCCTCTGAGTGGTTTCTGATTGTAGTAAAACTTTCTTTATTTGTCAGATATTTGTTGACTGTCTAAAGCATGCCAGACACTGTGCTAGGCACTGGTGCTGGGAAGATTAGGCAGCATCTTTGTAGATATAATTATGCTTCTTGTCCTTAAGCAGCAGACAGTTTAGATGGAGAGGCAAACTTCATGGAGGAGACTGTGAATGTTTGAGTAGAAGAACATTGACCAAGAGCATGAAATGGTATTCTTGGATATCAGTGAGCACCCTGCTGAGTAGCATGAATGCTCATCACTGGTTAACTTTCCTCAGTGGTATTCTATTATACCCTGGCAGGAAGGATGAGGATGCAAGTTCGAATGGATCTAGGCTTGGAATTTTGCGATAAGGGTTGACAGAATTAAAAAGATAGGATAAAGAAAATGGCTACAGTGATGCACAATGATGTCCTAGGAGGACAAGCAGAAAGTTGGGAGGTACCAAGGGCCAGCAGAATAATGAGAACAAGTAACTGATGCAGAAAGGGCCGGGGAGAATAAGCTTTAAATTTGTGGTCAAAGATTAGGACTTTTGAGGTAGATCAACTTCAGGTTGTTGATATTTTCATGGAAATGTGTGGTCAAAGATTAGTGGAGGTGAAGGTTATTGAAGTTAAGGAAGTTACAGAACTGAACACCAGTCAGTGTCAACTATGCTTCTAGCAAGAGATGGAGCAGGGATTAAGATCACAAATCAGATGGCAAGGTTCTCAAGAATAAAATAATGAAAAAGTGAATGATTCTGTCCCATTAGACTCTAAGAATAGTAAATTTAAAGCTAAACCAGACATGCACATACAGGACCCAATAGTCAATATGAAACACTTCCCTGATTTACCAAGCAGTAGAACAAGCAATAATCTCTACAAAGCAAAACTCGTTCATGACTATTAAAAAACACACCTTCCTTCTTTCTGTGTCATGAATTTAAAAATAATGTCAGAATGTTTGAAATCCTTCCCTCACTGTTTAAAAGTAATGGACTTAGTTGAGGGGTATAAAATATTCACCTCAAACCCTAGGGATTTGAGAGCATCCAAATTCCATTCCAGTCCCCTGCAGATGACCAGCACTACTGTACACACAAGAGAGGCTCACTCGTGTGTCAAAATAAGGCAAAGAAACTTCCCCCATCTGAGATAGATGTCTGGTTTACTCTTCATTGACATAATCAAAAGTAAGTCATTTCCTCAGGAAATAATAGATGCTTGGCATAATGTTTGTCTATGCTTAATGGTTCAGAGAGATAAATTTAACATGACAAGGGGCAGGATAGACCAAATACACATCATATGGAATGAAGTGAATAGTCACCTATATATTGTCACTTTATGATATTGATTCTTGTTTATAACTAACAGAAGCTTCTTCCAGCTGCTCTATGTTATTCTTTCCCCTCCAGTCTGCAAGCCATTTCACCAAACGCCTATCACGGCAAGCTAATTCTTTGATTAGTTTGACTAAATTCTACACCACCACCAACTTAGGATGTGTGAACCTTGGGTCAAGTGATTTTTCAAATATGTTCTTTGATCTTTACCACAAACCTGAAAGATAGGCATTATTATCTCAGTTTTACAAATGAATGAATGGAGGCTTAGAAGTAAAACTTCTTGCCCAACAGAACTGTCACCAAGTAGTTGTGGGACTGTAATCTGAGCTCAGGTCAGGCAGGCAGGCCAGTGGTGAAGCTTGTGATCTCTCCAAAGTGCCTGCTGGCCTCAGAAACTAATGAAACTGCAACATTTTATATCTCATTTGGGTATCTTGGGAAATAAAGTTGTTTATTGCTTGGATTCCAGGTACACCAATGTTTGGCTTCTAGTTGATTCCATATCAGCATAGCCATCTCCTCATAATCTAGGATTGTAAGCTGCCAATCAACAGGGGCATGGGAGGATAGATGAGCTCTTCCTAATTCCTTCCAAAATCAAGATTCTGTGAGGGATCCTGAACAGTCCCTGTCTAGTAGCAGTCCCCTGCCCTATGCACAAATAAGTGAAAAACCCAATTCCATCCACTGTTCCACACTATATAACCAGTGGACTCCAAATAGCAAATTTATGGCATACAGTACAGTGCACTACCATGATACACATTGAAAATAGTGATTTGTCAACATGATAGAAAAAAAGTTTTCTTGGAATCTGTGTAAGTCAGACTATATAATAATTTAACACACATAAGGAGATTCAAGAGGGTGCCACCATGAATATTTCCCCAGCCATAAGCCTTAAAATAAGAAGGTGATAGGAGAAGTTTGCTTTTGCCTTATTGTCTTTGGTGTTACAGAAAATGATAAATAAATTTGGAAAACTAGTGGAGTTATTATTAAGTTTTTCTGCAATGCCTTTTCATAGTGGGAACAACATAGAATTGAACATGTCTATCACATAGATGACTCTAATCCTAGGACTACCAGCTTAGCAAAACTTTCTCTGCTAAGATTCATTTCTCTGCTTGGGGTGCAGTGCAGAAAAATTATTTTTAAACTGAGATAAAACTTTTTATTCAAAAGCCAATTTCAAAAATAAATAAATAGATGGGACCTCTTTGATATACATTTTGATACGGGAAGGAATAGGACAGGGTTTGGAAAGACATCATCATTTTGATATGACTGTGAACAGTAGACTTCTTTAGGGAAAAAAAAATCCCAGTGAAAAATAGGTAGTTTCATGTCCTGAAGATCAAATGTAAAGAGTATGATCATAGTTTTGTAAACTGCTTGTCTTTCCTTGTTTTGTTTTTTGTTTTTGTTTTCTTGCCACATGCAGAAGATAGAGTTGGATTATTTTGGAAGAGTGACCTATGACCTGGAAGTCTGGATCCCACAACATTTGACCCAAATCCCAAATGTTTACTTTTTCTTTACCTAGAAAGAACACATTAGTCTTGAAATCTGATATGTTTTCCATTTTATAATAAATAATGCTTAAAACCCACTGTCTCAGTCAAGGTTTAATAAGAGAAGCAAGACCACTAGGATTATATATGTATGAAAGAGAAGATGGATGTAAAATGGAAGAAATTAAAGACAAATGGAAACCCACAAGGATAAAGTGGAAACTATGTCAGTCTTGTTGCCTCTGATCTTGGTAATGTGTTTGTCCTGCAGAAATAGGAGCTCTATCCTGCACTAAACACACACTTGGTCCAGGAGTCAGGGAAGCTGTAGGAAGAATGTGGGGAAGACAGAGAAGTTGCAGGCCCCAGCTCCTGCCTCACAACAGCAAGGTGAACCAACAGATTAATGACAAGGCATGTGCATGACAAAAGCTTGTTCCCCAACCTTCCAAGAGTAAAAGCAAATGGCCAATGCCTCATCACCTCCCTCCAAATCTGCAAACACATCTGTTGTGGTTCATCCTAGCCAGAAACATAGAGAAAGGGACTTCTGGGAAATACAGTGCAGCCTTGCCATGCTTATGTGTTAAGAAAGCCACCCCATCTACCTTCATGAAAGTACACTGACTCTTTCCCCAAAGCATCATGTACAACTAGGGGCCCAGCCACATAATGATGGGAGGCAGTGATTCCAGTGCTCTAAGGCAGGTGGCATGGCCACATTCAAGGACAGACACACAGTTTCATCAGGCAACCAACTCTTCACAACTGTTTTCAAGATCCATCATGCCTCCTCTTCCTTATGACTATCTCCTCAGTTTTCTCTCCAAAGCCAAGAGATAAAATACACACCTTTAGCCATGGTCTAACACACACGGCAGAGGCCAATATAGAGAGGAGATAAACCATATTCAAGTTCTCTGAGACATGACAGCAGTTCTTTTTTTTTTTTTAGTGATATTTCCAAACTACATTTTTTCCTAAACATTTACTACTAGACTAAGTTCTGATTTCCTCTTCTGGTAAAATATTTATATCAGCTGATGAAGGCCTTTATTTTCCTTAACACTGACATGCATAACCCAGCCTCTTTGTCAGGCATATAATTCACCTGGCAGTAAATACATTTGATACACAATATGGAATGCAATCTGAGGTGCTTGCAGCATGAGAACACCAAAGCCACATTAAAAATCAAGAATCCTATGGTCGTGCTTGGGAGGGTAAGCATACGGCAGGCAACTAAACTCCATTTATGGTACAGCATCTCAGTTATTTAAAAATATCTCATAAAATGACTATATAAGTACTATATACGTTTGTGTGTATGAGAGAGAGAGAGAGAGTGTGTGTGTGTGTGTGTGTGTGTATTTTGTTAGTACTGATGAATACGAGAATGAATGAATAACTTCCTGGGGAAGATGAGAACCTTGAATCTGGCTTGAAAGTGGCAAATAACTTGAAAATGTAAAGGAAGAAACCAGATGAGGCATTATAGTGAAGGAAAGACAAGCAATTGTGGAGGGTCTTAATAAGAAAAGTAACAAAAAGTTAGGCTGATGAGGTGGTGCAAATAAGTCAATGGTTCCTCTTACAAGGAGGCTAAGAAGTCTTGGGATAAGAAGATATCTGTAGGGTGAGGAATGATTTTAAGAAAATCTTAGCTGGTAGAAAAAAATTCCCAGAAAACTAGAAGCCTAAGACCTAGTGCTAAAATCCAATTAGTGGGGACAATAAGGGCTCTTTTTAAGGATGTGTCTTCCAAACAGAAAAGTAAGCATCTGAATTCATTAGGCAGAAAAAAATGGCCGTCAACCAACCAACATGGAACCTCTTTGGTGCTGTCAGCTCAGGCCCCAGGCCCCATGGGACACACTCCAGAAAACACAGGCTCAGAGACCAATTAAAGGAAGGACCTTCATTTTCCCAGAGTAATGTACTATGTGAGATAATCAAGATCTGCAAAAGGAACAAGCTGTTGCTCTTTGTCTTAAAGAGCAGATTTGACTGGGCATGACCAATTCTATTTTTTAGAGCTGTTCACACCTAAGCCCACACTTATGTCTCCCACCTCATTTACTCTTTTTACAATGAAGCGTTGACACTCCTCCATCAAGATGTGGGGTCCACACTTTCTCCCCTTAAAACTGGTGGCCTTGTGTCTATAGGAGAATTGAGGCTGAATGAGTTCTGAAGCAAGGACATAAAAAGAAATATAATGCCTCTGCCATCTTCATTCTGTCTCTGAGGACACACACCTTGGGGCCCCTAAGTTGTCAGGTAAAGTGTCCAGCTACTTGAAGCTGTCTTTGTGAAGGGACCATGATGCAGGGAGACCATATATTTGGAAAGAGATGCCCAGAGAGCTCCATCTGTTCCAGCCCTCAATTGTTTGAGTCTTCCTTGTCCAGGTGTCAGACATATAAGTGACTGAGCCTGGATAATTCCAGCCCCCGGCCTGTGGCTGCCCCAGCTGACAGTTGGCGCCAGCCTTTGAGTCTCCGAATTCAGGGTCCAGACCTGGCTGAGCAGAGATGAGCCATGCAAATGTTGAAATTTTGCTTTACACCACTAAGTTCTGGGGATAATTTGTTATACAACCTTTAAAGAATTTTGGACTACAGGGTGAATACAAGTTCGTAGAGAAGATGGAAACATGTCCAATAACAGTAAGAGTGATGTGGAATAATATTAGTAGAAGTAGGAGTATTAGTAGTCATTTCAGTAGTAGCAACATTACAGTAATAGTAGCATTACATATATTTTTTCCACATAATATTTAAAAAGAAAAAATTAAGATAGTGCTTTTGTTAACCCTGTTTTACAGAGGGGAAGCCTGAAGTGTAAAGAGACAAAAAAGTCTCCAAGTTCTCGGTAGGTAGTAGAGACAGGATAATGCTCCATGTAGTCTGGCTTCAGGGTCTACACACTTAAACATTTGAGTACATGGGTAAAGTTTGGAGATAGTTGAAATCTTAAAGTTATTGCTGCTGATAACTAGCATTTATTTAGCACTTACTCAGACTCTCGGCCAGGCACCATGCTTAAGGACTTTAAGTGAATTGTTTTAATAAGCAATGCAAGTTGAATGGCTAGGAGTGTAAATGAAATGGACTCTTTTTAGGAGGCAAAAGAGACAGGTTTGAAAAATTGTTTTTACTTAGTCATGAATTTTAGAAATTATTTAAAATACTGCAGAATAGAAATGCCTAGGAAGGTCATCACAAGCCCCATAAGCAGAGAAGCGGTCAGGAGTATAACAGAAATAGTGTAGATTGCAAATTAAACCCCAGTGCTCCAAATCACAGACAATCTATGTGGCACCTAAGAAATCACTCGTGAATTTCCTTTTATTTTAAGCCAACATTCTCAATAACTGAATAGCACTGAAAGAGAATCCAATAAAGACCCAGCCTGCAGGCCTACTTTAAAAATTATTATTAATATGTAATGGTGCAACATTTATTGTGAGTGACTCATGATAATTTTCAGACCCAGAATAAAATTAAGTTCCTTTTCTCTTTAGTAGAGCAACTCTCAAAAATTAAAACAGATGCAAATGTGTGGCCTGCCCACGCACATTCTGATTCTGCTATCAGATATTCATCTGACAAATAAAAGCCTTCTCAGGAATTAGCATTTACTGCATAATGAAATCTGAAATCTGAGAAGATGGAATGAGAAATTGTTTTTCTACAATATATGTAAGGTTTTTGTTTTATCTGGTGTTTTTAACTTTACCTTGTGATGTTAGATTTCTACAGTGCCATTTTGTTTTGCATTAAATCGTGAACTCTTAGAAGGCAAACACTGTCCTATTTAATCTATTCCCTACATTCCTCAACCAGAGACATTATGTGCAAAAGGACTTGATACTTGGGAAACAGTGGCTATGGTAGACACGGTGGCCCTTCTCTCCACAGCCACACCCTTCTTCATCTTTGTAACATGATGCAATTTTATTTTTCCCAGATGAAGCACATGCCCAAACCTAGGAAATAAAGCTTGATTGATTGGAACCAATCTTGTCTATCCTCTTCTTCTTTTCTGTCCTCCACTGCAACTATGGGTAGAAGAGGGCATCCAGGAAAGATTCTCACCCTAGATGGAAAGACAGTCACTTTATGCCAACTCAGTTCTTCCTTTCTATCTGGCCTGCCATGATAAGGATGCAGAGATAGCCCAGAAAGTGAAGGGAATGGGGCTGGGCGCAGTGGCTCACATCTGTAATCCCAGCACTTTGGGAGGCCAAGGCGGGTGGATCATCTGAGATCAGGAGTTTGAGACCAGCCTGACCAACATGGTGAAACCCTGTGTCTACTAAAAAATACAAAAATTAGCTGGGCGTGGTGGCTCAGGCCTGCAATCCCAGCTACATGTGAGGCTGAGGCAGGAGAATCTTTTGAACCCGGGAGGCGGAGGTTGCAGTGAGCCGAAATCATGCCATTGCACTCCAGCCTGGGCGACACAAGTGAAACTCCGTCTCAAAAAAAAAGAGAAGGTAATGGGCTGGGAGCATTGAGAGAAACAGCCTGGGTCCTGGGTGGCATCACCAAGTGGCTGAACCTGCCCTAGACCATTCACCTCCAGGCATCTTGTTTTCAACTGGCTGACTTCTCATTTTAAGCCACGTTTGGTCAAGTTTAATGTTACTTGTGGTCAACTATATCCTAAAGGGAATAATGATGCTTTGAGTATACCAAGAAAGATTTTTAGTGAAACCAATATTTATGGATGTGAATAAGAGTTATATCTCAAAACTACAGCCCCTATATGTTTTCAGGAAATATCAGAGACTTAAAACCTGTACCAGGTCTCATGATAGCACTATCTGCACTCCTGGGGCAATTGCCTATATACTTGCTTTAACTAGGCAAGCTTTCACTAGCTTGTAGATTTTCTCTCAGGATACAGTCAATAGAACCTGTTGCTCAGCATGTTTTGTGGGGATTGCTATGTTGCTGATAGATAGAGAGGGAGGTGGGGGAAGAAATGCTTCCAGGAGATCTCAAAATCATGAGCATATAAGGAGAGGGAACAGTATAATGCAATCTCTTACAATATTAAAGTAGTAGAAAGCAAACCAAGATATTAATTCCAGCTATGTCACGTGATAGATTTTTGCATTTAGACAAATTTCTTTACCTCCTTATGCCTCAGTTTTCTCCATTGTAAAGTGAAAATAATAGTAATATCTGCACTATTTGATTATTGTGAGGATGAAATGAAGTAATGTTCTTAATATAGTACATGGTACATAATATGCATTAGATATGGCAACTATGGCTTTAAGAAATCAAAATGTATTTCCTGACTAAGGTGATTCCACCAGAATTGGTCTTTTATCCTCTAATTTCCAGGTAAAGATATCTCTTTTTCTCTAAATACCTGAAATTTGCCTTAGGAAGATTTTTCCTGTTTACCTCTTCGTCTGGTGAATGGTTGGCTTGGCTCGGCTCGATTTCATCTTCGTAAAAAAAAATGGGGTGATTACTGAGGGTTTCATAATATTTCTTGTCCTAGTCCTCACCTGCTCTTTGATACAGGCCTAGTATAATAGCAACTACTCTTAAATCTCTCAATGAGGCTTCCCTGAACAACAAAGAAAATGGTAAAAGAAGCAGTTCCAAATTAACTCTGATTTGTTTTAGGCTCACTGCCTAGTTCTTCATAACTCTCCTGCCTAATTTTGTTTGTATCAGAATTTATAAACAGGAATCTAATCTGTCTTGCAGTTACTATGTTTGTGTGAGTATATGTGTTTGTGTGTGTGCTCCAGAGCTGCATTTTTTAAAAACTTTTTGTTGTGTAATTTGAATGCTTTTGTGAAGGATGTGCTCTCTAATTTAGCTCTACTCAGAGGTTGCTCCATGATACTGAAACTTGTAGGAAGGCAAATTCCTGGCCCACCCCATATCTGAGGGTAGGCCCAGGACCTGGGTCTTAGTAAGTACTCCGGATGTTTCCAATGCATGCTTAGGTTTGAGAACCGCTGCTCTCTTCTGCCCATTACTTCACTTTATTCTCTATGACAGTCTGTTTCTCTCCTTCATGTTACCTAAAATCAATTGACTTTTATGATCGTTGGTTTAAACTTTGAACTCATGAACAGTTTTTATTCCTACATTTTCTCTGTACCATTCACCAACTTGACATGCACCTGCTGTATGTGTATCCCTTAACACAGAGCCAGACACATTAATAGACCCTGATCCAGCCAGGAGTCAAACTAAATCAAGTCATAGAATCATAGTCAGGAGAAAAGGCCTTGGGAGGAGCAAGTGCCAGAAAGTTACAAGAGAAAAGCCTATTAAGTAAAGTTAATCAGAACTATAAATGTGAACAAAAGGAGTGTGTGCAATATGAGGGTGGACAGAAATTTCTGCAACCTGACTGGGCAGATAATTTTATCTAAATGTGGGTAAACTGTAGGGCTCATTATACCCTGACCCTTTAGTACATATTTATTTCAAGAATTTCAGCCTTGCCTCAGTGTCGCCTCCTCCCCCCGCACCCCAGCACACACAGAGGTGGAAGACACAGGTTTTCCTCCTCCCATTCTGGGGTTCTCTGAAACACTGTCATCCCAGAAGCTACCAATATTCAAAACAAAATCTCCCATAGGCCATAGGGACATACAATTGTGCTTTAAAGACATCTCTAATTTAATTATTAAATGGCTGTTTTTTTTAAAAAAAAGAAAACATCTGAAATAGCTAAACATATACAGGGAAGAGCAAGTGTTTGCCACACAAGAAATCAAACAAATTGATGAACAGAAAGAAAATGACTATGGAACTATAACTGTTCTATTCTTAACTAGCAATCTGCATATTTTCTCCCAATTAATGCCTAGAATGGGATCTGAGTCAGTTGAAACCTAATTACTGGCATATCACTTTGTTGATTCAAAGCCCTACAACAGTCACTGCTCATGTTTCATTTGCATGAACTCTGCAAAAACCACCCCTAGGATGTCAGTGCTTGCTTTGCCACCAGAAGTCTATGCTGTAGCTATAACTTCGTGGGCAAATGCACACTACCTTTCCTGTCACTCTGCTGAGTAAACGTTCTGTCACTCACAGTCCTCATTCATTTAAGATGAAGACATGTCTCTTGTAAAGATTTTTCCAGGACCTATTTTTACTAATGGTGTAGTGAGGTAGTTTGGGGAGATTCCCATAATGCAATTAAGAAGAAGTGTGGAAGACCTGACTTCTGTAGCTGGTGTCCATCATCTCACTTTAAAATTTTTAAATTTTTTTAGAGACAGGATCTTGCTTGTTGCCCAGGTTGGAGCACAGTGGCATGATCATAGCTCACTTTTCCCCCAAACTCCTGGGCTCAAGCAATCCTCTCACCTCAGCCTCCTGAGTAGCTGGACCGCAGGCATGCACCACCCTGCACAGCTAAATATTTTCAGTTTTTGTAGAGATGGGGTCTTTCTATGTTGCCCTGACTGGTCTCCAAATCCTGGCCTCAAGCAATCTACCTCCCCAAAGTGCTGAGATTACAGGTATCAGCCACCACGCCTTGCCCATCATCTCACTAAACAAATATAAATAAGCAAACAAAACACTTCCCATTGAACAATGGCACTCCTAATTTGAACAATGGCACTCATAATTTGAACAATGGCACCCCTAATTTTCCCACTACCCTGGGAATAGATGTTACAGGTATTATCACCCTTACAGTCTAGGACAACGTTGGCCATCCCCTGGTGTAGGGGAATGAATACTAGCTTTGCCTGCTTGTCTCTCCTCCCACTGCACTCAACAGGGTGGGCCCCAATGGCCTTTCCTGGGAATACTTCATTGGACATTATATTCATAGCTCCCTTATTAATTAGGCTGTTTGGTGTCTGTGTTTCTCATTTAGCTCCTGCTAAAATGCCTGCACATTAGCTATTGTTGTCTTCTCTATTATCCTCAGCTAACCCACAGGGGAGTTGCTTAGCCATTTCAAAGAGAGAATTGAAGCTGGTGGGGAAGCAGAGACATCTTATCTTCTTGCATCTGCTCCGAAGAGGTCTCCCTATTACAACTTCCTCTTTTTCACTTCTTCCATGGAGTCATTCACCCAGTCTTAGAAAATCTGACTTTAGTATCTCTGGAATTTATTTACTAATGCCAAATACCCTCCTTGAGGCCAGAGATATGAATAGAGAGAGGTACCAAGTGTGGACAGAGGCTGGGTGGAGTTGAGGGGATGAAAAAATTTCCAATGCATCTAGTACACAGGATGTTCATGATCTGAAATATGTCTACTTGGAGAGAGGTACCAAGAGTGGACAGAGGCTTGGTGGAGTTGAGGGGATGAAAAAAGTTCCAATGCATCTAGTATACAGGATGTTCATCATCTGAAACATGTCTACTTGGCCAGCTTCCTCATTCTGCATACACAGTAGCCCACCTTGACCACCGGCTGGCTTTGCTCTTTTCTGCTGCTCTTGCCTTGGCTCCAGTTTCCCTCAGGCTCATTTGCTTTTGCCTGGAGTCTTTATCTTTGGCTCATTCTATCCTGCTCTTCCTTCACAACTCAGCTCAGGTGTGAGTCCCTCTGAGACATCTTTTCTGACCCCTGTAGGCTGTCTTAGGTGCCCTCTAATGTGCACCGCTGCACCTTGGGGTCAATAAGCTTTTGAAACATTTGTCACTCTCTATGACAATTGTTCATTATCTTGTTAGTGTAAGTTCCTTCACCTACACCACAATCCATGAAGAACAAGGTCTTGCCTTTTACATCCCCGAGATTCCTACCACTATGTACAGGGCCTGCCATGGGATAGGGACTCAGTGCATGATTCATTAAGAAGTGAGCGAATGTGTAGCCAAAAATCCCAACCCAGTTGTGTGAACTTGAGAAAATCACTCGATCTTTTTGAACTTTAGTGTTTTTCATCTCTAAGAGAGATTTCTAAGCAGTACCGTTTGTTTTCCATCTCCCACTTTAATAACCCAACAAAAAGTCATTTAGCCTGAAATTATGCATAGAATACTCCACTTCAAAAAGAAAGTGGTCTCCTTGATAAGGTAATCGGCGAGGGTTTCTGAGAAAGGTTGTGGAAACAAATTCTTTTGAAGCATTACTCCTCCATGTTGGGTTAGATTAGCAAGAATCTGCATGAAGATTGGAGGACAGATGTGCTCTTTGTAGTCCTAAAGACCACTTTCATACTGTAAGACTTGAAAGCGATCTTAAAGCTTACTCTAGTCTAACCCACCTCTTTTACAGATAGAGAAACACACCTCTCTTGATCTGTAATTTATGTGAATGCTTTTATCAAATCTTAAACACAATGTACTATTATCAGCAGTTAACCAAAATGGCATGCTCCTTAGCAATGGGGAAAATTAGGAGACTCTATGAAAACAATGCTGGCTTTGCAGGTTGTAATTTTTAAGGTTTATTTTGGAGGGATGACCATAATAAAAGAATAGAGGCAATGAGAAAGGCTGCAGAATGTTTACCCACTTTAAAAACAAATTACAGTGTCTATCTGGAAAACAACATAGATATTTGATCAAAGAAAATGTATTCATTTAGTAAAATGTGGGCTTCTATTGAGAAATAGAGATTTTCTCACCGACAGACCTTAAAAAAGTGACTCCCAGGAGCAGAGTGTAGAATGCAATAATGTCAAGTCATGGGATATGCATTCATGTCATTTTCTGACAAGGGTTTTTTGAATGTAATCATAGTTATTAGTTGCAATCTTGCACAGGCGATCCAAACAGTGATAGCAGTGCATTGCAAGCCCCTTTACAAACTCTGCATGCGGTAAAAAGCTCCTTCACAAGCCAGTTAGTATTTACATTCCACGATACCTCAAATATTGCTTCTTTGCTTTCGGAATGGTTGATGGCAGACTTTATACACTGAAGGAAATATTTAGTGAACTTGATTTTTATTTCCTAAAACTCTAATCCTGAAACACTGAGGTGTCTCCCCCAGAAACGGTTGCAGGTGATTTTTGTTTGTTTGTGTTCTGTCATGACAACACAGAACACAGTGGGGAGAGGGACTCACCTGAAATTGCTGGTTAGAAAGGGAAGCAGTGGCCCACTTTTCAGTAGATTTTATACTTCTCAAGACGTGAACATTCCGGTTAGTGTGGCTGGGAGGTAAATCCTAAAATAGCCAGTGCCCCTCTGAGTTTTAAACCTTCAGAGGGGCACTGGCTATTTTAATAAAACCCTGACTTATGGACAAGTGGCTATGGAAAGGCAGTTTAAAGCAGCTTCAAGTGCGTAAAATAAAGTGAATTAGGGATGGAAGTATTGATTTGTAGGCAATTCCTTATGCAAAACAAATAAGAATGATTAGCAACATGTCATAATTAGGGTTTTTAAAGTACTTGAACCTAAGTTATTCCTTTAACTAAGGTGAATTGGTAGCTCTATGTTTTTATTTACTCCGTTAATTTATTTAGCAAACAGAAAGAATTACCCCACAGAAAGATGAGTTTAATTCTGTTTTTGTTTGTTTGTTTGTTTTTCCCCTTCTGAGCTCTTCCCAAACTCAAATCAATGGATGTCAGTGGGTTAAGTTCTGGGACATCTTTTTGGGGCATTCTCTAATCCAGACTGTTTGCAAATCTGAGATATTTTCCTCTGAGTTCCCCCCATGTAGTGCCTTCAATCAGTTTAACATCAGTTTAACATGGGGGCTGAGGCAGTTTGTTCATTGTTTTAATACTGTTCTGGAGTTTCCAACTGATAGAAGCTTCACAATCTGGACAGGGCTCATTCTTTGACAAAGGACAAACAAAGGTAACTTGGATACCCCTATAGCAGCATCTACCAAAGTACTAAAGTGGTAACCTGCCCTTCAGGTTGTCAACAAGAGAGTCTTTTTCCTTGGGCTTTATCGATAGACACTGCATTATTCTATATCATTTAATGACTGCCACACATTCTTGGTAATGAGCTCACTATTTCTACCTAAAGAGCCCTGTTTGAGCCTCCTCTAGTTCTCTATTTCTTCATGGAAGGAGATAGGCTAAGACAGTTATGTCACAGTTACCTGGGCCCTGCCCTGTGTCGATAGGAGTTACAGCTTTGCCCCTGAATGAGTCTTCTCCAAGCCTAGGAGCATTTCCAGCCTGATTATTTCTGGGCTCTAGGACACTCTTGCCTACACTGGGTCCTGAGAAATGCACAACCGGGATGGCAACATTAGAAACAGGGCTCTGCCTGTGTGTTCTCTGGACCTCAACATTTCCTGCTGAGGAGCTGCCACCATGGCAGAGAATGTGATCAGCTGAGAGCAGGAAGGCAGTGACTTGATATCGATGGGTCCTTTACGACAGGAACAATGGGACGCTCAGTGAAAAACACGTAGTAAACTTGCACCTCTTATTTTTCAATCAGGGACTTGGAGACTTGAGGTGAGACAGGATTCTGGTACCAATGGCAAGGGAAATTGTGACCATGGAGTTTTGAGGACACCTTGAATGAGGGGTTCTAGTCCTATGTCAGAAGTGGGCTAAAGGTGTAGGTCAAGGTTAGTGCGAGGATTTTATATCACAGCCTTCATAATCGGGACAGATGACTAGGACATTAGTTTCCTTTTCCCTAGTGTTTCCCTAAATATATTGCCATCTGATCGATAATTGAGTCTGGGGTTTCTGTCTTCTGGTTCATCTGTGTCCTCATCAAAAACTTCAAGCTTCACTGTTTCTGGGAACCGGAAGGGGTGTTTTTTAAGCCCCTGGGGCATATAATTTACAAGATATTTTCATCTGACTTAAGTGTCCAGGTGTATATGAGATATTTTGATCTTAGCTTTCATCTAGCAAATAGGCCACTCAAAAACAAAGGGAAATACAACTGATATGTCATCTGGTTTACAGTTACTCTTACCTTTTGTTTTTCTATCCCCTTAGCAGGGTCAAAGTTGTTTGGCTGTTTTGGTTAAACACATAATCCCAAAACAAGGTTATTAGCTATGGAGGAGATGAATATTGGAAAATGCCACTAGAATAAGTATTAAAGATGAAATCCAATCTGACCAAAATGGTAGGATTGTGGCTATGATTCTGAAATAAGAAAAGATTTTGGCTCATGGACCCCTACTCTGATATACACCATGTTCTGCCTCATAGGGGCAGGTAAAGTTCCTATGGAAAGTGCTTAGTGTCCACGAGATTGGCTATAAAAACAACCGTGAATATGACTAGCTTTGAGAGTCAGAAACTCTGATCATCTGCCAAGGCTCTCCACCGGCAAGAAAAAGGTAATCAATTTGTGAGAATAAAGTTTATGATGTAGAATAAAGCTAGACTCTTTGATCTTGAGATGAGCAGATATCCCAGATCTTGGGGGTTATCCAATTAAATCAAGGATGTTTTTGGCTTTGTCTTTTCAGGTGAAGGCAGAACTGGCACTGATCATCTTCTGAATTCCCTTTCAAGGTTGAAAATATGGATAGCACAGCCCAATCTTTGCTATTGATGTTCTTATGAGCCAAATGGTTGTTGCAAAATAAGATTCTAGTATGTGTTTCTTTGTTTCCTGATATAATCCCTTAAACTAGTCTTTAAATTGGTGCCATGCATGTCACTGATACATTGACTTACCCCATGGTATTAAAGGACTAAGGATGTGTCCTCTAACAGAGACAACTGAAAAACACAAAGTATTTGCTTAGCCAGTAATGGTATCAGAAATGTGTCAAAAATCTTCTGCCCACTGGTCCATGAACCTAGGCTGTAGTCTTCAGTGGCTATTTTTGCTGAGTCATTTAAGCTGGGAGGACAACATTTATTTCCCTTCTCACCTGAAGTCTTTTCCACTCTTTTAAATTCAGAGTGTTACTGAAAAAAGACACTCTGATATTCAACCCCCGTGTGCTGGGAGCTCCAGAACTTTCACAGAGCTATAAAATCTTCAGCTCAAAAAGGCACTAGCATGAAGTTCAGATGCCCTGTTACAGAACAAAACAATGTGATGAAAAGCTACTGGGTACTATTCATGAAAACCCTGAGATTGAAGAACCACAAGATGTTTCATCCTGATCTAAGTAACCAGATACTTGTCAGATATTTATTTATTTACATATAAATGTAAATGTGAATACAAATGTAGTTGAATACATCTAGCATTGGGTGAAACTTCTCCTAATGAGACAAAATTATAGCTAATTCTCAAAGCAGAGAAGGACACATAAAATGTGGTGCCCCATTGTTTTTTGGGGGGGAGTCCATCTTGAAGTAGATTTCAAATGTAAGTGGTTTATTTGGGATGTGATTTCCTGGGATAGATCCCAGGAAAATCCCAGGAAATCCCAACGGAGGAGGTAGAGAGAGAAAGGAAAGAAAAGAACACTCAACTAAGTGTGTTATGGAACAGGCTACCACTGAAAACAGTTGAGTCCCTATCTTTCTGGGGAACTCCAGGACAGAGCATAGAATATGCCACCAAGTTGTCCTACGTGAGGGGTGTGAAAGTGGGGGTATTTAAACACCCACTCCTATCCTCTCTTTCTGAGGGCTGTTCTCAATGGTGTCAGCATCTCAACATTTCTGATCTGCCCCATATGAGGTTGAAAGAAAGCCTTTAGGTGAAAGTCAGGTGTCTTTGGTAGGATGCTGTACGTGTGTACTGGAATGGTGGCAGCTAAGGGGATGAGGCCATGGCACTTACAGCATCTACTACAATTCTCCTATAATAACCAAGAGGAAAGGTGTGATTTCCTAAGTTCTAAAGCCAAGTTGTGGGACCCTTTAAGGGAAGATTTATAAAGTCTTGGGCTGCTATGCTATAAAAAAGGGAACCTGATATCATCTCAGGATGGATTTGTACCAAGGGTTAGAACCTGCAGAAAATTTCTGATTGAAATAGAGTTTATTGTCAGAGTTCATGGAAGTTCTTGACATAGGTTCACAAGAGTTTGGCATTGTACATGAACATAGAGTCCAGTGTCCTCTTTTAGTTCAATGATTTATAAAGATAGAATTCCCTCTAAAGTGGTTCATGCATCAGGCTTGGGAAGTATTGTGTAGTACTGTTGTTTTTGTAACCCTTAGAGAGTGAGAACAAGAACTTTAACTGTTCCGGTGGCTCCATGTGTAGGATCATGGAGGTTAATGGAGATGCATGAGTTACAGGGATTCTATCTAGTAAAGTAGTGGAATCTTTACCATAAAAAGGAGTTGGAAGCATGGATAGACCAGTGCCAGGGCTAAATGAAGACTCCGCTGTCTCTCTTTAAGGGAGCTTCCCACAGAAGAGCCAGGGCAAACCTGAGCATTATCCCAGGAAAACCACAGATACCTACTGGAAGACCAGCTATATAAGATGGAAACAGATCTGCTGAGAGCAAGAAGAGAGTCACATCCCCACAACAATAATAATTACTGTATCTTATCATTAGGAGGCACTTGCTGTTTCTCTTTTCTACTGGAAACATTCAAATCTAGAAGAGTTAAGGGAAGAAGAGATCTTCACACAGATTATAAAGTATCAAACCAGATTTGATTAAGTTTTAAAAATGGAAATTGATTACAATGGTTATGACATTGAGCCAAAATTGCAATGGGATAGGAAAAGATGATTTAAGGTGCTGTGTTTAATAACAGTGATTTAAAATAAAAGGGAAGGTTTTTAATGGTTTACTGCTCTCTAGAATGTTTTCTACATTCCTAAAATAGTATCTGTACATAGTAAATGTTTAGAAAATGTTTGTTGAATGAACGAATATATATTCCAAGTTAGTTACTATTGTACTAACTGTTTGTAGGACAATACAAACCAACCAAAATATAAATATAATTGTTTATGATAAAAATACTTTTGTATATCAGTGGTTCCAGTGTTTCTAAGCTCATGTGATGATTTTCTTTCTTTTTTCTATTCTCCAGCCAAACTTCCCCTTGGAATGCCCTACCTAGTTTCTGACCCAAGAGTCTGACTTTATTGGGTTCTTTACCTGATCTCTTTTTTAAAGATCTCAGCAAAGTTTACCCTTTTTTTTTTTATTATACTTTAAGTTTTAGGGTACACGTGCACAATGTGCAGGTTAGTTACATTGTATACATGTGACATGCTGGTGCGCTGCACCCACTAACTCTTCATCTAGCATTAGATATATCTCCCAATGCTATTCCTCCCCCCTCCCCCCACCCCACAACAGTCCCCAGAGTGTGATGTTCCCCTTCCTGTGTCCATGTGTTCTCATTGTTCAATTGCCACCCATGGTGAGAATATGCCGTGTTTGGTTTTTTGATCTTGCGATAGTTTACTGAGAATGATGATTTCCAATTTCATCCATGTCCCTACAAAGGACATGAACTCCTCATTTTTTATGGCTGCATAGTATTCCATGGTGTATATGTGCCACATTTTCTTAATCCAGTCTATCATTGTTGGACATTTGGGTTGGTTCCAAGTCTTTGCTATTGTGAATAGTGCCGCAATAAACATACGTGTGCATATGTCTTTATAGCAGCATGATTTATAGTCCTTTGGGTATATACCCAGTAATGGGATGGCTGGGTCAAATGGTATTTCTAGTTCTAGATCCCTGAGGAATCGCCACACTGACTTTCACAATGGTTGAACTAGTTTACAGTCCCACCAACAGTGTAAAAGTGTTCCTATTTCTCCACATCCTCTCCAGCACCTGTTGTTTCCTGACTTTTTAATGATTGCCATTCTAACTGGTGTGAGATGATATCTCATTGTGGTTTTGATTTGCATTTCTCTGATGGCCAGTGATGGTGAGCATTTTTCCATGTGTTTTTTGGCTGCATAAATGTCTTCTTTTGAGAAGTGTCTGTTCATGTCCTTTGCCCACTTTTTGATGGGGTTGTTTTTTTCTTGTAAATTTGTTTGAGTTCATTGTAGATGCTGGATATTAGCCCTTTGTCAGATGAGTAGGTTGTGAAAATTTTCTCCCATTTTGTGGGTTGCCTGTTCACTCTGATGGTAGTTTCTTTTGCTGTGCAGAAGCTCTTTAGTTTAATTAGATCCCATTTGTCAATTTTGGCTTTCGTTGCCATTGCTTTTAGTGTTTTAGACATGAAGTCCTTGTCCATGCCTATGTCCTGAATGGTAATGCCTAGGTTTTCTTCTAGGGTTTTTATGGTTTTAGGTCTAACGTTTAAGTCTTTAATCATCTTGAATTGATTTTTGTATAAAGCGTAAGGAAGGGATCCAGTTTCAGCTTTCTACATATGCCTAGCCAGTTTTCCCAGCACCATTTATTAAATAGGGAATCCTTTCCCCATTGCTCGTTTTTCTCAGGTTTGTCAAAGATCAGATAGTTGTAGATATGCGGCATTATTTCTGAGGGCTCTGTTCCGTTCCATTGATCTATATCTCTGTTTTGGTACCAGTACCATGCTGTTTTGGTTACTGTAGCCTTGTAGTATAGTTTGAAGTCAGGTAGTGTGATGCCTCCAGCTTTGTTCTTTTGGCTTAGGATTGACTTGGCGATGCAGGCTGTTTTTTGGTTCCATATGAACTTTAAAGTAGTTTTTTCCAATTCTGTGAAGAAAGGCATTGGTAGCTTGATGGGGATGGCATTGAATCTATAAGTTACCTTGAGCAGTATGGCCATTTTCACGATATTGATTCTTCCTACCCATGAGCATGGAATGTTCTTCCATTTCTTTGTATCCTCTTTTATTTCATTGAGCAGTGGTTTGTAGTTCTCCTTGAAGAGGTCCTTCACGTCCCTTGTAAGGTGGATTCCTAGGTATTTTATTCTCTTTGAAGCAATTGTGAATGGGAGTTCACTCATGATTTGGCTCTCTGTTTGTCTGTTATTGGTGTATAAGAATGCTTGTGATTTTCGTACATTGATTTTGTATCCTGAGACTTTGCTGAAGTTGCTTATCAGCTTAAGGAGATTTTGGGCTGAGACTATGGGGTTTTCTAGATACACAATCATGTCATCTGCAAACAGGGACAATTTGACTTCCTCTTTTCCTAATTGAATACCCTTTATTTCCTTCTCCTGCCTAATTGCCCTGGCCAGAACTTCCAACACTATGTTGAATAGGAGTGGTGAGAGAGGGCATCCCTGTCTTGTGCCAGTTTTCAAAGGGAATGCTTCCAGTTTTTGCCCATTCAGTATGATATTGGCTGTGGGTTTGTCATAGATAGCTCTTATTATTTTGAGATATGTCCCATCAGTACCTAATTTATTGAGAGTTTTTAGCATGAAGGGTTGTTGAATTTTGTCAAAGACCTTTTCTGCATCTATTGAGATAATCATGTGGTTTCTGTCTTTGGCTCTGTTTATATGCTGGATTACATTTATTGATTTGTGTATATTGAACCAGCCTTGCATCCCAGGGATGAAGCCCACTTGATCATGGTGGATAAGCTTTTTGATGTGCTGCTGGATTCGGTTTGCCAGTATTTTATTGAGGATTTTTGCATCAATGTTCATCAAGGATATTGGTCTAAAATTCTCTTTTTTGGTCTCATAAAATGAGTTAGGGAGGATTCCCTCTTTTTCTATTGATTGGAATAGTTTCAGAAGGAATGGTACCAGCTCCTCCTTGTACCTCTGGTAGAATTCGGCTGTGAATCCATCTGGTCCTGGACTCTTTTTGGTTGGTAAGCTATTGATTATTGCCACAATTTCAGATCCTGTTATTGGTCTATTCAGAGATTCAACTTCTTCCTGGTTTAGTCTTGGGAGAGTGTATGTGTTGAGGAATTTATCCATTTCTTCTAGATTTTCTAGTTTATTTGCGTAGAGGTGTTTGTAGTATTCTCTGATGGTAGTTTGTTTTTCTGTGGGATTGGTGGTGATATCCCCTTTATCATTTTTTATTGCGTCTATTTGATTAATCTCTCTTGTTTTCTTTATTGGTCTTACTAGCAGTCTATCGATTTTGTTGATCCTTTCAAAAAACCAGCTCCTGGATTCATTAATTTTTTGAAGGTTTTTTTGTGTCTCTATTTACTTCAGTTCTGCTCTGATTTTAGTTATTTCTTGCCTTCTGCTAGCTTTTGAATGTGTTTGCTCTTGCTTTTCTAGTTCTTTGAATTGTGATGTTAGGGTGTCAATTTTGGATCTTTCCTGCTTTCTCTTGTGGGCATGTAGTGCTACAAATTTCCCTCTACACACTGTTTTGAATGTGTCCCAGAGATTCTGGGATGTTGTGTCTGTGTTCTCGTTGGTTTCAAAGAGCATCTTTATTTCTGCCTTCATTTCGTTATGTACCCAGTAGTCACTCAGGAGCACGTTGTTCAGTTTCCATGTAGTTGAGCAGTTTTGAGTGAGTTTCTTAATTCTGAGTTCTAGTTTGATTGCACTGTGGTCTGAGAGATAGTTTGTTATAATTTCTGTTCTTTTACATTGGCTGAGGAGAGCTTTACTTCCAAGTATGTGGTCAATTTTGGAATAGGTGTGGTGTGGTGCTGAAAAAAATGTATATTCTGTTGATTTGGGGTGGAGAGTTGTGTAGATGTCTATTAGGTCTGCTTGGTGCAGAGCTGAGTTCAATTCCTGGGTATCCTTGTTGACTTACTGTCTCGTTGATGTGTCTAATGTTGACAGTGGGGTGTTAAAGTCTCCCATTATTAATGTGTGGGAGTCTAAGTCTCTTTGTAGGTCACTCAGGACTTGCTTTATGAATCTGGGTGCTCCTGTATTGGGTGCATATATATTTAGGATAGTTAGCTCTTCTTGTTGAATTGATCCCTTTACCATTAAGTAATGGCCTTCTTTGTCTCTTTTGATCTTTGTTGGCTTAAAGTCTGTTTTATCAGAGACTAGGATTGCAACCCCTGCCTTTTTTTGTTTTCCATTTGCTTGGTAGATCTTCCTCCATCCTTTTATTTTGAGCCTATGTGTGTCTCTGCACGTGAGATGGGTTTCCTGAATACAGCACACTGATGGGTCTTGACTCTTTATCCAACTTGCCAGTCTGTGTCTTTTAATTGGAGCATTTAGTCCATTTACATTTAAAGTTAATATTGTTATGTGTGAATTTGATCCTGTCATTATGATGTTAGCTGGTTATTTTGCTCGTTAGTTGATGCAGTTTCTTCCTAGTCTCGATGGTCTTTACATTTTGGTATGATTTTGCAGCGGCTGGTACCGGTTGTTCCTTTCCATGTTTAGTGCTTCCTTCAGGAGGTCTTTTAGGGCAGGCCTGGTGGTGACAAAATCTCTCAGCATTTGCTTGTCTGTAAAGTATTTTATTTCTCCTTCACTTATGAAGCTTAGTTTGGCTGGATATGAAATTCTGGGTTGAAAATTTTTTTCTTTAAGAATGTTGAATATTGGCCCCCACTCTCTTCTGGCTCGTAGAGTTTCTGCCGAGAGATCCGCTGTTAGTCTGATGGGCTTCCCTTTGTGGGTAACCCGACCTTTCTCTCTGGCTGCCCTTAACATTTTTTCCTTCATTTCAACTTTGGTGAATCTGACAATTATGTGTCTTGGAGTTGCTCTTCTCGAGGAGTATCTTTGTGGCGTTCTCTGTATTTCCTGAATCTGAATGTTGGCCTGCCTTGCTAGATTGGGGAAGTTCTCCTGGATAATATCCTGCAGAGTGTTTTCCAACTTGGTTCCATTCTCCCCGTCACTTTCAGGTACACCAATCAGACATAGATTTGGTCTTTTCACATAGTCCCATATTTCTTGGAGCCTTTGTTCATTTCTTTTTATTCTTTTTTCTCTAAACTTCCCTTCTCGCTTCATTTCATTCATTTCATCTTCCATTGCTGATAACCTTTCTTCCAGTTGATCTCATCAGCTCCTGAGGCTTCTGCATTCTTCACGTAGTTCTCGAGCCTTGGCTTTCAGCTCCATCAGCTCCTTTAAGCACTTCTCTGTATTGGTTATTCTAGTTATCCATTCATCTAAATTTTTTTCAAAGTTTTTAACTTCTTTGCCTTTGGTTTGAATTTCCTCCTGTATCTCGTAGTTTGATCATCTGAAGCCTTCTTCTCTCAACTCGTCAAAGTCATTCTCTGTCCAGCTTTGTTCCATTGCTGGTGAGGAACTGCGATCCTTTGGAGGAGGAGAGGTGCTCTGCTTTTTAGAGTTTCCAGTTTTTCTGCTCTGTTTTTTCCCCATCTTTGTGGTTTTATCTACTTTTGGTCTTTGATGATGGTGATGTACAGATGTGTTTTTGGTGTGGATGTCCTTTCTGTTTGTTAGTTTTCCTTCCAACAGAGAGGACCCTCAGCTGCAGGTCTGTTGGAGTTTGCTAGAGGTCCACTCCAGACCCTGTTTGCCTGGGTATCAGCAGTGGCGTCTGCAGAACAGTGGTTTTTCATGAACGGTGAATGCTGCTGTCTGATCGTTCCTCTGGAAGTTTTGTCTCAGAGTAGTACCCGGCCGTGTGAGGTGTCAGTCTGACCCTACTGGGGTGTGCCTCCCAGTTAGGCTGCTCAGGGGTCAGGGGTCAGGGACCCACTTGAGGAGGCAGTCTTCCCGTTCTCAGATCTCCAGCTGCATGCTGGGAGAACCACTGCTGTCTTCAAAGCTCAGATGGAAATGCAGAAATCACCCATCTTCTGCATCGCTCACGCTGGGAGCTGTAGACCGGAGCTGTTCCTTTTCGGCCATCTTCAGTTTACCCTTTTTTCATGTCCTAGTTTTGCTCAATATTTCTTCCAGCAGATACTCCATACCCATTTTCTCTCCTATTATCCTATATTACATCTTCACTCCTCAGTACTCCTAATGTCTTCTATTTCTGAACTGTTTACTTGGTTGAGCTTGCTTCTTCCACTTGAAGGTAAGCTCCAGGAGAGGAGAAACATTTTCTGTCTTGTGGCAGAGACTTTTTCTGTCATGCATAGACCAGTCCTTTGGGCAGAGAAGGTGGCTTGGTTTGAATACACAGAGACAATAACTTTGGTTCAGGTAATTTCTTTGAGATGCAACCCAAGAAACAGAGGTGAGGGATTGGGAAAGTGAAAGAGGGAAGAGAAGACAACCAGTAAAGGGTGTGGTGTTGAGCAAGTCTCCATCATGTGCAACTGGATAACCCCACTGGGAAAATTGCATGGGACACACCTCAGAATTATTTCACTGAGGCAGTGAAAAGCTGAAGTTCTTATCCACGGGTTCCCACCCCTCATTGGTTGATGCTTGCTACAGGGAACAGTAACTTCTCATCATTTCTGGTCTATCCCTTCAGCCCATGCTTGCAGCCACAGAAAGCCTTTAAGCCGAGAGTCCCAAATGCTAAAAGTGGGAATTGTTTAATGAATCCGTAGACAATTTCCAGGGAAGGCCAAGGGGCTATGGTGGTGCACTTACATATCTACTAGAGTAGGTATTGGATAAATGTTAAATGAGTAAATAAATCACCCAATTTGAAGGAAAACGTAAAATGAATGGTTTATAAAGGCAACATAAAACTTTTTATTTTAACGTATAATGTATCCTTAAAATTACAGGCCAAGTGTTATAAAGGATTTTAATTTTTTGGTATGTGTCTGTGTGCTTGTTTTCAGAACAGCCTAGAGAAAGTAAACAGTTAAAGTTGAGAGCAAAATAAGTTTTTGGATCAGTTACACCAAAAAGTAAATTACTTACTAACAGACTTTCATGTAGCTCTAAGAGTTTTATTTGGCGTGGATGTTTGCATATATAGAAAATGAGAGCTAATGTTATTGTATATTTTATTGTTCATTTAGGAGCACTGTTTGGTTCTGGTAATTTCTTTTTATGAAATGACTTCAGCGAAGCTAACTCTGTTTCAGATAGTCTCAGCTCGTTCCTTGCTCTGAACCTTGTGCTGTAGTTGCTCTTTGTTTTTGGCCTTGCAGTAACATCTGGGCAAAAGAAATAAATCTATTCTAATATATGAATCAGCAGCAGCACCAGTAAGTGTTCTTCAGGGGTTTATCCCCTTATTCTCTCACTATCTCCCAAGGCACTCCTAAACATTCATCCAATGCCGACTGTGGCCTCCCAACTCCCATCATACAGAAACTCTGGAACCACTGCTTTATCTGGATCTAGTTTATGATTCCAGCATAAACTCTGGGCTCTGTAGCTGTTCTGCAGTGCTCCAGCTATCTGAGAATAATCAGCACATTCTAGTAGTGGAGCAGATACGAGACTGTTGAAGTTCATGCGGATGTTGGCATGGGACCCCTGGAGTTTGATGTTGTATAGGAACATAGGATTTAGTGCCCCCATGTGGTTCAGTGAATTCCAAAAGCAGAAAGCTCACTAAAATGGGCCCTGTAGACCTGCAAACAAATCTAGAAGTTTGTTCCTTTTTAACTTTAAAAATATGTGTAATAATTTCAAGTTCACAGAAAACTTACAAGAATAGTACAAAAACTTTCATGCACTCTTTACCTATATTCATTGACTTTTACCATTTTGCTATACTAGTCTATTTTTCTTGTCTGAACTATTACATGGTAGGTTGAGGACAACATGCTTTTTTATTTCTTGATGCTTTAATACATATTTCCTAAAATCAAAGACAATTTCTCACATAAAACTAAACAGTTATCAAAATGAGGATATTTAACATTAAATTTAACACTTCCACATAATCTGCAGTCCATAATCCACTTTCAATAATTGTCGCAGTAATATCTTTCATGAAAAAAATTTAAAAGTTTGAACCTAACTCAACATCATATACCATCTTCAGCTGTTATTTATTTTTAGAGCTTAATCTGTGATAGCTGCTCAGCTTTTCTTTGTCTTTTGTAACTATGACATATTTTTAAAATACAGGCAAATATTATTTCTTTGGTTGGTTGGCTGGCTGGTTGGTTATTGATTATATGGCATGTTTCATGGCTATGACTGCAGCTCCCAAGGGACTTAAAGAGAAAGAAATTCAGCACAAAAAGCAGATCGAAAATTGGAGCAGATAAAATGTCCTAGATGCCTTGAAATATCATGGAATCATATAAAAATGCAAGTTCCAGTGAGAAAGTTAACATCTAATGTGAAGATTCTCTCAACAAAATATGGGATGTTTTAATCCATTGCTGTCTCCTCCAAAGGGGTCACCATCTCTTTTCCTAGACAAACTGGCATTCTCATCCTATCGCCTTTTGACAGGAGTTAAATTAACTTGTGTCTCCATGAATCTCATTGCTCAAAACACACCTCTCAACAGTCATGAAATATGAGAATCTCCAATGCAACCAGCTGCTATCTTATTTATAGAGTAGTTGATAGCTCTCCTCCTTCCCAGCTCATGTGAAAGTATGAGGTACATGGTATATTATTATTCAAATGCATTCCTTGTTTTTGCTCATTTTCTTATTTGCTTGTTTGTTTTTTTTTAATGCCAAATAGTTCTGCTTTCTATAATTAGTAGTTATCAATATTAAATTACTATTAACAGTTATCAACCTGGCTTTAACTTCAGGTAAGAGCAAAGGCATTATAGGACATAAACAAGGTCACAAAATAAAATGCAGATACTCAAAATTGAAGTGTTTCCACAAGATTTCATCAATAGCTCTAAAACGTCCCAGTCCTGTCGTAGGCATTGGGATTCCAAAATTAACCAAGCAGATATACCTCCTGCTCTCTGGAAGTTTACAGTTGAGTGAGAGAGAAGGAAAATTAATTATGCAATTATAATGGATAAGAAAAACTATTAGGGAAGTACATCATGATGCTGAGGTACATAGGAGGATATGCTATCTAGATCTCAGAGCAAGGAAGTCTTTTCAGAGGAAGAAGTTTCTTCAAAGCTGGGACCATGAAGATAAAGAGAAGATAGCCAGACCAGGAGTGGTAAGGGGAAGAGTGGTTCAGGCAGAAATTATGGTCTGTATAAAATCCCAGAGGAGAAATAGAGATAGAAAAATGATAGGAAATGAAAGGCTGGTGATGTATCAGTCAGCTGTAAGAATGCTGTGTAACAAGTCACCTGAAAGTTCAGTGATTTCCTACCATAAGCATTTATTCTTTCATTCATAGGTTGGCTGATCTACAATGAGCTCAGAAGGATGTCTCAGATTTAGACTCTCATTCTTCTAGGTTTAGGTCCAGGTCCAAATGTGGATTGCAGTCAGGCATTATTCCATGTGTTTATTTTAGGGACCATGCTGAAATTACCCAGCAGTTACTGACAGCAATCACTCAGACATGTTCTTCTCATGACAGGTCATTGTGTCTAAGCCCAAAGCCATGAGATGGAGGAATACACTCTTCCCTCATTGAGGAGGTATGTGTGAATATTTATTCAACATAAACCTAGACTATCACATATGATACAATTGGATTATGGAATATAAAGACTGGAGAGATAAGCAGTGGCAATGCCAGCCATACACAGAGTTCAGACTTTATCCACAAATGGTTTTTAACTAAGGAGAGAGACAGAGAGAGAGAACCATATTTGCATTGTAATGTGACCATATTGGTTGCAGTTAGGAGACTAGACTAACACAGGACTACAGTGAAGCTGGGGAAACTAAGAAAGATATTATGAGGACACATTCATCTTTGAAATCATCTCAGATAAACTAAGAAAAATATAAACTAGCGAGACATTCAAGTCTACATTAGTGGTTATTTTTTACATCTTCAGTCTAACAGGTCAAAACAAAAACCAGGATTAGCAGAGGGTTCAAAGGCCATAAACATTGGATTGTAATTGGTGGTGGAAATTGTACTGAATTTACCTTGAATACTCTCATTTTAACTATTTTATTGGTTGTTTTATAGATAATAGCTTGCTTTATAGTACTCTTGCTGTATTATTTTAGGGTTGGGCTCCAAGAATTGTGTCTTATAGGATATTACTACTCAAAGTATGGTCCATGGATGAGAAATATCGGCATCACTTAGATGCTTAGAAGTCTGTCAAAAATTCAGAATATTAGACCCTAAGATAGACCTGTGAAATCAGAAACTACTAGCATTTTAATAAGTTACCCAATTTAGATAGAGAACAACAAAATTAAGTTTTCATATATCTAACTAACCTGTCTCAATTCCATTCATTGAAAACTGATTCCTATGCACAATGGAGTCTAAACATCACTGTTATAGAATATTTAAAGAGGGACTACAAATCAGAAAAAAAGGCATCTTCACAGTCATTCAGTCAAAGCTCGACATTTATAAGATGTTATTGTCAGCAAAATGGTGCATGCAAAGGTGTATTCTTCCAGACCTCTCACATCTAAGGAGCTTGCAATCTTGCTGGCTGAAAGTCACATAAAAGTTTCATACCTAAATATTGTGATGTATGTTAAGAGTGTTAATATAAAGTGTTAGATCATTAGCAACAATCAGTATTGCCTTGGGGTTAGAAAACTTAGTTGAAGGTATGATATGCAGAATAGACTTTGAAGTATTGCTGGGATTCTGAGAGGCAGTTATGAAAGGAGAAGACATTCCAGGAGGCAGTTAAATGCAGAGAGTTGAGGAAAGGCAGGTGTATTAGTCCGTTTTTACGCTGCTGATAAAAACATATCAGAGGCTGGGGAGAAAAAGAGGCTTAATTAGATTTAAAGTTCCACGTGGCTGGGGAGGCCTCAGAATCGTGGCGGGAGGTGAAAGGCACTTCTTACATGGCAGCAGCAAGAGAAAATAAGGAAGATGCAAAAGTGGAAACCCCTGATAAAGCCATCAGATCTTGTGGGACTTATTCACTACCATGAGAACAGTATGGGGGAAACTGCTCCTATGATTCAAATTATCTCCCATTGGGTCCCTCCCACAACACATGGGAATTATAGGAGTACAATTCAAGATGAGATCTGGGTGGAGACACAGAGCCAAACCATTATTAGCAGAGCATATAAACAAACAATGGCCGGGCTCAGTGGCTCACGCCTGTAATCCCAGCACTTTTGGAGGCCAAGGTGGGTGGATCGTTTGAGGTCAGGAGTTTCAGGCCAGCCTGGCCAACATGGTGAAACCCCATCTCTACTAAAAATACAAAAATTAGCTGAGTGTGGTGGTGGAATCCTGTAATCCCAGCTACTTGAGAAGCTGAGGCGGGAGAATCGCTTGAACCCGGGAGGCAGAGGCTGCAGTGAGACAAGATCATGCCACTGCACTCCAGCCAGGGCAACAAGAGCAGAACTCTGTCTCAAAAACAACAACAACAACAAAATGCAACAATAAGGCTCCAAGAGAAGTTTAATCGGATCAACCAAACGTGAAAGAAAGCAGAAGTTGGAGTATGCTTTGGAAACAGCTGGTTTAAAATGGTACACAAAGGAAACTGAAGTTAAAATTAAAGATACAAAGAGAAAGTAGGTGGTTTGAGTTAGGGAAAACGGTGGGATTCTACAGAGAGTACTGGTCAAGAGCACATTGTCTGGAGCCAAAATATCAAGGGTGAACTTTCCACTCTGCTCCTTAGTAGCACTGTGACCTTTGGCAAGTCATTTAATTCTTTCTAAGCCTGGGGTTTTCTCATTAGTAAGAAAGGAAGAGATTATACAAATCTTGCCATAGTTTTATACAATAATGGCTCCCAGAAAATCTTACCTCCTGCTTTCCATTTCCAAGTTGACTCTCCTATAAGTCATGAAACTTATGAATTTGAAGCAAGTAGAAGCCTGCTAAGTTCTTGTGCACCGAGGCTTTTCTTTTGGAATGCCGTCTTGAGACCACCATGATATGGAGAAACTCCCCGGGAAGGAGCCCAGGTGAAAGGCCATGTGGAGAGAGAGGTCCAGCCATTCCAGGCTTTGCAGATAAGTTCAAACCCTGGCCAATTAGCCAGCTTAATGCAGCATATGAGGGAGCCCAGGTAAGGCCATCAGAAACACCACCCAGACAACAGACAGAATTACAGCAATGAATGAATCCTTATTGTTTTAAACTACTTAAGTGCTCAAATGTTATGTTACATGGCAATAGATAACTGGAACATAGCTCATGGATTGTTACGTACATCACCTCATTTCACCTTCATGATATTCTGATGAGATATGTACTTACTCATAGGGAGAACTAAATAAACATTAGATACTATTTTTTAACCTTGAAGACTCACCTCATAAAATACAGAAGCATAATATGTAAACTTTATATGCTAGCCTACAATTTGTCTTGTCTTTCTTCCTCCTTTCTAATTTGAAAATATATCTTTTGGGGATTTTTTCCTTGTCAGCATACAAAGCTCTACTTCATTCTTTGTAATTATCTAGTATTCTATTGAATGGATATTTCATAATTTATATAGCCATTCCCCTTCTTATCGACTTTACATTGCTTCTCATTTTTTAAAAGATTATAGACAATTTTGTAATGAGCATATTTACACATATGTTTCAGTGCACATTTATGAGTGTGTTTGTAAGATAAATTCCTAGAAGTAAAATTTCTGGTTTAAGGTATATGCACATTTTATTTTGTGGTAGATTTTTAATCATTACTTTGATATCCAATGAAGTTGCAGAAATTCATACTCTCATCAAGAGCATGTGAGACTGCCTAGTTCCCTTAACAAATTGTTAGTAATACTATAAATTATTAAATATTAGTATGGCTTCTAATTTGGTGGGTTAAAAATTCTCATTTTTGTTTTAATGTGCCTCTACTTAATAGGACTGATGTTGAACAGCTTTTTGCTGGTCTATAGACTATTTGTAGTTCTGTTTTTTTGTCTTATCTGTTGTACATTTTTCTGTTGTGGTTCTAGCCTTATATTATTGATTTGCAAGAGTACTTTTAAAAATTATTTTACTTTAAGTTCTGGGATACATGTACAGAGCCTGCAGGTTTGTTACATAGGTATACATACGCCATGGTGGTTTGCTGCACCTATCAACCCATCATCTAGGTTTTAAGCCCCGCATGCATTAGGTATTTGTCCTAATGCTATCCCTCTCCTAGCCCCCCACCCCCGACAGTCTCCAATGTGTGTTGTTCCCCTCCCTGTGTCCATGTGTTTTCACTGCCCAACTCCCACTATGAGTAAGAACATGCAGTATTTGGTTTTCTGTTCCTGTGTTCGTTTGCTGGGAATGATGGTTTCCAGCTTCATCCATGTCCCTGCAAAGGACATGAACTCATCCTTTTTTATGGCTGTGTAGTAGTCCACGGTGTATATGTGCCACATTTTCTTTATCCAGTCTATCATTCATGGGCATTTGGGTAGGTTCCAAGTCTTTGTTATTGTAAACAGTGCTGCAATAAACATAGGTGTGCATGTGTCTTCAAAGTAGAATGATTTATAATCCTTTGGGTATATACTTTATATATTAAGGGAAATTACTCTTTGTTCTTACATGCTAAGAATATTTTTTCCAAGTTTATCATTTTTTGACCTTTGTTTATAATATGCCATTGTTGCCACACTGAACTTTGCATTTTGTATAGTCAAATGCATCAGTCTTTCATATTTTCTTTGGGTGGTTTTACAGTTTAGCTTTATTTAAGTGCTCAAATCTTTGTTGCATCTGAGTTTTTAAATTATTTTTATATTTTTATAGATTCAAGGAGTACAAAGGCATTATATTGCATAGTGATGAAGTCTGGGCTTTTAATGCACCCATCACCCAAATAGGATACATTTTATCCAGTAGGTACATTTTTAACCCTCACCCGACTCCCACCCATCTGCATTATTTTTCAGTGCAGCAATTTAGATAAAGATCCTCTACATTATATCCAAATATCAAGCTAATATTGTCGCAATTCCATAAACTAAAATATCTATCAATTCACAATGATTTGAAATCTCATTCTTATGAAATAGTGAATTCAAACTCATTTGTGAGCCCTTTTCTCTTTCATTCACCCTGCTTTTGTGCATGCCCCTGTACCAAAATGATTTCATTATTGTAGCATTATGGAGACCAGTAGACCTAGGCTACTGAATTGCTCATATAAATAGATGAGAATATATCATTTACATATATTTATATTTTCAAAAGAAGTTTACACTAGTCCACTCTAAAGAAAGTACATTTTTATAGGGATTTACAGGTCAATTTTGGAGTGACACCATAAAGTAGGGAACCGTCCACACCACAACATGTACGTCTTCTCCATGTCCCCTAGGGCATGTTTAAAACATCCTCAGTAGTGGCCAGTATTGACCCCCTGAAGATACATTTGCATTTTGGAAATGGCAAAAGTCCTTCAGAGCCAAGCAAGCTTAATAATTATGGGTAACTTGAGTAATCCCTTTATGATCAAAACCAATATTAAGGCTGAATAACACTGCTATTCTAGAAAACTAGTTCTCTAAAACATGCATAAAAGAGGGCTAATGGAAGAGAAAACGGCTCACAAATGAGTTCGAATTTAGTATTTCATAAGAATGAGATTTTAAATCAGACAATTTTTCAAAAGATGTATCCTAAATATGTTTGATTAACTCCCTTGCAATGGAGTAGACCTATAGCCTCTCAAGGTAATTATATTGAACTGATAACACTCAGTTGCACATGCATATCTTAGTATATTTATTTAACCATCATCAAAATAATGCAACCTAATGAAAAATGCAACCTAATGAAAAATGCTCAATATGTTAAATACAATTGAGCACAAATTCTACATTCACCATGATTACATTCATTTAAAAATTACCATGCTTTTGACAAAAATGCAAAAAGAAACCTCAGATAAAATTGAGAGATTTAGAGAGATGTACTTTTTTTCTTTAAAATTGAGTTAATGCTGCTATAAGTGTTTCTGCTACAGTGTTTCTCTAATAAAACAAATTAAGAGCTTAATTACTTTGTAGTCCTATCTCCTAAAGAAGAACCTTATGAGAAATACAAAGTACAGATGTGAAGAAGATGCTTTTCTGGCCAACATGTAGAGTTGCACCATACAGTAAGAACTCACAAACAGAAACCATAGTCTAATGGTCTGTCTTCAGACCTCCAGCTCTGTTGTGTTACCTGGGGCTGATGTGACTCTCAAGATTTCTTATCTGTAAAATGAGATCATTAGAATCGCTTCATGGGCTAATTTAGAACCTTGCTCATCAAAGTGCAGTCCTTGGGCCAGCAGTGTCAGCATCATCTGGAGCTTGCTAGAAAAGCAGAATTTCAAGCCCGAGACCTCCAGAATAACAATATCTGAGGGTAAAATCCAGCAATCTATGCTTTCACAACCTCTCCAGGTAGCTCTTATGCATGCTGAGGTTCGAACACTGCTGGTTAGAGAACTAAATGAATCAGATATAATTACAAACACTGCTTTCCATGAGTTCATTATCATTAGGTAAATCAGCTACAGTGAAAGTTAACCATGTGTATTGGAGGCCTGGGAATAATCAATTTTCTCTTAATTTTGGGTATTTGTTTCTACTGTTTTTTAATCTTAGCATTATTTTGTCTTAGACAAGAAATTTAAATGTTTAATAGAGAAATATTCTTCCTTATAATTTCATAAATATTTGTTGACTTCTACCTATGTCCTGGGCCTTGCATTATATGCTGGGGTTCAGTAATAAAGATTGTAAGAGAGAAAAAGTGATATCTTTTATTTACCCATTGCAAGGTTCATGGCTGACACTTCCATAACAAAAGACAGAGTAACAGGAGAAAAGACAAATTTACTTAACAATGTTCGATGTGACATGGGAGTCTTCAGAAATGAAGACCCAAAGACCCAGGGAAAACGATGTATTTTTATATGAAGTCTGATGAAATAAGTGATGGTTGTGGGGAAATGTCATTGGACACAAGGGGTGTGATCTAATGGTAATAAACTGTGGGATACTTTAGCAAGGTCTATATGTTCATATGCTTGTCTGTATCTCTGCATGGCGTTCCTTCCCACAAAGAACAGGACACCTGTCACAAGAGGATCTTCAGGGGCACATGGAGGAGGCCAGACAGTGACCTTCCTAGGTTGGATGGCTTGGTTCTCTGGGGAAAGGGGTTCTAGTTTTTATACCCAAAAGGGGGAGAAGGAGGACGAGAAAGTAGAGTGGAAGAAGGGCAGAGAGATCTTTTGTTTCTGAAACCCTCACAATCTCCTTCAGCTCAAAAATATGCAGCATGCCAAGGCACCATGCCTCAAGGTATCATGTTTGGAACCCAGATTACATAGCCTCTGCCTTCAGAGAGCTTATAGGCCAACATGAAAGACAGGCAACAAACCAATAATAACAGATGTAGAGAGGCCTATCAAAGAAACACCACTAGTTGTTATGAAAATATCTGACTTGGGTCTCCTACCTTTCAGTCAGAGGGTAGACATTCAAGGATCCATAACCCCCTGCATTTCATTTGCATTTAGGACATATATATGTTCATATTTTCACTGTTCTGGAGAGAACATTTCAAAGGTTTCCTTGAAACTCAAACATGTTAAGACCTCTGCTAAAATCAACATTATTGGCCAGTTTATTATCCTGGTGTTTTGAATCCATCGTCTGGGTAAGATTTCTTTCCCCGCACCACTCTCTCACAAGAGTGCTTGTTTTGGCTTGAATTACCCAGGTATAGATTCAGGAGTGTCTCATCCACAGCATGGAGATATCCCTTCTTCCTTCTTCTATAAAAAATTGAAAGCAAATTGTCTCCAGATATAGGCTTGATCAGGTGCGTGGCTGCACTGCTTAATTATAAGATGTGGTTGTAGATGAAATGTCCTAAGATGAGCTCTCTTAAAAGGACCTTCCCTGACATTTGTTCAACATTTAATTCACTGTTCTTGGAGATGAACAAGCAGTTCTGGTGATGTAGACTTAAAAGCCTCCAAGTTGATTAAAAGCTGTGCTTAAATCTGGACCAATTAATAAAAAGCCCCACAGGGTTAATGTTAAGGGTGGCTGTTATTATGTTTTTCATCTTCATTTCAGGGTTTCTGCAAGTGGATTAATCAGCCCTGTGTATTCATTCTACCACCAGAGCAACAATTCATTTTGATTATTATGTTACGAATACCAGCGACATTCAATAGACCTTGCAGAGAAATGTATATGAGCTTGGGCAAATATCCACTGTAGCACACGAGACAGATCAGATAATAATAGCAGCTGCAGGTTCTGGAACATCACAGAGTCCCTCCATGATACCCACTGAATTGGAATGTCAACCTGGTGATGTAGTTCATCCTTATCACCTAAAAAATTCTACAGTAATGGCAAATATAGCACATGTGTTTAAAAATCAGTATTCATATCACCTTTTGTACAGTCCAAATAGCTTTAATAGTGAATGTCCAAGAGCCTTTACATTAATTGCTAAATGCCGATAGTAAGAAAGTAAATGAAATTTAACCCCAACCCTCCCTAGGGGCTGTGGGATATTTAATAATCCTAAGCCAATTAAAAATAGGCACAAAACCCTTATTTTTTATTTTCTCACTAATAAACTACTGTCTCAATGGGCCTCAGTTTACCACAATTGATTCTGAGTTAGGCAAGTTTTAAATCAAAGCCTCAGTTGGTGGTTTGGTCAGCCTCTTGGTTGAACAAAGGGTCATTTCCATTTTTATCACGTCCCCTCCACACTTCAAATGAAAGAAACAAGAGCAGTGGGCTTTGCAGTTTGTGTGGCCAGGATATACCTGGCTGCCCCCAGGTGGCTCCAGCCATGGGTCCTGCATGGTCACATCCATGCTCCCCGCTAGCTCCCCGGCCATTCTCACGACTTCAGCTTCTGGTAATTTTATGACAGAGTGAATAAGGGAGAGGCACTATTTCTATTTTTTAATGTCCTGTGTTGGACATTAACTAGCATCATTTCTCCATCTCCCCTGGAAACCCACTACTGTCTCCCTACTCATGGATATATTTGGGATTGTAGCAAGATGGAAACCAAGCCAGCGTGCTGCCTCCCTGCCGCGGACACTGCCAGTCCTCTTTCTCTGGGGAAAACTCCTTGCTGCTGCTTCTTCCTTTTCTCCCCCACCTGTTCTGAAAGGAACACAAATGTCCTGAGTCCTCTAGTGATGGGAAGAGAATTGCAACTAGGCTGGTGCCTGTTCTTTGAGGAAGACAGCTGCCTTCCTGCCTGGCTTCAGCACCTGTCCCCAGTACACTGGTCTGTCGAGTTGGCCCAGAGGCAGCTTCACATTTACAAGAACCACCAAGACTGTGCCATCAAGAGAAACAGGGAAGACCTACGGCATGTTTATTCACAGTTGGTTGAGAAACATCACAGATGAATGTGACTGTTATTAGAATTATCCTCATTAATAGCAATTGACAAGCAGTACCATTAGCAGTACACAAGGCACAAAATAATTGAAAAGTACATCTTTTTAAACAGATTTTTGTTTCCCCAAGCCCATTGTTACTCTGGAAATTGCAACGGGCAACTTCTTTTTCAGGCAATTTCCCTCCATTACCCAGAGCAGGTGTAGCCTAAAAGAAAACAGTCACAGACTCGTTCGCAGCAATAGGATAAAAACTAAAAAATTAGAAGCCTGGCTCACCCACCAGGAAAGACACTTCCAGTTCACCTGTTACATGGCTTAGCTGAGATGCTCAGTTGACAGTCATGATGTGGAACTGCCATTCTTTCCTCCTCGGTCAAACCTCTAGAAAGAGAACATAAGAGAAGTTAAAACAAAACAAAAACAAAAACAAAAAACAAAAACAGGCTGCAGAAGGCAGGTGGAGTGAATCTGTATTAAACTGTTGTGTGAGAACTGCCATAGGAAATAGGACTCTCTTCTCTCTCTGACCTTCTTTCTCTTCCTCTTTCTCTCCCTTCCCCCCGACCCCTCCGCCCCTCCTCCTTTCCTTTCTTCATGACTTGTGGCACTGAGGAAACATATGGATTACACACCCATCCTACTCTCAGTAGTTAGAAATTGTTGAATGTACATAAGACACACTGTGCATTTTGCCAGTTTAACATCTATAAACTGTAACGTTAGCCTTCTGGCAGTGCATACCCCAGATTTACAGCAGGTCTGCCTTCCTTCTACCCTGCCAGACTCTCATGGTTTCAGTCACATGTGAGCTGCGGGAAAGCTGGGTCATTTAGTTAAGAGTGAAGGATGAGCAGGGGAGAATGTCCAGGTGTGTGGACCTGTGCATCTGAAATGACTTTCTATAAATATAAATTAAGATATGGTCTGGTTAAAGAATCTGTTCTAATGTGTGATTGTTTCCATCAAAAGACCTACAAAAGTATAAATATTAACCCATGACTAGAGATAAAACAAATCACTTTTATGAAAATAGCACAGTACTAATTTACAGAACTAACCTAAGTGCCCATCAACTAATCAGGGGAGGAAGAAAATGTGTTCTAGATACACCATGGAATACTACTCAGCCACTAAAAGGGATAAAATAATGTCTTTTGCAGCAACTTGGATGCAGCTAGAGACCATTATTCTAAGTGAAATAACATAGGAGTGGAAAACCAAAAACAGTATGTTCTCACAAGTGGGAGCTAAGCTACAAATATAAAAAAGCGTACAGAGTGATATAATGGACGGTACAGACTCAGAGGGGGGAGTGTGGGAGGGAGGCCAGGGATAAAATAAATGACACATCAGGTGCAATGTACCCTACCTGGATGATGGATGCACAAAAATCTCAGAATTCACCATTGCATAATTCACCCATGTGACAAAACACCACTTCTACCCCAAAGGTTACTGAAATTATATATATACATGTATATAAATATATATACACATACATGTCTATACACTCTTAAATATATACAGAAAGAGAGAAAGCACAGTTACCCAAGATTTGGAATGTTGTGAGAATTTTGGGACAGGAGATTATGTAGCTTTATACAATAGTAGCTATAGCCTGAAAGATTATTTGATTGCCGAGGTACCAAAAGGTTTCCTGACCCCCGAGAGCTCCAGAGAGCTCTCTCCTGCACCTCATGTCCTGCTCATCTCCTCCTTTGGTGGAAGCCTTTATATCTCTAGAAAGTATCAGGTAAGGATAATGAATGTCTTGGGAAGGGAAACCTCCTAGGCAGTGGGTGATGCACATGGGTTGGTATTCCAGTTATCAGGCACAGACCAAGGTCCGTGGAGGAAATAGACAGATGTGTTTGAAGGAGTGTTTGCAAGGGGCATGGGAGGCCCAAATGGACTCTCTGTGAGAAGGCCCTGGGTGGTCAAGAGAGAGTGGGAGTACCAACGGAGGCCACACTGTAGCAGCTTCTCCCTTCAGATTCAATTACATGACTCCAGTACCCAACCTCCACTTACCATTTATTGTCTCTGTCTACCCTGCCCAATGTCTCCCAGAAATACACTGATAAATAGCTTCATATGTAATGTGCCCCATGTCTCAATTTCACAGCCTTTTTGCTTTCCTTTCTATCTAAAATATAAACTGAAATTAAATACTTCTCCCAAAGAACTCAAAGCTGTAATAGGATGTAGTACTAAGAAGTGGCAAAGCAATCATCATGGAGATTGAACCATCCGGAGCAGCATGGCCACATCCTCCATGAACCTTGAGTAATCACAGCACATACTTGGGAGTTGGGAATAACACCGTCCTTTTCCATGTTTAGATTTTAGTGAAGGGCAGAAAGCTCTGGTGTACCTTCCATTTGAGTTTAGCACAGACAGCATACATACAGATGCTCCTTGACTTATGATGGGGTCAAGTCCTGATAAAGCCATCATAAATTAAAAAATATCCTAAGTCAAAAATGCATCGAAAACATCTAACCCACCATACATTATAGCTTAGCTTAGCCTACTTTAAATGTGCTCAGAACACTCACGTTAGCCTGTAATTGGGCAAATCATCTGGCAACACAGTGCGCTGTAGAGTGCTGGTTGTTTGCTTTGTAATTACATGGCTGACTGGGAGCTGTGGTTTGCTGCCACTGCCCAGCATCAGGAGTGAGTATCCTACCCCATATTGCTAGCCTGGAACAAGAGGAAAAATCAAAATTCAAGTACAATAGATGTATAACAGTTTTGCACCATCATAAAGTTGAAAAATCATAAGTCAAACCATCCTAACTTTGGGACTGTCTGTATAATACCATATAAATATAGTATAAAGAGGCCTGAATGCAAAGTCAGAAGATTTGAGCCACAGTTTTGATGCCACCACTTTGTAGTTTTGTGACTTTGGGGAAGGCAACTAACTTCTTGAAGAATTGAGTCTTCACATATTTAAGCCGGATTTAATAATATAGGGCTCACAATGCTGCGTTAAGACTCTACAGACATTAAATGATTTGGAGACATTATGGAAGCAACAATTATAATTATTCCTCTTCTTGATTCAGTCCTGAATGAGGTTGGGTAAGCCCTCTGTGGGACACGCATTGCTCTGCCCATATGGCTGTGCTCTTATAGACTCAGGGCATGCCAGTCCCACCACCACCCCCAGCACCTACACTTCCTTGCCTGAGGTCTTTTTCTGGCTGCTGGAACCTCCCTTGACACCCATGTAGCATGCAGGACATGCTGGAAAGTGAGGCACCCATTTTCACCAGAGCAGCCTTCAATTAATGAGGAATGGAATTTGCTATGTAAATTTACCAGGTCCCTCATGCCTTAGGTGGGATAGCCCTGGGGTCCCTATCAATACATGTTATCAGTGTTCTCTGGGGGTATTAAGTTCCAGTCACCCATAGTGTAACTTGATTGATAGCTTAGCTTTTGTTGACATCCCCACTTCACTATCTCACCTAAAATTCTGCAATGGGCCACAGCGAGGAAGGGAAATGGTTCCATTCTGACAGCTGCAGTACCTCTTCAGATCCTTGAAAGACCATTCAATCATTACATTTGTCAATACATACTCTGTCCTTTAATACTTATCTTTAGTCCATTTTCTGTTGCTTATAACATAATACCTGGAACTGGGCAATTTGTACAGAAAAAGAATTTATTTCTTACAGTTACGAAGGCTGAGAATTCCAAGGTTGAGGGGGCCCATCTGGTGAAAGGCTTCTTGCTGGGGGAGACTCTGCAGCATCCAGAGACAGCGCAGGACATCACATGCCAAGGGTTGTGATGCTAGCTCAGGCCTCTCTTCCTCTTCTTATAAAGCCACCAGTTCCACTCCCATTAGAGCAATTAGTGGATAACTCACTAATCCATTAACTCATTAATCCATTAATCCATAAATGAGTTAATCCATTATGGAGGCAAAGCACTCATGATCTAATCACCTCTTAAAGGCCCCACCTCTCAGTATTGCCACATTGGAAATTAAGTTTCAACATGAGTTGTGGGGGGAACATTCAAATCATAGCAATATTTAACTTAACCAACCTAAGCAGTTTTACTTGATAAACAACACTCATGCTGTTGCCTTCTTATCTATGAATCTCTTAGTACTTGTGTAAGATGTCCACACAAAATTATTCTTTTTCTTTTTTTTTTTAAAGGGTGTTGAGCAGCTGGTAGCAGGTGATGGAGAGAGAGTGAATGGAGAATCAAAAGGCCGGGGTGTTAAGCGCAGAGAATCTTTTTTTTTTTTTTTTACAAGGAAACTTTAATAACAGCGCCTCTGTACAGAGAGCTGTACAATCTTCCTCTGTAACTACCAAAACTGATGTGTTTAAGGTGTTTTTTCTGCATCCTTGAGGAGCACAGGAAAGTCAGGACCCTGGGGTCTCCAATGCCTTTTATGGAGATAATATCCAGTTAAAAAATAGTCCAGGGTAGCCTTGAAGGAAAAAATCTTGGGCAGTAGATAACAGACAGGTTTAATGTTCATGAGGAAAGGGGTAGAGAAAAGTTGCTAATCAAACTGCATGGTTCTCGAGAAAGCTCCGATCATCTTTGCCTTGAATCTTTATTTTGTGGGTATCAGGAGTCTTCTCAGCAGCAATATTGGACACTCCATTAAGGCAGAGGAAAAAAAAGATTTCTATTTGTTATGTATATCCATCCAATTATATTAGTTTCTTTCCATCCACCCATCTATTCATCCATCCATCCATCCATCCATCCATCCATCTATCCATCCATCATGCCTTCTAGCCCTCCTTCCAACCCTTCTTTCATCCATTTTTATCCCTCCTTTAACTCCTCCCTCCATGCTGCTTTCTAGTCTACCTTCCATGCCTTTTTCCAGTACTCGTTTCCTCCTTTCTTTCATTCTTTTTTGATCACGTTTTAAAATCCCTACTTTCATCCATTCATCCAGCCTACTATGTTCTTCCCTTTTCTCATTCATTAATATTCTTAACAGTGGCACTGGGGCACAATAGTTAAGTTTCACACTCTGGAGTCAGGCTACCTGGGTTCACATCCATTTTCATTAGTCATTAGATGTGTGCCCTCAGGCAATTTACTTAAAGTTGCTAACTTGAGGTTCCTAGTTTCTTTGTCTATAAACTGAAGTTAAAAATAACCCCTACTATATGGCTTATTCTGAGAATTAATGTACATATTATACATACAGTAGAGACTGACTTGTATTAAGTGCTCTGTAAATAGTCATTGTTGTTATAAGTATACTTCTGGTATTGAGTTTCTGCAAAGATAAATTTTTAAGACATAGCCCTTGCTTATAAGGGAATCCTATGCCTGGAGAAAGGTAATACAGCATCAAAAGATGAGCAAGTAATTCACTTCTCAAGAGGAAGATTAGCTCACTGTGTTCATTTCCTAAAGTGTATAATTCTGCATTATTGCCTCTGACAAATGGTGAAATATTTGAGGGCCCTGTGTTTCCAAAGCTCTGCTACTCTCTTACAACTCCTGACCTTTACCCCGTTTCAGTTATTTTCTATCAAGTGTGTTCATCTGAAGCTTTATTTGCACACTGAGTTTCTTGCCAGCCTCCTGCAATACAATTTAACCTGAGAGGCAATATAATATTCTTGTTGGGCATAGCAGCAGCTCAATAGAATAGATTGGGAACTCTCGCCAATGGGAATATGATTTAGGTCCCCTTGTTATGAGGAAAGCTCTGCATGCTCTTTCAGCTCTGTTGAGATGAGGCCTCTCAAACAGCAACTGTGATTCTGATATACTCGGCCTAACTCTTTTTTTTTTGTATTTCTAGTCCCTCACTACCCTTTTTATTTAAAGCTCAAGGACTTTAATACCCAGACAATTTTAAATGAATACTTAAGAATTGTCAGAGCTAGTTTGAAAAATTAAGCAAAGAATAACTTAAAGTTTACTTTGGGGGTCTACTGAAACTCCTACCAGGGCATTTGAATAAACCTGCCTAGTCTCCTATGTCTCAGAAGCAGAACTTTACAAACTTGTCTCTGCAGACACACTGAGATCCAACATTTCCATGATCAGTCAGAAAACAAAGATTTATAACCCTCATCTGGTACCTATAATTTGATGTGATTACAAGTGCAGTATTGGAAAAAAATAGCTTAGACCATACTGTGGCAACCGAAAAATCATAAAATCTCAGTGGTCCATTACTAAACTTTTATATATAAAAGTGCATTTCTGGCTCTTGAAGAATCTGAGGCAGGTTGATGGGAGCTCTCCTCCACCTTGTAACTCAGGGATCCACGCTCCTTGCATGTCCCATTTCCACCATCTCAACATGGAATTCCCAAGGTTACTGAGGAAGGCAGAAGGGTAAGAAGTTGCTGAGAAATTGCTCTCTCTTCTCCTCACTGCCTCAGCTATAAATTGACATCCCTCACTGCTACTTATGATCTGTTGATTAAAGCTTATTTGTCTGCATCCTAATGGCAAGGGCTGAGAAATTCAGATGAACACATAAAATATTTGTTGCCCCTGAACATCTCATTCGTAATTGGTATAGATATAGACATTCCAAATCCATAAGAGAAAAGAGGTGCCAAAATGATAAAGGTAATGAGGGATGTAGCTTGCTTCTAAATGACTATGAAGGGGCTCAGGCAAGAATTGTTGAGACCAGAGGCTCCATCCTAAACAGCCCAGCCACCAGCACATTTCTTGAAATTCTCATGGCCTATCTTTAGAACTAAACTTTTCATGAGTTTAAAAATATAAAATTTCAACCTCGTTTCACCAATGCTGAGAAGGTGACACATATTTATACTTAGATTATCTCCTGGCACAACATATGCCCTCCCAAGAATCTGACTTCCCTAGTTTAATGAGAACACTTTAAATGTTTAGTGTTATTTAATGGTGGTGATGAGGGTGCATTTAAGATATGGGGAAATGTCGCCGTTAATTTGAAAAGCCTGCACCATTGTTGAGTATTAGTCTTAGTACACCTTGACTGCTACATGCCAATCAGAATGCTTTATACTCTTTTTGATTAGCTTTTATCTTGTGGCCCCCTCAGTGTCCAGTCATGAAAGGCCATGAACCCAGGGAGTAGCAGTCTATGCAAAGCCTACTGAAGATTAACAAGGGCCTGCTATTAGAATTTCTTCTTCTCTCTCTATTTCTCTCCCTTTCCAGCCAGGGAATTTCACTGAACAACAAAGGCAAGTCTTACACTAGTGAGTCCTAGTGATATTGTCTTGCCTTCAAAGGACAAATAAAGCTGGAAACCTTCTAAGATGAAGCATGAGTTTGCTTGTTTCCAGGTTTTTCTGGTCTCAGTTGCCTGGGAGCTGCTCTCACACTCCTCAGTGTCTCCTGGACCCTCCTTACCCCAGAGTCTAAATCAGATGGTACCCCTCCATTCTCAACATCCTGATCACCTGAGCTCTGAGGCCTGCCTGGCTCTGCAAAGCTCTTCCCTTTGCTTCTACAGCCCAAACCGATGATAGCTCTTTGGAAAGAATTAAGCTAATACCTCATATGAAATAATTATTTCATTAAGCAAATTCTTATCGCATAGCTGCTGTCTTCTAGGCTCCACTGTACGTGACAGGAAAAACAAAGGCAACATCGGTTCCCTTTTTATTGTGCAGTTTACTTTCTAAAAGTGGGAAACAGGTAAAGAAATTAAGATGATTCTGGATGATGATCAATGCCACAAAGACAAGAAAACAGGACGATGTGATAGGAGTGACTGGGACCAGGGACACCCTGCACTGAGTGGTCAGGGAAGGCTGCCCTGCCCAGAAGCAGCAGCCCTGGCACGATGGGTGGGGAAGCCAGGCAAAGGTGCTAGGAATGAGCTCAGAATACAGGATGGAAAGGACAAAATTCCCTTCTTCCTCTTCCCACACCCAGAAAGTAATGTGGTGCTCCTTTTTCTGATCTCCATTCTAGTGGCCTAGATCCTCTGTGTAAGCAAGGCTATAAATTTTATATTAAATGTAATAACAGAGCATCTCGAAGAAAGCTCTCATTTCTCTCTTTGCTGAATTAGCATCTCTTCACAGGGCTAAACAAAACACCTGCCTTGATCTGTGGTCAAGCTGCTGTGACTTAACTTTCTCTGTTTAGATCAGTGGCTGATAACAAATTATAATTGAAACAACTACTCATTTTCTGCTCGCTCTCAATCAGGCAGACAACATCCCTCTGACTGATTAAGACACGGGGGGAAATATTTTCCCTGTTCCCAGTGACTGCTGATGGACGGCACTGATTCCTCATTGCTGCCCAACCCTTCTTCTAGGAGGCTATCAATTTCTGCAGATTCCTTGGCTGAGTTCGCTGCTATTTATTTCAGTTGCTGGAAGAATTGCCTCAGAAGTACATGTGGCCATGTACACAGTGGGAACTCAACGAGAATGATGAAGACAGGGTGAGAGAGGTAGACATGACATAGACTTACCAATTAGATCAGCACTGCACTCACTCAGAAAAGGTCAGCCTCATTACTCTTTTTTACACCATAGCTTCTTTCTCTCTCCATCTTTTCTTGGTGTGGCCTTGTGCTGTATTCTCAAGGCAAATGCAATAACAAGGAAGAAAAGGAAAGAAAAGATGGATGCCACCCAGGGGGGGTTGGCATGGGCACAATTATGGTCTTCTAAAAATAAGGGACTTTCTCAAAGAGGCTTATCTTGAAGAAGATGACTTAATAACCAGGAGTTCACAAGTCCATACTTGATGTAAAATATATTCCTGCTCCTCCCTTCCCCTTTTTTTTCAAAACAAATAACTTGAAAATCTACAATATGTGATATGAATCAAGCAAGGAATGGGGTCTTGAGGAGGCTTAATTCAGAGCCCTATTCTGTCAATAGCTCACGGGCAGCTCTGGGCAAATTCCTCCGCATCTCTGGTTTTCAGTCTCTTCATCTGCAAAGTAAGGGCATTTGATGGACAAAACTAAGGTCTCTTTTTGTCCTAAAATGCCATGATTACTATGCAGTAGGTAAGATTAAATTTAACTGAAGTAAATAACTTTTTGACAGGCACTAGATTAAAAAATTTGAAAAAGGAAACTTTTTAATGTCTCTTTCTAAAAACAAGCTATCCAATATATCCACACGTTAAGCTCTGACTTCTTAGTGTAGGGACACTCTGCCTAGGGCTAGATCAGACAAGTGGGAATCCTGAAAACGTTACAAGAAGAAACACTTTTGTTTTGTCTTATTTTATCTTGTTTTGTTTTGAAGAACAGTTTTAAAATGATTCTGAAAACAGTATTGTAAGGGAATGAGAAATCAGTGTTATTAATTCATTTATCTTTCTCCTTGTTTGCCAATTTTAAATTAATTAATTTGTTTTCTATGTTGTTCTAGAAAACGTTTAAAGTGACAGAAGAATTAATAATACAATCATCTATCCATTAGCTGCTGTTTAATTTTGTTTACCAAGACCTAAATATCTCTTTGTTGATATTTTAAAGGCAAAAGATCCTCATTGTCCTGTAAAAACTGGTGATATGTTTAAAAATGTTTCTTCCTGGGCCTGCTTAAAAATTTTCCTCAATCATACTCTAAAGTCGGTTAGAATCAAACACTTTTGAAAATCATTTCGGGAGAGTGTCCCAAATCTATTTCACAAAGTTTAACTGGGTGTTTAAAAATGCCAGGGAAGCTGAGTCTAGCTGGGGAGATAGGCATAGAAAAAATAAATGACAATCCAGGGCCAAGCTGTGCATTCCAAAGGGCACCATGCCAAATGCACACTGGGGCCAGGCTACACCCACATGAGGCACAGCCATTGAGCACTTTGTAATCTTTAATCTGCGGGGTTTGCTCCCTTTTTAGCAGATCATTCAACCTTTTCATGAAGCTCCTCCCAGTGTCCTGAAATAGCAGTAACTCCTAGGGTAGGCCCCGATGGTTTCCTGCCTGATATGTGAAGATTCTGACTCTTTCAGAGGTCAGAGGTCCTGCAGCCCCCCATGAAATTTCTTAACATTGACCAAAGAATTTCCTTCAATGATTGGAAGGCAAGTGGTTCTCAATCTTGGAGTCACTGTGAAGATCTTAAACATTCTTCTGCCTAAGCAGCATCCTAGACTAATTATAATTCACTCTTCCTTAGAAGTGGAGGCCCAGGCATAAAGTATATTAGGTAATTCCAATGTGCAACTGAAACTAAGAACCTCTGGCTTAATGTATATTAAAATCTGAGCAGAGTGGCCCATAGAATTAAATTCATGCTAATGTGGAAATGACTGATATCATTCACTTTTATAAGAAGCTTTTTTAGATTAAAAAATTGACTAACCGTAATTGTACAAAATAATGGGCTACATAGTGATGTTTCAATACATGTAATGTATAGTGACAGATCAGGGTAATTAGCATATCCATCATTTCAAACATTTATCATTTATTTGTGTTGAGAACACTAAATATTCTCCTTCTAGCCATTTGAAGCTATATATTATTGTTCACTGTAGTCACCCTATAGTGCTATAGAACTCCAAAACTTATTCCTACTAATTAGCCATAGAGGCTGTTTTCGAAAGGGAAAAAAGTAAGGGAGGAACAGTAGCAAACATCCTTAAGATAGTCACCTGGTCTCTCTGAGTCTCTGTAACTTCGGTTAATGATAAAAACAACAAAAAATTAAAAAACCTAACAGACTTCCAATGAATGCTACATTGCACTATTTTTAACCCTCAGATAACCTTAAAGATGGGTATCTTGAGTCTCAATTTAGAGGTGTGGAGAGGTTAAATAATTGTACAGGAGCTTATAATGAGTAAATTCTGAGGGAAGATTCAAAACTATGTATCTCTCTTTATAAAGTCAATGTTTTATAAGAAACAGGGTCTAATTCAAAGGATAATGGGATGGAGCATATATTGTGTCTTCCTCTTAATAGATTCTGTATAGGTTGGTCTCCTTCAACACTCCAGGGGGAAGGATTTTCACACATATACTCCCTCGGAAGAAAATTCCTTAAGTAGGTCCTTCTGGGAAAGGGCTGGGGAGATGAAAAGAGCAGGTGCTTAAGATTTCTTAAGCATGACAGAGCAACAGGGCTCTAGGCAAATTGGAGGGGATGACTTGTTCCTGAGTAGCGTATTTAGGAGCAAAACGGAAGGGGCCAGGCTCAGACCTGGGTAGCAACCTGTCAAGGTGAATTAGGGTTATGTTGATTGCTTACTGAAAGGTTCTAAATGCAATATAGAGGTCACCTATAATCGTCGGAGTTGTACTGCTTCCCTAAATGACATGCCGTCTGGCTCTGCCTATCCAGCAGTGATCACATTAGAGTCAGACCTCCATCTCCAAGCAGTCAAGGAGTATTGAATTTGCCTTTTTTTTTCTGAGCAATAAAAGCAGACTTCTAATTTAATTAATCTTATTCTTGATTGCATTAACTACCCACATGGCCAGAAAGTACAGCTTGGACCTCAGGCAACCAGACACTGTCCACATTAACCTCTCAGGCATTGAGGTTTCAGGGTTCCCATGAAAGGACTGATTCATTTTGCTGTTGATCAGAAGTCTGATCAACAAAGAGCCAGCCAAAAGAGCCCTGCTGTCTTTAGCTATTCGATGCTCTAAAATCAAATTCTAAATCGGGGATGGAGGAGGATCCAAACATTTCTATAACAGTCTTTTGATCTGAGGAATACAGAGCTATTTTCTTTGAACCAATGAAGCCTTTTATCCTCAAACTTATATTTCCAAGAAAGCAAAATGATGACTTTACAGTGATAGACATTCATTGGGTTTGATCTTGACAGTCTGGATATTGGGCCATTGGTATGTGGGACTGAACAGACACTATATGTTGCTGACAAAATCAATCTGTTTTTAACTAGAGCTCAAACAAAGGTACACATGAAATCAGATAATTTAGAAAGTATTGGAAGGCAGCATCCAAAATAATACAGGAATAGAAGGGAAAAATGTAATGAGGTGACACATAATAGCGGGGAAAGTAATGTTTTCTACTTAGGTTACCAAACTAATCTGTACAAAAGCAGTAAGAGGTATGTAGCCTTGAACAGCAGTAGGTATGGAAAAATACTTATTGATTATAGTAGATGAGAAAGCCAATAAAAATAAAAAAAATGATGCAACTGATAGAAGCCAATGTTACGCTAGGCACTGTAGAGTCACTGTTGGTGCCCTGCCCAGATCTGCTTTATTAGGCTGATGCTTCTATCCCCCAGTTCCTATGAGTGTTGGCTGCTAAATAGCTCAGAGCTGACCCCATTGACTGAGAATTGCCTTTGGCTGCTAGGAGCCACATTGCCTGAACGGTAACACTTTTCTCTGGTAGCCTATAGCCAATGATTGATGGAATTACAGGTGCAAGAGACTTACAGGATCCTTTGCCTTTGGAAATGGGGTTCAAGTCTATGTTGCTGTTCACTGTCTAGCACTTCCTATGGGATCAGCATGGACTCCAGCTGAGACAGCATCCTTGCTTGGCTCTTTCTCCTAGACAACCTGTTTCCCTTACTCTCATTCTTCTGAAAACAACTGCCCAAATAATTACTTCCCTATGCTACCATCTCAGGCTCTGCCCACCAGGAACTGGGCCTAAAACTGTCCGCATTGATGAGGTTCTTTGTCCAGAACGAGAGGGCTATCTTACCAATCTACCTTGCAGCATCCGAAAGTTGCTAGATTTGCAACACTTCACCCAAAGAAGCCAGATCACAAGCTAGAAGACTTCCACAGGGAGGCAACCCAGATGGTGAAAAATTGAGATTTTTGACATTTAGAAACTGTTTTAAAGATTGAGATTATGGAACATATTTGGAAAGGCCTAGAGCTGGATGGGTACTGAGAAACTATTCATTTTTTCCTGGAAGAAACGACACTTGTTAGTCTGGTGGAAGAGGGTAATATTCATTTACATGGCTCCAGAAGGAAGAAAACACTACAAGAGGACTTCCAGAGCACAGATTTGGGCTCAAAGTAAAAGCTTTCTGCAGAGATATCCTGTATCACAGAATACAAATTCTGAAAGAAACCAAAGCTATGTCTTCTATGACCACTTGCTTTAGTCAGAGATCTATGAGACTCATGGAGGTTAAGCATCTTTGTAAACACCACACTGCTGTAGAATAGCCCAGCTAAAAGCAGCACCTCTCAGACTCCTGTGTTTCTCCCTTGTAAGTTGTTTATCTCTGTCACACTCCCAGTTAACTGGATCATCTTTTTTTTTTTTTAAGATCCATTGTGTGTAAGAAGTAAAATTATAGCATATTCCAAGACATCTATTCACTTAAAAATATTTATTGAGCATTTATTTTGTCTTAGGCAGTGTTCAAAGAACTTGGTGTTAAAATTAATTTTATTTTATTTTATTTTTTATTTTATTTTATTTTTTATTTGGAGGCTTGCCTTAGTTTACATTTTGAGATAAATATTGGGATCATTTACACAGTAATAATAGTGCACATGAATGAAAACTACTTAAAACAGAAAGGTTGTATTAGAACACTAAAGAGAGAGAGGAATTTTTGAAGCAGTTCAACAGACTATTTCATAAAGAAATTGAAATGATTGTATTTTATTTTCTAGATATTTTAGCCAGAGAAATATATTCTTAAGTATAGAATAGATACATAAAATTTCTACTACATTGTATGTAGGCAGCAGTGTCTATCCTTTGTGCCTGTACAGAGGATTTACAGAGGCCACAGGTTGGACAAGCTTGATCTAGATAGTGACTTGAATAAGACAGGCAGTTCCTGCCTCCATAGAAGTTACATTGTGTCACAGCTCTCAAATTTCTACAGTTCTCCCATATAGAGAAATGGGAATTTTAATTTTATTATTTTATTTTTGGGGAGACAGGGTCTTGCTGAGTCATCGAGGCTGTTGTGCAGTGACACAAACATAGCTTACTGCAACTTTGACCTCCAGAGCTCAAGCGATCCTCTGCCTCAGCCTCCCGAGTAGCTGAGACTACAGGCGTGCACCAGTAGGCCCAGCTAATTTTATAAATTTTTCTTTTTTGTAGAGACAGGGTCTCACTTTGTTTCCCAGGACTCAAATTCCTGGGCTCAAGTGATCCTCTTGCCTCAGTCCCACAAAGTGCTGGGATTACAGGTGTGAGCCACCACGCCTGGCCAGAATTTTTGATTTTATAAGCTAAATGTCTTCAGATGTTTTATATTTGGAATTTTAACCATTATTCAGATAAACCAGAAATTCAAACAGAAAAGTCCTACATTCAGGATCAATCACATTGATTTTTGTAATAGGTGTATTATACATTTTTTTTTATACTTTAAGTTTTAGGGTACATGTGCACATTGTGCAGGTTAGTTACATATGTATAGATGTGCCATGCTGGTGCACTGCACCCACTAACTCGTCATCTAGCATTAGGTATATCTCCCAATGCTATCCCTACCCCCTCCCCCCACCCCACAACAGTCCCCAGAGTGAAATATTCCCCTTCCTGTGTCCATGTGATCTCATTGTTCAATTCCCACCTATGAGTGAGAATATGCGGTGTTTGGTTTTTTGTTCTTGCGATAGTTTACTGAGAATGATGTTTTCCAGTTTCATCCATGTCCCTACAAAGGACATGAACTCATCATTTTTTATGGCTGCATAGTATTCCATGGTGTATATGTGCCACATTTTCTTAATCCAGTCTATCATTGTTGGACATTTGGGTTGGTTCCAAGTCTTTGCTATTGTGAATAATGCCGCAATAAACATACGTGTGCATGTGTCTTTATAGCAGCATGATTTATAGTCCTTTGGGTATATACCCAGTAATGGGATGGCTGGGTCAAATGGTATTTCCAGTTCTAGATCCCTGAGGAATCGCCACACTGACTTCCACAATGGATGAACTAGTTTACAGTCCCACCAACAGTGTAAAAGTGTTCCTATTTCTCCACATCCTCTCCAGCACCTGTTGTTTCCTGACTTTTTAATGATTGCCATTCTAACTGGTGTGAGATGGTATCTCATTGTGGTTTTGATTTGCATTTCTCTGATGGCCAGTGATGATGAGCATTTTCTCATGTGTTTTTTGGCTGCATAAATGTCTTCTTTTGAGAAGTGTCTGTTCATGTCCTTCGCCCACTTTTTGATGGGGTCGTTTGTTTTTTTCTTGTAAATTTGTTTGAGTTCATTGTAGATGCTGGATATTAGCCCTTTGTCAGATAAGTAGGTTGCGAAAATTTTCTCCCATGTTGTACGTTGCCTGTTCACTCTGATGGTAGTTTCTTTTGCTGTGCAGAAGCTCTTTAGTTTAATTAGATCCCATTTGTGAATTTTGTCTTTTGTTGCCATTGCTTTTGGTGTTTTGGACATGAAGCCCTTGCCCATGCCTATGTCCTGAATGGTAATGCCTAGGTTTTCTTCTAGGGTTTTTATGGTTTTGGGTCTAACGTTTAAGTCTTTAATCCATCTTGACTTGATTTTTGTATAAGGTGTAAGGAAGGGATCCAGTTTCAGCTTTCTACATATGGCTAGCCAGTTTTCCCAGCACCATTTATTAAATAGGGAATCCTTTCCCCATTGCTCGTTTTTCTCAGGTTTGTCAAATATCAGATAGTTGTAGATATGCGGCTTTATTTCTGAGGGCTCTGTTCTGTTCCATTGATCTATATCTCTGTTTTGGTACCAGTACCATGCTGTTTTGGTTACTGTAGCCTTGTAGTATAGTTTGAAGTCAGGTAGTGTGATGCCTCCAGCTTTGTTCTTTTGGCTTAGGATTGACTTGGCGATGTGGGCTCTTTTTTGGTTCCATATGAACTTTAAAGTAGTTTTTTCCAATTCTGTGAAGAAAGGCATTGGTAGCTTGATGGGGATGGCATTGAATCTGTAAATTGCCTTGGGCAGTGTGGCCATTTTCACGATATTGATTCTTCCTACCCATGAGCATGGAATGTTCTTCCATTTGTTTGTATCCTCTTTTATTTCCTTGAGCAGTGGTTTGTAGTTCTCCTTGAAGAGGTCCTTCACATCCCTTGTAAGTTGGATTCCTAGGTATTTTATTCTCTTTGAAGCAATTGTGAATGGGAGTTCACTCATGATTTGGCTCTCTGTTTGTCTGTTATTGGTGTATAAGAATGCTTGTGATTTTTGTACATTGATTTTGTATCCTGAGACTTTGCTGAAGTTGCTTATCAGCTTAAGGAGATTTTGGGCTGAGACAATGGGGTTTTCTAGATATACAATCATGTCATCTGCAAACAGGGACAATTTGACTTCCTCTTTTCCTAAAATTAATTTTAAAAAAGGAAATTGGAGGGCAGGCATGGTGGCTCACGCCTGTAATCCCAGCACTTTGGGAGGCTGAGGTGGGTGGGTCACAAAGTCAGGAGTTCGAGACCAGCCTGGCCAACATAGTGAAACCACATCTCTACTAAAAATAGAAAAAGAAAAAAATTAGTTGGGCATGGTGGCAGGCACTTGTAATCCCAGCTACTTGAGGGCTGAGGCAAGGAGAATCGCTTGAACCTGGGAGGTGAAGGTTGCAGTGAGCCAAGATGGCGCCACTGCACTCCAGCCCAGGCAACAGTGCAAGACTCTGACTCAAAAAAAAAAAAGGAAATTGGAGATCCTTGCCCAATTTGTATGTGTCTATATCTTAAATAAGGTAAAGAATCTTGCACAGAGAGGAAACCTTCCCTGTGTCCTTAAATATATTTGGCAATGAAGTAGAGTGAGGCCTCAGTCTGAGCTGATAGAAACCTGAAGAAAATAAGGATCTTTGATACCAGTCTGATGTATCAAAATAAAAGATCGGACAGAAGTAAACAGTACCCAATTTCTTATTCTGTCATTTGTTTTCCTCTTCATTGTTCAGAGAAGAAAGAGGAGGAGGAGGAGGAGAGAGAGAAGGGGGAGGAGGAAGAAGCGAAAGAGGAGGAGGAAGAGGAGGAAGAAGAAGAGAAAGGGGGAGGAGGAGAAGGCAGAGGAAGAGGAAAGAATTGAGTGATATGATCTGATTTCAAGTGGGTCAAGGGTCTTATATTCACCAGTGTGCTCTTTCTCTCTCCTGACAAATTAGCTACCATTCAAAGTTCTCTGTAGGTCAGAGTATTTACTTAGAACTGTGGGTGTGCTGCCTAGCAACTGGAATGGTAACCATTTCACCTTGGTTCTGACAGGTGCCTCAATTTGGCCTCTGTTACTTACTCAAGATCCTGGATTCCCCACTGGAATCAGGGGAATTTATCTTTAACAGCAGCACCTTTCACCAGCTCTCTGAATACAAAGATCATCACTGTGGTTCTGTTCCTCACCATTGGAAGTTTCAAAGTTCTAGTGAAGGAAGAGTCTTCTGGGCTCTCTTGAGGGACACTGTTTGGAAAGGCCTAGCAAGTCATATATGATAAATCTACTTTAATATTCAGATCCAGATTTCAGCCAACCAAACTGTCAGCACCACTGGCAACTGTGTGAATCAACATCTCTGGAACATTCATTCATGTTGATAAAATTAGGCAGATCAAAATTGTTTTTGTTTCTTTTTTTATCTCACATTATTGAAATCAATTCTTACACATATTTATTAACATTTTTGATGGAAACTGGTATAATATTACACTTTGTTTGTTATGTGGTCATTCCTTTCTTTCTATACGTGGCTTTATAAATGACCCCTGAAATATGTTGGAATATTACTTTATTTGAAATCTAGAGAGATGATGAAGTGAGGTGAGAAGAGATTATTTCTCTTTGCAAGAGAACTTCCTCAGGTGAGGGTCTTCAATATGTCCAAGTAGCTCTATCAGAGAGAAATAAAGAGCTGTTTCTGGCCAGGCACGGTGGCTCACACCTATAATCCCAGCATTTTGGGAGGCTGAGGAGGGCGGATCATTTGAGGTCAGGAGTTCAAAACCAGCCTGGCCAACATGATGAAACCCTGTCTCTACTAAAAATACAAAAAAATTAGCCGGGCGTGGTGGCAGATGCCTGCAATCCTAGCTACTTGGGAGGCTGCGGCAGGAGAACTGATTGAATCCAGAAGGTGGAGGTTGCAGTGAGCTGAGATCGTGCCACTGAACTCCAGCCTGGGTGACAGAGCAAGACTCTGTCTACTAAAAAAAAAAAAAAAAAAGAAAAAGAGCTGTTTCTGCCAGCCAGAGCGGCTTAAATGGGAGTGAAGATTTGGGATCTTATAGGAGATTTCAGATATTTCCTAAGATTTTAAATACTCACTGTCATTTGAGTAGGTTAGTAGAACTATTCTAGTTCTTATCTTTCCTGACCAATTCTCTAAAAGACCTGATGATACCACAAAGTAGGTGGGCACTGTAATTTAACAACCACCAGGATCCAACTTTTTGTTTAATTTTTAGACCTGGATGTAAGGAAGAGGAGATTAAAAATTCATAGAAAGTGATAGTAATTCTATCAGTTGAGAGAAAACTCCTGGTTTTCAGCCTAAGTTTTGAGGTGAAAATTAAGAAACGTGACCTTGTTGGTATCTTTTCTCAAGTCCAGTACTATTAGACACAATACCGTTCAGTCTTTGAAATGTTTTTATATTATTTTATGGAAGTAACCATCTGATCTCCCAAAGCTGTGCTTTTATCTTTAGTGACCATAGGTGAGCATTATATTGACTTTTTTCCATGCTATTCCTGATCCCATCCTTGAATACTAATTATACCTTCACTGCTAATAGCCACAGCCAAGGCCAGATGACCAATTTATTCTCCAAATTTCTTTGCCAGTCTGTTGACTATATACTTAGGCTACCTGCCTACTTTTGTTACTAATTTCTCTATAAATGCAAGCTATGATATTAACTAGATAATATTTAAGTAGAAAATACAAATTTAAAGATAATGCTGGATAGCTTACGAAACACCAGAGAACCACACTTAAAGCTTTGCAGCCAAGGGTGATAACCAAACCATGTACTAGTGGAAGAAATAGCTATTGTTATGTCCTTAACATGGGTGCATGCTTTGTTGTTCCTATTGCTACTCCAAGAAACTTGACTTACTGCATTCACATCCAAGTCTCACACTACTTTTAATGCTGCTTCAGATATTGCCACAGCAGCTACAGTTGTCGAACAAAGTACTCTTTGTGGGCCTTTATTTTTAGTAGCACTAGCTCTACAGGTTAAAGACCTATGGGTAAGGGTGGGATTGACTGGCAGAATCTCATTATATGCCTAGGCCCTAGCTTCAAAAACAAGAAAAATAAGCATATAGGATGTTCAGTTTATAGGATGAGAGGGAGCTCAGAATCCATATGAAAAGAATCAAAGAGGTGGCAGAGGTTCAGGTTTTTATCTCATGCTGCCCAGCCCTTGGTTCAACATTTTCTGCTCCTATTTCATGCTTCATTAAGCAATCCACTCTTTGGCTGGGAAGCTCTCTATTAGGAAGTCCAGTGCAGTGCTAATCAGGTACTTTACATATTGGGTGCAATTTGTAAGGAAAATGCCAGGCATGGTGCAAGATGCTTCATTTCATTAGCTTGACCTGATCAGGAAAAATTTATCACTAAAAAGAGAGTAGTGTTCACCAAATTTAGAGAGAATAGATGTTGTGTCCAAGATTGTATAACTAGTAGGTAAAATAGTAGCTTGAATTACAAGGCTCTAATTCCCGACTCCTTCTACAATCAACTCCTTTTTCATGTGACTTTGCAGTTTCTTTCTCTACAGGCAGACTAGATTTACCTGACCCTTAATTTCAGGCTTGAGCATGTGATTTAGTGTGACCAACGGAATATTAGCAGATATGATACCAGCAAGGGCTTAAAATGTGCCTGTGCACATGGAGTTGCCTCCTTGTGCTTCTGCTGTAGCAAGGAGGAAATCAAGCCCCAGATAGCTTGCTGGTGTAAGAAAAATGATAAACTTGTGGAACAGAGCTGTCAAATCTGAGGGCCACCTAGCTAACTCCAAGCTAATTTTCAGGCTGGAGAGGGAGAATAAATGATTGCTCTTGTAAGCCCAGAATTTTGAGATGATTGTTTACACAGACTCATCACGGCAATAACTGACTGATACTGAAAATCAGGCAGATCTAGTTAACTTTCATTGAATCCTGTGGTCCCTGTTACAGAGTAATAGAAAATAGTTTTAATGAAAAAGGATATAAAACAACAGGATTTCATTTATAATTAAGTAATTAAATTGTTGGCACAGGTTTTTATGCTAGTAAGAGAGCTCAACGAATTAGAAGATAAGCAAGTACTAAAGTAACCAGGTAAGGCTTTATTGAGGAGGCAAAACATAAATGGACCTTGAAGTATTGAGAAAATTATTGTTGGCATTGTTCAGGGAATTTAAAAAACAATTTCAGGAGTGACATCAGCAAGATGGCAGAGTAGGAGATCCCAGCCTTTACCTTGCCCCACAGCAAATAATTAGACATGTACCCATGAGCACAAGTAGCTCTAAAAGTTCAGGAGTCCAGTGAAAAAAAACGGAACACAGTGGAGCAAAGAAAAATGGGAACAACCATACTGAAAGTGTAGTAAGAACAGTTTCAGTTTGCTCCCATCATCCCATTTCCAGGCTGGCTTATCTCATCACTGAGAGGGACCTCCCTGAACCATGAGTTTTCCTCATGGAGAATAATAGAGCAAGGTGAGCAACCAGCTTGCCGAGTCTTTTGGGGCAGGTGTTTAAAGATGGCTAGGAACATGAAGTGCAGGGGCTATCAGTATCAGCCACACAGTTGCTGCCACTGGGGACCACAGCAGCCTTTATTGCTGAGAACCTTAATAGTCATTACAGCTGCCACAAACCCCCCTTGGCCCCCAAACAAGAGAAGGGGATACTGCTGTGCCAGCCCAGACTGGAGCCACCAGCATCCTTGACCTCCTGCCACTGCTGCCACAAACATACCTGGGCATGGCCCACCCATGCATACCCATGCTCCTGACCCTAGCTCTGTGGCTGGTCTGTGAGCAGCTGTGCCTTGCACACTTGTGCCACTGCTGTAATGGGAGCCTGATCCTTGGCCACTGGTGCCACTGCCAACACAAGTGTGCCCACGTTCCAAACCTGGTGCCAAAAGGAATCCCATTAGCCATTAACTTCTGCCGTTAGGGAAAAGAAAACAAGTGGACTCATGGAGCCTTCACCACAGAGGACTCCAACAGCCCTCACCACCACTGCACGCACCCACAACCTTGGCCACTGAGAACTCCCATAATCTTTGCTGGTGTTGACCTCAAATGATATATAGAAGAATTTTAAAAGCCTATTGATGCCAGGCACAGTGGCTCACATCTGTAATCTCAGCACTTTGGGAGGCCAGTGTGGGCAGATCACTTGCACTCAGGAGTTTGAGACCAGCCTGGGCAACATGACAAAACCCCATCTCTACACAAAACAGAAAAATTAGCCGGACGTGGTGGCGCACACCTGTAGTCCCAGCTACTTGGGAGGCCAAGGTGGGAGGATTGTTTGTGCTTGGTTGAGGTTGAGGCTGCAGTGAGCCAAGATGGTGCCACCTGAGTGACAGAGCCAGACCCTGTCAAAACAAACAAACAAACAAACAAAAACCCTATGGGAATTCTGAGACACTATGAAGTGAACAAGTGCTCATATTATAGGAATGCCAGAGGGAGAAAAACAGGAATTATAGAAATAAAACTGGTTTAACAAACTAATAGCTAAATACTTCCTAAGTCTTGGGAGAGATATGGACATCTAGATCTAGGAAACTCAAAGGTCCATCACCCCATTTCCAGGCTGGCACATCTCAGCACTGAGAGGGAACTCCTCCTGGCCCATAAGTTTCCCTGAAAGAGTTCTCACCATCATTGCATATACACCCACTGCCTTGACCACTGAGGACCCTCAATCAGATTCAACCTCCAAAAGATCCTGCTTGAGGCACACTATAATTCAACTGTGAAAAGTCAAAGACAAAGAGAATTCTAAAAGCTGGAAGAGAAAAAACATCAAGTCACATATAAGGGAATGCTCATTAGAATATTAGAGATTTCTCAGAAGAAAACTTTCAGGGCTAGAAAAAAATAAAATGATATACTCAAAGTGCTGAAAGAAAAAAGAACTCAGCAGAGAATACTGTATCTGGAAAAGCTACTCTTCAGAAACAAAAGAGAGATAAAGACCTTCCAAGATAAGCAAAAACAGAGGGAATTCATCATCACTAGGCAGGTCTTGGAAGAAATGCTTAAGGGAGTGCTAAAACAGAAGACAAAAGGATGATAATTACTATCACAAAAATATGTGAAAGTATATAACTCATCAATATAGGCATATCTATAATCATACTCAAAATAACTCAGGGTTGGAATGATGCTATGTCACTATTTTAATTTTCTAGCATGAAGTTTTAAAGCCAAAAAGCTCAAAAACTTTAACAGCTAAAATTAGTGAAACAAGAACACATAAAAGACAAATACACAAATTAAGGGCACCAAAAATCAAATCGGGGAGAAGGGAAAAAGTCTAGAGTATTTTTATGCAACCTAAGTGACGTTGATGTCAGCTTAAAACAGTCTACTAGAACTACAAGACTGTTTATGTTAACCCCACGGTAACCACAAACAGATAAATTATAGCAGATATACAAGTGAGAAAGAAAAAGAAAATAAAGCTTAGCAGCATAGAAAACCACCAAGCCACAGAGGTAAATAACGAGAGAGGAAGAAAGAACAGAAAATAAATGAAACAACCAAAAAAGATTAACAAAATGGCAGGAGTAAGTCTTTCCCTATCAATAATAACCTTAAATATAAATGGATTAAATTATTAAATTAACAGATTTAGAGTGGCTAATTGCATTTTTAAAAAGAAACAAAAACAAGACTCATATGTATGCTGCTTATGAGATTTATCTCATGGTTAAAAACATAAATTGAAAGTGAAAAGATAGAAAAACATATTCCATGCAAATAGAAACTAAAAGTGAGCAGGATTAGCCACACTTATGTCAAATAAAAGAAACTTTAAGTCAAACACTAAAAAAGACAGAAAAGTTACTTTATAATGATAAAAAAAATCAGTCCAACAAGAGGACATAGCAAGTATATGTACTCAACTTTGGAGCATCCAATATATAAACATTAATAGATGTAAAGGGAGAGATAGACTTCAATACAACATTACTAGGGCATCTTAATACACTATTTTCAACAATGGTCAGATCATTTAGACAGAAGATCAACAAAGAAACATTGGAATTAAACCATAGACCAAATTAATCTAAAAGACATTTACAGGATATTCCATTCAACAGCTGCATAACACACATTCTCCTTAATTGCAAATGGAATCTTCTGTGGGATAAATCATATGTTAGATCATAAAACAATGTCTTAACAAATTGAAGAAGCTAGAGATCATATCAAGTATCTTTTTATAACAAAAGGAATCAAACTAGAGATCAACAACAAGAGCAACTTTGGAAGCCTTATAAACACATGAAAATTAACAACATGCTCCCAAACAACCAATAAGTCAGGAGTACATCAAAAGATAATTTAAAAAATTATTTGAGACATATGACAATAAAAACATCATACAAAAACTTATGGGACACAGCAAAAGCAGTTCTAAGAGGAAAATTCAGAGCACTAAGTGTCTGCATCAGCAAAGAAGAAACATTTCTCATAAACTAACCATGCAACTCAAGGAACTAGAAAAACAAAATAAACTAAACTGAAAACTGATAGAAGAAAGGAAATAATAGAGTTCAGACAAGAAATAAGCAAAAGAGACTAAAAAGTCAATTTTAAAAAGATCAACAGAACAAAAAGTTGTTTCTAAAAAAGAAACATAAAATTGACAAACCTTTAACTAAGCTACCTAAGGACAAAAGATAAAAGGCCTAAGTAAATAAAATCAGAGTTGTGAAAGGAGACATTACAACTGATATCACAGAAATACAAAGGATAGTAGGAGATTATTATGAACAACTATACAAATTTGAGAACATAGAAGAAATGAATAAATACTGGGTACACAGAACCTTCTTGAAAGATTAAAGATTTAAAGACCTAATTGAAAGATTCAATTATGAAGAAATATAAAATGTCAACAAAACAACAGTGAGTGGGAAAGTAAAAGGAGTTATAAAAGTCTTCTATCAAAAAGAAAACCCCAGGATCTGACCTGATGGCTTCCTTGCTGAATTCTAGCATACATTTCAAGAATAAATACCAATTATTCTAAAATTATTTCTCAAAATTAAAGAGAAGGAAATACTTCCAAGGCTTATTTTATAATGCTAGCATTACCTCGATTTCAAAACTAGGCAAGAATAAAACAAAAAAGAAATCTATAGGCAATATCCCTGATAAACACATATGCAAAAATTATCAACATAATACTAGCAAACTGAATCCAACAGCACACTAAAAACATCATTACTATAATCAAGTGAGGTTCATTCCAATCATGCAAGAATGGTTCAACATACACAAATCAATAAATGTGATACACCTCGTAGTGTGTATAAAATATAAAAACTATATTATCATTTCAATAGAAATAGAAAAAGTATTTGACAAAATTTAACATCACTTTATGATAAAAATCCCCAACAAATTAGGTACAGAACTTGTTTATGTACCTCAAAATAATTAAGGCCATATATGACAAAACCACAGCTAACATCATACTGAAAAAGGAAAAGCTAGGAGCTTTTACTCTATGATGAGGAACAATACATGGATCCCCAGTTTCACCCCACTCCTATTCAACATAGTACTGTAAGTACTAGCCAGAGCAATTATGCAAGAGAAAGAAATAAAAGGCATCCATATTGGAAAGGAGGAGTCAATTGTCCTTGATTGCAAATGACATAATCTTATATTTAAAAAACCGAAAGTCTTCACCAAAAAAAAAACTCTATTAGAACAAATGAATAAATTCAGGAAAGCTGATAAAAAATCTATATACAAAAATTAGTAGCAGTTTTATACACTAATAGCAAACTACCTGGAAAAATAAGAAAATAATTCCATTTACAATGGCTACAAAATAAATCAAGATACCTGGAAATAAGCAAGGAGATAAAAGAAAATCATTATATTGAGAACTACAACATATTGATGAAAGAAATTGAAGAAGACATATAGACCAGGTGCAGTGGTTCATGCCTGTAATCCCAGCACTTTGGGAGGCTGAGGTCTCACTTGAGCCACTTGAGCCCAGAAGTCCAAGACTAGCCTTGGCAACATGGTGAAACCCTATCTCTAAAAACAAACAAAAAACAAAACAAAACAAAAAAAAAAAAATTAGCCGGGTATGGTGGTATGCACCTATAGTCCCAGCTACTTGGGAAACTGAGGTGGGAGGATTGCGTGAGCCCAGTATATCAGAGATATTTGCATTGTCATGTTCATTTAATCATTATTCACAATAGCCAAATTATGGAAACAACATAAATGTCTATAGATGGATGAATAAATAAAACATGTGTTATATATAACACAATGGAATTTTATTCAGTCTTAAAGAAGGAAATCCTGCCATTTATGACAATATAGATGAAAGTGGAGTACATTATCCTAAGTAAAATAAGCCAGACAAAGAAAAAAAATCCTGCCTGATTTATATGCCTGATATTATCTATATGTGAAATGTAAAAATGCGTAACTCATAAAAATAGAGAGTAAAATAGTAGTTACTGGGGGCTGGGGATAGAGGAAAATGTGAAAATGTTGGTCAAAATTTTTCAGTTATGCAAGATAAGTAAGTTCTGGAGATCTAATATACAACAGTATAACTGTAATTAACAGTATCGTATTTTATACTTGAAATTTGCTAAAAGGATAGATCTTCAGTTTTCTTAGCAACCCTCGCCCCCACACATACACAGTAACTATGTGAGAAGATTGATATGTTAATTCACTTGATTGCATTGAATATTTCACAATGTATATCAAGTCATTAATTTTTACACTTGAAATACACATAATTTTTAGCTGACAACCATACCTCAATAAAGTTGAAGGGAAATATAATGACAAAAGGAAGTTGCAGCCAGTAGTGTAGGGAACATTTCTCTTATCCCTTCTCCATGCCCAGTAAAAATATATGTAGTGTTTCTCCTCTACTTTATAACTGTCATTTGAAATGCACTTTCTTCCATCATGTCATTATAGAGAATAAAATAAATGGAATTGAGTTCTGTGAAAAGAAGCCTTCCAGCCCAGCTGTTTGTGTGTTAGTCTAAATATTTAGATAGAATGCCTGTCAAAGCACTTAGGTACAGAAAGAGTTCTATTATAACTTTGGAGTAAAACAAATAGGTGTAAGAATATGAGGTGAAATTAGTTGTTTAAATTCATTGAATTTGTATCTGAGTATTCTTCCTTTAGCCACTCAGGAAGAAGTGAGACTGTTTACCATGTGCTAGTACTGCGAAAGCACAAAAAAATATAGAAAACAGTGTTTTGTAGAGCTATTTGGAAATTGATATTCTTACTTACTAAAACAACTGTCTCAGCTTTCTTGAAAACATTTTAGATGTATTATCTCATTTTTCCAAATGAGAAATCATAATCAAGCCTATTAAATTACATTCAAATCTATTAAAAATTAAGCATTAATTATATGAGAATGTAAGGTTCATGAGGGCGCTAACAGTATTAACTAGAGTAAAGGGATAGCGTGTGTATTCCCTAAGTGTTCAATAAATACCTTTTTGTTTAGGTATGTATTGAGCACTTAGGGATACACACTATCCCCTTGAAATGATGATTTAGTTTGGAAATGGAATCTGTATACATTTAGAAAAACAGACTGTTGCATGGCAAGAGTGATGCCATTTTGAAGCAAAACTGCCATGATGACTAATGTTTGACCCCTGAATACCAAGGTTTTCTGCAACAAGGTCTTTAAACAGTGCTGTAGCATAAATAACCCCTCAAAAAATGCCTTTCTAGCCTACCCAATCATCACAAATTTTGCAAGAAAGTCTGCAACATGACCAGCTGCCTATTTTTTTTTTTTTTTATCACTAAAAGCTTTCTATATAAAAAATATTTTCTGGAGGTACAGGGATCCACTGTCTCATGGCCGCCTGAGACATTGTTTCTTTTCATAAGTCCCTATTATTATTATTATTATTAATTTTTTATTATAGATTTGAACAGTATATGTGCAGGCTTATAATATGCATATATTGTGTAATGTTGAAGTTAGAGCTTCCAGTGTACCCATCACCTGAATAGTGAACATTGTACCCAACAGGTAATTTTTAAACCCTCATCCTCTGCCCATTCTTCCCCCTTCTGGAGTCCTCAGAGTCTGTGATTCCCCTCTATATGTCCACAAGTACCTAGTGTTTAGCTCCCCCTTATAAGTGAGAACATGTGATATTTTATTTTCTGCTTCTGAATTATTTCACTTAAGATAATGACCTCCAGCTTCATCACGTTTGCTTCTGAGAAACTGAAACTGTCATCCACTTTCTTCAGCCTCTTAGCTCCCTCAGCCTTTGGGGGTAGGTTTCCATATATCTGCTCACCGCAGAACAGTACAGTGTAATCCACTCCATTGCATGCCTTTCCGCCTGGCCTTCTCCAGCAAACATATCACTTGGAAACTTGTATACGTATCCTTCAAAATTTCTCCCATTATTTCATTATTTCATACCCAACTTTAGCTGCTACAGCATTGGCTTCCTTCCCAAAAGAACATTTCATTGTACCAAATTGAATTCATTAGAAAAAGCAGGCCCACGATTCGCCAACAAGCTAATATCTTCATCATTCACCATAAACAGTATAAACAACTAAGCCAAACAGACATTATAGCCAGGGTCATCTCAGTCTCTGGCACAGGGATGCAGGACAATCGTTCTTTAAAGTGTGTTTACCTGCGATGAGAAAATTGGCCAAAACACATAACCTCTATGGGCCCCAGTTTTATCCTCTGAAAATGGGCATGAGGTTCTAATCTTCAGTGATTTTACACCATACCACAAATATGGTAATACTGTGGGGTAAATCCTGTCCTCCAGGTACATGGCAGCTTTCTCACTATAGTATAGCTTTTTGCCATTGTTTCTGACTCAATCTGCTTAAAATATATTTGTATAGTTTGGCCTTTTCTTACAGACAGGGCTTTTATGCAGTTTGAATATCTTTCTGTACACAGGTAACACCTTAAAACGTTATATTGCCAATGTCCTTTTTTTCCTCAAACCTAGCCTTAAGTATATTTTTTTCTTGTTTCATCTGTATTTTGATAATTAAAAAAATGCAGCCCTTTTAATGAACATTATCCTGTATGAGGAGGTGGGGATGGGGTGGAATATGGTATTTTTCAGTAGTAATGTGGAAAAAGTGTCCATTAAATAATAACTCTCGTGGTTATTTTCTGTACATAAGTCTACAACAAGAAAATGTATTCAATGCACCCCAATTGTTTTACATTAAGTTAAGCTCAGCTGTTTGGGGGAAGCTAAAATTCTTTGCCAATTGATGTATCACAGCCTCAGATCTATATGGGGTTAGGATATTCCTGTGGACCCTAATTCTACACCAGGTAGTGTCTCATTAGGTGGACAAACCAGTTGCAATGATAACGGGAGGAAATAAAATGTCCGAGGTTATCTCTTTCATGTTCTGGCTCAGTATATGGGGAGGGAATTTTGGCCAAAGACCGGATCTTATATTCTGTTGCATGGCACCAGAACATTTCCTGTCAGCACCAACTCTTCACAAGACCCATACTCTTGGCCAAAAGAGAAATGTCCTAAGAAACCAGTGTCGGGTCTCAGTTGGCCCAATTAACTGGCATTTAAAGATCCATGAGTTCATGTTGAGTCAGGTTAATTATCCTTTATGGGTACTCTATAGAATTCTTTTTCTTTTTTCTTTTCTTTTTTTTTTTTTTTTTTTTTTTTTGAGATGGAGTCTCGCTTTGTCACCCAGGCTGGAGTGCGGTGGCGCGATCTCGGCTCACTGCAAGCTCCGCCTCCTGGGTTCACGCCATTCTCCTGCCTCAGCCTCCCGAGTAGCTGGGACTACAGGCGCCCGCCACCACACCCGGCTAATTTTTTTTGTATTTTTAGTAGAGACGGGGTTTTACCACGTTAGCCAGAATGGTCTCAATCTCCTGACCTCGTGATCCGCCTGCCTTGGCCTCCCAAAGTGCTGGGATTACAGGCATGAGCCACCGCGCCCAGCCTAGAATTCTTTTTAAAACGTCTTTACGGTAGACCCCCATCCCCAAATAAAAAGGGAATGGAATTGTCATAGTATTGAAAGTACAGCATTACTATGTTTTGCCAGGGTTAAAGGTTTCTGCTAACCGAAGAAAGAGTAAGATAGGACGTAATTATGAAATAATCATTGGTTGATTTAGACAAGAAGAAGCTTGGCTTTCACCATTTCCTATCATTAGCTTAGAAATTCAGAGCGTATACCAATGTGAACACGCAATTTTCACTATTTCATGAAATTTCTTCCTGGGGCGGCCAGAGAGCCTTGGTCCAGCAGTGCCATCGAGTGAATATCTACCAGACTCTGAAATGTGAATAGCGGTAATGTATATGGAAATGTTGGAAACCCGGGAGGGAATTTTATCCACTCTCAATTAGAAAGTGAAGATAATCAAAGAGAATCTAAACATTATTAGCATTCTTCATTCAAGGAAGAGGCAACTTCCTCAGCTTGCAGTATGGTGACTCAAGTGAATTAATAAAATGAACATTCTCTCATGCAAAGACAGTTAAAAATATTGTAAATGCATTTCTAAGTTATGAAAATACGGGAGTCTTCATTGTTCAAAACAGTAAAAGCAGAAATCCAAAGGAGTGAGGTTGGTGAGTGTTTTGAAGATTTAACCTACTTCCACCTACCTTAAGTTTTGATTTTTAAAAAATTTCTGTTAGTCGTTTCTCCTTTTAATAGCTTTAAATTTACTTTTTAATTGATACATCATATTTGTAGGTATTATGGGGTACATGTGATATTTTGTCACATGCGTAGAATGTGTAATGGTCGAGTCAGGCTAGTTAGGATAATCATCATGAACATGTATTATTTCTATGTGTTGGGAACACTTCAAGTCCTCACTTCTGGCTATTTGAAATATACAATACATTGTTGTTAACTATTGTCACACTACTCTACTATTGAACATTAGAACTTATTCCTTCTGTTTAATTTTATGTTTGTACCCATTAACCAATCTCCCTTCATCTCTTCCTCCTGCCACCCTGCATACACATCCTTCCTAGCCTCTAGTAACTATCATTCTACTCTCTATCCATGAGATCAACTTTTTTATCTCCCACATATGAGTGAGAGCATTCAACATTTGTCTTTCTGTGTCTGGCTTATTTCACTTAGAAGAATAACCACCAGTTCCATCCATGTTGGTGCAAATGACATGATTTCATTCTTTTTTATGGCTGTATTTCATTGTGTAAATATACCACATTTTTCTTTATCCACTTATCCACTGATGGACACTTAGGTTGATTCCATACCTTCAATATTGTAAATACTGCTGCAATAAACATGAGATGCATGTATTCCTTTGTTATATGTATTTCCTTTCCTTTGGGTAAATACCCATTAAGGAGATTGCTAGATTGTATAATAATTCTATTTCTAGTTTTTAAAGAAATATCCATAGTATTCTCCATAGTGGTTATGCTTATTTACATTTCCAACAACAGTGTATGAGAGTTTCCTTTTAGCACTGCTTTTGCTGTATCCCATAGGTTTTGGTATGTTGTGTTTCCATTTAATTAGTGTGAAGACTTTTTTTAAAAAATTATTTCTTAACTTCTTTATTAACGAGGTGGTCTTTCAAGAGCATGTTGATTAATTTTTATGTATTTGTACAGTTTGCAAAATTTATCTTGTTATTGATTTCTAGTTTTATTTCATTGTGCTTAGAGAAAATACCGGACATGATTTTGATGTCAGGTATTTAAATTTGTTGAGGCTTGTTTTATGCCTGTCTATTCTGGATAATATTCTATGTGCTGATGAGAAGAATGTGTATTCTGTAGCTGTTGAATAAAGTGTTCTGTTAATATCTGTTAAGTTCATTTGGTCTAACATGCAGCTTGAATACAATTGTTTTCTGATTGTTTTCTATATCCTTTGTATTTTATTTTTTATCTTTATGATTTAGTAGTTTTCCATACTGCCAACATAGTCTTTTTTCTCCCTCATATGTTTGTTTCTTCTACCAGTGAGTTATATACTCCAGTGTGTTTTCATGGTGGTAGATTTTATCCTTTTGTTCCAGGTTTAATAATCTCTTGAGCATTTCCTGTAGAACCAATCTAGTGATGATGAATTCCTTCAGTTCTTGCATATCTAGGAAAATATTTCTCCTTCATTTATGAAGAATAACTTTGCTGGGTGTAGTATCCTTGGCTTACAGGTTTTTTTTCTTTCAGCACTTTGAATATATCATCTCATTTTCTTCTGGCTTGCAAGGTTTCTGCTGAGAAATCTGCTCTTTATTTGATGGAGGTTCCTTTAGGTGTGACTTTTTCCTTGCTGTTTTTGAATTATTTCATTGTTGTTGACACTTGACAGTATAATTTCCATATTCCCTGGAGAAGATCTTTTCTACTTTATTTTGGAATCTCTAATCTTCTTGTATGTAGGAGTCTAAATCTCTTTATAGAGTAGAAAATATTCAGGTATTATTTTGTCAAATAAGTTTTCTGTGTCTTTGCCTTTTTTATTACTTTCTGAAACTCTCAAAATTCAGAAATTTGGTTACTTCATGATGTCCCATACATTATTCAGGCTTTCTGTATGTTTTTAAAATATTTTTTTCTTATTAGGTTATTTCAATATACCTGTCTTCAAGTTCTGAAATTCTTTTTTCTGTTTGATCCATTGTATTGTTGAAGCTCTCAATTGTGTCTTATTATTTCATGTATTGAATTCTTCAGATCCAATATTTCTGTTTGTTTTTCTAAATGATATCAATCTCTTTAGTGAATTTCTCATCTATCCTAAATTTTTTTTTGATTTCTCCGTATTGTTTTTCTGTGTTCTCTTGTAGTTCACTGAACTTCTTTAATATCATTTTAAATTCTTTTTTAGGTTTTATCTAAATTTATTTTTCTTTGGAATCTGTTGCTTAAGAATAATTCTGTTGTTTTGCAGACGTCTTTTTTTTTTCTTTTTTGCTTTTTCATTTTTATGTGTCCTTTCATTGATATCTGCATATCAGATTTAAGAGTCACTTTTTTTAAGTTTTTGGATTGGCTTTTTTAGGGAAATAATTTTTTTCTGCAGATAAATTATGGTGTTGGCTTGGTAGGGCAATTTAGATTTGATTTTGGATGTGTGCAGTAGTATAATCTTCACATAATATCTTTAGCATAAATATCATCAGTGGTTTTGTTATTTCCTCAGTGTCTTAGACTGTGGCTGTTTTGGAGGCTATCATGAGGTTTTGCTGGGGACAAGACACCAGGTGGGCCAGTCATCAGTCCCCAGTGGTGGCAGCATCATGCCAAGTGTGCCTGTCCTTGGGCCCTTCGGTGGCATATGTGGGCACCAGTGTTAGCAAGTCCAGGAGGGGTAATTCTTAAGCCCACAGATGGCTTGCTCAGGTGTAAGGAGTGGCAACAGTGGGCTATGTCCTCAGGTCCCTGAGCAGCATGCATGGTGTTGACAATGGTAGTAGCAATGGCAGGACAACCCTTGGACTTCCAGTCAGCACTTGCTGTTGTCAGTGTTGGGAAGGGCAGACCCTAAACCCCTAGGTGATATGTATGAGTGGTTGCCAACAGTGGTGGTGGTGGCAGGCTGGGTGAGCCCATCTTGAGGGCCCCAGGAGGATTGCTCAGTGCCGGTAGTGGTGGATGGTGTGGAGTGATCCCTAGGCTTCTGCATGGCATGTTTGGACACTGGCAGCTGGTTTTCTGAGCCTGTTGTTAGGACTCTGGTGGTGTGTACATGCACCTGGGCAATCCCCAGGTGCCCAATTGGCATGTTTTGGCACTGAGCACCGTGTCAGCAAGCAGGCCTATTTTTAGATTCTCTTGATGGTGTACATAGGCGTAGGCTGTGATGGAGAGGGCGGGGCAAACTTCAGGCCTCTGGAAGGCTTGCCAGCCATGGTAGGCTGTTATAAGGACATCTGATGTTTTGTGTGTGTGTCTGTGTGTGTGTGTGTGTGTGTCTGGACTACATGATGTTGCAGAACAATCTCAGAGCCCCTACGCAGCATGCTCAGGCACTGGGAAGGGTGGTCGGACAGGACTGTTCTCATGTCCTCTGGTGGTGTGCATACGGACAGGAAGTGGTGTGAGGGCGGGACTATCCCCAGGCTCTAGCTAGGGTGCTTGGGTAGTGGTGGCAGTTGTTTCAGTGGGTAGGGAAAGGCTGTCCTCAGGATGCGTGTTTGCGCATGGCAGTCTTGCTGCTGGGAGTTGAGGCAGTGTTGCAATCTGTGGTAGCATCCCCAGGCAGATGGGTTTCAGGCTCTGGGGTGTGCACACTTTGGTCACTGGTGGGAGCAGTGGCTGTAGTGGCTGGTAAAGAGAACCAGTCATCAGGCTACATGCAAGTGCACAGAAATCCTTCTGCTGAAGGGAGCAGGGTTGCTATCACTGCCAGTGGCCCCAGGCAGGCGGGTTTCAGTCTCTGGGAAGTGTGTGCTTTGGCTCTCTCCCCAGTGTACTGCACTGCCCTTTCCTTGGCATGCAGGAAACTGTGTAGGCTAGAGTGCTGGGGACCCTGCAACTTTACTGGGTTCAGTCAGTGTCTCTCAGAACTGCAGCTCTCTCAGTGGACACAGGGGCATATCAGTGGGGCTCCAGAGATTTGGAGATGCAGGGGTTGTTGGGCCCTAAGAAAGGAAGCAATCTGGTGGGGGCTGGGCTCTCAAAATGGCACCATGCTGCAGCTACCTGGTCCTCAGGAGATGTGTGGGACCCAGTGTGAACTTCCTCTCTGGAGCAATGCCATCTCGTGGACTCCAGTGAGCTCCCTATGCCAGTCTTGGGACCCATGGGGTCGAGGGAGTCTCCTATGGCTAGGATTATAGAAGTCTATGGTAGAAATATGGACTGCTGGGAATCTCTCACTTTACCTTTTCCCTGCACTGGAGAGACTGTCTGGACTCCTGACCAATTACTGGCATCTCTCTCTGGTGCCTCAGGTGGTTTCTGTCACCTGCTGAATTCCAGTGTTATCTCTTAGATGTTCTATTCAAAGTGTGATTATCTACTCACTATTTTGATTCTCTTTTGTGGGGAAGTGAAGTGTCCTTTGCCATCTTGACAAAGCTCTAAGTGTTTTTCAATATCAGCATGGTCATGAAGACAAACCTAAAGACCACCCAAGACAGAATAAGGCCAGATCTCCAAAGACTATGTCATTATTTGAAGGGTGAATTAGATGTACGAAAAGAAAGACCCTCCTTATAGAGTACTAGTAACGAAATGGCATGTCTTAAACTTGAAGCTAGGTGGAAGAAAAAAATGATTTAAGATATGCTAACTATAAGCAACTCCTTGCTAGCTGTGTCCAAATTCATACTCTCTATTTTGTGTGAAAAAGAAAGAAATGAAGTTGAGAATTTATTTTAGAGATTGGAGATGGTAGTGTTCTTTTAAGCAAGGCATGAATAAAACCAGTAAGTTTTGGATGAATGTACTTCATGCTACTCTTCAAACAACCATCACTGATATAATTCAAAGACTTTGATTTGCAGTAAAGTAATCTCAACCACACCCAAAAAAGTGGGGCAGTAGGCTTGAGAGGCAATATAAATAAATGAATAAATAAATAATAGAAGAATGAGTGAATATGAGAGGGGAGAAAGAGACTATATGAAATGGCCAAGCAGTTTTGAAAAACAAAAACAAATTAAATGTATGTAGATGAGAAAAAAATCATGATTGAAAACTAAAGGTAGAGAATAAATTCAATAAGATATTCCCAAACTTTCTCATTTTACAGTGCTTTTAGTGTCTCAGTAATTCTTTTAAGGTAACTTTAGGCCAAAAAAATCACAAATAATTTCTATCTCTTAAATAGTTACCCTATCTATTAAATAGCTAGGTTCAGAAAATAATGAGTATTTGTCATAAGAGATTATTAGCCATTGAAAATTAATTTATAAATTAAATTAAAAAATAAACCATAATTTATTAAATAACCATAATTTATTAATGAGATATGTCCACCTATTGGGCACTGTACAACTTTCCAAACTGTTGATTCAGATTAAAAATAACCAGCCTCATTTCTTGTTTCACATTGATTGTGTGTGACATTTCTTTCTGACCATAACTACTGCAAAGGCATGGTTTCAGCAAAATAGATGTTGAAACTGTGAACTCGCTCAAGGAAGTCACAGCACAATTTTAACTCTACCATACAGCTTTGCTGTGCTTCCCTCAAACATCTGAAATATTCTTTGGTTCCACTATGAGACAAATGTGGCACCTCAGAGAAAATCAGTGCCACTGGGTTTCTCAGTTTGAAAACTATATATTTAGACACTGATACATAGAAAATTTTGGAGAATTCAAATATAGATCTGAACACATTACCCAGAATGCAGCTCGGAATATCAAGAAAAGTCAAGCAGTAACTCAACAAGATAGATTTGGTGAAAAGATGTTAGAAAACTGGAGAAAAGAAGTGAGAATACAGTGTAAAGGCAATATTTAGAACATAGTATCTGATAATTTTTTAGAATTAAGTCCAATAACCGTTAAATTTAAGAAATGCAGTGAATTTCAAGTAAAATTAGTAATTAAAAGAACATTACCACTTGGACATGTAATACTAAAATTGAAGAACATAAAATTTTTTTTAAAGTTCTAAAAACTATAGAGAACAGAGATAAATCAGATTGGTGCTTACTTGTTCCTCATTAACAGTGGAAGCCAGATATAGCAAATAATGGTATTTTTAAAATATTGAGAGTAAAATGCTGGTCAACTAAGCTTTTCCAAACAGTGACATAGTCTTTTAGAAATAATGGCAATATAAGGACCCTTTAAACACTAACGCAAACTAAATGTACTACTAAAATGCTCTCACTATAATGTCTTCTGAAAGATGGTCTTTGGGAAGAAAGAAAATACAAAAATAAATTATGAGTAAATAAATTGTTCTAGTTGTGGATAAATATAATCAAACACTCTGTGTCAAAACAATGACAGTGCCTTAATTGATGATGACTAATATGGTTTGGGTGTGTCCCCATCCAAATCCCATCTAGAATTGTAGTTCCCGTAATCCCCACATGTTGTGGAAAGGACCCGGTGGGAGGTAATTGAATCGTTGGTGCGGTTACTCCCATGCTGTTCCCATGATAGTGAGTGAGTTCTCGTGAGATCTGACGGTTTTACAGGGGGCTTTACCCCTTTGCTCGCCACTTCTCTCTCCTGCCACCATGTGAAGAAAGATGTGTTTTCTTCCCCTTCCTAGTAAGTTTCCATAGGCCTCCCCAGCCCTATGAAGTGGTGAGTCAATTAAACCTCTTTTCTTCAGAAATTACCCAGTCTGAGGCAGTTCTTTATAACAGTGTGAGAAAGGACTAATACAGTGACACAATAAATTATCCAGTATTTTAATTTTAACAACAGCATACAATTGAGAATGGGAGTTAATTAATATTAAAATATTCCACATTCTTTATAGTTTTGAGGAGGTGCATTAAAATATTGATAAATTTTAGACAGTTTTAGGATAACCATTGATGATAAAATGCCTAGGGTACCTACTGAAAGGTTATATAAAAGTCCTATACTTTAAAACCTAGTGGAGAGAAAATAAATAAAATCAGTAAAAATACGCATACACACACACCCCAAATTCTCCTCATTAATAAATTAAAGGGCAAAAATTAATGATAATTTTAACAGACACAGAACATGTTTTGCTATATTTTTACATTCATTTATGATAAAAATTCATTGAAAATGGACACTGGAAGGGAAGTCCTTAATCTGTTAGGTATATGCACAAAAACCTGTCGCACACATAAGGTAATATTGAAAATTTAAAGCATTTCCTTTTAAGACAGCAGAAATATAGACTTGCTTAGTATCGCTACTTGCATTCATATTGTTCTGAAGATGCTAGCTTGTGTACTAAGATAAGAAAAAGATATAATGATTCCTGATTGGAAGAGAAGAAATAGAATAATCACTAATCACAGTTGATATGATTGTGAACTTACAAAATGCAAGCAGTATATAGATAACTTATTACAATTAATAAATCAGTGTAGCAAATTCTCTAGCAATAAAATCATTATGCATAATTATATCATGATTTGTATAATGCAGTTGTTGCATATAATTGTGCAAAATTGCATTTTTATTCAACAGCAATAAAAAATTGGAAATCATAATTTAAAAATGATTCAATTTACAATTGTTAGAAAACATAAAGTACCTGGGAATAAATCTAACAAAATATATTAAAGCCCTTTATGGAGGAAAACTATAAATCTTTATTTTGAAGTATTTAAGTGGAACCAACAAATGAGACTTATATTCTGGATGTGAAAGTTCAAAATTATAAAAGTGTAATTATTCCCCCCAAATGACATGTATCAAGTGTCAGCAAACTTTATAAAAGGCAAGATAGTAAATAGTATATTATCTGCAGTCCACAGAATTGCTTTCACACCTACTAAACACTTCTTTTGTAACTTGAAAGCAGCTGTTGACAATAGGTAAAGAAATTGATGTGGCTGTGTTCCGATAAAACTTTATTTACAAGGAGAGTTAAAGAGGCAGCAGGCCAGGTTTGGCCTATGAGTTGTCGTCTGCCAACTCCTAATTTAATCAATGTAATCTATCTTTAGTGCAATTCTAATCAAAATCTATAGGGATGTGAAAGTGTGTGTGTGAGTGTGTGTATAACTTAATAAGATAATTCTAATCGCTCTGTGACCAAGTACTGAGCAAAAGTGACCAAGATATTCCCAGAAAATAACAAAGTAATTTATCCTACCATAAATAAAGACATTACAAAACTAGAGTTATTAAGACAGTATGCCATTGGCATTATATTTTCAAGTAGATAAATGGAATAGAATATAAAATACAGAATTTTCTGTATGAGAGAAGTGACATTGCAGATTGCAGCTGAGTGGATTAGCCACTTGATATTTGGTGCTGACATAATAATTTATCGGTACGAAAACAGAGTGAAATTGGATTCTTACCTTAATTCATAGGCAAAATTTAAATATGTATGAATTATAGGCTTTAAAATTCAAGGTACATTTTTAAATGTTGAGAATAAAATATGAGGATATCTTTTTTATCCTGGAGTAAGGGAATATTTCTTAAGACAGAAAAGGACAAACCTTAAACGAAAATCTTAAAATTATTTTAAAGTCCCACCATCTGTTCATTAAAAACACCTTAATAGAAATTAGAAGATAAACAACAATTTGTGGTGAAAATTTTTACACTTACAAGAAAAAAACAAGCACTTATTATCTGGGGGATATTAATAACTGCTACTTATCATTAAAAACAGAAAAACAGCATGATCCAAAAATGCTGAAAAGATATAAATGGGCATTTCACAGAATAGGTATCATAAATGGAGGAAAAACTTTGGGGAAGATGGTTATTCTCAATAATTATCTGGGAAATGCAAATGAAATCCACAGGGCAGTATTATACAACCTACATGTTGTCAAAAAGCAAATAATAATAAACAACTAAAACAGAGTATCAAGATTTGACAGATATATGATGTTGTTGAAAATATAAACTGTTGGATTCAATTTAGAATATACTTTGGAATTAACCATTAAAGTTGCAGGTATTTATATATTATGATCCAGAAATCCCTTTACCAGGCAAATAGAACAATGATTGCTTGCCTACACTAGGTACACATAAAAAAAATTAATATTGTTTTCAAAAGCAAAATACTACAAATTACCCTAATGTAGTATTCATTTTACAGAATGGATGGATAAATTGAGGTATATTCATATAATAGAATTCTATACAGCAGTACGAGTGAAATAATTACAGATATTCATATTGATATGGATGTATATTAAAATAATAGTATTGAGAAAAGGAAACAGTCTCAGAAAAGGTACATTGGATTCTATATATTTAATGGTTAAATATGCAAAATAAAGCAATGTACACTTAAAGATGCATTAATATATGTTAAAACTATTTTCAAACAGGAAGCATAACTACAAAACAGGAAATTGGTTAACAGTGGGTGGGAGGAAACGAAATGTGGAAAGAAATACTGAGTAGAGTTTAAAAGGTTTTGGTAATTTTCTGTTTTATAAATTGAATAGTAGGTATACATGTGTTCATTGAATTATTCTTACATGTATTATAGATTCTTATTGTGTGAATTAATAATAATAATAAACTATGACATAACATGAACCACAAAGAAGTAAAACCTTAAACAAAATGTCAATGTAAAACTAAAGCAGCAGGAAGGAAGCATTACTTGCAGCATGCTAAGCTTCAACATATTTCTAAAAATTTTTAGAACTGTTTTCAATTTAAAAGTTCACCAGGATAGGAGTGTTTGACCCTACCTCCTGCAGTGTCCCTCTAAAATATCTGTGAAGACTCAGCAAAAAATGGAAACTTGCAACTTCACTGAAACCTTAGATTACAAACAACATACTACCAGCATCTGAAAGAAAGGCTACTAATTTTAAATTGATGCAGCAATATTAAGGAAAAAAACCACTTGTAGAGGAAGGTTTGCAACATACAGAAGAGTAGTCACTAATCAAAATGAAGATAAGATGTTCCATGCCTTTAGCACCCTTACTGCACATCAGATTCTGTGAGGAGTTGTAAAAACAAAATAAAAGTCTTAATAGCTGATGTCCAGCCTGTTTTGTCCTAGACAAATAGAATCAGAATCTGAGAGTGAGTCCCAACTTTTTAAAAACTTTCACTGTGATTCTAATGTGCATTTAAGGTTGAGAACTATTTGCTGGTCTAAGTGTTCCAGTTTCATCTCTTTCAAGTGATGAAAGAAACTCATAGGACCTGTAATGCACATATGATTGCAGAAGACGTATATGAGTGTATATACATATAATTTTATTTTCAAATATTTTACAGTTTTCTCACAGATCTCTAAATCAAATGCAACATTGCTGTTTTAAACAATTTTCCTTTGAGTCTTTGGAAGTAATCAGCTTTGCTCTCATAGAAATAATACCTTTCTCTTTTATCATTCATATTTTACTGTTTTACATAACCATTGAATTATATATAGTAACAAATATGTTAACAATTATAGTAGCAAGTATAGACGGTGATATCAGTTTTGGGAACAAATACTGTTAGTCTTGGGAAGCATTAAAGAGAAGCATAAGGAATCCTAGAGAATAAGCTACTAACTACCAGTGCTTGGCATCCTGTGGGCATCGGTATTTTTGCAGAAGAAATAGAGTCTTCATTGGTAGAATGCGGAGATTATTTAAGAAAGAGTAAACAGCACAATAAAATATCTGAGTCAATATGGTATTTTAAAAATTGTTAAACAGGGGTGGAGAAGAAATTTCGGAATGACCCCATTTGAGTAGGGTATTAGGAGAATACAGCCCCTCAGGGCTGCAAAACTCCGTGATATACTACCTTGCTTGTATGAGGAAGTTTGCTGGGATGTAAGCAAAGCAACCTGTTCTGGAAGTGTGGATCTGAGGATGGGAAATGACCAGACCCAAGTGGAGAAGAAGCAGAGTTAAGGGCAATTCACACATGTGGTCTGTCTGTATTTCCACTCCTTTGAGGATGAATTAAAATGGAATAAAAATTACATATAAACTATAAAACATAGTGCATTATCAAGAAAGTGAAATATCTTTCTGAGCTTAGAGGAGGAGAAAACTTTCAAGACATCTGTTAGGTAAATATAAACTAGTGGATGCTCAAAGGAAAGTTTTTCTGGTGACATGGTGTATGGAGCATCACCTAAGTTTTTCTAGTCATTTATTTTTGTCTATCTGGTTGTCACTGTTTTGGTTCACATCCTCCCAAAAGCAGACCTAGAGAGAATTTCAGTGCATGTCGTTTACTGGAGTGGCCATCTCAAGAAACAATGGTTCAGGAGTAGAGAGACGTGAAGCAGAGAGGGGAAGGTAGTTAATAAAGAGTTAGCTATATCAAGTGTTTTTTTCAGAGTGATTAAAATGTTCTAAAATTGATCCTGGTAATGATTGCACAACCTGCAAATACACTAAAAATAATTATATTGTATAGTATAGATGGGTAAGTTTTATGGTCTGTAAATTATGTCTCAGTAAAGCTGTTGATTTTTTTTTTTTAACAGCGAGCTAGCAATGACTTTACCACTGTAGCATCATTAGCAGCATCGTGCTGGGGAACTCTGGGAGACCATGTAGGGCACTCCACTGGGTTCTCCCCACCTAATGGGAGGGAGCTGGGGCATTTATCCACCAAATCCTCATTCATTATTGATCCAAAGCTGTTTCTGGGGTTATTAGCTCTTAGGGCCTCATGTGTATTGCTCAGAATTTAGGCCAAGTGTGCTCCTGCAGACCAGGCAAAGAGTCACAGGTGTTCATTCTAAGCTCCCTTAGATGTATGTGCATGAGGGCCAGGACGATATGAGAGCACTGGTGGCATCTTTCCTATAGCAACATCTTGTGTTAAAAAGAGAACACTGAATATGCCCTCGGTAACCTCTCCCTAGTGATGCTTTTGTGATTGTGGTTTTCTTAGTTGTGAGCAATGTGTAGGGAAAAAAAAACTGGCTTTCCTCCATCCTCCCAGGTTCTTTAGATGGGCTACAAAGAAAATTGATGTAAAACAGATTAAAAGGAGAAAAGGTATACAAATGCACTGGGGCATCATACGAAAGAAAAGTGAATACCCGACACCCCAGAGATCAAGAAGCCTATATACCCTGAGTTAAAGGAAAAGGGACTTGGGGCTTCTGGGAGAATAGTGAAGACATGAGTTACAGGAAGGTGAGGCAAGGAATTGTATGTTGAATAAAGGTTGTCTTGTTATGTAGATAAAACATCTCTTAGGGAATAAAAGTGGTCTGAAGCAGCCCTCTTCCTGATACTGATACTTTACAATGTAGATTTCCCTTACAGATATAAATTTCTTTTACAAAAGAACAGCTTTTCAGAGCTACTCCTGTTTCTGCAGTTTCTCAAAATAACCAGCTTGAAACATGTCACAAAAATACATTTTGAGTTGGCATATTCTGGTCTCCTGTAGTCATATTTTAGGGTGGTGTGTCCTGAGTCCAAACAAACGTGATACACCACATGGACTCTATTCTCTAGAGCCATGCAATTTTGGCAACTGTATTTTATTTAATGGTTCAGGGAGGACTTAATGGATAATGTTATATAGGACAAGATGTTGGAGACAACCAGGTGTGTTGTATGACTGTTAAGAAGTTTTTTGCAGGTGACTATGTAAACAAAACCTTCAAGATATCTATTAGGTGATCTTTGGTGGCCCAATGGCATCCGTATTTGGCATACAATTCCCAAAAATAAACATTAAAGCTGTTGCCATTTGCTTTTTCTGATTATCTTTCTGTTTATTACTTATGGGGAACAGAATATGTTAGTGATAGAAAGAGGCATGTGGCTGAATTGGCGTGTTGGAGGTGACTTGATCTAATCACAAACACTCACATTATCTATTTTTAGGATGCCAGTAGACATCACAAGTTTAAACAATTTCCCAAGTGACTTCAAGCCACAGGAAAAAGATACAAATGAAAAGATAAAAAAAAAATAGAATTGAGGATAGAGAATTAGCCTAAGACTTGAAAGTATAATAGAGGATAAAACATTGAAAATTAAAACGTAAGTAAAAATACAAAATATGTATATGAAAAAAATTTCTTCTGGCCCCAAACAGACTTGCATAAAAATACTGAAACATGTTAACATATTTTAGGTAAGTGTCAACAAACATAGAAAAATTAATTAAATATTACAAAAAGATTTTGTCAACTTCCAAGGAGAAACAACAGGTCTCAAGAAAACCCCAAGTATTTAGCAAAATGGAGATTTCTTTTGTGAAACAGTAAATGACCGAGAGTAAAGCAATCACAACTGACCAGTTTTGTGGGAAAAAGGTTATCTAATTCATATTTTGCAGCTACTCTTTATTTAATGCATGTAAGCTACAGAAAGGATGTTATTTATTGAAGAGGTCAGATTCTAAAATGCCTGTGTACCATCCTTGAAAACATGAGTTCACTAAAGTGCCAAGTAGCTAGAGGAGAAATCCTAATCAACATTCAAGAATGCGTAGGCAGGGTGCACAACTGCAGGTGATGATCACTGAGAGAAGTTAAAATAAAATGGTTTATGAAATTCTGAAAAATGTGATTACAAAATTGAACGCCAATTCCAGTTTTTCTTTTTGAAAGATATTACTGTTATATTAAAATATTGTGAAATTAGAATTATATAGCTCTGAACATATATATCATAAAAGTAAGTAGCCGAATATCGGAGAATAGCAAGTAGAACAAAAAAGTGCCAAATTGTTCTTCTAGCAGGGAAGAAAATCATAGTTTATTATATTGTTCTTAACTTTAATGCAAAAAGGATTGCAGGTTGAAGAATATTTTTGAAAATCTTAAGTATAACCATGAATGATTTTATATAGAAAATGTATATATCAAAAAGAGGAAAAAATAAAATCAAAACATAAGCCATATAGCAAATGAGAAACAGCAAATGAAGCCACAATGAAGCATGTAAAAATAATAAGTAGAAAGAAAGTTGTCAGATATAATAAGCATATCAACTCTGACAATAAACACAAACGAGTCAAACTCCTATACTAAAATGTAGACGTTCGCAGATGGGTCATAAAGCGAAAGCCCAACTGTTTGTGGTCTACGACAGATAACTAAAATAAAATGATTCAAAAGGTTAAACAGAAAGTGATGAGCAAATTTAACTGGAGAAAGGCAGTCTAAGTAAACAGAGAGATGACAATATAAATATCAGACAAAGTAAAATTCAAAGCAGAAAGCATGCTAACAGTACAAAGGGAATTGTTGCATGCAAATTATAATCCTCATGAGTCTGTATGTGCTGAAAAACAGAATGTCAAAATAGATATAACCTTAACTGAGGAAACAAGAGATATACACAGAAGCACAACAGATTTGGGAGGATTTATTATACTTCTTTAATTTTTGACAGATCAACTAGACACTAAAATAAATAAGAAAATAGATGATGAGAAAGAGATTTGTGAGGAGAGCCACAGCATGTCTGAAGAGCTCTGATACTGCTTCTCTCTGTAGGCCAGATCTTACCATAGGAGCCACAGTCACTCAATTGGAAAACTTAAATGCAGTAGGAATAATTGGATCCTGAAGTGGCAGGCGTCAAGTGGCAGCACTCAACTGTCAAAGGCAAGGTGGGCATAGTTACTGTAATGAACAACAGAGGCAAAGGAAAAATCAGAATGCTCCCACTCGTGTAGATCTATGGCATTGGCTGGTTAAGTATGGTGTTCTTAGATGTGAAATAAATAGGAAGCCTACTAAAATCTTACTTGATCTGTATAAGCAGAAAACTTTCTGGTCAAGTGAACAAAAGTCTAACTTGAATTACGTCGACGAGAATCATGACTCATCAATCAATTCTCAAACTTGAGCCAGTTTACAGACCTACAACACCTTATATGAAGGAGAGGCTGGGTCACCTCCAGGAAGGACCCCAGGACACTTCCAAAAATGTATACAGTTACTCTTTCTCTCATCCCTCCTGAAAGAGACCTTACAGCCTTTTTCCAGGGTAACTGTGCATTGGGGAAAAGGAAAGCATCTGACCTTTCAGGGACTACTGGGACAAAGGCTCTGAACTGACCTTGATTCCAGGAGACCAGAAATGTCACTGTGGCCCTCCAGTTACAGTAGGAGCTTATGAAGCTCAGGCCAACGATGGTGTTTTAGCTCAGTTCTGACACACAGTGGGCCCAGTGGGTCCCTAAAACACTCTGTGACTATTTCCCCAGTTCCAGATGCAAAATTGGAATAGATGCACCTAGCTGCTGGTAGAATTTGCACATTGGTTCCCTAACCTGTGAGGTGAGGGCTATTATTGTGAGAAAGACCAAATGATAGTTAATTAGAACTGCCTCTAATTAGGAAAATGATAAATAAGAAAACAATACCACATACCTAGATGAATTGCAGAAATTAGTGCCACCATCAAGGACTTAAAAGATGCAGGGGTGGTGATTCCAACCACATCACCATTCAATTCTTCTATTTGGCCTAGATCTTGGAGAATGATAGTGGCTTATTAGAGGCTTAACCAATGGTGAGTTCTATTGCAGTGGCTGTACCAGATATGGTTTCACTGTTTGAGCAAATTAACACGTCTTCTTGTACTTGGTACATAGCTATTGGACTGGCGAATGCCTTTTTCTCCATAGCTTTCCATAAGGCTCACCAGAAGCAGTTTGCTTATGGCTGGCATGGCTAAATATACCTGCACTGACCTACCTCAGGGGCATATCAACTCTCCAGCCCTATGTCACAATTTAGTTTGCAGGGATCTTGATTACCTTCCCCTTTCACAAGATATTACCCTGGTCCATTACATTGATGACATTATGCTGATGGAACCTAGTGAACATGAAGTAGCAATTACTCTAAACTTATTGATAAGACATTTGCACATCAGAGGATGGGAAGTAAATCTTACTAAATTTCATGGGTCTTCTACCTCAGCAAAATTTCTAGGGGTCCAGTGGTTTGAGCCATGTCAAGAAATCCCTTCTAAGATAAAGGATACGAAGCTGCTTCTAGCTGCTCCTACAACCAAGAAAGAGGCACAATATCTAGTGGGCCTATTTATATTTTCGAGGCAACACATTCCTCATTTGGGTGTATTACTTCAGCCCATCTACTGACAGACCTGAAAAGCTGCTAGTTTTGAGTAGGGCCCAGAACAGGAGAAGACTCTGCCACAAGTCCAGGCTGCTGTGCAAAGTGCTCTGCCATTTGGGCCAATGGTCCAACAGATGCAATGGTGCTTGAGGTGTCAGTAGCAGACAGGGATGCTGTTTGGAGCCTTTGGCAGGACTCTATAGGTGAATCACAGCAGAGTGCCTTAGGATTTGGGAGCAAAGCCCTGTCATCCTCTGCAGATACCTACTCTGCTTTTGAGAGGCAGGTCTTAGTTTTCCTTAGTAGAAAATGAACACTTGACCATGGGCCACCAAGTTACCGTCTGACGTGAGCTTCCTATCATAAATTGGGTATGCATGACAGCACTCCATTACCAAATTAAAGTGGTATATACAGGGTTCTGGGACTCAAGGACTTACACCAGGGTTTTCAGGCCTTTAGCCTCAGACTGCAAATTACACTATCAGCTTCCCTGGTTCTGCGGCTCTCGGGGGCTTAAGCTGAATGATGCTACCAGCGTCTCTGAGTCTCCAGCCTGCAGACAGACTTTCATGGGACTGCTCACCTTCCATAATTGCATGAGTGAATTTCTCTAATAAATCCCATCTATCTATCTATCTATCTATCTATCTATCTATCTATCTATCTATCTATGTATCTATCTATCTCTGAAGAATACTGACTAATACAGATTCTTGTGTAAAAATAAATGAGATTGCTTTTCTCTCAAATATCCATGGATTGTTGATAAAAGATTATTTATGCACTCAGTTCTTAAGAAAATAAATTCCAAAACATAGGCCTTGGTGTGGTGGCTCACACCTGTAATCCCAGGACTTTGGGAGGCTGAAGTGGATCACTTGAGGCTAGAAGTTCCAGAGCAGCCTGGCCAATATGGTGAAACCCCATCTTTACTGGAAATACAAAAATTAGCCGGGCATGATGGCACATGCCTGTAACCCCAGTTACTCAGGAGGCTAAGACAGGAGAATCACTTGAGCCCAGAAGGCGGAGATTGCAGTAAGCCAAGATCGCACCACTGTACTCCAGCCTAGGCAATAGAGGGAGACATTGTCTTAAAAAAAAAATTTCATATATATAATATATATATAAAAATATATATAAAATATATATAATATATAAATATATATATAATATAACATATATAATATATATAAAATATATATATAATATATAATATATATATGAAATATATATAATATATAATATATATATGAAATATATATAATATATATAAAATATATACATAAAATATATATATTCCTCTATAAACCACAAGACCAACATGTGGGTACTAAGGAAGTCCTTCGTTTGACTGGGAACAATTCAAACTTTATTGACTCCTTTCCTAAGAAGTGACTTCAGCTTTCTGTGAGACTCCCTTGTAAGTATTCCTGAGATTCCTTAGAATTTTGCTCCTTTGTTCTTGTATACAGTTTTCTTACTTGTGTGTGTGGAGGGTGGGGAGAGGTGAGTTCCCCTATGTATCTTGTCTTAAATGAATAAAATAACATGAAGGAAAATGGTAAATCTATTATTATATCCAGATGATATTATTAAATATCTAGGAAGCCTAGGAGAACCCATTGAAAACTATGACCAATAAATAAAGAATGTTGTTATATATCAGGGTATAAAATAAAAACAGGAAAACTATTCCTTCATATGTACAAATAGTGATCAGTTAGAATACGTAATGTAAAACATACTCATTTTACATTCAGAATAACACCATGCTAAACATAGTAAGAGATGTGCAAACAATATAGGAGGAACGCATTAAAACACAACTTGAAAAAAATGGATCCGAGAAAATGGAAAGAGCAGATTCTTGCATGAGAATATTCTACAATATGATGAGTCCAAATATCTCTAAATTAATTTATAAATTTAACATGACTGGGATAAAAATGTCAACAAGTCTCTATCCTTTGCCCCAGGACTATTCAAACTGATTTTAAATTCATATAGAAAATGAACTGGCAATATTTGTCAGGAAATCTCTACATATGAAGAGCAGTGAAAGGGACCAAGCTCTATCTCAAGATAAAGCATACCAGGAAAACTCACTATTTAAAATAGTACAGCATTGGCACATGAATAGTCAGACAAATGGAACACAGCAGGATGTTCAGACACATGTAGTTTCAGATACACGTAGTATCTAGAATATGTTTAAGGCAGTATCTCAATCTAGTGGGAAAGAAGATATAAATATATATATTTAACAAATGATATTGGTAACTATTGGAAAAAGAATGGTGTTAGGGCCATACTTTATGTAGTAAACTAAAATAAGCCTCAAATAGAGTGAATTATTGAAGGAACTGAAATAAAATATGGTCACATTATTTTACAAATTTGGATTAGGGAATTCCTTTATAGATATGATTCAAAATCAAAGACATAACACATAAATATGGGTGATAAATAACAAAAAAAATTAAAGTCCTACACGAAAAAATGGGAAACATTAAGTGAAGAATAATAACCTGTTTTAAAATGTTGGTAAGTGATATAAAAGACAAAGGACTCGTACCTGGATATGCATAGTAAAATTCCAATAATCTAAAAAGACAGCAATCTGGTGATAAACTAGGTAAAGATATGAACAGATAAATAACAGTTAACAGAATAAAATACAAACGGCCCTTAAACTGTTTGTACACTCTTTCTCATGAAAAGTGAAATGTACATTAAAACCACAGTGAAATGCCATCCTTTATTAATCATATGGCAGTAATTCATAATTTGGCCAACATAGAAAGTTTGACACGTTGCTAGTAAAAATGAAAAAGAGTGTGTAAAAAAGTTGGCAATATTTATCAAAATTACAAATTAATATATCCTTTGTCTCAGCAATCTTACCTCTAGGAATATATTTTATATATACATTTGTTCACATGAAATATAAATATGGTTACAAGGTTATTCACTGCAAATTTGTTTTTAATAGTGAAAAAGTGGAAACAAAACAAATGTCCGTCACTACAAATTTGATGAAATAAAGTATGCTACAATCACGTAGTGGAATACTATACAGCTGTAAAAAAAGAGAAATGATGAAGTTGCTTTCTATTGATATGGAAAGGTCTCTAAGATGTTTTTCTAAGTGAAAAATAAGCAAGAACATTGCAAGTGAAATTCTTTTTCTACAAAAGAGGAGGAAATAAGGTTGTATATGTGTATTTGTTTATAATTACATAAGCATTGATACATACACAAGAAATAATGAACATGGTTACCCACAAGGAGGTCGCTAGGGAGTAGACAGCGGCAGGTATAAAAATGAGTGAGACTTCTTAATTCATAACATGCATACATTGTTCCAATATTTAAACTAGGTAAAAGCATTATCTGTTCAAAAGAAAAATAATATAACAAAGAGAAAAATGATGAAATACAAACTGAGAGAAATGTTTGTGAAATGTGTCACCCTCTAAGGGTTAATTTATGAAGTCATTAATATAAAAAAAGTTTTGATAAATTAGTCAGAAAAAGACCTTTTTTTCCTCCAAAAAGGATGGCTGAAGAAAGTAAACAAACAGTTCACAAATAGATATACAGATGGCTTTTAAACATGCAAATATGCTCAAATTCACTCATAATAAAAGAAATGTATATTTAAATAGAAATAGGATACTAACTTCCAACTGTCAGATTACACATTTCTGGGGTTGATATCTTAGTACAACAGGGATATAGGAAAATCACAAGTCTTTTGAATGGTTCGTGGGGTGCTAAACATCTATGGTGTTGTTTGAAGAGCAATTGGTGAAATCCATCAAAATTTTAAGTTCTCCTTTTCTTAGAACTGGTAATTTTACTCATAGGTTTTTGTCTTACAGATGGATACACATGTGTACAAACCCATATGCGGAGAGATATTCATTGCAACATCATTTGGAATAGGCAAATAAAACAAGGCAAATTTTCATGCAAACATATACAAAATATTATGTAAATATTGAAAACAATAAGGTGTATCTCTCTATGTGCTGTTATGGGATATTTAAAAGTTGCTAAAAAGCAAAGGGCAGAATAGCTCATACAAAAGTTTATTTTAAGATATAAATAAATATATGCACACACGTATACATTAGACTACTTCTGGAAAGTTATACAAAATATAAAATCTATTAGTAGTGATTACATCTAGGAATGAAATTAAGTACCTAGAATGAGGTCTTACTTTTAAATATATATAGTTTTATGCCTATGCTTTAAAAAATTTTACTGTGTACCTGTATTATTTTTTAATAAATTAAACTACCTAAAATTATGTAATTAGAAATGAAAGGAGATCCAGACAAACGAATCCCATCCCTTAGAATTAATTTTTGGGTGTTAGCCTTACAAACTGTTCAACTGCATCCTGGAGGAACCTAAATGTTCTTCTAGGGAGAAAAGTTTTTGATGGTTTGCATTTATTTTGTTTTGTTTTATAAGCAAAGTTTTTTGTATATATTTGTGGGGTACAAGTGTAATTTTGTTACATGGATATAGTGCATAGAGATGAAATCTGGGCTTTAAGTGTATCCTTCACCCAGAATCATGTACATTGCATTCATTAAGTAATTTCTCATCATCTATCTGTTCCCACCTCCAGCTTTCTGAGTCTCCAATGTCTGTCATTTCACACTCTATGCACATATGCAAGTTGTGTTTTTAAAAGGGCTTCTTTCTGGCAGCTGGATGCCAGTACCTTCAGAAGCACATGCTAGTGCTTCTCAAGCCTTGAAATCCATACAAATCATCTGGGGATCTTATTAAAATGCAAGTTCTGGTTCAGAATATCTTGGTTGGTCAGAGAATCTGCATTTCTAACTAGCAGGTGATGCTGAGGCTGCACCACACTTTGAATAGCAAAAAGTCATCTTCCAGAAAGACATAAATGAAGCTTCTTTTTTGCAGCGTGCCCTCAATATATTTTGTTCTTTCATCACAGATAAGAACTGTTCACAAACTTAGATGAGAAAGCTCTCACCTTCAGCAAAGAGCAAACACTGGAATAGATTTTTTCCAAATTGGCTTTTGGCCTGTACTCTGTCAGGTAATGAGATGGTTTTTAAGCAGAATTCTGTATCTTATTTCCCTGATCAGAGGGGTTGTGCAATTATTATTCTCTCCAAGCCTGGATAACGACGTGCAACAAGCCATCAGTCATTTAAATCGCCAAAGATATGATTGAAGAATGGAGGTCCCTCTGCTGTAGGAGAGAGCAAAAAATAAGAAAAATGTTGGAACCTGGCCAAGGTAGATTTGGGTTAAGGAGTGACTCACTACCTGCTTCTTGATTGGCTCTGAAAGATGGGAGTGCATGGGGGAAGGGACATAACAACAAGACCTCTAATTGCCCTGATTGATTGAGGCACAGTGATCAGGAGGAGCACAATGTATGTATGCACTGCAAATGTTCTGTGTCTAATGAGGGGAGCCCTTGACAAACTCACTGAGGGGAGCCCTTGACAAACTCACTTTGGGGAGCCCTTGACAAACCCACTTTCTACCTGGTTATAGCACATTCAAATAGATTGAAGTTCAAGATTTTCCTAACAGCTCTTTCCAAGACCCATGAAAATAAGAAATGAGGAGATTTCAGAGAACAGCCCAAGGTGGACCCTTCTCATCTGTGCATGCAGATAGGTGAGTGAACACAGCCTAAGAATATGGAAACAGAAAGGGCTCATTTTTACTTTCTTATCAGTGACTCCTGACATATGAACCTGTTGAGACTTGGACAGCTGCAGGTGTGTTTACTTTCTTCTTCAAGATGACCCAGGGTTCTATGTCAGAAAGTTTACATATTTTGACTGTTGGAACTCAGGATATGAAATTAAGAATAATGCCAGAGTGCACACAACAATTCAGGTACAAAGATGATAATTATGGCATTTTTATAAGAATAAAAATCATAGCAACAAAGTAAATGGTTCATGATAGGGTGTCAACTAAAACAATTATGGTACATCAGGCAATGGAGTACTAGGAAGTTATTAAACATCATGGTTCCAAAGATTACGTGATGAAATTTTAAAAAAGTAATAAGCTTATACTTTTTAAATATATAAGTAATGAGCTTATAGGATATTTTTATTTATTTATTTTCTGTATGTAAAATGGCAATTTATTTTTTCCTCTAATCAGAAAAGAAACATAAAGTATAAATAATAATCCCATTAGAGTTGGGGAATAAGTTGAGATTATCATTTTGTGGGCAGGTAAGTGACCTTTTGATTAAGGTCTAGGTTAAATCAGTCCCAAAGTGTCTATCGGGGCTACAATCCTACCTGTGTTCATCTGAGTGGAAATACAGAATAATGTAATGTTGTGTGTCAACTTCTGCCATAAGCTATAAAAATAATTTATATTTTGTATTCCAAAAAGACAATAACCATTCCCAACTAATGTTGTGCTAAATGCTCCTTTTGGAAAGAGGATGATAATTTTGCCCTAGGAGTGCAGCCAATGAACCCAATGCAATTTCATTTATGTTTCACTGTGTTTAGGATTGTTCTTCCTGCCCCCAGTGTTCCAGAGGCTCTTTGATATTTACGAGCTTTAAATCTCTTTCTCTAAGCTGTTTGGCATTTAGGGCCTGGCAGTCTCAGGCTTTTTTTTTTTTTTTTTTTTTTTTTTTTTTGTCTGAAAGCTTTAGGAAGTTGCTGTCCCTGCAGTTTTCTCTGAATCAGAAACTTGTTTCCTTCCTGGACACGAAATGTACTGTAGTGGCAACAGGTTGATGAGTTGAAAAAGATTAGAGCAAAGGTTGAAATACAAGAGGTGGGTTAGGTGGAATATTCGTGAATTCCTATGAATTTAACGTGTTAAATTGTATTTTCCCAAAAGATATACTCTATCCCTTGGTTTCTATAAATGTGACCTTATTAAGAAACAGGATCTTTGCAGATATAACCAAGTTAAGATGAGGTGATTAGGATGGCCCCTTTATCCAGTATGACTGTTGTCCTTATAAGATGGGAAGGTAGTCAAGGCAAAACACAGACTCAAGGAGAAAACTATGTGAAGACAGCAGAGATTGGAGCCATGAGCTGTAAATCAAGGAATGCTCCAATCTCTGCAACCACCACCAGATGCTAGGAAGTGGCAATGAAGCATTCCCTGCTATCGGTTTCAGAGAGAGCATGGGCCTGCTGATGCCTTGATTTTGGACTTCTAGCCCCCAGAATTGTGAGACAATAAATTTTGGTTATCTTAAATCACCCAGTTTGTGGTATAGTACTTTGTAATGGCAGCCTTAGGAAACTAATGCAGAGATAATGAAATATGCCAAGTCAGTGATAAAAATGAAGACCATGTATTGAGTATATTGGTATTTAGGTTCTTTAATATTTTTTCCGATGTAAAAGAAGCCCAATCTGTGGATATTATCAATGAATGAGGAAACTACAGTTCATTTAGGTAAAGAAAAAGATTAGATACAGAGAGTTTATTTGGCAGGTAATTCCAGAAGCAGGGTGAAAGAGTGAAGAGATAGAGACAGGAGAAAAGGAAACGTCTGTGCAAGGTCTATCATAGCACAGGTTTCCAGAGTGGACAGCTGGAACAGACTCCTACTGGGACATTATAAGAAACATTATATATTAAATGCACTTAATAACTGTCCTTCTGAAAGATGGGAGATGGGACATCTATCCATGAACTCCATCCCCCATTGATTAGGAGTTGCTCTAACGGCATCAACCCCATGCATGCCAAGGCTGCAACTAAGCTCAAGCTGAGAGACCTCTCCTTGCTTTGGAGAGACCCCTGAAGCAAACAAACAAACAAGAAACAGACAAGGCAGGTGCTTGCGGATGTAAATCCAAGGGTAGGTCCAGATTAATTTAAACTGGTTGGATATCGCATCCCTAGGGTTACATTGAAAACGGGGACTGGCTCAAGACAAATGTGTGACTCATTTATAACCAATAATAGAAACAATTTTCATCGGTTGATGGGAGAAAAGTCTGTTTTGTCTGTTGGGCTTGGAAACATGGAACGTAAGGTCTGGAGCATCAGAATCCATTTGTGGCCATGAGAGAAATATCAACACAGGGGAAATGAGCTGCAAGAGAAAGAGAGAAAAGCTGGACCCTCGGGATCTCATTTGAGCTGATGGAGTTCATAGTGACTAAAGACAGACTGGCAGCCTGAATTTTTAGCTCCTGCAAGCCTATATATTTCCTATTTACTAAATCAGCTTGAGTTGGGTTTCCAATGGAACGACCTTTGATTCTGTGTTAATCAGAGTTTGGCCCCAGACCAGCAGCATCAGCATCACTGGAAGCTTGTTACAAATGCAGATTCTCAGGCCTGACCGCAGATCTGCTGACTTCCTGAGTGTGAGGCTCAGGAACCTGTATTTAAGAAGCCTCCCAGGTGATTCTTATGCATGCTAAACTTTCAGAACTACTGCCCACCAGAAGCCAACATCATTGGCAAAAGAAAGAAAAAAGCATCAGCATCTAAAAAACAAAACAACAAAATAAACCAATGCAATTTTAAGTGTAGTTTGATATTTGGTGCAAGTTACTTTCACTATATACAAAATATATCTAGAATCCAGAAAAAATCACAATAACTTTAAAAATTTCAGGGTGACTTAGAAGGGCACTGCAGCACCAACTACATATATTTTTCATTTTTCCTTATTAAAATTTTAGATTTATCTGCACAGCTCTGCCTCATTAGAAGGCGTGAGGGCTGAAAAATGAAGACAAGAGCTTTAGATTTATTTCTTTGTCTTTTACTTATTCTGACCCAAACCAGACACCAGAACAATTACAGTGAATTTTTAAAAATTCTTTTTCTCATAGCAAGAGTGTCTGATGAAATTGCATTTGTATCCTTTCAGCCCCTTGGGTTTGCTAATGCTACTAAATCTAGTCTCCTTTCACACCTTGAATGGTAAAAAATAATTATGTTACATTTTCAGATTCTGTGAAAATAATCAATCTGAAGTATTATTGGAGGGAAATAAAACTCTGAATTTGATAATATTGCCTCTAAAGCTACATAAGAAAACTAAACTTGATTTATTAGCCAAGCTCATGGATGCAGTCGAATCTTGTAAATTTAATAGTATTTGGGGGAAGACCAATGTTCATAAAGAAAGTAAGAATTATGAACTTTTAAAAAGAAATATTTATTATTTCTATATATGAATGTATTAGCAGATTTTTTTTTAATAATCAGAAGTCCAGCCAGATCCCTTTTAATTCCTAATTAAGATTTGCAGAATTCATCCACATGGAAACATGGAGCATTCTTAAGTCCAAGTAGTTGGCTTTCTGAAATTGCTTATGTCATGCTTCTCTCACACATTGTACTGTACAATTGCAGGCAAAATTCTTTCATCACATTCTGGACATACAGTTAAACTACATTTCCCAAGCTCCCTTGCAGTTGCTGAGGCCACATGATCTGACCAATGAAATGAGGGTAAAGTGTTACTGCTTATTCCATGTCTGGTCCCTAAAAATATCTCCCACAGAATCCTGATCCTCCACTCTCCCTTTTTCCTTGTCTGCTGACCAGAGGCAGTAGAGAGCTTCAAGATCCTAGTTCAGAAGTCTGCATACTACATCCTGTGGGCTGGCCTTTTGTTTTTATAAATAACGTTTTATTGCTATGCAGCTATGGCCGTTTGTTCATGTATTATTTATGGAGGCTTTCACACTATAGTGGCAGTAGTTGAAACAGAGACTATATGCCTCACAAATCTGAAAATATTTACTCTCTGGCTCTTTAAACATAATGCTTGCTGACCTATGTCCTAGGACATTGTAGAACCAATATACAGGGGCAGCCTAGATCCCTGTGTGACTGCATAAACTAGGTCCCTTTGCCCCTCCACTAACATGCATTAGGTTGTGATATGAGCACTATTTTTTTTTTAATTTTGTTAAATATCAAGACTTGGGGTATAAAAGCAGATGCAAATGCTAGTCTTTGTTATAGCGCTTGGGTTGGGCTAAAAGATACCTCAGAATAGACCCCTTTCCTCAAATATTTAAGGTTTATTGATGATGCTAATGTTGTAAAACTGACCCCTTCATCATCCCAAGCTCTCCCACACCCTGCGGTGAATGCAGAGCCTTCTAGAGCTGTGTTGGAATGGAGGGTATGGAGTAGGTGAAGACGCTGGCACCCTGGCTGCTCCCACAGAGGCTGAATCTGCAGGAGGGAGCGTCAGTATCAAACGGGAGGTTGGATGATGGGGGCAAATAGAGGAGGATACTGATTACTCTCATTATTTACAAATTGTATTCCTGTGTTGGCATCTGTCCACGCTGAAAAGGAAACCTTTAGACTAAAACCTGATTACAAATACCAAAACTGTGGGTGAGTCCTTATAAAATAATGTTTTTATATGTTAGGAAATATCTCAGTTACAGTTTTGGGGCCAGAAGAGCTTACTCTTCATAAAAAGGAGAAATATATTATTTTCCTGTTCTCTGTAAAAAGAGCATACTTTTTTTCAAGCCATTTATTTTTCAATTCCCATGGATTCAATTTGCCCCAAGAGCTCTGAAATGCTTGGATTTTATTTTATGATCTTTACTGTAACACACATTTGCTACATCCTTTTTGTATTTTGCTGGTATCATAACTCCTCTGGAATGAATCCTAGCATCTCCAGTGTTATATTCTGAGACGTGGGAAGCAGGCTAGCCATTTTCTCTACATTAATAGGCAGAAAAGTTCTGTCCTCGGGGTAACTTTCTGATTGCCGACTACAATAACCAGTGTCACTTACACAATAAAAAGTTTTATGTGAATTTTTTTATTGTCTCCTCCTGGCAAATTATAGTCGTTGCTCATCCAGCAGATGTGTGAGGCCGCAGGCTGAGTGCATCTGTTTCCCCTTTACATGGTCAGTCAGGTCCCTACCCCAGCAAAGAGGCAAATTTCCCAAGTGGTCATTGTAAATCAAGTATAGGTAACAGGACAGAGTTTTTGTAAACATATTTGTGACTCTGGTCCCTTTTGACAAACTGAACTTTGTCTTTCTTTTGTCACGTATGCTTGCAGAGGACTTCCCCCTTTCCTGGTGTCTTAGTAGGGGTTCTATAGAGGCTGACCCCGAGTAAGAATTTCAGTGCAGATAGATTATCTGAGAGGTAATCCCAGAAAGCATTGGTAGGGGTATGGGAAAGTGAGCCAGAGAAAAGAATGCAGTCAATGAAGAGTATTTGCTCAAGCCAGTCACCACTGTAGACAACTGGGGCTCAATCCCGATGGGGAATTCTAGAAGACCCGTGCAGAGCATGCCTCGCTGTCAGTCACAGGAAGAGAGTTGCTTGTTGGTGGTGTCAACTACTAGCTTGGTACAGAAGCAGGCAAAGAAGCCTTCTTAGTCTAGAGAAAGCCCTCAGGCCAAGAAATGCAGATCCTGGGCTTTGAAAGTTGAGCTTCTGTTCACTGACAGATAAGGACTTGGGATGTGGGTAGGCACTGACAGCACGTGTTGCACTTGGGCAGAAGAATCACTGTCCCCTTAGGGCTTTTACTGAGGTCTGAGTTAATAGTCAGTGCCTTAAACAAAATTTTCCCCTGGGCAAAGGGGTTTTGAGGGCTTTCTTCCACCTTGATTCCTCCCTTACTCAAGAGTGGCTTTGTAGGTGGACAGGGTATGTCAGTGCCTAAATAATCAGCTTTGGGGGGACTTGGAAGGAGACTGGGACATGACACCTCAAATTTCAAAGTTCATCAGGCAATGTGTGTCCCCCAGTTAAATTACAAATTTTCTGGGGGCACAGAAAGCCCATTACAAACTTAACCCTCATTCATCTACAGAGTGAATGAGCCCATTGACATGCTTACCGGAGATGTTTGATATGGGAGGGGCAGTGGATGACAGGGGTGTGTGATGTGGGGGATGTGGTGTATATTTTGTGTGTATATGAGTGGCCTGTGTGTTAAGTGTGTGTTGTGATATGTTTGGATGTGTTCACATGAGGACTCAGGCAATCAAACATCATACATGTTTGTGTTGGTTTCACTGAGGGCAGTTCCAAGAGCTTCTCCCTAAGGACTCTTCCACTTTGACCAAGAGTCCCTTCCACTCTCTTATTTTGCAATGCTCCTGGTCGTCTCTTCCCTTCATCCAGAGCTGTTGAATTCCTGCTGCTTTCAGATTGGCTTCAACTGTAGCTACTCCTGGCTGGGCTGTGAGGGCAGCTCTGAAGTGCTCTTACATTCTCAGGTAGCTCAGTAATGGATTGTTGTCATGGTTCTCCAGAGACCAGGAGAAAAGGCTCTGGCTCTGAGCCAGGAGTCCAGGCACCATGAATGCTGCCTAATTTAAGTGAAGAATGTGTAAAACAACTGCCTTAAGGAAGAAGGCTAGACATTTCCAGAAACTTAAAGAGACTGAAGGGAGTGTGCCTGAAGAGTGAGAGTAAACCTGGGAATTATCTATTTCCTAGCCATAGTGCCTGCCTTGTTTCCAATTTCCATACATCCAGGAAGCATGCATATGCTTTGTCCTGACAAACAGTAAAGAGTGTCATGACCTTTCAAACCTGAAACCACTGATGCCTCTGAACCAGTGGTTCTCAACCCTTGTCACACACTGGGATCACCTGGAGGGTTTCAAAAACACCAGTGGCTTAATCCACCCCAGAGATATTTAGGTAATTTGTTTGGTAGCATCCTGAGCATCAGAATTTTTAAATATCCTCAAGCAATTCTAATGTGCTGCCAGGGTTGATAGGCACTGCACTGAACTACCTCAAGTTCAGAGAGAGGATTTCAGAGACTGTCCTGGCTATTGTTGAAATGCTAATTGTCATTTTAAAGTTAACATCTCCGAAATGACATTCATGATTTACTTCTAAATACTCCAATCTGCTCCTCATAGAGTCTTCCCTTTGCTTGGGGAGAAAAAAACCTTGGAGTCATCTCTCTCATACCACATATTCCATCTGTCAAAAAATATTGAAAGCTCTGCCTTTCAAATGCATCTGGGAAATGATCTCCTCTCATCAGCTATACCTTTACCACCTGGTTCAAATTAACAGTTGTTTGCTCACCTGTATGAGTGCACTAGCCTCCTAAATCATGTTCTGCCTTTGTGTTTCCCTCAGTCACAGCTCATGCAGAAGCCAGGTGGGCCCTATAAATCCTAAGAAATCAAGTCCTTCCTCTGTTAAAAACCCTCCAATAGTTTCTTGTCCTACTAGGAGTAAAAGCCTGAGTCTCGTACATTCCTAGGTGATTTTCTCCCAGCTACCAGAAGAGGGGATCCTACTGTGGAAAAAAGTTTTTGCTTAAGAAAGTGTGAGAGTTGCAGGGTGAAACAAAGTTAAATAATTGTTGTTGGACTTCTCAAAAACTCTGCTATGCTAAGGATCATTATGAAGTCTCTAAGGATATATTGTATACATCACTTTTTAAACTCAGCAAAGAAAACTTTTGGAAAAAACACCATCTGCTATAGTCTCGATATTTGTCCCCTCTAAATCTCATGTTGAAATGTAATTTCCAGTGTTGGAGGTCGGGCCTGGTTGGGGGTGATTGGATCATAGGGTGGATCCCTCATGAATCATTTAGCACTATCTCCTTAGTGACAAGTGGGTTCTTCCTCAGTTCACAGGAGAGCTGGTTGTTGAAACAACCCTGGCTGCTCCTCTTCTCTCTCTTGCTCCCACTCTCACCATCTAACACACTGGCTCCACCTTTGGCTTCTTGAATGATTGTAAGCTTCCTGAGGCCCTCATGAGAAGGAGATACCACACTTCCTGTGCAGCCTGCAGAACCACGAGTCAATTAAAGCTCTTTTCTTTCTCTCCCTTCTTTCCTTCTTTCCTTCCTTCCTTCCTTCCTCCCTCCCTCCCTTCCTTCCTTCCTTCTCTCTCTCTTGCTTGCTTGCTTTTTTTTGAAAAAGTCTTGCTCTGTCGCCCAGGCTGGAGGCCATTGGCACAATCTCGGCTCACTGCAACCTCTGCCTCCTGGGTTCAAGTGATTCTCCTGCCTCAGCCTCCCAAGTAGCTGGGATTACAGGCACACACCACCACACGTGGCTAATTTTTGTATTTTTAGTAGAGACAGGATTCCATTATGTTGGTCAGGCTGATCTCGAACTCCTGACCTCAAGTGATCCACCCACCTCAGCCTCCCGAAGTGCTGGGATTACAGGCATGAGCCACTGTGCCCAGCCTAAGGCTCTTTTCTTTATAAATTACCCAGCTTCAGGTATTTCTTTATAGCAACACAACAACAGCCTAACACAGCATCCATTGACATTGGTGTTAACCCGCTTTGCCTGCGTGTAGGAAAGGAAATCAAACAGACCTCACAAACCTCACACACTGGCAGAAGCAAAAAGGGCCATGAAGAAAGTGGACAAATTTCTTACTTGCATGGCCAGGTCAGAGATATGGGCTGAGTAGTTGGGTTTCTGTGACTTTGTATGTTTTGTTTTGTTTTTAAATAATTGAATGTTCTGGTTTCTAGTTTCTGCATTTGATAGTAAAAGAACATTCAGTGTATTAATTGAAGTTTCTGCCTGAAAAAAAAGAAAATATTTAGCATGTCTTCCTTTTTTTTTTTTTTTTTTTTTGAGATGGAGTTTTGCTCTTGTTGCCCAGGCTGGAGTGCAGTGGCGCGATCTTGGCTCACTGCAACCTCTGCCTTCTGGGTTCAAGCGATTCTCCTGCCTCAGACTCCTGAGTAACTGGGATTACAGGCGTGCACCACTACGCCCAGCTAATTTTTTCTATTTTTAGTAGAGATGAGGTTTCATCATGTTGGCCAGGCTGGTCTCGAACTCCTGACCTCAGGTGATCCACCCGCCTCGGCCTCCCAATAGCATGTCTTTAAGAGTGGTGATGATATAGTTTGGATCTGTGTCCCCACCAAATCTCATGTTGAATTGTAATCCCCAGTGTTGGAGGTGGGGCCTAGTGGGAGGTGACTGGATCACGGGGGCAGAGTTCTCATGAATGGTTTAGCGCCATCCGCTTGGTGCCCTATCCTGTGATAGTGAGTGAGTTATCCTGAGATCTGGTTGTTTTACTTTATTTTATTTTTTATTTATTTTTTTGAGGCAGTCTCGTTCTGTCACCCAGGCTGGAGTGCAGTGGCACGATCTCGGCTCACTACAACCTCCACCTCCTGGGTTCAAGCAGTTCTCCTGCCTCAGCCTCCCAAGTAGCTGGGATTATAGACGCGCACCACCAAGCCCAGCTAATTTTTTTGTATTTTTAGTAAAGATGGGGTTTTGCCATGTTGGTCAGGCTGGTCTCCAACTCCTGACCTCGTGATCCACCCGCCTCGGCCTCCTAAAGTGCTGGGATTACAGGCGTGAGCCACCGCGCCAGGCGATCTTGTTGGTTTAAAAGTGAGTGGCACCTCCCGACTTTTTCTCTTTCCTGCTTGGGCCATGTGATGTGACTGCTCTGGCTTTGCCTTCGCCTTGAGTAAAAGTTTTCTGAGGCTTCCCCAGCAGCCGAGCGGAAGCTGCTTTTCTTCCTGTATAGCCTGCAGAACCATGAGCCAATAAAACCTCTTTTCTTTGTAAATTTCCCAGTCGTAAGTATTTCTTTATAGCAGTTCAAGAACGGACTAATACATGTTAACATGGGTGGGAGGAGGTGAATGGTTAAGATAAAACAATGACACCTTAAGTGTTTAAATAAGTATACCTTTTTTAATTTGAAAAGACGTGTCTCTAAAAGTTAATAAACATATTTTGCTACTTAGATGGACACAAGAAATACTATTTGAATATGCTAAGAGCCCTTAAAGAGGAAAATAGCTCTTACGTAAATTGGTGTCAATCAAAAGTGTCAGTCATGATGAGGCTGTGTTTTTTTGTTTTTTATTTATTTTTTTTATTATACTTAAAGTTTTAGGGTACATGTGCACATTGTGCAGGTTAGTTACATATGTATACATGTGCCATGCTGGTGCGCTGCACCCACTAACTCGTCATCTAGCATTACGTATATCTCCCAATGCTATCCCTCCCCCCTCCCCCCACCCCACCACAGTCCCCAGAGTGTGATATTCCCTTCCTGTGTCCATGTGATCTCATTGTTCAATTCCCACCTATGACTGAGAATATGCGGTGTTTGGTTTTCTGTTCTTGCAATAGTTTACTGAGAATGATGATTTCCAATTTCATCCATGTCCCTACAAAGGACATGAACTCATCCTTTTTTATGGCTGCAAAGTATCCCATGGTGTATATGTGCCCCATTTTCTTAATCCAGTCTATCATTGTTGGACATTTGGGTTGGTTCCAAGTCTTTGCTATTGTGAATAGTGCCGCAATAAACATACGTGTGCATGTGTCTTTATAGCAGCATGATTTATAGTCCTTTGGGTATATACCCAGTAATGGGATGGCTGGGTCAAATGGTATTTCCAGTTCTAGATCCCTGAGGAATCGCCACACTGACTTCCACAATGTTTGAACTAGTTTACAGTCCCACCAACAGTGTAAAAGTGTTCCTATTTCTCCACATCCTCTCCAGCACCTGTTGTTTCCTGACTTTTTAATGATTGCCATTCTAACTGGTGTGAGATGGTATCTCATTGTGGTTTGGATTTGCATTTCTCTGATGGCCAGTGATGATGAGCATTTTTTCATGTGTCTTTTGGCTGCATAAATGTCTTCTTTTGAGAAGTGTCTGTTCACATCCTTCGCCCACTTTCTGATGGGGTTGTTTGTTTTTTTCTTGTAAATTTGTTTGAGTTCATTGTAGATTCTGGATATTAGCCCTTTGTCAGATGAGTAGGTTGCGAAAATTTTCTCCCATGTTGTAGGTTGCCTGTTCACTCTGATGGTAGTTTCTTTTGCTGTGCAGAAGCTCTTTAGTTTAATTAGATCCCATTTGTCAATTTTGGCTTTTGTTGCCATTGCTTTTAGTGTTTTAGACATGAAGTCCTTGCCCATGCCTATGTCCTGAATGGTAATGCCTAGGTTTTCTTCTAGGGTTTTTATGGTTTTAGGTCTAACGTTTAAGTCTTTAATCCATCTTGAATTGATTTTTGTATAAGGTGTAAGGAAGGGATCCAGTTTCAGCTTTCTACATATGGCTAGCCAGTTTTCCCAGCACCATTTATTAAATAGGGAATCCTTTCCCCGTTGCTTGTTTTTCTCAGGTTTGTCAAAGATCAGATAGTTGTAGATATGCGGCTTTATTTCTGATGGCTCTGTTCTGTTTCATTGATCTATATCTCTGTTTTGGTACCAGTACCATGCTGTTTTGGTTACTGTAGCCTTTTAGTATAGTTTGAAGTCAGGTAGTGTGATGCCTCCAGCTTTGTTCTTTTGGCTTAGGATTGACTTGGCGATGCGGGCTCTTTTTTGGTTCCATATGAACTTTAAAGTAGTTTTTTGCAATTCTGTGAAGAAAGGCATTGGTAGCTTAATGGGGATGTCATTGAATCTGCAAATTACCTTGGGCAGTATGGCCATTTTCACAATATTGATTCTTCCTACCCATGAGCATGGAATGTTCTTCCATTTGTTTGTCTCCTCTTTTATTTCCTTGAGCAGTGGTTTGTAGTTCTCCTTGAAGGGGTCCTTCACATCCCTTGTAAGTTGGATTCCTAGGTATTTTATTCTCTTTGAAGCAATTGTGAATGGGAGTTCACTCATGATTTGGCTCTCTGTTTGTCTGTTGTTGGTGCATAAGAATGCTTGTGATTTTTGTACATTGATTTTATATCCTGAGACTTTGCTGAAGTTGCTTATCAGCTTAAGGAGATTTTGGGCTGAGACAATGGGGTTTTCTAGATATACAATCATGTCATCTGCAAACAGGGACAATTTGACTTCCTCTTTTCCTAATTGAATACCCTTTATTTCCTTCTCCTGTCTAATTGCCCTGGCCAGAACTTCCAACACTATGTTGAATAGGAGTGGTGAGAGAGGGCATCCCTGTCTTGTGCCAGTTTTCAAAGGGAATGCTCCCAGTTTTTGCCCATTCAGTATGATATTGGCTGTGGGTTTGTCATAGATAGCTCTTATTATTTTGAAATACGTCCCATCAATACCTAATTTATTGAGAGTTTTTAGCATGAAGGGTTGTTGAATTTTGTCAAAGGCCTTTTCTGCATCTATTGAGATACTTATGTGGTTTTTGTCTTTGGCTCTGTTTATATGCTGGATTACATTTATTGATTTGAGTATATTGAACCAGCCTTGCATCCCAGGGATGAAACCCACTTGATCATGGTGGATAAGCTTTTTGATGTGCTGCTGGATTCGGTTTGCCAGTATTTTATTGAGGATTTTTGCATCAATGTTCATCAAGGATATTGGTCTAAAATTCTCTTTTTTGGTTGTGTCTCTGCCCAGCTTTGGTATCAGAATGATGCCGGCCTCATAAAATGAGTTAGGCAGGATTCCCTCTTTTTCTATTGATTGGAATAGTTTCAGAAGGAATGGTACCAGCTCCTCCTTGTACCTCTGGTAGAATTCGGCTGTGAATCCATCTGGTCCTGGACTCTTTTTGGTTGGTAAGCTATTGATTATTGCCACAATTTCAGATCCTGTTATTGGTCTATTCAGAGATTCAACTTCTTCCTGGTTTAGTCTTGGGAGAGTGTATGTGTTGAGGAATTTATCCATTTCTTCTAGATTTTCTAGTTTATTTGCATAGAGGTGTTTGTAGTATTCTCTGATGGTAGTTTGTATTTCTGTGGGATCGGTGGTGATATCCCCTTTATCATTTTTTATTGCGTCTATTTGATTCTTCTCTCTCTTTTTCTTTATTAGTCTTGCTAGCAGTCTATCAATTTTGTTGATCCTTTCAAAAAACCAGCTCCTGGATTCATTAATTTTTTGAAGGGTTTTTTGTGTCTCTATTTACTTCAGTTCTGCTCTGATTTTAGTTATTTCTTGCCTTCTGCTAGCTTTTGAATGTATTGGCTCTTGCTTTTCTAGTTCTTTGAATTGTGATGTTAGGGTGTCAATTTTGGATCTTTCCTGCTTTCTCTTGTGGGCATTTAGTGCTATAAATTTCCCTCTACACACTGCTTTGAATGCGTCCCGGAGATTCTGGTATGTTGTGTCTTTGTTCTCCTTGGTTTCAAAGAGCATCTTTATTTCTGCCTTCATTTCTTTATGTACCCAGTAGTCATTCAAGAGCAGGTTGTTCAGTTTCCATGTAGTTGAGCAGTTTTGAGTGAGATTCTTAATCCTGAGTTCTAGTTTGATTGCACTGTGTTCTGAGAGATAGTTTGTTATAATTTCTTTTACATTTGCTGAGGAGAGCTTTACTTCCAACTGTGTGGTCAATTTGGGAATAGGTGTGGTGTGGTGCTGAAAAAAATGTATATTCTGTTGATTTGGGGTGGAGAGTTCTGTAGATGTCTATTAGGTCTGCTTGGTGCAGAGCTGAGTTCAATTCCTGGGTATCCTTGTTTACTTTCTGTCTCATTGATCTGTCTAATGTTGACAGTGGGGTGTTAAAGTCTCCCATTATTAATGTGTGGGAGTCTAAGTCTCTTTGTAGGTCACTCAGGACTTGCTTTATGAATCTGGGTGCTCATGTATTGGGTGCATATATATTTAGGAGAGTTAGCTCTTCTTGTTGAATTGATCCCTTTACCATTATGTAATGGCCTTCTTTATCTCTTTTGATCTTGGTTGGTTTAAAGTCTGTTTTATCAGAGACTAGGATTGCAACCCCTGCCTTTTTTTGTTTTCCATTTGCTTGGTAGATCTTCCTCCATCCTTTTATTTTGAGCCTATGGCTGTCTCTGCACGTGAGATTGGTTTCCTGAATACAGCACACTGATGGGTCTTGACTCTTTATCCAATTTGCCAGTCTGTGTCTTTTAATTGGAGCATTTAGTCCATTTACATTTAACGTTAATATTGTTATGTGTGAATTTGATCCTGTCATTATGATGTTAGCTGGTTATTTTGCTCGTTAGTTGATGCAGTTTCTTCCTAGTCTCGATGGTCTTTACATTTTGGCATGATTTTGCAGCGGCTGGTACCGGTTGTTCCTTTCCATGTTTAGTGCTTCCTTCAGGAGCTCTTTTAGGGCAGGCTTGGTGGTGACAAAATCTCTCAGCATTTGCTTGTCTGTAAAGTATTTTATTTCTCCTTCACTTATGAAGCTTAGTTTGGCTGGATATGAAATTCTGGGTTGAAAATTCTTTTCTTTAAGAATGTTGAATATTGGCCCCCACTCTCTTCTGGCTTGTAGGGTTTCTGCCGAGAGATCTGCTGTTAGTCTGATGGGCTTCCCTTTGTGGGTAACCCGACCTTTCTCTCTGGCTGCCCTTAACATTTTTTCCTTCATTTCAACTTTGGTGAATCGGACAATTATGTGTCTTGGAGTTGCTCTTCTCAAGGAGTATCTTTGTGGCGTTCTCTGTATTTCCTGAATCTGAACGTTGACCTGCCTTGCTAGATTGGGGAAGTTCTCCTGGATAATATCCTGCAGAGTGTTTTCCAACTTGGTTCCATTCTCCCCATCACTTTCAGGTACACCAATCAGATGTAGATTTGGTCTTTTCACATAGTCCCATATTTCTTGGAGACTTTGTTTGTTTCTTTTTATTCTTTTTTCTCTAAACTTCCCTTCTCACTTCATTTCATTCATTTCATCTTCCATTGCTGATACCCTTACTTCCAGTTGATCGCATCAGCTCCTGAGGCTTCTGCATTCTTCACGTAGTTCTTGAGCCTTGGTTTTCAGCTCCATCAGCTCCTTTAAGCACTTCTCTGTATTGGTTATTCTAGTTATCCATTCATCTAAATTTTTTTCAAAGTTTTCAACTTCTTTGCCTTTGGTTTGAATGTCCTCCCGTAGCTCAGAGTAATTTGATCGTCTGAAGCCTTCTTCTCTCAGCTCGTCAAAGTCATTCTCCATCCAGCTTTGTTCCATTGCTGGTGAGGAACTGCGTTCCTTTGGAGGAGGAGAGGCGCTCTCCTTTTTAGAGTTTCCAGTTTTTCTGTTCTGTTTTTTCCCCATCTTTGTGGTTTTATCTACTTTTGGTCTTTGATGATGGTGATGTACAGATGGGTTTTTGGTGTGGATGTCCTTTCTGTTTGTTAGTTTTCCTTCTAACAGACAGGACCCTCAGCTGCAGGTCTGTTGGAATACCCTGCCTTGTGAGGTGTCAGTGTGCCCCTGCTGGGGGGTGCCTCCCAGTTAGGCTGCTTGGGGTTCAGGGGTCAGGGACCCACTTGAGGAGGCAGTCTGCCCGTTCTCAGATCTCCAGCTGCGTGCTGGGAGAACCACTGCTCTCTTCAAAGCTGTCAGACAGGGACATTTAAGTCCGCAGAGGTTACTGCTGTCTTTTTGTTTGTCTGTGCCCTGCCCCCAGAGGTGGAGCCTACAGAGGCAGGCAGGCCTCCTTGAGCTGTGGTGGGCTCCACCCAGTTCGAGCTTCCTGGCTGCTTTGTTTACCTAAGCAAGCCTGGGTAATGGCGGGCGCCCCTCCCCCAGCCTCACTGCAGCCTTGCAGTTTGATCTCAGACTGCTGTGCTAGCAATCAGGGATACTCCATGGGCGTAGGACCCTCCGAGCCAGGTGCGGGATATAATCTCATGGTGCACCATTTTTTAAGCCGGTCAGAAAAGCACAGTATTCGGGTTGGAGTGACCCGATTTTCCAGGTGCGTCCGTCACCCCTTTCTTTGACTCGGAAAGGGAACTCCCTGACCCCTTGCGCTTCCCAAGTGAGGCAGTGTCTCGCCCTGCTTCGGCTCGCGCACGGTGCGCACACCCACTGACCTGTGCCCACTGTCTGGCACTCCCTAGTGAGATGAACCCAGTACCTCAGATGGAAATGCAGAAATCACCCATCTTCTGTGTCGCTCATGCTGGGGGCTGTAGACCGGAGCTGTTCCTATTCGGCCATCTTGGCTCCTCCCCGAGGCTGTTTCTTGATAGCTCATTTGGTGGACAGAAATCAGGTGGTTTATGGACTTCCTTGTTACTGGGCATGTTTGTAACTGGTACAAGGCATGAAATCACTGTTTTCTGGGATAGGTGTAGAAAGAATATCTTCTATCCCTGTATGGCCTGAATGACTTTGACAGTGGTAACTTTTTGAAACTCAGAAGTAGCTTTAAAAACCTGCCATTCTAACTCATGGAAAGTAATAGGATTCAATTTGGCATGAACATGCTATGAATTTGACAACTAAAATGCAAGCTTCCAGCTCCACATCACCCGTCTCTCAGGCCCTTCTCTTTTATTTTCAGGCCCCAATTTGAGGCCAAAGGAGCTCAGTCTGAGACATATTATGTGGCCCAGCTGTTTGCTTCAGAGATCCATTCCTGCAGCTGTTCAAATGGCACTGTTGTTCTTTTCTTAAAATTCGGTTTCTCATCCCATTCGCCAGCTGAGCTCAAACAAAGAGCAACAAATGACATATTTCTACAAACAAAATATGTTTGTTTTGTTGTAAATGTATAAAGAGATCAATAAAGTTAAGCCAAACTTTCCAAGGCCAGAGGTGTTACCAAGAAAATGACATTACAGTCACTTGACAGAAAAGGAAAATTATGTTTGCCAAAGATAATAAAGAGCTCACATTTCCCCAGTTAACATTTTATAACCAAAGAGGAAAATGCAGTACTGTGCAGAAGAACGCACTTCTTTGTGCCTTTGAAGCCGATGGATTTCAGTTAAATGTCTCTTATAACAATTGGGGTTGCTTAATGTTTAATTATACATCAACAGAAACAACCATTATATTCATGATTCACTGAGGCTCCTCTGCTATTTTTGAAATCATCCTAAAATACCATTTGGTTTACACTTCTCACTCTCTTTGGAGAGTTAATTTTACAAACAGATATATGTGCTGGGCTTAAAAGATTAAATGTCTCCATCTTTATTGTTTTCCAATACAATATTTATGTAGTAGAAGCTTTCCTCCAATTAATCATACTATGTGAGTGTTTGATCTGGAAATCTTTGAGCAATGGAGAAAAAATATATGAGTGAGGTCAATGGATGTGCATGGCAGATAGTAAGTATGCATTTGGAAGAAGAACTCGAGAACCTACATTCAGGAATAACTAGAATGTGAGGAAAGGAAATAAATATTGATTAGTGGAGGAGAAATAGGTCAGAGAGAGAAGTGGTACATTCTTTTTTTTTTTTTTTTTTTGAGATAGAGTCTCACTCTGTTGCCCAGGCTGGAATGCAGCGGGTTGATCTTGGCTCACTACAACCTCTGCCTCCCAGGTTCAAGTGATTCTCCTGCCTCAGTCTACCAAGTAGCTGGGATTACAGGTGCCTGCCACCATGCCTGGCTAGTTTTTGTATGAGAAGTGGTATATTGTCTAAGTGAACTAACACAGAAAACCAAATGCCACATGTTCTCATTGTAAGTGGGAGCTAAACATTGGGTTACACGGACACAAAGATGGGAACAATAGACACTGGGGGCCACTAGAAGTGGGAGAGACAGACCGGGCACAGTGGCTTATGCCTGTAATTCCAGCACATTGAGAGGCTGATGCGGATGGATCACCTGAGGTCACGAGTTCGAGACTAGCCTGGCCAACGTGGTGAAACCCCATCTCTACTAAAAATACAAAAATTAGCCGGGCGTGGTGGTGGGTGCCTGTAATCCCAGCTACTGGGGAGGCTCAGGGAGGAGAAGTGCTTGAACCTGGGAGGTGGAGGTTGCAGTGAGCTGAGATTGCGCCATTGCAGTCCAGCCTGGGTAACAAGAGTGAAACTCTGTCTCAAAAAAAAAAAAAAAAAAGAAGTGGGAGAGACAGACGGGGCAAAGGCTGAAAGCTACCTATTGGATACTGTGTTCACTACCTAGGTGATGAGTTCAATCATATTCCATACCTCAGCATCCTGCAATATACCCAAGCAACAAACCTGCCCATGTACCCCTTGATTCTAAAGTAAAAATGGAAAAAGAAAAAAGCCTCTTTCTATATCTTCATTTATGTGATAAGGATTTGAATGCCTACTATGGAGCATGTGGAACTGTAGGTCCTGGGGAATCAGCAATTAACAACAACGAAAAGTAAAATAAATCTCCTGCCCTCTTGGAGTGTACCTTCAGGTCAGAAATACAGTCAACAAACATGCAGAAAGAAAATCACAAGTGGAATATGAAATAGATGGTAGGTAATATCTGTGAAGAAAATTTTTAAAAACTTTAAGAGGGATACAGAGTAGAGGAAGAAATAACTATAATATCAAATGGAGAGTTAGGGAAGACCTCATAGCAATGGTGGTATTTGAACAAAGACCTGAAGGAGTGGACCTTGTGGATAATACCTGGAGAAAGAAATTTGAGTTTGGAAAACAGCTCTTGAGGTGAAAGAATGTCTGTCATGTCCAAAGAGTAGTGAGGAGGGCAGTGTGATTGGTCAGAGTGAATGCAGTGAAGATTGGTGAAGAATGAATGCAGAGAATTAATGGGAAGGGATCAGGCAGCTGAATAGAGCTAGGACAGCTGTGCAGTGTGTGCACTGCACAAAATGCCTGTTGAGGGAGCCAACTGTCTACTTGCCGAGGTGTGAGCTCTGGGGCAGGGTGGTATCTGCCAGTGGGGGGTCAGAGCACTTTCATTCTTACAAAGGCACCAGCCACATTATCAAGGTTTAGCCATATAAAGCACTGAAGGCAGAGAGGGGGAGCCATTTTTAAAAACTGACCAAAGTTACTTTATAAGCTTCCAAGCCATGATGATGACCTGGATTTTAACTCAAGGGGATATGGGGGCCCACCAGACAGTTTTGAGCAGAGGAGTGACATGACCTGACTTGTTTAGCAGCAGCACACTCTCAGCTCTGTAGTGGATAAATTGAAGAGGCCATGATCAGATGCTTGGAAACTAGCTAACAAGCTATGAACCTAATCCAGTCAAAAGTTGATGGTGACTTAAGTCAGCGTGGTTGTAGCAGATACAGTAGAAGTGGAAGTGGTGGGATTTGAGGTGTGTTATGGAGATAGAGCCAACCGAATTTCTGAATGGCATAGACTTGAGGTGTGAGTAAAATAAAATGATCAAGGATGACACCACATGTTAGACTGATCAACTGGAAGGATAGTGTTCCATTGCTGAGATAGAAAGTCTCTAGAAAAATCAGGATGAGGAAGGGAGGAGAACATAAGGAGGTCAGTTCTTGACATGTACGGTTTGAGATGCTTATTAGCCATCCAGATGGAGACTTAGGTAAGCAATTGTATATATGAGTCTGAAGTTCAGGGTAGAAATACAGACTGCAGATATAGACTTGAGAATCACTAGTGTGAAGATGTCTTTAAAACAAAGACCAAATGAGGACCAGAGAGTAAGCGCAGATGGATTGAGAAGAGGTATCCATCCTGAGCTTTGGGACTTTGCACAATTAAGAGATTAAAGAGATACAAGGACTAGCACAAGAGGCTGAGAAGAAGCTGCCAATAAGACAAAAAGCCTTAAAGGTGTGAATTCCTGGAAGTCAAAGAAAAGTTTTCAAGGAGGACTGAGCTAGCTGTGGAAAAATGTCAATAAATATTTACCAAGCATCTACCATAGGGTTTGGCAATATAGAGAGGAAGTTTGACCTTCGTGGAGTAGTAGAGAAAAAGTCTCATTAGAGTGGATTTAAAAGAGAATGAGAAGTGAGCAATGGTGGAGCTAGAAGAGTACTGGCTACTTTTAAAAGAAGTTTGACTATAAATAAGAGGAAACAAATGGCACTGTACCTGGGGAAGGAAGTGGATTGAGATATATGTATTTTTTCAGATGGAGAATAAAACAACTTACTGATTCACTGACAAGAAAAATCCAGTAGAAAGGAAAATTTTGATGAAGCAGAAGAAAGAGGAAAAACTGTTACAATAATGTCTTTGGAAAAGCATGAAAGATAGAACATAGTACCAAAGCTAAGTTTAGCCTTAGTTGAAAATCCAGTTGAGTATTCCACAGTAATGGGGGGAATACAGGCTAATGGACACAGATGCAGGTAAGTGGGTAATTGTGATGGTGGGAGCTTATGCAAGTTCTTTTTTGAATGCTTGAATGTTCTCGTTGAAACAAGGAATTATATCACCAGCTGAAAGTGAGGACAAGGAAAGATATATTGCAGGTTTAAGAAGAGGAGGAAACATGAAACAGTTGTCTAGAAGAGAAGGGGAATAAATTTGACTAGACAAGTAGGGCATTCTTACCAGGCAACATTACAGGCCAGCTGTTCTCAGCTAAATGGGTACATAAGATTAATACGTTGGGAGGCCAATTTAATCAGGGCTGGAGTTTTGCCAAAATAATAGGTCAAAGCAGAAGAGAAACAAGAGAGTTAAGAGTATAACCAAAGGAGCAATTCTAATGATTGACTCTACAACTTAACATAGGTAAATTCAAATATGAGGACAAGAGGAGGCAGTGAAAAGGTGGTAGGGTAAAGGTCCTGACCCAGGTGTGGAGAATTGTTGGTACTAGAGGGGAGGCTCACAAAAGGGAGAGAGATGTTTGAAATGAGACAATGAAGGATTTGTACTATTGGTGATGATAGCGTCTGGTTGTGACTGCAGGAGTGAGTGGTTGAGCAAGAGTGAAGGACAGAAAGGAGGTCATAGGACTGACAGGCATCAGAAGAATTTCTACACAAGTATCTTTCAAACAAGAGTGCTACCACTCACCTGAGGTGGGTGGGTGGGGTTGAAAATGTGTTGATTTTTTAAAATAAACTTAATTTTATAATAGTGTTAGATTTTCAGAAAAGTTAAGATAGTACATAGTTTCCATATATCTAATACTCAATTTTCCCTATTATTAATAGTTTACATTTGCGTGGAATATATGCTACAATTAATGAACCAATATTGATAGATTATTACTAACTAAAGTCTATATTTTATTGATATTTGCTTAGTTTTGATCTAACATCTGTCTTCTGCTCCAGGATCCCATCAGGATCCCACATTCATTTAGTTGTCATGTCTCTTAGGCTCCTCTTAGCTGTGTTGCCTTTTCAGACTTTCCTGGTTTTTTTGCTGACCTTGACAGTTTTGGGGACTACTCGTTTAGGTATTTTGTAGAACATCCCTCAACTGAGATTTGTCTGATTTGTTTTTTTCTCAAGATTAGAATGGAGTTAATGGGTTTTGTGGAGACAGACCCACTTTACAGAGGCAAAATTTCATTCTCATCACATATCAAGGCAAAATGCTATGAACAATGGCTTATCACTGTTGATGTTGACCTTGGTTACCTGACTAAGGTAGTTTCTGTCAAGTTGCTCCACTGCAAATTTACTCTTTTATTTTCCTTTCCATACTCTACTCTTTGGGATTAAGCATGATCTTCAGCCCACACCGAAGGAGTAGGGAGTCATGCTTGAGTGCAGAGTAGTTACCTAAATTATCTGGAATTCTTGTACTTGGGGGGGTTGTCTATTTTTCTCCATTTGTGTATTTATTTAATCATGTATTTATATCAGTATGGATATGTATTTTATACTTTGGGCTATAATCTGATTCTACCTTACTTATTTTGTTACACAAATTGCGTCAGCCTTGGGAGCTCTCTCAGTTTGCACCTGTGATCTTCTGACATGCCCCCATCATTGTGGGGCTTTTGTTTGTTTCCTAACATTTACTTTCTGGTACTAAAGTATGCTCCAGATTCATCTTGTATATTTTCTCTGCCAGTCCTAGGTGAGTGATTTCACCAAAGAACTCTGGTTCCTTTTCTCAGAGAATGGTGTTAGAAACAAAGATCTGGGCGCTCATTTTGCTTTTTGCTCCTGGTGTGCTGCCGCTTCTAGGCTCTCTCAGCTGAACATTTCTGTATGTCCCTGTATGTATCTATATCAAGATAAACATAAATTGATGCTGATGTCACATGGATCATTCTAGCCCTCTCCACTTGCTTATTTGAAGCCTCCCTCCCTGTTGGAGCATTTTCAAACTGGGAAGTGTTATTGGCATTTAGAGGGCAGGAGTCAGGGAAGTCAAATTCCTTGCCACCCAAGCAATAGTTTCATATAAATGAAGAATTTTCTCTGCTCAAATAACAATGGTACTCCAATGGAAAACACTGATGTTTGTGGACATCAACAGCCCCAAGAATCCAACAGAAATAGCATTGTGTAGAGTCACAGTGAGTGGAAAAAGAAGCTTCAAGTTATGAGGGGAATAGCTACTAGCTGGGTGAATGCTTTGAGGGTACAAAGTAAGAGAAACAATCTGCTGATAAAATCAACTGGTTTGATTGTATTAGTGGCCTCCGTTCCTCAGCGCCCCCAGCCCCTGTATTCAGGTCCTTTTGAATGTGACCCTGCAACATTTCCTGTCAAGGAGAGAACCTATTTCCCCACACCTTGAATCTGTGTTGGTTTCAGGAATTGCTTTGGCCAGCAGAGTGCAGAGAAGGTGATGTCATACTTGTTCTGAGCCTAATCTTCAAGCAGCTTTGGGTGTTTCTGCTTCTTTTCTCATGACTCCATGAGAACATCATGAAAACAAGCCCCAGCTGTTTTTTAAGAGGATAAAACAAACAAGGCTCAGAGCCAAACCACCACAGCCAAAGCCACCCTAGATCAGCCAAAGGCCAGCTGACTCCCAGATATATGACAAGACCAATCTAACCTGAGGAAACGAACCAGCTGAACCCAGCTGTGGTAGGCAGCAGCTTGCATGGCTCCCAGTGGTTCTGGTATACATGTACTTAAGTAACCCCATTTATTTGGATGTGGGCTGGACCTAGGGACTTGTTTTTAAATGAATAGAATACAGCAAATGTGATGGAATGTCACTTCCAAGAAGTTATAAAAGACTGTGATTTCTATCTTGTTCATTCTTTTCTCCCTCTCCTATGATTCTTGTTCTGGGGGAAAGCCAACTGCTGTGCTATGAATAGTCCTTTGTAGAAGCCCACATAGTAAGGAACTGATGTTTCCAGCAAACTGCCAGCAAGGACCTGAAGCCAGCCACATCCACAACAGGGATCTTGAATGTGGATCAACCTCCAGTCGAGCGTTGAGATGACCCTTGTCTCAGCCAATACCTTGATTGTAACCCGTGAGACACCCAGAGCCAGAGGACTCACCTAAGCTGCACCTAATTCCTAACTCATGCAAACTGAGAATGATAAATGGGTATTGTGTTAAGCTGCTGAGTTTTAGGATAATTTGTTAGGCAGCAATATATAACTAATACATCAGCTTAAATTGCTAAACTGCAGGCCTGAGAACTAAATACGTGCTCATTGTGTTAAGCCTTTGGCTTTGGGGATGGCTTGCTATGCAGCGTTACTTCGGCAATAGACTACTGATACCACCTGAAATGAACACCTAGCTCTTTTAGAAAGCCAAGAGAAGGATAATTTGAAAATAGCCATGAGGAGAGGAGAATAGCAGATGCCTTCCTTACTTCCAGGCCCATGTGTGGCGAATATTAAAGTTTTAAAGCTGATTTTTGTATGCAGCTTTTGAAAATATATTTCAGTGTTTAATAGCTTTATCGTGTATATAGAAACAATCTTCTGTAGCTTGAAAAACCTCGCAAATCAAACACTGAAGCTATTAATTATGACAGCCTAAAAAGACAAAATGTTCTTCTCACAGCTGAGATGCAATTCTGTTCTATCAGCTGACATGCAATATTCATTCTTTTTTAAAAAAGTTTTTGGTCTAGCATAACAGAGGACCAAAAACATATTGTAAAACCTCGTCATATAACTATGCTACTTTTTAAACAATTTGCTTTTTAAAATGTCATTTAGAAAGATAGCTTTGGGTAGATAGAATCAAATGGAACTAATCTACAAGTTTAGCAACATAGCAACATTTAAGGAAAGCCTGAAATAAATAGATCATAGGTAGATAGACTAATGTAAATTGCAAAATGATAGATTAGAGAGAGAGAGAGAGAGAGAGAGAGGAAGAGAGAGATCCTCTCCATCCATAGGTACACACATATGAAAGAATAAAGTTATTCCAAGTGTAGTAGATGCTCTTTGCTCTCTGCCCAGATTCCCTTTATCCAGCAAGTGTAGCCATCTCCCAGTTGCCATGAGTGATGGCTGTTAGATGGCTCCAGGCTGCCAACTTCTTTGGAGACTACTTTCTTCTGTAAGGGAGCTGTCTGACTTGGAGGTTCTACATTACCACCTTTGGAGTGGCCTGCCAGGTTACACAATGTCTTGCCCCTTGCCTCAAGGTGGGATGAACTCTGTGGTTTGATTCATGCTCAGATCTCTGTGTGTGATCAGGCTGAGGTTAATCTCCAGCAGAGATAACATCCTTGCTCAGCTACTCTTCCTGTCATACCCTGCGTCCCTCCTCTCCTGAGAGTCTTCCCTTAATAAATCACATGCATTGGAATCCTCTTCTCAGCCTCAGAATCCCCTGTCTGCTTCCAGGGAAGCTAACCTAAATCCTCAAACCATGTTCTTCTCACAAACTTAACTTTTAATTCTACTTTCTGGCTGTGGGACTCCCCACTTGGGTGTGTTTATAGATATGTTTGTTTCTCCTGGGCAGTTGTTCTCAGGACAAAAATACCTGATATTGTGTTCCTGAGTCATGTTGGCTGGTTATATCTTTATTCTGTGCCAACCCTCAGTCCCACAGGGCATCTTCTGCTTGGTCTTGTCACGGACTGAAAGAGCTCAATCAGCAGGAAAAGAAAGATTCCCCAATTCATCTTGCAATATGGCTATGTTAGACTGAAGAGTTCCTCTGGAGCATCGTGAAAGAGAAATGCCTGGGGTCTGAGCTTGGTGCCTGCTGTACCGAGGGACTATTCACATATTATTTACTGTGACATTTGTCTCTGCGTGCTGCCTCCTTCTGAGACAGTGCATTCTTAAGATCAAAATCATCAACCTGAAAGGCAATGGCAGGGAGAAGTTTCTTAAAGGAACAATGTTCCATTTATGTTCATTTTCTCTCTTTACTCAACCTTTGATAATTAACTGAGTGAAAGGAGGAGATAATGGGAACTAAGGGCTGATTGGAACCTCTGGTGGAATTGGAGCCACCTCCTGTGTCATGAATTCTAAGCGATGTCACATAGAAGTTATTTCTAGAGGGTTTAAATCTTTTGATTGCCTCCACCACAGAGCGTTAAGGGTAAAAAGAAGTTAGTTCTCATTCAGGGAGTGAGGGAGAAGAAAAATCACTGTTTTTAAAATGGTGTGTAGTCAAGTACATATAACACACAGGGTAATAGTATATTGGCATTTTGTTAACTTAAGAATTCAGGTCCATCTCAGATAGTATGAATGTGATAATGCGGGCAAAGTTCTTATAAAAGAAGATGAAAGAAGACTGAGTTTGAGAAAGTTCCCATTAAAGATGAAGGGAATTTAACATTCATTGCTGGGTGTCAGCCTTATTTTAGTCCTTATGCCTACATTTTCCTAAGTAATATCATATTATTCTAATTGCAATCCCATGAGATAGGTACGAATGTAATCCCTATTTTACACATGAGGTCCTGAATGTTAGGAGGATTAAAGTAATATTCCCAAGGAGTGGCAAAGACTTCCTAAATTCTAAGATATCTTTACTCTTACTAAGTAATATTAGGAGTTAACAAACAAGTAAAGTAGCAAGACACAAAAAACTGGGTGAGTGTGAGAAAGACTTGAGAAAGTGGACATGCATTTTTACTGAATCCCATGGCTAAATGGAGATTTTACATTTTTATAGCAGTTAAAAGCAGTCTAGCATAGTGGAAGAAAAAACCATGAATCTTGTGTCCCCACTTCGATGTGAAAATTAATGGACTCTCTTATCTTTGAGTTATTCATTCCTTAAGTAGGACAAATAATACCTTCCTTTTTAGGGTTATAGTAAGAAGTGAAGGTGATATGTGCGTAGGGTCTGATACAGAGTAAATGTCTAATCAACTAAGTAATTTGTTTATTTACTGAACCTACTCCATGTACAATCTACTCTGAGGCCCAATAGATGAAAGTTGGTTGGCATAGAGGGCTAATCACTAAAGTCAGTTAAACTGCAACCTCATTGAAGAAGTGCATCTTACACAGATGGAAAGAGAATTTGTTAATGGAAACCCGAGGTTATATTCCAGATCTCACCAAAACGTTATATAATGAAAATGCCTTCCCCGATGTTATTTTACCCTTTATTCTCCAACACACACTCTATTCCAGCCATTATGAATAATACTTAGTTTCTTATAATGATACTGCCCCCTCTGACTCTATTTCCTGATCCCCAACCATGTCTAGTTTTGACTGAATATTTCATGATTGTACTTCATATCTCAGCTTAGATATTTTTCCCCTAAGAATCATCCTTCTTTGATACACCAGTTGCTTTCCCTGTCTTATGCTACAGTAGCTTTTACCTCCCTTATCAGAACACTTACAATTCAGGATTAGAATTGCTCATTTGTCTATGTAACTGGAATATAACTGGGGGTCCATGTGGCCCAGTCTCTGGACAGTATTACTTTGTAAATAATAATTGTTTGGAGCAATTCAATTTTGTTAATTTGTAAAAATACCAGAGTACTCTTGTAACGTGGGTGCATTCTTAAAGAAATAAAATATAAACCTTTACAAATTATTAATATTAAATATTTAATGTTAAACGTAACATATCTAAATGTTTAAAATATTTTTCTCACACTCAATATCTTTCTTTTTGCGTGGAAGATTCTTAAAACAACAAGAACAACAAAATGAAATCGAGTGAGTCTTCTTGCTGCTCTTTGTCTGTTTCCCAAAACTCTGTCCCACACCTAGTGCACATGGCTTTCCTTTTTTCTTTCCTCATCTATGACATAGACCTTATTATGATGGTAAACTTAGCTTCTCTACATTCTTTGAACGCTTGTCACTTTTTGCTATACTAGTGGTTGAGGAGATGATAAGCAAGTGAGAATCTTCCTTCAGCTGGGAAATAGAGGTGAGAGGGAAGGGGAAGAAAGGCTGTGAATATTCACACATTTTTGCTTTTTGTTATTTCCTCATCTTTCTGTGCCCTAAGCACATTGAAAACAAAGATTAGGTCTTGGTAAATACTATATTCTCAGCATTTAATGATACCTAGCAAAGAATAGACACCTAAATATATGCATAAATAAATAAACATACACATTGGGGAAAATAGACTTCTTGTAAATGTCACCGTGAGTCTGATTTTAAAGCCTGTGAATAGTGGCCTCTCTGTTTTCTTCTGAGCTGAGAGCACTCCTGAGGTGACCTTCTTCTCACATTTTACAGAGTTAAACCATATTATGTGATTAGAGTTGATCTATAGTAGTTCAAGGACCACAGTCATGCTTAAGTGATTTATCAGGTTTTAGGCAAATCACCCTCAACATCTCTTGGCTCTATTTTACTTGGAAGTGAGGTACATAAAGTAAAGAGAAATAAATGACTTAAGAACTAAGATTTTAAAGTTTTCTGTTAAAAAGTTCATTTATAATCATAATGTTTCCATCTGTTGTAAGTACTCTGGGATCGTCCTTACATTTTACTTTAAATCAGGGGCCAGTCAATATATTCATGCTTACCTGTTGCTTAGCGTTCAGTTTTATTTGGCCTAGATTGGTAGGGAACTAGATTATTTGCAAGGCTGAGCAGAACCAGTGGAAACATATAAATAAAATGTTGCCCCCTGATAAAGCCAAAACAATCCCAGAACCAAACTTAAAATAGATTTTTTGTAACTACAATTATTTCACATATGCCAGATTTAATAAAAATGATGATGACAACAATGATGATAATAATAGTACCTCTTCCTGTATGATTAGGGAATATACACAGTGCTTAATGAGTACACACCAGCTCTACCCAGTAACAATGTGAAAACAAAATGGACACTTCTCCTATTCTTGGGAGCTGTCCCCAGCTACAGCTGCCACATGGTGGATATAGAGGGAAGTGGTGAGAGCGACCCCTAGAAGGCAGCTGCTGGAAATTCAAGTCAGTGAAAGGCCTGTATCACTTGTGTATTGACAGTGGAAGTGGCTGGTTTTTCATTATTCTCTTCATTGATGTGAAAAAATAATTCTTTCCAATCAGGAGTTTAGAGACCAGGTACTTGATTGTGGTGACAGAGTGGGGGTGTGGAAATAAATTAAGATTATCCAAAAGTAATAAAAAAACGGCTGAGGTTGCCATAGCAAGAGGGTCAGCCCCATGTGGGCTAGATGTGGGGAAATGTTTTGGGAAACAAAACAAGAAGAAAAACAAGAACAAAACAAAGCAAGAAGACTAACTTGATTTCACTTTTGCTGTTCCTGTTGTTTTAAGCATCTTCCAGGCATAAGAAAGATATTGAATGTGAGAGAAATATTTTAAACATTTAAATATTTTAAATTTAACATTTAAACATTTAATATTAATAGAATTTTAAGTGTTTTCTCTTTCTTTAATAATGTGCCCACTTTACAAGAGTATGCTGGTATTTTTACAAATGAGGATAATTGAATTGCTCCCAACAATTATTTTTGACAAAGTAATACTGTCCAGAGACTGGGCCACCTGAATCTGTAGTTATATTCCAGTTACATAGGCAAATGAGCAATTCTAATTCTGAATTGTAAGTGTTCTGATAAGAAATGTAAAAGCTGCTGTAGCATAAGACAGGGGAAGCAACTAGTGGATCAAGGAAGGATGATCCCCAGGGTAAAAATATCTAAGCTGAAATCTGAAGTATGATCATAAAATATTCAGACAAATCTAGACATGTTTGGGGATCAGGGAATAGGAATCATTATCTGCCATTGGCAGATACTCAAAGGTGGGCAGGGGAGTGGGAAAGCTTTATAATAAAACAGAGGAAAGCTTCAGGTGTGCCCTTCAGGTGTGTCCAGGCAGGGGAGTGGGAAAGCTTCAGGTGTGCCTTGATGAGAGGCTGATGGCCTAGGGAAGCTGGAGCCAGCTGGATGCCTAAGAAGAGGGCATCTTTTGTGATTGATTTGGGGAGCATATTTGGTTTGCTCTAGTTGGTCTTGAGTTGAAAGCAAGGGCACATTTAAAGAACTTAGCAGTTATTAACAAAGTCTTGACCTTTCTGGGTCCACTGCTACAGAGGTGATGGTTTGGCTTCGTGGCTGGTTGCTGCGGAGGTTGTAGGTCAGCAATCTCTTTCCATGTGACATTTAGACACTGTCCATTTGTATATTCATTCTGGGGCTTCAAGCCAGCTGTGGAGTCAGAGTAGAAGTCTGTCTCTCAGATTCCCCACTGAGGTTCACAAAAAGAGGATTATGGTTATATCACCACTGACCTGATATATACACAGTGGTCTTGAATTTTTCCAACCGTTGATCTGCCAACGCATTAATCTGAGATTTAAAAATGCTTTCAAAACTGTGAGTTTCACAGATTGAGGGCTCTCTAAGTTCCAGTTCTAAAGATCTTATTCACTATTCTAATCCTGGTAAGTGTGGTCTTCACTTTGCCAGGCTCTTTACCATGAAATATGTAAAGAGATAGAAAATACATTGCCTGTCCTCAAGGGGTTATTCTAGCAAGCACCTGGATAAGGGTAAAAGCATTTGTTTTCTCAACCATGTGACAGGCAGAGATACTCACCACTATACCTATGAGGAACATGTTTTCCCAACCATGTGGTTAAGACTGTAGTGAATAACAAATAATTATTATTTTAGAACCTGATTAGGAATGCCCCTCCAAGCTATAGGGATGTTCTCCTTCATAAAAAGCTTCCTCATTTAACCTGCTCACATAAGTTTATGAGTATTCAACAAAAGACAACAAAGATTTGTTGAGTAGCATGCTAGCTGTTCCATGAAACCACAAAATGTTAATTGGTATTTTCTTTAACTTTAAAGCTATTTAAATAGTCAGGGGGATAGAAAAGCAGTTAAGTACCATGGCTTGCCACTACTGAGTGAGCTAACTCTGACTATCCTAATGCATTCCATTTTGTTGCTTTGGATAGTGAGTAATGAGATGAACAGGGGTTCATATAGTGATTGGCAACTGAATTGTAAACACTATGGTTGATCTTCCTGTATTTCATAGAGGGAGGATTATACATTAGTCTGAGTATCAGCACGTAGTTCACTCCCCCTGTTGTATAAATATTTATTAGAGGACCTCTAACTAATCAATCCACAGGAAAATCCCGATCTAACAATACTGACTGTATAAGGTTGAGCCATATGAAATTGTCCTATTGTTCCATCTAATACAAGCATCACATTTACTTGTGTAAATGCTACAGCATTATGTTTCTTTTGGAATCCTGAAGAACAACGCTTAATCGTTCCTCACCAGCTCACCAACAGTGGGCTTTACATTAGCAAATGTGTAGTGTATATGGGGAATTCTTGATAAAATATTGTTGGAGTTTTTTCACCTTTGAAAAAAGAGGAATACACATTCCTCTAAATATGTTTGGGTTTAACGTATACTTTTTTAAGCACGCAAAATTCAAATGATCTACTACTGGTAGGCAAGACCTACCATAACGTATGTTTCAAATTTCTTATGTTTTCTATATGGTGTCTCCTGAAGCAAGATAAAGCACTTCAGCCATTATAATTAGATGTGTGTTTTTTCTTCTTGGTATTTCATAATAAATGGTAATAAATAGATAAGGGTATCTTCTTAGCTTAATGGCAAGTAAACCCCCATTTTTGAGGTGAAAACACCAGAGAAGTCAGGTCTGAGATTGGTACTCTATGATGCATGGGAATGGGAAGGGGAATTACAGGAGTGAAGTGGGTCTTCTGTGATTAATATAACTTTGAAGATGACCTGAGATGGAAGCCTGCACTTCCAACATCCCCCAAACAGGAAGCTTGTTGGAAATCCCTGAAGACCCAAATAGCCATCCCGTAGGCATTTTTACTGTCACCTTAAACCCAGGTCCTACCTATACCAAAGAGAAATATGTCCAGACCATTAAAGCGTCCTGTCTTGGGGCCATAGGGGAGATCAGAGATGCATTCGGGTAAAATCATACAGGCTTCATCCTTGTTTTGCTTTGTCCACTGGACTCAATGAAGAATCCCTTTTTCCTCACTAAGAGCTTGTTAAACAGAGATGTTAAAAAGTGCCCAGTTAGATTTAGTCTCAGTGTGGCTTGAGAAGAATTACAATTAACTCTATAAGCCGTTTTCCCTGTTATCAAATTATCTAGCCCATCTACTCCCAAAACTTAGAGCTAGGCAATCACCTGGGGAACTGATGGAAAATACAGGTTGTGATTCCATAGGTCTGTGGCCCAATAGGTCTGGTCCAAGACACTGTATTTCTAACAAGACCTCACATGATGATAATACTGCTACTCCAGGGTTCACCCCTTGACTAACAAGACTGTAGTCACCTCAGCACGGCCCTCAGACCCATCAAGGCCTAGGTGGCTGGGACTTTGATGTGGCTTAAATTTACTTCCAATTTATAGCCTGCTATGTCGTTCAGCTCAGGACAGGATTCTAAAACAAACAAACCTCAGATTATCTCTTCTGTAACCTGCCTTTCAGTCCACCTTGGGGGCTCTGCCAGTGTCTCAGAGCCTTCGCATTCTCCAGCTACTCAATGCTCCCTCTCCAGTGTCCACATTGGATGGCAGTTCAGTGATGAATATTCTCTTTCACTCCTCTCCCTTCCTTTACCCCAGTGGAGAAAGGGAGGGCACGGCTATGGCCATATCAGACAGAGCAACCTTTGTGACCCAAATGATATATCTACAAGGTCTAATGCCCTCAGGCATTAAAATGTGCATGTATCCTCAAGAAGACTTTTAAGAGAAAAATCCTATATTATACAGGAACAATGATATCGCTCTATACTTAGCATTAGCAGTCTATCAGGCACAAAGGTTTCACTTACAAACATTTTTCTTAGTGAACCCATGGGGATTTTAGGTATTGGGGGAAAATGACAATAGTAAGATATTTACTTAATATAGGAAATTGGTCACATTGGACTTATGGTTGTCTCTTAAGTCCCAATGGCAGAGAAATATTGACCCAGTAGTTTGAACAACTATCTCTGATTTGTGGTCCTGCTTCTTTAAGGATGAGGAGAGAATCTTCCTTTGGGGTTTCTTTCCATCAAGAGAATTTTTCCCTTGATGGGGAGCCCACAGAAGTATTCCAATGGCATAAAAATACACCAGTACTCCCCTGGACGTCAGACACAGCAGCTGTGTTGGGGCCTGCCTGCGTGGGCCACTGTAGGTGACAGTCCCAGTGATGGTATCTTATTCTTTACGTCCCACCCCAATATTTGCAAATGAAACCAAGCAAGAGCAATAGACAGTCTACTAAGTGAAAAAACACAGAGCTTGCCCTGGTCTCCCAGCCCCATGGAAAAGAACTACATGCTCAAGAGGCTGGAGCCTTTCTCTAAACCAATGAAGTTTCCAAAACCAACTGCCAGTTAGAAGTTATTCCCCTGTGATCCCAGTAGCTGTCACTTCCCCTCCTTTTTTTCTCATTGATTTTTTTTTCTCATAAGGTAAAATAAATTGTCATTTAGCGGCAGAGAAACAATTTCTTTCTCTTCTCTATAGTAAATAAGGCCGCTGTTTATTACACAATTTGTCCTCACCATCTATGTTTCAGAATGGCACGGCATAGAGTATTATTAAGAAAAAATAGAACCAGAGTCTGAATTGTTTTATTTTTGTTTTTAAATAACTCTTAGTGATGACATGGATAGTTAAATATTGACTGGGAAAATGTTAATGTGTCTTGTGTAGACAAGTTGGCAAGTTTAAAAAATTCGTATACAAAATGGGTATGTGGTCCCAACATGTGTGTAACACTTTAAAATATATAAGGCCCTTTCATACACAATTCTTAAGGCTCATTTTCCCGTCACAATAATCTGGTGATGAGTATATATATCTTTTCTTCCCCATTTTGTACATGAAGAAACAAGGACTCAGATTTAGAAACCCAAGGTTATATACATCTAGAAAGGAGTAACCTTAGACTACAAATGCCATGCTCTTTTCTGATGCACTTTATTTATATCCCTGTGCAGTGGTTTGGTCTCCTGAGCTATAAAAGAAGCCTGTATAAATGTAGCTAAATAAAAAAGGATAAAAATTTCCTGAATGATGCGGTTTAAACTATCTGAAGACACTGTGCTCCAATCACTGTCTTTCATGTTTTGCTTGAACCCTGCCTGCCACCTGAATAAAAAATGATTACAGCAGATTGCCGCTAAAGAGAATGCTGCTTTCCATCCAGGCAGCAGGGCATGATAAAAGAGATCTTAAGGATTCTGGCAAATTAGAGCTGCAAGTCTGCGTTTTTTTAATTTTGTGAGCTGATACAAATCACAGGGACATGTGAGGGAGTATTCAGAGGCACTGGGCAATTCAGCTTCAGAGACAAGTGAAAAGTAAAAGCAGCTCACTGCACATCATAATTAAAGAGCTAGTTGTCTTCTACAATTTCAGCTCCAGTGGGACGTTCAGCAGATTTTTTTTTTTAAGCTTGGAATAAAAGAGAGAAAAAGAGAGAACCCCAATCATCCTGAAGTTTTGTGATGGAACAATTTCTTGCAGTTGTGTGCAGGTCGCTCAGCTAGTAATTAAATGATTTGGGCCTAGACCTAGTTCTTCCACTACAGATGTCTGGAAAGTCACAAAATCACCCTGAAGCCTCAATTTCCTTACCAGAAAGAAGAAAAGAGTGAATTAGCTGATCTCTGAATCCTAACACTAACATTCTGGGATTCCATGAAATTTCTCATTTCTGCATGGTTATCCACATACCAAAGGCTTTTGGCTTTAAATGGCCATTTTTTATTTCATTTTCCATAGACAAGCAGTCCCTTGAAATCACTGACAGATACCTGGGTTACAGATCAAATCGGTTGAGTGAAGCTACTCCACATAAAGAAAGGAAATGAATTCAGTGGTTAACTGGGCAATTGTGTCTTATCTTGCTTCTTTCACCTTCGCTGTGTTGGTTCAAGGTTGACATCCCCATGGTAATCTTAGGGGAACTCCTTTAAGCATCCCCTGCTTTTATGTATGACGAAAGGAGACACCTCACTTGACATATACACTATAATCACTTATGAGCAGAGTGATGCCTTAGTCCTGTGGCTCCAGATTGAGAGCCACTGAATTTCATAGGAACTGTTCTAGTTCCAACAACTAGGTGCAGAGTCATGGGAGGTGAAGCCCACCTTGGCTTCTACAGGTTATGACGGTCCCTTCAAGGAGCTCCACACATATTACTGTCATTTAATACTGAGCATGACCATATAGTTATGTAAGCTATTCATGTCTACAAAGCATCCTACCCTCATCACGGTAAGCTATAAGAAACTCCCACCAGAGATAAGAATTTTCCCCCAAATATCATATTTCAAACATAAAATAAAAGTAAGAGAACAGTACAGCCAGCAACCACCTATCTTCTATCCTGATCTAAAATGAGTTTTGCTACATTCACTGCAGACCTTTATTTTTGTAAAGAAATAAATTATTGCCAAAACAATTAAAGCCCCATGCCAGATTACTGTTTCTCACCTTCCCACTAAAGAGGTTGCCACGGGGTAGATATTGGTGCATTTTTCTCATTGATGTTTTCATATTTTACTACATATGTGTGTATATTCATAAATGATATTATGTTGTGATTTTAAATGTACATACATGCTGTTACATTGCAGTTTTATTTGTTCACTCCAAATTATATTGTTGAGATTTATCTCCATCACTATATGTAAATCTAGCTTATTCATTTCAATTGCTATGCAGTATTTCATTACGGAAATGCAATGTAATTTATTCATCTGTTTCTTTGTAGACAATCAGAATTATATTTGTTTATTTAGATTATTTTCAGCTTTTTTCTTTTAAAATTAATATCCCCTGTTTCCATAAACTAGAGTTGTTTAGTAGTATATACTGAAAAATTAGAACACTAGGTTTTAGTCTTACAATTCTAGCTGTGCACATCGCTATTCTGCGTTCAGTAGCATCATATCCCATTGGGGGCTTGAAAACAGCCACAATGAGAATAGTTGCCCCCGAAAATCAGTAAATGTTACAAGTCAGGACTTTTTTTTATTTTCTTGGAAAGGAAGGTTTTAAACATCTACCAGCATATCACTGATTATATCAGCAGGATTAAAATTCCAGTTTCCTTATATCATAGCTGACATTGATTGTCACACACACACACACACACACACACACACACACACACATTTATTTGTTTATTTTCCAATCTAAGGAGTGTGAAATGCTAGCTAATGTCTAATTTCTCTTTTACTTCCTCTTTTCTTCATCATTAGTAAGGTGAAGTATCTCTTCCTGTGCTCATTAGATATTTGACTTTTATTTTTTTTAATTTCCTATTTGCATCTTTTTCTATTTTCCAATTGTGCTGGCTTTTCCTCACTCATTTGTAGGTGTTCTTTATATAGTCTCAGTGGTAACCCACTTTTCATTATATGCGTCACCAGTATATCCTTTCTTTATGTGATTACATGAATTTTCTTTTCATCTGCTTAAGGTACTTTTTGTTTTAATGAAAGTTTTAATGATATCTAAATTTAAGGTAATCTAGTTTTGAATTGTGATGTAGTCAAACACATAAATCTTTTAAAAATGATTCGGAAATTATTTCTTATTAAAATTTTTTTGGTGTCAGTGTATTTTACTTATTCTAATTTAAAATGAGTCTTTGTTTTAATTATTTTATTAATTATACTTAAAGTTCTGGGATACATGTGTAGAACATGCAGGTTTGTTACATAGGTATACATGGTGGTTTGCTGCACCCATCAACCCGTCATCTACATTAGGTGTTTCTCCTGATGCTATCCCTCCCCTAGTCCCCACCCCCCGACAGGCCCCTGTGTGTGATGTTCCCCTCCCTGTTTCCAAATGTTCTCATTGTTCAACTCTCACTTATGAGTGAAAGCATATGGTGTTTGGTTTTCTGTTCCTGTGTTAGTTTCCTGAGATTGAAGCTTTCTATCTTCATCCATGTCCCTGCAAAGGACATGAACTCATCCTTTTTTATGGCTGTATAGTATTCCATGGCATATATGTGCCACAATTACTTTATCCAGTCTATCATTGATGGGCATTTGGGTTGGTCCCAAGTCTTTGCTATTGTGAATAGTGCTGCAATAAACATACATGTGCATGTGTCTTTATAGTAGAATGATTTATAATCCTTTGGGTATATACCCAGTAATGACATTGCTGGGTCAAATGGTATTTCTGGTTCTAGATCCTTGAAGAATCACCACACTGTCTTCCACAATGGTTGCACTAATTTACACTCCCACCAACAGTGTAAAAGCGTTCCTATTTTTCCATATCCTCTTCAGCATCTGTTGTTTCTTGACTTTTTAATGATTGCCATTCTAACTGGCATGAGATAGTATCTCATTGTGGTTTTGATTTGCATTTCTCTAATGACCAGTGAGGATGAGTTTTTTTTCATATGTTTGTTGGCCATGTAAATGTCTTCTTTTGGGAAGTGTCCATTCGTATCCTTTGCCCACTTTTTGATGGAGTTATTTTTTTCTTGTAAATTTGTTAAAGTTCCTTGTAGATTCTGGATATTAGCCCTTTGTCAGATGGATAGATTGCAAAAATGTTCTCCCATTCTGTAGGTTGCCTATTCACTCTGATGATAGTTTCTTTTGCTGTGCAGAAGCTCTTTAGTTTAATCAGATCCCATTTGTCGATTTTGGCTTTTGTTGCCATTGCTTTTGGTGTTTTAGTCATGAAGTCTTTGCCCATGCCTATGTCCTGAATGGAATTGCCTAGGTTTTCTTCTAGGGTTTTGATGGTTTTAGGTCATACATTTAAGTCTTTAATCCATCTTGAGTTCATTTCTGTATAAAGTATAAGGAAGCCATCCAGTTTCAGTTTTCTGCATATGGCTAGCCAGTTTTCCCAACACCATTTATTAAATAGGGAATACTTTCCCCATTGCTTGTTTTTGTCAGGTTTGTCAAAGATCAGATAATTGTAGATGTGTGGCATTATTTCTGAGGCCTCTATTCTGTTCCACTTGTCTATCTATCTGTTTTGGTACCAGTACTATGCTGTTTTGGTTACTGTAGCTTTGTAGTATAGTTTGAAGTCAGAAAGCATGATGCCTCCAGCTTTGTTCTTTTTGCTTAGGATTGTCTTGGCTATATGAGCTGTTTTTTGGTTCTATATGAAATTTAAAGTAGTTTTTTCTAATTCTGTGAAGAAAGTCAATGGTAGCTTAATGGGAATAGCATTGAATCTATAAATTACTTTGGGCAACATGGCCTTTTTCACGATTTTGAGACAGACTCTCTCTGTTGCCCATGCTGGAGCACAGTGGCATGATCTGGGCTCACTGCAACCTCCACCTCCCTGATTCAGTGATTCTCCTGCCTCAGCCTCCTGAGTACCTGGGATTACAGGTGTGCACCAGCATGCCCAACTAACTTTTGTAGTTTTAGTAGAGATGGGGTTTCACCGTGTTCGCCAGGCTGGTCTCGAACTCCTGACCTCAAATGATCCGCCCTCCTCAGCCTCACAAAGTGCTGGCATTACAGGCGTGAGCAACTACACCTGGCCTAAAATGAGTCTTGATATCAGAAAAGATACCTTCTACAAACTTGTTTTTTTTTTCTATACTTCTATTTCTATACCTATATTTTCTATAATTTGTATTTTTTATTCTTTATACTCTTTCATATTAATTTTATAACTGCTTCTAAAGTTCCATTAAAAGATCATAATTTTGATTAATGGATATAGGAGAACATTTTTATTATATTGTATTTTTCAGTCAATAACAAAAATATATTTCAATTGCTTGAATTCTTTGTTTTTCCTATAAAAGTCGTATAGATCCATTTCAAGCATCTTAGATCTTGTATTGCTACCATGAATGTTTTGTTACTTTATGACATAGTTTTTGTAATGTTAAAAAAATTATTGCATTTCTGATTTAAACTCAACATATTTATAATGAATTTCAAACATTTATTGCTTAATTTTTCTAGTACTTGATTCAGCATGATTTTATCATTTTTCATAAGTTAGATTGGCCTACAATTTTTACTTTTATTATTATATTTGTATGCTATTTCTATTCTTTCAAATTAAGTTAGAACAATGTATCTGTATTTAAAGTTTTCTGCAATAGTTTTATATATGATTTGTTATTTGTTTTTGAAAGTTCGGTATAACTGAAGTGTAATAAAGTCTGGCCCTGGAAAAAATGTATAGGTCTCCCTAGATTTTCTATCTGTTAATGAGGTACTTGTAGTAATTTATATTTTTCTAGAATGCTTTCAGATGTTTTAGCATAAAATACTTCGTAATATTATCTTCACTTAAAATGCCTTTTCAAAACCTATGTTATTTGTAACATTATTTATTTGTGTCTTTCTCCTCTTTTTTTTCTAAATATATCTGACTAGAGCTTTTCATAGTACTTTTTTTTAATTTATTTTTTATTTTTTTTTTGAGACAGAGTCTTGCTCTGTCACCCAGACTGGAGTGCAGTGGTGCCATCTCAGCTCACTGCAACCTCCGCCTCCCAGGTTCAAGTGATTCTCCTGCTTCAGCCTCCCAAGTAGCTGGGATTACAGGCGCCCACCACCATGCCCAGCTAATTTTTGTATTTTTAGTAAAGACTGGGTTTTGCCATGTTAGCCAGGATGGTCTTGATCTCCTGACTTCGTGATCCACCCACCTCAGTCTCCCACAGTGCTGGGATTACAGGCATGAGTCACTGCACCCGGCCTCATAGTACTTTTTAAGAAATAGCTTTTGGTTTTGTAGATTTGTTTTGCATTTTATCAATTTCTACTCCATTATTTACTTTGAACTGCTTGGTGGTGGTTGTAGTCAACTGCTGCTGCTCTTTTAGTAATATATTGAGAATAATACTTAGCCCATTTATTGTTAATCTTCTTTTTCAATGTATGCATTTTTCCTTTAAGCACTGGTTTAACTGCATTCGATAAATGTCATCACAAATATCTTAATTGTCATTCCATTTTATGATGATTTGTCATCATTTTCTTTATGACTTCTTAAATATTTGTTTTCACAAATGTATTATGAAAAATATTTATTATGCATTATTTACATATTTATTTATTTATTTAGAGCCAGGGTCTTGCTCTGTCACCAGGCTGGAGTGCAGTGGTGTGATCACAGGCTACAGCAGCCTTGAGCTCCTGGCCTCATGCGATCCTTCAGCCACAGCCTTCTGAGTAGTTGGGGCTATGTAGAGGAATGCACCACCATGCCCGGCTATGGAATATTGTAATGGAAAATTTATTATGGAAAATGTAGAGAAAATAGCAACATTACTTAGTTTCAACAATTATGAAGTAATAGACAATCTTGTTTCAACTATAGTTTGTTTTATTTCCATTCTTAGGCACTGAATTATTTTGCAACCAATGTGAGCCATTATGATATTTCATCTATAACTTTTTGAGTACATCTCTCTAAAAAGTTTTGTTTTCAAATTTCATGACAAAAAGTCAAATGTAATTTTCATTAATATCACCTTGGGTTTATAGATTTTTTGTTCATAATTAAAAACAACTATATTAATTATTTTAATGTATAACAAGCTACAATCTTTCAATCTTTAAAATAATTTCATGGTAGTATTATTACCTAAATAATTTAATAGACATTTTCTTTTTTTTTTTTTTTTTTTTTTTGAGACGGAGTCTCGCTCTGTCGCCCAGGCTGGAGTGCAGTGGCGGGATCTCGGCTCACTGCAAGCTCCGCCTCCCGGGTTCACGCCATTCTCCTGCCTCAGCCTCCCAAGTAGCTGGGACTACAGGCGCCCGCCACTACGCCCGGCTAATTTTTTGTATTTTTAGTAGAGACGGGGTTTCACCGTTTTTTTAGCCGGGATGGTCTCGATCTCCTGACCTCGTGATCCGCCCGCCTCGGCCTCCCAAAGTGCTGGGATTACAGGCGTGAGCCACCGCGCCCGGCCCCTATATATAGTTTAACATGTCTCTTGAATTTTTTTTGGCAGTTGTTTTTCTTTCCCTGTTTTTCTTTTTTCTTGTAATTTGTTTATTGATGAAATCAGGATTTTGTGCCATAGAGTTTTCCACAATCAAGCTTTTCCTGAATGTATCACTGTGGGGTCTATTAATATATTCATCTCTTTCCTGAATTTTCTGTAAAATAATAGATCTAGAGGCCTGATTAATTCAAATATTTATGATAAAATTTTATAGGTTGTAAAAACTGATAAAGGAACATTACACTTAACACATATATGTTCAGTAACTTAGATAAAAGTGACAAGTTATTCAAAAACAGTAAGCTACCAAACCTCATTCAAGATGAATCAGAGAAATGGAATAGTCCTGCAGTTAAAATAGCTAAAAAAAATCTGTTTGTACAGATACATTTATACAAATATTTAACAAAGAAAAAACCATAAACAATCTCTTCTGGAATATAGAAGATAAATAAATGATTCCCAACTCATTTTATAAAGCCAAAATCACCCCAATTCCAAAACTAGGCAAATACAATAAAAGAAAAGGAAACTACAGACCAATATCCCTTGTGAAGTTAGACACAAAGGTTCTCAAAAATATTAGCAAATCAAATATAAAAATATATTTATAAAAAACACCATGACCAAATATTATTTATCATAGGAATAAAAGTCTGATTCAAATCCTTGTCTTTTTTTTAAGTTAAAAGATGTAGTTCACAACTTTAACAAACTAAAGAATAAAAACCACATGGCCATATTAATCAAAGTATAAAATACATTTAACAAAATTCAGTAGCCAATTCTAAAAAAAATTCTAGCAAATTAAAAATAGATGAAGACTTCCTCAAACTAATAGTCTCTACCAAAACCCCCTGGTCAATACCCTACTCAGTGTTATAAAGCAATATACTTTCTACCTAAGATCAAGAACATAGAAAGGATGTCCATTCTTATTACAGTACTACTTAACATCATAGTGAAAGTCATAGCCAATGTAATAAAGGAAGGAAAGAAATAAAAGGAAAACAGCATATAATGAAATAAATAAAATTGCCACTATTTGGAGATGACATCATTATTTATACAGAAAATTTCCAAGAAATCTATAAAAAAGGAAGAAACCACTTAGAAGTAGTTTAGAAAGATCATAGTACATTAAATCAACACACAAAAAATCAATTACTTTTTAATATACTATCATGAACAATAGCAAAACAAAATTTTAAAAAGCAATACTATTTACAATAGTTATATAAATTGACATACTTAGATACAAATATAATATGTACAGACTATGTATGCTGAATACCATAAAATACAAAGGAATTCAAAGGTAGTTAAATAAGTGGAGAAATATAACAGGTCCATGGATTGCAAGATTTAACAGTACAGATATCAGTTCTCCCAAAATTCACTTACAGATTTAACACTTCAATAAATATCCTCTACACAATATTGTGCAGACCTAGACAAAGTGATGCTAATATTTATATTCAAAGGTAAAGGACCTAGAATAGTGGGGAAAATATTTTTTAAAAATAAACTGGGATAATTATGCCAGCTGGTTTTTAAGGTTATTATGAAGCTATAGTAATCAAAACTATAAAGTATTGGAAAGGGATAGAAAAAGGAATCAATGTAACCATATAGAGTCCAGAAATAGACTCACACAAATATGGCCAATTGATTTTTGAAAAAAAGTACATAAAGAATTTAATAAATTAAAAATAGTTATTTCAACAAATAATGTTTTAAAAAATTGTAAATCCAGATTCCAAAACCAAAAAAAAAAATAAACACACACACACACACACACACACACACACACACACACACACCAAAAACCTTGACCTAAACTTCATGACTTATACAAAAATTTACCTCAAAGTAGACCTAAATATAAAATTTAAAACTATAAAATCTTTGGGAGTAAATAAAAAATATTTGCCACCTGGTATTAGACAAAGAGCTCTTATATGTGACACCAAAAGAATAATCAATGAAGGAAAAAAATTATAAACTGAATTTTTATTAACTTTTAAAAATTGCTCTGAAAAAGACACTGATGACAATAAAAAGACAAATTACAGAAATGGGAGTGAAGATTTTCAAGTCACACATTTAATAAAGACTATTTTCCAAAATATATAAAGACTTCTAAAAACTCAAAATGTAGAAAGCAAAAGTCTATTAAAAAATGGGTGAAATATTTGAATGGACATTTCACCAGTGAGAATATACAGAAGACAAATAAGTACATGAAAAGTAGACTTATCCATATACTTCAGGAAAATAAAAATAAAAATTATGGTGAGAAACATATCTATTTAAACGACTAAAACAATTATTTTTTAAAATACTGCAAAGAGGCTGGGCGCCGTGGCTCACGCCCACAATCCTAGCACTTTGGGAGGCCGAGGAGGGCGGATTGCCTGAGCTCAGGAGTTCGAGAGCAGCCTGGGCAACACGTTGAAACCCCGTCTCTGCTAAAATACAAAAAATTAGCCAGGCATGGCAGTGTACACCTGTAGTCCCAGCTACTCAGGCGACTGAGGCAGGAGAATTGCTTGAACCCAGGAGGCGGAGGTTGCAGTGAGCTGAGATGGCGCCACTGCACTCCAGCCTGGGTGACAGAGTCAGACTCCATTTCAAAAAACAAAAAACAAAAAACAAAAACTGCAAAGACCATGACCTGGTGACAGTGCAGAGGAATTGAAACTCTCATACCTTGCTGATGTAGAAGCAAAATGATACAGTGACTTTGGAAAAGAGTTTGGTAATTCCTAATACAGTTAACATACGCTTACCATATGACCAAACAATCTCACTAATAGGCATTTAGTCTAGAGAACTGTATACCAATGTTTATCAAAGCATTACTCATAATCAGCCAAAAGTTGAAAATAACCCAATGCCCTTCAATAAACTGACAGATAAGCAAGTTGGCACACATCCACACAGTGAATGACTCAACATATAAAGGAAAGAATTATCAATACACTTAAGCAGAATGAATCTCAAAGTGAAAGAAGCCAGTCTCAGAAGGTTATATACAGAGTTATTCCATCTATATGACATTCTGGGGTTATGAACAGTGGTCACCTGGGTTAGAGGTAAACGAGGGGAAAGTGGCTACAAATAGGTAGCACAAGAAATTTTCTTTTTGGAGGTGAGGTTAATGAGACTCTTCTATTTCCTGATTTGGGTGATAGTTAACAAATCTACTCATGGGTTAAAATTGACACCCAGAATCTGAAGCCACAGACCAACTTTCTTGTGCTTTTCTTGGGCTGGTGGACTGAGCAGGAAACCATCAGTTTGGCTGTATGCAGGTGTGTTTGTTCATCCTGGTAGGATTGTGGTTCATGTCTCATCTATTAGATGGATATTGAAGCTTCAAATTCCCAGGTATAAAGAGCTAGATCTGCCACCAACAGCCACAGCATCAAGTTATGCTTTTATTTACAGGATTTTATGATCCCATTTATTTCTAGAAATTAGGGTTTCTTCTTTCTGTTTTAAAATTCCTCCTTTATTTTATGATGGCTTAGCACGTTTCCATTCTTATATTTTATATGCATTAATTTGTATTTATGTTCATGTAGAGATTCACTTTATGCATTTCATTGTACCGACAGGACAATAATTCATACACTTCTGTGTGTGTAGTGAGGCAATGTTTTGTACATAACAGACATGCAATTAATTTGAGTTGATTTATTTTTGGGATTTATTAATGTTTAACAGGATACAGAAGACTCAAGTCTTCCCTGGGGGTATGATCAAACTAGAAAGAGTTTAAATGTGTATCCTAGATGTGAACTGGCATGCCCATCGATGGCATGAGTCATCAGTGGACAGTCCATTGTTATTAAGTGCAATCTACACAAAGCTTTATCAGTCAGCATGTGCTCACACGCTGGGATCACACTCAGATCACTTGCTATTAACACACAAGTTCATTCCATCAAGCCAGAGATATGTATTAAGGACCTACTATGGACAATGTATTGTGATATTCTCAAGGAATTTCCCAAAAGAAATATTCCACTTAATTGAAAACTCATTTTAGCTAAACAATTTACTGAAAGAAGTAGCTCAAGAAAGTATGTGCAATTAGGCATCTGGCAAGGGACTTTATTAGTCCTGAATGAATCCCTTAGTCCCTGAGAAAGAGAGGAAAAATAGGATTTTAATGCTGTTATGATGTCCTTCCTGACTTGTAATTTTCAAGAGCCCTTGAAATGTGTTGGTAAGAACTGCTGTATTGAGAGGCAGAGCTGAAGGAGGGCAGAGGTGATGGATACTATCTCACCTTCGTACGGGACTTTATCATTTCACAAATTACTATTGCATCCATCACTTTGTTGATGCTTACAACTCCTCAAAAAGAGTGAAGCAGTTAGTACCATCCATACTTAATAATGAGGATTAAATGAGTATGAATGAGAATATTGATAGTTAAGTAGTTTTACCCCTCGTTACCTTGGAGCTTGTAGTAAATGGTTAAACAGAAACAAGACATAAATCTTATGAAAGCTTATTTGGTGCATTTTATGCTATTGCATTTTTTGTTTCAACTTGAACTACTTTCAGAAAAACCTATCCTTTGTGACCTTTACATTTTATGTAAGTGTTATAAAGTTAAAGTCCCAAAATTCCAAAGGTTATTTACATAATTATAATATTTACTCTCATAATTATTTTGTCTCACCCATATTGTTAGGAATCTGCCTTTACCTCATGTATATAGAAATTTGAGCTGTGAAAACAGAGATAATTGAATAATTTTCTTTTATTAAACGTGAATTAAATTGAATTTGCTACCTTCCAATGGCTATTTCCAAGTCATCAGAGTTTTACTTTAACTTACTGCAGGGAAGACATATTTTTGTGTTTATTTTTAAATGCATAATTTGGGGGAAATGACTGTGAAAAAAATCACACACATACACAAAATTGAATATATATCAAACACCTTTATTCAACATTTCCTATCCTGAAGGAATAGAGAAGTGTCTATTAAGATTCTTCGATTTAACCTGTCAAAAGTTCAAAATGTTCACCTTCCAATATACCCCGAATTCACATAGTTCCCTTCAGTGCTATTTAATACCTAATTCATTTCTTTATATTTTCCTTTTATCCTTTTATTAAACACAGATTTTATGATTAATGCCCTAGAAAATGCCAGAAGATCTTTCTAGGAGATAGAGAAAAGTGCTGTTATTTATTCACTGAAATAACATTATAGGGTAACAACACTAAAAGTGTCAGGATTTCAGCACTCAGGGCAAAATTACTATAACCTCACATTGACTCTCTGGCTGGGGATGATTTATCTATTTCTTATGACATATTAAACACATTGTGAATAGGGTTTGGGACTGCACAAAGCAATACCTCAATGAAAATAAAGCACCGTTTTTATGTGAGGTATGACATCCCAAATCAGGTTGAGCAATCTTAAAAAGACAGTCATTCAACATGTCCTGAAAAGTATTAATGGATCTATCCTCCCAATCAGCTCCACAATCAAGCGGCATTATTTTGTTCTTTGTGAGGCAAATTAGATAACTAAGTAGAACTACGGTGATCAGCTCCTCAGAAGATTTCTGAAGAGCATATGTGCTCTGTTTTGTTTGTTTGGTTTTTTGAGACAGGGTTTCACTCTGTCACTCAGGCTGGAGGGAAGTGGTGTGATCTCAGCTCACTGAAACCTCCGACTCCCGGGTCCAAGCAATTCTCCTGCCTCAGCCTCCTGAGAAGCTGGGATTACAGGTGTGTGCCACTACACCTGGCTAATTTTTTCATGTTTGGTAGAGATGGGGTTTCACCATGTTGCCCAGGCTGGTCTTGAACTCCTGAGCTCAGGCAATCCTCCTGCCTCAGCCTTCCAAAGTGCTGGGATTACAGGCATAAGCCACCACATCCGGCCTTATGTGCTCCTCTTATCCAGTTTTCCTGTAGGTTCTTCATTACAAGAAAGCAGCATTTAACTCAAAGAGGATAATTTCTTATGAGGTGAAGGAGGAGAATGAAGAATGAATGTAATTTTCTTTTTTTTTTTTTTTCAACATGCAGACTGCCATTCTGAAACTGTAAGATGTTCATATATAATCATGGTCAATTCATACTTCCATTTGTGGTAACTTAGATTCATGGAGTTCCATGTTGGTGTCTTATCCCTCAGCCCAGGGCATGTCTGTTTTTTTTGATTTCCCTATTCTACCCAACACATAACACTTTCAGTTGATTTAACTTAATCTCTGAGAATTCAGTGAGGACCAAAGTCAAATAATATGCACAAGGAGTGAAGAAAGTTAAGTGCAGTTACTGAAGCATTCCATATATTATGCAATTTGTTTCACCCGGTCATCCTATGTGCTACAAGAAACCTGAGGCTGACCTGCATAAATGACCTGTCTTAGGTGATGTTCCACCTCTCCCAAAATATAGAGGTATAAGCTAAACCTTAAACAGCCCAGTGATCCTTTTGTCATGCTCATTTCAATATCATGAATTAGGCAACCAATAAATAAAATTTGTCCATGCTGGAACCAACTGTAAATTAACGTAGTGTTGCATACCCTGGGAAGTACAAAAAGCATTAGAATATTTTTTCATTAATGTATTCAAAATATTATGGAGGGGTGAAAAAACAAACACATACCTGTGAACATATATAATATTAGGAAAAAATACAAGCTCAATGAAAAGCTTCATAGGACTAAAGGGGATTAATTACCAAGGACATAATGTAGACAATACTGGAAAAATGTTTTGGGGTAACTCTTTCTAGCAAAAGAGTTGTGTAAAAGAACAGAGGAAAAGGTCTCATTTTAATAATGATTTATTCGGAAGAGAATTATAGAAATTTACCTTCCATGTCAAAAGACTTACAACCCATGACGTTATCTCTAATAAGAGGAGGGCTCTTAAATAAACCACTTAATTTCTGTGGATCTCAATCCCTTTATCTATGAGAGCTGCATAATCACACTTTGCCTTCCTGAAAAAAAAAGGGTTTCTTGATATCCCCTAAGAATAAATTAATCAATATGGGCATCATAGACATTCTCTGGTTGGGCTGGTCTACACCGAACTGTGTTCAGAGAGAGTGGTGATAGTCACCTTTCAGGAAATCTGAGGATTTAGCATTAAATTTTAGATCAAAAACAAATCAGCAAATGGGCAGGAGCAGTGTGAACCTGAAATTTTGTTTTCCTTTGACTAAATAATGCAAAGACAGCTACTGGACAATCTGAGATGCAGTAGGCTACATGTGATCCATGACATCAGTGACCTTGCTCTAGGGTCATTTTTAAAGAAATTAAGGACTCAGTGCTTTGGAAGAAGAGAAAATACAATACTATTTTAATACTTTAGAATGGAAGCCTGTCATCTGCTGCCCACCTTTTGTTCTTTTAATACAAAAAAATTCTCTTTTGTTTTTTTGTACTCCTTTCTCTCAACACTCTTCCCACACATAAATTCAATTATCTCCCTTTCCTATAGGACTATTTGGAACCACCTTGAATCAAGGGGGATGGTTTTGAAATAAAGAACATATTCTCCAAATAGTATATGCAGTGGGAAGGTTGAATCAGGTATATGAACTAAAACATCTTTCATTTTAAAAACAAAGAAATGGAAATTAGCTTTCTCCATGTCTCCCTCAAGATAAACCTTTATGAAAAAAATGCTTTTCAACAAGCCTTATTAAATTGAAAGTTGTTATATGTAATAAGATGAAAGTCAAAGGACAAAGTCTAGAGAACTAAAGGGATACAATTTTCCCTCTGACCTTTTTTAAATGAAGAGAATTTGAAATAAATCCATCTTTTTGCTTTCCAAAATGTCATCATGGAAGATAGTCCATGGATTCAAACATTATTTCTGTTACATTGTGTTGTTTTTCCAGTTCCAAAGTACATACTCTTGGCAAATCATAAATGTTTTGGATTCACTACCAAAAAGAAAAACAAAATGGAAAGAAAAAAGATCACACCTACAAAGCATGAAAACCTGTTGTTTCTCTCCTGCTTTCACTCATTTTGATTAGATTCCCTAGTTTTGAAAACTGCATTTCAGTTTAAATAGAAGCTGCCATAAAGTTAGATGGACTTTAAAGATGTCAAAAGCGCTAAAGCCAAGAAATGACCCTTACTGAGTATCAGCTCACCCAAGCTCCACTTAATTATCATGTAGAATACAGCTGGCCTGGCTGGGGTTTTGCTTGTTTGTTTGTTTTTAAAACTCTCTGAGTTGCCTGACAGGGATGCCATTTCAAAAAGCCTGCAGTCAGGATAATTTGGGACAAGTATAAAGGATGTGTTTTGTTCAAGCATTCTTTGTTCACAAGAGTATAGGAAATAGGCCAGAAAAATTAATATATCTTAGATGAAAATGTCTGGGACTTAATTTAAATAAAGCCCAAATGATTAATTAATTAAATCATTACATAGAGCTCATTTGATCTATTTTGCATGATAACATGCTTGGGAAATAGTCATTAGAAAATCATGTAAATGATGTTTAACCCAAGGGTGAGATAGAATGAGGGTAATTAATGGGTAGAAATAATGAACCAGCATTTATTGAGTGCTTATTATAAGCCAAGCAGTCTTCTATGTCCTTTACATTCATTATCCAGTTTAATCCAAATAACAATAACATGTTGTAAGTATTGTTATTATCAGATCTTTGCATAAGGAAAACAAAGAGAAGTTAAAGAACTCATTGAAGGTTCTATTTTGATAATTAGTGTAGTCTGGGTTCACACCAGGCAATCTGGTTCCAGAGCTCATGTTCTTAGTCACCACAATGAGCCAAGGAACATGGCAGAATTAAGTTTATATAGACTACTACATTGGTTGCCGCAGATTTAATATTTAATGTTGTCTAGTTAGGAGCTTTCTTGAAGGTCTCTTTAAAGTAGTCATTTTTAATTTTTCTGGAACAAACTCTTGAATCATGCCCACTACCAAGCTGGTAGGTAGGAAGGAATTAGTGAGTCTAACCAAGTACTCTGCTCTGTGGCTCTGTATAGGTATTCCATTCTCACCAATTATTGCTTATGCTACAGGTGAGTAAGTATTAGTGAACTGATAAAAAAAGAATGATTTCTTTTTAAAAGATGACCTGGAAAACAAAGCACAGTGCTAGTCTTGATAAAGTTAAAATAAAGTTATATTTCTAAGTAAGTGTTGATTCTTTAATAGAAAAAAAGTTTTTAATAAATTACAATGTGAATTGCTGGATTTGGTTATCTATAAATAATCTTGCTTCAGTGGATTCTTAAGTCAAGCAAAGCCTTTTTACCACAAGAAAATTACCTAATAAGAATCTTAAAATAGCACATAAACCTTTTAAATTATATTCAATTCCACTTAATGGGGAAAATTATGGGCTTATGTGGTATTGGCAATCTAGGAATGTCTAAACACTTTGGGGGTTGTGTTTCCTGGAGTTTGTTTTTGGGAAGTGGTAAGAGGATGGTGTTGTGGGGAGGATCAGAGCAGAAAGAGAGAGGAAGATTTACTGACACTACTTGAACATTTCCCAAGTCTCCCAAATCTAACAAGTTTAGAAAGCAGGAGGAATAGAAAATAATATTTATTAAGCTTTTACTTGCTGCCAGGACTCTTATCTTCCTAGCCTCAAAACTAAACAAGAAGAAACTAAACAGAAACTAAGCAGAGCAAATTTGTTATGTTCTGTCTACAGCAAACTTGTAGGCACCAACTTATTCTTATGTAGAGAGATGTTTTGAGTAAGGCTGATTTCTACATTTTTTAAAGTTTTGCTGGGTAGAACGTGGAATATATCTATTTTAAATAAGCAGCACTTTCTATGTGAGTTGAAGTAGAGATGAAGTTTGTTTTTCTTTGAGACATTCTGCTACTTTGTTTTGCGAAAACTGCCTGAGTAGGCATTTTAATTTTGTAACTGTGAGAAGAGATCCCATCTTCTGTTCTTGGGAAACCTCAAGTATTGACGAATCTGAATGCATATAATATATATTATAATTTATAACAAAATTTACAGTTTAAATCTAAATGCATATAATTTAAAAGCAAGGTGATAGAATAGGGCTTTCTCCTATTCACCCCCCCATAGAAACATCAATTTAAACAAGTATCTACACAACAAAATACCTGTGCAAGAGCTAAACAACCGAGATGATAGATTGCAGCACCTGAATGTAGCACAGAAGTAAGAAGAAAACTGCATTGACGAGGGCAGACAGGACAGTATTACCTGTATCACTCCTCCTCCAACCTCAGGCATCACATCACGGAGAGATAAATCTTCATGTGGAAGAAAAGAGGGAAGTGAACATTAGACTTCGTCTGAGGCCCAATCACTGAGCCCACCCCAGTAAAACCCAGCACTGTGCAGACCTTCATGGACCCAGACTCCAGGCCAGTCCCTGAAGACTGAGCTTCCAAGCCTGTTCCAACACCTAGCAAGATCCTAGAGCCTCAGGTTTTAGGATGACCTGATGGTATCAGACTCTGGGTTCAACCTACCACCAAGCCATCCCACTGGCTCCAGGCCCTGGACTAGTCGCAGTGCCCAGCTGGCCCCAGTGACCTGAGACTTTGAGCCTGCTCCAGTGCCATGTGAGTCCCCACAGACTAAAGCTCCAGGCCCACCCCAGAGTAAAGCTGCCTACTGAAGTCCTCGTCATCTGGCCAGCAACCACAATCCCAGGCTCCAGATCATCCCTGTGGACCTAGGATATCAAAATAAGGCAAGAAACACAAAAAAGCAAGGATACACACAACTACCAAAAAAAACCACAATAATCTCTCAGTGGCTGACTTTGAAGAAATGTAGATATGTGAACTGCCAGATGAAAAAAAATTCAAAATAATTATTTTTAAGGAAGCTCAGCAAACTTAAAAAGGATATGGAGAAGCAAGTCAATGAAATTAGGAAAAAACTAAATGACCACAACAGGACTAAACAAAAGTCAAATAGAAATTCTGGAGCTGAAAAATACATTGAATCAAATTAAAATGCAATTTGAAAGCATCAACAGCAGAATTGATCAAGCAGAGCAATTAAGTTATTTGAAAATATGCAGTCAGAGGAGAAAAATAATATAAATAAATGAAGAAAGCTTATGATATTTATAAGACAGCATTAAAAGAGAAAATACTCAAGTTATAGTAGTTTCCGAAAGAGAAGAGAAAGACAAAGGAGTAGAAGCTATTTAAGGAAATAAAAGCAAAATACTGTCTAAGTCTTAGAAATATATAAATATCCAGATAAAGAGAGCTCAATTAGATTCAATCCAAACAAGACTATGCCAAGACATATTAAATGAAATAGTCAAAAATCAAACACAGGATTCTGAAAGACACACACAAAGATACATATATATATATGTATATCCATATATATATATTTATATATATGGATATCCATATATATATATTTATATATATGTTTATACATATGAGTTTCAATAAGGCTGTCAGCAGATTTTTCAGCAGAAACCTTATAAGCCAGGGAGAATGGGATAGTATGTTCAAAGTGCTGAATACTGTGAACCATGAATACTATACTCAGTAAAGTTGATCTTCACAAATGAAGGAGAGACAAAGACTTTCTTCCTAGAAAAACGAAAGATAAAAAAGTTCATTACCACCAGGACTGTTTTACAAGAAATGCTAACAAGAGATCCTCAACTTGAAAAAAAAGAAGACTAACTAGTAACATGAAAACTTATGAACATATAAAAATCACTGGTAAATGGGAATACATAGTTAAATTCAGAATACTTATATTGTAATGCTGGTGTGTAAATCGCTTATATATTCATTATAAAGCTCACAAAAACTATTAAACATAACAGCTACAATAATTTCTTAAGGCCTACACAATATAAAAATATGTAAATTGTGATAGCCAAAACATAACAATGTGTGGGGCAGGGCTGTGGAGTAAAAAATTCAAAAAATTAACCATCATTCTCAGCAAACTATCGCAAGGACAAAAAACCAAACACCACATGTTCTCACTCATAGGTGGGAATTGAACAATGAGAACACATGGACACAGGAAGGGGAACATCACACTCTGGGGACTGTTGTGGGGTGGGGGGAGGGGGGAGGGATAGCATTAGGAGATATACCTAATGCTAAATGATGAGTTAATGGGTGCAGCACACCAACATGGCACATGTATACATATGTAACAAACCTGCACGTTGTGCACATGTACCCTAAAACTTAAAGTATAGTAATAATAAAATTTAAAAAAAAAGATCTTCACCATTCAAAAAAAAATTTTTTTTTCAAATATGATCAAACTTAAGATATTATCATTTTAAAATAGCCCATTGTAACTATAAAATGTTTTATGGAACCTCTTATTAACCACAAAGCCAAGCCTATTTAAAACAATATGACAGGAAATCACCTAATCGTAAGAGAAGACAGCAAGAGAAGAGGAATGAAGGATATATAGAACAACCAGAAAATAATTATCAGAATGACAGGAGTAAGTCTTTACCTATCGATAATTATGATGAATGTAAATGGATTAAATCTTTAAACAAGAGAGCAGCTAAATGGCTAAAAAAATTAAAAGAAAACCCAACCATATGCTGCCTACAAGAGAATAACTTCACTTTAAGGACACACATAAACTGAAAGTGAAGGGATGAAAAAAGTTACCTCACGCAAACAGAAACCAAAAGAGAACAGAGGTAGCTGCACTTATATAAAAAAATAGACCTTAACTCAAAAAAAGTTTTTTAGAGAGACAAAGGTCACAATATAATGATAAAGGGGTCAATCCATCAAGAAGATATAACAATTACAAGTGTATATGTACCCAAAGTTGGAGAACATAAATACATGAAGCAATTATTAATATATCTGAAGGGAGAGAGAGGCTGCAATTTAATAATAGCATGGAGAGGTGGAACAAGATGGGAGAAAAGAAAGAGCCACCAGTGTCCTCCCCACCATCCAAAGACACCAAGTTAACAACTATCTACACAGAAAAACACACCTTCATAAGAACCTAAAATCAGGTAAGCATTCACAGTACCTGGTTTTAACTTTATATTGCTAAAAGATGCACTGAAGAGATAGAAAAAAGAGATTTGAATCTCTGACACTACCCCTTCCTACTTATAACAGCAGCAGCATGGTGCTGAGAACATCTCTGGTTGCTGGGGAAGGGAGAACACAGCACCTGTGAGGTATTGAACTCACTTATATCATGTTAGAGAAGAAAGGAAACCCAGAATAAACTCAACTGATGCCTGCTCATGGAGGGAGCATTTAAAACAGCCCTAGCCAGAAGAGAATTGCCAATCTCAGCAGTCCAAAATTGAGTGCCTGCAAACGTATAGCCTCTGAGGGCTATAGCACAGTGTGACTCCAAATTAACTTGAAAGGCCATCTAGGCCATAAGGACTGCAAATCTGAGTTTTGGTGCTGAACTAGGCCCAGAGACAGCGGACTGAGGGGAAAAGTGACATACGGAGACACCTGCTGGGGCAGCCAAGGGAGTGCTAGCATCATCTCTCACCAAACCCCAGGCTGCACAGCTCACAGCTCCAGAAGACACCCCTGCTGTCTGCTTAAGGAAAGGAGAGGGAAGAATGGGGAGGACTTTATCTTGCATCTAGGATACCAGCTCAGCCACAGCAAGATAGGGTACTGGGCAGAGTCATGAGACCACTGTTCCATGGTCTAGTTCCAGATGACATATTTACATACACCCTGGGCCAGAAGGGAATCCACTGTCTTGATGGAAAGGACCCAGTCTAGGCAGCCTTCATCACTTGCTAACTGAAGAGTCCTTGGGCCCCGAATAACCAGCAGTGATACCCAGGTACTACACTGAGGGTCTTAGGTGCACCTCTGAGACTTGCTGGTTTCAGATGAGACTCAATACATTATCAGCTGTGGTGGCTATAGGGTAAAATTCCTTCTTCTTGGGAAAAGCAGAGGGAAAAGTGAAGGAGACTTTGTCTTGCACCTTAGGTACCAGCACAGCCACAGGGGGATAAAACACCAAATGGGATCTTGAGGTTGGCTATTCCAGGACTTGACTCTTGGATGGCATTCTGGACCTGACCTGGACCAGAGGAGAATCCACTGCCCTGAAGGGTGAATCCCAGGCCAAGCAGCATTCACAACAAACTGATTGAAGAGAGATTGCATCTTAAGGGAATATTGGCAGTAGTGACCTGGGTTGGCAGTGGCTGTGGGATGAGGCTCCTCTGCCTTTGGAGAGGGGAAGGACTACATCTTCTCTTTTGAGTGTCAACTCAGCCACAGTACAGTAGAATACCAGGTACAATTCTGCGGTTTTTGACTCTAGCCCCTGACTCCTAGATGGCACTTCTGGATACACCCAAGGGCTGGGGGACCTCTCCTTCCTGAAGTGAAAGATAAAGGCCTGGCTGGCTTTGCCACCTGCTGGTTGTAGAGCCCCAGGGTCTTGAGTGAACATAGGCAGTCACCAGGGAGTGGTTATAGTAGGCCTTGGGTGAGACCCAGTGCTGCGCTGGTTTTAGGTCTGACCCAGTGAAGTCATAGTAGTGATGGCCACCAGGGTGATTGTGTCACTCCACCTCCAGCTTTAGGTGGCTCAGAATAGAGAGAGAGAGAGAGACTCTGTATGTTTGGGAGAAAGTAAAAGAAGAGAACAAGAATCTCTGCCTGGTAATCCAGAGAATTCTCCTGCATCTTGTCTAAGACCATCAAGGCAGTACCTCTAGAAGTCCCGAAGAACCACCAATTTACTGGGCTTGGGGTGCCCGCTAAAGTAGATTCAGCTTAGTTCACAACACCCAAGTTTTTTTCAAATATCTGGAAAGGCTTCCCAAGAAGGATAGCTACACATAAGCCAATACAGTGATTACTACAATAAATACCTGCCTCTTCAATGCTTAGACACCAAAGAGCTTAGACACCAAAGAGACACCAAAGAGTTAGACACCAGCATCTACTGGTGTCAACACTATCCAGGAAAACATAACCTCACCAAATGAACTAAATAAGGCACAAGCGACCAATCCTGGAGACAGAGATATGTGACCTTTCAGACAAAGAATTCAAAATAGCTGTGTTGAGGAAACTCAAAAAAATTCAAGATAACACAGAAAAAATTCAGAATTCTTTCACATAAATTTAACAAAGAGATTAAAATAATTAAAAAGAATCAAGCACAAATTCTGCAACTGAGAAATGCAATTAGCATACTGAAGAATGCATCAGAGTCCTTTAATAGCAGACTTGATCAAGCATATAAAACAAAACTAGTGAGCTTGAGAAGAATTTGAAAATACACAGTCAGGAGAGACAAAAGAAAAAAAATTTTAAAAGGAAGCAAGCCTATAGGATCTAGAAAATAGCCTCAAAGGAGCAAATCTAAGAGTTATTGGCCTTAAAGAGGAGGCAGAGAAAGAGATAGGGGTAAAAAGTTTATTCAAAGTGATAATAAGAGATAACTTCCGAAACCTGGAGAAATATATCAATTTTCAAGTACAAGAAAATTATAGAACACCAAGCAGATTCAACCCAAAGAAGACTACCTCAGGGCATTTAATAATCAAACTCCCAAAGGTCAAGGAAAAAAACAAAATTCTAAAAGCAAGAGAAAAGAAACAAATAACATACAATCGAGCTCCAATATGTCTGGCAGCAGACTTTTCAGTGGAAACCTTACAGGCCAGGAGAGAGTGGCATAACATATTTAAAAGAAAAAAAAAAATTACCTTAGAAAATTCCATCCAGTGAAAATATCCTTCAAACATGAAGAAGAAACAAAGACTTCTCAGACAAACAAAAGCTCAGAACTTTTATCAATACCAGACCTATCCTACAAGAAATACTAAAGGAAACACTCTTACTGTATCCCTACATAGAGAGTAGAAGGATGGTTACCAGAGGCTGAGAAGGGTAGTGGGGACCTGAGGGTGGTGGGGGAGGTAGAGATGGGGATGATTAATGGGTATAAAAATATTAGGATGAATAAGACCGACAATTTAGTAGCACAGTAGGGTAACTATAGTCAATAATAACTTAATTGTACATTTTAAAATATAGTGCAATTGGATTGTTTGCAACACAAAGGATAAATGCTTAAGAGATGATTATGCCATTCCTCATGATGTGATTATTTCACATTGCATGCCTGTATCAAAACATCTCATGTATCCCATAAATATATACACCTACTATGTAACTACAAAAATTTAAAATAATAATAGCATAGGATTTCAAAGCTCCACATCAGCAATGCACAGATAATCCAGAAAGAAAAACAGTAAAGAAACATAAGACTTAAACTACAGTTTAAACCAAATAAACATGACAGACATATACATAATATTTGATAAAACAGCAACAGAGTTCTTCTCAAGTTGACGTGGAACATTCTTCAGGCTACATCATACGTTAGGCCACAAAACAAATCTTAAAAAATTAAGAAGATTGAAATCATATCAGGCATCTTTTCCATCTACAATGATATAAAACTAGAAATCAATAATAAAAAAAATTTAGAAATTCAAACATATATAGAAATTAAATTGCTTTTGAACAACCAATGGATCAAAGAAAAAATTAAAATATCTTGAAATGGAAAAATGAGCATATAACATACCGAAACTTATAAGATGAAGCCAAAACATTTCTAAGAAAAAAGTTTATAGTTTGAAATACCTACACCAAAAAAGAAGAAATATTTCAAATAAACAATCTAATGTTACACCTCAAGGAACTAGAAACATAAGAACAAACTTAACGTTAGTATAAGAAAAGAAATAATAAAGATCAGAGCACAAACAAAATAAATAGAGACTAAAAAACCGAGAGAAGAGTTCAGTAAAACAAAGATTTAGTTTTTTGAAAAGATAAACAAAATAAAGCTTTAGCTAGACTAAAAGAGGGAGACAACTAAAATAAAATCAAAAATGAAAAAGGAAACATAACAACTAATATCACAGAAATAAAAAAGATTATAAAAAACTACTATAAACAATTATACACCAACAAACTGTATAACCTAGAAAAATGGATAAATTTCTAGAAATACAACCTACCAAAACCGAAGCATGAAGAAACAGAATATATAAACAGATTAATAAGAAGTAAGGAGATTAATTCAGTAACAAAATATCTACTATGAACAAAAAGTCCAGGACCTGATGACTTCACTGCCGAATTCTACCATACATTTAAAGAAAAAATAGTAAAAATTGTTCTTAAACTCTTTCAAAAAGTTAAAGAAGAGGGATTACTCTACTTTCGAACTCATTTTATGGGGCCAGCATTAATCTGATTGATACCAAAGCCAAAGAAGGATAATACAAAAATAGAAAATTACAATATCTCTGATGAACACAGAAGCAAAAATCTTTAACGAAAGACTAGCAAACCAAATTCAGCAGTGCATTCAAAAGATTATTTACCATGATAAATCTGGGTTTACCCAGGAAATCAAGATTGGTTCAATGTACACAAATCTATAAATGTGATATACCACATTTACAGAATGTGAATGAGGAAAAACATTTGATGAAATTATACATACTTTCATGAAAAGAATCACAGAAAATCAGATATATGAAGAATGTACTTCAACACAACAAATACTATATATGTCAAACCTATAGCTAACATCATACTCAACACTGAAAAATCGAAAACTTCCTTTAAGATCAGAAATGAGACATGGATGCCAACTCTCATCACTTCTAGTAAACATAGCACTGGAAGTTCTAGCCAGAGCAATTAAGCAGGAAGAAGGAAAAATATATCCAAATTAAAAAAGAAGAAATTAAATTATCCCTGTTTTCAGACACTAAAATTTGTACTTGTAAAATTATAAAGGTTTCAGCAAAAAGCAATTAGAACTAATAAATTCAGTTAAGCTGCAAGATAGAAAATCAATATAAAAATCAGTATAGTTTTTGTGCAGTAACAATGAACTATCCAAAAAAAGAAATGAACACTATCATTTTCAATAACTACAAAACTAAATAAAATAGGAATAAAATTTACCTAAGACATGAAAGACCTACACAATGAAAACTATAAAATATTGATGAAAGAAATTGAAGAAGACACAAATAAATGGGAAGCTATTCTGAAAAACTGTTCACAGAATAGATAAAATAACTAATATTATTAAAGTGTCTATACTACCCAGGGCAATCCAGTGCAATGCCTAGCAAAATACTAATATTCCTCACAGAAATAGAAAAAACAATTTTAAAATTTGTATTCCTCACAGAAATAGAAAAAACAATTTTAAAATTTGTATGGTACCACAAAAGACCCCAATTATCCCAAACAAACTTGAACAGGAAGAACAAAGCTGAAGATACCATACTGTCTGACTTCAAAATATTCTACACAGCAATAGCAAACAGCATGGTACTAGCATAAAATCAGACACATAGACCAATGGAACAGAGTTGGCAGTACAGAAACAAACCCATGCATTTATGTTTAACTGGTTTAACAAAAAGATGCCAAAAACACTCAATGGCGAAGGCACAGTTTCTTTAAGAAATGGTGTTGGGACAAGTGGATACTCACATGCAGAAGAATGAAATTAGACCCTTATCTCAAACCATATAAAAATCAACTGGAAATGGATTAAAAACTTAAATGTAAGACTTGGAACTGTAAAACCATTTTCACAATATTGATTCTAACCATCCATGAGCATGGGATGTATTTCTACTTCCTTGTGTCATCTATAATTTCTTTCAGCAGTGTATTGTAGCTTTCCTTGTAGAGACCTTTCATCTCCTTGGTTAGGTATATTCCCAAGGGTTTTTTGTTTGTTTGTTTGTTTTTGCAGCTATTGTAAAAGGGGTTGAATTTTTGATTTGATTCTCAGCTTGTCCTCTGTTGGTGTATAGAAGAGCTACTGATTTGTGTACATTAATTTTGTATCCTGAAACATTGCTGAATTCATTTACCAGTTCTAGGAGCTTTTTGGGGGAGTGTTTAGGGTTTTCTAGGTGTACAATTGTATCATCAGCAAACAGCAACAATTTGCCTTCCTCTTTACTGATTTGGATGCCCTTTGTTTCTTTCTCTTGTCTGATTTCTCTGGCTAGGACTTCCAGTACTATGTTGAATAGAAGTGGTAAGAATCAGAATCCTTGTCTTGTATTCAGGGGAAATGCTTTCAACTTTTCCCTGTTCAGTATTACATTGGCTGTGGGTTTGTCATAGATGGCTTTTATTACATCAAGATATGTCTCTTCTATGCTGATCTTGCTGAGGGTTTAATCATAAAAGGAGGAGGGATTTTGTCAAGTGCTTTTTCTGCATCTATTGAGATGCTCGTATGATTTTTTAATTCTGTTATGTGGTGTATCATATTTATTGACTTGTGGTTGTTAAACCATCCCTGCATCCCTCGTATGAAACCCACTTGATCGGGGGGATTATGTTTTTGATATGCTGTTGGATTCAGTTAGCTAGTATTTTGTTGATGATTTTTGCAGCTATGTTCATCAGGGATATTGGTCTGTAGTTTCCTTTTTTTTTTTGGTTATGCCCTTCCTAGGTTTTGGTATTAGGGTGATGCTGGCTTCATAGACTGATTTAGGGAGGATTTTCTCTTTTTCTATCCTGTGGAATATTGTCCATATTCCAAGGTCCATATTCAAAGACCAATTCTTTGAATGTCTGATAGAATTCAGCCGTGAATCCATCTGGTTCTGAACATTTTTCTGTTGACAATATTTTTTTATTACCATTTCAATCTCAGTGGTTGTTATTGGTCTGTTCCAAATTTCTATATCTTCCTGGTTTAATCTAGGTGGGTTATATATTTCCAGGTATTTATCCATCTCCTCTAGCTTTTCTAGTTTATGTGCATAAAGGTGTTCATAGTAGCCTTGAATGATCTTTTGTATTTCTGTTGTACTAGTAGTAATATCTCCCATTTCATTTCTAATTGAGCTTATTTGGATCTTCTCTCTTCTTTTCTTGGTTAATCTCACTAATGGGCTATCAATTTTATTTATCTTTTCAAAGAACCAGCTTTTTGTTTCATTTATCTTTTGTATTTTTTTTTGTTTCAATTTCATTCAGTTCTGCTCTAGTCTTCACTATTTCTTTTCTTCTACTGGGTTTGGGTTTGGATTGTTCTTGTTCTTGTTTCTCCCGTTCTGTGAGGTGTGACCTTAGATTGTCTATTTGTGCTCTTTCAGGCTTTTTAACATAAGCATTTAAAGCTATGAACTTTCCTCCTAGCACCATCTTTCTGTATCCCATAGGTTTTGATAGGTTGTGTCACTATTATCATTCTGTTCAAATAATTTTTCAATTTCCATCTTTATTTCTTTGTTGACCTAATGATCATTCAGGGGCAGGATATTTAACTTCTATGTATTTGCATGGTTTTGAATGCTTGCTTCAGAGTTGATTTCCAATGTTATTCTGCTGTGGTCTGAGAGACTACTTGATATAATTTCAGTTCTCTTAAACTTGCTGAGACTTGTTTTGTGGCCTATCATATGGTCTATCTTGGAGAATATTCCATGAGCTGATGAATAGAATGTATATTCTGCAGTTGTTGGGTAGAAAGTTTTGTTAATATCTGAATATTCCATGTGTTGATGAATAGAATGTATATTCCAAAGTTGTTGGGTAGAATGTGTTGTTTATATCTGTTAAGTTCATTTGTTGTAGGGTACAGTTTAGGTCCATTGTTTTTTTGTTTACTTTCTGTCTTGATGACCTGTCTAGTTCTGTCACTAGAGTATCACAGTCCCCCACTATTATTGTGTTGGTGCCTATCTCATTCTTAAGTCCAGTAGTAATTGTTTTATACATTTGGGAGCTCCAGTGTTAGGTGCATATATATTTAGGATTGTGATATTTTCCTGTTGGACTAGTTCTTTTATCATTGTATAATGTCCTTCTTTGTCTTTTTTTTTAAGCTATTGCTTTAAAGTCTGTCTGATATAAGAATAGCTACTCCTGCTCACTTTTGGTGTCCATTTGCATGGAGTATCTTTTTCCACCCCTTTACCTTAAGTTTATGTGAGTCCTTGTGTATTAGGTAAGTCTCTTGAAGACAGCAGAAACTTGGTTGGTGACTTCTTATCCATTCTGTCATTCTGTATCTTTTAAATGGAGCATTTAGGCCATTTACATTCTATGTTAATATTGAGATGTGATGTACTATTCTATTCATCATGCTATTTATTCTCTGAATACCTTGGGTTTTTTTCATTGTGTTATTGTTATATAGGTCCTATGGAATTTGTGCTTTAAGAAGGTTCTATTTTGGTGTATTTTTTGGATTTGTTTCAAGATTTAGAGCTCCTTTTAGTAGTTCTTGTAGGGCTGACTTAGTAGTAACAAATTCTCTCAGGATTTGCTTGTCTGGAAAAAACTATCTCTCCTTCATTTATGAAGCTTAGTTTTGCTAGATACAAAATTCTTGGCTGATAATTGTTTTGTTTAAGGAGGCTAAAAATAAGACTCCAATCTGTTCTAGCTTGTAGAGCTTCTGCTGAGAAATCTGCTATTTATCTACTAGGTTTTCCTTTATTGGTTACCTGATGCTTTTGCCTTAAAGCTATTAAGATTCTTTCCTTCATCTTGACTTATCTATCCTGATCACTATGTTCCTACATTATAATCTTCTTGTGATGAATTTCCCAGGTGTTCTTTAAGCTTCTTGTATTTGGATGTCTAGGTTTCTGGCAAGGCCAGGGAAATTTCCCTCAATTATTCCTTCAATTATGTTTTCCACACTTTTAGAGTTTTCTTTATCCTTGGGAACAGCAATTATTCTCAGGTTTGGATGCCTAACATAGTCCCACAATTCTTGGTGGCTTTGTTAATTTTTTTACAATTATTTTTCTTTGTCTTTGATGGATTGGGTTAATTCAAAAGCCTTGTCCTCGAGCTCTGAATTTCTTTCTTCTTTTGTTTGATTGTATTGCTGAGACATACCAGTGCATCATTTTGCATTTCTCTAAGTGTGTTTTTGATTTCCAGAAGTTGTGATTGCCTTTTATTTATGCTATCCATTTCACTGAAGATTTTTTCTTTCATATCCTGTATCATGTTTTCAATTTCTTTAAGTCGAACTTCACCTTTCTCTGGTGTCTCCTTGATTCGCTTAATAATCAACCTGAATTCTTCTTCTGGCAATTTAGAGATTTCATCTTGGTTTGGATCCATTGCTAGTGAGCTGCTGTGATCTTTTGGCAGTATTAAAAAAAACCTTGTTTTGTTATATTAACAGAATTGTTTTTCTGATTCATTCTCATTTTGGTAGACTATGTTAGAGGGAAGATCTGGGACTCAAGCGCTGCTGTTCAGATTCTTTTGTTCCATTGGGTGCTCCCTTTATGTGGTGCTTTACCTGTTCCCCTAGAGATGGGGCTTCCTGAGAGCCAAACTGCAGTGACTGTTTTTGCTTTTCTGGGTTTAGCCACCTGCAGAGCTACCAGACTGCAGGCTAGTACTGGGGAGTGTCTGCAGAGTCCTGTGATGTGATGCGTCTTCAGGTATTTCAGCCATGCATACCAGCAGCTGCTTTGGTGGAGGTAGCAGGGGAGTGAAGTGGACTCTGTGAGAGTCCCTGGTTGTGTTTTTCTTTAGTGCACTGGTTTTATGTTGGTTGCCTCCAGCCAGGAGTTGGCACTTTCAAGAGTGCATCAGCTGCCATACTATAGGAAGGAAGCAAACTTTCCCTAGGGTCCCCTGGTTAAGTATTCAGGTTTCTCAGGTGGTGGACAGGGCCATAGAGTTCCCAAGAGATTATATCCTTTGTCTTTGGCAACGAGGGCAGGTGTAGAAAGACCACCAGGTTGGGGCAGGGATAGGCATGTCTGAGCTCAGCTTCTCCTTGGACAGGTTTGCTGCAGCTGCTGTGGCAGATGGGAGTGTTGTTCTTAGGCCAATGGAGTTATGTTCCCAGGGGGATTATGGTTGCCTCTGCTGAGTCATACAGGTTGCCAGGGAAGTAGGGAAAAGCTGGCAGTCACAGGCCTCACCTTCTCCCATGTGGCCTGCAATCCTAAAGGCCAGTCTCACTTCCACTGGGCCTCTGCAACAGCACCCAGTCTACTTCCAGGCAGCTGGTGACCAGGGCTGAGAAATTGCTCCAGAACACCAACCTCCCCACTGAGAAAGCAAGCAGACTCACAGTTTTTCAGCATCTCAGGGAGCCTGCAGTGGCCATCCAGATCCTTCAAAGGGTCTGTGGATTCTCTCAGCATTCCTGGTGTGTTCCTGTGGTAGTTCTTGGAGCAAAAGTTTGCGACGTGATGTTCCACACACTGCTCTGTCTGTCCAAGTGGGAGCTGCATGCTATTCCTGCCTCCTATCTGCCATCTTCCCCACAAATACCAAAGCCTTTTTTGGTAGGCATAATACTAATGATAGAGATAGAAAAGTAGGGAAAAACAACACAAGCTGGACTTCATTCTTTAATCGCCACAAAGAATGTTAAACAACACATGAAGAATATTAAAAACATAACATAAAAGATTGGTTTCAAGTGTAGTCTTTCAAATCTCATGTCATATTTGTGCAATCTCATGCAGATATTTTCTAATCACCCTATTTAATGTTGCCCCCACTCAACCCCTCCTATCATTATGCATAATGAATGAGTGTAATAAATGTATCATTTATTACATTCCACAGTTTCATGTTTATTTGTTTGTTATCTGAATCTTCTGCTAGAATGTAAGCTTACTAAGAGCAGGGTGTCATTTCTTCCTCATTTTTGTGCCCCAGCACCTATAGATGGTATCTGGTACAAGGTAAGCATCCAATAAATAGCAGTTTAATAATTCAGTGTTTAATGGATCCTAATAATGGATGGTACTTTTCATATTTTAGTTATTCCTAAGACATTTGTGTTAACTTCTAGTTATGAATTTCTGCTCTTAATTTAGTAGAAACACTGGCCTTCACAATAAGGTGTTGTTGAACGTTCAGTTGAATAGTTCACATTTCATTACATTGAATTTCTGAATGGAGGACCATTTTTTTGGCTTATATTCCAGTGAAATGTATGCATTGGTTTCAGGTATCTGTCCTTCATCTAAGTAGAACTGCCCCCAAAAGAAAGGAAAATTACCCACAAGCACACTTAGCCTTTATTGGATTTTTCTGATCTTGTTATTCATATCCTCTGGCAGCTGGTTTCAAAGCAAGCAAGGGAGCACTACTTTCCAAATTGCATTTTTAAAATGTGAATATTGTGCCTGTTACTTTATGTTTTATGCATTGTTTGCAAATAGGAAACACGGTCACCTCATATTTTATGGATTTGCTTTGGAAAATGATTTCAAAGAAAGTTCAATATTAGGAGCATAAAACTTATCTCTGACATTGTTGAATGCCTAATTCTTTCCTTGCTATTTGTTGTCTTAATGAAGAGGATAATTTAACATTATGCCTTGTTCTTTGGCCTCATTACTGGTGAGGACAAGGCTTGAATTGTATGTACTTAGTAAATATGTATGAACTCAATAAACTGCTAAAAAATAACACTGTATAAACCTTGAATTCAAGAGGTCCAATTTTTTTTCAGAAATACATCAAGACAAAATTTGCCTACCTGAATAACTTGTGAAAGAAATTTTTATCGAAGATTACATATTTTCCTGTAATTGCAGATTTCAGGACCAAGTTGGCCAAAAACTCTATCAGTGACATTACTAAGCTAAAAGGGGCTCTTTTGATGATGGTTACATTTTATTTTAAATACAAATTCTTTTTTGTTCCTATGCTGCTGAAATCCTGGTACATATTTTCAATAGAAAGCTTAGCTTGCTGTGGCTGTTTCTGTTTATTGCTGTAGATCTGAACTTAAAGTATATTCCCTTCTGACTACCACATCTTGTGCTGTTCTCCCTGCATCTGTCACCGATATATCCCTCAGATTTTCCTTTATTGCATTTATTGTTCTCAGACAGTTTTCTTGCTCATTTACTTGTTTGTTTTTTTTATTATCTGCACCTTCACTAGTATGTAAGTTAATGAAATGGGGATTTACCTATACTTTCATCTTTATGTCTGCAGCTTCTGGAATGACACCTGGCTCATTTAAAAAAATAAAAATAAAAATGTGTGAAATTCTTATAACTCTACAATAAAAAGACAAGCAAACCTAATTAAAAAGGGCTAAGGTACTAAATAGACACTTTTCTAAAGAAGGTATAAAAATGAACAACTAGGGCAGGAAAAATACTTAACATCATTAATCATTAGGAAAATGCAAATTAAGACCATAATTTGATACCACTTTACATCCCCTAGAATGGCTATAATTGATAGACCAGATAACCACAAGTGTTGAAGAGGATATGGAGAAATTGGAACCCTTGTACATTGCTGGTCAAAATGTTAAATGGTGCTGATGTTTTAGACAGTTAAGCAGTGTCTCAAAATGTTAAGTGTGGAATTACCATATGACCAACAATTCCGCTCCAAGGAGTCTACCCAAGAAAATTGAAAATATATATTCATACAAAGACTTGTACAGAAATGTTCATTACAACATTATTCATAATAGCCAAAAAGTAGAAATAACCTAAATACCCATCAATTGATGAGTGAATAAACAAAACCTAATATATCCATATAACTGAATAATTTTTGGCCATAAAACCGAAAGAAGTGGTGACATGCTGCTACATGGATGACACTTAAGAACATAATGATACCTAAAAGAAGTCAGAAACAAAAGGCCATGTGTTGCATAATTTCATTTATGTGAAAAAATCTAGCATGAGCAAATCTACAAGTGCAGAAAGTAAATAGTTGCCAGGGGCTGGGGAGGGTAGAATGGAGAGTGACTAATAAAGAGCATGAGGGTTCTTTTGTGGGCGATGATGTTCTGGAATTAGATAGGGCTGATAGTGGCACAATTTTGTGAAAATGCTAAAAATCACTGAATAGTACATTTTAAAATGATGAATTTTAGGTGTGTGAATTATGAATTCATAATGGAAAATATGTGGAAAAGTTAATGATAATAACAACCATTATTAGAATACTTATATTCCAGATAATTGTTTGTGCTGAAGACTTTACATACGTTATGAACTTTTACCCATAAGCAAATCTGTAAGGAAAATCCTAATGTTATCTTTATTGTACAGATGAGGAAATTGTTAGAAAGGTTAAATAACTTGTCCAAGGACCACAGAGCTAAGCAGTCTTGGAACTGGGAATGCTGAGAATAGAAGCTGGGAGCTGAGTCTGGTCCCTGAGCTGGGGTGTTGGACATGCTGATATTCTACAGCCAGAAAGATGTGGTTTTGTTGTCATTGTACTCATTGGTATATGTGCTGGTATTTTGCCTCAAGTTTTCTTGAAAAAATAATTATTTGAATTCCTTCAAGGCTTATGAGAATAGTAAACATTCATAGATTGACAACTAACTACAAACAGCACAGAGTAGCTCAGTATATTTGGACAATATTTGTGAGGCAAACAGAAATCAATTTTAAAAGTCTCAAAGATTTTTATGAAAGGTAGTATCTTTCTTTGTAACTAGAGGGTAGTAATCAGATGACCTCATGGTTCTGTTCCAGCTCTAATTACTCTGTGATTGTAGGAACCATGTACCTTAGGGCAACAAATACACTACCCTGCTTTCCTTTACATCCTCAGTTTCAGAAAAGGAGCCTGGGTCCAAAGTCCTTTCTGTGATTCTCTAACAGCTCTCTCATGTTCTGCAGGAAGTCCAGGAGTATCACCCAATGCATCAGTTTCTTTCCTTTTAAGCTGTATAAACTAGGGAAAGTGCCTACAAGGAGCTCAGACCCATGAGTCTGCTCCTTGGTTGCTGTCAGCAAAGAGAAATCAGTGCTCTGGGACCCATCAGATGAGTATCATTCTACACTCTTCTTTTCCTCTAAATGCAATGGTAACCAGAGTTCTGATGAGGTGGGAACTTCAATGTTGGATGTATATGAGAAAGACACTATTGAAATGTAAAGATTGAAAATTATAGGCAAAAGGAGTTCAGAGTTATTTGCATAAGGAGTTCAGGGTGTTTTGGGAGATGAATCATCGAAAGCCCATCACCTTCTTCCCTCAAGTTCAAAACTTTAGAATGTGGTTGGGTAAAAACAAATAAATAAATAAATATGACACAATTTCCAGTGCCAATGAAGGCAATAAGGCACCTATAATAAAAGCATTATGAGACTAGAAGACTATGGAGTGGGCCATTTTGTGCTTAAGACAAGGTACGGTGCACCTCCTCGTATTGCTCCGGTTCCTCCTACTCTCTCTATGTGCCTGTTCCTCAGCCTCTGTGGGTTCTAGCCCTAAGGTGCATACCTGTGATCTTCATTGCAGGACTGTCCTTAGGCTACTGAAGCCTGTCTGCCCACATTACTAGCAGAGATCTGGAAGCGTCTGGGTACATCCCCTGGCATGGCCAATGAGTACGCACATCCTAAAAGCCCAGCTCCTCTCCCTTGAGTCCAGGTAAACTATGGGGTGTAACTTCTACTCCAGAGTTCCTTGTAGCATCAGGCTAAGATGGGGTTTTGCCTGAAACAACACCCTTGCTTGGCTTCTTCTCCTTCCCCGCTCCAGTCTTATTGTTTTCTTTTCCCCACGCTTTCTTAATAAGTACCACTTGCACACAAATCATCACCTCATGGTTTCTCTGGCTTCATGAGATGGCAGAATGGAAACTCTTCCATCACAGTTTATGGGACATTCATACAATCTGAGGAAAAGACAATGTGATTGAATCAAAATAAATTTGATGTTGTGAGCCCAGGTCAATTTTTTTTGAGGCCCATTTGCATTTTTAGCTGAGAAAATTACCACTGGGGCTGGTAAAACACACACACACACACAAAATCACTGTAGCTTCATAGCTTCAGCAGTGCTTTATACCAATGGCTGAGAGGACAGAGTGAAAGCTCACATTGCTTTGGACACAATAGGGGATCAGATAAAGGTGACAGTAGCTGCAGTCATGGAGACAGGACAATTTTTCTTAGCTAGGATTCTTGACTAGTTTTTATTTGTAATCCCAAGGTTTCTAGTACTTAGAGGTAGCAGCAGTGGCATAATAGATCCTCCTAGCTCAGATGACCCAGCTTTCTGTCATGTTACCAAGTCCTCCAGCTTCAAGGAGAGAAGCATGAGGATGCTCTCTAAGGTTTCTTGGACATACTGGTGAATAGAGACCTTAGTCAGAAGTATTGGATTTCCCACGAATGTGAATAGCAAATAGCAAAATACAGCAACACAGTAACCAATCAACTAACTGCAAATCCATACCTTTCCTGCCTCCTTGAATCGATCCACTTTTTTTCTTTTTTCCATTTGCCTCTTTAGCAGGTCTGTTCATTGTCATTTCTAATCTGGATCAGTGTACCCATCTTTACTAGTCTCCCTATATTTATCTTTGCTTCCTTCCAATCCATTCTCCACACTGTAAATACAATCAATCATCTGCTTATAATAATCTTAAAACCTTCCTATGGCTTAAGACTTCCCCATGTCTCCCCATTATTTCTAGCATAAAGTTTAATCTCCTGAGCATGGATGTGAAGCTCTTTCATGATCTGGCCTCTGGATCCTCTCAGGCTCATGTCCCATCCTCCTCTCCTGTCATGTTATGCCCCATCCATCCTTCACACACACCTCTCTCTACTCTGTCTCACCCTCCTCACAGGAGTAATTTGGATGGTTCCCTGTGCCTACCTATGCTCCAGTTCCTGCCACACTGTATAGTTTATACCTGTTCATATCTGCCTGCCCTCTTGCTGCACTACATGGGACCCGGAATCTACCTACACTCTCTAGCAGGCACCTTGAGGATTTCTCTCCACTTTTTGAGTGTACACTGTTGTTAGTGTTGACATTCATATCTCAAGAAAGATGAGAGAAGACAAGTTTGACGTGAGGGCTTCTCCTAACTCAGACTGCTCAGAAAGGCTTTCAAGATCAGATAAGCTGCTTGCTTTTGTAATAGTTACCTACACGTTCAAATGCAGAACATTCTAATTGAGTGCAAGGAAGAATCACATCTCTTTCATGCCACAGCTTCTTTCTAGTGACCACAGGTATCTACCTCTAGACGAGAAGGGCTGTAACAATGCCTAGACTCAAAATGGACTCTTTTATTTCCTGCCCCAGCTCTCCTTGAAAACTCTTCTCAATTTCTTGGATGCTTACTCAGTTTCCATTACCTTTTGTGGTTTTTCTTGATGATGATTATGGTGGTGATGATAGTGATTTGCCTGCAGCTAGTGAGGCTCACACAAAAAACAGAAAAATCCATGCAGATTAATCTCCAGAAAATGTCTGCCTTTCTTCTTTCCTTTCTCCAGCTCCTTTCTGCAGTATTGATCTTAACTTTATCCCCTTCACAAAGCCCTGAAATAACCTGGCTCCCTTCATTCCTGGCCTGGCTTTGTGGTGGGATTTATTATGAACTCCGCTTTAGAGACTTTAAACAGTCTATAAATCCTAGCCAGGCTCGAGCTCAGCCAGTCCTGAAAGCCTGCTAAGTGAAGCATGAGAAACACACTCTCATTTAGTGGTGACAGGTGACAGCTGGGATGATGATGTATCTATCCCATCAGCAGAAGCAGGACATTTATTTAGTAATAAGCTTCATCTTCTTTCTCCTCTCAGCCTCACAATCCGACATCTAAATATCCTGCTTCTCTGAGACAATTATTAGAGCAGCTGAACTTAAATCTCCCCATTTCCAGAATCACCTACATAAAAGCATCTTCAGGCATGGATGTGACAAAGCCAGAAGTGTGAGTTGGTGTCATTTGTTTCCCTGCCAGAGAGTGAGGCAGCATGACTGAGGCAAGGCCCAGGGGAGCCCATTATCCCAGCCTGAAATGACACACAAAACAGCATCCCGAGTCTTCCAAGTTCATTATGAAAGAGATGAAAAATAACATCTTTAGAATTATCATTTTTTAAATTGGCCTAATGAAATCATGTATGCTCCCTTCCCCTATGAGTTGGCTTGCTAATGATTCCTGCTTACATTTGCCCTTGAAAATTGAAAAGACCTGCTATTGAATATAGAAAGAAACCCCCCAAAAGTTAAATCAGAACCCTCCGGTTCCTCTTTGCCTAACAGTTATATATTGGTGTCTCTTTGTGGTTTTAGTTTGCATTTCCCTGATGACTAAAGATATTGAGCATCTTTTTATGTGTGTACTTGTCATTTGCATATCTTCTTCAGTGAAGCCTCTATTCAAATGTTTGCCCATATTGTATTAGGTTAGGTGTCTTCTTATTGATTTATAAGAGTTGTTTTGTACATCCCGGATATTTTCTCACTCTGCGACTTGCCTTTTTGTTTTCATAATATATTTTAAAGAGGTTTTTTTTTAAAAAAAATGCAGTCCATTTTACCCAGCTTTTTTCTATCCTTTTTATGATATAAACAATTAAGCTTACCCAATGGTCACAAATAGTTTTCCTGTTTTATTTTAGAAGTTTTATAGTTTTATGCTTTATACTTATGATAATGAATAATGTTGATGTTTTTGTATATATTGTCAAGTAATTATCAAGATCAATTTTTTTCCCATTTCAAATGAATTTCCAGCTGATCCAGCACCATTCATTGCAGAGATTTTCCTTTGCCTTCTCTATTCCCTTAGTAATTTTGTTATGAACTAATTGACTGTATATGTATGCTTTCTATTCTGTTTCATTAATCTACATGTTTAACTTTTCACTAATGCCAATTAGTATTGATCACCGTAGTTTGAAGTGTTAGCCAGGCTAGATTTGGAGACTTTGACATCATGATCACTTCTCAGCATCTGTTATGTATATAGGTTCTATTATTCTCATTCTCTTATCTAACTCTGTTGAATCCTACACCAGCATGCCATCCTGGGCAGGATCTATGATCTCTTAACTTCAAATATTAAAATTTATCTCTCCAATATTTCATTCCCTGAGAGCCCTGCTATGTACAAGGGGTAAGATTGACTGTGATCATGCCTGATAATGTTTATCCCTTTCTGTTGATATATTTACACATTTCAACATAGTATCTTTTAAAGGCAATACCTCAATGCAAAGATTGGTCTTCAGGGTGGTAACTTCAGACACCATAAGAAGTTTTCTACAATGAGGGGCATATTTTGAGAACATGTATACCATGTGGCATCCCTTAAACTATTGTTCCACAGATGATGGCACTTGTACCACTAGTGATTTAACAGAGGCATTTAGATCACTTCCATACATTGTGTTTAAATATTCATAATTGTACATGTTTTTAATGATGTACTAAAAATGCAGCAACCAAACATATAGTTTCAGGCATTATTGCTTGTCAAAAGTGTAATCCAGTCAAGAAAAAATAGAGTCCATTTAAAGAAAAGTATTAATTAGATGATTATATATATATACCAAAATGATATGAGTGCAATTTGCAAATGGCTAAAGTTTGAGTGGTACAACCTGGTAGATAAGCAAGCAGGAGTAAGGTTAAGTCTCCAACTTCCCTTTTCTGGAGGACACCAAAATGCTACTGGCACTCCTTGTGCATTCATTTTATCTGGCTAGTTCCCTCATTCCCCAGCTTCTGAGCACATAAGCTGCTAACAGCTCACTGTTGCCTGTTCTCCTGAGTATTTACATCCTTGTCTCGTGTTAAAAAATTATCCACGAGTCTTGCAAGGAACAGTAAGACATACTTAATTTAGGACCATCATGGTATGGACCACTGCAATTGGGTTTTGCAGTGACAGAGAGAGATGAGGCTCGACTCTGAATACAACAAGGGAAAATAGGAATTTATTGCCAAAGGAGCAGGGTTGGGGGTCAATGAGTGAACAATTACTAAGAGAAAAAAAAATCAGAGTTGGGGGAGATTCTGGTTAAACAACCTGACAAGATTCTTGTTAAAGACAGGCCAGGGTGATTAGATATTACCTGGAAGATGGTGGAGAATGAGAAGCCTGATCACATATTGAGAGTGATAAGATACCAAAGATGAGGAATTCTGGCTCAATTGACTTAGCAGGATTCTTGCTAAAATTGAACAATTCAGAAACAAACCTAGAAAACCGAAAGTCAAGGGCTGGTTGAGAAGAGAATTCAAAGGAGCCTGACTAGATTTTCGTCAAACGGAGAATTTTTGTCACCCTGGCCCTCCCCATGGGATTCTCCTTCCCTAGGCTGAGTGATTTTGGGTCTGAGTATGGGTCAATTATGCTTGACCCATACTCATACCTGACTTCTTACTATGCCTCCCTCATCCCCCTACCAATTTTACCTGAGAGCACTCCCTCAGGAAATCCCTTGCAAAGGAATTCCTGTTTCAGGTTCTGCTTCTAGAGAATCTGTCCTAAGATAATGAGGTGTAAATAATTGCCCCGTGGAACATGGAACTAGATGGATACCTTCCGAGTCTCTGTAAATAATCTGACCTACTTAATTTTTTTCCTTCTCTATCCAGTCATATATAAGAGCCAGTGGTTGCTTTAAAGACTACTGTCCATAACAATAAGTACTAGTTGCTCCTTTTGTGCCATATCTAAGTTTATTTCTTCACCATCATTTTTTCTTTTTCTAGACCAGCTCTCAAAGGATAAATGTTTCTGGATCTTTTATGGCATAAACCAGTCCCTTTACTCTTTCTTCTTTCTTCTGAACCTTATATACAGCACACTGGTTTGTCACTCATGAAGAGTCTTCCTGCATCATTAAATTATATGAAAAGAGGGTTCCCCCATGCAGGGCACGTTAAAGTTAAAGGAAAAGCGCCAGTAAGTGCCTTCTTATTTTTTAAGTTTGAGGCAGAAAGGGTTTTTTTTTTTTTTTTCTCATTATAGAAATTGTTTTCTTCCTGCCCTTAAATATATCTGGAGATTTCAAATCATGGAAGCAATTTATCTGTCATAACTCCTATAATATAAAGATAATTTAAATTCAAACTAAATTGGCTAAAAAATGATAGATAAAACAGCTTAGAAAAGTCTGTATCAGGCTCTAGTCCAAAAATCTTTATTTCCCTAAAATGACTTATCTTCTACATCATTAAATTTTTATTCCTATCACTCCTGGGTTGTTTGACCTAGGGGAATCTTTTATTACCTCATATTATGCCTTTAAATTTTTTAAAAATTGTGTTGAGGTGTAATGTGAATGCAGTAGGATGCGCAAATCTTAGGAGCACCACCTGATGAAATTGTACTTACGCTTACCTTCCCGCAATCATCACACAGATCAAGATGAAGGATATTGCCAGCAGCATAAAAGCTTTCCTCATACTGCCTCACACTCAATACCTCCACAAGGTACCCATTATTCTGACTGCTGTTGCTATATATCTATTTACTTTTTCTTTTGGTTCATATATATGGAATAATACAATAGATATGTTTTTACATCTGGCATGTTTTCCTAAACATTGTGTCTATGAGCACTATTTATACTCCTGCCTTCATGTGCTGTCTGTTCTTTTATATTGCTGCTTAGTATTCCACTCGTGAATTTATCATGATATGATGACCCATTGTACTGTGCTCCATAAGCACATGAAAGATGCTCAGCATTATCAGCTGTCTTAGTCAGTTTTATGCTGCTGTACCATAGTACCTGATTTTTCATGAACAGTGTGTTAGGCCATTTTTTGCATTCCTATAAAGAAATACTTGAGGCTGGGCAATTAAAAAAAGGAGAGGTTTAATTGCCTCACTGTTCTGAAGGCTGTACAAGCACAGTCCCAACATCTGCTGGACTTCTGGTGAGGGCCTCAGGAAGCTTACAATCATGGCAGAAGGCAAAGGGGGAAGCTGGTGTATCACATGAGAGTGGGAGCAAGACAGAAGGAGAAAGGAGAGGTCCCAGACTCTTTTAAAAACCAGATCTCATGAACTAACTGAGTGGAACTCACGTATCACCAAGGGGATGCTGCTAAACCATACGTAAGTGTCTGTCCCCATGATCCAATCAGCTCCCACCAGGCCCCACTTCCAACACTGGGGACTACATTCCAACATGAGATTTGAAGGGGATAAGCATCCAAACCATATCAGATAGAAACTTACTGGCTAACAATTCTAGAGGCTGTGAAGTCTAAGACTAAGGGAACACATCTGGCAAGGGTTCCTCTTTGTTACATAATCCCATGATGAAAGGAGATAGAGGGCAAAAAGGGAAGGAGAGAGAAAAAGAGAGAGAGAGGGGGAAGAGGGAGAAGGAGTTGTGGGGGCAGCAAGAGGAAAGGAAGGGATGGGAAAAAAGGAGCCAACTTCATCCTTTTATAAGAAACCCACTCTTATGATAACAAACCCACTCCTGTGATGACAGTCTTAACCTGTTCATGAGGTTAGAGCCCTCATGGCCTAACCTCTTAAAAGTCCTACCTCTTACTATTGTTAAAATAATTAGATTTCAACATGAGTTTAAGAAGAAGCAGATATTCAAACTACAGCATTAGTCATCATGGAAACTTAGTCAAAACAAAAATTTGATCCTACTTTGCCCACATTAGAATAGCTAGAATAAAAAAGGAAGAAAACACATGTTGGCTAGAATGTGGAAAGATGAGAACATTCATATATTAGTGGTAAAACAACCTGGAAGCTCCTCACATATTAAGCATAGAGCTACTACATGGCCGAGCATTTCCACTGCTAGTTTTATACCTAAGAGAAAAGCAAACATGCATTTATAAAAATTGTGCCTGAATGTTTATAGTGGCATGAATTATAGTATTAAAAATTGGTAACCATCCAAATATGCATCAACTGATTAATGGATGTGCAAAATGTGATACATCCATATAATGGAATATTATTTGGCCATAAAAAAGAATGGCAGTGTATTTCTTCATGTTACAACATGGATGAACCTGGAAAACACGTTAAGTGAAAACAAAATCACAAGAGACCCCATTGCAATGATTTTATGTATATGAAATATCCATAATAGACAAGTCTATAGAGACAGAAAGTAGATCAGTGGTGCATAAAGCTGGTGGATTTGGCAGGGGGGCAATGGGGAGTGGCTGCTAATGATACAGGTTTTTTAGGGAGGTGATAAAAATGTTCTAAAATTGATTGTGATGATAGTTGCACAACTGTGTGAATATAATATTAAGTTAGTGCAAACAGAATTGCAGCTTTTGCCATAAAATGTAAATGCAAAAACAGCAATTATGTTTGCACCAACCTAATAAACACCATTGAATTATATACGTAAAATGAGTGGATGTAGAGTATGTGAGTTATACCTCAATAGGACCTGTGTTATATTTATACTGGACAAGACTGTTTTACCTTACTGCTTCATTCTTCTCATCTGGGTCTATGATACAACTGGAATTGATGTTTTATGCAGGATGTAAGTTAAGACTCAAGATGAATAGTTTTCCATGTGGATATCCAACTGTCACAGAACCATTTATTGAACAGATAGTCATTTTCCCATCACATTGCAATGGCACCTTTACTGTAAAATGGCATTTTTTTGTTGTTTTGGTGGGCATGCTCCAGAGTCTCCTAACAAACTATCTTCTTTTTAAAACTTTTTCATTTTCCCCAGTATTATGGACTTCCTTCCTCTGCAATAACATTGTGCATCCATTTTAAATCAAGTGTTCATTAGGTTGAGTCATCATTGAAATTGACTGCAAACACTGCTGGTCAAGTATAAATGGTATTTATTTTCTTTAAAGTTTGGTTATAGATACGAAAAGTCTTTAAAAAAATAAGCACCCTTGGGTCTAGTAATTTCTCTTCCAACGTCTATACTAAGGAATTTAGAGATACATTTTAGGACAAAGATGTTTATCACAATGTTACTTGTTTTTATAAAGGTGTTCTAAAACTCTAGGTTTGCATAACAACAAAATAACAAAATAGATTAGAATGTATTCCATAAAAAGAATTTTCAAATAATATTTAATAATTTGAAATATTTGAAATGTGAAAGTAAATGGACAGACAATATAAAATATTTATATATTAGATCTCAGTTTTATGCATCTATATATATAAGAGAGAAGTATTACATTTGAATAAAGACAGAAATAAATTAAATGCCCTAACAGTGGATATCTCTGAGTGGGTTTGTGAGTAATATTTACTTTCTTCCTTGTATCTCTCTTCTTAATATTCTATAATATATTTCATTTAAAATGGATGCACAATATCACTATGGAGGAAGGAAGTACATAATATTGATGAATTTTCATTTTTTAACCACATTGAATCCAGCCTTACCACCAATGAGTTCGGTAATCTCAGCTATATTTCCTAATGTCTCTGATGGTCAAACTCTCAAGTATAAAATGTGAATGGTCACTGCTCCTCTGTGTCATTATAAGGATAAAATGAGATTGTATAAGCAAATCTTTTGACAAATTGTACATTTTATAAGAACTCAGTAAATAATTATTATGTATTATAAATTGTAGTCTTTCTCCTATCGTTGAACATTTAATTATTTCCTCTTTTTTACTTCTAGAAAGAATAGTGTAATACATATTCATTTTCAAAAATCTTTGGTTGTATTTTTGAGTATTTTTACAGGCTCAAGTTCCCAAAGTTGCAAAAGATTATGAACACTGACATATGTTTTTAAATTGGATTTCAGAAAAATTCTATCAATTTATATACTTCTGTCATTATAATGTAAGAAGGCCTATCCCAATAAACCATTACTAGCAGGTTAAAAAAAAAAAACACAGGTCAGCTTATTTGAGTTAGAATTTGTTTGATTACTGGAGAATTTGCGCTATTTACTTAAAATGTATTAGCCAATAATATTTCATTTTTTGTGAATTGTTTGTTTTTGTCCTTTGTCTTTTCTCTAAATACACATTTTTAAATATCTTTGACTAGTTTGTATAATTTATATGATTTTCAGTCTTAATTAAGTCAAATATCATTTACATTAATTTCTGTAATTAATTTTTTGAAAGGATGATTTCATGTATAGTTACACACATAATATACAGCCATTATATAAAAAAATCGTATAATTCCAAAAATATAAAATATTTTCAAAATCACTCCATATTTACGACTGAAAGATAGTCATTGTCAACACTTAAGCATATTATTTCAGATATATATGCATATATGTAGATATGCATGTATATTATTTCAGGTATATATATGTATATATGCATGTATATAATGATGAATAATAAAAAAATACAAATACTTTTACAAAGATGGTATCTCACAGTAATGCTACGCTTATTTAGACATAGTTAGAATTTAATTACATCTAATGGGGGGGGAAATTGCATTGAAATTAAGGAATATTGAACCTCAGATAAATGTTTCTTCACCACCTGACATTAATTACCAAAAAAGTAATATGAAATGAACAAATTAAATTAGAGGCACTTTAAGATGTTAGAGTAATTTTTTTTTAACTTTATGTTTCAAATTTAGACGGGCTGTATTGATCCCCTTCTCTGAATGATAAGGGAACTAGAATATTCTCTCCAAACTCCTCTCTGATATCTGGTGTTTATGTATTATAAATGCATATTTGATGTTTATTATGTTTACATTGCCAAAAATTTTATAATCAATATACTGCTTATTGTTTGATCTTGATTTTAAAGTTTAGAGGATTCAATGACCATTACCTTTACTTTTATGTTGAATTTTTCCCCCATTCTTGAATTTTAAACTTGGATTTATTTCTAGATTGGCTTGATATTTTTTTCATAAGCAGGGTTTATGATTGCTGTGATCTCCAATATTGCATGCTTGAACATGTAGCTATTATATACGAATAAAAATATAATGGGGTACAAATATTTCAAGCTGTATCTCCTATCTCTTAGAATTTTGTCCCATTGTATCCAATATCGAATACTGCCATTAGGCTAGTCTGCAATTTCCTTTTGATGCTCATTTCGGTTTGTGTTGTGGTTTCTCATATTGTGAATACTCTTCTGTTGTTTTTTTTGGTTTTGTTTCTTAATCTATCCCTGAAATCTATGGTTGAATTTGAACTCCAAAGAAAATTTGTTGTCACCTGTGGTCTGGAATCACATCACCATAACAAATGGACACTTGGACGAGCCTTTCAGAAAAACAGTATTTAGAATACAGAATATTGGCTGGGCAGAGTAGCTTGCACCTGTAATCCCAGCACTTCAGGAGCCCCAGACAGGAGGATCGTTTGAGCCCAGAAGTTGAAGACCAACTTGGGCAAAATGGTGAGATCCTGTTGTTACTATAAAAAAATTTAAAAATTAATTGGGTGTGGTAGCAAAGTGAGACCCAGTCTCTAAAAACAAAAACAAAAAATACAGAATATCTGTATTTGACGCCAGACAGCACTGTAGTGGCAAGTGCCAGGCAGTATTTTTATTGCTGCCCATCTTGTTCAAGATTTTGCAGTCTTTCTTTTTTTTTTTTTTTTTTTTTTTGAGATGGAGTCTCGCTCTGTCACCCAGGCTGGAGTGCAGTGGCGCCATCTCGGCTCACTATAAGCTCCGCCTCCCAGATTCACGCCCTTCTTCTGCCTCAGCCTCCCAAGTAGCTGGGACTACAGGCATCCGCCACCACGCCCTGCTAATTTTTTTTTTTTGTATTTTTAGTAGAGACGGGTTTTCACTGTGTTAGCCAGGATGGGATTTTGCAGTCTTAAAGAAGGTTGCTTTATAATATTATTCATGGTTTCTTTGAAGAAACAGTTTTCTCTATTTTTCTGTGATATTTTTTCTTTTTCTAATTGGGGTCAAGGAACAAAAGTTAGGGAATAGGCATTAGTTCATAAAAATGTTAAGAGGTAAGAATAAGTTTGTTCTACCATTTCTCATTTATATTTTTCTTGTGTGAGAAGTCAAAATTCAAAAATTAAATACTGTATCATATAAAACTTTATGCTTTACACATCAACATATGATGTCTTTAAACAGAAACATTAAAAATTAGTAGACAAAGGCTGGATAAGTAGTTAAACATAAATTGTTCAAATTAATCATAAATATTATTTTATATAGTAACTTACAAGATTGGATATTTTTTCTTCAGTTTGGCTTTTCAAGTTTCATACACATAGCTGTTGTAGTTATATGAGACCAGAAAAACCGTGATATCAAAGCATGAGAAAAAAATTAAATTAAATTAAATACTAATATACTTCATTAACCAAGACATAAATATTCTTTAGAAAGATTTAGCAAATTGAATTCAGCAATATGTAAACCATAACCAAGTCAGAATTATTGAAGCTGATTTGGCATCAGCAATCAATATAATGTGCTAAATTAATATCATAAAGGAAAAATATGATCACCTCAATAGATACTGAAAATCATTTCATGAAATTTTACACCAATGCTTAATAAGTAAATCCCTTAGCAAGTTAGGAATAGAATTTCTTCCACTTACAATTTAAAACAATGACATTTTCATAATTTCAAAAATTAAATTCTAGAAATCTAATTAATGAATTACATGTAATATCTCCATTCTGAAAACAGTTAAAACATTGCTGTGAAAAATTAAAGAAGTCCTAAGTAAAATGAGAAATATACTATGTTAGCGGACTGAATGACTCGAAATTTGTAGATATCAAATCTCCCTATATTAATCTATAGGTTCAACACAATCCCAAATAAAATCGCAGGAATCTTTCTTACGGAAACGATAACCTGATTTTAAATCAATATGGAAATGTAAAAGATCTAGAATACTAAAATAATTGTGAAGAATAAAATCAAGAATTAGACTACATGATTTTAAGATTTCCTAAAGATTGACAGTAATTTATACAGTGTGATTGTGGTGTAAAGATAGACAAGTATAACATGGAATAAAATAGAGAGCTCAGATATCTAGCAGCTTAGTGGGAAAAAAATAGATGATGTTGGAACAATTGCATATTTACATAGAAAAAAACTTGACCATTATCATACACAAATATTAATTTGAAATAGCTCATAGACAAAAATAAGCAAAGATTTATTATAAAGTTATAAAAAAGCACTAACCTAAAAAAAGCAAATTCACAAATAAGATTTATCAAAATTAAAATCATATGCTAATCAAAAACCACACCATTATAAAAATGGAAAGGCAAATCATAGACTTTGGAAATATGTGCAATATATATAACAAATAACTCACATCCTGAACAAAGAATTTCTACAAATCAATGCTAACATAAAGTGAACCCAACCAAAAGAGGCAAAACATTTGGACAGATACTCCACAAAAGATGGATAAAAGGCCACCAACCGCATGAGAAAATGATCAACATCATTAATTATCAAAGAAATGCAAAATAGTATCACAAGGAGATATACTATATACACATGGCGAAATAATATAAAGACTGAAATTCATCAGTGTTGACATGTAGAGAACCTGGAAATACCCATGCATTGCTAGTGAAAGTATAAAGTGGTATAATCACTTTGAGAATTAGTTTGACAATCCAAATGAAGTTAAAAATACATCTACTCCACTTCTTAGTTATTCCACTTTTAGGTACATATTCAGGAGAAATAAATGTATGCATAAGAATGTTCATAGCAACTTAATTCATAATAGTACAAAATACAGAATGTTTCATATGTCCATCAACAGGTGAATAGACAAACTGTAAAAAGTATACTAAAGCAACTTCAAAACAAGAAGCAACAAGCTACTGATGAAAAATGCTGCAGTTGAAAATGTTACATATATATTAGAAGCCACATGCAAAAGAGTATATATACTTAGATGTCAGAATAGTGGCTGCTTCTGTAGAAGTGTGAAGTGATTGACTAGAAAAGACAGGAGGAAATTTCCGGAATACTAGAAATATTCTGGACAACTTAATGGGAAAAAAGACTTTTAAACTGATGATATTGAAACAATTGCATATTTACCTAGAAAAAAATACTTGACTATCATCATACCAAATATTAACTTGAAGTGGATTGTAGACAAAAAAACAAGCAAAGAATATCTTTATTTGGGTTATGATTACATTGCTGCACATATTTGTCAAAATTGGTTGAACTTTGTACTTTAGATGAGTGCATTTTCCTGTGTGAGTATTGTATCTGTCAATAAAGTATGAAAAACCAGAACCATATTTGCCATACACAAAAGTTAATTTTTTATTATATAAAACATGTATATAAGGTTTTTCCTTGCAATATCAATAACACAATATTAAAATAAATGAAAAATATGAACAGGCATTTAACAAAATTAAATATAAATGGTCTATAAATTTATGGAATTGCATATAACCTCATTTATTTTAAAAACATGCAAATTAACCATGTAACCATACTCACCTCTCAAAATGGCAAGAGTTGAACAGTGATAAAATGTAGATATTTGCCAATATATACTATCTATGAGCATGTGGAGAAATCCTACTGTCATGCATTGTTTACGGGAATTTAAAATTGGTAGGCTTGGCACACCCTCACTGCAGTTCATTTAGCAATATCTTTCAGATTTTTTAAAAGTCATGTTTAAAACATAAATTTCACTTCTAGAATTCTCCTAGATGTTCTCTCATAAATGAATCCAATGAAATATGAAAAAAATTCACTCCCCATCACTCGCTGTAGGAACAAAAATCTGGGAGCAATAAAAATAATCATCTACAAAGAAGTAAGTAAATTATGGTATATTTCTAGACTTTGGAGGGACTACTATACGGTTTCTTAAAATGAAGTAAAACTGTTTTTGCTAATATGAAAATCTCTCCAAGACAGAGTGCTAAGTGAGAAAGAGGACAGTATAATAATATGCACCCATCCAGGGAGATCACGTTAGGAAATACATGCAGATGACTCCTGTGGTTGGTCACTCTGGAGAGTAAAACTGGGTACCAGATTGGGCAGGTGGGAGCTCCAACATTTTATTCTATTTTAACTTTGTTTAAAATAGAGATATACAAATAGGGCTCTAGAGCTGCTAATGAGATATTTGTACAATATTTTCCGAGGCAAAAAAGATAAGCATCAAGAGGCAAGCTTGTTGTTTCAGAAGGTACTCTGATATTTTAAAACCAATTAACAGTAGTAATTTGGTTTCTAAGTTTTCCAATCTAATATTATCCACATTTTATATGTAAAAGAAAGCACTAAATATGAAGGAAGGGTTTATATGGCATTTTTATATATAACTAACAGATGCAGAAAGATTCTGTGGTAAAAGCAAAAAATGGTTACAAATTATTCCCCTCCCAGTTCCCTTATCTTTTTGCAATATGATTCAGCAACTCTTCCCACCAAAATATGAAGTCTATTTCATTCTTTGAATCTGAGGTAGTCATATGATTGACTTTGGCCAGTTGAATGAAACAGAAGTGATGGTATGATAATACTTATTGTAGGCTTCAAGCCCTCTTGCATGCTTGAATTCTCCTTATTGGAATCTTGCCATGATGCCAGATAGACAAGCCCAAGACAACTGGTCAGATAATCATAGTCACATGGCCCACTTGCTCCCGATACTCCAGCTTTTAGACAACCAATCAAAGAGGTAGAGCTGCCTAGAAAGAACTGGCAGCTGACCCACGAAATGCAGGAATGAGCCCATAAAGAACAAGAGAAACACCCAGATGTTTCTAGCCCAAATTGCTAATCCACAGAACTGAAAGTTAATTAATATTTGTTGTTTTAAGTTACTAAGTTTTAAGATACATTAATGTGCAACAAAAGCTAACCTATACAAGATCTAAGAGATCCATATTTCATCCAAGATTGTTTCTCTTTGTCCATTTGTTTCATTTGGTTTCATCTATGCAACATAAAATGGGCACCTACAATGTGTCAAACATTGAGTGAGGTTATATGATGCCATGCCTTCTCTCAGAATGGCAGTCATTCGGTTGATACCTCATAGCTAAGAATAAAGAATCTGGAGGGCCGGGTGTGGTGGCTCACGCCTGTAATCCCAGCACTTTGGGAGGCTAAGGCGGGCGGATCACGAGGTCAGGAGAGCGAGACCATCCTGGCTAACATGGTGAAACCCCGTCTCTACTGAAAATACAAAAAGAAATTAGCTGGGCGTGGTGGCGGGGGCCTGTAGTCCCAGCTACTGGGGAGGCCGAGGCAGGAGAATGGCGTGAACCCGGGAGGCGGAGCTTGCAGTGAGCGGAGATCGAGCCACTGCACTCCAGCCTGGGCGACAGAGTGAGACTCCGTCTCAAAAAAAAAAAAAAAAAAAAAAAAGAATCTGGAGCCAGACTGCCCAATCTCATGTCTACCTCTGCTGTGTAATTTATGCAAATATCCAAGGTTTTTAGTGCTTCCAGTTTTTTATCAATAAAATGAAAACAATAGTGCATACATTCCTGGGTTGTCATGGGGATTAAATGAGTTAATAGTTATATTGAACTTGAAGCAGTGAAGGGTAATGAAATTTAAAAAAATTAATATCTAAAATTGGAAGAGTTTCCGTTTTTGCCTAAAATAACTAAACAATTGCTAGTAAGTATTGTCAAGATACACTTCACCTGAGGAGCCCCATCCCCTGTTGCTGTGATTATTGTTTGCTTCCAGATAACTGCTTTCCTCCTTATACTGAGACCTTGGTCTAGAGGAGTTGTCTCACTGAGAAATATCTGGGAGGTTATGGGGTTACACTAAATTTCTGGGGGCAATCTGTAGCTGATTGGCAAGAGGGTTCAAAGGACCAGCCTCTTTGCCTCAACGTACGACTTGGTCTCCGGTGCCCTTCATTCTCTATAGCTTCCTGTAGGATCAGGCTGAGATAAAACCTCAGCTGAACCACATCTTGGCTGAGTTTCTTCTCCTGTCCTATCCTACTTTCCGCCTTTCTCCTAAGAGCACTCTCCCAACTAATCATATGCATTTAAATCCCCATCTCAGACCCTGCTTCTAGGGAAGCTGGCCTAAAATAAGTATGAAATGTTATTTTCTGACCTTGCATCAGCAGCCTGTCAGGGAAGTTCAGAATGATTTAGCAAATCAAATTTGAACAGTGACAAGATAATAAGATACTAATTATAGCAGCTACCAGGAGACGAGATGCTCTTTGCAAGACCACCAGAGAGAAGAATAAAGTGCAATGCACATGCGGCTGCTTTGTCTCCCTTCTGTCCCTCTGAACGTTAAGTTCTGTTACACACAGTACCTGTCTTCTCAGATCATGACAGTGGGAAGGCTGAGCCTGTGGTGATTCTCAATGGACACTTGTTTGGCTTAAACTGGCAACTCACTTCTTGATAGGGCACAGTGATCTTGAGAGTGCAATATCATCACTCTCAAGACCCTGCGGAGTCTTCTGGATAGGTCTTTCCTATGTCGAAGATTGAATGACAGCAGGATACCTGGTCTTATTAGTTTCCCTGACTCAAGTCATTTTACTCATTTATCAACCATTTATAGGTCACAAGTTCTGGAAGGCAGAAAACATTGAAAGATCACCCAATGTGAGATACTAGACAATCAGCAACCTTGTTCAAACAGGATCAGGTGTTTCATCGAGGAAAGATAGAGACCCACCTGGGGATTCTAGTACAGTGCTTCTTACTCCAGTGTGTGTGACTAGAGAACCTCTTGTTAAAGTGTGTATTTGTGAGCTCTACCAATTTCAATGTTGAAGTCCATACCTGCTCCAGGGTACAGAGGAGGCCCATACAGCTACAGCCATGTCATCTCAATGCCCACCAAAATGGATGAAATAACACCAATGTGGCCTGGAACAATTAAAATCAACTTTAGATTTTAACTGACTGATTTAACTGAAGAATCTATTCCAATAGGTTTGGGTTGGGGGCCTGAAACTGCATTTTGAATGAACTGAGCACCCAGGTGATGCCACAATTTGAAGAGCAAGGCTCAAAAACAATCTTTTTCCAATCCTGGGTTTCTAATTTCCCTCTGGATCTCCTACCCATGGACATTTTTAAATAAGAATAGGCCAATTTGGCAGGACACAGTGGCTCACGCCTGTAATCTCAGCACTTTGGGAGGCTGAGGCGGACAGATCATGAGGTCAGAAATTAGAGACCAGCCTAGCCAACATGGTGAAACACTGTCTCTACTAAAAATACAAAAATTAGCCAGGTGTGGTGGTGGGAGCCTGTAATCCCAGCTACTCAGGAGGCTGAGACAGGAGAGTCACTTGAAACTGGAAGACAGAGGTTGCAGTGAGCCAGCCTGGGCAACAAAAGCAAAATTCCCTCTCAAAAAAAAAAAAAGCCAATTTATTCATGTATTGATTCGTTATTATGAATCATGCACTGCTCTAGGCACTGGGGAGCTATCAGTGAATAAAACACTAGCAGTGCCTATTCATAGGGATTTGACATCATACTGAGGAGGTAGCCAATACATAGGAAAATAGGAAGTATATACCTGGGGATAGAAATAAGGGCTATGTGATAAAATAAGGCAGGGAAAGAATGGAGAGTGAGTGGGCAGGAAGGGTGATATGGTTCAGATAATTTTCCCCTCCAAGTCTCATGTTGAAATGAGATCCCAATGTTTGAGGTGGAGCCTGGTGCAACTGCCATATGACCTATGTTTGGGTCATAGGGTGGATCCCTCATGAATAGCTTGGTGCCATTCCTGCATAATGAGTGCATTCTTACAATTAGTTACCAGATCCAGTTGTTAAAAAGAGCTTGGCATCTCCTCCACTCTTCGTTCCTTCCTCTCACCATGTGAGGCTCCCTTTCCTCTTTTCTTTCTGCCATAATTGGAAGATTCCTTAGGTCTTCACTAGAAACAGAGGCTGGTGTCATGCTTCTTGTACAGCCCACAGAACTGTGAGCCAAATAAAGTTCTTGTCTTTATAAATTACCCATCCTCAGGTATTCCTTTATAGCAATGCAAAACAGGCTAGGACAGAGGGGTGCTGCTTTAAATAGTTTGGTTAAATAAGGAGTCTCTGATGAGGTGACATTTGAACAAAGGCTTATGGGACCTGAAGGAATAAACTATATTCCTGGGGGAAGACATTTCAAAGAGCACAAACAGTCTGTGCAAAGACCGCAAGGAAGAAGCAGAGCAAAGAAACAGCAGGGAGATCAACCAGGCAGGACTGAAGTAAATGATGGGAAAGTGTTGAACCCAGGTGGCAGATGACTAGATTCACAGGACCATAAAATTTTAGTTCAAGTGAGTTGAGTTAGTAGAGGGTTTAAGACAGAGCAGGACATGATGTGACTTTCATTTTCAAAAAATTGCTCTGGCTTTTGTGTACACAGCATAAGGGAGAAAGGAAAGAGAGTTACACATCTATTGCTGTTGATGTTGATGCAAACTCGGCTCCTAGCAGTGAAAGGCAGAAGTGGTGAGAGTCTAGATAAATCCTACAGCTGAGGCAGCAGGTTTTTCTAATGGATTGAATGTGCAGAGTGAAAGTCAAGGATAACTCCAGGATCTGGATATAAGCACCTGAAAAAATGGACTTGCCATTTACTGAAAAGACTATAGGAGATACAGATTTGGAAGAAACATCCACGGTTTAATTTTTGCTATGTTTGCTTTAAGATGTCTTTTTAGCTCTCAAAATGGATGCACTTAACAGGTGGTTGGAATAATGAGCCTAGCGGGAAGTTGGGACTGGGGATGTAATTTTGGGAACCATCAAAATGCAAAGGGACTGGATGAGATCAAATAAGGAGTGAGTATGAGCAGCAAAACTCTCCTTGGAATGAGCCCTGGAAGACTGCATTAGAGGTTGGTGAGATGAGGCAGTAGAGACAAGGAGACTGGGCAGGAATTGCCCGAGAGGTAGAATGAGACCTAAACAGGAGTGGCATCCCTGAGTGAAGAGAAGTAATGAGGAGGCCTTGGTGGAAAACACATGGCAGAGTGGCATGACGTAATTGAAACTTCCTTGGCTAAAAATCTGCAATGTAGAGTTCTCGCCCAATATTTATTTTTCTCTGCTTTAGGAAAATGAATCCTAAAAATCAATCAATATGAGAATAAAGATATACAAAAGATTTTTTACAAAAACAAAACAAAGTGAAGCTCTATGCCTGACCAGGCATGCATTTGCAGCTGAAATCCTACATTTCTTTTATTTATTGTCACAGTATTATGCACAAACTGGCATTTAGAAGGATTGCCTCTGGGCCTCCATGAGTACATAAATGATCAAAGATTTAATTATTTGCCCAAAGTAGAGTCATGCATTTTAGAAAAGATGTTAAATAATAAATGTTGATATTTTAAGAAGGGTTCCAAGGCATCCATTTACTGTAATGTGGTAGAATTGGGACAAGAACACATCAGTGAATAAAGACTAGGTGCTTCTGGAGTTCTTGTCTCTCAATTCTCTCCATTTATTTTTAAAGTCAACATTTTTCTATCATTCCAAAGTTAAGTGAAGAAAGAAAAATTTTAAGGTGAATAATTCATATTGCCACAGAGAGACAAAAAAAAATTTATCATGTAATTTTTCTACTTTCTTTGTGTAATTGTAGTATGAACTAGAAACCAGAGAACCACACATCAGAAACTGTGTCTGTGAAGATATTTTCTGGACTTGGAATAACATAAGGGTTAATAAAAGTAAACCACAGCTGCAGCCAATATTTGTGGTTATTTACTGGGGCAGTGCTGCTCTTGATTAAGCCCATGCCTGCACTTACGCTCTGCATTTCCTCTTTTCTCCCCTGGAGAAAATGCTTTCACTCATCTGACTTCCCTACCTATTATTTGGGGGAGTTGTGTTGTCCAATTCAATGCCCAGCTTGATTCTAGCTTCCAGACCAGGGTCTAAGAAGAAGCCCTCTCACATCCTCACGTATCCTTATTTTCATCTAGCTCCTTGCACCCACTTCCTCCCCATAGTGTCTGGATCCATTTTCCACCAAGTCCCACTGTATACCTGTATTAGTCAGAGTTCTCTAGAGGGACACAACTAATAGGATAGCTGTATATATAAACGGGAGTTTATTAAGGAGTATTGCCTCACACGATCACAGGGTGAGGTCCCACAATAGGCTGTCTGCAAGCTGAGGAGCAAGGAAGCCAGTCTGAGCCCCAAAGCTGAAGAACTTGGAGTCCGATGTTTGAGAGCAGGAGGCATCCAGCATGGGAGAAAGATGTAGACCAAAAAACTAAACCAGTCTAATCTTTTCACATTCTTTTGCCTGCTTTTATTCTGGCCGCACTGGCAGCTGATTAGATTGTGTCCACCCAGATTGAGGGTGGGTCTGCCTTTCCCAGTCCACTGACTCAAATGTTAATTTTCCTTGGCAACACCCACAGAGTCACACCCAGGAACAATACTTTGCATCCCTCAATCCAATCAAGTTGACACTCAATATTAACCATCACAATACCCAATAACCCCATCTAGCTTTCAACTCTCTCTCTCTGTCTTTTTTCCCATTGCACAAAGAGGAAGATGAATCTCCAATCCCCTAAACCCGGAGAGCTTCCAGGCTCTTGTGTTTTCTCCTTTGGTGATCAAGCCTTCCTACCTTCACTCTCGGATTGTTTCTTAGGTTTTACAAGTTAACAACCACCTCTAGACCTCTGCCATTAAAAAGGTGGGCAAAGACCTCGGAAGAGGAAATAAAGTTCAGTGAGAAGCTGTGGGTGGAAAGGGAAGGATGGTGAGAAGTGGGGAAGGCAATCAGCTACTTGTGTTAGGGTACTTTGAGATAGAGTATTTAGAAAGGTTTCTGTGGGTTATGTTTTTGTCTTTGCATGTGAAGGCATGAACCAACTCTGCTCTAAAGATCTACAGGATAGATTCCCCTATCTGTGGGAAGTTTTATCCTGTAAGTAAAGGGCAGAAAAGGGCAAAGATGAAGTAAGAATTCAGAGGGACAAGAAACTCATCTGAATTAAATATCCTGAGTAAGAAACATTGGTTTAAAGAAAAATATATGCCATGGATGCTAATACAAAGCAAATGAAATAGAGGCAGCGTCAAATTATTGTTTATAGGCTTTCTCTCTTACTCGTTTATCATTTTCCTGAACCCATCTGTCCTTAGTGTGTATCAAAGGATAATTAGTTTCTTAGATATCAGAAGAAAAGAACTCAAGAAACAAGTCCTTGTGGATGGACATAGTGTTATTAAGAACCTTGTATGCATCACAAAATATTTGGTAATGGGATATGCATTTAGGCAGAAATACATTGTGATCTAATCAGTGCCTGACATCCTGACATTTTTTTCCCCCGACACAACTTCGTGCCCTTGTTTTTCTTCCTTGTATAGTTTTGCTCTACAATCAGGATTTTCTGTCATGCACCACCATATACCATTGCCCCTCCTGCACTCAATGGCATGTTTTGGCAAAAATGGGTCTTGTTATTAGATAAGAGGGTTGAGATCTCAAGCATGGGGGCACAAGGAGATAGTATGATGTAGGATTTGAGACTTGGGTCCTTATTAGCCAATCTGAGCTAGTATGAAGACTTGGAACATTTGGTTGTAGGCTCTCAAAAGAAGGTGCAAACTTCAACCTCACAAACTATCAAAAATTGGTGGCCACTGGGGTATAACATCCATTGGACAGTGTTACTTCCTATGGTGTTTTTAATTCTAGGAGGCTGCCCTCCTCTTTCCACCCTTGACTTTGTATTTTTCCCTTTTTCTATTTTCTAAATTTAGTCTCCCATTTGTCCTTAAAGTAAAAATAACAATGTCAACCTTTCATTGTTTTTAGGGGACTTAAATGAATAATTACGTGAAAATGCTTTTGTAAAATGTAAAACAAAATGCCTTGTTTGGTAGATGTCGTTATCATTATTATTAGATGGTAAAGAAAAGTGTGAGCCAGGTTCGGAAGTCATTTAGGAGGCAGAAGTGGAATGAAATCCAGGGAGGCTGCTGGTTATAGCATAAATAACTTAAATAGATGGATGCATTGTGCATGGTGAAAATTCTCCAAGAATAAGATAACCTGAGAGAACTCTTGCCTCTTTTTCTAGAAACTTCTTCACCCTTTAGCAATACCCCCCCTCACAGATATACCTTTATTCAGAGCTAAGATTTGTATATATATTTCCACCAAGATAAGTGGAAATTTGGCAGTCATTTGCTTACTTTCCTCGGTGTCTCCTGCCAAATTGAATTGATCCAAACATAAAAATAGCAAGGGCTGAATGATCCAATTCAGTTTTCCACTCTGAGCAGGTTAACTAGTCAAATGGAAGCTAAACACATTGAGTGGGACATACAGGCTGAAACAAGGCAGTGATAGGTGTTAGGATTATTTGACTTTTTGTTTATCTTTCAAACATCAGTCTTGGAGACGGGTAACCCTATTGACTCAGCCTCGTCTAGACTGGTTCAGCCAAATGCATGAGACAAATCTGAGCCTCTCACCACCCAGACAGTGTTTCTATGCTTTCCTTTTAGTACCCACTTCTAAACTTCATTCATGTACTAGAAATGTAATTTTTTTCTTTTTTCCCTGTGTACTGGCAAAGGGTTTCTTATTTTAAATACTGCCACAATGGTTCCTTTGAAGATCCCTCTGAGATAGATACCTATCAACTACTAACAGATTGGTAAACTGATGCTCATAGCTTTGGCTCAAGTTTAGTTGCATGGTAATTGACAGAACTGGAGTTCCAATGTACATGATTAGACTCCAAAACCAGTGCTCCTTTTACTCTACTTAGCAGTTATTATTATTACTGTTAGTCACCACAAGTGCCACATCTCTGTGGATGACCCACGACTTTCTCCACCTCATGATTATTGAACTGACTTGATCCCACAGATATCCAGAGATGTTCCACCTCAACTTTGTTTATTTTTATTATAACATATTTTCAACCTTTCCAACCTCCTCCTACCCAACATGGTGGCCCTTGACTCTATACTTGCAGGTATCAGAAATCTTAGTAATTAGGCCTCTCCCTACTTAGTATAGGAACCATCAGACATTTCACGTGTAGATTTTGTGTGCATATGTTTATGTCCTCAACTTACTGTGCAGTTCTTGTAGGTAGAAACTGACTTATGTGTTATCTATCACCCATACTATTTATCATAGTGTCATGCACATAATTCACACTCAATGTTATTTTTAAAGACAAAATACTGAATAATTAATACATGAAGAGAGAGGGAAAACACTTTTGCAAAAAGTATGATGATAGGGTCTGCTTGTCACGGAATGTGTTTCCATGCATGGCCTTCTGCTATACAATTTTGCTTCTCATGATGGGAAAGAATGTCTTATTTTCTATGGCTGCAATTTTACCAATACCTCTCATTAGCCTTATTAGCCTTGTGGTGGAGCTGCTAATTTACTATATCAACCTTTCCAAAATGAAGTGTGTGCAATAATACACCTTGGGAAAGTTTGAATGTTATGCCTTATTTCGACATGGAGACATGAATGATCATTGTAATTATTCTTCAGGCCCTGGTGAAATTGAGGCTGTGTCCACATAGAATCAGCAAGGTGAAAATTTTTACAATTTGATTTGTATAGACTCTCTGGGGTAACCTTCTTGGGGTTGAATTGTTTGCCATTCATCCATTTCATCATTCAGTTTACAAACATTTATTGAGCTCTTTCTACACAGTAGGCACTGCCTACAGTGAACAGTCTGATGTAGACCCATTTTCATAGCATGAATAGAAGAGATCTTACCTCGATGAAGGATTAAGTGACCCACTCTCCTCCTAATGTCCTCCTGTGAGCAGAGCAACCTAGGACTAAGTTAAGAAGGAAAGACTTTCAGAAAATATCTGTCTTCAGAGCTACAGAGTACAGTCATATAAAGATCAGCATCCCAATAGCGAAACTTTATTTCCCTCATATTTTGTCTTTGAAGCATTTTTTTTCATGGGAATATTTAGCTAAGTATATAGCTAAGTATATCCTTGATGACTTTGAACAAAGGATAATATTTCTGGGCTGTAAGTCACTTAGCTGGTCTTCCTGGAGTGTGTGTGTGTGTGTGTGTGTGTGTGTGTGTGTGTGTGTGTGTGTGTGTGTGTACTGGCAGTAAGTTAAGTGACTTTACCAGGATCACAAGGCTGGTTAAGGGTAGAACAGGAATTAAAACCCAACTTCCAATTCCACTGCCTTTCCATATGCTATATTATGTCAGACTCCCTTATTAGTCAATTACATATAATTTGCACCTTACTTTGAAATTTTAGGAGCTCCTAAGGACAATTGTCAAATATTGAAGACTTTATATAAATATTTTCCATCCGTATTATACCTCTTATCTTTAACATCCAAGATGTGTCCCTCTACTTTGAAAATTTGATGCCATTTTTTAGAATTTCTGTTGCCAGTAACTTCAGTTTCTAGGCCAGTCTTTGGAGCTAGCAGTAGCCTTTAAAAAAATAGAATAAATCATGTGCCAGGAGATTAACCACTTTGCAATTTTTAATAATCTTTTCTTTCTTCAGTCCCCATGTTTTTCCAACTTTATGGGCAGAAATCACTAAAAAAAAACCTAATATTAACTGGGCATTATGATGTTCTAGATTTTATACTGTTTATACACATATTTACATGCAATGCTTAAAAGAACTCTTTGAGGTTCTTTTAAGAACCTCTGTATGAATAACATTCTTGTAAGAACCTTCTGTATATAACATTTCTATCTGCCAGATGAGAAAACAGAGGGTCAGAGAAGCTAAGCTTGCCTGACTCCCATAACCCACCCTGCCTTCCCATACCTTACCCCTGTTCCACAAATGTCTCATTATGTTTAGAGATCTCCCAGAGCCAGGCCCAAAATGGGGCTGTGAATAGGTGAGGGTATGGTTGAATTTCAAGCCAGATCTAAAAGATTTTTGGATTATACGTAGCTTTAATTTAGCCATGTTTCATCTCCTTTCCAGCAGTGTGTATTACTTTCCTTGTACACCAGAATGAAATTATAGGGATGAGATCAAGTAGTCTTTTAAATTGATTCCTTTGTGTTCTGTGAAAAACAAAACTAATCATTTCTGAAATTTGGTATTTTATACATATCTCCTGTCCCTCCTACTTCCACTGCTACAGTGAGTCTGTTCAGCCATCCCAAGGTACATGCATCTCAGGTTCTGTTAGCTTAAAGACCCAAGAATAACAGACACAAAAGGGCTTCCAGAGGGTTTTACTGAGGCCTTGAGGACTTGTGTAGTGGATTTTAAGTGCAATCTGGTGCATCTCTACTTTGGTAGACCAAACAATAGATTATAACTAAGACTAGAATCTTCCAGAGCAAAGTGAACATGAAGACTGTAGAATGCAGCAACACTCCAAGACAATGTTACCCAAAGTGTCTAGTGTAGTTCAAAGACCTGCAATATGAGGATCACTTGGAGGAGGATAGGGGTATGTCAAAAATGTAGAATGTTAGGCTCCATCCTAGACCTAACACATTTCAGTCTCTAGAATTAGGATCCAGGAATCTGTTGTAACAGTCTCACTGGACCATTCTGATGCACACTAAAGTTGAGGAACCCTGTACTAAAGTGTCAACAACCAATGGAACTATAAACAAAATACTAGCTTCTATGGCTAACACTGAAAAAGCACCATCTGAGATACCAGATAGCCTCCAGACTAGCAGAAGAGATAAGGCCAATGCACTTGAAAGAACATTAAAGTCAGCAACAAAAGTGTATACACGCAAAGCTGAACCACAGGTCCAAATCTCCTGATGAGTCAGTTTCTTAAAAACCTCAAGTTGCAAGGCTGAGAGACTTCAGCATCCACTTATCTCTTTACAGTTTCAAATTATAAAAGTTTAAAATAAAAACAGATTTTGCTCTTCCAAAAAATAAAAAGACACAAGAGGTTCTCAAATGTCATATTTCAAAAGGTTACCTATACGTTTTCTGTTTGTAAATCTGCACACTCGTTTTTCATTGACAATATTCCCTGGACCCTAGAGTTCTAGCTATCCCTGGAGTACTAATGGCAGGAGTAAATTGAACTAAGGACTCCTCTCTCTCCCACCTTTGAGATCAAATCATTCAAAGTTCCATCTTTGATTCTCCTTTGCCACATGCCAGGCCCAGTGACACAAAGCTCTGCCCATGATAATGACTTAGTGGCCTGGCAGGGTACAGCGGGAACATCTGAGAGTGAATGGGAAGCCTCTGGCTAGGAGAAATGCCTGAGACTCCGCTCAGGCTGGTTGGCTTCTAGTTGCTGATTCTTTCCTTCTAAGGGCCACAGTTCACCTAACTTCCAATCTATAGTCACCATCTATTGTTTTGATTAGGAATATCTCTGTTCCTGCCTCCTTGTGAGTCAATAAAAATGTAGCATGCTTTCCTTTATCTTCCAGTTTTCTTAGGTCTTAGGACAGTGGAAGTGAAAATGGTGAAGGAGGAATGAGATGCACCAGAGATGAAGGTGTTTAGCATATGGCCTCACCAGGGGAGTTGAACTCTCAGTCCAGCTTTGCTTCTATATGAAGTGTTGGGTATAGTGTTATTCTCATTACACAAAACATCTTTTATTAGATTCCTCATCACCCTCAATCAAACACGGCAACAAGACCATGTAGATGTACTGCTTTGGTTTGTCACTGCTCATAAATGTGATTCCAAAGCTGGAAATCTGTGGCACTGGCTACTTGAGTAGCTGAGAGCTTAAAGTCTCCTTCAACCAACTGCTCGATTTGGTAATTTCTTAAATTCCTTAAGAAAGGATGCACAATGTTAAAGTACTCTTTTTACGCTGAGAAAAAAAAAGAGAACACAAATAGTAACAATTCATAGCACTTCATCTGTTCCTGACAAGCCTTCATAATAGATTTTTTAAATGTACATATTTTCCCCCCAAAATTAGAGGATGCAGTGTTGGGATGTGTAAATAAATACGTTAATTTATTTAAAGCTGGTTGCCACATTCAAATAGCACATGCCACTCTAAAAGAAACCGATGAATAATTTACCATGGTGAAACAGAAGATGCTTTTAGGAAAATATTATGATAGACTCTCCCACAACAGTTTTAAAACTTACCTTAATAATGTGTGTTACTTTTAACTGTGTCAATAACTTCATAACAAAATGAAATATCCAAGTGACATTCATTTCAATTAAATTTATTTCTACCTGAATTAGGTAAGCCTTAGCCAAAAGTAGTAGTACAAGAAGTAGTAATAGTAACACTACTACTAATAATAACAGCCATAATAAGGGCTATCATTTGTTGAGTGTCTTGTATTATACGCTAGGCACAAAAATAAGCAGCTTGTGACATTACATAATGCAATTCACACCACAGCTCCAAGTAAAAAAGTATCATTATTCCTATTTTAGAGATGAGAAAACTGAGGTTCAGTCACACAATTATTAGAAAGAAGAATCTTTGCTTCTGTCTTTTTAACCACATATTCTCTAATAAGGCTCGGAGGCCTGTGTGTCCTCCAGACTTCACAAAGGAAATTCAAGACCTCCTTCAGTAGGTATTGCTATTCATTTTTATGCATAATTAAGAAATTATATGCTGCTGTTAGCCCTGGTAATGTATTGCCTAACCTCTCACATTCTTCCTTGATTGCCATGTAAAGGATTTGAAAAGAGATATTTTAGAATAATTACCCATCGGTAATCATCTCCACACAACACAAATCACATTTGATTTCCCATTAAGACAGACCAGGAGAATGAGAGGTTTTTACTCCAGAATGCTTTCTGCTTCAATCAGGTTAATTCTATGTTTCCATTCCATTGGTCTTAGGAATTTAAACATGGGAAAATGGAACATATTCTATATAGGGGATAATAACACCCACAACCATGGGTCTTGATCCACTGGTGAAAAAGTGTTTAATTATTAGCTTTCTAAGTAGAGAGCCATTCCATTCAGAATTGCCTCTTTCTAAGAAGGATTCATTCAGCAAATAGGTGTAGGCATTTTATTACTGCAGGGCAGTTGTTTACTCTGATTCATTCTAAAGCTCAGACCTTCAAAAACACAGCCTGTCACATAAATTAACTCATAGAGAAGAACAAAGGAACAAATGTCAAGCCACCATAGTTCATCGATGTCAGTTTGTAATACCAATCAGCAGCCCACCAATCCATGGCTCCATAACAGTTATGATTTATAAACGTAGTAACCTTTTAAGATGATCAATATATCAATAATTTTTGTGTGACAATTGCCAAGACTTAGCTCCCCATCTTTTCCTTTAAGTAATATTACAGCATTATTGGAGCATCATAATCTTAATCTGGGAGATCTGATTTTTCACCTGAAATTATCAGGTTAATCAAAACCACCATCTAACACCCTCCCCTCACTAGTCTGACTTCCACTCATCTTTTATCCCCTATGAAGAGAAAGGAGCCATCCTTCTGACAGGAGTACGTATCTCTTCATCACTCACATAGATAGAATATTTGCTGCCCAAACCTATGAACCAAGAACTATTTCCTCTTGTCCTTCAATCCCATTATTGACACTCTTTTTCCATATTCACTGTGCCACTCCCTTTCTTGTCCTCACAAGGAAGTATCACGTGCATGGACATTGGAAGTTAAGTCGGATAATTACTTTGTCTAGGGGCATTTTAATTTAAGTCACCTTTATTTTTTTCTTTTTCATTTTAGCTTGGTAGTAACACATGTGGTTTGGTGATTACGTAGTGTTTGGTTTATAATTTCCCTTAAATTGTGCAAACACATGTCTGTTTGCTTCATCTATTTTATACATGTATGATGTATTTCATAAAATTTATAAAGCATACAGAAAAGTGCTTATGAAAATTTAAATAATAGTTAGCAACTGAGCATTTGGGTACCTACCATGCAAATCAAGAAATAAAATATTGACAGTGCCTCAAAAAGTTCCTGTTTATCTTTTGCCTGTGGGAGATTTTTCCTTCAACTTGAAGGTAACGGATCCCCTGACTTTTGTGGTAATGATTTCCTTTAAGCCTTATCTTTCCTATAAAATGAGTGCCCTTGCCCATGTTAAATAATGTTAAACATCCAAATCACGTAAGTGACTTTTTATAGAATCAAATTCATATCATACTCATGGTGTATAGATAATGCACCAGATATTAAATTAGGAGCTAGAGGAATAAAAATCAATAAGATATAGTCTCTACCTCCAAGAAACTCAAAGAGAGACTTTACTAAACTCATGAAAGCCGAAAAGCAATGTTTGGTTTACCGTAACTACAATCCCATTCTCCCAAGGAGAATTGAAATGAGAAAAACAAGACATGCAAGATTTTTCATCGCTTTGTCTCAAACCAGTACATGGACTGGCCACTGTTGAACTGAGGAAAGAGGATGGTCAAGTCTTTCCCTAGAAAATAAAGTGGGTGGGCGGAAAGGGAATGGCCTCACATAAGAATCCAAGAAGTGAGTATATTTTCTCTCTCTGGCATCGTAAATGAGCCATATCCAGCTCATTTCTAAGACGAGAAGAAAGGTTGATTCGTAAGATTTCAGAAAAGGAAACTTTGGGAAGAACTTTTTCTTAATTTTCTAAGGGTTACTCAGGTATTTTATCCTTTACATCCCTTATTTGGAAAATATAGATAATGGGCCACCAAAAGAACGCACTGGGATGTTTGTGAGACATTTTGCACAATGCTTGGCACCCAGGAGTGCTCCATAAGTGTGGCTGAGCCTTTCTGAATTGCTGGTTCCGTTATCTGGACCAGTCTTGAGTCAAGAAGAAAAAAGTGGGGCTGAAGAGGACAATTGGTAGGTTAATGGCAGGACATTGTGCTAAGAAAGGCCAGCACTCATGCTTCTGTAACTTGCTATTTATTGAACAAACAATTATATTATTTAATTCATGACAAAAATTTTATCTACAAACCGAAGAGTGAAAAGTGTTGAATGATAAATTATTATTTCAGTTAAAGACAGAAAAAGTCTTCTCAAGAATGCTTTACCATTTTCTGTGGAGTCTGACTCAGACTCCCAAAATCCAAGGGTCCTCATTACTCTCCCATATATTTGGCACTGTGTGACCCATTTTCTTCTTGTACTGTGGTGGTATTAATTGATATTTATAACCTTTATTTTCATTTTTTATGTTTTAAAAATTATTTTTACTTTTCTTGCAGTGATGATAAAATTATAATATAATAGTTAAAAAATGAAGATGTGTGGTTGGATACCACTGGGTTCAAATCCTGCATTCATTGCTTAAAACTATGTGTTATATGAAAAATCCTTACATTCTGTAAACCTCACCTATAAAAGAGGTATAATAATAATGTCCACTTCTTAGCTATATTAAGAGCATGAAATATAATAATGTACATAGTGAATTTGTAATAAATGATGGTTTTTGCTATTATCTCCCCAATTTGATTCTAAGAGGAGGATATCGTGTCAGGGCTGGCTGATTGGGTTTTGGTGATGACAATGTTATGGAAGAACAAAGAAACATATTACCTATTTGGACATTTTTGTTTTTAGTGCTGGGAAATTCTCTGTATTACAACAAATAGGGTTTAGGTACCCTCAAGTTAAATCACGAATGTGGCAAACAATTATAGGTTTGAAGTGCTTTAAACTTTGTAATCCCGTCACCTTGGAGTTACTGTCCAGTGATTTTCATCGGGTAATCCATTGTAAATCTCAGCTCGTCATCCTTCAGTTGGAATTTGCTGTCTTTTGTTGGAATGGAAATTGCTCTTCTTATTGCATGGAAGTACAAGATACACTTATCAAAAAGAATGATGTTCTTTGATAAACAATTCAAAACTTACTGATCCCCTATGTTTTTTTTATTTCTAAGTGGTTCCCCTCGGGAAGCTATGTAAATATTTCAATTTTATGTCCTTTGCCCATAAAACATTTGAAACCCCCAGGGATACGTTACTGTTGTAACTGAAAGAACATGGTCTTTGACTTTGACATCAGAGTGATGTGAGATTGTATCTGCCACTGCCAAATCCTAACAAACTCATCTGTAATAATCACTGAATCTCACTGGCAAGTACAGATGACGGGCTTTTGAGATAATCCCCTAAAGTGATATTTGGAAAATATAATTTTTGGAACGTATTAAGTGTTCAATAAATATTAGTTTTCCCTTAGTCTGGAACTCACTTTGGATCAAATTTGCCAGCCTTATTGGAAAAATCAGTTTCATTGTATTCCAATCATTAGCTCATGTTTGATACCAAGTGTAATCATCTATTTCTTAGTTCCAGACTTTTCTAATAGACTTGATTCCCTGTGATTGTTAGATTTCATGGGAAAATCTATTCATGGGAAAATCAAATTAATTATCAGTGGACAAATATTAATCATAAATAAAAATTTTGGTTTAATTAGCATGCCTAGCGCTTAGCACATTTCCAGTCACATAGCAGGCCCTCAGACAATGTTTGTTGAAAGAGCAGGCCTCAGGTGAGAATTCCACACTGATGGATGTAACTTCCAAAGATGCTAAAGATTGGCAGCACACTAAAATATGTGTATAGTTCTCCATGAGTAGAACACACATTCACATAACAAAGTTCAGTGGTAAATATTTTTTAAGTCACTTCAGTTCTTAGTCAATGCTTTGTTTATAAACTCTTCCCCATAATTCAAGACAGTCTTAATTCCTCACTCTGAAGGAAACCCACACAATAGTATGAACAATAAAATGTGAGGCTCTAAAAAATGCTGTTGGAGAAATTAAAGGCCCTTAGTAATAAAGGGCAAAGTTGAATTATTAAATTCACGTTTTGCTATAAAAATAGTAATACATTTCCCACTCTCCTATATTATTTATTTGTGCTTCTATAATAAAAGACAGATAACAAAGCATTTTTACCCCATTTTACAGAAATTAAAGCAGACTTAGTGAAGTCAAAATCTCCAGGTTATAAAATGAGAATGGTGAGCTTAGGTCTTCTTACTCTAAACTCTATATTTCCACTTGATAATTGTCTGATTTCTATTTGAACAAGAACTAGTACCAACGATAAAAGGAGAGAGCCACAATTTTTGATGGTAGTGTTGTTTACTTTTTTTTTTTTTATTTTGTCGGTTTATTTTCCCTAATGGTAAGTGATGACAACTACCTCAATGTTCTGAGCTAGTTCAATGTATAGACACAATGGGAGTCCATTTCATTATTATTTCCAGAGGATAGAAAAGCCATTTACTCTTCCTTTTGCTAGTTTTTCTCTGCAGTAATATCTAAAAATTCTTTCTTAGGGTTTCTGGAGCAGAGACCGAGATGGGGCTTTTGTGCAAGCGATTTATTGAGGGAGAACCCTCTCAGAGAGTGGAGAAAGCAGAAGAGGGTAGGGGAAGAAGCTAGACAAGGAAGTGGTTCAACTGAAGCCTAGTTTCAGTTTGATCCCACAGGGAGTTCTGGAGTATGACAGGGACCACAGAATTATCCCTTCATGAGTCAAAGGGGGAAGATTTTATACTCCTATATTAGTCAGTCATTGGCTGTGAGCTGCTCCTGGGGTGGGAGGGCATAATCTTCACAGCAAGGTGGCTCCTATCTGCACAGGGCAGTTCAACAGAAAAGTAAGGAGCCGAGAGCCAATAATATCCAACATTCACAGCCACTACAACACTCAGCAACCAGCTACATGGTAGAGGGGATCTGAATGGGATAGTAACAGTGTCACTACAACTTCTTGTGTATGATGAAAAATTTTAAAATATATATTTCAAGGCAAAGCTTTTTACATAATAAACTCAATTTTTATTAAGATGTGAAAGATTGATATCAAGTCCTTGGAAGAACTATGGTTTCCATCAGTTTAGGGAGAAATGATAAAATCACAGAAGAGGCCACTGAGGGGCATCAAAAAGATTTTAATAATTTTATATGTAGTGCCAAAAATTTGCATTATTTGAAGGAAATATATAGAGGAATTCTAGAGTTTTTTTATTATACTTTAAGTTTTATGGTACATGTGCACAACATGCAGGTTTGTTACGTATGTATACATATGCCATGTTGGTGTGCTACACCCATTAACTCAGCATTTACATTAGGTATATCTCCTAATGCTATCCCTCCCCACTCCCCCCACCCCACAACAGGCCCCGCTGTGTGATGTTCCCCTTCCTGTGTCCAAGTGTTCTCGTTGTTCAATTCCCACCTATGAGTGAGAAGATGCAGTGTGTGGTTTTTTTGTCCTTGAAATAGTTGCTGAGAGTGATGGTTTCCAGCTTCATCCATGTCCCTACAAAGGACATGAACTCATCATTTTTTATGGCTGCATAGTATTCCATGGTGTATATGTACCACATTTTCTTAACCCAGTCTATCCTTGATGGACATTTAGGTTGGTTCCAAGTCTTTGCTATTGTGAATAGTGCCACAATAAACATACGTATGCATGTGTCTTTATAGCAGCATGATTTATAATCCTTTGGATATATACCCAGTAATGGGATGGCTGGGTCAAATGGTATTTCTAGTTCTAGATCCCTGAGGAGTCGCCACACTGACTTCCACAGTGGTTGAACTACTCCCACCAACAGTGTAAAAGTGTTCCTATTTCTCCACATCCTCTCCAGCACCTGTTGTTTCCTGACTTTTTAATGATTGCCATTCTAACTGGTGTGAGATGGTATCTCATTGTGGTTTTGATTTGCATTTCTCTGATGGCCAGTGATGATGAGCATTTTTTCATGTGTTTTTTGGCTGCATAAATGTCTTCTTTTGAGAAATATCTGTTCATATCCTTTGCCTACTTTTTGATGGGGTTCTTTGTTTTTTTCTTGTAAATTTGTTTGGGTTCTTTGTAGATTCTGGATATTAGCCCTTTGTCAGATGAGTAGATTGCAAAAATTTTCTCCCATTCTGTAGGTTGCCTGTTCACTCTGATGGTAGTTTCTTTTGCTGTGCACAAGCTCTTTAGTTTAATTAGATCCCATTTGTCAGTTTTGGCTTTTGTTGCCATTGCTTTTGGTGTTTTAGACATGAAGTCCTTGCCCATGCCTATGTCCTGAATGGTATTGCCTAGGTTTTCTTCCAGGGTTTTGATGGTTTTAGGTCTAACATGTAAGTCTTTAATCCATCTGGAATTAATTTTTGTATAAGATGTAAGGAAGGGATCCACTTTCAGCTTTCTACATATGGCTAGCCAGTTTTCCCAGCACCATTTATTAAACAGAGAATCCTTTCCCCATTTCTTGTTTTTGTCAGGTTTGTCAAAGATCAGATAGTTGTAGATATGTGGCATTATTTCTGAGGGGTCTGTTCTGTTCCATTGGTCTATATCTCTGTTTTGGTACCAGTACCATGCTGTTTTGGTTACTGTAGCCTTTTAGTATAGTTTGAAGTCAGGTAGCATGATGCCTCCAATTTTGTTCTTTTGGGTTAGGATTGACATGGCAATGCGGGCTCTTTTTTGGTTCCATGTGAACTTTAAAGTAGTTTTTTCCAATTCTGTGAAGAAAGTCATTGGTAGCTTGATGGGGATGGCATTGAATCTATAAATTACCTTGGGCAGTATGGCCATTTTCATGATATTGATTCTTCCTACCCATGAGCATGGAATGTTCTTCCATTTCTTTGTATCCTCTTTTATTTTGTTGAGCAGTGGTTTATAGTTCTCCTTGAAGAGGTCCTTCATATCCCTTGTAAGTTGGATTCCTAGGTATTTTATTCTCTTTGAAGCAATTGTGAATGGGAGTTCACTCATGATTTGGCTCTCTGTTTGTCTGTTATTGGTGTATAAGAATGCTTGTGATTTCTGCACATTGATTTTGTATCCTGAGACTTTGCTGAAGTTGCTTATCAGCTTAAGGAGATTTTGGGCTGAGACGATGGGGTTTTCTAGATATACAATCATGTCTTCTGCAAACAGGAACAATTTGACTTCCTCTTTTCCTAATTGAATACCCTTTATTTCCTTGTCCTGCCTAATTGCCTTGGCCAGAAATTCCAACACTATGTTGAATAGGAGTGTGAGAGAGGGCATCCCTGTCTTGTGCCAGTTTTCAAAGGGAATACTTCCAGTTTTTGCCCATTCAGTATGATATTGGCTCAGGGTTTGTCATAAACAGCTCTTATTATTTTGAGATACATCCCGTCAATACCTAATTTATTGAGAGTTTTTAGCATGAAGGGTTGTTGAATTTTGTCAAAGGCCTTTTCTGCATCTATTGAGATAATCATGTGGTTTTTGTCATTGATTCTGTTTATATGCTGGATTACGTTTATTGATTTGTGTATGTTGAAGCAGCCTTACATCCCAGGGATGAAGCCCACTTGATCATGGTGGATAAGCTTTTTGATGTGCTGCTGGATTCGGTTTGCCAATATTTTATTGAGGATTTTTGCATCGATGTTCATCAGGGATATTGGTCTAAAATTCTCTTTTTTGGTTGTGTCTCTGCAGGCTTTGGTATCAGGATGATGCTGGCCTCATAAAATGAGTTAGGGAGGATTCCCTCTTTTTCTATTGATTGGAATAGTTTCAGAAGGAATGGTAACAGCTCCTCCTTTTAACTCTGGTAGAATTCGGCTGTGAATCCATCTGGTCCTGGACTTTTTTTGGTTGGTAAGCTATTAATTATTGCCTCAATTTCAGATCCTGTTATTGGTCTATTCAGAGATTCAACTTCTTCCTGGTTTAGTCTTGGGAGGGTGTATGTGTCGAGGAATGTATCCATTTCTTCTAGATTTTCCTGTTTATTTGTGTTGCGTAGAGGTGTTTATAGTATTCTCTGATGGTAGTTTGTATTTCTGTGGGATTGGTGGTGATATCCCCTTTACCATTTTTTATTGTGTCTATTTGATTCTTCTCTCTCTTCTTCTTTATTAGTCTTGCTAGCTGTCTATCAATTTTGTTGATCTTTTCAAAAAACCAGTCCCTGGATTCATTGATTTTTTGAAGAGTTTTTTGTGTCTCTATCTCCTTCAGTTCTGCTCTGATCTTAGTTATTTCTTGCCTTCTGCTAGCTTTTGAATGCGATTGCTCTTGCTTTTCTAGTTCTTTTAATTGTGACGTTAGGGTGTCAATTTTAGATCTTTCCTGCTTTCTCTTGTGTGCATTTAGTGCTATATATTTCCCTCTACACACTGCTTTAAATGTGTCCCAGAGATTCTGGTATGTTGTGTCTTTGTTCTCATTGGTTTCAAAGAGCATCTTTATTTCTGCCTTCATTTCGTTATGTACCCAGTAGTCATTCAGGAGCAGGTTGTTCAGTTTCCATGTAGTTGAGAGGTTTTGAGTGAGTTTCTTAATCCTCAGTTCTAGTTTGATTGCACTGTGGTCTGAGAGACAGTTTGTTATAATTTCTGTTCTTTTACATTTGCTGAGGAGTGCTTTACTTCCAACTATGTGGTCAATTTTGGAATAAGTGTGATGTGGTGCTGAGAAGAGTGTATATTCTGTTGATTTGGGGTGGAGAGTTCTGTAGTTGTCTGTTAGGTCTGCTTGATGCTGAGCTGAGTTCAATTCCTGGATATCTTTGTTAACTTTCTGTCTTGTTGATCTGTAATGTTGACAGTGGGGTGTTAAAGTCTCCCATTATTATTATGTGGGAGTCTAAGTCTCTTTGTAGGTCTCTAAGGACTTGCTTTATGAATCTGCCTGCTCCTGTGTTGTGTGCATATATATTTAGGATAGTTAGCTCTTCTTGTTGAATTGATCCCTTCACCATTATGTAATGGCCTTCTTTGTCTCTTTTGATCTTTGTTGGTTTAAAGTCTGTTTTATCCGAGAGTAGGATTGCAACCCCTGCCTTTTTTTGTTTTCCATTTGCTTGGTAGATCTTCCTCCATCCCTTTATTTTGAGCCTGTGTGTGTCTCTGCACATGAGATGGGTTTCCTGAATACAGCACACTGACGGGTCTTGACTCTTCATCCAGTTGGCTGGTGTGTCTTTTCATTGGAGCATTTAGCCCATTTACATTTAAGGTTAATATTGTTATGTGTGAATTTGATCCTGTCATTATGATGTTAGCTGGTTATTTTGCTCATTAGTTGATGCAGTTTCTTCCTAGCATTGATGGTCTTTACAATTTGGCATGTTTTTGCAGTGGCTGGTACCGGTTGTTCCTTTCCATGTTTAGTGCTTCCTTCAGGGCACTGCTCTTTTAGGGCAGGCCTGGTGGTGACAAAATCTCTCAGCATTTGCTTGTCTGTAAAGTATTTTATTTCTCCTTCACTTATGAAGCTTAGTTTGGCTGGATATGAAATTCTTGGTTGAAAATTCTTTTCTTTAAGAATGTTGAATATCGGCCCCCACTCTCTTCTGGCTTGTAGAGTTTCTGCCGAGAGATCAGCTGTTAGTCTGATGGGCTTCCCTTTGTGGGTAACCCGACCTTTCTCTCTGGCTGCCCTTAACATTTTTTCCTTCATTTCAACTTTGGTGAATCTGACAATTATGTGTCTTGGAGTTGTTCTTCTCAAGGAGTATCTTTGTGGCATTCTCTGTATTTCCTGAATTTGAATGTTGGCCTGCCTTGCTAGGTTGGGGAAGTTCTCCTGGATAATATCCTGCAGAGTGTTTTCCAACTTGGTTCCATTCTCCCCATCACTTTCAGGTACACCAATCAGACATAGATTTGGTCTTTTCACATAGTCCCATATTTCTTGGAGCCTTTGTTCATTTCTTTTTATTCTTTTTTCTCTAAACTTCTCTTCTCGCTTCATTTCATTCATTTGATCTTCCATCGCTGATACCCTTTCTTCCAGTTGATCAAATTGGCTACTGAAGCTTGTGCATTTGTCATGTGGTTCTCGTGCCATGGTTTTCAGCTCATCAGGTCCTTTAAGGACTTCCCTGCATTGGTTATTCTTGTTAGCCATTCGTCTAATCTTTTTTCAAGGTTTTTAACTTCTTTGCCATGGGTTTGAACTTCCTTCTTTAGTTCAGAGAAGTTTGATCATCTGAAGCCTTCTTCTCTCAACTCGTCAAAGTCATTCTCTGTCCAGCTTTGTTCTGTTGCTGGTGAGGAGCTGCGTTCCCTTGCAGGAGGAGAGGCGCTCTGATTTTTAGAATTTTCAGTTTTTCTGCTCTGTTTTATCCCCACCTTTGTGGTTTTATCTACCTTTGGTCTTTGATGATGGTGACGTACAGATGGGGTTTTGGTGTGGATGTCCTTTCTGTTTGTTAGTTTTCCTTCTAACAGTCAGGACCCTCAGCTGCAGTCTGTTGGAGTTTGCCAGAGGTCCACTCCAGACCCTGTTTGTCTGGGTATCAGCATCGGAGGCTGCAGAACAGTGGATATTGGTGAACAGCAAATGTTGGAGCCTGATCGTTCCTCTGGAAGTTTTGTCTCGGAGGAGTACCTGGCTGTGTGAGGTGTCAGTCTGCCCCTATTAGGGGTTGTCTCCCAGTTAGGCTACTCGGGGGCCAGGGACCCACTTAAAGAGGCAGTCTATCAGTTCTCAGATCTCCAGCTGCATGTTGGGAGAGCCACTACTCTCTTCAAAGCTCTCAGACAGGGACATTTAAGTCTGCAGAGGTTTCTGCTGCCTTTTGTTTGGCTATGCCCTGCCCCCAGAGGTAGGAATCTACAGAGGCAGGCAGGCCTCCTTGAGCTGCGGTGGGATCCACCCAGTTAGAGCTTCCCAGCTGCTTTGTTTACCTACTCAAGCCTCAGCAATGGTGGGTGACCCTCCCCCAGCCTCATTTTCGCCTTGCAGTTTGATCTCAGACTGCTGTGCTGGCAATGAGCAAGGCTCTGTGGGCGTAGGACCCTCTGAGCCATGTGCGGGATATAATCTCCTGGTGTGCTGTTTGCTAAGACCATCGGAAAAGCGCAGTATTAGGGTGGGAGTGACCCGATTTTCCAGGCGCCATGTGTTACCCCTTTCCTTGGCTAGGAAAGGGAATTCCCTGACCCCTTGTGCTTTTCGGGTGAGGCAATGCCTCGCCCTGCATTGACTCATGCTTGGTGCACTGCACCCACTGTCCAACAGTCCCCAGTGAGATGAACCCGGTACCTCAGTTGGAAATGCAGAAATCATTCATCTTTTGTGTCGCTCATGCTGGGAGCTGTAGACTGGAGCTGTTCCTATTCAGCCATCTTGGAACTGCTATCCTTCTCTTTCCTGTAGAGTGTTTTTAGCTACAGGAAAGATTACAGGTAAAGAGTTTGAGTGAAAGGTGATTACCTGAAAAATATTCGCACAAGAAATTACCCATCAGAGTATGTGTTGCATTCTTATGGAGCTATGCAATATCCAATGGAAAGCAGGTGGATAAAGTTATCCCATCTTTGCTCTTTGACTAATCCACTGGAGGGTTCCAGGCCTGAGGATAATGTGTTCTGGTGCCCTGGGCCTATTATGGATTATCTTTTGGCTTGCAAAGACCTGAAGAAAGTCTTTGAGTATGAAGGTTAAGTACAAGGATCTGGGTGTGCATCAGAGCAGGGGTATTTCTTGAAGTCTGGAGTTCTGAGTGCTCCTAGATTCCCCTAGACAAGATCAAAATCTTCACTATCAATCTATGAGGAAGTAAGACTGAGATCGGTAACCATAGGCACCATTGATTCTGGCATTCTTTATAGAGGTCACTTGCATGGCTGTCAGAGTAAATGGAAAAGGCTAAGAGCATGAAGAGAATTTGAGTGATGCCTCTGTGGCTGTGTTGTCCATAGGAGCTCCTGAGGGGAAGGTAAAAGTCTCATTGACCCTAAGACCTGCCCAGGGTGGATATTCAGTGTGGTATAGACAGCTATGGACACTAAACCCTCTCTCCTTTCCTCTTGGACACACAACTGGCAGTCATTTTCCAGCCTTCCTTTCAGTTGGGTGAGGTTATGCATGTTAGTTACCTCTTGCTATGTAATAAGTTACCCAAACCTCAGAAGTTTAAATCATCACAGTTATTATCTCACACAGTTCCTGACAGTCAAGAAATCCAAGAATTCCATGTGGCTTAGCAACTTGGTTCTGGCTTCAGGTCTCTCACTGGGTTGCAGTCAAGATGTCAGCAGAGGCTGCTGTCATCTCAAGACTCACCTGGAATTGGAGAAGCTGCTTCCTAGCCAACTCACATGGTGGTTGTTGGTTCCTTGCTGGATATCTACTAGAAGTTCCTTAATATGTAGGTTTCTCCCTAGGGCGGCTCACAACAGGACAGTTTGCTTTCCACAGAGTGAGTGATTCAAGAGAAGGCAAGCTTCGGATAGAAGCAGAAATCTCTTATAGTCTAATCTTAGAAGTCATACCATCACTTCTGACAGATACAATGTGAGGGGACATCACAAGGGTGTGAAGACCAGGAGGCAATGATCACTGGGGGCTGTCTTGGCACTGTGTTCTGGCCAGTGGAATATGAGTGAAAGTGATCTATACTATTCCCAACCTGGGCACACAGAAAACACTCCCTACAATATTCCATGATCTAATTATTCCATGTTCAACCTTCTCCTTCCTAATTATTCAGTTGAATAGTGATGCCTTCAGGGACTCACAGAGCAATGGAACAAAAAGATAGTAGAAACCTGAGTCCATGATTGATGGCATAGAGCAGAGCATCTGTGACACAATGGAGAAACAAATCAGTATTGTGTATCACTACTGAGATCCCTCCTTTCCTTCCTCTCTTTTTCCCTCTCTCCCTCCCTGCTTCATTCTTCCCTTCCTTTCTTCCATTTCTTTTACAAAAGTTAGCTTTTCTTAAAGAGTTTGTGAGCATGTGTATATATATGTAATTTTTTTCAGAATTTATCCATTTTGTTTTTTCACAGATTTATTAATATGTAATTGTTAATATATTTGATTTGTGTTTTTTTCTCTATTATGTTAACCTTGGCTGTTCCTTTAAAATGTAAAGTTTCGGAGGTCAGGATTCCTGTATTCTATTCTATTTTGTTTCTATTTTCCTATAGCAACCAGGTCATTATCCTGCACCTAGGACAATTATTATCCACAGATTGACCATATGGACCTCATTTCAACACAAGGAGAAGAGACGTTCTATGGTTTTTTTAGCAAAAAAGAAAAATTCTAAGATTTTATTCTAAAGAAAAGTATAATGAAAGCCTTAAAAGTTGGACTTTAAAAACAAGAATCAAATTTTCAAACCTGTGTTCAACCAAGCTATCTTATTAAACATAAGTGCATAATTTAATGCAATAGGTGAAGTTGTGTAAAAGCATATTTGTAACCTAAATGTCTCTAGAAAAAGTAACCTGCACTAGCCTTTTTAATGTATTCATAAGTTGAAACTTTTATTGAGCACAAACTATATTCAGTAAACATCTTTAATTTTACCTGTTAGATAAAACATTGCTCTATAGAAGTTCTGTATTTAAAATGATGTATATTAGAATCTATATACCTAGGCACCAAGAGTTTTATTTTATCAAAACCATTTGCATCATAACCTTTCACTACATTAGCAGTTAGCTGCATTGACATTATCTTCATCTTCTAACTCCTGGAATGAAAGCAGAGGGCTTTTCTCATTTCCTGTATCAAAGGCTTTCAGTTTTTCAGGCTAAAGACATAAAAGAAGTGTGGTAACTAGAAGAAATACTAGCATCATTTAAAATTAGAGATACTTCTCTTTGGAAAGGTTATCCTGATTTCAAAGTTTTGAAGGTAATTAAAGCACAAACCTGCATGGGACTCCATTAGCTGTGATTCCACTTTTTATCACTCTGTCTGGAAGACAGATGAAGCTGGCCATGGGTACATAAAATTCCTGACAGATCAAGTCTTAGGGAGATTTAGACAAAAGTAGAAACTACTGTTCCATTTGCATAGATAAGAAATAATATCGCCTGTTTTTAAATAGCCTCAAAACATATAGTAAACAGTGAAAAGGGCATTAGCCTTATTTTGGGGCTCATATAGACTAAGAGTTCATGTCTTTTGATAGAACTCACTTTTATTTTCTATTTGAACACCAAATTCAATTAAAATGAAGTGTGTACAGATGCTACTTTCTATTGGGTCCTGTAACTGGAAGCTCTGAATGTAATACCCCTTTGAGTATCAAATAATAAATAACAATCCCATCTGTGAGACACATTAGTTTGCCCTTGTCAATTAACTAATAGCAGAATTTCTTCTCAACTCTGATTACTCTGAACATAGATAATAAGTTATCCTTCCAATTTCTATTGATTTCCTCCATGCTTTATAGAAAACTATTGATTTCTGTTTTCTTGTTGATTTTATCCTTCATTTAATTTGACATTAAGCAAAACTTTTTGTTTGTAACACAGCAAAATCCTAGGAAAAATAGGAATTCAGGGGTCACTTCAATTTATAAATGTCTTGGTGATCTAGTCTTTGAATTATCTATGGTGAATACTATCGTGAAGCAGTGAAGTTCCCATTGCCCTCCCCACCCCTGCTCTTAGTGTTACACACACCCAGAAACCATCTGTGTTGCAATCAACACAGAATTGAGCTTTGGGAAATAAAATTTAAACTAATGGATGGGACAATCAGGTTTGCTACTACAAAGTAAAATAAACCTAAAAACATAAAGTAAATCTCCACACATACTCACATACATACACATATAATACATTCTACAAGGAGATGTATGGGTGGAATTATTTTTTATTCCATGAGGATTTTTTTCATGACAAAGGATGATTCAGGGTGAGAGGAGGCCCATGCTCTCCAGGGGCTTCAGCAAGAGATGTGACTGCAGTTGGGAAGGAGGCATCCAGTCTCTGCCTTCAGTTGCTTGAGTATCCTGGTGCAGCTCAGTGTGACTTATTATAGATTTTTACAATAACGACCTCAATAGATTATGACTCCTGCCATGACCTCAATGTTTGTGTTTCCTCAAAATTCATATGTTGAAATCTGAAGCCTGACATCAGTGATATTAATATAATAGGGGCAACATTGGGAGGTAACTAGATTTGGTGGGCAAAGCCTTCAATGGGATTAGTGCCCTTATAAAAAAGACTGCAGAGCCAAAAAACACATGAAAAAATGCTCACCATCACTGGCCATCAGAGAAATGCAAATCCAAACCACAATGAGATACCATCTCACACCAGTTAGAATGGCAATCATTAAAAAGTCAGGAAACAACAGGTGCTGGAGAGGATGTGGAGAAATAGGAACACCTTTACACTGTTGGTGGGACTGTAAACTAGTTCAACCATTGTGGAAGTCAGTGTAGCGATTCCTCAGGGATCTAGAACTAGAAATACCATTTGACCCAGCCATCCCATTACTGGGTATATACCCAATGGACTATAAATCATGCTGCTATAAAGACACATGCACACATATGTTTATTGCGGCACTATTCACAATAGCAAAGACTTGGAACCAACCCAGATGTCCAACAATGATAGACTGGATTAAGAAAATGTGGCACATATACACCATGGAATACTATGCAGCCATAAAAAATGATGAGTTCATGTCCTTTGTAGGGACATGGATGAAATTGGAAATCATCATTCTCAGTAAACTATCGCAAGAACAAAAAACCAAACACCGCATATTCTCACTCATAGGTGGGAATTGAACAATGAGAACACATGGACACAGGAAGGGGAACATCACACTCTGGGGACTGTTGTGGGGTGGGGGGAGGGGGGAGAGATAGCACTGGGAGTTATACCTAATGCTAGTTGACGAGTTAGTGGGTGCAGCGCACCAGCATGGCACATGTATACATATGTAACTAACCTGCACATTGTGCACATGTACCCTAAAACTTAAAGTATAATAATAATAAATAAATAAAAAAAACTAAAAAAAAAAAAAAGACTGCAGAGAGCTAATTATCCCTTTCCACCATGTGTGGATAAATTGAGAAGGCACTGTCTATGAGGAATGGGCCCTAGTGAGACACTGAATCTGCGGGCACCTTGATCTTGGACTTTCAGCCTCCAGTACTGTGAGAAATTAATGGTGGTTGTTTATAAGCCAATAGTTTCTATAGCATTTTGTTATAGTAGCCTGAAGAGACATAGACACCTCCCTGTGTCCACAACCTTTTGTGATGTGACTCTGCCACTACTCCCATCAATAGCTAAAGTCTATTTTCCTACCCCTTTAATCTGCCCTGGACTCAAAACCCATTTTGACTGACAGAATAATGTAGAAGTAATGTGGTACAACTGTCAAGGGAAGGCAGAGGAGGCTTATAGCTCATGGTTTTGCCCTCCTGGAACCATTTCCTGACATAATGCAAAGCAGCCCAGGATGAAAGACTACATGGAGAGATTCCCAGTTTCCTCATGTCCCAGCGAAGCCAACACTCAGCCAACCTACAAGGTAAATGCTCCTAGATATGTGAGTCCAGAAGAGACACAAAAGAATCACCAAGAGAATCTGCGGAAGTGTGAGAAATAATAAATCCTTGTGTGTTTTTCTTCAACTTTTTATTTTGATATACTTTAGACATACACAAAACTTGCTAAAGTAATATAGAAAGTTTTCATAAATCTCTATCTGAGCTTCTGCTAATATTATCATGACATGGAACCATAGTACAAATATCAGAACCAGGAAATTAATATTGGCATGTTACTATTAACTGAAGACCATATCCAAATTTCACCAGTTTTTTCACTAGAGTCTATTTTCATTCATGTTTCAAGATCCAATCCAGGATTCACTGCATTTAGTTCTGATCTCTTTAGTCTTTTCCGCTCTATGCCAACTCCTAAGTCTTTCCTTGTTTTTCATGATTTTGACACTTTTGAAGAGTACTGAACAGTCATTCATGAAACATTTCTCAATTTGGGATTGACTGAGCTTTTGCATTTTAGGAATGATGTGGGGTCCTTCTCAATGCATCATATCTACAAATCCATCATGCTAAGTTGGCCTTTTGCTAGTGCTAATCACCTTACACAGGAGGCTAAGGTGGTTTCTTCCTGATTGTTCCATTTTAAAGTGATTATGTTTCCCTTTGTAGTAAATAAATGTCTTGGAAGAGATATGTTAGACTAAAAAATGATTGTTTTAAGCTACTAAGTTCTGGAGCGAGGTATAACTAAATCACAGATATGGAGATAGATGATTAGATAGTAGATGGATCAATAGATAGATAGATAGATAGATAGATAGATAGATAGATAGACAGACAGACAGACAGACAGACAGACAGATATAGCTAGATAGACTGATAGAAGGCAAAAGTCAGGCTGGCAACTTCGGCCAGGGAGGTGAGGTTAGTGAGGTGCAGGGAGTGGAAGACAGAGAAGGGCCTATGAAGTTTGGGTATTCATGACAGTTTTAGTGATAGATTTGTGGATGAAGAGTTTAGTGACATTCTGGTGCAGGAATGTGTTATTTAAGAACCAGAGAAGAGAGGGAAGTGTTATATGTGTGTTTTTAAAAGAAGAAACAAAGGCTTAATGTGGGTATTGACTTGGCACTTGAGTAAGGATAGAAACATTTTTAAATTACTTTCAGTAATTGGACTACAATGCAATCTCACTGTGATGTGTAGAGTCCCGGACTTCTTAGCATTTCAGACATATGTTTTTTTGTTTTTCTTGATGGGTAGCTATAGGGTACTAAGGCAGCTGGCAGAACCAGACATTCTTTACACAAGGTAATAGGCAGTAGTTCCCATCCCTCTATTTGTGTAAGATGAATGGGCATCTTATTGGAAAGAAGTCAGCCATCCATGGATCAAAAGCAAGGCAGGGCATGAGACAGAATGTCCTTTCTAAGAAAGAAGGAGGCTGATCTTTTGATCTTCCTATTAAGTTTGTAATGGGGCTTATGTGAAAATGACCTGGCCATGACACAGACCTGAACAACCCTTAATGCAGCTAATGAGAGAAAGAACAAACAAGAATCTAGGAAGTTGCAGAGTAGAACCACAATTTTGTTTTGTTTTTTTCTTTTTTTAAGTATAATTAATTTATTGAGTTGCCTGGCACTGGTGATTTAGGAGAAAGTGGAACAAAGTCCTTGGATGGATGGAGTTTATATTTTAGTGCAAGAGAGTGACAATAAATAAGTACATTATTTAATATACATTGTAGGTAGTTCCATGTAATTGCAAAGACAAATAAAGCTGGACAGAATGAAAGAGACGGAGGGGATGTATTAGTCAGTTTTTATGTTGCTATAAAGAACTACCTGAGACTGGGTAATTTATAAAGGAAAGAGGTTTAATTGACTCACAGATCTACATGGCTGGGGAGGCCCCAGGAAACTTACAATTATGGCAGAAGGTGATGGGGAAGCAAGGTACATCTTACATGGCCATGGCAGCAAAAGAGAGAAAATGCATGAGGGGGTAACTGCCAAACACTTTGAAATCATCAGATCTCAAGAGAACTCTCAATATCATGAGAACAGTAGGAGGGAAACCACTCCCAAGATCCAATTACCTCCCATCAGGTCCCTCACCTGACATGTGGAGATTACAATTTGAGGTGAGATTTGGATGGGAACTCAGAGCCAAACCATATCGGGGGTAAATGTAGTTGCTATTGTGGAAAAGGCAGCCAGGGGAGACCTGCTGAAGATGTGATACTGACTCCATAGGTGATGAAGGGCCATCAGGGTAGGACCATGGGGGACAGGCTGTGAGAGTCACCTGCTAGGCAAATGGGTCCCTGGGAGAAGGTGCCCAAGGGCATGTAATAAAGCAATATGTAGATGTACAAGGCAGGTAACTTGTGTCAAGGAAGACTGTTGGCAGATAACAGAGCCATCTGTGGTCATAAGATGGGGCTGTTAGACTGGGATCTGTGCACCATCCAGGTCTGCACATAGACTTGAATGGGTCCATGAATTTGGATAGAAAAAAGCTTAAATTGAATTGGATACAAGTCCCTATAGTATGGAAATAGATAACAAGTTTTCAAATGTTTCATCAGATGCACTTTTTTCTTTTTATTCAAATAAAATCTACATAACTATTACTATGTAAAACAAGAAAACAAAAATATAGCACTTTGTTGGTTGAAGTAAGTTTTGCTGTCTCAGAGGTACTCACTGTTGATCACTGGAGCCCAGTTCTTTGCAGATCATAGTATTAGAACCCCTGGATCAGTGCTTCTCCCATTCCTTTGGGTAGTGACTTGTCCCACAAGCCTATAAGTGGATACATCAAGGGCATTCAGATGTGGCCAGTGGGGAGAGGCACATTATGGAGCTGGGCAGGTCATTCAAATCCTCATCTTTGCCGGCATATGTGGACAGTTAAATGATCATTTTGTGTGTCCCTCCACAGATTTTCTTCTGTTCAGGCTCACCTTGACCAGATGTCTGACAATGACCCAGAGAAGCCAGATCATGACCAAGTCCAGATTGTCCCGACAGATCTTGAGCTTTTAAAACAGTATATGTGGGCTTAGAAATGTAGTCACAAAACGGTATGTTATGATTATGTTAACACAATGAAAAAGAGAAATTCAGACACTATTGATCAGTGGCATAGCATAATTTACCTAGCTTAAGAAAATGATTTATATATCAGCTTATAATGCAATTATACCTTGACATGAAAATCATTTCCCAAGCTCTTTATGGTCTGTGGATTTAAGAAGTGACCCAAAAAATAAAAAAAAGTAAGTAGAGATGTAGGGAAGCTTTTTCTAGTCTCTGATTGTGGCTTGCTTACTTAATTTACAATGATCTCAAATAATATTTCAGAATGGCTGTCACTAGAAATTAGATCTTTGATAATAAATCCCATTAGTAGGTATCTCCTCAGATTTTGTTAAAATGTTTTGTGGTCCATTTGAGGTCTTTAAGGAGCCATCTATATTTTAAAAATATGTTAGAACAGTCATAAGTTACCTTCCTCTTTAAGCTTCTCAACAGAACTATTATTGCATTTGTGTTTCTGGAAAGTGCACATAAAAGCCATAAATCATCCCAGATGATGCAAGAGGGTTCATGAGCTTTCCAGTGGTTAATGTAAAAAGGAGATGGAATTTAGCCAAATAAGGGAGAAGTTTTTGACAGATTTGTCCTAGAAGAAAACAAGGAAAATAAATATAATGTTTCTTGTTACTAGAGAGGATTTAGGCTTTTTTTTTTTTTTTTTTTAGATGGAGTCTTGCTGCTCTGTCGCCGCCCAGGCTGGAGTGCAGTGGCGCCATCTCGGCTCACCGCAAACTCCACCTCCCGGGTTCATGCCATTCTCCTGCCTCAGCCTCCCAGGTAGCTGGGACTACAGGCACCCACCACCATGCTGGGCTAATTTTTTGTATTTTTTCAGTAGAGACGGGGTTTCACCGTGTTAGCCAGGATGGTCTCGATCTCCTGACCTCATGATCTGTCTGCCTTGGCCTCCCAAAGTGCTGGTATTACAGGCGTGAGCCACCGCACCCAGCCTAGGCATACATTTAAAAACAAATCCAAGAGCAATAGTAGACTCTACAATGTAAACTATACTACAGGCCTTTAAAAGTGCTACATTCAGTTCCCTTTTCAACTTCTTTTGTCAATTATCAATTGCCCAAAAGATATTTAAATATACCTACTGATCAAACAAAGCTAAGATTGTTAGATTTATTTCAGTGAAGTAGAGTGCCTCCTGTGTTAGTCTGTTTTGTGTTGCTATAAAGGAATATCTGAGACTGGGTAACTTATAAAGAAGAGAGGTTTATTTGGATCATGATTCCACAGGCTGTACAAGAAGCATGGCACTAGCAACTGCTTCTGGTGAGGACCTGAGGAAGCTTTTACTCATGGTGGAAGTGAAGGGGGAGTAGGCATGTCACGTGGTGAGAGAGGGAGCAAGAGAGAGATGCCAGGCTCTTTTAAACAACCAGCTCGCTAGTAAACTAATAGAGCAAGAACTCATTCATTACCATAGGATAGGCATCAAGCCCCAAAACCCAAACACCTCCCACCAGGCCCCACCTCCAACATTAAGGATCACATTTCGACATGAGATTTAGAGGGGGCCGACATCCAAACTATATCACCACCTTCCTAGGTCTTGGTGATGTCTCAGTAGGGAGAAGTAGAAAGAGGATCTGTAGAGGGTTTTATGACTAGGACTGGTGGACTTAAAGTGGGAACGTGAAGAACTGTTTGTGACTGGGCAGAGTTTGTGACATAATAGCTTTGGATTACTGAGCAAAACTGGTAAGGCTCTTGAAAAAAGACTTGGTAAACATGCTATTGGTCATAATATTTAAGTGATTTCAGTTGTTTGCAGCCTTCCTGGAAGAATAATTTTCTGGAGCAAGTAGCTATGTTATTTTGATTGTTTTTAGTAGTATTTAACATAGAGATAGAAAAATATCCCCATTCTTAGTGTTGTTTAACTCAGAAATAGGAAGCTATCTTGGTTTCAGTTCTCATTTCCAATCCTGCAATTCTGTATATTTTCTTTGATGTGGCAACATTTTCAAAAAAATAATAATAATGATCAATCTCTCTTTTGGATTTCAAAATAATCTTTTGGTTACTGACCAGCAGTTAATATACATAACCAAAAAGTTTTCTCCCTCACTTTGTATTTGATTTTATGCATTGTATAGTGACTAAAGACTAAAAACACTTAATAAATGTTTTGTAAGCACAGTATTTGTCAGCTGAATAGTTAGAAAAAATATCCAAAGCAATTTTGTGCCCAAGATTCAGAAAGGAAAATACATTTACTATGAGATCTTTTTTTTTTTTATACTTTAAGTTCTAGGGTACATGTGTACAACATGCAGGTTTGTTACTTATGTATACATGCACCATGTTGGTATGCTGCACCCATTAACTCGTCATTTACATTAGGTATATCTCCTAATGCTATCCCTCCCCCCTCCCACCACCCCATGACAGGCCCTGGTGTGTGATGTTCCCCTTCCTGTTTCCAAGTGTTCTCATTGTTCAATTCCCACCTATGAGTGAGAACATGTGGTATTTGGTTTTTTGTCCTTGCAATAGTTTGCTGAGAATGATGGTTTCCAGCTTCATCCATGTCCCTACAAAGGACATGAATTCATCCTTTTTTATGGCTGCATAGTATTCCATAGTGTATATGTGCCACATTTTCTTAATCCAGTCTATCAATCATTGATGGATATTTGGATTGGTTCCAAGTCTTTGCTATTGTGAATAGTGTTGCAATGAACATACATGTGCATGTGTCTTTATAGCAGAATGATTTATAATCCTTTGGGTATATACCCAGTAATGGGATGGCTGGGTCAAATGGTATTTCTAGTTCTAGATCCCTGAGGAATCGCCACACTGACTTCCACAATGTTTGAACTAGTTTACAGTCCCACCAACAGTGTAAAAGTGTTCCTATTTCTCCACATCCTCTCCAGCACTTGTCCCCTGACTTTTTAATGATTGCCATTCTAACTGGTGTGAGATGGTATCTCACTGTGGTTTCGATTTGCATTTCTCTGATGGCCAGTTATGATGAGCAAAATTTTTTCATGTGTCGTCTGGCTGCATAAATGTCTTCTTTTGAGAAGTGTCTGTTCATATCCTTCGCCCACTTGTTGATGGGGTTGTTTGTTTTTCTCCTTGTAAATTTGTTTGAGTTCTTTGTAGATTCTGGATATTAGCCCTTTGTCAGAGGAGTAGATTGCAAAAAATTTTCCCATTCTGTAGGTTGCCTGTTCACTCTGATGGTAGTTTCTTCTGCTGTGCACAAGCTCTTTAGTTTAATTAGATTCCATTTGTCAACTTTGGCTTTTGTTGCCATTGCTTTTGGTGTTTTAGACATGAAGTCCTTGCCCATGTCTATGTCCTGAATGGTATTGCCTAGGTTTTCTTCTAGGGTTTTTATGGTTTTAGGTCTAACATTTAAGTCTTTAATCCATCTGGAATTAATTTTTGTTTAAGGTGTAAGGAAGGGATCCAGTTTCAACTTTCTGCATATGGCTAGTCAGTTTTCCCAGCACCATTTATTAAATAGGGAATCCTTTCCCCATTTCTTGTTTTTGTCAGGTTTGTCAAAGATCAGATGGTTGTAGATGTGTGGTATTATTTGTGAGGGCTCTGTTCTGTTCCATTGGTCTATATCTCTGTTTTGGTACCAGTACCATGCTGTTTTGGTTACTGTAGCCTTGTAGTATAGTTTGAAGTCAGGTAGCATGATGCCTCCAACTTTGTTCTTTTGGCTTAAGATTGTCTTGGCAATGCAGGCCCTTTTTTGGTTCCATATGAACTTTAAAGTAGTTTTTTCCAATTCTGTGAAGAAAGTCATTGGTACCTTGATGGGGATGGCATTGAACCTATAAATTACCTTGGGCAGTATGGCCATTTTCACGATATTGATTCTTCCTATCCATGAGAATGGAATGTTATTCCATTTGATTGTGTCCTCTTTTATTTCGTTGAGCAGTGGTTTGTAGTTCTCCTTGAAGAGGTCTTTCACATCCCTTGTAAATTGGATTCCTAGGTATTTTATTCTCTTTGAAGCAATTGTGAATGGGAGTTCACTCATGATTTGGCTCTCTGTTTGTCTAATATTGGTGTATAGGAATACTTGTGATTTTTGCACATTGATTTTGTATCCTGAGACTTTGCTGAAGTTGCTTATCAGCTTAAGGAGATTTTGGGCTGAGATGATGGGGTTTTCTAAATATACAATCATGTCATCTGCAAACAGGGACAATTTGACTTCCTCTTTTCCTAATTGAATACCCTTTATTTCTTTCTCCTGCCTGATTGCTCTGGCCAGAACTTCCAACACTATGTTGAATAGGAGTGGTGAGAGAGGGCATCCCTGTCTTGTGCCAGTTTTCAAAGGGAATGCTTCCAGTTTTTGCCCATTCAGTATGATATTGGCTGTGGGTTTGTCATAAATAGCTCTTATTATTTTGAGATACATCCCATCAATACCTAATTTATTGAGAGTTTTTAGCATGAAGAGCTGTTGCATTTTGGCAAAGGTCTTTTCTGCATCTATTGGGATAATGATGTGGTTTTTGTCTTTGGTTCTGTTTATATGCTGGATTACGTTTACTGATTTGCGTATGTTGAACCAGCCTTGCATCCCAGGGATGAAGCCCACTTGATCATGGTGGATAAGCTTTTCGATGTGCTGCTGGATTCGGTTTGCCAATATTTTATTGAGGATTTTTGCATAAATGTTCATTAGTGATTATTAGTCTAAAACTCTCTTTTTTTGTTGTGTCTCTGTCAGGCTTTGGTATCAGGATGATGCTGGCCTCATAAAGTGAGTTAGGGAGGGATTCCCTCTTTTTCTATTGATTGGAATAGTTTCAGAAGGAATGGTACCAGCTTCTCCTTGTACCTCTGGTAGAATTCAGCTGTGAATCCGTCTGGTCCTGGACTTTCTTTGGTTGGTAAGCTATTAATTATTGCCTCAATTTCAGAGCCTGTTATTGGTCTATTCAGGGATTCAACTTCTTCCTGGTTTAGTTTTGGGAGGGTGTATGTGTCCGGGAATTTATCCATTTCATCTAGATTTTCCACTTATTTGCATTGCGTAGAGGCGTTTATAGTATTCTCTGATGGTAGTTTGTATTTCTGTAGGATCGGTGGTGATATCCCCTTTATCATTTTTTATTGTGTCTATTTGATTCTTCTCTCTTTTCTTCTTTATTAGTCTTGCTAGCAGTCTAACAATTTTGTTGATCTTTTCAAAAAACCAGCCCCTGGATTCATTGATTTTTTGAAGGGTTTTTTGTGTCTCCATTTCCTTCAGTTCTGCTCTGATCTTAGTTATTTCTTGCCTTCTGCTAGCTTTTGAATATGATTGCTCTTGCTTCTCTAGTTGTTTTAATTGTGATGTTAGGGTGTCAATTTTAGATCTTTCCTGCTTTCTCTTGTGTGCATTTAGTGCTATAAATTTCCCTCTGCACACTGCTTTAAATGTGTCCCAGAGATTCTAGTATGTTGTGACTTTGTTCTCATTGGTTTCAAAGAACATCTTTATTTCTTCCTTAATTTCGTTACGTATCCAGTAGTCATTCAGGAGCAGGTTGTTCAGTTTCCATGTAGTTGAGAGGTTTTGAGTGAGTTTCTTAATCCTGAGTTCTAGTTTGATTGCACTGTGGTCTGAGAGACAGTTTGTTTTAATTTCTGTTCTTTTACATTTGCTGAGGAGTGCTTTACTTCCAACTATGTGGTCAATTTTGGAATATGTGCAGTGTGGTGCTGAGAAAAATGTATATTCTGTTGATTTGGGGTGGAGAGTTCTGTAGATGTCTATTAGGTCTGTTTGGTGCAGAGCTGAGTTCAATTCCTGGATATCCTTGTGAACTTTCTGTCTCGTTGATCTGTCTAATGTTGACAGTGGGGTATTATATGAGATCTTAAAGTCTCTGGTACTCATTTAAAAAAAAAAAAGCTTCAATAGATTTGAGTGAGGGTCTATTGTACCCAGTGAAATTACTCTTCCAAACTGCAGAAGGAGTAAAGCTTTCTCAGACTAATAAATATTGGGGGAATTTGTCAAAATAGATCGCCTTCGCAAGACATATTTAAAGAAGTTCTTCAGAGAGAAAGCAAATGATAACAGAATTTTGAATCTACATAAAGAAAAAAAGTGTTAGAGAAGAAATAAATGAAGGTAAAATAAATATTTTCACTTCTTATTCTTAATTGATCAAACAGATATCTATTTGTTCAAAATAATAATAGCAACTATATATTGGGTAATTATAACTCTGGATAAGTGAAATGAATGACAGCAATATTTTAAGAGAGAGGAGGAAGCAATTGGATATACTCCTTTATCAGTTAGATACACTGCCCATGCAGCAAATTAGGAATAGAAGTGAACTTTCTCAACTTGATTAAAAAAAACTGCAATAAAATCTACAATTAACATGATACTTAATTTTGAGAAACTGGATGCTTTTTTATAATATTGGGAACAAGGCAGAGATTTCCTATATTATATTTTCTATTCAGCATTGTACTGAAATTTCTAGCTAGTGCAGTATGATAAGAAAAGGAAATATAAGGTATATAAAATGAGAAAGAAGAAATAAAAGTGTATTTGTTTGCAAGCTTGCATTTACAGGGCTAATAGAGTAAAGTGAATTGCTTTACTACCTGCGATCAATAAACTATTACAATTTAAAAATTTTAAAAATACCTTTAGAATAACTTCAAAAGATTTAGGTATAAATCTAACAAAATATGGACTGGGTGCGGTGGCTCACGCCTGTAATCCCAGCACTTTGGGAGGCTGAGGTGGGCAGATCACGAGGTCAGGAGATTGAGACCATCCTGGCTAACACAGTGAAACCCCGTCTCTACTAAAAATACAAAAAATTAGCCGGGCATGGTGGCGGGCACCTGTAGTCCCAGCTACTCGGGAGGCTGAAGCAGGAGAATGGTGTGAACCCGACAGGCCAAGCTTGCAGTGAGCCGAGATCGTGCCACTGCACTCCAGTCTGGGTGACAAAGTGAGACTCCGTCTCAAAAAAAAAAAAAAAAAAAAAAAAAAAGAAAAGAAAAAGAAAATGTATGTTCAGTAAAAAATTAGAAAACTATAATGAAAGAAACCAAAGAAGAGATACTCCATGTTCATGAATTAGAAGATTCCCGATGGTTAAGATGTCAGTCTTTTCTAACGTGATCTATAGATTCAATACATAGCCAATCAAAAGTTATTGTGTATTTATCAGTAAACTGATTCTAAAGTTTATATGGAAAAGTAAAATTCTAATTATAGCCAACACAATACTGAAGAAGAAAAACAAAGTTGAAGACTCCCACTATTTATTTTTATTTAAAGCAATATAAAGTTACAGTAATTAATACTTTTAGCAAGATAAGGGCAAAAGAATAGACACAGCAATGCAACAGAACAAAGAACCTACAAATAGATTCACAAATATACTGAGCTGATCTTTGATAAAAGAGCAAGGCACTTAAATCAAGAAAAGATAACCTTTCAACAAATGATGCTGGGAAAATTGGACATTCTTATGCAAAAAATGAACATAAACACCTTGCACCTTTCACATAAATTAACTCAAAATGGCTCATACACTACAATTTATATGGGAACAAAAGGAACCCAGAATCGCAAAAGTAATCTTAAGAATAAATTCAAAAGCCTTAAAATTTCCAATTTCAAAATTTACTAGACAACAAAAATAATTAAGACAGTGTGGTATTGGCGTATGGATAGGCATATAAATCAGTTGAATTGAGAGTTCAGAGATAAACCCATATATCTATGGCTAACTGATTTTAGCAAGGATGTCAAGACCATTCAATGGGGAAAATAGTCTTTTCAACAAATAATTATAAAACACTTAGATATATACATGCAAAAAATAAAGATGGACCCCTACTTTACACCTACACAAAAATTAATGCAAAATGGATCCAAGACCAAGGAGTTAGCACTGTAAAACTCTTAGAAAAAACACACAGATGTAATCTTCCTGTGACCTTGGATATGGCAATAAGTTTTCGTATATAAAATCCAAAGCACAAGCAAGAAAGGAAAAAGAGTAGACAAACTGGATTTCATCACATTTAAAAACTCTTGTTCTTCAAAAACAAATATAAAGAAAGTAAAAACATAACAGATAAAATGGAAGAATTCTTAAATTGTATACCTAATATGGGGTTTATATTTCGAATTTATAAAGAATACTTGTAACTCAATAATAGACAAATAATGGAAATAAAAATTAGGGAAAGACATTTCTCCAAAAATATGTACAAATGGCCAGTAGACACATGAAAAGATGCTCAGTGTCATTAGTAATCATAGAAATGCAAATTAAAACCACAGTGAAATACCATTTGAAACCCACTTCAAACTTACTAGGATGGCCATACTAAAAAAGCCAACTAATACATGTTGGCAAGGATGTGGAGAAATCAGAACCATCATATACTCCTGATGGGACTGTAAAATGGTGAAGCAACTTTGGAAAAAAATCTTGAACTTTCTCAAAACTTAAATACAAAGTTACTATAAAAACCAGCAATTATACTTTTAGGTATAGAACTAAGAGAAATGAAGACATATTTTCACTCAGAAATTTATACACAAAGACTCATAGTAGCATTTTTAATGACCGCTAAAAGACAGAAACAATACAAATGCCTATGGAGTGATGAATGGATACACAAAATGTGATATATTCATGTAACGGAACACTAGCTATAAAAAATAAAGTACCTATCATTGTACACCACAGATAAATCTTGAAAACATTATGCTAAGTGAAAGAAGCCAGTTCAAAAAATACATGTTCTATGATTCCATTTATTTGAAATATTCAGAATAGAGAAATCCATAGAGACAAAGAACACATTAGTGATTGCCTAAAGCTAGGAGCAGTAGGTGGGGGAAATTGGGTAATTTTGTTTCTGGGGTGATGATGATGTTCTACAATTTACTGTGGTGGTGGTTGCACAGCTCCATCAATATACTGGCAGCCTTTAATTGTACACTTCAAATGGGCAAATTGTATGCAATGTTAATTGTATCTCAAGCAGTTGTTACAAAAATAAATCACAGAATTAAATGCAAAATGGAAAACTATACAACTTCTGGAGGAAAAAAATAATGATCTTGGGTTCAGTGATGAGTTTTTAGATACAACATCAAAAGCATGATGCATGAAAGGAAAAAAATGTTAAATTGGACTTTATTAAAATTAAACACTTCTGATCTGTGAAAGACTTTCTTAAGAAAACAAAAAGACAAGTAACAGACTGGAGAAAATATTTGCAAAAGATACCTGATAAAAGACTATCCAAAATACACAAAGAACTTTTAGAACTCAACATAAAAAACAACCCAATTAAAAATGGGAAAAGATCTGAACAAACACTTCACCAAAGAAGACATACAAATTGCAAATAAGCATATGTAAAAATGTTCAACATTATTTATCATTAAGGAATTTCTAATGAAAATAACAATGAGATACTGCTACAAGCCAATTAGGATGATCACAACCCAAAAAATTGACATTACTAATTGCTGGCAAGGTTATAGGGCATTAAGAACTCTCATCATTGCCAGGGAGAATGAAAATGGGATAGCCATTTGGAAGACAAACTAACAGTTTCTAGCAAAACTAAGCATAATCTTACAATAACCTAGCAATTGTTCTTTTAGTTAATTACCTATCTGATTGGAAAACTTATGTTCTCACAAAAACCTACATATGAATGCTTAAAGCAGCTTTATTTATAATTTCCTACAACTAGATAAAACCAAGATTTTCTTCAACAGGTGAATACAAAAACGAATGGTTGTATATCCATACAGTGGAATATTAGTATAAACTCATGTTTAGCTTAATATAGGTACAGATGGTTGCACATAGGAATAACTATCTATATATGTATGTACACAGGTTATTATATACACATATATTTCCTCCTTCTGTTAGTAAAGAGGTCCTAGAAGAAATAATATTCCGATAGCAACAAGCACATCTAATATTCAAATCTAAGTTTCTAATATCATCCTCCTTTAAAAGGAACAAGGGATATTTAGAGAAATGGCTGATTGTAAGATTATGACAGGAAATAAGCCTGGAGAATCTTGCAGGGTCAGAAAGTAAAGATGTGCTCAAACAAACAAACCCACAGTAATGGAAATATGTTAAAAAGAAAAGGGGCCAACTGAGCCCAGTGGCCATGTCTGAAACAATCTGAGTAATAAAATAAGGAATAAGTGGTATTCGATTATAACCAAAAGTATAAGATCTGCTTACAGTATCACATAGAGGAGTCCATATTGATATAAATAAATTGTTGAATAAAAAATAAGTGGGTAACAATAGGAATATCTCCCATGCAGAAGAATTTCAAAAAATTTGTATAGCTACTTGGCCATCAAAGAGATGGGGCATAATTCTCTTCTCCTTATGTATGAGTTGCACATGATTCCCTTCCAAAGAATATAGTATGGAAAGGAAGAGAAAGGAGTAACCTTTCATTGAAAAAACTTGACAAATGCTATCTCAGCCAGGTGTTCAGTGTTAACATCAATAGTGATTACGTGTAGTATATGTACTTTTGATATGATGTGATGAGAATAACACTTCATTCCTGTGGTCTTCCTCCTACACAGCCAGTCAAATATGACAAAAAAAAAAAAAAAAAAAAAAAAAAAAAAAAAAAAACAGACAAATCCTAATTGAGAATATTCTACAAAATACCCAACCAGTACTCCTCAAAACTTCCCAGGTCATCAAAATGGACAAAAGAAAGAAAACAAAACAAAACCAGAAAACACCACCTACAACAAAAACAAAACAACTAAAGAAATATTAATAAATCAGGATCTTTAGATAACATTGGCTAATTATGCATAACAAATATATCATACCAATATTTAAGAAGTTAAATAACAAGAGAAGCTGGGTATCGTATATATGATAACTTTTTGTATTTTTTCTCAATTTTTCTATAAATCTACAACTATTGTAATTAAGTTTATTATAGAAACCATTCCAATCTTTGAGAATAATATTTTGGGTGAGCATAAACTATGTTGTTGGGATAAATTTACACAGTACTGAAGTAAAAGAAGGCTACTATTATCCAGAAAGCCTGAGAAAATTTCTGTCACGTCAAAACTATTTGTACAGTTTTTCCAAAGACTAGTCACCATCTGGTAGAGGCATGAGAATGGCACTAACTTTTGGATAATCATCCGTATGCTTATCCTTCAGCTCTGAAATGGTTTGGTTACTTGTTCACAGAGAAAATCCTCACACTTTTCCAATCTGAGGTCTTCAGTTATAAGGTAGGGATGACCTTCAAATAACCTTGAAGCAGCACTACCTGGCTCATTTAGAGTAGCTGTCTATTAATGCTGACATTTTCCTTTGAAAGTCCATTGTGCTTCAGGCAATAGGCTACTGGAAAGAAAAAAAAAATCAGGAAAAGAAAAAGGCAGCTTGAAATTTATGACTTTATTGTGCTTATGAAATTACAAAAAGGAGCCAGCCTTGTCCATGCTGACCACAAACAAGTGTAGCGATAACTAAAATTTACAGGGTGCATAAAAAAATCCCATCAGCAGAGTGCTGTAAATCCTGGCTGACCAGCCACCCCAGCAAATTCCTGATGGATCATCGTGCCCTCAAGTTTAAATGGTTGTTCTTAAGAAGTAAACGTAAGTGACAGTTTAGATACATAAGCAAACAGTGATCTCATTTCATTCCCTGAATTTAGAATGGGTGGGATGAGAGAAATGACTTACTTAGGAGAATTGAGTAGATGTCTGCAGGGAAGTTTCATTCAGGTTCCCACAAGAGGCCACACTTTGAACAAGGCTAGAAGGATACTGAGAGACAAAAATACATCCCTGGCATCCAAAAGGCCACTTTTATGTATGGAGACAATTTGATAACTTGTGGCAACACAATGAAATGATTCCTCTGGGACACGTAAGCCCAGTGCTGAGTGAACCAAATGGTGTTATGCAGTACCTTCAAAAGTGTAGATTTTATGCTGAGGGAATAGGAGGTTACAGAAGAATGGTAAATAATATGAGCTTTTTTAAATTTAGAAATATTATTTTAGTTGCAGTGAGAAAACAAGTCAGGAGGCTGTTGCAGTTATCCAGGTAAGAGACGAATGAAAGCTTCAGCTAGGGCAATGATCATAAGGATAGAAAGGAAGAATAAATGCGATGTTGTCATCCTCGTATGTGAGCTAATATGAGGAGAGAAAAGTAAAAAAAAATGATTCCCTGTTGTCTGACTGGAGCAACAGGATAGTATTGGTGCATTCAGTAAGAGGGGGAGTCATGGAGAAGCAGTGGTGTCTTAAGTTGTATACTCTAGGAATGGGCTCTGAGATAAAGCTTTGCCTGCAGGAGTTGTGTACAGGAATGCTCTCAGGAGATACATCTGTGGGGAAGTGAGGAAGGCAGTACTGGATATAGAGAGAATCTGATCCACAGTGTGGTTGCTACTGAGGCCTCAGCTAGTTCTATGGGAGCTCTGAAACTCAAATGAGACCTTCAGATTTATCTCATATTGAAATAAGGGAGCTAGACCTCTATTCCCATATCGGCCCATCATTGGCCTTAGTCTACCCCCTGTGAAGGACATACCTTTGAAAAAATACATTTCCTACAACCTAGGACAATTCCTAGTAAGGGCTGCAGCTGCAGATACATACTCCCAGTGTTAGGGGAATGGTTGTGTTTACTCTGAACAGGGGATCCGGAAAAGTACCACAATATCTACCACAAAGTATTTTTTGTGGGACTAAGTATTAATGGAGTTATTAATTTGGGGGAATAAAAAGTTCTTAGACTCCAAATTTAAGAAAGAATATGACCAATTATTCTTTGACTATAGCAACCATAACTACCTGTATCAGTTTTCAACTGATCTCCATTGACATCAATATCCAGGCTAGCCTGTCAGCAACAGCTTCACTCCTGTGAACATGCTTCTGAAAGGTATCCAGGCTAACCCAACCAGCAACAGCCTCACTGAAGTAATCACATTTCCTTATCTTGATTTGGGTTCATCTGTGAGATTTCCAAATATAAATGTCATGTGGGCAGTTTACCAGTTGTACAAATTAACATAAGCATGGAATAGAGATCTGAGTTGACAATAAGTTTATTTTTATTTTTAGTTTTTTTTTTTTTCAGATGGAGTCTCACTCTGTGGCCCAGGCTGGAGTGCAGTGGTGCGATCACGGCTCACTGCAACCTCTGCCTCCCGGGTTCAAACAATTCTCCTGCCTCAAACTCCTGAGTAGCTGGGATTACAGGCACGCGCCACCATGCCCCACTAATTTTTATATTTTTAGTAAAGACAGGGTTTCACCATGTTAGCCAGGCTGGTCTCGAAATCTTGACCTCAGGTGATCCACCCGCCTCGGCCTCCCAAAGTGTTGGGAGTACAGGCGTGAGCCAATGTGTCCGGCCTTGGGAATAAGTTCTTGCAGTCATCAGTTTATGGACGGTATCTGGAGCTATAAGGACAGAGACATTTCTCTGAAGAATGTAGAAATTGAGGACGAGAAACAGGTCTGCAAACCTAAGAAACCACCATCAATTGCAGCAACATTTCTAAAATCTTAAGATGCTGAATCACCTGGGGGTGTTTTCAAAATGCAAATTCTGTGGTCCAGTAGATCTGGTGTAGGACCCAAAATTCTACATTTATAAAAAAAGACTTCCTGACCGGGCACAGTGGTTCTGCCTGTAATCCCAGCATTTTGGGAGGCCGATGCAGGCGGATCACCTGAGGTCAGGAGTTTGAGACCAGCCTGACCAATATGGTGAAACCCTGTCTGTACTAAAAATATAAAAATTAGCCAGGCTTGGTGGCGGGCTCCTGTAATCCCAGCTACTTGGGAGGCTGAGGCAGGAGAATTGCTTGAACCTAGAAGGCAGAGGTTGCAGTGAGCCGAGATCATGCCATTGCACTCCAGCCTGGGCAACAGAGCAAGACTCTGTCTAAAAAAAAGACTTCCTAGTGTTACAGATCCACAGATCACATTATGAGTAACAAGAAATTAAAGCATGGGAAGAAGAGGAGACCAAAAAGATGAAGCAGGAAGACCCGAGGAGCTCAGGGGGAAAAAAAAATGGTGTTTATGTCCTAAATGCTAAGACAATGTAGGTTCAAGAAGACAGGAATAGTTGGGATATCAAATCTAGACATGATTTGGGCAATCATGGGGAGGCTCAGTTGCTTAGAAGGCCCCGGATAACCACATACTTCTTACCTTCTCAGAGTAACATAAACACACGCAAGTCATTTGACATGGATCCATCTACCACATTAGTCAGTAGAGGTTACATTACTAAGAAACGGAACACTGGACAGGGAATAAAGTCAGGGGAGGAATAATTTATGTGGATATTGGAGAAACGAAGGAGGCAGAGAAATGAGATTAGCAGGGACAGATTGAAACTGGGTAGAGGGATGTAGAGGGGACTGTAAGAACCCAAGAAAAAGACATTAGCAAAAAGAGAAAGAGTTCTGTAAGGGTAGAAAAGGAAAATAATGAAGACAGATATTGCTTGTTTGACATTACTACCAAAAGATGGTCCTAAGCCCAAAAAGCCCAAGAAACGAATACATTTATCAAAAAACAAGTGGGTGAAGAAATGAGAGAGCATCTCAAATACGTACATTCATTCATACAAAAGTTTGGAGGAGTGAGTGCCTTAGTTTGGGTTCCCCTGAAAGCCGAGTGTGACTCTTAGGGGTAGATAGTTTATTTGGGAAGCAATACCGTGAAGTGAAGCGGTAACTCAGGAAAGCAGGGGAAGCCAAAAGAGTGCACGTTATCACAGTCACGGCTATTGGCCATGGACTTCTGAAAAGCTTGGAGAATAACTTGCAAGGTGTTCACCAATACTGACACCAGTTCCCCTTGGTAGAACATTATTCTCTGAAGAGATTAACCCTCTGCACTTCTAGCTTGTTTTTCCTGTGGGTTCAGAGGAGGTCCTGAGATAAAGAACAAGGAGATGCTCACATTCCTTGTTGGGGATTGGATGTTGCCCGTAGAAATGACTCTGACCCCACATAGAAACATCCACCTCAGCTGCAGCTGCAATGAGAGGTAAAACAAGTAATGGATATAAGGTACCGAAGGCATGGGCCACAGGGAGCCAACATGGTGCATCTGCAGACACTTTTTGAGACAGTACACTTTTCAGTTTCTATGTCCAGAGTGCTAATAAAAAATAATTGTTAAATCAGGTTGCCTGGTAAGAGCTGAACAGTCTGGAAGCTACAAACAGGCTGTATCTCTGTGCAAACTGGTGTTCTGTAAATACTTCCCTGGCAATTCTGTTCTCCCTAATTAATTGGCCAAGCTAAGCCTTTGTAAGCAGCAGTATAAGAGGCAAAACTTCAGCGTGGTCCCTGCCAAAATCATCACAAATCCTGAATTAGTCGGATGTGAATTAATGAGCTTTTAGCGAAGCCTGGTTTTTGTCAGACATATTGATCCTGGAGTGAAACAGCCCATTAAAGCCTATAATTAAGATGCAGTTTCTGTTTGAAGATGAAGTGCCTGGGCAGGGACAAATTGTGAGATGCGTGTTCCTGTGAGGCTGACAGGTGATCAGAGGATGAACGTATATTAGTAGTTTCTCTTGTTTTCCTCCTGACGGGAAATGACAGCCACATTTCAAATGAAACAAATGGAGTTTACACAATTATTTAGACCTAGAAGCGAAAGAATCTTCAGATCACAAATTACTGGCAGAAGTAATTTTCCTACCAAGTAAAAGGAAGTTGTTTTGTATTAGCTCACCCAAACCTTCCCTTGCCTGCTTTCTTACTATAATGTGGGTGGGTAATCAGATGTCCTTTACCAGGAAATGTCCTTTAATAAGTGCTTGGAGTGTTAGCATAATAGAGGCCAAAGGGAGACTGGTGAAGGTGGGGAGGGGAGCTATTGGCTTTGGCTAGGTGGGGACCTTGAGGAACTGCAACAGAGTGGGGTCTGGAGCAAATTGCTGATGAGGGATAGGAAGAAAATGTGGACACTGCTGCATTTTCATTTTGGAAGATTGAGGAAATGTCCTATTTTTCTCTACCATATTTGGCACAGGTGAATTTTTCTTTTTTCTTTTTTTTCTTATTTATTTATTTATTTTTTGAGGAAAGTGAAGGAGTGCTGAGGTCCAGATTAATTGGGCCTGAGGTGAAGACAGACTGCAGAGATCACAGGAAGTCACAGTACAACACTCCACGCCAGGACATAATGCAAATGAGTTCCTTTCAAGGACGGGTTTGAAAAAAAGAAAACACACAAACTCTACCTCTGCATAGGATAAAAGGGAGGAAGAAGAAAGAAAGAGCAGGAATTTAAGGAGCCAGGCATTGAAGAAGTTTCCTTTTCTTTCTTTTTTTTTTTCTTTTTACACTATTTGTTTTATTTTATTGTATCTTATTTTAGACTCATAGGGTTCATGTGCACGTTTGTTACATGAGTACATTACATACTGGTGGGAACTGAACTTCTAGTGTACGCATTACTCACATAGTGAACATTATACCCAACAGATAATTTTTCAGCCCTCACCACCCTCCCTCCCACACCCTTCTGGAGTTCCCAGTGTCTGTTGTTTCCTTCTTTATGTCCATGTGTACCCATCGTTTAGCTCCTACTTACAAGTGAGAAGATGAAGTGTTTGGTTTTCTATTTCTGAGTTAGTTCACTTAGGATAATGGCCTTCAGCTCCATCCATGTTGCTTCAAAGAATATGTTTTTATTCTTTTTTATGGCTGCAAAGTGTTTCATGGTGTTTATATATCACATTTTTAAATCCAGTCAACCATTGATGGACACTTAGGTTTTATGACTTTGTTATTGTGGACAACACTGTAACGAACATACAAGTGCAGGTGTCTTCTTTAAATAATGATTTTTTTTTTTTCCTTTGGTAGATACTCAGTAGTGGATTGCTGGACCTAGTAGCAGTTCTATTTTTAGTTTTTTGAAAAAATTTCTTACTATTTTAAATAGAGGTTGAATTAATTCACATTCTCACTAATAGTGTATAAGTGTTCCCTTTTCTCCACATCCACACCAACATTTGTTGTTTTTTGACTTTCTAATAATAGCCATTCTGACCAGTGTAAGACGACATCTCATTGTGGTTTTAATGTGCATTTCTCTGATGATTATTGATGTGGAGCATTTTTTTTTCGTGCACTTGTTGGCTGCTTGTATTTCATTTTTGAGAAATGTCTGTTCGTGTCCAGTTTTGAATTAGGTTATTTTTCTTGTTGAGTTCTTTAATTTCCTTTTAGATATTAATTCTTTGTCAGAGGCATAATTTGCAAATATTTTCTCCCATTTACAGTAGTCACACATGCACAAAATACCTAGAAATACATTTAATAAAGGAGGTAAACAATCATTATAAGGAGAACTACAAAACTCTGATGAAATAAATTGTAGATGACACAAATAAATGAAAAATTATCACATATTCATGGATTGGAAGAATCAATCTTGTTAAAATAATCATACTGCCCAAAGCAGTTTACACATTCAACATAATCCTTATCAAATTACCAACATCATTTTCCACAGAATTAGAAAAAACAATCCTATAATTTCATATGGAACAAAGAAAAAAGAGCCCAAATAGCCAAAGCAATCTTAAGCAAAAAGAAAAAAATCTAGAGGCATCACATTGCCTGACTTCAAATTAAACAACAAGGCTATAGTAACTAAAACAGCATGGTACTGGTACAGAGATAGATGCATAGATCAATGAAACAAAATAGAGAACCCAGAAATAAAGCCACATACCTACAACCAACTGATCTTCAACAAAGGTGACAAAAATAAACAGAAGGGAAAGGACACCCTATTCAATAAACGGTGTTGGGATAGCTGGCTGGCCATATTCAGAAGAATGAAACTAGACCCCTGTCTCTCACCATATACAAAAATTAACTGAAGATGGATCAAAGACTTAAATGTAAGGCCAGAAACTATAAAAATCTTAGAGGAGAACCTAGGAAAAACTCTCTGGACATTGGCCCAAGCAAAGAATTTATGACAAGTTTCCTTTTCTTTTTTATCATGTTGAGGCATCACTAAAATCCTTGGGGATGGGAATAGAGGTGGATTGGTTAATTCCCATTTTAAAGATGATAAAACTGAATGTCAATTAACTTATTTGCCCAGATTAGCTATAAAGTAAAAGAACTAAAATCTAAACACAAGTTTGACATCTCAGTGTTCTCCCTCCTCCTAAAATTGCTCTACAACAATGTTTTCTGGTGTTATGTAAAAGTATGTGGTGATGTACCTGTGCCAATATTTACAGGAAAGTTTAACAGGCATAAATACAAAACACGAAGTCTGCTTGCACAAATATCTCATAGATGCAGTTATAGTGATTATCGTCAACCACCAACACAATTAAAGCAGTTATCTAACATGAGCAAAAAGCCACATGAAATTTACACATACATGTCAAGTATGAAGTCATTATAATCTACTGTGAATATCACCTAAGGACAATGATAGATGATGCATTATAGATGAGAACTCTCCTTACAGGGGGTAGCAGAGAGGATATATTTGTACTTCAACTCCCAGGGATTCCTTGTGGGTGACCCCAGACAGGCAGAGGTAAACTGTGGTCCTGATCAGCCTTCATGGCCATTCATAAGATGCACATGGGAAAATAGACAAGGAGTTGGTATACTAATATTTTGCAGACATCAAGGCTTTGGAATGTTTCACTTTCCTTTATTGGTGCTCTGGTAACAATAAACAACATCCATGCCTACCTTATTGAACCTATATCACTCTTCCTAAGAGGAACGTAGAGGCATCTAAATGGTAGGTACTGACGGCAAGTGTGGTGGACACTGTTGCCGCTCCATCCGGATCCCTTTCCTGGGGCGGTACATCCATGTCTAGCTGCTAAGAGCTCCTTTTCTCCTGAAAATTAACCTGGGAAGCACAAAAGCTGCCTTATCTGGGAAGTGACTGCTCTTTATCACCAACTTTTGCACTGAGAGCAGCCTATAGACGATGACTGACAAACATGGTGGCACAAGAGCCCAGCACCCTTATCTCAGAAAGAAACAACTCCACGGTGAAATTCATGCCTCAGGGCTGCCCATGGGATCAGGCTGAAGTTAGTCACTAGTTAAGCCCACATCTGTGCCTGGCTTCTTCTCTGTCCTATTCTGCTTCCCTCATTCCCTGATCCAGTCTTATGTAATACCCTAACATAACCGGACTATGATTCTCAAAGTCAGCTCAGGTCCTGGGCTGATTTCAGGGCCAAGATCATACAAAGGAGCCTCTTGACTTCCAAGATATTTCCATACTATGGCTTATTAGTAGCAGAAATCACCTTAAAGAGAAACAAAGCTTTTTTTCCTAAATTTATATTTAAGATTTAAAATACAAAAAGTTCAAGGAAAGATGGCAGTTTAAAAGGAATACATTCCTATGAGAGTGTAAGTATTTGGAAAGGAGAAAAGGACATGAAGGAGTTAGATTTACAAGGCATTTGACTTGGCAATTTTGGTGGAGCCATTTAAAAATTGTGGTTTTAGTGCAGCTGCTTTGAAATATATATATAATTTTTAGTTTATCAAATCCTCACCTCATCATGAAATTTTACTTCATTGTTAATATTCATGCTTGGTGTGGGGATTATGAATTAATGTAAGTAAGTATTTAATAAATATCAACCTCTTTGGATCATTTATATTGCATAAAAACACATGTTATTTTTCCAAATGACATTCATTCTTAATGCCCACTTCTCCCTCCAATTAGTCTTCCATTTCTTGGTCATCTATCCAGTAAAATTCCTTGTGGTGTTGTCTGTCCTCTCTCTCAAATGACGTCCGTCCAAATTTGCTTGGATATGCACCAATCAGGTTTTTTCCTAAACACTTTCTGAAAACTTGGCTTGTCATGATCACCTGTTATCTCCATATTGCTAAACCTGATGGCCAATTCTTTTCTTTTTTTTTTTTTTCATTAGCTTTTAGGACATCACCGTCACCTGGTTTTTTTCTTGTCTTGGCTTCTCTTTTTCCATCTCCTTTCCTGGTTTCTCCTTTCCTCATCTACCTCTAAATGCTATAATGTCTCAGAATTCAGTCCTTGGAAGTTCTCCATTTTCTGTCCATTCAGTCCCTGTGTGTGATCATTGTGTGAATCATTGCAGATGATTCCTGACTAATATCAGCAGCTGTTCCTCCTCCCTCTACCTGCCACTACACAGCTTTAGATGTAAATATCCAAATTTCTACTTAACACTTCCTCTTGAATGTCTAGTAGGCATTACAAACTTAGCATGCTTAAATAAGTGTTCCTTAATTCCCCAGTCTAAGTTCTACTTGCAAATGTTCCTGTCCTCAATTAATGACAACACTGACCTTAGCATTATTCAGGCCAAAACCTTTTGTGTCAACCTGATTCACCTCTTCGTCTTGCAGTTCACATCTAATCCATCATCAAATTCTGAAGAATTTAGCATTAAAATAGATATCCAGATTTTAACCACTTGTTATTATCTTTACTGCTATTACCTGTTCAGATGATCATTATTTCTCATTTGGATTAGCTAGGAATTGGTCTCCCTGATCATACAAGTCACAGTGACATGGTTAAAAACTAACTCAGATCATTTAGAATCAAAGCAAAAATCCTTGAACCCCTACAGCCCTATGTAAACAAACTGTCTCAACCCTTTACTTGCTGATCTTACTCTCTCTCTTGCTTTTACACTCAGGTCATACTGAGCTTCTCACTGTTCTATAAACACATCACACGTGCTCCCACCTCAGGGCCTTTACACCTGCTCTTCCCTCTGCTTAACATACTTTTTCCATAGATACAGCTGTGGCTTGCTGACTTCATCCTTTACATATTTTTTAAGAAGTCACCTTCTCGGTAAGGGCTTTTGGAGGTACCCCTGACACTTCATATACCCTCTCCTGCTTTATTAACTAACTACTCACAATATATTTGATACAATTGAACATAATAACATTATGTTTTTACTTATTTGCTTCCTTATTTTCTACTTCCCTTCATTAGAATGTAAGTTCCATGAGGGCAGAAACACTGATCTATTATGTTCAGTATGTATGCCAGTACCTGAAACAGTGTCTAACACATAGTAAGTGCTCAATAAATGCTTTTAACAGTTTTATTGATGTATAATAGATATACAAAATGCACATTTTATGCACGTTTTATGCATACAATCTGATGCCTTTGAACATATACACACATCTGTGATACCATCATCACAATTGAAGTATTAAACATATCCAACACCTCCAAAAACTTGTGTTCTTTTTTTCTCCCTTTGGTTGTTTTTATGTGTGCGGTAAGAAAACTTAAGATCTACTTTTTAAACAAAGTTTAAGTGCATATTAACATATTGTTAACTGTAGGAACTATGTTGTACACCAGGTCTCTAGAACTTACCCATCTTGCATAAATGAAACTTTATACCCATACAGCAACAATTTCCCATCTCCCCCTGTCTCCTGACCCTGGAAATCATTCTATTCTATGCTTCTATGAGTTTGACTATTTTAGATACATTATATGAGTGGAATCATGCAGTATTTGTCCTTCTGTGAATAGCTAGCATAATGTACTCCAGGGTCATCACCAAATCCTGAAGAATCTATGTTGTTCCAAATTACAGGATTTCTGTCTTTCTTAAAGCCGAATAACGTTTCATTGTATGTACATGCTACAATTTTTAAAATCCATTTCTCTGTCAATGGACATTTGAGTTTTTTCCATATCTTGGCAATTGCGAATCATGTTGTAATGAACACGGGAGTGCAGGTATCTCTTTGAGATTTTGATTTCAATTCTTTACAATATATACTCAGAAGTAGTATTGCTGGATTATATGATAGTTCTGTTTTTAATTTTTGGAAGAAACTCCAAACTGCTTTCCACAGTGGCTACACCATTTTACATTCTCACCAACAGTATGCAAGGGATTCAATTTCTTGAGATCTTCACAAACACTTGTTATATTTTGCTAGTAGCCATTCATATATGGCCAACTTATCTTTGACAAGGGTGTTGAGAATACACAATGGGGAAAGGGTAGCCTCTTCAACAAATTATGCTGGAAAAAATTAATATTGCATGCAAAGAATCAAATTATTGCCCTATGCACAAAAGTCAACTCAAAATAGATCAATGACTTAAACATTAAGACCTAAAACTATGAAACTCCCAGAAGGGGAAGAGCTTCTTGACTCCTGCATGGAGAGTGACTGCTTGAGTATGACAACAAAAGCAAAAACAGATGAATGGAACTACATCAAGTGAAAAACAGCTCCTATGTAGCAAAGAAAGCAATCACCAGAGTGAAAAGTTAACCTGTGCAATGGCAGAAAATATTTGAAGACCATTTATCTAATAAGGGATTAATACCTAAAATATGTAAGAAAGTGCTACAATTCAATACCAAAAAAAAATCCGTTTTTAAAAACAAGGACGTGGATAGATATGTGTCCAAAGAAAAGTAAAAATGGACACCAAGTATATGAAGATGTGCCCAACATCACTAACCGTCAGAGAAATGCAAATCAAAACCAAAATGAATTATAATCTCTGTTAGGATGGCTACTATCGGTAAGTGTTATATGTACAAATAAGAGAATGAATGAATGTGGTTGAAATGGGTGAATGTCAAGAATGGGTTATTTGGGCAGTAGCTGGAATACAAAAAGTGGGAGTCAAGTGTTCATTACACTAACATATCTCAATAAGGGTCAGTATTCATTTTAAACACAATATTTCATTTTCTAAAAATTTACTGGCACCTGAGTCTACAGTCCTAATTCTCTGATTTTTGTCTTAATTCATAAAGAGTACATTACTTTGATTAATAAATTTAGATAACTAAAATAAAACTACTTGACTTTCCATATTTAAATAGTGACAATTAGTATAATTAGTATGATGATTATTATTTTTATTGTGCTTAAGTGATTGAATATTTGTAAGAATAATATTGTCAATTTTTTACATTAATAGAGCATTTAATGATTATTCAGAATGTATATGGACCCAAAATTTTCATATTTAAAAAGCTTTATACTTCTAAATATAAAAAAGCCACTTAACATAAATAATTTCAAGTTCAATTATAATGGTTTCATATTGAGAGTAAAAAAATTCTTGTAAACTTTTACCAACATTTTTGCACTTATATTGATAATAGAAAACCTGAGAAATAGGTACTCATTTGTCAACTTCGTTCTCTTTTTCACTACTATACGTACTTTAAACAAAAGTAGAAAATCCTAACCCATACTTATGTATCACAAATGATGGCAGTATGTTTCGAGTCCATGTTCAAAAATGATGGCAGTATGTTTCGAGTCCATGTTCAAATGAGATATACCAGATATCTGTCGTATCTTATTTGAATACCAGATATCTGGGTTCTCATTTGAATATGGACTCAAAATATAGTGGTGGATCTCAGTGAAGATAACTTTCAGTGCTGTTGGGTGCTGAGTCGATAGTTACATCCCCTTCGAAGCGGGCAAGGCTACATATTTCATCTTGAAAATGCATTCTTCATTCTTATACTGTTTGCATTAAGACTTGAAAAGTATTATTAGTTTTTCTTTTGTTTTTATATTCTCTTTCATCTTTTGGGCCAACAAATTCTTTTACAAAAGTAAATAAAATTTATAAAATTGGCAAAAAGGCAAATTTTCAACAATCAAGTTATTATATAAAATGTAAACATGTATTTCCTTCTTGACCAAGAAGTTAAGAAAATTGTTAGTCGTTGAAAAACAAAACTTTTGTTTTAATAATTGAGTCATAGTACCAAAATGTAGACTTTAAGAAATCCTGACATTTTCTATTCTTCCATTTTAGAATTGTGGGATGTTGGACCTGGGGTGACATGTTTATATTTCTAAAGGCCCTAACATTTCTAGGATTATATTTCTGGAAGGAAGTACTGGAAGTCATAAAAATGATGTCTTTGTTTTGGTCTAGGTTATGAGGAAATGCTTTCATTTCAAGCCTCTTTTCAAATACTCACGTGCTTACCGTTTTTATTGAAACTCAAAACTTCAGTATGAAAAAGTAGAGTCTTGTTCTATCTGTATTCACTGATGACCATTTAGTTACAGTCACAATTTGTACCTTTTTCTCCACTCCAAACTGAGACTAAGAGGGAAATTGTTGGCTGCTAACTGTTCTCTATGAATAAATCACTGTGTGGCTGAGAGTATAGGTGGAGCCAATTTCATCTGCACTGCAACACTAATCTTTATTGCACGTTTAGTGGGTCTTAGTATTAGCATTTATGAGAATAAATTTTTTTCTAGTCTATATGAATGCTCACAAAACAATAATAAGTTAAATAGAAATTATCTTCTTTTCCAGTTTGAATTTTTAGCATATAACAAAACAAAAAATTATACATTTCTCCCTTTGTTGAGACTTTCTCCTATACTAAGAACTGATTCACACACTACACAACCTCTGGTTTCATCCAGCTGTAAGGTACAACACCTGTTAGCATATCCACAGTAGTTACAGAGTAAATATAATGGGGCAGAGAGCAATGAACATTAAAATACATGAGAATACTCAAGTAATATTTTAAGATAAATAGACATAACTAACCAAATAAATTGAATTTTGCCTGGAATCCAATATGCAAGGACAGGGGAAAAGACAGAGCACTCTAATCCCAATTGGTATCTACAAAAATGAACTTAAAAAAAAAAGATTCTTGCATAGTTTTGATCACAAAGGTATAATATAATTTTCACTCACTTGGAAAAAAAAATAACCAGAATTATAGTTACCTCAAAGGGAGGACTGAGTTGATGAAGACAAATTTAACCAGGTTACCCAACCAGTTCCTGTAATATGCTGACTTTGTGATTGTAAGAGGTAGATGAACACACAAAATGTGACATGGTAGTCATCCTGAGGATAGACTAGAAGAACTCCTTAGGTGAGGCTTTGGGTCAAATTGGAATTGTATTAATCATAACTGCCTACTGTTATAAAGGAATATCCAACAATATAATGGATAAAGGAATTATGGTAATGGCTTATTTTGGCAATGACATAATCACCTTTCTTTCTGTGCTCTTTTACTTGACATTAATTTTGGTTGACTGTTGCAAGCACTTTGGTGAAATAAGATTTATATTGGTTTCTGCTATAGAGAAAAAACTTGTAATTATGCACCTCTCATTTTTATCTCTTCTTTGACTTCAGAGATAAAATTTTCCATTTGGTCCTGATTTACTAATTTGCATTTGTTCTGATAAATAAGTGCATGTTTCATTTATGAATTTAAAAATGACATGAAAATCTAGAAGGCTTCATAAAATACTTTCAAAAGTTTCACAGCAGGCATATTTGGAGATGAAACCTCAGCCATACAATAAAAACATCTTAATTTTTGATATTAACAATTATATTTCCTATTTGCACTCTTAATTTTTAGCTATGTGAAATTATCAATACATATATACAGTCACATTCTGTACTCATACTGAAGATCTATTTACTATTTATATCATAACATCATCTTAATATAATCCTTTTATTTGTTTTTAATAGCACTATTATCTCCAATGAAGTATTTCTGAGTCATCTATTCATTTGTGTCAATTGGGGATATAACAGTACACACTAGTAAGAACAAAGACTATTTAACAAATGAAAACAATACATAAGCATCTGATTTTGCTGCTTGGATGTTGAAAATAGCATTGTCAAGATGAACCATTCTATTAATGTAATGTTAGTCAAAGTATACTGACCAACTCAGTTTTTTAAGTACATGCAAAACCTTTGAGAAAAATGTGAAATGCATGCAGAATTTCTGTGAAAATTTAAAATAATCTAACATTTCACACTTATGAACTGTGCATAAGCCAAACAATTATGTCACTTTTTCTTGTGAACTTGCCAAACTTCCTCTGGATCACCTGAGATACCCCTAGGGTCCTCCTAGCATCCCTCTGACTGTGCCCTAGAGAAGCATTATATTATACAATCATCAACTTGCACATCCCCACCTCACTGAGGTGATGAGTTGGACAAAGGAACCTATCCTTTAGCAACTGAGAAGAATCTAGACATTGGCAAGTTCTAGGTTTCCTTCTTCTATCTAGTCCACAAATCCCAATAACTGTAAGAAAGCAGAAGAGCAATTAAATTTTGCATCAGTAAGAATTATTCAACATACCCCTGTCCCTTCACACTGAGGGCAGAAACAAAGAAAGTGTGTATCTGCATCTATCTGTCTGTCTGTCTGTCTATCTATCTATCCATCCACACATACACAAATTCATAAAAAGTCAAACTGAGAGATTAATTTTCCACTGTGTGTGTTGCTTTAATAAATTATTACAAACAACAACTACAAATGTCTTTTTTATAACCATGTATTCAAATATTTTCAAAAATGCTTTTTATCATGGTTGGCAGGGGAAAGCTTTGTTTCTTTGTTTTCACCCTATTCCAATGGCTTGATCTAAAGTCTTCTCCCAGTTGAAGAAGGCTAACTCACTAATGAGCTCTGCCACTAGGAAATTCTTCTTATTATTAATCTGAGGATGCCTTTCAAGGAGGTTCAGTCATTCAGACTGAGACTGTCATAAGCCAATCAAAGTGGGACCCAGTAACTTTATTGACCTAATTTACCAAAGGTTCTAAATGTTTTGTGAAAATTAAGATTTTTTTTTTTTGAGGAATATGTTTTTTCCTCACAAGGATGTTAGGTATCATTGTGATAATGCGTAAAATAAAATCTAATGTATTTAGGATATGCTAGCTATCATTACAAAGCCCTGATAGTCCAATGTACAACTATTTTTTATTGTCAACATCTCTAAATAATTATATCCACCATTGAGTTAAATAAACAATTTCAAAGATTGTTTTTCCCCAATTTTAACACAAAAATAAATCACATGTGAGAATTTTTATTTTTCTCTTTTTTCGTCTCTTTCTCTCTTTTCCTGATAGAGTAGAAATAACCGACTCAAACCATTACCTCTAAGTTGAGATGCCATATATCACTCAGCCCTTTTCAAGCAATGAATGGTGCTTTGTACCATCTTTTAGTATTTAATTTTATTTTTTGGTTCTCATAATCTTCTCTTTGAAGCTTATGGGAATCAAACCTCATCACTGTTCCTCTGTGAACCCAGTTACAATTCAAGAAACCCCAAATTTATGTCTCTGGACTTCTCACTTCTTACTTCATCCTAAATAAAAACAATGCCATCATTTTGATGGACCCTTTGCTTTTCGTCTAACTCTGAATTAGACACTTTACTTATCTTCTTCCTCTGAATTAGAGAAACAAAGAGAATAAAACTCACTTTTATAATAGTGAACAATAATTTAAGCATCTGTAAAACACATGTTCTGTGTCCTCCAGCAACTTTAGCACAATGCAGCATAGAACTGCCTGTAATTTGCAGGCCTCTCCTCTGGTTCCTCCAAAGTGGCTTCTCCCAGTTTTCTTCCTGAGGACATTGGAGTTTATCATTAAAAGAATCTGCAAGAAGTTCGTACATGCTTTCATTTCAGACACACCATGGTGAATGAATAATAGCCATTCCATAAGAAAAGGGCTCCAGTGAAAGGGCTTCATGCATTAGGATGGCCAGCTCTTGATGCTGCATGACCAGTCCTCTTTCAGGGCCCATCAGGTAGATGGAGAATTGCAAAAGCAGGCTACCTATGGGGTAGCCTTCTGCTCATAATATGGGGCCTTCATAGTATCTGCTTAAGGAAACTGGCATAGGAATATGGGTTTAGGCCAGGAATGTCTACCCTAAATTGTCCCAAACATGATACATGTGAGGTTGGCCCAAACTGTCCAAACTTGGATATAAAGCTTAAGTCACCTTCTCTGGAAATGATGGCTCAGCCTCCCAGCTCATGTTTGCAAAGAAAACACTTAAGGTTTATGCAAGCACATAGGTGGGGCCCAATAGTCAAACAGCAAACAGGCTGGGAGCCAAAGTGGAAACTACCAAATAAGGATAACTGAAGGTTTAACCTTTAGATTGCTGCACAGTAGGCTAAAGATAGCCTACATTGCCATGCAAGACACAAGTAGCATAACTACAGATGAATAAAATTCCAGATCACATTAAAATCCTTCACCATAGTCCTACTCTGCAATATATAAGGATGAATAGACACATCAGTTAGTAGAACTCATTACAGGCACGCTAAATTATTCATTGAAGAACTACTATAGAATGCAGAGGGGCATTAAGTTGCCTGATGAAACTTGAATTCTGTCTGGATCTATGCTGATAGGTATTCCTTGTATGTATTATGTATTTGTAGGTATTATGCCCATAGGTAAGAGTATTTCTTTTCTTGCATAAATATTATAAAGGCATTGGTCAAAGGTCACAGTGCTTATCTAATTAATGACTTTTCTTCTTCCTTCACCTCTACCTTCTCATTATTATTATCAATAATATAATTATAAAAGTAATACATTCATAATGCAAGAGATTAAAGTAGTACTAAAAGATATAAAATGAAAAATGAAAGACTTCCCTCCCCTAGCTCCTACTTCCAATAGGATTTCACTGTTATCAGTTCCTTTTTTGTTTCTATAATTATAAAATGGGAGGGAAAAAAAGCTCCCCCTAAAATCCCACATTTAGCATATTATTCAGAAAGATTATTTAGCATATTATTCAGAAAGATTAAGGAAGATATGACATCCAGGAAATAGGAACAGAACACTATATGAAGAAGAAAAATCAGAAAGCACTATACAGTCCTTGAAAATTAAAACCATTAGAGCAGAAATGAGAAAAAGAAACATATTCAAATACTAGAGGAGAAAGTTTAAGAAGAATTTCAGAGTAGAACCAGAAGAAAAATATAAAATTTTTTTAAAAGACAGGAAAATTAGTCACTCAATCCAAGAGGTTCAATATATAAATAATAGTAGTTTCCAAAAAGAGAGAACAAAGAAAATAGTAGGAATGCAATTTTTTAAATCAACCAATTAATTTGATAAATACATAATGAGTTTATCATGTTCCAGCACTATTTCTAGGTGTTCGGAATACATCAACAAACAAAACAGATAAAAGTGGCTTCACTTTCTGGAACTTACATTCTGGTACGGCTAGACAAACAAAGACCAACAATAGTTCAGTCATTTATGTAACATGGTGCAAAGTGATCACTGCTATCAGAAACAAACAGATGATGCAGAGAAGAGAGATCCAGGAGGGTATGGGAACTGGTTGCTAATTTAGATAGAATGATTAGGAGTGATTAGGGTAGACCTCATTTATAAAAGGTGAGATTTGACAAAGACTTGAAGGAGGGCATTAGCCAGGAAGATACATGAGGAAAAGTTCTTCCAGAGGAAGCGCCAAAGGACAAAATACCTAAGATATGAGGGTACCTGCATCTGGCTAGAATGGAGTGAGCAGGTCACAAAGGGCCTTGTCAGCTACTCTAAAAGACTGGGTTTTACAGGGGTCTGTTGGGGATATCTGGTAAGAGGAGAGGAACACTGTTTTAAAAGCAATAATCTGTAAGAGGAGAGGAACACTGTTTTAAAAGCAATAATCTCTGCTTTTCAAGAGAGTACTTGCTTTGTATTGCGAATAGACTGGATTTTGGTGTGAAATTGTATGGTTCTATGTGTTATTTTTATCCATTTTATTTTTTCAAGGTGGTGGCATGTATACTATCCTAAAAATATTTGGAAGCCTTTCTTTTTTCTATATTCTATGAAACCATTTAAATAAAATTGGATTTAAATACTCCTTGAAATATTGGTAGAATTGAACCTGTGAAACTATCTGGGAATTACATTTTTTTTTTTCTAGAGGCATATTATAGAATACATTCGCAACTGTTTACCTTTAACTTATGGCTGCTGGTCTACTTAAGATTTTCTATGTATCTTGAATCAAATTGTAATAATTTATATTTTACAGTTCAATCAGACATTCAAACTTATTTATATAGTTGAGGAAACTATTTCTTAATGTCATCTAACTTTTGGCTAATTCTTTGTTCTTATTTTGAATTTAGATTGTTGGCATTTTTATTTTTTCCCTATTTTATGTTAGTGTTTAATATGTCTAATTAATTTGTTCAAAGAAACAATCTTTGAATGTATGTATTTTGCACATTTTCTATTTCTTAACGCATTCAGTTCTGTGTCTTTGTTTCTTCCTTTTTTTCAGATTTATTTAGCAGAATTACATGACAGGTGAAAGCACAGGCTTTGAGTATATATGGTCTGGCATCTAATATTGTTTTTCCAGTAGTAACTAACTGCGTTACTTTTTCTAATGTATAAATAAATATTTATTTTAAGTGTTCTGCTAGCCAAATTAATTCCTCCTTTGACGCATATTCCTGTAACTACTTTTTGGTTTTTTATCTTTCTTCCCTTCCTTTTTTATGATTTCACTTCTTGTTATTGTGTATTTATTCACATATACCCTCTTAGAAGTTGGCTCTTGAAGTCTACTTTAAGAGAAGGCCATTAGTCTCAAAACAATTTTGAGAATGTCTGGAAAGTGAGGTAAGGAATTCAACAGTGTTACCTCTCAGCATTTAGAAGTTACCCCTTCTGGGTAAAAAAAAAAAAAAAAAAAATTACAAAGACTCATGTCTTGCAATAAAATTATGAAGCTCATGAAGCTCATGACCTTATTTTGGTGAATTACTGTTTGTTTATTTTGGCTCAGTATCCTCTACTTAATAGTTACAGAACATTTTTCAGTATTTCTGTCTTCTCCACTCTACCTGGTAACTTCAGGCTCCTTTTGTTAGTAGTTTTTACAGAAATAATTGACAATTTGTTTGAAATCTTCATATTAGCATCCTTCATTGAAATTATTTAGTTTCACTGTACATTCACAATTTCTCTCTTTTTTATAGTATTATCATAGATAATACTTATCTATTATTTTATCTCTTAATAAATTCCTTGGCATATTTTGAGGTTCAGCTTCCATTTTAGAAATGATGGTTGACAAATAATGCCTGTATAATCTATCTATTATTGAAAGTAACAAAGAAAAACACTTGAACAAAACAGTAATGGAGACAGACATGCAAAGCCTAGACTTTTACAACTAAGGAACTAACAGGGCAGGCTGATGTTATGTTATTAAACTTTGAATAAAGGCCCTATATTAAAAGGAGCCCCATGGGAATAAAATATAGCTAGTTAAATTCAAAGTTGCTTAGAGTTAGGAAATAATGGACAATTTTTTAAAACGTGGAGTCTAAATATATTGTAAAGATGTATGGAGGTATTAAAGATATTAGAATATATAAATATATATACACATATGTATGTATATGTATCAGTATGTATGTATAGGTGTGAGGAGGTGTGTGGAGAGAGAGAGAATGCCATATACTACAAATACAAATAGTGAACGAACAGTATTTTGGAAAAGAGATAGAAACCAGACTACTCTGTGTATTAGTTTTTTTTCATGCTGCTGATAAAGACATACCTGAGACTGGGCAATCTGCAAAAGAAAGAGGTTTAATGGACCTACAGTTCCACGTGGCTGGAGGAGCCTCACAATCATGGTGGAAGGCAGGGAAGTACATACAAGTCACATCTTACATGAATGGCAGCAAGCAAAGAGAGAGCTTGTGCAGGGAAACTCCCATTTCTAAAACCATCTGGTCTTTTGAGATTTATTCACTATCACGAGAAAACCATGGGAAAGATCTGCCCCCGTGATTCAACTATGTCTCACAGGGTCCCTCCCACAACGTGTGAGAATTCAAGATGAGATTTGGGTGGAGACACAACCAAACCATGTCATTCCACCCCTGGGCCCTCCCAAATCTCATGTCCTCAAATTTCAAAACCAGTAATGCCTTCCCAACAGTCCCCCAACGTCTTAACTCATTTCAGCATTAACTCAAAAGTCCGCAGCCTAAGTCTCATCTGAAACAAGGCAAGTCCCTTCCACCTATAAGCCTGTAAAATCAAAAACAGCTTAGTTACTTCGTAGATACAATGGGAGTACAGGCATTGGTAAATACAGCCATTCCAAATGGGAGGAATTGGCCAAAACAAAGGGGATATAGGCCCCATGCAAGTCCAAAATCCAGCAGGGCAGTCAAATCTTAAAGCTCCACAGTGACCTCTTTGACTCCATGTCTCACATTCAGGTCATGTCGATGCAAGAGGTGGATTTCCATGGTCTTGGGCAGCTCTGCCACTGTGGTTTTGCAAGGTACAGCCTCCCTCCTAGCTGCTTCCATGGGCTGGTGTTGAGTGTCTGCAGCTTTTCCAGGTGCACAGTACAAGCTGTCAGTGCTTCTAACATTCTGGGGTTTGGAGGATGGTGGCCCTCATCTCACAGCTCCACTAGGCAGTGCCCCACTAGGGACACTGTGTGGGGGCTCTGACCCCACATTTTCCTTCCACACTGCCCTAGCAGAGGTTCTCCATGAGGGCCCCACCCCTGCAGCAAAATTCTGCCTGGGCATCCAGGCATTTCCATACATCTTCAGAAACCTAGGCAAAGGTTCCCAAACCCCAATTTTTGACTTCTACGCACTCACAGGCTCAACACCACATGAAAGCTGCCAAGGCTTGGGGCTTGCACCCTCTGAAACCACAGCTCTAGCTCTTGGCCCCTTTTAGCCATTGGTCCCTTTGGTGCTGGAGCATCTGGGATGCAGGGCACCAAGTCCCTAGACTGCATATAGTACAGGGACCCTGGGCCTGGCCGACAAACCCACTTCTTCCTCCTAGGCCTCTGGGGCCTGTGATGGTAAGGTCTACCATGAAGGTCTCTGACATGACCTGGAGATATTTTCCCCATTGTCTTGAGGATTAACATTCTGCTCCTCATTACTTATGCAAATTTCTGCAGCCAGCTTGAATTTCTCCTCAGAATATGGAATTTTTTTTTTTTTTTTTTTTTTTTTTTTGAGATGGAGTCTCGCTCTGTCGCCCAGGCTGGAGTGCAGTGGTGGGATCTCGGCTCACTGCAAGCTCCGCCTCCCGGGTTCACGCCATTCTCCTGCCTCAGCCTCCCAAGTAGCTGGGACTACAGGCGCCCGCCACTACACCCGGCTAATTTTTTTGTATTTTTAGTAGAGACAGGGTTTCACCATTTTAGCCAGGATGGTCTCGATCTCCTGACCTCGTGATCCGCCCGCCTCGGCCTCCCAAAGTGCTGGGATTACAGGCGTGAGCCACCGCGCCCGGCCGGAATATTCTTTTTTACTACATCATCAGGCTTCAAATTTTCTGAACTTTTCTGCTCTGTTTTGCTTATAAAACTGAATGCCTTTAACAGCACCCATGTCTCCTCTTGAATGTTTTGCTTCTTAGAAATTTCTTCTGCCAGATATCCTAAAACATCTGTCTCAAGCTCAAAGTTCCACAAATCTCTAGGGCATGGGCAAAATGCCACCAGTCTGTTTGATAAAACATAACAAGAGTCATCTTTGCTCCAGTTCCCAACAAGTTCCTTATCTCCAACTGAACCCACCTCAGCCTGGATTTTATTGTCCATTTTATAATCATCATTTTTGTCAAAGTCATTCAACAAGTCTCTAGGAAGCTCCGAACTTTCCCACATTTTCCTGTCTTCTTCCGATCCCTCCAAACTGTTCCAAACTCTACCTGTTACCCAGTTCCAAAGTTGCTTCCACATTTTCGGGTATCTACAGCAGCACCCCACTATACTGGTAATTAGTCACTTTTCACACTGCTGATAAAGACATACCCAAGACTTGGCAATTTGCAAAAGAAAGAGTTTTAACGGACTTACAGTTCTATGTGGCTGGGGAAGCCTCAATGGTGAAAGTCAAGCAGGAACAAGTCACATCTCACATGGATGGCAGCAGGCAGAGAGAGCTTGTGCAGGGAAAGTCCCATTTTTAAAACCATCAGGTCTCATGAGACTTATTCACTATCACGAGAAAACCATGGGAAAGACCTGCCCCCATCATTCAACTACCTCCCACCAGGGCCCCCCCACAACATGTGGGAATTCAAGATGAGATTTGGGTGGGGACATAGTCAAACCATATCACTCTGCATATACCTTATTTTATAAATTGGCTTTGTAATTAGGTAAGTATTTTACATTTCTATTAAATGCAATTGAGACTTACAAGCAGTTTCCACAATTTGAAAGTAAAATAAAACAAATGCGGGGGGGGGAGCCAAGATGGCCGAATAGGAACAGCTTTGGTCTACAGCTCCCAGTGTAAGCGACGCAGAAGACGGTGATTTCTGCATTTCCATCTGAGGTACCGGGTTCAACTCACTAGGGAGTGCCAGACAGTGGGCGCAGGTCAGTGGGTGCGCACACCGTGCGCGAGCCGAAGCAGGGCGAGGCATTGCCTCACTCGGGAAGTGCAAGGGGTCAGGGAGTTCCCCTTCCAAGTCAAAGAAAGGGGTGACAGACGCACCTTGAAAATCGGGTCACTCCCACCCAAATACTGCGCTTTCCAGCAGGCTTAAAAAACGGCGCACCATGAGATTATACCCCGCACCTGGCTCGGAGGGTCCTATGCCACGGAGTCTCCCTGATTGCTAGCACAGCAGTCTGAGATCAAACTGCAAGGCTGCAGTGAGGCTGGGGGAGGGGCGCCCGCCATTGCCCAGGCTTGGTTAGGTAAACAAAGCAGCCAGGAAGCTCGAACTGGGTGGAGCCCACCACAGCTCAAGGAGGCCTGCCTGCCTCTGTAGGCTCCACCTCTGGGGGCAGGGCACAGACAAACAAAAAGACAGCAGTAACCTCTGTGGACTTAAATGTCCCTGTCTGACAGCTTTGAAGAGAGCAGTGGTTCTCCCAGCACGCAGCTGGATATCTGAGAACGGGCAGACTGCCTCCTCAAGTGGGTCCCTGACCCCTGACCCCCGAGCAGCCTAACTGGGAGGCACCCCCCAGCAGGGGCACACTGACACCTCACAAGGCAGGGTATTCCAACAGACCTGCAGCTGAGGGTCCTGTCTGTTAGAAGGAAAACTAACAAACAGAAAGGACATCCACACCAGAAACCCATCTGTACATCACCATCATCAAAGACCAAAAGTAGATAAAACCACAAAGATGGGGAAAAAACAGAAAAGAAAAACTGGAAACTCTAAAAAGCAGAGCGCCTCTCCTCCTCCAAAGGAACACAGTTCCTCACCAGCAACGGAACAAAGCTGGATGGAGAATGACTTTGACGAGCTGAGAGAAGAAGGCTTCAGACGATCAAATTACTCTGAGCTACGGGAGGACATTCAAACCAAAGGCAAAGAAGTTGAAAATTTTGAAAAAAATTTAGAAGAATGTATAACTAGAATAACCAATACAGAGAAGTGCTTAAAGGAGCTGATGGAGCTGAAAACCAGGCTCAAGAACTACGTGAAGAATGCAGAAGCCTCAGGAGCCGATGCGATCAACTGGAAGAAAGGGTATCAGCAATGGAAGGTGAAATGAATGAAATGAAGTGAGAAGGGAAGTTTAGAGAAAAAAGAATAAAAAGAAATGAGTGAAGCCTCCAAGAAATATGGGACTATGTGAAAAGACCAAATCTACGTCTGATTGGTGTACCTGAAAGTGATGGGGAGAATGGAACCAAGTTGGAAAACACGCTGCAGGATATTATCCAGGAGAACTTCCCCAATCTAGCAAGGCAGGCCAACGTTCAGATTCAGGAAATACAGAGAATGCCACAAAGATACTACTCGAGAAGAGCAACTCCAAGACACATAATTGTCCGATTCACCAAAGTTGAAATGAAGGAAAAAATGTTAAGGGCAGCCAGAGAGAAAGGCTACCCTCAAAGGGAAGCCCATCAGACTAACAACGGATCTCTCGGCAGAAACCCTACAAGCCAGAAGAGAGTGGGGGCCAATATTCAACATTCTTAAAGAAAAGAATTTTCAACCCAGAATTTCATATCCAGCCAAACTAAGCTTCATAAGTGAAGGAGAAATAAAATACTTTACAGACAAGCAAATGCTGAGAGATTTTGTCACCACCAGGCCTGCCGTAAAAGAGCTCCTGAAGGAAGCGCTAAACATGGAAAGGAACAACCGGTACCAGCCGCTGCAAAATCATGCCAAAATGTAAAGACCATCGAGACTAGGAAGAAACTGCATCAACTGACGAGTAAAATAACCAGCTAACATCATAATGACAGGATCAAATTCACACATAACAATATTAACTTTAAATGTAAATGGACTAAATGCTCCAATTAAAAGACACAGACTGGCAAATTGGATAAAGAGTCAAGACCCATCAGTGTGCTGTATTCAGGAAACCCATCTCACGTGCGGAGACACACATAGGCTTAAAATAAAAGAATGGAGGAAGATCTACCAAGCAAATGGAAAACAAAAAAAGGCAGGGGTTGCAATCCTAGTCTCTGATAAAACAGACTTTAAACCAACCAAGATCAAAAGACACAAAGAAGATCCCTTTACCATTATGTAATGGCCAATTCAACAAGAAGAGCTAACTATCCTAAATATATATGCACCCAATACAGGAGCACCCAGATTCATAAAGCAAGTCCTGAGTGACCTACAAAGAGACTTAGACTCCTACACATTAATAATGGGAGACTGTAACAACCCACTGTCAACATTAGACAGATCAATGAGACTGAAAGTCAACAAGGATACTCAGGAATTGAACTCAGCTCTGCACCAAGCAGACCTAATAGACATCTACAGAACTCTCCACCCCAAATCAACAGAATATACATTTTTTTCAGCAGCACACCACACCTATTCCAAAATTGACCACATACTTGGAAGTAAAGCTCTCCTCAGCAAATGTAAAACAACAGAAATTATAACAAACTATCTCTCAGACCACAGTGCAATCAAACTAGAACTCAGGATTAAGAATCTCACTCAAAACCGCTCAACTACATGGAAACTGAACAACCTGCTCCTGAATGACTACTGGGTACATAACGAAATGAAGGCAGAAATAAAGATGTTCTTTGAAACCAAGGAGAACAAAGACACAACATACCAGAATCTCTGGGACGCATTCAAAGCAGTGTGTAGAGGGAAATTTATAGCACTAAATGCCCACAAGAGAAAGCAGGAAAGATCCAAAATTGACACCCTAACATCACAATTAAAAGAACTAGAAAAGCAAGAGCAAACACATTCAAAAGCTATCAGAAGGCAAGAAATAACTAAAATGAGAGCAGAACTGAAGGAAATAGAGACACAAAAAACCCTTCAAAAAATTAATGAATCCAGGAGCTGGTTTTTTGAAAGGATCAACAAAATTGATAGACCACTAGCAAGACTAATAAAGAAGAAAAGAGAGATTAATCAAATAGACGCAATAAAAAATGATAAAGGGGATATCACCACCGATCCCACAGAAATACAAACTACCATCAGAGAATACTACAAACACCTCTAGGCAAATAAACTAGAAAATCTAGAAGAAATGGATAAATTCCTCAACACATACACTCTCCCAAGACTAAACCAGGAAGAAGTTGAATCTCTGAATAGACCAATAACAGGAGCGGAAATTGTGGCAAAAATCAATAGTTTACCAACCAAAAAGAGTCCAGGACCAGATGGATTCACAGCCGAATTCTACCAGAGGTACAAGGAGGAGCTGGTACCATTCCTTCTGAAACTATTCCAATCAATATAAAAAGAGGGAATCCTCCCTAACTCATTTTATGAGGCCGGCATCATTCTGATACCAAAGCCAGGCAGAGACACAACCAAAAAAGAGAATTTTAGACCAATATACTTGATGAACATTCATGCAAAAATCCTCAATAAAATACTGGCAAACCAAATCCAGCAGCACATCAAAAAGCTTATCCACCATGATCAAGTGGGCTTCATCCCTGGGATGCAAGGCTGGTTCAATATACGCAAATCAATAAATGTAATCCAGCATATAAACAGAGCCAAAGACAAAAACCACATGATTATCTCAATAGATGCAGAAAAAGCCTTTGACAAAATTCAACAACCCTTCATGCTAAAAACTCAATAAATTAGGTATTGATGGGACATATTTCAAAATAATAAGAGCTATCTATGACAAACCCACAGCCAATATCATACTGAATGGGCAAAAACTGGAAGCATTCCCTTTGAAAACTGGCACAAGACAGGGATGCCCTCTCTCACCACTTCTATTCAACATAGTGTTGGAAGTTCTGGCCAGGGCAATTAGGCAGGAGAAGGAAATAAAGGGTATTCAATTAGGAAAAGAGGAAGTCAAATTGTCCCTGTTTGCAGATAACATGATTGTATATCTAGAAAACCCCATTGTCTCAGCCCAAAATCTCCTTAAGCTGATAAGCAACTTCAGCAAAGTCTCAGGATACAAAATCAATGTGCAGAAATCACAAGCATTCTTATACACCAATAACAGACAAACAGAGAGCCAAATCATGAGTGAACTCCCATTCACAACTGCTTCAAAGAGAATAAAATACCTAGGAATCCAACTTACAAGGGATGTGAAGGACCTCTTCAAGGAGAACTATAAACCACTGCTCAAGGAAATAAAAGAGGATCCAAACAAATGGAAGAACATTCCATGCTCATGGGTAGGAAGAATCAATATCGTGAAAATGGCCATACTGCCCAAGGTAATTTACAGATTCAATGCCATCCCCATCAAGCTACCAATGCCTTTCTTCACAGAATTGGAAAAAACTACTTTAAAGTTCATATGGAACCAAAAAAGAGCCCACATCGCCAAGTCAATCCTAAGCCAAAAGAACAAAGCTGGAGGCATCACGCTACCTGACTTCAAACTATACTACAAGGCTACAGTAACCAAAACAGCATGGTACGGGTACCAAAACAGAGATATAGATCAATGGAACAGAACAGAGCCCTCAGAAATAACGCCGCGTATCTACAACTATCTGATCTTTGACAAACCTGAGAAAAACGAGCAATGGGGAAAGGATTCCCTATTTAATAAATGGTGCTGGCAAAACTGGCTAGCCATATGTAGAAAGCTGAAACTGGATCCCTTCCTTACACCTTATACAAAAATCAATTCAAGATGGATTAAACACTTAAACGTTAGACCCAAAACCATAAAAACCCTAGAAGAAAACCTAGGCATTACCATTCAGGACATATGCATGGGCAAGGACTTCATGTCTAAAACACCAAAAGCAATGGCAACAAAAGCCAAAATTGACAAATGGGATCTAATTAAACTCAAGAGCTTCTGCACAGCAAAAGAAACTACCATCAGAGTGAACAGGCAACCTACAAAATGGGAGAAAATTTTCGCAACCTACTCATCTGACAAAGGGCTAATATCCAGAATCTACAATGAACTCAAACAAATTTACAAGAAAAAAACAAACAACCCCATCAAAAAGTGGGCAAAGGACATGAACAGACACTTCTCAAAAGAAGACATTTTTGTAGCCAAAAAACACATGGAAAAATGCTCATCATCACTGGCCATCAGAGAAATGCAAATCAAAACCACAATGAGATACCATCTCACACCAGTTAGAATGGCAATCATTAAAAAGTCAGGAAACAACAGGTGCTGGAGAGGATGTGGAGAAATAGGACCACTTTTACACTGTTGGTGGGACTGTAAACTAGTTCAACCATTGTGGAAGTCAGTGTGGCGATTCCTCAGGGATCTAGAACTGGAAATACCATTTGACCCAGCCATCCCATTACTGGGTATATACCCAAAGGACTATAAATGATGCTGCTATAAAGACACATGCACACGTATGTTTATTGTGGCATTATTCACTTGGAACCAACCCAGATGTCCAACAATGATAGACTGGATTAAGAAAATGTGGCATATATACACCATGGAATACTATGCAGCCATAAAAATGATGAGTTCATGTCCTTTGTAGGGACATGGATGAAATTGGAAATCATCATTCTCAGTAAACTATCACAAGAACAAAAAACCAAACACCGCATATTCTCACTCATAGGTGGGAATTGAGCAATGAGATCACATGGACACAGGAAGGGGAATATCACACTCTGGGGACTGTTGTGGGGTGGGGGGAGGGGGGAGGGATAGCATTGGGAGATATACCTAATGCTGGATGACGAGTTAGTGGGTGCAGTGCACCAGCATGGCACATGTATACATATGTAACTAACCTGCACAAGGTGCACATGTACCCTAAAACTTAAAGTATAATAATAATTTAAAAGAAAAAACCCTAGAAGCAAAAAAAAAAAAAAAAAAAAAAAAAACAAATGCAACAAATTGTGCATCAAGCTTCCAATGTAACTGTACAGAAAGGAACTGTTCAGAGTAACTTTTGAATTGTACATCACTGTTGGGATCTATCCTATGTACAAATAAAACAATTTTTTAAAGCTTAGCCTGTTTTAAATAATAATGGTTTTGGTAGTAGCGATGGCATTACTACTCTGGTAATGTTCTGTTAGTCCTGTAAAATAAAGTGAATTGATAATTATCTTGATGGGATTGAGAAATGAGATTTTTTTTTGGCACAGGATGAAGAAAATAGAAATATAATGTTGTTGAGATTAAGTAAAACCTCTATAATACTGAATTTGACTTGGAATTATCAATTAGAAGACATGATGTATGTGGTTTTTAAGGTTTTCCACAACGTTGTCCACTGAGCAGTTCTAGAAACCATGGTCAAGCCAAAGGAAATAAAAACCCATTTTTTATTGGGTTTTTAGAAAGGAAATAGACTCCATTCTATGGTTTCTGCGTAGCATGCCCCACTATAACTAACCATGACATCTTGAAGAAATGGCTGACCTAAGGCCTAAGACAGGAAATGTAAAAGATACTTGTAGAATTTCATGTTATACCAGAAAGCAAAGAAGTTACAAAATGTGTTGGTGGTTATACAAATCTATACATTTAATAAAATGTCATAGAACAACACACACACACACACACACACACACACACACACAAGTGCATATGTACAGTAGTGAAATTCAATTAAGTGCTATAGTCTAATTAGTTGCATTGTGCCAATGTCAATTTCCAGGTTTAGATAATATACTATAGCTATGTAAGATGTTACTACTGTGTGAAGCTGGTAAAGCTTTGGGTTTTTTTTTTTCTCAGCTTCATGTGAGTCTATAATTATTTCAAAATAAAAAGTTAAAAAGAAAACAAATGGAAAAAAGTTATCAAACATGATTTGTATCATGTCAAATGGATATAGAGACTAACTTCAAAGGAACAGTTTGGCCAGTAGGGGAACAGTTTGAATATCAATGTGAATAATAATTCAAATGAACTGAAAAACATCAAATATATTTAAATTTATGAGTTCCTAAAAATACCAATAAATGTAGTCTTCATATCTGGAAGATGCTAGGAAGCAATTTGTTTACAAATTGCTTCTATTGTTTGGAAAATTGATAAACAAAAATAAACATTTATTCCACCTTTGCTATACAAACTGTTATGCATCCTAAGAGTTGATATGAGAAAATTTTTTGGAGAAATTATAGAATTAGAATATTACCATTTTATAATCTATAACAAATTATAGATTTAATATCCTTTGAAAACAAAAAGGAAGATAATCAGATATTTTTGGATCACTCATGAAGAGAGAAATATCACCTGTGAAGTACTTTTGTCAAAAATATCAAACATGAATTTGATCATGACCCTAGATCTAATAAAAAAATGTACAAGCGGCAGGGCACACTGGCTCACGCCTGTAATCCCAGCACTTTGGGAGGCCAAGATGCTTGAGGCCAGGAGATGAGACCAGCCTGGCCAACATGGTGAAACCCTGTCTATATTAAAAATACAAAAAAAAATTAGCTGGGCATGAGGGTAAGCACCTGTAGTCCCAGCTACTCAGGAGGCTGAGGTAGAGGAACCGCTTGAACCCTGGATGGGGAGGTTGTAGTGAGTTGAGATTATGCCACTGCCACCGCACTCCAGCCTGAGACTCTGTCTGGAAAAAAAAAAAAAAAAAAAAGAGAGGAAAATTTAAAAAAGTACAGGTAACCAGCATGGCACATGTATACATATGTAATTAACCAGCACATTGTGCACATGTACCCTAAAACTTAAAGTATAATAATAATAAATTTTTAAAAAAAGTACAGGTACTACAGAAAACAGAAGAACGTGTTAAAACACACCCTAAAGAAACAATCATCAAAATGCTGCTATGAAGAATTCTACTGGTCAAACTCCCAGTTTCTTTAAGATGTGTTTCAAAGAAACAAAAGAGATGATGAGGAAACTACACATTGCAAGAGACTTAAGAGATATAGCACAACAAATGTAATATAAGGACCACCTTTGGATCTTGATTTGCACAAACAAACGTTTTAAAAATATTAAACAATCAAACAAATTTTAATCCTGGTGATTGGCTAATGTTAAGATATTATTATCATTTCTTCAGGGGTAGTAATGATATTTTGATTATGTTTTAAATAGAGTCCTTATCTGACATATTTAAGATGATACAATAACTGAGATTTATATAAAAGCAGTCTAAAATGGGATGAAATGGGAGGAGCAGTGAGTATGAGTATGAATGCGCAATGGTAGAGGTGTGGAAATGCTTGATAATTGTTGATAGTGGATACTAATTAGATGGAGGTTCATTATTATTCACTCTAGTTTTGCATATTTAAATTTTTTTCTATAATAAAAAGTTATTTAAAAGAAAAGGAAGAGCAAAGACATTGCTCAGTAAGCCAAGTGAAGAAATTTTTCTGATCATTTTTTATTACCATAAGTTCAGGTGGACTTTAGACTTAAAGACAATAGCTACTATAGTGATTCCTCTTTCTTAGATTGACACCATTATTGGACTGTGACATGCTTGGTTATAGTTACAGCAGTTTAAAAAGAATAAAAACTCTCCTAAAACTTTAAAAATACACTTACATACTCATTTTCCTTATTTATGACTTCTGTTTTCTTTTTCTCCAGCCTGGTTCTGTTGCATAGGCTGTCTCCTCATTTTCCCAACTCTCTTTCTTTTGTTACTTTGGTCCTTAGCTAGCACTTGCTCCAGAAATAATGCATTTCTCTTTATCACCTGTTAACATGAATTTCTACGATTTTTCTCACTTGTAAGTGGTTTCTGCAGTTCCCTGGAAATGTGTGTAATGATCAGTCTACCAACCTGCAGTTTTCCAATCTTTACAACTGAAGGTACTGAATCCCCATGTAGTGGCACATTTTCACCTCAAAGAGGACTGAATCCTGCTCCCAAACAAGATTATCATTCGCTCTGTACTCCTAAGAGAGACACCCTTTTTCATTTCCCCAGGTTACAAAGCACTGCTTATCTATTTCACCACAATGCTATTGACCACGTACCTTGAACTTTAATTCTAGATACTGAATTTTCCTCATCCTCCTCATGTACTTACACATTGGACCTATTTCACCAGGTGCAATTCATTCAGAAACAAAGGCTATGCATTGGTTATTTATGGTTGCATAACAAATGACCCTAAAATTTGGTGACTTAAAATAAACCAACAAAAAGTATTTATTTTCTTACAGCTTATGTGGGTAAGGAATTTGGGAGCAGCTTAGGTGAGTGACTCTTGCTCAGGTCTCTTATGGAGTTGCAGTCAGAATCTTGGCAAGAGCTGCATTCATCTGAAAGCTTGACTGGGACTGGAGAATAAGTTTGCAAAATGGTGCACTCACATGGCTGTTGACTGGATAACACAGGTTCTCACCATATAGGATTTCCTGTACGGGGCTATGGCACCCTCATAACATAGTTGCTGGCTTCCTTGTGCAAGAAAGAGAGCAAAGCAGAAGCCACGTGAGTTTTCTGATCTAGCCTCAGAAGTCTTATATCATAACTATGCCATATTCTATTGGTCACACAGACCAATGCTAGTAAAATGTTTGAATGCATGACACAGGAACTTGAATACCAGGGCATGGAGATCTTTGAGGACCATCCTGAAGGCTAGCTGTTGCAGATTTGTTTGACAGTCCAGCTTCAAGAAGTTTTGTTTTGTTTTGTGTTCTCTTTCTATCTTTGTATTGATTACTGCATAACAAACTATCCCAAAATGTAGTGGCTTACAACAACAATCACTTATTACTTGTCTTAATTCTGGAGGTGGGCAATTGGACCAGGGTCAGTTGGAATGGGTTGCCTCTGTTTCATGAGGTGTTAGCTAGGGACTTAACGGTGGGGGCTTGACTGTGATTGGATGGTCCAAGATGATTCCATTTGCACGTCTGGAGGTTAGTGCTGACTATTGGTGTAGCATCTCTCTGTGGTCTCTCATTCAATCATCCACCTCAGGATTTTTATTTTGGAAACAGGGTCTCACTCTGTCACCCAGGCTTGAGTGCAGTGATGTGATCCTAGCTCACTGCAGCCTCAACCTCCTGGGCTGAAGTGATCTTCCTGCCTTAGCCTCCTAAGTAGCTGGGACTACAAGCATACGTCACCATACTCAGCTAACTTTAAAAAGTATATTTTTAATAGATATGGGGTCTCACTTTTTTTGCCTAAGCTGGTCTGAAACTCCTGGCTTCAAACCATTCTCCTGCCTCTGCCTCCGAAAGTGCTTGGATTACAGGCACGAGGCACCGTGCCCATCCCTCAGGCTTTCATACATAGTAAAAGGGATATTCCAAAAGGTGGAAGACACACGCTATCCTGAGACTCACTTCATGTCAGTTCTAGCACATTCTGTTGGCCAAAATACATAACAGGGCCAGTCCAGATTCTAGGAAGGAGGAAACAGACTCCACCTCTGGAGGCGATTGTGATTTTCAGTCAGCCAGACTCTTCATTACCTATCCTTCCTTGTAATCCTTCTCTGCTTTACTAGTTAACCCCTTAAAGCTCAGCCTCGGCTGCCCACTGGAATCACCTAGGGAAATTTCTGAATACTGGTGCTTAGATCCTATCCCAGAAAATGAGATGGATCTGCCTTATAAATCTTTCAAGGCTCTTCAGATGATTCCAATAAATAGTCAAGGTAGAAATCTGTCTTAAAGGAGGATCCATTCATGTGGGATACCTTTACCCTTTCACAAATGAGAACTAAAATTAAATGAGACTACCACCTAATTGGTTTGTTTTCTTTTTCCTCATAGTGCATCTTCCATACTAGGTGATTTTTCACCATTTCTACCCAATGTAACAATGGGGTTACATTATTAGTCACAATTTTTCCTTTGGGATTTTTTTTTCGTATATATTTTTTCTTGTAAAAATCTGACCATCTTGTTACTTTTCTAAGACCGTATTTCTACTTATTAAATGGCAAAATAGTTTATAATATAGGAAGCAATTTTAGCATATGAACTAAAGCATTAACCAGTCTCCTAGGCCCTCACTATTTCTTGGCCAAGACAAAAATTATTTTGCTCACTTTCTTTGGTCGTTGAGGAAGAAGATTCCTTTCTTGGATGAGCTCAGATCTATCTACATTAGTGGGTCAAAATTTTCTTGCATTCGCCCAGACTTTAACCAGTGGTTTTTCTCAATCCATTCTGTTATAAAACCAGCTTAGGCATTCTAACTTAAATATAACATCCAGGGCAATGTCCTTAACCTCATCTTATTTCCTGAATTTTTACTGCTGTTCACATCGGATGCTTTTATGAAGCTCTTCTACATAGAAGCCACTCTAGAAAGATTTCCTTGCCCTGTTTTTTCCTCCATTTTCCATTTATCTCACATATGCTAATGCCGTTCATATTTATTTTCATTCCCTGATACACACATCTGTATCTTCCCAGGTTTCTTCCTGAGTCATATGCCCTAAAGGTTATATCCACCCGGTGTACATTTTTCTACCTCACCTCCAACTGTTGCTAGATGCCCCAACTGTGAAACAAAGAGATAAAGCATATTTTTGAACGCAACTTGCAAATTTATTCTTATTCCTTGATGGTCACACCTTTTAAATCTTAGAACTTAATCTCCAGGAAGACTCCCTGGGTCATTTTTATTAGTCACTGAAAATTATATAACCTGCCGTGTTTCCATTGTTCCCCTGGGTGCCAGGAAGCTTAGAGCTAATTTAATGCTTAACCATAATTAACATATCAACCAAGGAGGCTGCTATATTTGCTTCCTCTTCTTTCTATAGTTCCTTTTGGGTTTTAATTTGAAATTTTATTTTTAGTGCTATTATAAATCACTTCCAATCCAATTAGAAGAGTTCTCACTATTATTATGAATAGAATTTTAAAGTCTGGATTTGGGGTAAGGAGTTTTCCATGTAAGGCCCTGAGACCTCAACTGGGGGTCCAGTGATGAATACCACCAGATCTGTGGTAAGTAAGTCTGCAACTTGGCAGTCTTGTTGGCCAATTCAGCCCTCTGTTGGAATACCTTATTGCTATAATTATTTTTCCTAAGATAATCCATCAGAATTTACCAACCATTTGGGTCTTCCCTTTTAGTAAATTGTGAATTATAGGAGGGAAAAAGCAATAATAACGAAGCAACACCACATGTGAGCACCTATTACCTGTGAGATGTTGCATATGCACTGTTTGTAATTTGCCATATACCTTAAGATTCTGGCATAGACATTCTGATGAAGTTGAAGCTCACAGAAGTTGTTAACCTACTGGCCCTGGACTTATAGTAGCTAGTTAGAGTAGTAAGAGGCAAAAAAAAAAAATAAAATAAAAAAAAAAAAACAGGTGATTTCAGGTTGCCTGAAGCAAATCCCAGATTCCTTCTGCTTTACCAAATCATCTCATCTTGTCACAACTTTTGTATCCATAAATACATAATTTATTATATGTTTTACTTATTGGACAATTACTAGGTGCTACTTAGTGGGCGCTTTAGTAATGTTTTAAAACTTTCCTGGAAAGTACACCAGTTATTCTCTAATAGATTGTACAGTATAGAAGATGGGAATTTATGTTACACTTTTCTGGGCCTTTCATAGTCCACATGTACTTCTGTTTAATGGTGGGTGGACCATTTTTTATTATGGAATAAATGAATTTTTAAAATGGTATTGAGTGTGTGAATTCCTCTCCAAAATTGCTAGCTTCCTAGGGCGGTTCTGCTGAGAGTATAACACTTGCATTCAATCCTGAAATATCTTCAAGTTATTCTGCTGGCTTCAGAGTCTAGTTCTACTAGCTTTAAGGAGGGTTTTCTTCCAATAAGGTCAAAACCTCAGAATGTAGTAAAGGTATTAATCTGTGCTATCACCTTCATCAATAGATTCTGAGAGTATACATTATAATAAACATTTAAAATAAACCATAGTAATGGTGGCTTTCTTGGAGCTTCTTTAGCAAGATCCTACTTTATTGCTGCCCCCACCAGAACCTGGTTAACAGAAGATGACTGGATTCTGTGCCTCCAAAGGTAATTCTTGAGCTGTGTTATTTGCCTGATCTTTAAACCCCAAACAAGTCTTGGGGTTCTACAAGAGCCCAGAGTGGAACTGAATTGTGTTCCAAAATAATGAGAGAGGAAGGAGGAACTCTCATTTTATTACATATGTCTCTTTATAGCAGTCGGCAGGAGGCCGCCTTTAACTGAGAACATAGCCTATCCCGGACACAACCATCAAAGAAGGGAGGGGAAGATCAAACAGCATCTTAAGATTCAGTGACACTGGCTTGGCATATTTTGTTTTCATGACAGAGCATCTATACCTTGATGAATGTTTCTTTTAGTGTCTTTGCATCTTCCCAGCAACACTGTTTTATTACTGAGGGGTGGGAGGGAATCTTTTCTCCAGAAATTTTGAAGCTGAATTACCATGAAACAACAGCCTTTCATCAGTATTTGGAGAAATAAACAACCCACTCCCTGCAGTTGGCCTGTGCCGTTCTCTGGCAATGCAAGAAATTTATGGCTGCTCAGATGCAAGAGATTTTGAAAGTCGCTTTTTCTTCAGCAAGAAGGGAACAGTTAATCCACACAGCATTTTTGTGCTGATTAATCAGTCTGAGATGGACTAAGCGCTGGGCTGAGAAATTGAGTTTTATGTATAAGAACATTTCTATGAAGGAAGAGAGGAACATTTCCAGGAAAGACATAGGTGTTAACCGGCTTATTTAATTTCCTGGTTTGCATTCAAATCCTTGTGATATGGCTGGTGTCACCTAACTGAACGGCTCTCAAAAAAAATCTGTCATTTTCTTTTCTTCTAATAGAGAAAGATAAATATCTATCCCTGTTTGGCTTAAGATGCTACACAGATACTAGAAATATGGCTATTTCTGTAATTTCTGTAACAGATGCTTTTTTGACTTTGCTCCATTCTCAAGCAGACCTGATCAAATCACACCAATTCAGTCGTTTCTGTTTGTAGGATGCACACACCAGGGTATCACTTATGCCCTGCCTTTGTGGAGTTTATATAACTCACAATGACTGTGTTAGTTTCTAGGGCTGCCATAACAAATTACCACGCACTTGGTGGCTGACAACAACAGAGATTTATTCTCTGGCAGTCCTGGAGGCCAAAAGTTCAAAATCAAGTTGTTGGCAAAGACTGAAGCAACAGTCTGTCTCTTGCCTCTTCCTGCTTCTGGTAGCTATTGGCATTCCTAGTCTTGTGGCTACATCACTCCGATCTCTGCCTTCATCATGACATTGTCTCCTCCTCTTCTCTGTGTGTCTCTTATAGGGACACTTGTGACTGGATAATAGACAATTTCATCTTGAGATCCTTAGCTTAATCATATCTGCCAAGACTTGTTTTTTTCCCAAATGAGTTCACAGTCACAGGTTCTGGGATTTAAGATGTGGACATACGTTTTGGGAAGACCACCATTCACCCCATTACAATGGCTAATGTGTCAACAAGATCAACTGGAATGTGGCTTCAAGTGTTTCCCTGATTGATAACTCATCTGCTGTTGCTTTGGGTGAGGACCGAATTGCAGAGCAAAGTTGTGTAAGCAAGGTACAAAGTGAAGGGAATGAGCTGGCTTGAGGATATACCTGGATAATATTTTATAGGAAAGACAAATATATAAAGAATAAGGACAATTTTAGGTAATTACTTCCCATCAATTGTCCGTGGGAGGAGGAAAGTGTATTAGGATAGCAAAGAAATGGAAATAAGGGGTAGTTAAAAGAGTAGCTGTTCCCGATTGGGTCATTCCATTTACAAATGCATTGAAAATGACTTTTTCCTCGCTGTTGGAGTTGAAAGCCTTTAATGATTAGAAACAGGCAACGCTTTTTCACTTTATATTTTCTAAAAGAAACTCTTCAAATTACCTTTAAGCTAGTTAAAGTGTGGTGGTAAAATGTGGCAAGCCTTTATGTATTTAGTCTCTAAGATGGCATCCTCCCCAGTACCCCACCCTGACATTCCCACAGAATCTGTTCAGCTGCCAGTTGAGATGCAAGATGTGGAAAGGATGGGTTCAATGCCAAGGAACTGATGGGAACTGGCCTCCTAAGGGAAACAGGCCACGCTTTGCATCATACCACCTGGAAGGAAATTCCAGGCCTTTGCCTACAGAATACCAAGTTTTCTTCTACGCCACATGTGCCTCTTACTGAATGCTTGGATTCAACTCCAGACACTGTCTGGGGAGCTGCTTTGAAAGACTTCAATCTTCATGGTGCTCAAACCTACCTGATAATCTTCTTTTGGACTTGTTAGATTGTGTGTTTATCATTTCTCTCTGACCCCGCAAGGAAGGTACCCCATCTGTATGAGTCACTACTGAGTTCCCCAGCACCCAGGACAGAGTTTGGCTCTCAAGTGTGCTCGATAAAATGACATCCTCAGGTGTCTTCAGCAGCAATGTATGGGGATGTATATTCAAACACCCTTCAAATGTTGCTGCTTAAAATTAAAAGCCAATGTAAGAGGAATAAATTAAATTTGTAAATGCTACTTTAAAAATAGTTTGAATATACATTCTCTTGAGAATTTTCTTCACCTATAAATATCTTCTGTGTAAAAATGAGGAAGAGATGTAGAAAGATGTCTGCCTTGCATTATTTTTGCCATGAATCTTTCTTTTCATTGTTGTTGTTGCCTCTGCCAGTTTTGAATAGCGGTGCCAGATAATAATATGCTAACCTTATAGTTGTAAGCAACCAAAAGAAGCAATTCAGATTTGAAATTGTGGTGGCAGTTCTACCTTTCCCATGGGTAATGACAACACCAGGGATGTGTAAGAGAGTGGGACACCAGCTAGAGGCATGAATCAAAAATGACTGGATTGTCCGCTTCTGAAAGGTACCTCATAATATGATGTTTTGCTCATACTGGGAAAAAGAAATAGACTTTTTGAAAGGGATTTGGTTTTGTTAAAATAAAGATAAACCCCCAACACCTCCCATTCAATTATCGAATTGGCAGGACCCCATATCCCATGACATAGTTTATATTAAAATACTTTTAAGTACCGCAAACAAATTTAATGCTGTGGCAGCACTGCAAATGCCTCTGTTAAGCCAGGTGTCCCTGGTGCAAGCAGATAACACGCTTGCCAACTCAGGGATTGTGCCAAATATCATTCAATATTGAAGTGTTACAGCAGGGGAGAGATATCCAGATGTCCATCTCTGCAGCTGACATTCCACCAAATCTTCTTGGTTATATAGCCAGCCAGTCTTGGTGCCTATGTCACTCAAACTCTTCTCCAGATCCTATTAAAGTGGCCTAGGCTGGGCTGTAATTGGGCCTCTAGCATACTTCCTGTGCGAATTTAGGAAAAACCACTTAAGATTCTATTTTCAGGGAGTCGCTGAATGGCATGAAATTCATGTGGCTCCTTTGAAATACAAGAAGGAAGGCCTTTTCCTTCAGGCACCCAAGCAGTGTCTGCAACTAGTGAGCTTGTGGTTGAGGTGGGCAGCATGCTGGGGGGTGGGGTACAAGATGGAGATGGGGCTGAGGGATGGAGAGAAGGCACTCATGCTAAGGGATATGAGCCAGCAGCCAGCTGGACCCAGTGGTAGAGTCTGAGGGGCCCAGTGAGTTACCGTCACATGAGAACCTAGTGGAGGAAATGGCTTGGATAAAAGAACAGCCCTCATGAACTCTGAAATATTCCAAGCAGCAATGAACCCAAGAGGGGAAGAATGATTTTGTAACCAGTACACAGAAGAAACAAGGGTATAAGCAGCCTGAGAAAGAGCTATGCAGTTGATAGAGATTGGCCACTGACCAGCAGTTCATTACAGAGCAGTAAAGGCATGGGGTAGAGGAGGCGGAGAGTAATTCAGGTAAGTAAGCTGTGTGATTCCAGGCCCATTCCATGACCATTTTGCAGTACTCCCTGGGGTCCCCAGTACCAATGGAAAGAAGGGTAATATTTTGCCAAAATTTAAGTGAAGATATACCAGTTAACACAATTTCGCTAAATATATCAATATCACCTCAAATGTACCCACAGTCTGGTTACCTTCAGGTTGCTTGCTAAATCCATTTAATAGACATTTTAAAATAATGACCCTTACCTTGAACGGATAAATATATATCAACTTTCTTAATGGTGGCCAGGTGTAGTGGCTCATGCCTGTAATCCTAACAGTTTGGGAGGCCGAGGCAGGCGGATTGCTTGAGGCCAGGAGTTCGAGACCAGCCCGGCCAACATGGCGAAACCCTGTCTCTACTAAAAATACAAAAATTAGCCAGGTGTGGTGGTGTGTGCCTGTAATCCCAGCTAGTGGCAAGGCTGAGGCACGAGAATTGCTTGAACCCAGGAGGTGGAGGTTGCAGCAAACTGAGATTGCGCTGCTGCACTCCAGCCTGGGTGACAAAGCAAGATTCTGTCTCAGAAAAAATAAATAATAATAAAAATTAACTTTCTTAATGGAAACTGGACTGGATGCAAATATACAAACAAAACAAAACAAAACAAAACAAAACAGAAAACTTGACCTAAAGAGTTTAAGGCAATAAAGTTATCTGGGAAAAGAAAAAAAAGACATACAAAATAAAAAGTAGTGAGGAGAAAAATAAATTAAGTTTTACTTAAACCTAATGAAGTTTTGCTTCTCCTTTCATCATTTTTAAATTTGCTTATCTTGGAAAAAGTTTTTAATTTAGTTAATTGTAACTCAATGACTGTGTTATTAAAAAAAAGCTTTAGAGCGTTGAAGTCTCAAATAAAATTTTGTCAATATATTAAGCTTGATATCATCCATCAATTTACCTACAAAATAATCTTAGCATAAATCAGGAAGATTTACTCTTGGGGAAAATTAAAGCCTTGGTGCTCAGAATTTCTCATCATTGGACCGTCTTAAAACGGGTGTAATAATATACACACTCTGAAACGAAGATCAAGAACTAGGCACCCTAATATTTTAAGTCCTTGCTGTTTTGGGAAATAGTTAGAAAACATACATTTTATTTTATTCACAACTCTGAATTTACTAATACTGAATTGAATACTTTAGATAGTTGAATTTTACAGTATGTGAATTATATTCTAATAAAGCTATTAGTAAAAAAAGGAAATAGAAATCCTAATTTAAAACTTGACAATGTTATTAAACAACTACATGGCATATAGTCATTATTAAAAATTCCATTGTTTTGAATTATTGGTCATTAATTTATTTTTAAACAAAACAAATATTAACTCAGTGTAATTTTATGTAGCATCAAAACAACACTTAAAAAAGGAATCAACTTTACATTTCTTTGTTAATTCTAATGTGACCTCTGGTATTTGGGTTACTAGCCCTATAATGTTAAATTATTCCTGAAAGTATTGTGAGGATTACAGGATTTCAAAAGATAATATTTAGCTAAATATTATCCCTAAAATCAACGCATGTGCATGAGTTTCATTTAAAGTTCTGTGCTTACATATTAAGAATTTTAGGTCTTATTAGTTTTTATTTTGATTACTCTATTAATTGTTAAAATTTTCAAAGTGGTGCTGATGTTCTGACTTAAGTGAAGTCAAGGGAATTCAGAGCCTTGTGTACATGAATGTTTGCATGTATGTATGCTTCCGTTTATCCACTTGCAACTACTACTCTCACTGTGATATGCTTCTGGACACATTTTTTAGGCACATGTATGTAAGTACAATAAAGTTTGAGGATAACATTTTCTCATACAATTTAGTGAATATCTGCTCTTTGTGTTCTGACACTGTAGTAAATCCTTTTGTTGTGGTCTTTCTGCTCCTGAGCTTAGTTAGGTCTGAGTTCTTGTCTCACAATCAGGAAGAATTCGGCGCATGGACACCGGAGAGTGAGTAGAATAGAATCTATTAAGTGAAAGGAAAGTTCTCAGCAAAGAAGGGATACAGGGGGTGGTTCCCCTACCTGAATTCTACCTGAATTCGGGAAAGTCCCCCATGTGACTGGGTCTGGAGCCTTTTATGAACTCAGAATAGGGAGTGTGTGCTGGTTGGTTTGTGAGTATGCAAAAAAGGTTAAAGTGAAGTCATCACTCAAAGGTGGGCACAACAGTATAGAAAAAGCAATTAGGAAAGGGTAGGTATATTTAAAATAGGTGAAGGGTGGGGACCAATCAGAGGAAAGCATGCCAAATAGGAAGACAAGCTCTCAATCCCATCCAAGGATTTAACTTGTAGCTTGGCTTTCAGGCTTTAAACTGTCTTCAACTTAGAGGTGGGGGCTCACCCCATCTGCCTAGGCATTTGGCTGCCTCTTGCCACTCTCACTTTGCATTCTTTTTGTTTGTTTGTTTGTTTGTTTGTTTGTTTTTAGAGCAGCTCCTGTCAAATTCTAGTCCTAGACCCTGGGAGTCTCCTTGCAGGGGCTCCATGAAGTCCTCTCTTTTCTAACTATAAATCTGTATGAAGCCGGATTTTCTTTATATTTGTTAACCCAAACAAGTAATGTATTACAACAAATTGAATGCAGAAGCAGATAAAATAATCTGGCTATTCTTATTTTATTTTTTATTTTATAGAGAAAGATCTCCCTGTAGACCAGGTTGAACTGCAGTGGCATGATCACAGCTCACTGCAGCCTTGAACTCCTGGGCTCAAGTAATTCTCCTGTCTCAGCCTCCAGGCCTCTAGACTAGCTGGGACTACAGAAGCATGACACCATACCTGGATAATTTTTCCTTTTTATTTTTTAGTAGAGATGGGGATCTTGTTATGTTGTCCAGGCTAGTCTCAAACTCCTAGACTCAAGTAATCCTCCTGCCTCAGCCTCCCCAAGGGCTAAGATTACAGGCATGGGCCACTGCACCAAGCTTATGGCTATTTTATATTAAACCAGACATTAAAGAGATTTGTAAAACACTTTTCTAGCTGAGTTTGTCTGGAATGTATAGCTATTGTTCTTAAGAAATATATGTTATTTATGTTAACATGTAATACTTGTATTATAACTTCAAAAATTAATAAATATTTTTAAAATATGTTTTAATTTCTGGTTAATATTAACAGATATTACCTATATATAACAAAGCAAAAGTTATTTTGGGTTACCAACACTTTCTTAAGTATAAAAGAGTCCAGAAGGAAAATAAGAAAATGAAAACTACTATAAAGGGGCATTTCTACAAAGTAGGTACAATCATCTCCGTTTTCAGATGTCTAATATCTTACAAATATTTAGTGGCAGTGCTGCCTGATCCATAAAACTATGCTTGTTCCCCTATGACTATGTATTTGGAGTCATTTGCCTATGGCATTTCTCTTACAAAGGGCACATGTGCCTTTTAAGTTCTCTTCCCGTGGAAATCTGGTAATTTGAGTCAGGTAGAGTAATGGCAGGGCATGGTAGACAATGTACCTGCTGCAACAGCTCCCAATCTTCCCCAGTGAGACCATCAGATATATGGCTTCATTAATGTGCTGGAGAAAGGCTCAAAGATAGGAGCAGAATGTATGTATTGTCAGAGAAGTTGTGGATGGGCAAGCTCCTGCCCTTATGTAGAACCCTTCGCTTTCCTGATTCCCATAAAATCCCCTGCCTGCCACCATCCTCAAAGGCAGTTGTGTATCATGTCAGAAGATGCGTAACTTCAGCATTAGCTTCCCTTGGCTTTGAGTCTATCCTCTGCCACTTAACAAGCTCTTCCATTTGGAGCAAGCTATATTTTCTCTGTCAGCCTCAGACCCTTCCTCAGTATATTAGTCTCTTCTCACATGGCTATGAAGAAATACCCAAGACTTGGTAATTTACAAAGGAAAGAGGTTCAATTGATTCACAGTTCTGCAGGGCTGAGGAGGCCTCAGGAAATGTACAATCATGGCAGAAGGGAAAGCAACCACATTCTTATTCACATGGCGGCAGCAAGGAGAAATGCAGAGTAAAGAGGGGGAAAGCCCCTTATAAAACCATCAGCTTTCATGAGAACACACTCACTATCATGAGAACAGCATGGAAGTTACTGTCCCCATGATTCAATTACCTCCCACTGGGTCCCTCCCACCACATGTGTGGATTATGGGAACTACAATTACAGATGAGATTTGGGTGAGGACACAGCCAAATCATATCACTTGGTAAAATGGAATAATGTTCTCCACCAGGTAAAGGGTTGGGAAGATTTAATAAGCTAACACAATTAAAGTGCTTACAGCAGAGTAGGCAAGGAGGAAAGGTAGGCATCCTGGCTTCTAATTTCCCTTGATTTGTTTTCTTCTAAATGCTCTTCTTTCTTTTTTATAGACATGTTGTCAAAGGAGACCTGGAGAATTCTGAGGGTTTGTGATTGCTGTGGTTTTGTATTTTCTATTTATTTAGAGGGGTGGAAGGGGGAGGTTACAGTTACTTGACAAGTGTGTTCATGGATGTCTCAGATGTGTCCTGCTTCTTTGATGTAAAAGTATAAAATACTTCATTGTTATACTCTTTAAAGAAGGCAGAATTTGTCCTTATTTCATTGTTTGGAGGCAATGCCCATCAGAATAGAGGCTTTTCCCCAAGGCTGGCTAGATCTCAAGTGTAGCCTGTCATCTTTCCTTTGCTTTCCTCTGCATTCTCATTACCCTGGGCCTGGAGTAGGATCAAGGTGGGTGAGTGATGTGCAGTGCACGGGAACCTCATGCCACTTTTCTAGATTGTCTTGCTGTTGCTCCTTTAGATCTCTTTTCTGTTCTCTTTGTAGATGAACAGAAAATAAAATGACAAAGGATAGATTGTTTACATATATTAGCCAGTTTAAAAAGTTCTCCTTGAACTTCCTCAACCTAACAAGGCAGGCCAACATTCAAATTCTGGAAATACAGAGAACATCACAAATATTTTCCTCAAGAAGAGCAACCCCAAGACACATAATCATCAGATTCACCAAGGTTGAAATGAAGGAAAAAATGTTAAGGGCAGCCAGAGAGAAAGGTCGTGTTACCCAGAAAGGGAAGCTCATCAGACTAACAGCAGATCTCTCTACAGAAACCCTACAAGCCAGAAGAAAGTGGAGGCCAATATTCAACATTCTTAAAGAAAAGAATTTTCAACCCAGAATTTCATATCCAGCCAAACTAAGCTTCATAAGTGAAGGAGAAACAAAATCCTTTACAGACAAGCAAATGCTGAGAGATTTTGTCACCACCAAGTCTGCCTTACATGAGCTCCTGAAGGAAGTACTAAACATGGAAAGGAACAACTGGTACCAGCCAGTACAAAAACAAATTATGAAGACCATTGACACTATGAAGAAACTGCATCAACTAACGGGCAAAATAACCAGCTGGCATCATAATGACAAGATCAAATTCACACAACAATATTAACCTTAAATGTAAATGGGCTAAATGCTCCAATGAAAAGTCACAAGCTGGCAAACTGGGTAAAGAGTCAAGACCTACCAGTGTGCTGTATTCAGGAGATCCATCTCACGTGCAAAGACACACATAGGCTAAAAATAAAGGGATGGAAGAATATTTACCAAGCAAATGGAAAGCAAAAAAAAAGCAGGGGTTGCAATCCTAGTCTCTGATAAACCAGACTTTAAGCCAACAAAGATCAAAAGAGACAGGGGCATTACATAATGGTAAAGGAATCAATGAAACAAGAAGAGATAACTATCCTAAATATATATGCACCCAATACAGGAGCACCCAGATTCATAAAGCAAGTTCTTACTGACTTACAAAGAGACTTAGACTCCCACACAATAATAGTGGGAGACTTTAACACCCCACTGTCAACACTAGACAGATCAATGAGACAGAAAATTAACAAGGATATCCAGGCCTTGAACTCAGCTCCGGACCAAGCAGACCTAATAGACATCGACAGAACTCTCCACCCCCACATCAACAGAATTCACCTTCTTCTCAGCACTACATTGCACTTATTCTAAAATGGACCATATCATTGTAAGTAAAACACTCCTCAGCAAATGCAAAAGAATGGAAATCATAACAACCAGTCTCTCAGACTTATTGCACAGACAGTGCAATCAAATTTGAACTCAGGATTAAGAAACTCACTCAAAACTGCACAACTATATGGAAACTGGGCAACCTGCTCCTGAATGACTACTGGGTAAATAACAAAATGAAAGCAGAAATAAAGATGTTCTTTGAAACCAGTGAGAACAAAGACACAATATACCAGAATCTCTGGAACACATTTAAAGCAGTGTGTAGAGGGAAATTTATAGCACTAGATGCCCACAAGCGAAAGCAGGAAAGATCTAAAACTGGCATCCTAACATCACAATTAAAAGAACTACAGAAGCAAGAGCAAACAAATTCAAAAGCCAGCAGAAGACAAGAAATAACTAAGATCAGAGCAGAACTGAAGAAGATAGAGACATGAAAAACCCTTCAAAAAAAATCAATGAAGCCAGGAGCTGGTTTTTTGAAAAGATCAACAAAATACATAGACCACTAGCCAAACTAATAAAGAAGAAAAGAGAGACAAATCAAATAGACACAACAAAAACTGATAAGGGGGATATCAACACTGATCTCACAGAAATACAAACTACCATCAGAGAATACTATAAACACCTCTACACAAATAAACTAGAAAATCTAGAAGAAATGGATAAATTCCTGGACACATACACCCTCCCAAGACTAAACCAGGAAGAAGTTGAATCCCTGAATAGAGCAATAACAGATTCTGAAATTGAGGCAGTAATTAATAGCCTACCAACCAAAAAAGTCCAGGACCAGATGAATTCACAGCCAAATTCTACCAGAGGTACGAAGAGGAGGTGAGCTTTCCTTCTGAAACTATTCTAAACAATAGAAAAAGAGGGAATCCTCCCTAACTCATTTTATGAAGCCAGAATCATCCTGATACCAAAACCTGGCAGAGACACAACAAAAAAAGAAAATTTTAGGCCAATATCCTTGATGAACATCGATGTGAAAATCCTCAATAAAATACTGGCAAACCAGATCCAGCAGCACATCAAAAAGCTTATCCACCATGATCAAGTTGGGTTCATCCCTGGGATGCAAGGCTGGTTCAACATATGCAAATCAATAAATGTAATCCATCACATAAACAGAACCAATGACACAAACCACAAGATTATCTCAGTAGATGCAGAAAAGGCATTTGACAAAATTCAACAGCTCTTCATGCTAAAAACTCTCAATGAACTAGGTATTGATGGAACTTATCTCAAAATAATAAGAGTTACTTATGACAAACCCACAGCCAATATCATACTGAATGGGCAAAAACTGGAAGCATTCCCTTTGAAAACCAGCACAAGACAAGGATGCCCTATCTCATCACTCCTATTCAACATAGCATGGGAAGTTCTGGCCAGAGCAATCAGGCAAGAGAAAGAAATAAAGGATATTCAGTTAGGAAAAGAGGAAGTCAAATTGTCTCTGTTTGCAGATGACATGATTGTATATTTAGAAAACCCCATCATCTCAGCCCCAAATCTCCTTAAGCTGATAAGCAACTTCAGCAAAGTCCCAGGATACAAAATCAATATGCAAAAATCACAAGTATTCCTATACACCAACAGTAGGCAAACAGAGAGCCAAATCATGAATGAACTCCCATTCACAATTGCTACAAAGGGAATAAAATATCAAGGAATACAACTTACAAGGGATGTGAAGGACCTATTCAAGGAGAACTAGAAACCAATGCTCCAGGAAATAAGAGAGGACACAAACAAGTGGAAGAACAGTCCATGCTCATGGGTAGGAAGAATCAATATCATGAAAATGGCTATACTGCTCAAAGTAATGTACAGATTCAATGCTATCCGCATCAAGCTACCATTGACTTTCTTCACAGAATTGGAAAAAACTACTTTAAATTTCATATAGAACCAAAAAAGAGCCCGCATAGCCAAGACAATCCTAAGACAAAAGAACAAAGCTGGAGGCATCAAGCTACCTGACTTCAAACTATACTACAAGGCTACAGTAACCAAAACAGCATGATACTGGTACCAAAACAGATATATAGACCGATGGAACAGAACAGAGGCCTCAGAAATAACACCACACGTCTACAACCATCTGATCTTTGACAAACCTGACAAAAACAAGCAATGGGGAAAAGATTCCCTATTTAATAAATGATGTTGGGAAAACTGGCTAGCCATATGCAGAAAGCTGAAACTGGATCCCTTCCTTACACCTTATACAAAAACTAACTCAAGATGGACGAAAGACTTAAATGTAAGACCTAAAACCATAAAAACCCTAGAAGAAAACCTAGGCAATACCATTCAGGTCACAGGCATGTGCAAAGACTTCATGACTAAAACACCAAAAGCAAAGGCAACAAAACCCAAAATAGACAAATGGGATCTAATTAAACTAAAGAGCTTCTGCACAGCAAAAGAAACTATCATCAAAGTGAACAGACAACCTACAGAATGGGAGAAAATTTTTGCAATCTATGCATGTGACAAAGGGCTAATATCCAGAATCTACAAAGAACTTAAATTTACAAGAAAAAAACAAACAATCCCATCAAAAAGTGGGTGAAGGATATGAACAGACACTTCTCAAAAGAAGACATTTATGCAGCCAACAAACATGAAAAAATGCTTATCATCACTAGTCATTAGAGAAATGAAAATCAAAACCAAAATGAGATACCATGTCACACCAGTTAGAATGGCAGTCATTAAAAAGTCAGGTAACAACAGATGCTGGAGAGGATGTGGAGAAATAGCAACGCTTTTACACTTGGTGGGAGTATAAATTAGTTCAAACATTGTGGAAGACAGTGTGGCGATTCCTCAAGGATTTATAACTAGAAATATCATTTGACCCAGTAATCTCATTACTGGGTATATACCCAAAGGATTAGAAATCATTCTACTATAAAGACACATGCACACTTATGTTTATTGTGGCAATGTACGCAATAGCAAAGACTTGGAACCAACCCAAATCCCCATCAATGATAGACTGAATAAAGAAAATGTGGCACATATATACCATAAAATACTATGTAGCCATCAAAATGGATGAGTTCATATCCTTTGTAGGGACATGGATGGAGCTGGAAACCATCATTCTCAGCAAACTATCACAAGAACAGGAAACCAAACACCGCATGTTCTCATTCATAGGTGGGGGAGTTGAACAATGAGAACGGGTGGACACAGGGAGGAGAACATCACACACCAGGGCCTGTCGGGGCATGGGAGGCTAGGGAAGGGATAGCATTAGGAGAAATACCTAATGTAGATGACGAGTTCATGGGTGTAGCAAACCACCATGGCACATGTATACCTATGTAACAAGCCTCCACACTATGCACATGTACCCCAGAACTTAAAGTATAATAAGAAAAATAAATAAAAAAAGTTCCCCTTGAATGTCTAACCATAGCAAATAAAGTTCTAACTATACAAAATTTCTGATATCCAACCATTTTTGACCTACAAAAAATAGCATTTTCAATCTAATAATCATCAAGCACAAGAATCTTTAATACATTAAGGAGACCAGCAACTGCAAGATAATTTCTTATGCTAAGGAAGAAAAGTTTAGGTAAGATGATCTCCATGAAAATAATTTAGTAGGCTGAGTGCAGTGGCTCATACCTGTAATCCCAGTAGTTTGGGAGGCTGTGGCAGGAGGATCATTTGAGTCCAGGATTTCAATACCAGCCTGGGCAACATAGGGAGACCCCCATCTCTATAAAAAATAGAAAATTAGCCAGGTGTAGTGGCACATGGCTGTAGTTCTAGCTACTTGGGAGGCTAAAGTGGGAGGATTGCTTTAGCCCAGAAGGTTGAGGCTGCAGTGATCCGTGATCGCACTAGTGCACTCCAACCTGGGCAACAGAGCGAGACCGTATCTCAAATAATAATGATAACAATAATAATAATAATTCATTAGAATACAAGGAACAGGAGAAATTGTGAACAATCTATATGTATTAGTCAGACATAATATCGGCAGAAGGGCACTCATAGAGTAGACTGAGTCATTACAGTAGTTGTTTTAAACAGGGTAAACATTAAGGGAAACTTGCGCCTCTTTGGATCAGTCAATTTTTGCAAAGGAATTTGAGCCAAGTGAAAGGAAATAAATAAAGGAGGAGTGAATTCCCACCTCTGTGTGTGAGGGCTTCATAAAAATTAGTGAGACCAGAGGCCCTCTAGCTCAGACATTTTCCTATTTATCAGCAATAAATAGTGCCGATGAAAGCTTCATTCATTTGGGATAATTTACTTCTTTAGCCTTCATGCAGCACTGGCAAAATATTTCAGCTTTATCCTCCTTCCCACTTAATTCCCAGTAGCCATTTAATTCAAAAACATCATGCTTTAGGAGACTGAATCCACTTCAAAGGGAAGTAAAGATTTCCTTGCCATAGGAGAAAGAACATAATGGAGGATTGGGTAGCATACTGCAACTACATTTTGAAAGTGTTTCATTCTACCAAGGAATGTATGAAGCACTGTTCGAAACCCAACCGAATAGATACCCCTCCCCCAACCTTTCACATGTGAAAAGTGTTTCTAGAAATAGGGCCTTTTAAATATGAAAAGTTCATGCCTATTACAACAGGGCTGTTTTCTTCAGTGTATTCCCACTTTTAAAGGAATTTACAGTGTAGGGACTATTAAAATAATTCACTCCTTTTGGTGAATTTAGCAAATTTCATAGGTGAGAACTGAGCCATGAGACAGAGCACAGATGAGCAATTTTACCCCATACCTGTGGATGGTGTTCCTTTGGACTTAATGAAAACAAACTTGGCATCCACGTTGTGGAGTTGCCATATTTCTAAGGAGACCTGAAACTGATACCACACACAGGCCTTTTGAATCCACTACTCATATCAATGTTATCCTTATAAGCTATTATCAGTGTGAGAGCGAGCTAGTTGGAGTAGCCAAGAACAAATGCTTAGTGTCAATTAAATGAGGCATTCTTTTCCTTCAATAATCACAAGCAGAGATCCCAAGAGAACCTTGTGCTGAGCCTGATTTTGATTCTATCATATGGCTCCTCTCTATTAATTAGAGAAACTCATGAAGTGTACACTTTTTTGTTGTTGGCAGATCAACATCTGGACCCTCCAGCTCACAACTTTCCAAGTGCCAGTCCATTTCACAAAGCAACTCGGAACTTTCATGAAAAACAATCAATATAAATGCCCTGGCCATAAAGAAGAGTAGCCCTGGAGGGCCTCACTCAAGAGAATTAGAACATGAGGCCTACTTTAGTAAAGATAAGCAAGGTTATATTGCAGGAAACAAAACTTTCAGGGGCTCAGCACAATGCAAACTTATTTCCCACTTATCTTGAGTGGGCCATGAGTCAGGACCACTCTCCTTTCAGGCGGTATCAATCTTTTGGCCCCTGCATGTCAACCTCTGCTTCCATTATCATCGTCACAGGGAATGACAAAACTCAGTAGTCAAGCATCAGCAATTAAGTGCTGCAGGTACTACATCTGCACATATTTCACTGTCCAAACAAGTCTCATGGTCATGGCTAACTTGAAAGGGGCAATAAAATCACATCATCCCATGTGGCTAGAAAGGGAGAGAAACTTGAAATCATGCTGAACCATAATAATGGTAAAGGCAAAGTCTGAAATGAGTAAATGAAGACAGCCTGCATTTAAAGCCACAGGAAAAAAAATTCTAGAACAATACTATCTTAGAATCTACCATGAATCTATTTCTCAGATAACTTCAGTATTTGAATTAAGCATATTGATTCCACTGATTTGTTGATTCTGTTGAGGATATATCCCTATGATGTCCCTGGGAAGCGATGGGGCATTCCCAGTCATCTGGGATGTGCAGTTTCTAAATATTATCAATGGCGCCTCATTCATTTTACACAAATAAAACTCGATAGAAAAATATGCTCAAACGTTCTAAGTTTCTAAGGCTTTTCTCCAAGGGCATAGTACACTGTTAATAGTTTACATAATACTTTATTAAGAGTAATAGAAGGTCCCTTCCCTTGTCCTACTCAAGATTTTATAAAAGTTGGCCTTGGAGCACTCAGCAAATTTTGTCACCCTCATAATTCCTCCTCTGAGTGATACCTGAACATCCCATGTTATCTTAGTTCAAGGACAAGCAGCTAATAGGCATGAATTGATTCAATTTATTTAAAATGAGCTGCATGAGTGACCTGAATGGATGTGCTATTTATTGAAGGAGGGCCTCGCTGCATTTCTCTGCTCACAGAACTGCAGAGAACTGTTGTGGGGGCAGGAAGAAGGTGGGGAGAAAATGAGTTAATGCCATAGCCAACTATTCTGAAAAAGCTTCCTGATTTGAGACTGATAACATGGGGTGAGATCTGTCGAAGGATTTCAGTACACTGTGCAAAGGGGCACTAAAAAGAGGTCAGGCCAAAGCAATCAGTAGAATTTACTCAAACATCTGTAGCTTCTTAGGGCATTTAATGAAAATTTCCATATTAACATTTGGTTTTACCAGGATACTGCATAATTTTCTGCTCAATTTACCCCTGACAGTTTACAGACATAAAGGCATTCTTATCAAAATGACTTTCCATAATGTAGAAAGACATGGACATTTTATGATGTTCTTTGCAGGATAAGGGAGAGAGGATCAGAGAGGGAATAACTTTAAGGCAAGGAAACCAAAACCAGGCTCCTTTAAATATGTATCATACTTTTATTTTTTTTCATGAATTTTTAATATTCATCAAAAATGCATTAACCATTCTGTTTCACTTCAGCCTGGGGATCATTTACAAAATAGAGAGTGGTGTTCAGATCCAAACAGTGGAAAGTCTGTGCCTCAGCAACAGAAATTAATTGAGTTTAGGAAAGAAATCCATTAGTTCAGTTCTGAACTGAAGGTGTGGATTCAGGTTCTAGGAGTTTTCTTACCAAACAGTATTTAGAGGAAATTCAGGAATCACCTAAAGAATGGGGCATTGTGTCACTGACTCGAAATGAAGAACCCTGAGTTATTAGATTCATAGAGACTAAACAGTATTGATTTTTGATCACCAAGGAATTTATTTAAAAATATTACAAAGCCTTTGAAATGGGACCAGGAGTTGTCACTTGTACCTGCTTGAACTACACAGAGAGGCAAGATGTGAACCACATGCTCTGCCACTCTCTCTGAAGATAGAGCTCTATTCCTAATTCCTGGATGTAAAATATTTAGATGTGCTTCCCCAAGGAACCAGCCCATTGAGCTCTTTATTTCCCGAGTTGGGAAATCATGTATCTTAGGTGGAATCTATACTTTCCAGTGATTGTCCTTCCTCCCTCAAGTAGATCTGGTTCAATGTTATCTTTATTTATGAATACTTTAATTTGGGATAAGCCCGTGTTGGAGTTCCATCCACAGAAATTCTGATTTAATTGTTTTAGGGAGGGTCCTCAAAATTAGAGACTGAAGACATGCTATAATTTGTCAAGAAAACCAAAAATGTAGAAGTAATTGACAACTCAAAGAGACATCAAACAAACAAAACATCCTCCACACATACTGTTTACTAAAATGTAAAAAACAAGACACAAAAATTAGGCATGCCTTTAATTACTAGATGGTGTGAACAACATGAGAATCATTTAACCTTGATGGTCAGGACCTTCTTCTTCCAGTGATCCTGGAGGTCACCAAATGAGACCTGGTCACCACTTGGCCCACATAGAACAATATGTTACTGGTCAAAGTTAGGTAAAAGCCCTTTGCAGATCTTCAACTTCTAATATTAATCCATGGAGGAAGAAAAGAAGACTCAATTTTGGTTTAAGAAGAAAAGGCAAATAATGCTAAACTTGACAATATGAAGGCACATATATATCTGACAAAAAATGAAATAGAAAAGAAAGAAGGTCCAGTGGGCAGATGCAATGCTAATGTTGATGTAAATAGAGGTATGATAAATGCAAGAATACAGCAAAAACAATAAAACAAGCTCCATGGGAGATGTGGAGTAAAGTGAGGTAAATCCTCATTTTTCATAACAGTGAGTCAACAGACTTCATGTAAAGTTAATAAATCAATAAATAATAGATAAGTTATGTAAAGTTAAGAAGGTAACCAACAGAGGAAAAGAAAATAGTAAAAGGAGCTGGGCACAAGAGAAAGAAGAAATGTATTATAAGCTGTAAGTAAACTTTAAATTTTAAAGCCACATGCTTATAGTTTTTGAAAAAAGGAATAAAGAAAGAAGTAAAGAAATGATTAGGAAACATGCATTGTTTGATTTACAGCTCAGCCAAGAGCAGAGAACATCCGCTTATAACTATTACAGTGCAGACAGCAGGGGCTGGGGAGCAGGTTTTCATGAGCACCAGCCCACACTGGGGCTGCAGAAACAAGAAGGGGTCAGGGATGGGCAGGTGTAGACAGAAGGATCTGAGCCTGCAACCCTGGCTTCAACATTACACTTAAGAGCTTTGACCTTTCCCAGGAGGGCATTTGTGACACAAGGACTTAAAAACTGGGACACATATACCCAGAATTTACCTTGGCGCAGCTGTGTTCTGTTCAGGTTAATTCTACATAATCAAAAAGACATGAATCACACATGCAGATCAAGTAATTCATGTAATTAAAGAAAAATGAGCTAGGGATAAACAAGAGGGAGGGCCCTCCTAAGAGTGTAAACAAGAGTCCAATGTCATTGGTTCCACTGGATGGAAATTTCGGGGGATCACTCAGAAGATGAAAGCCAACAGAGAATGTGGAAGTCAGAAGCAGCTCAGGAACTTTCTAAAGATTTTTAACCTGGATAGAATGCGGGGTGGCATAAACTGGATGGAATGAATGAATGAATAAATGAATGAATGTATAAAAAAAAGCTAAATCTTTATTTTTACCAACTCCTATGTGAAATTTAGCCTTTCCTTCCACTATGAATAGAAGCAGCCAACTGTAAATGCACTAGCAATCGTGTGACATTGACACCCATAGAAATGGCAAGTAATTTCATCACACTATTGCTGTTGCTGTCTCAGAAGATGGTTTTTACTCGGTATTTCTTCTACATAATAGTAACTCTTAGACCTACCACTAGATCTTATTATTTAATGTGCTAACAAATAAGTGCACACGTTACACTAACTCAGATACATTTTTAAAAAATATGTTATTACTCTTTCAATAAAAGCAGTTTCTTTTGTAACCCTTTGTATTTTATTTTAAGCATTTAAAATTCATTCTGAGCAGAAGTCCATAGGCTTCACCAGACTTCCCAAGTGGCCCATGGCACAAAACGAGTTAAGAATCTTGAGTCCCATTGTATGTTTTATGATGCTGCATTAGGAAAATCACCACAAACTTTGCACCTCAAACACCGCAGTTTATTATCTCCTAGTTTCTGTGGGTCGGGAGTCAGGACACAGCTTACTTAGCTGGGTCTCTGCTCAGGGTCTCACAAGGCTGAAATAAATATATTGGCTGAGTCAGGGTTCTCATCTGGAGCTTAGGGTCCTCTTTCAAGTTTGTTCAGGACGTCTGCAGAATTTAGTTCCTTGTGACTGCAGTAGAACTGAGACTATAAGCCGCTAGAGGCTGCACACAAAATCTCTCCACATGAGGCCAGAGGAGCTGGCTTCTTTCTAACTTCTATTTTTGGCCTCTAAATCCTCTTAGAAGAGCTCAACTTACTAGATCAGCCCTCTCAACATAATTTTTTATTATTAACTAACATCAGCTGATTAGGCCCTTAATTGCCTCTGTGAAACGTCTTTACACTTGCCATACAACAGAATCAACAGTCTAATCATGAGAGAGATATCCCATTTGAGTCACAGTCCCTGAAGTGGTGGGGATTATGCAAAGCGTGTGCACCAGGAGTGGACACCTTGGGAGACATCTTAGCATTCTGCCTCCTATATCAACTATCTTATTAGAGGTGAGGACAAAGAAGCCCAGAAGTCTTCATATCAGGGCTGGAGGCACAGTAGGCTCTGCCCCAGGCCTCCCTTGCCAGTTTACCTTCATCCTAACAAAGGTTCTAATTCTAAACCAGATCTAGAGAAATGACTGTTCTCCACTGATACCTGATGATAGATTCCACCTAGATGCCAGTGCCTGGTATTCAGCCTCTGGTGATGTATTTGCTTATGTTGTTTCAGGCATTCTTTCAACAAATATAAATTGAGCTTCCCTGAGGAAGTGATACTAGAGCTACAATGTGCAGCAAATGTTGCAGTTTAGAAGATGGAGAGAAGGTGCTAGATTTGCAGAGGCTTGAGGCAGAAGTGATCAAAGTTACTGAGAGTAGGTGGTAGAGGCAGAGAAAGCCAGGGAAGGGTGGCTGGAATAAAGCTGGAGTTCTGCTACCCCAAGACAAATCAAACACCTCCATGAGATGGGATCTGGCCTTCATTTTGAAAAGAATATTTAGGTAGCCACATGTGGCTAGGTACTACATCTTGGACAATGCTGAGCTAGAAGCAATGCAATGGCAGCTTGGGTGAGTTAGGAGGTGATATGAAGGAGATGGTGGGGCTTTGAAGAAAGTTTAGTGGGTGAAGTAGGCAGGGCTTGGTCTGTGATTGGTGGTGGGAGCGAGGGAGGGGAGGCTGGCCAGGAGAGCTCCAAGGTTTTACCTAGCAGCTCACCTTAAGAATTTAACTCATTATGACACATGCTTTTTATTAGCTGGTATCAGCTGACAGATATCCCCTCTGAAGGGCACACTGACTTTAAGCTCATCGTGAACAGCCATATCAGCCACTGGGGAGGGTTGCAGCAGCCTGCAGACACAGAATGCTGGAGGAAGAGGGAGGCTGAAGGTTTAGAGACCTTCACAAGCAGAGTGGGATTTATACCTGCAGAGGCTGCCTATTTAACTGTTGAGGCTTCTACTTGGCTCTGGTCTGACTCCCAAAATATGCTGGGTAAATATTCAAGGGCACCGAGGGTGATTTTCAGTGGATTTGGTTTCTTAGCACTGTGATGACTCAGCAACTGAGACAGCCAGTTTCAGACAACAGAGGCAGAGCCGCAGAACTGGATAAGGATCTGACAGCTGGTGGGCTTGAGTGTGGTGACAGTATCCACACTCTCACAACAGGGAAACCTCCCATTCCTCCAAACTACTTGGGGATTCCAGAAAATAGTTTCAATGTTTCCTCCTCAGCAAATCTTCGACTAAAATTTTACTGTCATTGCTGCAGTAAAAACAAAACAAAACAAAAACAAACCAAAAAAAACAAAACCAAAAACAAAATACACCTAAATTCAGACTGGAAAAACTAACAGTACGATAACATTGAATCTCCACTAATGAACTGAGTCAGTGCATCCAACACTCCCATGTGTTAAATATTCTCTCTAAGTAGGGCAAGGCTCCTCCAAACTCTGCAACGTGCCCGATTCTCCCCAGCCTCAGCATTGCACCGGCAAGAACCAAACATGGTAAGTTGAAAATGATACCAATTTCTCTTTCATCAGTGGATGACACATCATTTAAAGCAGCTTCTGTCCTGATGGAATTGAAAAGGTGGTTCTAAATTTAGAATCTTTCCAAAAGATTTGAGATTTATAAGAGCCCAAATCGAGGACTGCGTTTTTTAGCAGCCTTCGTGGTGTGATCAGACTTGATTACCCACATTTTTTAAAGCTCACGCTCATTCTAAAATATAATGACTCTTTTTCAGAGCATCAAGCCATGGCTAAGCTCCCTGCTCATTAGAAATAGTTTGCTGAGTTTCGATTATCCTGGGGCATATGGGGAAAGGAGCCATTCAGCAGATAACTGACATCCTTAGCAGGGTCCTATTGAGGAGAAAGAGATGACAAGACTTGAGCAGTGGTTAAACAAGAGATGAAAAAAAAAAGTTTGGTATTGACAAGTATTAGGTGAATTTCAAGTTCTCAGCCTTTCCTGTCCCTTGGGCCCTGATAGCCATTTGACAAGATGATAGACACTCCCTCAGGCTAATGTCTTTAAATTCACAAAGGGAAATGCACAGAAGTACAAAGTAGAAACAAAATTATAGTGAAATTTACTAATCCAAATATCAAAAACATAAATTTATGATGCAGTAATGTTTGTGCTTCTTTATTAGTACAATAAATAATAAGAATCAGTGGAAAGTCTAATAATAACATTTTAAAGTCAGGTTTAGGGGAAGGACATTTTAAAATATTTGAAACAATTGTAATGTGTTTTTAAAATAACTGTGATTTCTACGATGTCAAAGACCTAGATATGGCCAATACTATTGCAGTTGTTTGCCTACATACATTATCAAAGGGAATGCTAAATTCCAATAAAATGAAGGTATTGTAACATTTTTTCTTACAAGTTCATGGTTCCTCTGGTCAACTACCCTATTTAAGTATCTGGACATTAGGTCCAGAACAATGAAAATTATCTGGTCACTGTCGATTAAATAATTCTAGTCAAGGTAACCCATTCTTCAGTTACATTGACTATATTAAACTGACAATGGCCCAACACCATTATCTTTTCCATAATTTCAAAGACTTTGAGAACAATGAAGGAGAATGGAATTTTCTGTAGAATTTTAAGGCCATACTAGTGAAAGTGTAGAGAACTCTAATTTTAATTCTGCCTCTATGGAGTCAAGAATATGCACAATATGCAAATATATTCAACTAGCTTTTGAATTAGCATATTGACCCAGGAGCATTGGCACTGGAAACAAAATAAAAATTAAAGCATAGCTTTTAAGCATCAGGAGTAAAAAGAATGTTGGCTTGCTGCCTAGAGCTCACAGTATACCTTCTACAATTTTGTCTATGACACAAGAACAGATTTGTTGCCCCCGACCCACTGTTGCTTGCCAAGTAAAGCCTCTTTTCTCCAAAGAGAAATCTGTAGCCAACTGCCTTATAAAGGTTTAGTTTATAGTTACCTCTTAGTGATTAAGTCCATTTCATCTTATTATACTTAAGAAACCCCCCACATGCAAAAACACAAATTGATAATTGCACTGAAAACAGAGCTTATCATCCTCATTGAAGAAGATACTTTGCTTTGGGAAATAATTTTCTGTAGCATTTTTAATTCCATCAACTCAATTAATGGCCATCTTGTGCCATGTACTCTACCAGGTGGTGCAGATGTAAGCATGAATATGAAAGATGTCTTGTCCTAGAGGGGCTGACTGACTCTTCACTGGAGACTCCTTGAAACGAGTTCACCTGTGTTCATTATTTTTTTAAAGTGCTTCAAGCTTGACAGAGAGGCTGCACTCATAGAAACAAAAACAAAAACAAAAACAACTTGAAGCTTTAGATGCCATTGTTAATTGAAGAAAGTGATCAGACATGAAGATAGAGCCCAGAAACGCAAGCAAGGCTATTTTCTCCTAAGGCAGCAGCAGTGATAGCAGACAGCAAAGATGACCCTCCAGGGTCATCTTTTGGGGACTGGGGTTTAGGAAAGGGACACAAAGGCTGCAAGGAAACGCTAAACAAAAAAGTGGAACAAGAATGAAGTTAAGAGGATGCTGGGCCTGCCTGCCTTCCTCATGGGACAGTGAGAGTCTACACCCTCAATGCATTTTGTCTGATTGGATTTCTTTTAGAATCTGGAGAAAGAATCACATTTTGCATCCAAACAAGGAAAGGCCAAACTGGCTTGCATAAAAAAAATCACAGAACGAAATATACAGGGGATCATGCCAGTGCGAGAAATGCACAGAACCATGGCATGGGGCTTTAGAACTCATTTTCTAACTTTCTGGAGGGCAGAGAGGTTTCAGAGAATGCCACAGTCTTAAGAAAGGCCAATGCATAAGCACTTTTTCAGGAACACCACTCTTGTGTAACACGAAGTGCACCTTGAAAGAAGATGTTAAATATGTGATCCCAGAGATAGACTCTGAACAAAAGTACTGAAACCATAGGATTAACAGTTGTGCAACAAGCCATGAAAGACTGAAAATGGTGTGTGAATGTGTATCTTCTATCATCACACTGTGAGGGTGTTTGGCTCATCGTGGGTTGGGAGTTAGCAACTTTCAGTAACACAAATTACCACCGTCTCAAGTTCTAGCCACAGTGAAATGGCTTGGTTAGGAGCACCTTCCAGGGGAAAAACCACCTGTGGGTTTCGTGCCCACGGCAATCTGGGGTAGAAGCTAGGATCTCAGTCTGTGGTCAGAGTCCCAGGTCTCTAGAACTTTAAAGAATATTGCAGTGATTGAGAGAAGGTGCTCATGGACTCAGAGAATCTCAAAATCATAGACAGGGGCACACTGGCCACCAACGTACCTGAATAACTCATAAGGTGGAAGGCAATGGGGACTGTGGCTGGAGGGAGACAGGAAGCCTGACCATATTGCGGGTTTTGTCTGCCAGATGCTCTGAGTTCCAAGTGCCAAAAAGACAAGGGATCTTCTATATAATGTTACGATGCACATACACTCACACAGATAAACACATACATACACACGCATACACACTAGCTTCTGACTTTTCTTTAAATATAGGAAATTCCAGTTAGACAGAGGAAACCAAAAACGTATGACAGAAGAAAATGATGAAGTGTTACGTGCCTTGCAAAGAAGAAAAAGAAAAAGCCATTTTAAGACCTGGAATTAGCATAAACAGAAGGCAAAGGGGGAGGGAATGTAAGAGCAGCAGCAGAGAAGAGAGTCGTGGAGAGCTGCTTCCCATCCCCTGCTGGTCTCCCCTCCAGACCTTTCCCATTCTTGGGGGGTATGTCTGAATGGGAGGAGACTAGGTAGCAGTGGCCTGGAAATGGAGCTGTAGAATTTGCTTGAAATTGCATGTTCCTAGCACAAACATCTTATTTAGATTTTATGTCTCAGATTGTCTTCATTCACATCTTCTAGAAACAGAGTCAGGGAGGTGGGCTCAGACAGTCTTCTGGTGACTGCAATTGGGATATATACCTGCAAAAGAGTGAGAAAGGTGGGACTGGGCAGACAGCAAAGCTGACCCCCCCACTGCACTAACAGCAAAGGCCTTAGACAACCCTGCCAGGAGCTCTAAGTCTACATTGGCTTTCTCAGTTGTCTGTTTGAGGCAAGGGGGCCAGGCCCTTGTGTTCTTGCATTAGTCAGCATTGCCTAGCTGCCCTAGAAGGAGACATAACTATGATGAGAGAGTCCCTTGAGGCCAAGGGTAATTTCAAGGTAGAGTCCCTGGTATGAGCAATCAACAACTGAAATTCCTGACAGTAGAGGGTAGAGGTATTTTCCTGAAGAGGGGATCTGGGCAGTGCCCCATCATATCCATTATGGAGATCAATAAAAATGGGAACATGCTGGTGGAGATTATAGAGGCCTAAATGCCCCTGTCTTTGTCAGTTTAGGCTGCTATAACAGTATACCCTAGGCTGGGTGGCTTAAACAACAGAGATTTATTCCTCACAATTCTAGAGTCTAGGGAGTTTGAGATCAGAGTACCAGCATGGTCAGGTTTCAGAAGAGCCCTCTTCCAGGTTTACAAATTGTGCCTTCTTACTGTATCCTCACATGGTGGAGAGAGATAGAGAGACAGGTGAAAACCTCCCTTCTCTCTCTCTCTTTCTTTTTTTTTTTTTTCTTTTAATATGAAACCTCACATGGTGAAAGGGGCAAGGCAGCTCCCTGGGGCCTCTCTTATAAGGGCACGAATCACATTCATGGGGGTGTCCAACCTCTGACCTAATCACCTCCCAAGTTCCCATTTCCAAACATCATCACATTGAGCGTTTGGATTTCAACATATGAATTTTGAGAATAAACAAATAAGCCCCATTCCCACCCTCCCCTCCTCAGGTTCTTAGACAGGGTCCTCAGGTGAGCCAGGCTTACCCTGAGCACGTCTGTAAATGATCCACCACTTGGTCCACCACCACTGCTCCCTTTGGAGACCACCTGTCACTCATAGTGCATCACTGATTGCTTCTCTCCACTCTTAGACCCCCAGCTCTTAACAGAATGGCTAGGTTCTTTCCCTTGTCCCAACTGAGCCTCTTTATCTTTTTGAATCAGAGAATGTCCATATCAGAAGGGCCTCAGAGATCTGCAACACAACCCAAGTTTTCACAGACAGCTGAAGGGAATCAGTAAAGGCCTCACAGAAATATTAATGTGCAGCTTCACACCACTGTGGGAAATGAATACAGAAGAGAAAGCAGGAAGGAGCATCTGGTGGGGAGGAAAACATGGACTCTTCAGAGGCTCTGAATATTTTGAAGGGTTGGGGAAGGATGCAGTTACGACTCGTGAAGTTTCCAAATTCTATATTCTATTTCTCTTCCCCTTTAACACAGCTTTGTGACATGTTCCCTAGCAAGGAAACATTTAAAATATTTTTATTATCCACGTGGTGTGAATCAGCCATTTCTTGACTGCCTATGAGTCAGCAATACCTGGGATGACTCCACATCCTGTTTACCTGGAACAATCCCATTTTACCTCTAGGTACTTGCTTAATTATTAAAATTCCACCCTTTTGCTCTGAAAAACAGGCTTTGTTTAGTCAACATAGTTGCCTGAGCAGTGGGCAAGGGGTGTTCTTCTGCAAAGGAGTTTTTAATTACTGCAGCTTCACAGCTCTGCTTCCTCACACCATATCTTTTATATGTAGAGCCTGAGGCCTTCCGTAGGGTCTTCTCCCCTGATTGAGCACACAGCTACACAACATATACCAGTCTCCCTTGCACACATGTCTGAGTTCTGCTTAACGGAATGCAGGTGGAAGTAAGGTTGCCACTTCCAGGACTTCCCTCTAAATTTGGCCCTAGTGCAAGCCTCATTGTCTTTCCCCTGAGGAGAGAGGATGCTAGAGAAGCTAGAGCCACAAGATGGAAGGAGCCTGGGTCTTTGAATGACTGACTTCCTGGTGCCTACAAAGGTACATTGATCTATAGTAAGCAAGAAATAATCTTTTAGTGTTTTAAGCCACTGACATTTGGAGTCCATTGCTACTGTAATTAGACTCTACATTTAATATATTATCTTTCATATCCAAACCTGTAGTCCTGGGCTGAGTTTCCCAGAAGAAAAGCCTGAGCAGAGTTTCAGGTGTACATTGTTCATTGAGGAAGGGCTATCAGAAAAGGAATGAGAGAAACAAGATGGCAGGAGGAGTTGAGCAAGGATATGGTCTCCACTGGAGTCTAGCCTTGGCCTGATCCCTGAGGGCTCTGACACAGTATTGATTTGTTCTCTCTGAGAACAAATATACCCTCATATAAACTAGTTATTGGCTGTGAGTTGCCTCCATGGGGGCTGGTAGAAAAGGGAGGCATAAGTGGCTCTGAGTACCGAGGTTAAATCTTTAGTTGAGGGTTCAGCGGTAGGAAAGAAAATTGTGATGCCTCACCAGCCAGTAGAAATATTATCTGTGGACAGGCTGCATATGTCTGGTAAAGAGCCCTGGGAGGGACACCACTGCTTCTCATTCACTTACATTAAAAGATTGTTGTGAACCTATTTTAATGCAACTTTCATCACAACCTTGGTCTCCAAAAACTAAATATTTGAGCTAAGAACTAAGAAAGCCTGAGGATACTTACAGGGAAACATTTTTAAATAAATCAATAGGGCTTTGGGTTGTAATCAACTAAAAACGATTCTGGTTATCTTAGCAGAAGAGAGATTTATTAGCAAAGGGGATTATTAGTGAGAGGGATTTTATTATCAAGTAGCTCCAGGAACTGCTGAAAAGGCTGGAAAATCTACCTCTTACAAATGACAGGAACCAAAAAAAGATGGATAGAAAAAAACAAAACCAAATTTATTACATCTCAACATGATGCTACTGCTGGCACCACAGCACTGGACACCCTACAACAGTGATCATCTCCAACATTACCCTTTACTTCATATATATGGCAATGCCTTGTACAGCATTCCTCTCATGTGAATTCAGGACTGACAATAAGAGACAGTTCTATGCTTAGCCAGAAAAGGAGGAGAAGAATTATCCAGAAGCTACATAGAGTACACTTTTCAGAGGCATTAGAACCTCTGCCTGTCGTTCCACCATTATGACTTTAAGTCTTTCGCCCATTAAGGCTTTGGAACTTCAATAGACCCCTATAAAAATGGAAATACCCTTAACTTTTTTTCCTAGCACCTTAACTATAAGCCAGCACCATACTTATGACTATGTCCAGGTTGGCAGAGGACAAGGCAGTGATGACTTGGAGTATTACATGTCTAGAGAGACAAAAACATGCTGATAAAGAAGAACCTAATTTAGTGTAGAGATTTTTTTTTGGCATTCATTGACCATGCTGTTTTGTTTTGTTTTGTTTTGTTCCTGATGAGACTTTACTGCCTTCAAACTGGTAACAAACATCAGCAGAAAGAGCTCTCAGTCCTGAAGCAATAACTCATTATCCCTCTCCAAGAAATAGTACATTCATCCTGCATAGCAAAACTGGGCCCTGCTTCTGACTCTAGCACAAAATCCACATTGGTTTATGGTTCTCAACATCTGGAGACTCAACTGATGGACTTACTTTGCACATGTAGATCTTTTAAATAAATAAGATTTTATCTGGTGTGGTAGATTAGCTAAATTATGCAAACAACCTCCCTGTATCCAAGTCCTTTGCAATACTATTTTCTAGCTCCTCCCATCAAGATATAAACTCTATTTCCCTCCCTTTAAATGTTACTGGATCTCAGACTTCCTTAGATCAATAGAATGCGACAAAAGTAATAGCATGCCTCTTCTGAGTCTTGGTCTTAAAGAGATTTGCATGCTTCTGCTCTTTCTTAGAACCCTGCTCTGTCTAATCTAACTGGATGGTAAGAGGCATTTAGAGCAAAAAATAGCAATCTTAATGGAGGTAATTTTGAAATAGCCAGCCCTCAGCCAACCTGGCAGCCAACCCCAGACAAATAAGTGATCCTAGTCAAGACCAGAAGAACCACCCAGCTGAGCCCAGTCCAGATGGCTAACCTACCTGCAGAATCATGGACTAACAAAACAGTTGTTGTTTTAAAACACTAAGCAAAAGGGTGCTTTGTGAGCCACAAAATCTAACTGCTAAAGAGTGAATTTAGCTCTTGGCAGATGGGCTGGACAGAAAACAAAGGTATGCAAAGCCTGACTCTCACACTTACATGTGTCATCCCAGAGACTTCCTCCCCTGCTTAATATTCCTTATATACCAAGGCTCTGGGGAAGCATGTCAGCCTCAGCCATTTGGCAAGCATTAGTTATTTGACCACGTATCATTACCATTTCCAGGAGAACTTGATAATACCTAATGGCTGCTCACTTCCAATCTCCAGAGAGAAAGAGAAAAAAAAAAAGCCTCAACATGTTTGTAGTAATCACTAGCTACATAATTAAAATAGAAATCTGTCATCTAAGCCAGAGGTGAGGCAGGTAAAATTAAACATAAACTGCCATAAAAATAATTTTAGACTTTTAAATTAAAAAATATCTTTTCATAATTAGTTAACATATGCTATTGTTTTAAACAGGCTTGCTGTTAACCTTTGGCACTTTGCATATGCATTCCTTTCTTAGCCAAAATTTAATTATGTCTGGGGAAAGTGAAAAAGTTACCTATTCATTAATTTTTTCAATGCCTATTCTATATATGATGGGCCTTCAAGAGATGCCAAAAATAAGAGGACAGTCCCTGCTCTCAAAGATAGGATAATACAGAAGGGGAGAACATGCTCCAAAATATCATTTGATTGTTGATTTTAAATTAATTAGCATAAGGAGAAGCCTCTCTCAAAAAGTTGGCAAAGGTATGCAAAACCTGACTATCTCAGTTACTTGAAGGGGAATGTATCTGAATACCAAGAGGGGAAGAGGTTGGATATTGAATACATGAAGGCCATGCAAAGCCACAAGCAAGACAGCTGATGAGGATCTCTCAAAGCATACCCTCAACAATGGATTGGGTTCTGCAACTCTCAGGAAGGGGATTGTCAACACCTTGGCTTGTGAAGCAACCCCTGTTCTCCCCAGAAAGATCCAACAGTGTTTCCTCAAGCAAATAAACTTTCTTTTTAGAATCACAGACTCGAGCATCAGAGGAATGCAAATCTAAGCACCAGGTGACTCTAATACAAAAGACCTTCTGCAGGAAGACCAAGTATTTTTGTGCTTTTTCACAATCCCACTTGTTCCAAGTCAAAAAAGCATCTGCAGGTTGTTGCTATAAATGTCTTTGCTGCGGGTGTCTTTGATTACTTCTATAGGCCCTTATTTTCTCCCTATGTTGAGTATTTCAAATACATTGTGTTTGTTTGGCATTGCAGCACCAGTCTGGCTTTAAGAAGGTACTTGACTGGGGCTACGTCAGTTGAAAATAAGACACCTAACTTTGGACAGTGGACAAATGTTTCCTTCCTCAGTGGGAGAATAGAAGTTCCAGAAGAGACTTGCACTAACTCCTACCAGCACATCTCACCTACCTGCCTTCCTTCTTGATAGTATGGGTAAACCGAAAATAAAATGCTAAGCACCCCCAACCAACTGATGGACCCTCCTCTCGGCCAAGGGCATTCCAAAGTTAACCTGAAAAATTAGTTCAGACCATAATGGGAAATGGGGATCAGACACGCTCCCTTATACACTCCTCCCTTTGGAATTCAGGCATAGTTGACCAGCATTAACATTGAAGCAGAGATATTAAGACTAATCAAATAAAATTTCTGTAGCAATAAGACACCAAATTCCAGCCTGATTCTGGTATAGCATCACATGACAGATAGCAGGCCCTGAAAGAAATAGAAGATTTTACCCCCAAAATACATTTCTTTGACATACTTTGAAATGGCCCTGCAAAGCCATCTTTTGGGTGGAAAATCTACATTCTGTAGAAAATCCCCATTGCTTTCCTGGTCTTTTCCTTGATCCAGGAGAGAATTAACTAAGGGTCTGGCACCTTTTCAGATCTGATAAGAGCTCTGTAGCCTGCAGTAGCCTGCTACCTGGAGGCTTCACCTGCATGATAAAATCTTGGTCTCAACAACTTTTTATCTTAACCCAGACATTCCTTTCTATTGATTCTAGGTCTTCAGATAACAACTCTTTCAACCAATTGACAATCAGAAAATCTTTGAATCCACCTATGGCCTGGAAGCCCCTGCTTCCAGTTGTCCTTTCTTTCCAGGTGAAACCAATGTACATCTTACATATATTGATTAATGTCTGATGTCTCCCTAAGAAGTATAGAACCAAGGTGTAGCCCAACCACTTTGGGCACATGTTCTCAGGATCTCCTGGGGCTGTGGCACAGGACATTGGTCATTAATACGTGGCTCAGAATAAATCTATTCAAATATTTTACAGAGTTTGACTCTTTTCATCAGGATATGGATGAAAGATCCATGTTTATAGACAAAGCACACCCCACTTCTCTTGCACAGAAATTTCTCACCTCAAGCCCATCAGTCCAATAACTTTTTCCTCTCAGCTGTATCACTGTTTTTTCTCACTCTAGTGGGTCTTATGATGATATTTTTTCCCAATTATAAAGAAAATTATTCTCCCTTAATACCCCATCAGTCTCCGGAAAACAAACAAAAAACTTTTACACTCCCCTTTTATAAAACTCCTTGAAAGAGTGATCTTTTCTCACTGTCATCAATTTCTCTTATCTCATTCTCCCATTCTGACAAACCTTTTGCTCATCATTTCCATTAATCTGTTCTCACAAAATCATCAATGATTTTCACATTGCTCAACCTAACAGTTATGTGTTCTTATCTTACTTGACACGTCAGCAGCTTTGGGCAGAGTTGAAACCTTCCTCCTCCTCTAGAACGTTTTTTCACTTGATTTCTATCACATTACACTCTCATCATTTCTCTTTTATACTCTAGCCATCTATTCTAAATCTCTGTTGCTGTTTCTTAGATATGGAAATTAGAAGTGCCCCATGGTTCAGGACCTGGCTTTCATCACTATTTCATCTAAACTCACTTTCTTGGTGATCTCGTCTACTTTCATGACCTTGTATAGCTTTAGACATACATGCAAGCATACAAATATGTGAAGGCTTCTAAATTGATCTCCCCGGCCTGAACCTATCCGCTACTCATCTCACTTATTTGATAACCTACTTAACCTTTCCACTTGAGCAACTAACAGGCACATTAAGCATTACGTTTCCCAAACCAAATTCCAGATCTTCCCTTTTCATGTGCTCCTCACAAAGTTTTCCCCTTCTCAGGGAATGGCAATGCTTTTGTTTGTTTGTTTGTTTGTTTGTTTGTTTGTTTTGAGACGGAGTCTCTCTCTGTTGCCTGGAGTGCAGTGGCGCGGTCCCGGCTCACAGCAACCTCTGACTCCCTGGTTCAAGTGATTCTCCTGCCTCAGCCTCCCAAGTAGCTAGGATTACAGGCATACACCACCACGTCCAGCTAATTTTTATATTTTTAGTGAGCCAGGGTTTCACCACATTGGCCAGGATGGTCTCAATCTCCTGACCTCGTGATCCACCCACCTCAGCCTCCCAAAGTGCTGGGATTACAGGTGTGAGCCACAGTGCCCGGCCAGCAATGCTGTTTTTATGCAGTTGATCAGACCAAAATCCTTGCCATTATTCCTAACACCATATTGCAAATATGATCTGTCAGCAAACCTGATTGTCTCAACTTCAAAGCATTTCCAGAATTCAACCGATTCAATGCTTTATCACCACATCCACTGCTATGATACTTCCCTAAGCCACCATTATCTTTCCCCTATAATATTGTGATAATCTTTTAGCTAGTCTCTATTTCTTCCCCACCAATATTCCATTCCCCAAAGGCTAGCCAGATTGGTCTAATAAAAGGTATAAGTAGATGGTATCATTCTTTTTCTAGAAATATCCCAGTGGACCTTCACCCCATTCAGAGTTACAAGACAAAATGTTTTACTGATCCTAAACAATATGAGCTTATCCCTCATTTGCTGTTCCTCACTCACTTTGACTCACCCTCTTTCTGCTCTTCAAGCATGCCATATAGACCCCCAACATCAATCAGCCTTTGCAGTTGCTTCTTCCTAATTTTCCTCAGATATCTACATTATGCCTCTTTCACTTCCATTAAAATGTACTGGATTGTCATTTTATTTTACAAGGTCTTCTTTCCTGGTCTAAAATTTCAACCACTATTTCCATGATTGTTCTTCTTACCCTCCTTCCTTGCTTAATTTTTTTTTTAAATTTTTATTTATTGGCTGGGCGTGGTGGCTCACGCCTGTAATCCCAGCACTTTGGGAGGCTGAGGCAGGAGGATCACAAGGTCAGGAGATCGAGACCATCCTGGCTAACACAGTGAAACACCATCTCTACTAAAAAAATATACAAAAAATTAGCCGGGTGTGGTGGCAGATGCCTGTAGTCCCAGCTACTCAGGAGGCAGGAGAATGGCATGAACCCAGGAGGCGGAGCTTGCAGTGAGCCGAGATCATGCCACTGCACTCCAGCCTGGGCAACAGAGCAAGACTCCATCTCAAAAAAAAAAAATTATTTCTTTTTAAGACAGGGTCTCCCTATGTTGCCCAGACTGATTTTGAACTCCTGAACTCAAGAGATTCTCTTGCCTCAGCCTCCCAAAGTGTCAGGATTACAGGTGGGAGCTGCCACACCCAGTCCCTTATTTTCTTTTCTTTAACAGTTATAGTCACCTAAAGTTTTACATATTTTCCTTATCGATAATTTTTCTACAGAATATAAGCTACACAAAGTTAAGAATTTCAGTCTGATTTATGCTTGTATTGATTGAAATATTGCCCTGTTTTGAATCTCCGTATTTTGTCACAGTCTTTGCAGTTTGTCCCAAGAGAGATGGATTACACTTCTCTGCCCACTCTTGCTGTTGGGCGTGGCCATAGGCTTGCTTTGATCAATGGAATGTAGACAGGTGTGACAGCATGGAAGTTCCAAGCCTTAGGTTTAAAGGAGCATTACATGTCTGCACTACCCTTCTTATACTGCTGCCATTGCCATGAGAATCACATGCCTCATGCAACCACTGGTATCAGGAGAATATGGGCTATACGTCATAGAACCATACAACCTAAACAGTTTATAGCTCACAGTCTTGCTTAGCTGAGCACAAGCTAGATCAGACAGACCCAAGGCACTGAACACATGAACAAAAGAAAAATAATGCTTATTGTTGTATGTCAGTGAGATTCTGTGATAATTATGCATTAATAGTGGATGAATATACTATTATATTCACATAACAAGTGCCCAGTAAATAATTGGTGGATAAATGACAGGATAAAAGAAGTCTAAATCCTGGCATCTGTGGGAGTCATTAGTTTCTGCCAAACACTCTGTCTTTGCATCTTCCAGCAGAAAGAATAGGGCTTTATGACTAGTTCTAATCAATAAGTTATGAGCTGAAGCAGCACTGTGTCACTTCCAGGCTGGAGAATTTAATTGGAAGACATTATAAAGCTTTATATTTCCCTTTGGCATGATGAGAAGCAATGTTTGCAATGGTGACTGCTCCATGTGTAGCAGGAATGAGCAGAACCTCCCATTGACCTGCAGTAGACATATAGAAGCTTAGAAGCAAATTATTGGTGCTTTAAACCGCTGACATTTGAGGTTTGTTTGTTACTGTAACATAACCCAACATATACATTTTCTCTGCAAATCTATACACAAATTAGACATATGTTTAGCATCACATTCAGTAATTTCAAGCGTTAGGGCAGTGCTTCTTACCTTTGTTTACGAGACAGGACGTTTCTAACATGTTCTGGGGCTAAGAAAACTTGGGTCAAGGTCTAGATATAGCCACAGATTAGATGGGTAACATTAGGTAAATCATGAAATCACTCTGACCCTGTTTTCTTATTTGAAAAGAAATAAGAAATCAACACTCTGGGCCAGAGAAAATAGTGAATGGAACCTTACTTTCCAGGGAAACTTTGCTTTTAATATTTAGCTCACTAGACCATCAAGCTGCTGTTTTTCTCCTTTCTGCAAAGGTTTCTACTTCTTGTTCAGAAGCATTTGATCCTTTAAATATGAGCTTGCTGTCTTGGTTAGCCCCATGGCCCTAGCAAAGTTAACTTTTGGAGACTTTCACATTCTTAAAGAATCTTTTCAGATCATTGTAACTCCTTGCAACTCCCCTTCATCGAGGTCACTGCAATCTCTAGATATTAATTCTGTGATTATTTACATATTAATCACTTCACTAAATAAACCACATGTCCCATGATGAAAAAGTCTATATAATACACTCAGTTGTATAGCACAGTGTGTAACACATAGTAAGAGTTCAATGAACAACGGGCAAATTAATGAATGAATGAGTGACAGGCCTCCTTTCTTTACTGTGTCACTCCACCAAGACCAACACTAAAGTTGGGTTCAAAAATGTTTGTCGAATCTGAATGCTTAGAAAGGAAAATGATCTAAATAAAGTGATTTTACCTCAAGCATACCTGAAACTTTCCTATTTAGATGTGTTTACATCTTAAAAAGGGATCTATAGGCTAGGTGTAGCGGTTCATGCCTGTAATCTCAACACTTTGGGAGGCTGAAGTGGGAGAATGGCTTGAGGCCAGGAGTTAAAGACCAGTCTGGGAAACACAGTGAGACCTCATCTCTACCCATGCCCTCCCCACCTCACAAAAAAAAAAATTAGTGGGCATGGTGGTGCATGCTTGTAACCCTGGCTACTCAGGAAGCTTAGGCAGGAGAATCACTTGAGCCCAGGAGTTCCAGAATACAGTGAGCTATGATTGCGCCACTATGTTTCAGCCTGGGTGAACAGAGTGAGACCCTCTGTCTCTAAGAAGAAATAGGGTTTATATAGAAAAGGCTATCTAAACCAAATAAAAGACTATCTAATAGTAGAAATTCATGACTAAAGAGATATTTAACAGAAAAAGGACAGGAATGCATTGTGAAGCTCTTTCATATGCATTATGATGTTGCTCTTCAAATTGTACCATCTGCGTAATTGTTTACTCATAAGGCCAATGAGGATTAAGAGATGAGAGAGGCAAAGAAGTGTTTGAAAAAAACACACATATTTTTTCTAAATCAGTATATTTTTTATTCATTTCACCCTCATTAAAAGTGAGTAACTAATTGAATTAGTTATTAGTATGTCCTAGAAATTATAACCATCCTTTGAAATGTAAATGTTTAGATGTATGAAGAACAATTAAAGAAGCAACCCAAAAGAAGATTATTTAACGCATTGTGAAGTAGCCAAAACATTTTAGGTTGTGCTTTTCACGTCAATTTATTTGGCAATGCTTCACCATAATGTGAAATACCAAAATAACTTAGGCACTTAGGCAAGGATATCTTTTTTTTTTCTTTAGCAAGAATGAACTGTAAAACATTCTGTGCTTGGATATAAAACTGGAATCATAGGACTCAAGAAGTAATTCCTCATCATAAATGCTAACTCTATAAAGAGTAAAAGAGTAACAAGTCTGTAAAGAGTGTGGGTTTCCATCTGAATGTACGGATGCTGAACCAAATTATATAAATACTTGGTTTGGATTGGAAACCAACTCATTTAGCACTGTGTCAATAGCCCTAAAAACTGCATGTTTCCTATTTTATACATATCATCTGCTCAATTTGCCTTTAATTTACTGTATAAGTAGTGTGACCTCATTTCACGGAAATGAAGAAAACCTCAGATTCATTCAGAAGCAATAATTATGGATTGCAGAAGGATAACATAATGAGAAGATCCCGTTTGCATAAAATTGCTATTTGAGTGTTGGATGCTAGTGTTGGCTTTATCAGGGTTTGACACATCTGCCAGACTCAGCTATAGCTCCAATGGGAAGCAAAAATTTAACGTGAGTGCTGAAAATGTTAAAGCCTATAAGATTTATAGGAATGGGTGTCTCAGCTGATGTAACAAGTTATCTTTCTATGTAATATCATTATCATGTGCCTGCCAACTTCCTAAGCCTGTATGAGGATTATTTTATTTCAGACTTAAATTGACCCTCTGAGGCCAGCATTATCATTATCATTCCCATTTGACAGATGAAGAAAGGAACTTGCTGAAAGCTATGCAGTTAGACGGTGACAGAACCCAAACCACCAGATCTGAATATAGAGCCCAGACTCATGACCTTCTTATTACATTACCTCTTCTCTCTCTTTAATTATCTTGTATCCATATATCCATCCATCTATCCATTACTTTCATTTCTTTCACTCATCATCTCTGTCTGTCCATCCAATCATATTATTTCTTTGCCTTTCTCTGTATCTCCATGTGTCTCTCTGTCTTCCTGTTTGCTCTTTCTAGCTCTGTGACTTTCTCTAACTCTGTCTCAGACCCTGTGGATTACTATCTGTCTCCCCGTTTTTCCCTGTGTCTTATTCTTTCATTCTCTTTCTCTCACTCATTCAATCTCTCTATTTGCATAATTAATCCATCTATCATCCATTTATATACCCATCCATGGATGCATTAATCTTTATTTTTCCATCTGCCCATCCAACCATCCATCCACCCAAGCTTTCTATACCTCCGTCTCCTCTTCTGAATATGTCATATACTTTCTCTCTGAGTCTCTCTCCTTATTTCTTTATTTTCCCACCCCCACCATCCTACTATCCTCCTCTCCCTCTCTCCATTCAAAATTGCTGCAAATCCAAGTATTTTAGGCCTGTCCTTTCATCCTCTGTCCCTCCAAAGTCAGGAAATGTGCCATGCGTCACCAAGGCAGTAACAAAATCTATGTACTGGTCAACCAGAGGTCGATTCTGTTGCTACTAGACTACAAACAAAGTATTAAAGGAAATTATTTATGGATCTCTTGCATTTCTGCACATCTTGTGAGTGAGGCATAATCTGCTTTTTGTTCCAGGTTATCTTTTCAATGATATTTGTATACTTAGCAGCCTTGGAAGACAAAGATAGTGTCTCCCTCTGATGTCAAGGGGAGGTTTGCTCATATCCTTGGAAGGTAGGTACAGTATCTCCTTCTAGAGGAAAAGGCAGGCATTTTTACTACCCAGGATAATAAAATAATGTCTCCTTCTGAGCAAAGGGAGAGCTTGCCTGCCAATATACAAGCTTCAGATTCCTTAAGCTCAAGGTCTCTCCTCCCTTCTCTAATGCAACCTACTACATGTATAGGCATCCATTTGGGCCCACTTGCATAGCCCCTGTTGGACTTGAGGGTAAGCAGAACCAACAAAAATAAGTGAATGTTCATGCTTCTTGGTGTGCCCTGAGTGAGAAAGTCCTTTTTTCTCTGACACAGGAGTCTCCTATATTCTGCCTGCCTCCATGAAACTATGGCAGACCCGCCCATTTGTTTGCAAGTGGAGGGAAATCTCAGCCCCTTCTGAGTTATTGAATCAAAGCTATACCTTTGTTTACTCGGTCTCATGGCAACATGATACTGAACATCAAGTTATTTATATCTTGAATAGGAGAATATTTTAACTAAATTCTTCTAGCCTCCTATTTTCCATTGGAAAACAGCACCTATTTCAACAAGAAACTCAGGATCTCATTGGTCTATCTGCTATTTTCAATAAGGAAGAAAATCCTTGAAGACTTAATTTGTGGGGTGGAGCTGGTTTGTCACTTGGGTGTCAATGAGGCAGAAGGCTTCACATGGCTTCACATGGTCAATGTGGCCTGAAAGAGCTGAATGTGGGGGAGTGTGACTGTATCAGAGGACCTTGGTGCCCCAGCTCACAGTCTCAGCCTCACTGCAATCCCAGGTGCGGGTGCAGCAGGCAGGTCCTTATAGGCGTAGACTTCCTCTGTGCCCACTGTATCTCATCTCAATTGTTTCCTGTGAGTCTTTCTCTTTCTATTATGGGGCTTCCCTCATGCTTCAGAGGCAACACAGACCATTCATCAGGTATGGATGGACTTCCTGGAAGTACAGAGCTTCTAGGACCTCCAGAGACAGCCCTCAAATATCGGGGGATAATCATTTCTCCCTGTTGGTTCTCAAATTGAAGACTCTGAGAGACATCTGTAAGCTGTTTAGAAAGTTCTAGAAAGGATTGAATCCAAGTTTTTCATGGCAGTGACCCCAGGAAAATGCTTCTCATATTGGCTCTTCCTCCCTTCCTCACACTCTCTTGTTCCTCTGTCCTAATCTCTAGGATCACCTCACGAATAAACTGCCTGTACACATGTCCTGGCCTCATGGGGAAAATACAAGCCAATCCAATGGTAGAGCAGAAAGACCAGGGTCTCTGGAATCAGGCAGACTTGGGTCTGTGCATCAGCTCTGCCAGTTTTTACCTAGGAGACCTTGAACAAATTGCTTAACGTCTCTGAGCTTTAGATTCTTCATTTGTAACATGGGAAAAAATAATACTTTGTAGAGTTATATATGGAATATTGATAATGGATAAAAAGCATTCAGTCCTTAGTACAGGGTCTTTCACAACATCAGTGCTCAACAAATAGCTGCAATTATTGTTATTACAGCCTGAGCAAATCCCAGGGGCACCCCAGGCACTACAGGTGCAGAATTGTGATGTTCTGACTTTAATGGCTGTCCCAGGATGCTAAGCTGTAGAGCTTAATCACTTTAAGGACCCCAAACCACATCAATTATTTATAAATTACTGTTTATAGAAATGGCTGCATCATAAATAGCTTCTAGATTCTATAAATGTATTTATGCATATGTGGCAAATACAAAGATAATATATTTGAAGCATTAAGCCATTTTTAGTTGATTCCTTGTACTTTCCTCTGTCCAGTCAGGTTAGGAATTGTATATTTGAGACAACAGGGAAGAGATGATACAGAAAAAACATAAATTTTAAAAAAATTCTTACTCTTTTTAATTTTTCCAAAAACCTGGAGCAGAGATCGTAGCTTTAGGAGAAAGTCTTCTCTTCTCACTAAATAGGAAAAACTTCCCAGAGTATAAGATAAATTATGGACAGTAGAGGTTTAGAACGAGACCATGGTGAAACAACATGGGAAGTATGAAGGCAGGATTTGGAGAGGCGCATCCACTCAGGTGAGCTCCATCTCATGCCCCCTGGAGTTGTGTGGGATATGAATGAGGTCCCACAAACAGTCCAGTGCATTTCAGCAAGTACTGTGTTTCCTCTGGTGGAGATGTTAGTTGTTCTGCCTGTTGTCACCTATTAAAGAACAACTTTCAACAGTAGCTGGATTTCCAAATGGCCTCCGAAACTGCTGGGTCAGCATTCAACTTATTCATGTGGAAAATTCTCTTTACTGCATTTCAAGACACCTAGAAGACCCTAAATGAAAAGTAGTCCTAAGGATAAAGGTAGGAGAGGATTACATCTTTGGAACAACTAGCAGGACAGACTTCCACCCACAGGCCAAGACAGTGGTAAATCAAACCCCATGAGACATGCATTAGTTATCAAAATATGCCACCTTGTCTACTTGTTTATCTGGTTTATGCTAGTCACATTCCACAATCTCCAGGAATCCTGAAGTGCAAAAGGCACACATTCTTATGGGTTACAGCCCAAGAGGAGGCCATCCCTCTAAGATGTGAACTGTGAACTGAACTTCAAGTGAACTCTCCCACTTAACCCCAATGTGTCATTTCCAGAAAATTCTTACATTACAGTCACTAATGAACTAGACAAATGGGTATCTGTGAACACCGCAGCTAAGAGGCACATCTGGGTAGAAGCGGTTCCTGCTGGTGGCTGAGTAGTGAGATGTCTTAAACGTGGATGGCAGCCTCAGGGCTTCTGAGATTATCACACTCAGCAGGCACAGGGCACTGACAATTTTAAATGGGGTAAAAGCTGACAGCTGCAACCCTTTCCTTCACAAGTTCAGTGGGAGCCAATGGTCTTGAACTACATAAATGTCCTTTCACCAGGAAAAGGTTGGTGCATTTTGCAGGAGAGGGCACTGAACTTCTGAAAGACACTGAAAAAAATATCTTTTCTTTGACCCAGCTACCTGGTCCCCAACCCCAGGAAAACGCCTTTGTAAGATATCTCTGTTTCAGCTGGTTAGTGGATAATGAGTGTATTATTATAGTTATCTAGAGATGAGTAACAAATTACCCAAAACCTAGCAGCTTAAAACAACAAACATTGTCTCATGGTTTCCGTGGTTCAGGAACCTGGGCAGCTTAGTTAGCCACATGACCCTGACTCGAAGTCTCTCACAAGGTTGCAGTCAAGCCACTGGTGGCTCTATAGCCCCATCTGAGGGCTGCAGTCCTTCACCACACATGCACTCCACAGGGCTGCCTCATGACATGACAGCTGGCTTCCTTGGAAGGTAAGTGACAAAAGAGTGAGAACGGGAGCACCCAAGACAGAAGTCATGATCTTTTATGACCTAACAATAGAAGTAACATCCCATCCCTTGCTTGGTATTCTGTTTGTTAGATATGTCAGTAAGTCCAGCCCACACGTGAGAGTTGGAGATTACACAAGGGTGTGGATACCAGGCAGGCAGTGGATATCACTGGGGTTCATCTTAGGGGCTTCCCACAGAGAAAGTCAGTTGAACCCTTAGGATTCTCAAATGTGTTGCATTCTGCCTCCAAGGTTCTTAAGTTTGCTCCATAGTCATTTTATTTTTCCCCATTTCATTCCACTCAGTGTTTGCCCTGAATCTTTTCTGTTCATGTGATTCTTCACCAGCTTTTCAGAGGACAAAGCTCATGAATTTCTACTTCATGACCAAAGATAAGTCATCTATTTTTCCCTCTAGTTTCTTCCTTTACTTCAGAATTTAATCTATGTATATATCCAAATCCTCCTTTCTATTTTGTCTCATCAAAAAGGAATGAGAGTACGAAGGAAATGTAATTTTGCTGAATACTATCTATTGGCCAAGCTCTGTTTTGAAATATGTATTATTCAAATATATAATATATAATATGCATATTATATATAATATATAAAATATTTCAAAATATATAACATATTATATATTGTGTATATTATATAATGTGCATATTTTATATGTACATATTATATAACATACATATTATAACTACAAATATTACATATTACATATAATATACATATTAGATAATATACAAAATATATATGTTATATATTGAAATATTTTATATATTATATAATATGTATTTGAATAATATATTTCAAAATATATATGTATATTCAAATATATAGTATATAATATACAAATATGTATTTGAATAATATATATTTCAAAATATATAATATATATACTATATAAAAATTTATATATAATATACACATACAATAACATATACATATATGCATATATAATACCTATGTATATGCAGTACAATATGTTCCATGATGTAAATATTCCTACTGTATCCAATATATAATATACATATTATATAAAATATAGTATTTCACATATAATATGTATATTATATATTGTATATAAATTAATTATTTAATAGGTTCTAGGGAATGTGGTAAACTTGACAGTTTATTGTCTCATTTAATCTGTACAGCATTTTTTACTTGTCGTATCTGAGATTTACATAAGCAAAGTAACTGGCTTGAGGTGAGACAGCTGGTGAAGGATTGCAGCAAAGCCGTAATCCAGGCCAGCATTTCTATTCATCACTGTTTCCTTGTCTCTAAACTGATTCACATCCTTAGTGTTGGTCCTATCTCATCCTGCCTTGTTTAGAAGCCTGCACCCTTCATTGCTTCTATTTTTTCATTTCTGGTCTTACTAACTACAAACTTACTTTCAGCTAATAAGTGTGAGCCTCCCTTATCCTTAAAAAAAAAAAGACACAGAGGGAAGAAAATAAAAAAATAAAGCCTTGTGCCTTCAACTCTCACCTTACTGTATCTTTGCTCCATCTCTCCTCCTCCAAATGTCTCAATATAGAGACTGTACCCCATGACTCCACAGTCTTGCCTTTCCCTCTCTGTCCATCCTCTGGGTTCCATGCCTCCCCCACCCTCGCTAAGGTGGACAATGAACAGAGCCTTGGCTCAATTCTTCTCCTTCACTGCTCAAGTAAATTTACCCTCCTCAACACCTTTTTCTTAAAACACTTAATTTTTGTGGTTGCTGTATTATACATTCCAGCTTATTTTTTTGTGTTTCTCACCAGTCCTTCTTGATTTTATTCATTTACATTTTCTCTCACCTCTAAAATAAGATCTTTGTATTAGTTTCCTAGAACTGCCATAACCAAGTACCACAAACAGGGTGGCTGAAAACAACGGACATTTGTCTCTCTCAGTTGCGGAGGCCAGAAGTCTGAAATCACGGTGTTAGCAGAGCCACGCTCCATCTGAGACTCTGTGGAGAATCCTTCCTTGCCTCTTCCTGGCTTCCGCTGGTAGGCTCGATCCTTGGTGTTCCTTAACTGTTAGCTGCATTGCTTCCATCTCTGCCTCTGTTGCTACTTGATATTATCTTTTCGTGGGTCTGTGCTATGTCCACATTTCCTCTTCTTATAATGACACCAGTTCCATTGGATAAAGGGCCCATTCCACTCCAGAATGACCACATCTTAACTAATTACATCTTCAATGATCTTATTTCCAAATGAGATTGTATTCTGAGGTACTGGAGGTTAGGACTTTGACATATTTTGAGGGAAACACAATTCAACTCACAATAGTCTTGTCTGAGATTCTGTGCTATATTTTCTACTCTATTTCCTGAATCACATCTGTATCCACTGCCTCTAGGTAATGGTGCCACAGATTATGTCATTTTCTCAAAATTTTGTACTTTGCACCAATGTTCTCTTGAACTAAAACAAGCGGTTTCAAATGCCTAAAACACCTCCCCACTTGGATGTCTCATGAACATAGTAATGTAAATATTCCAGAAGGCCAGTGGCCAATGTGAGATGACATACACCCATAAATGTCCAAACCACCATCCTTATTTACCAGGACTCCTGCAGCAGCCTCCAATCTAATATCCACTTTCACTCTGCCTCTGCTACCATTTCTCATGGTGTCCAATATGGAAACCACAGCCTTTTATTCCACAAAACCCCATGGCTTCCCATTGACTTGAGGTATGGGGGCGGGGATCAAGCTCCTTCAAAACTGTAAATATTCCACAACTGTTATACCATGAACATCAACCTAGGCAAAAAGAGTTCTGCAATTTTCTGGCCCTCCAAATCTTTTGTCTCCATGGACATGTGAGTCCAACCTGAAATTCTCTCCACTGACTGCAACCCAAACCTTTCTCTCACCAAATCTGCCCTTTCTCTCAAGCGCTCATCTCTAAAAACAAAACCACCATTATCTCAGCCATTGATGAGGAACAGCAGCCTCATCTGTACATCTTCCTTTCTTTTGGCCTAATACATTCATTTGGTGGCCAGAACACAATGACTCAAGTCCTGCTCTGTTTTTTTCCCCTTCTCTTTTCTTTCTGGCTCTATAGACACACTCCTAGCTCAGGCCCACATTTTCTCCCAACCAAGGCATTGCAGTTGCTTCTAAATCACCCTTCCTGCTTTCAGCTTCTCTCATTCCCCAACCCACTATACATAGTGAATGCATTACAATATTTTTAAGTTATTTATTTTTTTTTTATTGAGATAGGGTCTCAAAATATTGCCCAGGCTAGTCTCAAACTCCTGCCTCGAGCAATTCTCTCACCTCTGCTTCCCAAGTTGCTGGGATTACAGGAGTGAGTCATTGTGTCTGGCTCCATAAAAATGTTTCTAAAGTGGAGTTTTGATCATTGTCCCACACCTTCTTCAAAACCCTTGGGGCTTCCACAGGGTTCATTGTAAAAGCCTGTGGTTCTTGAATGTTCATCAAGCCCTCAACAGCAGACAATGATAGTGCCTTTCCAACAGGTCTTGGCCTCCCCACTGTGGGCATGGTGGGGAGTGCCAGAGTCAACACCCACAGGAAAAGCTCTAAACAATGAGCCTAAATTTCCTACCTTCTCAGTAGGACAATTCTCAGAGGATCCCCAGCATTTTAAGTCCACAGTGGTAACCAGTGCCATGTATGCCGTACTGAAGCCTGAGGCAAAAGGAAATATGTATGCTTCTGTGTACTTGTTTTTATGTATTTTTAAATGGCTAATGGTTTTAATAAAAATACTATTAGTGTTTGCTTCCATGGAAACCAATAAAGTAAAAGTATAGCTAAATGTTTTTGATATAAATACAATGTTTAAATTTAAAATAATGATGTGAGTTTTAATACTTCTACTTTTAAATTTTACATTTTTCAGGTACTTAAATGTTCTGGAAAAAAATTCCCCATTTTAAAAATACAAAGAAAGGTATTCTTGCATATTGTTGTCTTTTTCCTCAGGCTCCTATATGGCCCAATGCAGTATTGTTAGATCCTGTCCTTATTTAAAATTTTAATAATGTGTGTATCATGGATTTTTGTGTTAATTTTGATGGTTTAAAATATTATATTACAATATTGTCTGTATTGACTACTGAGTGTTTGAAACTCCCATAAATTCAGCAACCTGGGTGAGCTTCCCTCTCCTCACACTTGTCCTAGCCCTAGGAGTCATCTGCTAACTCAGGTTTCTTTGGTTGCTTTTCCTTCCTTCCCTGCCTCGCTCCCCAGTTCCCTCACCCTACTTCCTGGGATTATTTCCCAAATAGACTACTTAAAATCTTTATCTTGAGATCTGCTCTTGAGAAAATCCAAATTAGCATATCATCTGTGGTGTAGCAACAACGAACTGTCCCAGAAACAGTTCCACCTTTGTCCCTCAAACCTAAGCTCAGCCAATTCAGCATGTTTCTATTCCTAACTTAACTGTGATAACATATGTGAAAGCTCTTTATCAAGAAGCACCGTAACATTATAAGTGTGATGTCATAAGAAATATATTTAGTCCTTGCCCCTTGTTTTGGCACAGAACTCTTAAAACCCTGGGAATTTTCTGAATGATAGGAATGTTTATTATTATTCATAAGGAGCTCCTTTTGATCACACCTGAGTTTACAATAATGAGGTGACTTATGGCAGGTACTCTAGATAGTCTCAGGATGGGGCTGGCTACAAGGAAGACCAAGTGATTAGAAGACTAAAACTTTCATCCCCACCTGCCCACCTCTGGGAATGATGGGGGAGCTGGTGATTAAGTTCTAAGAAAACTCTTAAACAATAAGATTTGATGAGCTTCTGGTTTCGTGCGCTGGGAGGGTAGTGCACCCCCACTCAACATGGACAGAAATTTCTGCATTGAGGGACCCTTCCCCACCCTATGTACCTTGTCATCTGCCAACCCTTTTTAATATCCTTTATACTAAACTGGCAAACATAGGCGTTGCCCTGAGTTATGTGAGCTGTTGTAGCAAATTATAAAGCCTGAGGAGGGGGTTGTGGGAACCCACAACGTCTGGCCAAGTTAGAAGTGCGGGTAACCTAAGGATCCACTACTTATAATTGGTCAGAAGCAGGAGGGCAATCTTGTGGGACTGAGCCCTTAACATGTCGGATCTGTACTAACTCCAGGTAATTAGGGTCAGAATTAAATAAAAGTGTAGGAAACAGTTGGTATCTGCAAGAGAATTGCTTGGTGTGGAAAACCCACACATTTGGTGTCAGAAGTGTTGTGAGTAAAAAATAGATCTTAGGAATGAGCAATTGTTATTAGCTTCCTGTTTGTTCATGAAACTCACTGTCCCTAGCATTTCTTTATTCTGTGTTCACAAGTTGAAAAATTACCCATGCCACTACTCTGATGAAGGCATTGTTTTACATCTCCTCTCTCAGATTTCTCTCTTTTTTCCCTCTGTTCTCGTATCATAGTGGTAATTCTTATGATAGCCTCCATCCCATGTACCTTCTACTCAGGGCATTTTAATACCTCTTATCGCCCTCTGTTAGACTGCCAGTCTCAAAAATGTGGGCAGTGTCTGCTCAACTTTCTAAACAACCACAGAAGCCTACCTTGCAGTGGACACCTGCACATTAAATGTGTGGTAAGTCAAATTAAATGAAGAATTTAATAAATTCAGAACCAGTGCATTCAGCAACAGAACCTTTACTTGGGTGAACAGAGCAGGTGGAGATGCACACAAATCCATTCAAAGCACAGCTATCAGGGAACACAATGTACCAGATAGCTGTGCTGCCTCGGCGGTAGGTTCAGGAACACGCTGGCCCAGGAATCTGGAGGTGGATTTGGCAAACAAGGCTTCACAGAAAGTTTTTGCCTCACCCACCAACACAAGGCTCTACCTTTGCTGTTACCAAACTCTTTGTGACCATGTTGCTTGACTCAATATGCATCAAATGAACAATATTCCTAACAGGTGTTCCCAATCAGGTCCAGAATTAGGGTATGAAAAAAATAGCTGGCATTTGCTCTGATTCTGATGATAGGGTTGATTTAAACCTTGGAAAGCTCTTTTCAAAACCACCTGGCAGAACATCGCAACACACCCACATACACCATTCAGTTGGTATTTAGAGGACTTCAATAAATCACCAGGTTCTCCAAACTGCTCTGTGGACAGCTGAATTTTTCTCGGCCATGATTAAACTGTTCATGCCATCTTCTCCCCTACTTTGTCAACAATTCAAGAGGTTCAAGTCTCAAACAAACATTTTATATTTCCTCTTCACAGCCTTTCTATGCTATTTAAGTTGTATCAAGTTGCTCACCACAGTATTATTTATAATAGCAAATTGGGAAGAAACCTAAGTCGTGGAAGAGTCATAGGTTAAGCAAATTACCTGTATTCAATTTTCACAGGATCGCTTATAGGAAAAATTTTACTGATAGTAATATACTACTAATAATATTACTAATAGTAATAATTTGGATTATGTAAATATGGATGATTATTTTGTCTCTTCCATTTATAATTCATTTTAATGTATTACAAATGTGTAATCCTTTAATAATTATAAAATATAAATATATAATTATAAAAATAGTACACTTTACACACTTAAAAAAATTAATTGTGTAGACATCCTAGATTGGGGAATAAATCATAAAAGATGGACATTTGGGAGAGGGAAGTTCTAGTCCCATTCTTTGCCTTGATGAAAAGACACTTCAAAATTCTGAATGTGTGTGTTGGTTGTGAGATACCCAGTTGTAGTATTTGTAAATTGTTAACAACTGACTACAATAAGGATCCTGATTTGTAACATTTGCTAGTTCCAAGATGTAAATATACCCGTTGTAATCAATTCCAAGCCACAGATACGAAGTCACTGAATATGGGGTTAAGTAGAGGCGCATGATTGACCTTGCAGGGCTATAGGAGCTGAGTCAGCCCCAACATACCACTGACCTCATTTTCTCACTGAGCACCTCTGTGAGCCAATGGCTAACCATCTGAAAATGGCTCTTACAAAGCAATTATCCATGGTCAGTTTGAAACTCCTCTCCCAAGAGCATAGCTTTCTAACAAGACAAACTCACTCACCAAGATACCAGCTAGAAAGAGCACACTCACATTACCTTGGCCCATCTGTCTACGCTCCTGGAGCCCTCTTCTGTATCCTGGACCAAAATAATTGTATTCAGTTCTGAGGCCCTAATATCAAACAGGAAACTACATACTGGACTTTTATCAAGGGAATAGCCCAGTTATGAAAAATGTTAAATGTGAAAAACAACATATGTGAAGAAGAGCAGTAAGCATATTTTGAAATTTTTAAATAAACATTAGAACACTAAAACATCATTGAAAAACTGATCAAAGAACTTCAGGGCTGGTAGGACCTTAGTGAATACCGAAACCAATATTTTGAAGTAAAAAACATTGAGTCCCAGAGAACCCTGACTGGTTCAAAGTCAGGTTTCAATTCAATGTTTTCTGATGCCAAATTCACTGCTTTTATTATTAATATGGTACCATATAGAAATTCATGTTAGCTTAAATTTTAGTAGGATTATTATAATATAGTACTTATGACAAAAACCCTAAGAATGTTTTCTATTTTATCCTGTGAGGAAGAAGTAAAGTTGTTTTTTTAAGTATCTTCAAAAGATTCATATTCTATGAAGAAACTTTTTTGACACTTAACAGGAGGCATTGATGTTCACTGTAAATAAAATTCTCTCCTCTACTTTTCTGTTTTCTTGTGTGAAATAGAAGCACGGCTGCCCTGTTCACCTCTTTCTATTTCATCAAAGTGAGAGTGGCCGAAGCATACACTGCAAGGAAGCCACATCTTTGACTTTGCTGCTGGTTTAGTCTTTGGGGAATGAAACCTGAAAATGACTTCCTCAGAAGGAGAGCTGGGCAGCTTGTTCTGGCTGTTACTGCCAGAAAGATGCATCCTGTCACAAGTGACTACGTTTCTGAGTGAAAACCTGAATGCTCTGAAACCTCATAAAAACTAACCAGTTAAACATAAAATAGCAGAAAGCCAAATTTATATTCATACTTATATTCTAACCATCATGTTTATTAATGTTATAAGTGTGTCTTGGGGTGTACAAACCAACCCACACACATCAAACTACGAAGGCTTTTTGATTTGTCTACATTAATTCTGGTTAGGATTTCAATGGAGAGTTTCTCATCAGTAGCATGCAAATATACATTAATAGTCTGTGTAACTAGCTGAAATGTAGATTCAGTCTTAGGATGAAAATTAGTAATTTATGCTACAATACAAATAGTTTAAAAGAAAATTACTAGGTTGACAATTTAAAAAATTATTAGTAACAAAACCAATTGTTTATGTACCATACATTTAAGAAAAACTTAAAAAGCATAATTCTCTGGCTGATAGACAAAATGAGAAACCTTCGTTACAGGTTTCTTCTGGGTAATTTTAAAGTGAGATTAGGAGGTATCCAATAAGCAAAGAACAATAATTTGGAAAAATAACCAGGAGGCCTATTTCTCCAACAGATCTTACTTCTGTGGTTGACATTTTTTCCTGCAGTGGGTGTGAAATTGTAAAGAATCCACTTAGGTACCATTTCACATTCACATGCTAATTTATAAAATTTGGACTTCAGTATCTTTCCTAATAGAGCTCTTCAGAATAGTTTAAGAGTGTTATTTCTTTACTTACTTAGTTATCTGCTTACTTCTAGATCTGGAAGGTAGCATGAGAAGAATTATCCACTGAGGACACTACTCAGAGTGTGGTCCTCTGACTCGTAGCATCTGAATCACCTAAAAGATGTTACAAGTGCAGGATCTCAGGCTTCACCCACAGACCTACTTTAGAGTTTACATTTTAAACACATCCCAGAAAATTCAAATGCACATTAAAGTTCAAACAGCACGGGTCTAGGTCCATTTTACACATTAAGCCATTGAGAAATTGTTCCAAATACTCATAGCTGGTTAATTGATGATGAAAACTCAAGCCAAGATTTCTTGAATTCCAGAACTCTGTCTTCTTCCTGCTTTGCTTTCTTCCCTTTGGCACCTTCTTAGTTAATATAAGTAACTCCTTCCATACAACCACTTAAAATTAATCCAATCACTATCAATGTCCATCATTAATGCCAATGCCAGCTTTGGCTGGATCTGTCTCCCTCAATGACTTAAATTTTGTCAACTTTTTTTTGTTAATATGGTCCAAAATTAGACATTGACACAATGGCTGGCAAAGTTAAAATAAGTGTATTTGTATCCTTTGGCAAAGGCAAATCTACTCAGGAAGACTGAAAAAGGGTCTTTGGAGTATTTTTCAGTTCACCAGCAAATTAGAGAAGCTGTCCCTGCCCCTCCTCCCCTTCCATTCCAATCAGGAAGAAGCAAAAATGGGCCTTAAAATGCCTGCATTTTCCTAGAACCAATAAAGTAAATGGAACCTCATTTCAAAAGGGTGGCTAAGTATAAACCAACTGAGGGAGAAATCTTCAGCTGATAACTTTGTGTCAAGAGGAGATTCACAGCCGTCAAGAGGAGATTCACAGCCGGTGAGAGTGATTTGAAAGCAGATCATAGGAAAAATCGTGTCTTCTATCACTTTAAGAGGAATGAATTGAAGAATAGTTTACTTTTTCCAGTCTCTTAAATCATATCAATGAAAAAGGACAGCCCTTATACAGCAGGAAAGAAAGGAGGAGGGGGCACCACCAAAATTTTGTCATTGCAGAGGCAACAATTCACTCAGTGTTTCAGTTGAAAGTTTGCAACCAAACACAAGAGATTTGCAATGCATTGCAATCATAAAGAATTCTTCAGGGCCGGGCACGGTGGCTCACGCCTGTAATCCCAGCACTTTGGGAGGCCGAGGCGGGCTGATCAAGAGGTCAGGAGATTGAGACCATTCTGGCTAACAAGGTGAAACCCCCTCTCTACTAAAAATACAAAAAATTAGCCGGGCGTGGCGGTGGGCGCCTGTAGTTCCAGCTACTCAAGAGGCTGAGGCAGGAGAATGGCGTGAACCCGAGAGGTGCAGCTTGCAGTGAGCCGAGATCAGGCCACTGCACTCCAGCCTGGGCAACAGAACGAGACTCCGTCTCAAAAAAACAAATAATAATAATAATTCTTCAGATTCCCATGTCCTACCACGATTCTTTTATGTTAAAGTAGAAAGGGATCCTGAGACATCATTGCCATTTGACACATGTGAAAATGAGGCTCAGAGGAGTTGCACAACCTTCTCAAGGTCACATAGTAAGGTACAAAACCAGGACAAGGATCCTGTGTTTCTGACTCTCCATCCACTGCTTTGACTTGGCAAAATACCTACATTTCCTGCCTAAAACGTTTGCTGGATTTCCGGACAGGAATCTAGCTTAGTTTTTGTTTTGTTTTGTTGGGATTTTTTGTTGTTATTGTTTAATACATTCCTATAAGAGACTTTAATAAAAACAGAAAAAATTTCAAGATCTTGGGGAAATAACAAAAATATGTGGGTTCATTTCCCAGGAATCTATTATCTGGAACTTAAAATGTTGACATCTTCTTATGGTGATAATATTTAGACTTAGAGATCTGGGTCAAGTATGGGGAAGGTCAAGAGAAATCTGTTTGCATCCGTTGGCAAAAAATAGTGCATTTAGGAAGACCAGACAGGGGTCCTTGAAGTCTTTGGGGCTTAATTAATATCTCAGTAGTATGTGTGGCTTTTTGGTACTGCTCCTACTTCTGTTTTCTAACTTTAGGGAATGAGAATTTGGCCTCAAAGCTACAGACAGCTGTGAAATTCAATGCTCTATTGGAGCATTTTAAACAGCACATTTGGCCCTTTGGAGGTAACTAAATGGGTTTCACTTCTACAGATTTATAGAACTTGCTCTTTTGCCCAAATTTCTACCTCTTCCGGCTGACTCACTCCCAGCTCTTTCAAATTGAGCCCTTCATTACTCACAGTCTGTACAATATGTAAGATAAGCTAGGATCAAATTCATGCAAGCCTGGCAAAGATTATTTCCTTTCAGATGCTAGAATTTTACCCATCTCTTTTTCTACCATAGTGACATACTGGAAAGTACAAATTGCAGATCGTGTAGTCTTGCAATGCAGGAATGAAGGTATGGTCTACAAATGGTTTTCAACCTTGGCTGCCCATTACAGTGATCTTGGGAGCTTCAAATAATCCCCATGTCAGGCTGCTTCCCACTCCAATTTCATCAGAATCAGCCGAGTGAGACCCAGGCATTGGCATTCTTTAAGCAACTGCTCATGTGGGTCCAATGTTTAGTTAAGTCTGCGAACCAGTGGTTTTAAACAGCTCTTCTCAAACTTTAGTGAGAATTGGTTATCACCTGGATGCTTTTTAAAACAGACCGCCGGGCCCAACCAGTGGTCAGCAGATGAGTGCCTCAGTGCTCCTCAAACTGTGGCTCACAACCAGCACAATGGCATCGCCCAAGAGCTTGTTAAAATGCAAATTCCCAGATTTTGCTCAAGACCAAATCACTGGAAGTGGAGCTCTTGAATCTTCAGGATTACTAGCTCTCCAAGCGATGATGGTGTACACTAAAGTTTAAATACCATTGGTCTAAAGAAGCTAGTAAGAACTGTACAACCATGATAACAACTGAAAATAATATTGACAATGCTAATACTTCAGTCACCCATAAATTGCTCATTCTATTGTTTGATATCACATGCCCCGATAACTGCAGAAGGCCTGGGTTAAATCCACTTGTGAGTGGATTTCTCACCCTATCTCGTTCATCTGAGTGAACCTTGCCAATCCTCTCAGTCAGTACTCATCAATGCTAAGGTTTCCTCAGAAGATGAGGCCCCTCCTTGCTAGGCTACATCTCCAAAAAAAAATTAATAGCAATATATCTGTCAAGGGCCCAGATTCTCACTTTTGGTCAAGGCTAAAAGAGGGCAATTTAATTTGAAAGAAAAGTCCAGGGCATATCATTGGGGAAAAGTGTCCAGGATAAAAATATATGTGAGAGGCCCGGCATATTGCTCTGGCTTCAGTCAGGAATGATGTTCTCACTCAAGCCTCTAGCCTGCTTCATGGGGTCCAAGCAGGCTCTGGACATAAAGCATAAAGGAGAAAGAGCTTCTACCTGGACACAAACTTCAATCCCATTTTTCAGCCCCTCTTTCTCCAATACAATTCCCTGGATAAAACATCTGATCTCCCTCTCTTAACTACGGTCATCTGCCAGGTCCCCTGAGGTAACTGAGCCCAGCATTTATTTTTTCTGTAGCCATTGTCTCTGTGGGGTAAAAACTTTTCTAGAGCTGAAACAGTGCATCAAAGTCACTAACAATTTCAGGGTTAACTTTTAGTATTTTCTCTTTTATAAATGGAGTCTTGTTCTTGTCACTCAGACTGGAGTGCAGTGGCGCTGTCTTGGCTTACTGCAGCCTCCACCTCCCAGGTTCAAGCAATTCTCCTGCCTCAGCCTCCAGGCACCTGCCACCATGCCCAGCTAATTTTTGTATTTTTAGTAAAGATGGCATTTCACCATGTTGGTCAGTCTGGTCTCAAACTCCTGACATCAAGTGATCCACCTGCCTCACCCTCCCAAAGTGCTGGAATTACAGGCATGAGTCACCATCCCCAACCACTTTCAGTATTATCTTTAGCTGTGAGCAGTATTATAAGCTCCTTCGAGCTAGTTTTTGTTTTTGTTTTTGTTTTTGTTTTTGTTTTTTTGAGACACAGTCTCTCTCTGTCGCCCAGGCTGGAGTGCAATACCACGATCTCGGCTCACTGCAACCTCCATCTCCTGGGTTCAAGTGATTCTCCTGCCTCAGCCTCCCGAGTAGCTGGGATTACAGGCAACTACCACCACGCCCAGCTAATTTTTGTAATTTCAGTAGAGATGGGGTTTCACCATGTTGGTCAGGCTGGTCTTGAACTCCTGACTCCCAAGTGTTCCACCTGCCCCGACCTCCCAAAGTGTTGAGATTACAGGCATGAGCCATCGCACCCAGCCAGAACTAGCTTTTTTTAACCAGTGGAACTCCAAAACTGTGAGGAAGTTTAGCCACCCCAACATCTATTGCTTTGGTATGCTGATTATTTCAACATACCAATGGGCATTTGAGGAACAGCAACATATCAAGTGCATTTGGGGAACAGCAAATGCAAAAGAAGGGCTTTACTGAACTTCCTTTATCTGCCTAAGGAAGACATTCTTCAAAAGAGACTCAATTGTCATGAATCCCTTCCCCTGTAATCTTATCAACCAGGGAAGATGAACTGAAATTACAAGACAGGAGACTGGAGGTTGACTCATGCCCAGACAGACTATTAACAATTATCTGAGGGCTGCTCCCAGACAACTTTTTTTTTTGACTCCTGATTTTATTATTTGGTTTCTTTTTTTCATTTAAAGTAGTCTTCTGTGGTTGGGAAGCCTCACCTCCCAAGACCAGAGTCAGCTGGAGCTGGTTGTTGTTGGAAGGGAGTGGGTTGGGGAACTGGGATGGGGGAGAAAGGGAGACCCCTGCTCTGCTGCGGGTCCTAGGTGGAGAAGAAGAACTGTACTTCTCAAAGTCTGGGGTATGGTGGGAAGGGGATGGAGCAGAAGTAGCAAGCTGGGGAGATGGGACCCACCTCAGTCCCCAGCTTCACTTTCTTCTAATGTTTCCCCACTGGTGGCATTCTCCGCAGTCTTGGAGGCCTTTTTTCTTTTCTTTTCTTTTCTTTTTCTGGGTTTCTCGACTTGCAGAACTCTAGAGGAGGGCCTTTAGCTCTGCATCCTGGACCTCCATCTCAGACCTGTAGAGGTCAGGCTTGAAGGGACCACTGGTTTTCTGCATGGGGCCATTGGGCATGAGCAGAATTGTAAATTTAAACTGGGCAACAAATTCGCCCTCCTTCTCATAGAGAACATTAAACGGTTGCAGCAGTCTATGTTTGGTGCACTCCACCACATCCATCGGAGCCTTCTTCTCATCTTCAAATGCTCTTAAAGTAAACGGCATGGCATCAAAATGCCTTTCCACCTCACTGAAGAAGGCACGTGAAGTTTTCCTCTTCAGTCCATACTGTTTAGAGGAGTCTCGTTTCTAAATAGTGGTTCTCTGTCCTGCATCCTTGGCCTTGCCCTCTCCTGAGCTGACGAGAACATCCGCAGCATATACTTCATGTACCTCAAATTCAGCTTTTTCATGGTCCTTCTTCTGCTGGTCTGTAGGATTCTGGATAATGTTTTTTTCACCATCGATGACATGCTGCTTCAACTGGTGTGACAGCATACCTTCTATTGGCATGCAGTTAAATGAGAGGGCAACTTTGCTCCAGGCTTCTCTCACTTGTATGTTCTGATTTCCAGGTTTGACCAGGCATAAGGCAGCTTCAACACAAAGTTGAGCTGCCTTAATAACATCTCCTTTCCTCCCTGTTACTTGGGTCCCCTGAGCTACATCAACCACAAAAGTATGAGTTACATTAGCGATGAAGCCATCCACATGGACCCCAAGGTCAATTTTTACCAAGTCACCTTCCTTGAGAATATAATCCTGGCCTCTCTTCAAAGGGGAGAAGTGACATCCACAGTTATTTACTGAAATGCTGGTGGGAAAAGCAATACGTTTCTTCATTTCCTTTTCTTTCTTGAAGATTTTCCCTGTTTCTTCCATAATCATGGCATCTCCTTTCTCGCACAGGCTCAGTACCGACACACCTGAGCTAGATGCTTCCACCAACGACCGAAGTACCCGGTTGGCGATGTGGTCCCCCCACACATCTTATACTTGGTCACGACCAGGTCCTTGGCGATAGTTTGCTCCTGCTGCTGGACCTTGCCCAACATCTTCCTACTACCACCACTGCAGCCTCGTTTCTCCTGAGCCGCCTCCTCTCCCAAACAACTTTTATTACCTCAGAAATTGTATCTGTGTAACAAGACCACTTCTACTCATCATATATTTTTTCTTGTCATCCTCTCTTAACTTGTGTAGGTATCACCCTCAAGAAGCCCTAAGCCCTACTTTTTTTCTATAGCTCAGGAATCTATATAAGCTTCAATCATCTGACCAATCTTTGAGTCTCATATTTTTGGGGACTCCAGTGCCTGTATATGTAATTTTCTTTTTTCTCCTGTGAATCTGCCTTATGTCAATTTAATTTGTAGCCCAACCAAAAAACCTAGAAGGATAGGGGGAAGCCAGTTTTTACTTCTCTACAAAGGGCTCAGATGATCTGATCATTGATTCACAAATCATGACTTCCTGGCCTCAATCTCTGAGTTCTGTCACAAAAGCTTTGAACTTTTGAGCATAAGTCAGTTTTTTTCTTCCCTAATTAAAATGCTACCTCACTTCACTGTACAAGGTAAAAACAATCACTAATGTTTCAGACACTTGATTGACATCAAGGAAATACATTGGAAAATCAGACCAAATATTTTCACTTTGAAAATTTGAGTGGCAGGACCAGGAATCTGCCTTCTTCAAAGAAAGAAAGAAAAATAATTCTTAGGTGAAGCTGACCTAAGTTAAAACTTCCCACAGAGAAACAGCAAGCTTTCTATGTGGGGTGTGGGCTGTGCATAATATTTTATTATTTCCCACGCATCTCAGCTTACAAACATGCAAAAGGAGCAGAATGCCCAGAGTCAGGAAAGACACACAGATTAAATAATTGTAAAAGAGCCTTAAACAATTGCCAGTTTCCAGTTTGGGTTGCTCTTTTTTATGAGTTTTTATGCACCAGCTTTCCCCCTTAAAATTATATTTAATAAGAAATTAGGTTCACTTTGCACATTGAGATACCTCCTCCTTTAGGAAGGTGCTTTAGGAAGGGAGATAATATTCTCCCTGTAAAATCCTAATATAATTATAGATTCTTCCGTAAATTTTGTGTTCACCTTTTGAAGGTGATTGTTGGTATTTTTTCAGAGTTTTTATATAACCCTCTACCATTTGTTGAAAAAAGAACCCATTATTTTAGTCAGATAAAAGCAGCTGAAAAAAAAAAGCCTGCTGATTTTTATAGCTGGGAAAAGGAGCATGCAGAATTAGATCCTAATTAATGAATGCCTAATGAGCCAGAAGTGCTTAATGAACATTAAATAATAACAGTAAAATAGATATGCTTTTTAAAAAAACATGATCTACATGAAGAACTTTGTTTCATTTCTTGAGAAATGTGACTATTCATAGGATGGATCTCCTCTTGCCAATCTCTCTGTTTTTCACCTGAGGTCAAGGAAGATCTTCATTGGCCGGATCAGTGGGCCCCATGCCTCCCGGCTTTCAGGTGGATCCATCCAATGGGAGATTGGAGGGAGGGAGGAAAGTGCAATTTGGCTCCCCCTGTGCCAGGTTACTGCAAGTTGGCTGAAATTCTTTACCTCCAGCCGCAGCTCCTGGGTGCTGGTTGTTATTTCCTCCCCTAGCCCATTCCATCCTAGGAGTGATAAACAGCCCCTCACTATTGCTAGCTCCAGAGGCTTCACATTCCTTGTTTGTTTCTCTTAATCATGCCCACAACCTTGTAAACATGTTCCTTTAACTGTCCTTAATTTCCCGACCTGAGTGTGCAACTAATTCCTTCTGGAGCACTGACCACTACTCCTAGAGAGTCTGTTTTCCATACATAATAAAATAGGTGTATTAAACGGCGCACTTAAATGTTTATTTAAACACATGTTTTTAAACATATACTTTAAGATATAGCTATGCCTTTGGGCTATTTCAATGCCAAATATGCTACCTCTCTGTTGAAATAATTTGCAAGGTCAAAAACACTTGCTTTCTTATATTCTTATGAATCACTCTGCTTCATAATTTGTATTCTATTTACATCCTGTTTCCTGCATATTCTCTACGTCTTCTCTACCATAGTGGACACTCTGTGAAGGAAGCTCTCTAAATGGCTTTTGTACTTACATAGAAACAAAAACAGACGGCAAGAAAAGAGCATAAAAACTCAACCTGATATAAGGTGCTGTGATGACGTTTTCCTCTGTGTATCTTGTCTTTTATTTCCATTGGTAACCTTCATCTGACAGATAATGCCCTTTGAAGGGTGACCCCCAACTCAATATTTGTTCTCTCTCTATTCTAGATTCTCTTGGATAAATGTATAGTTTGTAACTGATGAGAGACATTGAGAAAAAAAAAAACTTTGACTCTCAGCGTTGGCATGTACTTTATCTTGGAGCCATAAGGAATGGTGAAATAGGGGTTTTAGACAGAAGTAGTGTGTCTTTCTCTTTATCTAACTCCTTCCTCCAAAGGCTCTGTTTTCCTCCATATCCTAATGCCTAAGACTATCTCCCTTGACAAAGAGGAGTATGCAAACATCAGGAAGGAGGCAGTACCTCTCTTCCCCTGGCAGAGCCTCATCTCATTAGCAGAGCTCTTGAACAAGGCTTGGCCCTCTCTGCAGCATCATTGGGACCCTAAAAGAATAGTAATTTTCCAGACACATTATCAATTCTTAGAGGAATACTGGGTGATTGTGTGTTAGGAAGTTTCTCTGTGCATGATAATGTTGGTAGCAAGGACCTTCATCTCTTACCAATCTGTGAGTAATACACTGGATAGAGCCCCAGGGAGCTGAAGAAGTTAGAGCAGCTTTCAAAACTGCCTAATTTGCAACTAAAGAATAGCTTAGGCCCAGAGATAAATAGATTTGTTAAGTTTAAAGTGGAAAATCACAAAGTTATAAGCAAAGTGTAGCCACATGTACCTATGACTAAGTCTACATCACCCTCTTATTAAACTTAAAAATAGACTTTTAAAACAAGCTGGAAGAATCTACTAATGCTCAACATACACAAATCCTACACCCAGCAATTCTACTTATAAGTGTATACCCAGAGGAAATGTGTCCATAAGTTCAACAAAAGATATAGTAGAATATTCATAGCAGCACTGGTCCTAGTGGCTAAAAATTAGTAGAAGTTTCCAAATTGTCCATACTTATATAAAATATATAGATAAATGAATGTTATATGGAATGAGAAGTAACGATCTACAACTACATGCAAAAATATAGATGAATTTCACAAGCATGTTAAGTGAAAGAAGTAAGACAAGAGCACATAGCCTGTGACTCCTTTTATCTAAAGCACAGAAAAAGGCAAAACCAATGTGTGTTAACCAGAGTAAAGATAGTGATACCGGTTTTGGAGCATAGTGACAGGAAGAGAGACTTAGAGGAGGGCTTTCATTATTCTGGTAATATTCAGTTTCTTGACTGGGGATAGTTTATAGTTCAATACATTTTCTAAAAGTTAACACACCTCATAGAAAAAAGGGTGGTTAGGAGTCCAACTGATTTAATGCACAATCATTAATCTATTGGCCAAGAGCCTTTAATCTTCCCTTAGAATAGGAACAGGGCCGGATTAATGGGTGGTCCATCCAGGCAGCTGTCTGAGGTGCCACTTTATGCTAAGGCCTGTCTGGGGATAGAAGATATAGAAAATTGTACTTGTCAGAATTTCTTCCAGAGATGGCATTGTACATGTTTAAAAAATGATCCTTTGATAAACAGTTAAATTTGGTAGAATACCCTCAAAACAGTTGCAAAGACCTTTAGTATGCATTAAGAAAGCTTAAGAAAATGGCCACAATTCATTAATAACCTCTGTGACAGTTTGTTTTTAGCATTTAGCAACTATTCTCTACTTTCTCTTTTTCTGTGGGCAAAGAATGTATCCAGGCATTGATGCTGGGCTTGGCTGGGTGACCTGCTTTGGCTAATAAAATGTTAGTAGACCTGAATTGTAATCTGAATTTGTAAAGAGAACATAAATTTCTTGTCCAGTGATACAATGAAAAGTGGAAGCACTAATGTATAAAGAAGCTGTTATTATTTCTGTTTTATTGGTTAGACTCCAGATTCTTCATTTTTAACAAGCTCCCAGGTGGTACTGATGATGCCAGTCAATATAACACACATTGAATACATGGTTTTATATCGCAATGTCTTCATCTATAAAATGGGGACCATAATACCTACTCACAAAGTTGTTTGGGGGCCAATTCAAATGCTGTGTCTAAGTTTCTTAACACTGTGAACAATGAATGGTCATTTCTCTTACTACCTTCTACTCCTTCTCAGACTATAAAAGAGGAGAGCAAATATATGTGGCAGGTTTTGTATAAAAAGTATAAGATATGGGTGGGCACGGTGGCTCACCCCTGTAATCCCAGCACTTTGGGAGGCCGAGGCAGGTGGATCATTTGAGGTCAGGAGTTCGAGACCAGCCTGGCTGACACAGTGAAACCCAGTATCTAGTAAAAACTCAAAAATCAGCCGGGTGTCGTGGTGTGCACCTGTAATCCCAGCTACTCAGGAGACTGAGGCAGGAGAATCACTTGAACCTGGGAGGCGGAGGCTGCAGTGAGCTGAGATCACACCACTGCACTCCAGCCTGGGTGACAGAGAGTGACTCCGTCTAAAAAATATATATATATAATATATATATATTTTATATATATTTATATACATATATATGCTACATAATGAGGATGTGAGTTCAATACTATCTGTGTCACTCGCTAGCTGTGCAAACTTGGGTAAGTCCTTCAGCTTCTGTGCATCTCAGTGTTCTCATCTGCAAAAGGAGATCACAATGTCAACTTCTAAAGATTATGAGGATCAAATAAGGCCTGTCCCTGACACATGGTAGGCTCTGGAAATGTGTTGGTTGATCCAGAAGTGACTCAGAATTCAATGTATTTAGGGTCTCTGTGATAGTCAAAAGTACTGAATAGTGGCATCAAGGGACATTGTCCTGTGAGTTTCCACTGAGCAACTACAGTATATGCCATGGAGAAATTTTGCAGGATGTTGATACATGTCCCAAACTGCCACAGGCAGTTAGAGGATGGGATTCCTTTAAAAATAGAAGTCTGCTCATGCCCCCTTCTTGCTCAAAACCTTTCAAAATCATCCCATCACCCAATAAAATGCCAACTTCTCAACAGGCCCTGCCTGGTCTGGCAACTGGCTGTTGCTCCAAATGCACCACATATTCTCTGGCTATTATTCCCCACTTTGCTCACTCCATTCCAGCCCCCTTGCTTTTTTCTCAAAACACCAAGCACCTTTCTTCTCCAGGGCCTTTTCACATGCTGTTAGAGTGTTTCATCATGGACCATTCTTAACCCAGACATATGTGTAACTCGCTCCTTCCTTTTATTTTTGTCTTAGCTGATCTCACCTCATCAGAGGGGCCTACCTGACTGCCCAGTTTCAAATATCACTGTCATTCCCACAACATCATTCTATGACATCCTCAGGGCTCTTGTCACTGACCGATATCCTATTATATACAGTTTTTATTAGCATATTTTCTGACTCCACTGTGAGAATCTTAGATTCATGGGGAAGAGATTTTGTCCCTTTAATTCACTGGTATATCTTCACCAGATGCATAAGATGCTTAATAAATATTGTTGAGTGAAAAAAAAATGGAAAAATGTCTCACCAGAAAATTCCAATCTGACCTGTAAGAAGGTATGCACAGACATGTTGGTTATCAACACTGAGGTTTTGTATGAAGAGGTTGTTTTTGCATTTACATTCATTCATGCATTCAGTATTTCTTAGGCAACTATGTCCTGCCTGATACTCTTGCAGGTGTTCAGAAAATAGACCGAAATAAATGTTAGAGGAGCAGGAAGTTTGGAGGTCATGTTGTTAGGATTGACACCTGTGGAAGGAAGGGAAATAAGACTGAGAAGAGAGAAGCGGGCCCATGGAGCAGTTGCAGCAGAGGCCTCAGCTCACCTACCACAGAGCTGTGGAACCTGGATGCCCTTCAGAGTTGTCCCGAATGGAGGTAACAAATTTGAGCCTTTGTACCTTTGAATCCACAAGTCACTGGACATAGAATGTTTCTGGGGAAGAGCATGACATTGGGAAAAATGAAGCTCTTATGCAGAGAGCAGATCCAAGAGAGAGAATCTCTTGAGCTGTCAGCTTCCATCATTCCCAGGAGCTGGGGAATGAGTGCTTTAGTCATAAAGATGTAGGGGGAGGCAATGGGGATGTCAGAACAGCACATACTGGCATGCACTACAAGGAATAACATGAACAGCTTGTCTTTTAGGAGCTTACATGCTAGTGTAGGAGAAACGGATAATCAACAATAAGCAAAATAAATAATCTATATGGCATATTAGAAAATAATGAATGCCAAGGAAGGTGCACAGTAGAGCCTGATGAAGAGTAATTAAATGCCAGAGGGAAGCAGAGAGGCAGAATTCAATAGGAAAAGGGTAGGCTTCATTGAGCAAATGAAATTTGAGCACAGGCTTGAAGGGGGTAAGAAAATTAACTCTGCAGAAATGAGCCCGAAGGGAAGAGCATTTCAGTCAGAAGGAACAGCTGTTCCAAATCCCATGAGGTAGGAGCAGGCTTGGTGGGTCTGTGATACACTACTCCTAAGACCCTTGACAAATAAAAGCAAGTGAGACTTAAGTCAATAGTAAAAAAAAAAAAATAGTCATCTGTGAGCTTTAGATGACAAAAAGTGGAAATGCATCTTTTTGCCCCTCGTTTTAAAAGAAACGTTTCTAATCCAAGCTATAGCTGCATTTGGGCTGCTCTGGAGGAAGCAGAATATAGCTGATTTGTTTCTTGTCTTCCTCATTTGAATGAAGAGAAAGCACACCTTGTTGACAATGGTCCACCTTTAACTCAACATTTTCCCTTTATGAATTCTTTCAGGGGCACTACTCTGAAAGTGAATGTCATTTTACTTGACAGAAGGAGTATTTTCAAATGAGAAAAAGAGAATTTTACTGTGGTGAGCACAGTCAATTCATATCATTATATTCAGTCTTTGTTCAGGGGACAGCCAAGGTAGGCATGGCTCTTCCTGGCTTTACCCTTGCAACTTGTGAACGGCTGCCATGCTGGAATTTGTGTCTAGAGCTGAGGATCACTGTTAAGTGTCTGGCAAAAGAGCCAAACTCTTCCCATATTCTGGAATGAACCATAGACAAGACAAATAATCTCCCATATTCTAGAATGAACCATAGACAAGACAAATAATCTCCTCCCATATTCTAGAATGAACCATAGACAGCCTTTTGTGCCAGGATTCTTCTTGTGTAACTAGGAGCATTGCAAGGGCACTCATTGAACAGGTGCATTGTTCTCTGTGGAGAACAGCTGGGGATGTGTGAGGAATAAAGGCAAAAGTTGCTTCCTGTAGTTGCTGTTGACACAAGGAGAAGAGGTTCCTGAACTGAACTCTGCGCATATTGTTTACTTGGAATCTGGGTGTAAATTTTATTTCAATATTTTAAAGGAAATTCATCTGAAATTGCTCAATTATTTACATGGATGATGTGAAGACTTGGGGTGTGAATTTTGGAGGAGAGGCAAGAGAGAAATCGGGGATTTATGAGCACCAGAGCAAAGAGAATCATCACATGTTTTGTCAGAGCCCTGTACTAAAGGAAACACCTGCTGGGGGCTGGTTTTAAGCCTACACTATTCCCTAGGTCAGTTCTAATTAGGTGTAATTGAAACGTGCAGTGAGGTGCAGTATAGTACAGTAGAATGAGGCTAGGAATGAGCATTTAGACATCTATTCATTTTAATCTCATCCCCACCATTTACCACAGTTACAATGCAGAAAAAGACCATTAAGCTTTCTGAGCCTTGACTTCATTTGCCATATCTCTATAACCTCTCCTCCTGTGTCAACAGCAGCTACAGGAAGCAATCTCTCCCTTCATCCCTCACACATCCCCAGCTGTGCTCCTCAGAGAACAGTGCACCTGTTCAGTGAGTGCCCCTGCAAAGCTCCTAGTTACACAAAGGAAAGCAAAGAAGTTTAGGGATACATATGTGTACAGGAACTTGAAACAGCATAACTAGAAGCAGAGCCTGAAATGAGGATTCATGCACACATAATTTATCGAGATGGTGCTTTCAGAAGTAATTAGTAAGAAAGTGAGAGAAGCAGGTAGAACAGGGCCTTTAGTGCAAAGAGATGAAAGTGCTTCCCATGCATTAAGCTTGGTTGCAGTCTCAGCCTCTGTTCCCTCATCTTCCCAGCCCCTAGGTGCCTTGCCAACTACAAAGCAGGCACTCCTTATATGCTTGTTTTACTGACTTAAGTTAGAAATGAAGGGAATCAGCAGTTTTAAGCTGTATATTTAAACTTAACATAGTAATTAAGTAATATAATCCCCAAAGGTATATTAAAGTTTATATAAGATATAAGTTAAAGTCTGAAGGTAGCTTTGTACAAAGTTCCTATGGCCCAATTTGGCCTTAGTTCAATTCAGTGCAGGAAGTTTATGAGGTCTTACCCTTAATTCAGTTATGGCACTCATAACTGGGGGAGAAATACAAAATTGGAACATGCCACTGATCTCAACACCAAATAATTTATAATCTTATTTTGAAATCAGACTCCATCCAGTCCCTCTCCCCAGCCCTGGCAACCTCTGTCTGCTTTCTGTAATTATGGGTTGCTTATCCCAGGGTTTCATTTAAAAGAAATTGGACAATATGTTACATTTTGTGTCTGGCTTTAAACTTTCACTTGGCATAATGTTTTTGAAGTTTAGACAAGTTGTAGCATGTGCAAGTACTTAATTTATTTTTATGGCTGAATAATATTTATTTTGTGTATATACCATAATTTGTTAATCCATTCATGCATTAATGGACACTTGGGTTGTTTGTAAATTTGGCTATTATGAATAATGCTGCTATACTCATTCATATTAATGTTCTAATTTCTATGTGGGCATGTGTTTCATTTCTCTTGGGTATAGAGTTAGGAGGAAATTTCTGGAATATATGGCAGTTCTATGCTTAACTTTTTGAGAAATCACCACATTTTCTACAACAATTGTACCATTATACATTCCTACCAGTAATGTACAATGGTTTTCATTTATCCATATTCCTGCCAACACTTGCTATTTTCCATTATTATTATTATTGATTACTAGTGGGTGTGAAATGAAAATGATTTTCGTTTTCATTTTCTTAACGACTAATTAGGTTAAATATCTTTTCCTGAGGATCACTGTGGGTAATTTGCATATTTTCTTTAGAGAAATGTCTATTCAAGTCCATTGCCCATTTTTTAATTGTTTTAGGTTTTTTTTGTCATTGAGCTGTAACAGTTATGTATATTGTCTGAATACTAAACTAAGTCAGATATATAATATGGAAATATTTTTTCTGTTCTGTAGATTTGCTTTTCACTATATTTATAATGTCCTTTACTGCATAAAAATTTTAATTTTTATGAAGTTCAATTTATATGTTTTTAAAATTTTTTGCTGGTAGTTTATGCATTTCTTTTTATTATTATTATACTTTAAGTTTTAGGGTACATGTGCACAATGTGCAGGTTAGTTACATATGTATACATGTGACATGCTGGTGCACTGCACCCACTAACTCCTCATCTAGCATTAGGTATATCTCCCAATGCTATCCCTACCCCCTCCCCTCACCCCACAACAGTCCCCAGAGTGTGATGTTCCCCTTCCTGTGTCCATGTGTTCTCATTGTTCAATTGCCACCCATGGTGAGAATATGCGGTGTTTAGTTTTTTGATCTTGCGATAGTTTACTGAGAATGATGATTTCCAATTTCATCCATGTCCCTACAAAGGACATGAACTCATCATTTTTTATGGCTGCATAGTATTCCATGGTGTATAGGTGCCACATTTTCTTAATCCAGTCTATCATTGTTGGACATTTGGGTTGGTTCCAAGTCTTTGCTATTGTGAATAGTGTTGCAATGAACATACGTGTGCATGTGTCTTTATAGCAGCATGATTTATAGTCCTTTGGGTATATACCCAGTAATGGGATGGCTGGGTCAAATGGTGTTTCTAGTTGTAGATCCCTGAGGAATCGCCACACTGACTTCCACAATGGTTGAACTAGTTTACAGTCCCACCAACAGTGTAAAAGTGGTCCTATTTCTCCACATCCTCTCCAGCACCTGTTGTTTCCTGACTTTTTAATGATTGCCATTCTAACTGGTGTGAGATGGTATCTCATTGTGGTTTTGATTTGCATTTCTCTGATGGCCAGTGATGGTGAGCATTTTTTCATGTGTTTTTTGGCTGCAAAAATGTCTTCTTTGAGAAGTGTCTGTTCATGTCCTTTGCCCACTTTTTGATGGGGTTGTTTGTTTTTTCCTTGTAAATTTGTTTGAGTTCATTGTAGATACTGGATATTAGCCCTTTGTCAGATGAGTAGGTTGCGAAAATTTTCTCCCATTTTGTGGGTTGCCTGTTCACTCTGCTGGTAGTTTCTTTTGCTGTGCAGAAGCTCTTGAGTTTAATTAGATCCCATTTGTCAATTTTGGCTTTTGTTGCCATTGCTTTTGATGTTTTAGACGTGAAGTCCTTGCCCGTGCCCATGTCCTGAATGGTAATGCCTAGGTTTTCTTCTAGGGTTTTTATGGTTTTAGGTCTAACGTTTAAGTCTTTAATCCATCTTGAATTGATTTTTGTATATGCATTTCTAGAATTATGTTCCATTTATCTAGACTACCTAACCTGTTGGTGTACACTTATTCATAGTATTCTCTTATAATTCTTTTAATTTCTGAAATATTGGTAGTGATATCCCCACTTCCACTTCTGAGTTTATTAATTTGAGTCTTTTCTCTTTTTTCTTTGTCAGTCTAGCTAAAAGTTTGACAATTTTGTTAACGTTTCAAAAAGACAATTTTTATTTTTGTTAATTTTCTCTATTGTTTTCCTGTTCTCTATCTTATTTATCTTTGCTCTAATCTTTGTTATTTTTTTCCTTCTGCTAGTTTTAGGTTTGATTACATTTTCTAATATCTTAAAGTTTGAAGTTAGGTTGTTTATCTGAGAACTATATTTTTTAATGTAAGTGTTTACAGCTATAAATTTCTCTCTTAGCACAGCTTTTACTACATCCAATGGTTCGTTGTATTTTTGTTTTCATTGTCTCAAACTATTTTTCTAATATTCCTAATAATTTCTTTTTCAACCCACTGATTGTTTAAGAGTATGTTGTTTAATTTCTACATATTTGCAAATTATCTATGCTTCCTTCTCTTCCTGATTTTTAGCTTCATTCCATTGTTCTTGGAGAATAAAACTTTTTATGATTATAGTATTTTTAAATTTATTAAGACTTGTTTTATGTCCTAATATAGTGTCTATCCTAGAGAATATTACACGTGCCCTTGAGAATAAGTATGTTCTGCAGTTATTGGGGAGAGTGTTTTTCATGTTTGTTAGGTGTAGTTGGTTTACGGTGTTGTTTGAATATTTCTGCCTTCAATTCTGTCAGTGTTTGCTTCATTTTTGGGGGGACTCCATTGTTAGGTGAATATATATTTATAATTGTTATTGTCTTCTTTATGAAGGGAGGTTCTACCGTTTTCTGTGATTCACTCAATATATTTTAATATTAGGTAAACCAAATTCATTATGCTTCCTTTATTGTTGGTTTTTTCTAGCCACTTTTGCCTATTTACCTTCTCAGGTAAAATTATTTTTATCAGTTCTTAAAAAGAAATAAAAACGAAATCATATTGGGATTTTCCATGTAAATTGAATGTATTGGTTAATTTGAGGAAAATTGTCTTTTTTCCAATAGTATGTTATTTAGCCATATAAGACACTGTTCTACAATTAGTTGTCTTCTTCCAAGTTTTTATATAGAGTTGTATATCTTTTATGCAATATGTGTCCATTTATTCTGATATATGTTCTTTAATATTTTATATTCATGAAATATTAATATTTAGTTTTGTTATTGTGAATGTAATCATTTTCTGTATTATATATCTGAAGAGTTATTATTATATCAGAAAACTATATTTGAATATTGTGTGATTGGCCCCATTACTTAATTCTTTCACTAATTCTAATTGTTGTTGCTTTTCTTAAAACTTCTTGAATATAAAATCACATAATTTGCAAATAACAATAATTACTTTCTTTCTACTTCCAGTATTTATATCTTTTATATTTTCAGAATAATTATAAATAATAGTGATTATTGCAAATGTCCTTTCTTTGTTTCTCATTTAAATGAGAAACTGCCTCATGTTTTAATATTAATCATGATGCTAGTTACCAGTGTGTGGTATATATACATATATATAGCATATATTCCTCATATATAATTTTAATAAATATTATCATAATACTATTAAAACTATTATATGCCATAGATGTATTTTTGAATTGTATTATATACCTTTATGGAATATTTTGAGATAATTGTAACTTTCTAGATTTTTTTTATTTGATATATTAATCAAATTAGTAAATCTCTTAGTAGATTTCTGGAAATTTAGATTTTTTTCATTTTTAATATTAACTTCATTCGATCACTGTAATTGACATTTTCTGACTTCATTTCACATTTTGTTAAGTATAAATTGTTTAGTCATTTATGTCTCCATTTTGCTACTTTGTCATGATTTGGTTTCAATCATAACTGCATTATTTTTAGTTAACTAGACAATTTTGTTCTCATTTTTTATTTTAAAATTATACAAAATGCAGAAATTTATGAGTTTTTTGAAATATTCATAATGACCCATGTATTGTTTTCCATTTCAGCAGGAATATGTTTAATTACTACATTTTCCACATGATTATTGTATTGTTTAGATTTTACATTTAATAGTTTAAATTTTTTTAGAAAACCATTTATTGGGCCGGGCGAGGTGGCTCATGCCTGTAATCCTAGCACTTTGGGAGGCTAAGGCGGGCGGATCATGAGGTCAGGATTTCGAGACCAGCCTGACCAACATGATGAAATGCCATCTCTACTAAAAATACAAAAATTAGCTGGGCATGGTGGTGCGTGCCTGTAATCCCAGCTACTCAGGAGGCTGAGGCAGGAGAATCACTTGAACCCGAGAGGCAGAGATTGCAGTGAGCCGTGATCGCACCACTGCCCTCCAGCCTGGACAACAGAGCAAGACTCCATCTCAAAACAAACAGACAAACAGCATTCATTGCCCTCAAGCTTCTAAATTTATTATTATAAAGCTAGGCATATAGTCTGGCAATTGTCTAAATTTCAGTGGGTATTGAATATTTTCCTTTGCTTATGATTTATTTAGCAAATTTATTTTGTGGCTATGTATACACAGGTATGTATATTTATATGTATACATCATCATTATATGTATTTATATAGTATACAAATATACATTCATATATGTTCATTCTTCTCTCAAAAAACTTTTCATTATTTATAATTTTTGTTTTAAAATGTATTTCTCACTAGTTTTAATCTATTTTAAAAATTAGATAATGAGTTATCATACATGTCACCAAAAGCATGATCTATTAAAAATATCACCAAGTTAAACTTCATCAAAATGTAAATACTTTGCTTTGCAAACACCCTGTTAAAATGACAAAAAGACAAGGCATACATTTAGATAAATTATTTTCAAATTACATATTTGACAAAAGACTTGAATCCAGAATATATAAATAATTTTTTTAACTCAACAGTAAGGGAAAAAAAACAGTTTGATTACAAAAAGGGCAAAAGTTTGAACATTTTTCCACACAGGATATAGGAATGACAGACATGCCACAAAAAGATGTTGAACATCACTAGCCTTTAGTGAGACTTAAGGTTATAATAAGACACCAAAACACACTTATTAGAATGACTAATTATTTCAAAAACATACTGCTAATGCCAAGTGCTGACAAAAAATGTAGAACTACTGGATTTCTCATATGATGCTAGTAACAATACATTGCTAGTAAAATGGTACAGTAAAATGTACCATAAAATGTATAGCCATTCTGGAAAATAGTTTGGCTGTTTCTGATAAACACAGTTACCATTCTGACTGGTGTAAGATGATACCATATTGTGGTTTTAATTTGCACTTCTCTGATGAGAGTAATGTTGAGCATTTTTTCATATGTTTGTTGGCCACTTCTATGTCTTCTTTTGAGAAATGTCTCTTCATGTCCTTTGCCCACCTGTTGATGGAGGTGTTTGTTTTCTTCTTGTTGATTCACTTAAGTTCCTTATAGATTCTGGATATTAGTCTTTGGTTGGCTGCATAGTTTGTGAATATTTTCTCTCATTCTGTAGGTTGTCTGCTTGCTCTTTTGGAGAGTTTCTTTGGCTGTGCAGAAACTCTTTGGTTAAATTAAGTCCCATTTGCCTATTTAAAAAACTTGTTGCATTTGCTTTTGGAGTCTTCATCCTAAATTCTTTGCCTATACCAATACCTATAATAATTTCCCAGGATTTCTACTAGAAATTTTATAATTTGGCATCTGACATTTGAGTTTTTAATCATTTTGAGTTAATGTTGAGTTTTTATAATTATTACAATTTGACACCCGATGTTTGAGTGTTTAATACATTTTTGAGTTAATTTTGAGCTAAATTTTGTATTGGTGAGAGGTAACAGTCCAGTTTCATTCTTCCGCATATTGGTTAGCCAATTTTCCCAGCACCATTTATTGAATAGGGTGTTCTTTCCCTGTGGTTTTTTGTTGTTGTTGTCGACTTTGTTGAAGATTGGTTGTGGATGTGTGGCTTTCTTTCAAGGGTCTCTATTCTCTTCCATTGGTCTGTGTGTCTATTTTTGTGCCAGTACCATGCTGTTTTGGTTACTGTAGCCTTGAGATATAGTGTGAAGCAATAATGTGATTTCTCTAGGTCTGTTCTTTTTGCTCTACATTGCCTTGGCTATGCAGGATCTTTTTCTGATACTATATGAAGTTTAGACTAGTATTTTCTAATTATGTGCAATATGAAGTTGGTAGTTTGACAGAAATAGAGGTGAATTTGTAGATTGCTTTGAACATCGCTTTGGACAATATTGATTCTTCCAATCCATGAGCATGGAATGCTTTTCTATTTGTTTGTGTCATGTATAATTTATTTTAACAGTTTTTGTAATTCTCCTCATAGAGATCTTTTACCTCCATGATTAGGTGTATTCCTAGGTATTTTATTTTTTATCTGGCTATTTTAAATGGGACTGCACTCTTCATTTGATCCTCAGCTTGAATGTTATTGTTGTATAGAACGCTGCTGACTTTTGCATGTTTATTTCATATCCTGAGACTTTGCTGAAATTGTTTATCAGGTCTAGGAGTCTTTTGGTGGATTATTTAGGATTCTAGAGGCATAGAATCATATGAGCAGGAAAGAGAAATAATTTGACTTCCTCTTTTCGTATTTGGATGACTTTTATTTCTTTCTGTTGCCTGATGGCTCTGGCTTGGGCTTTCAATACTATGTTAAACAGAAGTGGTGAGAGTGGACATCGCTGCCTTGTTTCAGTTCTTAAAGTAGTGCTTCCAGCTTTTGCCCATTCAGTAGGATGTTGATGATGGACTTCTCATAGTTGACTCTTATTATTTTGAGGTTTGTCCCTTTGACGTCTAGTTTCTTGAAGGTTTTTATCATGAAGAGATGCTGAATTTTATCAAATGCTTTTTCTGTATCTATTAAAATGATCATACAGTCTTTGCTTTTAATTATATTTATGTGGTGAATCATGTTTATTAATTTGCGTATGTTGAACCATCGTTGCATTCCAGGAATGATGCCCACTTGATTGTGTTGAATTAACCTTTTGTTGTGCTGTTGGGTTCACTTTGCTGGTATTTTGTTGAGGAGTTTTGCAACTATATCAGGGATATAGACCTATAGTTTTCTTTTTTGTTGTTGTGCATTTGCCAAATTTTGGTATCAGAATGATACCGGTTTCATATAATGAGTTAAGGATTTGTTTAAGGTTACTGTTGATATGTGAGGTTATTTTTCTGTCATACTGTTATTAGCGAGTTGCTTTGCTGTCTCAGTTGTGTAGTTGCTTTATAGAGTCTGTGGGCTATGTGCGTATGTGTGCTTTTGTAGTAGAAAGTATCATTCTTTCATTTCCATGTTTAGAACTCCCTTAATCATCTTTTGTAGGGCCATTCTGGTGGTGACAAATTTCCTTAGGAATTGCTTGTCTGGGCAATACTTTATTTCTCCTTTGTTTAAGGAGCTTGCTTTGGGAAGACATATAATTCTTGGCTGACATTTCTTCTATTTTAGAATGCTAAAAATGGTTCCCCAGGCCAGGCATGGTGGCTCACGCCTGTAATCCCAGCGCTTTGGGAGACGAAGGCAGGCGGATCACCTAAGGTTGGGAGTTCAAAGACCACCCTGACCAACATAGAGAAAACCTGTCTCTACTAAAAATACAAAATTAGTCAGACATGGTGGCACATGCCTGTAATCCCAGCTACTCGGGAGGCTGAGGCAGGAGAATTGCTTGAACCCAGGAAGTTTAGGTTGCGGTGAGCCGAGATGGTGCCATTGCACTCCAGCCTGGGCAACAAGAGCAAAACTCCATCTCAAAAAAAAAAAAAAAAAAAAAAAGGTTTCCTAATCTTTTCTGAATTGTAAGGTTTCTGCTGAGAAGTCTGCTGTTACTTTGATGGGCTTCCCTTTATAGGTAATATGGCCCTTTTCTCTAGCTGCCTTTAAGATTTTTTCTTTTGCACTGGCCTTGGGTAGTCTGACGACTATGTGCCTTGGTAATGGTTGTCATGGTTGTCTTGTAGAGTATCTTGCAGGAGGTCTCTGGATTTCTTATATCATGTAAACCTCTCTACCAAGACTGGGGATATTTTTCTAAACCATATCCTCAAATATATTTTCCAAGTGGCTTACTTTCTCTTCTTCTATATCAAGAAAGCCCTTTAACACTCCACTGTCAACATTACACAGATCAACGAGACAGAAAGTAAACAAGGGTCCCAGGAATTGAACTCAGCTCTACACCAAGCGGACCTAATAGACATCTACAGAACTCTCCACCCAAAATCAACAGAATATACATATTTTTCAGCACCACACCACACCTATTCCAAAATTGACCACATAGTTGGAAGTAAAGCTCTCCTCAGCAAATGTAAAAGAACAGCAATTATAACAAACTGTCTCTCAGGCCACAGTGCAATCAAACTAGAACTCAGGATTAAGAAACTCACTCAAAACCGCTCAACTACATGGAAACTGAACAACCTGCTCCTGAATGACTACTGGGTACATAACAAAATGAAGGCAGAAATAAAGATGTTCTTTGAAACCAAGGAGAACAAAGACACAACATACCAGAATCTCTGGGACACATTCAAAGCAGTGTGTAGAGGGAAATTTATAGCACTAAATGCCCACAAGAGAAAGCAGGAAAGATCCAAAATTGACACCCTAACATCACAATGAAAAGAACTAGAAAAGCAAGAGCAAACACATTCAAAAGCTAGCAGAAGGCAAGAAATAATTAAAATGAGAGCAGAACTGAAGGAAATAGAGACACAAAAAAACCCTTCAAAAAATTAATGAATCCAGGAGCTGGTTTTTTGAAAGGATCAACAAAATTGATAGACTGCTAGCAAGATTAATAAAGAAGAAAATAGAGATGAATCAAATAGATGCAATAAAAAATGATAAAGGGGATATCACCACCGATCCCACAGAAATACAAACTACCATCAGAGAATACTACAAACACCTCTATGCAAATAAACTAGAAAATCTAGAAGAAATGGATAAATTCCTCGACACATACACCCTCCCAAGACTAAACCAGGAAGAAGTTGAATCTCTGAATAGACCAATAACAGGCTCTGAAATTGTGGCAATAATCAATAGCTTACCAACCAAAAAGAGTCCAGGACCAGATGGATTCACAGCCGAATTCTACCAGAGGTACAAGGAGGAACTGGTACCATTCCTTCTGAAACTATTCCAATCAATAGAAAAAGAGGGAATCCTCCCTAACTCATTTTATGAGGCCAGCATCATTCTGATACCAAAGCCGGGCAGAGACACAACCAAAAAAGAGAATTTTAGACCAATATACTTGATGAACATTCATGCAAAAATCCTCAATAAAATACTGGCAAACTGAATCCAGCAGCACATCAAAAAGCTTTTCCACCATGATCAAGTGGGCTTCATCCCTGGGATGCAAGGCTGGTTCGATACATGCAAATCAATAAATGTAATCCAGTGTATAAATAGAACCAAAGACAAAAACCACATGATTATCTCAATAGATGCAGAAAAGGCCTTTGACAAAATTCAACAATCCTTCATGCTAAAAACTCTCAATAAATTAGATATTGATGGGACGTATCTCAAAATAATAAGAGCTATCTATGACAAACCCACAGCCAATATCATACTGAATGGGCAAAAACTGGAAGCATTCCCTTTGAAAACCGGCACAAGACAGGGATGCCCTCCCTCACCACTTCTATTCAACATAGTGTTGGAAGTTCTGGCCAGGGCAATTAGGCAGGAGAAGGAAATAAAGGGTATTCAATTAGGAAAAGAGGAAGTCAAATTGTCCCTGTTTGCAGATGACATGATTGTATATCTAGAAAACCCCATTGTCTCAGCCCAAAATCTCCTTAAGCTGATAAGCAACTTCAGCAAAGTCTCAGGATACAAAATCAATGTACAAAAATCACAAGCATTCTTATACACCAACAGACAAACAGAGAGCCAAATCATGAGTGAACTCCCATTCACAACTGCTTCAAAGAGAATAAAATACCTAGGAATCCAACTTACAAGGGATGTGAAGGACCTCTTCAAGGAGAACTACAAACCACTGCTCAATGAAATAAAAGAGGATACAAACAAATGGAAGAACATTCCATGCTCATGGGTAGGAAGAATCAATATCCTGAAAATGGCCATACTGCTCAAGGTAATTTATAGATTCAATGCCATCCCCATCAAGCTACCAATGCCTTTCTTCACAGAATTGGAAAAAACTACTTTAAAGTTCATATGGAACCAAAAAAGTGCCCCCATCGCCAAGTCAATCCTAAGGCAAAAGAACAAAGCTGGAGGCATCACACTACCTGACTTCAAACTATACTACAAGGCTACAGTAACCAAAACAGCATGGTACTGGTACCAAAACAGAGATATAGATCAATGGAACAGAACAGAGCCCTCAGAAATAACGCCGCATATCTACAACTATCTGATCTTTGACAAACCTGAGAAAAACGAGCAATGGGGAAAGGATTCCCTATTTAATAAATGGTGCTGGGAAAACTGGCTAGCCATATGTAGAAAGCTGAAACTGGATCCCTTCCTTACACCTTTTACAAAAATTAATTCAAGATGGATTAAAGACTTAAATATTAGACCTAAAACCATAAAAACCCTAGAAGAAAACCTAGGCATTACCATTCAGGACATAGGCATGGGCAAGGACTTCATGTCTAAAACACCAAAAGCAATGGCAACAAAAGCCAAAATTGACAAATGGGATCAAATTAAACTCAAGAGCTTCTGCACAGCAAAAGAAACTACCATCAGAGTGAACAGGCAACCTACAAAATGGGAGAAAATTTTCACAACATACTCATCTGACAAAGGGCTAATATCCAGAATCTACAATAAACTCAAACAAATTTACAAGGAAAAAACAAACAACCCCATCAAAAATTGGGCGAAGGACATGAACAGACACTTCTCAAAAGAAGACATTTTTGCAGCCAAAAAACACATGAAAAAATGCTTACCATCACTGGCCATCAGAGAAATGCAAATCAAAACCACAATGAGATATCATCTCACACCAGTTAGAATGGCAATCATTAAAAAGTCAGGAAACAACAGGTGCTGGAGAGGATGTGGAGAAATAGGAACACTTTTACACTGTTGGTGGGACTGTAAACTAGTTCAACCATTGTGGAAGTCAGTATGGCAATTCCTCAGGGATCTAGAACTAGAAATACCTTTTGACCTAGCCATCCCATTACTGGGTATATACCCAAAGGACTATAATCATGCTGCTATAAAGACACATGCACACGTATGTTTATTGCGGCACTATTCACAATAGCAAAGACTTGGAACCAACCCAAATGTCCAACAATGATAGACTGGATTAAGAAAATGTGGCACATATACACCATGGAATACTATGCAGCCATAAAAAATGATGAGTTCATGTCCTTTGTAGGGACATGGATGAAACTGGAAATCACCATTCTCAGTAAACTATCGCAAGAACAAAAAACCAAACACCGCATATTCCCACTCATAGGTGGGAATTGAACAATGAGAACAACACATGGACACAGGAAGGGGAACATCACACTCTGGAGATTGTTGTGGGGTGGGGGGAAGGGGGAGGGATAGCATTAGGAGATATACCTAATGTTAAATGACGAGTTAACGGGTGCAGCACACCAGCATGGCACATGTATACGTGTAACTAACCTGCACATTGTGCACATGTACCCTAAAACTTAAAGTATAATAATAATAAAAAAAATGATGCCAATAAATCATATATGTAGTCCCTTTACATAATCTCATATTTTGTAAAGGCTTTATTTTTTACATTATTTTTTTCTTTATTTCTTTTGACTTGGTTAATTTGAGGAACTAGTCTTCAAGCTGTGAAATTCTTTCTTCTACTTGGTCTAATCTGTTGTTAAGGCTTCCAACTGTATTTTGAAGCACTTGTAGTTAATGGGGAAATTTTTTAATTCCAGAAGTTATGTTTGGTTTTTTATTAATAACTGTGTTGTCTTTCAATACTCGTATCATTTTTCTGTTTTCTTTGTGTTGGATTTGAACTTCCTCTTGGATCTCATTGAGTTTCTTTGCCATTCAAATTCTGAATTCTGTGTCTGCCATTTCAGACATTTCATTCTGGTTAGGTTCCATTGCTTGGAAGCTAATGGGATCTTTTGGTGGTAATGAAACACTCTGGCTTTTTTAATTGCCAGCGTTCTTGCACTGATTCCTTCTCATCTGAGAGAGCTCATGTTTCCTTTTTTTTTTTAATTTTACTTTTGTTTGGATGGGACTTCTTGATTTTTTGCTCTTTCTTCCCTTGTAGATACAACTGTGGTGTATATTAAACATGACTAATTGGCTTAGTTTCTGGGTGCTTTCAGGGTGCCAACGCTCTGTATGGACTCCTTGGCTGCAGGCAGTTTCATGCAATGGCTTTCTCAGATGTTGCTTGTAGTAGCAATGTAATTTTGTTTGGTGGTGCAGTTCAAGCTGCAGTCCAGTAGTTGGCATTTAAGAGTAAGAGCTGGCAGGTAGGTGCAGAAGCAGAGGCAATAAAGAAGTATGAAAAGCATTTTCCTCAAGTATACATTCACCTTCAGTGGAGGTGGAACCACTATAGAATGCTTAGAATTGATCTCTTTCAGCCCATGCTTCCGAGCCCTGATGGGAAGAGCTACTACTGAGTCTTCAACAGTGCACTGAGGAGGGTGGAATGGGGGATGAGATGACCTCCTTTCCATGTCTGCTCCTGAGCTGTGATGGTGCTGCCTTCAGTGACTAGTGCCACGCCCACATTGCCTTTTACCCAAGGTGGCCTTTGGTCAGCTGCTCTTCCCCATCCCTTACGGGTGAACTGTGCTAAGGGTTAGAGCTCCGGTTCTGGGTATTTTCAGTGTCAAAGTGTCTGTATAAATTCCTTGGTTATAGGTAGCCTTTTTATGATGGTTTATCCAAATGCTGGTTATAGTAGTGATGTTCTGGGCATGTGAGCAGGCTCACTGCCTCCTGTGGGGCCAAATTGGCAGTGGTCAGGAAGTTTAACTTTCTCCAGTGTTATGTACTTGTGTCGGCAGAAATCCTAGAGTGCTGTGCCATTATTTCTCCAAGCCAGTAGGTGGCTCTTGTGGGTAAGAGCTGGCTACAGCCAATGTGGATGGGTATATACTTGATCCTTGCTTCCTGGTTAAAACTCTCTGGGAGCTCAGACCACTGTGGAATGCACAGCCCTGGAGAGTGGGAGCAAGATGGGTGGGGCCAGATCAAGCAGGCACACCTACAGGTCCCACAATATCAGGCACAAGCACTAGCTCCAAGGACAAGCTCACTGGGCAGCCACCAAGCGCCTAGAGGTGTGCCTAGACATGAAGCTGAGAAACCTCCTTTTCCCCAGTTTCCCAGCATGAAGAAGGGTGAGTGGCCTAACTCTCCCATCTAGGAGAGTGAATGCTCCAAGTGCCTAGAGAGCTGCCTGGGTATGGAACAGAAAGAGCCCCACTGCACCACAATCTCTTCACAAGAAGGGTGGGGTGGCTTCGGCAGCTTATCCAGGTGAACAGACACTCAGAATGCCTGGAAATCTACCTGGCCATGGAGCAGAGAGTGCCCCACTACACCACAATCTCTAGGGAGCAGGCTGGGGCACCTCATAATGACACATGCAGATTGGCTCTAGGTTGCCAAGTTGGCCTTGTCTGAAGATCTCATTGCCCAAAGAACCCACAGCTACAGCAACTCTCCTCCCACTCCAGACCTGCAATGGGGGAAAGCACAATTCTAGCACCTACTGCTGGGGTGCTTTCCACCCCTGCTGCTCAATTCCAGCTGTGGAAGCTCTATACTACTCTAGAGCAAGTGCTTCAATCTCTGGCCTGACACTAAAATGACTGTGAGGCCGTGTTGCCAAATTGCCAAAGAATGACTGACTTTGTATGAGCCTGGATTAAAAATGGCATCCTCGTCTCCAACCTGGGTCTGGGAAAATGATCGCAGCTTTTCCCGACGTCTTTCCCTCTCTGTGTCTCCAAGCCTCCATCCAAGTTAGCTCCAGGGACTTGGAAGAAATAATGTGCTCTCCCTTGGCCTGGGTTGCATGGATCTGCAGTGGAAAGGTGAGTCCCCTAGGTGGCTGTTTGCCCACTTCTCTTCCCCGGGATCTGCGGTGTCCTTTACTATTCTGGTAGATTCCCATTTTTCTTCTTGAATTAAAGCTCACAGAGTTCATCTTTATGTACTATTTTGCTATTTCCAAGTGGCTGAGGAAAGCTAAAGGCCTCTAATCCACCTTCTTGAAGTGGGGGGTGGGAAGAAATGTGTTTTCAAAGAGCTTACCATGGACTCAACTTTGCCAAGGAAAGAATCAATGAGTTTGAAGATATGTCAATGGAAACTTTGCAAGCCGAAATATAAAGAGGAAATTAAAAGTGGAAAAAACTTAGAACATCCAAGAGCTATAAAACAATTTCAAAATATGTAAAGATTAATCTGTTTATCTCTTCTGAATGCTTGACATTTAGTAAATTTAATGAAGTATATCTCATTATCGGTGATTCTCTATTCATTTTTTTATGAAATAAAACAAGCCCTTGAAAACATTTAAAAGGTCCTGGGCTTTTATTCTTCTTTCATCTGAGGAGATTTCTGCTGCTTCTATAGTATCATAGTCTTTGTATCTGTTTTATTTTTATTTCATTACATTTATCTCAAATTATTTTAATTTTTATGTCCTTTTCCTCTGCATCTTGGTGATTTTATCAAGCCTATTCTCTAAGTTATTATTTTTAACATATCTTAAGGGTCTCACTCAGGTTATTTTTCCTTCAATATTTTTTCTTAGTTCTGCTGGCTCTGTTTACTTGTTTTTTCATTGTGATCACTAAGTTTTCTTTTGTTTCCTGGGGTAGATTTTTCTTCAGGATCCATTCTTCATCTTTTCATGTGTGTGCTACATTGTTTCCTTGTGTGAGTATGTGTGTATGTGAGGTGGTGGAATAAACTCAGAGCCATCACTTTTTTTCCTTCTTGGGTCCCATGTTGTTTATTCCTATTGGCTTATACCAGAGATTATTCCATGGAGTCTTCTATTTGCTTCCACATACTGAAATAGACTTTCCTTAACTTCTTCCCTTTTTACCTAATTAATATCTGAATCCCCACCCTCAACTTTTTCAACAAAGACTCAAAGTCTTTGCATTGTTTATTTTTATTTATTTATTTATTTTTTGGTGAGTTTTTAGCTGCCTCAGTTGGCTGATATTTAGAGTTGATTTGGGGCAGCTGCTGTAAGAAAATGTTTGGTTTTTTACTCCAGTCTTTTTTTTTTTAATTCCTATATTGTGTCCATGCCAACAGGATGGAAGTGGCCAGTCTTGTGGGCTTTAAAATTGTGCATCAAAAAGGCCAGTCACTTTGATGTGAAAACGTTGCTGTGAAAACTTTTTGATTTTGTGGATCTATGCATTTTTTCTCACTTGCACTAAGATTTCTTGCATCCATTACTAGTATAAGTCATGCTTTTTCATAGACTATTTCTGTCTTCTTCTTCTATTCTGAATGACCAAAGAAAAATAGAAAAAATTTAGCAGCTTTTCTGGTTTATTTATATCCAAGATTTAGGTATATGACTCCACATGAGATAGGTATATTTATATTCTTCTAGCGTATCTGTATGTCCATTCACAAGGGTGTGTGTGTGTGTGTGTGTGTATGTGTGTGTGTTCTACGACTATTTTTTACTATTGCATGTTGTTTAACAAGAAAGCAATATTAGTTTAAAATAGAAAATTATTTTCACTCCTCCACTCCCTCAACATACTAGGACTATACAACCCACATCCTTTACCACTGGCTGTGCAGAATTTTCTAGCCCAGCATGTAGACTACACTTCTTCGCTCCATTGACTTTTGGCTGGACCATGTGACTTACTTTGGTAATGGTATGTGACCACATGTGATGTGAGCAAAAGTTTTAAATGTGTTTATGTGGTTTGGTTTGTTCTTTTTCATTTTGTTTTCATCTGCCAGGATAAGTGCATGTCCTATGTAGCCTTTTCCTCTTCAGTCTGGGTCCTAGAATAACACACATATGAAACTGGCACAAACCTGAGCTTAGCCAAGACACCTGGAGACCCATGAACAAGAAATACATACTGGTTTTTGGATTCAACTGAGATTTGGGGGTTGTTATGCAGCATTTTACAGTAGCAAGCTGACTAATAAGGAAATCATCTTCTTTAAATATCATCCAAATTATTCTGTGTCTTGTTTATAGTATGTGAAGACATTTAAGTTGAAATTACAGAGCTCTAGTCACTGAGCTCTGTAACTCATAGTTAAGTTTCCATTGAGGCCACACCTCCCACAGGCTGTTCTCAGCCAATGAGTGAGCACATCATGGATCATGCTAAGGTGGGTCCAATCTGAGAGACAGGGGGCTCCTCTGATGACAGACTTTAGCTCAAGAACACTGAATGGCTTTGCAGAAACTTCCTTAGACTGCAAAGTGCTCTAATGTTTTTGTCCCAACTTCCTTTATTCCAGCTTTCTCTTCTCATTAAATACACACTGCAGTCCGACAGCTCTCCCACCTTTTCTCAGTTCCTTCCGCATTTTTTCTCAGCGGAATATCCCACGAAACGCTCCCTTTGTGTTTAATCAGTTTCTTAAAAGACCTGGACTAGGACAATCTCTTATCTCTTCCTTACTCCAGACTTAGAAACAATGTTCTCTGGTGGGCATTTTAAAATCGTTGATATTCATAGATAGAAATTGTCTGTATTTTTAGCTTTTTTTTTTTTTCAGGCAAATTGAAAAAAAAGTATGAAACTTTCTCACATGTTCTGTCAGGGTTTGTTATTTAATATCTTGAGTTTTAAGCTGGACTTTTTAGAAAGAAATGGCATATTTTAAAATACAAACTGGCATCATAATAAAAAGAAAAGGCTGGATTTAAGAAACAGAGTCTGTCTACAAGATTCTGTAGGATAGCCACACACTTCATAGATTCTTAAACAGGCAAGATGAGCTTTCATTTTTGAAATTTAATTATAAATCTTAAACACACTGAGGCTTTGTGAACCCATTGTCCCTGAATTAGTTCATGAAATGACTGGGTTAATAGGACACAGTTGGAGCTTTGCAATTATATAGCTATGGCCTTGGTTTTATTTCCCTAAGGCCTGAGGAATTTAAAGTCTAGGAACATATTTTAAATAGATTAAGGGGTAGGGGTAGTATTTCATGTGCATATGTATAAAGTAGGCCAGTTGTGTATCCTTAACTTTCACAACAGTTTGCATAATGTATGGTTCAACAATTGTCTCCCATGTATTCAGTTGTGAACCTTACACCCTAACTAAAACCCACGTGGGACGTGGAACTGTCATTTCCTTGAAGCTATTAAATACTTATGAAAAATGGCTGATGCATTGAAGCCTGTTTCCAATTTGAGACTCACTAGGAGTGTCACATTCTCAGGAGCAGTTAATATCCTTTTTAGTGTCATATGTCCAAAAATAGCCTTAAAGCTAAACACTTGGGTCAAGATGAAGGTGGGTAGAAAGGACACATCTCTAAACAAATGAATTACCCAAAATGTCACTTGAGTTCTCTGTGGACAAATGAATCAGAGTTGTTTTGTATGGCACCACTCAGGCACCCACACACTCAAAAAACACCTGGCTGAGAAGCCACCAGTCCTTACTGATTGTTCTCATGGGTGAAATGGATCCACCGAAGACCTATTAAATCAGGCTTCTGGTAGGTGGCTATCAAGACTGCTATGAAGAAAAGAGTCCTTTGGAAAATGATTAAGCCATTGTTTCTGAATAGGAGAAACCTTAGTTGGAAAGGTAGGAGATATTTTAGAAAAGAAGGCCAATAACTTATAAGAAGTGAAAGACATCAAAATGAGTGTTTGCACCAACACCAAAACCTTGCAATAGGTGCTTTTCTCAAAAAAAGGGGTGTGTCCCTTTAGTCGGAATTCAAATGTGCATTTTCTTGCTTTACAGATGGAAAGAATTCCAATTCTCTATTTATTTTGTAATGCTTGGCATGTAAAGCTCTAGCTGGCTCAAGTAGTTCTGAAGAAAGGCAGGACAATGACACCTTGAAAGGTGGTGACAGTGCATCCACTCAAAAAGTAATTGCTCCTGGCTTCACGAACAGTAACTTCAAGATGGAAAATACATTTAGAATAGTAAATGCCAAGAATGCATCTAATCCAACTTATCCTTCCTTATCATTTTATGGAAGCAGGTAGGATAAAAATATGAGCCAAAAGTATTATCCATAATATCGAAACTTAGTGCTGGTTAAGTCTTCTATATTCTCTGTCTCTCCTTTCTCTCTGTTCCTTCTTCCCTCAATCCTTGGAGCAAACATTGTTCTAAATTTTATTTTTATCGTTCCCTGATATTTCAAAATTAGTTTCTCTCCTAGTTATATACAGTTCTAAACAATGAATTGTTTAGTTTTGAGTTTATTAAAAGGGTATTATACTGTACATAGTATTTGTTCTATTCGCTTTCTTTACTCAACACAATTCTTATTTTTACATTTATTCACTTGTTGCAAGAACCAGACCCCATTCATTTTCAGTACAGTCCAGTATTCTATTTTGTAAATATATTATAATTTATTGTGCTGTCCTTTGATTAATGGACCAGATATGACATAGGTTGCAAATATCTTCTTCCACTTTGTGTCTTTTCATTTTCCTTATGATATCTTTGATAACCGTAAGTTCTTAATTTTCATTTAGTCAAAATTATCCATCTGATTTTTTTCATTTTAGCACATTGTGACATATATAAGAGTCTTCCTTCTCCAAAGTTATGAAGATATTGTTCTAAATATTTGTTTGCATTTTACATTAAAGTCTTTAATCTTTCAGAAACATATTTTTATAGAGGCTTTTCATTAGGTGCATGAAAGATTAGAATTTTATTATTTTCCTGTTTTAAGCTTTTCATAACTATACAAAGACCCTTTCCAACCCTGGCCTTGTTGTTTTGTCTTTTTGATTCATTTGAATACATTTATACCGTACTTATTTTAGTTAAAATTTGCCATGTAAAATTTTTCTCATATCTTTACATTCACATGTTCCATGCTCTCATATTTTAGGTGTACCTCTTATAAAAAGCATGAAAATGGATTTGTTTTAATACAATCTGACCATAATTCAATAACTTAAAATCATCAATGAATTTTTAAACTTTCAGCTACAACTGTTTTAAAAATTTAATATAAGTGAAGGCACAGAGTATGCTAGCTTATAAAATTAATGGATTGGATTCTGTCACACAATTAATTATTACCATAAAGATGAATTAGCCACTTTCAAAGAAGTTTATTTATCTCCACCCTGCTTCTTTTAGAATAACATGTTTGGACACAGTCCTAAAAGTCAAAGAAGTATTTTTTGGGTCATCTCAATTTTTATGAATAAAAATTTTCCAAAGGGAAACAAAAATGGCTCAAATCTTATAATGACAGATTTAACAATATGTCGTATCAGGGATTTATCTAAGCAAGACAAATATCTAATTACTGAACCATGTTATTTTATGGCATTTAGCAATTTAGCAAAGAAAGTGCCCAGGTGTAACTAGAAACTTTGAGAGATGCACCCAACACACACAGGCATATATTTTTTCTTATTAGGAAAATTGTTCAAGCCATAGTTATGGTTCCGAAGGACTAGGCCCTTGGAGGAAATTAAAAGATTATCAAAAGAGAACAAAGGCTTCATGGCTGTCGATTGTAAAAGAGGTGACTGATCTTTTACAGTTGGGCTCATCACATGATTGTCATTGGCTATTGGCTGATTTAAGATCATCTTGCTGGGCTGACTCGACTGTACTCTACATGTCTTTCATCCTCTGGCAGGCTGGCCTAGGCATCTTCACATAGACATTATAGAGAGAGCAAGGTGAACAAACCCAATATGTAACACTCTTCCAGCCTGTCTTTCCATCATGCTTGCTAATATCCCATAGGCCAAAAGAAATTGTATAATTGGGCTTAAAGCCAGACTAAGCAGGCACTAGAATGCTACAGGGAAGAGGGTGACAATACTAGTAGGGCTCAAGTATTGGGGCCATTAAATCAATCTACCACAGAGACCAATATCTTTCCCTGACTGAGAAATGTGGGTATGAACATAACAATAAGCCTCTTAAAGATGGGGTGGACAGGGAACCGTTGTCCCCAAGCAAAGACAAGCTTCAGCTGAAGAGGCATGACCTCTCTCAAGGACAAGCTTGCCCTTTGGCACCAATCTTTGCTTGCTTTTTGAATAGCTGGAGCTTCTAATTGCTTGGAATCAGTTTTAACAAAGAGAAAGGAGCAACCAAGGAGAAGCAGAGTCCTTTTTCTAACATTGAACTTATGACAGGAAGCCAGCTAAGTGGCAGTACTTATAAAGAAGTGGCATACTTCTTCTCAGGGATAGACGATGCTTTTGGGAACAAGACAGGTCCCTTGTAACTGCTGTTAGGGAAGTGCTGCTCCTTGAATTGCATAAGCTATGGGAATCTCCTTTGAATTTTGTCAAAATTGCAAATTAAGAAGTACGGAAACACGGATAGGGAACAGTTAGATTTCCGAGGCACAATAACAGAGTACTAAAGAGTCTTGATTTGAAATAATAAAATGTATTTGAGATTTCCATATTTTATATTTCGGGACAATTCTTTGGTAATTTTTATTGTGTGTATGTGTGTGTGTGATAGTCACATGATAAATAAATTTCCTATATAACTTTAGTTTATTTAGGTTGGTTCCATAGTGCTATATTGATGCATGTTTTTGCATTTGCTGTTAGAAAACAGGGCAATAAATATGAGGCAATTCAGACGTATTCTGTGTTGCTATAGCAGAATGAAAAGCTAGAATTTCTGCACATATTTTAAGCTGCCTCCTACCTTAATGCATTGTGTCATGTTCTTAGCAGTTTCTCCCATAGAAGATGGGCTTTCAATGTGCATGTTGGCTTGGGGGAAATCATACTCCTATGTATTAACTGCTGACTCCTTTAATCCTGTTAGAATTTAATTTCCCTGGATTGAATATGGTGTTATCACCAGGTGCTGAGTGGTCCTTTCCTATCAGTACATATAAATCCTGTTAGCCCTTCCCAGATTCCGGATGTTCTAGAGCCTTCTGAGGTCAGACTGTTCTGAAGGAGCATTTGCTTTCTGGTTCATCCAACAAAGAGAGTGGAAGTTAAACTTTTGGACACAGATGTCTTGTTTGTGTCTAGCTAAGTTGAGGGACTGAGGCTCCATGAAATAACAAATTCAAGGACTTTAAAAAAAGCTTTAAATTGCCAGATGTTCTTCATTGATTATCAAGGTGCTTACTCATAAAAATCGGTATGATTTTCAATTCTTCCAATATTACAAACAAAGCATGTCTTTTAATATGTGTGACTTGCTTTAACTGCTGTCCCAGGAAACTCTTTCCAGCAATTATTGAGATTTGCAGTGAAATCAATTCTTAGGGATCTGAGGTCTTTGGTTTCTTGTGAGAGATCTTTTGTGTCCCCAGCTTCCTCTTTCTGCTCATCATCTGTTGGCCATTTCCTGCTAATTATCTTCCTCCACTAAACAAAAGAAAGCCAATTCCATTCACAGTCAGATTTGCTACTTGTTAGCACCTCCAATTATTTTTTGAAAGTTTGATTTAAGAAGAAATTATTGGATGAATTGAAGTGTTTATGACATCTATGGATTTCAGGCATTAATTAAAATAAATCCACTTTCTTACTAACAATCAAGAGATAGGTGTAAATACTGATAATTTTTGAAAGCTTTAACTATTTCACTGACATCACTTTAGTCATCAAATGTGATCCAAACATTCTGCAGCATGTTGTGATTTAAAGATAATTAAGATAAAGTACTTTCCCTCAAAGCATTAAGAGTTTACTGTCAGATTTTTTCAAGGATCACAAACTGAAAAGCATTCAGGACAACTTTATAAAAAAAAAAAAAATTGGGTCAGGGGCAATGGTGCAGATCCCAGGCCCAATCTATAAAGGAAGAAACCAGCATTGTTAAGCACAGCCATTGTTTCTATGTAAGAATGTTATTTTACTGCTGCCAGATTTCTGAACTTTCAAGAGAAGCTGGCATTTGAGATTTGTATGCAATATTTTCTAATTTATAATTAAATGTTTAAATTAAAAAGACATTTTGAAGTTAGCGATCAGGTTTAGCCTTTCGTTATACCCTTTTGCAAAGAAGAGTTGTAGATTGAATGATCACTGCAGTTGATGAGGCATTTCTCATTGCCTACTGCAGAAATGATTTTCCTATCTACCATTGTCCATGTATCATATTGAAGATGTTTGTCGTTACTTGACCTGAAAGCTAATATTAAACACGTGGCTTAAAAGAGACATGCTAAATCAACACAGAGCCTAGAAAAAAGGAGATACGAAAAGCCAGAGCCAGCTGATGAGAGAGGGGCATGGAAGCCATGCTAGGCTATTGTAAGCTCAATCCTCATAAGTTCTTGGTTGCAAAAGAAACTCTGTAGCAAAAGACAAATTATCAAGAGAAAAGCAAATAGATGCTTATTAACATGTATATTAACATGTATAGGCGTATAAGAGGTATCCAGAGAAGAAGTAATTCTCGAAGAGGTGGCTTTGACTTCCAGCTGATATACCATCTTTGACAATGAACAGTACATTTTTAGAGAGGTGACAAGTAAAAGGAAAAGGACCTTGAGTCTCTAAGGGCAACAACTTATGGGAAGGCAAATAATGGCAGCTAAATGCTGGTCAGTAAGGTTTATTTATGTAGATGCTTTTGGTGCCAACTCCACACGCATAAGGGTCTACAGTTGTCTTAAGCAGTTAACTTTTGCTCTCCCTCGTAGAAAAGGGAGGTGGGGTATCTTTTTTCTTTGTAAGTTTATGTCCTGATATTATGCAAATAGAGGGTAGACAGAGAACTTTCCTACAAGTGCTTCTTATTTGCTTTCAGATTGGCAATCCTCATGGTAAAGGGTATATTTTGGGGTGGCACATTCAGGTCTCCCACACTCCAAACAGGACAAAAAAGTTGAAAGAAGGAATTATAGAAATAGTGGGCAAAACAAAGCAGAAATGAAGAAATAGGAGCCCCGGCAGGGAAGATTGTCAATCCCAGCAGTTTTCTAGTTCTTGGATTATTTTCCACTGAAGCTAGGGTATATTTCCTGCACTGAGGTTTTATTATTTCCATGCCCTTTAGTAATGTTCCACTTCAATACAACAAAAGATATATAAGATGTGGGAAAAAGATATAAGGCAAACATTAAACAAAATAAATCTAAAATAATTAGACTAAAATGAGTCAAAAAGATAGCAATCAAGGTTAAAGTTAGAGAGGTTCTTTGTATAATGATACCAATTTTTTAAACAAGAAAATATAAAATTCTAAATACTAATTCCTCAATTAAAATACTGATTGAAGCTGAAGTTTTGTTTTGGTCGAGATCTTGGTGCAGAAGAGTGGATCAGATGTTCATTTAGCTTGTGAGGAAAAAGTGGGAGACTGAGGTTCAGCTAGGCTGACTTTGGCTTCTCTATTTACTTGTAAACATTCATTACAATGTGACATGTTGCAGTTTCTGGTTGCACTGATTTATGAATTATATTCTCTGAAAAAGTCAAAGCATCATATTCACAAAACTTTGTAACGAATGAGAGGTAACATGGTACCTAATAATACAGCTTCAAAATGTATAAAACTCAATATAATAGAAGTAAATGAAAAAAATAGACTAATACACACTACTTGCAGAAGATTTTATTACAATTCTGTAGTATATAATTAAATAAGTGGACAAATTTAGGAAGTCTATAGCAAAAGTAAATGATATGAATAATAAATTTGACCTAATTGGCATTTTTACAATATTGTATCTAACATCACCTTAATATTATTTTTAAATGTATAAAAAACATTTACCAAAGTTGATGATATGCTTGACAAGTCTAAACAAATTTAATTCACAGGATTGAAATTTTACAATCCTGTGAAATTCACAGCATTGAGTATGTTTTTTAGTCAGAGTAGAATTCAGCTCAAAATCAATAACCAAAAAAAAAAAAAGACAAGAAAAGAAAATTTGTGTGTGTGTGAAAATTTCTATACTTTTAAATTACCCATGGGTAAATGAAAACAGGAAGTAGTTTGAAATGAATAATAATGAAAATGAGAAAAATCAAAATGTATGGAATATAACTCAGTCGATGATTACAGGGAACTTGATAGCCACATGTCCACAGAAGAGAAGAAAAAACTGAAAATTAATGATCAGGTATTCATCTCCATCAGTTAGAAAATAATAGCAAATTAAGTAAAAAAAATGGAAGATGATAATAAAGATTGGGGACAAAATTAATGAAATGAAAAGTAAATATAAGATCCAGAAGATGAACACAGCCAAAAGTTGCTTTTTTGGAAAAGCTGATGAAATTACTTAAACCTCTGGCAAGACACATCAAGAAACAAAGAGGCATAAAGCACCAACATGCAGGATGAAAACCATGGTCAGTAAATGCAAATGAACATTAGGAGAATATTATGAAAAACTTTCTGGAAAAAAAAAGAAACAATTGATAAACTCCTGAAAAAATAAATCTTACCAAATCTGATACAAGAAAAAAATAGAAAATTTAATGATTATGATAGTTATCTAAAAGTTATCCATGAAAGAATCTTTTCACATATACACACAAACAAATCAAAAAATGAAAAACTTTAGACTTCAAATTGCTTCACTTGTGATTTCTACCAAATGTTTAAGAAAAAAATAAGACCGATCTTACAAAAGTTATTCGAGATAATAGAAAAAGAGAAAACTCACTGGGCCTCTTTTTATACAGCCAGTATAATCTTGATACTAACACCTAATGAGGACGTTAAAAGAGAAGAAAATTATAGGTCCATTTTTCTCAGGAACATTGATGCAAACCAAAGCAAAATAATAATCAAAGCCCTGAAATTACAGTAGTAGAATAAAGGGACAGCCTGACAAAGTAGAGGTGGCTCTAAGAATTCATGAGTGGTATAAATTCAAAGCTCAATGTGATTCACCACAAAGAATAAAGACTAGATCATCTCTAAAGATGCTGACACAGCATTTAATAAAACTCAATATTCACAATAAAAACTCATAGCTGCTGGGCACAGTGGCTCATGCCTGTAATCTCAGCACTTTGAGAGACTGAGGAGGGAGGATCACTTGAGGCCAGGAGTTCGAGACCAGTATGGGCAACATAGCAAGACCCCATCGCTATAAAACATAAAAAAAAATAGCAAGGCATGGTGGCACACGCCTATAGTCCCAGCCACATGGGATGCTGAGGTAAGTGTCAGGCCTCTGAGCCCAAGCCAAGCCATCGCATCCCCTGTGACTTGCACGTATACGCCCAGATGGCCTGATGTAACTGAAGAATCACAAAAGAAGTGAAAAGGCCCTGCCCCGCCTCAACTGATGACATTCCACCATGGTGATTTGTTCCTGCCCCACCTTAACTGAGTGATTAACCCTGCGAATTTCCTTCTCCTGGCTCAGAAGCTCCCCAACTGAGCACCTTGTGACCCCCGCCCCTGCCCACCAGAGAACAACCCCCTTTGACTGTAATTTTCCATTACCTTCCCAAATCCTATAAAATGGCCCCACCCCTATCTCCCTTTGCTGACTCTCTTTTTGGACTCAGCCCGCCTGCACCCAGGTGAAATAAACAGCCATGTTGCTCACACAAAGCCTGTTTGGTGGTCTCTTCACACGGACGTGTATGAAATTTGGTGCCGTGACTCGGATCAGGGGACCTCCCTTGGGAGATCAATCCCCCATCCTCCTGCTCTTTGCTCCGTGAGAAAGATCCACCTACGACCTCAGGTCCTGAGACTGACCAGCCCAAGAAACATCTCACCAATTTCAAATCCGGTAAGCGGCCTCTTTTTACTCTCTTCTCCAACCTCCCTCACTATCCCTCAACCTCTTTCTCCTTTCAATCTTGGCGCCACACTTCAATCTCTCCCTTAATTTCAATTCCTTTCATTTTCTGGTAGAGACAAAGGAGACACGTTTTGTCCGTGGACCCAAAACTCCGGTGCCAGTTACGGACTGGGAAGGCAGCCTTCCCTTGGTGTTTAATCATTGCAGGGATGCCTCTCTGATAATTCACCCACATTTCAAAGGTGTCAGACCACGCAGGGACGCCTGCCTTGGTCCTTCACCCTTAGCGGCAAGTCCCACTTTTCTGGGGGAGTGGCAAGTACCCCTCAACCCCTTCTCCTTCACCCTTAGTGGCAAGTCCTGCTTTTCTAGGGGGCAAGAACCCCCAATCCCTTATTTCCACACCCGAACCTCATATCTCTGTGCCCCAATCCCTTATTTCCATGCCCCGACCCCTTACTTCTGTGCCCCATCCCTTATTTCTGCCCCCCGACCTCTTATCTCTGCACCCCAACCCCTTTTCCCACTTTTCTGGAAGGTAAGAACCCCCGAACCCCTTCCCTCCGTTTCTATACTCTCTCTTTTCTCTAGGCTTGCTTCCTTCACTATAGGCAACCTTCCACCCTCCATTCCTCCTTCTACTCCCTTGGCCTGTGTTCTCAAAAACTTAAAACCTCTTCAACTCACACCTGACCTAAAACCTAAATGCCTTATTTTCTTCTGCAATGCTGCTTGACCCCAATACAAACTCGACAGTAGTTCCAAATAGCCAGAAAATGGCACTTTGAATTTTTCCATCCTGCAAGATCTAAATAATTCTTGTCGTAAAATAGGCAAACGGTCTGAGGTGCCTGACGTCCAGGCATTCTTTTACACATGAGTCCCTTCCTAGTCTCTGTGTCCAGTGCAACTCATCCCAAATCTTCCTTCTTTCCCTCCCACCTGTCCCCTCAGTACCAACCCCAAGCGTCACTGAGTCTTTCTAATCTTCCTTTTCTACAGACCCGTCTGACCTCTCCCCTCTTGGCCAGGCCGAGCTAGGTCCCAATTCTTCCTCAGCCTCTCCTCCTCCACCCTATAATCTTTTTATCACCTCCCCTCCTCACAACCCTGGTCCAGCTTACAGTTTCATTCCGTGACTAGCCCTCCCCCACCTGCCCAGCAATTTACTCTTAAAAAGGTGGCTGGAGCCAAAGGCATAGTCAAGGTTAATGCTCCTTTTTCTTTATCCCAAATCAGATAGCGTTTAGGCTCTTTTTCATCAAATATAAAAATCCAGCCCAGTTCATGACTTGTTTGGCAGCAACCCTGAGACACTTTACAGCCCTAGACCCTAAAAAGTCAAAAGGCTGTCTTATTCTCAAAATACATTTTATTACCCAATCTGCTCCTGACATTAAATAAAACTCCAAAAATTAAATTCCGGCCCTCAAACCCCACAACAGGATTTAATTAACCTCGCCTTCAAGGTGTACAATAATAGAAAAAAGTTGCAATTCCTTGCCTCCACTGTGAGACAAACCCCAGCCACATCTCTAGCACACAAGAACTTCCAAACACCTGAACCGCAGTGGCCAGGCGTTCCTCCAGAACCTCCTCCCACAGGAGCTTGCTACACATGCCAGAAATCTGGCCATTGGGCCAAGGAATGCCAGCAGCCCAGGATTCCTCCTAAGCCGCGTCCCATCTGTGTCGGACCCCACTGAAAATCGGACTGTTCAACTCACCTGGCAGCCACTCCCAGAGCCCCTGGAACTCTGGCCCAAGGCTCTCTGACTGACTCCTTCCCAGATCTTCTCAGCTTAGCGGCTGAAGACTGACACTGCCCGATCGCCTCGGAAGCCCACTAGACCATCACGGACGCCGAGCTTCGGGTAACTCTCACAGTGGAAGGTAAGCCCGTCCCCTTCTTAATCAATACGGAGGCTACACACTCCACATTACCTTCTTTTCAAGGACCTGTTTCCCTTGCCTCCATAACTGTTGTGGGTATTGACGGCAAGGCTTCTAAACCTCTTAAAACTCCCCAACTCTGGTGCCAACTTAGACAATACTCTTTTAAGCACTCCTTTTTAGTTATCCCCACCTGCCCAGTTCCCTTATTAGGCTGAGACACTTTAACTAAATTATCTGCTTCCCTGACTATTCCTGGACTACAGCTATATCTCATTGCTGCCCTTCTTCCCAATCCAAAGCCTCCTTTGCATCCTCCTCTTGTAACACCCCACCTTAACCCACAAGTATAGGATACCTCTACTCCCTCCTTGGCAACCGATCATGCACCCCTTACCATCTCATTAAAACCTAATCACCCTTACCCCCCAATGCCAATATCCCATCCCGTAGCACGCTTTAAAAAGATTAAAGCCTGTTATCACTCGCCTGCTACAGCATGGCCTTTTAAAGCCTATAAACTCTCCTTACAATTCCCCCATTTTACCTGTCCTAAAACCAGACAAGCCTTACAAGTTAGTTCAGGATCTGCGCCTTATCGACCAAATTGTTTTGCCTATCCACCCCGTGGTGCCAAACCCATATACTCTCCTATCCTCAATACCTGCCTCTATAACCCATTATTCTGTTCTAGATCTCAAACATGCTTTCTTTACTATTCCTTTGCACCCTTAATCCCAGCCTCTCTTCACTTTCACTTGGACTGACCCTGACACCCATCAAGCTCAGCAAATTACCTAGGCTGTACTGCCACAAAGCTTCACAGACAGCCCCCATTACTTCAATCAAGCCCAAATTTCTTCCTCATCTGTTACCTATCTCGGCATAATTCTCATAAAAACACACGTGCTCTCCCTGCCAATCGTGTCTGACTGATCTCTCAAACCCCAGTACCTTCTATAAAACAACAACTCCTTTCCTTCCTAGGCATGGTTAGCGTGGTCAGAATTCTTACACAAGAGCCAGGACCACACCCTGTAGCCTTTCTGTCCAAACAACTTGACCTTACTGTTTTAGCCTAGCCCTCATGTCTGCGTGCAGTGGCTGCCACTGCATTAATACTTTTAGAGGCCCTCAAAATCACAAACTATGCTCAACTCACTCTCTACAGTTCTCATAACTTCCAAAATCTATTTTCTCCTCATACCTGATGCATGTACTTTCTGCTTCCCGGCTCCTTCAGCTATACTCACTCTTTGTTGAGTCTCCCACAATTACCGTTGTTCCTGGCCCAGACTTCAATCCGGCCTCCCACATTATTCCTGATACCACACCTGACCCCCATGACTGTATCTCTGATCCACCTGACATTCACCCCATTTCCCCAAATTTCCTTCTTTCCTGTTCCTCACCCTGATCACCCTTGATTTATTGATGGCGGTTCCACCAGGCCTAATCGCCACACACCAGCAAAGGCAGGTTATGCTATAATACAAGCCACTAGCCCGCCTCTTAGAACCTCTCATTTCCTTTCCATCCTGGAAATCTATCCTCAAGGAAGTAACTTCTCAGTGTTCCATCTGCTATTCTACTACTCCTCAGGGATTATTCAGGCCCCCTCCCTTCCCTACACATCAAGCTCGAGGATTTGCCCCCACCCAGGACTGGCAAATTAGCTTTACTCAACATGCCCTGAGTCTGATAACTAAAATACCTCTTAGTCTAGGTAGATACTTTCACTGGATAGGTAGAGGCCTTTCCTACAGGGTCTGAGAAGGCCACCGCAGTCATTTATTCCCTTCTGTCAGACATAATTCCTCAGTTTAGCCTTCCCACCTCAATACAGTCTGATAACAGACCAGCCTTTATTAGTCAAATCAGCCAAGCAGTTTTTCAGGCTCTTAGTATTCAGTGAAACCTTTACATCCCTTACGGTCCTCCGTCTTCAAGAAAAGTAGAACGGACTAAAGGTCTTTTAAAAACACACCTCACCATGCTCAGCCACCAACTTAAAAAGGACTGGACAATACTTTTACCACTTTCCCTTCTCAGAATTTAGGGCTGTCCTCGGAATGCTACAGGGTATAGCCCATTTGAGCTCCTGTATAGACGCTCCTTTTTATTAGGCCCCAGTCTCATTCCAGACACCAGACCAACTTAGACTGTGCCCCCAAAAAAACTTGTCATCCCTACTATCTTCTGTCTAGTCATACTCCTATTCACCATTCTCAACTACTCATACATGCCCTGCTCTTGTTTACACTGCCAGTTTACACTGTTTTTCCAAGCCATCACAGCTGATATCTCCTGGTGCTATCCCCAAACTGCCACTCTTAACTCTTGAAGTAAATAAATAATCTTTGCTGGCAGAACTATGCTGAATCTCCTTAGGCACTCTCTAATCAGATATCCTGAGTCGTCCCAATTCTTAGACCTTTTATACCGGTTTTTCTTCTTCTGTTTTTCCATTTAGTTTCTCAATTCATCCAAAACCGTATCCAGGCCATCACCAATCATTGTATACGACAAATGTTTCTTCTAACATCCCCACAATATCACCCCTTGCCACAAGACCTCCCTTCAGCTTAATCTCTCCCACTCTAGGTTCCCATGCTGCCCCTAATCCCGCTTGAAGCAGCGCTGAGAAACATTTCCCATTCTCTTCTCTCCATATCACCCACCAAAAATTTTCGCCGCCGCAACACGTCAACACCATTTTGTTTTATTTTTCTTATTAATATAAGAAGGCAGGAATGTCAGGCCTCTGAGCCCAAGCCAAGCCATCGCATCCCCTGTGACTTGCACGTATACACCCAGATGGCCTGAAGTAACTGAAGAATCACAAAAGAAGTGAAAAGGCCCTGCCCCGCCTCAACTGATGACATTCCACCATGGTGATTTGTTCCTGCCCCACCTTAACTGAGTGATTAACCCTGCGAATTTCCTTCTCCTGGCTCAGAAGCTCCCCAACTGAGCACCTTGTGACCCCCGCCCCTGCCCACCAGAGAACAACCCCCTTTGACTGTAATTTTCCATTACCTTCCCAAATCCTATAAAACGGCCCCACCCCTATCTCCCTTTGCTGACTCTCTTTTTGGACTCAGCCCGCCTGCACCCAGGTGAAATAAACAGCCATGTTGCTCACACAAAGCCTGTTTGGTGGTCTTTTCACATGGACGCGCATGAAAGTAAGAGGAACATTTGAGCCCTGAAGTTTGAGCTTGCAGTGAGCTATTATAGTGCTACTGCACTACAGCTTGGGTAGTAGAGAAAGACTGTCTCTAAAATCAACAGCAAAGCAACAAAACTCATAAACAACTAGGACTAGAAGGGAAACTTCCTTAATTGGATAAAGAGTTTCTAAACAACCGTTCTCTGTGATATGTAGGATGAAACCAAGATAGCAGCTATAGTAATTTCCAATCATCATTGCACTGGAGATCTAGTCAGTACAGTAAGAAAGAATAAAACAGTGGTTGGGTGTGGTGGCTCACATCTGTAATCCCAGCACTTTGGGAGGCCAAGGCAGGTGGATCATGAGGTCAGGAGTTAGAGACCAGCCTGACCAACATGGTGAAATCCCGTCTTTACTAAAAATACAAAAATTAGCCGGGCGTGGTGGCATGCACCTGTAATCTCAGCTACTCAGGAGGCTGAGGCAGGAGAGTTACTCAGACCTGGGAGGCAGAGGTTGCAGTGAGCTGAGATGGTGCCACTGCACTCCAGCACTCCAGCCTGGGCAACAGAGCAAGACTCAGGAAAAAATAAAAAATAAAACAAAAAGGTGAAATAATTGGAAAGAATAAATAACATTGTCATTTGCAGATGAAAGGGTTGTGTACACAGAAAATCCAAAGTAATTTATAGATAGACTATTTGTATTAAAAAGTGGATATAACAAGGCCACTGAATGCTAGATCAATTTAGAGTATAATTTCAGTCCTATAGTCAATCAAGAAACAATTAGAAAATGATTACTTGTAATTGATAACTTTCACTTAGGCATTGAAGACTCTGCAAAATTCCTGCCAAGTTAGCTTCCTCCCCATGAGGTAAGATATCATACACTTGATGTTGTGAATACCATTCACACCTTTGGTATGTTTAAGTTTTTATTCCTGTAGCTTATTTTTCATTGTTGTTTTTATCTAAAAACACAGGTATTTTACCAAAGCCCTCATAAACACTGTAACTTCAATAGTTAAAATGATATGGGAATTAAGTAGAAATTATTTAGGCATATTGTGAGGGTAAGAAAGTCCTCGATAAGATTTTCCTTTTAATGAAAAGCAGCCCCCAAATCATTTTCTTTTCTAACAAAGAGCAGCCTGTAAAGTCGAGCTGCAGACATAGACAAGCAAGTTGGAAGCTTGCACGGGTGAATGCTGGCAGCTGTGCCAATAGGAAAAGGCTATCTGGAGCTAGGCATGTTCAAAATGGCGGCTCTATGTTCCCTTCTCTTCACCAGACAGGTGTACAGTAAAGAGCAGACAACATGGCACTGGCTAAATGGAAAACCTATTTGCATAATAAGATTAGAGTGGGGTGGCCAGCCTTCTCCTCATGCTATGTAAATATCACACCTGGTCCAACCAATCTGTGGGCCCTACATAAATTAGACATTGCCTCCTCAAACCTGTCTATAAAATCAGGTGCACCAGACAATGATGCTACTTCAAAAAAGAATACCAATTATAACAGCACAAAACAAGCACCTATTAAAAACCTAATGAAATATTTTAAAAATCTCTGCATAGAAAAATCTAAACAGACTAAAATATTATTTAAAAATGGAGAGATCTACTATTTTCTTGTATTGAACTCAACATTTATTAAGATGTTAATGCTCCTCAAATTTATCTAAAGGTCTAGTGAAGTCCCTTTAGGGATTGCCACATTTTCTTGTCTATATGTGAAGAGGAGCAAGTGATTAGGGATAAAAATAAACAAAGCAATTTAAAAGACCAGCCTTCTGAATATGAAGGCTTTACACTATTTGTTATCAAGATTAAACCTCAGTAAGTAAATCAGAGTAGGATTGTCTGAAGAATACATAAATAGACTGATGAAACAGAATATAGAGTTCAAAAACAGACTCATGCATGACAGCCGGTGATTTATGACAAAGGTGACACTATAGACTAGTAAGTAAACAATTTTTTTTTTTTTTTACAATTACTGGTGTTTGGCCAATTGAATATCCATATGGAAAAATACAAATTTTCCCTCACCATCATCTATAGAAAATCAATTCCAGGCTGATCATGATCATAGAACAAAACAACAAGCCTTCTAGGACAAAATGTAGGAGAATGCCTTGTTTCTAACAAAAAGCCCCAACCATAAAGAAATAGATGAATAAATGTGAATTAAAATTAGAAACTTATGCATCAAAACACACAATTAAAATAACGAAAAGGCAAGGAAGAGAGTGAGTAAAGCCATTTGCTAATCAAGTATCTTGTATATGCAAAGGTCATATATTCAGAGAATAGAAATATTCTTACAAAGCAAAAAGCAAATAATCCAATGGAAAAATGAACAAAATTCCTGAATGTTTTTTTCACAAAGAGGTTATCCAAAGAGCCACTTGACATATGAAAAAGTGCATGACATCATTAGTTACGTGGAAATACAAATTAAAATCATATTGAGATACCTATCATTACACATACACAAGATTGCCTAAAATTATTTGAGTGACAATGTCAAGTGTTGACAGATATATGGAGAAAATGGATCTGTCATGCATTGCTGGTGGAAGTGAAAAATGGTAAACCCACTTTGGAAAGTGGCAGTTTCTTATAAAATTAAGCATATATTTACCATATAACCCAGCGATTCCATTCCTACGTATATACTCAACAGATATGCAGACATGTGTCTGGGTGAGATGGCTCACACCTGTAATCCCAGCACTTTGGGAGGCTGAGGTGGGTGGATCACTTGAGCCCAGGAGTTCGAGACCAGCCTGGGCAACATGGCAAAATCCCGTCTCTACAAAAAATTAGCCAGGTATTGTGCACCTGTGGTCCCAGCTACCTGGGAAGCTGTGATGGGAGGATTGCCTGAGCTCAGGAGGTGGAGGCTTCAGTGATCCATGATTGTGCCACTGCACTCCAGCCTGGGTGATGGTTATAGCATCATTACTTGTAATATCCCCAAACTTGAAACAAGGCAAATGCCTATCAATATTAAAATGTATAAATAATTTGAGTTATATTCATATATCCAGCACTGGCCTAGCAATGAAAATGAATGAACTACCATTATTTGAACAATTTGGATGAATCAGACAAATATAAACAAAATAAAATAGAACATGCTGTATGATGTCGTTTATGTAAATGTTAAAAACACTATAGAAAATATTTCCTTTGGGGAGTTACAGTTAGGATCAGAATAGTAGCTTATGGAATGTGGAAATCCTTTGCTTTGCAGATTCACTTTGTAATAATTCATTGAAATATAGACATATGATTTGTTCACTTTTCTTAATGTACAATATACTTCAAATATATTTTTTAAAGTATTTATATAAATAAAGCTATGTGCTGAAGGCCAATTACAAGTGTTAAGGTTTTAAAAAATAATTAGAATATTCAATCTCATTAATAAAACAAATTATATATGATAATACAGTAGTATATAAAATAACATAGAAACAGAATTGCTTAAAATATTTATATCATTTTTTCTCACTTTTTACATTTTTATTTTGTCTCGATAGTGCACAATCTATCAAGTCATATATTTAATTAAAATTATGAGTATGCATGTAATATACATATTTATACATATGATACAATTTTTAAGTAAGGAAGTTTTCATTGGTCTACCACCTTAAGAAATTTTCAGGGGGCACTTTAAGAATGTTTATTAAAAGCCACCATTTTCAGTTAAAATCTTACTCTTATTCAAGTAGTAAATGTTGTATTGGTTTTACAAGTAATATGCTATTTTAAAAAACCTATAAATTTAGAAAGACTCACATTGAAATTGTGACTGTATACTTACTGGTTGTCTGACTATGTTTAAGGTTTTAATATTTCTTTTATGTCTTCATCAATAAAAATATACAACAATGATCCCTAATTACTAATGTTATAAAGAGTAAATTAAATATCATAACTGATAGTGCTGAGCATATACCTGGCACATAATAGTTGATCCATAAATTTCACCTTTTTAATCCAAACTTTTCTTGTTATTCTGAATTACTCTCACTGAATGTAAGGGGTGGTTATGGAAGGATATTTCTTAACATCCAGAACATGCAATGCAGCTCCCATCATTACTCCCATTACTCTCTCCAGATACTCTCTCTCCATTTACACACCACGGCTTATTGATTTGGACACTATTTAATATAAGTACTTCTTTTAGGATTACTAATACTCCTGAGTTAACTCAGCAACATAGATTTACAATATGCAATGTATTTTCAAATTCCTTCAATCCCTAGTTACAATATGAGTAGTGCCCATGAGATCTGTGGCTGACATTATTTCCTAACTGCTGGTGACATTTTTGGAGATGGAAAATATTGACCTATTCTATTGCCAACTTGTATTACTATTTATTCCATTATGACATATAAACTTAAAAAAAAAAAACATCATGGCGATATTTTTAAAAAGGACCCCATCGTCTCTCGCTTTGCATCCACTTCCTGTCTGTTTCTTGCCTGTTGAATTTAATCTGCCTGTAAACTCCATGCCTAGAGGAAGCCAATACATCTTGCCAAATTATTCACCAGGGTCAATTCTGTATTCAAATTGCCTTTTCATCTTTCTTGAATTTTACAAAAGGAGTTTGGCTTCTTTCTGTTTCAATTTCCCTGTATCATTACCATTCAATTTTTGCATTTGACAGCCTTGCAGTGGGTCTGGATTAATAGCCAGCATGATTCGCCCATGTTCTCCAGGACTACTGCTCTTTATTGTGAAATTAGAATGGTTTTATTTTTCTGCAAAGGAAATGGAATGTGTACAGTTGATCAAGTGACACATGAAATCACACCGATAAGTGAAAAATTAAGCTACATTATTTCAAATCATAAACCTTCGTCCTCTAATAATAGTATTAATACTTAGATGTATTCAACATATTTTAGTTGAAGTGAACCAAAAATAAAATTTCCCTTGTACAGGAAATCACAACTTCATCCCCAAATAGCAATATTACATTTACTTTAGGAATCATAACTCAGTAGCCTATGAGGAAGGCATGGGGATTATCATAGCCTGAAACCACCAGACTGATGAGCTTCTGTTTGGAGGTGACTACTCTCCACTTTCATCTCAAAATGTTCCCCAGCTGCCTTACAGAGTTCCCCATAACACTACATCATGGGCACGCAACCACTTCATGTTCCTGCACCTGGCCCTCCTCACTCTTCCATCCAGCAGTTTCTCTTTTCCTATAACTTTTCATAGAATAACCCTCATACTTGGATATCAGCCACCTTCGTTGGTTGATGTTACCTCTAAAAGTCTGAGACACAGCATTTTCGGCATCTCTTTGGCCCAAGTGTGGGCACAGGCCCTATCCTGAGTCCTCAGAACACACAGATGCAGGGCTGTAACTTCAAACAAGGCTTTCCTGAAGTTTGAAGATAATGTTAGAAGAGCACAACAGAGACTATGTAACACCAAGAATGCAAGCACGGCTCCATCTGAAAGCTCTGCTTGCCCAGACACGAGATTATTACAACCCACACCCACCAGAACCATTTCAGTCTTCTCCGAGTTCTAGAGTCAGAGCCAAACAAATACATTTAGATTTTTAGAGAAGGGAAGATTCTCATACACTCTTCTTTAAAATCTGGACGGAGGCCTCCAAAAAGATATGTCCACATCCTAATCCCCAGAACCGATGAATATGTCATATGGCAAGAGAGTAAACATTACCTTCCAGGCAGAAGATGTGATTACATTAAGGCTTTTTAGAGGAATAGTTTATCCGGTATTATCTGGGTGGGCCTAAAATGTGATCACATTTATCCTTATAAGAGAGTCAGAAGGAGTTTGAGACAAACACACGGAGGAGAAAATATACGGAAGAGAAGGAAATGTGACCAACAAAGGCAGGGATTGGAGTGATACGGCCTCAAGCCAAGAAACATCAACAGAGGCTGGAAGAGTCGAGGAACAGACTCTCCTCTTGAGTTTCTGGGGGAAGCATGTCCCTGCAGACACCTTGATTTCAGACTCCTGGCCTTCAAAACTATGGGAGAAAAAATTTCTGTGGTTCAAAGCCACGAGGGTTATGGTAATTTTTTTCAGGAGTCCTATGAAATTAATCTTTATTTTCTTCTTAATTAGTCTTCCTCTCCAAAGTTTTATTCTTTTCCCAAGATTAACCCCATCTGTTTCAAGGACAGAGTTCAACACACTCTAGGTGAGGGTCTGGGCTCTTTCCTGTAAGCTTAAATTATTTAATAAGACCTTGAATTCCTGTGGCTAGGGCTCAGGTCATTAGAGTGTTTCAAAATAGTAAAAGCAACTTAGATGTTATTTCCTTTATCTAGAAAATAAAATAAGGTTTTGTATAGGCAATGTTAAGAGGTCCTCCTCCTGAATTATGTGTAAGAATCACGCACTGAGACACCAGCATTTTGTTGATGTTCAGTCTGTTAGATACCTACAGAGGAACCAAAGGCAACTTCTGTGAGAGAATAGAAGGCCTAGAAAGACTTCTAAAGCTCTGCCTGCCCTTCCATCATCCTTCAAAGGGCCTAAGATTGGCATTTTTTAAAAAATGAAACTATACTCTTATCCCTTTCTTTCCACAATTTCATGCTTGCCAATATCACGCAAGCTACTCTTACTTTTACGTCAGAGGAAGAGAAAACTGGAGAAATGAATGTTATACAATATAAAACTATCAACTTGTAGGCAGAAAAAAATAAAAAACATAAGGCAAAGGCATGGATTAATCTTTTCAAAACTTTAAGATTAAAAGAGACTTTGATTTTATTTCTTACAGATTTTATACACAAAGTAAAGAGAGAGTGAATGGTTTTATGTGGATAATTGATTACCAGGATGATTGATTAAGGATGATTGATCAGTTCCCTTTAGGAGAAACACAACCCAAATGGCTCTGACAAGAGACTCAGAGAAGTGCTCACCTTTGGTGCATTTCCCCAAGTCTTCCTTTCACAGTCCTATCTGTTGCCACTTTGTTGCATATGACCTGGGATTAGCACTAAAACTAGATATCCATGTTTACCCTACTCTGGGTCTCAGGTTTTACACATGGCAAATTTGAATTTGAAACTCCATGGTGTACCGCAGAGAGGCTGGAATGAGACAGATTTGGATTCTGGTTTAGATTTCGCCACTTAGTCATGGGGGCTTGGAAAGTTATTGGTTATTTACTTTCTCTAACTTATATTTGCTTAAACTGCTAAGAGAGCAGAACTGCTGTAAGACTTAGATACAAGATATTTGTAATCCTGCTTGCCCCACATAGGTGCATAAACCATAAATGAACATAATACTCTCAGTTTTACTATGTATGTACAATAAGAATTCAAGAGGGTAGTGATAATGAATAATCATTCTTATAGACCAGGGGTCAGCAAACTTTTTTGATAAAGCACAAGATAGTAAATATTTTAAGCTTTCCTGGTTATGTGGTCCCTGTCGCAACCACTCAACATGGCTCTAGTAATGTGAAAGCAGCCGAAGACAATACTAAATTAATGGAGGGTAGCTGTGCTGCAATAAATATTCTTTATAAAACAGGCAGCATCCCAGACTTGGCGTGTGGGGCATAGTTTCGTGGCCCTTGCTATTGACTTTCCCAGATCATAACAGTAGGGGAGGTTCAGTTGAAGATTATGACTGTCTCTATATTGTCACCCTTAAACATTATGCAGTAATTCCTGAATCTCAAATTCTCCTTAATGATTTCCTATGAGAATGAATTTATTCATAATTTCAGCTGTTATATGCTTACTGGTATAAAGATAACAAGTTAGGATGTTACCATTTAATACATACATTATTAATTCTTCCACTTGTTAGTTTATACATGTCTTTCAACATTTTTTTTTTTTAGAGAGAGAGAGAAACAGGTTCTTGCTCTGTTGCCGAGGCTGGAGTGGTGCAGTGGCACAGTCATGGTTCACTGCAGCCTCGAATCCTGGGCCCAAGTGATCCTCTTGTCTCAGCCTCTAGAATAGCTGAGACTACAGTTGTGTGACACCACAGCTGGCTAATTTAAAAAAAAATTGGTAGAGATGAGTTCCTGCTATGTTGCCCAGGCTGGTTTTAAACTCCTGGGTTTAGGTGATACTCCTACCTCAGCCTCTTGAGTAGCTGGGACTACAGTCATGTGCCACCACACCCAGCTAATTTTTAAATTTTTTGTTGAAACAGGACCTTGCTATGTTGCCTAGACTGGTCTCAAACTCCTGGCCTCAATCAATCCTCCCACCTTGGCCTCCCAAAGTGCTGGGATTACAGTCAGGAGCCTCTGTGTCTGACCTATGTTCTTCAACTTTAAGAAACCTTGCTTCATTTTAGTCACCTTACTAATTGTGAGCCTAATGTCTATTTGACATTATTCTTCTAAATGACTGCCTTTTGAAAGGTAAAAATATGATGGATGCTCTTGTGAACACTCAAATCCCTTTCCAAGATCCCCACACAATATTCTCTTGGACTCTCCCTGCTATTAGAAACAGTTTTTGGGAATAACATAGTAAAGTCTATGAATCTTAAATCTCAATGAATGTTGTATAGGCATGCACCTTGTAACTACCTCTTATTAACATATTCTTTCCCGACTTCTTATTTTCTAAAAGGACTAAATAATTGATCAGGCACAGCTTTCTGTTACAAAAAAAAAAGGCTCACCTCCAATTGTTCTGTTCAGTGAAACATCTGATGAACCAACCTTTTTACAGAAAACCCACCAGCTTGTCAGGTGTGCAAACAAGGCTCACTCTCTGCTATTTCCAGGGTCATTCTCCTTGGAAAGACTTCCCATGGTTGAAGGACATATTGGCAGGACTCCAGTGCACAATCCAGCATGCACTATCAGCCAGATGATTTCAGTTTTGCCAAAAGTTTCCCAATTTTGCCCTTGAGTGACCGCAGGTTTTTAACAAATAGATTTCCAGCAATTTGTGCAAATTGAATTTTACATCTTCTTAAAATGAAATATTTATAACAAAAACTGAATATATTTTTTAAACCAAAGAAATTGCAATTGAAAGTCAGGAATTTAATGATAAATCTCTATGAAAAATGAGAATAGTGTTTAAGTAACTTTTTAACTCTCAGTATCCTCATATATCCAATTTGTTTTTCAGCAAACTGTACCTATAGTGTGCATGATCATAAATCATGCTCAAAATTCTTACATATTACTTTAAAAGAACATTAATTTGTGTTACTAATGTCATTTTTACATTAAAAATATTTTACTCAAGGTGGTGAAACTTAACTACTGCGTTAAAGATTTAGAGTTTAATCCAAGGAATTAGAGTGGCCAAGCTACACTAATTTTTCAGACATACCTATTTAATGACGGCTAATGTTTGTTTGGGGTCTAGCACATTTATGTCTATTTGTAAACATACATTATTATATGCATAATGAAACACTCCAAAACACAATCATTTAAAACAAATATCATCAATTGGCTCATAATTCTCTGACCAATTGCTAGGGTTGTCTGACATGCCCAGGGTCATGCATGCATCTATATTCGGTGGGGGTCTAGCTGGGGACTCACTGCACTAAGCAGGTCTCAGCTGGGGTTACTACTTTCTGCTCCACGTGCTTTCCGATCTTCCAGCAAACTCTTGTTCACAGTTCCTAAAGACAGCAGAATCCTATAAATCCTCTTGAGGTTTAGGTGTAGAAATGGTCGTGTTTTGTCATATTCTGTCGGCCAAGCAAATGGAAAGACTAGCCCTGATTCAAATGGCGAGGAAGTAGACCCTACCTCCTGGTGGAAGGAGCTGCAAAGTCACATTGCAAAGGAGTAGAGTGGGTAAAGAATTTGGGGCATTTATTTCAATTATTCTCCCAAACACGTGTGTGTGTGTGTGTAAATATTTATTTACACACATTATATACTAAATATAAATATTTATTTACATATTTTATATCATAAACACAAATGGTGGTGCTATATAATTGTAGTATACAATGATTTACTCCAATGCTAAGTTTACCATGAAGTTTTACTATCTCACAGAGTGTGGCCATCTTTCCAAAACTTGCCTATCAAAAAAAAAAATTAAAACTCAATGATTTGGACTTTTAATTCTGGCCAAGATGTAATAATAAGGACCAGATTTATGCTATCACCTGAAACAATTTAAGAATAGTCAAAATATTTAAAGCATAAGTCAAGAAACTGAATTCAAGAAACTGGCAACAAAGGACAGTAATCTCCAAGAGAGAGAAAACAACTAAGGTTAGTCCTATGATTATCCCACTTGTCCAGAGATTTTCCAGTCCATGCTACAGGGAAGAACAACACAGGATGAAACTAGTAGATTTTCTGAGTTGAGAAGACAGAGATGAGAGTCTTTGGAGATCAGTGTAGTTAGAGTTTACAGGACAAAGGACCAGAGAGAAGAAAGCTGAGTACAAAAAGAATTTGAGAAATAAGTAGACGGTTCCACTTGAGTTTGCTGCATATTGACCAGTGTATGTGTGTGAAGAAACATCTAAAGATGAAATTATAATGTCTGAAAAGAAAATTACAATGGATAGAATCAACAGCAGATTACACACACACAAGGAAAAATTAGTAAACTTGAATACATAGCAGTAGAAATGATGCAAAATGAAACAGAGAGAAAAGGAGAATAACAGCAACAAAAACAGTATCAGTGAGCTATGGAACATCTTCAAGTGACCTAATTATATCTATGTGTGTGTGAGAGAGAAGTGGCCAAAGAGAAGAGAAAGGGAGAGCCAGAAAAAAATTGTTTAAGCCATATGACTGAAAATTTTCCAAATTTGGTGAAAACCTGCAGATCTGGGTAGCTCAAACAACCCAAGTCTAATAACCAAGAAGTAAACATCAGAATATGTTATAATCAAATCACTCAAAATTAGTGATAAAAAGAAAACGTTAGAAGAGTCAGAAGAAAAAGACATATTACATATAGAAGAAGAAGAAAGATAAGGATGGCCATCAACATATAAAAAATAACATGTCATTACCAAGTAAGGTTTATCTTAGGAATGCAAGGTTGGCTTAACTTTGGAAAATCAATGTATGTTACCATATTAGAAAACTAAGTAATAAAAACAACCATATGACAAACTGAATTGATGTAGAAGAAAACATTTAACAAAATCGTATATCCAGTCATGATAAAAACTCTCAATAAAGTAGAGATAGAAGGGAACATCCTTAACCTAATGATGGGTTAAGGGTTAGGTTAAGGGCATCTATCAAAAAGCTCCAACTCACCTCACGTCACACTTAATAGTTAAAGACTAAAGGCTTTTCACCTGAGATCAGAAAAAAGACAAGGATATTTACTCTCACCATTTCTATTCAACACTGCATTTTAAAAATTTTATCAAAACTTTTTAAAAGCTACTAGAAATAATAAGTGAGTTTATCAAGATTTCAGGATACAAAATCAATATCCAGGGTGAAAAGGAGGAATTACCAAGAGACATGGAGAAACTTTTGGGAGAGACAGATTGTTCATTACCTTGGTGCTAGTGATGATTTCATGAATTTATACATATGTCAAAACTGATCGAATTTCAATATGTGCAGTTTACTGTATGTCAATTTTACCTCAATAAAGCTGTTTAAAATGGAAAGTCGTGCTCTGGCCTGGCGCAATGGCTCATGCCTGTAATCCCAGCATTTTGGGAGGCCGAGGTGGGCGGATCACCTGAGGTCAAGAGTTTGAGACCAGCCTGGCCAATATGGCGAAACCTTGTCTCTACTAAAAATACAAAAAATTAGCTGGTCATGGTGGCAGGCGCCTGTAATCCCAGCTACTCAGGAGGCTGAGGCAGGAGAATTGCTTGAACCTGGAAAGCGGAGGTTGCAGTGAGCTGAGATCACGCCGTTGCACTCCAGCCTGGGTGACAGAGTGAGAATCCGTCTCAAAAAAATAAAACAAAATAATAATAATAATAATAAAGTGGTGCTCTCCTAATGTATTTTCCACCGTCTCTTTGGGGATTTTGCCTTCAAACTGCACTGCCAAACAATAACTGTGTAAGAGGAAAGATTATACTCTGAATTGTAAAATGTTTACCAACATATTCATTATTTGTAATTCATTATTTTTTAAGCACCACGAGTAATTTTCTATGAGGAAATAACCACTTGAGGACACTAAATGAAGTCCTACCCTCTCATTGTGATGGCTCCTAAGAAGCCTTTATTTAATACATGCACGGGGATTCATCCAGTATCACTAGTGCACTGTGTTTCCCAAAAAGGTTGTTGTCACTGTACCAGACTGCAGAGAATGAGGACTGACTTTACAAGGATGGGCTGGATTATGTGTTGCTTGAGTTTGGAAGTAGGTCAACTATAGATCTATTTTGTGAAGCTCTGAATAATGATAATATGAATAATCGCTACTCAATCAAAACATAAATTCAAGGAGTCAGAGAATTGAAAAGATTCCTTAGATTGGTGATTGTCAACTTCTCTAAACATTTGAGAATTCCGTAGAGGTATCTCTGGCTTCTCAGTTTTCTACTTCAAATGCTTCTTTTAAAGTGTTTTAAACACCTTTTAAAAGGGTTAAAGAAAACCACATATATTAAAATACACCAAATACGCTGAGGAATACCAATGTCCTACTTTATGCTTTGCGAGTAACTTACTTTTATGCAACTTCTAAATAATAGCCTTCCTCCTGTCTCAGGTTAATTAAAGTGTATCCTGAGTCTGCAAAGATTCCCTATGTATCTGGATTTTGAGTAAAAGTTCTGTGGATGTGAAAGGTTGCTGTTCTTCACTGACCTTTTGTGACTTCAGGCCTGCGAATGTCCATTTACTTAAAGTTGTGTAAGTAAGTTCAAGTCTGCAGAACAAGTACAGCATGCTCTATTAAATACAAGTAAAACACAGGCATATTGGCTTAGCACAGCTTCCCATTGTGAAATCCCAGTTGACTGTGCAATAACAAGAGAAAGTAGAATGTTTCATCAGAGTAGAAATACTTTATGCAAAATTTTGTATTTATATTTAATGCGTTTTTACTATTACATTTTAATAAATTTTTTCTCTCTCAGGGTAAAACAATTACTTAAGCCAGAAATTGATTATTAATTAAACACAGAATATTTGAAATTAATATGTGATAATGTGAGTGGAAAATTTGATGATGCAAGATCAAAAATCACCAAGATAAAACTGCAAATCATATTATATTAGCATACTGAAAATAGTATATAAAAGCGCACATGTGCAAAAATAATGGTCACATACTCACTTGTAAATAAATAACTAAAACCATAATGTAGCAAGTATGAATTCACTCCTAAATACTGCAGGAATTAAGAACCATCTTTCTTTTTTCTAAATTTTATGTATTCGACTCCAAGCCATGATTGGTGATGTTTTCCTATTTCCTCTCACTCTTTTGACTACATTCTGATGCCCTAAGTGCCAATCTCAATCATGGTCTGGGCAGTGACGCTGAAGAGGAGGATGGCGCCATGTCCAAGTTCATCTGCAAGCAGCCTTGACCACAGGGGGCCACTAGATTCTGCCCCATAGAATTTGAAGCTTCATGATAGTGTCCCAGGCATGTTCTTGCCAGTCCTAGAAATCTTGCTGCCTCACAGACTACTATCTGGGAATGGGACACAAATTCCACCATCATGCCAGCCCCAGCCCTCCCCACTTCCTTAGCCCTGGAGTCTCTCATCCTCTAAAAAAATCAAGCTTTAGAATCCACAAGAGCCACAACTTGCAAAAACAAAAAGTGTTCATTCTCTCCTGGAGCAAAACAGACCCAGAGAGCAAGACACAAAATCTTCCAAGCTATTTCCAGAACCCAAATCTTTCTTGCTATCTTCTTGTTAGCATGTGTCTGGCAAGGGGGCTGGAAGGGCACAGTGAGCCCTGGATGTAGATTAGGCGTCTCTCATTAGCTTTCAGATGCTTATGGGAGAAATGCAGGTTACTCTGTGACAATAGTAAAATTGTTATCATAGCTCAGTTACAGAATTTTTGTAAAATAACCTTGTAGTCATTTTTGCAAAATAATCCTGTAACTATTTTTTTTTTTTTTTTTTTTTTTTTGAGACAGAGTCTTACTTTTCGCCCAGGCTGGAGTGCAGTGGCGCGATCTCGACTCACTGAAAGCTCCGCCTCCTGGGTTCACGCCATTCTCCTGCCTCAGCCTCCCAAGTAGCTGGGATCACAGGCGTCCGCCACCGCGCCCAGCTAATTTTTTGTATTTTTAGTAGAGACGGGGTTTCACCGTGTTAACCAGGATGGTCTCGATCTCCCGACCTCGTGATCCGCCTGCCTCGGCCTCCCAAAGTGCTGGGATTACAGGCGTGAGCCACCGCGCCCGGCCTCCTGTAACTATTTTTATCAAGCAAGTAATAATGTGATATTTAGACGAAATAGTAATACCCTAAAAATAAGCATTTCAGCTTCATTTAGTATAAATTAAAACATTAAATACTGTCAAAAATTCAAAAGACAATAATATAAGCTTATAGCTTTATTTAATGTTACTGCTTTTCAATTTTTAAATATTTTCATATAGTTAAAAAGTGTGCATATATTCTTTCATACATGAAAATATATGCAAATTGAAAGGCAGATTACATAGAACATATAAACATCTATTTACACATATATACCTATACACATATAAATATGTATGCATATATATGTAATTTGCTTTGTTGTTTACCAAATGTAAGTGTGGGGTCAGTGTTTTCTTCATACATTGTGCCTTTTGAACATTACACACTGTCTCTTTTTGTCTTCTCTCTCCTTTTGATTTTCTTTATATTTACTTGCAATGTTCTGCTCTCATTTTTTTATATCTTGTGACTAATGTAAGGCTGTGTTTTGTCAACAAATATAATCATTTCTGCTTTTCAGAGAATTCAGGCTCTTCTCACCCAAGATAACAACTGAAGTACTGATTTTATTCCATTCACCTTTCTTTACATTTTCTATTTATTTTACTTTGCTTTCTGAACTTTTTCTTCTTGTTTCCTTTTGACACTAAGGTATGCTTTCTAATTCCTGTAGCGATTATCTTCAAAATGCCAGCAGTCATTATCAAGCACACATTGCTGTATTACAGGAAAGCAAGTTAGCATTTATTTCCCCTTGTAAATAAAATAAATACCCTTCCCCCATAATTCATATTTTTAAAAAATTGAGTGTTAGATATTCTAATTTACTTTTAAAAATTTATTTTATTGAGAAATAATTTACATTTAGTAAAATTCACAAATCTTAAGTGTATAGTTACAAGACTTTTACCTATGTATGGCAACCTGGTAACACTATCCAGGTTGAGATACAGAATATTTTCAGCATCCCTGAAGGTTCCCTCAGGCCGCTCCTCAGTCAGAAGCCTCCAGACTCTAATGTAGCCAGTACTCTGACTATGCTTGAACTATTTGTAAAAGGAATAATATAGTATGTGTTCTTTTGTACCTGGCTTCTTTTATGCATCAAAATGTTTTTGAGTTTATGTAAACACCTGTCAATAGGGCCTATTTTTCTCTTATTGACTGTATTTTATTATATGAGTAAAAATCAATTTATTTATTCATCTCCCACTGATGGATATCTGGGTTGTTTCTAGTTTGGAGCTATTATGAATCACACTGTTAGTAATATTTGTGTATGTGGCTTAGGTAGACCCATCCACTCATTTTTTCTTGGGCATACTTGGGAGTAGAATTGCTGGGTCATAGAGTAGGTGCATGTTTAACTTGATTAAAACTGTCAAACAATTTTCCAAAGTAGTTTTACCAATTTGCAATCTGATTAACAGTATATGAGAGTTTCCATGGCTCTTAATTCATTCCAAAACTTGATTAATTTTTGTTTAATTTTAGGTCTTTTTAATTTTTTTGAGATAGTAATATTTCAGTGTGGTTTTAATTGGAATTTTCCTGATGACTAATAATGATGAACACCTTTTCATGCTCTTATTAGCTATTCATATATGTTATTTTGTGACACACATATTTATGTTTTTTGCCTTTTTAAAAATCAGTGAGTTTTGGCCAGGCGCAGTGGCTCACACCTGTAATCCCAGCACTTTGGGAGGCCGAGGCGGGCAGATCATGAGGTCAGGAGATCGAGACCATCCTGGCTAACACGGTGAAACCCCGTCTCTACTAAAAATACAAAAAATTAGCTGGCCATGGTGGTGGACACCTGTAGTCCCAGCTACTCGGGAGGCTGAGGCAGGAGAATGGCATGAACCCGGGAGGTGGAGCTTGCAGTGAGCCGAGATCTCACCACTGCACTCCAGCCTGGGTGACAGAGCGAGACACCATCTCAAAAAAAAAAAAAAAAAAAAATAGTGAGTTTTTTCATATTGGTAATTTAAAATGGTATTCATAGTACTTATATCTCTAAGTATTGGCAAAGAAGATACAGAAATAATTTATTTAAAATCAATAATAAAAAGATTACAATATAAATAGACAAAATATTTGAATGTGTAATTTACATAAATAAAAAAGTACATAGCTAACAAACATTAAAAAATGTCCTACATAAAAATTTACGAAATGCAAGTTAAGACAGTAACGGACAGTCAATAACTTTCATCGATTGTGCAAAAAGAAAAGTATGACATAACTGAAGGCTGGTAAAGAGGAAACTGAGAACCTTTATAAATCATAAGTGGTCGTGCAAATGGGAACTATTGCCAAAAGACTCATCTGACAATATCTAAAAAAATGTGAAGGTGCTTATCACTAGTATTTAACAACTTTGCTTCATGGTACAGGTATCCTAGGAGACATGTACAAAAGTGTTCATTGCAGCCTTATTGTAATAGCAACGATTTGGAAAAACATGAGTAACCAACAATAAAGAAATGTTTGTAAAATTGTTCTAGAGCAATTAATGTAAATGAGCTATATAGATATTTTTTCATATGGATAGACCATGAGAACATAATTTTGAATTTAAAATAAGTGATAAATGATGCATAGAGTTCTTTTCTTAAAATGATAAATTATACATGCAGTATTTTTAAAAGTAAGAAATAATATATTTATAAGTGGTACTCTTAATCTGGTGTCTGGACCAATGACATCAGCATTTCCTGGAAACTTGTTAGAAATGTAAATTTAGGGGCCAGGCCAGACCTACTGAATCAGAATCTCTTGAGGTAGGACCCAGAGATCTGCTTTAACAAGCCTTGCAGTAAATTCTAACGCTTTTTAAAGCTTGAGAACTGTATAATATAGTTCTACATGTTACATAGATATATATTTTCTTAGAATATATTATAGATAGCTTTAAGAATAAAAAGAAATTTCCTAACAGTGGTTTCTTTTGGAGTTGGAGCTGAACAGAAGGCTTCAAGTGTCTGTAACACCATGTCTATAAATATATAAATAAATCTGAAACAAGAAGGAGAAAATACCACTATTTCTAAATTCTTAGTGATGAGTATGTGGTCTTTGTTAAAGGATCTCTGAATCCTTTTAAACTTTTTCATTTCAAAAAAAAAACAAAAGAGCTACAGAGAACATGATGTAAGTGGTTCTTGAAGAGTGTAGGGGTTTGATGAGGAAACCAAAATATCTTAGTTCTTTCTCAAGTTTTCATGTTTAAGTGAAAAATATCTTCACTTAAACTTTCTTAAATATCTTTAAGATATTTCTTAAAATATCTTCACTTTAAAGAGCTTGCAAGACAAGCTCTTTAAAAACAAAACGACAGTACCTATGATTTTGTAATAATTAAGAATTGTTAAATATATTGCATCAAACTTTTCAAGATTTAGCTCAAAACAACATACAGAAATAAATCAGAAAGCAAGATATTGGGATGTAACAGGCATCTATAATCTCAACTTTAGCTCTCTAATTTTTATCAGAACAGTCTTACTGATATCATTGATTCTATCTTTAAAGAGTTAACATAAGAAAATGCACTTATTTGAACAAAATGTTCCTTTTGTTGTTTATGTATTAGGATTATATAAGATCACACATAAATAAGGCATCTCGTGTGTTTTATAAATGATTTGCTTTGTAGGAGAATATTTTATTTCATTTCCATATTCCTGACAGGGCTGCCCTCCAACTCCTCAGATATAGATACTATGTTATTCAATACCTCCAGAGACACTGTTTTCCCAGCTGCTCTTTGTAAGAATTTTTAAAGTCTCACAATTCAGGTCCTAGGATGTCTTGCCTAATGTTACTTTCTGCCACATGATAGTTCTGGAAAGAGAACAGCCACTTCCTGTCATTTATAAGATCTTCCCCCAAATAACCAAGTTCATGATGAAGCACATCTCACTTTTCAGTCCTGAGGGCTAAGCCAGCCCAGGCAGCCAACCCTTGGCTCGTCTTTCATTCAACAGTGACCTTTTCTGTGTAGCACTAAAGAAGTATAAAAACAGCCTTGACCACAAAGGCTTACATTTTAGTTAAGACTATAAGAGTTATTCACTTGTAGCATCGTGAAGAAAAACAACATCATAAAATAACATTCTATGTGGTAACCATAAAGTGTTAAATCATCTGGGATGGTACTGAATGCAGAAGGCATTTTGAAAAGAGAAACCTGGGAGGGCATGGTGGAATTATTGGCAGGAAAGTTTCATGAAAAAAAAATGAGGCTGAAAAGTTAGACAGCAGGTTCAAGGAAAACTGTCAACAAACAGGAATAGTATGGGAAGTGAGGGACAGTGCAGTTGAGAGAATGAAGGCAGCTAAAGTCAACAAGGACCACTGTGAATAGTAAAGATAGTTACAATGTGGGAGAGAAAGCAGACTGCAATTATGCAGTACAGGGAAATTTGAAAGGTACCTAGATTTGATGTACAGAAAACCATAGATTCCCTGATGAATAAAGGATTAATTCATAAGTGTACTCAACCCATATCACAAACACTGCAGTGAAAATAAGGTTCTTCCCAGTTTGTAGTCATCATCGTGAACTAGCATTAACATTTTATTGCCTGGTCTTTGTTCCATGATAACTCTGTTTCCTTCTCATATTTGTAAATTATAAAACTAATAATATATACTAAATGTAGGGAGTTTTAAAAAATGACCCAAAATATAAAAAAAGTAGTTGATATTATGGAGTGCCAGTGGAAGTGCTTTCCACTATTAGCACCATGTGATCCTTGCAACAACCCCATTACCTTTATTTTACAAAGAAGAAAATGGTACACAGAGATATTAAATAACCAGCCCAAGGTCAGCACATAGTGCTATCAGGTCTTAACCCCATGAATTGAAGAGCCAGCGCCCACATGCTTTACCCCTCTGCAGGGCACTACTGCCTCTTTTACCTGCTTGTCTATCTTACTTAGAATCTTATCTGCTATCTTGCCTACTATCTCTCTTATAAAAACAAGTTTCATTTCTGCATTAGAGTTTATAACATGTATGTACCATCAATACTGTAAATATTCCTTAACTGTTAAATATTGTGTGTGTTTGAAAATTTTTGCTGTTGTAAATAATGCAACATTGAACATATTTGCACAGAAATCTTTACAAACATGTTCTGTTAACTCCTTAAAATCAGTTCTTAAAAGTAGGATGGATGGCTAAGGCAGATATAGGAAATATTTCAGGTCATTTTATTCTCAAAATATTTTCAAAACCTTTCCCATATTTGAAAATAGGACACCAAATATGTAGGTAAGAAGCAGACTTCATTACATCTTTTTGAACTCTAAGAATCATAATTTTTTAAAAAAATTAACTCATCATTTTGAGATCATTGTAGATTCACATAGTTTTTGGAGTTAATACAGATAAGTTCCGCATACATTTTACCGTATGTATCGCACTGGTGGTAACATCTTGGAAAATTTGGGTATAATATCAAAACCATGATATTGACACTAATACAGTGGAGATATAGAATATTAACATCACCACAAAGATTCCTTATGTTGCCTTTCTATAGCTACACCCACTTTCCTCCTGTCCCCATCTCATCCTTAATTTCAGGCAACCAGTAGTCTATTCATTTCTATAATTTTGTCATTTCAAGAATGTTACATAAAGGGAATCATACAGTATGCAAATTTGAGTGCTTCCTTTCTTCACCGAGCATAATTCTTTGGAGATTTATCTAGTTTGTTGCATATCAATATGGCTGCTCCTTTGTATTGCTGAGTAATAATACATGATAATAATGTACCACAGTTTATTTAACCATTCACTTCCTGAAACACATCAGAGTTGTTTTTAGTTTGGGACTGTAGTGAATAAAACTACCATGAACATTTGTATTCCTGTTTTTGTGTCAACATCATTTTCATTTCTCTGAGATAAATGTTCAAGAGTGCAATTTCTGGGTCACATGGCTGTTACAAATTTATTTTTATGAGAAACTGCCCATCTGTTTTCCAGAGTGGCTGTACCATTTCACATTCTCATAACAATTTCTGAGTAATCTAGTTTCTCCTCATCCTTGCTAGTTAGCATTTGATGCTGTCACTATTTTTTTTATTATAGTTATTTTGATAGGTGTATATACTGATATAGTGGTTTTACTGAATCATGTGTTTTTTTAAAAATCATTGCTAATTTAATCCAATAAAGTGATTTTTCATTTTAGTTGGGGGATCTTTTTTAGGCTCAATTTATTTTTTATTTTTTTTTTTTACTATTGTGTTTCTTCTATAAATTGTACTTCATGGGCTTTTTTTCTGTTACTTATAAGTTGTTCCATTCAGGCTGCTATAATAAAATGTCATCGACCAGTATACACAAGAGAAATTGGGTTTTACTTGAATTTATTTCTCAGAGTTCTGGAGGCTTGCATCTGAGATCTGGTGAAGGCCTTCTGGATTGCAGACTGCCAACTTCTTGTTGAATCCTCACGTGGAGGTAAGACAGCTAGCTAGCTACCTGGCTTCTGATAAGGGCACTAATCCCATTCGTGAAAGGTTCACCTTCATGACCTAATTATCATCCCAAGTCCCCACCTCCTAATACTATTTTATTGAGAACTAAGACCTCAACATATGAATTTTGGGGGGACACAAACATTTAGTTCATAAAGTCAGTAATTCAGCAATTTCAAAAATATATTTCATATACTATGTATTAATTATATTAATATTATGTTTTGTAATTCCTTTCTTTTCCTGATTTTGTTAGAATTACTTGAGTAATTAGATATTTTAACTTTCTTATAAAGCTTTGTTCTTAAGCCTTGAATGGCTATTATAATCCAATACATGCTAAGTCTGCTTCAATTCATGATCAGCTCAGTTGGTTGAATCAAATGCAACTGAAGGCCTTTTAAATTCTGAATACTGTCCTTCCTCCATAGTATACATAAATTTAGTCTTTTTCTATTAGTACTATCCTTGATGCATTATTCACCTACAGTAGCACATTATTTGCTACGAACCGATTATCAATTCTCTGTGAAGCCAGCCATTTTTTTCCTGGTTAGTATTTTATAATCCCCAGCCCATCTTGCTCTTGAAATACAAGTTCTATACCTGGAAATGCAGTCATTTAATTCTAAGATGTGGAAATGTATTTCTGAAGAGAATAGGATATATATATATAGCAGAAAGACTGATCAGCTTCAGAATTTTATGCTTGTGCATGTTCATGTTCATTCCAGCTCAGTCAGGGACTTGCTCAGTGACCTTACAAAAATTTCTCAACCCCTTGATTTTTTCATTTCTTCTTCTGTGAACAGAGATCAAACCATTTTCTGCCCCCTTGGTCTGATCTAAGAAACTTCACTGATGAGATAAAGGCAGTGGAAAGGTTAAGACAAAAGACAGCATTCAGCCGGGAACAGATTCACTTTACTTATCCACCCAGGGAATGATTGTGTTTGCAGTAACCCCTAATATTGATTATCAGATAGGGGTGCATATTGACGTCTGCAGCAGAAAGCACAGGGTTGTTGCTCTAAGATGCTCATTCAAGAACCACGGAAAGCATTAACAGCCAGTCACAGTAACTGAAAGCACCACAAAGTTCAACCTCAGAAAGCTGTAACGAAGCCAGGGATTATTCTGAAGGGCTGTTGTTTACAGGCACATCAGCCTGCCCCACAGAGCAAGCCGGATGAAAGGGGGAAAACCCTCTGGGGCAGAGGATACGGAACCTGGGCTGAATCTATTGCTTGGAGTCTGAGAAAGGAAAACCTTGGGCAGCCCAGATCCTAGTTCCCACTGCAAGCAGCAAACACCATTGGATCTTCTGGCATGGTAAGATTCCGTGAAACAGCCATCTCTCTCTGAAACACATTTCAGCAGGATTTACCTGGGGAAGGTAAGTCCTTCTTTCTCAGCTGGAGGAAACCACTTCTCAGAGGATGCCAAACAAGGGCAGATTCCTCACTCCCCCAGACTCTTGATATCTGGAGGTTTATCTAGTCCAGGGGCTGGCAAACAGAACCACAAGCCAACAGTGGCCTGCTGGATGTTTCTGAATGGTTTGTGAGCTATGGACGGTTTTCATATTTTTAAATAGCTTAACAAAACAACAAAAGATGAACAATATTCTGTGACACATGAAAGCTATAAAATTTAAATTTTCTTGTCCATAAATAATGTCTTATTGGAACATAGCCATGCATGTTCATTTACATATTCTCTATGAGACTGCATTTGTGCTACAACAGGAGAGCTGAGTGATTGTAACAGAGACCACATGGCCTGACTTCTTACTTACTTACTTACTTACTTACTGTCTGGCTCCTCACAGAAAGAACTGGCTGACCGTCTTCCCACTTGATCATTGTATAGATCCAATAGAGCACCCTCTTGCATTGTGCCTCACACCAGAATGACATCACTTCATAAGTCAACCTGGAATGTTGACAGTCAGCAACAATTGTCAAAACTATTCTTATTTTTGACTCAAATTTTCAACTTATTGGGACTAATTATTTAAGCTCTGTTGGAAGGACCTAGAATAAATCTAACCACTTTCTTGCATGAAAGCAAAATGAAATAAGAAGAGGAAAATTCTTCCACTGCCAACACTACACACACGCAGTGCTGTCAACGGCTCAGCATCATTGACCCGAGCCTCCACATCACTGAGCCTACAGAGCAACCTAGTCCATTACTCACTGCTAACTGTCCTTCGTATTCCTAGTAAGCCTTCTTAAGTGGGCTCCCAGGGGTTCATTTAGGATATATACAGTATTTAAGACCTGGGTACTGCAGAGACTCACCAAGTCCCACCAGACATGCTCTTTGCCATGGCTGCTCAAAAGGGCCAAAGCTCTGGTCCTGGAGAAGTGATCCGCAGTTCCCAAATGCCAATCCCAGGTGAGCCCATAAGGAGGCAGGACTGGCTGGTTCTCTAGCCTCTCAGTTCTCTCAATGGCATATCTTGAGTTTCTGAATTCCTGCCAGGTAATCTTCTATCCCCAGCACTTTGATTGCTTAGCCTCTAATCCTGTCTAAAGAAAGCCAGGAAAAGTATTTTAAGTGATAGGGGAATCTCAGCTATTATCTCATCTCAAAGAGAGCTCTGTGGACCAGCAGCCTCAGTATCACCTGGGAGCTTGATAGAATGGCAAAATCTCAGGCCCTTTCAGGCCTTCTGAGTTAGAATCTGCATTTTCTCAAGATGGTTAAGTGATTCATATGCACGTTAATGTTGGAAAAGTACGGAAGTAATCTATTGCCATTCTATAAATTGGGGGACTGCTCAAATCTGGGACTTTGTTCTGATTTCCACTCTTCTTAGCAGCATCTTCAAGATCCAGGAAGAATTCCACGGCCACACCTTCTAGCAGGAAGTTACCTAGATGGCTGCCTCGTTCTTATTCTCCCTTTGTTTAAAACCAACACTCCTGGTAATCAAAGCCTGTTTCATAACCAACCAGCTTATGTCTAATATTCATTAGCCACTCAACTAAAATATACATAGAAATTGCTAAATACATTTCTACATTTATAAGTCCTTCAAGGAGCAAACGGCTAAACAAACTGTGGTACATTCATCATAGAACACCACTAGGAATAAAAAGGAACACTATTCATACACACAACAACTTGGATAAACCTCAAGAAAATTATGCTGAATGAAAATTACCAGTATGAAAGAAATATATGCTGCATGATTCCATGTATATAGAATTCCTGAAATGACACAGTTAGAGTGACAGTGAACAGGTTAGTGGTTAACAGGGGTTAGCCCTGAGAGGAGAAGGTGGGCATGGCTGTAAAGGGGCAGCATGCGGGAGCCCCATGGTGATAAAAGTTCTGCTGTATTTTGATGATGGTGGGGGTCACATAGCTACACTTGGGATAAAATTGCATAAAGATACACACACATGCACACACTATTGCATGTGCAACTGGTGAAATCCGAATAAGCTTTGTGTATTGTGCCAATATTGATTTCCTGAGTTTGATAATAGTACTGCAGTTATGCAAGATGTTTACATTGCAGGAGGATGGGTAAAGGGTTCACAGGGCCTCCCTTTGATTTCTTTGTAACTTCCTGTGAACTTGCAATTGTTTCAAAACAAAAAGTTAAAAAAAATTAAAACATAGATCCAGTAACCTGTGGGTAAAGAAATAAGCAAATCAATAAACAGAACATTATCCACAGCAGGGCTGGGAGAGGTAGTTTCCTTTCCATGAAGAATGTGTTTACTCTTTTTTTAAATTACCAATTGCTACTAAGATTCCACTTGTTTTAATTCTATCCTCAATTTAGCTGGTTCTAATGAGAAATTCTAGTCTTGTTGGCATTTGTGGAATGAAAAGATATTTTTAGGCTTGTAATAAACATACCTAAGATATAGGTATATAATAAATGAATACTCAAAAATCTAGAAATATTTATTAGAAAAAAATTTTTGTCTTTCTATAAAGCTACAAGATTACCTCATGTCTCACACATAATACTTTTATCTAAGATATCTATTTGGGGCTGAAAAAATTAAAAATGCATTTGTGGGTCTTTGAGGTCAACATTTTAATGTATAGGCCTTGCTCCCACTTCCTGCACCTAGATGCTTTCTTTTACAACCATCTTAAGTAAAAAATTACAATGGACTATGCATTTTAACATAACAACTTTTGCCCTTGTACATGTAATTGCTTGAATTTTACTTTTAATTCTCCCTCTCTCTAGCTATAATTATGAGAATAATTAGATGTCAGAGTTCAGAGCTTCTCAAATTTAAGAAGAGTGGGACAGTCAAAATGAAGTTTTTTCTCTCTTTAAATATCAATTACTGACACAGCTACAACTAACATTTTCATAGTGTTTTGAAACTTATAAGACACTTTCACTTACAAAGAACCACTTAGGAGTCAATTCAGACAAAATGGAAAGCAGTTTTAAAAGCAACTAGGTAGGCCCAGTGAGGTGGCTCACGCCTGTAATCCCAGCACTTTGGGAGGCCAAGGCGGGCGGATCACAAGGTCAGGAATTCGAGACCAGCCTGGCCAACTTGGTAAAACACTGTCTCTACTAAAAATACAAAAATTAGCCGGGTGTGGTGGCGTAGCAGGTGCCTGTAATCCCAGCTACTCGGGAGGCTGAGGCAGAATTACTTGAACCCTGGAGGTGGAGGTTGCAGTGAGCCGAAATCACGCCACTGCACTTCAGCCTGGGTGACAGAGCAAGACTCTGTCTCGAAAAAAAAAAAAGGAATTAAACTGGAAAGAGAAAATTTAATAGACATTTTTCTACCAATAAGCAAAGGCCTATGTAAGTGCAATTAAAGAAAACTGGGACCTCCCAAAGTCTTTCACTCCTATCTTTTTGGTCTCTGGACCATGGTCCCCATCACTCTCCATGAGAACTTCCATGAATCCTGAGCTTGTAGGGAGGAAACAAAACTAAAGGTATGAACCAGGATGCGAACATACCAAACACTGGTAAAAGATAACAGCTTGAAGTTGGCTGAGCCAGGGTCCACACACTGGCGGACAGCCTCCCTCTCATTGGTTGTAAAACCTACGTGTAGACCAACTCGTTGGTTCTTTGTGACTTCCAGTTCCCTTTTCACTGGAAACACAGAAAAGCATGGGTAAATGACCTTTGCTTTGGCTAACCTGTAGTGTAACAACAGAAAGGCTATGGGTTCAAGATCCCCACATGCCTAGAGTCAAATCCTACTTGGTCTAATATGTGTGCCTCAAACTGCCTAAGTCTACAGTTAGCTCATTGTCTCTAAAATGGCATTGAGACCGTTTTTCCTGAAGAATTGTGCTGATGAATTGAATAATCAAATCATATACATAAAAGACTTAGTAGTGGGTCTGATACAATGTAAGTACTCCTCAAACAGTTTTCTACTATTTCCATGATCAAGAAGGCTGAATATGCTCCAAGCCCTTCAGCAGCTTACCAAGTTGGGGAAATGTCTAGTCTCTAGCTTCTCCCTTAGACTTGTTCATCTCTCTCCACCCTCTCCAGGACACTTAGAAATGTTCCCTTAAGATTTTACAAAGAAGAGTAAAGGCTCTACATTTCAAGAAAATTCTTTCAGTCTTGTAAAAATCCTTGAGGAAAGAAAATTCAGACGGCATGGTTAAATGATTAGAGGAGGGAGTAGAAAAAAAAAACAGAGATGAAAAGCAAATTAACATTTGAATAAAGTAAATAAAATATTCTGACCCATTGGGAAACATGTAATTTGTATATAAAAGAAGTTGTAAATATCAATTGGCTTAACATTTCCATTTATCAGAAAGTCTCATTGAGCCATGGCCCAGTCCAATGACTTTACCTATAAGAAATTCTTTGATCTTTAGCCTCTCGTAGCTGCTTATCTCATGGGAAAGTGCAGGTGAAAAGGAATATAGTAGATGTATATCACTTGAGACACCCAGTATCCATCTCCCCTTCTTCTGGAGCTTATATTTACATTTCTTTTGAAGAAAAGTCTCTTCCCCAAAGTCAGTCTATATGGTTTGAGTGAAATCAACCTCACCTCTGAACTCCAGAGATGACCTAGGACTCAGACCAGTGCAATCAGAGTATTTTACTTCCCCAGCCAAGGTGCTCGGTTCAAGAATTTGGACCTAGGACCCCAAAGAGTCCAATGATTCAGGCTCAAATTTGTGAAGATTGAACTCTGTTTCCTCCAGAGTGACCAAATTAGTACAATATAAATCCTTATCTGTTGGAGGCCAAATCACTACTGTGTGGAATAGCCTTTCTGAGATTAAATCTTATATGGAGAAAAATTTCTTACTGTCAAGGGATGAAAAGACACAGATTCCTGAAAATGCTGTTACTACAGCTGAGTCTTACAGCACTTAAGGTCAGACACACCCTGGAAGTTTAAATTATAAGAACAAATAAGTTCCCCATTTTGTTGACACCACATGAACTATATATTCTGTCATCTGCAACCAAAGAGTTCTCAATAGCATCAGTGTTTAATAGGATGGAAATGACTTCTCATGTTCACAGTAGGAAGATTGATAGCAACTACAGGAAAGGGGGAGAGGGAGAGTAGAATGGCCTGAGAGGCTGGAGCCTGTTTCTCCTGGCCAGGCAACTGACCAGAAAAACTCAAGGGAGAGTCTAGGCGTGGTTGCCTTACCTTGAATGGAGAGCTGCAGGGGAGCTAACAGTAGATAAGCTGTCACCTTTCTGATTTCCTCAAAGGATGCTTGAAATGAAATTATACTGATAGACCGAGTGCTCATTGAAAGCAAACAGGGCTGAGTGTTCCCATGGGCTCTAGAATACACATACATATTGCATCCTTGATAAGTATGTGCTTTGGGAAAGCAACTCTCACCCAAGGCTGCAGGGGACACCAAATGGGTTGAGCCCAGAGCCAAACTATAAACTAAATACAAAAGTTCAAAAGGACAAGTAGTAATGGTCACTAAATTTAAATGGACAAGAAGCAGAAAAGGCAAAGGTGAGCATAAAGGCAGAAAAGGCAAAGGTGAGCATAAAGACAGAAAAGCAAGAAGCAGGGTGTGACATGTCGATAAGGAATGATCTGAGGCATTATCTGGGACAGACATTGTTTTCTGCTGTTATTTTTAATGAACCATGCAGGATATAGGTAAGCTGACCAAGCTTAAAAGGTCAGAAGCGGGGTGAACTGAAGAGATGGACATAGAAAGGAATAAGATACAATTATTTTCCTCAATCACTTATGGCACAGTGCAGAAGTGAGATGCATTCACTGGTGATAAAGTGACAAGTAGAATACGGGAAGAGCCTTGCTAGAGAAATAATAAAAGCCAGAGGAAATATGGGAGAAAGAGAAACTGGCTTTTTTTCAGGGAATCTTGGAAGGCTTCATGGAGACACAAGCATTTGAACTGAATTTTCATAGGATTTCAAGCAGGGAAGGTGGAGAGGAAACATTTTGAGTGGAGGGGAAGCAAGCTCAAAGACAAGAAAGATAAGAATATGCAGAACACTGTCAGAGTTTATTCTGAATATAGAGAAAGCAAATGGTACAAGGAGGCCAGTGGACCAGTAGGAAGCTAGAGAGACCAGCTGAGACCAGTGTGGGTTTTGCCGGATGCAGAGCTTGACCTGCATGACAGATGTGGTAGGGAATAGAGGAGGGGAAGAAAGGAGGAGAAATAACAGCAAGGAGGACATGTTAGGGAAGAGGTCATGATGTTCTTGACTGGGAGTGTGAAGTGGGCTGCAGAAGTGAGCGATTCTGCAGTCAAAGGTTGCATCTGGTTGAAAGCAGGTCAGAGGGAAAAAAGTCAAAGATGGCTTTGGGACTTCCAACTAATACAACTGGGAGATGGTGATGCTTTTAAATGAATATTAGTACTAGGATATTACAGCATGGTTTAAAATATTATTTTTCCTTTTTTCAAATGATTCATGTCAAAGATATGCATTTCTGCTTATTTTTAAAATCACTTACATATGAGATTATTTATAACTTTAAAATGTTTCCCAGATTATTCTGACATATGTAGGTTGGGTTCCCTAGATACAGGGCCTCAGACGGGAATTTCAGTCCCATGACATATAATTTATTGAGAGTGCAATCGGGAGATCTCTAAGGGAGGGAAAGAAGCAGATGGGAGAAGGGAACTAGCTAAGCAGGACTGGGCTCCTCTGAAGTCCAGTCTAACCCTGATCCTCTGGGGATCCATGGAGCATGATTACGCCAGAGTTGGGCCCAATTTGAGGTAAAGGGATCAGCATCTGTATCCCTGGCTTCGTGTTGCCCTGAGGCCAAGTGGGGAATGAGCTTAGCCTCCTGGGCATGGAGCTCTCTTTAGCTTAGAAGAATTCTCTACAGAAGGGAGCAGCTGTGACCTTTTAGCTGCCAACATTCATAGCAGCTAAGTATGGGGGTACTGTCCCGGTACAAGGGATCTGGGTAAGGCACCAACAGTGCCCACCACATATGGGTCTTGATGTTAATGTTAGATAACTGCATCTTAGAGTATTTCAAAGAAAGAATGTTTTGGTGACTTGTCAAGTCTTTAATTGTCCTTTGTTTTCTCCTCTGGGGATGAGCTGAAAGAGACATTGCTCCAACTCACCAATCTAAAGGGGGCATCTCGGGCAAAGATCTTAGAGATAGCAAGAAGGCTTCCATGAGAAGTCTGAGCTCTCCATAACATCTTCCATTTCTTTCCTTTCTTTCTTTTTTTTTTTTTTTTTTTTTTTTTTTTGTTTTAGACAGAGTCTCGCTCTGTCGCTCAGGCTGGAGTGCCAGTGGCGCGATCTTGGCTCACTGCAATCTCCGCTTCCCGTGTTCAAGCGATTCTCCAGTCTCAGAACATCCTCCATTTTTAACCCCAGCTTTTCTTTATCCCACAGAGCACCATGGTGAAAATACATTATTGTATGAATTTGTGATTCATAATCTTCGTTGCCTGGTAACATATTAGCTTAACCATCTATCAATCTCAAATTGCAGGAAACACCTGAGCCCAGAAGTAGAAAGAGCACTGAATAAGAATATGGTCAGGCTTCAGGGCTGAAATTCTGAACCAACCAAGGCCATTTCTAAGGGAAAGAGCTTTTAGATAAGCTGTGTGACTGATAAGCAACTTTCAGTAAGGGTTGCGGTCATAGCTTAGTTGCTTATAACAAAGAATTAATGAAGGCAGTAGTTCTGAAGTTGATCACTTCATGAGCTTGTGAGTTTCTGTTACAAGGCCAAAGAAAATAATTCTGTCCAGAGTTGTTTGTTACACCAGAAAGTTTAAAAAATTTAAAAAATCTCAAAAGAAAAAACAAGCATGTGTGTGTGCGTGCACACACATATACAGTTATGGCAAAAGGATCAAGGACACGGGACTAGGTTGAAGGAGCTCTTGCCATCTCCATAGAGGACAATATGCACACCAAAGTATTTAAGGATGGTAATTCATGAATCTGTACCAAAAATAGCTAGACAAATCAATAAATAAACAGGAGAGAAGGAGGGCTCTTGCTTAAATAAAATGCTGATTACTGACTAGTAGATAAGGCTGATGAGCCGGAGTTGGAAAAATCATTATTTTTCAACCATTATAGCAAAGATTGGATCAGGCAAGGATCATCAAAGAATGCTAAATTAATGAAGAAATTTTGATGAGAAGGTAGATAGTTGGAAGAAATTTTGATGAGAAGATAGATAGTTGGAAGATCTCAAGTGTCTTTGACAGACTGTTTTATTAATCGAAAAGGAAACATCCTAACTATACTGTGCAGAAATTGAATAACCATTTGATGGGGAATAACTTGGACAACACTGACTGTATCATCAAAATCTATGTCACTAATGAGGGGCAGATAGACATTGTATGCCTCTGAATGTGATATCTTGACAAGGGCATTGTATCCCCCATGCAATATTCTAGATGAGAATGTACAACCTCAATCTAGTCCTGAAGGATTCGAAGGAATCCCTAAATGAGGCATATTTCATTATAAGGTGAGGGTTGTATTTAAAAATATCAATGTTATAACTGAAAACAAAGGCTAAGGAATAGTTCCAGATTAAAGAAAACTAAAGAGACATGGCAATTAAATGAAATGTGTAATCCTAGACTGAATCATATACTGGAAGGAAAGTCGTTTTATAAATGTCCTGAAATCTACAAGTGATTATGGTTATGTAAGAAAATATTCTTGGCCAGGCGTGGTGGCTCACACCTGTAATCCCAGCACTTTGGGAGGCCAAGGTGGGCAGATCACAAGGTCAGGAGGTCAAGACCATCCTGGCTAACACGGTGAAACCCAGTCTCTACTAAAAACACAAAAAATTAGCCAGGTGTGGTGGCAGGCACCTGTAGTCCCGGCTGCTCAGGAGGCTGAGGCAGGAGAATGGCGTGAACCCAGGAGGCAGAGCTTGCAGTGAGCCGAGATCACGCCACTGCACTTCAGCCTGGGCAACAGAGCAAGACTCCGTCTCAAAAAAAAGAAAATATTCTTTTCCTTAGGAAATACACACTTAAGAATCTAAAAGTAAAGAGCCATGATGTATGCAACCCACTCCCTAATGGTTTACAAAAGTTACATTTATGTGTATGTGTTTATAAACAAATAGATCAGAATGCTAGCAATAGATAAATCTGGGTGTTCATTGTGCTCTTTCTACAGCATTTTTGTATATTTTCATATTAAAAGTTATTTACACCAGTGAAAGAAAAGCCCAGGACCAGATGACTTCATTGGTGAATTCTACTAAACACTTAAAGATGAATTAATGCCAATTATTCTCAAATTCTTCAAAAAATTGAAAAAGAGACAATACTTTCAAACTCAATTTATGAGGCCACCGTCTCCTTTTACCAAAGCCAGAAAAAAATGCTATAATAAAATAAAACTAAAGGCCATAACTCTGTTGAATATGGATGCAAAAATTCTCAACAAAATATCAGTAAACCAAATCCAACAGCACATTAAAAAGATCATACCCCAAAGCCAAATCAGACTTATCCTTGTAATGCAAAGATGTTTCAACAGATGAAAATCAGTTAATGAGATATACCACATAGCAGAATAAAGGATTAAAAACACAGGATCATCTCAATAAATGTAAGAAAGCATTTGATGAAATATAACACAATTTCATTATAAAAATTCTCAACAAACTAGAAATAGAAGAAAAATATCTTAATATAATAATAACCAAAAATGAAAAGCCGACAATTCATGTCATATTCAATGGTGAAAAATTCAAAGATCAGGAGCAAGACAAGAATGCCCATGCTTATCACTTCTACTCAACAAAATACTAAAAATACTAGCCAGAGCAATTTGGCAAGAAAAAAAAAGATATCTAAATTTAAAAAGGAATAAAGTTATCTCTGTTCATAGAAGACATTATCCTATATGTAGAAATCCCTACAAATCACACACACACACACACACACACACACACACACACACACATACACACACACACACACACCCCTATCAGAACTAATTTAAAAATTTAGTAAGGTCAGAGAATACAAAATTAGCAGATTTTAGATTATACATTTCTTGAGGGCAGTGGCCATGTTTATATTCATCTGAATTTCTTACAGGATACCCAGCAGAGTACTATGGGCTTCTGTGCCCTAAATTTTGGTTAAACAATAATGACATTAATAATAGCTGTGACTTACTGAGAACTTACTAAGTTCCTGACCCCATTCTAAGTACTTATGCATATTAAAACATTTAATCCTCACAATGATTGTATGAGGTAGATTCTATTACAAGCCCCATTTTCCAGATAAGAAAACTAAGACATGACAAGGCTACATAATTTGCCAAGGTCAGGAAGTCAGTAAAGTGGCAGAGCCAAGATTAAAACCCAGACAGCTGGGCTCTAGAGCTTATTCTCTTAACCACTACACTGTACTACTTATCTTTACATCATATTAGAATCTTGAGGTCTGAAAGGTAGCACAATTTGCCAGTGTGGCAGAAAAGAGAATTTCTGCAAATAGGGAAGATTGTCACCAGAAGTCAGTGCCAAAAGGGCAGCCACTCCACCTGGTCATCTGCCTGAAGCCATGTTCTTTTATTGTACGATGTCTTTCCAGTAAGAACACACTGGTTTCTTCCAGTGTTTTCCCTGCTTCCTCCCTCAAACCAGCAACTACTCTTTTATGATCGGTTTGTCTTTGAGGCCTCCCTATCCTGGATGTCGCACCACCGAATCTATTTTTTTGTAAGATTTTTACTGTGATAATTTTGTGTAACAATTTCCTTATCCCCAAATCTCAGTGTTTTTTCTCAAATGCTTATTTTTCTTACTCTGTTCTAAAAAGTAGTCATGGTTTGGCTAATATTGACTGGGCTTACCTGGGTCAGGTGGGCTACGAGGGATTCTTAGCTGCTGATCACAGTCAAGTCTGCTCCACGTGTTTTCATCATTTTGAGGCCAAATAAACACCAAAGGTAGATCCTTCTTAAGAGAATAGAGCAAAAGAGGCCAAACTATAAGCATAAGGCCCTTGCATAGGATCCAAGTGCTAATGCTCCATTGGCCAAAGGAAGTTACATGAGCCCAAAATGGACAGGATGAGGGTACATACATATTCTGCCTGCTCTGCTGTGAGGGAAAATCATATGGTAAAGGAGCACAGAAACATATAACCATATTTTAGGAATGAGTAAAGAATTAAGAATGGTAATCCTATCTACAGATCTCTCCAATGTTCCAGAGACAGCAATACAATGGGTTCTCAATACCATCAGGGACAGGAACAGCATAATGTATGGCTTACCCCTTGGCTCCAATAGGGACTCAGCCCCAGCAGTCATTTGGAAGTGGATAGATGAGACCACATCATCAGGGATGGCCAAAGAGCATATTGATATATACTCCACATGTCTCAGAAAAGTCACATTACCCCAGTTTGAATAAGTGTGGTACCATCAACCAACAAATAGCTACTGAGATCCCAGTCTGCAACATCAACTTGGTATTATTGAGTTCAATAGAGAAAAGGTATGTCAAGGGCTACTTGACCTCTCTGGGAGGACATGACTGACATAATTCCAACATTTGTTGCGTAAACCAGCATGTGATTAAGTTCTCAACCACATAGAGGAGCTCCTGGAGAAAAGGACGGTATTTTATAAAGTGATAATTGCACAACATAAAGCACATGCACAGAAAGCCTTGGGGAGCTGAGAGTTTTGAAAGAGGACCTTGAATGTCCTATAGATAGGAAGAACAGATAGAAAATGTTAGATATGCACTTCCAGAGAGGATAACTGCATGCATCAGGAGAGATGGGGGACAATAATAGAGTAAGATATTACAGGATTGCCATTCAATAGAGTTTTAGAAACTTACATTCCAAGAGCAAGAGGGAATAAAGGAAAATAGCCTGGGCTGACAAATACCTTGGCTGCCCTGGTCTGAAATTTCTGAAATGTCTTTTTGAGTTAAAGTTCATTATTTTTTCCTACCTCAAAGCCATTTAGTTTCTGACTAAACTATGTGGAGGGAAAAAATTTTAAATGATTCAACATATGTCACATAGAACTACTGAGCCCTGCCGTTCTTTTTAAAAGACAATCCCCATGAGAGTTCTATTTTTGGTTCGAGCAGATTTTCATTTCAGCCAAAGCTAGCTGGGATGATACTTTTCCCTTCTTTTCTATTCAGCGTGGGAGCCAGTTGGGATTCTTTAAAAGGCCTGCTGTGTTGCTGAGTGTCCTAGAAGAATGTAGCATTGCAGTGGTTCCGGCTGAACCAATAAATCATGACCTGAAAACACCAGCCATTGTGCCCTCCTGTTTATCACAAACAAAAGGAAATGCAGTTCTTTTTCTTTCTTCTTTTGTGGCAATGTAGCATCAAGGGATTATAATAAGAGGACACAGAATTAAAAGCTGAAAACTAGATATTTTTCTAGCTTGAGTTACAATGTTACTTTGAGATTATAAATGTCATTACAGTCACGCCTAGTACTCGCCCAAATCTGATTGCGGAAGCTTAAGGAGACTAAACACCCTTGCCCTTTTGCTGTGGTGGAGACTTTTGACTAGTTCTAGCCAATGGACGGAGATGTGTACAACGTCAAGCTTAGCTGTGAAAAGCCCACACACATTTCTCCAGTTTTTCTTCCCTCACTTGATTGAATAGGAGCCCACTTGTTTCCAATAGTCCAGGTAATAGTTACAGCATCCTATTGACCTGGAATAACAAGTTGCTGTACAGAGGACAGTTGCCTTGTGGGGTGGGGGTGGTCTTGACAATCAGTGGACATCACATAAGCAAGAAGTATACCTTTGCTATGTTCACACATTGAAATCTCAGGATAGTTTGCTTTCACAATTTAATCTACCTACCTTGACTAATAAATGCTAAGCAAGATTTACAGGTCTTAAAATACAGTAACAAATTTAGGCTACAATAATAATGACTAGATAAAGTAGAGTCTAAAGGAAAAAAATGCTTGAGTGGCATGCATTGATCCCCCAAGCTCCACTGTGAACTTTACTCATAGGTGAATCCCTGATATGGTTTCGCTGTGTCCCCACCCGAATCTCATCCTAAATTGTAATTCTTATAATCCCCACATGTTGTGGGAGGGACCCAGTGGGAGGTAATTGAATCATGGAGTCTCATGCTGTTCTTGTCATAGTGAGTGAGTTGTCATGAGATCTGATGGCTTTATAAAGGGTTTTCACCCCTTTGCTCAGCACTTCTCCTTCCGCCACCATGAGAAGGACATGTTTGTGTCCCCTTCCACCATGATTGTACATTTCCTGAGGTTTCCCCAGCCCTGTGGAACTGTTAATAGTTTAAACCTCTTTCCTTTATAAATTACCCAGTCTTGGGCAGTGTGAGAATGGACTAATAGTGGGGCACTGCTGTAATAAAGATACACAGAAATGTGGAAGCAACTTTGGAACTAGGTAACAGGCAGAGGTTGGAACAGTTTGGAGTCCTCAGAAGAAGACAGGAAGATGTGGGAAAATTTGGAACTTCCTAGAGACTTGTTGAATAGCTTTGACCAAAATGCTGATAGTCACCTGAACAATGAAGTCCAGACTGAGGTGGTCTCAGATGGAGATGAGGAACTTGTTGGAAACTGGAATAAAGGTGATTCTTGCTATGCTTACCAAAGGGACTGGACTGGCAGCATTTTGTCCCTGCCCTAGAGATCTGTAGAACTTTGAAGTTGAGAGAGATGATTTAGGATATCTGGTGGAAGAAATTTCTAAGTGGCAAAGCATTCAAGAGGAAGCAGAGCATAAAAGTTTGGAAAGTTTGCAGCCTGACAATGCAATAGAAAATAAAAGCCCATTTTCTGAGGAGAAATTCAAGCCTGCTGCAGAAATTTACATAAGTAACAAGGAGCCAAATGTTAATCAGAGACCTTTGCAGCAGCCCCTCTCAGGTTCAGAGGCCTAGGAGGAAAAAATGATTTCCTGGGCCAAACCCAGGGCTTGCTGCTTTGTGCAGCCTTGGGACTTGGTACACTGCATCCCAGCCATGGCTCAAAGGGGCCAACGTAGAGCTCAGGCTATTGCTTCAGGGAGTGCAAGCCCCAAGCCTTGGCGGCTTATACATGGTGTTGAGCCTGTGGGTGCACAGAAGTTAAGAAATGGGGTTTGGGAACCTCCACCTATTTCAAAGGATGTCTAGACAGAAGTTTGCTGCAGAGGCAGAGCCCTCCTGGTGAACCTCTGCTAGGGCAGTGCAGAAGGGAAATGTGGGGTGTGAGCCCAGAAACAGAGTCTCCACTAGGGCACTCCCTAGTGGAGCTGTGAGAAGAGTGCCACTGTCCTCCAGACCCCATAATGGTAGATCCACCAACAGCTTGCACCATGCACCTGCAAAAGTCACAGACACTCAATGCCAGCCCAAGAAAGCATCCGGGAGGGGAAAGGTACCCTGCAAAGCCACAGGCTCAGAGCTTCCCAAGGCCATGGGAGCCCACCTCTTGCATCAGCATGACCTGGATGTAAGACATGAAGTCAAAGGAGATTATTTTGGAACTTTAAGTTTTAATAACTGCCCTATTGGATTCTGAACTTGCATGGGGCCTGCAGCCCCTTTGTTTTGGCCAATTTCCCCCACTTGAAATGGGTGTGTTTACTCAATGCCTGTACCCCCACTGTATCTAGGAAATAACTACTTGCTTTTGATTTTACAGGCTCATAGGTGGAAGGGACCTGCCTTGTCTCAGATAAGACTTTGGACTTGGACTTTTGGGTTAATACTGGAATGAATTAAGACTTTCGGGGACTGTTCGAAAGGCATGATTATACTTTGAAATGTGAGGACATGAGATTTGGGAGGGGCTGGGGGTGGAATGATATGGTTTGGCTGTGTCCCCACCCAAATCTCATTTTGAATTGTAGTTCCCATAATCCCTACATGTTGTGGGAGGGACCCAGTGGGAGGTAATTGAATCATGGGAGTGGCTACCCCCAGGCTGTTCTCATGATAGTGAGTGAGTTCTCACAAGATCTGATGGTTTTATAAGGGGCTTTTTCCCCAACGTGCGGCACTTCTTCTTGTCACCATGTGAAGAAGGACTTGTTTGCTTCCCCTTCTGCCATGACTGTAAGTTTCCTGAGGCCTCCCCAACCATGTGGAACACTGGGTCACTTAAACCTCTTTCCTTTTTAAATTACCTGGTCTTGGGCCGTTCTTTCTAGTAGCATGAGAATGGACTAATATAACCCCTCAGAATATAATTTAGAACCTAATAGTCTGCACTTTAGATACAATTCAAATATAGTTTCTTCTCACTAGATCAAAGCAGAAAGTTAGAAAGGAGGGTATTCAGTGGCACAATTGCAGCAATAAACAAAGACAGATGACAATTCAGCTTAGATGTTTCTGCTGCAGTCTTGGTCCTGAATCAGTTGAATTTACAATTTTCCATTTTTAATGTCTGATTTTCTGAAATGTCACTTAGTTTGTATGTTGAAGATGATTATTCAGTGTCTTCTCTGTGATCCAGACCACTTTGTAATACCAACCATTTACTATAGAGAATACCATGGGAAAAATATCAGAAGTGTGGCATTTTGACATGGGACCAGCGTAAGTGCAATAGCTTGAACATACATGTCTTCCTTTTTGTTGTTGTTTTGTTGTTGTTGTTGTTGTTGTTTGAGACAAAGTCTCACTCTGTTGCCCAGGCTGGAGTGCAGTGGCGCAATCTCCGCTCACTGCAAGCTCCACCTCCCAGGTTCACGCCATTCTCCTGCCTCAGCCTCCCGAGTGGCTGGGACTACAGGCGCCCACCACCATACCCAGCTAATTTTTTGTATTTTTAGTAGGGATGGTGTTTCACTGGAACATACACATCTTCTTACCACTGGTTCACATCACTGGATCTGAGCATAGTCACAAAATGCGTAAGAAGATGTAAGCCATCAAACCATCAGCTTTTTATTATCCAGAAATGGTGTGATTTACAGTAGGTACTTCATTATATATACAACTATACCCCTGTTTAGAATAACACACTTCAATCATATTTGCCACAATCTCTTTGGAGACTTTTATCTATGGCTAAGTCTATTTGTAATTGGTAACACCAGGTTTATAGTATTACAGACCTTTGATTAGCATCTTCTCCTCACTCTCAACTACTATTTATGAAAAGTAAAATTGAAAGGTGGTGCCTGAAGGAGATTTGATGAAGGCTAGCAGATCATTTTCTGTTATAACCATCAGATGTTTATAACCCACCTCTAAATACTCATAATCCATATCTACCTACTAATCAAATCCTCCGACTTACTATGCATCATCTGTCATTTTTTCACATCTGAAGCCAAGGAAGGAGAGAGTGACTAATAAGATAAACTACGGTGAACGTAATTATCTAACCATATTTTCTTAATTTTCTTTCTTACGAAAAGTGCCTTGGAATTTAAGAAAATGAGTACCTTGTTTTCTTAGCCAGCCTATCTTCCAGAATTGCATCTGGGAATTCCTTGCCTATGAGCACTGGATAATGTTATGTTTAGCAACCAGGAGTTTGGAGTGATGCTGAAAAGAGGATAAATGAAGATGATCCATGCCAGGTAACTAAGTGTAACCTACAGGAGGTCCCTGTTTTTCCATGAGATGTGATTAAGTGTCCTTGGTAAAGAGTTCATACTGAATGGGGAAACTTTTACAGAGAAATAATTCAATACCTTCACAAATTAGATATAGTCAAGGACCCCTCATTTCACTTCTCACAGCCACAGGAACAATCAGCTCTGCAGCAGTCATTGACAAAGTGGACTGTCAGACACAGCCATTTGTAAACACAGTTAAGAATAATGAATTTGTGGACAGGGTTCTTATCTCATTTGTACCCCTCTCTATCATTTCAAGCAAATGGTCAGGCTGAAATAATGGGACTCGTTGTAAGAGAGCTTTAAAGTGGACCTGTGGGTATCACTGGAAATAATGCTTTAATGTTCCAGAGGAAGACTCATCTGGTTTAAGTACAAATAAAACTGTAGTTCAGGATTTGCCTTAACTGCCTCCATTCAACTTCAAATAATGACTTGTAAAATAAAAAATAAATAAATAAAGCAAGTAAGATGCAATTCTGTATTATTTACCCATGTTTACCAAGGGAATTTTATGTTTTCTTTAGAAAATAGGGAGCTAAAACAAGACAAGCTTATCCTTCAATAATTGAGGGCATAGTCATCTGTGTCTTGCGAGCTCAAGGATGCATATATTTGATTGAGGATTCAGCATTTGTTTACATTGGAAGAACTTTCTCCCAATATGCAACAGTTAAGAGTTATTAAAAGTAATCACTATACCCCATATGAAAAAGTTATCTTTTTTCTTTCTGAACCCCATGAAATTCAATGTTTGCATTTTGTCTTTCAAAATCTTTAAAAATACTTATCTGCTGTTCCTGCCCCTATAGGTATAATACTGAGTGTGTTATTTGCTGGTAAAAAATATATATATATTAGGAACAAGAATGATAGATATTCTGGAATAGGGCACTATTCCAACATGGTAGGCTTTTGTTAGGAAACCACAGCAATTAAGAGGCAGGTAAACAAGGAGAAGTAGTTGGTGTCTCAGTGATGGAATGCTGCTAAAGATCTATTAATTCTTTCCTGCTTAAGTGATTCCAATATGGAAGAAGTCTGACAGAGAGAGAGAGCACGCAATAAAGGGGTAGGACAGAAGGCTTGAATAATTTGCAAAATCATTCTGTGCACATGACTATATAGGTCTACCAATTTAAAATTAATTCTTTCCCACACCTAGTTATTTACGTAACACTTTCAACACATACCACTGCAACCCGTATCAGCAAATTTTAGTATTTCCATGAGCCTCAAGAATGTCCATTCAGAAGGGGGCTTCAAGATGCCTGAGTAGAGGCAAGTGGCACTTGCTTCCTCCACAAAGTAAAACCAAATTAGCAAATAGGTAATCACACTTTGAATAGATTATCTAAGAAAGAACACTGGAATTCAACCGAGAAGTGACAGGAAACACTTGAGGCCAAGAAGGAGAGGGAAGCAAGGCAGCCTGCTCATCTGGAGCTGGCTTGGAGCCCAGGGAGGCTTCCCAATGCAGAAAACAGATAAGGGAGAGACCCCCAGTGACCCTTGTTCTCAACAGGGATTCTGCAATCTCAGCCAGTGCAGAGCCAGTTGACCACTTGCCCTGAGACTAACATAGGGAGCTTCCTGGAGACTGTGAGACAGTATTGCTCACGGAGGGAGCTCACAGGAGGTCCCACACACTTCCCAAGTCCTAAGTAGCTACAGCACAGCACCATTTTGGAAGCCTGGCCTGCCTCAGATAGCATCTTGCCCTGGGGCCAAACAGCACCTGCATCGCCATATGCCTGGGGTCCCATTAACATCCCCCACCCACAGCCACAACCACTGCTGGCTGCTGCCAACAAGGCTGAAGCATGAACTATTAGCAATGATCCTATACTCCCAGCAGAGGGGCTGCTGAGCATTTAGAAGCATCCTGAGGACAGGCTTCCATACCTATATCTACCACCCAGAGACAAAGTGTGTGGTACCCAGCCCCCAGCCCCCAGCTGCTGCCACTGAAAGCAACCCTGCCTTCCCCAGTAGCAAGGCCATAGCATAGTCATTGCCATCCCCACTGAGCACTCTGCTGAGGTGGCTGGGATCACCCTACCCCTGCCCACCACAGCCAGTGCCCACATGCACAGCTTTCGTTGTGGGGGATGCTGAGACATTCTGATTTTATCTCTCCAGCACCCAAGCATACTATTGGCATCCTAGAGATTGCATTGCTCCATCCACCACTGGTTGGTCCCTGAGCACTCTTCTCAGGAGCCAGAGGATGAGTCCACTTAACCTGTTACTACTCCCACAGCTGGCATCCACCTCAAATCAAGTATATTTGTTTGAGGAATCAGTATTTGCTAACATTTGAAGAACTTCCTCCTACCTGAGGCACACACCACCTGAAGTCTGGGAACCGGCCTGCCCAGGCCATTGCACATACCACCAACATTCACATAAACTGCTTGGAAGCCAGAGGATTGTCCCACCACTGCCATTGTTTCCCAGGGGCCGAGGATCCACCCAAACCCCAGCCCTCCACTGCTACTGCCAACACCCAAGCAGGCTGCCTGAATGCCTGAGATTTGGCCTTTCTGGACCCACTAACACTGGTGTCAGCATATGCTGCTCTGGGGCCCAAGGACAGGCATGCTTCGCCCACTGCTTCCACCACTGGGGCCCAAGAACTGACCCATATGGTATCCACATCCCCGACAAAACTTCACTACAGCCTTTACTAGCAACCATACTCCAAGCCACTAAGGAAATCACAGATACCACTAATACTGTTTAGACTACAGTATTACAAGTACCCAGATTCAAAGCCAAAGTGACCTAACCAAACAACACCATAGAGAGATCTTCAGGGAAAAAAAAATTGTAATATATGAAAGCAAATACAAAAATTTGGAAGAAGTGTCTGTTATACCAGAGGTACACATATCAAAGTAAGGGCACAAAAAACATGAAAAGGCAGGGAATTACGGCACCTCCCCCAAAACACAATAATTCTTCAACAACTGATGTTAATAAAAAGAAACTTATGAAATGCCAGAAAAAAATCAAAACAATGACATTAAAGAAGCTTAGTGAGATACAAGAGAACACAAATAAACAATACAAAGAAATCAGAAAAACAATTCAAGATATGAATGAGAAATTCACCAAAGAGATATATATGTAAAAGAACCAAACAGAAAAACTGGAATTGAAGAATTTATTGAATAAAATGAAAAGCACATGTGAGAACTTCAACAATAGACTAGATCAAGCAGAAGAAAGAATTTCAGAATTTGAAAATTTTGAAAAACACAGTCAGACAAAAATAAATAAAAAATAATTTAAAAAAAGAACAAAGCCTACATTATATATTGGACACCATAAAGAGACCAAATATTCACTATTTTGTGTTCTAGAAAGTGCAGAGAAAACCAAAGGGGGTAAAAAAAACCTATATAACAAAATAATAGCTGAAAACTTCCCAAGTCTATCAAGAAATTTAGACATCCAGATATAGGAAAGCTCAGAGATCTCCAAATAGATAAAATTCAAAAAATCTTCTCTATGACCCATTGAAGTCAACCTGTCAAAAGTCAAAGGCTAACACAGAATTCTAAAAACAGCAAGAGAAGAGCATCCAGTCATTACTGAGTGAACACCCATCAGACTACCAGATGATTTCTCAGAAGAAACTTTATAGGTCAGGAGACAATAAGATGATATATTTACAGTGCTGAAAGAAAAAAGAAACTGTCAGTGAGGGATAGTATACCCAGCAAGGTTATTCTCTATAAATGAATGAAAAATTAAGCCTTTCCCAAACAAGTAAAACCTGAGGAAATTCATGACAACTTCACTGGTCCTACAAGAAATACTTAAGAAAGTTCTACACATGGAAGTGAAAGGAATAATATCTACCATAATGTAAACACACAGAAGTATAAAACTCATTGGTAGAGCAAGTGCATAAATGAGGAGGAGAAATAACTTGAATATAACCACTGTACAGAAAACCACAAAACCACAATGATAAACCATGAGAGAGAAAAAAAGAAACAAGAGTATAGAAAACAACCAGAAATCAATTAATAAAATGATGGAAATAAATGCTCAGATATCAATAATAACCTTGAATGTAAATTGATTAAACTTTCTATTTAAAATATATAAACTGGCTGAATAAATTTAAACAGAAAACAAGACACAACTATATGCTGCCTATAACAAACTCACCTTACCTATGAAGAGATACATAGACTGAAAGTAAAGAAATGGAAAAAGATATTTCATGCAAATGGAAACCAACAGCAAGCAGGACATAGCTACACTTATATCAGATAAAACAGACTTTACATTTAAAAAAAAGAAACAAAGAAGGTCATTACGTAATGATAGTAATATTGATTCAGCAAGAGGATATAACAATTCTAAACATATATGCACCCAACACTGGAGCACCCAGATATACAAAGCAAATATTATTAGATTAAAGGGAGAGATAGACTCCAATATGACAGTAGTTGTGGACTTTAATACTCTACACTCAGCAATAGACAGATCATCTAGACAGAAAATTAATAACAACAAAAAATGGATTTAAATTGCACTTGAGATTAAATGGCCCTAACAGACATTTACAGAACATCTCATCAAACGGCTACAGAACACACATTCTTCTCATATGGAACATTCTTCAGGATAGACTATATGTTAGGACACAAAAAAAAAATCCCTATTTTTTAAAAAATTGAAATTATATCAGCTATCTTGTCAGAATGCAATGGAATAAATGTAGACATCACTAACAAGAGGAACTTTAGAAACAATATAAATACATGGAAATTAATCACCATGTTCCTGAATGACATTGGGTCAAGGAAGAAATTAAGGAGAGAATCAAAAAGTTTCTTGAAACCAGTGAAGATTGAAACACAACATACTAAAACCAATGAGATACAGCAAAGGCAGTGTTAAGAAGGATGTTTATAGCAAAAAATGCTCACAGTTAAAAAGCAGAAAGATTTCAGATAAAAAATGTAACAATGTATCTCAAGGAACTAGAAAAGTAAAAACATGAACAAATGAAATCATGTCATTTGCAACTACATGGATGGAATTGCAGGTCATTATGCTAAGTGAAATAAGCCAGGTACAGAAAGACAAATATTGTATATTCTCATTCGTATGTAGGAGCTAAAAAAGTTGATCTTATGGAGGTAGAGAATAGAATAGTAGATACCAGAGGCTGGGAAGGTTCAGGTAGCGGGGTGTGGGAATGAAGAGAGATTGGTTAATGAACATATACATACAGTGAAATAGAAGGAATATGTTTTAATATTTAATAGCAGAGTAGGGTGGCTATACCTAACAACAATGTATTGTATATTTCAAAATAGTTAGAAGAGAGGATTTGAAATGTTCCCAACACATAGAAATGATAAATACACAAGGTGATAGATACCCTAATACTGTAACTTGATCATTACATTTTATGTATGTAACAAAATATGACATGTAGCCCATAAATATGTATAAATATTATGTATCAGTAAAAGCACAAAAATCTTCAATAAATGTCCACTTTTACCAAAAACTTCATCCTCCGTATGAGATTGTTAGAAATGAGAGACCCAAGATCATTGTTCTTTGTAATGTAAAATCCGTCGCCATCCTAGTTCTGACCTTGAACTCTTCTACATGTTAGGCCGTTTCCCTGAAGTGGGGGTCTGTGAATGGACATCAAGGGACGTGTGAACATCCCAAATTCCCTGAAACCATGTATGCATGTGTGTGTGTGTGTGTACACATTTTTTTTTACAAGAAGGTCTGTAGCTTTCATCAGGATATCAGAATAGATCTGTAACACTCATCCTTAAAAAGGTAAGGAAGACTGTGTATAGGAAGCATACCTCCTATAGTGTGCACCCAACTCCATGATACATTTACTCTTTTCATCCTCTCAAAGTCTGTAAAGACAGTGTAGGCAAAGCTCATCTTGATTTCTTTCCATCTTCTATTTCTTTTTTTCACTTTCTCCTTCCCCTTGAAGCATCCTTGTCCTCTGAATTATGTCCAGGTACTCTCTGGTGAAATTATTGTCTCAAAGGTATTAATAGCAGGATGTAATGATAGTTTATTTCTCACAACAATTCTTTTGTTCTACATTTAAAACACACACAAAAAAGTAAGGCTTCAGCCAAAAACTAATTCTGTAAGAGTTTTGGACACTGTGGTCCCTGGATTTAAATCACTTAGGGGTCCCTCCCAGCACCTCTCTAATCCCACCAACAAGTGATGATCTGAGGCTGCCTACGGGTGTGGCTGATCCAGACAAGCCTCTTCTTTAAACTACGGAAGATCGCTAAAAGGACACAATTCTAATTCAACAGGAGAAAAACCAGCCAAACTTGTTGAGAGGTCAAATAAAGGTTGGCTTATTATCATGTCCATTTATATTCTGCTCACATAGCCTTATCTCTAAGTTGTATAATTTTATCTCTTTAATAACTTCAGACCATGTAAGAACCTGCATCAGTTACCCTCTCTACAAAGTGAAGGGGTAGGGTAAGGCCAGCATTGCTTATCTTGCATGTCCTATAAGTTAAAACAGCATCTTTTAAAAGAAAATGCAGGCAGAGGAATAATGGGCAGTTTACTAGCTCACACCGCACTTCTGCAGCACAGAGCAGCCTGCAGAGATTGTGTCAGTTCTTCCCGCTGCCTGGAGAAACCCGCTAAAAGAAGCCCCCACACTCTCTGCTTCTCCTCCTTCCTCTGGGCTGACCTACCTCTGTGTTCTCTCCTGGAAAAATCTGGGGTTCTTCTAGAACCCTCTCCACTCTCTTTTTTTATAAATACACCCAGCATCCCAAAGGATATTAGGGTGTTCTCAAACATATATTGATTCAGCTTCTTCCTCCTGGAGAGCGGAATGTGGCCAATTATCTGTTGATGATTCTGAGAAAAAAAAATTGGCTCTGTATATGAAACTGCTTAAATAAGCTTGGAAAGATGGATCATTTTAGACAATCCCTGCAGCTTCCGTGAATCTCTTATGGCACTCCTAAAACCTAATCATCTCCTATATTTTGCCCACTTTTCTGAGCATCAGTGGGTGTATGTATCTTTGTTCCATTAGTATTAATGGGAATTTAGAGCACTTAAGAGGAGACAAGCCTTTCCCTAGAGATGAAATTTTGTGCATTAAGATATCAAAACATGAGAGGATACACATTGATATGTGGTGGATTCCTATGATTGGCTCCATTAACACTAATGGGAATGAGGGCTATCTCTCCCTATCACACTGATGGGGCAGACGTATAAATGCTGGCGCCTCAGGCAGTCCAGACTTTCTGACTGGCCTCACCCTGCATGTAGTTTGCTTTGGTTTTCAAATCCAGCTAGATAAATAGGGCAGAGAACCCGTGATTGAATATAGATACCAGGTCTTCACTCTGGCAGCAGTAGTTTATAGGGTATGGCTGTAAATGAACGCATGAAACTGATTCCATAAGCCACGTCTGTACAACTCATCTATGATTACATCTTTCAAAAAACAGACAAAGCAAATCAGAGATTCAGTTTTTCTAGAAATAAGTTATAAAATCCTGAGGCCGAGGTGGGCGGATCATGAGGTCAGGAGATCTAGACCATCCTGGCTAACATGGTGAAACCCCATCTCTACTAAAAATACAAAAAAATTAGCCAGGCATGGTGGTGGGCGCCTGTAGTCCCAGCTACTTGGGAGGCTGAGGGGCGACAGAGCGAGACTCTTGTCTCAAAAAAAAAAAAAAAAAATCTTGAACCACAGAGATCTATGCATGCATCATGCTCAAGCTACCTAGGAAACCAGCAATCCCCTTATGAGTTCACTGTGCACATCACTCCACCCCAAGCCTCACCTGTCTTCTCTCCCTTACGGTAAAAATATGTACTTAACTGTCTTTCCTTTAGTATATTTTATCTGTCGCTCTTTCTGATATTTTCTCTCTACTTTATGTTCCATATCCTTAATATTTACTTAATTACAAAACTCCAGGCTCTGAAAACATAAAATTTAAACAAGATATAGTACCTTAAGGAGGAAGACAACATGATCAAATTATCCACTAAATGTCACTAGTCAATAAATAATAAATATCAAGGATCTAAGGAAAATTAAGCTGTAAATTATAGCAATTAAAACCACGGAATTAGGAATCCCTAGGTTCCAATCAAAAGTGTAATGTGAGATGTTGGCCAAATCGTTTAACATTTCTGCTTCCATATTGGTTGACATTTAAACAAAAAAAGTCATGTCTACCTTGTAGGATTGTTGTTAAGATTTTGATTGGTAATCTATGGCCACAATAATGCTGCTTAAAAATGTACAAAAGCTTTGTGCCTTACAGTAATAAACATGCATTCTTGTTTATGAATCTGTGGATTGGCTGGGAGGTCCTACACATCTGGCCTGGTCTCGCCTGACTCTGGCTAGCTTGCTTATGTATGTTGGGTGAGTTCGTTGGTAAATCAGATCTCGCTGATTATCTTATTTATGCTGCTATAACAAAATACAATTAACTGGGTGGCTTAAAACCATGGAAATTTATTTCTCATAGTTCTGCAGGCTAGGCCTGAGATCAGCATGCCAGTATGGTCAGTTTCTGTTGAGGGACCCTTTCCCATTTGCAGGCAGCCAGTTTCCTACGGTGTCCTCACATGGTGGAAGGGACAGGGAGTTTTGGGGGTCTCTTATGTGAGGGCACTAATCTCATTTATGAGGGTCCCACCCTCATGGCCTAATCACCTCCCAAAGGCCTCATCTCCTAAAACCAACACATTGAATGTTAGGATTTCAACATGTGAATTTGGGGGAGACACAAACTTTCAAACCATAGCATTGGTCAAGGATGGCCTCAGCTGGGATGGTTCATCTGTGCTCCATGTCATCGCTCAACCTTCAGCGGGCTTCTTCATGCTTGTTCTCCTGGTGGCAGAAGGTCCAAGAAAGAGTGATGCCAACCTCTCCAGATTCTCAGTCCCATGCTCTTAGGTGCTGGGCAATGACCAACAGTGACTGGACCTGTGCAACTGGGCCACCAGTTGCTTCCTGCGGGAATGTCAGGCTTACCACACAGCTGAGTTTCTGGTTCATCCTACGAGATCTGACTAACGTAAATGCCATGCTTAGGAACCCAGTGTCTGTCTTTATAAGAGAAGCTGCTAAATACTAGGTGATACAAAACTGGAAATGCTAGGAGTCAATCCACTAGGAGATCACCTTTGAGCAGTAGAAAATAGGACACAGGAGGGATCAGGCAAGTAAATAAATAAATGTCCTCATCATATTTCCTTTCATGGACTGCTCTGTGGGCAATGTCTTTGCAACACCTGTCCAGAAACATTACATGGGGCTAAGCTCCTGCCAGACAACGTACTATTATCTATGCACAGATCATCATGAAATAATAACTAGTACAATATCCTGTGACCTTGTTTTCCACCCTTCTCTGCCTCTCTTTCCTTTGTCTTCACCTTCTCTCGTACCTCTTGCAATCTTAGTCTGTGACTTTTTCTAGGCAACTCTAGCTGAAAAATACTTTTATTGTTTATCTTGTGCGTATATTGTGTATCTGTAAATTGTATAATGAATCAATGTAAGATAAACAATAATATATCAACATTTGTCTAATGATTAAAGCTTATAGGAGCTACCTCCACACAAGTAACATGTGTGTGTAGTCCACTCATGAGGAAAACTCGGATACTTTTATGATTACATGGCAAAAAGTGATAAGACTGCTTCCTGCACCGTTTGGAAATACAGCATTTAGGCAGGTATTGGGGAAAAAAAAAAACCAAATTGCTTTGGTGCCACAGTTAGGTCAAGTTTTAGGTCAGGTCATAGTCATGCAACTGGAGATGTTTTACAGAACAGATTGAGTCAGTGGAATGAATGCAACTGGCCTGCAAAGCTGTGCACCCCCTACAAACAAAGTCCAGAATTCAGAGAACAAAGGGCTTTATTTCATCGCCTACATTTTCCAATAGCATCTAGTTGTCCTTTTATATCTGCCTTTAATCCATATCCCTCCCTTCTCAAATTGTGACTGTGTCTAAAGCATTTTCTCAAATTAAGAGACAAAAACTGAGGAAAACAAAACTTCTCAGGCTACATCAATGTACTAGCAGGGGAGGGAGGTTTGCTTCCTGTCCTCTATATCTCAATATCGGAGAACCTCATATCTTCAACATCTGTGAAGAGATAGTTGTTCTTGAGTTAGAGGAGGCTGAGGGTGATGAGCTGGGCATGATGAGGGTCATGACACTATCAGGTTATCTATTGAATTATACCTTAGTTGCTGTGTCCTCTTCAGTCTAAGAAAGAAAGTATAAGGTGAGGTTTACAATATGACTTTGAGAAGGAGCCAGACCTGAGTTCAAATGTGGGCTCCCATCTTTACTAACCTTGTGATTTGGAACAAGTTGTATCATCGACCTTTCTTTAGTCCTATAATAAATAAGAACATCCTTCTGGATTAGTGTCCTAAGTAAGCTACCCCTGAGATGAAGATTCATGAGCAAATGATTTATTAAGGAATTGCTCTCAGGAATAGTGAGGGAAGCTAATAGAAAGGAAAGAACCAAAGCAGGAAGGAGAATGAATGTGAATTCCAATCTCAGCTTGATCCCAAAGGAAGCTCTAGAGTATAAATTATACCCACAGTTGGTCCTACCTCAAGGCAAATAAGCTGATCTTTCTTACTTCAGTACCGATCAGTTATTAGTTAAGGCTCACATCTGCACTTGTAAATTAAGAATGATATCAATATTGCCGAGCTATTTGAATTATAAATTTTGTTTTTAAAACACTTAGCAAAATGTGCCTAGTGCAAAGGAAGAACGTAGTGTGTGCTAGGTTGTTTATAATAATGACTGTCACTACTATTGAAGAAATTGAGCAAGTTGCTTCACGTATTTAGCCAAAGCAGGCCCTTGAAACAGGAGACATGGGCTTGATTATTTTCCTTTAAAATCTCTATCACATAAGTGGCATGCTTATACTCCAGGTCATTTGGTACCTAAGTTCTTCTGGGTGACTCAAATTCTAAAATGAATTAGAAATAGAGTGAAGAAGCACACTACCCTTGAACCCTTGAACTTGAAACCAAGAAGGTATGAAAGGGGATCCTTTAGTATTTATTTCCAGAGGCATCCATTTCAACCTCTAGGTTAAAACAGTCCCAGGAAATTCTGTCTTTGTTTTCAGATTCTCTCCTAGGTCAACTCTGTAAATGTTTCTGGGTTTTACATTACATTCCATAGAGAAAAGCTTGAGCTGACTCTTCTTTTGCATTTTTATGCTTGTGTGGCTTAGACCTTCTTACAGTTCCTGTTGATAGCTGCCAGTCATTCTCCCTTAGGGAGCGAGATTTAAAATTATCATCAAGAATAAAGGCGCATCCACCAGAAATGTAATATCTCTAAAACTTGACCTTCTTGAAGTTCAAAAAACAGAATCACTAAATTGAAAGGAAATCCTTCTGTGTAGGGTTGACCTTATTGACTAAAATCAGGACCAGAGGTTCAATCTGCCTCCCAAGTGTGTTGTAAAGAGGAAGAACAGAAAGAAACATAAGGAAGTGGAGATGAGGCTCATTCAGTGGAATTTGGTACCACAAATGTATTGAAGGACTTCCGTGTTTACTCACTTTGTTGCCGTGAGGAAGTACCCCTGCCACCTCCCGTGTGAACCGCACTATAACTCCTACAACCACATCCACAGCAACAATACTCAGCAATGACTCTGAGGATAACACTCTCCTGGTATTTTTCCATATTTGTAAAATATATTTGGAACTAAAAAGTGAAGGTTCATAAAAAAGTCAACAGTTTCATATTTAAAGAGCTAAGATCCAAGCACTTAGAAGCTTTCATCGTGTTCTGATTCTTCCCCTCCTGCCATGTGTTAACTCAGAGAACAGTAGGCAAACACAAAGTCACCTACTTTAGTGGGTGGGCTGTCACACATCTTGAGCCATGTCACAGATACCATACTAGGTGCAGGCATATTTCCTTCAAGAAGCTTGTAGTCCAGATGGGAGATAAGGCTTTCGAATTGGTTGATATAGTGCCAAATAAGTGAATTTTATTAGGGTTATATGGGTTTAGTGACTGAATAAATTATTGAGAAGCAGGCTGGTCTTAATAATAATGTTTGCAAGGCAAACATTATGGAGGAGGTTTATTTTGGAGAGCAGCTTTCTGTAGGCAGGCTGAGAGGAGCAGAGAAGGCATCCCACGCTTAGGGGATGCATAAGCAACGGCACAGAAGGGAGTTTACGAGATATATCTGATGCACAGTGGGCCTACCTGCAACAAAGAGTTTACAATAAAATCTTGAGATATTTTAACCAGGGCTAAATAATCTTTCAAATATTTTTGAAATGTCAACGTCTTCCCTTATTAAGCAATCACTGGTTGTTGCTTAAATTACTATATTAATTATTTATTTATGCGTAACCAACCACCACAGACTCAGTGATTGAAGACAATAACCATTTTATATACTCATGATTCAGTGGAAGAACAATTTGAACTGTGCTTAACTAAGCGATTCTTCTGTTGGTCTAGTCTGGGGTCACTTATGCAGCTTGGGTCATCTGGCAGCTCAAATGGGGGTGGGTGGCTTCAAATATATGCTTCTGTTTTAGAGACAATCTAAAGCAAGCTTATCTATCCCGCAGTCCATGGGCCACATGCAGCCCAGGACAGCTTTGAATGTGGCCCAATACAAATTCATAAACTTTCCTAAAACATTACGAGATTTATGCATGGACCCTATTTTTTTAAAAATTAGCTCATCATGGATTATTAGTGTTAGTATATTTTATGTGTGGCCCGAGACAATTCTTCTTCCAACGAGACCCAGGGGAGCCAAACAATTGGACTCCCCTGGTCTAAACCCATAGATTCATTCATATTGGGGCACATCCTCCCCCACCCCGATTGCACTATCTCCATTTCTGAGTCTACACTCCTGCATTTCTTTTACTCTGCACTAGTGTTATTGAAAAGGGGTCCCAATTCAGATCCCAAGGGAAGGTTCTTGGATCTTGAGCAAGAAAGAATCCAAGGTGAATCCAGAATAAAGTGAAAGCAAGTTTATTAAGAAAGTAAAGGAATACAAGAATGGTTACACCATAGACAGAGAACGATGTTCCTGAAAGCAAGAGGAGGAACACATCCACCTTAGGTACAATGCTTGTTTACGTATAAGATTACAAAGCAAAAAATCATGCGGAGATGTGTTCTATTACAAAGGCTCATGACAAATGATTGTTAATCTTTGTGTAACTACTGTCTACTGCAAGAATCTATATTATTATTGTTAACATGAAACTTATGCTTAAACTAAGAATGCTTTTGTTCCTGAGATATGGGAACATCAGGGCATTTCCTGGGTCTGTTAAGTCCTGGATCTAGTAAGTCCTGCGTCTGTTCAGTAAACATGATTAACCTGTTCCCTTAACCATAAACTTCTTGTGACTAAGAATGCCTAACTTTCTGGGAATGCAGCCCAGCAGGTCTCAGCCTCATTTTACTCAGCCCCTATTCAAAATAAAGTGGCTCTGGTTTGAAACTTTCTGACACTAGGTGGGATCTGGTTCATTGATTTTGCTTTTCCATGAGTGCCATGGGGAAGTCTCTGATGCCCTCGAATGATATCAAGAGAGATAAGAGTAATGGGTCTGAAGAAAAAACATTTATCTTTTGCCACAGTGAAGAAATTCTAAGTGAGATATTAAAATTAGAGATAAGTCTATCCCACTTACCCAACCTTAAAATAGATTATCCCAGCTGAGTGTGGTGGTGAGTACCTATAGTCCAGCTACTTGGGAAACTGAGTTGGGAGGATCACTTGAACCTAGGAGGTCAAGGCCAGCCTGGGCAACATAGTAATACCCTGCCTCTTAAAAAAATCCCTTAGCATCAGGAATGTTCTGGAATGTTTAGGTCAAGAAGAGATCAACACAGCTTGTTCAGTATGTTACAGTAAGACACAGAAAGAGTCCATAGTCTTAGGAGAACATCGCCATGATGAGCCTGAACAACAGTGGTGACATTTTTTATTCATTAGGGAGAAAACAAATCTACATGGTCCTGTTACGCATCTGCAGGCTCTGGCACAGGTATGAAAAGGACAAATATCAGTACTTTGTCCACCTTTCTCCTTTTGGGCTTAAGCAGGAGATTCACAGTATACCAGCAGCACCTTTTCTTCTTTACACCTGCAATATAATTTGTCAGTATCTGAAAGTAACATTTATTTTCATTTACTTTCAGTATGAAAATCTAATTCCTTAACCTCCCAATATTTGAAAAAGTTGCCACTTAGTGGTCTGAAACAGAATCTAACTAAATGGTGCCCAAATAAGCTGAAATTGTTTATGTGCTGTCTAAAGGAATCCTAAAAAGCCTTTTAAACAGAGAGAATACACTTACCTCAGTACTCTGCCTATAGTCACTTACTCAAAGGTGCTGTGGAAGGGCCCTCAATGTGTTTCAGAAATGCTAATTCATTTACTTCTCAAATGTCTTTATTAAATCTATAAGGAGAAAGAATTTACTGCCATTTTTTAAAAAGAACTGCATTGGCATCTGCTTATATCTTTGGCCTCAACCCCGTGGTGCACATTGACCTGACATCTGAATGTCAACATTTGCATCTCATTGCCTGAGGGCTTCTCTTGCTACCATACTTCTCTGCCTTTGTGCACAGCAGGCAGAAAGGGCTGGAGAATTAAGTTTTCCAGGAGTAGTCATCAACCAATGACTGAAAAAAATCAAAAATCAGTTTCCCACCTCCAGCTCCTTCTTGCCTCTGGCGGGATAACTCTGAGGCCCATATTCTCTACTGGCCCCCAGAGTTACCCAAAGCGTTAAATTCCAGTGGCACACAGTGGCATCACTCTTGACGATCCACCCTACATCACCTGCTTTGATGTCCTGGTGCTTCTTGGGATTATCTCCTAAATAACCCACCTGCAAATCCTTGCCTATGATTCTTCTTCTGGGGGAAGCAAAACTAAGCCAAATCATTTGTCTTTAAATCAGATCTATTCTGATATTGGGGTCCAGAACTCCTTCCATAAGAACATGATCTTTTTTCTATATTTAGAATTGTGGAGTTTATAAATTAGAAGAGAACATAGAGAATTTTTTTTCTAAACGCTTCATTCTACGGAGGAGAAAACAGGATCAGAGAGGTGTGGAATTTGCAGACATGAAGCTTCTTGGTAAAGTGAAGCATTATTTTGTTCCCAGAACAGTTCTGTCTATACACACTAAGCCATACCATATTGATTGTTTTGAGAGCATCTATACATTTTTTCTTATTGAATATGACATAATTAAAATAAAATATACTTTATACTTATTGGAGTATAAAATAATATACTCCAATATATTGTATTGGAGTATAAAATAATATACTCCAATATATTGTATTGGAGTATATAAGGGAGAGAGACAAACTTACAGATAACAGGAAAAAAGGGGCCAGAAGAGAAGATAGGGAAGGAGTAGAAGAAGAGAAAAGCAGGTTAGGTAAGCAGAGGAAGGATAAACTGAATGAAGTGGCCCTCAGTTTCAGACACCCACTGGAATCACTTCAGTACCTTTTAAAAATATTGAATTCTGGTCCATTCCACAGGGATCCTGATTTAATTAATTTGGTGTGCAGCCTTAACATAGGAACTCAACAAAAAAGTTGACTCTAATGGGTAGCCAAGATTGAGAACCACTGGTTTGGTGTAACAAACAATTCTTCCATTATTGAGATAAGAAATCATGTTGCTTCAAGGAGGACCTCTCAGAAGGCAAAAGAGCCTCCAAAAATATTAAAAAATTAAAAAAAGAACACAAATTATAAAAATGTGTGAATTTTTTAAAGTTTACATTTAACCAGTGAACACTTGTAAAGGGCACCATGCAATATATTACAATTAACTTACAGTGCTTCTTGTAGGCCAAAAAATGGCTCCAAAGGAGTTCCATGTCCTAATTGCTGGGACCTGTGAGTACAGTACCTTACATGATAGGTGGGACTTTGCAGGCGTAATTAAATTAAGGATCCTGAGAGGAGGGGATATTATGCTGGATTATCTGAGTGAGCCCAATGTAATCACAAGGATCCTTATAAAAAGGAGTCCCGAGTTTCCGAGTCAGAAAAGGAGATGTGAAGATAGGAGCAGAGGTTAGAGAAATGCCACTGTTGGAAGAGAGATGCATGCCTTTCTAAGCTGGAAAAGGCAAGGGATGGATTTTCCTCTAGAGCCTCCAAAAGGGATGCAGCCCTGCCAACACCTTGATTTAGCCCTCTAAGACACATTTTCAAACTTCTGATGGTCAGACTTGTAAGATAATACACTTGTGGTGTTTTAAGCCACAGAGTTTGTGGTAAATTGTTAGAGTGGCAGTAGTAAACTAATGCAAGGCTGGTGGTGTGGTCTATTAATCAGTTAATTTTAAAGTTGTTTGATAGACATTTTCTTTCACTTCTATACCCCAATGCCAACCCCATAAGTAATGCAATCTAAAGATAATTTTGAAAAATCTAAAATAAAAACCCTCTGAGACTGTGTAGCCCAGGCCAAATGACCCTCTTGGCCCTCAGTGATTTTCTTTCACTTTTATACCCCAATGCCATCCCCATAAGTAATGTAATCTAAAGATAATTTTGAAAAATCTAAAATAAAAACCCTTTGAAACTGTGTAGCCCAGGCCAAATGACCCTCTTGACCCTCAGTGATAAGCTCTGATTCCAAGGGCAGAAGATGATGTTGCAGATGATATAAAATAGGACATATGCTGACATTTGCCTAAATATTGTGCCCAAAAAAGAGAAGTAGAGATTGTAAGCAAACACTTGTTTATTTATTTATCTATTCATCCATTCATTTATCCATTCAACCAATACCTATTGGATCCTGGTATTGTGTTGGGTATGGGGCATTATCTAGTACAGTTAGGATTGCCAGGTAAAATACCAGATACCCAGTTAAACAAATTTTAGAAGAACAACAAACAATTTTTTGCATAAATGTGTTCCAAATATTGCATTATGTTTATGTTGAAATATTGTTCGGTGTTTATCTAAAATTCAAGTATAACTAGGCATGTTGTATTTGTATTTGCTATATTTGGCAACCCTAGGCATAGTAGTTCTCAGCCACAGGATACACTGCTGTGCTCCTGGTAATTTCTTACTATATTTTGTGAATAACCTATTTTGATAGAAATTAGGCTGGATTTTCTCTCATGCATTTTATTCTGATATGTAGTTTTGCTACAAAGAAAGACTAGACTTTAACAGGTCATTGAGTCAATCAACTAATATATTTTATGCCCACTATGGGCCAAGCATCATTCCAGCTGCTAGAAGTAAAATGTTGATTGATCCAGGTAAAGTCCTTGTTCTCAAGGAGCATGTTTCTTTCTTATTATGATGGTTGAATAAATTATCATAGTGCTAGAGGACACAGTAGGTGTTCAGTAAATGTTATAGAATGACTACTTTGAGTACTGGTGACTTAACGCTCTATCTTCAAGAGGCTCAACATCAAGTGAGCAGGTTAGTCCTACCCGCATTTTTCTGTCGTAGGCCCAGGAAGAGAGACCTCACTAGGTTCTGTTCTTCCTCAGTGAGATAAGTTTCTAAGTGGCAGTTCAGGGAGTGAAGTATGGTGGACTCTGTGATGTTTGTTTGTAAGTCAAAAGCCCCTGATGAGACATTGTATTTTTTTTTTAACCTTTTTAACCCATTATAGAGATGGCCATAATTCCTTATAGGTGGGAGTACTAGTCATTCAAATGTTGCCATTCACAAGGTCACTTATTGAAATACAATTTATTGAAGTACTTTCCATGCATGAAGGAGATAAACTTGTTTTCACAGTTGATTGATTTTTATTTGTTGATCTGAATTCTCGCTGAATTTTATTTGCTTTGATACATTTTTCTAGATTCCTTTTTTTATTTTAAATTTTAATTTTTATGGGCATATTTTATGGTAAATTGTAATACATATTTTAATTTATAACAGGTATATATATTTATGGGGTACATGAGATATTTTGATATAGGCATACAATGTGTAATAATCACACCAGGATAAATGAGGTATCCATCACCCCAAGTATTCATCATCTCACTGTTACGAACTTTCAATTTGTACTCCCTTGGTTGTTTTAAAATGTACAACAAATTATTGCCGACTGTAGTCACTCTGTTGTACTATCAAATACTATATCTTATTCATTGTATCTAACTATATTTTTGTACTCATTAATCATCCCTACTCTTCTCCTTACCCGACTACCCTTCCTAACCTCTGTTAACCATGATTTTACTCTCTATCTCCATGAGTTCAATTCTTTCAACTTTTAGTTCCCACAAATGAGTGATAACACGCAATGTTTGTCTTTCTGTGCCTGCCTTACTTCACTTAACATAATGTCTTCCAGTTCTGTCCATGTTGCAAATGACAGGATCTCTTTTTTTTTTTTTTGAATGGAGTGTTGCCCTGTCATCCAGGCTGGAGAGCAGTGGCGCAATCTCAACTCACTGCAACCTCCGTCTCCCGGGTTCAAGCAATTATCCTGCCTCAGCCTCACAAGTGGAGGGATTACAGGAACCCGCCACCAAGCCCAGCTAATTTTTGCATTTTTAGTAGAGACAGGGCTTCACCGTGATGGCCAGGCTGGTCTCAAACTCCTGACTTCAGGCGATCCACCTGCCTCGGCCTCCCAAAGTGCTGGGATTACAGGTGTGAGCCATGATGCCCGGCCTCATTTTTTTTTTTTTTTTAATGACAGAATTAGTACTCCATTGTGTATATTTACCACATTTTTTTTTATCCATTCCTCTGTTGATGGATACTTAGGTTGACTCCAAATCTCGACTATGGTGAATGGTGCTACAATAAGTGTGGGAGTGCAGATATCTCTTTCATATACTGATTTCCTTTCTTTTGAGTATATACCTAGAAGTGCGATTTCTGCATCACATAATAGCTCTATGTTTAGTTTTTTGAGGGACCTCCATACTATTCTCCATAGTGGCTGTACTAATTTACATTTCCCCCAACCGTGTACTAGGGTTCCTATTTCTTCACATCCTCACCAGTATTCGTTATTGCCTGTCTTTTGGATAAAAGCCATTTTAACTGTGATGACAGGATATCTCATTGTAGTTTTGATTTGCATTTCTCTGATCAGTGATGTTGAGCACTTTTCACATACTTTTTTGCAATTTGTCTGTCTTCTTTCGAGAAATGCCGATTTATATCTTTTGCCCATTTTTAAATTGAATTATTAGATCTTTTTTCCTGTTGAGTTGTGTGAACTCCTTACATATTCCGGTTTTTAATCCCTTGTCAGATGGATAGCTTGCAACTGTTGTCTCTCATTCTGTGAGTTGTCTCTTCATTTTGTTGACTGTTTTACGGTTTTCTTTTGTGTTTTTTGGATTTTTGGTGGGTTTTTTGTTTTGTTTTGTTTTGTTTTGTTTGTTTTTTACTGTGCAGAAGCTTTTTAATTTGATATGATTAATCTCATTTGTCCATTTTTTATTTGGTTGACTTTTTTGGGGGGCATTACTCAAGGAATTTTTCCCTAGACCAATGCCCTGGAGGGTTTCCCCAATGTTTTCTTTTAGTAGTTTCATAGCTTGAAGTCTTAGATTTAAGTCTTTAATCCATTTTGATTTGACTTTTGTGTATGGTGACAGATAGGGGTCTAGTTTCATTCTTCTGCATATGAATATTCAGTTTTCCCAGCACCACTTATTGAAGAGACTGTCTTTTCCCCAGTGTATGTTCTTAGCAACTTTGACACAAATGAGTTAACTGTAGATGTATGGATCTATTTCTGCATTCTCCACCTTGTTCTATTGGTCTGTGTGTCTGTTTGTTTGCCAGTACACATGCTGCTTTGGTTACTATAGTGCTGTAGCATAATTTGATGTCAGGTAACCTGATTCTTCTGGTTTTGTTCCTTTTCCTCAGGATGATTTTGGCTAGTCTAGGTCTTTTGTGGTTTCATGTACATTCTAGGATTATTTTTTCTATTTCTGTGAAGAATGTAATTGGTATTTTGATAGGAATTGCATTGAATCTATAGATTGCTTTGAGTAGTATGGGCATTTACACAATATTGATTCTTCTAACCCATTAACATGAAATATTTTTCAAATTTGTGTGTGTTTTCTTCAATTGCTTGCATCAGTGTTTTATAATTTTCATTGTAGAGCTCTTCAACTTCTTTAAATAAGTTTGCACCTTGGTATCTTGTTTTACTTGTAGCTATTGTAAATGGGATCACTTGCTTAATTTCTTTTTCACATTGTTTGCTGTTGGCATATAGATATGCTACTGACTTTTGTATGTTGACTTTGTATCCTGTAACTTTATTAAATTTGTTTATCCATTCTAATAGTTTTTTTAGGTTTCTAAATATAAGATCATATTACCTGCAAAGGAGAATAATTTGACTTCTTCCTTTTTAATTTGGATGCCCCTTATTTCTTTTTCTTGACTGATTACTTTAGTTAGAACATCTGGGACTATGTGGGATAACAACGGTGAAAGTGGACATCCTTGTCTTGTTTCTTAATCTTAGAGGAAAGGCTTTCCATTATTTTTTCCCATCTAGTATGATACTAGCTGTGGGTCTGTCATATACAGCTGTTGCTGTGTTGAGGTATGTTCCTTCTATACTTAGTTGTTTGAGGGTTTTTATAATGAAAGGATGTTAAATTTTATCAAATGCTTTTTCAGCATCAATTGAAATGATCACATGGTTTTTGCCTTTTATTATGTTAATGTGACTTATCACATTGATTGATTTGCATATATTGAATCATGCTTTTATCCCTGGAATAAATCCCACTTGGTCATGATAAATTATCTTTTTAATGTGCTATTGAATTCAGGTTGCTAGCATTTTGTTGAGGACTTTTGCATCAGGGTTCATCAGAGACATGGTCCTATTTTCTTTTTTCGATTTTGTCTTTGTCTCATTTTGACATCAGGGTAATATTGGCCTCATAGAAGTAGTTCGGAAGTATTCCTTCCTCCTCTATTTTTTGGAATATCTTGAGTAGGGTTGAAATTAGCTCTTTAAAAATTTGGTAGAATTCAGCAGTGAAGCTATAGGGTCCTGTGCTTTGCTTTGCTTGGATTCATTTGATTATGGCTTCAATCTCATCACTTGTTATTGGTCTATTCAGGCTTAGAATTTCTTCATGATTCAAGCTTGATAGATTGTATGTGTCTAGGAAATTATTCATTTCTTCTAGCTTTTCCAATTCATTGGCATACAGTTGCTCACAGTAGTCTCTAATTATCCTTTGAATTTCTGTGGTATCAGTTCTAATATCTCCTTTTCATGTCTGATTTCATTTCTTTTGGTCTTCTCTCTTTCTCTAGTGTGGCTAAAGGTTTGTCAATTTTGTTTATCCCTTCAAGAAACCAACTTTTCATTTCATTGATCTTTTATATTTTTTAGTTTCAATTTCACTTATTTCTGCTCATATATTTATTATTCTCTTTCAATAAATAATTTCGAATTTGGTTTGCTCTTGCTTTTCTAGTTATTTAATATTTATTGTTGTGTTGTTTAATTGAAGATTTTCTACATTTTTGATGTTGCTTATTGCTATAAACTTTCTTCTTAGTCCTGTTTCTACTATATCCTATAGATTTTGGTATGTTGTGTTTCCATTATCATTTGTTTCAAATAATTTTTAAATTTTCTGCTTAATTCTTCATTGACCCACTGGTAATTCAGGAGCATATTGTCTAATTTCCATGTATAGTTTCCAAAGTTCCTCTTGTTACTGATTTCTAGTTCTATTCCATTGTTGCCAGAGAAAATACTTGATATAATTTCTTTTTTTAATTTTTAAAGACTTGTTTTGTGGCCTAATGTATGGCTTATTCTTGAAGATGATCCATAAGTTGAAGAGAAGAATGTGTATTCTGCAACCAGGGGATGTAATGTTCTGTGAATATCTATTAGGTCCATTTGGTCTATAGTCCAGATTAATTATGATGTTTCTTTGATTATTTTTTGTCTGGATGATCTTTCCAATGCTGAAAGTGGGGTGTTAAAGCCTCAAGCTATTTTTGTATTGGAGTCTACCTCTCTACCTCTCTTTAGCTTAATAATATTTGCTTTATATATCTGGGTGCTCCAGTGTTGGAAATATATATATAATATATATATATACACACACACACACACACACACACACACACATATATATAATTGTTACATCCTCTTGCTGAATTGATTCCTTTATCATTGTATAATGACCTTCCTTGTCTTTTTTTTGTAGTTTTTATAGAAATCTATTTTATCTGATCTCAGTATAGCTACTCCTGCTCTCCTTTGATTTCCCTTTGCATGGAATATCTTTTTCCAGCCCTTTATTTTCAGTCTATGTGTGTCTTTATAGATGAAGTGTGTTTATTGTAGGCAACGGACCAATGAATCTTACGGGGTTTTTTTACCCATTCAACCACTATGTCTTTTGATTAAAGAATTTAGTTTATTTATATTTAATGTTTCTATTGGTAAGTGAGAACTTACTCCTGCCATTTTGTTGTTTTCTGGTTGTTTTTTCTTCCTCTCTCCCTTCCTTTCTTTCATCTTATCTTCCTTTTTGTAAAAGTTATTTTGTCTAGCATTATATTTTAATTTCTTGCTTTATATTTATCATGTAACAGTTTTAAGATATTTGACTTGAGGTTACCATGAGGTTTGCGAATAGCAAGTGAGTTTTGCATATTCAGATGATATCTTATTGCTTGTTAATATCTTTTTTCTTCAGATTGAAGAACTCTCTTTAGCATCTCTTGAATGACAGGTCTGGTGTTGACAAAATTCCTCAGCTTTTGTTTGTCTAGGAAAGTCTTTGTATTTCCTTCATGTTTGAAGGATATTTTCACTAGAAACATTATTCTAGTATAAAAGTTTTCTTTTCCCCCTTCGGCACTTTAAATATATCATGCCACTTTTCCTCGCCTGTAAAGATCCACTAAGAAATCTGCTGCCAGCTGTATTGGCACTCCTTTATATGCTACGTTATTTCTTTTGCTGCTTTTAGAAGCCCTTCTTAATTCTTGACCTTTAAGAGTTTGACTATTAAATGTTTTGTGACAGTCTTATTTGGGTTAAATCTGCTTGGTGTTATATAACCTTCTGTAATTGAATATTGATATCTTTCTCTAGGTTTGGAAAGTTCTTTGTTATTATACCTTGGAATAAACTTTCTACCCCTACCTCCAATAATTCTTAGCTTTGCCCTTTTGAGGCTATTCTTTAGATCCTGTAGGTATGCTTCATTATTTTTTATTCTTTTTTCTGTTAACTCCTGTGTGTATTTTCAAATAGCCTGTCTTCAAGCTTACTAATCTTTTATTCTTCTTCATCAGTTCTGCTGTTGAGAGACTCTGATGCACTCTTCAGTTTGTGAATTAAATTCTTCACCCCCAGAATTTCTGCCTGATTATTTTTAATTATTTCAATCTCCTTGTTAAATGTATTCAATAGGATTCTGAACTTCTTCTCTGCGTTATCTTGGATTTCATTAAGCTTCCTCAAAACAATTATTTTGAATTATCTGAAATGTCACATATTTCTGTCACTCTAGAACTGGTTACTGGTATCTTATTTAGTTTGTTTGGTGAGGTCATGTGTTTCTGGACAATGTTGATGATTGTGGATTTTTATCAATGTCTGGGCACTGAAGAGCTAGGTACTTACTCTGATATTCACTGTCTGGCTTGCTTGTTCCTGTCCTTCTTAAGAAGACTTTCCAAGTATTCAAAGGGAATTTAGTGTTGAGATCTGTCTTTGTTCACTGCAGCTGCATGTGCATTTGAAGGCATGCCAAACACTGTGACTCTTGCAGTCTCATAGAGGTATTGCCTTGGTGGTCTTGGGTAAGATCTGGGAAATTTCCCTGGATTACCACCACAAATGGTGTCTATCTCTGTGCGAGCAGCCTGGAGGTGGGTGATGCAAACACTCCCATGGCCGCCACTGCTGGAACTGTGCCGGGTCACACCTGAAGCCAGCATAGTACTGAATCTCACCTAAGGCCCACAGCAAGTACTGCTTGGACATTGCTGATTTTTATTCAAGGCCCAGGGGCTCTTTAGTCAGCAGTTGGTGAATCCTGTCATGAATGGGTCTTTCCCTTCAGTGCTGCAGGTTTGCTTCTGGTATATGGGGGGCCTAGAAATGCCACCCAGTAGCTAGGGCATAGGATTGAGGGCTTTATATATCTACTTGGTGCTTTGTTTTACTAGGGGTGAGCTGATACTCAGGTTGCAAAACAAAGTATTGTTTACTTGTTCCTCTCCTTTCCTCAAGAAGAGGGAGTTTTTCCCCATGGCCACCACTGCCCCAGGCCCATGGTGACTACTGTCTGGCTACTGCTGATGATTATTCAAGGATCAAGGACTCTTTAGTCAACAGGTAGTGAGTTCTACCAGGCTTGGGCCTCCTTCCTTCATAGCAGTGGGTTTCCTTCTTTGAAACTCACTCAGGATTTAAGGCAGGTCTAGAAATGCCCTCTAGAACCTAAGGCCTGGAATGGGGACCTTTAGGAACCTGCTTCATGCTTTTTTTACTGTGGATGAGCTGGCACCCAAATTGCAAGACAAAGTTCTTTTTACTCTTTTCTCCTCACTTCAAGCAGGAGTCTCTTCCCATGGCCACCACAGCTGGAAATGTGCTGGGTCACACTTGAAGCCAGCACAGTAGTGGGCCTTGCCTAAGGCCTGTGGCAACTGCTGCCTGGCTCCTGCTGATGATTACTCAAGGCCCAAGGGCTCCTTAGTCAGCAGGTGGTAAATTCTTCCAGGACTAGGTCCTTTCCTTCAGGGCAGTTGATTTCCTTCTGGCCCAGGATGGGTCTAGAAATGCCCTAGATGTAACCTAGAACAGGGACATCAGGACTCTGCTTGGTGCCTTATTTCACTGTGGCTGAGCTGGTATCCAGGCTGCAAGACAAAGTCCTCTTCACTTTTTCCTTTCCTCTTAGAGCTGTGAGTTGTGCTACCTGAAGTTGGGGGGAGGGGCAAAAAAACCACTTCCTTGGCAGCCCCAGCTGTTGTCTCACTGGGTTGCATGCACCCCAAGTCCACTGGCTCTGAGCTCATCGCAGCACCAGGACTTGCCCAGGAATTGCAGTCCTTGTGGCCTTTCCTGCCTTTCTAGTTTAATTAGGACCCCAGAGCCTTTTAGCCCATGGTAGTGGGGCTAGCCAGAACTCAGACTCTGACCTCTGGGGATGGGCAATTTTCCTCTGACTAGGGATGGTCTAAATGCTCCCTCCGAGGACACTAGCTGAATTCTGCCCTGTGTTGCTTTATGCTGGGACAGGGCAGCATTGAGTTCCAAAGCAAAGTCCTACAATAATTGTACTCTTCTTGCCCCAAACACACAGATTTTCTCTCCCACCACACAGTGCTGCTTGGGGATGTGGGAGGAATAATATAGGCAATTCAAGACAGTTTTTCCTATCCTCTTCAATGCTCCTTTTATTAATATGATTTTAAAACAAGATACTGTGATCATTCACCTGGTTTTTTGTTCTTATGAAGGTGCTTTCTTGTGTGGAGAACTTTCTTTTATGTTTTTTTGTCTGTTTCAATTTTGTGTTCCTGAGTGGGGGAAGATCTCTTGAGGGTTCTATTTGGTTATCTTGATCTGCCTCCTCTCCTTGTTATTTTCTATGTAAAAGATCATGCCATCTACAAATACAGACAGTTTTATTTGTTCTTTATACTCTGTATGCCTTTTATTATTTCTTGTTCTTGCCTAATTGCTCAGCCTAGAATCTCCATTACTATGTTGAATAGAAATGCCAAGAACACATGCCTTTGTCATGTTCCTTATCTTAGAAGAAAAAGTTTCAGACTTTTGTCATTAAATGTAAGGTTATCTGTGGGATTTTTTGTAGATACCTTTTATTAAAGTATTTTACATTCTTTATATGTTGAGTATTTTTTGTTTATATTATTTTTCTTTTTTATGAATATTTGCTTCTGTACATGTTGAATATTTTTATGACAGTATGTCAGATTATGTCAAATGATTTTTCTGTGTGTGTTGAGATGAGCATGTATTTTTGTTTTTTGTTCTATTAATACGGTATGTTACATTGATTGATTTTTGTATGTTGAGCCAGTCTTACATTCTGGAACAAATCCTACTTGATTACAATGTGTAATTCTTTTTATATGTTGCTAGATTTGCTTTCTTAGTGTTTTGTTGAGAATTTTTGCATTTATATTCATAAAATATATTAATTGTAGGTATTTGTTCTTGTAATGACTTTGTTTGAGGTTGGCATAAGGATAATACTAGCCTGAGCTAATGGTTGGAAAGTTTTTCCTCTTCTACATTTTGGAAGAGTTTGTGAGAAATTATTGTTAATTCTACTTTAAACTTGGAAAGAATTCACCAGGGAAGCCATCTGATCCTCAGCATTTTTTTTAAAAAAAAAAAGGTTTTAAAAATCTTTTTTAAAAAGTTAAAAAAAGTTTTAAAAAAATTTTTTTAAAGTTAAAAAAAAAGTTTTTAAAAATTGTTTTAAAAGTTAAAGTTTTCTAAAATTTGTTTTAAAAAGTTAAAAAAAGTTTTCTAAAATTTGTTTTAAAAAGTTAAAAAAAGTTTTAAAAAAAGCTTTTTTTAATTAATTATTCTCTTTACTTGTTATAGGTCTATTCAAAATTTCTATTAATTCTTAAATAAGTTTCCTACTTTATGCCTTTCTAGAAAGTTGTCAATTTTCTCCAGGTTGATAATTTATTGGCATAAAATCATTCATTTTGTTCCCTTTTGACCCTTTTTATTTTGGTTAGGTAAGTAGTAATATCATCTCTTTCATTTATAATTTTAATAATTTGAGCCTTCTCACTTTTTACCTGGTTAGTCTTTCTAAAAGTATATCTGTTTTATTGATTATTGTAAAGAACCAACATTTGGTGTGTTTAATTTTCTCTACCATTTTTCTATTTACTATTTCATTAATATATTTTGTAATGCTTATTATTTCTTTCCTTCTACTTGCATTAGGTTTTATCTTCTTTTTCTAGAAACTAGAAAGTTTCTTAAAGCTAAAGACTAGGCTACTGATATGGTTTGGCTGTGCCCCCACCCAAATCTCAACTTGAATTGTATCTTCCAGAATTCCCACATGTTGTGGGAGGGACCCAGGGGGAGGTAATTGAATCATGGGGGCTGGTCTTTCCAATGCTATTCTCATGATAGGGAATAAGTCTCATGAGATCTAATGGGTTTACCAGGGGTTTCCACTTTTGCTTCTTCCTCATTCTCTCTTGCTGCCGCTATGTAAGAAGTGCCTTTCACCCTCCACCAAGATTATGAGACATCCCCAGCCATGTGGAACTGTAAGTCAAATTAAACCCTCCTTTTCTTCCCAGTCTCATGTATGTCTTTAGCAGCAGTGTAAAAATGGAGTAATACAGTAAATTAGTACAAGTAGAGTGGGGTGTTGCTGAAAAGATACCCAAAAATATGGAAGCAACTTTGGAACTGGGTAACAGGCAGAGGTTAGAACAGTTTGGAGGGCTCAGAAGAAGATAGGAAGATGTGGGAAAGTTTGGAACTTCCTAGAGGCTTGTTGAGTGGCTCTGACCAAAAGCCTGATAGCGACATGGACAATAAGGTCCAGGCTGAGGTGGTCTCAAATGGAGATGAGGAGCTTGTTGGGAACTGGTGCAAAGGTGACTTTTGTTATGTTTTAGCAGAGACTGGTGGCATTTTGCCTCTGCCCCAGAGATTTGTGGAACTTTGAACCTGAGAGAGATGATTCAGGATATCTGGCAAAAGAAATTTCTAAGCAGCAAAGCCTTCAAAAGGTGACTTGGGGGCTGTTAAAAGCATTCTGTTTTAAAAGGGAAAAGAGCATAAAAGCTCAGAAAATTTGTAACCTGATGATGCAGTAGAAAAGAAAAACCCATTTTCTGGGGAGAAATTCAAGCTGGCTGCAGAAATTTGCATAAGTAGCAGGAAGCCTAATGTTAATCTCCAAGGCCATAGGGAAAATTTCTCCAGGCCATGTCAGAGAACTTCATAGCAGCCTCTCCCATCACAAGCCCAGAGGCCCAGGAGGAAAAAGTGGTTTCATGGGCTGGGGACTCTGCCCTGCTGTGATGGGAACCTCCTCTGCCTCTAAAGGCCACAGGCTGGAATGGCTGAGTTGTCCTAACAACCAAGGTGACAGCCTGCCCCTCCTGTCAGACACTCCATCCCAGGGAAAGATCAGAGCTGTCTCCATAGAATATGGGTGAGTGAGGGTGGCTGGAGGCTCTGGCTGGGAGGTCCTACTTAGTGAGGAGGAATGTATTGAGGTCCCGCTTTAATCAGTCTGGCCACGCCTTGACAAAACAGCCATGCCGTGCTGGGGAGCTGCCTCTGCCCTAGTCAGCTTGGACTCTCCAAAGACTGCAGGCTGAAATGGCTGATCCCCCAAATGGGATCTAATTAAACAAAAGAGCTTCTGTACAGCAAAAACAACTATCAACAGAGTAACAGACAATCTCCAGAATGAGAGAAAATGTTTTCAATCTATCTATCCGATAAAGGTCTATTATCCAGCATCTATAAGAAACTTAAACAAATTTTCAAGAAAAAAACCCTGCTAAAAAGTGGGCAAAGGACACAAACAGACATATCTCAAAAGAAGACATACATGTGGCCAACAATCATATGAAAAAATGCTCAACGTCATTGATCATTAGAGAAATGCAAATCAAAACCACAACGAGATACCGTCTCACACCAGGCATAATGGCTATTATTAAAAAGTCAAAAAACAAATGCTGGCAAGGTTATGGAGAAAAAGGAATGATTTTACACTGTTAGTCAGAGTGTAAATTAGTTCAACTATTGTGGAAGACAGTGTGATGATTCCTTAAAGGCCTAGAGGCAGAAATACCATTTGACCTAGCAATCCCATTACTGGGTATATAACTAAAGAAATACAAATTGTTCTATTATAAAGACACATGCACACATATGTTCATTCCACCACTATTCACAATAGCAAAGACATGGCATCAACCTAAATGCCCGTCAGTGATAGTCTGGATAAAGAAAATGTGGTACATATACACCATGGAATACTATGCAACCATTAAAAGAAACGAGATCATGTCCTTTGCAGGGACATGAATGGAACTGGAGGCCATTATCCTTAGCAAACTAACACAGGAACAGAAAACCAAATACCACATATTCTCTCTTATTAAGTGGGAGCTAAATGATGAGAACACATGGACACACTGGGGGAACAACACACTGGGGCCTGTCAGAGAGTGGAGGGTGGGAGGAGGGAGAGGATCAAGAAGGATAGCTAATGAATGTTGGGCTTAATACCTGGGTGATGGAATAATCTGTGCAGCAAAACACCATCATACACATTTGCCTATGTAACATACCTGCACATCCTGCACATGTACCCCTGAATCTAAAAGTTGAAAGTAAAAAAGTAAAAAAAAAAAAAGAAAATTTTGAATTACTGTAAAAATAGGCCTTAATTTAAATGGTTCATGTTGAAGATAAAGACTGGACCTTTGTGAGGCATTGAAAAACTAAGTAAAATTTCCAGTTATGAAGTGGTAGCTCCAAAGAACAAGAAAGGTAGAATACTATCAGAACTTTATTGTTATAAACCAGATTTCTCATGGTCTTTGTATTGACTGTGTTTATTTTTCTTTTGTTATCACTTAAGGTGATAGCCTTTTCTAAAATCTAGGTGAAGATGTGTATTTAGGAGAAGTCCAATCTCAGCCCAATTCTTTCTAGAAAATTAATTGACCAAAAACCAGCCTGTGTTTTATTCCATACCGTGTGCAAGACCATTATATGTTCCTGGAGTAAGACTTTATCATCATGGTCAAGGAGGTCAATTTGGCACAGTCAGGAAGGGCCTCAATGTTAGACTTTTAGTATGGTTTGGATATGGTTTGTCTGTCCCCAGCAAATCTCATGTTAAAATTTGATTCCCACTGTGTTGGTATTAGAAGGTGGAGCCTAGTGGGAGTGGATCCCTCAGGAACAGATTAATGCCATCCCTTAGGGATAAATGAGTTCTCACGCTATTAGTTTGGGTGAGACCTGGTTGTTAAAACGAGCCTAGCAACTCCCCACTCTCTTGCGCCCTCTCTCATCAAAGGAAAGGGAGCACACACTGGCTCCCCTTCACCTTCCACCATTAGTGGAAGCAGCCTGAGGTTCTCACCAGATGCAGATACCCAATCGTGAACTTACCAGCCATCAGAATCATGAGACAAATAATCTTTTTTTTTATTACAAATTACCCAGCCTCAGGTATTCTTTATAGCAATGCAAAACAAGAAAAGAAAACTTTAAATCTTATCTTTAGATTGCATTATCCATATAGTAACAGAAGAACAAAAAAAAATACAAAAATATAAGACCTTGCTACTTAGAGTGAAATCTATCTCGGGATCATCATCTTAGAAGAGATTTTTCAGATATGTACACTCTCCGCCACTACCCTAGTGACTGAATCAGAGTATATGCATTTAAGCAAGATCCCAGGGTGACTCCCCTGCACATTAAAGTCTGAGAAACACTGTCATAGATAATCTAGCCATGAATTGTTGAAGTTTGACTGTATACACTCCATTAAACAAGGCTTTAGGGAATTTAAAAGGTTGTTTTTGGTCTTTCTAGCTGCTCTGGTCCCTTCAATTGCAAAAGCAATAGGGCAGTTAAAATATTCTAACCTCAGAGTGGCCTCTTGTAAATTATTAGCTGAGCTATACTAAATATCATTATACATGATGTGTCAGTAAAATTTCTATGGCCAGAAACAGAAAAAGCATGTTTTTTCTTCAAAGAAAGTTAATTTATGCTTTGCAAAGAAATTTATCGCTTTCTTATTCCGTGTGCTGAATGGAGTCTATACCTTCCTTGGCTGCTTCTACAAAGAGATGCCAAATAGTATTCTTAGTCTTTTCATAGGGAGAGATGGAAATGGTAATAAGGAGCAGCAGGTCTTACCTTTTTGCGTGGGTGAAATTTCTGCAATATATTTAAATAAATGAATTGCCACATTATATGAGAAATATAATAGTAGGTGGTCAAAGGGTCTTAACCTGGAGGTTAAGATCAATGCATAGCAAGAGGTGTCTTAAATCAGGTTCTCTACAATCAAACCCTGAGATAGGAATTCAGATCCATGTGATATATTGAAAGAGGGCTCTCAGGGAAAGGGGAGTGAGGAAAACATGAAAAGGGAGGGAAAGGAGTTGAGCAATGTGAGATGAGCTGATGTGATATCAGCTAGATTCTAGCTTCAGCCTGATCCCACAGGAGCTCTGTATCATGAATTTTACTGCAGAACCCCCCTTTGAGGTGAAGGGAATCGCCTTTAGTGACCCCATCATACCAGTCAGTCTTTGGCTGCCTCTGGAGGGTGGACGTGACCTCCTGAATGAAGTCGCTCTGCTTGGCTTAGGGCAATTCTCTAATGGCCAGCTCAACAGCTGGGGAATGGGTGCACTAGCCAGGAAAGGAGAGGTTGCCAGGGCAAAAAGAGGTCTATAATAGGAGCATGATAGGAGTAAACAGAAACTCTGATGCATCCATATTACTAATCATGAATTCGGAACTTCGTACAATCTGACAGCTTCACGGGAGACAAAAAAAAAAAAAAAAAAAACCACCAAACATATTTTGACATAGGGCATATTTTTTACTTAGTTTCCATTCATCCACTTATTTAATCTGTATAATTTTAGCTTATATAATGTGCATTGCTCTACACTAGGCACTTTGTGGTTTTCTAAGCCTTTTAATATATGGTGTCTTACTTTGAGTTTCTTTAAATGCAAGCCTTGAAACAAAGACTAAGGTGCGAGTAGTATATCTATGAGGTGGCCCCAGGAAGCACAAATGAGGGTGTAGGGAAAGTGAGATGGGGAGGGAGGAAAAGATTCACTCAAAATAAATTGTGAACTGTATGTAGTAAAACCCCTTGTACAGCAGGTCACCACTTTGGGCAAATGGGACTCAATGCCATCAGTGACTTTTTGAAGAATGAACACACAACTGCACCACTGGTTCCCATTTCCTTACTGTATGACGATGACTCCTGAAGGGGTTAATTCCACAGCACATTCTGGCTGCCCTGATTGTGGGCTGTACATAATGTGCTTTCAGAGAAAGATGAGATAAATTTAGGCTAATCAAAGAAGGTTTCACACAAGAGGCAAGATTTTCATATACAGCTAGGAAGATTGTCTTAATTGAGATAGATAAGAGGCTAAGGAATATAATATTATTCCAAGCAGAATAATGGGAGTTTGAACTTGACCCCGTAAAGAATGAGGTATTGTGAAGATTAATATGGTCATAGTATATAATAAGAGCACTGATTTATTAAGATTATTATAGAAGAGTATAGCAAGATGGGCAAGCATGCAGCCATTTAAAACATATTTATTAAATGCCAACTATATACTCAGCACCCTGTTAGGCACTCACAGCATCAGGGCCAGAGAGGACATTCCAGAACTCATCAAGTGTGGTCCCCTAGCCTAAGTCAGAACTGAGCAGCATTCCCTTAATAGCAAGGGTTAGCCCTCATGCGTGGTCCCACCTTGCCTACTCTACTGGTCAAGGAGGCCACTCCAGCTGATCCAGGTTGAAATTGGGAGGGTCCTGGCACATACTGAATTTGTAGGGGAGTTCCTCTACATCAGTTGGGCTGAGGTAACTGAGCCAAGTTTCAGGAAGCCAAGGTTCTAGTTGGTAATCTTCCACTAGGGCATTTCCTGAACATTTCTCCTCTCTAAGCGTCAGTTTTGTCTTCTCTAAAAGTAAGGAGACTGAGCTTGAGGATACTGACAAGCTTCTCATACAATCTCTGATCAGAAAAAAAAAATCCCAAGCTTTGTTTTATGAACCAAGAATCTTTCTGATATGCCACCTTCTGTCTTTAAACTAGCGTGGCTGAAGTTTATTCCTCCTATTAAAGGTCATTTCCCATTTGCAAGGCCCGTAAAATGACAACATTGTTTTTTATTTGCTTGAAATTAGGTACCATGTAGCTCTTTTAAATAAACATCTAGTGGAAATTCTTCACCTCATGACTTTTCATAACATGAAAATTCAGACATGCTGTCCCTTTGTGCAGGAAGTTCTTCTGTGTCGTGTCTTGGCTTTCTACCTACATGAATAAATACCCTTAAGTCAGTGTTATACAACATTTATTATTTCCCATTGTATAATATTTTTAAATAAAAAGTCATACTTGTGAGAAAATGTGCTGATTGATAACAGAATAAACCATGCCTAAGGAAAAACTTTTTATTCAGAATACAGAGCTGCTACAAAGCTTCAGAGGTAGCAGCTTACGCAAACCTTAGCCATTGTATCCAGAAATAAATAAAACACAATCTCAGATACTTAAAAATGACAGTAAACATCAGTGCCTATAAGTGTTCCCAGATCTGTGTAGTCGATAGCAGAATCTAGACACAGCAGGTGTTCAAACCCCCAGTTGGTACAGAGAGCTGAGCTATGCTTCTCTAAATAAACCCATTCAAGAGGATCAATAGTGCATGTTGTCTTCAAGGTTGAATTAAGGTGGCAAATGCAAGTTCAATCCAAGACAATAGTGTAATAATAATACATTTCAACAGTCAAATTAATAGCATACGCAAGACCTGAATCCTTGGTAGAAGTCAAAGATGCTCTTTTAAGTGGGGAAAAGTCAAATTCTGTAAAATCAAAGGTGACATTGGTCACATATGCTTTCTTAGAAAGGTCTAGATTTGTAAGGACAAGGGCCCTTTTTCTTAAATTCCACTAAAAAATAAGTATTCATGAGCAAATGTTGCAGCACTGAGTTGCCCTAAGTGAAAAAATGTCATTTGGTTGCTAATTTGGATAAAGAAACTACTTCTGAATGTTTAATGAGGGTTGGACTCCAGAGGAATTAGATCATAAATGTCATGCACTTCTACAAATTTGAGTGAAAGAGCAAGGTATCTGCCAGCCTTGGACATGCAGTAATGATAGCTCACATTTTATGCATATAATGACTTTGGAAAAAATTTTAGTTTTGCTCTTTGGGATTTGAAAGCATAGCTGCAAGAAAACAGTCACAAGGGGTTTGTTTTACGTATTTGCATTATCCCATCATCTGCAGTATTCAAAATCCAAAGTTTCATCTAAAAATGGACTTAGAAAGGCCTTTAAAAATCTTGCAGGAACCCACTCATGCAGGAATCCCTCATAAGCATTTATTCTTGGCTTGAATACTTCTGGGGGAAAGTGTAGATAGGGTCATTTGTCAGAATCTCATTCCCCTACAGGACCAGTACTGCTTTTCTTCCTTTCTTCTTTTCTTCCTTTCCCTCTTCCTTTTTTTTCCGTCCTCCTAACTTCACTCCCTCTCCTCATTCTCTCCCTGCTCTCTCTTCTTCCCCTTCCCTCCTTGCCTTCCTTCAACATCTCCCTTTCTTGTCTCCTTTATTCCTTCATTCCTCTTTATTACCCGCCTTGTTTCCTTCCTCCATTCCTTTCTTTTTTTAATCCTTGCTATTGAAAAGTTGTATTAATGCTGTACAAAACTCTATTCCCTTTGAGTCTCCATGCAGTTATCTGCTCAAATACTATAAGAATGAGCATACTTGGCTTTTGGGACTCTTTTTCCTAATTGCATTGAAGTCTCCATTTCTCTCCTTCCACAGTTTTCAAACGTCTCCAAAAACTCCACGGTTGCAAGTTAGATCTGGAACATTATTTTTAGGGCTTATATATTAGCTATATTTTTATTATTTAGGGACTTTATCTTCGCAAGGAAGAGGAGCTGGCCTGGCAATAATGATACAGTCAAATCTTTTGCATATTTACCATGAGCCAGATAACGTACAAAGTACTTCCAGGGACAATCTCATTGAAATCTTGCCACCTAAATGAAAGTGACAATTAGCCTTTTTGCAAAGGGAGTTTGAGAAACATGCCCAAGGCCAACCAGCTAAGAAATGACAGCATTAGGTGTTGTGTTTCTATTTATCTCCCGACTTAGTGCTTTCAACCGCTACACAGACCTGTCTTCTTATGTGTGCCATGTTTCATTTCTAAAATGGCATTCTAGGTAACATTTAATTCTCTCCAGGTTTTATAGTTAGCATTTCCTGTAGGCCCAGAAGCCTTGTTCCCATTTATGAGCTCTTCACTCCTGCAGGAGAGGTCCTCAGCATTCACAAAACCTTAAGGGAACTCTCTTGCCAGCCCATCCTTTTCTGGGCCTCTCTTCCGTCCTGTACCATGCTCCTTGCGCCCCTCCTCGTGCAATGCCTACACCCGCCCTTTCAGACCCGCATGTGTGCACCTGACCCTCTTGCATTCCTTTCTGTGAAATCACACCTGCCCTCACCCCTGCCCTCACTGGGCACCCTGCCTCAGCCCTGGCAAGCATCCTGGCCTTTGTCAGAAGTTCTCCTGTAGGAGCCTTTTCACCTCCACCGGATTATGACAGCTCCGAGGGCAGAACCCAAGCCCATGTAGTGCTTTGCCCATAACGGGCCCTCAATGCATGGATGCTGGATACATTGGGTTTTTTTTTTGAGACAGAGTTTTGCTCTTTTGCCCAGGCTGGAGTGCAGTGGCACCACTATGGCTCACTGCAACCTCTGCCTCTTGGATTCAAGCAACTCTTCTGCCTCAGCCTCCCTAGTAGCTGAGACTACAGGTGTGCACCACCATACCTGGCTAATTTTTGTATTTTTAGTAGAGATGGGGGTTTCACCTCGTTGGCCAGGCTGGTCTCGAACTCCTGACCTCAGGTGATCTGCCTGCCTTGGCCTCCCAAAGTGCTGGGATTACAGGCATGAGCCACCACACCTGGCCACTGGATACACTTTTTAATACATCTCCCTTCTTAGCATCTCTGCTAAAGGCTCAAGTGCTCCTTCTTTCCAGATCTGCACACACAGCTCAGCCTTCTGACAGGAGTATGAGTGTACTTCAATTGCCAAATTTCTTTTTAAGCTTGTCCCATCAGTGTACAGGATCACCCACACAACTTTGAATTTCTCTCAGCATCCTGTACAGAAAGGAGGTATTTAGTAAGCAGCCAACAGTATATTTTGTCCTTAAACTCCTCATTCACACAAGATCAAAAAAGAAAAACGATACTAATCCCTGGAGAGTTTCAGCTTCCAAAGGAGACGTTAGAAGATTGCTTTTGACGGAGGCTCTCAGGAGGAATTTGAACTTCCCATGGCACGTGTAATCATGAGCAAAAAGACCCTGAAGCATTTGGGCATACTTTCCTCTCTTAATAAAAGATTAATTCCCTTGTAAAAGGCTGTGTGGGAACCACTCATTACTTGTTAGTGCGGTCATTCCATTTCCTTGTGCCTTCTCTCGCCTGCTCTTGAAAGCTTTATAATGTGCTGTCAGAGGGGGTTATTCCGGGGCTGGAGGGATGCAAATGAAACCAAAGAGGAGGCTGAAGGGACCCAGATGAAGATGCCACAGTCTCCTTTCACTTCTGACATTCCTATTTCCGCTTATACAGGTTTCCATTTCCATTTTCCAGATAATCTTAAAGCAGCTTCCTCATTCTTGGGTTCTCTGTAGCATAATCAGCATGTTCTAAACACACCTACGTGCATTCTTCCTTCTGCCTGGGAGCTCATCCCCCTATTTGAGGATCTAGCCAATTTCTGATGGTGGTAGTAGCTGCTGTCACCTTTTTTTTTTTATTTTATTATTTTTTTTTTTTTGAGACCAGGTCTCACTCTGTTGCCCAGGCTGGAGTGCAGTGGTGCAACAAGGGCTCACTGAAGCCTCAGCCTCCCAGGCTCAAGTGATCCTCCCACCTCAGCCTGCTGAGTAGCTTGGACTACAGATGTGCACCAACACACCCAGATAATATTTTTAATTGTATATTTATTGTAGAAATAGGGTCTCAGTACCTTACTCAGATTGGTCTCAAATTCCTGGGCTCAAATAATCTTCCCACCTTGGCATCCCGAAGTTCTGGGATTATAGGCGTGAGCCACTACGGCTGGCCTGCTGCCATTTTTTGAATACCTCCTAATAGGCACTATGCTTGGCATATTCAGAGTTAGACTGTATAATAATCATAAATCCGGAGAAAGACACCTGCATTATTATTATTATACATCTATAATCAATAATACTATGTTATCTGATTATGTTTAATTAAGTTAATATAAAATGAAAGATACAACAAAATGTGATTAAATAATAATTCTTATTTCACAACTTAGCTTGGAAAGATTATCCCAGGTCCCTCAATTAATAAGAACTGAGCATTGGCTGGATGTGGTGGCTCACACCTCTAATCCCAGCACACTGGGAGGCCAAGACAGGTGGACTGCTGGAGTCCAGGAGTCTGAGACCAGCCTGGGCAATATATTGAGATGTAGTCTTTTTAAAAATTTTTTTTTTAAATTAGTGGGCATGGTGGTGTGCACCTGTGATCCCAGCTACTTGGGAGGCTGAGAAAAGAGGATTGCTTGAACCCAGGAATTTGAGGCTCTAGTGAGCTAGGATCTTGGGATCTTGCCACTGCATTCCAGCCTGAGTAACAGATTGAGACCCTGTCTGAAGATGAAGAAGAAGGAGGAGGAGGAGGAGGAGGAGGAGGAGGAGGAGGAGGACTGATCATTGAATTTGAATCTAGGCTTTTCTAACTCTTAAGTTCTTGCATGTAAATACTGTGCTATACTACCTCTCTATTTATCCTTCAAGGCCAAGTTGAAAGCTTATCCCTAGCATGAAGAGCCTTTTTTTTTTTTGGTGATAGCAAAGCTAGTCGAGTGTATTCTCCTTCCCCCATAACACATTTACATACGTACCTGCATAATCCAGAGCCCCCCCTCAAGGTCTATCTCAACGTTTTGTTAAAATCAGAAGAAACATCAGTGAGTTTTATGTTCAGAAATTGTAGAAAAGTAGCTAAAATCTTTTAGCAGGCTCTTTAAAAAAGGCCAAAGGTGAAATATATTTATTAAACTTTATACAAAATATGATAAAATCATTTTATCTTTTTCTCTCCTTTTCCTCTCTCTGCCTCTCTTTCTTCATAAATATTTGTATATGCAAACAAATGGTAAACACTGAAGGACTCCTGATGGATAGTAAACGAGGCAGGACTCCTGGTGGGGGTGGGTTAATCCTGTAACTAACGTTACTTTTTTAATTTTTATTTGTTTATTTTTTGAGACGCGGTCTCTCTCAGTTATGCAGCTGGACTGCAGTGGCGTCACCGTGGCTCATTGCAGCCTTGACCTCCTGGGCTGAGGCGATCGATCCTCCCACATCAGTCTCCAAGTAGCTGAGACGACAAGCACATGCCACCACCACACTTGGCTAATGAATTTTTATGTTTCGTAGAGACAAGATCTCCCTATATTGCCCAGGCTGGTCTCAAACTCCTGGGCTCAAGTGATCCTCCCACCTTGGCCTCTCAAAGTGCTGAGATTACAGGTGTGAGCCACCTCACACTGACTTTTTTTTTTTTTTAATTCTTTTTAAATCTGCTCCTTGGTTGTTTTTTCTTTGCCCTGAAAAAAAGCTTAGCAGGTCCTATGACTTATCCCATGACAAGTATGTGATAAAAATTCTCCATGAGTTTAAATCAGAAAAGTAATTAAAATGTCTAGTTCTTGTAAATGTCAAAGCTCCAACATGATTCAGTTTTGGTCAGCCTTCCTACCTGGGCTGCAGCCTGCTGCTAGCATAAGGCTACCATGGAGGAAGGAGGGGAACATGAGAAAATTTCTTTTCTGTTCCAATTTCTTCTTCTATGGCTTTCTACGCTTGTTTTCTGATTCCTTTAGGGTTTTCTGATTCTTCTAGGCTTTGTTTTCTGATTCTTCTAGGGAAAGGATACAGTTTATACTTTGCTGACACTCTCATAAGCTGCCTCTTTCCTTCTGGATAATAAATATAATATATACTATATAGCAATATCTAATATTCAATGTAGCAAATATTTGTAAAAGTTCAAAACAACACAAAGAAAGAAAAAAATGCCACCCAAAATCCCACCATCCCAAATATCCACTGCTAACATTTTGATGTATGCCATTGACATTTCATTTTCATGTATAGATGTACAGATTGCACATGCATATTTAAGGGAGGTACTTTCCCTAGACTGTCTTTTTGAAACCTTAGCAGTGACTCTCTCTATCATTCCTGAGTACATTAAATAAAGAGAACCATATGTTACCTGTTCATAATAACAATAACTTATTTTCCTTTTACGAATATGCCAGAAAATGGTAACATATAGAGATTAAGAATCTAGACCTCAGAATTAGATTTCTGGGGTCATCAGAGTATTTCCCATTTATCAACTGAGTGTACATTAGAAAATGAAATCAATTAATGTTTCTATGCTTCAGTTTTCTAATATGTAAAATAGGGATATTGTAACTTTTCATAGAGATGTTGTGAACCATAAAATATGTAAATTAGTTTATATGCTTAATGTTCTTAGAAGAGTATTCAGCAAATGGTAAGTTCTATACAACTGTTAGCTATGAAGATAAGAATGATACGATGACTATGATGATGATGGTATAATCATGCAGTGACAAATATAGTTCTTAAGAATCTTGCAATTTATTTTGTGAGGTGAAATAAATGTAAACTAAACAATTAGAGAAGATTTAAGTGTTGGTCACTTAAGCAAGGTTGAGAGATCTTTAAAAAATTAGACACAATAGGTTGGGTTTTTGTTTTCTGTTTTTTGGTTTGTATTTTTGCTGTTGTTTTTGTTTTTCCGAGACAGGGTGTCACTCTGTCACTCAGGCTGGAGTGTAGTGGTATGATCATAGCTCACTGCATCCTTGAACTCCTCCTGGACTCAAGTGATCCCACGTTGGCCTCCCAAGTAGCTAGGACTATAAATGCACAATACCACACCTGCCTCATTTATACATTTTTTTTAAGAGATGGGGTCTCATTGTGTTGCCCAGGCTGGGTCTCAAACTCCTGGATTCAAGTGATCCACCTGGCTCAGCCCCCCCAAGTGCTGGGATTACAGGTGTGAGTCACCGTACTCAGCCCACAATAGGTTTTAATAAACAACGTAGACCTTGGGAGAATTTTACCCATAGTCCAATAGCCTTGCTTGAGATATGTCTCAAGCGTGTTAAGAGTTGTTATTTTCCCTATAGTGTTTTCCATTTTCAACATTTTTCTCATCTTTTTCATGCCCCCTCAAATCCAACTAATTGTGTAGGATAAAGTGATGATAGTAAACTGCACTAAGCTGAATGAGTAAACACATTTTACCCTCCCATGAGAGAAAGCCGCATGTGACTCTCACTGATTCTATGAGCTCAACAGCCCTGCAGCCCACTGTGCATCCTCACAAGACTTTTCTATAATCAGAAGAGATTTTAAAAAGGTAAAACTGGAGTACTGGCATCATTTCCTCCTCCCCAGCTAGCTCCCAGTTGATTCACAGAACCAGGAGTGATTGGGGCATCTCTTCCAAAAGTGAGAGGACTAAAAAGAGATGGGGCAGATGGTGGAGTCTAAGAATTAAGAAGCAGAAATTCTTTAGGTAGAATCAGTCAGTATGTTGAGGGAATGTGCTAAGAAACTTTGGGAGGTAGTGATCATTAACCTGGATATTTTTAAAATGTTGGTCTGAATGTTTGCACACTTTTTGGTTCCCCTTGATTATTTCCTTTTTGTTCACTGGGTCTGGGTTTTGAAGCATGATTAGGAGTTTCTCAAGGAAAAACAAAGTAAGAGCATTCCATATAGGAGCATTACATGCAATGGGCCAGGCGCGGTGGCTCACTCCTGTAATCCCAGCACTTTGGGAGGCCGAGGCGGGAGGATCTTGAGGTCAGGAGATCGAGACCATCGTGGCTAACACGGTGAAACCCATCTCTACTAAAAATACAAAAAATTAGCCTGGCGTTGTGGCGTGTGCCTATAGTCCCAGCTACTCAGGAGGCTGAGGCAGAAGAATCGCTTGAACCCGGGAGGCAGAGGTTGCAGTGAGCCGAGATTGTGCCACTGCACTCCAGCCAGGGCAACAGAGTGAGACTGCCTCAAAATAAATAAATAAATAAGTAATTAAATATAAATAAAAGAAGTATTACATTATTACATGCAATGACATGAAAGAGGGGATACTGGCAAGTAGCTCATTACATCTTGGAGGCACTTAAATGTGGTTCCTCTATGTCAGGGCTTCTCAGCCCTGGCTGCATTGCTAGAACTACTTGGAAAACTCCAATGCCTATGCTGCACCAGGACTAATTTCAATCAGGGATTCAAAAAGCGGAACCCAGGCATCAGGATTTTTTAAATGCCCCTAGGATTATTTCAATGTGCAGCTAAAGTTGAGAACCCATCCACGCTGCTGGCAATAGCCAGAGTCCAGCCCTGTCTTGACAAGTATGTTCCTTTTCCATATGCCAAAGCCTCACACCTTAGCTTATGTCCTTAATCACAAGAGGAATGGGGTGAGGTATGGGAGGACCGAAACATGCTGGAGAGAAAGACGACTGGTTTTGTGAATCCAGAAAAGTCTGGATTCACATTTCAGCTCTGGCACTCTCTTCTTAGCTGCATGGAATTGGATCACTTACTAAGTTTCCATTTCCTTCTTTGTTCATTCAATGGGAATAATACTAGCACCAACTTTGAAGAGGTTTTGAAAGTATTTAGGGGGAGATATGAGAAGCACCTAGCACAGTGACTGGCATACAATAAGGATTCAATATATGATAGCTGTTATAGTTGCTACTTGAAAAATACTTACAATTTTAGAAATAAAATAGTGTGTGTGCTGTTCACAGGGAATGATGATATCATGGTCACATATACAGGACAGTACATTTCAAATGAATATATGTTCACAGTACTGACTTCCTTAATGTTAACACCTGCCTGTAAATTCATAAGTGCTCATAATTACGGATATTAACTCTCTAAATAGCAGAGGTATTTCCCATGCAGGATGTGATGCAGAAAATGAATTGAAAACCAATGGGCGCATTCAGTGTTGCTGTTGAGGTCTTCTAAGCAGTGTGGAGACATTATTGCATCCATTTGGAAACTATCCAGTAGAGTAGATAAGAATATGTGTTATCATCTGAGGACAGATCAACTAAGTGGCCCGAGAACTCCTTGAGTCATAAAATCACAAAATGTTTAACTTAAAAGAAATCATATAGTTCGATGATTCTAAAATATATATACTCTTAGCAGTGGAACAGTTTCCTCAATAGAAATCTTCACTGCTAATGCCTAATACTTGTAAGTGAAATTCTTACTGTTGAATTGAGGCTTATCTACTTCACTCTGAAGTGTTGTTTGGAATTCTAGGGATGTGAAAGAACACAGTTATGGTTTAAATATTTGTTCCCCTCCCAAATTCATATTGAAATTTAATTCCCAATGTGAAAGTATTGAGAGGTGGGACTTTTAAGAAGCAATTGGGTCATGAGGACTCTGCCCTCATGAATGGATTAATCCACTTATGGATTAGAAGGTTAATGGGCTAATGGATTGATGGATTATCATAGGAGTGGGACCAGTGGCTTTATAAGAAAAGGAAAAGAAATCTGAGTTAGGATGCTCAGCCCCCTGACTATGTGATGCCCTGAACCACTTCAGGACTCTGCAGAGAATCCTCACCAGCAAGAAGGGTCTTACTGGATGTGTCCCTCAACTCTGTACTTCTCAACTTCCATTACTGCAAGAAATAACTTCTTTTTTTATAAATTACCCAGTTTCATGTATCCTGCTGTAGGCAACAGAAAACAAATTAAGATATACACTTTGAAAATCACAGGTTTAGTTAGAACCACTTGTAGTAGGCCATTACTTTGATAGTACCCAGTGAAACTCACTGCTGTGCATTCCCCTCCAGCACTGGGTAGAGACTTGGTCATGTGAATGGCCAACGGGGCATTATCTTCTTGGGGTACTCACACTTTGAACCAATTGCCATGCTGTAACAAAGCTTGGACTAGGTCACTGTATGATCAGTCTATGTGAAAAGAGAGACCATGAAGAGGAGCATTAAGATGCCAGATTTGTAAGTGAAGCCCTCCTGGATCCGCCAGGACCAGATTATCATCAAAATTACTACAGCCCCATGGAGACTTCAAGTGACACCAGCAGAAGAACCACATAGCCAAGTCCAGTGCAGATTACAGAATCAGGAGAAAATAAAATGATTATTACTTTAGGCCAATACGTTTTGAGGTGAATGGTTCTATAGCAATAGATAACTGAAAAGCTATTTACTATAACCCTTATTATATCTGTAGTATCTATAACTGTGCCTGTAATTTAAAAAGTGCTTTAATAATGAAGATTGAACTAACTTGATTAACCTGTAAGTGGAAGACTCAGAAATATAATCAAAGTCTTACCATTCTGAAGTTGTAGCACATGCCACAATTGCCTGCTCTCTCATTAGTGAAAAAAATGAAAAACAAGAAAACCCTCTAAACTCTAGATATCCAATCCAGATTCCTTAACAGAGCTATCTTTTGAGGTAGAATGGACTATTTTTCTTCTTGAGACAAAAAGTCACAAATCAGAAATCAGCAGAGAATAAAAATCTTCTAAGCACTAAAATAAGATGTCTCAATACCTGTGAACTTTTCTTAGAGGAGAGAGTCTCTCTCAAAACTACATATTCTCATTTAAACAAAGTTCTATCTCAACATAAATGTCTAGAATCTTGGTCCATGGTAGAATGGGTGGAAGGGACACTTAAAGCATATTAAAATTTCAATAATGGACAAGAGGAAAACAGAAAAACTTCAGAATAATACAGATGCAAATATTTAACAATGCTTAAGAGTCTAGGACAATTTGGTGATACTAACAACTTTACCTATCATATGAATTATCACAATAGAGTAATATACCACAAGGACTAATTAGTTATCTATGGTCTTGAGAGCAACCAACATTTGATATTATCTGTTTAATAATTATTATACCTTGCAATGTGTACAACACTGGACATATGGTTATTGATCTAGTATCTATTTTGGGGGGGAAAATCATCACTTCTTACTCCACAGCCTTCCTGCTTATTCCATATGGCATAGTGGATTTAGATCCCATGACCCTAGAATAGGTCAGTAAGCCAAGTTTGAGCCAATTCGTATATTACCATCCCTGGCCACAGTGATTGGTTCAGGGATAGGCATGTGATACAATCCTGTCCCATGGGAGTTTTTCCCATGATTTTTGCCAGAGTTACTCAGAAAATTGTTCTCTTTTCCCCTGAGTCATAAGTTCTAAGGATATTCTTATGCCTGAGTAGTGGTGGTGGGGGGATGGAGATGTGCTAACTAAAGCCATTTACTTCCCTGTGCCTGAGAATAAAACTAAAAAGAAGTAAGAATTACCCAAAGATAAAAGTAAAGAAAAATTCCATTGATGACAGCTCCTAAATCTGATCTCAGTTTCAATCTGTGAACTTCTTAGACAGACAAGCTTTTATAGTCACTTTTTTTCCCTCAAGTCAGTTGCAATTATACTATATTCTCTTACAAACAAAAGTACTTTATCCTAACATACTTGGAAGTTCTCAAAATACTTTTATATTCACCATCCATTCATATTAGCCACTCCCAGTAATCTGCAAAGTGGTCTGGACAGCTGGACAATTCCCATTTCATCAATGGTGAAAATGAGCCGCCATTGTAGGGTCCTGCGGCATCCACATGGCAAGTCTGCCGTAGAGTTTGGCTGAGAAACAAAGTCCACTGCTTTCATGTCCAAAGAATTTCCCACTTCGCTGATGTAATAGAATTAGTTTCCAAAAATGTCTATGGATAAGATAGTGTCAGGGATTAAAGAGGTAGAAATGTAGTTATATGGAAGGTACTATTACCCTCTTAAATACAGGAAGTATCACTACTAGGAAAGGAACTGTACTTCCTTTGACACACTGTCAACATTCTGGGATTACTTGCAGTAGGAAAATCAGCTCAGAAGGTTTTTGTCTCAGAAAGTTTTATGCTGCACTCCCCAAATGCAGAGCCTGAGATGGGGATTCTTGTGCAAAGTGACCATTGGGTGGGGCACTCTGAGGAGAAGGAGAATGAGTGATGTGGGATAGGACAGTGAAGGAGCCAAGTAAGGATGTGATGTCAGCTAAAATCCAGTCTCAGCCTGGCCCACAGAAAGCTCCAGAGTGTCACTGAGTGACCACCCTATGAATCAAATGGGGCCAGCTCTGCACCTTGATATCAGTCAATCATTGGGTCCAGGCTGCCCCAACTTTGAGGGTTAAAGGGAATAATCTCCAAGTATTTCTGGGAAAGACAGCTTCTGTTGATTAAGATGATTCTCTCAGGAAGACAAACGGAGGACAGCTATGTGCCTTTAAGAAGCAACATCCATGGTAGCTGAGCAATGCATGTATCAGCCCTATAAACGGACTCTGGGTGGCACCACAAGGTCTACTCAGAAGTCCAAGTAGGGCTCAGCCTAAGACTCAGTTCTTTCCTGAACTTCTGTGAAAATATGTTATGCAACACAGACCAAGCATTTGTGAAGTGGCATCCAACGCCAGGCTTGGGTCCATATGCAGTGGTGGCATGTCTTATCCAAGCATTATGTTGTAAAGTAAATGTAAGAGATGAAAATAGCATGAAGTCAAAATTACCATAACACATGTATATGCACATGCATACACACATGTGTGTATACATGTATATAAAATGAATAAAATAAACTATACATAATGAAGGATATATATATATTTATAAATAAATTTAACAGATTAAATTTTTATTTAATTGGATTACACTATATATGCCAAGAACCAGGTCAAACCATGCTTGAAAAAAATGAAAAGATTTAGCTAGAAATCTGTCATATCAGCGAGTGCTCAGTCTGAGATATTTTCAGCAGAGCATTTCTGACAGAGGCTCTAACCTGCATGCTTTACCCTCACAATGAATCTTTGACTTGGGTCTCAATGTTTTGCCAGGGCTACAATCACTACCAGATCTGGTGGTTAAGTATTATTGTCTTAAGCCTGCAAACCACAGATGAGGCTTTTATAAGTCTACAGGGAAAAAGTTATGTGGCTATTGGAGGATTTATTTCCTTCCTTCCTTCAAAAGAACATTATTTCCTCTTAGAATTTGAGAGGATTTTGCAGAGGATGAATTGTACCCCTACCCCATTGGGTTAAAAAGAAATCATTTTTCTTTATTTTTCAAAATCAAATAAACTGTATTCTCCTGCCTGGTTGATGGAGAATTCCTTCCCATTGTTAAAATATAATTTTCAAGAGGATAAAATAATTATCAGGTAAATATAAAATGAACATGGGTCAAAGATTTATTCAACTTACTAATTACTGAGAGAAACAGTATGATGTTAAATCCAGCCCAGCAATCTTATCCTAACCTGCCTTTATTAACTCACCTGTTATAGTGAGTTCATAAAGAAACCACCTGTAATGGTTCCTGTGGGTCAGGGAGTCCATTATGGCTCAGTTGGGTGCTCTGCTGAGGGCCTCGCAGGCTCCAATCCAGGTGTCAGCTGGGCTGTGTTCTGTTCTGGATCGTGGAGTTTTCTTCCAAGATCACATGGTATTTGGCAAAATTCAGTTTCTCATGGTTTTCTTGTTGCTGTTTTGCAATTCAAGACTTGTAATTCAAGTCTCTATTACAGGTGAGGTAATAAAGGCAGGTTAGGATATTGCTGGGTTAGATACAAAATGTGTTAATGCCTACCAGGGTGATAAATCATACCCTTTGAAGTTATCTGCTCCACTGTAGAAATAATTTGCATCTGTACACTGAACAAAAATTTGCAAGATACAAAGTAGCTTCACTACGTCTGGGACTTCTAATCCATAGGGAACAATTAGTTAAACAACATGTATTGCCTAATCCCTGGGTGGACTCTTTATTCCTGTATGACACTGAATAATCCAGCCTTTCACCTTTGATCTTACATCCAAGTTTGGAATGATTTTTGTTAATGCTCATCATTACTGAGGCCCTCTGTCTCTGTTGATGGCCTCATGCAAGAATTGCGGGTCTTTTAGAAGCTATGAAATAGGAAAAGGGCCAGGCCTTTGGCCCACTACGTCATTGACTTTACCAGTGCTCCCCTGTGACCTAATTCTAATGTCATTTCTGGCCTGTACCTTGCATTACCTCGGTGTGAGGGACAGACCCTAGGCTAACTCCCAATGACTACCACTTCCTGGTATCCCCGCATTCATGTAATCCCCTCCTCTTAAGTGTGGCTGAGATCTGCAACTTGCCTCTAGCCATTACAATATTGCAAAGGTAAAGTGATTTTGGCAGAGGTAATTCAAATCCCAAGCGAGCTGATTTTGAGTAAAGAAAGATATTCCAGGGTGGGCCTATAATGATGAGGTGAAAGCCCATATAAAGGGGGACTAAGCCATCTCTGAGGCAAAAGATTGTTCCGCTGCCTTGAAGAAGTCAGTTGTCACATTTTAAAAGGATCATGTGGTAAAGAACTGCAGGTGGCACATAGGAGATAAGAGTGGACCCACCTGACAGCAGCAAGAAAACCAGGAGAAACTGCATTTTGCCAAACACCATGTGATCTTGGAAGAAGACCCCAAGCTCCAGAATGGAACACAACAGTGTATTTCCTAAAAGCTGGAGCTGTCCTTAGAACATTTCTCTTCTCTTTTTCCCTCCTCCTTCCAAAATTTCGTAAAAATAGGGCTTTCAGGTTTGGTGTTCAAGGAAAAAAAAAAACTTACTAGGAGTTCCAAAGACGAAGATGATCAGGGAAGAATAATTAATAGAAGCCCTTAGGAGGCTGTCTTGGAAAAATGAGTTGTTTGGAAAGAAGGGTTGCCCCTATTATAACATCTTGCTTTGGCTGTGGTACATTTGCTACAAAAGAGCCAATTCTAAAACATTATTGTTAGCTGACATCTTGATTGCAGCCAGTAAGACCCTGGGTAGAGCACTCAACTGAGCCATAATGTACTCCCTACCCACGGAATCCACCATGAGATATTAACTGTGTGTTGTTTTATGCTGCTAAATTTATGGCAATTTGTTACAAGCAATAGGGAACTAACATACTCAGAGGCACGCCACACATGGTCTATTCCACTGACAGCGGACCTGCTGACAGAATTCCCCTCCAATGCTCTCAAGGCCACAATGCATGTTTTCAGCCACCTTTAGCCACCAGGGTCAATTCCTTCGTCTTTGGTATGCAAACCAGCCTCGTCTTCCATATGCGAGCCAGCCTGGGTCTTCGTCTTCCGTATGCAAGCCAGCCTGGGTCTCTGCCAGACACAGAAAACCCTCAAAACTTCTTTTTTTTATCTGACTCAGAGATCCATTCCCATCATGCCCCCTCTCCAAAACAACTCTTATTTCCATGACAGCCTGCTATGAGATTCTGGGTCCTATTATTCTTCCCTGATCATCTTCCTCTTTGGAATCCCTAGTAAAGTTTTTCTCCTTGAACACAAAACCCCAAAGCCCTATTCTTATCAATTTTTGGAAGGAGAAAAAAAGAGAAGAGAAATGTTATAAGAACATCTCCAGCTTGTAGAAAATACAGTGCTGTTATACGGAATGGGCACAAGCTGGAAGCATTCCTCTTGAAAATAGGCACAAGAAAGGGATGCCCTCTCTCACCACTCCTATTTAACATAGTATTGGAAGTTCTGGCCAGGGCAATCAGGCAAGATAAATAAATAAGTGGCATTCAAATAGGAAGAGAGAAAGTCAAACTATCCCTGTTTGCAGATGACATGATCCTATATCTAGATGACATAACCCCATCATCTCAGCTCAAAAGCTTTCTAAGCTGATAAACAACTTCAGCAAAGTCTCAGGATACAAAATCAATGTGCCATAATCACTAGCATTCCTATACACCAACAACAGTCAAGCAGAGAGCCAAATCAGGAATGAATTCCCATTCACAATTGCCACAAAAAAATAAAGCACCTATGAATACAGCTAACTAGGGAGGTTAAAGATTTCTCCAAAGAGAACTACAAACCACTGCTCAAAAAAATCAGAGATGACACAAACAAATGGAAAAACATTCCATGCTCATTGATAGGAAGAATAAACATTGTTAAAATGGCCCTACTGCCCAAAGCAATATAAAGATTCAATGCTATTCCCATTAAACTACCACTGACATTCTTCATAGGATTAGAAAAAAACTGTTTTAAAATTTATAGGGAACCAAATAGGAGCCCAAATAGCCAAGGCCATCCTAAACAAAAAGAATAAAGCTGGAGGCATCATGCTACCTGACTTCAATGTATACTACAGGGCTACTGTAACCAAAACATCGTGGTACTGTACAAGAAAGACACAAAGACCAAATGGAACAGAACAGAGAACCCAATAATAAGATTGCACACCTACAACTATCTGATATCCAACAAACCTGACAAAAACAAGCAACGAGGAAAGAATTTCCTATTCAATAAATGGTGCTAGGATAACTGGCTAGCCATATGCAGAAGACTGAATGAAACTGGACCTCTTCCTTACACCATATACAAAAAAATAACTCAAAATGGATTAAAGATTTAAGTGTAAAATCCAAAACTATAAAAACCCTGGATGACAGCCTAGGCAAAACCATTCAGGAAATAGGCACGGGCAAAGATTTCATGATGAAGATGCCAAAAGCAATTGCAACAAAAGCAAGAATTGACAAATGGGATCTAATCAAACTAAAGAGCTTCTGCACAGTGAAAACAACTATCAACAGAGTAAACTGACAACCTACAAAATGGGAGAAAATTTTTGTAATCTATGCATCTAACAAAGGTCTAATATCCAGCATGTATAAGGAACTTAAATTTACAAGAAAAAACCAAACAACTCCATAAAAAAGTAGGCAAAGGACATAAACAGACACTTTACAAAAGAGGACATACATGTGGCCAACAATTATATGGAAAAGAAAGCTCAGCATCACTAATCATTAGAGAAATGCAAATCAAAACCACAATGAGATACCATCTCACACCAGGCAGAATGGCTATTAATAAAAAGTCAAATAACAGATGCTGGCGAGGTTGTGAAGAAAAATGAACACTTATACACTGTTGGTGGGAGTGTAAATTAGTTCAACCATTGTGGAAGACAGTGTGGCAATTCCTGAAAGACCTGGAGGCAGAAATACCAGTCGATCCAGTAATCCCATTACTGAGTATATACCCAAAGGAATATAAATTGCTCTATTATAAAGACACATGCATGCAAATGTTCACTGAAGCACTATTCACAATAGCAAAGACATGGAGTCAACCTAAATGCCCACCAATGATAGTCTGGATAAAGAAAATGTGGTATATATACAATATGGAATACTATGCAGTCATGAAAAAGAATGAGCTCATGTCCTTTGCAGGGATATGGATGGAGCTGGAGGTCATTATCCTTAGCAAACTAACACAGGAACAGAAAACCAAACACCACATGTTCTCACTTGTAAGTGGGAGGTAAACAATGAGAACACATGGACACATAGAGGGGAACAACACACACTGGGGCCTTTTGGAGGATGGAAGGTGGGAGGAGGGAGAGTCCCAAGAAAACCAACTGATGGGTACTAAGCTTAATACCTGGGTGATGAAATATTCTACACAAAATCCCTCATGACACAAGTAAAAAACCTGCACCTGTACCCCTGAACTTAAAATAAAAGTTAGCAAAAGAAAATATTCCAGCACCATTTAAATGTTTTTTATTAGCATTAGTGCATATTACAGTAACTCTCTTTAAAGCGCTTAAACTCACCTCTCTTTACAGGGTGAGTTCTTGTAATATGCACTATATAACTGGGCTGCAGGAAAGTCTTTTGGGGCAGAATCACAAAATAAATGGGCATTATTAACACTTCCCTGATGATGCACTTTGCATTTCCTAAGACCATGAAAGAGAAAAAGAACCAGAGGCAAAAATGTGGTATTAGTAATAATGAATTGGAGAGCATGGAGGCAGGGGAAGATGGAAATATTCCGGGTTGGGAGAAGTTTCCTGAGAGGGTTTCAAGGAAGTGAGTTTTGGAGATCAACCTGTTGGTGACAGCAGGCCCAGAATTTGCTGATTATTGTCTTTGCACCAGTTTTTCTCAGATTGCCTACGCATTAGACTCACTTGGGGAGTTTTTGAAAATCCCATTGCCCAAAACATACTGCAGACCAATTAAATCACAATTTGGGGAAATAGAACCAAAATGTCAATATTTTTTAAACATCACTATATGTTTAACATTGCTGTTTTTTTAAATCTTCCCAGGTCATTTTATTGTACAGCCAAGTTTTAGAACCACTGCTTTACACTTTCGTCCTCTGTTCAAAACAGCGACTTTCACGAATTGGCACTTAAGTTTCACTTGGAAAGGCTGACAACACCCAGATTCCTGGGCCTCATCCCCTACAGTTTCTGATTCCATAGAATGAGAGGGAACCCAGGAAAGAGCATTGCTAACAAGCTCCCAGGTGATACTGATTGGAGGAGCATTCTGGAACAGCAAAGGCTACATTTTTTACCTTAATGAAATTACAGGCATATATTTTAATAAGTAGTTAAACTATTAATGATTCATAACTGTATGTGACCTGTTTTGCATGTATGGGCTCCTTAGAATTAAAAATTGCAGATTCTACACTAATTTTTAAATTCTCTTGTTCCCTAAACAGCATGCTACTGAGACCAACTGCCTCCAAGGGAAAGACCTTTGCACAAAGACAACCAGGAGAGATTCAACTCTTCTGTACACTTACCCCAGTGCAACTGAACTCTCCCTGCACATTAGGGTTTCCCAGGGATCATGCAAAAGATACTAATGTTTGGTTTTCACCCCTGGAAATTTTAATTTATGGAGTATGTTCTATATAAAATTAGACTTTATCTCTTAGGGCAGTTTTAGATTTCCAGAAAAATTAAACAGAAAGCACAGACTTTTCATATACTCTCTCCCCGCCTTCACACAGTTGCCCCTATTATTTTCATTTTGCTTTGGCATGGTACATTTGTTACAAGTGAGCCAAAACTGATACATCATTGTTAGCTAAAGTGCATAGTTTACAATAAGATTTACTGTTTGTGTTATACTGTTCTATGGGTTTAGCCAAATCCATAATGTCATACATCCACCATTTCATTGCCCTAATAATCCCCATGTGTTCCACCTGTTCATCTCTCCACTCTTTCCTCCAAATTCCTAGAAATCCCTGATCTTTTTGGTGCCTGTAGCTTTTTACCCTTTAGAGAACGTCATATAGTAGGCTTTTCTGAGTTTTTCTTTTCCACTTAGCAGTATGCACTTACATTTCTTCCATACGTTTCTATGGCTTGATAGCTCATTCCTTTTATTGCTGAATAGTTCATTGTATATATGCATATAGATGCACATTTGTATGTTTGTTCATCTATTCAACTATGGAAGGACGTTTTCCATTGAAGCCTCCACATTTGGCAATTATGGATAAAGCTGCTATAAACATTTCTGTGGAGGGGTTTTTGTGTGGACATATGTTTTTAAATCATTCGGGTAAATACCAAGAAGCACTATTGCTGGATCATATGGTGAGACTATGTTTAGTTTGTAAGAAACTGCCAGGCTCTCTTCCAAGGTGGCTGTACCATTTTGCTTTCCCACCAGCAATGAATGAGGGTTCCTGTTATTCCACATCTTCACCAGCATTTGTTATGGTCAGTGTTTTGAACTTCAGCCATTCTAATAGGAATGTAGTGATAGTCTATTGTTTTAATTTGCAATTCCTTGATAGCATATGATGTTGAGTACTCTTTTATACGCTTATTTTTCACTTGTATTAGTTTTCTGGTGAGGTGTCTGGGTGATAGCATTTTTTAAAAGTTTCCTAGGTGGTTTTATTCTGAAGCCAGAACTGATGATTACTGAAAGCTGGAACTCCCAGAGACCACTAGACATAGAGCTCCTCTTTGCTCTCTTGACTTAAGGGAGGTAAACTTGATAGCATTCTTGTATCCCACCAATATCCTATCAGCTTTACTGTCATAGAGAACAATGGCTTGATTTCCAGATGCCCTAGGACTCTTTCTGGCTTCCCAAACCTCTCTGCCTACATACAGGGCAGGCTGGAGGTGACAGAGAATTAATCCCATCTGTCCCGAGGAGCAGCCCTCAACCAATACAACTGATAGGAGTTGGTGTGTAAATACTCCAGCTCCCTTGCCCTTCTAGTGGGATAATTCCAAATTGTGTTCTACATTGTCTCCTGAAGTTTCCCCAGCAGGATTGGGTTCCACATTGACATATATTTTATTCCCTGCTTTTCTCTCCCCCTCACCTCCCCACTCCTCTAACTTGGATCACTGAATCCAAGCATCTCCTTGGATCACTTCCAGAATAAACTACTTGCACATACATCCTTATCTCAGGATCTGTTTCTGAGGGATCCAAACCAAAACAAGCTCTGTATAGAGAGTAAGTGATGGAGGAAATTGCTCCAGGATATAAAAAAGGAAGTTGAATGGAACTAGGAAGGCATATAACAGATACGTGACTGGACATGGATATTCAAACAACACAAAATTCGGAGCCATAGAGTAGTTTTCCTTCTATTACTTTAGAGTCCTGTGTCAGGAACTGGTCACTAGATCTCTTCAACTATTTGCTAATATTCAAAAATATGCAAATAAGTCAAAACCTGTTCTCGTTTTACCATTTTCACAAGTTTAATTGGTCTTCCCTGGGTTCATTACAAAGCTGAGGGTGAAATTGAGGGCTTACCTTATTTTATTTTATTAGGGTATAGATTTCCAGGGAGGAAGAATGAAAAACAGGAAGAGTCAAGAAAGGAAGTTGAAAAGAGCCTGCGTTATAGAGACGGCTGCTGCTGGGGAGACCGATTACTTAATCATGGACTGAAGCCTTTGGAAGCCATATAAGCTACAACCCAGGACTGATGAGGCTGGGTGTAGCAAGAAAGAGGAAATCATGCAACTACTGGCTCCCATCACCAATGGCCCAAAGGCCAGATTCCAGAGGACGGTTACTGGGAAAAGTGGACAGAGTTGATCTTCTCATGGTTGTCTGATCTCTCACGCCCAATAATGAAGAAAATGGAGGGAAATGGATGGTGACCTCAGACTCAATCTTTCCTTCTCACTTCTTCAATAGGTGGAGTGTCCTGACTTTCCAGAGGCCCATGTAAGGTATTTTATATACTTTGTAAGAATTTAGCAGCTTTCTTAAGAAAGGAAAAAAAACTGGGGGGTGGAGGGCAGAAATGAGAAAGTCAGGGCTTCCTTGAGCTGAGCTTCTCTGGCCCTGATATCACAAGGCATGCTAGCTCCACGAAACTCTATTCTAGAATTGATTAGGTCAGAACCATTGCCTGTGAACTCATGCAGCTACTCCATCATAGTGTGAAGAAAGGCACAATCTTCCTTCCAGAAAGAAGTTCTATACCGACAAGGAATACAAGGCAGTTCAATTATGTCATAATTGATTCTAATTGGTCCTCCCATGGGCTGTTAAATTCTTCATTTGCAGCCTAGTAGCACATTAGGGAACTTAACACCTCTAACTTGCCCTGGAAAACGAGAGAAGTTGTTTAAAAAGACAAAAAAAAACAACAATGGCAACAAAAAAAACCCCACCAGGTAGTTGAGCCTGGAAAAAGAGAACCCCAGTGAATAAGTAGAATGACAGCCATTTCAGGAGCAGTGTGGAGGAGCTCTCAGGGGGAAAATGCAAAATTTCAGGCTGCCTTCTAACTGCAGAGAAGAAAAAAGTTATTGAGGGATTATTGTTGATAATCATGGAGCGTTTCTTAAATTGACAAAACTTCCAAGAACTTTTTACTTTCCTTCATTTCCCCAGTATTTATGGACTCCATCTAGTTGTCAGGTGCTGGGTCAGAGCTGAAGATGCAGAGTGAAGGTGACATACATAGAGTCTGGCATGGGAGAGCAGACTCTAAATGACACCAGGACCTGAACTGTCTGGAAGAGCATGTAATGAAGAGGAGAAGTGGAGAACTGGGCAGGAGTGCTTCAGGCAGAGGGGAGAGCAAGTGTAAAGGGCCACAGGTGAGAGGGGACACAGCAGGTGCAAGTGACCGACACTGCTACATTTTACCTGAATCCTCTGCTCCTGGGCAACAGCGAAGGTTCAGTAATCCCTTAGTCTTTTGTGTTCAGAACAGTCTGCTACAAGGAACTTCCCTTCTCCATAGGACATAGAGAAGACTCAAGGATGACCCGTGACAAAGCTAGGCATAGACACAGGCCCTCCAAATTCTTATGCTTTGCCTTATAAATGATTAGCTGAACTGTTTGTCCTCACCCACCAGTTGTAACAAAATGTCTGTTAATCAAACCTGAAGATTTTCTCTCCTTTCCCCAGGTCCCTGTACTTTGGTCCTTCTTCAGCCCAAGCCAGCATGCAGACCTTCTTCAACAGCAGCTCCTGAGAAGAGGCCACTTCTGAAACCACTGTCACATCATCCCACACTCTTCCATCCTACTTCTGAGTCACACTAGGCTCTTTCTAACCTTGCTCACCCTCCATAAAAGAAAAATGATTTTTGCCTAACTCTTGAGAAGCTTGCAGATCTTGCGGTCAGAGCATTCCTCTTATTCTAATAGTCTTTCCCTGTACCCTTATAATGCTCCTTTCCAGTGAAGTCCCTCCCTTCCTGAGTCCTGATGTGTTTTTTACTTGACATGGCTGAGCATGGGCACTGGTAGTTTTTTTTGTTTGTTGTTTTTTTGTTTGTTTGTTTGTTTGTTTGAGACTGAGTTTCACTCTTGTTGCCTGGGCTGGAGTGCAATGGCGCAATCTCAGCTCGCCACAACCTCCGCCTCCTGGGTTCAAGTGATTTTCCAGGCTCAGCCTCCTGAGTAGCTGGGATTACAGGCACCCGCCGTCATGCCAGGCTAATTTTTGTTTGTTTGTGTGTTTTGTTTTGTTTTGTATTTTTGTAGAAATGGGGTTTCACCATGTTGGCCAGAGTTCTTAAACTTGACCATGTACCAGAATCCCCTGGAGGCCTTGTTAAAAAACACAGATGTTGACCACTGCCCCAAAGGTTCAGATTAACTAAGTCATGGAGGACCCTGGCATTTGCCTTTCTAACAACTTCCCAGGAGAGTCAGGCTGCTCAATTGGCACCTCACCTTCAGATTCACTGTAGAACCCAACAGAGAGAGGAAAGTGATGGGGCAGCTGCTGGAACATGCAGGAACATGGAGACTTTAATCTCAGGGAAATGAGGAACCACAGAAGCATGAAAACCAGCAAGCACTTAATCACATCTGCCTGTTTTGGAAATCCCTCCATCTAAAGCTTGGAGGACAAACTGGAAGGAACAGAATCATGGAAAGTAGCTTCCCATGAGGAAGCTGCCTCATGGTCCAGGTGGGAAATGACAGTGGCTTGGCCTGAGGTGGGCAGTGCAGTGCCAGTGATCGAAGAGAAGCAGAGATTCAAGTGGTTTTTAAGCAGCAACAGGCATGAGGCTCAGGGGCTGACTGGAGGTGGAGAATGAGGAGGAGAAAGGAGTCACGTGTGATCCTTAGCGTTCAGGTGATAAATGGTGTGCATTATGCCAGGAGGAAAGCCAAGAAGAGGAGAAGCTCAGGAGGAAAAGCTGAGGCTGTTGCTACCTGGAGTTTGGTCTGCTGGAGAAACCGGGAATGAGGATGGACAGTAGGCAAAAAGAAGGTTCTGGAGGGTCAGAGTTTGGTCCGGGCCGGTGAGTGGCTTAGAGACCATCAGTGAAATACATATGGCAAGTGAAGCCGTGGTAATGGGTGATGTCACACCAAAGAGAGGACAGAGTCATAAGGAAAAAGATGAAAAGCAGACAAATAGAGGAGGGCCCTCCCGGGCCCAGACTAATGCCAGCCTCAGTGCCTTTCTCAACACAGTCTCATACTTTTCATGCTCCCATTTTCCTCATAATTTTACAGGACTCCGTTTTCTCTCCCCTACTAGAATCTACCTGGATAACTCTCCCATTTATTAGTAGTTTGTGCCAGCTTTTCCAGGCAGTGCTTATTTTTCTTGGAAAAGGTATTTGGCAAGATAAACCATATTTATTTGTGAATGTTTATTTTTTAAGCTATAAAAAGAAAGTTGACCAATATGAGAAATGTCTTCTCCCTCTGCTCTTTTCTTCTGGTGCCATGCAACAGATAGAAGAGTCAGAGTTGAAGGGCCAACCCAAGGATGAAGGCACTGCCCGCCCGCCTGTGGTGGGCATGTGGATGAGGAATCCGTGCCTGCACATAGCACTCAAGATCCACCACACTGACTTCTTTAAGGGAAATAAAATGGAGCTCTCTGCCCCAGAAATTGTTCATCATATGGTTGTGCATATTTATATAGAGACTGTTATATTTTTAGTTGGAAGAAGGTGGGTTTTTTTCTCAGTTTCTATGGTAAATTGCTTGTAAAGTTTGCATTTGTATAATGAAAGTAATAACACTGAATCGGTCCATTTGCCCAAGCAGGAAATGCACCCTATTGTCAGGTTTCGAAATACATGAACCTTTAAAAACAGAAGCCATATGAATGGAAAAACATGGAATGCTTTTTTAAAAAATGTAGTATCCTCTGACATGAAGTTAAAGTCCCCAGATGCTCCCAACTGTACAGTTCCCTGGGGCAGTGGATGTGCACTTATTCTTCTTGGGGAAGTGGGGAGCAGGGCCCTTCCCGCATGACTCAGCTCATCTTAGACTTGTGCTGTCCGATGGGGAACAAGCCGCACATGGTTACTGAGCACTTGAGATGCGGTGAGTCCACATTGAGATGTGCTGTAAAAGTCAAACCCACACTGGATTTGGAAGAATGTAAACTATTTTTATGTTGATTTCATGTGGAATAATAATAATTTTGATATATTAAATATTATCAAATAGGTTAAATAAAACATATTATTACAATATCTTTTCACTGTGTTAGGTTTTGTGCTGTGAGTTTGTTAGAGTTACCATTAACCAAGTACCAGAAACTAGACGGCTTAAACAACTGATTATTTATTGTCTGACTATTCTGGAGGCTAGAAGTCTAAAATCGAGGTGTCAACAGGGTGGGTTCCTTTGGAGGGCTGTGAGGGAAACATCTGTCCAGGCTTCTCTCCTTGGCTTGCAGAAGGCTGTCTTCTCTCTGTGTCTATTCCCCTTACCTGCCCTCTATGCATTTTGGTTTCTGTGTCCAAATTTTCCCTTTTTATAAGAACATCAGTCATATTGGATTAAGGCCCACACTAATGTCCTCAGTTTAATTTCCTAACTTCTGTAAAGACCCCATTTCCAAATAAGATCACGTTCTGAGGTATCAGGGATTGGAACTCCAACATAACTTTTTGCTGGGACTCAACACATAAAACACTGTCTACTTTTCTTTAAAAATGACTACCAGAAGATGTAAAATTATATGTGTAGCTCACAGTAATTTTCTATTGGATAGCATTGCTCTGGAATGACTTCTCTCCCCACAGTCTGGCAGTATAAGTGGTGGGGGCAGAGGAACTATGGAGAAAAGGGAGTTCTGAGCTTTCCTGAGATGCCAATAATCTGAAAATGCACCTATTTAATGACATGATTGTGGTTCCCATAATTCTGGGAGAAGTCTCAACCTTAATTGACCTGGGAACTCCGTCGTACTGAAGGTGAATGAAAGTTTATTGTATTATTTCTGTTTTGTTGGGATTGGCTGAAGAGAGAGTGGAACATATTTTATTTATTCATTTATTCATCCATTTATTGATTCACCCATGCATCCACTCATTCACTTATTTAGATTATTTTGCTCTTTTGGAGGCCTAAGGTTTGCACCTCCAGAATATCCTAAAAATCTTCTTGACTTAAGTATAGAGTTGGAAGATAAGAGGTGAGCAAGATAGGTTTTAAATAGGAAGGTAGATGGTATTCTGAGCTACTGAGAGAAAATAGAAAAGAGGTCCATGAAAGGAGAGAGAAGAGTTATGAAAGCAGGAGACAGGGACCAATATTCAGGTTGTATCTAAGAGTTTCCTCCTCCTCTTTTCTCATGCATATGGAAGAGTGTGGCTTTTTTAGGAAAGTTTGCCCAGAAGTTAGGTATGAACTCCTCTCACTATACATGGTTCCTGTCAGCAGTATGGCACCTTATTAGTATTCAAGGCCTTGAAAATTTCTCCTTTGCCATAAAAAAAATGATATAATGATTAGAAGGAAGTTATTACCAATTCCTGCTCTTTTTTTCCTGAGCCATAGAGCAAAATTATTCTATTTAGCAAAGGCATGGAAGATGAGCATAACAGATTCTTGAAAAGTATAGAAATCTTATTTTTGTCTTTGTTGAATTAGGTCTGAGTTGACTCCTGTGTAAAAATCAAATGTGGGCCCTCGCCCTGGGTGCATAGAATGTGGCCTTTTTGTCAAGGTTCTGTTGAGTTATTTGTATTTCTCAAAGAAAGCCCTTAGAGACTGAATTACTCAGAACTAAAATTAACTGTAGCCTCTCACTTCCTAGATTCATAATAATCCCGGGTAGAACAGGGAGCATTGGTAGGCATCCTCATCTCCCTGGATTGACCTCTTTACTATCCTCCTTATCACTATGGCAAAGCACATTTCCTTTTCAGAGAAGAGACACAAAACTATTCCAAGTTGGCAGAATTGCCCAAAGGCGATAAGGCTGCACTACATTAACCTTCCCACCCCACATGCTCCTGTCCCCAGTAGGAGGGAAAACAAGACTCAAATTAGTCTGGGTTATTCCTGATATACTTAGGATAGTTCACAGATTTCAGTCTGAGTTTTCCTCCCAGGTTTGGACATCTCCAGCAAAGCTTGTTCTGAGATAAAGGAGTATGTCAGTCACATAGCTTATTTCTGACTATCTAAGATTCAGGAGATAAACATTTCTTGCAGTAATTGCCAGCCACATGGCTTTATTAAATGCTTACATAAAAGCACTTTAAAGGCAGTGCCTGACAGGAGGGCCTAAGTCGACCATGGAAGAAGTACTTGGCAGAGATGATTGGTCACATGTAAATATCACATTAGTACCGTGTAAAGTTGAATTAGTCATAAATCAATTGGGCAGCAGTACACCATGCCTTTGTTTAGAGAGTTAATACGCAAGACAGGGCATGGTATCTCCCAAACCAGAAACAGGAAAAAATAGAATACTTGCCATAGGCCTTTCCTCATGTTATTTTAATCTAACTGGCTGATTGAAAAGTCGTCAATCTCTTCACTTTGTACCTGTGCCTATTTCTTATTGTAATGCAACAAACCCCATCTGTCTGAGGTAGCCATGTTCTGAGAATTTATTTATTTATGATCATACTTTAAGTTCTGGGATACATGTGCAGAATGTGCAGGTTTGTTACATAGGTATACAACTGCCATGGTGATTTGCTGCACCCATCAACCCATCATCTACATTAGATATTTCTCCTCATGCTATCTCTCCCCTTACCCCCCACCCCCGATAGGCCCTGGTGTGTGATGTTCCCGTCCCTGTGTCCATGTGGTCTCATTGTTCAACTCTCACTTATGACTGAGAACACATGGCGTTTGGTTTTCTGTTCCTGTGTTAGTTTGCTGAGAATGATGGTTTCCAGCTTCATCCATGTCCCTGCAAAGGGCATGAACTTAGACTTTATTCCTAAGTCACTCAACTTTTTAGCATTTCTTAAGCTGGTTTCCTGCCAATTCCTGTTTTAAGATCATATGTGTCAGCTTGATATTCAATTTAATTGATTTAAATCCAATCAAGTTTGTTTAATGAATGCCCTCCATGTATTCACACCCTTTACCCTGAGGCTTTCTACCCTGGAGGTGCCCATGGGACTTCTTCAAGTCAATGGGAAGTTAGCAAATGGGAGGAAAGTAAAGGCTTAAAAAGCATCTTTGCATCTTTGCATTTCTGCTTTCTCTCTTGCTTTTCTGCAATTTCTTGTGATAACAGCTACAGGTTAGCATAGTAGAGAGATGTGGATGATTCGGGGAGGAGACCTGAGTTATCTCAGTGGAGCCTATGGCAAACCAGCCAGCTCCAGTCATTCTGCCAGCACATTTCAGACTCAGATGCAAGCCCAGCCCTGATCAGCCAAGCCTGGCCCAGGCCAGCCAGTCTCTCAGTCAACCTGCAGATTTGCGAGAAAAACAGAACAAAACAAAATACTTCATGCTTTAAGACATTATGTTGGAGGTAATTGTGCAGAATTATTGTGGTGATAGCTGGGAGAAAGGGAAGATTATAGAAGGTGGACATATGAACATTTTTTGGCCAAACAGAAATTAATAATGCATCTTGTCAAATGAATATAAATAAATCTTGCCATTGCAGAAATAATATGCCATTTGACCATTCTATGCTTTATGCCAAAAATCTGACATTCCTTAAAATTTGCTCGGAGGCTAGAAATATTGGGAGAGCTGTCTTGCCCCTACTCTGAGCTCTGTGAGCATCCAGGTATGGGGTTTCTCCTGGGCCTTGGTGGTAGTATAGGACCAGTTTCTTCCCTCCTGCAGAAATCAAGGTAACCTTTCCTGAATTTCCAACAGCCCTGCAACAGTCTAATCCCACACGAGCTCCAAGAAAACAAGTCTGTATGCTTAGTATTGTATTAATTATTTTCCTCTGAAGCTATAATCAATTTGCCTTCCTTCCTCTTGCCTTTGAAAGTGTATTTGTGAAGCTTTTGGGCTGAAATAATGTTGATGATACCCTAGCCAAAGAATTTTCTTATTTGCAGAAGGACCTGTCTTTCCCGAAAGGAAATATATGAGCACTGCTAATCTATTAAAAAGAAAAGAAAGGCAAAAAAGAGGTTTCCCTGTTTGAAGCAGTTTGGAGAGAGTACAGTGAAGAAAGATCCTCTTCCAACACCCTGCTTTTTCCCTCTGCCACATCCCCTGGCTTTCCCATGAGGGGCCCTCTAGCATCATAGACTCATGCAGAATCAGCGCTCCTCAAACCTTAACAAGTATAGGAATCACTGAGTCTTGTTAAAAACTCGGGTTCAGATTCAATAGCTCTAAAGTGGGGCCTGAAATCTGGATTTCTCACTAGCTCTCAAGTGATATGATGCCGCTGGTGCAGGAGTACACTTGGAGTGGCAAGGACTTAGGATATTACAGAACAACTTGAAAAAGATGGACTTGTCTGAGTTCTTCCATTGGCAAAGAGGGAACGTGACTCCAGGGAGGTCACATTTAATGTCAGAGCTGGGAATCCTCATACACAGATCAATGCTCTCTCTTCGCCATCTTTCTACATTACCCAAATCCCCGCAAGTTCATACTAGACAATAAAAGAACTGGTTAATAAAGAATACTGACCTGACCTTCATGCATGCTTTTCCTTTCTGCTGTTAAAAGAAATTTTCACTTGCCAAAAGACTGGTTTTAAAATCAACTAGTTCCAGGAACTTTCACAGAGCAAAAACACATAAAAGACTTCTATTTTACTTGTTTAACTTTTATTTTAAGTTCATGGGTACATGTGCAGGTTTGTTACATAGGTAAATGTGTGTCATGGGGGTTTGTTGTACAGATTATTTCATCACACAGGTATTAAACCTAGTACCCAATAGTCATTTTTTCTGATCTTCTCTCTCCTCCCACCTTCCGCCCTCTGATAGGTTCCAGTTTGTGTTGTTCCCCTCTATGTGTCCATGTGGTCTTATCATTTAGCTGACCAGCAATCCCATTACTTTGGTTGTATACCCAAAGGGGTACGAATTGTTCTATTATAAAGACACGTGCATGTCTATGTTCATTGCAGCACTGTTCACAAGAGCAAAGACATGGAGTCAACCTAAATGTCCATCAGTGATAGACTGGATAAAGAAAATGTGGTACATATACAACATACTTTGCAGCCATAAAAAAAGAATGATATCATGTACTTTGCAGGGACATGAGTGGAGCTGGAGGCGATTAGTCTTAGCAAACTAATGTAGGAACAGAAAGCCAAATACCACATGTTCTCAGTTATAAGACTTCTAGTTTAAAATAGCATCTTGTTACAACTTCTTACATACCACTAAAACATATGTAAATGAACAGACGATAAAACAACTAAAATAAAACAAGCTGATCACATCACCCAAAAACAAGGAGTGCTGAGTAATCTAGTTTCAGAATTTGGAAGGAATGTCCTCTCTCTATGAAGTCCTTGTTCATGAGACAAAGCAGCTCTATTGGCTGGGAAACATGAAGACAAAAATGCCTTCCACCAATTTGACACTGACTCAGAATTTGGTATCTAAACTTCCCCTCCCTACGAGGAAAGCTGGCAGCCCTTCCGTGCCTGGGTGTTCTTTAGTAAGAGAGGCACATCAGGCAATTTGCATAGCAGAAGACATCGCCTAGTCCAGCAATGTCATACTAGATGAACACGCTTCGATAGCATGATGCACTGGAAACTACACACATTGGCACTAACTCAGTTCAGCTTTGACATGAGAGAGGATTTCCACTGTCACCAAAGTTGGCAGATGAGCTCTGGCTTATCCACAGGGCCTGTGCCCTGATTAGGGTCCAGAGAAAAACTCCTCTCAACCTAAGAAGAAAACAGCAATACAGGATCCCCTTAAAAAACAAAAAATAATAATAAAATTTAAAAAACTGTACAGATTAAGGGAAAGATGATTTCATGAAATCTTGGCAATGAGTACATGGAAGGAGGCAGCATTTTTGGCTTCCTGGGCCATGCTGCATGCTTTGCTGAGCATCCAGCCTCTCCCCCACCTCTCCGTAACTGGCTCCCTCTGCTCTTTATTCAGGTTTTAGTTCAAATGGTAGCTGCTCAAGGAGTCCCTTCCTCACCCCCCAGATTAAAGTGGGCCTCCTGTTACATCCTCTCAGGGCACCCTATGATTTTTTCAGTATACAATTGTTTGGGTGATTATTTTGTATAATGTCTGTGCCTAATAAAGGTGTCCCTGAGCACAAAATAGATGTTCAGCAAACACCGTTGATTGAAAGTCTGAGTCCTATTAATACAGAAGACACGTCTTCATCTATATAAAATAGAAACAGAAAGGTATAAGAAAAAATAACGAAGATGATTATATAACCTCAGGGTAAGGTACAAAACAGTGAGCTGAGATGAAGGTGACTGAGGAGATAGGGAAGGGTTTTAAGGACACTGACGTTGTAAAATCCAATTAAAGTCCTCACTAGAGCTAAGATAAAACAGATGCAGCATTGCTGAAAATCTAGTTCATGATGGGGCAGAGACTGTGAAGGTCAGAATTGAGATATTTTTCTCAGAACTGAAAGGAAAAAGATAAAGAGACAAAAACAATATGGTATAAAATTAAATACAAAGAGTTAGGGGATAAAAATTTAGCTTAAGACTTATAGGCATACCTGATGAGACAAAACAAGGAAAATCAGAACCAAAGACAATAATGATCTAAGTTTTGAAAAAGAGAAAAGAGTTCAAGAAAGTACTCAAGTATGCTGGTTAAAAAAGCTCACACATTCCAACAGACAACCAAACAAAAACAATAAGAAAAAACATTACAACTTGACAACTACTGGATGCATTTTTGAATTAGCAAAACACAGAAAACAAAATCCAACAGTGACATGGTAAGAAAACACAAATTACTTCAAAAAAAAAAAAAAAGGAAAGAAATGTCAGGAGATAATGAAGCAGAGTCAAGAAAAAAACAAAAAAGGATTGTAATCCAGTAATTTCCTACACAGTCAAATCGGCATTCTTTGGACAGAAGAAAAATAAGGTCTTAAGTATGCAAGTCTTAAGAAATTATATCAATCCTGTACCCTTTCTGAATAATATTAATAGTACATTACCAAAAGTTTACATTCTTTCCGAGTGAAGGATGATTCAAATTAAAATGTCATGTTTTATTGTTAAAATATACACTCACAATGTAAATTTAGCAGTCATAAAATGGCATGCATAAAATCACAGCTTGCCAAATGCATAAATTAAAAACTTTAAAGATGAAATGGACAAAATTGCAACCAATGAAGAAGCCTTCATTAGTTTTCAGCCTTTGATAGATGAGGAACACAAAGATAAATAAATGCATAGTTTAAATAATATAAAATAAAAGCTGGAATTTGTAGGGAAATATATAATCTGTAAACAAAAAATATATCTTTTTCCTAATTTTTCTTAACATCTTTACAAAAATTGATCATGCATTACCATCCACAAAAGATTACAATTTCTTATTAACAAAAATTACATTTGCTGCATGTTCTAGCATTTATGTTTTAAAACTAAAAATTGCTAGAAAAACTTTAAACAAAATAGAAATATAACAGACTTTTGGAAAACATAAATTTTGTCATAAAATAAAAAGCCAGATACAGTGCCATGCCTGTAGTCTCAGCTACTTGTGAGGATAAAGTAGGAGGATAGCTTGATTCCAGACCAGCCTGGGCAATATAGTGAGACCTTTGTCGCTCTCTCAAAAAACTAAAAGGAAATTCTATTGTTTGTAACAACATAGATGAACCTGAAACCTGAAAGACATTTTGCTAAGTAAAATAAGCCAGGGACAAAAAGGCAAGCATAGCATGTCCTCACTTACATGAGTAATCTAAAGAAGTTGAACTCACAGAAACAAAGACTAAAAAGATGGTTACCAGGGTCTAGGGATGGGGAAAATAGACAGACATTGGTCAGTTGCATGATACGTAAGTCCTGGAGACATAATATAAAGCACAGTGACTATAGTTAATATATAATATACTTGATATTTGCTAAGAGAGTAGATCTTAAGCATTCTCAGCACATATTCATACCAAAAGGTAATTATGTGAGGTGATGGCTATGTTAATTTAGTTTGATTGGTACAATAATTTCAAAATATATATGTATATCAAAACATCACATTGTATGCCTTGAATATATAGAATTACAATTCAGTGAAGCTGAAAAACATGCCTAAAAGTAGAGACAGTGTCTTGATTGATCCTGCAGAGCAGGGTATGTCTCAAACAGACTCAAGCCTGTTTGCCAATAAATGTCTACAGGTGAGACAGAGCAATGTCTGAAACTTGGCTTCACTGTAATGTTTTAGCAGGTCTGTGGAGAGCAGATATATCACCTTCTCCATTACAGTAAGCTGCTAAAGGTTCCCCAGAAGAATAAACTGGCTGAGCATGACCTAATCAATTTAAATCACTTCCCAATAGGACACAAAAATGCCTAAAATATAGCAAATTAATGTCCCATTTTAACCTACTATAGAGACTTGTAGGTGAATAATTTTTCACCTCACTGATTTAAGGTAAAATATTAGAAAAAGTTATTAGTATACTGCTAGCTATTAAGGCTTAAAATGCAGCTATTGTGACTAAGAAACTCATTTTCTCACTTTTATTTAAATTAAAGTTAAATTTAAGTTGTCACAGGTAGCTAGTGGCTACCATATTGAACAACATAGGTACAGAACATTTTCATTATTACAGAAACTTCTTTGGGGGTGACATCAGAATCAAGAAGTTAATACCATGACTCTCCTGATACATTGCTTCTCTTGATTGCATTCGTAGTCCCAACTAATAGGATCCCTGAATTCTCCCTGTTCTATAACTGTGTATTCTCTTCCCAGTTTGAATCTGGGCTTAGTTGTGTGACTTGCTTTGGCCAATGAAACAAGAAGAAATGGGATGCATGCAGAGACTTTCTTGCCCTGGCAGTAACCATGAAGACATGCCCATGCTATCTGATGGAGACAGCTGAGACATATAGGGAAGAAAGTAGCGTCATCCCATTTGAGGTCATCCTGACCAGCTGGGCTCTAGCTGACCCAGCAGTTGACTGCAGATGCATGAATGATCCCAGCCAAGATCACCAGAACCACCACACTGACCTTGAGATTCACAAGAGACAATGAATGGTTATTATTTTAAACCACTAGGCTTGATATACTTGTCCTGAAATATCAGCCACAATCGAATTCAACTATTGACCCAGCTGTTAAACATAATTGGATAAGAGGAAATAGAGTCTAGGAAGATGGTGCAAGTGAAGGATGACAGACTCCAGTTCTCGTTTAGCCTTACTGGCCCACCCCAAGGTAATTTCTTCCCCTTCTTCCCACTCAAAAGGAATGCCCACAAAGGACTTTCTGGTCTCTTTCCGCTCTGTTACTTATTTCTTCCACAGAAGGAGTTGACAATCAGATGTATCAAAGTATGAAACATTTGATCAGATATTGTGGGCATGAGAATTTATAAAAGGCAGTGTGTAAAGTCTCACCCATTCTCTTTTACTTCCTGATCACCAGGAAGCTCATTCTACTTGACACCGTGCTGTGAGCATATCTGCAGGGGCCCTAGGCCTGCTTTCCAGAGAGAAGGACCATCCTTGTCCACGTGACCTACTGGAGAGGAGGTATCAGAATCACTTCATTGCAGAAAGAAGTAAAAATGCCAAATTATATCATTTAGATTCTGAGTAAGAGATGGGTGACAACACCCATTGGCCCCAGAACTAAAAGCAGCTCAGATATTACTTAAATATGGGATTAAATTATCCAAAACTTAAGTTCCAGAAATTAACAACCTTGTGATTTGCTTCTCTTTTGGCTACAGATTCTGTGTGCATTTTTTGCATGGTCCGACTCTATGGGAAAAAGAGAAATAAGAGGGAGACAACCCCTCATTGCTCATTAAAAAATCATCTGATTAAGTTCATTTAAACCCAATTGTGGCTAATTTTCTTTGTTCTGTATACTCCTGAAATAAATGTCCAAAAGGGAAAATTTCAGACATTATGATTAAAATCAGTTTAGGAAATCATAAAGAGAGGTGTTGGGGAAAGAAGATATTAATAAATTATTATATCTGTTCTTGAAGAGCAAAACCTTAGAATATCTATCTACAGTTCAAGTTGGTAAAGCTATTAATATAAAAACAATGGTATTATGACAATGATAGGAGCGAAGGAACAGAGTTAAAGCCAGTATCTTAAATGAAAAACTTGAGATAGGGTTTGTGCCTTTAAATGAACCCAGGTTGCCTAAAATCAAAAGACAAGGTGAGAAGAATCAATTGAAATCCCATATAAAATGTTGGCACTCCAAAGACTGCAATATATTAGACATTACTGGAGTAAATGAAATAATTAGAGTTTTTTCTTTTTATTTTTCACTCAAATGTGAGAATGTAAATTTGGAGCAAATATATGGAAAGGTAACATTCTGCCTTAGAGCTTAAAAGTGTCCTCCCATTGGCAAATCAAACCCAAAGGTGGTGAGCACAGAGAACTTGGTGAATGCAGAAAAGGAGCTTGTATCAACAGAGATTTCAACACCATGCAAAACAATTGTTTCTTCAAATTTTCTTCAAATAAATGACAAATGGGGCCGGTCAAAGCAAAATCGTGAATCAAAGCCTATCACCATTCTTGTACCAATCTCCCAAAGCTTGCTTTCTAGTCATCTTCATTCTATCTCAATTCACTGAAACCATTGTTCTTGTTTACCCCAAAGAGTCTGTGTTTTGGAAACTTGCTACTCAGCATATGCTTAAAGAAAATTGATTGTGTTTCCCCTCAGAGAATATTAGTGTTCTCCCACACCTTGAGTGTTTCTGATATATAGCCCCCAAGACCTAATTCAGTAGAGTCCACCACTCTCCACAACAGTATTTCAACTGTGTACCTGCACCCTGTTACTTACTTCTCCCACAGGAGGAGGAGCTGATAATCAGATGTATCAAACTATGAAACATTGGATCAGATATTGTGGGCATGAGAATCTATAAAAGACAGTGTGTAAAGTCTTACCCATTCTTTTTAACTTCCTGATCACCAGGAAGCTCATTCTACTACAATAGGTGATAGTCACCCATTGCTCTGTAGCAGATCATCTAAAAAATGAGTGGCTTAAAACTACAATCATTGTTCTTTTATCTCTCATGGTTTCTGTGGGTCAAGAATTCAGGATCAACTCGGTGAGGTGGTTCTGGCTCAGGGTCCCTCATGAAGTTGCAGTGTTAGAGTCATCTTGATGCCTTCATCACTTACATGTCTGGTGCCAGGGCTTCAGAAATGTAAACAACTAGGGGCTGGAACATCTGAGGCACCTCAGGCTTTAATTTCTATCTCTATGTGGTCTGTCCAGGTGATTTCTCCAGCATGGTGGCCTTAGTGTAACCAGACTTCTTTCATTTCAGCTCAGGGTCCAAGGTGCATGTCCCAAGAAAGAAAAAAACAGGAAGAAGTAATGTCACCGCTAATTTAACTTTCAGAAGTCACAAAGAGTTGCTTCTACCCTACTTTATTGATTGAGGCAGTTTTAAGAGTCTTCAGTTTAAAGGGAAGGGAAATGAGACCCAATATCGCAATAAGGGATAGTACCACCACAGTATAAAAGAGCATTCATTGGTGCAGCTGTTTTTGAAAGATGCAGTCTGTCCCAACTTCTCTTCTGATGGCCCACAAATTTTTTTATTTGTCCTATCTGATTATCATTATAATAAACAAAAATAAAGTCAAACAAAACAGTTTGTCAAAGCTAGAAGATAATGTTAATGTAAGATATAGCAAAATCAAGATCCAGAATTATCTCTTGGCAGACTTGGGCTGTTGAGTTTAACAAGATGAAGTTTATAAAGGGCCATGTGTGGGAATTTAAAAATAATTCTATGAATACATAATAGGGAACTCCTGGCTTGGCAGAAGTTCACATGAAAAAGAGCTGGGAATTGTAGTTGATCATAAGCGTGGTATATATCAAGAGTAGGATGTGATTGCTTAAATATAAGAGAAGCTGATCCACATTTAGTTTGTATTTATGGAATAAAATGTTCGTATCTTAAGAAGTAAAAGTCCAACATCCCCTGCATTCACTTAACCATTGATTCACACGATAAGTGTTTATTGAGTTCCTACCGTGTGCTAGGCAGCGTCCTAGGTGCTAGGAATATAGTAGTAAACAAAACACACACCAAATCCTGCCTTCATAAAACCCAAAACTAGTAGAAAGGACAAATAAGGAATGAAAAAAAAATTCTATAGGAAAAAGTGGTAAGAAGAAAAGGAAAGCAAAAATAGGAATATATGTTGGGAATAGAAGGGTTACAATTTTAGATAAGTTGAGTAAGGAAGTCCTCATTGAGAGAGGCTATTTGAGAAAAGATATGAAGGATGGACGTGAGCAAGCCATGCTGATCTCAGAATGAAAGTTCTAGGGAGAAGGAACATCTGAGGCAAAGGCCTTGAGTCGGCAATGCCTGGAAGTGAGGAGCCCAGTGTGACTGGAGCAAAAACAGGACTGGGAACAGAAGATGATGCAGTCAGAGAGGCTATCAAAGATGGATTGTCTGGGGCCTTGTGAGTCACGATTGGAGCATTGGATCTCATTCTGAGTAAAGAAGGGAGACATCAGCTTCAGCAGAGGAATGACGTGATCTGACTGGAAATTTAACCAAATCAGCAAGAGTAGCCACTGTATGAAAGGGGTCCAGGGAGACTGGTTGGAAGACATTGTCAATCACCCAGGTAAGAGATGATGATGGCTTGAACCAAAATGCTAACAGTGAAGATGTGATGTCCTCAAATCCTGGATATACTTTGAATGGACACCAACAGAATTTCCTTATTCATCAGATATGGTTGATCTGATGGAAGAGGTTTATCTGATGGAAGTTTTTCAGGGCAGTCAAGAGTAATACCAAGAGTTTTAGCCTGAGCATTTGCTAGAGATGAAGAAGATTGCAAATGAGAATGTTTTCAGTCAAATAATAATAACTCAGTTTTTAACAGATTTATTTTAAATACCTATTAGATAATCTCTATGGTACTCAGAAAGCCAAATGGAGAAGACATTTCAAGTAAGAGAGAAGCTGGTCATCTACTGCTGAAAGAGTAAGTAAAACAAGAAATCAGAATAAATTTACAATGAGATCTGTAAATATGGAAATCATTCATGGCCTTGGTTGAAGCAGTTTTAGTGGTGTCATGGGGACAAAATTGATCAGAGTGGGCTCAAGAGAGAATGAAAGAGGCAAATAGAAGCCTGCACTAGCAACTCTTTCAAGGAGATAAGCTATACAGGGAAGGTAAGAAATAAGGTAATGGCTAGATAGTGTTAGGAATGGAAAAGTGCTTACATGTTGTTGGGAAAATTCCAGTTTAAAAAAAAAAATGATGAGAGTGACAGAATTTCTAGACTGATATCTTTAGAAAGTGAGGAAGGGATGAAATCTAGTGGACAAATGGAGGGACTGCCCTTAGCTAGGAGTATGGGCAATGCTGAGATCCTAATAGGAGAGAAACCAAATATAGGGCATGGATGGAACTAAGCAGGGACAAGTGGCAGTGGGAAACTGCAGGAATACTCTTATGCATGTTTCCATATTCTTTATGAAATAGAAAGCAGAGCCATCATCTGAGATTGAGGATGAGGAGGGAGGTGTGGAGGAGTAGAGCAGAGATTAAAAGGTATGAAATAGTTTCCTAGGAGATTTGAGAATAAATAAATAGATCGGGGAAAATTTAAGTACCATATAGCGGTAAGAGCCACTTGAGGTTGATGATAGGAAGTGAATGTGAGACAAACAATCATGGTTGTATGTTTTTTTTTCAGCCACTTTCAGCTCTAGGTGACCAAGTATAGGGCAGACAGAAAGTTGGATTTAGCAAAGACTATGGCTTAGTTTCACAAGTACTTGTGTTTGTTGGCAAAAATGTGATTATAATGGCTGGCCACAGAATTTAAGATGGATAAGGATTCTGTATGGTTTTGAGGGACTAAGAAGAGGTGATAGCATCAGTTATTTGGAGTTCTCAGTGGGATTTAAGAACTACGCAGGTGATGTATCAGAGGGAGTGAGAAGGAAGGTGTGGAAGTGGCAGTGCTAGTGTGAGATGTTTGACACTGAGAGAATGGAGGGGGTACAGTTATTGGCAATGGCAGTGTCTCAGGTATGAAGACCCAGTGTGTGTGAAGTAGGGTGCAGGGCAAGAGTATGCCAAGAGAAGTAAGAAACTGAGCCACCAAGACATTAGAAATAGAGTCTGACAGATATCTAGGAGCTAAAACGTCCAAGTAACAGAGTCCACAAGCCATTGAGTTGACAGATAATTGCAACAAGGGGGGAGTAGCAGGTGGAATATGGCAATGGCCTGGGATTCTAAGTTGTAGGGGGCAGTGTTTAGAGAGGAATTTGGGAGATGATTCAGAGATCGCACTAAGGAGTGAGTAGGACACCTACCCCATCTTCAGAGTAGCCGGCACTGACAGTGTGAGAAGAAAAACAACCACCAGTTGATCTACAAAGGAAGCTAAGTGCTAAGCTTTCCACTAGAACAAGAAATGAAGGGAATGTTGTCAGCCACTTTAAGATTGCCCCTCAACTTAGACTCTCAGGCCATTGCCGTATTCCACTGGCTACTCCTTCCTTGTTGCAATTTTCTGTCAACTCAATGGCTTATGGAACTCTGCTACTCGGATGTTTTAGCTCCTAGGTAACTGCCAGATTGTAGACTTTATCCCTACAAGGGATAAAGAACATAGTGAAATTTGTCCTTATAGACCCAAAGCCAAGAATGGCCTATAAATTGTGAAAATTAGAAGGAGGAGGAGGTGAGAAGTCTTGCAAAGAATATGCACTTTCATATTTAGAGTTCTGTGTTCCACTCCTGGATGCTGGTTTAGGGGAATATAAATGACTGTTTAGATGAGAAGGCCCAGGATAAGGAGTACAAAAGAATTCCATTTTAGGAAAGTCAATAGAAGAAACTGGGAAGGTTTGGTTGGATCTCCGGCAGACAACTGTCCTCAAGTGGCAGGGGTGTTATAATGTAAGACAGTTAGCTTGCGACTAATTGCTCCAGAAAATAGAACCAGATCCTGTTGGCTGGAAGTCATGGGAAAAGAGGTTTCCTAAAAAAGGGCTGAATTCCCCCCAATAATGAAGCGAAGGACAGCTGCTGAAAGTGTTACCAGTCTCATCTCAGACTGGTAACAAATAGTTTGCTAATCAGCACTGGTCTGGCCACTGGTCTGACTGCTAATCAGGCCAGTGTTGATTAGCAAACTATTTGTTACCAGCTTGAGATGAGAAGAGTATAAAACCTGAGTACAAACATTTAAAAATGTTTATGAGCAATCGTTCTATGTTACACTTACTTATTTTTTGAAATGGTATTTTAAGTCTATTTACACAAATAAAAAAATGAAAGGTTGTATTTTATACGCCTTTGGATTTTATTTTTCTAGCTTTTGGCTTTTATTGTATTTTGTAAACATATTGGTCTCATTCATTAAAAAATATATATATTTTTAAAAAGCAGATTTGTCACCATAGGTAGCCAGAGGGTTTGAACTGATCTAGGGTATCACAGGAGGCGTTTAACTGCCCATTTAAGAAAGTCTTCAAGGAGAGGCAAGGCTTGTCATTCACAATGGTAGAGCAAAATGAAATGTGGACTAGGAGACCTGACTCTACTCTCAGTGAGCTAAAGGTAAGTATCTGAATTTCACTGAACTTTAATCCCTCATCTGTAAAAGAGAAATGATATTACTTTTACTTGCCCTATAAGATTAAGATTCAAATGACATGATCAATGGAAAGGATCTCTGAACACATATCATAGGCCCTATGTAAACTAACTCTGCTTCCTCAATGCCACATGTGGACAATTACAGACTGATCATATAGTAATCACTTCGGAGTGCATATTAAAAAAAAATTAAAGTACTCATCCCTGGGTCCTACTCTCAGAGGCCAAATCTGTCAAGGAAGCAGCCTAAAATTGTGTATTTTTTCTTCTTCTTCTTCTTCTTTTTTTTTTTTTTTTTTTTGAGATGGAATCTGGCTCTGTCACCCAGGCTGGAGTGCAGTGACATGATCTTGGCTCACTGCAACCTCCACCTCCCAGGAGCAAGTGATTCTCCTGCCTCAGCCTCCTGAGTAGGTGGGATTATAGGCACCTTCCACGACACCCAGCTAATTTTTAGTAGAGATGGGGTTTTTGCCATGTGGGTCAGGCTGTTCTGGAACTTCTGACCTCAAGTGATCTGCCTGCCTCCATCTCCCAAAGTGCTGGAATTACAGGCGCAAGCTACCACGCCCAGACAAAATCTGTATTCTTAACAAGCTCTCCAGGTGACTTCTTATTCACAGATAGATTTGAGAACCACTAAACTAGTTGTTTTTAAAATAACCTACTCTTTACCTATCTGGGTCCCTCATCATGTGCATGTTTGTGTGTATGTGTGTGTGTGTGTCTGTAATTAAGCTAAAATGTAACATTCATACAATAAAGTGTACAAGCTGGGAATCTTAAGTGTACCGTTTCATGATTTTTATGTATATATGCAACCCCCATAATTATCACCCAAATAAGGATGTAGATCACTTCTAATATCTCATAAGGCTCTCTAAAGCCCCCCCTGTATACACTCACCCAGAGATAGCCACTCTCTGCCTTCTATCGCCATAGATTAATTTCACCTGTTCTTGAACTTCATATAAATGGAGTCATACAACGTGAGTTCTTTTTGTCTCATTATGTTTTTCACTCAATATATTAGTTCATTCTTACACTACTATAAAGAGTTGGCTGAGACTGGGTAATTTATAAAGGAAAAAGTTTTAATTGACTCACAGTTCAGCATGGCTGAGGAAGCCTCAGGAAACTTACAATCATTGCAGAAGGCAAGGGAGAAGCAAGGCACCTTCTTCACAGGGCGCAGGAAGGAAATGAATGCAGGAGGAACTACTGAACTCTTATAAAACCATCAGATCTCATGAGAAGTCACTCACTGTCATGAGAACAGCAAGGAGGGAAACTGCCCCCTGATTCAATTACCTCTGTCTTGACATGTGGGGATTATGGAGATTACAATTCAAGATGAGATTTTGCATGGAGACACAGCCAAACCATATCACTCAACAAAATACCTGTGAGACCCATCCTTGTTGGTAAATGTACCAGTAGTATGGTTTTTTTGGGTTTTTTTTTTTTTTTTTTTTAATTGCTGGCCTTTCAGTTCTTGGCAAGAGCTGTCAATGGTCAAGTTCAATGCATACTCCAGCCCACCAATACATAGAAAAAATATGTATTTATATCAAACTGTTCATAAATTGTGCATATGATAATGGTGGTGAATCATAGCTGTGAACTTTGATATACAATACCGATAAGAGGCTTTTATTAGTGGAGTTGCCTACAGGCTGCTTAACAAAAACTAGAGTTTGAAATTTGACTTCAGGGATTATCACCTAGAAGGTTTGAGTTTGATGTAACAGTGAGTTTAACTCAGCTCTTTTTTAACCTCCTTCATTGAAATCTGTCTGGCCTGGGGTAAAGCCTTTTTTGCATATGGCTTAATAGAGCAATTTTAAACCAGAAAGAATAAAGAAAAAAAATATGCCAAACAAAAACAATGCTGATTTCTTTTCAAGCATATTGTGAGAGTAAATCATCAAAGCCATTCTCTGGGGTTCCAGGGAAGGCATCGTGCAACAAAGATATGAAAAGTCTCCTGTATTCTCTGGGGCCTGCTATATAGTTAAACAGAAACACACAAACCCACAGCAAACTCACTGGGCTCTTTGGAACACTGTAACCAAAAAAATGAACAGTAGTCTAAGATACTTTTTGTTTTACCCCTTGTAACAAACCATTGTTGCCCTTCTTGGGTTAGTCTGCATTTATTTGCAAACACAATTTTCATGTGCTAAAGTTCAGTCAATAAATAATCAATATGTTGTTATATTGACAATAAATTGTTGTGGATTTCTAATTTTTGCTCCTTAGCTTTATTGCATGTCTCACCATATCCATGGTGGTCTTTTGCAGTATGGAGGGGCACTGGAAAGCAAGTATGCAGAACTCAGATTCAAAGACCCTCCAAAAAGTCACACTTGGGGAAATTTTTAGTAGTACTTTTAATGATATTGACAACATTGGTAGCTATGACTTACAATGCTTTTTACCTAATTGATTTCATTTAATCTTCAGCAGCGTACTTCGAGACAGAGTAAGCCGTACTCATTTCACAGATGAAGAAACTGAAACTAAACGAAAGCATTTTATTTTTGCCTGATGTTTCCCAGTAAGTAGGTACTGTGCTCAGTATTCAACTTCACAATTTCTATTTCCAAATAGCATGTTGTTTTGCTTTTATACAATGAAATGTTTCTATTAAGAATAATTTTCAAAGCATGAGAGAAGAGAAACTCTGAATCATTCCCACATTAATATCAAAATCGTGTTTGTAGCTGTCCCACATTCCAGGCTCTTTGGCTATACTCACACATTCAGTGTGAACAGATATCCCCTGGAATGAAGGAAAAAAATTTCAGTTTTTTATCTTTCTCTACCAAGAGTCCATGTGCGGTTTTAAGTCACTTCTTAACTTCGCTCAGCTTCAATTGATCATTAGTAAATAAGCCTATTGCTCCTATACGGTCTTCAAGAGTCTTCATTAGCTTATGTTAGGTCCCTGTAGGGTGACTGTATAAGGAAAATATTTTATATGCAGAAATGTTAGGATGCTGCAGCAGATGCTTCTGGTGCATTGTATCTCATTGCCTTGGCCCACCTAATTTCTGCACAATGGGGGTGGGGCATGGGTCAGTGAAGTGTGCATCTTAGCCATGAAACATTGCCAAACTGCAAAACCCCAATGCTCCGGCCATTAACACCCTCAGGGTCAGCTCTCCACTAGGGTTTGAAGAGAGCCACTGGACAAATATTCCTGCACCTTCATCTTCCTATAAGTCTGGGGAATTTTCTACATAATTCTCAAATTCTCAGCGGGACTGAGCCCCAGATTTTTACAGCAGCAACCAGATGATTAATACACCCTTCTTGGCTTTTCTCTCTTTCCTATCCCACTTTCCACACATCCCTACTTTTGCCCCTGGGACTCACTTCCAAATAAATGACCTCCACTGATATTCTTGTCTCAGGTTTTGCTTTGTGGAGAACCCAAACCAAGACTTTAGGCTTTAGAGAAGTGTTACCATCTGAATGCAGAATTGGGTGGTATACAATATATTAGTAACTAATGTAGATGCAATTAACCATTTTAGGCTATTTCTTTACCATTCTCTGTAATACCTCACTGATAGTTCTCTATGTGTACCTGTGAAGTTTAGGGAGAGAGATGAGGATATGGCTTAATTAATGTGTGATGTGATCTTTTTGCTAAATGGGAGAAATTTTATGAAATCTTATTTGTAAGTAGAGAATATTAGATGTGCCCTTTCACATTTTCTAAAATTATAATCTCTCATTTAGTATCCCAACTCGTATGCTTGTCTTAACTAAATTGGTTTGAGCGTGAGGGGTGTTAAAGCAAAGATCTCCACCAGATTTCTCATAGAGTGATTTTCATTTGAAAACTGACAAATTTGACTACAATAATTTTCTACCTTATTCGTCAAGATAAGATTGATCGTGAGCCACAGAAACGTTCATCTAAACTGCCAAGTGTCCTGTTTTTTCTGGGCTTTTCCTGATTTTAGCTCTTAAAACCCCATTTCCTTGGAAAACTCTTCAGTCATGGGAAAAAAAGGACAGTTGGCCACTCTACAATGTCTCATCCATCTTGGTCTACATCGTTTGAACACCACTGTTTAGCTTATTTTGAGTAGTACACCCAACCCTCCTGTTGATTCAGGTCTTAGCATTGTCTGTCCTCTGTAAAATTACTCCATGGGAAACCGAGGGAAGAAGAGTTACCCTATATAGGGGAATGGTACTGAGTTTTCCAAAATAAATATGGAGGAGGCTTAGGTAGACAAATATGTTGTCCATGCTACTCTGCAAGGTACCTTTCTCTTTCACCCTTCAGATCTCATCATCAACATTTTTTGTTCCCCTCTTTTCCTTTACCATCTAAATAGGTCTTTCTTTCTCATTTTATATTCCAGCCTAACCCTCTCATTTTCTCAGCACCCCAAGAGACTCACACTTTCCTGTGCCATCTGCACTACCAGATTCAAATAAAAATATGCTCCAAGAAGCATGTTATTCCAAGAAAGAAATGCATAGATGCATTACAAACTACATATTACAATATGTTATGGAAATTTAAAGTGCCTCTTCTTTCCTTTGGCTCGTTGTTTTGATTAATGTTATTGGCTCTAAACATTTTAAATGCCCTTCTCTTCTTGATTCATGTAAAACATTTTTGTTTAGAGTGTCCGTGGCCATGAAATAGGCATTTTGAATATTCACCAGGGCCCTGTTTAGTGTCTAAAGTAGTTACCCACCACGGGTTTAAAATCCCACAAGAAATATTGTTAAACAAAAAGTTACTGACTGGCCATCTACTGAATCTTTTTAATTTCTCAGTTTAAGGTTGAAGTGGTAAAGTGCATAGAAACTCTACAAGATTTTCTTGACCAAGAAAGCCCTAACATTCCCTCAGCTTGGCTACAATTTAATCAGGTGTCCTCTCAGCTCTAGTCCCCTGATCTCCCTTTTCTTAGAGCATTTACTTTATAAAACTTGTAGTTGTAAAACCTTTCACTGTCCCTTTGATATAAAAAGCCTTGTAAAAGCATCTTGCCAGTTTTCCAACCCAGGAGTGTTTTTCTCAAGGCCCTGGGAACCATTTCTTTCAAATGTGATCATCAAGGAGGACAGGCCTCTATCTCCCAGTTCCTCTGGAAGGGAAGAAGCCTAATTTCCCAGTTGCAAAACTGCTTCACGTCATGAAGACACAAGAGGATTTGTTGATCTTGTGGGAAGGGGTTATATTTAATTTGGATAAAACCAATTAGCACACACAGATGACCTATGATCTTCCTCTCACCTCAGCTCTTAGGAACTCTTCATCTTTTGTTTTAGAGATATTTAGTTCAGACTCAGATCTGGCCTCTCTCCACTATTGTAACAGCCCTGAGTAAACTCTTCCTTGACTGTTAACTTTGTCAAGAGAAATTGGACTTTGACTATCTACAAAAATGCCACCAGCTAATAAAGGAACTGGAATTGTACTCTGGGGTAGCTTAAGGCAAAATGCCCAAGAAGACTTTGGATAAGTCTTTTCTAGGATACCTCATCTTCCCACCTCTTTCTACCTTCTTGGATTCACACATGGAAACACACTCACTTTACCAAATTTCTAAAATTGACCTGGTAATAACTAACTTATATATGGAAAGAACTTAACATGTGCCGAGCACTGCTATGAACACTTTACATATATCAACTTACTAGATCCTCAAACACTTCTATGATATAGGTGGTAGTTTATCCCCATTTCTCATATAAGAAAACTGAGGAATAGAAAGTTTAAATATCATGCGTAAGATCATACAGCTGGGATATGAATCCAGGTGGTTCTAGTTTCAGAGTTATTTATTCACATCTTTGAGTGCATATACCAATTATGGATATCACTGGCATTAATAGTCCCAGTTTTGCACACTTCCCTCTATTGATACCCTGTGGTACACCCTCCCATACTGATGCTAGGCTTGATCATGAGACTTGCTTTATGCAATAGAACAGAAGCAAGCTGGATGCAAGCAGAGACTTTAAGAAGTACTTATGCATTTCAGATTTTTCTCTTTTGTCTCCTGCTACTGATATAAAAATAACTCCAGGCTATCATGATGGAGAACTTAAGAAACAAAGAATAGGGACAATTTGCAATAGCTGAGATCATCCCAGATCAGCCAGTCTCCAGCAGACCCTTTAGCTAAATGCCAATGCATGAGCGAGCCCAGTCAAGATCAGCCAAGCTTGTACCATAGCAGAAAAACTCTACTGGGCAAACCATAGACCTGTAATAAATAATAAATAGTTGTTTTAAGTCTCCAAATTTTGGGGCCACTTGCTATCTAGTAACAGACACCTGATTAAACCACACAGTTTAAAATGCAATGTCCTCAAAAATCTGGTTCCATTGTTTTACCATACTTCTTGATTACATCCCAAGAGGACTCCCACATCCTGTCATTGTTTCAGTCGTTCCTACATGTGACTGACTCTCACTCTACCATCTTAACTTACAAAAATACTGATCAATCCTTTAAGGTTTTAGTAAGCTACTATTTCTTTGAAAGATCATCCATGCAACCCAAAGTGTTTTATTACTGCTTCTAATTCCAATAGCATCTATTGTCCTGACCTCTCCTCCTGTGTTCATGTCTTTTCTCACTGGCTATGATACAGAACACTTCAGAAGAAGGTCATGTTTTATTTATCTTTGGGTTTCCTACTATACCAGCCTGGTGCCTTAGAGTGGCTCAAAAGGCACTTGATAAGGTTTGATCAATCTCACCAATTTTATATATTAGTAGGGGTAGATAACTGCTGTAGCAAATCAAGTCCAAATTTAGGTCATTGACCAAAATAAGTGTTTACTATTTATTTGCCCATGTTATAGTTCAATGTGGGATGATTAGTTGAGCTGGGGAGGAGGGGTTGCTCTACATAGTTTGGAGATCCAGAATCTTGTCATTTTGTTGACCTACCTTTTTTCACTTCCTTGGAGTTCTCTTCATTATGGCCAGCATATGGAACACAAGAACACAGAAGGCTACCTGAATATTTTTGTGGGAAGGTCTGGAAGTGGTGCTTCTAGCTGTATCATCTCTATTTACAGCCTAGGATTCAATTACAAAGCCACACCTAACTGCAACGGAGCCTAGGAAACATACTCAGGCTGACAAGGAATGGTTAATCAATTAAAATCTCAGTGATTAAGATAGATGTTGTCATTTTTCAACTTAAAGTTAGAATAGAAGGTCTCCTCAGCATTAAAGTTGTGGGATAGAAAGTAATAGGATACAGAACAGACTCAATTTGGAAACAGGAGGAAAAACTTCTGTTTTTTTAAGGCAAAATGCCCAAAGAGACTTTGGAGAAGTCTCTTTCTAGGATACCTCATCTTCCCACCTCTTTCTACCTCCTAGGATACACATATGGAAACACATTCACTTTACCAAATTTAAAACTTAATTTTACCAAATTAAAAAAACTTCTACTAATTATATGAATGTAGTGATTTCCTTGGTTGTGGTTTCTTCATCTATACATAGTCCTCAGGCTGGGTAATTTCTAAGCTTCCTTCTGATTTCTGTCCTAATCGCCTATAATTCCACAGGCTTTTCATCTCTGCCTCTGTTACTTTCATTGCTTAATAGACAACTTTCTTTTTTCCTGGAGACTTTAACATGTTTCAATTCAAGAGTTTAAATGTCTTTGAATAGACATGTCTATTCTAATGACAACCATTCTAATTGAATGTCTATTCTAATGACAGTTATGGGATTACCAGCTGTGACAGACATTGATGTTCCCTGTCCATGTTCTGTTCACAGCGTCCCAGTTTCTGCCTGCTTTGCTGATAAATGACTGCATTCTGCACCTTTTTTCAGAGGTCCACTCTTGGGTTACTGGAGTTGCTTTTCCCATATTCACAGAGAACTGGAAGTCTCTGGGAGTTTATATCTCTCTGGGACAGTAGGAATCCCAGAATATTTGCTTTTATGCAAAATTTACTCTGAGATGTATGCTAGACTCCAGAGCTCCCACATGGGATCAGACTGAGACCGAGACTCTACCTGAAAGTGTATCCTTGCTTAGCCTCTTTTCCTTTCCTGTCCTTCTTTCCTCATCCAGTTTCTCCTGGGAGTGCTGCCTTAATAAATCATTTATAGCTGAATGAATCCTTGTCTCACAGCCTGCTTCTGTGGAACGTGCCTTAACATATAACCTTCCCCGATCATGTCAAACACCTACAAGCAAGACATGCCAGGTTCCCTGGAATCTTGCTTGCTTTTCTAGCTTTATCTCTTGCCCCTCTTCCCAGCTTATTCAGTGTCCCATCCTGAGCTATTTGCTCTTATTGCTGAGTTTCTGCATACACTCTTCTCATTGCCCCCAGCCACTCATTTGTTAAGATTCATCTCAAATATTCCAGTGTTGAAGAGCCTTAACAAATTCTCTTCCTTCCCCCATCCCCAACTCTAGGCAGGCAGGGTTTCTCACTTCTTTTGCAAAAATAATTATAGACTCTAACATAGCTCTTAAATAATACACAAATAGTGTGATGGTTAGGAGCCTAACCTCAGCAGAGGGGATCTTGGGCAAGCTATTTAACTTCTCTGGGCTATTTATTAAGAGTAAGAATCTAATTTAATAGTAAAAACCCATCGTCTTCATAAATCCAATATATGGTGTTTAGTAGAGTATGAAACAGATTATATATTCAGTGTTATTAGTATTGATATGAGAGATGAATTTGTTTGTCACCTTAGATTACAACTTGTGAGTACTAAATCTCATCTCTGTATCCCTGATGTCTAGCACAGTGCCTGGCACAGGGTAAACACCCGGTAGTTGATGAATCAATAAATATTATATAAGCATAGAGTACTAAGACCAACTTTCTGCTTTAAAATAAAGCTCATCTACATATAGAATCAAGAAACAAATTCCTAAAATTTATTGCAAATCTCAAAAGCAGAAAGTGTTATAAAAGTAAAAATTCTGAGGTCTGCTAAATCTTTTTATTCTCTCCAATATCTACCTTACTTTCATCCTCAAGCTAATGAAAGTTTTTACTTTTCTTTTTGAAAATATGGTCAACTATGTAAAGAGCATAAGGTCTTCTCTAAACCAATTAGTAAATCTGTGCTTCTTTTCCTTCTCTCTCCTTCCTTCGCTCCCCGCTCTCATTCCTCATTGTTTCAGAAATCCAGAGATGAGATGTGACTATGTATTTTTTCTTTTTCTCTTTTGGTTTTTGATGATTTTTAGAAACCTCTGTCCCTGAAAACCTTGACTCCTCAAAATGAAATTCTTCACTTTGAAGTGATGCTGGAAAAAAACATTCTTTTAATAAATAGATGCCATCAAAATTCTTTTCTTTGGGACTTTGTCTCCAGCTATTTTTGTGAAGAGCTTTCTATTTAGTAAGTCATTTTTTTGAAATCCTTGGAAGTTTTCTGAAAAATAACTCCTGGATTTTCAGTCTTTGTGAAAAGTTTCTAGACTTAAAATAGTTAGAAGCGTGATTTTAGTATATGAGAGAGATTAACTCATTAAATCATAGCCCTGTTTATCTCTGCTTAACATGTAGACTGTCTTAATAATATCCAGCGTGATGTCTACAATAATGATTTCAGATACTTGCCACCTTTTCCTCCAGTGGTCACAGTAGTAGCTAAAGATAGTCTTTTCTCTTCTTAATCCCCAGGGCATTTCACATGTTTGTCTTTTAACATACATCTCTCTCAATGTTGATCTGGAATTCTATTTGTATATTTTTTTCTCTTGTGAAGTCATAAGATCTCGCCAAAGTCTCACACTAAGTCTTGGTATAGTAGGAGCTTTAAAGTACTTGCTGAATAAATAAAAATAGCCACAGGGTGCTTGTGTGAAAGTAAATTAGTAAAAAAAACTCTAGATAATACATCCTTCATCTTTACAAGATAGCCTATAGATTCATCTGAACTCACACAACAATACTGATAATGTTAATGACCAAAACAGTAGAGCAGCCCTGTTCCAGATATGTGCAATTTATTTTTCCAAAGAACATAAAACCTATAACCTACTTTCTCAAAATATTTTAAGCATTTCCATGAAATTATGCAATGTAAAGATGAGAGAGCACAGGAAATGCTACACAAAACACATTTAAATCTGGCCCATATCCATAGTTCTCCCTTGACTCAGGGAACAAAACCAGCTTTGACTACAATACCTAATGCAAATGAATGGGAACTTCACCCTTCAGTCAGATCCTTAGGGGAGCATATTCATTTCCTTTTCTTCCCATTCCCTAATTAGAATCTCTTACCCAGTCACTCTGCCACCAGAATTCTTTGCCTGACTCTGTAGTAGAAGTAGAGTTATGTTTTTCATATCTACATATTGATTTCCTTTGGGCACCTGGCTGAAATTACAAAGAACTATCCTTGCTAGTTCATGCCCCTGTCGAGCATGAAATCAATTTTGTGACAATCTCAAAACCCTTTTCTGTCTATGGTTCCTCTATTCTATTCATTAGGGGTACAGCAAAAGTAGTTTTAAAGCAAAGATATTTTACTTAGTTTGAATATGCTGCTTGTAGATGGTTTAAATTTTTAAGTGAAATGAAGATTCAGAGCAACACAAAATTATGTAGGATTTGGCATACTATCTTACTTTTACACAGTGGAATAGCCTTCCTCTTTGTATAAAGAGTAGCTTTATGAATTCTTAGAATTCATGAAGAATTACCTGTTGAAGCAGAAAATACCTGTTTTACCAATTTATTTAAATAATTGGTAGCTATTCCAGGATATGTTAAAAACGTTGATATAACATCATTAATTGCACTTATAAATTTTCTTCATGATTAATGGATTAAAACAGTGAGTGTCAACTTCTTATAAAAATATGTCTTCAGTCAGATTTTCTAGAAGCAGAGCCTGAGGCAAGGGTTCTTGACCAAGCGACTTACTGAGCAAGAGCTCTCTGGATAACGGAAATAAAGGAAGCAGGACAGGGCAATGATGTGGAGCCAAGCAATGATGTGGTCTTAGCTGGAGTCCAGCCTAGGTCCCACAGGGTGCTCTGGAGCATGCGTGCTACCACAGAGTTGGTCCAACTGGAGAAAAGAGAGTCAACTTTTTTGTCTTCCTTACAGGTCAGTCATTAGCTCTGGGTTGTCCGCAAGGGGAGAACATAGAATCTCTCAGTTATTTCTAGGTGAGATGACTCTCATAGGCTGACAGGAACCCTCTGGAGAAGGAGGCAGCTGGGAGCTGTTAACAACTTCTGCTTGTAGCAGCAGGTATTGGTACTCTAACCCTGCAAAGTGGACCTGGGCAGAATAGCAACAATGTCTGCTACCCACACTTTCAGGACTAGCCTAATCCTGAAACAGGCATACCAGGATCATGAGAAAGATAAGCTCCTACCCTAGTTTTTAGAAACCAATCATGATAGGTCCATACCTGTGCTTGTCTAACACACAGTCCCTTGCTTCTTGTAGTTCCAGAGTACTTAAAATGTGAGAAGATTCTATTGAGATGTGCTGCAAGTGTTAAGTAAATAGTAAAATATCTTGTTAATTTTTTTATGTTGATTATATAGTGAAATAATTTTACATATTAGGTAAACACAAATACAGAATCAACTCTTCATAGACAGGTGAAATAACACCGAGCTTGAGTGAAGATAATTAGTAAACTGCCCTCTAGTAGTGAATGAAGACCATTTTATAAGATTAAAACTCCTTCAAAATGCCTTCTTTAAATGGCTTGCCCTTAAGTATGGTGAGTGTAAATGGAGGATGATGGAATGGCTCTCTGCCCTTAATCCACAATTTATCTGCATGTAAATAAAACCTTGAATGCAACGCAGAGCTTAAATTAATAGAGACTTATCAAGAAGTCAAGAGAAGTACAGTCCAGTGTTGATGCAGGTGCTCTACAATATCATCCAAAACCCAACACCTTTCACATTGAGTTACACTGATTCCTTAAAGTTGTTGGCCTATTCCTGCCTCACAGTCACAACATGGCTACCACACCACAGGCATCTCATCTGTGTTTCAGGGCAAAGGAAGAGAAGAGAGTAAAAGAACAGAGAAACATGCCAGCCAAAACTGTTTATTTTTATCAAGAAAACAAGCACTTTCCCAGGAGTTACACACACGTATTTATTCTTAGATCTCGAGAGAACTGGGTCACATTGCCACCCCTGAATCGATTACTAGCCATGGGAAATGAGATCATCATGATTTGTTTAGAACAGCACTGTCCATTAGAAATATCATGCAAGCCACATATGTACATTGTAAATAATTTAGTAGCCATATTTAAAAAGTAAAGAGAGGTGCAATAAATTTTAATGTTTTATTAATTATATTAATTATTGATGTATTCATATGATCTAGTATATCCAAAGTATTATTGTTTCATTACATAATCAACATAAAAATTATTAACAAGATATTTCACATTTACACTTGAAGTGCATCTCAGTGGAATCTATGCACATATTAAGTACTCTAGCACTACAAGAAGCAAGGGACGGTGTGTTGGACAAGCACAGGTCTAGACCTATCATGATTTGCCCCTGAAAACTAGGGTAGAAGCTTATATTTCTTGGGATCCTGGTGTGGCTGTATCTTGAGAAATCATGACTCTGAAATAAGATGAAAGGCGGCATAGAGGGCTGTCGATATTGGGTAGGGAAGAGACAATGTTTATTCCAGGGCCCATCTAGCATCTCTACTGACCTGTTTTAATGGATAAAGTCTCACCATTTCTAGATTTTTCTATGGTTGGCTTTTCTTAGTTAGAACTCATATTCTTGAGGGATATCACTGAATATGAATGCTTTTCGTGATATTATAGCTCTTCTCACATCTAATATCAGAATCCTGTAATAATGAGCCAGAAAAGAATGCATTTGGATGTATTTACATAATCTGCAGCATGGACCATTTAGTAAGAGCAGATTATAAGTGAGGTGCCGTGTACTGTAGGTGATGTGGGCTAAGGTGAGTGAGGAAATACCAGGGGAGCCTGAGCACATTGAGCTCCTATTGGGAAGAGCATATAGAACTAAGCAGTCAACTGGACATTGAGACTCTGAAATAAGAAAGGAGACAGAGCTTCCTATTTCATATTTTGCTTATATTCTGATTAGGTATTTATACTGAAAGAAGGCCAACCCCTTCAATGAGACCAAGGATGAGCTTTATGATATTCCACATTTTAGCAGATACTGTTCTTAGCCCATCCTGGAGGACATCTGCAGCTCTGGAGGTCAATTCCTGACCATGCAGGCAGCTTCCTACTCAAGCCTCCATGTCTACCTCTGTTTGAGGTCTTTTGGCAAATAAGCAGCTCTGGTTTAAAACGCTGAAAGTTCTGGGATATTAACGTCCCTCAGGGTTACCTTTTAACTAATTGGGCATATGAGTAAATAGATAAATACCCCTTCTTCTTCAGTTCTTGGGGGATCAATGATAAGCATACTTTGTACAATCTCTCTGAAGGTCTCAATAGGATTGAACCTCAGTTACCCACAGAAATGGCTTACTCATTAATCTCCCCTTCATTGGCCCTCCTTCTTCTTCCTTGTGCTTCTTCAAATCACATCACCAAATACGTCCCCACTCAAACCCTTATCTTGGTGTTTGCTTTTAGGTAAATTCTAAAATCAACACTTTGTACAAGGGATAATGTCTCAGTATAGTAGATTATATCTTGAAAATCATGACTTTTTAAATTTTTTACTAAATTATATTTTGAAGCCTAAAACTACTAGGCATACTTTCCTCACCCTACAGTCTCAAGAAATTCAAAAAATAGGCCATGCTTACAAAAGAATCATGTTATAAGTATTCACTTTTGAGTAATTTTTTTAAAGGTAGGAAGAACTGGTTAAAAATTCTTCTTAGTATCCAGGTGCTCTTTGTTTCACCCTACCAAATCTAGAATATGCATGCAAATAGGGTATGTGCTGTGCTGATCAATATGACAAGCATGATCCATACACGGCTAAATCAACATTATGTTAAATTTCAATTTCTTAGTTGCACTGGCCATACTTCAAGTACTCAATGGCCACTAGTGCTAATAGCTACTATATTGGACAGTGCAGAAAATCTCTAACGGACATCACTATGCTAAGGTCTCACCATTGGCAAATACAAGAACAATGCTTCCTCTTGTTCATGGTAGATAGGCTAATTAATCATGCCACACTTACCCTTGAGATTTTCTTTAGCTTCAGTTTTTCTAAAATCAAAACTCCAGATTGTCACTTATTGGCTTAAAAAAACAAAGGTTTAGTTCTTTCTTGGAAAAATTGTGAACGGTTCAGGTGACCCCCACAGTACAATCGTTCTCTTACAGAACGATTCTCTTACAGTGCTGAAGCACTCTGTAAGCTACCTCCATCAACTGGGGGCTCGAATAGTTTTTCTTAAAGGCAGGACTTGTTAAGAACAGAATGTTCTAGAGTATTTTAAACTGGCTACATGCTGGGAAGTATGAAGGGATATTTCTCCAGTCTTTACTGAGTACCCAGTAGTGCTCCTAGAGATAAAACTACAAAAGCCTAAGTGCCCTCTAAGGCTGGGTCCCCATGGCCTTTTTACCTCTCTGACCTATTCTCACCAAGCCTCCAGCAATTCATCAATGACAGTTATGGCTTTTCTACCCTGGTACTGGTTCTCATGAACAGCAGTTTCTCTTTGTGAATTTCTGCTCTGGTAAATTATAATTTTCTGTATCTGCCTGTCTGTTTCTTCAATTTTTAGGGCAGCAGTTTGTCCTGTGACCTCAATTCTCCGATAGCTAAGAAGAGTTGTTGATTTTCAGTTTCCAGTTTTTTACTTGTTAGGATGGAGTGACAGCTTCCAAGCTTCTTACCTGATGGACAGAAACCAAGATGCACTTTCTTTCTTTCCTTCTTTTTTTAATGAGTTTTATGTTTCTATTATAAGGTAAATGGACTGTGTTGCTTTCTGCCCTGCCCCTTTATTTTTCTTTTCCCACTCTGGACGTTCTGAGCTAAAACCCTCTCTACTATTCTGAATAAGAGTGGCTTCTTTTACTAATGTCTTCTTCCCTGTGGTTATTAACTTTCTCCACCCCAAGTGCATTGGGCCTAAAACTCATTACCTCTCAAATGTTCTCTTTACCCCACTTACAAAAGAAGCTGCTACAGCGACTTAGAGTCATTATGAATTCTTTCTTCATACAGTGATACATCACTTCATATCAAAGACTTATTAGGCGTATGCTGCAATTTCAGGTCAACAAAAAACAAAAACAGTGAGGAAATTGCCATGGCCATTTGAACTTTGATATCTGCTATTTATTTATTTGTATGTCCCCTGCTGGTCCAGTTCTCACAGTACAGTTTCCATATTCAAATTTTTATGACTTTGAAATAAAAAAGATATTGATTGGCTTGCCACACAAGGTGCAAGATGTTCCATTTGGTTATTTCTGGACAGCCAGGAGCAATGTCAATCTGTTCACTCTCTTCCTCCAAACCCTATTCTTCCCAAGTAAGGCTCTGTTGAAGAATCTTCTCTGTTAATTTACTGGAAGAAGGAATAAAACTCAGCTAGAGGTGATAGGTAATAGCAGATTGCTAAGCCTTCATTATCTGTAATTTCATAGCTTTGTACTGGATATTACTAGTAGTGTGAAACACCAAGAATCAGTCTGACTGTTTTTTGGGTTTTTTTTTTCTGTATCAATTTTCCCTACAATTGGCTTTTACATCAACTCATGAATAGTTAAAATATATTTGCCTCCTGCTTCCTCCTGGACATTTTTACAGACTTGCTGGCTTTAAGCAGTCACATTACAGCAAACCCAGTGTTGCCTTGCGAGGCCAGGGAACAAGCTCTCCTAGTTAATCACGTTGCCTGATTAATAGAGACTCACAGATTTTCAAATAATTAGGAAATACATCTAACAAACGTTCTGTGTTTAACAGAATCTAATTTTCTTTGATGACGCAGAGAGCATTTTTACATCTTGTGCTACTTAATCATCATTGCTAGGAAAATCAATTGCTAGCTAAGCAAGATTTCTAATTGATACATGCCGATAAAACAGCTTTTAGAAGTCAACACACCAAGCTCTGTTCTTTTCAGGAGTCTCTTATGTTCTCTACAGTTTGAACCACAGCTGCATGTGGTCCTCTGTGATATCCCAGGTGACGGCGTTATCTAGGGGAACTCATTTGTATCCAGTGTGCATCTGTGTTTTCATCTTCTTCCTGTTTCCCTTTGCTTGTTCAGCAAACATTTCCTGACTATCAGCTCTGTGTCTGGCACTCTCCTGGACCATGGGGGCACATGATTCCTGCTCTCATGGCGCTTAGATGCTAGGGAGGACAGACAGAAAAGTATTCATTCACCAAATGCACATGCCACAGAGCTATGAAGAAAATAAAACCAGGCCACTTGAGAGAGAGTGACCACGGATGGGGGGCTCTCTGTAAAGGTGGCATCTGAGTAGAGGAATGGAGGGTTGATGGAACATGGCATTTGATTATCTGAAAGAAGAACATGCTGAGGACAGAGGAGATAGCAAGGGCAAAGGTGCTAAGAAATAAGGTTAGGATATGCTGGCAACAGATATGGTGGAGGTGATTGCAGAGTTCGGTGGGCAAGTAGGAAGCTGAGTTTAGAGACAAAGACAAGCATCAAATCAGGCAGTGCTTTTCCATCACTCATGTTTGGTTCTCTTAGTCTTGTCTCATGTTTATAAGCATCTCATACTACAGACACAGCCAGATCCTACCCACACCTTGACAAGGTGGCAGATCTGGGCTTTCTCTAAAGACTGACTTAGAAGACAAACCTGGAAACCAATAAGGGCTTGCCTCCCAAGTCGACTAAGTTGGCAACCTCAGATATAAAGAACCTAAAGCCACCTTTGTCAAGATGCCAAAAATGTCACAGTTATAAGCCAGTGATTGCCCATAAAAATGCTTCAGTATATCACATGTTACTGTGTGTGTTGCCTAATTGAAGGCAATATCCATTTGCTAATCCAGAAAACACAGTCAAATGTTCTCAACCAGCACGTTTCAGGAAGGGCTTTACTCTAGACATGGCTACTTCAAGCCAGCCCCTTATTTCTATCGGTGATTAACAGAAATATGGTAGCACATTCAATGTCAAAAATGGGTTTGTATTGCTGAAACTATGTCTTAAAAATAATGGATATTATAAGTGTGCTCTTACTGGCCAAGTTAAAGGTACTCAGGATATGTGGAGTCATTCTTGGGACTCTTGTTTCTCTACATATCTACTCTAATCATAGAGGCTTTATCAAGTCATTAGAACAACCTTTTTCCCTTTTCCATGGCAAACCTTGTCAGTTTGATGTCTTCCGGGACAAAGGTTGGCAAACTCCTGCCCATGATCAAAATCAAAATGCAGTCTGTTCTTAGTTCTTTTATAGCCCAGGAGCTCAGAATACTTTATATATCTCTTAAAGATATATATATCTTAAAGATATCTTAAAGATATATATATATCTTAAAAGTTTATATAAAACAAACAAAAAAAAATGTGACAGAGACTCTATATGGCCCACAAAGTTTAAAATATTTATATTCTGGATCTTTGCAGAAGAAAAAAATACTTTGTAGACTCCTACAGAAGGCAAAGAAAGGGGTATTTAAGAATTGCTATGCAAAGGAGCACCAATTTAAGAGTGCAGTCTACTCGCACCACCCTCCTAACTCTCAATACCCCTGACCCTGCCCTACTTTGATTTCCTTGGAACTTTCCATCTTGTAATACACAATAAGATTTAAGTATTATGTTTATTGTCTTCTCTATGTCTCCCCTTCTAATTCGAAGAATGTAAACTCCAAGACGACAAGAATTTTTATCTGTTATCTTCTCTAAAGCAAGTTTCAGGAACAATGCCTGGCACACATTACAAGCTCATAAGAATGTTTTAACTAAAAAAATAAGTGGATATGTTCATAAAATATTTTTGAGGTGGCATTCTTACTCCAGGTAGAACCATTAATTCTAAGAGGCTGTCAGTTTGGCATGTCTCTAATCCTACCAAACTGTCTGAGGGTTCTTGGAAAATACTTGTTGCTGATTATCCTCAGACTGTTTAGAAAACAAATGTCAAAAAATGGTACAGACATATCAAGTTTTTTCTCTATAAAGATGGTTCAACTCAATATAAAACATCATTTCGATCTCATATACTTTTGAAAGATTATCTCATCAGTAGCTCTTTTTGCATGATCAATGTTACGAAGAGCAGCCTTTGCAGAAGCAAAATTGAAAGTGTGACATCTCCCAACTGCACTCCACTAGCAGTTACAATCTCCTCTATGAGGTCTGAAATCCCTTTGACAGGTAAATAGGCTGTTTTACTCTTGCAGCGAAATAATATCTAAATGCAAGAGCCTAGGCAGGAGAGAGCACTGGCTTACATTCTTAACAAATGTGAAATCTTCCTGAGGGTAGACTTGAGCAAAGATAAATGTGAGCAGGTGTACACAGAGAAATATGAGCCAGAGAGAGGAGATCTAGAAGTCTAGAGGCTGGACAGGATTGAGTATAGAAAATTCAGACTTATCTACCAATTTAGGGACAATTCAAAGACAAATTTTTAATAAGACTTAAAATTTTGCTGTTTAAATTTTCAGTTACTACCTTTTTCCAAACGGACTTGCAAAATGGAAGATGCATTTTACAACAGATAATATATCTTTTGTTTCAAAATTTGCATTTCTCCTTTGAGTATTAAGGTACGAGGATCAAAAATATCCTCTTTAACTTGCCTTAGCAAGAATGCATTATGTAACACACACTTTGGCCCTCTAACTTTTCCATCCGAAGTTTTCCTTCATTTTTGCTTATCTGTTGACCATAAGCTGTCTGATCATATTAAATAAGACAAAATGTACCTCTCGTATTTCATTATTTTCCTCCAACTTTAAAAAAAAATCTGAAAACACATTGTTTTCCTTCCACTTTTTTAAAAATTCTGCATCTTAGCCTAATGGAAAATCTGTTTTCCATAAGGTGATTCCATCTATTCCTTGAAGTGGTTGCAACCATCTTAGCCTATGAGCCTGAACTAGTGACAACATACTAAATCACACATAACTTTTCTTCCTTGCATTAAAGATGTATTACCTGTAACAAGTCAGTGGTCTCTAAGAACTTTACTTTAAAAATATAATATACACTCTGATCTTACCTTTAGTTAAAATTTTGAAATTCTATAATGAATTCTGTGCATTTACTTTGATTTCTAAAAATATTGCATAAAAGAGCATCCAGACAAGTCTGCAAGATGGCAGACTAGGAAGCTACTGGCCCTTCTTCCCCCACAGAGACACCAAGTTAATGACAATATATGTACCAAAATACCTCTGAAAACTCTAGAGACCAGGTAGGAGGCTGCAGCACCCAGGCCATATAGAATCAAGATGAAATTCCAGAGAAATCTGTAGTAAAAATCAGGGCATTTGGCATACCTATTGATTCCTCTTCTCTTATGCAGCATACCATAAACCAAGTGGGAGGAAACCTATCTTACAGGGCTCCTCTTTCCAAATGCAAACAAAAGGGTGGACCATGTATTGTCTTGCCCAGGAGCAGCCTGGGGGACTGGTTTCTATCTGGCTTGACTCAGAGCACTGAGGCATCAGGTGCCAGAATTTGGAAGTAGCTGAAATCAGGGTACACAGCATGCTAGAGGTGCAGTTCCAAAGGGAGACACAAGGGGGATGAAAAGATTTGAAACCATTTGAGAGGGTCTAGAACTCCCAGCCAGGCTGACTGGTGAAACCCCTCGTCTGTGCAAAGCCAGTATACAGGTCAGGGGAAGAATTAATCAACAACAAAGCAGAAAAACATGGCCCATGTTTTATAAAGTAAATAAAACGTGGCGCAATCAAAAGACAGAAATTGACCCTAAAGAAATGCAGATCTATGAACTGCTTTACAAAGCATTTAAAACTGCTGTCATAAAAATGCTTAATGAGTAAAAGAGAACACAAATGTAAACAAAATTAAGCAAAATTTTATTTACACAAAGTAAACAAAATTAGAAAAATGGGATAAAAATATCCACGGAGATGGAAACTATGAAAAAAATTAACAGAAATTCTAAGCTGAAAAATACAACAACTGAACTGAAAATGTATTTGTAGCATTCAAAAGCAGACTTGATTAGGCAGAAGAAAGAATCAGGCATATTGAAGAAACTTCATTTAAAATCATTGAGTCAGCGGAGCAAAAAGTATATATAAAAATAATAAAGAAAAGTGAAAAAACGTCTAAGAGATTTATGGGTCTCTATTAAGCAACCAATATGTGTATTATGGAAAATCCAGAAAGAAAAGAGAGATTAAGGGGCATACAACTTATTTGAAGAAATAATGGTTGTAAACTTCCCAAATCTGAGGAAAGAAATTGGTATAGTGATTGAAGAAGTTCAAAGGGCTCCATATAGGATAAATCCAAAGGGAACCACACTGAGGCATATTATAATCAAATTATCTAAAATAAAAAACAAAGAAAGAATTTCAAAAGCAGTAACAGTAAAGGTACTTGTTATGTAGAATGGAGTTTCCATAACATTATCAACGTATTATTCAGCAGAAATTTTGTAGGCTAAAAGGAGTGGGAGAATATATTCAAAGCCCTAAAAGAAAAAAAAAAAACAAAAACTGTCTACCAAGAATATTGTGTCCGGCAAAAGTGTCCTCTAAAAATGAAGAAGAAATTAAGATGTATTCAGATAAATGAAAGCTGAGAGAGTTCATTACCACTAAACATGCTCTAGAAGAAATGCTAAAGGAAAACCTTCAACTTAGAATGAAAGAACCATAGATAGTAATACAAAGGCTTAGAAAATATAAGGTTCTTTAGTAAAGGTAAATACATGAACAAATATACTAACCTATTTTATTGTAAATTTGATGCATATAATTTAAATGACAAAAACATTTTTAAAATACTATATATATGCCAATGACTAAACAATATATCAAGATGTAGGTTGTGAGATCAATAACGTAAAGTGAAGAGGAGACCTGCAAAAGAATAGAGTTTTAATATGAACTTGAAATTGTTATTACCAGTTTAAAATAGAATGCTGTGACTTTAAAATTTTAAACAACTTAATAAATTTGAGAAGACTCAAATTACTAAAAGAGAAATAAAACAGGGAACATTATGGCTAATACCACAGAAATAAAAAATTAAAAGAGAACACTATGGACAAGTATGTGCTGACACATTGGATAACCTAAAAGAAATGCATAAATTCTTAGAAATACACTGCCTACCAAAGACTAAATCACAAAGAAATAGAAAAATCTGAAGAGACCTATCATTAGTAAGGGTATTGGATCAGTAATCAGAACTTCCCAACAAAGAAATGCTCAGGATCAGATGGCTTCACTGAATAATTCCATTAAACATTTAAAGAATCACTAACACCAGTCCTCCCGAAACTCTTCCAAAGGTTTAAAATGAGAAAATACTTCCAAGCTAACTACATGAGGCTAGTATTACTCTGATGTCAAATCCAAAGACACCACAATACAACAAGAGACCAATACTCCCAACGAATGTTGATGCAAACATCTTTAACAAAAGATGTTTAACAAAATATTAGCAAACCAAATTGAACAGCCCGTTAAAAAGACTGTACATATGACCAGTAAGACTTATTTAAGGAATGTAAGATGGTTCGACATACAAAAATCAACCAACATAATACACGACATTAACAAAGTGAAGGATAAAAGTCACATGAACGTTACAATTAATACAGAAAAACATTTGACGTAATTTAGCACCCTCTCATGATAAAAATAGGAAAGGAAGAAGTAAAACTATCTCTGTTTGCAGATGATGTGGTCTTGTATGTAAAAACACTCAAAAAAGTGTCAGAACTAATGAATTCAGTAAAGTTGCAGAATACAAAATCAGTACATAGAAATGAGTTGTATTTCTATACACTAGCAATAAATAATCTAAAAAGAAATAAAGAAAATAATCCCGTTACAATAACAACAACAAATGAAATATTTAGAAAACTATGGAAGTGAAAGACTTGCATACTGAAAACTACAAAACTTGCTGACAAAAATTAAAACAGACACAAATAATTGTAAAGTCATAGTATGTTCATGGGTTGGAAAACAATACTGTTAAGATGTTCATACGACCCAAAGCAATCTACAGATACAATGAATCTTTATCAAAACCCCACAAGCATTTTTTACAGAAATATATAAATTCTTCCTAAAATTCATATAAAATCTGAAGGGATACTGTGTACTCAAAACAATTTTGAAAAAAGCTGGAGGCCTCACATTTCCTGATTTCAAAATATATTATGAAGCTATGGTAATCAAAGCAGTGTGGTACTGGCATAAAGACAAATAGATCAATGGAATACAATACAGAGCCAAAAAGTAAACCACCGTGTATTTTTGACAAACAGACCGAGACTACTTAATGTACAATGAACACAAATAGTATTGGGAAAACTGGATATCCACATGCAAAAGAACAAAGTTGGATTTTTATTTTACAACATATATAGAAATTAACTCAAAATGTATTAAAGACCTAAAACTATAAAACTCCTAGAAAAAAATAGGCAAAAATCTTCACGGCATTGTACTTAGCAGTGACTTTTATGACACCAAAAGCACAGACAACAAAAGCAAAAATAGACAAATGGAGCTATATCAAACTTAAAAGTTTTATGCATCAAAGGACACAATCATCAGAGTATAAAGGAAACCTATAGAACAGGAGAAAGTATTTACTATATCTGAAAAGGAGTAATAATCAGAATATATAAAGAACTCTTACAGCTCAACAACAAAAATCAAATAATTTAAAAATGTACAAAGGACTTAAATAGATATTTCTCCAAAAAATATACAAATTGCCAAAAAAAATGAAAATATTTTCAACATCACTAATCATCAGAGAAATGCAAATCAAAACCAAATGAGATACCACCTGACATTCATTAGGACAGCTACTATTGAGAAAAATAAAATAATAACAAGTGTTGACAAGGATGTGATAAAATTGGAACCTCTGTGCATTGTTGGTGGAACTGTAAAATGAGGTAATTGCTATAGAAAACAGAATGGTGTTTTCTCAAAAATTAAAATTAGAATTACCATATTTTCTAGCAATCCTGCTTCTGGGTATATATCCAAAAAAATTGAAACCATAGTTTCAAAGAGATATTTGTACACCCATGTTCATAGAAGCACTATGTACAATAGCTAAGTGGTAGAAGTAACCTAAATGTCCACTGATAAATGAATGGATAAATGCACTATTATATATATGTTTGTATATGTGTGTTGTATATATATGTATATATATGCATATATTTGCACTTGTATGTGTATGTGTAATAGAATATTACTCAGTTTTGAAAAGGAAGAAAATCCTGTCACATGCTAGACATAGATGAACCTTGAGGACTTTATGCTATTGAAATAAACCAGTCACAAAAAGACAAACACTGTATGATTCCACTTTATGAGGTATCTACAGATGTCAAATGCATAGAAACTGAAAGCAGAACTTTGGTTACCAGAGACTGTGGAGAGGAGAAAAAAAGGGAGTTCACGTTTAGTGGGTGTAGGGTTTCAGATCTGCAAGTGAAAAATTTCTGGATATTTGTTTGACAACAATAAGAATGTACTTAACACTATTAAACTGTATTCTAAAAATAATTAAGATGTTATATTTTATGTTAAATGCTTTTACTATAATTAAAAATTGCATTAAAATACTATATTTCTTGATTACTCGATTTTTTGGCACCTTCTTAAATTTTGCACTTCAGATAAATCCCGGCTCTGCACTTCCCTACCATCCAAAAGTTGTAACTGAGGCAGTGAAAAGGAAATCAAAATAACATATTGTCCAAATTTCTCTAAATTGATTTTCTTTCTACTCTGTATCCATCAAGTAATGTATGCACTTCATCCTTGATAAAGAAAGATACCAGCAGAAATGGTGCCAGATTTAATCCCATTGAAATTCTCAAAAATCCTGATATCATGGCCTGCTCTGTAAACCATTCAAAGGATAGTTGAATCCATATTAGTCACTCAGCACCACACACAGTCTTCCCAGAGGACTAGAGACCTCAGATGGTTTGAAGAAATGTCAAAACTAGCTTTTAAAATGGCATTTAGAATTGAGTAAAGTGCAGTCCAGAGAAATTGTAGCTTAGAGCCTAGATATGATGGATATTTGAATGCACAATTCTGAATACAGCTAACTTCTCTGTAAGAAGCATATTCTCTAAAAGAACAAAACAATCAGAATGCAGAAGAATGGAGATGATAATTAGTATTTAATAAGATTGTTCTACTTCAATGAAAATATTAGAAGCAAAATTAATAAACTTAAAAGTAGGTTAACCATGTATTCTATTTCTTAAACTGACCATTTTTTAATACCTTTATTGTATCCCAAATGAACTCAGAAATATAAAAATCTACCAACTAGATAGTTGTTGAATATATGTTCAATTACATTCAACAAGTATTTGAATACCCCCTGTTACAAACACTAAGGATACAACTGTGAATAAGACCTACAAACAAAAACAATTCTCCAATTTTTTGAATAAGAATGCATACTGGAAAACTTTTTTCTCTTTATTTTCACACATTAAAGAGATTTTTGGGGAAACCCCAAAGGAGAATAAAATACAAGGCTTTCTAAATGAGTGGCTCCTGATTGTTTACTGTGAACTCCAGTATTGACAATTTGCAGTCAGTTCCCAGCCAAATCTCACTCCCCGTGGCCCTCAACCCTCTGAATTATTAGCTTGTGAGTTCTGTGGAAGCAAGGCCTCACCTAGGAGTTATTTTGCAAATGACTTTTTGAGGGAATGCTGTCAGAAGATACCCATGAGGGAGCAAAGGAGGCAGAATAGAGTCAGAAAGGGACTGAGCAACAATGTGGTCTCAGCTCTAGTTGAGCTTCAGCCTGATACTATGAAGAGCTCTAGAATGTGTATTACATCACAGTGTGGTCTCAACTGGTAGCAAGGCGACAGGCTTTAAAATTCCAACATCATTCAGTGATTGTCCGTGACAATTTCTGGCCATGGAGAGCAGGGGATAAACACCCAAGCATCTCCAGGTGAGACAGCTGCCATTAGCTAAGGACAATTAGAGGATGAATGCCTAGGTCCAGTAAAGGAAATCTAGGCAGGACAACAATATTATCTACTCTGGCATGAAAAGCCTGAGTTTTTCAGGGAAGCAGCCCCAAAATGGCAGACTTTGAAAAGCTGACGGATATAAATCATCCTTCTCCTAGAGAATTAATTTGAAGAATTTCCTAGTGATGCCCAGCCTCCTCCAGCCAACCACATTTTCTTTAGTACTTGCTTGATCCCATTTATTCTCCAATCCCAATAAATCTGGGACACCATTATTTTGTAAGTAGTAGAGAAAGCCGTCTTAGAACGGGTGAGCCACACCCTACTTGAGAGATCATCTGGTCCAACAGATTTCAGATATTAGCAACAAAGAGCTCTCATTTTACCAGAAATCTTGTGGAAATCTTATGAGTAAATCCAACGAAAGAGGACTCATTCTGGATGGAGTGGGGAAGGAAGGGTACCCATCACTCATAGATTTAGGTGGCTCCCATTGGGCTACAGGTAACACATTGCCCCCCACCCCCAACCACCAGCATGTGTCTTTGGTCAAATTCTCTAGAAACAAAGCCTCATGTTTGGGGTTTTGCAAGTGACATATTGATTGAGTGATCTCAAAAGAAACTTGTAAGAGAGAGAGGGAAGAGAAGACAGGGAAGAAGCTGGCAAGGGAGCGGGTACAGATGAAAACAATAACAACAATGATCTAGTTGAATTTTACCATTGTGTAACCGCACGCTTGAGAGATCAAGACACTTGCACATGGTCTCATAGCTCCCCAGTGGTAGACCAAGGGCCTGAAAGCAGATGGACTCACCCTGTTGCACGGCTATTCCCAAGATGCCTGTCTAGGATAGGGTTTTTAGAAACAAGTCCTAAAAAGGAGATATTTTGCAAGTGATTTATTGAGGGAGTAGTCTTAGAAAAAATCTTTAAGAACATGAGGGAAATGGGTGGAACATAGGAAGGAGCTGAGCAAGGGAAATAGTTCCAGCTGGTGTCTGGCTTAAGGCTGATCCCATGGGTAAGGATAAAGGGTACCACAGTTATGTCCCAAATTGAGGCAAGGAGCCAAGATTTTATACCCCAGGATCAGTCATTGGTTTGGGGCTCTAGGAAGAGCATAGCTTTCCGGGCATTTCCTGGAGAGGCAGTTCCTCTGGATAGGAAGCATCTGTGAGTCATTAGCTTTGACTATTCACCACAGCTGGTGCACAGGCTGGACAGAGGAGCATTAGGCAGGCACTCATAACTATTACTACAGTATCTAATGGGGCTCCCATACAGTTTCAGTCAATGTGAATATAACACGATGAGAGTCCAAACCCAGAGCAATGTCTAAGGAACAGCTTCAAAAGGCACAATCACAGATATCACCCACAGTTTCCATTTGGTCTTCTCTTTTTTAATTTTTTCCTTATAGTGTGAATTTTATCAAAGGTTATTTTTTTTTTTCAAACGCTTTCATATAAGTTATCTCTAAAGAGGCTAACTTTTGATTCCACAAGTAAATTGCCTAAAATATAGATAAACGTCTGTGTTTGTAGAGGGGATTCACAGCTTCTGTTAAGGCTGTTCCTTTTCAGTCTGTGTACGGAATCTGTACTGGTAAGTCCTTCACCCAGCAGACCCCTGCCCTCTGCACCACCCACCCTCCTTCTCCAGCTTGCGCCACACATACTGGGAGGATATTCCTGGGTGTGTTACTATGACTACCTCTCCTGGAGAGTCACTGTGGGTTTTAAACAGTCATCCAATTAGCTGTTTTGTAACATTTTGTTGTGTGTATTCCCCATTTTGAGCCTTCAACCCACCACCCCCATTACCACTGAAATTCAAATGGATTTTTTTATGACGTGTTTTTTTGTTTTTTGTTTTGTTTTGTTTTTGTTTTTGAGTTTCACTCTTATTGTCCAGCCTGGAGTGCAATGGCACAATCTTGGCTCACCGTAACCTCTTGCCTCCCGGGTTCAAGCAATTCTCCTGCCTCAGCCTCTTGAGTAGCTGGGATTACAGGCATGCGCCACCACACCCAGCTAATTTTGTATTTTAAGTAGAGATGGGTTTCTCCATGTTAGTCAGGCTGGTCTTGAACTCCCAACCTCAGGTGATTCACCTGCCTCAGCCTCCCAAAGTGCTGGGATTACAGGCGTGAGCCACAGTGCCCGGCTATGAGGTTTGAAAAAACCTTGTGTTGATTTTGTTTTTAAGAGGAAAGGGCACAGAAGAGGTATTAACAGAAGAGGAAAAGGCAGAAAGCAGCTTGGTACAAAAATGTCAGAGAGCTAGAACTGGAAATGTTCTTAAAGATGGAAATCAGGTGTTTTTAAGCTACTTTTCAAGAAGCCCTTGCATTTCTCAGAGGTACCTCTGAGCTGGTTTTTAGCACCATAGAGAAAGAGAAAGCATTGAGCACCCAAGCACACACTCACGATCACAAAAAATATTGTAACTCCTTTTTTAAAAATCAATCTTGTATGCTGTTTTATGTTTTATAAAATAATTTGAGTATCTACTTTTAAAAAACACTTGAAAATCGGAATTTAGCCTGGAGCAGATGCTGTCAAATCACAATCCACATTCCGTCAGCATTTACCATTTCCATGCACATCACTGGCATATCTTTGCCTAAAGACTTTCGCTGGCTGCAGGAGCCTCCTCTGCCATAGGCTGGCTGGACATTCCAGGCAAGTAACGTCTCCTGGGAGCAGCCCTGAACCAAAGACTGATGGCAGTGGGTGTATAAACACCCCAGCTCCCTACTCTCACACACAGGATATCTCTGAGGCATCTGGTCTGCCGTACTCCCAGGCTTCCTCAGTGGGATTAAGCTCCAGGTGCCTGCATTGGTAACCCTGATAATACATCTCCTACCAGCTGCTCTCCCTTTGCTGCCTTGCTTCCTCAATCCCCTTCCCTGCCAGGGTTTCCTGGGCTCCCTTCTCTACTTGTACTCAAATTCTTACCTCAAGGGCAGCTTCTGGGTCAACCCAAACCAAGTCATAGCCCAGTTCAATAAATTATTGTTCAAAGAGCTTAGGTGTGTAACTGAAGGGACCCAGGCAAGGCTTGGATTCAAAACCTAAGTTTTGGCTTCCCAATTCAATATCAGCATAACATAGCCATTGATCTTTATATTAACCTATGCTCACCAATTGATTCTTGCCTTACAGGTGAATGGTCCTCAATAAAATATATATTCCCTATACAAACTTTAAGTGGTTACATGAAAATTAGCTTTTATAAATTATATTAAACATGTATGACAGTGTAGAGTTCAAATATTTACTTTGTACTCTTCTTTATCAACCAATGACATATAGCCAATATTATCTGATTCTTTAGTCCTTTAGTCTTTTATGAAATTTATTCATTCTCTACCTTTCTGAATAAAGAGATACAGATGGAAGAGAATAGTCTAAATTTTTTTTTTCTAAAAGTTCTGCTTTTATATATTAAAATCTTCCTTTCTTTTTCATAATGAATTATCCTGGTACTGAATGCCTCTTTTTAAATCATGTGTGAAATTGTGAGGCCTTGCATCCTCCAGGATGAAGGTTTCTGCCCAACCAGATCTCTTGCTGGTGCCAACTGCCAATCTATGAAATGCACAGAAGAGAAGGTTGGAGAAATAGCAAGGCCAAGGTGGCCCACCACTTTAGATTAACCATTCCTGCCCAGGACCTTCCACAAGTTGGTCTTTCCTCACTTCCCTTCCCTACCAGTGACCTTACTAGGACCTTACAAAAGTTGACCACTTTCAAGGGAGGAGCAATGCTGTACTTGCTTCCTCTGCCCATTCTCATGAATTAAAGAAGTGATCCTTGGAGAATTTGTTAGATTGTTTTCACTGATGTCTGAATTAATGGCTGTTCTGTATCCATGTTCTTTCCCCTGTAATTTTGTATTAAAATTCCCACCCACTCTGACTCTGGGCTAGAGCTTGTGATTTGCTTTAACCAATAAAATGCCTCCAAGTGATGCTGTGCAGTTCTGAGCCTAGGCCTTGAGAGCCATTGTGTGCTCTTTATTGGGACACTGCCTCTGCAAAAAGAACAAGCTTGGGTTTGCCTGCCAGAGGATGAGAGACCACATGAGGAGAACCAAGCTGCTCCAAACCAGTACCCACCCAAAACCTTCAGGCAGAGCTACCCATCTAAGCATAAAATTAACACAGAGTCAAGAAGGAGACAATCTGAGACCTGAAGAGTCTCTCAGCTGATTGCAGCCCAAATTTTCAGCCTACACATCATGAGCTAAATTAATAGGTGTTGTCTTTAGACACTAAGTTGATAATTTGTTATGCAGTATTAGATAACAAGTACCACTTCTTTCCTCTGAAAGAGACTTGGGAAAATGTATTTGATGTTCAATGAATTCAGAGTGCCTACAGAGAACCAAGTCAAAGCACCTTAGCTTTGCACAGTAGGGATTTGCCAGCTCGGCTTCTACTTATCTTACAATCTCATACTCATCTTATAAAACTGCTGTGTACAAGCAATGAACCTGTCCCAATGAAGTTTTCTCCTTTCGCTGAAAAAGTTCCCTGCCTTCCCTCATGGAATAATAATTACATAACAAGAACAAGAGTATTTATTGAAAGTGTATTATGTATGAGGTACTATTGTAAGAATTTGACAATGATTATTTTACTTAATTTTCACTATGTTTCTATATGAAAAGTGCTATCATTATTCCAAGCTTAAAGGTGAGGAAACAAGCAAAAAGAATTTAAGTAATTTGCTCAAGGTCAAGAGCAGAGATTTAATTCTAGAATATCTGCCTCCAGAGAACACGGACTTCTTTAACCATTGTCCTCTCCTATCCTGTGCCTGGCACCTGTCACCTCTCATTTCAAGGCCTAGCTTTCCTATTACAAGAGCCATCCTTACATGGCTTTACCTGTGTTTCCAAGCACTGTGCAAACACCTTTGTATACACTGAATTATTTATTATACTCAACAACCAATAGCTATTATTATTCATCATTATCTACATTTTAGAGGAAGAAACTGAGGCACAGGAAGTCAAATTATTTGCTCACGGTCACATAGCATGTTGGTGACAGAATCTCAATTCAAGCAGAGACTATCTGGTTCCAGAATTCAGGTTCTTGTACCATCAAACACAATTGTCTTCTCGTGTAACCTGCTTACACTAGGACAGGCATCCCCAGGAAGAGTTGTTCTTTCTTCTCTTTATTATTCAAAGACACTGTCCGAGGTTTTGTACTTGTGTCAAAACTTAACTTTCTGACGGTGTGTCTTCCCATGAAAGAATTTGTTCTGCAAAATTAGAGACCATATTTGAAGTCATGAAAACTATACATTCCCCTTGGGGAAGAGAATATTCCCATCAGCCTTGTCTAATGGGAAACCACAGGTCATGAATTCACATATTTAAGGAAAAGGAGCTGTAATGAATGCTGGTGCAATGCCCAGAGGCTCTCACTGGGCTGATGTACTTATTCCCCAGTGCGGTCCTGTTGTCTGCTCTCAGCTCTCAGCGGCCCTCTTCCACAGAGGATTGCCTTCATCCAGTAAGAGCCCATCCTCTGACAAATGTCTTGGAGTTCCCACTAGCCAATGACTGATATACATTAAGGCTCAAAAAACTGCTGCTGCCTCAGGGACGAACCACTCTGCAGTGAGATTTCTACCTAGAGCATCCTGTGCAATCAGACTGAGGTTTGTTTTCAGCCGAATCACATCTTTTCTTGGCTCTTTTCTCTTCCATATCCAGCTTCCCTCACCACTTCACAGGTTCTTGAGAGTACCCACTCAAGAAATGCAAGAGAATCCACAACTCAGACATTGCTTCTTATAAAACCAAAGATAAGGGCTTTACAGATATAGAAAGCAATCTCATTAAGAATAAAAGTACTGTTTATTCAAGAAGTGCTAAAAAATTTTTTTTGAAATAATAAATTTATTTTTTGAATAAATTACAAAAGATGCAGAATATTTATAATTGAGGGAGCAAAACAAAAAACCTTGTCTCTAACATTTAAGATTGAAAAGTTATTCTCAAGCAAAATTAAGTTTCTATCTGCTCTTATGTAAATAAGGGTAATATTAGCTGCATTTACAAACAAACCATCAAATGCAATGGACCAAACAAGGTGCAAATGTGTTTCTCTTGTATATATCAGTTGCAGTTTCAGGTTAGAGGGCCTCTTGACCCCACACAGTCTTGGAGACTCAAACTTCTCATGTTTTTCCACCATGGTATACACAGGGTGGTCTTCTTTGCTGCATGATGGAAGTCATGAGACAAAAGCTGACTTGCAGCAAAGTTTTTCTGAAAAAAAGATATGAAGGCAGCACGTCAGCCAGTTAAAGGTTCTGTCCAGAACTGATGTTACTTCAATTCACATTGGTGAGAACCAAGTCACCATACCCAGCCGTAAGGGAGGGTAGTTGGTCAGCTAAGTACATTGTATTATTGCAATGTATTGAAAGAAGAAAGAGGAGAATGAATTTCGTGAAGAGTTAGAAATGAGTGCAACCATTATTAGTTTTTACATTAGCTTTCTATCTTTTCTAATATTCACTATAAGGAAAATGAGGACACTCGAGGTAACAACTTTTTAAATTAACTACAGTCTGTCTTTTTGTGTTAACTTCAAAGCTGGTAAAACACATTTTAGAGAATTTCTTGTCCTCATAAATGTATCTATTGTAGGAAATAGTGTTAACTCATAAATTCTGCCTGATATTAATCATAAAGTTGTAAATGAAGTTACCAGGCTTTTTTTTTTCCTTCCAACTTCTGTGTCAGGGCTGCTAAATAGAATAGAACTTTCTGTGATAGTAGAGATATCCTATACGTGTGCTACACAACACAGTAGTCACTAGACATATGTGCTGATTGAGCACCTGAAATGAGGCTAGCATGACTGCAAATATTTACATTTTACTTAACGCTAATTAATTTTAAAATTTAAATTTAAAGAGCTCCCTGTGGCTAGTGGCTCCCATATTAGACAGAGCTGCTCTATGTAGCAGTTCTGGTGAAAAAGAAAGTAGTAAGGCTCATTTGTCTCCAGCAGCTGCTTGTTCCAAATTTGTATCGATGGTTCCTCTGTCAGCTTCTGATCCAAACACCAGGCAAAGCTTTGTTTAGTCACTATGCATTATCCTTGGTGTTATCTTTCAGCATCAGGCAGAGTTGTTGGCCCATAGTAAGCTTTTAATAAATATTTGTTAAATAAACAAGTGAATTAATGAGATGTGCTCTGCCCAATCAAATTAGGTCTTCTATACAGATATGATCTGGCCTACTTCAGAACTTTTTGCAATGTAAGCAACCAAGAATGAAACAATAATGCATATAAACTATACATTGGTCTGATGTAGTTATTTTAGGTGAGAACAATTGCCAGACCAAATATATCATGGCCATAGTGTCTTCTGACTGGGCCATGAGCAATGACATGCAAAGAACCTACACTCCAAATAAATTCTTCATATTCCAGATATTTTGTATTTCTCTCACATATGCAACCCAGCATTATCCCTTTACCAACTGTATGCAACTTTACTAGAAGAGCAATGTAGTCAAGTACCCAAATTCATAAGCACATTTGCCATCTGGAGTCAAGATGAATATAATTTATCGACGTCTCGGTTAATCAGAGTGTAAACCCAGTCAATTGATAGACCAGATATGAAGAACCATCGTTTCATAAATGTGGGCCAAGTCAGTCACAAAGCTATTAGCACACATACTTTATGCTTAGCTCCACTTCTTTCTAGAGTGAGGCCTCCAATATGCTGCATGATTTTACATAATGTTTGCTGAATATTATGAAATAAGTCATCCTTGCTAAGACTGTTTGATTTAGGAATAAACTTCTAGTTACATAGATGAAGCCAAGAGTGGAGTCTTTTTCCCTCTCCAAATTGATGGTGCACAAAAAAAAATGTATACTTACAGCTATGATTAAAAACAAGATTCCATGCCACATCCCATGTCCTCTGGATTCAGTATGGAAAAAAGAAGGGCCCCTAACCAAAGACTGAAATGAAAAGCTACAGTTTCTCACTACAATGAACCAAGTATGGAATGGAGAAAGAGAAAAGAAGGCACAGAGAAGGAGGTAAGAAGATGCAGAGAATGAGCCCTGAATAATACTGAGTTCTTCTTCGGTATTTAGATGTACAAAAGAATTTCAGCCAAAGGGTCTCAGCAGTTGTAGTGACAGTAAGATCAGGTCCTTGTCCTGCTTAAATAAATGATTGTTGGACCATCTTTCTTTACTGGCCCAACCCAGTGTATTCTGAGACTTATTGAGAGAGGTTAAGCATTCAAATACTGTTCTTCCAAGGCAGAAACAATCCTTTGACCTTCTAAAATAAAACAATGAAATAAAAATCACACTCTTAGTTTTCAACTTTTCATTTGTGCCTAAATTAAAACCGTTGCATCATAATACAGTTGAAATTGTCAGGTGTTTTTTTTAAGGCCTTCATGTTTTAATTAATTTAGAGGAGAGTCTAGTGACCAAAGAAAAAAGTAATTATTAGAAAACATTAATTCTTTGAGGTGGCCCAAGTCCTACAATAGGATTTGTCCAGGAACCCTTAAAATAACATGAAATTATTGTCCTTACAGATTTTCCAATCCTACATCTGACCAGTTAGTAAAGTGGGTCTTCTTATACATCACCTACTACATATTTTACTCAAATTAAAAGCAAATCTTAACCTCTATATCACTTTTAAAAGGGATATAGCGCTCATTACATCTATTTGGGCACTAGCATATAAGAACATGCACACACACACATTTTAGATGTAAGCAAACATGGTAAAGTAAAATCCTACGAAAAAGCATTCCCTTTTAAAGGCAATGAAAAACTCACAAAAATGATCAGAATCAACTTTTTTAGATGGATTTTAATGGATTTCAGGAACATGGAGAATGTTTGTTCAGGGAATATAGTGAAATCTCAGGAAGAATACAAAGCTTTGTGGCATTTTAATTTGCCCTAGTCCTATCCCTCACTTTCCAACTTAACAGTAGCCTTGAAAATAAAAGACCGCATTTCCAGTCTGGAGGGAACAGAATAGAACTGGAGATTTTTCAAAGCTTAATTCCCCCCAAATTGTCATTTTTTTTTTTTTACCTCATCGGTGGGTCCCTGGAAGACTTGGTTGTATTTGACCTAAATTGGAGCTCACCCAGTGCAGAAAGCCTCTCCTTGGTAACATTTGTCAAAAACAATAAAAAGCAAGGGTTTGAATGTCATGGCTGCCTGAAAGGATAGATAACAATTTGGGCAAACAATATTCTATCCAAAAAGCATAAAAAGAACAGCTGAAAAATAAGATATCCAAAGAGACTTTCAAAACCTCTAACATATTCCTGGGAAGCTAGAAGGCCACATACATGCATACGGTTATATGCATACTCAGGAAAGACTTGAGATGGCCCTTAGCTTTTACTCCTGGCTGACCTTGAGGCTTTGCACAAGCAGAAAGTGAAAGTTAAGGCAGAGTTGTCAGTTACCTGGGTGAGAGTTGAAGCCATGTTCCAACACACACACACACACACACACACACACACACACACACACACACAGAGCCCGTAGGCAAAGAGTAGATTTATTGGTTCCAGACATTTGAGGAAATCTCTGTTCAAATATGAGCTATCCACAAAGCTAACCGAGTGACACTTCAGTGGACACACTGAAAGAATACAGACTTTACAGAATTTGTTCAGAAAAATCATGAAACAAATAACTACAACAAGCAGCAACAAGAAAAAACCCTGGTGAGGGGGTAGAATCTGACTTCCCAAGTTACTGCATGCTATTTACAGTGTCCTTGTCCAACAAGAACAACAACAAATAGGGTAAGCAAAGAAAGAAGAAATTATAGCCCTCACTTAGAAAAAATGAGCAATCAATGGAAACTCCCTAGGGAAGCCTAGAAGTTGGACTTATTAGACAGATTTTTTTTTTTTTTTTTAGACGGAGTCTCACTCTGTCGCCCAGGCTGGAGTGCAGTGGTGCAATCTCGGCTCACTGGAAGCTCCGCCTCCTGGGTTCACCGTCATTCTCCTGTCTCAGCCTCCTGAGTAGCTGGGACTACAGGCGCCCGCCACCACGCCCAGCTAGTTTTTTGTATTTTTGTATTTTTAGTAGAGACAGGGTTTCACTGTGTTAGCCAGGATGGTTTCGATCTCCTGACCTCATGATCCACCCGCCTCGGCCTCCCAAAGTGCTAGGATTACAGGCATGAACCACCGTGCCCGGCCTAGACAGATTTTTTAAACCAGCTATTCTAAATATGTTCAAAATGCTACAGGAAAGTATGTCTAAAGAGCTAAAGAAAAGTGTGAAAATGATAACTCACCAAATAGAGAATTTTATAAAGAGATAAATATTATAAAAGGAGCCAAATAGAAATTCCGGAGTCAAAAACTGTATTAACCAAAATAAAAAATTTACTAGAGAATGCAGCCAAAAGACACATGAAAAAATGCTCATCATCACTGGCCATCAGAGAAATGCAAATCAAAACCACAGTGCGATACCATCTCACACCAGTTAGAATGGCAATCATTAAAAAGTCAGGAAACAGCAGGTGCTGGAGAGGATGTGGAGAAATAGGAACACTTTTACACTGTTGGTGGGACTGTAAACTAGTTCAACCATTGTGGAAGACAGTGTGGCAATTCCTCAAGGATCTAGAATGAGAAATACCATTTGACCCAGACATCCCATTACTGGGTATATACCCAAAGGATTAAAAATCATGCTGCTATAAAGACACATGCACACGTATGTTTATTGCGGCACTATTCACAATAGCAAATACTTGGAACCAACCCAAATGTCCATCAATAATAGACTGGATTAAGAAAATGTGACACATATACACCATGGAATACTACACAGCCATAAAAAATGATGAGTTCATGTCCTTTGTAGGGACGTGGATGAAGCTGGAAACCATCATTCTCAGCAAACTATCTCAAGGACAAAAAACCAAACACCACCTGTTCTCACTCATAGGTGGGAATTGAACAATGAGAACACTTGGACACATGAAGGGGAACGTCACACACTGAGGCCTGTCATGGGGTGGGGGGAGGGGGGAGGTATAGCATTAGGAGATATACCTAATGTAAATGATGAGTTAATGGGTGCAGCACACCAACATGACACATGTATACATATGTAACAAACCTGCACATTGTGCACATGTACCCTAGAACTTAAATTTAAAAAAAAAAAAAGGTGGCCAAAAAAATTTACTAGAAAAGCTCAATAGAAGAGTTGAGCAGGCAAAAGAAAAAACAAATATAATTAAACATAGGTTAATAGAAATTATTCAGTCCATTACTAAAGGGAAAAAAATGAAGAAAAATGAATAGAGCTTCACAGACTTGTGAAAACTGTTGAGCATATTGACATAACCATATTGGGAGTCCCAGAGACAGAAAAAAAGGCGGGGGCAAAAAAAAAAAAAAAAGAAGAAATAAGGGGCTCCAGTTTCCAGTCTGGAAACAACTTATCAAAATTTAAGGAATGCAGTGTAAGCAGTGATCAAAGGGAAATTTATAACATTGAATGCCTATATTAGAAAAGAATAATGATCGAAAGTGAATAGTCTAAACTTCCATTTTAAGAAATTAGAAAAAGAAGAATAAATTTAATTTCAAAGTAAGCGGAAGAAAAGAAATTATAAGAGAGCAGACATTGGTGAAATTGAAAACAGGAAGTCAATGAAGAAACATCAACAAAATCAAAAGCTAGTTCTTTGAAAAAAATCAATAAAATTAATAACACTCTAGATGGCTAAGAAAAAATATATACAAATTACTAATATCATAAATGAAAGAAGGGCCATCACTACAGGTCCCATGGACATTATAAAGATAATAAAGAAATGTTACGAACAACTCTATTTCCACAAATAGAGTAACATAGATGACATGGATCAATTTCTTGAAAGAAACAATCTGCCAGAAGTCACTCAAGAAAAAACAGACAATTTGAATAGGTCTGTATCTATTTTAAAAATTGAATTGATAATGAATAACCTTCCAAAATAGAATGCATCAGGACCACTTGGGTTCATCAGCAAATTCTACCCAACATTTAATAAAGAAATCATTTAAATTCTTTATAATCTCCTCAAGAATATAAAAGAAGAGGAAATACTTCCTAACTCATTCTATGAGGCCATTATTACCCAAATACCAAAATTGGATAAATATATCACAAAAAATAAAAAATAAAACTGCAGATAAATGTCTCTGCTGAACATAAATGCAAAAATCATCAACAAAATATTAGTAAATTCAATCCAACGATGTATGAAAAGATCTATACATCCTGACCCAGTGGGATTTATCCCAGGTATGCAAGACTATTCAACATTCAAACATCAGTAAATGTAATCCATTACATCAACAGGCTAAAGGGAATAATGGCCATACACTTCCTAATTTTAATGAAAGACATTAACCAAAACATACACAAAACTCAATGAACTACAAATAGAATAAACTCAGAAATCCACACCTATACACATCATAAGCAACTATCCCAAAAGCCAAAGACAACAAGAATCTTGAAAGAAGCTAAAAAGAAACAGGGAAACAATTCTTCATGTACAAAGGATCCTCAATAAAATCAACAGCTGAGGCCAGGCACCTGGCTCAAGCCTGTAATCCCAGCACTTTGGGAGGCTGAGGCAGGTGGATCACTTGAGGTCAGAAGCTCAAGACCAGCCTGACCAACATGATGAAATCCTGTCTCTGCTAAAAAGTGCAAAAATCAGCAGGGTGTGGTGGCACACGCCTGTAATCTCGGCTACTTGGGAGGCTGAGGCAGGAGGATCACTTGAACCCCAGGAGGAGGAGGTTGCAGTGAGTCAGTGAGCCGAGATCATGCCACTGCACTCCAGCCTAGGCAACAGAGTGAGACTCCGTCTCAAAAAAAAAAAAAAAGAAAAAAAAATTAACAGGTGATTTCTCATTAGAAACCCTGGAGGCCAGAAGTCACTCAGATGATATCTTCAAAAAGTGAAAAAAATTGTTAATCAATAATTCCATATATGGTGAATCACATTTATTAATTTGCATATGTTTAACCAGCCTTGTATCCCAGCAATGAAGTCTGATTGATTGAGATGTATTAGCTTTTTGATGTACTGCTGGATTCAATTTGGTAGCTTTTTTCTTAAAGGATTTTTGTGTTTATGTTAATGAGGGATATTGGTCTAGAGTTTTCTTTTTTTGCTGTGTCTCTGCCATATTTTGTTATCAGACTGATGCTGGATTTACAGAATGAGTCAGGGAAGACCCCATATTCCTTGATTTTTCAGAATAATTTCAGTAGAGTCAGTGTCAGTTCTTCATTTTATGTCTGGTAGAATTTGGCTGTGAATCCTTCTGGTCCAGGGCTGTTTTGGGATGGCAGATTCTTTATTGCTGATTCCATTTCAGAAGTTTATATTGGTCTATTCAGGGTTTCAGTCTCTTCCTGATTCAATCTTAGGATTGTATACTTCCAGGAATGTATCTATTTCCTCTAAATTTTTTATTTTGTGTCCACAGAGTTGCTCATAGTAGTTCTTGAGAATTGTTTATATTTCTGTGGGATCAGTTTTAATATCACCTTTGTTCTTTCAGATTGTGCTTATTTGGATCTTCTCTTGTATTTTCTTTGTTAATCTAGCTAGGGGTTCTATCAATCTTATTTTTTCAAAGAGCCTATTCTTGGTTTCATTGATTTTTCTGTATAGATTTTTGCATCTCAATTTCATTAAGTTGTTCTCTAATTTTAGTTAGTTCTTTTCTTCTGCTAGCTTTGGTTTGGCTTGTTGTTTTTCTTCTAGTTCCTTTAGGTGTAAAATTAGATTGTTAATTGGAGACCTTTCTAGCTTCTTGATGAAAGAGTTTAGCACTAAATAGAATCAAAAGCTAAAACCATATAATCACGTCAGTAGACATAGAAAAAGCTTTTGATAAAATCCAATGTTTCTTCATGATAAAATCCCTCAACAGACTAGGCGTTGAAAGAACATATCTCAAAATAATAAAAGCCATCTATGATAAATCCACAGCCAACATCACACTGAATAGGCAAAAGCTCAAACCATTCCCCATTTATAACTGAGACAAAGATGCCCACTCTAACCACTCCTATTCAACATAGTACTGGAAGTCCTAGCCAGAGCAATCAGGCAAGAGGGAAAAAAACTATCCAAATAGGAAAAAAGTCAAACTATCTTTGTTGCTGATATGACTCTCTACCTGTAAAATCCTAAATATTCTGCCAAAAGACTCCTAGAATTGATAAGCAACTTTAATAAAGTTTCAGGATACAATATAAACGTACAAAAATCCGTAGCATTTCTATGCACCATCATCCAGGCTGAGAGTGAAATCAAGAAGACAAGGCCACCTGCAATAACCACAAAGAAAATAAAGTATGCAAGAATACAGCTAACGAAGGAGATGAAAGATTCTATAAGGAGAATTACAAAATCTACAAGGAGAATTACAAAATGCTGCTGAAATAAATTAGAGATGACACAAATAAATAAATAAAATATTCCATGCTCATGGATTAGAAGAATTAATATTGCAAAAAATGGCCATACTGCCCAAAACAATTTACAGATTCAATGCCATTCTTATCAAGCTACCAATGTCATTCTTCACAGAATTAGGAAAATTAGAATTAGAAAAATAGCATATTCTACAATTTATATGGAACCAAAAAAGAGCCTGAATAGCCAAAGAAATCTTAAGCCAAAAGGACAAATCCAGAGACATCTTACTATGCAACTTCAAACTATACTATAAAGACACAGTAATCAAAACAGTTCAGTATTGGAAAAAAAAAAAGACACGTGGACCAATAAAACAAAATAGAAAACCCAGAAATAAAGCCACACGCCTAGAACCATCTGTCCCTCAACAAGGCTGACAAAAACAAGCAATGGGGAATGGACTTCCTATTCAACAAATGGTGCTAGGATAATGGGCCAGCCATATTCAGAAGATTAAAGCAGTACACCTACAAAAATTACAAAAAACATATGCCATATTTTCACTATATACAAAAATTAACTCAAAATAGGTTAAAGATTTAAATGTAAGACCTTGAACTCTAAAAATCCTGGTAGACAACCTAGGAAATATTATTTTCTTAGTACTGGCCATGGCAAACAATTTTTGGCTAAAGCCGCAAAAGTAATTGCAACAAAAACAAAAATAGACAAGTGAAACCTAATTATTCTAAAGAATTTCTGCAAAGCAAAAGAAACTATCAACAGAGTGAACATACAACCTACAGAATAGGGTAGATATTTGCAACCTATACATCCAACAAAGGCCTAATATCCAGAATCTATAGGGAACATAAATCAACAAGCAAAAAGCAAATAGCTCCATTAAAAAATAAGCAAAGGACATGAACAGACAATTCTCAAAAGAAAACATACAAGTGACCAACAAACATATGAAAAAATGCTCATAAATCGATCGTCAGAGAAATGCAAATCAGTCAGAATGACTATTATTAAAAAGTTAAAAGAACAACAGATGCTGGCGAGACTGCAGAGAAAAAGTAATGCTTATACACTGTTGGTGGAAATGTAAATTAATCCAGTCACTGTGGAAAGCAGTCTGGAGATTTCCCAATGAACTTAAAACAGAGCTACCATTTGACCCAGTAATACCATTTCTGGGTATATACCTAAAAGAAAATAAATCATTCTACCAAAAAGAAACATGCACTTGTATGTTCATCAGTGCACTATTCACAATAGCAAAGACATGGAATCAACCCAGTTGCCCATCAATGGTAGATTGTATAAAGGAAATGTGTAGTTTGTATATGTGAACATATACACCATGCAATACTATGCAACCATAAAAACGAATAAAATCAGATCCTTTGCAGCAATATAAATGGAGCCAGAAGTCATAATCCTAACCAAATTAATGCAGAAACACAAAACCAAATACTACATGTCTCACTTATAAGTGGGAGCTAAGCATTGAGCGCTCATGGACATAACTACCAGAACAATAGACATTGTAAATACTAGAGGGTAGAGGGGGGTAGATTAAAGCTACATATCAGGTACTATGCTCAATAGCAGGATGACAGAATCCACAATCCAAACCTTAGCATCATTTAATATCCCCATGTAACAAACCTGCACATGTACCCACTGTATCTAAAATAAAAGTTGAAATTATTTTAGAACAAGTGGACAATTACATAACAAACAAATGCATTAATAATAATAATAATAATAAAATAACTTTATGTATTAAAAAATCCATCAAAAAGGCAGGGAAAATTAAGATATTCTCACATGAAAACAGAGTGAGCTTGTTATTGACAGTCCCACCCTATAATAAATACTTAAGGGAGTTCTTCAGGCTGAAATGAAAGGACACTAGACAGAAATTAAAATCTACACAAAGAAATAAAAAACACTGGTAAAGGTAAATATGTAGGTAAATATAAATGACAGTATAAATGCATCTCCTGTGTGTAACTCCCATTTTTCTCTGATATGATTGTAAAATAAAGCAGTAATTATAGATTGATGAAGTTATATGAAATTATAAATCTTCTTTATATTGTATAAACATAGAATTTGTAACAATAACAACATAAAGCAGAGGAAAACAGCTAAACAGGAGAAAAGTTTTTTAATGCTCTAAATTAAATTCGCTTATAAAATTAATCCAGGTAAATTGTCATAAATTAAGTGGTTAATAGTAATCTCAGGGCAATTATTAAAAATAAAATCCACAAAGTTATACAGTTAAGGAAATAGCAAAGTAATTAAAATGGCACACTAGAAAATGTCCATTTAACACAAAAAGAAGCCAATAATTAATGAAGGAAGGAAAACTAGACATAAGACATATACAAACAAATAGCAAAATGTCAGTTGCAAATGTTACCCTATCAGTAATTACGTTATGTATAAAAGGATTCTGTCTCTATCAGTTTCCTAAGGCTGCTGTAACAAAATACCACAAACTGGGTCATTTAAAACATCAAGAATTCATTTTCTCACAGTTCTGGAGGCCAGTAATCTGAGATCAGGGTGTCAGCAGAGTTGGTTCCTCCTGGAGGCTCCGAAGGAGAAGCTATTCCACAGCTTCTCTCCTAATGTCTAGTAGTTGCCAGCAATCCTTGTTATTCCTTACCAAGGAATACGCAGAGAATTGCCTAACTTCAACCTCTGCCTTCACATCGTTTTCCCTTCTGTGTGTCAAATTTTTCTCTTTCTCTTTACTTACATGTAATATGATTAATTACAACAATCATTGTAATTAACCATGAAAATAGAATAAAGAATAAACATGACACAAAATAGGACACCAGTCAGTGGATTTAAGCCTCCCTCCCCCATACCCAGAATTCATCTCATCTTAAGATGTTAACTTGATTACATTTTCAAAGACCCCTTTTCCAAACAAGTTCACACCCACAGGTATAAGGTAGACATATATATATATATATATATATATATATATATATATATATATATATATACACACACATATATAGTCATAGTGGTTTGATCACTTGTGAGGGGACAACGGATCAACCCACTATGATCTCCAATTAAAAGATAGAGTTTGGTGGAATTGACTTAAAAATAAAACAATAAACTAGTATGCTGTCTATGAGAGACAACCTTGAAATTCAAAGGCATAAGTGGGTTGAAGGTAAAAGTATTGGGAAAGATATATTACGCAAACAGATTCCAAAAGGGAGCTAGATTGGTTCTATTAACATAGGACAAAATAGATTTTAGAACAAAAAATTGTTACTAGAGACAAAGAAATTGTATAATTATAAAAGGTCAATAGTTGAAGAAGATATACTAATTATAAACACGTATGCAAATAGCAACAGAGTCTCAAAACACATTAAGTAAAAGTTGAAAGAATTTAAGGAATAATAGAAAATTCAGCAATAAATTTTGGATATTTCAATCTCACTTTCAATGATGGATAGAAAAACTAGACAAAAGATCAGCAAGACAACAGAAGATTGAAACATAAACTATAAACCAACTAGACCTAACAGACACCTAAGCAGTACTCAACCCAACAGCAGTGGAATAAATATTCTTCTCTATCAGAAATGCTGATGAAACATTCTTTAACAGATGGTAGGCTATAAATGGTCTCAATAAATTTAAAATGACTGAAATCTTACAAAGCATTTCACAGTAGAAGGAAATTAGAAACCAAGAACAGAAGGAAATTTCGGAAATTCAAAATTATGTGTAAATTACAAAATGCATTTCTAAATAAACAATATGTCAACAAAATTTTATGGGAAATTGGGAAATACTTTGAGACAGATGAAAATGAAAACACAATATACCACAACTTATGAGATGCACTGCAAACAGTGTTCAAAGAAAAATTTATACTTTTAAGAACCTACATTAAAAATAATGATCTCCAATCAACAACCTAAATTTCCCCCTAAATTTCTAACTAATGTTCCCTCTTTAAAAATTAGAAAAAAAAATCCTCAACAAAATATTGCAAACTAAACCCAGAAGCATATTTAAATATATATACACCATGACCCATTGGGATTTATGTCAGGAATGCAAGATTGGCTCACAAAACAAACATTATAATTAATCATAGTAATAGAATCAAGGATACAAAAATCCAAAACAAACACAAAAGAAGCATTTGACAAAATACAAGTTTCTGATAAAAACACTCAATATACTAGGAACAGAGGAGAACTTCCTCAACCTGATAGAGGACATCTATGAAAAACGCATACATCTATAAAAAATACATACTTAACAGTGAAATACTGAAAGTTTACCTCCTAAGAATCTTTCTCCTTTTTTCACCACTTCTATTCAACATTGTACTGGAGGTAGTATCCTGGGAAATAGGCTAGTAAAAGAAATAAAAGGAAAGAAAGAAACAAGAAACAAGGGAAATGGAAAGAAACAAGTGAATGGAATGAAACATATCTTACATATCTTACGTATCAAAAACCATAAATCTGGCACAAATACACTATTAGAGCTTATAAAATTTAGCAAGTTTGCAAGATACAAGATCAAGATCAATGTACCAAATCAGTTGTATTTCTATACATGAACAAAGACCATTCCAAAATGAGATTTAGAGAATTAATCCATTTAAAATACTATCACAAAGAGTAAAATACTTATGATAAATTTAACCCATTAAGTACATGATTTGTACACCAGAAACTATAAAATATCACTGAAAGAAATAAAAGAAGGCCTAAATAAATGAAACAATATTCCATATTCACAAATTGGAAGACCTAATATCGTTAAGATTGCAATAATCCCCATATTGATCTGCAGATTTAATCAATCTATATCTAAATTCCAGTCATCATTTTACAGAAACTGGCAAGCTGATACTAAAAGTCATGTATAAATGGAAGGCACTCAGACTAGCCAAACCAATCCAGAAAACATAAAATGGAGGGATTTACTTTTTCTAGTTTCAAAACAGATTACAAATTTACAGTAACAAGGACTGTGTGAAGCTAGCATAAGGGAAAACATATAGATAAATGGAATAAAATTGAGAGTCCAGAAATAACAGTATGCATTTATTGCCAATTGATTGAAAATATCAATTCTTTTCCTATCAAATTGTGCCATGAAAATTCAACAGGGAAAGCTTAGCCCTTTCAACAAATGGTGCTAGGACGGCTGGCTAGCCACACACAAAACACAAATTTGGATTCCTATCTCAACATGGAAAAATCAACTCAAAATGGATCAAAAACCTAAAAGCAAGAACTAAAACTATAAAACTCTTAGAAGAAAACAAACGTACGTCATAACGACCTTGAATTAGGCAATGGTTTTACAGATATGATATCCAATGCACAAGCAACCAAAGAAAAAAATAAATACATTAGACTTCATTATAAAGTAAAAACCTTTTTGCATCAAAGGACACTCACAGAATGAGAGCAAATATTTGCAAATCATATATTTGATAAGGCTCTAGTCTCTGGAATATAAAAAAAAAACTTCTAAAACTCAAAAAGACAAAAATATAAAGTGAAGAGAAGGTTTATTTTATGGTGGTAAAATATACATAAAAGTTATTATTTTAACTATTTTTAAGTGTACAATTAAGTGGCCAAAAGTTCATTCACACTGTTAAATAATTCTCCCCACTATCCATTTTCAGAATGTTTTCGTCATCCCAAACAGAAATTCTGTGCCTGTTATACAATTAATTTGTGGTCCCCTCTCTCCCTAGCCTCTGGTAACTTTTACTGTACTTTCTATCTCTATTAATTTGCCTCTTCTTCTTTTCTTTTCTTTTTTTTTTTTTTGAGACAGAGTTTCACTCTTGTTGCCCAGGCTGGGGTGCAATGCCGTGATCTCCGCTCACTGCAACCTCCGACTCCCGGGTTCAAGAGATTCTCTCACCTCAGCCTCCTGAGTAGCTGGGATTACAGGCACCCGCCACCACGCCCAGCTAATTTTTGTATTTTTAGTAGAGATGGGGTTTCACCATGTCGACCAGGCTGGTCTCGAACTCCTGAGCTCAGGTGATCCACCTGCCTTAGCCTCCCAAAGTGCTGGGATTACAGGTGTAAGCCACTGTGCCCTGCCAAATTTGCCTCTTTTAGGTACCTGATATACTCCTGACCTCAGGTGATCCACGCACCTGAGCCTCCCAAAGTGCTGAGCCACCACACCCTGCTGAATTTGCCCCTTTTAGGTACCCAATGTAAGTGGAATTATATATCTGTCCTTCTGTGTCTGGTTTATTTCATTTATCCTAATGTTTTCAAGTTTCATCCATGTTGTGGTATATATCACAATTTTGTTCCTTTTTAAGACTCAATAATATTCCATTGTGTGTAAATACCACATTTTGTTTATCAATTTACCTCTTGGTGGATTGTGAATATTGTTGCTATGAACATTGATGTACTAGTATTTGTTTGAGATCTTGCATTAATTTTTTCTGAGTATATACAAAGGAGTAAAATTGCTTCATCATATGGCAATTCTATGCTTCATTTTTTGAAGAATCATGGCAAAGAATTTAAATTGACATTTCTCCAAAGAAGGTACAAAAATGTTTAATAGGCACATAAAATGGCTCAACATCATCAGGCATAAGGAAAATGCAAATAAAAAACACAATGAGATGTCACCAAACAATCAGAATTTTTTTTTTAATGAAACTCAACAACACCTACTACTAAGGAGAAGGTGGAGGCAACTGGATCCCTCATCCATTACTGGTGGGAATGTAAAATGGTACCGACACTTTGGAAACAGTTTGCCATTTGTTATAAAGTTAAACGTATATTTGCTATATGAGGCAGCAATCCTACTCCTGGGTATTCACCCAAAAATAATGAAGACATATCCACAAAAGACCCGCACAACTATGTATATAGGAAGCTTTATTCATAACACCAAACTGAAAATAACCCAATGTCTCTCACTTAGGAATGGATACAACACTGTGATACATTGATGCAATGAAATACCACTCAACAATAAAAAGAAATGAACTACTGATATACACATAAACAGGGATGAATCTGAAAAACATTAAGCTAAGTAAAAGAAGAGCTAGACCAAAAGGCTGCACACTGCATGATTTCCTTTATATGACAGTCTGGAAATGGAAAAACTACAGGGACAGAAAACATAACAATAGTAGAAGATGGAGGTGTAGGACTCTTTGAGGTGATAGAAATATTCTATATGGTAATCCTAGTTGTGGCCATATGGCTACACTTTTGTCAAAACTCCAAGAACTGTCCCTATAAAATGTGAATTTTATTACATATAAACAATACCTTAACATACCTAACAAAAGAAAAGAAAAATCCTCCAGAAACATAACACTACATATGTGTTCCTGTATCAGTGCATTAGATATTTTATTTTCTGTCATTTTTTCTCTCCAACAGAAAAGATAAACACTGAGGTGGGAGAGCAGTGGCTCTCAGATGCTGTAACTGGACTATGCCTTAAATCTCATTTTCACAAAAATGAGCCGAAATAAATGATACACTGGTGACTTGGCGGCACAAAGAAGAGAAAAAGCAGACAAAATAACATGACATGATTTCATTTGTTGAAATTTATGAAGTAATTTATTTATAATGATTACAGCTGTGTAAATACCCATAATCAGGCTTACAAGGGCCTTATGCAAACTCCATTCTTTGTGCATCCAATTTTCTCCCTGAGAACGTGAACCCAGGGGAGTGGAACGTACACAAGAAGCTTGAAAGAGCACAGACTTTCAGGACAAGACTCAGCCAGCACCAAAACATACTGCTTGGTAGATTACCAAAGCTAAGCCCAACTTCCACTTGAAAATGTAACTCAAGACACATTTACTATATAAAACTCGAATTGCTTACTGCTTATAAGCCTCTTTGAAAATGTCAATATTGCTTATCAGTGTTTGAGATTATAGGAGAGAATGAAGCTAGGAAAAATGTGTTCTGTTTGGTGCTTTCATCATACACTATTTTCTTCCGTTCTCATCAGCCTATAATAGAGATTTATGGGCTCCATTTAGTATAATAATAAACAAATTATCTTTAAATCAAGGATCAGCTGTTTGAGTTGAACAGATAACATCTGCTGCAAATCATATAGTGGGAGCAGACCTAGTCTGAGTTATACATACCCTCCCTTCTCTTCCTTATCCCCTTTGTTGCCTGCCCTGTTGTTGTTCTTATTTTAATGCCAGTCAACATCCCATGGCTGATTTGGGAGAGAGAGGTGGAAGGAAGAGGAGATCATCTCAGGCAATTTACCACCATCAAAGAAGTAGAATTCACCACATTCACACTGTGAATGCATTACCATCTTTTACTTTAGATGATACTGACAATCTGTGAGATGAAGAGAAAGAAGAGTTTCAGGGTAAGTGGTAGCTAACAGTTGAGGTAATTGTTCGAAAAGTATTGCTGATTACCTTAAATTTTCAATAAGCTATCTGCTCTTTAAGCTATAATCCACCATTCTCATATCTAAAAGTCTGCAACATCCTTGCATTAAAGGTGTCTAAAAACTGTATGGTTCAGATCTTTGCCCTCTTCATTATTAACTTTAACCAAAGATTGATTTTGAAAGAAAATAAAATATCACAGGCAGAAAGTTTATGTTATCTCTAACTTCATTACTCATACTTGGGTCATTTAATGTATTCGATCATTATTTATTTAAAGAACATAAAGCTGGTGTGACTTGTGATCTGTAGAATATAACAGATATAACAGATCTAACGTCCAGTCCACTCTTTCATTTAACAGGTATTGGCTGGTCACCTCCCAGGCTGGTTGTGAGAGATGACAGTCAACAAGATAGGTGAATTGCACATCCTTCATGGAATGTAATATTCTAGAGCAAACAGGGAAATAAGAGCAAAACATATACAAAGGAGGTAAGAAGAGAGCAAGGTGAAAAATCAAAGAAATATGTAACCAAGTAAAAAAGACAATGGCCTGAGACCTAAGAAAGATTGAGTTCAGGAGACAACCTGCATCTCCCTCAATTGCTAATGCCTGAAAGGCATTGGTATGGTATAGCTTTACAGCTGGAAGGGTAGAGAGACAACTGAGTCTATGTAAAATGGTTCTTCATTGTACATATATTCTACATATAAGAATAGCAGGTTCCAAGAGAAAATCCAGGCTACTCCAGGCCACATACAAAGTTTTGGGTGGGCACCTATGCCCTCAGCACACTGCAAGAATTGAGTAAAATTTGGAGTCATCTCATGCAATGGATCTTTGTGACACCCCACTTTCTTTCTCCCCCACCTCTAAACTTCTTTTGAATTCTTCTGCCAACTTTGAGACAATTGCTTGTGGAGTCATGCTCACCATTGCTTTGGAGAAGTCTTCTAGACACAGGCTTTAAGCCTGTCTAACCACCTCCATCCTGTATTTCTCCGGGTAGTCCTTTGTGGCTCAGAGGAACAACATCTTCAATGATTGCATCTGCTGACATTGGCATAGTATGTCACTGGACACAGAACTCCTTAATGGACAATATTGCATTTGATTCTCATAATATTGCTAAGCAGATATTATTATTTCCACATTATAAAAGAGGACTTAGGCCTTGGGAATTAGGCCACATGGTCTATCCAAGTTCATATACCTGCTTCTAAATGGCAAAGCTGTAGCTTAATTCCTGGCAGAATGACTATCTGTTCTGTTTACTCTGAACTAAGGGGGTCCCAGGAAGTGGGACTTTTAGTGCTAAAACCAGAATAGTCCCAATCATCCCAGGTCATTTGGTAACCATACTACCAAATCTATTTAATTTCATGTTTAGTATATGAGAGCAGGACTCTGGGGTTTGCTCTTTCCCCAGGTTCTAGGGCAAATCATTTTAATTGGCCAGTGATCCCAGAGATATATAATGAGTCACCACCCCTGCCACCCATCTGACTCCGGCAGCTGTGTTTTTCAGTGCCACATGGTTGGATGGCCATGCTTTGAAAATACAAACCTAACAACAAGATATTAAACTTTAAAATAGCAGAGCAGGCTCCAAATATTCCTGTCCCACCCACTTTTCAGCAGTTCCTGGGCTCTTCTTTGCCTAATGGGAGCATTGGCTTGAGAAGAGGAAGCGAGTTATTTTTAAAGTTTTGCACACATCTCATCAGAGTTTGTGACAATGCACCATTCATGCTGGGTTAATCATTACTGTGGGTGTCCCAGGAGTGACAGTGAGCAATTTTATGAAAACTTTATAGTCAGTAACATTACTCCCACGGCATGGCAGAGAAAGGAGCAAGGCAAAGCTGAACAGCTCCTCCCTGTCACTTGAGATTGAGGAAAATGCAACACTGACAAATATCAAATTGTAAGGACAGAAAACGAGTAAGCTCCTTTTGAAACAATTTTAATGGAATTATACAAAGAAGTTAGAAAGATGACTAGAGAAAGCATTCTAGATAAAAAGTATTTAATTAGTTTTAAAGTTTTTAAGTTGTATATGTTTTAAAATATGTAAGAAAACCATGTTTCTCTTAATAACAACAAAGAACATTATGTTGAAAATCTATAACATGTCAGATACTCCTCTCAGGATTTTACTGTATTGATTACTTACAATACTTGTATTAAATCATCATCGTATTAAGGAGTTGAAGATACTTTGTGTATTGCTTCCATTTTCACAGTTGGGGAAACTATACACAGAGTGGTTCAAAAACTAGAACAGAAACACATTCAGTGCAAGATGGAGCTGGGATTTGACCCCAGGCTCTCTGACTCCAGAGCTGATATGCCTAAGCACCACACTACATTTCCAGGGTACAAAAAATTTCTGTCCACCACGACTGCTACTAAAATCTCCAGATATTCACAGACATAAATAAACTATGAGCAGAAGAATAGTTTGCTTATAGGAGAAGATTTGAAGTACAGCTCTTTGGCAGGAGGGTGAAGCCCTGTGACTTGGTTCTCTCAGTGTTTCCTGATAGTGAAATTCAATCAAAAAGGAGCCTGCCCAAATGCTCTTATTTGTATTTAATTAAAAATTGTTCTCTATGAAGCTTTTCCTTAGAATATATACACATGATTTCTAGATTAAATAGTAGCAAAGTAACTGAGCCTGCCATGTATTTTTCTATCTTTTATTAAAATACCCACAAATATAAACAAATTAAAGAAAAAAACAACACTGGAAATAACAATGCAAACGAAAGTTAAGAGAAGACCAGATGCCATGTGGGAAGGGAATTTCTACTAACTACAACCAAAATGGGTTGGGTTAGGGACTTTAATTTTAAACTACACAATACTTGCTCTATACTCAGAGCAAGTTCAAAATAGGCCGAGAGAAGACAGAAGAAGACTGATTCATTCTCACTCTTTGTATTACATCCTAGATGAAGGGGCTGCGTGATTCTGAAAGATGGGAAGCCATGTCCCAAAAGCTAAGAAGTCATGCCCTGAGCTATCCTGAGGGTTCTCCCTCCACCTTGGGCCCCACCTGCATCTTTTTTACTTCGTCCTCAGGAAACTGTGGCTTCCAGCATGCACTGTGGCAGAAGGTAGAGTGGGAGGCTTAGAGACAGGTTGTGTCCTGAAATGTTTAGTTATATAAGGGTAAGCCTTGGAAGACAGGGTAGAAATGGAAAGAACCCTGCCCGAGGACCTTCAAGATGAACCATTTTGGGTGTGAGAGTGGAGGAAAGTAAATTGGGAGAGGTAGAAAAGTGTTTGAATCTATCTCTGGCTTGGTTTGATGCCAGAAGGAAAAGGTAGGCCATAAAGCCAGTCAACCCCCATTTTAATTGGAAAACATTTGAACTCATCATGCAATATCAGCTGTTTTTCCTTTAACATATAGGATTAAAGGGAAAAAAGTTTCATAAAAATATATACATATATGAAAAATGATTCTAGAATTCACAACAAAATTTGGAGAATATATCTTCATTTCTTTCCATGAAAGAAGGCAAGTAATCAATAAACTGAAACTGGGAAAATAAGTACAATTCTCAACGAGGGGTATCAAAATAGATTCAAGAAAGTCTGGCTAAAATAAAATTTAAGAATAAATGGAAGTGGAAAATTCAATTTTAAATAAAATAAAGATTAAAATAAAGATCAATAAAGAGCATTATGGTAACTGCAGAAAATGAAAGCACTGAGGATCTTGCAGTCCAGAGAAGACAAGCAGAGGAAATGATGCCAGCAGTACAGTGGACTAAGCACCATGTTAATCCTATACACAGAATGATATAAAAGCACAAAGCCAGGCACTTGACTCAGTCTAAGTCTTCCTGGAAGATGCTACACCCAAGCTGAATCTCCAGGGCTGAGTAGGAGTTACTCACAGAAAGAACATAGCTGATAGAACTGATAATACAAACATAGCAGGGAAACAAGAAGTGTTTTATACATGATGAATATTGCTAAGTCATAAATAGTAAGCTAGGGAGTGGTGAGAGATGAGACAGTAAAAGGTAAGTAAAGGCAGGCCATAGATTCTTTCTTATGTAAGGAAGTAACCTTTAGTAGGTGTGAAGCAGAGAATGGAATGATAATATTATAGACCGCTGGGAAGGTGTTTGGAAATATAGAATTTAAGGAAGCAAGAAAAATTAAAGAACAGGAAGTAGGCTGTGAAAGTGGTCCCTATTATAAATAATGGCAGCCTGAATTCATGCAAGAGTATCACAGATGGAAATTGGGAGTTGAATTCAAAAAAAGTTAAGGAGATGATATTCAGGGTTTATTAAAATCCTTGATGTTTGTCTAGGGGAGGCTTTTAGCTTGGGACATAATTAGTTCCAATAATCACAAATGGGCCTACAGGAGTAGAGACCCATTGGAGGGGAAAGAGGAGTACAGTTTTAAGCAGTATGATTTTGATATTCTTCTTGGCATCAAGAAGGCATATTGAGCAAGAAGTTGAATATATGACTCTAAAGTCTAGGAAAGCAGTCAAGGCTAGATACAATTTTGTGTGTCACCAACACATAGAAAATGTTTAAACCCATGAGAATGAGTAAAACCATTGGAGAGAAAGCAATGAGAAGAGTAGTGAACTCAGGACAGCAGACTGAGAAACACCAAGTACAAACAGAAGGCAGAGAGATCCTAAACTGAAAGTAAAAAATAAGTCAAAACATCCAGGACCACTAGGGATGTATGGGCTGCAAACGTCAAAGAGGTGTTACGTTTCAAGAAGAAGAGGGCAATTCGTAGTGTTATATGTAGCAAAAGCAAGGGGTGGTAGGTAAGGGGTACCGTAGTCTTAGTATCAGGAGATGTCCAATGACATTAGCAAGTGGGCTTTTCAAAGAGGAGTGAAAAAGAAGCCCAGACTCAGTGGCTTAAGTTAGCTGATAAGGGGAACGTGTTTGGATAGAAGAACTAGAAGGAAATGTGGGCTCAAGAAAAAGCATTTTCAGAAGGAAGGGGACTTAGCCAAATTTATAAACTCTTCTGAAGGAATTATTTGGAGGAACAGGTCAAAGGTAAACTTGATGGAGCAGTTCTAAGAGGAAGCAGGAGGGGAAAATATAATGCAACCTCATATCTGTTCCTGCAGGCTTAGATTTAGCTCTCTGCCTGTTCTCAGAGCAGGGTGTCCCAAAGTTTAGTATGCATCAAATTACCTGGAGTCCTCACTAAAACACAGACTTATGGCCCCAGACCCAGAGATTTTTATTTAGAAGGTCAAGGCTGGACCCAAGAATGAGTTGTTTCTAGCAGCTTCCAGGTGATATTGATGCTGCTGATCAAGGAGCCACATGTTAAATGTTTTTCTTTTCCTCAAAATTATGCTTTTTCCTCCTCTGTGCCTTATTCACCCTGTTCTATCTGAAAGGTCATCTCTAATATTACCTACAGTTTTCTTTCAGCTCTCTAACATTTTTAACAAGTGCTATGTCCTTCATAAAGTCCTTTGCAGTTTATCCCAAGTAGATGTTGATGTCCTACATCTATCTGTAGGACCACATTGTTATATATTTGATAACTTCTTTTTCCCAGTATTTTTCATTATGGTTATGTGTCTACTTCTCATCACTTCTGATAAACTATAAGTTCATCGAGGGCAAGGATTATCACATCTTTTTTGCAGTCTGTCTCACATGTGACTCTATCTGAACTGCAAGCTAAAAAAAATTGCACACATGATGTTTAGAATGCAATTATCAGCCTATTCTATGAAGCCAATTTTGCATTTCTAATTCAGCTGGAAGAAGGCAACTGCTGTGTCTGCAACAAAAACATTGTAGCAAGCTGAAAATTTATGTTTCTAGGACAAAGATTCTCAATAGCTCAAAATGCAAAAATCTTAGTTCTTTGGGGCTGGTTTCTCACTCCTCTAGTTACTGATATTGAACTTCACTGATGCATTTTGCTAGGATATGAAGCAGATATAACCAGAGGGAGAACACGTTTGAACTCAAGGTTTAATCCAATTCCAACCAGAGCTCTACTGTATGCATTATTTATCAACAGCATTTAAGTGCCCACAGTGAGCCAGCCCTGACTTGGCTCTATAAATAAACCATGTCATACTTGGTTCCTGTCCTCCAAGTTTTCACACTCAAAAGAGGAAAAATGAGAGCATAAATACAGTTTTCATCAAGGTAATTATGACTAAATGGCATTTAGATAATTGGCCAACCAGGACAATAAGCCATTTAAACCTGGGAGGTAAAAGGTACTGTGGGGAGCGCTAAGCCCTTCTGGCACAGTTTTTTTTTTTCTTTTCTTTTTCTTTTCTTTAAAGCTTTTGCCTTCTAAGAGTATAGAGATTCTTTTACTTAGTTCTGTTTCAACTCAGCTATAAAAGGGAAGACCTGTAGGTAAGGAAGTCTTAGGTGAGTGAGAAGAAGGCCTCTAACTGTGTCTTTGTCTAACAGAGAATCATAGAATCACAGGAATTAAAAGAAATTTAGTGAACAAGTATGACAAACTTCCATTTCTATCCCTTAAAGGACAGTTTTATTTTGTGTGGTAAGAGAGGTACAAGGAAATAACTATGTTGGTGCTTGGAGTAGCCCATAATCTGGGGCATCTCAGTGATAACTGCTGAGAAAGAAGCAAGAAATTAAGTGACAATGTTGTATTATGGAAGAGACCAAATGCAGTGATGTGATCTGAACATTACAGAAAAGACTCAATGCTGTGTGTGTTCCCAACAAAGAAAGAAAGAGACCCCATGCATAGTGGGAAAGTAAGAATTTAGTGGATGTGGTGGGATATGACTGAAAAATAACAGAGGTAGATGTTGTAAAGGAAATCCTGGATTTGTAATAAGCAGGAAGAACTAGGAATATTGAGCCTGGAGACAGGTTAATGCCTATGTATACATCCCATTGGAACAATGTGTAGTATAAGCATAATGGTTGTGTGATCCCAATGAATAAAATGCCATTTGAGATAAATGATCTGTCCAAAGATAAGGTCCTAAAGAAAGAAGGTTTTCTGTGAAAGAGGGAAAGAAGAAAAATATGAACAATGAGTAGAAAAATGAATGCCAGATGCAAAATCAAAGCAGAAAAGACCTTAAATAAAGAATGTGTGCTGAGTTGCTTCTGAGAGACTGAATACACAAACAGACAATGACCAGGCTGTGTGTAAAAATAGAACTCTTACCCACAACCTGAAGCAACTGCTGCTGGAAGCCAAACCACAGCCTCTGTAGCAATTGGCTGAAAATGGCCAGGACTTGATTAATAACTGTCAGCCTCCCTAAATTTGGCCTCTGCTTCCAATGTGAAAACAACTGGAGAAAGCCAAATACACCCCGCCGTAACCCATTCTGTAGGATACCCCACATCTATTTAGCTCACCTCCAGCTTCCTCATGCCAGCAGCCTCCAATCAGTGCACATCTGAAGCCCTCCCTTTTTTCTAACTCCAGAGCTTTCCCACTCCTCTACCTACCTTTGAGTCTCTGCCAAATGCAAATGATGTTGATTCTCTTGCCAGAACAAGCTCTGAATAAGTAGCCTTCACTTGCTCTCATTTAAGTGGTCTTTGCTTATTTTCACACAGCTATTCAAGCATCACAGTTCTGGGTGCTAAAATTAATGACAAGACAGAAAAAAAGACTTCTGCCCTGATGGGACTAATATTCTATCAGGAAACACAGACAATAAGAAACCAGATAAATTAAGGAAGTATTACGATGACAAAATGTTACGAAGAAAATAGAATCAGATGATGGGAAAGAGGGATGGATAATGTTAGATTGAATAGTAAAGGAAGGCCTCCTAGAGGAGGTGATGTTTCGGCTGAAAACTTAGAGGTAAAAAAGAGCTGGCCTTGTGAAGAGCTAGGGGAAGAGAGACTCCAAGTTGAGAGAACAGTAAATAGAAAATCTGCCAGGGCAAAGTACCCTTGGTTTGTTTGAGAAAGAGAAAAAGCCAGGATGGCAGGGATGCCAGAAGTGCAGGGTAGATGGAGATGATTCTGGAGAGGTGAGTGGGGCTGGACCCCATGAGGCTGAGGCGGGACATTCTTTCTGTGCTGGGATGGCATTGGAAGGTTTTAGGCAGGAACACTTGAGTTCCCAAGACAAGTGGAAAGGTACAAGCAGAACTTTTTAAATGCTCCTTTCCAGTCAATTACCACTATTGAGTCAGAGCAGTTCATCCTAAAGATTTCAAGTGTTTATAGTGATAACAGAATTGCTGCTGGGATAATAGTGCTTCAGTGTAATTAAGCACTTCTGGTCTTCCATCATGAGACGCAACAAGCATCAGCCCTTTCTCCAGATCTCACACACAGCTAATAATGGACAATCCATCAATACCCTCTTCCTACCATGCTAGGACTATTTTATGAGGACGCTGAAAGCTTTAATAAACCCTCTTAAATAATTTCTTTATGAGGCAGGGAATTAGAAGAGCTGAGCATGAAATAGGTTAGGGTCTGTCAACAAAGGGGGCACCATTGTTTTTATGACTTCTACCAGTGGTCTCTGTGTGTAAAACTCTAATTAGCTAGAATATTGATGTCATATGTGGTTGCATCGATCTGTTCTCTAAATAGCAGCCATCACTTTGCTCAGATGGGGACTTTGCTCAGATTGTTAAGTCACAAAAGTCATTACAGGTAATGAGCCAAATTCTGCCATCATGAAGCCTGCCCCATCACTGGAAATAGGCTCCTTCAAAGGCTAAACGCACTCATTTTCACCAGTCAGGCCTAATCCACAAATTTCCAAGTCCGCAGGGAAAAATAAGTGTCATGGAGGGATGATGTTTGTAATTGCTGCCACAGTCTGATGTATAACTATAGAACAGTTCAAATATCAGCACAATCCTCTTTTATGAGTTCCACTGCACATTCTAGACAAAGATAAGTGCAGTACATAATGATGCAACAAAAACAACATCGTCTGATGCTCATGGCCAGTAATGTCAGGAAGGACTCTCTCTTTAAAATCAGTTAATCACTGGAAATAGCATCCTTATCTGGCCAGTGTGTCTCTGTATATCAGTTGCAAACCTCAAATGGGCAAGTAAAAAGAGATGAGAAGGGAAATAGGTACAGCTGATATGGTTGAACCCAGCCAGCATCTCATTAAACTTGTCTTCTCTCTATCCTGAGCCCATTGCTAGATGATGTTCCCAGCATTCCTTGCCTTTAGATATGGCCACATCATAGAGTCTTAGTCAATGGAATGTGAGTAGAAATGAAGCCTATCACTTCCAGACCTGGCCTTTAAACTGCACTACCACCACCACATGTGTTCCTTCATGCTCTCTTTATCTTGCCTTGGCTTGATGCTGATGAACAGCACAATCTTAGAAAGTATTTTGGAAATATCAAAGTCACAAAATAGGAAAAGCTTGGGGCCCTGAAAAAGTACATGATGGAGGGCTGCCTGCCAAATGGGAAGTGTTTGTTATAGACTAATAGCAACAAGGAATACATTTCTATTATTTTAACTCTTGGAGATATTGAATGTATCAGTTATACCTGCTAGCATTAGCCTAACATAATGGGTCTCTGATGAGCAAAACCAGACCTTTGTAGAATTCACATGCATATATGTGCTTGGGATATATTTATCACCTTAGGGTTAAAAACTGCCATGCCCAGGTGATACTACAGCAATGCTTTTAACAGCTTCGTTGAGGTTTAACTGACACAGCATACAATTCACACATTGAAACTATACAGTTTGATGATTTCTAGTAAAGATATTCAGTTGTGTAGAATACTTTCATCAACCTTGAAGTTGCCTCATTTCTGCTTGCAATCAATCCATGCCCCTATCCTCAGCCCAGGCAAGTACAAATATGCTTTTAGTATTTCTGGCATTTATCACTTAGTGTAATGTTTTGATATTCATTTATATTGTTACATGTTTCAGCGGTTTGTTCTTTTTCATTACTACATAATACTCCATTTTATGAATGCACTAAATTGTGTTTATCCAATCACCATTGGATGGACATTGGACTGTTTCCAGTTTGGGATTATTAATTGAAATGCTGCTATAAGCACATCAAAAAGTGAATCCACCATAATCAAGTAGGCTTCATCCCTGGGATGCAAAGTTCATTCAACATATGCAAACCAATAAATGTGATTCATCACATAAACAGAACTAAAGACAAAACCCACATGATTATCTCAATAGATGCAGAAAAGGCTTTTGATAAAATTCAACACCCTTTCATGTTGAAAACTCTCAATAAACTAGGTATTGAAGGAACATACCTCAAAATAATAAGAGCCACATATGACAAACCCACAGCCAATATTATACTAAATGGGCAAAAGCTAGAAGCATTCCCCTTGCAAACTGACACAAGACAAGGATGTCCCCTCTTACCACTCCCATTCAACATAGTATTGGAAGTCCTGACCAGAGTAATCAGGCAAGAAAAGGTAATAAAGGACATCCAAATAGGAAGAGAGGAATTCAAACTATCTCTGTTTTCAGATGACAAAATGCTGTATCTAGAAAACCCCATAATCTCAGCCCAAAAGCTCCTTCAGCTGATAAACAACTTCAGCAAAGTTTCAGGATAAAAAATCAATGTGCAAAAATCACTAGCATTCCTATACACCAACAACACCCAAGCCGAGAGCCAAATCAGAAAGGCAATCCCATTCACAATTGCCACAAAAATAATAAAATACCTAGGAATACAGCTAACCAAAGAAGTGAAGGATCTCTACAATGAGAATTACAAAGCACTGCTCAAAGAAATCAGAGACAACACAAACAAATGAAAAAACATCCTATGCTCATGGATAGGAAAAACCAATATCATTAAAATGGCCATACTGCCCAAAGCAATTTACAGATTCAATGCTATTCTTATCAAACTACCAATGACATTATTCACAGAACTAGAAAAAACTATTGTAAAATGTTTATGGAACCAAAAAAGAGCCAGAATAGCCAAGGCAATCCTAAGCAAAAAGAACAAAGCTGAAGGCATCACATTACTTGACTTCAAAGTATACTACAGGGCTACAGTAAACAAAACAGCATGGCACTGGTACAAAAACAGACACATAGACCCACGGAACAGCATAGAAGGCCCAGAAATGAGGCCACGAACCTACAACTATCTGATCTTTAACAAAAGTGACAAAAACAAGCAATGGCGAAAAGAATCCCTAGTTAATAAATGCTGCTGGGATAACTGGCTGGCCATATGCAGAAGATTTAAGCTGGACTCCTTCCTTATACCATACGTAAAAATCAACTCAAAATGAATTAAAGACTTAAATGTAAAACTCAACACTATAAAAACCCTTGAAGACAACCAAAGCAATACCATCCCGGATATAGGAACCCGCAAAGATTTCATGACAAAGACACCAAAAGCAATTCTAACAAGAGCAAAAATTTTCAAGTGGGATATAATTAAACATAAGAGCTTCTGCACAGCAAAAGAAACAATCAACAGAGTAAACAGACAACCTACAGAATGGATGAAAATATTTGCTAACCATGCATTTGACAAAGGACTAATATCCAGCATCTATAGAGAACTTAAACAAATTTACAAGAGAAAAATAGCTTCATTAAAAAGTGGGCAAAAGACATGAACTTCTCAAAAGAAGACATACATGTGGCTAATAAGCCTATGGGAAAAAAGCTCAATATCACTGATCATTAGAGAAATGCAAATCAAAACCACAGTGAGATACCATCTATACCAGTCAAAATGGATATTATTAAAAAGTCAAAAAATAACAGATGCTGGCGAGGGTGCAGAGAAAAGGAAACACCTATAAACTGTTGGTAGAAGCATAAATTAGTTAGACCATTGTGGAAAGCAGTATGGCAATTCTCAAAAAGCTAAAAGCAGAACTACCATTTGATCCAGTGTCCCATTGGGGGTATATATCCAGGGGAATATTAATTACTATAACAACACATGCATGTGAATGTTCGTTGCAACGCTATTCACAATAGCAATGACATGGAATCAACCTACATACTCATCAGTGACATATTGGATAAAGAAAATGTGGTACATTTACACCACGAAATACTATGCAGCCATAAAAAAAAGAATGAGATCATGTGTTTTGCTGGAACGTGAATGGAGCTGGAGGCTATTATCTTTAGCAAACTAATGCAAGAACAAAACCAAATAGTGTGTGTTCTCACTCAATAAGTGAGAGCTAAATGATGAGAACTCATGAACACAAAGAAGGGAACAACAGACCTTAGAGTCTACTTGAGGGTGGAGGGTGAGAGGAAGGAGGGGAGCAGAAAAGGTAACTATTGGGTATTAGGCTTAATACCTAGGTGATGAAATAATCTGTACAACAAACCCCCATGACATGAGTTTACCTATGTAACAAACCTGCACAGGTAACCTCAAACCTAAAAGTTTTTTAATAAAAAATAATAATAAATAAAATGCTGCTATATCTGTCTTCATGTGGACATGTTCTAATTTCTCCAGGTTAGAAGCCTAGGAGCTGAATTGCTGGATTGTATTAACTGCCATTTTATGGCCAACAGGAGCCTTCTATGACTGCCTTAGATAGAGTCTCTTCCTTGTTATTTCTAAATATATATTTTTTTCATATTTGAAATACTGCATTTATAACCTTGAATTCATTGAGGGTTTTTGTTTGTTTGTTTTATTCACATCTCTCTCTTTGCTAACTAGACTGTGATCTCCTTAAAGGTCAAAAACACACTTTTTATGGGAATGTTTAGAATAGTGGCGAGTACTCAGTAAGTGTTTAAAAATAAATAGCCAAAATCCTTGACATAAATAAGCTATTGTATAGTTAGAGTACCGGATTGTGTTATATCAACTAGGCTTATCCTACGAAGTATGTTCTCCAGAATTATTTATTTGATCTCAGTTGGAGTTGGCCAAATGAAGAACATGCATGGGATTTGGAAGGAGGAAGTGAAACAGGAGCCATTACTCCTAAAAGGTCACGATGCTGAGAGCTGCAGTGAACACAGCAGAAGTGTCTGGCAGGCCCAGCTTATCCATATCTCCTCCGCTCCTTGTCCCACTCCTCTTCCTTGCTGCAGAAACTGCTGGCCAATGGTATCCCATGTCCAGCACCAGATGCCCACCAGATGCTGGGCTTTGGATCCACGAAAGTGAGATCTTCAAAGCAGCAACAGCTTCCCATATGCCTCTCCTTCTTTTATCTGTCCTCCCACATTGATGGCCAGATGCCCTTGGCTACAGAATGTTCCTGCAAGTTCTGATGTCACCACACCAGTGCTGCAATCAGAGAAGTTAGTAGCTAATCTTCTGATTCTCTAATTCCTCCCTCCAGAACTGCACTTCCAGTTCTTGCCACATATGAGTAAGATCTAATTCCCGTAATAAAGGCCTCATTTAGTATTACTCATAGTATCTCTCTCTTCCTGGCTAAACCCTAACTGATACAGTCTCCAGGCATGAGCCATATGTAAACCATTCTTCTGAGAGCCCAGTGTTGTGGCCTGGAGCCTCTGAAAAGCTGCCTGGTCTGCACTAAGCAGGTGGGCCCCCACCCTACATGACATTTATTTTAAAAGGTCTAACCATGCACAGAATATTACCTGTGAGATCTGGAAAAGAGTTTTTTTTCCAGCATTAAAATGTCACTGCCGATTTTTTAATGATACTGTTTTCTTTTTTTCTTTTTCTTCAGTTGGAATTTAAATTTTTCCTGATAACATTTTAATTGCCATTAAAATTCCTACATAACTGACATCTCTTAAATCTTCATTATAAATGCTAATTGTGATCCTGAATCTCTAAGACAAAAACAATTTAAGGTAAACACACAAAATGGACAGCTCTAGAGTGATTTGCGGAAAAAAAAAAAGAGTGAAGGAAAGAAGGAGAAAAAAATCCAGGAAGCAGTTAGGGGCACTGGCATCTTATTTCCTTCTTTCTTTGTTTTCTCACATATGCCCTCAATTGTTTACTTTAGAATACAGATATTTTATTGGGTAATATTAACATTCTCTATCTTCTACCCTTTTCAAACAGCAGAGCTACAGCATTCAATAGTCCTATCTGGCAATAGATTGTCTTCTGATATCTTGTCAACTGTAATTGGAGCATATTGCAGATCAGAGGCAGAAGTTTCACTATTAATGGTCTTTACAGCAAGTTATTACAGAGGGATGTTCCCCCTCCAAGGAGGCATTTGTCTGGTCATGATCTCCTGTGACAAAAGCAAGGTTTGAAGAGTCATGAGATAATTGGTGGTGGTGTCAGTACTTAGGGACTCTAATGAGTCCAACTATGAAGTGGGTGCCACGTTTTGTTTAATTTTAACTGAGAGAGGCAGACTTACTTTGCCCTGCAGAGGATCACTTGAGCTGTTCCCTGAATTGTATATTTTGAGGACCAGTAAGGGATGCTTTATCCTAAGAAAAGGATGAAAGGGAACCTACTATTATATACCAGCTTAACAAAAGGAGCCACACCTGTTGTCAAGATGCTCACTGCAGAGAAAGTGGGTCAACTTTAAAAGAAAAGATCAAGGCCAGGTTTCTGTTCCCTGAGATCTACAAGTGAAGGAATGTGATCCTCACAGGCCAGTCCGCTGGAAAATGAAGGCATTAAGTCTCCAGAAATGATTTTGTTTTTTTTTTATTTTAGAAAAGGGAATTTATCCTGTTTAAGATCCAAGCTAAATAAAATAGGTCCTATATGTTGGGTGATGGTAGAGGAGTGAAGTAGCTCAGGACTGCTGTTGGAAGATCTTTCCAACTCTGCCACTCCTGAGTGTATCTTGATAGCCCCTGCATAGTGCACCAGGGCCATTCCAGCAGGAATTCACAACAGGAAAGTCTATGGGGAGCAGTGGGTAAGTCTGAAGATCCACTGTCTGGGTTTGAATCTGAGCTCTCAGACTTAGAAGTTGAGTGACCATGGGAAAGTCATTCATGTGTTTTATGTCTCAATTTTCCTTTCTCTAAAATGAGCATAATAATAGTACCTGTAGCATGAATCTTTAAAAAGTGTTAATATATGCAAAGTTCTTTAAAAAGTGCTTGGACCAAGAGCTGCTCTGCCATTTACCAAACCCTAAACACGCATGGGTATCATCACAAGAGATTCTGTCACAGCCCTGCCTCCTTCCATAGTCACAACTCCACCTTAGTATAGAGCTCCACCAACATATACATGCATGTACGCACACACACAACACACACTCTTTGATCCAGCCACAGCCACTTGGTCCATTCAAAATATTTTCCTCTTCTTTACACCACACAGACACTGGCTACCAATCAGAGCCTCTGGCTCAATTAAATTTCTAAAGAGCACTGTCCAAAGTGCCTTTGGGTTCCCTTCTGAGCTCACCATCGCCAATAAATTACTAGGAAGATAGAGCACCAGCCTCAGGAGCTTAACTCCACGTGCTTAGGAGCTGCAGACAACTTGTAGTTCCTGACTTACCATAGTGTACCTTACAGATTGTCACAGACCCCACCACTGAAACACAACCTCTGTCTTCCACCCCAGCTAATTCACTAAGTTAGTTATATTGCATCAGATCCCAAGCAGTTGAGGCCTACCTGGGAAGTATAAGGAGTTCATTAATACTGATAACCGCTCTCCATTTCTCCTCACAATGAAGAACCAGCTTCCACTTTCAAAGCTGATGTTCAAGACGTGTTCTATATTCCAACCTTTCTGTTTGTTTTTGTGTTTTATCTAGAGCAGTTGGCCTTTCCTTTTCCTCTCTAGGGCCTGTTCACATTTTCTAGTATTTCCTTAAGAAATGAATGCATTTCTGCTTAAAACAGCTCTGAGATTGGCCACCATTCAATCCAAGTGGATTCCATTTTAACAACCTCATCAATCTCTGTAGGCTTATATATCTTGCAGCTTATGAGATATTTTGGACTTTGGTAAGTCTTTGTCTCATCACTGTAACCTTAAAGATTGGTATTTAGCCATCAGAATATCAATGAATTAATGTATGCATTCATCTATTCCCTGCCTGGTTTCATAAAAAGACTTCAAATAATTAACAAAAGACAATGCATGAGGTTAGGTAAAGCAAAACAAAGGCTGAACAGTACTCCAAAATGTTCTAAATTCTGCAAAAAAAAATGTTTACACTGTGCCCAGACTCAACTCTGAACTTTCAGCAGCAAAGTCAAGAGGGAAACATATTCAGTGGCTAGACACATGAAGTCATTTGTGAACTCTGGCCACAAGACTTTTAGGAGATACACACAGGCTTTCCTGTCACTGACATCTGAAAAATATTATGGGACCTTGACAAATATATTGGTTTGACAGGTCTTATTCCCTTTTGTTAACCCCAATGCAACAAAACTCCATCAAACATGTGCCTCTCTCACTGCTGGGCAGCAGTGGCTGCTTGAATAGCATCTGTATCTCAGAGAAAAAGTACTGGAGTTGCAATTGAGAACTAAAGTCTGGTTGCTGCTAAGGCTGTGTTTAAACCCAAGAGACTACATTTCTTCTGTCTGTTTTAATCTGTATCAAGGAATATGCCATTAATTTGCATTGATCCTCACATTCTGCTTGTCCCTGGTGTGTTCTAGGGAGAAGAATTTAATTTTCTATGCAAGCAAGCTGGTTGGCCTTCAGCTTGTTTAAAGTTCTGTGTATAGGCAATCACAGTGACATTATTGGAAGTTCCAGATGAATGGTTGTATATGGGAACTCATTCAGACATTGGGTGGCTTATCATCAAAATGAAAAATTATGGCATTGGTATCAGGGACAGTGTTCTATTTTCATTCTTTTTTTAAGTCAAATGAGTATTAGCCACATGACATGTATTATCAACTAAGTTAAAGCATACAAAAATAAGGTTTAAATCTGAAATCAAGCTTAACCTCAATCAGTTAATCTTGAAAATTTAATAATTTGTATAGTCATGTGTTTGCAGGATGGTAATAAGAGATACATGATAACAAATATACAAAATAATTATGATTTATATTATAACATAATCATAATAAAGGTTTTTCAAACTAGGATGAAGAAAAGTGAAAACTGGAGAGAAAAAAGTTGTGCTGATGTCCCTTTAAATACCCTTAAGCCTTAATATTTTCCAAAAGGGCCATGATAACTAAGTATGGCACAAGATGGAGATCACAATCTCTTCTTCTGTCCAAAAGAACAATTTCCATACAAGTTAAGAGAAGGTATTCAGGTCTCAAAGAAAATTCTATTCTATCTGGATCGATTTCATTAAATATTTTTTTTAATCCTAGAACTAAGATGTCAATTGCTGACAAATTGCTTTCTGTACCTAGGAAATTTGCATATAAACATACAAAATGTAAAGGATTAATATAGATTATATGCATGTTAAATGATGCAGATACAGAGAAAAGATATAAGAGGTGTAATTTATCACCGCTATTCACCAAGTATTTCTGGCTCCCTAAAATAGAGGTAGTTTACCACTGTACAATTCATCCATGTAACCAAAAACCACTTGTACCCCAAAAGCTATTGAAATAAAAATAAATAAATAAATAAAATAGAGGTGGGATTGCTGTTCTCTGAACTCTTGTAGCTAGGTGGGGTCTCTCAAGATGCGAGCAAAAGTGCCTGCAAATACTGCAGGCATAAGCTTTAGCAGCCAAAGCATGATTTGTCATGCTCTTTGCCATGGCAACCAGGAAATTTCAGGATGGCAGCTCCTCTGCTAGTCTAGGTCTCTGAATGAGGATGATAGGAAGAAAAGCACTCAGTCAACCTCTGATGTATATAAAGCATAAGCTACACAATGTCATTAAAAGGTTGTTTGTTACTACAGCACAACTTAACCAGTCCTGACTGACTGACTGACTGGGTTACGCTGCATCTAGATCTAGGCAGATCTAGTTATGTCAAGTAGATTATGCTACAAGAACAAACACCTCAAAATTTCATTGCTAAACTAACTAAGATTTACTTGTTGTCATGCTACATGCCCCATCATGGGTCGTCTGAGGACTCTGCTTAATATAGTTAACTCAAGGACTCAGGTGACAACCCTCTATCGTGATTGCCGATGCAGAACAGAGGATATTGTTCACTGTGCTCTTAAAACGTCTGCTTGGTAGTTACACCAATCACTTCCATGCACATTTCACTGGCCAAATGTGAGTCACATGGCCACTCCTACTTTCAGAGAAGATGGAGAAGTGCCATCCTACCAAGTGCCCAGAAGGAAAGGATTAAAAACATATCTGTCAAATGTCCTAATGGTCACAATACTAATATGATCCCATTTTTCAGATGACAATACCAGTTGAGAAAGATTAAATTTAGTCTTACACAGTTAGAAAAAAAGAATAAAAAAGACATGAACCCTGGGAGCTTGAATTCCAGATCCTAAGTTCTTAAAAAGCATACAATCATAATAAAACTCTGCTACTAGTAATAAAAGCTGGCATTCGAAGACAGTGCAGAGTAGTAATATGGAGTATTAGTAGTATGCAGTATTATTATTAACAAATAATAATAACAGCTAATAACAACAGCCAATTAGCATTAACTAATGATAATGGCTAACAAAGAAGCAGACTACTCTAGCAACTAAATGATGGATTCCTGGCTAGTGCTTACATGACCCTGGGCAAGTAACTTACTGTCTGTTCTCAGCTGCCTCACCTGTAAATTGGTGATAATAATAGCATCTCTCTCGTGGATTGTTCTAAAAATTATGTGAGCTTCACAAAACTCACTGAGTGGAGTGCCTGCCCCATAGAAAATCCTCTGTAAATGTTTCCTGAGTGATTACTGTGTATTAGACACTGTGGAAAGGACTTTGCATGGGTTATATCATAGAATGTTCCAAACAATGCCATTGGGATGAAGGCGTCTCACCTCACTTGGACCTTGTGTTATCAAATGTGTCCCTTCTTCTGTTCCTTCTCTCCCCACCCCATTTTTTCTCACATATTGATCTTTACCTGGCCCCTAAGGGGCTGCTTCTTTCACTACCTAAAACATTCTCTGCCATACACCTGTCCAGATTCGAACAAATAATACCTGTGTTCTTCCGGAATTCTTACAGATGACTCCAATGCACAAATATGAGAAGCTCTTTCCTTTAATTATGAATATTTCAACTTCATACTCTGTAAGTCCCATCAATAAATTTTTGTGTGCTCCAAATATATATAAATATCTGTGCTCCCAACATAGATTTGCAATAAGAATGAAGAGTAAAATAGTCTAGTGCCTTGAGAGATACAAAATCCAATTCCGAAATAAAATGTAAAAACTCCATAAGGTTGTTTTTCTGTGTGAAAGTCTAGTCTCCTTAAGAAGAGACCTACCTGTAATCACTCCTGGCAGCTCAGTAGCTCACAGTAAGGACGTGAAGAAGGTATGTTTATTGTTATTTGGAAAATCTCAGCTGTGCACCCAGAAAACATAGTTATGTCAAGTGAGTTGAAAATAGGTTCTAGTGTTGGCCCTGCATTAATTATTCTTTACAAATTTGTGGGAAGCTAAGGAAACCACTGAACTCCTCTCTGCCCTAGTACCTACTGCTAAGTAAAGAAACCAGGTCTGCTACAGATGGAGATGTTCAGAGAGCAGGCCCATCATGAATTAAGACAGAAGATTAATACAAGCAGTTAGTTATGAAGTATATGGAGTTTCTTATATGCAGGCTCAACCGCATCTGCACAAAGCATTATTGTTTTATATTAATTAATTTAAATTATCCCTCTGGCTGGGAACTTCAAAGTGGATTGAAACTCCAGACTTCCGTCATCCCTCGGATAAAAAGTAAGAAGATGGCCTTCATTATTTTTTGTCCCGTTTAGCCTCTGAAAATTTCAGCACTTCTCTATTGAATTGGTCCAAGATTATCAGACAGTGGCTTCTTGGAAATGAATTCTAATAAGAATCATGCCGGGAAAATTAATTTTACCTGCAACTCCCAAAGAGCCCACAGCATGAAAGGGCATGCTAAGAAAAGGCCATTTCAGGAACAAAGAAGAAACAGATTGCTGGGACACACAGAAACAGCTGGGATGCCCAGACTGAAGAAACTGAGACACCCAGAGTGGGGCAGCCAGTTCCGATTCTGCTGACATAGTGGTTAAAGCTGCAGATGACTTGTCCTCTGTCAAAGCCCAAAGTCTGACGCATAGTCAGTCAAGCTTACGGAAGAGAGAAGCAACTCAAAATCTGGAAAGATGCCCAGCAGCCCTGGAGAAACACATCCGTACATCAACGCAGCTTATACATACACATGCTGTAGTGAGCCCTTGTAATTTTGCACTGCCGTGGCATCCATTTTGAGTATAGGGCTAACTATCTCATACAAGAAGGGCTTAGTCACCTTTGACACAGTTTCTAGCTCTCTGCCTCCTCCTCCCTGTGGTTGATCCAGAAAGCTGCCCTATACACCTGCCTCCTGGCACACCATCTCCCTATGGGACATATAGATACATACAACCCACCAGACTCATTCCACCGGCCCTTCCATCCCACATGGACTGTGCAGATATGTTATGATGACATTTAACAAGTCACAGCGTGGTCTGTTGGGACTCGTGTTGGCTTTCTCTAAACCCACCCATTAGAACTGCCTGAGGGAAAGCTGCTTGGGCAATGCCTTGGACCCAATAAGGCTCAGGCCCACAGGTATCTCTCCTGTGGACTCTCCACCTGCTGGCTGAGCACAGTGATGCCATGACTGTCCCCCCGCTCTCCATGGCTCTCCTCTTCTCTGGTGGCCTCTAGGAATACACTGTAATGCACTGCTTCTGTGAGTTCATGTGTCCCCTGTGCTGCCTCCTCTGTGCCTCACCTGAACCCTACACCTGAAACTCACATCTCTCCAGGTCAGGGCTCTTCTAGACATTGGCTATCTTGCTAGAAATAAAGTGGACACAGGTCAGAGGAGAGCCACAAGAACATCAGCCAGTATCAACAAGTTTCCTGTGAGAGGAACACCTGCTCATGGGTGGGACACTTAGGCACTAGGCCATCCTCCAGTATAAAAAGGCACCCCCTGAAAGGTGTACTATAAACATCCATGACCAAATCACCTGAAGTCTTGTAAGGGCTAGAGTCTATAGCCACCTGCAAGAGGGAGAGACCTCAAGACTGAAATTAGAGAGAAAAACATCGCAACACATATCAATACATACACATATATACCTATATATAGTCTCTATACATGAATATATTATACAATATATGTACTTACTAAAGTATTTAATAACTATACAAAATCTATAAAGTTAGACTTTTAAATTTTCTAATTTCATATGAGACATAATGTTTAAGTTGATTATCAGAGATATATCATAGTTTTGGTAACGAATATACATTAAATTGTACTTGATAAAATTTCATATCATAGCATCCAATGTACATACCACAAATACTAAATTTTATGACCTGATATTTGGAATTGTAACATTTGCATAAAACATTAAATGGTTTATATGTACACGTTTCTCATGTTTCAAAATGAGGAAATGCAAGAGAAGGTTTCTGACATGTACTTAGGAGTATTTCTTTTCAAATTACATTTTATAAGTATGGTTAGTGCTTATTTCAATAAATGATATGCCATATTGGATATAATAATCATTGCTATATTTTTCCTTTTTACCGTTGGCTCCTGAAGTGCCATGGAAAGTCTCCCTGCTATCCAAGAAGCAGACAACATGACTGTAGCCCACAGGCTGGTAAAGACAATTTAATGAGATTTTTACGCAACTTGTTAATTTTCCAAATTAGCATTTCTTCATTCTCCTATCTAGCCATCAGTCCTATCTGGCATGAGTTAAATAACATATAAGTAAAAACGAAAACATCTAAACCTGATGATGGCCCAAACCACCATGTTGGCTGCAGATGTTCCACTGAATGAGAAGCTGAGAAAGACACAGGGCTGTAGTATGCACAGATGCCCTCCATGTGCCCAGTTGATATGCATCCTGAATATCTGACTATCTCAGCTTTGTTTTAAAATCATAGTAAAGTGCATGGATCTTTAGGATATTATGCTAAGTGAAATAAGACAGTCACAGAAAGACAAGTACTGTATAATTCCACCTGTATAAAGCATCTAAAATTGTCAAATTCATAAAATTAAAGACTGGAATGGGAGTTACCAGGGGGTGGGGGGAGGAGAAATGAGTTATTATCAACAGGCATGAAGTTTCAGTTAAATGAGATGAATAAGCTCTAAGAATATGCTCTCCAAATATCTAGAGTCAACAATAATGAATTGCATAATTAAAATTTGTTAGGAGGATGGATCTCATGTTAAGTGTTTTTATGCCAGTAAAATGAAAATTTTAAAAGTTAAGTGAATGAAGAAATAATAAATATTTATCATATTATTGAATTTTTTTTTTTGAAACAGATTTTCCACTATTTTTGTCCAGGCTGGAGTGCAATGGTGTGATCTCAGCTCACTGCAACCTCCACCTCCCAGGTTCAAGCAATTCTCCTGCCTCAGTCTCCCGAGTAGCTGGGATTACAGGTGCCCACCACCACGTCCAGCTAATTTTTATATTTTTATCAAAGATGGGGTTTCACCATGTTGGCCAAGCTGGTCTCAAACTCCTGACCTCAGGTGATCTACCCGCCTTGGCCTCCCAAAGTGCTGGGATTACAGGAGTGAGCCACGGCACCCAGCCATATTATCGAACTTTTAAAAATAAATTAAAAAGACATCAGCTCCATTAAGTCCCAAGAATACCACAGAGTTGGAAATCCTGGTCACCCCATGGCAGACTCAACCAGCTGCCTAACCAATTTCCTTTCTTACCTTCTCCCTTAATAATGTAACCCTACTTTTATAGGGCAATTGTGTCAGTTAGCCTTTGATGTATTATAATTGTCACAAAATTGAGTAGCTTAAAACAATAGTTTTTCATAATTCTGTATGTCAGCTCTATGGGCTTGGTTCAGTTGGGTGTTCTTTTGGTCTCAGCTAGTCTCATTTATATGTCTGCAATCACTTGCTTTTCAACTAGATAACTCTAGTTCTGGGGATTGGCTAGCTATTGGCTGCGTGACAGGGGTGACGGGCCCTGTTTCTCTCACCATCCAGTGGAATAGCCTAGATGGGGGATCGATACAGTTCTGAGAGAGTGATACAAAGCATTCAAGCACCTACCCCTAGAGGCCTAGGCTAGGAATTGGCACTACATCACTTCCACTTCATTCGACTGGCCAAAGCAAGTCACAAGGTAAGTCCAGACTTAAGGAGTAGGGAGGCAGACTCCACCTCTCAGTGGGAGAAGGTTCAAAGTTACATTGCAAGGGGACTGGGAAAAAGGAGAGAAATCATTGCTGATGTTTTGCAAGCAATTTGCCATAGCAGTATATTAATATCAATAATGTCTTTTATTTTCTGTATTTTATGATGTTTTGACATCTGAAAAGCCAGAGATTGCTTCTCCCAAGGCTAGCCAGTTCTTACAGACAGCAAGGAGCTCAGCCGTGAGCACATCTTTTATACATAAACCAACCAATTGTGAGACTTTAGCCACAACCACTTCTTTATCTAACTAACTTTTACATATCAAGCCACTATTTTTCCTGTCCTAAATCATCACAGGACCAGGTACCAGCCAACGAAAGACCACCACAATGTCCTGAAGCTCACTGGCATTATTTAAACTAGTCAATCCTAAACTGCTTATCTCACCCTGCCTTGCCTCTCTCATGGAAACCCCAAAAAACGGTCTCACCTATATTTCCCCTGCCTCCTGTCTTCGTCTCCCGACCACACTGGTGCTGTCCCTTGTGGCCTTACACGACCCAGGGTGACCCTCCTCTCTGGGACCTGTGGGCCTAAACAACTTCTTCCTTGCAAGCTTCATTTTTCTTTCCTCCAGCGGCTACACTGACTTGACCATACCATAACCAATATGCATAGTTTAGAACAAGCAGCAGTGTGTCTGGGTGAAAAGAAATAAGCAAACAGAAAAAACTGAAAATGAAAAAGGAATCTTACATTTTTCAGCCATCCTTACACTGAAGGGTAGTCAGGCAACAAACCTGTGTTCATAGCTTGGACTTTCTGAGAAAGCTGCTTAGAAGAGGAAAGGCTTGGCTGCCTCATATATTTGGCCTTGAATCTTCCACTTCTTTAAGGCAGGAATGCAGAAGCAAAGCCAGAGGAGAAGCCAGCGTCTTCAAACCTTGAGGCAACAAGAGTGAGCCTGAAAACCACATCCTAAGATGGCAGAACAGAAAGGAAAAAGGAGACAATTGCAGGCTATTTCCCTACTACTTTTTATAGGAGAAAAATAAAACTTCTTACTAGTTTGACCCACTTTAGGTCGTTCCTGCCATTCAGTGGTGCTGAATTTACATCCTCACTGATACAAACACCATGGCACATCATGGTGTAGGAAACTCAATGAACATATTCACAATGGTGCGGCCACACAGGAGAAAGAAACAAGAAAACATGCATCCAGGTAGGTCTCCTGGGTCACTGTAAATTGAACAAGGACACAAGGACACAGGGAACAAGAGACAATCCCATCCAGATCCATCCTAGAGCGAGAATGATGGCTTCCTGCCCTAGAGCACAGCCCAGTATTGGATACATTGCTTTTCAACAATTATATTTCTGAAGCAATATTTGGTGCCATGGGGACAAAGACGAAAACATACACAAATGGAAATAAAAACAAGAAAGCCTTCAGATAAGATTTTCCCCAGGAATATAGAAATTTTTTTCATCTACTATCCTTGTGGGAAAATCAATAACATTCGAGAACTTGACAGCATTTGTGGATTAAAGTTTTTGGAAATTCATTAATTCACTCAACAAATATGAATCAAGCTCCTGGATAACTGATGTATAGCAATTCTCTTTAAATTTAATTAATGCTTTCTTATTTCACAAATACTAAAGGTACTGCCAGATACAGTGACTTTGAAGAAGAATGTAACTACCTCCTTTCCTTCTCCCCTGTCTTCTGCCTTCCTTTACTTCTTCCCCTTTTCTTTCATCCCCTTCTTTTACTTTTCTTTTCCTTCCATTCCCTTCTGTTTCTTTCAGGAAAAACAGGTGGGAAGAAGAATTGCATTAACATTTTACTTTCTTTCTTTAGGTCTGTAATTCTCACAGCATGGAAGAAGTAACACAAGTGTTATAGAAGGAAACTTTCAATGGTAAATAGATATGGCATTAAATAACGCTGAAACACATGGTGAGAAAGTTTTTTTTTTAATTTTCCATCTTTTCTTTCTTTGCTTTTAATTGAAAAAATAATTACAAAAGGGCTGCAAAGCAATGTAAAACCTAGCTTCCTATCTCTTTTCTCCCTATCTTCTTAATTTTCCTCTCCAATCACTTTTACTTCTTTCAGCTGTTTTTAATATCATTTTTTATACTTTAAAATAAAATGCTTATTTTGATTAATCAAATTTAAAGTTTTTGTTTTGATGCCTTTTATAATTGATAAAAAAATTTCTATGTGGATTTAAAGATATGTCCACAAATTCTCTGAAACTCATTGTGAGGCAGGCTGAATCCTCCTCCTCTTAAATGGGGCTGAAATTTGTAACTTGCTTCTAACAAATGGAAGAAAGCACAGATGACAGTGTTTGACTTTGCAGATCAGGTCATAAAAAGGCACTGTTGCTTCCATCGTGGTCTCTCTCTTGTTCATTCTCTTGGATTAATTGCACCTGGAGGGGTTAGCAACCATGTTGTGAGAAGAGGCCTATACAGTGAGGAACTGGGCATCTGTCCAGTGGCCACTGAGTAGCCAAGGTTTCCTGCCAACAACCATGTGAATGAGCTTAGAAATTGTTGCCATGGCCCCAGTCAAGTCTTCAGATGACCACAGTCTCTGCCAGCCTCAGGTCTGTGGTTTCATGAGAGACTCATACAGCTAAATCGCTTCCAAACTTTTGAATGAAAAAAAAAGTATGAAGATAAATACTTATTGCTTTAGGCTACAAATTTTTTGATGATTTGTTATATGGAAATATATAATTAATAAAGTACTTTAAAACATTTCTCTCATACTCATAGTACACTTACATAACATTTACAATTAATCAATAACATCTCTTTATATTTTACCTAAGTAAATGTTACCCACTGCTGATCCAATTAATTTTGATTGCATGTCCCTTCTTTTAGAACTTATTTGTTCCACCTGGAAGTAAAAATTGCCATTTTTACCAGGCATAGTTATCTATGTATCTATCCCAATGATTTTTCAGAATACTTCATCAGGTCTACAATATATAATAGTCCCCAGTTATTCAGTTTCACTTTCCAGGGTTTCAGTGACCTGTGGTCTACTGCAATCTGCAAACATGAACTGGAAAATCCCAGAAATAAACAATTCATAAGTTTTAAATTGCATACTGTGCTGAGTAGTGTGATGAAATTGCTTGCCCTCCTGCTCCATTCCACCTGGGACTTGAATGATCCCCTTGTCTAGAGGATCCACGCTGTATATACCACTTGCTCATTAGTCACTTAGCAGTCATCTCACTTAGCAGATTGACTCAGAGCTTGTGTTTAAGTAACCCTAATTCTATTTACAATGGCCCCAAAGTACAAGAGCAGTGATGCTGGCATATTGTTATAATTCTTCTATTTTATTATTAGTTATTGCGATTTTTTCTTCTTGTGCCTAATTTAGAAATTAAACTTTATCATAGACATGTATGTATAGGAAAAGCACAGTATATATAGAGTTCAGTACTATCCATGGGTTAGGCATCCACTGTGGTCTTGAAATGTGCTCCCTATGAATAAGGAGGAATGATGATACCTCTTAGAAGATTTATTTACTCCAAGTGGCATATCATAATAGACAACCTAATAATTCCTTCCTTTTTTCCCCATGAAAACCTTTGTCCAAGAGCTACTGCCTTCTTGCTCCAATCCAGATATTTTCTGTAGGCCTGTCTTCCTGGGACGTGTCTTTGCTTCATTCTGGGGCTTCCATTCACTGGTCTTGTGTGTCATGTTTCCTCTCCTTTTTGGATCTTCCTTCTCTTGTCCTTTGTGTTACTTCTTCTTTTGCAGGAGAACATTAACCAATAGCTTCCTGGTTATGAGGACATGGGTGGAAAATATGTGAATTTAGATGTCTGAACCTAATTTCTCTATGATCAGGTGAGAATATTCTGTATGAAGATTTTTTTCAATTCTTGAAATTAGTTACTTACAGATTTTGTCCCCACATTTTAGTTTTTTTCAATAATCTGTCCCCCACCCCCAACAACTTGCTATTTATATTTAAGCATTTTGTCTGGTTTTCTACTCTTGTGCAACTTGTAGCACAATGCCTGGTACACAGAGCATACAAAATGGTTTCCAATGTACAAAGAAAGAAATGGAAAACATATATCTAATATATTTAAATGAATAACTTTCTAATTTTGGAAGGAATTAGACTTTAATTTTGATTTTGAGCAGATTTTAATTAGTCTGATAACTTTTGTAATTCCCACTTCTATCTACCCACAACCACTTCATTGTGTCTTCACTTTAGCACTGGTCAGCCTGCAGGCTCAGTTAGAATGCAAATTTATTACTAATCTTCAGTATACACTTTGTCATCATGTCTAATCAACAAGTGAAAATTGATAGTTTAGCAATAGTTACTGTTACCTTTATATCTGCTAAAGGTGTCAAAGCTGGGTGCTATGGGTTCGGAAGATGGAGCTAGATTTCATCACATGTGACTTAGAACAAGCCAACCCAACTTCTTTCACCTCAGTACACTCATCTCTAAAATGACAGATTTTGAAATTAACCTGGAAAATGAAGAACGTCTCAAATCTAATGTCCAGAATGGGAGTGGCTTATGTAATAGTAGGTGCCAGATTTCTATTCTCTGATTTTAAAAGCTATCATTACAAAAGGATATTGGGGGTGAGTACTCAGGCTTTTTAGGTTTCCACACTCTTGAGTCGTCATCATTCTTACCCTTTAAACAAAGCACTCATTTTCCTCATTTGTAAAATATTTTGGCTTCCTCGTTTATACAATAAGGGCAGTAATTATTTACACCACTGTGGTATAGAACATTAGTTATTGTGAAAATAAAACAGTGAAAAATATAAAATATCATCTCAAGGTAAGGAACTATTATTACTATTAGTTATTTATCTTCTTTATTCTATTACTTAAGAATTCAGAACCACGAGTGCTATGTAAGTTATTGCTATGGACTGAATTGTGTTCCCTCAAAATTCGTAAGTTGAAGCCTTCTATGGTTTGAATTATTGTACCCTCCTACACTGATGTTGAAATTTAATCCACAGTATGGCAGAATTGAGAGGTGGGGCCTTAATGAGGTGAAAGAGTCATGAGGGCTCTGCCCTCATGAATGGATTAATCTGTTTATTGATTAATGGATTAAAGGGTTATCATCAGAGCACGACTGGTGGCATTATAAGAAGAGGAAGAGATGCCTGAGCTAGCTGGCTTAGCCTCCTTGCTATGTGATGCCCTGCACTGCCTTGGGATTCTGCAGAGAGTCCCCGCCATCAAGAAGGCCCTCACCAGATTCAGCCTCTCAACCTTGGACTTCCTAGCTTCCAGAACTGTAAGAATTTTAATATAAATTACCTAGTTTCAGATATTCTATTATAAGCAACAGAAAACAGTCTAAGATAAAGCCCTAATCAGCCATGTGACTGTATTGGACACAGGGTCTTTAAGAAGATGATTAAAATGAAATGAGGCCATAAGGCTAAAAACCTGACCTGATAGAACTGATATTCTTATTAAAGAGAAAGAAGTACCAGAGATCTCCTTCTCTCTCTGCCATGTGAGGACACAGTGAAAAGGCTGCCATTGGCAAGCTGGGAAGAGAGCGCTCTCCAGAAACTGAACCCTATTAGAACCTTGACCTTGGACTTTCTAGCCTTCAGGTCTGTAGGAAATAAATTTATATTGCTTAAGCAGCCCTCCAGTGTACAGCATTTTGTTATAGCAGACCAAGCAGACTAAAACAGCTATCTTTAAAACCTTCAGTTTCTTTTTCTTCATTTTAATTTTCAGCACTTTTTCCAACTGGACATGCCCTACTGATTCTCCTTCTTCTCCAGAGTTTTATCCCTTAATATTAACATTCTCTTGCAGTTGTGTGAAATATTAACCCTTGATTTGCCACATGTGTATCTTCTTGTATAAGTACTAGATTGTCTAATTTATTTTAATCCTTTAAAAAAATTGTAAGCATTCTAGATAACTGAAGTTAAGACTTCTGAAGTTTCATGCTATGACTGCTATATCAGTTCTTGCCATGATAATGTTATATAATAAAGCTTCCTTAAACTTGGTGTCTTAAGAAAAGAGTCATTTTTTTCTCCCAGGTGTCCCTGGAGAATCCTCAGTGATGAATGACTCTGCTACAGCCTACTGCACCAGGATGGCTATGCTCCTCACTCCAGTCCTGTTGAGAGGCTGACACAATTCTGCTCTATGTGTTTCTTTATTCTCGCACCAGCAAACTTGTTTTTATGGCAATAGCAGAGACGTAAGAGGGAATCAGAAATGCTTTAGGTCTTGTGTGATTTGGAATTGACACCCTATCACCTCATCTCCACTCCACTGACTTATGCAAGTCTCATAGTCAAAGTCAAGAGGCTGGGAAATACACTCTTCTCATGAAACTATAGCAAAGGTATGGATGCAACGAAGGGTAATAATTGAGGACAACCATGGAATGTACCACAGACACAAGTTGTTACCACAGATTTTCGTTTGGGGTTTTTCATTCTTCACTTGTATATTCTGCTCATCCCAAGTTTCTAGTATTCTCTGTGGGCTTTCTCACCATTTGCTGGGTCCTTTCTACTCTTTTTCCACTACTTTTATTTTTGTTGTTTTGTTTTGTTTTGTTTTTGGAGGCGGGGGCGGGGTTGGATAGAGTCTTGCTCTGTCACCCAGGGTGGAGTGCAAAGGCACGATCTTGGCTCATTGTCTCCCAGGTTCAAGCAATTCTCCCACCTCAGCCTCCCAAGTAGCTGGGACTACAGGCATGTGCCACCATGACCAGCTAATTTATGTATATTTAGTAGAGATGGGGTTTCACCATGGTAGCCTTGAACTCTTGACCTCAAGTTATCTGCCCACCTCAGCCTCCCAAGGTGCTGGGATTGCAGGCATGAGCCACCGCACCCTGCCCCACTAACTTTTAGAGCTAGATTTCATGGGTGGGGTTTTTGGGCTCTACATATTAAGGTCAACCATGATTCTAGATGGGAAGACTTGAAAGAATCTGAGAAAAGTATTCGCATGTCTTTTCTACTCATCTATATCTTGGTATTATGGTTTGAGTTGTATCCTCAATAAAGATATGTTCGAGTCCTAACCACCAGTACCTGTATATGTGACCTTATTTGGAATAGTCTTTGCAAATTTAATCTAATTAAGATGAGAACATACTAGATTAGGGTGGGCCTAATCCAATAACTGGCACTCTAATAAAAGGGAAATTTGGACACAGACATGCACAGAGAGGAGAATGCCATGTGAAGAAGGCAGAGATTGGAGTGATGCATCTACAAGTCAAGCAATGCCAAGGATTGCCAGTAGCCAACAGAAGCTAGGAGAAAGCCATGGGACAGACCTTCCCGGGAAAAAGCCTCCAGAAAGGAACCAACGCTGTCAACACCATGATTTCAGATTTATAATCTTCAGAAGTGTGAGGGAATACATTTTTGATGTTTTAAGCCACCCAGTTGTTTTTCTGAACACCAAGTTCATTTTACTTTGTTATGGCAATCCTAAAAATATACTTAAGATATAAAAATTTAGTTCTTGCCTTATTCAGCTACAAATTTGTACCTATATTGTAAGTTATTTGCAGTAATTTTACTACATTCTCCATCTCCTTGCCCCATCACTTACTACCAGTCAAATAAAATAATTTTTGTTTGTTTCTTTGTTTGCTGTGTTGTATTCTCTTATCTTTTAATTCTGTGTCTGGCACCCAACTTAAAGTAGCAGCCCAAACACCACATTGCTCCAAGAACAAAAATCCTGCTCCTGTCTCCCTCAGACCATATTGTTTTTGCTTTCTCTGCCACTGAATATTTCTGGCACTGACTTTCCACTTCCCTGGACCTCCTAACTTGACTTACTACTGAGACCTCCACTCCTCTCTCTTTCTGAACTCCTGGGGCTCTGGGTTGGTTCACCATCACCTGAGCTATCAGCTATTTTTGATGGGGGAACAGAGCATACAAACCTTAGGATAACATTAGGTACAAGCAGAAAAGAAGGTTAAACTACCCCAAACCAGGAATCTACACAATATCAGCCATTTTGAAAAGGGAGTTGGCAATGGCGAATGGAAATTCATTCATCATTTGACTCTCTCCTTGCTTATTGTTGGTGTATAGAAATGCTAGCAATTTTTGCACACTGATTTTGTATCCTGAGACTCTGTGGAAGTTGCTTATCAGCATAGTAAGCATTTGGGCTGAGATAATGGGGTTTTCTTGATATATAATCATGTCATCTGCAAACAAAGATAATTTTACTTCCTCTCTTCCTATTTGAATATTCTTTATTTCTTTCTCTTGCCTTTTTTTCTCTGCTGAATGCTTCCAATACTATGTTGAATAGGAATGGTGAGACAGGACCTCTTTGTCTTGTGCTGGTTTTCAAGGAGAATGCTTCCAGCTTTTGCCCCTTCCATATGATATTGGCTGTGGGTTTGTCATATGCAGGTCTTATTATTTTGAAGTATGTTCCTTCAATATCTAGTTTATTGAGAGTTTTTAACATGGAGGGATGCTGAATTTTCAGCGTCTACTGAGATAATTATGTGGCTTTTGTCTTTAGTTCTGTTTATGTGATGAATTACATTTATTGATCTGCATATGTTGAACCAATCATGCATCCCAGGGATGAAGCCAACTTGATGGTGGTGGATAAGCTTTTTGATGTGCTACTGCGTTCAGTTTACTAGCATTCTATTGAGGATTTTTGCATCCATGTTCATCAAGGATATTGGCATGAAGTTTTCTCTTTTTCTTGTATCTCTGCCAGGTTTTGGTATCAGGATGATGCTGGCCTCATAAAATGAGTTAGGGAGGAGTCTCTCCTTTTCAATTGTTTGGAATATTTTCAGTAGAAATGGTACCAGCTCCTCTTTGTACTTCTGGTAGAATTCAGCTGTAAATCCATCTGGTTTTGAGCTTTTATTTTTGTTGGTAGGCTATTTATTACTGCCTCAATTTTGGAACTTGTTATTGGTCTATTTAAGGATTCAATTTCTTCCTGTTTCAGTCTTGGGAGGGTGTATACATCCAGGAATTTATCTATTTCTTCTTGATTTTCTAGTTTATGTGCATAGAGGTTTTTATAGTATTCTCTGGTGGTTATTTGTATTTCTGTGGGGTCAGTGGTGATATTCTCCTTATCATTTCTAAATACCTAGGAATACAGCTAACAAAGGAAGTAAAGGATCTCTTCAAGAAGAACTACAAAGCACTACTCAAGGAAATGAGAGGGGACACAAACAAATGGAAAAAACATTCCATTCTCATGGATAGGAAGAATCAATGTCATGAAAATGGCCATACTGCCCAAACAATTTATATATTCTATGCTATTCCCATTAAATTACCATTGACATCCTTCACAGAATTAGGAAAAAAGTATATTAAAATTCATACAGAAGCAAAAAGAGCCCATATAGCCAACACAATCCTAAGCAAAAAGAACAAACCTGGTGGCATCACACACCTGATTTCAAACTATACTACAAGGCTACAGTAACTAAAACAGCATGGTACTTGTACAAAAACACATAGGCAAGCAAAACAGAATAGAGTACTCAGAAATAGGTCTACACACCTACAATTATCTGATCTTCACCAAACCTGACAAATACAAGCAATGGGGAAATGATTCCCTATTTAATAAATGGTACTGGGACAAGTGGCTAGCCATATGCAGGAAATTAAAACTGGACTTCTTCCTTACACCTTCTAAAAATTAATTCAAGATGGATTAAAGGCTTAAATGTAAAACCCAAAACTATAAAAACACTAGAAGAAAATCTAGGCAATACCATTAAGGACATAGGCACAGGCAAAGATTTCATGACAAAAACACCAAAAGTAATTGTAACAAAAGAAAACATTGACAAATAGGTTTTAATTACTCTAAAGAGCTTCTGCACAGCAAAAGAAACTATCAGCAGAGTGAACAGACAATCTACAGAATGGGAGAACATTTTTGCAATCTATCCATCTGACAAAGGTCTAATATCCAGAGTCTACAAGGAATTTAAACAAATGTACAAGAAAAAAAACAACCCCATTAAAAAGGGGGCAAAGGAAATGAACAGACACTCATCAGAAGACATTTATGCAGCCAACAAACATAAGAAAAAAGCTCAACATTACTGATCACTAGAGAAATGCAAATCAAAACCACAATGAGATACCATCTCACACCAGTCGGAATAGCAATTACTAAAAAATCAAGAAACCACAGTTGCTGGCAAGGTTGTGGAGAAAAAGGAATGCTTTTACACTGTTGGTGGGAATGTAAATTAGTTCAACCAATGTGGAAGATAGTGTGGTGATTCCTCAAAGATCCAGAAGAAGAAATACCATTTGACTCAGCAATCCCATTACTGGGTATATACTCAAAGGAATATAAATCATACTATTATAAAGATACATGCACACATATGTTCATTGCAGCACTATCTACAATAGCAGAGACATGGAATCAACCCAAATGCCCGTCAATGATAAACTAGACAGAGAAAATGTGGTACATTTATACCATGGAAAACTATGCAACCATAAAAAGGAACAAGATTATGTCCTTTGCAGGGACATGGATGAAGCTCGAAGCCGTTATCCTAAGCAAACTAATGCAGGAACAGAAAATCAAATACTGCGTGTTCTTACTTATAAGTGGGAGCTGAACAATGAGAACAAATGAACACACTGGGAGGAACCACACACACTGGGGCCTGTCTGGGAGCAGGGAGAGTTTGAGCATCAGGAAGAATAGCTAATGGATGATGGGCTTAATACCTAGGTGATGGGTTAATCTGTGCAGCAAACCACCATAGCACAAATGTACCTATGTAACAAACCTGCACATCCTGCACATGTACCGCAGAATTTAATACAAAAGTTGATGAAGAAAAAAGAAAAGGAAGTTGACAGCAATGTTTTATAGCGGAGTTTCTAGGAAAAATGTTGGAAAACTCTAGATCCACATGAGACCAGGTAGGTATTGTCAGACAGGGAATGATTACAGGGACCCACAGGAGTGTTTTTTTCCCTTTTCCCTATATAAGGAAAAGCAGCCTTCAAGTTTATTAGAGTATTTACTGCAGGGATAAATGGGCAGTAGACAGGGTAGAATAATTGGATCAGAAAGGAAATCAGGAAAAACACGGGCTAATCTAAAGGAAATATTAACAGAATTTTTTAACTGCCCTGCAATTAAAAGTTTTATATGAAAATAACTTCTAAAAAACATAAACTCATTTTTCAATATACATATTCTACTTTTAAATGGTCATAAAAGCCACCACCGCCACCTCCCCCAGTGAAAGTGCATACACAACACCCCTGTTGATACCCCATCCCCACTGATGACCTGCTCCAACCAGTGCCCCTTTCCAGATGACGTGTGTGCACCCTGCTGCACTGCCATGGCTGCTGGCATGCACAAGCAACCATGGATCTCACTGGCACTGCCCCTATGAAAAACTTTGGATGGCATTCCCATTGGAGCGTTGGGTCTAGCAGACTGGGAACACCTTGGCCCCTCCAGCCCACCAGGTTCCTAATCTTGAGGAGTCAGACAACGAAACTGGGGACCTAGTACTGGCCTTCTAGAATTACAGCATGCAGCCCAGGAGTGCAGAGCTAAGCTTTGGCCCACTGATGTCTTCCAGAATCAAAGTTAGTTAACTGAATCCACCTTATACCACAATCAAACCCCCAAGTGCATCAAAGAAGATAAAAGCAAAAACCCCATCCAAAGGACAGCAGTTTTAAAGATTAAGGGAACAATAGCCCCCACAGATGAAAAATAACCAGTGCAAGAACTCTGGCTACTCAGAAATGCAGAGTGTCTTCTTCCCTACAAATGACCACATTAATTTCTTAGAAATGGCTGAAATGACAGACATAGAATTCAGAACATGGATAGGAATGAAAACCACCGAGATTCAGGAGAAAGTTAAACCCAATCCAAGGAATCTAAGGAATACAACAAAACAATATGGGAGCTGAAACATGAAATGGTTACTTTAAGAAAGAACTAAACCGATCTGATACAGCCGAAAACTGTATACTACAAGAATGTCACAACACAGCCACAAATATTAGCAGAAGAATAAAGCTAAGGAAAGAATCTCAGAGCTTGAAGACTGGTTTTCTAAATTAACTCAGTCAGTCAAAAATAAGGAAAAAAGAATTAAAAAGAATGAACAAAACTGAGAAACATAGAATTATGTAAAGAGACCAAATCTGTGACACATCTGTATGTCTGAAAGAAAAGGTGGGAAAGCAAACAACTTGGAAAACATATTTGAGGATATCATTCACAAAAATTTCCCCAACCTCACTACAGTGGCCAACATTCTAATTCAGGAAATCCAGAAAACCCCTGTGAGATACTGTACAAGATGACCATACTCAAGACACATACTCATCAGATTCTCCAAGGTCAGCATGAAATGAAAAATATTAAAGGCAGCTAGAGAGAAGAGGCTGGTCACCTACAAAGGGAATCCCATTGAGGTAACAGCAGACCTTTCAACAAAAACCCTCCAACCCAAAAGAAATTGGGGGCCTATATTTAGCATATGTAAAGAAAAGAAACTCCAACCAAAAATTTTATATCCAATGAACTGAAGCTTCAAAATCAAAGAAATAAGATCCTCTTCAGACAAGCAAATGCTGAGGGAATTTGTAACCACCAGGCCTGCCTTACAAAAGGTCCTTAAAGGAGTGCTAAATATATAAATGTAAGACTGTTACTGGCTACTACAAAACACACTTGAGTACTTAGACCATTGGCACTATAAAGCAACTACATGATCACATTTGCATAATAAACAGCTGACAACATGATGACAGAATCAAATCCACACATATAAATATTAACCTTAAATGTAAATGGGCGAAATGCCCCCAATTAAAAGGAATACAGTGGTAAGCTGGATAAAGAAAAACCAAACTATATGCTGTCTGCAAGAGACCCTCCTCACATGCTCAAGAGACAATCATAGGCTCAAAGCAAAGGAATGGAGAAAAATCTATCAAGCAAATGGAATAGAGAAAAAAGCAAAGGTTGCTATTCTACTTTCAGAAAAAAGCAGACTTTAAACAAATGATGATAAAAAATAAAAGATGAAGAAGGGCATTACATAATAGTAATGGGTTTAATTCAACAAGAAAACTTAACTATCTTGATACATATGCATCCAACACAGGAACACCCAGATTCATAAAATAGTTCTTAGAGACCTATTAATAGACTTAGATAACTACACAATAATAGTGAGAGACTTTTACACATCACTGACAGTATTAGATTGTTGAGGCAGAAAACAAAGATATTCCAGATCTGAACTTGAACTTGACCAAATGAATCTAACAGACATCTACAGAACTCTCTACCTAAAACAACAAACTATACATTCTTCTCATCTGGATATGGCACATACTCTAAAATTGGCCACAGCCATAAGACAATTATCAGAAAAGAAAAACAAAATTATACCAACCACACTCTCAGACCACAGCACAATAAAATTAGAAATCAGTACTAAAAAGATCATTTAAAACCATACAACTATATGAAAATTAAACAACCTGCTCCTGAATGACTTCTGGGTAAACAAAAAAATTAAGGCAGAAATCAAGAAATTCTTTGAAGCTAATGAGAATAAAGAAACTACATACCAGACTTTCTGGGACATAGCTAAAGCAGGGCTAAGAGGAAAGTTTATCCACATCAAAAAGTTAGGATAATCTGAAATTAACAACTTAACATCCCATCTTGAGGAACTAGAAAAACTAGAATAAACCAACCCTAAAACTAGCAGAAGATAAGAAATACCCCAAATCAGAGCTGAACTGAATGAAACTGAGATGTGAAATGAAAAACCATACAAAAGATCAACAAACCTATAAGTTGATTTTTTGAAAGAATAAATAAAATTGAGAGACCGCTAGCTTGACTAATAAAGAAGGAAGAGAGAAGATGCAAATAAACACAAACAGAAATTACAAAGGGGACATTACCACTTAACCCACAGAAACACAAAACACCATCAGAGACTGTTATGAACATTTCTATGCACACAAGCTAGAAAACCCGCAAGAAATTTGTAATTTCCTGGAAACATACAACCTCGCAAGATTTAACCAGGAAGAAACTGAAACCCTGAACACACCATTAATGAGTTCCAAAGTTGATTCAGTAATGAAAACACTACCAATCAGAAACATCCTAGGACAAGACAGATTCACAGCTGAATTCTATCAGATATATAAAGAAGACCTGATACAATTCCTGCTGAAAGTATTCCAAGGAATTGAAGAGTAGGGACTCCTACCTAACTCATTCTATGAGGCCAACATCATTCTGATATTGAAACCTGGCAGAGACACAACAACAAAAAAAGAAAACTTCAGGACAATATCCTTGAGGAAAATAGATGCAAAAATACTCAACAAAATACTAGCAAACCCAATCCAGCACCACATTAAAAATCTAATCCGACACACTCAAGTAGGTTTTATCCCTGGGATGCAAGTTTGGTTCAACACACACAAATCCATAGATGCAGAAAAGTCTGTTAATAACATTTACCATGCTTCATATTAAAAACCATTCATGTTAAAACACCTTCATGCTACAAACCCAGACTCCAGATGCCATGTTGTGAGGAATTGCAAGCCATTTGGAGAGGTCACATGTAAGTGCTCAAGCTGACAGTCCTGGCTGAGCTCAGCCTTCAAGTTACGCCACCCTAAGCCTCAAGTCTTCCTTGGCTAAACTTGAGAAACTCCCGGAAAATGCCAGCCCCCAAGAAATTCAAGTCATCACAGCGATAATCTTCTCAGGTGAGGTCTCAGACATCATGAAATATAGAAAAGCCATTCTTGTTTAAAATCCTGACCCAGGAAATTCATGCACATAAAAAAATGGTAATTGTTGGATGGCCCCTCCTTTTGGGTGTTTTTTAAATAGAAATCGTTTCTAGAAGAAAATTAATCATAACATTGGACCAAAATAAAATTAAAATATAATTCAATAAAATTAAAATTTGCAGTTTACTCATAAATATAACTAATAATCAAAGCATAGATATAATGCACAATATAAATTTCCTTTCACAACGGTGTCCTGAAAAATAATTCAGTGAAAAAAAGTTATGAGAATGGACTCTACAGTTTCCTTAAATTCAACTAAGCTTTTTTTCACTTACTTGTAAATTTTAGAGAATACCTGTGAGTAGAATAATACAAAGGAAAAAAAAATGAAAAACATTCTGGCTCATAACCACATATTTTATTTGCTTATTCCCATGATCCATCAGTTGCAAAATTTTGAATCTTTTACCAACACATTTATTATTTCTTCCTTTAAAGTGCTGGAGACCAGGTTCATCTTTTCTCTGCTTTTCTGCTTCATTGCCTGAGTAACTTCTGTTCCTATTCAAGCCCTATGTTTTTAAATATAACCTTCCTTTGCCCCTAGAGGTTTTTAGTTTAACCACAGTAAGCACAGGAACACAGCTTGCATAACATCAGTCTCCTCTTAAATAAAAAAAAAAAATAAAAAAATAAAAAAAAAAAACTAAACAACAGCAACAAAAACCACTTTAATGGTGTCTTTTTGTATAAAATAAAGTCTAAAGTCTTAGCAAGGCAATCAAGATTCAAAGACTACCTCTAAAACACTTATTCAATTTTATCCTCCAATTAAATGCCCACTTTTCTATTCACATAATAATCACCATGTTAATAATGTGAGTATTAGTTGGAGGCATGCTTCTCTTACATTATCATAGCCAAAGTGTTCATAATAATGACCAAGATGGTGAAGAATCTATATAAAGCAATGAATTAAAACATACTAAGAGAAAATCACTTAACCACAAAGGAAGATAGTAAGAAAGGTAAAAAGGAAGGCAGGTGTTACACAACAGCTAGAAAACAAGTAACCAAGTGGCAGTAGTAATGTCTTACTTATCAATAATAACAAGGAATGTAAATGAACTAACTTCTCCAATTAAAAGACAGAATGGCTGGTTGAATGGATTAAAAAAACAAGAACTAACTAAATGCTCCTTACAAGAAACTCACTTCACCTATAAGGACACAAATGGACTGAAAGTGAAGGGATGCAGAAGATATTTCATACAAACAGAAACCAACAAAAGAACGGGACTAGCTATACTTGGATAAGATAGATTTAACTCAAAAACTGTAAAAAGAGACAAAGAAGGTCATTATATAACAAGAAAGGGGTCAATTTAGCAAGAGGATATAACAATAGTAAATTTATATGGAGCACCCAAACATATAAATCAAATATTAATAAATCTAAAGCAGAAAATAGATTGCAACACAATTATAGCATGGGACTTCAACACCCCATTTTTGGCAATGGACAGATTATCCAGGCAGAATATCAACAAAGAAACAATAGTTAAACTATATTCTAGACCAAATGGACCTAACAGACATTTACAGAACATTTTATCCAACCGCTACTGAAAACAAACTATTTTCATCAGCACATGGAACATTCTCCAGGATAGACTATATGTTATGGCACAAAACAAATTACAACAAATTCAAAAAAGTAAAAATCATATCACATATCTTTTCTGACCACAATGAAATAAAACTACAAATCAATAACAAGAATTTTAGAAACTGTACAAATACATGGAAATTAAAAACATGCTCCTGAGTGGCTAATGGGCCATGAAGAAATTAAGAAGAAAATTTAAAAATTTCTTGACACAAATAAAAATGGAAGCACAACATACCAGAACTTACGGAATACATCAAAAGCCGTACTAAAAGGAAAGTATATAACAATAAATACCCACATCAAAAAGAAGAAAGACTCCAAAATAACCTATCAATCTAAAGGAACTAGAAAAATAAGCACAAATCAAACTAGAAAAATAAAAAACAGAGATCAGAGCAGAAATAAAATTGAGATTAAAAAATACATAAAAGATCAACAAAACAAAAAAATGGCTTTTTGAAAAGGTAAACAAAATCAACTACCTTTAGCTAGACTGTGAAAAAACAGAGAAGACTCAAGAAAATCAGAGATGAAAAAAGAAACATTACAACTGATACCACAGGAAGGAAAAATCATTAGAGACTATTATGAGCAACTAAATGCCAACAAACAGAAAGACCTAGCAAAAATGGGTAAATTCATGGATACATACAACCTACCAAGACTGAACCACAAACTGAAAACCTGAACAGAACATTAATGAGAAATAAAATTGAAGCAGTAATCCTCTCCCATCAAAGAAAAGCCCAGGACCTAATGGCTTCACCGATGAATTCTACCAAACATCTATAGAAGAACTAATACAAATTTGACTCAAACTATTTTTAAAAATTAAAGAGGAAGGAATATCTGCAAACTCTATCTATGAGGTCAGTATTACCTTGATACCAAAATCAGACAAAGATATAAGAAAAGAAAAACTACAGGCCAATATTCCTGATGAATATAGATTTATCATTCTTAACAAAATGCTAGCAAACCAAATTCAACAACACATGAAAACATCATTCATCATGATCAAATGGGATTCATTCCAAGGCTACAAGGATGGTTCAACATATACAAATCAATAAATATGATACACCACATAAACAGAATCAAGGACAAAAGTTATATGATCATTTTAGTAGAAGCTGAAAAAGCATTTGATAAAATTCAATATCCCTTCATGATAAAAACTGTCAACAACTGAGTACATAAGGAACATACACCAACACAAAAAAGGCCATATATGACAAGCCCACAGCTATTCTCATACTGAATGGGGAAAAATAGGACCCTTTCCATTAAGATCTGGAATAAGAAAAGGATGACCACTTTCATCACTTTTATTATAACATAGTACTAGGAGTCCTAGCCAGAGCAATTTGGTAAGAGAAATAAATAAAATTGAAAAGGAAGAAGTAAAATTATTCTTGTTTGTAGATGACATAATCTTATATTTAGAAAAAAACTAAAGCCTCCACCAAAACACTCAATTGATAAATTTAGTAAAGTTGCAGGATACAAAATGAACATACAAATAGCAGTAGCATCTCTATACATTAAAAATGATCAATCTGAAAAAGAAATCAAGAAAGCAATCTCATTTAAAATAGCTATAAAAATATCTAGGAAAAATGTAACCAAAAAAGTGAAAGATATCTACAAGGAAAACTAGAAAACACAGATGAAAGAAATTGAATAGATCACAAAATAAAACGAAAAGATGTGCATGGATTGGAAGATTTAATATTGTTAAAATGCAATCTCTATGAAAACAACAATGACATTCTTCACAGGAATAGAAAATACAATTCTAAAATTCATATGGAACAACAAAAGACCCAGAATAGCTAAATAAATCCTTAGAAAAAAGAACAAAGCTAAAGACATCACAATATCTGGTTTTAAATTATACTACAAAGCTATAGTAGCCAAAACAGAATGGTACTGGTAGAAAAAACAAATACATAGAACAGTGGAATAAAACATAACCCAGAAACAAATCCAAAAATTTACTGCCAACTCATTTAGACAAAGGTGCCAAGAATGTACATTGGGAAAAGGAAAGTCTTTTTTTTTTTTAATTATACTTTAAGTTCTAGGATACATGTGCACAACGTGCAGGTTTGTTACATACGTATACATGTGCCATGTTGGTGCACTGCACCCATTAGCTCGTCATTTACATTAGGTATATCTTCTAATGCTATCCCTCCCCCCTCCCCCCACCCCACAACAGGCCCCGGTGAGTGATGTCCCCCTTCCTGTGTCCAAGTGTTCTCACTGTTCAATTCCCATCTCTGAGTGAGAATATGCGATGTTTGGTTTTTTGTCCTTGGGATAGTTAAATGGTGCTAGGAACTGGATATCCAAATGCAGGAGAATCTAGATTTCCATCTTTCACCATATAAGAAAATCAACTCAAAATGGATTAAAGACTTAAATATAAAATCTGAAATTATGAAACTACTAAAAACATTTGGGAAATGCTTCAGGACTTTGGTCTGGGCAAAGATTTTTTTGGATAAGACCTCAAAAGCCCTGTCAACAAAAACAAAAATGAGATTACCTCAAGTTAAAAAGCTTTCACACAGCAAAGGTAACAATTAACAAAGTGAAGAGACAATGTAAAAAAAATGGGAGAAAATATGTGCAAACTACTTATCCAATAAGAGATTCATAACCAGAATATATAAGGAACTCAAACAACTCAACAGGAAATAAACAAATAACCCATTTTAAAAATGGTCAAAATATCTGAATAGACATTGTTCAAAACAAGACATACAACTGGTCAACAGGTATATGAAAAACTGCTCAACACCACTAACCATTAGGGAAATGCAAATCAAAACCCGAATAAGATATTATCTCACCCTAATGACAGTGGCTATTACCAAAAAGACAAAAATAACAAATGCTAGTGACAATGCAGAAAAAGGGGAACGCTCATATGCTGTTGTTGAGAATGTAAAGTAGTACAGCCATTATGGAAAACAGTATGGAAGTTCCTCAAAAAGCTAAAAATAGAACTACTATATAATCCAGCAATACCACTGATGGATACATATCCTAAGGAAAAGAAATCAGTATATTAAAGAGATATCTGTCTCCTAAGTTTATAACAACACTATTCACAATAGCCAAGACTTGGAAGCAATCCAAGTGTCCATCAATGGATAAATGTATATATACACAATGGAATAGTATTCAGCCATTGAAAAATGAAATCCTGTCATTTGCAGTAACATGAATGTATACATACATATATAGTATATATATATAATGGAATAGTATTCAGCCATAAAATTAATGAAATCCTGTCATTTGCAGTAACATGAATTTAACTGGAGTTCATTATGTTAAGGGAAATAAGCCAGCCACAGAAAGACAAGTATCACATGTTTTTACTCACAACTGGAAGCTAAAAAGTGGCTCTCATGGAGACAGTGAATAGAATGGTGGTTACTGGAGGCTGGGAAAGGAAGTGGGGAGGAGGACATGAATAGAAGTTGGTAAATGGGTAAAAAAATACAGTTAGAAGAAATAAATTCTAGCATTTTATAGCAGACTAGTAAAATTATAGTTTAAAAATAATTTACTGTATATTTCAAAATAGCTAGGAGAACTGTAATGTTCCCAACACAAAGAAAAGATAAATGTGATAAATGTTTGAGATGATGGATAATCCAATTACTTAATTTAACCATTACATATTGTATACATGTATCAAAATATTATATATACCCCCAAAATATGTGCAACTATGATATATCAATAAAAATAAAAAATAGATTTTCAAAAAGATCATTTTGGAAACAATTCACAAAATGCAAATAAAATGGTCTTAACACTTTTAAAAAAGACCATATTAGCTTATGTATATGAAAAGTAATGTTCTCAATCTCTGTCTCTTTTCTTGGCACTGCTTTCCTCTGTGTGAGCTCCACTCTTGGGCAGTCTCTTCGCAGTTGTTAATTCCTAGGAGCTCTAGAATCATATATCACCATTTTTTCTTAGCACTACCAGTAGGAAGAAAGATTCATTTTTCTTAATATTTGCAACAAAAGTCCTAGAATTGATTTTAATTGGCCTGGCTTGGATTGCATCCATCCCTACAGATAGAAAGAAAGAACCCACTGCTTAGCCAGGCAAGGAAAATGAATCTGATGGTAGAGTCAACACAACCCAAACCCCGTAGAATGAAATTGAGACAAGCCAAATACTTACAGTCAACTGATCTTTGACAAAGCAAACAAAAACATAAAAGTGGGGAAAGATACCCTATTTAACAAATGGTGCTGGGATAATTGGCAAGCCACATGTAGAAGAATAAAAATGGATCCTCACCTCTCACCTTATACAAGAATCAACTCACGATGGATCAAAAACTTAAACCTAAGACCCCAAACCATAAAAATTCTAGAAGATAACACAGAAAAAGCCCTTCTAGACATTGCCTCAGGCAAAGACTTCATGACCAAGAACCCAAAAGTAAATTCAACAAAAACAAAAATAAATAAATGGGACTTAATTAAACTAAAAAGCTTCTGCACAGCAAAAGAAATAGTCAGCATGGTAAACAGATGACTCAAGAGTGGGAGAAAATCTTTGCAAACTTTGCATCCAACAAAGGGCTAATACTCAGAATGTACAAGGAACTCAAATCAGCAAGAAAAAAAATAATAATCCCATCAAAAACTAAGCTGAGAATATGAATAGAAAATTCTCAAAAGAAGATATATGAATGGCCAAAAAAATATGAAAAAATGTTCAACATCTCTAATTTTCAGAGAAATGTAAATCAAAACCACAATGTGATACCATCTTAGTCCTGCAAGAATGGCCATAATTAAGAAATCACAAAAATAATAGATGTTGGCGTGGATATGGTGAAAAGGGAATATTTTACACTGCTGGTGAGAATGTAAACCAGTACAACCACTATGGAGAACAGTATGAATGAAAATTCTTTAAAGAACTAAAAGTAGACTCTAATATTTGGTCTAGCGATCCCACTACTGGGTATCTACCCAAAGGAAAAGAAGTCATAATATAAAAAAGACACTTGCACACACATGTTTATAGCAGCACAATTCACAATTACAAAAATATGGAAGCAGCTCAAATGACCATGAATCAACAAATGGATAAAGAAAATGTGATGTATAATGGCATTCACAGAAGTCTAGATGGAGCTGGAGACCGTTATTCTAATAAGTGAAATAACTCAGGGATGGAAAACCAAAAATTGTTTTTTCTAACTTATAAGTGGGAGCTAAGCTATAAGGATGCAAAGGGATAAGGATTCTGGGGCATCAGGGGGAAGGGTGGTAGGAGGGTGAGGAATAAAATGCTACCCATTGGGTACAGTGTACACTGCTCTAGTGATGGGTGCACCAAAATCTCAGAAATCACCACAAAGGAACTTATCAATGTAACCAAACACTGCCTATTCCCCCAAAACCTTTTGAAATAAAAAATAGTTACTTCCAATATATCATCACATAGAAAGAGGAATGAATACATTCATTTACTGCACAATTTATCAAAACTTGTTGAAAAGCATTCTACTTAGTGTAGAAAATAACTTATCTAAAGGACTACATGTAAAAGCTACCTTTGAACATTTGAAATTTATCATGAGAAAAAGAACAGACTTGATACATAGCTCTGAAGATTGCACATAGAGTTACTGAATGAAAATGACATATATGGAGAGATTTGGGTTCATACAGGGGAAGATAGTTTTTTAAAAATGGAACAGCATGACCATAGGTAGAGAATATGGATGAAACACATCCATGAGAATGAAAGTTAGAGGAAAACATTCAGCTCCATCAAGAGGCAAAGTCTCTAGGTTCACGAATAGGGTAGCAAATGCACTTGTACACGAGTGGAAGTGTTTAGAATGCACTCAAGGCACTCTGTTGCCCCCCAGGAAACTTAGACTTACCTGTTTGTACACAGATACCCAGAGTTTTGAGTGAGTTAGAAAGCAGATCCATGGCCAAATCTGTCAATCATGGTATAGGATCATCATTAGGTCAATCAACAGTGAAATTCTTAAATAAATGACTCAGCAAATAACTTAGATTCAAGTCCTCTATCTATATTCAATTTTTCAGTAATGATTTAATAATTTGATCTGTATGAGGCTCCATTTCTTCATTTGTGATGTGAAATAATCCTACACCTCTATCCCTGACAACGCTTTGAAGACTAAATGGGAATGCTTCTTCTAGTGCAGAATTCAAGTGGTTGTTGACATTATTAAGCACTGTGTGACTTTTACTGATACTTTAGGTAAGAAACTAGTTATTTCTTACTTGGATTTGAGAAGTTTACAATGTAGGAAGGAAAAAAATGAATGAGCATAAATTGGAAATTAACCTAAATACATAACTGTAATTTGAACTCAATCGAGTTACTGATTATACTTTTTGAATTATCTTATTTAACACTAAAAATAATGAGTAATTTGATTTCAGTTATTTCTCCTTACAACCCACTCGTCACCCCTTCCCATAAACTATTTTTATTATTTATCAATTCATCTGATGAATTTCTCATGTAAAACAAGATAAAGTTTCTCTCATTTCTTCTTAAAGTGTCTGTTTGAGAAATTGTGCAGAATTTAGAGCAAAAAAAAATGTCATTAGAATATTAAAGCAACATCGATGATTAAAGTATCACACCTTGCCTGTTTCCTGGGCAAGCTGAAGAAAGAAACAAAGATGAAATATAAGCATGTGTTTTTCACATGAGTATGTTGGGGAAAAGTACTTTAAAAAGCTCACTTTTATTTTGTTTTTATTTATATTTCGTATTTTTAAAATCCTCATAACTTCTCTTGATGCTTTTCCCAAATAATAGCTTGGACAACCCAGATATGGAATATATAGGCCGGGCACAGTGACTCATGCCTGTAATCCCAGCACTTTGGGAGGCCGAGGCGGGTGGATCACAAGGTCAGGAGTTCGAGATCAGCCTGACCAGCATGGCGAAACCCCGTCTCTACTAAAAATACAAAAAATTAGCCAGGCATGGTGGCGCGCGCCTGTCATCTCAGCTACTCAGGAGGCTGAGGCAGGAAAATTGCTTGAACCCAGGAGGCCGAGGTTGCAGTGAGCCGAGATCGTGCCATTGCACTCCAACCTGGGCGACACAGCAAGACTCCATCTTAAAGAAAAAAAAAAGAAAGAAAGAAATATATAACAAGCCAAACTTAGAACAGTGTAACTGTTTCTTTACCAAGGATAGAATGCCAAACACTTTCTCCTCTAAGTATTCAGGAACAGGAAGTTCATCCTGAGTTAGCAGATTTGAGTTTATTATATCTAGATTTTTATCCTTGACTGAAAATGAAAGATTCCTTGGCTGTCTCTTAAATACCTAAATACATCAAATTCAATTTTATTTGGTCAAGGACATTACAGTTTTGGTAATTTATTCACTTGAGGTCAAGTAAGTCATCTGATATAATTTTTAAAACATAACAGTTTTATTGGGATATAATTCACATACTATATAATTCACTCAATTTTAGTTTACAACTCAGTTGATTTACGTCTATTCATAGATTTCTGCAACCATCACCACAATCTCATTTTAGAACATTTTCATCACCCCCAAAAGAAATCCCACATCCCTCATTCCCTCTCCTATAGCACCTGGCAACTACTGTTTTTTATCTCTATGGATTTGCCTATTGTTGGCATATCCTACAAGTAAAATTACAAAATATGTGGCCTTTTGTGAGTGGCTTCTTAGTATGTTTTCATGGTTTGTCTATGTTATATCAGGTTTCGGTACCTCAGTTTTTATGACCAAATAATATTACATTGTATGGATATGCTGCGTTTTGTTTATCTCTTCATTAGTTGATGGACATTTGGGTTGTTTCTACTTTTTGGCTGTTATGGATAATGCTAGTGTGACCATGATATATGAGCTTTTGTGTAGACCTATACTTTCATTTTGTGGGGGTACATACGTAGGAGTGGAATTGCTGGACCGCCCGGTAACTCTTTGCTTAACAATTTGAGGAACCGCCAGATTGTTTTTCTAAGCGGCGATGCAATTTTACATTCCTGACAACAATGTATAAGGACTCTCATTTCTCCACATCCTCACGAACACTTGTCATTATGTGTCTTTTTAAATTTAGCCATCTTAGTGGGTATGAAGTGTTATAGTATTATGATTTTGATCTGCCTTTCCTTGCTGGCTAATGATGTTGAGCATCTTTTCATGTGCTTATTGACTATTTGCATCTTGTTTGGAGAAATGCCTATTAAGAGTCTTTGCTCATTTTTCAATTGGGTTGTCTTTTGTTGTGTTTTAAGAATTGTTCCTATATTCTGGATACCACAACCTGATCAGTATATGATTTGCACATATTTTCTCCTATTCTGAAGATTGTCTTCTTACTTTTATCATAGTACCCTTTGAAACACAAAAGTATTTAATTTTGATGATGTCTAATATATCTCTCTTTTCTTTTGGCACTTGTGCTTGGTATTATGTCAAACTTTGCCTAGCCAATGTCATGAAGGTAGGAGATATATGACCTTTTATTTAGTCATCTCTCAAGAATCTATTTTAATATGATCTTGTTACTATCTACAATCTTCTTATGAGATGTTAATAGTCAAAATGACCCTATCTTAAAAGAAATTTATCAATTAGCTTCTACTCCAAAGAACCACTGCAAAACATAAAACAATGACTGCTTGCCTGCTTAGCCTACAATTTTGTAGGATGACTAGACAGTTATCTTATCGGAGATTATTAAAGTGATCTTGGACTGGATCACACAGGAGTTTGTGATGAGTTCACAGGTCAGCTGACAGCTGAATAATCTTGCATAGCCTCCACTCATTTCCTGGGGTTTGGCCTGCTCTAGGGTACCATGTGCTTATCATCCTTCAGACACCCTGCCCAGATTTCTTCACATAGAAGTCTCAAGTTCAAGAGCAGCAAGAGAGGGAAACCTCAATTTGTAAGTAATTTCCAACCCTCTTGCATCAAATTTGTTACCATTCCATTGGTCAAAGCAAGTCACAATACCAGCCAGATTTTAGGGGATGGGAAAAAATCCACCTCCATATGGTAAAAGCTGCAAAATGTGGCTAATTTTGCAATTTACCACATAAAACAAAATGAGGGACATTTCACAGTGGTAGCAAAATTAGGTCTTTAGCATGGAATTTCTAAACATGAGCATGGTATATGGGTTATTTAAATATTTCTGCTTCTTCTAGATAATGTAACAGTTATTTTATCTTAATTGAGCACTTTTATTAGTTGTTATTTTAACAGATGTAATATGATCACATAGAAATAAAACATCAGAAAACAAAGAGGTACAATATGAGACGACTTTTCTCAGGACTGGACATGGTGGCTAAGACCTGTAATCCTAACACTTTGGGAGACATAAGTGGGAGGATCACTGGAGCCCAGGAGTTTTATACCAGTCTGGGCAATATAATAAGACTCTGTCTCTGCGAAAAAAAAAAAAATGTTTAAAAACTAGTCAAATGCGGTGGTACATGCCTTTAGTCCCAGCTACTTAGGAGACTGAGGTGGGAGGATCACTTGAGCCCAGGAGGTCAAGGCTGCAGTAAGCCATGATCACACCACTGAATTACAGCCTGGGCAACAGAGCGAGACCTTGTCTCAAAAAAAACAAGACTTTTTCCCATATCTTTCACATTCTCTCACCCCTCCATACCCTGCCTTAATAGACAAGAATTTTCGACTGGTTCTGTGTTTCGTCTTTTAGAGGTAACACTAAGTAAAATCCTGCCTTTATGTCTGGATTTATCAATACTAAGCAGTATCTGGTGAGGCTCAATACACAAGGACCATGTAGCATATTTTCTCTATACCTTTCCTACCTTGTTCCTCTTATTTTTTAAATTAAATTTGTAAAGATTTTACATCATGTACTAAGATCTCTATTATAAACCCATCAGCTTTAAGCTGCAGCTCTTGATGCCTTGCTATATGAGATGAAGTATTTAATGTTGTGAAATCCTTAACCTGGCTTTCACAGCCTCTACCGCTACCCCTTTGTCAGAATTTTCCAAGCCTTGTATGGCTTTAACAATGTTACATTGAGCCAAGAGGGCCGAATAGAAACAGCTCCAGTCTACAGCTCCCAGCCTGAGCGACGCAGAAGACAGGTGATTTCTGCATTTCCATCTGAGGTGCCGGGTTCATCTCACTAGGGAGTGCCAGACAGTGGGCGCAGGTCAGTGGGTGCGCACACCGTGCGTGAGCCGAAGCAGGGCGAGGTATTGCCTCACTCGGGGAAGCACAAGGGGTCAGGGAGTTCCTTTTCCTAATCAAAGAAAGGGGTGATGGACGGCACCTGGAAAATCGGGTCACTCCCACCAGAATATTACGCTTTTCCGACGGGCTTAAAAAACGGCGCACCACAAGATTATATCCTGCACCTGGCTCGGAGGGTCCTACCCCACGGAGTCTCACTGATTGCTAGCACAGCAGTCTGAGATCAAACTGCAAGGCGGCAGCGAGGCTGGGGGAGGGGCACCCACCATCGCCCAGGCTTGCTTAGGTAAACAAAGCAGCTCCAACTGGGTGGAGCCCACCACAGCTCAAGGAGGCCTGCCTGCCTCTGTAGGCTCCACCTCTGGGGGCAGGGCACAGACAAACAAAAAGACAGCAGTAACCTCTGCAGATTTAAATGTCCCTGTCTGACAGCTTTGAAGAGAGCAGTGGTTCTCCCAGTAGGCAGCTGGAGATCTGAGAACGGGCAGAATGCCTCCTCAAGTGGGTCCCTGACCCCTGACCCCCGAGCAGCCTAACTGGGAGGCACCCTCCAGCAGGGGCACACTGACACCTCACACTGCAGGGTACTCCAACAGACCTGCAGCTGAGGGTCCTGTCTGTTAGAAGGAAAACTAACAAACAGAAAGGACATCCACGCCAAAAACCCATCTGTACATCACCATCATCAAAGACCAAAAGTAGATAAAACCACAAAGATGGGGAAAAAACAGAACAGAAAAACTGGAAACTCTAAAAATCAGAGCTCATCTCCTCCTCCAAAGGAACGCAGCTCCTCACCAGCAACAGAACAAAGCTGGACGGAGAATGACTTTGACGAGCTGAGAGAAGAAGGCTTCAGACGATCGAATTACTCTGAGCTACGGGAGGACATTCAAACCAAAGGCAAAGAAGTTGAAAACTTTGAAAAAAATTTAGAAGAATGTATAACTAGAATAACCAATACAGAGAAGTGCTTAAAGGAGCTGATGGAGCTGAAAACCAAGGCTCGAGAACTACGTGAAGAATGCAGAAGCCTCAGGAGCCGATGCGATCAACTGGAAGAAAGGGTATCAGTGATGGAAGATGAAATGAATGAAATGAAGCGAGAAGGAAAGTTTAGAGATAAAAGAATAAAAAGAAACGAGCAAAGCCTCCAAGAAACATGGGACTATGTGAAAAGACCAAATCTACGTCTGATTGGTGTACCTGAAAGTGATGGGGAGAATGGAACCAACTTGGAAAACACTCTGCAGGATATTATCCAGGAGAATTTCCCCAATCTAGCAAGGCAGGCCAACGTTCAGATTCAGGAAATACAGAGAACACCACAAAGATACTCCTCGAGAAGAGCAACTCCAAGACACATAATTGTCAGATTCACCAAAGTTGAAATGAAGGAAAAAATGTTAAGGGCAGCCAGAGAGAAAGGTCGGGTTACCCTATCAGACTAACAGCAGATCTCTCGGCAGAAACCCTACAAGCCAGAAGAGAGTTGGGGCCAATATTCAACATTCTTAAAGAAAAGAATTTTTGACCCAGAATTTCATATCCAGCCAAACTAAGCTTCATAAGTGAAGGAGAAATAAAATACTTTACAGACAAGCAAATGCTGAGAGATTTTGTCACCACCAGGCCTGCCCTAAAAGACCTCCTGAAGGAAGCACTAAACATGGAAAGAAACAACAGGTACCAGCTGCTGCAAAATCATGCCAAAATGTAAAGACCATGGAGACTAGGAAGAAACTGCATCAACTAACGAGCAAAATAACCAGCTAACATCATAATGACAGGATCAAATTCACACATAACACTATTAACTTTAAATGTAAATGGACTAAATGTTCCAATTAAAAGACACAGACTGGCAAATTGGATAAAGAGTCAAGACCCATCAGTGTGCTGTATTCAGGAAACCCATCTCACGTGCAGAGACACACATAGGCTCAAAATAAAGGGATGGAGGAAGATCTACCAAGCAAATGGAAAACAAAAAAAGGCAGGGGTTGCAATCCTAGTCTCTGATAAAACAGACTTTAAACTGATAAAGATCAAAAGAGACAAAGAAGGCCATTACATAATAGTAAAGGGATCAATTCAACAAGAAGAGCTAACTATCCTAAATATATATGCACCCAATACAGGAGCACCCAGATTCATAAAGCAAGTCCTGAGTGACCTACAAAGAGACTTAGACTCCCACACATTAATAATGGGAGACTTTAACACCCCACTGTCAACATTAGACAGATCAACGGGACAGAAAGTCAACAAGGATACCCAGGAATTGAACTCAGCTCTGCACCAAGCGGACCTAATAGACATCTACAGAACTCTCCACCCCAAATCAACAGAATATACATTTTTTTCAGTATTCCAAAATTGACCACATACTTGGAAGTAAAGCTCTCCTCAGCAAATGTAAAAGAACTGAAATTATAACAAACTATCTCTCAGCCCACAGTGCAATCAAACTAGAACTCAGGATTAAGAAACTCACTCAAAACCGTTCAACTACATGGAAACTGAACAACCTGCTCCTGAATGACTACTGGGTACATAACGAAATGAAGGCAGAAATAAAAATGTTCTTTGAAACCAAGGAGAACAAAGACACAACATACCAGAATCTCTGGGACGCATTCAAAGCAGTGTGTAGAGGGAAATTTATAGCACTAAATGTCCACAAGAGAAAGCAGGAAAGATCCAAAATTGACACCCTAACATCACAATGAAAAGAACTAGAAAAGCAAGAGCAAACACATTCAAAAGCTAGCAGAAGGCAAGAAATAACTAAAATCAGAGCAGAACTGAAGGAAATAGAGACACAAAAAACCCTTCAAAAAATTAATGAATCCAGGAGCTGGTTTTTTGAAAGGATCAACAAAATTGATAGACCGCTAGCAAGACTAATAAAGAAAAAAAGAGAGAAGAATCAAATAGACGCAATAAAAATTGATAAAGGGGATATCACCACCGATCCCACAGAAATACAAACTACCATCAGAGAATACTACAAATACCTCTACACAAATAAACTAGAAAATCTAGAAGAAATGGATAAATTCCTCGACACATACACTCTCCTAAGACTAAACCAGAAAGAAGTTGAAACTCTGAATAGACCAATAACAGGAGCTGAAATTGTGGCAATAATCAATAGCTTACCAACCAAAGAGAGTCCAGGACCAGATGGATTCACAGCCAAATTCTACCAGAGGTACAAGGAGGAACTGGTACCATTCCTTCTGAAACTATTCCAATCAATAGAAAAAGAGGGAATCCTCCCTAACTCATTTTATGAGGCCAGCATCATCCTGATACCAAAGCCGGGCAGAGACACAACCAAAAAAGAGAATTTTAGACCAATATCCTTGATGAACATTGATGCAAAAATCCTCAATAAAATACTGGCAGACCGAATCCAGCAGCACATCAAAAAGCTTATCCACCATGATCAAGTGGGCTTCATCCCTGGGATGCAAGGCTGGTTCAATATATGCAAATCAATAAATGTAATCCAGCATATAAACAGAGCCAAAGACAAAAACCACATGATTATCTCAATAGATGCAGAAAAGGCCTTTGACAAAATTCAACAACCCTTCATGCTAAAAACTCTCAATAAATTAGGTATTGATGGGACATATTTCAAAATAATAAGAGCTATCTATGACAAACCCACAGCCAATATCATACTGAATGGGCAAAAACTGGAAGCATTCCCTTTGAAAACTGGCACAAGACAGGGATGCTCTCTCTCACCACTCCTATTCAACATAGTGTTGGAAGTTCTGGCCAGGGCAATTAGGCAGGAGAAGGAAATAAAGGGTATTCAATTAGGAAAAGAGGAAGTCAAATTGTCCCTGTTTGCAGATGACATGATTGTTTATCTAGAAAACCCCATTGTCTCAGCCCAAAATCTCCTTAAGCTGATAAGCAACTTCAGCAAAGTCTCAGGATACAAAATCAATGTGCAAAAATCACAAGCATTCCTATACACCAACAACAGACAAACAGAGAGCCAAATCATGAGTGAACTCCCATTCACAATTGCTTCAAAGAGAATAAAATACCTAGGAATCCAACTTACAAGGGATGTGAAGGACCTCTTCAAGGAGAACTACAAACCACTGCTCAAGGAAATAAAAGGATACAAACAAATGGAAGAACATTCCATGCTCATGGGTAGGAAGAATCAATATCGTGAAAATGGCCATACTGGCCAAGGTAATTTACAGATTCAATGCCATCCCCATCAAGCTATCAATGCCTTTCTTCACAGAACTGGAAAAAACTACTTTAAAGTTCATATGGAACCAAAAAAGAGCCCGCATCGCCAAGGCAATCCTAAGCCAAAAGAACAAAGCTGGAGGCATCACACTACCTGACTTCAAACTATAATACAAGGCTACAGTAGCCAAAACAGCATGGTACTGGTACCAAAACAGAGATATAGATCAATGGAACAGAACAGAGCCCTCAGAAATAACACCACATATCTACAACTATCTGATCTTTGACAAACCTGAGCAAAACGAGCAATGGGGAAAGGATTCCCTATTTAATAAATGGTGCTGGGAAAACTGGCTAGCCATATGTAGAAAGCTGAAACTGGATCCCTTCCTTACACCTTATACAAAAATCAATTCAAGATGGATTAAAGACTTAAATATTAGACCTATAACCATAAAAACCCTAGAAGAAAACCTAGGCATTACCATTCAGGACACAGGCATGGGCGAGGACTTCATGTCTAAAACACCAAAAGCAATGGCAACAAAAGCCAAAATTGACAAATGGGATCTAATTAAACTAAAGAGCTTCTGCACAGCAAAAGAAACTACCATCAGAGTGAACAGGCAACCTACAAAATGGGAGAAAATTTTCACAACCTACTCATCTGACAAAGGGCTAATATCCAGAATCTACAATGAACTCAAACAAATTTACAAGGAAAAAACAAACAACCCCATCAAAAAGTGGGCGAAGGACATGAACAGACACTTCTCAAAAGAAGACATTTATGCAGCCAAAAAACACAGGAAAAAATGCTCACCATCACTGGCCATCAGAGAAATGCAAATCAAAACCACAATGAGATACCATCTCACACCAGTTAGAATGGCAATCATTAAAACGTCAGGAAACAACAGGTGCTGGAGAGGATGTGGAGAAATAGGAACACTTTTACACTGTTGGTGGGACTGTAAACTAGTTCAAACATTGTGGAAGTCAGTGTGGCGATTCCTCAGGGATCTAGAACTAGAAATACCATTTGACCCAGCCATCCCATTACTGGGTATATACCCAAAGGACTATAAATCATGCTGCTATAAAGACACATGCACACGTATGTTTATTGCGGCATTATTCACAATAGCAAAGACTTGGAACCAACCCAAATGTCCAACAATGATAGACTGGATTAAGAAAATGTGGCACATATACACCATGGAATACTATGCAGCCATAAAAAATGATGAGTTCATGTCCTTTGTAGGGACATGGATGAAACTGGAAATCATCATTCTCAGTAAACTATCGCAAGAACAAAAAACCAAACACCGCATATTCTCACTCATAGGTGGGAATTGAACAATGAGATCACATGGACACAGGAAGGGGAACATCACACTCTGGGGACTGTTGTGGGGTGGTGGGAGAGGGGAGGGATAGCACTGGGAGATATACCTAATGCTAGATGAGGAGTTAGTGGGTGCAGCACACCAGCATGGCACATGTATATGTATGTAACTAACCTGCACAATGTGCACATGTACCCTAAAACTTAAAGTATAATAATAAAAAAAAAATGTTACATTGTATAGCATTTATAGTCTGACCTCTATTTTAATAAAGTTTTGCATCCATAGTTTGGTTCTGAAAATTATGAACTGATAAACAGTATTAATACTGCAATGAGTATGCAGTAATCAATTGTTGTGCTTTAACTCACAAAGAGGTAGTGTGTCCTTTAGGCTGAGTCACTTGAAGGAGAGAATATTTCAAATGTCAATGCCAAATGTATTCTATTACATTCCATCACTTGTTCAAGATAAGGTACATTTTGTTTTTCTTCAAATGTGTAACATGATTTTTTTATACAACTTTGTAAATTTCCTGGAGAATTTCATTGTATTTGTTTATTTTTTTCTTGTTGTCAGAAAGAATTTGTATTTATCACATTCCAAAAAGCATCCACTTTATCATGCTACTTGTTGGATGACATAAAATGCTTTGAGGCCGTAAGTACAGCTGTCTTCTTATTTCTTTTTATTGTTCTCCTGGGTTAGTTCTATTGTTTCCTCAGGCGTTTGTATTTCTCCTGAATTCTTTTAGGAATAGTGTATAAAAGATGAATATAATGAGTTCATCACAAAAATAAATATATCTTTCATTTCCTAGATAGAATTCTAGGAAATTCTAGAGGTTTTTTTGCCCATCAGAATTTTGAAGCATTTTTTAAGATATAAGATTGCTGAAGTGAGAATGTTATTGTCAATCTAAATCTTTATCTCTAGTGTGCAATGCAGTTGTGCTTATTTAAAATTATTTAATTATAATATGCATACAAAAAGTGGACAAATTATAGCTCGATGAGTTATTCAAAATAATCTTATCAGCATAATCACAGCATTAGTCAAGAAATAAAACAATATCTGTGCCTCAGAAGTTTCCTCTTGTGCCCTGTTCTCAATTACCGACCCCTCTTTCCCAGGAAGCATCACTGACCTGACTTTGAATATCATACAACAGATTATCATTTTTTGAAATTCATACAAAATAGAAACAACATATATTGTTTGTGACTCACTGCTGTCATTCAATATTATGTTAATGAGACTATCCACATCGTTGCTTACAAAATAATCTATTCACATCAATATCTGAATATTATTTATTATATCAATATACAGGAAATTAGGTTGATACTCATTCGGATTTATTTCAGTCTTTGCCTATTATAAATAAAGTTGTTAAGAACATTTTTGTTTGGTGCACATATACTCACATTTTTAATGTGTTCTATTTTACTCCACCTAGGGTAATAGAGTGTGTTTATAATAAATACTAGAAGATATTTCCAAGTATTTTCCAAAGCAGTTTTATCAGTATCTCTGTTATCAGCAATGCATGGGAGTTCTCTTCCCCCAGATCTTCACCAACACTTGGTATAGCCAATGTATTTAATTGTAGCTATTCCAACTGGAATGTATACCCTGGTTAGAAGCCCTTAGATGGTTATATGTGTGGCAATTATTTTCTCCCATTTTTTGATTTGTTTTTTATACCCTTTTAATGATATGTTTTAATGAACAGGAAGAGTTATTTTATCAGTCTTTTCCTTTATGGTTAATGTTTTAGTGTCCCCTTGAAGAAAGCATTACCTACACTTTGGTCATGAAGATAATATTTTTTGTTGTCTTTTAGAAGTTTTGTTGCTTTATCATTCATATTTTGATCTATAATCACCTGGACTTGATTTTTGTGTATAGTGAGAAGTAGAAGTCAATGTTCATATTTTCCATATTAATGACCAATCAATTCAATACTACTTATTAACAGGAAAATGTCCTTTGCCTTTAGTTTGCATTGCCACCTTTGACATAAATTAAGTCAATTGATGCATGGGTCTTTCTGGACTCTACTGTGTTCCTTTGTTCTATTAGTTGATCCTGGCATCATGCTACATATTCCTAAATTATGATTAATTTATACTGATAGTATAGGTAGATTTGGTACTGTAGGTGCACCAACAGTATTAACTTTTCAAAATAGCTTTAATTATTTTTGACATCTTACTTTTCCATATAAATTTTGGAATCAACTTGCAAATTTCCATAAAATAACTTCCTATGATTTTGATAGAAATTTTACATATATATGTAAATAGATTAAAATAGATATATTTGATAGATGTATCTATAAAATAGATATAAATGAAAGCAGTTTAATTGACTCACAGTTGCACATGGCTGGGGAGGCCTCAGGAAACTTACAATCACGGCAGAAGGAATGTAAATAGGTAAATATATATATAGATGTATTTGAGGAGAATTAATACCTTAAAAATACTAATATTTCTCTTTTATGAAAATGGTATGTATTATTGTGTAGTTTATTTTTAAGCAATAACATCTTATAATTTTCTATGTAAATGTCCTGCACAATTTTTGTTAGACTTAGTCTAGGCATTTGATACTTTTGATGCTTTATAAATGATAACACATATTTAAGTTTTATTTTCTAAATATTGGCTTCTGGTGTGTATGACACAATGATTTTAAGATGACCTTATATCCCATGACCAAACTAAATGTTAATTCTGAAGATTCCCTTAAATGTTTTACACACACACAAACACACACAAAAACCAATAAAGACATGTTGTTTCCTAATAATAAGTTTTATTTCTTCCTTTCCAATTTTAAACTATGTGTGTGTTTGTTCCTTTTTGCCTTGTTGCAGCTTGGTAGAACCTCTTGTACAAAATTAAAAATACATAATGATAGTCAGATATTCTCGTCTTAATCCTGATCTCAAGTTTCTTTCCCAGATACCTAGGATTTAAGAAAGCTTAAAAGGTGCAGATTTAAGACAGCTTCCTTTTGAATGGCGTGAACCCGGGAGGCGGAGCTTGCAGTGAGCCGAGATTGCGCCACTGCACTCCAGCCTGGGTGACAGAGCCAGACTCCGTCTCACAAAAAAAAAAGGAAGTTTCCTTTTATTCCTAGTTTGCTAAAGATTTTTATCATAAATCAGGAAGCAGCATTTAAGAGAATGAATATTATAAACTGCTTTTTGGCATTGACTGAAGTGATTATTTAGTTTTTCTCCTTGATTCTGTTAATGTTATAGAAAACATTAATTGGTAAGCGTTTAAAGTATCTTGCATTCCTGGAATAAATCTAACTTGCTCACAATACCTATTATGTATTTATACACATTGTTTACTTTTTTATTTCATACAACTTTTAATGCATGAATATATTTTTTGTATAAAATTTTGTTTTCATTTTTTATTCCAGTATTCATAGAAATAAATATTATGAAGATAGTTCAGTGGAAAACCCTGGGTTTGGGGAGATTTTTTATGAATGCAAAGTTATTTTGTTTTCATTTTTTCCTCCCGCCAGCCTCAGGGAACCACTATTCCACTTTCTGCTTCTATGAATTTGACTATTTACCTTATATAAGGGGAATCAGGGAGTATTTCTCTTTTTGTTACTGGCTTGGTTCATTTAGCATAATATTCTCGAGGTACATATACATTGTTCCATATAGTAGGATTACCTTTTTATGACTGAATAATATTTCATTGCACACACACATAGCGCATTTTCTTAATCCATTCATCTGTCGATGGACGTTTAGGATTGTTTCCACAACTTGGCTATTGTGAATAATACTGAACATGAGGATGCATATATCTTTTTGAGATCCTGGTTTTATTCTTTTGGAAAAATACACAGAAGTGGGATTTCTGGATTATATGGTAATTCTATTTTGAATTATTTTAGAAACCTCCATATGGTTTTTCATATTAACTGAACTATTTTATATGCCCACCAACAGTGTCTGAGTTCCAATTCATCCACATTCTCATGAAAACTTGTCATTTTTTTGTAAAAATGGCAAACCTAACAAATGTGAGATGATATATCTCATAGTGGTTGTAATTTGCATTTCAATGATGATTAATGATGTTGAGCATCTTTTCATATACCTGTGGCCATTTATGTCTTTTTTGGAAAAAAAAAATCCATTCAAAGTCAATTCTCCAATTTCTTGTCTCTATTTTTTCTTTTATTTTCCTCTTATCTGCACTACACAAATGTACCATTGCCCAGTTTCAAAATCAGATTGTTTTGTTTTGTTTTGTTTTTCTGTTTAGTTGTGGAAGTTCTTTGTAGATTTTAAATATTTATCCCTCATCACATGCACATTTTGTAAATTTATCTCCCATTCCACAGGTTTCCTTCTCACTCTGTTGACAGTTTCCTTTGCTCTGCAACTTTTTAGTTTGATGTAGCTCCATCTATCTATATTTGCTTTTGTTGCTTGTATTTTGGTGTCATAGCCATAAAATTATTGCCAAGACTGATGTCATAAAATTTTTCCTTTGTTTTCTTCCAGGAGTGTTACACATAAAAGTCTTATATTTAGGTGTTTCATCCATTTTGATTGATAGTTGTGTACGGTGTGAGATAAGAGTCTGATTTCATTCTTTTGCATGTGGATATCCAAATTTCCCAACACAATTTGTTAAAGACTATCCTTTCTTTCCCCATTGTATATTCTTGGCACTCTTGTTGAATATCAGTTGACTGTATATGTGGAAAATTATTTCTGGGCTCTCTTTTCCATTGGTCTAAATATGTGTTTTTATGCTGGTACCATACTGTTTTAATTACTTTGGTTCTGTAATGTATTTTGAAATCAGGAAGTATGATGCCTCCACCTTTGTTGTTCTTTCTGATGATTGTTTCAGCTATTTGGAGTCCTTCGTGGTTTCATATTAATTATAGGATTGATTTTTCTATTTCTGTTAAAAATGTCATTGGGATTTTGATACATATCACATTGAATCTGTAAGTTGCTTTTAGTATAGGTATTTTAACAATATTGTGTACTCCAGTCTATGAACACATGATGTCTATTTATTTTCTTTCTTTCATGACTATTGTACAGTTTTCAGTGTATGTTTTTTGTTTCCTTTGTTGTTTATTCCTAGTTATTGTATTCTTATTGTTGTTATTGTAAATAGGATTGATTTCTTAATTTCTTTTTTGGATAGTTCATTGTTAGTGTAAGAAATGCAACTGAATTTTGTATGTTGATTTGTATTGTGCAGCTATGTTGAACCCATTTATTAGTACCAACTTTTTCTTGGTGAACTCTTTAGGGCTTTCTACACATAAGATTATACCATCTTCAAACAGAGATACTTTTACTTCTTTATTTCTGATTTGAGTATCTTTATTTCTTCCTTGCCTAAGTACTCGTTCTAGGACTTCCAGTACTATGTTTAATAGAAGTGATGAATAAGTATATTTGCCTTGTTGCTGATCTTAGAGAAAAAGCTTTCAATTGTTTATTTGAATATAATATTGCCTGTGCACTTTTCATATATAATCTTTATTATGTTGAGGGACTTTTATTTCTAGTTTGTTGAGAATTTATTTTATCATGAAAGGGTGTTGAAGTTTGTCAAATGCTTTTTCTGCATCTATTAATATGATCTTGTAGTTTTTATCCTTCATTCTGTTAATGTGAGGTATCATGTTAATTGATTTTTATGTTGAGTTATTCCTGCATCCCAGGGTTAAATCTCAATGATACGTCCAATGTGCTGTCAAATGTGGTTTTCTAGTATTTTGTTTAGTATTTTTGCATCTATGTTTATCAGGAATACTGCTTGTCTTGTAGTGTCTTTGTCTGGCTTTGCTGTCAGGGTAATGCTGGCCAGCTTCATAAAATGTTGTTTTTTTCATTTGTATCTTTTCTTTTTCTCTTTGTTAGACTACCTAAAGGTATGTCAATTTTATCTTTTAAAAAAAAACTTGTAATTTCATTGATATTTTGTTTTTTAAGTTTCTATTTCATTTAGGTTTTGCTCTGATATTATTTCCTTTCTTCTACTCATTTGAGGTTAGTTCGTTCCTTTTCTAGTTTCTTGAGGTAAAATGTCATTTATCTGAGATTTTTTTGTAATGTACACATTTATTAATATAAACTTCACCCTTTGTAATGCTTTCACTGCATTTCATAAGTTTTGATATGTTGTGTTTTTGTTTCTTTCAAGATATTTTTAAATTTCCCTTTTGATTTTTTCTTTGACCAATTGTTCAGGAGTATGTTGTTTAATTTCTACATTTTTCAGCTTTCCTCCTGTTATTAATTTCCAGTTTTATAGCATTGTGGTTGGAAAATATCCTTGATATGATTTTGATCTTCTTAAATTTGTTAGATCTTACTTTGTGACTGAACATGTGATCTATCCTTGATAATGCTTCATGTGTGCTTAAGAAAAAAGTGTATTCTGCAGATGTTGAGTAGGATGTTCTGCATATGTCTGTTAGGTTCATTTGGTCTAAAGAGTTGTTCAAGTCTGCTATTCTCATTAATTTTTTCTCTCATTGGTCTGTTATTGAAAGTGGGGTACTGAAGTTTTCTTTTATTATTGTATTGCTGTCTATTTCTTACTTCAGTTCTGTCAATGTTTGCTTTACATGCTTACGTAATCTGATGTTTGGTGTACATATTATTTGCTAACTTTTAAGGGATTATTTCATATATTTTCATATAAGATACTGACCTGTTATTTCTCTCTCACTGGAGTATGACTGATAAGTGTTATTATCAAAGTTATGCTAACCTAATAAATGAGTCTCGAAGTGTTTCCTTTTTTATTAAGTTTATATAAAATATGTATCATTTCTTTCATATATATGGAGGAATTTTCTGGTGACAGTGTATTTGCCTAAAGGTTCTTTTTAAAAATATTTTACTAATGGATTTAATTTATTTAATTATGGATTCAATATAAGGACATTTCTCTCCTTATCGGTGCCTCTCAAATATCTCTAAGATTTTAACCATAAGTTTGTATCTCTTCTGAGTTATGTATGTATCCCCTTGAGTCTATTGATCTTTTTTGCATCTTTTTCCTTTGCAATGCTAGTTTTTTACAAATATATGGAAATTATTTGTTTTCCAGTCATTTATTATCATAGGACTATGTTGATAACAGCAGCAGCTGGCTGGGGTATGCTCAGCCCTTACTGACTTCTACATTAAGGAGAAGACTCAGTAAAATTCTGTATATGTTATGAGGATGTTCAATTGATAGGCTTCTCTTCCACACTCTACTAACAGAGTACCCAGAAAGCTGCACTACTTCTCCAAATGGCATAATAAGATGGGTCCCAATCTGGAGAGCTAACCCCTGTTCTGGATGCCCAAGCTCTGCTGGGGAGAACTTCTTTCTAGAAGGTCCCACTCTGGCTTTATCCTGGAAATGAGTCCTGCAACTGCATTCATGATGAAGGAAGGCTGGAGAAGACATTCTATAAGCCATTTAGCAAACAGTTCAGTCAGCCCCCTACTTCCTATCCAGTTTTGGTTCTGTTCTACATATCAGCCAATTTCACAGGCCGTGGAATGAGGAACTCCAAACTCAACTGCCAACTTCTGAGCTCATTCAAATCACCTGTTGGCATGATTACAACTAACTTCTTTCTGTCTTCCAGAAATTTGTCATGATCTTCATTCTGCTGATATTCCTGTCTCCTATTATAATTTCCTCCCATCATTTCAATCTTTTACCTTTTGTTTTGCTTTGTTTTAACATTTTATTATATCTTTAGAAACAGGTAAGGCTAATATATAATGAAGCAACATTCTTAAATTTAAATTTTAAAAATTTTGCAATTTGAATATTGCTTATTACTTATTAGTGTTATATTAATAACATGCAACTAAGGAATTTTAAAGTGATTGTATAATATGTTCAATGTTATTTTGACAACACTTGAGAGAGACAAACATGCAAACACATGCATAGGTAAGAAGGAAAACAAAAACAGTAGAGAAATTGTCCCTCTCCCTAGGCAATCGCTTAGGTGGTTTTCTGATTGTAATGAAGAATGATCAGAAATGTGCTGGAAGAGGATTTAAAATTTTCCTATGCTATAAATCTTAGCATAAATTAGAAATTAACAAATATTCAAAGTTCCATGCCTGCTAAAAATATCATTTATCTTCATTTTACTCTTACATATCAAGTCGATTACTCATATTTAGTGGGAGGTATATTACCTAGGAATGTCCTAATTTATTGACACAATTACTCTTTCTATTAACAAGATAACTTTTTGCTTATACTATTTTAAAGGCATATATATATTCTCGGTGTTGAAAACAAGATACATATACATCTTCAACTTCTCTTTTCCTGCCTCCTACCTCACTGCCAACCTCATTTCCCTTCAGCCAATCTACATGGAACTCAAAAAGTTAAAAATAGAACCAGAGGGGAACCTGGGCCCCAGCACTGATAATAAGTGATTTAGGTGGCAACACCTACCCGTATAGGAAATCAGTCTGATAAGTTATTTCAGGGCATAAAGAATTCCCACGTTACACCGTTTTTCAATTTCAACAGCTATTTCCTCAATTAGAGAAAAAAAAAAATCATCTTTAAGGTGTGATGGTTATTCTCCATTTGCCTACCAATTTCCCTTCTCCCATTATCCTCCCAGCTTTGTACCCCAGGAGGCTTTTCTCTCTATACAGCCTCTCTTCCAATTTCCACCTAAGCCGGGCCTCTAGGAAGTGCTGGCAGGAGATCAACACATGGGAGATGAGAAAGTCAATTTCTCCCTGCTCTGTCTTTGCTTCCCTACCTGGGCTCTGACAGCAGCTATGTCTCTCCCATCTATAGCCTCCTCCACACTTCTGACTCTTCAGGGACTCCAGAGATGCCAAATCTTCCCCCAGGTGATGGCTATCTTCCCCTCCTGATGGTCTGTTTCTTTATCCCATGATTTTTCCCTGAGCCTCAACTTTAATCTCAGTAATCAATCTTTTCACCAAGTATCTTCAAGTGGACTGCTTGGGTGAGTGCTGTTTCTGGTTGGAACCTGAGAGATACACCAGATTTCAGAAATGGTTTAATTTCAATTCCATAGGTAGGGATACTCAGATGGTATTCCTTCTGTGATTCACATCATGCCCTAAGTAAATCTCTGTTAGAATTTCTATTGATGTCCCTTAATTGGTGATTTTTTTTTTGATCTAGAAGAAGCATTTCTTTAAAAATTTATTTTGTTAAAAGATCACTTAATACTTTGTCATTTGAAATATTTGATATGTTTAGTTCAATGGTTCTCAATCTCAGCTGGAAAGTTTAATAACAGTTGTGGTCAGCAGAATGATATGATTTCCTGCACAAAAGGCAAAGTCCATGTTCACAAAAATTGTTTGGCAGAAAATAAGGACGTGCTTTATACTTAGAGTCTCCTGTTATGGGGTGTCCTCTCAATTACTTTAGTTTTATTTTGTTGAAAGATCACTTAATACTTTGCCGTTTGAAACATTTGATATGTTTAGCCCAGTGGTTCTCAATCTCAACTGGAAAGTTGTTTAATATCAGTTGTGGTCATCAGAATAAGATAGTCTCCAAAAGGCACTGTACACCCATTCCCAGTTCACACTCCCTGCATATTCCCCAGTGTTAGCGGTGGAGGGTATCCGGTTCTTGGCACTTTAAACAAAGAATTGGACAAAACGCAAAAACAAAGCAAAATGAAGCAACAAAAGCAGACATTTATTGAAAATGAAAGCACACTCCACAGGGTGGGAGCAGGCATGAGCAAGTGGCTCGAGGGCCTTGGTCACAGAATTATCTGTGGTTTCAATATACTCTAGAGGTATCCTGTTGGTTACTTGGTGTATACCCTATGTAAATGAAGAGGATATTTCCTGTCATAGCTGAAGTGTTTCTGTTTGATTTAGTTCTAGGAAGTCCTTAGGTTCCCTGCCTCCCGGGTGTATTCTCCTGCCTCACCAGGAATGTGAATTTGATAGATTTCACTTTTGTCATCAGGTCGTGTTTTATGGCACAGTTGACTTAAAGCAAGGGAGATTATCTGGATAGGCCAGGCTTAATCATCCAAGCCTTTTAAAAACAAAGAGAGGTTTGTCTCACTGGTCACAGAAGAGAAGTCAGAGAGATTGGAAGCAGGAAGCAGGTTCTGTAGCAAGGAGGTTCTCTGTTGCTGAGATAGAGGGGGCCACACGACAAGGACCTAGCATGGCCTCCTGAAACTGAGAGCGTTTGTTGCCAACAGCTAGGAAGACAACAGGGACCTCAGTCCAATAACCACAAGGAAATGACTTCTGCCAACAACCAGGGAGCTTGGAAGAGAATCAAGAGTCACAGAGAGAACTGCAGCCCTGGCCAACAAATTAATTTCAGCTGGATGAGGACCTGAGCAAAGAATGCCGCTACTATGCGTCTGAACTCCTGACCTACATAGCCTGTGGGGTAATAACTCTGTGTTGATTCAAGCTGCTAAATTAAGCTGACAATTAAGCAGGTAATTTATTAATCAGTAATAGAAAACTAGAGGCCTCAAGTAGAAAAGCCCCAACCTCCAACATTCTGGTTTGGGGGGTTGTTCTGGGTTGGAGTCTAGACATTAGTATTTTTCAACACCTCCTATCCCAAGTGATGCTGATATCCAGCCAGGAATGAGAATCACTGCCATTCTTCCTTCAGTGAATCAGAATCTCCTGAAAAATAAAATAATACACTAGAGGAGTCCTCCGCGAGCCCCATTCATTCATTCAACAAACACTTATTGAATGTTTAATGTGTGCCGAGTCCTAGGCCCTGGGAATTTATTTAATGGTTAGAAAATCAGACATAGTCACTTCCTTCATGGAGCTCACAAAGAGGAGAAAATACATTTAAACGCTGCATGATTTCCTGCACATAAAGCAAAGTCCATGTTCACAAAAATTGTTTAGCAGAAAATAAGGACGTGCATTCTACTTAGAGTCTCCTGTTATGGGGTGTCCTCTCAATTACTTTAGTTTGAACTACAAAGCTCTGTTTGGGAAAAATAAATTGCCTTAAATAACCTCAATCAGCATTATTTTCCTGTGCTTACAGAGGTCATTTGATAATTCAGGAAAACAAAAGGTAGGGAAATAATTGAACACAGATTTAACCATTATTCTTGGTATTAAGATAACAGGATTCCAAGTTTGAGATGTCACAGTAAACAAGTCTATTAAAGACTTTGGAGAAGACAAACATTAAGCAAATATTGTCACAAAGAAATGTAAAATTACTACTATGATAAACCTTCCAAAGGGAAGGTACACGTAGAATAGGAGGATTTGACTTGGGGTTGGTGCAGGGGAGTGTCAGCGAAGGTGTCTCAGGAACTAATATTAAGCAAGGAAACCAAAGATGAGCCGGGTGAAGTGCGATGGGAGGTGAGCGAGAAGCAAAGTGCCAGTGGTTGCAAACTGAAATCTCATAGGAACTTTAAAAAGTAATGATGGCTGGATCGAACCCCAGAGATCCTGGTTGAATGTGCCTGGGGTGTGGTCTGGGCATCTCCAGATCATCGCAATATACACCCAAGCAGGAAAAAAACAGCACATGCTCTGTTCTGTGGCAGGAGGAGACCTGACAGGTTCTAGGAGCTGGAAGAAGGCCAGGGTGAAGAAAGCCATGGCCTCCCAAATTTTCAGTAGCTACAGATACATCACAGACACGTTGTGACATGGACTTGCCCTCTGAGTCACTACTATCCAAAGTATTTTAAAACATTTTACCTTGTATTAAAAAATTCATCGCTAGGAATGTAATAGGTGAAGTCAAAAAGATTTCACCAAAATTCTAAGGATCATCCCAGGTTAAAAAATAAAGGTGTTTATAACTCATTTATAAAACCCTCCATTCCCATTCTGCTCTGAGTCTTGGCCCAGGAAAAAAAAAAAAAACAAAAAAAACAAAAAAAACAAAAAAAAACATGTTTCTAAATTTCAATACAACGATGGGAAATGGGCAAGAGAGCTCTCCTAAAAGAGGAAGAGGACACCGTTCAGGAGTGCATGCATTTTCTTTTTGGTCTCCCCAACCATGCAGCCAATGTTATACTGCAGACAACAGATAGAGCATTCACTAATACTGACAGGAGTGCAAATTATCCTCTAAATGGTATTTTGCTGTTAGCTGAATAATTTGCATATGGCATAAAAATGAAGTCAATTGATTTGAGATAAGCCTCCAAAATCTCTTTTGGCATTAAAAGAGACGATTGCCTACAAGTTACCAAATCAAACAGGTTTGTGCAACTGACCTCTGGCACTTTCCTCTCTTCTCCAGCTTCAGCCAAATTGGCCCCATTACTTTCTTAAACTCCTAGCATGTTCCTGCCTCATAGTCTTTGCACTCTCTATTGGTTCTCATTGAGATCCCTTTTTCCCATATTACCATCCCCACCCCTTTCATCTTCTTTCTTCCCCCTAGAAAGTCATTTAATCAGAGAACATCTTTAGCCACCCAGCTCATAGCACTACCATGATTCTTGATGCACTCACCTTGCTTCAATTTTATTTACAACATTTATCACCCTGTGACATTATAAAATTGTGCATTTGTATTTTGTGTGTCTTCCCAAACCTGGTCTAGCTTGTAAACCCATGCCGTCAGCAGCCATGTCTGTTTTGGTTGCTAATTTGTTTTGACCACCAAGAATGGTGGCTGGCACATACTTTATGCTCAATATATATTTGTTAAACTAATATATTGTAGGGAAGTTTAAATCTTTTCCCTGAAGCTTTGATAATTTGAGTCCATAAAACAGACAATAGATTAACAGGAAAAAAAAAGGCAAACACAATATGTGCACAGGAGACATACAAAACATAAAGACAACAAGAATGTCCAAATAGTTAATGCTTTTAACCATCTTGAGGTTACAGAAAAAATAGGGTCTTGACTCAGAGTGCTGACGGACAGAAATAGAAAAGGAGAAATGTTTGAGCTAGCAAAAGCATTCTTGTTATGCAGATGAAACCTCACATATAACAGTCCTCAAAAAAATAGATGGTAGTCTGTGGTTAAAGTTTCTTAGTCAGATTTTCAAAGGTGTCAAACTCTCATTACTCTCTCCTAGATCTGTACGAGGGAGAGCCTCAGAGAAAGACTGTTTGTATCTGTTTTTTGCTTCACTTTAGTTTTTCTACAGGTATAAATCTCTTCTACAAAAGACAGCTTTGCAGGGCTATCCCGGTCTGCAAGCTCTCTAAATAGCCATCTCAAAATACGTCAAAGAAATATATTGTGGGGTGAATTATTTTGGTTTCCTTCCATATGAATGTCAATAGTAATATAAGAGAACATAAAGGTGTTTTAACAAAGAATATACTCTTCTGAAGACATTAATGTTCTTTAGAATTCATAGATGGCAAGTAAAATAAGATACAAATGGACACATAAATGAAAATTATAATATATTTCATAGTCAGCTATTTTGGGAATAGTTGGTGATTAAATTTTACAGAATTTCTACCTTCATTGAAAATTGTACTTTTATAGATGTGGCCACTAGAATAAAAGTTAAATTAGTTTTTATGTACCGTATTCTATTAAATTCCACAGGCATTTTATTAAGGCAAATAAAACCGTGATTTGAAGCTGAGCAGTCTCTTTTCTTTCTGTGAGAAATCTCTGTGAAATAGACAGTGATGTATATATTACATGACAAAAAGCTATATATTTTTACATGAAAAAGCAATATTCAAGGTATGAAAACATTCAAAGTATGGGAAATAAGTGCAAATATATATATCTTCCAGTTTCATTCTTAGTTCTTCAGTCCCCAACTTTGCTTGGTATTATCCTCAGATGACTAGTGTAATAAATATATTTCAGTGCAATAAGGACTGAAATCCCTGTCTTGATGTCCCATTTCTCATCACAGTCCCTTAGAAACCTCCTGTGAGTATTTCTCAGTAACAGTAGAATACTCACATGTCACTGCTATTCTGTGGGTGTGTTCATTGCTTAAATGCAATTATCTGTTTGTTATCTGAAAAGAGGTGATGGCAGTGCTTTTCTTTTTTTTCTTTTTTTTCTTTTTTTTTTTTTTTTTTTTTTTGAGACGGAGTCTCGCTCTGTCGCCCAGGCTGGAGTGCAGTGGCGCGATATCGGCTCACTGCAAGCTCTTCCTCCTGGGTTCATGCCATTCTCCTGCCTCAGCCTCCCAAGTAACTGGGACTACAGGCGCCCACCACCACGCCCGGCTAACTTTTTGTATTTTTAGCAGAGACGGGGTTTCACCATGTTAGCCACGATGGTCTCGATCGCCTGACCTCGTGATCCGCCCGCCTCGGCCTCCCAAAGTGCTGGGATTACAGGCATGAGCCACCGCTCCAGGCCAGCAGTGGTTTTCAAAGTTGGCTGTGTAGGAGAACCACCTGGGAAGCTGCTCAAGCTACAGATTGCTGGGCTCCACCCTCAGGCATCTTGACTCAGAGTGCCTGAGGCAGGTCCCGAGTATTGCATTTCTCCTAAGCTCCCGGGTGATGCCAGTGCTCCTGCGTCATGGACCAGCCTTGGAGTAACACTGGTCAGTTGGGCTCTCAGGGTGCTGTTTCATTCCTCTATCCCTAGTCCAATTTTGAACTGCTCCATGAAGTGGAGCCACCAAAGTAAGATTAAGGATCTGCACCTAATTGCATATACAAAGCATTTATTTCCATTGTTATGGTGGGTGATAATGCTTGCCACAGGGATTTTTTTTTTTAACTCAATTTATCTATAAGTGGGCTGTTTTGGTTCAATAGAAACTGGTCTGTTTTGAGAATTTGCTTAAAAGCTGAATAGCAACTTCTTTGGTCCAGTTTACTAGTATACATACATTACTAGCCCTTCTCTGATGTCATTCCAAGAAAATGTCAGTTTATTTGCATTGGTAGATTTAGTAACTCACACGTGCACACTTCTTAGATGGTTGAAAGAGTTCTTTCTCCATTTCTTCCAAGGTAAAATTCTCTAAATGTTTTATGCTTGCAGAATGATCCCCTGAAAAATGTTAATATTATTTTTTAATTGCAGTAAGAACACTTAACATGAGATCTACTCCCAAAAAATTTTTGTGTTCAATACAGTATTGTTAACTATAGGCATTCTGTGGTACAGCAGATCTGTAGAACTTAATCATCTTTCACAACTGAAACTATAGTGTTGAATAGCAAGTTCCCATTTCTGCCTTGCCACAGCTCTGGTGATATAGTTTGGTTCTGTGTCCCCATCCAAACTGTACCTCGAATTATAATAATCCCCATGTATCGGGGGCGGGGGTACCATGTGTAGGTAATTGGATCATGGGGGCAGTTTCCCCATTCTGTTCCAATGATAATGAGTGAGTTTCATGAGATCTGATGGTTTTATAAGCGTCTGGCCTTTCCCCTGATTGCACTCACTCCGTGCTGCTGTCCTGTGAAAAGGTGCCTTTTGCCATGGTTGTAAGTTTCCTGAGGCCACCCAGCCATGTGAAACTGAGTCAATTAAACCTCTTTTCTTTGTAAGTTACCCAGTCTCAGGTATTTCATCATAGCAGCATGAGAATGGACTAATACGACTGGGCAACCACCATTCAACTCTCTGCTTCTAGGTTTTTGACTGTTTTAGATACATACATAATATAATGAAATTATACAGTACTTTTGTTTCTGTATTGGCTTATTACACTCAGCATAATGTTATCAAGGTTTATCCACGTTGCTGCAAACAGCAGAATTTCCTTCATTTTTCAAGGCTGAATAATATTCTGTTGTATGCATTTACCACATTTTTCTATGCATTCATTTATCAATGGACATTTAGGATGTTTCCACATCTTGGCTATTGCAAATAATGCTTTAATGAACATAAGAGCGTAGATGTCTTTTGAGATCCTCATTTATATCTTAGAAATACCCAGAAGTGAAATTGCTGGATCATATGGTATTTTTATTTTTTAATTTTGAGAAACCTCCATACTGTTTTCTATAAGGATTGCATCATTTCACATTTTCACCAACACTGTACAAGGTTCCAATTTCTCTACATACTCACCAACTTTTAACTTTTGTGTTTTTTAATCATAGCCATCCTATCAAGTATGAGATAATATCTCATTATGATTTTGATTTACATTTCTCTGATGATTAATGATGTTGAGCATCTTTTCATATACCTGTTAGCCATTGTAGAAATGTCTATTCAAGTTCTTTGCCCATTTTTTTTTTTTTTTTTTTTGCTATTTGGTTCAAAGAGTTCCTTATATATTTTGAATATTTACCCCCTTATCAAATATATGGTTTGCAAATATTTTCTCCCACTCATTAGATTGCTTTTTCACTCTTTTAATTGTTTTCTTTGCTCTGCAGAAGCTTTTTAGTTTACTGTAGTTCCACTAGTTTATTCTGCATTTGTTGCCAGTGCTTTTGGTGTCATATTCAAGAAATAATTGCCAAGACCAATGTCATAAAGCTTTTGCCCTAAGTTTTCTTCTTATGTTTGTCTTTAATCCATCTTGAATTGATGGTTGTGTCTAGTGTGAGATAAGGGTTCAATTTTATTATTTTGCATGTGGATATGTAGTTTTCCTACACCATTTGTTTAAGAAACTGTCCTCTCCCCATTCCATATTCTTGTCATCCTTACTGAAGATCAGTTAACCACACATGTGTGGTTTTATTTCTGAGCTCTCTTTTCTGTTCCATTGATCTAAATATGTATTTATGCCACTACCATATTGTTTTAATTACCATAGCTTTGTAATGTATTTTGAATTGAGGAAGTACGATGTTGCCAACTTTGTTCTTCTTTCTCAACTGTTTTGGCTATTGGGATCCTTTGTTGTTTGAAATGAATTTTAGAATTATTATTTCTACTTATGTTTAAAAAACACCACTGAAATTTTGATAAGGATCTTACTGTACTTGTAGATTGCTTTGGATAGTATAGACATTTTAATAACATTAAATCTTTCTGTATAAACACAGGATGTCTTTCCATATATTGGTATCTTCTTTAATTTCTATCATCAACATTTTATAGTTTTCAGTGTGTAATAAGTCTTCTGTCTCCTTAGTTTTCATTCATAATTATTTTATTATTTTGTTGCTATTGTGAGATTGTTTTCTTAATTTCTTTTTTAGATAGTTACTAGGTGGTGTAAGAAATGCAACTGATTTTTTGCTTGTAGATTTTGCGTTCTGCAACTACGTTGAACTTGTTTATTAGTTTTTACAATTTGGGGGAGGATGCTCGTGGTGCCTTTTGAGTTTTCCATGTATTAGATCAAGTCATCTGCAAGCAAAGAGAATTTGATTTCATTCTTTCCAACGTGGATGCTTTTTAATTTCTTTCTCTTGCCTAACTGCTCTATCTAGGACTTCCTATATCTAGGACTATGTTGAATACAAGTGATAAGAGTAGCATACTTGCCTTGTTCTTGATCTCAGATAACACACTTTCCGTTTTTCACAGTTGAGTAAGATGTTAGGGCTTTTCATAAATGGTATTTGTTATGTTGATGAACTTTTCTTTTGCTTCTAGTTTGTTAAGAGTTTTTATCATGAAAAGGTGTTAAATTTTCTCAAATGCTTTTTGGGCCTCTATTGAGATGATCATGTGGTTGTTATCCTCCAATTTATTTGATGTACCACATTAATTGATTTTTATATAATACATTGTCCTTGCACCCCAGAGTTAAATCTCATTTTATCTTATTATCTGATATTTTAATGTGCTGTTAGATTTGGTTTGCTAATATTTTGGTTTTTTCTGGTTTTGTTTTTTAATTTTACTGTTATTTTTTTAATAGAGATGGGTTCTCACTATGTTGCCCAGGCTGGTCTCAATCTTCTGGGCTCCAGAAATCCTCCTGCCTTGGCCTCTGAAAGTGTTAAGATTATAGGCATGAGCCACCATGCCTGACCACTAATATTTCATTGAGAGCATTTTTATATATGGTTATCAAGGATATCAATTTATAGATTTCTTTTAGCATCTTTGTCTGGCTTTGGTATTGGGATAATGTTGGCCTCATAAAATGATTTTATAAGTGTTTCCCTCCTCTTCATTTTTTTGGTAAAGATTAAGAAGGATTGGTGTTAATTCTTTAAATATCTGGTAGAATTTACCAGTGAAGTTGTCTAGTCCTAGGATCTCTGTTGGGAGGTTTTTGATTACTTGTCAATAATTGTATTAGTCAGGGTTCTCTTAGAGGGACAGAACTAATAGGAGATATATATATATGTATGGATTTATATATACATATATGTATGACCATATATATACATATGAGGTTATTAAGTATTAACTTACATGATCACAAGGTCCCACAATAGTCTGCAATCTGAGGAGAAAGGAGAGCCAGTCTGAGTCCCAAAACTGAAGAACTTGGAGTCTTCAAGGGCAGGAAGTATCCAGCAGGGGAGAGAGATGTAGGCTGGGAGGCTAGGCCTGTCTCATTGCTTCACGTTTTTCTGCCTGCTTTATATTCACCAGGGGCTGATTAGATGGTGCCCACCTGATTAAGGGTGGGTCTGCCGTCCCCCCTTACTGACTCAAATGTTAATCTCCTTTGGCAACACCCTCACAGACATACCCAAGATCAATATTGCATCCTTCAAGCCTATCAAGCTGACATTCAGTATTAACCATCGCAATCATCTTACTAGTTATTGGTCTGTTCAAATTTTTTACATTTTCATGAATCAGTCTTGGTAGATTGTCTATTTCTAGGAATTTATCAATTTTTTCTGGGTTATAAAATTTATTAGTGTGTAATTGTTCATAGTAGTCTCTTCCGATCTTTTTCATTTCTGTGGCATCATTTGTATTATCTCTCTTATTTCTGACTTTATTTATTTAAATTGTCTCTAGTTTTTAATCTAGCTAAAGTTGTATCGATTTTATCTTTTCAAAACCCCTATTCTTTTTTTTCTAGCGTTTTTCTGCATTTTATTTCATTTACCTGCTCTTATCTTTATTATTTGTTTCCTTCTGCTAACTTCGGGGTTAGTTTGTTCTTCTTTTTCTAGTGCCTTGGAGTATGAAGTTTGCTTGTTTGAGATCTCCCCCATATTTTAATGTAGGCATTTATCACTATAAAAATTATCTTAGTAAAGATTTTGCTGCATCCTGTAAGTTTTGATATGTTGAGTTTTCGTTTTTGTCCCAAAATATTTTCTAGTTCTCTCGATATTTTCTTTGACCCATTGATTGTGCAAGAATATGTTGTTAAATGTCTGCATATTTGTGAATTTTCCATCTTTCCTTCTGACATTGATTTCTAGTTTCATTCCACTGTGATCAGAAGAGACACTTGGCACGGTTTTGATTTTCTTAAATTTGTTAGGACTTGTTTGGATAATCTATCCAGGGAAATGTTGTAAGTGTGTTTGGAAGAATGTATTATGCTGCTATTGAGTGGAATGTTCTGTATATGTCTGCTGGATCCATTTGGTCTACAATATTTTTCAAGTCTGCTGTTTCCTTATTGATTTTCCATCTGAACACTCTTCCCATTTTTAAACATAAGGTGCTGAAGTCTCCTACTATTATTATATTGCTGTCTATTTTTTCCTTCAGTTCTGCAAATGTTTGCTATATGTTTAGGTGCTCTGATGTTGGATGCATATATATTTATAATTGCTATTTTTTATTAAATTGACCTGTTTATTATTATATATCCTTCTTTGTCTCTTGTAACTTTTCTTTACTTAAAGTCTATTTTGTCTGATATAAAATAGCGAGCTCCATTCTCTTTTGGTTACCATTTGCATAAACTATGTTTTTCCATTCTATTAATAATTATATAATATGTAAATGAATTAGACTCCTCAATCAAACTACATAGAGTAGCTGAATGAATAAAAATCAAGATCCAATTATATGCTGTTTAAAGAGAGTTACTGTAGATTTAAGAACACACATGGGCTGAAATAAAAGAAACTGCTAATATTATTAATTATTTCAAAATTGAGAAGGTATTCCAGCACCTATAAATTTACTAAAAACTTCTTAAAGACGTAATGCATATACAACTGAATCAAGTCCTCCTCCATTCTCCTTTCCTCTCTTCTTCTCTTCCTCTTTTTCCTACCATCCCATAGGTAACCACATAAATTGGTAGGTGTTTCTTTTACTACATATGTTGCTATAAACAAAGAATCTCTTTTGCATGTAGGTGTGTTTTCTTTATTTTAAATTGTTATAAATAATATCATTTTCTAAATATCCTTTCTCAACTTGCTTTCTTGTACTTAAGATTTCAGTTTGAAGATTCATATCTTGTGTTAGCTGTAGTTCCAGTTCATTTATTTTCTCTCTACAATGGCATCTGTTACATGACTTTATCAAATTTTTAACTCTTCTTTTGGTAAACATTTAGCACCTTTTCAAACATTTTTTTCTCAATTACAAACAATACCACAATCAACAAACCCATAAATCTCTCCTTGACTCAGAGATTTTATGAATGAGATCACTGGGTCATAGAATATGTAAATCTTCCATGCTACTTAATGAATTAGATAGGCCCCAGTTAATGGCCTCCCTTCCTCCATGCCTATAACAATGTAACCCTCTTGTACTCTGATTCTGAGTTTGGCCATGTGACTTACTTTAGCCATGTCATCCAGGTACAGGCACGAAAACTGATTGTGCATTTCTACTTGCTCCTTTGCATAATTAAACTTTCTCATGTTTGTTTATCTAAAACTACCAAAAATATATCTAGCCTAAAAGGATATAACAGATACATGTAAGAAACAGGTGGAGGAGACTCCAGGTGTATCAGTGGCCATCCTAGACCAGCTTTCAGCCAGCCAAAACTCAATCGCATGACTTACCTAAACTTGTTAGACGTGTCTAGCTGACCATGGATACTTGAGTGAGCCTATCAGTAGCAATAAATAATTCTTATTTTAAGACATTAAGTTTTAGGGTGGTTTGTTGCCCAGTATTATTGTATGTAAAAGATAATTGAAATGCTTGATATTGCTAAATATTGCCCTAAAGGAGTTGAACCAATTTGCACTTTCACCAAAAGTGGTTTCCCACATCTCCCTAACACTTGATATTATCAGATTTAAATATCTTTGCCAATAAGATGTTATGAAACTATACCTTACTATAGTTGTAATTTTTCCTCCATGATTACTAATGAGCATCAGCATATTTTCACATGCTTTTTTGCCATCCGTCTCTTTGCATTTTGTACTTTTGCCTCAGCATGAATTAACACGAGTTGGAACTACTCCAAGTTCTTTAAAAAATTACTATGTGATAAAATATAGAAATACAATAAATAGAAATGATTCTCCCAAAGTAAGACCCATTGGATTTTCCTCAATTATTCTGACCCATTGTTACAGAATTTTTAAAAATAGGACATCATTAAAGTACCCAATTTAAGTGTGAAGTGACATTGCTGGCTTTTCCATAAAACAATACTAACAACATTTTGTTTACCTTAGGCAAACAATCACAGGCTGAGTCCACTTATTTCAACATTCTTATTTTTTAATTGCCATACCTGAAGTAATACGCCGAGCTAGTTAACAAAAACACTAAATCTTCTCTATCCAGAACCAGGGACCTTTTTACTGAATGTGAAGGGTCCCCTTCACCTACTCATTAATTGGCCAATTTTAATAATTCCATATAAAATAATTATCCAGATATGACTGCCACCTATTTAGACATAAACACTTCCTGTTTCACATTCAATATATTAAAATAAATATACATTTTTAAAGTCACATATACATTATTGCTTTTTTGGATGTACAATTCACAAAAAAAGCCTTTTCCAGATAACCCAGGGGCCCTTTACTAAATAACAGTTTTTTTGGTTTTTTGTTTTGTTTTGATTTTGAGACTCTGAAAGTATATAGACATTTTATTCCCTCACTGCAACCATAAAGCACTGTTCATTCATTTTCTTTCTGTGGCACACATCTTGTGTAGTGCTTGACATTTATTGGATGTTCAAAAAATGGCAGTAAAAGTACCAATAATATTAGAAGTCATGGTAACAGAAAGGGGAGGAAGGAAAAATAATAACACTTATAATCTTAGTTTTACAAGTTTTTTTATACACCAATAGCTGTCACCTCTATTATCTATCATGTATGCCTTCTGCAGAAAGTTTGGTGTGGCTCCATCTTTCTGGCAGAACAGCATGCACATGTTTTTGACTTCTATTTGTTGCTCTAAAGTCTTCACATTTCTGACCCTGCTTTTTTTTTTTTTTTCAAAGATTCAGGAACTTTGTTGTTCAATTAAATGGAGAGCTTGTGCATTTCAATGAGACAAACGTTGCTAGCAAGAGGTAAAGACAACTGGGAACACCAAGAGGCATGGCATGAGATGGTCATAGTCAGAAGCTCCGTCAAATGGCAAACACTTTTAAATCTCTAATATGTGGTAGGTACTTTCCTAAGAGCTTTACATGAAACGTCTTATTTAATCTTCACCAAAATAAATAAAGTAGACACTGCCATTATTAACATTGTACAGACCAGGAAATGGAGACACAGAGAAACTTGACAAGCTGAAAGTGATGGAACCAGTACCCAGGAAAGAAAAGCCCAGTACCCCTTTTTAATGACTGTCTGTGTTTCATGGCATGTTTTTCCCATATATCTCCTTGATTTTGATGCTTCACCCAAATTATCTCTCCCAGGCCAGTGTACCATTCCCCAGCTGCTATGAGAGTTGACTACGAACTGCTCACAGTTGTCTTTTCCAGAGAACTGTCTCTGACCAATGGGGGTCACCTTGGGCAAGAATGCCTAGGAGTTATGCCGCTTCTTCCCCCTTCAGATGGGAGGGTAGCAGCTTGTAACTAATAATAGACTGAAAGGGGAGCACAAAGGCCTGTTACTCAAGGTGACCAGTGCTACAGTGCATGTATACACCAGAACTCTCCGTGGGATCAGCCTAAGGCTTAGAGTTCAGCTGAAGTTACTGTTTTGTTTGACTCCTTCCTCTGTCCCATCTTGCTTCTCTTAGTCCCTTTCTTCTGAATGCCCTTCCTCAATCATTCACTTGCACAAGAATCTGCATCCCAGGCTCTGCTTCTAGGGACTCTGAGCTAGGACAGACCTTATTTCACCCTTTAGGGTTTACACTCAATATCACCTCTCCAGGTTTGCTATTTTTTTTCCATTTTAATTACAGTTCAGGATCCCCTTGGCTTCACTTCCTTTAGCTTTAAATTAAGATATCCCACCTGGTCCAACCCAAATACCAGAACGTCTTACCTCCATGAATACCACCTACCTGAGGAATTCAATAAACACTTATGGACCAAAAGAAGAGTATCAAATTCAACCAGTCACATATTATAATAACAATAATAACAGCAGCAGAAAGTGCCTCCTTGAGACTAGCTGAACTTATCAAATAAGAAAATGCTGGCTTGGGAACTGTGACTCACACCTACAATCCTAGCACTTTGAGAGGCCAACCTAGGAGGATTGCTTAAGGCCAGGAGTTCAAGACCAACCTGGACAACATAGCAAAAATTAGCCCAGTGTGGTGGTGTGTGTCTGTAATTTCAACTACTTGTGAGGTAGGAAGATTGATTGAACTTAGGAGTTTGAGGCTGCAGTGAGCTATGATTCTACAGCTGCCCTCCAACCTGGACAAGAGATGAGACACTGCCTCTAAAAAAAAAAACAAAGAAAAGAAAACTATAAATCAAATGCTGGAGTCATCAGAGAGAACATACAGTCAACTCATAAGGATTAGTTTATGCCTTCAAAAACTTGTGTTAGGTCCAGTGGGGAAAAAAATCACTAGTCTCTGTGTCTACTGGGGGATCTCCAACTCATCCTTGAAGACTTGGATCAATACCCCTTTTTTTTCTGTAAATCTCAACATAAGCTCCTCTCCCATCCCACCAAGACTGAGCTGACTGAATCTCCTTTACAGAAGACAACACCTGGTACCCATTATAATGTCTTTTATAATGCTTGCCACACTGTACAACAATTTTGTTGGCACCTTTTTCCTCCTTGCTTATCTGTGAGCCCTTGACGCCAGCAGCCATGTTTATTATTGCTCTATCTATACCCCATCAAGCATGCAACCCATAAAAAATAACAAATATCTATTTGTAAAATGCCTGAATGATAGTGGAGAACAAGCAGGACTGGAACCAGCTCCAGAATCACATAAAGGTTGGTATCATCTCTCTCTTTTTCTTGACTTGTTTTATATTTTATTTTTAATTTCAACTTTTATTTTAGATACAGGGGCACATGTGCAGGTTTGTTACATGGGTATATTGTGTGATGCTGGGGTCTGGGGTTTGGATCCCATCACCTAGGTAGTGAGCATAGTACCTAACAGGTAGCTTTTCCAACCATTCTCCCCTCCCTTCCTCTCCCTTCCAGTAGTTCCCAGTGTCTATTTTTCCCATGTCTATGTCCATGTGTGCTCAATATTTAGCTCCCAGTTATAAGTGAGAACATGGGTATTTGGCTTTCTGCTCCTGCATTAATCCACTTAGGATTATGGCCTCCAGACACATCCATGTTGCCACAAAGCACATCAGCTCTCTTAATCATGAATCAAAGAATTTATTTTTAGACTTAAAGGAAGAGAGAGGATCTTCCTTCTATTTCTAATATTATCAGTATATGCCAATCTATGCTCCCATTCCTACTTTAAACCAGGACATTTTCTTGAACTCAGAAGATACAGTACAAACTGCCATTGCATTCTTCCCATGAGGAACTCTTTCTATTTTGCCACACAAGATTTTGCCACCTAAAATGCTTTCTTTCTCATCTACACAAGTCCTACTAGTTCTTTATGCCTAATCCAGATTCTCTTCTGTCCCTGAGGATACTTGAGGACTCCAATTTTGCCTGAGAAGATTTTATTTTCCATCCTGTACTGTAACAGCACTTATCTGGCCTTTATCATCCTGCATTGCTCTAGTATTGTTCCTTGAAGCCTTTCAAGCTAAAAATCTGTACACTCAGAGACTGTACCTAAAAGTCTGCTGAGAAAAGCAATTATTATTGCCTTCAATCTGAAGAAAGCCTTCATACTGATCTTTCTTCATCTGCAGAATTCTCCTATTTTTGGTCATTTCTATATCTGAAGAATCAAGCATATCTGTGCACACACAGACATTCCTTCCAGCTGCTGCTGACAATGGAAAAGCCTTGCTGGGATGTCTGATGCTTGCTGTGGAGCAGTGATTTTCCACTTAGCTTCTAAACCCTCAGCTAGCCAACTGGATTAGTTACCTATTGCTATAACAACACTGCCATGCAAACAAGCATAAAACTTTAGTGGTATACGATCATATGTTCATTGCACTCATAACTGAGTTCAGATGGGTGTTGCCTACGTGGTTTTGCTGATCTTGGTTCTGATTTCTCATATGTCTCAGGGCTGGCTAATTATTAGTAGGAACTACCAGGGCAAGGGCAACAGAGCTCAGCTTCATGTGTCTCATCTTCCAATGTGCTAGCATGGCATGTTCTTATAGAGATAGCAGAGACGATGGAAAGCAAGCAGAAATATTCAAGTCCTCTTGAGGCCTGGGCTGGGAACTGGCAGAGAATCCCACTGTAACTCCCTAAGACTTGGTCAAGTCGGGTGCAGGATACCAGTGGGTCCATGCTCTAGAGTGCCTTTGTCAAATTTTCCAAATCCCCTCCGTTGCCTGGGACGAGCTGGAGTCAGCAGTGTCATCTGGAAGGACGTGTGCTCAACCCTGAACCTGTTTTCATGTGGGTCCTCGTCTTCCAAGGCACTTATTGTGGCTTTTTCTAAATCCCTCTCTGGTGGCTGGGACCAGCTGGAGCTGGTTGTGCCATCTGAGCAGGGCACGCAAAGCCCAGAGCGGAATCCGTGTAGGGCTTAGTCACTGTTTCTCCCTTCAGCACACTTTCTGACCGTTTAGTCCATGCATGGAGTTGACCAGATGCCCCAAAGATCTCCAGGACTCCTGCCTATGCGGTTGTTCTGGGGTTCCAGGAGGGTGGCAGGGTGAGCAGATTGCACTGACTGGCCAGCAGAACATTTCTTCCTTTTATGAGGTTACATGAAATTGAGCCAGCAGGACAGTGCTGACTTGCTACTTTGTGGTGACTCACCTCACATCAGACATGGGACAAAATAAGGGTTCTGGGTTACTGATGATCCATAGCCCATCCTTGGGCTTGATTAGTGCTTATCCATTTGCATTCTGATCATGGTGCCTCCATGAGTCTACAATACCTGAAGGCAATGGATGTGACAGAAGCATCCTTTACTCTGTGAGCTTCTGCACTGCTTCCCAGAGTTGTCACACTGTCTCTTTTTCAGACCCCATGCCCATGTCAAGAAATTATCTGGAGTCGGCTGTTCTTATCTTCTCCGAGGTTTTGGTGACCACTGGTCTCCAATGTCACTAGACCCTTCCAGTTGATGTAATGAAGTAATGCTTTCCTGAATCAGTCTTAACCATGCCTCACAAGAGATGCACATTCCTTGCTCTTGTGGGACCTCTCTACTTGCTCCATCTAAGAGCCCCTAATCTACTCTTCCTGCTGGTGTTGATGAGAAAAAGTTAGGGGTGAGATCAACATTAAGAAATCACCTTCTAGGATAGTGAATATAGCCTAAAGAATTAAAGAGAAAAAGTGCTTGGAAGGTGTGTTGTTCTATTTTTATTCTATAAAAATCCAAATGGTACTAATATGACCAGAAAACAGTTATACCTAATTTCCTGCATAGTTTGGTCAAGATTTACAATTGTGACACTCTTCAACAACCTTTAAGAGAGTCACTAGAAGACAGTACTTATGGTGGCATAGTGGGGCATGCACCATGATGAGTAATAAACTCATCAGCAGTAAATACGTGGTATTAAGGAACTGCAGTCAAAAAATGTCCATATCATTTCACGCTATTAGTATACAAACAGGTTCTGAATTACCTGTAATAATCTCAGTAATAAGAGAGTTGCTACCTGTTTTATGTTGTTTTTGTTTGTTCTTTTTGTTTTTTGTCACCCAGGCTGGAGTGCAGTGGTGTGATCTCAGCTCACTGCAACCTCCCCCTCCAAGGTTCAAGCAATCCTCCCGCCTCAGCCTCCTGAGTGGCTGAGATTACAGATGTGTGCCACCACACCTGGCTAATTTTTATATTTTTAGTGGAGATGGGGTTTCACCACGTTGGTCAAGCTGATCACGAACTCCTGACCTCAAAGTGATCCACCTGTCTTGGCCTCCCAAAATGCTGAGATTACAGGTGTGAGCCCCTGCACCCAGCCAAGTTGCTGCCTTTTTTTGCAGTAAGAAAATATGACATTAGCCCAGAATAACACATCTGACCATTTAAAAACAAACAAACAACAACAAAAAAAAAAAATGAAGAGAAGTTTCCTGGACCTGACAGAAAGAGACGGTAGTTGGATTATGCGGACCCCTCTCAAGCACTGATTGGATAGGAAGCAAATACATAAGCACCTCTTCATCCATTATTCTAAATCTTCATCAATATATCACTGTATTCTCACATGGGCTCATAAATTTTATAACACATTTTTAAAAATCTAATTATCAATATAAACAGAGGCCCCCCACAGAAGAATTGCCAGAGTCACACACACATTCCCTGTGTCTCTGAACTATCACTTTATTGGCCAAAGGAAAGCACATGGTTGAGCCCATATCAAGGAGTGGAACAAGTCACTCACTTCATGGTCTAGAGAACACTGCAAAGTTGTCTGGCAAAGGAATGGATACAGGGAGGAATGAAGAATCGAGATAATATAAGACATGGAGGATTGCAGTATAATTAACAGTCGATTTGCTTTCTTCCTAATTAACATCTCAGGACTTTGACATCTTCAAGTTGCTTCACTTGTTTTAGGCACTTCTTTACAATGCAGTGAGTGTAGGACTGCCCTCATGGGACTGAGCTTCTGGCGTATTTGTTTCAGAAGTTCTCTTTTTCTCCTTCTCCTCCCCTCTTCCCCTCTCCTCCCTTCTTTCTTCTCCCACATCTCCCCACCCCCATCTTAATCACACCTATTTCTATTTCCAATTTCAACAACTATTTGTTAGGTGCCTATTTGTGCCGACACTGTCCACATACTGGAGACACAGCAGTGAAGAGGCCAGCCATAGCTGCTTCTCTCATGCCTAGCACAGGAGAAAGACATCTAAAGATGACTGCAGCCCTCCTGGGGATGACATTAGCTAGCTATTATTAGCCTATACCTGAAGTCACAATTATAGAGTTGATGTCTTAGATTGAGTGCCTTGGAACTTAAATTAAAGCATGACCCACATATTTAAGATGCTATATTTAAAGTTAAGATTGGTTTCTGTTATTAGTCTGCAGTCAGTCACATTTTTTCATTTTCATTCTCTCTGTAGTAAAGAACACACACATTCACACACACATCAAAAAGAATACATTTAATTATGAATACGAACACAATGTCACATTCATTTCAATCTTGTTGAAAACCTGCTTAAACCTCCCAGAGGATCCCTCTTTGTGTCACAACATCATCTTCCCTGTGACAGATTTCACATTTCTTTTATATCGTGGGGTAATGACTAAATTGCTGCTCAGGGAAACGGTATTTGGCTAAAGGAAAAAAAAAGTTATTGGTGCAGGGGGAAAGATTTGTGCCAGTATGAATGCCTAGGCCAATTTCTGGTCTGAGGAATAGAATACAAATGATGTAATGAATCAATATATTCTCCACACCGTGGCAGAAAAGAAAAGGGGCTGCAGCTATCCCAAATGTAATACATGGTAGAGCAGAATATGACATCAACTCATGGAAATTTTCTACTACATGTGTCCCATGCAAAAAAGGAAAAGTGCCTTTTATGCCAAACATATATATCAGATAATGACATATAATGAAATGCACACATCTTCTGGGGGAAAAAGAAGCTATTATATTCTATTGAGAGATATAATGTATCAAAGAACTAAAAGCCTCCCTTCAATGCCATAATTTTCTTCAAAAAATATTCTGGAAGCATTACACCACTGTAAAATACACCCATTAAGACTAACATTATCTACAATGATGTGAAAGACTACACACCTTTCTCAGATTAAACTTTAATACAATTCTTCACATATGTTCCCTTGCATAATGTTAAGGAGGGAATAACAAATTTGGTGTGCCATAGTCCATGCTGCCAGAACTTTCTAATAGTTCCACATTTCTCTACAGAGCCTTCATGATTTTTTTTAATCCATCCACTCATTGCTATTCAACAAATATACATTAAACAACTACTATGTGCCAAGCATTCTTTCAGGATTGAAGGTAAACTGGTGAAATATGAAATCTCAGGCCTCATTGACCCAGAGCTTTTAAACGTATAAATAAATACATTCAGAGAGCAACTAAGTGCACTACAGAAAATAAAGTAGGGCAATAGAATAGAGAGTGGTGGGTGGAGACAGACCTGCACTAGATAGGTGGGCCATGGAAGGCCTCTTTGAAGAGGTCTTCAGACATGAAGGATGAAGAAGATAGCTGTGCACCTGCACACATGCACCTGCAGCTTCCTTCAGAGGTCTTCTCTTGGGTTGCTGGAGCCACTTGGGGCACGGAGTCAGAAGTTTCCATCTCCTAAGGGGAGCCAAACCCAGTGACTGACTGATAACGATATATGAAAACCCAGCTCCTTGAACCCAGAAGGAGAGAGCTCTGCAGTGCCACTTGCACTCCTGAGATTCTCATGGGATCAAGCCAAGGCTGAAATTTTGCCTGAAATCATATCCTTCCTTGGTCCTTCTTCTTCCTTGAGCTGCTATTTCTGTAACCTCACTGGTTTCGAGGTTAACCTTGAAAGTTTAAATAAACCACATAGTTTAAATAAACCACCTTCACTCCAATCCTCATTGCAGGATATGCTTCTGGAAGCAGCCCCAGGATGTCCTCCACACCAACATGAGTCATACAAAATCCATCAGGGTCCAGGTGTGGTGACTTATGCCTGTAATCCCAGCACTTTGGGAGGCTGAGGCAGGTGGATCACCTGACGTCAGGATTCAAGACCAGCCTGACCAATATGGTGAAACCTCATCTCTACTAAAAATACAAAAATTAGCCGGGCATGGTGGGAGGCACCTGTAGTCCCAGCTACTAAGGAGGCTGAGGCAGGGGAATAGCTTCAACCAGGGAGGCAGAGGTTGCAGTGAGCCGAGACTGTGCCACTGCACTCCAGCCTGGGCAACAGAGTGAGTCTCCATCTCAAAAAAAAAAAAAAAAAAAAAAACACACAGAAAGAAAACCTGCCAGGCATGTAATGTGCCTTGTCCTGGCATTCTTGAGTGGTGACAGAGTCATGGGAAGAAACACAGATGTTGATGGGCTGTGGTCCTGGATTTTCCACAATGTGATTGTTTAACCCTAGACAAAGTCGCAGCTCTGGGCTTCGGTGCCTCATTTATAAAATGGGGAAATGGGGACTGTGGCGATCTCAGGGAACTTTTCCTAATCTAAAATAATATACTACACGTACGCATGTGTATGAATGAGGTATTAATACATATTCACATACGCTACAAGGCTCTAGAAAGATAGCAATGTTATAACCTATAGAGCTGTTGGTGAAGACTTTTCTAGGAAGTGGTTTTTGCTTGATTACTGCTATGAAAGAAATGCAGAACTGGTTAAGGACAAAGGCAATGATCAGAGGTCAGGAGTTAGAAGGGTTGTGGTGCAATTGTGGTGGTTCCACCTTAGAGCTGAGTATGACTGAAAGGCGGACAACTCAATTAATGAAGGAAGAGGACGAGGACCCAAGTGAGAACACACTTTAAAAATGTCTGTTTTCTACATTTTTCTACAAGTAGAATCTGGGAGAAATCATAAGAAAAAAGGCCGATCACAATGTTAATGAGTCCCTGCGCTTGAACTACTAATTCTGGCTGCTCCATAGCTAGAAAGCATCTTTTTATTTTTTAACTATCATTTTTTTAAAAAATTAGCTAGATATGTTTTTAACTGACATATAGTAATTGTACCTATTTATGAGGTACATAGTGATGTTTACATACATGTAAGATCCAGTGATCAGATCAGGGTAATTAGCATATCTATCCATCATATCAAACATTTATCATATCTTTGTGACAGGAACATTCAATATCCTCCTTTAAGCTATTTTGAAAATATATATTATTGTTAACTATAATCATCCTAAAATGGTATAAACACTGAAACTTAACCCTCCTATCTAGCTGTAATTTTGTATCATTTAACAAATCTCTCCCAATCTCTCTCTCCCATCCACTTCTCCTTGCCCTTTCTTTCCCAGTCTCTAGTATCTTTTAAAGCTGAAAAAGGGGAAAAACTGAGAAGAAGTAAAAAGAAACTCAACCTTATACTATGCAGAGGATATAACTCTTCATATAACAGATGCTTAGAAAGTATTATTTAACATTACCTTAACAACCATTACAGTTATAAAATAGATATATATAATTAGCTGTACAATATCAGTGACAGAGTCTGGTCAATAGTCAGTTGCAGATTTCCAATTCTTTGACATGGAGAAAATAAATTTCAAAGGGATGCAGTGAGGTTATAGAGCAGAAAAATAGTTGGCACAGGAAGCAACATAGCATATAATGCTTTAGCATTGAGCAGATGGGTTTGAGCCTCAGCTCCCATCCCTTGCTAGCCGTGTGACCTCAGACAAGTTATCCAACTTCAAATCTGGTTTCCTCAAATGTAAGATGAGACATTGCCCATACTTCACGTAATTGTAAAAAGATAAGCACTATTTCCTGTTTTATAATATATGTGCCCAATCAAGATCAATTCTTTTTGTCCACATTTTCCAGCCAAACTTTCTGGAATACATGTATCAACAAGCACCCCATCTGGCATTTACTGAGCTTCTTCTCCCTTCTTCTGCCTTTTCTCTTCTTATCCTATGGCTGGCTCTGTCCTCACTACTCACCTGGTGACCCCCAACTCCTTGAGAAACTACCAATTTTGCTAAGTTGTCTTTTTAAGTTTATTATCTGCACTTTTCCTTAGAGCATATTCTGGCATTCACTCCTCGCTGAACACATGGTGGTCACTCAACACTGCCACTCTGCAGTCTCAGGGACTCAGCCAGGCATACCCACGTTGGAGAGGGGTGCCTGGCATCTATTTCCCAGCCCCTCCATTTACTTCACTTCAAGTGAAAATCATAATATAGGTCTTTTTTCTTGTGCTTCTTGCAAGTTTCTTTGTATAATTTCAACTTGGATTAAAACACAGACACACACATCTTTATATCCCCAGGCATTTTGTGTCCTTATCTAAAATTAGTGCAGTTGCTGCTATGCTATTTTAGGAAATACAGGCTATCCCTCACTCTTTACATCCACTAGCTTAGCCAGCTGAGTAGCCCTGTGCAGCATGGGGTATACGGATATGGTACCAAATCCTGAAACCACCAAGATGCTCCTTCTGTTCCAGTTGACCAACATAGCAAATGTGTGATTGGGTGGGTGCAAGAGCCAGTAGAAAAGACAAACATGACGTGGATGTGAAGATATAGATGAGACATTAAGAAGAGGGCGTCTTAGGTCTGGTTCCTTAAAAGCAGAGCCTGAGATGGGGATGCTTGGCAAGTAATGGAGTGCTCTCAGGAGGGACTGCTGTGGAGGGAGAAAAGCAGAATAGGACAAATCTAGGCTCATCCTGGTCCCACAGGAAGTTTTAAAGTGTGAATGGCACCAGGATCAGTCTGTCATTGTTTGAAAGCTGCCTCAAGAAAAGGGCACAACCTGTAGACATTTGCAGCAGCTCCCGGAAGCCTAAGGCAATTGCCTTAGAGAAGGAGGAAGCTGTGAGTCAACACCCAACACACAGCAGCTTGGAGGAGACAGGGCTCCATCCTGGTTAAGGGGATTTGTACAGGATACCACTCCTGGTATGAAAAATAACAGGCACATTAGAGAAATAAAAAAAAAAGCTATAGAATGCTTAGAATTCAGGGATTATATCTTATACATTTGTTCAACTTTCCACCAATAATATTGATTCTTAGGTGAAACAGGTGCTCAATAAATGATTAAACTAAATAGAAACTTTCGCGATATAAAGTGAGCTGGAGAAAAAATGGTTGTTAATTTAAAAACGGGATCATCTGAGTTAATACTACATGGAGATTTTGACTTCCACAGCAATGGAAAAGTATACTTTGTCAACTGGTAGAATTCTGTCTTGTTTCACCTTCTTTATCCACCAGCAGTAGGTATACTATGTGGTAAGAAAGAAAGGTTTTGGACTTGGTATAAAAAAGAAGAGAGCTATAATCTCATCTTGGTTACCTACTAGTTTTATCTCTGTGGATTAGACTCAAATGAACAGAGTCTCAGTTAATTCAACTTAAAAATAAATATTGTAATAACTGTGCCACCTAACTCATCGTGTTCTTGTAAGGTTCAAGTGAGCTAATGCAGCACTGGAATACCTGTATCTCTCTCTCTCTGGTTTTTTTTTTTTTTTTTTTTTTTTTGAGATGTAGTTTCACTCTCATCGCCTAGGCTGGTGTGCAGTGGTGCGATCTCGGCTCACTGCAACCTCTGCCTCCTAGGTTCAAGCGATTCTCCTGTCTCAGCCTCCTGAGTAGCCGGGACTACAGGCACATGCCTCCACGCCCAGCTAATTTTTGTATTTTTAGTAGAGATGGGGTTTCACCATGTTGGTCAGGATGGTCTCCAACTCCTGACCTCAAGTGATCTGCCAGCTTCGGCCTCCCAAAGTGGTGGGGTTACAGGCTTAAGCCACCACACCCACCCAATACCTGTTTCTTTTTAACACACATGGCAGACCCCCAAGTCCTAGGGTTAGGGGAAGGAGTGACTGTATTGACGTGGTAAGAAAGCTATATAAGGCATGGGATCAGCTGGCCTCATGGGTTGGCACAAGCTACTTACAAACCATAAGGATTCCCTTTCATCATTTCTGATTCCTCTTCCCATGTCAGCTTCATTCTCATGGACTTTACTGCTTTTCTTATGAGACTGGAAACATGACAGAGAAGACCTTTGAAGTTCATTAACTGAGAGGGAAGAAGTGACTCTTGGTTCTCACTAAAAGAAAAAAAAAATGCTGACTGCAACTCTCTTTTTATTGCATGGATTATAGACCCTGGGAAATGGGGTCAGTGGGGCACAGTGTTTAGCAGCCACTCTATGACTTTCATCTGAAGTCAGGAAAAAATAATTTTCCAAAGGGAGGGCTGATCCCAGGAGAAAAGAAGATTTGGTGGGGGAGACAGAAGATGGATATCTACTGGAATACTAGACATGGTATCAGAAGATATGACCTCAAGTGTCTTTTTATGTATTGTGTCCTTGAGTATATATCAATGAATCTATCCAAACACCTTATTCATCTATAAAATGGGGGTACTAGTATATATATTATGAGGATTTCTAAAGATTGAAATGGATAATTTATGGGTGAAGATGCTTTGTAAAATGTACTGTGCTTTCAAAATTATAATAAGATGTCATTATGAATTGTGCGCTAAATACAGAGCACTTCTCAGGCATATATGCATTTTAGACTAGTTTTTTAAATGGTGGGAAAAAAACGAAAATGTTTAATGGCTGCCTTTTCAAAGCTTGCAGCCAAATCTACCACACCATAAAAACATTAAAAATATGCACTCTAAGGAAACAGCCTTGGCTGAAGGTGGCACTATCTTCAATTCGTTGCCTCTTCAGAACAGTAGTTCTCGGTAGGGAGTGACACGAGGTACTGTTTAGTGAGGTGTCAGTTCTGTAGAGTTTTCTCCTTTCTTTCTCAGAAATCGAAAGTGATCCCCACATAAAGCATTTGCAGCTGTATTGGGAAATGAGCTAGTCACGCCTCAGCAATTTATGGCCAATTTTCCATTAATAAGAGAGAATCGAGTGTGGTTCAATCACTTTACAATCCAAACACTCATTCTTAAGAATGGGGGAGAGACAGTACAATAGTTTCGTTCTGTTTCTGAAAGAGCATTAATTCAATATTGTGTATCTTTGAAGAAAAACATTTAGATGGCTCTAAGTGGTAGGAAGGTAAGTTTTACAGGAAAATATTTTGAAAGCCACGCATTAGAAATACCACTTGCCATGAATTAGAAACACCACCTGAAGTGCACAGGCAAGAGATGGGCCAGAGGGCCATGAGCACAGTCCAGGGAAGTGGAAGGGTTAGGAGGAAAAGAGACACAGAATGAGAAGTGGGAATGGTAGTTTCAGGGCATAAATCCAAGACAGGATCTCAGCTTAGAGTAGATTCCTATAGCAGGGGCCCAGAACCACAGGTAAATTGTAGGTCTAGGTAAGGCAGAGCTAGAGGATAGGAGACTAAAGTAGAGCCACAGAAGGTACCAAAGACCCAGGATGACCAGTTCGTAAAATTCAGGGCAAATGAAGAGTTAAAAAGGTGAACTGGGGCAGAAGGATGAAAGCAAGACACCAGTCAAACTCTGGCCCCAGCGAGAAGCTTGTAACACGTTCCCCAACACATGTCTTCCATGGGCTCACAAAGAAGAAGGCAAAATGTTGGTTGTGAGAAAGGACCCTGTGTGTAAATATAAGGATGAAAACTGCTTAACAGTCAGAAGACAGAGAGACCAAATGAGATTTCCAAAAACAGTGGAACATTTCTTATGGAGCTTCTATTCAGTACGCTCACCAGATCAATTTTCTGAGTTCTCTCTTTACAACATATTGATTGGTGATTGTCTTAATTTGGATCCCCTCAGAAGAAGATCTAGAGACAAAGATTTGGGTGTAAGTTGTTGATTTGGGAAGTGATACCAGGAATACTTATGAGAATGGAGAAGGCGAGGCAGAAGGAAAGGGAACCAAGAAAAGGTCTATCAGTGAGCAGGTGACTACTGTGGACAGCTTGGGGACCGAGTAGAATCTGTTTCAGAACAGTCCTAAGGAAGCAGAAGAATGCTGGACTATTTACCCATCAACATCTGTCCCTCATGAATCTCATGCCTGAGAGTTCCAGCGCCACAGCAATTCCAGACTTCCCTCAGGTAGGGAGGCACGGGCACTTGAGGGAGGAAGACAGCAAGGCTGCAGGTGACGGCCAAAGTGGGCCCAGGAGTCAATGATGGCTACAGCCAGCTTCCCCTACAGTGACCCAAACATCCCCGTTCCTCGGCCAAAGCATCTCTCTAGTAAGCCCAGGCACTCGTCTTCTGCCTTGATAACAGGGTTACTTACCAAGAGTCAACTGGGTTTATTACCAAATGTATTAGAATTATAATTGTTATTATAATTATGAAAGCAAATTAATTTATGTAAATTGGATTTATGCAAATCAATGAAATTTGAGAAAAAGCTGTTTCAGTGAAATAAAAGTTGGATATGTGAGACAAAGTAGCAAACAAAAGCCATGTTTGCTTATTTCTGCTTGCCAGGATAACTTCACAAAGCCCCTGACTCTGTGACGATGTGCAGCTCTCTGGAAAGATGCTTTGAAGACAAAACAGGATAGAGCACATGGACCCCTCCTGTCTCTTGCCTGGGTCACTGTATTCCTCAAAAGATACATGACCCTAGTCCTTTCTTTTTAATACACAGAAGATTACATGTGACAGGGTTAGTGACTGTGCTTCTACAATCTATAAGCAAATGAACTTTAGTAATGTAAAACCAGATGTACTCTCACACCCAAACCTTGACATGATTCTGCTTCAACACAACTTCTGAGTAACTTTGATGTGATTTTGCCCATACTGAGCCCCCACCACCTGGATGTAAGCTGTGGGCTGAAACACTGGGCCAGTCTTACAGGACTGCTCCCAAGCCGGAGGCCTCGGCCTACAGTCCTCATTAAGACCGCTGAATACAACTAACTTGAATCCTTTAAAAAAACAGACTTTTTTTCTTTGGTCAGCAAATGCTTCAGAATGGTTTGGTGAAAGCAAGCCAATAAAAATGGTTTGTTGAATTAGGTATGGCTGAGAAAACTGTGGAGGTATTGGAGAGAAATTGTAACAATCAAAAAGATTATTCAATAGGATTGCTTTGCACGTCACTTTAATTCTTACTCCAATGTAAAGAAACTGAAGTTGGGCATCATAGGGGATACATTAAAGGTATGATTTATTAAGAGAGACAACACATAACGCCAATTAAGGGACCCAGAGTCAGAGAAGAGACCTTAGCTATACATCAAAGATTGGCAAATGAATGTCAATTTGTGTTTTAAGTTAAAATAAAAATGTTTAAGGCATATATGAATCATTTTCAGGAGCCCTTACTTTAAATAATTTTTTAAATCAATCTACCCACTACTAGCTTTGCATTTGTTGCATGAGTCATGCTTCAACTCCACTCTGAGGAAAATACTCTGAGACTATAGCATGATTCCTCACACACAGTCAGCTGCCTGGAGTGTCTTATTTTAAGCTTCCCAAGAAAATTGAAGTACAAAGAAACAAGTGCTTCCTCAGCATCTTGGAAATTGGGATTAAGGGTCAAAAAGGTTAAGATTTCATGCTGAGAACGGTTGAGCCCAATCACAAAGATCTATGGAAGAAAAAAGCTAACAAAATTAAATGAAGATTTAGGAAAGTAATATTCAAGCTTCAGTGCTGTACCTCAGGGAAGCATGGCACCGTCACCAGGACACGACAACAGAGCTTCGAAGATTAAAAAGGAAATAACTGACAAATAAACTTTTAGCTAATTTTCGGAATAAGAAAGGTGTCAAATTCTTGGTAACATAAGATTGCAGATGCTTAAACTCCAGAGACTGCTTGGAGTTCCTTCTTCTTGTTGTCATTTAACAGTTTATTTAATGCTTTGGGTACTTGGACACTTGTCACTTTAGAAAGAGTCATTGTGTGGCTTTCAAGATTCTGAATCACTGAGGTTGAGTACCAGGCTTTGTAGTTTAGAAGACTGTTTTTGTATCATATATATATATACGCTGGCTTACCGTGGATAAGTTCTTATTACTCTGGAAATGTTCTAACCACATCAAAGTAAGCCTAACCAATAGGTTTTTGTAACGATAAATGTTCAAATCAACAAGGTAACCACATTCTAGCCTCTCTTTCTCCTAGAATATAAATCATCCATTATGTAATTAAATGAAATTATAAGATAACACCACATTACATTTCTGAGCTTGTGTGCATAAAGAAGAAAATTTCCAGTAAAGTTGAAAAGTGTATTTATTTATCCCTCATTTTGTTCCAGAAATAATTAAAGCCAAACTATAAAGCAACATAAAGTGCAGCAAGAGAACAGAAACATCTGTGATTTAATTCCTCAAAAATATCAAAGAACTTACAGGATTTGGATTTAAATATCAATTAACCTTCTCTGAAGCAGAAAATGGAAACACAACTTCTCTTTTTTTCCTCCCTTTTAGAGGTGTACCCTACCACCCCCAGCCCATGCTATGAGTCCCAGGGCCTAGGTGCAAACAGAAGCCCCCCAGTTTGGCTGGCAGCCTGCCCTGCCCCTTTCACATCTTGCCATGTCTCTGTCAGCACCGTGAGGGGTCTTCCGTGCCTGTGTGTGGACCCCCAGCCTGCACATCCAAGCCAGTTTTCTCACCACTCTCCAGCAATCTTGGGAACCCCTCAGCCCTGGGGTGTTCTCACTGACTGTGCCTCTGCATTTGGAGATGGACTAGATGGTCTGTCCAGGCAAAGGATCCTGGAGTCCTGGTGTGGTAGGCAGAATAATGACCTCCCAAGGATGACCACTCCCTTTTCCGCAAAACCTATGCACATGTTACATTATATGACAAGGGGGGGATGCAGGTTGCTTATGGAATTAGGTTTAACAATCAACTGGCATTCAAATAAAGAGATTATCCTGGATTATCTGGGGGGTGGGGTGGCATATAACTGAAAAGGTCTTTAAATGTGGAAGAGGGAGGCAGAAGAGTAAGAGTCAAATTGATGTGATGGAGAAAAACTTGGCTGGCCATTGCTGGCTTTGAAGATGGAGGAAGGGGCCGGGAGGAACCGAAGGGGCCTCTAGAAGCTGGAAAAGCAAGAAAAGGAATTCTCGCCTGGAGTCTCTAGAAAGGAATGCATACCTGCCAACACACTGATTTTAGCTCAATGAGAGCTGTTTTAGACTTCTGACACTCAGAACTATAAGATAATAAGTGCTTTTTTAAACTCCTGAGTTTATGATAATTTATATAGCTGCAATAAAAAACTAATATACCTGGGTGCCTCCCTCTTGGTCTTACAAGGGTGCAGGAACTTCCTGCAGGAACTGATCTACAGCCGAGATAAAAACAGAGACAGGAAAATGACCTTAAAGACCATGAAGTCAGAAGTTGGGAGAGAATGGTTGTCAATTAGAGAGGTTTGGATTGCAACAGACTGTGAAATGGGCGTGATTTGGATCCTTGAGGGTCAGGACATCCCCAGGGTTGTCAGCAGGAGTCACAAATGCTTCAGACACATGTGTCTACTTGGGGCCCACTCAGGCTACCGAGGAAAGGGCATGAAGGAATCACCCTGTCTTCATCCTCAGGTCACACAGTTATTTCCAGGGCCTCTCTATTTCTTTGTGTTTGCCTAATAAGTTGCCTTGTAGATTTGTATTAAAAGGCTAAATGGCTAGAAATTAGAAGGCATGGTGAGACATTCTTAAAGAGGTGGGGGAGTAACAACATATGTGCAACTTGCCTCTAATGTCTCCCTTCTTTTGGGGACTTAAAACCCTACACAAATGTCCTTGGAACTGGCTATGTTGCCTAGATAATCAGAGTGTACAATATTTGTGAAGGAAAGCCTTTAACAAAATTCAGATGCCTTGATCCAGTAGACATACTGATTATATTTGAGGGAAATAAACCATTTATTTTTGAGGCTATGATCAAAGCATTATTTATAATTCTCAATTTTTGGAAATCAGAAACTTCAATGATCAAAATCAAACATGGAATTTTTTTTTTTTTTTTTGCAAATTCTTACCCATCCACATGACGGTCTTGCACCTCCAATGGGAAATTGTTTTTGAAGGGTTTGGAATGGTGTGAGGAGACACACAGAAAGTTACACAAAAATAGAAACAAAATTGTTTACACAGTCTGGCCTTAACTTTGTAAAAATATATGAATATGCATTGTTAGGGTTTTTCAAAATGGGATAACTGAAAACATGCAAATGATTCATTTTAAAAGGCAGGCTCTTTTAACAATAATTGTTAAGATCTTTAAGTGTAATTTTAAGGGCTGATTTCTCGTTTATTTTTCTAATCCACTGGAAGAACACTGTCCATATTTTAAGTAGCTCAATTTTAAGATATGAGTCAATATGTGAATAAGTATTTAATTATGTTATTGTTTTTGTTCACAACAGTGCTCCTTACAGAGGCATCAAGATTGCATATGTTACAATAAACTCAAATTCACACTCCCTGGTGGCTAAGTCACATTCAGGAAAATTCGGCAGTAGAGAAGTGTGATTTAGGACAGTAAGTGATGACATCATTAGTCTATGGTTTAGAGCAGTGGTTTCCAAAGTCTAGTCCCCAGACCGTAATATCCACATCACCTAGGAACTTGTTAATGTGGACTTTCAGGCCCCATCCCAGCCCTACTAAATCAGAAACTCTGGGGTAAGACACAGAAATCTATGTTTAACAAGCTCTCTAGGGTATCACAATGTGGGCCAGCATTTGAGCACCACTGGTCTAGATGAATAATCTTTTCCTGAGATTTATGAACTGGTGGAGGTGAGGGGTGGGAAGGATGAGATGACGGAGAGTTGGGTATGGGTCCTCAGGTCTGCTATAGTTTTCAAGACAGTCGGTCTAAAGCTCTCATTAGATTCTCAAGAGAGTTTACGATCCACAGAAAAACAAAAACAACAACAATAGAAACAATAACAAGGTCAAAGACATAACCAGTTAGGCAATCAGGAACCTCTATTTGTCTCAAGGTCCCAGTGACTGTGACGTGGTTTGGGAGGACAGATTTAGATGGCTAACTGGAACAGCTTGTGGCAATTTATTGCATTAAGTTCCCAAGTAATGGCCTTCCTATATGCTGTGAATGTAAGACCAGTAGTAGAGTGGTCTCTGCTTTTTTAGTCTCCTGATCTTTTCTAATAGGAACACCTTTGAGTTCTGGAGCCAGGCCTGCCCTCTACTCCATGTGATAGATCAGTATATCCCATCTCCCAGGTCATAGGAATAAATGTGTAATCTCCAAAAATAGCACTTCATCAGTTTTGTATAAGTGATTGGCCAAGAAATTTCACTTGATCCAAAATGGGCCAAGTTTCTTCCTAGGATTTTATATGCACATCATTGGAGACAAGAAGTAACCCCTTTTCTCTGAAGTTATTAAGCTGAGTTAATGTGAGCCTGTACCTGTGTGTAAGGCACTTGCTGTTCCTGCATTGCATAGGAGAGAAGGAAGCCACTGAAAATCATAAGAAAAAGAGACAGATTGCTAGTGGATGCACAACCATCCTTACAGAGTACGTGAGTGTGTGTGTGCACGTGTGTGTCTGGGGTGTGTGCTTTTATGTTGTAAGTTGTATGAGTTGGCAAGTATGTGAAGTTGTGTATCCACCACCATCAGGATATGGAATAGCTTCTTCACCCCCAAAATTCCTCTACATCCCTCTGTCATCAACCTCTTCCTGGGGCTGGCAGCCATTGATGTGTTTCCTGCCTCTACCATTTGCCCTTTTCAAAAATGTCTTATGGATAGAATTATACAATATGTGATATGTCAAGTCTCATTTCTTCCAGTTAGTACAATGCATTTGAGATTTGTCCATGTTATTGTGTGGAACAGTAGTTTGTTCCTTTCTATTGCTGAGTAGTATTTCATTGTACATATGGATGTACCAAGGCTTGTTTATTCCCCTCTTGAGAAGCATTTGGTTTGTTTCCAGTTTCAGGCAATTGTGAATAAAGCCACAATAAGCACGTGCATTCATAGGTTTTCCTCTCATTTGGGTAAATATCTAAGAGTGGGATTGCTGTGTCATATGGTAAAGTCACGTTTAGCTTCATAAGAAACTGCCAAACTATTTCCCAAAGTGGCTCTCCCAATTTGCTATGATGAAACATCTCCTTCATATGGAATCCTATTTCAATTCCTGCCCAGATTTTAGGTCAGTTGGAATTGTTTACAAATGCCCTACATGTTAACAAAATCACTGAAACATTTCCTCACTACTGAAAATGAATAGTGTTCAGTGTGGATACTTTTTGTACTGTCCACACAGAAACAAAGGAATGGACTGGGTCATTGCTCAGTGTCCATTGCAGTGACATTAATCTCTGGAAATAAAGACAAAGTGAAAATAACCAAGGGTGTTTAGTCTGGTCCAGTCATACTGTAACAGAAAATTCTTCGCTTCACACAGATCTATGAAATGATGAAAAACAACACGGTTTAAATTAGGAAGACTTTCTGAGACAAGTAATCTTAACTTGAGGGGTAATTTTTAAAAGGCACTTAGACAGACAGATAGATAGATAGATAGATAGATAGATAGATAGATAGATAGATAGATAGATAGTTTAGATAGATAATCTCCTGACATTTCACTGCATTGCCCAAGAGTTTTCTGTTGTGGACAATAGGGAAGAATTTACAGCATAAACAGCCAGAACTGATCATACTAAGAGCACCTACCAAGGAAAGGCTATGAAGGAGAACAAGATTAAGGAGAAGTATTCTGGTAGAGAAGTAGGGAGAATTGGCTGCGATGAGAATTTGCGGTCACTGATGTTGCTAGATAATGTGTGATGCTTCCTTTGCCCTCTGAGGTCCTACAAAGAACAGTGGGTAAGCCCAGTGGCAGGCTGGCAATTTTCCCCCATGAAGGCAATTTGCTGCTCCTTCTTTTTCCCCTGGCTGGCAAGTACCTAATGAACCTTTACATAGGCAGCATCTCTCTCCTACCAGAATAAAGGTGCTCACCTGCTTTAGTCAATATGTTAAAAAAAAAAAAAAAAAAGACATTTACATCTCTCAGGCCCAAAAATGTTTCCAAGAGCCAATGACAGTACCACTATACAAATCTTGCAGTGGTGACCATATACCCAGGATTGTATTAGGCAACAGATGGGAATAAAATATATTTAGTACATAGTGCCTAATCTCAATGAACTTACAGCCTGTTACAATCAAGCTAAGGGGAAGAAAAATAAACTTTTGTGTCTGGGTGACATTTGAAAATAGAAACTTGTTTCAAGTATTCATTTGAAGACATGAATAACTGAATATACTTGGAGATATTCACCTATGGCTTTCTCCACATTATTTCTCCTCTTTCCTTTTCTCATTCAAGTATTCTCAGAGTGAGATGGAGAAGGAGGGAAGGCCAGTCTAAGGGCATAATACCAAATTTATTCACACTGGAATGGGAGAGAGGAGTATTTATCTGCCAGTTTCACTGGGTTTGTTCGTGTGTGTGTGTGTGTGTGTGTGTGTGTTGGTGGGGTGGCTGTCTTATATGAGAACTACACAGATGTGACTTTTGTCCCCAAAACCTAAATCCACTGAGGGAGAGGGGATGAGAAAAAATGAATAGAGAATGACCTGAAGAAGTAGGAAGACTCCCTTTCCAGATGAAGTAAATAAAATATACTCCCTAAGCTTTGGAGGGGGAGAGAAAGATGAATCGGTGCAGGAATGTCTGGAGCTAAAGTCTTCATTAGATTGGTAGGGGGGTGGGGAGTGAGAGGTTAGCAGGGATGAGTAGAGAGTCTTCTAGCCAGATGTTTCTCCAACAACCTTGAAGACAGAGCTTCAAAAATGTCGGGTTTGGGAAGAAATAAGGAGAAAAGGTGGGGAACCAGGCTAACATTCACTTCACCTTCTGGTCCTGAGGTGCAAACAGCTTCAGCTTCACTGGCTTTGCAATATATCCTTATATTTCTTTCTCTTCCTTGTTTCACTTCTCCCCAGACCCCACTCTTGTTTCTTGGGATCGCTTTCTGCATAAACTACCTGCACTCAAGCCATTTCCTCGGCCTCTGCTTTGGGAGAGGAAGGAAGAAATCAAGACTAGGACAAGAGTAAAGGTGAGTATGATCTGGGAAGCTTTCCGACCTATTTTGAAGATTATTCATTCCTGTTTAGACTTCTACACCACAGGCCATCCATTGCTCCTATTCCATTTGTTTCCTAAGACTCTACACAACCTAGAAAGTCCCCTCCTGGAAGTCAAACTCAACTCACTGATGAGATTTTCCATCCCTCTTGAACCTCTCTACAATACTTGACAGTGATGACTTGACAAATCCTTCTCAAAGCTTCTTCTTTGCTGACCAGTATACTGGACTTACCACATTCTTTTCTTCTATTTCTGCACATGCGTCCTTTGGCTCTTGTTCATGCTCCTCTTACCCTAGTGATGGCTCTTAAACCTGACCTCTCGCCGGACTACCTCCATTCAGTTCAGTGTCATGAGATCCACCACTGTCTCTTCTTATGAGTGGGTTTCAAATATGGATTTCTTTGCATACCTTGAAGGTTCTCCAGAATTCTAATCACATATTTACACCCATTTGGTGAACATTTCATCCTCTATGTCTTATACAAACTCATTATAACCAGAACTAAGCCAACAATTCACTCTGAACTAGAAATGAAAAACTTAAAATGAACAACAAAAAGGTAGATATAAGAGAAAAAAATGGAAATAAATGGCATATTTAAGGTCTAATTTTAAGAAACAACAAGAAGATAAAAGACACAGAGATAGAATATTCCAGGCTGGTAATCTGAAAGAATGGTAATATTTTGGAGAAGAATTGGGGGAGTCGGACAGAAAAAAACAACTTTAGGATGAAATATGAAGAGTTCTATTTGGATCATATCAGGTCTCTGGTGAGAGTATTTCCCCTGCTCAGTTTTATGTGTATCACAAGACCTGGGGTCTTTCCCTATTTTCACACTAATCTTTGTCAGATGTTACCTCTTTGATTTCTACTTTCTTTAGTTTCACAGTGACTTCTTTGGGAAAATGTCACCAACTTCTAAGGAAGCCTTTCTTTTCTCTCCTGAAGCCAAAATTGTTACTGTTTTAACTAAAACAGTAACAAATATGTATAATAATACATAAAGTAGAGTCAAAACTAAAAACAATACATATTAAGTATACAACACATACAATTAAACACCAAAACTCCCAACTGGAACTTTATAGCCATCAAATCATCTAAAACCACTTCTTAATCTCCAGTAATGACTTAAAGGTTTCCTTTATATTAATTTAATACTTGAGATGTGCTAGGGAAAAAAACAACAGTCTTTAAATGTTTCAACCAGACAGCATAAGGTGGTGACTGAAAGGAGGACTACAAACTCAGAGAAAGAGACTGACAGCACAGAGAAGAACTTTTATTCTGTTTTTAAATCCTGGAAGCCTCCTTCTGTTTCGAAGTCTGAAAACAGCCACATTACTAATAGCCTGTTTTGCTTGTCACCCACCTTTGTGCCATTAGACGCCTGTTAATTTTTGTCTTGGTAACAAAGAAAACAGCACCATTGTGCTACTAATAAAACACAGTGTGAATTGCTTTTCTTCTGAAATGCAATGATTTTAATTGACTTTATTTTCTTCCAAAAAGAAATAGAGAGGCACAATCATAATGAGGTCTGCCCTCATTAATGGAGATGCGTCACTAATTTGAGATGAAAATTGAAGTCTGGTAAATATCCATCTTGTAGCTACCCAGCCTGCGTCACACATAGAATCTGGTACGCGAGTTTCTCTTACTCCTTGCTCAATGTTCCCTCCTGGGACCCAATAAAGGATGTGGGAGCAGGTAAAAAGCAGAACATTATTCTGTAGCTTTTTCCCAGCTGCACTTTGGAAAACAGATTTGCAGGCTCTGAACCAACAGGCAATAAGTCACTCAGCCCATTTTCTCAGAATTACCGCTGCACTGTTACTGTTTGCTTCCCAATAACTCTATAACCATGGACAGTAACAAATGTGCAGAGACGTATTCTTCTCTGCACTCAGAAAGCTGCGCCTTCATGAACGTCTCTTCCTTAGCTATTTCCTAATCCAATTTTTTCATGTCAGAGCTAGGAATTTGTGTGACAGGGATTTGGTGCATTTCCATAAGGCAACGCTCAGCCACAATTACGTTAGTTCTAGGCAGCTTGAGTTATAGCTTCACAGGTTAAATCTGCGATAATTAGCTGGATTTTTAGGTCTAGGAGTGGTCACATTAATGAGAGCCCTAGATTATACAAAGAAGCCTGAGGAACCAGTGTTAATGGTAAGTCTTGCACACATCCTCGTTATGAGCTGTTAAAGGAGTTACATGATAAAAATTTCATCCACTCATCCACTCAACAAATGTTTATTGTACAGCAACTTTTTGTTTAGTGAGCACCTACTATATGGGGATATAGCTGTGAACAAGATCACTAATGTTCCTGCTATTGTGGAAATTACATACTAAATGGGAAATAAGCTTAAAATTAATTATGCAACTAAATAAATGCATTTACAAAGTAAGTCCAGGCAACGGTGCTATGAAGAAAACCAAAGAGATATTGTGATAGAGAGTAACTCCAAGGAGTGGCCAGGGCTGCTTAAGAGGAGGTGGCTAGGCAAGGCTCCCTGAAACAACATTCAAGCTAATGTGATGGTTTGAAGACATGGCTTCCCAATTCTTTGATACTCCTCCCATCAACAGGTGGAGTGTATGTCCCAGTCCTTTGAATCTGGGCTCTCTGACTTCTTGACGAATGGAATATAGCAGAAATGATGCTGTGACAATTCCTGGGCTCAGACCTGAAGAAATTGGCAGCTTCTATTTCTTGTCTCAGGGAGGACACAGCCTCTTGGAACCTGGCCACCACATGGTGAGAAAGCCCGAGCAGCACACAGTGAGTGTGCTACCTTATATAGGTCTGCCCTACCTTGTGGTATCCTGCCACATATCACTTCCAAAAGTGGATATCACCTCTATTGTTGTCCTATCGCTCCTACCTAAAAATGCCACTTATCAGGACTGTGTAGAAATGTAGCTACTGAGCCTTAATCCTGACCTCCAGGCCATTTTTATATATTTGGTATCCATAGGTCATAATATTTATGTTCCATATAAATGCACTGTTCTTTGCATAGAAGAAGGGCACCATAACCTTACTAGCACTGAGATGTAAACTTAGAGTTGTAGGCAAGCAATAGGACAGTGTAAAAAAATACCTTGGGGTTAGGTGAGCACTTGAGCAGCTGTCAGATGTATGGCACGTTGTTGACATGTGCGCACTTTTCCTACATCTATGCTTGTCCCTGGGATAAGACAAAAGAAAATCAAACCCAGATGCTTCTCCTTGGAATGTCAGGAGTTGAATGCTTTGTCAGGATTTTAAATGGTGGCTCCAGATCTCTTTCATTTCTAGGATGAGCTGATTAAGTCATTTTGTTTCACGAGCAATGAAGGCTTTAGGGTTGATTTTTCTCCTGGCAACAGTTAATTCTGGTGAAAAGACATCATGTTCTCCATAGTGATGGAGAACAGCAATAATAATCCATCAGCCATTATTTATTAGTGATGTGTTGTATAACAAATACGACTCATAAATTTAATGAAACGCAACATAATTAATCATTCACCATTTATAATGAAGGCCCACAGAACTTCATTTGAACATTTTCTTCTCACCATCTGCTTATTACAAGCTTATCTGTGGCTGCCTTTTCTATCCAGTGACAAATTCCCTTTTCTTCTTTGCTTCCTAATTACTAATCCTCCTTTATAATTCTAAGGAAAGTAACTCCTCTGTCTGTCTGTTGCTATGGCTTCCCAGCCTAAAGCAAGTTCTCCCTTCCTTTTTACTGAGAGCAACCTGATATTTCTCTTATTTTCAGGAGGCAATGTGTGCAACTTCCAAATGACAATTTCCAAATGGTCTAAGCAAATCAAATAACTCATTCTGTTTGGCTGTGATTTGAGTAGAAGTAGATAATGTAACTACTTATGGCCAATAAGATGGAAGAAGAATTCTGCTGGGGCATTTGGGTAAGATTTTCCACACTGAAGAGTACTACCAGAAAAAAGAAAGCCTTCCTGATGCCCTTTGTCTTTCTCAGGGCAATGTCTGTGACAATGTGATGGTTGGAGCTGAGGCCGCCATCTTGCGTGCATGAGGACAGACATCTCTCATTTTGAAGAAGACAGATGAGAAGGGAAGAAAGTGCCAAGCTGTCATTGCTTTCTTGAGTTTCCCAACCAATCCTGAGACTACCTGACAACAAGATTCTTAAATAAATAATAACCCTCTTGATGAATTTGATCAGCGTTTATTCAGGTATTTGGATGGATGAATTTGAATTTAGCAAACTACAGATGAGAAGGAAACAGCAGGACCATTCCTAACACTTGTGGGACCCAGAGCAAGCTAGGAACAATGACCCGCAAATCACATACTAAATATTTACCAGTTAAAAATTAAGGTATAAACTGCTAAGTTAAATGTGTTCTGTCCTCATGCCTTGGAAAATAGTATGCCATCATAACAACCTGAGAAGACAAATTGCAATTTTGAGTGTTTGAACTCCTTTTGGGGCATTGTGCTGGAACATGGTGATACAAGAAGATCCTAGTTCCAGTCCCTGATCCATGGGTGGGCATCTTCCCTTCCCATTCCCCAGCTCTGTCCTACCTGTGAGATGTCTTGAGAGAACATATTCAGACACTTTAGCCTGCAAGTTCAAATGTCATCCAATTCTCCCATACTTCCAATAGACATACTCGGCTCCCCTGTGGACACCAAGGTATGCAGAGCTGTGGAAGGATGGACCGGGGAAAAGGCACACATGGCTCTGAAACCAAATCATGGCCCATTAGAAAGAAATGTCAGAGTCCTGGGCACCTGAAGAACAGCCTGAACAAAACAGCTTGGAACTTTGAAACACAGCAGGAGAGAGGCCTTCAAATGCATGTGGCTTTTTGTAGGGGCTCTTCCTGACTGAGTCTAAGGTGATACTGAGAAACAGTCTGTCAAGGGAAGATGTTCACCCAAACATCACCAGGAGACAGGCTGAAATCTTAAAACCTCAGCAGCATGTTGGTCCCCAGAAGTATTTACAAAGTAGCTCTTCCCTTTTTCATCTTATTTGTAAGATTCGAACTTCAGTGATTTTCAGCAAATGACGAGAAGTTGTTCTTAGATGTAAATCCACAGAGATGGATTTATCAAGAAGCCAATGAAGCTGAAGCTCAAGGCTTCTCACTGGCACAGGTTCTGAGGAAGAGCCTCGACAACATATTCACACAATACGGAGGCAGCCATCTTGTGAACAAGAGGGCAGACATCATCATCTGAAGATGGCAGAATGTATTTTTGTAATACGTAAAGGTAAGATATTTTTAAATTCTTAACTTGAAACTCTCCCCCTCCAGCTCCCAGGCTAAATTTTACATAAAATGGCGTAACCACCATGCAAAACAGTTTGGTAGTTCTCTAAAAAGTTAAACAGGAAATAATCACCATGTGATCCAGTGATTCTACTCCTATATGCCCCAAAGAGTTGAAAACAGGAACGCAGACAAATACTTATACATCAATGTTCACAAGAGCATTCTTCACAAGTTAAATGGTAGAAACAAGCCAAATGTCCACAGACAGAAGAATGGATAGATGAAATGTAGTCTGTACTTACAATGGAATGTTATTCAGCTTTTAAAAGGAATGAGGTTCTGATATATGATACCACATGGATGAACCTGGAAAACATTGTGCTAACTTACACTGGACAGAATTGGTAAATTCATAGGAACAGAAAGTAAGTTAGAAGTTATCAGGGGCTAGGGAGATTGCAGAATGGAGTGATTGCTTTATAGTTACAAAGTTTCTGTTTGGGGTCATTAAAATGTTCTGGAAATAGAGGTGACAGTCATACAACATTGTTACGTAAACTGATTTTTTCTTTTCTTTGTTTTTGTTTGTTTGTTTGTTTTTGAGACAGGGTCTCACTCTGTTGCCCAGGGTGGAATGAAGTGGCAGGATCATAGCTCACTACAGCCTTGATTTTCTGTGGTCAAATTATTCTTCCACCTCAGCCTCCTGCCTCAGCCTTCTGTGTAGGTAGGACTACAGGCCATGCACCACCATGCTTGGCTAATTTATCTTTAAAATTTTTTGTAGAGACGAGGTCTCACTATGTTGCCCAGGCTGGTCTCAAACTTCTAAGCTCAAGGGATCCTCCTGCCTTGGCCTCCCAAAGTGTTGGGAATATAGGTGTGAGCCGCAGGGCCCAGCCCATGTATACTTACTGCCACTGAATCTTACACTTAAAATGGTTAAAATAATACATACTATGTTATAAATATTTTATCATAATAACAAAGGCTCCCAAATTGTGTTAGCTTGAGGCTCCACTAGGCTGGATTTTTCTTGTTTGCCCATCATTCAATCCTATCACATATTCATTGAACATTTAAGAAGCACAAAGCACTGTGGGTGTACAAGGAAGACAGGGAATGCCTTGAAGGCACACCACCATCCTGCCCCTCACTTCTCCAAACACTGTTGTGTTAATGGGAGTTTTTTCAGTCTATTTTAATGGGTTGGACATGATGCTTGACCTCAAAGAGTTTTGCTCTATGTCAAAGGACAACCTACACAAGACTAACCATAATACAAAGACTTATCGGGGATTTAATAATATAGTGTGCATAAGGCATTCAGTATGGGCCTGACATGTATTTGACACTAAAATACAGCTTCACCATGATACACTGCATCAGCAGCCCCACCTCACCTCCGGCCTCCTGGGAAGTTTATAACAAAACCTATGGGAGCACAAAGGAATGCATTTTAAAGTCTGTGGTTACATGTTTTGTTGATTATATGCGCATTGTTTGAGAAAATACCAAAGAATAAAAATGGCATTTAGTATCTCCTAAAAGTGCTAGAGTGGAAGGAACACAGCCTTAGGTGTGAGTCAGTCTTAGGTCTGCTTTTGGCTGGGTTTCCCCAGAAGATTCTTTAAGGCAGAGCAGCAGGGGTTTATTTGCAGATGGTCCTAGGAAACACCACTGGGGAGCAGGGAAGGAGAGGAAGTCAACGTGGGGCGAGTTGTGAACAGATCACCAGTGTGGACAGCAGAGGCTCAAGGCCACTTGGGACCTCCGGGAGATGGATTGGAACACACTTCAGTGAGGCCTCACTTGCAGGAATAAAGCTGGTGTATTTATCCTCCAGCTTCCATCCATTGTTGGCTGAAGGCTGCTCCTGGAGATGTTGACTTCTCAGCACTTTCAAACTTCTCACTTCTTGGGCCAAGAGAAAGCCCTCGGGTATAGAAGAGCAGGTGTCTGCAGGCTGATGCCATCAGTGTATGCTGATATGGTGAGGACCAAGGGGATCTGGGGGTGGGGGCCCACCAGCGTCTGTCTCTATCACCAACTTGGATAACCTATGATGCAATTAAAACAAACAAATCTCTCTCTTAGTTTCCTGTGGCTGCTAAAACAAAGTACCACAAACTGGGTGGTTTATAACAGCAGAGATATGTTTGTTTCACAGTTCTGGAGGCTAGAAGTTCAAAGTCATGGCGTCAGCAGGAACAGCCTGCCTTTGAGACTTGGGGTAGAATCTTTCCTTGCCTCTTTCCAGCTTCTGATGGTGGCCTCAGTCCTCGGCATTCCTTAGCTTAAAGCTGCATCCCTCCAGCCTCTGCCTCTGACCTCACATGGCGTTGGTCCTGTGTGTCTCTGTCTCCTCACAGCATTTTCCTCTTCTTATAAAAACACCTGTCACAATGGATTAGAGCCCACTCATATGAACTCATCTTAACTTCATTACCTCTCCAAAGGCCCTATTTCCAAATGATTCACAGGTATCAGGTGTTAGATACACATCATTCAACATATCAGTTTTGGAGACGCAATTCAACTGATAACAACTCCTTTATTCTCAATCGTTCACTTGAGAAAATGGGGATCATCATTCCTAGTCTATCGATTTGTTTTGAGTAAGGAAAAGAAAATGCTGAAAACATCACAGAACAATCTGTGAGAATCTTGTGAATCCTGCTCTGTGATAAACCCAGGGAACTTTGAAATAAAAGAAAGGGGATTTTCCACTAATAGTTCAACTTTTAAGTGAACAAAGAAAGCAGAAATACACAACATCCACAGAGCATAACGGGTGGCCTAATTGAAGCAGTTGCCTCTCTAAAGAACATCTTGGGCCGGGCGCGGTGGCTCACGCCTGTAATCCCAGCACTTTGGGAGGCCGAGGCGGGCGGATCACGAGGTCAGGAGATCGAGACCATCCCGGCTAAAAAGGTGAAACCCCGTCTCTACTAAAAATACAAAAAATTAGCCGGGCGTAGTGGCGGGCGCCTGTAGTCCCAGCTACTTGGGAGGCTGAGGCAGGAGAATGGCGTGAACCCGGGAGGCGGAGCTTGCAGTGAGCCGAGATCCCGCCACTGCCCTCCAGCCTGGGCGACAGAGCGAGACTCCGTCTCAAAAAAAAAAAAAAAAAAAAAAAAAAGAACATCTTGATGGGAAATGGTTTGTTCAGTCCTGGAAAGAGGAGTAACAAAGGCAGACCAAGGAGACCGCCTGACACCATTCAGACAGGGCACAGGAGAGAAGATGCCATGGGCTGGCCTCCGAAGAGTCTTGGTCTTGTGGATAAGGCTCTCACTGCTAGAGCCCTTGAACTTCAGAACCTTGCCCTGGACTCCTGGGGGTCTTGCTCTCTGCTCACCCGGTCACTTGCTGGGTCTGATTGGATTTTCACTGTTGCCTGCCTTCCCAGGGAGATTCCTCCAGCCATTGCACATCTCTCACCTGTTTTGCTTTTCATTATAAATGAATATACTGGCATTCTGATTTTATGCCTCAGTCCTAGGAACTTGCCTCTTTACCCCTGAGAAATTCATCTTTTCTTCCTGGTGCTGATTCTCAGATTTAGGACACAGTGACTTTAATCAGGTACCTAAGGGAGGGGGGCAGCCAGGCTCTTTCAGGTCAGTGTGCCTCTTCGTTTCTTTTAGATGCACCTGCCTTCTTCCTGGTGTCTATTCTGGTGTTTCTCCATCTTCTACGTGCACTTGAATATCCTGGGAATCTTGCTAAAATACAGATTTTTCTGTCACCAAACTGATGATAAGGATCCACTTGGTATATGGTAGGCATACAACACCTCTGGAATAGAATCTGAAAGTCTGTGATTCTAGAAAATTCATTGGTATTCCTGATGCTGCTGGTATGGGGTTCATGCTTTAAAAACCATTAGACTTTGCTCCTCAAAATGTGGTCTAAGGACCAACAACATCAGTAGCATCTGGGGGCTTGTTAACAATGCCGTTCTTTAGGGCCCAGTCAGACCTACTGAGTCAGAATCTCTGCAGGGGTGGGACCCAGAGATCTGTGTTATGAAAAGCCCTGTCAGTTGTCATGGATATGAGAATACCAGTCTAGAACTTGTGCCTCACTAATATTACAGCTTTGTTTTCCCCTTGTCTGCCTTGAAAGATTGAGGGAAATAACACATGCATGTGACAAAATTGTAGCAGCATCAGTGAACACAGGGAACAGGAACATTTGAGGGATCTGGGGGTTCTTTGTGATGGTATCAGATGAGTGAGCTTCTTCATGCCAAGAGAAGGAAAGGGGGAGAGGGAGCAATCCTAGGACCATGGAAACCCATGGAGCCTGTAGACTGTATGCCCAGGGGATGCAGACCACAATCTGAGATGAAGACAAGGACTCATAAGCAGAGAATTAGGAACCCTCACTCACCAGAGCAGGAAAACAATTTTCCTGAGGACTTGCATGATTTGCAGGAAGGCATTTCATCTCATTTTCCTTTAACAGTTTTTCTGTGCTTGCACTGTGATGCTTTATATTCATAGAATATTTATAAAATATGGAAACACACATAGAAAATAAAAATTATCCACAATCCTACTTCTCAGAAATGACCACTCTATACATTTGATATTTTGGTATATATTTTATATCCTGCCAAAGATACACATATAACTATATATATTTGTATAGTAAGAAATATTTCTACAAATATACATATACCCACATGCATATACATATGTTACGCATATAAATATGTAAATATATATACATATTTATGGTTTATATTATTTAGGAATATATACTGATACTATATATAGTACATATAAAACATTCATACGTGTAATATATACATATGTAAGAGAGCTCTTGAAATAAAAATGTACATATATACATACATAGCATCATTTATATAAAATATGTATTATCGATACATTGCCTATTTTTGTCTACTTAAAACATATGTGCTTTTATACATAAAAATAAAACACACAAGAAACCCCATAAGTATATAAAATTTCATAACCTACTTTTTACAATCAGTGCTATATTGTACTTCACCCATTTAAGCAGGACGTTCACAAGGTAGATATCTAAAATTCCCATGGTATCCACCACTAACCATCTCCCATTCCCCGGCCCGCCCCCGACTCCCACACACAACTAAAAGCTATAAACCTTTGTGGATTACATGAAGACTCAGCGGAAAGTGAAGAGGCAAAAATCAACCCGTCCTTCCTATTAGAAGCAGTGAACCAGGTAATTGCACAAGGAGAGCCAGCTCTAATCCCAAAGTGCCGGGTAACCACCTCTCATATGGACACCCTTCACACCCCAGCCCAAAAGCTCTGAACCAAATTAGGAGACAGGAAATCCAGCCTCTCTAATACTTTCCTGCATGTCTCAGTTCAGCCATCCAAGTTCTCCAGTGTTATACAAAGACTAAAAATTCAAAGTAAACAAATTAATTTTGAGTTTTGTTTTTGTTTTTGTTTTTTTTGAGAATTTCAGGTCCTCTCTTGAAAAAAGAGAGGATCTACTGTGGTGTTTTAAAGAGGGTCAGAAATCATGGTCATGGAACTATGCACAGGAAGACCTGTAAGATTGTCCCAGATCTAAACTGAAGCCCTCTTTTCCCTTTGTTTTCATCAAGAAGTCTATGCAGGTAGAGTCTGGAAAATTTTTAACAAAATGGTGCAGCATATTTGGATCCTTTAAAAATAAATGATTTCACAGAGCTCATTTCCATGTTTATTCTATTGATTCAATTTAAAATAAATTGTAACACGGAGCTCATAATAAGCCCAAACAGTCCAGGGATCATTTTCATTTTTGGAATAATAAGTCTCACTTTTTTTTCCTCTACTGCTGCAATTATGAGAGAATAGAAAATTAGATTGTAATTAATCAGCAAGGGTTTCTTTCCTCCGATCACTGGAAATTTCGAGGCTATAAAACTACCAAGTGGAGAAGTCACAGAGTTTCAAAAATAGCTGGAAAAAACAAATGATTCTTTGCTCTGATGCTTTTTTCTTTTTTTTGGTCAGAAGTTAAAGGCAGTTCAAAGTAAGGTTCTCAAGCTAAGTGGAAATCTCGTGCAGACACAGACCAGTGTTGCTGTAAGCAGAAAAGCTTTTGCTAAGGACAGAGAGCACCCATTCTCCTTCCTAAGACTTGAGAGGGGCATTTAGACACTTCCCTTGTCAAACAAGCTTGAGCCAGTGGATTTACTGCCCAAAGACACCATTTCTGTCACCGCAATCCAACTTGGTATGTGGTAGGAATGCAATTGCAATACCATTGCTACACTTCTCTGCTCTTCTCCCAGCCACCCAAAGATCTCTTTGTCTCAGGTACTGGGATTGTAAGACTTATTAATTATGGATCAACCTCTAATTTGAAGGTATGAGTCAAGACAGCAGGGGGTCTCATTAACATAGGATTAAAACCTGACTCAGAGACTAATTATTTTGTAACCATAAAAATTCAGGCTGGATTTAGTTTTGAGCAAAGCAATTTCTCAGCAATGAGCACATCTGTAAGGGATATTTTAAGATACACAGTCATTTTTTCTAACACTTCCTGTGACTCTACCTTTGCTTAATTTTTTCATTGCTGATGCTTCAATGTGCCTATGTGTGCTTATATAGGCACATATATCAGGACACAGCAGGCAAGAACAGTTTATCAACTGATGAAAGGAATCTCTATAGGAATGTGTTGACTAAACTTGGAAACCTGGTGTGAACCGGAAAGACATGGTCAAGCTCAAACACTTGTGAAATGCTAAGTGGGCTTCATTTATTAATGATTGCTGATCGAAGCTAAACAGACACATCTCAGTAAGTGAGTAGCTTCATTTGCCTGAACTACACCTCATTGAGGGGAGAATGTAAGGTGTAAAGTCTCTACTAGCAGCTACCAAATGTTGGTCTGAAGAGGCCTGTGGATCGCTGACACATTTTCACGTATCTACATCAAAATAAGGAAGAAAGATGTTTTCAAATGCTAGATTTAGTCAATTAAAATTTTCTAATTCTTTTTGTGTGGGTTAAAATGCCCATTCTTTCATACAATGACGATCATGGTAGATGGTAGTATCATAGCTGTTGCTATAATTATGTGATTGGGGTTTTTTGTCTAATTTTGTTTTATGTTCTAGCTTAATGAAATGAAGTCTGGGAGGTTTAGGTTGGCCTCTATATATATTGTTTAAATTATACATATGGGGACCAGGCATAATGGCTCACACCTGTAAACCCAGCAGTTTGGGAAGCCGAGGCAGGCATATCACCTCAGGCCAGGAGTTCGAGACCAGCCTGGCCAACATGGCAAAACCCTGTCTCTACTAAAAATACAAAAATTAGCTGGGCATGGTGGTGCACGCCTGTAATCCCAGCTACTCGGGAGTCTGAGGCATGAGAATTGTGTGAACCTGGGAGGCAGAGGTTGCAGTGAGCTGAGATTGTGCCACTGCACTCCAGCCTGGGGGATAGAGCAAGACTCTGTCTCCAATAAATAGATAAATACACACATACATAAAACATATGGTTTGTTGTCAGTTAGGAGTAATTTTGGCTGTAAGTAACAGAAAGTTCAATTCACTGTGGCTTAACCAATAAAGATTTTTATCCCACAAAATGCAGCATCTGGAAGTAGAGGGCTATTGGCAATGATCTGGTGTTCCTCACTGGCCACATGCCAACTTTATTTTGTTGGTCTCTTCCTTTATGTATGTATGCTATGGCCCCAAGAAGGCTGCTTTAGTTCCAGGGATCATATCTGTGCTCAAAGCCAAAGAAGGGGAGGATATGGTGCTTGATTTGTGATTAGGTAGAGCAATAACCTTCCCAGAACTGATTCTCATCCCTTGCAGACTTCTGCTTAGTACCGTTAACTAGAAATCTGTTACAGTGTCACAGGCTCACTCCTAACTGCAAAGTAGTCTGAGAAAGTGGCCATTTACCTTTTCTTAGCTTCTATATTGGTGAAAGGTGAAGAAAAAGTGGGTCAGGAATGGGTGTTTTGTTGGTTAGCCAATAGCGCCTGCCATGGGCCAGGAAATCAAGCATTCTGACCCACGTCACACTATTTTACAAGCCCTTAGTTCAATGATTGTCAAAATATGGTTCCTGAACTAGCAGCATAAGAGTCAACTGGGAATTTAAGAAATGTTCATTCTAGGATTCGACCCCAGACGAAATGGATAAAAAACTGTGGGAAAGGAGTAATGATCAGATGATTCTGACACACGTTCACATTTGAGAGCCATTGACTTAGCTATTGATGGCAGTGGTGGCCCACCTGGAGCAGCCACTGCCATCACGCTGGCAGCAGCAGGGAGGTGTGGCCAGGGCTGCACCCTCTGTGGAGCCAGTGGGAACCAGAGACAAGTGGGAGCCCCACTTCTTCCAAGCTGATGGGGTGGGAGCTCCCCTGGGGGCAGTTACCCAAATCACAGCTGCAGACCTGGGCCTCTCACTCCACAGAGCAGGCAGAAGCACCCCACCTCCTGCTACACAGCTGCAGCTGCCCAAACCACGGCTGCAGACCCAGGCATCCCTGCACTCCTGGGAGCCTGGGAAGGTCCCCCTCTCTGCCCTTGCAGGCTTAAAAATGCCTGCTCCCACTGCCTGGCTTCTTCTTCCTGCTGTCAGCATTTGCTCTGACCTCAGAGCAAAGTCAGGGGAGAACTTGGGCACTGTCACAGCCTGGCTGTGTGTGCACACACTCAGGGCAGTGCTGACACTCCAAACCCCTGCTGCCTCGACCCCCTCCAGACTTTGGGCGCTGACCAGCATAGGAAGGAACCTGATGGGCAGCTGAGGGCAGCTCAGTGCAGCCCTGCAGATGCCCAATGGCACCTAAAGCCTGGTGCCATGAACAGCAGCAGGAGGAAGACAAGTTCCTGGGAGGAAGGGAGTAGGTCCCTGATGAGGCCCCACCTTCAGGCCAGGGAGGGCCTGAAGCATGGATGCCAGGCTGCCAGTCCCGTGGACTGGAGAGGGAACCTGTGGTGCCTTTTCTGGGCCTGCCCGTGGACCAGTCGTCACACACTTCCTCCACCCTGAGGCCCATAAAAGCCTCAGGCTCAGCCAGAGCTGAGCAGGGATGACTGGCTGCAGACAGGAACTACCCATTTCAAGGCCTCCTCTCTGCTGAAAGCTACAGAGGTCAGGACGACCTGCCTGCAGAAAGGAGCTGCCTGCTCCAAGGTATCCTTTCTGCTGAGAGTACAGAGACTACAGAGAGATGATGGGGAGATAACAGGACAAGCTGCCTGCAGAGAGGAGCCACCTACTCTAGGGCATCCTCTCTGCTGAGAGCTATGCAGACGACGAGACAACCAGCTGCAGACAGGAGCTGCCCTCTCTGCTGATAGCTTGTCAGGGTGACTTGCCTAGCAGAAAGGAACTACCCTCTCTGCTAGGAGCTGAACACTTGTCAGGACACCCTGGATGTAGAAAGAAGCTGCCCCCTGTGGGTTTCCTCTGAGCTATTCTATCGCTCAATAAAGCTCCTCTTCATCTTGCTCACCCTCCACTTGTCTGCATACCTCATTCTTCCTGGTTGCAGGACGAGAACTCAGGACCCACCAAATGGCAAGGCTAAAAGAACTGTAACACAAACAGGGTTGAGACATGCTCCTTGCTTGTCAAGTTGCAGGAAAAGAAAAGGAAAGAAGAGCTGCAGCCCGTCAGGGAGCCCAGATCTGGGAGCTCCCTGAGCCAGGGCTCTGACTCCCTCTTTGGGGCCCTGCAGTCCCTGGCATCTCCAAGTTTCTGGGTGCCACCGTGTTCCCTGGTGTCAGCCATACAAGTTACTTGTGATGTGCCTGGTCCAGCTGAAGCCTTGCAGAGAGCTGGCACCTGTGTTGGCACCTGGAGTTTCCTGACCTGCTGCAGCAGCCTGTATATGTAACTGTGCACAGTGGCCAGACCCCATGCTCACTCACACACCCCTCGCCATTCCATGCCTGACTCACCCTTGGCAGGCATGGGACCCAGGCTGGTAGCGTGAGCCAAGAGCAGCCTGAGAGAGCAAAACGAGTGGGCCTGAGCAAAACTTGAGCAAAGGCACACAGGCCACACATGTTTCTGGCCAGAAAAACTACACCCCAAAGATCCTGTAACACTACTGCCCCAGAATCGTTTTCTGGCAATTTTTAGCTGAAAGGGTGAGAACATGCTGTCTAGAAAAACATCAAATGATCACCTGTGGGCAGCGAGTATTTTAAATTACTCATGGTTCCTTTTCCCAGATTTAGTTGAACTATCAAGCACCAGTTCTCAAACTAAAGCTTGAGAATTACCTTGCTGGGCCCTGCCCCTGAGTCTCTAATTCAGGAATTCTAGGCTGAGGCCTCCATAGTTACTTTTCTAATAATAACCAGGTGAGGCTGGTAATTTTCTGGTCCCAACTGTAACACTTGTGTGGGTTGCAGGCCACCAGCACCAACGTTGCCAGGTAGCTTGTTGGAAATGCAGACTTTTCTGGTCTCATCCCACACCCACTGAATCAGAATCTCTGGGGGTGGTGGGGCCCAGCAATCTGTATTTTAACAAGTTATTAAGGTAACTATGATGCACGCTAAAGGTTGAGAACCAGTATTCTGGACTAGTGCCTCTAAAACTTTCTTATATATGTGAGTCAACTATGGGTCTTACTAAAAATGCAGATTCTAATTTGGTAGGTGTACTAATCTTCTGGGGTTGCCAAAGACTGGGAAGCTTAAACAACAGAAATTTATTTTCTCACAGTTTTGGAGGCTGAACATCTCAAGTTAAGGTGTTGGCAGAGCTGATTTTTTCTTAGGCCTCTCTCCTTGGCTTGTAGAAGGCCCTCTCCACCCTCTGTCTTCACATGGTCGTTCCTTTGTGCATGTATACATCTGTCTACAAACTTCTTCTTTGATTAGGACAGCAGTCATACTGCATTACCCACCCCTCGGGAGCTAATTTTCACTTAATTATCTGTTGAAATTTCTTATCTCCAAATATGGTCACATTTCAACATACTGTAACATATAAATCTAGGGGCTATAGGGACACAATTTAGCCCATAATGGTAGATATGAGGTGAAGTCTGAGATTCTGCATTTCTAATCAGCTCCTGGCTGATGCAAGACTTCTGGTCTGTGGACCACACTTTGAGTGACAGTGACAGGATTCTACATCTCACACTGTGCCTGGGCAAGGACTGATCCAACAATTTCATTTAAGGAACTCTTTGTATAATTCATGCATTGACCATTTATCTTTTATACATCTTTACACTTTAATGCAGTACACAATATAATAAACCTTCCATTATCTGATGTTCTCCAAATTGATTCCTCCTGTAGTTCATATAATTCTTAATTCAATTGTCCTGGGGACTCTCCTAGAGTGACAGAAATTAGAATGTTGGACTGCAAGATCAGAATTCTAAGTAACTTTGACAGATTGGAGAACTGTAACATTATAAATGAAAAGGACAAAGTCCAATAGGGATAAGGGCAAGACAGTGCCCTTAGGTATGAAAAAGAAAGGATACACCATGAGGAGAACTATAAAGCACCCATGAAGTGGAAATCCAGAATCTCATCACTCAAGGTGAGAAATTATACTAACAATGAGCATCCAAGCAAGAAATTACAGAGGGGCAAGATAGCAAATGCCTCTCTGCTAATGCAAAGCCCCAAGTTAAGAAGAAATATATAACCATGTATTAAAACGACTCAGCATGTTACTGAGTTTTAAATATTATACTTCTGATAATTATGTTTGCATGGCTCTGAAACTGATTTTGACATTATTTTCTACTTAGGTTATGCCTGCTATATACTTAATTTCCTTAATCATTATGAAAATCAATGCCAGTTGCACACTGTAATCATCTGGATAACTTTTAAAACCATCAGTGTCCAAGCCCACCTATATTAATTTCCTAGGGCTGATACAGCAAACTACCACAAACTAGGTGGCTTAGAACAACAGAAATTTCTTGTTTCACAGTCCTGGAGGCTAGACATCTAAAATCAAGATGTTGAATGCTCCCTCTTAAACCTGTAGCAGAACTTTCTTTGTCTATTTTGACTTCTGGTAGCTCCAGGCATTCCTTGGATTGTGATGGCATAATGCCAATCTAATTTTTACATGGTGTTCTCCCCGTGTCTCTCCACATTGCCTTCCTTCTGTGCATGTCTGCGTCTGTGTTCAAATGTTCACTTTTAATAAGGGCACTAGTCATACTGGATTAGGATCTACTCTCATGATTTCATTTTAGCTTGATTCCTTTATAAAGATGCTATTTCCAAATAAAATAACATTCTGGGGGTATTAAGGCTTAGGACTTCAACATATCTTTTTTTTGTTTTTTTTTTTTTTTTTTTGAGTCAGGGTCTCAATCTGTCACCCAGGCTGGAGTGTAGTGGCATGAACACAGCTCACTGCAGCCTCAGCCTCCCATGTAGCTCTGACCACGGACATGTGCCACCATGCCTAGCTAATATTTTTATTTTTTGTGGAGATGATGTCTCACTGTGTTGCCCAGGCTGGTCTCAAACTCCTGGCCTCAAGCAATCCTCCTGCCTGGACCTCTCAAATGTGCTGGGATTACAGGCGTGAGTCACCATACCCAGCCAGGACTTCAACATATCTTTTGGGGGGACACAATTCAGCCATAACACCACCCCTGAACAATTATATCAGAGTTTCTAGGGTGAAGCCCAGACATCAGTATTTTGTAAGTGCCCCAGATATTCTAATACACAGCTAGGGTTAAGAACCACTAGCCTGGGAGAAGGTCTGCAGCAGCCACTGTCATCAAGGAAAGCCACTGGCACTGATGGTAGCTTAAGTGAATGTTGAGTAGGGCTTTATCCACCATGTCAGAATTTTGGCTGAAGCCCCAAAGCTGAAGCAATAGGTGATAAATTATGTACATTCTACAGCAGTGGTTTTCAATCTTGGATGCACGCTGCAATAAGGCAGGAGCTTTAAAAGGGCCCTGAGAGGCCTGGGTGCATCCCCAGAGATTTCCATGTAATCAGTCTGCAGTGAGACTTGAGCATGGAGAATTTTTAAAGTTCCCCAGGAACTATGCAGTCAGGATGAGAATCACTGTTCATGAAGAAAAATTTGCCACTGGCCCTCTAGACTGAGACAAGAATGCAGGGCTCCCAGCCCTTAGACTTCACTCTTCTCACCCACCAGCTTACCTTTTTAACATATTTTACAACATCCAACTGAAGCTCGTTCAGTATTCTTTCCATTTCTCATATACAAGTGAACAAACCTTTCTCATCTTTAAAGACAGGATGCTCCCCTAACCCTACTTCCCAATAAATTACCGTCTCTCTTCTCACTGTCAGGCAAAGCTTCCTGAAATATTATTCTAAACCCATCTTTGTCAAGTTTTCACATCCCAGGTGCCTCATAAGACTCTGAAACGGCTTCTGCCCTGACCATTTCCTTGAATCTGAACTTGCCAAGGTCATCAACAGCCTCCTCTTGCCAAATAACAAAAGACACAGTCCTCATCTTCCTGGAGCTCTGTCATGTTCAAGACATTTGCCCACTCCCTCCCTCACGTGTGCTGTTCTTCATTTAACTTCCATTGAGCCATTCCTTTCATTTTCCTTTGGGGGATCCTCTTGGTCACTTGCCTGTTAGTTACATTTTGGTGTCCATCTTAGGCTTATGTTTGTCTCATTGTGGATTAGGTTGAAGCATGCAAAATTATGTTTTGCATAGGCCAAAAGTGGTTAAATGTTGGTCATATCATATGGTTTAACCTAATGCCCTATCCCATTAATTGTTAACCACACCACCCATGGCTGTAGCTACTGCCTGTACGATGGGCTGATACTCAGATGGGTTGTTAAAATACTGCCATGTTTCCTACTCATGAGTAAGTAGCTGTTGCCCATTGTCTTCCTTCCATCAGAGCCCTCCCAGTGCCCTAACTGCCCTGCCCCTTTCCTGAGACTCCTGACATCTCTCAATGACCGAGTATCTAAAGGGAAGATGCCTGGCTTAACAGGGGTCCTCTGGGGCCCTGGTTCAAGGTTATAGCCAGCATCTGTTCTGATTGGTCAGTGTCTATGTTGTGCTGATTGTTAAATATTTTTGTATTACCCCGTCTTTATATTCATGATTTCCCAATGTATCTATTCAACTCAAACATCTTTTCTTAGCCTCAGACCCATATTGTCATTTGGCTTTTCCTACTTTGTTCCCATATAGACACATCAGAGTCAATATGCTTAAGATGAAACTCATCAAACTCTTCTTAGTAATAACTTTTACTTTGATGGCCCCAGTGATCTACATCTCCAGGCATCCACACCCTTGTGTAGTCCCCTCTCACACTGACTGTGCCCTTGGCCATGGGACTTGCTTTGGCCAATGGGCATTATCAAATGTGATAGAAATTGAGGCTTAACAAGAGCTTGTCCTCTTGGAATGCTTGCTCCTGGAGACTGCTCCCAAACTATAAATAAGCTCAGACTAGACTTCTGTGTGATGGGACCACGACGAAAGGGCGAGGCCATGGGCAGAAGCCTGGTGGCCCCAGAGGATACAGCACATCTTCACTCTACCCTGTCCAAATGCCTGGGCTACAAAATGATGAGAAGTAGAATAGTTATTTTAAGCATCGGTATTAGTCAGGGTTCTGCAAAGAAACAGAACCAATAGGAAGTATATAAATACAGAAAGAGACTTATTATAAGGAATTGGCTCATGTGATTATGGAGACTGAGATAGCTCAAGGTCTCCAGGGTGACCCGGCAAGCTGGAGACACAAGAAAGGCAATGGTGTAGTTCTGATCTGAGTCCCAAGGCCTGAGAATCAGCAGAACAGATTAGGTAGAACTGATGGTATAAGCTCCAGTCTGAAGGCTAGCAGGCCCAAGACCCAGGAATAGCCACTGTTTCAGTCTGAATTTGAAGGCAGAAAAAAGTTGATGATTCAGTTCAAAGACTCTCAGGCAGTAGAAATTCTCTTTTACTTGGGGGAGTGTTAGCCTTTTGTTCTATTTGGGCCTTCAGCTGATTGGATGAGGCCCAACCACATTAGGGAGAGCAATCTGCTTTACTCAGCCTGCTGATTTAAATGTGAATCTCATCTAAAAATACCCTCACAGAAACACCTAGAATAATGTTTGACCAAATATCTGGGCACCCCATGGCCCAGTCAAGTTGACACATAAGACTAACCATCTTAGCTTCTAACCTCTTTGGTGGTTTGTTATGCATCAGTAGATGACAGAAAAAAAATGTACTCCTTATATAGTATGATACAGTACAATACTGATGTATATAATACAGACTCATGCCTTGACCCACTTTAAGAAATGACATTCACCTAGTACCCAGTCCAATATCTAAGACTCTCCTAGACTTATAGTTTCCCTTCATTTGTACTTAGTCACCAATATTGTCTAGTTTTACCTCCTGATTATTTTCAAAAGACTCTTTGAAACTGCCACTGGCCTTTGTAGGACTATCACTGCCCTTGATAGGACAGAGATGGCAAATACTTGCTGGCATGCTATCACTCCTCCCTTCAATGGCCATGGCGAACATAGCCAATCCATCAGGGCCTGTGTTCAGCTCACCAGGAAAGTAGCCACATAATTCTCCTCAACACCCCACTCTAGGCATTTACTACAAATCCATCACACAATGTGCAACTTATTTGCTATCCCTATCCCAGACCCTCCTGATTTATCACTTGTATTAAGGCAAAAGCCACTTTGCTGGTTGCACCAACCTCCCCTGTTACAACTGGAGTCAATTTATCATCCACCTTTTAGAAGGATTACCAAATTAATCTTTCTAACATGCATCTAGAGTTGTCCAGGTTGCCAAACTGTGCTCACCCCAGGACTCAGAGGTGTTTAGGTGCGTGGTAGTTAGATTGATTGCAAAGCTGGCCCTAATTCTCTATCCTTATCTACCTCTATGTCCTCTTTGATGTGGCTTTGTAGTTTCTCTCATTAAGAGATAGTCTATTCCCCCCTCTTTTCAATCTGGGATGGCCTGGTGACTTTCTCTGAACTACAGAAGTGACATTGTGGAGATTCTGGGCCTAGGCCTCAAGAGGCTTTAAGCACTTCCCTCTCTCTTGGAACCCCGTCACAGGCATGAGAGCAATCCCAGCCTAGCCTGCTCAACGATGAGACATGGAGTGGAGCCAGTTCTCTTAAGCTACATTCCCTAGAGATGCCACAAAGCTGCCTAAGTACCCACAGCTGACCACAGATAGACTTGTGAGCCACAGTCCCCCAGCAGCCAGAAGAACTCATGCGGTTATAAGATTGTCACACCACATTTCATGGCCATAGGTAACTGATACAAAGTTTATATTAAGGACCTGCGAAGTAGGCCCCCCACAGCTCTATTTGGACAAAAAACTAAAAAATGACTGCAAAAGAAGTCATGCAACTGAGTCAAAGAAAAAAATGCAAGAGCCAACATAATCGATAGGTGGCTATTACGGAAAAACCTTTACAAGGCTATAAGAACACAAGGGGGCACCTGCTGATCCCACAACAATGCAGCCAGCACTTTCATCACTGGTGGGAGACAAAGCCTGCATCAGCACCTGAGTACCCCCAGAATCTTCAAAGGGCTTTGGCCAGCATCAGCGGCCCGAGCAGCTGACATCTCTGCAGGGAACTGACGCAGGGAAAATGGTAGTCACCACATGCTAGCAAAGAAGACTGTGATGGTGAGAACGTTTGAGTTGCAGCCAGGGGACTGCCAGAAATAAAAGAAGGCACTTTGAAAGGTCCTGCCAGAGAAAGAATACCTTAGGATAATACATATTTAATTTTTACTCTAACTTACCCCACAACCTGCTGTGGACCTAGGAAAATAATTTATAAAAGTCTATTTGTAATTGTTCAAAAATTATTTCCTTTGCCATAAAAAAAAACAAAAACAAAACTAGTTAAGACTGAAATACAAATTTATTCATCTCTCACTTCACATGCATTTCCATGCATTCACACACAATTTCCACCTGCATCATTTCTACTCATTTCTACCTTTTTTTTTTTTTTTTTTTTTTTTACTCTCCCAGCACCTCTTAGATCATATGGTTTCTTATTTCCTGCCATATCAGCTGGAGAGGTGAATCCCTCTTCTTCCGAAACAGCATCTCACAGTCTGCATAGTTTCTCTCCCCATAAGACACATGATTTTATGCAAAAAAATAGCAGCTACTATTCTGTTATTCAAGCAACCATGTAAACAAGGGGAAGGTGGTTCCTTCTCTCCAGCAGCGGCAGGAAAATTGAACTTGTAGTAGAATGAAAAAAAAAAATGGCCACAAATTCTTTGTCCTGCCTATAAAAGTAAAGTCTTTCTCCTTCATCCTTGAATCAGTGTTTGGAAATAACATTTGCTTTGGCTGACACAACTTCAGCAGCAAATGAGAGAAGAGGCTTGAAATGTGCTTGCACATTTTTCTGTGTGCTGGAAGTCTGAGACAATTTGAAGGAGCTCAAGCTTGCCTGCTGAAGGAGCTAAATGGAGAAAACCAAAGCCCCGAGCCTTTTATCTGCAAACCACCAGGCCTGTGAGTGAGGTCATCTGAGCCCCTCCAGCTCTGGCTAAGCTGCCAGGGAGGCAGCAGCTCCATGAGTGAGCTTGGGCAAGACAAGCTGAAGAATGACCTGGTTTAGTCCAGCCCATGAAAGGATGAGCAAATAAATGATTGTTGGTTTCAGCTATTACGTTTTGGGATAGTTTATGAAGCAAAAGCTAATGGATGTATCACTAAAAATAAGGTATACGAAGTCAGAAGCATATGGTACAGTGGGAAGTTATAACACCTCCTCATACAGAATGGGCTTTCCAAACCACAGCAAATTGCAGAGGGGATAGGAGCAGCATTCATTTCTTTCTCCATCATCAGAATCTTATTTTAAAAGCCCATGGGGGAATGAAGATGCAATAAACAACAAAAATACAAAATAAAATGAGAGCAAAAGTTTCTTTCAAATCTTAGAAAATCGAATAGGTATATTTTTTGAGAAGAGCAGTTAAGGTTCTGTAAACTACAGAACTATTTATGTTTTCACAAGCTGTTTGGTTTAGAGAAACTCCTATTGCAATTTATGTTTCACCTCTAACAAGTGCATGGGATTTTCCAGAATACAGTATGTATACTGGTCATTTTTTGGTCACATTTTCCACATATTATACAAATATTTACCCACATTTCACTGCTTTCTCACCTGTAACCTATTATATTTTTCTTTAAAGCATTCAAAATGCCTTTTGAATGAAGACTCGATACATATGAAATTTACTTATTGATTTGCTCTATTTTGATTTTAAGGCAAACCTTAAATTCAGCTGATCACAATGTCCAAGCTTTTTTGTTTTCCCTTTATACCTTATTCCACATGGCAATGGATGGAGTCATGGCAAGAGAGGAGGAAGTGGAAAATAGAGGTGATAAAACATTTTGCAATTTTCCAAGTGCTAGAGATAATCTAAGATATGTACATTTTCTATTGAAATAGCTTCCCCCATAACAATATACACTCTTATTAAAACCGTATTTTTGCTGACAGAGCCCAGAGTTGCTTCACTCAGCATCCTGCATATAGAAAAAAAAAAACCCTAACTGCTCTAATATGAATATACTTTGATTTTCTTGATCTCTTATATTTTATTTTTTTTTTTTTAGAGCTCTGCATTCTTCCTTGACACTTCCGAATGACTCTGGGACTGACTGTATTTGAACCAAGTTATTTGAATTTTGATCTATACCTTTAATAAGGCACATTGTTTTGAATACATTAGTTTGAATAGTAGAGCCAATTGACTATTTTTTTTTTAATGTAAGTAAAGAAATTAATAGGATTTAGAGATTAGCTTGAACATCTTCTTTTATGTGACCTAGATAACATAGTCTTATTATTACTACATTCCTAATAATAAAGCATATAGTGTTTTCCAATGAGTTAAAACAATAGATATATATAAATATAAAACATATTACTCATATCTGTTGTGTACTTAGCTATTATTAATATTAATCATCTCTGCTTTCTTCCAGGGAGCTTAAAGTCCCATATATTTTACAATCAAAACTGTCAAGAATTATAACACTACTCTATGTGATCTCTATAAAAGGAGATATAAATGCCAATCAAAAGGGCCATTGGTTGCTTCATTTATATTCAAAGTGCTTCTGCCCATAAATTACATTAATGGTTTATATTCTTTTTACATAGTCTTGGATGAACTTGAAAGCATGCCAAGTCCCTTCATTCTTGTAACCTCTGCTTGAGGAGGAAGCAACCCAGGCAGGGCCTTAGGATCTCCTTTGCCCCGTACACTCCCTAGACATGGAGAAATGGCCACACTCTGCCTGTCTCCAGGCAGTCCCAGATTCAGTGCCCTTGTAGAGGAGCGTGATGGTGACTCTGCATGCTAAATTGACGCAAGGAGTACATCCGGGTCGCTCCTGTAACCGTGTACACCAAGTTAAAGCTGTTTGGCAAGGCCGTGGTTCTTATTTCCCTTTACTTTTGCTGGGGAAAAACTTTGTCAAATGCTAAATACGTTGAAATGTCATCATAAGTCCATCTCAGAACAGACTAGGATGATGATGGCACCCAGGGCATTCCAGCCTGATTCCAACTTGGGTTCTTTAGTAAATCATATTTAAATGAAATTCAAGAACACCTCCAATTTAGAGCATCCTTGATTAATCCATTTTGAAATGTCACTACTGTACTCCAAACACCTTCGGAGAATGTGCTAACAAGCACAAGGTGGTGACTCCCTGTTTAAAGAACGATGCTGAAATAAGAAAGGTCGTTCCTCAAGGAGAGCAAAATTACCCCATCGATTGCACAATAATATTTGAAGTAATTGTCTTCCTGCTTTCTTCCCATTTTCCAAGATATTTATTACTGGAATTGTGAACATTGAACCAGACTGGGGGAAAGCCACCTTCCCATTGACTTACAGGTCAACCCCTTCAGACAATAGACAATGGCAGGAACATCAAGCGGACACCCACAGGTTTGCTGCCAGAATTGTGTCTTGTCTCCTGGGCATCCTGTGTGATTTTCTTCTGTCTGTTCTTCTAACTTCCTGGCTCTAATCAGAAGCAGGAGAAGCACTTCTAGAGCAGAATTTAATAGTGTCCGTATTGGCTAGCACTGTAACTTTGTAGATGGGGCAGGGGGATGCATTACGAATAAGTGACTGTGAATGGAACGCTGCTGGCCTATTATTTTTTCAGATTGAGAAATGATTGCTGTCGTTTCAAACTGCTATATTTAGTGAATCACTAATTAAATAATCTTATAGGGTCTACGTACCTGGCAGTGTGGTAGGCACCCAAGGACCAAAGAAAATGTGGAAAATGGCCGCTACTGTTTCTTGTCTTATGAGGGCAGAAGTTCATTAACTCACTGAGGCAAGTATTGATTGAGCCCCCAGTATGTGCCAGACACTCTCCTGGCTCTGGGAAAAGGGCAATGAACAGGCCAGGCGCGGTGGCTCAAGCCTGTAATCCCAGCACTTTGGGAGGCCAAGGAGGGCAGATCACCTGAGATCAGGAGTTCAAGACCAGCCTGGCCAACATGGTGAAACCCCATCTCTACTAAAAATACAAAAATTAGCTGGGCGTGGTGGCGGGTGCCTGTAATCCAGCTACTCTGGAAGCTGAGGCAGGAGAATTACTTGAACCCGGGAGGCGGAGGTTGTAGTCAGCTGAGATCGTGCTATTGCACTCCAGCCTGGGCAAAAGGACAAAACTCCATCTCAAAAATAAATAAATAAGCAATGAATAAAACAGACAAAAGCCCTTACCTTCATGGAAATTTGTAATTTCATGGAGGACACAGTAAAAACCAGAATAAATGAGTAAAATGTACAATATGTAGATAGTGCTGAAAGGGGTTAGGAAGCAGAATGGGTTTTAGTTTTTGTCCAGGGAAGACCTTGCAGAGAAGAAAATATTTGGGTAAAGATGTAAAGGAAATGAGGAGTGAGTCACATGCAACCCTAGACAAAGAGGAAGCACTGGCAGGAAACATGTCTGAGGTAAGAGCTGCAGCCACAGGTTTTACATTCCTAAAATAGCCACCACATTTTCCATCCCATGTGACCTTTAGAGCCTTGCCATCCCCCACCCCATCAAGAGGTGAAGTCCATGTCCCCTGTCCTGGAACCTGGATAGGCCTTTGGGATTGCCCAGACTGGTAGAGAATGGCAAGTATGACAGAAGGGATGCTATGTGACTTCCAGGCTAGGTTGTCAAAGGCAGTAGAGCTTGTGTGCGAATCTCTTTCTTGGAAGACTCACCTTTGGGACACAGCCTCCATGCTGTGAGGAAGCCTAGGCTGCACAGAGGCCACATGGAGAGGGATTGGGCTGAGCCTCCGGCTCACAGCCTGCCGCCATGTGAATGAGCCAACTCTTAAGCAGATCCTCCAGCCTCCAGTTGAGTCCCCTCAGCTGACACCATGTACAGCAGCAATGAGGGACCTCTGATCAAATGGCAGAGTTGTGAGCAAAATAAATGATTGCTGTTGTTTTAAACCACCATGTCTTGGGGGTGGTCATAGCACTAGGTAATTAAAACAAGCAAAGAAGATGCTGTGGCTAGAAGGAGCTAGGTTAAGAGACAGTGGGAGGAGAGGAGAAGGCCAGATCCTGGAGGGCTTTACAGGCCATCAGAAATACTTTGGCTTTCACTCTAATGGCAAAGTCACTAGACCAACAGTTAAATGCTGCTCAACTCCAGGTCCTGGGCATCATTAAGAGGGCAGCATCCAGGGGCAACAAGTCCTTAAACACCCTTGGGCAGAAGTTTTTTCCAATAGAGGGAGTCTTCCTTCTACCTCCCATGAGCACCATTTTGTACTCACGGTGACAAACTCACACACCGATCTGACCAGCCCTTTCCCTGTCACAAAACTAATATTTTCCTCTACAGTAAGCACTAAGGATCCCAAGAGCACGCTGGCTACCTGGGTTACGGAGATTTCTCAGCATCCTGCCTATTTACGTTTCAGCCACTGTAGACCTGTGAATGCCCAAATGGGGTGAGAGAAAGGGGGCTTTCCGTGTAGGCTTTGGACTTCAATTTCCCTGTGGCTTGAGAAGCCTCTAGTTTGCTGACTTTTAAGGACTACAGCATGGCCCATCTGTCACAGAGACATTTGCTTCATTGTGTGGGAGGACAGGCAAATGCAGTCCCAGAAACAAAGTGTTTTTCAATGCTGAGAGGCTCAGAAAGATGAACATTAAAAGAATCCATCATTGCCAAGGTTTTAAACAGGTTAACACATCCATGTGAGGTGCAGTATCAGCCCCCCCACTTGGAGCTAAGTTTATAAAGGTGTTCATTTTGGGAGTTCATAAAACTGGATAGCCTCCAGATAAGAGGGCAAGGGGAACCCCAGCAATGATGGCATTGACGGTGAGTCTAGAGGTGAACGGGCTGCTGTGCTCTTCCCTGCTCCTCAGAGTCACAGAAGGTTAGGGTCATGTCCAATTGCCCCTGGGGACAACTCCAGGGGTTTGGGATGGAGGTCTAGCATTACCCAGAACAAGTATTTCACCACTCAGTTTTTCACTTTGAGGGAACTACAAACAGTGATACATTTCCAAATGTTACATTGTGTCCCTGGGCAGATTTAAAGAGAACATTTGGGTAGGTGGATTAGCAACAGGATTTGATGAAATATCCTTTAGACTAAGCCAGTTAGGAAGTAATAAACACTTCTGTTCTTGTTTTGTTGTTTTGTTTTAACAAACTCCAGATCATAGATAGGGTGGCAATGTGCTGAATATCGTTTCTGGTAAATGTCATGTAGAGTAGCCTTGAAACCTCAACATTCTCAAGTGCGTTGACATGAAAGAGGGTCGTTCAGGCTCTGAAAGGAATGCTGGACAAATAGAATAATGGCTTGCTTTCAGGTTTTGGGTTTGTTTTCCTAGAATTGAAGTCATGTGATTTCATCAGAGAGATGCTAAGCCTTTCTTAAGAGAATGCAGTCAGAGAAAGTAAAAACTAGAGGGTTCCCTTGAGGTCTTCTCATTTTATAGATGAGGACACTAAGCCTCAGAATGGTTATATAACTTACCCAAGACCCTCAGCTGTCTGGGGGCCAATAATCACACAGGTTATGTCCTAGGACCGGGGGCTTTTAACACTGTTTACTGCAGTTGCTGATAGCATGAGCCAGTTACTCACATCACCAACGTCAGCACCTGGCGTGGAGAAGTCACTCAGTAATGACGGTAGCGGACTTCCCAAACAAGCCTTAGGCATTTGATGGTAGGACTATGTCTTGCTTTCTCTTAACTTCCCAATGTCTAGCAAATTGCCTTCTGCATAACAGGGCTAATTTTAAATAGATAAATGTACATATGGTGGATTCCAAACACCCTTGAAATATTAAATTGTTTGTTCTTTCTTATTGCTGAAATGCCAATATATTAAATAGTTATAGAGGTTATGGAGCATCTTCTATGGGCGACATGCTGCAGATACAGTAGTGAGGAAAGCAGATGAATCCCCTGGCCTCATGGAGCTGACCCTATAGTAACTGTGTCCAGCAATAGGTGAACACTCAAAATAGCGAAACTGGCTCAAGCCGCCACACTCACAGGCCCAGCAGACGAGGCAACTTTACATATCTAAAGAAAAGCCAGGCAACTGTTTCCAACAGAATGGTGTCAACAGGGTCAGATACATTATGCAGTTGTTCAGCACACAGAAGGGTTAATGTGGCCAAAATAGTCTCCGGAGACCCAAAAACATTTGATCATTTTCATGAGGATACAGTAGGACTTGAAAAATCAGAGAGGAGAGGAGATCATCCTCAGAGGGTGGAGTAAGAGGGAGGAACACGAGAGCACATATGAAGGGCCAGGCATGACAACCCCAGTCAAGCCAGAGTTTAGGCCCTCTGTGGGCCTTATGTAGGAGAAATAGGGTCAGATGGTAGAGGCATCATTTATGGAAAAACATCTTTTTGTTGTTGTTATTGTTGTTGTTTTGAGATGGAGTCTAGCTCTGTCGCCCAGGCTGGAGTGCAGTGATGTGATCTCGGCTCACTGCAACTTCTGCCTCCCAGGTTCAAGCAATTCTCTGCCTCAGCCTCCTGAGTAGCTGGAATTACAGGTGCCCACCACCACGCCCAGCTAATTTTTGTATTTTTTAGTAGAGACAGGGTTTCAGCATCTTGGCCAGGCTGGTCTTGAACTCCTGACCTCGTGTTCCACCCGCCTTGGCGTCCCAAAGTGCTGGGATTACAGGCGTGAGCCACCGCACCTGGCCAAAACAACATCTTTAATATAATATTTACTTTGAGAAATAGTGGGAAAGTGGATGGTTGCTGTAAACTCTCTTTCGACGTGTTTATGTGCAGATTGAAGACATTCTAGGGAACACTCACCCCTTATCCTTCCATCCTCCTCAGAGCAATGCCTCTTCAGGTGAGCAAACCCACTGAAATACAGTAAGGCTCTTCTCATATGGGTTGTCAAATATGAGAGAGTAAACATGCATAATCACGTTCCCAGGACATACTCCACCTGTTAATATTTCACATTAACACTCTATAGTTAATACTTCAGAAAATAAATTTTAAGTGTCTACTTTCACTTTGTCTATCTGTGGATCTACTCTCCGTACATTGAGACCAGAGCACAAACATAATAAAAGTGAATTAGACTTTTAAAGATACAGATATTTACATAGTCTATATACTGGTGTCCATGCCATGGCTATAGGTCAAATTTTAAGTATTTCCCATAATGGAGGAGTGTGTATGGAGCAGTGTGGGGAGACAATGAACTGAGTTGTGAATGAAATGTCTACATTTTAAATTAATCACTTTTGATAACCATAAAGTTAATGGTTAGGTTTAAGTGATCCATTGATTGCACCGTTGGCCTTAATTATTGGCCTCCCTCTAGCAATGCCATTGGCCCTCTGACTTTGGCGTCTCTTCCTTCTCTGACTCTGGGCTAGCCTTTTGACTTGCTCTGATCAACAAAATATGATGGAAGTGAAGACGCCAGTTCTAAGCCTAGGACTTAAGAGACGTTGTGTACTTCTATCTCTTGGAACCTCATGCTGGGCTAACCTGGAGGTTGAGAGATCCCATGAAGCAGAGTCTCTCCAGATCTAGTATCTCACCTAGATCAATTAGCAACCAGCTGTGAGAACCTAGCCAAGATCTCTCCAGTCCACGCTGACCATCCATCTATCTAATCTACAGCTGAACTCAGATGCATGAGTAAGCCCAGCCCAGACCTGAAACACTATCCAGCTGACCTTCAGCCTCATGAGTAATAATAAATGCCTGTGTTTTAATCCACTGAGATTTGGGTGATTTTTTTGCATAACAACAGTTAACCGATACAGAGTAAATCCTGGCTGTACATCACAACATCCTAGGAGTTTTTAAATATATTAATGCCTGCCCCATTTCCTCCCTACCCCAAGATTCTATTTAACCACCTGGGTACTGTTTTATTCTGTTTAAGTTTCCCAGGTGATTCTTATGTGCGGCCAGAGTGAAAAACCTCCTGGACTAGAAATTCCCCCGACTCCTCCAAGTATTAAAATTCTAGGTAAGTGGGGCATTTGTTGTCTTAGGTGTAGACGATAGTAAGGTATGTTTGCTTTTACATACACATCACTGAGAAGAACAAGATGAATCTGTCTTCCTGCATGCAAAACAATTCCCTAATTGCCCATCAGTTTCTCTAGGAAATAAGATAGTGATTTCTGACTCAAAAGCCAATCTGCAAGGCTATGACTTATGGGGTGGATGAGAGAGCTTGTCCCCTGAGGGTCCCTCTACCTTCCTTTTGGTTGCTGGCCGATATAAGCCCTTTTGCTACTTAGTTTCGGCTGTGACTTTGTCAAAACCTGGCACAAAAGGGATATGAGCAGTAGATCATGGTTGGGGTTGGGGGCAGTTTAAGATATTATGCTGTTTTTACTTTCTATTTAAGTATATGTCAGAGAATTGCTCTTGGACACAGTGGCAAAATAGGGAGAAGAGGGATTTTCTAAAAAGTATTTTTTTGAGAGATAGTAAGAAGGTCTGTCCAGTAGATTCCTTGGTGCACTCAGATTCTCTTTCCTGGACAAGTGTATCCCTCCCCAGGCTGCTGTAACTGTTGGCTGCCAATGGTTCACACCTGCCCTCTTTGCCAATGACTTACCTTCATCAGACAGAAGCCACCTGCCTGGAAATACAGTCACACATCGCTTAATGAACAGGACACTTTCTGAAAAATGCACTGTTGAGTGATTTCATCATTGTGTGAACATCACAGAGTGCACTTACACAAACCTAGATGCCATGGCCTGCTACACACCTAGGCTATATGGCATAGCCTATTGCTCCTGAAATACAAGCCTGTACAGCTTGTTACTATACTGGACACTGTAGGCAATTGTAGCACAATGGTAAATATTTGCATATCTAAACATAGAAAAGGTACAGTAAAAATACAGTATAAAAGATTGAAAAAGGGTACATCTGTATAGGCCAGTCACCATGAATGAATCTTTCAGGGCTGGGAGTTGCTTTGAGTGAGTCAGTGAGTGAGTGGTAAGTGAATGTGAAGGCCTAGGACATTTCCTGTACACTACTGTGAACTTTATAAACATTTTACACAGTCTATATATTTATTAAAAATATTCTTTCTTCAATAATAAACTCAGCTTACTATAATTTTTTTATCTTATAAACTTTTTAATTGTTTTAGCTTTTTGACTCTTGTAATAATGCTTAGCTTAAAATGTAAACACATTGTACAAATATACAAAAATATTTTATTCCTTTATGTCCCTATTCTATAAGGCTTCCTCTACATTTAATATTTTTATTTTTAATATTTTTACTTTTTAAACATTTTTGTTAAAAACTAAGACACAAAGCACACATTAGCCTAGGCTTACACAGAGTCGGCACTATCAGTATGTTTATTTTGTCCACTGGGAGGTCTTTAGGGGCAATGCATGCATGGAGCTGTCATCTCCTTGATAACTATGGCTTCTAGAATACCTCTTGAAGGATCTGGCTGAGGCTATTTTACAGTTAACTTTTTATCATAAGTAGAAGGAGTACACTCTAAAATAATGATAAAAAGTATAGTATAGTAAATACAGAAACCAGTAACATAGTAATTTATCACCATTATCAAGTACTATGTAATATACATAATTGTATTTCTAGACTCTTATGCACAATTGGCACTGCAGTAGGTTTGGGTACATCACTGCAAACACGTGAGTAATGCGTTGCACTATGAGGGCTGCAAAGTCACCAGGCAACGTCAATTTCTCAGCTCACTGTCCACTGTTGACCCAAACCTCCTTATGTGGTACATGACTGCACCTGGGAGGTTGCAGCTGGGTAATCACTAATGGAAACAGGGTGCAAATGCAAATACCTGGCCCATTTTTCTCAAGGCAGAACAACCCTCTGGTGCCATTCATACTCCAGAGCTCCACATAGGGTCAGGTGGAGGCTCAACATTATTGGAAGGCCTTTTATTTGCTCTCTTCTTTCTTACCCTATCCAGCCTCACTCCTCTTTCTCCTGAAGCTCTTCTTCAATGACTAACTTGTACTGGAATCTTCATAGTAGGCTCAACTTCTAGGAACACAACCTAAGAAAATCTGCTTTCCTGAAAGGTCTCTAACCATCCATCAGAAGTTCCCTCAACATTTCTCTGTACCTATCCTTTCTTCTTTCCCACTGGCTCTCAGGAAGAGGCAGTCCTCCTCCACAGCAATGTTAATCACTTATGCACATTCTAACTTCTGTCTTTACAAAGCACAGGGATTGTTGTAGCACTACCATTCTTCAGCATCTTAAAGGTCTTTTTCTACTAACCCTTCTTCTGACTTCATGAACACCAGATAACCTCCATCTTAAGCAGGACCCTAGTGAACTGTCTCAGCCTTAATGCTCTACTCCTTTCTACAAAGCACTCAAAGTCAAAATTGAGACCTATTTTCTCCTGGAAACCTTCTCCCCAACTCCAGCCCACATTGATCTCCTTCACCCATTTCTTCATGTAACATCTACTCAAGCAATTTAGCCCTTAAAGAAGTCCTTATATGCTATCTTTATGCACAACACCTGCCTTCACCATTTATTTTACTCAAATATCTTGTCTCTAGCTAAATAGCAGGCCTTCATGGAGACAGACCGTATCTTTCTTATAATTTAATATTCCATAGTACTTTGTTCAATTGACATGTATCAACTGATTATCTAAAAGAAAGAGTCTAGAGTCATACTTAACATTTCATAGTGCAAAGGATATGCAATCTAACCTAACTGTCAAAGCACAGAAAATGTTAACAAAGTGGTTGGGACTTGCCATTTTGGAATAGCACATTTTTAGCAATTAGGTTCTCTACACTAGAGAGCCAGTAGACTGATATTCTTTAATGCCAGTTTCCTAGTTAATTGTAAAGATAGACACAAGTTCCCCCCTTTATAAAAGCTTCTGTTGTTTCACATAATGACTTTAACTATAATGGAAATGGGGCAGGACAAATCAATTTTTAGCCTTCAGCAAGTTAAGTTTGTCAATATAAAATGTAAACAGCAGTAGAGATTGGTAGTAAATGCTACAGGTTTATTCCAATATTATAATACCTCTCTTTTCTCCTTCCCAATTAAATTTAAAATCTTCTGTAATTAACATGGTTTATTCAACCAGTGTAAAGGCCATCTCTATACCATGTACTCTAAATCCACATGATGCAAAACGATTTAAAATTTGAACTTTTTGCAAGAAACAAAATATATACAAATGTGACCAAAGTCTAAAATGGAGGCTTTGAATTCTTCACTGCCAGAATTTTCATTCCAGAGATATTAAACGATGGCAATTAAACTCCAGTGAGCATCCTCCCCTTGGATTTAAATGTATGTCTCAGAAAGGGAGACGAATTACATTAATGAAATAGTGAAAATGTAACAGAGTTGCACTCCATTCATCTGAAGGTCAGGCCTTCACGGGGAAACAACTGTCTAGAAAACAGCAGACATAGCTGAGCAATCCAAAGTTACTTTACAAAAAAAAAAAAAAAGGAGAGGAGGGGAGAGGACGGGAGGGGAGGGGAGGGGAGGGGAGGGGGCAGGAGGGGAGAGGAGGGGAGAGGAGGGGAGGGGGCAGGAGGGGAGGAGAGGGGGCAGGAGGGGAGAGGAGGGGAGGGGAGGGGGCAGGAGGGGAGGGGAGAGGAGGGGAGGGGTGAGGAGGGGAGGGGTGAGGAGGGAAGGGGTGAGGAGGGAAGGGGTGAGGAGGGAAGGGGTGAGGAGGGAAGGGGAAGGGAGGGGAGGGGTGAGGAGGGGAGGGGAGGGCTTAGGAGGGGAGGGAAGAGGAGGGGAGGAAAGAAAGAGAAAGAGAAAGAAATAATTTTTAGAAAGTCAGGCTGAGTGTGGTGGCTCATGTCTGTAATCCCAACAATTTGGGGAGCCTAGGCTAGTGGATTGCTTGAGCCCAGGAGCTTAAAACTAACCTGGGCAAATTGGTGAAACCACATATCTCAAAAAAAAAAAAAAAATTAGCTGGGCCTGTTGGCATCTGCCTGTAGTCACAGCTACCCAGGAGGCTGAGGTTGGAGGATGACCTGAGCTCAGGAGGTTGAGGCTACGGTGAGCCAGGATCCCGCCACCGCAGTAGGATACCACCACTGCACTCCAGCCTGGGTGACAGAGAAAGAACCCGTGTTAAAAAAAAAAAAAAAAGGCACTCTGGGTTGTTGAAATGGCTGTGGCAAAGCACAAATGCCAGTTTAATAGATGAGCCCTCAGTTCACCACTCTCAGCCTATTGACATCTTTTGCATATTTTTGATACGTCCTTGGTTATCTATCTTGCCAGCTCCCCGCAGATTAAAATCAACACATTATTAAAGGCAGGAGAGCTTCAGGAGACTAGCCAGTCACCAATAAAGCCATAACTGGAAATTGGAGATCAAAGGGAAAAACACTGCATGACATAAAAAGTGACATTTGCGATTATGGTTGTGAATCATCAAGAAAAGACAGGGTTAGCTGGCAATCTTTGTTTAATAACGCATAGAAATGGGTAATATACTTTTGAAAGGCTTTCAGCAAACTTCAAAAATCTGTCACGCAAAAAAAAAAAAAACACTTTGAAAATCTAAAATATTTATGACTGTTGGTTGTATGGGTCAGTTTCCATTTCAGGTACTCTGACATATGTCCTCATTAACTAAATAAATGTCCCCAAAATGTCTCAGGCTTCCTATTAGACTTACAGCCAAAAATTTTACATGAAAAATAGAGTGATCATAATTATTGAGAATAGTTTATTCCTCGAGAAGAGGGGATGTGGGGGAGTGTGAGGGAAGACATACAATATAAGAAAGACCAGTATTTCTAAGTAGGTTGTGGTTCCATTTGTATTCAGTCAATATGGAGGCAAATGGATCCCACAAGCCGTTGGATAGAGCCGAGGAAATAAAGGAAGACATATATCCTTACCCCAACTTACCCCAGGAATTTCCTATCTAAATTGAACTAGATTATTTAAGGTTTTCTTTATAAATCAGAATTGTCAGATCTCTAAAAATAATATAACCTGCTCTCCATCCCTGCATGACCCCATAAGTTTGTAGCCATATCACAGTGAAAAAGAAGCAAACAGTTGTTACAGGCTGAGGAAGCGGCACCTTTAAAGACACAAAGCTATTTTAGTGCTTGGTGTAGTTGTAGCTAAATCAGGGAGTATAAGTAGATGAAGGAAACCAAAAATGTTTCACCCAAAAATACACTTCTTTGACATATTTTGGGATGGCTATTCAGAGGGCCTGCAGACAGGAATAGCCCTGAAAAACTGCCTTTTATGGAGGAGATTTTCAACTATAAAGAAAAATCGGCCAGGCACAGTGGCTCATTCCTGTAACCCCAGCACTTTGGAAGGCCAAGGTGGGTGGATCACCTGAGGTCAGGAGTTCGAGACCAGCCATACCAATATGGTGAAACCCTGTCTCTACTAAAAATACAAAAAGAATCCAGTGTGGTGGTGTGTGCCTGTAGTCCCAGCTACTCAGGAAGCTGAGACAGGAGAATCACTTGAACCTGGGAGGCGGAGATTGCAGTGAGCTGAGATCTCACGACTGCACTCCAGCCTGGGTGACAGAGCAAGACTCCATCTCAAAAAAAGAAAAATCTACATTAGTGAAATAAATAGCCAGGCTTTTCTCTGAGGCCCTTACCTTTATCTGGATGTAGAAAAAATTAACCAACCACAGGCTACCATTTATTCTTTCTGAGAGCTGCTACCTGTGACCACCTTTGCCTGATGCCTTTTTCTCTCTTTCCCATAAACTGCCTTGCCATTCCCCAAGCCTCTGTTCTTTCTGTAACCTCACGATGATATGAAAGCATCAACCATCTTGAACTTTCTTTGAGTTTTCATATTTTCTATGACTCTTGTGTACAGGTGTGCATATTAATAAATGTTGTATGCCTTTTCTCCTGTTAATCTGCCTCTTGTGCATTGATTTTTAGTAAAACTTCAGAGAGTAAAGAGGAGATTTTTTCCTTGGTCCCTATAAACAGAAAACATGGGAGAAGACTTCCAGAGCTACAGGAGTGTTTGTGGCAGTGGAGTATCTATGGCGGTCATTGATATGGTGGGTTCTGCTGGATTTGGTACCCAACAGAGCAAAAGCAAAAGAATAAGAGAGTTGGGCAAGTAGACTTTGAAGTCTCAAGTTTGGATACCTGGGATAAAGGAGGCACTGTTAGTAAGCACAGGAAAGCAATCACTGGATGGTAATGATAAGGGCCATCTTACTTATGAGACCCTGACAGGTCAGCCCATACAGCCCTCTAGGGAGTTTAAAATATTAGTTTTAAAAGCAATTGCAACAAAGCAAACATTAATAAATGGGAACTAATTAAACCAAAGACCTTCTGCACAGCAAAAGAAACTATCAACAGACAATCTACAGAATGGGAGAAAATATTTGCAAACTACACATTTGACAAAGGTCTAATATCCAGCATCTCTAACAAACAAATTAACAAGAAAAAACAACCCCATTAAAAAGTGGGCAAAGGACATGAACAGACACTTTTCAAAAGACGACATACATGCAATCAACAAGTATATGAAAAAAAGCTCAACATCGCTGATGATTAGAGAAATGCAAATCAAAACCACAATGAGATACCATCTCACACCAGTCAGAAAGAATGGCTATTATTAAAAAGTCAAAAAAATAACAGATGCTAGCAAGGTTGTGGAGAAAAGGGAATGCTTATACACTATTGGTGGGAGTATAAATTAGTTCAAGCATTGTGAAAAGCAGAGTGGCAATTTCTCAAAGAGCTAAAAACAACCACCATTTGACCTAGCAATCCCATTACTGGGTATATACCCAAAGGAATATAAATCATTCTACCATAAAGACATATGCACACGTATGTTCACTGCAGCACTATTCACAATAGCAAAGACATGGAATCAACCTAAATGCCCATCAATTGTAGATTGGATAAAGAAAACGTGGTACATATACACCACAGAATACTATGCAGCCATAAAAAAAAAGACATAATATCCTTTGTAGGAGCAGGAATGGAGCTGGAGGCCATTATCCTTAGCAAACTAATCTCGGAACAGAAAACCAAATATCGCATGTTCTCACTTATAAGTGGGAGCTAAATAATGAGAACACATGGGCACATAGAAGGGAACAATAGAGACTGGGGCCTAAAGAGGGTGGAGGGAGAGGAGCAGAGAAAAATAACTACTGGGTACTAGGCTTAGTACCTGGGTGACAAAATAACCTATACATCAAACTCCCATGACATGAGTTTACCTATATAACAAACCTACACATGTACCCCTGAAACCTAAAATAAATGTTTAAATAACAAAATAAAAATAAAATGTTTAAAAAACAAAATAAAAAATAAATCATCAGTTTGAAACTCTGGAGAAAGACCTATAAGTTGATATTATTTACCTAGTAATGATCATCTGGGTTAGAGCAGTGCCACTCCACATGCTGCCACTGACCAGTAGCATCATCTGGAAGAATATGAGAAATTCACTTTTTCAGCTCTATCCCAGACCCACTGAATCAGAGTCTCTGAAATGAAGCCCACAATCTGAATTTTAACAGAGTCTCCAGGTGATTCCACATGCACTGAAGTTTGAGAGGCACTGGGCTAGACAGCCAATGAGATCACTGAAGGAGAACATGTACAGCCCAAAGAAAAGAAATTTGCACATTGGAGAATTTCTTTAGGGGCAAAAAAGCAGAAAAGAAAACAACACACTAGAAAGACTCTCAAAGGACTATGAGAAAATTATGGTGCATTTCATTGCGAAAATCAAGGCAAGATACAATTAATGTGTACTTATCTTAGGCTTCCTGATAAACTGTTAAACTACTTGTGTGAAGAGATTAGTTAGGGAAAAGGTAAGCATCAGCATCAGTAGCTCCAATAATAATATTTTATTTTTTGTTGACAAATCAAAAATCAAGACCGTCCTCTACAAAACAGAGCTTTGATCACTTGGAGATAAAACACACACATGAATGGTGGCACTATGAATGGCAATATTCCAGCAGGATGGAAGATCTTTTGGCTGCATTTTGCCTTCTTTGCCAAGAACATGTGTAGTTAATCCCACAGCAAATAGACAAATCATTCATCTAAGAAGCAGCAACACAGTAAACACTGGAAATCTGCAGTGGGTCCCAGAAGGAAGAAACAAAAGAGTTCGCTGCTCTTGTTCACCTGTAACTTACCAATTTATTATTTCTCACACAAATATTGAATTAGAGTATTTTAATAACTTTCCTCCAGCAAATAAATTTCTCTTCTAATGTAGACTAATAACCGGCGCAAAACAAGTTCTCTGTGGTCCCCGATGCTGAGAGAAAATTACTTCCGGCCATTATAGCTCAGTAATGCCAGCATTTAGTATATACCGCATCACAAGGCCTTTGCAAAATCACCCAGGAAGTACCTATATTCACAGAGCACTGGACGAGGCTCATAATTCTGGAGAGAAGTGCCTGGCTTCATGCAGGGTGGTGGCTGGCACCCTCAAGGCACAGGACTTGCTTTCCTAAACTGATGTGCGTAAAGGATATGACATCAAGATGGGATGCCACTCCCAGTTTACTTTTACTCCGCTACAGAAACTTGTAAGTTCTATTTCAAGAACAGAAGAGGTCTTTATGTCGTGAACAAGTTCTTTGTAGCAGCATCTGTGCTCACTGATTTAATATCATGGTTAAACGTACTGAAGTTTGGTGAAATCCCTACGTAAGCAGATATAATGTTGGCTCTAATATCTAAAGAAAAAGAAGTATACTTTTTTATTATTTTATTTTATTTTGAGACAGAGTCTCGTACTGTCACCCAGGCTGGAGTTCAGTGGCGTGATCTCGGCTTACCACAACCTCCGCCTCCTGGGTTCAAGCACTTCTCCCTGCCTCAGCCTCCTGAGTAGCTGGGATTATAGGCGCCTGCCACCACGCCCGGCTGATTTTTGTATTTCTTAGTAGAGACATGGTTTCTCCATGTTGGCCAGGCTGGTCTCGAACTCCTGACCTCAGGTGATCCGCCCACCTTGGCCTCCCAAAGTGCTGAGATTACAGGCGTGAGCCACAGCACCCGGCCAGAACTATACATCTTTTATATGTATACAAAAAAGAAATGAATGGAAACAAATTTTCTAGTTATTTATATACTTCCCTGAAAAACCTTGCCCTTTTTCCTACTTATTCAATGCTTCACACAAAAAGGAAAAAGTAAAACTTGAGTACGGAAATAAACAAAATCCAAACACAAAATTTTAATTGTAAAAAAAACACGCTACAGGAGAACGTTATGAAGGTAAAGTCGAGAATCAGGGAGATGTGGGTTCCAATCCTAGCTCTGACACTTGCTCACTCTGCGACTTTGACTAAGCCACTTACCTGGAGAAGCCTCAGTTTCTTGATGTGAAAAATGGGAATGAAAATCCTATCTCTCAACAGGAGTGTTTTATGGATGAGATGAGATCATGCATATATAGTGTTTGGTGCTCAATAAATTATAGCTTTTGGCGGGTGTGGTGGTTCACGCCTATAATCCCAGCACTTTAGGAAGCAAAGGTGGGAGGCTCATTTCAGCCTAGGAAGTTCAAGACCAGCCTGAGCAACATAGGGAGATCCCACCTCTACAAAAACTTTAAAAAAATAGCTGGGCATGCCCGTAGTCCCAGCTACTGAGGGGGCCAAGGTGGGAGGATCGCTTGAACCCAGGAGGCCGAGGCTGCACTCAGGCGTGACTATGCCATTGTATTTCAGCCTGGGTGATAAAACGAGACCCTGTCTCAAAAAATAATAAATAATAAATACATAATAGATGATAGCTTTTGTTTTTATCAGTACAGGTTCCTCATGGTCCTACATGAATGGCATAGTAGAAAATGTGGCACTGGATTGAAATTCTGCTTCCACAATACATTAGCCAGAATTTCTTGAATAAGTCCCTTGACTCTCTGGTTCTCCTCTTTCTCACTAGCAGAGAGAAGAGAGTGGATTATACTGCTCTTAAATTCCTTTCATCTCAAATATTTCATGTACCAATACACTTACCAATTACCCTGAGATTTCCTGCCTTTGAAGTTAATTATAAAATGATCTCTTACGTGTAAACCATATCAAAGATTTTATAGCTGTGTTTCAATTTTTCTGAATTTCTAAAGCTGTTTTGTTGAACAGAAAGCTGTTTTATTAAACAGAATATACAAAGAGAAAAATGACAAATCAAAATTTTAAAATAATGTAACCTATGTAATCACTATCCAGATCAAGGACTAGAACTTGACCAGCATCCCAGAACCTCTGACCATTCTACTCTTTTTTATACATAGGAAGAGTACCCATTAAATACATAGAAGACACGGTTAACATAGAGGTTTTGCTTCTCATCAAAACAATGACTGGCTGGGTGCAGTAGCTCATGCCTGTGATCCCAGCACTTTGGGAGGCTGGGGTGGTCAAATCACTTAAGCTCAGGAGTTTGAGACCAGCCTGGGAAACATGGTAAAGCCCCGTCTCTACTAAAATAATAATAATAATAATAATAATAATACAAAAATTAGCCAAGCATGGTGGTGCTCACCTGTAGGCCCATGGGAGGCCAACATGGGAAGATGGCTTGAGCCTAGTAGGCGGAGGTTGCAGTGAGCCAAGATTGTGCCACTGCACTGTAGTCTAAGTGACAGAGCCAGATCCTGTTTCAAAAACAACAACAATAAAACAACAAAAACTAATTTTTTTTTTAAAAAAAGAGCCAATTGGATAAAAAGCATTCTGGGTGGGAGATACAAAACAATGGATCAACATAAATAATCCCCACACTGAAACCTACCAGAAAGCTAATTTCTAGGATCTTGTTATGTCCATACAATTTTGGCCACCTAGAAAACATCCAAACGCAATATGCTGTTTAGAGTAAGCCAGTTTCTTTAAATAACGATTACCATTGGTGGTTTCATGAGGTCCCTCTGTTGAGCCTTACTGTGCTCCAGCCAGCTGCTTGCATTTTTATAGTTTGCTTCTAAATTTGCAGTGCATTTTTCTGGCTGTCTGGTGGAAAGATTTTCAATACAGACAGACCTGTATGCATTCAGAAATGGCTGTTAGTACACTGAAATAGAGCTTCCTTGCTGGCTGTATATAGGTATTAGCTTTTAAACATACCTATATGCTGAGTTCCAGAGAGTCATTTTCGACGTGTGCACGCTTTTCTACATTATACACTAGCGTTAAACATAAATAGACTGCACTGAAGTCACAATAACAGTCTCACAAGCTTGACAGCTAAAACCGCATTAAGAAAAATGTTTTGTAGAAAATGTAAACTCCTGATTTTTCACTTTTGCTTTAGCTGAAAAAAATTAATATAAAAAAGAGGAACTTTTAGGTACTATCAGCAATTGAGGGGAAAATAGAATGCTATTTCTTTGAATTTGGAAGAGACAAGATGAAATATCTTTGACTTATTTGTCTTGCTCAATCCCATTGCCCCTACTACCAGGGCTACCTTAGGGAAGAAAAGGAAAGGTGGAGGAGGCAGGAGAGTGAAAAGAGAAGAAAGTGCAAAGGAAGCCAAGTGGAGGTGTTAGAGCAGAAGCTATACAGACACACAGGCCTGGAGAGTGAAGTGGCGTGGTAGTTTCGAATTTTATCCCATATATATCTATTTCTTTCCACTGTCATCTCCTGCCAACTTTCCTACCCCTGAAGCTGAGGCAACCATTGCTTGGGGATGGAGCTAAATTCAGGGAAGAGCAAAGGACTCCGAGCTAAGGTCCTAATTCCAAAGAAGTCTCTGGAATCTGGTTTCAGGAAGTAAAGAGTAGTTGTGAAAACTGAAGCTTTCGTTTGCAAAACCAGAAATTAAAAAAAAATTTTTTTAGCTAGCATGTTCAAAAGAGAGAAAGGAATATTTATATTTTTGTTTGTTTGCTAACCAAAAGCCATCGAGTAGGAAAGATTCAGGACAGGGTGTGACCTCAGGGCATTTCCTGAGCCATGGGGACTGAAAAGAGCCTTCCTGGACTGCGGCTGGTAGAGAGGACCTGAGAGAATCTGTTAGCAGAGAGGAGACACCCAGCTTTCGGCTTCCTGCTTGGAACTCTGGGAGGAGAATCTTCTAGGAGACCCCACAGTTTGTAGGACAGCCTCATGGATGATAGGCAAGTTCTGTTTAGGCAAAACGGTCAGGAGCTTCCACCTCAGCTTACCTCATTCCTGCTACCCATAGCACAGGTAGATCCAAAAAGCCCCAAAGGCCAGGCATAATGGCTCACGCCTGTAATCCCAACACTTTGGGAGGCTGAGGCGGGTGGATCCTCTGAGGTCAGGAGTTCGAGACCAGCCTGGCCAACATGACAAAACCTGTCTCTACTAAAAATACAAAAATTAGCCAGGCGTGGTGGTGGGCGCCTGTAATCCCAGCTACTCAGGAGGCTGTGGCAGGATAATTGCTAGAACCCAGAAGGCGGAGGCTGCAATGAGCTGAGATCGCATCTGTGCACTCCAGCCTGGGCAACAGAACAAGACTCCATCTCAAAATAAATAAATAAATTAAAATTAAAAACAAAAAGTCCCAAAGAATGGACTGGGACCCTACCATCCACCAGACAAGACAGATGAAGACATCACAACTGGAAGCCATGGCAGGATCACAGACATGAGCAGTGGATGCCAGAGCACATCCAGCAACCAGAGCTGATGGGAATGGAGGTGGGGGAGTTTTCCTAGAACCCCCTAGGAAAAGGCAGTGAGGTCTAAACGATCAGTATAACTTGATCCCTTTTCATTGCAGAAGTATATCTTCTGAATCCAGCCACCCTTCTGGGAAGCATAGAGAGGAAGAACCTCTAGAGAGAGGTAGAATGGCCTTAAACTCAGAAAGAAATGCCTGGAAGCCGGAATCATCTGAATATTGACCACAGAGAGGTTACATTTTAAATCAGAAGGGACTGAGTTGTCTTTAATGTGAGGCTGATGCACAAGCTGAATTCAATTACTGATAAGATAATGTTGTGATTCTGCAGATGTTCACATCACAGCAGCCACAGAGCCTCTTTGGAGGTTCTAGGGAAAGATGCTCCTCCTTCATATACCCACCTTCCTAGAAAAGGATCTTCCAGGATGCAGGAAGGCTCAGTAGTTGTACCTAAGAGTAGCCTAATCAGCCCTCCAAAGAGAGGGTAGCACCATTGCTGCCTGGAAATCAGGTGTCCTGTCACCTGGCCGACTCCTTCAAATAGCAAAGGATGTTCAGGAAGCTCCTTTCATGGCTCCCACCTGCACCCCAATACTGTGCAGTGTCACCCTCAGTTCTGCTCTCCATTTCACTCCTGAGGCTGACTGGGGGAAAAACCATCCCCGACCCCATGGCTGGTTCACCCGTGTACCTTTTCCCAGGAGAGAAATGACTCATGAGAGTCTTTGCTTTGAAGCAGTCCATATGGTTTACAGGGAAGTTCCAAGTTAAATGTTTCCTTGCTGGCCTTTTTTTTTTTTTTTTTTTTTTGATGGAGTCTCGCTGTGTCACCAGGCTGGAGTGCAGTGGCGTGATATTGGCTCAATGCAACCTCCACCTCCTGGGTTCAAGCGATTCTCATGCCTCAGCCACCTGAGTAACTGGGATTACAAGCATGCACCAACACACCCAGCTAATTTTTGAATTTTTAGTAGAGATAGGGTTTCACCATGTTGGCCAGGATTGTCTCAATCTCCTGACCTCGTGATCTGCCCCCCTCGGCCTCCCAAAGTGCTGGGATTACAGGCATGAGCCACCACACCTGGCCCCTTGCTGGCTTTGAGAAAGGATTCTTCCCAAGGTATCATTGAGACCAGCAATATCACCTGGAAGCTAGTTAGAATGCAAATGTTGGGGACCCCACCCAAACCTACTGATCAGAAACTCGGGGGTAGGGATCTGTTGAAATAAGCCACCCCAACCCCACTCTACCCACAGCCTATGCATATTAAATTTGAGATGCACTGTCTTCAGAGACCTAAGTGATCCCTCTGTTGTTAAGCTCCACTAAAGGTTGACAGCATCTTCAAGACATAACTTGTAACATCCTATGGCATCTGAGCCTCCAGTAGCATCTCAGCAGGGATGCTACCTCAGCAGCCTCCAGTAACACCTCAGCATCTTCAACCATCCAGCAGGAATCTCAGTTCATCCAACAATTATTAAGGATCTTCCATGCCTGAAACTCTAAATTCTCTATGATCCCATGCTGGCTTTGTGATATGAGAAAATAGATGAGGAAAAATATGTAGTCCATTTCAATGCAGTCCACTTGCCTAAAGCTTTCATTCCAGAAAAGAGAGAGCCACCAGGGCTTGGGAAAATTATTTAGCTGTCCCAGCCTTGAGGCAAAACATATTCCTATCCCTAAGAACTAGGAAGTAAGACTTACTAGTTCTTACTTCCTAGTTCTTATTGGTACTCAGTGTCTGGTCCATGGACCAACAGAATCAGCATTTACTGGAACTTGTTAGAACTGCAATCTCAGGCTTTGCCCCAGACCTACTGAAGCAAAATCTGAGTTTTTACCAGAAACCCAGGATATTTGTGTGCTCATTAAAGTTTGAGAAGCAATAGCCTAGCTTGGTGGGTCTTGGTCCAGGATGCACACTATAGTTACCTGGGAATAATTACAAAAACACTAGTGTTCCCCCAGAATTCTTATTTAATCTGTCTGGGGTGAGTCCTGAAAATTCTCCCAGGCCGTTCTGATGTGTAGCTTCCACTGCTAGCTAAACCAATAGACTTGGAAATGTCCAGTCTCCCTGGTTAAAATCCGCAGGTGGCTTTAAGGTAGATGGATATGCCAGAACATTATATTAGCTCATTGACTCTATGAATAACACTGAGAATATGTTCCCAATAGACCCTTGTCTTTGTTTTGTGCTTTTATAACAGAATACCACAAACTGGATCATTTATAATAAACACATTTATTTGGCTCATGGTTCTAGAGATTGGGAAGTCCAAGATCAAGGCACCAGCAGAGTCAGTGACTGGGAAGGGCTTCTCTCTGCATCCAGAATGATGCCTTGTTGCTGTGTGCTCACATAGTGGGAGGGAAAGAGAAAGAGAAAGAAAGAGAGAGAGAGAGAGAGGGGAGGGGGCTGAATTTGTCTTTTTATAAGGAACTCACTCTCACAATACCTGACATTAATACACTCATGAGGGTGGAAGCTGTCAGAACTTAAACCCCTCTCAAAGGACCCCTTCCCAGTTCTGCTGCATTGGGAACCAAGTTTCCAATACATACATTTTGGGGGACACATTCAAACCATAGCGACCCTTTTAACAAATAATGGAAACTGAGACGTTGGGAAAGTTTAACAAACTTAAGAATTCAAAAACAGCAAGTTGTGGAGCTAGGGTTAAAACGTCTGAATCAAAAATCTATGATTTGCCTAAAGGGAGAAACTAATGATACACAATGAAAAAATATATAAGTATGCAATGGAATATCCCTGAGATAAACCGAGGTTCAAATATAGTAGGGCTTTCCAGTACATGAGGTTCTGAACTGGTTCACACTCTGATCAAATAACCACACAATTCTAAACTAAGGGGGGGTTTCTTGGACTCTTCATATAAGATTTGCAAGATCTGCATTATCTCTTTAGCACTCTTCTCAGGCTTAGCTCTGAGGGGTAGCATCACTAGTGAGGGAGGTATAGACTATTGCCTTGCAGAACCACCATGTCCACAGAAAGCTTGTAGTGAAAAGAACACTGAGTCGTATGACAGCACTTCTCTATCCAACCCAGTGATGTGTCTCCCATGTCTCCTTCTTGATCCCTGATTTTCAAATTTAGGAGGCTCCCTGGGGTCAATGAAAATACAAGACGATTAGCTAAAAAAACCATATATTCCACATCAAACTGGCCTGAATTCCCATACCAACTCCTCCCCTTACTATGTGACTTCGGAAAAACCACTTAACCTCCCATGCCTCAGATACCTGATCTGTGAAATGGAGGAAAGGACCTTGCAGTGTCACCCTCCTTGCCTGGCTGCTGTAACGATTACAAATGATATATGTAAAGCATGTAGTACAATGCCAATGGTGGAATTTATTATCTTATAACTTGGAATGACCTTCTACCCTCTTCTTCCTTCACTAACTTTGCAAATCCTACAGCCATCATCACTGAAACTTCCTGACAACCACCCTTCCATGCAGAGCTTGACGCCCCAGGCTTACCACTAGCACACTATAGAACTATGACTGAAATAATTCAATTAAACCGAATTGAGTAAAGTGGTCTGTGCAAAGCTGCCTCTGTCACTTGACCATGAGCTCCCTGAAGGCAGGAACTGTCTTGTTCCCTGTTCCCCATTAAACCTCCAGCACCTAGTCCGACACCTACTCATAATAGGCTTTCAATAAATATATGTAGAATAAATGGACAAATGTAAATATTTGGAGCCTGCCCCTCTTGAAATGGATCAGGTAAGATGTTTCAGCTACATGCAACGTATTATCTACCTAAGGATAGATTAAGGTAAGTACTTCACATGATTTTGGGATGAGGCAGATGCTCCTGGGAACAGATGCAAGGAAGAAACACTATTCTTCTTCAGCTGGATGTTGTCATGGCTACATATGATGTCAGAAACAGTGGCAGCCATTTTGCAACCACAAGGAAAGCTGAAGAATCCAATATGGTGAAGGTGGGGAGCAGAAAGAAGGATCCTTGATGACACCGTTGAGCCACCGCCCCACCTCTAGAACCACCTATCTCTAGGCTGGTTGCTATGTGATATAATCACTATTTAATCTACTCTTTGATGGACACTATGTTACTTGCAGCTGAAGCATCCTATTTGATACCAGGGAAAGGGACATGAGAAGATGAATACCTTGGCCAAGAAGACAACATTGCAATATGCAAAAGAAATGAACCAACATTAGAGCAGAGGAAAGGAAATTATATTATTAACTCATGAACAACACCCTCTATCAAAAGCAATACATAAAATACATCATTTAATCCTCACCAAAACCAGAGGAAGATGTTAGGGATATTCTGTTTTATAAAACGAAAACTCAGGAAGGTTTAGTAGTTACCTAAGGTCAAATACTAAGTGGCAACCTTGGTATTCCAGTTCATGCTGGTATGAGTACAATGTCAGGAGGGATCTGCCATGCTATGTGCATGCCAACTTGGCATTCCATTAGGTCATCCTTTTGCATGACTGTGTTCTGCAGATCTTTTCCTGTGAAATGATTTTGCTGGAAAGAGAGTAAGGCATAAGGGAAGGCAATGGTGCTCTCAGAAAGATATGAAGGTGTGAGGTCAAGTGACAATAGTAGGAGACTAAAAGCTACCTGGGAACACTAAATTATACACAGAGCAGATTTGTATAAACACTACTCCTTCGATTGAAAAAAATAACACATGTGCACATATACACATTATCAATATTTTTGCATAATCCTTATTAAGTATAAGTTACTTGATATATTTATGGCATAATTAAGGAAAACTTTCACAAATGAATAGAATCTGGTTTTGGCTGCATAACCATATATCTATTTACTTTTGTTAGACTTTGGAAATTTCAATACACTGTAATTGCATTTCTAATGACAGAAGATTCATCTCAGCTCATTGTGCATGCATTTCATTATTCACTACACATTTATATTTGAGCAAATGAACTTGTTCATTATACATTGTAATCTTTTTGTTGTACAATGTTTCCATTTTTGAAAGCCATGCAATCACATCGTTGTGGTGTTGGCAATTGTCATTATATAACATATAAACTTTCAAAAGGATGTAATTTAAGGTTTTTTGATCTTGCAGCATAAATATATGCATGACACGTAATATGAATAAACGTACTCCAGATGGTTGCTTAAAACAGATAAATCAAATTTCCCAGTAGTAACAAACTAAACTCTTAACCAAATATAGTTTTTTCACTGATTAAAATGGCCAGAGTATTTATGTGACTCCAAACATAAAACATGTGACAAAACTGGGGTAGGTCATAATAAGAAGAAATTAGATTTTCCGGCCATTTTAAGAGTTATTTGGGGGCTACTAAAGATAAGGGTCCTCACACCCGAAAAAGCCCAGGTTTTAAGTTCAGTTCTGCCATATCTCAAAAGACATGCAAGCTCCGCATGTTTGGGTTTCACGGGGAAAGAAGCAGATACAGTGAATTTAATCCACCAATATGAAGTTGGCAATACCTTTTCCTTCCCCAGCACCTTCAAGTGTATTTACAAGCCTTTCACACACAGGCGAAAACACTACAGAAAAATGTTAACTAGAAAAAACATATTGGCTCAGTAAAACAAATAACCCTCAAAGCCAGAGAACTGCATGTTTATTGACTCCACCGCCACTAGCACTGCCTTGCGTAGTTACAGTACAGCCCAAGTGCATTAGCAAACAGCCTAGCTCTTTCTGCTCTGTTGCTAGCAACCTTACTGCATTCAGCAGCTAGTAAAATTAAACCTCTTCCAAATAATTCTCATGTGCATGGACTATAAAGTGAATGTAAATTAAAGCAATACATTACCAAAAACTTCAACTTATTTAGAGTTGCTTGCTAGTCCTGCTTTGACAAATATTTTTCATTTACTCCCACCCAGCCACCCCCATGCAAACACTTAAGTGGGGTCCACAGAAACCCACCTTTGCTCCCCAACCATCTTTATATAATCAACTTGCCTGGCCACATGGCTTCTGACACTCCTGAGTACCCTCAATATTTGTGCTACTGATGTCACTCAGGGACCCAGGCTCAGCAATCTTTTGCAAATACAACTTCTTTCCAGTCAATAAAAAGGAAAGCAAAAATATCAATGAAAAATTGGTTAACATTCACAAACAGACTAGAAAAAGAGAAAGAGAAGCAAAGGCCCTATAAACACAAGAAAAAAAAATCTTTTCAGTAGTGATCAAATAAATGTCAATAAACAAATAGCTGTGACTTTTAATGGTGAGAGTCACTGAGAAAAATAATACTGTTTCACCTTGGAAACGATGAATAATTAAGGGGTGAGTTTCTTCAAACATTGCCGCTTGTGGTAGTATGAATTGGTATCACAATTAAAAACAAGAGGCATTCGCTAACTGACCCAAGAGCTCCCTCCTTTCATAAAGAACTCCTCAGAAGTCCAGGTAACAGTGCCATGATCCCCTGCCGTAAGCCACAGGGCCCCATTAATGTAAAAGCTCTAGCTAGATTTTGAACATACATCAATTAGTCTAAACCAGAAACACTGGGGACATGAAACATTCTCAGTTTACCAATAACTTTAGTCAATGCCAAATTATGCCATCTGGTACTTAATATAATCATTAATCCTCATATAGGATTATATTACAAGGAGCATATTTGATCAATTCTTCGCATTGTATCTAATAGTTATTGTAATGGACGGCATGAATATTCTGCCTAAGAGGGGTCTATTCACCCACTGATGCTTGACAAATGTTTGCCTACGACTTTCATTAATGCTTAACAAGGTCATCTTTAAACTCCAGCACATAATGCAAGCAGACTAATCCTATGGCTTTTTATGCAGAGATAAACTAAAGCAAATTCACAGCTTCCCTGCCATTAATGTGGGCTATTAGATATCCTACATTACTCATTAGAGAACCTTCAATAACAATTCCAGAAGTAAATATGACTACTGTATCACATGCAGAACATCTGCAGAAATACACCAGTGGCCAAAATAAGCCCAGGTACACTGGGGAAATGCCTAATGCTGTCATTTGCAGTCCGTTATCCTTTCTCACTCGCATCTCTGCCTAGGTGAGTTCTTTAAATTGAATAGAAGGAAGATGTGTGAGTTGCTTGGTTACATGAAATCAGGCTGCACAGAGATTCCCACCTGAAGTCTGGCTGGGACTCATCACCACCTTTTAGGAAACCTGTCATTTTTTAAGAAAAGGGAGCCACTATCTCTGGGCAGCCATGGCTGTTATCTGCACTGCAGGTCGCTGGCTGAGCCGTGTTTCCCACTAATTAAATTCACTGTGGGAGATTCCTAACGTGTGTCTCTATGGGAAATGGATCTGAAAATCTGGATGATCACCCTAATTGCTTCTGGTAACAAGGTTATGAAACCCTCACTGTCATACCTACAGACAGGAGAACTCCGATAAGGGTAGCTAGCTTACAGACCATACGGGTTTCTTCAGCCTACAGCTGGAAGAGCTAAAACTGGTCTCAGCTGCAACTGGGCGCATCCTGAAAAATACCTGTCACTTCGTGCTTTTCAATTATTTACCTGGAAATGCAGCAAACGGGTAATTGTCAAGAAGCACAATAGTAAACCAGCAGATGCCAACGTTTGTCTAAACTGTGCTGGGAGATTAGCTCAGGCCTGGTGTAAGGCAGGGCTACTCAAAATTAGTCAACAGACTGACAGCATCAACATCACCTTGGAGCTTGTTAGATATAAAAATTCTCAGACTCCCACCTCAGACCTATTAATCAGAATATCTGAGGGTGGAGTCCAGGAAGCTGAGTGTTCAGCAACTTCCCCAAGTGGTTCTGGTGCCCACTAAGATTTGAGAAGCCCTGGACTCAAGTACACTGGATTAGGAATCGCAGAATGTGGCTCTATTCCTGGCTCTGCATAAAATAGTGTACTCCCTAAGGGAACTCAGCCTCTGTGGTCTCAGTTTCCTCATTGTTCTGGTTATCTACTGCTGTGTAACACACTGCCCCAAAACTCAGTGGCTTAAAGCAACCATGTTTCTGTGAGTTGGCTGGACTTAGCTGGGAAGTTTTCATTTGGTGTCTCTTGTGTGCTTGGAATCAGGTGGAGGCGGTAGCTGGGGTCATAAGAATGATTCACTCAGTTGCACATCGGAGATTGCTACTTCTCTCTCATGCCTGGCATCTGAACTGGAATGGCTAACAGCTGGCTAGGAATCCCACTCTCTATAAAGTCTCTCTGTGTGACGAGCTTGGGCTTTCTCAAAGCATGGTCATTTCAGAGGTGATGGACCTCTTACATGATGCTAGCTTCCCCCAGAATGTAAATGCTTTTTCGCCTTTTTTTTTTTTTTTTTTAAGATAGGGACTTGCATTGTCACCCAGGCTGGAGTGCAGTAGCAGGATCATAGCTCACTGCAGCTGAGACTATAGGCATGCATCACCACGCCACTACACCTTGCATACTGTTTAAAAAGTTTATGTAGAGATGGGATTTTGCTGTTGACCAGACTGGTCTTGAACTCCTGGCCTCAAGTAAACCTCCTGCCTTGGCCTCCCAAAGTGCTGGGATCACAGGTGTGAGCCATCATGCCTGTCCACTAAAGTGTGAATTCTAAGAGACTGCCAGGCTTTGGTCTCTTAAACGTGGAACCAGTACAACATCATTTCTGCCACATTCTCTGGGTAATGAAGAAGTGATGGGGCAGCTCAGGTTCAGTAGAAGGTCTTACATAAGATGAGGAGGGGAGGAGAAATCTTTTGAAAGAAGCTGCCATACTCACCTGTAAAATGAAGGAGGTGGCCTACATCCCTAAAGGCCTTCATGGTTTTTATAGTCTATGATTCTCTGATGTAGTCAATACTCATATTTCTGAGAGTACATCACATTGACCTCAGGGATGCCCATTTCTCCATAATATCACTGTCAGTCATTTAGCATTAAGCACATGCAGGCTTGCATTATGATTTACCTTATGAATGTAGTTACTCTGACGTCCCAACTTGATAAGATCCTCAAGACTTTATGCCTCCTTGAAACTCCATTACCTGATGCAGTGACCTATATCTCATATGAGGCCTTCAATGAAGATGTGGTCATGATGATGATGACAATGATGGTGATGATGATGCTGATAGTATCACTGCTGTTAAACTATCCTGTCTAATTGAATGAGTGCCAAGCAACCATTTACAAAGTTGAAAAATAATGCCACATGACTTTTATGATTTTATAGGCCTTTTAAAAATAGACTTTAGATAAAATAGAGATGCAAATATTATTTCCCATTGAGCTACTGTTTGCTTTAAATGCACACTCGCTTTTTTTTTTTTTTTTTTTTTTTGATTCCCCAGTGCAGAAGGGATAGTGGTCATGAGAATGCCTCATTTTTTCTTTCTTTCTTTTTTTTGAGACAGAGTCTTACTCTGTCACCCAGGCTGGAGTGCAGTGACACAATATCGGCTCACCGCAACCTCCACCTCCCAGGTTCAAGTGATTCTCCTGCCTCAGCCTCCTGAGTAGCTGGGATTACAGGTGCCCGCCACCACACCCGGCTAATTTTTGTATATTTAGTAGAGACGGGGTTTCACCATTTGGGCCAGGCTGGTCTTGAACTCCTGACATTGTGATCCACCCGCCTCAGCCTCCCAAAGTGCTGGGATTATAGGCGTGAGCCACCGCGCCCGGCTGCCTCATTTTCTTTCCACTACATTTTTTAACCCCCTTGAACCTAAGTGAAATTTCATGCCCTCTTTGCCATCCCTAGAGCCAGCTGGCTGGTACCAAGGCAACCTTGAACTTCCAAGATAGTACAGTCACAAGATAGAAATAGCTTAGTCCCTGATTCACTGCTTGCAGCAGAACCATCCATTCAAGAATATGCTCATTATGTTTTGCATGAGCAAGAATCAAACTTCTTTGAGGTCAAGGCGTTAGATTTGAGGGTTTGTTTGTTATAGCAGTTAACTGACACTGAGTGATACACCTAGTTCATTTCCAGCATCAACCCTGTGAGTCATTGTCTCATATGTATACTTTAAATTGACCTTTAAATTGAATATTTTTACCAACAAATTCACTTCTACAACATCCCTAATGAGCTCTTATAAGCAAGCTGTGAATATTTGGCTGCCTGTGTTTGTTACCTTTGTTTCTTCCACCCCTTGTTTCACTCATTTATTTGAAAACCATGTGTGAGCACCTGTTAAGTGGCAGACATTATCTATGTCCTTGGGATGTGAAGATAAATATAACACAGTCAGGCAAAAGACAATTACAAAAATATTGATGTGCCCTGCAAGAGGGGGTGTACACAGCACAATGAGGATATAAAACAATGGAAGTACAACAATGAAAGGGCAGAGATTCTCAGGGAGGCAGAGGCAGGAGGACAGCTTGAGCCCAGGAGTTCGAGACCTGCCTGGGCAATATAGCGAGACCCCGTTCTCCACAAAAAAAAAAAAAGGAAGAAAAAAAAAAAGAAAGGGGAGAGACATTTTTACAAGGGTTGTAACATCCATACTGAGTTTTGAGAGATGAGTAGCAGTTCACCAGGTAGAGACAGAAAGAGAAAGGCTAGATCAGACAAGGGGACATGCAAAGACCCACAGGTGGGACCCTTGCATCTTGCAGAATGGTCCCTATAGCTGGCCTAAGGATCTGGTTGGCCTAAGGATCTAATGACTCCACAGATGACTCGATGACAAACCCAAGTTCTGAAATGATTTTGATCCAAGCAGCATTAACCTGGGGTGCAAAAGAGTCATACGTGAGGTTTGGGTTCATGCCTATTATTCTGGAATCTGCCTTGCTTAACTCCAAGATTTATGTGGGGCACTTGGCCCAGGGGAGGTAATTCCTGACATGTTTACATCTAAACTTAGAAGGATAACTTCCCCAGTCTCCTGTAGGGAAGGCTAGGCTTGGCAAAGGTGGTTAGAACTCCAGAAGATCTGCTATGATCCTCATTTATTCAAACATGATCTTCTACTGTGCAACCCCTTGATGAGGATCTTGTAGCCAGGAAGATTGCATCTCCATCCACCTTGGAGAAAGTGGTTCATCTCTCTGCCTGAATTCTAGTCAGCTTGACTACTGTTTGTAACCTTGATTTACCTGAGTATTACTGGTGCCTAGTCTCCCTGCTCATCTAAGCCTGCAGACAGCATTTTTTAACTCAGTGGTTGCACACAAAACACAGTGTGTTTGGAAAATTATAATTAGCTTGTTATCCCTGGGAGGACATTGGTGATTTGCAAATGGTATGTGCAAGAAAAGAAATTCAGGAGGGAGATCATGACAAGTGTTATACATCATGCTAAGGAGTTTAGATGTAATCTTGTTTAGGCAAAAGGGAACCCAAGATATGGGTGTGACATAAGAAAAAAATAGATTTAAAAATATAAATATAGGTATATACATACACACACAGACCCACATATACATATATTTCTGATAGCAGAAAGGTGAAAGTTGTAAAGTAAACCAGCTAGGAAACTCTTGCAAAAATCTGCTAAAAAATGACAAGACTAATGAGAGGGAAATGGAGAAGAGGATATAGATCTCTAAGATATTGAGAGTAGAATAAACCAAATTTAATGATTTCAAATTTAAAGAGAGGGGAATCTGGGATGAACGCAGGGTTAATCCTTGAGGTGGACAATGCAGGCATCAGAGTGTCTTCTGTCAAAAATATGGCCAAAACCTGGAAGGAAGATAAGACATAGGACTGGGGGCCGGGCACTGTGGCTCACGACTGTCATTCCAGCATTTTGGGAGGCCAAGGCCAGCGGATCACTTGAGGTCAGGAGTTTGAGAACAGCCTGATCAACATGTGTGAAACCCTGTTTCTACTAAAAATACAAAAATCAGCTGGGCGTGGTGGCAGGTGCCTGTAATCCCAGCTACTCAGGAGGCTGCGGCAGGAGAATCGCTTGAATCCAGGAGGCAGAGGTTGCAGTAGGCTGAGTTCACGCCACTGTGCTCCAGCCTGGGTGACAGAGCAAGACTCTGTCCCAAAAAAAAGAGAGAAAAAAAAAAAGTAGGACTGGGGAAAGTAATGAATTTAGCTTAGTATATTAAGTGTGAGAGGCCTCTCAGACATAAAGGTGAAGATTGTTGCCAGTTGGAAATGTCGCCTTTATTTTAAAACTAATGTCTTGGTAGGAAAGATGGATTTCAGAATTATTTGCATACAGAGGTGAATTATTTGCATTCAGAATTATTTGCATATGGCGTGGATTGAAACAACAGCTTGAGAATAGAATAGAAAGTCATCCAAGGACGAAATCCCGAGAAAAGGATGCAAGAATGGATAAACAGAGAGAGAAGACACCCAGAGGAGACCGAATCCATCTGAAAGGAGTGGAACGAGGCACAGATATTCACATGAGGACCCTCTCTGGCTTCCCAAACCATCGTCATACTCCAAGGCTTGGCTGGAATTCCACATCCTTGACGATGTGAAGCCTTCAGACACTCCATACTCACAGGGACAGCTTCCACCCCACATGTGTCTCTATCGCCCCATATATCAAACACAACCTGGTATCACTATACCACACGCTAGCTCTTGGGGGAGAGGAACATGTCTCATTCCGTTGCAAATGACAAAAAATTTCAACTCAAATTGGCTTAAGAAAAAAATAAAGAAAAGACCAAGAGGAGGATTCTGCCTTTAAGTGTGGTGGCTCTAGGGGCTCAAAGTATGCCCTTCTCCACTTCCTGATTCTGCTTCTCTCTGAGGTGGCTTCATTCTCAGGCAGGTTATCCCCATAGATGGACACACCATTCCAGGCCTACAATTCATTTTTCAATAACTCCAATGGGAAAGAGATCTTTATTCATGGTCATTCTAAGCTCTGGTTGGTCCTCATCAGGTAACCTGCCTATTTTTAACCCATCATCACTGAGGCCAGGGGAGGCTAGGCTCCAATTTGACAGGCTAAATTGCATGATGAGGAAGTGAAAGTAGAGTCAGTTTCACTGTGGGACTTTGACATGAACCAAATGATACACACCAAGAAAAAAAGAAGGATCACCAAAATAAGTCAGGATGCTGTTTCCAGAAAATAAACAAATAGAAATTGATGCTAGTTAAGTCCTTTAGGAAGGGTGCACTGTGAGGACCTTGCATGCAATAGGCATTTAACAAATATTTCCTGATTGCCAGGTTACAAACTTAAGAGCCCACTTTAATCATTGAAAGACAGGAAAACGTGTTATTAGAAAAGTGACTATTGTTTGTGTGATAAGGAGAAAGCAGAAAGGAAAAGAAACATCTGGTATTTGTACCCACTGGTATCCTAACTGGTGGAGGTAGAGAGAATGCAGAGTAGGTGACAGAGACAGAAATGCAAAGAAGAAAAGTGAGTGGGGGCCGGGCGGGGTGGCTCACGCCTGTAATCCCAGCACTTTGGGAGGCCGAGGCGGGCAGATCACAAGGTCAGGAGATCGAGACCATCGTGGCTAATACGGTGAACCCCGTCTCTACTAAAAATACAAAAAAATTAGCCGGGCGTGGTGGCGGGCGCCTGTAGTCCCAGCTACTCGGGAGGTTGAGGCAGGAGAATGGCATGAACCCGGTAGTGGAGCTTGCAGTGAGCCGAGATCGCGCCACTGCACTCCAGCCTGGGCAACAGAGCAAGACTCCGTCTCAAAAAAAAAAAAAAAAAAAGAAAGAAAGAAAAGAAAAGAAAGAAAAAGAAAAAAGAAAAGTGAGTGGGGTGCGTGTGTGAGTGTGAATGGTGATGGGGGCTGCCTTGGCTTGAAAGCCACCCAACTTCTGAGATGTCTGGATAATGAGAATAGCAAGCTTGGATATATAAATCAAATCTACATTATTAGAAAAGTTTGACATTTGCTAAATTACCTATGAAAACTTACCCTGGTTGTTAAGAACCAAAAAAGTGTATTCATTTCAAAGCTAAATGTCAAGCTCCCTTAAAGATCTAACACCTACAGATGGGAGGCAGGGGAGGAGGGTGGGGGCGGAAAGCTGTGCAAATTAAAGGCAATAAACTTTCCAGACATCTTTATCTCCATACCTGCTCAGAGATGTCTCCAGCATTCTTAGTTGAGTAATTGTATCTTTCTATTGTGTCCATCTTGGCAACCCAGTTCTTAAAGGTATGCTCACCGAACAACATTTGAAAAGTAAATTGACACACTGGAAGACAGACATGGCGAAATGGACCTAAACTCACTTTATTTATAGACGGGAGCCAGAGATGAGTTAACAAGAAAGCCCACTAAGTAAATGATTCAGAATATAAAACTAGTAGTTCTAGAACCAGAAGACTCTGGCAAACATCCAAAACAACTCTACAAAATTAGAATTAAGAAGCTCCTCACTCCTATATGTTTCCATGAATCAGTTATCCAATACTAAACTGTACCATTTATTAATAAGCAAAGTAAATAAATTTGAAATAGTTGGAATAGATTGCATAAAAATATTCCCAAGTCAATAATTCTTAAGAAAATTTTGCCCACTGAAGTATTTCAAACTAAAATATACCAGTTTTACCTAAGAATGGTTATTCTTGAACATTTACAGATTACAGTCACACTGTCTGATGTACACCTATCTAACCCCGCCATACATACATGTGTAATTCTGTATCCATATACACAAAATTGCACATACATATGAGGTTTTATGCAAACACATGAAAAGGTGCCCATCAAACTTTAACACCTCCCTTAGACTTCAATGGTGGGTTTTCTTTCATTTATTACCTAACAGCTAAGTTAGGTAATAACTTATGAGGAGCTAAGTTGGAGAGAACCTTGTTTTTACTAGGGAGAGAGTAAGGGATGTTCAATTGTTCAGAAACCAGAAACACCGCAAGAAAGGAAAGAGGAAACCAAGGACCTCCACGAAGTGAATCAATGCCTCCAAATATACTTTATGACGTTACCAAAAAAATGTGAGTGAACATTATTACTTTAAAAAAAATTTTGGTAAATCTGTAATAGTCTGATAGGCTTATTCATTTTTGGATGTGGGAAGCCAGGGAATCTACCTTCCATAATCTCTTTTGTAAGGGAACATATTTCAAGTTTAAACACCTCACTTAAAAACAGTTTCTGGCTATTTGTACACTGATAACCTCTTGTGTTCACACACACACCCCACATACATGAACGTGTACTCTTCCAAAGTGTGTGCACTAATAGAAACTTCACAGTCTTTGGCATTGTTTAAGCTTTTACCTTTATAATGTAGATTCTGGATAGGATTGAAACCATATGTACGAATATGCATACCCACACACATACCTACATATCTTTGACAGTTAATGTCCCTCCTATTTCTCAAAAATCGTGTTCTCTAGTTTAAAAAAAAACTTTATTAACTATGCAAGTGACCTCTTCTATAATCTAAATGCGTATGACTAAAGTGCTTCAGTGGAACCAAAAGTGGCTGCCTTCTGCAGGGAGAAGACATGGATCTCTGAGCAGGTGTTGGAGAGCAATTTGTATATAGACCTCAGGCAGCTAAGGGAGGAAAGGGGACATACAGAGTGATTGTGGGTGGAATTGACATGATTCCTCTGCCCCTATTTAGATTAATCCACCCACTGTGAGTCTGTCTTTGCTAAGATGCCAGTTCTTGACAACAGAGTGGGTGCCCTCCTTCCATCCCCTTCCAACCCCTTCCAAAAAGGGTCTTGGCTAAAAAGAAGATGACACTGAGGTTTTTGTCAGGTCTTCTGTCCACCCAGCAATGTAATGACAGAGATCTCCAAAGGAAGCACAGGAACTTACTGTCCCTCCTCATCTATCCATGCTCTTGGGCATATCTTTGCTACCTCTCTTACCTTGAAAGGTTAGGATTCCTAAGGCCATTACATAGGTCATTATCCTAGTCCCTGGGAACATTAAGTGATGTTTCTAATAAAGAACAAGGACTCTATGGGAGAAAAAGCAATTGCTTTCATCAGGATAACAGGAATCTTCACTGTGTCAGACCAGTTAACAAAGGGCCAAAGAAGCTTGGAGAATGGCCTGTTTTTTTTTTGTTTTTTTTTTCTTTTTCAACATGCTGTGACTATTGTTGGTTCTTTCCTCCTAAGGCCATCTTCTTTGGGGGGATTCCAAGTATAGGTGGATGGTCACAGAATCGGATAGCCTTCTTTTTGGTATTGTGTGGGAAAGCTAGAAAGGACTGGGGAAAGAAATCCATTTTATTTTTCTACATACTTTTATGATTTATGAAAAATTGATCTACTCCCCTCATAACCATGAGTCAGAGAAATGCAGTTACAATAAAGTGGCAGTGTCATTTCTAAAGTAGACCATGCGCCGGTTCACAAATGATAGCCAATTAAAATAAGTTATTCCTGTCTGGTGGGGCTGTGTGAAATGAACTATCACCCAAGATGAATTAAAGCCTGGGCTTGGAAGACTTCCTCTTGACTAGCCTCTGCAGTATAATTTATAATTATTTCTGTTTACTCGTGAGGTGGGGTGGAGGAGTCAGGAAGGAAACTGGCTTAGCTCTTATCTGGATATGAGCAAGAACAATGAAAAGGGCATCTGCTTATTAAGGTTTTGATCCATAATTTTTTGAGACAAGAGTTTCACTCTTATTGCCCAGGCTGGAGTGCAGTGGCATAACCCCAGCTCACTGCAATCTCTGCCTCCCATGTTCAACAGATTCTCCTGCCTCAGCCTCCCAAGTAGCTGGGATTACAGGCACGCACCACCATGCTTGGCTAATTTTTGTACTTTTAGTACAGATGGGGTTTTGTCATGTTGGCCAGGCTGGTCTTGAACTCCTGACCTCAGGTGATCCACCCCCCTCAGCCTCCCAAAGTGCTGGGATTACAGGCGTGAGCCACCACACTTGAACCATAAATATTTTTTTCAGTTATCACAGTGTCAGGTATCTACGTGGACGTAGATGTATAAGGGAATCTTAGGAAAGAACCTGTAACTAGAATCTCTAGCCTCAGCACAACAGCCTGCAAGGCCTCGTTCCTTGCCCAGCACACATCTTGGGGGACTGGGACACATCTGCATGTATTTTCTATATTTCTGGATGTAAACAGTTTTATTATTTCATAATCACAGGTGTGTCTTTCTAGGGAGTAACTTCTATTTCAAAGGTGATATTTTTTCTTTTTTTGAAAACTTATCCAAACCTTCGGAGATCCAGCAGAAGTGGATCCCTAGAGTTTCAATTATTAAAGAACAACCTCATCCTCAATCGTACCAACTATCATGATTAATGGGGAGGGGAGATTCCAAACAGCCTCTCTCTGACTCTCTATTCTTTAGTTTCTCATTCTCTTTCTGTGTATCTCTGTATTTCTCTGCATCTCTAACATCTCTACTATTTCTATGTGCCTGCAGGTGTGACCTTCTCTCTAATTCCTGCTTCTGTGTACTATCTCAAAATCTCCTATAAATACACATGCGCACACATCATACACACTCACATGTACACTTCTATCACTTAAGATTTGAAGGCACAAACCTCAACAACAAATCTCTTTTCTTGCCTGTACCCTTACATTTAGCCATGAAATGTGAGTTTTCCTGGAGCCGGTTAAATCAAGGAAAACCAGTGCTCCAACTCTTCAGATTCCTTTAGCTGAGAGACCCTTTGCTCCTGGCCTAGAGATTCCTCCATGCCAGGCTCAGATAACAGACCTATGTCCAATCGGCAGGAATGTAAAAGTCATGAGCTTGAAGATGGGTCATTTGACATTCAAGCCATCCTTTCACGAAATTCTAATCTAAGCACCCATCAGAACCCATGCCTTGTTCCATGAAGCCATTCTTCCCTGTGCTTGGGGCCGAATAGGGTACCATGCCCCTGTTCTACTCAGTGTATTACTGGCTTATTCCTAGGTTCTTCAGAATGTGTCTCAATATACTGCCCAGTCTCTACAGTTTTCTATTTCATTCACTTATTCATTTATTCAATTAATGAATATTTATCGAGCATCAGCCACATGCTAGACTCTTGTCAACACTTGGAGAGGGTATCAGGGAGCAAAATGGCAGGTCACCTTATCCATTCTCCTTAAGTTTGGCATTTTAATTGAGCTACTCAAGTTCTACCTCCACCTTAGACTATAGTCCCATGGATGATCCATTCTCTCAGCCTCTCTGATCCTGCCTGACTTTGATTCAGTTCTTGGCTTCTCCTGATGCTACCTTAAATTATCCCATGCCTCATACCCCTGTGGCTATCCTATCCTCCAAACTAATCCAATTCTCACCTTCCTCACTTGTCTGGCTCATCTCATCTTTAAAAGGACTCTGACACCTAATAGTAGTGTAGGGTTAAATTTTCTCAGCATGAAGGCCATTCCTTTATCTGAAAAAGAACACACTAGTCTGCTTCCTGAACTTAATTATAAATGAGGAAACTCCTTCACCATGGATGCATTGCAGCCTTCTGTGCAAGGTGGAGATTTTCTTCACACATTATAACAGGGGCTCCTGTTGTAAGAGGACTCTAAGCTCAGCTGTGAAAAAAGATGCTGCCCTTAATCCCCAAAGCCTTATAAATACTCAGATTCCTCAAGAGGCTGAGTAGAGAGCTTCAGAACCCCAGGCACCTGCTTGGCCTCCAGAATCTTCTCACTGTGAAAAAGATGCCAGGTGTTACCTTATTGATGTAAAGAGTGTGTGTGTGTGTGTGTGTGTGTGTGTGTGTGTGTTTGCAAGTAAGTACCATCAACCATTTCCTTCTACCTCCTTGAAAGCTGAAATCTTTACTCATCACGTCATCTTATGCCCCTAATGCAGGTCACTGGAAGCCCTCGGATTCACAACATTTTTTGCACCTTATGCCGTGACATCTAGTTCCAGTGAGTCTTCATATAGCCCCATTGTATAGAAATGGGAAAGGATTTCCAACTCCCCTGGGAAGCCTATAGTGAAATCACATTCATAAATCTGTTCACCTTTTCTACCACTTAGCTTTTACTAGTATTCTTATAAATGTTCTCTCTCTGTCTTACAGTTAATAAATTAAATGAGCAAGTAACAAAGAAAAATGTTGGATCTTGTGTGCATCCTAGAGACTTAGGGTGAAATGGTTCCAGAAAATTAACCCATGTTTGTAACTGCTGCTCTACGGGGTATGGATGCAGCAGCTGAGGAGATGGACAGGGGGTTTGCAGGGGTTCTAGTCCTTCCCTGGGGCCTTCATTCCCCAGGCAAAGGCTCCCAGCAAAGCAAGAACAGGAACATTGTGCATGTCAGTTTCCAAATCTGTGGTTAATGTTTCATACAGTCCAACTCAAGGCAAATTAATATTTCAGCAAAAAGAACTGCTCTGATATATGTGGATGTCACTGAATTAAGAAAGCCACTAAATTAACTGCAGTTACAGAGAAGTAAGAGGAAAGGATTTGAGAGAATAGGTAGATTCATTTCCTCCTCTGCTCCTCCAAGCTCTTGGCTTTTCCCTCTATTTTTTTTTCCCTCTTGCCCTTCTCCATGCTTCTCCTCCAATGTTTTCTTTAATTTTATTTTATTACACTTATTTTTCTTATGCAGACTCCTGAAACAGAAACATGAATTATATGAGTGAGAATTTGTGTATCCTTCCTTCCAGGGAGAAAACCTGGGCAGTGAACAATAAACATTTCTCCCCATCTTTGAGACCCTTTTACCCACTGCCCATACCCCTACCCAAGAGTTTCAAATGCTTCAGCTAATGCAGTAAGCTTTAGTTTATTTAAGCAGGGACAGGCAGGGCACTGTGACTAGAAATCGGTAGTAAATTCCACAATTAGGGAGCAGAGCTGCTAAAAGCTCTTACTCAAAGGGACCCAAGATTATACTGTGAACAAATTAAATTGCCTGCTGCTTCCATTCTCACTGGGTGACTGAGGACATATGGTGACAAAAGATCGAGCAAATAAATTGAGTTGGATTCCTGCTTACAAAGAAAAAAGTGTTGGAGAAACTTAGAATCCAATGTTGAATTTTAAAAACTGCAATTCCCACCAAAAGGAGGAAGGAAGTCTGGACATCTAATACTTTTTCAGAACATAAGGACTTGTCCTTTAGTAACCTACATTTGGGAAATGCCATAGGCTGGCACTTTTGCAAGTGAAGAGTTACAGCCCTCTAGCTCCCAAACAACTAAGGCATTAATTAATCTCACCAAATCTTCCTGATGAGATTGCATTCTCAGCCTGGCAGTATTTCATAAATGATATACAGTTCAAGTGGAGAGGGCCAGAAGATACAGACGTCCACTCAACGATCCAATGACAATGGACAACAAAGGCCACTCTACTTGAAGATAGTCTCCAGACATTTTAATCAAACTGAATTGCCATCAAGAGCTGAGGCCAAGCAACAAAACTCCTACATCATCAAGCTAGGCAATGTTCATGTAGGAAATTCACAGGCTAAAAGAGTGCAGACTGAAATCCAATCATTTAATTAAGGAATTACATCACCTTTGCCTGGATAACAGCAGAAAATTCTAGCATTGTATTCACCAAGCAAAACCTCCCAGGGGAATCTGCCAAAACCAAATGTCAAGTGGACTTGTCAAGGTCACACAATGACACAACAGTGAGAGATACAGTGAGAGACTAACTAGACCAGTACAAGAGCAGCAGTTGGTTGGTTCACAGCAATGGATGACAGTTTTACAATACTGTTCCTAGCCTGAGCCTCAAGAACTGAAGAGAGCATCCCACCATCAGCTTGCCAACAACAAATTCCTTTTTGTTTTTCTTTTTTTTTTTTTTTTTTTGAGACAGAATCTTGCTCTGTTGCCCAGGCTTGAGTGCAGTGACATGACCTCAGCTCACTGCAAACTCCACCTCCTGGATTCCAGTGATTCTCCTGCCTCAGCCTCCCAAGTAGCTGGGATTACAAGTGTGCAACACCCACCTCAGCTAATTTTTGTATTTTTTTAGTAGAGATGAGGTTTCACCATATCGGCCAGGCTGGTCTTGAACTCCTGAGCTCAAGGGATCTGCCCACCTCAGCCTCCCAGAGTGCTGGGATTACAGGTGTGAGCCACCAGGCCCAGCCGACCAACCACAAATTCCAAAGTCCCACCAGCTGATTTCCATGCCTAGTTTCCTTTCTGCATAGCTCCCAGAATAAAATATGGTTTCTCTAAAGATTGCCACCACCGTTTCATTAGGAGGCTTACTTACTTACTTAACTTCTTACAAATCACTGCAGAAAAAACAGAGGACAAAAAATTTTAAATAAATGAGTAATTTATACAGTTCTTGGAATCCTATCATCATTGTCTATAATGTAGCGCTGACTCTATTCTTAGTTGCTCTTGCAAATCACTTCTGACTTTGCATTTTCTTTGGTCATTTAGAAGGTATCTAGTTTGCACCCTTTTACAACACACTATTTGTGGGTGATTACATCAGCCATCTGTTTTAGCTCATGCAGGACCTGGTTTCAAGAAGGGCCTCTTCTTAGGGAAGACCTGAATATGCAAGACAACACAATAAGTATTAATTGATGTCACTGGCTCCTTTCTTGTTCAAGATGGTAATTGAATTTGAGAGACATCATAGACTGAATATTCTCCTCAAAATGGCCTTTACACTACATTCTCACATGCCAATAAAGCAAATAACATACACTTTGAGTTGCTGAACAATATGTTGTATATAGATAGAAATGTCTATGACACTATGTATAGATAAAGTTTAGGAGTGGTCCACTCTAAAGTTTAGGAGTGGTCTGCAGAAATCCATTACATTTAATCATGTAACCGTAAGCATACATTTCTAAGCCAGAAATAACGTGAATTTACACGTGCCTTTCTTATGACCCAGCAATCTTGATACTAGTTTTTATGTGAGAAATGAAAACATATGCCCACAAAATATCTTGTACAGGATTATTTATAGCAGCTTTATTCATACTAACCAACAATTGGAAACAATCCAAATATTCATGAACAGGAGATTTGAGAAATACATTGTGGTATATTCATACAACTGAATACTGTTCAGCAATAAGAAGAAACAACCTTGATACACGCAAGTACACAGTTGAATCTCAAAAACAAAACATGATAATGGGTGAAACATGCCAAACAAAAGTGCATTCTACATGACTTCCTTTATGTTAAATTCAAGAATGAGCAAAACTGTTCTATAGTGATAGAAAACATAAGTGTGATTGGCTAAAGATGAGGAGAGCTGGCTGGAAACAGGAGGGAGTTTCTGGGGTGATCTCTTGATCAAGATATATACAATCATTGATCCATGTACATAATATTCATGCATTTCAATCTGTAAATTATACCTCATTTATGAAAAATGTTTAACAAAACATAATATTGGCATATTTGGAAAATATATCCTATAACCCATATGCGTCTGTATACACTCTATGTAAATAAGTTCACTTTGTGTTATTAAACAGTAAGTTCATCATTAACTCTGTTTTCCTGAGTGTCCCTGTCTCCGCCAGTTAAAGTAGCATCACAACATCTTGGCAGTCAATCCTACAGTCAGGAAGAGCTAAAGACCCTCAGGTGATACTTCAAGCCCTTCCTATCTATGCACACTAGCAAATACAACAAACCTAATTAACGGAAAGAAAAAAAAGGGCTTCAAGCATACTTCAGAATCTACCAAATATTACCATAGCTTTGAGTGCATCTGAAGCACTCCCCCAAATCCACCAACTTAAAACTGAAAAAGAGGAAGAGCTGGAGTTGCCAGCATTCAATAAATCATTAAATACTGTCAGCATGGTTGTCTGCTTGGGATGAGCTCTAAGCCTTGATTGAAATCTCTCCAATAAATCAAATGGAGCAAGGTGATCTTTGTAATTGCCCATAAATAACATTCTGCCCTTATATCTTAGACAGAAAACTAGAATTTGAGACCTGCTGGCAATGAGACAAGCCTCAGATGTCAATGCAGCACACACATCGGGGTGCCAGCCTTAATATCAGAGCAAGTCCAGATTTGAAGAAAATTGTCACAATTTTAAAAACAACAAGGACCGTCAAACTGTCAATGCTAGAGAATATTCTCACACAAAGCAAAATAGGATTGGCTATAATGCTTTCACACCTGCATTCTTGAGTCTAGTCCCTGGAAAGGTAATAAGTGCTGAGAAGGATGGGAATAGAAGAGAATCCAGAGAAACACATACCGGAAGGACCATGGCATTCCCCATTGGCCAGATTTCATAATTGGGATAACTATGGTGACTTTTAGTCGCAATGCAAATGCACTGAACATTTTCACTTGTATTCTCTTTTGTCAGCTCCAATGACTCATACGTTTGAAAAGCTAAAGTTTGTGGAAGCCTCATTTCCCACCGATGAGGTGATATGGGCTTAAATGTCATCATTGAGCAAACTGTGTCGCTCTTTAACTTCCTGGTCAGGACCCAGCCACTCTCGATCTTTCCAGGTAATAGCAAAATAGAAACAAAAACAAAAAACAGAATCTTAATTAAAACTATTATTTCCTTTAATATGAGAAACAAAAAGAGTGCTAACCAATTAATGAATTTAGTATTTGCACTCTGCTTAAGTATAAATGCCTAAATTATTTTTGTGAAGTCAAGTTAGAAGCCCTAACCTATTTATGAAATAAGGTTGTTGAAAATTAGGAAGTGAGTTATCTTCCTAGAAGGTCATTATACCAAATGGTATTGGTGCCCCAGTAACGGTGACCTGCTGCAGGCAGCTGCCAACTCCCTGTCTGTGGGCTTTCTCTCTGCTCCCACCAAACAGGGCTGAAATGCTGGTGAGTTCATACCTCAAGAAGCAGGCTTCGGCTAAGGAGGAATGAGAGTTAATAAATAAATACCCCAGCTTCTCACCACTTCCGAGGGACAATTCTGAAGTGTGTTCTACACTGCCCCCTAAAGGTTCCCAATGGAATTGAGCCTTGTCTCCCCCTGGTGTAGCCTGTCATTAACACACTGTTGGTCTCCTTCCCTTTCTGGTCTCAGCACCTTACTTCCCTGTAGGTACTTCTTGCAATCACAATTGCACATAATTGATTTGCATCTCAATCCTAGACTCAGGGTCTGTTTCTAGGGAAACCCAAGCTTTGATGCCACAAGAGGATTTTATTAGACCAAAAAGAGCTGCACAGATCTTGATAAAAGCTCCCTGTGATTCAGGAAATATAAAAATAAGACTTCCCCACCAGCTTCTAGGAAGTATACACTGCTCCTTCGATAGGCCAAAAAGGGAGAAGTCTGGACTGACATTCTAGTTACGGAGCGTTGGTGGATTGTCAAGTTGTCTGACATTAAGTTTGGAAAGATAAGGGAAATTATTTTTCTCTCAACTATGCAAGCAAAAAACTTAAAATAACTCCCTATAGTGTTAACCCTACTTAGAAACAGATGAATGGCATGCCAGCCTAAAGCCAGTTGTTTGCCCCATGCCTCTTAGAGAAAATTTTAATAGCAAACCTCTGTCAGGGTTTTTCTTTTCCCATTCCTGCCTCTGTTAGTCAGCCTATCAGATATACATGACCATTTAATCCATCAGCATAGTTAATGGATTCCTGAGATCCTTCACTCGTATTTGGAAGTGTCAAGGACACTTTGTGATGCCTGTGGAATTCAGGCTGGAAAGATTCACAGCGGCATGTTGGAGGTGGACAATGAAGTTCTGGCACTTTCTATCCCTTCGAAGAAGAAAACTAGCCTTTCAAGTCTGCAAGACATAGGGACAATAGACCCTTTGGGGCAGTCTGGAGGAGACCCTTTTTTCAGGATTTATACTGGGCAGTGTATCTGTGTGGGAAGGAAGGTGGACTGAAAGGTGAAAGATGCTGGTGCTGGCAAGCAGTGTGACATTGGTAGGTCAACTTGATCTTTCCTCCGCCTTGGTTTCTTTCCCTCTGAAATGAAGGGAAGGAAAGAAAGAATTTTTCAGCTCTTTAATTCTAGTCTCTAAGAGTAATGCTAATTTATTATTCAGGTCAGTGATGGTAATTGTTAAAAAAAAAACAAAAACAAACAAAAAAAAAAAACGGCTGTAATAATCTCCTAGGGCTTGAATGTGTCCTAACTGATGGATACTGGTTTGGGAAATTGTGCTTTTTGTAATTCAAAGTCCCCTTAGCTAAACTCTTTAAGGAATTCCTGTAATAGCCTTGCTGGTAAAATTCAGAAAGTATCTCTCTCTTTCAGCAAAATAAATTCAGAACCTGGGAACATAAAATGAAAAGGAAAAAATGTTCAAGACTTTCAAGACTTTACCAGGAAATGAAAGTTAAGACAATAAAGTTGCAAGTAGTCATTTTGAAAGAAAGTGTGTTCTCATCACCATGCCAGTTGGAAACATACATACTTTTGAGCCCCAACCACTAGTGGTGGGAGCAAACAGTGTTTGGGGTAGAGATGGGGCTTTAGTTCTAACCGTAATTCCCAGTCTCCCCATTATTTCTTAATGTCAATATACACGTTCTCAGGTTTCTTACTGATTATGTAAATTACTTTTCAAATCAACTAAAAGATACTCATCTTCTGCCGGGCGCGGTGGCTCACGCCTGTAATCCCAGCACTTTGGGAGGCCGAGGCGGGCGGATCACGAGGTCAGGAAATCGAGACCATCCTGGCTAACATGGTGAAACCCCGTCTCTACTAAAAATACAAAAATTAGCCGGGCATGGTGGCGGGCGCCTGTAGTCCCAGCTACTCGGGAGGCTGAGGCAGGAGAATGGCGTGAACCCGGGAGGCGGAGGTTGCAGTGAGCCGAGATTGCGCCACTGCACTCCAGCCTGGGGAGAACGAGACTCCGTTTCCAAAAAAAAAAAGAAAGATATTCATTCTCTCCTTACCTCACTCCTTGTTTCTCTACAGTTTGCTATACTTACAATTCCTCACTGTAACACTTCTAAACATGGAATACCTCAACCTGTCCTCCTTTCACAGATGGAGAAAGTAAGTTTCAGAAGTACTAAGTAAGGAATGTAGCCAAGATGCAAACCTATGTGGGCCCAAATCATATATAATATTTTTCTCCTTTAAATGTTATTCATTTTAATTATTGCATATATAGTAATGTTCATTGTAACACAAAAAATAGAAGATGTATGAAGAAAAATATGAAAATTATTGTCTAACTTTAGAATCTTGATCTTTGGAAAGATGTTTATGACATGTTAGTCTTTTATTTTTATATTTTTATACAGATGCACCTTGGCTTACTGTGGGGTTATGTCCTGATAAAGCCATCATAAATTGAAAATATTAAAAGTTCATTTTTAGCTTATAATATTTTCAATTTATAACAGCTTTATCCAGACATAGCCCCATTGTAGGTGGAGTAGCATGCTGACTGCATATTGCTTTTGGACCATTGTAAAGTTGAAAAATCGTAACTCAAACCATTCTAAGTTGGGGACTGTCAGTACAGTCATATATGTCTGTCCCTTACTGGCCAAACTTCTGCAGATATTATCCTAGAATTTCTGCTAATTTTTCTTCTTCTGCATTTGCACATTTGATGAACCAGGGGTTTATTTTTTATATGGTAATAAGATAGGTATCTAGTTTTATTTTCTCTTCTATAGATAAGTTACCAAATAAAGCATCTTTTTTTCCAGTGAACTGAAATCCCACCTTTGCCACATTTCTGGTTCCCATTTGTACTTGGTTCTATGTCTGGACTATTCTATCCATTGACCTCTTTGTCTGCTCTAATAGTGAAATGTTTTGATTGCAGTGGCTGTAGTAGGCTGAGAAATGCCACCTCCCCCACTCCAAAAGATATCCACACCTTAATCACAGGAACCTGTAAATGTTACCTTATTTAAATTTATAAAAAGCTTCTGTAAATGTGATTTTGAGGATTTTGAGATGAGAAGATTATCCCGGATTATTGGCATAGGCCTTAAATGCCATCACAAAATATGTGCTTATAAGAGAAGACAGAGGGAAATTACAAAGACAGAAAATCACAGAGGCAGAGACCAGAGTGATGTAGCCACAAGTAAGGGAGTACTAGAAGCCAACAGAGGCTGGAAGAGGCAGGGAACGAAAGACCTCCTAGAGCCTCCAGCACAAGCATAACCTTGAGGATTCCTTGATTTCAAACTTCTCCAGAACTGTGAGATAATAAATCTCTGTTGTTTTAAGCCAAGTTTGTAGTAATTTACTACAGGAATAATAGAAAACTAATATAAGAGCTTTTTACATTTTTAATAAATGTTAAATCACATGTCTAGTCATTCCTTTTTCAAAATCTTGAATTTTATTTAGTCTTTCAATGGAATTATTAATTATTTTGACCAAGTCCAATTCAGATTAAGATTGCATTATATTTATATATTAAATTGGGATAAATTGGTATTTTTATGATATTAGTCCTCCCATCCAAAAATAAGGTATTTTTCAAAATCCCTTGTTTGATATACTTGAGTAAGATTTTATAATTTTCTTCATTTCTGACATATAACTAAAAAAAATGAGAAGGATATAAGTATTTTATTATTTTGTTACTAGTACAAATAATTTCTTCCCATTTCTAACTTGGTTATTCTGTTATAGAAAGAGGCTGTCGATTTTATGTATTTATCCAGTCCCTCTCACCCCCAATCTCTATGTTCTCCTAATTATTTTAATAGTTGCTTATAGTTGCTTTAGTGGAGTCTGTTTAATTTTGTAAGAATACAATAACTGAATCTCTTCCTTTGCTGTATTTATGCTGATTATTTTATTTACTATTTTCATTGCATCAATTAGCACTTGTCAAACACTGTTCAATTTCCATAGTAATAAAAGTCATCTCTAATTTTTCCATATTGTAACAAAATTGATTTCAGGATTTTACCATCCATTCTCATGTTTTCTGTTAAGTAAATAATCTTTATCATGGCTACTTCCCTTCTATTCAAATTTTACTTAAATTTTTTTTTTTAAGACTAGATGATGAATTTTATAAAGTAACCCTTCACTAGCTAGTGGTATAATTATATGGTTTTCCCTCTAATTTGTTGAAATATGGAGCCACGTAATATATTTCAAAATTTGAAATCTCTTTGAATTCTTCGAATAAGTACCATTCGGGTGTGACAATCTTATTCTCCTACTATTCAGCTGAAATTTCTTTGCTAACGCTTTATTTTTTAAAATCTCCATCTGTATTCACAAGTAACTTGATTCACAGATTTATTTTATATATGAACCTTAACAGGTTTTGCCATTAAGCTTATGTAAGTTTGATAAAATGAACAAGAACACTATCCATCATTTTTCTGCAGTCCTTAATCACTCAAATTGCAGAGAAGTTTTTTTAGCTTTTAAAACTTAGGCCAAATTTGACTATAAAACTCACTGGGCCTAGTGATATTTTTAAATGAAAGTTATTTAATTATTTTACCAGCAATTTACTGGTTATTGACCTAATCGAATGTTTTCAATCGTGCTGGGTCAATTTTATTTGATTATACTTTTTCAGATAATAAAATTTATTGCCATGTATTTATATATAATACTCTCCAATAATTTTTAAATCTCTCATAGATCTATGGTTTCTCTGCCTTCTGATGTCTTATATTCTACATTTTTGCTTTTTTAAAAAAATCAATACTTGCCAATCTACTTTGTCCTTTCAATGAAACTCTTTTTTCTGTTTTCTATTATTTTTTCTATTTCTATTTTTTTGATAATTTACATCTTTTCTCATTTATATTGGTTCCCATTGTTTTTCTGATTTCTTAATTTGAAGTTCACCTACTTATAGTTATTTTTAAATTACAAAAGCAATAAAGATATATTTTTGCATAATATAGCTGTAATTACATCCCACAGGTTTTTGTACAAAATGTTTTTTTTCCACTATTTTCCAAATACCTTAAATAGTATGTAATTTTACTTTAATTTCTTTATTGATCTAGTAATTATTTAGAAGAATATTTTTAACTTCCATGTAGTTATTATTTCTGACCTTTTAATTGCTTATTTCTAGCTTAATAGAGAATGTGTTTTATAAAATCTTTATTTTGGATTATTTTATTAAGACTTTCTTTGTGGCTACATACATGATCAATACTAGTAGATTCTCCGTCAAAATAGGGAAGAATGTACATTTTCTGTCTCTAGTTTACAAAAAGAAAGGTCTATATTCACTACTCACAATGTCCATATCCTAACATGTTTCTACTAAGTTGAGTTTGTTGATTATATTCTTTAGTATATTGTTTCTTACTTTTTGCTTATTTGATATTTAGAATTCAAAAAGCTATTTATCAACGGTTACATTATAATTGCGCATTGTCAAAGTTTTCTTGTATTTCTAGTTTGTTTTGGCAGACATGGTGATACATAAATTTTTGCAACTTTTGAATAAAATGCTTACTATTATTTCTTCTCTCAGTTTGATATTTTATTGTTGTATTTTGTTTTGTTTGCCATTAATATTCTCACCTTAGCTTCATTTTTACCCTGATTTCCTAGTGTATCTTTGATAAATTATTATCCATATTTTATCATCAGTGTTTTATGTATCATAATTCTAAATAGCATGAAGTTGATTATTTTTGCTTTATACACTGATAATCTTTCTACTCTGATAGAATTTGACTGATTTATATTTATTTTAATAACTGATATAAAGTTTATTTGTCCAAAATATTTTGTGTGCTCTCTGTTGCATTGTGTTGCTTTTCTTTTCCTTGTAACTATAAACATGTAACAGCAGGGGCCATTGCTGATCCCACCTTTCTGTACTTTGCACATTCCCCTATCTTGAGCTCCATGTTGTGAATCTATTATTATTATTTGATAGACTGTGTCCTTGAACTGCGTCCTTGAATGTTTTCCTCAAAACTCATGAAGTTTTGTTTTCTAGTTATTCCTCTACTACTCTGAGACCTGGCCACTGTGAAAAGACTTGCCTATTGCTGGCACTGATAGATGATCTCTTGGCCAGGTAAAGCATTACAGAACTCTAGTCCTTTTGGCTAAATTGTTTGTTCATGAGAAGTCAAATGCTTGCCTCTCCAGGTAGAAGTGCTAATCCTTTCCCCATATAAGGTCTAGCAGCAGCCCAGGCCACTGGGGCTTCCTCTAGGCTTACTGGGGTCACAGGGTCAGAGAGCCTCTCCACAGATCACATGCCCTGAGTAGGGGGGTGCATTTCCTCTCCAAGGCCTCTCCCGGATGAGCCTCCCCTAAGTAGCTGCAAAATCTGTAGACTTCAATCTGGATCTCTAGAAAAAGCCAGCTGCTTCTACCAAGGTGCCAGGGCTCTCCATCCCTGGAAAGATCAGGAGCGTGTGTATCTCAGATGTTCCCTTCCAATTCTCAGACTATTTTGTTTCTGCAGAGAGGAAGGAGAGGGGTTGGGGTACAAGGATGAATTTTGATATGTGGTCCTAGGCTACCTTCCTTCTGGTATGCTTCATACCTGTTTATCATTATTGCAATGACTCTTATATACATTTTCTTTTTATCACCACAAAAATGCTTAAAATAGGAGGGGACTACAATCCTACTTTATAGAAAAGGACACCAAGGCTCAGCAAGTGGTAGTATTAGTCTGTTTTCACGTTGCTGATAAAGACATACCTGAGATTGGGCAATTTACAAAGGAAAGAGATTTAATGGAGAACTCATAGTTCCACGTGGCTAGGGAAGCCTCACAATCATGTAACAAGGCAAGGAGGAGCAAGTCACATCTTATGTGTAAGGCAGCAGGCAAAAAGAGGGCCTATGCAGAGAAACTCCCATTTTTAAAAACCATCAGATCTAGTGAGACCCATTCACTATCACGAGAACAGCATGGGAGAGGCCCACCCCCATGATTCAATAATCTCCCACCAGGTTTCTCTCACAACATGTGGTTATTATGGGAGCTACAAGATGAGATTTGGGTGGGGACAAAGAGCCAAACCGTATCATTTTGCCTCTGGCCCCTCTCAAATCTCATGTCTTCACATTTCAAAACCAATCATGCCTTCTCAACAGTCCCCCAAAGTCTCAACTCAACTCAAAAAGTTCACAGTCCAAAGTGTCATCCGAGACAAGGCAAGTCCCTTCTGCCTACGAGCCTGAAAAATCAAAGGCAAGTTAGTTACTTCCTAGACACAATGCGGGTACAGGGATTGGGTAAATACAGTCATTCCAAATGGGAGAAATTGGCCAAAACAAAGGGGCTACAGGCCCCATGCAAGTCTGAAACCCAGCAGGGCTGTCAAATCTTAAAACTCCAAAGTGATCTCCTTTGACTCCTTGTCTCATATCCAGGTCACACTGATGAAAGAGGTAGGTTCCCGTAATCTTGGGCAGCTCCACCCCTGTGGCTTTGCAGGGTACAGCCTTCTCCTGGCTGCTTTCACAAGCTGGCATTGAGTGTCTGTGGCTTTTCCAGGTGCACAGCACAAGCCATTGGTGGATCTACCATTGTGGGATCTGGAGGATGGTGGCCCTTTTCTCACAGCTCCACCAGGCAGTGCCCCAGTAGGGACTCTGTGTGGGGGCTCTGACCCCCACATGTCCCTTCTGCATTGCTCTAGCAGAGGTTCTCTATCAGAGCCCTGTCCCTGCAGCAAACTTCTGCCTGGGCATCCAGGTGTTTCCATACATCTTCTGAAATCTAGGCAGAAGTTCCCAAACCTCAGTTCTTGACTTCTGTGGACCCACAGGCTCAACAGCATGTGGAAGCTGCCAAGGCTTGGGGCTTAAACCCTCTGAAGCAACAGCCCTGGCTGTACCCTGGGCCCTTTTAGTAATGGCTGGAGCACCTGGGACACAGGGCACCAAGTCCCTAGACTGCATACAGCAGAGAGACCCTGGGCTTGTCCCACAAAACCATTTTTTCCTCCTAAACCTCCACACTTGTGATGAGAGGGGTTGCCATGAGGACCTCTGACATGCCCTGGAGATATTTTCCCCATTGTCTTGGGGATTAACATTCAGCTCATTACTTATGCAAATTTCTGCAGCTGGCTTTAATTTCTTCTCAGAAAATGGGATTTTATTTTCTATCACATTGTCAGGCTACACATTTTTCTATCTTTTATGCTCTGCTTCCCTTAAAAACCTGAATGCCTTTAACAGCACGCAAGTCACCTCTTGAATGCTTTGCTGCTTAGAATTTCTTCTGCCAGATACCCTAAATCATCTCTCTCAAGTTCAAAGTTCCACAAATCTCGAGGGCAGAGGCAAAATGCCGCCAGTCTCTTTGCTAAAACATAACAAGGGTCATCTTTGCTCCAGTTCCCAAAAATTCCTCATTTCCATCTGAGACCACCTCAGCGTGGACTTTATTCTCCATATTGCTATCAGCATCTTGAGCAAAGCCATTCAACAAGTCTCTAGGGAGTTCCAAACTTTCCCACATTTTCCCGTCTTCTTCTGACCCCTCCAAATTGTTCCAACCTCGCCTGTTACCCAGCTCCAAAGTCGCTTCCACATTTTTGGTTATCTTTTCAGCAGTACCCCATTCCTAGTACCAATTTACTGTATTAGTCCGTTTTCACACTGCTAATAATGACATACCCGAGAATGGGCAATTTACAAAGGAAAGAGATTTAATGGAAAACTCACAGCTCCACGTGGTTGGGGAAGCCTCACAAAACATGGCAGAAGGCAAGGAGGAGCAAATCACATCTTATGTGGATGACGGCAAAGAGAAGGCTTGTGCAGAGAAACTCCCATTTTTAAAACCATCAGCTCGGCCGGGCGCAGTGGCTCATGCCTGTAATCCCAGCACTTTGGGAGGCCGAGGCAGGTGGATCACGAGGTCAGGAGGTCGAGACCATCCTGGCTAACATGGTGAAACCCCGTCTCTACTAAAAATACAAAAAATTAGCTGGGCATGGTGGCAGGCGCCTGTAGTCCCAGCTACTCTGGAGGCTGAGGCAGGAGAATGGCATGAACCCGGGAGGCGTAGCTTGCAGTGAGCCGAGATTGCACCACTGCACTCCAGCCTGGGCGACAGAGCGAGACTCCGTCTCAAAAAAAAAAAAAAAAAAAAAAAAAAAAACAGTATGGGAAAGATCTGCCCCCACGATTCAGTCATCTCCCTCCAGGTTCCTCCCACAACATGTGGGAATTACGGGAGCTACCAGATGAGTTTTGGGTGGGGACAAAGAGCCAAACCATATCAGTGGTTGACTTATCCAAGGTCCTATGGCCAGTGAGTCACAAGGACAAGCAAGGGTTCTCCCATGTTCTGAGGTGCACTCCAGTCACTTGGAATTGCCCTGTGCCCAATTCTACTACTGGAGGGATTTTTCAAAAGTGCAATTTGCTTTACTGAGTTCTAAAACACAACAAATAGAATATTACCCAAGAAAAGGGGGTGGGGAACTTCTCCTGTTATCAGCAAAAAATCAAATGGAATTCTCAGACATTCAATTGCTGGCCCTCTTTTTAGCCTACCATATATGTATATTTTTTTTCTTTACATCTATATTCCTACTCAAACAGGTGATCAGTTCTATAAGGAAATCTATGAGGGGTTTGAGAGCCTACACAAATCTTTTTGAATCACAGCCAATATTTTCTGGATCAAGAAGAATGATGAAAAATGTTCTGCAGCATCACATAATTACCATTAACAAGATTTGTCTCTGAAGCTGCTCTTTTGTAAGAACTGCAAGGAAGGGGGCTATTGCAGCACAGTAAGAGACAAATTACATTTCCCATTGTAAGTTTGCAGCGAAACATTGTAAGTATCTTGAACAATAGGGTACACACATTAAAATCTTCTTATGCCAGAGGAAGTCTATATTTTATAAAACCATACACCTGCTACTTATGCTGAAAAGTTGAAGAAAACTGGGTCTGAATCAGTGACTTATAGTGGTGCTTCTCAAACTTTGGGGTGCATCAGGATCACCTGGGGGCTCATTCAAACACAGATTTCTGGACCCCAGCTGCCCCCAGAGATTCTGATTCTGCAAATCTTGAGCAGCCTGAGATTCTGCAGTTCTATGAAGCTTCCAGGTAGTGTCAATGCTGGTGCTAGGCTGACCATAGTATAGGACTGCTGGCTTGGAGGATATGCAGCTGTCCAGCCTGGTGTCAGTAGTAGCTGGGGTTTGTCTTTCAAGGCCCTTGCTATTCTTTGATAGCTCCTCTTTCCCCCACCTCCAAGTCCTGAAATCTTTCTCATTCTTGCCCTTAACAATTCCTGACTGAAATGAGGAGAACTGCTGGGGGGTAGCACCATTTCTAGGGTACATTCATGTTAGTAAGATACACTTAAGTACCAAAACCTCAAAAACGAATATGAAAGACCTGGGAATTGGACAAATTTGTTCATAAATGAAAATTCTATCTGCTGTGCACCGCCCAAACTGTTCTGAGGAGGTAACTGCCTACCTCATGTGCAATTCACATGGGTCTCGTTTGTTTCAGAAGGGTTCAGAGCACTGAGGACACACAAGGGAGAGTGGGGAAAAATTAATTAATTTCTCTTAAAGTTGTATCTTCTTGGATGTTTGCACTCCTCCTGTCCTCTCTGTAGAAGTTATGATGCATATTTCATAAAACTATAAAAACTATCTTGGGTAGGGGTGAGGGTAAGTGTTGGGGAGGGAACTAGAAAAGTACAAACGCATGAAAAAAACACTCACCGCATTGACCTCAAAATGCCCAAATCTAAAGAGACTCCACAAAGACCTATGAAAACCGCAGCAGGCAATCTCTTTTGTTTTATGGAATGAAGGTTCAGGAGCAGTTGAGACACGAGGCATAATTGAGAGGCACCGAAATAAGGACAGCAGTGCCTCCATCCAAAAATAATCAAAGTTGTAACAACCCTGAGATGTCAGACGCTGGCTGCTTGCTTTAACAGGCATAGACATCAAGTCAAGGTAGAAAGCTTTGTAATATCCAGCTGCATCATTTACCTTTGACTGTAAGAGAAAGGCCATGAGGCTGCCCACTTATCTTGGGGGGTGCACCTGGATTCGATTTTGAAAGTCAAGAGCTCTCAAAAGAGGTTGTGAGAGAGAGGTCTGGGAGATGTTTGGTCAAGTTTGCTCAAAGTTAACAGTCAAAATGTTTTTCTTAGTCAATTTCTTTTTTTCAAATCCTCTTCCCGTGAAAAAATTCCTGTTTGACACTGCATCATGATAAATGACTATGTATTCCATTCACTCACTGATCTCTGGATTGGTTAAAGGCAGTAAGCATGACTTACTAACCTCTTTGTTCCTGGCATCTAGAATAGCACCTGGTACACAGGAGGGGTAAAATAACTGTTCTTGCTATGGTTCTGCTGGGTCCAGGTTGTATCCATATATTGTTATCTCTTAGAAATGCAACTGTGAGGGAAGCTGCTTCCATTTTACCCAACACCAAAGAAATGGAAGTGCATTATGTCAATAACATTCATGTTTTGAGTGCCAACCATTTTGCATGCTTCATCTCATCCAATTTTGCCAATTCTGTGAAGTAGGAGTGATTACTACCATGTTAGAGGTGTGGAAACTGAGGCTTGGAGGCATGATTTGCCCAGAATCATGCAGTTAGGAACTAGAAATCTAGGCTTTGTGGCAGAGCTCTTAGCTAACAGGCTCATACTATCTTTATTCTGCCACTCTCCTTTCCTGCCCCATAGGGGGTCTAAGGACCTGAGAAAAACAGCAGAAAAGCACTCAGGGATCTCCTTTGATACTCAACAGTTTTCATAACATACCCAGAATTATCAGTAACCTAAACCAACAGCATGGTACAAGTTGTCTACTCCCTATCCTGAACCAGTTCATGCCTCTAGCATCTCAGCCTTTATTCAGCCCACATTTATTGAGCACTTTCTCCAGACCAGACTTCATACCAGGTGCTTAAAAAAAAATCACTGCAACAGACACTTGATCTCACCTCTCAGGAGTCCCCAGTTGTTAGAGAAAAAACTCAAACAACTTTTAAGCACTGAGGAAAGTTTTTTTTAAGTGCAATAAAGTATAAGACAAAGGAGTCCATCTTTCAGAACTGAACTTCCTAAATAAAAACAGAAAATGTCATGCACTCAAACCTCTTTAGCTTTCTCAAAGCGGTAGTATTAATAGGAGAGCAAAGAGCTCTGGACGAGCCAGAAGTCATTCCTATTCCACCTGCATTCCCTACCAGCACACATGTGGTTCACTCAGACGGGCTCAAGCAGGCCAGGCGAAGCCCTCTTAAGAGGCAGAGATTTCTGTTCCTGGGCCAATTTAATTATTTAAATTTTTGCAAACATTTACTCACATTCGATGGCAGATCTGTCTGCTAAAATTAGACAGTCCTACAGTGGTCACAAATGACAGATTCCTACAATCTATGAATCTTCAAGGGTACTCCCCAATCCTGCTGTACATACAAAGGGGTTACAATTAGACCACTCATTGTAAAGGCCAATTATATGTCCTCAGTAAAAAGAGGGGGGCAGTGGTGATCTGGAGCCTGCTTATACCAGCTCCCAGGAGCCAGTCCTAAATTTTTCAGAATTCTGTGAGCCAGCTGTTAAACATGGCCATTATTAGAAATGGAATTATACAAACTTGAAGTAAAATAAATTATAACAAAAACAAAAGTAACAAATAATCACAAGTTATCATCTATTTTATGACATTTACTACTATTATACTCTTGAGGTTTTTTGCAGTTATTGTGCCTGCATGGTGAGAAAACTTCCCAGCTCTGTGTTCTAAGAAGTCAAGTTGTTAATTTGAAATCCATCACAGTGGGAGTATTTATATCATGATATTCAGCCAATCACAAGGCCTTTTCCACTCTTAGAGACATTTGTTAAACATTACCAGCACAGCACTAGATAAGAGGGTTTTCTATCAGATTGGTTCAAAAGTAATTGCGGTTTTTGCCATTACCTTTAATGGTAAAACTGCAATTACTTTTGCACCAACCTAATACCAGAAAATTGCAAGCAGCATAACTTTCACCACAGGTACAAAGCAAATATAGGCACAGACACAGCTGAAAAAAAAACAACCTGCAGGGAAGAAAGATGCAAACTAGTCAACTTGAGGGTGACAATTGTGTTAGAAGTATAGAATATGACTCAGGCAACCTTCTCATCCATGCCATCCAGACTGGCCTATAGTTGATTGGATCATTAAGGGTCGAGAAGGAAGAAATTTGTCAGAATATTCCCAGATTTCCAAAGACATCCAACCCAGAACACAATGACAGCATCTCCTCAGCACTTACCACCAGGAAAGAGGTCCAGATGATATGAAGACAGGAATAAACCAGATTGTCCATGAACCAGAAATAATCCAGACAGACTCAATGAGAGCAAAATCTCCATCACTGCAGGATGGCAGGATCACCCTGGGAACCGAGAAAGGTTAACCTGAGTGATAGGGCACATGAGATGAACTTGATTGTTTTAGGACTAAATGTTTTTATTCAATTGACAATTAGAGATCACTCAAGTTTTACATCTTTGAGGAAATAGTCTGTAGTACAGTATTGTCCAATAAATCTTTCTGCAGTGATGGAAACATCCTATCAATACGCACTGCCCAAAAGAACAGCCACTTCATCTAACTGTTGAGCACTTAAAATGTGATCAATGCAACTTAGGGACTAAATTATATGTTGTACTTAACTTTAATTACTATAAATTTAAATGTTCATGACCTCATATGGATAATGGCTATCATATTGGACAAAGCAGCTTTAGTGAATCTGAAGCTTGGAAGCATCATTCAATCAATCAGGGTGAATGTAAGTCATAAAGTTGGGGTAATAATAAGTAGGACAAAGGGTAGTTCCCTGATTGAGCTGGGTTTATTAAAGAAGTTCAGTTCTTTAGGCTACACATCTATAATTATAAATTCCTGAAGTGTCCACCGTGAATACTAAATTACCATTATATTTCTTAAAAAGCCAGTCCCATCTCTTAATGGTGCCACCTTAATCAGCATCCTGGAAGTGGTCAGCTGACCCCAATCAGCATCCCAGAAGTGGTCCCCCCTGAGAGAGGTCAGAAGGCACTTGGTGGGCTTGTCTCTTCTAGCTTTTGTCATCAGTTTCGTCAGCATTTGGATGTAGTAAAGTGCAATTCTTGGTCTATCCTGGTCAAGGCAGGTAGAAAAATCACATCCTCGCACTTGTCAAACCATAGGGTTTTCCAGGGGCTTTACTGAGCTACAGCCTCCATCTGATCCCTGCCATTTCACACCAACCGTGGAACTAGAATGTCACCTAATCCCCCTGGTTTTCACCCCTGTCTTCACATCTCTGCTGGGCCTGGAACTTCTAGTAGCTTCACCCTCAGCTTCTACAGGGCCCTCCATCAAATCAGACAGGCACAATACAACCTGGAGAACTGCAGCATCACGGCTCACTTACCAGACCCAAACTCCTTGGATTCTGGGCCCACCCAGCTTCCATTTTGTTATTCCCATTTCACAAGGTAAAATTGTACTTGGGCACAATTCTGGAAGAAGGAAAGAGGCAGAACCTAGAGGTGAAGGTGACCCTTCTTGGCCAGTGGTAGAACTGGCTCTAGTGTTTATCTTGTGGGGACCTCCATGCTAACTTCAAAAAGAACTCAGACAATCTTTGAGGCTAGTTGGAGTTTTATTTCTATCAAAGCATAACAACTGGGCTCCTGAAATAAAGAAGGCTGTATTTCTATCATTCCAGTTATTAGACAAGAGTTGGAAATTTTGATTGGCTTGGGGCTTTGTTTTTTTCTCTTTTTCTTTTTTTTTTTTTTTTTTTTTGAGCTGTTTTCTTTGTGTTCTTATTTATTTAGGTATAGATGGGTTTGTTAAGGTGTAAATTACATTCTATAAAATTCACCCTTTGCCATATGGTTCTATGAGTATTAACAAACACATATAATCTGGTAGCTACCACCCTAAACAATGTATAAAACAGTTCCAATCACAATAAAAATCCCTCATGTTCTTTGTAATCAATCCCTCCCCTACTCCCAAGCAACCACTGATCTGTTTTCTACTCCTGTAGTTCTTCCTTTTCCAGAATTTCATATAAATGGAATCATACAGTATTTAGCCTTTTTAGTCTGATCTCTTTCACTTAGAATAATGTATTTAAGAATGAAATATTCAACTTCCCTTTTCACTGTGTAGCTAACAATAACACGGCATCACAGCAAGAGCTGTAATGAGATGTGTCCAGGAAGAAATAGAGACACCCACCAACACTGGCAACAGGGCAGGGAAGTCTTCTCAGAGGAGGACATAATCTACTGAGGCCAAAAAGTAAGCCAAGCACCAAGTGCTAAGGAAAAAGACTTTCAGGTACTGAAAACTCATGCCCAAAGACAGGGAAGACATTAAAATAAACAAGCTTTCTACCTGGAAAGAGAAGCTACTTGACGGTAAAGAGTCCTATATTTTAGCCTAGGGTCCGAGGCAAATGTAAACCTGCAACTCTAAGACTCAAATACTTCTAACCAGCAAGGATTCCGACCTTATTGCCATACCCATCTCTTCATTTGTTTCAACAGTGATAAAAGGCAAAAGTCCTTCAAGCTGGAAATCCATCCATTGAACATACAGATTCTACAGCAAACCTCACCCATGAGATCAGGGACTGGAGCCAAGTTGTGAGTTCCTGCTCTAATTTCCCCTGACGCGTAAACAGGAGAACATTATTTATCATTTATTGGGAGTATATATCCATTAGCTTTCCCATGGGAATATTAACAGGATGAAACTGAAAAAATAAACTACAGAGTTTTCAGCCAAGTGTTTCTAGATTCATGGGCAGCAGATCAGCTCAGTGGGCAACCAATTGTTTTATCTTGGACAAGTCCCTTGACTTTTCTGGTCCTATGTTCTTTTCTGTTACAAACAAAAGAGAAAGAAAAAGAATAAAGTTGAATCAGGCCATTTCAGAAATTCCTTCTAGCGCTCTTGTTTTATGGTTTTATAAGTTGAGGTCAAGATGATTGCACTTAAGGAAACTTGCAGCACACTCTGAAACGGGGCTAGAATAAAGGCCCCATTCACAGTACCAGGGTTCAGTGAGTACAATGTGGCTTTTTGTTGGGGTGGTGGGTGGAGGGGTGGAGAGAGAATCTGGGAGGTCTGGCATTCACTCTCTCCACCACAGATCCTAAATGAGTCACTAAAATTATGGTAGCAATGGTGAATGTGAAAAGAAAAGAGGAAATAGAGCTCCCACCAATCCTAATAATGTTCTTGTACCTCTCCTGGGCCAGCAGAAACAGTTCTGGAGGCCACTGGGCCTGGCCAGACTCTTGTCTTTATTAAAAGGCAAATGCAGCCACATCTGTTCTCATAAGCTCAAATATCGTTCTAGTCTATTTACCCTGGGACTGTTGGAAAAGCTGTTATAAATCAGGCTGGAACCATGTGTCACAGGCTCCAGAGGGCACAGAACTATTTCCAAAGAGTAGATCACGCTCCAATTTTCCACTTTCCCCACTGCCCCGCTGCCTCTCCACCTCGTCTCTACTTTGTATTTGTCCTCTGTCCTACAGCTCTGCCATCATCACCAGGAGGATTTCCAGGAGCACCTCTCCTCTGGGGGGATGATACGACACTTTTTCCCAGCCCCTGTTTGCATGTAGTGATATTCTGACCCATCAGGGAAACCCAAGAAGGTTTGGGTTCTAGCATGAGCCACAGATTTCTGGCACGTAAGAACTAGAAAAGAAGGGAAGACCCCAGAAACACTAAGTTAACTGATATTCAAACCTTTTTTTAATTTTTAACTTTTAGAGACAAGGGCTCTTTATGTTTCCCAGGCTGGTCTCAAACTCCTGGGCTCAAGTAATTCTCCCACCTTAGCCTAATGAGGAGCTGGGACTACAGGTGAGAGCCACTGCAACCAGCTCAAACCTTTTCTTTTTTTTGGAACCAGGGCAAAGTCTCTCAAACATTGCATGGAAAACTAAAATGGAAAAGTGATAAAAGTTGCAGAAACAGGGCAGAGAGGTGAAGTGGAGGGGGAAGGGCAGAAATCTTAAGCTCAGTCCCTTATCCTTAACACATACATACTCACGCATGCACGTACATACATGCACACCGACACTGTTGAGGAAACAATAAAAAACAACAACGAAGTCTTCTTCCAACCCACAAATCATCTCCACAAAGCTAGTAAAGAAGCACTCTTATTGTTGGATAAGATTATATGTTCATTAGCTTTCTCATGGATTATTAACAGGATGAAATTGAGAAAATAATTTGCAGTTTTTAGCCAAGTGTTCCTAGATTCAGGGGCATCAGAAAAACCAGAATGTGCTGAGCATCACTGGCAACCTAGTAAGAGATTGCAAAGACAGGAAGAACTCACAGTCACCCTTCCACGCAGCCAAACATATTCAACCCACTACATACGTGTGCTGGAGATAAACAATAACTAGTGCTCAAGCAAGAGGATTGGACAGCACCATTTGCCACAAATAGCTGATCCTAACTTTACTTGGTAATTGGGGTGACAAGCTATGTTAGCTAATTGACTTTATCCAGAGGAAAAAAAATCATGCAAATACCTGTCTTTTCGAAAAGAGGTGGTTTTACAACTTGGTGTGAAATGCCCACTGAAGTTAACCTCTTACCCTTCCATAGAAATAAAATTTAAAAAAAAAATAAAATTAATAACTAAAAATAAACTGAAAAAGAGATAGGGTCCTATCTCCCTTGGTGTTAGCATTCCAAAGAGATGGCTCCCAGGACCTGGAGAAAGACATTCAAAAAGTGGCTCAGATCATTTCTAAAATATACTTTGTCAAGTAATAAATAATGTACTTACATTTACAAGTTTTCCAAGATAAGTATCCTGACAAAGAGAGAGAGAAAGGAAATCCCTTCCCTTATTTTCGGCAGGAGGAACTAAGCCTCTTATTTTTAATTTGTATTTGTCCTCACAACACATGTACGGGTGTCCACACTCTCACACACAACACTTACTTCAATTACCAATAATCCTGAACTAAACAGCTCACACCTGCTGTTCTGAAACCACCCTGTCTCATTCCTGCTGAGGACTTTATCAGCAGGGGTAACATCAGAGTCAGGGCCATATCACAAACCCAACATACTTTCTATCCCCTCAGCTCCAGCAGTTAGCGTCAGACCAGTGACGCCCGCCCTGGCTTCACATCAGAACAATGCAATGCTTGGGCCACCTGTGGTCAATTAAATCTGAATCTCAGGAAATGGGCCTGAACACTGGTATGGTTCAAAGAGGAAACAGGTGATTCTAATTTGCATCCAAGGTTGAGATCCACTTAGCTAAAGGCACCAAGAGGAAACTGACAGGCTTAGTAAGACAGTGGCCCTCAGCTCTGGCTCTGCACTGGAATGCTAGGGAAGCTTATAAAAACCACAAGCGTTGGCTGCATCCAGGCCTAATATACCAGGCTCTCTGCAGCTAGGATTCAAGTAATGATATTTCTTAATGCTCCCTGGGCAAGCTCAATATGCAACCGAGACCCAGAAGCATGGGTTAAGAGTTGGCTCCTTGGCCGGGTGCGGTGGCTTATGCCTGTAATCCCAGCACTTTGGGAGGCTGAGGCAGGTGGATCACGAGGTCAAGAGATCGAGACCATCCTGGCTAACACGTTGAAACCCCGTCTCTACTAAAAAATACAAAAAAAAAAAAAATTAGCCGGGCTTGGTGGCAGACACCTGTAGTCCCAGCTACTCGGGAAGCTGAAGCAGAATGGTGTGAACCCAGAGGTAGAGTTGCAGTGAGCCAAGATCATGCTACTGCACTCCAGCCTGTGCAACAGAGCAAGACCCCGCCTAAAAAAAAAAAAAAACAAGAGTTGGCTTCTTAAGAGCAGCAGCTGGTTCAGAGCCTGCTTCTGTGGCTATAAACTCTTAGGCAAGGGCCTTACCGCCTTCATACCCCTTCTACCCCCTACTGTAGGGGTAGATCCCTGGTACCTATTGAGTAGTGTGTCCATCAAATGACATAATTTTGAATCATGTTTAGTGCAGTGCATGTCAGACGTTAGTTCTCAATAAATTGTAGCCATTATTATTGTAGAAATGTGTAATAAATAAAAACAGAAAATTCTGTTTAAAGCCATTGTTGTCCTAGAGATAGACTAGTCCATTAAACTACCTAATGGTAACTTTTCCTTCTATATGACTCTGTTTACTTTGTGAAGCTGACAGAAAGAGTAAGGTTCATTTCTGTCTGTGCTATTCCTTCTGTCCTTACTATCCTGGTCCCCTTTTGTCATCAAACTAAAGAAAAATACTTCTAGGCAAAAAAACAAAACAAAACAAAACCCTTCTCCTACCTGGTGCTGACAGCCCAGTCCTGCACGTCTAGGTCCTCCATGTCCCGGGCAGAAGCGTTGGGCTCGGGCAGAGAAGATGAGGTTTTTTAAATTAAGATTAAAGAGGTAAAATGTCTGTACCTGTGGATCGCAGAGTTTAGCTGATATTGGAATCACCTGGCTGGCTTGTTAAACCACAAGCTGGACGGACCCTGGTCCTCAGAGTTGCTGATTTAGTAGGTCTGGGGTGGGACCTCAGATTCTACAGTCCTATTAAGTTCCCTAGTGTCGTGGATGAACCTGGTTCAGCTACCACACTTGGAGAACCACTGGTCTATCCCATTCCTCTCTTTTTCTTTCCTCTTTGTCATGCAAGCAATAAAAGAACATTCTGGTGCCTGTCCTTTGTTCTTTCTGCACTTCCATTACAACCCAACCTTGGCAATGGTTTGAGGCAATGCTTGAGAAATTCTTCACAAGGCTCCACTTCAGGCAATTTTCAAAGGAAATAATAGATACATAAACAGACTTGGCAGTTTTGAGAGAAGGCCCTGCCTATTCACCGTGCCATCTGATAAAGGCCCTTTGTCTCAGGCATAGGGAGAGACAGCATTGTTGATAGGAGCTGATTTCAGATGAAATTCTTGTTTTCATTTTGCTCTTGTTTTTCATCTCCACTCCCATGTTTTTCTCACCACATCCTGGGTTAACTCCATTTTGTGCCCCGGGAAATTGTCTATCACAAAATTCAGAAGGCTGAGAGCACTTTAGAAATGTAAATTTATGACCATATCTCTAATGCTGTGGTATACTAGAAAATGGTAAATAAATAAGAGCCTTTTCTGAAATACCAACGAATTTAAATTTAAGACTAAGAACTTTTCTTTTGCTAGGACTGGAACATGCTGAAAAACAGCAAACACAAGGTCAAGCAAAAGTTCACTTTAAAAAATCAAGGGAAGGCCAAGGCAAATGGGGGAGGGGAAAGTGGGAGACCCAAGAAAATTGAAAAATGGAGAATAATGAAAAAGCTGTTCCGATTCAAACCAAATGCAAACAAGATGCCTCAGCTCAATTGAAGTGGGATGTCTTTGCCAAGATTTCTACCAACTCAAAACTAACATTCTTATGATGGCCTGCAGCCCTCAGCTTCTGATTCTCATAAACCAGCTTAGGGTTTATCATAAGGTCACCACATTCAGCAGATCAAAATGCAAGGACATCTAGTTAAATTTAAATATCAGATATTTCAAATATTGTGTAACACATACTTAACACTAAAAGGGTGTTCACTGCTTATCTGAAATTCAAATTGAATAAGGTGTCCTATATTTTATCTGGCAACCTATATTACTATCCAACTCATTGTCCATTTTCTACATAAACTCAAGCAATGGTCTCCGCCCTTATCTCTTATTTCATAGGAAGCAAACCATCCACCTACAGTCTTTACTATAGTTCTGGCAAGACAGATGTTTTTATATTACAGAGCTACACGTAAATTAACATTCAATGTTGGGTCTAGCTTTTCCGTAAGTCACTCAGCCATTTCCACAATTGAGATTCCACTTGGCATAACTTTCTCTCTCTTCCATCATTCTTTTTACTTACTCCCCTCATACTCCAACTCATTTCAAATGTCAGTAGTAGTAAGACTCTTGTCATTTGACTCTTCCTGGCCCTTCTCCAGGTCTCACTTCACACCACCAAATAGTATATCAGAGTATCATTTAGGAGCCTTAAAAGTCTATAGATGCCTGAGGCAACTCCCAAAATTCTAATTTAATTGGTGGTGGGGAGAAACGGGGAGTTTGGTATTGATATTTTTAAAAGTCCCCAGGGTGATTCTAATGTGCAGCCAGGGTTGGGAAGCACTTCCTTAGGTCAAGGTTTCTCAAACATTCATTTGCACAGAAATCACTAGAGGATCATGTCAAAGGCAGGTTCTGGTTCAGCAGATAGAAGGTAGGTCTGCAGGTTTTGCATTTCCAGCCTGCCCCCAGGCTGACACTGCTCATCAGAGAACCACATTTTCAGCAACAAAGCCTTAGAGGAAATCAAGTGCAAGGTGTTAAGACCCTTCTTCGAAGTGATGGGTGAGTCATCACTGACAGAATGGAGCAGGTTGTAGGTTGTACGTTTTGCAATATAAGTGGATACTTGGTCAGTGCTACAGTATACTAAAACACCAATTATCCAGGGTTAATTGTTGGACATTCACAATAACATGAGAATAGAACAGCATTTCTTGAGTGCGTAGTTTCCTCAGTGTTTAGAACTTGTGCTAGCTGAGGCATTAAGATCTAAGCACTTCCCTAATAAAATAACAAGCCCTAATATTTACACCCCTCTTCATTTGTCTTAGAGCATTTTATGATAGCCATTCCTTGATCTCCTCCACTCCTTTGACAAATATGCATGAGAGTTATGAGTCCCCATTTGACAGATATAAACAGTGAGATCCAAAGATGGCTGTTGCTATAGCGATCTACAAATAGGAGTTTGGTAACATCAATGTTTCTATTATATTAAACCTAGATGTGGCCTCTAATTAATAACATAACCAATTATACATCAGTGCTTCTTAAATGCTAATGTACATACTCATCCCTGGGGATCTTGATAAAATGCAGACTCTGTTATCACAAGTCTGGCTAGAGCCAAGGTTGGCTCCCCAGTGATGATGCTGCTGCCCGTCCTGGGACTCCATTTGAGGCCTCAGTGAATTCAGCTTTTCTCAGCTCTGACATTTGGTGAATTCAGCTTTCTCAGCTGTGTCATTCTCCTCATTATTCTCTTGTGTTACTAAGCATTTACCAAATGCAGTGGCCAAAAAAATGGACTGAGGTTTCTATGCTTTGGTATTTCTTATCATTGTTAAAAGTTTGGAACCAATGCCTTGGAACAATGTGCTTTTTTCCCCCATTGTAGTTTAAGTTATCTTCTAGAAATAAAAATAAGTGATATGTAGCCTCACCATTTCAGCCTTTATTGCTTTATCTAAGATGCTTATGTATGGGACTGTAGTGGCAACACTTATATGCAAAAGAAAAGGTTTATAAATTAGTATCGGCTCATATTTTTTCCTATCTTCGCTTGAATATGGGTGTGTAAAAAAAACTCACAATTTTTACTTTGCAAAAATAACCAATCCATGTGTGGGTGGTTTTATTTTTTGTTTTTTGTTTTTGTTACTCATTCTTACCTTTAAAATAAATACCTTTTCTTGGCTTGTGTCAGAAAAAGTAGCCAACTTTTCAAAGATGAGTTCTAAGCTCAGAATGTGGGCAGCTCTTGATGTCAAAATCCAGATGTCAAAAATGAGAGCAGTGTTTGTTTGGAAAAAGATCTCCCAGTTGACAGTGTCCTTAAAATCATCCTCTTAGAGTTCCCAAGAGGACTGATAGAAGAGTTGTCAAAGGTCTTCAAAAGTCTCTTTGCTCTTGGTTTGAGGAGAAAAAAGAAAAGAATGAAAAGCATCACCTCCTCCAACACACACACACACACACACACACACACACCCCTATACTTACTATTGTCTGAGTGCATTCCCATTCTTTGTTTTTGAAAACCTATCACATTTTTCAGCAATGACAAGGAGAATAATAGTCCCTCCATTACCCTCAAATAAACCATCATTTATCAGTTCAATCTTTGTGATAGATTTATTGCATTCATATTCATAACCCAACTTTTTACTCCTCCCTATGGCTTTGGTAATTACCTCCCACACTGACATCTGCCATGTGATTTGTTTTGCTCAAGGCGAGAGTAGCACATTTGATGCTAGCAGAAGCTTGAAAGCCATGTGAGTTTTCTGCCTTCTCTCTTGCTTCTCTGATTACGTGCGTTGGTTATCCCATTAGAAGCTTATAAGAAACATGTGGCGGGGGACAGCAGAATTGTTCCAGCTGAGGCTGACCTAGATCAGACATTCCTTAGCAGAGCCATCAGCTGACAACAAACCCACCAGAGATCCCAGCAATATCAGCTGGACTCAGCCGACGTCAGCCGAACAGCCCTGTTCAACTCCTAGACTCATTAGAAGTATTAAATAGTTGTTTTTTTGAAGGTAGCTTCCTTCTTCTAATAGTAACCATAATATCTTCAGCATAGATAAGGTCTCCAGCTCATCCATTCATGGGATCTCTAGTTCAGGCTCACCACAACGCCAGGAACAAGACTGGCTCAACTGTCTCAAGGACCAACATGAGCAAAGTTAGAAAGAGAGAAGACAGTCAAAGAGCACTTTGAGCTAACACAATCTTAAAGTTCCATAATGTTGTTCACAGCATGAAGAAATCCATTCTCCAACAGTAAACAGCTGCTATAGATAGAATCCATGTAAACACACCTGCCTACTCCTTGGCACGTCAAGCCTTTTGTTTTGTATTTCATTCACATGGGAAGAAACCAGCAGCAAGACTCCTAAAAGTTACTGAGTCTTTTAATCAAACAAATGATAGGAGAAATCTGTCAGGCTTACCAAACAATGAAGCCTGCAGCCCCTACAGACATTTATTATTGGAAAAGAAAAGAAAATATTATGATTTGTGCTTATACTGTAGAGAGAAGGAGGAAACGGGCTTTTAAATAAAATGGGGAAATATGAAAGCCCTGTTCTACAACAAGACAAACAGCAAAGTCACATCTACTGCTAATCTCTGACAGAGGTATATTTGAGCCAATAGCTCAATGTTCATTATCATATTAGAGGAGGCAGAAGACTGCTTGCCAGTCCTGAAATTCATCTCCACCCAAACTGGGAAATTCCTGTGAAGGTACAGATTTCATTTATACATTTGATAGTATTTACCAACCAGAGTGGCAATGAATTTGCTCTAGAGGAAATAAGTAGTCTGAGTCCTGAGAGTAAATTTCCTATTTTCTCTTCCCATCTTCCCCAGTTCCCTCTCAGTCCTATTGCCCAAGGCTTTGTCAAACCCAGGTCCAGTATGTAGCTGCACTTAGGAATTACCTGGAGAGTAATTTAAAAATATGTTTCTCTGGGACCCACCTCACATTTGCTGAATCAGAACTTTCAAAGGATGAAACACAAGGGTCAATATTTTTCAGATGTTCTTCAGGTAATTCTAGCCAATAGCCTGGTTTGAGAATCTCTCCTCTAAAAATGATTCCGCCAAGATCATGAATTACTTTAATACAAACCTACTATTGCCTCCTTTAAATAAACACGGGGGTGCAATGAGAGGAAGGTTCTCCCTTGAATAAATAAGTAGAAAAGAGTTGAGGATCTTAATGCAAATACTCAATTGTCCTCATTTGTTACTTGTTAGATTACAGAAAATCATTCAATCTCTGGGCTTTATCCCTCAGCTGTTAATTGGCAAACTTAGATTAGATGACTTGAAAACTCTCTATGTATCTGTCATGCACCAGTCCCAGAATAAACTCTGAACTATTTATATCCGTATATCTCTCAATTCTTAGCCAAAGCCCTGCCACTTTTAAAATACCTTCCTTAAAGATGAATGAGCCATGTCTTCAACTCTCATCCCTGTGGCTCAACTGGTACCTTATACAGGCAGGAAAAAAAAAAAAAATCAAAGAGGAAAAGGAAAGGAGGGCAGGTCATGAGTAGAATTTTCACTTCAGGTTCAAATTACTTCTTGAAAATCCTCTATCCTCAGTAACTCAAAGTTATTATGTTTTACACTGCACAGGTGTGTGGCACTCAAAAGGTATTCAGAGAAGTCTTGTGTATAATATTTGTTTGACCAAAACTAGTAAACAACTACATTCAAATATGTCAAAGAATAACCAAAGCCCAAAAATGTTCTCTGTTGAGGCTGAATGCATATGTAAAGCAAGGAAAGCCATGCCTTTCTTTGGGGAGTTCAGTAGGCCTCTCCAGTGGGTGGTGTGAGGGCTGGACAGAAGGCAGGGAGGAAGTCCTTCCAAATAAGAGAGGATTTGACAGGCACTTTGTGACTAATTGTAGAAGATGGAAATTTCTCTCCTGAGATCCTTAGATGGGTCATTGTCACTGTATGATGTCATCTAGATGGGCATTAAACTGGACTATAATTCCCATCTGGGTCTGAGATGAGCAGTTAAAGGCTCAAGCAAGCTTTGGGTTATGCAGGAGTCAGGGCTTTCAGTGTATGTGCAAGGTCCAAGCAGAAATTTTCCTTAGCTACAAAACCAAACAAGATTGTACTGTATTTATGGCTTTATATCCTGCCTTCTGCACCTAACAATAGATGGTAAGCATTTTCCTCTACCAGAATACAATCATCTTCAACGTTATGTTTAATAACCACAAAGTATTCCATTATAAAAGTAGGCCATCATTTTCTCATGGCCCATTGTTGACATTCATAGCTGCAATGCAAAGTCTCAGAGCCAAACTTTGTATAGACCCTCATTTATTTTCTTTAAATACATTTCTAGAGATGCAATCACTTAGCCAAAGATAATAAGCATTTTCAAATCTGTATTTACTGCCCAAATTGTCCTCCAGAAATGGATTATCATTTCATACTTCCACCAGCAAAAGACATGCTACATCATTCATGTGTGAGATCATAGGTAAGGATAAGCAGGGAACTGGGAACAGACTGGGCTTGTGGGACTCTGGTCTTTCCCCAGTGGGGAATGGCTGACCAGTGGGTAGCCTGATTAAGGCACTGTCGGTTACTGTCATAGTTAGGGCTCCCCCAGAAGCAGACCCTGAGACAAGTATTCATCTATAAGTGGCTTACTTTAGAGGGTAATCTCAGAAAATACTAATTGTGGGGTGGAGTGGAGAGGAGGAAATACACGAGACAGGGCATGAAGGGTAGTGAAGAAAGGGTGTGTTAACAAACAAGTCACCGCTGTGAGCAACTGGAGGTTGATTTTTCTTGGCAAGTCTGGAAACAATGTAGAAGACACTCTGCAGAGTTATCTCCCTGAGGATGAAGTCGCTGGAGTGTTCATCTACAATTCCCACCAGTCAGTGGTTGAAGACTGCTCTGAAAGGAGTTGATTCTGCAGCACTTCCAGCCTGCCCTGAGCATAGCCAGGCAAAGTGATGCACAGCCAGCTGACTCTGAAATGGCATGGGTTGCAGTAACCATATGGGTGATGCATTTATAGCAGAGCTACGGGGCTCAGTTACACACTGCTCTGCAATTTCTAGCCAGTCTCCTCTGTTACTTTTTAGCCCCTCCACAACATGCGGAGTTTTACAAAATTATCCTGAGTGTCCAGGTTATGATGTAGTCTCATGGAAGAGAGTGCATCATGATAGTTCATGAGGAAGTATAACTTACATGCAGCGAAATACACACATTTGGAACTTTTGCTTCCAGCCATCATAATAGAGTAACAAGAACTAGATTTTTTTCTTTCACCATAAACAACTAAAAACACCAGAAAAAATATATGCAACAATGGTTTTCACGCATTGTACAACAGGCAGCACTGAACAGTGATTCTCGAGGGAGTGAAAGAAGGTAAACCTTATGATTGTCCCAGCTTACTGCTAGGAGAGGGTTCTCAGACTTCAGTACAGGGAGGGGAACCCACACAGAGCCAGGGGCAGGTAAAACCAAGAAAGTGAGAGTTTGCAAGGTAGAATGTGAGAGAAGAGAAAGAGGCACAGAGAGTTCCAGAGTTCTGCAGGCAGTTCCCACTATATCTCTAGCTGAGTGCTGATTAGCCTATGTATGTGAGGAAACCACTCAAAGCTAGAAAAAGAACCACTGGAAAGAAGTAAATGGAACACTTCTCAGAGCTCCTTCAGAATCATAAATAGCTTCCATTTTAATAGCAAAATGAAGAAACTTCATGATACATGGGGCATCTGTTTGAGTACTGAGAAGGATATTGCCTCAGCAGTAGAATCACATTAGCCCTAGAATAAAGGTTCTGGTACTGCCTAATAAAGCTTAAAGCAAGCCTCGAAAGAACACAACTATTTCTAAGTATAACATTCCAGTATATTTAAAGGAAGACCAAAATAATCCAACAGTGTGTCTGACATCCAGTCAAAAATCACCAGGTATGCAAACAAGTATAGAAATAGAACCCATAATAAGGAAAAAAATCAATCTATAGAAATAGAGAAATGGGCCGGGCCTGGTGGCTCATGCCTGCAATCCCAGCACTTTGGGAGGCCAAGGCAGGCAGATCACCTGAGGTCAGGAGGTCGAGACCAGCCTGGCCAACATTGTGAAAGTCCACCTCTACTAAAAATACAAAAATTTAGCTGGCATGGTGGCTTGCGCCTATAATCCCAGCTATTCAAGAGGCTGAGGCAGGAGAATCACTTGAACCAGGAGGCGGAGGTTGCAGTGACTCAAGATCATGCCACTGCACCTCAGCCTGAAGAACAGAGCAAGACTCTGTCTCAAAAACAAAAAAAAGAAATAAAGAAATGACACAGATTAATATCCTTAATATACAAGGACATTTAAAAAACTATCATAAATATACCTCATGAACACCTAAAATATAACTCTTGAATAAGAAGGTAAAGAAAAGCATGCAAAGCGACATAAAAGGTAAAAGAAGACTCAAATATAACTTCTAGAGACCAAAAAACACAGTGGAGGCTGGGCGTGGTGGCTCATGTCTGTAACATCAGCACTTTGGGAGGCCAAGGCTAAAGGACAACTTGAGCCCAGGAGCTTAGGCAGCATAGAAAGACCCTCTCTCTACAACATATTTTTAAAAAAATAGCTGAGTGTGGTGGTGCACACCCGTAGTCTCAGCTACTCTGGGAGCTATTCTGGGAGGCTGAGGCAGGATGATCACTTAAGCCCTGGAGTTCGAGACAGCAGTGAGCTATGACTGTGCCACTGCACTCTAGCCCGGGCAACAGAGCAAGACCCTGTCTCAAAAAAAAAAAAAGAAAGAAAAAGAAAGAAAGAAAGAAGGAAGGAAACAAAGAAAGAAAGAAAGAAAGAAAGAAAGAAAGAAAGAAAGAAAGAAAGAAAGAAAGAAAGAAAGAAAGAAAGAGAAAAGAAAAGAAAGAAAGAAGGAGAGAAAGAAAGAAAAGAAAAGAAAGAAGAGAAAAACACAATGGAGAAAAATGTGTGCAATAAAATAATTATACTGAGTAATATTAACAGAAGAAAAGATAAGTAAACTTTAAAACATAGTAATATCGCCGGGTGTGGTGGCTCACACCTGTAATCCCAGCACTTTGGGAGGCCGAGGCGAGCGGATCACAAGGTCAGGAGTTCAAGACCAGCCTGGCCAATATGGTGAAACCCCATCTCTACTAAAAATACAAAAATTAGCTGGGCATGGTGGTGTGTGCCTATAATCCCAGCTACTCAGGAAGCTGAGGCAGGAGAATTGCTTGAACCGGTACCCGAGAAGGGGAAGTTGCAGTGAGCCGAGATCATGCCACTGCACTCCAGTCTGGGCTACAGCGGGAGACCCTGTCTCAAAAAAACAAAAAACAACCAAACAAAAAAAATCTCAAATATACAAGATAAAATTCATATAGAGAAATGAAAACCATTTTATTTGTACATTTTTGACTATAATATTCTTTTACAAAGTGTCTATTCAAATATTTTACCCATTTTTAAATCAGATGTTTTCTCTTATTATTGAGATATAAGAGGTTTATATATATATATATTCTAGATACAAATGCTTTGTTTGTTATGTTTGGGAAATATTTTCCCCCAGTTTGTGGCTTGCCTTTTTTTGCCGTTTTTCCTTAATGGTGTCTTTCAAAGAATGTATGTTTTGTTTGTTTTTAAGACTCACAATTTAATTTTACTCTCAAAACAGTCTTATTAACAAGATGAGTCTGGCATTGTTTTAATATTTTAGAAATAAGGAAGCCCACAGGTTCATCGCCTTGTTCAAAGCCACAGTTGGCCAGAGACAATGTCAGCATGAGAACTTCCGTTTTATGATTCCAGGTCTGCGGGAAATTTGAGTTTGTCAATTGAGCAGTTCTGGGATTTACAGTCTTGAATGGCATCTAAGGGAGACCCACTTTCGGTGGTGATCTACTTCTTCATAGGTGGAGGGGTTCACAGCTCTAGTTATAAATCTGTGTTCCAGCTGTGGCTGTCTTCCCACCCACGAAGGAGATGTGAAGAACGGACAGGAGCCACCAGCCGTTTCAAATTCTTTCAAGCTGAAAGTAATTTATGAAACCTGACAGATGATGGCAGAGCAAGGTTGTGTGCCCTCTACCCTCCTCTGACCCCCCAGCAACTTCCATTCCCTTTCCGGACTTCTAAAATATCTCTTTTTAATGATATCCATAATTCATGAAAAGAAATGATAAAATCGAAACATATTACCACTGGCTTATAAATGTCAGTGCTATTAATTATTAACAGACCAAGAAGGAAGTCAGAAATGATCCCAAAGGTGAGAGAGATAAAGGCAAGAATGTACACACACACACACACATACACACACACACACGCACACACATATACACACACATACACACACATACACACACACAAGTTGACTGGAAACCTTTGTACTCAAAGGTTTCCAGTTTGTACTGTGCATACATTAAATGAAGATTTAATTCCTTTTTGCAAGCAGTTTAACTAAAATAGTGACCTTAGCAATTACCTAATGAAAAGCCCTCATGCCACAGATGAAAAACTGAAGCCCAAAGCGGGGCCTGCCCTGTGTTACAAGACAGCTAGTGACAGAGCCAGCAGCAAAGCATGTTTCTCTTTACTGCCGGTTCTGCTCTCTAAGTAACACTGTCTCTTTTAGTGTTATTAGTGAGTAGTGCCATACTTGACACCATAGGAGGATGACAAGTGTTGGCCAAAATAAAGAAAGTTGTCATTGTTTGCAAAGCCAGGGAATCCATCCCTACTTGGTTGGTTCCACTTATCCCATCTAAGCAGGTGCCTCCCTCCCCCAGGTGAGATGGCCAGTGTAGAATCAGACTTCACACGTCAGGTGGTCCTAACAGCGATTTACCCTAAAGAACTACCACATCCTCAACCTCTCCTAGCAACTAGTATTTCCCAAATGGAGATATATTTCTTAGGGATGTAGGGGTTGCTCAGAGCTTCAGAAATGCCTGACTAGAATGTGAATACTAGGGGAACTTGGGACACTTCTCTAGGGCTCACTTTCTTCATTTGTGAAATGGAACAAACAATTTGACCTTCCTCTTCAGGTTGTTCTGAAAAGTAACTAAGGGGCCAGGAGTGGTGGCTTACGCCTGAAATCCTAGCATTTTGGGAGGCTGAGGCAGGTGGATCACTTGAGGTAAGGAGTTCGAGATCAGCCTGGCCAACATGGTGAAACCCTGTCTCTACTTAAAATACAAAAATTAGCCTGGTGTCGTGGCACATAGCTATAATCCCAGCTACTTGGGAGAGTGAGGCAGGAGAATCATTTGAAACCCAGGAGGCGGAGGTTGCAGTGAGCTGAGATTGCACAACTGCACTCCAGCCTGGGCGACAAAGGGAGACTCAGTCTGAAAGAAAAAGAAAAAAGGAAAGGAAAGGAAGGGAAGGGAAGGGGAAGGGAGAGGAGGGGAGGGGAGGGAAAGGAGGATGGAGGGAAAGGATAGGAAAGGAAAGGAAAGGAGGAGGGAGGGAAAGGAAAGAGGGAGGGAAGGAAAGGAAAGGAAAGAGGGAGGGAAGGAAAGGAAAGGAAAGAGGGAGGGAAGGAAAGAAGGAAGAAAATGAGGTGATCCACTCAAGTTCCCAACACAGGTAGAGGGTTAGTTGAGGATGGCTGGGAACCACATGAAAGGCAAGAAGAGAGGAGAAACACTCAAGAGAGTTGGAGAGGGCAGGGGTACATGAGTAGCCCAAAATTCACTAGAGCCTCCTATACAGTTTTGTAGAGGTCCATGGTCTTGCAGAAATAATTAAACACATACGCACACACACACACAGAACCTGGTTAAAAGACAATCCTTGGTTGCGTGCAGTGGCTCATGCCTGTAATCTTAGCACTTTGGGAGGCTGAAGTGGGTGGATCTCTTGAGTCCAGGAGTTCAAGACCAGCCTGGGCAACATAGCAAAATGCCATCTCTACTAAAAATACAAAAATTAGCTGGGCATTGTGTTACGTGCCTGTAGTTCCAGCTACTTGAAAGGCTGAGGTGAGAGGGTCAATTGAGCCCAGGAGGCTGAGATTAGGCTGCAGTGAGCCGAGATCCCACCACTGCACTACAGCTTGGGCAACAAGAGTGAGACCCTGTCTCAAAACAACAACAACAACAAAACAAAACAAAACAAAAAACAGTCCTTCTATGGAAAGAATTGCTCCTGCTCCCGGGGAGGTCGGTGAGGGTCACCTGAGCTATGCTTCCTTTGCTACTGGAAGTACGGGATTGAATCAAGTGGGCAGCTTTCAGTGATGAAGAGGACACTGGTTATTCTCCTCTCTGGAACCTTCTGGTTTAGCCAAACAAGGCAAGTTATTATCTTATTTTTAAAATACAATGTCTTATGGTGTTTCTGTCATATGTTCCCCTCAACATTTGAATTCTCCCAAAATTCTACAGAAGTACATATTATTCAACCTAAGGAATTTGTTTTCCTTTAAGGACAAAAACAGAAGCTTCAGAGAAGCCAGACATAAATGGCTCTTTTAGTCCGTGAAGAAGAAAAGATCATTTGAGGAAAACACCTGGTCTCCACAGAAGGCTGATGTTGTCCCCATTACCTTCTCCAACCCTCCCCAGCAACATAAGGAACCATGTCTACACCTGGTCTTCTTCTCCCCCAAATCCTCCTCTAGAAGTGACCACTAGAGGCTGGTATTCTGCTTAGATGTCTTTCAACTGTAGAAAGAATAGGAAACATTAGCCTGCAGCCCCAGCAGCATCTACCTTCTCCTTTCTTCACTTCCAACGCAAAGGCCAGGTTTACCCCAGGACTCTAACAGAATTTCAGCTCTCAGAGACAGAAAATAGAGATGTCAGAACTTTCAGGCAGCCTTTTAACTGGGCTTTTACTTTTAGCCACACTATGATACCCTCCTGTATTTTCCTTTTAAAAACTCAAAATGTATTTGCTTTCTTCTCTTCATTGGCTCTATTTTGATTTTGAAAAGTACATGAATATGTAATACGACTTTCTTCTTATTACTATCCAGCATAGTTTATATCTGAAGAAGAGAAGAGACGCTAACCAAAACTAATCACCAGTAAATAGACAATAGTGTGTCCATTAGGGACTGGATCCCCCAGCTCCACCACACCCTGGTTTCCATGGGAAGTCTGGCATTAGGGAGAAAGATGCTTAGACTCTGGGGCGGTGGGGGGTGTTATGTGCTGGGCTTTGGCCCTCAGTGATTTCTACAGTAACTCCGGGATGGATTGTGCCTTCTATTTTTGGATTCACACTGGGAAGCCAATTAAATTAAAAGGCTATTCATTTCACTATATTTGTCTCCAGGCTGCTCAAATAGAAATGCAAATGATTCCTATTGAGTGGGTTTTCTACCTCAAAAAGAATGAGATTGTAACACCAAGCACTGTGTACTTCACAGAATCCGATCTGCCTTGAGAAGAAGAAACAGAAACCTCACCCTTAGGCTATTTATAGGCTCTTTTGCAAATGTATTGAAAGTCACCCTAAATGAAGTAGTCGGCTTCTCTGGCTACTCACAGTTTCTCAATTCAGTTGTTGAAAATGGGTGTGCATTTACTGATATGGACCCTACTGAGAGGGAGAAAAAAGCTTTTGCCCCAAGCTTACCTCAGAAGAATGGGGAAAGGCTAGAGCCTAAGTATGACAAATGCTGCTTCCTTGATATTGTTTCCTTACACAACGGGCTGTGTGGCCTTGCAGAGAAGAAGACTGCAAGGAGCCCCAAGCTAGGTGATTGCATTTTCAAATCCTGCAAAATGCAGACATTTTGCTATTCCAATAACACAAACCAAAGCGACAAAAGTGAATGCACTGGTCAGATGGGCCTGGCTTACAACATGTGGCCAATGATGACCAGATCACAGAGGCTAAAGTGCAGTTGGCTTAACCAGTTGGGGTCAACTGTGATGCTGGGGGTGGGGTCCCACCTGACTCGGACATGAAGGGCTCTTGAGAAAGGTCAAAGGGGAGTGAACATCGGGGAGCTGAACTCTCATGTCTACCTTAAAGTCCACAGGTAGAATGACCTTTCTAAAATAGATTAACTGGTAGTTTGTCCAAGAAAAGAACTAGAAGCAACTAGAATGTGTAGTTTTTTTTCCTGAATACACGTGTGGCATGTAGAGCATAAGGATTGTCCTCCACTAGTCCTTGTACAGTAGTAATTTCAATTTTGAACAGGTGAGCTTCCCTAGATGGAACAGGACTTTCAAACTAGCCTATAGTCTACAAAATAATAGCCTGCAACCTGCCATTTGTAGATCATTTTGTGGTCTGTCCAGCCCAAATTGAAACTTGCCCACCATCAATGGCAGATGAAATGGTAGGTTGCCTGTAATGGCAGGGCTAGCAGTCTCAGGAATGGAGAGGATGTGGGTTACGATGGCTGCCCTGGCCTTCTTTATGGCTTATGGAGACCCATCTGGCAGGATGTAATAAACAGAATGAAATTTGAGACAACAAAAATGTCTGTGTTTACAAAAACTGAAAGCTATTTCCCAGGAAAATAAAACATTTAGAGCAAATTGAAAACCATTTGACTTTATCTTCATTTTCATGAAAAAAAAAACCCACCTGAGGATTATCCAACTCAGTTTTTAAAATTTATATCCATCTACAAATGATTGGAAGGAAGATAGAGAGGGAAAAGGAAAAAGGCGGGAGGGAGGGAAGAAGGGTTGGTACTCAAGAGACTAGAATGTGAATACTATTTGACCATCTTGGTAACCTGCCTCACAAATTTCAAAATACAGTCTTCATTTTTATTTTTATTTTTTTCATAAAATAGAGCAAATATAAACCTGAGACCTAATCTTCTATCAGTAAAATCGCCTCTGAAATTTCTGTTCTTTTCTGGCAAGTGCCCAAAATAGCAAATTGGATCAAAAATGAATGAGCAACTTTTTATTCTATTTCTACTATCCCCTAACAAAAGGAAAGTCACCAAAAAATGCAAACAAACATGTACCAGGATGTTCATAGCGGGTCTATTCATAATAGCCCCCCACTGGAAACAACCCAAATGTTTCTCAGGAGTAAAATGAATAAATAAATTGTTATATATTCAGACAGTGGGATACTAGACAGCAATGAGAATAAACTATTATACAACTACATGCAACAATATGAAATAATCTCACAAGCATATTATTTAACAAAAGACACAATTGAATACTTATAATATGATTCTATTTATATTAAAGTTCACAATCAGGCAACCAGCCTATGGTGACTTAAGTTAGTGGTTACCACTTGGGAAAGGGGACATGTGAGAACCCCTGGAGTTTCTATATGTTCTATTTCTTGATTGGGATAATGGATACACTTGGTGAAAATTCATCAAGCTACACACCTATGGCTTATGCTTTTTTTTGCACATATGTTTTACTTCAATAATAAGTTTGCTTTAAGGTGCATGTGATACAAACAAACTTTGGGGGTTGATGGCCATGTGCTATATTTTGATTATGGTAATGACTACAGGACTATATGCATTCATTAAAACTCACCAGACTGTATACTTAAAATTAGTGAATTGTATTATATGTAAACTAGGATTAATAAAAGTGATTTTTTAAATCTCAAAAAGTCTAGGAAAAATAATTCCAGTCTTCATACACCAAAGCAGTTTGTGAACAACTCAGAATAAAAGCAAATGCATGCATTTATTCCTGAGCTTTATTTTGCAAGAGAAACAAATGAGTGGCCCAAATGCTTAAATGTATATAAATGATTAGAATATAAATCCCTAAAAGTAGAGATCCTATTTATTTACGAATCTTAGCATTAGCTAATCGGAAAACCAAGGCTAGGGATTCTTATAATTCTAATTCATAGTCCTGTAAAATTTCTTCCAGTGTCGCTAATGTGCTGTATCAGCACATTTTCATAGCTGCGTATAAGAATGCTGCTAAACAAACAACCACAAAACCTCGCTTATTGTTTACACATCTGGAGCCAGCTGGGGTTGCCTGGGCAGCTAGCTCTGCTAAGCTCCTAGGGCTAATGTCTGGCATTAGGCTAGATACTGGCTGATCTAAGCTGGCCTCAACTGGAATGACTCAGGCAACTCTGTGTAGTTGTGATCCTCCAAGATGGTCCTCAGTGACTTTTCCCTCCTAATATTCATGCCCCTATGTAGTCCCCTCCCACATAAAATGGAGCTGTCCTGTGTAACTAATACGATATTCCAAAAACAACAGAGTCATTTTAAGGATTAGTCACAAAAGACGTTGTAGCCTCTACCATGTTCTCTTGGATCATTTAGTCTCATGGAAGCCAGATGCTATCTTATGAAGACACATAATCAGCCCTATGGAGAAATTCACATGGCAAGAAACCAAGGCTTCCACATCCAGCACCAATTTGACATTCACATGAATGTTTTGGAAATGGGTCCTCCAGCCTCAGTCAAGCCTTCAGATGACTGCAACCCCTGAGCCAGAACTGACCAGCTAAACTGCTGCTGAGTTCCTGAACCACAGAAATCCTGAAAGACAAGTATTTATTGTTTTAGGCTGCTAAGTTTGGAGATAAATTGTTATGTGGTCATAGATAACCAATATATCAGACTCTGTACCACACAACTCTCATCCTTTAATTGGCTGCCCTGGATACATTCTGTGGTGATAGCAGAGATGCAAGGGAACAAATGAAGACATGAAGCACTTTTCAAATCTCTCCTTGCATCATGTCTTCTAAGATCCCTCTGGCCAAATCAAGTCAGATGACTGAGTCCAGAGTTATGAAGCAGGGCAGTTTAGCTCATCTATTGTAGGAAGATACTGCAAAGTTACATGGCAAATGGCATGGTTGGTGGTCTTAAAATGTGTCCACAAATTCTTTGACACTGCCATATTCAAAAGGTAGTGCTATTCTCCTCCTCTTGAAGGTGGGCTGGACTTAAGACTCACATCTTTTTTTTTTTTTTTAGAGACAGATTCTCACTCTATCACCAGGCCGGAGTGCAGTGGCACAATCTCGGCTCACTGCAACCTCCGCCTCCCAGGTTCAAGCGATTCTACTGCCTCAGCCTCCCAAGTAGCTGAGACGACAGGCATGCACCACCATGCCCAGCTAATTTTTGTCTTTTTTTGTTTTTGTTTTTGTTTTTGTTACCAGAGACAGGGTTTCACCATGTTGGCCAGGATGGTCTCGATCTCTTGACCTCATGATCCACCCAGCTCAGCTTCACAAAGTGCAGAGATTACAGGCGTGAGCCACCATGCCCAGCCAGTGACTCACTTCTAATGAATAAAAGGTGGTAGACGTGATGGTGTTGGACTGCCCAGGCTGGAAATAGACTGCCTGTTTCTCTCACCATGGACTTCTTGCTCTGCAGAAAGCCCAGCAGCCGCTTGTCATGAGAACAGTCGAGCAGACCTGTAGAGAAGTCTACATGGAGAGAAACTGAAGTCAAATACTAGCAATCAGCTCCAACTTGCCAGCCATGCTGGAAATGAATCCTCCAGCCCAAGTCAAACCTTCAGATGATTGCCACCCCTGCCCACATAGCCACTGCAAGCCTAAGCTAAGCCACTCCTGAATATTCCTAACCCACAGAATCTGTGAGACATAATGTAGTTTTATTATTGTTGTAAGCCACTGAGGCATGGGATAATATATTAGGCAGCAATCGATAACACATGTAAGGAAGGATGAAGAATTAGAGATTTTTTTTTTAAACTACAGAGTCAGAATTCTTAGTCGCAAACAACAGGATCTACTCCAGCTAGTTTAATCACAAAAGAAACAGTAAAGAGTATTTAAAAATCTCTAGGAGAATTAGAGCATCAGGTCTAGAGGCTATAAAGGCAACAACAATTCAGAAAGCACCTCTGATACCTCTGCTTCAGCCAGGACCTAATTTCTGCTGCAGTTGGATAAAGATACTTCAGCTCATACCACTGAAGTTGGTAGCCAGGTGCCAGAATTTCCACCATTAATGACTTAGAAAGCTAGATTCCTTCACCATTCCCTTTATTCAAATATGGATTCTGTGAAGCACCAGCTTCATTATGCTGCTGTCTTTCAATCAGAAGTCTTGCATAGGTCCATCTGCAAGGAGGATGGGAAGAAATGAGTTGCGGGCTCCATTCTTAGGGAAGTGTTATTTTTAAGGTAGAAAATATCCCAGTCATAGAAAAGGTGTTTCAAACAGTGCTGAGTAGCTAGGAAAATTCACAAATGCTCATGTCTTGTCCTCATACAAGATCATTGTTACACTACCAAAATGTAAGTAGTTGGAGAAAATATTGACATGTCTTTCTATCTCCTGGAACCTGAAATTGTTAAATGAATTTCATTTCCAAAGCCATTTCCAATTAATTGCTAATGATTGCCTAGAGTTACATGTTAAGACATACTCTGAGGTTACACCTGGGCTCAGCTGGAAAGAGAACTGAAATCCAGATGTGATGAAGCCATGGGTGCTGCATGGTGGGTGTTAAATAGCAGGTACCTGCAAAAGTAAACATCTTCAGGCTCTGTGTTTCACTCATTTCAAAAAGGGAGAATCTGAACATACCTCATGATCTTTTGTAATTGTTTAGGTTAAAACTGTTCCCACTCATCAAACCATCTTTTCTTAATCTCACTGAAATGTCATACAAACTAATTCATGTTCTTTTTCTTCATTCCAGTAACTGGCAGAACCCACACCTTCAAAACAGAGACTTTGGCTGCATCTGGCCTCCTGCTCTGTCTTCCTCTCACCTCCTCCACCTCCATGTCACCTACTGAGGGATCGCTTGAGAACACCAGAATTTCAGAAGACAGAGTTTGAACATCACTGACCTTTACCATCGGTATAACCAACTCTTTACCTCCCAAGGCTCGCTCATTTGTACTTATTTTTTCTCATGTCTCTCAAATTTAGCCAACTGGTATGAATAAACTGGAAGTAAACAGTTCTACACTTTAGGCTTTCCATTTCTCTATGTGGATGATGTGATGTTTCCCTGTGGGAGTCAATAAGATTCATAGCACTAGAACTTGGCTTGACTTGCTGATTCTCAGTCACATCACACATACCAGCTTCAGGAATGGCCATGATGAGGTTCCATGACATTGTTTCACCTTCTTCCTTGTACTAATAGTAGACTTCCCGGTCTAAGATTGAATATCACACCTATTGTGTGAAGGGTTCAGTAGGACAGATTCCCACACTTTCCTCCATCCTTGGCCACTGTTGTTCTGAGCGTCCTCAGCAGTGGCCTCTTCCTCCTTCCTCCTTCTTCCTCCTCTTCTTCCTTAGAAGCAAGGTATTTGCTTGTGCAGTAGAGCAGTGCTTCTCAGACTGTAATGTGCCCATAAATCACCTAGACATCTGTTTAAATGCAGATTCTATTTTAGCAAATGGGGCCAAGATCCTTCAAGCCCATAAAACTCCCAGGTGATGCTAATATTCCTGGTCCATGGACTGTAATTTATGCACCCATGTTGTAGAGGACCCAGTCTTACCCTCAATGGGAGGAACTTACTTGCTTTGCCTAAATCTGTATTTGTACAGAGTTTCGTCTTACCTCTTTCTTCTAGATCATATTCCTTTACCATCCATCCCCTAGACTTGAGTGTTCATTTCCTGTTCCACCTTCAATGACACTAATTTTATTCCCTCACTGAACCAATAATCGTTGAGCACCTATCATGAGCTAGATGCTGTGCTGGGCACTAGGGATATATCCACACACAAGACAATACCCTGAGTATCCTTGCTCACATGGAACTTACAGTCTAAAGAGAAAGACAATAAATAAATAATTACTCAATGTCTAATTGTAATTGTAAGGAGTGCTAAGAATGAAAATTACAAGATGCTTTGCTTTGAGAGGAAATTTAACCAAAGCTCCTGGGTCCTTGGGGTTTCCACTTCACATGATTTCCTCTGGTTTTGTATAAACTCAGCCTTCTCTATGATGAAGCAGTGTTAGAGGTTTCCCTCCTGACCTTGTGTCTTCCCCTTGACCATGGCCACCAGTATGAATTTGGTGTTGCATGACTGCACTCACATTTGGCAGGAAGATAAGCATGGCATAGTGCTTATGATTGGGAGGTGAGTCCTGGGTTTCCAGAGCTCCAAATTAGTATTGTGTTACCTTGTGTAATTCTTGCCCCTCGGCACCCCTTAGTAATGGACCTGGCCATCTGTAATGGCAAGCTGTTCCCTCCAAGTTCTAGAAAAAAGTCCCCTTCCCTCTAAAATGACAGTATTTTTAATATTCCAATTTTCTCCCTCTCATGACCTCTTTTGCTGATGTGCTACCTAAAACCATAACTCAGCTATTGCCAGCAAATTACCAGTGATTTCCACCAGGGTATTAACTTTCATGCATTAAGAATGACAAGGTCCAAATCCATTTGCCTATCAGAGATTCTGACCTCATCGGGCTCATGCTCAGTCTCTCTAGCTGCAGCAGCTGTTCTTTCCAGATGCATGGGGTGTCAGTGGGGAAGAAAGGGAGAAAGGGCATGGAAATTGCAGAGCCATTGTAATCTGTATACAATGATGCCTTCCATGGCTTCTCCCCGAAAGTTCATTCCTGTATAGTGTTATTTTCAAAGAAATAATGATCCATCAGCTAAACACCTAAAATGCCAGTTGAATCTTTCCTGAAGTCTTTTGAGAGGGGATTCTATTTGTCCACTTTAAATTTAAAGACAGTTTAAAATCATATTTCCTGATATTTATATTTCTTTAATATTTCACATCTATAGAAGCTACCCCAATGTCCTCTCCTTCTTCTCTCTTAAACTCTCCTAACTCTCCAACAAACCAGAGCCATTGTACTTCCAGACCCTTCATTCCCACTCTTTTCCATCCCCGGATCTGTTCTGCCAACCTCTTGAGACACTGGCTTTCCTCTTTCTCCAGTGTGGGTAAGCACAGCAGAACCTGGCCCCCTCAGGCCTGTTGCTCTGCCCAATGGCCTGATTCAGTCCAGATCTAGTGACAGACCTAGAATTCTCCCAACCAGGAGGAAGAGAGCACAGGTGTTCATTCTCTCACACCATCTGAGCTTGGTTTCATTACTTACTGCCACATCATTAATACAAGGATTTCATTCCTTTTTATTTCAAGGAAAAGGGGCAGGATATTTATTATTAAAATTCTAATGTTTGCTGATTAAGAAAATAGAATATGGCAAAAAGGCTGGTGTGAAATCTGTAAAGTTTTTATTCAACTGATTAGCACCTACTATATGTATATAAATGAGAGACAGAGAGAGAGTCTATATACAATGTGTGATATACAGTTGACTCTTGAACAGTGTGGAGGATAGGAATGCTGACACCCTACACAGTCGAAAATCCATATATAGCTTTGTTTTGGTTTTCGTTTGTTTGTTTGTTTTGTGAGACAGGTCTCTCTCTGTCACCCAGGCTGGAGTGTCATGGCACAATCTTGGCTCACTGCAGCCTCGACCTCCTGGGCTCAAGTGATTCTCCTGCCTCAGCCTCCCACATACCTGTGACTACAGGTATGCACCATCATGCCTGGCTAATTTTGCTTATTTCTTGTACAGGCAAGGTTTCTCTATGTTGCCCAGGCTGGTCTCAAACTCCTGGGCTCAAGCAATCCACCCACCTCGGCCTCCCAAAGTGCTGAGATGACAGGCATGAGCCACGGCAGTTGTCATCCACATATAAATTTTGACTCTCGCAAACTTAACTACTAACAGCCTACTGTTGACCAGAAGCCTTACTGATAACATGAACAGTCGATTAACACATATTGTATATGTTTTATATATAATATATATATATATATATTATACACTGTACTACTACAATGAAGTGAGCCAGAGAAAAGGTTATTAAGAAAATAATAAGGAGGATAAATATATTTACTATTCATTATGTGGAAATGGATCTTCATACAGGTCTTCACCCTCACTGTCTTCATGGTGAACAGGTTGAGAAGGAGGGAAGAGAGGAGGGGTTAACCTTGCTGTCTGTCTCAAGGGTGGCAGAGGTAAAAGAATCCACATATAAGTGGACTTGCAGAGTTCATATCCATGTTGTTCAAGAGATGATTGTACATACAGATTCAGACTCCCTGTAATAGATCCTGAAAAGAATCCTCCCATGGCCCCCTCACCACCATCACCTCTCCACAATCCACAGGCTGAGAATTAACTTAGCTAATACTTATCACATATCACCAGTGTTTTAAAATTTTACCTTAGCATATGACTTTTCATGAAATCTCCAAATAGTTTGAAATTAGGAGCAAATACAACTCTTAGTCCTAATATTTCATAGTTTTAGAAATATTAAAGGAATAGAATTTAATCAGGTGTCTTTGACGTGCATTTGACTTTTCTGTCTTTCTGTAGAAAGCCCCATAAAACTTTACACTGGTAGTCAGCTCTGAGCCATTACTCATGGATGCTAATTGTGCACAACATGAATGGAGAATGTGGATGGCACTGGCCTTGCAACCTGCAACTTTGTTTCATAATCCCTGGTTCACCAGCTGGGACTTTGATGGGGCATTTTACAACACAGACTTTGCTACCCTATGAAACATTTTAATCACATAAAATATTATGCTGTAGCACTGTAAGTAATACCAAGCCTATCCTTGACATCTGGGCTTTAATTACCTCTTTCATTGCTTCACTGCCCATTTAGGAGTCTTTAGAAGGCTTCCTTCCACTTGAATAGGGGTGAGGAGTGTAACCAGCCACGCCTGGCAAAAACACTTCCAATTCCAGTTAAACAACTCACCAAAGATGGTGTTGGGAAATTCTCCCAACTTCCTTGTGCTCTTTTTTAATCAACAGGGAAAGGACATTTCCTCAGTCTTCCGAGCAGTTAACATTTCCCCATTCTAGAGTCAATAGACTCTGGAAGGCCTATTGCAGATGCTCAAACCAACTTCCCCCCTACACCAATGAAATCTTGAGCCACAGCCCCGTAGTGGCCACCTAACCTGCCTCAGTTTTACCAAGGAGAACCTTGGCCCCAGGAAAATAGCCCTAGTTCCCAACCTTGGGGAGATAGTAGGGATATGTCTGAGCCAAAACTTGAAATCGACAATGCAATCTTACCCCTACCTAGTTCTGTAGTACCTACAGGCTAAATAAATTCCCTGGCATCTCCCTAAGTGTCCATGCTCACTGTGATCCCAGAGCAGACACAGCCCAGACTTTTCCCCATGGCCTGTAGTTGACCACTAGGTGTTTTCGCCGAACTTTCTGGTGAATGGCAGAGCAATATGTAGCATGAATACAAGTCAGCCAATTGGTAGGGTGAAGAAAAACAAGGTCCACTTTCACTCAGCAATGACTTCTGCAGAAAATACAAAAGGAGCCCACTCGAAAGGGAAGGGCTGACGCCCCTCAGGACAGGGACTAGCTCTGTCCCTGCCACTGTCCCAGCAAGGCTGGCCTCTGGTGGCCTTTGTGGGTGTTCTCCTGAGGTCAAGCAGCAAGGTGGGAGTGCACCAGGCATGGGTAAGAGCCAGGCACACTGAGGCCCTGACAACATACTGCTGATGTGAATGATATCTCTGTTGCAACCACAGCCCTCTTGATTCAAAGGAGCTCACCTGCTTTATGTGGATGTTTTTGATTTTGGCAAGTGTAAAAATAGAAAAAAGTGAACCAACTGAAACAAGAAGGGAGGGAATGCCTCTCTCTCCCTTATTCACCAAGCCTAGACAGGCTGGTGTTGTTTGAGGCCCTCAAACACTCAAATGCTAAGTGGGACATGGCACGATGCCCTTGGTCCCCAAATCTGTCCCATATCCCAACCTCCTAGGAGCTTTCAAAACCCCAGTGCCCAACTCTTGCTTCACGCCAATTATATCTGAATGGCGAGGCAAGGGAGCCAGGCATCAATTTTGTTTTTGTTTGTTTTTTTGTTGTTGTCATCATTGTTTTGTTGTTTTTTTGAAGATTTCCAGGGGGTTCCAACGTGCAGCAGTGTTTGGGAACCACTGGCAAAACAGTTACGAGCGCAGACCTTGGGGTCAGACTTGGGTTTGAATCCTGGCTGTATGACTTGCCAGCTGTGTGACCTTGGGCAGGCTACTTAAACTCTCTGTGCCTCAACTTTCTTATAAAATACTGCATTTTACAAATAATAATAGTATTTAACTCAGAGTTTTTATGAGGATTAAAGGAGCTAGTCCTTGCAAATTATTTAGGTCAGTTTCCAGTGTTTGATAAGTGCTATAAACATTAGTTAAAAAGAAAAATACACATACCGAGTTCATCCCTGCCTCGGCCTTTTGCTCTTGCTGTTCTCTCTGTCTGGACCTCCCTCTTTCTGACTGTCATGTGTAACAGGCAGTCACCTACCTACCTTAGTTATACTATGTCTTAGTGTCCTTTTCCCTCTCATACCTTCAGTGTAGATTTATTACATGTATTTTGGTTGTTTCCTCCAGTGGAATGTAAGCCCTAGGAGTTCAGGATCTGCCCTGTCTCTAGAACAGTCCCTGAGTAAATGAGACACTGATGGAATGTGAAGATTGAGATGGATTTAATTCCTTAGGAACATACAGAAAAGACGTTAGGATAAAAAGGTCCATGCTTTTGAATAGAGACCTTTCTACAGACCACCAAATGCTGATGTTGCCGATAGATGCTTGGGGTTTACTGTGGATGAGACATCATGACTGCGAAGAGATACAGGTATTAGCATCCCCAATTAAACCTTGTGTAATAAGAGACTTGCTTATAAACAAGAAAGCTTGCCTCTCCCTGAAAATCTAGACCTGCTGAGATTCTGCAGCACATAATTGCCTCATTTGAATTCTCTCAGTAACTAGTTCTTATCTATTTTATTTAGTTTAAAGCTTAATTATCTATTTTCATTTCTATAAATTGCTCCCTCCCCAACCAGGGTCTCCAGTTCTTCCTCACTGTTGGGGAATGATAAAATCATCTTCAAGAATTTTAAACTGGATGAGACGCATCAGGGCCTGGTGGTGAAGAGATTTATATTCTATGTAGATAACATTGTGGAGATTTGCAATGCGGTTCCATAGGTACCAGAGCAGTCTCTGTGTATCTCATTAGGATTCGACATTTCCATTGATGTTAAATTATCGTATACATGTGTTCCATTTCATGGAAGAGAATATTTCCTAACCTGGAACCCCACATCATCCTGAGTGTGATCTGAATTACAAAGTTGCCTCCCTTCACAGAAGATGCGCTATGGATTCCTGCAGACTTCAGCTCCCACCCATGCATGCTTCAGATCGTAGCTACAAAGTAGCTGATGGTGGAGCTGGGACTGAGGAACCTAAATCCATCCTCAGCTGAAGAGTGTAAAGTCTATGAGGTTTTACTGAAATTGCTGAACTACTTATTTATAATAATGTTTTAGAAACAAATATGTGACAATTTAAACTTTTCTCTCCAATTCACAATAACAGGCAACACAGGCAACATGGCCCACACAGACAAGTTTCTTCTTCTTTTTTCATTTTTATTTTTTTGAGACAGTCTCACTCTGTTACCAAGGCTGGAGTGCAGTGGAGCAGTCATGGCTCACTGCAGCCTTGACCTCCCGGGCTTAAGTGATCCTCCTCCTTCAGCCTCCCCAGTAGCTGGGGCTACAGTCACATACCACTATGTCTGAATAATTTTTTAATTGTTTTGGTAGAGACTGGGGTCCTACTATGTTTTCCAGGCAAGTGTCAGACTCCTGGGCTCAAGTGATCCTCCCATCTTGGCCTCCCAAAGCCAACTATCAATAGTTTCTCCTACAGGTTTGTGGCAGGCTTGGCTGAATTAACCAGAGGAAACATAACACAGTGTCCCCAGTCTTCAGCCCAGGCTCTACCCTCCTGGACCTCCCCCATCTACAGTGTCCAGGACAATGATCCTTCTTCACCTTTAGACTCAAATACCTGGAGACTCTCAGACTCTCAGGCATCAAGATAAGGGTCTGGGAAGCCCACCATTTGGCTCAGTACCTCATGGACAACATTCAGTGGGAACTGAAAACCAAAATAGGTTTCGGGTAGAAAATATGATGTCTGACAATTTGTCAGACAGTCACATTTGAAATTTTTAACTGGAATTTTGCTGTGGAAGGTTGCCTAGCAGATGTCAACCAGGCAATACCATTCTTACCTCTGTTTGTTATTCTTACCTTTGTTTGTTATTACTCACTGAGAGTCCAGGGCTCCGTCCCTAAGAGGCCACCAAGAGATATTGCTATTGACCTAAATGTTGACCCATGGTTAGAGATTACATCTTGATCTCTCAGCTGCTTTCTGCTCTGCATGCATTTTGAGGATTTTGTCTGCATTTCTAGATTATGTGTTTGCCCACCAGGCTAAACGATCTCTGGGCCTCTTTCCTTGCCCCACATGACTACTATGTGGTGCCATTTCAGTCTCAGACATCTAGATCAGTACCTCCCAAAGTTTAATATGCACACAATCACCTGGGGATGTTTTAAAATGCAGATTCTGATTCAGGAGGTGGGAGACGGCACCTGAGACTCTGCATTTCTTCCAGGCTCCAGGAGGTGCAGCGCTGCTGATGGAAACCACACATTGAACAGCACATATCCATGGCTTCTGTAGTCTCTGTCCCCAAACCCATCAAAATCGAGTCATAAAAAAATAACTTTTTTGATTATAATGGTTCAAATGAGAGAGGAGGGTTGGTGTGTTTTCATTCCAGGCATATTTTTCATTTTATAAGAGGAAGAATGCTTCACCAAAGGACTGATGTCAGCTTGTGAAATTCTGGTGCTGGAGGTGGTTTGAGTTGGGCCCAGGGGACTTCCTTCTCAAATCATCTGAAATCCTGATCATTGTCTATATCTCGAGGCCCCACTTACATTGAGCAGTGCCCAGGCAGGAGGCCAGTGCTGGAAGCATACATCTGTGTGGCTGAAGCACATGCAAAGCGGAGGTAGGGGTTCCAGGGTGAGGGGACACAAGGTCTTTCTCCCCGCACAAAATAAACTGTAGATTTGTGCTGTGGGTTTTCCTTGTCAGGACCACAGAGCAGGAAAGTGCACATAGTCACCTCTTCTCCGGGCTTAGCTGACCATAAATTTTGCTTCGAGACCAGTTCCTTACAGACACATTACCAGCAGAAAAGGTGTCAGGTGGCAGGAAATGGTTAAAATTAACTCATTGCTTTATCATCCAATGCAGTGGATGGGGAGAGTATACATGAGGCTTCCCAACTGCTTTTCTCCTTTTTATTCTTCTTAAGGATCATTTTATTTATAGTTGGGAAAAAATAATTATCTACAGCTGGATGTCTCAACTGCAGGGCACTTAAGGCAGCACTTCCACCCACCAGGTGGCTCCTCGCTGAGCAGTTCCCTGGGAGAGAGTGCCTGGCCCTCTTCTCCTCAGCCCCATATCCTCCCAGCACTGTTTAATCTTGAGAGGATTCAGGTTATCAGCCAATGACCTTCCACACAAGCCTTCTATGACTTGTCTGGGATCATTAGATTAATTTCTTCATTCCTTGCACTATCAAGTAAGAGAATTTAAAAGACAAATAGCTCCCCTTTGAGTCCTTCTTGGAATTCTGAGAGATGGACCCTCTGGAGGGATTCGTTTGGCAGAGTGCTTTGTAGCTATGAAGCTCCAGACAGATTCACATTGGAATCCTAGTCTGCAGGTTCCTTAACTTTTTAGTTTCCTCATCTGTATAGTGTGGATGATCATAATGCCACTCCATTGGTGTAGAGATTAAACAAATGCATGCAAAGAATTTACTCACATGTCTGAGCAAAGGAGGTATTCAGCAAACAGGAGCAATTATTAGATGGGTGGTGGCGAGGGATGGATAAATCAGAACCACAGAATTAAAGCAGTAAGAGTCCTTGGAGGTCATCCAGGCAAGTGCATTGCAAAGTTTAAGAAGCATAAGAATCACCTTGAGACTAGATTTCTGGCCCCACCCAGAGATGATTGGATTCAGTAGGTCAGAAGTAGTGCCATGAATTTGTGTATCTAACAAGCTCACCAGGTGATGTTTTTAGTACCATGTAGCTCAACCCATCCTTTTCCTGATACAAAAATACCTCTTCTTACCACTCAAGTTCCTGTAAAATCACTTGGAAGTTCTATTGGACAACTCCTAAGGCAGATGAAGAAAGGAAATGAATCCTTGCTGGTGACCTATAATGAGTTAAGAGCTTTAAATATGTCACTCTGTCCTCACAATAACACGTAATTACCTAGAGTTGTTCCTACTTTTTGCTTGTTTATTTCTTAAGATGAAACTGAGGCCAAAAATAACTTAGGTGCCTTAGACACTGCCATTGAGTAAGAATTTGAACCCAGTCTCTGAGGCCTAAGTTCTTGAATCAGTGATGTTCAATCATATCTGGGAACCCCTACCTCACACCACCTTTTGTTGTTAGACAACTCTAAAAAGTTAGGATACATATTTGTTTGTATACTGAGCTGCAATCTACCTCCATGGTCCTAGTAATGGCTTCTGGATCTTCCACGGAATAGAAAAGGACTTAATATCATTTGGTTAGAGACAGGACAATCATTTACTTTATTGCATGATGGCATAATGGTTAAGTATATAGCCTGCAATGTAGAGTTTCTGGGCTCAAATTTTGACTCTCCTGCTTCTTGCTATGTGACTTGGACAAGTTTCTAACTCCTCTGTGCCTCAATTTTCTCAAACCTGTAATATAGGACTAGTATTAATACTTTCATTAGAATCTTGTTGGGAGGAGAAAACAGGAAAATGCATGTACAGAGTGATACAGTAATTTTGGCTTTCATAATTTCAATCCATAAAGCCCTTTAAAGTCCTCACAAAGCCTCCAGTAACTGTAGATCTTAAAAATTAGGTCAGATTTTTTCCTACTTATGATATGAATACATTTAGCAGTGTCTTTTTAAAAAACTTCACTGATGATTAGAAGTACTCGGTAAAAAAGAATGTCAAAGGTAAGTGTGCATTTCATAAGCAAGAGACCTGTGTTAAACCAACCAAGGTGATGCAGAATTATTTTGTTTTCTTGCAGAGGTGATTCTGCTTCTTTTACTTGAAGGCAGAGAGATGGAGTCATTTGTGGCACTAAATTAGCCTCTTCATGTAAGTCCCAGCCAGAAGCCTCCTAAAATTCCAGGAGAACCAAAAAAGGTAGAAAGATCAAAATTACCTAATAATTAAGATATAGAGAAATTGTTACTGCTTTTCAAAAATCATTTTTAAATTAAAGAAATAATATAAATGGTGAGGCAAAGAACACAAGTATTATTTACATCTCCTGCCTTAGATGGGTTGAAAATAAAAAAGGCCTCAATTTTCCTCCCTTGCCTGTGTCCTTGCCTTTGGCAATGTGACTTTTCAGCTCCTCCTGTCAAAGGATAGAGTCTACTTTCTCAGCCCTTGAATCTGGGCTTGACCATGTGGCTTACTTTGGCCAATAGGATACAGCAGACACAACACAATGCCAGTACCATGCCTGGGCCCAAAAGATTTCACTCTTCTTGAAATAATTTTGCCACCACCTCATGAATAAGCCCAGGCTACCCTGCTAGAGGGCGAAACACGTGGTCCAGATACTCCATTGCCCCAGACAAGTGAGCAAGGCCATTCAGGACTAGAAAGCCCACAGTCATCTTACCTGGTTGCAGACTACTAAGCAAACCTGCTCAAGACCATCAGGTCTGGCCTAGAACAAAAGAACCACTGAGCTTATATATACACTCACGAGAAATAATAAGGGCTTATTGTTTTATCCTTCTGAGTTTGGGGGTAGTTTGTTTCATAGCAAGAGCTAACTGATATGTCCCCTACAGAGTTTGTAGGAATAAAACAGCAGCAACAACAACAACAACAACAAACCCTATTAAAAGCAATAATAGTACTGCTTATATAGTTTGAACTATAGAAAGCTGTCAATATCAGCCATTTTTGACTGAAAAAAATAGCAATTTCTATGGAACAACCAATTATTAAGCACTTCTCAAATGTCAGGCACTATACTTTACATAGATTATTTCATTTAACCTTTACAACTCTATGAAGCAGATACTACTATCCAAATTTTACAAATGAGGAAATAGAGGCTCAACAAATATCTGTTGAAGGTATAAATAAAAGAAGAGGTAGCATCGTTCAAGGTCACATGCTCAACACCTGCTAGGTTAGGAATTGGAGCTTAGATTGGCTGGATCCCTCCACCAATGCACTTATTATGACAGGAAGCAGACGGTAATGACAATGACTGACATCACTAGGCAACAGGCTGTTCTACAACCTCTACATGACTTATCTCATTTAATCATCACATATAATCCTGGGAGGTCAGTGTGATTTATGCATGGGGAAGTCAATGCACTCATAAGTTCAATAATTTAACCAAAGTAATGCAGAAAGTAAACTTCCAGGTCAGAATTCGAACCCAGCCAGGGCTCCCAGTCAACTACATATGGCATCTTTTAGGGGAATTGAGGGAGGAGGAATGGAAGAAGAAAATGGAGTTCTTCATAAATAGAACCCTGGTAAACTTTTTGCATCTTTTAACCTGACTTAAGTTTCTATTAGCCCAGACACATTGTAGTTTAAGAAAAGAGCTTATAAAGGCTCTTTCTTCCCAAAAGGGTGTGAATAGTGTTTTCTCTTCTATTTCTACATTACAATCATGTGTCACACGGGGATATGCTCTGAGAAATGCATCATTAGGTGATTTCATCATTGTGTGAACATCACAGAGTGTATTTTCACCAACCTAAATGGTAGAGCCTACTACTCACCCAGGCTATATGGTGGGTTGCTCCTAGGTTACTATATGGTGTCTTTCTCCTAGGTTACAAGCCTGTGCAGCATGTGACTTATTGAATATTGCAGGCAATTGTAACACAATGGTATTTGTGTGTCTAAACCTATCTAAACATGGGAAAAGTGCAGTAAAAACAGGATATTATAATCTTTTTAATCTTAAGGAAATGCCATCACATATGTGGTCCATTGCTGACAGAAACATGGTTATATAGTACATGACTGTATTATATGTCAACTTTTGGGAAACTGGGTTAATCTCATGGAGACGTGGCAGGTAACTCTTCTGTGGGGTCACTGGAGAAGCCCCACAATTCTCTGCAGAAGCTAGCCACTGCATTCTGAGACTTCCCCTATCAGTACGACACTTCTTAATTAAGGCCTTATCTCCAGAAAGCCCTGAAAGTTAATACTAATTAATTAGTATTATGCAAACTTAAGTTAGAGGACACAAACTTAGGGGCCAATAGAGACCTGACGCATTAAGACAACAATGAATGTGGCCTGGTGTAATGCAAGAGGGGATGATGGGGACTGTAGCAAACTGAAGAGTGTATGTCCCTTCAAAATAAGAATGCTGAGACTTAAAGGCAATTGTCACCATTGACAATGACAGACGTTTTCATTTTGCAAAAGAAGACAAAACATTTAGATTTTTGTGGGTAATTTTCCTTTAAAATATTACAAGGAAAGAAATAGATTCTAGGGCTGGAATTGGCCTGCAGGAGGCCAGTTTGCAACCCTGTGCTTACATCAATGTATCGCTCTTTAGAGCAGAGATACACCAAGTGTGGTCCCTCAAGATACCAACATCAACATCAACATCACCTGGGAGCTGGCTAGACATGCAGGACCTGAATGGCTGGGAGGGTGACCCAGGTGTCTGGGTTTGACAAGCTCTTCAGGTGATTCTTACATCTATGTAGATGGTCCAGAAGCAAAAAGGACCAGCTGTGTAAGGCATAGGGCATCTGAGACAGGGTCTGGACTGACAGGGAAAAAGTCTCCCATCCACAGATCCAGAAAGAAGAAACGGAAGAGGCCAAAAAACCTGGAAAGGCTCCTGAGAGCTCTGCAGGCAGCACTGTCACCTGAGCTGCCCAAGTGACCTTGCACAGCCTCAGTTGTTCCTCCTCCAAAGCCAAGATACCAGACTCAAGCCTGGTACCTCCTCCCCTCCCAACTCCTGAGAAAGTAACACTGTGTCCCCATATTTGCAGAGCATTGTCAACGCTAAAGCTGTTCGAAAGCATGTCTTCAAAGTTGTCACCATTCTCAACTAATTAGTCAAAGGCTTCCATCTGCCTAGTGGCTCACCACACTTTTTACATTAATTTTTGTATGTAAATACAGTGATTCTGGGGAGAAATGATGTCAAGGAGAGTGATAGGTACCTCACTCAAGCCAGAATAGGATGCATCTTTAACATGCAACCTGCAAAGTCCCCAGAAAGATCATGTTGAAATAAGCTTTTGTATTTGGGTTTCTCCAAAGCTTAAAAATAACTTTAATTAAAGTCATAGGAAATGTCTGAGATATATACATGTACAGAAAGGAGATATTGACCTAACCTCCCTGCTGTAATCTTAGTAGTATAAGGAAATGCCCACCAAGCCAATCATTCAAAGCACAGTTCAATTAATTTTTCCTTCTTTCTTCTTTTATTTCCCCTCACTTTTTGCTTAGCCATGCAATCTTATTTTATTCTTTCCTTCTTAATATTATTTGCTCCCTTCTTTTCAAAGAAGCTGAGTTATCTTTCAAGAACAAATTCTATTGTAGCAGTGACCTCAAGGACTATGAGGCAGTAGATTAAAACCTAGTAGTCACTTAAAATACTGAGGATGACTTGAAAGAAGAGGTCATTTGTCTAATATTAATTCAGTAATAACTGGAGAGACATTATTCTTATTGCCTCCTTCCAGGCAGAACTGTCTAGTGCCTCGTGAAGTTCTTTGCCACTGTAAGATGGAGTAAAATAAAAATTGGATGGAGGTCAATTCTAATTCCAGGACTGACCCCATATTCAGATTCTACCCAAATATATTTTTGGGTTGGAAATTAGACTCAGGGATCAGGTAATTTCCTTCCCTCCATATCAGATGGCTGTTGCTGCAGACAAAATATGCCAACATTTAATGGCTTAAGACAACAACCATTAAGCTAACAATTCTGTGGGCCTCATCTGTGGTTCTGCAGCTCTGTGCTGGGCCTGACGTGTGGCTGCGGCTCCTGTCTCTCTAGTCTAGGATGGGCTCCCTTTCTGTGGACCACAGCTGCCTACATAGACCTCAGCTTTTGGAGAAACTCATAAAGATGGTATGGCAAACACTGTGGGCACCCTGCCCAGACCCCCAGGGTCCCTTTTGCTGGTTCCTGTGTCTATGTCCCTGTTCAGCAGTGCTTTGCTGCTAAGGGGTGATGAGTCCTGAAATCCTCACCATCATGGAGAACCAGAAGTTGCTGAGAGTGATATCCCCCGGTGACATGTAGCCAAGAATAGAAAAACCCAGCTCTCTTACTTTGATGGAGATAAATTCTAAGGTGTAATGGATGCTCCAGAACCTCCCACAGGTTGAGGCTGAGGCTGGGAACTTGCCTGAAACTGCACCTTTGCTCAGCCTCTTCCCCTCCCCTGTCTTGCCTTCCTCACTCCCTCCTGGGAGCGCCTCCTTAATAGATCATTGGCTCCCGCACCCTTGTCTCAGGGTCGGCTTGCAGAAAGATGGTCTAACCCACGTGTTTTCAGACTGAGCAGAGAGCAGCTTGTTTGTGAGATCTGTATAGTTTCCTGGGCTTTGGTACCAGCTCCAGCCTTTGCTGATCCTCTTTCTCCACCCACCTCTCCTTCTCTTCCTTTTCTTCTTTCTCTTCTACTCTCCCTCTCTCTTCCTGCACTTGCCCTTCTACCTCCCTTTCTCCTCTCCCTCCTCTCCTTCCTCCACTTAGTCCTCTTTTCCTCCCCTCCTCCTCCACCCTCCTTCCCCTCTCTTTCCTCTAACCCTCCCCTTCTCCTCCTTTCCCTCCCGTCTTCTCTCTCTTCCCCCTCCTCTCCCTCTCTCACCAGCTCATCATCCTCATCATCATCTTTATAAGTATCACTATCTTCTCCATGGTCTCTTTCTTCTGAATCTTCTTCCTTGTACTCATTTCTGTTTATTTTCACAAGTAAAGATTTGTGAACCAGCGATTTGGCAAAACACACACGTTTGGACTGACAGTTGTGAGGTAGCTGCTCCAAGGCATTTCCGTCAGCGTGGAATGCCGTCGCGGAGACTCACGGCCTGCGAAACGGGAAGCGCGGCAGCCGCAGCCCCGCTCCTCCAGAGCTACTGCGTTGGCGTCGCAGTTCACACATCCGCGAGGCTTGATTTATCGAACGGGAGATCAACGTGAAAATACTGTCAGGCTTCTGGAGCTAGGAAGATATTTAGATCACTCCACTCACGTACATCATATTTACGAAAGGAAAAGGAAGTGGGTAGATTATAAATTAGAAGGACCTGAAAGGAAAACTCTGTCCTTTCCAAACTCAGTCTTTTAGGAACTTCCTTCCAAAAGGCTAAGCTCAATGGTAAACACCTTATGTTTGGTTGAGTATACCTTCATTTCTGGCTTTCAAACAGCTATTTGGGGAAAAAAAATGCAGCTTTCAGGAATTCCAAGTGGGTTCATCCAGGTCTGCCCAGTACCATGTATCCCCTCCCCAGGACCCCACCTAAAGGAAACCGCCAGTCCAACACTTAAACCAATTGAGAGCTGGAAAAAGAGCAAAATCATTGCATTTCTCTATTTCTCTCTGTAGATATAAAAATCGAAGGCCCACAAAGGCAAGGGTTATACAGAGAATCCAAGAAATAGACTAAGGGCCAGCACTGGTCTGAGAGCCAAGAATCCCAGGTCAGAGCCTCAGAGCTACTAAAAGTTTCCTTTGTGACCTCACTTTACCTGTTGAACCTCAATACGGTTGATCTCAAAAATAGCCACAGTGGTGCACACCTCTTTATATCAACACACTTTGCATGTGACTCTGCTGTGTCTCCTATCAAGATGTGGGTCTGTTTCCTGGCCCCTTCTTCTGGGCTGGTCTTCTGATTTGCTTTGGCCAATAGAATGCAGCAGATGTGACAGTATGCCAGTTTAGGACTTGGCCTCAGAGGCTTTGCACACTAAGGTTTCCTTACTTGGCACCCTCCCAGTCACCACATGGAAAGTTTAGGCCAGCCTCTGAGAAGATGACAGGCCATATGCAGCAGAGATGAGCCACCCAGCTGAGACCATCCTAAACCAGCCATTTCCCAGCTGAGCAGAAGCTGCCCACAAATGTGCAAAGTTAACCCAGGAAGACAATAAAAGCTGTCCAGTTATACTCATCCTAAATTTGTAACTCACAGTATCATAAGCTAAATAAAGGATTATTATTTCAAGCCACAGTCTTGGGGTGGTGTGTTATATAGCCAAATTTAACTGACATACTTGGTTTTTCATCTGTACAACAAAGGGATGAGACACATATCTGTCTCATTTTTCAGGTACAGTTTTAAAAATCAAGTCGATGGAGGGTTAAGGCCTGGCGCCAAGCTGTCCAACATGGTAGCCTGCAGCCACATGTGTCTATGTAAATGCAAACTCAATAAATTGAAATTAAATAAAAGTGAAAATTCAGTTCCTCAGTCACACTAGATGTATTTCGAGTGTTTACTAGTCACACAGGGCTAGTGGCCAGTGTCCAGGAAACACAGTCACAGAACATTCCCACCATCTCTCGCAGGTGTGCTGGACAGTGCCGTTCTGGAGCCACCATGCAGGCCGGTGTCAGAGCTGAAATTAGAGCCCAGACCTCTGGACCACCGCTCCAACGCTGCCTCCCCAACGGCATCTGGCTCTTCGGAGGCTACCCCTCACATTGCCTTTGAAAATTTCAAATCTATATTTTTAGTCTTCTGCTTTAACTAAAATATCTAAATCACCAAGGAGTCATGGAATTGACTGCAAACATGTTCAGTATTTTCATAAGAGAGTAGGGAATGCAGCTCTTAACAAGGTAGGTGAAGTCTCCAGACTGATGCCAAGGCTTTCTTCCTTCAGGGGATTGCCCTAGTTTTTATTTTAAGCTTTTTTTTTCAGTGTTGATAAGGTTGATAGCTAACTTTATCTGCATTCAACCCTTAACAAGGATTGATGGATTGGTTTTGTTTTTTTTTTTCGTGAGTGTGTGTATATGTAGGAGCTTTCCTCCCAATTCTCTTTCCATTTTTTCTTTTCCCGTCTCCAATGCTCAGGGCTTCCTCTGACTTCAAAGAACTAAGACTCAGAGGAAAATGGGTATCTGACCTAATTAAGTGCATAGATTGAGATTTTCGTTCTTGGTTAATGAAAAATTCCATTTTCTTCACAAGCCTTGCTCTGGTTTCCTGGATAAAGGGAACTTGGAGAACTGCCTTCATGCTACTCCTTGGAAAAGCACTGCCCCTGCCAGAAGCTTGGGGCAGGGAGGGTACAGGAGTTCGTGGGACAGCAGAGGCAGGAGGGGGCCATTGAAGGCAGTGATCGAGGAACTGCTGTGCCTCAGTTTGAGTCCCAGCCTGGCTACCTCCTACCTCCAGTGGATTCCTAGTCTAATTACTTCATCTTTCTATGTTTCAGGTTTCACATTCGCAAAGTGAGGATGGCAACTGTTCTTACCAGTAAGGGTTTGGTGACTGAATACAAGGAAGCCTGGAGAAAAGTGCCTGTCACCGAAAAGAGCTCAGGACAGTCATAGTGGACATGTCAGTGCCCCGTGCAGGTCCTTGGGGACCTAAGGTAACGGTTGTGCACATGCATCCCCTGGCTCCCGTGTGTTTTGCTGCCAACAGCTTGCACCTGAAACCTTCTTCAGAGGCTGCCCTTGGGCCCCCTGAGCCACTTTATCCGCACAGACAGACAGGGAGCCCAAGTGCCAGGTGTTATCCCAAGCAGGTGGTTGCTGATGGGGGCAGGAGTCAGGAAGCCCAGTGCCCTTACATTCATACAGACAAACTATGAAGTGTTACATACACTCCAGAGCTCCCCTCAGGACCAGGCTGAGGCTGGGGCCACGTCTATAATTGCTTAGTTGCATAATTTCTTCTTCCTTTCTCTCCTGCTTCCCCACTTCCAGGTCCTCCTGAGAACAGTTGCTCCATAAGCCACTGGAACAGGAATCTTTATGTCAGGCTCTGCTTCTGGGGAACCAAACCTAAAACTGTAGTAACTATCATGATTTTATTATCATAACAATTATTATTACTGCAGTCGTATTTTAAAAAGTGATTTGGGCTCCTAAAGAAGATGATAATTTCTCCAAATGTGCAAAACTCAGCACTTTTCAAAGCACACTCGCTTTCCCCTATTTCAGTACATTGTTATTACTAGGCTCTCCGGGGGGGAAAGAAATTAAGTGAAAAATCTGATCCATCCTCTTTTCTCTTCCCACTGCCAGCTCCTTCCAGCGTGGCTAGGACCTCCTCTGCATCAGTACAGATACCCCAGCTGATGTAACTGAGCTTGATCCTCCCCCGGTTCTCTTCAAATTTCCAACTCCTGGGCCCTGGGCTGCACACACGCCAATGTGTCTCACCCTTAGAAAGACAAACCCTAAAAACAGATTCCTACAGACCCAGGAGAGCAGAGGTTCTCAACCTTAGGCCTACTTGGAAATCTCTTGGAGGGCTGATTACAACCCACATTTCTGGGCCTTACTCTAGAGATTGAGATTCATTAGGTTGGAAGGGAGCTCATGGCATATCTAACAAACCATTAGGTGACGCTGCTGCAGCTATCATGCATATCAGATTGGAGTAGCACTGGCCTCAAAGACCCTCAGCTCCTTGTGGAGGAACACAGCTGGAGGGGGCCAGAGAGGGACTGTTTCTGTGCAGGGCCCAAAGCAGGGCAATAATATTTCTGGCCAGGCAAGAACATCTACTGCCATGTCAGGGATGTAATGAAAGGCAGGGTTTCCAAGATGGCAAAAGCATATTGTATTCATTTCCTGTTGCTGCTGTAACAAATGACCAACCAACAGCAGCTGAAAGCAGGGTAAATATATGACATTACAGTTCTGGGGGTCTGCAGTCTGAAATGAACCTAAAGCCAAAGGCTTTGGTAAAGAACCCATTCCTTGTCTTCTCCAGCTCAGGACCAGGCTGAGGCTGCCCACATTCCTTGGCTCCTGGCCACATCACTCTGACCTCTGCTTCCATTATCATAGCTCCTACTCTAACTCCTACTTCCCTCTTATAAAGATGCTTGTGATTACACTGAGTCCACCCAAATAATCTCCCCATCTTAGGAGTAATCTGCCCCATCTCAAGATCCTTAATTTATTCATGTCTGTAAAGTTCCTTTTGCCATTTAAGGTAACATTCATCTGTTCCAGGGATAAGGACGTGGGCATCTTTTGGAGCTTTGGAGCTATTAGCAAACACAGTCTCACCTCTTCCTTTATAAAGCGACATATCTTTCCTTCAAATGCTTCCAGACACCAGGCCGTACGCCACCCACTGCCTAACTATGTCTATGGCTGACAGAACTTGGAGGTCCTGATGGCTCCCTGCTTTCCATTCCTCCCTCCACCTCACTGATTATGGTATTTCTCCTTACTTATAAAAGCCCTATTCTTTTCCCTTTTTCCCTAAGGCTCCCCCAGTTCTCTCCACCCAGAAGTTATGAGCAGAGGCATCACTGCAAACATACGAATTCTCTCCTAGCTTCATCTGTCTTGGTTTTGAAGCTGTGCTTAGATGCAAGTTGTTCAAGGAAGAGACCACAGGCTCTTCTTGTTCCTTTGCTTTCTTTCCAACCCAGCGTAGCCATAGTAGGCCCACATGGCTGATAAATACTCGGGGATGGAAATGTTATTAGATGAGTGTTGTGTGGTTTCCTTTTCCTGCCTGATGTTCCTAAGTGACTGCTGTTTTTCAGGTAGCTTGAGGTACTCACTCCAGGACGTGCTAATTGCAAAATGGTCCTATTCTTTCCCGATTTCTGTCTATACTCTTTGCAATCGGCCCATGTCATTTCATTGCCATAGGCCCAGACTGAACAAGAGTCCTATTTTTGTATAAGAAATATACGAACCATCTACATTTCTATAGACATTTCTACATATGAAATGTCTCATCTCTGTAAGGGAGACATTTCTAGCCTGCAAATGTCTCATAGGTGGCTACCAGAATACATTCAAAATTAGAAAGAAAAATTACTTTCCATTTCAGACTTCTAGCATAGTTTGTAATACTAGATTTGACTAGAAGGGAACATAAGAAGACCTTGTGGGATGCTGTTATCTGGGTGCTGGTTGCACCGAGTGGGTTTAGTTTGTAAAAACTTCATTGAACTGTACACTTGAGATTTTACCCTTTCCTGTAGGTATATTATATTTTAATTAAAAGTTAAAATAAAGGCCTGGCATGGTGGCTCATGCCTGTAATCCCAGCACTTTGGGAGGTCGAGGCGGGTGGATCATAAGGTCAGAAGTTTAAGACCAGCCTGGCCCAGATGGTGAAACCCCATCTCTACTAAAAATACAAAAAGTAACCAGGCGTGGAATTACAGGTTCCCGCCTGTAAATACAGGCGACTATTTACAGGCGGGAACCTGTAATCCCAGCTACTCCAGAGGCTGAGGCAGGGGAACTGCTTGACCCGGGAGGTGGAGATAGCAGTGAGCCGAGATCGTGCCATTGCACTCCAGCCTGGGAGACAGAGCAAGACTCCATCTCAAAAAAAAAAAAAAAAAGTTAAAATAAAATGAGGCAAAATGAGGCTCTTGTTCAGTTTGGACTTGTGACCATGACATGATACAAACTGAAGGGCGTTATGAATTCAACTCTCTACTCCAAAGCCTAAGATAAAAGGGAGAGTTAGGCACTCACCAACCAGCCGTAGCTTCCTCTCATCCCCATTGTCTTACATTTGATCCGTTATCTTAGTTGCTTGTTTCCTCCAGGTATCTGAGTGGGTCAAGTATTAAAGAATGTCTCTTGTCAAGGCATGTTATGGAAGTATCTTCTACTTAGATTATTGGCTTGTGTTCACTCATCTCAAGTTTCTAGCTCTTTCTCTTTTAACTATTTTGGCAGTAACAATTGGGTCACTCTACTAGAGTGTGAAGTAGGAAGGCAGCTTCCTAATGAGGGATCTCACCTCCCAGCTGTCCTTGCATCCAGGTATGACCAAATGACCAGGTATCTCCCACAGACCATGAGTGGAAGCGATGAGTGTCCCTTCTTTTACAGGTCTTGGGTTAAGAAGCAACTGAGGCTGATCTACAAAGACTCCAAGGCCCAAGCTATGGAGGCTGGACAGAATCTGGGGTCATGAATCCACATGCAATCAACAGCCTTCTGCTGACGGGAACACCCAAATTGGACTCTTAGGTGAGTAAGCAATAACATTCTATTTTGACAAGCCATGGAAATATATTCGTTTCTGTTGCTAGAGTTACCCTGATTAATACGCTATTGCATCCTATGGTTATTCATGCATTCACTCATTCAATAAATATTCATGAAATCCTCTCTCATGCAAGGCACTGTGCCAGCTTTTTGCCTTCAAGGATCTCAGACACCGGCTTAAAAATAAGGGCAGGCTACTGATGTTTGTTTGCCTTATTATGTGGCAGACTATGCATAAGTTACTTTACATAAGGTAAAACATTTGATCATCACATGAATTTTACAATATAGGCATGATCATCCCTAACTTATTAATAAAGAATTTAAGGCTCACGAAGCTTGAGAAACTAGAAATTGTTTTACTTAAATACCTGTGTTTTCCCAGTACATAATACTGCTTCCTAGAAGGGGGGTAAGACACGTGCATAAAAACTGTTGGACAAGTTATTGAGGATTAAATGGCATAAAAGAGTAATGCTTAAAAGCTATGGATGTTTAGACACCACTAGCTATTTTGATATCACAGTCACACTTACCCCAGGTAACACTGTCTACAGCCTCATCGCCTTCTGTCTGTGTTCTGGTTGAGCCCCATCCTTTACTTCTCTGACGATGAAGCTTTTGGGGTCAGAAAGGTCCATATTAGCCACCAAAGTGTGATGTGGCAAAAAGCACCAAGCATAAGGACTCAATCAATCAGAAACTGCTACATTCTTGCTGCACATAGGCGACTCTTCCATGTGTTGCTTTCCTAAAATTCACTTTCTCTCTCTACAGAAGCATCTTTGTAAAGCCTGTCCTCCCTTCCTCCCAGAATATGGGGAGCTGGATGAGACTGCATTGAAAATGTATAAAACCGTAGAAAGTATAAATCAGTTTTGTTAATTATCCTCATTCATTCACTGAATAATAATTCAACACCTCCTCTTTTTCTGATGATATGCTCAAATTTTCTCGTATCTTAATTAAATTTTGGGCACAATCTACTCAGAAATATTCTCAGAATCCTAACTTGGCTGTAAAATCAGAGGCTTGGCATAGCCTTAGATGTAAATACCAAGGGAAAAAAAATCGCATGCAGTTAACAGTACACAAAATCTTCAGATCTGAGGCCTTTCACCATGATTGGATTAGAGTTTGGCAGAAGTGGACAACCCATGGACTTCCAGGCTCCCTGTTTTAGTTAAAAGAGATACAAATTGCTTCCCCAGTGCATCTTCTCAGGGGAACCTCCAGGATAAAATGCTGAGATCACATGAATTCATCTCCAAGCAGAAACCTGAGGCAGATGCCATTTTTTTATGTCATTTTAATGGGCTTTCTTTAAAAAGGCAGTGGCATGTTAGTGCTGGGTCCTTGATATTTTACATTGGTTTCTATAATGACTCTATGATTGAAGAATACGCTGACCAAGAACCAAATGTTACTCAGATATATAAGGCTCCATTTTGCATAGTTACCCAAACTTCTCTTTTATATGCACCTTTGCTTTTTGACCGGCTCAGAAAAAAATTTCTGTTTTATTCATTGGAGTGTCAACAAATACTTGTTTGACCACCTGTTAAGTGCTAGGCACCGAGCAGGGCCCTGGGGAAAACTGTAACATGCAGATAGGAGTCATTGCTCATGCCGTGTAAGGAGCTTGACTCTGAGGCTGCCAAAGATGTTTCTCTATCCTTTAATTTGCCCATGATCTTCCTAGACAATGGACTCCTTGAAGACAGTCTAAGTTCTACCTATTGCAATGTCCCTAGTGAGAACTACAGTGCCTGTCTTGTGGTGTGGGTTTGGTGCTGAGCACATACGTATTGAATGAATAACTGAATGTTTGACAGGATAGTTCACCTGAATATTATAAAGGAACAGTCTACTTTATATTTCATACAAATAGCCTCAATTTTGTTGCCAAGAGCCTAGAGATAAAGAATAAAAGGACTGAAATACTCTCCCAAAAACTCTTATTTCTGTTCTACAAGGGAAAAGGCATTTGTCTATTTATTCATTCAACAAATACTTATTGACTGTCTACTATATGCCAAGAGTGTTGTAGGTCTAAGGCAGACAAGCTCATGCAAGAGCAGAGCTAACCCACATATAAGTAGGAAAGACAGGCTATAAATAAATAAATGAACAAATAAATAATGCAGTATTTTGACAGTGATAAGTAGTACTATTTAATATAAAAAATAAATGAGGAGTTCTGATCACTATTGAATCACAACAAATCACCCCAGAAGTAAATGGCACCAAATAACCAGTTTATTATGCTCACAGATTGTGTCGGGTCAAGATTTGGACAAGGCAGATTGAGAATAGATTGTCTCTATCACAATATCCAGAGTCTCAGCTGCGAAGATTCTAAGGCTGGAGTGCTTGACCCCTGGGGGCTGGAATAATCCATCATAAGGCCCTGCATACTCATCTGGTGGTGATGCACATGGACATACATGGAGAGTGCTGACTGGAACATCTCCATGTGACCTTGCTATGTAGTTTGGGCTTCCTCCAAGCATGGCGGCCTCAGGGTAGCCTGTTTTCATACATGCTGGTTCAGAGGTCCAAAAGCAAGAGTCCCAGCAAGCAATGCAGGGGCTCTATGCCATTAATGGCTGGACATCATAAGTTATGGGAGTTACACAGTGTCATTTCTGCTGCGTTTCGTTGGTGTCAACAGTCTTCAAGGTTAGCCCAGATTCAAGATGTAAGGACTTGGACTCTATCATGGTTTAAAACTACCACACAGGCTTATGTGACCAGGAAGTTAGAGAAGGTTACTTGCAAAAGGTCAATTTTGACCTAAGATGTAAGTGACAAGAAAGCCATCCATATAACAATATAGAGGAAATAATTTTCAAACACAGAATATCATATCCAAAGGTCCTCAGATAAAACCGTCTGGGGTGGGAAGCCAAGCCTTTAGTGAGCTTAAGGCTCATTTGCACACGGCCCCCAGTTTGGAGACAATGCCAGCCAACCAACCACAGAGGGACAATCTGGGATTATCAAGCTCATGTTTACTCAGGCTCTAAGCCTGGATAGGCTATTCCATAATTCTAGAATATTCATGATAGGAGAGCAAAGGCTCACTGTGCTTGTAAAAAAGGTTTCAACTGCATCTCCTCTGAAGTGATAATTCTTGTGTACCTTTATATCCGGAAGAGGAAACAAAATAACTAGGGTTCTGTCAGACTTGTGCAAAGGTCAGGTCTCCTCAAAGTTACATTAGGAGAAAGGCCAGCCTGGCAGCTTCTCAATGCTCCAATTTAAAAGATGCACCAAAGACATTTCTAGAAATAAAATTGTTTTAAAAATCAATGCCACAACTTTATTTACCAGAATTCCTCAATGGGGAAGGAAGCATCCTTTTTGTGATGTCTCTCTCAAGGAGAGGGGAGACCATCAGTGTGACCCTCTGGGCCTTTCTCGCCAAGGTAAGTGGAACATTTTTGGGGCAAGAACCGGCATTGCCTAGCCCAGCCCCTTCTTCTCTGTCTTTCTCGGAATCGAGCTGCTTACAAGAAGCAAGCATTTGCTCAACCCTTTGTGGTAAGGAGGGCTAACTCAGTCCATCCGACCGTGTCTGAGATTAAATCTCAGTCTGAGGCTCAGTATCCAGAAACCCACTTTCCCACAGATATAAGCCATGTCCTCCAATATCAGCTTTATTTTAGAAAATCCATCTCTGTCTGCAGTGTTTAATCTTACTTCTCAGTTGTTTCAGAACTTGAGATGAAATGAGAGATATTCTTTATTGGCTCCATCCTGAAAAACTGTAGCAACCAGAGAACTAGTCCAGGAACCTCAAGGAACATAAAGGAAGTGTCACTGATGGATCATAATAACAAACAGAAAAGCTTGGGATGTGTCTGCAACATGGGCCATGGCACATTCTTGTGAACAGAGCAAGTTGCAGATGTCTGTGTTGGTCATGGGACTTGGCTTTATCACTTTGCACTTGGGCCCTTAGCTACTATGATGCAGGCAGGCAGCATGAAGTCTAAAGTGCCAGCTTCACAGGCTTTCACCCTTGTGGAGGTTTTGTCCATAGGTGAAGGTGTATTTGTGGAGGCAAGGCTGTGAGCAAAAGTGAGTGCTTCAGTGAAGATGCTGACCTTTGGGTTTCTCCAAGGCACAAGCTTAATTGTATGTCAGGTGGCCAGTGAGTATCAACCAATAGAAGGGGTCCAGACAAGCAAATGCTCTTCTGGCCTTTGCAAGGAGGACTCTCAGTAAAGGCATAGGCTGCGTGGTGTCCTTGGGAAAATCTGAAGATTCTATGGTGCATGCTACTGCAGCTTGTTCTCATAAAGCATCTGTGCTGGCCTCACCATGCATCTAAGGGCCACTTGGGAAAGAGTACTTCGATGGCTGCCGTCCACTAACAAGCCATGGTCACTATGTCAGTTATATAATGCTATGTAACAAACTTGATAACGTTATGGCTTAATAGCTGCTTATTATTTTTCATGAGTTTAGAGATTGGATGGACAGTTTTGCTGGTCTGGGCTTAGCTTGGCTGAACTCGGCTGAGCTTGCTCATGTGTCCAGCTGTGGGCTAACTGGTCAGCTAGGATGGCCTTAGCTGGATGACTTATCTCTGCTCCACATGTTTCTTGGAGGCCTTCAGCAGGGTAGCCTGGGCTTGTTCTCACAATAGTAGCAAAGATTAAAGAGAGGAAGTAAAAATGTACAAGTGCTTTTTACAGTCCCTCTTTGCATTCCATCTGCTTACTGTCCAATTGGCCAAAGCAGATCGCATAGCCAAGTGCAGAATCAATGTAAGCATTTAATGCAATCGAGCTACCTCTGCCACTAACCTGTGTTTTAAGGTGGTAGGACCTGTTAGCTGTAGGGCTGTGGCTGTGTTGAATGGGAGGCTGGCTAGGGATAGAGTGAATAACTGAAGACAACCAAGGAGAGACTGAGCACCTTCACCAGTCGCCTTCCCCTCTGCCATTTCTCCTTACAACAGGCTTCAATACTGACACAATGTTTACGGAATACCATGTTGAAGGTAAGATGTTATGAGCTTACCTCAGTGCCCACACCGCTTCATCCAGTCCTGGCTCTCCTCTGCCTGAATCCAACACAGAGTCATGAAATCCCCAGGCACATGACTGAGAGCAAAGGCTTTGGAGAGGGCATAGCCTGAATCCTGTGCCAGTTCCAACCTAACTGACTTAATGCCTTCAAGTTCACTTTCCTCATTTTTAAAAAGGGGGAGGAGGGAAAGCACTCCCTCCCTGTCAGAAAGAAATTGGACAATGGACAACACAGGGCACTAAGTAAATGCTCAATAAATTATAGCATTTACCATGGTTATTATTATCTAAGAGGACAATGTAAATTTCCTCAAGAGTGGACAGAGTGAGAAAGGAGTAGCGCAAAGCAACTCCATTAACAGTGACAGATATTAATGGAGCAGATTCATCCACAGTAGAAAGGGCTTGATGTATATTTAAGCAAACAGCCTCTGCCGGGATGCAGGAAGAAACACTGTTCTCAGGAGGGAGAAGAAGGCATGTTTTTGGCTGATGATAGCTCATGAGAGAAAGCTGATTGGTTGATTTGAGATGGGTACTGCCCCGTCGCCCACTTTCCAACCCTCTAATGTCATCCTCCTCCAGGAGAGCTTTGATGAAAAAGACCACAGGGACTGGGTCTTTAGGTCTGGGGCATCTAAGGAGTAATGATACTCTAGGTTCACTTTTTTTCTTAATTGTGAAAAGCTGAGGCCAAAAGACCTGAGCAACCACAGAAAGTAGATACACAGCTTCTGATATTGGATAGGACTTATGTCAATCCCATTAATAAATGACATAGGGATTTGATTATATGGCTACCACAAATAAGTAAGTATATTGCACCTGCGTGAGGCCAGGAGGAGCCATTCACATGATAGTCTATACGAACAGTGCTCCCAGGCTTCATGTGGTGCACAAACCACACAGCTACACATGGTGGCCCTGCTTAGGTAGAAACATGTAAGTTATAGAGCTAGTGTGGAAATTCTCAGACACCTGTTGGTATCAGCCCTTTGTCTTTGAAACATTGACAACTTTCTCCAGACTAGACCTAATGGCAAACCTGATGCAAAATTTGGGACGGTCAACTTGCCTTCCTGAGAATTAGGATGGACCTGAAATTGTGTATGATCTCTCATCCTCTTTCAGTGTTTCCATCCTGGTTTGGTTCCTAACACAGCAAAAAGAAATTGTCACCCTTTACCTTCAGCGTTGTACCATTTGGTTTTATTGCTGCTGTTGATGCTCCAATTGTACTCTAAAGTTTTAGAAATCCATTTATTATTTAAATAAATGAATCATGGGCCGGGCGCAGTGGCTCACGCCTGTAATCCCAGCACTTTGGGAGGCCAAGGCGGGTGATCACCTGAGGTCAGGAGTTTGAGAGCAGCCTGCCCAACATGGCGAAACCCCATCTCTACTAAAAATACAAAAAATTACCTGGGCGTAGTGGCAGGCGCCTGTAATCCCAGCTGCTCGGGAGGCTGAAGCAGAATTGCTTGAACCCAGGGGGTGGAGGTTGCAGTGAGCCGAGATCACGCCACTGCACTCCAGCCTGGGGAACGAGAGCAAAACTCTGTCTCAAAACAAACAAAATATATGTGTGTGTGTGTGTGTGTATATATATATATACATATATATATATAAATGAATCATGAACAGTGTTGAACCTCAATGCTTAGAAAACATGTATCCCAAAGTCCTTTGTGAACCTACACATTTTCAAATACTACTGAAGCTATAATTACCAAACTGGATGGGGAGGGTGTAAGCTCCATGCCCCCCAGAGAGTTTTCTTGGAATCTTGAAGAACTGTGAACTGTACAGTTTAAGAAAGTGTATTCAACACACCAGTAGTACTTGTAATAAAAGTCTTAGAACACAGAGGTCAGCAAAAACCTTAACTGGTGGGAATAGGGAGAAAACAAACTGAGATAGCAGTTTAGAAGATATAAGTTAAAAAAAGAAAAGTTTGAGGAACTGTCTACTGAAACATGTAATTTTTCCCATAACAGACAGTAAATTATAACTGAAAATTGTAAGTGACGCTTTCAGACTCTTGAATATTCCATAAGTATAGGACTAAAGTCACAGATATGAACTTCTGTTGAATAAGGTATTTCACTCTGTAATTTATGTGAAACTTTGACTTTCTTAAAAAGAACTGCCTCCTACATATCTTTCATTCTCTTCACTTTCATTGACATTCCAGCAGCCAAATTTCTTGGGGGAGGAGCCATTTTAAGGGGGAAGCAAAGCTATTGTTTTGTTGAATTGCAGTATTATTTATTTCTGTTTTCTATTGTTTAAAATTTTATGGTATGTGTTTTTCTTCTTCTTTTTTTTTTTTTTTTTTTTTTTTTGTTTTATTTCCATAGGTTTTTTGGGAACAGGTGGTGTCTGGTTACATAAGTAAGTTCTTTAATGGTAACTTGAGATTTTTGTGCACCCATCACCTGAGCAATATACACCACATCCAATTTGTAGTCTTTTGAGTTGCAATATTATTTAGATGTCTCTATGTTCCAAGGAGAAAACTCCAAACACACAGGCATAAGTAATACCAGAATTTACTAGATTAAGCATCTGCAAAGTCCAGGGCTTGATCCAGATGTCATGAGGGTTGTGACATTTTTCTTCTGTGATTATTTTGTTCTGTCCTTCCCTGTACATTTGCCTTGTTTTCAGGCTGTCTTCCCTCTTGGTATCAAGAAGGCAGTCAGCAGTTCTGAGGAATTCCATCCACTTCCTTGTTCATATCCAAAAGTGAGACAGAGTTAGTCCTGGTCTATGCATTTCACTCTGACTCTGATAAACTAATTGCAAAAATGGCTCCAACATTCCACCCCTCCCTGAAACCATGTCCTTTGCCATGTGAACTTGTGGTTCCTCTCACCATGAAGCAGGGTCTATTTTTCCACCTCTTGAATCTGGGATGCCCTCACGACTTGCTTTGGCCAATAGAATATGTTGGAAATGACAACATACTAGTTCGGAGCTTAGGCCTCAAGAGAATTGCACATTTCCGCTCTGTCTTAGAGTTTTTCCTTCACCATAAGCACAAGCCTTAGCTACCCTGATGTGGAATGAGAGACTACACGGAGCAGAGATAAGCCACCTCAGCTGGGCCTAACCCAGGCCAACCTGTAGACAGCCAACCTCAAAACACACGAGGGCCCAGCCTGGGAGAACAGAGCTACTTTCTGATCCGCAGCTGACCACAGATATCTAGGTAAGCCCAACTGAGATCAGAAGAACCACACAGCTGACTTACAGAGTCATGAGTTGTAACAAATGTTTATTGTTTAAAGCAACTGAGTTTTGGAGTGGTTTGTTACACAGCAATATCTAACCAATACATAGGTCCTTTAAGGCTGCTTTGATTGCATTATTTTTAAGTCACTGGCTCACTTCTAAACCAAATGCTTGGACCTAGTCCAATCAATGCCCACTTGAGCTGTAATGGGGAAGTGGAAGGAGAAACTTGAATGAATATCAAGAATTATTAAGAGGATGGGAGAAAACTGGGGATGGTGCAATCACTGTGGACAAATGGCCTGTCCACTACTATCACTTCATAAGAGTTCCTAGGTGAAGGATGATGGAATAATATGAGAATGACAGAGTAGCCACACTGGATTAAGTGACTCCTACCCAAAGCCAGCTTCACAGCACATTCAGATTAAATATCCTGTCTCAACAAAAGTACAAACTACCGACTACCCTGAAATTTCAGGTTGCTTGAAAATTCTTGAAACCACAAGGTCAAATCTACCGACATCAATGTTTTAAGTACTAACGGTTTCTCACATTCCATATAAAAAATATTGAGGCCAAATCCCACGCTTTCTAAGCTCAGAAAGCCTTCAAAAAAGAGAGCCGCCTGTACTAAGTAGGGCATGTTTTCCCATGAGGATCCAGCGTAGGCATTTAAGGCCCATAACTCACACATATTTTTTTTTTTCTGGATGCTCTCTGTAACAAGGGATTCCTCTTGCAATACATATCAATGTAATGAAACCACTTGGTAACTCTGCTTGGAAACACCATCGAGTGTTGTTTCAATATGTTTTTTAACATTTATGTTCCAATTTTCTTTAAAGCAACTGGGACAGGATTGAAAACATCCTAGAAAAAAAAGAAAAAGAAACAGAAAAAGAAAGTATGTGCATTAGAAGTGTGCTAACCTAACAGGTATAAATAGTGTAAAAGAATCATCCAGGCTGGGTGTGGTGGCTCACGTCTGTAATTCCAGCACTTTGGGAGGCTGAGGCGGGAGGATCACAAGGTCAGGAGATCGAGACCATCCTAGCCAACATGGTGAAACCCCATCTCTACTAAAAGTACAAAAATTAGCTGGGCGTGATGGCACGTGCCTATAATCCCAGTTACTCAGGAGGCTGAGGCAGGAGAATTGCTTGAACTAGGGAGTCAGAGGTTGCTGTGAGCTGAGATCATGCCACTGCACTTCAGCCTGGCAATACAGTGAGACTCCGTCAAAAAAAAAAAAAAAAAAAAAAGAAGAAGAAGAAGAATCATCCAATACAAAATAGTAATAGAAGCTGGACTTCAAAGGGCAAATAGCTACCATTAAGAGAAAGGAAACAGCATTACCTTCCAATGGGGAAGAGATGCTTCTTGCAGCAAACATCTCATGCATTGCATTTCCTTTTTTGAATCTCCCTTCTGATCTTGGAAGAAAAAGCACTACAGAATGTGCGTGCTGGGAGAAGTGATCTGCAGTCCTGAAACAATTTAATAGCATTTTAAAAATAGTATTTGTAAGTAGTCAGGTTTTATTACTAGACAGCATATCAAAGCTTAGGGGAAGCCTCTGGTAACTGATAAAAGAAGGCAACTCCAAGGAATTTTCCCATCAAAACTGACCAGACAGATTGGACAAGATTTAACATCAAATACTATGTATAAATTTAAGGACTCATCCATAAAAACTAAGGAAAACTGGATTATATTAAACAGCTGTGAAAAACAGGAACACGTGAATAAAGGTTTTGGTATCTTAACATTTTCCTATAATTTCACATTTATTTAAGGAGATCTTAGTACGCTGTTGGTACATTCATAGTATTTATGGCCCCAGTTGACCAAATCTGCCTATATCCATGCACTTAAGTATCACGCTACCAGGCAACTCTGCTTGACCATGCGATTCCCTTTGGCCAATGAGGCAGAAGCAAATTTGACAAAAGAAGAGGCTTGAAAAGTGCTTGTTTGTTTTCTCCTTCTTTCCTGGGTTCCTGTCACCATGATGTTTGCAAGCTCAGGCTAGCTTGTTGTAGCCACATGGAGCAGAATGAAATCATCCCGCCCTAGAATGGGTGCATCCATAGAATCTGTGAGAAGGCAAATCCTTAAAATCTTTAAAGGGCCTTTTTTCTGACCTCATTTCTGGTATCAAAATCTGTAATAGTTATTTCTTGCTGCATAATAAATTGCCCTAAAATGTAAGGGCTTAGAAAATAACAAACATTCAGAAATCTGGGTGGATCTTAGCAGGGTGGTTCTGCTTTGGGGTCTCTCAGGAAGTCGAAGTCAAGATGTTGGCTGAAGCTGCAGTCAGCTGAAGGCTGCCTGGGGCTGAGTATCTACTTCCAGGAGAGCTTGCTTTCAGGACTGACATTAGGAGACCTCAGGTCCTTGCTGGCTGTTAGCAGAGGCCTCCATTCCATACCACTTGGATCTCTCTATAGGATGGCTTGTGCATCGAGTGGCTTCACAACATGACCACTGGCTCCCCATAGAGCAAGTTATCCAACAAAGCAACTCAGAAGCTATAATGTCTTTTATGACCTAGTCACTAAAGTCACACACCACTATTTGTGCAATATTTTATTGGTTTCATAGGTCAGTCCATTCAGTGTGCAGGAAATCATACTGGTTTGAATACCAGAACATGAAAATTACTGGAGGCCATCGTAGGGGCTGCTTGATGATTTTGTAAATTTAGACTTTCAAGGATAGTGCTCCAAGAGCTGTATGTTTCCTTCTTGATAACACTCTTGCATTACCTGAATATCTCTTAGGCCTTACCAGCATGCAGCTCCCAGAGGATGCTACTTCAACAGTTTGTTCTAAAGTCCACGGACTCATTGGCTACCACAGCCAAATGGCAGGATTCAGCTCACGCCTGTCCTGTATCTCTCTAGCAGGCACCAGGGTTGGCAGGGGTTGGTCTTACCTTGTCTCACACTCAGTTCTTTCTAACTTCTGCTTTATTACAGTTGCCTCTCTTCCCTCATTGGTTCATACAACTATATCTACACAAACCTATCCTGGTCACTTATTCTCTCTGACGTCACTGATGTTGCTGCCACCGCCATCTGAACTCCCATCCCCAGATGCCCTAGGTACCCTTGTGTTGAAGAGGCTTATACTGGGTCATGCTTTCAGAACCACAGGCCCCTCCTTGAGCTCTGGTGCCCACCTCTCAGGCTGAAAGGAGCTCTCTTTCTCTTCACATGCATGTATGCCTGTGTGCCTGTATACATTCTTGTGTGTAGAGAAAGCTGCTTGGTTCCTGAGTGAAACGTATTTCCCTATTTTAGTCTACCTCTCTCTCTTTACTACGGTACAGGAGAACTCCACCAGTTGGAGCTCTGAGACTAAATCTAAGACTTCTGCTGTCCTCTTCCAGCCCAGCTACTGATTATGACCAATAACCTTCCTTATTTATCATGATTTTCCCTCTCTTGACCCCATGACATTTTCTGCAATCTACCTTCCACTGCCCCATCTTTCAAGTCTATCAGATGTGTCTTTCTATGTCTGAACTTTGTGTTCATAAATTCTTATTCTCTTTCTGGTGCAAGTAAATTTACCTATTTGATAAACAGATATTAATAATACTGAACATCTTCATTATAATCTTTCATAAAAGCAACTATTTAAAGACAACTTAGTTTGGGGGTGATTTGTTACATAGCAATAACTAACTCATATACAGCTCTTCTAAGAGCATATTTACATGCTGATTTTTTATTTTATTGTCCTTTTTAGTGTTCAATTATTTCATGTTTATGGGACGTTTTGTTTAAAGACTTATTTTAAATGGGAGAGTCTCCTCCAACACACACCTCCTTCCTTTTGTGCATACCTCCAGCTGCCTGTGTTTCTGCAGAACAATCCAGAACTACATCTCAGATGGTGGTGCAGAGCTGGGGGTGGCTTGGCTCAGCTCTTTGTCTCAAGGCTATGTCTGTGCTATTCAACTCCCCATATCTGCAATTGCCAGGAGCTATAGTAAGAGGCAGCTGTAGTTGGATGGGTGGTTCTTCCTTTCTCCTTTTATGAGTTTGAGAACCCACTCTCAGCCTATGGCTTCAAGCAGTTGGCTCCTCCAAAGAAATATCTCATGGAGCATGGACCTTTCCAGGACCTGCTGTTTGCATTGAGACCTGAAGATAGCAAGGCTGGAGCTTCCAGCTTCCTCACTGTGTGTGCGCGCACGTGTGTGTGATTCCGTTCCTTTTTCCTGGACATGTTTATTCTATATTTAATCCCAACTTTGTCTTTTCAATTTGTCACTTTTAATATATAACCTTTGTTACTATTTGTTAAAGAGGAGTGGAAAGTGATGAAGCTTTCACTCACCACACCACACTGACCTGGAAATCTTCATTCCTGCTTTTGAAAGATCTTCCTGGCTGCTAGAGTGGGCTAGGTTTGAGTACCACGAAATGTGTTAGGAGGCTGTTTCAGGTAAGAGACAACTGCAGTGAGGGCTCACATGAGGGCAGTGGAGCTATGGAGAAATGGACAGATTAAAGATATGTTTTCAATGTCAAAACAGCAGGATTTGCCAATGGACAAGATATGGGAAGTGATGGAAAAAGAATCCAGGATGATTCTATCTTAAGCAGTTAGGCTGGGAGTTGTATTTTTTACTAAGATTGGGAAGATGAACAAGTTGTTTTTATTTGCTTGGTTTTTGTTTGGGAGGAGTTGTATTAATCAAGACTTTCATTTTAGAAATGGATATTTTTAATTGTCAACTTAGAGATCCAAACGGAGCTGTGAGAAGGCAGCTAAACATACATGCCTGGAACTCAGGTACTGGTGGAAGACATACATTTAGAAGTCATTATATATCCTGCCCCAAAACTTAGTGGCATGAACAGTAATCATTTTATTCTGCTCCCAGATTTGAGGGATTCATATTGGACAGGGTATGGTGAGTACAGACCCTCCATGTTCCCTGATGTCTAGGGCTTCAGCTGGGAATAACTTGAATGGCTGAGGCTGGAACAGCTGAACCTGGAGGATCCACTTCCAAGATGGCTTCCCCCCTCCCGTGCCTCTTCCCTGGGCTGAAGGCCTGACTCAGCTGGAAATGTTGACCAGGATGCCAATGTGAAGTACTAGGGTAGCCCATCTCTTATAGGACTATGTAGCCCTCCAAGAGCAAGTGTTCCCAGTGACCAAGGTCATGGCCTTTGATGACCTAGCCTTAAAAGTCACACAGCGTCACTTCCACTGGGAACTGTGAGCCACCTAAGTTCAAGGGAGTAGACATTGACTCTACCTTGTACAGGATGGAGTAGCAAAGAATTTAGGATCATGCTTAAAGCTACCGCATCTTACTCATCATCTCCCTCACTAGAAATTAAGCTCTGTGACACAGGGACTTCTGTATCCCATGTATTAGTCACAGATCTCTAGAGAAATAGAACCAAGAGGATATATAGAGAAATATATAAATGGAGATTTATAGTACGGTAGAGTAGCTCACACCTGCTAGTAATTTCAGCACTTTGGGAAGCTGAGGCAGGAGGATCCCATGAGTTCAGGAGTTCAAGATCAGCTTGGGCAATATAGCAAGACAGTGCCTCTAGAAAAAAAAAAAAATTAAAAAATAGCTGGGTGTCATGGTACATGCCAGCTACTTGGGAGACTGAGTGGGGAGAAAGACTTGAGTCCAGGAGTTTGAGGCTACAGTGAGCTATGACGGTGCCACTCCACTCCAGCTTGGGAGACAGAGTGAGACTTCATCTCTTAAAAAATAAAAATAATTTAAAAAGAGATTTCTTATGGGCATTGGCTCACATGATTGTGGAGGTGAGAAGTTCCATGCCAGCTGTTTGCAAGCTGGAAAGCCAGAACACTGGTGGTATAATTCTGTCTGAATCTGAATGTCTGAGAACCAGGAGAGCCACTGGTTTTAGGCCCAGAGTCCAAAGGCCTGATAACCAGGAACTCCAATGTCTGATGGCAAGAGAAGTCAGAGGTACCAGATCGAGAAGAGTGAAGGAGAATTCATCATTCCTCTGCCTTTGTGTTCTATTCAGGCCCTCAATAGATTGGATGATGCCTATCCATATTGGTGAGAGCAGATCTTCACTCAATCTACTGATTCAAATGCTAATGTCTTCTGGAAACACCCTCACAGGCACACCCAGAGACAATGCTTTACCAGCTATCTGGACATCCCTGAGCCCAGTCAAGTTGACACATAAGATTAACTGTCACACCCTAGTACCTAGAAAGATGTATATTTGTTGAATGAATGAATGAATGAGGGATATAAAACCATGGAACCAGATGACATCACTTAGAGAGAAAGTACTAGAGGAAAGATTACAGGGCTCAATACCAAGCCCTCAGGGACACTCCAACATTTAGGGAGTGTGATAAAAGAGGAAGCAACAAAGTTATTTTCCATGGATCACCTGAGCCCCTCGCAAAATTAGTCAAGGGGACATGCCTACCTAGAACTTATGCTTCAACCTCTCCATTATGCAGTTAAACAGAACCTGGCATTCTCTGTCCTCGTGGTCTTGAGCTCCCTTCCTCAAAAAGACAGGCCATGCAGCCATTGTGTGCACCCCTAGTTGCTAAGGTCAGTTTTTTGGTGTTGGATTGGGAGGGAGTGAGTTGAATGTATGATCTGGGGAGACCATATGTAAGTAGGGAGACCCCCTGTGCTATGAGATAAAGTCAGAGGCGGTAAGAGAAAGGGAGTATGCTATGAGCAGGGGCCCAGGACTCAGGAACCACCTCTCATCAATCACCATATTCCTTGGTGCAGAACTTGGAGGGACTGAGAATTCGAAACTTGAACCTGGCTTCCAGGTTGCTACAAAGTCATATTTGTCAAGGTAGAATACTAGAATATATTTTATTTAGCAGTTTTTCAGCTTGATTAGTATGCTAGAATATATTTTATTTAGCAGTTTGTTAGCTTAATTTATAACTTTTAATATTTTGACATATGTAGGGAGACATTTGTTCAATTGTTCTTGATTCTCTAACTGTTAGAGTTGGGCATAGTTAGGTGAAGGGTCTGAGGTGGGACAGTGTGGCTACCTCCAGAAGCCAGGATATCTGAGCCTCAGTTCCAATCCATGGAAACCCATGCTGCACTGGCCATTAAAATTTGCAAAAATTGGATTATGTTGCCACCAAGGGAACTGTGAGAATGCTCTAATAAAATCATGCTCTAAACTTCCAGACCTCTCCCAGATATGATTAACAAAGATTGAGAATGCTTTTCTATTTAATTAGGGATTTTATGAAGTAGGAGTCCTCAAGTAAGCAGCTATGCATAAATCTCAATCTCTGCATTTAATGGGATGTATTATTTAAGTTTTAAAATTCAGGAGTCCAGTGTTTGTAAAAACATTAGTCTATGTTATAAGATGCTAGAGCTTGGTTGATCAGAGACCCCTTTGTTCACAGAAGTATCTGTAACAAGCCAGGTTTACTTTCAAACATATTTTCAGCTATAAATTATTGGAGTGGGTCCTGTTAGCATTGCAAATTAAATTTAGGGGAAACATTGTCTCTGCCCAGGAACTGCAGGCCATGTGTGAATTCTTTGATTCAATCCCTATCACAATTTAAAATATTTTTTCTTATGAAAATTTTCAAAGATAAAGAAACATAGATTGTAAAATGAAACAATGTACCCCTCACCCATTTCAACAATCACCAACATTTCCTTCAATTTTTTGTTTGGTGATAATTCCACAATAGTCTGACGTAGAATATCCTCTTTTTGACTGAAGGCAATGGGGATTTTTCTTGGTTAGGGGTTACTTTTATTTCTTTTTTTTTTTCTTTAGCTATCTGAATGAGTTTCATATTTCCTCTTTGTGTCAACCAGAATGATGGGGACCTGCTCTCCAATGAACATCTACAGATAGATAAATGCATTCATTCCACGTATGGGTTTTCACAGCATTCATGTTTGGCTACTCTTCTCCCCTGATTATTGCATAAATGCTTCCATTGTTAACCAGAAAGGAAAATGCTTCTAGGAAGAAATTGGAAAGGTGACATCAATTTAACAAAGCCATTTGGGGTTAGCACAAAATGACAGGACAGCAGGAAGCAGTTAAAAAGCTTCCCCTGACAAGAAAAGCTAAATGACTCAGAGAGCTGCTCCCAATCAGACATGCTATTGACAAGAGACCCGTTCTGATAATGACCTATGAAAGACTGCATTCTGACGACACACGATAATTTGTTTTTCTAACCAGGGTGACTTAGCAGGGGTTTGGGTAAACTGCATGGCTCCTGTGCAAATGACAGTCACATGGCAAAGCCCAACACCTGGCTCATTTTATTTATTTAGGCTGTAAGAAGCCACTTGTCATGTGTCTGGTGACATTAAGCTGTTTCTTCCCACCCGTCTCCATCATTGTGACAACATGGCCCCCACGGGCTCGTCCACCAGCCTGGTCCCTCCTTACTCTCCCACCTGTTGTGAAGCAGTCTTTTAGCTTGAGATGTGAGTGCCATTCTGCAAGATAATGTTCTTTCACCTTCAATCTTTGCTGATCAATGTGGGGATGAAGATGCAGGAAGTGGGACAGGCTGCCCAAGTCCAAAGGCCATAAAGGGAGGTCAGTGAGCAGCACTGGTGAGGCCCCTGAGGCAGGAAGGGTAGAAAGGAGGGGTGAGTGTATCCAAGAGGACCTCTAGCTCCCCATGTGAGGCTGGCTCTACCCAGCCTGAGAGAACAGCAAAGCGGACAGGAAAGAAACTTTGACACCGTCTTCTGGACTCCGGATATTTCTCAGGCTGCTGTGAGCAAGACCGGGCACTTTGTGGCGAGGAACAAACCCCGCACATCCTTTCAGCTGCTGCAAGACCTGAGGGCAGTGCTCTGTGGAGAGGAGTCAGGAGGGGCCTGGTTTCTCGCCTCTTCTCTTTATCCTGAATGGCTGGTGGATCTGGCCTGCACTCCAGGCCCTACTTGGAGGCCCAGCAGCTGAAAACCCCCCAAGGAAAAGATCTACAAAGATCATTCATGGGACTCCAGCCAAGGCTTGGCAAATCCACAAAGGCTCCTTACAGAGTTTGGGCAGTAGGCCACCAAGGTCTAACAGAGACACCTCCCTACCCCTGGCAGCTTGTCACTGTGCGACATCCCCCTACTTCACCCAAAAGAAGCTGACTCCTTTCCTTCATCCCTCTTCCAACAGCTTTGCATCTCAGAGGAAATGGTCTGGCTCATGCTCTCTCTCTCTCTCTCTCTCTCTCTTTCTCTCTCTCTCTCTCTCTCTCTCTCCTCTCTACTCTCTCTGTGCTCACTCCCTTTTCCACCCCCATTCCTTTCATGATTTATTTTGCCTGCAGCTATTGCTTGGATATGGTTTGTTCCCACCAACACTCATGTTGAAGTTTAGTTGCCAGTGCAGCAGCATTAGAAGGTGAGGCATAATGGGTAATTTTGTGGTCACGGGGACAGATCCTTCACCAATAGATTAATGCTGTCTTGTGAGAATGCGTGAGTTCCTGCTCTCTTGGGAATGGATTAGTTACTGCAAGAGCAGGTTGTTGTAAAGCAAGTTTCTTCCTCATGTGTTGTCCCTCTTTGCACACACCTGCTAGTCTTTCTGCTTCTCTGCCATGTCTTGATGCAGCATATGGTTCTCTTCAGAAACTGAGCAGATGCCAGTGCCATGCTCTTGGACTTTCCAGAATCATGAGCTAAATAAACCTATTTTCTTTATAAATCACTCAGCCTACCATACTCTGTTACAGCAACACAAAATAAACTAAGACACTTGTACTATCCTGTTTCTAGTTAGGCCACATCCATGCTCCTTTCTGGAGTTTTCTTGAGTCAGAGGCCAATGTGACTTGCATATATGGAAGATTTGGTTTTACTGATCTAATACCTGTTCAACTGACACAGTGGGTGTTTCTTTGCAACTACAGGAAAGAGTTCAGTCCACTTACTACCTGGACTCTGTCTCCGTAAATGAGACATTAAAGAATGACAAGAAGACCCACCACAAACATCCAAAAAATACCAAGTAGAGCTTTCTTGCACATATATTATGTGTATACATTGGACCATATCAGAAATAGATGTAACTACCTCTGCTTGGTTATGCTTTCTTGGGGTGTTTGTCTTTATGGGAATATGGGTTCCTCCTGAATGTAGCAGGAGAGGGTAACAAAAAGGAGGCGAGAAGCTTTAACATTCCGCAGCTGGGAAGAGATCTGTCCTCAACTGCAGCCCTAGTTTTCTGATTAGGGTGAGTGATGGAGCCAACCTCTGAGAAGCCACCATGGCATGTGACTCCCATTCACATTGAATGCTACCACCAACACAACTGTACCTACAGTCATGGCATTTTTATAGGAGGTAAAACCACTCACTGGTGCACTTGAAAATATTTGAATTATATCACAATTGCTCTATTTTAATATATCTTTATTTAAGATAAGTGTTAAATATATCTTCATTTAAGATAGATAAAATAAGTGCTCAAAGCCCAAACAAGTTAAATTTCTTGGGCTGCCCTCTCTTGATTTCTGGTAAATCTATGTGGCAAATAAAATCTCAAATTTGGGGAAGGAATGGAGTGATTTAGCAACTCTGTAGTTGACTTTTTGGCTGTTTAATAAGTAAATATGATTCCTCAATAAGTGCTATAGTCTGAATGTCTCTGTGCTTTCAAAACTCCTATGTTGAAATCCTAACCTCCAATGTGATGGTATCATGAGGTGGGGTCTTCAGGTAGCAGGAGGTAGTTAGGTCAGGAGGGTGAAGCCCTCATGAATGGATTAGTGCCCTTAGAAAAAAGTCTGCGAGACTCTTTGCCCCTTTCACCCTGTGAGGATACATCAGGAAGATGCCACCTGCGAACTAGAGAGTGGACTCTCACCAGACATTGAATCTGCTGGCACTTTGATCTTGGAATTCCAAGCCCCAGAACTGTAAGAAATCAATTTCTGTTGTGTATCAACCACCTAGTTAGTTATTTTGTTATCATAGGCTGAACTGTCTAGGACAGTAAGGAATGCAGGATCTGAGATACTCTAGAAGTTAAAACTTTCTGTTCTGTGGAAGGACAGTGAGAAAGCAGCCAGGGCTTCCTTCCAGGGCCATTGGCAAGAGAAGGGTGCTTCAGAAAGGGAAGAAACACAAACAAGATCAGCGGCATTGTTGTACCTCCCCCAAGACCACAGAGCAAGGAGCTGACATGCAAATGCATGTGGAAATTGTCAAAGGGAACCAAGACACACGGTGTAGTGTAGGAAAGTCACATAAGAAACCTATTCTGTTGAGAAGCCCTTGGTGATATGGTCACAAAATGCAGAGAAGATTAAGGAACACCTTGTCAAACACTGCTTAGGAGTAAGGATGATGTGCCCAGACCAGCGACTTGTGAACTAGCCCTATCTAGACTTTCCCCATGTGCTGAGCTTTCCCAGGTTGAACACTGTGAGTTGGGCCCATGCCAAGGAACCCTGAAGAGAAGAAATGGGAGAGAAGCTCTAAGTAAAAAGCTGTGTGAGGCTTCTTGCTAACCTGAGCCCCATCCTTCCTCCCTCTTCCAGCCAATCCTCCTTCTGCAGTTCTCTCTGACTCCAAGGATTGGCTGAGCTGTTTTCTTTCAGCACACAGTCTCGCCCCATCTTCCTGGAAGAAGCACATGGACCATCTAAGGTTTCCTTTGGGGTGTTGCTGTGAACAGTAATAAAACAGAGGAGAAAAGATCCTTCCTCTTCACCTCCACAACATTTTTTTGCTTTACTAGGGCCAGGTTTCCTGAGTTAAATTGTGCAGTGATGCGAGCAGGGCAGTATGTGAGAATGGAAGTAAGGTCATAAGTGACAAGATAAAAATTATATCTAATGAGGTGTTTACTAACTCCAAATGCAAGTTCCAGCTTGAGGAGTCAGAGCTTGGGGGTGAGACACAGTCCAGTGAAAAGCTACAGCTATGCTGGCTGGAGGGTTGGGGCCTGAGAAGCAACTCTTTTATCAGCAGAATCAACTAGTTACATGGGAGGAGAACTGCCACATGGATATTTGGACAGTTTATGCCGAGTATGAGGGAGAGTTCTCCTCCTCTCCTCTATAAAACCTTCAGTAAAATCTTCAGTTCACTAACGCTTTTTGTGCAAGTAGATTTTCTGTGGATAACTTCAAGTGGCATTAAATGTAGGGTCTAGGTTGAAAAGGAGCAGAGTGTCTATCTGTAGGCTTCTCCAAGCCTAGGTTAAAGTTGTGGCTGCTTGACTGTATATATGGCCAAATATGCCATCCCTCTCTGTACCCACAGCCCTGTCTGTGTGACTTGCAGCACTTATCAGTAAAGAAGTCTAATTCTCTACCCCATGCACCTGGGAGGCCTTGTGACTTGCTTTGGCCAATAGAATGCAGCAGAAGTGACAGTTTACGAGTTGTGAGCCAAAGCCTCAAGAGGCCATATGTGTTTCTTCCTGTTGCATGTGACATTTTTGTGCCTCCACCATAGCCATGAAGATGTGCTTGGGCTAGTTCGCTGGAGGATGAGACAATCAGAGTAAACCTGCCCTAGCAGAAGGCAGTCAACCCTCACACATGTGAGTAAACCCAGTCAAGACCTGCAAAGCTGCCTAGACCACCTGTGGAAGCACAACTGCATTGCAATATGCGACTGAGGTGTTGTGTTTGTTTTGTATTACGTGGGCAACAGAAAGCTGACACAAATGTATTTTAATTTTGACATTCTGGGTGGTAGGTCAGAGGCAAGAAGGAAAAAGACAAGAGACTGGGGCTAGAGAACAGGCTGGACAGGGGCCCCGTGAAGCCTAGTGGGCAGATAAGTCAGCTTGGGTTTGGAGGCTGGGAGAGGATGCACTGCAGGCCAGCACCTATCTGGAGGAAGTGCAATGGTTACAGAGACAGTCCCAAGCATAGGCAGGCACTAAGACCAGTTCATGGTGATCAGACCATTAAGTAGGTGGCATGTCAAGTGCATGAGTTAGAATCAGCACACTGCTGATCAGACTGGATCTCTGGCCCTCTGAGAAGCAGATGGAAGGATGAGGGTATAGGGAGATGAACAGGCAGGAGCCAGGTCAACTAGCAGAGATCAGGATCAAAAAGTTAAGAGTCAGAGACTGGGCCTTTGATAATCAGCCCCACTGCACCCTGGGTAGCTTATCTTCACTTTTCTAGGATCTTCATCCTTCTCCCCATCTCCTGACCCCTGTGGTCTTCATTGGCATGGCTCTCACCGCCCTAACTGCTCCTCTGGCCTCCAGCATGATCCAGTCTGTTCTTCCCAGATGCAGATGGTGGTTTTGTTGGAGTTGGCTCCAGGGTCATGGGTTCAGGGTATAAGCACCAGACTGATTTCTCAGAGTGTGTGGTGCCAGGGTCCCCAGCAAGAATCACAGTGCTAAGCTGGAAGTCCATGTGGCATCGAAGGAAGGTTCCAGGATTTGTCTACATCAGGGTTCTCAACCTTTCACGCGCATTAGCAGAAACCTGACTACCCCTCTCCAGCTTCATGTAAACAAATGGGACTGGCTGTGCCCAAGACCTCCTAAATGAGAATCTCTGGGGACAGGTTGGAGGATGCTCTTACAGGTTTACTTTGCAAAACAGAGGAGAATATGGTCCTGAAAAGGGGACACAGAATTAGCTTCTGGGATGGTAGAGCCCTAGGGAAATGAGGTCCAAGTGCTGGCTCATGAACTGAGACTGCAGATGGGGACATTCGTGGGGAAGACAGAGATGAAGTACCAACAACCATGGGGACACCCAAATAAAGTTGCGAGTGCTTCGGGCACACCTGTGTTTACTTGAATAAAAACAATTAGCCATTCAAATATTCCCTGTAACATTCACATTACTTATAATAAAGGTCAAACCTGCCCTCAACACATAACAAATAAAGTCAATGCTAAAACTGATTTCAATCTCAAAATATTTGTAGAGGGCACTATATCTAAAATTGCGTAAGGCTGTAGGCCACAAAAAGACCTTATTTTGACTCTAGCATAACTAGTAAAGGTGATATTAATATTTTTTCCCTGCAAAATAGACTCCTCTTGGAAAATGTCTCAAAAACTTGTTATGCACACACACGTTCAGCTCTTACAAAGTAATTTTCTGAAAAATCCTACACAATTCTCTAGCAGAGAAGCTGTCTGATGTGCTAGAATCCATCTAATCAGAATAAATCATTTCTATCTCTCATTAACATGACAAAATTGAAATATTTATAAGAAGTTTGGTTAGAGTATGAGAATTCCTCAATAACCCAGCTCTCTGTAGCTTTATATTCTCCCTATTGACCACAGTAATTTAAAAAAGCAACAAAATCACTTTTTAATTGTCTGCATTGATCCAAATTGTTAAAAGTAGGTATAAACTATAAGTAAACTGGTTCTCATAAATGCAAATGAGGCAAATGCATGGGTTTAATCTGTGGCTTTTAACATTTTTTCACTTAATGAACATTTATGTGGCACTTCCTCTTTGCCAGGTACTATTGTCAGTGCTTTAGAAATAATGTATTTCATAGTCATAATGACCATTTTGAGGAAGTCACTATTGTTACTGCCATCATTCTTGAGGGAACTGAGGCTCAGAGAGGTGAAGTAACTTTTCCAATGTCACCTGCGGTTAGAGCCATGGTCAAAACCAGGCCGTGGTCTGGCTCTAGGATTTGAGCTATTAACCTCTACCCTGTCGACTCTTGTTTTACCTTCTTCCTAAAAGATTGTAAAGATACAATCAAGGGTGGATATCTATATACCAACTATCTACAGAGGATGGTAGAGGAAAAAACTGTTTGCCTTCCCTCTCCATAGGATAAATGTAAGGCAAGAGGTTGCATCCCACTTCAGCAAGCCCCTTTCTGACTGGATGTTGAAAAGCACACGGCACCCTGGGGATCTCCCCTCCACACTTCTAAGACCTCCATCCTTCTTTCCATCCCTGGCCCCTCTGGCCTTCACTGGCATTGGCATGGATCTCTCAGCCCAAACTGCGCCTCTTTCCTCCAGTCTGATCCAGCATACTGTTCCCAAGGCTGTTTCTAAAACACAAAACTGTTGTTTTCTGTAACTCAAATCTCTATGTCACTGATTTATTTTGTGGATAAAAGCCAGATAATTTAGCCTAATACACGAAGTGCTTACTTCATGCCTCTGCCCAGCTGATCATCCTACTCCAAACCTGGCACACAGTAGGTGGCCTCATTCTTCCACGGGTTCCCTTTACTGAACTGTATTAAGCTGTCTGCCATTCTGTCCCCACTGATATTTCCTCTTCCAGAATTCCCTTCATCCCCCTTTCCCCTCATGACAATTTGCATCACCAGTCTTCACAAAGATCATTCTAGTGCATCCTTTACAACCCAACTTAAGCATCATTTCCTCTGGGAAACTTACTGTTCTACCCCAAGGCAAGCCACATCACCTCTTACTGGTCTCTGACTCTCCGGCATCTCTGTGACTGCCGGGGATGAAGCAAAAGATCAATAAATGATTGGTGAATGAATGAATGGTGGGTTGATCCCTTGAATGATTCATTAAACCTTCTGTCTCTTCTAGGGAACTCAATTATGCAAAAAACCAATATATTCTTCAGTCCATTAATGCCTCCAAATGTTCTTGGACTTTTTCTTGAAGACTGAAGAGCTACGACAGCCTTTAATTTTGAATTGATTAACGTTCAATGCACTGTATCAACACAATTATAAGGGGTGCTGAAATAATTTAAAGTTTAGTACTGTTTAAGACAAGCACAAAAATGAAAATTCCCTAAGACAGCTAGAATGTCTCTCAAAAGCACATTTTTACATATTCTACAGTATAACAGAATGTACCCTCTGCTTCAAGCTTTGAAAGATTATTTGTGCTTCCCTAGTCACTATCTTTCTTTTGACTTTTCGAAGATAGTTTAGGGAAGAAACTTCATATTGTATAGCCACAGTAAAGGCTGCTACATATCAAAATATTTTATAGACTTTCCTTGTTTCTCACGAAAGTCTTCATAGTTCAGGCTGCTCACTGATTTGCTGCAGCACTCCATGTCAAAGCTAACATGGAGGCCACTAGTATGACTTGTCTTTAATTTCTTTCAGGTGTAATTTTACTCTAAAACCATTGAAATCAAAGAGAGTTTATTAAATATAAAACTGCCCACCAGTCATAAAAACAAAAATGTCTTAATTTGAAGTAACTTTCCGTACTGTTGTCACATGAAGTGAAAAAGGACATCATCCTCATAGTAACTTTGAGCACATGCCCACTCTGATTACTACCAACAGCTTAAAGAGAGATCTTAAGAGTATTGTTTAAGGGCTAGTAGTCTCATAGATAACTTTTATTATGTCCTACATACAGATGTATTTAAAGTACAGGTTTGACCAAGAGTGGGTTGTTTTGTCTCACTACCTGTCTTGAGGTTAGGGACTTTTTAGATGGCAGAGCATAAAACAGCAGCATCTGCTAGTAAAACTGCTGTCCACTGGACACTGAAGTAGATGGGCATGTAAACAACGATCAGGAGGATAGTTAGGGTCGGCAAAAATAGGAATTACACTTTCCCTACTGCCCTTCACATCTCAAAAAAGTTTAAGAGGCAACAGGGGGAGATGCCCAAGTTCGGAAAGTATACCCAAACGTTGTCCGGAGACCAATCTGTAGCTGCTAGTGCCTTACACTGCTTGAAGTGCGGCAGGGTCGGCCACAGTCTTCACTTCTTCTTCACAGGTATTTCCATCTCACCTACCTGGCAATTTCTTAGTTGAGAAACTTTTCACCAGTGTTTATGTTGGTTATGGAAATAAATGAAGAAACTATTTTTGGAAATTTTCCCTGGTATTAGTTTTTAGAACACATACTCTGAAAAGAAGAGGATAAGGGAAGTGTAGAGCAAAGGGAATAGTTGGTCAATAAATGTAAATGGCTCCATAAAAATGTTGAAATGTACTAACGAGGAATCCACAAAGTGTGTTCATCTTCACCGAAGCACCTCAAAGGCACTCAAAACCCTGCTCTAATAAACACTTAACCACAGGTTTTCAGGGCAACTTGCTTGTTTTGGCCTCCACATTTTATACCGTTTAGGTCCTCAGAAATGCTTTTCTCCTTCCTGTTTTCTTCCAAGTGTAAGCCCATGGCTTTCACAGGCAAGTTATAGAGTCGACTGAGAAGACAGTGTACTTTCCTCGACACGTAGATCCCAAGTCCCAACAATGAAGGAGGATCGTTCCCAATTGTCTTGGAATAATGAAAATAAACATATATGGATTAAGTGGCAACAAAGATGAGATAATGGCTAAGGCATTCCGGGATTAAAGATCTTACAACTCAGGTTGTAACTGTGATTAAACTGATGAGAGTGGGGAGTTCCAGTGCCTTTGTTCTTTGGAGTAATTCCAAAACTCCTCTGGGCAAGTATGCTATGGAAACTGAATCCCGAGTAGATGAAGCGGTTAAGCAAATATACAGGGTTTCACACTAAACTGCAGTAGAAAAGCATCAGAAACTGCAGAAAAAAGAAGTGTATGTTCATAATTATGTATGATTATGTGGATGTGTGTATATAAATACTTGATATAAAGAAATATAATGGAAAACTAGTTGAGCACATAAAAACTATATTCAAAATTCTTACGTGCCATTTTTTAAATTCCTAGACTTAAGCTACTGTAACAAAGGAAAAAGCAGCATTGGTCATATCAGAAGCCAGATGTCATTCAGTATCAACACCCCCCTTAGCACAGGAAGATCCAGACATTTGAGCAACTATAGCTTCAGAATACCGGCCAACCACGAATTCCATAATAGAAATATAAATGCATCCATTCATTCCCTCTCATTAACAGTCAGGCTTTGAACAATGCAAGTGATTAACACATTCATTGTTCTGTTATCCTTTTGCCTCAAATTTTTACTTCTTTAGGGATCAAAGATATCTGAACACTTAGCTAACAAATGCCTCTGCGAAACCATCTCTGCAAAACGTAGTGGGCATCAAAAGTGCCAGCATGAATTTTTTACTATCTCAAGGGTGTGACAAAAGCACTAAAGGAAAACAAATCTATGAACTAGTTTTATTTGCATTTAACATGATTATACACATTCATGTGTCTAACAAGATCTGCACTGTTACATTAAAAATACAGTACAATAACATTCAACATGAGGTACTTCATATTTATGTATTTTTTCCTTCATAAATAATGCTGTAAGCTACTAAATTCAAGCACACTGATGCACAAGTGGCTACAGTGTCTTGAATTAGCTGAGCTTATTTAAACACCTTAATAAACAAAAAAGTTCAGTGCAATAATTATGTAGAAATTAGACCATTTACTTAAATACTATTTTAAGATATGCTTAAAGAATGTCACATTAGAACTGCTAGCCTAGTTCCCCTTTATCCCCAGAATGAACAACGACAAAGACTGCCAGCCAGATACGTTGGGGAAAAGCATCTACAGTGTATTCTGCTTAATAAAGTTGTGTTTATAGAATAAAGTTGCCTGCTTTGTTAGAACAATGGTTTCTAGTTTTAAAAGCTACAAAATCCAAGATTACAAAAGTAAATAAAGCAAGCATATTAGCCTTCATTCCATTTCATTGAAAATGCATAAAGGACAATAGGGTTTAAAATGTAAAATTTCTTATTCTAAATACAATTTTCAAATTTTACCCACAGCTCTCGGTACCAGCCAATCAGATGGTAGATATGTTTTAAAGTAATAACAATTAACATAAAATTACATTATTCTATACACAGTGTACAGGATTTCACACGACTTTCACCAGCAGCTCACTAGTCACATGGAGGCAGCTAGCAAACATGGGCACTGACAGTGAGCGTTAGTGAATGAACGCACTGCACCTGAAGACTATCACACCCACCTCAACAATCTGATAGGATGCAATTAAAGTTTCTTCTCTGGCTTACAAACAAGTGCCTTCTTATAAGGTCTACCAATTTGCACAGCAGCTATGAGTTACTGAAATGTGTAACCATAATTTAAAAACCAAATCTTTTGTAGAAGTGTGCTTTTTAATTGAAAATGTACCTTTGTACTTCAATGCTTTGCCAAACTACCTGTAATCTCCCCAATAAGAAATAATTGTACTTTTAGAACGTTGTCCTGGAAATACTCATCTATAATCACCAGTAACAGCTTTTCATCATCTATGCTAATAGATGTAGGTAATGGCAAGAGTGATTAAAACATTTCCAATAATCCAGTGTTCTCCTCCCTCAGGGAAGCCGGCTGAAGGCAACAAGCCCACATCTACAGGGGAAGAAGTGGCCCAGAGGCACAGTGAATACGTCAGGGCAGTCACTCATGGGCCTTGCTGGGGCCAGCAGGAGGACCATTACTGTCCCACCTCTTACTAGCCAGGTAGAGAGGAGACAGCTCCTGAGCTGGCAAACACACTTGCATGCGCATGGGTGCGCAGGCACACACACACCCCAGGACTAACTCCTGGCTCCAGACAAGCCAGTTTCAGGCTTGCAGAGCAGGAGCAGGAGGCGGCCAAGGACCACACTCTGGGTGGCGGCGGGGAAGCCATCTCAGGATCACACTGAGCAGAAAAGCTGCCCAGAAACACATGGATACTTCAACTGGAAGTGAACACACTGGACACTGCCAGGGACACAGGCACTAAACCAGCACAAGCCAGCAGCGAAGGAGAATTTAATAAGTTTTTCCCTCCTTTGTTTACATTATCTGTGGACAAGTAAGGGAGCTAGATGTGATACTGATGCAGTGAATATTAGGTATAATAAAATGTGTCACTCCAGGCCATTTTTTATAAACCCTGCAGGCATATGTTGGCACTTTAAGATGGCCAGGGGCCAGATTCTAGCAGTCTAGGAACAGGACAAAATTAAAATTAACAAAGAATATAGTATACAATCAAAGTGGATCAGGTAAAGTATATTTCAAATTTAAAAAAATGAACAAAGGTATCTCATTACATTAAATGTAGTGCTACAAAACTAGTTGCTACTCCATTTGTATAAAGAATTGTTTGGTCCTCTTTTAATGGGGAAAAAGAAAATAGAAATTCTACACAGTATGACTTATACAAATAAGCAAACAGTGGGGATCAAAAGCTAAGTGGAGAGAAGAGTTTGGCTTTTTCAAACTGCATATTCTTATATGCCATCAATTAAATTATTTGTAGTATGAGTCTTTTTCAGGCTTCCTTTTTAAACTGTCTTAGTTTAAATTAGTAGGAGTTTAACTTTTTTCTACTGACAATAAAATCTAAAAATTTACTTCTAAAAGAAGTATCTGTATTGAAATTTTTTGTCTTCTAAACTAAAAGAAAAGAAATCTGCTTGTAGAAGTCATGGCCTAAACAAATGCCCCCAGTTCCTTATTTTCCAATTTTACATTGATATTCTGAAGTGTTTAATACCTAACTATCTTATGAATTTAGTAATTTTTTAAATCCCAGAAGCAACAAATGTAAAAGGAATAAAACGAGAGCCAAACACAACCACTGTCTACTTTCTAAATTATTACTCATTACAAGGCAAAACTTCTTTCAAAATTGTACACTGAGGTTTATCTGTTTTGGGGGGTAAGAGGAGTTCTGTTTAAAAATAACTCTTGTTATCACTTTATTTCTGTTCATCAAATAACGTCCAAAAGGAAATTCAAGGTGATCCAAAATTATCTTCAGAGGGACAAAACTGAGAGGGTGGTGGAACGCTTGGGAAAGCACATAATCTCCCCAGGTTCATAGATGCAACTCTAAAAACCACAAAGCCTTAATAAGAACGTTAGCTCTTTTAAGCAGATAGTTAAAAGCGGAATGCTGCATTTTTGCCTGTACATAATTAAAAGGTTAAAAGAAATTAGAACCTGCCTACCGCTTCATTCATTACAAATTACCGGCACTGATCACATATTTGCAGATGAGCTAAGCATCAGGCAAGTTGGAACCAGATGTGCACTTTGGAGCTCAAGCTGCTTCAGGAAGTGAGTTTTCAAGCATAGAATATAAGTTCAGGGATCTGCCCTCCCTGTACCCCAGTGCCATTGGTGCTATCTGAGGAGCACTGAAACTGGACAGTCACTTTGCCACACTGAACTTCTGTCATGCCTTCTTGTCCAAAGTAGCTGAGTTCATTGCCATCCAGTATCACACTGGCTGTGTAGAAGGTGTCTGGCTCGATCTGCACTGGGTATTCAAACCATACGGGAAAGGTATTGCTGGACCCATCTGAGAAGTACTTGCTCAAGTTCTGCCCCAGGACAACGCCCTGCCGCTTAAGTTCAATCTTGGCACTGTATTCTGCAGAACCACAGCTGGAGCCATACAGCCCAAAGCCAGCAATGAACACTCTTTTATCAACTGCAAACTGGATGCTGTCACAGCGACCACGATAGCGCCATTGGTTGCTTCGATAGGCACACGACTGGAAACGGTGACAGCGCTGGGGGACAAGGCCCTTACGGGCTTTACTCACAAACTGAAGCTCAGGCTTTTTGGCTGCAGTATACCAGAGGAAGATGTCGTTGGTCTCATTGAGAGTTAATACCCCGGACTGTGCAGCACCATTTGCAAAATCATCGAGGGCCATTGTGGGTATGCGGATCAAGTAAAGTGCCTTTCCTAGAACCTTGCGTTTATTTTCAATGCTCAACGCCAGATCTTGTCGTTGGCATTCTACTTCAGCCCAGTTGAGAGCTGCCTCAAAAACCACAATTTCTTTGGCATTCAGAGTTTCCCTACGGAGAATACTTTCTAGTGTCTGGAAGTCAATATCGCAGAATCCCTCAGACTTGAGAGCTAACTCAGCCTGGGCATCAATCACCTCCCAGCAACGCTGGGTCAGGTCTGGCTCCTCGAACAGGCAGCTCTGGGAGAGGAGCACACAGGCATTCTTGGCACTCAGGCTGGTCTCCAGGAAATTAACACAGGCTCTGGCAAGGTGAGGGACAATGTACTTTTTGGCAGCATAAAGTGTGGCCAGCACTGTGTCAGCAGCCAAGTCAATTTCATCACAATAGATATATCTGTAAAAAGCACATAACATGTAAGTGGAATTTTCACAAAATGAGTACATCCAGCAAGAAAAGATACAACCACTTTCAAGTTTGTTCTGAGAACATCATCTTATGTGACAGTTAATACAAACATATTTGCAGAGTAAAGGAACATTCGAAACATATTAATAAATTATTAATATTTTAACCCAGTAGTAAAGTTTGTATAATTAAAGATATTAACTTTGTGCTACCATTCTAGCCTCTATTTTATAAGCTGCATTCAGTGTCATCTCAACAAAACAGAAGCTATTGAAACTGAAAAACAACTGCATATTGAATAGTCAACATTACAAAAAAATAGCAAAATTCTATTATATATACTACATTATATTTAACCAAGAATAGTCTCGTTATGTTTTAAGAGCAATTATTGCATCTTCATGCTTTTGGAGTTTTCCTAAGCACAAAATAAAACCTGAGATTAATATTTTCCAAATAGTTCCAAGTTCAATGGATTATCAAAAGTATGGACTGCAATGCTATCGTCCAGTTAACTTTACATAGAATCCAACAGACTTTTTATTTGTTTTTGTTTTTTAAACTCAAAACTCTTCCTTCTCCACACATTCCTTCTACCTTCAGAATTCAAGATTACATTATTTCCAGATATATTTAATTAAAAGACAAAGTAGGAAAGCTTAAATATGTATTATTCCTGTGCTTCTGTGAACTGTCCTTATTTCAGGATATAAAACACTTCACAGGATACACTTTTTGGGAGACAGTGGCAGTCTCCCAAAGAGGCACGTAAAGGTAGTCATCATCTGCTTCTCTTCTACCTAAGGTCTACAGCTACTTTATCTTGAGTTTTCCTTTAGTTATTGTATTTCACCTTAGTGAAACACATAAAACTTAAGAAATTAGCAACAGCTTCTATAAGAAAGTAAAACACAAGAATGGCAATGAGAAAAATGTCCACGAGCACAAATGAAACCTGCCTTTTTGCTCACAGGAACCTTTCTCTTCTCTGATAGGCGAAGTCACCTACTGATGGCAAGGCCACTTGATAGTACACCTGCGGCTCAGTGATGCTCTGACTGTGAGCCAGGACCCTGGGGAGGATCCTAGAGCATGGTCAGCACTTTCGAGCTCTTACCCTGGAACTGTCAAGGGAGCAGCTGTCCTCTTTTTCTGACAACCCCAGGAATACTGGCTACTCATACTCGATGAAGCAGGCCACCGCTTTCACAACTACAGCACTAGAGCAAATGGCACCTGACTCATTTCTGATCTTACCACATTTTGTGGACTGCATGTATAATTTTATAAAGCTTTATCAATATCTGCTATAGGCAATGCATCTGTGGGAAAAGATACTTGTCAAATGATTCATCAAATGACTTAGGTGAGATGTAATTCTCTGCCATTCTTGTTCATGTTTCCTAATTATGTATATATCAGGAATGATACAACATCCTACTTGACTGCAGTGAAGACAAAATGCTGAACTAGTGCTAGCAATCTCCTCAGCAACAGAAAACACTATAAAAAATACAAAGCTGACTTCATGCAGTGGGGATACTTGCAGGTAAAACTGGTTTCTGTACATATATCTCCAAAAGATTACAAAGGTTAAAAGTAGCAGATTAGTTTACATTTTGGTACTTCACATGCTCACTTGCCTTTAATTTCCCTATCCCCTACTGTGAAGGTCTTGTCAGTGACAATTATATTTCAAAACTGTAAGATGAATAATGAATTAAATACTTTTAAGTTCTAGAACTAACTACAGTACTTATTTTTCAGAAGACAGTAAACAATGTATGGCAACATTTTAACTATATGTAGGAGTACTGTCCAACTTGTTGACCCACTGAATACTTTTTTCAACAAACATTTTACTTATTCCAATGAACTGAAATCCCTAGAGCAACAGATAACCTTAAAGTAATACACTTTGCTGTGCTAGAATAAAGATTAGGAAAAATCATATAAATACTACTTAGAATAATAATTAGATTATGATCACTTGGTGAACTACCACACTGTCTAGTACCGTACATGATAAAGAAGCTGATTCTATAACCTGTTTAACACATACTGGTGCCTGCAGAAGACCCACCAGACAGAAAACTATCTTTTTTATAAATATATAACGTATCTTTAAGTTTCATACTTCTGTATTACCAATGAAAGTTCTTCTGTATAAATCCACATGAAACTGTACGAGACTATCCATATCTTTCTAAGATTTCCCCTGTAATGTCAAATGCAAGTACTTTTTACCCTTGAGAGTGTCTGATTTTATATGAGTATGTATATGTATGTGTACACAAAGATCAGATTATTTCAACAGATGGTAAGTTTTTCATTTGCTCTTAGGAGACAATAACTCTTAGAATACTCAGAAATCTCCCAACTGGTGTTACTTAAATAAGGTACTTAACTTCTGAAATTGTGAAGCAAAAACATTTGTTTAAAGACTTTTTCACACACAATGCTTTCAGAGAGAACATCTTCTATTAAATAATGCTAATACCAGAAAGTTATTTGTCTTTAATTTTAAGTTGTTAAAAATCATCACTATACATGCCACTTGCTCCCAAATTCTACGTCAAGGTGCGATTATAAATGCTGCATAATTCCATATGCTTTCCACGGAAAGCTAAAGTGTTCTTTTCCGAAAACATTTACAAGGTAAGCAGCACCCTCTTTCTTCATCAGTCTTCTTTTCTGTTATGCAGAACTTAAATTTAACTGTGAAACCAGCAGGGTACAAATACAGCATAAACAAACTCTTTCCAAACACACGAATGATGCTTACTTCAGCATAGCGAGAAAAGCAGCAGGTTCGACATCTGGTATACGGATTTCATCTTTGTCCTCTGCAAGTTCTCCGTAAAACATCGCATGGAACACAGAGCTCCCAACAGCTAAAACATACTGTGTAGAAAGGGAAATCTTATTTCATACACTAAATTGAAGGCATTTCCAGCAAATCAATGCAGAAAAACAACACTAGGCAATCAGGTTTAGTAAACATAGCGTACCTAAAATCTACTGCTTTGAAAAAGCCAAGGTACACAGGGTAGCTTGCCATGGAAGCATAAGACCATGCTGCTAATTATTTCAAAGCTTTAAGAGATTAATGCACATGTCCCCTCATTACTAAATACATACAATAATAGCTTACATAACTAATTTCTAGGAGAAGGGTAAACATACGACTTTCCTGACCTGTCACAACAACTTCCCATGTCTGGAGAGTTAAGAGGGGATGTGTGAGATATAAAGCAGTATAGAAGGAAACAAAGAAAAAATTAAGCGTGGCCAAAGCCCTCTGGAGAGGGTGCGCTCTCTCCCTAATCGAGTGAAACATGCACTGCCTGACATCGGCAAGCTGCCCACACCAAGTTACAGGCTTATGGAAAGGGTCCCTCTTTGTAAACGTCAGGACTAAACCGGTCATGCAGCTGTTGCTTACTTTGTGTCCTGGCAACCGTTGAGTCCCACCTGGTGGCCCAACCACAAAATGTACATCTGCCATCAAATCATTATTGAACATCATCGCATTTCTATAAACAGAGGCAACTCATTAATTCACAGCAGCCTGCATTTTTAACATCCCCTTCCCCAACATACAAAACCCACAAAAGACTTGCAAGCTAAGCAACAGTCCAGTAACTTCAAGGCAAAACAACAAATAAAGGTTCTAACTAAACTGTTCATAATCATTGCAAACATAAGGGAAGTAACTAAAGTTTAAAATAAAAGTTATACAAACTTTTAATAAAGCTAAGGACAAATAAAAGGTTCCCATTTTCTATGGCCCATAGACAACCCTGTCACTTGAATGTTACAGCTTGCAAAAACATTTTTATCTAAGAGGAAAACAGCTGTACTGTTTTGGAAAAGATACAAGGCAATTTTCCATTACCAATAAAAAGCTTCTGGGAAAAGAGGAAACAGATTTGTGTTCAAATACATTACAGGTTTTGCAAAAGCAGAAACTTCAACACAGGAAAACTTTTAAAGTAAATAGACTAGCGCGGCACTTACCTCTCTCTAATGGTGGGATAAAGACCCTGCCAGTTTGGGGCCGGGATAAGGTTGTTGTTACTGAGATTCTGCTGGTGGTACTGCTGGACGCTGGTGCTGCTGGAGTTGGCTGGCTTTTTACGGGGGAATATATCAGCAGCCATCTTCTTCTTTTTAGTCTTCAAGGTAATTATTTCATAACAAACTGGTGGCAACTTGCTGCTGTTGCTACTGCTGCTGCTGGTATTTGCTTTCTTTGAGCTTTTCTTGGACCTGTTCTTTACCGTCTCTGGAAGCATCAAGAAGAAGGTGAGACATTTCATGTTCTTTTCCTTGTCATCTACCATGAGTACAGTGTGTCTCTCTTTAGAGTTAGATATCCCAAATTGGTTTGAACATCAAGGAAAAGAGATTAGCCCGGGCTAAGAGGTTAACTGAAACCAACAAAGCTGATATTTTGCTGCTTTTCTCAGCCAGGCAAGGTGACCTTTTCACTATGTTGAATAGAAACTGGCTTTAAGTTTTATCCAGTACTGGGTCTGTTAAATATATCCCCATCATGATTCCTGTTTCTCTTATTTGCTCATAAAAATAACTGTTTCCTAGATCACCTGAAAATGCTACACTGCAAAGATGACAGGCACAGAGCTGTAGCACTTCTTTTCTGAATTAGGTCAGCAAGATGGGCTGGAGCTGCGTGAGTCTGTTCAGCCGGCTGAAGTTGTGTGGTGAATGGATCGGAGGAGAGTAGGTATTACAGCCCTGCAGATGGAGTCAGACAGCCAGTGCTCCGAGCCAATAGCTGAAGTCACCAATCATGATTGGACCAAGCAAAACAGTGACACCTATTGTAACATGCATAGTTCTGATATTAAAGGAACAGCAGTTGCATTTTCTTGTCTACTGTATATTTAAACAAGATAATAACATATGAAATATATTTGACAACAGGAAGGGAGGAGTTTATGCCCACAGATTTCTCTTCAGTAGACATACATTATGTCCCCAGTTAAGCAGGATCAATTAACAAAGGGTAGGGACAGATATCTATATTTCTACTAAAATCTTTTTCCCAGCAGCATTTAGTTTCAAATACTTAAAACAAAATCCTCCAGTCTATAAACTGAAAAGGGCTATTAATAGCAAAACACATTTATTACACTTTAAAGGCAAAGGACGTTATTTTTCTTTTTCTTAGCCTCTTTTGAGTGCAAGTCATAGTCTAGTGCTAAAGAAGAGAACTGAGGCCATGTGTTCAGTTTACCTCCCAATGTTTTCTAGCTTCTATAATGGTCTTTGACAGGTGTCTCAGGTCACAAAATACTGTTAATTAGATTAAGATTATACCCGTACACCTAAGTACACTAAAGCATAAGATAAACTCTAGAAGTAAAAATAAGATTCAAATAAAAACAAATCTGATGATCAATGTTCAAAGGCTGTAATTCACTAAAAATATTTCAGATGGGGCCATGTTCAGGATCTCAAAATTCAACTTAACTGTTAAGGCTACATTTAGTCTTGTCTTAATTTTAAAGAATATAATCCACAACTTCTAAGACAGAACAAATAACAAGGCTATTCAAAATGATAAATGTTCGGATTCCACCTAGTTAAAATGCAAACAGGTTCTCTCTGCTTTGAATTAGAAGAATATAAGCTACCATTTGATTTTTGTAGGTGTGAATCCTCCAACCATTTCTAGCGTTGGTGAGTAAAAAAAACAAAAACACCGGCAATAGGTTCTGCATATGCTTATTTATTGTAAAGAGGGACTAATTAAAATATTTAATCTCACCCCTATCTATTTGGATCACGCTCATTTGTTCAAAGCACAGCAGCCATTTGCTACCCCTCAGGCAAATGCACCCTTCATGACCACAGCCCTCCTTGTTTTAACATTTGTCTGAATAATGACTACCTGACACAGTGAGGGCTCAGCAAATAAGAGTTACGATTGTTATTGTTATAATTAATAATCTGCTAAAGGCGGTTACCAGAAATCAGTCTTTAAATCCCTAGAACACTAAATTGAACCAAGAAATATCCTCTTTATTGTTGTTATTATTATTCTTAAAACCATTTGCAAAGCCTCTGTAAGAGAACCAGGGCCTGTAGCACAGTTACCTGTCTCCATTTTAGATGGATCCTGAAGCACTGCTTATTTATTATGATTATCATGTTCTCAACAGCAGAACACACACATACAGATACCTCCAAATCATCTTCATACACACTTTAACACACAATGTTAGAGAGGGATCTAGAAACCAGTTTAAAAAGCACATAGAGAAAGTCATGAAGAAACAAGTAAGCTCCTATTGACCTAATTATTCAGAATAGGGTTAACACTAAAGGATTTCTCTCTTGCTCAAGTGCCACTGAACTTCCTTGACCACTTCCTTGCAGGAAAGCTCCCATGCCAGGTAGGCCTTTCTGACTGGGATTAATCTCATAAATATTTCTAACAAATCTAGTATCTGGCTTTTCAGGTCAGAAGTAATCAATTAGAATGGAAAGGGAAACCAGCTGCTTTTAGGCAGACATACTATTAATTGGTAGCTGGATGGAGACAAAATAGAAAAAACATAAAACACAGATACAAGAACTTAGAAGGGTTTGTGATCTTTACTCATTTTGCATATGGCTCAATACCCATCACCAAGAAGTCTCCAAAACACATGGCTCTTACACCACTAAGTTAAAGAAAAAAAGTAAAGTGGATGTAACAGTTTGAGAAAGAGAAGTATGCAATATTGTAGAACATGTTTTCTAAAATTACAGATATCAGTTATTTAGAAAAATAAGTTTTGTAGAAAATTCTGACAATACTAGTTAAATGAAGTAGCGCTAAATCTGAATCATCTACAAGAGTGCTACAAAGAAGGGCATTATTACTCCAATGTATGTAAGGACTGATGAGCATGGCTGTTTAAAATCAAGACAGAAAAATTATCTGACGGCTACTTTTTCTTACCACGGTAATAAGGCAAGTAATGCAGGTTCTTGCTACTGAAAATGTAGTTGAAGGATCAGCAGCAGCATCTACAGGGAGCCTATTAGTCACCCAGAATCTCAGCCAGACTCTGGATCAGAATCTGCATTTCATACAGTATTCAAGGTTGAAAAAAACTTCACATAGATAACTACTGACTACTAGATGTCTTCCCAATGATCCAGTACCAACATCTGGTGCCATATGTTGCATTCAACTATTAAGTGAATTGAAAATAACTCAAAATAATTTAATTTAGTTTGGACATTAAAAACTTAACAACCCCTCACATCTTGTTCTGAAATTCTTCTGATTAGGCCCCAAATGTCAAATTCTAGGATTGAGGTGTGCAGACAGCCAACTGAGAGGGACCAAGATATTCTCTGGAAAGGAAGCGCCAGCCCCAATTATTTTAAAAGATAATGACAGTGATGATTTCGGCAGGAAAAATAAGGAATTAAAAAATGTCAACTATGAAGCAGATAATCACTTAGTACTTTTAAATGGTCTACTTCACAATTGTATTTCAACAAATTAGCAATGTAGCATGGTAAAATTAGCAACCAATCTAGTTCAGTCCTGGCTGGGCCACTTAAAATAGAGAAAGGCGAGTATTTGAACAAATCATTTAGCCTTTAAGGGCCTCAGTTTTCCTCAGCTATAAGATGAAAGAGATTCACCCAGAATGAATGTTTTTCAAACTTTACACTCAATCCACAGTAAGAAATGCATTTTATATTCTGACTTAGTACTAAACATAAACACACATACAGGCATACAAATGGAAAGACATGGCTCAAAAAACAAAACCTACTCTTAGCATGTTATGATATACACTCTGATATTTTCTATTTTCTTCTTTCTTCTTTTCTTTTCAATGTTGGTCATAATCCATTCAACTGATCTCATGACCACAGTTTAAGAAACACTGGTCTAGGTTATTTCTAAGGGCATTTAAGGTTTAACACACTAGGTTCTTTTCTTTTTTTTTTATTTTATTATTATTATACTTTAAGTTTTAGTGTACATGTGCACAATGTGCAGGTTAGTTACATATGTATACATGAACATACTAGGTTATTTTCTATCAAGAATTCAGACTAGGGACCACCAGATGATGGCAAGTTCATGAAACTCCTCAAGCTGTCGGTGAAATTGGCAGTATGTGTGCATTTATTTTTCTAGAAAGAGAAGCCATGGCTTTCATCTGCCATGAGTAATTGCAACCCAAAATACAATAAAATGTTAGGGTTAAAATGTTATAAAACTATAAGATTGATTTGAATATACAAAATTTTGGTATCACTTTATTCTTTCATTTCTATAGTCTACTACATTAAATACAAATTATGGCTTCTTTTCCTCCTTGATTAAACATAAATAGTTAAAACTCCATCTGTTGAGTCTGTAACCCAGAAACATCACCCACTGGGTTGAAGGGTAAAAAAGGATAGCAGCCTGATGTCTACTGCTACATTTTACTCCTAAAATTTCTTTCCAATAGGCATTTTATCACTTGTTTCTACACTTCCTGAATTTTAGAGCTGTCTGCCCTAATGAGGTAAATAGGCCAAGAAGTCCATCAAGTTTGTATGAAAGTATTCCCAAAATAAAACATACTGACTATGCAGTGTATTAGGTGTTGGGCATACGGCGGTGAGCAAGACTAGAAACCAAACTTAAAAAGTTAGCTAATAATAGTGTGTTTCAGTTGATTTTATAATTGCCAGAAAGCTGAATCACTGTTAACCTATTTCCATTCAATTCCCAATAATAACAAAATTATCCACAGAATTTAAGCTCACTTAGATCATCCTTTTCACCACTGGAAGGTTTGTCAGCAATCCTACCTTTATTTAATACAATCTGACATATTCACTTTGCAGACCTGAATGAGGTTTGAAACTGAACGGGACTCCAGAAATCATTTAATGCAACTCTTTTTTCACAGGTATGGCAACTGGTGTCAGAAGTATAAGGGGTTTGTGAAAATTCCACAGTAAAGAAGTGGGGCAACACCTGGACTACGAGGCGGATCTCCTGGCTTGTCATGTTGTTTGCTTCATTCACTCTAATATTCACTCACAGTAATTACCTCACACACTTACAGAATGCTCAATTGTCATATTTCTAATCTACTTTAAAAGAAGAGCTTTCTTTTAAAGTTTACAAAGATGAAAACCATGAACATATGTAGTCTGCACCCCTGTAGGGGCACACTACAGGCAAGAATGCTGAAAGGATACTTGTGGAATGAGATGGAAGGAAGGAACTGCAGTGAGGACGCTGCTCAAAAACAGAAGAGGCTCTCCAGGTAAAATAAAGTTAGAAACCAGCTATTCACGGTTAACACCAACTTCTATGTCAACAACTAATAATGCTGGCAACTCTTGTTTAACTTGCTCTAACTCTGGACTCCTTGTCTGGACTTGTACATGGTTTACTACAAGGCCGCTAAAAAGCAACAGCAGTGAGGTTAACAGAGGTTTAAACAAGGTAAGGTAGACTGAAGAAATACCTATCACTTCCAAAAATGATTAACATAACCTAACAGAGGAGAGTAGTTTAATCTGGTAAGTTATGAGGGAATAGTGTTTTGTTTTTGCTTATTTGTCCCTTCAATACTGAGCAAAAATTATGCTTTTGATTTGGGAGGTAAAAAGATAAGCAACAAAATGTTGGCAGTCCCCAAAGTCAGCAGAAGCTGCTGGAAAACAGACTATATATGCTTTCTAAATTTGGAAATAAATATGGAGTCAAGCGCTGGAAGCATAGCATAGCTAAAAAAGCAAGAGCTAACAACAAGTGACCTTAAGGTCAGTATTTGTGAGCCTCATTTTCCACATCTGCCAAATGGGGTAATTAGACCCAGCTTCTCCCTCAGGTTTATTGTGAAGGCAAGATTATATGTTTTGTGAAAGCACTTTAGTTAAAAACAGTCTACAAAGGTAAGTTCTCACCATTAGCAGCAATTGTGCCCAAAGCAGGAAACGTTTGTGATGCAATCATCTAAAACACAAAATCTCAAAGATTAATCTAGCTCCTCATCCTTGTACTCTTTTCAGACTGCACAGCTACTGACATTTCATCCTATCTGCAGGCTTCCTCTAGCCCCACCTATGGGCCAAGCAGGTCCCATTTTGCTGTGAATCTGATTTTGCAGGGAAGGTTCAATAATAAGCAAGATTTGTGCTGTGCACTGTGATCCGGTCCACACCCAATGTCCAAATCCCACAGTGTTATTTCCAAACCTGCACTTGAACCCACACTTCAGGCTGGGTGCCCATTGTGGACTTCAAACCTCCATGAGGCCACCTGTTGGCTGATTCACTGCTGTGCCCACTTCCTGAGACAGCCTCCTGCAAGGAGCCCATCTAGCCACCCAGCCATATCTCACTAGCAACTCAATTTGGCCTCTCTCGACAATGACCCAGTTTGAATTCCAGCACCAAGGTTGATAACTAAGGCCAAGTATTTGGCCAAGGCATACCTCAGTGCTGTCCACAGTATAAGGTTCATGGTCAGTTTCATTAAGCCACCTTTTCACCACACAGAGCTCCAGTTAACCTTGAATTGTACTTTAGATTTGGGGTGAGCGGGGGGTGGGGAGGAATGCCCAAAGGTAGAATGTGGTAATTCTTAGAAGGCAGGGAACGATGATTCTTTTTAAAATTCCATATGGCACTTACCATGACATTTGACGATTATAGCTCTTACATACACACTGTGTCTCAGTGTGCACCTTGTTTGGAATACTAAACTACTCATCTAAATCCCAAATTATTCTCTTCCATACATTAAGTGATCTTGAAAAGGGGTATATAAAGTTTACCAGGAGATACTCTGAAGATGGCTATTTAAAGGAATATTATAATTTCTTTTGTAAAGTTGAAGATACTTCAATAAAAAAAGGCAACCAATTGCTAAGTTTTACATACTCTAGATCAAGTTTGTCCAACCTGCGGCCCTGCAAGAGGCCTAGGATGGCTTTGAATGCAGCCTCAAACAAATTCGCCACCTTTCTTAAAACATTATGAGATTTTTTTTTTCTGCAATTTTTTTAGCTCATGGGCTATCCTTAGTGTTAGCATACTTTATGTGTGGCTCAAGACAATTCTTCCAACATGGCCCAGGGAAGCCAAAAGGTTAGACAACTCTGCTCTAGATGATCTCATGGTACATTTCCTCAGGTGTATTGACTACATGATCGCCTATCTTTTCCAATTATAGGTTTCTAGGATTTAAAAAATCTGTATAATATTTGCCAGAAATAGTTATTTACTTAATATAATTTTCTTTACATTTTAATATGATTATGACCAATACCCAACTAAAACTCTGTGTACATATGTAAGTGCCATATTTTATGGACTGTAGATTCCTTGTGCCTCCCCCACCCTCGCCACTTTAACATCTCTGAAACTGGTTTGTGTCTTTTAATTGATGCCATCTCATGAGTGTAACTATTAGGCTTTTTTTTTTCCTTTCTTAGCAGTACATAAAGTAATGGCATGTCTTACACCTGATGGCACCCTACAGTCAGTGAAATACGGTAAAATTTGTACAATTCAACAGAAAGAAAGAAATCTTTTTTTTAGGTTGCTTAATTATTTCCTTAACCAGGCAAGATGATGGCTCAGAATTCTGGCTGAACTACATTAGAATAATTGAGCTTTCATCAAGTAGTTATTTGATAAAGTATATAATCACAATTCTCAATTGAGACTGCTACTATGACAACCATTGATATGGTAGAATATCTAGATGGAAATCTCAAAATGAGAATTTGCATTGCCAGGACTGGTAAGAGTTCCAGCATTAATATAATGCATTTCTAGTATTTTCTCATGCCACACAATTGTACATAAAATGTACATAAAACTGATCAGTATAAGCCTGTAACTCTCTGGGTAATATTTGCTAAAGATATTTTATCAATCAATTCAAGATTTATTAACTTACAACTACTTTATACATAGGTTAAATATGGAGCTAAATGACTCATTAGAAGATATTGCTTACTTTCAAACAAATAGAATCCATATTAAAATGTTAGCTTAAGAGAGAGAAACATTATCATAATACAATGATCCCAATATATATATATGACTTTCTACTAGGTACTTGAAAATAGTCTATCCAAAGAAAAGTAAAATCAAGGCTCAGGAGGTCCCTTTCAAAAAGGCCTGAATGGGGCTGTTCCAACAAAGGACTTCAATCAATCCTACTGGGAATGCTGGAATGGAACAACCTCACCCAACCATTGCTGTGGCTTTCTCCAGGTCATTTGTTGGCTTTAAATAACAGAAGAAGAAAATAATATGTTTCGGTCAAAGAAAAAGGAAAGTGTTTCCAAAGATATGTTTTACTTTGGCTAGTATTAGTTTTTTTTGTTTTTTTTTCTGATATTCGAAAGATAGTCACCAAGAACATCTCCTCCATCAGATCATCAAAGTCCAAAAGCTTCTCTCACATATTAACCAAAGAGTATCTTGTTCTATTTGGGAAAAACACCTTTTCCAAGAACACATGGGACGGGAAGAAAGAATCCAGACAACTCCCAAATCACCAGATATTCTACATCAGTCCTGATTATTAGTGAGGTTCCAAGTATCACAGCCAAATTTCCCCAACATCCACAACTAAGTTCTATACCTTTAGTCACTCAGTGCTTAGAAATAAACACTGCTCTCCTGTCCTTCAATTTACTGCCTCCCCGCCATCAACACCAAACACCTGAATTATATCAATTATCTTAGATTTTAAATTGTGCTCACTGTAAAATGAACAGGACAGGTTGGGAAAGGCAAGGCCAGAAAAAGCTTTTTATTTTGTTGTTTTGTTTTGTTTTGTTTTGTTTTGCAAAACCACATAGAAAAGACCAGTTACAATTTCACATTTTGACAAACACTATACACATATCCAGAAGGTCTCAATTAATTACTATTTAATGAAATGCTATCCTTTGTTTTACAATGTATGCGACCAGAATGAAATATAGTTATTTTGGGCAAACAATACAAGATCTAACATTAAGAGGTCTGCTATGCTGAGTGAAATCTGAGAAATCTTGCTGTGGGAAAACTTAAACATACATGAAGTTACAAAGTAGCTTAACACTCAATTTCTAACATACCTTCTCTCGAGTAGATACCACCAAATAAAAATGAAAAAAGGCACCTACATTTCTAAAATAAATAACAATAATATTCCCTAACAAAAAATTCAAGTAGAATTAGAAGGCTGTAACAGAGCATTATTACAGAAACCAGTTTCTGGCAAAAACTCACAGTAAAAGCTCTTCTAGAACCAAATTAAAAGATACATTTTATGCTACTTTTTTTTTTTTTTTTGACAGGGGGTTTCGCCCTTGTTGCCCAGGCTGGAGCACAATGGCACAATCTCAGCTCACTGCAACCTCCGCCTCCAGGGTTCAGGCAATTCTCCTGCCTCAACTTCCCAAATACCTGAGATTACAGGAATGCGCCACCACACCGGGCTAAGTTTGTATTTTTAGTAGAGACGGGGTTTCACCATGTTGGTCAGGCTGGTCTCAAACTCCCGACCTCATGTGATCCACCCGAACTCCTGACCTCATGTGATCCACCCGCCTAGGCCTCCCAAAGTACTGGAATTACAGGCATGAGCCACCGCGCCTGGCCGTTTTATGCTACTTTTAATTAGCTTAAAAGTATACAATCCCCATCAACTGTTGTGAAGTACACAATAGAAAGGCACAGTATACTTTAAATGTTGGTATAACCTTAAATATAATAACACCAAGTAACATTCACAAACTACCACCATTTGCTGCAGGAAATAATAATTCGACACTGATAAAGCACTTCTTTGTTGCTTCAACCTCTCATGCTATTATAATCAGAATAAAAATTGAGGTTCCATACCTAGCTTTATCACATGTATTAGAACTAAGAAAATAGAGTATTTCAAAAAAAATTCAATTCTCTAATATTCTCTAAAATAAAAATAATTATTTTTTTAATTAAGAGCTACTATATAAGTAGGTCAGTACTTGAACTGCCCAGAGATTTAGAGTAAAATAATCTAATTGCTCATGAAATAATGCTAAAATAAGTCTCACTTAAAGTGGGGACTATTCATGAAAACATGTTCTTAAATTTGAGTTTCTCCAGTCTCTGCATCACATAACAATAGGGAGGACAGCATTTATAATACATAGGAACTTTAACCATAATAAACAGATTAAAAACATTAAAGTCAAAATACATCTTCAAAGAGTGGCAACTCAACTGTCAGTACCTTATTTAAAAAAAAAAAAAAAAAACCACAGAGAAGCAACCACTCCACCATAGTTAACAGAGATATGAACTCATACAAGATCCAAGGTGATGATGACTGGAACCAGACCAAGGAAGGACAATCTCTGAAAATGGTGATCACAATTTACATCTGAGTCAGGTCTCTCTGCATAAGGATTTTACTTGTCATCTGCGGAGATGCCATAATTTCTACTAAGAGTTCCGTATAGGAGACCTGGGTGATGTCAGTATTTGACTGAAGTAACACTCTTGTAAAATTTAAAATATAGCATCAAAAATGAGACAAAAAGAGGCATGTGGTCAAATCTTTACTCTATAATGCTCTTCCCTAAGGGGCTATCATCTAAATTGAGGAAGGTCTCTCTCACATACCAGAGAAGTGCAAACAAGCATCCGCCCCGGAAGAAGGGAAGAAATTCTGTCTCACCTTTCCCAGTGAGAGGAAGCATGGCTTGCAATGCATTTTGGATCTCCATGACCTGGCTCAATTCCCAATTAGATCTTTTGACTCATCCTCTTCATTCACCCACCCTGCAAACCAGACTATTCCCACACTACAAATGGGTCCATTGCTTCCTGCCATCCTCACTGCCCTTTCTTCTGTACAACCCTACGTATAAAAAGCCTACCCACCCATCCTTCAAGACGCAGTCCAAAGGATACCTAAGCAAGGAAGGTTTCCTGGTGCTTCCAGACTCATCATGCCCAAATGCAGTACTTTCTCACATTCTATCTTGCCTTATGTTGCCTGATTAAAGTGTGCTTTCTCTGAGGACTGCATCTCCATATCTGCAACAGTGCCATGCCCATGCACCTGGCTTTCAATGGTTACACAAGAGGAGGTTAAAGCCCAACACTTCCAAGTCCAATTAGAACTCCAGATCACACTTGTGGGGTGCAACTGGTCCTAGACCAAAATGGTCTGAAACTAAGATCTACAGTGTTTCTAGTTGACTGAGATGCAAGCTTAGACTAGGTAGAGTGGAAAAGAACCTGAATACCTATTAAATGTGTCCTGGGGCTCTCCTGAACATGTCTAAGCACAAATGCAGTATTATAATACCACATTAATCTCACAGCTAATCCAACTGTAAACACCAAAGCTCAACTTAAAGCAAGTCCCTACATGCTTAGAGTAAGGCTTCACTACATTAAAAGTCTAAAATTTAATGTAATACACATATTCACAGAGAAGTGTGGGTTAACCAGGAACAAGAACTATTACCAGGACAAAGCTGCCTTTATCAACCGGCCTCAACTCATGGCCTGGCATATTTATTTATAGTGCTAGTAAAGAATTTTAATGATTTAATGAACTGGAAAGGATGATAAATTCTCAGCAATTCACGTGAAAAGAGGAAAGCAGTCACATGAATAATCCAAAAAAAAGGATAATTAAAAAGACTGTCTAATGTGGTCCTGAAATGTGTTTCACCTGTACTTAACACTGAATCGATGAATTTCCACTACATTAGACACACCCAGTCTTCAAACAAAGTAATAAAATAGGCTTGTGTGTATAGGGCAGTAGGAAAATGCATGCCTCCCCTGCAAATAAACCACAATTCTAAGATGGGCGATGTCTCATTTCAGATTACTGCAGAGCAAAAGCACAAGTAGAAAAGTATACTGCTTACATGCATGAGTCTCTGTCTCACTTCACTAAGAAGAATCAGGCAAGTAATCAGGTGTTTGACTTTTTTACAAAAAATAAAGAATTCTCAACTTCCATCTATATATTCCCTTACAACATTGAAGTAACAGGCCGGGTATGGTGGCTCACGCCTGTAATCCTAGCACTTTGGGAGGCCTAGCTGGGTGGATCACCTGAGGTCAGGAGTTCAAGAACAGACTGTCCAACATGGTGAAACCCCATCTCTACTACAAATACAAAAATTAGCCAGGTGTGGTGGCATGTGCCTGTAATCCCAGCTACTTGAGAGGCTGAGGCAGGAGAATACTTGAGCCTGGGAGGCAGAGGTTGCAGTGAGCACCGATAACACCATTGCACTCCACCCTGGGCTACAGAACGAGACTCCGTCTCAAAAAAAAAAAAAAAAAAAAAAAAAAAAGGAGTAATAATAAATGGAAATTATGGTATCAGTAGTGGAATAACTTATTTTTGGCCAAAACTGGAAAGTATCTTGCTGGGCCGGTGTGTTTATGGAACCTTTACCACCAGCAATGATTTTAAAAACCATTAAGAGTGTTGAAAATGTAAAGTCATAGTTTTGAGATTTGTGTTGGCCAAAATAAATAAATAAATAAATCTGCTCAAATTTTTCAATAACGAATTCACTGGCCATAAAAGTATATTTCTTAGAAGGCAGGGTGAGGTAAATTCATTCCATGTGTGCCTGTTGTTCAATGTGTATATGACTTAAAAGTATGAAGCCTTTTAAGCAGTTCTGACTTGCACTGGTTAAGAAAGTAAGTAGAACAAGTGACCAAATCTCTCTGCAACCTCCCAGCAACATCTGCTAGTGGTGATGCAGAACAAAGGCCACAATGGAAGGGATCATTTGCTCCTAACAGAAAAGGCAAGAGTTTCACCAGGAACTAAAAAAGATAAAAATGGCTCCATAGTCTGGCTCTGTAACTTTTATTACTATTGATGCTGCTGGTTTCTAAGCCATCTGAAGGTCACTCCAGTGACTAAGCAAAAGTGAACAGTGCCAAAGGAGCAGTAAAGTCACCTTACTTTTCCGCAGTCCTCCTCACCCACACCTGAATGATGGGGGATTTATTTACGCATAGCGGTAAAACGGCCTGGCTAAGTGCAAAATAGCTATTGTGCATTCCCCTTTGCTATAATCAATGTATTGTTTCATGGGGAATCTCTGGGAGATGCAATAGTAAAAATTATTGATTTTATTAAACTTCAGCTGTTGAGTAAACACTTTTAAAATATTCTACGTCATGAAATTGGGAAGTATGCACAAAGCATTTCTGGTCAAATTGAAATAGAATGGTTTCCTTGAGAAAAAACACGTGTACAACTATTTGTGTTACAAGTCAAACCAGCAGCTTTTTTCTTGAAATGCCATTGTTACTTGACAGAAGCAGCAAAGTATGCTTATTCAGACTAAGGTATCTGGCAGACATTTTCTCAAAAATGAATGAAGTGAGCCTGTCACTGCAAGGAAAACTGACAGTATTTATTGCTGATAATAAAATTCAAGGCTTCAAGCAAAAATTAGAATTTGGAAACCTTGATTACACCACCATGAGCCTGACAGCTTCCCAATACTCAAAAGACTGTTCTTATAAGAGCAGTGATATTAAATGAACATGATTTTTGATACTGTATAATGAAATGTGTCAACACTTGAAAGATTTGCATAACTCAGTGAACCAACCTTTTCTAATAAGAATGCAATTACAATACAAAATCATGCATTGGTAAAAGATCCAAAGTACAATGGTCGACCAATGGATTTAAAGTATAACAAGAGTACAAAACGTTCATCGATATGGTTTTAGATTCCACATGGCAATTAACCTTTAAGAAACTACTACTTATGAAGCTTTGGTGAGGTATCAAATATCCACAATCATCTGAAAATGCTATTAAAATATTCTTTTCCAGCTATACATCTGTTTGAGGCCAGATTTTCTTCATATGCTTCAATGAAAACAATTATTTTTAAATAAATACTTAATTTTTTAAATTTTGACAAAAGTATATTAATAGATATGACCCCTATAAACAAGTTTTCTGGGCTTTTGAAAATAATTAAGAGTATAAAAAGGTCCCAAAACCAAAACGTATGAGAAAAGCTGATGCCCAGCTTCATAAGAAGTTTGGATTTTATCGTAAGCGTAATTGTAAGCCTCTAGAGGCTTTTGATATGGTTTGGATTTGTGTCCCCATCCACATTTCATGATGAATTGTAATCCCCAATGTTGAGGGAGGGACCTGGTGGGAGGTGACTGGATCATAGGGGTGGATTTCCACCTTGATAGTGAGTAAGTTCTCATGAGATCTGGTTGTTTGAAAGTGCATAACACTTGCCCCTTTGCTTGCTCTCTCCTGCCAGCGCGTGAAGATGTACTTGCTTCCCCTTTACTTTCTGCCATGATTCTATGTTTCCTGAGCACCACCCCCAGCCATGCTTCCTGTAGAGCCTGCAGAACTGTGAGCCAATTAAACCTCTTTTCTTTATAAATTAAACAGTCTCAGGTAGCTGCTTTACAGCAGTGTTAGAACGGACTCATACAGCTATTAACAAAAAAAATTCTTAATGAACTATATACAAGATCAGGGCCAACTTTTTACACATACCTACTTTTTCCCTTTCATTCTCCTAGAAAACAGTAACTAATTCTCAGAGCACAAATCTCAACCATTCACTCCAAAATATATTTTTGCACATTGTAGACAGAATGAAGGATACAAGAGACAATCTCTGCCACAAAAATTAAGAGCGGTGGCTCACACCTGTAATCCCAGCATTTTGGGAGGCCAAGGCAGGCAGATCACCTGAGGTCAGGAGTTTGAAACCAGCCTGGCCAATATGACGAAACGCTGTCTCTACTAAAAATACAAAAAATTAGCTGGGCATGGTGGCGGGCACCTGTAATCCCAGCTACTCCGGACGCTGAAGCAGAAGAATCACTTGAACCAGGGAGGTGGAGGTTGCAGTGAGCCGAGATCATGCCACTGCATACAGCCTGGGCAACAAGAGCGAAACTCCGCCTCAAAAAAAAAAAATTAAGAACAGTCAAAGAGCTAATCTTCCATCTGTTCAATGGCACTGTTTGGCATCTCGTCAATACCCCAACCTCAGAAAATTCACAGAATTTAGGGTGCAAAATCATATTAATTGACATCCTCTTTGAAGACATTAAGAAAAAAATTGTAAATGAGCTTTGAGGTAGACAAGTATCCCTACAAACTTCACATAAACCAGCAAGAAAACAAACATCTCTCTCTGAAAATCTGCTTTCTCCTACATCACATTTCCTTAGGAGAATTGGGGGTAGCAATCTTTGGTGTTCTCCTAAAGCAAGCATGGCTGCCAATGTTTAAGATAATTTGTTAACTTTTTTCTTTCATTTAAAGAGAGATATATCAGGCAGAATATGACTCTTCCTACAGTGCCATTTTAATATTGTATCTACAGAGTATGGCATTTGATACCATAAAATATCGAAATCTTCCTATATACTAAATAGAAGAAAACAGTTTGTTGGAAATAAAGTTTAGGTTAGGACTTTGTAAAAGTCCAAAAGAAATACTTAATCTAAATAACATTTTATTTAAAAATACAGGTAACCCTTGAACGCTATGGGTTTGAACTGCTCTGGTCCACTTATATCTAGATTTTTTTCAATAACTATATTGGAAAATTAGTTGGAGATTTGTGTAACAATTAAAAAAAACAGATGAACTGCACAGCCTAGATATATTGAAATTTTTTTAAGTTTTGTATTTCATTAATGGGTAAAACATGTAGCTGTGAGTCTATTTTATCATTTACTACCATAAAACATACACACATCTATGAGAGTTACCAAAATTTATGCACACAAACACATACTGACTGTATATAGTGCCATTCCCAGTCCAGAGAAATGTAAACAAATGTAAAAATGCAGTATTAAATCATAAAGGCATAAAATTAACTGTAGTACATACTATTCTACTGTAATAATTTCATAGCCATCTCCTGTTATTCCTGTGGTGAACTCAAGTGTTGCCAGTATCTGCCTAAAGTGCCATATGATGCTAATCATCTCAGCATGAGCACTTTCTCTCCCCAATATATTGCTTATGGCAGTAAAATGTGATCTCTGGTGGTTCTTGTGCATTTCTCATCATGTTTAGTGCAATACAGTAAACCACGAATAACATCATGAGACCCATACAAAGTGCCATTAGTGATGCTAGAAGTGCTTCCGAGAAGCATAGAAAAGACACTACAAGAAAAAAGTTGAATTGCTTGATATGTACTGTAGATTGAGGTCTGTAGCTGTGGTCACCCACCATTTCAGACAGATGATTCATCTTGTAAACAGATGATGTAAACTTACAATATTGATGAATACAGTACATTTCTATAAATGTATTTTCACTTCCTTATGATTTTCATAATATATTATTTTCCCTAGTTTATTGTAAGAATGTAGTATATAATATATACGACACACAAAATATGCGTTTACTGACTGTTTATGTTCTCAATAAAGCTTCTGGTCAACAGTAAGCTATTAGTTAAGTTTTTGTGAGTCAAAAGTTACACATGGATTTTCAACTGTGCGGGGTGGGAGGTTGGTGGGGTGGGGGCAGGCATCAGTGCCTCTTTATGCTCAAGTTGTTCAAGGGTCTAGTCTTTTACTAGAGCTAGCATCCAAACACCTTCCCATCTTCACTCTTAAAAAAATTTTAAGAGGTTGTACATTTTAGTAGGATTCTGATCCTCACAACTACTTCACACTCAGTAACTATATAATACTATAGAAACACTGTAAAATCAAAATATAGGTTGTCCTTATCTTGAGCATCTCATTTTCCTATAAGCCAAACCGAACACCATTATATATTGACATCCCTAACCCACACCCACCTAGTCAAATCCATCACTGCCTGGTGATGATTTTGAGTATATGCTAGGAGATATTTGCTAGCTAAGAGTTCAGAACTGATTCTGACATTTTGGGGGGATCACTTATAAGAGAAAGTAGCTAATAAAGTAATAAAACATTTCAAGTACGCGTGAGCTGATCCCACAGAAATACTTATTGAATGGTATTAAATTAACTAGACAATCTACTAATTTAAATAAATAAATTACACAGCATTTATTAAGTAGGTGCTGAAATCATCTTGGGGAAGGGTAAGGAAGTCCACCATGAGAGACTGACTGCGACTGCATAGGGATCAAAAGTGACTGCACATGTGCACGCTCCCTCCACTGTTGACCACTTTCAGTAACAGCTCACTCTCCAACAGATGATCTTCAGCTTCAAGCACTTATTCATCCTGTCTCCCAAGGCCACAAAAGATGGTGAACAAAAAAACCACAGGAAGAGACAGAGCACTCTGGAATGCACCTCCACCCAACACTGATGTCTAAGTGGTAGAGCGGGGAGGTGCTGTGCAAGAGAATGCTACCAACAGTTCCCTGTAGCCTGAACCTGCATCCTGAGCAGAAGGAGGGACTTTTGTAGCTTCTCACCATTTTTTTCTATTGAAAATAAGATTTTGGGAAAAGTCACCTGATATAACCTCAATTAAGAATTGTACCAATTTCCAGGTTTTCTAGGAATATAGATCATTCTCCAACAACACATTAAATTTGTAGATGGACTTTGGCCGGGTGCGGTGGCTCAAGCCTGTAATCCCAGCACTTTGGGAGGCTGAGGCAGGCAGATCACGAGGTCAGGATATCGAGACCATCCTGGCTAACATGGTGAAACCCCATCTCTACTAAAAATACAAAAACAAAATTAGCTGGGCATGGTGGCGGGCACCTATAGTCCCAGCTACTCGGGAGGCTGAGGCGGGAGAAAGGCGTGAACCCAGAAGGCAGAGCTTGCAGTGAGTCGAGATGTCGCCGCTGCACTCCAGCCTGGGCGACAGAGCCACACTCTGTCTCAAAAAAAAAAAAAAAAAAAGTAGGTGGACTTTATTATATTTGACTTTTTGCTACATTCTCCATGAACAAAGGTATGAAAATAGGTGGCAGTCTACATTAGAAGTCCTTCTCTATCCACAGAGACCTAAAGTACAACATCATAGCAGAGGGCCAAAATTAGTCCCTCACTATAGAGTATGTTTGCTGGTGATGGGTAGGCAAGACCGCCACTTTCAAAAAAAACAGATTAGTAGAAGAAATTAGGTGGCATTAAAAGACAAAAACTCTCACAAAGGCAACAAATACTTACAAGAGTCTCCAAAGCAGGTGTAGAACTTTAAACGAGATGTGTTTTCCAACTGGGCTGTCCATTAATGGCCTAAACTGAGGGCAATGTGATTTATCATCAGAAAGATACATAGGTCAATTTTTTCCATTCAGCCTTGGCCAATAGTACTGAATATTTAGGGTTCAATATAAAATGAATTTGTAACAGCACTATTTTCAAAAGAATGAGTCTTCACGACAACAAAAAGTAGATCTAATCAGAGTTGCAAAGGCAAGGGAAATTTATCAGGTAGAACAGATGCATTCAAAGCAATGGAACTTGTGACATTTTATTTCCAATGTGCATGGTAATCACCGCTAAAATGTTTACACCTAATTAAATATGGGGAATGCTCTTACTTATATAGCATCATAGAAAAATTAAGGAGAGATCAAATATACACAAGGAGCTAGGTATATTTTGAATTATTTTGACAGTAGAGTTGAAGAAAATTTTCACATTTTTGTGTATAGGTAACAGCTATTGGGCTTATCCATTTCTAAACACACATACATCATGGTTTTTATTTATTGTGTATTCTTCAGTTGCATAAACCATCTCTAAAATAATCATCTTTTTTTTCTTGCAAATCACAGCACTTGCTTGCACAGTAAATTGCAACAGTAAAAATCTACAAATGTTTCTTGCTCTATTAAGAAAGAGGAGGAAAGTGAGTCTGATGTTTTTGAGATATTCTTGGATTTGAAGGACACAAAAGGAGCCTAGAAACACAATAAGCAAAACTTTAAAATGACTGCTTGGTAAGTGCAGCAAACCACCATGGCACACATTTACCTATGTAACAAATCTTCATGTCCTGCACATGTATCCTGGAAGTAAAAATAAAATACAATTAGAAAAAAAAAGAAAAGAAAAGAATGCAAATACTTTAAGGGTCTGAGACATGAGGAGCCATGGAAAATAAAGGGAAGTGTCCAAGAGATCAAATACAGTGCTCATCCACTTCTCAGATTTGTGTGACGACTAGAGGGGGCATAATAATTATTTAATATAATTCATATGAAAAAATAAAAATCAGGTATTTTAAAAACAATAAAATAAAATGACTGCTATAAGGATTGCTGTAGGGATGACTACAACATTCTCTTGTCTGGAAAACAGAAGGTAAAGGACTGAGATCCTTTGATTTTGTGGATTTAGTAAAAGGTTCAATTACGTGCATCCAAGTGGCTCTGAGGATTTCAAAATCACCTTAGAAGTTATTTCAGCAAGAACCTCATAGGAAAAAAGACTAGAAGGGGCCATGAAAGATGTCCCAAACAGCAAGAAGGCATTAAAAGGGGGAGAGCAAATAGTTATCACCCACATTAAGGGACAAATATTTGCAGACTGGTTAAAGAACAAAATATAGTAACAGTATATCACTGATATTTACCAGGGAACCCAGGTATGTTTTGAAAAGCTCCCAGGTGATGCCACACCTACTCTTGATTAAAAACTGAAATATAAAGAGAGAAGATTCTAGAATACAATTCACATCATTCAGATGTGAATCAGGGCACTTGGCCAGGCTTTTTTGTCAGTTAAGTGACCTGGTCCTATCCATTAGTACTTTACAGAGAGCACCCTATTTAATTCTCATAACCACTCTCTGTATTATTATCTCCATTATAAACTATAAATGTTCTTGAACTTCTCCCTTGCTGGTGGGATAAGTCAACGTTAGATCCACAAATGCTAAAACACTATGCATGTGTTGCTTTATGGGAAATTCACTGAAAAAAAAATTGGAGAAGGCAGACTACATTCATTCATTCAAAAAATATTTACTGAGCATCTTCTATGTGCTAGGCACTCAGGACACATTAATAAACATACTCGACCTCAAGGAATTTATAGTCTAGCAGAGGTAGGAAAGAGAGGCAATTCACAAAATAGACAAATAAATAGTAACTTAGAAGGTAACAGATGCAACGGAAAAATAAAATGCAGAGCACTGCAAGAGACATACAGGATGCAGATTGCAATTGTAACTAGAGTAATCGCACAGACAAAATGCTATTTTAGTGAAGACCTGAAAGAGGTGGCTGGGGGGGTAGGATAAATATTATAGGCAGAGGAAAAAGTCCAGTGCAAAGACCTAAAATGGAAATGTGCCTGCCACGTTCAAGGATTAGCAAGGAGGTAAGGAAGGCTGGAATGGAAAGTGCCGAGTGGGAGACAAGCGGGAGAAGAGGTCAGTTAGTGAGAATCAGATCATGTAGGGCTTTTTAATTTTTATTTATTTATTTATTTGTAGACAGAATCTCACTCTGTCCCCCAGGCTGGAATGCAATGGCACGATCTCGGCTCACTGCATGCAACCTCCGCCTTCCAGGTTCAAGAGATTCTCCTGCCTCAGCCTCCCAAGTACCTGGAATTACAGGTGCATGCCATCACGTCTGGCTAATTTTTGTATTTTTAGTAGACATAAGGTTTCACCATGTTGGCCGGGCTGGTCTTCAACTGCTGACCTCAAGTGATCTGCCCACCCCAGCCTACCAAAGTGCTGGATTACAGGCGTGAACCACCATGCCCGGCCCAGATCATGTAAGGTTTTATGAATCATAAGAACACTGGCCTTTATTCTGAGTGACATGGAAGCCACTGGAGGGTTTTAAGCACAATTTGACTTATGTTTTTAAAAGATCACTCTGATGTTAAGCAGATGGAAAATCAAAGAGAAGCCAGGGAAGGAAAAGGAGACCAGTGATCTGTTAGGAGGCCATGGGCCACGGCAATACTCCAGGCAAGAAATGCAGGAGACTTGGACAAAGATGCTGGTAGTACGGATGGGAAAAGTAGTTAAACTGATTCTGGATACATTTTGAAGACAGAACAGCAGGATTTGCTGACAACCTGGAAACAGAGTTGGAGAGAAAGAGAAGAGTCAGGAGGATTCCATGTTCTTTTTTTTTTTTTTTTTTTTTTTTTGCTTAAATAACATGAAAAAAATGGAGCTAACACCCACTAGGTTGGTGCAAAAGTAATTTGCCATTAATGCAAAAAACCACAATTACTTTTGCACCAACCTAATAAAATGGGGCAGGCTGCAGATGGAGCAGGTTTGCAGAGAAAGATCAGAAATTTTGTTCTGGCCATATTTAGGCTGAAGCGTCTTTCACATATTCACGTTAAGAAGTCAAAAAAGTAGTTGGAGATGTCTGAGGTGGAAATATACATTTAGGAGTCTTAAGTAGCTACACAGTATTTTATTAAAGCCCTGTGACTATTTGTGACAACAGGCGGGTGAGAACTGAGCCTTGGCACATTCTAAATTCATAGGCTGGTGAGAAGAGAAAACCAACACAAATTTAAAAACAACTGAAAAGAAACCAGAAGGCCAGCGGTATAGAAGGGAAGGCAACAGTGTGTGGTGTCCTCAAGAATCAAATGAAGGAAGAATATTAAAAAAGGAGGAATAACAAATTACATCAAATACTGCCAACAGGTAAAGATGTGACTTGAGTGTCAGCTATAACTTGGAATATTTGCTTGTGAAAAATCCCTAGTGACATCTCCTATACCACCCCAACCAAGACAATATGCTCATGCATTGAATATGTTATACTACATTCTTCCCATGCATTCAATTTCTTTTTCTGAAGAACCATCCATAAGGAAAATTTTGATCCAATTTAATATTTGGGACTCAAATCAGTAGACTCTTCAGAAATACCAGCAGATAAACTGCAGATGCTAATGATCACTTGCTAATATTCAATTCCCATGTCTTAAAAACATAAAATTACCTCTAGGCAACTTGGAAATGAAAGGATAGATTTTCTTTGTCCTGATGAAGAATTATGATAAACCAAAAAGCCAATATTCTACTATTCTTTTCCTTACTAAAATAAAGAACAATAAAAGTGTGTACATTATCACCATTACTATTCGATAATGTTCCAGAAAGATGTTATAACGTTACAGAATGCTAAATCTAGTGCAAACCGCCACAGAACCAAAATAAAAGTCATAACTATTTAAAAGTAGATAAAAGTGTCATTATCTGCCACTCATATAACTTGGGAACATACAAAAATAAACTGCAAAGCTTTTCGCATAAGTGCCAGCTATAAAATAAATACACCAAAATCAACCACCATCTTAGACTACCGACAGCCAATTTGAAGAGCCCATCACAAAGTAACAAAAACAAATACCTAAGAAGAACTCTAACAGGAAACATTAGGATTCAGATGAAGAAAACAACTCTGCTGAGAGATAAAAGGTCATGAATAATCTTTCATGACCCTTAAAAGAAACACTGATTACAGATGGCAGTCCTTGCCAACGAAACAAAATGTAACATGATCCGGTATTTTTTTAGTTCTAAGGATTCATCTTCCGAGCCTTCCAGATTAAGACGGTAAATTTAACACACATATCCAATTACACCCTTTCCCTAAACCCCACTTAAGTGACAGTAAGAGATCTTTCTAGAAGACATAGAGACCCAAGGACTTAAAGAACTGTAATGGAAACTACAAATCATGAAAGTGGAAAACAGATGGACAAGTGGCAACTGTCTCAGCCAACTTGAGAGAGGGAATGCTATACCAACAGTGAGAAAAGCCGAGAAGTACTCACTCCAGTCTGCTCAAAGACTGAGGGTAAAAGGGTGACAGGTTAAAATAAGGTCAGTAAAAGCTGCATGAGAAGCTCTAAAATTCCAAGATGCCTTCCCCACCTCCTCACTGTAGACCATTGGCAGACAATCCTAGAACCTAGCAAGACTAGAGATTTGTTCTTGGAAGAGTAGGTAAACAGGTAAGTCTGTATGGTGAACCTTCTCCAACATGACTCTACACAGAGAATGCTGAAACCCCAGCCAGATTCCTCCATGAACACTGGAACCTACACTCTTTCCTCAGTGCAAAACTTTACTGGAAGACCACTCTCTGACCAGCCCAAGAAGACCCTACAAATGGCCCCAGTGAAAAACGCAGGAGAAACAGTAAACAATCCAAAGTAGCTGCCACTGGGGAGGGAGAGTAAGGGATGGGGGGAAGAAGAGGCAGATGAAAGACCATCTATTTTACAATAAGCCTCCTAGACTTTTAAAACTGTGCATGTATTAAATACAATAATCTTTATCTGAAAGGACAAGGGCATAGAATTGTAATGTTAAAAGGATAGTGTGACTTGCTCTGCCAGGTATTTCTAAATATTCTAAATCTATGATTAAAAAGATGTGGCATTGATTAAGACTAGAGGATCAACACACAGAGAAGCAAGACCTAAAACTGAAGCAGACCTCAAAGTTAGTCAAGATCTTAAAAAACAATAAAGACCACAAAGCAAAGAAGAAAGGAGGAACTATTTAACAAATGGTGGTAGAACTCGCTAACTAGGGAAAAGGAAGAGGAGGCAGCGGCGGTATAGGAGCGCTTCATATCCATGTACAATTATAGAATTAAATGTAAAAAGATCTAACATATTTCCAAAATGTTGTTTATCTCACCTTTCAGATAAAGATTATTAAATTTAATATATGCATACAGCTTTAAAGTCTAAAAGCCTTATTGTAAAATAAGTGGTCTTCCTCAACGCCTTAGTCTTCCTCCCCATCCACTTTTGACTGCTTACTGCTTCTCCTGAGTTTTTCACTGGGGCCATTTGCAGGGTCTTTCTGGGCTTTCCAAGCATGAACAAATACAAGGAAAAAATCATAAAGGACAAGGTAGAGACTTGTTTATATAGAAATAAAAATATTTTATTGGTTGAAAAACGCCAAAAAGTGAAAGAAATAATGGCCTGTGGAGAAGAAAAAAAAGAAAACTAAAAACATGATAAACACTCAATCTTCTTTAGATAAAACGGGTATTTAATTTTTTTAAATCACCACTTTAAAGTAGGCAAAGTACCAGAAGAGAGAGCTCCCAAAAAGGAAAACAAAAGAAAAAAAACAGATGATCAATTTCAATAGCTACCAAAAAATAAATTAAAAGATCATATTTTTATAGAAAAATCAGGAAAGATGATGAACACTGGAGTGCTGACACACTACAGGTAGACCATACACTCTGTAAGGGAATGTTATGGCATAAGCAATTTGGCAACAAGCCACAAGAGTCATAAAAGAGTTCACCTCTGCCCCAGGATTTCCACTGCTATAAATCTAACCTGAGTAAATCCGAAATATTTAAACTTTCAGACAAGGGCATTTTTCTCAGCTCCACCTGTGTGTCCACTCTTACGTACTGAGCCTACGTCATTTGGTCGACCCTGCTGGCCTTCCTCTACTTAGTTCATTCCATCTCACCAAAACTCTATGGTGCAGGCACCATGACCCTTATTCCAAGGAAATGCGATTAAAGAGGTAATTAAGGTCACTTAGGAAGTGGCCGTGCTAGGATTGGCAACCAAAGGGTTTAATACTGTATTCTCAAGCCACTAAAACTAAAAATAATACGTAAAACAACAGAAAACTAGTTCAATAAACTTGGGTGTATTCATCATTAAAAATCTTATTTTCAAAGGGTTTACAGAAAAAGGAAACGTCTCTAATATTTACTTCATATTAAATAAAAGTGCAATATTTAAAACTACAGATAAAATTAAAGGCCAATTTTGTTCAAAAGTATGTCTATGCAGACAAACAGAGTAAAATGGAAGCACATCATCTAATTACCAGTTGTTTCTTTTTAGATGATATGACGGTGATTTTTACTTTCTTAATTTTTTTCAGTGATTCCCAAAATGTCTCCCAACAGGAAATATTTTTTTATTTAATTTTTTAAAAGAAACAAAGCAACAACAAATTCTCAACTGTATTTGCTTAATTTGAATAAACAAAGGACATGTCGATAAATGTACATTAATGCACACCTTCAAGGAATTTGAGACTGGACAACTATGCTGAAAGAGATACTAAATTGAAAAGGCTTAAAGGTAATTTTTAAATGTGTGATGAAAGAAGGGAAGATTAAGTGAAAGATTATTATTTTAGCAGCCCAGCATCACTGCTGGAACTACAAGGTCCATCACATGATAGGGGTTTCCACCAGTATTCCTTTCTCACAGTAAATGGGAAAAATTCACCTTACAGGATTTGCTTGATAGCTCAGTTAACAGAAATTTAAACAGCACATAAAATAGATTTTAGTAAGAGAAAACCATTTCAACTCCCAACACAAACTCAAAAATCACTGGAATCCTAAAGGTATTTTGGAATTGACTAAAGTCTGATAACTTACAAAGTTTAAAATATTTTTTAAAAAACACAATTAAAAACAAGTATGTTAAATGACCTATTTCTGTACTATTTTGTTCAGAAGAGTTTTAACAGTTCCTTGCAAGGCAAAATGGAATTAGATGTCTATAGCATACCTGTTTTGAGCATTAAAAAAAAAAATGAACATTTTTTCAAATTGATCTTTGGATGCATGTGTTTGGGCAGGGAAGTAGGAGAATGTGTAGACTAATTGTGCCTTTCCTTTGTTAAAGTATAACATTACAAGCAGTTTAACATTTTGTAAAGAATGTTGGCAGAGTACTTTCTAGGAACAAAACAACTTAAAAGCTAAGCATGGCATTTTTGCCACAAATTATCAAAAGTTTTTCCGCACAGATGTGGAGTTATATTTTTTTTAAATTTTTAAATATAAGATATAACTTAGGGCTTTAGAGAAATAGTGCATACAATTCTTAGGCATGTGCACCTCCAAGAAAACATGCTAAAAAAGGAAAAGAAAACATTGTTTCCACTTCATTTTGGAAGTTTGTTAAACAAGTTATCAGTGCAAGGATTGGGAAAGAATGAGAAATCAAGAAAGAACATGGCTGCTAGTAATTATCATCCCATACAACGGCGTTAATAATCTGTAAGTATCTCAGAAAGAACATCTTGGAACTGCATAAGCTCACCCTTACCTGCTGAGGCCAAGAAATGAAAAAGGGTGATTCAAAAATTCTTCCGAAAAGGAAGAGTCCTGTTCAGAAACCCAAGGGTAAGAGGACCCGCCCACTTCCCCTGGAGGACTCGTTGCTATGGGAACCCGCAGTAACCCTTTAAAGCCAGTAACCTGTGGGGGAGGAAGATCCTCCCTCAGGTTAAAGTTAAAACAGGGGATCTGGCAGAGGGTTGAGTAGGGGACTGAGGTAGGGTTAAAAGAAGGGGAAAGCCCTTGGCTGGGCAGGGAGTCAGTGAAAGCGGGCTTAGTAACCTCAACAGAAATTCAAAACAACACTTAGAACAATTGTTTTGAGTGCTAGAGTCACATTATAGTTCACAAAGTTTGAACCGTTAGAGACGCTTCCCTCCCTCCCTGGTGGGAAACAAACCGCTCTTTGTGAGTTCCTGTCTAGGAAAATGAATTTGAGTTTCATCTCACCAATTACAAACTGAATGCTACTACTATGTGAAACTAAAGCCTTGACTTTCTTATATTAAACCAGTGTTTCCAAACTCGGCTGCGCGATCACCTGGGGATCTTTAAAAAATACACTGTGTTAATTGGTCTGGTGTGCGATTGGGCTTTAAGAGTTTTAAAACTCCCCAGCGACTCCTCTGTGCAGCCAAGTTTGGGGAAACTGTATTACAGGATTTGGCGAGGTGGCGGGGAATATTTAAAAAAGAAAAAGCACCGTGATCTCCCTTGGTCTTTTGAGGACTAATAATAGAATTAGCTCGCTTTCACCAGGCACACACAGGACAATGGGTTGCTTGATAAATAGGGATCCCCAGCAGGCCCGAACAATACTTTCTTTGAAAAGGCCAGGAGGTAAAAGCCTTTTCTTCCCAAGAGAGCAAACATCCTTCTTCCCGAACACCAAACTTGTACGTCTATTTTTAGAGCAAACGGGCCACAAATGCCACTCAGAACTCGGAGGACTAGTCCAGCCTCAGGAGGAAGCCGCCCCCGCCATCGCCCGCCGCCACTCGCTGGGTTCCCGCGGCGCCTGAGGCCGCGCAAACCCGGAGCGTCGGTCCCCGGAGTCCCCGCCGGCAGCGCCTCAGGAAAGTTACTTAGGGGAAGTTTGCTCCGCTTCCCACCGCGCGCCTCCCCGGGAGAGGGGCGCGGCCCCCGCCACCTGCTAGGCGCCGAGGCTTCCCGACCGCGCCCCCTGCCTGGACCTCCGCCACCTCCGGGGTCGCGCACCCCGCGGGCGTCCGCACGGCCAGGCGGGCTCGTGCGCCCCTCCCCGCGGTCTTTCGGCTGAGGCGGCCCTGCCCCTCCGCCCCCGGCACCAGGACCTCCGCGCGGGCCCGACGCGCCCCACTGGGACCCCCCCCCCCTCGGAAAGCCAGCCCGCGCGGCCAGCGCCTCTCGAGCCCGGGGGACGGATATGGGATCCTCTGGTCCCGTGGGTCCGAGGCCGACCTGCGGCCACCAGCCCGGCCTCTCCTCGCTTCGCTCGGCCCCTCCGGCCGGCCGCAGGGCGCGCGCCCCTGCCCGGGCGGTCCCGCGCTGCGCACGCGCGGAGGCGCCGACCCGCTCGCCCGCGGCGCCCTCACTCACCGCCAGCGCTCCTCCTCGCCTCGGGCGACGCAGCCGTCCGCCGCCTTGCCCTGTGCCCGCTCCTCAGGCCCCGGCCGGGGCACTCGGAGATCCAGCGCCCGGCGGGCTCGGCGGGCACCCGCACGCAGGGCACGCTCTGCGGGAGCGAGCGCGCGTGCCCGGTCACCGGGAGGGAGCGGAGCGGCATGGGAGGTGCTCCCGGAGGCGGCCTTGGATACGGGGCATGCGCAATGTCTGCCCTGTCCTCAAGCAGGAGTGAGGGGTGGGCGGGAACCCGGGCTTGGAGAAGGCGGGGAGGGTGGAGGAGAGCCAGCACTCCCGCATCTCTGAGAGGCCACTTCGTCCTTGTCCCACGAACTGCAGTTTTTCTCTCTGGGTCATTCATCAATGAATGTATTAAGCATTTATTGAACACTTGCACTGGCAGAGTGGATGTGCGGGATACAGGGCATCCTCCGGTAATAGAGGGCCGATTGCATTTGGCTTTGGGGCTCCTTTTTAGGCACTGATGCCAGCCCTCTCTCTAACAGATAAGGAGGGTGCATAAATAGAGGTCTCGTAATACCTAACGACTACACTCTTCAGTGATCTGGGGAAGGAGAGTAGCTGCTGGTTGGGTTGATCATGGAAACTTCGTTGAGAAGCGAAAAAGAGGAAAGGTGAACACGAAGGCATAAGTGGCAAAAAAAAAAAAAAAAATCAAACAGCATATGAATCCATGCATCCTGTCGGGGACAAGTTTAATCTGAGTGTATTGTTCTTAGTGAAAGATGAAAACGGCGGCCGGAAAGGTAGTTGAAGCTCATCTGGAAATAATCTTTAATGCTTAGCACGACTTCAGCTTTATTCCGTGGATAATTGAGAGGCACGGAAGAAGGGGAGAAGGGGAGCCCGGTGGTGGCTTGATAAAATGCAGAATTTAGGAATATAAAGTGAAAACTAGAGACATGAAATGCTGTAATATATGTTCTAGGTAAGAAGTAGTAGGGTCCTAAGTTCAAGGGTTGGTATCAGGAATGGAAAGGATCAAAAAGTTTCCAGAGACTGTGAAGGACAGAATGACTCCCTTACTTATGTCACTGCCTCTTGGGTAGAGAGATGTTTATCATGACAGGCGCCTACTTCATTAGATCAGATCATCATCCTTGGCAAAATGTATATCGGTGGATAAATTAGACCTATACAATACTGTTAGGACAAGTGGATGCTTCTTTTAGCAAGAGTTTGGCCCTGGGAGAACGTATTTCTGCTCAGATGAAAAACCATTAATTTGAGAGACAGCATACATAGTGAAAGACACCTGGGCTTTGGACAACAAAAGTCCCTTTGATAAAGTCCAAATACCTCATAATACACTATATTGTCTAAATTACTTACTATCTGTGAGCCTTACTGTGTTCATCTGTAACATGGGATCATAATATTTACCTTGTATAATGGTAAGTTTTATGTGTCAACTTGGCTAGGTCATGGTATCCAGATATTTGGACAAACATTAGATGTTTCAGTGAAGGTATTTTTTAGATGAGATTAACAATGAAATCAGTAGACTTTGAGGAAAGCTGATTACTCTTAATAATGTGTATGATTTTCATCCAATCAGCTGAAGACCTTAGTAGAAAAATGCTGACTTCCCCTAAGCAAGAAGGAATTCTGGCAGCAAACAGCCATTGACTTGCAGCCTTTTCCCTAGACCTGCAGCCCGCCTACCTACTCTGAAGATTTTGGAGTTGCCAAGCCTCCACAACCATATAAGCCAATACCTTTCTCTCTCTTTCTCTCTTTTCTCTCTCTTAAACTGCAAAAAGCAAACAAACAAACAAACAAACAGACAGCAGGTTCAAAATGGAGTCACTCATACTAGTGTCACATAACCAAACCAAAACTTGCGTTATTTACTTGCAAGATTTGACCTTGTGAGAAATCAGAAGAGAGATAACAGTGGAATCCAACTAGGCCAACAAGATTTTGCTTACATCTGTAGAAGAAAAGTAACCTTGAAATGACCAACCCTCTATTTGTTCTTTATTTCTGCTTTTCTCTTCTTTTTTCTGCCCATAAAACTCACCCACTCTGTTTAGCTCATCAGAGTTTCTTTCTACTTTGTAGACTGGATGCTGCCCAGTTCATGAATCGCTAATAAAAGCCAATCAGATATTTGAAACTCAATTTGGTGAAATTTTTTTAATTGACATATATTTAAAATAGATATATAGATATATATCCATCCTGTTGGCTCTGTTTCTCTGGAGAACTCTGACTAATACACCTTGAAAGGTTATGAAGATTATGTAAATTAATTCTCATCTGAAAAACAAGCATTATAATCTTTAATTTGTGAGGCTGTAAAAAATTAAACACAAGTGCATAAAGCACCCAGTTTATAGCAGAGTCTGAGTAAATGATAACTACTATTACTTGTGAATGAACACAGAAGGGAAAAACCAGACAAAGAGATAGGATAGATATTAGCACTTTGAAAGCCTTTTCTCAGTTCACTGGGTAATAAATATGTAAAAAACAGATTTAAGAGGTAAAAGAAAATTTTGGTGTCCCTAGCTCTGACACACTAAAAATGTGATAAATATTGCAATTACTTGCAAATAAATTCCTTAAGAGCCATTAACTAAAGATAGACTCTAGCTGTACTCTCAAACACTAAACATGCAAAGCAGAGATATGAATTCATATCTGAACAGTTTACTCCAATTTAAGTTCCAGTCGAATTCACTCTGCTTGCTACTAGGAAGGAGAAACCTGGAAAGAGCTTATTTTTGAAATAATTCCCAATAGCACAGAGTAGGTGCATGCTAGAGCACTCAATCAATGTGTTTGTTGAATAGGCTTCTGGGTGAGCTTATTGTTTTGGGGAGTATGCAAAAGTGGTTAAAATATTCCATTTATTCTACAAATATTACTATTTGTTATGTACTAGGCAGCATCCTGCCCTCAGAGAATTTATCAAATAGAACAGAAAAATGCATAACTATAACTGTAATTTAAGGCAGACTGTGACAAGTGCCTTAAGGGGAACATAAATGGTTGGGCCAATTGTACCTTGCTCAGGTAGTTAATGCTGAGGGCTCACTTTCCTAATCATGTCTCCATAGTGGTTCCCAGCTTTTCATATTTTCTTACGGTGAAAGCCAATGAAATACATGAGCATCTTATAAATATGTTTTGAGCAAAGTTGGTAAATATCAAGTCAACATTCTCATTCCCCTCTTTTGCTTCTGAGTTCACTTTCATGGAATACAGTAAGAGAGGGTGAAGCAGGAGAAGCACAATCCATTCAAATGTAACAGTTTCTCCTTTTCTTCCTCATTATTTGTCTCGGCTGTTTCATTTAAGGCAGATTTGACTTTAGAGTGAAAAACAAAAAATAACAGGTAATTTTTCTGACTTAAGATTTATGACCAAATACATAAAAACTAACATGAAAATAACAAAAGGTGGGGTTTAGATTTATGAAAGGGTGATGAATGATTGAGTTGGAAACCATTAACTAGGTGGACAAAGATGACGATCATGTTTGTCCCATGACCAGCGTTGTCACAAGGTGACTCCTTTTTCCTTTTGGCTAAGAACGAAATATTCCACCATGCATAAGTACAAACAAACTCCAGGAGTGGCAAAAACAAATGATTTGGGGAAAATACACATTTTAGTATATTTTAAATAATGAGGATGGTATTTTATTATGAGATTTGTGAATATATTAAAGTTTTGCCACAATGACTGGGAAATAAATGTATCTGGAATTAAAGGAAGCTAGGAATTAAAGGAACTGGAATTAAAGTATTTGTATGTACTACAAATACAATGTTTTAGAAATTGAAAGAAATGGCCTCAAGCCGTGGATGATAATTATCATCTGATGTTCCATGAAAGAGTCATATAAGCAAAGTGACCCCCAAATTCTAAAGGAGCCAAGAAGCCAAAGAGGAGGCAGACAAATTTAGTTTGTCGGTGTTGGTGGATTTATTCTGGGACTTAGAGACAGAAGAATGTCCTTGGATAGCCACAAGACAAGTAGATCTCTGCACCTGTTACTCCCCATACCCAAGGCTTATCTACTATAGGGAAAATGTATACGTATTCCAGCAAGACAATGAAAGGCAACTCTCCAAAACAAGAAAGAATGCTATGTGTGTCACAACCTATAATTTTTATGATAACATCAAGGTTGCTTTGCTCTAAAAGCAGGAGCACAGTTTCTTACACTAGGGACAGTAAATAAAGTAGCAATCAGGTGGTATTCATGGGACTAGGGCTGATCAGAAATTAACACTGCAGATTAGCATCCAAGATGGAGCCACTTTTGTCTCCATATCTGATGAATAATAGGATGATACTAGGAGATGGGAAATAAGTTAAAATGTATCCTGGGCCAGAGTTTTAAAAATATATATATAAACCTGGCATGGTGCCTTGCAAATATAATCAATGTGCTAGCTCTAAATGGTTTAAAATTAGACTAAAAACAGAATTAGCTATACATTATTCATATGCAGCATTCTCCCTTTCATGGTCTTTCTTTTTACTTATGCTATTCAAAAAAATTCAACAACATCAGTATCACAGGTAATGTAGGGGTTTCTTACTGCAAATGGTCCCCAACTTTTAATGATTAGATTTACAATTTTTTGACTTTATGATGGTGTGAGTTCAGTAGAAACTGTAATTTGAATTTTTTATTTTGATCTGTTCCCAGGCTAGCAATATTTGGTTCGATATTCTCTCACTATGCTGAGAAGTCAGCCACAGCTCCCAGTGAGCTACTTGATCACAAGGGTAACAACTGATACTCTACAGTGTGCTACATTTGACAAATTATGTGATATATTAAACACTTTATTATAAAATAGTATTTGTGTTAGATGACTTTGCCCAACCCGAAGCTAATGGAAGTGTTACGAACACGTTTAAGATAGGCTAAGCTAAGCTACTATGTTTGATAGATTAGGTATATTAAATGCATTTTCCACTTATTATGTTTTCAACTTACGATGGGTTTATTGGGCTGTTACTCCATTGTAAGTTGAGGAGCATCTGTGGAAGAATATTTGATCATGAAAAAATCCAAATTTAATAAAATGGCTAGCAGGAACAATATTGATTATTTTTTTACAGGTTCTATCTCCCTTTCTCCTTTAAGATTTTATTCAACAAAATATGATTGGTTGGCACACAACTTTTCAATAAGATGACTTTTGCAAATTTTAATGACATCTGTAACTTGAATTGTATGTTAACTTTACGTAAGTGCAACATTTAAAATACTAAATTGAGTGTAATCATAACAATTAAATGCATATAAATTATTTTGCATAAGCAACAACAAAAGCAGGACAAGAAACCCACTATTGGCTTACAGTTTTTCTTTTCTTTTCTTTTCCTTTTTTTTTTTTTTTTTTTTGAGACAGTCTCACTCTGTTGCCCATGCTGGAGTGCAGTGGTGTGGTCTCCGCTCACTGCAACCTCTGTCTCCCACCTCCTGGGCTCAAGCAATTCTCCTGCCTCTGCCTCCCAAGTAGCTGGGATTACAGGGGCCTGCCACCACACCCAGCGAAATTTTTGTATTTTTAGTAGAGACAGGGTTTCACCATGTTGGGCAGGCTGGTCTCAAACCCCTGACCTCGTGATCCACCTGCCTTGCCCTCCCAAAGCGCTGGGATTATAGGCATAAGCCACCCAGCCTGGCTGTACAGTTTTTCTTTGAAAATGAACCTCCTATAAAACATTAAATCCAGTTTTCTAGAATGTAAACACATACTTCATTAAATCAGTTTTTGTAAAATCACATGAATATTAGAATAAGTATTTCCATACATCATATTCTAGTTTAGTGGGGCAGTCTGGATTACTGCTGTTTAATGGGAAAAAAAAATGTGAGCCGCAAATGTGAGTTACATAAGTAATTTTACATTTTCCACTAGTAGCATTTTAAAAAGCAAAGTCTCAGGATACAAAATCAATGTGCAAAAATCATAAGCATTCCTATACACCAATAATAGAGAGCCAAATCATGAGTGCACTCCCATTTACAATTGCTACAAAGGAATAAAATACCTAGGAACACAACTCACAAGGGATGTGAAGGAACTCTTCAAGGAGAACTACAGGCCATTGCTCAAGGGAGTAAGAGAGGACACAAACAAATGGAAAAACATTCCATGCTCATGGATGAAGAATCAAGATCGTGAAAATGGCCATACTGCCCAAAGTAATTTATAGATTCAATACTATCCCCATCAAGTTACCACTAATCTTCTTCACAGAATTAGAAAAAAACTACTTTAAATTTTATATGGAACCAAAAAAGAGCCCGCATAGCCAAGACAATCTTAAGCAAAAAGAACAAAGCTGGAGGCATCACGCTACCTGACTTCAAACTATACTACAAGGCTACAGCAACCAAAACAGCCTGGTACTGGTACCCAAACAGATATATAGGCCACTGGAACAGAACAGAGGCCTCAGAAATAATGCCACACATCTACAACTACCTGATCTTTGACAAACCTGACAAAAACAAGCAATGGGGAAAGGATTCCCTATTTAATAAATGTTGTTGGGAAAATTGGCTAACCATATGCAGAAAACTGAAACTGGACCCCTTCCTTACACCTTTTACAAAAATTATTTCAAGATGGATTAAAGACCTAAACATAAGACCTAAACTCATAAAAACCCTAGAAAAAAACCAAGGCAATACCATTCAGGACATAGGCATGGGCAAGGACTTCATGACTAAAAACACCAAAAGCGATGACAACGAAAGCCAAAATTGACAAATGGGATCTAATTAAACTAAAGAACTTCTGCACAGCAAAAGAAACTATCATCAGAGTGAATAGGCAACCTACAGAATGGGAGAAAATTTTTGCAATCTATCCATCTGACAAAGGGCTAATATCCAGAATCTACAAAGAACATAAACAAATTTACAAGAAAAAAACAAATAACCCCATCAAAAAGTGGGCAAAGGATATGAACAGACACTTCTCCAAAGGAGACATTTATGCAGCCAACAAACATATGAAAAAAAGCTCATCATCACTGGTCATTAAAGAAATGGAAATCAAAACCACACTGAGATACCATCTCACACCAGTTAGAATGGCGATCATTAAAGAGTCAGGAAACAACAGATGCTGGAGAGGATGTGAAGAAATAGAAATGCTTTTACACTGTTGGTGGAAGTATAAATTAGCTCAACCATTATGGAAGACAGTGTGGAAATTCCTCAAGGATCTAGAACCAGAAATACCATTTGCCCCCACAATCCCATTACTGGGTATATACCCAAAGGATTATAAATCATTCTACTATAAAGACACATGCACACGTATGTTTATTGCAGCACTATTCACAATGGCAAAGACTTGAAATCAACCCAAATGCCCATCAATGATAGACTGGATAAAGAAAATGTGGCACATATACACCATGTGGAATACTATGCTGCCATAAAAAAAGATGGGTTCATGTCCTTTGAGGGACATAGATGAAGCTGGAAACCATCATTCTCAGCAAACTAACACAGGAACAGAAAACCAAACACTGCATGTTCTCACTCATAAGTGGGAGTTGAACAATAAGAACACGTGGACACAGGGAGGGGAACACCACACACTGGAGCCTGTCGGGGCGGGGGGCTAGGGGAGGGATAGCATTAGGAGAAATACCTAATGTAGATAGATAACGGGTTGATGGGTGCATCAAACCACCATGGCACATGTATACCTATGTTACAAACCTGCACGTTCTGCACATATATCCCAGAACTTAGAGCAAAATAATAAAAAATAATAATAAGATACAAAATTATCTATATATGATCATAGAACTATACACAATATTTGCATACAATAAAAGAAAACAAAAATGAAACAAAAAAGTAAAACAAAACAGAAGAAATTAATAATGTATTTAACCCAAATATCAACATATTATTATTTCAACATGTAGCAAGTGTAAAAAATTATTAACAAGATATTTTACATTTTTTTACACTACGTCTTCAAAATCTGGTGTGTATTTTCTACTTACAGCTCATCTTGATTCAGACCAGCCATATATCAAATACTTACTAGCCACGTGTGACTCATGGCTATTGTATTGGAAAGCACAGATCTAGGACTAAGTTGTTGATTCTCAAACTTGGCTGCACATTGGAATTACCTGAGAAACTTGAATATTTTTTTTGAGACGGAGTTTCGCTCTTATGCCCCAGGCTGGGGTGCAATGGCGCGACCTTGGCTTACTGCAACCTCCGCCTCCCAGGTTCAAACAAAACATTTTTGATATCTGTATCACAGTCCCATAATTCCAGCATATTTGTTCTGGGGTGCTGCCAGGGCATTGAGAGTCTTTTTAAAGGTCTTTAGGTGATTCTAATATGTAGCAAAGTTTAAGAATTGCTAGTCTCACTTATTTACATATTTAGAAAAGCATGATCAGAACTTTGATATTATGAAATCTGTGGCAAGTATGAAATCTGTGGCAATTATTCTACATTTTCCTTATTTAAAACCAACATCATCTAAAAATCATGCTGAGGCATACTGGTGCTGTAGCATAAAAAGCATACATGGTATATGTACATCACTGGTATATTTTAATAAAAGTAATAATCGCTGATAAAATGTCAGTGCTTTGATTAATATGGCCATGGGTTCAAATGTAACATGAATGATTCCAAGTAAGGATTTTTTCCTCTTTTTTTTTTTTTTTTTATTTTTTGAGACAGGGTCTCACTGTCACCCAGGCTGGAGTGCAGTGGCGCGATCTCAGCTTACTGAGACCTCCACCTGGCCCGCAGCCTCCCAGGTAACTGGGACCACAGGTGCAGACCACCACTCCCAGCTAATTTTTTAATTTTTTTGTAGAGACAGGGTTTCATCATGGCTCTCGCCGGGGTTGCCCAAGCTTATCTCAAACTCCTGAGCTCAAGGGATCAGCACTAGCCTCCCAAAGTGCTAGGATTAGAGGTCTGAGCCACATCATGCCCAGCCTCCAGGTGAGAATTTAGTCTCAGCACTTGAACTGTTAAGTACTGGCACTTCTGTATGTGTTCTACTGAGGAAGAAAAACTTTGTCTCTACCCTCTTAAGTTCAGTGTTTGCGGACATGTGAACTAAACTGAAACTGACATATTCGCAGGAAAATAAACAAAGTTTATCCATATGCATGTGGGAATGCACGAAAGTTGTGGCTCTATAAATAGTTAAAGATGAGGGTTTATATACATAATTTTATGGTGTGTGGAGAAAAGGCTTCTGTGGGAAAAACCAATGGGTTTCTAGGAAAACCAATGGGAGATAAAAGTTCGTGATACTGTTTGTTTATGCAAGTCCAAATGGCCTTCTCCATTTTTTTCTTCATAGCCATAAAACTCCCTCAGAGAGGGGATTTATAGCAGCCTCATTCCCAGAATTTTTGTTTTTACTGAGATAAGGGAAGCCCTGGGAAGCTGCCTTTCTGTATCTGTTGAATCTCAAATATCTTTATTTTAAAATAATTTTTGTATCAATTCTGAAGGCCCAAGTTGGTCCCAAAGATTTTTTAACTTTATAATTGTTTAGCAAATCTCCTAACAGAGAAAGTGCCTCTGACAGTGGGTCAGGAAACCTTTTCATCATGCTTATATTTATTTGATGTGTTAACTCTCGTGTCCAGTACCCTGAATGACAAGTATGAAGGCTAACCCACATGCTTAACAAATATTTCCCATCTTATTTTCTACTCCAGGGATTATTCATTATCTGTACCTAGTAGGTATACTTAATATTGCTGAGTACTTCAAGACTTAGTGGCTTTGAAATCATCTTTATTACTTCCATTATGCCTGTGGATCTGCTGGAAAGTTTTGTTTCTCGGCCAGTCTCCATTAATCTCTCCTAGGTTCTCTCAAACTTTGACATTTAGTGGGTGGGTACCTGGAGGCTAGTTGGTCTAGGACAGCCTCAGGTGAAACAACTCATTCTGCTCCATGTGGTCTCTCTTGGAAGGCTGCCACTGCTCTGAGAACAAAGCCAGGCTAGCCTGCTGGAGCATGAGAGACCATGTGGAGCAGGAAGTACACGTTCAAGTCTGATTGCATCAAGTTTCCACTGTCTCATTGGCCAAAGCAATTCCCAAGGACAAGCCCAGAGTCAAGGTGGGAGGACACTACTGAAGGGAATGGATACCGGTATTAGCATATTCAATCTACTACGCATAGTGCTTTATGCAATTAGCCCCACCATGTTTTATTCTGTCCATTACAGTTGCTCTCATTCCAAAACATTCTTAGTTATTGCAGTGTTGAATATCTTTTTTTTTCCCAAACTAAATGTCTTGCCTTTAAGTTTTATTAGTATCCTATTGTTTGGAACTATATTTTATGGTTCAGTCTTTTTTATACTTTTAAAACCCCTGTTTAAACTTGGTTATATGAATAAATAATAAAAATGAATGTAATCTTTGCTCAAGTAAGCAGTCAGTAAACAGATGCAATATGTTTAAAAGGCTTTATGCTTTGTCTTGAGTTCCAAAAATGTTTTAAGACAACCTAATTTCAAAAAGATTAAATAAGTAAGTCCTCATAGGCATACAATATTGATACATGTTCCCTTCCTACCACTCATTGTCCATTCAATATTTGTAGTTCGCATATACATTTTTCACTGCACTTTTTCACAATCAGCTCAATTCATCCTGTAAAATCATTTCTGGTTGAATTTTGATGTGAACATCCTAAAGAGTTGTATGTGGAGAGATTCTCAAACTTGGACATTAGAGTAAAAGGCATTATATTTTATCAACTGGAAATATGAGTAAACTATGTTTAAAAAGTAAAACAAGTGCATTTCCTCCTCTAGGATGACTTATTTTGTGTCTTTGGTGTTTCAGAATCCTATAGAATTATCTTTTCCCCATTATACAGCCATTGTAAATTATTTGTTCCTAGAATATAACCTTATAAGATTAAAAGAGCTTTGAATTACCATGCAACATTTTGTGCCTATCTGAGTAAATGACAAAATAGACTAAGAAAACATCATCTAGTTATGTTATGTTGTTTACTCTTTGAAAATATGTATTGTTTTGCAAATCCTAGCAAGGAAGAAAAGACTAAATTCTCTTGTGTGTAACTGGAGAAAGTATTCTTTCTGAGCACATAATACTTGGACCAGGAGAAGCCCAATGGATTTGGATTCTCTCAAGATGATCTTCACGGTCTTGGGGCATACAGGAGCCCAATGTAACAGCACAAATCCATATCCCACCACATCCTCTTGCATTAGTTTTCCTCAGAACCAACCGCCTAAACAGGATTCAAGGGAAAGCAATTTATTCTGCAATGATCAGAGGAAACTCTGTAGCGAAGTAGGGAAGTGAAACAAACAAGAGGAGGCCACCATGTTACCACTGTGGCCAGCTGGAGCTCAATCCTGCTTGGGGGAACTGGCAGGGATATCCTGATGATCCTGATGAAAGGTGGAGGGAGCTGGAATCATTATTTACTAACTCCCATTCATCAAGGGACAAGAGAGCTGAAAGCATTATCTGCCAGTTTCCATCCATCAAAGACTGTGGGTTGTTCTCAGAAAACTAGTTTCCTAGCACCTACATTCAGTCCCTGCTCATGAGCTGCACATGGTTCTGTGGCCGGAAAAAAAGAAAAGAAAAAGAAAAGGCAAAGAATCTTATTTGCTGGTAATTGGAAGTCATCCCTCTTGCACCTGAATGTGTAAGGGACTCTTACACCAGTATGCACCAGATACGCAGAGACACACAGCATAGCATCATGAAGGTCTTTCTCAGGCACACCTGAATATTACCTTATTCTCCTCAAGGATTGCCTTCTTTCCTATATTGTCTTTACTGCCCTCTCTGACCCTCTCACATTTTAATACCTTCAACAGAGGTATGCTCTGAAGGTGGACATAGTAGACAGTGACCCACTGCACCCAGTGAACAAGGCAAAAATACGGGTTTGCCAAACCATCAGGCTACGTGTGTGCTCTCTGATCAAGGCACCTTAGATGCAGATGATTTCCAGAAAGTCTGGAAGAAATTGCATGAAGGTGTAGATGTGCGGAAGCAGATCTGAAGACAAAGGTGCTAGCAGATACTCATCGACAACAGTGATTCTCAATTGGAGGAGATTTTACAGACTATCCAACACTTGCCCCACCCTCCGCCACCGAGGATATTTGGCAATAGCTGGAAATATTTGGTTTTGCTTGTCACAGCTGTGGGAGAAGTGCTACTGGCATCAGGTACTTGGAGGCCAGGAATGCTGCTAAACATTCTACAAGGCACAAGACAATGCACATAATCATAGTCATCCTCAAAGTTCCATTGTGATGCTGTTGGGAAACCCTGATCTAAAGAAACATCAGGCCGGGCGCGGTGGCTCACGCCTGTATGGGAGGCCGAGGCGGGTGGATCACGAGGTCAGGAGATCGAGACCACGGTGAAACCCCGTCTCTACTAAAAATACAAAAAAAATTAGCCGGGCGCGGTGGCGGGCGCCTGTAGCCCCAGCTACTCGGGAGGCTGAGCCAGGAGAATGGCGTGAACCCGGGAGGCAGAGCTTGCAGTGAGCCGAGATCGCTCCACGGCACTCCAGCTTGGGCAACAGAGCGAGACTCCATCTTAAAAAAAAAAAAAAAAAGAAACATCAGTGGAAGAGGAAGAAACTGCAGGTCATGCATTCCAGTTTTCTCTCCTAATCTTTACTTTCAATTTTTACTCTAACATGCAAAGTTTCCATTGATTTCTAAAGGTGATTCTAAGCATGTTGGGAGGTACAAAAAGAAAGCTCATTATGGTTTTTGAAACTTTACTAAATTGAATAGGGGAGTAGCAGTCTAACCTTTAAAAATGTTTCCAGATGCTGAACATAGGATTGAAATGCTAAATGGAAAGAACTAACTATTACTGATTAGTAGTGCAATGGCAGAAAAGGGCAGATTTCTTTTGATGTACCGAGTCATGAAGGACATAAAGACGCTGACACTCAGTGATTAATTTCTGGAAATGTGGTCGAACGAATCAAATTATGTATCATTTGATGCCATTAAATTTGAGTTCCTGCATTATATGTGGACCTTTCACTTTTCAAGCATTCTCAGCGTGTGAAATTGAATGTGCCGTTTACAAGCTATCATGTAATTTTCTGTTTTCTGAAACAAAAGCAACAATTTGGGTACATTAAAGACTATTATATAATTGACAAACCTGCTTCTTAAAACTTGATCCAAAACACTTACAATTACTATCATTTGCCAAAGGGAGGTATTCCTTAACAGTGCAAAATCACTTAAAAATTAAAATGAAAATCCTCTTTTGCTTTTGTTCCAATAAGGATAACTTCCATGTGTATACATTTACACCGTTTACAGAGCTTCTTTTTTTATAATGCCCATTAACTCACTTGATTTTTAAATTAACCATATAAATAGACAGAACAGATAGCATTATCCCCATTTTTAAAACGAGAAAGCTAAAACTCAGAGATCATAATTTACTAGTTCAGCAATGAAGACACAGAGTGTCAACTCTTCATAAAACAACCACATTTTTATCACATCATATTACTTTCACTTAATGTTTAATTCCAATATAATGTACCTGCAGATAGTGTACAAAAGTGTGCAACTCTATGAATTTTCATAACCTAAAAACAGCCACGTAACCAGCATCCAGATCAAGAACCAGAGCATAGCCATCCTCTCCAAAACCCCTCATTCCGCTTTTAGATACCATTGCCTATTTCTCTCAAGATAACCAATTATCTTCACTTCTGACAGCACTGTTTCCTTTTGCCTGTTTTTGAATTTTATGTAAATGGAATTATATCACGTGTCCTCTTATGTTCTCTTCTTGGTCAATATGAAGTTTGTGGGCTTCATTCAGATTATTGAATGTGGCTGCAAGTTGTTGATTCTCATTGTTCTATACTATTTCATGTGTGACCATTTCAGAATTTATTTATCCATTTGATCATTTGATGGCCATTTGTGTTGTCTTCAGTTTTTGCCTATTGCAAGTAGCAGTGCCATGAACTTTTTTTCTCTACATCTTTTGGTGAACATAGGTACATATTTCTATTGAGTTTATATCTAGGAGCAGAAGTGCTGGGTCAAAGAATATGCATAGATTCTGCATTAGTGGGCACTGGCCAACAGTGGTTGTACAAATTTACATTCCTATCAACATTCTGTGAGAGTTTCTGTTGCATTTTATCCTTGTCAACACTTGGTATTATCTGTCCTTTTTCATCACAGCCATTCTCTTAGATACAGTAGCACATCATGGTGATATTTTGTTTCAATTTAATTTTAATAATTGAAACCCAAATATTTTGACATCACCAGCCTGTAGGTTAAACCTTTATTTTAACACCAAAACTTGCTGCCCCTTGCCCCCACCTACATAAATGCAGGGCGCTAAAGGTCATGCAATTATTCTGGGTTATCCATTGAATCTGTAGAAATCTTCTTCCGGTCATTTCATCAGTGTTTGGTACCCATAAGGCATGTGACAAGTGCTTGCATCAGAATCATGGATGCCTAGCCCTATAAGTGAGTATTGTGCCCCCAAGAGGCATTTTGCCTAGTCATTCAACTGCTGTTGAAGTCCAAGGCTACTGACGGGCATATGCCGTGTTCCATTCTGTTCTTATTTCATGAAAGCCACATTCTATGTTCCATGAAAAACGTTGTTACTTGGGCTCCAAAGCATTACCTCTGCCTCCTTCCCAAACTCTGCCATGATCCAGCTGGCCAAACCCCATCCAAATCCCTCATTTCAGCTCATGCCTTGCGATCTTCTTCTCTCTCTCTGGGCTCTTCATATCTGATTGTAAGGGGGAACTTGGAATAAACCTCCTCTACAGACTCTTTATCCATCTCTTCATATCTCACATTTCTGCCCCTGAGACTTACATATAAAACTTAAGTCTTACCTCTCAGGAGTGAATGCCATCGTCTCCATAGTTCACCATTCACAACTGGACTAGGTACATATTTCTCAATGTAGGATAGCTAGGGATAATTGCCATTAAAAAATTATATTTCCAATAAGAAAGATAATTTGGAAGTTAGAAAATCATGAGGAGTCCATGATGTAAATAAGTATCTCTGTACTTTCCCACTGATAAGTCACAGAGCTACTCAAGATGGATAATGCTCCAGGGAATGGAGGGAAATAGAAACTCTTTAAATTGGATATGTTGCATCTTCAATGCCTAGGCCACTAATGGTCAACAGGGCAGCCAGTATCTATAAAGAGATACTACTATAAAAATAAGATTTTAGTCATTATCTTCTCTAGTCCTACCTTTGCTTTTATTAAATGGATGGATTGTCACAATAATATTTTATAAAGAACCACCTCAAAATTAAGTGACTTAAAACAATAAGATACAGTTAACTAATGACTCTGAGGGCTGGTGATTTAGTCCAGCGTCATCTGGGCAGCTCTTCTAGTCTTGGCTGGTTCACTCATATATCTGGACTCTTAGCCTTGATTGGGATGACTGATGTGGCTGGTCTCTGCTGTAGGTAGTTTTCTTTCTTCCCTGTTAACAGCAGGATAGCCTGGTCAGGTCCTTTCCATGGTTACGGTGAGGGCAAAAGTGAGCAAGCCTAGTTGTACAGGGTCTCTTCAAGACTCACTGACATTCCATGGACCGAAGAAAGTCATGTGGCTGGAGCCAGAGTCCGAGTAGGAGTATTGCAAAGTTATCTAGCCAGAACCATAGGCACAAAAAATGGGTGAAAAACTGGACTATTTTCACACTCCATCACACAAGTAAACTGAGACAAGTCATGTAATCAGTTCTGCTGTCAATACAACGGGGGTGATTATAACCCAGAAGCCTCTCCCAAATTTTCCTAATGGTTTAAAATGTAATAAATAGATTGAAAACACTTAAGTGCTTCAAAACTGTTAAGTGATATATACATGTGAGATCTTGCTATTATTATTATTATTATTTATATTATTCTTTTTATTATATTCACATGGTTGGCTCTAAGCAAAATCCTGAGATGAGTGATCTTGGCTTTCAGCGTTTCTGGCTCTGACAAGTGGCCTCATGCTTTATGATATTAGGCCTCTCAGGAGCTTCCATTATAATACTCTACCCATTTTTAGGAATCACCCAATAAAAGAATAATCAAAATGAACAAATGAATGAATGAAGATTGAATGAATGAATGAATAAATGAAGTTCTCAAGAAATGGCTAGTCAACCCTTATTCTTCCCTGCCTTCCACCAGAATGAATTGAGTACCTTCTCTGTACAAAACTCCCTTAACCTGTCATTACTAAGTTCCAGGAATGCAAATTAGAATGGGGACAACCTCCTCCATGGAGGAATTCACAGTCTATGGGTGAAAAACACTTCCAAACAGAAATTTCCTTACAATATCTGGAGAACTACATTGGAGATATGTGCCAATGAAAGTGAGTTTTTATGGGCCTTCCTAGAGAAGTAAGAAGATTTCAAAGAAGGCACTTTGGAGCTGAAAGGAACTGGGGGGAGGGGGTGTTCCCAGGCTCACAGGAAGGGGGTGCACATTCCAATTCGAGGCAATGGCCTGTGGAAATGCCTCTGGGAGAGGTGGCATGTTTGGACGTTGTTCAGTAAAGGTGGAATTTATGAGGATCATAGGTGTGATGGGAAATGAAGTTAGAGAGGTGCGTAGGGAGCACTAAAGGGTTTACATGAATGGCATGCTCTGATTTTAGAATCAGACCACAATAAGGAAGTTGGACTGGAGCTGAAAATGATCAGTGACAGGGAGGACAACAGGGCTGGAATTTCAAGAGTTTGGGTGAGATATACCCTATCCCTGATCCTGGGCTATGACAGGAGGGATGAAGTGAGAGATAAGGGTGGATATGACATACACTTACTAGTGCTAATGGGAGAATGTGATTGACTTGATGAATAAGAGAGTTATACCCTCCCACAACAGGAGCATGAAAAGGATATTCAGCCAATCACTATGTGAGTCAGTCAACAGACTGACATTTACTGAGAGCTTACTTTGGGCAAACCAAGAAGTTAGTCGTTGTGGAGCATCTATAAAGATGATGAAGATAAAGACCTCTGACAATTAGTAAAAATTAGCTGTATGTCACAGAATCAAAACAAGAGACTTTATTAAGGAACACACAATGTGCTACGATATCATTGAGAAAAGAGTGATTGGACTTAATTAACAAGCATTCATTTTGGGGAGCTGAGAAACAACATTCTAACCCTAGATTGTTCTTGCCTCTGTTCATTGCCATAATGAATTCTATTTCCTTAATGAGAAACCAGCTAACTATCTTTTATTCTCTCTAATATTTGTAAAATAAATAAGACTCAAAATTAGAGTTCTAGAATCTTCTTACAGAAACGGCTGGGCCAGCACAGTGTCTTTGCTCAGTGATGGTTGCTTTGAGGGATGTGCTTATCTTCCAAGGGTTCCTTACCTAAGAAAGATTAGGGTAACATAACTAACTCCGGGCAGATAGACTCAGGGAGAGATGAGTTAAGATTCCAGGTGCTCATTGTCTCAGCTTTGCAAAGCAGTGCAAGACCATTCCTTGAAGTCCTGCCAACTACCTTCAGAAGTGAGCTTTTGTGTTATTCTGTTCAGTATCTTTGGTTGGATTCTCCAGAAGCAGGCTTTGGGATGAATAGTCATGTTCAAATTATTAACAAAGAGATGTTCCCCAGGAGAGACCAGCAAAGGAGTGAAGGAAGCAGAGCAAGGAAGGAGAATAAGCTACACAATGCTGTGATTACAGGTGAACTCCCTGCTTTGCCTTGATTCAGTGGGGGAGTTCTGGAGAATAAATTACACCTTAGGCCTTGTCAAGCCTTGGAGCAAAGGAACGAGGCTTTTACACTCTGGGACCAATCAGTCTTTGGCTATGGGCTGCCTATGGCGAACACGCCATACTCCCAGGCACTTCTAGCTTGCTATCAATGGGGAAAGTGGTTGCAGAGCTCAGGGGCAGCCTTTGGAAGGAGTTCCCAGGTGCAAAGTGTAAGAAACAAATGGATTTTAAATTGGGTGAGGAGGGACATGAGGAGTTTGAGGGACAGTGAAGAGGCAGTGTGTTTACTGAATTGTAGGTCCTATTGGAATTAAAGAATTGCCAGTACCAAGGTAGTAGGAAATGGCCTAGAGAGAGGTAATATCCACTGAGAGAGTAGAACCCTTGAAATTGGGATGAAGGGGGTTTTCCAGCTATTGTTAATGAGAAAGTCTGGGGCAATCATTCTCAACAGAGAAATACTGCTCAGTCCTAGGGCATGTCTCAAAAAATTTCAGAGGCTTTAGTGGTTGTCAAAAGAATGGGAGGTAACAGTGTCATTTAATAGGCTAGAGACAAATATGTAGATGTTTTCATCCTCACACAGTGAAAAAGTCCCCAGTAGCATGGCAATCAAATATTCCACCAGACATTCATTGAGGCAAAAAAACCACTTACGTTAACCTAGAACCTAACCCCATTTTACATATCCACACAAATTACACATTTTGCATGGTTTTAGCATAGACTGATTTTTCTAGAAATGGAATGGTAGTGTAAGAAGATTGTACTTTGTTATTTGCAGAGCTTTAACAAGAAATGTTCATCCTTTTGGCAAATCACAACACTGATAGTAACTGTAACTTGTGATAACTAAGTGACCAAAACAACACACCAATTTTGTATTTTTTTGGAATTCATGGTGATTTTTTTGTGAGTAGGTACAGGAATAAACTTACGTGATCCTCATTTCAAGGAGAAGAAGGAGAAGTTGAAGAAGGAGGAGAAGGAGAAGGATGAGAAGAAAAACAAGAAGAGGAAGGAGAAGGAGGAGGAAAATGAGAAGGAGAAGAAGAGAAGGAACAGCAGCAGTTGCAGGAGGAGGAGAAAGAGGAGGAGGAGGAGGAGGGAGTGTGCAGAAGCTGGGGGGTAAATGCAATCTTGAGAAATTCAGCACAGTTCCAACAGTGTGTGTTATGCCTGGGCACGAAGGGTCCTACCTCAGCAAGATCAAGGGTAAAGGTTAGAGGAGGACCATCCTCCTGCTGGCTGGTTAAATGTTTTTGTACCCTGTCTTTCTTTATTTCCTTCTTTTGAGAATTTGAAGGTTACTTGGGGGTAGAAAGGAATAAGGGCTATAAGTTTACTTACTTATCTAAAACATACATTTTAAGAATTTTCTCAGAGCCAAGTCAATTCTGAAGCAAATAATTTACAACTGGAGTAGAAGAGCATAACCTTCTCAGAGGACATTGACATTTACCTACAAAATATTGAGAGCGCCTTTAGGCAGATTACATATACCCTCTTCTTAGGGAAAAGGGAGCTGGTATTTGTGGGGCTGATACATAAAAGGACTAAGTTTCTCAGCTGCAAAGCAGAGTCCAGTGACATCAAGTTGGATAAATGCTTTCATTAGGACTATGGAAACGTCTGTGGAAACCTGTGTAACCCCTAAACAGCACATTAACTCAGGGTATGTCAGCATTAGGTCATCTCTTTGGTCAGGTAGTTGGAAAGAACTTAGCAGAACAATGTTGAAGAAAAAAAATAATTTCCTGAAATAAAATGTCTACAGAGAATGATAAAGCTTATTTGCTGTCCCTTTGAAGTATAATTGATATGCTAATCAGGCTCCATAATGAGTTTTCTTTTCCTTCTCCTAGTAATATAAATTTGTAAGGAAGCTCGAGATTGATTTATTTTCTTAAGCAAAGGGTAGGCAGGCAATATAATTGAATAAAGAAGGTAAGTTAGACATTATTAAATTTGCCCTTTAGTAAAGGAAGCAGTTACTTTTCAGCTCCTGCCTATATTTGTCATGTAGGAATGAGAGGTCTCATCTTATCAGAACTTTTGATGATTCAAGAAAACTTGGAAATTTGAACACTCCCAGTGTTAAAATTTTCTCAACTACTAAAAATCTGCTATGCTACCCAAGCCTCATAAATAGCAAGGGCATCATTTTATCACAGAATAAATATAAAATTATTGCTAAACTTTGAAGTTTTTGTTGTAATAAAGTTGATAATTAACTCTGATATTTAAGTAAATTTGATTTATTGCTCACTTTTAGTTTAGCTTGGGTTTTTTCCTTACCTCTGCCCACTTTTAGTGTTACGTTTTTACTCTTGATAGAAAGTCAATGTCAAAATCAGTATGTGTCAATCCCTGCTTTGTTTTCTAGGGATTCCAATGTTGGAAGCATTTTTAGCGTACAACAACATCCAAGTGGATTACTATGAATGCCTAGACCTCTATGGCAAACAGGTCAGTAAAAAGAACAATTCATGGAATCTAAAACTTGTATTCTGTTTCTGGTAGCCCCTATTTTCTAGTCTGTAAAGGCTGAGATAACATCAGATTCTATAAAAGCTGTCTTTGAAGAACTGCAGAACAGTCTATTTGAATATGAATAACTTTAAACCATATGACCTAAAATTTTATGCTTCTCAATGGAAAACAGAAATTTGCTACGGTCTCTTAATTTTGCTCCAATACACATTGTGTTGTGGAAAAACTCTCCTAAACTAAATTTGTCCTCTGCTTTCACATCACAATAATCATCAACACAGAAGACCTCTGTGACCAAAGGTATGGGGTTTTTTTTTTTCCCACACACCAAGCAGTGGATACCACATGAATGTCCTTCAATTCAGTTCTGACACTATCTACCCAGAGATAGCATCAGATCCTACAGGTTAAGGGTTCAGTCCCACAAGACCATCCCCTCTTTCCCCCCAGTCTCAAGTCTGGGCCTCCAAAACTTCTGACCGACCAGCTTCAAGTTGGATTTCCCACTATCCCTTCTTTGGATTCAATTAATTTGCTGGAATGGCCCACAGAACTTACATTTACCAGTTTATTATTAAGGATACTGCAAAGGATACAGATAAAGAGATGCATTGGTACACACCCTCCAGGAAGCTCCACATCTTCAGCTATCCAGAAGCTCCTCAAATCCTGTCCTTTGGGCCTTTTATGGAGGCTTCATCAGTTGTCCATGATGGAAGCATGAGCAACTGTGTCAAAATGTGATTGGACAAAAACAGTATGATCTAAACCCAGAAAGACCTGTCTGTTCAGATTCCTCTAGGTCTCTCCATGCAGCATTCCCTTCTCTAGACTATGGGCAGGACTCTCTGAAATGAGGGTCTTTTGACTCACAATCAGATTAGAGTCCTGCCTTGGGCAGGTGAAAGAAAGTCAGGAGAAGGCCAGAATGAGAGATTCTGTTTCCTGAGGCCTAAAGTGCCTCAAGAGTATAGAAAGTACTGTAGAAGTTAGGAGCCAGGAACTGTGGATAAAAACCAACATATATATCATGACACCACACAAATTTAATTCAGTTAAACAATTCAATTAAAAAATGCAAAAAATTACTTATCAGATTATCAATGATTAAAAAGACTAAAAATAACTACTGTTGATATGGATTCTGAGTGTTGGGTTCTTCTTCACTCCTGGAAGTGTAAATTGGGGTAACTTTTGGAAATTCAGTTTAGTAATATGTTCAACAGTATGTATCAAATTTAAAAATACATACATATACTGTTTGATTCAGCAATTAAGCTTCTAGAAAGCTCTTTGCTGTTCTGCCCATGCTAGTAAACAAAAGGAATAATTTAAATGTTTATTAATGGGAGAATAGTTGAATGGGTTTTGGCACAGTCCAATCAGTGGAATAGTCTGCATTTACTGAATGTAAAATGATGTTTATTTATATTTGTTAATGTGAAAGTAATGTATTATATGTGAAACAAATAAAGTAGAATTTAAAACAATGGTTTTCTTATGGCCCCATTTTTGTTAAAGTACTTATACTATTATGAAATGGTCAAGAGATGAAGCAGAGAGAAGGAGAAAGAGAGAAAGAAAGAAAGAGAGAAAGAGAGCGGGAAAGAGAAAGAAGGAAAGAATATCCTATATACTGGCAGCCCTTGTTTGGTATGGTAGTGTAACACTGTAAAAATGACTACACAAATTGTTTCTTACTATCTAAGTTATAAACAGAAATGAAATACTAGTAAACCTAATACAGTCATGTGCGGCTTAACAATGAGAATACATTCTGAGAAATGCCTCCTTAGGCAATTTCATCATTGTTTGAAAATAATGGTGTGTACTTACACAAACCTAGATGGTATAGCCTGCTATACACCTAAGCTGTATGATATAGACTATTGCTCCTGTGCTACAAGCCTGTACAGCATGCTACTGTACTGAGTACTGTAAGCAGTTGTAACCCAATGGCACATATCTGTGTATCTAAACATAGAAAATGTAGTGTGCTGCAGTACATGGTAATGGTACAATGGCTATGATGTCACTGGGTGACAAGAATTTTTCAGTTCCACTATAATCTTGTGGCACCACCATCATTGCGGTACATTGTTGACCAAAATGTCATTACACAGGGCATGACCGTGTCTGTTTAATATCCTCTAATATAACACATTAGAAGCATTAGGAATTAAAGTGTTTTATTTATTAATAAAAATCATAGACCAGGTGTGGTGGCTCATGCCCATAATCCCAGCACTTTGGGAGGCAGAGAAGGGAAGGTCACTTGAGGGCAGGAGTTCGAGACCAGCCTGGTTAACATGGCAAAACCCTGTCTCTACTAAAAATACAAAAATTAGCCAGGCATGTTGGTGCATGCCTGTAATCCCAGCTACTCGGAGGCTGAGGCACAAGAATCTCTTGAACCCAGGAGGTGAAGGTTGCAGTGAGCCGAGATTGCACCATTGCACTCCAGCCTGGGTGACAGAGCAAGACACAGTCTCAAAAAAAAAAAAAAAAAAAATTATGAAGGGTAGTTTAAATAGTGCCTGCCTTCAGGTCATATAACTTATGATATGGAGCAAGCATCTTTTCTATGCCTTGGCCAATGGTCATATTCCCTTTAAGTTTGGATGGGCTTCCAACATGAAATCCTTTGCCCTTTCAATGTCATGAAATATCTCTGTGAGTTTCTTTAATTCAAGTATTTTTACTGGCATCACCGTCTCTGGGACATCTTCGTCCTTCCTGTCACAACTACACTCCTCATTCATGTCTATACGCTTGCCTCCACTAAGCTCCTATCCAGTGGCAACAGTACCAGTGTTCCCAGAGTTAGCTATTTCTTCTATAATTCCATTTACATTCTATTTGAATTGCACTTCCGACATGACGACTTTTTGTTTTTTTGCTGATCTTTCACTTTATTGGTCAATTCTCTCTTTCAATTATTCATTTTTATAAAATGTTACATGGGTTTATCACTGGGAGACACAGAGGCAACACAGCTATAAGCTTTGCTGTCTGTGTCTGAGCTGAATAACAAATGTGCAGTGACTAATTACCGACAGACTTTGAAAGAGGTGTTGTCTTTGGTCACTGATTTTTGAGGTGCATATGTTATGTGCAAAGGGATTGGTGGACAGAAGAGCAAGAAGTAAAGTTTGTAGTTTATGCAATTACTCACAGTTAACATAATGCAGTAACTGAAATTTCAAACTTCTTAATGGGGGACTGACTTATAACTGAACTATGGCAACAGAAAGTTTTGCATATTGGAACCAGGCATGTCAAGGACTGCAAGCCTAAGAAAAGCCTGGAAAAACATGCAATAAAATATAAAGAGGAAGTGGCTGTTCCTGGGTCTTACATTTCCAGATAGTTGTATTTTGCGTTTTTTAAAACATTCTTATTTGTATTTTAAAATTTCCTACAATTAATATATATTATTTGTATAATACAAAATAAATAACATTGAGGAAAAATTTTAGTACTTACTTTACTTCTATAAAATCCAGTTAATTTTGATGTGAATCAGTAAACTTAATTTGATTCAGATAACTTGAGGATAATTTAGTTAATAAAAAGTTTTAAATCATTATTTTAACCTTCCTCACTGTGAAATTAGTTTTGATTTGAATGAGTACATTTGATTAAATTAATTTGAGGAGAAAATACTCTATTACAATATTTAGTCTTTCTTTTCAAGAACATTGATTGATATGTTTCTCCACTTATTCTTCTCTATTTTATGCCATTAGTGATATTTTACAGCATTTTTCATATAAGTTCTCCATATACCAAATAAGTGTATTTTTCCTACTGATACCGTGAATGATGATCTTTTCTTTCCCATTAGATTTTTGAAATAGGATAGCTATTGATTTTGTCTACTTAATCATATTAGTTGTGACCATACAAAACTCTCTTGTTAATACAATTTATAACTAAAGTAGACACATATTTATTATGTCTATTGACAATCATAATTACTTACATGATGGGTGAACTTACCCTGTTCCCTCGTAAGGCTTATGTTTCTTTTTTTCTTTTTCTTTTTTTTTTTTTTTGAGATGGAGTCTCACTCTGACGCCCAGGCTGGAGTGCAATGGCTTGATCTCGGCTCACTGCAAGCGCCCCCTCCCGGGTTCATGGCATTCTCCTGCCTCAGCCTCCAGAGTAGCTGGGACTACAGGCTCCCACCACCACGCCTGGCTAATTTTTTGTATTTTTAGTAGAGACGGGGATTCACCGTGTTAGCCAGGATGGTCTCGATCTCCTGACCTCGTGATCCGCCTCCCTCGGCCTCCCAAAGTGCTGGGATTACAGACGTGAACCACCCCACCCAGCCAGGCTTATGTTTTAATTCTGAGCTGAATCCCATTCTCCTTTTCCACTCAAATATCCCACTCTGTCCTGCCTCACCAAATTTCCTCTTCTACTGTATCATTCCTGTCATCATGCAAACATCCGGTAAACTCACTCATATTAAAAATAAGATGAAATAAAAAATAAAATCCTTTTAACATTCTATATTCTTTCCAACTTCCGTCTGATTTATCTCTTTTGTATCAAAATTCATCAGAAGAGTAGTTTCTGCCTGCTTACTCTCTCTCCTTGTGCAGAAAAGAGTTTATATGAGAAGCCTGACTTTAAATGGCCTGCTTATAATGGAATTTGGATTTCAGGAGAGTCTCCACCACCATTAACCATAAGAGTGGTTCATTGTATACAAACTGCTTACATAAACAATATGGTTCATGTCAGACACCTACTGTCACTCTGGGAGTTTGGAATTTTGGTATGCATCAGTCAAAGACTGTCCACATAACCAGTGTCCGATAAAACCTTTGGGTTGTGAGACTCTAATGAGATTCTCTAGTTGGTAAAACTTCTCACAACTCATTGCTGGGGGAATTAAATATGTGATTCTACTGAGAGAGAACACTTGGAAGCCCATGCCTGATTTCCCCCTAGACTTCACTCCTTACACGTCTTCCTTTTGCCAATTGTGTTTGTTTTGTGTCCTTTTCCTGCAATAAATCATAACTGTAAATACAACTATATGCTGAGCATTGTGCGTTCTCCCTGAGTATTGTGATCTTGGGGACTCTTACAGTCCTCACTTCCCATTCTCTTTTGAGCCCATTTATTAAGCTTTTCATTTCAGTGTCTCTGTGGAATTCACTTTTATCAAGGTCGTAGTGACCTCCAGATTGTCCAGTCCAATGGCCATTTTCCAGTCCTCATCTTATTCTATCTTCAGCAGCATTTGAATCAGGCCATCATTTTCTTCCTTTTGAATTACTTTTGTTCATTGATTTCTAGGGCAGCACATTATTCTGGTTTTCCTCCTATCACATTGGCATGCCCTTTTCAGCTTCTTTTTCTGGATGTTGCTCTGCTTCCTGAACTCTACATTAGAGATGGCAGTTTGGTTGGCATGATGGGGCTGAATGACTAATTTTTTTTTTTTTTTTTTTGAGACAGAGTCTTGCTCTGTCACCCAGGCTGAAGTGCAATGGTGCGATCTTGGCTCACTGCAACCTTCGCCTCCTGGGTTCAAGAGATTCTCCTGCCTCAGCCTCCCAAGTAGCTAGGAATAGGCATACGCCACCATGCCTAGCTAATTTTTGTGTTTTTTTGTAGAGATGGGCTTTCACTGTGTTAGCCAGGCTGGCCTCAAACTCCTAACCTCAAGTAATCTGCCCACCTTGGCCTCCCAAAGTGCTTAGATTATAGGTATGAGCCATCACACTTGGCCTGAAAGTCTAATTCTGATGGCTCAAGAGAAGAAGAAGAGAAATTAAAGGCAGTATAGAGAAAGAGGAGACTTTTTTTTTCGCAAAGCTTTAGTACAAAGGGGAACAAAACTGACATACTACCAGAAATGGAAATTGGAACCCAGAAAACATTTTTAAGTTGTGAGAAATTACGATATGTTTGAATGTTGAAGGGAATGATTCAATTGTGAGGAGGGTAAAGACAGGATGCAGGAGAGAGAGAAATTGCGAATATCCAAGGCACAAGCAGAGGGTTTATCTTAGATGAGAGGAGGAGAAACTTTATCTTTAATTAGCAGAAAAGAAACCAGGATGCATGGGCCCTTTTGCTTCTAAATTTGTTAAAGTGGTGGGAACTTAAAGAGTGTTTTAGGGTGCTTCAATTTTGGCATTAAAATAAATGAGTTATGAGCTGAGAGTGGAATAAAAGGCACGCTGGAACTTTAAGGAGCAAGAAGCCTATGGAAGTAAAACAAGCTACAGAACTTAGTGAAGGATAAAACATGGGGAGTGAGGGTTGTATAGATTTCCACTAACCTTCTCTCGTGCTCCTGATGGAAATCTTTCCCAAAATTGATGTCAGTGAGATCTGCTTTGTGACTAAAAAATTTGTTAATATTAATTTATCAATATCACTAATATCAGTTTATTTGTTCTTAATACTGCTAGTGTGCAACTTACCTGAAGGCATATGCAATATTTTGTAGGCCAATTTAAATGCAGTCAGAAGGATTAAGCTCTTCTACTTTCATTCTATATCATTTGATTTAGAACTGACTTGGTATGATGCAAGAAGAAATATATATTTAATCTCTTCCAGGTTCCTGGCACAGAGCTTCTAAAATCCTTTAGAAGATGGTAGGGAGTGAGGAACATCTGTTGTTATAATATTCTATCTTAGTCCCTGGCTTCTTATAGAATAGTTTCTAAGACTCTTGGAATCTCCAGAGAGAAATAAAAGTGTCTTTTTTTATGCTAATGAGATGACTGATGGCAGAGGTTCCTAGATAGCTTTAGGAACGGGGCTGGTCACCAGAAAGACCAAGACATGATTAGAGAGTTAGAACTTTTAACCTTACTTTCTGACCTCTGGGGAGGGGACAAGGGTTGGAGACTGTCTTAATCACCAATAGCCAACGGCTTAATCCATCATACCTAATTAAGCCTCTGTAACCCTGAAGGATGGATTTTGGAGAGCTATCAAGTTGGTACAAGAGACCATATGCCAGGAGGGTGGCATACTCCAATTCCATAGGGACAGAAGCTCCTGCTTTCAAGACCTTTTCAGATCTTGCTCTATGGACTTCTTCTGGCTGTTTTTCTGGATCCTTGAGAATATCTTTCATAACAAACTGGCAAACATAAGTAAATATTTCCCTGAGTTTTGTGAGACATTCAACAAGTTATCTAACCTGATGTGGGAAGTCTGGGAACCCTTAATTTATAGCCAGTTGATTAGAAGTACAGGACAACAACCTGGGACTTGCAGTTGGTGTATAAAATTGACAGAAGACCTGAGGGACTGAGTCCTTAACCTGGGGGGTCTACAGTAAATATGGGTAGTTAATGTCAAAATTCAAACTCAGTTGGTGTCCCCAGAGTTGGAGAATTGGTTGATGTCTTAGTCTGTTTTGGCTGCCATAGCAAAATACCTCAAACTGGGTAATTTATAAACAATAGAAATGTATTGCTCACAATTCTAGAGGCTGGGAAGTTAAAGATCAAGGTGTCAGCTGTTTTGGTGTCTAAGGGCCCAATCTCTTCTTCCAAGATGGTGCCTTGTTGCTGTATCTGCTGTGCCCACATGTGGTGAAAAGCAGAAGAGTAAGAGAGCCCTCCCTTCAACCCAGCATCCTTTTATAAGGATGCTCATTCCATTCATCAGGGCAGACCCCTCATGACTTAATCACCTCCTAAAGGCCACACCACCTCTCAATAGTGTTGCATTGACAATTATGTTTCAAAATAAATTTGAGAGGGAATACCATCATTCAAACAAGTGGTTGGTATGAAAAAGAAACCTTACAAATTTGGTGTCAGATATGTTGTAAATAGTAGATAAACTGTTTTTGCTGTTGCTGTTTGTTTTTGTTATTCACCTGGCTAGGACAACATTCTCAAAGATTTTGAATTTGAGGGGATTTGTAGTGAATATGCAAGGATGGAGGAAGGCACTTGTATATCCAGGTGTGGAGGTCAGAGAGATGACGTGAACTGTTGCTAAAACTCTAAGTCATTTGCTTGTAGGTAGTCCTTAAAACTCTGAGTTGTAATACTTGAGCAAGACTAAACTGGGAGAGTAAATGCCTTGCTGACCATTTATATTTACTGGCTGGGGAAAAGAGAATGAATCTGCAATGAACTCAGAAAAAGATTCTGAAGAGGTAGGTGGAAAACCAGAAAAGTATGGTTTCCTAAAGCAAGGGGAAGATAGTACTTTAAGAAGGAGGGGACTGTTAACAACTCCAAATGGGGACTAAGGCTTATATTTGATGACTTGTGAAAAAATAATCTTTGGATATGTGCTCAGATAGACCATTCATGACAAGAACAATTTCAATGAAGTCACAGGGAAGAAAGAAAAATTGAAACACATTTTGCTTTTATTCTTCAAAATGAAATGCCGCTACCACTTGGATACACAGAGATCCAAGGTATATGGAGGCCAATGTAAACAATTCTTCAGGAAATCCGTGAAGTTGACAAGAAGGAGAGCGATAAAAGGTGGAGAGAAGATGTTGGTCTGAGGGGAGTTATGTTTTAAATGAGAAGACTTAAGTTATGTTTTAAATGAGAAACTATTGGGAAGAATTAGATTTAGAGTGTAAATAATAAAGCAAAAAAGTTTAACTGTCAATATAATACTCCTGAGAAGCTGGGAAAGGATAGGAGTTCAGGCAGGGGTTGAAGTCTTGGCCATGGTTGGGAAGAGAGGCACTGCTCCCCTTGAAATGGAAGAGGGTGGAGAGGGAATGAATGCAGATGGGTGCAGATCTGATATCCCTTCACTCCTCGAATGTATTTTCAGTAGTAACTTTGAGCCAGGCACTGTCTGAGGTACTTGAGATGCCTCTGTGAATAACAGAGTATAAGATCTTAAAGGGCTTACACATTAAAAGGTAATGTCGCTGCACTTTTCTCTGAGAAGTTGAAGGTCAGGCTATTGATAGGAGGAAGTTGGCAGGGAGTTGGGAAGGCCCAGTGGGAAAATGTAGAAGCCTTGTCATTGAGGACCAGACAGAGAAACTTGGCAGGATTTTTCAGGCATTGTTGAGGCCGTTTTAAAGTTGACATCTTTGCCTATATAGGAAAACCATTGTGTGAACTGTCATGAAACTTTCCTGCTTAGCTTGGCTCTTAGACATGTCTAGAAAAAGCAAAGAGGAAATGTTAGCTAAAAAAGACTCTCCTGCAATTAAATTTATTTTCCTCCCTTTGTTTAGATGCCAGATTTTATTTCTAATACCTGTTTATGTTTTATTTCCTTTTGTGCAGTTGACAACAGATTATCGGCTGAATTAGTGTGTTTGAATAATTTTCTCTTTTTCCTTTTTATCTCCAATATTGTTTTTATCTTGATTAGTTCAACTCTAATTAACTTTGTGTTCATTTTAGTGCTTTTTACCCTCAGCTTCTTTTCTTGAATACCTAATTAATTTATTTTAATTTTTCTTGCTTAATAATAGAAAGCATTTTAGACTATACTTTTTTCTGAGGACAATTTTAGACTTATGCAGTTGATTTTGATACATAATGTTCTTTAATTTATAAAATGTTTTTAATTGTACTCTTTAATCTTTTCTTTTGTCTCCTCTCCAAGAATTATTAAAAACAAGGTTTTTGGATTTCCAGTTAGTTAGATTTAGCTATGGTTATTTTATCCTTATTGTATTTTTAGTTTTATTATGGTATGGTGAAAGCATGTAGGTCGCACAATTCCCACATGATAGAATTAATTAAGGTTATATTGATATCTATATATGCAATTAAACTTTGTAGCCATTACACTGATAGACATTTAAAAATAATGTATTTTCTTTATAGGGTAAAAATTTAGATAACCATTCCTTTGAGCTTCTAATATATGCAAGGTTTTATATTAGGTACTGGGAATGAAGGGAGAACAAGACAGGATTTCTGTACTCATGGAACTTATGTTGTAGTCTAAAAGACAGGAGGAAAAAGCAAATGTCTACTAAAATATTTACAAGCCTCTATAAGTGTTTTGAAAGAAGAAAGGAATAAACGCAGAGACCAAGCTGCACTCAATTTGTATAGGGTTATCTGGAAAGGCTGTCTAGAAGAACTGACACTCTGGTGGAGTCCTAAAAAACTACAGGCTGCTGGCCAATTAGAGCTTTGAAGAGAGATCATTTGTTAGAGGGAAACCAGGAGAGGAAAAGAGATCTGGGGATACTGGCAAGGGAGTGATTACATTGAGAAGTCGTGGACATAGAGTTGGACAGGAGAGAATAAAAAAGTTATGGGGTCCATATTTTGGCAGTCTCTGAAGAGTTAAGGAATTGTAGCAGTGGGGGTTTATGAGTTTGTGAGTGAGGTAGAGCAAAGATGGTACACAGAGATTAAGATGTTTAAAATTACGATTTCAGAAATAGTGCAGTTTCTGATGATGACAATATTTAAGATGTGACCAGTGGAGTGGGTGACTAAGTTGGACTAGAGAAAAGACATTGATGGTAAAGAGGTAAGGATCCAGCTGTCTGCGGTGTTGGAGAGTTCACCTATGTGAGATAACTGCAGAACTTCCTTCGGGCGGAGAGGAACACCAAAAGCCAAAACAAGTTTATTGTCTATATTATTCAGACCCTCTGTATTTCAATTAAATTTTATTTAACTGATTTTTTGATTCTCAGAGACATGTTAAATTTTCCTACTATGATTGTGATTTGTGCTTTACACAGTTGATTCTCCCTATTTAAGGTAGTTATGCACCATTAATATGGTGCAAACACAATTAGCAAACACTGAAACATTGCTCCTAGGGGAAATGTTGTATTAAGTTCCTGCAAGCTACTGGTCATATTTTCATCAACTAACCAATATGCAATTGTGTTTTACATATGCTTCTGCTTAAAGACATCTTATCTTATATATATATATATATGTATTTTGATTCATTAATATTGAATGGCCAATGGCACTATAACTCATGCCTTAACAAAGCTTATCTTACACACATAGTTTCTCCGTAGGGCACATTCAAGCTTTCTTGAGCTTAGAAGCATGAGACACTAATCTTGGGGGCCACTTTAAACAGTTAATCAATAAGAAAAAAGCACAGAAATGTAAAAAAAGGTGCTAAATAGACCACAAAAAAGACACTTGTTTAGAGTATGAGAACTGAAATAAGAAGGTAGAGCATTGCTTAGTTTGACCACAGCAAAAACTTGCACATTTTTTGCTGCTCTGTACTTGTCAGTGAATGACTGAAAATGTACAAGTATTGATTTTAGGGGTTGCAAATACATTTTAGCAAGTAGACAAACACAATTATTGACTTCGTGAATAATAAAAAACAACTATGCATTTTTAGATTGTTAATTGTTAGAGTCAGGACTATACTATTTTCAATGTGTTTTTAAAAATAATTTGGAAAATAAAATGAACCCTTTGGCTCAAATTAAACCTTTCTGTCTCAAATTTTATTTTGGCTAGTGCTTATACTGCTATTCTTTATTTGCTTGTTGTTTATGTGTTGTTTGTATTTTCATGAAATACACTTCTCCATATAGCTGAATTTTGTTTTGTTGTTTTCTTATTTTTTAATTAAAATTTTAAATTTAACTCTATAACTTCTTTTTTTATTTGTTGTCATAAAGTTCTCTCCTAAATTTTATTCTTGAACAATCTGAAAATCACTGTCTTATAACAAATAGCTATAACTAAAATTTTTATAATTGTTATGGCTGATACTTCTGTGGCACTTTATAGTCTGACTTTTGGACTGCCAGATTTGATAGGCAGAACATTTCTATTGGAAATGTAGTGCCCCATGCCTCATGTCTTGTTCTAATCCCATCCCTACCAGTCCCCTCAGAGGTAATCAGCTTAAATGCCCTGTTTTATCATTCTCCTTTGTTTTTCATTTATCACATATATTTTTATGCCTAAACAGCCTGTTGCTTCATATTGAATGTTTTAAACTTTATATCAACGGAATAAAACTACCTGTATTTTTCTGTGACTTACTTTTTTTGGCTTAATATCATGTTTTTGAGGGTCATCCAGGTTGATATATTCAATTGCTCATTTTTACTAAAAGCCGAATTATGCAACTTATTTATCCAATCTACTTTTACCAGAAATTTTTGTCTGTTTTGTGTGTGTGTGTGTCTGTGTGTGTGTGTGTGTGTGTGTGTGTGTGTGTGTGTTTGCAATGTTATAAACATTCTTGCATAAATCTCTTGAGGCAAAGCTGTAATGGTTTCTCCCAGGGTATATTCCTAAGAGTGACATTGTTGGGTCACCTTTAACTTCCTTAAACAATGACAAATTTTTCTCGAAAAGTCTTGTTTCCTTCTGTGGGAAATGCCTGTTATGTCTCTTGCTCACTGCCTTTTCATTTTGAGTTGCAGGAAGAGAATAGATGGATGAATAGTTGGATGAGTGGATGAATAAATGAATGGATAGATGAATGAATATAGATAGACAGATATTCTAATATTTTGGGTCAGTTTTATGTGTTGCAAATACCTTACAGTTTTTAGCTTGACTTTTCACTCTCGTTTCTGTCTTAAAAAATGTTTATTGTATACACATTTACATTATTATATATAACACTTACTATCCTATAGTAACTCATTAATTCTCATCTCAACTTGATGTTATGGATACTATTATCAACCCCACTTTACTTTTGAGGGAACAGAGGCAGAGAGCATAAAAATAGCCCAAGTTTTTGGTGGTAAGTGACAGAACCAGGATTCAAAGATGAGCCATTACTCTCTAGAGTATGATATACTAACCCCTATTCTGTACACTTCTCTATGATGGACATAAAAATCACTTTCTTCGGGAGGCTGAGGCAGGAGAATGGCGTGAACCTGGGAGGCGGAGCTTGCAGTGAGCCGAGATCGTTCTACTGCACTCCAGCCTGGGCAACAGAGTGAGACTCCGTTTCAAAACAAAACAAAAAAATCATTTTCTTCAATGATTGCACTTTCCATGTCTTAATTAAGAAACCCTCCCTTATCCCAATGTAGTAAGTAAAGGTTTCTGGGCTGTCTCTGAGAACTGTTTTGCCTTTCACTCAAATTTTTAGTCCATTGAGGATTTTGTGTGTGTTTTTGTGTGTTGTGTGTATGTGTGTGTGTGTGTGTGTAGTAAAGGATTCAATTTCTTTTTTTTTTAATAAGGATAACTGTTAAGTGCTGATCTATCTCTACTGATGTATAATATCACTTCTGCAATAACATAGTAGGATTAAAACTACTAGAAATAACTGGAAAATATAATGGAAAAATCTACCATGTATAATATATAACAATATGAAATACTTAAAACTTGTATAATGAAACCTCCAAAACACTGCTGAGGAAAATTATAGGAGACTTAAATAAGAAAATAGATATACCATTTTTAAGGATCAGAGGACTCAATACTGTTAAGATGTCAATTCTGCCTAAATAGATCTATAGATTCAAATTGACTCCATAATCTATCTAGCTGTTTTCACAGAAAGTCACAAGCTAGTACTGCCTTTTACTTTAAATATTTTTGACATAATGTTTTCTATATACTACAATATTTAGGGATTATAGAAATACAATTAAATTTTCCATATTGATTTTGTTCCAGCAAATTGGCTAAACTCTGTTATTCATTCTAATAATATGCCTATAGATTTTGGGGAAATTTCTGCAGGCAATCATATTAGCTCTGAATTATGACAGCTCTATTTCTTTCCTTCCAATTTTTATGCTTTATAGCGCTCTTTCTTACTTTACTTCACTAGGTAATATTGAATAGAGGTGGAATAGCAGGCTTATTTTTTTTTTCCTGTTCTGAAACTCTTTAAAATCTGCACATAAAATTAGATGCTGTTGTAGTTCTTTCTTTCTTTTTCTTTCTTTCTTTCTTTTTGTTATCAAATTAGCATAATTTCTTTCTATTCCTAATTTGCTCAAGAGTTTTTTCAAATAAAGGTAGTGAATGTAAGCTTAATTTCATGTATCATCCTTTCTATACGTATATGTATTGAGGTGATTTAATTTTTTTTTGTTATAATCTTTCTTTCTACCCTTACTTATACCTTCTCTAATGCTCTTTCTTTCTGACCCATATCATTTTCCCGGTCTCTGAGGAAACTTTGTTTGTTTGTTTTGTTTTGTTTTGTTTTGTTTTGAGACGGAGTCTCGCTCTGTCGCCCAGGCTGGAGTGCAGTGGTGCAATCCTGGCTCACTGCAACCTCTGCCTCCAGGGTTCAAGCGATTCTCCTGCCCTAGCCTCCCGAGTAGCTGGGATTACAGGCACACGCTACCATGCCCAGCTGATTTTTGTATTTTTAGTTGAGACGGGGTTTCACCATGTTGGCCAGGACGGTCTTGAACTCCTGACCTCGGGTGATCCATCCGCCTCAGCCTCTCAAAGTGCTGGGATTACAGACATGAGCCACCACACCTGGCCACCTTTTTTTTTTTTTTTTTTTTTTAACATTTCTTGCAAGGGAGGCCTACTGGCCACAGATTCTCTCATTTTACTTGTTTGAGAGTGTCTCTGTTTCTCCTTAAATTTTGATGATCAATTTCGCAGGATACAGAATTCTAGGTTGGTGGGCTTTTTTTTTTTATCTCAGTACTTAAATGTTTTGTCCATTTATTTCTCCTTATTTGCATGGTTTCTGATAAATCAGATGTTATTTTTCTCTTTGCTCCTCTATAGATAAGTTTTTTTCCCCTCTGGCTTCTTTAAAGGTTTTCTTCTTTATCTTTGATTTTCTGCAGGTTAAATATGATATGCCTAACTGTGGTTTTGGGCATTTTTCCTTCTTGGTGTTCTCTGAGCATCCTGAATCTGTGGTTTCATGTCTGACTTTAATTTGAAGAAAATTCTTAGGCATTATTGCTTTAAATATTTCTTTTATTTCTTTCTCTCTTTATTCTCCTTCTGCTATTCCCATTACACATTTGTTATAATTTTTGTAGTTGCTTCAGGGTTCTTGGATATTCTAGTCCTCTTTTTTTGGTATTTTTTTCTTTGCTTTTCAGTTTTGGATGTTTATATTGACATATCATCAAGCTTGGAAATTCTTTCCTCAGTCATATCCAGTCTACCAATGAGCCTATTAAGTCATTCTTCATTCCTGTTATAGTATTTTTGATCTTCCCCATTCCCATTTTACTCTTTCTTAGAATTTCCAACTCTCTGCTTACATTACTCCTCTGTTTTTGCATGCTGTCTACTTCCATTAGAGCTCTCAGCATACTCATCACAGTTGTTTAAAATTGCTGATCTAATAATTCCAACATCCCTGCCATAGCTGACTCTCGTTTCAGTGCTTGTTCTGGCTCTTCAAACTATGGTTTTTACCTTTTAGTGTGCCTTGTAATTTTTTCTTGATAGCCAGACATGATGTTTTTGGTAAAAGGAACCACCGTAAATAGGTGTTTGGTGATGTGTGGTAAAGTTTGGGGAGAGGAGAAGGGTAGAAGGTTCTATAGTCCCATGATTAGGTCTCAGCCTGCTTTAAGCCTGTGCCCTGGAGTGTGAACCCAAAAGTGCTTCTCACTTTTTCCCCTAGTTAGCTGGGACAGGATGGCTAGAGGGGACTGGAGTTAGATTTTTTCCTTCTCTCAGATAAGTTTGGTTTTGGTAAAACCACCATAGGTTTGGCTTTGGTAAAATAGTTTATCTTGAGGGCAGACCTTGTTAAGAATAGAGCGATCTATTTCAAAATGGCTATTTTTCCCATCCCCATGTTAAAAGCAGAGGAAACCTTTTTTTTTTTTTTGATACGGAGTCTCACTCTGTTGCCAGGCTGGAGTGTGGTGGCATGATCTAGGCTCACCGCAACCTCCGCCTCCCAGGTTCAAGCAATTCTTCTGCCTCAGCCTCCCTAGTAACTGTGATTACAGGCACGTGCCACCACACCCAACTAAAATGTATTTATTTATTTATTTATTTACTTTTGAGACAGAGTCTCACTCTGTCGCCCAGGCTGGAGCGCAGTGGCGCGATCTCGGCTCACTGCAAGCTCCACCTCCCGGATTCACGCCATTCTCCTGCCTCAGCCTCCCGAGTAGCTGGGGCTGCAGGCGCCCGCCACCACGCCTGGCTAATTTTTTGTATTTTTAGTAGAGACGGGGTTTCACCATGTTAGCCAGGATGGTCTCGATCTCCTGACCTCGTGATCCACCCGCCTCCGCCTTCCAAAGTGCTGGGATTACAGGCATGAGCCACCGCGCCACCGCGCCCGGCCCACACCCAGCTAATTTTTGTATTTTTAGTAGAGACGGGGTTTCACCCTGTTGGCCAGGATAGTCTTGATCTCCTGACCTCCTGATCCGCCCGCCTCAGCCTCCCAAAGTGCTAGGATTACAGGCGTGAGCCACCACGCCTGGCCCAAGCAGAGGGAACTTTAAGCATTACTATGAGAACCTAGTAGAGTTACTTGAGGTAAAACTCACAAAAGTATGGATGTCCCCCAAAATTAGGCCCCCTCAGAGTTTTAAACTCTCAGCTTGTCCACAATGAGCCTCCAAAAATTCATCACTTACAGTTCAGATTTTCTTGCTCCAATACTGGTCCTCACAGAGAGTTTTTAACCTGTGAATCTCTGCTTTATTAAATTTTGATTCTCTGTATCCAACTGTCTGTCTGTCCAATTTTTAGGGCAGCAGTTTACCCTGTGACCTAAATTCTCTGATAGAACTAATTGATTTTAGTTTAACTTGTTATGTATTGTTAGGACAGAGTGATGACTTCCAAGTTCCTTACATGTTAGACTGGAAACCAGACTCTTAACTTGTTAATACAGAATACAGTAAATTTTATTATTTATATGTAATAAATTTATATATTTAATATATTAAAAGTTACATATATATTATGTGTATATATATAACTTTTTAAACCAGCATCACATTCTTGGGACAAATATAAATTGGTTGTGATACACCCTTTTTGTATATTGCTCAATTCAATTTTTGGAATTTTTCTTTCAGGATTGTATACTTATGTTCATGGGTAAGAATTTTCTGTAAATTTCCATTCCCTAAATCTTGTTTGGTTCTTGTGTCATGACTATGCTAACCTCATAAACTGTTGGGAAATATTCTTTCTTTTGCTATTCTCTAGAACAGTATGAATAATATTGAATTATCCTAATGTTTGTTAGAACTTGTCCACAAATCTGTTAGGATCTGATATTCTTGTTGCAGAGAAGCTTTAAAGTGCTGATTCCTTATCTTTGATGGCTATAAGGCCACTCAGATTTCCTATTACTGTTGAGTCAGTGTTGATACATCATCTTCATGGGAATAGGCTTATTTTGAATTTTAGGGGGATAACATCCTCCTATGTTCTTTTGAAATAGCTATAATAGTTAGAGTTATGTCTCCCTCTTCTTCTTTATTTTGAGCTTTATGATAATTCTTTGAAGTCTGGAGTATGGTAAATTCCCTCAGACACTATCTGTTTCTGCCTATTCTTAGAGTGTAGGAACTAACAAACGAGGAACACTTCTTTAGTAGAAATAGGTGTCCACCAAAACATTTCCTTCTTCATCCTGGATGCATAGCTAGACTACATTTCCCAGCCTCTCTTGGGGTTGGGTGTGGCCTTGTGCCTGAGTTCTCATCAATGAAATATGAGTGGAATGGAGTGATGACCCACTTCCAAACATGGAATATAAAATCCATACTACCAAATGAACACCACCCATTTCAGTTCCCTTTTGCTGTGTCACAAACAATCCCCAAGACCTGGTGCCCTAAAATAACAATAGGTTTATTTATTTCAACAGTCAGTTGACTGAGCCAGACTTTGCTGGTCCTGTCTGGGCTCCTCACATGACTGCATTATGGTATAAGCTGGCAGGGGCTGGAAAGCCCAAGATAATCTCTACCATATATGGGATCTTTGGTGCTCACTGTGAGCTGGGATGCTATTATTCCCCTCTTTGTGACCTGTCTCTCTATGTGATGACCCATACCTCTGGCCTCTACCTGGCCTCTTTCTCCAGCAGGTTTGCCTGGACATCCTTACAACATGGTGGTTGAGCCCAACAGGGAAAATGTAGATGCTGCCAGTCCACTTAAGGCTTGAGAGAGAAGTTCTGTAATGTTGCTTCCACCACATTCTATTGGCCCATGATAGTCATAAGTTCAATCCAGATTCAAGGCATAGGAAAGTAGACTCCACCTCTTCAAAGTCATATTGCAAGGAGTCATGGGGACAGGGAGACATGATTCACCAGGGGCCATTTTTAACACTCTACCACATTACCTCTGACATCTCCACACACTCCTTTTTCCCCTGACTGACAGGTAGATGTAGATGCTCAGGGAAGCCTTATGAGCCATATAATGAAGATAGGGGGGACTCCCCACCTCCAGTTTCCAACCTGTGGCGTTGAATGTGGTGAAAGCGATAAATAAATGTGCATTGTGTTAAGCCACTGATATTTCAGGGCTTTTTTTAATTAATATTTTTTGTAGAGACAAGGTCTCACTCTGTGACCCAGGCTGGAGTGCAGTGGCCCAATCATAGATTGCTGCAACCTCAAATTTTGGGGCTCAAGCAATATTCCTGCTTCAGCATCCCAAGTAGCTGGGACTACAGGAGTATACCACTGCATCTGGCTGTTTGTTTGTTTGTTTTTAGAGATAGGTTCTCACTATGTTGCTCAGTCTGGTCTCAAACTCCTGGCCTCCAGGGTTTATTTAGTAAAGCTAATCTAACCCCAAAAATGCAGCCTTAAGCCAAGTTCTTAGCTTGAGGCTTTTCAGACCATACAGGTAATAGTAATTAGGTTGCAGACTTATGAAAGGAACAAGCTGTGACTCACCCAATGCTAAGGTCTCAGATTATCCACTTTTCTTACTGATCCATGTGGTGTGAAGCATTGGGGAATTTGTGGAGGATAGGCAGTAAAGGCAGCTTCCCACCTCCCCACCATTTATCTTTGCTCTGGGCATAGCCCTGTGTGGATCGCATTGTATGTGTGTAAGCTCTGGCTTTGTCTCCTGATCCCAGTCAGCTCCATCCCCCAACTAGATTTTGAGAACCACCAAATCTCAAATTTCCTTGGACTTGTCAAATGTCCTTAGCCTGAAGTTGGCCTTGACTGTCTGCTGGCCTGTCCGATGTACTATTTTCAATTGGTGTTTGGCCCCTGAAAAGTCCGCACTTACTTATTAAGTCAGCATGCATCTAAAAATATGTTATTCATATTTTAGCTAGCATTTTACATTGTTTTCAGTATGAGGGTCAGTCTGATTTTGTAATTTTCAATAGTCCCAGTAAGAGAACTGGGCATTTGTTTTTAAAGGCATTTAAATTTATAATAAGTTTATGTATTTTTCGTAACTTCTATAAATTAATTCGTCTCATTTTGCTTTTGTGAGTTTCCTATTCACATCCTCTGCTTTTTTTGCTGTTGTTATTTTGTTCTTTTAAACTGGAAAATAGTACCACGAGTACTCTAAGAAACGTCCTGATGACATTTTCACTCACTGTGACCTCTGGTGGCTAATTTACATTTCAGAACCATGAGTAAGATCAAGATGGACACCACCCCCACTTTTCCCTGCCCAAGGAGACCTATTGAACAAGCCCATTCTTGCCTTCAAGCCCTGCTTCTCAGAGTTAATTAACGTTTGTTTCATTCCACTAGATTCTCTTCTATTTCCTAGGCAGTCTGGTCTGCTATGAATTTTAGGTTTATCCATGTTTCCTTCAATTTAACATTCTCAACATTAAATATATATCTTAGTCTGAGAGCTCCCAAAAGTAGACCTTGAGACAAGGATTCAAAGGCAAATATTTATTTGGGAGATGATTCCAAAAAGCTGGATCATACATCAAACCAAACTCTATTTGCATTATGAAAAGAATATAAATGTAGATGTCCAGGACAGAGAGATTATAGTCAATAAGAATTGGGTTCTACATAATGGTCAGATAAATGCTTAGTCCCTTAGGCTGCTGTAGCAAAATACCATAAATGGAGGAGTGGCTTATAAATAGTGGAAATGTATTTCTCACAGTCCTGGAAGCTGGGAAGTCCAAGATCAAGGTGTCAGCATGGTCAGGTTCCAACTTCTTGTTGTGTCCTCACTTGGCAGGAGGGGCGAACGAGCTCTCTTGGGCCTCTTTTATAAGGGCATGAATCATATCATGAGGACTCTTCCCTGTGGTCTAATCACTTCCCCAAAGGCCCCACCCCCTCATTTAGTCACCTTGGGGATTAGGATTTCAACATATGAATTTGGCGGGGGCAGAAACATTCAGACCATAGCAGATGCCAAGGACAAAAGGATTAATGAACAGCATTCTGTTTTATAGTCACCAAGGTAATAATAATAATAATACTTATCAAGCATTTACCGTGACATTTTATTAAATTTAATTGATTTAATCCTCAAAAATCCAACGAGTTAGCTGTAGCAAAAGAAAGAAAGTAAGGAAGGAAAGAAGGAAGGAAGGAAGGAAAGAAGGAAGGAGAAAGGGAGGGAGGGAGAGAGGGAAGGAGGGAGGAAGGAAGGAAAAAAGAGGGAGAAAGGAAGGAAGGAAGAGAGGATCAAAGGCAAAATAAAATATGTATTTAATACAAGTGAATTTCTAGATTTAATGTTTTATTTGGAAAGAAAGAATTGAAATTCAGGTCATATACACAGACCTGGTTGGTGGTCTTTGGTGTGTCTGCAGAACAAAGAGGAGGTTGGAAATGTTATATTATAAAAAGGAGAATCACTACATACGCCTCTTTCAGAAAGTTCATTAGCACTGGTAAAATTTGTGGGGAGCTGGGAAGCTCTGACTGGTGAGTGACTCTGGTGGGTAAAACTAGACTTTGTGTTGCACCCCCTTGTTTCAGAAGCCATTAGATAAAACTGGTTTCAGGTTACAGTAGGCAGTTTTAGCAGCCAAGATTGCACAGAATTACAGTCTTAGAGCAATGTTATGTTCCCGGAGTGCTTTTCCTCACTGGCCTCTTGACTCTGCTTTAGATGACCGTGACAAGAATGACCCGATTTCATCTGATCAACTTTCATAGAAGGAAGGAAAGAAGAAAGGGAGGAAGAAAGGAAAACAGGGAGCCTAGAGAAAGGAGGGAGAAAATAAGAAAAAAAAAAGAGAGAGAGAAAGGTAGAACCTGGATGTAAGCCAGATTTCTCTTTTCTTCATTCTAACACCCCAGTTGACATAAGGGATTTATTTCGGGAGCACATTATGAGATCTAAAGACAATTCCATTAGAGTGTATGGGTGTGTGTTTACTTGTAACAGCTCATAAATCTTTGAATCTACACATGGAGTGTGTGAGGTTTTTGTTCCACACCTCCCCTCTCAGGTCCCATATTACAGAAGCTAGCATTTTCTTTTAACTTTATATCTTTGGACCAGACATAGATGTAACTGTTAACTCTCCCATAGTCTTTTAAGAGTTTCTTGCTCTCGGAGGCTTATTCCATATTTAAAATAGACCTAAAATAGTATTCATGTAATTTTTCTACTAATAAAAGGAAGATGATCTAAATAATCAAGATAAAATGAGGGTATATGAATACGATTTTAGAAGGAAGTGATTTGCTCTTTTTATTTTAAGCATGGAAGTAGAAAGATAGGTAGAAGAAAGAAATCACCGAAGGAAATTAAATTAGGGACCAAGGAAGGGCAAGCGCATAACAACCAGCTTAATTATAATAATTTCTAGAAGCTCATTGTAGGATGATTTTAAAATATTAATTGGATCGCAACCAATCTGACCTAGTATGTCTTACATAAGCAGCTGGTTAGCAATCGGTCTGAAATCTTAAAGACTGTCAAGAGAGCATCTGCAATCTGTTATTAGTGGGGAAAATATAAATTATTCTGAGCCGTGGAGTATGTGGTTGCCACTGAGTATACCACTATTAGATATTTTAGAGGGAATAAGACAAATGGCACAATTAGGAGAAGCAAAACCTTGTAATTTAAGAAAACCTTGAGATGGATTTTTCATTTCGTACACAGGCTAATAATTAAAGTCTAATATACAGTCTTTATTTTGTTTTTGTGTTTTGATTTCTCATGTTGGCTGGTGGTTACTGTACTTGGCCTAGATTAACTTTTTCCTCCTATGAATAAACATGAATTATCTATGAGGCACATAGTACTTAAAATGACCTGCAGTCATTATTTAGTCAATTCCTGTAGCACAACTTTAAGCTTTTTCACAAAGTGAGTGCAGTGTGTTTGTATGGGTTTTTAATTGATTAATACCTTACCATTTAAAAAATAAGGATTTAATGTAATTAAGTTACTTCAGATGGTTAAAAACAGTGCTAGTTAAAGTGTGGTCCCTAAACCCACAATGTCAGCTTTACTTGGGTGCTTGTTGTAAATCAGAATCTCAGGCCTCACCCAGATGTACTGATTCAGAATCTCTGCTAGGCAAGGCCCTAGAATCTGCATTTTAAACAAGCTCTCCAGGTGATTCTTACATACAGTAAAAGTTTAAGGCACAGGACATTAGAACTGAGTCTGCAAACATTTTCTGTAAATATTCATAAATATTTTGGACTTTGTGGACCTAAATGGGCTCTATATGACTCAGCCCTGCCACTGGAGGAGTGGCAGCCAGCGACAATGGGTATGGCTGTGTTCCAACAAAACTATATTTACAAGAACAGACTCTGGGCCAGATTTGATGCATAAGCCATAATTTGCCAACCCCTGGGTTAGAGCCTGGAGTGTCAGTTGTTGCAGGTTTTAACATTCTGTTTGGAAGTTTGTAGATGGAGGTAAGAAGAACTACTATTATTAAGTACCTATTGTGTACACGCCATCTCATATTTACCCAAACAACCTAACTACCATTACCACAACCCCAAACTACCATGACCAGCCATGCAGGTTATATACTGAAGAACAACCGTTGGTGGAATTTGGAATTATACAGTACACAACCAGGACAGCATTATGTGGGGTTCATAGGTTTGCATCATTATCTTCATCTTACAGATAAGGAAACCAAAAATCAGAAGGATTTAAAAATTTGCCCAAAGATACATTGGCTGTCAGTGTCAGAACCAGGATTAAACCTGGATTTGTCTGATTGTGGAGGCTGTGCTCTATCCACTCACTCTGTTGAAGACAGGTAACATAACTGACCCTGGCCATTGGCCGTATGTATTTATGGTCCCGGTCATGAATGCAAAAATTTACCACTGGATATTGGAAGACTGAGAAAGAAAGAAAGAAACTGGCTGGACACCATGGCTCACGCCTGTAATCCCAGCACTTTGAGAGGCCGAGGAAGGCAGATCACTTGAAGTCAGGAGTTCAAGACCAGCCTGGCCAGCATGGCAAAACCCCACCTCTACTAAAACACAAAAACTGGCCAGGCATGGTGGTGGGTGCCTATAATCCCAGCTACTTGGGAGGCTGAGGCAGGAGAATCTCTTGAACCTGGGAGATGGAAGTTGCAGTGAGCCAAGATTACACCACTGCACTCCAGCCTGGGCAACAGAGTGAGACCCTGTCTCAAAAAAAAAGAAAAAAAAGAAGAAGAAGAAGAAAGAAAACATGTACAAATGAGAAGTCACTCAAGGAAACATCTTCAACAATAAATGAAAAAAAAAACCCTCAAAAATTGCTTTGGGTCAAGATAGAGATTAGTATTACAGCAGGATGATAATAAACTCATTCTATCAGTTAGTTATTGACACATAACAAACCACCCCCAGACTCAGTGAATTTATTATTACTCTTCTGTTCTTGGCTCAGCTCACTGACGTGTCTGGGGTTAGCCATGGGTGACGCAGCAGCTCTGCTGGTCTTTGCTGAATTCTCCTTCATGTTTAAGGGTTGGCAGGCTGTAGACTAGTCTGGGATGATCTCAGCTGTGATAACTGGACTCTCTTCCATGTGGTCACTCATCTCCTCACAGGTTAGCGCAGACTTTCAGTTATGGTGGCAGCAAAGTTTCAAGGGTGAGAAAGCAGATATGTGTACATCTTCTTGAAGCTAAGGCTTGAAACTGGCACACCATCATCAGGACTGAATCTCCTCCAATCAAAAGATATAATCTATTTCCCCACCTTTTGAGTTTTGTCTGGCCTTGTGATTTGTGTTCTCCAAAAGATTGCAACAGAAATGATGGTGAAATAGTCTAAGCATAACCTTCAAGTGGTCTTGACACCTGTCCAGTCACTATGCCCAGGCTAGCCTGTTGAAGGTGAGGTGCCACATGGAGCAGAGATGGGCTACCCCAGACTAGCCAGCCCCGACCCACCCACAGCTGATTAGAGATGCATGAGTGAGGAGGGTGAGACCAGAAGAAACACCACCCTGCTGAGCCCAGCCAAAATTGTCAATCCATAGAATGCTGGGCTAATCACTAAGTTTAGGAGTGTTTTTCTTTAATGGCACAAAAACTGACTAATAAAAGTGTCTTACATGTAAAATGGCCACCATTTACTGTGCATCTGTTTTGTATAAATTTTGAGGTGAGTAGTATTTAATCTTGTACTTCAATTTGAACCTCAAAAAGTTGTATAAATATCAACACAAATCCTGTAGTTTGCTGGTGGATATTACTGAGTTTTGTCTGGCCTTGTGATTTGTGTTGGCCAACTGATTGCAACAGAAATGATGGTGAATGAGTCTAAGCATAGCCTTCAGGTGGTCTTGGGACCTGCTCAGTCACTATGCCCAGGGTAGCCTGTTGAAGGTGAGGTGCCATATGCAGCAGAGATGATTGATGTTTATTGATTCAACAAACATCTCCAGAAGAGCACTGAGAAGTTGTCAAGACATAATTCTTATCTGCAAGAAATCATGGACCTCTGGGTAAGAAAGCTCCATAAATAGATACATGACAATCCAATATGATGCATGTTGACATACAGCTATGGAAGTACAAAGCTGTCAGAGAAGAGGGTGTGATTTACTTTGCTTTGAGAAATTGAGGGTGGCTTTTCAGAGCTGTTTCCTGGGCAAGGGAAGTGAAATTGCAAATAGAGTAAATGACATGTGCAAAGGTGACTCGGTTCTAAAAAAACTGATGGGTTAAGAAACAACAAGGCCGGAATCAATGAAATTTAGGAGCCTCTTCAAGTTCCAGGGTAATGAGCTCCTCACTTTTCCCTGTGTTTATCTCAGCCTTCAGAGTAGTAACTGCATTCTTCAGATATTCTCTGAATTACCTCAACCTTAGAATTGGCAATAACCTTGAAACTGCTAATATCTGGTTTTAGCTCAGTGCCCCCGTTGTGCTCTTTCTGCTTTCTAATCTGGTTACAAAAGTTTCCTTTATTAAATCCTCTCTGACAATACTTAGTGTAGATTCTTTTTTCCTAACTAGAGCTTGACAGATCTAGTTTTCCAGGGAGATGATTCTGAGACTTACAGGAAAATCAGGAGGACAGTTTTGAACAAGGAGTAGGTAGGGAGAATAGGAGACTGAAAGAAGTGGAAACCAGGACACTAATGGGATTTTGTCCAGGATAGAGTCATAAAGAACCTTAACCAAAGCAGGTGATGGGAGAGAACATTCACTCCAGCCCCAAACGAAGAAGCCATCTTTGATCCTTCTTTTTCTCTTTCAACACCCTCCATGTGCTCTCCCTCCTCCCCACACATGATTGCATTAGCAGGTACTGTCAGCTTTCTGTACAAGAATGTGCCAAATCTGACAATGGTTCATGACATCTGCTGCAGCAATTCTAGTCTAAGCCAATACCATTCCTAGGCTTGTTGGCCACAAAAGCTTCCCACTTTCTCCTGTAATCACTCTTGTTTCCCATATACATCCATTATCCAGATAGCAGCCAGAGTCATTCTTGGAAAAAAAGATAATTCAGACCATATTGCTTCCTGCTTAAAACTCTCTGAGTGATTCCCCTGGTAATAGAGATAAAATGGAAGGCTGCCCATGCACTGGCTTTGCCTGCCTCTTTGGAGTTATCCTATACCTCTCTCTTTCTTTGCCATTGTCCTCCATCCCCACTGATTTTCCTGTTCCCTGAACTCACTGAGCCACGTCCTCCTCTGAGCTTTTCTCCCCCTGCCTAGAACTCTCTTCTGCTCTGTATCCTATGGCTATTTTATTGACACATCCCTTCAGCATGTGTATATTTGGTGTCAATAGGATGCTTTCTTAATGTTTTAAAGAAGTTAACTTCTGTTTGTTTTCATCATTCTGGTCTCAGTTCAGACATCATTTGTTCAGAGTGGCCTGTCTTCTCTTTCCTTTCTGATGTAGATTCCACTTACCTTTTCAGATTCCATTATATCACTGTTTAATTTCCTTCATAGCATATGTCTGAATAATCCCATCTCCTTTCCCAATTTCCTTTCTTCCTCCCTCTCTCCTCCCTTTTCTTTCCTTCTTCCTTTCTTCCTCTTTCCTTCCTTCTTTCTTTTTTCCTTTGTTTCTTCCCTGTTCTTGTTTTTTGTTGTTGTTTTTTTTTTTCCTGGCTTTTCTCACTATCATGTAATCTGCACATAAACACCCCAAGACAGCAACCTAGTAAAACTCAACAAGCAGTTTCTGAAGGGATGAGTGAACAGTTTGAAGAGATATTTTTGAGGTGGATTCCACAGGCTCTGGCAACTATTTGAGTGTAGGATAAAGGAGAAACAGAGGACAACTTCTAGATATCTTGTTAAGATCAGGCTGCTTATGGTGGTTGATAGATGACAATGCTATCAACCAGATCAGGACTATCTTCGGAGAGTACATTTTGGGGAGAAAAAGATGAAATTGATTTAGGACTATTAGAATCTAATATACTTTCCAGGATACCTGGGAGAGGTCCGCTGCAGAGTGAAAATTTGGGTCTAGACCTCAGGGAAGCGCGGAAGGCTGGAGACAAAAGCATTCATCATCATCATGATAGACAAACATCTATGCAAATCTTTATAACTTGGCAATCTGTTATAGCATGTACATTTATAAATATAAACATTCAATTATAAATATATTCATAGATATATAGAAATATTTGTATGAGAACATATTTTATAAATATAATTGTAAAAGAGTTTTACATTCCAGGACAACAGAAAGAGAGCATAGGCCAAATAGAAAAAAAAAAAAAAAAAAGGTTTTTCTTTTTATTTTAGAGATTTTAGAATCCTTTTAGAATCATATTACTTTGAGGCTAGTTCCAGGATATACCTGTGTCAGCATTCTGACATTTGGTATTATAATAAACAGTTTGCATTTTTGTTACTTTGGTTTTATGTCCATTTCTTGGTCCTTCTGAGAATCTGCAGTTTTAAGTCAGGGACGTTTGAGTGGAATTAGTTCAGCAATCCTACTTGTCTCCTCTGATTTTCCTGCCAAATAAATCTTACCAGATCATATGCAAATTGATTTAAAATCCAAAGTGATACATGTTATATTTGAATGTTCTCGTGGTAGAGAAAAAGAGGCTTCCCTCTGTTTTGACCTTGAGTGTTAGAGAAAGAGACATTATTTCACTGTTTGGAGAGGACATTGGGGTAAAATAACCACAGCTACCCTTAAGTGAGCCACTTTATCACAGGTCTTTAATGCATTTTGATATTTCTAATGTAACATAGTTTTTTCCTAATAAACTTGTTACAAGGAGTTACCACCTGACATGTGTCAACAGTCAGGTAAGAACCCTTCAGCGTGTGTACGTTCAGTGTCAATAGGTTGCGTTCTTAATGTTTGAAAGAGGTTACCTTTTTTCTTTTAGTACACTGAATACTTTTCTTGAAATAGATTTTTATAACTAATTTATTTGAAAATTCCAATTTTCTACGTTGAATTCAGCAAGTGTTTACTTCCTGTATGTTAAACAATGCACTGAGTATAGCAGAAGGTGGAAACGAAAATGACACCTAGACCCCAGCCTCCTAGACTAAGAATGCAAGTGTCTGAGTCACCACAATACCAGGTATGCTACAAACGCATTATAGTTACCACACTTATATTATCTCAATCAATATCGGATTTATTCAGCAATCTTAGAAGTATTATTATTCAGAAAAGGAAGAAGGAAGAGAAAAAATAACATTGCAATTAAGAACACAGGCTGTACATCCAGATTTTCTAAGCTTGGAGTTTGGCGTATTAATCAAAGTATCATCTTTGCTGTACCAAAGATTCCTGAGGTTCCAGAAACTCAGCACAGTGTGATTTCACCCACGTGCCACTGTTCAGTGTGAGTGAAGAGGATCTTCTGGCTCTCTCTGCTCAAAGAGGTGACTCAGAGGTCCAGTCGCTTTTCATGGTATGGCTTTGCCATCTCGGGGCCATTTGCTTCTAGAGAGAGAGAGAGAAAGAGGGAGAAAGAGAGAGAGTGAATAAAAAACCATGCTTCAGAAAGCAGTGATTAGGCCAGATAAGTGACCTTCATCACTTCTGGCCACATTCCATTGGCCAGAATCAGTCACGTGACTGATGAAGGGCAGCTGGAAATAAAATCTTCCTGTGGCAACTGGAAGGAAAATTAAACAATTTAGTTAAACATGACATCATCTTTACCATACCTGGCTCTACCATTTATTAACATATAAGACACAAAACTTTCTGTTGCAGTTTTCTCATCCATAAAATGGAGATAGTAACAGTACTAACTCTGACCACATAGGATTGTTATGAAGATTAAGTGAGGCAGTATATGTAAAATGCTTAAAAGAGTGCCTGGCACCATATATACCATGGAATACTATGCAGCCATAAAAAAGATGCATTCATGTCCTTTGAAGGGACATGGATGAAGCTGGAAACCATCATTCTGAGCAAACTATCGCAAGGACAAAAAACCAGACACTGCATGTTCTCACTCATAGGTGGGAATTGAACAATGAGAACACTTGGACACAGGGCAGGGAACATCACACACCAGGGCATGTCAGGCGTGGGGGGCTGGGGGAGGGATAGCATTAGGAGAAATACCTAATGTAAATGACTAATTAATGGGTGCAGCAAACCAACATGGCACATGTATACATATGTAACAAACTTGCAAGTTGAGCACATGTACCCTAGAACTTAAAGTATATATATATATATATATATAAAAAGAGTGCCTGGCACATAGCACTATTCAAGTGAGCTATTCCTACTTTATATGTAAATAAAATTACTAGAAAGGAGATATGATGGTCCATAGGATTTCAGAGTAGAATAAGATCATCTTTATGGCGGGGGATACATGGTAGGCATAATGGCCCCTCAAAGATGTCCACATCCTAAATCATGTAGCCCATGAATATGTTATGTGACATGGCAAAAGAGATTTTGCAGACGTGATTAAGGCTATAGGCCTTGAGATGGGGAGCTTATGCTGAATTATCTGGGTGGGCTTAATCTAACAGAGAACATTCTCAGCTGGAGGCAGATAAGATGAAACAGAGAGGAAGTCAAAGAGAATTGAGGCTTCAGAACAACTGGATTTGATGATAGAGGGTTCAGGGACCTCAGTACTACAACTGGAAGGAAATAAATTCTACCAACTAATCAAAAGGGCTTTAAAGTCGATTTATCCCCAAGAGACAAGAGCTAGTCTGGGCAACAACTTTTCCATTTGTCTTCTGTGAGATCCCAAGCAGAGTATCAAGCCAAGCCTGCCTGAATTTCTAACTACAAAATTGTGAGATAATTGTGTGTTGTTTTAAGTCACTACGTTTCTAGTAATTTGTTATGGCAGCAATAAGACACTAATAAAAGGGAGAATCAATAAAGTAGTCATGATAGAAAAGACACTTGAACAGAGACTTGATTGACAGGCAGGGTTTTCCTGCTTAAATAAAGTGGGAGGACATTCCAGATAAAAGAAACAGTGTTGAGCAGAGGAACAGGGAAGGTAGGGTGGGAGTTTGTTAGAGTTGAGTTCCATGTGATATTAGGAACTTATGAGCAATGATTAAAAATTGGTAGCTTGGGCCAGGAGCGGTGGCTCACGTCTGTAATTCCAGCACTTTGGGAGGCTGAGGCTTGTGGATGATGAAGTCAAGAGATCAAGACCATCCTGGCCAACATGGTGAAACCCTGTCTCTACCAAAAATACAAAAGCTAGCTGGGCGTGGTGGCGTACACCTGTAGTCCCAGCTACTCAGGAAGCTGAGTCAGGAGAATTGCTTGAACACAGGAGGCGGAGGTTGCAGTGAGCCGAGATCCACTGCACTCCAGCCTGGTGACAGAGCAAGACTGTCTCAAAAAAAAAAAAACCAACAAATTGGTAGCTTGGAGTTATGGTACGGAAGGCTTTAAATTCCAGGCCAAGGAGTCTTTCCTAAATTCCACAGCAAATGAGGAACCATTGCTGGATTTTGATTGGAGATGTGGTGTGATCAGAGACATGCATTAGGAGGTTGTCTGACAGTGCACTAGATGGAAGGGGCACAATGACTAGGAGAATTGCTTATACCATAAGGAGTGAACCAAGATAGTAGCTTTGGGAATGGAAAGGTGGGCACTTAAGAGAGACTGTCACTCAAGAGAGACTGTCTGAGGTTTAGTTCTCTAGAAGCGGGCCCTAAGGTGAGGCTACACGGGCAACTAATTATCAGAGCATTGCTCCCAGAAGTCAGTAAGGTTGTGGAGCAAGCAGGACATGGAAGGAGGAGAGGCCAAGCAAGACTGTGCTTTCAGGGCAAGTGCCAGCCTTAGCTTGGTCACACAAGGAGCTCTGGAGCACAAATTACAGTTCAGAGTTTGTTTGTTTTGAGAAGAGATTTCAATTATTCAGTGTTTTTAGTTTTTAAATAAAGGATACAGAAATATAAGCCATGGCTTCTTCCCAGAGTTTACAATTTGGATAGAGAACATGAAAGACACTGATTAACAGAGGCAAGTAATTTCAGGAAATAAATATACACAGATGTGTTTTGCAAAATACAGGTTCTTATACAAATATATAAGTAAATACTGATTGCATGGTGGTTTGTTTTTATCTGAAAGGGCTTTGAGAAAATAAGAAATGCCATTAATGGATAAAACTAGCAGTCTATCTAGCCAGACGTGCTTTCCAGCAGCACCAATGGACATTGTAGGGAGAACAGGGGTAACTGTCAGATAATTTTTTAATTCACAGATTTATCCCAAGTTTGAAAATACCATGAAGAATCCTAGGAATGCCAGTAATCAGTGAATGGGATATCTACATATCCATAACATCTATAGGCTAAACCCACTCAGAATGCTTTTTGCTGAGGGCTTATGTTTTTTAATAAGCCCTCCTGGTGGTTCTGCTGCAGGTTCAAGTCTGAGAAGCACCACATTAAATGAGATGGCATTTAAGATGCTGCATAGTGTAATGATTAGGGACACAGGCTTTGGAGCCGGACTACTTGGCGCATGGGCAAGTTCTATACTACGGAATGTTAATAACACTCTAACACTCCTATGTCTGGCTTCTGGCTTCCTTTTTTTTTTTTTTTTTTTTTTTTTTTTTGACAGAGTCTTGCTCTGTCACCCAGCCTGGAGTGCAGTGGCATGATCTCTGTTCACTGCAATTTCCGCCTCCCAGGTTCAAGCAATTCTCATGCCTTAGCCTCCCAAGTAGCTGGGATTACAGGCACCTCCCCCACCCGATCATGCCTGGCTAATTTTTTATATTTTTATTAGAGACAGGGTTTTGTCATATTGGCCAGGCTGGTCTCGAACTCCTGACCTCAGGTGATCCACCCTCCTTGGCCTCCCAAAGTGCTGGGATTACAGGTGTAAGCCACCATGACCAGCTCTGGCTTCCTCTTTTTTTTGCCTTTCCATCTCATACCTTCAATCATTTGTGTCACAGGACACATATAAGTACTTGGGAGGAGATAAATTTTGACAGTAAAGCAAAATCAGAGTTAAAGGCAAATGTTTAACCAATCATATCCAATTACAAGCTACTCAATGAAGAGTTTTAGATTTATAGAGCCAAATATTCTGCACTCCTGAGAAATCTCAGCTTTTCATTCTGTAAATATTTTCATGTTGCCTGTAGCGGCCACAAATTAAATAAGTGTACATTTTTTAGTGTTGATTTATTACTCAAAGATTTGAATTAGCAGATGGAAATAGAACATTTTGTATCTATATATTTTTTAAAAAATCCATGCATGAGAAAGGAGCCAAGTGTCAGTTTCCAGTGAGGGGAATGTTCTCATGGAGGTGCTGTAAGGTTAAGTCTGTACACTTCATTTCTTGTTCTTTGGCAGATTCTGGGAGCCAACATTGTCTTGTTCTGGTTTAGGAAGCTCATTCAGTGGAACTGCAGCGTCCTCCTATGGTAGCCTGTCTTCTCACCAAGCATTGTCAATCAAATCCAAGATTCTTCCATCTCTTTGTACCTCACTGTTCATTTTCCTGGAGCTTTAACCTTGTCAGATCTGCACCTGCTGCACCACTGCACCAGCTTCCTCTGGACCATACCCTCAGCATCACGTGACTCACACACTCTTCTCCCAGATCCCTGCATGTAGATGAACTCACTTGCTCACATGGAGGGAAAGTCTGGAGAATACCTCGTTTCTTTTCTTCTTTTCTTTTTTCTTTTATTTATTTATTTATTTATTTTGAGACAGAGTCTTGCTCTGTCACCCAGGCTGGTGTGCAGTGGTACGATCTCAGCTCACTGCAACCTCCACCTTCCGGGTTCACGCCATGTTTCATTAAATAGAGACAGGATTATAGAAATAATTCAAAAAATTCATGAGTGAGGAAGTTCAATAATTGAAATGAAATATTGACTGGAGAGGCTCAACAGCAAATTTGACCTGGCAGAAGAATCAGTGAACATGAAAATTGGCCAGTCGAGATTATCCAGGTTGAGAAAAACAGTTTGGCAGCTCCTCAAAACTCAAACATAGAGTTATTATACGACATAACAATTTCACTCCTAGGTATAAACCCAAGTGAATTGAAAACATACATCTACAGGAAAATTTGTACATAAATGTTTATTGCACCATTATTTACAATAGCCAAAAAGTGGAAACAACCCAAATGTCCATCAATTTATAAACTGATTTTTTAAATGTTATATATCCACACAATGGAATATTATTCAACTGTTAAAAAAATTAAGTAATGACACTGCCACCATATGGATCAACCATATGCTTAAAAGCACTGTGCCGGCTGGGTGTGGTGGCTCACGACTGTAATCCCAGCACTTTGGGAGGCCAAGGCGGGCGGATCATGAGGTCAGGAGATCGAGACCATCCTGGCTAACACGGTGAAACCCCATCTCTACTAAAAATGCAAAGAATTATCCAGGCATGGTGGCGGGCGCCTATAGTCCCAGCTACTTGGGAGGTATAAGCCACCATGCCCAGCCCTGGCTTCCTCTTTTTTTTTTTTTTTTGGCCTTTCCATCTCATATCTTCAATCATTTGTGTCACAGGACACATGTAAGTACTTGGGAGGAGATAAACTGGAGTGCAGTGGCACGACCTCGGCTCACTGCAACCTCTGCCTTCCGGGTGCAAGTGATTCTCCTGCCTCAGCCTCCCAAGTAGTTGGGACTAAAGGCACGCACCACCATACCCGGCTAATTATTGGATTTTTTAGTAGAGATGGGGTTTCCACCACGTTGGCTAGGCTGGTCTCCAACTCCTGACCTCAAATGATCCATCCACCTCGGGTGGGGATCTCTCCCATAGTGTTGGGATTACAGGCATGAGCCACCGTGCCCGGCCCAAAGACTTTGTTTCTACTAAGAGTGAGGGGGCAGTGGGTGGAATGAATGTGATGATGACAGAGGCTGAACATAAGCTTTCTTTGGTTTTGTTTGAAGTCGAGACAACTGGGGTTTTATCCTTCGGTACCAGTCAGTCATTGACTATAGACCACCCAGGGTGATACGTATTTTCAAGCATTGGGAGGAAAGAATGCTGAGTCTCAGAGGCAGCTCTCAGGTTGAAACTATGGAAGCACAGCAGGCAGAATCAAAGAGATAGGCACAGAGAACCAGTAAAGGTCCTTAGGACCTGGGAGCTCACCAACAGCATCCGCTTCAGAGGTGGTGCAGCTTGAGTGCATGGCAGCTGGTGGGGTATGAAGATGAGGGTGATGGAAAGGAAGTGAGGGCAGCACCAATCTCCGTGCCCTTGGTCTTGGGAGAATGGTCAAGCAAAGAAAGATAAGGAAGGTGTTGGGGTCAGTTTTGGATAGACAATGCACAAAACTGTATTTTCCATGAATCCATTATTGAGAACATCAGAGCTCAGCTCAACTTTCAAGTGATGCGAAGGCCCTAAAACTTTGTAAGTTGTATGAACTCAGAGCCCCTGTAATGGTGGGTCTCCACTTCCCACCTCAGTGCATTAATTTCTTTTCATTTTCCAGAAATGTCTACCTAATTTTTACACATGAGGGTGATCACAGTGAAACATTTTTAAATGCTTTCAGTTACTCTGAGGAACCATAATTGGATGGCAATGTTTTATTGTTACTAATGAGGAAAGTGGAACTAGATATTGATCACATTAGTATATTGTTCAAGTTAAACAAGAATGAACTAGAAACTGTTATGCATTTTATCTGGCCTCCAGGGTTAGATTAAATGAAAAATATTACTTCTGTCTGTTAAAATATATGCAAGAGCAACCTGTAGTGACAAACTAAATTGTGATAGATGAGGGAAAAACAGGCACTTGAGGAAAACAACAAATATTTTCTAATCTAATCTAACTACTTGAATCTTAACTCTTGGGCGATGTTCTAATTTCAGTTTAACTTAGCACAATTCCTGTTTGCTCATTATAGTCAGGAAGCTATTCGAGATCTTGTGGGAGATGGAGAATTTGAAAGCCTTGACTCCATGGACTGTTCTTAAAAGTTTTTTTTTCCTGAAATAAAAGTAGACATTTAAATATTCACAGTGTCATTAAGCTATGAGATCTTGGGCAAATCATGTCATTGCTTTATTCAAAATGCACTGATTTCCACCTACCATGTGCAAAGCACTGTGCAGATAATGTGATGTTTAAGCCCCTCTTTAAAATGAGGAAGTAATAGCATCTTCCGTGCAGGGGTGCTGTGAAGATGAAATGACTGCTCCTCCAAGTGTGGTCCTTGGACCAGCAGCTTCCACAAAATCTAGGCACTTGCTAGAAATGCAGATCCCTAGCATCATCCCAGACCTGCTGAATTAACACCCATAAGGATGGAGTCTTGGAATATGTTTAATAAGCCTTCCTGGTGATTCTGATGCTGGTTCAGTTCTGAGAAGCAGCAAATTAAATGAAATAGCATTTAAGATGAAGCATAGTGTAATGATGGGGAACATAGGCACTGGAGCCAGGCTACGTCCCTCATGGGCAAGTTCTATAACCTTGGGACCTTCCCTGAACCTCAAAGTCTCTGTTTCCTTATCTGTAGTATGGCAGATAGTAGTAATACAGGAGGTATGTGAGCATTAAGAACAGGGTTTGGTGCCTTGTACCTTTGGTGCCATGCTCAAGAAACTTTACCTGTCATCATGGTTAAAGTGCTTACCTTGGTAAAAATTGGCAATTTTCTGGTGGATGGGGTTGATTAATACAGGATGTTAAGAGCTTAGGTTCAAACGCAGACTCTAGTCAATGTTGGCTGTAAGGCCTGAGGCAAAATACCTAAGTGCTCAGCCTCTGCATCTCTAAAATGGACTGATACTAGCAACTATCTTCTGGAACTCTTGTAAGAATGTCAAGGTGCCTGGGACACAAGAAAAAATGTAATCACCGGTACTATTAGCCATTACATTTATAGTGGAGGAAAAATAATTTTCCCTCTACCCTTATGAGTTCTTAGCTGTGGACCCCTAAAACAAAAGACACATTAACAACAACAAGAACAACAAAACAGTTTTTGAATGTTCATTTCATATATACATGGAACATACCCAGGGATTGAGTAACTCTCATGAGATGGCTTAGAACTCCAACCTATATGACATCTTCGAAGAAGAATAATACATTTTTAAAGAAGTGACAAGACAAAAGAAAGGGACCTTGAGTCTCTAACAGTGGCAGATTGTGAGAAGGCAAGTATATGGGAAATGACTGGTAGGTAAAGACCAACTAGTAAAGTTTGTTCTGTAGACTCCTCTGGTGCCACCTCTAGGTTGATAAGCATCTACAGATGCTTTGTCTTTCCTGGTAGAAAGGGGAGGAAGGACACTTTTGTAAATTTATGCCCTGCTTTTAAGCAAATAAGGGGAGTCAAGAGAGCTTTCCTTGTATCTTCTTTTTCTTAATTGCCTTTGGCTCAAAATAATCCTCATGCCAAAGTGGCATATTCTGGGCTACACAGTAATGATATAAAGTTATGATTGCTAAATACAGCCTGTGTAATGGTGCTTTAGGCAGGCCCAAAGGCCTGGTGTATCTCTTAGGGGGAGAGGCAACAGGGCACTAGGGGAGTATCCAAGTCATTTGGTTTGAGCCCCCTCACTCAGAAACCTGAGAATCACCTGGTCTGTCTGTGGTTCCCCACTTGAGCTTTTGCTCAATGACTACAACAGCAAAAAAGTTACTTTGAGAAAAGCACAATTCTCCATTAAATATCTACAGGCAGGATGGTAGAAATGACATACCATGGCCCTGCAACACCCCCTCTCACCACCTCCTTTCTGTCTCCTTCCTCCCTTTTCGCTTCCCTTCCCTTGCCTTCCTTCCCTTCCCTTCCCTTGCCTTCCTTCCCTTGCCTTGCCTTGCCTTGCCTAGCCTTGTCTTGCCTTGCCTTCCCTTCCCTTCCCTTCCTTCCCTTCCCTTCCCTTCCCTTCCCTTCCCTTCCCTTCCCTTCCCTACCCTTCCTTCTTCCCTACTTTCCTCCCTCCCCTCCCTCCCTTCCTCCTTTCTTTTCTTCTTGTCTTTTAAAATAAGAATATATATTAAGGGCCCACGACGTATCAGGCATTGTGCCAAACATGTGGGTCATTGGCGAGCAAGACCAGAAAGAGTTTCTCACCTTATGTTGCTCACTGAATATTTGGGAACATAGACATTCGTTTATCCATCCATCCATCCATCCATCCATCCATCCATCCATCCATCCATCCTTTCATTTCCTTGAAAAGTATTTATTGAATGTCTATATATTCTAGGTACTGTTTTTGGAATATATAAGGCTGACACACAAATGAGTATAAAATTTTGGATGGAACATGTACAATAAAAAGAGATCAAAGAGATCAGTGATATTAGGAGACTTCATAATAGGGTTATAATCAAAAGAACACTTTGGAATAATTGTTTGTTTTCTTTCTTGTCTTGTTTTCCCCTTAACTCTCTAGTAAAGGATAACACACATACAGAGGAATATATAAAAAAAAAAAACTGGAATTCAAAGAATTTTCACAAGGAAACATACCCATGTTACCAACACTCAGATCAGCCAACAGAACATTACCATCCTCACAGAGGCCCTCCTCATAGCCCCCTCCAAGTCACCACCCTCTAAAAGTAGCAAACACCCTGATTTCTAATACCATAGACTAGTTTTGCTTATTTTCAAACCTCATAAAAATGAACTCATGCAGTCTAAACTCTTGCATCTGTTTTTCCACCTCAATGTTATATTTGTGAGATTGATTCATGATGGTTTGCTATAGCTGTAGGTTATTCATACTCATTGCTGGGTAGCATTCTGTTGTATGAATATACCACAATTTATTTTTTCCATTCTACTTCTGTTGGGAATTTGAGTAGTTTCCAATTTGGGGCTATTATGAATAATGCTGCTATAAATACTCTATTATAGGATGGGATGTGGTGGCTCATGCCTATAATCCCAGTGCTTTTGGAGGCTGAGATGAAAGGACTGCTCGAGGCCAGGAGTTCAAAAGAAGCCTGTCCAATAAAGTGAGACCTCATCTTTACAAAAGAAAAATTAAAAATTAGCCAGGCATGATGGAGGATGCCTGTAGTTCTAGCTACTTGAAAAGCAGAGGAGAGAAGATCTCTTGAGCCCAGGAATTCTAGGCTGCAGTGAGCCATGATTGTGCCACTGCATTCCAGCCTGTGTGGCACAGTAAGACTCTAAAAAAAATTATATTATACACCTTTTGGTAAAGAAATATATACATTTCTATTAAATATATACCTAGGAATAAGAGTGCTGAGTCATGGTGGGTTACAAATGTTGAACTGTCATGGTTAGTGCTAGCTTTCCAAAGTGGTTGTACCCATGTCCACACCCACCATTAGTGTGTGGAAGTTTCCTTCAGCAATGGTTCCTAAGCAGAGGCATTTCTGTGTTCATCCATGGCCTTCTCAGCACTAGGAGCTAACCTCCTAGTGTTAGCTCGGATAACCTTGCATCTGATCTTCCTGGGCATGAAGAGTTTTGGTAGGAGAACTCAGAAGACGACAGTCTTTCTCCAACTAGAATTACTTGGAATTTAAAGGCAGAGTGAGAAAAGTGTTATGGTCAAAGCAGACTTTCCAAAGCAATAATAACATTTCACATTAACAAATATAGTGGGGTGACAATCTCTTTTAAAAATTTCTGTTGGAATGTCTAACCATGTCTTGAATGACAGAAATAAAGCTTCTTCTACAGTGCTCTCTGGTAGCACCTGTATTTCTATAGAGAAGATGGATGGGCTGTTTTGAATGTTGTTCAGTTGTTATTTAAAATACTGCAGGAGAGTTCAGCAATTTTCCAGCAACCTGAAAAATAAAAGTCATGCTTTGTTGGCTGCTTGGCACACTATACCTTAAATGATCTTGTGAATAAACATAAAAGTAAGTAAATTCTAAAAGTAATCTGCAAATGACCCGCAAAAATATAACCTTAGCCTTTGTCTTGCAGACTCTCGTCATCAAGCAAAGCGAAAAAATTTCTAATTCAACAAAACCCAGTCTTTTGGTCCCAGGATCCTCGAATATAAGGGAAAGAAATGAATCTTAACACTAAGGTCAGGGGCCAGATGTGGTGGCTCATTCCTGTAATCCCAGCACTTTGGGAGGCTGAGGTGGGAGGATCACTTGAACCCAGGAGTTCGAGTCTGCAGTGAGCTGTGATTTCACCATTGCACCACTGCACTCCAGTCTGGGCAACATAGTGAGACCTCATCGCTTAAAAAAATTAAAATTTAAAAAAATTAAAGAAATAGGACCAAAGTCAGGGAAAATTCAGGATGAATAACCAAGAAAGAAGAGGTTGCATGTCCATGTCACAGGAGATCTGTGCAACCGCAGTTTCTATGAAATAGAAAGCATAGAAAAGAAATCAACCAGCGAGAAAAAAAGAAATGAGAAATTGAGGAATCAAGCACAGTTAGGCATGTCAGTTGGTATATCAGTCACTATGGGCTAGGTTACTCTGGGTAACAAATAGACTCCATATCTCAGTGGCTTACATGAATGTTTCTTTCTTGTTAATGCTTTGTGCCTTGTGCCTGCTTGCTGTAGCTCTGTCCTACATCTTCTGTACTCCAGGTGCAGGCCAACAGAGCAGCTTCAATCTGTGTATTAGTTATTTCTTGCCACATTAATCCTGTAATTCCAAACCACCATGAAACTTCAGCAGCACTCAGGAATAAACATTTATTTTTTTCTCGTGAGTCTACATGGCAGCTGGAAAGTTCTGCTGATCTGGGCCTGGCTTGGCTGAGCTCAGCTTGGCTCACTCACCTATTTGGGGATGGACTGGCATAGGCTGGTCTAGGATGACCTCAGCTAAGACAATGCATCCCTGGTCCACTGGTCTCTCCTCTTTCAGCTAACCCGTGCTGAATTACACGATGGTATCAGAATTCCAAAACAGTGAATGGAAGAGTGTAAACCCTCCTGCAAATTAGTTAACAAAAAGGCACATTACTGCTTCTACCACATTCTATTGACCAAATCATGTCTCAGGCTAGCCCAGCTTCTAGGGACAGCGATCTCCATATCTCCAAATTTGGTGGAAGTTGCTATAGAATCATATTACAAAGGGAGAAGTGAGAAGTGACAGTCATTTTTGCATCAGTGTTCTAAAACCTGGAGCATTGCTGGTCATGATGGCAAAGGAAACATAAGCACATCACTTCTCTCACATTTCTTTGGTAGAGCAAGTCATGTGGCCAAGTCAGGTGTCAACCCAGTAGGCAAACAGAATCCTCTCTCACAGATTGGCAATGAATATCTGTAAAATAATACAATATTTCACAGAAGTTAGAGAGAGGGAAAAAATGTAGGTTTCTTTCAGTATGTTGGTGTCTGGGATAGACATTATCCTGGCATGAGAATGATTCCTGGATGTTAGACAAGACATGAGAAAGTTGTAATGCACTTTCATTTTTCCAAAATTCTGTCCCTTGAAAGTCCCTTTAGCATATAGGCACCCCTCACTGGCATAACCTCTAGGTCAATTAATACAACCTATTATCAACCTGGCCCTTGGAAGCAACAGGCATATACCTGTTCCTCATATGGCAAATGGTAAAATGAACTCAAAAAGAACACTTAAAATAGGTACTTTTTCCAAACTCGGTTTCCCATCCAGTCAAGGTCAGCCGGTACCAATCCAAGCTCACAAACTCGAGTGCATAAGAATTCAGCTGTCTTTATTTTCTGCAACTCTAGTTAATTTCTATTATAAGACCCTATGCCACAATAAAGTATAATTTAATTTCAGTTAATTCAGGGTCTCCACATGTTTGCCCAGGGCTGGATGTTTAGCTCTGAGGTATTCACTGTGTCATGGTTTGCATGGCATTGGATCCGGGGTATGCATTCCTCTGTCACATTGATCTTTGTGAGCCATCCTTCACATGGCTCTCTGTCCTTGGTCCTACAGATTACTGGTGCATAATCCTAAAGTTCTGTTGCAAGATCCCAGATGAGGGTCTTTCTCGCATTGTCATGTCATCCTGGTCTGCAGGAGATATTCAACATCCCTATGCCACATGGGGTTGAAGGCAGGGACTTGGTCAAGTTGATGAAGGCCAACTGGCTAGACATAATCTGCTTCTATTTCTAACCCACAGTCTTCCTGACTGCTTGGAATTTCACCAAAGGAGGCTTAACCCTTACTTCATTCTTCCAAACCTATCCTGGTTTTCAATCAGTCTTGTCCCAAGGAGGTGTGCCTAAGGTCTTATTGTTTTCCTTTCTTAGGGAGCCACCCCCATGCCCGTTCTTCTCCCCAAGTCCTTTATTTTGTTTGAGGGGAGGGTAAGCCAGCAAACTTTACTTATCTAAATCTTACCTTCTCAAAAATCTATTTTATTATCTGTGTATATGAGCTTGCTTTCTTCCCAGAGGGCCTAACCTTTCACAACTCAAAAGCCTGGAAAACAGTTGTTATTCCTCTCCTTTTAGTGTATCTTCCATTTTTTTGAGGCAATGAACATAAACATGACATTACCAGAATGGGGGTGAGAGGAGAAGACAGGATTCAACAGGAAGTAGAAGGAATGAAAAGGACAAAAGTGAAAATGATTGTTGCTGTATTGGGAAATGTTTAAAGACCTGCTCTCAAACAAACAAACAAACAAAAAAGATAAAAGCCTTGATTTGTAGTGTTTACTGATTTCTGTCATGTAAACACTCCCACCATGGCTGGTTTCACATTACCTATGCGACATCACCGATGTGCAACACAGAGTTGAGAAAAGATAGGTGGGAGGGCACGTTATGTAGTATTTTCACCATACAGATGCAAAAGACATAACTAATACCAAGACCATACAGAATAATTAATGTAGTGAAATAATTACAAAGGATAAATTATGTTTAACTTTGTTTTAATATAATCTATTTAATGGCAAGTTTAGGTAATTTAATTTTAATAATGGTTTTGTTTAACTGGCTCACAAAACATCTGAAAATTTCATAACAGGCTCTCAGCACCTCAAAATTGTTAATGTATTAAATACAATTGTTAATATTTTGTGACGATTTTTTGACACAAAGGAAAATAGGCTTTTCTTGCTGAGGATGTGAAATGGATTATTTAGCAATTATGAGTGCTCTGGATGTCTCTGAGCCCTACTTCCCACTCTTTCAGACTCACCTATGATACAGCTGTTTTTATCAACCTCATGCCACTTGTTTTCATCTTTTGATGTATGCCCAGGACTGTTTGGGCCTAACATGGAAGCATGGGGGCTGTCTGCACCCACTGGGGCAACCCTTACCTAATTGGGAAAGAAGGTGATGGATCATTATTTCTCTCCACTGATCTTCATTTACAACAAGCTCATTTACAACTCCATAATGGATTGTTGGATTGAATTTCCTCCCATCTCTGTTACATTCTGTGTTGCCCTCACTCCTGATCTTTGAGAGAACTTCCCGATAAACTACTTGTACCGAAGCCCTGTCTCAGGCTCTGCTTTCAAGAGCACTCCCAATTAAGACACTGACTCCATCTGGTCTCGCACCACTATCCTAGAAGGCTTGTGTTATCCAAGGATACCTGCAGTGATTTGGAGCATGCATGTGTAATTTTTTACTCAGAAAGAGTATGATATATAGACAAGACATTTAGAAACTGTAGACACGAAACAGACCAAAAGCATTGATTTGGGCGCTCTCTGTTATTGGATAAGTCTGTCTCTCCACAGGCCTTGAGACTACAAATAATCTAGGAATAGATGTTCATATGAGGTCATTCATGATGATCTGATTTTACAAATGTATATTAGAAAGATGTGACAGATTGTAGTTTCAAATTGACTATAACAAGATCTCTCATCTCACATGTTCTTCTTAAAATGTAAGTTTGACTATCCTGCCATCAAAATGTGGTGGTCCTAGCTCGTTTGGACTTCTACAACAAAATGTCATAAACTGGGTAGCTTATAAACAACAGAAATTTACTTTTCACAGTTCTGAAGTCTGAGAAGTCCAAGATCAAGGCATCAACAAATTCAATGTCTGGGGAGAGTCTATTTCCTGATACCTAGACAGTGGCTTCTCTCTGTCTTTTCACATGGTAGAAGGGGCAAGGCAGCTCTCTGGGGCCTCTTTTTTAAGGGCATTGTTCCCAAGCCCTTATGATCTAATCACCCCCACAAAGCCCCAGTTCCTAACACCATCACATTGGTAGTTAGGTTTCAACCTATGAATTTGGAGGGGACACAAACATTCTGACCATCGCCCATGGCAAGTGGTGTCTATATTTTGTCCCCTTAAACTGGGCAGGCTTCTGACTGTGTTAGAAGAAACTCTGTGGATTTCTGAAGCTGTTTTATAAAAGGCCATGTAGACGTGATTCTCAGGACAGCTTCTGAGATTCCTAAGCCACCATTTGAACAATTCAGCTGCCTTGAGGCCACCATGTTGTGAGGAAGCCCAGTTTAGTCCATGTGGAAAGAGAACATGGAAAGGTCCTGACACTACTTAGAGAGGGGGAGAGAGAGAGAGAGACAGAGACAGAGACAGAGAAAGCGAGATAAGACTTATCTGTTATTGTGAGAATAAAGGGCAGGCTTGAAGTTCAGCTGGGAGGCAGGTAATTACTGTATCTTTTTATTTTTTTTTTTAGAGCTTGGAGATAATAATGGCTGCTCTTGATGATTGGAACTACTAAGTAGTAAATTAGCATGTAATACTGAAGGCATTTTCAGTTATGCCTGTATTTTTATAAAGTAGAGGTACTGGTTTTTTACTTTGCAATTTTTATGTAATTACAAACTTACAGGAAACTTGCAAGACTAATACAAAGGCATTTCACATACCATTCATCCAGATTCACCAATTGTTAAAACTTTGCCACATTTGTTGTATTACTGTCTCTCCCTTTACACACACACACACACACACACACACACACACACACGTTTTTTCCGAACCACTGCGAACACGTTGCAGAAATTATGCCCATTTACCTGTAATTCTTCAGTGTGTGTTTCCCAGGATCAAGGCTATTCATTTCCATAACCACAGTACATTATCAAATTCAAGGGGTTTAATATTGATATAATACTAATATTCTATCAACAGATATTATTTAAATTACTCCAATCAATCACACTCTTTTTAAACATTTCAACTTTTAGTTTAGATTCAGGAGTGCAAGTTTGTTACATAGGTATATTGTGTGACACTGAGGTTTGGGGTAGAATTGATCCCATCACCCAAGGAGTGAGCATAATACTGTTTGCATAGTTTTTCAGCCCTTTCCTCCCTCTCTCCCTCCCTCCCCGCTTTTGGAATCCCCAGTGTTTATTGTTCCCATCTTGTGTCCCTGTGTACCCAATGTTTAGCTCCCATTGTAAGTGAGAACATGTGGTGTTGGGTTTTTCCGTTTCTGTGTTAATTCGCTTAGGATAATGGCCTCCAGCTGCATCCAAGTTGCTGCAAAGGACGTGATTTTGTTCATTTTTATAAAAATGCCCTTTACACTAACTTTTTTTTTCCTGTCCAGGATCCAATTCTGGATCACACATTGCCTTGTTTTCATGTCCCATTTCTCTAAAAAAGTTACTCTTTTGTTTAGCTTTCTAGAAAAGTCCATCACTGTGTTTGTCATTACTATCAAAGATATATAGAAGCTGATATGGCCTTCTGGTGCCTTTGCAAGATAACTTTGGAACCTGCTTTTCAATATTGTCTATATCTGGCTTAACAAAGTTAGAAGATATAGAAGCATTCACTCAGCCAGGAGAGATGTAAATGTAGCTGTGGCACTGTTCGCATCTATCCAAGCAAATGCAGTTTGTTTACTGAATTGAAAACCACCTGCTACTTGACATTTAAGATATTTAAAGAAGGAATCAGAAGATTTGCATTTCTTATGAATAAGTAATTAATTATTATTACTGCGCCTGGAAATCGAAAACATTTGTGTTATAGGGCTTTGAAGAGGGTAGTGTAATTGGCTTGGGGTTCTGACTGGTTTGAAGGGAATACGTAGTAGATCCTCATTCTTTCACCAACCAGCTGACTCTTCAAGGCCCCTAGCTGTTTTCCTTCTGACTGAGAGTGGTAGTAAGCCATTTATTTCTTCTTAACTAAGTGGCTCACCCCATTTTGGATATGTCTATGTCTATAATAACATAGCAGACATAACATGTTGTATACTGGGATGGATTCTAGACAAATAAGATAAGAAAAGTTTGGGCATATTTGGAGAAGTTGACCATATGCCCTAGAGCAGGGGATTGTTGGAGACATGGTCCCCACTGGTGGACTGGTGAAGCCTAGAAGCCCTTCTCAAAATGATGTTTTTAAATACACACCTGCACCCTGGTTCAGTTAGGGTTTAGATTAGTCAGAAGAGCAGAATCATGAGGCAATCTGGCTCTCTCTCTCTCTCCTTTCTCTCTCTCTCTCTCCGTATATATATACACACACACGAAAAACTAACGATATATAACATATATAAATTTATAACAAATATATGTGTGGATACACATCTTTTAACATAAAATAATATATAACAAATGTATATACGTACACATATATATGCTTCATGTGCATATACACAGTTGATCATCATTACTTACAGAGCCCACATTTTTTAATTTGACTGGTAATATTTATTTGTAATCCCAAATCAGTACTTATAGAATTTTTTTAGTCTTTTGTGAACATGCACAGAAAGGCAAAAAATTAGCGTAGCTCGGCCGGGCGCGGTGGTTCATGCCTGTAATCCCAGCACTTTGGGAGGCCGAGGGGGCGGATCACGAGGTCAGGAGATCGAGACCATCCTGGCTAACACGGTGAAACCTCGTCTCTACTAAAAATACAAAAAAAATAGCCGGGTGTGGTGGCGGGCGCCTGTAGTCCCAGCTACTCTGGAGGCTGAGTCGAGAGAATGGCGTGAACCCGGCAGGTGGAGCTTGCAGTGAGCCGAGATCGCGCCACTTCACTCCAGCCTGGGCGACAGAGCCAGACTCCATCTAAAAAAAATTAGCATAGCTCAATGCACACATTTCCAGTGGAGGATGAACAAAGCGCTGCTCTGCCTTCTTCTTTCAGCTTTCATACTGTAAACAAGGACCTTTTTTGTGGTGTATTTATTACTATCTTTTTCACATTTTTGTGCTTTTTTGTTGGTACTTTTGCTGTTTAAAATGGATCCCAGGCATACTGCTGAAGTGTTTCTAAGTGCAAGAAAACTGTGACGTGCCTTATGGAGAACATATGTGTGTTAGATAAGCTTCGCTTAGGCCTGAGTTATAGCGCTGTAGACTGTGAGTTCAATGTTAATGAAGCAACAATGTATGTTAAATAAGGTGTCTTTCAACAGAAAAACACACAAAGCAAAGTTATGTATTGGTAGGTTGGTGAAAATGTTGTGACCAGAGACTCTCAGAAACCTAATCGTGTATTTTCCCTAGGAGCAATGGTTCACTATTTGTTGATTCGGTCTTTGCAGTGACTTTATAGAACAAAACTACTGTGAATAATGAGAATCAGTTGTATGCATATGTTATATAATAAAGGGTGAAATTTCAACTTTTCTTTCCCCTTTCACCCTTTATAATATAGCATATACATTATATTATATAATAGGCTAAATAACAAATTATAAATTATGTTATTTATAATATATTATAATAATATATTACATATTATATTATAGCATAACATTATGTTATATAATTTAATAATGTATATTATTATATAAACATTATTATATATTATATAATGATTATATATAACACACTGTATATGTTTATATAATAAAGAGGGAAAGGGAAAAGAAAAGTTGAAGTAACTGAAACATTAATAACTCTTTCAAGAAACCGCAAATAAAGCCCAGTAGTCTTTGAGGTCTGTGTGAGAGAGTTACAGCTTTCTTACTTACTGACAAGAAGAAACTGTCACTGATTCGGCTGTTTCTCTTGTGGTATATTTTGTCAAAAAATTTACACCAGAATAAGTTAAACAAGAACGAAAGATTTTATTTAAGCCTATTGCAATAGGGGAGAGAGGCCAGCACCCAACTCAGCTGAGAAAAGGGTTGAGAGTTTTTAAGAGTTGGGATAAGGGATTGTAGGCCACCTGTGTTTGCTAAGTGTTTTCCAAATGAAAAGTAAATTTTCTTGTATCTTCATGACAGGAGATAATTTTACAGGGTTGGAACAAGGCTGAATTTAGGCTCCTATCCTCCCACAGAGACTGGGAGATAAGGGCATGATCTTCCTTGATGCTTCTATTTCTGAAGAATAGCTCCCAGGTCCTTGAGGAAGACATTCCCTGGGTCTTTATACTGCAAAGAGGCTTTAAAAAAGATTTATATACATTTCAAAGGGGTAAAGAAACAATTTGCAATTACAAGTTTTCTAAAGTGAGTGCTCTAAGAAAAGGGAAGTCAGGGATCTATGGTCAGAAAGAAACATGTCTAAAGTTTAGTCAAGCTGAGGGGAACATTAAGTCTGCCTTCATCTATCTCTCTACATTTGTGAGTATATCCTTTAAATATGTATGAGCATATATACATATATTAGTTAAATAAATCAGACTTTGTAAAATTGTGGAGATGAAGCCGTGGGTCTCCAGGGGACTAAAAAATCATTACTAAGAATTGCAAGTACTTGAATACCACATTATTTGTGAAATGAATAAATAATAATGCTTGTATGTTAGGTTTCCAAAATATACTTTTGTGATCAATAAGACACAAATTGTTTTGTTGAATACATTGAATAATATCTTTTTGTCATCTTTCAGTTTATTAATCAATGAATATTAAGGTATAACATTATCATGTACAAGACACTCAATTGATTTCTCTTTAAAAAGAGGTCCTTATGCACAAAGAATTATTGGCACTATTAAGCAGTTAATGAACTATCCCCATAAAATGAGTAATGGTCAATATTCTATTTCCAAATTCCTTCATCAAAAAGCAGCATTCTCCTTGAGTTGGAACATTGTAATTCTAGAGGAAAAAATTAAAAGAATTTTTTTGACATATGGTTTGGTGATAAACTTAGTAAAGAAATATCATGCTAACTCAAAAAAAGCTTAGATTTAGATTATGAAATGTGTTTAAATGTTAAGAACACTTACAGTATAATAAAAGGCTGGGGAATAAAATCTTAAGCTCAGTTTCACATATTGTGTACTGTCCTAACATAACCTCCAGAAGAAAGACTTCAAATCCAATGTCACAAAGTCAAATAGTATCAAGAATGTTTGCAAAACCTTGTCAAAAATAAGATAAACCTGTACATACAGTTTAAAAGTAGAAGAGCTATTTTAAACCAAGCTCTGTGTCACGAAGCTCAAGACTTCGATTTCCTTTCATGTCACTAAATAGCATAGTCCAATAATAAAGGGTGTAGTGCAGGAAAACGGGGAAGTTAAAAAGTTATCAAAACATTAATAACTCTTTCAAGAAACCTCAAAATGCAGCAGTTTTGTGTAAAGCTCATAGGCTTTCAGGCCATGTGGACAGGTTACAGTTTTCTTCTTTGAACACCAGAAAAGGCATCTCTGAATTCAACTATTTTTATTGTGGTGGTGGTTCTTTTGTTCCCACAGCTCTGCATAAGGAAAGAAAAATGTTCTTAAGTAGTGTAAATAAGCTATAAGATCTAAAGGATTAAGATAAAGTTTTTGAAACTGTACTTTGAGACAGAGCCCTGAGGCCTAACTCTGAAGTTCTCTAAAAATACACTAGTTTTCCCTTATTAAAAATTTCCTACACATAAATCACCCTATTTTACACACACACACACACACACACACACACACACACACACACTTTTCAGTGGTAGCCACATTAACATAAAACTTTTCTTCAGTCTTTAGTTGCTTATAAAAATGCAAACCCCTTTGGAAATGTTGTTTGAACTTAATAAAAACCAGAATATCAGTCAAACGAATCACAAAGTGCATGATGAAACTTATATATGTGTGTGTGTGTGTGTGTGTGTGTGTGTGTGTGTGTGTGTAGATACATACAGTTGTTTTTTTTTAAGAGACAAGGTTTCTCTTGTTGCCCAGGCTGGAGTGCAGTGACACAATCATTGCTCAATGCAGCCTCAAAATTCTAAGCTCAGGCTATCCTCCCAGCTCAGCCTCCCAAATAGCTGAGACTACTGGCAGGCAGCACCAACACCCAGCTAAATTTTTCACATTTTTTTTTTTGTAGAGTCAGGGTCTTGCTAAGTTGCCCAGGCAGCCTTCAAACTCCTGGGCTCAAGTGATTCTCCCACCTTGGCCTCCCAAAGTGCTGGGATTACAGGCCTGAGACACAATGCCTGGTCTCAAATATTTTTAACTCGACTGAAAACAGAGGAACAAAGTATATATTCTCCAAATCTACTGGACAGAAACAAAATTGAATCATTGACATCTTTTTCAATCCAAACCAATAATTCACTCGGAATGTTTATTTCTGCATTTAATCAAACATGTGTCCTGAAAGCATCTTGGGTTTTATGTGACTATTTTCCCAGGTTCCTTCATTCTTATAGGGAGTCTCAATTTTTCTTAGAGCTCCATTAGAGAGAAGCAGGTGTTGAACTTGGAGAAGGCGTTGGATTTATTTATTTTTTTCTCACAAAGTAATAAATATATAATAGTCATAATAGTAACAATAGTAACAACTACTGCCATGTTTTCTTAATTGGAAAACATTTTGAATCACACAGATCCATCTCATTGACTATCGCTTTTATTGAAATTTAGGAGGCAGCTAATATTATGTACAATAAATGCATCCAAATGAAATCAATGGTCCTAAAAGGCCAACTCATTTTTACCACTGGTGCAATTAAAATACAGCAGTAAAAAGCAGAACTGACATTGATTTTCCTTTTCTTTTTTGGAAGTAGATTCTTTCCCTTGATAAGCAATGAGAAAAAAAATGTATTCTACATGACTGTTTTTCTTTGTGTTATACAAGATTATTCTTTGTGTTGCACAAGATGTACTCCTGGCCATCTACTTGATAATGAAGCAAGTTTAGTATTAATTAATCCATTACTATGGTATTTTATTTTGCTTGCTGGCATTCAACTTACCCTAAAATACCAAAGGGAAAAAGAAAAGGAAAATGCAAAGACAGGAAGCTAGATTTGTCAACTGCATAGAATATGTCACTCAAAGGTAGATTTAAAACATTGATTTTCCAACATGGTGGGGAAGGGAGTATTCAAAATTATATTCTGGGCAATAGATGCAATATATTAAGGCACTACAGGTTTTTAAAGAAGCTGAAAGTAACAAAAGGAAAGTACTAATTATTTTATATATCACACCAAATGGATAATCTAAAAATTAAAATCAAAATGTAGAGTTGGCATTGGGGTACTTTTTTTCAACAGTTATATACAAATGTGTTTATTTATAACATGAGTGCTGTGGGGATAGGGAGAGGAAGTGACTTACCAAAGATGTTTTGATTTCATGGTTAACATTCAACTAGAAGCTTATCTGCCTGATGTACAGGCTATCGCATATAGGTGTATACCTTGAGTACAACTTCCTGTTATTCTTTATTCCTGTAAAACAAACTTGCTCCAAAGGAAGGAATCTTTTCTGCCAGAAGGCAACAACCTTCAGAAAAATAAAGATCTTTTGAGATCTTTCATCTCAATGAATTATGTTTAGACCCAGTGAAAGCTAAGGAGGCCTAATGAAGGGCATTTACAACCCCAGGTCACTGAGTCAGACAAGGGACCCCACCATTAGCCCCCATTTCCCTTTGAGAGATACACTGAACATTTTTTTTCCTGTCAATTTAAGGAACTTCCTTTAGTAGTCATTTCTCAAAAAGAAATTATGTCTGCATGTAGAATACACACATTACCCAGATTAGCTTGAAATTGGATCTTGTTTAGACAATCAAAACATCTTCAGCGATTCACTTCCCATCGCTGAACTGAAAAAGTGAAGGTACAAGTAACCATACTTCACACATAATTATGTCAAAAAGTAGAGTTTCACTGATTTGAGAGTTATTTCTGGAATTTAGCTTTACAGAATATCCCCCTCCTCCATCCCACATTGGCCTGATCCTCTTCCTCCTTTTCTCAGCCCTAGGGAGGTATACTTAGGTAGAAGTTGACGATGCAAATTACTTTTACATCATTGAGTGTAAATGAATCAATACCTAATCCTGGAGTAGGTGACTTGGTTCCTTTTTTTAAGTTATGGGTTTAAGCTGAGGAGGAAGATTCACTGTTTTATGCAAAAATGTAATAGTTACATTGAAAAGAACTAGAATTCTCATTAAAAACTATATTGGTTCATCTATATAAAACACACTAATACTCAAAATGTACCTATGTGGTTTGAAGTAAGGACAGTGGTGACCCTTATAGGGATGGGGGACAATGGCAGAAAAGGATAAGTGTCTGTTTCCTGATCCAGGTGCTGCTTACGAGGGGACAATTTCTGAAGATCCAGCAGGCTCTACCTTCCTAATGTGCCCTCTGGGAAACTTCCTTTCTATTCAATAACAAGAGTAGAAAATTTACAATCATGTCCAAGCAATGCTGTTCACTTTCAGATTTGACTGTGTGAACTGGCTGAAGATCCTTAGTATTTTTTCAACCCTTTTATTTTGAAATAATTATAGCCTCACAAGAGGTTACAAAGATGGCACAGAGAGGTTGCATGCATGTAGGCTTCACTCAGTTTTTCTGAGTGGTTACATTTTACATCATTACATCTATCTATCTATCTATCTATCTATCTATCATCTATCTATCTATCTATCCATCTATCTATCTATCATCTATCTGATGTGAGGGCAATCTGGCTGCGGCATCTGTCACCCCATTGATCACCAGGGTTGATTCGGCTGATCTGACTGGTTAGACGGGTGTCCCCTTCCTCCCTCACTGCTCCATATGCATCCCTCCCAAAGCTGCATGCTCTGTCAAAGAGGATGACCATCCCCGACAGAGGAGGACCAGTCTTCAGTCAAGGGCATACGAGTACCTCCGCTCCCATGCTAGAACCTCCAAACAAGCTATCTATCATCTATCTATCTATCTATCTATCTATCTATCTATCTATCTATCATCTATCTATCTATCTGTCTATCTACGTATCCATCTATCTATCTCAAAAAATATATAGATATCAAAAATATGTATGAATAGCAAAACCAAGATATGGACACTGCTACAATGTGCACGTATAGTTCTATATCATTTTAATCACATGGGTAGATTTTCATAACAACCACATGATGTAGATACAGAACTATTCCACTACCAAAAAGAACTCTCTTATGCTGTGTGTTTGTAGTCATACTCAACTCCCTCCTCTACACCATTTCTAATGCCTGGTAACCACTAATCTGTTTTCTATCTCTACAGTCTTGCCTTTCTGATAATATTATACGAATGGAATAATATAATATGTAGCCTTTTCAGATTGGCTTTTTAAAAACTTAGCATAATGCCCTTGAGAACCAGCCAGGTTGTTGCTTGGATCAATAGTTGACTTTTTTTTGTTACTAAGGAATATTTCACAGTATGATATTCCACAGCTTGTTTAACCATTTACTTCTCGAGGGACATTTTGATTGCTTCTGATTTTTGGATATTACAAATAAAACTGATATGAACAATCACATCTAGGTTTTTGTACAGACATAAGTTTTCATTTTTATGTGATAAATGCCCAGGAATGCAATTGCTGGGTTGTATAGTGAGTATATACTTAGTTGCCTTTTTTTGGTAAAGAAATTGCCAAGCAATTTTTCTGAGTTGCTGTACCATCTTACATTCCCACCAGCGATGTATGAGAGGCCCAGTTTTTCTACATCCTCACCAGCATTTTGTACTATCATTACCTTAAAGTTTCAGTTGTTCCAATAGGTGTGTAGTGATACCTCATTATGGTCTTCATTTGAGTTTTCCTAATGGTTAATGATGTTGAACATTTTATATGCGTATTTGCCATTCGTATATTTTCTTCAGTGAAATATCTCTTCATACTTTGCCCTCATTTTGTTTCTTTTATTTTTGTTATATTGCCTAATTAATTCCTTTAAGATTTTTTAGCATCTTTTTAAATAAAAATATTTCTCCCTGTTAACCTATCTACAGGTTGCTGTTTCTGCTAGTGATGAGCAGCGCTTTCCACTTGTGTCTGGAGAACCAGAGAGTCCCTGCTTCCCAGAGAGCCCCCGCTTTCTTCCTTCTCTTTGTTCTGACTGGAAAGACCTTTTCTAGACTCTTGGCCTCCCTTATGGGAGAAACCTCATGGTTTCTGATGGGAAGCGAAAGCATCTATTAAGATTCACATCAAATGACAGCTCTTCCAGGAAGCCTGGACTTTTTTACACCAAATATACATAATCACTAGTCTTTTAAACTGGCATAGTACTTTTACAAATAGTTCCCAGCGGTGCCCTGGTAGATGCTGTTTGTGTCCTCTCCATATGACACTCAGCATTTCTTTGCACACTGGCCTGATTTCTGTGCTAGCAGCTACTCCTCCCTGACCCTTGGTCTCTTTCTCTGCCTTCTTTCTCTGCCTTCCAGAGGTTGCTCTGCCTGGGCAGAAATGCTGGGAGGAGCCCTCAACCTATGGTAAATAAACACTTCAGCTTCTTTACTCCTTGTGTAGGATAACTGTGCTCAGAGTTTCCAAGTGGGAGTAAGTCCTGGTTGCCCATGGTGGGAACTGGCTTGATAACACACATTTCATTGGCTGATTTCCTTTCCCTTTTTCATTTTTCTATTGTCCTACTGAAATTTTCTGAGGTCCCCTCCTGAATAAATTTAAATAATTGTTTCAAGTTTCGGTTTTTGAGAACCCAAAATTAGGTAGCAAGTATTCCCTTCTACCAAGATGAATAGTAACCCACAAACCCCTGGTCGTTCCTACACAACAGAAAGCTCTTTGCAGAGAGAGAGAGAGAGAGAGAGAGAGAGAGAGAGAGAGAGAGAGAAAGCAAACCAACAGAGTATCCTAGCTGAAAGAAGAGCAAGTGCAAAGGTCATGAAACCAACATATTCTTGGTCTATTTAAGGAACCGCAAGAGACTAACAGGGCCAGAGAAAAGTGAGTAACAGAAGGACTAGAGCTGGAAATGAGCTCATATAGGAAAGTTCCATCTTTCCCCTTCTTCAAATAGGGAGTGAGGGTAGAGATGAAAACAAATGGGCTGGGAAAAATTTTTCTGGCCTAAGGGCTGTGGAAATGTAATATTTCTTATGAATGTCACCAGTGTCTAAATGGATCTTAAATAGTCTATCAATGCACACAGGCCATTTTTCCTGGTATTTAAATGTTATTAATATACATAGTCAAACTAATTAGAAACCTTAGGATCTTCCTATTAAATAGAAAATTAGATATATGAGCAAAGACAGCACATATTGTTGGATTAGATAGTATGAAAGGGTTGAAATGACAGTCTGTGAATTGGGCAGAGGTATTTCCAGGTTTCAGACTGGGATGTTCCCATTATTGCATTTTGGTTAGATCTTCTTTGGGGTACATCCTCATGTTATTAATCTCAAAGATGAATCAGCCTAAATCTTGACATAAATCCTCCCCAAACCAAAGGATAAGAGCATTAACCCCAACCAGCTATATCTGTGACTAGAGGCCGTGAACCTTTTTGGCAGAGCTGAAAAATAGATTTCATTCTTGACCTGAGACATTGCTGTCTATCTCAGAATTGATCAAAGTCTTAAGACTCAATAACTTTGAGGAGGAGAACATTCCCTGGAGGCCAAGTTGAAAGGTCTTCAAATCCACTTCACTTCCGACTGAAGGTAGACTTCCACGATTTAAGTTATGTCATGAACAGAGGGGAAAAAGATAAATGTAGTAAGCCCATTTTGGCATTTTCCTCATATGCATTTTCAGGAAAAAATTTAAGGAGGGATGATTCATTTGCATTAGGCTGGCTTTCTCTTAGTTAAATACCTTTGTTTTATGTTCCTGTTATTCCATCTTCATAATAAATTGCCCTAAAATGTAGTGGCTTAAAACAATAGAATTACTTTGCTTACAAATTAGCAGCAGAGCTTGATGGGGAATAGCTCCTCTCTCCTTACGTGTCTTCCACTGGAAAGAAGGCTGCAAGATGAAAAACCTAAAACCCTACTCCTTGGCATGTCTGCCTGTTGATGGTGGAAAGACTCCAATAGTGCTGGTGAGGCTGGGGCTCCTAAGGCATGGCTCTCTGTTTCTATAGGAGATCTCCATGTGGTTGCCCCACATTGCAGCTTCATTCAGTAGATGAACTTCTTACCTGTTGGCTCAGGGTTCTCAAAGTGTATGCCCCAAAGGATAGTGTCAGGAAAAGCCATATTGCCTTCTAATGCCTGAGGATGAGACATAGACTCTAACTCTCAATGGAAGAGTGTCGATATCATCTTGTAGGATAAGCACATGGGATATGATATACAATGGTGTGGTCATCTTTAGAAAATACTGTCTGCCATATTTTGCTTCTTATAACATATGCTGAACTGCAGAACTATGAATTCTCTCTCATTATTTACTAGACAAAATAACTCACAGCTTTTAAGGCCTGACCTCGATTCCTTGAACAGAACAACTGGAAATGATAAAAAGATTAAGAAAACACTCATATTACATATCACACTCAACATTTTTGCACATGGGAATTGCATTAGAATCAGACAGAACTGCATTGGAATCTCAGCTCTGTTATTTTCTATGCAGGTATCTTCATCTGCAAATAAGAATTCCTATCTCAGGGTGGTTATGGTGATTAAATGAGAAAATTCACATAAACTCTGAGCAGAGTACCTACCATATAGCTACTGGTTTTAGTAGGGAGTGGTAGTGATGGAGATAGAAATTAATAGTAGTAATTACAGTGATGTACTTAAAGGTGTCTATTTTAAGTCATGTCAATAGATTTTCTTCTGCTGCTCATCTAAATTTCACAATAAGTAGGCTCCCCAGCCTCACATGCATTAGTGTTTAGAAATTTATGTAAATCTGATTAATGCACTTTGATCTGAATTAACCAGAGTCAAATCAAATTCTCTCTCAAAATAATACCTCAGCTCTCGTTTTGGTTCAGCTATTCACAGTGAATTGCTGTGGAACTTGGGACTGGCAAGCTTTGTGCATTTGCACAACTACAACATTGCTTAGGGTTGGTCTGTTCTACTATAGAATACCTGTTGGTTAGGAAGGTCGGCAAAAGTCTCTTTCATTAATAGTAAGTATGTGGCATATGCCCTTCAGCAGAAGACTGTCGCCCTTCAAAGAAGCCTTGTGAGCCTACCAATGCCCTCTGTGCTCTCTTCTTCCACTTAATATCTTGAGGGTGCTTGTTGTCTGTACTCTTCATGTAGCTTGTAACCTCAAATTCTCCTGTGGCCTCTCTTGCATTGCTTTTGCAACAGGTCACCTGCTCTTACTCACTAACTCTGCATTTGATGACTAACTTGTAGAATCTTTGAGGGCAAGTGATAAGTATTCTGCTTCATGGATTCTTTCATCCGCATATATATATTCAACACCCACTACTTGCCAGACACTGTTCTTAGTCCAGAGAATTCACAGTGAGCTACAGAAACTCCCTGTCTCAGACTGCGCTCCTCTAGAAGCTGACCTGGAGATATGGGTTCATCTTCAGGCAGTTTATTGGAGAAGTGATGTCAGAAAACACCAGTAGAGGTGTGGGGGAAGTGGGATGGCAAGAAGAGGAAGCAAGGAAGAGGTATGTTTTCCAGAAGGTTAAACACTGGGGCCAACCAGAGCTTCAACCTATTAGGGAACCCGAGGAAACACCTATCTTAGTATTACACACTTGATGAGTGAGGGAGCTGGGAGGTTTATATTCCCACCAACTCCCATCAGGGCTGCTTGCAGGGAGGGGCCGCATGAATTCCTGAACCCTCCTGCAAATCTGAACTCCAGCAACTAGAAAAAGCTTGCAGGCGAATAATTGTACATAATAAAAGATGGGCCAGTGTGGATTGAAGTAAAACTTGCTGAGACTGTGTGTCAGTTTCCTAGGGCTGCTGTAACAAAGCGCCACAAACTGGATGGCTTAGAACAACAGCGACTGATGGTCCCACATCTCTGCAGGCGCGAAGTCTGAAATCAAGGTGTCGGCAGGGCCAGGCTTGCTCTGGAACTGCAGAGGAATCTTCCCTTGTCCTTTCCTAGCTTCTGATGGTTTGCCGGCAATCTTTGGCATCCCTTATCTTGTAGAGGCATCGTTCTAATCCTCTACATATGGTGTTCTTCCTCTGTCTTCACTTTGTCTTCTGTCTGTGTCTAAATTCCCCTTTATATAAGGACGCCAGTCATATTGGATTAGAGCCCCACCCCAATGAACTCATTTGAATTGATGACTTCTGTAAAGACTTTTTCCAATAAAGTTACATTCTGAAGTTCTGGGGGTTAGGACTTCAAATACATATATTTTTTATGAGACACAATTCAACCCATATCAGGGGATAAAAGTCAGTATGCTGACAGCATCTGATGTAGTCTCTACTTCAAAGGATCTATACTCTAGTACAGGGGTCCCCAATTGATACCAGCAGGGGTCTCCCCACGATACCGGTCTGAGGCCTGTTAGGAACAGGGCTGCAAAGCAGAAGCTGAGTGGCAGGTGAGCAGCATTACCTCCTGTGCTCCGCCTCCTGTCAGATCAGTGGTGGCATTAGATTCTCTAGGAACTCGAACCCTGTTGTGAACTGCGCGTATGAGTGATCTAGGATGCACACTCCTTATGAGAATCTAACTAATGCCTGATGATCTGAGGTGGAACAGTTTCATCCAGAAACCATCCCCCCTCCATCCATGGAAACTTGTGTCTTCCATTGAGGCAGGAGTATAGGTTCTGGAGTGAGGGAACCTAAGGTCGTTTCATGCTGACTTCCTAGAACTAAATTGAAAGGAAAACCCTAACTTTCCACGCCTAAGGGAAAAAAGGACCAGAGGCTACTCCCTTTGCAAACCCCCGACCTTTTCTGCCAAGCAGATGGGAAATTGGCTGTCCGCAACCAATCAGACTGATGGCCGGTCCAGTCTTCCTTTGCCTAGAAGTGCAACTTTGTAACTCCACCTTAGCCTGTGATTGATTACAAAAAGCAACCAATCAGATATTTGCACAGGAGTGTGAACTTCATTAACTCCACTTCAGTCCACTTTGTAACTACTCTTCGCAACTCCTCTGATTGCAGGCCACCACTTCATTTACATGAGGTGAGCATGAAGTGGCCAGTGGGTATTTGGACCCGAGAAGATTCTGTATCCGGGCCTTTGAGCCGCTGCTCAGGCTCGTTCCCACACTGTGGAGTGTACTTTCATTTTCAATAAATCCTTGCTTTCGTTCTTTCGTTGCTTCATTCTTTCTGTGCTTTGTTGCGCATTTTTCCAATTCTTTGTTCAAAACGCCAAGAACCTGGACAACTTGCAGTCAAGACCCTCTACTGGTAACACCATGAAATCAGTCCCTGGTGCCAAAAAGTTTGGGAACCTCTGCTCTAGTAGGGGAGAACAATAAAGAAAACAAATAAATACAATGTATAGTATACATGAAAATGATAAATGCTATGGAGAAAAATGAAGACGGGAGGTAGGATGCTTCTTGGTATTCTCCAAAAGGGTTCGAATAGTTATGCACACACAGTTGGGGGTTCAATAAATATTTATGAATGTCACGACTAAGTGTCTGAATATACAGAGTGTGCTATTCATATGATCTTTCATTTGATATTTAATATCTATCAGTGGTCTGCCTAGTAGTGTACTAGGTCTCTGTGGAGAATCTGAGTCTTTTTTTATTTGAATGGTTTATTTACTCACTAAGAAGTTTTGGCAGATTTATATGTGGACTGTGGAGTTCAGAAAAGTAGTGACCAATTAGTTGTATTTGTAATCTCTCTGGAGAATTATTTTGAGGAAGAATGGTTAATACACATACACACACATATAAAACCTATATAAACACATATATAAAAACACATTTAAATATAAAGTGCCTCAAAAAAAAAAAGCAATTTGGTAAAACATTAGCCTGAAAATAAAATACCAATACAGAACAATTTCTAGTTTACTTAATGAGGACATGGTGATACCTCTCTACCTATTTCATGAAGCTTTTATTTGGTACATTTACTTTAATTTTTTAATGCATAATATCTCGTTAACAATTCTGACATGGGCTTTCTAAACACTGAAGTTATAATTATATAAACATTTCTGGGCCGGGCATGGTGGCTCACGCCTGTAATCCCAGCACTTTGGGAGGCCAAGGCAGGCGGATCACGAGGTCAGGAGATCGAGACCATCCTGGCTAACATGGTGAAACCCCATCTCTACTAAAAATACAAAAAATCAGCCAGGCATGATGGCGGGCGCCTGTAGTCCCAGTTACTCGGGAGACTGAGGCAGGAGAAAGGTGTGACCCCAGGAGGCGGAGCTTGCAGTGAGCTGAGATCGCACCACTGCACTCCAGCCTGGGTGACAGAGCAAGACTCCGTCTCAAAAAAAAAAAAAAAAAAAAATTTCTGGCTCTGTTTTAGTTTCATGGTGGTGGAAATTATAGCCATAAAAATCCTCTAACTGTATGTATTATAGGGAGAAAAATGACATTAATCCTGAACAATGGGTAATAATTGAGACGTGTTGTCAAGCAGTGCAGTGACAAAAAATAACCTTGCTGATCTCCTCTGTATCTTTGAATAATTATCAGCTATAAAAAAGGAATAGGTTGGTGCTATAATCTTTTTGTTTTTATTGGGAGAAAGACTATTTTAATCTTATTTTGACAGTCCCTTATCTAAACTATTAACAATTTATTCATTCTGTATTATTAGATTAAGTCACAATTGTGATCACTTATGACTGGACATTCTCTCAGCTCTTTCAGATCTTGCTCCCTGGGCTCTGTGCCCTGAGACCCATGGGGTTCCACTCAATACCGGTCTTAAATACATAGTTTTTTTCTGAAAGCTACTAAGCACAGCTTGAATGCCAGTGCTTTCAATTAAACCTTCTAGGTTTTGTGCTGGTGTTAAATAGGCCACCACTGGGGTTGGTTGCTTCCAATAAATGTAGAACTAAAGGCAACTGTAGGGTGTAGAGAGAGATGATCCTTTAAACCAATATAGTGGAGATAAAAGATTGAACAAACTGCTCTTTTTCTTGCTTGACTTAGAATAGACATGTTGTAAATGATACTCTTAAGCGACCAAAACACAGTAAAAATATCCAGTGACAAAGGAAAAAAGGAGAGAAAATAACTTTTAGTTAGCTGTGTTAGTTATTGGCAATGCATATATCAAAACAGGAAAGATGTGATTTCATTCTTCAGGGTTGACTTTATACTCAACAAGATTACATGGTGAAGAGTCATCAGAATACAAGATTACATGGTGAAGAGTCATCAGAATAATCAATCTTCCTCCACTTTCCTTCTAACAGTCTCTTCGTGGCCTGTGCTGAGGACTACATCAGTCTCCTGCAATTATCATCTACACTGAAAAACAAAGAGGACAGAGGCGAAGCTAGTGGCCCTCACCATCCCCTGCAAGCTGATTGCTTCTTACTGCAAGCACTTGAGCATCTTCCTGAGAGCTTTCTTGGGCAATGGGAACCAGGCTTGGCCCAATCACAGGCAGGTGAAGTATGAGGAAATGGAGAAGGCATTGTCCAAGGAGCAGTCTTCAACCTTCACCCCGCAAGTGAGACAACTCTGAATAAGATGTGTTCTACACTCTCTTCCAAAGGTCCCCAGTTGGATGGAGCTCTAGCTGCTCATGTGATAAGCTGCCTATTAATACACAAAAGATTGCCTTTCCTCCTTGCTCTGTCTTCCTGCTGCTCTCCTACTAATGTTTCCTGGGATTGCCTCCAAATAAACCACTTGAACTCACATATTAGTGTTATTGTCAGTTGGAAGATTTTAGTGTTTTAGATATATAGGAGCTCTTCCGCTTTTAAGATTGCCAATTTCTTCTTTCTTCAGAGCAGTATTCATACCTGGACCGTATTATTTTTTTCTGGAAGTATTTTATTATTGCTTAAAAATACCAGGAAGATTACCATGAAAACTGTACATTTATAATTTAAGGATGGAATCTTCATGTAGTTTCTTAAACCTCGGAGGTGAAGGTATTACATATTCCAGAAATTCAGGAAACTTTCTGTGTTATAGAATAGCAGGATATTGAAACCTACATTCTCTGGTTAAGAGAATGCCTACATGATTTTTAAATAATTGGTCTATGGGCTGCCCATGGTGGCTCACATCTGTAATCCCAGCACTTTGGGAGGCCAAGGCGGGTGGATCACTTGAGGCCAGGAGTTCGAGACCAGCCTGGGAAACATGGTGAAATGCCGTCTCTACTAAAAATACACAAATTAGCTGGGTGTGAGGGTGTGTCCCTGTAATCCCAGCTACTTGGGAGGCTGAGGCACAAGAATTGCTCAAACCTGGTATGCGGAGGTTGCAGTGAGCCAAGATTGCACCACTGTACTCCAGCCTGGCTGACAGAGTGAGACCCTGTCTCAAAAAAAAAAAAAAAAAAAAAAAGAATTGGTCTGTGAATAGTGATAGCAAACATAGCATATTTTTCTTATTCAAAGAAATAATTATTGAGATCCTATTATGTATATGTTTTGTAAACTGGTCCCCTATTCATGGTGGGGCCCCACTTAAGCTCAGGACTAGATACTTACCAAATCCTGGAGAAGGGCCTGTTTGCTTCTAAGTTTCCTTGCTTTGTGGAATTTAAAGTGATTGTCATACCCAAGTAAGAGATGCTTAGGGGGTGAGGAGAGGATTAATACAGAGGCTAAGTTCTTATTCAAATGCAGCTCAGTTTTAGATCTCATTTTATGGCCATCATCCCATACAGATTTGCCAAGAAGCATTCCAAAATGATTCTTGACGATTAGCTATCAAATAGAAAAAGAAATAAGATACTTGGCCGGGCGCGGTGGTTCATGCCTGTAATCCCAACACTTTGGGAGGCTGAGGTGGGAGGATCATGAGGTCAGGAGGTCGAGACTGGCACCACAGAAGTCATTTCTCTAGTTTATCCCTTCAGAAGTGGCTTACATGGTATAAGGCACTGCAAAAATAAATAAATATTTGTGGCTAGTACCATAATAGCATATCCCCTTTGATGAGGAAGACCTTGAAATAAGTATAAGTATGATGTTACAGGGACAGAAATGTAGAAACAAAACTTTCATATAGGATATATACTGTGTACTTGTGTTAGTTCATTTTGCATTGCTATAAAGGAATACCTAAGGTTAGGTAATTTATAAAGAAAAAAGATTTATTTTGGCTCACAGTTCTGTAGACTGTACATGAAGCATAGTGCTGGCATCTGCTTCTTGTGGGGCCTCAGGAAACTTCCAATCATGGCAAAAGGTGATGGGGAGCAGACCTGTCACATGGTGAGATAGCCAGTAAGAGAGAAGCCAACTCGTTGAAATTATATATGTTGGCTGGCTAAGGAACAAGTCTAGTGTAGTCTGTCTCTCCTACTGATTACAACTAAAAAATCTGGGCAGAATGTGAATAGAACTGCCCAAGATCTCTGCAAAGTAACCACAGCAAGTGGGTTGAAGATTGATGTCAAAACATGAGTAATGACCCAAAAGGGGTAGAGCAGAGGGGTGGGATATGGCAGGTGAGTTTCGTGTTGTTGTTTTCTTTGTCTGTCAGCATTGTCTCAAGAGGGGGTTTAAGTCCTAGAACTGCACAGCAGGTGCTGAAAGCAAATGCTTTAGGGAAGAATCCCTTCTTTTTGACTAAAGACAAGTAAAAAGGACCTCTGTATGCTGGAGAATGTGGGGAGAATCCCCCATCTCCTTTTTTAAATCATTTACCTCCAGACCCTGCCCAGAGCAGCTCAGTAACTGAGCTGCATAGATGTCTGGCAGTGAAGAAAAACCTAAAACCATGGCAGAAGGCTTGTCTTTCTAGCCAGAGGAGCTAAAAAGAAGCTCCTATTGTCCAGAGTGTGTACAATCCATGCCATTTTTCTCATTCTCTTTTCTTTTTCCACTTAACCTTAAAGTAACCCTATTTACTCAAAAGTACATGACGTTGTGAGAGGCTAAACATCTAAGAAGATTCAATCTTTCTGGCTAGAGATACCAGGGGAAAAAGGTCATTGATTATGGGAACATGTGGGAGAAAATTCAGAGATGAAAGAGCTGAAGAAATAGAATTCCAAATTTCGGGTATGTAATGACATAACTCTTGGACTCACCCTGAGCTAAGTATGTGTGGAACAACACCAAGGCATAGCAAAGATTGTGAGGGCTGAACTACAATATAAACTATGACTCAAATTTCAGGCTCTTCTCCAAGTGCAGCGTGCATCAGCCTGGCCCAAAGAGCACAGTAAAGACTTTGAAAACAGAATTGACATTGGGACCACCATCATTGAAGGTGAAACTTCTTGACAGTCTGAAGCTAATCATGTTAATTATCAGTTACTAAAAAAAATTAACATTTTTTAGATTATAACAGGACCTACAAACTTGCAAGATGAAACTAAAATGTTCTGGATACAATCCAAAATTATGTGACATAATAAGAATGAGAAAAATCTGAAAAATTTACTGTCTTCAAGGCAAAAGACAGTAAATAGATGCCAAACATAAGATGACCTAAGCCTTGGAATAGTCTGTCAAAGACTTTAATGCAACTATTATAACCATCTTCTGTGAGATAAAGTTAATGCTCTTGAAAGATAGAAGCTCTCAGCAAAGACATAAGTAAAAAACTACCAAATGGAAATTCGAGAACTAAAAAAAAAAAATGATAGAGCTTCAACATGCATTTAAAAAAAACCTGATAGAACTGCAAGAAAAAAATTGGCAAATCCACAACTATAGCCTATATTTTAGTATTTCCACTTTAATAACTGATAGACTAGTGTATTCGCCTATTTTCACATTGCTATAAAGAAATACCTGAGATTGGGTAATTTATAAAGAAAATAGGTTTAATTGGCTCATTGTTATGCAGGCTATACAGGCAGCATGCGACTTCTGCTTCTGGGGAGGCCTCGGGGACCTTTTGCTCAGGTGGAAGGCAAAGCGAAAGCAGGTATCTTCATATGGCTGGAGCAGGAGGAAAAGAGTGAGAAGGGAGGTGCTACAGACTTTTTTTTTTCTGTTATTATTATACTTGAAGTTGTAGGGTACAAGTACACACAGACTTTTAAACAACCGGATCTCACAGTAACTCACTCACTCGCTCTCATGAGAACAGCACCAAGAGCATGGTGCTAAACTATTCATGAGAATTCCACCCATATGAGCCAATCACCTTCCACCAGGTCCCATCTCTAACACTGGGGATTACAATTCCACGTAAGATTTGATGGGAACACAGATTCAAACCACATCAAGTAGGTAGTCAGAAAATCAATAAGTATGTTGAAGACTTCAACAAAACACTCTTTGCAGGTGCAAAGAATGGAATATTTACCAAGATAGGAGATATTCTGCATTATATTACAAATCCTTATAAATTTAAAAGAATTAAAGTCCTACTCAGTGATATGGTTTGGCCGTGTCCCCACTGAAATCTCATCTTGAATTGTAGCTCCCACGATTCCCAGGTGTTGTGGGAGGGACCCTGTGGGAGATAATTGCATCATGGGGATGGGTCTTTCCTGTGCTGTTGTGATAGTAATAAATCCCACAAGATCCAACGCTTTTGTAAGGGGGTGTTTCCCTGCAGAAGTTCTCTTTTGCCTGCTGCCACGTAAGATGTGTCTTTCGCCTTCTGGCATGATTGTGAGGCCTCCCCAGCCACGTGGCACTGTGGGTCCATTAAACCTCTTTTTCTTCGTAAATTATCCCATCTCAGGTATGTCTTTATCAGCAGCATGAAAACAGACTAATACACTCAGTATGTTCATTCATCACAATGGAATAGATTGGAAATCAATAACAGAAATATCTCTAGAGAATTGCTACGTATCTAAAAATTAAATACCACACATCAAAATAACCCAGAAGCTAAAGCAGAAATCAAAAAAGAAATTAGAAAGTACTTTGGACTGAATGACACAACATATCAAAATTTGCAGGACTTTGCTAATGTAGTACTTAGGAAGAAATTTATAGCACTAACCACCCATAACAGAGGAGAAGAAAGGTTTCAAATCAGTGTCTTCAGTTTGCATCTCAAGGAACTAGAAAAAAGGCAAATTAAAAACAAAGTAAGCAGAAGACAGGAAATAATAAAGTCAATGCTGAAATCTAAGAAGTAAAAAACAGGAACACAGTAGAGACAAATATTGAAGCAAAAAGCTGGACTTCTGTGATGATCAATAAAAATAATAAAACTCTAGCAAGCATGATTGTGAAAAAAAAGAGAAGGCACAATCTATCAATGTCAGGAATGATAGAAATGAGACCATTACACGTTCTGTATATATTTAAAAGATAATAAGGGAATACGATGAGTGACTTTATGCCAGTAAATTTGACAATGTATGTGAAATGGACAAATATATGAAATGGACAGATTTCTTGAAAGACCTAAACCACAAAAGTTAACTCAAAAAAATGATAGCCAACGTATATGAAATGGACAAATATATATGAAATGGACAAATTTCTTGAAAGACCTAAACTACAAAAGCTAACTCAAAAAAAAAAAAAAAAAGATAGCGCAAACAGCCTTTTATCTACTTAAGAAATTAAATTTGTAGTTAAAAGCCTCCCTACAATGATAAATCCAGGGCCAGATGTCCTTACTGGTAAATCCAGTCAAGCATTTAAGTAAGAAATCAAAACAATTCAGGTAAACTCTTCTAAAAATTGAAGAAGAGGCAATACATCCCAATCCATTCTCTGAGACCACTACAACCTTGATATCAAAATCAAAGCCATCACAAGAAAATAAAACTATAGACATATATTCCTCAAGAATATACATGTAAAAATTCTAAATAAAATTCAACAATTTTGATAAAGATAATACTTCATAACTATGTAGAGCACATTCCAGGAATACAACACTCAAAAGTAAGTCAATTTAATTCACTATAAAAAAAGCAAGCAAACAAAATCTTTGTGATCTTTGACTAAGTAAAGAGTTCTCCAATACACCATCAGAAGCACAATCTGTTTTAAAAAAGATAAATACAACCTCATCAAAATTAAAACATTAGCTCCCTGAAAGAACCTATTAGAGAATGAAAAGAAAAGCCACAGACTAGAAGAAAATAATAGCAAATAGAATATCTCATAAAGAACATTTATTACAGCTCAGGAAAAGGAGTGGAAAAAAAGATTTATTCATAACATATGAAAAACACTCAAAAATTCATTAATAAGAAAACAAGCCAAAAGTAAAATGTGCAAAATATTTAAACAATTCACTAAAGAAGATATATTGATGGTAAATAAGCCCGTAAAAAGAAGTGCAACATCATTAGCCATTGAAGATATACCAATTAAAACCACAGTTGGATACCACTCCATACCTATTAGAATGGCTATAATAAATAAAAACAGCAATACTAAATGCTGATGAGGATTTTGAGCAACTGGCATAGATAGATCACCTGCGAGAATGTAAGATGGTACAGCCACTTTGGAAAGCAGCTTGGCAGTTTCTTACAAAGTTAACTATATGCTTACTATATGACCCATCTATTCCACTCCTAGGTATTTTCTCAAGAGAAATGAAAATATGTTGGTGCATAAACCTGTACACTAATAGTTATAAGCAGCTTCATTCATAATTTCCAAAACAACCTAATGTCCTTTAACTGGTGAAGGGATTAAAGAAAGACTACTGAGAAATAAAAAGGAACAATTGAAAACTTTCAGTGAGATGGATAATTATTTTATTATGCTAATTTAAGGAAGCCAGACTCAAAAGACCACTACTGTATGATTCCATGTATATGACATCTCGAAGGGACATACAAAAGGAATCGATAATGCATCAGTGTTTGCAGAGGTTAGGGTGGGGGAGCATTTGAGCACAAAGTAGGAGGAAGAGAGAATTTTTGAGGAAGATGAAACTGTTTATTGTCTTGACCATGATGGAGTTTACATGACTTCATGCCCTTGTGATACACAGAATAATGGCCCTTGACAATGATGTTCATATTTGAATCCCCAGAACCAGTAAATATGTTAGGTCACATGACAAAGGGAAATTAAGGTTATGGATTAAGGTTTCTAATCAGTGTACCTTCAAATAGAGAGATTATCCTGGATTATCCAGGTAGGCCCTGTATCATCACAAGTATCTTTAAAGGTGAAAAAGGGAGATGGAAAAAGAGGAAATTTGAAAAGGACTTAGCTTGCCTTTGCAAGGCAACCACAAGCCAAGGAATGTGGTCAGCCTCTAGGAGATGGAAAAAGTCAAGGAAACAATTATCTCCTGAGCTTCCATAAAGGAAGACAGCTCTGACCTCAACTTGATATTAGCCCAGTGAGAATCCTACCAGACTCTGACTTACAGAGCCTTCAGGTACTATATTTGTTTTCCTGAAGTCACTAAACTGGCATTTTGTTCTGGAATCAATAGAAAATTAATACAGCGTTCACTTGTGAAAACTCATAGAACTGTGTATCAAAAGAAATTAAGTTTACTCATGCAAATTTACAAGTAAATTAAAAACATTTAAAGTTGCATATGTGGCTCACCTTGTATTTCTATTGAACACAGTGATTTAGACCATCTCACAAGTAGGAAACAACTTTTTATTGTGAATATCTAGAACAGTGGCTGATGGGAAACACCCCTCATAACTATCAAACACATAGTAGATTCATATGTGAATTTAAAAAGTTTGCTGGTGTTGCATTTCTCTTTTTAAGCCTATCTGCCAATCCCCCTACAATCATGAGGCGCCCTCAAGTTTCTCTCTGATACATTTTCCTCTTTCTGACTTATTCCTTTCCTTTGTTAGAGCCAGGGAAGATGTGGTGGATAAATCTTTTGTTTTAAAATGAATCTGTGAGGACAAGGACTCAGTTTTCAAAACCCAAGTTTAGTGCATATGAACAAATGCCAGAATACTTTAGGAAAATGTAAAGTTTGGTTGTCTTCAAGGAGTATGGATGAAAGGTGACACTAATACAAAAGGTAATTATTCTGCATTGTTTTCTGAACTGAGACACTTCAGTATTACTGTGAATGTTATTTTTGATCATGTAATTTTCACAATGCTTATATTCTTTAGAAAAGGATTAAGAATTTCATATTTTTGTTTGAAAAGATGAGACAGATTGCTCTTACTGAGATAGCAATGTTCATGTGTAAAACTCTCATCATTAATGTCTGAAACACAGAAAATTGAAAGGAATTACGAAGATTGTTAATTTTCACGGCAAAAGTTGAGACACATAGTTTAAGGAGATTCTTCACTTTTTGGAAGAATTTTAAACCAGCTATGTCCCTTGGAGAGGAGATATAGACACCTGAAGTTACAGGCAAAATTAGTGTGCTTTTTTTCCTGGATATAAGGAACATGCCTTTCATCAGCATCACAAAGACAACAGGTATGCCTTCGTAGATGCAAAAAAGCCCACTTGTGCATTTGGTACTTGTGGAGAAGAATTCTTTCTTTTTTTTTGGCAGCGGGGCGGGGGGGGGCGGGAGGCAGGGGGACGGAGTCTCACTCTGTTGCCCAGGCTGGAGTGCAGTGGCACCATCTTGGCTCACTGCAACCTCCACCTGCCAGGTTCAAGCAATTCTCCTGCCTCAGCCTCCTGAGTAGCTGAGACTACAGGCACGCGCCACCATGCCCAGCTAATTTTTTGTATTTTTAGTAGAGATGGGGTTTCACCATGCTTGTCAGGCTGGTCTCGAACTCCTGACCTCATGATCCACCTTCCTCAGCCTGCCAAAGTGCTGGGATTACAGGCGTGAGCTACCCTGCCTGGCCCAGAGTTATTTCATATATATTATTTGCATATCAGTATTCCAAAGTGTGTTTTATAGAACACTGGTCACATATGCATATTTAAGAGGAAAAGGATTCCATGATGAAATTATGGGGAATGTATTCAACTACATATACTTTTGGAGATTCTTAATACACATTACTATTTTTTACATCTTATAGACCTCGACTGAATTTATTTGATAGATAAATACTTGACTCCAACTCTCACTGGAAATATATTGTTAGTGCATCTTGTAGATGCAACGTGAATTTAAAGCAATATATTTATTTGCTTGAAATCTTTGTTGAAGTCTCATTTGTCCGTATATTTAGATTTTACTACTTCAAATTCCTGAAGAAATCTGTTCATCTGAAAGCAAACTGTTTATATAAAAGAAGAGTGATATTTTAGCTTGTGAATGATTTTGGCTAAATATCAGTCTTTAATATCTACTGAAAAGGGATATACTTTCTTGATTAAGAAGAAACCGTAACTCTATTTTAACTAGATCCTACAGTTCAAAACAATCAAACCCACCATATTACTGTTTTTTCCTGTTACATTTCATGGAAAACTGCTAGAAAACTTCCTTATCTAAATTACTCACTATGTCTTGGGCTTTGGCAGGCACTTTATTCACTATCTCATTTAATTCTCAGCACACAGTGTAATATTATACAGATGTGGGATCCTGGGTTCAGAGAGGTTAAGAATTTTTTTATTAGCAGCTTTATTGAAATATAATTTGCATACCATAAAATTCTTCCATTTAAAATGTACAGGTTAGTGGTTTCTAGTGTAGTCACAGAATTGTGCAACTATCACCAAAATCTAATTTTGAACACTTTTATCACCCCAAAAAGAAACCCCACACCCATTAGCAATAAATCCCATTCCATCCTCCCTTCCAGTCCTAGGCAACTACTAATCTACCTTCTGTCTCTATGGATTTGCTTATTCTGGATATTTTATATAAATGGAATCATACATATGTGGTCTTTTGTGACTGGCTTCTTCACTTAGCACAGTGTTTTTTTTGTTTTGTTTTGTTTTTCTTAGACGGAATCTCACTCTGTCTCCCAGGCTGGAGTGCAGTGGTGCGATCTCGGCTCACCGCAATCTCCGCCTCTCGGGTTCACGCCATTCTCCTGCCTCAACCTCCAGAGCAGCTGGGACTACAGGTTCCTGCCACCACGCCCGGCTAATTCTTTGTATTTTTAGTAGAGACGGGGTTTCACCGTGTTAGCCAGGATGGTCTAGATCTCCTGACCTCGTTATTTGCCTGCCTGGGCCTCCCAAAATGCTGGGATTACAGGCGTAAGCCATCACACCCAGCCGGCACAGTGCTTTTAAGCATATGGTTGATCCATATGGTGGCAGTGTCATTACTTAATTTTTTTAATAGTTGAATAATATTCCATTGTGTGGATATATAACATTTAAAAAATCAATTTATAAATTGATGGACATTTGGATTATTTCCACTTTTTGGCTATTGTAAATAATGGTGCAATAAACATTTATGTACAAATTTTCCTGTAGATGTATGTTTTCAATTCACTTGGGTTTATACCTAGGAGTGAAATTGTTATGTCATATAATAACTCTATGTTTGAGTTTTGAGGAACTGCCAAACTGTTTTTCTCAACCTGGATAATCTCAACTGGCCAATCTTCATGTTCACTGATTCTTCTGCCAGGTCAAATTTGCTGTTGAGCCTCTCCAGTCAATATTTCATTTCAATTATTGAACTTCCCCACTCAAGAATTTTTTGAATTCTTTCTATAATCCTATCTCTATTCAATGAAACATCATCAAAATTTTCTTTAATTGTTTAGACATAATTTAGCTCTTTGACTATATTTATACTAGCTAACTTAAAAAGTCCTTAACTGTTAAGCCAACATCTGAATTACTTGGGGACATTTTCTATTGGCTGCTTGTCTTCTTTTATATGGGCCATACCTTCCTCTTTCTTTGCATGTCTCATAATTTGTTGCTGAAATTGAGACATTGTAGATAACATAGTAGCAACTCTGGTATCAGACTTCTCTCCTTTGCCCCTCACCCCACTTAACAAAATGGTTGTTTCCACTTTGCATTTTGTTGTTGTTACTTATTTGTCATCAGCTTTCCTAGAGGAATCCTCTAGATTCTATATTCCCTGCAGTATGCAGCCCATGACTTCCTTACTAGCATTTTTTGTTTGTTTGTTTAATTTAAGTGTTATTTTCAGTTTTAAGACTGGGTTAGAGTTCACTCCTGGGTCAGTACACTTAGGGATTAGCCACTGATCTGTCAGGTTTCCTTAACTGCCTGGAGTCATGGAGCTCTCTATGCAAAGACACACCTTCAATCTTCAGGCAGCATAGGAGTCGGCTTTAGCTTTCACCTCCTGCTTATGCATGACTTCAAGGTCAATAAGAGCTGAGTGTTTGGAGCTTTCACCTTTCCCAGGTCTTTCCTGGGCACGCCCTACTCATGTGCATAACCCTGCACAGGCACACATCCCTTCTAGAGTCTCAGAAATATGTCAGAGCTTTTTAAAGTTCCCTATGGTCATCTAGTTCTCTAAGTCATCCTTTTACATTTTTGTCCAGGGTTCTGTTTGCCCCCAGTGAAATTACAGCCTTAGGCAGCTGTTATGTGACAGTGTTACCAGGAGATTGCTATTGTTTTCATTCATGCCCTCAGGATAGTACTTTTTTTTTATCTGATCTGAGATTCAAGTCAAATCAAATAGAAAAAACAACCTGCCTTAGAATGGGGATTTACTGGAGAGCAGCTAATTTGATCAACATATTGACTATCCTCTGGAGCTGCAGCTTTTAATGGAGCTCCAAAGAGGTCAGTTTTCTCTGTTGGCTGCCAGGCTGCAGGCATTTTATAGTCACCTGGCCACTGAGCTGGGAATGGCGGTGGGATGGGAATAGTCCCAAGTGAAAATGACACAGACTCACTGTTTTAAAGAAATGATTGTATGTGATTTTTTTTTGCTTGTATTTTTATTATTTTATAGGGAAGAGGGTTTGCCAAGGTCCTCATTCCACTGTTTCAGCTAGAAAATCTAAACTCAGATATCTCAGAGTAAAATACTCAGGCTGTTAATCCTTGTGCTTAGTTTACTTAATAAATGGCTTAATGAATATAAAGTGCTTAGAAGAGTTTTGGGCATATATAGGTAAATATATAATTTTGGGCATATGCAGGTAAATATACATGATAAGCATGTAAGTTATGAGTGTTAGCTATTATTATCCTTTTCTTTTGTCCTCCCCAAGAGTGGCTTCTCTCTTCTGCTTCCATTTGGAGCACAGTGAATAGATTATTTGAAGCTACAATGCTATGAAGCCATTGATAGCTGAGAAAAGCATTTAAAATGTATTTTCACAGATTTAACACAGTAAGTACAGCCGTGCAGAGGGCTTTAAACTCTAAGGTAGCATGCTGCAGACAAATACATTCTACTCAAACCTGGGTATAAAAGGAGGGCTAGTTCTAAACAGTGAATGGAGACAAACAGCGTAATAACCAAGGTATTAACTCATACTTAGGGTCCCTTCCTTCTTCAATTTAACATTTCTAAGTTAAAAAAAAAAAGTTATTTTCCCCTTAAAAACCTAATTGAGTAGAAAAAAGTATCCTTTCCATTTTAGTTTGTAAGCTGTACTTCTGGGGACTGTGGCTGTTCATAGTGAAGCTGCCAATGAGAGCATATTCTGATTCTAAGTGAGATACATAGGAGGAAATTGGGAGCCTCCTGACAATGACATTTTACCTACATCTTCTAATTGGAAAACAACCCCCAGTCTACATGGAATAGGGAAGTGTGAACCGGACTAGTGAATCCTGTGGGGAGAGACTCTTGTGGGAGGTGGCTATCCATGTCCTGGAGCAGAATGTAGAAAGAGAATATTCTAATTTTTCAAAGAATAAAAATTACCTAAAATAACAGCAGCTCTTAATAATCTATGATCAATTGACCTAAAATCTCTGGGGGATAGATCTAGTAGTCTTAAAGAGTAAATAAGAGAAGGCTGAATACCTATATTTATCAATGAAATGGAAGACCCACTTTAGGCTGAAACTGGCATTTGGACATGAAGAAGCAAGTTTGACAAAATCAGGGGACATGCTGCCAGATGCCAATCTCCATGATGGGTTTTTATTTTATTTTTGATTGGAAAAAAGCAAAAAAAGTGGCTTTTTACAAGGATGCCAAGGTAGAAGGGGCAGGCCAAGTCATTCTCTTGACTAAGGTGCCCTGCACATGTGTTCAGGGGCCCAGGTTTGGGAACAGAGCATGGCCTCCATCTGCAGGCTTCGGAGGCTCCAGGGAATGCTGAGTGGCCCCAGGGTTTGAAGCCTTGGAAGCTCAAGGAGGACGACCCAAAGATTCCTTTACCAAACTCTAGTGAGGCTCTTTTGAGCCCTCCTCTCAACTAGGTCTAACCTTGGCTTATAAATGTGAGCAAACACTAGCACAGTTTCTAACAGCTAAGGCCACATCCCTAAATGACCCTACCCCTCTTTAAAGTGACTGCCTGAGAAAACTCAAGGCTGCCAAAGAAGATTCACTGTTTGTTGTGGCTGACACCCAAGGATAGGGCCTCTGACTTCCAGTCTCAGTGGGAAGATAGAATCCTAACTTTGATTAATTGCTAGCTGGCAGACACAGCTGGCCTAATGGCATTTAAACTGACTAACCCTTTGTAATTTTTCACTTCTCTGACTCTACTACTCCCCTCCACCACCATTTCCCCCCTCCATATTCCCTTACTCTCTCTTTAAAACATGCATTCACATCTGAACAAATGGAAGTTGAGTTCAGTACATGCTGCACTCTTTTCTCTATTGCAACTCTTCTTATTGATTAAAATCTGTCTTTACCACTTTAACTAGAGCCCTGTGTTGTTCATCTTTGACATTCCCCCAGCAAAGTTGGCACTGAATTGCAATGGACAATGCAGCAGCTGCTCTCAGGTAGAGGCCCTCAACTAGAAGGATTATCAAAAACCAAAGCAGTGATGTGTGAGTTTGAGACCTACCCCTTAGGAATCCTGGAAATAATTGTGTGAAGCTTGAGGAAGGGACTTGAGGACCTACATTTGCCCCCTTGGTGTTATGCTCCAATCAGGAAAATTGCAGTGAATACGACTGCTTTAATGTCTGTAAACTAATGAGGATTGAAGACATTGTAATAGTCTCCATTTATTAAGCACCCCCTACATGCCCAGCAATGCAATATATTCTTGTCTATGGTGCTTAAAGCAATTCTGTGAGGTTGTTTTCACTCTCTCCATTTAATAGATTAAAAAGTAAGGCAAAAAAGGTGGAGCAACTTTCCCAAGAACACACACATAGTATTTGGCAGAATCAAAATTGAAACTCAGATCTTCTTCATCCAAAATACAATTCTCATTTCAGTTCACCCTGTCTCATGCCATCTGTAGAAGCGTATTTCTTAGTTAGACCCTCAAAATGTCTGCATACTAATTTTGAGTAAGTAGAAAAGGCCAATACAGCAACAACAACAAACTTCAAAGAAAAAGGCAAATATTAATAAATGATAAAAGGCATTTTTACTGTTAACATGTTAATGGGTCCTACACAATCACAATGAGCAACCTGGGAGAATGGAAAAAAAAAATGCCTGCATGCAAAGGGCACAAAGAGTGCAAAAGAAACTTGACTCATAAGGCTATTCACGTAATAATTTACAGTATGGTAGCTGAAGTGACAACTGCTTCCTGTTCATTTACCCAAGTTGGGGAAAGAAAGTCGCTTTCAAAACCTGAAATGCTGATAATTGCCTATGTGAGGCTTCATTTTAGAGAGAAAAGCATTGTTGAAGCTGGAATTGTTCCAGTGAAAAGATGGTTAGTGTTGAAACGATTTGGGTGAAACTTGTGGATTTGATGAAGAAGAAAGAGGAGGACGAAGAGGAGGAGGAGAAGCAGGAGGAGAAGGCAGCGGAGGCCAATTGTGTTTAAATATAAATTAAACCATTTCCTGCCAGATAGAATAAGTGCAGAATTGCTCAACAAATTAGCCGGCAGGACGTTCCCATTCCAATCAAGATCATGCTGATACATGAGAGGGGCTAATTTTTTGGATTAACAATTTTTATCGAAAATTTTCTTTCTCAAGGATCTGGGCCCAGACACCTTAGCTAATTTATGAAGTTGATTTTCTAAGATGTTAGAACTTTAGTACTGAGAATGATAATGAGGCCTACTGTTAATAGACTGAGTTCTGTCTTCCGTGAATTCATATGTTGAAGTCCGAATTCCCAATGGGACGTATTTGGAAATAGGCCCTGTAAGGAGCTAATTCAGGTTAAATGAGGTGATAAAGGTGATGCCCTAATCCAATAGGACTGAGGTCCGAATAAATAAAAGAAGAAATATCAGCGTTCTCTCTCTCTCTTCCTCTCTCTGCACATGCACAGAGATAAGACCATATAAGGACACAATGAGACGATGCCTCTTTGCAAGCCAGGAAAATAGCGCTTACCAAAAACCAACTGTACTGGCACCTTGAACTTGGACTTCCAGCCTCCGGACTGTGAGAAAATAAATGTCAGTGTTTAACCTGGTCTGTGGTATTTTGTTATGGCAGCCTGAGGACATTCATATGGGAACATAGCAATAATTCTCAGATTTGGGTGTGGCTATTTTGTGTGCCTTACGGTATTTTGTCATTGTCCTTCAGTCCGCTGTGTTATCAGTAGATATTGTTTCAAGATAAGTTTCAAGTTTCAAGATATTGTTTCTAGAGAGTAACCACAGAGATTCCCAAGCTGTTGTAACTACTCTTGGATGAATTTTAAAATGAATGATGTGAACTGTGTTTAAGTGCCTTTCTCTTCTCCATTTAATTTTTTCGCACATGATTTACATTGACCTATCTGTTTTCTATCTGTCTTACTTTTCTTTCAATCATACGTAGTTTTGTTACCTTTAAAGTTGCTATTTAAATACCACTTAAAAGTATTTTTACAAGGACTTTGCAATATCACAGGAAGAGTTTTGGCCTTTTAATTCCATATGATTTTCACATCCATCCAGGAAGGAGAGGCGATCTGAGAAAAGTGCAGATGAAAGGCACACAGTTTTCAAGTTTTCTAGAACTCACTAAAGATGTGGATGAAACAAAATTGTCCCCAGGTGTCTACCACTAGGCCATCCACTCTTTCAATGTAGTTTTCGAGCACTGATATTGAACTAAGTTAACAGGCATGCAGCAAGGCAACTTACGCAATCTCCAAAGTACTCATTTAATCTATCATAAGACAACCCCACCAGACCCCTTATTTTCCCTAACCCTGCTCCTCTGTGAACTCTTTAAGGGAAGAGACCCTGTGCCTTCTTACCTTATCTCAGTGTCTGCAGTGTATCACACTTATTACACACTCCAAAATATATGTTTAGTTGCATTGAAGGCCACTGGAACTAATTAATACTTATTGTCCTTTAAAAACTGGATTCAAGAATAAAACTATAACAGAATTATAGCTATTTTACCATAAGTGCATTTTAGAGTCACTCACTGAGACCCAAAGAATATATTCATTTCCTTAGAAAACAGTGCACCTCTACAATTTCATGACAAGTCCATCAAACAAAAGAAAAGAAAAGTGGATCAATTTAGCCAGACAATAAAAATTAAGTTACTTCTATTTTGACTAAAGAAAGCATCTTCTTTTATGGGAGAATTTCAAAATTGCAAATTACAATTTAAAATGATAGCTGAAGGGCATAATCTACAGGAAGGCAATTTTTGTAAGATATATTAAACTTGAACTTTTCTATTATATTTGATGAGATGTAGAATCACAGCATTTTAAAACATGAAATAAGAAAGGGGCCTTGGAGAGCTCCCATTGCAAACCAAATCACACACACACACACACACACACACACACGAAATCTCTTTTCTATGTGTAAAAATGGAAATTTGCTTTTGAAAGATAGAGCCGCGTTTCCCCAGATGTCTCTTTGCCAAGTGGTTTTCAAATAAAGACACGGATAATAAAAATTTCTGTTCTCTTAATACATGGTTAGAACACACACACACACACACACACACACACACATTCACATCACAGCATAAACAAAAAAAAGCAGGCATCCATCATCTGGTAAAGATATTACCACATGTTGCCATGACACCTCACAGGATCGCTAGGTGGCTTGCCCACCTGGGAGAAGCCTTCCGTTGCATCCTCCATACCTTATTAGACTTAGAAGTCTCAACATTTTGTTATGTTTTGGGGTTTTTGTTTGACTATAGTCAATAATAATATATTATAAATTTCAAAATAACCAAGAGAGTAAATTTCAAATGTATCACCCCAAAAAATGTCAAGTGAGACAATAGATACGTTAATTAGCTTGAATGAATCACATTATTATAAACATTTGTCAAAACATCACATTGAACTCCATAAATGCGTACAATTATGATTTGTCAATTTAAAATAATACAAGTTCTAAGAAGAAAAAAAAAATCACCCTTGTATGAGTCTCCTTATTCCCTAATCTGTTTAACGATGTTAGACACTAGATTCTGGTAGTGCTTGGGAGGGAAGTGACAGGAAGGAAATGAAGCAAGTTCCTGAACTGCTTAATGTTCTACTTATTGATAAGGGTGTTAGTTATATGGGTGTGCTCACTTAAAAAAATTAATCTATAATTTACTTATAAATCCATTATAATTCTTGCACTGTTGGTATGTAGATTATATTTCGATAAAAGTTATCAGAAATTTTAGGTCTCTTTTATAATGGATGGGAGGGGAATAACGGGGGAAAGCTGGTCCAAAAGTTGATGAGAGGATCATCACGTTCTATATGATCACTATATCCAAAAAGATGAGAGGTCAAGGTGAGTCTGATCTCTATGCTTAAATGTCAGTGCCTTCTTTCAACCCCTTGATTTCCAGCTTTTGCTCTTGGAGATAATTGAATCCAGTGGCTAATGCCAGGGAGCCCCAATAATTGAATCAGCATTTGCTTGAACAAGGACGTTTTATTGTCCTCTTTTAATTGTGTGCATGCCCTATGCCACTGACATGGACAATTTTAGCTAAAAGCTAAAAGCCTCCCAGGTTATGAGTAAACAGGGTGCTTACACAGGCTATTTCAGGGACACAGCTCAGCAGGATTCTTTAGTTTAAATAGAAAGCAGAATCTGAATGAATTACTTTGTTCTTCCACAAAGAAGAACATTGTTCTCATGTAGGCATCGATTTATTCATCAATCAGTCACAGGGCATCTCCTGTACTCCAGGCACTGTTGTAAATGCTGGGGATAGAGAAAAAAAGCCACATGTAATCCCTGTCCTCATGGAACTAATAATCTAGCCAGGAAGTCAACTCATTTAACATATCTAAAATGATGTCTGTACCGTAAGAGTGGATTATATAAAAGGCCTTGAAACCATAGAAAAAAATGAGTAATTGATCCTTTCCAGGGATCAAAGGAGACTTGAGTGAGAGCGCAACAATTGGGGTTGGTTGTAGAGAATAAAGTAGAGCTTTCAAAGAGAAAAAGAGGAATGGGGAGTCCAGCCTGAGGGAACAGACTCTGCAAAGTCAGCACTGTGAAAGCGTTTGTGCTGTTCACTGACCACTGATCATTGATAGAGGGCTTGTGTTACAGACCACAGGGTCTTACACTCCTCATGTAATGGAAATTAACACGGGGCATCAAGTAGATTTCCCACATAGGTCTCTGTTGCGGGACAAGGGAGACAGCAGAGACACAAGGATTTTCAGGCTGGCTCCCTGAAAAGAGTCAGTAGGTAGGGATTTTTTTTATTAGGCAAAGCACAGGAATTGACATCAGAGATTAGGTATGCAGACTGGGCTGGGCAAAGCCTGTATGGGGTAGGGTATAAGGGCAGCGTATCTGGTTGCGATGGTTATCTTTAGTGATGGGCCGCATGCTGGTCTTGCCTGCAGCAACAAGGCTATAAATCAGTTGTTCAGAATTCCTTCTCAAGGTGGGACACTCCACAACCTTTGTTCAATTTTGGATCTCTTAAGACTAGTTTCTGGAATTCTTCAAGTAAAAGGCATGGTTAAACATTACGCAAGTACAGGAGAACAATATAGAATGGCTATTTTCTTTGCATGACTGTTAATGGCTGTGGCGTCAGTGAAATAGTGATGTGAGTTTTGTGACCAGTGGAAATGCGTAAAAAAAAATGCTCTAGTCGGGGGTGAGCTGAAGCCAAGCCTTGCTCCTACTGTGTCTCACTTGGAAAGAAGAGCAGGAGTGAGGGACAGCCAGATATTTCAGGCTGGATTATAAAACCATAGAAGATGCTGTTGGTCCCCACCCAGGTCCCCTTTGCCGGGCCAGTGTGTTCTCCCTCCAGCTGCCCTGAGAGTTGGCTCATGGCTTCCTCCTCCAGAGAATTCCCCTTGGTCTGTAGGAGCCACCTCACCCAGAACTGCCTGAGGGGATAGAGCCCTCACCTCTTGGGGTAATCTGCAACAAATAGCTGACTGATCTGGAGGAGATGAAAGCCTGTGGCATGCTTCAAGATGAGGCCTGTGCTGTTTATGCTCTGTAATGTAACGCATCCCATTAGTTGACCTTTATGAATAAAATATGTGTGTTTTCATCCAATAGGTGCTGGGGTGATTGTACATGTTTGCTGTAGACTGTTATTCTGTTCACTGCAAATGTAATTGTCTTTCCAAAACTGTAACTCTGGTCTTGATCACTGGCATGTGAGAGCGAGAAATTTATGTATTTATATAATTTATTCTTAGTCACAGAGGCAGGTAATTTATCTTTAACATATGAAATACATAAGAAAGTCATTGCAAACTTCAAATGAAGAAATATTCATTAAAAATAAAGATGTTGGCCTGGTGCAGTGGCTCAAGCCTGTAATCCCAGCACTTTGGGAGGCCAAGGCGAGTGGATCACAAGGTCAGGAGATCGAGACCATCCTGGATAACACGGTGAAACCCCGTCTCTACTAAAAATACAAAAAATTAGCCGGGCATGGTGGCGGGCGCCTGTAGTCCCAGCTACTCAAGAGGCTGAGGCAGGAGAATGGCGTGAACCCGGGAGGCGGAGCTTGCAGTGAGCCGAGATCGTGCCACTGCACTCCAGCCTGGGCGACAGAGCAAGACTCCATCTCAAAAATAAATAAATAAATAAACAAATAAATAAATAAATAAATAAAGATGTTATGCTCCCTTTTTATTTTTAGCTAAGGAAATTCCACTTAACCTTCAAAGCTAAGTTGAAATTTCATTCATTTATGAGAGGAGGATGAGGAAGGTAATGTTTATTCCTGTTTTTCTAACCAAGAAGCCAACTCTTTCTCTGAATTCCTGTAAAATTTAGTTCAGCCCTTTTCAAATTGCCATCTAATACCCTCTTGGATTTCAACTACATAAACATATTGTGTCAATTAGCTACCACAGCATAACCAACACCCCAAAACTCAGTGGCTTAAAATAATAAAAATGAATCATTGGTCATGACACTATAGATCGGCTAGGTGGTTCTCTCTCATCTGGGCTTGCAGATGTGTTTGATGTCAGCTGCAGATTGGGAGCTGGTTCTCCTCCTTATTTGGGGCTCTCTCACATGTTTTGGACCCAGCAGGTTTTAGGTGGTTTAGAATAGTCAGGAGACAAGTGGGCTGCCTTCCATGTGGTCTCTGTGGTCTAACAGGTTAGGCTAAGCTTGCTCACATGACAGCTGGGCAGGCTTCTGATAGAGAGCCTAAGTGTGCAAAGCTGCTGGAGGCCTGGGCTTGAAACTTCCACCTTCTATTAGTTGAAGTAAATCACAAGGCAGACCAGGTGCAAGGAGTAAGATATGGGTTCTACTTCTTAGTGGGAGGAATTGTAAAACCACACTACAATTAACGTGGTTCAGAGAAGGGTGGAGAATTGGAGATTCTTTTGCAATGATGAATATTTTACATCTATATGTTGTATGCATGTTTGCTTTCTGTCAGTCTAAAACCTTCTTGAAGATAGATAATATTTTATCGGCTTGTATTCTAGTATGAACAGTGGTGTTTCAAATGATACCTAAACACAGCATCTCTTCCCCTTTTCTTTCCCTGATAATAGCTGTTTGCTCACCCTTTGGCATGCTCCTCTACCCTTAACCCAAACCATGGGTCAGGGAACCAGAATAAAACTCAGGCTGTGACAATGAGACTCTTTCTTTAGAAAATTCAATCTAGCAGGTCCACGTAAGGAGGATATGTATTGAAGCTGAGGTTCACTGCATTCTTGAAGCCTGTTCTTTTAAAGCTTCAATATTGGGAACTTTTCAGTATCCTTCAATCAATATTCTTTTTTGTTTTTCTTGAGGTAAAACACCTGTCATAAGGACCTTGCACACTCCCAACTTTCAAAAGTTTGTTGAGCGGCTGAATGAAGGCAAGAATCCTGTAATCACTGACCATCTTTATTATGTAAGAGTAGTTAAGAGTGTGCTCTCTTAGAGTATAAATACCTTTGGTTTGGTCTGCCCTGTAGCCATTCTCCAGGAATTGACACTTCCCTTGTCCACAAGGTTAATGGGGAGCCAACAGGTTATTCCAAGGACACCTTAAGTCATGGCCAAAGTACAGTTGATAAGGGTGGCCAGTAAATTCCCAAAATTTGTGAAAAGGGGACTGAGGGAAACCAAAATATTTCACCCCAAAATATTCTGCTTTGACATATTTTAAGATTACCTCTCAGAGGGCTGGAAATACAAGATTAGCTGAGAAGCTATCTTTGTGGGGAAGATTTGCATCTGTAAAGCAAATCTGCATTGATGCAGCATGGCTTTCTCTGAGGCTCTTCCTTGTCCAGATCTAGGAAAGGTTAACTGAGTGTCTGACATCTTTAAAGGTCTAAAAGAAACATTTGCCATCTATCTCTCTGAAGGCTGCTGCCTGTGAGGTTTCCTCTGTGTAACAAGGCCCCCTTCGCTAGCCAGGCCTGCTCTTCTCTTCCTCCTGTAACTTGTTTCACCACCATAACTGAATTTACCACCATAACCTGCTTCTGGCCATGCTCTGAGTCCTCATTCTCTCTGTAACCTCAAGATTGTGTAAAACCATCAACCATCTAGCCATTTCCTTGAGATCTCATATTTTATAAGACTCTTGTGCATATTAATAATAAATTTGTATGCATTTTTGCCTATTAGTCTGCCTTTTGTCAATTGATTTTTCAGTGAAACTACAGCAGACCAAAGGTACGTTTTCCCTCATTCCCTACAAAAACAAGACAGTCAGTGATCTGAAAACATACAGTGTTATATTTACATGGTGTGGAGCATATTTCCAGCCAAGTACAGAGATCTGTTTTGTGAGAGGTATGAAGACGTATGAAGTCATCTCTCCACGCTTCAATTTCTATATCTGTAAAATGGAAACAACAACATCTCCGTCCCAGTGCTGTTTAAAATATTAAATATGGTGGTGAGCATCCCAGCTACTCAGGAGGCTCACTTGAGGCCATACATTCAAGGCTGTAGAGTGCAATGATCTCATCTGTGAATAGTCACTGCACTCCAACCTGGGCAACATAGAAAGATCCTATCTCTAAAAAATTAACAAAGATATTGAATGTGGTATTGAGTATGAAATATTCAATAGTAGTGTGCTGTTTCATTTCTTCTTCTTCTTCTATATAGATCTTCTTTCACCAAATATTTAATCTGGGGGTTAACCATTTTTACAACAGATCCCATATAAAATTCCTATTACATGCTAAGAAGTTTGTTATAATTCTTACTTGGTAAGAATAATACTGAATTGTTATTCCTAGGATATAGGAAAAAGCAAACTCAGTTTCTCCTAAACTTTCACAACACAACACAGAACACTTCTATGAGCAAATGTATGAGGGTTTCTCCCTACACACCAAGCAAGCAATTCTTTTCTGCAGCAGATATCAGCTGAATCTCCTCTAATTCAATTCAATTCTGACGCTATCTACCTGGAAATCGTGTCAGATCCCATAGGGCTCAGTCCCACAAGACTGCCTCCCACTTCAGACATCAGTTGCAATTCCCAGCTTCCAGAACTTCTGACTAACTGGATGTAAGTTAGGGTTCCCATGACCCTCCCAGTTGTATTAATTTGCTAGGATGGCTCATAGAACACTTACTTGCATTTGCCAGATTATCACAAAGGATATTACAAAGGATACAGATGAAGAGATGCACAGGGCAGAGAAGGTGGGAAGGGGCATGAAGCTTCCATGCACTCTCTGGGGGTGCCACCCTCCTGGACCTCCACGTGTTCGGCTGTCTGGAAGGCCCCAAAACCCAGTCTTGTTGGTTTTTTGAATGGAAGTGTCTTTATGTAGGCATATTAATTAAATCATTGGCCATTGGTGATCAGCTTAACCTTCAGCCCCTCTCTGCTTCCCCGAGATTGGAGGGTGTGGCTGCCTTGGTCTTTCTGGTGACCAACCCCCATCCTGAGGCTCTCTGGGGACCAGCTGTCCCCAGTCACCTCATTAGCATATAAAAAGACATTCATTATTCTGGAAATTCTGAGGATTTTGGAAGCTATATTTCAGAAAACTAGGATGAAGAGCAAATACAGTTGTCTCTATCTCTCTCTGTATCCATGGGGAATTGCTTCTAGGATACCCTCCTTCATACCAAAATCCACAGATGCTCATGAGTCTAATATAAAATGGCATGGTATTTGCATATAACTTAGGCACATCCTCTTGTATACTTGAAATCATCTCTAGATTATTTATAATACCTAATACAAGTGCTATGTATAGTTGTTATACTGTGTTTTTGAGAGAATGATGACAAGAAACCAAGTCTGTACATGTTCAGTACAGATGCAACCATCCATTTTTTGGAATATTTTCTATCCAGGGCTGTTTGAATCCATGAGTGTGGAACCCACAGATACGGGGGGCCAACTGTATATATGTCACAGTATCATCACACTTATATATCATCACTCTAAGTGATTTGTATATAGTGACTGATTTAGTTCTCACAGCAATGTCCTGGATAGTGTTAACTAAAGACCATGAGGATCATGGAGGAAGGAAAGGAGAAGACTTTATTTTCAGAGGGAGAAACAATCCTAGGATGGGGAAACACTGCTTTCAGGGAAGTCCAAAAGGGCTCAGAAGGGGGAGGGGGGAGCTGCTCTATATTCCTTATGTTACCAGCCAGGTTCAGATCTGTCCTGCTGGTGCACGGTAAATCAATTACTGTGACATAAGTTTTGTAAAAGAAAGAAGATTTATTCACAAGACTGCCAAGAAAGGAGGTGGGAGAACAGCTCTCAAAAATCCGCCTCTCTGAAGGTAAGTCTCAGAGATATTTATGGGTTAGGGAAGTGTGGAGGCCTAAGGCATGGGAAAAGTGATTGGCAGTGGGGAAAAATGAAATAACAGGTTTGTTTTTCACAAGTGTAGTCGAGGTTCATGGCATTTCACAGGATGTACATGTAGAAAATGGACAAGTTAGCATGATCTGAGGGTGGAGCTTTTGGCCCTCTCATGTCAAAAGGCCACCTTTCAAGCACTTGTGCAGGCCCAGTTGAAGGATCCATGGCCTCAATTGGTTTGAACTGGACAGGAGCTGGCCCAAGTTCCTAAATAACAATTGAAGTGACAAGTACCACGGTGACCTATACACGTTATCTATGACGTAGCCAGTGAAGGTTAAGTTGCTGTGTTCAGCAGGAAGGCCTTCAGCTACTGCAACCTTCAGCTTCATGGAAAAAGGAATTTTAAAAAGGTATTAAAAAGCAAGCAACCACAAGCAAGCAGGCCACACAGACCTGATCAAATTAACTCCTCAGTTTCACTTACACAGTCTTACATACATATTGAGCAGTGTTGCAGAAATTCTATGAATATTCACTGGGAAAGTCAGGCACTTATTTGCTCACTGGGTAAGCATATGTGTTACATACACCCTATGTTCACTTTGGGGTGGGGTTTTAGTATTAAAATGAGGTGGAATTCAGCTCTTTAGGTCAAAAGGCGAACTACAGGGCACAAAGACAATTTGTGTGCAGTCTCCACAAAGGGGCTCAAATTGGCTTAAGGTCTGCAGCCATTCATCAATAATGAGTGCTTATAAAACTGGTCCTCTGTCTAACTAGAGCTATGGCAGGACCACAAGGTTGTTGTCCACTGGCTTCAAGCTGGTCTATCAGATTTGCTTAGGAAATTTTCCAGTTGTAGTTGTTTCAGTAATGCTTTTCAGGAGCTGGTTTCTGCTTAATCACAGGAAAAACCTTATAGCAATGAATAACACTGGGGTACATGATCAATCCCTCATCCTCTTACCCAAGATATTCTGGGGGGTTTTTTGGTTTCATTTTGGCCACAAAGCATACATTTCTTCTCTTTGTTGTGGTGTATTTTAGAAGTAGATACTTTTACATTTTTACAGATGAGGAAACCAATGTAAGACACTGGGTCAAGACACGTTCAACCCAGTCTCTTACATCTCCTTCACTCAGATTGCTTGCTCGGTGCTTCCTTCCTTTGAGCTGCTTTGGCTCACAGCAAAAGCAATGATATCTCTGTGGCCCTCAGGGTAAACGGATGAGGCTGGAGGTGACTGGATGTTGGGGCTATGCTTGGCTCACACACCACCAAGGATCACCTTAGGGCTGAGAGTATGAGTATTTTAAGTGTCCATCTGCAGATATACAAAGACACACACTTTAGGGTGACTTTAGAATGATTTTTTTTTTTTTTTTGGACACAAGTTCTGACTCTGTCAACCAGGTTGGAGTGCAGTGGCATGATCTTGGCTCACTGCAACCTCTGTCTCCCAGGCTCAAGTAATCCTCCCACCTCAGACGCCTGAGTAGCTAGGACCACAAGCGTGTGCCACCGCGCCCAAGTTAATTTTTTGCACTTTTGGCAGAGATGTGGTTTCACCATTTTGCCCAAGCTGGTCTCGAACTCCTGAGTTCAGGCAATCCACCTAACTTGGCCTCCCCAAGTGCTGGCATTACAGGTGTGATCCACAGCACCTGGCCTAAAATAATTTTTGACAACAAAGATTGGGGCAGAAAAATACTTTTTCTGATATGCACTCAAGCTCAGGTAACCAGAACACACAACATTCTCCTGTTTCCCCAGCAAATGGACAAGAGGCAAAGTACATTGATCTACAGCATTATGACATTTTACGAATCAAGGCTGATTCTACTTGTCAAATTACTTCTTGACTGTGAGCAAGTCCCACTGAGTCCTTTTCTGATATAATGGACAAATGCTTGGGTTTCTAGATCAGCAATAAACATAAAATGGTTTTAGAATCCATTCCTCCATTTTTCTTTACCTGTGTTTTCCTTTTTTTTTTTTTTTACTGAGAGGAAGGATTCCCATAAGTAAACGAAATATTTTTGATATGCAGCAGATTCTTGATTCTGAAATGAAAGTGTTTTGCTCACAACTGGTGGAGAGAGGACTTTACCAGCCTTAGTTTTTGCCATGCCTGTTAAAGAGTAGTATACCTGTAGCTTCATTACTGAAGAGGTGGGCTATGTTTTAAAATATGTGAATAATTATCTCTATAATGAAATTCTAATGGAAGGGAATGGCAATAGAACTGTATGTAATTAGAAGTCAATCCAGCAAATCATTCATTGATGAAGAGAGAAAGAAAGAAACCCATCAAATAATTAGAATTTACATAAAGCTGTAGTGAGGGAAGTTCATAAACTTTCACAAAAGGCCTACTGTGTGACAGTCACAATACTCCTCCAAATATTACACAACAGTACAGTGGTATTTATTACAGCCCTGTGTAAGAGATGCTGTTGGTTGCCTTGTCTCAAGGTGGGACCAACTCTGCAGTGTAATTCTAGCTCCAGAGCTATTCATAGTATCAGGCAGAAGTTTGACTTTAGCTGAAAGCACACAGCCCTTCTTAGCACCTTCTCCTAACTGTTTTCTGCTGTCTTCACTCCCTTTCTTCTGAGAGCACATTTAACAAATTGTTCACACAAAATTCCCCATCTCAAGCTCTGTTTCTTAGGATTCTGACTTCAGATACTCCATTTTATTAATGGGATTACTGAATTTAGCAGAGGTTAGAAACTGATCAAGGTTATCCCAGATTGTACATGAAAGATCTGGTATAAAAACCTGTCTTAACTTTCCCAAGCGATTTCTTAGTGTAATTTTTATTGAGAGTTGGCGGCTGAGATAACTAAAACACTCTTCCGTCTGTCTCTGCATTTCACTACCTAAACTGAGCTGGTGAGCACAAATTAAGTCTTACATCTGAATTGCTGCCTCCAGGTGGTCAGTATCTCTATTCAGATGTTGAAGCCATCTCAAACGCAACATATCTAAAACTCCACCCTTTGTTTTCCCTGAAAGCTGCCCTTTTTGCAGCCTGCTCTATCTCATTTGATGGCAACTTTATCATTCCAACTGCCCAGCCAAAAACCTTGGAGGCGCCCTTGATTGCTGTTTTTCTCACATGCCCTACCTCGATTCCACCAGAGAATCAATTTTGTTTCTTGACATTCAAAATATAGTTAGAATCTGACCACTTCTCTCCACCTGCACTGTCATCACTCTGGTCTGAGTTGCCATTATCCCTTGTCTGGGTTGGTGCAAAAGCCTGTTAACTGGTCCCCCTCCCTGTGCTACATACAGTTCATTCTCAACACCACAGCCAGAGCAATCCTCTTGTTAGGCAGATCACTCTGCTGGCTCTCATTTCCTTCAGGGTAAAAGGCAAGGCTTAAAGTGACCTACAAGACCCTACAAAACAGGACTTGCTCCAAACCCACTACCTCTGTGATATCTCTCCTATGGCTCTTCCCCCTCACTCTCCACTCCCTTTTCACTGGCCTGTGCTGTTCCTCAAACACACTGGACATGCTTCTGCAGAAGAGCCTTTCCATGGATGGTTCTCTCTGCCTGGGCCACTGTTTCTCGAGATATCCGTATGTCTCCCTTTTTCAACCTCTTTGGGTTTTTGCTAAAATATGAGTTTTCTATTTAAATGGCCTTAACTCGAACAAACAAATGATTTCTTTATCATACTTTACTTTCCATTTTTTCTATAGCCCTTACCTTCTTCCAATATAGGATGACGATTATTTATTATTTTTAAATATTTTACCCTTCCCTCCACTAGAATCTAACCTCATGAGAGCAGAGTCTTTGTCTGCTTTTGGTCCCTGATATGGCCCATGTGTGCCTATAATAAACCAGCACTCAGTAGGCACTTAATATTTGTTGAATGAACTTTCCCTGTTTCAGTTTGAGTATCAGCCTTTTGATCAATGTGGGAGCTGTACAGAATAATATTTTGAAGTTGAACGACCAGGGAAATAACAAGCAAAAATTTCCCCAGTATATGATTATACTATTGAGTTCACTGAAGTAGAGAATGTGCTTGTGAACACACACATACAGGTGTGCTCATAGGGACACACACACACATGCATATACACACACATCTTTTGCTCCTGTTATCAAGTTGTTCTTTTTCCTTTCCCTTTAAGGTAAAACTTCATCCTTGAAGCATTGAAGAACTGCATCACATATCAATCAAGGACATTGGAAAAATCACTTTTATTTGATTAGCAGCTAAAGAAGAGCACAATAGAAAATCAGTTACTTAGGAAATTTCAAATGAAACACCTCAGGTGGTCTATTTTAGGATGAGCTAACCACCTTAACTCATCTGAAAATTTAAAACAAATATTTTTTCCCTCTTAGGTTAGCATTTTCTACTCTGTCAAATGACATTTTGTCGTTCCTACACAAAATGGGAATACACACTTCATGGGGTGCTACAAAGTCCACATTCCCATGGACTAAAATGCTAATGGCCTATTTCCATCTTGCTTGCTCATCAGTGTAGTCCCAAGCTGCTAAGGAAGTGATTATATCATAATAAATCTCTTCAACTTCATAAAAAGACATGTAAGCATATATATGGATTAAAAAGAAAACATTGGAGGAAGCCGGCTCAGAATATGACAGTGTTCGCTTTGAGGTGCAGGCCTCTGGGGAATTGAGGTAGATTTCTGGTGCACACCTCTTCTGAAGATTTCTACAGGCTCCGGAACACTTTGTGTTTTGTTGAACAAAGGTTTCAATTCCCTTCAAAGGTAATTCTTCAATTTTTAAAATTAGGATGCTTCCTTCAAACTTTAATATTCTTTCACCTTAAAGAAAAAAGTAATACCCTAAGGACTTAAAATATCCTATTGTGGACACTTTACTTCTTCAGTTGTATTTTTACCACTTAGATAACTGTGAAGTTTGCTCTTTCATCCATTTCCAGAAGAACATGGAATACAAGTGATATGATTGTTCTTTTGGATAAAACAAGTTCTGATTGTTTTTGGAAGGTTATAATGTGTTGGTGTCATCACCACTTTGTGACAAAGCCCGAGTGGTCCATTGGTGATCAACAGTGATGGCTGTCCCGATGAAAGTGAAATCCCTGTCTATTGCTAGCACAATATTGAATCCAGAGCCTAACGTATTCCTGACTTCTCAAGCAATTGGCATTTACCCCAAAATAGCTTTTTAAAAAACGAGTGATCATTTATAGTTGGAGGTCATGCTCCATAAATATAAAAGTTCTGTGCTGCAGGCACGTTTCAGAGTAAAGCCTGGAACTCCTCATTTGTTGGTAAGATCTTTCAAACTGCTAACGGCAGACATTTCAAACTCATCAAAGTTTTAGAGAAATAAGGTAGTTTCCTTTCTGACACCATTTCTTTTTGCACATGCAGCATTTCACAAATGCAAAAACTTCAATCCTTACCCCAAATGAACATAGTGAGGGTGACCTTGAAAATATTGCTGAACTTGCCATTTACTTAAGCAGAGAGGATGCACCCCTCTGCTCCCTGCCCCATACACACCTTAATAAAATAACTAATGGCTTCAACAAAAAACAATATTAACCAGACAGGGTTAATGATTGAGGGGAGAGAGAGCTAACCATTATGATTAATAATGAAAGTTTTGGGATGAAAGATGTACACATATTCTGAAGTTGCTATGACTGTACATGCAAAACAAAACCAATACAGAGTTTTGTGTTTTGCTAAAAAGAAATACAGACTGTGAGGATCTGTTATGTTGAGCTACCATTTAGAAACAATCAATTTGAAAGGAGAAGTTTATTGTATATGACCTGGAATTCTTCCCTTCTGAAAACAGGTGCAGAGAGGCTATGTCTATGTGAGATGCATAAATATATTTTTGAGGACATTTTTTCTTCCTACTCAGATACTTATTTTTATTCAAGATTTTTACATTGTCAATTAATTGCTAACTTCACTCCCATTCTTTGCTGCAAGGAACTGCTTTTTCATTAATAGGAGGAAGAAAAGGAAAAAAGACCCCACAGCTGCCCAAGTGGTTAAACTAAACATTTTCTGCTATCAGCATCATCTGCCAAAAATAATGTCCAACATTATATGAAGAAAAAAGAGAAATGTATTTGGAGGTTTGAAAACAATCAAAACATTTTTGCAATACATTATTTTTTGAGGAAAAAAAACAAAGAGATGCTTGCTTTATATATATAAATCACAGCCACGCATATACAAATACAAATAAGTGTTTGCTTATCTTAGTTCCTGAATTCTTCCTTAGCTAAAAGTTCATTTCTCCTGAATGTATAAGGGTCTTTAGATTTCTAGAAAGCTCTTCAGTGAATGTATCAGTACCCTTATTAAGATTCTAATGGGGCCGGGCATGGTGGCTCATGCCTGTAATCCTAGCACTTTGGGAGGCCGAGGCAGGCAGATCACCTGAGGTCAGGAGTCTGAGACCAGCCTGGCCAACATGGTGAAACCCCATCTCTACTAAAAATACAAAAATTAGCTGGGCGTGGTGGTGCATGTCTGTAGTCCTAGTTACTTGGGAGGCTGAGGCAGGAGAATGGCTTGAGCCCAGGAAGTGGAGGTTGTAGTGAGCCGAGATCATGCCATTGCACTCCAGCCTGAGCAACAGAACAAAACTCCATCTCAAAAAAAAAGAAAAAAGAAAAGAAAAGAAAAAAAGGAAAAAAAAGATTCTAATGGTTACCTAAAGATTACAACTATGTCCCTAAATTACTATTTTTACTTTTGTAAGAACATGGTTTACACATAAGAAGATGTACCTTCAAATTTTTCTGTGCACCAATACTTTTCTTCTCCTTTTTAATTTTTTTAAACTTTAAGGAACAAAGAAAAAACAATTTTGCAATTCTCTTAAACTATAACTGTTTTATTAGTATATATTACAGCCATAGCTACTTAATACTAATTTAATTAATTAATATTTATTGTCTACAGAGTTCAGGAGACTACCACAAAACATAAATGAAAACCCGAGAAATCATATTTAATTGGTCAGCAGATTGCTCAATGGTAGAATACTGGTTTTTTTTTGTTTTGTTTTGAGACGGAGACTCGGTCTATCACTCAGGCTGCATGCAATGGCACGATCTCGGCTCACTGTGACCTCTGCTTCCCGGGTTCAAGCGATTCTCCTGCCTCGGCCTCCCGAGTAGCTGGGATTACAGGCGTCAGTCACCACGCCCAGCTTATTTTTGTATTTTTAGTAGAGATGGGTTTTTGTCATGTTGGCCAGGCTGATCTTGAACTCCTGACCTCAGGTGATCCACCTGCCTTGGCCTCCCAAAGTGCTGGATTACAGGCATGAGCCGCTGTGCCTGGCGGTAGAATATTTCCTTAAAATTAAAATTGCTAAGTTTGTCTTCTTTTCCAACTGTTACAGTAGGAAGTAATTATTTCTTACAATTCACCTTTGTTTTCCTCTTCTTTGGTCCTCAATTACAACTGATCTGGTAATAACTCCTGTGGAAAAACATTATCAAAATTGTTCCTAGCACAGAAGTTGATTAATATTTTATTTATCTTTTTCCATGACTCTTTAAAAACTTGTTTTTCCCATTTCATAGAGTGCTGTGTCTCAACGTGGTTGCCATTTTTCTAAATTCTACTCACCCACCCTGAAATTTTGGCTCAAAAGCAACTTTCTCCCAGGAGTTCCTTTAACCATCCATTTCCTCTCCCATGCCAGAGTGACCTGCCCTTCCTTCACTGTTATCACATAGAACATGAACAATACTTTCTGTATACCTTGAATTTTCTCCCATATTTTCGGCTCTGCCACATTATGTACATGTTCTTAGTATACTGCATACTTTTGGAAGGCAGAGCATATGTCTCATGCATTTCTGTATTCTCCACTCCATTCAGCAAAGTTCACTGTATAAAGGAAGCTCTCTGCATATGGATGAAGAATAAATATATTTATGGTACTCATGATATATTTCAATTTTATACATAGGAACACATTGGGGATTAGGACAGGGTAGATTTCAAGGTTTTTCATGAAAACTATAATTAATATAGTCTTAATATTCTGTATTTCTCAGATTAAAAAAAAAGACACAAAAGTTCTGGTGACATAAAGAACGTGAGTTCAGAACACACAACTAAAAAAGGAAACTTCCCAACACCATAAATACCAATCACGTTTTGTTTGTTTGAAATTTCCTACTCTGCAGTAACAGGAAAAGGACTAGAGTTGAGAGTTCTTTCGAGATACAATCACTTCCTGGTAAATATAATACGAAAATGTATTTTAAACTGCTATAGAATGGTGTTTAATGAATAATGAATGCCCTTGAAGGAACACAGGACAGTTTGTTCTAAGTGAAACTAAAATATAATTGAGAAACAGAAGTGGTTTTTTACTCGGTACCTCTGCTTTTTTTTATTATTATTATTAAAAGAAGAGAGATGCGGAATGTCAGGAATTGTTTGTAAAATTAGCACACATTCCTTCCATTCACACAGAAAACATCTGACCCACAAGTGGCCCCAGTTTGCTCAACCCAGTTGGCTACACTATGGATAAAGTGTCTGCTCTTCCAGAGCATCCTGCCTGCTGGAGACAGAACTCCGGGTAAGCAAAGTTGGATGGTTTTCAAAACTGTCGTCGCTGGTAGATTTACAGTCACAAAGAGGCTGTCATTAAATTTAGTCAGTGACCCTGAGTTTGGAACAATCCCAAACTGGTACTCTCACCCGGGAGTGGACCAACGTCTAAGGAGCAATTAGGGAAAAATAACAAGATTGAATTCTGGCATGTGGGGTGAGAGGTGAGTGGAAAAGAATTGAAATGCTGATTGGACAATGGTAGATAATTTAGTCTAACAAAAGAATGATTTCTCTTTGTGAGCAGTCATAGAGTTTCTCAGCAGTGTCAGCCGCCAGCGACATTATCGCAGTCGGTCTTCTCAAAGTTGAGAGTGCATCGCAGTCACCTGAGGATCTTGTTAAAATGCAGATTCTGATTCAGTAGGTCTCAGCTGGGGCCTGAGATTCCACATTTCTAACCAGCTTCCAGGTGACGCTGATGCTACTGGTTTGTAAAACACACTCTGATCTGAATAGCAAGAGTCTAGAGCTGCATTACCTAACACAGAATGTAAGCGCTGCAGGGGATAGTGAGCACCGCATTGAGATGAGCTGTAAGTGTCAAATGTACATCAGAGTTTTCAAAATTAAGATAAAATTTCAATACCAGAAACGTTCCCCATTTAAAGCACAGTTCAGTGATTTTTAATATATTCACAAGCTTGTGCAACCATTACCACTACCTAATTCCAGAACGTTTTTGTTAACACTAAAAAGAAATCCAGTACACTTTAGCTATCACCTGCCCATCCCCATCCCCATCTCCTCAGCCATCACTAATCTACTTTCTTTCTTTGAGGGTTTGCATATTCTGGATGTTTTGTATAAATAGGATCACATAATATGTGGCATTTTGTATCTGGCTTCTTTCACTTAGCATAATGCTTTCAAGATTCATCCATATTGCAGCATATATCAGTACTTTCTTCTTTTTTATGGCTGAATAATGTTCCATTGTATGAGTGAATACACCACATTGCATTTTTCTATTCACTTACAGACATTGGGTTGTTTTCACTTTTATGGCTATTACAAATAAGGCTGCTATGAACATTTTTACACAAATATGTTTGTGAATATATCTTTTCAATTTCTTGGGCAAATGCCTGGGAATGGAATTGTTGAGTCATATGGTAACTCACGTTTAAAATTTTGAGGAGCTATCAAGCTGCTTTCCAAAGTGGCTGAACCATTTTAGATTCCTCGTAGCAGTGCACAAGGGCTCTGCTTTCTCTATACCCTCACCAACACTTGTTTTTGTTTATCTTTTGTTTACAGTCATCCTACTGGGTGTGCTGTGGTATCTCATCATGGTTTTTGATTTGCATTTCCCTAATGCCTAAATGATGTTGAGAAACTTTCCACGCACTCATTGGCTATTTGTATATTTTCTTTGGAGAATACACATCAGACTTTTTAAAAAAAATTTAGAGATTTTACTCATTAGACTAATTTTAGTTTTACAGAAATATTGGGTAGATAATACAGAGAGTTCTCACCCAAACAATTAACCTTATTATTAATACCTTAAATAGTATAGTGCATTTGTTAAAATTAATGAACCAATATTGATACATTTTTATTCCCTGAAATGCCTATACTTTATTCAAGCTTTCCTTAGTTTTGGCTTAATGTCCTTTTTCTGTTTCAAGATCCCACCCAGGATTCTACATTACATTCAGTTGTTTTATCTCCTCGGGCTCCTCTTGGCTGTGACAGTTTCTCAGGCTTCCTTATTTTTGATGACCTTGACAGTTTGAGGAATATTGGTCAGCTATGTTGTAAGATGCCTTTCATTGAGGTTTGTCTAATGTTTTTCTGAGGATTAGACAGAGGTTATGGGTTTTGGGGAATAAAAGGTCACAGAGAAAGATAATTTCAGCATAACAATGGTACATATAATACTATCAACATGATTTATGACTGCTGATATTGACCTTGATCACCAGGCTGAAGTGGTATTCATCAGCTTTTTCAGCAAGATTATTCTTTCATAAAAAACAATATTGTTAAAGACTCATGTCAATTTATTTTATACTTTGAGGTATATAGTATTCTGTTCTCACATTGCTACAGAGAAATACCTGAGACTAGGTAACTTATAAAGAAAAGAGATTTAATTGGCTCACGGTTCTGCAGGCTGTGAAGGAAGCATGATGCTGGCATCTGATTGGCTTCTAAAGAGGCCTCAGAAAACTTACCATCATGGCGGAAGGTGAAGGGGGAGCAGACACATTACATGGCCAAGGCAGGAGGAAGGGGGAGTGAGTACTACACACTTCTAAAAGACCAGATCTTGTAAGAACCCACTACCGAAAGGACAGTACCAAGAGGATGGTACTAAACCATTCATGAGAAACCTGCCTCCTTGATCCAATCACCTCCCACCAGGTCCCAACTCCAATATTAATGATTGCATTTGGACATGAAATTTGAACAGGGGCAACACCCAAACTGTATCAGGGTATAATCCAATCCTGTTTTGTTACCAAAATTATTTCGGCGGTGCCATCGGACAAACTCCTATCAGTGTGAAGTTGTTTCTTTTGTTGTTGTGGGGCGTTTTTGTTTTTGTACTTCTTTACTTTCTAGCACTACAAAATAAGATAGGTGCAGGGGCGGGGGGGCGGGGGTGCACTAGCTATGAATGTTACTACTGTAGTGTCCTTTCCTATAGGCCCTCTCAGCTCACAGAGCAATAAAGTATATACACATATACCAAACATCGAATATACACATATCTGTAAATATTTCTATATGTAACCATCTGTATCTAAATTTCAGGTGATAGTAAATATACACAGGAGTTCATATTGATGTCTCCAACTCTAGTCTATTACCATAGGGATCATGTTAGCCTTCTCCCTTTGCTTATCTGTGAGCACCTACCTCAGCCATTCACTGACTTTAGTTATTCAATTTTAGGGTAAATTATAGCAGTGGCAGAACTGTTAACCTGTGTCTCCTTAGGGAACAAGTTTACCAACTAGAGTGCAGTTCTCTTGTAGAGTCACTCTTGCCTTTATCCTTAAAGGCTCTATACATTTTCAAAGTTACTTAGGTCAGCACCATTTTCCCCACCCCTAATGTTTGAATTTGTTTCATACATTTGTAATAAAGTTATATTGTGTTGTCACAATCTGTACTCTTTTGCTGCAATTCCAGGATCTTCTAAATAATCATTTAAAATTTGCACATATCAAATATCAGTCTTTGTGCTATTAATTTCCATGGGTATGACAAATGCATAATATCATGAATCCACTATTATAGTATCATACAGAATAGTTTCAACTGCTCTAAAAAATCTTGCTCTTTTCATCTTATTTATCCCTCTCCCTCTCTCAACGCTGGCAGCCACTGATTTTTTTTTTTTTTTTTTTTTGCTTTCTGTATTAGTTTGCTGGGGCTTCTATAATAAAGTCCTTAGACTGGTACTTTCTTCTAACAACATAAATTAACTTTCTCACAGTTCTGGAGGCTAGAAGTCTGAAATCAAGGTGTTGACAGGGGTGGTTTCTTCTGAGGCCTCTCTTTTGTCTTGTAGTTGGCTGTCTTGTCCCTGGGCCTTCACATGGTGTTTCCTCTGTGCATGTCTGTGTCCTGATCTCCTCTTCTTATGAGGACACCAGTCATATTGGATGATAGCTGACTTTAATAAACTTATTTTAATTTAGTTACCTCTTTAAAGACCCTGCCTCTAAATCCAGTCACATTCTGACAAGGGTTAGGACTTCAACATCTGAATGTTGCGGGGAACACAATTTGGCTTATATCATTGTGTAGTTTTACCTTTTCCAGAACACCACGTGATTGGAATTATATAAGGTATAGCCTTTTCAGACTAGCTTCTTTTACTCATTAACATGCATTTAAGATTTTTCTATGTATTTTTCTGGTTTGGTAGCTTATTTCTTTTCATGAATAATATTCTGTTTCATGGGTGCATCAAAGTTTATCTATTTATCCGTTCACCTATTGAAGGGTATTTTAGTTGGTTTTAGCCTTGGGAAAATAGGAATAAAACTGCTATAAATATTTGTGTATAAGTTTTTGTTTAGACATAAGTTTTCCAATAAATTGGGTAAATACATAGGAGTGCATTTGATGTATCTAATAATAAGACTATGCTTAGTTTTGCAAGAAACTGCCAGAGTGCATGTCAAAGTGTCAGTATCATTTTGCATTTCCATCAGCAAAAGAGTTTCTGTTGCTCCACATACTCATCAACATTTGGTAATATCAGTTTTCTGTATTTTATACATTCTAATAGGTGTACGATGATATCATTGTTGTTCTAATTTGTTGTTTAATTCCCTAATAAAAATGATGTTCAGCATCTTTCCATATGTTTATTTGTCATATCTATATCTTCTTTGGTGTGATGTCTGTTTATATTCCTTGCACATTTTGAAATTGTGTCGTTTGCTTTCTTATTGTTGAGTTTTACAAGTTCTTTATATATTTTTAATACAAGTCCCTTATATGTTCTGCAAATATTTTATCCAAGTATTTCTTTTCATTCTTGTATCTTTCACAAAGCAGAATTTTTTCCACTTTAATAACGTTCAACCTATCAAGTTTGTGTTTGTTTTTGTTTTTTTCATGGATCATGCTTTTGGTGTTATATCAGAACCTCACTGCCAAACCCTAGGTCACCTAAATTGTCTGTGTAATCTAATGATGAGTCTGTCAAAGACATTCTTCATTTCTATTATAATTTTTTTTATTTCTAGCATTTCTTTTTTATTCTTTCTTAGAATTTTCCTCTCTGTGCTTATATTACCCGTGTTTATTTATGTAGTCTACTTTTTCCATTAGCGATCTTAACATAGCTAAAGTATAATTAACTTATTAATCAGTGATTTTAAATTCCTTATCTGATACTTCCAGAAATTTCTGTCATATATGATTCTTGGTCTGATGCTTACTTTATCTCTTCAGACTGTGTGTCTGTGTGTGTGTGTGTGTGTGTGTGTGCGTGCGTGTGTGTGTTTGCCTTTTAAAATGTTTTTTGTTAAAAACTGAACATAATGTATTGAGTTATGTGGTAAATAACACTTTAGTGTGATGTTTTTATGTTTGAGGTTTGTTTAATGGTTGTTGCAGTTTAAGGTTGTTGTAGTTTAAGGTGTAGTTTAATGGTTGTTGTAGTTTAAGGTTTCTTTTAGTGTTTCCTTTTTTCTCTTCTTTGGTATTTAGGTTTTCCTAAGAACTCCTTTTAAAGTAAGATCTGTGTCTTTTATCTCTTTCAGCTTTAATTTACTGTTATGCTGGAGCGCTGTTGTGGTAGACAGTGAACATTCTCTATAATCTTATCACTAAATCTCAGTCTTCTAGTAGTTCTGAGCTCTTGGACTGTGAAGTCCAGAAGTGTTTGTCAGTCTTTTTAAATTTCTTTTTCCTCTTAGGTGAGACAGGAAGGCTAGAGGGGCTAGAGTTGAGCAATTGCTATTTTACTGGGAAAGATAGGGCTCTGGTACAGTTTTTTCTCCTGGAGAATGAGGCTTTGTTATGGAGCATACTCTAGTCTATTTTAGAATGGCTATGTTAGCCTAGTGTCCTGTCATTCCAGCTCAAGTGCGTGAATGGTGAATGAGTCCTCCAGTAATTCCAGCCCCCAGGCTTTTTCATTTTTCCAGTTGAGGCCCAAGACATCATAAAATAGACAAGCCATTCCCTCTGTGCTCAATCTGAATTTCTGATTTACAGAATCTTTGAGCAAAATAAAATGGTTGTTTTAAGCTTCTAGGTTTTGGGATACTTTATTATGCAACAACAATAACTAGAACAGAGCCATCGGAAGCTTGGAATATGACATAATTGAATTTATATTTTAAGAAGGCAACTCTGGCTGTTCTACGGAGAATAAACTATAGCAAAGCAAAAGTGGGTGGAGAAAGTTGAGGCTATTATAGTTGCGCAGGAGAATAAGGAGAGTGCATTGGGTAGGGTGGTTTTGGTATATAAGACAGAAGATATGGTAGGATTCTGAGTATAGCTTTAAGATGAGCCCAAAAAGATTCGTAGATAGATCATGGGGTACAAGAGAATGATACTAGTCAAGAATGACTCCAGGGGTTCTAAACTGAGTATCTGGGAGATAATGGAAGGAGGAGCAGGTTTTGAACATATTATGTTTATGATTTCTAGTAGGTACTCCTGTGAAGATTAGAGTTTTGAGATATACTTACATGTGACTGCAGCTTAGGGTAAAAGTGGAACTGAACAAATAAAATTGACAGAAATCAAAACATAAATGATGCTTACAACTATATGGTTGAATAGTATAATTTAAGAAATAACCATAGTTAGAGAAAACATAATGTCATTAAACTGAGCCCTAGAATACTCTAACATGAAGAGGAGGAACGGGCTCTAATATGAAAGGAGACCACAAAGTAGCAGGAAAACCAGCAGATTGCAATGTCCCAGAATCGGCGTGGAGAAAATGACTTACGGAAGACAGAGTCATCCAGTGATTTAAATGGTGCTTGTGGATCCAGTGAGTTTAGGAATGAGAGTCAACCATTGCATTTGGCAATGTAAAGAGAAATGATATTGTATTTAAAGGGACATATGGGGTTGAAGGAAATATTGTTGAAACCGAGATATGTTACAACATATTATAGAATGTTTGTATATCCTGAGAATAATTCAATAGAAAGGGGGAAAATTGAGGATGCAGAAATGAGACAAACACCTGGAAGAGTTAAATACTTGGATGAGCAAGTAGTGATAAGGTCCAGAATCCATGTGGAACAAGGAGAAAGAAAGCGTCTTCCAATAGAGGGGACTGAACACACAGGCTCTGAGCAGAAATATTGGTAAATTGGATTTTACAGAAGATGGAGTTCCCTTTGATTGTTTCATTTTTCTTATTGAAATAAGAAGTCACACATTGATGGGAAGGAAGGGGCTGGGAGCTAGAAGTGAGCTTACTGAGGAGGTGTAAAATAGTTATCTCAAAAAAAAAAAAAGAAAGAAAAAGAAGAACAGATTGACGAGGGAATTACAGAATTTCTGGACATCACTTAGGTAGCCACTGAGGTCAGCAGTCATGAATATAAGATGAGGCCATTTGGTAGTTTTTCTCCTACCATGTTCAACTATTTTTTGAGAGTCAGTGCAGAGAATTTAAACAGGACTTGAAGTTTCCTTTCATGATTACAATAGAGGGAGAGGGTGAAATAATAGAATGAAAATGGCATGGATTAGATTATTGTTTCCAGTTTTCACTTTCTCCTGTAAATAGGATTATACATCTACACCTCTTGCCATGTGACTTGTAGCATCTGCCACTAACCATTGTCTTCTTGACCAAGGGCCCAGTCATATGACTTTCTTTGGCCAATAAAATAGGAGGAGATGCGATGTGAGCAGAGACTTTACAAATGCTTGCATGTTTTGATGGCTCTGCTGAGCTGTAATTACCAGAAGAAAAGCCTGCTCCAGGCAGTGTCCTGTCCTAGAATGAAGCAATGTGTAGTAGACCTGAACCAAGCACGCAGATTGATGCACAGCTGCCCAGTTGCCCTGCAGATACATGATTCAGAAATAAATGCCTCTTCTCATCCGCCACAGTGATATATGCGTGTGTGTGTGTGTGTGTGTGTGTGTGTGTGTGTGTGTGTATATATATTTTTTTTTTTTTTTTTTTGAGACAAGGTCTCCTTTGTCTTCCAAGCTGCTATGGCATGATTAAGGCTCACTGTAGCCTCGACTTCCTGGGCTCATGTGGTCCTCCTGCCTCAGCCTCTTGAGTAGCTAGGACTATAGGTGTGCAACACCATGCTTGGCTATTTTTTTTAATTTTTTTTTTTTTTTTTTTTTTTGTAGAGATGAAGACGCACTATGTTGCCCAGACTGGTCTTGAATTCCTGGGCTCAAGTGATCTTCCTGCCTTCGCATCCCAAAGTGCTGGAATGTATTTGTTATGCAATATTATTTCAGCAGAATTCTGATTAATACAGGAGAGAATGATCACACATATGAAAGTATGAGGGTGTCATCATAATGATGAATGGACTCCAAGCCAGAGGAGGAGGGAAGTAAAGCCATGAAGGAGGAGACAGACAGTAAAGAAGTGGCAGTGTCAATGGATTAGAAGTCACATCACAGAGTGAGGGAGTCCGGCTGTTAGAAGGGGTAAGCTGGGAAGACAGGAAGTAGTGTTTAAAGAATGGGATGCTTAAACTTGAGATTTGGACGTGGCAAAGTTATTGGTCTTGAGAAGAAAATGACAAGGCAGAGGGCATGGTCATGGAAATGCATGGCTGAGGTGGGGGGGCAGTGCAAGGGAAGATTGTGCAGGACGAGCACAGCAAACATCTGAGAGGTCCGAGTGACGGGCAAGTTATAATGCATGGCATCAAAATGACCAGGAATGATAACTGGAACGACGTTGGAGCTCAATAAGTAAGGAGATTGTTAACATCTTCAATGAAGGAAGAAATTTCTGCTAGAACTGTCCATGGCAGCAACAAGAAGGGGTAGCAGATGGTGTAGCCTAAGCAAGTGATTCACAAAAGACCAGACTTGTGGCTCACACCTATATTCCTAGCACTTTGGGAGCCCAAGGCAGAAGGATCTCTTGAGCCCAGGAATTCAAGACCAGCCTGGGCATCATGGTGAGACCCCCGTCTCTATAAGAAAATTAAAAATTAGCCAGGCATGGTAGTGTTTGCCTGTAGTTCCAGCTACTCAGAAGGTGGGAGGATCCCTTGAGACTGGGAGGTCAAGGGTACAATGAGTGTGATTGAACCACTACACTCCATTCTGGGTGACAGAGCAAGACCCTGTCTCAAAAAAAAAAAAAAAAAAAAAGCGAGAGAGATTCAATGATACAGTTGTCTAAGGAGAAGACAGAAGAGAACAATTATTTGGAAGCAAGTGAAGAGGAGTAGAGATTCTTCCAGATTCTTCCAAATTCAGCAGTAAATAGAGTGATAATTTTAAAATTGCAGCTAGTCCTGGCGATGGCTACAGGGAGAAGTAGTCTTAGGAGACCACATGGTTCCAAATAGAGCCAAATAGGGAACAGGATTTGTTTCAGAAAGACGTGGCTGTTGGAGGTTTGCTGTTGATGCACTGTGTAGGTTAAAGATGACAGAGGAAGGGTTAGAGGATCAGAAAGAGATTAGATTGGGTTAGATAGGAGGATAAATGGGGTTAGTTAAGGATGAGTGCCCAGGACATGCAGGATAACCTGGACATTTTTGGCAATCAAAGTAAAGAGGAAAACAAGGCACAAGGGGATTGTTTCTGTCATGTTTTTGTGCCTGATCTCTCAGGCAGTTTTTAGTGGAGTGTGAAGAGGGACTTGCCGAGCATTAAGGAGGATCTGTGGGGTCTCCTTAGTACACAATATCAAGGCAGAGGGAGGTGGATTTGCCAGGACTTTTTGATTTCTTGCAACACATCTGAAATTAGGCAAAATATCTCTTCACTGATCCTTACTTAAATTCTATGTTTTTTTCCCTCTTCTCTCTCCTGTTCCTGTCTTACCTCTCACGTCTGCTATCTTTGAGGATTTAATTTTTTTTCCTCTCCTCTGGACAAGGAAATGTACTCATGACAGGGTTCAAGAATCAGATATTACTGTTGTTATTCTATTCTTAATTATGACAAATTACCAGCTGCTCCTTAATCTCTACTGAACATCTACTATGTATCAGGCATTGTGCCTACTGCTTCATTCAAATTATGTTGTGTAAACCTCATGGCAACTATATGAGGGGAGACAATTGCTCTTATTTTATAACTGAGAAATGGAAACTTTGAGGACTTCAGTTCTGTATCCTGGGCTACTCAGATGATATGAGCTTGAATGAGGGTTTATACCTGGGATTCTAGGCGCTGGGTCCAGAGTGATTCATTAATCTAACCTGTGGCTGATTGATCTGTGGAAGTCTGTGGATAATTCTTAAATTGGGGCATTAGCAACAGGTGGAGAATTATCCCCTCCTCTGTGCCATTTCTTTTTTCACACTAGATTTGTCTTTATGGTGGCTCAACCCGTGGTGACTTCAACTGCATAGGCATCTTTTTTCTCCTTTGCGCCAAAAGGTCAACTTCTTGTTGAACACTGCATCTGGCAAAATTCTCTGCACACAATAAATGCTCAAAAGAATGTATTAGTTGCATGAATTAAGAGTTACCCAGGCACCTAGTTAAGTCTTCACCCTTAGGCATATATTAAAATCAATCAGGGAGTTTTTAATTTTTAAAAAAGTCCCAATGCTCAAGTCACACACTGGAGTGATTTAAGTTAGAATCACTCATGCTGGGCCTAGGCGTCAGTATTTTCAAAGCATCCCAGGTTATTCTTCTGGGCAGCCAAAGTTACAAATTCCTGCTCTGAGGGAGGCAGGCTAATAGTTGCTGGTTCTGCTTAAGATATAATTGCATTTCTATGATATAGGATGTGAGATGCAAGAAGCAGCAAGTGCTATAGTAACATCCATGTAAAAAGATGTGGAATGTTAACTCTGGGCCTTTTCTCATTCCACACTATTTCCCAGAGGCAGGGCTGTCATGTAAACACCTTCTTATTCCATTTGATTTTGCCACTGTCTTCTTGTTTTTGCCACTTCGACCAACTACCTGCATCTAGTTTTCACTTGATTTGCGTCCAGTTCTGCCTTTGCTGCCGTGAGCTTAGTTGGCTGCTTAGTAGACACAGTAATCACTCCCAGGAATTGCATTTGAAAGCAGAATGAAATCTTCATAATTTGCACTATTCCGAGATGCATTCATCCTAATGGAGGTGACTGAGTCATTTAGGCTGAATTTGAGAAGCATTCTTGGCTTTGTGTGCTGAGTCCTTCTAAGCCACCTGGCAGTTAGTGACGCTCTTCAGGCAGTGCTAGCTGGCGCGAGCTGACAGGGAGCCTCAAAAAAAAAAAAGAGAACTGAAGCAACCTTTGCCATTAGAACACTCAAGTATTTGTCCGGGGGAAGCTGTAAAGAAGAGCCCACATTTATACATGTGAAAGGGATCTTAAGTGTTGGTGGTAGGAAAACACTCAACTAACTATAGGGAATTTGTTTCTTTGCTCCTTTGGGCTGTTCTTAACTCTTTCTGGGCCTCTGGCAGATTGATTTCAAGGACTTGCCATAATTATTCCCTCCTTCTCTGTATTCACATTATTTGTAAGACTGTGCAGCTCCTCCCATCCCAAAATAAAGTCTATTTCCCCCCACTCCTGGAATCTAGGTTGGCCTCATGACCGGCTATGAGCAATAGAATTCAGTGGATGTGATGCTCCAATTCTGAACTTATCCTCAAGAAGCTTTGCACACATCTTGTAATCCTGAGCTGCCTGCTGGAGTGTAAAAACTGACATCGAGAGAACACAGTTGTCTCAGACCATTCTAGACCAGCCAACCTACTGACCTCAAACATGTCAGAGAGTGCAGCTATGACAGCAGAGTGCCTATGTGACCCTGTATGAGGCCATTCTTGCACTATTATAAAGAAATACCTGAGACTGAGTAATTTATTTTAAAAAAGAGGTTCAGTTGGCTCACGGTTCTGCAGGCTTTATAGGAAGCATGGTACTGGCATCTACTCGGCTTCTTGGGAGGTCTTAGGAAGCTTACAATCATGGTGGAAGGTGAAAGGGGAGTAGGCATCTCACATGGTGAGAATGAGAGGAAGGCAGGGGTAGGGGGAGTTACCACACATTTTTAAATGACAGCACTAACGGGACGGTACTAAATCATTCGCTAGAAATCCAGCCTCACGGGCTGGGCGCAGTGGCTCCTGTCTGTAATCCCAGCACTTTGGGAGGCTGAGGCGGGAGGATCACAAGGTCAGGAGATCGAGACCATCCTGGCTAATACGGTGAAACCCTACCTGTACTAAAAATAAAAAAATAAATAAATAAAAAGTTTGCTGGGCGTGGTGGCTCGTGCCTGTAGTCCCAGCTATTCGGGGGGCTGAGGCAGGAGAATTGTTTGAACCTGGGAGGCGGAGGTTGCAGTGAGCCAAGATCATGCCACTGCACTCCAGCCTGGGCAACAGAATGAGACTTCATCTCAAAAAAATAAAATAAAAAGAAACTCAGCCTCACGATCCAGTCATCTCCCACCAAGCCCCACCTCTTATACTGGAGATTACAATTCAATATGAGATTTGGGCGGGGAAAAATATCCAAACTATAACTGACCCGATATGAATGCATGGATCCAACCAAGACCAGAAAAGCTGCCCAGGTGGCCCATAAGCTCATGAGTAATAATTCTTATTATTTTAAGCCATTGAGTTGTGGGGTTGTTTGTCAACAGCAAGAGTTAACTGATAATGACCTCAGTTATTTTGCCTTTAAGGGAAGGGTAGTGATTGATATCTAAGGCACAGTGGTTTTAACTGAGGCTGTGCACTATAATTATCTGTGGATATCAATCAACCTGTTCTGTTTCTATTACAGACTAACTGAAGCAGGGTGACGGCTCCAACTTCTATGTGCTAATAAATTTCACAAGTGGCTCTGATGCACAGCCAGAATGAAAGAATTCCTTCAAGGTTTTCTTCGGGCACTCAGAGTGTATTATTCTGAGACACCTTTTTAAGGTTATACTCTACTCTAAAGGCACATAGTAAGTAAAGGGCCAGATAAAGTTGGAATTACATTAGGCCATCTGCAGAAAGAAGGAACCCAGACTCCATAGTGAACTCAGGAAAAGGCAACATGCCCTGAGCCTGAGCACACTTACTGGCATATTACTTTTCTTGAAGATCTCTGTGTTGGCCAGTAACTATTTTCTTGTAAAAATAGAAACTCACTGCATAAGTAAGTGAATTTATTCCATGGATTCAAGAAATTCTCTCAGAATGCATGACAGAAAATACAGCCGAGCTTTGCCAGTCATGGACTTGGAGATCAGTGGCATCAGGAACCCAGGATATCTTGCTTCCTCCAGCACACTTTCTACTTCACCTTACCTCTCCCACCACAAGAATTTCCTGGTTCCTCTGTACACATCTTTTATTTTCTTTTCTTCCTTTTCAAAGACTGCCTTCCTCTGATTGCCCATTAGCCCCTACAGAGAGATTCAGCCCTGGAATTTACCTGACATTCCAGTTGCATGGAACTTAATCTTTTTGTGTCCTAATTACAAACTGCCAGGAGGAGAACTCTGGTTGGTCCACTTCAAATTAGAAGTGCAAACTGGGTCAAACCATCCATGACAGGGAGTGCTGCCATGTTCTCTAGGGCTGCCCCTCTGGACCTGTCTGAGAACAGGTTCATAAACAATAAATCATGGGCTGAGGGGAAATGGTTCATGAATGTAAGGAGTTTTTGCCAGGTTTGTCAAAGATCAGATGGTTGTAGATGTGTGGTATTATTTCTGAGGGCTCTGTTCTGTTCCATTGGTCTATTTCTCTGTTTTGGTACCAGTACCATGCTGTTGTGGTTACTGTAGGCTTGTAGTATAGTTTGAAGTCAGGTAGCATGATGCCTCCAGCTTTGTTCTTTTGGCTTAGGATTGTCTTGGCAATGTGGGCTGTTTTTTGGTTCCATATGAACTTTAAAGTAGTTTTTTCCAATTCTGTGAAGAAAGTCATTGGTAGCTTGATGGGGATGGCATTGAATCTATAAATTACCTTGGGCAGTATGGCCATTTTCACGGTATTGTTTCTTCCTATCCATGAGCATGGAATGTTCTTCCATTTGTTTGTGTCCTCTTTTATTTCATTGAGCAGTGGTTTGTAGTTTTCCTTGAAGAGGTCCTTCACATCCTTTGTAAGTTGGATTCCTATGTATTTTATTCTGTTTGAAGCAATTATGAATGGGAGTTCACTAATGATTTGGCTCTCTGTCTGTTGTTGGTGTATAGGAATGCTTGTGATTTTTGCACATTGATTTTGTATCCTGAGACTTTGCTGAAGTGGCTTATCAGCTTAAGGAGATTTTGGGCTGAGATGATGGGGTTTTCTAAATATGCAATCATGTCATCTACAAACAGGGACAATTTGACTTCCTCCTTTCCTAATTGAATACCCTTTATTTCTTTCTCCTGCCTGATTGCTGTGGCCAGAACTTCCAACACTATGTTGAATAGGAGTAGTGAAAGAAGGCATCCCTCTCTTGTGCCAGTTTTCAAAGGGAATGCTTCCAGTTTTTGCCCATTCAGTATGATATTGGCTGTGGGTTTGTCATAAATAGCTCTTATTATTTTGAGATACGTCCCATCAATACCTAGATTCCCTATTTAATAAATGGTGCTGGGAAAACTGGCTAGCCATATGTAGAAAGCCGAAACTGGATCCCTTCCTTACACCTTATACAAAAATTAATTCAAGATGGATTAAAGACTTAAATATTAGACTTAAAGCCATAAAAACCCTAGGAAAAAACCTAGGCAATACCATTCAGGACATAGGCATGGGCAAGGACTTCATGTCTAAAACACCAAAGGCAATGGCAACAAAAGCCAAAACTGACAAATGGGATCTAATTAAAGTAAAGAGCTTCTGCACAGCAAAAGAAACTACCATCAGAGTGAACAGGCGACCTACAGAATGGGAGAAAATTTTTACAAATTTTCTACCCATCTGACAAAGGGCTAATATTAAGAATCTACAAAGAACTTAAACAGATTTATAAGAAAAAACAAACAACCCTATCAAAAAGTGGGCAAAGGATATGAACAGACACTTCTCAAAAGAAGACATTTATGCAGCCAACAGACACATGAAAAAATGCTCATCATCACTGGCCATCAGAGAAATGCAAATCAAAGCCACAATGAGATACCATCTCACACCAGTTAGAATGGTGATCATTAAAAAGTCAGGAAACAACAGGTGCTGGAGGGGATGTGGAGAAATAGGAACACTTTTACACTGTTGGTGGGACTGTAAACTAGTTCAACCATTGTGGAAGTCAGTGTGGCGATTCCTCAGGGATCTAGAACTAGAAATACCATTTGACCCAGCCATCCCATTACTGGGTATATACCCAAAGGATTATAAATCATGCTGCTGTAAAGACACATGCACACGAATGTTTATTGTGGCACTATTCACAATAGCAAAGACTTGGAACCAACCCAGATGTCCATCAATGATAGACTGGATTAAGAAAATGTGGCACATATACACCATGGAATACTATGCAGCCATAAAAAAGGATGAGTTCATGTCCTTTGTAAGGACATGGATGAAGCTGGAAGCCATCATTCTGAGCAAACTATCGCAAGGACAGAAAACCACGCACCACATGTTCTCACTCATAGGTGGGAATTGAACAATGAGAACATTTGGACACAGGGTGGGGAACATCACACACTGGGGCCTGTTGTTGGGTGGGGGGAGGGGGGAGGGATAGCATTAGGAGAAATACCTAATGTAAATGACGAGTTTATGGGTGCAGCACACTAACATGGCACATGTATACATATATAACAAACCTGCACGTTGCACACATGTACCCTAGAACTTAAAGTATAATAAATAAAAAAAGAAAAAAAAATGAATGTAAGGAGTGACTTTTCTAGAACAATCTATTAGATTTTCATTAGATCAACACATAGAAATACATCAACCAAATTTCTAAAATATTTAAAATTTGATCATATCAAATCTCTGTTGCTTTTTTCAGTTTTCTTAAGGTATTGTTGGCAAAACTGCATAAATTTAAGGTGTACAGTATCGTGATTTGATATACATATGTATTATGAAATAATTTCCACAATCAAGTTAGTTAACACATCTGTCATCTCACATTGTTACTTTTTTGTGGTGAGAACATTTATAATCTACTTTCTTAGCAAATTCAAGTACACAATACAATATTGTTAATTATAATCACTGTGTTGTACATTAGATCCCCAGAATATATACCGAGGATAATAAGAAACCATTATGAACAATTATATGCCAACAAATTGGATAATCTGGAAGAAATAGATAAAGTACTAGAAATATACAACCTACCAAGACTAAATAATAAATAAACAGGACATCTGAATGAACCAATAACATGTAAAAATACAAAAATTAGCCAGGCATGGTGGTGGGCACCTGCAATCCCAGCTACTTAAGAGTCTGAGGCACGAGAATCACTTTAACCTGGGAGGTGGAGGTTGCAGTGAGCCAAGATCGTACCACTGCACTCCAGCCTCAGTGATAGAGCGAGACTCAGTCTCAAAAACAAAACAAAAAACCAAAACCAAAAAAAAAAAAAAAAAAAAAAAAGAAAAAACAAGTAAGAACATTGAATCAGTAGTCAAATCCTCCAACAACAAAAAAATCCTAGGACCAGATGGCATCACTGTGAATTCTACCAAACATTTAAACAATTAATGCCAATCCTCAAACTCTTCCAAAACGCTGAGGAGGAGAGAATAGTTCCAAACTAATTTTATGAGGCTAGCATTACCGTGATACCAAAGCCAGAGAAAAACACTACAAGAAAAGAAAATTACAGGCTAATTTCCCTGATGAACATAGAGGCAAATATCCTCAACAAATACTAGTAAACCAAATTCTACAGCACATTAAAAGGATTATATACCATGATGAAGTGGGATTTATCCCAGGGCTGTAAGATGGTTTAACATACACAAATCAGTTAATGCAGTACATCACTTTAACAGGATGAATAAATAGCAGAATAAAAATCATATAACCATCTTAAGAGATGCAGGAGAAGTATTTGAAGAAATTCAGCATCTTTTCATGATAAGAACTCTTAGTAAATTGAATATGGGAGGAATGTATCTCAACATAATAAAGGTTATAGCCTCACAACTGATATCATACTTAATGGTGAAAACCTGAAAAGTTTTTCTGTATGATCAAGACTAAGACAAGAATGCCTACTTTAACCACTTCTATTCAACATAGTACTGGAAGTCCTGGCCGGAACAGGTAGGCAAGGAACGAAATTAAAAGCATCCAAATCAGAAAGAGAGTCATAAAATTGTCTGTTTGCAGATGACATGATCTTATATATAGAAGACCCTAAAAACTACACCAGAAAACTGTTAGAACTAACAAATTAGTAAAGTTACACTATAGAAAGTAGACATACAAAAATCAATTACAATTCTATACAATAGTGATAAACTATCTGAAATATAATTTTTTAAAAATTCCATTTATAATAGCATTGCTGTGGTTTAAATGTGTCCCCCAAAAAGCATGTTTTGGAAACTTAATCCCAAACGCAATAGTGTTGGGAAATGGGGCCTAGAGAGGTGAACAGGCCAGTGAGAGCTTTGCCCTCGTGAATTGGATTAGTTATCACAGGCGTGGGTTTCTTATAAAAGAATGAATTCAGCACCTTTTCTCTTTCTCTCACACACGCACCCTCTATTTGCCCTTCTGCCATGGGATGACACAGAAAGAATGCTTTTTACCAGATCCAGTCCCTTGATCTTGGACTTGCCAGCCTTCAGAATCATAAGCCTACAATTTATTTTCATCATATATTACCCAGTCTGTGGTACTCTGTTTTGGCAGCACAAAATGAAGTAAGACAAGCATCAAAAAGAAGAAAATACTTAAGAATAAATTTAAGGAAGTGAGAAATCAATATACTGAAAACCATAGGTGTTGAAAGAAATTGAAGAAGACACAAGTAAATGGAAAGATATTACATTTTCACAGATCAGAAGGATCAGCATTATTAAAATGTCCATATTATCCAAAATGATCTATAGATTCAACACAATCCTTGACAAAATTTCAATGACATTTTTCACAGAAATACAAAAAATAATTCTAAAATTCAATGGAACCATAAAAGACCCAGAACAACCAAAACAATTCTGAGAAAGAACAAAGCTGAAGGCTTCATATTTTCTGATTTCAAACTATATTACAGAAATATAGTAATCAAAGGAGTATGGTACTGTCATAAAAACAGACACATTAATTAATGGAACAGAATAATGAGCACAGAAATAAATAAACCCATGCATACATAGTTATCAACTAATATTTGACAAGGGTGCCAAGAATACACAATGGAGAAAGAATAGTTTCTTCAATAAACCATACTGAAACCTGGATATCCACATGTAGAAGAATGAAATCGGACTCTTATCTTACACTACACAAAATAATCAATGCAAAGTGTATTAAAAACTTTAACGTAAGACCTGAAACTCCAAAACTCTTAGAAGGAAACAGGAGAAAGACTGCTTGACAGAAGTCTCGGTAATAATTATTTTTGGATATGACACCCAAAGTACAAGCAACAAAAGCAAAAATAAACAAGTCCAACTACATCAAAGTAAAAAGCTTCTGTAAAACAAAGGAAACATTCAATAAAATGAAAAGACGACCTACAGAATGGGAGAAAATATTTGCAAACCATCTATCTTATAAGGAACTAATACCCAAAATGTATAAAAAAACTCATATATCTTAATAGTGAAGAAAACCCCCACAAATAACCCAATTTTAAAAATGGGCAAAGAGTCTGAATAAAAATTTTTCAAAAGAAGACAGACTGTGACAAACAGGTAATTGGAAGGGTGCCCAGCATCACTAATCATCAGGGAAATGCAAATCAAAATCAGAATGAAATATTACCTCACATATGCTACCATGTCTGTTATCTAAAAAGAAAAAGATAAGTGTTGGTGAGGTTGTGGAGAAAAGGAATCCTGTGCACTGTTGAAGGGAATATAAATTGGTATAGCCATTATGGGAAAGAGTATGGAGGTTCTTCGAAACTTTAAAAATCTAACTACGATATCTTCTGCATATGTATCTGAAGGAAATGAAGGAAATGAAATCTGTTACCCCTGAGATATCCACACTCTAGTAATGTTTTTATAGCATTATGCACAATAACTAAGACATGGAAACCACTTAAGTGTCTGTCAATGAATGAATGGACAAGAAAAATGTGTATATATAGGCATATTAAATATATATAGAAACACACATACATATACACAAAATGGAGTGTTATTCAATCTAAAAAAAAAGGAAATTCCTGGCTGGACGTGGTAACTCATGCCTGTAATCTCAGCACTTTGGGATGCAGAGGTGGGCGAATCACTTGAGCCCAGGTGTTCAAGACCAGCCTGGCCAACAGAGTGAAACCCTGTCTCTATAAAAAATACAAAAGTTATCCTGGTGTGGTGGCACAGGCCTGTAGTCCCAGCTACTCAGGAGGCTGAGTTGGGAGGATTGCTTGAGCCTGAGAGGCCAAAGCCGCAGTGAGCCATGATTGTGCCACTGCACTCCAGCCTGGATAACAGAGCAAAATTGTGTATCCAAAAAAAAAAAAAAATCCTGCCAGTTGTGACAACATGATGAACACTGGGGATGTTATGCTAAGTGAAGTCAAGTCAGACAAATAAAGACAAATACTATAAAATATCATTTATATGTGGAATCTAAAAAGTCAAACTCATAGAAACAGAGTAGAATAGAGCCTGCCAGGGGCTGGAGGTGGAGGAAGTGGGGAGATTTTGGTCAAACGGTACAAACCAAATCACTGTTAAATATTATTGCATGCATATGTTCTTACAGGTTTATTATAATTTACATTTTTGTAATGGAAGGAAATACTATTTATTTTGAACATGTAGATAGTGCTTCTCCATTGTCAGAACACAAATCCAACACTTGCTTCACACCTGTGTCTCACAGTCTTTAATTTAGGCATTCTCCCTACAGAGAATATCAGAAATCATTAAAGAAATGACCAAGAAATAACACAAACTCTTTAAGAGTAATTTTACTATCAATCTGACTAATCTGGTTTATGGTTTTATTCCCCTGGGCAAGAAATATTTGTGCAAAGTAGAGAGAAGATTAAAGATTTTACTGGTAAATTTGGAAAGTGGAAGAATGATTGATATTTTGCAGTATCTTATTTATAATGCCCTTTTTAAGGAGCTCAGTTACATAGTGTAATTGCACAAACTAATTTAAATTCAAGATATAAGAAATTTATATTCAAAAAGAAGGAAAGTACAATTTATTTTTCTTTTGTAGTTTGGTAAATCCTTTAGGAAACCACATTGATCTTGCAGACATGACATCATGGAGTTTTACAGTTTAGTGGGGGGTAGATGTAATCAATTAACAACACAGATAATTGTTCATTACAAACTAAGGACAGTGATGGAAAATTACAAACAGATTTTAGAGCATGAAACTAGGACACCCTATTATAGTGACAGTGGGATGATGAGGTTGAGAAAATGATGTTTGAATAATGATCTGATGGATGCATGGAATTGAACCAGGCAAAGACTTATTTGAGATAGAGGAACCCATATCTACGCAGGCCTTGTGAGGTGGGGAGCATGGCACTGGGAGAGTGAAGGAAGGCCAGGATAGTTTGAGCCCGGAGAGGAGAAGGGGGCTAAATAAGGCTGGGGAGAGAGGCATGCTCCACATCCACATGGGACAAGGCCATATACTCCATATGGAGGATTTCTACCTTTATCCTGAAAGCAATAGGAAACCATTGAGTGGATTTCAGCAAATGAGTGGCAAGAGCAGTTTTTTTAAAACAATAAGATTGTTTTAAAGTTATTATTCTGAATGCTGTCTTGAGAATAATCTAAGGAGCAGTGAACAAGGTAGATGTGGACAGAACAGTTGGGAGGCTACAGGCAAGCGGTAACAGTGCCCTGAAGTGGTGGCAGTAGTAAGATAGAGAAAATTGGATGAATGTGATAAGGTTGAACTGACAGGTCTTAATGATGGTTTGGATGAGAGGGTGTGGTACATTGGTTGCAAACAGGACCCTGATCCTTCACTCCCTCTGCATCCACTCCCTTTGCCGTGTAATTTTGAACTATTATCTGGCTCTGCCTCTAAACCTGACTATATGCCTGCCTTTGGCCAACAGAATGAAGCAGAAGTGCTAAGGTGGTGGTTCTGAGTCTATGATTTGAGAGGCCTTGCTCTTTGCTGTATTTTGGTTAGTTTCATGAGGACGTGCCTGTGGTTGCCTGCTGGAATGTGATGGATGCGTGAAGTAGACCCAAGATGCGCAGGTGTCCTAGTCGAAGCTGGTCTAGATCAATACGTAGCCAACTGGCACATAGCCCTACCAAAAGACATAGAGCCACCTGGCAGATCTCTAGCAGGCTCCTGATAGATGAGTAATAAATGCTATTGTATTATGCCACTGAAGTTTTATGGCTGTTAGTTATATAGCATTATTGTGGCAATAGACACACTGACACAGGAGAAAGGGAGAAAAATATTTGGGATATAAGCATCTGTTATAAACTGAATATTTGTGTTCCCCCCAAAATTCATATGTTGAAATGCTAGCTCCAAATGGGATGGTATTAGGAGGTGGAGCCTTTGGGAAATAATTGGGTCATGAGGGTGGAACCCTTATGAATGGGATTAGTGCTCTTATAAAACAAGACAAGAGAAAAGTGATTTTTCTCTCGACCATGTGAGGACATAATGAGAAGCTGTCATCTACACACTAGGAAGTGGGCCCACACCAGACACTGAATCTGCTGGCACCTTGAACTTGGACTTCCCAGCCTCCAAAACTGTGAGAAATCAATGTTTGTTGCTTAAGCCACCCAGTTTATGGTATTCTGTTCTAAGCGATCCAAAGTGACAAAGGCATCATTGATACACAATTACTATTATAGAATAATTTAATATATTATCATAATCCAGAGTTCTAAAGAAATGGGAAATAGATGAGATAAATTTTGATTAGAGGAAATTGTTACTCTGAAACCTTCCTTACACATAGTAAGTAATCGGCATTTGTCAAAAGTTGGATTAATAAAAGTGTCAGTCCTTAGTATAATAGTAAAACTACTGTAAATGAAGATTCCAAAGGCATCATTTAGACTTTTTGCATATTTTTCATAGTTTGGTATATGCTTGCTATCAAAACTTTTCTTTTCTTTATTTTTAAAATTTTATTTTGTTTTGAGACAGAGTTTCGCTCTTGTTGCCCAGACTGGAGTGCAATGGCGCCTCCCAGGTTCAAGCAATTCTCCTGCCTCAGCCTCCTGAGTAGCTGGGATTACAGGCATGCGCCACCACACCCGGCTAATTTTGTATTTTTAGTAGAGTCAGGATTTCTCCATGTTGGTCAGGCTGGTCTCGAACTCCTGACCTCAGGTGATCCACCTGCCTTGGCATCCCAAAGTGCTGGGATTACAGGCGTGAGCCACCGTGTCCAGTCAAAACTTTTCTTAAATGTTCAATCAACCATGATTTTAAAAAGGAAGTTTACAAAACCACATAGCATGACCATGCATAAGAAAAAAATAAATTATGCTGGCCAACTCCTGTACGCTAGAGTTTCCTGTTTCCTTGTATTTTTTCCTGTTAGTTTTGTCCCTATTTTTGCACTGTCTCACCAGATAATCACAGAGAGGAACATACAATTGATGGCAGGGACAAAACAGTTCCCAACAGCGACACTGTCTGTTCAAATTTGCATCTCTTCAAAGAGGATGAAAGGAGACACTGAACAAAAAGTCCATTCCTGGGGTTGACTGCAGAAGGGAAGCAGTTAGGGACCAGGCTGTTTATATGAAGCCCTGACCTCTGCTCCGTGATACACTTAAGAGTTTCCACACCTAACTGTTGCCACTAGGGTGAGGGTTTATAGCAAAATTCCTCCCAGAGGAGAGACCAATAAACAGAGGAATAAAACTGTCTTTTCTTTTCGGTTTGAACTGTGATTGTTCAACATTATTTTTGGATGCTCTCAAGTGGTTTCAAAATGTTAGTGTGCATACAAATCACTGGAGAGGTTGTTAAACCGTCTATCCCTGGAGATTTTGACTCAGTAAGTCTGGGGTGAGGCCCAAGAGTCTGCATTCCCAGCACGCTCCCAGAAGCTGCTGTTGGCACTGGTCTGTTTGAGGTATCTCTACTAACAATGCCAAAGAGAGAGAATCATAAAAGCATTCTCACTGGCACATTATGATTGTTACTATTATTGTCTGTCCTAAAAGGGAGGTCTTAAATACTGGTCCTGTTTTCAAATCGCTGCTCAAAAAGATGACTGCAGATCAACCATGCTAGGTTGAAAAAAGGGTACAGTTCTAATAACTTATTTACAAACAATGTGAATTGGTAAAAATGTATTCTTGCTTTTGCCTCCTTGCCTGAATCTCAGGCTTTCCAGTATTTCACAAAGTCAATCAAGCTGAGGGACAAAAAATTGTCAATCTTAAATTAAAGATTATGAAGAGTTTTGTTATATTCTGTCCACACCTGCAGTGCGCTGCTTAGAGAAAGGCAGCTTAATGGTGCAACAGGAAAGAAAAGCCCTGGGTGGGAAGAGTCAAAAGGTTCCTCCTGGATGAAGTCGCATTTTCCATTTGATGAGAATCAGCATGAGTAGAAGGCACAGCAGTGTTGTGCCTGCTTGGCTGTAGGTTTGTCTTGTCGAATGTTATTGGAGCCATTCCATTTTTTTTTCCAGTTTCTGTCATGCCACTGACATAGCCTGAGTGTGTGACTAAGAGTGCAGGTGTGTGGAAAAAGTGTTTTCTAGCTCCTGGTTTTTCTTCTGAATTCTTCCTGTTTTTTGTTCGCATTACACAATAAGGATGTGAACCTTGCAGAAATAATGGAAAAGCATATGAATAAAAGAACGTGTGAGTCCATTCCCAAGAGAAAATCACTGTTAATGCTTTAATTCATTTATTTTATGTTTTGTAGGTATGTAAAAATTCATATCTTTTTAAATTTTTTACAAAATTGGATTATACTTTACAGGTTTGAATCGTTGCTTTCTTTTCAATAATGTCATAGATATTTTAACATATCATTAGATCCTAATAACAAGGTTTTTAATAGTGTAGAATTTTCATTTTTATCATTATTCATAATTTGTTGAACCAAGTCTCTATTTATGGGTTAAATGTTAAAAAATCAGTATTTCTCCTCTCTCTCCTTTTTTCCCTCTCTCTCTCTTTTTTGCTGTCTTACATTTCTGAGCTTAGGGGAAAACAAGGACTTTTTCTAAACCCAAAATTAGAGAAAAGCTTAAATCTGGAGAATATTCAAGTGCTAGAAACAATGTTTGCCCTGGGGATATTTACATATTTCTAATTCCCTAAGCGTAATTTGGCCAATCACAGACAGAAGAGTGGATACAACCTGGGACCGTGGGTGGATAATATCTGGGACCCCAACAGGTGAGAAAACAGAGCCCAGCCCCAGGACAGGTGAGCTAAACCCATACAGGAGACGTGGAGGGCACCTCCTGAACTCAGCCTTTGCTCAGGGCCAAGAAAAATAAAACAAAAGCAAACAAACTATATACACACACACACACACACACACACACACACACACACACGGCAGAGCGTGTGGGGGGCATCTAGGTACCTATAATTTTCTGTTTCTTGTTTTCGGTACTGGCTTCACAGATATGCTTAGTTTGTGAAAATTCATTTTTCCCTTTCATTGTAATACGTGCACATTTTTGTGCATACGTATTTTACTTTCATAAAAAATAAAAATATTATATTACCTATCTGACTTCTTCACAAACTCCTAAGATGAATATTTGTCTTAATTTGGCCCCAGGGTGGTAGAGTCTAACATACCTGGGGGAAGAAAATGCATATTTGTTTTGGAGAAATGTAAATTAAACTCAGAATATTCATAGATAAAGTGCTAAAGGTTAATAAGTACAAGAAGAAATGAGTCACTATGGGAGTGAGTCGGTAGAAACAATATATTTCAGAATGAGACCTACAATAACAGTCGATACTGGAATTACCAGGTAGTAAACAGAAAATAAGGATATGTCCAGAGAAATAAGAGTATTGAAAGTGTCACAAACAATGGAGAATACAAGTTCTTCTTACCAGTGAATGAAGCAAATAGTAATTATAGAAATATGAAACACAATATTAACTTAGAAAATCAACACTTTTATAGTATGTAATTTAAAAATGTCTACTAGCAGTATGAAAAAGTAAAAATAAGTGAAATTTATTTTAATAATGTATTTTATTTAACCCAATATATCTAACATATTATTATTTCAACATGTAATCAATATAAAATTATTAATGGGACAATTTACATTTTTTCTCATAAGTTTGAAATTCTGGGTGGATTTTATACTTACAGCACAATATCAATTTGGAATAGTTGCTTTTAGACAATTCTTCATGCACACACACATACACACACATGCAGAAGCCTACCTTCTTCCACTATGTATAGATGGCTGGCATTGGTCCAAGTTGGAATAGCTAAAGCAACATCCTTGGTTGAGATAGCTTTGTAGCTATATAGTATTAATTTAATAGAACAGATGTGTGTAATTTATTGAACCATTTTCCTACTGAGAAGTGTGAGTTTTCTTTTTCCTATTTCAAATAAGGCTGCAAGAAACATTACTTACACAAAACCTACATGCACTTGTGTATTTCTAAGGCATATAGTTTCAGATATGAATTTGCTGCGCAATGGAAGATTTTACCAGCAGATTAGACACAAGTGAAGAGGTACTTAGTGAACTGGAAAAAAGATCTGAAGAAATTACTTAGAATGCAGTGCAGAGAGGCAAAGAAATGGAAAATATGAAAGACAGGTTAAGACACATGAAAGATATAGCTAAGTATGTCTAAACAGAGATTAAAAAAAAAGAAAGGGGAGTAGGAATGTTCATAAAGATAATACCTAAGATGTCCCTAGAATCGATTAAAGAAAACAGTCCCAGATTAAAAATTTCAATGAATCTCAAAAAATAAGTAAATAAAAAGAAACTGATCTAGACACATTGTAATGAATTCATAGTACACTGAAGACAGAAGATCTTACAATTAGCTATAGAAAAAGGAGACAAGAATCACCTACAGAAGAATGATTATTAGACTGACAGCTGGCTTCCTGCAGCAACAGGGGAAGACAGGAGTCAGGGAGCAAGATCTAAAAATACCGTCAATCTATAAAAGTATGACTTGAGAAAGCATGAGTGGGAAATAAAGACAATCGCAGACAAAAACTGGGAGAGTTTACAAGCAGCAGACCCTTACTTAGGGCACATATAAGGAATATACTCAGGTAGAAAGAAAATTCCAGAATGTGTCTGAGCAGACAATAAAACAAAAAAAATTAAAATAATAACCATTTTGGTAAATCTAAACAAAAGTTGAATAGATATAACAATAATAATATTTAATTTGTGAGATTAAAAAAATCAAGAGAGACCTGAATTCTGGAAAATAGAATCTAATTTAGAAGAATGAGTGAGTAAAGCTGTTTTAAAGTTTGTGTGTTATACAGAAGAAGAGGTAAGATACTGATCAACTTTAGGCATCTTAAGCTAAGACTGAATGTTAAATTTTTAGCGAAATCCCTAACAGGATAGAAATTAAATGCAGAACTTCCAAGCCAGTAGATGTTAAAAATGAATGGAGAAAATAAACCTCAGTTCAAATAGCACTGAGAAAGGGTAAATAAACACATACCAAACAAACAAAAATACAAGTAGGTACAAAATATTCTCAGAAAAATTTAAAAAATGAGTTTATCTGCACCCATAATCAATAAAGGACTAAATTCCCCACTAAAAAATTTCAAAATATTTTCTGTCCATAAAAAAGGTAGGGGGAGGGAATGTTTTCTAAAAGACAATCACCTAAAATAGAGGTCACAGAAAAGTTGAAAATAGAAATATAGAACAAATACCCATCCAAAAGTAATTAAAAATAAGTTGGTAGGAGTATGTAAATATTAGACAAAATTAACTTAAAGTAAAAAGCATTATAGGAGATAAAGAGGATTATTTATATATTGACAAAAGTTTTTACTGGCCAGAAAGCTATGTTAAAAACTTGTATGCATCTTACAAAATAGGCCTAAAATAAGCCAAAAAATTATAAAATGTTATAGAGAAAGCTGAAAAATCTACCAGTCTATTAGAAAAGTTTAACATAGCTCTCTAAGGAGTTAATAGGTTAGTCAAGCAAGACTAAAGCCAAAGAAGTTTTCAACAAAATAATTAAAAGGTTTCATATAATAGTTACATTGCTTCTGGCAATATATAGAAAATTTATGAAAATTAATGATATGTTAGGCCAAAACTCTTAACTTTAAAAAATGTATAGTCATACATACCATATACTCTAGTACAATCATTCAAAGAAAAACTTTAAAAGAATTAAATTTAACAGAGTTTATTTCTTCAAAACATGAATCATGAATTGGGCAGCACTTAGCGCCAGAAGAGGCTTAAATAGCTACACCTGGCAGCCTGAGCAGAGGGAGGCTGAATAGGGAAGCATTGTAGAGAAATCATCTGATTGGCTGCAGCTAGGAGTTGGCCTTATTTGTGCAAGGTCTCATCAGCTGGCTGCCTGTGATTGGCTAAATCATGGCTGTTTGTGATTGGCTGAAACCAGGCTATTTGTTTTTTAAAAAAAATACTCTTACCAGGTTTTGGTTTGTTTACGTGCCAAGTTAGGGTGAAGTTTTTATTTTTAACATAGGAACTCAAAGTACAAAGCCTCAGACTAATGACCACTTACTTATTTAATTTAGCCAATTAGGTTAGAGATTAATAACAAAATAATACCAAAAAGAAAGAGATGTGGAGTGAGAGGGAAAGGCTGATTTTTCCAATACTGGTACTCTCAAGACTGGCCTTCCCAAAAAGAAACCGGTCTCCTTCAAGCTCCATGGAAACTGGCTCTAGTGTAGCATATAAGGGATCAATTGATGGCTTGGACTGTAGTCCTCAAATCATGCCAGGGGAGGGACACCTGCTATACCCCAGCTATACACAATGAGCTGAAAGGAGAGGGCTGGGGCCAAGATTCTGCCACATCTTATTTGTGTCGTGTTGGAGCCTCTCATCATATGAGGGGAGAGACTGATGCTTCCCAGTAATGAATGTTAAAACCCCCCCTAAGACCAAGATGTGGGATCCTTCTCCCAGAAACTGACTTTGGGCCAGGTTAGTTTTGCATGTGCTGCCCCAGAGTGTGATGGAGGAACATCTACTACAGACCGCATCTCTGTGAGTTTCCCCAGCAAATACTTTTTCAGCAGGTTTGATGTATTCACTGCTAGGTCAGCTGCCCTTGTTTGCACTTCATAGAACAAAGGGACTCTCAGACATCGATGGAGGGAGTAGACTTTGGCAGAGCCCCTTTGAAAAACAAGTTGGCATTGGAACTCAAGTTGTACATCCACAACATTTGTGTCCAAAACATTCTACAAGAAAGTGGCTCAGGTACCCTGCAGGCTCCTTTCTGACATGCTATAAGCCAGTGAGGTGGCAACATGTGGAAAGATGTCATTCCCTGCCTGCAGAGGAGCAACCCTCATAGGCAAATGAAGATCAGGGAGGGGCCCTTTTCTGCTTCTCACATTGACCCCCAGAGAGAACTGACTTCAGGGCATAAAAGTCACCAAACATCACCCTCATTTAGAGTCTGCATAAAAAACGAAGCAACAATTTTTCCTCTTGGCATTTCTCTTAACATAACATGGTTTCTAACATTTTTGAGACATGAAGATCAAGAATTGAGGATGTATCACTATGGTCCATTAGCTGTCTAGAAAATACAGCGTGGCCCTTGGGAACCATGGCAACAAATAACTTATGATCATCAAGACTTCTCAATTTTTAATAATTTGCATTGCTGTGGTGGCTACCCAACCAGTATTTGGGGTTTGGGAATTCCAGCTTCACGTCTTTTATTTTTTCATTTTCTTTTCTTTTCTTTTTTTTTTTTTTTTCAAAATTGACCTGTCAGGTTATGGCTAAGACTTAATAGAGATGATGTAGACATAGTACTTCTGACTAATTTTGAGGAATCCCTTAAAAATTCTTCAGGAACATAATTTACAAACACGAGCTTTTGAATAACAAAAAAGACATACACATGTATATCTAGCTAGATATTATAATGTCTTCTTTCCTAACTTGTAAAATCGTAATACATTTTTATGTTTCTACTTCATAGGTAAATTAGAATTTTATTTTGTTAAAATGGGTGTCTTTTAAATTTATGTTTGTTACTTGGCATAATGTTGTCATAAAATGTATCCTCATCTTGACCTAAAACTTGCTTTTCCTTTACAGCATTTCCCTTTGAGCTATGTACCATATGGAGAAGTAGAAAAATACAGCTTTACTGATTATTTACATACTTGTGAACTAGAATCCCTTCAGGGATTGCATGAAACTCACACCAGACTTCTGGCCCAAAAAAGTAAGCAGAACACATTCATATATTAGATATTAGTCAAATATCAAATTGGGGCACAATCTATTTTCTTTAAATCTTATTGCATGTGTTATTGGTGGCCACATTCTGACTGTTCAGAAGCATCTCGTTTTGCACACACACAGGAGGATTGTACCTCACTCTCCCTTGAAGTTGTCATGGCCACGTGACTTGCCTTAGCCAGAGAAATGTCAGTGATGTAATGTGTGTCATTGCTGGGTAGGAGCATTTAATTGCCAGAATAAGAAGCTGGAATCTTGAGTTAACACCTGTAGGACAGATGGCCTTGATAGTTTCTTGGATCAATAAGTGCACTTTGTGAAAACAAGAAATAAGCTTTTCTTGTGTTAAGTTGCTGAGATTTTTAGAGATCTTTGTTGCTGCAGCCCAACTCAGTCTATCCTGATGAATAAACCATGTAGTTTAACTGAGGGTGAAACACCTCTACTCATCAAAGCATTATGTTTCAATGGCTAATTTTATTGACAAATATTTCGTCATCAGAGTTAAAATAAAAGATTTATACTGACAGTTAATGTATTGTTTTTTCAGTAATTGAGTCTCAAAATCTGGGAATTATCTGTGATTCTTCAATCTTGATTCCCACATTGACTGGTTAGCTAAATTCTATTGACATAGGAAATGGAGAGTGGAAACGCTGGGAAACAGGAGACTGTGGTTCTCTTTCTGTTCTTCAAGTTGCCGACAGATATTTTGGGCTAGAGACTTAACTTCTATGTGTCTCTGTTTCCACATTTTCTAAATGAAAGAGCTGGGTAGTGATATTTTAAGTTTAATTTTCAGCTCTAATAGTCTATGACTTTTTGAAATGTTTCAGAAATGAGGTTTTGGTTTTATTGTGAAGGTATTTTGTTACAATCCTTCATCAGCTCATGTTCTGGGCTCCTGTCCCTTCTGTGCCTACTGCACAGCTTTCCATCTTATACCTCACTTTACCCCAAAATCTTTAATTTCCCTCCACTATATAGACCAGCTTTTAAACGCTGCACAGAGCTGAATTTTTAAAAACGCATCTATTTTCTTTAACTCTTAGCCAAGCTCAGAAACCATGGTTCTGTGGTCAAAATAATAAACATCTACCATTGCTTCTCTAGCAGGTGCCATGGCAGATATGAGTAGTCAATGACAATGCTTTTCCTCTTTGAGTGTGGGACAACTTCAGAGTTATTCTCAACATTGAGCATTAGGAATTTACTACTTGTCAATCAGAGATTCCAACTTTTACATTGAAATGTTTTTGTTCTTTCTGGCCCGATAAGTTCACCCTAAGTAGTGTTCCAAGTTGCCCACAGTCAAGTTACATGTTTTCTTCTCAACCAACTCAACTCCACAATCTATTTTGTTTTCAATGGGAGAGTTTTTTTTATAGCATTATATTCTGACTTCTGTTAGTCCCTTCATCTAGAGAGACTCCTATGAAAAAAAGTTATACCCATCCTTTCATTGCAAACTCAAATTTCTATTCTACCCATTGCCTTCTCCAGCCACTTCAGCTCTCCTTGTTGCTCCATCTTCTCTACAAGCTCTTGTTGGGGCTTCCTCTTTTCTTTTCTTTTCTTTTCCTTCCTTCCTTCCTTCCTTCCTTTCTTCCTTCCTTCCTTCCTTCCTTTCTTCCTTCCTTCCTTCCTTCTGTCCTTCCTTCCTTTCTCTCTCTCTCTCTTTCTTTCTTTCCTTTTTTTTTTTTCTTTTTTGGAGTTTTGCATTATTGCCCAGGCTGGAGTGCAATGGTGTGATCTCGGCTCACTGCAACCTCCGCCTCCCAGGTTCAAGTGATTCTCCTGCCTCAGCCTCCCAAGTAGCTGGGATTACAGGTGCCCGCCACCACACCCAGCTAACGTTGTGTACTTTTAGTAGACAGGTGTTTTCACTATGTTGGCTAGGCAGGTTTCGAACTCCTGACCTCGTGATTTGCCCGCCTGGGCCTCCTAAAGTGCTGGGATAACAGGTGTGAGCTATGGCGCCTGGCCAGGGTTTCCCCTTCTGAATGCCACCCTCTACAACTGTAGCTGCATCTCTAGAATTTATTCACAGAATGTATACATATTGACAAATAGTTACTATCAATTTAGGTACCAGTTAAAAATGAACAAATATTTTATTAATCACAGCGACATCATTTATTGGAAATGTGGGAGAATCCATATACATAGAATATTTTTTCTGTCTACTGACACTACGTGGTGTACATAAGGAAACTCACCTTGAAATAAGTTTATGATATGCCACTCATCCATGACCACTATGAGAAGACACTACATTAGCAAGTTAATGATGTTTTTCTTTTCTACTGGGTTATGCTTCTTTAGGATAGGAACCGTCTTACTTTTTTTTTTTCCTGTAGCAGAATACCTTTGCCAGCCTCCTGATATCATCCCCAGCTACAAACTCAGGGATGAAGAGGCAGGCATAGAAAAAGAAATACTTGTTTTCCTAAAGTGCTGCTGCTAGCATACAGTTTAGAAATGCTGAGATATGTACCAAATACCTAATAAATATGGAGAAGGAAAAACCAAGAATATATGTTCTATCTCGATGTTTCTCAAAGTGAGGTCCGTGGACTAGTGCCCATCTGTGATGAAAAAAGTACAGGAGTTGCAAGCGAGCAGTTGGAAACTTTTATAGCAGTTTTTCTGTTATGCTTTTTTATAATCATATTCATTGCAATGTAATTTCTGTGACTCTTTAAACAAATAATAAAAATCTGGGCCTGTCTTTTGTATCCCTTTGCTTATTTTTTTATTTCATGTTCTATTAATCATTTTTATTTTATTTTTACAAAAGTATCCATCCTTGACAGATTGGAAGTTAAAAATATAATGAATTGATTCTTCACTATAGAGCATTTGCTAATTATTGCTCTGTATATCTATTTATCTACTTCTAGGCTTATTTTTCTCTGTATCTTTTTCCTATGTAGTTAGGGTTCTAATAAGAATTCAAATCCATATTTTGACTCTTTATGAAAACAAGAAATCTTATATCTTGCAGATTTCTCTTACAGATAATATCAGTCGAATAATTATGCAGTAGTTGTTCAGCTTTTAAGTCATGGAACTGAAACAACCTCACCTTTCATCCTCAGAGTGTGCCACAATAGTTAGAAACATGAAGAAAGCCAGGCATGTGAATAAAGAATTGACTGTTCACCTGCACTTTTGAATTCCCTGCATTTAGCTAGTTCTAACTTTATACATATTATTCAACATGAATCCTTGTCCAAGAAAAATGAATAATAACTGTTACATCCTAGGAAGAAATAATACATTGTGCTCAGAAATAGGTTTCCATTCACAAATGCTGGCATTTTGAGGTTACCGGCTGTATTCAGGATATAGGAGATACAAAGCACATTGCAGGAATATAATTTTACTGCAGTGGAGGTCATGTGGGGATTAATTCACCTACATTTTTATTTAAATCATATTCACAAGTAATGCCATTTTGAATAAAGTTATATCATTTAAAGTGTCAGACACTTTAGACTCCATTTCCATATGCCCTATTATATGAAGACCTGCAACTTGAAATTCTCTCCAGATTAATCTGAGAGGAAAATATAGGCTCTCATTCTGAGTACATCCCAGAAGGGATTAAGTGACCTGATTTCAAGAAAAAAATAGAACAGGCTATGCAATGACTAATTTGCCTCTTGGTAAAATAAAAGTGACAAACAACAATTTTATTCATAATAGAAGTTTCCCCCAAAGCAGACTTTTGTGCTAACTCTGGCATATTCTATTTGCAAAATATTTTGAATGTATCTCCTGTCATATGGCTCTGCTTGTGAATTCAGGTTTTCTCCTTGCAGGAGCATAAAACCCAACATCTATTTTAATGTAAAATTAGAGATTTGTTGAAGGCATAAGAAGCATATGATACCAAACACATGATTATATTGGATAGCATGCACTCTGAACCTTTTTCACCCTCCAGGAAAAAGATCATAGTTGCATAGTCAATATTATCAGCAGATTTGTATTTAATATGCAATCTATATGTTTTATTGATCATGCTATGATTTGATAATGAAATAAAAATAACTATGGCCTCTTTCCCACTGAAATAAAATTCTTGGTATATAGAACAGCCTGTTGAGAAAACTTACTAATTGAAAAATAAATATTTCCCAGTGTTGTCTTTTCTTCATAGCCTCCTTATCTGGGACATCTTAAATTTATAAGTGCAAAATGTTGGGTGCTTGATGATTTGATGATTTAGTTTCAGTATAATAAGTCAAATGTGGTATTAGTTCATATTTAATAGCATTTTTGAAAAGAACTTTTAATCTTTTGATACAAAAAAGTATTCTTCTTTCCCAAAATTTTCTCCCTGATTAAGACATTTTGTATCCTTACTTTTAAGTGAGAACTTTGAATCTTATCATTTTTTAAATTCAGTGACATCTTTCAATAAACAGAGAAGGGAACACACAAACATGAAAAGAATAGACCAGAATAGGGCATTTAGCTCATATCTTCATCTAGAATATGATTTCTGAATATGTGGAGAATCGGTCTCATCCTTCTGGTACTGGTATTGAGAGTGAGGTAACAACATCTGACAGCCTCACTAAAATCTGGATTTATTATGATGTGAAGTTTTCAAGTCTTTATGAATTTTTCCTAATTACACTATTAAATGTTTTAAAAGTGGTAGTGATTAAAGACTGAATTTAAGCTGTACCTAATGACCTGTCAGTCAGTACCTTTGATGTATCTCAAGATCAAGCAGGAATTTCTAATATGGCATCTGATATCATGTAGAAATGAGATGCCAAACTATAAGACAGAAAGGCTGAGAGACTGGAGTGGAAATCCAAGCTCATCAGCGTTTTACTTACTCTGGCTTGACATAGTCAGTGAAATGCTTTGAAAGAGATTCCTAGGAGAAGATAAATTCTGAGTGGAACAATGAGATTTCAGTAGCACGGAGAAACTGAAGAGATAGTGGAAATTCACTGAATGTGAAGTCTCATTCGGCCAACGCTCCTTAGACTTACTGTGAGAGGAGTCTGCTGCTGGAGAGACATTGCCACATGTGTGGTTGAGCCCGGAGAAATATGTATGTTTCTACGCTGCACACTGATATGCAAACATGAACTTAAATATCTTACACTAAAACTTAAAAAAAATCGTAGCAATTGATGTATAGATGTGAAACCATAAGAAGGGTTTTCTCTCTTGTTGCTTGCTTCACATTATGATTTCTTTACATGGACTTTCAACAGTCCCACTCTCCCCGCCCTTCTGGAATAGTACATGTATCATGATAAAATGTGTGGGCATGTCCTAAAGAAAAATCACCCAAAATACATTCTTTTGTTGTCTTTTAGGGGTAATTGTTTAAATGGAAGAGTGGATTTTTTTCTTAAATAAAGTGAATGTCTCTCATCTTTTTTTCTTTTTTCCTCCAGTTATTGGGGAGCAACTCCATGAAATTCATAGTCAAACATGAGTAATTTCACCTTCCATTTTAGAACTTTGATACCAAACATGTATTTTGGTCCCATCTTTCCTGAAATAGATTTAACAGAATATACCCTAAAATCTTTAGCTAGATAAGAAAAGAGTTGAAGAGCTAGAGCAGTCCATTTTTGAGTCACCAGTTTGTAAGGCTAAAGTAGCAACAAAGAAACCATTAAGAAAGTACATGCTTCTTTCCCTTGGATGAGACCCACTCAGACATCTCAAATGCATGGTAGATGTTCCTTATGCATTCGGATTAAGGATAAAATCCAGGAAAATTTATGCAGTAGGAAACTGTTTTTTTGTCTTCAATATGTTTCCCTTCCCTTTTTGTAGATTCTACTTCCATTTCCTTCTGAAATTCAGCAGCCACAAGCATTCCTTTCCTCCTCTCTTCCTTCCCTCATGCAAATCCCTAAACATTAATTCTAAAAATCTACTTATAAATCTATTTCACTCTCATACTCCAGGGAAGGTATGGATACTTACTCAGAAGTATTTGTAGGAGCAGTAATGGTTTAAGAGGTACCAAAATCAAAAGTAGAGAAGAGACTGTGAAATTCTAGGCATCCACCATTGGGGGAGAAATGTTAGCTGGATTGACACCAACAGGATTTTGCATGCCACGTCTTTAGTTGAGTCAGTTACCTCTTTCATTTTTGAGTGAGACTTTTTCTGCCAAACATTATTACTAGCACTGGATAAAAGAAATGACTGAGTCTACTCTGCTTCAGAAAATAGTATAAATTATCCACAATGAGTGTGTCCATCAACTTTCTTTTTTTCACTAAGCAAAGAAGGAAGAAAGGGAGTGCAGGAATTAAATGTTGTTGAGTTCCTACTCGGTGCAAAGCCTCTTACACATAGTAGGTCACTTAAGCCTCATTAAAGCTTTATTAAAAAAAGAATTACTCTCTTTGCTTTTTATTTTTTTAACAACAGCCATCATTTGTTGATCTTCCTCTGGATAACAGCTAATTTTCTACTTATTGCTTATTTAATTTTCACATCATCTATGTGAAATAGGTGTTATTAGTACCCCAGTTTTTCAAATGAGGAAACTCAGACTCAGAGCAGTTAACCTGCAGAGCTATAATTACAGAGTTGAGATTATGGACACATTTGCATTTTTCATAGGATTAAAAAATAGCGAATGATTGTATAGATGTAAAGTGATTAAGCTTAGAAGTGAACTTAGATTTGCATCGACCCCAAGCCATAGAAATGCTATTTTGGTTATGTTGAGTATGAGAACATGTGAGTGTGTGTATAGCTGTGAGTTTGTGGGTGTGATTGAAATACATATTTCTTTTTTAAAATTTTTTTCTGACGTTGTAAATCTTAGCTCTTTCCTCTGAACTAACGAAAGATTCATTTAAAAATAGAGAAACAGGGAGGCCGAGGCAGGTGGATTATGAGGTCAAGAGATCGAGACCATCCTGGCCAACATGGTGAAACCCCGTGTCTACTAAAAATACTAAAATTAGCTGGGCATGGTGGTGTGCACCTGTAGTCCCAGCTACTTGGGAGGCTGAGGCAGGAGAATTGCTTGAACCTGGGAGGCGGAAGTTGCAATGAGCCGAGATCACGCCACTGCACTCTGGCCTGGGCAACAGAGCAAGACTCCATCTCAACAAAAAAAAGAAAAAAAGAAAATAGAGAAACAAAAGGACAAAAGAAAGGAAGAAAAGAAAGCAAGGGAGAAAGAATTTCTACAGTCAAAATGAGAAAACCATTAGAAGGTAAGATGAACAAAACATAAACACATTATATAAAGGATGACAACACCTATCTATAGCTGATGAATTGCTTGTCACCATATTAAATTTGATAGATTTTCACACATAAGACCTCCAAAAATCCTATTAAGTAGACCTTATTATACCTATTTTACACATGAAAATAATATGATACAAAGATGTTAAGTAATTCACCCAAGATAAAACTTCCTGTGAGATTAGAATATGCTACTTTCTAAAGCTATTTGATATCATTTCTTCCAACATTTCCTCCTAGGCTCAGATATCAATCCTCTCTTCTAAGGAAGGAAAGCAGTGCCAAGAAAGAAGACTGCCGGTCTAGTTTCCGACTAGTTCAGATAATATCATTTCCCTTTTTGCCCAGCTGGGGAGGAGGAGAGGCCCTGGCCTTCCTTAGAGACAGATGACAGCTCAGAGACCCTAGGCTGCCAAAGGGACAGCAGGAAGAGCTCAAAATTTACTGCCCTGCCAGCCTAGCACCACTCAAAGCAGAGCTAGCCAGATCATCTTAATGTTGTTCATTGATAGAAAGATAAGCCAATAGAAATTTAAAATATTTAGGATATAAGGTACCATAACACAATATTAATTTCAGAAAGTAAAATTAAATGTTGATTTGTTTTCAGGTTTATAAGAGATATCCAGTATTAAATTGTTGATAAATACACTGCTTAGCGTGAGCCTCCAAAGAGTCCTTCCCATATTGGATATTTTTAGTTATTCTGGATACAGACACTAATCCCTTTAAGAGTGTGGGATACTAACTGTATCTTGTTAATAGGAGATCCAATGTGGAAATAAAAGCTTCTTAAAGAATGACTAAGAATACAAATATGGAAAAATATGTTAAGAAAATGTAAATCAACAACAAGCAAGCAAGGGAAACAATATTAATAACAGAAAAAATTTAAAGTGAAATATATTTATTAAGATCAAAGGAATCTGATACAATTATAACTAATCATTGAGAAAAGACATCTTTCCCAATAAGAATATGATGGTCTAATACAGATTAAAAATATATAAAGCGAAACTATTAGAACTATAAGAAAATAACAAAACAATTTAGTGATTTTCATATACTAGTCAATTTTTTCTCAGATCAATTAATAATAATTCTGAATAGAGGATTTGAATACATTTACTTAGATAATTTAATTAATAGTTAATGAGTTTTTTCTCTCTAAAGCTAAGGATATATATTTTTTACAAACATATAAATTGGTCTTAAGAAAGTAGTTTGAAAAAAATCAATAAATTTCAAAAGTAGAAATTTTAAAGAACATATTTTGTCATCAGATTGAAGTAAAACTACAAATTTCTACAAAAGTTAGGCATATAAACATGAAAATCAATAACATATTTCAAATCAGAAAAATAAAAATTATATAACTCATTAGAAAATGGGGATGAGAAAACTGCCTACTGAAATTAATGTTGTGTAATCAAAGATGTGCTCAAAGGCAATTTTATGACTGTCTTCTTCTCAATAAAGAGGCATTCAATATAGAAAATTATTTAAAAATTTTCTTAAAAAAGTAGAAGCAAGAAATAATAAAGTCAGAAACAGAAATTTTAAAAGGGCTAAAATGGAAGAATATATTCAAAAGCTAATTCTTGAAAAACAGATGACATACTGTATGTGAAAAATTTAACCAATATTTATAATGAGAAATGATTTACTTGAAAAGATAAGAGAGAATACTTTAAAATAATAGCAGAATAACAAGTAGAGATTTAAAATAAATTATAATAATAAGCAATGTTTAGCTAATAAACTTGATAATCTAAATGACAAATATGATTGTCTAGGCAATTACAACTGACCAAAACACTGTCAAGAGAGGTTGAAATCCTGAAAAGATCAATTCACAGAATAAATTGAGTACAACAATACAGTGTTCATGTTGAAACTTTCAGAGAAAAAGTAGGGCAATGGTGCCTTACAGTTTATTCACTGCACACATTTCTGATTCTAAAATGTTATTAAACACACACACATATAGTAGTAACACTAAGTTTTAAAATAATGGTGAAAAATACCTACTTAAAATGCTAGTGATTCAAATGTAAGAAAAGACAATAATGATAACACAAATTGACTAGGGTTCATTCCAGGAATGTAAACCATTTTCAATATGAAGAAACTGATTAATATAATTCTCCCGTGCAGTGATACAAAGAAGACAAAATTATATGGTTATTTTACTGTTTAACAACATTCATTTGATAAATGTCAGCATAATGCCTCGATAAAATAAAATATTTTAAAAGTAAACCCTTTAGGCTAGGATTAGAAGGATACTCCTTTAAAATTAATTTTAAACACTGGCATCAAACCAAGGATGTTGACATTCATTCTTCTTAATGGTAAAGCACTAGGAGTACCTCCCGTAGAATTAGAAAATTGACAATAATATAGATTCCTCTTATTGCTGCCATAATTTACCTTTGTAAATAGACATTTCAACCAGTACAATTAAAATAGCAGATATGAATCATGAATGAATCATTGCTAAAAAGGAAATCCAATTTTTATTATTTGTAGATGATCTGATTGTTCATCTGAGAAATTCAGGAACATTGATGAATAAGCTGTTAAACTTGTCAAAGAGCTTAGTAATTTTTATAGCTACAAAATCAATTGGCCCAAATCCATTGTTTTCTTTTACAGCAAAATTAACTAGTTAGCAAGCAAAATGAGAAGAAAAAAATTTCCTTCACAGTATCAATAAAAATGAAAACTACCTAGACATAAAGAAGAAATAAGTTCTATTTTAAAAAATGAAAAATACACAACTTAAGACATACAGCAAAGGAGAACTGAATAAATGAAGACACGAACCAGGTTTTACAAGAAAAGACAATATCATAAAGTTTATAATTCCTCCCAAAATACTTCTAAAAGATAGTGCAATTACAAAAAAATACCAAAACAGATTAAAATGTGATATAAAAATTCTAAAATTTATTTGTGATAATGAAAAGATATTAATTCCAAAAATATTTTGGAAAAGCTGAATAATTAATGTGCTTAGCCAAGTAGTCAAAATAAAGCAAAAAAACCTTTTAAAGGATGTGGTACTGGTTTCAGGAATACATAGACCAAATTGGTGAAGTAGAGTAAAACAAATCTAGAATAGACTTCAAAACTGAAACTGTGAAAGAATCAAGTAATTTTCTATAGATTTAAACTCACTCATTGAAGTATTCATATATTTGAATATGAAATCAAAGTCCATGTTCAAAATAAAATGCTGCTGTGCTATCTTTTGTTATCCTTTTTGCATTTATTTCTACAGAGAAACACATACATATCATTATCATCACTTAATTATTATAGTTATCATTATTGCTAACCTTTATGTAATGCTTTTGTTGTGTCAGAAAGTATTCTAAGCACATTCCATATATTTCATCATTTAATTGACCTAGCAATCTTATGAAGTTGGGACTATTATTTGCTACAATTTACAGAAAAAAAAATACTCAGATTTAGAAAGCTGCGGTAAATTGCCTACAGTGATTGTGAGGCTAAAATGAAAATACAGGAAATCTAGCGTCAGGGCCAGTTTCTGAAGAATTAAACTGTAATTTCACATGTACAATCAGGTTTATATTTTATAAGTATTTCTAAGTAGAGATGCAAAGTCTTGACATAGATGCACTAAAATTTTAATATCAATTTTCTTTTGATAGTGAGAATTTTATTTTCCTCTTTATATTCAAATGTTTAAAAATATGCAGTAAAAATTTCTTTTGTCATCATGGAAAAGTACTTTTAAAAAGGTGACCTCAGCCTGGTGACTTCTCTTTAGTGAAGAGTTCAGACAAGCCTACCAAACTGCACCATTTGACTCATCAACTCTCTAGCCCAAGACATTAATGCTCATTTATTTTCACAGTGGCTCCCAGAGATGCTGCTGCTGTCAACTGGCACCACGATCATCATCAGTACCATAGCTTGAGTTCCCAAAATGTCCCTTCTCTGACAAATGCTTTATACATATTACATCCAGTACTCTTTTTGTTATTGTTCTCATTTTACAGAGGATGAACTGAAGCTTGAAGTGATCATAGGTCTTTCTCAAGGTGACACAGCCCAAACTTGGAATAGACTAAGTCACATACAGGTCTGCCCAGCTCTGCAGAATCTGCTTCCATTCTTCTTTGATATGTCTCACAGAAGTTTCCAACCGGGCTCAGATGGAAATCTCGGGTACTTGAACTAGTGTTTTAATACTTGGTTGATTGCCATTAAATTTGAGCGCACATGTAATTACCTTGATTGAGTACATAAAAAAAATTAAGAATCAATCTTTTTTTTTTGAGATGGAGTCTCACTTTGTCACCCAAGCTGGAGTGCAGTGGTGTGATCTCAGCTCACTGCAACCTCTGCCTCCTGGGTTCAAGCGATTCTTCTGCCTCAGCCTCCCAAGCAGCTGGGACTACAGGTGTGTGCCACCACGCCTGGCTTAGTTTTGTATTTTTAGTAGAAACGTGGTTTCACCTTATTGGCCAGGCTGGTCTCGAACTCCTGACCTCATGATCCACCCCCCCCCCCACCCCGCTTGGCCTCCCAAAGTGCTGGGATTACAGGCGTGAGCCACCGTGTCCAGTCAAGAATCAGTCATGTTTTGTTATGTGAAATCTTAGTCTCTCCTTGGTAGCTATGCATCTTCCATTCTTCTTCAGATAATCATAGAAAAATGGCATTGTTCCCCAAAATCCTGATCAAATGCAGACACCCAGTTGCCTCTACCAAGTACAAAGAATTTCCCACATACCAAGAACCAATGCTTTCATTTGTTGAATATCTACTATGTTTTAGACACTATGCTAGCCATGGATAATAGAATTGTGTTTTATTAGAGCAATGCTTCCATCTATGAAAAATTCCCGAATAGTTTGGGTAAATGTCCTTCTGTTTGTGACTCAGGCTTTTTCTGCCTTTTGGTACCCCTGTCTTCAAAACAGGGCTTCCAAAGTCTTTATCCTTTTTTATGTTCCAGTCAATTTAAGAAAAAATAATATGGAGCATTACACATGCAAATTTCATATGGGTCTGTTCTTGAAATGATCCACATTCCCTCTGTCCACATTCCGTTGGTCATAACCCTGGCATATGGCCATACCTAACTAAAAAGGAGGCTGGGAAATGTAGGCTAATTAGGCATCTAGAGTTAATGAAACAGCCTTTCTTCCTGCTCATTTGCCATTTACAATATAGTTGGGGAGATGGGCATTAACCAAATAACACATAAAACCAATGGGCAATTTCAACTTTGGAGGTTATCGTTAAGGAGAAAAATGTAGTATCAAAGAATGCTTACTATTTATAGCTCATTTTGATCTAATTGGAGAAATCAGGAAGTATTCTCTGAGGGAGTGAGACTTGGATCTTAAGGATGAGTAGGTGAAGAAAGAAGTGGGGACTTCAAAGAGCTTTTGAAGGAGAGTTCTTGGGAAGCAGGTGGAAGAGGGAGATGCCATGCTGGCGGAGGCTGGGGGAGCTTTCCCCTGTCAGGCCTGTGGGCCATTTAGGAGTTTGGACCCTATTATATGGACAATACAAAGCACTGAAGAGTTTTAAGCAGAGAGCTAACTAGGTCAGATTTTCATCTTGGAAAACCAAATCACTCTGGCTGCATTGTGAAAATGTGTGGGAGTTGTGGGGAAAATCAACGTGGGGAAGCCTTTTGGAAAGCTACAGTAGAGTGACAATGACTGAGACAAAGGGGCTGGATGGAAATTCAACAAACTTGGAGAGATAGCTCGACTTTGCTATTTATCTGTTGAGTTCTTTTGCTGGATGGTTTGCATACTAATAGCTTCAATGATTATTAATAAACTTTAAAACTGGGCAAAGTTGTTGGGCAGCTAACAGCTAGCTTAGATAGCCTTGAGCCAGACTTACACAAACTGAAGCAGAGACATGAGTGACCCAATAGCCTATCTCCTTTCTCTGTCAACATTTTCTCACTTTGATTTCACTCTTCCATTTGACCTCAGGGAGGGAGAAAGTGGATCTGTAAAACTAACTTGTGCCATGATGTATTATGTTTTCCTGTGGGCATTTGCATTTTAAAAGAGGAATTTAAGGAAGAAGTGTACCTATCCAAAGAGATTAACCAACAGAAATAAAGCAATGGTGCTTTGAATATTTGGGGAAAGGTGGCCTTCATATTATACAACATAGATATCACTTTCAGTGTCTTTAATAAGAACATTGATTCTGGTTCTGCTTGAAACCTCCTAAGTCTTCGGTGGGGAAAGCTCCTTAAGGCAACCAAGCCCTGGACCAAAAGTTTCTTCCCAATAACTAGGACACATGCCCATTCTTCTGGACTGAATAAGATCTGAAGCTTCAGTCTACCCTTTTACAACTTGACAACCCTAGGCATAATTAAGAAACAAAGGTATATTTCATTTCTTGCTGAAAATAAACACATGCTTCTGTTTTGAAATATTTTTGTATGTACACAAAAATTTAAAAAACACAAAAATACATATTCTATTTTTGTACGTGTGTGTACACTTAAGGAAGCCACAAACCACTCATGAAAGCTTTATTTATGGATGCCCTTCCACTATGACTAACAATTTGCTGCTCTATTTGAAGCAAATTATAGGAAATGATACTCCTTTTTCTTTCTTCTAGCCCTCTCTTCTACAGATAAAATAAGGGAGCAGAACTGAGGTCTTGTAAGGTGTCACCTGATTCATCCCTAGGAGACTGCACCTGTGTGTATGTGTGATGTGTGTCTATGTCATTCAGCCCCCTCACTCATCCATCTCACCAGACCAGTCCCCAAGAAACCCACATTTGTTTTTGAGCTGAAGTCAAGGATCAACAAACACAGTTCCTCTAGCTAGAACTGGGGGAAAGAAATAGAATTTTGTTGCTGGCAGCTCCATCTCTTTGGCAGAAAACCCCCATGTGCACCTGTTCAACTAGATCTCAAGTGATTTTTAGCCTCCCAGCATTTGGCTGACATAAAGAGTGTAGAGTGATTCTTCATTTATTTTACAACTCAGTGAGCACCAAATTAAGTTTAATAGCCATGATAAACACACACATGCACGCATACCTCCCCATCCTCAATTTAAAAAAGATTTATTACATTCTGGCTAATAAACACTTCACATCAGCTCCTTTTTTTTCTTTTTTAACACCATGAAACTATTTCAGGTTATTTAATTATTGTTTAATCATAGGATTTAGAACTTTTTTTTTCAAGGAACATTGTAATACTTCATTTACAGCCTGTAAGTGTTGCTGATATTTTTATTTAGAAGAAGAGTAACTGGGGATGTTCAATAATATTTAGTGTAGAGTGTATGCAATGTGTAAAAGGTGCTACATATTCTTTTTAAAATTTTATTTTAAGTTCTGGGGTATATATTCAGGATGTGCAGGTTTGTTACATAGGTAAATGCATGCCATGGTGGTTTGCTGCACCTATCAACCCATCATCGAGGTGTCAAGCCCAGCCTGCATTAGCTATTTTTCCTGATGTACTCCCTCCTTTTCCCCTGACCCCTGACAGATCCCAGTATGTGTTGTTCCCCTCCATGCGTCCATGTGTTCTCATTATTTGGCTCCCACTTATAAGTGAGAACATGCAGTGTTTGGTTTTCTGTTCCTGAGTTTGTTTGCTGAGGATAATGGCTTCCAGCTCCATCCATGTCCCTGCAAAGGACATGATTTTGTTACTTTTTATGGCTGCATAGTATTCCATGGTGTATATGTACCATATTTTCTTTATCCAGTCTATCATTGATGGGCATTTGGGTTGATTCCATGTCTTTGCTATTGTGAATAGTGCTGCAATGAACATACGCATGCATGTGTCTTTATAACAGAATGATTTATATTCCTTTGGGTATATACCCAGTAATGGAATTGCTGGGTCAAATGGTATTTCTGGTTCTAGGTATTTGAAGAATCACCACACTGTCTTCCACAATGGTTGAACTAACAACCAATGATGTTAAAGTGTTCCTATTTCCCTGCAACCTTGCCAGCATCTGTGGTTTTTCGACTTTTTAGTAATCGCCATTCTGACTGGAATGATATGGTATCTCACTGTGGTTTTGATTTGCATTTCTCTAATGATCAGTGATATTGAGCTTTTATCACATGTCTGTTGGCCGCATGTATGTCTTCTTTTGAGAAATTTCTGTTCATGTTTTTTGTCCACTTTTTAATGGGGTTGTTTGTTTTTTTTTTCTTGTAAAGTTAAGTTCTTCATAGACTCTGGATATTAGATCTTTGACAGACGGATAGATTGCAAAATTTTCTCCCATTTTGTAGGTTGTCTGTTCACTCTGATGATCGTTTCTTTTGCTGTGAAGAAGCTCTTTAGTTTAATTAGATCCCATTTGTCAATGTTTGCTTTTGTTGCAATTGCTTTTGGTGTTTTCACCATGAAATCTTTGCCCGTGCCTATGACCTGAATGGTACTGCCTAGATTTTCATCTAGGATTTTTATAGTTTTGGGTTTTACATTCAAGTCTTTAATCCATCTTGAGTTAATTTTTGTAAAAGGTGTGAAGAACGGGTCCAGTTTGAATTTTCTGCACATGGCTAGCCAGTTCTTCCAGAGCCATTTATTAAATAGCAAATTCTTTTCGCATTGCTTGTTTTTGCTAGGTTTCAAAGATCAGATGATTGTAGATGTGTGGTCTTATTTCTGAGTTCTCTATTCTGTTCCTTTGGTCTATTTGTCTGTTTTTGTACTAGTACTATACTGCTTTGGTTATTGTAGCCTTGTAGTATAGTTTGAAGTCGGGTAATGTGATGCCTTCAGCCCTGTTCTTTTAGCTTAGGATTGTCTTGGCTATATGGCCAATTTTGGTTCCATATGAATTTTAAAATAGTTTTCTTCTAATTCTATGAAGAATGTCAATGGTACTTTCATGGTAATAGCATTGAATCTATAAATTACTTTGGACATTATTGCCATTTTAATGATATTGATTCTTCCTATCCATGAGCATGGAATGTTTTTCCATTTGTTTTTGTCTCCTCTGATTTACTTGAGCAGTGATTTGTAGTTCTCCTTGAAGAGGTCCTTGACTTCCCTTGTTAGTCATATTTCTAGGTATTTTATTCTCTTTGCAGCAACTGTGAATGGGAATTCATTCATGATTTGGCTCTTTGCTTGGCTGTTGTTGGTGTATAGGACTGGTTGTGATTTTTGCACATTGAATTTGTATCCTGAGACTTTGCTGAAGTTCCTTATCAGCTTAAGAAGCTTCGGGACTGAAACAATGGGGTTTTCTAGCTATAGGATCATATCATCTGCAAACTAGGATAATTTGACTTTCTCTCTTCCTATGTGAATACCATTTATTTCTTTCTCTTGCCTGATTGCCCTGGCCATAACTTCCAATACTATTTTGAACTGGAGTGGTGAGAGAGGGCATCCTTGTCTTGTGCTGGTTTTCAAAAGGAATGCTTTCAGCTTTTGCCCATTCAGTGTCATATTGGCTGTGGGTGTGTCATAAATGGCTCTTATTATTTTGAGGTATATTCCTTCAATACCTAGTTTATTAAGAAGTTTTAACATGAAGGGATTCTGAATTTTATTGAAGGCCTTTCTGCATCTGTTGAGCTAATAATGTAGTTTTTGTCTTTAGTTCTGTTTATGTGATAAATCACATTTATTTATTTGCATGTGTTGAACCAACCTTGCATCCCAAGGATGAAGCAAACTTGATCATGCTGGATAAGCTTTTTGATGTGCTGCTGGATTTGGTTTGCCAGTATTTTATTGAAGATTTTTGCATTGATGTTTATCAGGGATATTGGACTGAAGTTTTCTTTTTTTGTTGTATCTCTGCCTGGTTTTCATATGAGGATGATGCTGGCCTCATAGAATGATTTAGAGAGAAGTCCCTCCTTTTCAGTTGTTGGAATAGTTTCAGAAGAAATAGTATCAGCTCCTCTTTGTACTTCTGGTAGAATTCAGCTATAAATCCATCTGGTCCTGTGGTTTTTTTTGTTTTTTGTTTTTTGTTTTTTTTTTTGGTTGGTAGGCTATTTATTACTACCTCAGCTTCAGAACTTGTTATTTGTCTATTCAGTGATTCAACTTCTTAATGGTTCAATCTTGGGAGGGTGTATGCATCCAGGAATTTATCCATTTCTTCTAGATTTTTCTAGTTTATTTGCATAGAGGTGTTTATAGTATTCTCTGATGGTTGTTTGCATTTCTGTGGGGTCAGTGGTGATATCCCCTTATCATTTCTAAGTGTGTCTGTTTATTCTTCTCTTTTTTGTACTGTATTAGTCTAGCTAGCAGTCTATCTATTTTATTAATTTTTTCAAAAAACCAGCTCCTGTATTCATTGATTTTTGAAGGTTTTTCCATGTCTCTGTCTCCAGTTCTACTCTGATCTCAGTTATTTCTTGTCTTCTGCTAGCTTTGGGGTCTGTTTGCTCTTGTTTCTCTAGTTCTTTTAGTTATGATGTTAAGATGTTGATTTCAGATCTTTCTAGCTTTATGATGTAGGCATTTAGTGCTATAAATTTCCCTGTTAACACTGCTTTAGCTGCCTCCCAGAGATTCTGGTATGTTATCTCTTTGTTCTCATTAGTTTCAAAGAACTTCTTGATTTCTGCCTTAATTTCATTATTTACCCCGGAGTCATTCAGAAGCAGGTTGTTCAATGTGCATATGGTTGTATGGTTTTGAGTGAGTTTCTTAATCTTGAATTCTAATTTGATTGGACTGAGGTCTGAGAGACTGTTGGTTATGATTTTAGTTCTTTTGTATTTGCTGAGGAGTGTTTTATTTCCAATTATTTCCAATTATTGAAATTTATTTCCAATTTTAGAGGAAGTGTCATGTGGCACCAAGAAGAATGCATATTCTCTTGTTTTGGGATAGACAGTTCTGTAAATATCTTATCAGGTCTACTTGATCCAGAGCTGAGTTCAGGTCCTGAATATCCTTATTAATTTTCTGTCTTGATGATCTGTCTAATATTGACAGTGGGGTGTTAGAGTTTCCTACTATTATTGTGCAGGAGTCTAAGTCTCTTTGTAGGTCTCTAAGAATTTGTTTTATAAGTCTGGGTGCTCCTGTGTTGGGTGCATATATATTTAGGATAGTTAGCTCATCTTGTTGAATTGAACCCTTTACCGTTATGTAATGCTTTTCTTTGTCTTTTGTGATCTTTGTTGGTTTAAAGTCTATTTTGACATAAACTAGGATTGCAACCCCTGCTTTTTTCTGTTTTCCATTTGCTTGATAAAATTTCCTCCATATCTTTATTTTGAGCCTATGTGTGTCTTTGCATGTGAGATGGGTCTCTTGAATACAGCACACCAGTGGGTCTTGACTCTATCCAGCCTGCCATTCTGTGTCTTTTAATTGGGGCATTTATCCCATATACATTTAAGGTTAATATTGTTATGTGTGAATTTGATCCTGTCATCATGATTCTAGCTGGTTATTTTGCACATTTGTTTATGTAGTTGCTTCATAGTGTCATTGGTCTGTGAACGTCAGTGTGCATTTGCAATGGCTGGTAATAGTTTTCCTTTTGCATATTTAATGCTTCCTTCAGGAGCTTTGCAAGGCAGGCCTGGTGGTGACAAATTCCCTCAGCATTTGCTTGTTGAAAAGAATTTTCTTTCTCTTTCACATATGAAGCTTAATTTGTCCAGAAGTGAAATTCTGGGTTGGAAATTCTTTTCTGTAAGAACATTGAGTATTGGCACCCAATATTTTGTGGCTTTTAGGGTTTCTGCTGAGAGGTTCACTGTTAGTCTGATGGGCTTCCCTTTGTAGGTGACCTGGCCTTTCTCTCTGGCTGCCCCTGCATTTTTTTTCTTTCATTTTGACTTTGGAGAATCTGATGATTATGTGTTTTGGGATTCATCTTCTCATGGAGTATCTTAATGGGGTTCTCTGGATTTCCTGAATTTGAATGTTGGCCTGTCTTGCTGTGTTGGGGAAATTATCCTGGATGATATCCTATAGTATGTTTTCCAACTTGGTCCCATTCTACCTGTCTCTTTCAGGTACCCCAGTCAGTCATAGGTTCAGTCTTTTACGCAATCCCACATTTCTCAGAGGTTTTGCTTGATCCTTTTCATTCTTTTTTCTCTAGCCTTGTATGCCTGTCTTATTTCAGCAAGATAGTCTTTAAGATTCTTTTCTCCACTTGGTCTATTCAGCTATTGACACTTGTGATTGCATTGTGAAGTTCTCAAATTGTGTTTTTCAGCTCCATCAGGTAATTTATGTTCCTCTTTAAACTGGTTATTCTGGTTATCAGCATCTGTAACGTCTTATCATCGTTCTTAGCTTCTTTGCACTGGGGTAGGACATGTTCCTTTAGCTCAGCAAAGTTCATTATTACCCATCTTCTGAAGCCTACTTATGTCAAATCATCCACCTCAGCCTCAGCCCAGTTCTGTGCCCTTGCTGGAGGGGTGTTGCAATATTTTGGAGGAGAAGAGGAACTATGGCTTTTTGAGTTCTCAGCATTTTTGCATTGATTCTTTCTTATCTTTGTGGGTTTATATACCTTCAAACTTTGAGGCTGCTTACCTTTGGATGGTTTTTTTTTGTGGGTCATTTTATTGATGTTGTTGTTGTTGCTTTCTATTTCTTTGTTTTTCTTTTAGCAGTCAGGCCTCTCTTCTGTAGCACCGCTGAAGTTTGCTGGGAGTCAACTCCAGACCTTATTTGCCTGAGTCCCTTCTTAACATGGAGGTATCACCAGTGGAGGCTAGAGAACAGCAAAGATGGCAGCCTTCTTCTTCTTCTGGGAGCTCTGTCCCAGAGGCACACTGACCTATTGCCAGCCAGAACACCCCTGTATGAGGTAAGTGGCAACCCCTGTTGGAAGGTCTCACCCATCAGGAGGAATAGGATCAAGGACCCACTTAAGGAAGCAGTCTGGGCTACCCCTTGGCAGAGTGGGTGCACTGCATTGGGAGGAACCCCCCTCATCCAGACTGTTCGGACTCTCCCGAGCCAGCAGGCAGGAGAGACTAAGTTGGCTGAACCGTGGAGACCACAGCTGCCTCTTCCCACAGGGGCTCCATCCCAGGGAGATAAGAGTTCTGTCTGTATACCCCTGGCTGGAGTTGCCGGAATTTCTGCAGGGCAGTCTTGCCCAGTGATGAGGGGTAGATTTGAGTCCCACTTAAAGAAGCAGTCTGGCCATGATCTGCCACAGCCACTGTGCTGCACTGTGGGGAATTCCTCCTGATCCGAACCACCCAGTCCCCTGGCACCGGCAGGAGAAAATGATTGACTGGGGCTGCAGTGATGGTGGCTGCCACTCCCCCAGGGGAACTCAGTCATCTTAGGCAGTCTCCAGCCTGCTGCCACTGACTGGTGGGGTTTCCAAGCCAGTGGGTCTTAGCTAGTGGGAGTGGGGCCCACTGAGCAATACTTCTTGCATGCCACATATTCTGCAGAGTAAATTAAAGCAGGAGAGTAGGAGGTTGGACATTGAGATGTTTAGATTGTTGTCTCTGTGATAGGTTTTGAGAGACTCGGGTCTAAGATGTCTTTCCCATTAGCCTGAATATTCTCAGACCCATGGACTATGGACTGTCACTTTTGAGCCTTATGCTAAAGCTGGAGCAAAGCTGGTTTTAATTATGACTCTGGCCAGCTGCTGCCAGTGTGCTCAGTGAGTGGGAGTCCCACCCAGGCCTCATGATTATGGCTGGCCAACATACCCACCCATTCCCAGTCCCCTTTCATCCAGTTATATGCCTGAAAGAAAAGGCTTAGGACCTGCCAGGGTGCCACCAAAATTCTGGGAGGAGGAGGAGAGACCATTGATTTTACTAGGACATTGACAGAAGAGGAAGAAGGAAAATGAAGTGAAGTTACACAATTTAAATATCTGATGCATTATTAATTACAGAGTACTTGATAAAAATATGGACAGTTTTGGAGTGCAGAAGACTGATGGGTCATCATTCTATGGGTAGCAGAAGTTTTTAGACTTAGCAGGAGAACTTTTTTTGCATCAGAATTTTGTAAGGAATCTCACAAGTAAGACAGGTAAACAGAATTCTGTCTGAACTGATGATGAAGCATCTGGAGACTCACATGCTCAGATTTCCCCTTGAACGACCCTCACTTCCCATCAGACACCTCATGGGACCTCAGAGCCCTGTGGAACCAGTTTGAGAAATAGCCCATATACTTGAAATGTTTGGTTAAAAAGATCCTAGTGCACAGGGGGCAGTAGTGAGCATCTGGCTATAATGTGGGAGTGGAGGCAGAGGGAAAACAGAGGGAATGTGCCCACATGGTGCCATGGCCATTCACCAATCCTATGGTTGGGGGTTGGTATACGTGCATACCATATTGGGCCTGTTTATACATGTGGCCCTCATCAGACAAGTACTTTTTCATAGGAGCCACAGGAACATCTATGACAAGTTGGCTCAGGAGGGCACATGAGAAGCAACACTTCCAAAGTCCAGCAGAATGGTTTTCTGGCAGCTTTTCTAGACTTTAGAATGGATGTGTGATTAGTTACTGACGGAGTTTCTTCTTTCTCCAATCTCTGATTTGCTGTTAGTGAACAAAGAATCATAACCCAAGAAGATATAAATATGGACAGAGTAGCAATCAAAGCCAAGACGTTACCTAAAAGAGTTTCAAAGCTCACAAGCTCACTGCTCAACCACTTCTGAGGCACTGATTTAGGTGTTGTCCCACTGGCTTGACTGAGGATAACAGAATGTCACCCCCCACAGTCTCCTTTGAGAATGGTCAGCTTAAGAAATTTATTTATTTAGTGATTTATTCTTCCTATTTTATTTCTTTCTACTTCAAAGGCAGTAGCATTTAGTTGCAATGTGTGAACATTTGCGTCAGAGCATCTTAGTAATTAAAAAAGGTGTTTTAAAATATAGAGTAAGACTTCCAGGAAAAGGTGGTGGAGCAATGGCTCCTTTCCATTTTGTCTCCTGAAATCTACTGACATTTCTCTCTGATATCTGCTTAGGATGTGAGAATAGAGTATAAATTAAGAGACCTGCAACTAGATACACTGCTGAAGACTGTGACTAAAGACAATAGAGAATATTAGCTAAAGATAAATAAATTTGGACTAATTCAGAGAAAGATGCCAAAAATAATTACAGAAACATTCAAATTTTCAGCAGGATGTAGTGTTCTCTGAAAACATAGTAGAGGTTCCTCTTGAAATAATAGAGAAATGGAATGTGGTGGTAGTCAGAAAAGGAGAACAGATCCCTGAAATATGCTACTTGGCTTAGCATAGCCGTGGGGCAGAGGGCTAAAGATAGTTTGAAGACTTGATCTTTATGGTTGTTCCTTTTCACGGCCTGCATCCCTGCTCTAGAGAACTGGCTTGGAGCCCAGGCAGTATGGATTCACAAGAGGAAGTGGCCCCCAGCTTGGCAGCTGTTCATCAGGGTCCACTGAACAGAATGATACTCACTGGATGTTTGTGGGGAGCTATGCATGTATGCATTGCGGGGAGACATTTAAAGCTGATAGGTGATTCTTTGGGCTAGACTGTAGAAAATTAGCAGAAAAGTATTACAAAACAACACCATCATTTTCATACTACTGGCTGGCCCAATTTGCTATGTATTCACCTAATAAGCCACTGCACATTCTCCACCTCATAAACCTGTCTGGATGTTTTTCAATAAATTGAATGGTGTAAGAGAGTTGCCCTCATTCAAAGATTAGGAAGAAACCAAAAAATCTCTAACATTCAAACCAGGCAAATATTCATCCCATGTTAATTAAGCAAATATTTGTGCATAGGCACTGAACCAAGCACTGTCTGAGGCACAGGGAATACACCATGAATTAGACTGAGAAATCGTGGCACTTCCTTCCAAAAAGGTAAGAGTGTTCTATACAAAGAACAGGCGAGGGCTGCTGATGGGTAAGTTACTTCATGTAACAGAATCCCTTCAAGCAAATTCCGTCTACAAACTTAAAGAAATTACAGAGAGCAAGGGAAGTAACATACATTTATAGATGAGATCTAACATTAGATAATAGCTAGAAGGTCAGCTAATAGCACTCAACATGGGAAAACAAAACAAACGCCATGATAGGAAGATGTAGCAGAGTAGAGGCCAGAGATTGGCCTTCCCTGGGGAAGGGGGTCCCCTGGGGATTTCCACATCCTGGACATAAACTATATGGGAGAGAGAGCCTTAGTGGGGTTGTCACAGATCTTCCCAGAAGAGTGAGGAGCCCTCAACAGAAAGAGCCCTGGAGTGCACTGCTGGATTCCCCAAGACTGGGGAAGAAGCACTGATTGAGCAGGCGTGTTCACTTGTGAAAATTCGCCGAGCTGTGTTTTCATGATTTACGTACTTTTCTATTTGTGTGTTTTACATCAATAGAAAGTTTACTAAAAACAATTGAGGTGTATAGACAATGATGAGAGTAAAATAAAATTCTTGGCAGAGAGAACAACATGAAAAAGCATAATTCAATTGCTACGTTTGTATGTGTGCTGAGAGACAGAAGGGAGAGACGCAGAGAGAAAGAGGGGACGAAGGTGGCAGGAGACAGAAATGCAGTTTCTTAGTCTTAGATAATGCATAAAACTCATGGAAACCTATGCTTACCAAATAGAAAGTGATAGGCATAGACCTTCACTTCACAAGTTTTAAAAGTTGCATGAAATACAATGACTATGACAAATGGGAGTTGTCAGGTTGAATTTCTTCCATGATAAACCACTGGTTCAAACTAATCCACACTTTCAGGTAATGAGAACCTGCACCTCTCAAGGTAACCTAGAAGAGATAATACACAACTATATTTTGTGTTTGGTATTGTCATGGAAAATACCCTAGATGCCTGATTGCAAAGAATAATGAATCTCACTTATTAATTCATTTATTCCAGAAATACTTGTTGAGCCTCTACTGTGGGCCAGACCATGTAGTAGATGCAAAGATATATATCAGAGAAGATATTTCCAAGGATAATTTATGGTAATAGAGAATACAGGTAAAGAAAAAAGGAGAGCAACAAATCTCAGTACCAGGAATAAAGGCTATCTGAACAACAGGAATGCAAATATGGATAATGGTAAAATTAGGGACCAGCTAGAAGGATACAGGATGCTTTTGAGAGAGGATGAGACTAAGAGAATGACATTTTGAGAGTATTGCATTTATTTTAGAATGCTAAATTCAATGTGTCCTGTTGCCTTGGAGTTAGACGGTGTTGCTACACATTGACAGAGGACAAGGATGACAGCCAGGGAGCTATCACCACATCTCACTCTTATCACTTCAGTGTAAACGGGCCTGACTTCTCAACTGCCAGAACCTCTCTTTCTTGCTGGATGCTTTTTTTTTCTGGCTGTTGATGCCTTCTCTGCCTACACATCTTCACAGCAGGCTGGAAGTGCCAGGGAATTAACCAACTCTCACCCAAAGCTGCGCTCAGTTTATGCTAGATAGAGTGTAGAAAATGGTGTATTTATACATAGATGGGTGTATAAGTGATCCAGCCCTCTCACTCCCAGGTGGGACAACTCTAAGACCTGTGCTGTACACTGACTCCCAGAGTTTTTGCCCACAGTGATAACTGTATTGAAAAACACACCTTGCACTGGCTTTCTTATTTTCCCTGTATCTCTTTTTTCCTCTCTCCAATCTGTGTTTCTTGAGATAACCTCGCTAACTAATCTTGCATTCACATCCCCTCTTGCTTCTACAGGTACCCAAACTAAGAAGCCGATGAAACTAGTTTTTCAGCCCTTAGCACATCACCCATAAATGGAGACAAGGTGATCAAGAGATGCTGAGGAGGGCTGATAGTGGAGAGAATTGTTGGAAAGCATGAATTTCCCCAACCACAGAAGAAAGGTAGGGGGGAAGTTAAAGGAGGGGTTGGTTATGGAGCTCCACTTGGAAAACCTGACATGTGCCTATGGAGTTTAAAGGCGGGAGGCACAGGGACTGATGCCTGACACCTAACTGGAGAAGCAAGAGGGTGAGAGATTGAATGGAATTGACAATAGGTGCAGAGGACGTTTCCTGTGGGCCAAGCATGCATCCACAGGACGGAAATGATATGTAGGTTATTGGAGTTGCAAAAAGATTGTGATCCTTCTCCGCTCTGTATCTACACCCTTGCAATGTCTCTCTGCAGCTTCTCCTGTTAAGAGATACAGTCTCTTTCCTCACCCCTTGGAAAGGCCTTGAGACCTCCTTTAGCCAATAGAATTTGGCAGTAACCGCATTGCACCAGTTTCAAGTCTGTGCCTTAAGATGCTTCACACACTGATTCTTTCACAAAGCCTGCCCGTTGCCACATTAAAAAGAATGAGCAAGTCTGCTGCATGATTTGAGATCACATAAACCAGATTTACTATTGGATATATAGTTGTTTCTTCTTTTTCTTTACTTTTGCTGTTTATTCTTTTTCTCTCTTTGCTAGCTTAGGAAAGCCTACTTTATTCTCCCTTGTCATTGATGGTTAATTTTTATTATCTTGATCAACCCAGTTGCCCCAGCCAAACTCCTGGACAAGCAAGAGCTGACATGCAAATGCCCAATGAGAGCCATAGAACTCCCAACCCAGCCAAACCCAGCCTAAATTGCTGATCCACAGCTTGTGAGCTGAATAATTTGTCATTATTATAAACTACTAATTTGAGAGTGGTTTGTTACACAGCAAACACTTGCTAATAGAGTGAACATTTGTTATTGATTATGTTACATATTTTTTCTCTCTGGAAATTAAGACTATTTTTACAGTGATCTGAAAAGCACGTGATCCACGTAAGAGACTGTCTAGGTTTGAGGAAAATAGGAATCTCAGAAGTAGATTCCCACTCCTATCAGTTAGGTCCCTACCAGTTATATAAACTGTTAGGCAACTTCTAAAATCTCACTAAGTTCTAAGCACTTTTACTAGATCCTAAATCTCTTGAGGCTGAAAATCATGGCTGACTTTTCTTCCTGGTGAGATAATATAATTAGCTCTATTCTGAATGTCTCTCTCTTTCTCTGCGCCTGTGTGTGTGTGTGTGTGTGAATGTCTTTGATAATTAAAAAGTAGTGAAAAACTTCCTGTCACTTAGCTTGTCAAAATAATTCATTTTACTTTTCATATAAAACTATCACCTGGAGTATAACATTTACTTTTCAGTCTAAAATCTTGAAAATTGCTACTTAAAAAACAGAAAAAAGAACCCTGTGAGATTACACTACAATGAATGTGAAAGTGCTCTGAAATATTTAAGGAGACGAGAGCTGCGACGCATGGCCTCAATGGGGTGCATGCAAGAGATGCTCCAGGAACTTGGAAGAAAAGTATGAAAATAAGAGTAGAGAATCAGCGCATACTGAGCTCTCCTCTCAGGCACACAGTAGGCCAGTCAAACTAAATGACTCTCGATTGCAGAAAAATGTGCCAATTCAAGGTAGGGGAGCTGGGCATAGAAGAGACGGTGCTTGGTTAAAACGAGATATATAAAAAGGAGAGTAATATGGTGAAATAAGGGTAGGAATTGTGAAAGTCGGTGAGCTAGAGATATTTTGCTAAAAAAAGATTCATTTTTATCTGTTGCCATAGAGTTAGACATAGTATTTTCTCACCACAATTTTAATCTCTTGTGTTTGTGGCTATGTCTTTCTCATTCCTTGTTCCATCTGCTTTTGCTTTTGTTCGAAATTTTCTTTGTCAGAATCATGAGATACTTCACCTATTTTATTAATGTTTCAAAGGACAAGCTTTTGAAATCATTTGTCTCTTCTTTTTTCCCCATTTTAAAATATTTTAAAATGTCCTTAACTGTTATTTAATTTTGCTGTTCATCTTTCAGTTTGGAGATGAAAAATTACTTTTTAAACCAGTTATCTCTTTTAATAATGAAGACAATTAAGGCTATAAATTTTCCTCTAATGATAGCTTTTGATTTGTTTTGTAGGTTTTATTATGGATGACGTATTCCTTTTCATTGACCTTTGGACAGGTTCTAATTTCCCTTTTAATTTCCTTTTTGATCAAAGAATATCTAGAAGCATGCTCCTTCATTGTGTCAAGACATTAAGATTTTTTGTTATCATTTATTTCTAGTTTTATTAGCTTATTATCAGAGAACGTAGTCTATAAAAGCTATTCACTTACACACTTTCCTGTTTTACTTTTTCCCCAGTGGCGACATATATGACCAACTTTTATAAATATTCTAGGAGTATTTTTAAAAGTACTTTCAAGGGATAAGGTATAATTCATATCAAGTTGTTTATTAATTGTATTTTTTATTTTCTCTGTTTTCTATTTTTTAACTAGATCTTTCAGTTCTGAGAGAAGGATATTGATGTTTTCATCATAATTATATTTTTAGCAAGTTCTCCTTGCATTTCAAATAAAATTGCTTTAAGCTTTGAGGTCCTATGGTGATCGCCTCACATCAGTTATGACTGCTGTATATCTCTAATTGTGCCATTTTTCACTATATCATGTCCCTTTGGTGCCTGCCTGGTTCTTCCACCCTTAAATTCTACTTTGTTGATATTGTCACTTTTGGTTCCCTTTTGTTTCCATTTTTCCAATATCTTTTTGCTCACTTCATTTATATTTATGTTATTTTAAATTTAATTTAAGTATTTCTTATATATAACATCTAGCTGTGTTTTGTTTGTCAAAGAAATGGGTTGCCTTTGCCTTTTCATGATGAAATCTTATTCTTTTACATTTTATATGGTGACTGATATACTTGCTATATGACTGTTATCTGATTTTAGATTTACTTTTGGACATATAGCTGTTTCTTCTTTTTCTGTGTTTTACTTGTGCAGTTTATTCTTTTTCTCTCTTTGCTAGCTTGGGAAAGCCTACTTTTTTCTCCCTTGTTATTGATGGTTAATTTTTATTATCTTGATCTAAATGATCAGATATCAGTATCTACTATCCTTTAAAAAGGAGACTTCTCCCTCCTCCTCAGAAAAAAAAAAAAAAAAAAACCAGCAGTTTTCTTTCTACTTTGCTTCATTCCAATAAAATGAAATTTTAAAAAGATACTTCCACTCTTCTTCCTTCCTTTTGTAATTCCTCTAAAGAGATGCTGAAATGTTTTTGCTATTTCCCTGGTAACCATTTCTCCTAGGCTTGACAGATGAGATCTAGTGTTTATTAACTTCCTAAAAAAATTAATGTTTTCTTAATTTTATTTCTTTATTTTCTTAATTATTGTCATTAATTTTTAATATTATACTTTGCAATATAACCTATTCTTATTCAATTATGAACATTGTTCATGTTTACCTATATGGCTGAATAACTATATATGAGCTTGTATAAATATTTCATACAAATATATACACATATATGTATGTGCAACCTGTGTATACATAATCATTGCTCACTCATCTTTTCAGGTTTCTGAATTTTTTCATTTGTCATTGGGATAGAGTCTTTGTAGTACTTTTCTCGGTTGTCGTATTGAAGTGTTATTCTTTCCAAATTATTTTCTCTCCTCAAGTAGTTTTTGTTTACCCTGACAGAGTAATGATATGTTGGCTGGATATAAGTTGATTCTGTTCCATTGTCCATTTTCTTCCACTGTTGGTGGTATTATTTTATAGTGAATTCCTTCTTTCTGACTTTAGATGTTCTTTTTCTTTAGAGATCAGGAATTTTTTCATGATGTACATATTGATGTGTCTTTTTTTGAAATCCAGCTTGAATCTTAGTGAATATTTTAAATTTGCTACTTCAGGTTTTCATTATCTCTTGGAATTATTCTTCTAGTATTTATTGTCGGTTTTTCTCTATGCATTCCTTTTTGTTCTTCTGCAACTACTATTACTCACATTTTAGGCCTCTGATTCCATTCTGTGGATCTCTCATGACATCTGTCTCATGGTATATGCTGTCTGCTTGAGAAGTTCTTATACTTGACCTTCCAAGCCTGCTGATGTGAATCTCAGCAGCCCCATTTTCTCTTTGAATGAATCTGCTGAATAAGATATACTCAAATCTCCTTTAAAATACCTTTAATTTATTTTCTAATTCAGGGTTTTTTTTTCTGCTCTAATAATTCCATTTTGCTGAGTGTAAGTCCTAACAGTTCCACTTGATCTTCTCTCTGGCTAATGGTTTCCCATAGTTCGCTTGTTATTTTCCTTTGCTGGCCCATTGGAATTCTAGTGTGGTGGCGAGAGTATCCTAGCAGGGATCCTACAGTCATGGAAAGCACAGGCACCTCTATCCCCCTGAGCTGCAGTGTAGAATCAGGCAGGCTGGCACCTGCTGCCTCTCTTATCTCCCTGTAGTCTCTCTCCCGTAAGGAAGGAAATACTCAGCTTACTTGTTCATCTCTCATTTAGTGTTTTGGGAATTTGGCACGTTCATACTGAATTGACATCAGTACTCCCTTAAGGGACCACAGATCTTTGTATGCTCCATCTTCCCCCAGAATTTTCTGTTTTTGGGTTCTTAAGTAGGTTATGATGCTGTTTATCATTTTACTTGTTCAAATTATGAGGTCAAAAGACCTACACCATTCTCTATGCCCAGGATCCCAGCAGAAGCCAGAGCTTCACTACATTCATTTGCTATTTGTCTTAGGAGAGGCAGACTGATTAGAGTTGGTAGCAGCAATCAAGGCACCATGCTCAGAATGCCATGTTCCCACACTTCCTCCCAGTGGGTTTGAATGACAGGTACAATCAGCCATTTTAGGCATATGAGCCATTTGTGCTAGCCAGTTCTTTTCAAATTTCAATGTGCATATGGCTCCCCTGTGGATCTTATTAAAATACAAATGCTCCTTCAGTAGGTCTAAGGTAGGGCCCCAAATTCTGCATTTCTAGCACTTTCAGGGAGGCACTATGGGCCCACCAACTTGATACTGAAAGTAACAAGGTGTTAGAACCATGAAACAGATGGCCTTTATTTGACCAGTCAAGGCAGATGATAGTATTAGAAATGTAAACAAAAAAGAGTATAGTATAGCAAATTGAGATCAGCAGAATCTGATCATCAACAGTAACGTTAGGCAAAACATTAGGGTCTAGTAGAGCAGTGCAAAGCTTAATAAGCCTACAGAAATTTTATAATAATTTTTCATAAATGTATTCCTTATTTCCCCAATCTCTTTGTTTTATCCTCTTTTTGAACAAAGTTTGCTCCTTTTAATCTATTATAGAGGGTTTCTTGGATTAAACAAGAAAAACAGGTAATTCTCTTGGTGGAGTTACATGGTACATGAAATTTCAAGACTCTCTGGTTATTTATTTACTTATTTATTCAGTAAATATTTATTGAGCATCTCTTATGTGCCAGACCTTACTCTAAGTGTTAGAACGATGTTTGACTAGATTGCCTGTGCAATGGATCTTTGTCTGTTTTTAACGGATTCATTGATTTGCGATTTAGTATTCATCCTCCCTGCTTCTTAAATGTAACCCAATTTTCTTTTGGAAAATTATCTTTTTTTCCAATTTGGTATAGTCATGCCATGATGTTAAGCATTGCATCCTGTCCTCCTACAAAAACCTTGAAGTACTCTCTGAAGGCTTTTCCTCTACATCAGTATTTTAGAAATTTGGCTAATTATTAAATCACTTTGGGGGTTTTAAAAATATCAAATGCTTTGGTTCTACCTCCAGGTAGTCTGATTTGATTAACCTGTTGTGTGGCCTAAGTATCAGGGTTTTAGAGCCCCTAACAAGTGATTTTAATGTGCAGCTGGAGTTAGACAGCCAATTCCCTAGATCTCTACTCTCATTGATCCAGTATAGTCGAGCAGTGAGGCTGTGACCTCAGCCTGGCTAGCTGGACTCTCTACCCGAACTTTGAATCCGAAGAGCAAATGGAATAGCATTCTGTAGCAGCCCTCAAACAAGGCTGCACAGCATTGTCTGCTCTGTACTCTCTCCATATCTGTTGTTCCAATCCTCTGAGCTTCCCTGTACCTTATCAATAAATACCACTTTTGCTGAGTATGTTAATCTGGGTTCTCCAGACAGAAACAAGAGAATATACTGATGTAGATATAGAAATATACATATGAGAGAGAATTTATTAAGGGAATTGGCTCATGGCATTAGGGTGGCTGAGAAGTCCCACAACAAGCCATCAGCAAGTTGGAGACCCTGGGATGCCAGTGGCATGGCTCAGTCCAAGTCCAAAGGCCTCAGAACCAGGGAAGCTGATGGTATAACTCAGTCTGAGGCCAAAGGCCTGATAACCTGCTGGGGGACTGATGTAAATCTTGGAGTCCAAAGGCAAGGGAGCCTGGAATTGTGTAAGGACAGGAGAGGAAGAGTGTATCCCAGCTCCAGCAGATAGATTGACACATTTGTCTTTTCTCTGTTTTCGTTCTCTTGGGGCCTCCATCAGATTGGAGGGTACCTGCCCACTTTGAGAGTGGCTCTTCTCTACCTACTCCACTCAGACTCATGTGCCAATCTCTCCTGGAAACACCCTCACAGAAACACCTCAAGATAATTCTTTAACAGGTTTCTAGGTATTACTTATTCAGTCAAGCTGACATCTAAAATTAACTGTCACACTGGGATCAGCTGGGAAGAGTCATTTTCTGTTTCTTACAGCCAATGAATCTCAACTGAGCAAACTGATGAGCTTTTTGTCACTCTAAATATCTGTTGAGGGCTCTCGATCTGCTAGATCAATCACAGTCTCAGCCCTCGGTATCAAACTCCTTACCACACATAGGAAAACTCGAGTCAGAGGGCAAGAGAGTCACCCAAGCTCCATTACAGGTCAGTGACTAAGAATTCTCATTGTGCCTGCATGTCTGTTTCTTTGCTTGTTTATCCATTACCATACCAAAAAAAAAAAAAAATCTTCCTTTTGCTTATTTGTTTTTAGGAAAAATTTAAAGATTACTGAAAGGGTGCTGCAAAATTGAATAGACAAGTCAGAATGCATATGACTAAGCAGAAAAGCTGGAAAACATTCCATATTACCAAAGAAGATCACAAGCATCTGCTCACAGCAGAAATATGCAGAACTCCCTGTCTCTTTACACGTTTGCATGGAGACCAAAGTGAAAATGAGATGGAAAAGATGTAGACTATCACAACTTGCTATCTGGCATTTACTATCCCTCCTACACACTCACTTGAGGTTTCTGGTCAGCTTTCCTAGAAGCACTTGATTTATTGAAGGCAAGTTCTCAGGACAAACCTGCAGGGGCAGAGAAGAGCAGAGGAAGGAGTTGAATAGGAAGTGGTCCCAGCTGGAGTCTAGCTTCAGTCTGACCACAAGGGGAGCTTTGGAGGGTGACTAAAACCACACAGTTGAAGCAAGATGGCTGGCCTTTTGTAGCCCATATCAATTATTCATTGGCAGTCTCTCAGGCATTTCTAGAACAGGCATATTCACTGGAGAAGGAGGCAGCCATTAGTTCTTAGCAGCCAATACTTGCAGTAGTTGAGAGATGGGCATACGTGCTGGTGAAGGTGATCCAATAGCAACTTCTACACCTGGATAAATACTGTCAATTGCACTGCTCCTCAGTATTTTCATCTATAAAATGCAACAGAAGGCTGGGTGTGGTGGCTTACGCCTGTAATCCCCGCACTTTGGGAGGCCGAGACAGGTGGATCACCTGAGGTCAGGAGTTTGAGACCAGCCTAACATGGTGAAACCCTGTCTCTACTAAAAATACGAAAATTAGCCAGGCATGGTGGCGGGCGCCTGTAATCCCAGCTACTCAGGAGGTTGAGACACAAGGATCTTTTGAACCCGGGAGGCGGAGGTTGCAGTGAGCCGAGAGTGCGCTACTGTACTCCAGCCTGCATATGTCAGAAAAATGCCACTTTTGTGCACTCGCTACTGCTTGAAAATCATCTTTTTCTTGAAACTTTTATTTTAGAGAAAATGCAAAGTCTTGGAAAGGAATACTACCTTGAATGCTTTAGTGTATGCCTATTTAACAAAAGGGGTATTTATTGATAAGCTGAGAGTTGAGTGATCTGGATTCTAGTTCTGCTTGTGTTGCTCTTCAGCAAAGCAACTTTGGATAAGTGGTTTATGATTTCCGGGATTCACCATCTTTATTTACAAGAGTTGGGGGTTAGAGTCAATTATTTCTGAGTTACTTTTGAATTCTAAAATCTTGTTAGGTGCTGATTTGATTTCTCCTCTAATGCAGGGAGGAGGCAGAGATAATTGTTGTTTGTTTGCAAGGAACAAGTTTTCATCTTGCAGCCTTAATACAAAAGCAAGAGAAAGAAATGTAATAGCTCGGTGGTAACAGCAGCTTGGCTTTGTTTGGATTCAGGGTCTCTAATACGACATATTAGATGTGTCAATGGAATGTGATTTATTTTGCTTCATAACATTTGGGAACAGATATTTGGTATTTCATCCAAGGAAAGCAATTTGCAGAAACCTTTTAGAAGGTGGCTGGAGCATCAGTAATTGGTGCCATTTCTTTAGGCCAACATTTCCTTAAAGCTGCACAATCTTTCATTTTAATCATCCCTCTCAGCAGGCTCCTTTTAGGGCTCTGGAGCAGGGCACCCACCCCTCAGAAATTAGGTTCTATTTTTAAAGTCCACCAGCCAACAAACCCCCTATTAATCGTGTGAAATCTGCTCAGAGCTGCTCTTCCGGGTTCTCCACCTCCTCCCCCTACTCTCTCTCTGCACAGCCTCCCCTGAAGATATTTTTAGCTCTTAGCAGCTACATCCTTGAGAATTTCTAGGCCTGTGCTACACTTTGTGCTCAAGTAAACATTCTAGAGATTCCAGTCCTTATTCCTAATATTTTTGAAAAGATTAAGAATGCCACTCCTTAATACAATTCAGTATTAATCAATAATCAATCTGAACTTCAAAGTCTTCATCTATCTCAGAATCACTCTTTCTTACAAAGAGATAAATACCTTATTTATTCAAAGTTACTTAGTCTTTTCCTCATAAGGATCAAGTGTGACTTTGACCCATTGTTCCAGACAATCTCTCTCCAAGGCAGCCTTGGAATTATTTTGGGGATGGGAAAATCTGGGTGCTCCCTCTGCATACATTTTGCCTAAGGGTTCAATTTTGAATCAGGAAATACAGATGTCTCTTTAAGACCACTGTACTAAAACATAGCAGTTATAGTTTAAGAACCCATTATGGTATCCTGGGAAGGAAAAATCATCAAAATATTTTCAAAGCACCTATAGGAATTCCAATAAATAACATATAGATTGTAAGAATTTGGCTTCGCAAATATGATCAGCAGTATTTAATCATCCATTTTTCACAGCCAAACTCATATTGTTTAGCATGTTATTAGTGGTTTTGATTTGGGGTTGCAGTCTTTTTAAATGCTTATGAATAGGTTATAGAAGTATATGGGAAAAGGCCGGGCACGGTGGCTCACGCCTGTAATCCCAGCACTTTGAGAGGCCAAGGCAGGCGGATCACAAGGGCAGGAGACTGAGACCACGGTAAAACCCCATCTCCACTAAAAAAAAAAAAAATACAAAAAATTAGCTGGGCGCAGTGGCAGGTGCCTGTAGTCCCAGCTACTCGGGAGGCTGAGGCAGGAGAATGGCGTGAACCCGGGAGGCGGAGCTTGCAGTGAGCCAAGATCACGCCACTGCACTCCAGCCTGGGCAACAGAGCGAGACTCCGTCTCCAAAAAAAAAAGAAGCATATGGGAAAATACAAATTCCAGGAAAACAGCAAACAGTGAAAAGGATCTCCCTGAGGTCAAGATGAGGGAGATCCCTCCCACATCTGCTTCCCAATTTCTCAAAATACACGTGTATATGTATATGTGTGTGTCTATATATATATAGAATATTATACATATTGTGTGACACATATTTATTCATATACTTTATATGTGCACATATATAAAGTGATTCTTGTTGCTATGCCACAAATGTTTTGCACATTACTTTGCACCTTCCTTTTTTTTAATTTTATTTTTTCATTAAACATTGTATCTTGGAGCATATTTCATATCAAACCATAAAGATCTGTCTCTTTTTTAATATCATGTTTCGTTGTTCGGAGGAATGAGAATTTATTTAGCAAATCCTGATAATTGGTTTCTAATTAGGAAGGGATACTGAGAGAGAATGAGGAGCTCTTGTTCTGTACAGAATATTGGGCTAATTACTCTGGTTACTTAGTGGCTATTTTGTGAGTTTCTAAGAATCCTATTCTTGGTTCAGCCGTAGCCTCTTCCTTTTCCCTTGCTCTTTCCACTCCCTTTTCTCTCAAAACCTTCAGCAAACCCAGGTGATTTCTGCCTAGCGATATTGGTAAACAAACAAACAAACAAACACACACACAGACACAACCCCCCCCCAAAACTAAAAACAGTTTGAAATGCCTTTCAAAGGTGAGTTCTCCATAAATAAATAAGTTTCCAACGGAAATATCATGATGGTGTGGCTAAGGTGTGCTTGTTCCCCTTGGTTATGTTTTCCAAAGCCTGTTTTTGACTGGTACAAAAATCTCCCATTTGTTCTTCTTGTTCAGAGCCTGTGGTTTATTTTCTCTTGTCTGGACACTGTTCCATGAACCCCAGGAGAGAGGCATCATCACAGAAGCCTTGGCATTTGTCAAACGATGAGCAGCGTGAGGTGATGGAGCCAGGCACCCAGCAGGGACCCAGTAGATGCTGCATGGGCTGGCTGGCAGGTGGCCCTGATGACTTTGGGAGTTGGGGAATCTGCACTGACTGCCTGTTTGTCTCCTGTCTGGGGATGAAGTGGGAGGACTCTTCAGTGAAAAAGCACAGCTAACTCCAAAGTCACATTTTCCAAAGCAGCCTTGCCATTTACCTGCTTTGGTTTACAGAAAGAAACAAGGCTTCATCTTTGATCCTATGTTCCTCAATGCGTTGTAGCTTTTGAGTCTTATCTGAACTGATGTCCAGACTGACACATTTTGGGGAAGAGCATCCCCAGCATGCTGACAGATGGCTGGCACACCTGTCTTCCTGAGTCTTGGTTCCAAAAACAATACAGCATTTTGCTTGTTCAAGATTTCTGTGTAAAAATTTACACGTTTTCTAGAGAATATGCAGAAAGTGAAAACTGTAAATGTAAACTAGTATAATTTGAAAACAATGTATTCATATTGATTGATTAAATTATATAGACTATGGAGTGTTATTTCCTTTAATACTTCTTTTTTCTTCTTTTTAGAAACAGGGTTTTGCTTCTCGTTGCTGAGGCAGGTCTCCAACTCCCGAGTTCAAGCAATCCTCCCACCTCAGCCTCCCAAAGTGTTAGGATTACAGGCATGAGCCACTGCGCTCAGCCTTTTTTCATATTTTTAAAATGACAACTGTTTTAGGTTAAGTTCTTAGAATTCAAAATGTGGATTTTTGTAGAGATGTGCTGAGAGAGGCTTTTCGGGAGGACCCTGTATGGGAGTGAAGGAAGCAGGATGGGGCAGGGGAGGAAGCCTGGAAAGGACATAGGCTCATATGGAATCTGGCTTCAGCCTGATCCCACTAAAAAGTTCTGGAACATAAAACGTACTGCATAGTTGATCCCCCTGAGGTCAGGGCCTGGGCTTTACTACCCTTATTTTCATCACTGGACCCTGGAGAGAGGAAAACTTCAAGGTTTTTCCAGGGGCGGGGCTCTTTGGAGAACAATTCTCCTGAGAAGAGGGTATTTTCAAACTGTTAGTAGCCAACACTCAAAGCGACTGGGAGATGGCTGCACCAGCCTCATCTGTGAAATCTGGGAGGGACCCTCAGCATCACTTCAACCCACAGCCTAAAGCTAAGTACTTTGCATTATTACCTACATATCCATAGCTACATTTTAAAGAAAGTATTCCCAAATAATGTTTATTTGTCCACTTGTGGTTCAATTCAAATGATTTGCTATATATGCTATTCTAGTGTATCCAGATTCACACATACAAAACAGTAGTCATGGTCTACTATTAGGTGGTGACCTGCAGTTTCAAAATGTTGATTTATATGTAAATACTACTTAAAAGCTAATCACGTTTAAATGATTTAATTAGATTTTTAATCCTGCTGGATTTTCAGTAATACCTCCAGTGTTGCATAACTGGAGGGACCATATAATTGATCATCCAAACTGCGATGCTTTTATCTACAGTGATGCCAGGGCAAGAGTCATTCACCAGAGCTGTCCTGGGAAAACCAGGATGCAGATGCATGCGACAGCAAGCCACTAGAGGGATTTGTCGGTAAACCCCTATGGAGAAGTTATTGTGCACATTGAGGTGGTGGAAGATGTGACACAAAATGAAGTCTCTGCCATTGGGGAAACAGATAACGAGTCAAATGCAATCACATAAACAGGAAAACAGCAACTGTGATAAGTGCTACAAAGGAGATGTGTGTTTTCAAGAGAGAGATTTCACAAAATTAGAGAAAGCTTCCTAGAGCAAGCAATACTTGAGCCCTACTGAGAGCCAAAGGATCTAACCAGATAAAAGGCATAGGAAGGGCCATTTTAGTCTGAAGCAGGGTGAGCATGAGAGAATGAAAGGTGTGCTCTTTCATTTATTTCATCTACATTTTAAAAAATTAATATCAATGTTCTAGAAGCTGGAGTACATCAGGGAACATTACAGAGTGATGAGTTTCCTTTCCTCACAGAGCTTATATTCTGCGTTGTGTATGTAGAGGTGGTCAACAGGTAGTAAAACAGAAAATAAATAGCATAATGTTTCATAGCGACAGTTGTCACAAAGAAAATAAATTTGGTCATATTTGTGAAAGAAACTATCATTTCCCTGTTATGCAGTCTTAGCACCCTTTTTAAATTTCATTTGACCATATACATAAGAGTTTATTTCTATGCTTGTTATTCTGTTTCATTGATCTCTAAGTATTTAGACCAGTGCTATAATGTTTTGATTACTGTAGCTTTGTAATACATTTTGAAGTCAGAAAGTGTAAGGCCTCCAGCTTCGTTTTTCTTTCTCAGATTGCTTTGGCTATGCAAGGCAAGTTTTGAGATCCCATATATATTCCAGGATGATTTTTTTTTCCTATTTCTGTAAAAATCATGGAATTTTGATGGAGATTTAGATAAGATTTGCATTGAATCTGTAGATAATACAAACTTTTAATCATATTAAGTTGCTTTGGGAGGTATGCATATTTTAATTCTATTAAGTCTTTTACTCCATGAACATGGGATGTGTTTCCATTTATTTGTATCCTTAATTTCTTTTAGTAATGTTTTGTAGTTTTCTGTGTACAAGTCTTTAGCCTTTTTGGTTAATTTTGGTCCTAAGTATTTTATTCCTTTTGCTGCTATTTTTAATGAGATTGTTATCTTAATTTCCTTTTTGAATTGTTCATTGTTGGTATATAGAAATGCAACTTATTTTTGTATATTGACTTTGTATCTTGCAATTTTGCTACATTTGTTAGTTCTAATTGTGTGTGGGTGTGTATAATCCTTAGAGTTTTCTAACTACTGTGAGCAGAGTTAAATTTGCTTCTTCCTTTGCAATTTGGTTGTCTTCCATTTCTTTTTCTTATCTAGTTGTTCTGTCTAGAACTTTCAGTATTATATTGAATAAAAGTTGTGAGAGTGGGCATCCTTGTTTTATTCATCTTAGAGGGAAACATTTTACTTTATCACCATAGAGTATAATGTTAGCTGTGGGATTTTCATATATGGCGTTTATTACATTGAAGTAACTTTTTTCTTCTCCTGATTTTTTGAGTGTTTTTATCATGAAAGGGCATTAAGTTTGTCAAATACTTTTTTGTATCAATTGAGATAATTACATAAGTTTTGACCTTTGTTCTGTTAATGTAGTATATTACATTGATCAATTTTTACATGTTGGAACAACCTTGCATTCCAGGAATTAAAAAATTCCATACAATTATGGTGTTGGTCCTTTTAATGTGTTATCAAGTTTGGTTTGCTAGTATTTTATTTAAGATTTTTGCATCAATATTCATCAGGAACATTGGTCTGTTGTTTTCTTTTCTTGCAGCATTTTTCATTTGGGTATCAAGGTTATGCTATTCTTTTTTTTTTTTTTTTTTTTTTGAGACGGAGTCTCCTTCTGTCACCCAGGCTGGAGTGCAGTGGCGCCATCTCGGCTCACTGCAAGCTCCGCCTCCCGGGTTCACGCCATTCTCCTGCCTCAGCCTGCTGAGTAGCTGGGAGTACAGGTGCCCGCCACCAAGCCCGGCTAATTTTTTGTATTTTTAGTAGAGATGGGGTTTCACCGTGTTAGCCAGGATGGTCTCAATCTCCTGACCTCGTGATCCACCCGCCTCGGCCTCCCAAAGTGCTGGGATGACAGGCATGAGCCACTGCGCCCAGCCCAAGTTTATGCTATTCTTATAAGTTTGGAAGTGTTCCCTTCTCTTTGACATTTTGGAAGAGTTTGAGAAGGATTAACATTAATTCTTTAAATGTTTAACAGAATTCTCCAGTGAAAATATCTGGTCCTGGGCCTTTCTTTGTTGGGAGATTTTTGGTTAGTGATTCGATTTCTTTACAAGCTATAGGTCTGTTCAGATATTTTATTCATCATGAGTTAGTTGTGGTATGTTGTATATGTCTATGCATGTATCAATTTCTTCTAGCTCATCCAATTTATTGGTATATAATTGTTGATAGTAGTCTCTTATGATCTTTTTTATTTCTGTGGCATCAGTTATGTCTCTTCTTATTTATGATTTTTGTTATTTAATCTTTCTCTCTTTTTTCTTAGTCTAACTGAGAATTTGTCAATTTTGTTGATCTTTAATTAAAAGCAACTATTAGTTTTATTGATTTTTTCTATTGCTTTTTTATTCTCCATTTTATTTGTTTCTGCTTTAATCTTTATTATTTTCTTCCTTATAATAACTTTGTGTTTTATTTTTTTTTCTGTTTCCAGTCACTTGAAGTATAAAGGTAAGTCGTTGACTTGAAATCTTTCTTATTAATGTAGGTATCTACTGCTGTAAACTTTCCACAGTACTGCATTTGTTGCATACCATGTTTTTATATGTTGTATTATTGTAGCAGGATGAGCCGCAGACAAAACCTCTCAGACACAGAGTTGTAGAAGGAAGGGCTTTATTCAGCTGGGAGCATCGGCAAGCTACTGCCTTAAAATCCGAGCTCTTCGAGTGCACAATTTCTGTCCCTTTTAAGGGCTCACAACACTAACGATTACACATGAAAGGGTTGTGATTGATTTGAGCAAGCAAGGGTACGTGACGGGCTGCATGCTCCGTTGGTCAGACAGAAACAGAACAGGGCAGGGAGTTTCACAATGTTCTTCTATACAATGTCTGGAATCTATGAATAACATCTGTTTCTAAGTCATGAGTTGATTTTTAACTACTAGGTTTAGGCCAGGTAAGCCCAGGTCTGGTTTTGGGCCTGGTGCCGGGCTGCCTCTCTTTGATTTCACTTCTTTGTTTTTTTCTTAAAACAGGTACTGAGTATAAAACAATATAAAACAATATGAGAGGGTCTCTCTCGTCCCTCATTATAATTTTCATTTATCTTAAAGCATTTCTAATTTCCCTTGTTTTTTTTGTTTTGTTTTGTTTTTGTTTTTGTTTGTTTGTTTGTTTTCAGATAGAGTCTCACTCTGTCACCCAGGTTCAAGTGATTCTTCTGCCTCGGCCTCCCATGTAGCTGGGATTACAGGCACCTGCCATCATGCCTGGCTAATTTTTGTATTTTTAGTAGAGATAGGGTTTCACCATGTTGGGCAGGCTGGTCTCAAACTCCTGACCTCAAATGATCTGCCTGCCTTGGCCTCCCAACGTGCTGGGATTACAGGCGTGAGCCACAGCACCCAATCTCTAATTTCCCTTGTGATTTCTTCTTTGACCTGCTTGTTGTTCAAGAGTGTGTTGTTTAATTTTCACATATTTGTAAAATTTTCAGTTTTCCTTTTGCTATTGATTTCTAGTTTTATTTTTATTGTGCCCAGAAAAAAAAAAACTTGGTATGATTTCTATCTTCTTAAATTGCTAAGACTTGTTTTGTGGCTTAACATGTGTTCTATCCTGGAGAATGTTCCATGTATGCTTGAGAGGAATGTGTTCTGCTCTCGTTGAGTGAAACCTTCCCTATATGTATGTTAGGTCTAATTGGTCTATAGTGTTCAAGTCTGACTTCCTATTAATTTTCTGTCTGGTTATTTTATTTATTATTGAAAACTGAGTATTGAAATCAACTATTATTGTATTATTATCTATTTCTTCTTTCAATTCTGTCAATGTTTGCTTCTTATCTTTGGATACTTTGTTGTTAGGTGCAGACATATTTACAATTGTTTCATCTTCCTGGTGAATCTACACTTTTGTCATTATATGATGTCCTTTTTATTTTTCCTGTGACAACTTTTGACTTTAAATCTATTTTGTTTGATATAAGCATGGCCACTTCTGGTCTCTTTTGGTTACGATTTGCATGAAATATATTTTCTAAACTTTTCACTTTCAGGCTATGTGTGCCCTAATATCTAAAGTGAATCTCTTGTAAAAAACATAGAGTTTGATCTCATTTTTGTATGCATTCATCCACTGTATGTTTTTTGATTGGGCAATTTAATCAATTCACATTTAAAGTAAGTAATGATGGGAAAGGACTTACTATTGCCATTTTGTTAATTGTTTTATTCTGTCTTGTATTTATTTTTATTCCTCTCTCTTCCTCTCTTGCTGCCTTCCTTTGTTCTTTTTTGGTGGCAATCTTGATTCCACTCTCAGTTTCCTCTGTGTATCTTCTTTTTTTTTTTTTTTTTGAGACAGAGATTCGCTTCACTCTTGTCACCCAGGCTGGAGTGCAGTGGCGCCATCTCGGGTCACTGCAACCTCCACCTCCTGGGTTCAAGCGATTCTCCTGCCTCAGCCTCCTGAGTAGCTGGGATTACAGGCATGTGCCACCACGCCTGGCTAATTTTTTGTATTTTTAGTAGAGACAAGGTTTCTCCATGTTGGTCAGGCTGGTCTTGAACTCCTGATCTCAGGTGATCCGCCCGCCTCGGCCTCCCAAAGTGCTGGGATTACACAGGTATTTTCTTTGTGATTTCCATGGGAATTACATAAACGTTCTTATAACAGTCTACTTTAAACTCATAATTAACTTCCATAACATACAAAAACTCTACACCTTTACGTCTCCGTCTCCTGCTATATGTTACTGCAGACACAAATTACATCGTTTTATGTTTTGTATCCATTAACATAGTTTTATAGTTATTTTATGCTTTTATCTTTTAAATTCTATACCACCATTAAAAGTGATTTACATACCACCATTACAATACTATAAGATTTTGTGTTTGTTTATAGATTTACCATGATGAGAGAGCTTTATATTTTCATTTGCTTTCGTGTTGCTGTCTAGCATCCTTTCAGTTCAACTTGGAGAAATCCCTCTAGCATTTCTTACAGGGCAGATTGGAAATGATGAACATCTTCAGCTTTTGCTTATTTTGGAAGGTTTTTATTTTGCTCTCATTTCTGAAGGGCAGTTTTTTCTGTTAGAGTATTTTTATTGGCATTTGTATTCCTGTTAGTATTTTGCATACATTATGCTTCTCCTTTCTGGCCTCTTACATATCTACTGAGCAATTCACTGATAAGCTTGTGGGAGTTCCCTTGTATGTGACAGTCAACATTCTTCTGCCACTTTCAAGGTTGTTTCTTTGTTTTGACTTTTGAGTGCTTCGTTTTGTGTATCTTGATGTGAGTCTTTTTGGGTTATCCTATTTGAAGTTAATCAAACTTTCCATACTTGTTTTCCATTTTTTTTTCCTTCACAGTAGGATGGTTTTGGTCCTCATTTTAAAAAATAAGCTTTCTACCCATTTCCCTCTCCTCATTCTGGAATTTTCATAATGTGTATATTGGTCAGCTTGTCACTGTCTCATAAGGTTTTGCTGACTCTTCTATTTGGTCAATTGTACTGTTGAATTTCTCTAGTATTTTTTTCTTTAATTCAGTGAATGTATTTCAGAATTACTGTTTGGTTCTTTTTTTATAGTTTCTCTTTGTTAATAGTCTTGTTTGGTTCAAGTGTGTGTGTGTGTGTGTGTGTGTTTTGTTTGTTTTTGCTGCCATTAGTTTTCTGTCTGTGCTTTTTGTAGTGCATTGACCTTTTAAAAGAAAATTATTGGGCCGGGCGTGGTGGCACACGCCTGTAATCCCAGCACTTTGGGAGGCAGAGGCAGTTGGATTGCCTGAGGTCAGGAGTTCGAGACCAGTCTGACCAACATGGTGAAACCCCGTCTCTACTAAAAATACAAAAAAATTAGCCAGGCGTGGTGGCACATGTCTGTAATCTCAGCTACTCGGGAGGCTGAGGCAAGGGAATTGCTTGAACCAGGGAGGTGGAGGTTGCAGTGAGCCAAGATCACGCCACTGTACTCCAGCCTGGGTGACAGAGCAAGACTCTGTCTCAAAAAAAAAAAATTATTTTGAATTATTTGTCAGGTAATTCAAATTAATAAATCTCTGTTCATTTTATAGTCAGTTTTTGGATATCCAGTTTGTTCCTTTGATTGGGCCATGGCTCCCTGTTTGTTTATATGCCTTATTTTTTGGTGGGAATTTTGCATTTGGAAACACTGCTTCCTTTCACAGTCTCTAGGGACTGGCTTTGTACAGAAGACCTTCCCCATTCCTCCCAGCTAGAGATTCGGAGGGAATCTCAAACATTTTGGGAAATGCATCGTCTCACAATTTATATGTGTAACTTCCAAGAAAGGGTTACAAGCTTTTTTTTAAAAAATTTTCTTTCAGAAGCTTGTAATCTCTTGTTCCCTCTGGCTCTGCAGCAAGCTGTTGAGCTCTCTTTTGAGCTCATCAGCTTCTAGGTAACCAAAGTATACCTGCTCCATCATCGCTTCTAGTCAGGGGAGATAGAAGGCAATTCCTTAGGCAATAAATCTCCCCAAAAAGCTAAAACATTGGCTGCATATTTCACTCTTCTCCTCCTTGCTCCTGGAGGAAAAGCTATGAATTGAACATTCTCTCCTAATTTCCCTGAGCTGTACTGGCGCCTGTCTGTGATACTGAAGGTTTTCTGGTGCTGCAATAAGCCACTGAACTGTCTTTTGTTCTCAGTGGCCCCAGGCGCAGAAAGTATGCCAGTTCCTACTCAGCACCCTGATTCAGGTGAGGCAGAGAATCCAGTCCCTCCGTCAGCCCCTCTAAAAGCTGGAAAGTTGGACAAATGTTCAGCTCTTATCCTTCACTCCTGATGAAGAAGTTGTGTGCTTGACTTTTACTCCCCATTGCATCATGCCATGCCAGTTTGGTGGAGAACTATTATGAGTGAAATAAAATTATTTTTACAGCCATTTCAATGCATCTGTTCTTAGATTTGAACATGTCTGGGGTACTGCAACTTTTTATCTGATTTCTGGAATACTTCTAACGACTTTTTGGGCAGTATATTGTTAAGTCAGTGTCTCTATGAGGGAATGAAGTCTGAGGTTTCCCATTCTGTATCTTGGTCTATAGACAACATTTTAACAAGCAAAAAATAGTGATGTGAGAGAGGAGAGAGATGGAAGATAGCTGGAAGTTATAAGGATAAGGGAGAATTGTTTTAAAATGTAGCAGATACTAGGACATATTGCATGCTGATGAGAATAAATCAATAATTGAGTCAGAGACAGATGATACCCTACACTAGAGCAATGACGTTCAAACTTTTGTGTGCATTGGGAACATATGGCAAGCTTGGGAACACACAGATTGCTGAGCTTCACCCCAGAGTTTCTGATTCTAGGGTTCTGGGATAGGGCTCTAGAACTAGTCCGCCTAACAGCTTCCCAGGTGATGCTGATGCAGCTGGTCCAGGGACCACACTCTGAGGGCACCTGCTCTAAAGAAAGAAGGAAATGAAGTCTTTGAGAAAAAGAAAAAAATGGAGGCAGAGAATATGGGTTTTTCTCTCCTGGTTTTGTTCTCTCATTGTTACATTCAGGGACAAGTCACCCAACCAACTTATGTGGTATGTTTTGCTGCATGGTTACAGAAACTGTAGATCTTGGACTAACAGAGAGAATACTCATTTCAAGCATTTTTCTCCATTTTCTCTGTAATTATCTCTGTTCTCAGATCTCTCTCCATGTTAGATACAGAACAAAGGTCATGTGTGTATTTTACACCAACTAAGTTTACCTTGTCCATATGAAGATCTCCTTTCTTTGTTCAGAATTCTCACCTCTTTTCCACAACCTTTTCAGGTGCCTGTAAGGTTCTAATTTTCTCAGCAGGTAGCAATTTGGAGCAGGTGTAGTGATTTCTCTGACAAGAGTAGTGAGACTTGAAAGGAGCTCTGGGGACATGAACCTCATCAGCTTGTCAACAAAGATTCCAGCACTGGCCACATTTTAATATTTGCAGCAATTCACACATTGGGGAAACAAGGCCCCTGGTACACTCAGTGAAGTGCTAGAAGTTTCAGAAAACATGGCAATAGCCCAGGGGTTTTGACAGAATCTAAATATTGCCTTCTTGAGCCTCCATAGGATGATTACGTTAGACACAAAAAAATAAAAAATAAAAATAAGCACAGTAAACCTGTGATGTGCAAAGAAAAATGTCAACATTTTCACACTTTAAAACTTATCTCATCAGGGAAAAGGATTTTTTAGAAGAAAAATCAGCAACTTTTGGTTAAAAAAATAATCTGTCTCTACACAAGCTGCATCTGTTCAGGCGTCTGTCTTCTCCTGTCAGATCTGCTTGAGTTGAAGTTCCCAATGTGTGAAAGTCAGATTCAAGTTCTTTCAGGGTCTGAGAGTATGGAATGTACTAAACACCCAACCACAGTGAACTGAAGTGGAAATTGAAAGGAAATCCATTTTGAAGACTTATTTCCCCTCCTTCTCTCCCTTCCTTTGATGTGAAGAAAAAAGCTCAGCTTCCAGGGTGGTGATAATGGAATTTTTTTTCCAGTTAGATTCTTCATCATATAATCCAACTGTGTCTTCATTCTCTCTACTTTCTTAATACTCCCTGATGTGGCCCAGAGACCTAACTAACTAGAAGGGCCCACAATGGGGAAGCCAGCATTGGAAAGAGAAAAAAGCAAAATATTTCACATCAAAATAAAACAAAAAACAAAACATGGGGTAAAGGTAAGTGGGAAGTAAAAACCACAAAGCCGTTTTTTATAGTACATCTCATTACGTCAGCTACACTCTAGAAAATTCAATTAAACTTTTTTAAAAAGAGAGAGTATAAATAATAATTGATTATAGTACAAAAATTAAATATAATTATAAAACTCATACAACTATATAAATTATAACTATATTCAAGTTATAAAATATTTATGTTATAAATTATAGTATATGTTATATTTTATATGATCATATTATGGATGAATTACATATGAATTGCAAAATATACTTAAGTATGTACAATAATATTAAAGAAAATAACTAAAAACACTTAAAACCAGCCTCAGAGTGATGCATGTTAAAGCTAAAACCTAAAAAATATCTTGAGTTTATTATTTGAGACTTATTTTCCTCCTGGCATAATGAGTTAGATTTAGTCTTTATGAAAAAACAAAATGCATTTAAAGTATAACTTAGAAGAGCAAGTTTCAATCTTTTCCCTAGATATTGGTATTAACCAAAATTTCTAGGGTTAAAACTACTAGGGACATTGTATCAATTGAAAACAAACAAACAAACTTGAAAACGTTTTGAAAATTATAAAGCTGTTAAACTTACGTATTTATCATTGAGCATCTACTATGTTTATAACTCTCTGCAGGGCACTGCAATTCAAAGAAACATAATACCTCGGCCTGCCCTCTGGGGAGCTTGCAGTCTTGTTTGCCAGAACATATCCTGCCAGCTGAATCCATGGGTGATGAAAGTTAGAGCTGGCCAGTGGAAGACGTGGTCCCTATCAATTGGAGAAGCCAAAAAACTGCTTTGTGGAGGATGCAGAATTTGAAAGTATGGCAGTGTGGCTTAAATGGACGAAGATAAATAATTAGAAGTAGCACTTCAGGTGGGAAAGAGGAAAGGCAAAAATAAATTAGGAACATGTTAAAAGTTAGAAAAATAATTTGTAGCTCAGAATATATAATAGATTCTGTTAGAGATCAGAAGCCAACTCCTACTTTAGAACAAAAGACTAAACCACCTGCCCAATAGCTAATTTGTGACAGAACTGCAGTAGCCCAATGTCTACTATCAAGTTCATATTTCAAAGAGTCCCCTTATTTTTAAACTCTCAATTCTGCTTGTAATTGCATTTTAGACTAATTTCCAACAGGAATGAGAAAAACATTTAATCTCAGAATTTCATTGTGTCTGATTGGCAATAGCAAATGGCTACTTAGATCACTTGTTAGGAAGGATTCTGAGGCAGTATCTGGGCTTGGCTAACAGCAGTGAGATCTACACTTGATTATCAATTTCTGTTGTGGGCAAGGAAGGCGGGAGGTGAAACGCACATGTGCCCTGCATTGGGCTGTCTTGGTTGTGAAATCCTGAGCAAAACACTGATGGCACAGTGCAGACTGTAGCTAATGAAGGTAATTCTAAGATATAAGAGGAAATAGTTCAGTACTTTTATTGCCAGAAAGGGGGAAGCAGTATGATCGGGGAACAGGTGCTAGGGAGATAACCACTTCCTGGTTTTGTTTTGTTTATTTTTGTACCCAAATTCTGAGGGAAAAAAGAAGTCGATATTGCTAATACATATTAAACATCACCTGATAGTTTCCAAGCCATAATTATGTCTGTGACTTCATTGGATCCTCTGAAAAGGACAGTTATTAATGCCCGTATTCTTGTATTATAAATAAGAAAAATGAGGTTGAGAGAGATAAAATTCTCTATTCACAGTCATGCAGCTAGGAATAGGTGAGCAAATGGGAGGGCTTCTTGAGGCTCTGACCTGTTTATTCATGTTCATTTCCTGCTTATCCATCAAAGTGTGGGTAGCATGGACTCTGGAGCCTGATCTCCTACCCTCAAATCTCCCTGCTGACACCCAGACCTGTGGTCTATGGCAAGCGATGCTCTCATCCTGTGTTATGTTATTCTCATCTGTAAAATGAAGATGATAACAGATGATAACAGTGCTGACCACATAAAAATATGAGGATTCCAACTGGTCAGTGGCCTGGCGTACAGTAAGTAAAACAACTGAGGATTTTTGTTTGTTTGTTTTTTTTGTATTTAGTTCACTTGTGTTTTGCTTCTCTGCAGATTTTTCCTTTACCTAAAAATATTTCTGATGATCAAGGTAATACATATGTACTAGGGAAAATTGGCAAGATGTGGAAAACTCAGAAAAATAAACATTTAAAAATACCCTGAAGACTATAACATATACGTAGATTAAAATGTATATGTATATGTAAAGGTAAAGTGAACTCATTTGGATGGGTTGTAGACTAGTAATCAGTTGTGAAAATGAGAAAAAATATTTTCTTTCTTTTCTCTCTCTCTTTTTTTTTTTTGAGACGGAGTCTTGCTCTGTTGCCCAGGTTGGAGTGCAGTGGCGCGATCTCTGCCAGCTCACTGCAAACTCTGCCTCCCAGATTTAAGCAATTCTCTGCCTCAGCCTCCCGAGTAGCTGGGATTACAGGTGCGTGCCACCACACCCGGCTAATTTTTATATTTTTAGTAGAGACAGGGCCTCACCATCTTGGCCAGGCTGGTCTTGAACTCCTGACCTCGTGATCCACCCACCTTGGCCTCCCAAAGTGCTGGGATTACAGGCATGAGCCACCGCACCAGCTGAGAAGAAATATTTTCTAACAGAGTATATGAGGTGTGAACTTAGAGGGTGAGGTTGGAAATGCCACATCTGAATTGACTCCTCCGCAATTCTCTTTTTCTAAATTATCAGCCAGGAGAATTGCCATACTTTATGCATCTGAGGCTGCTTTCTAATAGTAACCCAGTAACACTCCTTTACACTGGACAGCTAACTTAAAATTTAAGCTGATAATTAAGGAAGCCAGAATGTTTGTTTTTTTCCTTTATCTCCAGAGATTTCAAGGATGATTCTGAAGAATTCCTCTGATCTTATTAACTTGGTCATCGTATCTCATGTATACACTCAACTAGACTGAACTTGGAATTTAATTCACTCATCATTTAAGAAGTAAAGCTTGTTAAATTATGGAGCACTTGTGTCAAAAGGCTTGCCTGTTACTTTTTTAATGACTTTATGTGGGTTTTGCAGACCAGTGCTTTACATGATAAAACAGCTATTATTTCTGGTTATCATATATCTTTGAATCTAAGACAATATTGTTTGTAAGATTCACCACTATTTTATAGGCCATTAAGAAAATGGTAATTAATAATTTTAAGAGCTCATTCATTTTAAGATGCATCCCAATTTCAGAGATGTTAAAATATAAAAGATGTATATCTCATAACTGATTAAATAGTGGATGTCTTTTATATATTGTGAAGAAATTCCCTGGGAACAACATTTGAAGCTTATATAGATCGTTCCTTAACTTCACACTCTATGGACAGCCTTTGGTTACAAATTATATAAAATGGCCTCCTGCATATGAAAGTGCATAAAAAACATTTATCTTTATCCAATTCACAAATTAGAGCTACTAGGAATTATCTCCTGGCAGAAGAGCTAAACATACTCATCGGCTATGTTCTTTACTTATTTTTGTGATTTTTAATCATTAGATATCACACGAAGATAAACAAGATGCATGACACTACCCCTTACACACACACAACACACACACACACATACACACACACAAAGTGAATAGAAAATAAGCATTGTTGAATGCATCTAGAGGGATATTTGACTCAGAGTAATTTCTGTCTTGTCCTTGCTGCTACGGAAAAAAAGGAAATGAACTTAACTGCCCATCTCTATTCCATACCCCTGTAGAAAAGAGAAGACCTTGCACTGGAAGCTTCTTTGGATGGCAGAAAACAAGACAAAGGAAATCTCCTCTTCGTTCTCCATTGTGAAGGTTAGGTTCGTCCGGGAATTAATTTGACATTTCTGGGAGTAGTAGGGTTGTGCATTGAAAGGCTGTGTTATGCTGGAAAAAAAGCTCTATTGCTTGCATTTGTATCCATGCCCTTTGCATTATGACTCTGTATCTAGTTTCCACCTCTTGAATCTGGCCTGACTGTGTGACTTGCTTTACCAATTGAATGTGGCAGAAGTGACAGTGAGCTAGTAGTAAGCCTAGACCTTAAGAAACCTTACACATCACTATGTATTATATTGGTGTCCCTGTTACTGTCACATGAGTAAGCTTGGGATATTCTGTTCAAGGATAAGAGAACACATTCCATGTGGAACAGACATGAGTCATTCTACTTGTCTTACCTGAGGCTCTAGGGATGGGGTAAAGTTCATTCAGAATCAGAAAATTTCTTTCTTTTTTTTTTTTTAAGACAGAGTTTCACTTTTGTTGCCCAGGCTGGAGTGCAATGGTGTGATCTTGGCTCACCACAACCTCTGCCTCCTGGGTTCAAGCAATTCTCCTACCTCAGCCTTCCTGAGTAGCTGGGATTACAGGTACCACGCCTGGCTAATTTTGTATTTTTAGTAGAGACGCGGTTTCTCCATATTGGTCAGGCTGGTCTCAAACTCCCGACCTCAGATGATCTGCCCACCTCAGCCTCCCAAAGTGCTGAGATTACAGGGGTAAGCCACCTGATTATGCTTGGCCCAGAATCAGAAAATTTCTTATTTGACCTGCAGCTGACCTCAGAAACATGGGGGAGCCCAGCCAAGACCAGAAGAACCACCCAGCTGAACCCAGCCCAACTGGCCAACCCACAGACTCCTGTGCTAAATAAATGGTGGTTGTTTTAAGACAATTACATTTTGGGGTGGTTTACTATGTAGCAGTAACTAAGTCAATACATGGTTGAAGAAAGAAGTACCCCTGACAAAGAAAAGATAGAGTGTCCCTGCAGTTGGGAGTATGAGCAAATAGCATTTTAGAACACTATGACCTCCTTGCACACTACTTCCTGTGCAGAAGTTCTGATGGGCTGGACAGAGTATGGCTGGAGGCTCTTCCCTAAAAAACAAACCTTAGGAAGAGCAACAAAGGACTCTTGTAGCTGAGTTGATGGACAAGCTGACCAATGCCAATACCAGGCAGCTGTGACCTTCTTTGCACAGACATACTGAGAGGCAGAAGTGCCTGGGAGGTAATGTTCACCAGGAGTTATCAGCAGCCAATGACTGGTGAGTATGAAAGCCTAGATCCTTTGTCTTAAGGAGGGATAAAGTCTAGGTGTTATTGTACTCTGGAGCTCCCTGCAGATCAGGCAGAGATTGATGCCTCACCTGAAATTACCCTCTGCCTGGTCTCCGCCCCTTCCCCCCCCCACTCCCCCGTCCTGCTTTTCCTTCTCTTATCAGTCTCTCCTTGAGCACATTCCTCATAAACAACTTAGTCTTGTCTCAGGATCTGTTTCAGGAGAACTCACCCTAAGATAGTTTATTTGGGGAGAACAAAAGAAGCTGACGTGTAAGTTAACCTAACTTTGCATGTGGCCCTACATACTGGGCATCAAATTAGCCATAAATAATACAATTGTACTTCTTATCTAAGGTGTTTATTATCTGGGAACAAGAGTAGGTGAGTAGAGCAACTTTTCGTGAAGTTGGATATAGTTTTTGCTTATTTTCTAAGGTCATTTAACATATATTTAAAATATAGCATGTAGTTTTCACTTTTTCTTTTCAATTTCCAATTCACACTATTTTTAAGTTTTTTCCCTGCATTAGGCTTTACTTATTTTTATGTCAAGAACAGTGAGAAGTACTGTAGGAAAATACCAAATTCATGATGTGAAGACTGAAAATATTAATAATAATATTAAAACAAAAAACATTATTAATCTCATATACCTTAGGTCACAATATTCAGAGCAGTAACAATAAACATGAAAATTAGATGAAAGAAGAGAAAATTACATTATTTTTCAGGAGCAGAGAAGAGCTGCCACCTAGGAGGATGAGATTGAAGCTGGCTTCTGCCAGAACAGTTCCAATTAACTATCCCCATTTAAATACACCCAGAAAACTCTTAAGAACATTGCACTATAAATAAGATGTTTAAATTAGAGCTCATGAAAAGTGAGAAGATAATGGTAGCTAGGAGTAGATTTAATCATAGCCTCTGTGCCTCCCCCATATCCCCCTTAGTATTGTGTATGTCAAGACATGAAAAGGAAAAAAAAAACAACAAAAAACAGAGTTGAGGTCAAGATTATATTTTAGGTTAAAAAAAAAAAGCTCCTGTAAATGTTAATTTAAACCAAGATAAGGCACAGTATTTACATGGTGCCACGGTTGTAAACTGTATTTCTTTTACTATTACTCTTATCTTAGACACAATGCTTGATTTTCAGCCTTATTTGGTATCTGCTGCTTTTGAGCTGATAATAAATTTCATGTCCTTGTATTCCCCTCCCTACTGAAGAGATGAAGATAAGCTCCATTTTGTTCTGTGGAATCCTAAGGAATTTACTAAGCAAATATTTCTAGTGTTATTCTTCGATGTGGTGAATGAGAAAGTCAGATGAACCTGGCTCTCTATGGAGTGAAGACAGCCAGATCAAGTACAAGCATCACTGCACATCTATTACCATACCTTCTTTTCAATTAGAATACAAACAGGTAACTTCAGGCCTTATACTCAGAATTATGTGATATTTTGGAGGGGTACACAAATATTTTAAGTCAATTAGTCTTCTAAGTGAGTTTCTAATTTGGTGAATAACAATGAAGAGAGAGTGGATTCAGAAATACGTTGAATAACCAAGGTCATAAGGAGGTAGAATACTGAGGAAATATTAAAGTTTCCATTTATTTTCTAAGCTCATTTCTGTGCCTATTTTGATTGGGAGTAATGGCCTAGAGTGTAGTGTTAAGTATCTGATAGCTCAGCTTGAAGAGTTGCTTCACTGAATAGCAACCTGGGCAGTGGACAGGGAGAGGTGGTGGCGGGTGTGGAAGCCTGGGTTGGAGATAGCACTTTATTTAGGCCTTGAAGAATATGTTGGTTTTGGATGGGAAAGGAGAGGATTCTGAGTGAAAACAGTAGTCACGGTGAAAAACGAATGTTCAGCTGTGTGGTACAGGAAGGGGACCAATCTGAGCAGAGCAGAGAATGAGCTACTGAGTTAGCGGAATGGCTGTAAAAAAGAAATTAGATCACAGGGGACTTAAAACCCAGGAGAAAGAGAGAGTTTATGTGTAATACGGAAGGAATTAAAGAGTCCTTGAATACTCTACAAACAGGGAGAGATGCAACCAAAATGTGGCTTAGGGAAGGTGTGGTTGAGGGAAGGTGTGTTTTGTGGTACCCTGGAGAAAACAGAGATGAATACAATAGATTTGAGATAGTGAGGATCAGCTTGGATCAATTACCAGTGTCAGGAGGATGGTCTGAGAAATATCTTGAGGGAGACAGAAGTGACAGGCGACTTTCTGTCTGTAGAGAATGGAGGCGCTGACTTAACAGTTATCAAGATAGTGTAAAAGAACCTATGTGTAATGGGTCAGGTGTAAAAGTAATATAAATCTTTAATTTAAAAAAAATCCCTATTTAAGGATTCATCTGCAAAGAAAAAAATAAACCAATACATTTATCTCTGGATGGGTACGTACAACTATTTCCAATTATGGATCTTGAATGGCATCATCATCACCTGGAAGGCTGTGAGAAATGCAGACTTTTCTGGCCCTCCTCCAAATCCATGCACCACAAACTCTGGAGGTGAAGCCCAGCAATCTGTTCTAACAATCCTCCAGGTGATTCTGATGGACACTAAAATTTGAGAACCATTGCTGCAGTAGAGTGCTGCTAAAACTTTAGTGTGCATCATTACTTGGAGATCTTGCCAAGGGCACACTCCCGGGCCCTGCTACAAAGACTCTGATTCAGCAGGTATGGGGTGCGCTATGGATGTGTGTGCCTTCCAAGCCTCCAGGTGATGCTAGTGTTGCTGGTCTGAGCTCCCTGGCTAAAGAACCCTTGACAGCCTCCGTAATAGCCACTGATTTGCTGAATAATTTCCTTTTTCTCCAAATACGTGAGCTTGTTATCTCATTGTCTAAGAGGTTTACACATTAAATTTTGTCCATTTGCTTGGGATAGTGGGGCGGGGGTGTCAAAAAATTGACTGTATTCTTTAATTCATATTGGCTCATAATCTTTTAAAAATGGGTGCTTTGGGGGCAATTGAAGAAAAGAACTTATATAAATTAGGAAGCATCAATTGAGATGAGATGGGAACATTTATAATACTCATGATATCTGACTTTTCTCTCCCAGCTGTGTGATAGAGGAGAGAGCCAGCCTGGAGGAGTAGGTGAGAGATCTTTGAAAAGAATTAATAAGTGGAGAGATATAAAGCTATCCTAGGTGCCTTCCTGCTTGTGGTCTGCAGGTACATAATGAGTTATGTGGACATTAATATGTATTGAGCCAGGTGAGCGTGATTTTACTCTTAATGCAATTACTCTTTCAACAGCCATGTGAGCAAAGTGGGGACATCCTAATTTAATGGGTTAGAAATCAGCCTTAGAAAACATTTGCAACTTGCTTAAGTTCTGGAAGCCAGTAAAAGAACAATGAGGATCCCAGTTATCACTGCAAGACTCAAAGCTCCTTCTCATTCCACCATACTACTTTACAAGACAAATGAGGGCCCCTGCATACCGACCTGAACTCTTCTTAATCTGTTCTGCTCCTATGAATATTACTATTTGCCTTATACTTAAAATGGTTACCCAAAGATCATGATAAGTTTCTTCCTGCTGGAGCCCCTTCTACTTCTAACTATCACTGGAGAGAGAAGCACAGTGAATATACCAAGTTTGAAATACCAAGGGTGAAAAATTAAAGCTCACCCAAGACCCAGTTTCCTCAGCTGTGCAATAGGAATAATAACATCTCGCAGGTTATGTCTGGGCATAGGAAAAAGGTATTAGACAGTGAGTACTCTTATGTTTATTTACTATGGTAATTAATAGACTATTTAGTTGAAAGAACTGTGAAGACCATACATCAATATGTAAGCATAAGAAATATTATCATATAGAATTCTGGGGCAAGGCTGGACCTAGGCCTTGTAATCGCAGCACTTTGGGAGGCCGAGGTGGGTGGATCACCTGAGGTCAGGAATTCGAGACCAGCCTGGCCAAAATGGAGAAACCCTGTCTCTACTAAAAATACAAAAATTAGCCGGGCATGGTGTTGGGTGCCTGTAATCCCAGCTACTGGGGAGGCTGAGGCAGGAGAATCGCTTGAACCCAGGAGGCGGAGGTTGCAGTGAGCCAAGATTATGCCACTGCACTCCAGCCTAGGTGACAGAGCGAGACTCCATCTCAAAACAAAACAAAACAAAACAAAACAAAAAACCAATAGGGGGCAAAAAGAATTTGGTGAGCGTGGTGGGCTGAATGATGATCCTCCAAAAGATATGTCTCCCTTCTAATCCCGGAAACTATGAATGTGACCTTATTTGGAATAAGGGTCTTCCAGATGTAATTAAGGATCTTGAAAAATGAGATCATCCTGATTATCTGAGTGAAGCTTAAATTCAGTGAGAAAGGTCCTTGTATGAGACACATGGAGGAGAAGACAGACACAGAAGAGAAGGTCACATGAAAACAGAGGTGAAGATTGGAGTGATGTGGCCACAAACCAAGGATTTCCAAAGCCACAAGAAGCTGGAAGAGACAAGGAAGGATTCTCTCGTAGAGCCTCCAGAGAGAGTGTGGATTTGCCAAGCTATGATTTTGGACTTCTGGCCTCCAGAACTATGAGACAATAAATATCTATTCTGTAAGCCACCTAGTTTCTGCTAATTTGTTAGAGCAGCCACAGGAAACTAACACAATGAGTGAAAGGAACTGAGAGTATTTCATTTCCCTCCCAAAGAATTAGAAGCTGGCACCCAGACAAATCTTCAAAATAGGTGGTAACACGGATGAGATTTCTTTTCAACTCTCTCCAGGCCCATTTTTTTTTTCTATTTTTTCTATATTCCTGATGTCTGTTAACTCTCTCTTCTTCCAACAAAATCACTCTGCCATGGTCCACTACTTCAAGTAGAAGAAAAGCTTTAAACAGGTCAGCAATAATGCACACCAGGCCTGCAGCTCTGTCTGAGGTTGATTCCTTAGAAGTAGAGCCTGAGATGGGTGTTTTTTCTCGAGTGATTTATTGAGAGAATGACCTCAGGGAAATGAGTGGGGGAGCTAGGATAAGGCAGGTGAAAAAGCTAAACAAAAGATGTTGGTTCCTGTGAAGTCTAACCTTGGCCTGTTCCCACCAGAATGAATGGCCTTAGAGTTTTTATTTAATAGATTTTATTTTTTAGGAGAAGTTTTAGATTCCCAGCAAAATTGAACAAAAAGTACAGAAAGTTCCTATATACACCCCTGTACACACATGCACAACCTCCCCAACTGTCAACATCCTACACCACAGTGGTACTTTTGTTACAATCGATGACTCTACATTAACACATCATTGTCATCTAAAGTTTATAGTTTACATTAGGGTTCACACTGGCATGTATCTACCATTATAAAGTCAGAATATTTTCTCTGCTCTAAAAGTCGTTTGAGCTGTATTTATTTCTCTCTTTCCCCAACCCCTGGCAACCACTGATCTTTTCATTGTTTTTATGGTGTTGTCCTTTCCAGGAATGTCATATGGTTAGAAAAATAGTGTGTAGCCTTTTCAGATTGGCTTTTTCAGTTAGTAATATGCATTTAAGTTTCCTCCATATCTTTTCATGGCTTGGTAGCTCGTTTCTTCTTAGCACTGAATAATACTCCATGTGTGGATGTACCATAGTTTATTTACCTATTCACCTACTGAAGGACATTTTGGTTGTTTGCAAGTTTTGGCAATTATGAATAAACCTATTATAAACAGCTATTTGCAGGTTTTTGTGTGCATGTAAGTTTTCAGTTCATTTGGATAAATACCATGGAGCGTGATTGCTAGATCATATGGTAAGGCTATGTTTAGTTTTGTTAAGAAACTGCCAAATTGACTTCCAAAATGGCTGTGCCATTTTGCATTCCCATCAGCAAGAAATGAGAGTTCCTGTTGCTCTACGTCCTCACCAGCATATGATGTTAGCATTTTGGATTTTAGCTGTTCTAATAGGTATGTAGTGGTATATCTCATTGTTGTTTTAGTTTACAATCTGTACTGACACATGATGTTGAACATTTTATATTCTTATTTGCCCTCTGTAGACATTCTTTGGTGAGATACATGTTCAGATCTTTTGCCCATTTTTTTTTCATTAAGTTGTTCATTTTTTTAATTATTGAATTTTAAGAGTTTGTTGTATATTTGGGATAATGGTCCTTTACCAGTTATGTCATTTACAAATTTTTTCTCCCCATCTGTGACTTGTCTTCTTGCTTTTGTGAGATACTAGTTTTTCAAATGTGGAATTAAGGGCCTTGTGCTGTTAAGTCAACCATTCCAAAGAAATTCACTTCTAATAGCTAAGGGCAGTTCTCCGGGGGAGGGTACAAGTGTGAATCTAGCATTCAACATCAAAAGCATGTTGGAGTTAGATGTTCTGGCTTCCAAGAAGAGATCTCAGTGAAGCCCTACAAGCAAGGACTACTTCTGGGATAAGTAGTCCCAAGGTGTCTCTACGGAAGCAGAGAGTACAAGTCTGTATAAGCCAAACTCCCTTTGGCTTATACAGACTTGATTCAATGGCCGCAGTCCTTTGGCTGAGTGATGGCTATCTGAACAGGCCAACCGTTTGCCACCTGGGATGATCAGATTCTGTCCCATAAATAAGCATGTCAGCCAAGGGACATAGCTGGAACAATCAACTGGTAACTAGAGTAGAAGTCACCTTCAGAGCATCGGGTCTCAGATAGCACCTGTCTCACATAAATGAAAGAGCATGAGGTAATCTAATGCCAAATAGCCCTTAACTTTTGGTGCCCATGAGGCCCAGTTATTTTGTAGACTGGTTTGATAGAAACTCCTAAAAGCTTTATGCTCTTTATTTCCATGTTATTTTTATAATCAATTTTGATTACTTGGGTTCACCTGGATGGGTCTCTGCATCTTACATCCAAAGGGACTGACTGTATAACATGATAGGCCAAATGATCTGCAAAAAAACATTTAGACACTGTGTGAATTGATGAATGAAGGTTAGAAGTCCCAAAATAATCCACTGTTCAAAGAAAAACATTAATACTCCAACTTAAAAAACTGGTTAATGGTTGACTCTTCATATAAACCAGAGAGTTTTGGTGGTCAAATTCTTCCAGCCATCCTTTCCAATGTGTCCATCCATTTACTCATGGCACAAATGTTGATTGAGTGGGTATTTGCCAACTACCATGCCACGTTTGAGTTTCAATCATCAGTAGACTCAGGCACAATTAGATGCTCTCAAAGATCCTAGCAGAAGAGATAAACTACCAAATAATCACTCTGCTGAGTGATTAATTACATGCTGAAACAACAACTCAGAAGAAGGATGGACCAGTTTGAGATTAGGCTGTAAAAGCTGGAGTTAAGGGGAGCTGTCCCTCAGGATTGACACAAATTGATACAAAGCGTAAGTAGGAGTTCATAAGTGTGAAGGTCATGTGATCCAATTTGGATTTTTGCATTGTGAGAACATCAGTCTGTGGAGTAGAGGACAGATCAGGGAGGTTCAGAGGAAGTGAAGGTAAGCTAGCACAGTTTGTAGGCATCAGATCTGTGGTGGTGGCATTGACCATGAAAAAAAAAGGAATGGAAGGAATTCAAGAGTTATTTAAGAGTCTAACTCTGCAGAGTTTGGTGATTACCTATTGGGATGAGGAAGAGGGAGGTGTTCAGAATAATTCCCAGGTTTCTGGCCTGTTTGAAGGGAAGAATGGGACACCTTTTTTTGAGATAGAAAACTCCGAAGAAAAACTAGTGGGTGATAGAGATGAGTGGTTACCATGATCCTGGATTTAGTCTTGCTCACGTTGACTTTCAGGGGTCTTTGAGTGACATGAGTGAGCTAGACCTTACAGAAGAATTCTTGGCTAGAGATTAAATTTAGTGATGAATCTGTGTGTAGGTGTTATCTGAAACCACAGGCATGGATGGAAAGCATGGAGAGACAACAGCAAGGACTGTGTCTTTAGAAATGCTGATGGTGAATTATTTCCAAATGAGGGTGATCATGCAAATGAGATAGGAATGGAGACAGAAGAGAATTAGGAAGAAGCATATCTATCAGTCATGAAATTCAAAGGGATCAGCTGTCAAAAAAAAGGGAATGTTTGAATCCAGTGCTGATGAAAAGTGAAAAGTTAAGTAAGATGAGCCCTGACGTATGTTCACTGGATTTAGAGACGTGGAAGTTGATTGAGTACTGGGGAGAGAAGACAGATTGAATTAGATTGAGGAGTAGGGCAATCAGATAGAAATAAACAGATAACATTCTTTTGAAAAGTTTTAGTATAAAAGCATTTTGGATATCGTTTAAATTAATAGCAAATAATTCTCACCACCTGCCAAATACCAGGTCTTAATTAAGCATTGTGGAGGACTTAAAGTGTATGAGGTATATTTGTCCTTATCAGAAATGTAATTTAATATCTAACACAAGACATTTTCCTGATGAGGATATAGAAATAATTTGTGAAGAGATAAATATAATATTTACTAAGGTTTTACAACATTTCAAACATATCATTTTATTTCATGCACGTAGCCCTGTGGATTAGATAAATTAAATCTTTGCACTGTAAAGGAGGTATATGTTTTATGTCAATAATTTTAGATGTTCTAGGTAAGGAAATTTTAAAAACTAACACCTAACACATAAACATTTTTGATGTATTTTCTTTTAATAATATTCTGTGTAAATTATTAATATGACATTTTACCAACTGAACAGATAAGAAAATCAAGAATCAAACAATTTAAGTAGTTTTCAGAATGCCACTCAGCTGTAAGTTGCAAAATCAGAATTTGAAAATTATTGTTTGATTTGAAAATTTAGACTCTTCCTTCTCCTACCATACTACCTGGTGAATAAATATATGAGATTACCTGCTAGACAAATTGTATAAATTAGACATCCCTAAGAGCAAGGAGAATTTTGGATGGGGAGTGTCAAATATATTTCACATAGCACCTGGGGTTTGAGCTGGATCTTAAAAGACAAATAGGATTTAGATAAGGAAACAGCAAATTGTGCACCTTGGGCCAAATCCAGCCCACTACTTTTTTCTGTATGGTGTATAAACTAAAGAGTGTTTTCTTCATTCTTAAATGTAAAGTGTAAAAAAAGGTTATTAATCTTTTAGCAATATCAGTTGCTCCATTTTGCCTCTGGGTCCACGAAGTTTTAACTATTTACTATTTGATCTTGTATATAAAAAGCTTGCTGACCTTGATTTAGAGAAATACATGAGGGGTGGGGCCTCAAGTTAGAACAATGCCATCAGCCTATTTCTAAAGGAAGAAAACACAGGGGAATATTCTGGGGAAAGGGAGTGAACCAATCTAGGAAAGCAGAAGATCCATGCACTGTGGTCAGGCTCTCGGCTGTCTTTATTACTAGGCAAAGAAGAGTGGTCAATATTTTCCTACGTAAACATTTGCACAATTATCCTATCAACTAGATTTTGAGGCTCTCCTGGGCAATAATCATTTTTTTCCTACCTGTGTTTCCCAGTAGAGTCTCACACATGGCTGGTCACAGACTACTGGCTCAATCAATGTTAGTTGACAAACAGCCTCACATCATGTAGACAAGCTAGTTAATCATTACCAATGTCCTTTCCTCTTTAATTGTCATACACTGAGTCATAGCCTTTCCTCAAATACATCACTCTCAGGGACAACAAAATGTGTCCTTCAGTTGTAATAAACGGTGGGAGAGTGCAGGAGAGAAAAAGGTCCCAGCAATTTCTGATGCCGGATGTGCACCTAATTGCAATATTGACAAGAGAAAAGATGGGCCAATTTGAGTGTGCCAGTGTGATCTTCCAGCTGGATTATGCCATTATAAACAAGACGGGCTTGCCTACGTTGGAAATAAGGATGTTCAGTTTGCAGTAAATTCTGTTCAGAGCCCAAAGTTGAGCCCAGGGACCCCAGCAGCATAATCAAGGCCGTGATTGATGAGATGTCAGCGACTGTTAGACATAGTGTGTGACGCATCCAGTCACGGGGGACCTGAGTGTTTGTCATAATGTCACAGCACCTGCTGCTGCTGCTACCTTGGGGTGTTGGGAAAAGGGATGCGCCTGACGTGGCCGTCCCCTCCCCCAGCGCCCCGCAAGTGTTCGAGAGGAAGGCCGCGGGGGTATCTGCCATCAGGAAAGACAAAATGGAGCCACGCAGGGGAAAGCAGCATGGGGTGGGGGAAGGTGGCACGTTTCCGGCGCAGGGAGAGGAAGAACAGGTGCTCCTCCAAGGAAGACTGCCGCTGCTCCCCGGGCCCTGGCAGCCTGCCCCGCCGCAGAGCTGCGCGCACGCCGGCCTCCTGGCAGCGGAGCCCGCGGCGGAACCACCACAGCGAAGCATTCTGTCCCCTCGCAGCTGCTCTCCCAAAAACTACAGGTCCTCCAGGAGGCCGAGATAAACCTACGCGCAGCCTTGTCTTCCGGGAGAGGAGAGTGCCTGTTTCCCTACGCGAAATGATGTTTAAGATCCCTGCCCGAGCCCCCAGTCCCGCAGTTAAGCATCAACTGGCCGCCTAACGGGATTGTTCTTCCGCTTGGCATTTGCAAGGGATGGATTTTTCTCCGTTCTCTCCTCTGCCAAGTTTGCCTCCTCTGAGGCTCTCTGGGAGGGTATTTGTAACTCTGCAGTTCAGTTTGAGGAAGGAAAAAAAAATAAGACAATTTTCCAAAGCAATCGTGTGGTCTTTAAAATATTGTTATGTAAATGAATCTAATGTGTCTCTAAATTCATTAAGTGGGTTGGAGGGTTACTAGCCCTGGAGGGCCCCAGCGAAATTGGCAGAGACATTTTCACTGTCTAGGTTGTGGTTGTTGACCTTTTCTTCTGTCTTGCTTACCCTTTCCTAGGGAGGAGGCAGGAACTCGAGGGGCTTATCGGAGTGGCAGAAGGAAAGCCCCCACTGAAAATGCCTGTTATGCGCCTTCTGGGAACCGTCCTCCTCTTTCACTTCCTCCCAGCCCCAGCTGGAATTCCCAAATGTAGCCTAAACCAGTACCATACCTGCTAGACAAATTGTATAAATTAGACATCCCTAAGAGGGAGGAGAATTTTGGATGGGGAGCAAATAAAGGAAAAGGAAGCTGCCAAAACAGTGAGTCTTGGTCAGAATTTCACAGTCATTTCTCAGGTCTGGGTTGGAGGATGTAAACACAGGGGAAGTCAAGACAGATTGTTGCCATCCTAGCTACTTTTTGTAATTGGGAAGCATGTAAAGATTGACTCCTTTTTCTTGCGTCCTTCAAAGAGCACGAAAAGTGGGGCAGTAAGTATTCAAAAGCATCTGTTTCCTGCCTGAACCCCTCTGAGTACCAGAGGGGGCCAGCAGAAGAACCTGCCATGGTCCGTAAACATGCAGGGAAGGCTGTGACATAGGAAGCCAGGCCCACAGCTGAGCCTCCCAAGGATGAAGATAGGCATTCATCGAAAAACTGTTTTTGTGTTTCTTCCAGTACTGCTACTTTTTAAGTATAATTTACATACAATAAAATGCAGATTTTTAAGTATACTGATCTATGGATTTTGACAAGTATGTACACCCATGGAACCCACCACCCATCAAGAAACAGAACTTAGGCCGGGCATGGTGGCTCACGCCTGTAATCCCAGCACTTTGGGAGGACGAGGCAGGCGGATCACCTGAGGTCAGGAGTTCAAGACCAGCCTGACCAATATATAGTGAAACCCCATCTCTACTAAAAAAAAATACAAAAATTAGCTCGGTATGGTGGCACATGCCTGTAAGTCCCAGCTACTTGGGAAGCTGAAGCAGGAGAATCGGTTGAACATGGGAGACGGAGGTTGCAGTGAGCCGTGAGCCGTGATTGCACCACTGCACTCCAGCCTGGGTGACAGAATAAGACTCTGTCTCTAAAAAAAAAAAAAAAAAGAACTTGTTCATCACTGCAGCAGATTCCCTCGTGCCCTTTGTTTCAATCTTCCTCTCATCAAAGGACACCTCTGATGGATCTGCCTTCTGTCATTACAGATTAGTTTGCATTTTCTAATGTCATATTAATGAAACTACACAGTATGTAGTCATTTTCTGGCTTTGTTTGCTTAGAATGATGTTTTTGAAGATCACCCATGTAGGAACATATATCGAGAGCATCTATATGTAGTTTGTTTCATTTTATTGGTGAGTAACATTCCATGATATGGTTATACCGCCATTTGTTTATGCATTCATCTGTTGATAGACATTTGGGCTGTATATTGGTTTGTGGCTCTTATGAGTAAAGTTGCAATGAATATTCTTTTAGATTTATCTGGATGGATGTATCTTTTCAGTTCTCTTGGATAAATACCTGGGAGTGAAATTGATGGGTCATAGGGTAGGTGAACGAATTTAACATTATTGGGAACTGCCAAACAATTTAGCAAAAGGTTTGCACCATTTATCATTCCATCACAGCAGTATTTGAGAGTTCCAGCTGCTCCACATCTCCTCCAATTACAGTATTGGTATTGCTAGTCTTGTTTGCTTTAGCCATTGTAGTAGGTGAGAAGTAGTATCTGATTTCAGCCAAACATTTTCAAAGCAGTCATTTTCCTGGGGACCTATTGCTGAATTCTAGCAGATTTTTAGCTGGGCTATGAAAGGTAGAATTACAATAGGAAAAAGGTTTATATTTAGAGTCAGTCTGCATATTCATATTTTTAAAAGAAAACCTCTAAGCAGCAATTTGAGTTTAATATTTCTCCCCAGAAGTCTAGTTTCCTTAACAGCTGTTTATAAATATTTACCTTCACATTTTTAATGACGACAATGTATATAGCACAAATACCAGGAGCTTTAAGGTATAAATATTCAACACAGAGGTTTCCAGTTGTTTCTATGTAGGACACAGAGACCTGTCTTCACATACAGGTCTATGGAAGGCTTGCTGGCAGTAAAGGTGGATAAGAACTGATGCCCTAGAGAATAAACTTCCCTGGTTTGGGTCTTTTCTTTGCCAGGGGTGTGATTTAAGGCAAGTTATCTTGCCTCTGTAATGTATCATAATATCTGATATGGTTTGACTGTGTCCCCACCCAAATCTCATCTTGAATTGTAATCCCCATAATCCCCATGTGTCATAGGAAGGACCCAGTGGGAAATGATTGGATCATGGGGACGGTTTCCCCCATGCTGTTCTCGTGATGGTGAGTGAGTTCTCAGGAGATCTGATGGTTTTATAAGCATCTGGCATTTCCTCTGCTTGCACTCACTCTCTCTCCTTTCGCCTTGTGAGGAAGGTGCCTGCTTTCGCTTCATCTTCCACCATGATTGTAAGTTTCCTGACGCCTCTCCAGCCATGCAGAACTGTGAGTCAATTTAACCTCTTTTCTTTATAAATTACCCAGTTTCGCCAGTCTCAGGCATTTCTTTATTGCAGCATGAGAACAGACTAAAAAAATACCCTCCTCCATAAACTGGGATAATCATATATCTACCTCCTGGGCATGCATCTAAAACTTGAAACCACTGCCTGGCACATGGGAAATGCACAATAAATGCAAAAACATTCAAAAAAGCTAATTTTTAAAAGTGATTTGCCCTCTATCATTCTCCTTTTCTCCATTGAACATAACTGCAGGGCTGATCTGGCATCTCAAGGCCACCTGGAATGAAGTGCTGAGTCTAAGGGTCCATAGGCAGCTGGCATGTGATGTGATTCCAAGCTTCTAAAGAAATGCTCAGGAGAAATATATCTCTGGAAATGGGACCTGGAGGGATTTGTGTAGCCTTTGATATTTCATGCACACTTCAGTGAAGCTCCTGAAATTGTGTACAAAACTCATAGGATTTTTTTTTTTTAACCTGTAGCTTGCAGCAGATTCTCCAAGGAGACTGGGACCTCAGGGTCTTTTGGATCCACTGCAAAATAAGGTAGGACCATTGAAGGGTATGGAACAGATTTTGGAAAAAGAGAGTATTAGGATTGAGCTTCAGTTCTGCAACTTTTCAGCTAGTTGTTTCTGACCAAGTTACTCAATTACTCTAAGTCTCAGTTTCCATATCTTTGAAGTTGACATCATAGTATTTTGTATCTCACAGGGTTACTGAGAGGAATAAAAAGATGACATGGGCTGGGTGCAGTGGCTCACGCCTGTAATCCCAGCAATTTGGGAGGCCGAGGCGGGCAGATTGCCTGAGGTCATGAGTTCGAGACCAGCCTGGCTAACATGGTGAAGCCTCATCTCTACTAAAAATACAAAAAAATTAGACAGGTGTGGTGGCGCACGCCTGTAAGTCCCAGCTACTCGGTGGGGCTGAGGCAGGAGAATTGCTGGAATCCGAGACGCAGAGGTTGCAGTGAGCCGAGATGGTGCCACTGCACTCCAGCATGCATGACAGAGCAAGACTCCGTCTCAAAAAAAAAAAAGAAAAAAAAAAAGACATGATTGACATTCAGGAACTGGAACCTAGTAAGTGCCAAACAAATATTAGTTCCCTCCCCATTCACTGACCTAGATTATAGAAAGCAGGCTTAGCCTCTGTTAAATTGCAAATGACTTTGGGAAAGATAATAAATTAATTAGCCATTCTTGCCTTAGTATGAATGTACCAAATGTTTTCTTTAAAACAGAAATCTTGCCTCAAATATTAACAGACCACAGAAAAGAAAATATACAAAGACAAAATTACTTCCATTTAGAGAATTCCCTTAAACAATAATATTAAATTAATGGATAAATTTTGAGACCTTTCTTTTGCATTTCTGTCTCTTTGTACCTCTAAGATCTCTATTCATAACTATAGCAGCCCAAATATATGTATCTTTAGATATCAGAGTCCTCTTATCTTTAACTCAAGAGTCAGCAAACTATGGCCCATTGTCTAAATCCAACCTATGGCCTACTTTTGTAAATAAAGTTTTATTGGAATACAAACAGCCCCATTTGTTTACATATTGTCTATAGCTGCTTTTATACCCCAACACAGGATTGAGCAGCATGACAGAGACCACACGACTAGCAAAACCTAAAATTCTTACTGTGTGGCCTTTTACAGAAAATGTTTGATTCTTGATTGACTCCTGTTTGACTCACCTAGTGCCCTTTTGACACATTGGGAATATGCGAGAAAGCAAGAGGAGTCAAATGGCATAGAAACACGGCAGGAAGACTGGAAAGAGGCTATGATTCCCAGTGCAAACAAATCTGGGTTCAGGGACAATCATTTCATTTTGACTTACTAATTGATCACCCTTCTGTTTATTTAGGACTTTAAGAGCTTACCAAAATCTCTGTCCTTTATAAAATCAAAAAGAAGACAGACTAGTGGGATCAAAGGAAACTCCATAAAACAGTGGGTTTTAGATAATTTTTTCTAATCTTTTATTTTTTATATTTATATTTTATATAAGTTTTCTAAAAGAGTTTGAGAACTATAAATCAGGAACTGAATATAAGAAAAAGATAAACATGCTTACATAAACTATGTGAAAGGAACAGAATGGAAGAATTTAAAGAGTAAAACCTTAAGGAATTAAACAGTAATTTAAGGAGAACATCTATCTATTAAGGGACTGTGATACAATGATAATTAAATCATCAGCAAAAAAAAAATATTTTTGTGATGGAAATAAAGTATGGGGGAGGGAAGAAATTAGCATAAATTTAAAAAATATTACCAAGAAATTTTTAGGTCTTTGATTCAAAAGGATATTTCTTTTTTATTTTTTCTCCAACATAGAGACATTTTGATTCACATCCTTTGAAGGCTTTGTTTTCAGAAGAACTGCCCAGATAAAAAGCAACCATCCATCTCATGGATGAGCGTGGAAAAAGAAGGAATTTAGAAAAAATAAGCATGGTGAAAAGGGAAAGAGTTGTAAAGGGAACTGAATTTTGCACGGGTAAATCTGCCAATCACAGCACAGCTGGCCCAGGACAAAGGACGATAATAGATGGAGAGATGATGGAATCCAAAAAAAACCTTTTAAAACCACATTCATGAGAATGACCCCTACTAAAGGGATGGACAAATGTCCAGGGCTTCAAAAACGATTTTCCTTAAGGTTTTCTCTGTAAGCTCTGAAATTATCTCTGGGCAATGGCTGAGAAGTCTCTATCTCTTTATTTCTTTTCTTTGGGGTGGTTGGTAGAGGATGCAGCTTGAAGTTTTCTTTCTCTTCCCTTCATGAGACAGGAGTGGTAGCAGATGAAAAAGTAACTTAGCGAAGGCAAAGCCAGGTTTGTCTTTCTGATCTAGATTCTACGAGTAGAGCTGACTGCATATGGAGAGACAGAGAAAGGAACAGGTTCAATATAAAAATGCAAAGACCCTTGGGATAGAGCTTCCTTGGTTTAAGTTTCTTTGATCCTGGAGCTGGAGGTGAGGATTCTCATGCAGGTGATTTATTGAGATGAGGGTAAGAGTGGGGTTCTCTTAAGTGGAAACATGGGCAAGGGATGTGAATTCAGTAGGGTGAGGCAGGAAAATGGGTTAAGTAAGTAGGTTAGCCTAACTTCACGCCTGATCTCAGGGAGATTTCTGGAGTATGAATTGTACCACCGAGTAATTCCCACCTTGAGGTCAAGGATAGCCAATTTGTACCTAATGTCAGGGGCTGAAATCATGAGCTGCAGACCATTCCCAGGGAGTGGATAAATACCCTGCTTACCGACTTACCTCCCTCCCTATCTGCCCACAAGTGAAGTGACTTCTGTTGTCCAAGGTCAATTAAAGTAGGGGACAACTCTGAGCCAGTAACAATCAATATGGTAGCTGAGGGATGGGTAAAATGGCCCATTAAAGAGGTTTTGGGTGGGGCACCAATTCCTACTCCCACATATGCTAAGATTTCATCATTTAGAAGTAATTACTAGGCACCCAGTATTGGGTACAATGAAGGAGTCACTAGGGCTGGGATGAGGGTGGACAACGTCTTATAAGCAGTTGACTCCTGGCATGGGATGGAATCAAAGGAAGCTCTATTCCATCCAAACCTACTGTCTCCCTTCCTCACCTATCTATGTACATGGACTATTTCCCTTCCTCGCCTATCCATGTACATGGAATACCGGAATTAGATCATTTATTTGGAGTATATATTTTTTCAGGTAACATAATTAAATATGCATTGAAAAGCAGTAGAGAGTATTACTAACATTACTATTTAGATGTAGGTCCTAGAAATATTTTGTCTCTCTAAATGTAAATGCATTTTTTTTCTTTTTCCAAAAGAAGAAAAACAATGTGTTTTCATGTTTCCTTTAGCTGGGAGAAAGGTTAATTCCATTTTTATTTGTTTCTGCTCCTTTACTAAGTTTATTCTATTTTATACTTGTAAAGTAATATGAAGAAAAATTCTATTTCAAATAACTAATTGCAGCCACATTCACATATTTCATTGATACTAAGGTGAATGTTTTTCCACAATTTACTATTGGCAAAATCAGGATGGGATGTTGCCCTTTACTATCCCTTTGCATCAGGTGAAAGTCAGAACCTAGCAGCATTACCTGTGCTTATAAAAACTTGGTTACCACTTCATTTGTTTTATGTGCAATGTTGTTACTATCTGGGTTCTGTTTAATTGCCATCAATAATTTAGCCTTAAAATATCTCAAAGGCAGAAATGCAGAAGGATAAGGCTTTGGGATATTAATTTGATATTAATGAAGCATATGTTTGATGTTGGAGGAATGAATGCAATTCCACATTATCTTGCAAAGCTACACCAAGTGCTTTATGTTAATAAGAAAGGAAGCTACTCACAGGTAAAGCAGTTAGGTTTTGTTATCAAGGCACAAGCAAAAACATTATCTATCCTATGCCAACGAGTACAATTGAACTCAGGAGAAACAGTCACATCCTCTGAAATATGTAAAAATAAATAAACTGATAAGCCGATGTGACTGATTTGTGCATTGCTCAGGACTAACATAAAGGTATTTTGGCGTAGTTTAACTGGCAGTCTGTTTTTTTAAAGGTTTTATCAGTACATTTACATTTTACAATGAATAGGGGCTGACATTGCATAAAACATGGTGCTAGTCAACAGCATAGTTGATCTTATGCAAAATTATTTTGGAAAACAACTTGAGGGGTTGATGAAACCTGGATGATGAAACCATCAGGGTCACACCTGAAGTCAACAAAGTTAGGTTTATTAGTTTGCTGCAGCAAAGGGAGAATAGAACCCAGAGGAAGCCTTGGAGAATCTCATAAGGGAAATTGAAGGAAGGCTTCTGACGGAGTTAGGGCTTTGGATGAATTTAAGGAGAAATTAATAAAGCAGGGGCTTGCTCTAGATTAGATGCTGTCAAGAAATTAGAGCAAATTTCATCTAGGGGGCAGAAAAATTAAAGTGAAGCTAAGGTTGTCATTGGCAAAAAAACAAAAACAAAAAACCCACTAGTTATTCACATTAGTCAAAAGAGGGTGTCTAGTCATTGTGGTTGTGGAGTAACTTGTCTCTGTCATATTGCAAACATGATCATGATGTGACCTGATCTAAACATTACTTATATTTAATTGGGAACATCATGGCCTGGCTGCCAGTGGGGCCACTGTAGTACAATATGTGAAAAACTCAGTGGATTTGGAGTTGAAAGCCTGGGTTAAAAGCCACACATCTTTTGGGTGTGGGATTTGTTCAGTTTTCATAAGCTTTCTGAACTTCAGTTTCTTTAACTGTAAAGTGGATCTACTAATAAACATGTGAAGTGGTTGGTGAGAAGATACGATGGAAATACAAATACTAATGACAATAGTAAGCAATTAAAAATGTGTTGAAAGCTTGGTGGTGCATGCCTGTAGTCCCAGCTACACAGGAGGCAGAGGCTTGAGCTTAGGAGTTTGAAGAATTGTGAGCTCACTGCACTCCAGCCTGGGTGACAGAGCCAGACCCATTTTCTTAAAAAAAAAAAAAAAAAGTGTTGATTCCCTTTAGGCTGTCTTGCATAAAAGGCCCAAGCTGCTGGAACAGCTCATACCTTGAGTGGAGGTGAAGGAGGGAGATGGGTATTTTGGGAGTATATACAGTTCGTGCTGCTAGGAGATGTTCCCACTGCAGGGGAGCAAATTCAGAAGCAGAATGGTTACAAGGCTTGCACACAGCTGGAGATTCAAGATCCTGCCTGATGCATCTGATATCATCTTCTCCCCAAAATGGACCCTGAGCCAAACCTTCCTGGCAAATGATTTATTAAGGAAGGATCCCCTGGAAAGGCCAATAAGGGATTGTGGGAAGCAGGAAAAAGAGGGGGAGGAAGCCAAGCGAAAGTGTGATTTCAAGTGAATCCCCAAACTCAGCTTGCTTCTGCTGGAGGCTCTGGAGCATAAATTACACCCCAGAGTTTGCCCAGCCTTAAAGCAGAGGAGCCAAGCTTTTGTACTTCTGCACCAGTCAGTCACTAGCTGTGGGTGCCTGTGAGAGTCAGGCTCTGTGCAGGTGCAGTGTCCATGGGAGCAGAAGGCAGCCATTAGTAGCAAAGCAAGTGGAAACTGGGGGAACGGGTGCACAGTCCCAATAAGAGGGATATGAGGACATCCAAATAGAGCACCAACAATGTCCACCGGGGGTGGGGAAACAAGTTCAAAGAGACTTTCATGGACTTGTTCATGGGAATCTTCTCTGGTTCCACCACACTGTTGTGACACCCTACTCTCATTATGATCATCTAGAGAAGCAATGCTTCCTCCAGAATCTGTCACTTCCTGGTGCATAGCACTAATTGAAAGGCTAGCATTTCAAATGAAGTATGTCAGAGATAATATTTAAAAGATGTCGTTCTGTCTGGCATGTCACCGGAGTTTGACATGACTACAGGAGCCTTGTTAGAAGTAATGAGGCAAGATGAGCTCTAGCAGATTCATTCTTCAGAGCACAGCTCAAGCACTGAACCAATATTATTACTGACCATAAATGTTGTTAGGGAGATGTGGAAGGGATGTTAACGCCACTAAGCATTACAATCAAATCTCAATAATGACCATTGAAGCAGGCTAATAAATTATAGATTATGTGTGCAGTGCAAATTCATTCCTTCAGAAACCTTAGCTTCCTAGCTTCAAGAATTTCAAGGGTTTCTTCTGCTGCAAGCACCAGGCTTAAAGCCACACAGAAAAAAAAAAAAAAAAAAAAAAAAGAGCTGGCAATTCTGTTAGAATTCTCTGCGTCCTCCTCTATTAAGTTACCTTCCTTCCTTCCTACTAATGAGATGGAAAAATAGAGTAAAGATGTAGATTTGCTACTATGTTAGAAACTCTGAGTGCTAATGCAACACATCCCTGTTGAATCAGGAGGTGTCTGGAAACCAGACCAGTTTCGGCTATCACTTGCAATGCATTGTGTAACATCAGGCTTCCCAGTCTTGTTTCTCTGGCTCCAGGGCCTGCCAGGCACATTTTGGAAAAAATAAAAAATCCTTGTCATCAAGAAAGAGGATGCCATGTGTGTGCATTTGTTAAAAATAAATCTGCTCTCACCAAAAACCTATCCAGGAAAATCTAAGGAAAACCCTTCAGGAGAAATACTATCCTTTCACCAATGATTTTCATGTTCTGAGGATCTCCCGGGAGCCATAGTTTCTTTAGAAGTGGGGCATGACTTCTGAGGATTTTATGTTTCTTTTAAAAAGTCCATTTTGTTGGATCTGTCTCTTTACCTCAGGGTTTAAGAACTAAGGTCACCCAACCCTTGGATGGGTCATTGACCTCCCTTTACCCAAGTAGCTGCTGCCCCCTGGAGTCAGGCAGAGGAATATCCTGGTACTCCTAGCCTCCATTCCAACCCACTCCACTCCCAGATAAAGAAAATATGCTGGGAAAAAATAATTCCTCAGGCGTTTCTTTGGCCAATATTAGAGGCTTCATATAGTAACGGTCTATAATTTATGTATCTGGTACTACTTACTTTTTATAGGTGAGAAAACTCAGATTCAGAAAGAGGATCTGATTGCCATGAGCCTCGGCAAGCCGGCAGCGTTGCTGGAAGCGTCCTGGGTCCAGGGACAAGCGCCTGAAGTTTAAGCCACAAGACACTGCTTCTAGCTTCGGTGCCTTCAGCCATCAGGATTATGGATTTAGAACAGAATGGGTTTGGAGATCTCCTTTGTTCTATAGCAGCAGTTTCACTGCTTGGGGTCTAGCTTGTTAGTACAAGAGAAGAGGACCCCATAGCTTCTGTTTGGCAAACCTAGAGACTCAATGGTGAAAAGCTCCTAGAACCATTCTCAGATTTTTCTCCAGAGTGAAACCTAAATTTCTTAGGCTCATGTTTCATTCTTTTTGTTTCCACGAGTGCCTCAACAGCCTGGATTCTTTCCCAGGAACCAAGTCATCCGGGCCAGTGATTCTCTACCCGACGTTGTTATCCAAGAGTCCTTGGCAGAGAGAGAGAGAGAGAGAAGAGCGCTCCACACCTCATTAGGCAATTATTGATGGGGAGGGGGATCTTATCCAACTATTCCAGGAGTCATGGGGTATTTATATTAAGAAAATAGGAAAGGAAAAGAACCACCATTCCCAAATTAATTTGATACAAAGTCTCATTGTTTCCTGCTTCCTCCTTTTCAAAATGATTAGTTTAACATAGAAGCATATTGAATGCTTGAATATTAGGATGAGTAATTCATGTCTTAGCATTTTAGAGTTTTATGGAAATCTCTTCTTCTACCACTAAATACTGAATGAACTTATTCATTATTCATAAAAGTTAAATATTTCTCTCTCCTCTCCCCTCCCCTTCCTTCCCATCTTGGCCAAAGTAGACGGGTTGGCAGCAAAAGAGTTCTGGGGAACATGGCATGGATACCATGCACTGAATAGCTCTATCTCAATCCCTTGCTGCCCAAGAGACCAAGCTGTAAGGTGGAAGGCACTGGAAAAGAGCAGACATGAATAGAGGTGACTGAAAATTACTAGTGATAAAGTGCCTAAGTCCTTGTATACCTCTTACGATAATGTTATCAGAAAAGTGCCGGACTACAAGTTAACCTTACTGTTTTAGACCTTTTTGAATATTTTCTAGTAAAAATTAATTTAGTAGGCAAAGAACTGAGACTTAAAAAATCAAAGGCTCTCATCCACTCATTTTGCAAGTATGTAATGGGATTTTGTTATGGATACTTAATTGACATGGCAGTAATGTGAAATATGTATCGCTTTCTCAGCAAGTCATCTTCACATCTCCTAGATGATAGAAAATGAATAGATCTTAATATCTGAATTCTCTGGGGATGGGAAGGAGAGCAGAGTCAACAGGGATTTCAAACTTTTATAACCAATAGTCTTGTGACTATGGTAACTTCTGATGGCACACTCTGAGGAGGAGGAGGAAGGAAAAGATGGGCAGTAAGGAAGGGACACACATTTAATGATGAACACAAATGCGGAAGCTTGAGAGGGACAGTGAAGAAATGGGAAGTTGTAGACAAAATAGCAAAGTTACCTTCCCAGCATCCATCACTGAAAAGCCCTGGAAATTAATCTACTGCGTAATTATGTCATTTCAATGGCCATTCATTTTTATTGTGTGCCAAACTAATAGTGGATAGTGGAGATACATCAGTATGAAAACCACACATAACCACCACCTTTATATAGTTTATAACCTAATATTGATCCAAGTCAACCCCTACTATTCCTCCAAATCAACCCATACTCATTGTGCCACTGTTTTGCATAAAATGAGACAGATACAGAACTCACCATCAAGCAGTTTATAGTATGTCAGTAGAAAACATAAATATTAAACTCAATTCTTAAATTTATGCACTAGCTTCAATTATGGTATCTCAAAAACTTCTTGTAAAAATCTTGTGAACAATTTAAAGATTACTATTTTTTTCATTATTTTTAATTTAAAAAAATAATTTAGGAATAAAATGGAGGCTCAGTGGACTCAAGTGATTTGCTCAATTATACAACTAAGGAATGAAAGGGTGGCTGGGCTTTGGCTTCGATTCTTTTTTGTCCTTAAATGATGCCAGCTCCCTGCAGCAAGAGTTTTATTTTTAAAATAAATAAAGAAATTAAAATAAAAATCTATCACTACTGAAAAAGTACTTGGTATAGAAAACAATTTTATTTGCTATAAATAAGATATGGAATCATAAAAGACAAGACTGGAACCCAAGGTTAGGGCAGTCTGCATAGAATCACACCTTCTGGCCAAATATTGATGGAATCTACAGTTATAGTGGGGGAGTCCATGATCTCTGTGGAAAAAGGTTGCGTTTTGGAGTTGGAAAACTTGAGTTTAAATCCTGACCTTGAACTTATTACTTGAAAGACTTCAAGTTAGGTTTCACCCTCTTGTTCTGATTACTCATCCTCATAGGTCACAGTGAAGATTATATAAGGCACTATGTATGAAGCGCCTACTACTAATCAGTATTGTATATTACCCTTCTTTTGGAAAACTAACGCTTTTATAGAAGGGAAAGTGAAAAGTTTGGGTACTTGGTTTTCTTTTTTCTCTGCCCATGTGTATTAGTCAGGTAAAGCCAGGTTAGTGTTTGTTTGAATAACTGGGGACTATAACCTAGCTAAGTTAGCACATAAAACTGACCATCACAGCCCATCCCTTGTCAACTTGGTGTCTATACACATCTCTTTAGATCATATTTAATATTTTGAAGACAACAACAAAGACATGCTTCCATCTAACATAATGCAACTATCCTGCATGAAACTGAAAATACTCTAACTCTTTCTCTAGAATAAGATACAAAGTCCCTGGGTAATGTTCATTCTTTTCCTTGATTTCCTGTAACTTAAATATAGTGATGTAGAGTTGGCTGTCACTCACACATCTTATGTTATATGATAAGGGGTAAGAAAGGGAAAAAGCAATAATAATTGCCAGAGATATACATACACACAGACATTTACATAACAAAATAGGAAGAAATAAAACTATGAAAGTCGTACTTTCTGCAATTGGTCACATGGTTTCAGTCACATAGCTAATATTTTAAGTACATTTTCTCACTACCATATTCCCTTTTCCCTCAGCAAGCACCTCAGCTAGTCGGGTTCTTTGCCTGGCGAAGTGATGCAAATCTTTATTTCTGAAGGGTATGGGTCATTAGCAGTCCCGCTTTAATGGGGATGCCATAGTTTTCTATTGACTCTTGTCTCAGGGCATGGTAGTACTAAGACACACACCGAATGGTCTTCTGTATTCCAGACATACGCTTTCTTACTATCCTTGTATTATAGAAATCCAGTGTCCTTGGTAATCAAGATTAATCAGCCAAGTCAGCAAGCAACATTCTTCTTAGCTTGTTGATTCAGACGCATGCGGAGTCCAAAGTGGCCACGTGATCGTCTTGACTTCTGCTTCAATAGAATCATTGTTGTGTCTCTTAGCAGAAGAGTTCCACTCTTTGGAACTAAGACTTCTAAACCAGCAGAGCATAAAGTCATGGGGATAGAAGGGAAAAATTTTGCTAGTGTGCCACTAGTAGTAATAGCGGTAGTAAAGGGGGTCATGTTACTCCCATTTTACTCCTTGATCCCTGGGCCTGTGAATCCTGGCTATAGGAGAACTGGCACCATATATTGGATGCTGACTGAGACACTGGTCCAGCCCTGCAAAATACAGCCAGTAGATAAGACTCTATCTGAATCTTAAAGGGACTATTTTACTGTTCATCCATGCCAGCTGCTTGAGGATTACAGGGAATATGGTGAATTTCATGAGCCTGAGCCATTTGCTGCATACTTCATTTACTGTGAAGTGAGTTCCTTGATCAGAAGCATGTTATATGGAATATCATGGTGATGAATAAGCCGCTCTATGAGTCCATGGTTTTCGCAGAAATACTGTGTTTAGGGAAAGCCAATTCCTATCTAGCATAAGTGTCTATTTTAGTAGAAATGCACAGATTTTTGGCAGTGGAGTAGAGTCTTTCCTGAAGAGGATAGGGGCCTCTCCTTCATTCAAGGTGCTGTGGGTTTATAAATTGGCTCAAATCTTGGAATCAATTAATGTGATTCTGTTTTCATGTTTCAAATTAGACTTCTGTTTAGTAAACCTATAACTCTTCCACTTATACAAAGCAAGAAAGAATTTAGTGGATTTTCATCTGTTTTTTTTCCTAGGGATGTGATGATCAACTAGCAGAATCTCTGCTTAGTGGATCAATATCAATAAATCCAGCCTGACTTAACTTTACATTCCTTCCACTATTATTAAACACCTTTAACATCCATTCACAAACATATAACCCAAATTTCTGTGTGTGTAATTTGGGAAAATTATGCTGTTTTCTCAATGTATAGTGTACTTTATCTTGAGTCACACTTTGTATCTCATCTTCTGGGACCTGCTGGGATTTGAGTCTAGTTACAGGTCTAGATACAAAGAAGAATGGTGGGGGTGAGTCCTGAGGGAGATCAACAGTGTCTTTCAAGGCAACTATTTCAGGAGAGGTTATTATGACTTCTGCAGGCAAAGCAAGGTTAACCTCCTTAGTGATAGAATGCTCTCTTCTGCTGGTAAAGAACACTCAGCAGAATTTAGGAGCTCAGTGTCCCCAGCTTCCCTAAGATCTTCCCGTATGTCTCTATTCCAATTTTCGGAATCCTGTTTCTTCTCAGTCAATGCCCTCATTTGAACAGAAGACACCTGTAAGGCTGAAATTCAATTTGAATTATAATTTAATCATTCTCAGAATGAGACTCTGGGTTTAGTTTTCAGAAATCTCAACTTTGCAGCTATAAGAGATAAAGGTTTCTTTCACAACAGATGTAGAACATCCCAAGTAACTTATACACCATTTGAGCTTGGAATTTGAAGTCCTGGGTGCATTATTTCCTTTTTTATATTTCCTCCAGTGCAGTTAAGAACAACTAGCCAATCCCATTATACTCCTTAGTTTGATTGAAATGTTTTGTAGTATTAAATAGATAGTTGTCCAGAATCTTGACTTTTATGGGTATTTGATAAGGAGTGTCCAGTGGTGATATTTTGCAAATCTTTATTGTGACATCATGTCATGGATTATCAATGCCCTCTTTACCACTGGAAATAGTCACTAGTGCCTTTGAATCAAATCAAACTAAAGAACCAATTCCAAAAAACTCGGAGTCAATTTAGAAGCTCACTCTTAATGTTTTGTTTGTCTTGAACCACTTCTAGTATGAAAATTTGTATCTGTCAGCATTCCACAAAGAAACAGAACTAGCAGGATACACACACACACACACACACATAAACACACACATGCATATATCAGAAGATTTATTGCAGGGTGTTGGCCCACATAATTGTGAGGGCTGGCTGGGCAACTCTGAAATCCAAGGTGTCCATCAGGAAGGGCAGGTGGGAATTCTTGGGTATAAACTGAAGCTGCAGATAACAGGGAAATTTTTTTCTTTCTCAGGGAAACATCAGTTCTGCTCTTAAGGCCTTGGAGCTGATTGGGTGAGGCTCACCCATACCACTGAAGATAATCTTTAATCTTTACTTACAGTTAGCTGGTTGTAGGTGTTAGTCTCATCTTCAATGTACCTTCATAGTAATACCTAGATTAGTGTTTGATTGAATGACTGGAGAGTGTAGTCCAGCTGAGCTGATGCAAAAAATTGAACATCACCTCAAGCACCAAACATGATTTTAAAAAGTAGAATAGTTTTGCTTATGCTTTGCTTTAATTTTTCTTATCTTTAGTTCCAGCATCCTTACTTTTAAAAATATATATTGAGGTAGAATTTTTTTTAGCCAAGCCTACAGTTATTCAGTAATCCATGGGCCTATATCATCCATGGGTACCATATCGTGTATGACTCATTTCACAGACATTAAAGTCCATGAAGAATCTTGTTCATCTGAGCATTCAGCATGTTCTAGGAGAGAAAAGGATTTCATGGGAGTCAGCCCAAAGAGAATAAAAAGTGAGTAGGTCTTGGATGTGAGCACAGTAGCAATTCAGCAGGTGTGTATTTTAAAGTGTCAGGAAGTTTTTCAAAGCCATTTACTCTCCTCACCTATTTGAAGGTGTCATATTTTGTTACTCAGGTGTCATCTCTTTATCTAACCCCAGACAACAAGGAGTCCTGTGTTCATAGTCGCCATGGGATAGATCTGCTTCTGTCATCTCTTCCTTTTCCCATTATGGCAAACTTTCTTCCTCCCTGCTCCTCCCTTCCCACAGGCAGCAGGGCCTACAGAATGTCCCATTATCCTCTTTATCTTTTTAAATTTTCTGGACTGACACAGCAGAGGGAGTAGAAGGTGCTAGGAGAAGTCAATAAGCCACGTTAATTCAGTGTCAGTAGTTGCTTCTAGGGTAGTCTATGTTTAAATCCATGAACACATAAATGGGTTAACCTGGGCTTTGAAGCATATACCTCATTAAGGACATGCAGAGAAAACGTCTCAAAATAGTAATTTTTGAACATTTGCTTTTTATTGTTTCCTTTCTGTTGTGATCTTTCCCCTTCTCAGTTAGAGGAATCTACATTGCTTTGAGGATAAGAACATAATTAGAGAGAAAATGAAAAGAAGAAACAGTCAATGTTCAGGTTTCTGACTTCCAAAACAGTCTTTTGAGAATCAAAAGGGCTGGCTTGAGAGAGACAGGGCAGTGGTTAGGCCATAATCATAGAATTAGAAGGAGAACACAGAGGTTTCAGGTCAAGATGGCATTTCTGCTCCAATCATGTAGCAAGAGGGAAAAATATACATAAAAAGAGACATGGCTGGAATCAATAAAAGATGATCATTTCCACAGTTGAGGAACAGAATAGAAAAACAAAATGGGGAACACAGCAGAAGGTAAGACTTTGCTGCACTTTGAATATGAAGTAGGCAGTAGCTCCAGGGTTTGGGTTGCTCCAGGCAGAGGACCAATAGTGTTCTGCAGAAGATGTTAGGGGCTGGGGTGAACATTCTCACTTAGCACATGTAGGGGAAATTATTCTGCCCATTCTTTCTTGGGGATAGAGTTCCTAGAGAGTGGAAACTTGAGAGGGGTGGCAACTGAGACACATAGACACACCTGGATGATCAGGAGCTTTGGCCACTGATCTGAGCCCGGAACTGCCATGTTCCCAACATGGCTACTTGTAAGAGGACCTAGCTCCAGGTTAGGATCTCCCCAGAGGAGGCAGCTGTGAAATCAAAAATCAAACAAATAAGCAAAACAATTTATTGCAAAGCAAATAAAGCAAAGAAAATAGGAAATTTTACCAACCAAAAAGAAAGCAGGGAAAGAAAATACAGCAATAAAGAAAAAGCATGATCATCTCACAAAAACAATAAGGTGACAGACATAAACCCCACTAGACTCACAGAAAATGTTAATGAATTAAACTCACCTATTAACAATTACAGTTTATAAAATTGAATTTGAAATAGGCTGCTTCCATAAGATAAAGACAAAGAAACAAACACCTAAAAAAAAAAAACACCACATAGAAAGATTTAAAATAAAAGCATGAAAAACAAAACCAATACTAAGTAAAAAAATCAGTGTAAGAAAAGTGATGTCTGGCAAAATAAAATTTAAAACAACATTAGTAGAATAAAAAGGGACACCCTGTAATGGAAAAAAAAATAAAACAAGCTAATGAGAAACCATGCCAATTCTGAACTTGTAAGCACTCTACAACATAGGCTTGAGGCTAACAAAAGTAAAATCTACAGAATTTTAAGGAAAAACTAACAAATACGGAAACTGATGACTTTAAGAAAACTCTATCCAAACTGGATGAATTAAGCTGACAAAAATAAGAATACATATATATAATTTAAACAACAAAAATTAAAACATTGACCTATGATCGCTGATTGGTAATACAATTTCTTATAGATCGACTTTCCTTGTTCTGTTTTTCTTTTTTTTTTTTACATTCTACATATAATATTCATGGGTAAAAAATTAGCAAGTGTTAAAATATTCAGTACTTTAGTAGGAATTATAAATGCTGAGTTTATAATTATGCTGTTCTGGAATTTGCAAGGGAATGATGAAGATTTTTAAGTTCTGAAGAAGCAAAATCCCAGGAAGAGCCAAGCTAGAGGAGCCTCACCTGGGTAAGGTGAGTTACATATGGGTTTATAGGAGGTTGGGGTAAGAGTACTGACCCAACGGAACCACAAAAAGTACAAGTAATGCACCCTGAGAGAGAGCCATGCCCTATTAGTATCCAGTGCTGAGAGTTGCATGGAAACTGAACCACCATCTTGAGTGAACACTGCATGTTCCCCAGGTGGAAGAGCAAGAGTAGTTGCTCATCTCTCACTGTGGGTACTGGAAGGCCCACAACAAGTGTCAGCACAGCCCCTAAGGAAGTCTTAGTAGCAGGATGCCGCTCATGCCTTGGGACTTTGCCCAACCAGTTCTGAATGGCCTGGTATGAACAAACCCCCTCCTCAATGTCAATATTCTGTGACTCTTATAAGCACATCTATACTATGGTTGACCTCAACAATGAGGTCCTTAATAGCCAGAGGAAATGTGGTGTGAAGGGCAAAGCCCGGAACTGCTCACATGGGTAAGGAGAGCTCCCCAATTAAAAAGAAAGCTGGAGGCCGGACGCAGTGGCTCACACCTGTAATCCCAGCACTTTGGGAGGCTGAGGCGGGTGGATCACAAGGTCAGGAGATCGAGACCATCCTGGCTAACATGGTGAAACCCCGTCTCTACTAAAAATACAAAAAAAAAATTAGCCGGGCATGGTGGCAGGCGCCTGTAGTCCCAGCTACTTGGGAGGCTGAGGCAGGAGAATGGCATGAACGCAGGAGGCGGAGCTTGCAGTGAGCCGAGATCGCACCACTGCACTCCAGCCTGGGCGACAGAACGAGACTCTGTCTCAAAAAAACAAACAAAAAAAAACAACAAAAAAGAAAGCTGGAGATAATTTAGTACTTTCAGGATGCTGTTGTTTGCTACAGATCATTTTCCTGCTAAGGTTGAAGTTAAACAGAACAGACACAGTATGAAGAACTTTTTTTTTCCTTTTTAACTCTGAGGAGACCACCCTATGCAAAGACATGGTATCAACTGTAACCTTTCTTTTTGGGACACGAACTAATTTGTACTTATTCAGTAAAAAATAATCTGAAAGAAAGGGATCTTTACTGGGGATTAGAGAAAGATATTCTTGTGTCATCTTTCATTCCTTCTGTTTCTATGGTTTCATAAACTCCTCTCTCCATCTCTCTCTGGGAATAAAACCTTTTATAGTGGACCTCTTGGAACCCCAATCAGATCCTGGGACCAGCAATCAACCCTCCTGCCTTTTACTGCTCCTGTCCTTTTTCCCCACGTGGCTTCCCACGGCCAATTCAAGTAAGGGATATGACTCCTTTCTCTTTTTTCCCTTCCCTTCCCATCACATGTATTGAGTAACTGTGTTCTCTCAGACTCTGCACTATGCACGGTGTGTACAGTGGTGAACAAAATAGAAACAGTGCCTGTCCTCGTGAGTCTCATAACCTAATATGGAAGGCTGATATTTAACAATGAAACCCATTAGAAATACAGATACAAGCTTTGAAATATGCTATGAAAGAAAAGATTTTGTTCTGCAAAAGACAATAACACACTATCATGCTTTAGTTTGAGAACCCAGGGAAGAACCCAGGGAAGAAACTGCCGTGGAGTTGATTCTGAAGGATGATGAACAAAAAGGAGTTGCCAGGTAAGGAGAGGAGTGGAAACTTTATTCACTGAGGAAACGGATTCTCTTAGTTGGCAGAACACTTCCTCCCTACTTGGAAGGAGGAAAACATCTTTCTTTGATTTAAGAACATGAAAGGAAACTTGGTTAATTTTAAATTATGGGAATCTCAGGTTTTCTACTCAAAACCTTTAGATGTTTCTCGGAGTAGTTTTGGTATCTAAATTTCACAGAAGAAATCAAAGGCCAGCCAAATTCTCTTGCTTACATATAATGTTTTTTTCACCTTATGAAATTTGTAAGTGCTTATGATATTCATACATTATTTCTTTACATTTGAGATAGTCCCCATATGTGTTAGAAATCTTATCTTTAATTATCGTTTCCAAGGGCGTGTGTTTATCTTATTATATATTTGTATTGTGTTTACTCCATTTGATTTGATATCAACTCTTGTTTGTTGCTTTTTTCTTTGCTTTAAAGACAAACTGATTATTCACATCTTAACTTTCCATTTGCTGCCATAAAATAAAATAATATTATATCTATTCATTTTCAGTTTATTTCCTTTCCCTCTAAAGTCTGGCAGAAATTATTAAGATTTGACTGCAGGACCAATTCTCCTCTTTATGAAGAGCCACCTTTTTCCCTCTAAGAATCATTGGCCCTCACATAAAGCAATTGATCTCCAAAGTTCTTTCAATACTCTGTGTCCTCACCCTGTTGCCATCATTGATTAGACACTGAGTGGGGATCTATCCCAACTCACATTCAATAGATTTCCTCTCTCTTGAGAATTTATAATTGGGATTTAAAGTGACTTTCAAGCTCAAACACATTAATTTCTAACTCTTGTTTCCAAGACTCTCCTCAGTCCCAACAGACCACAGAGTTCACAGAAACCTCTGTATCTTCCTAATATTTTCCCTTTTTATGTTTATGTTTCTACAATTGTATTTTTATTACTTTAGTGAAAAATACTTTGCCCAAGTCCATGTATCAGGAGAAATTATTCCAGTCTTCCAAATGGCTGCTCACTCTAACCTACATGTAGAGGATTAGAAAATATTTAAAGAATTTAAGATTGATGAAAGACATTTTTTTCTGCTTGAATAGCATAAATTTGAATACAAGTTGTATATAATGAATACTCACACATTGCAGGTTTGAAAAGAAAGATAAAGGATTTAAAAGGCATGAGGTGACTTTCCTTCAGCTCTCCACAGCCTTTGATGTTCTCACAGGACCTGCTAAATCCCTGTCAGGCGGACACAGCAAGGCGGGAGGGGGTCTGTTGCTTCCTCCGGCAATGGTCATTTCCACCTTGTCCAGAAGACACCATCTTTTGACCGAAAGTTCAGGAATAAAATAATGTTCACCTATGTGCATGGAGACAGAATCTGAAGACTTACAGATCAAAGGATACTGATAGTGGAAACAAGTGAGGTAGAATGGTCAAGGTAAGATCAGCATTATCTTAGTCTGGTAACTGGTAGCTGGGAAGTGGATCTACTGAAGTTAGCATGATCATTAAGCTTAGAAAGAATACAGAAAAAAGGTGAACTATTATCCCTACGGCGAAAAGACCAATCAAAGATTTCCTTGGTGAACTGGTAGCCCTTGGACCTGTCACTAGTCTCATATGAAAGGTAAAGCCCTGAAACAGAAGCACAGCCCAACATAAAAAAAAAAAAAAGCAGAACAGAAAACATAAAACAATCCCATTTGGGGCGTTCACATGTTGGCATAGACTAAGAGAAGAAACAAAGGATTTTGTTCAGATTTAGCAATTTATTTGCATTAAATAATAACAGAACTACTATCTGTTAAAATTTGTGTGACACAGATAATGATTCTTACAGGGAAAATCATAGCCTCAAAGGCTTATACCATACCAGAACAGAAGGAAGGCTAAACATTAATGAGCTAAGATTTCAACTTAATAAAAAGCAACAAAAATCAAACAAAAATAAAAGTAATCATCAGAATAAAGCATTGCAAATCAAAAACAAAAAAGGAAGCAATAAAGAACAGGAATTAGTAAAAAGAAAACAAATGTAACATAGATAATATCAGTAATATCAATTTCTATTCATTTCAAAATACCATAAAAACTGACAACCCTCTAACAAGACATATAAAGAATAAAAGTCCCAAATAAGTAACTTTACGAATGCAAAATGTGCATTTTTGAAGATGCAGGGAATAAAATAATAGAGGTGATCGTAGAGCAATGGGTTCCTATGTATTGAAAAATGTAGTGAAATTGAGATATAATTCCAAGAAATATGAATGTTTCCAGAATATAGAAAATTTGAATTCCCTTTTTCTTACCCTACTTACTTTAAATCATAGTTATACCAAGTATTCAAGGACTAGACGACTGTAAATTTAAGAAAATTCTTTCAGAGACTAGAAAAAGATGGTACTTTGAAACTCATGTTTTGAAGTTAATAAAATATTAGTATCAAAATCAGGGTAGGACAATAGGATAAATGAAAATTATAATTAAAGCCCTCATGAACATGAATGCAAATCTTTCACCTCCCACTCAAAATCAATAAAAATGGAATCCAGTACTGCATAATAAAACAAAGGGCATAATACATCTTGACCAACTTGGATTTGTTGCTTATATGTAAGATTATTATGTGGTATAATTCACTATCCTGAGATATTGAAAAAGAAAAGTATAACAGATTTATAATCATTGCAATAGATGTTTCAAAATGACAAAATTTAATGACCATTCATGACAAAATCCAACCAGAAAAATTTCTCAACAAAATAGGAATAGAACTTTCTTAAGTGATAAAACATTTTTATTTAACAAATAACCACAAAATCTTTTGAATGATTGTATTAGTCAGGGTTCTCCAAAGAAACAGGACAAATAGGATGAGGGTGTTTGTGTATGTGTGTGTTTGTTTCCCTCACACACGTGCACACACACACCCATACATGAGATTTAAGGAACTGGTACACACAATTATGCAGGTTGGCAAGTTCAGAACCTGCAGGGTGGGGTGGGGGGCTGAAGATCTGAAGAACATCCCATGTGGCAGTTGAAATCTAATGGTTATGTGCTGGCAGAATTCTTCTTTGCTAGGGCAAAGTTAGTCTTTTCTTCTATTCAGGCTTTCAACTGATTGGATGAAACCCCCTCACATTATGAAGGGCAATCTGCTGTACCCAGAGTCCACCCATTTAAATGTTTATTTCATTAAAAAAAAAACCACACTCACAGAAACATCCAAAATAGTGTTTTACCAAATACCTGGACACTATGTCCCAGCCAAGTTGACAAATAAAATTAACCATCATGGTAACAAAACATTTGAAAGTATTTTCTTTAAAATCAGGAGAGTGACAAGGGCATTTGCTACTAACATTTTTATCCAGCATGGGTCAGAGGTCCTAGCCAGTATAATAGGACAAGAAAAAGTAATCAAAAGTGAAAAAATTAGAAAGGATGAAACTAAATTTTTATGATCTCCCCGTGATATGATTGTCTCAAAGAAAATTTTCTATCAGAAAATTACTAGATTTGAAAAGAGATTTCAGTGAATTTTCTGGGTATAATGCACAAAGTCTATTTTATTTCCAAATGTTATCCACAAACAATTAGAAAAATGCAATTTAAAAAGATATTATATAACTGCCTAGCCATATGCAGAAAATTGAAACTGGACCCCTTCCTTACATCGTATAAAAGAATCAAATCAAGGTTGGGCACAGTGGCTCATGCCTGTAATCCCAGCACTCTGGGAGGCCGAGGCAGGTGGATTGCTTGAGTCCAGGGGTTCGAGACCAGCCTGGGCAACCCCGTCTCTACTAAAAACACAAAAATTAGCCAGGCGTGGTTGCACGAACCTGTAATCCCAGCTACTTAGGAGGCTGAGGTGGGAAAATCATCTGAGCCTAGGATGTTGAGGCTACAGTGAGCCGAGATCATGCTACTGCCCTCCAGCCTGAGCAACAGAGTAAGACCCTCAGGAAAAAAAAAAAAAAAAATCAACTCAAGATGGATTAAAGACTTAAATACCTCAAACTACAAAAACCCTAGAAGAGGCCGCACGAGGTGGCTCACGCCTGTAATCCCAGAACTTTGGGAGGCAGAGGTGGATGGATCACTCGAGGTCAGAGTTCAAGACTAACCTGACCAACAGGGTGAAACCCCATCTCTACTAAAAATACAAAAAAATTATCTGGGTATGGTGGCAGGCACCTGTAATCCCAGCTACTGGGGGGGCTAAGGCAGGAGAATTGCTTGAACCCAGGAGACGGAGGTGGCAGTGAGCCGAGATCACGCCACTGCACTCCAGCCTGGACGAAAGAGTGAGACTCCATCTCAAAAAAAAAACCCTAGAAGGAAATGTAGGATACCATTCAGGACATAGGCACAGGCAAAGATTTCATGACAAAGATGCCGAAAGCAATTGCAACAAAAGAAATCATTGACAAACGGGATCTAATTAAACTAAAGAGCTTCTGCACAGCAAAAGAAACTATCAATAGAGTAAACAGACCTACAGAATGGGAGAAATTTTTTGCAAACTATGCATCTGACAAAGGTCTAATATCCAGCATCTATAAAGAACTTAAACAAATTTATGAGAAAAAAAAAACCCCATTAAAAAGTGGGCAAAGGACATGAATAGACACTTCTCAAAAGGAGACATACATGTGGCTAACAATCAGGAAAAAAGGCTCAATATCACTGATACTTAGAGAAATGCAAATCAAAACCACAATGCGATACCAATCTCATACCAGTCAGAGTGGCTACTATTAAAAAATCCAAAAATAACAGATGATGGTGAGGTAGTGGTTTAAAAGGACTGCTTTTACACTATTGGTGGGAATGTAAATTAATTCAACCATTGTGGAAGACAGTGTGGCGATTCCTTAAAGACCTAGAGACAGAAATACTATTTGACCCAGCAATTCCATTACTGGGTATATACCCAAGGGAGTATAAGTCATTCTATTATAAAGGCACATGCATGTGTATGTTCATTGCAGCAAAGACATGAAAATAGCAAAGACATGCAATCAACCCAAATGCCCATCAATGATATGCTGGAAAAAGAAACTATGGTACATATACACCATGGAATACTATACAGCCATAAAAATAATGAGATTATGTCCTTTGCAGGGACATGGATGGAGCTGGAGGCCACTATTCTTAGCAAACTAATGTGAGAACAGAAAACCAAGCACTACATATGCCCACTTTCAAGTGGGATCCAAATGATGAGGAACACATGGAAACAAAGAGGAGAACAACACACACTGGGTCCTGTCAGAGGGCAGAGGGTGGGAGGAGGGAGAGGACCAGGGAAAATAACTAATAGATAATAGGCTTGATACATGAGTGATGAAATAAAATATGCAACAAACCACCATGACACATGTTTTCCTATGAAACAAACCTGCACATCCTGCACATGTACCCCTAAACTTAAAATAAATGTTAGAAAAATAAAAATTTTAAAAAGATACCAGATACAATAGCAATTAATGTGTTTGGTACCTAGGACAACATTTCACAAAAGGCATGGAAGATTTTTATGTAAATAATTATAAAACCTTAAAAATGACATTAAAGAAGAACTAAATATATAGACATTGTTTTCATGAGTAAAGACTCACTCTCAGCATTATAGATGCCATTTGTTCCCAAATTGACTTACAGATTCAATATAATTGAAATAAAATAACATTTTACAATAGTATTTTTATTTTATCAAATAAAATTTGACAAGATTGTTCTAAAATGTATCTGGAAGAGCAAAGGGCTCCAAATAACCATAAATACAAGCTGCATTAGAGGTAGATAAGTGGATATATAAGTAATAAAGTATGATATGTCATAGAAATAAACAAATATTCTACCACAGGCACATAACAGATAACCAAATGTTGACTCAGGAATCTGAAAAACTGATATAATTCAAACTGACTCAGCAAATTAGTGAGGAAATAATTAACCAATCCTGTGGATCAATAAGAATGAGTCCCTTGAAAAAGCATTTCTTACGAGCAGAAACGCAAATGGCAAAAAAAAAAACCCATGAAAATGAAAAAATGCTCCGTCATTAATAATTCAGAGAATTGCAAATTAAAACCAACAATTAAATATTATTTTATAGTCACTAGTCTGGAAAATACTTAAATCCTGCCAATCCCATGCTTGGGGAAGGATATGAAGCAAAAGAAAACTCTCATGACTGCTGGTGGACATATAAATTGAAATTACTTTGGAAAATAATTTGACATTATCCAGTAATGTGTGTATTATGTAACTACATAGTTCTGTTCTATTTCTAGGTATATGACTTCAACTCCTGCACAAGTGTACCAGGTAACATGTACAAAAACATTCAGAACAGCATTGTCTAAAGTAGACAATTATGAACATAGCTTGTATTGATTTCCCTTTGCTGTTTAACCAATAGCCACGGATTACATGGCTTAAAACATTTATCATCTCACACGTCCTATAGGTCAGAAGTCTGAGCTCAGCCTAGCTGAATTTGTTACTTATGGCTGAAGTCAAGGTGTTGGCTGGGCTGCGTTTATTTCTAATGTGGGGTTCTCTCTCAAGCTACTGTGACACAGTTGGCAGAATTCAGCTTCTTGCAGCTGTGGGGTTGGGGTTCTCATCTGCTTGCTGGCTGTTGGCTGGGGGCCCGTCTCCACTCTACAGGTCACCAGCAATTCCTTGCCATATGACTGTCTCCTGCTTTGAATCGCTCTGATTTTATATAAGGATTCATCTGAGTAGATTAGGCCACCCATGATTATCTTCTCAACTTAAAATCAACTGATTAGGGATTTTAATTACATCTGCAAAGCCTCTTCACAGCAGCTCCTAGATTGTTGTGTGATCCAATAAGTGGGAGAAGGTATCTATACATCAGGGTTTGATTATTTGGGTGCCATCCCGGAATTCTGCCTGCTGCACAGTCCAAATGTTCTATTTCATTAGAGTGAATAATTATATGTTTTAAGATATAGTCATGTGACAATAACTTACAGTAGTGAAAACAAAGTTGAGTTACATGTATTTGGATGAAAGTCAAAAGTATGTTAATGGAAAAAATTAAATAATAAAAATATTACAGCATGATTCCACTAATATAAATGCCAAAAATGTGCAGAATTACACAAAATTTAAGTTTATAATACACATAGGTGCAGAATAACATCTAAATATAATCAAGATGATTAGCACAGATTTAGAAAAGACTTCTGGATTGGAAGGCAGAAAATGAGTGCAATTAGGGAGGGAATGCAGGGGGATTTAAACTGAATATTAATGTTCTATTTCTTAAGCTGGTGTTATAAAAATGTATAAGTACTGTATATATTTTTAAAATGCTACATATGCATATTTTGTACATTTTTATATAATAAATTTTACATTAAAATATTTTAAGATAAAATTAAATATGTTTAAAAGCTATTTCATTTACAAAAGCAACAAAAAATGAAATAATAAGAACTGTGCAGTCTCAATATAAAAAAATCTGTTGAATATCCTAAATAATGACTTGAATGAATGGAAATAGGTCTTTTAAATCATAGGATCCAATATTATCAATATGTCAAAGACATAGTTTAAAAGACCAAATTTGTCATCATTTTCTATTAAATTTATAATGTATGTGTGACTTTCAGCTTAATACAAACAGGAAAAAGATCAATAGTAAGTCCTTTCATTATTTCCATAAAATTTCTCCTTTTATTTTCTAATCTTTCCCTGAAAAATGAAACTAACTTTAGTAATTTGCTGCCATCGTGCTTCCCACCTGGAGCAAATGCTGTGTTCTTCCTGGTGCTGCCTTATGGGTGCATTTCTAGCAGCAAGTTCTGCTGTAACCAATGCATTTAAGGAGCGTGAAGAGGAACTGGCTCCATCTTCCCTGCTCTAATTTCCCAAATAATGTCTGTGAATATAGTCTTCACAACCTGACTACCTAATTAAGAAAGTGACATGTTTGGAAAAGATTTAAAATGCCAGTGTTTGTCAAGCTGTTTGTTTAGTGAACTCTCTGGGTACGCTGTTACGCAAGAACTGTCTTAATTAAGGTTAATTGATGCCTAATTAGAGGCACTGCCTTTGGAAAATATTCTACTGGTGGCAAAACAATGAGAACCCTTAATGTCTAGATTGAAGGACAAAGCAATTGCAATCAGCCAAATTTCAAGATATACCCTCTGCTTCCAACACAGAAGCTTTGCCCCTGGTCTGACCTATTTGGAAAACGACCTCTTTCAAGTGTTTGGAAACTTTTTGTGGACTTTGGATACCACAATTATTTTAATAAAATTATTTTTATTGTATATATGTAATATATAACATCATATTTTGATATACATATTTGCATTGAAATGATTACTACACTCAAGCCAATTAACATATCCATGATTTCACATAGATAGCTTGTGTGTGTGTGTGTGTGTGTGTGTGTGTGTGTGTGTGGCAAGAGCACCAAAAATCTACTGCCTTAGCAAATTTCCAGTATACAGTACAATGCTATGTACTGTAGTCCACATGCTGCACATTAGATCTACTCTAGATGCATTCATCTGAAAAACTGCAACTTTGTACCTTTTTGTCTACATCTCCCTATCTCCCCCTACCTCTGGTAATCACATTTCTACTCTAATTTTATGTATTCAAGCTTTTTTAAGATGCTGTATATAAGAAAGATCATGCAGTATGTTTTCTTTTCTGCTTATTTCACTTAGCATAATGTCTCTAGGTTCATCATATTGCAAATGGCAGGATCTCCTTCCTTTCTAAGGCAGAATAATATTCCATTTTGTGTGTGCGTGTATCACAATTTTTTATCCAATCATCTGTTGCCAGACACTTAGGTTGTTTTCATATCTTGGCTATTGTGAATAATGATTCGATAAACATGGGAGTGCAAATATCTTTACAAAGTGCTGATTCCATTTGCTTTGAGCATATGCCAGAATAGGAATTGCTGGATCACATGGTAGTTCCATGTTTAATTTTTGAGGAATTTCCATACTGGTTTCCATAGTGATTTTACCAGTTTCCATTCACAGCAAAAGTGCTCAAGGGTTCCATTTTCTCTACATCCGTGTCAACAGTCGTTATCTTTTGTCTTTTTGATAATAGCCATCTAACAGGTGTGAGGCGATATCTCATTGTGGTTTTGATTTTCATTTCCCTGTTTTTTAGTGATGTTGCATACCTTTTCAAATACCTGTTGGTCATTTCTATGTCTTCACTGGAGAAATGTCTATTCACATCCTTTGGTCGTTTTTCAACTGGGCTATTCATTTTATGCTATTGAGTTGTCCTATCCACAAAGTCATTGCTAAAACCAGTTTTATGGAGTTTTTCCCTTTTTTTTTTTTTCGGGAGCTTTATAATTTCAGGTCTTATATTTAGGTTGTAATTAATTTGGAGTTGATTTTTGTGTGTGGCGTAAGGGTCCAGTATCATTCTTCTACAAGTGAATATCCAATTTTCCAGCACCATTTATTGAAGAAACTATCCTTTCTCCTTGTGTCTCCTTGGTGTTGTTATTGAAAACTAGTTTTTTGTATACTCTTGTGTTTATTACTGGGCTCTCTATTCTGTTCCATTAGTTCAGGTGTCTGTTTCTATGCCAGTACCAAGATGTTTTAAAATGTTTTGACTACTATAGGTTTGTAATACAATTTGAAATCAGATACTGTGATTACTCCAACTTTGTTTTTATTTCTCGAGATTGCTTTAGCTATTTGGGGTCTTTCGTGGTTCCACAGACATTTTAGAATTTTATTTCTATTTCTGTGAAAAGAGCCATTGGAATTTTGATAGGGTTTGTGTTGAATTTATATATCACTTTGGATAGTCTGGACATTTTAACAGTATTAATTCCTTCAATCCATGAACACAGAATATCTTTCCACTTATTCATGTCTTCTTCAATTTCTTTCGTCAATGTTTTATAGTTTTCAGTGTACAGATCTTTTACCTTCATGGTTAGATTTGTTCCTAATTATTTTATTCTTTTTGATATTATTGTAAATGTGGACAAAGCAATTCTGATTCCAGCCTCATGGTAGTTACAAGAAAACAATGAGTAATCAATTTAGTCGTGGGGTGCTTATTATTCTAAACTATGTTAAAATTTACGTCAGGCAAAAATCAGTCAATTCCACTTTCTCTGTTCTTCTTATCTTTTTCCTCTGCAAAAAGGGAGAAGTGGGGTGGATGGGAAGATGAGCATAGAAAACACAGGCAACCTTTTACTCAGGGTCTTCTCAGTAATGGAGAATTGACTAGGAAGAATGTGATGGCCTTTTCTCATGTCTATCCACAGTGCTATGGTGCATGATAGTGCACCATAAATCTGGTTTTCTCATAAGTCTGGCTTTCCTGGTAGTGAGGGCACCAAGTACTAAAATGAATGCCAAAGGAAGTCATAAAAATTTCATTGGTACTTTAAAAAATAGGACAAAAGTGCCTAGCAATGCCTGACCTATAATAAGAACTTATTATACTTGGAAGCCAGAAATTGACTGAAACTTCTGTAAAACAAACAAACAAACAAAACCTTTTTTGTTTGCTTGCTGTTCATTTATTTTTTTTTTAAATTTCCAATTCATTGTGGACCAGTATTTTTATAAAATATAATACAAATGAGATACTAAAAACTAAATAAGATAAAATTCAAGACCAAATATATTATTATGAGATTCAACAGACATAAAATAGAGTTGAATTGTTATATGAGTTTATAATATTTCTGTACTAATCTCTATGAAGACTTGTAAGAAACAGTTCTTGCAGCAGTGCAGGTCTGTGGAACCTATGTTGAATACAACTGGACTAGATAATGTGTCAAAGTATTTATGTCCTGGATGTTTTGAGTAAACTTCACATCTGTTTACTCTTTCTCCAGTTGGTTGTTGCTTTATATCTTCTCTCTTCTCCATAAAGAATTGAAATATTCATAAATTCGTAAAGCCTTTTTGTTCAGGCCAGAACTGCTTACCCTTCTGACACGTTTAGATATTCTTCAAAGAATACTTTATTGCTTGAGAGAGAGGATTTACTGCTCAATAAAGAAATAATAATATGTGCTAACCAGCACACTGCTTGCTTTTGTATTCAGTTTAAATGCATTGGGTTTTTTGACAGATGAACCTTTGATAACATCAGTTACTATTTTTTCTTAACTTTCCTTGAAACTTAAAAAAAATGTTCCACATAGAACGAATAGTGGCATGTTTAGATAAAGTAGTGGGCGTGGGATCAGTTTCCTCTAAATGATTGGGCCTTGCTTGTCTGTTGTGTTCACCTGGAAATTGAGCCTCTGTCTCTGAACACTCAGTAGGAAGGCTTTCTGTCCAGATGAATGGTCATTAAATATAAGAAAACTTCCTGTCTACTGCAGAGCAGGCTGAAAGGTGTTGTTTTATTAATTAGAGTGAGGAGCTTCGTAGGCTACTCCTGGGTCTGGTAAGTGAGTCTCTGCACCTTCTAATGGTGCATTCTAGTTTGTAAGACTTTGAATCATAGACGCATACTGTGAAGGCCAAGGAATGAATTTATCACCTGAAAAAGGTGGGGTATTACAGGCCTCTTTTCAGAAGAATGTCTTGTTCATTATTCAGAGTATATATAGATTTTGGTTAGCCCACATCTAAGTTAATTCTGTGTACCATCATCTTGCAAGCATCAGCAATTTACAAGTTTTCAGGAAATTGAGAAGCAATGAAATACGTAAACATCTAATGCTCTGCTGAACATGACTAAAATCTCCTTAATGGCTTTGAAGGCAGTTCAGGATTTTCCCATTTCTCTGTGTAATCATTAAAAGCAACACTTTTCACAGTGCTGGACAACAAACACAAAAGGATTGAATCATGGCCTGATTCTGTTTTATTCTATGACACACTCCAGCTATTTATTGAGCAAAATTCTGATAACTTTGTTCATCATTCAACCATTTAAACTGGAGTTGTAGAGTTAAGGGCATGAGAAGGTATTCAAGCTTTTTCAATATAATTATTTCACATACAAGACTCTTGGCTCAAAGCATTTACCTGAAGAGAAGTTGATTTTTAAAGTCATTGTATTGTTTAATTTTTTCAAATAAAACATTTTAAAAGAACATCGTATTTCCTTATTTTGTCTCCCTTCTAATTATAAAAGAATGCTCTACCTCATGTCTGCTGACACAACTACCAAGAATTAGTCCGAACAGTGTAAGAATGTTCTACATAACAGGTAAGTTTTATATGCAAATTAAGGACTTGTAATTTATGTGACCCAAGGAATGCCAAGAATTGGATCAGAAAATAACTTAATTTTTTGGCCATTTAAAAATCTGTTTTCCTAACTGACATTTCAATAAATAGAAAATGTCAACATGGAATGTCTTTTTAGAGTGTACAGACAGGAAACTATTAGATTGAAATACATAAAATTGCCATATTTGTGGGTAAAAATTGCTCAAATATTGGCAATTTTAGGTGGTTTAGTCTAACAGCTGATGTGGCAGGTGTTTCAAAAGTTTGAATCTAAAAATAGCAACTTGGATACTTTTGGTAGATGGCCTGAAATTTCCCACAGAGTCATATTTTCTTTAGAGTAATTTGAAATTAAAACAGTCTGTTTATGAAAAAGAAGGAAACAAAAGACAGATTTATCTCTTCCATCCTGTTAGCATAAAAAGGAAATACAGAGATAGTCAATGAAGTAGTGTAATGAACCATAAGCGCGGCATTTGAAAGTAACACGATGTCTTTTCTCTATATTCAAACTGACATTTGAGAGAGATATGTTAAAGAGAGTGATAATTTGAAGGGATTTTTTTCTCTTTATTGCTGATTTCAAGATATAAAAATATATTTGCATCTCAGGCCCTTAACTCTTTTGCATTGGTTTAAGGTTATAGAAATCTTTGTATAAATCTTTGTATTGGTTTTTTATGCATTAAAATGGGTGATCATGCTGAGTTTTTCACTTACTGTTGATTTCAAGATATTCAAAACTTAGTTCTATAAGTGATTAGTGTTGCTCGAGTACAACCTCGTTTTGAAAGGAGATCTGCATTTCTATGGCCACTTAAATAGGATTCCAAGGAAACATTAAACTCCAAGTGAGTTTATTTAAACTCTCCATTGATTTTGGATGCTTAGAAGTAACTTCCCTCAAAATATTGCCATAGTCAACAGTAATGTGGCTCTTTAAACATCTACATTCTGTATTGGAAGGACATGCCATGCTAGATTTGTGAGTACGAAGCAGCCGTGTGACTTTCTGAACAATGGCAAAGTAAATGTGTCTCTGATTTCACATCTCTAGCACTATTCAAGTGTTGATAGCATTAATATCCAAAATATATGCCTTACACTTGAGGAAAAAAGTCATCTCACGCCAAGCTAATAAGCACATTCTTAACAATTATACATATATTACTCTGTACTTATAAAATACTGCTTATCAATGTTCAACGCTATGGCAACATTCTATTCTTAAGTGTATTAATCTCAAGAGTATCCTTCAAACTTTTTCATCTCTATCTTTTATTCCATGTCACCAATGTGCCAGGAACTGGGCAAGATGTTTTTGTATCTCTTAGCTCACTTTATTGTCACTTACAACTCTACGAGTAGCTGTGATCTCTATTACCTATCCTCGGGCATAAGGATCGCACACCTAGTGACTAGAAGGAGGAGATTTGAAACTCAGTCTTTCTTCTTTCATAGTGTGAGAGTTGCCCTGAAATGCATGTTGCAGGTGTAGCTAGGTGTTTTGAAATTTCTGCACTAGAGTGTCTTAGACTTCAATAAAAATTATCTGAGAATCTTGCTAAAATGCTGACTCTGATGTAGTAGATTGGGGTGGGGTGGGCGAGTCTACAGTTCTGATAAGCTCCCAGGTGATGCTAATGCTGCTGGTCCGGCAATCCACCTAGAGCTTTGAGGATCTACACTACTGGATGCATGGCCAGGTAGAGAGTTAAGGCCTGCACTTTAAAATGAAAAGACTGCTTTGAGGAGAAGCAGGTGTCAGATATTTAAATCAGCCATATCCTAACAAGGCAAATGTGGTACTATAGGTGTGGGAGCTCCTGGAGCCTATGAAATTAAATAGGAGTTGGGAGATCTGGGAAAATTAGCCAAGAATATTTTAATTTAGATGAGCTATACAAGACAGAAATCATGGAATAGGGATGATCAAAAATAGGACAGTGGGGGATGAAACAGGGAAGAGAAAATTGGGAGGGGATGTTCTGGCATTTATGTCATGACCTGCCATCACGCCCTGTTAGGAGTGGCTTCTGGCAAGTGAGTACTTAAAAAGATACTGTACCTGGGAATGCACTTTTATGGAAGCATTCATCACACAGAACTGTCAAAATTAGTCTAAGTTTTTGTTTCCTCCCCGAATGAAGGCAGAGGCTATGGTTGTTCACTTGCCTATGAATGAATGAGAGCAGGAAGTTTTAATGGAGATCAGGCACTCTGGGTTATCTATTAACTAGCTTTTGGTTAGTAGAGATACTTTCATTTGTTATGTGGTACCTTAACAGTCAAAGTGTTATCCTGGGAGAAGCAGCCTCGCATCATCTGGGAACTTATTAGAAATGCAAATCCTTGATCCCTACCCCAGATCTATTGAATCTGAATTTGCATTTTAGCAAGATCTGTGGGTGATTCCTATGCACATTAAAGTTTGAGTTGCACTAATATAGTAGAAAGTGGGAGTCTGGAAGAAAGGCCCAGTTGTTTGCTAAGTTTTGATGGGAACAGAGAGAGGTTTGGGAAAGAAAGAATTATTTATAGGCTTACCAAAGAGATGAAGCCCAGAGAGCATGAGGATGCTGGCTTAACTGAATCAAAGCTGCAAATTCAAAGCTACTACTTGGAGCAGAAAAGAGCTGTTTGGATAACCTTGTTAACTTAGGCACATTAGGCAATTCCTGATGGCTCAGTGGTATTGCCTCTCAGGGCCAGAATGCCTATGCAATTACTTCCCTGGCACCATCAATAACCACCCATGACCAGATCCAAAAACAAGAGAATTTGTAGCTCAGTTCAACAACAGTTTCCTCTATTGCTTGGGTAACCTTGCACCCTTGCCCAGGAAAGGCACATGTGAGGAGTTAAAATTGTTTAAGAAAAATATGTCAGACTCTCCTTTATCAGAATGTTTTTACTCCTTCGTAGAAAGCTCCCCCTCTTCAAGATATCTTGACCCTCATTATCTTAAACTGTGTTGTCAACAAGATCAAAAGCAGCTGAAGCAGAAGGACAAGCCAACAGCTTATAGCTTCTTGCTTCTTCCTCTATTATGACACTAAGCACATTGGTGCAATTGGTTTACAGGCTGTATCAATTAGTATCTTTCATGTTACCAACCTTCCCAAATGACCTTTATTTAGTGCACAACTCCGGACATAGTTGGGCAATTCTTCTGGCCTTAGACGGCATGTGTTTATGGTCAACTGCCAGCTTGGCTAGGGGCTGGATGTTCAAGTTGGCCTCTGTAGGCCACTTCCTCTCTGCTCTGTGTGGTTTCTGATCTTCCAGCAGGCTAGCTTAAGTTTGTTTATATGCCAGTAGCAAGGTTCCCAGGGGTTGCCAGGTGCACCCAGTCTCTGAGGCTCAAGGTGGAACCAGCATACTGACATTTCTGTTCCATTTCATTGACAAAAGCAAGTCACATGCCATCCAAGACTCAAGGGTGGAGAAATAGATATAAAATGCTTCAGTGCCATAAATACTGTAAATACAGAGAGGGGAAGAATTATGTCCCTTTTTGCAATCAACGTGCTACACAGGCCAAATAAAAGATCAGAAGACTTTCACAGACAGGGACCATGTTTCATTCATCTTGATTTCTCTAGCACCATCTTGGTGTGCTTAGCATCTGACATATTTTGGACATTTAACAAATGTCTTAGAAAGAGTTTAATTCATTTTGTTTTGCTCTTTAAATAAGCTTCGAAATCTCTGATCAGAATCCAAATTCTGTTGAAATGTGATTATCATACTCATGGAGGGGATCAGAATATGCCACTTCAAAATATGCTACATTGGCATAAGGATTATTTTGAGCTGAAGAGAGTCGAGAAAGAGCAGATTTAGAAAGAGCTGTCTGAATTCCTCCATCTGACTATATGCAAGGCAGAAATTTCCATTTTTATTGGTGTCCCTCTCTCCAGAACCAGGAAGAGAAAAATGACTTCAGAGATGGCTCCCTACCAGAGATGGCATTGAAATGAGTCTACGTAAGCAAACCTTACTAAATAAACCTTGTTTATCACTAATTTACCTCATATGTTTACCTTCCCATAAGTTACTGCCTCTTGAAACCCAAAATCTCTTTTCTTTGTCTAGTCACTTTCCACAACGTATTGCCATTTGTTAAAACAGCATATAAGTCCCCAAGTCTAACCACTCCTTTAGATTTTTACTTCTTTTATATGAAGCTTCTGTGCATGTAAACTTTTTCTTCTTTTTTGTCAGTTTAATTTACAGGTTCCAGCAATGGAACCTAAGAGGATAGACGAAAAGTTTTTCTTACCTTAAACTCACAAAGATTACCTGATTACCCTGATTAGGATAACTTTTTGTCCAATTGTATATTTGACAACTTACAGAAAGAGCCACAGTAAAAAAAAAAAAAAGAGACAATTAGAAAACATAAAATTTGAATGATATTTTTGAAAATGAGCCTTGTCTCATTTAATAAAAATTCTTTTAAAATTTTTCACCCAAAGATATTTTTTATAAAATCATTTATAAGGATAAATACTGTGAGAAAACTAAAAATACAATTGCAAGTTTAAGCAAAAGTTGTGATATACCCACATGACACAATATTAAGCATCCATTATGAAGACATGAATGGAAAATACTTTATAATATTAATATTAAAATATAAATACTTGCATTTTATACTTATATCTTATAAATACAAGTATTTGTATCTGATACTTATAAGAATATTTATATGAATATAAATTATGAAAATACAAGTATTTATATCTGATAAATATTTTCAAGTATTTATATTTTAACAGAATGTAAATGAAATATATAACATATAAATAATATAATTGTTTTAATAATTTATATTCATATGTTTGTAAATAAAAATATAACATATTTGTAAGTTTATCAGTACAAACATAATTTATATTTATATAATACAATTTAAATAATTATAAAATATAAAAATATCCATACAATATTATTATATATAATATAAACATACATCAATATAAGGCAGACACTATGACTAAATGCAAGGCATGAATATGCCTGGGTAGATGACCTATAGTTTATATATATATATATATATATATATATATATATGTGTGTGTGTGTGTATATATATATATATATATATATACACACACACACACACACACTTATAAATTTAAATTTTTATGCATTTTTTATTTTCTAAATATCCTGCAATACAAATATATGATATGCTTAAAATAAAAAATTAATGTAACATAAGGAAAGACATAAAGAAAAGTGGAAGGAGAGAGGTAGGGGAGGTAATCTCTTATCTATTCTATAAGGAGCTTTTTCTATAACATCACAGATTGCTATATAAGCTCATTTAATTCATGTTCTTACCTTCCTGTAGGACCACAACAAAATTACGGAGAAAGTTTCTTCCAGGGAACAAGTTAAATAGTTCAGCTATCTTCACAGCCATGGAAATCCACTTTCCTGGAAATCTTCATTGGGAAGAGCATATAGGTCTCAGCCATCAGAGCAGCACAGATATGGGGACAAAGGCCCAATGTTGCTGACCTCACTGGAGAAGTTGAACACCAAGGACAGTCCTAAAGAATTAGTTAAAGATCACACAGAGATGTGTGGAAGGCAGCAGAACCAGTCCTTCCTAAGTGTCTTGGTGGAGGCATAGGATGAGGATGAGGAGGGGCATAGGATGCCAGTCCTATCTCAAGAAGCCATGTGATGATTGCAAAAGGAAGGGACACAAGATCTGCTCATTCAGATCCACAGGTAAACCAGGAAAGGAGGAGAAATTTGGAGAGGACTGTTTGTGACGATGGAGTCAGACAGTAGTTTCAATTTGGAGTCCTTATTGGGATATAACTGCTCCTTGGGCTGACTCGCACTGGAGAAATGCCATTTCATTAGCATCTCATTAAATAAGTTTTCTCCTTTTTCTTCCTCAGCTTTGTCTCTGTCTTCCTTTTCTTCTTCTTCCGCTTAATATTTTTTGTTTTTTCTGTTGCTCTTCTTCCTATTCTCCCCCTTTTCTTATCTCCTGAATTACTGCCAATTACCAGCACAAGGGGGACCTCCCAATTGATGAATGTAGAAACCCCAAATTGTGATTTTGATGATCCCTAAGGTTTGTTACTCTCTTCTTATAGTCAACAGTCATTCCCATTCACTTCCACTTCAGTACTCTCTTCTAAATCTCATTTTAAATCTCTCCATTTTAAACCTCTTTTCCTCATGATTTATAAACATGGGATGTCAGAGACTTTCTTCAGGCTGGTTCATTTAAGTATTAAAACATTTCATCAGTGTGCAACTGCCTTCAAATTTCAACTTTCATGGCCTGTGCTTTTGCTAAATTAATAGTCAGCACTTCCATAGCATTTGTGATTTTCAAAGCAATCTGCAAGCATTAATTAATGCTAATGCTACCCTAAGAGAATGCTGTAACTAGCTAACTGACTGAACTTTATCTCAAATTATTTTTAAATGGTTTTCAACTTGGGAGGGAAGCTGGAGTGAATGTGCAAGAGTGTATAGGATTTGGTATCATTTGCTGCCTCCTAAAAGTAATGATGCAGTAAATTGAAGTGAATCATCCTCAAAAGGATATTAAGGTTTGATCCACCTGGAATTAATCATCTCTAAGAATTACCTGTTGCCTAAACTGCATCTATCAAGGCAGTTCTTGGAATAAACATCTACGGACAAAAATAACTCATAATCCGGGCATCACGTTTCTCCTTACTTACTTTAGTTGCAATCATAGGATTCCATTATTCTGTTTCCTTTGATTCTTGTCACTATTTGCCAAAGAGGAAGTCACGGCCCTGGCTTGGGGAGCTCCCAGGTCTGGGCTCTCTGAAGGACCACCCAGCTCTTCTCTCTTTCTCTTCACCTGTAACATGGTAAGCAAGAGGCATGTTTTAGCCTTGTTCGTGTTACAGATTTTTTATCTTCACTATTTGGTGGGTCCCAAATTCTTGTCTTGTGAACAGGAAGAATGATGTATGCAGACAACTGAAGGGTGAGCAAGTTGAAGTTGAGCTTTATTGAGCAATAGAACAGCTCAGAGGAAACCTTTAGCAGGCAGCTCCTCTCCATAGCCAGGGTGTCCTGATGAGTGTTCAGCTCCTGGCAGAGGGGGTAGCTCCTCTCTGCTAGGCAGGTCGTCCCAATGAGTGTTCAGCTCTCAGCAGAGAGGGTAGCTCCTCTCTGCAGCCAGTCCTCCCATTGTCTGTTCCAGCTCTCAGCAGATTGGTAGTTCCTCCCCACAGCTGGTTGTCCCATGTCTGTTCAGTTCTAACTGAGTCTAGGGCTTTTATGGGCCTCAGAAGGGAGGAAGTGCATGCCCATTAGTCCATGGGCAGCCATGGGTGGATCAGGAGAAGGCACCATAAGTTCCCACTCCGGACCCTGGCACTGGAAGCTGGGCCCATAACCCTCAGGCCCTTCCTGGCCTGAAGGTGGAGCCTCATTGGGGAACCCCCACCTTCCACCCAGGAGCCTGTCTGCATCCTGCCACTGTCCATCGCACCCAGGCTGCTCGCACCAAGGGGCACATGCAGGCCAGTGCCAAGCTGACCTCAACCCCACCTCAGCTTCTCCCCCATGCTTGTTGGACCCCAAACTCTGGAGGGGGCTGAGGTGGCAGGGGGGTGGTGTGTCAGAGCTGCCCCAAATGTGTGCACATCTGATCAGGCTGTGACAGCAACTGGGCTTGGCCCCAACTCCATTCCGAGATCAGAGCAGGCTCTGGGAGTAGGGGGAGGTCAGGCAGTGGGAGACACCCCCAAGCCTGAGAGGCCGAGGGGGCCTGGGGCCCCCGAGGTTGCAGAGTGCAGAGTGCAGAGAGGGACCCTGTGCCTGGGAGAGCAGGGCTCCTGCTCACTCCATAGAGTGTGCAGGCAGCCCTGGCCATGCCTTTTCTCAGCCTGGGGTGGGGGTTCCAGGTCCTCACTGAGCCCCTCTCTGCCCGCCCTTCCCTGCGCCATCACAGTGGCCCCCAGGGCAGTGGTCTCCAGGGGGGCTTCCACCGGCCCTCTGGAGCGTGGCACAACCCTTGACCCAGCTGTGCCTCCTCCCTGGTGTCCTCCCTGCAGTGGCTGACATGATGGCAACAGCTGCTCTGGACAGCCTGCTGCTGCCATCAGGAGGTAGGGTAGAGCGGTTTCAGAATAGCAGCATAACACTGGAAGCAAGCACTGGACTCAGGTGACCATGGGTCCAAATCCTAGTCCTTTGTGGATAGGTGACCTTGAGAAAATTCTGTCCCTCTTGGGCTTCCATTTCCTCATGTGTGGAAGGAGGATGACGATAATTAGAGTGAGTATGGGGTGATGTGAGATTTAAATAAGGTAATATATGAGAAGCACTGTGCTTGGCCCCAGATAAAGACATAATAGGAACTTGCATTAAACAATAGGGAGGAGTCAAAAGGCTTTCTCGATTGGTTTTCTTCTTCTTTTGGTCATCGAGTTAAGTATTTCACCGTCTCTGCCCTGGGTGTGCATTCTCCTTCATGATGAAAGTGAGTCTTAAGGCTGGAGTTCCTGTTTCTTGGAGTATGTAAGGTTACTCTAGACGACCTTTCTGCTAGAACAAAAATAAATACTCAGAAGTATTGAAAAACAGAGTATGTTCAAATTTATTACTGAACCGATAAGAAGAAAGAATATTCAAAAGCTAAAAACTTAGTGCAGGTAGGAGTCAGGCAGGATATAGGAGAAGCAAGTTTGTCCAGAAGGCATTTGTTGAATCTACGTGATGTGGAGCCTCGGATTTTATGGCCTTCTGGGCATGCAAGAATTAGGAGATACAGCCTTCGGCCCTCACCACACCATGGAGCAGTGTATTAGGTTTATCTCTGCTCCCAAAATTGGCACTATAATGGACTGCCCCCTTGCTGTCAGGGGATCTATTAGTAAATCTATGCTGCCCACCTGCTCCCTAAGAGAACTGCTAGGAAATTTGCCCCTTTTGAACTGTGGTTCTGGGTGAAAGGAGAAAAACATCTTGGAGAATTTATAACCAGCCTGCACAAGAGTTTGCATCCTGAATTGATATAACTTGTGTGATCCCAAAAAACCTCCAGCTTAGAATTTCATGTAAGGTGCAATGATTCCTCCAGGTACCTTGCAAAAAAGCCCTAAAAAAAAAAAAGCCCCAGAAATCCAAATTCTCCCTTAGCTATCCTTTTTCAAATTCTCCTGTGCATGAGGTTATGATTAAAATAGAAATTCTTATTCAGGAGGTCTGGGGCGGGGCTGAGATTCTGCAGGTCTTACAATCTCACAGGTGAACCCTCTGCTGCTGACCCATGGATCACACTTTGAGTGAGGGCAGAGACCCAGCTTCAACTCACATCTCAGAGAAGTTCCATGTAAAACATCCTGAGGGTATAGTTTTAGTCAATTCTGCTTGCTATAACAAATTACTATAGAATGGGATGGCTTAAACAACATTTATTTCTCACAGTCCTTGAGGCTGGAAGTCTGAGACGAGAATGCCATCATGGTTGAATCCGGGTGAGTGCCCTCTTTCAGGCTGCAGAGAGCCGCCTTCCCCTTGTATCCTCACATGGTGGAAAGAGGGGCAAGGGAACTCTTTGGAGTCTTCTAATAAGGACACTAATCCCTTATATGAGGGTTTCACCCTCATGACCTAATCACCTCTCAAAGGCCTCACCTTCAAATACATTCACATTGGGGATTAGATTTTAATATATAGATTTTAAAAAGAACACAAGCATTCAGTCTATTATGGGTATGAAATCACAAGTCATAACTTTAAAACACAAAAGAAAACAAATGCTAGGAGAGAGAATTAGTTCAGCAAATCCTTCAGATATTACAATTATCCAGCTGAGATATAAAATGGATATTTAATACATTTTAATAATTTATGTATGAGTGAAAATATGAGGAAGAAGAAAGAAACTCATAGAAATAATAAGGTTTGGTAAAACCAAATAGAACTTCTAGACATAAAAATACATATATAATTATAAAGTTTTAAAAGTTAGTAGATGGATTTCAGTGAAGATTAAATCTAGCTGAAGAGAATATTATTTTTAACTGAGATATAGATCTGAAAATGTATTTAGAATAAAGCTTAGAAAGACAATGAAGAAGAGAACACTGTCAGAGACTTCTGTATAACTAAAGTAAGACAAAAATGTTCAGGTTTAGGATGCCCAACAAATTTAAAACAGAATAAAATGAAAAAATTATACTAATCCATGGCAAAGAGATTTTCAAAGGAACTTAGTGAAAAAGACAACCAACTGCAAACTTTACAGTAAAACCAATGGAAACCAGAAGATAGTCAACAAATATATTCAATGATCTGGGAGAAAATAGTAGTTAACCTAGAATTCTCTCTTAAAATGATCTTTTCACAGTGAAAATAAGGTTTGTTAAAATGTGTAAATAGAAATATGGTTAATCATTAACAGTCTTGTAAAATAAAATCTAGAGGATGTATTTCTGATGAAATTCAAGATTCAGATTCCAGATAGAAATTTTATAAGGCATAATTTGCAAAATATTTTTTAAAAAGATATAATACATGATAATAATAACAAAAAGAGAAGTGATTGAATTTATTGTGTTTAAAGTATTTGTTTTGTCTGGACGATGTGCAAAGATACTGACAAACTTTTGACTTTAGTAACTTAGTTTCTTCAATTTCTAGGGAAACCAATAGAAGAAGAGAGGCAGAATGTATGACTTCTATGTTATTAAAAAACAAAAAAATTTACCTAAACAAAGTAAGAAAGATGAAGCAACAGAAAAGGTGGCCTACAAAGACACACACACAAAAACAATATAAATAAACTCAGAAATAATAATAGACATGGATATAGATATAGTAGTAATTATAGTGGCTAAAAATGGGTTAAATGTTTCAGGAAAAGATTGTCAGGCAAGATAAAAATAAAAAAGGAAACAACTAGCTGAGTGGTCCTTACATTGTGATCTTTGGGCAAAGCCGCTTCAGCATCACCTGGAAAATTGTTAGAAATGCACATTCCGAAACCCACCCCGGACCTACTGAAACAGAATCTATGGTGCTGGGTCCTAAAGACCTGTTCTTTAACAAGCACTCCAGGTGATTCTGAGGCATGCTCAAGTTTGATAACCATTGCTCAAGCTATATGTTCCCTACAAAAGACATGTCTAATACATGAGTAGAGAGGTCTAAAAATTATAGATAAATGTGCACCAGGTAAATATTAGCAACAACAACCACAAAAGCTTGTGTAGCTATACTAGTATCAGCTGCAACAGACTTATGTGAAACCTTCTTATGAGAGTTAGATTTCTTCATTAGTTTGCTTTCATTTGGTAACAATTAATTTCCAAATCTCAGTGCCTTCCAACAACAAACATTTGTTACTTTTGGGCAGGTGCAGCTGGCTGCTGCCACTTGCCCAACTCTGTTCCACATTTTCTCACTATTTAGAAGTGCATATTCACTGGCAGAGGGAAAGAGCAAGACAGATGGGGGAAACACATGATCACTTTTAAGGCTTAAACTCCTCGGTGGCAAACATTACATCTGCCCATATTGTGTTGGCGAAAGCATGTCACTTGGTCCAGCCCCTACAGAGGCAGGTATGCAGACATGTCTTTCTCACACAAACATTGTATGTCATAGCAATATGCCGAGGTGTATAAGCTTCTTATGGAAGTGAGAGTAAATATTAGGAATACGAATATAATCTATCTTAGTCTGTCCTCTTAATCACAAATCTCCTCCTTTTTCCATTATGCCTACAAACTACACTCAAAGGCCCCATGGAACATACTGCAAGGTCTCATCCAATTGTGACATCCGGCTCAAAGCCCAGGATTTTATAGGCATCTCTGCACTGGAAAATCCAATGCATAATGGTGGAATAGGGACAGGAAAGTCAAAACAATCACTTCCATTCATCAGGGAGAAGGATGGGAGGCATGGAGCAGTCACTGGTTTAGAGCAAATCTGAAATTCTGCTCAACAAATGCTGGAAGTCTCCCTTTTCTGGGGTAAGAAATGTTCCTTGATTATGCACCAGTGCTGCTCCTTGGAAGTAACTCTTTTGCTCTCAAGACTCTTGACTCACTTCTCTGAAGATCTTTCCTCTTCCATTGTCCTTCTTGGTCACATTTGTAATGGATATTGTAGATTATGCCCTTTTTGGGGTCGAGCAACTCTTTCAATTTGCTACCTGCTCGTAGAACACTGGGTGCCCCGAATGTCATTTTAAGTCTCCGGTAGAGATTTTTGTTTGTTTCTGTTTTTTTAAGTTGGACTAGTGGTTCTTTGGAGAATATAATTCATTTAAGTCTAGGGATCTCCATTTGCCAGTAGCCACAGTCAATTCTTTCCAATAAGTAATTTTCTTTAGATTTAATTTAATTATAAGTACCAATCACTCTTACCAGGATTGTTTCCATGTGTTCACTAGTATCTCTCAAACAGCCCGGAGTGAGTGCTCTGACACTTTCAAATCCTTCCCTCTCTGTGATGTTTAGGTCTCACCAGAAACCTTCTTTTTGTTTCATCCCAAATTGATTGCTGATTTTTTCCTTCCTATTTAAAAAATTTTGGTAAAATATCCATAACATAAAATTTAACCATTTTAACTGTTTTTAAGTGTACAATTCGGTGGCATTAAGCACATTCACAATGTTATGCAGTCATTACTATGATCAGTTTCTTATTTTTTTAACATCACCATGACTGCTTTTATAGACCTGATATATGGTATAAAGAATAAAATTTAAATTCCTCCATGGCATAGAAAGTCTTCCCTTCCTAAGGTCAGCTTCCATCACAGCTACAGTTTAGGCCTACTGAATTTACTCTCCATTTTTAGAATGTGTTGTAGAAACCGTACTTGGGGCCTTTGCTTATGCATCCCCTTGGCTGGAATGCTCCCATCCTCCCATTATCTGTTGTCTACTGGAGAATTTCTTTGCAGCCTTCGTATTTGCCTAGAGGGAATTAATTTTTTCCTGTCTTGTCTTTCCACTACACTCCACTATTTATCACAGTATTGATCCTGCTTTGCTCTGCATTCTGGGCAAAAATACCATTTACAGCCTCCCTCAGAGTACTGTGAAGCCTTGGAAATACAAAAAAATGCCCTCTAACTAATCCTTGTACTTTCCAAGAAACCTATAATCTGCCTGGAACATGGCAGGTTGTCTTCTCAACAAGATAGGCTTTTGTAAGAAGTGTTTCTAACTACAGGAGAGCGGGGTAGCATTGCTGTCTACAACTTCATCAGCCTTCTGAAGTGTGCAGATCTTATTAAATGGAAGGGTACTTTTGTTCGTCTGAACAAAGGTGGATATGGATCTGAGTTTAGGTGTGATAGGTGGATAGAACCAAAGTCATTGACATCTTTGTTCAAAATGTGTTCTGTGGGACAGCTGCAAAACGACTATCTAATATACTTGTCAAAAGGGCAGTTTCCAGAGTCCCACCCTAAATCTGATTTCTAGTCTTTGGTTGGCCCTAAGAATTGTTACATTAAATAAGTTTCATATGTACTCCAAGATGTAAGAGCCACTATTACACTTGAGTGAGGGAAAAAGAAAACTTTGAATTCCTAGAGTGAATATGGGTTTAGGGATTAATGAGAAATAATTTTTTAAAAAAGGGAAATATCAGGGATATAGTGTAAGGGAGGGATAATAACATGAAATGCAGTAGCCAGTAGACAATTATAGTGGTGCAACTGAGTTTTATATATTCCACATGAAGTTGATTTCATGGCTAAAATATAAGCCCCAAACTTTTCAAATAAAATCTGTTGTGTACAAACATGCAATATGTGTGTTTTTAGTTTTCTTGTTAGTTCCTTAAAAGTTGATAGGAATGAATTCTACATATAAGCTTATGTAGGGGAGTAAGTAGGTGGTGTGTGTGTGTGTGTACACATAAGTATATGGGTATATACATAGCAAATATATAGGATGGCAAGCCAATCTTCTTTGGCAGATGCAAGAGTTTAGAGCGGGTATACTAAGAATGCAAGCATCCCTGAATTTTTCAGGTGTCTTGGGGGAAAATTTTGATGTTCTATTGAGGATAGCCTGGAAACATGAAAAATTTAGCTCTGAAGATTTAGAGACACCCCAGATGACACCTGGACAATTTTTGTGCAAGTACTGTTAACACAATGCAAGTATTCTTTCTTGTTGATTTGTCTTTACCAAGCCTTTATCTTAATTTCTCTTTTATTTTATTTTATTTTTTGAGACAGAGGCTTGCTCTGTTGCCCAGGCTGGAGTGCAGTGGTGTGATCTCGGCTCACTGCAACCTCTGCCTCCCAGGTTCAAGCAATTCTCATGCCTCAGCTTCCTGAGTAGCTGGGATTACAGACGTGTACCACCATGCCAAGCTAATTTTTATATTTTTAGTAGAGACAGGTTTTTGCCATGTTGGTCAGGCTAGTCTCCAACTCATGGCCTCAAGTGATCCGCCTGCCTCAGCCTCCCACAGCGCTAAGATTACAGGCATGAGCCACCGTGCCCAGCCTTCTTTTTTATTGATATGTAATATTTTAAATATATATGGGGTACATGTAATATTTTGTTACATGCATAGAATGTGTAATGATCAAGTTAGGGTATTTGGAGTATTTGTCACCTTGAATATTCATCATTTCTATGTATTGAGAACATTTCAAGTTCTTTCTTCTGGCTACTTTGAAATATACAACACATTGTTGCTAACTATAGTCACCCTACTCTGCTATTGAATACTAGAACTTACACCTTCTATCTGACCTTATGTTTCGACCCATTGATCAACCTCTTTTCATCCCCCACTCCTACCCGCACACCCTTCCAGCCTCTGGTATCCATCATTTCACTCTCTACCTCTATGAGATTAACTTTTTCGGTTCCCACATAAGCGTGAGAACATATCATATCTGTCTTTTTGTGCCTGGCTTATTTCACTTAACATAATGACCTCCAGTTCCATTCATGTTGCTGCAAATGACACGATTTAATTCTTTTTTTAATGGCTAAATACTATTCCATTTTGTATATATACCACATTTTCTTTATTCATTCATCCATTGATGGACACTAAGGCTGATTTCATATATTTGCTATTGCAGATAGTGCTGCAGTATACATGCAAGGGCAGGTATCTTTTTGATATATGTATTTATTTTTCTTTGGATCAATACCACAAAGTGGGATTGTTGGATAATATGGTAGTTCTATTTTTAGTTTTCTGAGAAACCTCCATACTGTTTCCCATAGTGACAGTACTAATTTATGCTCTCACCAACAGTGTCTAAGAGTTCCCTTTTCTCCACAGCCTTGCCAACATCTGTTATTTTTGTTTTTCTAACAACAAGCCATTCTAACTGGGGTGAGGTGATATCTCTTTGTAATTTTGACTTGCATCTCCCTGATAATTGGTGATGTTAAGCATTTTTTTCATATACTTGGTCATTTGTATGTCTTCTGTTGAGACATGTCTGTTCATGTTCCTTGCCCACTTTTAATTAAATTATTTGTTTTTATAAATTGCTGAATTATTTGAATTATTTGTATATTCTGGATATTAGTCTCTTATTGGATGAATAGCTTGCAAATATTTTTCTCCCATTCAACATGTTGTCTCTTCACTCTATTCAGTTTTTTTTTTTTTTGCTTTTTAGTTTAATATAGTCCCATTTTCTATTTTTGTTTTTGTTATCTGTGTCTTTGAATTCTTTTTTTTTTTTTTTTTTACATTTTATTTTATTTATTTATTTTTTTATTATACTCTAAGTTTTAGGGTACATGTGCACATTGTGCAGGTTAGTTACATATGTATACATGTGCCATGCTGGTGCGCTGCACCCACTAACGTGTCATCTAGCATTAGGTATATCTCCCAATGCTATCCCTCCCCCCTCCCCCGACCCCACCACAGTCCCCAGAGTGTGATATTCCCCTTCCTGTGTCCATGTGATCTCATTGTTCAATTCCCACCTATGAGTGAGAATATGCGGTGTTTGGTTTTTTGTTCTTGCGATAGTTTACTGAGAATGATGGTTTCCAATTTCATCCATGTCCCTACAAAGGACATGAACTCATCATTTTTTATGGCTGCATAGTATTCCATGGTGTATATGTGCCACATTTTCTTAATCCAGTCTATCATTGTTGGACATTTGGGTTGGTTCCAAGTCTTTGCTATTGTGAATAGTGCCGCAATAAACATACGTGTGCATGTGTCTTTATAGCAGCATGATTTATAGTCCTTTGGGTATATACCCAGTAATGGGATGGCTGGGTCAAATGGTATTTCTAGTTCTAGATCCCTGAGGAATCGCCACACTGACTTCCACAATGGTTGAACTAGTTTACAGTCCCACCAACAGTGTAAAAGTGTTCCTATTTCTCCACATCCTCTCCAGCACCTGTTGTTTCCTGACTTTTTAATGATTGCCATTCTAACTGGTGTGAGATGATATCTCATAGTGGTTTTGATTTGCATTTCTCTGATGGCCAGTGATGATGAGCATTTCTTCATGTGTTTTTTGGCTGCATAAATGTCTTCTTTTGAGAAGTGTCTGTTCATGTCCTTCGCCCACTTTTTGATGGGGTTGTTTGTTTTTTTCTTGTAAATTTGTTTGAGTTCATTGTAGATTCTGGATATTAGCCCTTTGTCAGATGAGTAGGTTGCAAAAATTTTCTCCCATGTTGTAGGTTGCCTGTTCACTCTGATGGTAGTTTCTTTTGCTGTACAGAAGCTCTTTAGTTTAATTAGATCCCATTTGTCAATTTTGGCTTTTGTTGCCATTGCTTTTGGTGTTTTGGACATGAAGTCCTTGCCCACGCCTATGTCCTGAATGGTAATGCCTAGGTTTTCTTCTAGGGTTTTTATGGTTTTAGGTCTAATGTTTAAATCTTTAATCCATCTTGAATTGATTTTTGTATAAGGTGTAAGGAAGGGATCCAGTTTCAGCTTTCTACATATGGCTAGCCAGTTTTCCCAGCACCATTTATTAAATAGGGAATCCTTTCCCCATTGCTTGTTTTTCTCAGGTTTGTCAAAGATCAGATAGTTGTAGATATGCGGCATTATTTCTGAGGGCTCTGTTCTGTTCCATTGATCTATATCTCTGTTTAAGTACCAGTACCATGCTGTTTTGGTTACTGTAGCCTTGTAGTATAGTTTGAAGTCAGGTAGTGTGATGCCTCCAACTTTGTTCTTTTGGCTTAGGATTGACTTGGCGATGCGGGCTCTTTTTTGGTTCCATATGAACTTTAAAGTAGTTTTTTCCAATTCTGTGAAGAAAGTCATTGGTAGCTTGATGGGGATGGCATTGAATCTGTAAATTACCTTGGGCAGTATGGCCATTTTCACGATATTGATTCTTCCTACCCATGAGCATGGAGTGTTCTTCCATTTGTTTGTGTCCTCTTTTATTTCCTTGAGCAGTGGTTTGTAGTTCTCCTTGAAGAGGTCCTTCACATCCCTTGTAAGTTGGATTCCTAGGTATTTTATTCTCTTTGAAGCAATTGTGAATGGGAGTTCACTCATGATTTGGCTCTCTGTTTGTCTGTTGTTGGTGTATAAGAATGCTTCTGATTTTTGTACATTGATTTTGTATCCTGAGACTTTGCTGAAGTTGCTTATCAGCTTAAGGAGATTTTGGGCTGAGACGATGGGGTTTTCTAGATAAACAATCATGTCGTCTGCAAACAGGGACAATTTGACTTCCTCTTTTCCTAATTGAATACCCTTTATTTCCTTCTCCTGCCTGATTGCCTTGGCCAGAACTTCCAACACTATGTTGAATAGGAGCGGTGAGAGAGGGCATCCCTGTCTTGTGCCAGTTTTCAAAGGGAATGCTTCCAGTTTTTGCCCATTCAGTATGATATTGGCTGTGGGTTTGTCATAGATAGCTCTTATTATTCTGAAATACGTCCCATCAATACCTAATTTATTGAGAGTTTTTAGCATGAAGCGTTGTTGAATTTTGTCAAAGGCTTTTTCTGCATCTATTGAGATAATCGTGTGGTTTTTGTCTTTGGCTCTGTTTATATGCTGGATTACATTTATTGATTTGCGTATATTGAACCAGCCTTGCATCCCAGGGATGAAGCCCACTTGATCATGGTGGATAAGCTTTTTGATGTGCTGCTGGATTCGGTTTGCCAGTATTTTATTGAGGATTTTTGCATCAATGTTCATCAAGGATATTGGTCTAAAATTCTCTTTTTTGGTTGTGTCTCTGCCCGGCTTTGGTATCAGAATGATGCTGGCCTCATAAAATGAGTTAGGGAGGATTCCCTCTTTTTCTATTGATTGGAATAGTTTCAGAAGGAATGGTACCAGTTCCTCCTTGTACCTCTGGTAGAATTCGGCTGTGAATCCATCTGGTCCTGGACTCTTTTTGGTTGGTAAACTATTGATTATTGCCACAATTTCAGAGCCTGTTATTGGTCTATTCAGAGATTCAACTTCTTCCTGGTTTAGTCTTGGGAGAGTGTATGTGTCGAGGAATGTATCCATTTCTTCTAGATTTTCTAGTTTATTTGCGTAGAGGTGTTTGTAGTATTCTCTGATGGTAGTTTGTATTTCTGTGGGATCGGTGGTGATATCCCCTTTATCATTTTTTATTGTGTCTATTTGATTCTTCTCTCTTTTTTTCTTTATTAGTCTTGCTAGCGGTCTATCAATTTTGTTGATCCTTTCAAAAAACCAGCTCCTGGATTCATTGATTTTTTGAAGGGTTTTTTGTGTCTCTATTTCCTTCAGTTCTGCTCTGATTTTAGTTATTTCTTGCCTTCTGCCAGCTTTTGAATGTGTTTGCTCTTGCTTTTCTAGTTCTTTTAATTGTGATGTTAGGGTGTCAATTTTGGATCTTTCCTGCTTTCTCTTGTAGGCGTTTAGTGCTATAAATTTCCCTCTACACACTGCTTTGAATGTGTCCCAGAGATTCTGGTATGTGGTGTCTTTGTTCTCGTTGGTTTCAAAGAACATCTTTATTTCTGCCTTCATTTCGTTATGTACCCAGTAGTCATTCAGGAGCAGGTTGTTCAGTTTCCATGTAGTTGAGCGGCTTTGAGTGAGATTCTTAATCCTGAGTTCTAGTTTGATTGCACTGTGGTCTGAGAGATAGTTTGTTATAATTTCTGTTCTTTTACATTTGCTGAGGAGAGCTTTACTTCCAACTATGTGGTCAATTTTGGAATAGGTGTGGTGTGGTGCTGAAAAAAATGTATATTCTGTTGATTTGGGGTGGAGAGTTCTGTAGATGTCTATTAGGTCTGCTTGGTGCAGAGCTGAGTTCAATTCCTGGGTATCCTTGTTGACTTTCTGTCTCGTTGATCTGTCTAATGTTGACAGTGGGGTGTTAAAGTCTCCCATTATTAATGTGTGGGAGTCTAAGTCTCTTTCTAGGTCACTCAGGACTTGCTTTATGAATCTGGGTGCTCCTGTATTGGGTGCATAAATATTTAGGATAGTTAGCTCCTCTTGTTGAATTGATCCCTTTACCATTATGTAATGGCCTTCTTTGTCTCTTTTGATCTTTGTTGGTTTAAAGTCTGTTTTATCAGAGACTAGGATTGCAACCCCTGCCTTTTTTTGTTTTCCATTGGCTTGGTAGATCTTCCTCCATCCTTTTATTTTGAGCCTATGTGTGTCTCTGCACGTGAGATGGGTTTCCTGAATACAGCACACTGATGGGTCTTGACTCTTTATCCAACTTGCCAGTCTGTGTCTTTTAATTGCAGAATTTAGTCCATTTATATTTAAAGTTAATATTGTTATGTGTGAATTTGATCCTGTCATTATGATGTTAGCTGGTGATTTTGCTCATTAGTTGATGCAGTTTCTTCCTAGTCTCGATGGTCTTTACATTTTGGCATGATTTTGCAGCGGCTGGTACCGGTTGTTCCTTTCCATGTTTAGCGCTTCCTTCAGGAGCTCTTTTAGGGCAGGCCTGGTGGTGACAAAATCTCTCAGCATTTGCTTGTCTATAAAGTATTTTATTTCTCCTTCACTTATGAAGCTTAGTTTGGCTGGATATGAAATTCTGGGTTGAAAATTCTTTTCTTTAAGAATGTTGAATATTGGCCCCCACTCTCTTCTGGCTTGTAGGGTTTCTGCCGAGAGATCCGCTGTTAGTCTGATGGGCTTTCCTTTGAGGGTAACCCGACCTTTCTCTCTGGCTGCCCTTAACATTTTTTCCTTCATTTCAACTTTGGTGAATCTGACAATTATGTGTCTTGGAGTTGCTCTTCTCGAGGAGTATCTTTGTGGCGTTCTCTGTATTTCCTGAATCTGAACGTTGGCCTGTCTTGCTAGATTGGGGAAGTTCTCCTGGATAATATCCTGCAGAGTGTTTTCCAACTTGGTTCCATTCTCCACATCACTTTCAGGTACACCAATCAGACGTAGATTTGGTCTTTTCACATAGTCCCATATTTCTTGGAGGCTTTGCTCATTTCTTTTTATTCTTTTTTCTCTAAACTTCCCTTCTCGCTTCATTTCATTCATTTCATCTTCCATTGTTGATACCCTTTCTTCCAGTTGATCGCATCGGCTCCTGAGGCTTCTGCATTCTTCACGTAGTTCTCGAGCCTTGGTTTTCAGCTCCATCAGCTCCTTTAAGCACTTCTCTGTATTGGTTATTCTAGTTATACATTCTTCTAAATTTTTTTCAAAGTTTTCAACTTCTTTGCCTTTGGTTTGAATGTCCTCCCGTAGCTCAGAGTAATTTGATCGTCTGAAGCCTTCTTCTCTCAGCTCGTCAAAATCATTCTCCATCCAGCTTTGTTCTGTTGCTGGTGAGGAACTGCGTTCCTTTGGAGGAGGAGAGGCGCTCTGCGTTTTAGAGTTTCCAGTTTTTCTGTTCTGTTTTTTCCCATCTTTGTGGTTTTATCTACTTTTGGTCTTTGATGATGGTGATGTACAGATGGGTTTTCGGTGTAGATGTCCTTTCTGGTTGTTAGTTTTCCTTCTAACAGACAGGACCCTCAGCTGCAGGTCTGTTGGAATACCCTGCCGTGTGAGGTGTCAGTGTGCCCCTGCTGGGGGGTGCCTCCCAGTTAGGCTGCTCGGGGGTCAGGGGTCAGGGACCCACTTGAGGAGGCAGTCTGCCCGTTCTCAGATCTCCAGCTGCGTGCTGGGAGAACCACTGCTCTCTTCAAAGCTGTCAGACAGGGACACTTAAGTCTGCAGAGGTTACTGCTGTCTTTTTGTTTGTCTGTGCCCTGCCCCCAGAGGTGGAGCCTACAGAGGCAGGCAGGCCTCCTTGAGCTGTGGTGGGCTCCACCCAGTTCGCGCTTCCCGGCTGCTTTGTTTACCTAAGCAAGCCTGGGCAATGGCGGGCGCCTCTCCCCCAGCCTCGTTGCCGCCTTGCAGTTTGATCTCAGACTGCTGTGCTAGCAATCAGCGAGATTCCGTGGGCGTAGGACCCTCTGAGCCAGGTGTGGGATATAGTCTCGTGGTGCGCCGTTTCTTAAGCCGGTCTGAAAAGCGCAATATTCGGGTGGGAGTGACCCGATTTTCCAGGTGCGTCCGTCACCCCTTTCTTTGACTCGGAAAGGGAACTCCCTGACCCCTTGCGCTTCCCAGGTGAGGCAATGCCTCGCCCTGCTTCGGCTCGCGCACGGTGCGCACACACACTGGCCTGCGCCCACTGTCTGGCACTCCCTAGTGAGATGAACCCGGTACCTCAGATGGAAATGCAGAAATCACCCGTCTTCTGCGTCGCTCACGCTGGGAGCTGTAGACCGGAGCTGTTCCTATTCGGCCATCTTGGCTCCTCAAAACCAGAAGTTATTCTTTACCATGGACCCAAATTTGAATACACATGAATTACAAAAATTCAGTAGATGTGCAGATATGGCTTTGTGTTTATTTGTCTTAATGTAAGTTTGACATTATCTGGGGTTTACCAGATCTTGATGATTTAGAAAGAAAAAAAAACAGTGCTGCCCCCAATTTTATATTCTTAACTTCCCATTCCATAGCCTGTGAAATCTCAAAGTTCGCCGCATGATTTCTATAAGTCCTAAAAAATGTACGGTATCTTCTGTTTCTGAGCTACTGTTTTCACTTATACCACTCTGTGGAATGCTATGCTGAACCAAACATAAAAGTCATTCTCCCTTGATTTCTACAAAACACCATAAAAGAATATCATACAAAAATCCACTCACATGCAGCATCTAAATACCTAGTTTTGCTCATGATTTAGGATCCTTGAAGAGGTTACAATGCATAGGGCACATCATAAAAGCTGTGTCAGGATCATTAATATAATCTTTATGGCCTTTTCTACTTTCTTTGTCTCACCACCGACATCTGATGCCTCCTGGAATTACTTCTCAAAGAAACTGTGTGGTTCCAAATTCTGCCATGGGTTCTACTTTTGGAGAAATCTGATTTAAGACAATGATATGCTGTCTCATAGATAAACATTTAAGTTCAGTGGTTGTGAGAACTAAATGGGGTAATTTATGTAGAACACATGGAACAGCACATGGCAATTTGTAAGCCCTCACTCAGTAAAATAGCCAGGATTCATGGGATTACAAAGTGGCTCAGCTCCTTCACTCGCCATTCTGTGAATCTCCACTCAAGATGTAAATTCGGGGAAGGGACTGTGATTGGATTAGAGTATGTCGCTTGTCCTGCTGAGGGCAGGGCTTTGGCCCCATCACTGAGAGCCCCACCATATGATATGAAGTGAGAATGGATTGTTGTCACTAAGAAAGGGTCAGCTCAGCTGTGAAGGCAAAATGACTCCTACTGGAGTCCTAAGCCCTATTTTATGTATGAGGGAATGAAAGCTCAGAAAAATTCTGGGATTTGCCAGAGTCACATAGTCAGTAAGCAGTGCAAAAGAAATCGTCTTCACCTCCTTGGATCCTAAATCTAGCAGTCTTCCCTCTACAATGCTAGTGAGAAGAAGAGTACTGATTATGATTTGGCACTGACTGTACCTATGAGCCTGAAAATGTACTTAATGTACCTATCCCTGAATTGCTGTTATTAGCGAAATTGTTTCTTACTTGTGCTATTTTGCTTCAAATGAGTTGGAAAGAAAATAAGGTATTGATTTTCCAAATCTTCTTCAAGTCACTGGTGAAAAATAAACAGTAAGATTTCTAGCCAGGCTATAAAATGTTGACAATCAACAAACATTACAATGATGCTTACCACTGAAGAATTCCTTTAGACCTGAGGAACAGATATCAAAAGGTCACTGAAGTCTATGTCAAGGTACATTGAGAGTAGACTGGAATCAAGAAGGAGAAAAGAGCTGCATTGTGGAGGCAAATAATAACATATCATCATAGGCAAATGTGTTTAAATCCCAGCTTGAAGAAGAAAAATCTAACATACAGCAAGCAGTCATACCCCACTTTATTATTACTATTATTTTTGTGTGGGCAGCCATGGGCTACTTAAGACAAAGAAGTAGTCCCAGTGAGCAATGGCAGTGAGACCAGCAGGCCCAGTGATAACCCAAAGGCATAGTTTGACAGTTATATGCTATGAAAAACGATTTTGGGGCCACCATAACTCACCCCAAATGTCCCCATTCTTGAAAGCACCACCAACCAAGGGGTTATCTTTGGGTTCAAAGGATAGCATTACTGATATGTAAAAGGGCTTTAGCCAATTCAGGGAATAGGCACTATATATATAAATCTAAAATAGTATAGTCCCTGAGAAATAATATGACTTTTAGCACATAAAAACTTTCTGGATTCTGAGAACAAATGTCGCCAGCTGAGGTGAAATTACATATTTCTGTAGTTTGGTTCAGTGTAAGAAAGTTTGTAAAATAAACTATGGGACTATGACCCCATTTCACAACCTACCCACAATAAATTCACCTGAGAAATTCCCCCAAACAATATCAGCTACTAAAATCCCTTAGATAAAGTGACCTTCTTTGGTAATCAGATGTTATTATTTTTAGGACATGTTTTTCAGGATGATTTTCTGGTTTTGGAATAAAGAAAATTATTTTGACCTTTATTTCCCTAAGTTTTTAAAACACACACACACACACACACACACACACACACACACACACACACACACAGAGAGAGAGAGAGAGAGAGAGAGAGAGAGAGAGAATCCAAAAACGATTCCTAGCTGTAAAGCAGACTTCAGAGGAACTTCAGCTGTAGGCCTTATTTTGTACTGACTAGGCAGTAAATAAATGGTTTTGATCCATGTTGAATCTGGCAATCATGATTTTTGTGCTTTGTGTTAGATTTCAGATACAAATGTGTGCCTTTTTGAATGTTAAACTCAACTGCATTCCTTTTAGATATCAGGAAAAACACTGCAAAAACAATATATTAACACCTTAATAAAAACCCAATTACTGGGAGTACGGGGAGGTTTATATTTAGATTTTTTGATTAAAAAAGTCACTTGGGAGCTCATTTTGGCGAAAACATTTTTTAAAATAAAAATTCTCTAAAATCTATCACTTTAATAAGTACATTGTGGTGATACATTTACACCCTTTTCTTCTAATATAGTGAAGGACTGTCAGGTAGAAGCATATGGGTTTGATCATAATTTATACTCATCCCAAATTGTTTCTCATAAAATTTTGGACAATATTAGTAATATATAGCCCACACCTACATAATAGTTTCTATGTTCCAGTTACTTTTCTGAGTTTCATATGTTACATCTATATGTGTATGATTACATATGTGTATGTTAATACATTTAATTCTTATACCACCTTAAGAAACAGGTAGTGTTATTAACATCCCCACTTTACAGATAGGGAAACTGAAGCACTGAGAAGCTAAGTAGCCTGGTTAAGATTACACAGCTAGTATATAGAAGAACCAGGGTGGGAATCCCAGCATTCTTGCCCCAAAGCCTCTGTTCTTAATCATCACACTATATTTCCCTAAGGCCAAGTTGGTGTGTTCTTATTTAGCTTTTTCTTAGGAGGGAAATACTTAAATCAACAACAACTTCTGTATAATGGAGGTGCTGTGACTTGCTAGTGTGAAACCCAGTGCATAGATTACCTCCCCTTTTCTCTGCTAATCAGCTTCAGAACCTTGGGCAAGTTACTTTGGGCCTTGGGATTCTACTTCTTGCCATAAATTAAGGAAATCAATCTAGAACTGAGATGTCCAATGTGGTCATTTCCAGCCTTACGAGATTTCTGGGCTCTGAAAATGTGGCCAGTCCAAATTAAGATTGCCGTACACACCAGATTTCCTGGAATTAGTATTTAAAAAGAATGCAGAAATATCTCATATGTTTTTTTGTATTGATTCTGTTGAAATGATAATATTTTGGATATATTGGGTAAAATAAAAATATTATTAAAATTAATTTTATCTGTTTCTTTTTACTTCTTTTGATGTGACTACTAGAAACATTAAAACTATATACATGATTTAACTTTGTGGCTCACATTATATTTCTATGGGCTTGTAGTGATCACACTAGCAATTCTTCATCTACAAGTGCATTGACATTTCCAAGTGAAACACTCCTACTGGAAGAATGCAGGGAGATGCACGATTCCAGGAACATGAGTTCTAATGTCAAGATTTTTCTCACATGCTGAAAAACAAAACAAAACAAAAACCGTAGAATGCAAGAGCATGACATTAACATTATAAAAGTAATTCAAGTCCACTCCAAGCCATTTTAAAAAGTTAATTATTTGCAAATGTTGCTATTTGTCATTAGGAGCAAATTATTTGGTTGCACTTCAAACCTAAGTAGCATCCTAGTGTGTCAAGACATTACAGTGTTTTAGAATTCTCCTTTTTTTTTTTTTATTTGAGACAGAGTCTCGCTCAGTGCCCAGGCTGGAGTGCAGTGGCGTGATCTCGGCTCAGTGCAAGCTCCGGCTCCTTGGTTCATGCCATTCTCCTGCCTCAGCCTCCTGAGTAGCTGGGACTACAGGCACCCGCCACCACGCCCAGCTAATTTTTTGTATTTTGTGGTTCTGTTCCATGAACCAAAACCCAGCTGTCGAATTTCTATAAGATTAAAATGGAAAATAAAGATGCAAAAGTAGAACACATACCTGTTTGTAAGTTGGAGGACGTCAGAAGCACTGCTATCATTTTTTCCCTTTTTGAAGATGAGCTAATGATCTTTGCATATGTAAAGCTGTTTGCCTTAGAAAAGCCTTTTTTAGCGAGTTGGTCCTGGCTATCTCTGGAAAATTGGCTGTTAGAAGTTTCTTTCATTATTGGATTATTTTGTTCACCAGGGGCACAGATCCCCTGCTTTCCTTTTTGAGGCTGCCAACAGTGAACTCACTGGAAAAAAAAGAAACAGTCAAGGTGACAAGACTAAATGGCCCAACCAGCAGCACAGACCTGGCATTCCTCTTGTACATTTGCAGTTCTGGTGCTGGTTTTGCTCACCTTCACAAATAGTCTTGTTTCCACCTGCCCTAAGGTGTGGCAATAGCAACTGTCCTTCAAGTTTCCACTGTCAAGCTTGTTGGAGGTGAGACATCTCAGGCAGGTGCTAGGTGAAGCCTGGGGGATAAGCTGGGAGTTTGTTTTCTTCCCTGCATCATGGAAGTTGGATGATAAAGATCAGCTCCAAGTCAAAAGTGATACTTCTTGATAACTTATTGCCTTAAAGGTGTTGTAGATTGACTCACGCAATATAGAAGGAGGTAGTGGTCAGAAGCAGGGGCATAGTAACCTTAAAAGGATTTGATTATTAAATTTTCTTTAGATAATCTTGTGAATTTTTTTTTACTAAGTCCATGCAGTATACTATAAATGTATCTCAGGTAAAAGCTAGATTTACTGAATAAGGGAAAGCCATAGCCAAAGAGAATGAAAACCATTTGAGAAACTCATTTCTTCCCCTACACCTCCCCTCCCATCCTTCAGATAATAAGCCATAATAAAAACTATGGGTCATCTAAGCCCTTAGCTTTCTGCTCTCAGGAATTATTATCATAATACAGTGGTTCCCAAAGTGCCTTGATTCTTTGCAACATGCCTTTAGTGAAAGGCCAAAAGAAAATGGCTTTAACATTGTTTTTGGATTGAGATCCCTTCATGTATATGAAAGCATTCTTAAAACTACGATTTTAATTTCTTTTTATTTTAGCCAGAAGTACAATTAAAAGTGCAGTGTACAAGTATAGTGGTAGAGTCTCTTAAGAAGCATAGTCTTCAATCACGTCAGCTCCTGAAAAGAGTGGACGATCTTTCTCTTGTGGACATACATGGTCTCTGAAGTTTATCTGTGATCCCAGGATCGGCACCATTAGCATCACCTGGGAATTTAGAAGTATGAATTCTTGGGTCTCATCCCAGACCAACTAGAAACTCTGGAGGTGAATCCCAGCAAACGATGTCTTGATAAGCCCTCCAGGAGATTCTCATGCACATTAATGTTTGAGAACCTGTACTGTAGTAGACACTGGGGGGACCAGGCTAGATTCCCTTTACCAGCTGGTACAGTCATCTGTGAGCATTGCCACTAACAGTTCACAGCTGTAACCTTCTCCAAACCACCTTGGTTGAACCACCTTGCCCACCTTGGTTGAACCACCTTGCCCAGAGATGGAGACCCTTTGGAGGTTTTTCCATAATCACCACTCTGGAGCCTGGCCAACAACTGACTGGCCTGGGGACGAAAAACCCAGCCACCTGTTTTCAAGGTAGGACAACGCTGCAGTGTGACTTATGCTCCAGAGCTCTTCCATGGAGTCAGGCCAAGGTTACACTTTGTTTAACTCATGCCATATTCTTACTCAGATCTTTGCTTTCCTTGTCTTACTGCCTCACTGCCTTGAAGGTTTCACCTGAGAGTCCTTCCTCAACATATGACGTATACCCAAATCCTTGCCTCAGCCTCTGATTCCAGGGAATCTGCTTACTCACATCACAGTTCAGAAAATTACAAAAATTACTGCTAACAGGCCACCACCTGTTTGCATAAATGAAGTTTTCCTGGAAAACACCTGCGCCCACTATTTACAAACTGCCTGTGGCAGCTTTTGACCTATAACAGCAGAGTTAAATAGTTGCCACAGAGACTGTATAGTTCACATAGCCTGAAATACTGAAGGAAAAGTTTGCTGATTTCTACCCAAGACATGAGACAAGCTCAGAGAGACAAAATCTAGGAGGGACCAAAACACGGTATGTATTAAGTCTGTGTTGTAAGCAGTGTTGTGCTGGAACTGAGTGTGCGCATCTTCATCTCTTTCCAGCTCTCTATGTAACAGCACATTGGTAGCTTGATATCACCCCATGATGGAAACATTTCCACTATGGAAATGGAAATTGTCAAATGCTACAAATATATATATATGTGTGTGTGTGTATATATATATATATTTCCTGGAGAGTCAGGTGTTAAGCATTTACCAGCATACCACTGGTTATAAGCCAGATATCTTACACACTTAAGCATGTTGCAAAGAATCAGGATCCTTTAGAGAAAGGCAAAAATAAAGTGGAATTCACATTGTTCCTGGATTGAGATCCCTCCACGTATATGAAAGCATTCTTGAGACTGTGATTTTAATTTCTTATTTTAGCAGGAAATGCAATTAAATGTGCAGTGTACCAGTAGTGATAAAGTCTCCCAAGAAGCATAGTCTTCGATCACATCAGCTCCTGAGGATAGTGGATGATCTTTCTCTTGTGGCCATACGTGGTCTCTGAGGTCTATCTCTGTGTTACCTTCTAGCAGTCTATGCTGTCCACCAGTTCCCTCTGAGACGGGACCACTTGTTCAGCTTTCTGAACAAGTCACTTCCTGTGTTCTTGTGGTCAACCTTGGTACTCACAGTTTTCCAAACAGATTCTCTTGGGCATCTGTTTGGTGTTAGCATTTCCAGAATTGGTACAGCTCTAAATCCCTCTGTGTTCCCAAATACAAGATCAGCAGCCTTGTATTTGATCTTCCTCCTAGGAATGGCTAATGGCTCTATCTGGTTAGTATTTTAAGTTTGAGGGCATTATGGAGGTTTTTATCCTCCTAAAATAGGAAAGGGATAGAAGAGGATTAGGGTCCACATAAATTTACTTTTGAGAATTTGGTAGCCAGCCTGTAAGATGACTCCCTAATGGTCTCCTTTTTGTTATTTATGCCTGTGTGGTTCCCTCCCATATGAAAATACTGTAACCAGTGGAATGCTGCAGAAATGGCAGTGAGTGACTTCTAAGAAGTCATAAAACACATTATGGCTACTGCCTTGGTTCCTAGGATCATTTATCCTGATGGAAGCCAGCCACCATGTCTTGAAGACACTCAAGCTGGTCTATATAGAGGCCCACAGGACAGGAACTGAGGCCTCACCAACAGCCAGCACCTCAGAAGTGGATCCTCCAGCCCCTGTCAAGCCTTCCAAAGACTGCAATCCTAGCTTCCTAAGAAGCTCTTGAATTCCTGATCCAAAAATACTGTGTGAGATAATAAATACGTATTTTGTTTAAGCTACTGAGTCTTGGGGTAATTTGTTATGCAGCAAAAGACAACTAACACATGTAATGTTTATCCCCTTTGATAGCAGTTCACGATCAAACAAAATTTGAAATCGTCTAAATTTAAAACCAGTAAATCCCAACAGTCACTGGAGTACAAATCATTTCTACTTGTTTTGCTTGCATAACTAAAAGCATTTTTGACTCAAGAGCCAAGAAAATCATACTAACACGTAAATCCTCAGATATGTGTTACTGCCTCACTACCTAACAGAACACAATAATGTACCAACTTGCTACTCCAGGTTAGAGGTTGCAATTTTGCTTAATGATTTTGGCTTGCAACTGATTTTCTTTAATCATAGTATATTATTTTACCATTGATTTCATCTGAAAATGTTCTTCCTAGCATTGGAGTCCTAACAGGCACTTATCACACAGCTAAAATTCCCCATGAGTTGGTAACACTGCAGCAAGCCCTCTGCCCTCAAGGCCGTCTCTTCAGATTTGGCCTAGATAATAAATTGCTTTGTTTTCCTCAGAAGCCCTCAAGGTGTGCTGAAAGCCCAGTGTGTTTGGGCTTCCACCCTAATTATTGAGCACACAATTCATTTCCCACTTTTGTCAGGTTGCCCAAGAGGTTACAACTAATTTCTGTTTATCATGTTCTGTACATTTTTTTATCCTAATTTGACCTTTTTCTGTAATTGGAACTTTGACTTAATTTTGCATCTTTGCTCCCCCTTAAAAACAACTGTACTGAGAGGGAAAGAAATTGAAGTTTCTTTAAAGCATTTTTTAATTCATGAATATTATTAACCCTTTTAAATTTTCTATCCTGTTTGTAAAGGTGATCAGTTTACTTCGTAGGAGGCAGATTTTCTCAACTTTTAGAATGATGTGGTCTATGATGCAATTTTCATGTGTGATTGTAGACATAAAAAAGTCACCAGTCACTATGACCTCTTAATAGAAAACATCCTCATAATGGCAACTCCAATTTGGTACCTGTCCTGAAACTTCAATGTAAGAACAGACTCTCTCTCTCTCTCCTGGGTAGAGAGAAGTATTCTCTGGCAAAAGTTGGGGATGAAAATATGTTTTCGGATCTTCCTCTTTATGCCCCTTTCCAGCCTTCTCTTGCCCCCTCCTCCTCCCTCTGTAGGGTCTCCCTCTTCTCATAGCACCCACAGAGGCCCTACCCAGACCTCATGTGCACCCCTAACCTACGCTTTCGCATGTCATCTTCAAATCCATTCTTCTTGCCTTAGAGCTGTGGTTTGTAAATGCTCTTTATAGTGAGATCCTATGAAGTTTTACACTCTCCTTCAATAAACGGGTAGATAAAAACAGTGTTGTTTTATTATACATTTATTTGCAGTTTCAAATATGTTAGGTTTACTTACTGTAAATTCAACCAAGAGTTTATTGAGGATGTTGCCTAAACACAGATACAACACCAAAACTTACTGTTGGCATTCAGAGTCTTAAGCCAACCTTGTCATATATTTTTTTCTCATTTTGTAAAATATGTTTTGCATATAGAGTTAAAAAATCCTGATGCCAACAAACAAGTTGCTGCAAATGGTAACAAGTTCATAAGTCACTTTGAAATATTAAAATACACTTCAAACAAATATGTCTATAATTTTGAAAATGGAATAAAAATTTAATTTCAAAATAGGAATTATTTTAAATATCTAACTATCCAATTATTTTAATTATTGAATTTTAATACACATCCCTTTTGGAGGGGTAAAAATGCTTTTTAAATACATTCAGTAACATGAGATTCAGCAATTCACTTAAAAAATTTTCTCATTGCTCATCTTTTCAGAGATTTACTCAAGATTTCAGAAAAATCAAATTATATCTTTTTTACCTGGCATGCAACAAAATGTTTTATATTTTCTGAAGTCCAGATCAAGTTCATTTAGCCCAGCAAGGCATCGAAGGTTGGGCAGCTATGTTGACTTGGAGGTGCAGTTGGATAATCTCTTTATACTTCAGGATTCACTGACCCCATCCAACATTATCTCCAACTATGAAAGTGGGGCCAAGCACGGGGGTCAGTCTCAAAGGAAGTACTGTCATTTTGCTCTCACTGTTGTGTCCTCTTACCAGTGATAAGCTCCAGGCCAGGGAAAAGTCAATGAGGTGGATAGAACCCAGCTTATATGCACTCTGGGATTCAGTCCCTTCCTCCTCTCCACAACTTTGTTACCTTCATCCTCTGCTCTGGCACCTCCACTCTTCTTACTCAGGTCTATTAAGTCTTGGGCATATGGGGCTTCACTTCAATGAATTTCACCCTATTATTGTACACAGTGTATAATCCAGATAAAATTACAAGAAAAGGAGCACCTGTGTGCATGCATGAGGCCATGGTTCCTCACTTTCTATTCACAATTTATAGATAAAGATATATAGCATGTGTATTTCAACAGAAATATTCTTTGGAACCCCTCACCTTAGGGCTGCCTATGAACACCTGCAGGTATGATAACATTTGGACATCATCATTCATGTTATTTCAGAGAATTCACAAAGATCTAATTGGAAAGGCACTCTTATAAAATTACATTTGTGTTATCATTCAACACTTTTGACAAGTATTGGCATCAAAGTTAGTGTTAACCTCTCTCGAACATATTTCAGCATTTTTTAAAATGCATATTACTCCTTTATTATATTGATCTGGAAAAAAGGTTTAATACAGTAATTCTCAAAATGAGTACTAGGCCCATGTAACAGGGCCAAACCCCTAGAACATGATTCAGAAATCAGATAGTGAAAGACACACGTGGACATGATCAAGAGGCATTTCACTGCCACGAAACAAGGTTGGAAAGGGAATGTAAGGTTCATAGCAGAATGTACTCCAACCCCTAGGAGGTCAAGATGCTTATCCCATATGAGTGTGAGGAATGGCTCATTTTCTCATGACCACATGTAGGACTCTTTCAACCAACACTAAAAGCTTAAAAAGGGGTCATTTTGTGTGTGTGTGTGTGTGTGTGTATATCTATATATAAAATATAAAAATACTTATATACCTATATAAATATATAATACTTATATAATAATATAAGCATATATGTTATTACATATTATAAGTATATAAACTATATATACTTTTATAATATACTTATATAGGTATATATATTTATAAAAATAAATGCTATGTATAAACTGAAATCAGGATTAATCCCAACCTTCTGAAGACTTCTAGAGCCAGCTTCTCTGGGGTCAGGGAGAAAATGGTTTTCACATCATCATGCAGGTTACATTTATTACATTTATCTGGAGCCAGCTCCTCTGGGGTCAGGGGGAAAATGGTTTTCACATTATCATGTAGGTTACATCTATCTCCATGGGAATGACTAGATCTTTTCTTTGATTTGACTACAAAGAGTACCGGACTGGCTCTGGAGAGCAAATAGGCTCTCTTGATTCTCCTCATTGGTCATGCCTTAACATGATTCCTTCCTGTTTCCTACTCAAGCAGGTCTTTAGTAAACATAGCACTGGCAGAAACCTGAGTTATAACCTTTCAATTCTCTTGGGTAAGGGGAGATTTCTTTTGGCTTGGACTGAGAACCTATGCCCCAGAGGTGCTATTCTGACTACAGCGTATGAAGGGAGTGGGTGCAGATTCTCACAGGAGGGTAGCTGATCTTCGGTGAAATCTGCATACCTGGAGTCCTCATTGACATTGCTATGGAAGAGATGGTCAGGCTCCATGAGAGGGGGTGGGACATCATAGGAGGGCTTGAGACCTTTTCCTGGGCCTCACCATGCTTGGCAGCAGCTTCTGCTTTATTGAGGTTAGTCAGTTCCCCCATAGTGCTGAGGCGCCAAGTCCTTGCTACAAGCCACCATGTCTAGTCAATCGCATCCAGCACTGTTCAGATGGTTCAGATCACTCTCTTCTGCACCAAGGTGCAGCAGATGTCAAACTCATAGCCAGCATCTTGCAATGCCTGCCTGCTGCACTTCACTCCTTATGGCCCAAGCGGTTCCCCAGGTTCCAGGCACTCTGGCCATGCTGGATCTGCACCAGTGTGTAGGCAGCCATGGTTGCAAGCTGGGGACGTGGTGCTGGCTGGGAGCAATGTTTTAATGAAATTCTCTACTCCTGTCATATTTTGTGCCTTTTCTTCTTCCCCTTCAGTCTGGGTACGCTGACATATAGAAACCAAATTATACGATGGCACTTTGAAAATGGATATAAACATTTAGCAATACATCCCCCTCCCAAATTTCCAGTGTTTCTAACGTAAGTCTTCTTGATGTTTATCTTCAAAAACACACCCTCAAAAAATACTCAGATCGCTTAAAAAATAAAGTCAAGATGGCCATGGGTCAGTCCTTTTTGTGTTCAATCAAATTAAATTTAAAATGATTACAAACTCATTGATCAAATGTTGGATAAAGGCCGTTGCATGCTCCCTGTTCTCATCAGGCAAAGGTACTGACGGCATTTTGTTTCTGCATGACTCTGCACCAGAGTAGCCTGCCCTTCTGTTTATTCACATTTAGTGACACCTTTGAATGATGCCATAGTGTACGTTATTCTTAAAAATGTCAAATCTATATATGTATTTTAATCTTTGGATCTAAACTTCGCTTGCATACAGTTTTTATATAAAGCCCTGTAATTTTTATGCTGAAAGAAACCAAGATCCTTATTTTTCTACTCACTATGTTTGCTTTAAATATGGCATTGTAAGTTGGAAAGGGATACAGAAAATGTGGAAACATATCACTCCATAAAACACAGGAGCACTTGGGCACTTTTGCCTTATAAAGGTGAAGCCACATGCCTAATAATTATTCTTGTGCTCTACTGTCTCTGAGAGACTCATCCCAAGAATTTTCACAAGACTTTTGTTTCATACTCTCCCCAGTGGGACCCCCTTTGGCTGAAAAACCAGTTGCTATTTACATAGCACAGTGTGTCAATTTTTCTTGTGCCTGCTCAATCTCTCCATTCTAGCAGCACAGTTCTTTCGGCTTTTTTCTTTCTTTAACCCTTGATCCATTTCTTGTTTTGAGTAATCCTATCACCTTTACCTGAAATACTACGAAAAATGTATGAGTATAAATCATAGACCAAACACTTAACATTTATAAAGATTAAAACTCTGACATCAGCATGCTTAAATGTATTCTGTGTTCACTTACTGAATCATTTCATGTTCTGGGCGCAGAGACTGCTATTCATGGACTTTCCTGGCACATAATTGAACGTGATGAGTATGAGCTTCTGTTTGGAACTCAGGTGTACAATTTTATGTGTGCAGAAATGCTTACTCCTGCAAAAAGCCATCGGAGCAGAATTTAAATCTTTCTTGTCTATGACCTTCTTCCAAGTTCAATAGATGCAGAGGTATAGTGGAAAACTATTAGAAGTCAGCACAAAGCCTAGTTGAAGTGGTAACATGGCTTAAGTTGGTTGTCTCTAATGTGTTAAAAATTTGGGCTGTGACACATTTGAATATGTGGGTTGTTAAAATACAGCTTTAAAATATTTTAAAAACAGAATTTGAATCAAACATACGCTTGCTTTTGCATATTCTGAATGCAGTTTGATAACCATTGCTTTAGAGCAACTCAGCTCCCATTAGTTCAAATTCAATATTGATATGTGAATGGTTGAAAACACATTAATTTTCTTATTTTAAAAATAATGCTTGCTAACTTAAATACAGCTCAAATTGGTAGCACTGAAGGAAGTATAAATGATTCTCACCTCGAGATTATAGAAGGATTACCTTATGAGCCGGCTAAAAATGTAGTCTTGAGCTCTATGTCAGTAAATTCAAAGTCAGTAAATCTGAGGTTGACCCCAAGTTCGCATATTTTTAGAAGTGATTTTTAAATCACTAGGGGTTCTGATACAAGTCATACATGCATTATATTTTGCAAAACGGAACTGGAAGCTCCAGCTATCTGAAAGAAAGCTGGTGATGGTCAATTTCTCCCAAGAGCTGTTTGAACTGTTTGAATGTTTTTCCTGCTAGTGCCTCTGGTTCACTTCAGACTTTGCTGTGAAATAGGAAGTTTGGGCCGGGCGCGGTGGCTCACGCCTGTAATCCCAGCACTTTGGGAGGCCGAGGCAGGTGGATCATGAGGTCAGGAGATTGAGACCATCCTGGCTAACAAGGTGAAACCCCGTCTCTACTAAAAATACAAAAAATTAGCCAGGCGCGGTGGCGGGCGCCTGTAGTCCCAGCTACTCGGGAGGCTGAGGCAGGAGAATGGCGTGAACCCGGGAAGCGGAGCTTGCTGTGAGCCGAGATTGCGCCACTGCAGCCCGCAGTCCAGCCTGGGCAACAGAGCGAGACTCCGTCTCAAAAAAAAAAAAAAAAAAAAAAAGGAAATAGGAAGTTTGAGTTACTATTGCAGAGTTCTTCCATTTGTTTTGCCAAGATTGCTGGCAGTGGCCTTTAAAAACGGCAGGTATTGTAAAATCCAGAGAAACCTGGTAAAGTTAATTAACTTTTATCACCACAATTTTTCCCAGCTGTCAATTAACAGTATTTCCGCAAGCAGAAATTCTTCCTACACGGTAGTAATTCTTTTAGCCAGAGTAATGGCAATAAAAATTTAATGTGTTATTCTGTTTTACTAAGCAAACTTTACCAGCCACCTATGGTGTTGTCACAGAACAACACAGATGGAACACCCTTGGGAAGGTCTCTGTCAGTGTTGGTGTTGGGGTGCAATACCGATGACATGCCAGGAGCTTGTGCACTGGAGTACCAGCTATGCTGGGAGTCTTCAGCCATCTTTCGCCAGCTAACTAGACAAAATCTGAGGGAGACGGCTGCCGGGATTCACCCTCTCTATTCCATTACCCACTGCCATTTTGAATGTCTTGCTCTCTTCATTTGAGTTTCCCTAGGAGCAAACCATGAAGCTTGAGTGCACGTTGTTTAGTTGGGACATGCACCAGGAGAGTAAGAACAGGAGATAGGACAGAGAAGAAAGTCAATACAGGAAAGTGGATGTGTTATCAAGAAAGTCAGCACTGCAGGCAACTGGAGCTGCATTGGAAACTCTAGGAGACAGTGACGTACAAGCCTTAGAGTGCTCCTGACCAAGGATTGAGTAAGCGGTACATATACATCAACTTCCTGTACTCAACAGTAATGGCTGCTTCTGGGACCTGTTGTATCTTCCCTTTTATGCCAGTGGAGCAGGCTCGCTGGTCAGAGAAAAACAAACAAACAAACAAACAAAAACACAAAATATCCTCAGGCAGAGAAGCCTTGTTTTCAGTAAGGAGCCTTGAAAATGCAGAGGTGGGGGCTGACGGGTATGGATGCAACTAAATGGCAAGGGCTACACTATGGACCACACTGTTTTTTCCCTAGACTAGAAAATTGCTAGTCCCGGGGACTTTCTTTTTCTCCCAAACGATGAAGCTTCTGCCCGATGCACCTTTTTGCCTAGACATTGCCGACATTTTGTTGTTGTTTCCACTGTATTTACTCTATAAACCTGTAGCCCTGCATTGAAACCTGTGTTCCGATTCCTATGCTGGGAGACTCTGAATTAATTTTTCCTCTCATTTGAAGTAATAAAGTCCACTGTTACAACTTGAAGTTTGGCCATGACTTCAAGTCTGGATCACAGGAGTTCGAGTCATGTCCAGTCTTTTAGAGTTTTGCTTCAAATATGGACCAGAGAGTATTATTTACTACTATGCCATTTGTACATGTATTTTTCTTGAGGCCCTCTTAGGGAGGGATGATTACATGAAGACTGTATTTGGGTATTACTGAGTAGCTAACCCAATGTCACCTTAATTTCATCTCAAGTATTGCCAACAAAGTGTAGACTCAAATTATTATCTTCCCTAGCAACCTGTTCCTCCCCATACATCTTGGTCAATGGTGCCAATATTCACAAAGTCACCAGAATCAAAAAGTTGAATGCATCCTAGAATCTACTATTAAAGCCTTTCTGTTAAATTGGTTTTGCATATTAAATCTCAAAATATATTTGGGATCTATCTTTTCATTTGTATTTTTTCACCACCATGTTGCTTTGGCATCTTAGCATCTTTCATGTAATTGTTGCAATAGCCATTCTAGCTTTATGGCATCTCTACCTGCCCATTCCAAATTTTCCTTCATCTCAATCCTAGTGATGTTTTTCTTATAAAGCTATAAAATTCTTTATGTTGATGAAGTATTTAAAAATAACAAGTACTTATCTATTCATCTTTTACTTTAAAATGTGTACTAATGGAGCTGCATTCTCCTAATCTATCCTTGATCCCCCACTTGAAACTGTTTTCCTGAATTTTAAATTCTTGACTCCCGTGTGCGTGTAAGAACTTCCACACATATCTTCATAATTTTTACTACATATGATTGTATCACAAAACAGTATATGTTTTTGTTTTGTGTGCTTGCAAGTCTTATAGAATTTATGTTGCTCTGAGTATATTCTGTAGTTTGATTTTTTTCACTTAATATCTTCGGAGATTCTTTTATCTACGTGAGTATATTTCTAGATCACGTATTTTCACAGCTTTAAAATGAAATGAAATGAAACAAAATAATTAGACAATGTTACATTGATGGACATTTATTTCTCTTAGTTTTATATTACAAATCATGTTGCAGTAATAATCTTTGTTCCTGTCTCCTTTCTGGCTGTGCATGAGACTATCTCAGGGATGCTTACATGAAGCTGCAGTCACTGGATTGAGGGGTAAGAATTATTAACTTAACCAGAATTATGAAATTGCTCTCCTAAGTGGTTTTCTACATTTAAGTTCTATCAGAATAATGTGAGAGTTTCCACTGATTCACAGCTTTACCAGCATCAGCTGTTGTCTGGTAAAATGATACACAGTTTTAATTTTTATTCACACTGTTTACTAGTGATATGAAGAATCTTTTAATACGTCTTTCAATTTGAACTTCTTTAAATTCCTTGCTCATATCTTTGAGCCCATGTTTAAAAACTGGGTAATTTTAATTATATTCATCTTAAGATACACGCATAGGTAGAGATGGATATACCCACAGGCAAAATAATAGCCTTTGCATATGTTACCCTACATAGAAAAAGTGAATTTGCAGCTGTGATTAATTAAAGAACTTTGAGATAAGGATATTATCCTGAATTATCCAAGTGGGCCCAAAGTAATTACATGAGTCCTTAAAAGCAGAAGACCTCTTAAGGTCAGAGACCATAAGGCTGATTCTCTTTAACTGTGCGACCAGTGGAAGCAGGCGTGTGTGAACTTGGCACAGATTGAAGGATCTGCCCTGTTGAGGTGGGAGGGCCTGACTGTTGTCCCCCACGGTCCTAAAACTTGGATGGACTCAGATAGTGAGAGAGGAGGCCTGGACTGAGATGTGAGTCCTGTTGAAGACTCCCTCTCTACCCCCAACCTTGGTCCCTCTCAAATACCCACTGGAATTCCAACTTGAAGGATTGCATCCTGCTGGGACTGAACGTGCCTGCCAAGGATGTGTCTTACCTGTGTTCCTGGCTCCCTTGTTCAGAGACTGCCCTTCTCAAGGGCTCTGTGTCTGTGCTGGGAAGGAAATAACTATGGGAAGGAAATCCATGTGTATAAACTGCTGTCAACAAATGGAACCCAGACCTTCCGGCTCAAAAAAAAAAAAAAAAAAAAAAAAAGATGTCAGAGAGATGAGATAGATGGAAGAAGAAGAGATTCGAAGCATGAGAGGAACTTAACCCATCGTTGTTGGCTCTGAAGCTGGAGGTAGGAACGTGGATGACTTTCAGAAGCTGAAGACAGCCGTCAGCTAATAGCCAGCAAGGAAATGGTCATCTCAATCCTACAATACAAGGAACTGAATTCTGTCAATGACCTTAATAAGCAAAGGAAGAGATCTCTGCTAGAGTTTCTAAAAAGGCATGTAGCCCTGACAGCACCTTAATTTTATTTCATTTTATTTAATTATATATATTTATGGGGTATGACATGAAGTTTTGATCTATGCATACATTGTGGAATGATTAAATCAATCTAATTAAAATATCCACCAGTTCACATACTTATCATTTTTGTGGTGAGACCATTTAAAATGTATTCTCTTAGCAATTTTCAAATCTTGAGCACATTATTATAAACTGCAGTCACTGTGCTGTACAATGTATCTCCAGAACAAATTCCACCTGTCTCACCAAAACTTTGTACTCGCTCACTTACATCTCACCTTTTCCTAAATCCCCAACCTCCAGTCTCTGGTAACCACCATTTTACTCTCTACTCCTATGAGTTCAACTTTTTTAGAGTTCATATATAAGGGATCATGCAATATTTTCCTTCCTGTGCCTGGCTTATTTCACTTAGCATAATGTCCTCCAGGTACATCCACGTTATTGCAAACTACAGGATTTTCTTATTTTTAAAGGCTGGGTGAATAGTATTCCACTGTGTATGTATATGTGTATGTGTATAATATGCACACACTACATTTTCTTTATCCATTCATTACTTGATGACACTTAGGTTGACTCCATATCTTGGCTACTGTGACTAATACTGCAATAAACATGGCAGTGCAGATATCTCTTCAATATACTGAATTCATTTCCTTTGGGTATGTACCTAGGAGCGGGATTACTTGATCATATGTTAAGTGTATTTTTAATTTTTTGAGAAACATCTGTATTATTTTCCATAATTGCTGTAATAATTTACATTCCCACCAACAATGTACAAAGGTTTCCTTTTCTCCATATCCTTGCCAATATTTTTCTTTTTTTGATAAAAGCCATTCTAATAGAACACCTTGATTTTAGCCTAGCAAGGCCTGTGTCCTGTGTCTGACTACAGAACTGTAAGATAATTAATTTGCGTTCTTTAAGCGGACAAATTCATGGTAATTTGTTATGACAGAGATAGAAAACTTTTCTACATGCATAAAGAAGGTATTGTACTCCTCCTTCGTTGTGTGTATACCTTGCAAACCTTTTCTCTACATCTGTAGGTTGTCATTACACTTTTTAAATCGTGTCTTTTAATGCACAAAAGTTTTTAATACAATGTGAGATTGGATTTATCTTCTCTTTTTTCCCTATTTGTGTATTATAAAATGAATCCTCCCAATACACCAAAGTCATAAAGAGATTTTCTGCCTTCAACATTGAAACATTTCATTCAACTGCAATTTTTTTCATATGGTTTGTGGTAGGAATACTATTTGTTTTCAGTGGATGATAATTTCCCCAGTGCCTTTTATTGACCAGCATATCCTTTCTTCACTAATCTTTGTCTTTGTCATAAATCAAGTTGACCTGGTTTTGTGATTCAGTTTCTGGGTTCTCTGTTTGAATTCTTTGTCTCTTTGTCTATTCTTAAACCAGTATTACAGTCTCTTAATCGTAGCACTTTTATAATAATGTTTGTTATTTTGTAGACTAAGAACCCCTACACTGTTCTTCTTCAATTATCTTGACTAGTCTGAGCCCTTTACTCTTCCTTATGAATTTTAAAATAAATTTTCAAGTTTCTTAATAACTCTGTTGGTATTTTGATTGGATTGCATTGAATTTATGGATTAATTTTGAGAGAACTGACATTTTTATAATATTGAGTTTGAGTGTTCCCATCCATGAACTTGGTTTATCTCTCAATTACTGATGTTCTCTTTTATGATTTTGAATACTGTATTATACTTTTATATATTTACGAACATTTTGTATGATACCTTTAAAAAAGTGTTTTCTAAGTATTAATTCCTGATATCTAGAGATACATTTTTAAATAAAGGTTTTGTACTTAGCAATATTCCTTAAACTCTTTATTAACTCTATTGGTTTTGTTTCTTATGTTGACAATTATAATAGTCATAACATTTTTTAATAATGAGTATCTTATTTATTTACAATACTTATATTTTAAAATTCCCTTTTCTCATCTTAATGAACTCCTTTTAGAAACTCTTATACAATACTAAAAGTAACACTCACAGTGAGTGTCTTAATTTTGTTGCAGATTTCAAAGAAAATATTCCTATCATTTATTTTTAAGAATGCAATTTGCTCAATCAGGTTTTAACAGGTTTTTTCTATTCTTAATTTGGAACTATTTATTTTTAATGGATATGGGTTTATTAAATGATTTTTCTGCCTCTGTTGAAAATTACAATTTTTTCCTTTTAATCAGTTTATACCAAATTACATTAATAGATTTTTCTAATGAAAATATTTTTGCTTTCCTAGAATAGACCCAACTTTTCCTAATGGTGTTTATATATGTGTGTATATGTGTCCATGTATTAAGAAGCTGGATTTTCTTGCTTATATTCTATTTGGATTTTTTGTACCTATGGCCATCAGTGATGCTCTAAGGAAGCTTTTTTTCGTGTACTATCATCTATAAATTTGGATATCAAGATTATGTCACCCTTAAAAATAAAATATATAAAGAGGAAAAGAATAAAAGAGGGAAAAGAAGGAAGGAAAGAAGAGAGGAGGGAAAGAAGAAAGGAGGGAGAGAGGGAAGGAGGAAGGGAGGGAAAGGGAGAGGATGTGATTTCTTGAATAGTAAAAAAATTACTGATTTTTGAATATCTGTTAGTATTTGCTTATGAAACAATCTGCTAGAACTATGAAACTAGGTTTTTTATGTTTTTGTTTTGTTTGGGGGGGGCTGAATTTTTTAACTATTAAATTTCATTTTTTTTTTTTTTTTTTTTGAGACAGAGTCTCGCTCTGTCGGCCAGGCTGGAGTGCAGTGGCGCGGTCTTGGCTCACTGCAACCTCCATCTCCCGGGTTCACGCCATTCTCCTGCCTCAGCCTCCCAAGTAGGTGGGGCTACAGGCGCCCGCCATCATGCCTGGCTAATTTTTTTGTATTTTTTAGTAGAGACGGGGTTTCACCGTGTTAGCCAGGATAGTCTCGATCTCCTGACCTCATGATCTGCCCGCCTCGGCCTCCCAAAGTGCTGGGATTACAGGCACGAGCCAACGCGCCTGGCCTAACTATTAAATTTCTTTATTGAAATATTATAAAACTGTCATGTTTCTCGTTAGTTTTGATGTTATCTTTTGCCTAAAAATGTTTCACTATTTGATTTTTCATAGCACTGGCTTCGAGTTGTTCACTATAATTTATTTTTCTTTTCAAATCCTACCTGGAGCTCAGTTATATATTTCTTTTACCCCTAATATGTTTTAGTTGTAACCTTTCTGTTTCATTTTTTATCACTCTTGCCAATTTTGTCTATCTCATTAGTCTTTACCTTATACCAGGTTGTGTTTATCCTTCACATTGATTTTTCCAAAACTAAATCTGATCCATTCCTTTCAGCTTAAAACTGAAAAACTCCCCCTAAATCTAAGGATTTAAAACATATATACAAGGATATAAAGGCCTGTTCCTTTATAGGCTTTCCCTAGGCTCGTCTTCCACCACTTCTCCATAAATCTCATCTGTGGCCCATTGAGGCTTCATCACTTGCAGTTTCTGAAGGTAACATGCTCTCCTCTCATGCCTCTTCGTCTTTTTTTTTTTTTCCCATCCAAGGTTGTTTTATTTCCATACACAAATGAAACTTGTACACACATATATACACACATATATCTTACATTATGGATACACCATATAAATATACATAGCATATACATATTGGTCTATATATTGTATGCATATGTTCACATGTACATATGTTTGTAATTTCCACATGCATGCAAACTACCTTAAGTGCCTCCCTCAAGGGGTAGGTGAAGAGAGGATCAAAAAGGGGACTATTGGTCTCTGGCACAATGTGTTTAATAGGTTTGATTCTCATTTTTACCTTTCCTGAAAATCTGGAAGTAAAAACCTGAATTTTTTTCAGATGAATTACTGCCCTTGTTCACGCTATCCTCCTACATACCGTGGACAGACAAGTGTTCCTGGTGCCCAATGCTCTTCCTTCCACCCGTAGTAGCCTTTCTTCCATCATATTCTATCATCTTTTTTCTTCCTATTATGCTCTTCCTATTAATTTATATCCTTTCATTTACATACTATCCCAGTTCATACTCTTATTATTGTGTTTAGTTCACTAAATTATAATTGTTTATCTGTTTCCTGTCTTCATGACTCAAAACTTCTAAAGGGGAAAGAGTTAACAACTTGTAATTTTAACTGGCCCACAATAACTTCTTAATTGACATTTAAAGCCACACATGTGTGTCATTTATTTACTTAGAAAACATCTATTGAGTGTATTTGTATTTTAAGATACTTCAGGAAAAAAAGGAAGGAAGAAAGGAAAGAAAGAAGGAAGGAGGAAATTAAAAAGGAAGGTGGAGAAAGAAAAAGAAAAAATGAAAAGAAAGAAAAATGAAGCATAAATAGTAGAGTATTAATAATTATTAAAGATGAAGAATAACCATATGACACTTTATTACACTATTATCCCAAGTTTATTGAAATTAAAATAAGCATTCAATGGAGAGATTTCTAGAATAGGCTTATCTTTAGAGTTGTCACAAAGCACAATTTTTAAAGAACACTTGGCTGGGCATGGTGGCGCATGCCTGTAATCCTAGCACTTTGGGAGGCTGAGGCAGGTGGATTGCCTGAGCTCAGGAGTTCGAGACTGGCCTGGGCAAGCCTGTCTCTACTAAAATACAAAAGAAATTAGCCGTGGTGTGCACCTGTAGTCCCAGCTACTCAGGAGGCTGAGGCAGGAGAATTGCTTGAACCCAGGAGGCAGAGGTTGCAGTGAGCCGAGGTCGCACCACTACACTCCAGCCTGGGCTACAGAGTGAGACTCCGTCTCAAAAAAAAAAAAAAAAAAAAAAAAGAAGAAACACTTGAAAGATTTTTAATTTCTTAAATATTTCTTAACTTTCATAAATGCTCAACTTTTCCATGGAACTAGACCCAAGTTTGCTAAATATTTGAAGGTATTTGTCATTGGATTATACATTTATATAAAATGATAATGAGTTCTACACATAAAATAAACTTTATATTCTATAACAGTCCTAATATTCCTCCTGTGGACTCATTCTTCCAGTTGCCAACTTTCACTTACTTCTGGCTTAAATTCCTGATTTTGGATAATTCAGCCTTTTTTGTTTTTCCAGCCTCTCTTTACCCTCCCTGGAGATGGCGCATCAGGGCAGGAGGTTTGTGAAGTTCCACAGAACCAATAAAGATGTTCACTGTCCTCAGATCATCAATGGCTGTTGCCACTGGTGACGTGTCTCTTCTGTTCCCTGGACTGGTGACTGCTGACGCATGACTGGTCCTGCCTTTCCTTCTGACTTGCTTTCCAGGTATCCACAGATAATATCTCAGGGTCCACCATTCTGCCTCTGCTCTAAGTCTGCACACTGTGGCTTCTTCATTACATACTCAGGCCATTGCCACACATCTGTGAGTCCACCCCTCCCTTCTGAGGCACAGAAGGATTTCTGAAATCTCGAAATGCCTCCTTGAAGAGTGTGAGAAAACAGATCTTCTTCAGAAGTACCCTGTGCAAATGCTATTTTCCCAATGCATGTTTGGAGAACATGGGGCTGGGGCTTCTTTTAGTGAAGTGCCCTCCCGCTAAAGGCTGCATCTATGAAATGAATCTACTCATCTATCTCCTGATATTTTCAGGTTCTCCAATGATTATATACACATATATATAGATAATTTCCTTTCTCTACTTCCCGTTTTAACCATCTGTGATCTCCCCTAAGGGAAGCCAGACAGGTGTTTTCAACCTCTTTATTTTCTTGGAATGATTTCTCATTCTAGAAATAATTATACTGCCCTAGAAATCTTTCTGTGTGTTCCCAGGTGGGGAAGCGGTACCTTACCCTGGGCCCTCTCTGCAGCAGGCATACCATGGAATTGTCATGCTCCGACTCCCTACCAGATCTAGCTGCTGTTATGTAAGCGGAAACTTTAAAATTTATGAATTCCTTTTTTATTTCCACCAAGTAAACCCTTTAAAGGTGAAGTATATGCATTCTTTTACACAGCCGTTGAAAACATAGGTAGTGAAGAAGGTTGAAGCCTTCGGACTTCTCTGGGGCCAGCAGCCGCCCAACCAGGGACCCAGGGCTGCGGGCTCAGCTGACGACCCTGGGCTCCGTGTCCAACCAGCAGTTAGCAGGTGGCTGCGCTAAGGTGGCAGAGGAGGCGCCTAAAGAGGTGCCGGAGGACACGGCCCCGCCGGCGGACAAGCCTCAGCTGCTGCACGATGCGGGCATCTGTAAGCGGTTCAACGTGGGCTTGGGGTTTGTCTTCCTGTCCATGACCGCCCTAGCCAGGGTCGCGCTCGATCCCCCAGTGGACGTCTTTGTGTACCAGAGTAAGCTGCACACGGAGGGCTTCCTGGAGCCTGAAGGAGGACGAAACAGTGGAGGAGTCACCCAAGGGTGTGGAAACTACCTGTGTCACCGGACCTGGTGGGGTGTTCTGCATTGGGAGTGAGAGGCGGCCAAAGGAGAAGAACATGCAGAAACGCACATCAAAAGGAGACGGGTACTACAACTGTGGAGGTCTAGACCATCATGCTAAGGAATGCAAGCTGCCACCCCAGCCCAAGAAGTGCCACTTCTGCCAGAGCATCAGCCATGTGGTAGCCTCGTGTCTGCTGAAGGCCCAGCAGGCCCCTAGCGCACAGGGCAAGCCAACCTACTCTCCAAGGGAAGAAGAAGAAATCCACAGCCCTGCCCTGATTCTGGGGTTCCAAGAATTGAGCCACAAAGGGTGAAGCTTCCTGTTTCCCAAGAGCAGGAAGTTTCATGGAACAGGCAAAGTGGAGAAAGTGGGAATAGGGTGCATTTGGGCCAGTTGGCACTGCCATGTATCTCAGGCTGGGGTTCACACCATCGCCCCTTCTTCCCTCTAGGTGGGGGGAAAAGGTGAGGCAAAGGAACTCCAACCATGCTCTGTCCATATGCAAGTGAGGGCTTCTGGGGGCGGTGGGGGATGGCAGCGGGAATTTCCAGCTTTTGAAAATGGCCTAGATAGGGAAGTTGTTTTCCTTTGTTACCGGAAAGAGGTCCCGATCCAGACCCTAAGAGAAGGTTCTTGGACATGGCGCAAGAAAGAATTCAGGGTGAGTCCGTGAAAGCACGTTTATTAAGAAAGGAAAGGAATAACGAATGGCTGCTCCATAGGCAGAGCAGCCCCTGAGGGCTACTGGTTGCCCGTTTTTATGGTCGTTTCTTGATTATATGCTAAACGAGGGGTGGATTATTCCTGCCTCCCCTTTTTAGACCATACAGGGTAACTTCCTGACGTTGGCGTGGCATTTGTAAACTGTCATGGTGCTGGTGGGAGTGTAGCTGTGAGGACAACCAGAGGTCACTCTCATCGCCATCTTGGTTTTGCTGGTACATGGCCGGCTTCTTTACTGCAACCTGTTTTATCAGCAAGGTCTTTATGAATTGTATGTTGTATCTCATCCTGTGGCTAAGAATGCCTTAACCTCTTGGGAATGCAGCGCAACAGGTCCCAGCCTTATTTTAGCCAGCCCCTATTCAAGATGGAGTTACTCTGGTTCAAACACCTCCGACACTTTTAAAGAAGAATATATAGTAATAATTCCCACGCCAGAGTGAAGTGATTAAGTACAAGACCAGATCCATGGAGCCAAGCCACTACATTCTGTGGGAGGGAATCTCTCAGGAATAAGGCAGTGTTTTTGTTTTGTTTTCACATCTTGTATCCTTATACCCACTTTTGGGTTAGGGTCCTGGGAACTCTCCCAAGCAATGGCTACAGATGATGGCAAGAAGGGTGTTTGGGAGAACAGCTGCAAACCTGCTGCTCCTATGCTCACCCCCACCCCATTCTGGGCCAATGTGATTTTATTTATTTGCGCCCTTGGATACAGCACCTCAGGTCTCACTTTCTGCAGGATGCCAACTGCATTAGCTGTGTGCGACTGACGTCATCTTGTGCATTTTAATGTTTTTTTCCTTAATGTAAATATTCTGCTTTTGTATTTTTGTATATTTTAACCTAAGGCCCTCATTTCCTGCACTGTGTTCTCAGGTACATGAGCGGTCTCAGGAACAAGCCGGCAGCAACTCCAGGTTTGCACAGCAGAAATACTTTTTGTCATTTTTGGAACCAGGGAGAGCAACTATTTGGAGTGCCTGGCCTATTGAACTACCTCATTTTTGCTAATGAGAGCTGGCTTTTCTGCCATAATATCCTCTTGAAACCCCCTCTGCCTTGAAAATGTTTTATGGGAGACTAGGTTTTAACTGGGTTGCCTCATGACTCGATAGCCAACTACTGGAAGATTGGAAATTAGTCTAAACAGGAAATGGTGGTGCAGAGAGATTAGGAGAGGTTGGGCCAGGTGAAAGGCCCAGAGAGGAAGCCAAGATTAGGTGAGGCTTGTCTAATCCTAGGGCACAGGACATGCTTTACATCCCAGATCCATTCTTCACTAGATTAGGTCTACCATGTTCCAGAGGGTATGTGTGTTTGGAAAAAAATGTGAGTTGGTAGGGATAAGTTTAAAGACCAATACCTCTGTACTTATCCTGTGCTGTCGAGGGCTGGGTATATGAAGCAAGGTCTAAAATCCTTAACCTTTCAAAATTTGGGGGTTCCAGGGAAACCCATAAGCGAGTGCTTCTTTTTTTTTTTTTTTTTTTTGAGACAGAGTCTTGCTCTGTCGCCCAGGCTGGAGTGCAGTGGCGCAATCTCGGCTCACTGCAAGCTCTGCCTTCCGGGTAGCTGGGACTACAGGCGCCTGCCACCACGCCCGGCTAATTTTTTGTATTCTTTTTAATAGAAACGAGGTTTCACCATGTTAGCTAAGAAGGTCTCGATCTCCTGATGCGAGGGCTTCTTTGTGGTGCCTGGAGCCCATGCCCTGCTTGCTACAGTAGTGATTAATAGTATCGGTAGCTAAAGGAGAAAAGGGTTTCGTTTACATGCTCTGAGATCACCACAAACCCACCTCACTGTGTTGAAACGGGACAAATGAAATGGACCGCACTGGGTGGTGTGTGTCTGATCATGGGTTCTTATCTTCCCTAAATGCTGCCCTCCCCACTCCCCCAGTTATTGTATTTGTCTGGGCTTTGTAGGACTTCACCGAGTTGGTGATCGCTAGGGGGCCTACTTTATGTAATGCTGCCCTCCCCACTCCCCCAGTTATTGTATTTGTCTGGGCTTTGTAGGACTTCACCCAGTTGGTGATTGCTAGAGGGCCTACTTTATGTAAATACAATGCATTGGTCTTTTTCCATGTTCTTTTGGGGTTTTGTTTACTTCTTGTTTACTTGTTTACTTATAACTTCTTTTTGTATTGAGACCATCTTTGACAGAAGGTTCTGCGCCAGGCAAAAAGATCTCAAACATTAGTTTGGGGTGCCCTCTTATTAAAGTGGAGATCTTGAACCATCCTTTATTTTGTGTTCCTCTTCCCCATTACCTATTAGACCACATCTTCTGTCCTAAAAACTTGTCTCCTACCCTGCCCTGTTTTCTGTTCATCCCCAAAAGAAAACCTACACACCCAGACACATACACATTTAATGCTCGGAGTGTCTCCACAACTCTTAAATGATTTATGCAAACATCCTGAAGAAGCTAGGAACCCTCCATCGCTTGTTCCCAACTTCCTGAGTCAAGACCATTTCCTGATGTATCCATGCCAAACTCTTAAGACACTGCTGTACTTTGGATGGATCAAACCTAGTTAATCTTTAATCCTAAAGTAGAGAGAAGCAACTGGGGGCCTTCCATGTGGAAAGTGGGGTCAGGAGGCCAAGAAAGGGAATACGAATGTATATCCAAGGCACTCAGGAATTGTTATGCAAGTGCAAGAAACTTTTGTCAAAGTGGCCGCAAGATTGTTTAATAGGAGACAAATGAATGTAACTCCATGTTTGCTGCTAGAAACCAAAGCTTTGTGTGAAATTTTGCGTTTATTGGGAGGGAGGGTAGGAAAGCCTGAGGTTGTCTGTTCTTTTCCTGATCCCTTCCCCTCATTCCTGAACTGCAGGAGACTGAGCCCCTTTGGGCTTTGGTGACCCCATCACTGGGGTGTATTTATTTGTGGTTGAATTTGCTGTACTGGGTACTTCCTTTCCCATTTTCTAATCATTTTGTAACACATGCTGACTCTTCCCTTCCCTTCTCCTTTCCCTGGGAAAATACAGTGAATAAATAAAGACTTACTGGGAATGAAAAAAAAAAAGAAGGTTGTTAACAAACATTGTGTTTCTTCAAAAATTATGGTTAGATTACACTTGCCATATTCTCCAGAATCTAAGAATGACCTATATTTGGTTGGCAAAATGTGAGCAGAAGGAACCTGTGACCTCTCTTATAGAAGTTTTAACATAAAATGCACAATATACCATGTCCCTTTTTTCTGCCTTGATAATTATGGAAGTGCACTTCAAGAAGAAGTGTCCCTCAACTTGCATTCCTAAGTGACTATGGTAAAAAAAGCCCCCTGCCCAACACATAGGGCTTGTACCATGTGCAACAAATAAACATTTGTTGTATTAAGCCACAGAGCTCTGGAGGTTACTTGTTACAGCCCTATAATCTAGAGCATCCAGACTGATGCACAGACTAATATGCATTAACATAGGAAAATAGTCATCACGTGATTGTTTAATCAAAGCTAGCATGATCACCATTATGTTGAGATCTCAAGTCAGTTGAGTAACATACTCAAAGCTGATAAAACACAATTTGCTCTTTCAGCTATTAATCCTGAATATGTTACTCAATTATTAATTGGGATTAATAGGTTAAAGAGTAAATTCTTCCTTTAAGACCTTTTGAGAAGCCAGAAATTTGAGGAGCAGGAATTATTATATATATTTCTGAGATAGAGTCTCGCTCTGTTGCCCAGGCTGGAGTGCAGTGGCATGATCTTGGCTCACTGCAACCTCTGCCTCCTGGGTTCAAGCGATTCTCCTGCTTCAGCCTCCTGAGTAGCTGGGATTTCAGGTGCGTGCCACCACGCCTGGCTAATTTTTGTATTTTTAGTAGAGACGGGGTTTCACCATGTTGGTCAGACTGGTCTCAAATTCCTGACCTTGTGATCCACCCACCTCAGCCTCCCAAAGTGCTGGGATTACAGGTGTGAGCCACCGCGCCCGGCCAGGAATTATATTTATGGCTGTTTTCAACCTTTTGGATAGGCTTCCAGTATCTGGGAAAATTCACCTGTGAGAAGTCTGTCTTTTCAAAGTAGAAATCAAAATTGAGTTCCTAGTCTCACTTAGAGCTAGGCTGTAGGCATTTGACTTACATATACCCACTAGTTTCACTGATCTGAAGGCAGGAAATAGAGGACATTGTTTTGAGTAGAATTGTCCTTTGGTTATGGGAAGCCTGTGGATTTGGGGAATGGAAGTGGTTGCAAAGTCAGGTTTTTGCCATAGGGTGTTACAGCAGACAGAATTTCCTGTCTCTCTAACTATACATATTTAATTCGCTTTCTAGCTCTCTAGAGAGGTGTGCCAAGGAATTGAATTATACAGTGGTGTGAACTGATACAGTTGAAACAAGTTTGATATCTGTAGGGTGGGCAGTCAGAAAGGGAAGATTATGAGTAGGAGGAACTTCACGGGCATGGGCCAAAGTTGTCAACAGAAAGAATTTCTTTGCGCTTTTTCAGGAAACACTCTGCCTTGCTTTTTAGGTCTTCTAAGTGATTGTCATGCCTACCTAGATTATCCAGGCTTATCTCCCTTATTTAAAGTTAACTGATTAGGGACTTTAATGACATCTCCAAAGTCACTTCACAAAAACACTAGATTAGCATTTAATTAAATAACTGGGGACTATCACCTAATTACGTTAACACATTTTAGAAAATTACAAAGCATTTATCAACAGTGGTTTCAGAAAAGCTGACTTCCTTTCTTCCAGTAATTGATATGGCAGTGCTATTAATTTTATTTGTTTGTTTGTTAAATGCAGCCTGTTCTACTGAATGGTTTGTGTTGTTTTATTTCTGGAATCTCAACCTTATCTGTTCCCCCAGATAACTGCTATTCTGGTAGCTATTAAGATCTTTTTATAAATAAATCCCTTACTGGTTAACCTAGACAGAGTAGATTTTATTTATTTTAACTCGAGAACCTGACCCTACTAAACTTAGCCTTCTTAGAGAGAAAAATCACCTTTTTCTATTAAGATAAAGGACTTTGGTCAAAATGACATTACACAGACTTCTACTTCCTGTTTATGAAGCAAACTTTTTCTATAGGCCGTATTCTTTTGTTCTTAGATTAGTAAATTCTAGAAGTCATGCCCTCTCTATGGAAAGACACTTCCCTACGCTGCTTCTTCAGTTTTCTCTTGAATATCTTTGTAACAGAAACATTTAGTGAATTCATTGAAAATTTTCAAGAACTTTGTTGTATGGAAATGCCAATACCTTCTTCCTTTTGCATGCTTACAGCAGAGACTGTTACCATGAATGGCATGGAAAATGGAAGAGGAAGAAGAAGAAGAAAGATGTAAGTGAATAGAAAAGATGAAGGTAAACTAAGGAATAAAGCTCTATTTTAATTGAGGAAAGACTGAACAATGGATTACAACCTTTTTTCTCTCGTAATATATTTGTACCATGTATTGTCTTGTCTAGGTTATTATTAAATATTGCTTTATGAGCTGTTGTACTACGATCATACTCAAATGCTTTTACCCTAACCTTAAGTTAATGGTGCTTTATATATCTATATGTCTGCATATATTCATAAACTTATTTGTTGGTGAAAACATTTCTGTATCATTACTTACAACAAAATGATTAAAAGCACAGCTTATGGAGAAAAACTGCCTAGTTTTGTTTAGTTATTGTTAGATTTAATTTTTAAAATTGTGTTAAAATGTACAAGACATAAAATTTACCATTTTAACCATTCTTAAGTGTACATGTCTGTGTCATTAAGTTTCACATTGTTGTGTAACAATCACCACCATTCATTTCCATAACTTTTTCATCATACCATGGTGAAACTCTATACACATTAAATAATAACTTTCCATTTTCTCCTCCCCTAGCTACTGTAAAACTCCATTCTACTTTCTGTCTGTATGAATTTGAATGCTGTAGGTATCTCATATCAGTGGAATCATGCATTTGTGTGTGTGTGTGTGTGTGTGTGTCTGGCTTACTTCACTTAGCATAATGCACTCAAGTTTCACCCATGTAGCATGTATCAGAATTTCATTCTTTTTAAAGGCTGAATAATATTCCACTTGTATTTATAGACCACACTTAATTTATCCATTTATCTATTGATGGACATTTGTATTGTTTTCAACTTTTGGCTATTGTGAATAATGCTGATATGAACACTAGTGTACAAATATTCATAAACTTATTTTTTAAAATTAAAAAAAATATTCCCAGAAGTAGAATTGTTGAATCCTATGGTTTAATTCTGTTTAATTTTTCAAGAACTGCCATACTGTTTTCCACAGTTGCTGCTGCATTTGTTATTTCTACTAGAAATACTGATGGTTCAAATTTCTTCAGACCCTTGTAACACTTGTTTTCTGTTTTGTTTTGTTTTGAAAAATAGCCATCCTAAAGTTGTATTGACTAAGTTTTCCACACTCTTGATGCTCTGGAAATTGGGGCCTCATTGATACCAGATAAACTTCCTTTCCCAAGGGTAACTAACTAATTTCAGACAGCAAACAACTCCCCTTTCAGCCTGTCTTTGATATACAAACAAAACAATTCAGTCCACATCCCCAACCATCTCCTTTATCAAACTTTCACACACCGAGCCAATATTTTTCCTGTCCTAAATCACCCTGGAGCCAGATACCAGACAACTAGAGATGACTCCTATAGTCTACAGCTCACCAAAATTGTTAAAACATATCCCAAATATACTGGGTGTACCTATCCTGCCTTGCCCATTTCTTCCCAGGAAACCCCGAATAAAGGCTCCAGGCCATGTTTTCCCATGTTCCCCTTGTGCCTCCTAACTGACCTTGTTGCTTCTCTCATGTGGCCCTGTGTGGGCTGCTATGCCTCCTGTTTCTGGGGAATCTGTGAGTATAAAGTTCTTCACAATCATCATTTCTGTGTCTATAATAATCTTGACATACCCAATTACCACAAATCCCCCATGCATTTTTGAAGAGAAGTGGTGTCTCATTGTGTTTTGATTTGCATTTTCCTATTGATTCCTGGTGATGTTGAGTATTTGTTATATGTTTATTGACCATTTGTATATATTTTTGGACCAATGTCTATAAATCCTTGGCTCATTTTTGAATTGAACTGTTTGTTTTATGGTGTTGAGTTGTAGGGGCTCTTTTTATATTCTATATATTATTCCTTTATCAGATAGGTGATTTGCATTTTTTCTCTCATTTTTTGTGTTACTTGTTTTACTTTGTTGATAACATCCTTTGATGAACAAATCTTTTAAATTTTGATGGAGTCCAATTTGTGTATTTTTTTTCTTTTGTTGTCTGTGCTTTTGGTGTCATAGCCAACAAATTACTACCAAATCCAATGTCATGAAGCTTTTCCCCTATGTTTTCTCCCAAAAGTTTTATAGCTCTAGCTCTTAGGTTTAGATATTTGATACATTTTCAGTTAAGTTTTTTCAATAATATTAGACAATAAAATGTTCAACTTTGCTCTTTTGCATGTGAATATGTATTTTTCTATGTACCACTTGTTGAAAAGACTGTCTTTTCCCCCATTAAGCCATCTTGGCACCATTGTTTATTTGATCATAAATGTAAAGATTTATTTCTGTGCTCTCTATTCTATTCCATTGGTCTATATGTCTGTCTTTATGTTACTACTACACTGTTTTGATTGCCATAGCTTTGTAGTAAGTTTCAAAAGCAGAAAATATAAGACCTCTAACTTTGTTTTTCCTTTACAGGATTGTTTTGGCAGTTGGGAATTCCTTGAGATTTATTATGAATGTTAGGAGTGATTTTTTTTTTAATTTTTGCAAAAGACATCATTGAAATTTTAAAAGGGATTGCATTGAATCTGTAGATTAGTTTGGATAGTATGAATATCATAACAATAGTAGTAAATCACCTAGTTCATGTACATGGGATTTCTTTCCATTTATTTGTGTCTTCTTGAATTTCAGCAGTGGATTGTCATTTTCAGTGTATAAATCTTTCATCTCTTTGGTTAGACTTAGTTTTTTATTCTTTTGATGCTATTGTAAATGTAATTGTTTTCTTAAATTTCTTTTCAGCTTACACATTGTTAGGACACAAATATAGCCAATTTTTATGTGCTGATTTTGTTTACAGAAACGTTGCTAAATATGTTTATTAGTTCTAACAGGTTTTGTTTGTTCCTGTGTGTGTGCTGGGGGGGATGTTTGTGTGTATTCTTGGGATTTTATACATATAAGATGATGTCATCTGAGAACAGAGATAATTTTACTTCTGTCTTTCCAATTTAGATGCCTTTTATTTATTTTTCTTTCCTGATTGCTCTGGCTACAACTTTTAGCACTATGTTAAATAAAAGTGGTAAAATTGAACGTACTTGCCTTGTTGCTGATCTTATAGAAAAAGCTTTCAGTTTTCCACCATTGAGTATGATGTTAGCTATGGGTTTTCTACATATATCTTTATTGTGCTGAGATGGTTTTCTTCTATTCCTAGTGTGTTGAGTGTTTTTATCACGAGAAAATGTGTATTTTGGCATTTTTTTTCTGCATCAATTTAGATAATCACGCTCCCCAACTTCATTCTGTTAATGTGGTATGGCAAATTAATTTTTGTATTTAAAACTACCTTTACATCCCAGGAATAAATCCTACTTCATCTTGGCATATAATACTTCCAATATGCAATTGAATTTGGTTTCCTAGTAAACCAAACAATTTTTGGCATCGATATTCATAAGTAATATTGGTGTGTAGTTTTCTTGTCATATCTTTTTCTGGCTTTGGCATCAGCATAATACGGGCCTCATTGAATGACTATAGAAGTATTCTTTCCTCTTTAATGTTTTTAACAATTTGAAGATTGATGTTAATTCTTCTTTAAACATTTGTTAGAATTCACTGATGAAGCCATCTGATTCTGAACTTTTCTTTCATGTAAGGTTTTTGATGATTGACTCAATTTCCTTACTCATTATCCATCTGTTGGAATTCCTTATTTCTTCATGATCCAGTCTTAGTCGATTGTACATTTCTAGAAATCTGTCCATTTTCATCTAGGTTACCTATTTTGTTGAGGTACAGTTGTTCACAGGACTTTCTTATAATTCTTTTTATTTCTGTAAAATTAGTAGTAATGTCGGGAGGCCGAGGTGGGTGGATCACGTGAGTTCAGGAGTTCGAGACCAGCCTGGCCAACATGGTGAAACCTCGTCTCTACTAAAAATACAAAAATTAGCCGGGCGTGGTGCAGGTGCCTGTAATCCCAGCTACTTGGGAGGCTAAGGCAGGAGAATCGCTTGAAACCGAAAGGCGGAGGTTGCAGTGAGCCGAGATTGTGCCATGCACTCCAGCCTGGGGGACAAGAGTGAGACTTCATCTCAAAAAAAAAAAAATTAGTAGTAATTAATAATGTCTTCTTTTTCATTTTGGATTTTAGTTCTTTGAAACTTCTCTCTTTTTTTGTCAACTTAGCTACAAGGTGTTAATTTTGTTGATCTTTTTGAAGAACCAATTATTGGTATTGTTGATGCTCTCTGTTGTTTTTCTAGTCTCTATTTTATTTATTTATGTTACAATTTATTTTCTTCTGCAAACTTTGGGTTTAGTTTGTTTTTATATATTTCTTAGGTCCTTCAGGTGTAAACCTAGGTATCAGGCGAGGTGTCAGAGTTCCTGCATAGGGAAGTGGTTGACTCATGGGTTGGTAAGAAGAATTTACCAACAACAGTATAGATTTGAAAAGGAAAGTTTTATTAGATACAAAGAACACTGCAGAAGAGTGCAGCCAGGCACCACAGCAAGAGAGGACTGAGTGCCCACAGTGGATTTTTCCTTAGGAGTATTTATGGACCTTAAAGCAGGAAGTGAAAGGTAGTTTGCACAATAAATGATTACATTTGTAGATATTATGGTTCCTTAATGTTGGCAAAGGTTGCACAATGAGTTTTGATATGCGTGCATTCCAGAGATGTATAGAAATTCTAGTTATATTTATAAATTTTAAGTTGAAAAGAGGCCTGGAACCAGGTGCCTTTAGACAATAGGAAAGTCTAATTACTTCTAAATTCCTCAGATAAGAAATTTTTGTCTTTGGGGCTTGCTTGATGGTCACCAGGTGATTTTTACTCTCCTCACTGGATTTTTTATTTGAGCTTGTTCTTCTTTTTTAATACAAGTGTTTAACATTAACAATTATCTCTCTTAGCACTGCTTTTACTGAATCCCATAATTTGGCATGTAGTGTTTTCATTTCATTTGTCTCAAGATATTTTCTAATTTCCCTTCTGATATGGTTTGGCTGTGTCCCCACCCAAATATCAACTTGAACTTTATCTCCCAGAATTCCCACATATTGTGGGAGGAACCCAGGGGAGGTAATTGAATCATGGGGCCACTCTTTCCCATGCTATTCTCATGATAGTGAATAAGTCTCATGAGATCTGATGGGTTTATCAGGGATTTCTGCTTTTGCTTCTTCCTCATTTTCTCTTGTTGCCCCCCTGACTTTTGCCTCCGGCCACGATTCTGAGGCCTCCCCAGCTATGTGGAACTGTAAGTCCAATTAAACCTCTTTTTCTTCCCAGTCTCAGGTATGTCTTTATCAACAGCATGAAAACAGACTAAAACAGTAAATTGGTACCAGTAGAGTAGGTTGCTGAAAAGATACCCGAAAATGTGGAAGCAACTTTGGAACTGGGTAACAGGCAGAGATTGGAACAGTTTGAAGGGCTGCAAAGAAGACAGGAAAATGTGGGAAAGTTTGGAACTTACTAGAGACTTGTTGAATGGCTTTACCCGAAAAGCTAACAGCAATATGGACAAAAAAATCCAGGCTGAGGTGGTCTCCGATGGAGTTGAGGAACTTGTTGGGAACTGGGGCGAAGGTGACTCTTGTTATGTTTTAGCAAAGTAGCTGGCAGCATTTTGCCCCTGCCCTAGAGATTTGTGGAACTTTGAACTTCAGAGAGATGATTTAGGGTATCTGGCGGAAGAAATTTCTAAGCAGCAAATCATTCAAGGGGTGACTTGGATACTGTTAAAGGCATTCAGTTTTGTAAAGGAAGCAGAGCATAAATGTTCAGAAAATTTGTAGCCTGATTATGTGATAGAAAAGAAAAACCCATTTTCTGGGAAGAAATTCAAGCTAGCTGCAGAAATTTGCATAAGTAGCAAGGAGCCTAAGGTTAATCCCCAAGACTTTGGGGAAAATGCCTGCAGGCCACCACATCAGAGACCTTCACAGCAGCCATTCCCATCACAGGCCCGAAAGCCCAAGAGGAAAAAGTGGTTTCATGGGCCGGGCCCAGGGTCCCCGTGCTATGTGCAGACTAGGGACTTGGTGCCCTGTGTCCCAGCCACTCCAGCCGTGGCTGAAAGGGGCCAACTTGCAGCTTGGGCTGTGGCTTCAGAGGGTGGAAGCTGCCAAGGCTTGGCAGCTTCCACATGGTGCTGAGCCTGTGGGTGCACAGAAGTCAAGAACTGAGGTTTGGAAACCTCCGCCTAGATTTCAGATGTTTGGAAATGCCTGGATGCCCAGGCAAAAGTTTGCTGCAGGGGCAGGGCTCTCATGGAGAACCTCTGCTAAGGCAGTGTGGAAGGGAAATGTGGGGTCGGAGCCCCCACACAGAATCCCTACTGGGGCACTGCCTAGTGGACCTGTGAAAAAAGGACCACCATCCCCAGACCCCAGAATGGTAGATCCACCGACAGCTTGCACTGTGTGGCTGGAAAAGCCGCAGCCACTCAAAACCAGCACGTGAAAGCATCTGGGAGTGGGGCTGTATCCTGCAAAGTCACAGGGGTGGAACTGCACAAGACCATTGGAACCCACCCCTTGCATAAGTGTGACCTGGATGTGAGACCTGGAGTCAAAGGAGATCATTTTGGAGCTTTAAAATTTGACTGCCCTGCTGGATTTCAAATTTGCATGGGCCCTGTAACCCCTTTGTTTTGGCCAATTTCTTCCATTTGGAATGGTTGTATTTACCCAATACCTGTACCCTCATTGTATCTAGGAAGTAACTAGCTTGCTTTTGATTTTACAGGCTCATACGTAGAAGGGACTTGCCTTGTCTCAGATGAGATTTTGGACTGTGGACTTTTGGGTTAATACTGAAATGAGTTAAGACTTTGGGGGACTGTTGGGAAGGCATGATTGGTTTTGAAATGTGAGGACATGATATTTGGAGGGGCCATGGGCAGAATGATATGGTTGGGTGGGTTTATCCCCACCCAAACCTCAACTTGAATTTTATCTCCCAGAATTCAAATGGGACTCAGTGGGAGGTAATTGAATCATGGGGGGCCAGTCTTTCCTGTGCTATTCTTATGATAGTGAATAGTCTCATGAGGTCTGATTGGTTTATCAGGGATTACTGGGTTTGCTTCTTCCTCATTTTCTCTTGACGCCTCCATGTAAGAAGTGCTTTTTGACTCCCGCCATGATTCTGAGGCCTCCCCAGCCATGTGGAACTGTAAGTCCAATTAAACCTCTTTTTCTTTCCAGTCTCGGGTATGTCTTCATCAGCATCATGTAAACAAACTAATACACCTTGTGATTTCTTCTTTGACCCATGGCCTGTTTAAGAGTGTGTTGCTTAATTTTCACTCATTTCTGATTTTTAAAGTTTTCCTTCTGGTATTAATTTGTAGTTTTATTCCATTGTGATGAGAAAAAACTTCATATGATTTCCATACATTAACATTTATTAAGACTTGTTTTGTAGCCTAACATGGTCTATCCTGGAGAATGTTCCATGTGCACTTCAGAAAAATGCATATTCTGCATTGTTAAATGGAGTATTCTGTGTATATTTATTAGATACAATTGCTCTAAAATAGTTCTTAAGTTCTCTATCTTCTTATTGGTCTTTCAAGTTTTTCTATCCATTATTGAAAGTGGGTTATTAAAGTCTCCTATTATTGTAGAGCTGTCTATTTCCCCTTTCAATTCTCTCAATGTTTGTTTCATATGCGTTTATAATTGTTATGTCTTCTTGGTGAATTCATCCTTTAATTATTATATAATGTCCTACTTCATTTTTTGTAACCATTCTTCACTGAAAGTGCATTTTGTCTGATATTAATATAATTGCCACTGATCTCTTTTGGTAAATTTTTGAATTTAATATCATTTTTCTATCCTCTCACTTTCAACCTATGTGTGTCTTTAGGTCTAAAGTGAGTCTCTTGCAGACAGTATATAGCTGGATCCTGTTAATTTTTAAAAATCCATTCAGCCAATCTGTCTCTTGAATGAAAATATAAATATTTTCATTTATGTTGAGAATAAATACTGATAGGGAAGAACTTACAATTGACATTGTAAATTTTGTTTTCTTATCGCTATTTTGTCCCTTATTTCTTCCTTTTCTGATTTTCTTTATTTTTAGTTGATTTTTTGTGGTGATACATTTTGATTCCCTTTTTATTTCCTTTTGTTTATATTCTATAGGTAGATTATTTAAGATTATCATGGGGATTGCATATAATGTCCTAAAGTTATGTTACTCTATCTTAAGTTCATACCAATTTAACTTCATCACATACAAAAACTCTACTACTATACAGTTTCAACCCCTTTATGTTATCAATGTCACACAGTACATCTTTATATCACATAGTCTTTAACATAGGTTTACAATTTGTTATTCATTTGTTTTTTAAATTTTGTAGAAAATGAAAGACTTAAGTTACAAACCAAAATTACAATAATATTGTTTATTTACATTTGTCCACATGTTTACCTTTGCTTAAGAACTGTATATTTTTACATGACTTTGAATTACTGTCTGATGTCCTTTCCTTTCAACTTGAAGGACTCTCTCTCTAGCATATCTTGTAGGAAAGTTTTAGTGATAATAAACTCCCTTAGCTGTTGTCTTGGGATGTCTTAATTTCTCCCATAGTTTTGAAAGATAGTTTTGCCAGATATAGAATTCTCAGCTTGCATTTTTTTTCCAGGACTTTAAATATATCATCCTACTGCTTTCTTTCCTGCAAGGTTTATTTTGTGAAATTTGCTGCTAATCTTATTGGAGATATATTTTATGTGATGAGTCACTTTTCACTTTTTGTTTTCAAGAGTCTCTTTTTGCTTCTTCATTCCTTTTGATTTTGCTCCTTAAATGCAATATCAAGTGGACTGTCAAGTTTGCTGCTTCTCCTCTTTGCCTGTGATGGTTAATTTTATGTGTCAGCTTAATTGGACTAAGGAATGTCCAGATAGCTGGTAAAGCGTTATTTCTTGGTGTGTCTGTGAGTGTGTTTCCAGGAGAAACATTTAAGTCATAGACTGAGTAAAGAAAGTTGGCTTCAGCAACATGGTTGGGCATCATCAAATACATTAATGGCCCAATTAGAACAAAAAGGTGGTATGAGATGTGCACTGTCACTATGGGATGACAATGTTTTTAGAAGGGCTGTCTTTGACTTTTTCCTTGATTCGTCTATTAGGTTATTTGACTTTGTTGGTCACATCTAGCTGTTAGGTTACATGAACTGATGGATAATTGCTCTATTGTTTTCAACAATGCCCTGGGCACCTAAATTGCTTTGCAGCCTGTTTTCAAGAAAGTCAGGTCTCTTTGCAGAGGTAGGCTTTAAGATGAATCTTCAACCCTAGGAGTGCTCTTCTGTATCTTTTCCTGTATTATCTCTGGTAAACTTCAGCTGGTCTAAGGTTTAGGTAGATGCTTACATGGAATTACCTGCATCTTCTTAATTACCTACCACCAAAACCTTCATTGTTTTTGAAATTGCCCTAAGGCTTGAACTTTCCCACAGGCTATTCCAAATAAAATCCGTTTCTTCATAGAGATCTGATCACTCTCTTTCTAGGCAAATGGGCTTTGTGACTGCTCTTGAGTGGGGTGGGGTGGAGGGGGGCAATGACCCACTTGTCTTGGAGTAACACATCTGCTTTACTAGCAGGACAGTGGACAGAGCCAGTGGCTTCTGTCTTTTTTAGTTTGCCTCATCTGGTATGGAATCTTCTAGTGTGAAGCCTCACAAGTGATCTGGGACAAGAGTAAATTGGGCTCCAATAGTCTCAGGCTGTCATGCCTGAGATAAAAGTTTTACCCTTTAATTAGAACTGTGTGGGGAAAGAAAGTCCCATATCTTTCATTCTTTCTTGACTTCGTTTAGGGGTCTTCTTGACTGAATTTCTATACCAAAAAACGGAGAGAAGGAGAAATTCTGGTGGCCTGATTCTCCCCAAAAGGTGTCATAGTCCTTAAGTGGGAAGTAGGGTGAGAGGGAGTCCTGTGTATTTCACTGCACTGCCCTGACATAATGTTTCTGTCATGCTGAGCAGGAAGAAAGGAGGGAGGGAACAGGTAGTGGCTCAAATGCCACAGAGTAGCACTGTTCTTACCAATATTTACTAGATTTATTATAATAAATTATCTTTAAAAAATTTTCTGTATGCTCTTATAACAATTTCAAGAGATTAAAGTAATCTGGTTTTTGTTGTTTTTTCAGTTTTTACCTATTATGATTGTTTTGCTGGAGGGAGATTCCATGGAGCTCTTGATGCTACTGTTCCTGATGTTGTGCTCTATAATTAATTTTTTATATTGATCTTGCATCCTGCAATGTGGCTAAACTCCCTTATTATTTCTAATTGATATGTTGTAGATTCCATTATATTTTTTACATAGACAATGGTGTCCTCTGTGAATAAAGACAGTTTTCTTCTTCCTTCTTAATCTTCATTTCTTTTAATGTCTTTTACTTGCTTTATTACACTGGCTAGAACCTCCATGACAATGTTGCAGGCAGGTCATGAAAATTTTTTTTTTTTTTTAATCTCAGGAGGAACACTTTCTTTCATCATTAAGTATGATGTCATCATTAAGTATGAGTTTTTGGCAGATGCCCTTTAAGAGATTGAGGAATCTCCTTGTATTTCTATTTTCTGAGAGTTTTTATTAGGAAAGTATATTAGATTTTGTCAAATTTACTTTTACATGTCTACTTAGATGACCTTACTTTTTTCTTTTTGAGTTTTATAATAAGTTACATTTCTTAATTTTTGAATATTAAACCAACCTTGCATTCCTAGTATAAATGCTGTTTAGTCATGATTGATATATTAGCCTTTTCGTACATTGTTGGATTCAATTTATTATAATTTTATTTATATTTTTTGCATCTATCTTCATAAGAGATACTGATCTATAGTTTTTCTTTATTGTTCTGGTTTTGGTGTGAGGATAATGGTGACTTTATAAAATAATTTGTTTTTTCATAGATTTACTTTTCAATTATTTCTCCTCTTCAGCTTTTTAGAAGTTTCAGTAGTATTAGTATAATTCCTTCCTTGATGTTTAAGAATTTTCCAATGTAGAGCCAGCTATCTGAGGCTGGAATTTTTTAGTCAGTAAGGCTTTTAACTTTAAATTGTGTTTAATTAATAGATATAAGGCTATGTTGGTCATCTATTTCTTCTGTAGTGAATCTTAATAGTTTGTGTATTTTATAAAATTTTTATTCTAAGTTTCTTTAACATTAAATTTTTTACAATATTCTCCTTTTATCTTTGTATTATCTATATAGCCTGTGTGATGACACTTCTTTTATTTTTGACTTGGTAAATTGTGCCTTTATTCTTTCTTTTTCTCGTCAGTGTAGCTAAAGGTTTATCAGTTGTTTTGGTCTTCTCAAAGAACCACCTTTTAGTTTCATTAAATTTTCTGTATTGTTTTTCTACTTTTATTTAACTGAGAAATGCTTTTATATTTATTATTCTTTCTTCTGCTTAATTTGGCTCCTTTTTGCTCTTCTTTTTTTTCTAATCTCTTTATATAAATGCTGTGGTAATTAATATGAGTTCTTTCTTTTTTCAATATAAAATTTTATTTTTATAAATTTACTCCTAATTATTAATTCAGTAGCACTATACAAATTTTGATATTTTGGTCTTGAAATTTTTATTTAGTTCAGAATACTTTATAATTTTCTTTTGAAATTCTTCTCTAACTCATGGGGTTATTAGCAGTGCGATATGCAATTTTTTAATATCTAAGGATTTTCTAGAGTTGTTCTGTTATTAATTTCTCATTTGATTTCATTTTGCTCAGATAAAGTACTCTCTTTTAAATTTGCTTTCTTTTAGATTTGTTTTAGGACCCAGAATATGATCTATTTTAATGTGTTTCCTGTGCCCATGGAAAGGGTATATGTTTTGCTATTGTTGGGTTGAGTATTTAATTAGCCTAAGGTTTTTGTTCATGTTGTTCAAATAGTCTACATTCTTAATAATTTTATATCAACTTATTCTAACATTATTGATGTAGGGCAATAAAACCTCTGACTATAACTGTGAATTTGTCTGCTACAAATTTCCATTTTAACATCCTATTACAAACAATAGTGACGTTATCTCTATATGTGTGTAAATGATTATGAATTAGTTTTCTATTGCAATTACAAATTTGGCAGTTAAAACAACACCCTTTTATTATTTCACAGTTTCTCTGGGCCATAAATCTGGCCACAAAATTACTGGGTTTTCTGCTCAGCATCTTACGAGGCGAAAATCAATGTGTCTGTTGGGATGCTTTCTCACCTGGAACTTGAAGTCCTCTTCCAGGTTTATTCAGGTTGTTAGCAAAATCAAAATTGTAACTCTAAGACTGAGGTTCCTATTTTTCACCTGGCTGTTGGCTAAGGGTTGCTCTGACCTGTCAGAGGCCACCCTCAGGTTTAGCCACATAGTCCTCTTATAATATGACAATTCACTTCTTCAAAACATAGAGAAGAATCACCTTCCTTTCAGAAAGAGCTCAGTACTCTTTAATTTAAGGGCTTATGTGATTAGGTCAGGCTCACCCAGGATAATCTTTCCTTTGATTAACTCAAAGTCAACTAGTTACAGACCTCAATTACATTAGCAAAATAACTTCCATATAATATAATATAATATAATATAATATAATATAATATAACATAATATAATCACAGGAGTGATAATCATATTATGCGCACAGGCGTTACCCATACTCAAGGGCTGGGATTATACAAGGGTATTTTTCATTGGGGGAAATCTTAGAATTTTGCCTAATACAGATTGTAAGACCAGAAAAAAGATCTGGAAAAATATACCCCAAGATGGTAACATTTGTTACATTAGGAATGTGATGGTGTGGATGGAATAGATAGAATTGGGAAAGAAAGGCTAAAAACAAACAAACAAACAAACAAACAAAAAACCACAAAACAGTTGTAGGAAAGTGGGAGGGAGAAGCCACAGTATAAAATTAAGTAAAAATGTAGACTGCAAAAATTGAAAAGGTAGCCTTTTGAATATGAGCAAGGACTGGAAGTTGTATTAGAAAAATAAAAACACTAACTTTGACTTCGGGATGGAATTTTGGTTAATTTCTGCCCTGAATTTTATTTTAGTAGAAACTTTGCAATAAAGTAAAAATAAAAAAATAGCACAAATAAAATATTTTTATGTCTAGCATCAATCCTAAAATGTCAGTTCCTTTTAGAGATAATAGCAGCTTATGGGCTACCCAGTTTTATTTTTTATTTCAAGTGTTTTCCTCATCCAGAGGGTTAAATGCTATCAATACTGGTAAGGGACAGTTTCATGATGACAGACAAAGAGGTAAAGGTTCCTCATGAGAAATCAATTTCTAAATGGTAGCAGCCCAGCATGTCTTTGATTTTCCATAGGATGCCACACCTTTGATATAATTGAATTCATCTCATCTACTAGTACTTGAGTAAAGATGAATGCTAAACCATAAGTTAGAGTTTAAGAGTTATTTGAAGATGCAGTTGTTTTTTAGGATTGTTATTAGACACTTGGAAGCCCTGAGTCTGAGTAAGAATTTCTTCTTTTTTTTCCCCTCCACACACGTTATATTAAGCTGTCATTCATAGCCATGGCAAGAATAGAAAACTGTCTTGGAATAACTTGGATGACAGAAGCTCTCTGGTGGTATGTAGCTTTCAAAAAAAAAATCACCACGTCACAACAGATCTTTTTTGATTTGTTCGGTATTTCCAGATTCATTTTATAATGACAAATTAAGACATTTGTACAGTGAACTCTGACATTAGTGTGAATACAGCTCTTCCTGGTCCTATACAGTTTTTTATTTTTTCTGGCCTGCGTCTTTGATAATAATCTCAACATTTTTTGAATGTTTTCACAGCAACTCAGTAATAACTGGTAATTGAGAGTAATCTCTGCATTTCCTAGTTCAACCAATGCACCTCACTGTAGAAAGAGGTATATGGATGAAGCTGAACTCTGAAGAGTGCAGGTGTGAAAAATAAAATTCTAGGATTTTTATTTTGCAAAAACTTACTAATTATAAAATAGCCTTGAAACATGATAACATTCAATATATGTTGCAGTTTAATAATGAACAATCAGCTATACATTATTTTCCATGACCACAAAAATGCTTTGACTTATTTTATTGTATTTGGGATCCCACAGTGAAACTTCATAACAGAAATAAAATTCTTCAAACAAGAGGACCATCAACTTTTTTCTCAAATGAAGTTTGCAATTAGGTATAGGTAATCTATGAATTGTACAGAAGTCATCTAAAATTCTGCTATCTTGTGTGCTTAATGCAAATTGAATGTGTCCAGTGCAACAGAATATACAGAAAGATGTAAGTAATTTATTTTTGCTATTTTTAAATTCTCAGTAATGTTTTTAGACTTCAAACAATTTTTCTTTTATTTAACAAGTATTTTTCTAGTTTCTACTTTGCTAGAATCATTTTGTTTGGCATTAGGGTATAAAAGTAAACAATACAAATAGAATCTTTATCTTCGTGGAGCATATAACATGCCTGCTGAGACATTCAACCACATAGGGTATATGTAAATTATATTTATGATTTTCTACTAGCATTTGGTGAGTACCCATCAGTGCATTCCATTGGTTAGGCAGTCAACATTCACAAATGCTTAATATATGTCAGGGATCATACTGGAATTACATAAATACTTACAGAACTAAAAAATCAGCAGAAAAGAGACCCCTAAGTATAATTATAGTTTCAATATGATAAATTCAGACATTGTGATTTGTAAAACGTAGATCGTTATTGAAGAATAAAGAACACACTCTCATCTATCTTATGTATATATGTCTGTATTTATTTATCTATTGATCTCTTTATTGATGGAGAATGTAGATAAAATTGCATAAGATGAGCTCTACAGAGGAGGTAGAATTCTCCCTTGAATTCTCATTCAGAGAGTGAAAATAGAACCCATTTTATATACTAAAGATTGTAAGCAATAAAGTTCTAAAATAGAAAAATGTTTGTATACAAAGGTTAATTGTACATCTAGCATGTCCCAGGTTTAAGATACAGTGTTGCTGGCAGATGCTGCCAGTGCTCTGCTGCTTCCTATTGGGCCTTACCATTCTTACCCAACTTTCCACTGTTCCGCACTCCTTTCTCTTTGCCTGAGGACTTTCTTTGGCTACCAGAGCCCACTTTGTCCATGCATGTGATGGGAAGTACTGGGAAAAAAATTCCCTTCATGATCAACTCGCAACCAGTAATATCTGGGATTGGTAGGATAAATATTCCAGCTCCCTTACCCCTGGATAGGATAAATTTAAGGTTTAAAATTTAAATTTTAAACTGTTTTCTGGAGTTCCCCAGGAAGATAAAAATCGAATTATTCACAATGGTAACCTATTTGTTAATGCAGTCTCATGGTTGTCTTCCTTTCCCTTTGTCACTTCCCAACTTCCTAAAAGGTCCTGGGGTCCCATCCCAAATAAACTACTTGCACTTGGATGCTTGTCTTGGGGCCTGCTGCTGGGAAAACTTAACCGAAGACACTGACCATTCTTCGTGTGTTTACATTAAACACATACACGTGCACCCATTACAAGATTAATATACCCACACACAGATAGATAGATGACTGATTGATAGGTAGATAGGTTGATAAAAAAGCACTTCAAAGGCGATTTTTCAAGATCTCTCATTTTTTTACTGTTACAAAAGTTTGAATCCAAAGTTCTTGACTTTCAGGCTGAGGCTCTCACTGCATACAAAGCTGCATCTAAAAGGAAGTTTAGCAGAAAATAAGCTAGTGCAATTGATATTTTTATATGGCCGTGAGTTAGCCACTGCTGCCTAACAAACCACATGAAACTTCATGACTTAAACAATTATCTTTTAAAAAAAATTTTTTGCTAACAAGTTTATCAGTCATGTTGGGTGGCTCTACTGATGTGGGTGAGGTTCGGCTGCTCTTGGCAAGCCTTGCTTAGGTATCTCTGGTCTGCTGCTGGGTAGGTTAAAGGCTAGGAGGTGCTTGGCTGGGACAATGGGAATGACTGTTCCACCTGGCTTCTCATCTTCTAACAGGCCAGCTCAGGCTTGTTCACGTGGCAGAGGCTATGGTCAAAGAGAAAAAGCAGAACTGTGCAAGGACTCCTTAGTCTTAAGTTTAAAAGTAGAAGATAATTACTTTGTTACTTTCTAGTAAATAGGTCAAAAGACCAACCTAAATTCAACAGGTAGGGAAATAGCTCCACCCCTTAATGGGAGTTTTTGAAAAACCACATTGCAAAATGATGCAGATATGTGGAAGGAAATAATTGCAGCAATTATTTTGCAAACAATCTACCACCTTCTGGCTATTGTCTATCTGAATTCATTTTGTGCTTATCAAATGCCCAGGACCTTTTTTAAAGGGGGCAAATAATATTATGTCATCTTTATTCCATTACCTTGCAACTCATTTTGCTGTAATTCCTCCCCTTGGTCATGTTCTGTGCTAATTTTCTTATGTTTCAGAAATTATATTCTCTGGTACAACACTGATTTCCCCCTACCCACTATTTTATTTAGTCTACTCAAGCTTCAGATTAGTCCTCTAATTTAATTGTAATATGGAGCATTCATTAGAAATAGTATAGTCTATAAAACTGTATTTTCCAATATTTATAATAGCCATGGATAGGGAAACCTGTATGTTGTGAAAGAGACTGAGGGGGACAAAAAAGAGGAGAAAGGTTGTTATGTGTGTAAAGACTATCAAGTAATAGCGTCCTTGCCACCCTGTGGAAGTTTCTAAAATTGCATGATCTAAAATCTTTGAACATGTGTCTGCTGAGTACCTGTTTGTATAAATCTCTGTGCTGAGTACCAGCGAGAGGAAAATGAACTGTGCCATGCAAAGGGGCATCCTCGTGTTGCAGAACTAAACAGAGCCAGTGTGTTGACCTCATGTTGGCAAGTGGACCAACTCAACTCCCAGCCTCATCTCAATAGATATGGGAAGATGGCAGAGCCTCATCTCATGATCAGGATTTTAGAGCTAGAAGAATCTTTTGGAGTCATCTAACCCAACTCATAGTGCTTTTATTAGGTAAACTTTTAAAAAATACAAAGTACTTATGGAAAAGTACACAGATAATAATTTAATTGCTCCATGAGTGTACCCATGTAACCAGCACCCAGAACGAGAACAGAAAACTCTCAGTTTCCTAGAAGCCCACCTCTTGTGTTCTTTCAGTCACTGCCCTCCCAGACATCCTGCCTTCCAATAGCATAGACATATCTTGCTTCTTGGGAACTTTTTCTAAATAGAATTATACTGTTCTCTTTTGTATGACGTTTGTCACACTGACTATCACATCTGTAATATTATTCATCCTTGTCATGTATTCTTGAAGATTATTCATTTTCATCACTTCATAATATTTCAATACATGAGTAAATCACAACTTATTCAGTTCTACAGTTCATAGCCACTTGTGTTGTTTGCATTTTTTACTGTCACACATTATCTTGCTATGAACATTCTAGTACATAGCTTTTGGTGCTCGTATGCTTGTATTTCTGTTGTGTATCTATTTAGGACTGTAGTTTCTGGGCTACATGTATGCATATGTTTGGCTTTCATAAATTATACCAATTTTCTAAATTGGTTAGACCAATTTATATTTCCACCAGCCCAACTATGATTATTTAACTTTTATTTTTAAATAATTACAGATTTATAAGAATTTGCAAAGAAATACCCAGCAGAGACCTCTGTCCCATGTATCCAGCCTCCCCTAATGCCTAATATTAGCATCTGGCTTATGTACTTTTTAATATAGGAGGCAGACTGAAAGAGGCAAAGTTATCTGGTTGAAGCCTCATGGCTAATGAGTTGCAAAATTATAACTTAAGTATGGACTTTCCATTGACTCAAGAAAAGCTGCAACAAGTTCTCTTTAACATCACCTTACAGTTTGCAAAGCCCCTTATGTTTATAAAATTATATAGTTGGTAACACAGAAACAAAAAACTAAATACCACATTTTCTCACTTATAAGTGGGAGCTAAATGATGCTAATATATGAACACATAGAGGGGAACAACACACACTGGGGCCTATCAGAGGGTGAAACATAGGAGGAGGGAGAGGATCAGAAAAAATAAGTAATGGGTACTAGGCTTAATACCTGAGTGATGATATAATCTGTGCAAGAAACCCTCATGGTACAAGTTTACTTATATAACATACCGGCACATGTACCCCGAACTTAAAAGTTAAATATATATATTTATATAATACATATATATGTATATAATTGATATGATCTCTTAGTAAAATTTGAAGAACATTTACCTATCTCCTAGGATTTGGAGTAAAGATTAACACTGAACCTGGTACAGGATCAGTATTCAATAAAAGGTAGCCATTTATTATCAATAGCAACCGCATCATCCCATTTGGAGAGCATTTTTATCTTCATTTCTTTGAAGAAGGATGTAATGCGTAAAGAAGTGGTATAATTCTTCAAGGGCTGAGTTGATAAGCCACAGAGCCTATCCTAGACTTGTATTCAGAAACTCTGACCCTACACTTCAATTGCTGATAGTGATAACTTGCTTGATAATACACACTGTGTTGCCTTCATTCTCTGTCCTGTCTCAATTTCTGCTCCCCTCCTGCTAGTATTGTCTGGGATCACATCCCAAATAAAGCACTTGCACTAAAATTCTTACTCAGAATCTGCTTCTGGGGAATTCAAACTAAGACACTCATCTTCATGAATTTTTTCTATCTAGCTTCTTAATTTCTGTTCTGATCCAAAAAACAACTCCCAAAGAGTGGTTTCCATGTGACATTTTTAAGGTCCCTTCCGTGTTCCTAAAAGATCAGCCTATGCATGGTCAGTTCTTTTGGCAGGATTGCTAATTTCTGTGGCAATTATCTCTATCTCATGGTTTTATCTGGATTAATTTCTTAAAGAACTCTGGCCTAGAAAGGTTTAGTATTTTACTTGAACTTCCTATGTGGAATATTTTTGTATAACAGCAAAGTCCTCTCATACCTTAACCTTAAATGCTCCAAGAGAAAGTTCTACCCTGTTAGAATAAAGGTCATGCCTTCCTCAATTATAGCTAATCTCAAAGCGTGAGAGTTTAACTAATGGTCAAATCCATATTAAGTTTAATTACACATAGTTATGAGTATATAACATTCAACCCATGCCCCAATGATTTATGTAATACAAATGTGATGGGATATTGCTGCTTAAATCCAAGCAGGAGAAGAGGTTCAGAAATCACAAGGACAACCTTTGTACAAAAGCCATTGCTAAGCATTAGTCAGGCAGTTAAGATTAACATGGGATAGCACAACCCTCCATTAGTTACTCATCAGCAAACACAGAAAAACGAGAGCTCGATTATAGCTCTTTGGTGTATTTTTAAAAATGAGAAAATGGAAAAGCACAGAGGCTGAGCAAGGACCCAGGGGCATGCAACCAGCTAAGTTGCTGAGCTGTCAGACACTAAGTCCTCCCTGTCTTAATCCATTGTACCAATGGGCATCATAGCAAATGAGGAGACACAGATACTAATTCAGGAATTTCAAATTTTAGCATCCATCAAAATCATAGTGGGTTTGTTAAAACACAGATTGATGTTCCCTGTTGCCTAGAATTTCTGATTCAGTAGGGCTGGCATGAAGACCCTGAGGATCTGCATTTGTGACAAGTTCCCAGGTGATGCTGATGTTGGTAGCCCAAGGCTCACATTTTGGGAATGATTGCACTAATGGAATATATTTTTTCTAAGATGGATCTCAGATGGTACTCATGCAAGGAGCCTGGACTCACTGGCAGACACAGGGGCATCTTATTGCTAGAATCACAGGGCTTAACATTCAGGCCTGCGCAGAGACCGTCAGAGGTGAAATGCCAAGTAATTAGGTCTCAAAACTAGGCTGACTAGAGAAATCGGATTTGCAAAGATCAGAAAGGGCCACAGGTGGCAAACATGACTCAAGGTCGGAAATGCTAAGTTCAGAAAGTACCAAGGCTCAGAACCTCAGCTCTTGCTCTTGCAACCAGTTTAATTCCTATGTGACCCCTGACAACTGAGAGGGAAGAAGGATTGTTGTCCTAGGTAAATGCTGAACTACTAGGAATAAAGGCAAAAAGTTAAATCATTAGGCTCATTTTTTGTTCTTTTTGTCCTCAAAAACCTACCTCTAAATGCTCCTTCTAATGGATACTTCTTGTGAATGCTTGGATATAACCCCATCCAGAAATGCCTTGGATATGCTTTTGTCCTTATTAGTTTCAGTTTTCCCTTGAAGTTTTGTGGTTAAAATGGACTGAAGTGAACCTAGGCTCTTTCCTCACTAGCTGTGGGACCGATGAATTGTGTAACTTCTTGGAGCCTCAGTTTCCTTACCAGGAAAAGAGGGTTAAAATAATTTGTTTCTCATACAACTTCTTCAAGAATTAAGTGAGTCATACTAGCACTTGCCAGATGTAGTAACAGCTCAGTAGACCTCAATTATGTCGTTATTCTTATCATTATTACCATGTGTTAGCATCTTTCCTCTGATGACTGCCACACTCCTGGCAATGGTTATAGTCTATGTAAGATTTCACTTTTGGAAAACCAATGATATTTGAATAATGATTACTTATGAGAATGGAAAAATGTCTTTTACTCTAGAAATTAGGAAACTCAAAGAAGAAATAAAGCCTTAGGGATGTGTTCATGTGTGTGTGTGTGTATGTGTGAGTTAAAAGTAGATAGAAATACCTGGAACAGAAGAAAAGACGTAAGTCAAAAATATGTGGTGAAATCTATAATAACATTGTGCCGATGTTAATTTCTTAGTTTTTTTCTATGTGTACTATGGTTATGTAAGATTTAAACATTAGAGGAAGCTGGGTACAGGATGTACAATAACTCTCTGTGCTATTTCTGTAACTCTTCTATAGATGTAAATGAACTGAAAATAATTTTTTAAAATATCAAATTAACTAGAAAAGAGCTAATTAAGAAGGTTGTGACATAGTTTTTAATAACTTTCCATAGAATAAATATTCTTTAAAAGCAGGTTTTATGTTGTTGTTTATTTTTTTGTTTGTTTCTTTCTTTCCCCAGGAACGGCTAAAATGCATCCAGACACAAGTTGTGACACAGAAGTGCTATGTGCTCCCCAAAACCATTTCCTCTTTCCTCTGGACTCAACCTTAGACTACATTTCCCAGCCTCTCTTGCAGTCAGTTGCAGTCACGTGATTGCATCTGGTGAAAGAGATGTGACCAGCAGTAACTGCAGTACTTCTTGGCCTGGACCATGGAAACCTCCCACAATCCTCTGTGCTCTGTCTTTCCCATTTAACACTCTAGAGGCAGAATAGAGGAAGACAGAAGAGAATTGGGCCCTGAATGGGCATGCAAGCCTGCCATTCAATCAGACATTCCTTTTGGGATTGATGGCATGAGAGACTTTTTGGAAGGCTGAATTGCTAAAATGGGCTACTTACCTAACTAATGCAAAAATCTGGGCAGCGTGCTGTGGCATTTCATTGGGCAGTATTGTTTTTGGTTCAGCATAATTTAACTCTGAAAGAAATCCCAAAGGAGGTAAGTATCCCCAATATAAAATTCCATGGTGGATATTTTAAAATGAGATAACTATGTTTGAATTACATATTCTGGTATTTGTACTTTATTAGTTTGTATTCACATATAATTTAAAGACTATAAGTATCCTGAAGGCAGGGACCATGACTGCTTTGTTATTGGCTGTATTCCTAGAATTTAATACAGTGGCACACATTTAATAAAATTTAATCTAATCAAGAAGATTTGGAAATAACTGATTGATTGGTTCGTAAAGAATAAGAAGAGGGTTTTTAATTGCATTTAAAGATGGACATAGCAGTACGTCTATTCATTTTGTAGTTAAAATACATTATTTTATATCTCAGCTTTGTTTGAATTAATACAAATGAAATTACATAGCAGTTTTGTCCCATAATATGTATTATCTTGTTGTTTTAAAATGTTTACCTGAGAACATAGTAAGGGCTAAAGAAGTACTTTTTGAAAGAATGAATTTTATAAGCTCTAGTCGACTGTTTTGTTTTGCTGTGGATACATGGAAATAACCGTATCTTATGTTGCTTTATATGATTGATCATAAATGAAGTTACAAAAACATGCAGTTCTTCACTTAATTGAACTCATATATGTATCTTCTATAAAGGTACATTATGAGTCCTAAATAAATTTTAATTAGTGACTGACATAGAATACTATTGAAAAAAGCTTAATTCTTTGTTTGACCGATGAAGAAAACTTCTCAGAACTTCATATATCGGATTACAGTAATGAAAGAAATAAGCATAAAATATTAGCAAGTGATTGCAAGAATGAATTAGAGTAAAATTTTCCTCTACAACAAATCCAGTTATTTCAAGAAGATACATGTGCTTTAATTTGTTAGTGCCCACTAGTTTATATTAAAATAAATTGAAAAGCTGTGAAGTATCCTCTTATGGCATATTGACATTTTAGTTTTTGTTATGTACAGGGTTTCCCAGAAGCTGCTAAAATTAATTTCTGAACTCTACCCTTTAGACTGCAATTGCTAAAAGGAAAAATATATAGACAATAGAAATATATATTGTAACTAATTAAGTAAGCATGTCTCCATATTAATGAAGTCCTCTAATTAACTATGCTACTGAATAGAATAATATGGCATGGAAGAAATGGGAATAATTTCATTCTGAAGCTGACATAAAATGATAATAAAATAAATAGCTTTGTGGCAGGAAAATTATAGGTTTATTAATTTGTGTTTTGAATCTCCTGCTATGTAATAAGCAGTAGACTGAGGGCTATTCGTGATTTCTATTCTCTGTTTCCACCACTCCCCATCCCAACCCAATGCACCCCACCCAACCCAACCTCTTTATTCCTCTGACTCAGTTAAAATTTTTGCCTTAGAGCCAAAAGCAAATATCTTTAAGAAAATCCCTTTTCTTGTTTGATCTTTCAAAAGCTAAATCTCAATAAGATTACGTGAGGCACTTCCAAGAAGGTAGACCTTTATTTTATTTGGAGGGAAGGGAGATGAGTGATTGTCAAATATGAGAATCATAAATAAGTGGAGGGAAAAGAAGTTATAACAAGAGTGGAAGGTTATATGCTGGTCTAATATGCTGGTCTAGCAAGAAGTAGTAACCCAATATTCCCTTCCTGTCTCAGATGCTCCAAAAGTCATCAGGACCTCAAAAAGATAGTTCTGTGGTAATTCTAGGAAGTTGGATAGAGTGGTGATGAAATGCCATGCTTCATGAGGATTCTTGTCTGAAGATGCCTTGAAAACTGCAGAGCTCTGAGGCTTCAGGGGTTGTTAGGCTAGCTGGAAGATGATCAACATGTCTTCCCAAAGGGTTCTGTTCTGCTTGACATCCCTGGTATAATTCAAGGCATTGCAGAGTGGAGGAAGAGGGAATCAGGTAAGGTCAATGGGAAATCATGGGATAGCACCTAATAATGACTAAGACTCAATTTCCTCCCAGACTTGAAGTTAGATTTAATATGACTGAACGAGCATAAAGAAATGTGACATTTCTTTGACTTTGAATCATAGTAGCAGCAAATTCATACCTCCTATGTGTTTATAAGATTATCTATACTATATGGTATGTTAACCAATAATGTATTTTTCTTAAACAAAACAAAGACTCTTTTTGATCTCAGAGGCAATTCTGAAAGCAGAAAATTCATGCACAAACAGAAATTTTCTATCAATAATAAATTAATATCAAAGCTGTTTCTAGTTACTAGTGCCATTTCCAAATTAAATAGTCTTTTTGAAGGTTATAATTCAGCTGAACAGAAGAAAAGAGGGTAGAAATGTATGTCCTGTGTTGTCATCTAAAAATGCATACTAGTGATTGGCTTATTTATAATACCACATTTCTTTTCTAGTGACCTTTAGCCTATAATGTATATAAAATGAAAGATTCATGTATATTCAGTGAGGAAACAGCAATTTGGAATTGAATTACTTGTCTTAGTTCTAGTAAGCTCAAAATACTTCTATTTGTCATTCATTAAGTTTCCAACCACAGGTGTTATATTTGTGTTCTCCACTATTGAACACTTCCCAGAGTCACACTCTTTGTACCTCTGTAGTTCCTCCAATTAGAGTAGGCAGAGTATACTTCAACTCATTTATGTTGAGCTTTACCATGTGAAGTGCTTTGGCCAATGGAACATTAGTGGATATGTTGCATAAAGTAGCTTTAAATGTGATATATGGTTGAACTCGACTTCTTGTGCTCCTGCCTTTTATCATGAGGAAAGCCTGCCTCTGGAAACTACTGGTCTAAGAAGGATGAGAGCTATAGTTAAGATCTGGACCCAAACTGCAGCTTGAATCTAAGCTTGGTTGAGCCCAGCTTAGATCAGCCAAATCTCAGCTGACCTGAAGACATATAAACAGGAAATAAATGTGTCTTGTAAGCCACTAAATTTGGGATAGTTTGTTACACAGCATTATATTGTATACAGCAGACTGAGGCATCTTTTCATTCTTTTTGCTCAGTACATCTCCAAGCTCCTTGTGGTGCTTTGAATATTAAGGTTAGTTAGCCTTTTATATTTATTCCTCCTTGTTTAGAACTAAGAGACATTTCTTTTTTTTTTCTTTTTTCTTTTTTTTTTTTTGGAGACGGAGTCTCGCTCTGTGGCCCAGGCTGGAGTGCAGTGGCACAATCTCGGCTCACTGCAAGCTCCGCCTTCCGGGTTCATGCCATTCTCCTGCCTCAGCCTCCGGAGTAGCTGGGACTACAGGCGCCCGCCACCAAGCCCGGCTAATTTTTTGTATTTTCAGTAGAGACGGGGTTTCACCATGTTAGCCAGGATGTTCTTGATCTCCTGACCTCGTGATCCACCCATCTCGGCCTCCCAAAGTGCTGGGATTACAGGGGTGAGCCACCGTGCCCGGCCTAGAGTTAAGAGACGTTTCTATACTATGGCTCCAATTCAACATGGAACAATTTTCATTTGAGAATATGATTCAGCATTTATACTACAGGTTGGTGTAAAAGTAATTGCAGGTTTTGCGATATTTTAATTGCACTAACCCATATATTTCAAGGATCAGACAGATAGACAATAAACTATTAAAAACGCAGAAAAGTAATCTGCACCTGGAGAGGTGCAAATAATACATTGTGATTGTTACTTAAGCTGCCTTTTACATAAATTGTTTGATTTTAATAGATGGAAAAGGGGAGAAAGATGTTTTCAGTGGGAAGAATATTAATTTATCCAGTTTTTATTTATTTTCCCATCAAACACACGTTTTAAAAGTACTTTCAATGAACCAGTGTTAGTGATATAGTGGTAAAGAGCACAGTCATGATGTCAGGCTACTGGGCATGACAGGAGGAAGAAATAGACAAGGGCGGGATAGAGACCAAGTCCTCTGCATGAGACAGGGTCCAGTTCAGAAACAGGGGCCTTCCTCAACCTGAGAAAGCTGGTTAAAAACAAAACTAAACAAAACAAAATAAAACAAAATAAGGGGCTTAGTACTGAACAACATTGTGTCCAAAGACCTTTGCAGCTTCAGTGAGAAGTAGGAAACCATTGCTATTGTGTGATCTGACCCAGAAGAAGTTCTGTTCCAGGTAATTGTCCAACCCACGAGGCAGGCTGGATATAAACTGGTATTAGGAACTTTTCATGTAACTGGCTTCTCTGGAAAAACGAATGGGGAAGAGCTTTCTTTCCCAGGGAAGAAAATTTGCCAGGAGATCTGCAGGACACTTGAATCCAAGTCATTTTCGGTTGGTGACTGACTGGCTTTGTGTTGGGATACAGGGAGAGAAAGGAGTTAAAAGGGACACAGAAGTTTTTAGTTTTGATTTTTGATGTATAACATTGAACAAAATATTTGAAGGAATTGGGGAAAAGAACAGTGAAGTTTATCTATGTCGACCATAATGCTATATAAGAAACCACCCTAAAATTTTATGGCTTAGTACAATAACCATTTATTATTTTTCAATAGTTTATAGGTTGGCTTGGTGGTCCTGCTGGTAGAGGCCCAGTTAGCTGATTTCAGCTGGGCTGGCTCATGCCTCTGTTTTCAGCTGCAAATCAATAAGGTCAATTTGCAGTTTCACTTGGGCTCACTCATATACCTGAGGACTTGGACAAGACAAGTGGGCTTCATGAGGTCTGTATCATCCACCAGGCTATTTTGGGCTTATTCATATTTTGGGCTTTATTCATATTTTGGGCTTATTCATATTGATATGGCAATACGGACAGGAATCCCAGAGAATGAGCAGAACACACAGGACTTCTTGAGACCAAGGCCTGAAACTGGCTTATGCCACATTTGCCACATTCTGTTGGCCAAGTCAAGTTGGAGACCTGCCCAGACTCAAGAGTTGGAGAAGTAGATTTGGCTTCTTAATGGAGGAACTGCAGGTGACATTGCACAGGAGCATGGACACAGGGAAAGGAGGAATACTGGGTTACTTTTGCAATAACATTACCATAGTGACCAATCATTTCCATCCCTATTTTATAGCAAGCACTGTGCTAGGGACTTTACCAACTTGGTCTCATCAATGATCAGAGCAATTCTACTGGATGGGGAAAATGAGACATGGAGACATTAAACTTGTGTACAATCACACAGATATTAAGTGGTAAATTCAGGTAGTAGTTCTGATGCTCTGTAAAGCATAACTTCTTTCTACTCTTTCTCACACTGCTTCCTGCAATTACTGGTCCCCCAGTCGTTTACCACTTGAAACAGAATCAGTTCTACCACAGCAGGAATCTGAAGAGTCAGGTGAGGTTATATGGTCTGAGATTGCCATAGTTGTCAAGGCTCACGCTGGGAATGCTTGATGGGAATGAAGGGCTGACTGCTTGGAATTAACCTTTTATAAGGGAGTGGTTACCATCTGAAGGGGCAGGATTCCAAATCATCAGGTCCAAGGAGGCCTAATGAACTCTGTTTCCAAGGGGTCAACACTTGTAAGAGAGTGGGAGATGAGACTATGACTTCTAGGCAGGACAATCTTTGTCCTCAGGTGGGATGCCTACATCATAGCATAATGCCCTGTGGTTGATGTCAAGGGAGCTAACCCTATGATCTATACTAGGGAAAGGGGTTGCAGGCAGGAGGGTAGAGGTTTGCAGTTCCCTGGCTAACTGGGGTTTCCTGAGTGGAAATTGGGAAGAGAATTGTAAGTTGATGTGTGCATGGACATTTCCTGTTTTGTTTTGTTTTGCTTTTTGCCTTGAACAATATCTGGTACATGTGGACATGAAGTAAATATTTGTTGAGTCATAAAGATGAGGATATAACTAGAGGACTAAATATCAAGCTTATGAGACAGGAGGTAATATAACTTCAGACATTTTCTAGACCCTCGTTGGAAAAAGCAGGAACGCTTCACCTATACATCAAAGCTTCTCATTCACCGATTTAGAGACCAGCACTTATTCTCAAAGTTTCTCCCATAAACTATCAGATAAACAAGAATTTCTGGTGTTGGCGTTCTGCAGCTTTCACTTCAAGCAAGCTTTCTAGTGATGTCTACTAAAGATCTAGACCCTCCATCTTTGGCAAAACTGAACTTACAGGTAGAAAGTTATTGTTATCCACTAGACCAGTGTTATTCAAAGTGAGACTGTGTAGTAGCATCAGCCTCAACTGGTTCTGGAGTAGAGAAATTCATTCTTGGTTCTACCCAAGACCTGTTGAATGAGAATATATAAGGCTGATGCCCAGGAATGTGTTTTTTAATAAGCTCTCTAGATAATTCTTACATGTGCTAATGTTTGAAAAGCCCTGAGCTGAAAGAGACTGAAGAGCACTCAGTGATATTCTTAGTAATAAGTCAGGTTTCTTTGACTTTGCTCTGCTATTGGGATATCATAGGACCTGAAATTGATCATCCATGGCAGAAACATTGTTGTATGTTTGACCGAGGAGTACAGAAAGATTGGCACATATCTGAACAGACTGTGAACATGTTCTTTTTGGTTACCATTAGTATAGTCCCTCTCCTTGCATAAACTTTCTGTGAATGTCTGTGAAGAAATTCAATAACATTCTTTAGAGTTGTATAAAATAATGGTTTAGTACCTGGAAAGAAAGATCTGATGTCAACTTCCACTCTACCATTTACAAAATGGGAGACCTTGGGCAAGTTTATCTCCTTTGTGTCAGTTATTAACCTGTAAAATAAGCAGCATCACAGTATTTACCTCATAGAATTGCTAAAAGGATTTAAAAAGGGAATTCATATAATGTACATAATACCATGTTCTTTCCATGTTAAGTGCTCAGTGTTAGTTGCTATTATTATTACTATTGCAGTTACAATAAATATTAATATATGATATATTGTCCCAAGAGATTTTTCAGTTATATAATGGATCAGATAAGTATATGTCAAAATAAATATTTTAAAAATATAAGATAATATATATTGATCACTCTGATATAAAAATCACATAGCCTTTCATTTTGAGAATCAAATTTTGCATTCACCAAATAGTTTAAATTTAGGTTTCTTAATTCCTTATTTGAGGTCAGCAACATTTGTGACCGGAAGTTTCTTTCTGATGTATCTCCAGCATGACATAGGAGATCAGACTGAAATAACTAGTAAAAAAAATCACTGCATGAAAAGTGGCACAGGATATATTTGTTAATGAATGTTGTTCAGCCCTGAGAGTAAATGGTACATGAAGCAAAGCAATAGCTTTTGTAAAACTCAGCACACCCCTTTAAAAAAATGTTTTTTTCAGCTTCAGGTTCTAAAGGAGCAATTTGCGTGTACCAAAAAAAAAAAAAAAAAAAAAAGCATGAGCCATGTAGGGTAAAGATGAATGCCACCGACAGCGCCTCTCCTTCCTCTTCTCACTCTAGCCTCATTGATGGTTTAAGAAAGAAGGGCAGATGCTGCAGCCTCAACTGGAAAATAGAATCTTTTCAGGCCTCAGGCAATCCTTCCATCTGGAAAGGTCGAGGTCAGACAGCAAGAACATCAAAGGGGAGAAAGGTCTTGGGGGTAAAGAAATAAATTGCATCCCTGTGGAGAATAAAGAGGAGGAAAGCCAAAATCCATATTTTGTTGTTTTCTCATGAGAAACACACTGCAGATTTTCCCAGAAATGAAATTGATTTTTCTCTCCTAATTTGTATTTTTTGAAATCTCTATCTTTTTATAATAGAGGTACTTATTTAAAATGGGAAATCAACCTTTTAGTATCTTTACAAACATTTCTACTGATTCATTACTTTGGAACTTTGCAAAAAAAAAGACCAAAATGGGGCCATTGGGATTCTGAGATTTCTCTCCTTCTGAAATGAAATAAACATCCAAAAATATCATTTTTCACTATGTGGAACGGCAATGTGTCTAATGAGTTAGATACGTAACTGGCTACCATGTTTAAATTTTGTGGAGATTTTTATTGAAAGGATGGATATGAAATAAAACACCTTTGTATTATTGGTTAGAGTTTAATCTGGAAGAAGAAAATATTAGAAAGTATAGTGTAATAATATGGTAAGGTCTCCTGCCAATTTTCTTAATGGTAAGGCCATTTTTTAAAAATGTTCAACCCTTGGGTACCATATGTTCATAACTTTCAGCATTTTATCTCTCCGTAGAGTCTTTTCTTGACAAACTATCCTCTTAGTCTTTCTCTAGTGATGAAGGAGGGAAAGTTTTTTGATTTGGATTTGTCTGTCTGAGGCTTTACTTTAGAAACTCCCTGAATTCTTGGGAGGAAATGGCTTCATATACAGCTATTATTTAGAATTCTAATAATTTCTTCTTTAGAATTATGACAAATAATCACTAGCATTGATGTCATGCTAGTATACAACCATTTAGGCTTAATAGAATGAATATATTTACTACGATATAGCATGTAAGTAGGTTTATTTATATTCAATATCTGATGTCAAAGTCAAATTCTTCTGGAACCAACATTTTTTTTAAAATTATACTTTAAGTTCTGGGATACATGTGCGGAACGGGCAGGTTTGTTATGTAGGTATACATGTGCCATGGTTGCTTGCTGCACCCATCAACTCATCATCTAGATTTTAAGCCCTGCATGCATTAGTTATTTGTCCTAATGCTCTCCCTCCCCTCCCCCGCCACACCCTGACAGGCCCCAGTGTGTGATGTTCCCCTCCCTGTGTCCATGTGTTCTCATTGTTCAACTCCCACTTATATGTGAGAACATGTGGTGTTTGGTTTTTCGTTCCTGTGTTATTTTGATGGTTTCCAGCTTCATCCATGTCCCTGCAAAGGACATGAACTCATTCTTTTTTATGGCTACATAGTATTCCATGGTGTATGTGTGCCACATTTTCTTTATCCAGTCTGTCATTGATGGGCATTTGGGTTAGGAACCAACATATTTTTGATGCCCATACATATTGACCCTTGAAGAGTCCCCAGTACTGCATTCGAAGATGTGTGCTCTCTGGTGTTTGGAGTAGAATTTCAAAGCTCCTTGTCTGTGGTGCACTCAGGGAGCTACTGAGGAACAGGCCAGGGCTACCTGGTTACCAAGATTTTAGTTGTTAATTTTTTTTTTTTTTTTTTTTTTGAGATGGGGTTTTGCTCTGTCACACAGGTTGGAGTGCAGTGGTGCAATCTCAACTCACTGCAACCTCCGCCTCCCGGGTTCAAGCAGTTCTCTGCCTCAGCCTCCCTAGTAGCTGGGATTATAGGCACCTGCCACCATGCCCAGCTAATTTTTTGTATTTTTTGTAGAGACAGGCTTTCACCATCTTGGCCAGACTGGTCTTGAGCTCCTGACCTAGTGATCCACTCACTTTGGCCTCCCAAACTGCTGAGATTACAGGCATGAGCCACCGTTCCTGGCCAATTTTTAATGTCATTAAGCATAATTCACTATTATATTCAAATTAAACTCTAGCCATTGATACAGGACCAACAGTGTTTATTCCATATCCATCCAATCTGTAACATTCTCTTGGTGAAAGGAGGCAAATCAGGTCTATGGAGGGACTTTATTCTACTTCCTCATAATTTTAGATTATTTTTGATAATTTCCCATTTGGCAAACTAGTTACTAGAATCAGAGAAAACTTGGCAAGTTTTATAACACCATCGAAAAGCAATCACTGTGTTCAGGCTCCAAAACAGAAAATTCAAAAACAAAAAAGTCAGAGATTAAGATATAGACAAAGAGGGGACCAAGAGATTGAGAGAGAGAAAGACCAGGAGAAAAGGAGCATGTGGGAGAGAAAGAGAGATTATTCCACTGGCTCTGTATTCGTACATAAGTTACTCACCCTCAGTATGTCTTTGTTTCCTCTGCTAACCTCTTGTGGTGGTCATGAAAATCAGCCTCCCAGTTTTCTGATTGTGTTTTCAGTGGGGGCATCACCTCCCCTGAGCTGCTCCCAGACAAGTGAGAACAGCAGGGATGTTAAAGGAAGCCCATTTCATGGGCTTCTCTGATGAGTAATTTTTAGCTTGAAGATTCTGTGGCAAACAAAATAATGGTTTCTGAAAGATGCCTATGTCTTAATCCCCTGGACCTGTTACTATTTATATGGCAAAAGGAATTTTGCAGATGTGAATAAGTTAAGGATCTTGAAATAGGAAGATTACTTTGGATTACCTCGGTTGGCCCAAAATGGTCACAAGAGTCCTTCTAAGAGGGAGGCAAGAGGGTCAGAATCAGAAAAAGGAGATGTGATCACAGATGCAGAGGTCAGAGATGGTGCGGGGAGGGGTGGAGTTGAGAATGGAGAAGCTACACGCCAAAGAATGCAGGTGGCTCCTAGACTCTGGAAAAGGCAAGGAAAGGGATTCTCTAAGCCCCTAAAAGATGTGTAACCTCACCAGTGCCTTGATTTTAGAAATTCTGACCTCAGAACTGTAAGATAATACATTTGTTTTCTTTTAAGCCACTACATTTGTGGTCACATAGCAGTGATAGACTCCACATTAGCTTTGGAAAAATACCTTAGCATGGACACTGCAAAGACTCTTCATGAAATCTTCAGTTCTTTCCTCCTTTCTTTACCTGGAGTCTGATGGCTCTCCCAGCCTCCTGTAACTCTTCCTAATTTTCCTTCACAGCAATTTCCCCTAGTAAATCTCTTGCACACCTAATCTTGTTTTAGTGTCTTCTCCTTAAAGCACCTGGACTAATACACCCTATACATTTTACTTGATGGTTAAAAGCTTTTAATGTACCTGCCACATGGTAAGGTGTTCGAAATGGTTAGCTGTTGTGATTATTAGTTACAGTGGTACCAATAATGTAGGGCAGAATGAAGTTAACCTGTCCCTTGGATAAAATCTTAGAAAGTCTCATTATTTTCTTGTTTATACTCAAGCATTAAACTTTTCTCCAGACATTTTTTGTCTCTCACACCGTTTCCATTCAGTTGTTAGTACACCCAGTCCAGCAGGAGAGTACATTGCAATTTTCCTTCAGAGTTAATGTGACTGTTCAGCACAGCTCTGGGCAGGTTGGCAGGTCGATTTGGGACCTCAGGGTTAACAAGCCCATTGATGTTAAACATGTAGGTCATGTCCTTTAATCCTGCTTTTATCTAGCAAGAAGGCTGATATTTTGACATCTATCTGCTTCAGTTCTTGATATTTCCATAGCTGATTCCAAACTCAGGTAGGGAAGTGAATGTGTTTGAAAGCACATTGGAAGAAAATTATAAAGTTCTTACCTGCTGGTGCCTCATGGATTCTGCTTAATCAATGTTATTGTTAAATATGACAGAAGTGCCATTGCAAACCAGCACTGCAATGATGGAACAGTCAATGAATGCTACTGACAAAGCTTGTTATTCATGAAGAAAACATGAGATTAGTTCACATCATACACAGAAATCAATTTCAGCTGGATTAAATGCCCTAAATGTAAAAAATAAAACTCTAATAAATTTAGAAAAAAAAAGTAATATCTTTATGAAATTAGAGTGGGGGAATTTTTATTCAAGATACAAAAGATACAGAATTTAAAGTAAAACATTGATACATACCTTTTAAGTATGACTAAGTTACATTTTAAATTCTTTCTATTCTGGCATATCTCCTTTTACAGTGTGATGTTGATGCTTTGCCCATCCAGATGCAGAGGGAATCTGTAGCTTTACTACATCTTGAATCTGGGCTGGCCTTGCGGCTGCTTTGAGAAATCAAAAGCAGTGGGACTGATGTGGGCGACTTCCAAGCTAGGCCTCAAGAGACATGAAGCTTGCACCGCCACCCTCTGGCAACCACCTTGCTAAGAGAGAGGAAAGCCTTAGCCAATCAGGGGGAGGTACCACGTGGAGGAGAACAAAGGTACCTCATCTAAATGTTCCAGCCAACAGCTAGACATATGAGTGAGGCCATCTGGGACCAGCTGTTCCCCAGCAGACCTGCCACATGACCATAAATACGAGTGAGACCAGCCAAAGCCACAGAGAGCAGGGATGATTTCTGCCCACACTGCCAATCCACAGAATGGAGCAAACAAATAATCTATGCTACTGATTTTTAGAGTGATTTGTTATAAGGCAATATATAACTGATACAATAAATAAAAACTTCATAAATAAAAACAGATAAATGCTTCATGAGATACTCTGCACAAAGTAAAATGTAAGCCACAGATCAAGACAATATTTGAATGAATATAAATTATCAGACTTACTACAAAGATATATATAATAGATATATAAATGTTGACAACTCAGAAGAAAATTAAATTAAGCATTATGAAAATATATAAACAAGCAATTCCCAAGCAAGAAGAAAGTAATGCCCAATAAATATATGAAAAGTTGCCTAACATTAGGTATAATCCAAGAAATTGAAATTAAAACAGATATAAAAAACAATTTCATACCCATTAATTCAGTAAAAAGTAGTGTACAACAAATTTTGCTAAGAAGATGGAATGATGAGAGTCTCCTACACTAATTGTGATGGAATAAATTGGTGCCATCATTTTGGAAAACTTTGGCAGTAACTAGTAAAATTGACAATACGTATTCTGGAAAGAATATTGCCAATAAACATAAGGAGAGAGATGTGAAATTATCATTCATGCATTATTTACAGTACCAAAAAATGGAAACAGCCTCAATGTAATCATTGAGAGAATAAATCTTGATGTCTTAGCTAGAGCAATCAGGCAAGAGAATAAAATAAAGGGCATCCAAATTTGAAAGAAAGAAGTCAAATTATCCTTGTTTGCAAATAATACCATCTTATATTTGGAATAAACCAAAGACTCCACCAAAAAAACCTTAGAACTGATACACAAATTTAGTAAAATTGCACGATATAAAATCAACATACAAAAATTAGTAGCATTTATATATACCAACAATGAACAATCTGAAAAAGAAATAAAGAAGCAATCCCTTGACAATAGCTCCAAAAAAAAAAAATTGGCAATAAACTCAACCAAAGAGTTGAAAGATCTCTACAATGTAAAGTATAAAACAATGATGAAAGACACTGAAAGCAATACAAAAAATAGAAAAATATTTTATGTTCATGGATTGGAAGAATCAATGTTGTTAAGATATCCATACTACCCACAGTAATCTACAGATTCAATACAATTCCTATCAAAATACCAATGACATTCCTCACAGAAGTAGAAAAAAAAAATCCTAAAATGTATGTGCAACCACAAAAGACCCAGAATAGCTAAAGCCATTTTGAGCAAAAAGAACAAAACGAGAGGAGTCATATTACCTGAATTCGAATTATACTACAGAGCTATAGTACACAAAAAAGCATAGTACTGGCATAAAAGGAGACACATAGACTGATGGAACAGATAGAGAACCCAGCAATAAATCCATACATTTACAGCAAACTCTTTTTTGATAAGGGTGCCAAGAACATACCTTGGGGAAAGGACAGTCTCTTCAATAAATAGTGCTGGGAAAGCTGAATATCCATATGCAGAAGAATGAAACTAGAACCGTATCTATCAACATATACAAAAGTAAAGTTAAAATGGATTAAATACTGAAAGCTAAGACTTCAAACTATAAAACTATTAAGACTAAAAGAAAACATTGGGGGAAACTCTCCGGATGTTGGCATGGACAAAGACTTTTTGAGTAATAACCCCAAAACACAGGCAACAAAAGCAGAAGTAGAAAAATGGGATCACATTAAGTTAAAAAGCTTCTGCACAACAAATAATCAATAAAGTGAACAGACAGCCCACAGAATGGGAGAAAATATTTGCAAATTATCTGATGAGGAATTAATACGAATAATATATAAGGCACTCAAACAACTCAAGAGAAAAAAAGCTAATAATCTGATTTAAAACTGGACAGAATACATGAATAGATATTTTTCAAAAGAAGATGTATAAATGGCAACCAGATGTGTGAAAAGATGCTCAACATCATTGATCATCAGAGAAATGCAGATGAAAACTACAATGAGATATCATCTTACCCCAGTTAAAATGGCTTTTATCCAAAAACAGCCAACAACAAATGCTGGAGACAATGTGGAAAAAAGAAAACCCTCATATACCATTCATGGAAATGTAAATTAATACAACCACTATGGAGAACAGTTTGGAGGTTCCTCAAAAAACTAAAACTAGAACTATCATATGACTCAGCAATCCCACTGCTAGGTATACCCAAAAGAAAGGAAATCAGTACATTGAAGAGATATCTGCACTCCCACGTTTATTGAAGCACTACTCACAATAGTCAAGATTTGCAAGCAATCTAAGTGTCCATCGACAGATGAATGGATAAAGAAAATGTATGTATATACAATGGAGTACTATTTAGTCATAAAAAAGAATAATATCCTGTCATTTGCAACATGGATGGGACTAGATGACATTATATTAAGTGAAATAAGTCAGGTACAGAAAGACAAATTTTGCATGTTCTCATTCATTTGTGGGAGCTAAACATTAAAGCAATTGAACTCAATAAAGCTTACCAGAGGTTGGGAAGGGTAGTGAGGGGTGCGGGGGATGGTTAATGGATATAAAAATATAGTTAGATAGAATAAATAAGGTCATAATTGATATCACAACAGGAGGACTATAGTTAACAATTTATTGTACATTTAGAAATGACTGAAAGTATATGATTGGATTGTTTGTAACACAAAGAAATGATAAATGCTTGAGGTGATGGATACCTTACTTGCCCTGATATGATTATTATGCATTGCATGCCTGTATCAAAGTATCTCATGTATTCCACAAATATATACACTTACTATGTATTCATAAAAATTAAAAATAAAAAATATTTTAAGAAGAGGATGGATTCATCTTATGATGAAACACTATACAGAAGTGGATATGAGTGCTGGATCTAGTAGTGTGAATTAAAAAAACACAACTAAATATTATAATGTTGAAGGAAACACCATATGTAGATACCATTTAAGGTTAAAAGCATAAAATAGAATCCTGTATGTTACTGATTGATACATACACAAGTAGAATTATTACCAATGAGTAGACGTGATAAACATCACAAGCTGGTAGCTTCTTTGGAAGAAGAAAAACATTTGGGAAATGGGATGAGGGATGAATATTTAAAACTTTATAACCTAAGTTTGTTGGTGGGCACACAAGGGCCCACTGCTTATTTCCTTTTTAAGTTCTGTCCCTCTGATTTATTTAATAATTAAAACAATAGAAAACCAAACAACCCAAGACAAAAGCAAAGATTTGCCTTGCTTTCCTGAACAGCTACCCGAGAAGGCATTGAGATACAGTATTGAAACTCCTGTCAATTTTCCAGTCCCCTAATCCCAGGGTCCAGTCAGGCATTTTGCTGACGATTCATCATCACGATCCAATGCAATACTATAACAGGGGATCCATTTACAACCTTTAATAAAGAGTCAAATGAAATTTCGCCAATATCTAGGAAGCTATTAATTAATTCACTTGACATTCACACAGAAAACACTTCCTTGACTTGTATTTTTTGCTGTGTGGATATAAATATGCATGAAAATAGTTTAAAGCTGTTTATTTCTATGACTGACTAGCATAACTAAGAGCTTTGAAACCTGACAGTGTGGAAAACATGTCTCCCTTTTCTATTTTCCACACCAATAAAAAAAAAGCAATCAAAAATTTTTACCTGAAGATGAGCAAGAGATCTCATAAAGAAAAAAGATGGAGCGTTTGATGCAAATACATGAGATTATCTTTCGTGCATTTTCAAGCAGAGCCAAAGAAATAGATTTTCATAAATCAAAAATTTCCAATTTTAAACAAGCATTTTTATTCCAGGCGACAGAGAGGTGGGAAGAGAGATAGGAATGCTTTTGATGGGTAGAGGCTGACTGGGAAACTCATGTAACTTAGCCATTATTAATGGAATGGAATCTGGGTGACACTCAGGGATTCAGAAGATAAAGGGTGAATTTGTGTTGGGGCTAAGCCACCTTCAACCCATTCTGCCCCAAGGCATATGAGAAGCAGTGCACCATCAAATCACAGGCACCCGACTCCCTGTGTGGTACAGTACTTCTGTACTGCTTCCCAAGTGGGTCCATGGAAGAAAATATAAGCCAACAAAAGTTTATATCCAATAGCGCCATTCTCCAATCTCAGAACAGGGAGGAACAGAGATGGAAGTGGAATCCTAATGAAATTTAAACCAGAAGTGACTGAATTTACTTTGAGCAAGATTAGGTTTTCTGATAACAGTAGAAACTGATGCAAAGCCAAATTTAGTTACAGAGGAATAAAGTTAATTTTTTGAATTTATAATAACCCTGAAGTGTTACTATGAGGGAGTGAGAGAAGCAATGAGGAGAAGTGAAAGAACTTAGAAAAAAAAGTGGTGTGGTTTTAGCTAAAGTCCAGCCTCGTTGCGATTCCAAGAGTCGCTGTGGAAAGTGAATAGCACCACAGACTTCTTTCACCTCCAGGCAAGGGGGCTGGGCTTAAGTATCCTTCATCGGTCAATCATTGGCTGTAGGCTGCTTCTTGGAAGCACAGGTGGAGAAGTGTGCTATCGCAGGAGAGGCAATTCCTATTGGGTGAAGGCAATTCTCTGAGGAGGGGCTAGCTAAGGGCCTAAGCAAACAAAACTTGGAGCAGCTGTGGGATGGGGCCTCTGCAGGTGAAGGGGATCTGGGTGGGCACCAGTGGAGTCCTATATGAGCTGAGAAATTAGCTGAGTTCTGGTCCAGTGCAAAATCCCACCATTGGTCGGGAAAAGCTCAAAGCTCTCTCAAATATTCTTATCAACACCCAACTCTTACTTACTTTTCTCAGTTCTCATTGCTCCCACAACAATTTACACTAAATCTATCCCCAGAAATTACTTTGACAGTCTTGTGCGTTCTTCCCTGTGCTACTGCTTCTGGTATCAATCTTGTCCTCTGAGTCCTCCAGCCTCCTTAGCTCTTAATATTCAAAACCAGGCTTAAAACTCAAAAGGTCTACTTTTCTCTCAAAAACATGGCTCTCACAATCCAATATCTCCACTTTCAATACTATATCTTCACAATCTATGAAAAATAAAGTTCCAACCAGAAACTCATTTGATTTTTCAAAAACTCAACTCTGTCTTTGCCACCCCTTTCAGGCAATAAATACTATTTCTTGAATAAATAAAGAGCCAGTAAAGGTATCTGAAAAGATGGTACCAAAATAACGGCAGTGATTATTTTTGGAAAGTAATTTGCATAATGAAAAACTATTGAACATAATTGTTATATTTTGGTATGAATGAATTTACCATGAATACATTGAAAAAGAAGAGTTTGGTAAAGTGAGAAAGCATGGGGATTTTCAGAAGACCTGCAGTCTTGAGAAACTTCATACAAAGGATATCCTGGACCACATGAATTTAGCATCATACCTGCAGTGAGATCTTGAGGTTAATCCATGTTGACTTTTCTGAGTTGATGGCCATTCACCATCCCCAAAACCTGAAGATTGGTGTGGCATTGAAAAGAAGATTGGTGTGGCTGCAAAATGCACCATCTTTATGATGAAAGGCAAATGGTAATATTTATGGTTGACGGTGGTAGGTGCTATGGAACCATTCCCAATCCCCAGACTGTACCAGGCAGGAAAACAACAACTCAGAAGAGGCTTCTGATGATCCACACAAGAGTATATGGACCACAGGATAACCCACAGAAGAGTATATGAACTACACACAGAATCTTTTTCTATACTGAAAAGCCATCTTAGGAAAGAAGGGGGAAATGAAAGTCATAGGGGCTGCGGACATTAAGTTCATAGAATGTTACCATGGAAAAGACTAAAGATTCTTTTTAAAAATTTTTTAAAATAATTTCAACTTTTATTTTAGATTTAGGGGGTAAATGTGCAGGTTTGCTACATGGGTATATTGCACAATGCTGAAGTTTGGAGTAGGGATCTGATCACCTAAGTAGTAAGCATAGTACCCAATAGGCAGTTTTCCAAATCATGCCCACCTCCCTTCCTCCTCCCTTTAGTAGTCCCCAGTGTCTGTTATTCCCATCTTTATGTCCACATGTGCTCAATGTTTAGCTCCCACTTAAAAGTGAAAACGTAGTATTCAGTGTTTGGTTCCTGCATTAATTTGCTTAGGATAAGGGCCCCCGCTGCATACATGCTGCTGCAAAGGACATTATTTCATTCTAGTATTCCATTGTGTATATGTACCACATTCGCTTTATCCAGTCCACTGTTGATGAGCTCCTAGGTTGATTCCATGTCTTTGCTGTTGTGAACGGTGTGGTGATGAACATATGTGTGCCTGTGTCTTTTTGATAGAATGATTTATTTTTGTTTTGCTATATACCAAGAAATGGCATTCTAGGTCAAATGGGAGTTCAGTTTTAAGTTATTTGAGAAATCTCCAAATTGCTTTCCACAGAGGCTAAACTAATTTACATTCCCAGCAACAGTGTATAATAGTTCTTTTTTCTCTGCAGCCTCGCCAGCATCTGTTATTTTTTTTAACTTTTTAATAATAGTTATTCTGACTGTTGTGAGATGATATCTCATTGTGGTTTTGATTTTCATTTCTCTGGATGATTAGTGATACTGAGCACTTTTTCATATGTTTGTTGGCCAAATAAAAATCCTAGAAGAAAACCTAGAAAATACTCTTCTCAGTGTTGGCCTTGGCAAAGGATTTTTGGCTAAGTCTCCAGTAGCAATTTCAACAAAAACAAAAATTGACAAGTGGGTCCTAATTAAACTAAAGAGTTTTTACACTGCAAAAGAAGCTATTAACAGAGTAAACAGAAAACCTACAGAATGGGAGAAAATATTTGCAAACTACACATCCAACAAAGGCCTACTATCCAGAATCTATAAAGTACTTAAATCACCAAGCAAAAAACAAATAACCCCATTAATAAAAGGGTAAAGACTGTTTAATCAAGGAAATACATTATTGTCAAATGGGAAGTCTCTGTTTGCACTGGCAAAAATTTGAATTATAGAACAAAAAGAATCAGTTACAGGAAATAAAAAAATGTGATGCTTTCATTTTGGTTGATGAAATTGCAGCTTTTTTACAAGGAGAGACATCCCATATTACCAATTCTTTATGAGGTGGGCTCATGTCTTATACTTTGTTTCTTGCCTCATGTGTAGGAAATAGTAGATCAATAAATGGTTTATTACTGATCAAAATCAATGAAATATCTTTATAACAGTGATTTCAGAAATGTTCTGAGCTGCTTGGAATTCAGTATTGGTGTTTGTGGGGAGAGGAATTGTTGAGGATATCCAGTAAATAAGAGTCTTACTATTGCTCACCCTAGCTGGAAACTCATTCAGAGATAGTCTAAGAAATTGAAAAAAATAGGAATCCAAATATGAAGAGGACTTCAGATAATAATAGATTGTTCTAAATATCCAGAAACAAGGGGACATCCTATTATTGAACCACAAAATCACATTTCAAACTCAGCCATAGGCATCTCAACCATCACAAGTTTCCCAATTGCAGATATATCAGTGTAAAATCTCCAGGAGATTCCGGAGAAGAATATTGGACTGTTATTTTATGCAGGCAATCTGGCTATAAGGTAGAAGAGAAGGGAGGTGGCTGAGCTATGCACAACCAGTCTTCATTCCAAGCTCAGATTCTGATAAGTCATCCTGATTTCCCTGAGTGAGGAGTTGGGCAAGGGTTGAGGTGTGTTCAGGGAAAATACCCCTTCATGGAAACCAGAGGAGGGAAGAAAAAGTGTTTTATCCCTAACTATGATGTCTAAACTACTTATTGCCTACAAGCTGATATGTTTTACTTTACCTAAATGTGATAAAAAAGATACAAAGAAGTATGTAAGTGGTCATTGTAGATAGTCAATGAGTTTTGTTTTTATTTGGCCACATCAGTAAAGGCCAAGATATGTACTTATTCTTATAAGTACATATATAAGAGATATTCTTATATATCTCTATTTGCCCACCCCACATTGAAAACATTTTAAAATTATATCCCATCACCCAGGCGGTACCATCTGATGACTAGTATATTTTGGAAATTGTTGCTTATTCTTATCAAGGGATACAGACCAGAGCTTCCTAGGCTTTTTTTATATCACATAGAAAATGTCAACATTTATAGGCATGGTAATCATTCATGCTGGTCAATATTTCTAGTTTTTCTCCTTCTGCACACATTGAAGTATTGTATCCTCTGTTCTCCTAAAGGTAGGCCTCACATGTCCCTTACTTTAGCCATTGAAAGTATGTTACTTCTAGGCTGAAGCTTTCAGAGCCATTGCCTGGTTTGTCAAGTTTCCTAACCTGTGCTGTAGCAATTAGCAATGTGCAAGGTGGTGGAGGATTTATAAGCTTGCATCTGTGAAAGCCAATGATGTGGACCAGAATGCTCAGCCAATATGTCACAATCAAGAAATAAACAATAAAGTTTTAATCTCTGTTAATATTGAAAAGTGTTACCCAGCTTATCCTAACAGATACCAAACACACCTGTGGTTTGGGGTACATAAAAGTGGTTGGTTCTCACTAGAGTCAACCAGCTCAGGACTCCACCCTCCTCAGGACTTGCTCAGCTACTCTGAAGGCTCAGGGAAGCACAATGGCTGAAATTGCATTGATTATTGATCTTATCTTCTGAATTGCTATGTTGAAGTCTCCCATTGCCACGTTCAAAATGACAGTTGTTTATTTTTGTTTTATTTTGTTTTTAATTGATACATAACTGTACATATTTATAAGGTACATCACGAAGTTTCAATAATGCATACATTATGTAATAATTAAATCATGGAAATTAGTACTTCCATCATCTCAAATACTTGTCATTTCTTTTTAGTGAGAACATTCAAAATCCTCTCTTCTAGATATTTTGAAATATGCAATACATTATGGTTAACTACAGTCACACTGCTGTGCAATAGAACACCAGAACTTATTCCTCCTAACTGTAATTTTGTACCCACTGACCAACGTCTCTTCATTCCTTCTCCTCCGTACTGTTCTCAGCTTCTAGTAAGGACTATTCTACTCTCTACTTTTACATGATCAACTTTTTTAGATTCAACATATGAATGAGATCATGCAGTATTTTTCTGTCTGTGTTTGGCTTATTTCACTTAACATAATGTCTTCTAGGTTCACCCATGCTATTGCAAATGACAGAATTTCATTCTTTTCATGATTGAATAATATTTCATTGTGTATACATATGAAATTTAAAATTTATTTGTTATTGATTGATTCCATATCCTGGCTATTGTAAACACTGCTGCAATAAACATGGAAATGCAGTTATCTCTTTGGACATACTGATTTCATTTTCTTTGAATAGATACCCAGTGTGAGATTATTGGATCATACGATAGTTTTACTTGCAATTTTTCTGAGGAGCCTCCAATACTGTTTTAAATAATGGCTGAACTAGTTTGCATTCCTACCAACAGTGTATAAGAGGAGTTCTGCACATAGTCACCATCATTTGGTATTTTTTTTTTGTCTTTTTGATAATAGTCATTCTAACTGGGATGAGATGATATCTCAATGTGGTTTTGATTTGCATTTCCCTGATGATTAGTGATACTGATTATTTTTTCAACAGTGTATAAGAGGAGATCTCATATACTCACCAATATTTGGTATTTTTTGTTTTTTTGATAATAGCCATTCTAAATGGGATGAAAGGATATCTCACTGTGGTTTTGACTGGCATTTCCCTGATGATTAGTGATATTGAGTATATTTTTCTACATCTGTTAGCCATTTGTCTGTCTTCTTTTGAGAATGTCTATTCAGATCTTCTGCCTATTTTTTGATCAGATTATTTGTTTTTTGTTTTCGTTTTTGCTTTGTGCTGTTGAACAGCTGTTGTCAATCAAAGGCGTCACCATTGCTGATTTCTAGAGAATTTTCCACTGCTCTGGATACATTCGTGGATGCCCATCCTATCTTGTGGATCTTCCATGCTCAGATGGCTTGTGCTCTATCCCATCACTGATGAGCCACTAGCATGGCATGTCCTTGCCAAGAAGTTGCTGTGAACAATGCAAGTGATGCCTTTGAGTGACTAAGGCTTGATTGTTTACTTCCATTTGTAGCTTGTTGCTTTAAACAACTTCAAACATGATATATAAAATACCTCTATAATTAAAGAGACAAGAGAATCAGCCACAGTATAAATTCCTAAAATTTCCTATTTATTCTCTTTTCTTTTCAGACCATATGCCACGTTCAGGTGGTTTCAAGGCAAAGTAGTAGGGTTTGGTAGTGTTTGCCTTGGGACTGAAGCTTGCTATATGTGAAGTGATAAGCAAGATTTTTAGAATGATCCTGGGAGCTCTTTCTGACTGCCTGACAATGGCTTGGCAGGACCAGGCACTGCCTGTACTCCAGCGGCAGAGCTTGCCCACATCTAACCTCTAGCGCTTCCTGTGGAGTCCTCCCACTTGCTGCAACTGTGCAAAGGTTTTCGGAGGCAAGTGGTCATCTTTCCTAGAAGTCATAGATATTAGTTCATCTGAAGGCTTGTTATTAGTTATCTGAAGACTGACTGAAGCTGGAAGATCCACTTCCAAAGTGGCTGATTCACATGGATGGCAGGTTGTGCCTGATTGTTGGCAGGTGGCCTCAGTACCTCTCCATAAGAAACTTCCCACAGACTGCCTGCATTTTCCCACAGTATCGGAGCTGGCATCCCCAAATGGGTGAAAAATCTCTGCAGAAGCAATCAAGCCTTTCACAGAAGTATTTCACAGAAGGAAATGCTTTCTGTGACCTAATTTCTGCAATCATCCACCACATTCTATTTTATAGGAGTGGGCCACTAAGCCTGGAAATTAAAAAAGAGGGATCTTAAGTTTCACATTTTAAAAAGCGGAGTGACGGCCAGGCACAGTGGCTCACGCCTGTAGTCCCAGCACTTTGGGTGGATCACGAGGTCAGGAGATCGAGACCATCCTGGCTAATACAGTGAAACCCCGTCTCTACTAAAAATACAAAAAATTAGCCAGGCGTGGTGGCGGGCATCTGTAGTCCCAACTACTCCGGAGGCTGAGGCAGGAGAATGGTGTGAAGCCAGGAGGCGGAGCTTGCAGTGAGCCGAGATCGCCACTGCTCTCCAGCCTGGGCGACAGAGTGAGACTCCGTCTCAAAAAAAAAAAAGAAAAAAAAAGGGGAGTGATATAGCCACAGTAGGAAAGACTTGGAATCAACCTAAATGCCCATTGATGATAGGCTGAATAAAGAAAATGTAGTACATATACACCATGGAACACTATGCAGCCATAAAAAGGAATGAGATTATGTCCTTTGCAGGGACATGGATGGAGTTATCTGCAGCAGACTGATGCAGAAATACTGTGTGTTCTCACTTATAAGTGGGAGCTGAATTATGAGAACACATGGACACATGAGGGGGAACAACACTCACTAGGGCCTGTTGGGAGGTGGGGGGAGGGAGAACAGCAGGAAGAATAGCTAATAGAGGCTGGGCTTAATACCCAGCTAACAGGATGAGGATGAACTGTGTTACAAACCACCATGGCTCACGTTTACCTATGTAAAAAACCTGCACATCCTGCACACGTACCCCTGAGTTAAAATAAAAGTTGAAGGAAAAAAAGTGGAATGACAATTAGTGAACATATTTGAAAACTATCACATTCTGTAAATTCATATACTTTCTTGAGTAAATTCCAATTTTTTTCTTCTCAATTATATGTGCACTTTCACACTTGTACTATAAGAAGATAGAGTAGCAGAAATGAGGTGAACAGTGTTCCTCTCTTAAAATGCAAACCTACTGCATGTGCAGTAGCTATTCTCAGGAATAGTGTCCCTTTCTGTGAGATGAGGGAGAATAGAGGCTTATACACTTTTTTTCGTTGACCCTTATCTTGTTTATATACCCAATATAGCCTATCCTTTGCTCCATAGTGAGTAGGATGTTATAGTGTTGCCTTGTTTCATCTTGTCACTTAAGCAAAAATACAGACATCTCATGGTATCTGTGGGGGATTTGTTCCAGGACCCTGCAGATATCAAAACCTATGCATACTCAATATTTTTAAATAAAATGAGATCACGTTTGCATGTAACCTATATACACCCTCTTGTATACTTTAAATCTCTAGGCTACTTATAATAATCTAATACAATGTAAATCTTATGCAAATAGTTGTCATACAGTATTTTTTATTTGTATTGTTTTTTAATTGTTGTATTGTTATTTTCTATTTTCTTTTTCCCAGAGTATTCTCAATGTACAGTTAGTTGAATCTGGGGATGCAGAAAACATGGATACCAAGGATTGACTGAACATAAAAAATACTCAGGACGTTTGTTCTCAAGGACTCTTTGTAGTTTGTTCCAGTAAGAGTTGATATTGTAGTAATCACATGCAACAAATGGGAGCACTGATACTGTTCTAGACTTCCCAGCCTTGAGGAAATGACACTGACATGACATGCATCTCTGTCTCTTGCTCTGTTTATCTCCTCCCCATCCTTTTTTTCCTTCCTCCATTAATTAGGTCTAGAGTACTCACTCTGTGACACCTGCCAGGAGGGCAGACCAGCAACTCAGTTACTGTCTTTAGGTAATCACTGTCTAAAGTTGGTCCTTGAAATTTTCTCTATTGTTTGTTTAAAACATAGATTCCTGGAAGCTGTTCCAAATATACTGAATCAAAAGCTCTTGGGTGGCCATTGGCAAACCACATTGAGTAATTTGGAGGACTACTGGCTCTTGTCGGTAAAACTCAGTTCCTGTTACCATGACGATTGTTTTTGACTTGTATAAATCAATGGGTCTCAAACTTTGACAGGTAACAAATTGCTGAGCCCCATCCCTAGAGTTTCTGATTCAGTAGATCTAGGATGGGGCCTATAATTTGTATTTCTAATAAATGCCCAGCTGATGTTGATATTGCTAATTCAAGGATCACACTTTGATTAATGTAAATGCTAATTAGTAATCTTTTTTCAAAGGCAGATGTGTATTTGGTCCAATGAGGTATGATTAAAGCTCCCAGAGTCAGAAAACTTTGGAACTAAAGTAGATGTTGGAAATCATAATGTAAAAATCATTTTCTCAAAAGTTGATTAAACAAAGTTAAAAGTTTGGTAATTTTGTCTTGGTCGTTAAACAATTTAAAGCAGATACAAAAAGATAGCTGGATTCTCTGACTCCTAGTCCAGTTTGCTCTCTATTGATCATCCTACCTAAGAAAATCTTTATGTATAGTCATGAACTGCATAATGAAGTTTAGGTCAACAATGGACCACACATATGATAGTGGTCCCATAAGATTATAATACGGTGTTCTTACTGTACCTTTTCTATATTTGGATATGTTTAGATACACAAATGTTTACCATTATGTTACAATTGCCTACAGTATTCAGTACGTAACATGTTGCACAGGTTTGTAGCCTAAGAGCAATATACTCTACCATATAGCCTAGGTGTGTCATAGGTTATACATCCAGGTTTATGTAAGTACATTTTATGATGTTCACACAATGATGAAACTGCCTAACTATATATTTTGCAGAATGTATTCTTGTTGTTAAGTGACATATGACTGTGTGTACTTCTGAAGCCAACTTATTGAGTTATAAAGGGTAATCATGCCAGCTTAAATCAATAAAAGTCAGAGAGAGTGATGAAATTAGATGTTTTCATAAAACTGAATAAAAACAACAAGAAGTCATTAAAGAGGATGTTGAAAGACTTGTTTGGCTCTTTTGGGTATCTTAGTTAAATTGTCAGAGGAACAATTTCTTTTTATGAGACATTAAGAAAAGTACTGACATGTGAAGCTATTACACATATAGGCTGTAGTTTTGCCTGCAGAGCAATTGCCAAGAAAAATATTAACATAGAAATTGATAGTCTGAGAGTATATGATAGTGACATTTCATATAAATATTTAGCACATGACCCCATGAGGCAAAAATACAGGACAAACTTATAATCTGTGTGGCTGCGTAGACCCTAGGGCTATGTAATGACTATGTCCAGCTTGTTGCTGACTAAATAAAAAGAAGCTTGATTCATCACAGATGAGCAATAATTGTCTTCTTCACTAATTATTTATATCATAAGGCCATCTGTGATGTTTTCATGATTTCCAAAAGAGAATGCACACAGCTTGAAAGGGTGGAAATCTTGCCAGTTTAGAAATGACATCTGGAAGGCTTTGGAATTGAAAGGCCTAGCATGAAAAAGTGGAGCTGTCTATAGGTGCCAAAGTTGAAGCAACACTCTGAGGAACTGCATCCATTCTACAGCTCAGAGTTGGGTTGGGTTCCTCAGAAGTAAACCCTAAGATAGGAAGGCGTACACACACAATTTACATAGGTAAGGCACCTAGGGGAGACAGGAAGAGAGGAGGAGAAGCAGGACAGACATAGAAGGAAGTCAAGCAAGAGTAGAGTCCCAAGCAAGGAAGTGGCCACAGGGGTACTAGGGACTGTGAGTTCCATCTCAAAGTTGTTCTGGATCTGAGGAAGCTGGGCTTTTATTTCTTCCCTCTCTGTCATTGATCAAACGTTGCTTCGGGTACTTCTGCCTCTGTATGACCAGGCAAAGTGTCCCAGCAACCCAGGGAACTTCCCTACAGAAGAGCCACATGTGCTGGGAGTTCCAAGCAAAACACATGAAAGCTGGGAGGGGAACACATGTCACTCATGTTCCAAGGAGATTCCAGTGTGTTCTCTTCAAGACCCAAACTCTCTTTTGGTTTTTGGGTTGTCCCAAGGAGTATACTTCAGAGAATTATTAGAAAGTCTGTTAATTCACATATAAATTATGTTATCAAATCCAGCTTTATTGGTAATAGAAGCAATATTTTGATTTTTATCCAATTGATCCCTACGCCTTTTTCCTCAGTTGAAATTATGGAGGGGAACAGAAGGTACTTTTTGTATTGTTTTGTTTTGTTTTATCTCCTTAAACTCTTCAAAATATGTATCAGGGGTTCTAGTGTCTTTTGAGTTCCTATAATGGAATGTGCATTGTTTAAAAATGTCTTTAGATGACATTGGCAGGTACCAAACACTTGGGTGTGTCTTAGACATCTCCACTTGCTTATCTTACAGTCACACCGCAATTCAACCATCCAAAAATCGTAAGTAGGCTGCCAAGGATCAATACAGATGTGCACTACGTGTACAATATGACTCCCTCTCTGATTGTTTAATGTAGAATTTTGGCACCCAGATGCAATGTCCTGAAACCCTAGGGAGGAAAAATAGGAAATAATTTCTACATTTTAGGACATGTATTTATCACTCTATAGAGAAACATTTCAGTCATGTGTCAATGTGTTGGTTCATTGTAAATTAGCAATTATTTTTCCAACTAAGTTGGAAACTGGAAACAAAGAAAATGTGTGAGAGCCATCTTCTGGACAGATCAGTTATGACCACACTGGTTTGTCTCCCTCTTCTACTGCATACTTCCTGTACCTTGGCCAAAATGGAAGCTATAATCCTTTTTCGCCAGGTCTGCTCCTCCTCCGTATATGACCAGCCTCAGTGAACAAAAGATCGTCCTGCAGTTGCACAGTCTAGAAGCCTGGGAATCATCGTTGGCTCCTAGATCTCTCTCACCCATATAGTAACCTGTCCCTTCATGCTGCCAATTATATCTTGGCCACATTTCTCCTTCTTCAAGACCTATGTCTTCATACAATTTCTCACCACTAATCATCTGAACGATTGACCAGACCTCCTGTAAGGTTTCCTCACCTTAGTATTAACTCCATCTAATTCATATTCTATAATGCTTGTGGAGTATTTTTTTCTCTAAAACATAAATTTGATCATACTGAGCCTTTGATTTAAATAATTTTATACATTTTCCACCATGGTAGGCCGATAATGGCTCCCAAAGATATATCTACATCCCCATCCTGAAATCCGTGCATGGGACCCTTGGAAAAAGGGTCTTTGCAGACGTCATTAAGTTAAGCATTTTGAGATGAGAAGATTATCTTAGGTTATTGGGGTGGATCGTAAATACCATCACAACTATCTTTATAAGAGAGAGACAGGGAGAGACAGATTCCCAGTGAAGGCAATGTGAAGACAGAGCTGAGAGGGATGCAGTCACAGCCAGGGATTGCCCACAGTCATCAGAAGTTGGAAGAGGCAAGGGAGGGATTCTCTCTTAGAGTCTCTGGAGGGAGTGCAGCCCTGCTGATACCTTGATTGCAAACTTCTAATCCCCAGTACTATAAGAGAATAAATTATTGTTGTTTCAAGCCACCTAGTTTATGGTAATTTGTAAGGTTAGCCAAGGAACCTAGCACTTATTTTTCTTAAGATAATAGTAAATGTATTTTTATATTACTCAAGGCCTGTCATGATCGAGTCTCTGCCTTCATTTCCTAATCGAATCTCTCATTTTATCTCAAATAAACTCTGTGCTCTCATGACTGGGGATAACTGGATGGTCTTAATTTGGGCCATTTTCCTCCTCAGCTTCCTACAATTGCATATGCTCTCACGTTTCTTTGGAACTCCCAAATGCTTATCCCTGTATAATAATCTGCTTCAGTGTACTACAAAAACTATGTGATACCTGAATGAAATGGGAGGAGAGATACGCCAACTTGAACGTTTAAAAATATATGGGGCAATTTGTGTAAGAATGCATTGACACATACGTGACTTACTGTCACTCAAACATGGGTGAAGATGCTTATCCTAAACTTAGCTTATACTTATTAGATTTATAATTATAGTGCTATGTCATTCTGAAGGTGATGGTTGATGTTTTAGAGAAGTAAGTGGATTTCTCACATTTTTAAGGATGAATGCCTGCACTTACGTGGACAGAGTAACAGGTTTTGTTGATGTTGAAGTCCAGTTCCCTGTACTGGGCTGTGCATCCATGCCCCCCAAATGCTGAGATTGTTGGCTGTTGATGGCTCACAGCTGTCCTCTTCTCCCCCCAGTAACCAGTAGCCAAAGAGTGACTTGCAAGGATGTGCAAAAGGCCAGCCCCCTTGCCTCAGGTGGGACTGTCTTTATGGTACAGTGAGTTCTCCTGGGCTTTCTCTGGCATCAGCTGAAGCTTTCCTGCTGAGCACACATCCTTGCTGAGTTCCACCCTCTGTTCCATTTGCTCCCATCACTCCATTTCTCAAGAGCCCTCCCCACAAGAAATCATTTATACTCAAATTCCCATCTCAGATTCTACTTCTAGGAAATGTGGCCTAAGACAGAATTTCAAAGTTTATTACAACGAGTTGTTGTAGCCCAAGTCCAAAATCAACCAGGAAATGCAGCAGCAAAACTGTAGTTATTGAACACAATCTCATATACAGGGTGATAATAAGTGCAAAGGTAGATTCAAAGAGTTTGAATCTCTTAAGAAATAAAATCCTTTTTATACAGCTCTTTATGAAATGCATCAATGAGTGAGTAAATCAATGTCCTAAAATATAAACACACTGTAACTATCTACTGTGGTAGTTTCCTAAGAGTGTGCATGAGTGCCAAAGCTCCTCAGTGAAAGTATCATGAAGCAGATTTAGAAACTCAGCTGCTCCCTCATCTAAGCTTTCTAGTGTGACATCAAGGCTCCACTCCAATTCCTCTTCAGTGAAGCTTCTTCCAGATATTGGCTAAATCTCCTGAAAGGATTTTGCTCACCACTAAACATGATGTTGTTTGAATAATTTATTTGTTCTTTATCAAATACCTGACTAAGAGATCAAAGTTACTATTGTTGAAATGAGAATGTTTTAAATACTACAGACAAGGCAAAATGACTGATGGTAACATAAAAACAATTCCATTGTCAAAGGAAAGACCGTCCTTCAGAGAATGCTGCTTCAGAATTTGTATTTAGAAAGGGGAAGGTGGGAAGGTCTGAGTAAGAACACTGGACATAGAAAAGAAAAACCGTGTTTTCTTCCCGCCACGTGTTGTTTGTGCAATCCTGAATAACGTATTTGATGACATAATAATGTCACTGGGAGGGATTAATGGAATAAAGTGCATTGTGAAGGCATTTCAAAGTGCCAAGACCTTTACAAATGTGGATGATTATTATTGCTCTGCTCCATGGTCCAGAGGCTTATTCACCTGTCCTTTATTTATTATGCTTCTGTGAGTCAAATTTCAGGAAAGCAAATGAATGTCTAGTTGCATTAAAAATTGATTTCTATTGTAGGTGTTAGATTTTATGCAAATTTATTCCACCATTCTTCACTGAATGACCAATAGTATTTTCATGATAATAGCCTTGTATTTAACTAGAAAGTGAAATTACGTTTATGAGCCTTTATAGGCCATTACTTGTGAAGAAAATTGATTACTTCCTAAGTGCCAACACTATCCTAGGCTATGAGCATACTAGAGTGAACAAGACATCATGCATCTCATTGTCAAGAAGGAAAAAGAGGCAGTATACTGATACACACAAAAAGGATTATGTATTTGCAAATTACGCTGACTTCCAGGAAATAACATAATGGAAGCTATGAGAGAGACAATAGAAGAACCTCTGACTGGGCGCAGTGGCTCACGCCTATAATCCCAGCACTTTGGTCCAAGATGGGTGGATCACCTGCCTCGAGTTCAAGACCAGCCTGACCAACATGGTGAAACACCGTCCCTACTAAAGATACAAAAATTAGTTGGGTGTGGTGGTGGGCGCCTATAATCCCAGCTACTTGGGAGGCTGAGGCAGGAGAATCACTTGAACCCAGGAGGTTGCAGTGCGCCGAGATTGTGCCATTGCACTCCAGCCTGGATAACAGAGCGAGACTCTGTCAAAAAAAAAAAAAAAAAAAGAAGAAGAAGAAGAAGAAACTTCTGATACCCTGTTAGAGAAGATCTCTCTGAGGAACTGATATTAGCTGATATCAGCATGGTAAGTAGGAACTGTTGAGGTAAAGTTGGGAGAAGAAGTTCAAAAAACACTGAGAACAGCCTCTGGGATGGCTCAGGGTAAGAAAAATCCCTGTGAAATGAACAAATTGGAGGCATGGCAGAATGAGGGTGCCTGTTCTAGGGTAGAGAATGAAGGCATGGTATTTTAAAAGAGTAGGCAGCAAACCACTGGGGGCAAGATACTAAACCTCTCTGTGCCCCAGTTTCCTCATTTGTGAAATTGAGCTAATAATAGTGTCTAGTATTAGGTTGAAATCAATTAATATGCAGAGAGAACTTAAATGTGTGCTCAACACACAGTCAAATGTTTGTAGAAATGTATCATTCTTATTACATTCATGTAAATACAACTTGTTATTTTCAAGTTGTTGACTCAATCATTAGTGACAGCTCAGAAAATGTAATTATGGTTAAAAGCATAACGCAAATGTTTTACACCTTGGCACACAGCCCAGCTGACAGAAATTGGCAGGAAGAAAGGGGGAAGAAAAGTAGAAAAGTAGAGGTCTTAATAACTCATCTTACAGAGTGACAGTCAAGGGCCAAAACTGCTAGAATAAAAAAGGCAGAGTGATGAAAGCTATTTCAAGTTGCTGAATATAACCACAAGGTGAATTAAAAACAGGGATATAACTACAGAGAAGAGGTGAAAAAGGAAGATAGTAGTGGGAGATACACGGGCTAAATACCCATGGAGCTGAGAACCACAACCACCTGCATCAACATTACCTAGCTATTAAGGCCAAAAACCCACGGCAACCTTTGTCAACATGACATAGTTGTTTGTACCAGAGAAACTTTGCCTGAGAAAGGTAAGATTAATCATCAATAATTAACTTTACTACTGCCTTCAGGAAATTCCAGCAGATCAATTATTTTGAGACAAAAGTTGGCTCATTGGCTCAGCTGGGAAAACATTTTGCTTATCAAACAAAAATTTCTTACCCAGAATCATTTTAAGAACTTCGTCTCACAATGTCACAATTAATGCCCAATCTCGATTGCTTAAACCACTCTGGTGTAGATCCCAAGACCCTAGAGAGATACATTCTGACTTTTCCCCTGCGATAATCCTAAAACTCTCTCAAGGTGGTATTTTTGAAAACTGCTCAAATGTTTAGTTAATACAGCTTTGCATTACTAACAGATTGGTAGCATGTTAGTGAAATTCAACATAGCAAAGAGGCAAGAGATAGTAGATAGTTCCGGAGACATTAGTAGAAACATAGTATTTAGAGAATTGAATGAAATACCAAAAAGAGTACCACAGAAATGGACAGAAATAATCACTTTAGAAGAAGAAGCTTAGAAACAGTTACTTTAAGAATGGAATGAAGGCAGAAGATGGCATCTTTTCATCACAAGATTTTATGCATTATATGCATTATTTCAGTGTCCTGACCTATGGATATTGCTTTGACAAAAACAAAAAGAGAGATAGAAATATTATGGTAACATACTAAATGAAAAGATAGAAATGTTTGGAAGCACAAAAATCCGCAAACAAGATATTATCCTTCATTTATCAAGGATGTCAAACCCTAGAGGCCTGTCAAGATTTCGCCTGATTTAACTTGGTTTGGCTGATCCAGCAGCGTATCTGGCCCATAGTCGGTATACATTAAACAATTTTGTAATTTTATGTAATTGAGGTGGTGCTGAGTTCTCACTAGAGTCACAGTGGTTAAAAATGCTTAACTAATTCCAGTGGTTAAGATGCTATTTCTGCTGGGCACGGTGGCTCACACCTGTTATCTAAGCCCTTTGGGAGGCGGGAGGGTCTGTTGAGCCCAGGAGTTTGAAACCAGCCTGAGAAATATAGGAAAACCCCATTTCTAAAAATAATTTTTAAAATTAGCTAGGCCTGGTGGTGTGCCTCTGTGGTTCCAGCTACTCAGGAGGCTGAGGCAGGAGGATCTCCTGAGCCCAGGAGGTGGAGGTTGCAGTGAGCTGAGATTGCACCATTGCATTCCAGCCTGGGCAATAAAAGCAAAACTCCATCTCAAAAAAAAAGAAAAAAAAAAGATGCTATTTCTTTATTGATCTGTTGATTTAAGTTTCAATTGTATCAGTTATCAATTTGAGGAGTGTGTTTGGAGACCCTTCTTTAGGATCAGGAATTAAGCAGGTATGAAAGAGAAATTAAAAAAAAAAAACTTTCTTAATGTGTTCTTTTAAGTCAACTATTGCTATGGACTGAATGTTTGTATTCTCTTAAAATTAATATGTTGAAATCCTAACCAAAAATACGATAATATTAGGAGGCAGAGCCTTCGGAAGGTGATTAGGTCATAAGGGTGAAGCCTTCATGAATGGGATTGCTGTCCTTGTAAACAGACACCAGAACACTTGCTTTCTGTCTCTCTGCTCTCTGCTATGTGAGGATACAATGAGAAAGATGAACAGCCTGGGTGTGGTGGCTTACACTTGTAATCCCAGCACTTTGGGATGCCAAGGCGGGTGGATCACCTGAGGTCAGGAGTTCAAGACTAGCCTGACCAACATGGAGAAACAATGTATCTACTAAAAAAAAAAAAATACAAAAATTAGCTGGGTGTGGTGGTGGGAGCCTGTAATCCCAGCTACTTGGAAGGCTGAGGCAGGGAGAATTGCTTGAACCTGGGAGGCGGAGGTTGCAGTGAGCCGAGATCATGCCACTGCACTCCAGCCTGGGTGACAGGGTAAGATTCCATCTCAAGAAAAAAAAAAAAAAAAAAAAGAGAGAGAAAGCAAAAAAGAGAAAGACGGACATCTGAACACCAACAAGCAGCTCCTCACTGGACAGCAAGTGTGTTAGTGCCTTGATCTTGGAATTCCCAGCCTTCATAACTGTGAGAAATCAATGTTGTTTAAACCACCCTGTCTATGGCATTTTTTTTATATGGTAGCCTGACCAGAGACAACTATGAACCCATTCTTGAGGATTTGGTGCTGAATACTAAGCATATTGTAGCAGTCCCAGGAATACACTGCTCATGTCTCCTTCTGAAAATAACCTTTCATGTCTATCACCTGACAGTATCCAGCTGCTGCTGCACCTTTAGGACCCACAACAGCATTCATACAGAGGATGCACGATTCCTGGGCTGTCTCCAGATTATTACTGAGCCTAGTAAGGGAAATAGAATTGGATTATCCCACGACTCCCTCTAATGGACCATCTCTATGTTGGAACTGTGCGTCAGCCTGGCCAAGGCTTTCCCAGAGCTATGTTGTGCTGTCAGGCTCGCTCGGTCCCCCTTCTTCCCTCTGGTCTTTCTCAGGTATTGAACCTCCATTGTAGACTGAAGTTTTTCTCTGCTGCTCTGTTTATCCTTCACAGGAATTTTTTCCAACACGTTGTTCACACGTCTATTTCCCTGTAGGTGTCTGCGTCTCAGAGGACCTGCAGTGATGCAGGCACAGAGTCAGGGAGTTTTCTTATGGCAGGGTGGGGAAAGCAGACACTTACCCTCCCCTTCCTGAGGATGCAAATACGGGCCCTTCTCTTACTCCTTACAAGGAACTAAAGGAACATTTGAAAGCCCTATGGAAATGTTTCTGGAAATGAAGAGGTAGGGCTCTTAATTTCCCATGCTTCTCTTTCCTGGTCAGTTTCTTGGAGTTTCAGGTTCACCTGCAGATTATGGACACTGAGGTAGCTCTTTTGTATTTTGGTAAATTCTTTACTGAGAAGACAAAGTATGTGCATCAGTAGATAGTCCCTGTTTGTATGCAAAAGCACAGCCTGTGTGACATGGATTGTAAGAAAGAAAGAGCACCGTGTGAGCTATAGGCAGAATTCATGCCACCGTGATCAATAGGGAGATTCTCCACCAAGAATCCCAGCAAGGAAAGCCTCACTGCCCAGCTTCTGGGAGTAGAGTTGGCAGATGGTCCCACTGTCATCTCCTCAGTGTCTTCTTCTTTGAGTCGACCCCTTCCTAGGACAACCCACACAGCCTGATGCTGAGTGAGGTGGGGGTGCAAAGGCCTGGTCTTGTTCGCCCACTGGGGCCCAGCTCTGGTGGACAGAACAGTATTCACTCCAGAGCTCCCTGCAGGGCAGGGGAGGCTTCTGTGGGCTGCCCTCACAGTTCAGCTTCCCCTGTGTCTTCCACAGGGCTTGATCCCTAATAAGTACCTTGAAACTCAGACTCTGTTTTGGCAGCTGATTCTGGAGAACCCCACCAGCAAAGGTTATTAACCTGAAGGAAAGGAAAGATAGAAAGAAAATGAAAGTTAATTCGAAGAAAAAGAATGTGCAGGATGTGGGGCAACATAAGTAAATATAGATTCATCAGTTTCTTAGAGAACATTTTTTATCCTTTGGAAGCTACTTTAAATTATTGTTGTACACAAAGTTGCAGAACAGGAAATAGAAATATCATTGGCCCACAGGCCCAATAACACAGATATGTACAAGTGAGTTTTCCCTAAGACCTGGGCATATCCCTACGTATGAGAGGTACTAGATTGCCATAGCATTTATACGACAGCATTAGAGGAAAAATAATCACTTTTGTCCCCCCCCCACAAAGTACACTCTGAGAGTAAAGTCAAATAAATATAATCTTGGTGAATATTAGAGGGGCACGAAGAAAACAAGCCGCCAAATGAAATTTTATAGGACAGGCATATTCTGAGTACTCAGAGAGAAAGAGAAATTCAAAGGGCTTTTTGAACAAGTGATTCCGGAGACAAATTTTGAAGGAGAAGTTTTGTGGCGATGACTTGGGAGTGGGAAATGATTCCATCACTCCTGTTTCCCAGCTGAGATAAGGGAATTCTGTTAGCTGCACACTGCACGGACAGAAACAGGGTTACCTGGAGAGCCCTGACAGCAATGTTTGTGGTGAAGATGTGGTTCTGGAAGTGAATTTCCATCCAGGCATTGTGCTGACTCTATCACTTAGCAGTTCTGTCATCAATATCTTTGGATTTCAATTTCCTCATCTATAAAACACGATTAATAATGGCTACCTCATAGGGTTATTGTGTGGCTTAAATACATGTGTTTGGGTAAAACACTCCAAATAGGTTGGTTAATGTTATATTCGGGGAAACCTCGATGGGTCAGCTGAGGCACGCCTTTTGGAGGAGGAGAATATTGGCGAACATGGTAAAACCCCGTCTCTACTAAAAAAATACAAAAAAATTAGCCAGGGGTGGTGGCGAGAGCCTGTAATCCCAGCTCCTTGGGAGGTTGAGGCAGGAGAATCGCTTGAACTGGGGAGGTGGAGGTTGCAGTGGGCCAAGATTGTGCCACGGCACTCTGGCCTGGGTGACAAGAGCAAGACTCCGTCTAAAGAAAAAACCACTGGGTAGGCTGGGCTCGGTTGCTCACGCCTGTAATCCCAGCACTTTAGGAGACCAAAGTGGGCAGATCTCCTGAGGTTAGGAGTTCGAGACCAGCCTGGCCAACGTGGTGAAACCCAGTCTTAACTAAAAATACAAAAGTTAGCCAGGCATGGTGGCTTGCGCCTGTAATCCCAGCTAGTCGGGAGGCTGAGGCAGGAGAATCACTTGAAACCGGGAGGCAGAGGTTGCAGTGAGCCGAGATCGCGTCATTGCACTCCAGCCTGGGCAACAAGAACAAAACTTCATCTCAAAAAACAAACAAACAAACAAACAAACAAACCCAAAACCATCAAGGAGCCCTGAACACTCAGAAAAGGTAATTCTAGAGGGAGACAATTAGATCCATGGAGTTGAGTCATCATTAGTTTCATCAAAGAGAAGAAACACGCTGAGTCCTCAGAGACAGCCACTTTCTGAGACCCAGTGTCTGTGCGTTATTCTTTGACAGAAGTTCTCCCTGACGGATGCAGCCGTTGGTCCCAGTCTCTACTTCGTCTTGACTGTGATGATTCTCTACGTATAAAACCCTCCACCAAATTATAAACTAGGGAGACTCAGCTAAATATAGGTGCTCAAAAACATACTGAATTTGAATGTTGGACGGTTTAGTGCCCAGCTTCCCCACACATATTCACAACACATCAAAACACAATAACGTTAGCCCATGTGTCTGTGCCAGTACTTCCCTTTTAAAAAATCAAAAATACAGCCAGCAGATGGCGAGAGTGGATCATATTTGAACTGTAGGTAAACTAGGTTTTCAGTAGTAGTTTTTGGAGACACTCCTCAGTTACTTTTTATTTGTTGTTTGTTTTGGTTTCCTTTTCCTTTGAATGGAATCAAGTTTGCACCTCAGGGCAGAATTAGAAGTAATCACGAAGGTAACTAAGAAAAAAAAAAACAAGGTGAACTAGGGCTTAAGAGCTCTAAATACATCATTTTATTAACTCTCAAACATTTTTTAGGAGGGTAAGTTTGGAAGGGGAGAGGAGTAAAAAGCCAAATAGTTTGGATAATCGCCCAAATGTAGGTAGGTTGATTAAAATAGTCATTCATTTCTGAAGTACTCAGCAATACTGCTTCCAAGATATGTCCCTTATATTTTACTCTCACATATAATTATTGGCCAAAAATTGTGGGCTCAACTCTAGAGGATAAATTTTACAGGTCATAAATGTTCTAAATGTTGTTCTTCTCTGGACTGCCCAAGGCAGCCTGAACAACAGGCTGAGATTTGCTTCAGGTTATCTCTCCACCATCTTCAACGCTCGCCCACAAATGAGATGCCAAGGGTCACTCTGTGTCAGGACTTGGTGAGAAAAGCCACTGGAATGTTTAATTTCTCTCTGGACAGAAAGCTTCTTTGTCCACACATGTATTGTAATGCTGGGACACACAGTTGTCCATGGGGGGAAAGAAAGGGCTACAAAGAATGCAGAAAAAATATATAAGTCAAGCACATAGTTACCTAGGAAGGTAAATGTGAGGATTGGGGAAGTTTACAGAAAATAAAAATTGTTCACAGGATCGCTAAATATTTCCTCACTCTTTAAGATGACATTAAGGTATGTTAATTTTTAAGCTATTTTAATGTTTGAGAATCATGACTCTATGAGAGAGAGAGAGAGAGAATGCCTGTATTTCCAAGTTTGCAAGTAAGTAAGGTCAAGTTAGAAAGTCAGAGACAGGAAGCGGAATGTGTGTGTGTGTGTGTGTGTGTGTGTGTGTGTGTGTGTGTGTGTGTGTGTAGAATATTCCTGTCTGCTTTGTGCCACAAATTCTTGGAAAGGCTGCTGTACGCCTAAGTTTAGCTCCACTATATAGCTTGTTGCAGTTTCTGTACCTAAAAGAAGGGTCCTTGTGTCCCCACAAAAAATCTTTTCAGTTATTGGGTGAGCTATGCCCATCCACTTAGCATAGGTATTTACAAACACAACAACATAGATGACACACATGATAACCATTTTATAAAGAAAGGTTTCAGAATTATTTTTAGCTTGTAATTTTATTCTGATTGATGTCTTCATTGAATATACTGGACAGACTTTTAAACAGTTAATAAAACAACACACCTCTAATATCTGTTTGTGAAAATGTAAACTAGATATGCTTACATAAGGAAAAAAACTAAAGCAAGGTAAAAACGTAGATATTTTCGAAGCAACTCATCTAAAACTAACTTCCAAACATACTTTAAAAGTTTGAATCTAACAATATTCTTCAGAACATTGGTTGACTAATTTAACTAGTTTTTTTTTAAAGCAAAAAAGGTAAAAAGATTTTGGACACAGTATTATATTAATGTGACACCAGAAAACATCTAAAGGTTAAAAATCCAGGAAACTGTCTAGCATACAAAGGCATGTTCATTCATGGAAATACTTTGTTGTGAAAACAAGTAATTGATGTGTTTATGTTCTTAACATTAAAAACATAAAGATACAAAATTGTGCAAATAGTATGAATGCAAAACACCACAAATTAAAACAAATTCATAGACAATATGACTGGGAGAAAATTCATCGATAACTCCATAGCAGAAATACCTGGGGGTGATGTTCTGGTTCATTTATTTCTGAATTTCTCTGTAATTTTCCCCTAGATTTTAATGGCTATTTATTTTCTATTAAAAAGACACGTATAAACATGTAAGTATTCATGTTTTAAGTCATCATTTTGCATAGTTCTGTTTCCAGCCTCAGTTTGTTCTTCTGCAAAATAAAGGCATTCTGGTATCCCACGTGTCTGTATCAAAACAACCCCTTGAGCATTAAAAAAATAAATAAATAAAATGACTAATAAGACATGTATAGACTTTAGAGGTGGCTTGCAATTACAATTTTATTATTAAAATAAGACTTATTAAAATAAGAGAGAAAACATGTATCTTTGGTAATGTGAAAAGAAGAAGAATTCGCAGCTTATTCTTCTCATATCATAAAGTTTTTTCCACCTACAAGATACCACAGTGTCTCACATGGAACCCTTACAGAGTTACTCCTTTTGGTTAAAACATTTGCCTTTATCCCAGCACTTTGGGAGGCCGAGGCAGGCGGATCACGAGGTCAGGAAATCAAGACCTTCCTGGCTAACAAGGTGAAACCTCGTCTCTACTAAAAATACAAAAGTTAGCCGGGCGTGGTGGCGGGCACCTGTAGTCCCAGCTATCCGGGAAGCTGAGGCAGCAGAATGGCGTGAACCCGGGAGGCGGAGCTTGCGGTGAGGCGGAGCTTGCAGGGAGGCGGAGCTTGCGGTGAGGCGGAGCTTGCGGTGAGGCGGAGCTTGCGGTGAGCCGAGATTGCGCCACTGCACTCCAGCCTGGGCGACAGAGTGAGACTCCATATCAACAAAACAAAACAAAACAAAATTTACCTTTGAATCCGTCTCAAAAGTGAAGGTCCAGCCTAGCAGAGTGCCAGACATCATGAGTCTTTAGAATTCTAAGGAGCAGCATGAGAATTCTCAGGCCAAAGGTAGGAGCAGGGAGGGAGCTACGGGACTTAAGGGGAGTTCCCGAAGGATGAAGCTGGAGGCTTCCCTCAGAACTCTAGCTGCTCTGCCCCAGGCGGTTTGCAGAGAGCATCATCTGATTACCACACGCTCAATCCTATTCTCAAACCAAAACACAAATAAGCCCAGTAATAAGCCCAGGTCCATACAGCCTGGGCCTCACAGGAAACAAGATGGCTGAATGAGACTCAGATACCAGGCCCCTGTGAAATGACAAGTATTTCTGCTTTGCAGGAAAACCAGCCTTAGCTTTTGCTCCTAGCAGCAGCTTGGCCTGCCATTGCTGATGGAGATGATGCAGTTAAAGCCATAACCAGTCGCTAAACCAGGAGGGAAATGGTTTTGATAAGGGCCTCCGGAGTTCTCTATGTTTCGGACTAAGGAAACCTTGTCTGTGCCTTGATAATCTGCTCACTGCATTGGTGCAAACAATCAAGAATTGCCTTTACTGCACCAGACGGAGATCCATTAATTTTTTAGTAAATTTCCCAGAGTCCTCCCTTCTCCCTCTAAACCGTTCTGTGTGTACTTTTCCTACTGCCTATATTAACAATCTATGAGAAGGTAAGGGGCAGGCCACAGCAAGCTCATTCAGAGGACTTTCTATGCAAACCCAAGAAAAAGAGACCTATTTGCAACTCTGTGGCAGGGGCTTCCCCCTTCCTGCCCCAAGCCTGTCACCCTTTGTCCAGTTTCCTGGGCTTTTGTGGGAGATCTAAATAACTATTTGTCTTTTTGCATAGTGGGGAAGGGGGCAAGAGGAGGAAAGGGATAAGACACAGGAGAGGAAAGGAAGGCTCTTGTGGCTTCTTGAGAACGTGTTTAGGATCAGTCATCTTGGTCATGGGTTTGTAGAGCAATTGTTCTACGTCCTACAAATTCCAGCCTGATTTCTCAACTCCAGCAAATGTGCATTTGGTGTTTCACGCTGAGTACTGTATGTGTATTCTGCATGTCCCTTCCAGCAAATACACATTTGGTGTTTCATGGTAAGTATTATATGTGTATTTTTTATCCTGTGAGTAGTCACAGGATAGAAAATTCTATTACATTCTACCTGTAATCAGAATCATTTCGAGGAATAAAATTTAGCATCAATTCCTTGTATGTGTAATAAAGCAGGTGCCCAACCTGTGATCCCCAAAGCTTGTGAAATTACAGGCTTTTTCCTCTCCTTTTCTAATGCACATTTAACGTTATAGGATCACAATGGGTGATAAAAATGTAATTGCTGAAAATTAGAGAGTAGTTGCTGAAGAGCAGAGAGAATTCCCAGGACTTCCACCAAATTTGTTCATTTGAATCTCTTGCAATCAAGTACAAAGCCAAGAATTAAAACCTTTTAGAAATAACCCTAAATTGGGATCACATGTGCTCATGTATAGAACACTTTTATGCATTTTTGGAATCTTTTTGTCTTAAATGCATACACAGAGACAATCTTAACATGTGTATCAATATTTATAAACATGTTTTATACATTTATGCTGCACAAAATCATCTATAATTCCATTCTATGTGTGTGTATTATTTTTAATTAGTTTTGGTGGATTATGTGGTCTTCCTTTCTCTCTTTTCTCACAACAAGCTGCTAAGTTATACTTGAACCAGTTTCAGACTTGAAAGATTTAGTAAACAAAAACACTTTATAACATTTTTGGTGGGAGTTTTTAACAGATGTATTCTTTCTCTTGAGGATTTCTCCACCATTTGATCTTTTCCTCCAAAGCAATTCATTATAATATAATGGGCAAAGTCCCAGGCAGGATAATTATGCTGAAGCCGTCCTGTAGCCAGGACACAGCATCCATCCTTCATGCTCATAGCTCCCTTCCCTGCGCGGATGCTCTGGCCAATGAGGCTGTAAGCTCCTCCGAACAAACAGGCAGGAATGGCTGTTTAGAGTAGGGAATGGTTCAGAAGCTCTTCATTTGGGCTTAGTTTCTGTAAAGCTGCAAGAATAAGCCTTGCCTATGAACTTTAGGAAACAAAGTCTTGGAGTGAAGCTAAGGAGGTAGAGATATTATCATAGAATCAGAATGTTCAGTCAAGCAGAGAGTTTATTTTGCATTGTATTTTTAGTTATTTAAGGTTGTTAGAGGCTACTCTTTCTAGAGTTAAGTCGCCAAGTCAATGTAGTTGAAAAAAACTCAACTTTTCCAAGAACAGCCACCAAATTTGTTCCCTTAAGCTATGCAAATGTAAGACTAAAGGGTACCCATTCCTCTAGGTGGTTGTATAAAGGGAGTTTGTGGAATTCCAAGTGAGCATAGACAGATGAGTCCTATCATCCTTCTCTTATAGCATCAGTCACAGGGAGGACAGGATACCTTTTATTTCCAGTCTCTCCTCTCTACCTCCAGCCTTCGATCATGTGTCAGTAAGAGCTGTTAATAGTTTTTCAAAGTGGCTGTTCCATTTTATGTTACATAACATCACTAATATATAAAGCTCCTGTTTCTCTACATCCTATTAACATTTGTTATTATTTATCTTTTTAAAAAATCATAGCCATTCTTGTGGAGGTGAAATGGTACTCATAATGGTCTTAATGTGCATCTCCCTAATAATTAATAATGTTGAGCATCTTTTCAGGTGCTATTAGACATTTGTATATCTTCTTTGGTAAAATGTTTATTAAAGTCTTCTGCCCATTTCATAATTGGTTGTTTACCTTGTATACTGGGCTATAAGAGTTCATTTTATATTTTGAGGATAAATTTTTATCAGATATATGATATGTAAATTTTTTTCTCAGTCTATGGCTTGTGTTTTTATTTTCTTAACAGTGTCTTTTAAAACAGAAAAGTTTTGAATTTCAGTGAAAGCCGATTTATCAAGTTTTGTATGTATTATGCTTTTGACATAATATCATAGACATAATATCATATCTAAGAAATTTTTATCTAACTCAAGGTTTTAAATATTTTATTCTATGTTTTCTTCTAAAAGTTTTATAGCTTTACCTAATGCATTTAGGTCTCTGATCTATTCTGAGGTAATTTTTGTTTGTGATAGGAGGTAAGGGTCTAAGTTCATGTTTGGCTTAAAAAAAAAGATCTTTGTTCTAAAGGAAAAAAAGAGAATATGATTCTGGTAATAACAAAGATACAGGATGGTGGAAGGTTTTCTATTTTACTATTTTTTATAGGATATATTTGAGTGTACTTATAGGTTAGGAAGAAGAAGAAGGAGAAAGAAGATCAAAACGCAGACAACAGAGCAAATAATGGAGAAAACGTGGGGTGGGAACAGGACCCACAAGGCAAATTATAGAGGTGGAGCTTCAGCACAAGATACTCTCTCCTCTGCACTGAAAGGGATAACATTGATGAAGTTTTGGTTGTCTTTTCAGTAAAAAAGAAGCAAGGCTACCTACTGCAAGTGACATCAGTGAAGAGCAGATGTCTCAGCACCATAGTAGAAAAAAAAATCGCTGTTCCTGTTGACTTGCTTAGTTGTTTGTGTTAAAAATCAATTGATCATCAACATAGAGGTATAAACTCACTCTTAAATGTGAGTTTGGCCTTGCCTTTGAATGTGGCTGATATTCTAGGATTTGAGCCTTACAGTAGAACAGTGCTATGAGCAACTGTCAGTTGGTGATCTTCTATCTGGTTATCTCCTCCTTTTACCCCATTTGATGTTGGTATAATCACTGGCACCACGCAGGCCTGTGCAAACGACCAACATGATCTCAGATATGTTTTGTTTTGTTTCTTAATCAACTTCCAACATGTTAGCATATACCTTCCCAAGAAAATAATTTGATGACAAAATGCTATGGTTTCAAAGACTCCCCTTCCTACTTTGGATTAACGGAGGCTACATCAAAATGAGAGAATGCATGTGAAAATATTTCACAAACCATAAAATGCCAAACAAATATAGGGAATTATCATTACTGCATGCAGGAAATAAGAGTAAACAGAAGCAACAATAGTGCTTTTAAAGGGCTTAGATAAACAAAACAGATGACAAGATCAACACAAGAAGATAAAATCCAGATTTGCAGATAATCCACCCATGGATAGTCGAAAATTGACTTTATCTGCATTACCTAAAATATTAAGGAGTTGGATCAAGATCAAAAACGGCTTAGTTGGATGTAGGGGATAAAGTTGTCTTAGTAATTGGTATATTCCCTTGCAGATAGGCAGAAACTTTGCCCTAAGGTATTGCTTTCTCTTGTTAATGGATGGCCCTCCTTCAAGGGTGTAGGTGGAATTAGCAATTCCTTTTATAATGTAAACTTCAGCATGCTGAAAACCTCAAATAACTTAACATCTTTTCTCCACACAGAGAGATAGCTACTTTGCTTGAAATTTCCAGGATTAGTGAATACTTAAGGGCAATTATGAAAGTCTGCACATTTGTACAGTTGAGGCATTGCTACTGAGATCTAACAAAACATTTTGCTAGGAGTATAGCTTTTATTAATCCACTCACTATCTATCGTCATCCAGCGGACAGCTAAATCCTGGAAGTTTGCACGTAAGACAGAATTTGTTTTTTTTTTTTTTTTTTTTTTTTTTTTTTTTGAGGCAGTCTCGCTCTGTTGCCAGGCTGGAGTGCAATGGCGCGATCTTGGGTCACTGCAACCTCCGCCTCCTGGGTTCAAGCGATTCTCCTGCCTCAGGCTCCCAAGTAGCTGAGATTACAGGCGCCCGCCACTGCGCCCGGCTAATTTTTGTATTTTAGTAGAGACGGGGTTTCACTATGTTGGTCAGGCTGGTCTCGAACTCCTGACCTCAGGTGATCCGCCCACCTCAGCCTCCCAAAGTGCTGAGATTACAGGCGTGAGCCACCGCGCCCGGCCAAGACAGAATTTGAAGAGAAGGAATTAGGGGAAAGTGTGGAGCACTGTGCAAATTGCTCTGGAGTGGGTAATATAGGGATGGAGAGGTCCAGGTATTTAGTAGGAAGCAAAAGGACATTGCTTCCCTGGAGACTGAGAAAGAGATCTCACATGGAGGAAGGGCAGAGGCTGATGGTTGCACCCTTTTTCCTGCAGAAGAATTTCGTCTCTGGGAAGTCCTGACTCTGCATTAATGATGGACATCAATGTTTTCAGCTGCCAGACAGGTCCATCTTCTCAATTCCTGAGATCCTAACTGTGGTTTGTCATTTTGTTTAGTGTTTCTCTGGCACTCTGTTTCTGCATCCAAATCCTAGCTGTTTCATGGCAGTATTTAGTTAGCTTTTATGATCACAGCTCTTCAAGTTTGCTTATTTTTGTGCTCTCTATTCTATAGAAAGAAAGATTCAGATGATCTTGCTCTTACAGTGGGCATTAGAGGTAAAGCCATGATGATAATTATTACTCAAAGGCCCTTAAGCTACACAGCTTCAGACAATCCTGCCTAAAAAACTTAAATATCAGAAAGCTGTGAGGAAACCTGTGCATGGCCACTGGAATTTCACAATGGTCCCAAATTTGCACCCTAAAATAACTTTCTGTGTATAGTCAGGCAGCTGATGCCTAGAATTTGTGCTCAGGAAGATTAGAGGAATGTAGCAATTATTTTTTAAAGTATCTTAGTTTGAAGGCACCCTATAGATTTGTTAAAAGTACATATGAGGAGTAAAGAGGCAGAGGAAATAGGGAGGGGCTCCAAGCTTGGAGATAAAAAAATTGCCAAGAAAGAGTCTGCCTTTAAAGAAAGGGGAATAAGGAGCAGGAAGACAGAGGAGAGAGATAATAAACAAGAAGCGTCTTCATGGTGCCCTAATGTAACACACAACAGGGGCTGGAAAGCATTGAACATTTGTTGTTAGAGAAGAAAGTAAGGCAGGAAACATTCTGAGAATGAGGATGAGCCATCTATTGCAAAGACTTCTGTGCTGTGCTCACAGGCAAATGCAAAGCAGAGCAGTCAATGGCCAGTGCTTTGACCACTCCAAATGGTCTTCTCTACCACGGTTAGTGGGCCAAGTCATTCTGGAACAGGCTTTGAACTGGTCCCTTTACATTGCCCAGAACGACCCCTGCTCATCCATTCTTGCCTCTTTGCATCTTTCTATTTATCACGCCATTAAGCTTGTAGTACACAGCCAATTCAATAGGGAGCTCCCCTAAGTATACATGTACATAAAAATTGGAATTAAAAGGAGCTACTCTCTTTGATTTGGCCCTGGTATCTTGATTGCTTTCTGTTGTGCCCATCCTGATTTTTGTCTTGGCCCTAGGCATTTGGGCAGGTACACTTTTGTGGCTGACTTGAATTCTTTTATTGCACCGTCTCCAGTGTATTTCTCATGATAATTTCGTTTAGCAGCAATTCTTAATCTTGTTCAACTTGCTTTTTAGTGACACCTGATTCTTTTGCTGATCTGGCCAGGTAACCATAACTAGCAGAGTCAAGAGACAAGGGGAGGTTGAGAAATGTTTACAAAGGTCTTGATGCCTTTTATTACCTATAGATCCTTTTGCTTCTACCTTTAGGAAGCATTTCTTCCTTGAGGTCCTCCATGTAGCTGTTGTACTCCATTGTTGCTCAAGCATTGGTACCTGACTTACTGTCTTTCTTTTCACTCCTTTTAGGCTGAACAATCATCCTGGTTGTCTTTGTTATCCATGTGGAAAGCTTCCTGACTTATTATACTCCAACAATCTCCATTCAACCCCTTGAGCCACTCTCTCTCAGGATCATACTCCAGACCTGGGCACTTGTTGGGAAATCCTAAATTTCAATTTTCAATTTCTGACCATAATTATCCCTGCATGTTTTTTTTCTTTTTTTCCCTTGCTCCCTATACATAGGTTTTCTGGATACCCTGAGAATTCAATTCCTCAACCCTTCTCTTTTTCTTCAGTGAACTCTTTCCTTCCTTTGATAGCCCACCTCTCTAGAGTGCAGTGTTTATGTTCTGTTTTTGGTTGCTTCAACATCCTCATGGCCTTGCAAATTAGCATCAATCTAGCCATTCATTATACCCTTACAAAAAATGTAGCTGATAAATGCCCCTGGAGAAAATCATTTAACTCTGTAGACCATTGTTGCTACAGATTGTGGTTTCCAATCTCCAATGAGTCTTCATTTTGGTTTGAAAGTTATTTTACACAACTAGCTTGCTTGCTTTCTCAGTAACCCACAAGGATATTTCAAATGTCATTCTCACCTATCCACCTGCTCATCACTGATGTCACTTGCAGTAGGTAGCCTTGCTTCTTTTTTACTGAAAAGACAACAAAAACTTCATCAATGTTATCCCTTTCAGTGCAGAGGAGGGAGCATCTTGTGCTGAAGCTCCACCTCTAAAATTTGCCTTGTGGGTCCTGTTCCCACCCCACATTTTCTCCATTATTTGCTCTGTTGTCTGCGTTTTGATTCTCTTTCTCCTTCTTCTTCTTCCTAACCTATAAGTACACTCGAATATATCCTATTAAAAATAGTAAAATAGAAAACCTTCCACCATCCTGTATCTTTGTTATTACCAGAATCATATTCTCTTTTTTCCTTTAGAACAAAGGTCTTTTTTTTAACTTTGTAAAGCATCTATTTTGAGTGATAATTTACATAGCATATTTTTTTTTTTCATTTTAAGTGTATAGTCCCATGAGTTTTAGTCACACAGCCACCATCCCTGCAATCTGGTTTTCAGTTCCTTCCCTCACCCCAAAACATTCTTCCTGCTCCTTAGCAGTCAGTCTTATTGCCCATTCCCAGCCCTAGGCCACCACTGATCTGTTTTAGGTCTCAATAATTTTGCCAGTTCTGGGCATTAATCACACGTGACTTTTGTGCCTAAATGTTTCCACTTGGCATAAGAGCTTTGAGATTCATTTATGTTATGCATGCATCAGTAGTCTTTTCCTTTAAATTGCTGTATAGTATTCCATTGAAGGGTTTGCCACAAGATGTTTATCCAATCCCCAGTTGATGGACTTCCCTCATTTTTAACTAATGAATAAAATTGCTACAAACATTGGTGTCTTCACCTTTTAGTCTTTGATTAATGTCTCTACATTTTAGTCTTTGAATGAGGATGAGTCATTGTTTCTCTTGGGAAGCTACTGAGGAGTGAAGTTTCTGGGCTATATAGTTAGTATATGTTCAACTTTTCTAAAAAAAAAATTTAGATTCAGCGGTACATGAGCAGATTTGTTATCTGGGTATATTGCGTGGTGCTGAAATTTGGGCTTCTATTGATCCCATTGCCCAAATAGGTAATATAGCACTCAATAAATAGTTCTTCAACCCTTGCCCCATTCCCTTCCTCCCCTATTTTTGGAGTCCCCAGTGTCTATTGTTTCTATCTTTATGTCTGCATGTACTAATGTTTAGCTTTCACTTATAAGTGAGAACATGCAGTATTTGGTTTTCTGTTTTTTCATAAATTTACTTAGGATAATGGCCACAAGCTGCATCCATGTTGCTGTAAAGTATAGGATTGATTTCATTCTTCTTATGGCTGCATAGTATTCCATCATGTATATGCACCACCTTTTATTTATCCAGTCCACCACTGACAAGACACTAGGTTGGTTCCCACGTCTTTGCTATTGTGAATAGTGCTGTGATAAATATATGACTGCAGGTGTTTTTTAGGTAGAATGATTTATTTTCCTTTGGGTATGTATCCAGTAATAGGATTGCTGAGTTGAATGATAAATCTATTTTTAGTTCTTTGAGAAATATCCAACTGCTTTCTACAGTGGCTCAACTAATTTACATACCTACCAATAGTGTATAAGCATTACTTTTCTTTGCTACCTTGTTAATATCTGTTATTTTTTGACTTTTTAGTAATAACCATTCTGACTGTTGTGAGATGATATCTCATTGTGATTTTGATTTGCATTTTTTCTGATGATTCATGATGATAAGCATTTTTTTGTGTTTGTTGGCTGCTTATATGTCTTCTTTTTAAGAAGTGTCTGTTCATGTCCTTTGCCCACTTTTTAATGGATTTTTTTTCTTGTTGATTTGTTTAAGTTTCTTGCAGATTCTGGATATTAGTCCTTTGTCAGATTCATAGTCTGGAAATGTTTTCTCCCATTCTGTAGGTTGTCTGTCTACTATGTTGATAGTTTATTTTGATGTGCAGAAGCTTTTTAGTTTAATTAGGTCTCAATTGCCAATTTTTGCTTTTGTTGCATTTGCTTTTAAAGACTTAAATTATTTGCCTAGGCCAATGTCCAGAAGAATGTTTTCTAGTTTTTCTCCTAGAAGTTTGATTGTTTCAGGTCTTAGATTTAAGTCTTTAATCTATCTTGAGTTAATATTTGTATATGACAAGAGGTAGGGATAGAGTTTCATTCTTCTGCATATGGTTAGCCAGGTTCAGCAGCACCATTTTTTGAATAGGGTATCCTTTCCCATTGTTTACTTTTGTTGACTTTGTCAAAAGTCAGTTGGTTGTAAATATGTGGCTTTATTTCTGGGTTCTCTTTTCTGTTTCATTCGTCTTTTTGTTTATTTTTGTACAAGTACTATGCTGTTTTGGTTACTGTAGCCTTATAGTACAGCTTGAAGTCAGGTAATGTGGTGTCCCTGGCTTTGTTCGTTTTGCTTAGGTTTGTTTTGGCAATTTGGGCTCCTTTCAGTTTCATACAAATTTTAGAATAGTTTTTTTCTAATTCTGTGAAGAAAGATGTTGGTAATTTGATAGAATTGCATTGAGAATATAGATCACTTTTGAACAGTATAGACATTTTAATAATTTTTTATTCTTCCAATTTATGAGCAGGAAATATTTTTCCACTTGTTTGTGTGATCTATGATTTCTTTCAGCAGTGTTTTGTAGTTCTCTTATAGAGGTCTTTCATCTCCTCGGTTAAATGTATTTCTATGTATTTTATTTTTTGTAGCTATTGTAAATTTTATTGTATTATCGATTTGGTTATCAGCTTGAATGTTATTGGTGTATGGTTTTGTATGTTGATCTTGTATCCTGAAACTTTACTGAAGTTGTTTATCAAGTCTAAGGGTCTTTTGGCAGAATCTTTAGGGTTTTCTAGATATAGAATCATACCTTCAGCAAAGTGAGATGATTTGATTTCCTCTTTTTCTTATTTGGATGCCTTTTATTTCTTTCTCTTGCCTGATTGCTCTGGCTAGGACTTCCAGTACTATGCTGAATAGGAGTGATGAGAGTGGATATCCTTGTCTTATTCCAGTTCTTAAGAGGAATGCTTCACATTTTGCCTATTCAGTATGATATTGCCTGTGGGTTTGCCATAGATGACTCTTAATATTTTAAGAGTTCCCTTTGATTCATACTTTGTTGAGGGTTTTTAACATGAAGAGATGTTGGATTTTATTGAATCATTTTTCTGCATCTACTGAGATGATCATACAATTTTTGTTTTTAATTCTATTTATGAGGTGAATCACATTTATTGATTTGCATATGTTGAACCATCCTTGCATTCCGGAATAAAGCTTACTTGATCACAGTGGATTATCTTTTTGATGTGTGGCTGAATTTGATTTGCTAATATTTTGTTGAAGATTTTTGTGTCTATGTTCTTCAGGGATATTGGCCTGTAGCTTTCTTTTTAGTTGTGTCTTTGCCAGATTATGGTATCAAGATGATATTGGTTTTGTGGAATTAGTTAGGGAGGAATCCTTCCTCCTCAAGTTTTTGGAATATTTTTAGTAGAATTGGTACCAGCTCTTCTTTTTACATTTGATAGAACTTGGATGTGAACCTAGCTGGTTTAGGGCTTTTTATGGTTGGTAGGTTTTTTATTACTAATTCAATTTGGTAACTCATTAATGGTGTTTTCAGGGTTTCTATTTCTTCCTGGTTCAATATTGGGAGGTTGTGTGTTTCTAGGAATTTATCAGTTTTTTCTAGATTTCATAGCATGTGTGCATAGAGATGTTCATAGTAGTCTCTGAGGATATTTTATATTTTGTAAGATTGGTTGTAATGTCACCTTTGTTTCTTCTGATTATACTTATCTGGATCATCTCTCTTTTTTTCTTTGTTAATCTAGTGAGTGGTCTGGTCTATTATTCCCATTTATCCTTTAAAAAAACAAAGTTTTCACCTTATTGACCCTTTATATGTTTTTGGGTCACAATTTCATTTAGTTCTGCTCTGATTTTAGTTATTTATTTTCTTTGTTAGCTTTGGGATTCATTCGCTCTTTAATTCTAGTTTCTTTAGATGCAGCATTAGTTTATTTAAGATCTTTCTAACGTTTTGAAGTAGGCATTTAGCACTATAAACGTTCCTCTTAACACTGCTTTTTCCCCATTCTAGAGGTTCCCATTCAGAATGTACTAAAGTACATTCTGTCTTTAGTTTCATTTGTTTCAAATAATTTTTTTTTTATTTTTGCCTTAGTTGTTTTGCTTACTGAAAAGTCATTCAGGAGTAAGTTTCTATATAATCATGTGGTTTTGAGAGTAGAACAAAGATCTTGGAAAGATTATTTATAACCTTTGTTCACATATCTCATGTCTAATACACTTATTATTTCCCATTCATAAAAAGTTAATGTATGCACAAACATTTAAAAGTCAAATAGCAATACATGCTTAATCATGTAAAATAAGATTCTCTTAATTCCCACCTTGACATTCTTGAGACTCTGTTCTCCAATACTTCTATTTGTTCAGCTACTCAGCTCCAAAACTGTGCTTCATCAGCACTCCCTTCCTAATTCTGTTGTTCTTTCTGGGCATAATGCATATCTATATCTATCAATTTCATTTTTTTAACTCTCTGGGAATATTAATTCTAGTGATGTTGTTTGTGGTAATGAGAAGGATTTCTGCTTCTAGTTTTTGTGTGTTCTTTTTCTCTTTGTTTTGGCCTCTTTCTGCTGTGTTAGTGTTCCTTAAATGACTGGTGGTCTTGTGTTATTCACTTACATTTAGAAATGGGTCACCAGGCTGGACACAGTGGCTCGTGCCTGTAATCCCAGCACTTTGGGAGGACTAGGCGGGCGGATCATGAGGTCAAGAGATCAAGACCATCCTGGCCAATATGGTGAAACCCCATCTTTACTAAAAAATACAAAAATTAGCCGGGCGTGGTGGCAGGTGCCTATAATCCCAGCTACTCGGGAGGCTGAGGCAGGAGAAGCATTTGAACCTGGGAGGCGGAGGTTGCAGTGAGCCGAGTTCACGCCACTGCACTCCAGCCTGGTGACTGAGTGAGACTCCATCTCAAAGAAAAAAAAAAAAAAAAAAGAAAGAAAGAAATGAGTCACCAGTCAGCTCAACTCTGTGGCATGGCCAGACATGTGTTTACTGGTGATTGATTGGGAAGGGACCTGCCCCTTTGGAGTGAAGAGCAATTTGAGATGTCAGTATCTGACATTTTATTGAAAGAAAATCTCTCATTCTTCAACCTGTATAAATGTCTAGGCCCTATTATTCTAGGAATCAAGTGGTCAAAAGGGTTTGGAGACTTCATCACTTAGTATAGTGAATTTTGCATCATCTACCTGTTCCATATATGGGCTTTTTGCCCAGATCTTGACTTGTTGATTCTAAATTCTGAATATTTTTATGGTTCTCTATTGAAATGGCTTTTTCTCTTGGGCACTTGCAGGCAGTTGCTATTTACTGTGCTCATCTCTGCTTACTCCTTCATTGCTTTCCATCTTCCTAAAATGTCTCAGCAACTGTTATCTCTTGTTGTGTCTTTTCTGTTATTTGCTCTTATAGTAGATAAGTAGATTATTTTTAACTTCTTCACTCTCATTATATTAAGTATAATGTAGATATTAAGTTATTTACTATAATTTTAATAAATTAATTATTAAAGGGACAGAAACAAATATGTTCAAATGACGTTGTTTAATTTGAAATCTTCTAATTCACCTTTTAACATACTGTAAGTAGATGTATGGTTTTACTCTATGGAAAATCCAACAATTTCCTATGTCTTAAGTCAAATAAGACTATTTTCTGTTTTTATCTTCCTTGTCCTCTGCAACTAGCATCTAATGTTTTTTTGTACAACATCCCTTGGCTTTTGTTATACCACTCTCCTAGTTTTTCTCTTTCCTTTTTCTTTAATCATTTTCAGCTAGCTTTCTTGTTCTTCTTCTGTTCCCCACCTCTTTTCTCAATGTTATATTTTTGAGTCTCTGTCTCTTCTCTCTCTAAATGTCCTAATTTTTCTCAGACTTCAACCTACCTCATTTATTTGGTTTTTCACCCTCAGGAGATAATTTTGCTTTCTTCCTCCAAAGAGATGAAAGAAAGAAGGAAATTTGTCCTCCTCCAATGTTATGCTACCCAATGTATAGCCCATTCTACATTTCCACCCACTCTTGCTCCATGTTTTTGTTATGTTTTGCTTTATAGGCACATATGCTTTTATTTGAACCAAACTCCTTCACTGCCCACTCTGTTCTCTTCCAGTCACTGCCTACGTATGCACCATACTGTTGATTATATCTTTTCTCTCTTATATTTTCAATCTCTTTTTTACTGAACCTCTTCCATCTTTTTTTTTAATCTTAGAAAAATCAAATTGACACTAAGCCATCTGTTTCTCTATCTGCAAAAGAACTGTTTATACATTTTGTTCCCATTTTCTCGTCTCCACTCACATCTCAACTTCTGATCTTAATTTCATTCTCATTGGTGCACACAAACAAATCTCACAAAAGTCACAAATTTCTGCTTGTTCACCAAATGCAGTAGACATATTTCATTTCCTATCCCAACTAGGGCCTCAGTGACATTTTACTTTGTTGACTGTTCCTTAATTCTTAAAACAGTTTCTGGCCTCAGTTTCTATGCCAACATATGTACTTCATTTTCTTTTTATCTCTGTGGCTCCTCCTTCACTCTTTCCTTTGTAGTCTTATCCTTCTTTACATAGTCATTAAATGTGAGCATTCGTATGACTACACTCTAGCCCCTCTTGACTTCTCAGTATGCTTTCCCTTAGAACTCACTTCTCCCACGGCCGCAACTGCCTACGCACTTAAGGTACATTTTTTTTTTTTTGATGGAGTTTTGCTCTTGTTGCCCAAGCTAGTGTACAATGGTGCCATCTTGGCTCACTGCAACCTCCGCCCCCCCAGGTTCAAGCGATTCTCCAGCCTCAGCTTTCCGAGTAGCTGGGATTACAGGTGCATGCCACCACGCCCAGCTAATGTTTTGTATTTTCAGTAGAAACGGGGTTTCACCGTGTTAGCCAGGCTGGTCGTGAACTCCTGAGCTCAGGTGATCCGCCTGCCTCGGACTCCCAAAGCACTGGGATTACAGGTGTGAGCCACCACGCCCGGCCCACTTAAGGTACTTAAAAAAAATATCTCAGGCTAAGGTTAAGGAAGAAACCACCACTTACTAACTGAAATACAAAGTTAAATTTATTACTGAAGCAAGGGAGAGTTATGATTTTTAGGCAGTCTTTCTAAACAAAGCAGACTATTGATTGTACGTGGAAATTTTAGAAAATAAATAGTTCAGAGAATGGGTTGATGTCAGCTATAGAAGCATGATTTCTTGGGAGAAGACCCTTGTGGATTGGTTGCCTTTCCAGTATGTTCACTGGAGTCATGCTCTTGCCAACTGGTTGTCCTTCCAAAGAGGAACACTATTACTCATTGGTTAGCTTTCAAAAACTTGCTCTGAGAAAGTTATCATGAATTGACTAAGTGGGTTTAAAACTGGTTGTGATGGTAACTCTAACTGTTGCTACAGAACAATCAGTTGTTTCTGAGGAGCATGAGAAATTGTTAAAGTTCTCATAAAGCTGTTTCTTTTTTAAATAAATTCACCTTCAAATATCCAACCATGTATTCACTGTTTCAACCTGATGTCTCAAAAGCACTTGAACTCAACATGTCCAAAACCAAATGTATGCTTTTCTGTTCAAACTTGATCCTTCTCTTGAAAGACACAACTATTCATCTAGATCAGGAACTGGCAAATTTTTCTGTAAAAGGGGAGATAAAAATTTCAGGCTTCGTGGAATATACGATCTTGGTTGAGACTGCTCACCTCTTCTGTCACTCAGGCTGGAGTGCAGTGGCATGATCTCGGCTCACTGCAACCTCTGCCTCCTGGGTCAAGTGGTTCTCATGCCTCAGCCTCCCGAGTTGCTGGGAGTACAGGTGTGTGACCTCACTCCCGGCTAATTTTTTGTATTTTTTTTTTTTTTTTGAGACGGAGTCTTGCTCTGTCACCCAGGCTGGAATGCAGTGGCGCGCGATCTAGGCTCACTGCAAGCTCCGCCTCCCAGGTTCACGCCATTCTCCTGCCTCAGCCTCCCGAGTAGCTGGGACTACAGGCACCCGCCACTGCGCCCGGCTAATTTTTTTGTATTTTTAGTAGAGATGGGTTTCACCGTGTTAGCCAGGATGGTCTCGATCTCCTGACCTCGTGATCCACCCACCTTGGCCTCCCAAAGTGCTGGGATTACAGGCGAGAGCCACCGTGCCCAGCCCTCATCTATTCTGTCACAGTGTGAAAGCAGTCATAGACAGTACATAAACAAATGGACATGGTTGTGTCCCAATAAAACTTTATTGATGGAAACAGAAAACAAGCATAATTCGGTAATCACTGATTTAGATGATCAAGCTATAAAAAGTACTTTGGACTGCACCCTGTCTATAATGTACCATATCTATCTTACCTATGCCTTTGCTTTTTGTACTGAGCACTTACTGTTCTGTTTTCTCAGAACATTTTTTTTTTCTGAAAAATATCCTTAAAAAATATCTAGATCTCCCAGATTAGGACCTTACCTCTAACCTAATGTTTTTCTAGGAATAAACAAATGATCCAGGGAATTAGTCAAACTTGACTAATTAGACTAATCAGGGAATTAGCCAGACTTGATCACTTGCTTATCGCTAGATGGAGTTAAAATTTAAAAGATTCTTTCTCCTCTGGCGTAAAGATGGGATGCCGGGATTGCTGGCAGGACATGCTCTCCACCCCTGCCCCAGTCGTCACACTGGACTGGTCTACTGCATTCAGAGGCAAGGAACCCACTGCACAGAGAGACGGTGAGAGGGCCCTGGGCCCTTGTGTCCGTGACTTGTCACTGCCATCCCTGGTCTTTCTGTGGTTGGAAATTGTGAGCTAGTAATACTGTTCTCACCTCACATTTCACTCATTTGAAAGTTCGAATTACATGTAACCAAGGAATCTTGACAAAATAGACCACTTAAACAGCTCTTAAATTTATTCACTTTCCTCCCTTTTCACTATATGCTTAGCCTAAAGCTCTTATCATTTCATTCTGGGAACACAGAACTACATCCCTAACACTGTAGCTCTTTTGGCACCTACAATACCTTATTCATACTGCACTCTAAATAGTCATCTAAAAATTAAAGTCTGAACATGGCATTTCCTTGCTGAAAGCCTTTCTGTGTCCCCATGTTGTCCTGCATGCCCAACCCCTCTCTCCTGTCCCACATCCCTTATTCCCTCTGCTCCAGCTGTCTTGCCTTCTTTCAGTTATTTGTACCACGTTTGCCTTAAGGCATTCGTACATGCTGTTTCTTCCTTCTGAAATGCTCTTCTCTCAGTCCTCTTCATGGATGTAGTGCTGATCCATCATTCAGAGCTCAAATCACTTTTCATGTTCTTGGGGAAGAATTCCTTCTCTCTACAAAACAGTTAAGCTGCCATTTTTTTTCACTGTACCTTTTACAGTCTGGTGCAATCTTTAGAGATTTCAACATATTTAATAATTATATAATTCTTTAGGTTGTCATTTCATATCTATCTAAACATCTTCCTACTCCATAAATTTTATGGGAACAGTAAACACTGGGCCCTCAGGACTACTAGAGGGGGAGGCTGGGAGAAGGGCAAGGGTTGAAAAACTACCTATTGGGTACCTGGGTGAGGGATCATTCATACACCAAACCTCAGCAATATGCAATTTATCCATGTAACAAACCAATACATGTAGCCTCTGAATGTAAAATGAAAGTTAGCAAAATAGAAACAAAATAAAATAAAATAAAATAAAATAAAAATGAAGACAAGGATTGTGTCTGTTTTGTTAAATGCAGAATTTCCAGTTCATTGTGATGGTAAGAATGACCTTCAAAGATGCCTGTGCCTTAATTGGTGGATCTTTGAGTATGTTACTTTATGTAGCAAAAGAGCCTCTGAAGATTTGATTAAAATTATGGGCCTAAGATGGAGAGGTTATCCTGAATTACATAAGTGGGCTGAATTTAATCACATGACTTTTTAAAAGCAGAGAAAATTCACTGAGTGGTGTCTCAGAGGAGGAAGCGGCAGAGAGGTATAGCAGAAAGGAAGTCAGAGAGACTTGAAGCGTGAGAGTGACCCAGCCCACAGGGAATCTTCCTTTCTGAAGACTCAGGTTTGCTGAAGGGAATCTTCAGGAAGGAGTGAGAAAGACTGCAGGCAGCCTGTAGGTGGAAACTACAGCTTGGCTGACAGCCAAGGACCTTCAGTCCTACAACCTCAAGGAACTGAATTCTGCCAAAACCTAAATGAGCTTGGAAACAGACACATCCTAGAGACTCCAGAAAGGAATGCAGCCTTGGCAACACTTTGATGTCAGCCTTGTTAACTCTACAGGAGATAAACCAGCCCAGCCAACCTGTATTTCTGACTTAGACAATGGGCAGATGCTCAATCTGTGTTGTTTTAAGCCACTAAATTTGTCATAATTTGTCATCACAGAATACTAATATACTTCTCACATGTGCCTGACATGTACTAAGTGCTCAGTAAACATTTAATGAATGGATAAACAAATGGGCAGCTTCATTCACTTCTGAGAATTCAACTGCTCATAGGTCAAAGTTGAGTAATCCCAGCCCAAATCTCTCTCCTGGGCTCCAGAGCTTGCATGTCCATCTAGAAAGATGGAATTAGGCAATAGAGAGGTCTAACTTCATGCTCCATAGGCACCTTAATTTGATGTGTTCAGAAACAAACTCATTTTCTTTCGCCACTAATCCTGATCTTCATCATTGATCATCTCCCTTCCTTCACTCCCCTTATTCAATCTGTTCTTAAGCCTACTAGCACTATTGTATTATTTCTATCTTCTATTCTATTGCTTCTTTTAGGATTCATGTTTTAACCAAGCCTTGACTATCGAAGACTATTCAAGTCTTATATCTGGTTTCCATTCCTCTCTTCCTATTTCTGAGGCTATATGCCACTACAGATCTCCATGCAGTATTCTCTACTACAATCTCAGGCCACTCTTTATGGTGCTGCCCTGCTGTGGCACTGGACTTCCCTTTAAGATGTAGTCCAGCATCGATCTTCTCTTCAAACTTTTCATGCTAGCTCCTGACCCCACTCACACATCCAGAGAGATTTGAGCCTCCCCTCTTTTGCACCCCACTCTTCCCTGTGCATATTTCTATGTATACTTCCCATAACACATTATTAAGCTTGTGCACCCTCCCTACTGCTCTGGGCTTTATTCAGGTGTGCATCACAGAGCCTGGCAGAGGGCTTGGGACATGTCACTAATGTTAGATGAATGGATACATGAACCAGTGTGTTCTCCTATTGCCTAGATTTGTGTTTATGAATAACACTAGACAGATGCTGCTCAAAGTGTTGCCTTCTGAGCAGCATAAGCACCTGGGAACTTTTTAAAAATGCTCCCCACCTCCCAGCTCCCCACCTCCCCCCGCCTGCCTCCAGTCAACAAGAATCTCTAGTAGTGAAGCACACAAGAATGTGTGTTTTAATAAGCCTTCCAGGTGGTTCTAATGAACACTAAAGTTCGAGAACCACTTCTCTAGGGGATCCCTCCAGTTCACTCTTAGAGAGTCCAGTGAAATACTTCTAGCTCAGCTGAGCTTCTAATTGCACCTAACCAGGAACACTGACTAGAGAAAAGGAGGTGGGGACAGCAGGAAACATCTCAGCTGTGGAAGAGAGTTCCAGGGCTTGGCCATAACCAGCAATCGAATAGCACAAAGTTCACATACAGCACAGATCTGAAGGCAACTTGAGAATCTCTTTTATGTTCCAGAATTCAAATTGAGGCAGCAAATTTTTGTGGCTTTGCTTTTATGTTTAAATGGCACCAGTGGAATTTTGCCTTGCCACACAGCATATTGAATAAAGGAGAAACGGGTGGAGATTTGTTTTAAGAACTACAGAGAGTAGGCTGAAGTATCTGCATGATTTTTCCTCCAACAATAGATTCTGGCGGCAGAGAAAAGTAGGAAAATCCAGACCGAATTTCTCTTTTTCTCAAAACCTGGCTCTTTCCCAACCAACAATTGACTGCTGGCCCCAGAACCTGACTTGTGTGGCCCTGATAGTCTTCCAAGAGTAGTCTTTCATAAGTCAGAATGATTATCACCAGGGTACATGGAAATAACACAAATCAGGATGTCACCTTGCTGTTGGGAGAAAAGGGAGTCCCTCCAACATCCTTCCCCAAAATCTGCACATGGCAAAATATCTATGTTCCTACAGGGGGATCAGATCCAGCCAAGGGAATGATCATGTGTGTCTCACTTCCCTTTTTCTTGCAAAAACATGGTTGTATGTATGTATGTATGTGTGTGTGTGTGTGTGTTTGCATGTGCAAGTGTTTCTCTAGGATCATTATATTTTTTGTGTGGTTTTTGCTGTGGACAATGGTGACAGAAGGACATGACTTTTTACCTATAATTCCATAATCAAGTAATTACAAATGATGGAAAAAAAAAATCAGAAAGTTTTTCTGATTACTGATTTATCCTTTCAGCTTCCTTCTCCTTCTTTCTTCCAAGTAGTATTTATATAAGACTTTCTGAAAAGCAATGCTTATAATTGTACCCAAGTGAATCATTGTAGCTTTCAGCAATTCCAAGAGGCAATGGAGAAGTATCAAGCCTTTAAACAAAGACTGGCTCCATAGAAGTAATTACACTCACTTGACCCAAGTGAGCCTGCCGTGGAAAGAACACCAGCATTCCTCAGACTGAGGCATGCTATTTTCCATTCTTCGGGATTTAAACATATTCTCCTAGTCAAAATGTTAAGATTTAAGCAATATCTGGTTGGGTTCTGTTACTGGGGGTTTTTAAACATTTATTTTCTTTAGATAGTGTATACGAGTGTTTGGATATAAAATTAGAAAAACTCTCTATGTGATGCTAGGAAAATAAAGATTTTTAAGCTACTTAAAGTAATTGCATAAAATTGCTACTTTCACTTAACGATTCACTAATTATTTTCATGACATTTGTTACTTCTGCTGGCCATTGCTTTCAGTATGGTCTACAGTCTACAGGTTTAAAAACAATAAGTGGACATTCCTTTTACCAACCTCTGGATGGCTAATGAATTAGCAGCTTTAAGATTATATTTGAGGAGGGAACTCCTTTTGCTTTCTCTTCAAAAGTCAAGCATATCAGAGAAATGTGGGCATAATGCCTTAAAATACTCTGTATATTACCAGAAATAAGAGAAGAAAAACTACTTGTTTTGGATGTTTGCAGACTGATCAGGCTTAAAGGTTCTAGGCTCCCATGATCCATGACTCCAAGTTGGATTAATTCAGTGTGGCATTATACCAAAGAGAGGTGGTACCTGTTCTACACCCTAACTAGTCATGACAGCTAGAAGAAAAGGATGGGTGAATAATTCTATCCAGCAGGAAATTCCATGGCAAAGGAAATTTTCCTTTTTTTTCGTTCTTTTCATTGTGCTGTAAAAGTGGTAGTTTTTTTTCTTCTTGTAGTCACTGTTCAGCCAAGTGTTGCTTTTACACAGTTAGGAAGCTGTGGCTCACAGACCACAATAGAAATAGCTTGTATACCATTCATTTTCTTAAGGGAGAACACTCTTGAAATATGAAATGGCTGCTTTCCATTTTTAAAAAATGCAAAGCTTAGGGCTTATACTCAATTCTCAAGGTAGCTTTCCATTAACAAGAGCCTCCAACATCATTGGCTTCTGTCACCACCAATAGTTTCCTTTTATTAACTTCCACATTCTTCTTGTGCTCTTTAAGCAATTCCTAGAAGCTACCCTTTCTCCTCTTTTTGTTTCTGTTGCCATTCCTACTACTATCCCTCACTGTCCCCACCTTATGCTCCTGTACTGATTCACAGCCAAGAAGATTTCTCTGGATGAAACTCCAGCCTGCAGACCTTACTTCTACTTCATCTGGCCTCACTGCTGAATTGGACAGCACCAAAAAGAGTCCCAGCACAGGTGCTCCACTGGAGAGCTTCTGGCCAAGGAATGCAAAATGAATCCATCAAGTACTATTGGATACTCGTCCAAAATTTATAAGAAAATCTTGCTGATAATGCTTTGAATGAACTTCTAACTCTCAAGAGAACGTTATTTTAAAAATGGACCATAAATCACGTATCCTATATACCTTTATTCTTATAGAAAAAAAATAATTTTCACAAGACATGTCAGCATGTTAAAGAAGGAACTTCATGGGGAAATGTGTTAATACAAAGGGGTGACCTGGGAAGGGAGCCCGGGCTCTGTGGAAGAAAGTTGAAGGAGGTGTTATTGGAAAGGAAGGTCTTCAGGTCAGCCTATATAGAGCATCTCACTTGTTTAGTCCTGCATATAGCAGACTCTTCTGAGAAAATGGAAAACTCTTATATTTATTTGCACTTTGGGAATATAAGCCTAATCCACCAAAATCACCTTGTGCTTTTCAGAGTGCTTCATTGCTCTTCCCATCTGTCAGGCTGTGGGCTCAGCAATGTAGAGGGGATACTCTTCTCCTAACTCTCCAGTGTGCGCCTTGTGGTTGTCCTGTCTGCTAAAGCAAACTTTCTCCAAGTTGTCTTTGGAACAAATGGCATCAGGGTGATATTTTTACACTTAAAGTTCTTGAGCTTGTTACACAGTGTGTCATATATTCATGATTTTGAATTTGCCATGATAAACCCCCTTTTTGGATGTCTTTTTACAATGTGAACACTACAGAGATTTGTGTATATACCTATATATACACATACATATATACATACATATATATATATATATATATATATATATATATGTTTCAGTTTGTGAGCAAGCCAAGTGCATGTGATACACTCACTCTATGTTAACATAGATGAAAGCGCCCCATACTACATCCTTCCCTTGCTTGGTCAGTTTGTCTAGCCATGGAGGAATGCCCTTTACAGAGTGTATTAGGCTGGTGTTGAAAATAATTTTATGGTCAGAAAACCTACATTTCTTCAGTTCTTAGAATTCCAGTAATCTTCTTGAACTAATCAGTTGGATTGTCACCCAGGAATTACAGTTCTCCTCCCTTAATGTTGGAAAGTTGGCACCTTCCTTGCTGGCCCCAGGCTCTATAAAGAAAGAGGTACAGCTCTGGCAAACCAAGTATATAAACAAAAGACTTAATAGGAACTTCAAAAAATATATATATGTGTATATTTCTTTTCCTTTCCTTTCCTTTTCTTTTCCTTTCTTTTCTTTCCTAATGAATTGCCCGAATCTGAGTTTCTTGGCAGTCAGAAAAAGCTGAAGAACAATGGTATTATTTATTGTTGGGTCAATGATTTAAAATATTACAGGATATGGCTGAAAAAAATAACATTTTTTTTGTTCTCAATTCATTTATAATTAATCAACATAAAATATCTGTGCCTCTAATAAAATTTGACCTCTTTAACACATGGGAGACCTTGAGAAAAAAATTTACTCTCAGATTACCTGGAATTGTTTTCTGCTACTTTACCTTACTCTGTGTCGAACCACAATTTAAACTTACTGGTAGTCTATGTGCTGTTTTTCTAGTCACTTGTAGTTTTTCAGCTCTTCAACAAATTTCACTTCTCCTCTAACTACTCTGTGTAGGCCAAGGCCTATCATCTATTTCCTGCTCGCTTGTTTTCCTTGGTCAGTCAACTGGGCCTTGGGTGGTGAGTTATGAACTGGTGGAGTGGCTCCTCTGGCCTCTTCAGACACTGAGGGGCTTTCCACGCTGGGTACGCTGTTTTTCACTCAGGGTTCTACATTCTTTTTGGCTCATACCCTTTTCTAACAAGTGCTTTCAACTGTGAGGGCTCCATCATCCCACCCTACATTCAACTTCTATTCACTTCTCTCATATCCCATACTTCTGGAAGACCACAGAAGGAAGCTTTCTATATTCCCTTAAGACTAAGTTGAGAGCCTTTTCTATGTGTTACCAATACACCTGTGTTAGCTTTGTAGTAACACTTAATTCTCTGTATTTTAGGTCCTAGTTGACCTGTATGTCTCCTCGTTAGACCGAAAGTTGTTTGAAAGCCTGAGACTACTGGTTCCCCAGTGTAAGCACAATGCCTTAATAAGCATTGCATAACTAAATATAAGAAAGAAGGAGCAAATGATGGTATTAGTCTAAAATATTGGAGGGAGTTAAAAAGAAATTATTTAGGCAGATAGTGAGGGTAAGAGAGTCGTTGGTAAGGTTTTCCTTTTAATAAAAAGCAGCCCCCAAATCATTTCTTTTCTAACAAAAAGCAGCCTGCGAAACTGAGCTGCAGACATAGATAAGCCTTGCAGGGGTGAATGTCAGCAGCTGTGTCAATAGGAAAAGGCTACCTGGGGACTAGGCATGTTCAACATGGTGGCTCCATCTTTCCTTTTTCTTGACAACCACGTGTACAGTAAGGAACAGACAACATGGCGCCGGCCAGGTAGAGACCCCATCTGCATAATAAAAGATTAGGGTGGGGTGACCAGCTTTGCACACTATGTAAATGGTACACCTGGTCCAACCAATCTTTGGGTCCTATGTAAATCAGATACTGCCTCTTCAAGCTCATCTATAAAACCCCAGGCATTTCGCCACAGAACCAGAAGATCCCCCGCTTCACATCCCCGCCATATGTCTCACTCTGCAGGAGAGGAAGCTATTCTCCGTTTTCATTCTTTTGCCTATTGAGCTTCTGCTCTTAAACTCACTTCTTGTGTGTCTGCATCCTCTATTTTCCTGGTGTGAGATGATGAAACTCAGGTATTTATCCTAGACAGGAACGCCGCTTCAATTCTAAACCTTCGGATGACTCCTCTTAAACCTTGACAATAACTTATGCTGTAAGTCAATGACAATGAATAAATCACAATAGGCCTTTCCAACTTACCCAGAACTAAATACAAGGAGTACACAGAGTATGTGGGCATAAAGTGACCTTTAAAGACATATTTAGAAATAATTAAATATTTTCAAAAGTTTCATTTTCTTTCAAAAAGAGCTAGATTTGTCCAGTGTAGAAGAGGCTGTCTCTAGTTCTATTGAGTTTCTGATCACTGGAAGTGTATAGGCAGTTGCTGGACAAGGGTGTCTATTAGAAGGTCTGAAAGTAGAATCTGGCCATAGTTGGGATCTACCTGCAGCACTAAGATGGGTGATTCTTAAGGGTCTGTCTCATGTCTGCTGTCTGCTGAGGCGTACACTCTGCCCAAAGGCACAGAAACATAATGAAATATTCTTCTGTTCCACCTATCAAACCTCACCAAGCACTTCTCATTGGTGGAATACAAGTGGGAACTCTGCAGGCACAGCAGGCTAGGAAGTGCTGTTTGCAGGACTCTAGCTCCCACAACACAGAGGAGAGAACTGAAAAAATTAGCAAGATCCTTAGAAAGAGATACAAAAAGAGAGGTCTCTGGGCCTTCCAGAGTTGTATCCACATGCCAGTCAATATTGCATCTTTAGCTATGGAGGCTTAAAGTTTTTGTAGCTCCTCTCCATGCTACCAGAAGATCTTGGAGAGTCAGAAGTCTTACCTTAGGCCTTTTCTCTGCCTAACAATGGCACACAATTATTCTAATCTAAGGAAATTCAAAGAGGAAACACGATAAGACGTTTGGAGTTTTCTTTCTACCTAGGTTTCCATTATCTCACCACACCCAGATCATAAGGGCATATAGGCTGGGCCACTTATTAGTTTGATCTCCTCTGAATCACTCCACAATTCTCCTATCAGCATATGAAAAATTTGCATGCACTGCTGGGTAGCAGGAAACTGTATCACATTATATCCTGAATCTTTCTTCTTCCAAGACTAAAAAATAAAATCCAACTCCGGGAGTTCCAAAATAACACTCTCCGAGCCCAGTGGCCTGTGTGCATGTCCTGTCAACTTTGAGTTCAGTGATGTCACATTGGTAGGCTGAAATCAGACATGATGGGAATGTTTACAACACAGAAATCATAAGTGCTACAAATTATGGCCTTTTTTCTTTTTAAAGAGTTGCTTATTAGCTAAACACTTACTAGCATAGCATACTGTTGTCTATTTTGAAACTCAGACCTGAGCGATGGAGGCAATACTGTTTTTGTTTCTGCTGGGGATCTGCCTTCTTCCTAAGACAATGGCTGCCTCAGCTGTCGTGGCCAAGATAGGTAACTTGACTGGGAGCAAACAACATATTGGATAATACGCCAAAATCTTATCCAACAACAACTAATTTTCATTTGGTGCCTTATTGAAAGTGCATACTAACATGCCTCCATCTCTCTATCTCTAATTTTTAATGAATGAAGAACTATATGACAGATAAACAAACTGCCAAAGTTCCCTTGATTAATTGTTGCCATTGCCAAGAACCCAGCAAGGCTCATCTGACATCAAAGTCTGGGATCCTGCTACTCCTGCGGCTCCCCTGCACACTGGTCAATGAAGATATTACATTTCTGCAGGTATAGAATTCCCAGTGTCCTCAGAAACTCTTTGCTGTACTTAGCAAAACCATGCTTTCCACTTCTAAAAACCTAGAGCTGAAAACGATTAAGCTTTAGTATAGAGCTACAGGAAACACTTGAATGGCAATTTGAATCTGAAATACTTTTCATTGGAAAATAACTGATTTAAAAGTTCTCCAACATTTGAGGTTGCTGGTCTTAGGCAGCGGAGAAATTTATGAAACCCAGGAAGGAGCAACACAGGCATTAGACATTTTTGCATATGTGGAAATATGCAAAAAAAAGAAAGAAAAAAAGCCCTTAATATTTTGTTGTGACTGATAACAAAGTAAGCCTTGAGAATGGTTTTAATATCAAATGCAGTACATCCTAGTAATATAGGGTTACCAGATTTAGCAAATAAAAATACTGGACACCAAGTTCAATTTGAATTCCACATATACAATAAATATATTTTTAAATATAAGTATGCCTCAAATATTAAATGAATCTTACCTGGCAACCCTAGAGTAATAGTATATTTGCTTTCTTCTTTCTGCCAACTAATGGCTGATATTGATACAATTTTCCATCATCTGTGCTACCAAGATAGCCTAAAAAAATTTGGTTTACACATTTTAGTTAAAATATAAGGTCAGTATTTATGCAAAGATCTGGAGTCCATTTTTCTTTGTCATGCTTCTATGTAATTTATACTTTTTCCTTTATTAAAAATTCAGAATTAAGAAAACCAAAGTTATTTTACAGTTAAAGGGTAAATAATCACCTAGAGAGAGCAGAGGTAGAGACAGAGAAGAAAGGAGGAGATCTCACAAAACCTAATCTACACATTATTAAGGCTGTGGGCAAGAATTGCTTCTCAGAAGAATAAATGTTTTGGAAGCAAAAAATGAGCTAATGCAGATTAAAATGAAGTTTAAGTATCAGTCCAGAGCTCATAAAATTAATGTACATCATCTGTTCTACTTAGTCATTCAAGTGTGGAAGTAACAGTAGCAGTAGTTAGTTTGCCAAACAGATTGTGTACAAATATCTTAGATCCAGGACAGCAATTCAGAAAAATAGTTCCTAAAATGTCGCAGAAGCCACACATCTTGAATATGGGTCAAGCAGGGAATGGTTATAAATGCTGATATCTGCAAGGTAGAAGCAAATTCCCCTGCAAGCAGGACAAAGGCACAGGCCAGTCAGGCTGATCTTTCGCGGTAATCAGGCAGCCCCACACCTACCAGGGGCAATAGGCATGAAGTGGCTGTTACACTCCAGTTCAGTGAGCCTGGGCTGAGCTTTTCCCCACTCACTATAACCACATACAGATAAGCAACTGAAAATCTCCATGCAGTCTTCTAGATCTGACATGACAAACTCAGTTTTGGAAAAGTTTTTCCTTCAATTTTGATGTTGCCTGAAGTGCGTGTTCCTTTTAGTGTGTTGATTTCCTATGGAATCACACCGCGACAGAGAGGGGTATGTTCTCTTCCCAGGTGATTGTTTTACTAATACTACACTTAACCATTTCTGTGTAATCTTATGTCTACTCTGTTCTTTTCTGCCCCAGAGATAAGATCACTAAGGTCTAAGATGTCAGAAACTAATGACAGGCAGCTCTAGTTTCTTAATCTCTTTTTGGGTTACCCCACCAACATCTCTTATGAAACAAATCCTCCTCCCCCTCTCCCCTCTCCCCTCCTCTCTTTCCACGGTCTCCCTCTGATGCCGAGCCAAAGCTGGACTGTACTGCTGCCATCTCGGCTCACTGCAACCTCCCTGCCTGATTCTCCTGCCTCAGCCTGCCGAGTGCCTGCGATTACAGGCACGCGCCGCCACGCCTGACTGGTTTTCGTATTTTTTTGGTGGAGATGGGGTTTCGCTGTGTTGGCCGGGCTGGTCTCCAGCTCCTAACCGCGAGTGATCCGCCAGCCTCGGCCTCCCGAGGTGCTGGGATTGCAGACGGAGTCTCGTTCACTCAGTGCTCAATGTTGCCCAGGCTGGAGTGCAGTGGCGTGATCTCGGCTAGCTACAACCTCCACCTCCCAGCCGCCTGCCTTGGCCTCCCAAAGTGCCGAGATTGCAGCCTCTGCCCGGCCGCCACCCCGTCTGGGAAGTGAGGAGCATCTCTGCCTGGCCACCCATCGTCTGGGATGTGAGGAGCCCCTCTGCCCGGCTGTCCAGTCTGGGAAGTGAGGAGCGCCTCTTCCCGGCCGACATCCCGTCTAGGAAGTGAGGAGCGTCTCTGCCCGGCCGCCCATCATCTGAGATGTGGGGAGCGCCTCTGCCCGGCCGCGACCCCGTCTGGGAGGTGAGGAGCGTCTCCGCCCGGCAGCCGCCCCATCTGAGAAGTGAGGAGCCCCTCCGCCTGGCAGCCGCCCCACCTGAGAAGTGAGGAGCCCCTCCGCCCGGCAGCCGCCCCGTCTGGGAAGTGAGGAGCGTCTCCGCCCGGCAGCCGCCCTGTCCGGGAGGGAGGTGGGGGGTCAGCCCCCGCCCGGCCAGCCGCCCCGTCCGGGAGGGAGGTGGGGGGCGCCTCTGCCCGGCCACCACCCCATCTGGGAGGTGTACCCAACAGCTCATTGAGAACGGGCCATGATGACGATGGCGGTTTTGTGGAATAGAAAAGGGGGAAAGGTGGGGAGAGGATGGAGAAATCAGATTGTTGCTGTGTCTGTGTAGAAAGAAGTAGACATGGGAGACTTCATTTTGTTCTGTACTAAGAAAGATTCTTCTGCCTTGGGATGCTGTTGATCTATGACCTTACCCCCAACCCTGTGCTCTCTGAAACATGTGCTATGTCCACTCAGGGTTAAATGGATTAAGGGAGGTGCAAGATGTGCTTTGTTAAACAGATGCTTGAAGGCAGCATGCTCCTTAAGAGTCATCACCACTCCCTAATCTCAAGTACCCAGGGACACAAACACCGCGGAAGGCCGCAGGGTCCTCTGCCTAGGAAAACCAGAGACCTTTGTTCACTTGTTTATCTGCTGACCTTCCCTCCACTATTGTCCTATGACCCTGCCAAATCCCCGTCTGCGAGAAACACCCAAGAATGATCAATAAAAAACTAAATAAATAAATTTAAAAAAAAAAGATTTCCAAAAAAAAAAAAAGAAACAAATCCATACAACAATAGGACCAGCTGCCAAAAAAAAAAAAAAAGCTAAATATAGCAGAAGTGGCTATGTTGGTTTAGAACTTAAAAGGGTATGTGAGTGTGGGTGTGTATAAGTGTCCATTTTTTAGCTGATTTGAAAAATCACTTAGCCTATTGATGAATCACAAAAACCAAAGAAATAATTTGTGTGAGAAAATTTTTATTTATTTTCCTGAATCTTTTAAAGATTTAGGCCAAGAGTACCTATAAAATAATGGAGTTTTTACTGGATCCTTTAGTGGACTCAGCCTCCTGCGTATTATCTGAGTGGTGCTTTGGGAAAAAGAATAGCATCTTGTACTTTTGTGGAAACCTTCAACTATGATTTGTGAATTGAACTCTCTCTCTCTCTCTGTATATATATTAAACATAATACATGTCTCAGGGACACAGGCATGGTCTTCTTCCAAGTCAATTTCTGAGAAAATTCACGTTAAAGTGAAAGGCTACAGCTGAAACCCCCACATGACAAAGTTGTACTAGGATGAAGTGGGGTAGCGTTGGCGTTGAGCTTGCAAATGGAACAAGCAGCCCTTGCTTTAGCATTCGTATGATTCTCTCTGCCTGTGTACTCTGTCCTATGTGCCAAACTGTTTCCCCCAACATTTTCATTCTTTCACTACACGAGGCACAATCTTATCTTGGTTCCTACGTTCCTAGTTGCCTAGTTACAGTGGTTCTCAAACTCTGTGGTTCATTAGAGTCACATGGAGAGTCATTTATGTGCCAGTGGCCAGGGCCCTGCCTCCTGAAAACTCTGAATCTCAGTAGCTCGGGCTGAGCATCTGTAGTCTAATATGCTTCCCAGGTGATTCAAAGTTTCATTAGAGTCACAAATGGATGATGAAATAAAAACGCCTAATGTTAATGAGTAAGTCTGATCTGTTGTACAAGAACAAAAATAAAGAATAGGGGAAAGGGTAAAACTGCAAAATATTATGCTGAAAATTTTCAGAATCAATGAAAGGCAAACATATACAAATACAAGAATTGAACACTTTGAAAAGCAGCCAGACAGAAAAGTCACCAACAAAGGAATACAAATTATACTGATAATGACTATTATTCATTAGCAGCCCTGAAAACCAGAAGATGTAATAGTATCTTCAAACTGCTCAGAGAAAATAACTTCAACATAGAAAAAAAGATCTTTCAGTAAGAAACGCAAGATAAAAACACTTTTAGATTGAGAGAGATAGGAAGAAAAAGAATTGATCACAAGTAGATCTATACTAATCAAGCAAACAAAATTAACAATGCAAATGAAAGGACTGAGCAATAAAATTAACTGGGGTTTTCTTCCCATATATATGTAAATATGTAATTTTATGCTAAAAAATTAGGAAACAAATATCTTTAAAAATGACCAAGTGCTTGGTCATTATTCAAGTAATAAATTTCAAAGATTTTGCTTTATACTGATCTCCATATTTAGTCATGATGTAATTAAAATAGAAATCAATGGAAACATAAACCAAATATTTTTATATATTTTAAGTCATAAAAAACACTATAAATTTTCTTCTTTAATTTTTAAGTTTTTGTGTGTACATAGTAGGTGTATATATTTAAGGAGTACATCAATTTTTTTTTAATAGAGCCATGCAATGTGTAATAATCACATCATGGAAAATGATGTTTCCATCCCCTCAAGCATTTACCTTTTGTGTTACAAGCAATCCAGTTACACTCTTTTAGTTATTTTTGAATGTACAATTAAATAATTATTGACTCTAGTCACCCTGTTGTGCTATTACTAGGTTTTATTCATTCTTACTATTTATTTTTAGTGGCCATTAACCATCCCCATTTCTCCCACATACTCCTGCTGCCCTTCCCAGGCTCTAGTAACCATCCTTCTACTATCTATCTCCATGAGTTCAATTGTTTTGATTTTTAGATCCCACAAATAATTGAGAATATGCGATATTTGTCTTTCTGTGTCTGGCTTATTTCACTTAACATAATAACCTCCAGTTCCATCCTTGTTGTTGCAGATGACAGAATCTTATTTTTTCCTATGTGGGAATAGTACTGCATTGTGTATACAGTAAACAATGTACCACATTTTCTTTATACATTCATTTGTTGGTGGACATTTAGGTTGCTTCCAAATTTTGGCTATTGTGAACGGAGCTGCAACAAACATGGAAGTGCAGATATGTCTTCAATGTACTGATTTCCTTTCTTTTGGGTATATGCCCAGCAGTGGGATTGCTGGATTGTATGGTAGCTCTACTTTTAGTTTAGTTTTTTTGTTTTTTTGTGTTTTTTTTGAGGAAACTCTAAACTATCCTACAGAGTAGTTCTACTAATTTACATTCCTACCAACAGTGTATGAGGACTCCCTTTTCTCAACATCTTCACCCACATTTGGTATTGCTTGTCTTTTGGATAAAAGCCATTTTAACTGGGGTGAGGTGATGTCTCATTGTAGTTTTGATTTGCATTTCTCTGATAATCAATGATGCTGAGCACCTTCTAGTGTGCCTGTTTGCCATTTGTGTGTCTTCTTTTGAGAAATGTCTATTCAAATCTTTTGCTAATTTTTAAATCAGAGTATTTGATTTTTTCCTATAAAGTTGTTTGAGCTCCTTATATATTCTGGTTGTTAATACCCTGTCAGATGGATAGTTTGCAAATATTCTCTCTCATTCTGTGGGTTGTCTTTTCACTTTGTTGATTGTTTCCTTTGCTGTGCAGAAGCATATTAACTTGGTGTGATCTCATTTGTACATTGCTTTGGTTGCCTGGGCTTGTAGGGTATTGCTCAAGAAATTTTTTCCAAAGCAATGTCCTGGAGTGTTTCCCCAATGTTTTCATTGAGTAGTTTTATAATTTGAGGTCTTAAATTTCAGTCTTTAATCTACTTTGATTTGACTTTTATATATGACAAGAGATGGGGGTCAAGTTTCATTCTTCTGAATGTGGGTGTCCAGTTTTCCTAGCACCATTTATTGAAGGGACCGTCTTTTTCCCAGTGTATGTTCTCAGCACCTTTGTCAAAAATAAGTAAACTATAGGTGTGTGGATTTGTTTCTGGGTTCTCTATTCTGATCCATTGGTCTGTGTGTCTGTTTTTATGCCAGTGCCATGCTGTTTTGGTTCTATAGCTCTATAATATAATTTCAAGTCATGTAATGTGATTCCTCCAGTTTTGTTCTTCTTGCTCAGGAGAAGTTTGGCAACTCTGGTCTTTTGTGATTCCATATAAATTTTAAAATTATTTTCTCTATTTCTGTGAAGAAGGTCATTGATATTTTGATAGGAATTGCATTCAATCTGTAGATTGCTTTGGGTAGTATGGACATTTTAACAATATTGATTTCCAACCCATGAACATGAAATATATTTCTCTTTTTCTGTGTCCTTTTTAATTTCTTTCATCAGTGTTTCATAGTTTTCATTGTAGAGATCTTTCACCTCATTGGTTAAGTTTATTACTTGGTACTTAATTATATTTGTGACTATTGGGAATGGGATCACCTTTTAAATTTCTTTTTCAGATTGTTAATTATTGGTATATATTATAGGAATGCTACTAATTTTTGTATGTTGATTTTATATCTTGCAACTTTACTGAATTTTTAAAATCAGTTCTAATAGTTTTTTTTTTTTTTTTATGGAGTGATCATCCTGGTCATGTTCCAGATCCTAGAGGAAAGACTTTCAGTCTTTCTTCACTCAGTATGATACTAGCTGTGGCTCTGTCATATGTGGCTTTTATTATGTTAAGGGACATTTCTTCTATACCCAGCTTTTAAAATGCTTTTATCATAAAGGGATGTTGAGTTTTCTCAAATGCTTTTTCAGCATCAATTGAAAAGATCATATGTTTTTGCCCTTCATTCTGTTAATATGATATATCACATTGAGGCATATGTTCAACCATCCTTGCATCCCTAGGATAAGTCCCACTTAGTCATGATGAATGATCTTTCTAATGTATTGTTGAATTCACTTTGCCGCTATTTTGTTGAGGATTTTTGCATCAGTATTTATCATGGATATTGGCCTGTAGTTGCTATTTTTAATGTGTCTTTGTTTGGTTTTCGTATCAGTGTAATATTGGCCTTGTGGAATGAGTTTGGAAGAATTCGCTCCTCCTCTATTTTGCAGAATAGTTTCAGTAGGATTAATATTAGTTCTTCAAATGTAGCGTAGAATTCAGCAGTGAAGTCATCAGGTCCCAGGCTTTTCTTTACTGGGAGACTTACTATTACAGCTTTGATCTCATTATTTGTTATTGATCTGTTCAGGTTTTTTATTTCTTCATGGTTCAATCTTGGTAGGTTGTCTGTCTCTAGGAATTTATCCACTTCCTCTATATTTTCAAACTTCTTGGTATACAGTTGCTCAAAGTAGCAATTAATGATCCTTTGAATTTCTATATCAGTTGTGATGTCTCCTTTTTTGCTTTTTAAGAAAGTTATATAGCTTTTGGGGTACAAGTGGTTTTTGGTTATATGGATGAATTCTATAGTAGTGAACTCTGGGATTTTAGTGCACCTGTCATTCGAACACTGTGCACTGTACTCAATACGTAGTCTTTTATCATTCACTGCTTTCCCATTCTCCTCTCCCTGAGTCCCCTAAGTCTATTATATCACTCTGTAAGTCTTTGCATCCTCACAGCTTAGTTCCCACTATTATAACTGAGAACCAACGGTATTTGGTTTTTCATTCTTGAGTTACTTCGCCTAGAATAATGGCCTCTAGCTCCATTCAAGCTCCTGCAAATGACATTATTTTGTTCCTTTTTATGGCTGAGTAGTATTCCATGGTGAGTGTGTGTGTGTGTGTGTGTGTGTGTGTGTGTATATATATATATATATATATATATATATATATATATATAACATTTTCTTCATGCACTTACTGGTCAATGGACACTTAGGTTTGTTCCATATATTTGCAATTGTGAATTGTACTACTATAAATATGCATATGTATGTGTCTTTTTCATATAATGACTTCTTTTCCTTTGGGTAGATACCCTGTAGTGGAATTGCTGGATCAAATAGTAGATTTATATTTGTTCTTTAAGGAGTCTCTATACTATTTTCCATAGAGGTTTTACTAATTTACATTCCCACCAGCAGTGTGAATGTGTTTCCTATTCACCATGTCCACAGCAACATCTATTGTTTTTTGACTTTTTAATTATAGCCATTCTTGCAAGAATAAGGTGGTATCACATTGTGGTTTTAATGTGCATTTCCCTGATGATTAGTGATGTAGGGCATTTTTTCATATGTTTGTTGGTCTTTGTATATATCTTTTGAGAAATGTCTATGTCCTTTGCCCACTTTTTGATGGTATTGTTTTCTTTTTCTTGCTGATTTGTTTGAGTTCCTTATAGATTCTGGATGCTAGTTTTTTGTCAGATACATCGTTTGCAAATATTTCCTCCCATTCTGTGGTTTGTCTGTTTACTCTGCTGATTATTATTATTATTATTATTATTTTGCTGTGCAGAAGTTTCTTAGTTTAATTTAGTCTCATTTATTTATTTTTGTTTCTGATGCATTTGCTTTTGGGGTCTTAATCATGAATTCTTTATCTGGGTCAATGTTCAGAAGAATTTGTCAATCTTATCCTTGAGAATTGTTATGGTTTCAGATCTTAGATTTAAGTCTTGTGATCCATCTTGAGTTGATTTTTGTATAATGTGAGAGATGGGGATCCAGTTTCATTCTTCTACATGTCCCAGCACCATTTATTGAATTATGGTTTTCTTTCCCTAGTTTATATTTTTGTATACTTTGTTGACAATCAGTTGGCTGTAAATATTTGGCTTTATTGCTCGGTTCTCTATTCTGTTCCATTGGTCTAAGTACCTATTTTCATACCAGTACTGCTTGCTGTTTTGGTAACTATAACCTTATAGTATAATTTGAAGTCTAGTAATGTGATGCCTTCAGATTTGTTCTTTTTGCTTAGTAGTGCTGTATTAGTCCATTTTCACACTTCTGTAAAGAACCACCTGAGACTCGGTAGTTTATAAAGAAAAGAGGTTTAATTGACTCACAGTTCCACATGGCTGGGGAGGCCTCAGGAAACTTACAATTATGGCAGAAGGTGAAGGGGAAGCAAGACACGTCTTACATGGTGGCAAGAAAGAGAGAGAAGGTGAGGGGGGAAGTACCACACTTAAACTATCAGATCTCATGAGAACTCACTCACTATCACTTGAACAGCATGGGGAAACTGCCCCCATGATCCAATCACTTCCCACCAAGCCCCTCCCCCAACACGTGGTGATTACAATTCTAGATGACATTTGGGTGGGGACACAGAGCCAAACAATAGCAACTGCTTTGGATATTAGGGGTCTTTTTTGGTTCCATGTGAAATTTAGGATTATTTTTTCTAGTTCTGTGAAAAATGATGATGGTATTTTGATGGAAATTGCATTGAATCTGTAGGTTTCTTTGGGTAGTATAGTAATTTTCAAAGTATTGATTCTTCCTATCTATGAGCATGGGATGTGTTTCTATTTGTTTGTGTCATCTATAATTTCTTTCAGCAGTGTTTTTTAGTTTTCCTTGTAGAGATCTTTTACCTTCTTGGTTAAGTATATTCATATGTGTGTGTGTGTGTGTGTGTGTGTGTGTGTGTGTGTGTGTATAGAGAGAGAGAGAGAGAAAGAGAGAGAGCAGCTGTTGTAGAATAAATTGAGTTCTTGATTTTATTCTCAGCTTGGTCCTTGTTGGTGTATAGCAGTGCTGCTAATTTGTGTACATTGATTTTGTAACCTGAGACTTTACTGAATTTTTAAAAATCAGATATAGGAGTCTTTTGGATAAGTTTTCAAGGTTTTCTAGGTAACAATCATATCACCAGTGAACAGCGATAGCTTGACTTCCTCTTTTCCAGTTTGGATGCCCTTTATTTCTTTCTCTTGCCTGATTGCTCTGGCTAGGACTTCCAGTACTATGTTAAACAGAAATGGTGAAAGTGGGTATCCTTGTCTTATTCCGGTTCTCAGGGGGAATACTTTTATCTTTTCCACATTCAGTAGAATATTGGCTTTGGGATTGTCATATATCGCTTTTATTATTTTGAGGTAAGTTCCTTCTATGCCTATTTTGTTGAGGGTTTTTATCATAAAGGAATACCGGATTTTATCAAATACTTTTTCTGCATCTATTGAGACAATCATATGGTTTTTGTTTTTAATTCTGTTTGTGTGATGTATCATATTTATTCACTTGCATATGTTAAACCATCCCTGCATCCCTGGGATGAAACCCACTTGATCATGATGTATCATCTTTTTGATGTGCTATTAGATTTGGTTAACTAGTATTTTGTTGAACACTTTTGCATCTATGTTCATCGGGGATATTGGTGTGTAGTTTTCTTTTTTGTCATTATGTCCTTTCTTGGTTTTGGTATTAGGGTGATATCAGCTTTAGAGAATGATTTAGGGAGGATTCCCTCTTTCTCTATCTTTCAAAATAGTTCAGTAGGATTGGTACCAATTCTTCTTTGAATGTCTGGTAGAATTCACCTGTGAATCTGTCAGGTTCCAGAATTGCTTTTTTCTTTTGGCAATTTTTAAATTACTGACTCAATTTTATTGCTTTTTTATTGGTCTCTTCAGAGTTTCTATATCTTCCTGATTTAATCTAGGAGGGTTGTATGTTTCTAGAAATTTATCTATTTCCTCTAGATTTTCTAGTTTGTGTACATAAAGATGTTCATCGTAATGTAGAATGATCTTTTGTATTCCTGTGGTATTGGTTGTAATGTCCCCAGTTTCATTTCTAATTGAGCTAATTTGTATCTTATCTCTCCTTATCTTGGTTAATCTCACTAATAGTCTATCAATTTTGTTTATCTTTTTAAAGAACCCCCTTTCTGTTTCATTTGTATTTCGTATTTTTTTCTTCAATTTCATTTAGTCCTGCTCTGTTCTTTGTTATTCCTTTTCTTCTGCTTTGGGTTTAGTTTGTCCTTCTTCTCTAATTTTTTAAGGTGTGACATTAGGTTGTCAATTTGTGCTCTTTCAGAATTTTTGATGTTGCCATTTAACAATATAAACTTTCCTCTCAGCACTACTTTTGCTGTATCCTAGAGGTTTTGATAACTTGTGTCACTACTACTATTTATTTGTTAATCCCAAAATCATTCGAGAGCAGATTGTTTAATTTCCATGTATTTTTACAGTTTTGAGTCCTCCTTTTGGAGCTGATTTCTAGTTTTATTCCACTGTGGTCTGAGAAGATACTTGATATAATTTCGATTTTCTTAAATTTATTGAGACTTATTTTGTGGCCTATTACGTGGTCTATCTTGGAGAATGTTCCATGCGCTGATGAGAAGAATGTATATTCTGCAGTTGTTAAGTGGAATGTTCTGTAAATATAAGTTAAGTCCATTTCTTCTAGTGTATAGTTTAAGTCCATTTTTTCTTTTTTTTTGAGACGGAGCCTCGCTCTGTTGCCCAGGCTGGAGTGCAGTGGCGTGATCTCGGCTCACCGCAAGCTCCGCCTCCCAGGTTTACGCCATTCTCCTGCCTCAGCCTCCCACGTAGCTGGGACTACAGGTGCCCGCCACCACGCCCGGCTAATTTTTTGTTTTTTTAGTAGAGACGAGGTTTCACCGTGTTAGCCAGGATGGTCTCGATCTCCTGACCTTGTGATCCACCCGCCTCCGCCTCCCAAAGTGCTGGGATTACAGGCATGAGCCACCGCGCCCGGCCAAAGTCCATTGTTTCTTTATGGGCGTTCTATCTCAATGATCTGTCTGGTGCTGTTAGTGGAGTATTGACGTCCCGCACTATTATTGTATTGCTGTCTATCTCATTTCTTAGGTTTAGTGGTAATTGTTTTATAAATCTGAAAGCTCCAGTGTTAGGTACCTATAAATTTAGGATTGTAATATCTTCTTCTTGGATTGAGCCTTTTATCATTACATAATGAACTTCTTTTCCAAATATCTGCTGTCTTAAAGAGACTCAGCTAAGACATAGGGATTCATATAAATTCAAGGTAAAAGGATGAAAAAATATATTTCTTGCAAATGGAAACCAAAACTGAGCAGGAGTAGCTATTCTTATATCAGACAAAACAGACTTTAAAGCAACTACACTAATATCTCCTTTCTCATGTCTGATTTTATTTATTTGGGTTTCTTCCTTTCTTTTTCATTAGTCTGGCTAGAGGTTTGTCCATTTTGTTTATCTTCTAAAAAAACCTTTTTTTCATTGATCTTTTGTATTATTTTCTTCATTTTTAAACACACTTTTAAGTAATTTCTGTGATAAGAAATTTTTAAACGCTTGGAATCTACCAATCTTTTTTTACAGTTTCCAATTTTCCTACTGAAGTTTCCAAGTACACTGTTAATTTTTTTGACCATTTTATGTGTTGCTGATTAGTCATCAATTACTATTCTGTGACTATTTATGATATTATCTGTGACTGGAGTCCCTGTGAATTGATTTCTGTTGTATGTTACTTCTGCTTGCTCCATGAGCCACATTTCTGTTGTTTCCTGGTAGTTTTCAAATGATGGACATTTATTTAAGGTATTATTTACAGGAAAAGTTTGAGGCCTAGAATAATGACAATTTCTCCATAGATGGAAGGAAAGCAGAAAGGAAGGAAGGGAGGGAGAGAAGGAGGAAGAGAGAGAAGGAAGGAGGGAGGAAGGAAGGATAGATGGGCCCCAGAGGTTCACCAGCCCCAGATAACCTGAATTTAGGCTTAAGGCCTGATGTGCCCTAAATCACCAGGTGAAAGGAAGTACTCTAGGCAAGGCCATTATTACTGTGTTATTCTCATTGAAGGAAATAAGCCTTTTGACTTTTGCTCAAGGAGGGGTGATTTTTCAGGTTTCCCAGCCTTGGAAGGGTCTGGACTTTGATTTCTGCCCTATCCCTGTGAAGCTATGAAAAGTTCAGCTTAGGTTTATGACTTCTTTCTTGGGATTAGAAAATTGTGCTCAAGGCCAAAGGAACTTTGATTAACTGTGCTTACATCTCTGGGTATTGTCTTCTCCAAAAATTGCACAGGTTTTTATTTTATTTTATTTTTTTCTCCTATCTTTTGAGGTCTTTGATGCTTTCAAGACATTTTTGTTTGTTTTAGTAATTCAACCAGCTTTTGTGGTGGTTCTCAGCAGGGGATTTATATGAACCTGTTCTACTATTACTGGAACTGAAAGTTTAGCATTCTTTTTTTAAAAAAAAAGTATAAAAATACATATATATATACACACACACATATACATTTATATGTATATGTATATAAATATAAATATATATCATGATTGAAAAAAATTGTTCTTTTCTTATTGTCTTAATTCTTCTGGTGTGGGAAGTGCCATTACAGTTTCCCCTTATAAAGGATATCTCTTATACCTTCCCTCTTAGTTCCCTAGACCATATTTTATTTTAGCCACTGCCATGGCGAAATACTTTGCACATGTGTAACTTGGCAGAACTTCCTTTTAGCTACAAGATAAGTTTCTTTTGCTGTCTGCCCTGTGGCTTCTTTATGCATGGCTGGCCATTGGCAATCTGCTCAGCCTGTGCAAGCCTGGAATGGAAGGGAGTTTAATATCCCAGGGGGTAATACTTGACCAACAGAGCCATGGGATCCAGTGCCTATATGCTCCCATTTTCTGTTCTTGAGATGGACATTTTTGAGATGCATTTTACTTGACTCCTCAGATTGTTCCAGTTCTATCATTAAGCTGCAATTGGGATCAGGGACCAGAGAGCAAAACGGGAAAAATAGGAAGATTGTCTGGCAATAGGGCAAATTTGCCAAAGAATTTGTTCAGAGTAGTTATCTCTAAAATTTAACTTAGGATTGCGTGTGTGTCCTGAATTATCTCCTTAATCTTCCATTAACACCCTGTGGGTGACTGTAGATGAATGCAAAATCTGGATCCTTCTGGTTCAGAATGGGGATATGGCAAGATGACCCAAGACCAAGGGAGAAGCAGATGTTCAGAGTGAGAGGCAACCATGGGAATAGATCCTCCTTCTCCCTAGGATCTAGGAGAAATGATGATGGGCTTCCTTTAAGCAAGGAGTAAGAGTTGGTTCCATTCTTATCTCTGGAAAGTAGGTGCCTTAGGCTGACACTGGCAGTCACACATTCCTTTGATGTATTTGAGCACTCGACCTGGTGGTGTAAATACAGTGGATGATTGCTGGTTACTTGATATCACATCTAATACTTAACATTATGGAATTCACTTATTCAACAAACATGTATTCAGGGCATACTATATGCCACACCCGTGTTCTAAGTACTAAATATACAACTGTGAATAAAACAGATAAAAATCCTTACCTTCACAGAGTTTACAACTTAGTGGGGGGAGACAGAAACAAAATAAACAAGTGGAATTAATAGTATGTTTAATAACAATAATATATAAGGAAAACAAAAAGGCTGGAACAAGGGATAAGAAGACACATGTCATTATTAAAATAGATCTGTATCCCAGAGTCAAGGAACAGAGTATTACCTTTTAATCCTTTTAAGGCCAAAAGGCATGGTTATGTTGGGCTAAAGGAGCAACAGTGTTAGTATATACATTTCATTTATTTAAGTCCTTTGCCTGACAGCCATAGATATAGAGGATTTTTTTTTAAAGGAAACGCTAGGAAGAGCTGGAAGAAAAGTGACTCTGTTCTTTAGAGTGGTAGGGTAGTTCTTCCTCAGAGATTTGACCTGGGAGAACTTCTTCCAGGCTCAAGGTTTGGAAGCAGAATGAGGAGCCTTTCTGCCATCTCCAGAAAAGGAAACACATGGGGAATCAAGGCTAAAGGATACCGGGGCAGGGGTATCATTAGGACATGTAAGTCAGGCAAGGCCAAGAGAAAATAGAATATCTTTGAATCATCAGGCAGGCCTTTACATGTGTTCATTATAAAAATCTAATTGCAGCAGGAAGGAAAGATAGTTTGAACACTTCCCAAACCCAGAAGGCATTAGAAGGGAATAATTGACACATTGACCCATTCAAAAAAGGACAAGGCAGAGTCAGGACTGGATTTTAACCATCTACTTACCATATGTATAATATCTTTTCTGTTACTGGAAGATGTTCTTGCCAAAATTAGTAAAAAGGCACACTGTCCAAACCTTACACTATCCTTTACTGGGAGAACTCCAGCCTCCTTGACTGTCCATGCTCCAACTGAACTGGTCCTGGCTAAGGGACTGGATATAGGGACATCTTCATGGTTTCTTCACTTCTATTTGGAAAACCAACTGGAACAGTGGTCTCTTCTCCTTTTACATGGAATGCAAACCTAGGCTGTTCCTGATATACAACAAGATACAACTAAAGCATTTTCTGGTTGAACTCAACAACTTGCCTGCTAATAATTACTCGTAATGCCTAGGAAATTGTGGTTTCACATTGCTTCTAGCAACCTTCACATTGCCTTCTAATGTTTGCATGCTTTCTCAATACATCAAACAGCAAATTTTACCCTATTTAACTGCAATATAGTATGGGAAGTTTAATTAGAAACTTATTTTCAGAAGCAGCCCTATTGGAGAGGATTGCTTAAAAAATAGCAAAAAGACAGGAACTGCCTTCCCTCCCTTGACATTAGTTTGCCCTGAAATACATATTAGCATATACCCTGCATCTGAAGATAAGCAGAAAGAAGAGATTTTGTTAGCATTTTGTTCATGCCAGGAGTGAGGCTGCAGCACTTCTATCATTACTGTTTTTCATTTTAATTTTGAAATACCACTGGCAAGTGTGCTTGTTGATAGGGGGAATATTTGAACTTTTTTGACTTTTAGAAATTGTGAGGTTTCCTTAGTCAGGAAACACTGAATAACTTTGGATTTTTCTAATACTCTGATTTCAAGATGAAATGAGACAGGAACCTGAAAAAGAAGTATGGTTAAGAAATTATTCAGTCTATATGGAGCCAATTATTAGAGATTGGGCTAATAGTGGGAAAAGGATGTCACCCCCATCTCTAAGACTCAGATAATAGCTCTTCAAATCCCACAGGTCTGTGGTGTTTTCAAAGGGAAGCAACGAGCCCTCAAAGCTGGTTGTCAAATATTTCACCACATGGGAAGCTCCAAAACTGGACACCTGAGATTTTGATCAAGACTGGTCTTCTGGAAATATCAAGGCAGAAATCTTCTTTATAATTTGATTTACATGACTTAAGATTCTTTGTGTGGCACAGCCTGCCATGCTACTGTTAAAGATTTACCTAGCTTGGTAGCTTTTTATGCATAAATGTAGGTCTGGGTGGAGATAATTAAGCCTTTAAGCCAACTTCAGTGTCTTCCTGTAGTGACTCAACTTTCTGTTATCCTAACGTAATCCTAGCTGAGCACCAGCACTTTATAAGCCCTGGAATTTTGATCAGTAGTAGAGGTGGGGGCCAAAGCTAAAAGAAAAATTCATGAAAGCCGAAGAAGGATATCAGTCATTTTTTTGTTTTGCTCATGGCCTGCCCCATTTCTCGTGTAAATTCCCAGCGTCTTCTAAAGGGAGATCTGGATTACGTTGGGGAAAAAATACTCTATCCAATGAATCTTTGCCTTGGAATGCTGATAAAAATGTCTGAGTGCTTTTTAGGCTGTGATAGGGAAAGTTCAAATAGCTTAATAGCACCGGTGCTTTCCTTAGACAGTAGGGATTGGGCTTCTCCTTTGCTCCTTTATGCCCATGTCAATCTAACTATATACAATGACACGTAGCAGCAGTCATGTGTTAGGGGGCTGCTTGGATGAGATGAATCCTCTGCCCACACCTTTCCAAGTGGCTCCTGGCTTCCCACAGGCATGTCAAGCTGTGTATTGGTAATTAACAGATGGAAACATGGAAACATGCTTCCAATCCCAGTTTTAACGGGGCATAAACCCACAAAAAGGATGGCTGAACTTTCTCTGGATGGTTCCTCAGGGCAAAGCTTCCAAGACACATAGTATCAGAGTATGCAGGGTGGCAGGCTGCAGGTGGAGGTATCCAGATTCTCTAGTACAAAGAGGGCTGGGGGAAACAGTGACTCTGGGTAAAATAAAGAGCTTCCTCACTGCTGAAAACAGGTGAGGAGAATTAGGTGAAGCCAAAGAGAAAGAAGGAATCCAGGGGAAGTTTGTTTCTCAGAAATGAACAGAAAGTTAGATATCCCTGAATGACCCTGGTATCCCTAGTATCCAGAAGGCACCAGTGCTGGCTGCAACAAAACATTTAAGAAGTTTTTCTCAACACCCCCTACCCTTTGTTTTTGCTCAGCTGGCAGAGTCTTCCCTTTAAATTATCAATTGGAACAGATTGGAACTTCTTGTTTGGAAAGTGAAGGTAAGAATGAAAATGAATTCCTAAAGATTAACGATTAGTTTAAAGAATTTCATTCTCTTCCTCCCTCCCTCCATCCCTTTCTCATCCCTCCCTCCCTTCCACCCTCCCTTCCTCTCTCTTTTCCTCCCTCTCTTTCTTCCTTCCTTTTTCCCCTCTTTTCTTCCTTCCTGTCTTCTTTCTTTGCTTTCTTCTTTATCTGTTTTGGTTAGAAAAAAAAAAATCCATACCCAAGGGGAGCAGAACACTTTTCAGAAATACCAACATGATTTGGGGACCTAAGCATTGTTGCTTTCCTAGATGCCCCCTGAGGAATCTACATCTAAAATTTCCTCCAGGGATGTGTTCCCATCAGTACTACCCTTTGTTACATGGAAGAACCCTTGGACTGAATTCTCTACTAAAATTAAATAAAGATTTTCACTGAAAACATGCACATGGGGAATGCAGAATGTGTTTCCTATTAAGGCGTTCTGAAAGAAGCCTAGAAAAAAAGCCCATTGTTTTTGTTCATCAGCGCTGCCACCAAGTGTGGAGGAATCACAATGGCAACCCAGTCCAATCCAAGGAGAACATAATCATTAAAAGCTTCTTCATTTTCTTGACTCATAAAGCCCATCAAAAAGATAGACAAAAATGCCAGAGTTAAGCTGGGAAAATATTTGGAAATTGTGCTGACATCATCAGAAAGAGGGTCCTTGTGGCTTTCACCCAGATGAGGACTAAGACCAAGTAAAATGACATTTCAGTCATCAGCCTGGCTAAAAAGTGGCAGAATACTAGGGTGACATGAGAGCTATTTGCCTAGGGTGCAAACCCTCATGAGTTTATAGATGCTGTCCTTGAAATTTGCAAGTCCCTGAGCATAGATTAACAAACAGGAACACTCCATGCACCAAGTGTGCACCAAATCTCATCTTAGTAAGTTTTTGAGGTGTTTTCTTTTTTCTTTTTTTCCCTTTGAGACAGGGTCTCCCTCTGTTTCCTAGGCTGGAGTTCAGCGGCACTATCATTGCTCACTGCAGCTTCGACCTCCCAGGCTCAAATGATCCTCCCATCTCAGCATCCTGAATACAATTTTGTTGAACCTCTTTAGATTCCCTGGACTGTTTTTAACACCTGCTATAAGCAAATTGGGGAAAAGAAATCCTCATCTTCCTTTACCCCTCTTTTCTTACTCTTATTATTTTTTCCTCCCCCGTCTCTCCCTTCTTTCTTTCTCTCTCTTGCTCTCTTTTTCTTGCTCTTTTCACTCTTTGTTTCTCTATGCAGTATTTGTAGAATTGAAATTAATTGTGCTGTCTCCAAAATGAGTACCGTTGTGGGGGTCTGTAGCCTCTGGCTGAATGGCCCTGAAGTTCCTGGTTTCATTACAAATATCTGTACTTTCTTTCCTGCTTCATGAAAGCAGTTCTTCTTTAGAAATCCGTCAAGCAGCTCAGCTTTTCTTAGTTTTTCATAAACTGTCCAGCTTTCATTTATTCTCTGTAAAGTTACCTAAGTGGTCAGGCTATGTTCTGTCTGATTGCCAAGAGGACAATGAAAACTCAAAAGAAGAAAAAAAAAATCTTAATTAGAAGTCCTTTGGCTGAGCAAAAAGGAGGAGAAATATTCTTCCTTCCAGAAATCTGAGGACGTAACCTGGTGACCATCTCTTAACAAGAAAACAATCTGTCTCTATGACAGGTAGGTGCATGGGTCACTCTGGAGAAACACATCTCTTGGAGCCCTGGTGTTGGGGGAATGTATGTGAGTGGAGGGGAAGGTGGAGCTGTGAGAAAGCCACGGAGAGATTGCCATCAGCAGACAGATGCTGGCTCACAATCATCACAGAACACTGGAATGTTGACTGCACCAACTGGGAACTTCAATCACAGTATTCACTGAAGCATGAGTCTTCAGTGAGCAAACAAGCTGATCCTGTGCCGGTTGGGAGAGGGTGGGATGATTCTTGGAGTTGAAGGAGAAGCCCTAGCCAGGAAGAGATCTGTACTTCCAGGAATAAGGCCATAATGCTTGTTTGTTTTCATGATCCAGTTTAGAGATTAAGATCATTCATGTGCCAAGTGACAAAGCTTCAGGATACCCAAGGAGCAGGAATGCTGAGCCCATACCACAAACAACATGAGGGGACATTTGTACTCTAGGCCAAAGCATTATTCCAGGATTCACAATTACTGTATGAACGGTTTGTTGGAAAATTGCAGCTAAAAGCAATGTTCATAATTATTGAAGTAGCGCTATGACTATCTTTTCCAAGTTTTATTACAGAATATTGCAAATCATCTTATGTTTCCTAAGGGAACAAACACTTTAGAAGGTCATGTAATGGGGTTATTAAGAAAAGGAGAAAAAAAGGAACACAATTTTGTACTGCTACAATGCCAATTCTCCAAACTCAAAGATATTTAATGTTTCACAAATCCTTATAACCACCCCATGAGGTTTTATAGAAAACTTCAAAGAAAAACCTTTTCCTTGGTCTCATTTTTTTTTAAAAATAGGAAGTTCTGTTTTCAACTATTAAGTGCATGCAAGGTTCTGGTCCTAGTCCCAGATATCAACATAGTGGACTTACTTGGACTTGGACAGAAAGTGAACTCTCCATCTATTGACATTGCATAGAAATCTATTTGGTTCAACTCCTAAACTCTAAGACTGAAAATCACTGGAAGAAACCTCTAGGTTGTATGCCTTAAGCTCAGTCCTTAATAGACTTACATGGGATGCAGACACACAATGTCTCTAGTCATATTCAGATTAAATTTGGCTATTTTGATTATTGAATCCAAGGGTGTGATCAGCTCTGAATGTCCCATTCTTTAAAGCCAAGGGACTATATATTTGCTCCAGATGAAACTATTCCAAGTGGAGCAAATCTAACATTTTAAGATGTTGTCTATACAAAAACAGATAAAGAAAAAATGCAGGCAGGCAAACTATTGGCCTCTTTCAGATAAAACCTCCTCTTTTCCAATAAACTATTGGCATTAGTGAAGGCAGTAAGCCTGTTCATGTGGGTCTTAATAGGCTAAACCACATTTTCTCCCATGTATCTAAATGGGAGGAATTTTGAACAACAGAGTTCCTATTGAATATTATCAGATAAATGATAACAAATATCTCCCTTCCTTCCTCCCTCTGTCTCTCACCCTCTATTTGTCTCTGTCTTTCTATCACTCACAAATCATACATACACACCAATTTTTGTTCTTGCTTATTTATATATCAAAATGTTCTAAGAAGACTTTTAGAAGACTTTCGAAAGTACTTGCAAAGAGATAATAAGAGAATCAGAAATCCTGGTGAAAGAGTTTGTCTCTCTATAAATTTGCTTTTATCTGGATGTTGTACATGAATGGTGTCTAAGTCCATATATATATTTATATATATATACACACACACATATATATACAGTATATGCACACACATATATGGTATATATATACACACATATATACAGTATTTATACATATATACAGTATGTATATGCATAGATACACAGTATATATATGTGTATATATATACTCTATATATACTGAGTATATATATATACACATATATGAACAGTATGTACATATATGCATAAAGAGTATATATAGAAAAACAGTATATATATAAACAGACTTAGACACCATTTATATAAAACCATATATATATTTATATATATATACACACTATATATATATAAAAACTATAACACATATAAAACATATATATAAAAACTATAACAAAATATCATAAACTGGGTAGCATATAAACGACAGAAATTTATTTCTCGTAGTTCTGGAAGCCAGGACAGTACCTCCAAGATTAAGGTACTGTCAGATGCAGTATCTGGTGAGGGCCTGTTTCCTGGTTCATAGATGGCACCTTCTCACTGAGTCCTCCCATTATGGAAGTGGTGAGAGGTTTCTCTTGGGCCTCTTTCACACAGGTAACAATTCCAGTCATGAGGGCTCTGTCCTTATTATTTAATCACCTCCCAAAGCCACCACCTCTTAGCATCAGATTTTTGACTAGGTTTCAATACATGAATTTTCAGGGAGTGCAACAGTCAAACCATAGCAAATAGAATCGTATGATAGGTAGGCTTTCATGTCTTGCTCCTTTCACTTAGCATAATAGCTTTAAGGGCTATTCATGTTGTAGTAATTACCTTTACATAACAGTAATGTGTTCACTTTTATTGCTCAAATTCCATTTGATGGATAAGCAACATATCCATCAGTTGATTGATAAATACTTAGATTATTTTTCCAGTTTGGGATATTATAAAGTGTTGCATGTATTTTATACATTTTTATCAGCTAGTCCTTTGCCATGTTTTATATTCATCTGTTCTCAATCTTATCTTCCTTCATATTCACTCTTAATATATTTGTTTTAAAACTTTTAATATATTTTACAGATGTTGTTTCTTATTCTATCTCTCAGAGACATAAAGGTCCTTTTAAAAATTATGTTGAGTAGGCTACCATTTCATTCTCTCAAGAGTCATTTCATCTCTTACTTGTTTGCTGTTATTCACTTTCTTTTGTTAATTTTTGTCCTTTGTTTTGAAATTTTATTTTGTATATTTATCTTAAAGATCTTTTAAAATTTCCCTCTGTCTTTCTCTTGCTCATTTCTCCCTGGTTGTTTTGCAGTTGCCCCCACCTGAGTCCCCATGGATTCTCAGTCCAGAACCAGAACTTATATTGGGTCTCATAACTTCTGCTCCATAGCTATTAGGGGAGTAGTGATTCCATCAGTGAGCCAGTCTTAGGCTTCCACAAGTTCTGTGCATGGCTGCTATATGTCACTCTGTCAACCAGTCAACTATCTGCAGTCACCATTTCAGGCAAGAATTTCAGCCTTCTTCAGTCTCCCCTCATGAACAGTGAAATCCCACCCAGCTCGCTCCAGTTTTATGAAGTTCAGTTGGTGAGCCTGTGGTACTCTGCTACTTATGCAGGGCATTTGGTCCCAGTTGACCCACAGAAATTCAACTCTTGGATGCCTCTGCTGGCTTCTGATATTGAAGGCTGGCAATGTGCTAGCCTCTGCTTTGTTTAGCACTGTGGGTTTTCATTTTACTTTTATTCAATTAGACTTTTAACTTCTTTACAATATGGCTATTTTTAAAAAATGCAATATAATATACATACAGAAAAGCACACATATCATAATTGAACAGCTGGATGTATTGCCATAAAATGAACACACCTTCTCCAAAATCAAGAAATAGAGTATTGTCAACACTCAGAAGCCCCCAGAGGCTCCCTCCCAGACATTCCTCACCAAAGGTAACCATTATCCTGATTTCTACCTGCACAGGTGTGGTTTGGTTCCTACTTAGGGCTATTACAAATAGTGCTGCTATATGCATGCTAGTACATGTCTACTAGTGAACATATGTGCACATTTCTATTAGGCATATTTTCAGAAGAGAAGTTTTGGTGTCAAGAGGAAGGCATATGCTCAATTTTAGTAGATACTATTAAGCAGTTTTCCAAAGTGGTTTTACCAATTTATTCTTCCATTAGTAGTGTATGACTTGCAATGGCTCCATATATCCTCTAAGTTTTGGTATTATCAGTCTTTTTCCTTGTAACATGGTTATCCTTTGAATAAAAAGATATCTACATCTACATAGATATACTTTTTATATTTTAAAAAGTGATATATAGCTTTTGATATATAAAACTAGCTATATATATGCATATATATATGCTAGCTTTTTTTTTTTCTTAAGGGAAAGGGAAGTGGGAACTCTTAGCACAAACTCCCAGCTCTTTCTAGACCTTATCAGTCTAACATGTGTTCTGAGGTAGCCCTAATCAACACAGCCCTCTCCTACCAGTTGGGCTTTTTTTCCTGACACCACAAGATGCTTCCTTTCAATAAGCAGACCAGTCCTTCACATGGTTTTTATTCCTTAAGACATAAACAAGAAATTAGGTGGCCATTTTTCATCTCTGTTGCCTCCTTTTCAAGTGTTATTTTAGGATTTCCCAGAGTTGGTTATTCTGTTCTGTTCTCAGTAAGGTGGTATAATCAAAAGGATAGAAAGGGTAAACATGTATTTACCTTATTTGTAGAAAAACCTACCAGCTTATTTAACCCTTTTATAAATGTTGTGTTTTTCCCATTTAATTGTAGGCCTTGAGAGAGAAGAAATTATGCCTCATTCTCAGATTTTGAGATTTATCTATAGATATTTGTTAGGCATATATTTTTAAAAAGAGTTATTTGTTAATCTCAAAAATGTCTTTTGGGGCTGCTAGAAGTGATCAAATAATGGTAGAAGTCTTTCTATAATACTTTTACATCAAAAATGCAAACATTCACAAGGCGGTCATGCAACAAGTGCCATAATCCATTTATATCTTAGTGAGAACACATTTGGCTGATCATTTTTATGAGAGCAGTGTGGTAGGTTAACTTCGAAGAAGGAAAAATTTTCTACTCCTTTGCAATGTGACATTACAGCTCCTCATATGCAGCAGTGGATCCCCTTTGTCATCATTTTGAATCTGGGATGTCCTCACAACTTGCTTTAGTCAATGAAATACAGATAAGGCATAGTGTGTTAGCTCCGCATGTAGGCCTCAAGAGTTTTTGTGGTATCTGCTTGCGTTCTTAGAACTCTGCCATCATTATGTACAAGTTGAGGCTAGCTGGTAGATAGAGGCCAGTTGGAGGTGCAACAAAGTATCCTAGCCAACAGCTGACTTTCCTAAGCACAGAGAATGCACAGTGTGCACCAGCACAGCTGTGCCTGACCCACAGCTGACCACAGATGTGTAAGCCAGCTCAATCAAGACCAGAAGACGTGGCCAGATGACTCCTTAACTCTTGAGCAACACTAAAGGGTTATCAACTTAAGCCCACTGAATTTTATGGTATTTTGTTACCTGGCAGTCGCTAACTGATATAGACACATGGAGACCAGTCAACTGAAGGGAAGGCATGCACCTATGAGAAAAGTAGTCTTATCACAAACTTCCTCATGTCACTTTTTTGCACTCAGTTCTGGCTATTAGTCTTTTCTTTTTTCCCCAAGTTGAATGCAGTTCATTGAGTGTACTCCCTTGAAGGGAAATCCAACACACCATATTGATACTCCATAGCTAGAAAAATAGCAAGTAGTTTTCTATGACTCAGTATGAACCCAGATACATAGTTGGATCAAAACTTTGGCTTTTCCCAGTTGTCAGTAAGGGGAAAGTCACTTATGCTATCTAAACCTTGTTTTCTTCTCAGGAAAATGGACAAAATGCCATTAACTTTGAAGTGCCATTGTCAAAAAAAAAAAAAAATTAAGAAGAGGAGCTGAGTCTAACCTCAGCAGACGATGTTTTTAGTCCTAATTCTGCATTGAATCAGTTCTGTGACCTTGGCCAAGTATTTCATCTTTTCACGATCTAGTTTCCTGAGCTATAAATTGGTCATAATAATAATTCCTACCTTACAAAATTGATTTGGGATTAAATGAAATAAAGCATATAAAATTCAAGATCTGGTCTGATAAATAGTGCTCCTCATTTTTTTGCTCATGTAATAGTATATTCCTTTCTTCCTGTCCTGGATTATATAAACCCCCTTGACCTTTCTCCACCCCATCCCCAAAGCTATAAACATATCTCCAATGACACTGTCCCCCACTTTTACTTGCTTTGCTTTACTCAACATATCAGATACAAAACCAGTTCTGCTTGCATAAAATGTCTGTGGCAGTTGCCTTTCTCCTTGTTTTTCTTGTTTCTTATTCAAATTTTAGGGTGTGTATTGTAGGGGGAAGAATACACAATAAATGTGAGTTCTTTATGTAAAAGACAAAAATCCCTCCAAATGTATTTGCAAAACAAAGCACTTTAATAGAATAAAATGTGTTAATTAAGCTTTGTCATTAGGCTAGATAATGTACAGCAAGAAACAACAAAACAGCAGCCAGCTACAGAAATCATACATTTAAGGGCTAATGCTGGAGAGGAATCCCTTTGGGCTCAATTTCTTAGCTTTTCTTAAAGCTAGAGTCTGAACAATACAGCATAAAGACAAATTTTGACTTTGATAACAGACAGAAGAAATTATCATATCAAATTTTATTATAATTTGATAAACAGAGACTTTTAAATTTATTAGGATGATACCCAAAAACATGATGTACAGATGTATACACAGAAACGAAATGTTATACGTGTACTGCCATCATGAGCTGTGGACATCGTTGTCTCTAAAATAATAATATTGTTTACTGAGAGCTTTTTAGGTGCTAACTACTTGACTTTCATTACCTTTGAGAGCCCCCATCACAATTTTTTGTAGTAGCAAATATAATTTCCCTAGTTTAAGGTTGAAGAAACTGAGACATGGAGATGTGATATAACCTAACCAAGATAACACAGTTAGTGGTAGATTCAAAGCTCAAATAGAAATGATCTAATTCTGGTGCTCATATTCCTGTGATTACACAGCATTGTTGCTTTACATATGTGTATTCATAGCATCAAATATACATACATACACATAAGTGTGTATGTATATATGTATATATAATGTATGTATATAGTATATATAATATATGTATATATGTATATATAATGTATGTATATTGTATATATAATATATGTATATACATGTATATGTGTGTACATACGATATATATATATTTATTATGTATATATATCCAATATTTATTTTGAAGTTTCATTCCTCTCTACATTTCAGTTTTACTCTTGTCTACCACAATTTATCCTCATACTTAGTCCAGATGGAAACAAACAAACAAACAAGCAAACCAATAATTAAATTTGTGGCTACAGTGTAAGAGGCATAGGTCATGCAAAACACATTTTAAATATATTATCACATTTAGTCCTTAAAACACCCTTAAGTAGTGGATTAAAACTTCACTTTACGATTGGGAGAACCAGCACTTAAAGGATTGAGTAATTTGCCCAAAGTTACATAGCTAATAAATGGCCAAGTTGAAACGTGAACATTACTGTGTTTTCAAAATCCACATTCTTTGAACTAAACCCCTTTTCCCATTAATACATTTTTTTCAAGGTTTTGAGGATATATGTTGCACCTAAATTCTTTCACTGCATGCAGAAAGATCTATTCTGATGACTTAGAAGCTATTTTCACCTCTGTTTTCCTGCTCCCTTTTAAAACCTCCTCCAGTACTTCTTTTCTTGCTAAGTCTCCAGTTGATTTGTTGGGATTTTCTTCTCTAGCTAGAGGGTGAGTCGGTGATTTAAAAAAGAAGTTTTAAGTGCATGCTTTTGTTTTTGTAAGTTTCTGAATGCCTCCAAATATGTACTTCTGACGATCTGAAGCCAAGAGAGGCAGAGGCCATAAATACTTGAAATGGGAGTATTGTTTTAGTTAAAATTTATAGAGCGATTCAGGAATCCAGTTCAATTTTCATAAATTGACATCCTACGGTCTCGATGGGAAATCTGCCTTAAAATTGCCATGGGACTCCCTGGAAGATGAACCTTTTACAAATGGCTTCGTTTCACTTGTTAGCAGATTCGTGATTCCAGCTCAACAGATCCAAAAATTGAACAGTTCCATCCCTGTTTTTAGTATCTCTCTCATCTCCCTGAAAGCAATTTTGAGGGAGCTTCATGTGTTACCACTTCTACCCTTAAAGCTACTCAGGCTGGCAAAGTGAACAACATAATTTATCTGAGCAAAAATCATATTCCAGTTTTAGAAAAGTCTCTCTTCACAAAACTCTCAAGAAATCTAGGAGAAAATCAGAACTAATTTTAGAGTGTAGACTGTTTCCATTTGTTTATGAGTTTGAGTGCTAATTTTTAGCCAAAAACATCATCTGGTAGTCTTGTCACTGAACCAGTGAATTGATTGACATTGTCTTGACATACTTCTGTTTTATGGACTTGGCTCCAAACTTGGAGGATTGTAAGTTTGACAAAAACATTACTGAAAAATTCTAGAAGTAAATAAGTCTGACTGTAGCCTGAGTGACAGTAAGACCATTAAGTAGTTGGAGTCTCCTCAGGGACATGAACTGTATAGATTGGGCATTGTGGCTAACACAATGCCTGGGGCATAACAGGTACAAAATAATCATTTGATGAAAGTGACTTCAGTGATCCTGAAGAGTGTTATGTGTCCAAGAAAATAAATCTGTGCTTTATTAAATGCTCAGATAAATGGTTAATCTTTTGGAAATGTGAGAGATTAGTTAGTATGGACACATGCCATGGTTAAGAAAGTGGTCTTGGGCCTAGTCTCACCATCATCAAGATTTGTACAGTATTGCTATTTAAAATACTTGTCCAGACTGTCTCAGGTCTCAGTGAATGATTCAGAATCTTCCCTTAGGATAGTGATTTCCAACTTTGGTAGATTTTGTCCCCCAGGGGACATTTGATAATGTCTGAAGATATTTTTGTTACAATTAGGGGAGGGCTGCTACTGGTATCTTGAGGGTGAAAGCCAGGGATGTTGCTGAACATCTTACAATGCACAGGACAACACCCACAACAAAAAATTATATGACTCAAATGTCAATATGCTGAATTGAGAAAGCCTACTTTAGTTTTCCTTCAACTGGAGCTAGACTTGAAATCCTCAGATCTAGAATTTTAGGTGAGGGTATATGGCAAAGAATCTTTATGCTCCCAAATATTACTACCAATCTAAGAGTTCCAGGGAAAGCAGTTACAAATAACTTAGCTTATCCAAGAACTCTAGAGAAAATGCAATCTTTAAGACCATTTGCTGAACTCACCAGTTAAGAACCAAAACCTATTTTTCTGTCTCACTCTCTTGGCTTTTTGCCTCTTAAGAATCTTCCCCCACTCCAAATGACAGCCTCCCAAGTATTCTTCAAGTATATCGGTTGTAAAATCAGAAAACCACTGGGCACTGCCTGTGAGTTGAAGATCACATCCCAAGTATAAGTTAAGTGCTTTTGTAATTCACTTAAGGAACTGTACAACAAGTCTGTACACCCTATAAATTGTCTTTTAAACATCTCATTATGCTTTTTCTCTTCAGTTTTAATTGGAAACTTAAAGAATTGCCTGCTCAGATCTCCAAATCCTGCTTAAAGAGGGATTAAGTAGTCATATGGTACAATTTCTTCATATACTTACTGTACTATTACTTTTGATAAAATCCAGAAGGAAGTATGAAATGCTCTTGTCAATCAAATACCAAATGGAACAACTGGACTGATTTGTAAGCTTCTAGTCAAATAGCACAGTTTAGACTTATGTAATAGAAAAAAAAAATACTGCTATGGAATTTGGGATACCTTGGTTCAAGTTCTGGCTTTCCAATCAACTGGGTGGCTATGGGAACATTGCATAATTTCTATGGGCTTCAGTTTCTTCAATTCTAAAACAAGAAAGTTGCATTACAGGGCCAACTCTTTTTGGTTCTAATTTACTAAAGGAAGTTACTTTAATCTTATACTATGACTCACAGGGAAAAAAAAAGTACTTGTATTGGTATACAGATGCTCCTCTGTATTGATGGGTTACATTCTAATAAACCCATCATAAATTGGAAATGTTTTGAATACCTCTAACCTGTGGAACATCATAGCTTAGCCTAGCCTGCCTTCATCGTGCTCAGAACACTTACATTTGCCTACAATTGGGGAAATCATCTAACACAAAGCCTACTTATAATATAGTGTTCCATATCTCATGTAATTTACTGAACACTGTACTGAAAATGAAAAGCAGAATGGTTGTATGGGTACTTTAAGTACTACGTGCATGTGGCTTTCACACCATGGGAAAGATAAAAAATCATAAGCTGAGTTATTGTAAGTCAGGGACCATCTGCATTGATGTCTCTAAGTATTACTGCAAATGCTCAGATAAATGGTTAATCTTTTGGAAATGTGAGAGATTAGTTACTATGGACACATGCCATGGTTAAGAAAGTGGTCTTGGGCCTAGTCTCACCATCATCAAGATTTGTACAGTATTGTTATTTAAAAGTTCCCATGGTTTGGAGACACATTTACAACTGAAAATTTTATAATCATCATAATCAAAATCCAGTGCCAGGAACACATAACTAATAGAAATACATATTTTCTGAGGAATACTGCCAAATTATTGGAATCTTTTCTCTCAGAAGTTGAATTTTTCTAGAGGACCTCTTAAAATTATTAAGAATATGTGAAAGCAGCCCGCACTTTTTCAACTTAATCTGATGCACCAGCTAGGTTTCTGTGGTTGCAAGAAACAGAAATTAACCCTATGTGGTCATCAGGCTCCAAGATGACCTCCAATAATCTTTGTGTCCTAGTAATCACACCCTTGTATAGACCCTCCCTCATTGAATCAAGACTCACACTGGCTGACCAATAGAATGTGACATAAATGACATATAAATGAAAATATCTCATTACAGTTTTTTTCTTCCATTTTTAATTAGAAAATTTAAAATAGCCTCCTCATATCTCTGTTTCCTTTATCTATAACTTCTGAGGCTAAGCCATAAAAATCATCCACTTCAGTCTCCTAGATACTTGCTCTGGGGTCTCCTGCCATTATGCCATGAGGATTCCCAAGAAAGCCCATGAGAGAATGTAAATTAGTTCAGCCACTGTGGAAAGCAGTCCTAAGATTTCCCAAATAACTTAAAATAGAACTACCATTTGATCCCTCAATTTCAGTACTGTTTATATATCCAAAGGAATAATTATCCTTCTACCATAAAGATACATGCACACATATGTTCATGGCATCACCATTTATAATAGCAAAGACATGGAGTCAACCAGGACGCACATCAATGGTGCACTGGATAAAGAAAATGTGATATATAAACACCATATATACACCATGATTTAGACTTGTTTTTTGCTCAACCCTTGACCAAGAAAGAATGGAGCTATTAAAAAATGACAACATGGCCTTCGCAGCAACATGGATGAAGCTGGAGGCCACTATCCTAAGTGAATTAATGCAGGAACAGAAAACCAAATACTGCATGTTCTCACTTACAAGTGGGAGTTAAATGATGAGAACACATGGACAATAGAAAGGAACAAAAGACACTGGGGCCTATTTGAGGGTAGAGGGTGGAAGGAGAGTAAGGATTGAAAAAAGACCTATGAGTTATTATGGTGATTACCTGGGTAACCAAATTATCAGTACACCAAAACCCTACAACATGGAATTTATCTGTGTAACAAACCTGCACATGCACCTCTTGAACCTAACATAAAAGAAATTGGAAATTAAAAAAAAGAAGAAGAAAGCCCATGAAGAACAAATCTAAGGCCTCCTGCCAATAGCCAGCACCAACTTGTCAAACATTTGAGTGAGCCACTTTGGAAGGGGACTCTCCATTCCTGATCAAACCACCATATGATTACGGGTTTAGCTGACATCTGACTGTAGTCCCATGAGAGACCCTGAGCCAGAATCACCCAGCTAAAGACACTCCCAAGCTCTTAACCACAGAACATGAGAAATAAACATTTACTGTTGTTTTTAAGTGACTAAGTTTTAGGGTAATGTGTTTTTCAGAAATAGCTAACAAATATATGACACTAACATAAAGCAATATAAATACAAAGGGATTTATCGAAAGGAAATGTGAAAGTTCAGAGAATTGAAGGAGATACCAAACAAACAAACAAACAAACAAACACCTCAGGTTCTAAGGATAAATCTGAGGATCTAGGATGTAGGACATAATGATTTTCAGAGTGCAGCTGTCAAAATGAATTTGTGACAACCATTTTCAGTTCCTCTTACATTCTGCCTGACACACCCCTAGAGATTTCAGGTACAGAGGGTCTGATTTACTTAGATTTGTTTTTTGCTCAACCCTTGACCAAGAAAGAATGGAGTAGTGGAGTACCATGATTGGTACTTTGCTAAGAATGTATGCAGTGGGAGATCTGTAGTTCCTCAGAGGCAATCCAAGATGTTATTATCAAATAAGAGGTTAAGGATGCTGAGCAGGCCACAAAAACAGATGTCATCTCCCAATAGCCTGATAGTTCTGGAAATTGCCAAGGGCTTGGTAACAGCAGAGCTCATCCAATCTTGTGAGGATCAGCCATATTCCTGCATAGAGTATTTTTTAGATTCCCTATATCCTAAAAAATATGATGCCATTAAAAGCTGTAAGGAAAAAAAAACAGTAAGTAAAAACTGTTTAGTTTAATTTTGGAGATGTTAGAGGTGGTCTGCATCTTCAACTCTTCTCCTGTGGGAATTCAAAGAGCTAGGCTAACCGAGGCCCTGGCATCTTCAACACATGGCTTCCAAGATTTTTCTGTGAAATATTCCCATTTCAGTCAGAAGGGGGAAAGATCATGGAGAAGTATACGTATGATTTGTTTATGGGTCAGTTTTGTAAGAGTGCCCATCACTTCTGCTGTATAATATTTCATTGAGCAGAACATTGTCACATGCCCCTACCTAACTGCAAGGGGGTTCTGGCTAACCATGTAGCCACTTCCTACTGGCCACTTTCCTAATGTTAAGGAAACAATAGTATGATTTTTTTTTTTTTTTTTTTTTTTTGTGATACTAGCTATTTCTGCTACATAAAAATTCCCTGGTCACACAAATAACAAAAAGTGACCAGGGGATTTTTGTGTAGCAGAAATGACTAGCAGTTTTGCTACATAAAAATTATTACACTTACTGGTTTCCTTGGAAAGTAATCAAAACTCTGGCTCAATATAATGTACACACACATGAAATCCAGGGTCACTTCAAAATATTTATAAATTAATAGAACGTTTAAGGACATGCTTCTGGAAATACTGCTCAGGGCTTATAGCGCTTCTGCAGATAAATAGTTCTTTTTTTGCCACTGCATGCTCTTATCCCGTTGTCATTTTACGAATGCTAGAGAGATCTTCAGCCCTATAACATAACATGTATGAAATGGGAGCTCATTCTCACGGCTTCTGTATTGATTGGGAAAAGTGACAGATATGCTTGCCACCGCACTTCCATTTAATAACAGGTTTTCTTTATTAACTCTCCTTCAGCTGCAGGCCGGTCTGAGGCCTCTGAACCTAGGGCTGTTTCATTCCTCATAATCTCTAAAGTCATCTTACCTCAAGACAGAACTAAAGATATGAAATAAAAGGCATAAATAAATTTACTCAAGGCTAAGTATTGCAGTAGAATAAAGCATTCCAGACAAAGGCAAGACTTTAGGGGTAAGGAATACAAATTTTTAAAAAGTTATATGACCTTATATTTAAATAAAGTCACAGGAAGAAGTCTTGAGTTCAAAATCTGTGCTGTGTGTTTAGCGGGGATGACAGTGGGCGAGATGGCTAGGGCATTAGGGACCAGAGGCCTTCACTACTATTTCTCCATCTCTACTTCATCATTTACTCATGAGATCACTTCATGGGACAAACATTTTTCAGTCACCAAAGCGTGTAGTTTAGGACAAAGTTAGTAGGGCCTGTATTAAAAATAACCTATGGTCATGTTACGTGTTGTGACTGGATGCATGACATGCTTTTTAGAGTCTTATTAAATGAATATGTTGATTGTGGCAAATAATTAATCTAATAGAATTTAAAAGAGAATGACTAAAATTGTAATTATATTTCTGAGAAAAGCTCTTAGCACTGAAAATGCAAATAACTTGTTTTCCCACATTAAACTCCTGAATCCAAGTTTCCCTATAATTGTCACAGTTGAGTTTTGGATATCAAATTGGCATTTCAAAAATAACACATACACAAAAGACAAACTGATTTTCCCACAGAACTGTCTCCACTGTCCTGCCTCTATCTCATCAGTTACAAAATCATGATTTACACATGTCCCAGGCCGTAAACTCTGTGATTCCTCTAACATTCCACTTTTTACTTATCCATCTGTTTTCAGTCTACAAACGTCCTGTTGGCTATCCCTCCAAAATTTTGATATGACTACTTCATACCATAGTTCCTACTACTAATCTCATCTCACCTGCCACCGTCTGTCCCTAGACACCTGCAATAGTTTCATATTTGTTCTCCTTACTTCTACATATCACATCCTCATAACCCATTTTCTATGCAGCTGCTAAAGTGATCTTATATAAAACATGCAAATGAGGTAATGTCACTTCCCTGCTTGAAACCTGCCAATGCTACCCTTTGACATTATAATAAAATTCCAATTTCTTACTCCAGCCTATAACATCTTAGATAACGTGGTACCTGTCTAACTCTGAGCTCATCTGATACTTCTCTACCTTTGTTTTCTATGCTCAATACACACTGACAATTTTATTCCTCAAAATTTCCAACTGTATTTCTGATTCAGATACTTCGTGTTTGTTTATTTGCTGCATGGGACCTCCCTGCCTTCAGACCATTCCTGGCTCCATCTTACCTTTCAGATCTGGACTTCCTCCAAAAGTCCTTCTCTGACCACCTACACTTCATATTCCAGTAATTCTTTTTATAATTTTTTTCTAATTTTAATGGGTACATAGTAGTTGTACATATTTATGAGGTATAAGAGATATTTTGATACAGGCATACAGTGCATAATATTCACATCAGGTAAGTGGGGCATCAATCACCTTGAGCATTTATCATTTATTTGTTTTACAAACATTCCAATTATACAGTTTTAGTCATTTTAAAATTTACAACAAATTTTTGTTGATTGTAATTACCCTGCTGTGCTATCAAATAATAGATCTGGCCTGGCATGCTGGCTCATGTCTATAATCCCAACACTTTGGGAAGCTGAGGTTGAAGAATTGTTAGAACCCAGGAGGTCGAGGTTGCAGTGAGCCATGATCACACCACTGCACTCCAGCCTGGGCATTGGAATAAGACCACATGTCAAAAACAAACAAACAAACAAACAAATAAAACAACAAAAAGAAATACTATATTTTATACATTCTATCTAACAAATTTTTGTACATGCTAACTATTTCCCCTTCTCCTCCATCCTGCCCGGCATCTGGTAACCATCATTCTATCTCTGAGTTCAATTGTTTTAATTTTTAGCTCCCAGAAATGAATGAGAACATGTGAAGCTTGTCTTTCTGTGCCTGGCTTATTTCACTTACCAAAGTATCCGTCAGCTCCATTCATGTTGTTGCAAATGACAGGATCTCATTTTTTTTATGGCTGAATATTACTCCACTGTGTATATATACCACATTTTCTTTACCCATTCATCTGTTGATGGACACTTAGGTTGCTTCCAAATCTTGGCTATTTTGAATAGTGCTACAACAAACATGAGAATACAGATATCTTTTCAATATACTGGTTTCCTTTATTTTGGGTACATACCCAGCAGGGGGTTGCTGGATCATATAGTAATTCATTTTTAGTTTTTTTGAGGAACTGACCTACTTTTCTCCATAGAACTGACATACTTTTCTCCATAGTGGTTGTGCTAGCTTAAATTCCCACCAGTTTATGAGGATTCCTTTTCTCCACATAGTTGCCAACATTTGTTGTTAGCTGTTTGGATAAAAGCCATTTTAACTGGAATGACAGGATATCTCACTGTAGTTTTGATTTGCATTTCTCTGATGATCAGTGATGGTGAGCACCATTTCATATGCCTATTTGCCATTTGTATGTCTTCTTTTGAGAAATTTCTATTCATTTCTTTTACTCATTTTTAAATTAGATTATAAGATTTTTTCCTATTGAGTTGTTTGACCACCTTATATATTCTGGTTATTGGTCTCTTGTCAGATGGATAGTTTGCAAATATTTTCTCCCATTCTGTGGGTTGTTTTTTAAATTTGTTCATGATTTCTTCTGTTGTGCAGAAGCTTTTTAATAAAGTAATCCAATTTGTACATTTTTGTTTTCATTGCCTATGCTTTTAGGGTATTTCTTAAAAATTATTTTCCCAGGCCAATGTGCTGGAGAGTTTCCCCAAATGCTTTGTTTTAGTAATTTCATAGTTTGAGCTCTTAGATTTCAGTTTTTAATTTATTTTAATTTGATTTTTGTACATGGCAAGATATAGGGGTCTAGTTTTATTCTTCTGCATATGGATATCCAGTTTTCCCAGCACCATTTATTAAAGAGACTGTTTTTCCACAGTGTATGTTCTTGACACCTTTGTTGAAAATGAGTTCACTGTTAGTGTGTGGACTTCTTTATGGATTCTCTATTTTTTCCACTGGTCTATGTGTCTGTTTTTATTCCAGTACCATGCTGCTTAGTTACTATAGGTCTTTAGTATAATTTGAAGCCAGGTATTGTAATTTTTCCAGTTTTGTTATTTTTGCTCAGGATGTCTTTGGCTGTTCTGGATCTTTTGTGGTTCCATATAGATTTTAGGATTATTATTTCAATTTCTGTAAAGCATGTCATTGATATTTTGATAGGGATTGCACTGAATCTGTAAATTACTTTGGATAACAATATTGATTCTTCCAATTCATGAACATGAGCTAGCTTCATTTTTTTGTGTCCTCTTCAATTACTTGCATCAATGTTTTATACTTTTTATTGTAGAGATATTTCATTTCTTTGATTAAGTTTATTACTAGATATTTTATTGTATTGGTAGCTATTGTAATTGTGATTACTGTCTTGATTTCTTTTTAGATTGTTCACAGTTGGCATATAGAAATGCTACTGATTTTTACAGACTTCATATCCTGTAACTTTACTGAATTTGTTTATCAGTTCTAATGGTTTTTTTAGTGGAGTCTTTAGGTCTTTCCAAATATAAGATTATATTATCTCCAAACAAGGGAAATTTGACTTCTTCCTTTCTAATTTGGACACCCTTTATTTCTTTCTCTTGTCTGATTGCTTTAACTAGGACCTCCAGCACTATTTTGAATAACAGTGGTGAAAGTGGGCATCCTTGTTTTGTTTTATATCTAGAGGAAAGGCTTTCAATTTTTTCCAGTTCACTACGATACTAACTGTGGGTCTGTCATACATAGCTTTTATTGTGTTAAGATATGTCCCTTCTATACCAAGTGTTTTTAGTTTTTTAAAATCATGAAGGGTTGTTGAAAATCAAATGCTTATAGAGCATCAATTTAAATGATCATTGTCCTTCACTGTTGATATGATGTATCACACTGATTGATTTGCATATGTTGAACCATCCTTGCATCTCTAGGATAAATCCAAATTGGTCATGATGAATGTTTTTTTTAATGTGTTGTTGACTTCAGTTTGCTAGTATTTTTTTAAGGAATTTTTGCATCAATATTCATCAAGGATATTGGCCTATAGGTTTCTTTTTTGATACATCTTTGTCTGGTTTTGGTATCAGGATAATACTGACCTCATAGAATGAATTTGTAAGTATTTTCTCTTCCTCTATGTCTTGATATAGCTTGAGTAGAACTGGTATTAATTCTTCTTTAAATGTTTGGTAGAATTCAGCAATGAAGTCATCATGTCTGAGCTTTTCTTTACTGGGAGAATTTTTATTTTAGCTTTGATCTCATTATTTATTCTTGGACTGTTCAGCCTTTGGATCTCTTTATTGTTCAATCCTGTATGTGTCTAGAAATTTATCCATTTCTTAGAGTTTTTCCAATTAATTGCATATAGTTGCTCATAGTACTGTCTAATAATACTTTGAATTTCTTTGGTATCAGTTGTAATGTCTCCTTTTTCATCTCTGATTTTATTTATTTGGATATTCTCTCTTTTTTCTTAGTTAATCTTGTTAAAGGTTTGTATTTTTGTTTATCTTTGCAAGAAGATTTTTCATTTTGTTGTTTTTTGTAATTTTTAAAAATTTCAGTGTCACTTATTTCTGCTGTTACATTTTTTTTTCTTCTACTAATTTTGGGTTTGGTTTTCTCTTGTTTACTAGTTCTTTAAGATTCATTGTTAGATTGTTTATGTGAAGTTTCTCTGCTTTTTTGCTGTAGGTGCATATTGCTATAAATTTTCTTCTTAGTGCTGCTTTTAATGTATCTCATAGGTTTTGATATGTTGTATTTCAATTTTCATTTGTTTCAAGAAATCTCTTAATTTTCTTTCTAATTTCTTCATTGATCTACTGGTCTTTCAGGAGCATGTTGTTTAATGTCCACGTGTTTGTATTGTTTCCAAAGTTCCTCTTATTATGTGGTTTTATTCCATTGTGATCAGAGAAGATACTCAATATGATTTTATGTTTTTTGAATGTTTTAAGACTTGTTGCTTGGCCTAACATATAGTCTGTCCTTTAGAGTGATTCATGCATTGAGGAGAAGAGTGTGTATTCTGCAGCCATTGGATGAAATTTTCTGTAAATAACTATCAGGTACTTTTGGTCTATATTGCAGATTAAATCTGACGTTTCTTTGTTGATTTTCTAGCTGGTGTTCTATCCAATGCTGAAAGAGGGGTTTTGAAGTTTCCAGCTTTTATTTTATCTAGGCCTATTTCTCGCTTTAGCTCTAGTACTATTTCCTTTATTTATCGAGGTGTTACACCGTTGTGTACATATATATTCATAATTGTTATATCCTCTTGCTGAATTGACCCTTTTATCATGTAATGACCTTATTTGTCTCTTTTTATAGTTTTTGTCTTAAAATTTATTTTGTCTGATGTAAATACAGCTAATACTGCTTTTTTTGTGGTTTCCGTTTGTATGAAATATCTTTGCCCATTTATTTATTTTTAGTTTATGCGTGCTTTTATAGGTGAAGTGTGTTTCTTGCAGGCAACAGATCATTGAGTTTTATTTTTTAATCCATTCACCCACCCTACTTCTTTTGATTGAAGAATTTAGTCCATTTACATTGAATGTTATCCTTGATAGGTAAGGACTTACTGTTGCCACTTTGTTATTTGTTTTCTGGTTGTTTTATAGTCTTCTTTTCCTTCCTTCCTGTCTTCCATTTTGTAAAGACAATATTCTCTCTGATTTCATTTATTTGGATTTTCTCTCTTTTCTCTTAGTTAATCTGGCTAAAGTTGCCATTTTTGTTTATCTTTGCAAACAACTTTTCATTTTCTTGAAACTTTTGTATTTTTTTATTTCAAATTCGTTTGTTTCTGCTGTGTTTGGCCTTAAAGAAGAGCTAGTGAGAGAGAGATTCTGGTAGAATTTTATTCAAAGAGATAACAGAGAACTTTCCGAACCTAGAAAAAGATCAAAATTCAATTATTTTTTCTGGTGGTATGTTTTGATTTTTTTTTTTTTTTGCATATCTGTTGTAGGCTTTTTTTTTAAACTGAGGTTACTGTGAGACTTGAAAATAATATTTTTAATCCATTATTTTAAACTGATAACAACACTGACTACAAAAGCAAACAAGTAAAAATAAAACTAATAAAAACTCTACACTTTAACTTAATCACATCTGCTTTTTAACTTTTCATTATTTCTATCTTATCATACTGTGCTTTCAAAAGCTGTAACTCTCATTTTTGATAGGTTCATCTTTCAGTCTTTCTATTCAATATATGAGTAGTTTACATACCATAATTACAGTGTTATAATATTCTGTGTTTGTGTACTTATGACTGGCAGTGAGTTTTGTACATTCATATAATTTTTTTTATTGCTCATTAATATCCTTTTCTTTCAGATTGAAGTACTACTCCTTTTAGCATTTTTTATAGTACAGGTCTGGTATTGATGAAATCCCGCAGCTTTTGTTTCTCTGAGAAAGTCCTTATTTTCTCCTATATATTTGAAGTATATTTTCACTGGATATACTACTGTAGGAGAAAAGATTTTTCTTTCAGCACTTTAAATATGTCATGCCACTCTTTTCTGGCCTGTGAAGTTTCTGTTGAGAAGTCTGCTGCCAGATGTATTGGAACACCATTTTATGTTATTTGTTTCTTTTCATTTGCTGATTTTAAGATTTTTTCTTTATTCTTGACCTTTGGGAGTCTGACTACTAAATGTCTTGATATAGTCTTATTCAGGTTAAATCTGCTTGGTGTTCTACAATCTTCTTGTACTTGAATGTTGACATGTTCCTCTAGGTTTGGAAGTTCTCTTTTATTATCCATTTGAATGAACTTTCTACCCAAATATCTCTCTGTCTCTTCTCTTTAAGGCCAGTAACTCTTAGATTTGCCCTTTTGAGGCTATTTTCCAGATCTGGTAGGTGTTCTTCATTGTTTATTCTTTTTTCTTTTGTCTCCTCTGACAGTATATTTTCAAATAGCCTGTATTCAAACTCACTAGTTATTTCTTTTGCTTGATCAATTGAGAGACTCTGATGCATTCCTCAGTATGTCAATTGAATCTTTCAGGTCCAGAATTTCTGCTTGATTCTTGTTAATTATGTAAACCTCTTTGATAAATCTCTTTAGCTGATAGGATTCTGAATTTCTTCTCTGTGTTATCTTTAATTTCATCAACCTTCCTCAAAACAGCTATTTTGAATGCCCTGTCTGAAAGGTCCCATATCTCTGTCACTCCAGGGTAGGTCACTAGTGCTTTATTTAGTTCATTTGGTGAGGTCATGTTTCCTTGAATCGTCTTGATGCTTGTGAATGTTCATCAATGTATGGGCATTAAAGAGTTAGGTATTTATTGTAGTCTTCACAGTCTGGGCCTTGTTTATTATACCCATCCTTCTTAGAGAGGCTTTCCAAATTTATTCAAGGGGAATTGAGTGTTGTGATTTAAGTCTTTGGTCACTGCAGCCATATCTGCATTAGGGGGCACCTTAAGACCAGTAACTCCATGACTCTTGCAAACTAATCAAGGTGCCTTGGTGGTCTCAGTTAAGATCTGAGATAATTCCTTGTATTACCTGGCAGACACTCTTGTTCTATCCCCTTACTTTCCACCAAACAAACAGAGTCTTTCTGTCCGTGCTGAGTTGCCTAGAACTGAGGACACAAGCATCTCTCTAGGGGATACCACCTCTAGGACTGCACTGGGTTGAAGCCAGCACAGCACCGGGTCTTGCCCAAAGCCCATGGCAACCACCGCCTGATTACTGCTGATGCTCTCTCAAGACCAAAGGGAGAAATTCTTCAATCAGCAGGCAAGACATTCAACCAGGCTTGTGGCCTTCCCTTTAGAGCAGTGGCCCAGAGCAGGTCCAGAAATGCCATCTGGGAGCCAGGGCCTGGAGTTGGGAACCTTAGGATTCTACTTCACGCTCTATTCTATTGCAGCTGAGCTGGCACCCAAGATGCAAGACAAAGTTCTTATTACTCTTTCTTCTCCTTTACTCAAGCAGAAGAAACCTCTCTCCTTGAACACCATTGCCCCTGGCCCACAGCAAGTACTGCCTAGCTACTGCTAATGTTCACTCAAGGACCAAGGCTCTTCAATCAGCTGTGGTGAATGTTGCCAGGCCTGAAACTCTCCCTTCAGGGCAGTGGGCTCTGCTATGGCCCAGGGAAGGTCCAAAACTGCCATCCAGGAGCCAAGGCCTGGAATTAGGGGGCCCAGGAGCCCTCTTGGTGTTCTACCTCACCGTGGCCAAGTTGATACCCAAGCTGCAAGACAAAGTCACCTCTACTCTTCCCTCTCTCTTCCTCAAGGAGAAGGAGTCTTTTCCTATGGCCACCACAGCTGGGAATGCCCTGGGTTATACTGGAAGTCAGCATGGCCCTGGGTCTCACCTAAGTTCCATGGTGAGTACTGCCTGGGTGCTGCCGATGCTTATTTAAGGGCCACAGTCTCTTTAATCAGTAGGCGATTAATCCTTCCAGGGTCTTTCCATTCAAGGCAGGGGGTTCCTTTCTGGCACAGGGCGTGTCCAGAAATGTGGTCTGGGAGCTAGGACCTGAAATGGAGGTCCTACCTCCATTTCAGGCATCAGGACTCTACCTGGTGCTCTATTCCACTGTAGTTGTGGTGATATCCTAGTTGTAAGACAAAATCCTCTTCACTCACTGCTCTCCTCTCCTCATGTTGCACCACCTGGCACTAGGGGGTGTTGATGTAAGCCCACTGTTGGCTGCCCCAGGTGGTATTGCAGTAGGTCACTTGTACCCCAAGTCCACTGGCTCTGAGCACAGCACAACACTAGGGTTTGTCTAGGCATTGAAATCCTTGTGGCCTAGACTGCCTTTCAAGTATATTTAGAACCCCAGAACCTTTTAGCCCATGATGGTGGGGCTTGCCAGAACTTAGGTTCTGACCACAGGGATGGGCAATTTGCCTCCAGCTAGGGCTGGTCTAAATGCTCCCTCTGTGGGTACTGGCCAATTTCTGGTCTGTGTTGCTTTCTGCTATGACAGGGCAGTACTGAGTCCCACAATCACTGTGCTCTCCCTCCCCCAGTCACACAAATCTCTCTCCTCAGCACCATGTGACTGCTGCCAGGAGACTGGGGAGGGGTAGTGTTGGCATTTCAAGACTGTCTTTCTTTCCCTCTTCAGGGACCCTTTCCTGGATATAATGTTAAACCACAAACTGTGATTACTCATTTGATTTTGTTTCTTATGAATGTGCCTTCTTGTGTGGGTAGTTGTTCAATTTAGTGTTCTTGTGGGGAGTGGGGATGATTGTTAGAGGGTTCTATTTAGCCATTTTTTTTTGCCTCCCCTACCACAGTAACTCTTTATTTCATTACCCTCTTCTATTTGCTTTATTACACTTAGCACTTTTTGAAACTATTGCACACAATTCCACTTATTTATAGTTCCTCTTCCTCAACTAGAATGAAGCTGAAATGACTATATTGTCTGGGGTAAATACCCGGGGTTCATCATCTCACATCAAGAAAATTTAGGACACAGAAACACACGAGGAGTTTAGGAGTGGAGGTTTAATAGAAGAAAGCCCTTCTCTCTAGTGAACCTGCTGGGTTCAAGCAATTCTCCTGCCTCAGCCTCCCAAGTAGCTGGGATTACAGGCGCCTGCCACCACACCTGGCTAATTTTTATATTTTTAGTAGAGACAAGGTTTCACCTTGTTGGCCAGGCTGGTCTTGAACTCCTGACCTCAGACAATCCGCCCACCTGGGCCTCCCAAAGTGCTGGTATTACAGGCCTGAGCCACCGCACCTGGCCGGAGTCCACCAAATTTTATAAGCAGGCTTGAAGAGGCATTGTGGGATTTACATAGGGCCCACAGATGGGTTGGAATAGGTGTGACGTTTACATAGCACATGGGGAAGGCTAGCCACACACACTAATCTTATTATGCAGATAGGCTTTCCCCTTGGCTGAGGCCATCTTGTCTGCTCCTTACTGGACATGTGGCTGACAAAGAAAAGGGAAGATAGAGTAGCCATTTTGAACATGATTGGCACAACTGCTGGCATCTATGTCTGCCGCTTGATTTTACAGGCTGCTCTTTGTTAGAAAGGAAACTGATTTGGGGCTGCTTTTCACTAAGAAAGAAAACCTTACCAAGGACTCCAGTACCCTCACTCTCTGCGTAAGTAATTTCTTCTTAAGTCCTATATCAAAGCTTCATAAAAACAAAGACACTTGGCTGGGCGTGGTGGCTCACGCCTGTAATCCCAGCACTTTGGGAGGCGGAGGCGGGTGGATCACGAGGTCAGGCGGGAGGATCACCGTCCTGGCTAACATGGTGAAACCCCCTCTCTACTAAAAATACAAAAAATTAGCTGGCCTCGTGGCCGGCGCCTGTAGTCCCAGACTTCTTTCAGGGCCAGTGCCTGTCATTTACATACAACAGTGAGTCCCTTCTTTAAAGGACACTTACATTTTATGGCTCCTTAAACAATTATGAGGTAAAAAAATTTCACCTGCAACATTTAAAAGAAACTGTTCTAGATGACAACAAAGAGACATGGGTGGATTTAAAATCTAGAACAGGAAGGGGCAGTAGAAAACTAAACTATTTGTATGTTAAGATATAGAAATAAATACATGCACAGTTATATATGTAACAGAAAATATAATTAGCAAATATATATAAGCATATTACATGAAAATGTTACATAATTTATAAAAATTAAGAAATGCAACATATAAAAATACACTTATTGTAATAGTTATTATAGAAACATATACAAACAAAAAGCTATTTATTTAAGACACTTGTGTTGCCTATGGGAGTGAAAAGGATGAGGATGGAGAAGGGGGATTATCAATATAACAAATAATTAAAAAATAAGAGATATGGGGTCGTGATGTTAATATGCCAGGAAATTAAGAATATGATCAACTCAACCATCTACCCCTGAGATCAAAATCAAAAAAGAAAAGAAGACATGAGGGAGAGAAGACAAACAAGTAGGAAGGTAAAAAAGGAAATTCTGCATACCTGTTACAGCCTTTTTGGGTAGTGCCCTGGCTGGAGGTAAAGAGCTACCTGGGGGCTGGCTGGCTGACAGAGCCAAATCACCTGCAAGAGTGCCTACCACATACTAAGCACTCGATGAATATTTGTTGAATTAAACTGCATTGAACTGAATTGCCTCAAGAAGACAAGTTTATTTCCCTGCATTCTTGAATTTATGTCTTTTAGGCTGACCTTGTTCTTTCTGTGAAGAAAAGCCAGAATAACATATTAGGAAGTCGAATTGCACTTTAGTAGAGACTACATTCTCTTTTTGTTTGGCAAGAACTCATCCTTTTTTTTCTGATAATAGCTCTCATATTTAGTTTAGAGAAGCACCTCACTCCATTCTTATTCCATGTAGTTCAGATGAGGCTGACTTCTGCAACTCAATTATCTCTGGAGGCAGGAACATAACCTTGGCTCCAACATGGAAGTGGGGCATTTGGGGTTCAGGGGTGGTTATGTGATGTAGTTTGGGATGATGTGGAGTCAATTCTAGGATTTGTTTTTGAAAATTATTTGATAAAAATTGTACTTCTATGAGAATTTATAAAGTAAAATATAAATTTGGGAATCTAGGGCCATCATGTGTGAAGACACCTTGCCTGAGAATTAGCCAATACTGAAAAAAGATAAGGTCTGAGAAATAAAGGAGGGAGAGGGCGTGGGTAGAGAGGGTGAGGGTGAGGAAGAGAGTGAGCTCTATCTTAGGTCTTCTTTGCTTAAGCAAGAAATGTTTTTATCACTTAGCTGGATGTTTTTACCAATTAGAAATAGTGATTAACACATTCCACAGTAATTACATCCCCCTTGAAGTGCTTACCCTTCAGGTGTCTCCCCTAAAGACAAGAGCTCTACATATTCCTAGGCAGCCTAGCCCATCTCTGTATAGCTTGGGCTTATAGGAAGTTTTATGTATCTGTCTTCCTTGAACTTTCTGGTGTTGGTATCAGTTTCATACTTTATGGCTGCATAGAACAGTTTATGCATCTTTCAGCTATCAGGTATCCCCTGAGTCTTTTCTGCAGTAAAATACCTACCTCATTCTTAGGTTAGATCTCCAGTATCCAAAGCAAATGCCATCAAGAACTTCCCTCATACAATGAGCCAGTTTTGCATTCCCTGCCTCATTTATACTATCTATACATATAAACAATATCAGTAACTATTGATCCATGTTTTTTTAAAAAAGCAAAACCTAATGTCTTAAAAATCAATAAGCACATATTATTGCTTACAATGTTGGCTGGGAGGTTCTTCTGGTCTTTACTGAGTTCATTGATATATTTGTGATCAGCTGAAGATGAAGCAGGCAGCTCAGCTGAACTTGAATGAACTGTCTGATATATTTGGGATACAACTGTCTGTAGACTGGTCAAGGATAGTCTTAGACTGAGGCAACGAGGCTCCCCTCTACATGGTCTTTCACCCTCCAGCAGGTTAGCTTAGGCTTGTTCATGAGGTGGAGAGAGTTCTTTGAAAAATCAAAACATGCATGGCCTCAGTAGGTTTAGCTCAGAGGTGTCACACTATCTATTCTGCCACTTTCTATTGGCTAGAGCAAGTCATGAGGCCAGCCAAGATTCCAGGATAGGAGAAATAGAGTTCACCTGTTTATAGGTGTTGACATTGGAAGTAGCTGCAGTCACATTGCCAAGGGCATGGATTCAGGGTGGGGTGGAGAATTGGGACCAGTTTTACAGTCAATGTAGCAGAGACTAAAACAACCAACAAACTCTAAAGAGTCTGATTTCATTGAATGACATTCTGTTTGCATCTAATCTCAAGGTCTTAATCAGAATCGGGTAAATCAAGAGGATTTGGCAAACAATTACATCCTGTTTTTCAACACTAAGAAAAAAGTAGAAAACAGAAATATCTAATCTCTATTTCAAATTCACACTTGACTTAAGCATGTTGCATTGAATCAGAGTTTGGCTGAGGAAATAGAATAATGTTGGCTTCTGTTAAGATGTACTGTTTTTTTCCAAGATGCATGACTAGAGGCTTTTCCAGTGTGCCTCATCCACTTAGAAGAGTCAAAATGTGTAAACAATCACACTTTGAACATTAATCCAAGAAAGAACATGAGAGTTAAACAGAAAAGTAAAGTGAAAATCTGGAGTCTGTGAAAGAGAAGGGCATGTAGCCCACATGGTTGGGATTGACTGAAGACTGGATGTGAATCCTCAATATGGGAGACGGTGAGTGAGTGTCTCTTTGTGGTTCACTTTCCCACTGGAGAATTGTGCAATCCAGGCCATAAGAGAGCAGCTTGACTCTCCTAAGCATTGAAACTAGCTTGGGGAGTGTCTGGGAGACTGTGAGAAGGAACTGTTCTGGGAAATGTCCCATGAATGCCATCATGCCTGGGCACCAAGAGTAGAACTTCATTCTTGATCCTAGCTCTTAGTAAGCTGTGTAGGGTCCTCAGAGCTTGCAGCAGCATAAGTCTCTGGCATTAGAGAGACTTAGTCTGGGGCATGAAGAACTGGAGCTCAGACAGGAGAGGAGCTCCCATAGCCAGAAGTGAAATAAGAGTATAACGTGGGGACCTGCCACTGGCATCAGAATCGGGCTCCCCCAACCCCTGGGACAAGACCAGGAGGAGAGTTGTTGGGGAGGTATAATATTGACCTGGGCAGTGACTTCTAAGACCAGGGCTTATGGCAGACTAGAAGCAAATTGCAGTGACTACCTGGCTATCCCAAGTGCCTGCCACAGTTGGGATGAGTGAGAAAGCTCAACCAGGTCTGGAGTGTGAGAGAGAATAGAATTCATTCCCACTGGCCAATGCTCTGTCACTGGGACTGCCCCTCTCTCCCATGCTGAGACCTTGGTGCAGCTGCAGTTATCCCTCACCCAAGCATTTTGCTAAGAGCCCGAGGACTGTCCTGCCACCTGTGTCATAGATGGTGCTTGCAGCTATCCTTGGGAGGCCTGAATGTAGTCTTCCATAGTCCATTTCTGCCCAGCTTCACACCCACCACTCCACCCACAAGCACTCTAAAATGGAGTGTGGGACCCAGGCCCCTGGGCATTCCACAACCCAGCTCACCACCTGGGACACCTGGGTACCTTTCCTGGCCAACAGAGAGTAGGCATGAAACCTGCTGCCACCACCACAGCTGGTTCTTACCTGAAAGTGCCACCTACTGTCCTGTCCTGGATATCAGTCCACACAGCCCGTTATAACTGCTGACACAATAGCACAGTACTCTGGAATGAGAAAAGCTTCTAGTGATCGCTGCTATCCCTATCACCATTGCCTTTCTGGCTGCTCAGGAGGTTGTGAGCCTGCTCACACACTTGGCACACTGCTACTATACCTGCCATTTGATAAAGCACCACACTAGGCTATTTACAGCCAAGGAAACCATATAGAGTCTTTGCCACTGAATATACCCAGAAACAAAGCCAAATGGCCTTACCTAGCATACATCATAGTTATATCTTCAAGTGAAAAAAGATCCCCCTTCACATTTATAAAAGCAAATTAAAAAATGAGAAAAAGTGACTATTACTCAAGATGTGAATAAAGCAGCGTAAAGGTATAGAAAAGATGAATAAAAGGTAACATCATCTTCAAATGATCATAATAATTCTCTACCAATAGGCCCTAACCAAAAAGAAATCTTTAAAATGCCAGATAATTAAAAATATTGATTGTAAGGAACATCAAGGAGACGCAAGAGAAATCTGAAACCAATTCACGTGAATCAGAAAATTAATTCAGGATAAGCACAAGAAATTTACCAAGTTGATAGATATCTTAAAAAAAAAAAAAAGAAATTCTGGAACTGAAAAGTTCATTGAAGGAATTACAGAATAAAATCAAAAGCCCCAACAATAGACTAGATCAAGCAGAAGACAGAATCTCAGAACTTGAAGACAAGTCTTTTGAAATAATCCAGACCAAAAAAATAAAAAATTAAAAATTAAAAAAAAAGGCAAAAAGGAATGAACAAGGCTTAGAGCCTATGAGACATATGGAACTATATAAAGCAACTAAACTAATGAATTACTGGTATTCCTGAGGGGGAAGGAAAACCGATAAGTTTAGAAAACTTATCTAAGAGAATAATTGACAAAAACTTCCCAACTCTAGCAAGACATTTAGACATTCAAAGACGGAAAGCCCAATGATCTCCCAGCAAATACATTGCAAAAAGAAACTCAGCCTGAAATGTTGTCATCATATTGTGTAAAGTCAGTTTGAAAGAGAATTTTAAAATCAGCAAGAGAAAAGCATCTAGTCACTGGAAAGGAAACACCATCAGACTAACAGTGGACTTCTCAGCAGGAACCTTACCAGCCAGAAGAGAATGGGATAGTATTTGCAAAGTACTAAAATTAAAACAAAACAAAACAAAAAATAGCCAGCCAAAAATTTTCTGTCCAGCTATATTAAGATTAATGCAAAATAAATAAAGTCTTTCCCAGACAGGAGAATATTGAGGAAATTTGTTACCACTGGACTGGCCCTACAAGAAATGTTCAAAGGAGTCCTAAACATGGAAATGAAAGCATGATATTTACCATCATAGAAACACACAAAAGCATAAAACTCAGAGGTCCTATAAAACAATCACACAAAGAAGAAAGAGAAAGGAATCAAATGACAACATGGCAGAATTCCACCAAACCACAAAGACAAACAGAAAAATAAAGAATGTCTAAAACCACTAGACAACAATTAACAACATGACAGGAACAAAACCTTATATATCAATATTAACCTTGACTATAAATAGATTAAATACTTCACCTAAAGGATATGGATTGGAGGAATGGATAAAAAATGATTCAACTATATACTACTTATAAGAAACTTACCTTACCTGTAAAGGCGTATAGACTAAAAGTAAAGGGATAGAAAAAGATATGTCTTGCAAATGGAAACCCGAAAGTGAGCAAGAGTAACTATACTTATATTAGATAAAGCAAATTTTCAATTAAAAGTAGTTAGAAAAATGAAGATCATAATGTAATGATAAAGGGATAATGTCAGCAAGAGGATATAACAATCCAAATATATATGCACCCAACACCAAAGCACCCAGATTAATAAAACGAATATTAGACATAAAGAAAGACAGAGAGTACAAAACAATAATAGTGGGGGACTTCAATACCCCACTTACAGCAGTAGACAGATCTTCGAGACAGAAAATCAACAAAAAAACACTGGACTTAATTTGTACTTTAGACCAAATGGACCTATCAGACATTTACAGAACATTTGTCTCAAGAGCTGCAGAATATACATTCTTCTCAGCATATAACACATTCTTTGAGACAGACCATATGTGAGGCCACTAAATAAGCCTCAACAAATTTTCAAAAATTGAAATCATATCGAGAATCTTCTCAGATCAGAGCAGAGTAAAACTACAAAACAATACCAAGAGGAACTTCCAAAACTATACAAATACATGGGAATTAACATGCTTCAGAATGATCTTACTGATGAAAAAATTAAGATGGAAACTAAAAACAATTTGGAAACGAATGAAAATGGAAACACAACATAGCAAAACCTCTGGGATATAGTAAAAGCAGTGCTAACAGGAAGTTTGTAGCATTAAATGCCTACAATAAAAAAGTAGAAAGCTCACAAATTAACAACCTAACATCACACCTCAAAGAACTAGAAAACGAAGGACAAACCAAACCCAAAGGAAGCAGAAGACATAACAAAGATCAGAGAGGAGATAACTAGAGGCAAAAAAAAAAAAAAAAAAAAAAAAAAATACAAAGGATCAATGAAGCAAATGTTGATTATTTGAAAACACAAATTAAATTGATAAACTGCTAGCTAGACTAACCAAGAAAAGAAGAGAGAAGATCCAAATAAATAAAAGTAGAAATAATAAAGGAGACATTACAGTTGATGCTGCAGAAATACAAAAGATTATCAGAGACTATTATGAACGATATACTCTCACACTAGAAAACCTAGAGGAAATGGATAAATTGCTGAAAGCAAACAATCTCCCAAAATTGAACCAGAAAGAAATAGAAATGCTGGAGACTAATAATAAGCAGCAAGATTGAATCAGTAATAAGAAATACCTACACCTCAAACAAAAGCCCAGGACCAGTTGAATTCACAGCCAAATTCTACCAAACATAGAATGAAAAACTAATACCAAGTTTGCGAAAACTGTTCTAAAAAATTGATGAGAAGAAATTGTCTCTAACTCATTCTATGAGATCAGTATCACTCTGACACCACAGCCAGACAAAAACACCACAAAAAAGAAAGCTACAGACCAATATTTCTGATGAACATAGATGCAAAAATCCTCAACAAAATACTAGCAAATTGAATCCAACAGCACCTCAAAATGATAATATGCCACAATGAAATGGTTTTTATACCAGAGATGCAAGAATGGTTCAGCATACACAAATCTATAAATGTGACACATCACATAAACAGAATTAAAGACAAAAACCATATGATTATCTCAATAAATGCAGAAAAAGCATCTGATAAAATTCAGCACCAGTTTATGGTAAAAACCTGCAACAAACTAGGCACAGAAGGAACATATTTCAAAATATTAAAGGCCACGTATAACAAACTCATAACTAACATGTTGAATGGGGAAAAGTTAATTGTGTTCCCTCTAAAAACAGAAACAATACAAGAATGCCCACTTTCACCTCTCCTATTCCACATAGTACTGGAAGTCCTAGTCAGAGCAATCAGGCAAGATAAAGTAAATAAAAGGCATCCCAATTGGAAAAGAAAAGTCAGATTACTTCTACTCACCGATGATGTGATCTTATATCTAGAAAACCCTGAAGATTCCACCAAAAAACTTAGATTTGCTAAATGAATTCAGTAAAGTTTCAGGATACAAAATCAATGTACAAAACTCAATAGCCTTTCTGTACACCAATAGTCATGTAGCTGATAACAAAAACAAGAAGGTAACCCCATTTAAAATAGGTACAAATAATAATAAAATAATAGGAATATATTTAACCCAGGAGTGAGAGATATTTACAATTACAAAAACCTACAAAACACTGTTGAAAGAAAATATAGATGACACAAAAAATGAGAAAACATCTCATGCTCATAGGTTAGAATAATTAGTATCATTAAAATGACCATGGTGCCCAAAGCAATTTAGAGATTCAATGCAATTTCTATCAAAATACCAATGTCATTTTTGTATAAATTTAAAAAAATATTCTAAAATTCATATGGAACCAAAGGAGAGCCTGAATAGTCAAAGCCCTCCTGAGCAAAAAGAACAAAGCTGGAGGCATGACATTCCCTGACTTCATATTATACTACAAGGCTGTAGTAATCAAAACAGCATGATAGTGGTATAAAAACAGAAACATAGATCACTGAAACAGAATAGATAACCCAGAAATAAAGCCACACAATTACAGCCAACTGATCTTTGACAAAATTGACAAGAACATACTCTGGGGAAAAACTCTCTTTCCAATAAAAGGTGACGGGAAAATTGGATTGCCAAAGGCAGAAGAATGAAACTGGACTCTTATTTCTCACTATATAAAAAAATCAACTCAAGATGAATTAAAGACTTAAACGTAAGATATAAAACTATAAAATTTTTAGAAGAAAACCTAGGAAAACTCTTCCAGATATTGGTCTAGGCAAAGAATTTATGACTAAGATCTTAATGGCTCAGACAACAAAACCAAAAAGAGACAAATGGGTGTTAATTAAACTCAAAAAGCTTTTACACAGCAAAAGAAATAACTGATAGAGTAAACAGACAACCTGCAGAATACAGGAAAATATTTGCAAACTATACATCTGACAGGGAATTAATATCCACAATTTAGAAGGAACTCAAACAATTTAACAACATAACAAAATGACAAATAATCTCATTAAAGAGTGGGCAAGTGACATGAATAGACATTTTTTAAAAGAAGACATACCAATGGCCAGCAAACATATGAAAACAATGCTCATCATCACTAACTTATCAGAGAAATGCAAGTTAAAACCACATTCAGATATCATCTTATACCAATCAAGATGGCTATAATTAAAAAGACAAAAAATATAACAGATATTGGTGAAGGTGCAGAGAAAAAGGAATATTTATACATCATTGGTTGAAAAGTAAATTATACAACCTTTATGGAAAACATTATGAATATTTTTCAAAAGACTAAAAATAGAACTACTATTTGATTCAGCAATCCCACTACTGGGTATCTACGCAAAGGAAAAGAAATTATGATATCAAGCATACCTGCATTTGTAAGTTTATTTCAACACTATTCACAATAGCACAGATACAGAATCAACCTAAGTGTTCATCAATGGATGACTGGATAAAGAAGATGTGGTTTATATACACAATAGAACACTATTCAGCCATAACAAGAATGAAATAATGTATTTTGCAGCAATGCGGATGGAACTGGAGGCTATTATTTTAAATGAAACAATTCAGACACAAAAGAATACCATTGAAAAATTGTAAGAGGAAGCTAAATAATGTGTACACATGATTGTAGAGTATGGAATGATAGACATTGAATACTTAGAAAGGTGGTGAGTGGGAAGGGAGTGGAAGATGATAAATTATTTAATGGGCACTATCTATGTTAATCCAGTGATGAATACTCTAAAAGCCCTGATTTCACCACTAGGCAACAAAATTACACCTGAACCTCATAAATTTATACAAATAATCTTTTTAAAGATGTGTTGAGTAAATACCTTCTATTTATTCCCCAGCAGAAGCAAGTTATCAGATTCAAACCTTGGAGACATAATATTTGTAAATAACAAAGATTTACTCCAATATTTTCAAAAACAACTGTCCTCACGGCCATGAGTTTAGGCCTGCACTGGACAATGATTTAATGCTTAGCAGATTCCTTCAACTTATAATCAGCTGTTATCACATACAGTGTCTCTTCTCTAAAACACTCATTCATTCATCCATTCATTCCACATATATTTTTTAAAGTACATCTTATATTGAGTAATATAAATAAGTCACTTCAATAATACACCAAGTTAATGATTGTGACTTACTGTGAGAAGGCAAGGTGCAGTTTAGCCTTTATTTTTTTTTTCTTGAAGAAATGACCAAATATAAATGTGACTTTTGGGTTGGGAGTAGCTGGCCAAGTCTGCAATGACTAGATATAAATGACATGGCAGGGATTCATATAATGTCTGCTGGGAACGTGGGCTTGGTGCATCTTCCAGCCTAGCCTGGTATGGTGTTATTTGGGCTGAAGCTTGGAGCTTACCTTTAGTCCTGAAGCCATCTAGCATTTGACTCTAAGATAGAATAATATTCTAGTCCTGGTAGGAATGATAAAAAAATATTTTCCAGTTTCTGGAATAAACAAAGTAGATGTATCTGCTGTTAACTTTGTTGGAATTTATTCCTGTGGAGTTTCTCAAAGTGAATGCACAGAACTAGGAACACAATAAATTTAAGGCTTGTGTAAATGATGACTATATATAATTTTGCCCTTTTATCTTACATTTTAGGAAACTTTGCTTAATTTAAAAGGCAAGGGGTGAAGAGACCTGGTTTATATTAGAGGTTATGCCTCATTCCACATTATAAACCTGGAGAATTCTCTCAACTGTTCTCAATGTATTTACCAATAAGTAAATTGGAGATACTGAGTCAATCATGATTATTATTCTTAGATTTACAGGGCTATATATTTATGATGCTCATGGGAACCTCAGAACCACCATGACATTCTGAGAGGGTGGGCAGCTGTGGCTTCATTTTACACATGAGAATGATGAGGCCATGGCCAAGGTGAGTTTTATAAAAGTAGAATCTGACATAGGGACTTGGGGAGCCATTAAGAATCTTCCACCGATTTGATCCAACTCTTTTGCAGATTTCAACAGCATGTTGCTGTATAGAGCTAATGGCTCCCGAAGATGCTTTGATCATAGCAAGTTATTTAGTTAAGTTGCTACCACCCCAGGGAAATTGGTTCCCATCCGATAGGCCTTCCAGATGCAGGGGCTCTTTCAAATCCATGTAAGTGAACCAAACAAAGCCCTTTGGCCTAGTCATTAGTATGGTTACCATCACAGAGAAAGGAAGACACACAAAACCACAATCCATAAGACCTTGACTTCCTGGGGTCCTGGTTTCCTTACCTGTAAAATGAGAGGGTTAGACTAGATGACACTAAGGTTTCTGCCTGCTCTGAAGTTCTGTGATCTCTTTTTAAAAATAAGATTAAAAATCAAGAGTCATAAATAATAGTAAATATGTTATATTTCTTCCCTTTCTATCCAAATTCAAGTGAAAATGTTGGTAGAGTCATAGGATACTAATTTATTTTATTCTCCATTCTAGTATTTTAGTTAAATATCTACATATTAAATATCTACTCTGTGGAAGATACTGAGACTGCATAACTTTCTCTAAGTACTCCAATATGGAATATGGGCACTCTAGGACCAAAAAGTCACAATACTCAGGCTTGTCAGAACCAGAGTTAGAGCTTCCTAGAAATAAAGTCAATCCAACAAAAGCTCCTCTCTGGAAAAGACCTCTCATGTGAAAGGATGGCTCTGGTCTTTTGAATTGTGTAGTGAATACTCTTGGTGTACATGTAATCCTCTTTGCCAAATCAGTGTACGTGGTTCCTCCAGTCACTGTGGGTGTTGAATTGCTCATGCTTGTCCCCATCCTTACCTGAAGGATGGTTCTTGATCAAAAGTGCCAACTTTCCCAGAAGTTTATTCCATAACCTGGGGCATCCTATAGCTAATGATGAGGGGAAGTTGAGGCCAGCACCTTGTCTCAATATGAGACAGACTTGGTACAATCCATGGCCCAGAGCCTCCCATGTGATCAGGCTGAGGCTGGACTTCAGCTGAGATCACATTGCTGCCTAGCTCCTTCCATTCCTCTGCTTCTTTCTCTCTCCCTTTCCTCTGAGAGACTTCCCTCAGGGAATCATATACACCCAAATTCCCTTCTCTGGATCTACTTCTAGGGAACTTGTGCTCAGATCTCAGAGCCACACAGCTCTTCCCTGGGATTCAGGCATTGCTGCCTGAGACTATTCCCAGGTTTTAAAAGTCTTCATAACTCTCTAAGCCTCTCTGTATTCAGGAAGCTTCATGGAGTAGAGGGAGGCAGCCACCTACTGCCTCAAAAATGTGCGGGAACCCTTTAACTCTGGTGACAAATTCAGGAAATGGGGCTTGGTTGCTAAGTGGCAACCCTCTAGACCCCAGGCTGGCAAAGCAAATGAGGGCTGAGCAATGCTCTAAGATAGTAAATCTCTGGTCTGGCCCATCATTAGACAAAATCGTCACTGGAGATGACATATCGAGGGTAGGAGTCACTGGTGGTAGACTGTGGAACCACAAAGTCAGGATATCTATGTGAGGAAAGTACTAGAAGCTGGAATGCAAACATCAGACCCCCATCTACTTCTTTCTACTCCTGCATTGCTGCAAGAAAGTCTCTTCATAAGAAAGTCAGATGAAAACCAGCAAGCGCCTTTGAGGGAGGCTGGATTATATTTCCAAAGGCCTGGAAGGTGAGAGGATTCATGAGCATAAAGCACAAGTGAGTGCTGAAGAAGGACCTCACCTAGGAACCACTTCCATCCTGGCTTGAGAAGGAGGAGATGGAGGCAGAGATGAGATTGTGTGTGAAATGCAATAGGCGGCAGTGTGGGGAGGTGGCAGATCCGCAGAGAGAAAAGCAACCATAGAGTGTGTCTAAGGAGGAATTGTAGGCTGCCTCACAAAGGGTTGATGGAACCCCAAGCATACCGTAGAAACAGCAGAGACACTGGCCAGGGGAATTACAGAAGCTTAGAAGGTGGGCTGCTGAGACACATCCTGTGTGGGCTGATGAATGAAGACCAGACAGCCCCCCATCTCTCTCACAGTGCCTGAGGAGGCCTTAAAACAAGGACTCTGGAGCCTAAGGCCTGGGTTCAAATATTAGCTCAGATATTTATTATCTGTTTGTCCTTGGGGAGGTCAGTTTTGACATCTCTGAGTCTGTCTTCTCATCTGTGGAATAGACATAATAGTACCTACCTTCTAGAACGATAAGCGTCAACTGCTTTGTCTACATAAAGTATATAGAAGAGTCTGTGAATTAAAGGCTTTTGCACTGCTTAAGCTCCCAGAACTCTGACACTGCTATGGCTTGAACTGTTTTCCCAGCTCAGAGAAGTGAGGTCTTAGAGACATACTTTACACTGAAAAAAATTAAATTTTATTAGTGAATCAATTCATAGCCACCACAGGAATTTTCTACCAAAGATGCATCCACCTAAATTGTCTTGGGTTTCACTGTAACTTTATTTTCATTTTTTATCCTCTAGCTTATTACCTTCAATAGTTTTTTTTAAATATTTCTTTGAGCTTCCATATTAGATGAAGACAGAGACAGAGAGAGAGGACTCTCAAGCAACTTCAGTTTCTCAGGGAAAGCCCATGAATTGATGTAATCTAAAGAAAGCAATAATGCTGTTTACTGCCCAGCAAGGAAGCTGTTTACCACAAGGAAGTGAAGACGACTAGAGTGGGAAACAGGAAACTGAAAAGAGGAAATGGTTTACAAGTCCCCAGAAAATACACACAGATGGAAATTGATGAACAGTGACAATGGAGAAGGATGCCCCAGGCAACTCTGCTTCCAAAAGTTAAAGCTTCCATCCAGTCAGTACTTAGTTCTCTCTGTTGTTTCTACATTCTTAGTGTGATCTTGCTAATATTTAAAAGGTAAATCTAAACACTTCAGAATCTTCACAATTCTACTGATGATCAGCAACTGAATGACTCATGTGAATTTCAATTCTGCTAAAAGATGCAATCAACAGAAACTCTGAGAAACATGCAAGGAAGAAAACTCTAAGGACTTGTTAGAGATTTTACAAGCCCAAACTAGGCTCCTTTTAATTTTTTCTTTTTCCTTTTGCATGATCATGAGCCGGTCCAGAGCAAGGAGCAGAACCCAAAGTTCACACATATATTTATTTAGTTAGCAAGACATTCCTATTTTTATAGCTCAAAGTTCTTAACTTTCTTGTTAGCAAATGTTAACAAGGTTTAAAATGCATAAAGTGAGCTGTGGCATGTAAAAAATTTTGGCCTATTCTGGCTCCTTCTTTTTTTATACTTATGTTCAATGAAAATGTCCTACTGACAGGCAGAATGTCTGGGCAACTTTATAGATAGTGTTCCCACCTCAGGGCCACAAGGTCACAGATTCGTTCCTGATTCTATTTAAAAAACACTCAACAATGGTAAGTTTGTGTGTGCTTTTATGAGCGGGAGCTGTTTTATAGAACCCAAAATCTTAAAGATACTCCAAGGAATCTTGCATGTATGCTGGGCTGTGAATTGGAAAAGCTGCAATATGGGGCTTGCTGCAGAATTGGAGAGTTTCATGGAATCATGAGCAAAGACTGACTATAATAATTCTCAGACATCGTGTCTACACAAGGCCAAAAAGCAGTTTGTTTTCATGGTGGCAATCAAAGCGCTTGAAAGGCATTTCAACCTGCTGTTCCAGCGTCAGTTTACCAGTGAGTGGTCATAAAATGAAACAAGGCAGAGGGAGTAAAAAAGAAAAGAAAGGAGAAAAAAGCAGACCCCACTCAAATCTCACAGACATTTTATAACTATTTTAGACACTGCAGGCCTTTCCTTCTGGGTAGTGCATAAATACGGCTTCTGAGAAGTCGCCGGTAGAATCCCCGAAGGCCCCCTAAGTATAGAAGTGAAATAACCGTCAACACCGTAATGAGCAAACATAGGGGCACTTCTAGCAGAAGGGGATTAGGAAATAGCTCAGTTGGTGGCTACCATAACTTTCTGAAACATGTTGACAAAAAAAACAGAACAATTCAGATCTGATTATCTACCTGGGTTCAACTGCTGTGGGACCAGAGACAGTGGATTATCCTTTCTGAGTCTCTGTGTTGTTCCCTCTGAAATGAGAGAAAAGGGCAAAGTTTTCTTAGAAGTGAAAACATTTACCTTTCACAACTTCAAATGGAATAGGTAACTTGAAATGTGGCAATTATCCATCGTTTTGTGTAAATGATGTACACATAAGTGTCTCTCCCACCCAAGGCTGACACTCAGCCTGTGGTGTAGATGGCTCCCATAGAATGGTACACATGGTGGTCCTGCTCCCACCGCTGAGAAAGAATATTGGGTTCCAACACAGTGGTGGCCTCTTCTACCTATGGCTTGTGAAATCTAAGGATATACACTGTCTCACAACTTGCTTTTCACATATATTATAATCTGGATCAAATTTCAGATGTGTGTGTGTGTGTGTGTCCACAAAACTGAGAAGCTGTTAACCTTCAGGGAGCTTACTCTTCAACTTGCCCCCCATCTGTCTGATCCTACTCCTCTATGAAAAGCAACCGTCTCCAAACTATTTCTAGTTCTATTTCCCTCCTCACAGCACACATGTAAGTTATTGACTTTCCTTCCTCTAAAATTCTGTTTTTCAAACATGCCTCTATACAGTCACTGCAAGTAATTATTACACCTTTTTGTCGAATAACCACAAAGCCACATTTTTGTGGTAAGTGCACAGTAACAGCAAAATGACCTCTTAACTTCATCTCTGAGCCCGTTTCCAAATCTCCGGCAGCATTCCAACACTACAGTGGTGTATATTAAAAGATAGGAATTAACTAGATTTGGAAAGTCTCATTCAGAGAGATCATGGGAAAGATAAATGACTGACGCCTGTCAGGAAATGGCAGGATTCACTTTTAGAATATTTCATACAGAATACTCTAGACTAACTTGCAGGGCTTTGGCATAATTAAGGGAAGTTACTAAACGTTTCTATTCCTTTCAGTTTTTTAGAGTTTTACAGTTTGCAAAGCACTTTTTTTCTCCTAATTATCTCATTTGAGCCTCTGAGATGGGCAAGTTATTATGATCCCCATTTTAGAGATGAAGAAACTGAGGCTCCCAGAAGACCAGTGACTTTCTCAAGGTTTCTTAGCTATAACATAGAAGAGCTTGTATGAAAACACATTGTTCTAATTATACTGCCACAATAATTTCACCTTATCAAAGGTATTCAAACAACTCCATCAAATTGTTAGGCAGACATTCTTAACTGAGGAGGAGAAGTGAAGGAAATGCGTATTAGAGTTATCCAAGGGCTTGTTTGAACACAAGTGCTTGTCTTCATCTTCCTTGCCCTGGAAATAAACATATGCCTCAGAATGGAGGTAGGGAAAGAAGTTTGAGAACATTCCCCAGGTAATTCTAATATGTACCTTCTTGTTGAAAAGCACTGCATCAGGTTTTTGTCTTCTTGCTTTGTCCAGTCCTCTTTGGAGTGGTATACTCACTATACTTATTATATAATAAACAATGAATTTTGTCCAAGTCTGCCTTAAAAGTAAAGGAACTAATGATATAAAGGAGAAAATTGAAAGACAATGTCAAACTATTGGGTGACTTATGTGAAAAGACCATGAATAATCATTTACAAGATTGTGCAGTATCCACTTCAGAAGCAACTTAATGAAGAGCTGATGTTTGAATGTATTAATCATTAGTTCACTTTTTACTGTTCTAGATGATGGCAATGTGGATTCTCATGGTCATTTGAAACCCATGGGGGAAAATGGCTCTTCCTGTATTCAGGCCCTTTGTAGTGTGACTTTGTGGCAACTCCCATCAATAGGTAGATTATTGTTTACCCCTCAAATCTGGGTTGGCCACTATGACTTTCTTTGTCTGACAGCATGTAGGAGAAGTATTGTTGTGGCATTTCCGAACCTAGACCTCAAAAAGGCCTTGCCCTTGTCTTTCTTCTCTTAGACCCTGTCCATCAGCCAGGTGAGCAAGCCTGGGCTAGTTAGCTGAAGGATAAGAGACCATGTGGAGGAAGCCAGAGGAGCCATCCATCTGGGGCCACCCAAGGTCAGCCAGCACCTCTAATCACAGAGCCACGAGGGAGTTAGCCCAGATTTAGAAGGTGAGGATATTGACTTCATCTCTTGATGCAAGGAGTTGCAGTTACATTGCAAAGGGATGCAGATACAGGGAAGGTTGGAGAATTGCAGCCACTTTTGCACAATCTACCACAACTACTGCATTGTAGCTGCTATGCACATTAAATAAGTAAAGACATATGAAACATTTATATCAGGTCCTGACAACAAATAAGTGTTCAACAAGTGTGAGCTATTATTACTGTTTCTAAAATGGATCCCTTATCATGGAGAAGGTCAAATTAATGCTGCCGTGCCTCTTACTCTTAGAAACTGACACTGAAAGTTCCCACATAACTGAGGTTCAATCTATGAGCACATCCAGAAACTCAAGTGAGGGAAAATGCAATCAAACCACATATGAAAAATCAATAGATCCCTAAATAATCTTTCCCTCCTGAATGGAAGCAACACATTTGAAAACTCTTCTCCCTCCACCCCTACCAAAAAAAAAAAAAAAAAAAAAAAAAGCAGTGCATGTTGCCTCTTCTATTCAGGCTGTGACCAAAGGTTTCAATGGTAAAGATGACTCATACCTTAAAGAACTAGAAGAATTTTTTTTATGGCTTCTCTATCCATTGTCTTGCTCTCATAAAACTGCTGAATGACACCCAAGTGTAAAACCCACCAAAGAAATAAGCGCTGGATGACATGTGGCAGATTTTCCAACTCTCCAGGAAAAACTTCAGATCAACTTGTTTCTCTGGAAACTACTCACATCCGGGGGCTGTCCCTGTCCCCTGGGACTCATAAACGTTCCTATCTTCAAGGCACAGGTAAGGGCTTCGCATTCTTTGAGAACAGCAGCCTGTTTATTTCCTCTATGACTATAAAGCAACTTTATTGTACTTCAGTATCTAAAGGAAACAGAGCTCTGGGGTAGAAGGTGCCTTCAGGGAGTCACTGGTCCTATTTAGATGTCCTCAGAGAAGTGAGTTTGAAAGATGTTCTGGAACTCTTTGAAATGCTAGTTAATTTAAAGTTAAAAGGAAGCCTCTTCTCTTGTTCATTGTTCGTGGGGGCAAGAAGCATTTGTATAGTTAAAAAGTGCTTAGAAGATTTAGCTGTACATCAATTATTACCAAGCAATGTTTCCCTATGACTCAGCGACATATTACTCCAGGGCAAGAAGCTGTTCAGACGTTGAGAGAAACTCCTTGCTAATCAGTGGGATTCAGTACTTGACAGCTCCAAGGAGTAGTTGAAATCCCTCCCCTCCCCTGTTATACACACTAAGCTATATACAAATTTGGGCAGAGGAGTCTCAATCCAAAGAGAAAAACACTCATGTGATTAGAGAAGCGTGTTTTTCAACTTTGTTTTAAACATAAAACTAAAGTTTCATTTGATCTACTGGTTAAATTCTAGGTCTGTATTTTCTAAAGTCTGGTGTGGGGAGGAAAGCCCCAATAACAAATAATTCTCTGTGCAAATAGGTTAGGGAAATATTGCATACTATGTTTCACACTTGTGCATTCACAGCCCACTGTGGAATATTAAAGATTTGGAGAAGTCAGACAATACAGAAAGATGATTAGCTGTAACCCAATATTTCCAGAAGATACGTAACCAAGGGATCCTCCTTTGTTTTCTCTTTGAATTATATAAAATAAAACATATTGAGAGATCAAGGAGTCTTTGAGAGATCAGTAGACTTTGAGTAAAGCAGATCATTGTAATACACTTAGAAGGATGCTGTTTTAAGTATGTAACACAATTCCACATCTTTGAAAATAGTATGCACAAATGTTAGGTGACTTTTATAGCTTCAGACTTCTAATTATAAATTGTTTTATGTTTTGGGCCTTCTCTCCGAATCTAAAGAAATCTAAACAATGTATTGGAAACTAATCAAGTAAAAAATGCCTGAAACAAATGATCTGTAAGATTAAGGTACATATGCATAGGGAACAGCATTGCTATAACTGAAGATTGGTAAACTGTGTCACTGGGGCCAACAATGGTTCTAGAAATATCTATGAAAGTAGGGGATTCCTCTTCAGAGTCTTCATCTTGCTCTTTATTTCCCTTGTCCCATTTGACCTCTTGCTGAACCCTTTGCTATCCCAACTATTTCCTTGCCATTCTGCAACATGTGTCTATGAAGCCAGACTGGATGTGTACAAGGTCAGGGCTAAAACACCCTGGCCCATTGGTTCCTCACATGCATACTTCCTAGTAGTACCTTACCTTGCATGCTTAATTACTTAGGGGCTTAATTACTTAAAATTTAAAAATTTTTTTTTTAGAAAAATGCAATATTATAGATATAGTTGAAAACGCTTTGACCTCATCCCAAATTCCATTTTCATTCTCACCTCCTTGATGAGTCTGCTATATTTTCTTTTAAACTTTAAAAAATATTTTGACAAATAAATATGTATTATATATAACACATTTATGTATGTGTGTATGAGATGAAAGCATAACAATATTTTGTGCCTATATTTAAAAATGTTATCTACATATACCATATTATTTTCATTGCACTGCATCTTGCTTTTTTCATTCAACTTCAGGTTTTCTATATGTATCAGTGAGTTCACTTATCTGGTACACAGTGATCTAGGGAATGACACATCACAATTCATTTCCTGTTGCCCCATTGGTGAACCTTCAGAATGTTATCTTATTTCATCATTGCAAATAATGCTTCAACAAGCATCCTTGGGCCTGTCTTCTTGTTCACATGTGGAAGATCTTCTCTGGTGACATCGATTTAAACGTAGAATTTACTAGGATATAGGGGATGGGAATTTTTAAATGCAATTCCAAACCTTCCAAGGGACCAATGTTTCAGAGCCCATTGCTTTAGGCCACATTAATCTATCCCACACGTAGATAATGAAGGAGTGAGAGATGCAGAGTGGTTCTTGGCAAGGAGGATGATTTCTGGCTATCACTCCAATAGGCCCCTGGAGTGGATACTGTTGGTGTCTTGTAGATATTCTTTGCTGGCTTGCAGACCCATCTGCCTTGCTGCTGTAAGTGGGCTGCTAATGGCTCACAGCCGCTCCCTCCTCAGAGAACTGCTTTCAGCAAGAGCCATCAGCCTGAGGGCTATTCTCCCTTAACCCCCATCCAGGAAGCTCAACTAACACTGAAGTATGAAAGGACAGTCTTCTTGCCTCAAATTAACACCAACTCTTGTTCAGGTCATGCTCCAGAGCTTACCACTGCATCAGGCTAAGGCTAGATTCCATCTCAGTCTACACCCCTACCTCTTCCTGTTTCTCTCTTCTCTTCTTCTACGAGTCCTCCCTCAATATATCATGCACACCTGAGTTCTTGTTTTAAGCCCTGCTTCTAAGGAACCTGAACCAAGACACCCCTTTGTTCATTTTTTTCTGTATTTATCTTTTTCTTTACTTTGTGTTCTGTTGCTTTTGATTGCTGTTTCTTTCTTTTCTTTTTTATTTTTTTGCTCATTAGTTTATACTAATATGAGTTTATACCTGTTCTATCTCACCTGCCAAGAAAACAGAAAGTAAACCAATAAATTCAATTTTCACTTACTTTCAGGAAATGCACTGAACTCATTCGTAGGCAAAGACTTACAGTCACATTACCCCGCCGTCTGATAGCCTGGTGGGCTGATAAAGGCCTGAGCCCTTAGTTCAATTATAACAGTAATGTTGAGCTCCCTTCCCCAACTCCTTACAGCTTTCTCTCAGCCCTCTGAGTCACAAGTTTGTTCTGCATTCTCAGAATATGTGAACATGGCAGACAGTATTGCTGTCAGTGACCATTTCTTAATAAACGAACACAATGCTCACCAAAAATGAGGAAATGCTCCTGCGCCTTGTGCTCCAGAAGCATTTTTTTTTCATGGCATTTAACGAACCTTACTTGGGCTTGCCCCCCTTGGCAAAGCCTCCCTACCTCTGGTGCAGACACAGCCTAATGTTGCATCCTCTAGCCAGTGAGTTTGCTGTCATGGGACGTTTATAAACACGTGGCTGACTTGTTCGTATTTTACAATAATAATAATAGACATGGAGGCCCCGGAGCTCTAAATCAAGCATTCATCTGTGCTTTGAAGTCGCAGCCAGGAAGTAAGTCTCGAGGCCCTTTAAAAACAGCCCTGTTTCAAAGGGAGTGGCAGAGGACTTGAAAGATGAGCCTCTTTCTCTCATCCAGGCTCTGCCAGGGGTGTGTTGAGCACACTCACAACCCAAATTTCCCCCAAAACAACAAAAGCTTGTGTCTTCCAAGGACATGGGCTGTTGGTGAGACAAGCCAAGACCTCCTGGGAAACCGCAGATTTGGTTACGTCCTGGAAAGCTTTTTGTAAGTAGGAAATGTGACTCCCGGGCTTCAAGCTGTTAAAGAAGGAATTATCTGGCCTGCCTGGCAACTCAGCTCTAATTCTCCCATGGCTGTATTCCCACAGTTCCCTCCTGGGCAACCACCCCAAATTGACAGGTGTGGATGCCTTTTCCCAGGTTGAAAAGGATTAACGCAACCCATTGTTTTTGTTCATATCTTCACTCAAAGTTTTCCATCATGCAAGGCTGGAGCGAGAGAAGATTAGTTGCAATCTTACTTACAAATGTTTGCCTCTATTAGTGAGAGGATTTATCTCATGTCCCCAGTGTCCTTTCCACTACAATAAACTTCTGGGGCCCTATGCAGGGCAAAGAAGATGGTTTATCTTACACACTAGCATCCAATTGGACTGCGCTTACAAGGGCAGACTGAACATCTGATCTCCTGGAATCTGGACTCTTAACTGCTGATCCAATTTAAATATATATTTATATATATGTATATATAGATGTATAAATATACATATGCTACATATATACACATATGCTACATATATATAAACACCAACATGCAATGTGAATGGTAAAAATCTTAAATATTTGTCCTTTGAGAGGCCGAGGCGAGTGTATCACGAGGTCAGGAGATCGAGACCATCCTGGCTAACATGGTGAAACCCCATCTGTACTAAAAATACAAAAAATTAGCCGAGCATGGTGGCAAGCACCTGTAGTCCCATCTACTTGGGAGGCTGAGGCAGGAGAATGGCGTGAACCCGGGAGGCGGAGCTTGAAGTGAGCCGAGATCACGCCACTGCACTACAGACTGGGCGGCAGATTGAGACTCCGTTTCAAAAAAAAAAAAAAAAACTTAAATAATTGTCTATGTATCTCAAAAGGTTGATATGAAGATTAATGTTGAAAGCATATGTGTATATATGTATATATACACATATGCTACATACATATACATGTGGCATATGTGCTACATATATGTAGCATATCTGTGTATATATGGAGCAAATGTGTATATATGTAGCATATGTATATAATATAGCACATGTGTGCATATATGTATACATAAACTATTCTAATTATTTTAGTTCTCTGAAGTTAATATTTGCTTTTATGGTCCTTCAGTATTTGCTGGAATTCTACATAAATGGACTCCTAGTACTTAGCCTTTTGAATCAAACTTGCTTTATCCAAAAACCCATAGCATGATATATTTGGAATTTGTCTTTTTTTCTCTCTTAGACCTTAAAATAAAAAGATATTAACAGTTCTAAGAGAAGATCTGCTGTCAAATTCTAATTTTACTGAAGGGAGACATTCATGGGTAAAATAACCACAACTTTTTCATTAACCCTACTGAATCCTCACTCTTCACATGTGGGTTGATATGGTTTCACTCTGTGTCCCCACCCAAGTCTCATCTTGAATTGTAATCCCCAGATGTCAAGGGAAGGACCTGGTGGGAGGTGATTGGATCATGGGGGTGATTACCCCCATGCTGTTCTCATAATAGCAAATGGTTCTCATGAGGCCTGGTTGTTTTATAAGTGTTTGGCAGTTCCTCCTTCACATGTTCTCTCTCCTGCCACCATGTAAGATGTGCCTGCTTTCCCTTCTGCCATGATTCTAAGTTTCCTGAGGCCTCCCCAGACATGTGGAACTGTGAGTCAATTAGACATCTTTTCTGTGTAAATTACCAACTCTCTGGCAGTTCTTTATAGCAGTATGAGGAGAGACTAATACATGGGTGATTCTCCAGACTCCTGGTGTCTTGTTCTTTCCCCACCTACCACCAAAGCTCTCAGCCAAGCAGCAGCAATCAGTCACTCCTAACTTCTAGTGGATTGAAGACATTGCATTATCTTACCTGGCAGGGGTGGGGAGGGCAATAGTTTTTTAAATCTAGTGCACACTGTGGAATGAAAGCCATTACTGAGATTTTTATTAGGCAATGAGAAAAAGTAGAAGTTACATGTGAGAATGGGGTGTTGCAAAGAGCCTTCCTGAGCCCCCAAACTGAAATGGGCTTGTCTGGATATAAATCAGACTGGTGTACAATTTGAAATAAATTAAGAGTCTCTGAAAAAAAGTAAGAACTAGAGGCATCAACACACCCTAGTTCTGTTGTTACTCATTTAGGTCTCACATAAACATTTATGGTGATATTGTGTCATTACTTTGCATTATGGAAAATGATCAGTTTCAAATATCTTAGCAGAAGTAATAATAATATAATCATATAATCAATAGCTTCTGATTTTCCACTTGCAATATTAATCTTCACATCAACCTTTTGAGATACATAAATAAATATTTAAGATTCTTACCTTTCACATTGCATGTTGATGTGTAGAAACACAGTGTGGCCTACCATAAGGAACAGGGCTGAGACAGAAACCTCTGTTCTCCAGATTCGGAATTCAGTACTCTCTCTATCAGGCTGACTTGATTTAAGCTAATTATTTAGAATCAAAATGTATTTGAGGGAGGAATATAAAATCTTCCTAACTCAAGAAATTTGTAATATCCAATACGTAGCATTGATAATAAGAAAAATGGAATTATGATCTACCTATGACCTTACAACTTCTTTTCCCACTAAATTCACTCAAGGCCACCCTGGCTGGCATGGCCATGTGGGCCTCTCTTTAGCCATACACACCTTCCTACCATCACTCCTCAAATTGACAAAGAAGGCAAAATGGGTAAGAAAAATGTACTGATCTCTTATAGCTCATCATCATAATTCTGGAGAGTGATTGGAGGATTTAAATACATTTGTTCTAATTTTAGAAATGGTAGGTTCATCAAATACAATTTTATTTGTATAAGTTCCTGATTCTCTCTTAAGACTCTATCACAACATGCAGACATATCCTCATCTGGGAAAGCTGCATTAACAAGTCAGTGCCTATGGAGGTGGGCCTTGATTTTTTCCTGTAATGTCTTGTTTGGATTCTTGGGAACCATTACTGCCATTATGATTAGATTACCACTCAAGTAGCAATAATATTATTCTGCTCTCATAGAGTTTAATCCTGCTATATTTTTAATGTGCTCTCTACTTTTGGTCAGACCAATAGATTGCAGACAATGGAAAACATGATATTTTTATTTAAATAACATGAAATACAGAATATAAAAAAAAATTGAGTTAACATCAGTCCAGGTTAGGTAAAATTAGATGAATAAGCAAAATAGTCATCCTTCACTCCATCATTAAATTTACATCTTCAGTGCAGGTAGGTCGTTTCTCCCACTTGTCTGAGTCCGAGCCCTCAGTGTTCGTATTTTCACACATGAACTTCTTCTTAAACACTTTTACCACTTGGTACCTGTCTACCCAACCTGAACAGATGACCATCAATGCTTATTGGTGAGTGTAATGGCTTATTAGATACGGCAATATATACTTTTATGTCTAGTAGACTATTTAGATAGTTAAAAGCACACTTCTCCTCCTGATAAAATTTCAATTTTTTTTCTAATTCTTCCAAAGCTCTAATTCAGTGACCATGCTCTGAGCATATAGATTTGTCTCTTTTGAGTCCTTGTGGTGTTGCCTTCCTGAAAAATAATTTTATTATATTTAAATATAACTTTTACAAGGAAAGTGGTATTTCTCTGTTTTGGAAATGCTGACAAATGATGAAATAAGTTGCATTTTTATGCACGTGGATGCCACTTTAGAAGCCAGGAACAAACTAAAGGAATAAGGCGAATATCTTAGACCGTCCTCCTTTTACAAGACAAATGTAAAAGCCTAAATTTATTTCACGCCAAGAAAGTTTAAAACACAGGTATGCATTCAAATGGGTATCCACATGAACCTGAAATGAAAACGTGTGGCATTTCCCCTGAGTGGGCACTGACTTTGGAAGAGCACTGGGCAGCTGGCATAGCAAGGAATGTCCCCAGGCAAAGGGCTAGAAAATGCAATTGTTTGACTAAAGATGCAGTAGGAGACATGTTTGCCAAAAGGAAAGTTCAGAAGCTCTGCTTGAACATGAGTGTGAGGAAGTGAAAATACTTTAGATAGAATTTCTGTTATTGTCGTTAACAATGGGCTGGCTGATTCCCTGCTGGCAGATGGTGCCAGGGTTTCCTCTTGGAGAATTACATTGGGACAGCTGTGATCCATTCATAAAGCTCTGTCGTTGCTGAAAAAATGACAGCAAATATGAGAGCATGAACTATGAGTTTCCCTTAGATTAGAAGACTGAGTACACTTGGGGTGTCAAAATTACTTTGTTGGAATTTAGTTATGTATTGCTGCATAACAAATTACCCTCAGATTAGCAGCTAAGAAAAAAGTTTATTATCTCACAGGATCAGGAATCCAGGTGCAGCTTAGCAGGGTGCCTCTGGCTTGGAGTCTGTAAGATGCTGCAGTCAAGGTCCTTTCTGGGGATGCAGTCATCGGAAGGCTCGAGTGGGGGACGATCTGCTTCCAAGATCACTCACATGGCTGTTGGCAGGCTGGGAGGCCTTGTTAGCTGTTGCTGGAGTTATCAGCTCCTTGACACACTGGCCTCTCAATAGGCCACTCACAAAATGACAGTTTGCTTCTCCCAGAACAGGTATTCCAAGACCCTCCCTCTGACATACACACAGACACACACACACACACACAGACACACACACACACACACACACACACAGATAGAGAGAGAGAGAGACAGAGATACAGAAAGACAAAGAGAGACAGAGACAGAGACTCAGAGATAGGGAGAACGCAGGCCTTGATGTGGCAGAAGCCACGTTCTTTTTGTAACCTAATATCTGAAGTACAATTCATCACTTGTACTGTATTCCCTTCATTAGAAGTGAGTAAAGAAGTCCAGCCTACGCTCAAGGAGAGGGGATTACACATGGGCATGGATGCTAGGAGGTACAAGGGATCATTGATGGCTATCATAGAGGTTGCCTATCACAGTTGGTGACCATATTTTCCATTTTAAATGGATGCCAAGTTTATTTGCCTTCATTCAATCCTAGTAAGGTTATTTATATGAGACGAAATGCTTATTTTGAAAAGGAAGTCTGGTTTATTATACAGACCATAGTTATCACTAGATGTACCATCTTGGTTAGTGATCGTTAGCTGGCTTGTTTGGAGGCAATGGGAGGCTATGTTATTAGGCAGGGAGATGTGTGAGCTGGGCTCTTAGGACTTTGGACAGAAATCTACCACTTTCTTTATCTGTAGAATAGGCTTGACCATGAGAAATTTCCCTGGTAATCTTTGGCTAAATAATGGAAACACGTGCTTTAAAAGTGTCAGAATAGGGTAGAGTCACCTCTAGAAATAGCTAGTATCACTTATTTCATACATATGCTACATGTCTTTTGCATTATAGTGAGAAATTTACTATGTGTGGGTATTATAAATTGACCCTCAATACAAACAAATCTCTAGTTTCATGAGTCATTTTATAATGACCCATTGGTTAACAGGGGCATATTATAGGAAAATGACAAGCATTTCCATCAAGTCAATAAGAATTTGGATAAAAGAACATCATAGAATGTTACAGTTGATGAGGATCTTTGTGATTAATTGCCTCAACTCTCTCATTTTATGAATGAGGAGACATGCCAAAGCTGAGAATTAGCTAGAACAACTAGTTTACTGTTTAACCTATTACACGTTGCTGCTTTCACCCACGTTATAGAAATTAGGAACACAGAAGAAGAAAACAATGGCTTTACTTTCTGTGTCATCATACAAAAAAAAAATGGCAAAGGTTGGGAAATCTTTTGCAAATAATACTTTTAACTGCTAGCTTTTATATCTGTCTTTATTTCCAGGAACTATGTATTGTATTTCTATCTATATTTCCAGGCACTGGCCTAAAACATGAAAGGTATTCAGTAAATGGATACTTACTATGACAGGATCTAACCACTGGTGAGTTGCACAATCTGTTACTGTGTCCTAGTCTGTAAACTCATTACAGAAACTTGATTGGCTTCTGCAGTCACTATTGTAAGGTCTTGGTGGTGGGATGGCAGTTCTGGGGTGGTTAGGATATAAAAGTTGGAGGCAATATTCAAGGACAACATGGAGAAACTGAACAGGAAGCAATGGCATGGAGAAACTGAACAGGAAGCAGTGAGGCCTGAATTCTCAACACGGCTCTATTCTAGAGTTCCAGTTTGGGAATAAGAAAACTCAGGTTTCACTCTGTACCTTTCATGAGTTCTTTAATCTTGTGGAAATTACAAACTTTTTACCTGTAAAGTTGGATGATTAGATTAAATCAATGACTGTCAATTAATAATAATAGCATACCATTTGGGAGGGAGATATGCATATCAGAATTTCTGACATGAGGTAGGAAAAAAAAACATGTAGATAGAAAAAAATTTCTGAATGTTAGTGGTCAGAAGAACTTACTTTTCTGACAAGGGTAGGGTACCCTAGCAGAATTTTAAGATAGAAAAGTGGCATGTCATGCATGTTTATTAAAGGCTCAACTAGAAATACATTGAGACGCTTTGGTTGGATGATTGTCATTTCTTCCAGTCCTCAACTTCAGAGAGTCAGTGAGTGCTGAGGATCAGGGTCATTTGAGGAAACGATTTTAGAACAGGGGAAGTACTGAGGGAGGAATGAACTGGCCCCCAGCTAAGAGTGACCTGAATTGGTGCCAAGATTGGACACTGCCAGCAGAAGCAATTTCTTTAAATAAAGAACACTGAGCCTGTATGCTTCTATCCACCTCCGTTCAAAGGAAATCAAGATCCCAACTCCAGCTACCTTCTGTGAGGTGTCTCTCTCATCCACCAGTGAATTTCCAGGCCTAAAAATCACTTGTTAGTTTCCAAAATGTATAGCCCAAAGAAGCTATTCTTAGGAAAATGGTCAAAGAATGTGTTGATCTTCAATGTAAAGCCAAATTAAATTGTTATTGGCTTCAATGTTGAATGGCAAAAAACTCACTGCAGTTATTAAACCTATAATTTCAATTAATTACATTAGCACACCCAGGCTTTTTGAAGGTGGGGACAATGAAGAACATTCTTAAACTGACTTTTGTTTTATTTTGATTGATGTCACTGTATTACAGACCTAGTGACATTTTACAAAAATCTAAAATATTATTTATATGTTGATTTACTTATATATTCACTTATTCTATATTAAAATCTAAATTCTGGTAAATCTCTGAAACATATTGCAACTTTGGCTTAAGAATAGAAGAAAACTTGAAACAATTGTCCTGCCATAAAATATGGGAGATATAATTTATGACCAGAGGGTGAATTTGAAGCAATTTCCTCTTCTACCTCTAGCTGCTCTAAGAGAAGTAAGGAAAAGAGATAGTCTGATAAAACGTTTATCATGGAAAGGGAGGAAACAGTGTAGAAGGCAAACTTAGGCTTGAAATAAGGAGTCCTGGATTCTAAGGCGATGCTTCCAAAATTCTTGGCCAAGTCACAGACTCAACACGGACCACATCCTTCAGATTCTCTGAGTGTTCATTAGATTATTCCCTGTAACTTTCTCAAGTGTTGCAATATTTTTGAAAATTAAAAATTAAAGCAAAGACATGTATTTAATTCAATTCAATTCATTCAATTAAATATACATCGTAGGAAGTTTTCATATCTTTGTACAATATTAGAAAACTTCATTTAAAAGTTTTTAAACATGAGTTTACAAATATGAACTTACTATAATATATTCAACCATTCTCTCATTTCTAATTTTTCATAATAATTAATAACATTTCAATGACTGTCTTTGCACTGAAATTTCTGAGGCTGCCAACAGAGTGGAAAAAGAAGTGGGGCAAAGGTGGGAGGTGTGACGTAAATATCTGTGTATATACCTTAACTTTTTTTTTCCACAAATTTATCATTAAAAGCTGGAGTTTCACCTGGCTGGGTGCAGAGAACAATTATGTCAATTACTGCAGGAACAGTTAGTTATATAGGAACAATTTGGCCACATTTAGGTAATAGCATTAGGAAGGCTTTCCCTGAATAAAGCCAGGCTCCTGGGCTGGGCTAGGCTCAAAAAACCAAATTCCTCTGGCAAGAAAAGGACATTGTGGAAAAGGAGAAAAGATCCAGAAAGCTCTTGTACTAAGACCCCTGCACCACTGGAGAGCTTATAACAAACCCTGGTAAAGGAATTAGAAAAGAATGTAAAAGAATTAGGAGAAACCCAGGCAGGTTAGAGTAACTGAAAAGACTCTAAATAAAATTACTACATCTTCAGTTGTACCGAGGAACAAGATAAAATCATCTCTCTGCCTCCATCTCCCACCACTTCTTGACCTGAGCTTATGGTCTGCTTTAAAAAAACCCACTTATAATTACCCCCTCCCAACTCTCATGCCATGACATTCTCATGTTACCTCATCTGAATTTTTCTCTTTGTTCTTCCTGAATCAATCCCACATACCTTTAAGAATGAACTGAAGCCCTTCCTGACCTCCTAGCCTAAGATAAGCTGCTTTCTTCTGGTCTCTTAAAACACCCTGTGTCTGCTTTTGTTAATTCATCTACCACGTGATAATAAAATTTGGTGCCTACATTTCTTTTCGAATTAAACTTCTTGAGGAGAGATTTAGCCCAATTCATTATTATAATTCCAATGTCTACAGTAATATGTAAACTAGTATGAAGACTCATTTGTTAAATGGAAGAACTTCTGCCACAGTTAAGCTGGGCTCAAAAGGAATAAATAAGAAAATAATTGCGTGATAACCCAGTCAACTCCAGTTATTCAACTAAATAAAGTACCCTGACGGTAGATGAGGAAGGACTGTCACATCAAGTGTATTTTATGGTTCCATTTGCTTCTGTTTTTTATGTCCATCAGAACAAGTTTACTTGTTTAGTTAAATTGACATTGCATTAGTTGAATGTCAAAAGTAATGTGTGCTAATGGGTCAGCCCAGGACTTTGTAGAGTACAATTCAGTGCCCAAACGAGGCTTCCTGTTGTGGCTGAAGCACAAGTCTTATATGGAAAGATCACTTCTTAAAAGGAGCATTTTGTTTAATCCGCTGAGACAGAAATCAAGATGTTCTATCTTATTTTTCCCTGTATCGTTGACGATTTTTAACTTTCAGTGATCCCTCAACTGCTTTCTCATCTGAAAAATGAGTTGATATTTACCATAATAAATAAGTGAAATAAAGAGAGATAAGTAAGTATCCAGAGAGATAAGATTAATGACTAGGTTACTACCACTATTTTTCCTGTATAAAAAATTTTGGCAGAACTTGAGGGTCAACAGTCAGAGTCTTGTGAAAATTACTGAGAATTCCTGAACAGTTATAATTAGTTCAGTAACATGATAAAATGGGTGTTTTCTAAAGATCATTTTCTCTTATTTCAGCTGAATTAATTGCTTTGTGGAGATAAGAAAAATATCTTTGGCCACGGTGGCAGTATTACTTTCCTGGGTGGAAATTTTATTCTTTAAAATTTGAACCATAAGATGCTTTAATTTAGAAAACTGGGGCCCCAAATTACTTAGGGAGCTCCCTTTACCACATCGTGTTTTAATTATTACTAATAAGATCTTGATTGTTGTAGATTTGTGAATATTTAAAATTATATAAAGTATAAGATGTGTCAAGTAAAAAAGATGGAAATCTCTTGAAAAGTCTAAATATGCAGCAACTATTACTCTTTCATTGACAGATTTTACCAATAAAATTAAGGCACTTAAATGCATGAACATGATCTAAATGCCATATCATTATAAATTACTTCCTGTGTTCTCAAGCCTAAAGATTATTCAAGATCCTGCTAAGAAATTAAAGCCACATGACATTCTGAAATAAAAGTGTGCAGATGCTTGAGGTATGTTCACTAAAGCATGCAAAAATAGTACTAAAGTTAACAAAATTTTATTTAAACTCTCTCTCTACATATATCTGATATATCACTTCTGTCCATTTTTGTTTAGGGAGAGAAACAGTCACCGTTTATGTGTTATTGCACTATGCCAATTTTGGGTGCTTCCACACAAAACTTAACTTCTTTAATCCTGGAGAAGAAGTATTCCCACTTTGTTTTGTGGAACTTTTTGATGATAGCTACCATATCAAAACTCCGAAGGCAGAGATGTTAAATCCTGTTGACATTTTTCTTTTTAGCCCATCACCTTCAGGTCATGACTGTCCAAAGATGTCCCCACTTGGCTGCATCCCCTAAGTTTGCTCTGTGACCTACCAGCTTGGGGTCTTACTTTCTGCTCTGAGGTTGGAATGCTCTTCCCTCCAGAATGTACACTTTCCACAATCTCTATTCGATCATGCATCTGGCATGACCCTGTGGAGCTCCAGAAGAGTGTGTCTTGGTTTTTTCATGTGGCACTTTTGTGAAAATACAGTGCTGGCTTTCCCCAGTCATCCTCTGGGAGTCTTGGGTCTGTTATTTTCTGATGTCTGTCGCAGTGTTTTATAAAGTCTGAAAAACCATCATTCTTTCTTTTTGCCTTGACTCAACAAAGCCCTTTCATGTAATATGACAAGACACAATGTGACATATAACCCTTGATTACTTAAAATAATAGATCCAGCCAGGCACGGTGGCTCACGCCTGTAATCCCAGCACTTTGGGAGGCCGAGGAGGGCAGATCATGAGGTCAGGAGATCGAGACCATCCTGGCTAACACGGTGAAGCCCCATCTCTACTAAATACAAAAAATTAGCTGGGCGTGGTGGCAGGTGCCTGTAGTCCCAGCTACTTGGGAGGCTGAGGCAGGAGGAGAATGGCGTGAACCCAGGAGGCAGAGCTTGCAGTGAGCTGAGATCATGCCACTTCACTCCAGCCTGGGCGACAGAGCGAGGACAACCTCTAAAACAAAGAGAGAGAGAGATCCAACTCTTTCTCAATAGATTGAGTCTATAAAATGGACACAATGTGTTAAACTCAAAGTTACAAATAATCTATATGTATGGAGGAAATCACAGTCAAGTTGGTAACAATATACTAAGCTGTTTTTGGCCCTTAAGTAGAGTTAGTCTACACTGAACCCTTCTCAACCAGCAGGGTTTTACACCTGGTATTTTCAGATAGCAAATTCAAAGAGGCTGCTGATGGGAATGGCAAGCCATATGCTATGACTTCCTTTTGATAATGAACACTGCTAAAAACTACTATAAACTGTGGATGGTGATAGCTATCTGTGATTGCATAAATAGCCATAATTCTCCTCCATGCCCTAAATTCACATGCTTTGAAATATGACTTTGCAGCTCCTACCATCAAAACATGGAGTTGAATTTCCCACCCCTTCAATGTTGCTTGGTCTTATAATTTGCTACGACAAGTACATTGTGATGGAAATGAGGTTGTGCGGCTTCCAAGCCCGGGTCTCAAGGCTCTTTCATGTTCCCACTTATTATCTTGAAACCCTGGCCAGCTGCCATGTGAGCAAACTCAGACCAGCCTATGGAGGATGAGTGACCATTTGGAGAAGATACAAGCCATCTCAGCTGTGGCCATCCTAAATCAGTCAATCTCAGCCTCCTGGTCAAATGGTGGCAGAAACATGAGTGAGGCCAGACAGGACAGAGGCGCCTGGCTGAGCCTAGTCCAAATTGCCAACCCATGTTATGAACTAAAGAAATAGTTATTGTCTCAAGCTTCTGTAGTATTCCTATCAAAATAATATAACCTGCATCTAATTGTTAAGAAACACACAGGAATATGCTTGTATAGATTAATCTTCATATATTTTTCAAATATTAATGACATACAAAACAAAGATAGCTGAGGAACTGTTTGCATTAAAGAATACTAAACAACATTAAAAACTAAATGCAATACATAAAATTGAATTGTGTCCTAGACTGAAAATAATAGCTACAAAAGACATTATTTTGAAAATGGACAGAATTTGACTTGGATTGTATTGTATATTAGATAATAGCAGATACTCTGACTTACATTAAAATTGCATACTGATGAAACCATTGTAAGTCAAAAACATCACAAGTCAAAAATGTATTTAATACTCCTATAAACCCATCTTAAAAATACATAAATTGAACCATCATAATCCAGATGCTTCTTGACTTTTGATGGGACTATATCCTGATAAACTAATCTTAAAGTTGAAAAACTGTAAGTCAGACCATTGTAAGTCAGAAACTGTGTGTATGGTAGCACCTGCTTATCCACGATTTCTCTTTTCATGGTTTCCATTACCTAGAGTACAGTACAATAAGATATTTTGAGAGAGAGAGAGAGAGAGTACATTCATACCCTTTTGTTATAGTATATTGTCATAATCATTCTATTTTATAACAGTTAATCTCTTCCTGTGCCTAATTTATAAATTAAACTTTATTATAGATGTGCATAGAAAAAAACAGTATGTATAGATGTTTCTCCACTTATAATGGGATTACATCCTTATAAACTCATTGTAAGTTGAATATATTGTAAATCGAAAATCCATTTAATACACCTAACCTGACAAACATCATAGCTTAGCCTAGCCCACCTTGAACATGCCCAGAACGCTTACGTTAGCCTGCAGTTGAGCAAAATCATCTAACCTGAAGCCCCTTTTATAAAAAAGTCTAGAATATCCCATTACTTTATGCAATACTGTACTGAAAGTGAAAAACAGAATGGTTTCATACCATCCTAAAGGCAAAAATAATCTTAAGTTGAACCATAGTAAGTTGGAGACAGTCTATATAGGGTTTAGTACTGTGTTTTCAGGCACCCACTGGTGGTCTTGGAATGCATCTCTTGAGAATAAGGGGGCACTATTGTATTCCATCAATATTAAATTTCTCCAATTTACTTTTGTTTTGTGGTTATGTAAGAAAATTTTCATATTCTTGGAAGATACACAGTGAAGTAATTAGAAATTAAGAGTTATGATGTCTGAAACAATCTCAAAAGTTTCGTCAGTATTAATAATTTCAAGTACAAATGCATAAATATATTTATATGTAGGTACATGCATACAGATAGAGATGTAGATCTATTTAGAGAGAGAGAGGAAACAGCAGAATGTCAATGACTGAGGAATATGGGTGACAGGTATTGTAAAGTTTATTGTAATTTTTTTGCAACTTTTTGCTACTTTTTTTTCAATATAAAAAGCTAAATAAGGTATAAATGCCTGTATAAAAATGGAATAAAAAATAGTGTTTGATATTATTTTACTTATAACTTTATAACTTGGGGAACATGAAGAGAGTGAGGGAAGAGGTGAGGTTTGTTTCCATTGTGAGCATGAAGAGGACATGCAGGTTTCTTTCTGTTTCTTTGTGCAGTGCCCATGAATGGACCGTGGGGCACTCTGTGATCCCTTGGGATCAACGAATGAAGGTTTCCTATACTCACTGACACTTGTCCTCTCTCCCCAGTGAATCAGCCAATTCCTCATGTCTTCGCGGCTCCATCTACTGTCATGCAGTCATAGCGCCACAATTCACATTTCCCAGGGGCTTTGAAACTATTTAATAGATAATCCTCATTCCACTTTAGGAAGGTAAGAAAATTTAGATGGACCATTTTACGGAAAGACAGAGATAGGGAACAAAGATTAAAAGAACCTTTAGTCATGGTGTAAGTCTGTATTAAAACTGAAAATACTCCTCTTTGGAGCTTCTAGTGAGGATTAATACAGTAATTCACTTTCAAATATTATACTATAGCGATCTTCAGAAACTAAACATTAGTAATCGCAGGCATCATGTGTTATTCTTTGCAATTATTATTTTGCTGCTTCTCATATCCCCTGAGGATGTTTCAACCATTAAGCTCCTTTTAGCTGTGGAGATTTACTGCCTTTGTTGTGTGTGACTGACTCACTAAACAATAACACGGGATAAAGATTTTTGCTTTTATTTTCTTTTGTTACCTTATGGAGTACACTGGGGTGTGACTCCAGTGCTAATGAAATGTTCAAAAAAAAAAAAAAACTTTAAGTCTCAGCATTTTGAATATGAATACTAAATCCCAAGTGACTAGAGTGGGACCAGTTGTGACCCCAAATTGGAAAATTTTAGAGTTCATGTTTCCTTCTTCCTTCATTTTACAAAGAATCACATCTAAACAATTTGAAAATTGTGCTAGACCATTCTTCAGAGACTGCTTCTGTTTCAAAAATGGGTGAGACTGAAGGCTTATATTGAATTCAACATGGATTTCACCTTGGCACATTCCTAAAGAGTGAATAACTGAAAGATGCAGGAGACAAAAATGCGGGAAGGTGGGCAGTGTTCTCCCATGCTTCCGCTGAAGCTCAGAAAAGCACTCTCAGAATTAGGCTATTTTGGAAGCCTTTGCAGGGTGAGATGTCAAATGGGTCCCAAAGGTCTAGAAATACAGACTTATGTCACTTAAATATTACAATAATTATGGTGTCCTGCTTTAAAAAAGACCTGAAGCTTGCCTGTGGATGGGGATGTTAGAAAGGTTGCTCTTGTGAGTGACTGTGAAGGGTGGAGAGAGGCTTACTTGAAATCAGAAAGTTGTAACACTGGATATGTATAGTTGTGGCTCCTAGTGAGCTGAAGTAGCCAGTAGATATTTGAGGTGTCTGCTTGTGTGCATTTTGTGGACAGTTACATAGTTCATTTCGACTGAGTGCAGTTTTCTGTATGCATATAGTGTTCTCAAGGATGAAATCTTGCATATGTGAAATCTTTGCCTTTGTGTCCCCACCCAAATCTCATCGTGTAGCTCCCATGATTCCCATGTGTTGTGGGAGTGGCTGAGTGGGAGATGATTGAATCATAGGGGTGGGTATTTTTCTGTGCTGTTCTTACAGTGGTAAATGGGTCTCATGAGATCTCATGGTTTTGAAAATGGGAGTTTCCCCACACAAGCTCTTTTTTTGCCTGCTGCCATCCGTGTAAGACATGACTTGTTCCTCCTTACCTTCTGCCATGATTGTGAGGCCTCCTCAGCCACATGGAACTGTGAGTCCAATTAAACCTCTTTCTTTTGTAAACTGCTCAGCCTTGGGTATGCCTTTATCAGCAGCATGAAAATGGACTAATATAGTAAATTGTTACCAGTAGAGTGGGGCACTACTGTAGATACCTGAAAATGTGGAAACGACTCTGGAACTTGGTAACAGGCAGGGATTAGAACAGTTTGGGGGGCTCACAAGAAGACAGAAAAATGTGAGAAGTTTGGAACTGCCTAGAAACTTCTTGAATGGCTTTGCCCAAAATGCTAATAGTAATATGGACAATAAAGTCCAGGCTGAGGTGGCCTCAGATGGAAATGAGGAACTTGTTGGGAAATGAGGAACTTGTTATGTTTTAGCAGATACTGGTTGCATTTTGCCTCTGCCCTAGAGATTTGTGGAACTTCGAACTTGAGAGAGATGATTTACAGTACCTGGTGGAAGAAATTTCAAAGCAGCAAAGCTTTCAAGAGGTGACTTGGGTGCTGTTAAAGTCATTCAGTTTTAAAGGAAAACAGAGCATAAAAGTTTGGAAAATTTGCAGCCTGACAATGAGATAGAAGAGAAAATTCCATTTTCTGAGGAGAAATTCAAGCCAGCTGCAGAAATTTGCAAAAGTAATGAGGAGCTGAATGTTAATCACCAAGACAATAGGGAAAATGTCTCCAGCGTGTGTCAGAGACCTTTGTGACAACCCCTCCCTTCACAGGCCAGGAGGTTTAGGAGGAATAAACGTCTTAAATATTGGGTCAGGCCCATGGTCCCTCCACTGTGTGCAGACTAGAGACTTGGTGCCCTGAATCCTAGCCACTCTAGTCATGAATAAAAGGGGCCAAAGTACAGCTTGGGCTATTGCTTCAGAGGGTGCAAGCCCCAAGTCTTGGTAGGTTCCACATGGTGTTGAGCCTTCGGGTGCACAAAAGTCAAGAACTGAGGTTTGGTTACCTCTGCCTAGATTTTGGATGATGCATGGAAACGCCTGGATGCCCAGGCAGAAGTTTGCTGCAGGGGCAGAGCCCTCATGGGGAACTTCTGGTAAGGCAATGAGGAAGGGAAATGTGGGATCAGAGCCACCACACAGAGTCCCTAATGGGCACCACCTAGTGGAGCTGTGAGAAGAGGGCTACCGTCCTCCAAACCCAGACCCCAGAATGGTAGATCCATCGGCAGCTTGCACCGTGCACCTGGAACAGCCATCAACACTCAATGCCAGCCTGTGAAAGCAGCTGGGAGGGAGGCTGTACCCTGCAATGCCACAGGGGCAGAACTGCACAAGACCATGGGAACCCATCTCTTGCATTAGCGTGACCTAGATGTGAGACATGGAATCAAAGGAGATCATTTGGAGCTCCAAGATTTGACTGCTGGATTTTGGACTTGCATGGGGCCTGTGGCCCTCTGTTTTGGCCAATTTCTCCCATTTGGAATGGCTGTATTTACCCAATGCCTGTACCCCCATTGTATCTAGGAAGTAACTAACTTGCTTTCGATTTTACAGGCTCATAGGTGGAAGGGAATTACCTTATCTCAGATGAGACTTTGGACTGTGGACTTTTGAGTTAATGCTGTAATGAGTTAAGACTTTGGGGGACTATTGGGAAAGCATGATTGGTTTTGAAATGTGAAAACATGAGATTTGGGAGGAGCCAGAGGCAGAATGATATGACTTGGCTCTGTGTCCCCACCCAAATCTCATCTTGTAGCTCCCCTGCTTCCCATGTGTTGTGGGAGGGACCCAGTGGGAGATGATTGAATCATTGGGGCTGGTCTTTTTCTGTGCTGTTCTTGTGGTGGTGAATGCATCTCATGAGATTTGATGGTTTTGAAAATGGGAGTTCTCTTCACAAGCTCTTTTTTTGCCTGCTGCCATCCATGTAAGACGTGACTTGTTCCTCCTTGCCTTCCACCGTGATTGTGAGACCTCCCCAGCCACGTGGAACTGTGAGTCCAATTAAACCTTTTTACTTTGTAAATTGTCCAGTCTCGAGTATGTCTTTATCAGCAGTGTGAAAATGAACTACCATAATATGCAAACACACAATTCATGTTATGCTCAGATTCTTCCATAGTCTATCAATATCACTGACACAAATTTATGTTTCCAAAACAAGACTTAGAGCAGGACTGGCTGTGTATCTATTAGTGGCTATTCATGGGCAGGGCAAGTCATGAACCACTGTACTTGTTCCAAGTCACCTAGCTGGTCATTGGCAAAGCCAGGGCTGCAACCTAGCTCTCTAGATGAAGAGCTGAACTATCTTACCAGGCCACTATGCTATCATATCTGTTTGTGAATACAAGGGATAAAGTGCAGAACATGGAAGTGCTTTGAAAGGTATAAAGTGATCAATGTTATATGCAACTAGAAAGGCTATGAGTCTTTTATTTTGTTCTCTATGACAAGAGAACAATATTTCCACTCTGTTTCTTGTTATAAATAACTTTGCCTAATCCTCTAGAAAAGCAAGTAAGCAGAAACAAGTTAACTAAACCTTAGGTCAAGAGGGAAATGGGAAGAACTAGCAAAAGGAGATAATAACTCTCAGGGATGGAAGCACCTAGCCAATTGGAAGGGTGTGAAAAAGCGTGGAAATAGAAAATGGGACTGACAAAATGTACCTTTTCTCTTACAAATTAACTTGTGTCTTTGTGACGACAGCATGTTTGGGTCAAGAGTTCTTGACTTTTGAAATATATCAAAATTCTTAAGGAGAAAGTTTTATAAAAATAGAGGTGTTTTTTTTGTGTGTGTGTATATGTGTGTGTGTATATATGTGTGTGTGTGTATACATATATATATATATATATTTTTTTTTTTTTTTTTTTGAGACAGAGTTTTGCTCTTGTTGCCCAGGCTGGAGTGCAATGGCGCGATCTTGGCTCATTGCAATCTCCACCTCCCGGGTTCAAGCAATTCTCCTGCCTCAGCCCCCCAAATAGCTGGGATTACAGGCATAAGCCACCAGTCCTGGCTAATTTTGTATTTTTAGTAGAGATGGGGTTTCTCCATGTTGGTCAAGCTGGTCTCTAAATCCCGACCTCAGGTGATCCGCCCACCTCGGCCTCCTGAATTGCTGGTGTTAAAGGTGTCAGCCACTGAGCCCAGCACATAAATACATATATTTATTAAGAGAAGGTGGTTCATGTGATTATGGAGGCTGAGAAGTCTCACAATTTGTTGTCTGTAAGTTAGAAACCCAGGAAATCTGGTGATGAATACAGATTGGATCAGAGAACCGGGGAGCAGATGGTGTGAATCCCACCTGGAAAGCCAGAGAAGATGAGATGAAATGAGACATCACAGCTCAGCAGTGAGGAAAGACAAACTGGGTGAATTCCTCCTTTCTCCACCTTTGGTTGGTTTCAGGCCCTCAAAAGACTGGATGATTCCCAAACACACTGGAGAGGACAATCCACTTTACTGAGTCCGCTGCTTCAAATGCTAATCTCGTCTAGAAATACCCTCACAGACACACTTAGAAATAATGTTTCATCCAGACACCCCTTGGCCAGTCAAGTTGCCACATAGAATTAACCATCATACTCAGTACTACTCATTTAGAATTTCTGATAATAGGGCACAAGTATGTGTATTTGTTAGGGCCAAGTGGCTTTGTTGAGCCTTTTGAGAAAATAACTATGAGAAGGGGAGATTTTGTAACCTGAAGACCATCACTTAGCCCTAAGGAAGACTACCTCATTTATTGGCCTAAAATCAGAATTGATGAATGGTCTGTTGATCATGATTGCAAATATGTCTCTAGTGGTCAGAGTATATACCAATGACTTTTTTTAAAAATGCAGTTCCTTGTTAAATGTTAAATGCAGCTCCTTCCATAACTCCCTTCCTATCCATGGAAAAGGAAGCTATGGCAGGAACTGCATTTAACATTTAACAAGAATATATTTCTGTATATATCCAGAAGTATATCCATATACTACACTACAGATATGTTTCTCTTTTCCCCACAGTCAACCATTTTAGTAGGCTCAGTTGGGGTACTTTTATTTGAATGTGTTACTGAGTTTGTACATTTTAAATTTTTATAGATGATATTGTTATACTGCTTATTCTTCTTCCAGTGTTTTCCACTAGGTCCTGTATTATTAAAATCCAGTCAGATTGCTTTATAGTCAGTTAATCCATTGCTTCTACTAATGATTTCAATGGTGTGTCTATATGGTAAATTTCAGTAGTTGATCCAGATCTGTATCTCTTCCTGTATTTATGCCCTTTGCTAAGTAAATTTTCAGGTCCCTCCCACGTGGACAGAGTGACCTGCCCCATCCCTTGAAACTGGTCTTGGCCATGTGATTTGCTTTGTGATAAATGCTGACTTGATATAAGCAGAAGCTTAAAAAAGCATTTGTGTGTTTCCACTAGTTCTTGTACCTCTGTCATTGTAATGAAAAGACATACTCAGCTTAACCTACTGGTCCCAGGAAGAGGATGAGCAATAACGTGGAACAGAGCCAACCTAGACGTGTATAAGTAAGCCAGCTGAACTGTGAATGTATGAGCAAGTCAGGCCCAGATCAATGGAATCCCACAGATGCATGAGAAATAAATGCATGCTATTGAGATTTTGTGGTTGTATGCAACATTATTGTGGCAATAACTAACCAATAGACTGTACTATGAGAATTTGTATTCTCTTGCTGATTTTGAATTCAGGATGTCAATTATGGGAAGGCTAATCATTTGACTCAAGAATAAAACAACTTACAATGTTTACATTTATTTAAAATATAATTTAAATATATTTGTGTGTGTGTGTATATATACATATGTATCTCCTGTGGAATAAGACAAGTTTCATATATGTGTGTGTATGTGTGTATATATACATACACACACACATATAACATGTATATATACACATGTGTATATATATACACACATATACATATATATATAAAACTTGCCATATTACACAGAGTATTTCCTTTCTTATTATTTCATTTTATCATCTCAAGCCAAAGAAGCAAGCAAAGTAGCCTTTAAGTCCATTCTTCTTTCTCCAGTGATTACTAACTCATGCTTTTGTTTCTTCAATTATTTTATCCTGGCCCTTCAAGATACATTAAATTCTTTACTATCACAACCTAATTCCACCAGCCTTAACAAGAATATTCAAAATAGCTTTATGTCAGTGCACTGGCACAGAGAGCCAACTATTTACTTACCATGGGGGAAAATCTTACAAATGTGCATATTTTAGGTCCATCTTGTGGTCATACTTCTGTGCCAGCCAAACCAAAATCTAGATAAAGAGGGAAAAAAAAAAGAATGCTGAAATGGCTAACTCCCATTGCTTCATTATGTGTATTTCAGCATAGTAATCCTTTGTACTGACATAAAAATGGCTACTATGTACACATGAATTGCAAAGAATTCTTGGTAATTTAATGCTACAAATATGGACGTGAGAAAATTACTTTGATGAAAAATTCACAGTGTAAAACTTGGAGGGATTATCCAGCTGGAGAAATAAAATGGAAGAAAATCCCAATTTTCCAGAACGGAACATTAGAAGGAAAGTTCCTGTTGGAAGCTCCATGGGTCTCAGTGAAAAATGACCAAGAGAATTAACAATGGTCCTGCCCTTTTGCTTGGGCCCTGCATAGGAGACAGCTATGACATCCAAGGGAATGCAACTATGTCAAATACGACAGAAGCAGAACTATCAGCTACTGACCAGGAGGCTGACTCTGCAACTGCTGCCCTACCAAAGAGGCTCTTGTGGCGGCACAACTTGCACAGCCACAATTTAAAGGAGATTTTCTTGAGAAGCAATACAAAGCAGAGAACAGTAGTGGATGGAAAGTTAAAAGACCAGGTTCCTAGTTCTGGCTCATTCGCAAACTTCTATGTAATTCTGGACAAGTTATTCAACTTCCCTCTGCATCTTTCACCTTTGTCTGTAAAATTAGAACAGGAATGACAATGAGTTTTTCCTAGGATGCCAATATCTTGTGCTTCAGTAAAGAGAGAGGAAGAGGTGTTGTAGGCAACTTGCTTTTGCTATGCCTATAGACCTGATTGTTAAGATGCATTCCTGGTTCTGTGACTGACCATCCTCTCTGAAAAGCAGCCTGTTCATTGCTTTTAATATTACAAATACTCAAGCAAACCGGAAAGGCCAACATTTCTCCCAGCATTCCCTAAAAAAGATCAAAGAAAGGTAAGAATAATGCACAGTAAGCCTTTTCCGTGCTGATGGATCACACAAGGAGAAGGAAGTCAAAATAATCCATCTCCATCAACCTTCTGTAGCCTCCCTTGCCCTTACACCATTTGTTTAAAAATTACACTGACCTACCATGAAGAGCTGCTTTAGAAATCAGGGACTACCGTCCACCTGAGCTCCCTCCCTGGAGGAAAGGCCAGAACACTGGATTTGCTCCTCCACATTTCCACCTAGAGCAGATTGTATGTGTTTTAAAAGTGATGAGTTGTGATGGGGCCACTGCTTTGATATGGTCTTTGGTGGCCCTTGTGTCAAACAGTAGCCTTGAACACCACTCCAGGGAGAAGAAGGAGCAGAGAGGTCAATGCATGGTAATGTCGAGGGTAATGTGTCAGCTCATAAGTCTTCAGAATCTCCTGCCATGAAAAACAGCTGCAGCTTGCAAATGTCTGAAGCCTGAGCTTTTTCTGTCTTCTTGTTTTGTCCTTACGTGAAAAACTGTAACTAGATCCACTTCTGCTCAGCCTCAAAGGCAACCCATTTAACAAGTAGGCCCTGGGCCTGCCTGGTATTTGAGAAGAAATGCAATGTATCAACACCCTGCAGCATTTCATCTTACAGCAGCTTGGGCTGGCCACTTTTCAGCCTGGCTTGCTCTGCCTCTGGCATTGGGTGTGCTGCCCTGTCCCCATTAGCGTGTCATTAGTGCCATTAATGAAAATCCGGTTTTACACACTGAAAAGTGATCCGAAGCAGTCTTGAGGAAATGCTATAAAGCCTGCCCCTGCTGTTAGCAGGAGCCTCTGGCACACCTGCAGTTTTGACAGGGCTCTTAAAAGGTTCTCTCTCCTTGAATGGAAGGAGGTGCAGCAAGTATAAATAGTATAATAAATAGTACAATTAGCTTCATTCTGGGGCTGTGAAAGCCCTTCTCTGCATCAATATAAAGCCTGTGCATTCTATGATGAAACAGTGAAATGTTAGCATTTTGTAGTTTGAGGAAACTGGTCATTAACCCGAAGAACACGAATGGTACGCCAAGCCCAACAGTCTTAAATAATTCTCTGTGGCATTTTCCTGAAGCACAAGTAAAGAAATAAAAAGTGTTAATTTAAAATAATCATCTGTTTAGTGATAAACTCAAGCATAAATTAAGGAATCTCTTTTATACTATGCAATATCATGGAAAGAAGGCAGAGGCAATATTTTTTAATCCAAAGACTCAATATGGTATAGTTCAGTGAAGTTAGAAAAGCAAAAAGAAAAACTTCTGTTATTATTTCAGTAAGAAAGATACTCTTAATACTGAAATGCAGAATGAAGGCAAGGGACGGCCCCTGAACATTCATATGTACCTGAGAACAAAGTGAAGCTGTGAAATTTCTTTGAACACCATCTCAGCAAAGGTACATAGGACTGTGGCCATGACAATGAGGAAGAAAGTGGGTCGTATGAGTGAGACATTGATAAAACACAACTGAACTGTCTGGGACAGGGTTGTTCTGGTTCCATACTGCTGCCCTGGGGGATTATGAGTCAGCTCAGTGTCTGAGATGGAAAACCAAGGAGCAAAAATGACAAGTCACTGAGATCACAAAAGTGACAAAGGAAGCCAGGATGCAAGAAAGATTCAAGGATCATGGCTGCTGCCAAATTCTGCAGTTCTTTCATCCTAATTTGAAGCCTTAGTATTTTCCTTAGTGTAATTCAAGGTGTCTGTTCCTGTGCCTGCCTCTCTATCAAGTCACTATTCATGGGTTCTTTTTTAAATTTAATGTTTAAATTTCATTTATTATGTTAAAAAGTTATACAGGTAATCATAACTTATGTGTTGTTTGATATCTAGAAATTTAAATAGTAGCATTTACTATCTTTTTGAGTTTTGATTTGACAAGCAGATTTTGAGCTTTATTTTTCTCTTGTGTAATTCATTCACAAAGCGAATATCAGTTTATAGGTAGCTTGTGGTGTCCAGATAGGGAATCCTTGCTTGAACAGAGTGTAAACCATGCAAATAAAAATAATAAATCAAAGATAGGAGTTGAATGATTTTTTTCTTACTCAAACATACAATTGTATGAAAAACAAATTTTTTTTTCCAAAAAAATACAGTGTGGTTGCTTTTTATGTATATTTAATTTCTATGAATTTCAATAATACAAAATGATTTAAAAGTCTATATTTATTAATTTTATTTTTGTTTATTTAAAATTATTTGTTTCATTTAGTTACTTATTTTTAAATTGGGAAATAAAATTATATATATTTACCTGTGCAATATGATGTTTTGATATATGCGTACACTGTAAAATGGCTCAATCAAGTTAATTAACATAGACCTTACTTCACAAACTTGTCATTTTTCTTGGTGAGAAAACCTAAAAACTACTCTCTTAGCAATTAGGAGTAATCTTAGGAATAACTTCAAGAGATCTATTGTACAACATAGTGACTATAGTTAATAGTAATATACTGTATTCTTGAAAATTGATAAAAAAGTAGTCCTGGGTTCTTGGGCAAATTATTTAATCTTTCTAAATTTCTGTTGCTTCATCCATGATGGGAATAATAAACTCTACCCATCTCATGGAATTTCCATGATGATTACCAGTCAGATGTGGCATTTCTTTTTTTTTTTTTTGCCATAGTAATATTAACTACAGAACTTTCTAATGACAGGTATGCCGGATTGCTGGGAAAAAGGCAAAAGGTTTGATACCTTGAGTGTGTATAAATATAGGGCAAAAATATTAGGATGTGTTAAACACTGTATTGTGGTATTTAGGAATCCTAGTTTTATAATCAGATGGGTGGGAGTTTGAATAAAATTATGGGCCTTTCTAGCTGCGTATCTATGAACATGACAGTAAACCTATCTAAGCCTTGGGTTCTTGCTCTATAAAATGGGATAATGATAGTATCTGATAAAATCAAGTAAGATGTTATATACATAATTTAAATTTCAGTCCAGTGGCTTGCAATAGGAAACATACAATAACTTCTTACTATATATTTAATAAAAGTGATATATACATATATACTTTTGAAAGACAGTTGAGTATGGATATAAGCACAGTCTTAGAGATGTATTCAATATTGAAAGAGTATTGAAAAATTAAAAGAACAGAAAAGAACAGCAATAGATTAATAACGCATCCCTTGAAGAAGGAAAACGAAATAAATTACAGAGGAAGTTGTTTTATTTATTCCTCCTGAAGCAGTAGTTTCAACTCTGTATTTAAAGACCTCTTCCCAGTAGATATGCATTCAGTTATTTCGTGGCTGAATATTTCCAATGATAACAAATTTTTATATCTCAAGTTATCAGATTCTAGTTTTTCAGTAATACTCGTTTTAAAATAGATTAATCTCACATTCTCTCCAAATAAGCCTGCCTCTTACTTTCACTCTTCTGACTGAGTTTTATACCTGTTATAGTTCTGAATCAATCAGAGATCTTTTCCACTGACAGCCCTTCACATTTTTGAAGTCATAGGAAAAACATGTTCCTCCCTCTTTAGGAAGTCATAACTTAGCTCATAAAGCAGTGCCTCTGCCCTTTCAAATGTTTGGGAAAGAACAGTGATCCTCTTCAACAGCTCCCTCTCCAAGGGATAAACACATCTAGAGGTTAGTGATGAGGCCTTTTTTCTCTCTCTGTTCTTGAAATTGGGGCTTGATGTAAGGGCGGGAGTGATCCCATTTCAGCTGAAAAGCAAAGGTCAGCTCTGCAAATTCCTTTTCATGGGGGGTCATTACAAGGTCCAGACTTAAAAGGAAACACTAGAAATACTGACTAAGGCTACTAGCAGAACTGGCTACATAATCTGCAGAGCCCCGTGCACGGTTAAATGCAGAGCTCCCTTTTCAAAAATGGTGACTAATTTGAAAGTGTTGAGGGAGTAGCATTAAACCAAGGGCTGGTCTCTTCTAAGTGCGGGATCCCATGTGCGCCCTGGCTACCAGACAAAGTGTTTTTTCTTCACTTAATTTTATAAGTTGTAAAGTTAGTATTTTTAAATTTCTATCTGTCTAATACCTATGGTTTCTTAGTTGGCTGTAAACTCATCGGGCTTAGCAGGGAAAGGTGTGGGTGGTTTGTCAAGCTACATGTAAGAATGTGATTGTCTCTCCAGAATCTTTTTTTTCTAGGTAAAAAAAGTTTTGACAACTCAATGGAATAAATTAAGCCTTTAACTCAATGGAGTAAAATAAGCCTTTAAATGGTTACTAATGCTCTGCGATATGTAAAAAAAATACGTAACACGTAATGAGATAAAAGCAAAATATAGCACTAAACATCAAGTGATTTAAATTATTTAAAAACCACAGACATGGCTTATAAGAGACGATTACAGAGAAATGATAACAGTTGATATATCTGGATGATATAATTATGAAGGGTTTTTTTCTCTTATAAATGTCTTCGTATGTGAAAAAATTATTAAGTAAACCTGAATGAAGCTGCAAGAATCTTAAACATATAGCCTGAAATTCTCAAAACAATGAGAGAAAATTTCTCAGGATTAAAGAGGTCATACATCATCAGGATAAGAAGGTCTGTTGAGCAGAATGAATTGTAAAAGATATAGCTATTCACATATTGTGGTTAAATTTCGGAATGACAAAAAAAGAATGGTCAAAGATCCTAGTGTTTGGAGATTTGGAACAGATACATGCAAGAGTAAGTGGAGGGGAAATAAATGTACCGCCATATTTCCCAGTGCTATCATTTACATGTGAAAATAAAGAAATATACTTTCAGACATGCATTTATTCAGGAGTCTTATCATACCTAGACTTTCTCTAAAATATGCAATAGCAGATATGATCCAGTAGAGAAACAAACGAATCCAGTGTACAAGAAACAATAGTAAGAAAACCAGAGAATCCTATTGGTATCTCTAAATAACTTGTTAAAATATTTGAGGTTAAAAATCTCAGCTGAAAGACACAGCCCAGCAGCATGGTGGAATCACAAACACACCAGCTCTGGAATCAGCCAGCCAGGAACAAAATTTAGTTTGGGGTGACCTTCGGCATGGTACTTAACCTCTTCCTGCTTCAATTTTCTCATTTGTGAAATAGAAATGAGATATCATTTCTCATTTTAATCATGAGTATTAAAGAGGTTAATATAGATTTAATACCTGGAAGAACATCTAACATATAGTAAACAAAACAAATTTAGTTATTCTATAGATGGTAGTGTACATAGAAGGCTAGAGAGCTGAAATAATATTTTTATCTTATTCAGGGGGGATGGATTAACTGTAGTCTTTTGTTTTGTTTTAGAAAATCAGTGGCATATGACTAGGACAATATATCATGATGACATTGATTTATTCCAGAAATTTAAAGTTGGCTTATCCTTCAAAATTCAACTAAGACACTTACAACACTAACAGAAAAAAGAAAAAAAAATTTCTTAATTAATGGGGGAAAATATTTAAATGAAATTATATATTCATTAATGATTAAAAAGAAACTATTAGCACAACAGGTATAGGCAACAACTTTTAAGATCTGATAATAGTGTCTACACAAAACCTACAATAAACAGCACACAATGAAAATTGTCATTTGTTCCTTTAAAATTAAAATCTGAATAAAATAAAGGTGCAGCTATAGACTAGATGTCCTAGGTAAGACCTAGATAAGAAAAATAAACTGTTTAGAAATTGAATAGGAAGGAAGAAAAGTTTTATTATTTGCAGCTAACATGGTTTTGTACATTAAAAAAACAAAATACTCTGTAGACACATGGGTAGAATTAATACATTAATGTAACAAGGCCTTTGAATAGAAGGTTAATGTAAAAATCATATTTACTTCTGGACATCAGCAATAAATACATAGGTAATTCAATTTTGATAAAATAACACTTAAAATACTATCAAAAACATCAAATAGCTCCAAATATATCTAATAATAGGCATGAAAGACCTCTACACTGAAAACAGTAACATGCTATTGAGAAGAAATTTTGAAAGACCCAAAGAGATTATATGCATGGAATAAAAGACTAAACATTTTAAAATTTCAGTGTTCTCCAAATTGATTTAAAATACAGTGTAATTTAATGCAACATTTTTATCAGAGTTTTGATTATAAAAATTTAGAATCAAAGTTCCTTTGGAACTGCAAAAGAACTAGAATGGCCAAAGTGGTTGTTATTGTTATTAAATACAAACTAGATGACTTGTACTATCAGATATTAAGGCCAAATATATAGTATACGTATTAAGATATTGTGATATAGACACCAGGTAAATCAATAAATCAACAAAACAAACAAATGGAAAAGAATAAAGAAACCAGAAACTGCTCAACACATGTATGGTCATCTGATTTGTGTCAGAGGTAACACTAGTACAGTGGAGTAAGAATGGTGATTTTAGTATATGGTTTTGTGTTTTTGTATATTGATATAGAAAAATATATATGAATATATACATATATGTGTTGATTCCTATCTCATACCATACATAACAACAATTCCATAAAGATTGAAGGTCTAAATGTGAAAAGTAAAATATAAAGCTTTTAGAAAGAAAATGAGAAAATAGCTTCATGGCATTGTAGTAAGTAAAGACTTCTTAAACAAGACCCAAAAGGCTATTTATTTTTGAAAATGATGAATTGAATTTCATATATATATATATATAATGTGTCAACTAGTTATATATAACATACATCTAGTTATTTCCATAATATTGCTGCATATTCACTCAAAAATATATGTATATAGGTATTACATTAATATATTACATATATAAGTTGTTTCCATAATACTGCTGCAGATATGTATATATATTACAAAAATATATGTAAATAATAGTTAAAAATTGGAAATGACCCAAGTGCCTATTGATAGTAAGAAGGATATATAGATTGTGGAACATTTACAAAGTTGAGTATTATATAGCTCTGAGACTCCATGAACTATCTGCAACAGGAATCCATGAGCAATGAAACTCCATGAACCTATACTCAACAACATGGTAGAATATCAAAAACATAATGCTGAGAGAAGCCAGAAACAAAAGAATATATGCAGTATGGCTTAATTAATATAAAGTATGAAACAGCCAGGAATAACCTATCTGCTAGAAGTCAGGAAAGTGGGTACTCGTGCTTGGGTATAAGAACTACATGGTGGCATGTAGCTTTGCTGCTGGCATGATGATTATACCAGTGAGCTGTAAAATCCATCAAAGTGTACACTAATGATTTTTGTATTGTTCGTCACATATGTTTTATTTCAATTAAAAACTTATGAAAAACTCCTGGGCAAAAAGGCCAAATAGGAACAGCTCTGGCCTGCAGCTCCCAGAGAGACCAATGCAGAAGAGGGGTTATTTCTGCATTTCCAACTGAAGTACCCAGTTCACTTCATTGGGACTGGTAAGACAGTGGGTGTGGCAGAGGGTAAGCAGAAGCAGGATGGTGCATCACCTCACCCGGGAAGCACAAGGGGTAGGGGAACTCCCTCCCCTAGCCAAGGCAAGCCGTGAGGGACTGTGCCTGGAGGGATGGTGCTATCTGGCCCAGATACTATGCTTTTCCCACAGTCTTCACAACCCACAGACAAGGAGATTCCCGTGGGTGCCTACACCAACAGGGCCCTGGGTTTCAAGCACAAAACTGTATGGCTGTTTGAGCAGACACCGAGCTAACTTCAGGAGTTTTTTTCATACCCCAGTGGCACCTGGAATGCCATTGAGACAGAACCATTCACTCCCCTGGAAAGGGGGCTGAAGGCAGGGAGCCAAGTGATAAAAACTCAATGCAAATAAACTAGAAAATCTAGAGGAAATGGATAAATTCCTGGACATATACACCCTCCCAAGACTACCCCAAGAGGCAGTCATATCCCTGAATAGACCAATAGCAAGTTCTGAAATTGAGGCAGTAATTAATAGCCTACCGACCAATAAAAGTCAAGGACCAGATGGATTCACAGCCGAATTCTACCAGAGGTACAGAGAGGAGCTGGTACCATTCCTTCTGAAACTATTCCAAACAATAGAAAAAGAGGGAAGACTCCCTAACTCAGTTTATGAGGCAGGCATCATCCTGATACCAAAACCTGACACAGACACAATAAAAAAAGAAAATTTCAGGCCAATATCCCTGATGAACATCAATGCAAAAATCCTCAATAAAATACTGGCAAACCAAATCCAGCAGCACATTAAAAAGCTTATGCATCACGATCAAGTCAGTTTCATCTCTGGGATGCAAGACTGGTTCAACGTAAGCAAATCAATAAATGTAATCCATCACATACCAATGACAAAAACCACATGGTTATCTTGGGAGTATTGGGAGGGTGTATGTGTCCAGGAATTTATCCATTTCTTCTAAATTTTCTGGATATCTCAATAGATGCAGAAAAGGCCTTTGATAAAATTCAACACCCCTTCATGCTAAAAACCCTCACTGAACTAGGTATTGATGGAACGTATCTCAAAATAATAAGAGCTATTTATGACAAACTCACAGCCAATATCATACTGAATGGGCAAAAGCTGAAAACATTCCCTTTGAAAACCAGCACAAGACAAAGATACCCTCTCTCACCACTCCTATTCAACATAGTATTGGAAGTTCTGGCCAGGGCAATCAGGCAAGAGAAAGAAATAAAGAGTATTAAAATAGGAAGAGAGGAAGTCAAATAATCTCTTTTTGCAGAATGACATGATTGTATATTTAGAAAACCCCTTCGTCTCAGCCCCAAAACTCCTTAAGCTGATAAGCAATTTCAGCAGTCTCAGGATACAAAATCAATGTGCAAAAATCACAAGCATTGCTATACACCAATAATAGAGAGCCAAATCATTAGTGAACTCCCATTCACAATTGCTACAAAGAGAATAAAATACCTAGGAATACAACTTAAGAGGGATGTGAAGGGCCTCTTCAAGGAGAACTACAAACCACTGCTCATGGAAATAAGAGAAGACATGAACAAATGGAAAAACATTCCATGCTCATGGATAGGAAGAATCAATATCATGAAAATGGCCACACTGCCCAAAGTAATTTATAGATTCAATGCTATCCCTGTCAAGCTACCATTGACTTACGTAACAGAATTTTAAAAAACTACTTTAAATTTCATACGGAACCAAAAATGAGCTCGTATAGCCAAGACAATCCTAAGCAAAAAGAACAAACCTGGAGGCATCACGCTACCTGACTTCAAACTATACTACCAGGTGACAGTAACCAAAACAGCATGGTACTGGTACCAAAACAGATATATAGACCAATGGAACAGAACGGAGGCCTCAGATATGACACCACACGTATACAACCATCTGATCTTTGACAAACCTGACAAAAACAAGCAATGGGGAAAGGATTCCCTATTTAATAAATGTTGTTGGGAAAACTGGCTAGCCATATGAAGAAAATTGAAACTGGATTCCTTCCTTACACCGTATATAAAAATTAACTCAAGATGGATTAAAGATTTAAATGTAAGACCTAAAACCATAAAAATCCCAGAAGAAAACCTAAGCAATACCATTCAGGACATAGGCATGGGCAAAGACTTCATGACTAAAACACCAAAAGCAATTGCAACAAAAGCCAAAATTGACAAATGGGATCTGATTAAGCTAAAGAGCTTCTGCACAGCAAAAGAAACTATCATCGGAGTGAACAGGCAACCTACAGAATGGGAGAAGATTTTTGCAATCTATCCTTCTGAAAAAGGGCTAATATCCAAAATCTACAAGGAACTTAAACAAATTTACAAGAAAAAAAAAACCCATCAAAAAGTGGGCAAAGGATATTAACAGACACATTTTAAAATAAGACATTTACATGGCCAACAAACATGAAAAAAAGCTCATCATCACTGGTCATTAGCGAAATGCGAATCAAAACCACAATAAGATACCATCTCACACCAGTGAGAATGGAGATCAGAAAACAACAGATGCTGGAGAGGATGTGGAGAAATAGGAACACTTTTACACTGTTGGTGGGAGTGTAAATTAGTTCAACCATTGTGAAAGACAGTGTGGCAATTCCTCAAGGATCTAGAACTAGAAATACCATTTGACCCAGCAATCCCATTATGGGGTGTATACCCAAAGGATTATAAATCATTCTACTATAAAGATATATGCACAGGTATGTTTATTGCAGCACGATTCACAATAGCAAAGACATGAAACCAACCCAAATGCACATCAATGATAGACTGGATAAAGAAAATGTAGCACATATACACCATGGAATACTATGCAGTCATAAAAAAGAATGAGTTCGTGCCCTTTGCAGGGACATGGATGAAGCTGGAAACCATCATTCTCAGCAAACTAACACAGGAACAGAAAACAAAACATCCCATGTTCTCACTCATAAATGGGAGCTGAACAATGGGCACAGGGAGGGGAACATCACACACCAGGGCCTGTCAGGGGGTGAGGGGCAAAGGGAACGATAGCATTAGGAGAAATACCTATGTAGATGATGAGTTGATGGGTGCAGCAAACCACCATGGCACATGTATACTTATGTAACAAACATCCACATTCTGCACATGTATCCCAGAACTTAAAGTATAATTTTAAAAAAAGAAAAAAAAAAGAATTACACCAAAATTAAAAAAATGTAAAAAGCAATTTTCATGTATACATTTTAAATTTTATTTATATTATACATTTTTATATATAAATAAATATATATTTTTATTATATATACCATGAACAAATAGAAAATATTTTAATATGCTATTTATGATATCAAAAGAAGTCAAATTATGATTAAAAAATGTTTCAGAATTCTACCCAGCAAACTACAGTGCATAATTTAAGAAATAAATTGAAGATGTACTATGTCCATACATTTAATCAGAACAAATAATATTGTAAAGATGTCAACTCCCTTCAAAAGATCTTTGAACTCAATGTAATCTCAATCAAAATCGTGTGTGTGTGCATAAGTGCACGCACACACATACAGTATGTGATTAAATGTGTCAACTAGTTATTTCTATAAAATTGCTGCATATAAAATTATCCAAAAATTCAGAGGCTTAAAAGAGCGAGCACTTCTCTTGTTTTAACTCTATCAAATAAAGAGTTTAGAGGTCATAATTCCTATCCTTATCATAAGAAAGAATTGGATAAACTGAAAATTTGTGACTTTTCCTGGACACATCAGAGAACTGAGATTTCAGGGAAAACCAACACCCTGGAATCTGGAGAGAAAGGGGCACCTAGAGAGAGTCATAGCAGACATCTATTTACCTAGAGCAGTATCTACTGCAGTCATAAACTGGTAGGAACATTTAAATGGCAATTTTGATGAATTGCTGGAGGCTGAGTATGGACTAGAATGAATTTGAGAAACTACTGTGAGGGACGGTCTTGGTGGGTAAAGGTGTGGGGAGGAGGAGAGTCACACTTTCTAGGCTTTACCTTCAGGAGAACCCCACCAGTTTCTCGCAGTGAGAATCCGAAAATATTGACTCTCATGGTTCTGGTAAAGGAGCAAATGTGTAATAGTGAAAGCCTCCTTCATATCAAAGCCTTACTCTCCAGGAGAGAAAACTGTCACAGTTTTGTCTCAGCTGAGGAAAAGGCTTGATCTTGGTGCCACCAGTTTTTCTGTCTCACCTAAGGGGAAAAAGTTCACACAGTTAAGAGGGAGGTAATTGGCTTTAAGGAGATAAACTGGGAACACTTCAGCCAAGAACTGTGGTAGGGATGTAGGGGAAAGCTGTAGCACTATAGGAAAATTCGTGAAACTCACAGTCCTGAGACACAGACCCACTAAAAGACTGAGACTTAATGGGAAGACTATAGGATGCTTCCCACCTCTCAAATTTTACCACTGCATCTACAGGGCTCAAAGTGTAACAGTGAATTATAACTAGAAAAGCTACAATTACTCTTCTTTGAGGAAAAGTAATTATGAAAATCAAATATCAAAAGAGAACAAAACAAGGACATTACAGAAATGTTGTGACTCTGGCACCTATAGCTACAGCAAGCACTTAACAAAGCCAAACCCCTGTGCAGATTAACATAAATGCCCTCACTAACAGTCCATTTCTCTATTACCTAATACAGTACGTCCAACTTTCATCAAAAAATTTCAAGACCTGCTAATAAGTAAACAGATAAAAAACAAAATGAAACATTCTGAAGAGAGGCAGCAATGAAGCAATCATCACAACCAGATTCGGATATGAATCAGATAATCCTGGAATTATCAGACCTGAAATTCAAAGTAATTATAATTAATAGGCTAAGGCCGCTAATGGACAAAGGAGACAACATGCAGGAAGAGATAGGTAATATAAGCAGAGAGATGGAAACTCTTAAAAAGAATCTAATTAGAAGCACTGTAAGAGAAATGCAGAAAACTTTTGATGGCTGGATCAGTAGATTTAACATGGCTGAGGGTAGAGTAAGTAAGCTTGAAGATAGTCCAATAGAAACTTTCCAAACTGCAATGCAAAAAGAATGAAAAAGACAAAACAGAATATCCAGGAAGTGTGGGACAATTTCAAGTGATATAATACTCACGTAATTTGGATACCCCAATGGAAATTAAGATAGAATGAAGCAGAAAAAATATGTGAAGTAATAATGACCAAAATTTTCTATAACTAATAAAAGATACTAAATGGTACATCAAGGAAGCTCAGAGAACACCAAGCAGCACAAATATCAAACACACACACACACACACACACACACACACACACACACATCTCTAAGCATATTATATCATAAACTGCAGACAACCAAAGACAAAAAATTCTGAAAGACGTCAGAGGGAGAAAAAAATCACCTTATCTATAGAGAAAAAGGTTAAAATTACAGCAGACTTCTCACCAGAAACCATGAAAGCAAGAATTAAAATTAATTAAATTTTAAATTTAATTAATTTAAAATAAATTAATTAAAGTGATTAAAAAAAGCAAACATTAATCTGGAACTCTATATCTAGTAAAGCTATGTTTCAAAAATGAGGGATATTGACTTTATCAGACAAAAAATACTGAGAGAATTAATCACTAGCAGGCCTGACTTGCAAGAAATGCTAAAAAATTCTTCAGTTAGAAGAAAAATATTATAGGTCTGAAAATTTGCTATACATAAAGGAAGAGCACTGGAGAAGAAATAAATAATGGTAAAGAAAGATATTTTATTTTTCTTATTCTTCATTTATTTAAAAGATAACCATTTCTTTAAAGCAATAATAGCAGCAGTTTATTAGATAATTGTAATATATGGAGCAGCAACACAGATGACAGCAATATCACAAAGGGTAAGAAGGAAGAACTGAAAAAACCCTGGATAAGATAACCTCACTATATGTGAAGTGGTGTGGCATTATTTGAAGGTGAATTAATATCAGAACATAAGTGCATAAGTCAAGACTACATGCTTTTAAGAAACCATGATGATATAGTTAGAAAGGAGATAAAATGAACTCACATGAAATGCTCAACTAAAACCATAGAGGGCAGAAAAAGAGAGGAAGATTTAAAAAACAAAATAAACTAAGTACAATTGCAAGATATCGAAAACAGTCACAAATATGGCAAATATTATTATGACTATATCAATAATCACTTTAAATGTGGATGGTCTAAAAAGTCTACTGAAAATAGTGATTTCCAGAGTAGGTTTTAACACTAGAGACACAACTCTATGTTGTCTACAAGAAATCTACTTTAAATATAAACATTTCATTAAGTGTAAAGAGATGAAAAAATATATACTATGTTAAACCTAATCAAAAGAAATTTGGAGCAGCTATATTAAATTTAGACAAAACTGATTTCAGAACAAGGAAGATCATGAAGGATAAAGAAGAACATTGTATAATGATAAAGGGTCCATGCTCCAAAAAGACAGCAGTTCTAAACATATATGCACCTACAAACAGAATATCAAAACATATGAGACAAAAACTGATAGAAATAAAGGTGAAATAGAATAGTCACTATAATAGTTAAAAACCTTAGCATGCCTTTTTCAGTAATTGTTAGATCAAGGAGGCAGAAAATTAGTAAGGATATAATTGATCTGAATAGCACTATTGAGCAACTTGATCTAATTGAAATGAATAGAATACTGTAAATATGGATGTCAGAACATACATTCTTCTGAAGCTCACATGGAACATTCATCAAGATAGATTACATTCTAAGCCATAAATTACATCGTAATAAATTGAACAAATATAGATTATACAAAGTATGATTCCAGACCATAATGGAATTAAACTAGAAATCAATAATAGAAAGATAGCTGGAAAATCTACATTATTAGGAAATTAAAAGAATTCTAAATTACCCATGTTCAAATAAGAAAACTAAAAAAAAAATACTTAAAAAATTTGAACTAAATGAAAATGAAGATGCAGTTCACCAAAATTTGTGGGATGCAATAATAAAGACATGGATTCAACCTAGGTGCCCATCAATGGTGGACTGCATAAAGAAAATATGGTATATATGCACCACATTTTTATGGAATACTTAGTATTCCATACTATGCAGCCATGAAAAGAATGAAATCATTTCCTTTGCAGCATCATGGATGCAGCTGGAGGCCATTATCCTAAGTAAATTAATACAGAAACAGAAAACCAAATATTTTATGTTCTTATTCCTAAGTGGGAGGCAAAATTGGGTATTCATGGATACAAAGATGGCAACAATAGAAACTGGGGACTACTAGAGGGAGGGAGCATGGAGGGGGACAACTATTGAGTAGTATGCTCAGTACCTGGGTGATGGGATCATTAACTCTCAGCATCACACAATATACCCAATTAACAAACCTGCAGAGGTACCCCCTGAATCTAAAATAAAAGTTGAAAAAAAATATGAGATGCAGCAACAGTAATGCTAAGAGGAAAATTTATAGCATAAAATTCAAATACTAGAAAAAAACCTAAAAATTAATAACCTAATTTACCTTGTAAAACTAGAGAACTAAAGAAATATAAGCCTAAGCAAACAGAAGGAAATAAATAATAATAGGACAGAAATCAATGAAATTGGAAACAAAAAAATAGCAAAACTGAACAAAACCAAAAGCTGCTTCTTTGAAAAGATCAATTAAATGGATAAACCTCTAGCCAGGCTAACAAATAAAAAGAAGGAGAGACGTAAATTACCAATACAATAAATAAAATAGGTGCCAGCCCTACTAATCTCATAGGTATTAAAGAGAGAAAAAGAGGAATATTTGAATAATTTTGTTTCACACTTTTAATAACTTATATGTAATGAAACAATTCCTTCAAGGATACAATCTACCAAAATGTACAGGAGAAATAACCCAAATAGCCTATAGATATTAAAATAAATCAAATCAAGAATTAGTAATTTTCAAAAAAATAAAAGGACCAGGCCTAGATGGTTTCACTGGTGAATTCTACAAAACATTTAAGGAAAATATAATATGAATTCTCCACAATTACTTCTAAAAATAGAAGCAGCAGAAACACTTCCTAACTCATTCTATTATAGAAGTATTACCCTGAAACTAAAACAAGACACAGACATTATGATATAGAAAAACTGCAGAACAACATCTTTCATGAACTTTGATGCAAAATTCTTCAGCAAAACATTAGCAAAGTTTTCTAACAATGTATAAAGATAATTATACAGAATGATTAAATGGGATTATTTCAAGTATGTAAGGCTGGTTCAACATTTGAAAACAAATCAATTTATTCAACTATATAAACATGCTAAAGAAGAAAAAAATATATGCTAGATTAATTGATACCAGGAAAGCTTTTTACAAAATCCAATACCCATTCATAATATTTTAAAAACTCTCATAAAATTAATAAAAAAGGGTGCTTTCTGAAACCTAATTTGAAAACATCCACAAAAATCCCATACCTAGCATCTTACTTAATGATGAGAGACTAGCTACTTTTTTTTCTAAAACTGAGAATGAAAGATAGATGTCCTCTCTTACCACTCATATTTCCATTGTACTGGAATCCCTAACTAGTACAATAATAGAAAATTAAAGAATAATAACAGAGAAATTAAAGAAAAGCAACAAATAAAACAGTCTTTATTCACATAAGGCATGATTGTAAATCTCAAAAATTTCAAAATTTCTACCAAAAACTTCCAGAAACTAATGAGTGAATAGAGCAAAACTGTAAAGTACAATATCAACATGCAAACGCCAATTGCTTTCTTATATACCCAGAATGAACAGATGGAATTGGAAATTTAAAATGGTATTTAAAGATATTATTTAAAATAATATGAAGAGAGAGAAATATTTAGTATATAGCTAACAAAACATAACAGGAACTGGGTGTAGAAAACTACAAATTGATGGTGAAGAAAATAAAAAATATAATTATAGCGAGATAGTCCACGTTCATAGATTATATATACTGTAGAGATAAATTCTTCTCAACTTTATCTATAGTTTCAACCCAGTTATCCCAATCAAAATCTCAGGTAGCTGTTTTGTAGGTATTGACAAAATGATCTGAAGTTTACATGTAAAGGCAAAAGACATAGAATGGCCAATACAAACCTGAAGAAGCAAAACAAGTTATTGGACTGATGCTACCTAATTTCAAGACTTTCCATAAAACTACAGTAATTGGACTCTGTCAAAAAACAAACAAACAAACAAACAAAACCCAACAACTTATGCTCTGGAAAGATGTTAAGGGGATAAAAATACAAGACAGAAGCTAGAAGAAAATATTAATATTTGTTAAACACATATGTTATAAAGAATATGCATCTAAAATGTACATCAAACTCCTAAAATACAATAAGGTAAGAAATAATCCAATTAAAAACTGGCAAAATATCTGAAAAGATACTTCACTAAAGAAGACTTACATATTGAAAATAATCACTTGAAAAAATGCTTAACATCATTTGCCATTAGGGATTTGTAAATTAAACCAACATTAGATACAACTATACACATGATGAATGAAATGGCCAAAATCCAAAACACTGACAATATCAAATGCTGATGAGGATATAGAGCAACAGGAACTATCATTCATTATTGATGTAGTCACTTTAGAAGGCAGTTGGCAATTTCTTACTAAGTTAGCCATAGCCTTACCATAGGATCCAGCAGTGACACTTCTAGGTATTTAACTGACTGCTTTGAACACTAAACCCTTAAAAAATCTGGACATGAATATTTATAGCAGCTTTATTGATAATCATCAAAAACTGAAAGCAACCAAAATGTCATCTAACAGGGTAGTGGATAAACAAATTGTGGACATCCATTCAATAGAATTTTATTCAGTGATAAAAAGGACTGAGCCACAAAAAGACATGAATGAGTCTTAAATGCATGTTGTTCAGTGATTAAGCTGGTCTGAAAAGTCTCTGTGGTATATGATTCCATTTCTTTGGCATTCTAAAGAAGGCAAAATGATAGAGACGGTCAAGAGATCTAGGGCTTTCAGAGGCAGGGGGAAAGTTGAATAGATGCAATAGGGGAGGAGATATGGGGGAAATTTTAGGGCAGGGAAAGTATTTTGTATCATTCTGTACTGGTAAATACATGAATCTATCCATTCGTCAAAAAACCTATAGAACTCTATAGCACAAAAAGTGAAACTTAGTGCGTATTAGCTTAAAAAATTATTTAGGAGGCCAGGAAACCCCAGAAACAGAATACAGAATGTGACAAAAGAATCTAACTGTACTACAAATGTAAAACAACATCACTAAAGGGAAGTGAAGAAGAGATACTGAGCTAAGATTGGAAATGAGTAGGATCTGTAAGACTAAAACCAAAAGACACTCTATATAAGCACTGTACCTCAGTTGATAAGTGTGCATCTAATGGGGGTACTGTTAACAGTTTTTAAATAGCCACTATACATGTATATTGAAATTTTAAAATTAGGTACATAAATGTCAGGTGGTGGGGGGCATTTTTCTGACTGTTGGGAGTAGAATGCTACTGATAAGCAGGGGAGAAGTCTGGAATGATCCATGTGGTATTGGGTTAGAGTTGGAGACATTGGCATGATGTCGTATTTACCTTAATATAAATAATGATGGTTACATATAGAAATATTTATGGATATTTGTAAGTACACAGATTAGTGTACACACGTGTTTTTCAGGCTTTGTCAGCTTAAGAGGTCTAGAAGTAATTTTACCCAGTGGTAATGAAAACTGCATTTTTACCGTTCTATAAACTGAGAAAGTGCTCAAAAAAAAAAAAAAAAAAAAAAAATTCCGCAATGGTAAGTCTCTGTCCCAGGACCCAGGAGCTAACTGAAAGAGCTCTCAATAGCCAAAGCTGGAAAAAGATAAGCTGGAACATAATACAGGACATAGTGTTGTATTACAACCCAAAATATAAAATAAATGACCATGAGTCCACACTGATATAAATAAATGAATGATTGAATAAGTAAATAAATTGGGGAAAATAGACAAATTTGTACAGAAAAAAAATTATGTATGTAGTTACTCTCTGTCTTTAGGGAGAAGTATAACTACCAGTCCTTAAGCATTAGCTGTGCATAGTGACTTTCTTCTGAAGAGTTTAGAGAGAAATAAAGAGTAACTTTGTAATGGAAATGAAGCAGCATCATTGTCTAGGGTAAACACCCAGGGTTCATTGTCTCATACCAAAGGAATTGAGGATGCGGACACAAGAAGTGGGTTTAGGAGCGAAGGATTAATAGAAAAAAGAAAGCGAAAAGAGAGCAGCTTTTTCTGCTGCTAAGCGACAGGGGCGCCCCAATGGGACTTCCGTCTAGCAGTGGAATGCACCGGGTTTTATAGACAGGCTTGAGGAGGCGGTGTCTGATTTACATAGGATCCAAAGATTGGTTGGACCAGGTGTGACATTTACATAGCGCATGAGGAAACTGGTTGCCCTACTGGAATCTTATTATGCAAATGGAGTCTTTGCGTGGCCTGGGGCCATGTTGTGTGGTTTGCAAGGAAAGGGGAAGGTGGAGCCGCCATTTTGAATACGCCTAGCCCCAGGTAGCCTTTCCTTATTGGCACAGCTGCCAGCATTCACCCATACAAGCTTCCAGCTTGCGTTTTTGTGTCTGCAGCTCAGTTTTACAAACTGCTCTTTGTTAGAAAAGAAGAAGATTTGGGGGCTGCTTTTCATTAAAAAGAAAACCTTACTGAGGACTTCTTTACCGTCAGTATCTGCCTAAATAATTTCTTTTTAACTCCTATGTCAGAGACACCTGATAAACATTGCCACAGGCAGGTCATCAAGGTTAACATCTACACTGATAACTCAGGTTGATGATATATGTCAAAAGACAAAATCAGAACATATTTAGCTTAAAGATCTCAATTATCTTTATTTCAATTCTAGAATCAGGCAACATTTCATTCTATAAAAGAGAGGAAATGTTCCAAGAAGCTGAGCACATGCTGTTGGTTTTATAGACAGTAAAGGCTGAAAAAAGCAGAAACAAAAAACAAAAATCACATTGGTCATTTAGAAGTTACTTTCCTTGGAAGTCAGGAACAGGGAAACAAAACAGTAAAAAATAACTGATTGGTTAGCATCGGGTCACTTCAGGTTACCTTGTGTTTTAAGGATTAAAACAGAAGGAACTTCATTATCATGCCAATTGGAGTTTGAAATTGACTTACTGGCCGGGTGTGTGGCTCACGCCTGTAATCCCAGCACTTTGGGAGGCCGGGGTGGGTGGATCATGAGGTCAGGAGATCGAGAGCATCCTGGCTAACGCGGTGAAAACCCGTCTCTACTAAAAAAAAAAATACAAAAAATTAGCCAGGCATGGGGGCACGCACCTGTAGTCCCAGCTACTCGGGAGGCTGAGGCAGGAGAATCACTTGAACCCGGGAGGTGGAGGTTGCAGTGAGCTGAGATCCCGCCACTGCACTCCAGCCTGGGCGACAGAGAGAGACTCCGTGTCAAAAAAGAAAAAAAAAAGAAATTGACTTATTGAGTAATTGGTAATCATCTCTCTTTCCTGATTTCTGGGAATATCAGATAGCTTAGTTTCAGTTTAGTGACATGGAACTTTAGCATAGGTGACTCCATTTTGATTTTAGTCTGATTTGTTGGAGCCTACTACAGGAGCTTAGTCCAAAACAATGGCCTCCTATAACTTTCATTTAACAATATTTTTGATATGATGTAATGAGAAGGGGACTTTATTTCTCTATTTTCATCCTCCCCAAAACCCATAACCCCAGTTTAATCATTAGGAAAACATCACAGAAACTCTTAAAAGAGATGTTCTACCTCAGCAGTACTACTCAGTGCTTCAGCAATACTGCTCAAAATGGTCAAGATGATCAAAAAAAAGGAAAGTTTGAAAAATTCACAGCCAAAAGCAGCCAAGGAGACATGAAGACTAAATGTAAAGTGGTATTCTGGATGGGATCCAGGAATATAAATAAGACACCAGATAAGAATTGAGGAAATCTAAATAAAATACAGACTTTGGTTAATAATATCGTATCATTATTGACTCATTAGTTATAAAAAGTGTATCATATTAACATAAAATATTAATAATAGGAGAACCTGAGTATGGAGTACATGGGGACTCTACTAACTTTGTAAATCTAAAACTATTCTAAAATAAAAAAAAAAAAAATCCAAACAATTCTAAAGTGGTGAAAATGTATTTAGCAGAGAAAATAAAGAAAACTGGGGTGAAAAATCAAAAAGCCTTAATTACAGATCATATATCTTTGTTTCAAGTAGGAGATTCTTTGGTGTTTTTAGGTCTTACTCCAGTGTCTACCATAGTCATGTAAGGTATTAGTAATAGTGGAAACCGGGTATTTAGGAACTCTCTATAAATGTTTCTAGATCCATTTTTATTTTCTGTAAATCTAAAACTATTTTGAAATAAAATTTATTTAAAAATAAATAAAGCTAGGAGTAAACATATTTTTTAACAATGAGCATGCATTTGCTCTCCTACTGGAAGGTCTGAAGGTTGGCTGAGATGATTCTGCTTTAGTTTCAGGTTTGCAAGTCAGCTGGGGCAGCTTGGATCAATCTGGCTCATTTGGAGCCCTGGTTACCCAGCATATGCTCTTCTCATGGCAATGTCAGGAACACAAGAGAAAGAAGCCAACTAAACAAGCATGTCTGAAGCCTTTGCTCATCTCATATCTGCCAATGTTCTATCAATAAAATCAAGTCAACAGTCAAGCCAAAGTCAAGGAGAATATACCTGGCAGGCATCTGGCTATGGTAAATATATAGCTGTATAGTACTACTACAAAAGAAGGAAGACAAGTAATTAAATCAACTATAAGCCACAAATTAAATTGACTATAAACCAAAAATACCCACAGCAATCTTTAACAAGAAGGAGAAACCTGGATGATTTACACTATTAGCTATCAAGACATATAATAAAGCTATAAATAGTAAAACAGTGTCATATTGGCACGAGAGCAAATAAGTATTTTACTTGAATAGAACAAAATGTTCAGAAAGAGAGTCACTTACTATAGCAAAGGTGACACCAGAAGATTGAAGACATCATATAAGATTCACAATTACAGGTGGATTATAGATCTAAATATAAAAGATAAATTAATGAAGTTTCCAGAAGTTACTATATGCCCAAATGATCTTTATGATCATTTGTTATGCAAAAGATTTATTAAATAGGGCTCCAGAAGCACAAAACTTTAAATTTGAATATAGTGAGAGTGTTGCATTGTGGCTCAGCATTAGCATTTACTACTTATGTAGTTAAAATTAAATATGATTAAACATTTAAAAAGTAAGAGGTCAAATACATTGACTCTATACACTTCAATTCTCCATTAGTTTATAATGTTTAAAATTCTGACTCTCATCTGAGAGTTTTTGCTTTTTGTTTTTTTTGGCTAAAGTATTCATCGCTATAATTTTAGAAAAGATAGGCAAAGAGGCGGAAAGATACAGAGGCATTCCAGCAGCACAGTAAAAACAATCAAGTTAGCCATCCAAAAACTGAATTGAAAACAATGCCAACCAGCTTTCACATACACACAAGCAAGGTTTCACTGTGTAACAGCACATAAATGATAATCCTAAATCCTAAAGAGAAGAATACATAGCACCTTGGGCTTTTCCTTGGCAGGTGAACTGCATAGGCTCGGAGACATCATCTCATCATGACATTTCCTCCTCTAACACAGGGCTAGTTGGTTTCACCTGTAGGCAATATTGACTTCAGGTCTTGTTGTAGAGGGGATGGCTATGCTGCAGTTCACTTGAGTGACAATAAAGCACTGATATACTTAGCAGTCCCCCCAGATCTTCCAAGAAAGAGATCGAGGTCTCCCTGATTTTCTACATGGGCAAACCTAATGTCCAAGTTGTAAATATACACAGTGTGATTATGAATGTGGCATGTCAACTTAGTATAAATTTTAGTCAATTTCAGAAAGAGTTTTGTTAAATTTTGAAAATAAATTAATAATAAAAAATTAGGGAGAATTTTAGATACATGATGTATGTCAGGACATTCTTGAGGTTTGTGGGATGGTGGATAACTTTTAGTTGGTCCAGGGATAGCCTTTGGAGCTACCATGTGACACAGAATCCTCAGAACGCCGCCCACTTTGTCTCTGTTGTGGCATTTCCCATAGTCTCAGAAATGCAGATGTCAAAAATTTCTGTGATGTTTTTCATTTCTTTAGATAATGCCAATTTCTGATTTCTTAAGAAGCAACTCTCTATCTTACTTGAAAAACCACAGTAGAATGTTTTATAGGCATAATGAGGTCTCCATAGCAAAAGTCTCACTGCTAATAAATCTTTGTTCAGAAGGAACCAGACTGCCAAAATTCAGACACAAGAGAATTATAGTATTTTATTTCTAGATTAGCAAAGAATGACATTGTTCTTTTACTTTTCTCCCTATATGAGCAGCTCCGGTTTACTAAGTTTTGCTGTTATTATTATTGATTTTGTATTAATTTCCCATCTCACCAGTAGAACATGAATGTTAAAAAAGCAGTAAACATTTATTGAATCACATTCTTCATTACCATTGGCAGCCCTGTCTTCAAATCCACTAAACATTTGACCCATCCCTAAGGCAGTCTCTTAAACTAGAAAGGCCTGATAAGTCATAGACTGATACCCACCACCAAGGCTATGAAAAAGTAAAGACATCATGACGATCTAACGACTCATAGTTCTTTTCTCATCTGATATTCATTTGAAAATAAAGATTTTTATGTCTTTTACAATTGTCATGATAAAACATCTCTATCATACTCCTGAGATTGAAAAGTTTTGTCATAGTACAAGTTCTTAGATTATAGTAACCCATGTAATGAAATCATAATACTTACTATGTGTTCACACAGGTACCTATTTAAGTGAGGGTCTATAATTAATAAAGGATAATAGAAGTGCAATATCAAACTTAGTTACATAGACTTCACATTCTAGTGCATAAAGACTGGTAAAAAATAAACATAGTTAACTTTAAAGTCAATGGCAAATGTAATTCCACTTTTTATTACTATATAGTCATCTCCACTAATAATGTATTCATTTCCCATCTCACCAGTAGAACATGAATGTTAAAAAAGCAGTAAAAGTTTATTGAATCTTTTTTTGTGGTAGATACTGCTAGTGCCCACCTATATGCAGTTATCTCTTTCCTGGGTACAAGAAATACTGTTCTACCAACTTCCCTTGCAAAGAATTGGCCATATGTCTAGTTCTAGTCAGCGAAATGTGAATAATAGGGATGCATGGCACTTCCGGGCTAAGGGCGTGGATTATTTATTGTTATACAGCAAATTACCATAAACATAGCAGCTGAAAACAATATGCGTGTATCATCACACAGTTTCTGGGGTTCAGGATTCTGGCCATAGCTTAACCGGATCCTCCACTTCAGAGTCACAGGGCTGTAATCAACGTGCTAGCTTGAAAAGCCCAGACAAGATCCTCCTCCAAGTTCACATGGTTGTTGGCAGCATTCAGTTCCTTGCCAGCTGCCAGACTGTGAGCCTCAGTTTCTTGCTGGCTGTCAGCTAGAGGCTCCCTCAGCAACTTGCTGTACAATTCTCTCCATATGTAGCTTGTGATATGGGAGCTTACCTCTTCTAAGCCAGAGAGTCTTCTAGCAAGGCAGTTTCAACATCTTATGAAATGTAATGACACGAAACAATGTACATTTCCTCACCTTTGCCGTGTTCTAATGGTTAGAAGCAAGTCCCCGGCTCTCCCACACTCAAGGGGGAAGAATTGTGAAGCCTGGAGGCAGGGATCACGGGACAACCCCAGACATTGTTCAATGCAAACAGTAAAGTCCACTGAGAGACATTCTGGCTCTCTCTTCTCTTTTCCTACATGATGGATGATAAAATGGCAAAGATAAAGGTGCAGGCAGACTGGATTCCCGAATCACCACCTGGAATAAGATTGTCTTGATTCTCCTGAACAGTCAGCTCACCCACAAACTCAAGGGCATGAAATCTGAGGGCTTTTGCAGTCAGATTTGGTAGAGAGAGAGACAGAGACAGAGAGAGAGAGAGAGAGAGAAAGTGACATCCATGAAACAAAAGGAAAAGAATCAAGACACAGGCAATTAAAATGAGTTGTTTGTTTAAAGATAAAAGAAAGATGGAAAGTGTGAGGATGGACGAACACTGAGTCCAAAAAGTTGAGAGCTGATAGAGGGAAAAATGAGGCTGACTGAATGCAATGAGACAGAATGAATATCAGGGCAAAAATGAAAAAGCTTGAGGTAATGAAATCCCATTTTATTATATCTTTCAATACAAAGAATTAATAAAACAACCTAAGAAATCAGCTAAAAAGAGTAACATTAATAACATGAAAAGAAATATCCATGGTGAATTTTATACTTTTGTGTTATATCAAGGTCAAAGTTAATCTTTATTTCTTCTGCTCAAAAGCCATTGCCTAATATCCAGAACAAAGAATAGTATGTTCTGGACTGGGGTAATGCAGAATTAAATAAATTGAAAGCCTAATATTCAGAATACAGTAGAATAAGAATAAATATTTTAATTCAAAAATATAACTTTTGTATAAAGTTATATTTTTGCATCATGGTCACTACTTCATTTAATGGTGATACAGAAATACCCAACTCCTTTTATTCTTCTTTTTTTTTTTTTTTTTTTTGAGATGGAGTCTTGCTCTGTTGCCCAGGCTGGAGTGCAGTGGTGTGATCTTGGCTCACTGCAACGCCCACCTCCCGGGTTCAAACAATTCTCCTGCCTCAGCCTCCCGAGTAGCTGGGATTACAGGCGCCTGCCACCACGCCTGGCTAATTTCTGTATATTTAGTAGAGATGACATTTCACCATGTTGACCAGGCTGGTATTGAACTTCTGACCTCAGGTGATCCACCCTCCTCGGCCTCCCAAAGTGCTGGGATTACACGTGTGAGCCACTGCATCCGGCTGGCCTCCTTTTATTCTTAATGATGAAAAAGCGTTGAAAAACTGGATCATAAACCAGTGGTTTACAAACTTTTACTCATCAGCTTTACCTGGAGAACTAGAAAACATGCAAATTCCTGGGTTCCACCCACAGGGATTCTGATTCAGCAGGACTGGTTTAGGGTCTGATATTCTAACCTTTCTAACAAGCCCCCAAGTAATACTGAAGCTTCTGGTCCACAGTCTGTCCACACTTTGAGTACTGTTGCTCAAATGTTATGAAGAGGCTGAAATACCTTATTTTGGCTTATTGACTCATTAAGTTAAAGACATTTGTATAGCAGCTGGTGATAAAAGATGACTTTGGCCTTCATGTTGTTCCTAAAAGCAAAAGATTTAACTCCTGTATAAGACACTCTCCCTATACCCGAAGAAAAGGCAAGATGTTTGTCTTCAAGAATGAGAAGCTGGGACTGAGAGAATACTATACAGACCTTATTAGAATAACTCCTCTTTACCGGTCCCCCACATAGTTTAGCCACATTTTCACAGTTTACTATTCTTTGTTCAATCTGGTATATAAGTAATATACTCTAATTGCTTTGGGGAGGTCTTTATTTCTTTATGAGGGTCCCCATGACACATACAACTTGTTAAATAAATTTGCATGCTTTTATCTATCTATGTCAATTTAATTCTTAGGCTCTGCTGGAACCCTAAGAGGAGGAAGTTGAAATTTTTCTGCCCCCACAGTTACATATGTCAGTTGGTTAGTAACTGAAGTTCTTCTATATTTATCCCTAAGGAAAGACTAGTTAGAATTTATACCAGAATGTCTAGTATGGTTCAAGGAACATTGACAAAAAAATAAATAAATTGTGGCTTATTTCCTAGCCAAGTGTGTTCAAAAATAATGTCCCAAAATAAAGGAATCTAGCATTTCACTTTTGATTATAATATATAATTGTAAGTTCTAAGAAGATAGGTGAAAGAGCCTAATACATTTAAGGCACTCATAAATATTTGTTGATACATGTATGAATGCAAGGCAGAAATTATGGCCTAGAAATAAAAGCATATCAAGAATTGTCATAAAAAGATAATCTGACCTATTCTGGTTCATCTTAAAAAAGTGTGGTAGTTTGTCTGCAAAAATGTCTCCAATGCTTCATGCCTTTGCAATATGACTTTGGAACTCTTTCCTATAGGAAATGGAATCTCTTTTCACTTACTCTGCTTCCCCCCAACCCCTGACACACCCCACTCTACTTGTGTCTAGTCTAGTTTGGTGACTTGCCTTGTCCAACAGAATGCGGAGGAAGTGATAATGTTTTATTTGTGATTCCAGGCCTTTGGAATCGTGTGTACTTCCACTCTCTCTTTTAACCCATGTAACACCATGTGAACAAGCCCAGACCAGCAGTGCTAGAAGATAAGAGGAGGGGTGGGCCAGAGCCCAACTGTCTCAGATAAGGCCATCCTAGACCAGCCTATAGCCAGGCAATGCCAAAAATGTGATAGATTCCAGCCAAAATCAGCAGAGCTGCCTCTCCTCACAGAGTCCACAGACGTATGAGTGAGACCAAAAAAAGCTTCTGGCTGAGACAGAGCTATGACCATAACTCATGCCTGTTGTTTTGTTTCTGAGTCTTCTTTATTACCTCTGGTAAATCTGTCTTTGTTGAATTATGTTTTTAAAAATAACTTTTATTTCAGAGTATTTTTAGATTTACAACAATGTTTCAAAGCTAGGGCAGAGTTCCCATATTTCTCATACCCAATTTCTTCTATTGTTAACATCTTATACTAACATGGTACATTTGTTTAAATGAATGCACAATAATAATGCAGTGTTATTAGCTGAAGTTCATACTTTATTCAGATATTCTTAATTTTTACCTAATGTCTTATTTCTGGTCTAGGATCCCATTCAGGATAACACATTGCATTTAGTCTTCATATTCTTTAGACTTCTTTTGTCTGTGACAGTTTCTTGGACTCCTCTTGGTTTTGATGACCTTGACAGCAGTGAAGAGTACTGCTGAAGTATTTCATGAAAAGTTTCTTATTGGAATTTGTCTCCTGTTTCTTATAATTTGACTTGAGTTCTAGGTTTCGGGGAGGAAGACCACAAATGTAAAGTGTCATATTCATCATAATACCAAAAGTGATGTCATGTTATCAACATAACATCAGTATTGATATTAATCTCAATGATCTGCCTGAGGTAGTTTTTGTCAAGTTTCTCTATGGTAAACTTACTCTTCACCTGCTTTCCGTATTGTACTTTTGGAAAGAAGTCACTATGGACAGCCCACACTTAAGGAGTGGAAGAGTTATGTTCCAACTCCTTGAAGATATTTACATAAATTATTTGCAATTATTCTGCACAACAGTTTAGTATGTTCAATCCTATTTATTTATGTTACTATGGAATCATAGGTATTTATTTTATACTTTGGGTTACAATTCAATGCTACATTATGTATTGTGTTGCCCAGATCATTCTAACTTGGCCACTTGGGGCTCTTTCACTTGGCTTCCATATCCCATTTACTTACCCCATTATTGTGTGTGTGTGTGTGTGCACTTTAAGTACTTCCTCACTTTTTTGGCATTTCAAGATGCTTCAGACTTATATATTTTCTGCTTTAGTCCAAGAATCAGCCATTTTCCCAAGGTTTTGTTTGTCTGTTTTTTATTTGTTTTTTGTTTTGGAGAATGGTATTGAAAACCAAGATCTGGATGTTAGATGTGTTCATTGCCAATGGGGTGCGAATGCTTCTCAGCCTTCCCAGCTGACAGAGTCAGAAAATATATGTATGCATACTAACCTGTGTGTCTATATGCATGTGTATTAATATTTTCCATCTAATGATCTATATCCACATTCGTTTGAAGATGAATTCATGCTGCAGTCTCTAATTCCAATCCATTAACACATGTAGCCCATTCCACTTTCTTCTGTTTTCTCTCTCACTCCAACAATGAGAAACTTGGCTCTCACCATCGGTCATCCATTTACTTAATTGATCAGTTACAGTGTACATTCATAGTGGCTTCAGAATTGTTAGCCTATACTCTGTGGGAAACAACTTTATCCACTGAGGTACAGCGTTTGTGCACAGCTCCTTTTGCATTTGGTGTTACAGTCCTCACTCATTTTGAAAGTTACGTAAGTTAGCATTCCCCTGCTTACCATGCTTATTGTTTTAAGTCACGATCTTAGTTCATTTTGTGCTGCTATAGCAGAATATCACAGACTATGTACTTTATAATGAACAGAATTTTTTGGCTTACAATTCTGAATGATGGGAAATACAAGATTGAGGGGCCAGCACCTGGTGAGGACATTCTTGGAAGGGCAAAGAGAAAGTGAAAGAGGGTGAGAGGAGGGCCTGAACTTGTCCTTTGATAACCACTCCCACAATAATGAACTCACTTCCACAGTAATGACATTAATGCTTTTATGAGGCTGGAGCCCTCTAATCACCTCTTAAAAGTCTCACTTCTTAATACTATTGCATTGGGGATTAACTTTCCAACACATGAACCTTGAAAGATGCATTCAAACTATAGCAGTCATTGGGTTAAAGTGATTTGTCAGTCTGTGAATAGCTAACTAACACAGAGAAGGAAGAGGTAAAAATATTTGCAGGTTAGTTATATGAAAGTAGTTTGATATAACAAAAATAGTTAAAATATAATTAAGTTATAACTAAGTTAAAATATAACATTCTATAGAAGAATGATAAAATGTGTACTTAAATAATTTATAAAATTGAAGAAAGACCCTTAAATCTGTCATAATAATTTTGAAAGTATGTTAGATTGGGATTCTTTTTGGACCTGAGAAAAATGTCAAGTGTTAAAAGTCTATGAAGTGGAAACGAAAATAAACATATTTTCTTCCTGAGGTTCATGGCTGAGGCTTCATTAACAAAAGACATTAATTAAGAAGAGAAAAGCAAATCGATGTATTTAATATAAGGTTTACATAACACTGAGGTCTTTGTGAGGAAATGAAGACACAAAGAAATAGACAAATATGTGTATTTTTATGCCTAGGTTTGATGAAGAGTGGATAGTTATGGAGAAATATGATTGGAGGGAAAGAGAATAATAATGGTAATAAACGAGGGAAAACTTAGCAAGGCTTGTTTGTTCTTACTCTTCTCTTCCCTGTGTCTTCAGAGCTAAGAATGCTTTTTTCCTCTGGGCATAGGGAGGGCCCCTCTCAAATGAGGGTTTTATGACTTGGTTTAGGGGAACTGATGAAGGGACTGTGAGAGTGACTTTCCTGCTTCTGCCATTTTCTCAGATACCAACATACCATTGTTTGGGGTAGTGTATTCTGAACTCCATCACCTATGTACTCTTAGGTACATATTTTTAATAAATAGAGGTAATTTAAATAGAAAACAACGTTGTGATGTAAGTAAGGTAGTACAGATAATTGTTCAGTTTTTCAACAAAGAAATTTAGATAGAGGTTAAAAGCAAAGTATTTAATTAAAATATTTCACAGATAAAGCTGAGTCTTTTAAACATTAAAATTATCAAGGATGTGTTTGGGCTATAATATAATTGTGTGTCATTCCAGTATCTAAAACCTAGCAATTATGTTATCAGTTCCGTGACTGAAACAAATTCCAGCTCTCCAATGTCATTCCCATCCATGGAGGAAGTAATCTGGTGATCCAACCATCTTAATTTCCTTGTTCTCTTTCATATTTTCTTCACCTCAAGGTCTCTAACTCTTACATACTCAGCACAAAATAAACAATTATTCTGTCATTATGATTCATAAACCAATTAATTTCCTTCTCTAAAAAGATGTTAATCTTGAAAAAATTTAATGGGTAAATTAAATGCAAACTGGATTTTAAAAATTATTTATTAGTGATATGTTATTTTTGATTGATTAAAAGAACAAGAAAAGTAGGGAGTCATCCAGTTACCTAGTAAGTGCAAAATTAACTAAACAGCCAAATATAATATCCATTTTATCTTACATACAAATAATCTTAAAATATCTTTAATTTTAAAATATTTTTGCTTATATAATCCTTAAAAATGTTGAAAACTCAGTAATTTTTGTGTATTTCAAAGTTAACTCTAAAATTCTTCAACCTAATTTGAATGAATTGAAAACGATAAACTTTAAAAAATTACATTTGACTTTTTAAGAAATAAAAATTCTAAAAAAGAAAAGTATAATGACCAAATTTAAGAACACAGTGAATGAGTTTAACAGATGCTAAAACATAGATCAACAGAGAATTAGCAAAACGAAAGTTACATCAACACACACACACACACAATTCAAAAATGAAATAGGGAGTGAAAAAAGTTTTATAAATAAAAAAGATTAAGAGATAAAGAATGTATGTAAGAAAATCTAAATAATATTTAATTGAAATTTTAGAACTAAAGGAATGAGAGAATGGGTTATAGAGATTTTTTAAAGAGATAGTGGTTGAAAATTTAAAATATCAATCCATTCAAGAAATTTAACAAATTACAGGCAAGATAATAAGAATCATCCCCTCTTATATATTTCATAAAACAAAACAAACAAACAACAGCAACCCAGAAACAAAAGTAAAATAATGGAATAAAATAGAGGGAGGGAGGGAGTAGATTACTTTAAAGGTAAAACAGGCTTTCCAATGATTCTTCAATACGTCTATGTAGCCAGAAGACAAGAAAATGGCTGGCAACCTAGAATTCAGTATTTAACCAAAGTACCCATCAAGAAATAAAGAAATATGAAAACATTTTAGACAACCTAAGAGAGTTTCTTTTGAGCAGATCTTTTTAAGACATTTCAATACATAACACCTTGTAGGAAGAATGAAAGTGATCCCAGAGAGAAGAAAATGAAAGTAAAGGAAATGTTAAATATGCCAATAAATCTAAATGAATATTGACTCTTGAAAACAATAATGATAGAGGAGTTAATATATATTTATATGTAAGTAAAGTTAACAGTAATAATAACATGTAAGTTTTAAGAGTATCCAAAGTGCTCTAATTCCCTTATATTTTCTGAATGAGGGTAAAGGTGTTAATAAAAATTAAATTTGTTTAGTTAAATATACATGCCTTAATTTTTAGGGTAACTACTGAAAAAATTAAGAAAAGAAACAGTGTGCATCAGTTATTCATCATAGTATAACTATATTTCCACAAAGTTAGTTGCCTGAAATGATATATATTATTTTATCTCATATTTAATGTGTCAAGAATCCAGGCACAATGTAGATATGTTCTCTGCTTCAAAAAGAATGGGCAGTCTGGATTTTTAAAGAATAATTAGAAAACAATAATCTACTGTTTTTGGGAGAGATTTCTAATATATGAGAACGCACCCACATGCACACACACAAATGAAAACCAAAGATGTAAAGAGTATACCATGCATATAATCATTAAGAAAATATTTGTTGGTGTAGCTCTATTCATGTTTTGTAAAATGTACTTTAAGAACACACAGCATTTTTAGAAATCAAGAGAATCTATCCAAATAGCAAAAATATTCAATTCATCAAGAAGATAAAACAATTCCAAACCAATAATAAGATATTTCTTTTTCAGTAATTCATCAAAGAAGCAGCAAAGATATCAGTAATAATCTGAAAGATTGACCCAAAAGAATTAACAAACTTGTCCTCATAAATGCAGAATGCTGTACTCAATTACTGTAGAATACTTATTTTCTAGCATAAATGGAATATTTACACAAATTTACAATATGCTAAGGCATGAAACAAATCTCAACAATTCCAAAGCATATAATTTGAAGAATGTTCTCGAACAGGAGTAGAGTTCAGCAATAAACAAATCACAGAACATAAATAGAAAATGATTCAAAAAATGATTCACCCTGTGTGTAGGTAAGAAAAAAACTACATTTTTACTTTCACCAGTTTCTAACTAAAACTCACCATTTCTTTTGGTTTGAGATGGGGCTACAAAAAAAAAAAAAAAGACAGCAGGGTTTGTACTATACATAACTGCAAAATAGAATCACAGGTATTAGAAATAGAAATCACAGGTATTTTATTGTCGTATTTCCTGTTCCAAATCTCTCCAAGTATTCTTTATACTCATCACTACTTTGAAATTATGAATGAATTAGATCTAGCCTTGATTCTATTATTGTAGGTATTGATAAAAAAGCACATGTATGACTCTATTGGCCAGGGTTTATGTATACATATTTAAAATTTTAATTTATAAATTAGTATTTATTTGTATTTATATATAGAAATCCAAATACTAATATACTGTACTATAGTAATAGTATATAATATACTAATATAGTATATATTAAATACTAATATACTATACTAATACTATATATACTAATATACTAATATAGTATACTAATATAGAATATTAGTATATATTCTATATATTAGTAATATAGAATAGTATATATTGAATACTAATATACTATACTAATACTATATAAATTAGTTCTGTTTAAATATATAAAATTAAACACACCTAATATATAATTGACATATAAAATCATTAGATAAAATATATATATTTATTATTAACCTCATATTTTATATATATATATATTTATATATATATATTTTGTGTGTGTGTGTGTGTGTGTGTGTGTGTGTGTGTGACAAAGTCGTGCTGTGTCACCCAGGCTGGAATGCAGTGGCAGGATCTTGGCTCACTGTAACCTCCACCTTCTGGGTTCAAGTGATTCTCTTGTGTCAGCCTCCTGAGTAGTTAAGACTACAGGCAGGCACCACTATGCTCAGCTATTTTTTGTATTTTTTGTATTGGTTTTTTTTTTTGAGACGGAGTCTCGCTCTGTCACCCTGGCTGGAGTGCAGTGGCACGATCTCAGCTCACTGCAAGCTCCACCTCCCGGCTTCATGCCTTTCTCCCACCTCAGCCTCCCGAGTAGCTGGGACTACAGGGCCCGCCACCACACCCGGCTAATTTTTTGTATTTTTAGTAGAGATGGGGTTTCACCATGTTAGCCAGGATGGTCTCGATCTCCTGACCTCGTGATCTGCCCACCTCGGCCTCCCAAAGTGCTGGGATTACAGATGTGAGCCACTGCACCCGGCGTATTTTTTTATTTTTAATAGAGGCAGGGTTTTACCATGTTGGTCAGGCTGGTCTTAAACTCCTGATCAGCCTCCCAAAATGCTGGGATTACAGGTGTGAGCTATCATGCCTGGCCTATTGTATGTTATTTATATATTATTAGATACAATTATATACTAGATAAAATCAGATATATAGAAATATATTTATTATGAGGGATTGGCTCATGGATAATGGAGGCTGAGAAGTCCCGTGATCTTCCTCCTACAACCTGGAGGCCCAGGAAAGTCAGTGGTGGTGTTTTTGTCCAATCCTAAAAGCCTGAGAAGCAAGAGGCTAACAGTGTAAGTCCTGATCCAAGTCCAAAGGCCCAAGAACCAGGAGTGCTGATGTCTAAGGGCAGGAGAAGATGAATGTCCCAGCTCGAACAGAGAGGGCAAATTCACCTTTCCATTCCTTTTTTTTGTGGGGGGGGAGGGGGGCCCTCAAAGGATTGAATGAAGCCCACATTAGAGAGAACGAATCTTTTTGACTCTGTCTACCCATCAAAATGCTAATTTCTTCTGGAAACTTCCTCATAAAAATACCCCTAAATAATGTTTCACCAGCTATCTGTGCATCCCATAGCCCAGTCAATTGGATACATAAAACTAACCATCCAAATGGCTTTATCTCAAACTTGTTATTTTTCATGTTTTGGGGTAACTGTGTTCCAATGTAATCAGTTTTGTTTATAATTTTAACTATTTTGCTTTATAAAATTGTCCCTCGGTATGTGTAGGAGACTGGTTCTAGAACACTTCTTGGACGCAAAAATCCATGAACACTCAAGTTCCTGATATAAAATGGCACAATATTTCCATATATATATTTGTTGATTGATTGGCTGAATTTACCACCAATCTTAAAACTCATTGCTTTAAACTTGATTTGACGTAAAGGAGCATGTGCGTGCTTCAGAGTTATCAAGATGTTAAATTGGAGCTTTCAACTGAAGCACCAAGACATGATAGACATCAGATTCCAATCAGATGCTGAACCATGAGCAAAAGGAAATGATTGGGAACCATTTTGATAACTTTTGAATTTGTCACAAAAGGATAAAGGGTCAGTGATTGAATACTAGAGAGAAGATTTCTTTATGATGAGTTGTGCTATGAGATCCAGGTCCTATTCTAGAAAGGTGAGGAAACATTTTCTCTGCCCCTCAAGTTTACTGAGAGTGGCTTTACTGGGACCACTTGAAGAACTTGGAAAGTGTTGTCCTCATGGCAAGAAGATCACAGTGACTCGGGTCTGATCTCCACCTGAGTATCCTAAGGTAAAAAGCCTACAACTTTCAGCTCTAGAGGGCAGGACAAGAAGAAGTGAGAGTTGAGGATCAAATTTAGGAAGTAACCACAGTTCCAACAACAGTGGGACAAAAGATGCATTGGTGTCCTATGATCCGTATGTAGGTCAAATGGAAAAGTAGGAACCTAAAGCCACCTTGATTCTTGTCCAAAATGACCATTGAGTAGGCTGTTGGTAATCCAGTTGTGTGTGTTGAATGAGTAACCAGAAAACTAGTGGCTGAGGGCAGAGTCAGAGTTAGAGGAACAGAACACATCATCCACATCACAGGAGGTGGGTTAGCACAGCCCAGCATGAGAACCAAAATAAACCTTTGAAAGCGTCCATAAAAGTGTGATTTCAACCTCCACCAAAACCAGAGAATGTGAAACTATTTCATGGTAGTGTCTGATAAGGATTTTCTGCTCTCCTTTCCTTCCCTCCTGCCTCCTTCACTTATTCAAGGAGATGTTATTAATATAGCTATTGAGTGGTGGAGAGAAAAGGGAAAAAGAGAAACGTAATCATAGCTTCTCTCCAAAAGCAGGGAGCCAGCCTGTAGCCAGCCCCAGCTAGGGAGAAAACGCATGCTAATGTTAAATCTGGTTCAGAGTTGATTATTATCTAGAGGTAGATATTTTAAGTGTTTAATTGTGACTAAATGGCTTGAAATGATATATGACTTTCCTGTTATCATTGTTTTTAAGAGACGGGGTCTCACTATGCTGCCCAGGTTGGTCATGAATCCTGGGCTCAAGTGATTCTCCCACATGGCTAGGATGACAGCCATGCACCCACTACATCTGGCTCATATATGACTTTCTATTAATTTAAAGGTAACTATAAAACCATGATGACTGCCTAGATTTTTGTCTGAAAGCAGAGGAGGTAGCCACTTTGGCTTCCCACCAAACTGGTTTAAAGGGACAGTGAGAGAGAAAAATAAATCTCCCTTTGTGATCACACTCTATGAGTTACACACAATTAACATGTTGACCCATGAGTAAGGCTTGAAGGACTGATACATGAAGACCAATGTGTGGTGGGTGGGGTGGCAACTGTAGCCCATGTTTGAGTACGTGAGACCAATAACCCAACTCACATTGTTTTACCCTGTGATGTTGGACCAGATCCCCAGAGCTGCCTGAGCATGTGTTCACTAAACCAATACAAGACCGAGTACTTTTAAACAATAATTGTGCGTAAGAGCCAATAGCTGATTTTGTTAAATGTGAAGATTTCCAGGCCTCACCCAAGATATTCTGATTCATAAGGTTCAGAGTAGATTATTAGCATCTCAAGTTGTTATGATGTAGGTGGTCTGGCATCTCTCTTGGGAAACTTAGTTTTAGGGCAGTGCTTCTCAAACTTTAACGAACATATGTATCACCAGGACATGTGGTTAAAGTGCATTTTGTTTCATGGGTCTGGAATGTGTGAGATGCTGTGTTTCTTACAATCTTCTAGGTGATACCAGTCCAAGCACTTACCATTTGAGTAACAATGGTTAGGACACTGCTTCTCAAACCCACCTTCTTTGTCTTAAGAATACAGATAGAACTTGCTCAAAACACAGATTTTCAGGTGAGGTCTCCAACCTCAACTTTTTGACTCACAGTCTTCAAGTGAGACATCTAGGTAGTGAGGAGAATCAGACAGTGTCTGATGGAAGACATCAGGGACAGCCTCAGGCAGTATGAACAAAGGAGCTATGCCTGATGAGTAGGCAATATGGGGAAATAGAGGAAAAATCCAAAGCCACTAGTTCTACTTCAATCCTCCTGGACCGTGGGAGAAAATTCTAAATGTTTCTCTGGGTGGCTTATTACCCAAGTTCACCTCACACAAAGACTCTCACTCTAGCTTGGTGGTTTTCAATCATGAGTGCACACCAGAACTATCTGGAGGCTTAAAAACTATCAATGCTGGCTGGGTACAGTGGCTCATGCTTGTAATCTCAGCATTTTGGGAGGCCGAGGTGGGTGGATCACTTGAGGTCAGGAGTTCAAGATCAGCCTGGCCAACATGGTGAAACACCCTCTCTAATAAAATACAAAAATTAGCCGGGTGTGGTGACAGGTGCCTACTCAGGAGGCTGAGTAGGAGACTCGCTTGAACCCCAGAGGCAGAGGTTGCAGTGAGCCAAGATCGCGCCACTGCACTCCAGCCTGGTTGACAGAGCGAGACTACGTCTCAAAAACAAACAAACAAACAAACAAAGAAATAAAAAAATCAATGCTGGTCCCTAATCCCTAGAGATTCTGATTTAACTGGCCTAGGTATTGGCATTCTGATTTAACTGGCCTAGGTGCTGGAATTCTTAGAAGTTCCTCCCAGTAATGAGCAGTAAAAGTTGAGTACCGGAAGATGTGGTCTGAAAGAGTCCTGCATGAAGAAAATCTTACCCCATCATTTTGTAACTCTGGCTAAAATCCTTTACTTGTAGTCATTTGAGGTCAATGTATTGCTTCCAAAAGTTTTCTGTCAAAAACTCTCTTGCCCAAAATTGTATCATATGGACAATTTTACACCCATTAAAATACTGGCAATGTTGAGTCCCTCGAACTGCCCAACAGCCACTAGTGAAAAGCTTGATGTTATTTTTGTGTTATAGTAACTACTGGCATGAATTCCATTGCATCATGCTTTCCATTTGTACTTGTTATCTATTTTTACAATGGTCTTTAAGTGATATTTTATTATTGCTACAAGAAGATGAAGATGTGAAAACCCAGGGAGTTTAATTGATCTCTCTTTCAAGCTCTAGTCCTACAGATTGAATTGACTTAGTTAAAACTAAGGATGTTAAAGGAACTTAAAATGCAACATGACTAAATAAATCAAAATCTTCTCCGTCAACCTGGACCTCTTCCAGCACCTTGTCTCCATTAATGTCAGGGCTTTTGCTCTGGTTTTGCAATCCAGAAATCTTAGAGTTACCTTTGAAACCTCTGTCTCCTCTCCATCATCTCTCACATCCAGTCCTTCACCAAACCCGTTTGATTTTACCTCTTGACACCTGCTAAATGTACTGATTTTCTTCATATTCTCTACCACCACCTACTTGAGTTCCTGTGTAATCATCTTTCCTGCATTCAATCCTCCTCATCAGTCTACTTGAATCAATACCCCTTACCTCTTTCCTACCCATTTTCTCTTTTCAGACCATATTCTTTTGAAACCCCAAGTCTCTTAGGATAAAGACAAGTCTATTTCTGTTATAATAAAAACAAATATGGCTGAGTGTGATGGCTCACACCTGTGGTCACAGTGCTTTGGGTGGCCAAGGTAGGAGAATTCCTTGAGGCCAGGAGTTCAAGACCAGCCTCGGCAACATAGTGAGACTCTGTTTCCACAAAAACATTTTTCTTTTTTAAATAGCTAGGCATGGTGGATCCTGCCTCTTGTCTCTAGATACTCAGGAGACTGAGGCAGGAGAATCATTTGAGCCCAAGAGTTTGGGTTAGTGAGCTATGATCGTGTAAGAGCACTCCAGCCTGGGTGACAGAGAGAAACCCTGTCTCTAAAAATAAAAGACAAATGCAAATGCCTTAACATTAAAAACAAAGCCTTCCATGATCTTGGCCTTCCTCCTCTCCAGCATCAGCTCTGGCCTCCCCTACATTTTCTTTATTTCAGCCACATGGACCTTCCCTCTGTCCTTCACATCGCTGTGCTCTCATCTGCCAAAGGACACTGCATATACATCCACCTTACATCAAACACAATTCCTCCTTGTAGTCATTCAGTTAACTTCTACTCATCCTCTAATTCTCAAACTCATCGTCAGTTTCTCAGGAAGGCCTTCTTGCTTCTACATTATAAGATAAACTATTTCAGTTATAATAGCATCAAGAATCACCAGCTTGTCACACTTAGTGCAGTTGCAATTTGACATTTAGTTATGATTATTTGACTAATGTTTATATCCTCCATAAGATGACAAGCTCCAGGACAAAAAGAACCATAAATCTTCCCAATAAATCTCCTGCCTAGAACACTGCCCAGCACATAGTAGGCGCAATTTAAAAAAAAAAAAAAAAGCTGAACGAATGAATTAATTAATGAAATACAAGAGCTGAGTGTAATAGAAAAAAAATCATGTTATGCAAAGAGTTTATCTGTGGTTTTAGAACATTTAAACATATAAACTCTAAGTAAAATCTTATCTGGAGCCAAACCATATAAGGCAGATAGAAGCTGAGTGGGACTTTGGTGAAACTGAGAGTGAGGGCCTCAAAGACTGACACACAGCTTCCCAGACCCTTGCACCACCCTCTCGTGTGTATATCAACCCCCTCTCTTCCAAAACTCTAGGGCTTCTTAGGTCACTGTTTACCAAACACTGGCCTAGGCCAAGATATGCATTTAATAGAGGAAGAAGCTGAGTATAAGAGAGGTTAGGGACTTGCTCTAGTAACCAGCTAGCTTTGAATCTGATTGTTCTTTACTCTGCTTGCTCTTTGGATCATAAGGCACATATTTCATGCTGATATCTCTCCTTTACATTCTATGCTCTTGTCTCTGAAAACTTCTCCATGTTATTGAACATGCCTTAAAAGATCCATACATCTGGACACAGTTTCCTCTCCTTGGAATTCCCTTTTACTATTTTTTCAGAGAGCCATGCTTAAGCTGCCAAAAACCTACATTTTCTAAGACCCCAGCAAGCACTATCCCCTTCAGCCAGTCTTCCGTAACTCCCTGGGATAGACTTGATACATCACCCTCATTGTTCCAATAGCACTTTGCCCAAACCTCTATGTGATGGGCAGAATTCTAAGATGACTTCCAAGATCCCAGCCTCCTGGTGTACTCATCATGCACAACTTTTTCCAAGACTGTAAATATAATGGGTTTTACTCCAGTGATTAGGTAATAGCACAGTTAACTTTAAGAAAGAGAGATTACCCAGGTGGGCCTGATGTATGTCATGAGTTTTTTAAGTCTGGGTCTAGGATCAGAAACAGAGGAAGTCAGAGATGGGTAGCATGAGAAGAACTAAACACACAGGAAATTCTGAAGATGGAGGAGCCACATAAGAAGAATCTGAGAGTGGATTGTAGGAGCTGAGATTACCCCAGCTACTATCCAGGAAGATGATAAGCACCTTAGTCTTATAATCCCAAGGAAATGAATTCTCCCAACAACCTGAATAAGCTTGGGAAAAAAGTTTAAGCTCCAGATGAGAACACAGCTAAGTTGACATCTGGATGGCAGCCTTGTGAGGCCTTCTGCAGATCACCCTGCCCAGCCCACTTGGACCCCTGATCTAGAGAACTGTGGGATAATAAAGGATGTTGTTTTAAGCCCACTTTTATAGGTAATTTGTTACAGCAACAACAGAAAACAAAAATACTGCATCATCTCTGTCAATTTGTTGTTTTCATTTATTTCATATTTACCTTTCCCAACAGATTGTAAACCCTTTCGGGTCTTGTCATTTATTATTTTAATCTTTATGCCTTAGCATATGTTTGACTTTCTCTTTCCCACTAAGTTGTTTTTTGCTACTGAAAGTATGGTCCTCAGCCAGAAACATTTCGGTCACCTGGGAGCTTGGTGGAAATGCAGAATCTCAACTGTAGTGAATATCTACTCAATCAGAAATGCCATTTGAGGGTCCCGCAATTTGTGTTTTAACAAGTCTTCCAGCTAATTTTTTACATGCTAAGGTTTGAAAAGCCTTGGTTTGAGGTAATATTGATGCCTGAAAAAGTAATGTGTATGTGGAGTCAAGGAGAGAAAGAGAACAAGAGTAAACTTGGAATTCTTCCTATACTTCCCATTATTAGCTCCAAATTCTGTTTTTAGGTCGGTAATTGATGTTATTACTCAAAGAAAGAGGTTCCTTTGTTAAAGCAGCTGAATTGATAGAGATATTGATAGATTGAAATAAAATAATATACTAATTACATCATCAATGCACTTCTATTATTGTGAAAAGTAGAGATTATCAATATGAAAATTTAACAAAATTAATCATTTAAATGTGATCAGCTAGAGTAGACCAAAGTTTATTTTCAACTGTAAGTTAGTATTTGGATGGGTGGACTCTTACTCCAGAGACTGGAGAAGTCAAAGACATCCAGACTTTTTAACCTATCACCTCATAAGCACTTCAAGTGGAACTGCATAGGAAGAACTAGAGGAAGGATAAGAGTAGTCACAACTAAGCATAATGAAGACATGGTGCAAACATAGTCAACTAGTTGATTTCTAAGACTCCTTCCAAAACATAAGGGTCCAGTTTTATGGATCATAGTGGGGAGATATAATTTTAGAAGGCCCATAGATTGCTTTATTTCAAAAATTGCTTCAATTCCTCATGTCTGGCAGGAGGAAATTGCCATTCAAAAAGTTCCTTGCAGAGGGTTCCATGGCACAGCCACACTGAGAACAAGGTTCCTGGTCCCCATGTTGTGCCAAAGGAAAAAAAAAAAAACACAACAATGTAATTTGTTCCTATTAGTAAGTAAATAAGTGATAAATGAGTGCTTGAAGCTGTAGAAAACATTTTGGTGTCTTTGAAATGGCCCATCATTGTCTCTATTTAAAGAGTCTAATCTGTCAGATGAATCCTCCCAATTAGAAAGACCCAAAGGAGAGCCTTCTTTGCATTGAGGTTGCCTATGAGTAGCTCTGGCATGAAGTTAGGTGAGTCATTTAGTAAGGTGAGCCATCAATTTCCTCATCTATTTTTTTCTTAAGGGAGTGGGGAGAGGAAAATATCCCAATCAACTACAAAGAAAAACTTAACACTTTGAAATAAGCAAAAGAGATTACTGGATATTCTTTTAATAAAATGCTACAGCCTCCTGGGATTATCTAGTCCCATGGAATACCCTCCATATCTTTGACTAGGCCATTGTACAACTCAGTAGAGATCAAAGTTAGCATGTAGAGAACAAGCAATGCAAATTACTCTTGACCATAAGCATGCAAATAATTCTGTCTGAGGCAGGGTAGAGAGGCAAATCTTCCTCTGAAAAAGGTGACTTTGTGTCCATTTTAAGTTTTCAATATTCCTGATTTAGAAATATATCTGTTTTTGGATTTTTTTTTCTTTGAGCCAGTTTTAACATCTTTTTCAGTTTTCTCATTTAATTAATGGATTAAATAAAATATCTGATACATGTTCACTTTATATTTCTGAATGAGAGTCACAGTGTTACCTTTTCATGAAAATCATCTTTAAAAGCTACTAATCAGGTAGAGCTAGCAGCTGGCAGGATCCAAAGAAAAGCCACTGTATCAGTGATGGCCTAGCTAAGCCCATGGGCCAACTCCAACTGGATGCCTATTTTGGCAGAGCCCAAAGCCTCTGCAAAACAGAAATTGTTTTTAATTTTTTAAATGTTTGAAATAAATGCTTTAAAATAATTTTTAAAGGTTTTAAAATTTTTATTTGAAATGTTTTTTAAATTTTTAAGAGGTAATAAGAATATTTCACAACACATTTCAAGTTTTCATTTTATTTCCAATTTCAAATTCAAATTTTAGTGTCTATAAGTTTTTCCAAAAAAAATACAGTAAGTCACCAATAGGTTCTTTGAAAATGTAACTTTAAGCAAAACCACTTATAAAAAAAACATGTTTTTTCCTTATCATTAGGCTTTGAAAAAAGAAATGTTATTTGAGGACCTGCCGTATGTTGTTTCACTTAAAGTCATAGTGATATGGTTAGACTTTGTGTCCCCACCCAAATCTCATCTTGAATTGTGGTTCCCATAATCCCCACCTGTCATGGGAGGGACCAGGTAGAGAGAATTGAACCATGGGGCTGTTTCCCCCATCCTGTTCTCATGATAGTGAATAAGTCTCGTGAGATCTGATGGTTTTATAAAGGGCAGTTACCCTGCACATGTTCTCTTGCCTGCCACCATGTAAGACATGCCTTTGCACCTCGTTCGCCTTCTGCCATGATTCGTTGTCTCCCCAGACGTGTGGAACTGTGAGTCAATTAAACCTCTTCCCTTTATAAATTACCCACTCTCAGGTATGTCTTTATTAACAGCATGAGAACAGGCTAATACACATAGTTTCCAAGAATTTATTGACGAAGTTAAGTAAGGACTTAAACTCTATGCCATTTATGCATTGTCTTTGGATACTTTCTCCTAAAAGGGCTGAATCGAAAAGTTGTGACAAAGAACCTATAGCTCACAAAGCTGAAAATGTTTGTTATTGGGCTCTCTATAAAAAAAGTTTGATAAAATCTGCTCTAGATTATCTTAAAGCAGTTCTTTCAAATGTTAAAAAGAATATGAGACTGAGCACAGTGGCTCACTCCTGTAATCCCACCACTTTGGGAGGCCAAGGCAGGTGAATGGCTTGAGGTCAGGAATTTGAGACCAGCCTGGCCAACATGGTGAAACCCTGTCTCTACTAAATATACAAAAATTAGCTGGGGGTAGTGACACATGCCTGTAATTCCAGCTACTTGGGAGGTTGAGGTAGGAGAATCACTTGAAACCAGGAGTCAGAGGTTGCAGTGAGTCAACATTGTGCCACTGCACTCCAGCCTGAATGACAAAGTGGGACTCCGTCTAAAAAAAAAAATATGAATCACATAGGATCTGGTAAACCTGCATATTCTGTTTCAGTTATCTGTGATGAAGTTTGAGATTTTGCATTCCTAACAAACTCCCAGATGACGTGAATGTTCTGACTCATGGTCCACACTTTGCAAAAGACTCTTCTACTTTTAAAAGAAGAAAAGAATATGCCTGACAAAGACTGCCTCAGCCAGGTTAGCAAGGTCAACATCAACAATGAATAAATCATGTTGATACTGTGTAACCTTCATATGATGCAACATTTTCTCCTTAAGCTCTTTCTCCTAAAAAACTAATAACCCCAGTCTAATCATGAGGAAAACACCACACAAATGCCAATAGGAGATAGTCTACAAAATTACCTGAACTGTACTCTCCAAAACTGTCAAGGAAGGACAGTCTGGGAATTTGTCACAGCCAAATAAGTCATGATAACTAAATGCAGTGTGGTTTCCCAGATCAGATGCTGGAACAGAAAACAGACATTAGGTAAGATCTGAGGAAATCTGAATAAATTAACAACCTAAATTAATAATATGGGTCAATATAGGTTCATTAGTTGTGACAAATATGCCATATTAATATAACCTGTTAATAATAAGGGAAATGATGCAAAGCCCATTGCAATTCTGACTATCTTTTCAAGTTTTCTGTTAATCTAAAACTGTTATTTAAAAAGTAATCTATCCTTATTTTATCAAATACTAAATAACAAGTTTTACCAAAAATTTTATAAATGGCTAACTCCAATCTTACAAAAACTCTCAGAATACAGAAAAAGAGGAAACATCTCACAGCTGATTTTTTGAGATTAGGGAAATGTCAATATCAAAATCAGACAAGGAGAGTATTAAACTTACTGTCTAGTGTCACTTATAAACACAGATATAAAAATATTAAATAGTATCTGTCAAATCAAATTCTATAATACATTAAAAGTAAACTTTTTTTAGGCTAAGCGTGGTGGCTTACGCCTGTAATCTCAACACTTTGGGAGATTGAGGTAGGCAGATCACTTGAGGTCAGGAGTTTGAGACCAGCCTGGCCAACATGGTGAAACCCCATCTCTACTAAAAATACAAAAACTAGCCGGGTGTGGTGGCGCATGTCTGTAATCACAGCTCCTTGGGAGGAGAATTGCTTAACCCTGGGAGGCGGATATTGCAGTGAGCCAAGGTTATGCCATTGCACTCTAGCCTGGGCAACAGAGTGAGACTCTGTCTCAAAAAAAAAAAAAAAAGTAAATAATTTTTGGTTAAGTTGGTTTTATCCCAGGAATACAATTAGTTTAACATTAGAAAGTAAGATTATATTATCTACTTTATTAACATATTAAAAGAAAAAACCTATATGATTATCTAAATAGATATGAAAAAGAGTGTTTGGATAAAATTAGCATTCACTTGTGGCTAAATATATATATGTAAATATACATATACAGATATCTTTAGCAATAATAGGAAAAACAATGATTTACTTAACCAGATAAACAATATCTTTAAAAATTATGGCAAACATTATGCTTAATGGTGAAAATTTTAAAGATCAATTTCTGAAAAAAAGAGGCTCATTATCACTACATCTGTTTCTCACTGTATTATATGTCTTTGATGTTGTAATTATATCAGAGAAGTAGATTAAAAAATGAGGACTTGGAATTTTTTTAAAGTGTCATTATCTAAAGATAGTATATTATAAATGCCTACCTAGAAAATTTAAAAGTTTAAGGGCCAGTTTTAGAATAAATAAGAGAGTTTGGCATTATTGTTGGTTACCAAATCAATATCAAAAGCCAACTGCACTTTTATATACCAGCAACAATCATTTAAAATATAATTTAAAAATTATACCATAGAAAATGGCCATATATCTACTGGAGTATGGTTAATATGGATGTTATCATTTGTCATAACTGAATAAATTGTACACTTATGTTTTTGAATCTTTACTGTATGTATATTTTAACTCAAAAATAAACTGTAAACAAATATTTAAAACATAAAAGTCTTTTTTATAAAAGAGTGTGGCTGGTCTTTAAGTGTTTGGGACACTTGCTGTATTTATAAGTGAGCATTAGTTTGGGGATGCTAAGCATCATATATAGTTGGTCGGGAGTGGTAGCTGTATCTATTTCGTGTTTTATTTAATATTGTTGTTTTTTGAAATTGTAAGCCCCTTTGTTACTTATGGTCAGGAGTTTGAATCTTGATGGAAGTGTCTGACACCTTGACAAGTAGTTATACCCTCACTCCGCCTGATCCACTGAGCAGTTGTCAACAGAGAAACTGCTCAGATGGGGCAAGGAGGGGAAATAAGCATCAGTAGAATATGAACAAACCTCAGTCAGAACTGCTAGAGGAGATAACAGGAGGTAGTTAGCTCACGTTCATCCACAACTATCACCTTGGAAAACCCAGGTTTTATTGGCCCACTTCAGTGTTCCTCCAAAGTGGAAGAGAATGGTTGTCAGCGAGCCTGTTAGCCAAGGGTGTCTTTAGAGTGACAGATGGCTTTAAAATTAAAGCATTTTAAGAGATGCTTTTCATCTGAGGATGAAAGCTTAGTTTCATCTCACACAATATATTGAACATGATTCCTTTCCAAGCATGCTCCTTGCAGTTAAGAAAACATTATTTAAGTGTATCAATATTACAGTATTCCATGGTACTTTTTTTTCAAGTTAGTTCAGCTATAATGACATACAATAAACCACATAGTCAAATGGCACTAGGTCATATGTTTTGACAAATGAATACACCCTTGTAACCACCATCACACTCAAAATTTAGGCCAGGCCCATCATACTCAAAAGTTTCCTGTGCCCCTTTATAAAAAATCTTGCATTATACGTTAATTAGCAGCAGTTTTTCCTAAGTGGTACATAAACAGACAGCTTTATAGTTAAACTCATCTTACATACTATGAAGTATGGAAACGCAGTTATAACAACTGGACTAGGGTGGTGCAGGGAAAGCCACAGTGAGGGGTAGCATCTCTCTCTGAAATGGAATGACACAGTGCTCTTAGCCCATCCTTTAGTTTGGGGTAGTGTAGGGTCTAGGGAAGAGATGAGAAATACATGGAAAACAGGACAATGTAAAGGAAGGCTTCTGAGCTTAACAAAGATTTCTACACCTACTACTAATTATTGTTCATTTGGATTAGCACATTCTCCATCTAATATGAAGAGACCCTCATGGATGCATTAAATTGCTCAGCCATTCAAAATTTAGGCGATATTTCAGTAAAGTAATTGACACTAGACCCTAGCAGGGATAATCCAAGTGGAGAGAACAGAATTTCCGTGGGAAGAGGTAGAAGATAGGGTGCATGGATATTGGATCATGGGGGAAATTTTTTACAGAGAATTATATAATTAAAGGACACTACAAGGACATCAGGAACTAGAAAAAGGAAAGAGGAAGAGAGTGTCGAGCAAGGGAGGCAGGAAAACACCTCGTCATGATTGTGGCATCAGTAGAAGTAGTGCTTATCAAATGTGGCCCCCAACTTCCTTGACATTTCTCCCCACAAGACGGCTTATCTATGCCCCCTCTTTCTAAATCTGGATGGGTTTATTACTGCCTCAACCAATCAAGCAATGGGAGTTATGCTAATATGATTTCTGAGGATAGATGGTAAAAGGCCCTGCAGCTTCCTTCCAGTTTTCTTGGAATGCTTTCTCTTTGGATGCTTCTTAGAATACTCTCTCATGGATCCATCTTGCATGCTATAAGAAGCCATGCCAAGTGAAGAAGCCATGTGTGGATACTTCAGCAGACAGTCCCAGCTGAGCCCTGGCCAGAACTTCCAATACTATGTTGGATAGGAGTGGTGACAGAGGGCATCCTTGTCTTATACCGGTTTTCAAAGGGAATGCTTCCAGCTTTTGCCCATTCAATATGATAGTGGCTGTGGGTTTGTTACAAATAGCTCTTATTATTTTGAGATATGTTCCATCAATATCTAGTTTATTGAGAGTTTTTAACATGAAGGGATGTTGAATTATATCAAAGGCCTTTTTCTGCATCTATTGGGATAATCATGTGGTTTCTGTCTTTGGTTCTGTTCATGTGATGGATTATGTTTACTGATTTGTGTATGTTGAACCAGCCTTCATCCCAGGGATGAAGCCTACTTGATTGTGGTGGATAAATTTTTTGATGTGCTGCTAGATTTGGTTTGCCAGTATTTTCTGATTTTTACTTCGATGTTCATCAGGGATATTGACCTGAAGTTTTCTTTTTTTGTTGTGTTTCTGCCAGGCTTTGATATCAGGATGATGGTGGCTACATAAAATGAGTTAGGGAGGAGTCCCTTTTTTCCAATTGTTTGGAATAGTTTTAGAAGGAATGGTACCAGCTCCTTTTTGTAACTGGTGGAATTCAGCTGTGAATCTGTCTGGTCCTGGGCTTTTATTGGTTGGTAGGTTATTAATTACTGCTTTAATTTCAGAATTTGTATTTTGTCTTTTCAGGGATTTGACTTCTTCCTGGTTTAGTCCTGGGAGGGTGTATGTGTCCAGGAATTTATCCATAGATTCTATATTTTCTAGTTTATTTGCGTAGAGGTGTTTATAGGATTCTCTAAAGGTAGTTTTTATTTCTATGTGGTCAGTAGTAATATCCCCTTTATCATTTTTTATTGTGTCTATTTGATTCTTCTCTCTCTTATTCCTTATTAGTCTAGATAGTGGCCTACCTATTTTGTTAATTTTTCAAAAAATCAGCTCCTGGATTCATTGATTTTTTGGTGGGTTTTTCATGTCTCTATCTCCTTCAATTTTGCTTTAATCTTAATTACTTCTTGTCTTTTGCTAGCTTTTGGATTAGTTTACTCTTGCTTCTCTAGCTGTTTTGTGATGCTAGGGTGTCAATTTGAGATCAATCTAGCTTTCAGGTGTGAGCAAGTAGTGCTATAAATTTTCCTCTTAACACTGCTTTAGTTGTTTCCCAGAGATTCTGGTACATTGTCTGTTTGTTCTAACTGGTTTCTAAGAACTCTTGATTTCTGCCTTAATTTCATTATTTACCCCAGATTCATTCAGGAGCAGGTTGTTCAATTTCCATGTAATTGTGTGGTTTTGAGTGAGTTTCTTAATCCTGAGTTCTAATTTGATTGCACTGTGGTCTGACAGACTGTTATGATTTCCATTCTTTTGCATTTGCTGAGGAGTGTTTTACTTCCAATTATGTGTTCCACTTTAGAATAAGTGCCATGTGGCATTGAGAAAAATGTATATTCTGTTGATTTTGGGTAGAGAGTTCTGTAGGCGTCTACTGGATCCACTTGATCCAGAGCTGAGTTCAAGCCCTGAATATCCTTGTTAATTTTCTGTCTCCTTCATCTGTCTAATATTGACAGTGGGGTGTTAAAGTCTCCCACCATTATTGTATGAGAGTCTAAGTCTCTTCTTAGTTTTAAGAACTTGTTTTATGAATCTGGGTGCTCCTGTATTGGGTGCATATATACTTAGGATAGTGAGCTCTTGTTGTTGAATTTTTCCCTTTACCATTATGTAATACCCTTTTTCGTCTATTTTGATCTTTGTTGGTTTAAAGTCTGTTTTATTTGAGATTAGGATTGCAACCCCTGCTTTTTTTTTTTTTTTTTTTTGCTTTCCATTTTCTTGGTAAATTTTCCTCCAACCCTTTATTTTGAGCCAATGTGTGTGTCTTTGCACATGAGATGGTTCTCCTGGATATAGCACACTGATGGGTCTTGAATCTTTATCCAATTTGCCAGTCTATGTCTTTTACTTTGGGCATTTAGCCCATTTACATTTAAGGTTATTATTATTATGTGTGAATTTGATCCTGTCATCATGATGCTATCTCATCATTCTGCACACTAGTTGATGCAGTTTCTTCATAGTGTCATTGGTCTTTATATTTTGGTGTGTTTTGCAGTGACTGGTACCAACTTTTCCTTTCCATATTTAGTGTTTTTTTCAGGAGCTCTTGTAAGGCAGGCCTGATGGTAACAAAATCACTCAGCATTTGCTTGTCTGAAAGGATTTTATTTCTCCTTCACTTATGAAGCTTAGTTTGGCTGTATATAAAATTCTAGGTTGAAAATTTTTTTTTTAAGAATGTTAATATTGGCCCCCAATCTCTTCTGGCTTGTACAGTTTCTCCTGAGATATCTGCTGTTAGTCTGATGGGCTTCCCTTAGTAGGTGACCTGGCCTTACTCTCTGGCTGGCTTTAACTGTTTGTTCTTCATTTTGACCTTGGAGAATCTGATGATTATGCATTCCGGTCTGATCTTCTCATGGAATATCTTAATGGTGTTCTCTGTATTTCCTGAATTGGCATCTTGGCCTTTCTTGCTAGTTTGGGGATGTTCTCTTGGATAATATCCTGAACTGTGTTTTCCAGCTTGTTTCCATTCTCCCTGTCTCCTCTGGTACTCCAATCAGTTGTAGGTTCAGTCTTTTTATGGAGTCCTGTATTTCTTGGAGGCTTTGTTCATTCCTTTTCATTCTTTTTTTTCTCTAGTTTTGTCTGCATGCCTTATTTCAGCAAAGTGGTCTTCAAACTCTGATATCCTTTCTTCCTCTTGGTCGATTCAGCTATTGATACTTGTGTATGCTTCACAAAGTTCTCGTGCTGTGTTTTTCAGCTCTGTCAGCTGGTTTATGTTGCTCTCTAAACTGGTTATTCTAGTTAGCAATTCCTTGAACTTTTTAATCAATGTTCTTAGTTTATTTGCATGGGGTTAGGATATGTTCCTTTAGCTCTGTGTAGTTTTTTATTACCCATCTTCTGAAGCCTACTTTTGTCAATGCATCCATCTCATCCTCCATCCTGTTCTGTGCCCTTGGTGGAGAAATGTTGTGATCATTTACAAGAGAAGAGGCACTCTGGCCTTCTGGGTTTTCAGCATTCTTTTGTTGATTCTTTCTCATCTTCATGAGTTTGTCTAGTTTCAGTCTTTGAGGCTGCTGACCCGTGAATGGGGTTTTTGTGGGGGCTTTTTGTTGTTGTTGTTGTGGTTGATGCTCCTGTTGTTGCTTTCTGTTTTTTTTTTTCCCCCCAGTGGTCAGTTCCCTCTTCTGTAGGGCTGCTGTAGTTTACTGGGGGTTCAGTTCAGGCCCTATTAATCTGATTTGCTCCTGTGCCTAGAGATGTCACTCAAGGAGGCTGGAAAACAGCAATGATGGGTGCCTGCTCCTTCTTCTGGCATCTTTGACCTAGAGGGGCACCAACCTGATGCCAGCAGGATTGCTCCTGTATAGGGTGTCTGACAACTCCGATTGGTGGGTCTCACCCAGTTGGGTAGCACAGGGAACAGGACCTGTTTAATGAAGAACTTTGTCCTTTAGTGGAGAGGGTATGATTCACTGGGGAGAAACACACTTATCTGTGCTGCCTGGATTTCTCAGAACTACCAGGATGAGAGGCTAAGTCTGCTGCTCCATAGAGACTGTGGCCACCCCTCCCCCTAAGGGCTCGGGCCCAGGGAGATCCAGATTCTGTCCCTGAACCTCTCTGGCTGGAGTTATTGGAGTTCCTGCAGGGAAGCCCTGCCCAATGAGGAAGGATGGGTCAGGGTTAAGCCTGAAGAGGCACTCTGGCCACAGACTGCCACAGCTGCAGTGTTGGGCTGTGGGGGACAAGTCTTAGGACCAAGGAATCCAGCCTCTCTGGCTCCAGCAGGGGAAAAGCACAGCCTGGGGCTATAGAGATGGGTGCCGCCCTTCCCCCACCTAGGGAGCTTAGCGTGTTTGGCGGTTGCCAGTCCTAGTGCTGGCTGCTGCCCCTCCCCCAAGGAGCTCAAAGTGCTTAGACAGCAGGCAGCCGAAGTGCGGTGCTGGTTGTCTCTCCCTGTGGGAGTTCCATAGGCTTAAGCAGATTCCAGCTGAGCGGCTGTTAAGAGTCTGTGCATTCTGGAGTTGGGACGCTAGTCCCCAGTGGCATGGATTCGCGAGTGAGATCTTCTGATCCGTGAGTTGCAGAGTTCTGTGGAAAAAGCACAGTTTCCTCAGCTGGGTAGCACGCTCTCTCACCACTTCCCTTGGCTGGGGGGAGGAGGTTCCCCGTCCCCCATGTAGCTCTCAGGTTGGCCACTGTACCACACTGTTGTTGCTTCATCCTGTGGGTCACGCCAGCCTCCTAGTCAGTTCTGATGAGAGAACCTGTATGCCTTTGTTGCTGGTGAAGGATTCACATGCTTATTATGTTTTTTTTCCGATGGAGCCAACGAACACCGCTGTTTTTAGTAGGCCATCTTGGCCCTGCCCCCCAAGAAATGTTTACATCTAATAGCAATTTATAGTTTTATTTAAAAAGGCAAAAATTACTTCTTCCAAAAGATAATGCAGTTATTAATATTAGGTAAGGTAATCAATAATATATTGTCTAAACTGGGACATTTCAGAGAGTGAAAGGAGATGCTATTAATAATTATGCCCAGGGAACAGGCATAAACTAGGACTGTCCCAGGAAAATCTGGAATATGATCTCCTTAATTTGATGGAGAGTGACCCTTTCAAAGGTAACTAAATCTGGATTAGCCTCTAAGCCCATCCAGAAATGAGGACAACTCTTAAAATATTATATTACAAATTGAGATGGAAACTATAGAAGAGAGGAAATGCTGGTAGACATGGCACCATTAGACTCCTGTCTTAAAATAAAGTTGTAAATTCTGGTATTTGTGGAGAACAATTTCTAGAGAATTTAAACAGAGTGGCTAACAGAACACTCAAATCATGAGCAAGGTTAAAATAAGTATCATATGAGTTTGTTGTATAACTCACTCATATTAATTACTGAACACTCAATACACATATGCCTCACCTTTGTGCCTAGGAAAACAATGCTGACAATTTACTTTATTCTTAGGAGTACTTGTGTGTGTGAGTGTGTTGGTGATTGTGAGGTAGGAGGCACAACACTGGAGGTGGGACTCAGATAGAGTACCAAATTGAGGACTGGCTAAAACAGGTGAGGGGGGTAAGCACCTCTTCAAAAGACATGGCACACTCCTCAAGTGTTCCATGCCAGTTTACTGTTGCCATGGCAACACCAGGAGTTACCACCCCTTTCCTTCCATGGCAATGACCTGACAACCTGGAAGTTAGCACCTTCATCCTAGGAATTTCTGCATAAACTGCCCTTTAACTTGCATATCATCAAAAGTGCATATGAATATGAGTGCAGAACTGCCTCTGAGCTGCTGCTCTGGGCACAGTGTCTGTGGGGTAGAGCTGCCGAAGAGAGAACGGCTCCTCTGCTGCTGCTGTACCCAACTGCTTCAATAAAAGTTGTTTAACACCAACAGCTCAGCCTTGAATTCTTTTCTGGACAAAGCCATGAACCGTCCTGGGCTAAGCCCCAATTTGGGGGCTTGCCTGACCTGCATCAATTGTACCAAATAATCAATAGTTGATGTCAATTTTGGCTGCCCCCAAACAAAGACCAGTGCTTCTCAAACATTAGCTTGCATAAGAATCACACAAATAATTTGTCAGAATATAGGTTGCCACTCCCATGTTTCATCTATAGATTCTGACTCAGCAATTCAGAAGTGGGATCTGAGATTCTCATTTTCCAACAAGCTCCTGATTGATGCTGCTGGTGGTCTACGACTGCTCTTGGAAAAGCACTGCAGACCAGTAATTGTCAATCTGCACCACACATTGTAATCATCTGGGGAGCATCCAAAAACACTGATACTCAGAACCCAACCACAAAGATTTTGATTTCATTGGTTTGTGATGGGACTCATCATTGGTATATTTTTAATTTTCCCCAGATGATTCTAATGTACTGCCAGGATTGAGATCCACTGTCTTTTTCTTTCCCTTTCACTTCAACATAAATAATTTGAAATATCTATCATCTCCAATAGACTGTAAGATCCCTGAGGATGAGTACCATATCTGTTGGTTTTCCTACTTTATTCCTAGAATAGCTGTCTCAGATCTCATTAGTATCTGTTGCATATTTGTCATTAATGACCAATGTTCCTCTATGGTACTTTCATAAACATGATATGGATGTTGGTGTCTTCACTTGCTTACCTCTGTGGATGTTGCAGTGATCCAGAAACAATATCTTTCTTAAATATTTGTATCCGTAAAATACTAGTGTATAACAAACTACCTCAAAACTCAGGCACTCAGAACAATGAGTATCTTTCATTGCTCATGCATTTCCATGCATCAGGTGGTTCTGCTGGCCTTAGACAAGCTCACTCATGCATCTGTGGTCAGCTGTGGGTTGGGAGGCAGCTATGCTGATATTGGCTGGGCTCCCTCACATGTTTAGGGGTCTAGACTGGTTTATATTGTTCTTGGCTGAGGCTGCTAAAGTCTCCATGTGCCTCTCAACTTCCAACAGGCTGGCCTGGGCTGGTTCACGTGGTAGCTGTGGAAGCTTCTATGACAGATAGGAAAAGCATGAAGTCTCTTGAAGCCTAGAAAAGACCTCCCATTATTTCTGCCACATTCTATTGGCAAAAACAAGTCACAAGGCAGTCCAGATTCAAACAGTGAGGGAAATGGGCTTCAATTATTGGTGAGAAGAGTTTCAGAGTCTTGGTGCAAAAGGTTGGGATAGAGAAAAGTCATGAATAGGACTAGAAATGGCGTCAATCTACCACAGCCTCTAAGGCAAACTCCCCAAACCCCAGACCTCTTCTCTCATTCCAGCTTTAGAAAAATTGCCAATATGTCTAATGGAAAAGCAAGTTGATTTCAGCTCAGTTTGCTGGCTTAAGCTATTTAGTAAATGAAAGGCTCATAGGATTTAGTTTCTAATATTTGAAAGCTGAGGAGGTGAAAATGTCTAAAGAAAAATAAAGTTGCAGTTGATGTTTATTTTTATTTAAGAATAGGTTGTAAATTATTGGTGGGAAACTTGGATCAGTGAACATGATGAATGACTCATTGCCAAATGTAGCAAAGATTACAACATGAAAAAGATTGAAATCTAGGAAATTAAAAGAAAATGTACTGTGAAAGTTAACTATAGTTAAATAATTTGACATTTATTCTCATTGGTTCCCACCTTTCTTGTAACTGTATAATAAGCAGGGATTGCAGTAGGGACTTGAAAAGAAAAGCGCTCCTAATACCCAAAGATAAAGATTCAATGTAAACCTGAGGCCAAACCTCTGGGTTTCTTTCTAAATTATCCTGACTGGTGTGCTTTCTTTGGAAGGTGGAATGCCCACCTTCCCTGCTAAAGACCTCTCTTGACTGCCAAAAGTTGCGAGAAACCTATGGTTAAGAAACTTAGAATCTGTGCTCCTGGAGGAAATAGTTTCTGGGACACATGAGAGCAAACCACATGAGTTCAAAGGTTCTTCCTTATACAGTAATAAACATTTGATCGACTGGTTTTACAAGACAGATCCCACTCTGCCCTTGGGGTTTCTCATTACTAGGCTTTTTGGCTTCAAGATCCCAAGCCTTTTCTAAATTTAAAGTGCTTGTCTTTATTACTTGTATTTCAACCTGTTTTAAAATTGTCTATTAAAGATGTCATTTATTTTTTAAAAAATCCTCCCTCTGCCCACTCCCCATCTCCCATGATCTACACTCACAACACACACACAGGCAGGCATAAAACTAAGGGCAACTTCTAAGAGGCAGAGAGAGGAGTTTACCTGGGGGTGAGAGTTTTCTCCTCATGAAGGGGCCTGAGATACCAGCTGGAGCTGACCAAAATCCCTCTTTCAAGGAAGCCCGTTTGTTCCTTTCCAAAGATATTGTTTATGTAACTCTTTAATTACAGCATAATCAAATCACAAGTATTTTGCCATGGGAAAATGTAAAGTCATTAAGCAACCTAAATACCACCCCGCCCTTTTCAGGCAGACAACACATCCATTAAGCGATTAATGCATGTTAAGACATTTTCAATTTTTTTGGCACTAATGCCAGTTCAATCATTTGGGACTGGGGATCATAGGTGAAACCTACTCATTACACTTCTTGATGGGAAGCAGAGTGCCTTACACGTTTCTTTTTAAAATAGAATTCCAATCTCCGGCCCCCACAAGGCCCAGAGCTTTAATCTGATTGCAAAATAAGCTTGGATATTGTTTGACAGCCCAGAATTTCCAGTAGGTGGATGAGTCAGATTTGAACTTTAATTTCTGTTAATTGGGTGTCTTCCTGAGCTTGTAGATTTTAGGCCTTCTAAATCCTTACATTCTGCTGCTATATTGGGCTGTGGTTTGTTGTGGGTCCTACAGAATGGACAACTTAATCAACTTCTGTTTGTAAAACAAAATAGTGACCTGCTATATGTACTTGTGAAGATGTGGCCAGAGTTGATAACAGCAAGATACACTCTCTTAGTGTTAGCAGTAAAATTATGGACACATAAAGACAAAGAGTAATCAGGGATTGTTGTATAATTCTTTCATTGAAAATGCCACTAAAAATCTTATACTGTTACTATCCTCATTTGCTCAAAAATAGTCATGGACTGGGGGTACTTATTTTTTTCAGATAAAATGATGTTGTATCCATGAGAAGCAAGAATGAACCATTGGTTGAAGAAATTGTAACTGAAATTACCATGTGCCAGGCACTGGTCATTCTGGGGATACATCAATGAATGAGAAGCATGAAGTCCCTAGCACATTCTTTTGGAGAAGGACAGATGACAAAGAAGTGAACACATAAATAAACAGACACTATAATATAGCAAAAATATTCAGAAAAGCTAAAATCCAGTAATGTGATAGATCTTAGTAGGCTATTATAAACTGGCTCATCAGGGAAGGCTTCAATGAAGAACTGACATTTAACTGAGACCCAGATACTTCATGCAGCCATCTAAGTGTAGAGTCCTTTAGGCAGAAAAAGCATCTAATGGAAAGGTGAAGCTTAATGGTTTGTCACTAAATTAAGTTAATAATAGAGAATATATATATGCCTATATTATATATATAAGCCTGTATTATATATATACATAAAGTGTATATAATAGCCTACTAAGATTTATCACATTACTGCATTTTTGTTTTCCTAAATGTTTGTGCTATATTATATCTTGTTTATGTGTTCACTTCTTTGTAGTCTGTCCTTCTCCACAAGAATGTGCTTTAGGGGAGATTAGGGACTTCATGCTTCTCATTCATTGTCATACCTCTGGCATGACCAGTGCCTGGCACATGGTAATTTTTTATTACAATTTCTTCAACCATTGGTTTTATTCTTGCTTAATTTTTTATATACGTATATATTTTTTTCTTTACCTTCAAATGCTGTCAGTATATATTTATATGTGGGCCCTTACAGATTTATTATTTCTGTTTGAAAACCAAGTTGTTCATTTTATGTTTGTTTTCTTAGTGTTTGGTGAAAGTGTCATAGAATCATCATAAAGTTTTTCTTTCTTTGCATTGTTCTCTCTGTTTTCAGATTGAGGTTTATGGACAAGACTGAGATATTCTGGCTTTGAATAAAGAAAGGAAAAAAGGAAATCCTACCACAAAATTAGTTGGCTTAATTCCTAATGACAGGTGAATCAGTTAGCTTTTACTGTACAACAAACCACTCTCGAATGTGGTGGGTTAAAACATCAAACATGTATATAGTCCATGCATCGGCAGGTTGACAATTTGTGCTGTGCTCAGCTGGGCCCTTCTTTTGGTCTTGATCAGGCTCATTCATGCACCTGTGGTCAGTTGCAGTTTAGAAGGCAATTCTGCTTTGGAAGACTGTCTGACTGTTGGCTAAGGCAATGGGGCAACCTGGGCTGTGTGTCTCCCATCATCCAGAAAGCTAGCCTAAGCTTATTCATAGAGTCAGGATGCTAACAGAGCAAGTGAAAGTCTGAAAAGCCTCTTGAAGTCTCAGCTCAGGGTGGATACAGTGTCACTTTCTTGGCATTCTAGGTCAAAATAACTCTCAGGCCAACACAGATGCAATGGCTGGTGAAACTGGCTCCGTGCCCAGGTGAGGGGAGTTGCAGTCACATTGAAAATGAGACAGATATAGGGAGGAGTGAAGAACTGGAGACATTTTTCAAATTGATTGACCACAGCAGGCAAATGCTAACAAGACAGCATGAAAATGCCTATATTACAGGGATTGGCAACTATTTTCTTTTTTTTTTTTGTAACTGACCAGATAGACAACATTTTTGGCTTTGCAGGCCTGTCAGTCAGGCTCTTTCACAACTATTCAACTCTGTCGCTGTAGTGCAAAAGCAGCCATTGACAATAAGTAAATGAATGGGCATGGCTATGTTCCAGTGAAACTTGATTTACAAAACAGTAAGTGGGCTGCATTTGGCCCACAGAACCATAGTTTACTGACCACTTGTCTATTTTCCTAGAGTGAGATAATTTTGCTACGCAAGTCTTTGCATTTCAAACAGGCTGGAATAGAACATAGCCTCTAGTGGCATCTATCAGACACCAACAAAGTCTCGGAGGAAGAAAGTTGAATCACTCATCAGACCACAGGCCGACACATGGATGATGTTTTGTTCTAGCAGTAGAGGGAGGGCATTCTTTCAGCTTTTAACACAGCATTTGTTTACTGAGCTACTTGCATAAACCAAGATCTCTATCATTGGTAGTGCTTGTTTGCTGCCTGGGTGTAATAATCATTTATTTCCCTTTGTTTGTTGTGGTTAGTTCACTTTCAAGCAAGAAAGACAAAAATTTCTAAGTAGAACAAATGATGAGAGGCAGGGGAGGAGAAAGAGTAAAACAATTAGAGAGCTCCTCGAGGGCAGGCACAGAGCCTAGTCCAGGAAGTCAAATTCTCCAGCTGGAATTGATCCTGGACTTCTGTACACTTGTTCTCAGCCTTAAGTGCACATTAGATTCACCTGGGGAATTTTGAAAATCCGATGCACAGGACACACCCCAGGGCAACTAAATCAGACACACAAGAGTTGGGACCCAGGCATCAGTATTTTTTAAACCTCTCCATGCGAGTCCAAAATGCAGTCAAGTTTGTAAACCAGGGCTTTACAGTGTTGGCAGCTCTTAGTGACTCCATCTGTTGTCTGGACCATTCCACAAATGCATGTCTCCCACTCACCTAGACTGTAACCTCCCAAGAATCCATCAGCCCCAGGTCTGTCAATCCTAGACACTCAATAAAAATGTAATTACTTGTTAATCTCTCTGAATTCTGAAATGGCCCTGGGCCCTGAAGTTCACCAATGTTTGTCAACTTGAAAATTATCCCCTTTTTACAAAATCTCATTTTTCTTTTCAGCACTCAGCTACATGTTTATGATCTATATCCAGACTACTCTATTTTTGAAAATCAAGACCATTTTCAACCTCAGAGTACATTCTGTTCAGGACAAAAAAATGAATAGTCAGAATTATCTTCAAGCAGACTTCAAAAATATCCATATTCACTTTTCTAATAAAGAAAATAGTCTTATATTAAGTGTCCTCTGGACATGCCACCTAAGTTAATATTTTATTAGTTATCCTTTAAACTGCTCACAGTGGCATGGCAAACAGCTTTAGCAACTCTAATGAATTAGTCATGTTCCCCTATTACATCGCTTAGGTGATGGGGTCAGGACAATTTAAGCTAAAAAATAGTTTGGAGGTCTATTTTTCTACTAGAAAAAGTACATTTTCCCACATGACCCCAATATGTTACTCAAAAAAACCTAATAATCCTTTAATAACATCTTACACACCCCAGTCCACTATCAAATTTCCCCGCTTGTTCTCAAATATTTTTAACACTGATATTTTCAAATCCAGATTCAATCAAGGAGCACATTTTGGATTGTGATGTTATGAACGGACAAGTACTCCCTCCTTTGTTGAACTGTGAGGGGTAGAGACTGTGGGGTCCCACATCAGTCAAGGAAGACTCTAGATTTGGGGGAGAAATAAAGGACAGGTGTTTTTCAGGTAAGGTAGAAGGCACAGACAACTAGGAAGAGATTTCCAAGTAGATATAGCAGGAATGACAATACATGGCCTGGGAGGAGCCAGTGGATCCGTCTAGAAATATTGATATAAATTATTTTCACATGTATCCTGCAGAAAGCAAGTGGTCAGAAAGTCAAGCCCTGGATATCTCATAGTTTGAGAGGAAAAGGACACAAAGAGGAAAGAGATGACTTTGGAAATGAGACTGAGGAATTAGAATAGTGTGGTATTTCTAGAAAGCCAAGAGAGGGCAGAGTCCCAGGGTGTCTTGAAGCTGAAAGCTGCAGAGAAAGGAAGCCTGAAAGTGCTGCATGGATCTGCTCAGAGTGCACCGGATCAGCATAGCTCATCAGAAATGCAGGTTTTTGGGGTCCCACCTTAGACCTACTCATTTAAAATCTCCCAAGGTGAAGGCCTGGGTATCTGCGTTCACATGTTCTCCCAGAGATTCTTATGCTTGTTCAAATGTGAGAAGCTCTGCTGTCCAATACATCTTGTCAAGGTTTTGTCTCATAGCATATCCTCCTTCACCATCAGCACCTTTGATGCTTCCTCTTGCTTTCTGTCCATAGCACAGATTTTTTTCTCTTCTTAAAAACAAGAGAAAGCAAGAAGGCAAGGAAAAAAGACAAACAAAAATCAAACCATAATAATAATAATGTTAAAACTTCCTGTCTTCTACCTTTAACACTTTATTATTTTAAATGTTTCAAATTGTATATAACCTACCATCATGCCATTCATAGTCTCACAAAATACCCTGTATAGGACCTGAAATCCACCTTCTACAGAACCCCTCATCCACCACCTCAAGCAAGAGCATACGCTAAAATCATCAAATGGCCCGATAAGCAGGAATTCTCCATCCTTTTTCTTCTTGCCCATTAGCAATATTCTTGAAACTTGACTCTCTGGGATTCTTATATGATACCACTTAATTTCTCAAATCCTGTTTCTCAGACCCTCCTAGTCCACCTTTTCACTAAACAAGGGCATTTCCCCAAATTCAATCCTTGGTGTGTTCTCTCTACTTCTCTATTCTCCCTCCTCCAGAGGTAACATCTGATGTTTCAATTTTGGCAGTTACCTGAGCAAGTGATCCTGATATGTAGGTGCTGTTGGCCTCCAGTCTCACACATCAACTCACCAATCATGGAGAAGAAGTTAGATGACTTCCTGTCACCTGTCATTTGTGCATTTTCTCCAAATCCTCAATCCCTTCCAGTAAGTTCCTTTCTAACTTCCTTTATCTATGAATGCTCTTTCAAAACTCCAGCTTAAACCCCATGCCATCTTAGCATACCACCGCTCTACTGTATTCATGATTTACATTACATATGCATATATTTTTTCTTAGTTTTGCTTCCTTACACCTATCAAAATATTAAGTATATAGTCATAGTACTACTTTTTTAAATGGACTCCAGTAAAATACCTAAGAAAAAGTCGCTGGTTAGGATGTGGAGACTTGAGTTTGAATTATTAGTCTCCCTCTCAGAGGCTCAGTTTCCTTGGCTGTATACTGGGGATAAGAGTGCTGCTTACTTCACAGAGCTGTTGCAGAGAACACAGACAATATTCATGAAATCTACAGTACATTCCCTGGCATATATCCAGTGCTTTGTTGCACTGGTTATTGCTGTCGATCCTAGTCCTTCCCTACATGATTTCTGCTTCTCCTGTAGATCGGTATACTAAAGAGCAGAGCTGAGGTCTGCGGAAAATTGTGAAATAGACAAAGTCAGCTTCTCCTCTCATTGAGCCCCTAGAGTATTTTTCCACTCATCAAAGCTGCGAAGGTCTCATTATTGGCGGGCTGACAAGAACCAATCTTAGCCACATGGAACTTTAGACATGAGTTTCACGTGTGTGTGTGTGATAGTGTGTGTGTGAGTGTGTGTGACAGTGTGTGTGTGACAGTGTATGTGTGTGAGTGTATGTGAGTGTGTTTATGCATGTATGTGTGTGACAGTGCATGTGTGTATGTGTGTATTTGAGTGTATATGCGTGTATGTGTGTGACAGTGCATGTGTGTGTGTTTGTGTGTGACAGTGCATGTGTATGTGCTTGTGTGTGACAGTGCATGTGTGTATGTGTGTATATGTATTTGAGTGTGTATGTGTGTGACAGTGCATGTATGATTGTGTGTGACAGTTCATGTTTGTATGTGTGTATATGTGTGTATTTGAGTACGTGTATGTGTGTGACAGTACATGTGCGTATGTGTGTATGTGTGTATTTAAGCGTGTATGCATGTATGTGTGACAGTGCGTGTATGTTTGTGTGTGACTGCATGTGTGTATGTGTGTATATGTGTGAGTATGTGTATGTATGTGACAGTGCGTGTGTGTGACGGTGCATGTGTGTGAGTATATGTATGCATGTGTGACAGTGCATGTGTGTATGTGTGTATATGTGTGTATTTGAGTGTGTTCATTTGAGTGTGTATGTGTGACAGTGCATGCGTTTGTGTGCAATGCATGTGTGCATGTGTGTATATGTGTATTTGAGTGTGTATGCGTGTATGTATGTGACAGTACGTGTGTGTGTATGTGTTTGTGTGTGACAATGTATGTGTGTATGTGTGTGACAGTGCATGTGTGTGTATGTGTCTGTATGCGTGTGCGACAGTGCATGTGTGTATATGGGCATTAATGTGTGCGAATGTGTGACAGTGTATGAGCATGTACATGTGAGTATTGCCACAGAGAACAGCTTTGGGGAGCAGCCAACTTTCTCAAAATTTCTGAAATTACCTCTAAACCTCTTTCCTAATGAAGTGGCTCCAAAGTGCCTGAGAACAAGGAAAGGAAACGAGTTGGGATTTCTCGCGGTCTCCTGTCATCCACGGGTGCTATGCCTCTGCTTCTGGCACAGACAGTCAGAAGCCAGGACAGGCTGTTCCTGCATAATTCACTCATTTGTGCCTCAGGATAATTTTGAAGCAGCTTGTTGCTGAAGGATAAATGACTCTACCTCCTTAAATTAGACAAAATGAGGTTTTGTACTATTTTCTGTATTTGTTAAAGTAGCAACTTTACTGCTGTAAAGTCCCTTGAGGAATTTGTTGATCTAAAAGACAGTTAATAATGTCTTAAAATTTAGATATGCAGTAACAGCAAAAGAATCAGCAGAAACAAAAGGAAGGAACTAAGCACCATCCATGATGGTAGAATGACATATGAAGCGATAACCCATTTAAGATAGAACCTCCAGGACTCATAATATGCACACTCACAAGTAATAAAATAGGAAGAGGTTAGAAGCTTTTTTTGGAAGCAACATTCAGAATGTGATCTAATGCAATATTGTAAGGAAGGCACTATACTGTGCACATCTAGGAGAGTAAATACAACTTTTTCCACAGCAAGGAGGAGGAGGAACTAATATTTATTGGACACAGAGAGATTTACATATCTCTTAAAATGCAATCCTCATAAAGATCATTATAATATTAAATGATCGTCATTGTGCAGCTGAAGAAATTGGTACTCAGAGAAGTCAAGAATGTTCTTCAAGGACACAGAGGAGAACTAGATTTGAACTCAGGTTTATTTCCTCTCTATCACTTTTTCTTAACACCATTTTATTCATGCATAGAATTCATACCAAAAAGTACCGTAGTTTTACTTGTAAAATGCTGAAATTTTTACTTCACAAACACTTCGTGTAAGCAGCCCCCAGATCAAGAAACGTTACCAGCACCCTAGAAGCCTCTTTTGTTCCTGCCCTGACACTCGTCTCCCACAGAAAACCACTCTACTTGTTTTTAATACAATGAATTTGTTTTGCCAGTTTGAGAGCTTAAATAAATGGAATCATATAGCACGTCTTCTTTTGACTTCTTTTGTTTTACCTTACATTTGTGAAATTTATCATAATGTTATAAAGAGTTGTAAATCTTTGATTTTTACTGCTATATAGTATTTCATCACAAGACTATAAAATAATATATTTACCCATTCTATGGTTGACAAACCCATGAGGCATATTCTGCTTGTCACTATTACAAAAAATCCTATATGTGCGTTCTTGGCGCACTTATTTAACATTTCTGCTAGGTATATACCTAGAAGAGGAATTTTTGGCTCATGAAATGTACATTCCTCAGCTGTATTGAATAATGCCAAACAGTTATACAAAGTGGTGGTACTGATCTACCTGCCCACCAGCAGTGCATGAGAGTTCCAATTATTCTACATCCTTGACAATACATGGCAATTGTCTGTTTTTTTTGTTTTGCTTTGTTTTTTCATTTAGCACGTTCTAGGCATATACTGCTATCCCACTGAGATTTTAATTTATATGAAAAGTATGCAATCTCTTAACTGCTTTTTTCCACCAGTCTTTATTATATTTGATGGTTTGCATTTTTAAATTACTCAACTAGAGCCCCTAAATTAATGCAGTGGCCCCAAATGCATCTAGCCAGGAGAAGCAGTCAGCCCATGAACAACAAAATGGAATTGAGACCAAGGTACCAATGACTGCTTCAAAAAAGAACCAGTGGGAGGCAGTTAGTAGGAACACAACAGATTGCAAACGTGGCCTCAATTCTCTACCCTCCCTGTTATCATATCCTTAGACAATGTGACCTTTCTTCTTCTCCAGTCAAAAAGTAGAGTTTATTTCCCCAGCCTTTAAATACACACTGGTATTTTGATTTGCTTTGGTTAGTAAAATGCAGCTGAAGTAACAATCCATCAGGTCAGCTTAGGCCTCAGACGTTGTGCGTGCTTATACTCATTTGCTTGGAATTTCACTGAGCCACAAAATGAACAAACCTGGGCTAGCTTACAGGAGGATGAGAGATACATGGACCAGAGCAGAGATGCCCCAACTGAGATCATCCTGGTGATCTGAAAGGAGACTCATAAGAGCACCTTATCGGGATAAGCTGAGCCTGAGCCAGATTCACAGAACCACTGGTCACCTGTAGATTTGTGAAGAAATAATAAATGGCTCTTCTTTCAACCCATCAAGTAGAAGGAGGTTGGCAGACTTGACTAAAGTTGTCCAACGTTGTCCAAAACCCTTTGGGGGATATGGTTCCTATTTCAGTCAGATGCTAAATTTCTCTGCCACATATTATCTCTTCTTCATAGAAAAGAAACTGGAGGCTGGGCATGGTGGCTCACACCTGTAATCCCAGTGCTTTGGGAGGCCAAGGCGGGTGGATCATCTGAGGTCAGGAGTTTGAGACTAGCTTGGCCAACATGGTGAAACCCTTTCCCTACTAAAAAATACAAAAATTAGCTGGCTGTAACCCCAGCTACTTGGGAGGCTGAGGCAGGAAAATCACTTGAACCTGGGAGGCAGAGGTTGCAGTGAGCTGAGATCGCGCCAGTGTACTCCAGCCTGGGCGACAGAGTGAGACTCTGTCTCAAAAAAAAAAAAAAAAAGAAAGAAAGAAAGAAAGAAACTTGAATCCCCAAAAGCCAAGTGAGATATGATTCTTCTCTTTCTTAATCTAACTCTACCATCTTGAAGACCCTTGCAGATGTTGGGCCTTCACCCTTAGTAAAAAGCGGCCCTAGGAAAGCAAGCCCTGCTGTCTGACCTAATTTACTCTTGGATGATGGCTACACATCAGTTCCCAAGTCCAGCCCAAGTGAGCCAGGGATTGCTTGTGTCAGCACATGTAGCTCCCCCTGAACTCTGATGTGCTGCCAAACAGTCCTCCTCCCAAAGCAATCAAACCATCCCTTTGCTGGTGATGAAAATGACTGCCTTTGATGTCTCACTGGATCTGAGCTAAAGTATTTCCAATAAAGAAAATGACTCTGCAAAAATACTTTCTTGGTAAGGAGGCAATATGTCAGAGTGTGCCCAAGCAGTGCTCTAAAATACACAGTGATCACCTGGGATCTTGTTAAAATCAGAATCTGATCAAGTAGGTCAGGCATGGAACCTGAGATTTAGCATTTCTAACTATCTCCTAGGTGACGCTGATGCTGCTGGTTTACCAGCCACACTTTCAGTAGCAAAGATCTAAAGCACAGGTTTTGGACAAATAGGCCTGTGACCCAGTTATCCTCAGCTTCGACTTTCTCATCTGCTCATTAAGTTGGCATAAGATATATATATAAGACCATCGTTTAATGGACTAGTTACACCTTCTAGCACACAGGACATGAAGAGAATATGGAGCTATTGTATTATGCAGAGATGTACAGTCAGCCAATGTTTCACATGCAGTCTCCACAGAAATGGGGCCTGATTCTGATAAATGTCCATGGTCCCAGTGCCAGGTAGCTTTCAATATTTAAATTTAGAGTACCATGTTTGTGTCTTGGCAGCCTTACATGCAGATCTAAAGCAGAGATAAAATGCAAGTTGCCTTATTTATGATGAAAAAGGTTAAAATTGGGGGAGAACGGCTACGGTGAATCAGGGTTCTCTGATTTAAAACCTGTGCTATTTCCCATCTTTCATGATTTTCATCTACTTCCCAGACTTATAGCCCCTATTCACATACATTTCTCCTTGTATTCAAAGGTCAATTTGAAAATAGAAGGCTTGGCAAGGTGGCTCACAACTGTATTCTTCTTAGCACTTTGGGAGGCTGAAGTGGGAGGATCATTTGAGCCCAGGAGTTTGAGATCATCCTGGACAACACAGTGAGACTCCATCTCTACAAGATAAATAAATAAATAAATAAATAAATAAATAAATAAATAAATAAGCCTGGCGCGGTGGCACATGCCAGTAGTCCCAGCTACTTGGGAAGCTGAGGTGGAAGGATCGCTTGAGCCCAGGAGGTCGAAGCTGTGGTTGTGATCATACCACTGCACTCCAGCGTGAGCAACAAAGACAAGGTAAGATCCCCCCACTTTTTTTTTTGAGGCACTGTCTATAAGTGTCTCAAAAAAAAAGGAGAAAAAAAAGACTCTGCCTCAAGCAAAAATATTCAGCAGGTTTTCCAAATCCACTTTCCCCTGCAAATAAAATCAATAACAAAAAGAGTTAGGGTTTATGACACTTTTCTCATCAGTTCACTAACGGACCCCTATTAGATATGTTCACTAAATCTTTGCTACTCAAAGGGATGAGAAGCATTGGCATCATCTGGGAGCTTATTAGAAACGCAAAATCAGAACTCTGATCTCCCTAGGCCTGAGCCCCTAGCAGGAGAGGTGGTTGCAGTCTCTGTGGACCAGCAGACTTAGCCTTTCCTCCTGGTAGTTCTGAGGAGTCTGGGCAGCCCAGACGAGTGGGTTTCCCCCCAGCAAAGCACACCCCCTTCATCAAGGGACAATCAAAGTGCATCATAAAACAGGTCCTGTTCCCCATGCCACCAACAGAGTGAGACCCTCCAACAGGGGTTATCAGATACGCGATATGTGAGTGATCTTACTGGCATCAGGTTGGTGCCCCTTGAGGTCAGAGGTCCCAGAAGAAGGAGCAGGCACCCATCTTTGCTATTCTCCTTCTCCTTGAGTGACATCTCCAGGCACGGAAGCGAACCAGATGAATAGGGCCTGAAGTGAATGCCCAGCAAACAGCAGCAGCCCTACAGAAGAGGGATCTGACCATTGAAAGAAAAACAAACAGAAAGTAACAACAGCAGCATCATCATCAACAAGAAAAAGCCCTCACAAAAACCCCATCTTAGGGTCAGCAGCCTCCAAGGTTGAAACTAGACAAACTTAACAAAATGAGAAAGAATCAATGAAACAACATTGAAAATCCAAAAGGCCAGAGTGCCTCTTCTCCTCCAAATGATCGCAACATCTCCCCAGCAAGGGTGCAGAACTGGACGGAGGTTGAAATGGATGAATTGACAGAAGTCGGCTTCAGAAGATGGGTAACAAAAAATTCTGCTGGGCTAAAGGAGCATGTTCTAACCCAATGCAAAGAAGACAAGAACCTTGATAAAAAGTTAGAGGAACTGGTAACTGGAATAACCAGTTTAGAGCAAAGCAAACATTACCTGATGGAGCTGAAAAACACAGCACAAGAACTTCATGAAGCATACACAAGCATCCATAGCCAAATTCATGAAGTGGAGCAAAGAATATCAGAGTTTGAAGACCACCTTGCTGAAATAAGGCATGCAGACAAGATTAGAGAGAAAAGAACAAAAAGGAATGAACAAAGCCTCTATGAAATATGGGACTAAGTAAAAAGACTGAACCTACTATTGATTGAGTACCTGAAGGAGAAGGAGAGAATGGAAGGAAGCTGGAAAACATACTTCAAGATATTATCCAGGAGAACTTCCCTAACCTAGCAAGACAGGCCAAGATGCAAATTCAGGAAATAAAGAAAACATCATTAAGATACTCCATGAGAAGATCAACCCCAAAGCACATAATCATCAGATTCTCTAAGGTCGAAATGAAGGAAAAAGGATTAAGAGCAGCCAGAGAGAAAGGCCGGGTCACCTACACAGGGAAGCCCATCAAACTAACAGCAGACCTCTCAGCAGAAACTCTACAAGCCAGGAGAGATTGGGGGCCAGTATTCAACTTTTTGTTTTTTTTTTTTTTTTAGACAGAGTCTCGCTCTGTTGCCCAGGCTGGAGTGCAGTGGTGCAATCTCGGCTCACAGCAAGCTCCATCTCTCGGGTTCACGCCATTCTCCTGTCTCAGCCTCCCGAGTAACTGGAACTACAGGCACCTGCCACCACCCCCAGCTATTTTTTTTTTTTTGTATTTTAGTAGAGATGGGGTTTCACCATGTTAGCCAGGATGGTCTCAATCTCCTGACCTCAACATTCTTAAGGAATTTTCAACCCAGAATTTCATATTTAGCCAAACTAAGCTTCATAAACGAAGGAGAAATTAAATCTTTTCCAAACAAGCAAATGCTGAGGGATTTCATCACCACTAGGCCTGCCTTGCAAGAGGCGCTGAAGGAAGCACTAAATTTGGAAATGAAAAACTAGTACCAGCCACTGCAAAAACAGACCGAAATATAAAGACCAATGACATCATAAAGAAACTGCATCAACTAGTGTGCAAAATGATCAGATAGCATCATGATGACAGGATCAAATTCACACATAACAATACTAACTTTAAATGTAAATGGGGGTAAATCCCCCATGTAAAAGACACAGACTGGCAAATTGGATAAAGAGTCAAGACCCATTGGTGTGATATATTCAGGAGACCCATTTCACATGCAAAGACACACATAGGCTCAAAACAAAGAGATGGAGGAATATTTACCATGGAAGGCAAACAACAACAACAACAACAACAGCAACAACAAAACCCCAGAGATTTCAAACCTAGCCTATGACAAAACAGACTTTAAACCAATAAAGATTAAAAAAGACAAAGAAGGGCATTACATAACGGTAAAGGAATTAATTCAACAAGAAGAGTTACTATCCTAAATATATATGCACCCAATACGGGAGCACCCAGATTCAAAAAACAAGTTCTTAGAGACCGACAAAGAGACTAAGACTCCCACAGAATAGTAGTGGGAGACTTTAACACCCTACTATCAATATTGGACAGACCAAGGAGACAGAAAATTAACAAGGATATTCAGGACTTGAACTCAGCTCTAGATCAAGTGGACCTAATAGACATCTACAGAACTTCCCACCTCAAATCAACAGAATATACATTCTTCTCAGTGCCACATGGCACTTATTCTAAAATCGACCACATAATTGGAAGTAAAACACTCCTCAGCAAATGCTAAAGAACTGTAATTATAAGAAACAGTCTCTCGGACCACAGTGCAATCAAATTAGAACTCAGGATTAAGAGCCTTACTCAAAACCACACAATTACATGGAAATTGAACAATGTGCTCCTGAATGACTCTGGGGTAAATAATGAAATTAAGGCAAAATTCAAGGAGTTCTTAGAAACCAATGAGAACAAAGAGAAAATGTACCAGAAACTCTGGGACACAGCTAAAGCAGTGTTACGAGGGAAGTTTATAGCACTAAATGCCCACATCAGAAAGCTAGATTGATCTCAAATCAACACGCTAACATCACAATTAAAAGGGCTGGAGAAGCAAGTGCTAACTAATACAAAAGCTAGCAGAAGACAAGAAATAACTAAGATCAGAGAAGAACTGAAGGAGATAGAGACATGAAAAACCCACCAAAAAATCAATGAATCCAGGAGCTGTTTTTTTTTTAAATTAACAAAATGGATAAACTACTAGCTAGACTAATAAAGAAGAAAATAGAGAATAATCAAATGGATACAATAAAAAATGATAAAGGGGATATCACCACTAACCCCACAGAGATACAAACTACCATCAGAGAATCCTATAAACACCTCTATGCAAATAAACTAGAAAATCTAGAAGAAATGGATAAATTCCTGGACACCTACACCCTCCCAAGACGAAACCAGGAAGAAGTCAAGTCCCTGAATAGACCAATAACAAGTTCTGAACTTGAGGCATTAATTGATAGCCTACCAACAAAAAAAGCCCAGGACCAGACAGATTCACAGCTGAATTCTACCAGTTACAGTGAGAAGATGGTACCATTCTTTCTGAAACTATTTCAAACAATTGAAAAGGAGGGACTCCTCCCTAACTCATTTTGTGAAGCCACCATCATCCTGATACCAAAACCAGGAAGAGACACAAAAAGGAAAGTTCAGGCCAATATCCCTGATGAACATCGATGCAAAAATCATCAAATACTGGCAAACCAAATCCAGCAGCACATCAAAAAACTTATCTACCACGATCAAGTCAGCTTCATCCCTGGGATGCAAGGCTGGTTCAACATAGGCAAACAAGAAATGTAATCCATAACATAAACAAAACGAAAGACTAAAACCACATGATTACCTCAATAGATGCAGAAAAGGCCTTTGATAAAATTCAACATCCCTTCATGTCAAAAACTCTGAATAAACTAGGTATTGATGGAACATATCTCAAAATAATAAAATCTCTTCATGACAAACACACAGCCAATATCATATTGAATGGGCAAAAGCTGGAAGCATTCCCTTTGAAAACCAGTACAGGCTGGGCGTGGTGGTTCATGCCTGTAATCCCAGCCTTTTGGGAGGCCGAGGTGGGTGGATCACAAGGTCAGGAGTTTAACCTGGCCAACATGGTGAAACCCCATCTCTACTAAAAATACAAAAATTACCCGGGCGCGGTGGCAGGCGCCTGTAATCCCAGCTACTCGGGAGGCTGAGACAGGAGAACTGCTTGAACCCGGTGGGTGGAGGTTGCAGTGAGCTAAGATCAAGCCACTGCACTCCAGCCTGGGTGACAGAGCGAGACTCCATCTCAAAAAAAAAAAAAAAAAAAAAAGAAAAGAAAACCGGTACAAGAGAAGGATGCCCTCTCTCACCACTCCTATTGAACATAGTACTGGAAGTTCTGGCCAGGGCAATCAGGAAAGAGAAAGAAATAAAGGGTGTTCAAATAGGAAGAGAGGAAGTCCAATTGTCTCTGTTTGCAGATGACGTGATTCTATACTTAGAAAACCCATCATCTCAACTCAACAACTCATTAAACTGATCAGCAACTTCAGCATGTCTCAGGATACAATATCAATGTGCAAAAATCACAAGTGTTCCTTTACACCAACAATAGACAAGCAGAGAGTGAAATCATGAATAAACTCCCATTAACAATTGCTACAAAGAGAATAAAATACCTTGGAATACAGCTAACAAGGGATATAAGGACCTCTTCAAGGAGAACTACAAACCACTGCTCAAAGAAATGAGAGGACACAAACAAATAGAAAAACATTTCATCCTCATGGATAGGAAGAATCAACATCATGAAAATGGTCATACTGCCCCAAGTAATTCATAGATTCAATGTTATTCCCATCAAACAACCATTGACATTCTTCACAGAATTAGAAAAAACTATTTTAAATTTTATATAGAGTCAAAGAAGACCCTACATAGCCAAGACAATCCTAAGCAAAAAGAACAAAGCTGGAGACATCATGCTACCTGACTTCAAACTATACTACAGGGTTACAGTAACCAAAACAGCATGGTACTGGTACCAAAACAGACATATAGACCAATGGAGCAGAACAGAGACCTCAGAAATAACACCACACATCTACAACCATCTGATCTTCGACCGACCTGACAAAAACAAGCAATGGGGAAAGAATCTCCTATTCAGTAAATGGTGCTGGGAAAACTGGCTAGCCATATGCAGAAAACTGAAACTGGACCCCTTCCTTATACCTTTTACAAAAATTAACTCAAGATGGATTAAAGACTTAAATATAAAACCCAAAACCATAGAAACCCTAGAAAAAAACCTAGGCAATACCATTCAGGACATAGGCATGGGCAGAGACTTCATGACAAAAACACCAAAAACAATAGCAACAAAGTCAAAATTGGCAAATGAGATTCTATTAAACTAAAGAGCTTCTGTACAGCAAAAGAAACTATCATCAGAGTGAACAGGCAACCTACAGAATGGGAGAAAATTTTTGCAATCTACCCATTTGACAAAGGTCTAACATCCAGAATTTACAAGGGACTTAAACAAATTTACAAGAAAAAAACAAACAACCCCATCAAAAAGTGGGCAAAGGATATAAACAGACACTTCTTAAAATAAGACATTTATGTGGGCAACAAACATATGCAAAAAAGCTCATCATCACTGATCATCAGAGAAATGCAAATCAAAACCACCATGAGATAACATCTCACACCAGTCAGAATGGTGATTATTAAAAAGTCAAGAAACAATAGATCCTGGTGAGGCTGTGGAGAAATAGGAATGCTTTCACACTGTTGGTGGGAATGTAAATTAGTTCAACCATTGTTGAAGACCGTATGGCAATTCCTTAAGAATCTAGAACCAGGAATACCATTTGACCCAGCAATCCCATTACTGTATATATACCCAAAGGAATATAAATAATTCTACTATAAAGACACATGCACAGGTATGTTTATTGCAGCACTATTTACAATAACAAAGACATGGAACCAACCCAAATGTCCATCAATAATAGACTGGATGAAGAAAATGTGGCACATATACACTATGGAATACTATGCAGCCATAGAAAGGAATGAGATCATGTTCTTTGCAGGGACATGGATGAAGCTGGAAGCCATCATCCTCAGCAAACTAACAGAGGAACAGAAAACCAAATACCGCATGCTCTCACTCATAAGTGGGAGTTGAACAATAAGAAAACATGGACACAGAGAGGGAATATCACACATTAGGGGCTGTTGGGGGTTGGGGGGTGATGGGAGGAAACTTAGAGGACAGGTCATTAGGTGTAGCACACCACCATGGCACACATATACCTATGTAACAAACCTGCACATTCTGCACATGTATACCAGAACCTAAAGTAAAATAACAGAAATTTTATAAACCTCCAAGTTATTAAATTAAACTCATCAATTACCAAAAAAAATGCAAAATCTTGAGTTTCACCCCAGTACTCCTGAATCAATATCTCTGGTGTGAGGTCCAGGAATCTATTTTTAATAACCTCTTCAGGTGATTCTGAGGCATGCTAAAGTTTGAGAAGCATGGCTTTAGGGCCTCAGCTTCACACCATCAATTTGGTCCCCTCTCAACTTGTTAGGAAAGCAAGAACTTAGTCCCTAACCAATGACCTATGGAACTAGAATCTGTATTTTAACAAGATCCTCAGTAGTTCAGTATGCTTATTAAAATTTGGGAAATGATGCTTAAGTCTACAGCATAGCTTCAATCCAATCTACTCTAACAGGAACTGATTAGATAGAATATAGAATTAGGCAAAATATAAATAAATTATTGGAAAAAAGGGAAAGCCAAGTAGTGCTGCTTTTACATTGGATTGAAGCAAATAAAGAAGGAAAGCTTCAGGATTTAATACTCTGCCATTTATAGGGCTGCTTAATAAAGGTTTGGGAATGCATCAGGCTGAAGTGAACTGAGTTATAGACAGTGTTCTTTCTGGAACACAATTGGAATCAATTCCCATCTTGGCAAGAGCTGTGAGAAAAAAGAAGAGTAATGGTTTCCCTGCTCCCTCTCTGTTCAGTTTGGATCAGCAGCTGAGACCAGCAGGAAGGGGGAGGAAGTTTTGTCCTTTGGGTGTGGGTGAGGTATTCCTGCCCAAATTTCTACTCAGGGCGTTGGATTTAAAACAATCTGCCTCTGTCACTTCTGCTTTCCTTGAGGCCGTAGGTATAGAAAGAGACTTCTATGATACAAAAGCATTTTGGACAAGATGCTTCAGTGGACCACATCTTCCATTGTCTTATCTTGCTCACTACTTGCATGGTACAGATTTGGTGTATCAGCCTCTGTCAGCAGCTGTGCCTAGGCTCTTGGATTCTTTGTAATCTGAGGATAAATATGGGAAGAGCAGGCACTTATTGGTATCTGACCAAGACTAGAACCATCTTCAGAGTCTATAATAATTTTTAAAATTGATTTTTAGTATCAAAGTTGCTATATCAAAGTATATATACATATAGTGGCTGCTGACTTAAACATATAACACTCATCTGCTTCCTGCCAGTTCCTCCAAGAAGACCAAGGTGCAATTAGCTAGGCAAAGATTTTATTAGAAAAAATGTCTTGAGAAAAATCAGGGTGAGTCAGGGAAGGCTGGGAGAACTGTTAGATTGAGATGCAGGTTGGAATCCCATGAGGGAGAGAAAGAGAGAAGGAAGATTGTATGGAAGTACCCAAGACAACTGTGTAATCTAAGGAAAGTTTGGCAAGCTTGGCAAAGAGGTCCTGAGCCAAAGTTGGCTGTCAGAGGAACCCCATGTCTTCCAGAAACTGGCCTCCCTTAGTATTCCTACCATGCTCAGTTATTCGTGGAGAGTAGCTTCAATGCAAAGAAGGTGATGGATGTCAGTCTACAGCAATTGAGATCCTTGGTCAATGACTCTCCCTATAGTCAAAGGTGTGCAAGGCACAATCTCAAGGCCATAACTTTCCTCCTTATCAAAAATATACAGTGGATGTTTAGTGTTCAAAGAACCATATACCAGTTTATTTGACATCTCATGGAGCATTTCATAAATATGACATACAGCATATAAATAAACATCCACTGAATATATATATATATATTCACCTTAGGAATTCTGCACTATCAGAGCAATTGTCAACTGTGTGTTTACAAGAAAGCTCTATGGCTCTATGTTTCCTTTGGAGAAATATAGGGGCAATGGGGCCTTTGACATTGTTAGGTGAAACTTGGAAGATGGTTTTGTGATTTGCAACTAAAGTGTTGAGTGTTGTTGAATAGCCTTCAAGAAGGCAAAAGCTCAGTGTGGTATAGAGAGTGGGACGTGATATGTACCCTGCCTTGAAATATCAACAAACTGCTGGCAGCAGGATTTTTTGAGCAGTTCTGTGAGGCTCCAAATTCTCCTCTGACGTAATCCCCGAGGTGATTGTTGCAGATTTTTCAGTAAAGAAAATTGAGAGACATACTATATGTAGCCTACTAAAAATGTTCCATATCATGTTTTTTAATCCCAAAGTTCTTAGGACTTAGTAGTGAGAGAACTAAGCTTAAATTTTATTATATTGTTGTGTGACCTTAAGCAAGTCACTTAATCTCCTTTCAAAGCTATATTTATTCCTCATGAAATGATAATAATAATAATTGATTGCAAGTCCCTTAACAGATTGATTTTGTTTATGAAATGGCACTACTATTTTTTAAAAAAATAAAATGCCATACAAAGGAAAGGTGACTGTGTGAATTGAATTCAAGTCCTCATAAGGAAAACAGAGTTTAAGGACATGAATGGATTGGAACTGGAAACAGAAAGCGCCAAAGAACAGAGTAGAACAACGGGTTGCCTATAATCTCTCTCTAGGTTTTCCTTTCATATTCTTCAGACTCACAGATTCCTCTCTCCCTCATATTTTCAGTTTAAATCCTGGCCCAGCAAAGAGAAGGGCTCTGGACCTGAGATCATCCATCATGGACAACCTCTCTGCCAAGAAAAGCCCAGGGCTACTTCCTTAGGAAGGGTCTTTGGACCAGGGCATTTCAGCAAGAAGGGGAAAATTGGACATGACTGGCACTTAAACAAACCCAACAGGTGCAGACTGTAAATTGGCAAAGTGACATCATCAGTAGAAAATCAGACTACAGAAATCGAGAAGCTTGGCATAGCCCTTCTCTTTCCAGTCCACTTGACCTGGTGCTAACCACACAACTGCCTTAAGCCTTAATTTTCTCATGGAGATGGAAATGGGTTATTGGGAAATTCAAATCAGATAATTTACGTGAAAATATGTTATAATCTCTGAGATGTAAAGCGTGACCACCAGAGTTTAAAAAGAATAGAAGCAAGAAGACAAGCTGAGTCACTAACTTGCCAGGGAAGTGAACACACTCCAGGGAAGAAATTCACTCAATGGTGAGTAGAAAATGCACCACGTTCAAGACTTTTTTTTTATTATAACATCCAACATCTTTGACAAATTACAAATAGAACATAGTGGTTGATTAAGTAAGCGGTGCTATGGTGATGGTAAAAGCTATCCACTAATCTTTTCATAAAAGACAAATGGCAAAGTGGGGATTTCTTTTAACAAAGAATCAAGAGGGCCTTTAGAAACTGAAGAATCAGATTGTAAAGTCGGAAGCATTGGTCTCTGTAACTGTAATCTCCTTTCTTAAAGCTATGTTTTCAAAGACTTGCTGGTTGGCAGACAAGCAAAACTCAGAGCATATTCATGAAAGAACGGACTGAGGACTTGCAAAGACTTTGGAGACAGGAGACCTGTGTCCTGTTCTGCTCCTGACTGGCAGGGTGATACAATGGTACTTGTTTCCCCTCTCTAGGCCTCCATTTTCTCAGCCATAAAACTCTGTCTATAGTTGAGGACTAATTCTAATGTCCTTCCCTCTTTAAAAGACTCTAATCCTAAGGAACTTAATCTCATCATGGCCTCAAAGTCCACTTTTCTCTTTAGAAAGGTGAAATAACATTGAAAATGTTAAAATATGACAACATTGGCATAGCAGTCCTCTATAGTCATAATAATCTTGTAACAAATCACTCCCAAACTTGGTTGCTTAAAATCAGCACTACTTACTATTTTCACAAATCTGGAAGTAGACTAGACAATTTGGCTGATTTTGGCTGGGTGTTGTTGAACTTCACTGGATTTACTCGCATGCTTGCAGTAAACCTGTGTGTAGCTGGGGGATGGCTGGTCTGTGTGGGACTCAGCTGGGACAGGTAGAATGGCTTGGGGTCTTTTCTAATGCCTGGACCTTTTCGTCTTCCAGAGGCTAGTGCAGACTTGTCCACATCAATGGCAGGTTCTCTAAAAGAATGGAAGTACACAAAGCCATTTGGGCCTCGGTTCAGAACTGGCACTTCATTGCTTCCAATGTATTATACTGCATGTTTACATTTACAAAGTACATCATAAAGTAAATTTATAGGTGTGGACATAGACATCAATTTTTGCTACAAAATCACATTGCAGAGGTGTATGGAAACTGGCAGCAATGAAAAAATGGAAAATTTGGCCATTAGTCAACACAACCAGATGATGACTAGATGAGTCTGCATGATTCTCTCTGAAACGTTTTGAAATGTGTTTTTTAAGTTAGACAATTTAAAGCTTCACTCATTAAGTTAGACAATTTAAAACTTCACAGCCAGGTAAATCATAAGCAGTACACAAACATTCATTTTTTTTTAAATGGAAAATCCTCAGAACAAACACAAGAACAGGGACATTACATTTGCCTAAGAAGCCGCAAGTTACTAGATTGTTTACATTTTATCCAACAAACTGTGAGTTTCAAAGATGACCCTAAAGATTCTTTGCTCTTTTTCCCAGTTCAAAAATGATAATAAAACAAGAGAGTTCCCTGATTCTCCTCGCAGGACCTGCGACAGGGGTGTGGCTCAAAACCCCTTGAGGGACAGGGGAGCATGCAGACAGGCAGGTGCAGAGGCTCAGGCGAGCTCTCCGGGCTCCAGCTCCAGCTCCCAGGTAGTGTCTAGGAGTGGGTACCTGCAACTCCAGTGTTACAAAGCTCTTTCAGCTTTGTTGGCCACAGATGGCTTGGGTGTTAATCACCTCAATAGGCCCTCTGTCTTTTCACAAAAGCAGAGGGCCAGTGTAACAGCTTTCTGTATCCTGAGTTCTTGTCCAGAGTCCCGGAAAAATTGGGTCACACACAGACCCGAAGGATGAATGTGAGGTGTTATTAAGTGGTAGAGGAGGCTTTCAGTGTGATGGATGGAGATCTGGAAGTGGGGGATGGAGTGGGTAGGTGATCCTCCCCCGGAGCTGGGCCGCCCAGCAGTTGGACTCCTCTCTGACCAACCCTCTTCTCCCTTTCTCTGCCGCATCATTCTGCCATCTCTCTGGTGGTCTGCTGGCTTGCTGCTTGCTGGTCTGCTCTGGAGTTTGGGGTTCAGGGTTTATATGGGTGCAGGATAGGGGGCATGGCTGGCCAAAGGGCCACTTTTTGGCAATGAAAACAGAAATGCCTATCCTCATTTAGGGCCATGGGTTTTCAGGCTTGAGGATGGGGTGTTTGCTGGGGTACTGCCCTCTTCTACCCAATATTTCCCTGTCTCCTGTCTGTATCAATAACCTAGAGTTTTTTTCTAGTGAAGTCTTCCTGAAAGCTATTACCACCATGCAGAATTATCCAAACAGAAGCCCTGAAACTCCTCTTTTCACGTTAGAGTTGAGTGATGAACATGCACTAGAGATGGAGCTCTCATTCCTCCTCCAGCTTTCCAGACCCACCAGCCTCATTTCAGGTACTCAACAGGCACAAGTGGTCAGTGCACACATAGCACGTCTCTGCCAACACAGAAAGTCCTGATGGAGGAGGTGACTTCGAGAATGTCTACAGATATCTGGAGATAGATGGTCCTGGGTTACATAGGCCAACTCCAGGACATATAGGTGAAGAACTAGATGCCTGGAAAAAGGAGATTGTTATCCAGAATGGACAGCTTGACTAATGTAATGCTTTCTTAGTTATCCTAGCTACTAATTTACTTAGTGACCTTGGGAAATTTATTTCATTTTTATTATTTGGGGAAAAAAGAGATTAGAGTAGATCAGGGTGTCTCAAATTCTCATGTGCACATGAATTACTTGGAGATCGTGTTACAATGCAAATTTTGATGTAGCAGGTGGAAGTGAGGCCTAAGATGTTGCATTTCTAACCTATTCTCATGTGGTGCCTGTGATGCTGATGTTCCTGGTGTATGGACTACTATACTCTTTGAGTAGCAAAGGGTTAGGTCAGAGAGTCATGGAATATTGGCTTAAAAAAAGCCCTTAGGAATTCCCTATCCAGTCCTGTCTCTAAAGTCCTATTCAGCTCCTAGAATCCTTGAGGTTTGGGGAAAAAAAGGTCCATTCACATTCCTCAGGGGGCCTTGGTGCTCATAGCTCTGAAAGAATTTAATGGTCATTTGAATTGTTCTATAAAACAACAAATATGACTTCAGAATAACTCCAGTTTCCTTATAAGGAAAGCCTTAATTCTTGCCTAATGGCCTGCAGTTAAGTGAAGAGCTCTTTTAGCTCCTATTTTCAACTCAATAGAGGCAGGATAATCTTTACATCTGCTTTAATTGACCTCCTCAAGGCCACTCTCATCAAGTGTTTATTCTATGCAGGAAAACATGGCTGGTCCTAATAACTGCTGTTACTTAAAACCAGCAAAAAGAATATCAGAGGAGCAGCAGAGAATCATACACTCAGTCGACAAACTTTCCAGCTTTTTTCATGTGGGTGCATATGGTGGCCGGTGGAAAAATACTACATATTACCACAAATATGCTATACTGTATATATAGTTTATATATAGATATACTACAATATATTAATTTATTGCACACCTCCATGAAGCTCCACAGTGTGCTCTGAAGTTCACAGATTCTTAGTCTTGAATACAAGACCTGCTACTTTCTTATGAACCAGGCAATGAGTGCTTTTAGTGAGCTGTACCACCAGACGCAGTGCTACCCTCTACAATTGGAGTCATTCAGTTTGTCCTAAATGGGTGGGCATATTTTCTGCATTTGCAATTTGGATTTCAAGGCTGGGAATACTAGAGCTGAGGAAGCCAGAGTACAAAAGGAAAGAATAAAAGGGCAAAGGACTAAAACCAACAGAGAAAGGCAATTACAAGGTGTATAAATGTACACTGTGCAGAGGTAAGGATTTATTACACTGTGTGTGTGTGTGTGTGTGTGTGTGTGTGTGTGTGTGTTTTGCATGAAAGGTAAGGGGAAAAAAGCTGACATTTGTTAGGCGGAATTCGATAAGTGCAGTTGCAAAGAATAAAGGGAGCTTTCAGAAAGCAGGCAGCTGCAGCGGAGCCTGAAGCCATGGTACTTGATACCGCAATATACTCTCTCAATGATTCTAGGCAGCTTTTGAGAACAGCAGGGAGGCATTCAGGGTGGAGGACAATGGCAAATGTCAAGAATGAAAGAAAGAATCTAGAGTTTAAAAGACTGTTGAGTGACAAGTAGGCCAGATCAAAGAAAGAAATTTATCAAGTATTTATAATTATCATGCTAATAGAGATCAATAATCATGAAGAGAAACCATAGCAAAAAAAAAATAAATAAATAAGCCAATGGCTTTCAATCTTAAAAACAAATCCCCTCAACAAAAAGACAGTAGATGAAGCAATCGATGGAAGATACAAACATTCACCTTTTCATCCATTCTGATTTTTCATTTTATATTTTGTTACTCAAGTCATCAATGAAAAGCAAGTGTCTTAAGCTAGTCTGAATTTCTTTGTTTTGAAAATTATACAGTGGAAAGATTTTTAGAGAAGCACAAGATGGGGCTGGTGTATCATCCACTGCAAATGGAGCCACAGATACCATGTCTAAGCAAGACATTTTGATCCACAGGAAATATTTTGGGAGAGGCAACATTCTGAAAACATATCACCTAGGTCCTCCGGGCTTGTTTTCAACTTCCTTCTCACTTCCGTGCTGTGCCCCACACAGGTGTGCATGTGCAAAGCTCTCTCATGGCAGATTGGGAGGTCGGGCTTGAAGGAAAAACCCTGTGTTTGGAAACTTGCTTGGGCTTGCTAAGGACCAGGGTGGTTTGGAAGCCCAGGGAGAAATGTTGAAATCAGTCATTGCGAAATCCCTTTTGCAATAAGTAATGAATAAAGACTGAGGAAAAATCTCTTTCCTCCCCAAAGTAAAAACCTACCACTTAACTTGTCTAAACAGCTTGTCATAATAGAAGCTTAAAGGCAACATGAAGTGCTTCCCACAGCCAAGGCCAGAACCTCCAGCCATCACTGATTGATTGGTTCATTCAGTAAATATCTGTCAAGAAACAGTATATGACAAGCACAGTCCTGGACACTGCACCGAAGAACAGAAACATGACAACTCCCTTTATAGCTGTCAGACATCAAACCGAGACATCACCTCCTCAGAGAGTTCACTGACACTTTATCTCACCTGGCCCCACCTCAATTACTCTCTATGTTGTGGCTCTGATTATTTATATCATAGCCCTTGATACATCTGAATTCTGTTATTTTAAAAAATCAGGGCCTGTCTCCACCCACTACAATATCACTGCAAAGACCTATTCTGAATTGCTCAGTGCTGTATCCCTAGCATTTAGAACAATGCCCTAGATATAGTAGTAGCTCAAAAAAAAATGTTTCTTAAGGGAACAAATGAAGATGATGTAAACCATCTGACAACCCCACTAAACAGAGACAATGTCCTACACAAAGAGAAAACTTCAAAGCAGTAAGTGAAAGATCTATAAGATAAATCAACACATTTCTATTGAAGTTAAATTTTAAAAGATCACTTCGAAAAAAGTCCACTGGAGGAAACTCCTAAAATTTTCCATTTGGCTTTGGATCCAAATCAGCATTAAAAAAATATCCCCTAGTAACTCATTCATTTTTTTTAAAATGACATCCTGGCAATAACATGTTCTGATCAGTAGAACATAATAGAGTTCAGAAATTATGCAAAATGCACACAGGAGTTGAACATATATCAAAGGCAACATTTGAAATCAGTTATGTTGTATTGTTTAAGAAAAACCTGATTTGTCTTCTCAAAATAATTTAAATTTGGATCTTATTCTTTATCTCAATATAAATTGCACATTAAATTACTCTTTAATGTAATTAAACAGAAAGTTCTAGAAAAGAACCTTGGTAATGTGTAACATAATTTGTAATGAGAAATGTATAAAACTTTCTAATTGTTTTAGGCTATTCTTGCATCACTATAAAGAAATATCTGAGACTGGGTAATTTGTAAAGAAAAGAGGGTTAATTGGCTCATAGTTCTGCAAGCTCTACAGGAAGCATGGTGCTGGCATCTGCTCTGCATCTGGGGAGGCCTCAGGGAGCTTTTACTCATGGCAGAAGGCAAGATAGGAGCAGGCACATTACTTGGTGAGAACAGGAGCAAGAGAGAGCAAGGAGAAGATGCCACACCCTTTTAAACAATCAGATCTTACAAGAATTCACTCACTGTCACAAGGACAGCACCAAAGGAATAGTACTAAACCATTCATGCGAAATACACTTCCATGATCCAGTCACCTCCTACTAGGCCCCACCTCCAACACTGGGGATTACCAATCAACATGAGAGTTGGAGGGAATGTCCAAACTGTATCACTAATTAAAAAACATTATATCTAAAGAACAAAGTCAGAAGAGAGGTGATAACAAGCAAGGGAAATATTCATAATTCATATTACAATTGTCCTCAGTTTGTAAAAAGATTTTATACATCAATAAGAAAAAGTGAGCAAGGATTTAAACAAGCAAAAGAATGCAAAGATTTACAATAAATGAACCAATGTTGAATATTATACAAAATTTTAAAATCCAAAATAATATAGCAATGTGACATAATTTCCTACCTTAAAAATGAAGAACATATTTTAAGTATATTTTTATACCATGTTGGTAAGATTGTGATAAAAAATATATTCAAACATTGAAGGTAAAAATAGATTACTATATTTTTAAACGGCAATTTGGTAATGTGTTTGAAAATTAAAACATGTGCCCTTAGTCCCACCAAATTGCTCTAGATTTTTTTAGATATACTTTCATATATGCAAAAGCATGATGATGGAGAAAGAGAAGGAGAATGAGAGAGCAAAAGAGTGAAAAAAAAAAAAAAAGGAAGAGAAGGGGAAGGAGAGGGAAAAGGAGAAGCAGCAGCTGCCAGGTGCTCATTTACAGAGCTGTTTATCCAGATAATGGAATAAACTGCAACAAAGAAAAGAAGTAGATTTGGGTTGATTTAGAAAAGTCTTTAAAATACCAACAAAAGACAAAGAGGGAATAGTGCGACATTAAAACAAACAAACAAACAAATATAAGAAAATAAAATACCCATATACTCTGGAAGAAAGTACAAGAAATTGTGCCCAATATGAAGCAATTGTCTCTGAGCTGGAAACTTACCCTTCCATGCTCTGCTTTGAGGCTGGTGCTGGAACTCCACAAACCGTGTTCTCCTTGGCCATGTGACTTCCTGTTAAGGTTTGGCAATAGATCACTGATTATGGATACCTTTTCACTGCCCTACAAATCCTCTACACTCTGCCTTTCAGAAACAGGCCTTTTAATATGTAATGCATAGGTGGTTGGGGAATGAAACTGTATAATGTGTGTAGAGTCTGTAACCTGCTTGGCTCGTGGTTAGCAGCAGCAATCCACTTTTTCATTCACTGAACGAAGATTTATTAAAGGAAAAAAAATGTGGCTCCCGTCCTTACACACTTTGTCTTCTTGCTGTGCAGGCAGTAGGTTGAAAACTGTTATTTGATTATGCTGTCAGGACGTAGTGCAAGGCAAATTCACTGTAGCTTTTTATAATTTGTCACACACACAAAAAAAATTGAGGCCCCTGTTGGCACGCAGACAGGAAAGAGTAAACCAGGTAAACGGGAGAAGCCGTTTGTCATGGAGCCCGATTCCATTAGTCAAGTGGTTTTCAATCAGATGATGTTGTCCTCCTGGAGATTTTAGGCAATGTTTGGAGACATAACTAGGGGGATTGCTACTGGCACCTTGTAGGCAAAGGAAAGATGTTACAAAACATACTACAACACACAGGACAGATCCTCACAACCAAGAATTATCTGGCTCCAAGTGTCAATAGTGGCAAGGTAAGGAAAGCCCGTGTTCTGAGAACTGAACCACTGTGATTATCAGGGAGCGGGATGTCTCTAGGAGTCTCGGTGTGAGAGTCATTCTCACCTGCTCCGGCAAGTCCCCAAAGCTCCCAGTTTCAATTTCCTCATCTGCAAAATGAGTATAATAGAATCTTCCCACCTCCATAATTGGTCATGACGTGCAAATCAATCCAAAGATGAAAAGCTTTAAGAAGTAGACCAGGTGGACAATTTTAAACGGGTACCTTTCTGTTATTATTACTGGCCTTTTCACAAAATAAAAATTGCCAGCAAACTTCAAAGATTCTGTTAATTAAAAGAGACTTATCAAAACCAACATTGGTATAATTATGGCACCAGCACCCAATTTTCGTCACTAGGAATATGGCTCATTTCGGGGGCTTGCATTATAACATCACAGGTTCAAAAGGGAATCAAAATTAAATGAGTTTCTTAATAGTGCCAACATTCCAAACATTTGATGTAAAAATAAACAAAGAATATATTATGGCTGCACATTATTCATTCTGTTTATAGATACTTCTCCTTTCAATACTGTCCCGGGCACAGGGAGCCAGTAATACAAGCCATGCCAAGAATCACAAATTGTGTCTTGCTTGGTACTTGACTAGTTTTCCAAAGTTATCAAGGTTCATTTAATAACCAACTTGCCAGTAGCTGTTAAGGAGCATGAGGAGATGAGTCAATGATTTATTTTCTTCTGTGAGTTCACTCCTTGATCGTGGTCCCTCGCTTAGAGGACCATTTGTCTTGTAGCTTTATTCCTTAGGCTGTCTCGTTCATCTTCTTTCTAACTCCAGCATGTATGTAATCTATTATGAGTCCAGCAGGTTAAGACATTTCCTCATCCATATTGTAGCTTTGCAAAAAGTGAGTATGCAATGTAATCAAGTAAGTTAAGTTCTGTGAACACTTCTCAAGGGAATTCTACTTATGTCTCAGTCTTCCATTGCATCTTTGCAGAGATTCCTGGTGAACATTTACTGAAGGAAATGAGTGTGGTCCTCTCATGTTACAATCAGTAAGCTGAAAACTGCTACTTGATTGTGCCATCAGATCATAATGAAAATCAAATTTACCACAGCTTTGTACAATTTCTGAAAAGAGGACCCTATTCGCCTGTTCACTGCAACACAGCAGCATCAACACAAACCCCACCAGACAGAGAAGTTCGAATGATTTCATAAATCCCATTGCTGTGGGAAAAACAGGGCCTCATGCTAGGGGTCTGTGGCCTCACCAATTGCATAGGTCAAGATGGTGGTGGGGAGGAAATAAGGTAAGAGCTGATGAATATATGACTTTCAGAAGCTACATAAGCCAAGGGACAGTAGACTTGGTAGAGTTTAACCATTCTTTGAGACCCTTTCAAAAAATCTGATTAAAATATAAACAAGGAGAGCTTTGATCAACAGAGCCAAGTTTTCCTTCAGTGTTTACCAAGCACTAAGTCCTGCAGTCTGGTGGATTCTGGAATTACGGAGATGAGTAAAACTCAACGCCTTTACTCAAAGAACTCATGGCCTATTTGATGATTCAAGGATGTCTACAAAACAATGAACTAAAGTAGGCTTTTTATTCAGGAAGCAGAAAAGATAGCAGACTTAAGACAGAGTGAGGCTATCAAAAACAGCCAACCATCTTTCAAAACAAAAAAAGTCCTGCTGAGAGAAACTGGGAAGGAGAAGCTCCCGCGGTAGTAAAAGAACATTGGTCTGGGCTTCAAGACACCCAAAAAGGACACTGAGGGCACCTAGACTGACAAGAAATTTCCCTTCACTGGTAACATCTCCATTTGAGAGAGGATTCTGTTTGGCATGGTGAACAAAATGAAGAGTCAGAGAACCATTGTCATCTGCCCAGACTGTGTGCACTACATGTCCAAGTATAATTGTGTTGAGAAGTGCCATGAGAATATGCCTGTGTACCTATTCTCCCACTCAGGGACATCCAGATCGGTGACATTGTCACAGTGGGTGAGTACCAGCCCCTGAGCAAGACTGTACACTTCAACATGCTCAAGGTCACCAAAGTGTCCAACACCAAGAAACAATTTCAGAAGTTCTGACTATGGACATCTTCCCATTCACCAAAATGAAGTAAAGTTATTTTCTCATCCACACACACCCACAAAGATCTAAAGGGGCATCCATGTTTACAGGAGGATATGAATGCATTGGCTGTGTCTGAAAGAATCAGGCATGGCATCCCCAACCAGGAGATGTTCAATAAGAGACTTAAAGGGAAAATGGAACAAGGTGTAGGGCATGACTGGAACATGGGCATATGTTAGTAAACTGCAATGACACAAACTAGGAAGTATGATTCATATTGGGGGTGTCCATAGATAAGCCTGGAGATATTGGCCAGGTCAGAGCTTGAAGAACCATGTGATGGTTCTGGCTGTGATGTTTATATTTTACAGAATGCATTGGTAGTTACCAAATTTTGGCATTTCATGCACCAAGAAATTATCCCCAAATGAGTGGGGTGCTCACATAGGGTGTTAATTTTTTTTCTGTTATCATAACATGGCATTAAGGAACAAATCTCTGTAGCAGAAATTCCCAGTGAAAACTATTTTATATCTCAAGCATCCCTTCCTGGACTTAACTTAAACTTAAAAACTACACTTTTCACTCCTTGACTTTACCTTGGGCCACAAGACTTGTTGTGGCCAGTAGTCTGGGATGTGGATCACTTTAGTGCTAAGGCAGAGATAAGTTCCAGTGTATTTTCCAGCTCTTTTCATAGTGACCCTGGGGGGCCACATGTTTCAGATGGCATTGCTAAAATGGGTAGGCAAGTAGTCTAAAATCTTTCATTACTGCTTGGAAAAATGATTCCTGAAAATTCCTCTAGACCAGCAGCAGTCTTTGAGTGAATGAGAGATCAACTTTCATGTTAAGCTTTTGAGATTTGGGGGTTTATTTCTGCACCTGATAAAGCCTCTCCTAATATACAGTCATTTAATAAAGAGAATATACTTGCAAATTTTAAAACAAAAAATAATAACCCCAGAATAACATGAAGTCCTTTAAATTCAATAAGTTTAATATAAAAAACTCTCTATATTACATATTTTCCTAATTTAACTCTGGATTTAAAAAAATAAACTATTTTAAGAACAACATGATTCATTAAAATAGAATATAGATAACTTTTCTGAAAGGGGGGGTGAAGGTCTTAAGGTGAGTGATGGTCGTAACATGATGAAACTTATATTTAGACAGAACAATCTACTGCCCAGAGAGGGTGATCTGGAAATACGATGGAGAAAAGATGATGTCAAAGTTGAGATGTCTCCAAAGAGCCATAGACAAGATGAATGTGTGTGTTGAAGGAAAAAAAAAATGTGTTTTACTGCCTAAAGAATCAGCAGCTCTAAGGCTATTAGTGTTGTCTTGAAGATGATAGAAGAAGTGCTTTTTTTCTTTCAGAAGATATCAGATTAAAAAAAAAAATTACTAGCTGCTGTACTACCACTACCTTCTGTTCCCAGGGGACACTTCCTGGCTCACTGCATCGCTCCAGCCTTGCAGTATCCTAAGCTCCAATTCTGTCAAATAACCACCGAATTTGCCATACATTATGGATCATTCTAAACCAAAAGCTTTATATGAAAGCACTTTCAGAGAAATACAGTCAGAATCTATGTTTTATCAGTGGAGTATAAATTCTGATTCTCATATAGAAAAAAATCTAGTTTTGAATAACATTTTGAAAGAATATATAAATATGCAGAACTGTAATTGCAAAGAAAATAAAACTAGTATTCTCTAAGTAGAAAAGGACTTTTAACACTGTGTAATGTCTTATAAGGGCAATGCTTTTTAATTACTATCAAACAACAAATAGGTTATTGGATCTAGACTTTATATTCTAAACTCTAGATTCTAGAGCATACTGTATAGCATGCTTAAGTGAAAAAAAGGTACGAGTAACAGAAGGCAGTAGGAATCCATATTTAAGATAACATAACCAGGTTGCCTTCTTTACCCAGAGTACTCTTACCTTTCCTGATGAGTTTAAGAGGAAAACAAAATGCCTTCCAAGGAGCTGGGCGTTCTCTCTTGCCAAATTGACAGCTCAGAATTCAGTACAGGTTGAGGGTATGGATGGAAAATTCTGGTGTGCCTCGCAAATTCTAGCTTCATTATTTTATTATTTCATTTTAATTAGAAACAATCAGCATTTTGCCAGGCCTGCCAGGAGGATATCGACAATTCCTAATCCCATTGTGGAATTAAGGAATGTTAGATACATTTCGTTATCCAGGCAATGTGGATTTTGATGCATCCTTATCATCTAATTTCTCTTAAATCATTTCATGTATACTTTGCTCCTGATAAATTATTGTTCTCTCAGCTTGGAAGATCTTCTCCTTCTTTGGATATCTTCATTTTCATGTACACACACACACACACACACACACACAAACACACACATAAGCACACACTATGTGTGAAGCTCTGCTTCATCTTTGCCATTTCACACTCACTGGCTTAACTTCCAACGTGTCAGCACTTGGCCTCTCTTTGTCTGTGGCCTTTCTCTGGCCAAGGAAACCAATTCTGACCTTGCACAGGCAAGCAGAAAATGCCAGAGAATTAACGCCCTCCTCCCCCAGGAGCAGCCTCAACCTATGGGTGTCAGGAATAATGCATAAAAACCGCAGCTTTCTCATCCTTTGGAGAAAATTCATCTAAAGTGCTTGCTCAACAACCCTTCCCAGGGCTTCCCATAAGGACTTAAGTTGCCCACTGTGGTAACTTTCTTCATATGTGAACCTCACTGACTGTTCTCCCTTCTTTGTCTCACTTTTCTACCTCTCTACTGGTGTTTGACTCCTTATTTCAGAGTCTACTTCTGGGAAAACCCAAACTAACACACACACACACACACACACACACACACACACACACACACAACCAGAGACAGCTTAATTACAACTTCTGAAAGGAAGGTTACTCTGATGAATCATGCAGAAGATGATCTCTCCACCATCTTAATTCCCAAAGCACAGGATCTGTACCTTTCTACAGGACATTTCACACTTTTGTGTCTATGCCAACTTCTCTTAAGGGCAGCAAATTCCTAAAGGGTATTATCCACACTATTTCCAAAGTGTGTCTTCCATAACACCTGTCTCCATGTTGGCAAAGAAAAATTAGATAAGTCTTGACTTTGAAATTTGAAATATAAGCCCTACACATGCTGCCGTTGAAACTCAGTTGGCAAAAAATCAGTCATTCCAAACAAAAACAAATCTAGTATTTTTAAGAGAGTTCTATCTAAAGGCAATGCATCTTGATTTCTGCAAGGTATTTGACAACATTATGCACAATATAATTATGGAGGATTTAGGGAAATCTGGGCCAGGTGATATCACAGGTACATGAAAGTATAGTGTGTTGAACAATCACAACATACTGGGAAGAGGTTTAGTGACAACCTGCGTGAAACTGGCTGAGGATGTGTCAGGTCTCTGACATTGACCTTTGACTATTACAAGACATTTTTAGTGAGAAAAAAATTATGTTTCTCACTCACTATCGGTTTGCTGAAGTTTGGCTGATGTTATCTGGGCTTGATGAAATTTGGCTCTAAGCTGAGGTCTCTTGTATTTTATATCAAGAAATAATACACAGATTGATAAGTATATTCATTAGATTTATAAACTATAAAAGCTGGAAGAGAACTAAAATGTTTTCTGGTAGAATCATGAGTCAAAATATCCTTCATAAATTGGAATAACTGGCTAAAATCAACTAGATTTACGAGAGGCCAATGTAAGATGTGTGACTGAGATCAGGTAATTTATATTAAGGTACAATAGCCATAACAGACTTCATGTCTAATCATACAAATAAAGACTTTCATGGTTAATGGAGTTAATATTATTCCATAAGAACCAAAATATAGTAGTTAAAAATAAAACCTAATACAATCTTAGAAAGCATTGATAGACATGAAACTTTTTTTTTTTGAGAACTACATTCTGGATATTAATAAAACATGCCTTCCTTTAGTTCTTCCCAGTTCTTCCAAACTCTGCACAAGTAGTTCTGGGGGTCCTCAGGGAGAGTCTCATAAGCTCTCAAGCAGGAGGTGGAATCTACTCTTTCCATTGCTCCTTCACAATCCACAAGTACTGCTCCATGTTTCCTGGAGATTCTGCCTTATATCCCAACAATGCCTGCATAGACAGGTACCTAAGCCCTCTCCTTTTTCTTTTCTTCTCCAGATGTAGCTCTCCCAGAGCACAGCTCAGGGAATTACATCAGTGCTATGCTTCCACTGTACCCCACACGAAGAAAGGGCTCTGTGTGCTTGGTTACATAGACCACAGAACAAAGTTACTTCACACTCTGGGTGCCTTAGCAAAATCATAGCCCCTGCACAACACTGCTACTCAAGTTGAAGAGAATGGACCAGAGTTCATGGGTGGCAGACTGTTGTCTAAAATGCTGACATCTGACACTGCCTCTTGTTCTTGCATGAAATTTTATATAATCATCTCTTCCTTTAGGATGTCCCATGCAGATAGATCCATCGTGGGTGCTTCCTCAGACCTGGCCAGGAGGCCTGAATTCTAGAGTAGGCATAGCTAAGGCTCAAACTGGGACTGTATGCTGGAGTCAACCACAGTGGGTTTAAATCTTAGCTCCAGAAATTACTTAATTACCTCTCCTTGGGTGAAGTTGATTTATCTTTCAAGCCTCAGCTCTCTTATCTGTAAAATGAAGATGCCAGTACCTATTTCAGAGATATTAAGTGACTTTTTAGGAGGAATGAAGTGATACACAGAAAATACTTAGCACAGCACTGGGCACATACTATTTTATCAAGGGATAATCACTGCTATTATTATTACAATTATTATAATTATACTTCTCTAGATTATGCTGCATGTACTGACCATGGAAGAGTCTGCTAGCCACAAAAACTCCACATTTAAGAACATTGACCTATAGGATGATTTCTGTACCAATCACCCAAGAGTCTTTGCTGACAGATGTTTAGGACATACACTTCCCAGAGCAATCTTCATTTGCTATGAGGAGGAATAGGAACAGGACGACAGAAGAGCTCTAAATACCTCTACTGAATAAAATTTAGTAAATTCTGGAGTTTAGTAACATAACTAAAAACTGAAACAGTACATTTATGAAGCACTATTGAGTAAAAAAAATTTAAATAGCTCATTTTAAAAAAGTTATTTTATTAAAACTGTATTTTTAGAGAAAAATTATTATTGATATTATTACTATGAAGATGGCCATCACTCTCTGCTCTGTGAGTCAGTACAGACTACCAAATTGTCTCTAGAACCATTTAAGAAGCCATGATGAGGTGGAAAGGATTTTATAGAAGTAAGTCAATTTGAGTGAGGTCTAGATAGCTGCAGATGGCAGATTCGGAGATGTAGAAATCACAGGGGAAAATTGCTAATACATTAGTTTGTCTAATTATAGAAGGGACTGCTTAACAAATTAATATCCTTTAGACTTCAAAGGAACCTTGTAATTAACACAATTTGTTTGCAGTCCAGGAAACAAATCTAGGTGGGTTAAGTGATATTCAGTTCTTCTTAGGAAATATCAGAGGCAGAATGAGTACCAAATCTCCTGACTCTCTGTCTAGTGATCTGCCACAACCTAAGCTTATTCCTCTGCCCTAGAGTGGCCCACCTGGCAAGGGTGTTACATCGTTGTAGCAGGGCTTCTCAGATTCTGTGGTGAGGAATGAGTTTTCTTTCCAAATCCCTTATGAGCCAATATTTTTGTTCTGTACCCAGTTAATGAGATGAATCCATTGAACATGCACTTGGATGTCAAGTAACATAAAATTTCTTAAGGTTTGTTTTCAATTTCTGTACTTATCTCATGCAGATGGCTAGCAGTTTCTTTCTTTATTTTAATTCACTGAGGGTCTACACATTGGATATCATCCTAACCCAAATTCAGTGTGTCCTACAATGATTTTTAAAAATTTTTAATAGGTACATTTGATTGATTGTGCTTCAGAATGGTCTTACTAATTTTTCTTCAAAAATATTTTTAATTCTTCTATGAGGTAGGCAGCATCTAAGATGGCTCAGATGGTCCTCACCTACTGTCATCAAGCTCTATACAACTCTCTCCTGGAATGTAGGCTAGAATTATTAACTCACTTATAATGAATAGAAGATAGCAGACCTGATGAGATGTCAATTATGCAATTAGGTTATAAAAATACCTTGGCTTCTGTCTTGGGCTCAGGTTCTCTCTCTGTTTTGTTTCTCTCTCTCTCTCTCTCTCTCTATGTCAGGGTCTCTCTCTCTCTCTTTCTCTCCACTCTCTTTTTCTTCTCTTTCTTTGTCTCTCTATTCTTCTCCCTCTTTCCCCTTTCTCTTTCTTCTCTCTCTCTCCTTTTTCTCTCTCTTTCTCTCCCTCTCTTTTTTCTCTCTTTTTTTCTCTCTCTCTTTCTCCTCTTTCCCTTTCTTTTCTATCTCCTCTCTCTCTCTTCCTTCCTGTCACCCTCCCCCCTTCCTCCTTTCTTCCTTTCTTCAGATTCCAACTCTGGCAGCAGATAGCTGCCAAGCTGTTAGCAATCCTGTGGATGAAGCCACATGGCAAGCAAGCGATTGTTGCTTACCCAGCAACAGCCAGTGAAGACCTGAGACCTCCTACCAGCACCCACATGAGGGAGCTTGGAAGCGGATCCTCTCCAGTCAAGCCTTGAGATGACAGCAGCCCCAGCTGATATCTTGATTGCAGCCTCATGAGATCCTGAGTCAGAGGCACTCAGCTTAAGCTACAGCCTGGATTCCTGACTCAGAGAAACTGAGATAATAAGTGTTTGTTGTCTTATGCCATTAAGTTTCAGGTAATTCATTATATAGCCATAGATAACTAACAGGTCCTGCTATGAGCATAGCCAGAGAAATCTGCAATCAGCATCAACAATGAACATAAATAAGTACACTTCCTTTTTATTAATAGTTACATAGTTGAAATGCAGTTGAGGAAATGTGAAGCCCTATCTATACCAATTGGGTATAGAAGATGCTCTTCAGGGTTAACATACCCATTCTCCAGGTGATGGAAACAGTGAATACTGATGGCTCAGAATTTCTTCCCTCATTGGAATTTCTCTTGGCTTCAAGGAACTATCTCTTCCAACATTACACCATCTTCCAGGGGATGGCTGTGGACACGACTGATTAATGTAAAAACACAGGAGTCTGGCCCCCTTGTTTCAATTGCAACAGCTCAAAAGACCATCCCAGTTCCGAGCTCCCTGTGGGGTCAGCTGAGACCCCCTTCATAATGGCACTGGGGTCAGCTTTTCTGTTTGCCCAATATTGCTCCTCACTTCCTTACAGGTTCACCTTCTAAGAGCATGCCTTAATAAACCTTCTACATACAACTCCTGATGTATTCTGGAGAATCCAGTTTAAGGCATTTGTGTTTCTGGTTAAATTCTTCTCCCAGGACATTGTGTGATAAAATCTTCCTAAGTAAATATTTTTCTCCCAATAAGCTCATTGGGTTTTATTATCTTCCCTGGATAGATCCCAGCTCAGCCTTCTTTATCACCATTAGCATGACCTCTTCTTGCATGCCTACAGCTCAAGCTTACACTGACAGGTGAACATCACACAGTTGGGGAAATAAAGTGGGCTAGTGGCCTCAGCCACTTGTTTGTAAAAATCACTGAGCCTTTTCAGTCTCCAGAGATGTTCTTATAGTTCAAGTCACATCTGGCAAATGAAATAAAGACATAGCTCATTCCATGCTTGTCTTGGCTGTGCCAGAGAAGCCCCAGACCAGATCGGACATCGCAGCAGGACTTTTGTTACACTAAGAAAAAAACGTGGGCAATTGTTCTTTTCTCCTTGAACCTCCTGCTGTTTAAGTCAGTCGATCTCTGCCTCCAACTTAGGCAAGCAGCTTTATTTTCTCAAGCAGATTTTGTTACAGACAGTGTGAGATCATCTCTCACCTTTTTGAATGAGAATAAGAATACAATGAAAGTTGGAAAGAATAAACATTTTTTGAATACTAACCAACTGAATGCTTACAATACTCCAAAGATCTCTAAAAATTATCCCTATTCAGCAAGTGAGGAAACTGAAGTATGAGTAGCTTGGATAAGATCTCATGAACTATACATGATCTGAGAAAAATGATTCAATACTAAGATATAATGCAAATAGTCGATGTACCTTTTCAAAGCACTACCTGAACCTTGTCTAATAGGCCCTCCCAAGATTATTTAATTTTCTAAGGCGGGTTTTGGCAAACTGTGACACACTAGCCAAATCTGACCTTTAACATGTTTTGTAAACAAAATTTTATTGGAACACAGCCACATTCATTTATGTATTTTCTATGGCCACTTTTGTGCTGCAATGGTACACTTGAGTGGTTGCAACAGAGACCATATAGCCCACCAAGTCTTAGATATTTACTATCTGGTTCTTTATGGAAAAGCTTTGATGTCCTCTGCCTGAGTTAGTATTTGCTACTGACTATGGACCAGTCTCAAAGACACCTGTATAGGATTTGTATGGTTAAAAAAAAAATAACTCCAAAAGTTTCAGTCTTTTTGCCTGTGGAACATTAACCAGGGTTGAATCAAAGCTAGCATTTTTATCCCAGAACCATTTTAGTGCCTATATATATGTTTAGTCTCTTAAATTCTCTTTCAACCACTTTACCACCTTGCTGATTCCTTTATTAGTAAATTAAATAAATTTTTGACTCATGCACACTATTTTCTATGTATGTATGTATGCATTTATTTATTTGTTTATTTATTTATTTGAGACAGGTTCTTGTTCTGTCACCCAGGCTGGAGTGCAGTGGCACCATCGTGGCTCACTGCAACCTGGACCTCCCAGGCTCAAGCCATCCTCCCGCTTAAGCCTTCCAAATAGCTGTGATCACAGAAGCATGCCACCACACCTGGCTAATTTTTTAAGAGAATTTTTTTTGCAGAGCTGGGGTTCTCACTATGTTGCCCATGTTCATCTTGGACTCCTGGGCTCCAGTGATCCTCCTGCATCAGTCTACTGAAGTGCTGGGATTACAGCTGTGAGCTACTATGCCTGGCCCTCACTATTTGTATCAGATAAGTATCCTTAAGTTTGTGAAAAGTATACCTTGACATAGACCTGTGATTTGAAAAAAAAAAAATAGAGTATATGATTTTTAAACACCTCCTTCTATTCTGTTGCTTCTTCATCTGTGGAAATTAAAAAGTAGACATGTTGATGAGCCTTTCACTGTAATGTTAAAATGAAAGAGCCAGAGATCATAAAGATTGTTCCCCCTTAAACTGAGTGTGAGTTCTTTGGGCAAGAACTCTTATGTAAGTCTAATAAACACATCTTAACAAATAGCTTCATTCAATGATGCAAAAAAAAAAAAAAGCATGTTTCCATTCAAGCCCTAGCAAGCAGGAATTGATTTGGAAGAGAAATTGAATGTCTCAGCTCATTTTGTTGTTGTTTTATTTTCTACACTCAGAATACTACCAGGGTTCACTGGGATGAGGAAAAAAAGCCTTTTGAAAAAAGAAGGTCACTTTCATGCAAGCTACTTTTCAATGAACAACATTAGGAGTTTAGGAGACAGGAGGTCAGATGATTCTTCTCACAGCAAAGGCTATTTTTGGTTTACCTTTGACCAGCATCAGATGAGATGTAATTGTCCTCTTTTGAAAAATTAGTATTATAACCCTTTCATTGGAAATCTTTGAAAAATCTAAACAATACATTCAAATTGCCTGTAGTTTAGTAGGTGTTCAATAAGGATCAGTACTGCATATTCTTTCCCAACACCCCTGCTTTTAGTTGGGTTATATCATGTATACAATTACATACCGTCTTAGTACATTTCATCAGAATAGGAGTAAATATAAGTTCAGTATGAGTTCTAAAATACACTTGAACAGAGAACTTGGGGGCAATCAGAGGTTTCTCCTATTCTTTCAGGAAGATCTCTTAGGCTGTAGCATTCTTGTTCTATTAATTCTAAGATAGCATGCATGCCTTAGCACATTGATGGGTTCCTGGCCAATTAAAGTCTTAAGATGGATCATGAAAACACTCCCATTCTCTCCTTTCATTCATAGAGTGAATTTATATATACTCTGTTGGCAAGAATGAATCTATCAAAGTTGTCATTCTGAAGTCATCCACAGAATAAAAATGATTCCAAACCACCACAAACTCTCAGCACATGCTTACCTGTGTTTTACCGAAATGCAAAAGTATATAAAACCTTTCTTTTTGTCCTGGGCCATTTTTTTTTTTTTGCATATATTGTTGGCTCTTCAATTGCTAAAAGGACTTTCTGGCATCTACTTTCTACTTGACAGGAACATATGAGCCAGTGTAATATACAGCTATTTCTATGTGGTTCTTTTCATCCACTTCAGCTTTTGTCTCAAACGCACTGTGCTAATACGTAATCTAACTCTACAATCTCATTTCTTTGCACCATACAACAGGAGACCAAAAGTCTCAGAGATTTCTTCCTAAGCCCTGTTCTCAAGGCCCTGTGAGAGGTGAAGCTGCCTAAATGCCTGGAATGCATATTCTCACTGCGTGGGTGTTTTTTACTCTCTAAAGGCTCTTGACCTAACCTTCTATCCCTAGGGCTGGTAAAATCACATCCCAGGAAAAATGCTAGTGATTCCCATCTTGAAATTGCTCTTCATTGAGAGTGGGGGAAGGGAGTTAAGTTTTCTTGATTACCTGCCAGCTGTTTAACACATGTTATCTCATTTTATCTCCACACATCCCTGTGAAGCAAGTCATTATTATCTCAGGTTTGTAGGACAAGAAACAAAAACTCAGAGGGTTTAAGGAACTTGTCCTGAATCCTAGCTGGTAGGAGGCAGGGATACTAAACTAAACTATGTTGCTTTAGCAAATACACTTTCAACAATCTTATAGCTGCTTCCAAATCTCAGAATTGAATCCTTCTTAAACTTCCATAATTTGAATTGTAAACTCAGTAGGGTGAATACCCATTAAGGAGTATGAATATTGCCCAGTCACTTGATGTAATATTAATAACAATATTTTAGAATTTGCAGAAATCTTAGGGATTGTCTAATTCTACCTCTTTGTGTTACATAAAAGCATCCATGACATGTTCAAATGTATTGAAAAAAATAAATTTTCTGATTCAATAAAGTTGTCAGGAACTCAGCTAATGACTGTTTTCAAGTCAACTGTTTCTCGCCAACTGAATTCTTCTAAAACCAGAGCAGAGTAATTTGGCCCAGACTGTGATTAGAGCCCAGCTTGTATAATAGTAGTTCTGGAAAATAGATGTTTGTGAATTCAGCCTTTCCATTAATATACCCAGCAGAGAACATGTGTGGCCTGAGATGTAAGTTTTTTCAGAAATTGGTCATGGAATCTCTTTGGTTGGCATGTGTGGGAAGAGGTAGGTGTGTGCATCCACACAAGCTGTGGAGAATTTTATTATGTTTGTTCTGAATCTAGTCCAGAGATCCTGCCTCAGTCAGAATTTCTCATCAATAAAATTTACCTTAAATTTTAACTCAATACTTTAAATAAATATTTATTTTTATTTATTTATAAATAAAAATTGTATTTATTTATAAAATGCTAAAATAAAATAAATAAAAGTAATTAATTATTACTTTAAGTTTTTAAATCTCATCAATGAAATCACTTTAATGTAACCCTGCCCAAACCCTGTTTTTCATTTGCCCCATTCCCTCTGCTCTTTCTCTTACCTTCTAAATTATATCCAAACACATCAAACAAGATTTATTCATATTTCTTTATTTTCAAATTCAGTATAAGCAACTTTTTTTTTTTTTCATGGATAAGCTAATTTAATGGGCTTTACTCTTTTTGGTTGCCCAAGTTCCACATTAGTACTCTACTCTTGGTAGTTCTCTTCCAGGAATTTGGAGACTGGATGCTGTAGGGGTCTGATTTGAGTTATCCAAGTGGGAATAGAGGAAGAGTTAGTCTAAATAAAAGGTCAGTGAGCTCATTATCAAATGTTTAAAACTGAAGGGATGCTTTGAGCCAGAGCATAGAGGGGTGGGGCCTTGGGAGGTTTTCTAGGATGCCAGTAATCCTTGAGGATAGGAAGGAGATTGCAAAGTCTGCTTGACTGTTTCAGACACAGAGAGAAATAAAACGTAATTTTGTGGTGAAATGGCAGCGTTAAGTCCAGGGCCAAATTATGATTACAAGATAATCACTAAGACATTTGTAACAATGCTGGCCTTGAAGTAGAACTAGGAGATGAGGGATTTGGAGGGAGAAGGATGCTTATTTCTACTGTATAACTTTGGGAGATGATTTGTGTTTTTAATATATACATATATTACCTTTTTCAATAAAGAAAAACCAAAGTTTTATTTTTACAGAAGAATAACCACAGTTGTAATCGTAAAAGATGTGAGAGTGAATACAAATATACCCCAAAAGAAACATCATTGGTTACAAATGAAAAGTAAATGACTGAAGGGTGATACTCACAGCCTTCCAATCCTTCACAGCATCTTAAAATTTGCCTTGTTGGAGCACACTGTATCCAGGGATACCAGCGTCTATGACTGAACTTTAAGCATGTATGAGGCACTCTAAGGCATTGAAAAATTAATTTAAGTTTTAGAAAACATGACACATTCTCAGTACAAAATGATATTCAGAAATATGTGATACTTCTGCAGATCAGAGAAAAGGGAGCTCAAATCTAAGAGGGGAGTCCCATAATGTTTGTGAAACCACAGAGACAGAATTTAAATAAGCCCTTGAGGGCTTGTGGAGATGTCAGAGCATGTGGGTGGAAGGAAGCCAGCCTTTGAGGGCATGAACCCCACACCAAGATGTGTAACAACAAGATGATGATGTAGATTCTTATTGGGCCACTTTGGAATAGATTTATTTATAAAGTCAAAAATACTTCTTGGGGCTAAATTTGGAGTTTTTGAGAAGGAACTGAATGTCAGTGATGGAATTTGAATGCAACTATGCATAGATTGGGTCATGGGAGAAATGTGACCACAGTTGTATCATTAGTTTGATTATGTTGTCTCCCATGTGCAGGAGAGCTTGGAGAAAAAGCAAGTGGAAGCTTGAAGGGAAATTCCTCTTTCCGGAGGAATAATTGGGGTTCAGTTACTTAAGGGGGCATTTGGGGAAGATGAAGGAAGAGAGGTGGAGTTCCAAGCCCTAAATCCTGTCTCAATAACAGCAGCAGTGATGATTTCACTTGTCAAATATATTGGATTTCCTCCTGATATGTCATTTATGGAAAGCATTGTCTCCGTAAAGGTGTTAATAATTCCATCATCTGAGTATGAGCCCAGCAGTGTCTGACCTAAGCTGGAAATAGGGTGATGGAAAGAGATAGGTTTGGAACACATTGAGGAAATGAGAAAACTCAGCATGAATTTGTGACTGACTGGGCATATAGTAGACAAGAGAAACCATAACATATGACACTGAGGATTGTATTAAGGTCATTTGGTAGCCATTTTGATCTGTATAAAATTTATGTGGTGTTAGAACATCCAGCATAAATGTCTTCCAGAAATTTGAGAACATGCAATGAACACTTGTGGGCAAAAGACATAATTTAGAAATCTTGAGTAGGAAAGATCAGGAATACACGGGAAATGGTTTTCTGAGAGAGATGAATGAGAACATCACAATAATGGCCATAGTTGAAATACATTGAACACATACATGCCAAACATTATACACGGATAATTTCATTTGATATTATTATTATTATCCATATTATAACTAGGATATGCATATTGTTGTCTGTTTTTATTTTATAGCCGGGAGGCTGTGGCACAAGAGAGGTAAAAGAATAATGCCCATAGTAACAGAGACATCATAAGATTAAATCTAGGCAGTCTGGCTCCAGAGCTTGTATTTTCTCAGAGAGGAGGTGCAAGAAGCATTTTTAAATGGTGTAGGATAAAGTGGCCAAAAAAGTCCAAGAATCTGGACACTACCAGTGAGGTGGAAGGCACTCCAGGTGTCTGTTACAGAGTTGGGACTTTCATGGCAGTGTAGTTTACTATAATAAGAAATTGGACACAAGCTAAGTGTCTGTCAGCTAGAAGACTGGTAAAATAAAATGTGACTCATACATTCAAAGGAGTATTACATCGCCCTAATAAAAAAGATGAGGCATGTCTGTATTATTGAACCAGATCGGGCACTTGGCATGCTGATAAGTGAGAGCAAGAGACACATCATCTCACTTTTTAAATAATACCATCTATGTAAATCATATAGATGTTCTTTCTTTAAGGAATAGAAAAATATCTAGGAAGATGATCTTTACAATGTTGAAAATGGTGACCTAGCTATTTAGGGGTCAAAGGGATGATGATTAGAGGAATTTTGATGGTTCTCACTTTCTTTTTTATTTTTTTCCCATATTGTGTGAATTTTCTAAAATCACTACAAATTTGCTAAGTAACAAAAACGTAACAAAGCTGTTTTTGCTTTAAAACAAGAATGGTCAAGTGCATTATATGTTGCAGAGACATCAAGAAACATGACTTAGGGAAAAATTAAATTTGCTTTCAATTTAGACAGTGTTCCTCCTTCTCCAATGAGATGGAACCAGTCAATTAGCCATTTGTTCCCTTACTGTCCACTTATTTTTCTGTGAAAAATAGCAATACAACTTAGAACACAATCCTGTTCATGGGAAGGCCAAGACACAAATGATCTCAGTACTTTGTAGAGGACACTTATGACAGAATCCAGGAGTTAGAGAATATTTCTTGTAGGATCCCCATTCAGATAATTTAATTTCCCAGGTGTAAACTTCTGTCTGGTTGGTTCGTTTTTTTTTTTTTTTGTGTGTGTGTGTGTGTGTGTGTGTGTGTGTGTGTGTTTTAACTCATTATGTCCCTCTGGTCACAGTACAAAGATATTTGATCATCAGACATTAGACAAAGTGGAAGGATTTTCAGCAGATCCCAAATCCATCAATTGTTTTGAAGAATCTCCTATCATCTTGTTCTCATCAAATATGCCTTCTTGCCTTAAAATCAACTTTGCCAGCTCTGTTTACCAAAATAAATCAGTGTGCCCAGGGTGTTCCCACATTTTACTTCTGAGCCAAATGCTATCTTATTCTTAGATTCCCATTTAAATTACAGATTAGGACTATAAAATGTGTTGATTAACATCATTAGAGAAAATCTTAAAGAGCTCCATTAACTGTGATATGTGCCAGAAGATATACACAAAATAAAGTCTGGGCTCCTTTAAGACCATTCACTACTGCTCCAGATAAAAAAGACTCATATAGAAATTGTAGATTATTAGATAAAAGCTCTTCTACCTCAAGGGAATGTTACCATTGCAATCTAGAACCAAATGACATACTACCATTACAAGGAAATGCCCTTTTTAGGGACTAATGAATTACTTTTGATTTGTTTTTCTTATTGTTATATTATAATTTCAAAAGCTATTGTTATCAGTTCAACTAGATAAAGTTATTTCATAAGCAACATTTGTGGGAGCTGGTTCAAACACAGATAGCTTAGTAATCAGCTTTCTAGGTTTAGAAGGGGCTGTCGTGTTACAGCTTAGAGAAGTATTTCTCTCATGCGGGAAAATATTTGAGTATTTGAGTCTGATATTCTTAGTCCAAAAAGTGGAAGGATTTTCAGCAGATCCCATATCCATCAATTGTTTTGAAGGGTTTCATGAGTATGAGAAAGAGATTCATCTACTAGGGCCACAGCCTTACCTGACAGTCATCCTCTATGTTTAATACATATTTTATAATATAAATTTGCCATTATTTATACATTAACTAGGTTGCAGCTCCCAGAGAGCACACTGTTTTTTTTTTCCCTTTATGTAACCTGATTCCTAGAGTCTTTTCTTTTCTACTAGGCTTGTTGAGATTTGAGAACACAATAATAGAACCTGTAGGAATGGCAGTTAGGCTGACAAGCTTGACTGAGTCATCCAATAGTTCATCTCACATCATTAACACCATGAAGTAAAATCCCTGCAGATACTCACACACTGGTTTTTTTGTCTTTGTATTTTTGGTCCTCTATTCATATTTTTTTAAAGTCGGCTATTCTTGAGCATATTTGGAATACCACTGAAAAATAGCAAGGCATACCCATGCTATGAATTGGAATTGACGTTACAGAATGAAATGGTCATATTGTGCATGATACTTACATGTGATTACCTGATAAAATGTGTCCCGTGTAGCTCATGATGTTTCAGACCCCATGTTCCCGGCCTCTTTGGTCTAACATTGTTAACTTGCCTCTCTTGGCTTCAGTAAGTCCAAGTCTTTCTGGGTGTGATGACGGAGGTAAAGATTCTCTTATTCTCAGCCAAGGGCTGCCACCGTGCCTTCCTTGTTCCACTCAACTGCCAAACAACACCGGGGATTTCCGTGATTTTCCTGATAGCTCAAGGAAATGGGTCAAAGAACACTTTCTCAATATCTCTTCTTTATTTGTGCTATCCACATTTTCGTTCCAGATTCTACCCTGAATGGGCAAACACACACTCACATACGCACACTCACATGCTAATAGTCCATGAACCTTTCCTAAGTGATTAATTCTTTCATCACATTCTGGTATTTAAAATTTACCAATTTTAAGGTAATGACACGTTAAGCCATTGCTAATACTTTTGTAGTGATTGTCAAACAAGATCTTTTTTCATTTTCTGAAATATACTGTGAACCAGGCTTTATATATACTTCTTATTTAATTCTTAGGCAGGCAGCGAACATTAGGTGTTTGCTGTGGTTCGGAGAGTTGTGGTTCCAGAGTATGTAGCTAAAGACTGATAGAACCAGAACTGTGGGTCTCCAGAGCCTTGATCACTGACACTTGCTTCCGGTATGGTTTATCTCTATATTGTGTTTTTAAATTTTGAAAAATAAACTCTTGTTCTGGGAGGAATAAAGAACTGAATGCTTCTGATCACCAGTCCCTTTAACTTATCATCCAACACTTGATTCATTACTCCCTTTAGAACTTCCTCCATCAGCTCCTGCTTTCCCCACTCCAAACCTTCCTCCTTTCTTTCCTCTCCTTCCCAACCTCTTTCCTTTGCTCTTCTCCTCCCCTCTTTCCCTCCCTTCTTATCTCTTTTCCTTCTTTTCATCCTCTATCCTTCTCTCCCTCCCTCCTTCATCTTTCCACCCTTAATGTCCCATATCTCCAGTGCTCCATGCAACACTATTCACACACACATACACACACACACACACACACACACACATTTACAGGGGACTTAAAATATGCCAAGTAGTGTGCTATGCTTATTATATGAGAAAATTTATTTAATTATCACAGCACCCTTTTCTATATTACATGTACGGAATTTGACCCTCAAAGATTAGGTAACATCACAAAGCCAAGTAGTGTGTGGGCGGTAGTGCCAGAATTCGAACACCAAAAATTTGACTCTTGATCCTTCAATCTGAATGTTGTAGCATACTTTAACAATTTTACTAGGCAGAAATCAAGTAAATGTAAATTAAAATAGCACGATATTGGTTTCTCAACACCATCTCCCCACTCCAGTTAAATAAGCATAGGTTAAAAAAAACTATAGTATTTGATACTGGTGAATGTGCAATGATTCAGAAATCTTTACATTATAGGGAGTGCAGCTGGTGCAGTATTCTTGGAAAATATTTTAATGCTATATCAAGAACACTTTAAAACTCCATATGGTTAGGCCCAGTCTTTTCTCTTTCAGGAATCTATTCTAAGAAAGAAGTTTAAAAATACATATGAAGATTTGCCTACTGAAACACTATTTTGAGCAGGGAAAACAAGAGGAGGCAATGTAAATATTTATCAATGAGGTAAATCATTAAGTAAAATGCAGCCATTAAAATAATATGGTTTTAATCTTTTTGTTATAATATGTGGCATGCTTACAGAAAAGTCCACAAAAACTGAAGGTACAACTTAATGATTTATTGTAAAGACAATACTCATGTATTCACTATGCAGATCAAGAAGTGGACCAACATAACCCTGTCTTTACTAAAAATACAAAAAAATTAGCCAGGTATGGTGGCAGGCGCCTGTAGTCCCAGCTACTTGGGAGGCTGAGGCAGGAGAATGGCGTGAACCCGGGAGGTGGAGCTTACAGTGAGCTGTGATCGCGCCACTGCGCTCCAGCCTGAGCGACAGAGTGAGACCCTGTCTCAGAAAAAAACAAACAAACAAAAAAAAAGAGAAATGGGCCATCATTCCAGAAGTTCCCCAACTTTCTGATCAGAGCTACTTCTGAACTTGTTATCATTAGTTCCTTGCTTTCTGACTATGGATGCAATCCTAAACAAGGTAGCTTTATTTTTTCTTGTTTTTGAGCCCTATATAAATGAAATCCAATCTGTATGTATTCTATTGTGTCTGGCTGTTTTTAGTTACTATTTATTTGTCCATTCCATTGTTGATTCAATTTGGGAAATATGCAAGTTTTGAACTATTAAAAACAAAACAATGCCACTGTGAATATTCATGAACTTCTGTCCTGTTGCACTTGAGCACACAATTTTGTATCTGTATTGCTATCTATTGCTATGCCATTACTTGGACATAGCTATAACTTCAACTAGACTACATGCTGACAATCTATTTTTCAAATCAACTGTATCAGTTTATTCACCTACCAGCAGAATTGTAAAGTTCTTATAGCTCAAATCTCTTGCCAAATCTGTGTACTGTTATTAAGGGTCTATTTAAGTCTTTTGGTTTTTTGGGCTAGTTTTCTTTTCTTTATTAATCTGCGGGTGTTCTTTATACATTAAGGCAAGTCGTTTTGGCTCTTTGTATTGAAACATCTTCCAGATGTGATTTGCCTTTCCACTCTCTTAATAGTGACTTTTGAATAATCAAAATGGATCATTTTGATATAGTATATTTATCAGGTTTTTTTTCATTTATCTTACGTTAAAAACCATTTTCCTCCTATATTATTAGGAAAAATGTTACTTATATTGTCTTCTAAAATGTGTATGATTTTTTCTTCAATTTATCACTATGCTCCAACTTAAATTAATTTTTAAGGATAGTGAGAAGTAGGAATTCCAAATCATTTTTTCCCATGTAGATACCCACTTGTCCAGTGGCCTCCACTAAATGATAGCCACTTTCTTACTAACCTAGAGTGCCACCTGTATAAAGAAAGTGTGTTTTCAGATTTTCTGTTTTGCCTCATTAGTTTGTCTATCCAAATCTTAATGCTAATAATATCCTTAACTCTACTAATTCTATAAAATGCTAGCCAACCCTGACCGAATTATGAAACCTAGTCCCAACCCTAACTTTAATCCTAATCCCAACATGAATTCTCACCATTAACCTAATAATCGTTCTAGTACTAATCTTAAAACTAAAACTAACACTAGTCTTAAAACAAGCAAAATGATAACTCTAGTCTTAAATCTACCCTAATCCGAATTAGATCTATTCTAAATACAAACCCTACATCTAAAGCTAAGCTCAACCTAAAGATAATGGTAGACCCAATTCCTTACTTCCAGTCTAAACCTAACAGTTACCTTAACTCTATACATAACTATAAAACTAACTCTAACTTTCTGAAATTATTGAAACTTTATAGTCCTGTATAAGGTCAATTTTTATAAATTTTCCATGAGATTGAAACAAATGTATATTTTGCAATTGTTGGGTGTTGTGTTCCACATATGGCTATTGGGTCAAATTTTTGAAACGTATTATTCAAATCCTCTCACTAATAATATGATTAAATATTAATCATATTGTTCAATTTTTTTAAATCTTTGACTAGTTTTTCTACCTGAGAAAGATGTGTTAAAATGTATGATTTTAGCCCTGAAGTATCCACTTTACTTATCCTATGTTGGGTAAAAATTTGCTATTTGACCTTCTGAAATTTTCGGTCTGGGGGTATGTGTGTGTGTGTTTATGTGTGTTGGAGGAAGGAGAAATAGAGCCGAGGATGGAAGAGCTGCTTATTCTTTCAGAGGTGTCAGTCCCCATGTGAACAAGCGTGGCCTAATCAAATGAATGATGAGACCATGTGGGGACAAAGCAGAGACTATCCATGACCAGCCAGCACCCAGCCAGACACCAAACAGTGAGTGAGCCCAACCAATATCAGCAGAATTGTTTTCCTAGCCCATAGCTGACTACACATGCAGGAGGAAGCCCAGGTGAGGTCATCTGAGATTGGCAATCCACTGAATTATGAGCAATGATAAATGCTTATTGTTTTTAGTCACAGGACCTTGCGATGGTTTATGATGCAGTATTGGCTGATACAACAATCGTATCACAATGAGCTTTTGTGGTCTTTTGAAATAGAACTCACAATTTAATGGACGCATAGTGTCTTAGTCAGTTCAGGCCTCTAGAGCAGAATACCAGAGACTGGATGGCTTAAACAACAAGCATTTATTTTTATGACAGTTCTGGAGCCTAGAAATCTAAGATCTGGGTGCCATTATGGTCATGTTCTTGGTAAGGGCCCTACTGGTTCACAGAAAACCATCTTCTCCTTGTATCTTCACATGGCAGAGTGAGCAAGAGACAGAGAGAAAGAGAAAGAGAAAGAGAGAGAGAGATCTCCTGCCTATTATTTTAAAGGCACTAATTTTATCATAAAGTCTCCCAAGGGCTCTATCTTCAAATTCCATCACACTGGGAATTCTGGTTTCAACATATGATTTTGAGGGAACACAAACATTCAGTTTATAGCAGGTAGGTTCCTCACGAATATACTTACATTTGCAAATCTCCCTGCCTCACAACTCGTGCATCAATGGCTGGACTTTCGCCTATCTCACCCTGAAAATTTAAGGCCATTCAACTATCCACTTCAGAAAACAGCCATCCAGTTAGTTAGGTCATGGTTACTATGCCACCAAATGCTATTCCAAGTCCTAACTTAGGAAGTCCCATTTCACAGTGTAAGAATTGAAGGCTATTTTCCACAGACCTCAAAATCCTTGGAGAGCATAGTTTTACATTTCAGGTTTCACCTGTGTCATATTCTAACGTTGCATGTGTTTTTTGGAGACTGATTTCTCCATTTTAAACTAATGAAAGACTCCGACAAATCAGGAGCCATATGCCTTATTGGGTGGTAGTAACATTTTAAAATATGTTAATAAAAAATACGAAGAAAAAGAAGAAAAAAGAAACTCAGTTAAATATTTAATGTCACTTCTAACAATTGTTTCCATTTCTTGGAAAAACTCCTAGTATAATAAATGAAGCAAGCATTTTCATCACAAATGCATTTATTATTTCCACATGGCATGTGTATGTAAAGTATGTGCAATTATGTTTGCTTTCAAATTAGAAATGCTTTAAATCTCACACAAGGAGTCATTTCTCTTTCATCAGGGGGCCCTGCCAGCCAAGATTTTCTCACGGAAACTAGAGAGACCCAAAGCAGCCCTACAACTGTGCTCCTTGGAGAATTAGGGTCATGTCTTTGGTACTTTCATAGTTTCTTTTATTTTTTATTTTTTTTAAACCATGAAGGAATGTGTCTGTATCTGATTCAGTGGATTTCCATATCCATACCCATCCATCTTACTTTCTATTTTCCAAGTTGCCTTAGTCCTTCAAGGGTATTTCTATTTCCCCAATATGTCTACCTACGGAGAACCTATTTGTGCCAGGTTCCTTTAGACACAGCATCAATGGTCTCGCCAGAATAAATGGCATTACCTCATGCCCTTGCCTGTAAGTAAACAGAGTGATGGATCACCATTCTGAGGAAGGAGGCTAAGGACCATCAGTCCACAGCTACACTTGGATTCAGGAGCACACTGGCTTCGAGTTACAGAGTCTGTCATTTGGACCCTTGTGACCTTGGAGTTCTTCAACTGGACTTTCCTATTTGTCAAATAAGGATAATGCCTGCATGGCAAGATTGTTCTGAGAACGAAAAATAATATTTTTAAACTGATATAGACATTAATAAAGTATGATTATTTTTAATTAGCAATAGCTTTGTTGATATAGGGAGACTTATTTTATATGTCTTTTATCAAAAAGACGTATGTCCTGGGCTACACTTTGAAATCTGTGACTTCGCTAAGTTGGCTAACACCGCAACTGGAGAATGGAAGTGTATTCTAGAGGTGACTGGCAACACACCTGGGGTTCTGGACAAATTTTACCGTTCTAGAAACCCTCTTTTTCGTGCCTTCACCAAGCTCCTCACCAGTGGTATCTGCCCTTCAATCCACTACTTTTCCACCTTCTATTCATTCTGTAGTTGCGTGCCTCCACTGAGCCACTTAACTTGCAAAATTATGAATGTAATCCAAATCTCCAAGCCCAATGGATGGGTTTTATTTTCTGACCTAAGCTTTCCTATTTGACAGTTGATCATTATTTTTGAAACCACTTTTAGGCATAGGGTTCAGTGGGACTAAGTAGATTCACATTATTATGCAACCATCACCACCATCCATATCCAGAACTGTTTTCACTTCACAAAACTGAAGCACTGTACCCATTAAACAGTAACTCCTCACTCACTCTTCCCCTAAGCTCCTGGCAACCACCATTCTTCTTTCTGTCTCCATAAATTCGACTATCCTAGGTACCCTATAAGTAGAATCATACAGCATTTGTCTTTTTGCAACTGTCTTATTTAACCGAAGATAATGTCTACAAAGTTCATCCATGCTGTAGCACATGTCAGAATTTCCTTTCTTTTTAAGGCTGAATCATATCTTAAACTATTTTGATTTTGTTCCCTGTGCGTTTGATGTCATATCCAAGAAATCATTGCTGAAACCAATATAAAGTTTTCCCTGTGTTTTCTTCTCAGAGATTCACAGTTTGAGGGAGGGTTTATCTCTTAACTCTTTATTCCATTTTATTGTTTGATATGCCTGTCTTAATGTCAATACCACACTTTTTTGATTACTGTAATTTTATACTAAGCTTTGAAATCAAGATGGATTAGACTTCCAACTTTGCTGTTCTTTTTTTAAAAGATTATTTGGCTATTTGGGGTCTCTTGAAATCCCATACATATTTTAGGATGAATTTTTCTATTCTGCAAAATGTGTCATTGGAATTTTGGTAGTGATTGCATTGAATTTGTGGATCACTTTGGGTAGTATTGCCATCTTACCAAGATTAAGTCTTCCAAGCCATGTCTATGTGATGTCTGTCCATATATTGGTGTCTTCAACTTCTTTCAATCAACATTTTATAGTTTTCTGTATATACATTTTTTCTTCCTTAGATAAGTTTATTCTAAAAACCAATTTTTGTTCTATTATAAATAAAATTGTTTTCTTAATATTTTTCAGATTGTTTATTGTTAATGTATAAAAACACAAATAACTTTTGTGCGTTGATTAGGTACCCTGCAACCTTGCTGAATTATTTTATTAGTTCTAACATTGTTGTGTGTGAAATTTTCAGTTTTCTACATTAAATACTATGTTATCTAAAGATCATTCTACTTCTTTCTTTCCTATTTGGATTCCACTTATTTCTTTTTCTTGTGTAATAGCTCTATGACTCTCAGTACTATGTTGAATAGAAGAGGTGAAAGTAGGTATCCTTCTCTCATTCCTGATCTTAAAGAAAAAGCTTTCAGTCTTCCATCTGTGGGCTTTTCATGCAGATAGCTTTTTAAAAATACATAGTTCATTGCAAATTATTTTTTAATCATGAAAATGTATTGAATTTTGTAAAATGCATTTTCTGTATCAACTGAGATGGTCGTGTGTGTGTGTGCATGTTTGCTTTCTCTTCCTTCTGTTAATGTTGTGTGTTACATTCACTGATTTTCACATGTTGAGCCATCCTTGAATTCCAGAGATAAATTCTACTTTGTCAGAATGTATAATCCTTTTAATAGGTTGTAGAATTCTGTTTGATTTTATTTTATTGAAAATTTTTCTATCACTATTCTTCAGAATTATTGGCTTCTAGTGGTCTTCTCTTGTAGTGTCTTTGTCTGGCTTTGATGTGATAATACTGACTTCATAGAATTAATTAAGAAATATTCCCGCCACTTCACATTTTTAGAAGAGGTTTAGAAGTATTGGTGTTCATTCTTTTTTAAATGATTGTTAGAATTTACATGTGAAGCCATCTGGTACTTGGCTTTTCTTTGTTGCAAAGTTTTGATTACTGACTCAATCTCCTTACTAGTTGCAGGTCTGCAAAGATTTTCTACTTTGTCATGGCTCAGTCTGGTAGGTTGTTTTTCTGGAAATTTGTCTTATAGATTTTTTGTACATCCTTTCTTCCTTGTCTTATTGCCCTCTTTTACGTTTAGTTTTTTTTTTATAGTGACATATTTTGATTCCCTTCTCATTTCCATTTGTATATTCTACAGATATTTTCTTTATGGTTACTAAAGTGATTACATGCATCCTAAAGTTATAACAATCTATTTTTAACTGATAGAAATGTAGCTCCAATTCCAAACAAATCTCCAATCCTGTATAGCTTTGCCTTTACACTTTATATTACTGAGATCACAACTGATATTTTTATATACTGGGTATTCTTTAACTTATACAATTATTTTTATGCTTTGCCTTTTAAATCCTATAAAAGAATTAAAAGGCCAAGTATAAATCACAACAATAATACTAGCTTTTATATTTGTTTATGTATTCACTGTTACTGGAAAACTTTATATTTTCTTGTGGCTTTGAATTATTATCTAGCATTCATTTATTTCAAATTGAAAAAATTCTTTCTGTTTGAGACACAACAGAGATTAAGAAACTTATACAATGTTGAATACCTCATAAGTATCAGAGGCAGTATTTGACCCCATCCTTTTACCTCAATGAACATATTTCTGTGAGTTCACATAGCCTACTATTTCCTACCTTTTGGCCTATGTTCAAATCCAGATTTCCCTCTTTCATATCCACTTTCCAGGTCAACACTTACTTTTTATTCAATACATGGAACCTGGAAAAATATTACTAGTAAGGACAGTAGTAGTAATAATAGTAGCAATGGAAATAATTTTAAACAATGATAATGGTTAATGATTGTCAGGTAAGTGCAACACATGCTTCTAAGTACTTCAAAGGCACATTTGTTAATTCTAAGTATATATTCCTCTTACAGCAAGCTCATTATTCTTAAAAATATCTTCTCTAAATCTTATTGATGTTGCATTAAAATATATGATGCAATAGGCTTCCAAATGTGAAAACATTATGAAATTGAAATATTAAAAAATATGTTGTATATCTTTCTTAAATTTAGATTATAAACTCCTTGTGAGTGGAAATTATCTTAATCATCTTGTGTTTCTAGTAGTGCCTTATATATATTTTAATAAAAAAATTGTCTTTGCCTCTCATTGAATAAATAGAGATAATGAGACATAAAAGTGTAATGTCCAAAAAGTTAGGTCTTCACTAGTCACATAGTATTATTTCCTTAAAATTGTCAGCAAAGATGTTTAGAAGTAATTTTCAGCTTTTAAATGATAAAATACCAGTTAATCTTCTTAAAAAGAGAAAAATCTTTCTACGAAATGGAGTTTACTAAAAATAGTATTGCAAGCTGAAATGAGCATCAGATTGGCTGTTCTCACCTGAAAATCAGTGCATCGGATTCTTAATATCCAGATTCCTTTAAAATCTAAAATACAATGATGATGATGATCAAGATGATAAGGAGAGTGATAAAAACAATAAAGAATACCTTGATTATTATGGCCAAGTCCATCATGTAAGATATATCTTACTTTACACAGCTTCTTATTCTGATATTTTTCTCACTTATTATTGGGAAAAATGTAACTTTTGTCCACTATTGCAGAGTTAAGAAAGGAAGATATTTGCCAGCCAAAGTCTTTTAGCAAGCTTAATGTTTGGAAACCTGAGACTGGTAGATTGTAAGTCAAATCTACCAGTCTTCATATCTAGGGATGTTGCTCATGTCCATCATATCTAGGGATGTTGCTCATGTCCATGACCTTCAAGTCACACTTGACCCTCTCTTTTTTATAACTGGTATTTAATCAATCAAGGAACCCTATGGATTTTATCTTAAAAGTAGACTTAAAATCTAACCACTGCCACTTGTACCACTCTGGTCCAAGTCTCAATATTCTCTCATCTAGGGTTCTTTTTTAAAGAAATAGTTTTATTGAGGTGTAATTAATATATACTATGCTGCACACATTTAATGTATACAATTTGATGAGTTTGAACATATGCATCCACTCATGAAAGCATCACTACAATAAAAGTAATAAGCATATTCATCACCTCCAGTAGCTTCCCCCTGCTTCCATGTGTGTGTGCCAGGGGCTGGGTGGGAGAGGAGGGCACTTGAGATCTACTCTCTTAAATTTTTGAGTGTACCATACAGTATTATTAACTATAGGCAATATGTGGTTCAGTAGATCTCTAACACTTATTCATCGTGCATTACTGAAGCTTTATAACCATTGAACAACTCCCTATTTCTCCCTTCCCCCCAGCCCCAGGCAACCACTATTCTATTCTGTTTCTATGAGTTTGACTATTTTAGGTAGCTCATCTGAGTGGGATCCTGCAGTATTTGTCCTTCTTTGACAGGCTTATTTTACTTAGCATAATATCTTCCAGGTCCATTCATGCTGTTGCATATGGCAGTATTTCCCTTTTTTTTTTTAAGGCTGAATAACATTCGTGTGTGTGTGTGTGTGTGTGTGTGTGTGTGTGTGTGTGTGTGTATTTCTTTCCATTCATCTATTTATAGACATTTATATCTTGGATTTTATGAATAATGCTGCAATGAACATGGGAGTGCAGATATCTCTTCAAGATCCTGATTTCAATTACTTTGGATAAATACCCAGAAGTGGAATTGATAGATCATATGATAGTTCTATTTTTAACTTTTTGAAGAACCTCCCTACTGAATTCTACAATGCTGTACTGATTTACATTCCTATCAACAGTATACAAGAGTTCTGATTTCTCTACATCCTTGCCAACACTCATTATCTTTTTTTAAATAATAACCACACTAGCATATGTGAGGTGCTATCTCATTTTAGTTTCGATTTGCATTTCCCTGGTGATTAATGATGTTTATTGCAGCACAATTCACAATTGCAAAAATGTGGAACCCACCCAGATGCCCATCAATCAATGAGTGGATAAAGAAATTGTGAGAGAGAGAGATATATATATACACACACATATATATATACACACACCATGGAATACTGTTCAGCCATAACAAGGAGCAAAATAATGGCATTTGCAGCAAATAGATGGAATTCAAGACCATTATTCTAAGTGAAGTGACTAAGAAATGGAAAATCAAACATCATATGTTCTCAGTCATAAATGAGAGCTAAACTGTGAGTATGCAAAGGCATAAGAATGATACAATGGACCTTGGGGACTTGGGGAAAGGGTGGGAGGAGGGTGAGGGATAAAAGACTACAAACTGCATACAGTGTATACTATACACTGTAAGATTTTGGTGACGGGTCCACCAAAATCTCACAAATCTGCACTAAAGAACTTACTTTACTCATGTAACCAAACACCACCTGTTCCCCCCAAAAACTTATGAAAAAAAAAAGAAAAAAAAAGAAAACAACCCATCCCAAACAGTGAGAATAAAAAAAAGACTCTGAACAGCCAAACTAATCTTGGGCAAGAAAAATAAAGCTGGAGGCCTCACACTTTCTAATTTCAAAATATATTACAAAGCTACAGTAATTAAAACAGTACAGTACTGACATAAAGACAGACATACAGACCAATTAAATGAATAGAAAGCCCAGAAATAAACCCACATTAATATGGTCAACTGATCTTCAACAAGAGTGCCAAACATACACAATGAGGAAAAGATAGTCTCTTTAGAAAATTGTGCTGAGAAAACTGGATATTCACAAGCAAAAGAATAAAACTTAGACCCATATACTTTACAGAAAATCAGCTAAAAATGGATTAAAGACTCAAATGTAAGACCTGTAATTTTAAAACTCCTAGAAAAAAAATGTAGGGGAAAATCTTCTTAGTATTGGTCTTGGCAATGATTTCTTTGATATGGCATCAAAAGCACAGGCAACAAAAGCAAAAATAGACAAGTGGGACAACAGTAAACTAAAAAGCTTCTGCACAACAAAGGAAACAATCAACAGAGTGAAAAAGCAGCTATGGAAAAGAACTGCGAAAAGAACTGCAAACCATATATGTGAGAAGAGCTTAATATCCAAAATACATAAGGAACTACTAACACTAATTTGAAAAAGACACAAATAACCAAAATGAACGAAGGACTTGAACAGATATTTCTTCAAAGAAGATGCACAATTGGCCACGAGGTTTATGCAAAAGTATTCTCTCATCTAGGTTTCTAAGACAACCTTTTAGGTGAGTGAATTGCTTCCATTTTTATCTACTCTCATCAAAATGGCCTAAGTGGTTCTTGTAGGCTATCAGTCAAATGATGTCACTGTCTGTTCAAAACCTTTCAGTGGATTCATGTTTTAGTTGGAGCAAAAATGAAAGGCCTTAACTTCTTCTGCCTACTCTCCTCCTACAATTATTCCTCTGAACACATCTCTTATTCATCTCCTTCTCACCCTTTCTATTCCTGTCACACTGGCCTCTTTCTGTCCTTGAAAAAAAAGTAAACATGTCCCCTGACATAATTCACAGGCATTGGCTGTTTATTTAGCTAGCAGTGTCTTCTCCAGATATCTACACAGCCAACTTCCTCCTCTTCTCCATGTTTCTGCCCAAAAGCCAACTGCTCCATGAAGCCCACTATTTAAAGTTGAGATCTACATCTTCCCAGATTTCCTTCCTAATATTCCTTTAGTCATTGTTTTTCTTACATTTATGGCACCACATTCTGACATCATATGTCAGAACTACCCAATGTGTAGTTCCCTCACCAGTAGCATCAGCATCACCTGAGAGCTTGTTAGAAATGCAAACTTTGGGGCTCCACCCTAGACCTGCTGAATCAGCATCACCAGAGTGGGGCACAGGGTTCTGTATTTTCACACACCTTCTAGTTTCTCATATACAGTAATGTCTGTGGAAGCATTGTTTTCTGTTCTTCACTTATTTATCACACTTATTATTCACTGCTTCTCCTGATGGAATGCAAGCTCCACAAGGACAGAGTTTCTTTTGTGTATTTTGTTCACTGTTTTTAAGCACTTAGAGCCAGATCTGGCACATAGTAGGCACTCAATAAATGTTTGTTAAATGAATACATTCTCTAGTACTTAATTTGAGAACAAATAATTTTCTGTTAACATTTTAAAAGTCATGATTTGAGATATAATTTACATAGAGTAAAATTTAGTCTGTTTAATGGGATAGTTCTATGATGTAGAGCAGTTCATCATCTCTAGATATTCCCTTGTGCCTCTTTGTAGCCAAACACCCCACACAACATGATGATTTTAGTTAATAACAATGTATTGTGTAGTTGAAACCTGATAAAATAGTAGATTTTTTGTGTCCTTACCACAAATAAATGGTAAGTATCTGAGGTCAAAACAAAACACCCCATACACATACCCAGCTCCTGGTAACCACTGATAGTTTCTGTTTCTATAGTTTTCCTTTTTCCAGAATGTTATATAAATGGACTTATGCAGTAAGTAGCCCTTTGGTCCTGGCTTTGCTCACTTAGCATACTGCATCTGTGATTCTCTGTGTTGTTGCATATGTTAATAATTCCTTTTTTATCATCGAGTAGCATTCCATTGTAGGGATACAACACAATTTAGTTAAACATTATAACACAGTTTGGTTAAACGTTCACCAGTTGAAAGACTTTTGTGCTGTTTCCAGTTTTTGAAGATTATTAGTAAAGTCACTATAAACATGTGTAAATAGGTATTTTTGTGAACATAGATTTTTATTTCTCTTGGGTAAGTACCTAAAAGACAGATTGATTATATAAAAAGTATATGGTTAACTTTGTAGGAAACTGTCAAACTACTTTCCAGAGGGGCTGTACCATTTCGTATTCCCACCAGCAGTGTTCATATGCATGGGAATGTATGTATGTGAATCTTGGTGTTTCTGGATCCCTGCCAACATTTGGCATTGTCAGTTTTATAATAATAATGGTGATGGTGATGATGATAATGTTGATGACAACTTTAGCTATTCTAACAGATGTGTATTGTTAGTTCTTTGTGGCTTTAATTTGTATTCCTAATGGCTAATGATACTGAGCACTTTTTGTAACTGGGTCATCCGTATATCTTGTTCATTGAGTGTGTATTCAGATTTTTTTGCCCCTTTTAAAAAGAATTGGATTGTGTATTTCTTTGTTTTATTTACTTTTTATTGTTTAATTTTGACAGTTCTGTATTCTGACTATAAGTACTTTATCAGATATGTACTATGCAGATATGTTCTCCTGGTCTGTGGCCTGGTTTTTCATTTCTTTAAAAATGTCTTTTGAAGAGTAAAGGTTTTTAATTTGGATTAAGTCTAATTTATTATTTTCTGGATTGTACATTTGTGTAACATATAAGAAATCTTTGCTTATCCCAAAGTCACATAATTTTCTATTTTTCTATGTTTTCTTCTAGAATTTTTATTGTTTTAGGTTATAAATTTAGGGAAGGATCCATTAAAAATTTTTTTTTTTGCATATAAATGGGCGTCCAAATATTTTAGAATGATTTTCTTAAAATACTATTAATATTTTAAAACTCAAGTACCATGAGAGATTTCAAAAGGTATACATAGACTTTTTAAATAGATTCATTGAACAGAATTAAATTTACATATTTAGCATACCAAATAAAATGTAAACACGATCCTACTGTCCCAGTGTTAAATGAGGTTTTGATAAAACTTCAAGAGATGAGTAAGAGACTTTTAAGAAAAGAGCAAAGCGTGGAGAACAATGCATGAGAAATTCTAAAATTAAAATTCTCAAAATGAAACTTGAGAATATTAGAAATGAAACATTAGTCAAAGCACTTGGTGGCAAAAAAAAAAAAAGATCTTATTTTAACTTAAGTAGAAAGTAAGGGTAACAATGTATTCTCAAAAACATTCAGTAACCCTGGAAAGGAGACTTGAAGAGGTATCAAGAGGAGCAAGGGCTTAGCCAAGACCTGGTCATGACAAGTGGTCCAGGAAGGGCCACTTGTACCATCATGGTGTTTGTACCATTATCTCTGGGCAGTTCTCCTGCACTGCTGCACTATATATTTGTCCCTGTGCTGCTAAGTAACCATTCCCAGAACACAGTTCAATATCACTGAACTATCAACTCTACAATGGCTATCACAATGACTTACTGACCCTGTGCCATTTCATCACATCCTTAGAATTCACAGTCCCAAGTAGGAGTCAGTCTCTGATTGATCATATTTCAGTGTTAAGCATAGTCTCCAGCAGACATGAGGTGATGAAAAAAATATCCAGGTACCTTTGACATTCATAGTAGTGGGATTCCTCCTGAATATAAAGCCATTTTGTCAATTCAAAACTGAAACCCCAAATTTCCACCATGATAATTTTGGCAAATGCCCTAATTTTGCAAGAAAATTGCATTAAAAAACAAACCCCTTTGAGACTCTATAATGAGAGAAGGCTTACCTAAAATAAATTTAATATAGCTAAAGTATAGCCCATTTGACCCAATCCCCATCAAATGTTACTCTGGGAAGAGACTAGCTTGGTGTTTTCCACCAAAGCATTGCCAGTTGCTCAAATTGGCAGTCAGGCTGATCTACCTTGTGTGGCAACTTATGAGGTACTGGGAGGAACTAGAGGCCAACTTTTTGAGAAGAGCTCTATGAAAACACCCCCTGGAATGTAATACTCTCAGTGTGCCTATAAAAATTTATTCTGGCATTGGTCAGCTAGAAGCATGCACAAATGCCTACTGGTGAGCATAGCTACCCTTCTTTCCAGGTAATTGTCATCTTTGGCCAAAGTATGAGAAAAAGAAATGCCAAACATGAATACCTTCCCGCCAATTGTACATATCTAAAAAAATGAGAAGACAAAAACAATATCTGGGGTTACTGCAGCTGTTGCATAATTTAGTTTTTCGATAGGACTATAGCTCAGTTCTGTGTGTCTCATTAATTCTGTTGTTTTGTTTGTTTGTTTTCTGATGGATGGATGTGGCAGTTGATGTTTTGGAAAGTTTCCCTGTTTCTGCAGACAAGTCTTCACAACTATGACTTCTTAGACATTTGCTTTGCTGAAGAATGGACATCTTTGCTAATAGAAGTAATTTTTTTTTCCTTAGGAGGAACCTTGAAACAGTAAGGAATTCAGCTTCATATATCAGAGAAGAAATAAATTTCAAGAGAGCCAGCATTCTACCTTCGGGCAAGAAGATTTTATTCCCATTTGGCAGATGGAATAGCTGAGGTCCAGGAAAGTTAAATATCTTGGTGTCAATGTCTCCAGTCATGTAAATGGTGGAAGCTTTTTTTTTAATTCAGTACTATCACATATAACATACCACATGGCTTGTATCAGTCAGACTAGCCCCAAATTTCAATGTCTTACATCAGTGAAGGTTTTCTATTTGTAGCCCATGCTACCTCATCCAGGGCTGTGCGTTTGGTTTAGATGTTTTTATTCACAGGTGCAGACTGATTGAGATACATCTATTACTAGTTCCATTGCAGAAGAAAAAAGAAAAAAGAAATTATGAAAAGGCATATGCTGGTTCCCAAGCCTTTGCTAGGAAATTACACTTATCACTTCTGCCCATTTCATGGCCAAAGCAACATGCATGGGGATTGAAGAGGAGAACATATTACTTCTAGCTGTGGATTTGGCAAGGTTTCCTGGAGGAAATAGGATTTGAGCTAGATCCTATAATACAAATGGATTTGATAGATTTGGGGCAAATGGAGACTTTAGTAAACTCATTTTTCTTAAATAATTATGTTTCATATTGGGCCTGCTTAGATTTTCAACAGTTCTATACGTTAATGTATGTGGTTGAGAGATGTTTTGTAAGTAGGTGAACTGAGGCATCAGGATGCTAAAACAAAGTTCATGTTTATGTGAAAAAAAAAAAGGATGTAAAAATTGGAAAACAAATCTCAGTTGTCCACTTCTGTTCTGTTTTTTGACCCAATATCTTCACTAAACTTTAGCTCCCAAAGAAATATCTGTTGGTACAGGGAGTAACCGTGTACTACTTTTGCCCATTAGAGTACTGTAGTATCTTAAAAGAAGATCATAGAATCAGGTACATGCTTAGACTCAGGTTCTTCCATCTGTCTCTGGGGAATCAAACACGCTATAAATAGAGGGTGAGATTTTCCTGGCTTTGGCCAATGTAATTACTTTTGTTCCGGAAATCAACAGGGTGGGACCTAGATGGCCCTTCACTCCCCAGCCAAGTCACTGCTAACAAGTGAGACTAAATTGCTTTTCTCTCCTTCATTCATGTGGCTCCATCTGTGTAGGCCAAATAGATTAACCTCTAATATCTCAAAACAGATGTCTGTTGTTGGAATTGTCATATGTGTACAACATGTTCCACAAGTCGGTAGGGATATTTTGGGCCCCAGGGTGTGTAGCAACATCATCTGGGTGGGGTTTTCCAAACAATCAGTGTGGGTGAGGGTGTGATGCTGGCAAGGGTTTATTCTATGTAGCACCTTCCTCAATGGGAGAACCATGTACAGGAAACTATGCCAGGTGACTCCAAGGGAAGAAAATGAATGCATTTGAAGTTTAATGTGTATATTAGTCAAGGCTTGGTCAGGAAAACCAAAACCATACCAGCTATTTTAACAGAATGTACTTAACGTAGGAAATTGGGTGAGTACGAAAAGGCAAAACAGAAACATTAATGCAACAGACAGAGTAAATACAGGGACGGCTATCTGTCCTACTTTTTGCAGGAAAGTCCTGCAAAGCTGCAACCCAGGCCCTTGAGATGGTGGTGCTTTCTAACTATTCCTGATTCCTCAGAAATGCAAACAAGTGGCCCTGTAGAGCTGATACTCAGAACTATGACCCATTGGTGCTGGTACCCATAAAGGACTGCACTGAACTATTCCTCGGAGCATGAGGGAAAAGGCAACTGGAACATTTAACTGCCTTTAATGTGGATACCAGGGCCCCACTCCAGACCTGTTAACTCAAAATCTTAGAGTGGGTAGTCCATGCATGTATATTTTTAATAATCTTTTTAACTACTTATCAATGTTGTCAACACAAGCAGGACCGTCATGCCCTCAGCCTCTTTCCCAAAGGATTTTCAGATGTTCTAAAGTGATTTTGTATGTCTATGAATTATCTCCAGTTGTGCTGACCTAACCGGCAACTGGTGGTACATATATAACAATATATTTGAGCTGTCATCAGCCATACCTTTTCTCAGTGGATACTAGATAGTCAATTGCAAGATCTGTCTCGGTCACCTTGCCAACATTATTTCCAGTGCTTGCATCAATCCGGGGAATTAGCCAGGGGGTAATTAATTAACCATTCACTTAGTGCGTCTTATGCACCAAAAAAATAGGCTAGGAACAAACATCCAACTTAAATAAAAACCAGCACAGTCTTGGCGCTTTTGTGGCTTTCATCTGGTGGGAGGGATTAGCATTAACAACAATAACCAGAACACATTAATCAATATGCAATTGCAAATCTAGGTACAGTTTAAGAAGAAAAACAGGATATTATGATAATTATTTGCAAAAATGACCCTAATTGTTCCACTCAATATAACCACACAACTTGTAACATGACTTTGCAGCTCCTCTCATTGACAGGTAAAGTCTATTTCTTCATCCCCTTTAAATATGAGCTGGCCTTGCTTTAGCCAGCTCGCGAGACTTGCTTTAGCCAATAGAACCTTGTGGAAAGGCATTGAGTAATGGAAGCAACCCAAGTGTCTATCAATGGATGAATGGATAAGCAAAATGCAGTATCCACATAAAATAGACTATTATTCAGCGATAAAAAGGCGAGAAATTCTGAAGTATACTACAACCTTGAGAATATTGTGCTAAGTGAAATAAGCCAGTCACAAAAAGACAAATATTTTATTATTCTACTTGTATGAGGTACTTAGAGAGGTCAAAATCATAGAGACAGAAAGTAGAATGGTGATTGCCAAAGGCTGCAAGAACAAGAGAATGGGGAGTTGACGGGTATGGAGTTTGAGTTTTGTAAGATGAACAGAATTCTGGAGATGGATGGTGGTGATGTTTGCCTAATAATATGACTATATTTAATATTACTGAACTTTACACTTAAAAATGGTTAAGATAGTAAATTTTACATTATAGGTATTTTAGCACAATACAAATGAAAAAAAAAACCTAAAAAAAATTTTCTCCTGAATTATCTGATTCTGATTCTATGAGGGGCTCTGGACCTTTCATTGCTTTAAGCTATTTCATAATCCTGTGCAGAGCAATTTTATAACTCTGTATGCTGTACAGCACTAAAGGCAATGCAATTAATTCTTGTCTGTACACATGCAAATAAATTTTATATGTGGATGAACAACCCCTTTCCTGTGAAAAAGCCAGATTTGAGCAAATTGCAATTTCATTTCTGTGTATTCAGTATACTTGACCAATAGTCTATTATTTTGATTTGTACTCATTTTTTACAGCTTTACTGAAACAAAATTTATATACCATAAAATTCACCCATTTTTCAAGTGTACAATTCAATATTTTTATATATTTATAGAGTTGTGCAATCATCAACAAAATCATTTTTAGAATATTTCCAACATTTTAGATGGTACGAGGTTTTTGTTTGTTTGATTTTTAAATTTCCAACACAAAAAAAAACTTTGTAGCCATTAGCAATGGCTCACCAAACACCTGCCCCAAATCTCACCCCAGGGCCTTGACAAACACTAGTCTAATTTCTGTTTCTATAGATTCGCCTATTGTAGACAATTCATATAAATGGATACATACTATATATGTTTTTTTTCTGACTGGCTTCCTTTATAGTATAATATTTTTTAGATTAATCCATTTTGTAGCATGTATAAATAGTTCACTACTTTTTAATGGCTAAATTATATTTCATTGTATATATAAAACCACATTTTATTTATTATCAACTAGTAGACATTTGTATTGTTTTTACTTTTTGCTATTATGAATAATGCTGCTATGAACATGAGTGTACAAGAGTTTGTATGACATATGTTCTTATTTTTCTTGGGTATATATTTAGGAATTGCTAGCCCATACGGTAACTGTATATTTGACATTTTAAAAAACTGCCAAAATGCAGTATGTACAATTGCACCATTTTACATTCCCACAGAAATGTATGGTAATGCCAATTTCCCATGTCCATGCCAACACTTGCTATTGTCTGTCTTTTTTATTATAGACAACCTGAGGGGTATGAAGTAATACCTTCTGTGGTTTTGTTTTGCATTTCACTAATGACTAATGATATTGAGCATCCTTTTATATGCTTAATGTCTGTTTGCATATCTTCTTCAGAGAACTATCTATTTGAATCCTTTGCCCATTTTGTAATTGAATTATTTGGCTTTTTGTTATTTAGTTTTAAGAGTTATTTATATATTCTAGGTACAAGTTCTTAATCAGATACGTGATTGGTCAGTATGTTCTCCAAGACTAGATACTATCTTTCACTTTATTAATTGCGTAGTTTGAAACACAAACGTTTTTAATTTTGATGAAGTCTAGTTTACCTATTTTTTCTATTGACACTTTGGTGTCATATATAAGAAAGCACTGTCTGATCTAACTTCACAATTTACACCTATGTGTTATTCTCATAGTTTTATAGTTTTAGCTCTTATAGTTAGGTCTGTGATTCACTTTGAGTTATTTGTGCATATAGTGTAAGATAGGCACCCAAATTCATTATTTTGCATGTAGATATCCAGTTGTACCAGCATAATTTGTTGAAAAGGCTCTTATTTCTCCAACAAATTGCTTGCTCACTTTGTTGATAATCGATTGACTATAAATGTTAGTTTATTTCTGGTCTGTCAATTCTGTTCTATTGATTCATATGTCTATCCTCATGTCAATACCATAGAGTCTTAGTTACTATAGCTTTGTAGTAAGCTTTGAAATTGGAAAATGTATGTCTTTCAAATTTCTTTCGTGTTTTGGAAGGTTGTTTTGTGTATTTGGAGTCCTCTACATTTCCATATGAATTTTAGGGTCAGTTTGTCAATTTCTAAAAAAAATAAAAATAAAAAAAGAAAAAGCCAGTTGAGATTTCAATAGGAATTGTGTTGAATCTGTAGATCAATATGAAGATTAAATCATGTTGTAAGATCTACCTTGTTCCATTATTAATAATAAGTCACTAAAGTCTTTAACTTGTGTTCATTTACATGTTTATAAAAGTTATGATTTTATGTCTTCATGAAAATTATTTTTAATACCAGATAAATATTAGAGTATCACACAGCTCATCTCTAGACTCACAGCAATCCTTAGTCCATATTTTTTTCCTGAGCTACTTCATTTACACCCACAGCTTCAATTAGCCTCAATCCATGACATCAGTTCCTCCCATATATTTTTTTTCTCTATCTAAAACCTTATTGTCTAAGCTCCAAACACAGACACTTAATTTTACGTGCCTATTCAACATTTCCACTTACATATCTCAAAGGCACTTCTAGCTCAACAGGATTGAGCTTGAATTTATTCCTTTAACCAATGGCTTAGGCCTTGTTCTACTGTTGATCTCTATATCATTAAAGGAGGACATCTTCTATCTAGTTGCACAGCTGGATAACTAAGAATCATCCCTTACTTCCCCTTCTCTCTGCTTCCTCTCCCACCAAATTCACCTTTAAAATATCTCCCAAACCACTTTAGCTCTCCTGAAGTGGAGAGCTTCTGACATCCCTTCCCAATTCAAGATACTATCCCCTGTTACCTAGTCCACTGCAGTAGTTTTCTAACTGGTTTTCTGACATCCACCGTAGCTACCTTTGCTCTATCCTCACTGTAGGTTACATTTCAAAAATCAAGTCTGATTATGTTAGCATGATGAAAAACTTGCCACGGCTTCTTGTTTCTCTTAAGGTAGGGCTTTAATTTTTTTTCTACAGTCTATGGGGTCATATAGGACTTGGCTCTTTTCAGCCCTCTCTTATACTATTTTTCTACCAAGTACCTTGAAATTAATTCATTTTATTAGATACACAATTATCCCTTTTGCGTATCCGTTCCCTCTATCTGAACCACATTTTATCCAAATTCCATCTACTTAAATCCTTTTTATCTATCATATATCTGGTAATTTTTATAGGAAAGAATTCCCTGATTCACCTCCCAGGAAAAGTTTTGTGATATACTTTTAAAGATAAAGAGAAAATGTCCCTTTCCTCAGGGCACCTATAAATTGTAATACTAGTCATTTTGGTGAGTAGTTTATTACTGCCCATCTCCCTACTAGACTATAGTCTTTGTGAAATCAGATATCCAGTCTGTGTTGATTACCCTTGCATAATGGCCAGACATCACCCTTCTCTTGAAATAAGGCATGAAACCAACTTAAGCTAGAAAAAAAAAAAAAAAAGAACTCTTATAACTGAAAAGCCTCAGGGATTCAAGTCCCAGGTTCAGGTTAGTCAGGATTAAGGCACCCAAATGGTGCTTTCTCCTCATCTCTTGGCTCTGCACTTTTCCCATCTGCACTTCATTCTCAAGAAATCCCTTGCCATGTTTCAGAAAGATGGCTAGCAGCAGTCTAGGTTTAAGTTCCATCACCTTAGCTATCCTAACAAAAAATGCTTTTCTTTTCTAATAGTTTCAGAGAAAAAGAAAAAGTTCCTTGCCTAATACTCAATGATATGGATTGGTTCACATCCATATCACTGAACCAATTTATGTGGCCAGGAATGTTGACTGCCTCCAGATCCACAGGACAGAATTAGGCCCACTCAGCTGAGATGGCGCCACTGCACTCCAGCCTGGGCGATAGAGTGAGACTCCATCTTAAAAAAAAAAAAGAATTAGGCCCACTCAATCCACATGAACCAGGGTTTCAGGAAAAGAGGCTCTCCAAAGCAAAACGAAAGGAAATGAGTGTTTAATAGAAAATGCACCAGCAACTCTTCAGTCCCTACCATGCAGTGTCTGTCGTATAACTTTTGCCTAATAAATATTAGCTGAATGAATAAAGCAAATCAAGCACAGTTGCTGTCACAAGAGCAGGTGATGAAAAGGAAGAGGATGATGGAGCCGCTTGCTTGAATGAAGGAACTTGGTCTTGAATCCCATTTCCATCATTTACCACCTGGGCACTATAGGTAAGTTACTTAAATACCTTGATCTTCAGTTTTTTTTTCACCTATTGAATTGTGATACTGATCCCTAACCACCAGGGATTTTGTGAGACACATGTATTAACAAATATAAAGCGTCTACATTTGGGTTGGCAGAGAACAAGCCCACAAAAGTTTTTCATTCTTTCCTTTCTCCTTCTACTTCCCAACTTCGGCACTGCCTATGAGTCAATTCTTCCCGCTTTGTGTTTTGAGATGGGAGCTACATTTGTTTGGATTCTGGAGCACTATTTCCCCAATGTTTTTCTATGGAAATCTGAACAACTGCCAATCAGACAGGTAAAACGAGAGAGAGAGGGAGAGACAGAGAGAGACAGAGAGAGAAAGGAGAGGGAAGAGGACTGAATTTGAGAAAAAAATGGGGGAAATCAGTTATGAGTCAGGTGAGGTTGATAGATATACCACATGCTCTCCTTTCTACACCACCCAGAGGAAGCTTGAGCCAATAATATCCTTTCTATTCAGCTCACACCTGCTTCTCAGGGAGCTGCAGTGCAGTTAGCACAATGAACTTGGCTGTATTGTTCTGTGCTATTTCCTCCTGCCCTAGCCTGAAACCGCATTTCAATCAATTGCTAATGTCAGCGTGGGAGTCATAATCCTGGTTTAGAGCTGCTGCAAGTTACCACATCTCCATGGGTCAGAAAAGGAGTTTGACTGTTGAAGGGTGTATACCTGAGAGACACAAAGCTTTCTGTTTCCTCCCAGGCAATGAGCTACAGCAAGATCCAACCCAATCAGTCTCATAAAATACCTTCCTTCTTGCCAGGGAAGAAGTTAACTCTGCAGCTAGGACCTCTGCCAGGTTATCAAGATATCTGGAAATTAATGTACCCCCAATTCTTGTTACCTTTCTTTGCATAGAAATCTAGCCTAACATCCACACCTTACAGAGGTATGTCTAAAACTGAAATGGCTTTTTAAAATTTGAATTTTGAGGTTGCATCAAGCATGGAATATGTATTTCTATGCCACATTATCGAACATGTCACCATGAAAATAGTTAGTGGTATGATAAAGAGCTCCAAGGAGAGCTCTGAATGATGTTTGGAGACAGTACGAATGAAGATCTAATTCCCAAGTGACATGGCATTACCATACCCATGAGATGTGTCAAAGTGCATCAGCATTTTCAGTGTGATATTATGTGCTTGTCAGTTAGTTTCAGTTTTATCTCTAGTGATAGTCAATTATCCTAATCAAAAATGCAGATCCCAGGGGTGCTGGGTTGGCACTAATCACAGAGTGCCAGACTGCAGGGGCAGCTGCCACAAGCTCATCTCTTACCTCTATCTTGATCGTGGCTTTTCTAGTCAGTAAACTGAATGTGAGAAATATTGGTGAAAGCAAGTGGCTTGTTGACAAGCAAGGTGAGTACCAGAAATGGGCAAAATTGAAGACTATAGATATATTAGATACATTCCCAATCATACATAAACAGAGAATTTGAATTCATTGAGTATAAATAGAGGGCTCAGTTGCTAAGTGATGCTGTATCCAGCCATTAGTTTTAGAGGATACCTGAGCCCAATTCCAGAAGAAAAGATCTCTGGAATGTTATGTCTCCCTGAAATGAACTAACATGCAAGTAGTGGTTGGGGCACCTACAAGAACAGAGAGCTGGAATGTCATCAAATTTATAGACAAGTTTTATGAACTGCTTTTATAAATTAATGTCCACATGTGTGATGAAATTTGGTTTAAGGCCTGATTTTATTATATAGCCTGGCAGTGAAGTTGTGGGAGAGTAACTAACACTCACTTACCTCGAACTCTTTTTAGTGGCTGCCACCATCTACCCAAATAACCTAAAGTAGGGCATAATTAATTTAGTTCAGTTAATAACACATGGTTTTTAGGAAATGTGTGCCATTTTTATTTTTCACCCATCTTCATTTGATTGCATCAGCTATTCCTGAGTCTTAGAATATTAATTCAGTAGTACAGTTGGCCTAGACATTATAACGATTAGGATGATAATTATAATATAAGAAACAACTGATGTTTGTACAAAAGCCGTCAAGATCGCAAAACATTTTGTCCACACATTTATGAACACATACAATAAAGAGAACTGAAGTCAATCACTAATGGCCACATTTATTCTCCTCACAGCACACGACGTTCTGGTGTTAAGGAGAATATTTTTCATTTGGCAGAACATTGGTCTAGGTGGCTAGGGTACAAGGAGAAGCAAGGCCAGGTATGCAGGGCTTTTTCAAGCCTTTGTTGGCTCCACAGTTGTTAATATCTCATTGTCCAAAGCAAGGCATGTGGCTAGGCCAAGAGCCACATCGAGATGTTTTTACACAGTCACATTTGCTGGCTAGATGCAGTCAGGGCAACTTTGCAGCCATAGAAGGTGTGGCCCCAAGGTGGAAATAGCCTGGGCCTTGAGTTGCCATGGGCAGGAGAGACGCCCAGGAGTGCTGTCCAAACTGCGTCACACTGTGAAGTGAGCAAAAAGTATTCTCCTACTGTAGTAAGTCCTAGACACTCATTCTTTATCGTTGTGGTGTTTTTTTGTTTTTTTGTTTTTGTTTTTGTTTTGCCTATTTTTCTGTAACCGCAGCCTAGTTAAGCCTATTTTGACAAATACAGAAATTGTAAAATTTCCCTCTTGAATGTCTCTTCGAGATTGTGACAGAGCTTTGTGGTATAGTTGCTGGTCTCTAATTGTGTCTGTTTGTTTAGAGTTATACTTTTGCTCAGTAAATTGATATATCGTAGTATAAAATCATGAGATTTATAATAAAAAGGTGTGTGTTTGAGTCTTAGGTCTGCTACTTCATAAGCTGTGTGATGTTGAATAGTTGTTTTGCCTCTCTAAGAAATGTCTTTTTCTAGAAAGCTCAGCCAATAACACCTACTTTAACATGGTTACTATAAGGCCATGAAAAGCATAGGTGAAAATGGCTGTAAATTTTTCTCTTTAATGGTAAAGTACCTTGAAAATAGTAATTCTTATTAGTAGTCAGTTGGTGGTTGCAAAATATAATGGGAAATAAATACTGAGTTTTTATAATTCTGGGAACACATCCCTTATATTTGCCCAATTCGAGTGTACTGGACTCGAGTAACAATTTTATACCCAGGATTGCAGCTTCTGTGGTTCCCAGATATAGGACAAACTCCTGCATTAAGTGCTTGTCCCATATAAGCAAAGGCCAAAAGCTTCCTTCAATGAGGTCACAGGTACTTTCATATTGAGACCAATTTCTACATTATCCCCACCCCATCACCAACTTCCTCTGCATGCTCATACCAAACCTCCCAGGGTTCTCAGGTCTGTTCAGTTTCTGCACAGAACTTCCCTCGGACTGGAATATTCCCACTTCCTTTCCAGGCCACCGGCCCCTGCCCATCCTGGGATGGCAAGCTGCTCCTTAATACTGAAGACATAGGCTTCCAACCTTGCATTTTTGGGAAAGCCTCAGCTGTCTCTCCTCCCACCCTCCAGGCAGACTTACTCATTCTCTTACTGGGCTGGAACAGGGCCTTATACATTCTTCTTATAATACTTCATTGATTTTGTTTACATGTCTGTCTCCTCAACAAGATGCTGAGCTCTTGGAAACAAGGCTGTGTTATTCATCTCCACCCTCAGCACCTAGCCCGATTCCTGAGATGTTAACAAAAGCATATGGGTACCCAGAGAAACTTCCTTGAGTGTCATATCATGTATTAGGAAAATTGGTAGCTTAGATTTACTATAAGTGAACCATCTCTTCTGTGAGGGTTTTTGAAGTGTGTTTGAAATTCTAATTTTACTACCAGATAAAGAAAATACATTTCCCTAAGAACTTAATAAAAATGCAGAGTTGAGATTTCCTACCTCAGATCTAAGGAATTTTTGCACCTTTGGGAGAGATGCCCAGTCACTTGTACTTCCAGAAACTTCCCCAAGCAACTCTGATGCACCTCAAAGTTTGAGAACCGTCACATTAGGCCAATCTGACTTATAAATTGCTGGTTCCAATTGCTTCAAATGTTTCCTGTTGTGAAAAGGAGCAGAAACAAAGCGCCCGTTCAGAAAGCTGGCTGCCCTCTCCCCACCTGGCCTCAGGTGCCTGGGTTCTCCCTGGAGAGTTCATGTCGCCTTCCTTATCGCTCAGCAGCCTTTGATCAGGAGCTTCTTCATTCTGGCTCATTCTTTACTTCAAAGCTGGGAAACCCGATCAGCTCCTCTCTCTTCCCTCCACCCAGGGCCCAGCCAGCCCCACAGTTGGTTCGGTCACTTGGGAAGACTGGGCAGACCGGCTTCTCCTAGAGGCTAGAGGAAAATCCTTTGTGTGGCACTCCTGTCTCATTACTCCCCAACACAATTGGTGCCACAGAGAAAGGAGGAGAAGAAATAAAACCTCGTTCTAAGCCCGCCGCCATGGGTGTGAAATAACCACACTTAGGGTGCAGTTTTGGGAACAGTTTTGCAGTGTTCCGTCTCCTAATCCCTGAGGCAAGTCTTCCTGGGTTAAACAGCAAACGTGCTTTATAGAATCCAGTCACTTGGAAGTTCCAGAATGAATCTCCTTTTATGTGAGCATTAAAATTAGTTCCCAACGGCAAAGTTTACAAGGGAAGATGATAAATGATTTAGCTTTGTGAATATGGGGACAGTGATAGCCCAATTTCTTTGATAAATTATTTCATTTCAGAAGACTGGCATGTGCTAAGGTAAGATGCTGTTTTAAACCTAGTTTATCTACCCACAAGTTTCACATTTCCCCTTCGCAAAATACCCAACCTTGATGACCCAAACCTTACTTTTAAATAAGTACAAATAAATCAGAAGGGTCACTTTAAAAATGGTTTCATTGAGCTATAATTCACATACCAGAAGATTTACCGATGGAAAGCATGCACCTCAATGGTTTTTGGTATATTCACAGTGTTAAGCAATTATCACTACAATCTAAGTTTAGAATGTCCTCATCATCTCAGGAAAAAACCCTGTACCCATTAGCAGTCACTTTTCCACTTCTTCCCCCTGCACAGCCCTAGGAAACACTATTCTAACTTCTGTCTCTATAGATTTGCCTATTTGGGGCATTTTCTATAAATGGAGTCATATAATATGTGGCCTTTTGTGACTGGCTTCTTTGAATTATGATAATATTTTCAAGATATTAAAATAACGCTGCTATGATTGTTCATATACATGCTTTTCTGTGTATTATTATTATTTTTTTTTTTTTTTTTTTTTTTTTTTTTTTTGAGACGGAGTCTCGCTCTGTCGCCCAGGCTGGAGTGCAGTGGCGCGATCTCGGCTCGCTGCAAGCTCTGCCTCCTGGGTTCATGCCATTCTCCTGCCTCAGCCTCCCGAGTAGCTGGGACTACAGGCGCCCACCACCGCACACAGTGAGACGGGGTTTCACCGTGGTCTCGATCTCCTGACCTCGTGATCCACCCGCCTCGGCCTCCCAAAATGCTGGGATTACAGGCGTGAGCACCTCGCTCGGCCGCCATTGTTTTAATTATAACCATTCTAGTGAATATGCATTGGTATCTCATGGTAGTTTTGATTTGTATTTATTTCACTAACAGTTAATGATGCTAAGTATCTGTCATGTCCTTATTGTCTGTTTTGATATCTTCTTTGAAGAAATGCCTATTCAAATACTTTGTTCATTTTTAAGTTGGATTACTTGTATTTTCATTATGAAATGTAAGAGTTTTTAAATGTATTTTGTAAGTAGTCTCCTTCTCAAATATATTATTGTCAAATATTTTCTCCAAGACTGGATTGTTGCTTTGTTGTCTTGATGATGTGGTTTAAGGATGAATATTTTAAATTTTGATCAAGTCTAATACATCTTTTTTTTTATTTTCTGATTTTGGTGTCATATTTAAGAAACCATTGCTTAATTCAGAGTGACAAAAATTTACTTCTGTTTTATTCTAAGAGTTTTAACATTTTAATTCTTAAACTTAATTCTATGATCTACTTTAATTTTTGAGTATGATGTGAGGTCGGGGTCTAAAATAATTATTTTGCATGGTGCCCCAGCTCAATTTAATTAAAAGAATTAAATTTTCTGGACAATGTTGTTGAAAATTAGTTGACCATAAATTTGAGAGTTTATTTTTGGACCACTAATTTTACTCTATTAATCTATATGTCTATCATTATGTTAGTATTACTTGGTCTTTATTACTGCAGCTTTGTAGGAAGACTTGGAATTATGAAGTGTGAGTCTTCCAATCTTTTTCTTCTTTTTCAAGATTGTTTCTCCTATTCCAGATACTTTGCATTTCCGTATGAATTTTAGGGCCAGCTTGTCAAATTATTCTTAAAAGCCAACTAGTGTTCTGATAGAGTTTGCATTGAAGCTTTGGATCAATTTGGGGAGCATTGCTGTATTAACAATATTGTCTTTCAATCCTTGAACTTAGGGTGTCTTCAATTTACTTAAATCTTTAATAGTTTTCAACAATGTTTTAGATTTTGTAATGTACAAGTCTTGCACTCGTTGTATTTGTATTTTAGTTGTTAAATTTATTTGTATTTTAATATTTTTTAAAAATTGCTTTATTTTCATGATTTCATTTCTAAATTGTTCATTGGTATTGCATAGAAAAGTAATTTTTATATTAATATTGTATCATACATCCTTGCTAAACTCATACATTAGTTACAATAATTTTTGGTGGGTTTCTTAGGATTTTCCATATACAAAATCATGACACACAAAAATAGAGATAGTTTTACTTTCCTCTCCAATCAGGATATCTTTCATTTCCTTTTCTTGCCTAATTGTCTTTCTTATATATCCAGTAAAATATAGACTAGAAGTGGTGAAAGTAGGCATCCTTGTCTTATTCCTCATCTTAGGAAGAAAGCATTCAATTTTTCACTATTCAATATTATATTAGCCACGGGTTATTCACAGGTGTCTGATATGATTTGGCTCTGTGTCCCTACCCAAATGTCCTCTTGATTGTAATTCCCATGTGTTGAGGGAGGGACCTGGTGGTGAGAGGCAATTGGATCATGGGAGCTGTTTCCTCCATGCTGTTTTCATGATAGTGAGTTCTCATGACATCTGATGATTTAAAAGTGGCATTTCTTCCCCACCTCCTGCTGTGATGTAAGTCGTGCTTTGCTTCCTCTTCCGCCATGATTGTAGGTTTCCTGAGGCCTCCTCAGTCATTTGGAACTGTGAGTCAATTAAACCTCTTTTCTTTATTAATTACCCAATCTCAGATATTTCTTTATAGCAGTGTGAGAATGGACTAATACAATGCCCTTTATCAGACTGAGAGAGTTCTCTTCTATTCCTAGTTAATTGAGTTTTTAAAAAAATTATTATGTGAGAGCACTGGATATTGTCAATTTTTTTCTTCCTGTATTTGAGATGATCATGTGGTTTTTGCCCATTATTTTGTTAATATTGTGTATTATATTGTTTTATTTTGAAATACTAAACCAAACTTGTATTCCTGAGTTAAATCTAATTTCTTATGATATAGTCTTTTTTATTGTTGCTGGATCCAGTTGGCTTATAAGTTTATGAAGATTTTTATGTCTCTATTCAAAAGAGATATTGGTCTGTAGTTTTCTTATGCTATCTTTGTCTGGTTTGGGTATCTTTGTAATAGTGGCATTATTGGATAAATTAGAAAGTGTTTGTTCTCTGTCTTCTATTTTATGGGAAGTTTGTGAAGGATTGGTGCTAATTCTTTAATGTTTGATAGACTTAACCAATGAAGTTATCCAGACCTGGATTTTCTTTGTAGGAAGATTCCAAATTACTAACACAATTTCTTTACTCTTTACAAGGTATACCAACAAGTAAAGTATATCGATATATATTATTTATTTTCTCTTTAGTAAATTTTTGTAGTGTGTGTCTGTCTGGAAAACTGTCCATTTAATCTGTTACCTAGTTTGTTGACACACAGTTGTCCACAGTATTCTCTTATAATCATTATTTTTGTAAGGTCTGTAGTGATATTCCCTCTTTCATTCTGATTTTAGTAACTTGAGTCTTTTTCTTCCTTGTCAGTGTAGCTAAAGGTATATGAATTTTGTTATTTTCAAAAAAAGAAAAAACGCACAACTTTGATTTTTTTTTAAATTTCATTTATTTTCTTAAGCTTTACTATTCTCTCCCTTTTACCTGCTTTGGGTATAGTTTGCTCTTTCTTTCTAGTTTCTTAAGGTAGAAGTTTATATGACTAATTTGAGGTATTTCTTTTTTCAAAAAATATAAGTTCTTATAGCTGTATATACATTCCTGAGCACTGTGTTATTTGTATGCCACACATTTTGTATGTTGTGCTTTCATTTTCATTCACCTCAAATCATTTTCTAATTTTCCTGTAATTTCTTTTTTGACCTATAGAATTGATTTGTTTTAAATACTGTTTTGTCTAATTTCCAAATGTTTGTAAACTTCTCAAATTTTTTTCTCTTATTGGCTTTTAATTTTATTCCAGTTTGGTCAGAAAACATACTTCATATGATTTCACTTCTTTTGAATTTACTGAGACTTGTTTTATAGCCTAACAAATGGTCTCTCCTGCTGATGGGCCAATGTACACCTAAAAGGAATGTGTATTCTGCTGTTGATCTATCTTAGATGTAATCAGAATATCTGGGACCCTTACAAATCTTTGTTTAACAAACTCTCCAGGTTATTCTGATTCATGCTCCAGTTTGAGAACCACTGATTTCCAATGGGTACCTCTCTGCCTTGCCCATGTTTTTCTCCGATGTAATTAATTAGGAATTTCACATGCAGGTTGTCTGGAATTCATTGCTGTTCTCTGACCCTGGTACACAGTTAGTCCTCCAACTACATATTTCTCCAACTCTGCAGTGTTGGTTGGTCTAATTTGGATTATTAAGCTTAAACCTTTATTTGCCACTTAGCCTTCTGTTCCTTGTGTTACCAGGAGGCCTTTTCATCAGGCTCCTTGTCTAAGGTGCTGATGCAATACTTAGTTCTTTCAAGCCCTTTCTTGCAATCCTGGAATCTACTTCTTTGTTCCCAGGAAATAGATAGGCTTGACTCTGAATGAAGTGATTATTTAGAATCTTAACAGTGTTAAGGGTTCTTCCCCCATCCCTTGAATCACCACCTTTAGACATTAAATTATTCCCATTTGCCTGGGACCTCTGTTGGTCTTACCCCACTCTCAAGAATGATTCTTTTTAGATTTTGTCACTTACAAAAATCAATTTCCATTATATCATGCCTCTTTCTTTACAGTTCTTTGTACTCTTTATCAGGACTATGGTCTAGGTACCTTAGCAGTGCCCTCCATACCTGTGCCAATACCTTCCAGCAGTGCCTATACCTGATCTTGGGGCTGTCTTCTCTCACTAAGACTCAACAAATGAGGTTAAGTTTCACTACAATGTTTAATAATCAAACTTGATCTAGATTATTTGGTTCAATTCTGAATGCCATACTTAACTAGAGATATTCAGTGAAATAAAGATAAATTGCATGTTCCTAAAACTGGAAACTGTCATTAGAGAAGTTGGTTTTATGGGAGAACATCCTCCCTTCTGACGCATTCATGTAGCAGACACTTCAGATTCCCCACACAGATCCATTTATCAGGCCTGAACACTCATCTACCTAGTGCTGCAATAGGCTCACCACTGCTCCCTCTCCAAGTACTTATCAACTGCTGAAAGCATCTAGCCATGCCCCCAGGAAATGTTACCCTTTCCTCTGAGGACAGTTTGCAGCATATGACTGTCAGCTCCTTTGCCTCAAGGTGAGACAGTTCTGCTTGCTCTTCATGCTCCAGAGCTCCCCATGGGATCAGGCAGAAGCCAGATTACAGCTGATACCACATTCTTGCTTAGCTTTTTCTTCTATCCCAGGCTCCCTTAATAAACCACCTGCACATGAATCTCTTTCTCAGGCTCTGCTTCTAGAGGACCCAACCTAAGACAACCCAAGCCCTCCTACTTAAGGAAATCAGAGTTACTCGTGATCACCATTTTCTATTATCTATGCTAGGGTCTTTGAGCCCCTTCAAATCCACATATTTGTAAGAAATATCTGCAAATTAGCTCTTTATTTCCTCTTTTCTTAAATATCAATCTTATTGGATTTTTTTTTTTTTGAGAGAGTCTTGCTTTGTCACCCAGGCTAGAGTGTAGTGGGGCGATTTTGGTTCACTGCAACCTCACCTCCCGGGTTCAAGTGATCCTCTTGTCTCAGCCTCTGGGGTAGCTGGGATTACAGGTGCCCACCACCACGCCCAGCTAATTTTTGTATTTTTAGTAGAGACATGGTTTCACCATGTTGGCCAGACTGGTCTCAAACTGCTGACTTCAAGCAATACATCAGTCTTATTGGATTTTAATATTTCTGTAACAGAAGAAAGAAAAACCTAAAAACCTATCTTCCACTGCCCCATGTGAGGTAATACAATTTTGGTTAGATGTCTCCATAGGTCCACAAAGTAATGGAGTTTTAATTGTTTGTCATCATGAGTCTATATTTTTTTCCCTGAGTTAAATAACGAAGGGGGATCAGAAGACCTCATTTACTTTCATTTGGTGCCCAGAGCTCACATTGGTCAGGGTCTCATGGAAAATGACTTTGTTGGGAGCCCCATTGCTGGGTGAGCCTCACCAGCTTGAGTCCAGATCTGCTTAAGCAATTGGGAAATTCCTTCTTCAAGCAGAAGGCAGGGTCAGGGAGGATAATACCAAAACGTTGCCCAGCATTGTATTTTCTATGGCAGGCTTTGCCTTTTAGGTCTGTAATTTTAATCTTTTTAACACGAGGAAAAATGAAAGTATGGTCTTGCTCAAGGAGGGAAAGTATTCTTAATTCTATGAGTCCTAGAAAGCTGTAGGATTCTGTTAATTCTGGAGAATAAATGAGCCAAGGAAGTCAGAGAACTAACTCCAAATATCTGAAGGTTAGTCATATCAAAATAGTAAATTATTTCAGCATTGTTTTGTTTTCAATAGAATAGAGTTAAAAATAATGGTTGGAAGAAACAAAACTATGTACATGTTACAGTGAGAGAAATGCACAAATGAAGGGCATTTAAATCAACATGAAAAGCAGATGTAGAGAAAGTGACATGGGCTGAGTGTTGAAAGATGAGCAGGACTTCACAAGGGGAAGAACATACCAGGAACAGGCATGTGTGAAGACACCAAACCAGACATCCCATGTCACACAATGGATGCTACAAGTCATTCAGTGTGACTGGATACAAGATACGTGGTAGGGGGTGGAGAAGAGGACAGAGTCTGGAAAGAAAGCAGAGATAGAACATTTAGGGCCTCTTATGTTGATCTAGAATTTTAATTTCCTCCAGAAAGCATATGTGAATTTATTGGAGGGTGTTAAAAAGATAAATAAAATACTTAGGTTTTTTGTTTTTTACTTACTCAAGTACTAGGAAAAAAGACAGACCAGGTGAGGAGATGAATGGAGTGAGAAGACAGCCCAGTGGAATGAGAAACTAATGAGGACCTAAATGCCTGTGATGGAGGTAGGTATGGGAAAAGAGAAATTAATGAGGCGAAATCTACAGAGAACTGATTGGCTGAAAAGATGACTGAGAAAGAAGACTCCAGGATGATATGCAGTTATTGAGAAAGAGAGAGAGAGAATACAGGGGAAGAGAGAATCAAAATGGTGCTGGGAGAAAAGGAAAATAGATTAAGGAAAAAGAAAAGAAGAGACACTGTTTGAGGACTGTTTCTGCAGGTTTTAGGGACCTGACCTTATGAATAACTGAGCTATGTTAGAATTAAGGGCTGAGGACAACCCTCTAGACCAACACTCTCCACTGGAAATACAATATGACTATATATATGTATATATATATAAAATATTTAAACTTTTTAGTGGCTACATTTTTGAAATGTAAGAAGAAACACACAAAACTAATTTAATAATATACTTAACTCAGTATAGTCAAAATACCATTACAACATGTTATCAATAGAAAATATTGATGACATATTTCATTCTTTTTTTGTACTGTCTTCTAAACCTGTTACATAATTTATGATTACAGCAAATATCTATTCAGATATTAAATTTTTATCAATACTACTTGATCTATATTTACACATCATACAGTGTATGGTTGAAAAGATAGATTCACATATCCAAGTGGTTTTAAACATAGTTTTCTGATAACTGAATCAAGTATTATTTTTAAATTTAAAATAAATTTAAATTAAATTTAAAACATATTCCTTTATCTCACTAGCCACATTTATAGCAGTCAATAGCTACATGTGAGGCAGTGGCTGCCATACTGGACATACAGCTCTAAGATCTTGTTACTTAAAGTGGGACCTGAACACCATAGCTCTAGTATCTTCTGGAAGTTAGTTAGTCAATTTAGAATCTCAGGCCCACCCCCAAACCGACTGAATCAGAATCATCATTTTATTAAGATCCTCAGGTGATCTGTGTGCACACTAAAGTTCACAGTTCAAGATGCATTGCCTCAGAAGACAGAAAAGATCACAGATCACTTCAGGGACACCGAGGCACAGTGTAATTAGTTGACTTAGTCAATACTTCGCAATGAGGGCACTGGAAGAACATACATAGAATCTAGAAATTTAAAGTTTGTTTCTTGTCTGAACACCCACATGGTACTGATTCACTTAGTTCAAACTAATTTTTCAACTTGGCATTCACATTCATAAATCCAGAATCACACAGGAGAACCCATTAGCTTAAGGATATACAGCATTCAGATAGACATGCTGAAGCAGAAAATATGTGAAAGGGTCCCTCAAAAGTTGATTTCTGAACTCTGTTTAATGAAAACCACAATTGGTTCTATGGGGGCAAAACCAGAGTTTATGATTGGTTCTCTAACATACAGAGGATTTAATTACTCCCATGATGACCCTGTTTTAATTCACTCTTGTTCTCTGAATCCTTCTGTCTTCTAATTGCAGGTGAGGACAAAGGGGTATCTTTAACAACACCAGGAGAGAGAAAACTGGATGGACAATAATGCAGGGTGGCTTTTGTATTGAGCTTGCTTGTGCCTATGAACCATGATGAATGACAAATGCAATTGCATGCTGAAAACCGGGTTGAGTGATCCAGGCTCATTTATGTGTCTGAACACCTATAATTACAGGACTTTAGGTACTTAATTTTATCATGAGAGGTGGTGAGTTTACAAAACTCAATATGGGCACAAATTAAAATAGTTCAATAATTTTAAGAAACTCAAAATTATCCAAAGCAATTTATAATTTCACATTCAATATTAGCATAATCAATTTTTAATTTTTTCATCTAAATAATAAAATATTTTGAAATTTGGAATCCCCAGAGATACAGAAAAGCTGGTAGACTGTGCTCTTCCCACAAGCTATGTCTTTACCGCCCACATTATCCAAGTTGTAGACATCCAATAAATTCAAATATTACAAAACTGTCAAATCCATTTTTACATTCAGATGATCAGAAGTTTCCAAACATCAGCTGAATTTGGTTTTCTGGCATAATAGCAATTATAATTAATAAACTTATTTGCATAATCATTATAAATTGTCACAGAATTGCAGATCTGCAGAGAGATTGAAAGATGTGATTTAGATAGTATTGAAACCCTAGGGAGTTGTTGATGTAGAATAATACAATGAATTATTGGAAAGTTAAACTGAGTACTACTCTATATAACTTCCAACATTCACTGACCCAATTTCAATTCTGAGCTCAGAAATTTGTATCATTGTCTGATGAAGCTTATCTAAGCCAAATTTCAGCTGAAGATCCTTTGTTGAAGGCATCTCTGCCCCTCTCAATTTCCTGAAATAAACATAAAAATAATAATGATGATGATGATAATATTATAGAAAACTACACCTTCAAAGAAGTTAGTAAGCAGCAAAATCTCAGACCACAGTTTATGAAAGAAGGCTTGAAAAGTGCAATGAAAAAGAAATCTGGTTTAGAAAAAAAGCCAAGAGTTGAAAAACAGGTCTACACAAAATGGTTACCTAAAAGTGGCATCTACAGACAGAAAGTCCATACTAAAGCCCCCTCTACTGTAAGGAGCAGCAAGGTTTGTTGCATCTTGAGCCACATCTGTTAGTGTGAAGTGGCAGAGAAGATGTGTAGAAATAAAGACACCTACAGATACAAAACAAACTACCACCACCAATCACAAATGCAATCATATGGCAAGATGGGGGAGGAAAGTGAGTGACCAAGAGTTCTGCAATGATATTAAAAAGAATAGTCTTGAAATCACGACACACACACACACACTTAATGATTTTTTTGTTTTGTTTTTGGCTGGAGTGCAGTGGCACTATAGTAATCCACTGCAGCCTTGAACTCCTAGGCTCAAGCTGTCTTACTACCTCAGCCTTCTGAGTAACTGGTACTACAGGCATGCACCACCACGCCTGACTATTTGTGTATGTGTGTTTGTGTGTATGTGTAGAGATAGGGTCTCACTATATTGCCTAGTCTGGTCTCAAACTGCTGGGCCCAAGTGAAGAAATCCTCCTGCCTCAGTCTCCCAAAGCCCTGGGATTACAGATGTGAGCCACCATGCCCAGCCAAGAATAATAATTTTAAGGGCTTTATGGATACTTGATGCCCCCAAGCGCTGAAGAAGTAAGCATAAATATTTCCTCAAAGAATTTCCACAGGGAAATTTTCAATATTTATTCTCTCTCTCTCACACACACACACATACAAACACACATACACAAAACATCCCAACACACACACATACACAACATCCCAACACACACACATACACACACCATCCCAACACACACATATACACACACCATCTTAAAGCACCCACGGGAACAATACCTTGTGAGAAAGAGAAATCAAAACAACTTTAGTATCAGACCCACAAAGAAGGTAGAAGTTGGATTTACCAAATGTAAAATACAGAATGCAAAGTATTTGTATCTAAAGAAATAAAAGACCAAATTTAAAACATGAGTGAAGCTTAAAAGCTTACATAAAAGTATCTGGTAAATTTGAAAATAGACCACAGAGGATTCCAAGACATACCTAGAGTCTTCAAAGTACAACTGTAGAATACAAAAGAAAAAAAATATATTTTAGAAGAAGTTAGCTTAAATGCAGGTCACGAACAGAGAGCATCTTTCTCTATTTACAACCTGGTCCTCCTGACTCTCAATTTAGTTCTCTTTTTGACTTTCCATAGTTGTACAATTACTAAGGTAACCGTTTGGAGAATAAAAAATAAACAAATTAACAAACGGAAATGAGGAGGTCAAATTGAAGGAAGTATAAACAAATGTTTCATTTTTCATAGTGGAGTCTACAAAGGAGTATAGGAACAAATATAAAATACTGGAAAAAAGTTGTAAATTTAATTCAACAGGATATGATAATGGTTTGCAGTGACAAATGGAAATGCAAAGAAGTTTTAATATTAGAAAAATCTATTAGTATAATGTATTATATTATTAAGTGATTGAAGGAAAGAGGCCACCACAATAGCTGCTGGAAAGATATTTAATAAGCTTTAATACCCATTTTTAATAACAGCAAACTAGCAACTAGAATGGTTCTTGTTCAACTTGATTAAAGATATAAATCTAAATTATAGAGCCAGTTCAATATATAACAGTGAAACACCAGAGGCCTCCTCATTAAAATCAGGAACAGCAGAGAATGGCTGCTGCTCAGTTATTTTTCCATTAACTATGGATGTTCCAGAACTTTCTTGGTCAAATTCTTCTGTATAGGCCTGAAACTTCTTGAAGCTCTACATATATTTACTCATCTTTTTAATCTTTTATTGAAGATACTTGTAGGAATAAAAAATGTTTTTCTGGTAAGTGTTATTTGCAAGTGAGTCACACCAAGATGTAATTTACTTGCAAATAACAATTATCTTTCTCAGAAATATGAATTTCATATTATGAGTGAAATGTATAATGTTTACAAGCTCTTGTGCAGAAATTATCCCACATTTAATCTTGTTACTGAGAGAAAGACAGAGAGAGAGACAGAGAGAGAGAGAGAGTGTCCATTAAACCTAAGGTAAAAATCAGATTTTATCCTAGATGCAAGCAAACAATTTAGTGTGCAACAGTGTTACAGATGCTGATAGAAGAGTCTACAATCTACTCCTGCATAAGAGCTACAGAACAGTTCTTTACTCACAGTCATAGCAATAGCCAGAATATTAGTATTTTTGCATGGTTTTTCTGAATCCCAGCTCCTAAAGGGAGATACAAAGAGAGCCAGGTGACATCCAAACAAACACTCAGTGTGCTGCATTACAGAAGGGGAGCCCTGAGCTTAGGGAGCCTGAATGTTTTATAGTGGACAAAGGCTTGCTTGCTCTTTCTTCCAGGAGACATTCTCTTTATTACACTGGACAGTGTGCCTGTGCTTTTGTCTAGAGGGGGACACTACCTCCCAAAGCTGTTCACTATACAAACAATCCTGAAGAGATAGTCCAGAGAAAAGGACAGTCAGTGCCCTTGCTCACAAGGCATGCAGAAACACAAGAGACCAATAGAGAATTGTCTTCCCACAGCAATCAACTCTGATTGTCATTATACAGCTATCAGTATGACATTTTATTTGTTGTCAAGCTTTTACATTAGACCCTTATTTCCATGAAAGTATGAACGATGTTTATTTTTTCTACTACTGCATGCATAATAAAGAACTCTAAGCTATAAATGGATAAGACTGCAGTGTGAGTCAATAATTTTAAACAAATACAAATATCAATTATTTTAATTATTTCAACTCTTTCAAAATATGTATGTATGTATGTATGTATGTATGTGTATATTTCATATAATCACAAGCAAAATACTATACATCTCTGTATGTTTGACTCAAACTCAATAATTGAGAAGTCCAAAATGAATTTTGGTTATAATATACATAAGCTCATGATTCATTTCACCTAAATGCATAAGTATGGAAAATGCAAATATAATTTTAATAATATAATATCAAACATATACTTAAGGAACCAGTCTGGTATATCTCTCTGAAACCTTTATGATATACAGCTATGATATGACATAGAACAACTCTTAACAATCTACACGTCTAGATATTCTGCCAAGTTTTCCTTGATACTTGACCATAACATTGGCAATTAAATAACATTCCTTCTGCACACTATTTCACAGAGACAACATGAATCAAAAGCATTACTCTTTCCTGACAATATCAGATGCAGCTTCAGAATACTTCTGAACATTGTATTCCAGCTGGCCACCACCAATTGATTGGACATGAAATGCAAACTGAACATACTTGCTCTCTTGACCAAAGTGTCTCTTTGATTCTCAAACTAAATGAAGTCCTCAAGATGTTTCAGTGCTACATGTCACTTTCAAAGTTGATGAGTGTACAATATTAGTTCCCTGGTTACTAGTAATAATATGTAAAATTAATTGTCTACCAGGACTGTTCTAAATATGGAATTCATTTTATACTCCAATAACATTATGAATGGGTACTTTAGTATTCCCATTCCACAGATGAAGAAATGGAGACACTAGGATGTTGATTTGTCTGTCAGAGTCCACACAGCTAGAAAATAAAAGAAACAAAATTCTAATGCTGAAGCCTGGGGCAGTCATATTCTTAACCATTACTGAATACAAAAATTAGTGAAATGAGCCTAAAGTTGTTTACATAGTAAGCTGGAAGTTACCACATTTTCCATATAAAACTTCATCTGGCCACCCAGTTTCCTTGTGACATTTCACAAAGCCAATGTTATAACATCAGGGAGGAAGCAGGAGACTTTAAGAGCCCTTGTTTCATTTATTGGGACATTGGCTTGCTGGCCTCATGATGGTTAGGGTGACCAATGACCTTACTTTGCCTGGAACTGAGAGATTTCCAGGGACATAGGATTTTTAGTGCCAAACTTAGAGAATGTGGACCCAAACTGAACCATTGATCATTGCCTTAAACTTAGAGAATGAGGACCAAAACAGAACCATTGATCAATGCCCTAGTGGGACTCTACTCCTCAACATGCAATCTATCAAGCAAAGTTGTTCCAGATGGATTATTATGGTCATCAGGTCACAAGGATCCATCTAATTTGCCAGGAATCCTTTTGTGTGCCTTCTCTGTCACCCTAATCACTCTCAGAATGCTCATCCCTGTGTGCTGTGTTATTTAAAGCTGTGCTTCTTAAACTTTCGTGTGTATGAGAATCATCTGGAAGGCTTGCTAAAAGTCTCTGGGGTGGCCCCAGAGATTCTGAGTCGGTAGGTCTAAGGTGGGGCCCAGGTTTTACCATTTCTACTAAGCTCTAGGAATGTTGCTACTGGTGATTCAAGGGGCTAAATTTTTTAGAGTATTCATTGATAACTAAACAAACCAATAAACTAATAGAAAGAGAAAAGGAGATTTATCAGCAAAATTCTATTTCAGCAACTGTGACCTCCATCCTCTGATTCATCTCTAGTGAAACTATTTATCATAATTGGAAACTGAAAATTCAATACATTATAACTGAAATTTTGCCCAAATCTTTTATATTTATTAGAATAATTATATCCATTAGGGCATCTAAAATCTTGGTTTCTCAACTCTGAAAGAAAAACAAGTTTATTATTAAAAATTGTGCTCTAAAACATGCTAAAAACAGTGAGTACAACTATTTTGTTGGTGATAAACATTCATTTAGCCTCTTCTATCTCAGTCCTAATCCCATAGTAATGTCTTTCCTGATGGATGTAAGGAACACGTTTTCCTTTTCTAATCTAACTGAAATGAGATGGAAACTCATGACTCAGGGTTAATTCAATGCAGTCCTGCTATTTTACAGAATTTCAATTATGCTGAGTAGAATTGTTCACTGAGAGTGAGCAGCTGCCATCACAGTTTTAATGAATATTGCAGAGTGTTATCTGCATTCCCTTAGAGTATTGGGCTATAGTCATGCAACTGAATTTCAGCTCTTTTCTGTAAAACACAGTGTACTTAACTAAAATCTATTGTAAAGGGATAGCCGGCACCTATCAGGTGAGATGGTCACTTTATGCCAGGTAAAATATTGACTATATTGAAAGAAAAAGACCAGTTTATGAAGAGCAGAATGCAAATAATACATTGGGAAAATGCAGTTATATTGCATCTAATATCTTCAGGATAAAAAATCACTTTCTACTGCAAAGTCCTTGAAGAGATGACAAACATAGCAATGTGTTCACCCACTTAGCATCACCAAATGTGTGACAAGCAATGAGTGCCTTCTGATGTGCTTCATGTTGGTGAAGCACATGACAACAGCAAAGAAAGAGTTTTTGCCAAAACAGTTTAGACCTGAATCTAATCAAACCTCTAGAACTAATACATAGTGCTATATCTTCATAGAAAACACAGGAAATGGAGAAACATAGACAACCTACAAGCAAGTAAAGAGACAATTCCAGAATGTTAAAATCTATACGGGAATGACAGTGTCTGCAAGCCATTGATATTAAAAAATATAGTGAGTACTACTATAGATGAATAAACAACCAAATGTCATGTATAAACCCTGTTTGGATCTTGATATAATCACACAGACTGCAAAATGACATTTTGTGAGACATAAGGAAAAAGTGAATATGTTTTGGGTATTAGATAATACCAATAAAGACAGTAATTGCTAGTTTCATCAGGCATGACAGATAGTACACGGGTAATGTTTTTTACAAAGTTCATAATTTTAGAAATGCCAAGGTGAATGAACATTGATTTAAAATATATTTGATTATAAATAAAATAAATGAACCAATTGTTAATAATGTTTGAATGTGAATAGTGGATTTATAAAACATCATTGTACTATATTCAGTAATTTTGTATATGTTTGAAATATTTCAAAATATATATGAAAAAAAGTCACAGGAAATCAAGGCCATTGGTAAAATTAAAGGGCGTGCTGATGGCCAATGGGACACCAGATGGCTCCTGGCATTGCCGTCCAGGGATTATTATGAAAGCTGTTCCCAAGCAGCTGTTCTCTCCTCTCCACTCCCACACTTCAGAGAGAGCATGTGACCTCTTCCCTCAGCAGAAACCCCCTTATATTACTATTTGTGTTACAGTCGGGAACAAACTCTTATCAAGTACAAAGTATGGAACAGTTGAGTGGAGGGATGGTGACATTCAGTCACACTAAAGAAGTATTCATCTGAACCAAAAGCTGAGGAGGTCAGGGGGCTCCCAGAAAGAAAGCACCCCATGGGAACTTTACTGCCTCTCCAGGTCTGCCGAATAAGACATAGAAGTTGGGTGATCAGAAAACAAAATAACCAAAGCTCATCTTTGTATGATAGGTCAAGGCCACAAGTGGAAAGCAATGAATTAACATCTGATTAAAATGTGCTCTCAGAATAGCATAAGTATCTTCAAAAGTACATGCTATTTTGGATCAGGGTTGGAGGATTCAAAAGATTCTTCAAGAGCAGCCCCTGGCCTAGAAATAGGAAAGGAAGTTGAATAAATTGTCGTGATGGTAAGTGTAATCAAGATAAAAATATGTAGAAATTTCCCATGAAATGTAACTAGAAAGTGATATGACTCTAATTTTTTATAATCAAACAACAGAGTTAATATGGACCCAGGAAGGCTGTCCTTCAAAACAGGTTGTTTTGGAGCTTCTGCTCCCATTACAGATATGTTATTGCTGCTTAAGATGTTTTGGGGATTCATGACCCATTTGCCTGCTGCAAAGGAAATGAGCAAATACTTTAAGCTTATTTTCATCACTATAATTGTTGGCATTACTATTATATTAAAATCTATGACATCATTTCAAGGCAATATTTTAACATCATTATTATCAGTATGATGTGTTTTCAATATCTAATTTGTTAATTGAGGACAAAGTTTCATTTCTCTATTCATTGACATACAATATAAAGAGTAAAAGTATTATAAATTGAACAAATTTGTTCCCCAGAGTTCTAAATATTGATTGAGATACATTGTTCTTAAATTTAACATATCAAACTCTGTTTCAAACATCTTAGAAAAACAGTCTGGACACATCTCCAAAACCAGTGACTAAAGGCTAAAAACATTGATTTAAAATCGTTTACCTTCCCTGTGTGTAACTTCATTTTGCTTCTCTCTTAATATAAAATTTTACACTTAATCTAAAAAGTGAAGGCACTTTCTCCAACTATCTAACATTGCATTCCAAAGTAATATTTTTCCTGAGTGAATTTATTTTGTAGTGGCTAGATAGATAGGATAGAATAAATTTTGTTCTCCTTTTTGAGCAAATTTGATCTTAAATTAAATACATTTTTAGGCTTTTTGTAGGGTTTTCAAATAAAGTGAAATTAGATTGCTATATTAAATTATCTATTATGTCCTAGAAATCAAGTCATATTTATTTATAAATTCAGGTATATCCACGGGTTGCTGATTTATTGTATTCATTGGATTTGACCCTGAATGGATTGTAATTGTTAGTAATATATCAACTCATAGTTTCTACCATTAAAGGAAGTCAAATACATGCATGAAATATGCTAACTAGAATCCCCCAGACTCTTCGATGAATGATTCAGTGCATTGTAAGATGACCGGGAAAGCCTCTTAAGACACCAGATATGAAGGGGAAAACTTTTATGTAGGTATGCCTGTTGATATAATTAATCCTATTACTGTACAGTTATAATGACATCAGACATCAAAGATGAAATTGAGGGCATCATGAACTTTGAATTAATGCAATACAGAAAGGCTACTCAAGAAAGTGAATTTTGAATTGTTTTAAGGAAATTGATAGAAATGCTGCTAGTTTAAATTAATTTGAATAAAACAATAGTTTATGTAGATGACATATGTCCGAAATATCTACACAATCCCCCCTTCTGTTTTTCGCACTTCCTGATTGTATACCAAAAATGTGGGTACAAATGTTTCATGTCTGCCCCACGCGGTGTGAAACTTCAGCCTCATCTTCACATATGGCAACATTAAAGTAATGAATGATCTTTACTTCATTGCTTTCTACTCTTTAATTTATTTTTTCCACATTTTTCAGGTATAATTGATGAATAAGAATTGCATATATTTACAGTGTACAATGTGATAGTTTTGACACATTATACATTGCAAAATGATTGCCACCATCAATCTATTAATCTATCACCTGATTAACATATCTATCATGTCACCTCACATAGTTATCTTTGTGTGAGTGGTGAGAACATTTAGCTGTACTATCTTGGCAATTTTCAAGTACATAATATTTTATACATTATCATTACATTATTATTAACTATAGTCACCATGCTGTGCAATAGATCTCCAGAACTTATTTATGCTGCATAACTAAAATTTTGTACCCTTCGACCAACATTTGACCCCATCCCTCCTCCAGCCCCTGGCAACCATCGTTCTACTCTTCAACTTTTAAAAATTCCACATGTGAGATTAAGCAGTATTTGGCTTTCTGTGCCTGGCATCTTTTGTTAATAGTGTTCTCCATGTTTATCCATGTTGTCACAAATGTCAGAATTTCCTTCTCTTTAAAGGTTGAATAATATTATCCACTGCATGAATCTATTCACTTGTCTCTCAGTGAACACTTAGATTGAATTGTCATCTTGGTTATTGCAAATAATGCTGCAATGAACATGGGAGAGCAGGTATTTCCTCAACATAACGATTTCATTTGTGTTGGATATACACCCAGAATTGGATTGCTGGATCATATGGTAGTTCTATTTTTAATTTTTTGAGAAACTGCCATACTGTTTTCCATAACAGTTGTACTAATTTAGATTCCCACCAACAATGTGCAAGGGTTCCCTTTTCTCCACACTGTTGCCCAGGCTGGAGTGTGTTGGCACGATCTCGGCTCACTGCAGCCTCTACCTCCCATGTTCAAGCCATCCTCCTGTCTCAGCCTCTGGAGTAGTTGGGATTACAGATGTGTACCACCTCGCCTGGCTAATTTTTGTATTTTTAGTAGAGATGGGGTTTTGCCATGTTGGCCAGGCTGATCTCAGATTCCTGATCTCAGGTGATCCACCTGCCTTGGCCTCCCAAAGTGCTGGGATTACAGGCATGAGCCACTGCACCCAGCCTATTTTTTGTCTTTTTGATCATAGCCCTTCTAACAGTGTAAAGTCATATCTCACTGTGCATTTAATCTGAATTTCTCTGATGACTATTAAATCATATTGCACTCTTTTTCATATACCTGTTGGCCATTTGCTTGTCTTCTTCTAAGAAATATCTATTCAGGTCCTTTTTCCATCTTTTAATTGGGTTGTTTTCTTGGTATTAAATTGTTTGTGTTCCCCCTATATTTTGAAGATGAACCCTTATCCTATGTGTATTTTACAAATATTTTCTCCCATTTTGTAGATCATTTTGTTACTCTGCTAATTGCTTCCTTTGTTGTGGAGAAGCTTTTTGGTTTGATGCAGTTCTATTTGTTTATTTTTGCTTTTGTTGTATGCTTCACTGCTTGCCATTGGTTCAGTTTAATTCTCCATTAAGAAGATCTACAAATATAAACAACCCTGCAGGTGCAGTCATAAGAAACTTTGCAGCATGGGTGTCTCTCTGTGTAAATATACACATTCTGCTAAACACAGATATTCCTCAAGATTTGTCCAAGTTACTATTCTAGTGCATTATTAAAATCACCATGAAAATCTGACAAACCCCACTGAGGGGTATCCCCACTGAGCAATCTAAACAGAAGACATCCCCGAACTAGTTTGAGCACTTTCCAGTTATCTGCTGAGTGTACAGAGGAGGGGACTGATTGTATGCCCACCATTCCCCTTTCCACACTCCCCCTTCACAGATGCCCTGCAGCTTCCTCTACCCTTCAAGACTGCTCTCGCCTTTCATACCTGGAGCAGGAAGCAAAGATCAATGTTATTCATCATCTTCCTTAATCCATTTCCAAGAAAGTCCCAAGAATAAGAATTTGGCCAGGGTCCCTCTTGGGTTGAACAGCATACAGAATTTTTTGAAGCAATTATTTCCTGTTGAGTTTTTAAATCATTAAAGGCAGCCATCCCAGGATCCCTAACAATGTGACTGCGGCTTCTAAGACATATCTATTCCCAAAAGCTCAAGTGACTAGCCTTATAATGCAAACATAAGAAATGCTTTTTTCAGCAACTCAGTATTTCTATCATTTTTTGAAATGCCTTTTATAGTCCCTACGTCAGCATTTCTCTTTGCACATGCTTTTATTTCATTATGAGAAGAATAATTTTATCCCGCCTATTTTACTTGATGGTTGATAGAACACCAGACCAATTTTATTTGGACTAAACACAGTCAATCAAATAAAATTACAATTACCTTAGATTACTTTGTTATAAAAACGTTTTTCTTTTAAGGGCTTAAGTTGAAAATGTTCAGTGGAAGCAAACATTCTAGCAATCCCATCAAATGATCCGTTTCAGAACTCCAGGATGCATCCCATTAAAAAGAATGATTTAAACAGGTGCAGTAGTTGTGTACATAGTGCATAGGAAGTGTGTCAGTAAGCCACATTACCCTAAAGCGAGAATTTATTTTAGGAAAAAAACAGGATTAAAGTAGATCAAAGTAAAGCCAATAAACATCATATGCCATGTGCATAGTACACAGGTAAAGACTAAACCTTCAAAATAATTTGAGTTATATTCATTTGGGGATGTTGTTTTGGTCCCTGACAGGTTCATCTGTGAATTATGCTGACTTGGGAAATTTTCCAAATGCAGTCAACCCACAGATTTCTTTGCCTTTCAAAATATAGGTCCCGTAAGAAGATGGGAACCCAAATAGAAACTACTAACAAACCATTCATCTTATAGCTAAATAATTTTAAAAATATTTTGTTACTTACAAAATATATTTTAGAATTATTTTAATTACATATCTCTGGCGAGGTTCAATAATGGACTTGGGCGCAAACCTCCAATCCCCTCTACCATTTTCTTACTGTAGAAAGTTCATCACTCTGTAGTACAACTAGTTGTTTAATTATCTGTCTCTTTAGTAGACAGCGTTCTTTTTGAAAGCAAGAACTCAATCTTATTTCATCTGAAGTAATTATTCAATTAATATGCTTGAACAAATGGAAAAAATGGAGGAATGCATTAAAGCAAGAGTTATACACTGTTTTAAAGTTTGCAAAACATTTTCCAATACATATCTTAATTTAAAACCAAAAGTAACATTGGGAAGAAGATTATTCCCATTTTTCCAATAAAGAAACTAGGGGTTAGGAGTTTACACATCAAAGCTAAGAGGCCTGTGGCAGAGAGGATAAGAGCATGACTATGAAGCTATCCTGTCTGAGTTTGAATCCTAATATCTTTACTACACATAATGTAACTTAGGCAAGTTACCTGACTCCTCTATGCCTTAGTTTCTTCATCTATAAAATGAATACAGAACAGTAACTTCCTCACAGTGTTGCTCTGAGGATTAAATAATATATGAAAAGCTTAAAACAGTATCTGGCACATAGTTTTCTGAGAGGGGTACTGACTACAAAGCTAGTACTCTTGTTACTACACTACAATAGAATCTTAACTACTGCTTCCAATGTTCCTAAAGAAAAACAGACACTGAGTATCAAACAACCAACTCATAAAGATTTTTTGGAACAAAACCGTAGGCATTGAATAAAAATGATTAACTGAGTCCATAATACCTACCAAGTACTATATTAGTTTTATGAGAAATAATGCTATGATATCTTGTTTTCTTTTTTTTTCCCACTCTGTCACCAGGCTGGACTGCAGTGGCACCATCTTGGCTCACTGCAATCTCTGCCTCCCAGGTTCAAGCGATTCTCCTGCCTCAGCCTCCAGTGTAACTGGGATTACAGGCATGTGCCACCACAGCAAGCTAATTTTTGTATTTTTAGTAGAGATGGGGTTTCACCATGTTGGCCATGATGGTCTCGATATCCTGACCTTGTGTTCTGCTCAACTTGGCCTCACAAAGTGCTGGGATTACAGGCGTGAGCCACCGTGCCCAGCCCCTTATTTTTTTTTTAATGTTGTGAGAGAGGCTAGTGGGGAAAATCACCTTCACATGAGGAACTAAGATAAAAACATAGAATGCAACCATTCCACAAATAGGCAGAGCTCCTCGCCCCCATGCTTGTATATACAAGCGTGGATATATACACTTGTGTATACATGCTTGTATATACAAGAGAGGATCAGGAGGGCTGTGCTGCAGGTGGTGGCAACTTTTAGTGCTATATAGGGTGATCTGAGCAAGCCTCACAAAGAAACTAATATTTGAGTGAAGCCATGGAGGTGAGGATTTACCCAAGTGGCTGTTTGTGAGACCACGAAGTATTTATTTATACCCTGAGTAGTCCTCTTTTCTTCAATCTGGGCTGATTTGTAACTGACTATTTTTCTCTTTTTATTGTAGTGAAATTCACATGAATTAAAATTGACCATTTAAAAGTGAGTAATTAGTACTTTCACAATGTTGTGCAATCATTACCCCATCTAGTTCCAAAAGAATTTCTTCACCCCCAAAAGGAAAGCCCCTACCCATTAAGCAGTTATTTCTATTTCCTCTTACCCCTTCTCCAGCCCCTGACAACCACCAGTCTGCTCACAACCAAAAGCTAGAAACAATGCAAGTGAGCATCAACAGAAAAATGGAATAACAAATCATGGCGTATCCATACAATGGAATATTATTCACCAATAAAAAGAAATGAAGTACTGAGACATACTAGAATATGAATGAATCTTACAAACTTTGCATTACATGATTGATTTGGGACCAATTCAGTGTGGTGCAAGGGGATGCCATGGACTGTTAGAGGCAGGTCAGGAGGAGCCTGGCAGCCTCTGCAAAGGGCACTTGAAGCTCTCACTGATGGGGGATCCTGAGCTTCCAGGTAACAAGGAAAACTACCATGAGACTGCCATGCTGGGAGGAAACTCATACTAGCCATATGGAGAAGGGGCTGGAAAAAAGGGACCCCCAGCAAGCTCCCAATAGTTCAGCCATCCCAGTTTAGGTGTCAGAAATGTGAGCAGGACAGCTGTTTTGAATATTCAACCTCTAGAAGATACTTCACGGAGAAGAAAAGAGGAAACTCAGTGACAGCCAGAAATGAGGCTCAAGGCATGGCCCCAGGGTAGACATTCCAGGCATCTGTAATTATCTAAGCCATCCCAACTCAGGTTCCAGCAACAATAAATAAGTAGATGGATAGCTAGGTAGATGGATAGATAGATGATTAATGATAGCATATTAGAGACTGATAAAGTGGCATGAAAACAAGCAAACAAGACCAGGGTAAGGAGGATCAGGAGGTCTGTTTTGTAGGTGGTGGCAACTTGCAGTGCTACATAGGGTGATATGAGCAAGCCTCACAGAGAAGGTGATATTTGAGTGAAGCCATGGAAGTGAGGGAGTTATCCAAGCGGCTGTTTGTGAGAAAAAATATTTTAGGCAAACAGAACTAGTGCAAAAGTCCTTAGTGGGAGAATGACTGGCATATTTGCAAAAGAGCAAGGGGGCCAGCCAGGTTGGCTACAGCAGAGAGTAGGGGATAGAGGATGTCATAGAAGTGCACCAGGCTACATGGGGCCCTGAGGCCCTGAGGCCCAAGGATGGTGGCCTTTTTTCTGAGTGAAATGAAGAATTCCTGTGGACTTTTAAGAAGAAGAGCTATATGATCGAACTCATATGTTAAATGGATCTCTCTGCCTACTTGGCTAGGGGTACACTAAAGGGGAATAAGGGAAGAAATGAAGACCACTTAGAAACCTATTATAATGATCCAGATGAGAAAGATGGGGGTTGGACCAGGGAGGTGACAGCAGAGGTCATGAAAAATGATGGATACTGGATATTTTGAAATGGAAAGCACCAATGGTTTTCATACAGACTGGACGTGGTGAGCTATGAGAGGAGGAGGGGGTTTGAGGTATTTATTCTTCAAGGGTTTTAGCCTGAATAATTGGAACGATGAAGTCATCAATGAGATGGGAAAATTAGGAGGGAGCAAGTGGGGTAGGGATGATCAGGTCTATTTTTGGACATGTGAAATGTGAAACGTCTGTTAAATCTCTGAGTGAAGTGTCAAGGAGAGAGAGGTTTCAGCTGGAAATGAAAATGTGGGTATTTAAACACATGTGACTGGGTGAGATGAGCAAGGGAGAGAAGGAAGAGGCCAAGGACAGAGTCCTGGGAGACTGTGACATCACAGGTGGGGGAAACGATGCCAGAGACAGAGGAGTAACCAGGGAGGTGGAGGAGAGCTGAACATTTGGGCAAGAGGAAATTAAACTTGGGGAGGATATGAGGTGCTGGAGGAGATCCTGCACATAGCAGGTGCCACTTGAGTGTGTTTTGAGGCAAAAGTGGAGGTTTTACAAAGGGATTTGCATGGGCAGAGGGAAGCCCAGTTAAAAGACAAGATGGAGCCAAGTGCAGAGATGTAAAAATAAATGATTGGTTCACAAATAGTCCGATGTAAATTAAGGGCAAGGTGGATGTCAGGATAGAGTAAAAAAATGCTAATGGAGACCTAAATAATTGTCAAATTATGAAGGAATTTGAATTTCTAACTGAGGAGCCAATAAGAATTTTTGAGGAGAGAAAGTGCATGATTTAAACAATGTTTTAACAGCACTTTCTTGTTGCAGGGTTATACTTAAGCAGTGGAGTGAATGGCCTGCTATCATTAAAGCAGCTTGCCTTCAAAATAAAATAAAATAAAGTAAAATAAAATAAAATAAAATAAAACAAAGTAAAATAAAGTAAAATAAAGTAAAATAAAATAAAATAAAATAAAATAAAATAAAATAAAATAAAATAAAATAAAATAAAATAAAATAGAGTAGGAGGTCCCAGTAACCCATATGGAAACTACAGAGTGGGGACAAACAAGCCTCTGAGCTGAGCACAGGGCATTACTGGGTCTCAGCTGAGCATAGGGCATTATGGGTTAAGTCGTTCCAGTCTCCACACACAGTGTCTGGAATTGTGGATCTGTGAAAGCTTTTAACAACTGGTCCCGGGACAAAACTAAACCAATGAGCTAATAAAAAGGAAACGAAGTAGTGGAGGGTAGTGGGAGGGGTGATAATTTTTCAAGAAAACCTCCAAATTAGTATTTTGCAAATGTAGTTAAAGTGGAAGAAACCTTTTTTTGAGTCAAAATTCATAAATTAAATTCCAAGACTCTGCTTGAGGGGACTCTGGGGCAGCCCCAAACTTCTTCCACCCACCCCCTACTCCCTGCAGCACCTGAAGCATGCCCCAGATCCCTGAGGCTCTGCAGACCCCAGCTCAAATCTCCATTCAGTAGAAAATCAATGTCAAAGAGCTTTTCCCAGGTCTTTCAGATAGTAGAATTATATGTGAAAAAGTCACCTGGCAATGTTAGTTTACGTTCAAAACCTCAAAGGAAAGACATTGAGAAACCAATACAAATGAGAAAAAAAAAAAAAAACAACCTTAATTCAAACAAAAACAGCAAGCCCTGAAATCTAAATTCTAAGGCAGAGTGTAAATGAATGTCTAAATGCAACAGAAACATAGTTTTTATTATAAATGTCCACATGAATTGCCAGCTTTAAATAAACCATATATATATGTATACAAATTTGTATAAGGAGAATAATCAACTAATAATTTACTTTGTGACAATGTGGGATTTTTATAAATGTGTTGGTTATTTCTTTGTACAACTCGACTAAAGAATTTACTGAGAATTCTTTACATGCAGGCTCCCTTGCTATATCAGCAATTACTAAATTTCCAAGCATTGAATCCACAATCAATAATTCAGAAAAACTCAGAATGCCTTCATCAGGGCTAAGCCATGCTATATAGCTAGTATTTTAAAGATACAACTTTAAGCCTAATTTGTTTAAAAGAGTTTATTGCTTATAGACTTAATTTTTCCATGGGGGAAAAGAAAGAGAGCCCTGAATATAGAAATGACAATCATTAAAAAAGAAAAAAGAAAGAAGAAAAGAAAGATGAGAGAAAGAGAAAAAAGAAAAAAAGAGAGAGAGAAAGAAAGAGAGAGAGAGAAAGACAGACAAAGGAGAGAGGAAAGGAGGGAGGGAGAGAGAGAAGATGGAAAGAAGGAAGGGAGCGAGGAAGAAAAGAAACAAGAAAGGAAGGAAGAAGAAAAGAAAAGAAAGAGAGAAGAAAGAAAAAGAAAGAGAGCGACAGAAAGAGAGAGAGAGAGAAAGACAGACAAAGGAGGGAGAAAGGGAGGGACAAAGAGAAGAAGGAAGGAAAGAAAGAAGGAACCAAGGAAGAAAGGAAAGAAGAAAGGAAGGAAGGAGAAAAAAGAAAAAAGAAGGAAGGAAGGAAGAAAGGAAGCAAGAAAGAAAGAAAGGAAGGGAGGGAAAGAAAGGAGGGAGGGAGGGAGAGAAGGGAGGAAGGAAGGAAGCAAGGAGGAGGGGAGGGAGGGAAGAGAAGAGGGAGGGAGGTAAGGAAGGGAGAGAGGGAGGGAAGTAAGGAAGGGAGGGAGGGAGGGAGAAAAAAAGGAAACCAGTTTTTGTTGTTGTTTTTGAGGTGGAGTCTCGCTCTGTCACCCAGGCTAGAGTGCAGTGGCGTGATCTTGGCTCACTGCAACCTCTGTGTCCCGGGTTCAAGCGATTCTCCTGCCTCAGCCTCACGAGTAGCTGAGAGTACAGGTGCCCGCCACCACACCTGGCTGATTTTTGTATTTTTAGTAGAGACAGGGTTTCACCACGTTGGCCAGGCTGGTCTTGATCTCTTGACCTCAGGTTATCCACCCACATCATTCTCCCAAAGTGCTGGGATTACAGGCATGAGACACTGAGCCCGGCCAAAACCAGTTATTTTTTTCAGCCACTTTGCAACCCATTTTGAGAATATACTGGCAATTACACTGTTTTTAATAATGTTGTAGCCACACATGGATAAACTGGTTCATGGTTTACTTACAGTCCGAGTCCCAGGCAACTGTGGATACCTTTACAAAGTTTAAACCCTCTCCATATCCCAAGTGGTATTTTTACTTTTGCACTGGAGCATATAAGAAAAGGTAGGATATGGCAGAATTGCATAAGAATCACCTGGGCGTTTGCTCAAAATTCCGACTCCAAGGCCTCACTGAAGATCACCAGAATCTGAGAGACCTCCAGGTGTAGGCTGCACTATCACTGCCTCCTGAAAGGTCCTGTGGGGTGAGGATGGTGATTAAAAACTGGAGTCCTCAGCGGGACAGCACTAACCTGCCTCCAGTGTAGCTAGTTAACATCTGTAGATTTCACTTTCTTCTAACTCTACGAAGACAAGACCCCAAGTTCCTGTTATACAGAGAAAGTTGTGATTTTGTATATATTTTATTCATTTTGCTTAAAATCCTAAAATCTGACAAAAGGAAACAGGAAATATTTTATTATGGCCTACTCCAATTAATCTAAAGTGGGTTTCAGCTTGATTAAGATAACTTGGAGAGTTGGTTAAATCTTTGTCTTGCCTGAGTAACTTGCATATGTATATTTTCTAAACTTTTGGACATGAATTTCAAGTAGCAAATTCTATTCATCTTAATGGATTCTTTTCTTGGAAGATGTCAGTGGTTCTTCAGAACATTCCACACGAACTCTGTGTCCAAATCATTAACAGCAGTTTTTACTATGGGCACATAAGACAGAAATAAATCTGTTTTAATTACCTGTTTGGATTCTGATACCACGGCTGTTTGCCAAACCTTACTGATACTTCTTGTATTACCTCTTTGAACATATCTGGTGTAGAAACTGGTGTATCTCTTTTGCAATCTCTATAGGATACTATGCACGAATCTACAGTAATGATAGGTACTGCGTCATTTTTGTGGAGTCTGTCTGGTGAAGAAAGTGTCCTTGGAGCCGGTTTTATTTTCTTTGTCACTAGATGTCACTGCATACACAAGTGTGCTACTGTCGCCCAGGGTAATCTGAGCCCTGATTGCTGGGAAAGAGGCAAAATAGATTCTGGAAGCCTTCACTGTGATCCTACTTGGAAGGTATCTGCACTTTGGATCTCTTTGAGGCTTTCTCACAATCTCATTTAATTAGGCTAATCCTCCCTAATACTTTGTCATTTTACAGATTGTGTGAAATCTAATTTAAATATGTGCAAATCTTTTGCTATTCAACGGGACCTTTGCATGGTGAAGCCAAATGTGGTAAACGTATCTTTATTCAATGTTTCTTTCTGGTTTGGAATTATAAACAGAATGTAAATTGACTACTTATATGCTACCTCTAATTCAAGGGTATATCCTGTTAAAACACCAATTTGTTCTCAATCAGAATGAAATACTCAATAAGTACTTAAAATTGCCTGCTTGCTAACCAATCGCATTACATATCTGCTTCAAGCTATTTAATAAAAAAAAGCTTCAAGTAAAACTTGCAGTCCTTCTATCTCCAATGTTCTTGCAAATTCCATGCTTATATTTGCATCTATTGGGGCCCGAGGTATGCTTGCTTAGGAAGAGGACCCTTATCCATGATTTTTCCTGGCCTGGTTAGCTGTGTTTGCAATATGTGCTTGAGAGATTAATTCAGGTTGATACTACAGTGTTCTAGAGAGGCACATTTACATCTTCACTTTTTATTCTTAGCCTCCAAAAGGATTTGTGACAATCTTTTCATGAAGAAAATCCTTCCGGGTCAGTAGTGGAAGTTCACCTCCATATTTTTATTCACCCAGATACCATGGAAACAGCAGTTTTACCTAAGACAATTAGCATTTAGAATTCTCCAACTCTCTTCTTAATCTGCAGGACCAGACATGAGCAGATATTACTGGATCTTGGACAAGTGGGTCTCTAAGGTAAGGCCTTGAACCCTTGCTTGGGATTTCATCTCATAAATAAACACAAATAAGTTATTAAAAATCCAGGTTATAATCCCAAGTGTTTGGTGTGGTTTGTGGAAAATGTGCACCTCAGTTTCCTCATTTATGAAAGGAAACTGAGAAAATCTGCCTTTATGTACCTCATGATGTTGTTAGGAAAATCAAACAAGATAATAGGTTCGAAAAAAAATGAAGACCATTATATAGATTCATACATCATCTTCCTCTCTCTTGTAATTTATTTGTAACACATGAATTTAAATAGATTACAACAGTGGTGAATTCATATCACTTTCAAAAGTTATCTTCCTTTTTGAAAGTTAATATTTTAGCCAGTAATTAAACATAATTAGTGACTTTGTGATCAGATGTTCATTTTCTTCCACTTAGCCAACGGGCGGCATGTGGTGAATTAAAATAGCAGGTGGAATTTTAGAACAGGTGACAGGTTCCTGAGCACCCACGAAGGTTAGATTCAGATGATGGGCGCAGCTTTTCTTTAGTATAGCAGAAACCTTGGGATGCCTGGGATGAAGACAAGGGAGAGCAGAGTAGGCAGAGAGCAACTGCCACCGTAAAGCCTGGACAAGTCTCAGAGCGATAAATCTGTTCATTTAGGGCCCAACATGAGTTTTTCTTTCTGAGAAGTATAGCCCAAGTTATGCAAATCTGTTAGATATGAAATCGCTCTTACAAAACAGCATTTGGATGAGTCCCAAGTAAACAAATCAGACCCACGCAGATCAAATTTTCATTAAAATGCATGATTTTAAGAATGGGGTGGGGGAAGGAAGCTGAGAAATCAAAGGTGACTTTAACTACATCTTAAATTCAGTTTTTGCCCCAAGTCTATGTTCTATACAGCTTTCTGTTTTTCTTTTTAAAACGCCGATCCCACCAAATAAGCTAATTGCGCTGATGACAGCACATTTGGTAAACGGTGGCCTACAGACCTCAGACGGCTCCTCTCTGCCTTAGTTCAGATTTCTGTGAGCACCACAAGGCTGAAGGGATCCTCTAATTATGGGTGGGATTAGTGCTCAATAGCCGATGTGTTGCTCTTCGTGGCTTGCAGCCCTCGTGGTTTCTCTGCTCCTTATGGTCACTGTGGCCACCTAGAAATTCTTTTCAGGAGCATAATAACCGGATCAGCTGCTGCAGGCTGGAGCCCGGCGGAACAAAGGGAGGCGGAGGGTGCTCCCACCGGCCTCTGCCTGCTCACAGATCCCAGCGGGCACCCCCGGGGTCACAGCAGACAAAACCAGAGTCCAGCCCCATTTGATAGGGCTCCATCCCACACGACCCACTGCCCCTACTTAAGGTCTGGGGGATAGGCTCCAACAGCGTGCACTATTTGCCAACAAAAGTACTAGCAGTGGAAAGAAATACACACCCAGGCACTACAACACACAGGAAGACTCCTCTTGTTCAGTTTTCCCTTTCAGCTATTACTCCCTGGAAATCTTGAAGATAGCTGTGAGAAGTTTATTACTAAGCATCAGTTTTTAATATTAATCTTGTACCAGGATCATTTTAATAATCATTAACGAGGAAACAGGAGGTGGTGGGCATTTATTTTATTGTCAAGTGAGGCAGTTTCTTGTTCTGTTCATCATTCTTGAAGCTTCTCTTGCACCACCCGTTCCCTGATGCCACAGTGTGGAGAGGTTTTCCCTAAGCAGCATCTGGTCCCCTTGGAGGATTCCACAGGCTTTTTGTCTCTTTCAGGTTTTCAATAGTGGCCTCTGGGGGCGCCGGGGGGAGGAACCATCTGGCCAGGCGTCACCTGGCCAGTTGGGCCTGCCTGGCCTCACGCTGCTCAGCATTCCTCTGCATCAAATGGCTCAGTGCCTGCCGGGGACCTGGTCAAGTGCTGGACAATGGGCCACAGAGCTTAGCACTGAGCCAAGAATGTAGTGTTAATAAGAACACTTTTTATTCACAATAAGGACAGATAATATAGTTTGAGAATGTGGGATACTAAGCAACAAAATTGGGTTTCAATGTTGATTCATTTATCTCCTAGCTGCGTGGCCTTAGGTGACTTACTTCAGAGTTGTGCTTCTGCAAAAGAAGAAAAATAATAACAACTGGATTGTTGTGAGGTATTAATGAGACTACCCAGATATAAAGGTATCACTTCTATCAGGCAGGAAAGAAAGGGGACATTTTAATGGGTGAATCAAGGATTGTTTAGTAACAGGACTTTTTACAAAGGTGCAGGTGTGGTTTAAGAAAAGCAAGAGGGGATTGTGTAGTATCCCAGGGCTCTCGACATCCCAGAGTGGTTAGCGTGCCAGGGCAGAAGGGGCAACATCAGAGAGCAGTTACTGGAAACCAGATATGGAGTTGCAGGGGGAAGGACACCCTGACACAAGCTGTGGGCTTCCTCAGGGTGCAGCTAAAGCAGGGTAAGAGGAGAGGTGGGGCGGGGGAGAGCAATACTCTGAGAACCCATCCCAGGACCTCACTCTCCTCCCACTCTCCGAATCTCCTGCTGGTGCCACTCATCACCTGAACTACGTAGCAGCCCCGCCCACATCCCCTTGTCATTCACATAAATAGGGAAGGCTTTTTACTCTGAGGCATTTGGCCTGAGGGTTTTTTGTTTTTTGTTTTTTGTTTTTCTAGCAGACAAGCATGTTTGGCCCATGTGCACAGCAAATGCATCAGAAAGCTGATGTACCTGAAACCCATAACTCATACACGTTAGTGAAGAAATGAAGAAATAGCAGCTTCCTCACCCTGCACCATCTCCCTGAGTTCCAGCAGGATCCTCAACAGTTGCCCACAATGAGAACTTGCTTGATTACACACTCATTATTGGATTTAGTCCCTTCCCTGTCTCACTTTGCTGCTTCTCTGTTGGTGCCTCCTGGGATTATCCCCGAAGTAAATCATACACACTACAGTCCTTATCACAGGGCCTGCTTCTGGGAGAACCTACTGAAGACAAAACCCGCCGGCATAGTCCATGTGGGTCAGCCTCCCATGGCAGAGAACAAGTGAAGAGAGGGTGCCTGGTCTGCTTCACACACTTCAGCTAGTAGTGTAAGCCTGGCAATAACAATTGTACAGTCGTTTCTTGATTGTGTTCCTCTTTCACAACACTGCACAGTCAGCCACCCCATTCCCTGAGGTTGACTTCTTGTGTTTAACTTTTTGACTTACTGGTATCTACTGGGCCTTGGCACAGCATTATATATATGTGTAGCATTATATATATGTGTGTGTGGCTTCTGTAAGGAATAGATAGGAACCCATTCTAGGTAAGATGTGGGGTGAGTGGGGGGTAGGAAATGGTAGAGTTGTAAAAAAGTAAAATATTAATAAAAGTTGGATGGCGTGTCTAATAGAAAACAAAACCTTAGAACTTGAATGAACACATGTACATTTCAAACCATCAGTTAACAATTGAGAGAGGGCTGGGAGGGTGAGGTCAAGAGAAAAAGGAAGCCTACTAAGCCTCCCTTAAATTAAAATATATAGGCAGTAAATCCTCCCACCAATACAAGAGGCCAGATCTGCTGTAAAAACTAGAACCAGGTATCCACATGAAGTGAAATCAAACCTGATTTATTGTAGCACATCTGAACACTTCAGGTCCCAGTAAAATCTCAGCATATTGTATTAGAGTTAAAACGGATTAGTAAAGGATGAGAAGGGCTTCAATAAATTATTTATTAGAACACTAGTAACTTGAGGGCCTATAATGGGGACTGGCATGTAGTTGGTACTTAGTAAATATTTAATGTATGGATTGATAGATAGATGATTGGTTGAATAGACAGGTTAGGATAGCAGTATAAAACCAAAAGGAACTTAACCGTACTCATCCATAATCTTCTTTGTCCAAAACAATCTTAACACTTTTCTCATAGTGTGTGTGTGTGTAAGATATATATATATGCACATACATAGACACACACGTATATTACATAATATTAATATAAAGTTGTTCCATTGGCCAGAGCAAGCCACATGGATAAGCCCAGTGTTAATGTAGGAGGGTGCAACAGAGTATTTTACAAGGAAGCATTCATCGATTAAAGCCATGATTACACCAAGAGAGGAGTCCCTCCTTTCTCCTGTGCAGTGAAGACTTCTGAGGCCTGAACCTACCACCTCAGGGTTCTTCACCTCCTGAAAGGCAGGATGAGTTTCATCCTGAAGGAGGTCTGGATGGAGTGTCCAAATGATAAGTGAATTTCTGGAAAACTAACCCATACCTCCTGAAATAGAATTTCCAAGAAAGAGCCTCAAAATCTCTATTTTAATTAAGCATAGACAGGTGAGGGAGCAGGTACGTATGCTTCTACAGGTTTCCATTTCAATACGGGAATTAGGCCCAGTGATTTTGAGGCTGATTACAAGTGTCCCTTATCTGTGTGATCACTTAGTGTTGTTAACTGGCATGTCTTTTACAGGAACATCAAAGACCCTGAGAAGCCAAAAGTTATGAAATGCATCAGCAGTGGGTTGAAGACAAGACCTCTCCTTTTCCTGCTGACATTTCTTCCATGAGCAGTACCCAGACAGCCGACAGAAAGAGCCCAGGAGGTAACTGGGGACATGAGATGAAAACTCAAGATGCAAGGGTATCCCATCTTTTGGCTTCCTTGGGCCACATTGGAAGAAGAAGAATTATCTTGGGCCATGCAGGAAATACACTAACAATAACTGATGAGCTAAAAAAAATCACCAAAAAATCTGATAATGTTTTAAGAAAGTTTACAAATTTGTGTTAGGCCACATTCAAAGCAATCCTGGGCTGCCTGTGGCCTATGGGCCACGGGCTGGACACGCTTGCAAGGGAGAGGACAGATAAAGATACGTATGAGAGCATCCTCCTTAGAGAAAGGTCAGTGTTGAAGTCATAGGGTAAGGGAACTCTTTCAAAAGAAAGTAAAAAAAAAAAAAAAAGATAGCGAAGTAAATCATGTGAAGTCTCTACAGAGTAAGGGCCAAAGGGAGGACACAGTAGCTTAAAATCACAATATTGTTTTTGTTCCTATTTTTGTTTTTCTCATAAAGCTACAGGTCAGCTGGACAGCTCGCTCTTGGGTCCTCACAAAGCTACTGGTCAGCTGGGCAGCTCAGCTGGGTCCTCATCAATGAACCAGGGTTGGCTGATTTTAGCTGGGCTCACTCAATTTTCTAGAGTCCACTGGTCTGTCTGCTGCAGTGTGGCTGATCTAGGACAGCCCTGGCCTTGGTGACCTGGCTCTGCTGCACGATGCAGCCATCCTCTAGCAGGCTAGCCTATCACAGCAAAACAGAAGCACAAAAGAGAGATCAGGAAAACGCATAGCTTCTTAAGGCCTAGGCCCTAAACTGGTGCATCACTTACTTCTTGGCAACATTCTGGTGGCCAAAGGAAGTCACATGTCCAACCCCAGACTCTAAAGGAGGGAAAAGAGACCCGATGCCTTAATGGGAGTAAAGTCACATTGCAAAAGGCAAGGATCCCAAAAATGTTTCAAAAAAAATTGGAGGCCATCTTTGCAATCAAAGTTAGATTATTCTCAATGGTAAAAGTTGGAACCACAATATTATTGTTACCTTCAAAGAGTACACCTAGCTGAATCCCCCAGTCAATGCAGGAATTCCCCCAAATTAAACACACACACACACACACACACATACACATAAACCCTCAAAGATTCCCACAACTTGACCATTTGACCTAGCTTTTCTCACTGGGTAAAAAAAGCAAGAGGGAAAAAAAAACCACTGCAGCTCTCTCCCACCCCTGCTGTTCAGCCTTCAGTTTATCTGGCCTCTGCTATGAGTCACAGCTGACTGAAGGGTGGGGGTGGGTTGTGAGTCATGGCCTAAAACAAAGATAGAATTTGATGGGGGTGGACGAGCAGGCGAGAGAGAAGACACGGCAAGTTCAGGCATTCTCTCAGTGTTTAGGGTGATGTCTTCTTTCCTGCAGCTGGGGAAGTTGGGCAGAGTGCCCCCGAAGGAGGAGATTCCACACAGGCCCTGTGTATCTGAGAGTTGAGTTGCTGATTTCAGAGGTGTTTGTATCATTGCTCTAAATGTGTTTCTGCTCCCCTCCCACCCAAGATGCTGGTTCAACGGACCATTTCATCCTACCATTATACAGAACCCACAGGAGCTAGTTACCTGGTCAGTTTGAGAAGTTAATATTTAAAAAGACTAATGGTTGCATATGGCTTCCACAGGAAAGAAATAATAAGCTAATGTTATCTATTGACTCAATCCCACATATATTTACATTTGACAACTTAAAAAAAAAACCTTCGGCTCAATGATAGTTTAGCTCAAGTCACTATGTTAGGATATATATTTCTTTCATCTATGACTATTTTTGTCTGCACAGTAACCTGCCTCAAGCACACAAATATTTGTGTGTCTGGCCTCAAGCAATTAACGTGTCTCCTAACATGAGATAAAGATTAAATGAAAATTCTGTCACCCTGAAATAAACCTGGAAGCAGAATTCCTGAATGTTTGCCAAATAAGGTGACTATCAGACTTAAGATGCTGAACTTTGAAATGACTGTCATAGAAACAAAGGCAAGGCATGGTTGGCGCCCATTCAACCTGGTCAATAACATCCTTAATTACAGGACATGGCATCATTTTGATTCACAGTGGAATAAAAGGCATCTATTTGTATATTTGGAAGTCTGAATGAGGATTTCCTGATGAAGTCATTTCTGTCTTACAACAGCTTCGCTTGTACCAGTAGAGTTAAAACTGGGTCACCATTTTTATGCGAGCGTATGGATACACATACATCCACACTCGAACCCCAAACACACACACACACACACACACACACTTCATTTCAGAGTCTAATTAAAACTCTATTATACATAATTTTCTTCCAGATCAATGGTGGTGTTGGATCAAAATTGTAGCTCACAAGGAAAATCCTGTAAAGGAACCATATTTTTCTGTGTTGCCTGCCAAAATGAGAACATCATTTGTTAAATAATGTGGGACACAGGTGCCCCGGATGTACTATTTAATGGAGAAAGAAAAAGAGAGAAACAATGGCTGCCAGTATCCGGGAAAAATGCGACTAGCTTCTTAAGCTTCTTCACCCAGAAATTGTTACAAATAGAAGGGAATCTGACTTTGAGCTATGAGTTGTTGCTTCCCCATGACTGAATTCCCCAAGAACTGAGTTATTACTGACCTGTGATTTGCTCATCATAAGGTCTCACTGTTAATTACTGCTCTCTGCTCCGCAGAAACTTTGAATTCCACCAAAGGGTGTGCCGAAGGCTTAGATGTTGAGAAGCGTGAATTCATCCTGCACAACAAATATCATAGAGATGGGACTGGAGCGGGGGACAAGAAGGGGGAGAATGAACAAGATGCATGTTGCAAAACCCCAAGGGGTGCTATTTGTATGGTAGCCTGAGTGAACAGCAATTTCCCTGAGGGGTGGTTGCAGCAGATACTGTGGGTACCATCTCTACATCTCTTACTCCTTACTCGTTCCTGCCTTACTCCTTCAGGGCAGAGCAGCCCAACTTACTCTTTGCCTAAGGACAGTCTCTGGTATCTAAGTCTAGGTTAGCCACTCATGGCAGGCCAGATGAATGATTGCTAGGAGTCTTGCATATACACCCGGTTTCCTTGCCACTTGGATAGGATAAAGGTGCTTCACCCCATTTTCCAGCAGTCTCCAGCAAGTCTAGGTTCCACTTGCTCACAGCAGTAGCTGATTTTGTGAAACATCCTTTCTGGGCTGCCTTCCTTTCTCTCTCTCCCTTTCCCTCTCCCATCTCTGATTTTCTTCTACTTCCCCCAATATATTAATATTATCTCAGGGATGGCTTTTGGGAACCCCAATCAAAGAAAGGAGCAAACTCAATTAAGACCCTCTGTTTTAGGTAACTTTGGGAACCTGGTGGAGCATCCTGACATTACATCCTGAACCAGAGTATGTCTCAAGATATTTTTGGATCCTGCTTTTGTGGAGACAGAATCCACAACACAGCAGAGAGTTCCTCACTCCAAGAGGTACATTCTTCTTACTGTCTGGTTCACTCCCTAGACACATGCCAGCTTGACCATCATACAGAGCAGCCCCCAGGATGAAGGCAAACTTCTATCTGGAGTCTGATCTTTCCAAGATAGGGCTGAATCAACTTAGCTCTTTTTTCTTGTGGCTCATTGCTGCTTTCCAGATTGAGAATAGCCTCAGATTTCTTTCTGGCTTCCATATACCATGCATCCTATTGCTTTGCTTATACTCTTACCCCCCAATGTCAAAATAGTCCTGAAGTGTATACCAGATCATGTCACACATATGCAGAACTGATCATGTCAGTTCAACCTTGGCTCCAAGAATAAAGCTGTAAGTCCTATAACCACAAGGCCTTAGGGTGACTTGATTCCTGAAGGCTACTCCAATATCATTTCTTCTCATTTTCCTCATCACACCTTGCCTTTCTTTGAACGTGGTGACATATTCCTGCTGCAGAATTTTGCATTGGCTGTTTCCTCTATCTGGTGCACTCTTTTTATTGAAGGTGCACTCTTACCTAACCTAACTCATGCTTTTGTGCAAATGTCACCATCTCAGACAGGCCTTTGCTAACCATCCCAGCACCCCTTTAATTTATTATTGCTTACTTTAATTGTTTCTCTTTATAGCTGTCAGCACCAACTGACATTATATGTACTCGTTTGGCTGGTTTTTGTTAGTCTTTCCATGACAATGTAAGCGCCACTGGCTCATCACTAACATCATGTGCCTGGCACACAGAAAGTACTCAATTAATATTTATATGGTTGCTGAATTAATATATGGTGTTACCTTTAAAGAGAAGCGAAGTAATCTGTAAATGCTTTTACTAAAATAATCATTTACCTGCAGACTAGGTATTTTAAAATATAGTCTATTTCCTGTTATAGATTGATTTATTTTTAAAGTATTGTCTCCTTACTCTTTAAAGATACATTTTCCCTGTTTTCCAAATTAGTTATTTTTTCTTTTTGATTATTCATTCCCAAGTTAGGAGAATGTCTAAAACTTGAGATGTACTGACTGACAAATTAACTAACAAAGAACAGAAATATATACCTCAAATTGCACTGCTATCATCTATGATCATTTATTTATTCAGCAGATATTAATTGAGCGTTTACTATATCTCAGACACCGCTGTACATATTCAGAGAATACAACAGCCAAAGATTTCTCACCTCAAAGAACTTATACAGAAAAGACACGCAATAAAATGTAAACATGATAAATGAATTATTTTATTTTATTTTATTTTATTTTTGAGACAGAGTTTTGCACTTGTTGCCCAGGCTGGAGTGCAATGGCGTGATCTCGGCTCACCGCAACCTCTGCCTCCCGGGTTCAAGCGATTCTCCTGCCTCAGCCTCCCAAGTAGCTGGGATCATAGGCATGCGCCACTATGCCCAGTTAATTTTTTGTATTTTTAGTAGAGATGGGGTTTCACCATGTTGGCCAGGTTGGTCTGAAACACCCGACCTCAGGTCATCAGCCCACCTCGGCCTCCCAAAGTGCTGGGATTACAGGCGGGAGCCACTGCACCTGACTGATAAATGAATTATTTAATGTGTTTGAAGGATACACTAGGGTGGTCAGGGGAGGCTTCACTAAGTTGACTTCTGGGCAGAGCTTGAATTAGTGAGTGTGAATGTGAAGCCATGTGCATACATGTGGGAGGAGCACTCTAGACAAAGAGCAAGGCCAAGGCAGAGGTTCTGAGGTGGGAGCATGCCAAGCTTGTTATAGAGGGCAAGCTGCAGGCTGCTGAGCAAGGAGGAAGAGGGGTAGGAGATGAAACCAAAGAAGAATCAGGAAAGCAGGCCATGTAGGCCCCTGGAAGCATTAAAAGGACCTTGATTTTCACATATGCCAATAATTGTTAAAAGGCAATAATAATAGCTGTTGCCACCACATTCGACTACATAGTATTCCCTGCTTGTTCCATATAAAGTTACTCCATGTAAATACAGACCCTGTGATCACTCTTGTTGATAATGATTTTATTGTATTATTGTTTCTCTATAAGGTGACTGCTGTTACATTTTTCTTAATTACACAGCAGTGAAACACTTCATTGATAATAAATACAAAGGAGAAAAAATAATTTATAAAATAAAAATAGAGGTTTAATAAATTGGCCCTTTAGTTCTTTTAGTATAATAACTTTCCTGAGATATGATTCACATTCAGATTGAATTCACCATTCAATTCATCTATTTAAAGTGCGCATTTCAATGGTTTATAATATACTCACAGAGTTGTGCAACTATCATCATGATCAATTTTGGAAACTTCGTCACCCCAAAAAGAAACCCTATATGGGTTTCTTAATAGTCACTCCTTATTTCTCCTCCACCCTTCCTCTCAACCCAAGCCAAGCACTATCCTATTTTCTGAACACTTCATATAAATGGAATATGTGGTCTTTGTGGCTGGTTCATCACTTACACAGTGTTTTCAAGATTCATCCATGTAGTATGTATTCGTACTTCACATATTTTTATAGATAAATAATATCCCATTTACAGATATATCATAATTTAGTTAGCTACTCATCAGTTGATGTACTATTTTTAACCAGTTTTTGTTATCATAAATAATGTTGCAGTGAACATTTATGTGCAAATGTTTGTGGGAAATATGTTTTCGTTTTTCTTTGGTATACACTTAGGAGTGGAATACATTGGCTCTTAAATCCCATGATAGGGAATACTAACATTGCCAAGATCAAATAGTAGCAATTAACTCTCTAATCTGGGTTGATGAATCAATTAACAAAGAACTACAAAACAAATATAAGAATGACTTGGAGAAAAAAAAGAGTCTCAGATTAGAAGAAATCCTCAAAATGGCCCCACATATCAGAGCTAACAGATTAGCTGATAATGACTTACATAACTAGATAGGTTTTGTGCAAAACTCTAGAGATGTCGACAAAATTATATATTAAAACATAGGTTCCACCATGGAGCTAAAGCACATAGAGGAAAAGGAAATGACGAAACACAGTTATCTTGACCACTGAAGCATATTATATTATCAAGTGAGTTTACAGAAGAGCAGATCTCACTTGTAGTGTAGGATTGAGCCAGCATCACTGACCGACGCAGCCCCAGCCACATCACTAGACAGGCAATGACCATCTCCCAGAGGGGTCACACATTGGAACAGTAGGGCCTCACAGTGAAAGATTTATTAAGTCATAGGGACCCACCAGAGCCCCTTTGTGACTGGCACTGATAGAAACAAAAGAAAAAGGAGGCTACTGGGCCCTACAATAAAGTTGAGACACAAAATTATGAGAAGTCAAAGCCCAGGGATGCTAGGAATTGTTTGCAAAGTGTGAAGCAATTTTCATCTGAAGGCTTAGTGCCAACTCCCAGCTTGATCTTAAAACCCGTTTCCCTCTGGCTAAAACTGCTTCTTTCTCTGCTCAAATCCTCCCAAAGCCCTGGGGTTTCCCACCAGCAGGAGTGCTCACAAGGTGGGCGGACTGATCCCCCAAGGGGGTTTGGGAACTGAGGAGGTGAGGGAACCTTGGCCGCAGAATTCTGACTGTCCTGCTTTGGTGGGCCTGAGTCAGACTCTAAAGTGTGTGTGGTGAGAGTTCTGTGGTAGGATCGGTCATCCCCTGCAGCTTGTATCTGACTCAGGGTGATGAGTGCCCCCTGGTCTGCTCTGAGGAGGTGAGAGCCCAGCCCCAGTTCAGCCAAGTGGAGGCAGAGGCAGTGGTAGCTTCTGGCCTCGGAGCAGGAGGGTGGGCAGTGTAGGGGAGGCAAGCAGGAGACTGCCAGGACTGACCAGGCCAGGTAACTGTTTACCCAACAAGAGCTGAGGCCCCTTTTCTCTCATCTCTGCCACTCCTACCCCCTGCTGGGATGTTTTTCCAGAGATCAACAATCTCTACACTTGAACAAAACAGCTTGTTTCTGGTCACCTGCTGAAGCACAATTTGTGTGTGCATTCTTTAAAATTGTACAGGAACTTAAAGTGCCAACATTTTCTTTTCAACGTGATCTGTAACAAAGTAAGAAGCTACAAGGCATGGGTCATAATCTCCCCATGAAAAATCTTTTGCCTTATATTAAATTCTCTTCCTTTAAAGTACAGCACCTCTCAGACTGGCCACATCCCCCTGAAATTCTCTTTGTCAACAAAGATAATGGAGAAGATACAATGGACTGTCTTTCAGAAGTGTTTCTTTTCTCTTGGATTTCTTCGTCTATGAGCTGGAGGTCATGAAATTTGAGAGCTATATAAGATCCTACATATTACCTATATGATCCTTGTATTTTCTAGGTAAGTAAAATTGAGGTGCAGGAGAGTGAAAGTGACTTGAACAAGGTCACCAGACAGCAGGCAATTGAGCTGGGCTTGGCCTTCTAGTTTTCTGCCTCCATCACAGCACAGTCCGCCAACAAGTCAGATTAAAGGAAGCCTCCTCAGAAAATATTTGTACCAGGTTTCCAAGGTTGCCTCATTCCCGCTATAGTGTTCTCATTCCATCCCTTGCCAGACCATGACGTAGCTAAGAATTACAATGACCCCATTCTGTAGTTAAATCTGATGGCTTTTTCTTAAGTGTGTTTGACTCATCAGTAGATTGTTGGAGAAGACTATTTTTTCTTGAAGAAGTGTGTATAGTTATAGCCAACTTCCCAATATCATAGCAAAAGTAGATAGGAGATAATGTCATTTCTAAACAAGTGCAAAATCAGTAATGTCTTTCTAAGTGCAACTGGCAGAATCACCCAAAGGTATTCTTGGACACATTGATGAATTGTTTGTCATAACAACAACAAAAAAACATGATTTGTAGAATTTGATGAATTCTCTGGTGTATACTCCCTCTATGGCCCTTGTAATCAACCAGTGTGGCAACACTGAAGGTTGAGTGGGGAAAAGATTCCCTGTTTACATACTGTTATGTAGTGTTTCCACCATGCAGATACAATTGATGTAAATAAGCTCAAGAGCATGGGTAATAGCAAAACATAGTAAAATAATTAGGAAGCAATAAGCTTTGAGGATTTACTATCTTTGTTTTTAATATAACTTATTTCATTTTAAATTTAAAAATTAAATTTTTAATAGCAATTGCATGTAACAACTGGCTTTTAAAAAAATACTGAAAATTGAATAATTGACTCTTACCAGCAGGTACAGGCTGGCTTCAGCACACTGCTTGCCCCAAACTTTGTTGATTTAATGAAGCAGACTGCAATCCCGCCCTCATGGGAATATGTAAACACTAACCATAAATGAACTAAGGACTCTTGTCCTCTTTATTTTTATTTTTAGGGTTACTGGTTCTCATTAAAACTGTTCTCCCCTGAAAACAATGCAACAAACAATAGGCAGAAATAAAAATTGTGACTGTAAGTACAGTCTATCTTATTTCTTTCATTTAGTATGGTAATTTACACACTGTACTTCATCTCCAAGTGAGATAGCAAGAAGTAGATACAATCTTTTATCTTGTGATTCAGTCTCATCAACTTGTGAAACCATAAAGGACTAGGCTAAAAGCTTTACACACATTGCTGCATTTAGTTCTCAGAACAGTTTGTTCCCATTTTATAGAAGAGAAGTTTGAGGCCTAGCAAGTTGAATTAGTTGACCCACAATTGAAGCTGTTAAAAGGCAGATCTGGAACTGAAGCCCAGGGCTAATGCATTCTCGGCCAGGGTTTAATTAAAGCTAAAAAGTGATTAAGGGTCGGGTGTGGTGGCTCACGTCTGTATTCCCAGCACTTTGGGAGGCCGAGGTGGGTGGATCATCTGAGTTAGGAGTTTGAGACTAGCCTGGCCAACATGGCGAAACCCCCATTTCCACCACTAAAAATATAAAAATTAGGAGTGGTGGGGGGGCGGACCCCTGTAATCCCAGCTACTGGGGACACTGGGGCAGGAGAATCACTTGAACCTAGGAGGCAGAGGTGGCAGTGAGCCAAGATTGCGCCACTGCACTCCAACCTGGGTGGCAGAGTGAGACTCCCTCTCAAAAAAAGAGAAAAAAAGTGATTAAAAATCTGAGTGTGAATAAGAGTCTAAACACCTCTCGTAAAGGCAGCAGAAAAAAAGCATTGTTGATATTGCTATTCATGAGAATTGAATTGAAAATCATTTTGCAGTCAAAGCTGTCATTAAAGTACAATAGCCCTATGAAGCTGTAATTTTATGTGGCTAAGGGACATGAGAGTGTATCAGTTATCTACAACAACAGTACTGTGTAACAAACGATCACAAAAACTTCAATGGATACAAAATAACTGTATATAGTCAAATATCTTGAATAAACTTCAGGCAGGTTAGATTCCAATGATTTTGCCCGTTATTGCTCCCACATGTAGAGTTTAGCAGGCTGAAGCTATAATGACTCTAGCTGGAGTGACAAGGATGACTTGGCTCTGCTTTAGGTATTTTTTATCCTCCAGCAGGTTAACTAGGGAATGCTCTCATGGTTCTTGAGGCTTGAAGTGGCTTACTATCACTTTTACCTCCTCCTATGTAGCCAAAGCAAATTGCAAGGTGGCCTATTTTCAAGGGTTGGTAAAACAGGCTTTATCTTGTTAGTGAAAAGAACTATAAAGTCACATGGTAAAGGGCATGGATATAGAGAGGGGTAAAGAATTGGCACCATTAATGTAATGATAAATCAAAGTGGGAGCAGTGAAGAACGTGGAGTGATCACCTTCAAGTAGTTATACACAGTCAACTCGATATACTCTACTCCCTGCTACTCACTTTTGAAAAGTCTATGACTAGTCTTGGGGCAGCCACATGATAACCTGAAAGAAGTTATGAACTTTGAGTCCTGGCGAAGATCAACCACTCATTAACTGAATGCAGAGGTCAATTATCCCATGCTGAGGCTTTGAACCCTACCAATCTGTAACATATATTGTAATGTCTGTTGCTCATAGTATATATTTATTCCCCACTGAAAATTGAATTGTCAATGTATGGAAGAAGGTGTAAGTAGAAGACTACATGCCTGATTTCTTTATTCTGGTCAGTGAAGCACCCTTGTTTTCCTTCTTTCCCATGTTATTCATATATTTTCTCTTTGCCCCGGCGGACTTGCTGTCCCTATTCTGTATCCAGCTCTCTGTGCATAGAATAGTTATTTATAGAACGCATCAAAAGGTTTCAATCGCAGATGTGTAGATTGTGAAGATTTTCTCCTTCTCTGTGGCTTGTCTGTTAACTCTGCCGATTATTTGTTTTGCTGTGCAGAAGCTTTTTGTTTAATTAAGTCCCATCTATTTATCTTTGTTTTTGCTGCATTTGCTTTTGGGTTCTTGGTCATGAACTCTTTGCCTAAACCAATGTCTAGAAGGGTTTTTCTGATGTTATCTTCTAGAATCTTATGGTTTCAGGCCTTAGATTTAAGTCTTTGATCCATCTTGACTTGATTTTTGTATAGGGTGAGAGATGAGGATCCAGTTTCATTCTTCTATGTGAGCTTGCCAATTATCCCAGCACCATTTGTTGAATAGCGGGTCCTTTCCCCACTTTGTGTTTTTGTTTGCTTTGTCAAAAATCAGTTGGCTGTAAGTATTTGGCTTTATTTCTTGGTTCTCTGTTCATTTCCACTGGTCTATGTGCCTATTTTCATACCAGTACCATGCTGTTTTGGTGACTATGGCCTTAAAGTATAGTTTGAAGTTAGGTAATGCGATGCCTCCAGATTTGTTCTTTTTGCTTAGTTTTGCTTTGTGGGCCCTTTTTTAGTTCCATATAAATTTTAGGATTGTTTTTGCTAGTTCTGTGAAGAATGATGGTGGTATTTTGGTGGGAATTGCCTTGAATTTGTAGATTGCTTTTGGCAGTATGGTCATTTTCACAATATTGATTCTACCTATCCATGAGCATGGGATGTGCTTCCATTTGCTTGTGTCATCTATGATTTCTTTCAGCAGTATTTTGTAGTTTTCCTTGTAGCAGTATTTCACATCCTTGGTTAGGTATATTCCTAAGTATTTTATTTTATTTTGCAGCTACTGTGAAAGAGGTTTAGTTCTTCTTGATTTGATTCTCAGCTTGGTTGCTGTTGGTGTATAGCAGAGCTCCTGATTTGTGTACATTAATTTTGTATTCTGAAGCTTTGCTGAATCTTTTACCAGTTCTAAGAACTTTTAGGATGTGTCTTTAGTGTTTTCTAGGTATAGGATTCTATCATCAGCAAACAGCAACAATTTGACTTCCTGTTTACTGGTTTGGTTGCCCTTTATTTCTTTCTCTTGTCTGATTGCTCTGGCTAAGACTTCCAGTACTATGTTGAATATAAGTGAACATGGTCATCTTTGTCTTGTTCCAGTTCTCAGGGGGAATGCTTTCAACTTTTTCCCATTCAGTATATTGTTGGCTATGGGTTGTTGTAGATGGCTTTTATTATCTTAAGGTATGTCCCTTCTATGCCAATTTTGCTGTGGGTTTTAATCACAAAGGAATGCTGGATTTCGTCAAATGCTTTTTCTGCATTTATTGAGATGATCATGTGATTTTTGTTTTTAGTGCCCACGCATGTTTATAGCAGCACAATTTGCAATTGCAAAAATATGGAGAGCCCAAATGCCCATCAATCAATGAGTGGGTAAAGAAAATGTGATATATATATATATATATATATATATATATATATATATATATACACACACACACACACACACACACACATATATATATATATATATATATACACCATGGAATACTACTCAGACATAAAAAGGAATGAAATGATGGCATTTGCAGCAACCTGGATGGAACTGGAGAGTATTATTCTAAGTGAAGTAACTCAGGAATGGAAAAACCAAACATCATATGTTCTCACTCATATGTGGGAGCTAAGCTATGAGGACACAAAGGCATAAGAATGATACATTGGACTGTGGGGACTCAGGGGAAAGGGTTGTGTGGTAAGGGATAAAAGACTACACATTGGGTTCAGTGTGCACTGCTCAGGTGATGGGTGCATCAAAATCTCAGAAATCACCACTAAAGAATTTATTCATGTAACCAACACCACCTGTTCCCCAAAAAACTATTGAAATAAAAAATATTAAAACATAAAATAAATTATTTATCTTGAAAAAAAAAAAAAGGCTTCAATGCCCACTGGCTTACAGCTGGGACTACTAAAAGGAAAGACCCAGGAGACCTATGGGGAGGAGGAGAATGAGGTCAGGGTATTTATGCCCTGGTTCTTTCCCTGTGAGGACACCTTGGCTTTCTGAGCCTCTTGACATGACAAAATGACTCAGTCTTCTCCCCTTCCAGGTCCTGGTAATCATTCACACCCTCCTTTGGGCCTATGGATGACAATGGCCTAGGTTTCTGTAGTATACCTTGTTGTTTCCTCAACACTCTACCTACATTTTTTTTTAACTAATCTCTTTGTCAGTAAGTATTCCTCAGTTTATCCTAATTTGGGAGTGCCTCCTGTTTCCTATAGGAATTCTGCCTGATAGGCTTAGATGTAGAAATCACTCAATCCCTCCTCACAAGAAATGATACATCTTATTACGGTATCTGGTTCAAAATCCAGAATATCCATGAGATAATAATATCTCTATCATGTCTGAATGCAGTTTCTCTTAGTTCAGAAATGTATGACCTATAAACACATTTTCTGCTGACTCTCCATTATATAATGGAGAAGAACACAATTAACCACAAAACAGGAATAATGGAAGACACAAATTCACCATTTGTCTACTCATTCTTTCTGGGCAGATGTTTGAGAACCTGAAGATGCAGAATTTTTCTTGATTAGATCCTGATTCTCTTTTCTGGAAGGAGACCCCTTGCCCATTGTTCTTCAGTGTCCCTGGGTCTCTTTCCAGGAAATTATTCTTTGTCTATTATATTCCTTGGTCACATGTAATGGAACTAGGGAATATGCCCTCCTTTGAGACTACCCAACTTTCTCAGCCTATTTCCTGACCATGCATGGTTGGGGGACCAAGAATTGTTTAAAACCTCAGTAGTCACAGATGTTTTTAGACAGGGTTTACTGCTTCTTTGGCAATACAATTTTCTCAAAAACTCAATAGGCTTCCAATTCACTTCTAGTAAGTTCCATATATTAATAATCACACTGAAAGTCACTTTATATGTAATCTAAAATGCCCATTTCCTCACCTTCTTAGCATGAGTATCTAGCTTTTAATTTAATGGAGGCTATTTAGAGACTTGGCTGTAGTGAAAAAGTCACATTAAAAAATACATTTTCTGTGAAAGATCTTATTGGTAAATCGGCATTAAAACCCCTTTTAAATCTCAACCTCTATGGCTTGAGAGTTTTTCCCACAGTACAAGGCCCCACATTTCTGTGCTATTTCTATTTCATTTAAGTTTTTCTATGAACCTTTAAATTCTCTCTAAAATCACCCCCTTCAAATCAGTGATTCCTTGTCAACTCTAGCCAAAGGAAAGCAACAGCAATGCTAAGGTTCTATTTTTTTGACTTATTTCCTGAGAGTTTCTGGCTCAGAACCCACAGCATCTGGTTCCAAGTAAAGTTCCTCAGATGACAATTTTACCAAATATTTTGTTCCTGCAAAACATGGATTGCCATGTTTCAGCCTGTGAGGTAAGCTTTATCACTGTCTGCTGAAAGTCACAAAGCCAAAGCTACATATTTTAGGGTTTGGATATCTAACACCCCACTCCTGGTAACAGTTCTGTCATTAGTTAGGGTAGTGCTAGATGATGTCTGGATTACAAATTAACCTTGCAAACAAAGTTGATCAAGGTGACAAACATTACTCATTCCACATGTCCAACAAAGGTGTTCTCATAATACTCCATGGTGGCATAGCAGGGGAACAGAATACATAGGTACCATAGACCAGCTTAGTAAATGACCAGAAATGATACTCATGGTCTCTACTCACTCATCATTGGAAAGAAAAATTATTTGTTGGCTGGGAAAGGTAGGGAAGTGTAGATGGCAATTCCATGAGCAGCTCCACTTCCATTACCACTTTTCCATGAGGCACATTCTCATCATTCAGACAACAAAAGGTACAGTGTAGACTCTGCCACAGCACACCATCTATGTTTTCTTTTGTTCATTTGTTTTAGTACAAATTGCTTATCTAATATTAATTAGACAATATTAAGAAATTTTACACAAGAACATTACTGATAATAAAGAGGCCAAAAAAATGTAGCAAATGTCTTTGTGAAGTGATGTCTCTCTGCAGAGTGGTGAACTGACAATTGGGGCTTATTTCTGATTTTTTTTAAACCAAGATTTACAAAGCCTGTGTTGACATTCTCCACATTATCCTCCACATTATTTTTGCTCAGTTCAGCACGGGTACCAGCCAGTCAGAACAGATGTGACCCTATCAAAATGGATGCTGGCTGTTGGCATTTGCTATGTTTATACCAGCGTGTACCACTACATCATTCTGTCTGTCTACCCCAACATCATCAGCCTTTCCCAATACACCAAACTTTAGTTTTCCAAACTTTTAACTTGCCAACCTCTCCTCACCTTTACACAAGCTGCGCACCAGCCTGCAATGCTCTTCGTCATCTGGAGAAACCCCTTTGCAAGTCAAACTATAACATGAACCCCTCTGCAAGTCTAAGTTCTAATATGACTTAACTGGGGAGGAGTCACAAATGCTTCCTCCCAACTCTTAGTTCCCCCCTCCTGTGTTTTCCGGAGTGCTGCATCTACATTTCTATGATAAAACTCATTACAATCCGCTACCATTAATATTTATAGGGTGTCACCTCCATTAGACATTGAGCTCCTCTGCAAATAATAACAACAATAATGATAACTTGTAATTATTCAGTATGTACTACATACTAGGCACTATTCTAAGTGCTTGTCGTGTATTGACATATTTAATCCTGGATAGAACTCTATTATTATCTCTATTTTGCAGATAAGGTAACTAAGCTCTAGTAAGGTAAGTTTACTTGCTTGAGGTTAACGTTTTCATCCAAACAACTAGCACAGCCCTGCAAACTCAAGGCTGTTAAGTAAATGAAAGGATTCCTGTGGCTATATATTTTTGATATCTTCTTTCCCATTTATTGTATGAAACCTCTACAGCCCACTACCATCTCTGCTTCTCTATGTAAGACTACTCTTAACACTGTGACTCACCCAGATCTTCCCACCTCAGAAACTTGTGCTACAATTTACATTCCTATTTTTCAGTTTAAGTTTCCATTACTCCTGGTTTTCATCTTTATCTGACTTTCCCAATGAAGCTCATTTAATTAAAAAAAAAAGTCTCCTGAATATTTTGAATACTGTTATCCCAGTGCTCACCAGAAACCAGGGGTTCCAAACAGTGCCTGCTAATTGAGCAATGAGTGAGGAGTAACTGGACCTTCTGCCATTTTTGTATGGGGTAACATCCAATAATAAATATTTTATCCTTGCACAGAAGAATTGTGTAGAGTCACAGTGGAGTTTTGTGCAAGCTGGAAAACACATGGTAATGGGCTTTGCACCCCCTCCCCATCTTCCTCAAAGTAATGTTGGAAGTGGGTCCCTGGGTTTCACACAAAGAGGCAGCAGATACACTCTCATAATACAGATCACTGCTTGATATGCTGCTGCAGGAAGATTCCAGAAAACCTGATAATCATTGAATTTCAGAAGGGAATGCTGAGTGTGGATATTTTAGTCAAGCTTAAGTTCAATCTGAAAAATAAAAGCAAACAATTCTAATAACAGAAAATACAGGTGTATATTGTCCTTGACATTAAAAAATTCTGAATATAACTTAGTCCTAGAATTATGGTACGATGTTCCATGGTGTTGGGAACTCAATGTTTTTCTGTTGTGTCATTCTGCTGCATGTAGATATCATTGGTGAGGTATGTCATGGTTGAAGATGGCTATGCGGAGTGGGAGCGCCTGCTTTTCCTATCACATTCCAACTAGAAAAGGAGAAGATAAGTCAAAATACACTTTCAGTGATGGGCATATATTTCTTCCAATTACATCTATTGGCAGAAGTTAATTATATAGTCACTTAATCACAGGGAATGCTAGAAAATATAGTCTTTATTTAGGAAGCCATTTGCCTAGCTGAATTGGAAATTATATTACTAAGGAAGGTGAAAACAGATATAGAGGAAAACTTGTGGGGTTTTGATTCAGCAGGTAAAGATCTCTTTTTGTTCAAAGCTAACAGTGTCATTTGCCATCTGAAAGATATAGATTTGTCTCATACAAACATGATCAAAATGAAACAGAAACTATATCCTAGGTCTCCTCCTAAGTTTTGTCATTGAATCTACTCTTAGTATTATGTTGATCTTTGCTTTACTTCATAGCAAGATACATTTGAAAATATGATATTTAAGTCAACAACTACAAAAATCAATTTTCAAAGTAGTCCATGGTCACCAAGTTTCCAAGGAAATAAACTGAACCCTCGATCAGTTTAACACTAGGTTTTTAACCATCATAGGAAGGCATTCTGCTACACATTATTATATATGCACTAATGCATTGTTGGAATGCATTATACACTTTCAAATGATTTGGATTTTTTCTTTGATTTTTTTTAAAGTGGGATCAGTAAATGTATATGCTCTCGTGAGTTCCACATTGAGAGTGGTGCTATTATGCTGAACCGTGAGGATTACTATCTAGTTTCCATATGTTACGTCCTCAATCTGTGTTTTTAATAATGTTTCCAATGCAAATTTCCCTATCTTTTCGAAGCAAAAATTAGCACTTAAATACCCCTACATATGCCCGCTTGAATGCCTGTAGGAGCAACATATCCAGTCACAGATAGACCCCAGTCATTGACTTACAAGGGACATGTGCAAAAATTTTATCAATCACCTCTCCATCATAGTAGGGCAGATGGTTTTCACCACCATTCTCCCAGTGGCCCTTGAAGCAGCTCCGGGGGTGGACCCCCGGAAGAGGGGTGGCAAATACATCCTTACAATGGAAGTTGATCAGCTGGTCTCCTCCCAGGGCATCAGGAAGACTTAGACTACACCAACACTATCCTGGAGGTATGAGAATCCATCACAGATATGAATTTCAGAAGATTTCACAAGCACGTTTATCAAACTCCTATCTTTGCAGAAACTCTTCCTTGTTTCTGCAAATGGCACTATGCTAAATGGCTAAAATGCATTATGGTAAATTATTATGAAAATCTTGGAAGGCATTGTTATCCATCTTGAAGAAATGATATCACAGAAAAACTAAGAAAATTTCCTAAATAATAAGGAATGGAGCAAAGATTTGAAAGCATGTGCTCTTTATTCTGTTTGACCCTATGCTATATATCTTAAGGATTCTTACATACAGAAAATGCAAGACAAGAAACCATTTGACTTTATAACTAAAGCAATTATATAACTGTGTTCTTTTCTGTAATAACAATTCTCCATTTTCCTTTGCATACAAACCAATCATTACATGTTAAATTATTGTTGTTCACCTTCTTTCATGGGACCTGCTAGCCATTTATTATCAGTTTATGTAAACAGTACTTCTTAGGCCCATAATATGTACTATATAGTGTTTGTGTTTTTTTTTTAAAGTTATGTCAATGGAAAGAAATATGTAGACCTGACAATTATAGTAAGAATAGAATGTTGGTATATTTGAAAAAGGGAAGAGACATACATAGCAATACATTAATAATGATCAGATTGATGAACTAGAGACGGTGAGGACTAAAATACAGTTTTCTAATTTCCACACGTTCTAGGATGAGCATGTATTTAAATTAATAATTAGAGAAAATAAAAGGCATTATTTTAAAAGAAGCGGACGTAGACACAAATTTGTTACAGACATTTAAGGATTACAGGCTCTAAGAAACTTTTATAGTTCCACAGCATCATCAAAAAAGAGAGTAGGATGGAATCTCAGCCATTTCTTAGGCAAAGTAGGCCCTTTGCCATCAGCATCATAATTTTGCTGACCATGTATGACTTCTAGTAAATTCAAGGTCTTGTGCATCCCATTAGACAGTGTGTAAGGGAGAGCAGGGAAGTCCAAAAAGCTAGGATTTCAGTGTGTACCTAAAAGGTCAACTAACCAGAAAAACAGGAAGAAAGCAGATTAAATGAGGATAACCCACTTCATTATTAGAGAATTAGGGAGAATGAATCCTGGATCCCAGAATCAGAGTCAGGGGAGGCAGAGGTCTGAGAATTACAGATGATCCTTTTAAAAGATTCTAGTAAAAGAAGTGATTTTATGAGCCAAAGCATATCAAAATGGAACAAGTTGAGAGCCATGGATAACAGAAACTGAGATGCAGTAGAGTGCACCCGTATGTGAATCTTTCTGCGAGCTCATTCAGCAAGATCATGTTCTTTCCTGGACCTTTGCATGAGAAAGGGTTAGTTCACAGACTTGCTGTGTGACTTTGGACAAACCACTTCCCCTTCTGTGTTTCTTCCCTTAGAAGAAATGAAGTGATCAGTCAGATCCATCTATCCATAAGATCTTTTCCAAACATATTATGCCATAAGCCCATTGTTTTATACCAAAAGCTTCTTTTGTCACACATCACATGGAGGATTGCCTTCCAAGACAGGAAATTCACTCTTCCCTAGAGAAAATCCCTATGTAACATCACTCATTCTGACCAAGCTAAATCCTCTCTGTGTTCAATTTAAAAACATAAACACCATTAACCAAAATTAGCTGTTTGAGCACATACCTTCAGACTGCTACATTTCTGAAGGAAATTGAATTGCTAAATTTCTGTAACTTCCCCAACCATCAGCCACATCTCAACAGCGTACTCAGTGACAGCTCTGTCTAGCAACAGTGGCCGAATGTTTCCGACAGAAGGTGGCTGGATTCTGCATTGTAAAATAGAGTATCTGAGAATTCAGTGGGTGGAGGGGCCGCATGTTCCCAGGACAATGCTTTCCAGCTTTTCTCAGTGGTTTGCATAGTGAAAGGAAACCTCTAGCATTTCATAGGATAAAATGGGAACATAATTATAGTGACTAAAATAGCATAAGGCTGAGCTGACGATTTGGAAGATGGTCCCCTTTCAGAGTGAAAGGAAGGTAAAAGACACTAGCTAGAAAGGGTATAGAGGCAGTTTCCTTGAAAGACCTGAAAATGAGCAGCAGGGAAGAGAAAGGGATAAGGGCTGTACACAATAGCATATTCTTCTCTAAACCACCTAATTCTCCTGCTCTGTATTCATCACTGTCAGCCTCTGCAGAGCCCTCAATGAGGGCTTTATGTTGAGCCTCATTATCGGCTCAAAGATAGAGGGCACGCCATGCAAATGAAGCCAAGCCCACAGATAGGCTGTTAAAATACTGCAATTTGTCAGCATTTAGATAAACAAATGAAGGGCATACTGTGTGTGGGAGTTGGACCCCTGGGAGCTTTCAGCGTATTTTGACACTTGTTGTGGGAAATATCTTAAAGATCCCTGCACCGGATCCCTCCTTATCTTTTAAAGGGAGGATAAAGAGTTGCTAATTTACTTATGGCTAAGGTAGTTGGGAGACTGGAGGAATCTCTGCTTTCATCCATTGGTACTTGGGTGGTTGATTAATGCCCTTCTCATTAGGCTCAGTCTTCCTTGTTGTCTGCTGCTTACAAGCCTCTTAGGAAGAGGAAACTTTTAAGCCTCTAGGAGTGGTTTGTAGGAGAAAACTCACACATGCACACACACACCCCCCTAATAAACCTTTTAGTAAAGAGAATCTTAGCGCCAACCATAAGAATGTGGAATGATTCTTCTCACTTCAAGAAGATGGTGAAATAAAGATTTTTTAAAACTCTCTCTTACAGCGAGCATTGCTTTGATTCTCCCAGTAATTGCTTTGATTCTCCCAGTAACTTTGCATTGTTGTTTAAAGAAAAATGAAATTATCCTTGTTAATTGTCCTGAGCTTACAGGCTTTGCCTTTTCTGTCAGCTGGAAGGGAACACACACTAAAGAAAGAGAGAAGGGGCTGACAAAGCCGCCTTTGGTGATCTAGTCTATTCTCCAGTTTCTTAAAGGACTTTTAATGATGCTCTGGTGACAGCACCTTAGAAATCAAATGGAATGAATTGTAGCACAATTTCAAAAGCAAGATTATGTGACAATGGGGTCTGCATCCCCTCCCCTAGCATGCCTGGCCACAGGGCTGCCTGCCTAAGCTTATCCACAGCTGTTGCCCAGCCAAGAGCTGTGGAGACGCAGCCCTACCCTGCCCCACCCGGGAGCCAAACCTTGGTGGCATGAGCTCTTCATCAATCTCCATTTCTCCCACCAAACAAGAGTCACTAAAACCTCATTTGTGCCTCTCGGCCACTCGGGGATCTGCTCAAACTTTTCTGTTCTTTGGAGGAGAATGATGTGGACTTAATTAAGTGTGGTAACTTATGTGTAAGGCTGTATTGATGGAGGAAATGGGGTGCAGATGTGGTGTGAAATGATGGCGAATTACTCTTGTGAAGAACACAAATCAGGGTGAGTGCCCATTATCTCAGGCCAAAAGAAGTTATTGGGCACTCAATTATCGGCTTCTTTGTCACCGTAGCACACCAGATGGTTACAACACTGAAGAGTTTTCTATTATCATAACATTTTCCTAGAGTGTCTTTTCTTCTTCTCCAATTCACCATAAGATGATTACCTTCTTACGGGCAGCTGATTGTTGAGAAGGGTGCTGGGGGGTCATGCACAGATTTAGTGGGGAGTGGCAGATAAAGAGACAACAGGCTGTGTCTTTAGCACGAGAGTCTGTTGATGGACTCTGCTGGGATTCCGGCCACCCCATAATAGCTCATGTGAAATGACTGCTTGGTCCCCTCTCCCTCTGAATCTGCCACTCCCCCTCTGCCCCCAAATCTAGAAGACACAGTGTTCAAATGTGACCGGCTGCTCTACCTTCTGTCAAAGCATTTCCAGCCAAGTGAGCAGTTTTCTTTTAAGGAACTGAGTGGCCCTCAATAAAATTAATTCCCACTCATTGGCAGCATTGAGGCGCCAGGTGAGGACAAAAGTAAATGAGCTTGTGAATATAGGGCTAGTCATTAACTCAGGGCACCCAACTCTATCATCTGCCCCTCCCTCCCTGGCTCCAGAGAAGGGAGAAAAACAACAGCTTCATGGTAAATAAATAAATGAAACCACACCATGAAAACCTCTGAAACAGCAAGCCCTGACTGGATGCTTACCGAACTTGGGATGACTGGAATGACCCTGGGCCCTGAAGAATCTTCTTTATAAGAGAAAAGACAAAATGAGGACATGTCAAAATCACAATTTAATGCTTTGCTCATTGCTGGATTACTGTTTGGAAAAAACGACTTTCCACAGAAGTCAAGGTGATGCTTCTAAACATGGATTCCAGATTGGCCGACTCTAGAACTCATAAGAAGATGGGAGGATTCTTTCCCCACCCAGCCCCACTACCTGAGCCTATGCCCTAGGTTCTCATTGTCTCTCTTTTAATGCCTCTTCTCTCAATAGAGTTGTAATATGGGATAGCTCAGATTCTACGCATGAAGAGTAAAAGACCCTCTTGACCTTTTTCTGTAGTGAACTGTTGTCTCTGAAGTTAACTGTTGTTATGGTTGCATCTGTTTGCTAAACATAATGATGGTACTACAAGGAGTATTGCCTTTGTGACTTTCTTGCTTAAGACAAAAGCATAGCCCTGGTGGTGTCTGCTGGAAACCCGATCATGTGGTTTTCAAGGCTGGCACCCACATCCTACTTTGGGGTTAGCCAAATAAAACTATATTTTGGTTTGGTATTGCTAGTGCTGAGGAAATGGCGGGTATGATCTCTGGTTCAGAGTTTATGTTTACTTAAACTGCGGCTACCATGAGACACACGTCCATTTTCCATGAGTGAACAAAAGCCTCCCCTTCCTGCCCCCTCCCCTACTGCTTCCAAAGGGAACATTTTGCCCCTCTCATTTTTGTAGGTGTTTTCTTATTTAAAGCTACAGACTCCATAACGATGTGGGCTCATCCAAAGAAAAATCAAAATGATGCCAATTATAGCCTAGAAAGTCAACCCTGAACAAACACCCAAGGCTGCTTATTATCTACAGACACATAAAGCCACGAACATGCATTGAATAGATCCAATTTCAACCTTGTCTTTTCTTTAATAAGTGAAACAAGCTGTACCAGTAAGTAAATAATCAAGTGGTGATAATATCTGGTTTTCTAAGCATGCAGCAGAAAGATCCATTTTTCTTTAATAACAATAACCACAAAAGAGCTCATCAGAAACCCCCAAACCTGATTTTGGCTGCAACTAGAAAAGAATGTATGTACATGACCTCAGACCCAGTTACCACATGTTTATAGCCAAATGCTTCTTTTACTTAATTCCAAAGAGGAATCTAAATATCTTTCAAATATATTTTCATGTGACATACACAATCAAACCATATAATTTATCAAACAATGAGAGAAGTTAGTTCAAAAAAGACAAAATTAAAGAGAAGATAAGATTGTACTGCTCACTAATGCCAGATAAATTCTTGAGATTGAAGCTTGAGATGCATGCCATTCTTCTCTCTATTGTACCTATAATCTCTATTGTACATAAAGGCAACAGATTTTCAAAACTCTCAATGAGAGAAAAATGTTCTGTACCACTGGACAAGCTCATGACTTCCACTTCCAACAAGTGGTTATTGTCTTGAAGGTCATCCCTAAAAGTTATTTCCTAACTTTAGTAATGGGTAGAACAAGAGAATTGTTTGCTGCTGACACATGTTCAGAGTAGAGTCCCAGGAATACAAAGTGTGACAAAGACATGATGTAGCCATAGGCCATTAAAGAGCTTCATTAGTGGCTATATGCTAAAAAGACCTCAAAAACTACTGTGAAGCCAACTAAGAATTCTCAAATACACTCCTTATGGCTTAAACTTTGGGCTGTTTATCATTTGAGGGAAAAAAAGTCATAAATATCTCTATTGTCGGTGATAGATTTTGGTAGCACAGACAAATCAATGAAGGAAATACGGTGTGGTGAAGACTGTGGCACCCTGGGGACACATACCTTAGTAAAATGTGCAACACACGCATAGACAATTCTTGTCATCAGGCCAATGTTTTAAAAGAGATTGAGAATCTGGAATTTTATATAATTTTTTTTAACTTTTAGACATTGGCAACTAAAAACAATGCTTTAGAAATATTGCATATGTTAAATAAAAATGACCTTGGACAGTGCAATTTTTATCTGAGCCAGTCCCTCTCATCCCAGTCACCCCAGCAGGTCAAAAGCAAAAACATGAAATGAAGAGGCATTCACAAAGACCAGTGCTAGAGCTTGGATGAGTCTGTATCCTGCAGAACTGGGAAAACCTTTCAAGATGTGTTGTTCTGAAGAAAGATTGCATTCTGAGTTTAGTCCTAGTACAAGGGTTCACTATATTTCTACATTTAAAAAATGTCTTCTGTTTACTGACATGTCCCTATGTATTACATTGGGCTGCTCTCAATTTGTTCCAAATAAGAACATCAGGGCAGTTATTTATCTAACCCTGAAAAAACAGTATGTATACAGTGACTTTATATTTTGAAGCAGAAATCTCTGCACATAGTCCACCAGAGGTTTCTTGTATCACTTCTGAATGTAAGAAATACCCTGAGAGAACTCATTTGGATGCCAATAGTGTAAGGATTTTGGAGTGGATTTATAGGAAGGGCAGAGAGGTTATTTGAAATCCAGGATCGGAGTGGCTGTATGTGTACAGCTCACAGGAAGTTTATGCAGTTAGTTACTAAGATTTTGTAGAGACCACTTTTCACATTTGCCTTTGGTAAATGCTTTTCATCTTCCAGTTTTTAGATATTAGGACCAATTTTCTCAGTAAAATTCAGTGTCCTTCCCCTTTCCACTCCTATCAACAAAACTGTGTTTCCTGTTTTGAATCTCTAGTGATTGTTATCAGGGGAAAAGAAACTTTTAGAGAGAATGTATTTAATCCACCAGGCTGATAGACAATTATCTGTTCCTCATAAAGTAGAGGAGGAAAAGAATTGGGCAACATCCCTCTTCACTTCCTGTGACTTCTGATGGATCCTCCATTCCGTTCTCAGCTTGAGTCTACTGACTGCAGTTCCAGAACATCTTCACATTTGAGGATCAGAGGCATTAAATCCAGGCCACAACCACTGCCTTGGTTTTTATTCTCTTCTAGGGACCCAGAGATACACAGACCCTAAATCTGCCTATAATTTTGACAAGAAGTTTAAACGTAAACACTACTTTGCCATTCCCGCTATTCCTTCACTCAACAACTATGAGTGATGTGCCTGCTACACAGTAAACATAGAATACTGGGAAAACTAGATATGGCTTCTGTCTTTATGAAACTGGCAGCCTATGAGAAGAGCAGACATTAATAAATAATTAATGAGACATTAAAAAGCAAAAAAATAATAAATACTATCACAAATAAAAATAAAACAGTGTTTGAGTTAACTACTCAAAGAAGAGGTGCTGTGGGATTTGATTTGGTCAGGTAAGTAAGGGACATTTAATTCAGAACGTAGGCATTAAGGTGAAATCTGAGGAACAAACTAAGAGTTAACTAGGTATAGGGGAGAAAACCTAGGAAGGATGGAACACCAGACCACGTGGAAGACCCTGTATTGGAAAGGAGTACTAAGAAAAAGGAAATAAAGATTGGTATGGCTGGCCGGGCATGGTGGCTCACGCCTGTAATCCCAGCACTTTGGGAGGCTGAGGCGGGTGGATCATGAGGTCAGGAGATCGAGACCATCCTGACTAACACGGTGAAACCCCGTCGCTACTAAAAATACAAAAAAAAATTAGCCAGCCATGGTGGCGGACGCCTGTAGTCCCAGCTACTCGGGAGGCTGAGGTAGGAGAATGGCGTGAACTCGGGAGGCGGAGGTTGCAGTGAGCTGAGATTGTGCCACTGCACTCCAGCCTGGGTGACAGAGCAAGACTCTGTCTCAAAAAAAAGAAAAAAAAATTGGTATGGCTAACATGGGGGAAGAGAGAGTTCACTGTACACTACAAAGCCTGAGGAGTGGGCAGAGACCTGGCGGAGAAGGCCTCTGTGGGGTCTAAATGTGTGCTGTTTATCCAGAATGCAGTGAGAGGTCATGCATGTATTTGAAGCTGGTGGTAACGAGTCTACTTTGAGTTTCCCCAAGGGAGTAGATTGGGGGAAGGTAGGAGCTAAAATAGGTGAGGTTAGACCCATTTGGTGTGTTGCAGTTTTCCATAAAAATAAAGTGATAGCTTAGGTTAGAGTAGTGGTTATACTTTTGGAGAGAAGTGAACAAAATGGAGATTTATTAATAAATAAACTTGGAGTTGGTTTGGAGAAGGGATAAAGAAGAGAGAGGATTCAATTGTGATTTGCATTACAGGATAAATGTGAGCATCATAACCTGGAATGTAAAGACTAGAGGAAGTTCAGGTTATGAGCTTGTAAGTTTGGTTTTGGACTAGTTAGATTTGGATTGTCTTTGAGACTTTTAATAAAAGTTAACACGTGGGTAAATGTCTAAAAGTTGAAAGATATGGGCTGGAGATAAGACTCTAGCTCATAATAAGTGGGTAATTGAAAGGAAGCGTGTAGCTAAGACCTCCTGAAAAGAGATTATTGATTGAAAGAAGAGAGCTAGACCTGTGACTTGGAAAAGCCAACATCCAGTGAGTGGGTAGAAGAGATGCCAGTACCAAAGGCAGAGAAAGGATTTCATGAAGGTAGGAGGAAAACTAGACCATTGAATTATGGAAGCTACAAGTTGGCCGTGTACCGAGAAAGGAAGAGGAGTCACAGTGCAAACATTGCTGAGAAGAGAAGAAAGGTAATGACTGGGAAATAGTCTTTGGATTTAGTAAGGAAGTCTTTTGCCACAAAAACAAGAGCTCTTTTAGTGGAATGCTGGAGCCAAACACATTTGGGATGGTAATTTTCTTGGTATATTTTCCAGTCCTTCTTTTCATACAAGCACAGAGAGAGTCATTTAAAGAATATGTGCCTAATTTCGTTATTTAGTAATTGGAGATTGGAACCAAAGATCAATATCATTTGACAAAGAGTTGCCATAAACCAGCATTCAAGTGATTGCCCAGCTCCAGCTATCCTCTAATTCCCTCTTTCTACCACTACCTCCCTGCATGTATTGGAATGCAATGTTGACTTTCAAAAACATTTATATTTGTGTGGGAAATAAAATGAAGGGGATGATATGTTCGATTTTTCTTTTCACATTGCCTGCTTGTTTTAGAGTAACATTAAATCTTGGAACTCTAGCTTTGGAAAATGCCTAGAAACAGTATTTCTTCTTGGTTCATTAACATGCTTTAAAAATTACCTCAGTTATCAAAAAGAAAGAAAAGTAATTGGAATTCGTGTTGAAGACAGGGAAATGAATGGGTAAAATAAAGGATACAAAAACTTGAAATGCTGGTATTAGAAATTGGTGAGTTGTACAGATAGGAAGCTGATCCAATGGCCAAAGCTATTATTTTCCAAATAATCACTAAAGCCTACAAATTTATCTTCCTTCAATTTTAGATCTACTCATCTGTGAAAAGAAATGTTATTCCATCCATGCACACTTAAACCATCAAATTAATTTAAGAAAGGCCTTTTGAGGGCCCAAGTATATTTTGAACAACTTAGATAAAAGTATTTTAAGTCTTCTTTTTTATTATTTATTATTTATTTTTTAATTTTTTTGAGAAAGTCTCTCACTCTCACCCAGGCTGGAGGGCAGTGGCAAAATCTCAACTTACTGCAACCTCTGCCTCCTGGATTCAAGCAATTCTCCTGCCTCATTGTCCCCAGTAGCTGGGATTACAGGTATATGCCACCATGCCCAGCTAATTTATTTGTATTTTTAGTACGGATGAGTTTTTTCCATGTTGGCCAGGCTGGCCTTGAACTCCTGACCTCAAGTGACCCACTTACCTCAGCGTTTTCCGAAGTGCTGGGATTATAGGTGTGAGCCATCGGGCCTGGCCAAGTCTTCCTTTTTTTATATCAGAAGCATCATTTTACCAAAAGTAGTTGAATCAAACTGACAAAATTTAAGGTAAATGAAAGAATATATGAGAGCTTTTCAGTGCGATACAGATATGGGAAAGTACATGTGTTCACTACTGACACCTAATGTGACACAGGAAAAAAAGATGCTTGGGAAGACCCAGCCATAATCTGCTTAGCTCAAAATACATGCCGCCTTACTATATACACAACAAGCTATTGATTCATTCAATGACCACATATTTTGAGTATTTACATAGTTCTGCACACTTTCTAGGCATTAGAAAACAGGAGTGAATCTATGAATAAATACCTACCCTCATTGAGTTTATATTCTAGTGGAGAAGACAAGCAATATGCAAAGAAATGTCAGCAGAAGGTAGTGAGAGGTTTCATGAAGTAAACTCAAGCCAGATGGGAGAAAGAAGTGTAGTGGCAGGTGCTATTGCAGATAAGTTCATAAAGGGAGCGCTGTGTGAGGAGGTTGTGCAGGGGCATAAAAAACTTAAAGGAGCAGGTCTTTATAATTATGAGAGCCAAAGAGCATTTTAGGCAGTGAAGAATATAAAGTACCAAGGCTCTGGAGCATGCGTAATGTGTACTCCTCAAAGCAGAGTCCTGCCAGCTCCACATTCCCCCAGACCTTTAGGATACAAAGCAAGGTTTGCTCCAGTACCGCCTTGAAGATGCTCCCATCAGCTGTGACATCCAAAGAAGAAAAGTCTGCTTTCTATTATCATCTTGTCTTGGTGAGATTAGTTTGCAAATTTTTCTGTGGTTTCATTAAACTGAACCAAAAAGAGTCTCTGAATAGATCTATTGCTTTGGGAAACAATTCGAAGCCAGCTTGAAGTCTTACTCCTTGGAGTACAGCCAACAACCCTAGCTCACCTCTGGTGAGACTAATTTTTTTGCCTCCCTTACAGAAGGCAAACCCAGGAACTTACCATTTCCAGATGCACATTGAGGTGGCTCAACCCAAAGTACACAGGTAGTCCATCCAGACACAGCAAGGTGCACATGTGATCTCATCAAACTCAAATGCCTCAATGAAAATCATAACACAAAGATGGAGCAAAGCAAGATTTTGGCATATTGACATCCATGCTTCAGATTTTTGGCATATTGACATCCATGCCTCAGGGATATTTTGCCTCCTCCTACACAGATTCATATGGACTGGTAGAGCTATAGGGCCCTTCTCTGGATTTTACATGCTGGAGAAAGGACCTTCTGGTTCACATTTTACTCAACTGGCCTGCATCTCCATGCAAGAGAAGATATAGAGGCTTTATCTCAGCACAGCATTAGATTCCTTGTTCTGGAGACACAGTTGGCTGTCCCAAAGCCATATCTCATCCAGTGACATGTTTTGTGTGGCCTACACATTGTTTATAAGGGAAAGAAAAACACATTTAATTATTCCTCAAGATTAAAAAACTTGAGGGAGCTTACATGAAATCTAGATTTTTGTATGCCTTTGAAAAATTTGAAAGTGCTGGCTATAATAGGACCACAATCCTTCATGGAGATAACTGGCTGGGATTAACAGCTAAACCTCTTATGTGGGGCATTTGACCTTCATTTCACCTTAGTGCCCACCAACTCCTATTAAATTTCACTTCATATCACATCATTTCATCTCCTGCTTGGCCTCTGTAGGCATTGATTCTTATGTCTCCTCCTTCAATACATTATAGTAATCTTATCACACAATTCCTTTACTCCAAACGTTGAGAACAGCAAAGGGAATGAAATCATCATGGTGGATATATCCAGTGACTACTGCAATCCGATGCCTTAAAGTAAAAGTGAGGCAAAGGCTTTCCTGTTTCTTTACCATAACATCATAGAAATTTGATAGAGTGATAATAGGCGTAAAAGCATAAATTAGTCAAGAGTGGTAGGAAATGTAAGATGATGTGGGTCTTAGAAGGGGAGACAAACTATCCTGGAGAAGAGAACAGAGGAGACTTTCTCCATATTTGAGAGTCTAACAAAAGGGGGCACCAGTTTCATGTCTACTCTAGTGTATTAGTATGTTTTCACACTGCTGATAAAGACATACCTGAAACTGGGCAATTTACAAAAGAAAAAGGTTTAATTGGACTTACAGTTCCATGTGGCTGGGGAAGCCTCACTATCATGACAGAAAACAAGGAGGAGCAAGTCCTGTCTTACACGGGTGGCAGCAGGAAAAAAGAGAATGAGAAAGACGCAAAAGCGGAAACCCCTGATAAAACCATCAGACCTCGTGAGACTTATTCACTACCACAATAACAGTACGGGGGAAACTGCCCCCGTGATCAAATTATCCCCCACTGGGTTCCTCACACAACACGTGGGAATTACGGGAGTGCAATTCAAGATAAGATTTGGGTGGGGACACAGATCCAAACCCTATCATCTAGGTAATAAATTTTCAAGCTATTTTGGCAAAAGAAAGTTTCAGGCAAAGGGTTCAGTCTCCATAGAATGTAAGCTCTTGAGGGCAAGAGCCAAGTGTCTTTTATTCACCAGTGTTCACTCAGGGGTAAGTCCATGGCATATGGGAGACCCTCAGTAGACGTGTTTTGGGAGGCCTGAGAGTCACAGTCCCATCGTGCAAGAGATCTCTTAGAAGCACATGCCCCTAGCCAGGTCTGTTGTGTGGACTCCCAAACAATGGAGTCATAACCACCCTTTATAACATCTTGAGTGACTATAGAGATTCCACTTGGATTGTGGTGCTCACAATGGTTGTGGTACAGAGAGAGGAAGAAAGGTTTTATGACAGAGGCCAACTATTTGTGCATCAAAACACCATTCTCCTCAAAACACCATCCTCCTCTCACTCAGCCTGGAAACATCTTCCTTTAATTAGTTATTCCTGCATTTGTTCCCCAAGGCTGCTGAACAGCTGGCCTGTACTTGAAGTTAAACAAAGAGCTGGGATTGAGAATACACTTTAGTATCCACTACTTCATCTGATAGTTCTAGGGTGTATTTCAAACAACTTGTTATGAGCCTGCCTATATTATTACCTACCGTGACCTTCCCTTTGCGAGCTAACAGTGCTGATTGGAATTCACCTGCTTCTTTCTGAGCAACAGCAAGGGAGGAAGGAAGTTAGGAAGGAGGAGATGAGAACAAGATCTAGATCTAGTGCACACTTTGAAGAATACCACACGCTTCTTTGAAAATACAAGCCATGGCGGGGTGATTTGGGATAGAAATTTGGATATTTGTCTCCCTAGATTTTTTCCTTCCCACAATCAAAGCAGGTGGCTGAGCTGTGTCGAAGCATGCCTCAAGAGCTTCTGGCAGCCTGAAGGCAGAATTTATGGGAAGATTGTGGTTCTTCTGTCTTTGAGCTTGGTGTCCTTGAGGTAGGGGTGTTGGAAGAGGATGCAGGCCTTTGAGGATAACAAAGGGGGAAACAGAAATATGAGTTTTTCTTCCCCAAAGAGGAATAGGTGTCCACAGGTTTTACCCACATGAGCGGAGGCACTCACACTGTTCTTCCTGACAATGCCCTGGTGAAGGCTTACGCTTCTAAGAGGCAGGGCTGTGGGTGCCCCGGGGATGCTGTTTAGATATCCACTTCCCATATCTGGCTGAGAAGTTGAGCTCTGTTAAACTCCAAGGGACCACATGGGATTTAATAGTGACAAAATAGAACCCAGAATTCCTCTACTTTCTATAGATATTTTAATTTTTATGGGAGGATATCAGAACCTCCAAAATATCTGTGAATAAATTTAAACAATTAGCCAATTGGGATTGAGATTATTTAAAAAAATTATAAAGAAATGTGTTGCTGAATTTTACACGCCAAAATGTCTTCATGGTTTCTTAAGTGCACGAACCCAGGCAGTACATTTCTTTTTCTTTCTTTCTTTTTTTTTTTTTTTAAGAAAAAAAGCTCTCTCACCCAGGCTGGAGTGAAAAATGCTGCGATCTCAGGTCGCTGCAACCTCTGCCTCCTACGTTCAAGAGATTCTCCTGCCTCAGCCTCCCAAGTAGCTGAGATTACAGGCACCTGCTATTGTGCTCAGCTAATTTTTCTATTTTTATTAGAGACGGGGTTTCACCATGTTGGCCAGGCTGGCTTGAACTCCTGACCTCAAGTGATCCACCCATCTCGGCCTCCCAAAGTGCTGGGATTACAGGCATGAGCCACTGGGCTTGGCTCAGTACATTTCTTAATCCTAAGTACCAGGCAGTAAGTAAAATGAACATAATACTAGAAAAATAGTGTCTCTGGAAACAAAAGGTCTTGAGTTTCTGGATGTCATTTTTCACTCCTATTCAAACAACAACGGAAAAAAATTAGCAAGAAAATGATTAGCCCAACGTTAAACCTTGTAAGTGGTACAGGAATAAAGAAAACTGTTATCCTCCAGGTATTTATTGTTAATTTGGAGATACAGTCAGTGCTCTTATTAGTGAGATAGCCAGGTGGGAAGGGGTCCCCAGAGAAATTCCAACCAGCCTGTGCACTAGGGTGGAGCCACAGACGTCCTCGCCATTTGCAGTGGGGAAGACCCTGGCCCCTTCTCTTCCTGGGTGAAACCTGGAATTCAGTCTACAATGTGGGAAGCCCACAGGCAGGAAACACTCTCTCACTTCACTAAGAGTCTCTGTTCCCCCTTTCTTCCTTTTTGTCCAATAAATCCCATTTTTCTCACTCTTCAAATGGTCTGTTAGCCTACATTTTCATGGCTGTGTGACAAGGACCTTGTCTTTAGCTGAACTAAGGAAAAGTCCCGCAACATTAGTAATCCTTAATTAGAGAGCTACTGAAAGCAAGGGACAGTGTGGTAAACATGATGCAGGATTTCTGGCCTCAACAAATTTGCAGAGGTTGGTTGTAATAGACTGATTGCAAAAACAATCCCAATCTTCAGAACCTTCATATATCCATACAATTTGCAATGTGACTTTGCATCTGTTCCCATCAAGGTGTAGGGTCTATTTCAATACCTGCCCTATCTGGGCTGGCATTCCAACTCCTTTTAACAACTAGAATACAGTGGAGGTGATGTTGTGTCTTTCTGAATCTGGCTTCAAGAGGTTGCGCCCTCCTCTCTCTCCCAGAGAACTGTATCATCACCATGAGAACAACACTGGGCTAGCCCACTGGAGGATGAGAGACCACATGGAGCAGAGCTGAGTGGCTCTCTACCAGGCCATCCTGGACCAGCTGGCACCTACCTACTGACCTTAATCATGTTCTGAGCCCCAGTGTAATCATCCCAGCCTGGCCCAAGTCAGCAGAACTTCCCAGACCAATCATAGACTTGGAAACCTCATAGATGGTGGTTGTTTTAAAACACTAAGTTTTTGGTAGTTTATCACACAGGATCACTGAATCAATAGATAATTGATACACTGGAATAGTCAGAGACATCTTCCTGCAGGAGGAAGGGCTTCAAAGCTTTAGTCAAGCAGAGAGAACTAGGGTAATCATTCCAAGCAGGGAAAATAGCTTTTCCTGACTTGGCGTCAGCCATTCCAATTTATCAATCAGAATACTGGCTCTTTTAGATTGTCTCTCTTTCTCTTCTAGCCTGCTTTTCTCACTTTGTTCCTCTTGGTTCTGAGGAAGTCAGAGAGGCTGTAAGTGTGGAGCCTAGGCCTGAATGAGAATCCTGGGCCTCTTGCTCTCTCTGCTCCAGCTCTGCTGAGCCAAACTTGGGAGCTTTCTTTCCCTTCATCTAAATTCTGGGGATCAAGACACTTGGGCCTTTTTGGCAGATTTATATAGTGCTCACCAGACCCAGGAATCTCCTTGAGTGCCCAATAAAACAAGGTATTTTTGCTGTTGTTTTATTCCCAGGACCCAGACTTTCATTACAGAATAAAATTCAGAAATAAAAATAAAGCTTCCTTCACTCCTGGGGCCCTGCCCCTCTGGTTCTCAGGCTCTTGGGCTGTAACTCCTCAGGATTTCCAACTTCCTGCCTCTTTCCAAAACTGATGCCACTTTCCCAGGGACCGGGAGTCAAGTTTGAAAGGGTCAGTCCCTGGAATTCCTTGTGGTAACAGTGGGGAGACAACCACTCCTGGCTGTTAATTGGCACAGGAAATGAGCAAAGTTGAGTGTGGTTCTCCTGTGATTAGAAACCTTTTAAAACAACAAGCTTGGCTGAATCTTTCCTTGCGAGGGGGGTGGGAATGGGTCTAGAAACCTGAGAGTTATCTAGGTGATTTAATGAAAACAATTAGATTGGGGTCTTTCGATTTTGTAGAATAAAAAAATGAAAACTAAACATGGGTAAGACATTTCTAAATGTTAGAGACTCGAGAGTATCCATCAGTCTTTTTTTTTTTTCCTCTCTGGTGTTGCTAAAATAAAACATACAAACTACATCCCATTTAGTTTACTTTCCCATTCTTCTTTTTTTTTCCCCTTAGGTCTTCATAACAGTCCTTTTAAGGATCTGAGATTCTTTTTCAGTCCTGCCTCCTCTCGTTTTTGCTCTCTCTGACAGATGTTGATTTTTAATGATTCCTCCTTCTTAGGTTTCAAAACCTTCAGTGTGTCTGTTCCTGAAACTAATAATTGAAACAACCAATCTGCAGAAAAACTCTTGCTTGGTTTTTGTCTAAGGGGGATCTAGGGTGGAGCTGAGAAGGCCTACCTTCAATATTAATAAGATATGAAGAAGATAATGTATGCACAGAGGCACACACCTCCCTTTTTACTTCCTTCAGTAGAGTCCACTCACACTTTTTGCTTATACAGCAATGCACTTATATTTTCTCTTTGTTCCCCTAAGTGCTTCACTCAGTCCTGGGCACAGAGTAAGCACTTAATACATATTTGCTGATGTGAATTGAAGGCCTGGGGTATTTCCTACAGATTAAGCAATTTTGACACTATAATCCCTAAATAATTCCCAGGAAGTGCCTTGAACAATGGTTTCTATTGCAGTCACATTGGGGCTTTTGATTCCTGTCTTTTGCTGTTTGTTTCTGGTTCATGTGTCAAGCCACTCACCACTGCCTCTTGGTTTGGCTCTCTAGACAGACAGAGGAAAAAGGGTGATAACTCCAGAGCACGTCATTTTTATTCTCCATATCTCAGAAAATAGACTCCAAAACAGAGGAATTATTTTTCCACTTTACTGAGGAATATAATGATTATGGCTGGCAAATATTTGGAGAAAGGCGGTACGATGTGGTAAGGAGAGATGAAGGTGCTTTCAATAGCAATGAAACAGTTCCAGTTCCGAGGCCTACTCTGAGCATGGGGAAATGTGAGTGAAATATTATAGCAGCAACAGGAATGGTTATTGAACTGTGAAAAGCATTTGCTACATAAAGAGGGCCTTAATTCCTTTGATGTTATCAGAGAGGGATGTATTAGGTTCTGCAAAGCAAGTGGCAATGATCAGCAAATGCATTTTTAAAATGTTCTTCCCCTTTAATATCAGATGACTATAACTTAATCTCCGGTTTGTGTGTTATTCTCTTTACTTCCCAAAAAGAGGGTGTGGTCAGGGCAATTAAGGAGAGTAACTAAGAGGGACATTTTAAATTCTGGAATGAGTTACCTCTGCACCTTCGCTTTTCTGTGGCTTTCAGGTTGATCAGAAATATGTTAACTCTGGGACCTCTAAGCTAATAAAAAATTATACATCAATTACTACTCTTACTAATTGAAATAGTAGACTATGATAAACCCTGAAATATTAGCAATCACATACTTAAAAATCTGCATTAATTTGAATTAAAAATTTAAATTAATACTTCTATAGAACTAAAAATTTTTTCAGAAGTTATGTTGTAAAATAGAAGCATAGAAAAATTACTACATTTGATTTTGAAAGAGCAAAAACATGTTTTTAAAATAAGTAAAAACATTCAATTTTTTGCATTTTAATTTGGGCTAAAGAGTCAGTGAAAGAAAAATGAACATCTTATTTCTTCCAAACTGTTTCAGTTGGTAAAATACAAAATGGTGCTTAGTGTGGTAGCTAAAATGAAAACAGATTCAATGGGTCAAAATTATAACTTGTATCGATAATTTGCAATATGAGCAGTTTAGAAAGATCAAGGCAATATTAAGGTAGCTAGTTTCAGACTGTAGATTTGTTCTTAGAAAGAGGATCTGACTCGTAAATAGACACAAGAGGGATGCCAGGAACGTGCTTTTGCTGGAATGCTAAGATACATGCGTAACTAGGGGATTTAGAGAAGGAAGACATTCTTATTTCTGTTCCTTTCTTTTGCCACTGTTTACAAATAACATGGAGGTGTGACGTCTGTGTGTCTTGTCGATGCGACTACAGGAAAGAGATTTCGTTCATAAATTCCCTCTCCAGGAGCCATGCTGTTTATGTCAGAGCCTGATTCTTATCCAGTCTATTGTTGCTGCTTATTGGAAATTGACATAAAGAATAACCCAAACATAGACATTTGTCTGGAATCCTCTTAATATCATAAATTGCATCTGTTTACCATCCTCTGTCAGTTTCCACTGGAAATTTCAACACCCCTCTGATGCTGACCCACCTAGGGTAATGCATGATTCCCCTTCCCAAAAGCCAGGGGGAATGAGGAAAAAAGTGCACTGATAAAGACCCATTACCATTCAGGAGAGGGGAAAAAAGGGAGAGAACAGAGCCGGAGCCACCCCACACCACATCCAGCAGTTGTTGGGTTTAAAATTTCACGTTGGCCTCTTTCTTACTAGACAGCCTAAGCTGGCATCAAGGGGCTATCGACTGTCAAAATAGCAGCCAGAGAAACAATTGACAAAGCCATCCCTTGAGAATGTTGAGTAAACTGGCGAAAGTACTGTCAAAGGAGTTAATGTGCAAGCTGGCACCCAATGCCAGGTCCGGCGTGAGAACCACTTACATGGTCATTGTCCCTCCTGGTGTCCCCAGCTCTGTCAAATACTGCCCCGAGCTTGCCTTTCAGCACAGGAACTGATCTCTTTCTGACAAACTGAAATACACACCCACCCTAAAACCCTACCAGCTGAGGGTGGGGAGTTCAGATGGGAAAGCAGGCAATTCTCTAGCAACCATGAGCTGGTTCAGTTTCGCCAGACTCCCTGAGGGTTGGGCAGGCTGGGCAGACTGGGCAGACTGTTTCTTGGGAACACAGGGTGGTATTTATGTGCAGTCCTAGACTCCAGGAGTGATAAAGCCAGACACCAGCTTGAGTCTCACAGACCCCTGACGCCCAATCCATCCACAGGAGGGGTTCCTCAGACCCAAAGTCCCTGCACCCTCCTTTGTGGCATTTAGTATACGCATCCACAAAAGAACAAAGAGAAACTGGTCAAACTAAAAGCAAGTATTCTACCATTGCAGTAGCATCCTGGGCACGTGGCTGCCAGTTAGTTGCAGACTCTTAACTGGCCAGTAGGCCGGGCTGGCTGCCCCTGTGTGAAGCATTTTCACAAAGTACTGGAGATGAAAGTTAGTGTCTTTATATTTGCATAAGTGAAAACCTTATGCAATTTGAGATAATAGAATTGAATAGAACAATAGAAATTTCAAGAGAGGTTTTCTATTATGGGGGTTTTTGGATACAGACAGGCATCACTAGTACATTTGAGCTGAGGCCTAGACTGCAGAATCCCTTAACATTCTGGAAATCATGCCAGTTCTCTACTCTGCTAAATTCTCCAATCACCCCAAAGAAGAAGCAATCAGGGTTTAAAAATATAAATAAATACAACTATTAGAGAAAAAAGCCACCCGAGAATAATTTTGGCAAATAACATGTGAATAAATATAAACTTAATTAAGACACTGAAAACACAAATAAGTATAGGTTATAAGTAGACAAATCAGAAACAAAAAAGTTATATAAATCTCTTAGTAATGTGGAAAATGAATTAAATTCACTCCTAATTTTAAAATACACTTGTAAATACAAAAAGCAAAGCTGTATTTTTTGCCCTAATCAGCAAAGATGTAAAGAATGATAATACTTAATGCAACTCATTAAACATGGTTTATGTAAATCTATATCACTACAAACCATCTGGGAAGCAATTTGGCAGGAGAAGTCAAAAGTGTTCAAAATATTGGCATACTTTTGTCTAGTATGTCTACTGCAAAGATGAGTTTCCCCTTGAGTCTCTTGGCCTCCTGCCATTGGGCAGTGTAGGACTAAGTCTATAGGGAAACCCTCTGTTTCATGAATGAACCACTCACAATCTTGGGCTTCCATCATTTAGTTAAAAGACACTGGTATGTAATTCAGGAGCCTCTCGCTTGCTTCTGTAGAAATCTTGACATTGCATGGGGCTGTGCAGGGAGGGACACATACTGGTGTCCTTTATCCTCCCTAGATTTTGCCCAAGTATCAAAGTATCATTCTTCTCATCAATTTTTTTTCACACTTTTTCTTCATTTTAGACTTAAAGAACTCCCAATGTCATTGGCAATGCAGATTCCTTTATTTTTTATTTCTTTTGTTTTTCTTTTCTTTAACGATGACTGGAGAGCAGTTAAAGGTAAAATGCCTTTGTCTATTTAAAATATTTTCATATTGTTATTCTTTTCTGGATATTTCTAAATTTTCAACACAGAGCATTATTTTGGCAGTTATACAAATAGAATCTAAACTATTTAATGATATAAATAAATTTACAATTTATATTAGGAAAAAATAAGGTAGTAATTATACACATTATAAAAGCCTTTCCCAAATAACAATCAAAAAGATACTAATTTTAGCAGGACCTGGGAGATAGTTATCAGTAAAAGTTATTTCAAATGTTCAGTAAAAATGCTTTGCTGATACTTAAATTTGAAATGCTGTTGGGGACTCACACTGCTGTTTTTTATTCATGTATAAGGGTTTTAAAGAAAGCCTCTATTAAACAAAAAGTTGCCTCTCATAGATAAGAAAATCAAGTAGAACTGATTTTCAGGAGATTGCCTTCTATGAAACACGGCATCATGCAGTATTTCCATCAGGAAATATTTCTCATCTCCTATGAAGGTATCAAATTTCACGGTGGCCGTTGTGCAGTTTTGCTAGAAATGAAATTACCACAAAGTTGTTTAATTTCGCTTTTGTACAACACAATGATAATCTCTAGCATATTAAGGAGACCAACTCATTCCCTTTTACCTGGGACTTCATAGGTTTGAGCACTGAAAGTCCTGCACTAGGTATGGAAAACTCCTCAGGCTCAGTCACTCTGTGTCCCAAGGGCCTGCCCTGCACCAAATTGTTCTCCTTATCTATGGTTGTGTAACAAACTACCGCAGATCTGAGTGGCTCAAAACAATACTTGTCTTATTATATGTAATGACTCGTAGTCAGGAATTCAAGCAGGGTTTCTCTGGCTGATTTTGCTGCTCTATGTGACGTCACCTGGGGTCACTCTTGGTATTTGGCAGGCAGCTGGACCAGCTTGGAAGGTCCAGGGTGGCTTCCCTCCCATGCCTGGCTCATTAGTGGGGATTTCTGAAAGGCTGATCTCAGGGCTCTGAAAGTGAGTTCCAACAGACAGGAAGTGAAAGCTGATGGAAAGGAGGTGGAAGCTGCCAGTGCCTTAACATCTGGGCCTGAAAACTGGCACAGCATCCCTTCCACCTTATTCTGTTGGTAAAAGCAAACACAGAACCTGCCCAGATTCAAGGGAACAGGACATAGACTACCCTTCTCAATAGCAGGAGGCTCAAAAAGCTTGAGACCAACTTCAAACCAGGATACAAATATTGTGCTTTAACTTAGTAATCCCAAGGTGCCGGTTAATATGGTAAAGCAAGTATTATTTTTCTCATTTTGCATTTGGAAAAAAATTGAGCCTCAAAGAGATGGAATAATTTTTCTCAAGGTCACACAATAATAATATAGGTAGAAACCTAGTTTGTTCTAACTGAAAATTATGCTATTTATTTTGTGGCACATTGTCCATAGAGAAACATTTTGTGGTATGTTTGCACATTGGAAGCATCTGTGTATTGAGTCCATGGGTGTATTATACATGCACAAAAAGGAATGCAGATAGAAACTCCCTCTGCCGTGCTTGTGACAAAAAAAGATGACAGAATTTTCTGGCACTTTTTTTTTTTTTTTTTTTGAGACAAAATCTCGCTCTGTCGCCCAGGCTGGAGTGCAGTGGCTCGATCTCGGCTCACAGCAAGCTCCACCTCCCGGGTTCACGTCATTCTCCTGCCTCTCAGCCTTCCGGGAAGCTGGAGCTACAGGCTCCCGCCACCAAGCCCAGCTAAATTTTTTTGTATTTTTTGTAGAGATGGGGTTTCGCCGTGTTATCTGTCACATGTTTTAATTCTTCTTCTACCAAGTCACATCCATACACTAAGTCGAGTTAGAATATTCGGTCATCTGGGTCTCATGAGGTATCAGGTTACTCATGAAGCCTGCCAAGGAGAATGCTGAGAGTTGCAGCCATCAGTCCTATGTCAATTAGATTCTGATGTGCAAAACCATCCCAAAACACAGTTGCCTGGGCAATTTTCCTAGGCTCAGCAGGCTATCCTGATCTCGGCTGTGCTCACTCATCAGCCTGTGTTGAGCTGCTGCTTTGGCTAGGAACTGACTGGTTTAGGATGGCCTCATTCACATACCTCCTAGTTGGCAGGCCATTTGCCAAGGGCTGGCTGATTGTCGGCTGGTAAGCCTTGCTCCTCTTCCACATGACTTCTTATTCTCCAGCAGGCAAAATCAGGTTTGTTCACTCAGATGCTGCTTCACTCACTTCAAGAGCAATAGTGTGCAAGGCTTCTCAGTATCTAGGTTCAGAACTCACAGAACATTGCTTCCATTGCATTCTGTTGGCCAAAGCAAGTTGCAAGACCAGCCAAGATTCAAGGAGTAGGGAAATGGACATTACCTCTCTTGACTGGATGAACTGCAAAATCACACTGAGAGTCTGGATACAGAGAGGGGAATAACTGCAGCCATTTTTTTATTCTAACATAAGACCAATTCGTGGATATCTTCCATACTATTTAGAACACAGCCAGATGTAGCCTCTCACAACTCTGATAAATTGACTTAAATAAAAACATGGGCTGTGTGAATTTAACCGAAAATCCTATCCAAATAATTCATCTATAATGAAACCAATAAATCCAAAGGACATTCTGAAGTACTTTTTATCATCACAATTCAACCATAGTTTCTTAACCTATTGTGGTCCATTGTGATGTCTGCATATATTAATGTTGCCTCCTAGGTTGTTTAAACCTGGCCCCCACTAGAAATCAAGTAAATCCTTTAGACTCACACATCAATATTCTGGAATAAAGGTAGTAAAAGAGAAGGAGAAGCCATCTGAATTAAAACTGTATAGCAAAAATGGAGTGAAAACAGGTTTTCCAAGATGCTAAAGAATGTTCTTTGTTTCTTAATTGCTGCAGGATTCACATTTGTACGTAAGCAGTGAATAATATCAATTAAGTACGGTTTAGTTGTCAAGTACTGTACAGAGCACTTAACGTATTTCATGCCATCTAATTCTCACTCCAAATTTATGATTCAGAAACAAACATTAGCAACCTCATTATTCATGTAAGGATACTAAAACTTAGAATGCATGGTAGATTGTGCAAGATTCCTCCCTGTTGATCAAGAGGTACAGTCAATTTCATGTCCCTTAAATCTTGGCTCAGCCATGTGACTTGTGTTGGTCCATGAGCCATTACTAAATGTGATGCAGGCAGAGGATTAAAACACATTTGTGCATTGGGGCTTGCTCTCTTGCATACTTGAGACCCTAGGACCACCACGTTAATGAGCCCAAGCTATCCTGCTAGAAATGGAAGGCCTTGTGGCAGAGATCCAAGGTGGACCAGCTGAGAGTCAGCCAGCCCTTGGCTGATACCTGTCAGCTGCCAGACATAAGAGTGACCAAGCATCCTCCAACTAACCCTTCAGCCATCCCATGCTATTGGGAGAAGAGCTGGAAGTGAAGCTCAGGCTGTTACATTTTAAGTTTATGTTTTTAATAAGAACACTGTGCTCACTTCTCACAAATGTGTACTGTTCCTCAGAATACTGATGAAACTAACAGCTGTTAAAGTATCTATATAGACAGCCTGGCATACAGGGAAACAGAGGCAGAAATTAGCCTTACCTGTAAACCCCAAGTGCCTTTCCGCACAACAAAGACCTATGGAATAAGCCTCAGGACAACAAAAATCCATGAAGATTTTAAATGAGGAGTGTTAAAATAAAACTGCAAGCGGCAGGGATATGGACTGGGCAAAGGGGAAGCATAGAGGCAGGTGAACCCGAAGTGGAGGTCTAGGGCTGACTTCATGAAGTCCTGAGTTGAGATAGTGACCATGAGATTGAGAGGCAGTCAGGAGCTGCTTGGAAGCTTTAGGAAAAGAATCTGCAGGACACGGTTGCTCAGTCTTCTGCCTCTCTAGGCAATGCCTTCAAGCATTCTGCTTCGACTCCCATGGAAATTCTGAGTTATACAGATGCTAAGATCATTGATTTGAAAGTGGGGGGAGAGAGGGAGGGAGAAATATAGATACAAAGACAAACAGACAGAGAGACAGAGATTGAAATACAGAAGCAATGTAGTTCATAAAAAAATCTTTCATCTGGAGTCAGAAAATCTGAGTGTTGATCTTTCTGTGACATCATTTACTTTGGAGCTTGAAGAAGTCACTTTACTATAACCCTCTGGCTTCACTTTCCATCTCTGTCCAGAGGGAGTTCTTTGAAGGATGGTGCTTGTTAAAGTTAAAAGTAATACTAAATGTAATATATTAGTGATTTCTAAAATAGTTTTTTCTATAGGCACTTCTCATGCCAGAGTAATTACAAGATCAGAAAAAGTAAAACAGAATTTACCAGAACTCTTTTTATTAGTTTCCCATACAGTGCCAACTCTTAGATTAATTAGCAATCCAGATCTTCTGCAGTGTCGTTTGGGAATGTAATCTGAATGTTTAGTAGCCTGATCTTAAGGGAACTGACATGCAGGAGAAATTTCTCTGTCCTAATAATATATTTACCAAGACATTTAAAAGTGAATGATCCTACCATCATCTTATGCCCATTGAATCAAGTCACAGATTCCTGGTTTTAAATCCTAGGTTTATCTCTTAATAGTTGCATAATCTTGGTCAACCTACTTGACTACTCTGTGCTTCAGTCTCCTTATCTGTAAAATGGGGCTCTAATACCTATTTTATAGAATTTGCTGTGAGAATGGAATGAATTCTTGTATGCCTGGTGCTTGGCACATTGTAAGTGCTATGTTAAAAGGTTACCATTTACTATTACTGCTTGCTAGTGTGAACTGAAACCTCTTTCCTTCCCCCACAAACTTATTGTAAAATCAAGATAAAACCTTTATCATGGACATCATTTCTCTCTCCCTTTGGCTGATACTTCTGGTCCTTTCTATGCCATCATAGCAGCAACATATCAAGAGATGAGGGTTCAGCCTGATTATTATAGGAAAGAGATCTTCAATAAATCAGAAATTATTTATGGCCAAGAACAATTTCATTAACAGAAGCAGAATGACTGGGACCACCTAAAGGTTTGTTTTGGTTGCTCCAGATCTTTGGTTTTCAAATATCTCTCAAGTATTTTTATTTTTAAACATCAGAACCTGTGAAACTCATCACATATTTTATGGTGAAGGAAGTCTAACCTTCCTGCGTTATATTAGTCTACCCTTATTTGTAGATTAGACAAGGCCTAAGTAGATGAAATCCCTCTGGTGGCTGAAAAGCTGCTTGGTGGCAAAGCCACGAAGGTGCTCAGAGGCTGGTTAGTTAGAAGCCAAACTTGAATGTGCAGAGTTTCAAAAGAAATGGCTACAAGAGATCGTTTCACATCATGGGACCCCTCACTTTCATGAAAGAGATGAGATGAATCAGGGAGTAGAAAGGGAGCGACCAGTGAAAAGAATTATTTGTGGAGAGCCATGGGGTTGTGAGTTCCCCACCAACCTCCAGGCTGGTCACAGCACCTCTGATTGCTGCTTCTTTCCTCTGCCTGTGGTTCTCTCATTCTCCAGCCATTATCATCATTATCATCAGTGAAGGTGCATCCAGTTCATCACTGACTTGGGCACCCCACTCTGTTTGTTCAGATTCACACCATGTTCTTGGCACCCTTTACAATTGTGTCTAAACAAATGCAAAGTAGTCCTCAGTTCTGCTTCCTTTTTCTTCTTTTGTGGGTGCCCTCTGTCTCCACAAAGTCTGACAGCATTTCTTCAGAGTTTCCTAATGCCACTTCTTTCTGCCTTCTAACTACATATAATACCTTTTCTTTGATACGACACAATAGACGCCCACTCTAAATTTCATTTTTGATCAATTCTTATCACTCAACACTTTCCACATGCAAAATCCCTTCCACCGTAGCCTCTCCTGTATGTCTTAAATGTCACATATTTTTTTTTTATGCAATGCAAATCCCTGTCAGACTAAGCCATGAGTACTCTTTACGAAATTAGTTGCCCAAATCCTTCCCAAGCAATTGTTGAATAATAGCTTTAATTTGGGGCAGCACATGGATGTCTGGGCATGTGTTGGGATGGTAAAGAGGACAGATGAGGAAACAATTGGTCTATTATTTGGGGGATGACCTTGAAACACTATATCAGGTAGAAAGCTCGGAATTCAGCGGCAATATAAATGTACTGGACTTCTAGGGGAGGGTGGAGAGAGAGAGGAGATTCCTGAAAGGTAAAATCAGTACTTGAATAAAGATCTTCACTTATATCAGGACAATGCCGGATCTCAAAGTGTCTCCTTACATGGTCCACTACTGAGCTATTATTGACTCCTCCTCTTATCACTGACTGTGAGTACAGCCAAGAGCCCCTTTCTACCCATATGGAAAAAGGGAGATCATTACTCCTAACTAATAATATGGAAGAGAATAGAAAAAAATAAATAAACACAGAACAAAAACCAAAGTGAGCTTCCTTGAAGGTTAATTGAAACCTGTCTCCCGGGAGTAAAGTAGCTATTATTGATTGAGCCCTGAGATTTGATAGTATTTTGAATTAACTTGATTCCAATAAAGATAGAAGCCTTGATCCCGCTATCTTCAAATGCAGTTGCACCTGGAAGGTGCATTCACTTTGGATGTTACCTTCTTTTTCTGAGAACACTGTGTTGTGCAGATGTAATTTGGAATTAAAGTCTTCATCAATATAAAATCTGGCTGGCCCAGACAGACAGCAATCTTGGACACTGAATCAATTAATCACTGGGTTTTAATGGATAACTTCTTTCCCAGAGCTGAGGCCTAGTGGAATCGTATGTAAGAAATTAAATAACACAGCTAGGTGAGGAGATGAATTTAAAAAGCAGAACAGAAGATATCTAGGAAATGTCTTTCAAAGTCCCTTCATCTCTCTTCCCTATCTTTCTAGGAACTCTTCCTGTGCCTACTAATCATGCCTAGGACGTGATTCCCTCATCTACCCACAATTGCATCTACCTTTATTTTGAAATTAACCTTTAACCATCTTTCCATTTTTTTAAAAAAAAAGCAGAATAAAGTTCAAAATCGATACTATGAATAGCATCACTTAGAAATGGCCTTTATGGCTGCATTCAATTTTCATAGCTAATTTTAAAAACTAACTATTCCTTTTATTCCCTTTTACGCATATCTCTTGTGCTGTGTTGATGCCTCACTGGCTGCAGTGCCTCTCTATTGCTGAGTGTGCTCTAGTTGGGTTTCAGGTCATGTAATTTTTATTATGTACAACACCGCCTGAGAAATTATCAGGCAAGGACATCAAAAAGGCCTGTGTTGTTATAGCAGCAAAGCTTTGTCAGCCCAGCCATCCACCCATGATTCCTGGAGTGATAATGGGCCTAACGACATCAACACAAACTCAGGGTAGAGATCTGTCCACCATAATGGTGGGCCCCCTTATCATGTGCTTTGTTACCTAGGGGTTACCACCTTTTTCAATGATGAGTAGGGATGCTAAGGGTTGAATGATATGGGGCATGCAAAGCCTTTAGCATCGATTCACTCAATAACAATAGTAATGACAGCTTTCTTTGTGCCAAATTTTACCCTTACTTTTCATGGATCATGTAAATATTCACAACAACAAAAGGAGGTGAGGTTGCTATCATTATCCTCATTCTATAGATGAGGAAGTTGAGGTTTAGTGTGGTCAAATGATTTGCCCTTGGCTACAAAGCTGGAAAGTAGTTTATTTCATTGCTGGTAGGCAATTGGAGGGCCCCAGTTTTTGTAATAGTTTGTCTTTCATCATATTATGTCTCTATACCTCCTCATCCATTTCTGCTTTGTCCTCTCAAACCACATGTTCTTTAACTTTCATGTCATCTCTTTCTTCCTCAAGCTCTACCTTCCCTCTCCCACTCCTCACTTCCAAATTATTTCCTTGGAGGGGTGATAGTAAAAATATTTAACACAATATTTAAAAGATAATGTTCATGCAAAGACCAATTAGGCTTGGAACACAAGCAAGGTCCTGAAAGACCCTGCAGCTCCAGAAATTAACACTTTAGCAGCTGCTCTGTGGGGACATAGCTCCACGGGAGAGGATGGGAGGATGGATTGAGGATATGATTTAAATTTAGAGTTGTTTGAGAATGTCCTTATATGAAATCACACACTTATCTAGTAAGTTGGGCTAGAATTTGGGTCTAAATGTTTCTGGCTGATGATTACATTCCAAATGACGCCTGTTTGCATCATTTTGTAGAAGAGATCTGCTTTTAGAATCGTTTTAAATAAAAAATTATTTTGAATTGATTTTTCTACTAGTTAGAGAATATTAGAGTTGGAAGCAGTTCTCAAATTTTTCCTATAGTAAGATCACTTGGCTGACAGCCATTTGGTGTGGTTATTAAGAAACACCTTAGTGGTCAGGAGCTCACCACCTCAAAATACATCATGTGCCACTGTCAGTAGCATGCATGATTTATTACAGACTATCATAATATGCTCAAAGCTGTTTCCTTATTATTTCCATCCAGTCATCCTGGCAAACCAATAGAGATAGAATCCACTTCTTCCCATGATGCTCTTCATGATACTCTCCCAATTTGCCTTCCTGATGATATCAGGGCCCCCTTCCTCATCTTTTCCCTAGCTAAGTATCAACACTGCCACTTTCCTTTATTATGAACATCCATCTTCTCCTCCTCTGGAATGTCCCTCTTAAAATGGTACTCTCAAAACTGAACAAAACAGTGTCTCACCAGCATACAGAGTGTCAGGGTTTTCCTCCTGTGATCTTGTCCTTTTCTTTCTCTAGGACCACGTTTGATGACAAATAGACCACTACACCCTATGTTCACCTCTGTTGAAGTGTTTAACATTGTCACTACTTACTTATGTGTTCTATGTTTTACTTACTTGATTATAAACTCCTTGAGGCGAGCTCTTACCATAGGGGTTAGCACACAGCATTTATAGCTGAATGTTTTTCAAAATAATTTTTTTAAATGGAGTCAACCCCTTTGTTTACATCAGAAGATCTGTCTGAATTCACTCCTTAAAATCAGAAGCTAAAAACCAGAAGATCATATCATGAGCATCCAAATTTTGAATGCTGCTGTCTGGGTTGAGACCATCAGAACATTTGCTTGACGGAGGAATCCTGGTATTTCCTACTGAGGGTGTCTTATGAGGGTCATTAATTAAGGATCCCAAAACTTTTATTTTTTATTTACAGACAAATTTTAAATTTCCTTTAAGTTTAGATTCAGTTAAAATCTTTTTAAATCTTTATATCTACTTTATTATCTTGCCCTGCCTTCAGCCATTTTCTGCGTGTTTACTATAATCCCCAGTTCTTGCTTGCTTGCCATCACTTTGTCCTGCTGGAACAAATGCCAGTTGGGTTTCTTTCCTTCAATATTCATTGTTTCCCCTTCAAAAACACAATCTACTTGAATTTTGTTCTACGAGCAAGCTGGAGATTTTCTCTCTTCCAGGCTCCTCTGCCAACATGTGGGGAAGAATATGACCTTGAGTACTGTATAAATGCTATTTTCTAAAACCAACAGAATTATCTGTAGAATGAGAACAAAAGGAGGAATGAAACCATCAGAGAGTTGGGCAGGCCAGTAACAGCAGCAGCCAGCATTTCTACAGTGCTGACAATGTGCCAGGCACTCTTCTAAGCATTTTTCTTTTACTCATCTAATCTTCACAACAACTCAAGGAGAGAAGCCAAAATATCATCCCCATTTTACAGACGAGGAAACAGAAGTTCAAAGGTGCTAAATAACTTACCCAAGATTACACAGATAGTCAGAAGTGGAGGTTGAAAACAAAATCTGAGCAGCTCCGGCACCAGAGGCTTGTACTTCCTCTTAATAAGGCTATTTCAATGCTACTGCTAGGTCTCTGCCTACATTCTCAGAAGGCATCTAGTCCTAATACCTATCCAGTCTCTTCTGCCTAGAGCAATGGACCCAGAAACATAATTCCATAGAGAGAAAACAAAGCTACCCTTAAGTCTTCTAAGAGAAGCCATTGTTAGACTGGTAGGAGCATTGGACTACAGTTGGGAGTCATGAATTCTAATCTCTGTCCCTATATTCTATGTTTGAACCTTTTGTCCAAAGGCTTGCATTAGAAGCTTGCTAACATCTCTTTCATTTCTAAAATGCTATTCTCAGAGAAATGAAAACAAGAATGTTAGGCCCTCTGAGGGTGCTAGCCTTCATCTCTAGCCCTATGACTCCCAATGTGTGAAAGAGATGTGGAATTAAAAAAAATTACAGTCACTTAGTGAAAAGGTTACTCACTTTTTATTCTTCATCAGTCACCCTGCTAGTGTCATAGGGGGAAGTCTCAGTGTGGCACTAGGATGTCTTCAACACCTCTCTAACACTTGCTAATCTCCCTTTATAACAAAGAGACAGCAGACTCTAGATTGAGAACTTTTGGCAGACAATATTCATTGTAATGATTTTATGTTGACTGCCAGGATAGACCTCCATCAGGCCTAAAACTCGGGCTTCATAAGGGCACGGTTCACCTGGGAGAAAGATATTCCACCAGTGTCCCAAAGCACACATTTTCAGCTATGTGCACCTATTGGACAGGCAGGCAGGTAATGAGAGCATGAGAGCCTATAGAGTTGGTGGGAAGGAGTAGAAGGAGAAAAAAAAGATTTTTTGGCAAAGGCTGATCCCTGAAAAACCTAATAAGATCCTCATCCTGATCATGTCTTTAGCAGTGGGACACCTTTGTGACTAGCAAAGGCCAGGAAAGTGTGACGTTCCATAACAGAGGCTTTCTGTGCCTCTTTGCAAATCTGTGCATAGTAAACTGTATGCTTTATCAATGTTAAATAAGCCTTTATCTTTTGCTTGCATCTTTCAGCTGATCTGTCCTGTTGTGACAACCATAGCATGTTTCCTTCCATTGATGGAAAGTAATACTCATTCTTTATTTATGGATACAACAAAAGTTTCCTTGTAAATTTAGTTAATGTGTGTAAGTTAAAAGACACAATCTTTGTTCTCATTAAATTCGCCATGTAGTGGCAAAGATAGACGTTGGTGATTTTCATCCAGTAAAGATGCAAGAGCCTCTGTCGGGTAGAAAAAAAATAACGCCTAAGGTGACTATTTGATTGTCCTGTGGGACATTAGCCAGTTTTGTATCTAACCTAGACATCTTATTTCAGTATTCTTTGTCAAGTGCCACATAACCTGATTTTCTATTTATCTTTGGAACTAGATTTTCATCTTATTGATGCCCTCATAATAGAGTTGAAAAAAACTAGCTGACCAATTTTCATTCTATATTTGTAGGTGAGCCGCATTTTACATTTTTGAAAATATTTCTTTGACAACACCAAACAAGTAAAATTTGACAAATATGTATTGATCAGGTCCAGTGTGCCAGACACACAAATAGACATAAATTAAAATGGTAGCAAGTACGTTGAAGGAAAAAGTGGAAGTGAGATTAGCTCAGTTTTTATTTCAAAGTCAAAGAAAGTGAAAGAAAGGAAGTTAAAAATGTGTAAGTGATTCTATATGTGGTTCATAGACATAGTAAAATCTTGAGGTAATGTGATTGGCTGAAATTCCGTGGGGTGTGTATATTTCCCCTTAACAGATGGATTCCTAGAGACTCAAGAATGCCAACAACCTACCTTAAGCCCATAACCCCTGAAGCTTCTCCACCACACAACCACGGCATTGACCTTCTCTGAGAAAAGACCCGAAGTCCTACCATGCCCACAGGCAACTCTGCCATCGTTTTGGCCATGGGGTAGCATGCGGATGGCAGGAGAAAGGGACAGGTGGCCTGGACAGAGACGGTAGTTGCCCATGGGAGAGGCAGAGGCCATCTCTAAAAATGAAGACTGCAATGTTCCTTTGTGTTCTTTTAGTGGCGCAGAGCTAGGAAGCCCCAGGGAGCAATGTCCCATCAGGGCTCAAATTATTTTCACTATAGACAAATGGATAAGCTTGCAAGTGATTCTCAAACTTTCTTCTGCCTCCTCCGTGCTCACACGCATAAGAAGAATCCATCAAGAACATCTTTCTAACAACGGAGGTTGACTTCAGAAATTCTAGGGTGAGGGAAAAACTTAGGACATTGGGAAAAGCTGCCACACCCCAAGATACTTATGTGTTCAAACTAAACTGAGACTCTCAGGCTGCACAGACCAAAGGACTAACAAGGGATACAACATACACGGTCCCCCAAACATATTAGGAGAATGTTGACTTTTGTCATTGACACCTTCTTACCTTCTCTGTCAGTCCTTCCCACCACTATCTTGACACCCCTCCCCTCTTAGAATTAGTGGCTTCACAAGAAAAACATATCCCAGTTACTTATCACATTTGATTAAACACCTCACCCTGAAGTGTAAATATCTCAGTGGCTCCTCCTTTTGCAGAGATATTTGCACCCTTTAGCTCTATACAACCCTCTCAAACAGTGGAATTTCAGCTATCAGAGAACGGCAGATAAGGTGGATATTTTGGGAAGGAGGACTTCCCCAAAGTCTATTTCTCAAATCAAATCACTTTGGGACAATTATGACAGTGATTTATTAAAGTAAAAAGGCTATTACTTTGTTCTTGCCACATAAAATGTCTATGTTTGCTTAGCTTAGCTGATTTCCTGGTCTATCTGATATACACTGACAGAATTCCATAGAAGAATGTTTGTCTTTTTTTTCTCCCTTCTTTTTTTATATTGCTTATACTAAGTTTCTTCCCCTTGGGAAGAAATTTTTAAAATACTTCACAGCTGCTTTGAAAACAGCTGTATAAATGCAAGACATTAATAAGAAAGGCCAAAACACGCACCAGCGCAAACTAAGACCAAAGTTATTAAACCATAACCTAAAGGTAGTCAAAGTAAAATATACATACATATTGAGTTCAAAACATATGTGATTTAATTAAAAGTCTAACTTGTGTTTAAAAAAGAATGGCAGGCAAAAAATAAGTCTGACACTTAAAAATCATAAATCATTCACACATGCACCACACACACATATGTACACGCAATCATTTCCTGAACCCTTAAGCTAAAGCTGCCTGAATACGAAAATAGAACAAGGACTTCAGTGCACAAAGCCTGTGAGCTGAAAACGACATTTTTATGAGAAGTTCTGTCTGCTTGCCTTGTACATCATTTATTCATAGCAATATCAATTAGTCATCTTGTCCCTATTCATGCAAAATGATTATCTACTTCTTCACAAGCAGTAGTGTGCAGATAACACACCAGAGGTTCCCTGGTGGCTGACTGTATCCATTTGTTTTCCATTCATTCCTGGGACAGGGGAATTACAAAGCCGTGTGTAGGAAATGCAGTATTTGTCCTCCACAAACTTCTTTATCTTTATTTGCCCCACTGTTGGCTATATTTTTTAGCCTACTGGCAGCCAAGGGTCACATGCCTATGAAGATAAATTTCATACTGAATCTGCTGTGAGCTGGAGTCAGTGCAAATCTGTGCCAGGACAGATTCAAAATGATGGTGAAGAGGAAGTTTCTGTATTTTATTTCTGTGTATATTGTCCTGTTTTCCTGATAATGGAGCCAGGGAAGACTTGGAACCAGGGCCTATTTTTCTGCCTTGCTCATCTCTCAGCAATGGATAAATAAACTCAGCCCTCCCTGTTGGCCAGACTTCAGTCTGATTTTCTGTGTGATGTCCTTAGATACTGAAGCACCATGATCCAGCATCCTCACCTGCAGGCCTAGTTTTGTTCATGCCTGGGGTGACTCAGGGTCAGAGAAATTGTGTTTCACCCAGGCTTTTGCTGCCAGTGAAGGTCGGGCTTGCTGTGTCCACAGTGGTGCTTCCTGTCTGTTATCAGCCTGGTTGACATTTGATGTGTGTCCATTTTGTGTGTCCACTGGAAGCCAAATGGCATAGCTCAAAGATAACATTTTGCCCTGCTTTCCTCCCATTTCAAAATGAATTCAAGCTTTCTGTATGGATAAGCTCAGTTTGGAGTCTGGGGGGAATTCCAAAGTCAAGAATGATCTGTTTGTGAAGTAATCCTAGTAACGTGTGGAATTTTCATAGTGATTTTTTTTTCTTGCAAAAGCTAAATGTTGAAGAAAAATGCAGGAAACTGGCAATTAGAATCAATCCTCTTCATAACAACAGCAGGATATCAGCTAGAAAATATGTCCTTTAACTGGTGTAATAATTGTCAGCAGTAAAAATCTTGGGAGTGGCCATGGAATCCACAGACTGACCTGGGGGACGCTTGAGGTACGGTTCTGCCACATAAAGAGGTCGTGTTTCAAGGACTGGTTCATATGTTGGTGTTTGGAATTCCAAACATGACTTCTGATTAAATGCATGGTACAAACAAAGATCCCAGGTTAAGCTCCACAACGCACAACAGGCAAAATATAATCTACGTGCAGCAGTTACAAAATAAACAATAACAAATATGATAGAATAAAATAAAATTGATTCTTAAGCCAACAAGTCTATTTGTAAACAATGAGTTTATTATGTCAATGACTGACTTTAATGTAGTATATATTCCTGCTTCTCTCAGTTTAGTTATTCAGTCAATAGAGCAAATGCTTGGTGAACACCTACTATGTGCCAGACAGTATTCTAGGTGCAGTGAGCCAAACTGACAAAAATGACTGTCATGACAAAAAGAGAAACAGAGGCAGAGAGAAGACAGGGAGAGAGAAAATGAAGTAAAATTTTTAAGTTCAAAGAAGAATATTAAAACAGAGAAGGGGGTTAGGAAATGTCAATAAACGTGTCATAGCAATTTTAGATTTTAGCAGTGAGAAAGTATGATTTTAGTCAAATCTTGAAGCAGGTGAAGAAGTACTTGCCAGGTTTCAGTGGGAGCCAATCCCAGGCAGAGGCTACAGCAGGTGCAAAGATCCTGAGGAAAGCTGCATCTGCTTTAGAACAAATGTGTGAACACTTGTTGCTCCTACTTGCAAGGAAGATGTGAGCTTTTTGATTAGAGGGACCCAGGGTTCAAAATACCGACAAAATGAAAAATATTTTAGTTAAGTTCTCCCCACCCTCTGGGTGACTACTGAGCTTATGTTGTTCTCTTAGAGACAATCAGTTGGGCAGAAAGCTGGGGGATATTTATGTTCAACTCTTTCCTGTGTACTCTAATTTATGCACGAGACAGGATCTAGGAATGCACGACGTGATGGACAATCCTTTCATGAATCTGTAGGCATGTGTTTTTATATGTGTATTTTATAGTATCTTTTAAGGTACAGAAGTTTGGGAAACTTTTATTGTGAAATGCAACATATATACAGAAAACAATGATGTGGAGCTTCATGATTTCTCACAAAGCAAACACCCATGTTACCACTTGTCCAGGTCGAGAAACAGAATACGGCTGGCATCCCTTGCGCCCCTCCGAGCACCACCCCTCCCTCCCTTATAAAGGTAAACCACCCTCTGACTTCAAAATAACTGCTTCTTTGCCCTCGGGTTTTAAAGAGAAAATGGTAAACGGACCCTCATGTACCCTAGTTATCAATGACAGGCCAATCGTATATCACATCATCCCCATTCCTTCCCTTCATCATTCCTGTCCAGCTAAGTTATTTAAATTATGTACTTACTTTTAAGGAGGGATAGTCTACATGAAGCAAAATGTACAGATCTAAAGCCTACAGTTCCATGAGTTTTACATGTATAAATTATCCACATATACTTTATGCATGTCTAAATTGATATAAACATTGAGCATTACATATTTGTTTTGAGCTCTCTTTAATAACTAGGAACTTGGAAGCACAGAGTAGACTTCAGTGTCCCTCTGTGTCCATGTGAAAATCTGGAAGCAGCTTAGCTAGCAGTCAGATGGAGCCCCTGAAGCATGCTGCTACGAGTCTTTCTAAGCCCTTTCTAAATGTATACTGTTATCAGCTACCCACTGCTTTTCCCTTCCCCCTCCCTCCTTTTCCTTCTGTCGGCAAAATAGTTTGTTATGGATTGGTGATAAAAATCAGTGTCCACTGAAAGACACATCAAGACGACCACCGTGGGAGGCCATCAAAGCATACCAGGCCACGTTATGCCACAGTGTGAAGAGACCGTCTGTCAGGAGGTCACAGGCCATGTCCACCAACTCACTTCTCCTATTTCCCATGAATAGAAGGGGTTTGCCCCCAATCCAACCAGAGGACTCGCTTCCTCGAACTTTCCCCAGTGACTGGAAATGTGCAGGGTGTGTAATGTGTAGGCTCAGGAGATTAGCAGAGCCAGTGAGCTGAGCCTCTGGTTAATAACTCCCCTTGGGGACACATGCATGTTTTCCCTGGTGGTACTCAAGTAGGATTCAGCTCTCCTTCTCTCGCTCCCACCTTCCTTCTTCCTACAGCACTCATAGGGCTTCCTCTGCTGCGTAATGGGTCATGGTGAGCCAGAAACACATTTTTGTCCTCTAGTTACAGGAAGCTTAGGAAGGCAAAAAGTCTTTATTTCACATTCCTCAACAGGCCTCCTAAAAAAAATGTGCATATGCTGATTCTCAACACTTCTTTACTAATAAATGGTGTTTGCAAAATGAGTCAGAATTTCTACATGTTATAATTATATTTAGATGTGAACTGCATGTTTTTCATACTCACCAATATTTTATTAGTCCACATCTCTGCCTCAATTTATTTATTTTTATTTTTTTTTTGACACAGAGTCTCACTCTGTCACCCATGATGGAGTACAGTGGTACGATATTGGCTCACTGTAGCCTCGACCTCCTAGGCTCAAGTGATCCTCCCACCTCAGCCTCCCCAGTAGCTGGGGCTAGAGGAACGTGCCACCATACCCAGCTAATTGTATTTTTTGTAGAGACAGATTTTTTGCCATGTTGCCCAGGCTAGTCTGGAACTCCTGGGCTCAAGTGATCTACCCACTTTGGCCTCCCAAATTGCTGGGATTACAGGCATGAGCCACAGTGCCTAGCCTCCTGCCTCAGTTTAAAAACAAAAAAAAACAAACAAAGTAGAAACTAAAGAAAAGGTATCCCTAACTACTGACTGTGCTTAAATTTTGTGTGAATTTTTTTCACCCTTTAATTTTCTTGATGTGGTTTAGGTCAGCCAAATAGTATTCATTTTACCCACAGGCCCATATAAAATTGTTCCTGCAGGAAAACAAAAGTATGGTTTTCAAAGCTGGCCTGAGTTACTCACAGGTAAGAGTGATAAAATCCCATTAGACAATGACATATAAAGCTGCAAATATCACTACATGTACATGCAGGTTTTCAGTGAGCCTACATAGAACTTAAGACCTTTGATTAACAATTTACAGCTCCAAAACTCTCAGAGACTAAATTTTCCACCTGGAGGGCTTTGTGTTGGGGTGTTCCTCTCTATCAAATATTTTTTATAACAGGAAAATAAAAATGAAAGATCCACAATAAAAATGGGTTTGATCCAAGATTAGCAAATGCAGCTTTGATATGGTCCATCCACATGGATGCCAGTTAAAGTACTGCTCCCCAGTCTCCACGATGCACACAAATCTCTGGGGATCTTGTAAAAATGCAGATTCTGATTCAGCAGGTCTGGGCGGTACCCAAGATTCTGAGTTTCTAACCAGCTTCCAGGTGTGCTCGATGCTGCTGGTCCATGGACCACACTTTGAGTAGCAAAGTGTTAAAGCAAGTTATCTCGCTATGCTAGAATTTTTCAGGTAGCAGACTGCAGTGGGAGGGAGGAAGTTGGAGAAGAAGGGGAGGGTCGGTTAGAGTAAAGGTGAATTGCTTTTTGTTTCCTGTAGTAACTTCTGCAGCCTTTCATGGGAAAGTGAATCCAAGGTATGGGATTCCTGTCTTTTAAGTGCCGTCTCTCCGACATAAAGTGTCCCAAGTGAATTTTCAAAGACTTGCCCAGGGTTTTGCTCTCTTGACTCATGGAAATTAACTATGGTCTTTCCAGTTTATGCTTTGAAAAAGGCATCTGACTTTATTTTTGTGGGAACCTGCATCCCATAATAACAGTGGTTCTCAGTGGGAGGAAGATGAAAGCAAATTAACCCTTTAAATTACAGGGAACAGAGAGCAGTAAATTCACCCTAGTCTGAGGCAGCATCTTTTTCTCCTTTTCATAAGGTACAGAGCTCCTTTTAAGGCAATGAAATGTCTGTTGGAAGATGAAGGCCAACAGGTCTTCCTTCTAGGAGACTTGAATCTCTCCATGTGGCTGTTATTGATCAAAATAAGGTAAGGTTTAGGGATATAAAAGAGGCCGCTTACCAATCACAAGATAAAAAGGGAAAAGCATCGAATTTCTCCTGAGCACCTCACTTGTTCCAGGCTGTCTATATATAGGATGCCATTTACGTTTCATTATTTCTGTGTACAGCAGGTGCTATTCTTCCTTACTTCCTCATTGAGAAAATTGAGATCTACAGAGGTTATGTTTATTGCCACAATTCTACATTAATTAAATGGCAGAGCTTGGAATGTGAGCTCAGAGCTCTCTGATTCCAGAAATACTGAAATTGTTTCCCAGTCTCTTTGGCTGAGAGCTTCCTGTTAATTTACAGGCAGAGCCATCCTTGTATGCTGTGCCTAGTACCCAGGTCTTCAATCACAAATTGTTATATAACTAAATGAACACATTCATATCACCTACATCCCATGTACCCCATACAGGGACGCATGCTGCAAATTACATGTGCAGATCATGAGATATGCAGATTCAACCTTCTATCCTCCTTGAAAACTCACTCAGTGGTTTTACTCTCTTTCAAAAGCTCAGAGGAATTGGTTCCCTCTGCCCCTCCACAAAATAAGAGCCCCAGTAAAAGGAGCTAGATGAAGTTCTCACTAATGTCAGTTCTCAGGTGCCGTAGTGTTTTATAAGAGCTTTAATAGTTTTCCTTGAAGCAATGAAGAGAATGAAGGAGACTGTGGGTGGAAAGAGGTTTAACTCAGAAAAAAGCAGGACATAAGTCAAGGGCAGTGATACGTGCCTCAGTTATTAACATGCATGCCATAGGAGAGCCCCTGCCCTACCTGGACTCAACAGGAAAAACAATTTAAATGAAAAAAACAAGTCATGGTTCTATGATCCAGAAGTATTAGAAAACACAGCATGGAATGTGTCTTCTGAATTAAGAAGTAAGGTCACCATCCCTGCTTTTTTTTTTTTTTTTTTCGACACTAGTGTGAATTTCTCTTCTTGGAATCACTGTGAACAGATGATATTCATGTTCAATATGCAAGAAGCACATACACACACACACACACACACACACACACAGGTACATACCCATATATGAACAAACAGACACACAGAAACAATAGGAAGCAAGTGTCACCACCCTCACAGAGAGTGGTGAATCAGAATTCTCAGACAGTATTCTGGTAATAATACTAAAGAAAGATATTCCATGTCCTCATATACTTGATTGCACTTTCCACATCCACTAAAAATATGGCTCAAAATGATTGCAAGAAAGCGACTGTCTTAAAAACCTTGACATAATTTTCTAAATAAGTATTTGGATCTCCATAAAAACAGAGAACCCAGGTATTTGAACTGTTCATTTGTAGAGTAAAATTAAGTTTCATGAGTTTACTGTTACCTGTCCTTTGGCCTGGTACTTAGTAGAGCCTCAATTTCTATTTGTGGAATTTAGGAAAGAAAAGCTAAGAAATGTTTGCTCTGAAAACCAAAGGACTAGGATAATTGGGGAAGAGCTAGTGCTTACATAAAAAGAAAAATCTCAACACATTAAAGATCTCTTCTATTGTCCTACTGACACACCTGTTGAATATAAACAGATATTGTTGAAATAAATAAGATCACAATGCTCCACTGCATTGATAGAAATACCTCTTGACAGTTCTTTTGTTTACCTGTGTCTTCTCAGTGTGGGACATCTTCATATTGCTCCCTCCTTCCTGTCTTTTCCAATTTCACCTACTGAAATATATTATAGCTGTTTAGTTTTTGTTAACTTGGGGTTGGAAATGGTGCTCCAGAAGTAGAAGCAGCTGAGGGCATGTGGTTTCTAAGATCAGCATCCACTGGACAGGATGAAAATACCGAGCCGACCACATGGATGCCTGGGACATCAGGCTGCCCACACATAAAAACTAACGATCGAAAAGACCTGTCGTTTGGTTAGAATGGAAGTTTGATCAGTGTAACTCTGGTTAAAATCTCAGAAAAGCAAACACTGGGCCTTCTTGGGTGGAGGTGGAGATGCTATCAGTCTGTTTTCTTTCTCCTGATGGGCAGCTCAACTTCCCTCCTCTCCTATCTTGTCTTGATTTGAGTGACTCTGCTCTGGAGATCTCCCCATCATGATCACTTTCCTAGAATTTCAAGAGGAATTTCTGCCACTTCAGGAGAGCATCGTTGTCTGTTTATTTTGATAAGTCTGTCACTAGGACAATAGAAAAGATGCCAATGTCTGAGATTTCCGTCTTACAAGGGCACTAGCTCTTCCATTATAGATCTCAGTTCATTGGTTTTTCAGGGCAAGTATTTCTTGGGTTTTCCTTCCTAAATCTCACAAAGCAATTTCCTACAGAAAGCAAGATATTTGAAGATGAGTGTAAGAATCAGGAGTTGTAAGACAGTTTCATTTTGCCTTAAATTTTAAACTTCTATGGGAGAGAATACACTGATGGGTAGCTGGGAGTGAGAGGTCACTTAGCTCCTCCCAGAATCTCTTAAAGCCACCCCAATTAAACACAACCTAAGTAAGTATTGTGTGTTTACAATGCAACCACAGCCTCTGGAAACTAGAATGCATTCGACTGTATTGAGACAGTGAATTTGTTTTAGATAAACAACTCTGGGATAGGGGCTCTTGCTGTTCTGCCTTACCTCTGGAAGGGTACAGGAACTGAAGGGACGAGAGGACAAACCCGAAGTAAGGGAACGAGTGGGAAAGTATGGAAGCAATTATTACAAGCTGAGATGAGCCAGGGAATCAAGGACTAGAGAGCCCATCTTGGCTCATGAAAATGAGCAAACTCAGTATGACGTTGGAACTGCAATCCAGAAACAACAATCTCAACAATGCGACTGGAGTGTTATTCTAATTGAAATATATAAAAGTACATCATCATCCTCCTCTTCAGCTAATTGTTCCAAAGCCATCTATTACCCAACTGTGTTGGTAGAGGAGGATTTGATTTAAGAAGACTCAGAAAACATTTAAAAATTGTGTTTGAATGGAATATGGTAATAAGCCTTTTATGTGAGAGCATCAAATAAAAGAAAGCAGCTCAGTTATGACATGTCCTGCATTTCCTTTCATTGAATGCATCTGAAATATTTTGAATTTTAAATATAGGATAAACATAATTTCTTCTAAAAATAGTTTTTGGGTCTTAGTTTTTAAGCCAGCACAAGTAAATTACTCTGTGTAAAGGTTGAATAAACCCAAACTCTTGCTTCTATCTTTAAACAGCATATACTATGTACTAAAGCTCTCTGAAAGAAAAACAGGTGAGCTGCTAAGTTGAGATCCTACAACAGATAGACTCCCATCGAGATATCATCAGAGAAGCAGCAGCAGCAACAATATTAAAAATCTCAGGAGAAAAATTGAGTTAATTTTAGGTCTACTTTCAAAAGTTAAGTGCTTTTGAAAATTTACTGATTCTCTGATTTCAGAATAATTCTTCCTAGTAAATAGTTAGATAAAACAGCATTCACAGCTAGCTCAAGTCTGAATACCTCCTAAAATAAAAGAAGAATATATTATATAAATCCTTCAGTTTTCTAGAGCACTTTCACCTATATTTGTTCCTTTGTTCTTCAGAACTACTCTGATGTGTGTTCACAATGGTGGCAGGGCATCCTTTCAAGAAATGTTATTCCATCTCTTCTAATGTCCTCAAATCATGTTTTCACCATAATGGATGATGCCTTCCTATGTGAGATATAGCAGAGGTAGAAATGCCCTGTCCCAGTGGCTCCCAAAATTTGTCTGTACTTTAAAATCACCTGGGAAACGTCAAAAAATATGATGTCTCTGTCCTGCCCCTGGAGATTGTGATTTATTGGTCTGGGTGTGGCTTGGAGTTGGAATTTTTAAAAGATCTGTAGGTACTTCTAATATACAGGCAAGGTCAGGAGCCAACAACCTAGTCTCTTTGGATCTCATTTTCCAGACTTGAAAACAGCATGTGTGGGTGGAGTTGAAAGGGCTTGAAGGTGTCGGGTAGTCATTAAAGAGTTTCCTGAAGTAGGTTCTGGAGAACTCTGGTCTTCTCTGAACCATGTGAGGAAACAAAAGGGGTTCTCTGATGAAATCACTTTGGAAAACAATGTGCAAACTACATTGGTTGAATACATAACAATTGTCTTAATAAAAGAATCAAACTATCAACCCAGAATCAAGAGTGCTGGCTCAATTTCTACCTCACCACCGACTAATTATGAATCACTGGATGTCATTTACCTCACCAGAGCTCAGTTTACGCATCTGTAAAGAAATGGGTTGACCAGATCTCCAGTGAGATGCCTCATACTTCTAACATTCCACAAGCCCTGAACCAGAAATCTCTGAGATCCCATTTATTTTAGGATCCCAGGAGTCAAAGGGAACCAATGATCTTATCTAAGCCACTCAAGACTACAATATGGGGGGTATTCTTAATTGGTCTAATTTGCAATGAATCATCATTAAGCCTCTAGGCAATGTAGCTGCAGACTGTGATTCTTCCTCTAGTGGTTAAGACTCATTTTATTCCTGAAAGCTTTTTAAAATATTATCTTCCTTACTGCTGCAAATAATGACAGCAGAGTCTCAGACAGGCTGATTCATAGCTACTGTTTCTCAGCCTCGTAAGTACAGACGACAATCGACACAGGCCTTCTTGCCTTTAGCTTTCTTGCTGCCAGCAGACTGTCTGGACTTTGCCCGGGCCGACATTGGGCATTAATGAATGCCGCATTCACTCCACTGGATATCCGAAGTGACTAATGCATGGAATATTTGGGCTGCCTTCAGTACATTCAATGTCCTCTTATGCCATCTACCCATTTTCCTCGTATTAGGCTGGAAACAAGAATAACTCATAAAATACAGCAAGGCCAAAAGGAATTTAGTGGCAGGGAGGAGAGAAAGTCTAAAGGCCTGCTTGGTCCTGTACACCATCTATATACTGATGACTTGTCAGTAGAAAGTTTGGGTGAATTGTGTTTCCTCTGAGCCGATCCTTTCATGAAGTCTTGCAAATTATTAAAATACCTATAAGCTAATTATTTATTTTGAGAATAAAGGGCTGCCCTTGATGCCTTAAATCAGCTCTTGACAAAGCATGACCCATGGGATAAATTCAGCCTGTAGACTATTTTAGTAAACAATATTTTATTGGAATACAGCCACACTCACTTGTTTATACTTTATCCATACCTGTTTTTGCTCTAAAATGGTAGAGTTGACTAGTTGCAACAGAGACTGTATGAACTGCAGAAGCTAAAATATTTATGATCTAACTGATCATTGTTTTATACTTTATATATGTCATTTGGTATAGACATATTTTTTATTCACTTATTTCTTGCTTTCTTCATGCAATCAATTAATTATAGGTATTTAATAATGAAAGCAATTAAGTAAATATTAAAGAAACAATACAATAAGAAACAACAAATTAAGTTTCTGTCCTTTTAAAACATACCTAAATATCGATAGTCATCTTATTGCAATCATTTATCTACAAAATCTTTTAGAACTTCACTCTTATGTTCTTATATGCTTGGCCTTCAGGGAAAAAAAAGAGAATTATGTACATGACCTGCTCATGTGCTCCACTATATTATGCCAATCAAATAAAATATACATAAATGGTAAAAATCACCCAATCTAAAGCTAAAGAGAACCATTATTTCTGGTCCTTCCTTTCTAGTCAATGTCATAAAACTAGAGTTGGTGATAAATCTAAGTTTTATAATATGCAGGAATCTTTCCTATTAAGCTATCATAATAATATATGCATATATATGTAAATGCACATATAAACAACCCATAAACATGAATATTTGTGGTATATTTCTAAATGTTTCAACATGTTAGGTATTTTGCAATTTTTCTCTCTTAGGATAACTGTTGCCAGAATATGTTTTCTCTTTTTGTAGTCTTAGCATGGACAAAACAAGTAAATACATGAGAGGTTTGGTCTGGGATTTACTCACTTAAGGGGGAAGAAAAGATTCTAGTTGTAATTAAGTTTTAAGGCAGGTGGAAAATATACCCTTGTTCAACCATCTCAATCCTGGGCACTTCTACCCTGAAGCTGTGATGTACATTGAAATCAAAATATGGTTGATTTTGAAGTAAACATTTTTTTTCCTAGCACACAACAGCAAATCTGACACTTAAATATGTGAAAAACAGAAGCCAGAACAAATTCAAAATAAATATGAGTTACTAACAGTTATAGATTAGGGAGTTCTGTTTCCACAAATCCTTAGCAAGGAGTATGCTCACAAAGCATGTAATTACACTAACAACTAACATGATAGATTTCTTAGACTCAAGATCACACAACAAAGTAATAATAATAACAATACTTATATCTCTGGGGCACTGCTTTTCTACTGTTGGGATCTAAAATTCCTAAGTCAATATCTTATTTATTTGCTGAGAACCAACCCTTTCACTTTTCTAAATTATTCCATATTAGGATTTCATGAACTAGTAGATCAGGTTACTACTCCTTATAGAAAGCTGCTGGAAAGTGCTAACTAAAGTGCTGGAATTTTAATGCCATATTTTAGTGGAGTAAGTGCATGGTAGAGGAAGATTAATTAGGTTTAAGACAGAAGGAGAGTCCAATTTAATTTTGCCCCATTACTCAACTTGCCTGGAAATTATACTTAGTGTGTGGGATTCTTCCCCCGAGGGGAATAGCGCAGAGCCTCCTTCCTACCCTGTCAAGCACAGGAAGCTGTGTAGTCTTTCTGTGCTCATTCTGTTCTATGCCCGCAGAGGTCTGTTTGTGCCAGGACAGCTTTGCAAGGCAGTGGAAATCCTTTTCTGGCACAAGATTTGCAAGATGTGGAATGGGCCTGTATGGTTAAGATACGTTAGCATGAAAATCCAGCTTTGACTGAAAAGTCTCAAAGAGGCTTAGGCTCCAATTCTGTGTCAGGAGGGAGAAGCAGAGAGAAATATATTGTCACATTCCAGTTATTTCCAAGTAGATTCTTGCCTTTGCAATTCCAGTTTAGCCAAAGAACTTCCAGAGCTGAATAAGGAAATGCTCCAGAAGAAACACTATGCCAAAAATGCACCTTCCTTCTTCCCCTCTCAAGTTCCATGTTTATTAGCCCTGGAAAAGCCCTCTTTTTACCTATTGAAATTCTTTAAGCCCCAACTCTAACTCATTAATCCTTCCTTAGTCCTTTTCAATATCTCGCCTTTAAATTCTTAGAGTATACAGCCTGTGCCACAGAACTTGGCAGTGAAACTCCACAGCTTTACACCTTCCAACCTGCAGACTTTGAAAGACAGAAGCAAAACTCTGTGTGAGGTCAGACTCATCAACTGTGCCTACCAACAGAGGGCGTAGCAGTTGGGAAAGTGATCTTACGAACCAACTTCCTAGTATTTGCTGGAGGATATTCTAGGGTTTGTCACTGTTCTTAGCCTGTCTCTCATAGTAGAGCACAAGCTTTTGAGACCTGGAAGTAATCTTTGTTAATAACTCGATTGTGTTATGATCTACAGTTTCACTTCTGGTCTCCTTTCCCTTCCAATGCTTTTAAGTCCTCTGTGCTAACTCTAATGCCAGGTGTCACCCATAGGCACAGTTCCTGAGCTAGTCTGAAGAACCCTGGAAACACTATGGTTCCTTGACAATAAGATGCCTTAAACTTTAAGATAAACTATCAACCTAGTAATAATGAAAAATAGCATTGCATTAAGTGTGCTTATTGATTATAAAATGAACTTCAATTTTTAAAATATTCTGTTGTGTGTGTGAGAGTTTTTTTTTTTTTAATGGTCACCATAGAACTGATAAATAAGGCCTATCAGGAACATCACCACCAAATCCAGTGAAACTTGGAACTGAGTTGCTTTGATCACAGATGGACTTGTGGTCGTGAGTCCCCAGGGTGGTAATAATTCTACCTGCTGAAATGTGAGGCCTTGTCTCAAGCATTACAATGGACTATTGGGGTTTTACTATTATTAATACTGCTTCCCTATAAAGCTAGATTTTCTCTTTGAATCCTGACTTGATTTAGTGAAGTTTTGTGCCTTTTCAGCTTGCCATGATCTTGTTCTTTTTTCCCTACTGGTTCTGTATTTTCCTCTTATAGGATTAAGATAATTTATGCAAATGGGCTAGAGTCCCCAAAATATAAAAAGACTTTTACACAATCATCTCTAAAGATTTCATTGTATTTCATAGTATATTTCTATCACTTATTTAATTAATGTCTTTGTTGCTGGACATTTATAGTATATGCCCAAATATAAACAAAATGAAATAAAAATAGATTTCTCATTTTTCAAAAAAGTGGATTAAAAAAAAACGATGTTTTGGCCCACTTGTCTCCATTTTTTTAGCTGTTCATCAATAGTTTCACACTTGATTTGGCCCAGTTTTCTTTTTTGAGTAAGTAACTATGTGGAATGTGTTTGTATGTCAAGGTCGCTGTTGTTATTGTTTGCATTTAGGCATAATTCCTTTGCAAACTTACCGAGAATTGAGACTACGAAGTAAAAGTATATGAATATATTTAAGGCCTTTTACAATTGTTTCTAAAATTTAAACCACTGTAGGTTCCCATTAAGTGTATATAAAAGTAGTAAGATGAGTCACGTTATATTTTTCTAAGATTGTTTTCAAGTTTTTTCTGAAATTTCCATTTTATTTGCAAGAGTGTTCGTAATATCTTAACAATGTCTGCATTATGTGTGTGATGGCCTCCTTGTCTTCCTGATTTTGATTATTTGGGCTTTCTTTTTTTTCCTTTTCTTAAAATTAATTTTCTAGATGTTTTAAAATTTTGTGTTTTCAATGAACCAAATTTTGGCAATGTTTATCTTCTCTGCCCTATTTTTATCATTTGAACTACTTTATTCTACTTTGTGAAAGTTTAGTAACTCCTTGTAATGAATGCAGATATCATTTGAATATTTGTCCTCCCCCACATTTCATGTTGAATTGTAATCCCCAATGTTGGAGGAGGGGCCTGGTGGGAGGTGACTGGATCATGGGAGTGGGACCCACATGACTTGGTGCTGTCCTCGTGATAATGAGATCTCCTGAGATCTGGTCATTTAAGTGTGTGGTGGCTCCGACTTCTCTTGCTCCTCCTCCTATCATGTAAGACACCTGCTCCCCCACCGCCTTCCACCATGATTGTAAGCTTCCTAAGGCCTCCCCAAAAGCAGATGCTGTGCTATGCTTCCTGTACAACCTGTAGAACTGTGAGCCAATTAAACCTCTTTGCTTATAAATTACCCAGTTCCTGGTATTTCTTTATAGCAGTGCAAGAACAGACTAATACAAATACCTAGTTTGTGCATTTCAGCCTCTTTTTTACTGTATTGATTTTTCCTTGCAATTCTATTAACTACTGAGCAAGATAATATGCTAAAATTCTGAGTGGTTATTTTTGATTCATTTGTTCTTTCAATTCCTGAAACAGATGTGTTAAAAGTTTCTTATATGAGTGTAGTTTTGCCTATATATTCTTTTGATTCTCTTATTGTCCACGTCTTCTTGTGGTTCCATCAATTTTTGATTTATATGCTGTGAATCTCTATCATTAGGTGCATGGATATGTAAAATCATTACATCTTCTTGTGAGTTGAAGTTGTTATCATTATAAAGTGACTATACCTTTTGCCTTAAATCTATTATGTTTAGTATTACTATTGCAACACTACCTTTCCTTTGTTTTACACTCAAATAATACATATTTGTCCAAGCTTCTACTTCTGTTTTATTTTTATTGTTAGCTCCAGGGACACATAGGATGTATACTACACAACTTCAGGGAACACCACCCTCATAAACTAGAACATGAATTCCCCACTTCCAGTGATTATGGATGTACCGGATTTCACAGGAATTTTCCTTAATCCAAGCTAATATTCTTTACTTTTAATTATTCAGTCTATTTGCATTTAAATCAGTCTATTTGCATTTCAATGATTACTAACACGTTTGTGTTTAAAATATACCCTCTTGATTTTTATTTTTCTCTAACTATTCTATTGTATTTCCTTTCCCTCTTGTAATATTTCAGTTTGAATGTTTTTATTCTAATTTTTAAATATTAATTTGAAAATCATACAAGTTAAAACATTAGTATACATCAAAGTAGAAAATTAATCAATACTTCAATTTTCCCTTAGAAAAGACAAGGTCCTTAGAACATTTCAACTCATTTTTATCACATTCAAGTAAATCTGTTAATGTTGTTTTGGATTTAAATTCTGTCTTAATCTTTAATACCTTATTATCATGTTTAATTATTGTTATTTTGTACATTTTATTAGACTTACCCACATATTCACTTTGTTCTCTCTTCTTCATTCCCTGTTCACTTTGGATCTTCTCTCTGGATTCAACTTGATTCTGCCTCAAGAACATTCTTTACTATTTCTTTTAGTGTAGGTTTGCTGGTGGCAAATCCTCTCGCTTTTTGTTTGCCTGAAAATAATCTAAATTTCTTCTTCACATGGAAGGTAACTTTCACGGGATATAGATTTTCAGGATGACATTTACCTTCTTCAGCACATTAAAGTCACCATTCCATTGCTATTGGCATTCACTGTTGCTATTAAGTTAGCTGTCAGTCATTTCTTTAAAGATAATCTGTTTTTCTTTTGTCTATTTTCAGGATTTTTCTTCTTCATTAGAATTCTGCAGTTTCATGATAGAATGATTAGGTGTAAATGTCTTTCTATTTACCCTTTTAGAGATTTATTAGCTTTTTTTAAAATCTCTAGATTCTGTCCTTAATCAGTTCTAGAAAATTTTTATTTATTTTCTATTCAAATATTATCTCTCCATTATACTTTTATTCTCTCCTTTATGGAATCAAATTAAGGGTATATTCGTTCTTCTCAATCTATCCTTTTTGCCTCTTGACCTTCTGTATTCCATCCACTGTCTCTCCATGCAACATCCTAAATAATTTATTCTAACGTTTCTTGCAGTTCTAATTCTTTCTTGGATTGTATCTAATATGCATTTAAACTTATACTTTAAACTTTTAATTATTATATTTTTTATTTCTAGAAATAACACTTTTTAATTTTTAAAAGGAGTAACCAATGGGATAGAAATATTACTTTGAAAAATATGCTAGATCACTTAAACTTTTCTATTCTCTGTAAACATTTTCAAATGTGGCTTTAAATCTTTAAATCTAGCAAACAGATTGTTCTATAATGTGTCTACTAATTCTAGAATGTGACAATCTTGGAATTTGTTTTCTTTTCTTTCACTCTTCATTTTTATTTTCAGTTTTCTGCTGGTTCTTGCTCACAGTTCCTTGTTTCCGTGGGTACTTGGAATTATTTGACGTTGTGTTTCTCATTTTATTTGAAAATTATTTTTTAGAAGTATTTTAAGGCTATGACAATGTTATCCTTCTTTAGTCAAAATGAGTATTATTTCTTTCATCTACTCATTGTTACTACCAATGCTGATACTACTCTAAATTAAAATTAACTCTGTGTGTGTGTGTGTGTGTGTGTGTGTGTGTGTGTTTTCTTTTTTTCTAAAGAGGCACCAAGGAATTGCAAATTTGTTGGCAAATCCATCTAAGTTCCACCTTATTTCTTCTTCACTTTTGTTCTGATGGTACAATCCTTTAACGCCTAACTGAAGTTGATGATTCCTCAGCCTTAGAAGGCTCTGAGTTTAATTTATTTCTCTTTTTTCTCCTCAAGGCTAAAGTTCCCAAAACCAGTGTTCACATTTCTCAGTTTTGACAATTGTCTTTATGGTAAAATCAAACTTTGTTTTCTATCTTTTGAGTTGCATCTTTCTCTACAATTTCTATCTTATGAGTTATTTAACACTTCATATTAATCCTTTAAAAATATTTTATTCAGAATTTTAAAATTATTTTTAGCAGAGAGATTAATATGAATAACCTAACTTTCAGTAGAGGTACTCCAATTAAGCTCTTCACAAGTTAACAGCTTTACTCCTTTTCTTCTTTCCTATAAGTGACCTTTGATAGCTTTTTATTTGTCTTTTCTTAATAGCTCTTCAAAAATGGAATAGATTGCTTCCTGAGTGAATGAACTATGAGCCATATAACATAATCACTCCTTGACTGATAAGATCTCAGAGAAATCATAAAATAGGTTTGTATCATAAACAAAAGGTTAAACTAAATGACTTCTGAAATGCTCCCTCAACATAAAAAGGAGATTCTCTTTTCTACCTTAATATTGATTTCCAATAAACTATATTTTCTTTTTACACATTGTAAAAAGAAATGAGAACCTATCACTTCTCTATTTCATTAATATTTCTATTTGATTTTACTTTCTATTTTGTCTTGAATAATTGTCCTATTTAAATTCTTTACATGTAATTCTTCCTCTTAAACTATTTTGTAAATGAGGAATGGCTTTATGTGTACATTTTAAATCTCTCATAACCTCCAACCACTATATTTATTCATTATTAGACCTCTGTAAACGGCTGCATTGTATCTGAGTTGAAAATATTCATAACAAATGATCAAGGCATTGATTTTCCATGTGCTTCACACATATAATTTTATCTAATCTTCATAAAAACTCTATGACATGTAAGTTGTTATAACTTTCATTTTATAAATGAGAAAATTAAGGAATATGGAGCTAATGTATCCAGACCCAAAACAGAAAGTGGTACAAACTGGGGTTTGGTTTCAGGATGTTCGGCTCCAGAATTCTCATTTTTAACCACTTCACTATACTACAGTTTCAAAAGTGGTTGAGGTAATTGCTTAACTAGTATTTTCAAAATAATAATAGTAATAAAACAATGAAAAATGGTAAACAGCAGTTAAAGAGAATCAGGCCTTTTTGGCAATAGAATGGAAACATTCATTCCTTGTAGTCAATACCCTGTTTTGTGCATGTTTGTGTGTGTGTGTCTGTGTTTGTGAGTGTGCATGATGGTGATGTTTTGTCTCTTTTTCTTTAACCATTTTTTCTTGTAAAATCATATTTTCTCATTCTATTATTCTTACTGTGCTGTGAAAATGACTACGCAGGAAGGCCCTATGCCCCTTCCTGACTGCTGCAGCCCCACTTTCTCTCCCTCAATGTCTCCTGAATGACATTTTCTGTGCAGTTCCAGCAGTTCAGCATGCTCTAATCTTGATAACACCTGCATCAAGAATGGAGGGAGTGTGCTGAGCCAGGCCCAAGCAGGCAGGCTTTGGCTATCAATGCTTCCTCTAGAAGCTGGCTTTTTTTTTTTTCTGGCTTATGTATTCTTTTCCATTTCTGGCCTCATTCCTCCTTGCCAGCCAGTCCTCCCTCTATTCACATGTCATGTGGATCCTTTATTGATCCACATGGACAGTTCTTTATTGGACAGTTCTTGTTAGTTGCATGATCATCATCGATGACAATAGTTCTACCAGGCCAGTAAGGTTATAGGATTGCAGTCTTGCCATGCTCCACAAACATCGAAGTGCCATTCTGTTGCATGTACAATAGCCAAAGTTTGCCACGATTCTTTTTGACCACAGATGAATTCCAGGGAGGTCCTTGTTGAGTAGAAAATGAGTGGAGGCTCACTATGGGTAACCTCTCACCCAAAATTGTCAGCAGCAGTGTGCCCCATCACCAGGAGACAGTTCAGAGCCCTGAACTGGGGACACAGTAGCAACTTTAACACCCAAATCCTACATCATCCTTCAGAATTAGAATCTGGCAGATGCCTAAAGGAGTAATGCCCTATAGATTTAGGATGGTTCATGAGAAAGCAGACTAGCTCTTTCTGGATTTGGGACAGAAGGTACAAAGACTCAATGAGGAAGAGAAAAAGTATTGCTTGGATTCCTAAAGCATGCATTATTTTCTACCCCCTTGTATTATTCTTTCTGTCTCTCTCATCTTTGTGAAGAATTAGAGAAGATTATACGGGTCGGTGAGGAGGGCAATATTGTTATTACAATTATTTCTTCTTTTCTTTCTCCTGAAAAACTCAATGTAGCACCAGCTACATAATCTCATAAAACCACAGAATGACAGACTTGGTAGTTTCTTTAAAATGCATCTAATTCAACCCTTCACTTGCCATATGAGAAAAATCAACCCAGAGAAAATAATGACTTTGTCAAGTTTACATGATTTTCTTGTGGCAGCATAGATGTAAAAATCTAGCTCTTTAGACTTCAGGTCCAGCAGGTGCTTGTTAAAGTTCTGATACTAGAAGGATTAAGCATGTAAAGAATTGCAAGCCCTGAAATGCTGCCTCCTTCCCACAGTGACCATGGATGAGTGGCACTTTATTGGGCAAGTTATGGTGATTCTTTATGTCTCCATATCAGTCCTTGAAATAGGTAACCAGGGGAGTGACCTACATACCCTTCATCCCACTCCAATATAGTCTAGAAAAGGATCAAGTCACCTAGTATTTGTTCACATGCCTCCTTCTCAGAGAGGCCTTGCCTAGGGACCCTTTATGAAAAAGAAGCACCCCTTTCCCCACTCAGCACCCTTCCCCTCAACTCTCAATATTTGGCATATGCTGCTTAATTTTTCTCCACAGCACTATGTATTACCCAATGCATTACAGAGTTGTTTATTGTTTGTTTCTTTCTCCCAAATGTCAAAATAACACAAAATGTAGAAGTTGCTTGAGAGGAACTGAGAAAAATTCCCTACTAATGTCAGGGCTGTCTGGTATTAACTTAAGAGTGCCATAGAAAAACAAAATGGGTTCTTATGCAAAGTGAGTGGGAGTGAGGAAAGAAAGAGAATGAAGGTAAAGCCAAATGAAGGACTGAAAAATCATGTAAGATAAAGGCCACTATCAGACTGGCTCACTAGCAAAGATGTAAAAAGATGTAAATGAGTGACCAAAAAAAAAAAAAAAGTAAGACTTGGAACAGTAAGCAGAGGCAACTGCATCTGTTATTTATTGCTGTGATAATAAATAACACACATAACAAACCAGCCCCAAACTCTGGCTCAAAGCAATAAGATTTATTGAGTTTTTGTGTCTGTAGTTTGGTGATTTGGCCTGGGCTCTGCTGGGCCCATTCATATTTCAGAGGTCAGTTAGCCTTTGGCTGATTTAGGACAGCCTTCGCTAAAACCACTGGGATGACATGGCTCTGTCCCTCATGTCTCATCCTACAGAAGGCTATTCAGGGCATAGTGTCATGGCTGCAACTTACAGGGATTGAGTGGGCAAGAGGAAACACACAAGACATCTCGGGGCTTAGACAAAACTGGCACAGTGTAACCTCCACTATAGGCCCAGCTGTGTCACAAGGCCAATCAATAATCAAAGAGTAGAGAAATAGACCCAGACCTCACCTCTTGATGGGAGGGGCTTCAAATAGCACGGATAGAGGAGAGGCAAAGAATTGGGATCATAATTACAATCTATCTTTGGTCTTATGGCATAGAGCAGGAGAATCTCTGACCCTCTCTAGCACCTCTCCCTGAAGGTGAGACTATTCCCCAAGGGAGATGGGTTTTTGGGAAACTATCTACATGTATATATTCAAATATCTTTGTTTCATATATGTATATGACACAAATACACACACATATAACGCCACTTCCTTTAATACTGTCTTACAAACAGCTCGTTTCAATGTACCCTCCAAAGATGTTGAGTGAGGTAGGCTTCAAGCCCAGTAAAATGAGATCATAAGGAAAATGTAACTTGGGTCTATTTTGGCAGCATCACCACGATGACATGAGAGGCTGAAGTGTACATGGGTGAAGAGCACTCCATCATCTCTCTACCTCAGTCTCCAGAACTTGTCTGGTGTCTTAAGTTATTTATTTTCCACTTTAGCTTTCCCTTCCCCAACCTACAACTGCCTATTTATTCGTGTTGAAGACATTGTGACCCTATCGGACCCGAATCTCAGATGTCCTCTCAAACTTGAGACAGCAGGCCCAGTAATTTCCCCCACCCCACTGAAGTGGCTGGCACCAGTGTGCACCTGGTAGGCCTGCATGTCCCTGGGACTACCTTTTAATCAGGCCAAAACCCTAAATAGGCCCCGCCATCCAGCCACCAGCATCCCTCAGTAGCCTTCAGATTGATACAGAGCTGGTCATTATTTAGAAAGGAAAAAAACTCATTTAGGCCTCTCTGTCTCCTCTCTGCATGCTTATTATTGTAGGTGCAAAATAAAATATGAAAAAGGAAAACCAAAGGCTTGCTCATCCTCTATGACTCTACAGGGGAATTCCAATCACAGGCAGAACACCCTGTCCCTTCCTCCCACCTTTTCCACCCAGCAGAGGAGGAGGAACTGGCCTTGGGGAGCGAATCATTTTCCTGTTCCACTATCTGTAAGCACATTTTCCAGATCAGTCCTGACTTTCCAATTTCAGAAATCCTCCACATCCAAATGAGGTCCAGTATTGGACCAGCCTCACAATGGACTTCCTACTTCTCATAGGTAAAATGTTCGTCTGCCTGAAAGGAAGCGATAGAGAGAACATGCACACTGTTGGCCAATAAACAGAGCTGCGCTCATGGCAGCTTGGTTTGGGGGGGGGGCGGGGGTCAGGCAGTTATTTTCCATGGGCTGTTAAACAGGAAACTTCGCTGCAGTTAATGTAGCAGGAGAGTTTGGCTAGTCTCTGAAATAAACTTTTGAGAGCCCTTAAGATAACTGTCGCTCACCTTCCAGACTCATTAATCATCGGCAAACTGAAGCTATCCAGTTAGGAGGAAATGAAGAGAGGGCTGTAGAATTCATGTCAAACAGATCATGCTCTTGAACTGGCACCAAACTCCAGAAACTCCAGTGAGAGGCAAATTGTAAGCCAAGGTGCCAAGTTAAATCCTAGCACTGTGATTGTGTGTGTGTGTGCTCGCACATGTGTGTGAGAGAGAGACAGAGACAGAAAGACAGAGAAATATAGAGTGTGTATACTCTATAGAAGTATAGAGTGTGTGTGTGTGTGTGCATGTGTGTGTGTGAGAGAGAGACAGAGAGGAGGGGAAGAGAGAGGATTGAAGACTAAAGAAATAACATGCCTCTGAGATCAAACACTTAAGACCTCAACTCTCAATTCGCTTTCCTTTACTCCCATCTCCAATGAGAATATATTACCCTGTCTGGGGGAAATAGAGTGAAAAGGTGGGAGAGACACAAAAAGAAATAAAGCTACAGAGTCCTGTGTTCCTGACTTCCTCAGAGAGCAAGGTAGATCTTGAAGGACTTCATTTTTCTCCATTAACTTTTATGAAGCCTGACTTGGCTGTAATGTTGTGTAAATGCCAGCCAGTTTCCAGCCAGGCTTTTCCAAGTGCGTCTAATTGCCCACTTTATCACAGGCACTATCAGGTAAATGGTGTTCCACCTCCGCTGGGCCTGCCTGAGGTTGACACTCAGGACTTGTCAGGCAATGGATCACAGAGCCGGCATGGGGGCCCCTCGCCCTGCATTCCTGCATGGGGGTGACAGTAAATTATGACATCTGCCAGGAAGATCAGAACACGGCTGTGCTACCGGATGCACCTAAGCTACACAACTAGGAAGGCTTTTAGGATGTGACTAGAGATGTGTCTGAAAGCTCTTAAAGGGACAAAGAGCCTCTTTCCCCAGCAACAGTGCAGCAGAGATGATCCCTGAACATTTACTTTTCCCTTTGATGATGCTTAATGACCTATTTTTATGTTTGAGTGAATAATGCTGCCTTGCAGTTGTAAAGGGCTCCAGAGTTTAAGTTGCACTTATATCCATCCTCCCAAGATCCTCAGAACCACCCAGAGGGACAGTCAGCATCATGCCCATTGTCCAGGATGAAAAAAAACAACTGAGATCTCAGCAGGCTGAGTGATTTGGCTTGGGTCAAAAAGAACATGAGAGTGCTGTGGCTAGGCCTCAAACCTAGATCTCAAACCCCAAAACATGTGTTGTTTGCTTTACCAAGATTTTTCGCTCCAAAAGTGTTACTGCTTATTGTAGCTTTGGAAGTATGGATTATATTGTTGTACATGTATAGCTTCTATCTTACGTCTTCACAGGACTGACACTGAAGCTTAATATCAAAACAAAACCAAATGTTTTAAACAAGAACAAGAAAGCACACCAAAAATCAAGAGGCAAAAATGAGATAATCTCATTTCAGTGAATTTTCACACAAAAAAATTGTCAACCTATAAGTTTGTAAAGAGAAAAGGGGGTAGGTTCATAGGTGTAAATACCATAAATGCTGACCTAAAATGGCCAAACAACTCTATTTGGTTATAATACAAATTGCTCATTGGAGGCCTGAGGCTCAACATTCAAGACTGTATGCCTGGCACCTTGACTTGTAAATGAGAGACAGACTTTTGACCAGTCAACTCTACACAAAAAGTGGATGATGCAAAGGCACCAAATTTGAATTCATTCCCTTCATGATGTCTTATTTGTTGATGACCCTGAGCAAGTCATCTAACTTCTCTGGGCGTAATTTTCTCACCTTAAAATGTGGATAAAACTACTTAGCTTGTAGAACTGTAGTAAGGACTAAATGAGGTAGTGGATACTTAAGCACTTTGTAAATTATACAGTAAAATTATTTTCAGTAGAAATCACCTGGTATTTATTGAAACTTGTGCCATGCCCTTGGGGATTAAAAAAGAAAGTGTCAGTAATGATTTTATTCTGCATTCAGCCATCATTTATTGAGCACTTGGTATATGCAAGGTGCTCTAATAACAACACTGGGATCCTCTAAATAGAACACTACATGATCATGGAGAGTAGAAGTTAAGTTGGTCAAGGTCAAAGCTACTCCAGATGTATGGATAGGTCTGTATTTCTTTCTTCCAAAATTTATTGAATAGCCACCTGCTATAATAAATTTATAAAACAATGTCTGATATATGGTGTGTGTATGTACATGCACACAGATACAAATAGATTATATTACATTGTGATATATGTCATGACAAAATAATTTTATGAGCCTATTTAAATGATAAAATTTTCTGAAAAAGAAGTTCCAGAAATTTTAATAGAGGCTTTTTGTTCTACAACTGAAACTATTTATACATAAATGCCAAATATTTCCTAATAATGGTTCAACATATAATGGCTCAGATAATGTTTTTCCTCACTGTAGATTTTGGCAATATTGGAGAGAAGTAAATAAATGGATACACTTAACTTAAGTGACCAGGGAATGGAAAAGCTGACAAGTCATAGTAAGCTTGTATGACTGGTAGAATGAGGTTGGTTCACCACAACTAGAAGCCATAAGAATCCTAGCAGAAAAATATGAATGGATGTGGCATCTTCTAGCCTTTCTTGAGTCACAGTCACTATTTCAAAACACTAGTAAAAAACCACCTCAAATACCTAGTGAAGATTTTGAAATACAGTGTGTGTGTGTGTGTGTGTGTGTTTTAAAGATTAAGTGGTTTCCTTGCCATTCACTCTCAAGTTGCAATCCTGAGGTACTTAACCACCACCCCATCTCCCTTCTATTGGCTAAACCTTCCCAAAAAGAATTATTATTATTAATTATAAAATATGTAGAAAATATATAGTCAACGCTGACAACTGGTGTAGCTCAAGTAGGAGTGTGAATATAATTAATATGCAGTATGTTTTATACTCTACTGTAAACAATTGTTTGAAGTTCTACTAAAAAATTACTTGTCTGGTTCTCAGTTAAGATACATTGAGGACATTATTTTCATGCTAAAGCACAGGCTCCTGTGAATCTTGTCACTTAGGAGGCTGGTATTTCACTGAAAACATTCTACCCCAATCTCCACAACTGCCCATGTCCTTCATTGCAGTTAACACACCACGAGAAACACAATGAATGGTATGACCAGAATGGAGGCTTTAGTTTTTCAAGTGGTTTGAAAAACATTGTCCTTTGATTCTTTTATGAGGGTTCCATAATTTCTTGGGGTTTTCCAACTGCTTTTTGATCACTGTCCCTGCCAGCTGCTCTTCTCAGACAGAAACTGGGATACTTGACAGTGGGACAGTGGTTGTGGTAAATTAATAAGGGGAAAAAAAATAAACAGAAGGCCCTTTTCCCATGTTTTCTTTCTTTCTTTTTTTTTTTTTTAACTTTGCAGATCTGTTCACTCTAGAGTTAATTTGGAGCTTGCAGTGCAGGGACCCTGTCTGGCTTTGGTCATTTATCATTCTCTTCTGATGTTGTTCCTTCCTTAGAGAGTCCACAAGTGAGACTCACAGCAGGCAAGTGAATGGATGGTCCTCTCTCCAGGTTCCCACATTTTTCCAGGACATCAGGCTTGCTGGACGCAAAGACAAAGCAAAACTTTCTAGGATTTGTACAGTCCAATCCCTTAGGTTTAATATCATCTAAATTAATAATAGGCAAAGTCTTTCTATAAATAGCTGTATAGTAAATATTTTTGACTTTGCAGGGCATATGGTCTCTATCACAGTTACTCTACTCTGCCTTTGTAGTATAAAAGTAGCCATAGATAATATATCAACAAATATATTGGCTGTGTTCCAATAAAGCTTCATTTATGGACACTAAAATTTAAGTTTCATATAATTTTCATATATCATAATTTTTTTGTTTTAATTTTTTTCCAACCATTTAAACATGGAAAGCATTCACACAGCCATAAGGCAACAAACAGTGATTAGATTTGGCCCACATGCAAGGGTTTGCTAACCCCTGGTCTAAATGCTCAGTTCTTCAAATTTATGTCTTTAGCCAATACCTAACATTTGGACCTCACAATTGATTCCTGATATCTCTATTTGTCCCTCAAAAACCTTCAGTGTCCAACATTCTCTTCTCTCACTGCTTTTTTTTGTCCACATCTTCCCCATCTGAGAAAAATACTTCCACGTCTTTCACAGTCGATGTAGTTAGAAAACTGCTAACTATGCTTGAGGGCTCTTTTCTTATACTCCACATCTAGTTTACCAGTGAATTCTATGGATTCTCTTCCCAAAACAAACCTGAAATCTATTTATTTCTCTCCATCCAAGTAATAGATGAGAGTAGCTAATCCTGTAATAAATGCCCAGTTGCAATTTCCCCTTTTCTGTCGTGTGTGTGTGTGTGTGTGTGTGTGTGTGTGTGTGTGTGTGTGTGTGAAGGAGTTTTGTTCTTGTCACCCAGGCTGGAGTGCAATGGCACCATCTTGGCTCACTGCAACCTCTGCCTCCCAGGTTCATTTCTCCTGCCTCAGCCTCCTGAGTAGCTGGGATTACAGGCTCCTGCCACCACACCGGGCTAGTTTTTTTATTTTTAGTAGAGATGGAGTTTTGCCATGTTGGTCAGGCTGATCTCCAACTCCCGACCTCGGGTGATCTGCCCACCTTGGCCTCCCAAAGTGCTAGGATTACAGGAGTGGACCACCATGTCTGGCCCTTTTCTGTCTTTTCTATTAGCTAAATTGTTGCAAAATAAGTTACTGTCATTGTTTCCAAGATGAAACTGTGCTATCAATACAGACAAAATATGTAAATAAAATAGAAGTCTCCACTCTGGCCTTCTCGGTGCATTTTGCCATGCAGCATCTGAAGTGAACATGCTAAAGCTTTGGTCATGTAATCGCTCTGATGGCTTCCCTTTCTCCCTGACCCCCAAAATAATCCAAACTCCTAGTTACGTCCTACAAGAATCCACCTGAGATGAACTCCACTTTCATATCCATCTCCCCACCACCCAAGACTGCTCCCACCCTTACTCACTGTACTTCAACCCAATGCTGGCCTCCTTTTGTCCCTGCTGGAGAAGTCACTCTTTCCTGGGTCAGTGCCTTCTGCTCTCTCTTTTCTCTGACTGGGAGGTCTTTCCCCGGTTCCTGGCATGGCTGATTCATTCTTATCCTTTAAAATTCAACCCAACTGTTACTTTTCTTACTCACTCTATCCAAAAGAGTCATCTTTGTCTTCACCCTGATAAATTTCTTTAGGGGATATGCCCCAGTATTTAATAGTTTTGATTGTCCCTTTTTAAAGCCAGTTCATTATCTGTCTTCCACGTAGAATGTAAGTGATGTTGAGTGTAGATAATTGTCTGTTGGATCCACTGTATCCGAAGGCCCAGTCTAGCACTGACTAGCTATCTAGTAAGTATTGAACAAATGGCTAATAAATGAATCTATTGATTAAAAGTTTTAGATCAATGTTGTGGATAGTTTTTTGAATTTATGCAAAGTTTCTATGGAAATATAAATTATACTCAGAGAAATGCATCAATCACGGCACTCTTTAGTTTTACAGCTTTGATGCATTTTTCAATTTTCTACAAGAAAAAAGTGAATTACTTTTGTTATTAGAAATAACAGAAATGCAAACATTAATAAAAGGAAACTAAAGAAAACTCCATCCTACTAAAATTTTTGTCTAATTTTCTAAATTACATCCTTGAAATCTGCATGATTACAGTGGAATATGGAAATGTTCCATGTCTAAGATAAATAGGGAAAAGGTGATACACCATCAGAATGTTGGCATTGAAAAAAACTGTTAAAGACTAATTTATCCTTCAAATGGAGCTCTGGAGGAGTTGGTGGGGGTTGGCTGAATAATTAAAACATCATTTAATTTGAAAGATTATGAAGTGACAGAGGTGATAAAATGTGCATGGATGGGGGCTGTGGCATGGGTTGAAATCCTTACCGTGTCTTTGTGGCTTGTAGAATGTCACCTCCGAGTCACAACTTCCTTCTCTGTAAAATAGAGCTCCAAAGTAACTTCTCAGTGGGGTATTTTAAGACTTGGAAATATTTATAAGGACCTGGTAGAGAATATAACACAACCTTGATATTTAAAAATGAAGTATCAACCTATGTGTCATAAGTAGTATTTTTAAAGGAAGAAGTTTCACAATGTAGAAATGTTTTGTATGTTTGCAAAAATAATAAATAGATAAATATAAATCTAGCTTAAGAAAGATCTTGGCTATCACCAAGTTTCTAAGAAAATGTTTTTTTCTCACTGTGTTCAGAATCCTTGCTAAATGTGTAAGCCAATATTTACTACATTATGCTGCAACAACCAACAGCTTCCAAAACCCAGCAACTCCGAGCTACGAAGGTTTACATCAATTACTTTCTTCTTTGCCTCATATTTGGGCTATGGAAGCTGCACATTAACTACAAATCTGCTTGATACACATTCTTCATCCCAGAATCCAAGATGTAGAATCGGCCCTTCTTTGGGACATACCCTTCTGATAGCAAAAGAAAAATGGAGATGATTGAATCATAAATGACTTAAAACTATAGATATGGCATGCATTACTTTGGTCACATTCCACTGATGAAAGCAAGTCACATGGGCAGAGTGATGTTACTGAGCTAAGGAAGTCCTCCCTCCAAGGGAAGTCACTGTAATTCGCATGGCAGCAAGTTGAGGGTTATAATTTTCTCACAAGAGGAGACTGAATAATGGGTATGATACAACAATAGACCACAATGACCTGGTTCTTTTTGCTTCTAAAATTAAAGGGGAAAGAAGAATGTTCTCTAGAGTTATGTATAGACTGATTCCTCGATGTGTAATAAACCAGTGTTTAAAAATAAAACATTGCTTTGCAGAACGAATGGGTTGAGATGTTTAGCATAATGGAAAATGCTGATTTTTAAGTAGCAATTTAAATAGCACAGTCTGGGAATACAGTTTCCAGTGATTGATACGGTTTTAATAGGGCTGGTCAAATAGGTGGATTTAGTGTTAGACTGATGCGTCTGGGAAACACTGATCATCATTCTCCTTAGACAGCAACCAGCTCTCAGAACTGCGGTCAGCATGATTACACCGAACCCTGGGCTAAAGCATTTTCAGTCTCCTTTATTCAAACCACAATATATTGATTAAATATTTGCTTAGGGTTTATTAGATTTGGTCTACCCAGAGTTGTCTGTATTAATAGCCATCAGATTAAATTTATCTTTTCATGCACTCAGTCATCAGCAAACCATGGAAAATTCCTTTTGCTCCCTATATTACTTGCTTTGCCACCATAAAAATCATATAACTTATTTCAGCTCCACAAGTGGTACCTGTCTTATGGGTCCACAATTAAGGCTGACTTTATACCACTTAGAAAGAAATGAAACAAGTAAAAGGGTACAAAGTTTCAGTTATCAATGCTGACAATTGGTGTAGCTGAAGTCAAAGTATAAATATAGTTAATATGCAGTATGTTTTATACTCAGGATTAATAAGTTCTGGAGATCTATTGTAGAGCATGGTGACTACAGTTAATAATAATGTGTTCTTTGCTTGAAAATTGCTAAAAAAAAGTAGATTTAACCAGAAAAAAAAATAAGTATTTGAGAGGATGAATATGTTAATTAGTTTGACTTAATCATTTTACTATGTATTCATATATCAAAACATCAAACATCATGTTGTACACAATACATGTATACATTTTTTATTTGTTAATTATACCTTAATAAAATGGGGGCAGGGGAAGAGAGTACGAAACAAAATGAGTCTTCTTATTCTCATTTTGAAATAAAGAAACTGACATTCCAGGAGCAAAGCCTTGTCTTCTAACCCTGAGTTCATAACAGGAAGACAAGAAAGCTGCCCTTGTCTTCACAAAACCAGTGTGCACCAGTATTACTTGGTATTTCAGTTTCCATGGAATTCCATAGTGGTGGAAATTTAAACAATTTTATTACAGAAAAGTAACAGCTTTTTCAAAGAAAAGAATTAGTCAAGACAGTTTTCCTCTGAGACAGTCAATTTGTGATATTTTATATATTTGTGTGTGTCCATGGTTCCTGGCTTATAACTCCCATAACCCCTGCCATGGTCTTTCATTATAATGTTGGGGCACTTCAGGCCTCAGGAAACAAAATCTGTCTCTTTCTCTCTGACCTTCTTCTGTCCCTCTTTCACCTGCCCAAGGCAGGACTCTAATCTGATTGTGAGTCAAAAGACCCTCGTTCCAGCCAGAGTTCTTCCCCAGACCCTAGAGGAAGGAATGCTACCCAAAGAGGCCAAAGAAGTCTGAACAGACAAGCTTTGCTGGGTTTAAATCATGCCCTTTTTGTCCAATCATGTTTCTACATGGTTGTCAATTATGCCTATGTAATGAAGCCTCCATAAGAACCCAAAAGGACAGAGTTCTGAGAGCTTCTGGATGGCTGGACAAAGGTGGCTGCCCAGGGAGGACATGGAAGCTCCATACCCCTTTTCCCTTACCTCTCCTTACTCATCTCTTCATCTGTGTCCTTTATAATGTTGTTTATAATAAGCCAGTAAATATGTTTCCCTGAGTTCTGTGAGCTTCTCTAACAAATTAATCCAACCCAAAGAGAGGGTTGTGGGAACTTCAACTTGAAGTCAGCCAGTCAGAAGTCTCAAAGGCCTAGATGTGAAACTGGTGTCTAAAGAGGTGAGGGGCAGATAAAAAGGAATGAGATCATGTTTTTTGCAGGGACGTGGATGGTGCTGGAAGCCGTTATCCTCAGCAAACTAACTCAGGAACAGAAACACAAACACTGCATGTTCTCACTTATGAGTGGTAGCTGAACAATGAGAATGCACGGACACAGGGCTGGGGGAACAACACACACTGGGGCCTGTCAGGGGGTGGGGAAATATTTTTCCTAAATATTTTCCTATTTAGGAAAAATAGCTAATGCATGCTGGGCTTAATACCTAGGTGATGGGTTGATAGGTGCAGCAAACCACCATGGCACACATTTACCTATGTAACAAACCTACACATCCTAGACATGTACCTTGGAACTTAAAAATAAAAATTTTTAAAGAGTTGGAGGAAGGCAAGCTTGGAGACAAAGCCCCCACTCTGTGGCATCTGATGTTATCTCTAGGTAGATAGCATTGGAATTGAACTGGGGGACACTCAGCTGGTGTCCACTGCTTGGCTTGTAGAGAAATAAAAACCCACATCTTTGGTTACAGAAGTCTTCTATGTTGATGATTGTTATGGTATGAAATCAGAGGAAACACACAGTTCAAGAGAGTCTTTCCTGAAACACAATCTTAAATTATTTCTGTTGTTATTGATATTGTTGGTTTTCAAGTACACTACTTGTGTGGATAATGCCGTTGAATTAGGCCACGCTGGTTCAAAACCTTAATTAAAAGGGGCAATTATTTAAATAGATGATTGAGAAATAACTGATTTCTTAATAAAGTTTAATAGTGGTTTACTGGCAAATTAATGATTCACTTCAATAAAAACATCCAAGTCAGTTGTGCGTGTGGATATAAACTATGACAGGAAATGGTAAAATGAACTTTACACAGAAGTATGCACTTTCAGGCTAGAACAAGAATAAAGGCATGAAAATACATGTGGAATGTTTGTCTTCAAAAAAATTTTACTTTGCATTCAGTGTGAAGTAATTAAATGCATACAGAAAAGAAGATACCAAAACTACACATAAAAACTAAAGAACTCTCTCTCTCCCTGTCTCCCCATCACTGAACTGCCTTCCCCTAGAATCTCCCGTTTCTCATGGAGACTTCCAGCAATAAGCCGATATGGTAATGTAAGTTAGTGCTTTTATATCAGCTAAAGAGTACTAAAAGAGAGTAGGAAGTAGATACACTTTTTTTATACTTTTCCATTTTTCCAAGTGTTACCATCAAGGTCTAGGAAAACGATGATCAAGAATAAGAGGAAAAAAGAAAACACCTTAAAAAACTGAGAAGTATCCTGAAGAACTTCTGAGTCTCTTGGCACAATAATTAATATTTTTATTTTTTAAATATTTTAGTAGGGATGAATTTAAGCTTGTCTATTCATTCGTGGAAGGAAACTTATTGAGCACTTAATATGTATCAGGTGCTGAGGATGTAAAAGTAAACAACATAAATATATAGTCCCTAGGGCTTCAGATTTCCCCAAAGTTAAACTAGCCAACCATTACATGATGAACAATTTATATTCTAAAAATATGTAGAATAACCATTCATACAATTTATGAATTAATCAAAAATTATTTTTATTAATGATTGCTATGTATGATGCAGTAGATTGATTATAAAAATGATCATTAGAGAAATGCAAATAAAAATAACAATGAGAGAGCACTACACACTAATTTGAATGGCTAAAATCCAATAACTGACAATACCAATTACTGTAAGATTGTGGAGCAGCAGGATTTCTCATTCATTGGTGATATGAATGCAAACTGGTACAACCACTTTGGAAAACTGTTTGACAGTTTCTTACCACTAATTGTGCTCCTAGGTATTTTATCCAGTTGATTTGAAAACATGTCCACTTAAAAGCCTGCATGCGAATGTTTATAACAGCTTTATTCCTAATCTTCCTAAATAGAAAGCAATACGAATGTCCTTCAATAGACGAATGGACAAACAAGCTGTTCTGCATCCTTCATAGGATGGACTAATACTCAGGGATAAAAAGAGTGAGTTATCAAGCCAGGCAAAATCATGGATATATCTTTAAAAGCCTATTGCTAAGTGAAAGAAACCAGGCTAAGTAGGCTATAAATTTATGCTTCTATTAACATGACATTCTAGAAAAGGCAAAACTATAAAGACAGGAAACAGGCTGGTGGTTGTGGGTCATCTGAGTAGGAAGAGGGTTGAATAGGTGAAAATGTGTTTCTGTTTGTTTGTTTGTTTGTTTAGAAAGGTAAAACTATTCTGTATGATAGAGTAATTGTGGACATATAACACTGCATACGTTAAAACTCATAGATCTTTGCAACACAAAGAGTGAACCTTAGTGCATGCAAATAAAAAAATTAGGAGTTAAGGAAATTCCAGAATGGAATTTAGAATGCGGCAAAAGAATCTAACCATATTACAAATGTATGAAACAATCTAACTGAAGGGGATAGGAGAAAAGGTGTCGACCTAAATAATTTTGGAAATGACAGTAAAGGTGAAAAGAACTGCACATAAGTACCGTATTCTACTTGATAAAGCTGTTTCCCATAAGAGTTCAAGTTGACAATTCTGAAACCACTATACATTTATATTGAAATTGAACAATCAAGTGAATTGATAGCAGATGGAAAGTGACAGGTTTCTTAGTGTTGGAGTATGAGGTTACAAATAGCAAAGAGAGGAAGCTGAAATGATCCAGATCATAATCTGCAGTTGGAGATATGAGTAAGAACTCATGTTTAGCTTAATGTAGGTACACAGGGTTGCATATGGAAATATTCAGAGATACAAGGATATGCACAGGTTAGTATACACTCATGCATTTGATCATTCTGTCGGCTGAAAGGGCCTAGCAGCAACAACACTCCAGCAGTAATGACCAAACCCAGGACCCAGCTTTTAGTTTGTAATACTATTCTCTAATACAAGGAACAAGTTTTCCTTGAAGAAATGATTGATTCTAGAACTCAGAAAATATAAAAGAGGAGGCTGAAGGCTCTGTAATGCCAAAAATCAAGGGAATGCTAAAAAATAAAAGTTTTTAAAAATCCCCCACAATAATAGAAGTATGACAAAGGGACACAAGAAGAAATGGAGCATTCCCAATGGCCAAAGCTGGAACAACTTGAGAAAGAAAATAATGAAAATAATATTAATACTGTGAAATTATGACCCAAAGTAGAAAATAAATACTTGTATGTCTATACTGATATAAATAAATAATTAAACAAGCAAGTAAATAAATAAATAAATAGGAAAATAGACAATTCTCCCATGCAGATGAATTACAAATAATTTATTTGGCTACTTCACTTTCAAGGAGGCAGAACATAAGTTTTTACTCTTATTTGTGTTTTGTACAAGGTGACTCCCTTCCAACAATTATAATATGGCAAAGGAGAGGAGAACATCTTTACAGCAGAGAAAGCTGACAAAATTATGCTGCTCAGGTGGACAAGGTCAATATCAAAAGTGATGGCATGCCAATAATATGTACTCTTGTTTTAATGTAATAAGAGCAGCAGTTAACCTCTGTGGTTTTCTTTTCAAAAACTCATAACCTCAATCTGTTTATGAGAAAAGAATTAGACAAATTCCAGTTGAAAAACATTCTGGCCAGGTGCGGTGGCTCATGTCTGTAATCCTAGCACTTTGGGAGGCTGAGGCAGGCGGATCACCTGAGGTCGGGAGTTTGAGACCAGCCTGGCCAACATGATGAAACCCCATCTGTACTAAAAATACAAAAAATAGTCAGGCATGGTGGCGGGTGCCTGTAATCCCAGCTACTCGGGAAGCTGAGGTGGGAGAATCGCTTGAACCCGGGAAATGGAGGTTACAGTGAGCCGAGATTGTACCACTGCACTCCAGCCTGGGTGACAGAGTGAGACTCCATCTCCAAAAACAAACAAGAAAAAAACAACTTCTACAAAATACCTGAGCAGTGCTCTAACAAAAACTGTCAATGTCATCAAAACTTAGAAAAGGCTGAGAAATTGTCACAACCAATAGGAGCCTAACAAGATATAATGACTGAATGTAGTGTATTCTAGATAGGATCCTTGGAGAAAAGTAACATTAGATAAAAATTCAGAAAATTTGAAAAAAGTATGGAATTTACTAGTGATAATACATTTATATTGGTTCTTTAGTTGTGACAAATGCACGATGGTAATATAAGGAGTTAATAATAGGAAAAGTTGGGCTTGGGGTATATGGTTCCCTATTATCTTCATAATTTTTCAGTATATATAAATCTATTCTAAAATAACCCATTTTTTAATCTAAAAAGATTATCTTTTGCAATATGATATCTTGGCTTCTACCTTCAAGTGGTAGGGCCTATTTCCCTTTTCCTTGAATTTGGGCTCATCTTGTGAATTGCTATGATTGCAAAAGTGCTGTTGTGCAAGTTCCAAGCCAGGCCTCAAGACACCTCGCAACTTCTGCTCTGTTTCTTGGAACCCTGTCACTGCTATGTGAATGAGCCTAGGCTGTCCTATTGAAGAATGAGAGATATGGATGACAAACCAATTGCCTCAGCTGTAATCTGTCTAGGTCAGTCTACATGCATCCAGCTGCATTCCAAATAGGTGGAAAAACCTGACTGCAGATGTATGAGTGAATACAGCTAAGAGAATAAAACCCTCATGATCTTTCCATCTACTTAAGAAAATAACAAATCTTATTATTTTAAGCCACTGAGATTTGGGTAGGATTGGTACACAGTCATTACTAATTGATACATATAACAATTTATGTTGTGATTGTACAGCCCACTGTCATTTTTGAAACAGAAACTTCTAGTGCATCTTAACTTCCAGTGTTTTATATAACACGAATGGAAAGAATAACATAAACTGCAGGATGGTTTTCTGTCTTCCTTTGTATTATGTTATATATGCTGACCTATTTAATTCATCAGGCTCATGCCCCTGACTACATCCATATTCAAGCTCACATGAAATCTTCCACTCTTGTTTACAAATATAAACCCAGAATCAAGTAAAATTGGTATATCAGTAATGAAGCTTCATCTTCTTCATTTTTCTATATCCAGGAAAAAATAATGGCATTTAAGAAAAATAATTTTGTATTAGATTATATTGCTGTTCTCAATTATTCATGCCTCCTTGGCCTGTAAGAATATGTACCATCATCTGTTGCTATGTGATTTCTGTGCTTTTCCAAGGGAGGAATGTGCTTTGCTGCCCCCTTCATTTTGAACCTTGTCATGACTTGCTTTGTTCAATGGAATATAAACCGTCTTGATGTGTAAATAGAAGCATTAGAGGATACTGCACAAATGGCTTTCATCTTTTTTCCTTTTCCAAGAGAATAGCAAAGCCAAAAGAGCACTTCTCCTTGACCGTCAGTGCCGGAATGAGAAGAAATACAATGGGACAGTCCCAAGTTAGTTGACATGAAATGTGAGCAAGGCATAAATATTTGTGATTTAAGCCACTAAAATATGAGGATCATTTGATATCTCAGCGATGCTGACTAATACAACTTCTCATTTATCTATAAAATGGTAAATGATTGAGAACAGTTCACAAATCCAAAGTACTAAATTAATCTACATTCAACTGAACTGTACTATTATCTATTAAAGTTATAGAGAAAGTCAGTGAATTGTATTAAAGATGCTGTGTTTGTGTGTATTTATTGTATTATATAATTTATATTGCTTCTTTGGACCACTGAAAATTCTGTTTTTTGAGATTTATTTGTTGACTTATTTACTTAATTATTTGCTTGTTTAAATTATATACAGGTTTCATCACAGTGGAAAACAAGAAGTAAAAAGACAGTGGTGAAATTACTTATACTTTGTAAAAAATAAAGTACAATTAAATTGCTTTGATTTAGTAGTGTATTAGTCCTTTTTCATGCTGCTGATAAACACATACCCAAGGCTGGGCAATTTACAAAAGAAAGAAGTTTAATGGACTTACAGTTCCACGTTGCTGGGGAGACCTCACAACGTGGCAGAAGGCAAGGAGGAGCAAGTCATGTCTTACATGGATGGCAGCAGGCAAAGAGAGAGCTTGTGCAGGGAAACTCCTTCTTATAAAGCCATCAGATCTTGTGAGACTTATTCACTATCACGAGAACAGTATGAGTGAAACCACCCTGATGATTCAATTATCTCCCACTGGGCTCCTCCCACAACATGTGGGAATTATGGGAGCTACAATTCAAGATGAAATTTGGGTGGGGGGCATGGCCAAACCATATCAAGTAGTGATTTTCAGATAGTACAGGGTAAGAAAAAAATAGCTTTCCCATTTTAAGAGCCCTAGATAGTTCTTGAACAATCAATGTTCATATGCAAGTGGCAGCCAGATTTGCTCTCAGCAAATTGGTTGTTTGGAGAGTGGAATTTTTCATGTGGTAACTTACATTTCAATGAATTTATATTCTTCCCAATCTGCTACCCCAGTGCTTACATTCTAGATTCAGAAGAAACTCAGCTTAGTCCAGACATTTTAAGCTGCAAGGGAATTGTTCAATGTGTCCAACTGTGTATTTTTACTCATATCATCTTTAGAACTATCTCCAAGAGAAGCCAACCTGTATTTCCAAACAGAACTGGAGACTATAAAAAAAAAAAGGAAAAATGAGTTAAATGTGGTGGTTATGCTAAAAGAATTATACCAAACTAAGTCACCAAGACTTCTTTGTCAGAGACCTGATCAATATGATTACAAGTTAATGCTAGAGGGAAGAAGAGGGAGTTCTCACCCTGAACTCAGCAATGTGACAGTGGCATGGAAGATGTCAAGGACTGTAGGTGGGAAATAGATGGAAGTCAGCCTGGACTATCCACAAAGCCCTACAATGTCAACAACTCTAGCAATGTGGTCAGCAAGGCTAAAGTCCTTGTGAATTTTTTATTGTTGGGGAACCAGAACCAACATCTAATGTTTCTATCAGGTGTCTTGCCTAATGATGCTCTGCTTTCACTACAGTCTCCAGGGGAGGGGAAACTTGTGATGTGGTTTAAGTTATTATAAACAATGTCTTTTGTAGGTTGTATGAATTCTAGATCACTATCTGATAACTGCACACTTCCCAGAATTCATAGTCAGATCAGTGGCCCAGAATGAACTCATATTGAATTTTGGAGGAAGATGACTTGAGAGAAACATGGGATTCTTCTTCCATTGATGGTAAGAGCCTAACATCTCCTTGTTGTGTAGGGACACACTCAGAGATGCAGTATATAAAGAGAAGTCTTAGAAAGGCAAGACCTAAACAGAGTATTTGAACAAAGGCAGGGTGATTTGACACTTTCCTGGAAAGTCTAAAAGCTATAGTAGATAGGCCACTTTATAATACTCTTGACCAATAAATAACCTTTACATCTGCATTAGAAATGTGTTAGCCTTGAGAGCCTGTCTGGGAATGGAGTATATTTCTTCTAATATTAAGTTTCCTTAATTCAGATCCTCAAAACAATTTGAAACTTTAGCATTGACTTGGATGATTGCATGGACAACCCAGGGTGACCAGTGGGAAAACCAAAATTATTTCCAGGATATATGAGCATCCTGACAATGCTTTCCTTGTACTATATCTTATGGGTTTATGCTCAGTGGCTAAGCAATACATGAAGACAGGAAATGTTTGGATTAAGAACATTCGGAAGCCACAAGTTACAATTTGATTTTGATACATCCCTACCTCTCTAAATATGTCAAAATAAAGACTAATAAATGTAAGGACATATATGAGTGTTCAGAAACCTCTAAAGATTATATATTTAATATTGTTTTTTGAGAATTACAAATATTAAATTATCCTAAAAAATATTTTGGAGTCATCTCTACTTTGCTGGTGTAATTAGCATGGCATTCATCCACCCATGTGATCCTCTAGCAGTGAGACAGGCTTATCTTGGCCACTAGTGGGACACTTTCTGTGAATTTTATCTCCATAAATCACTGAGCTTATGTTTTCTAAACTGTAAAATAAGGCTAAATATTCCAAGTGATTCCAGAAGTTCTTAGAGAAAGACGGGAGCGGTAACCCATGATGTATAAGGATAGTCAAGTTGGTTTCTGTAACATTCTGAATGAATTTCTAAACCAGAGGGGAAAAGTAAGGTGATAGGCTACCTGAGAGAAAGAGGCAGTCAAGACTGAGTCACAATGACTCAGAGAAGGGAATGAGCTCAGTCCAATCACATAATACTTGCTATTGTGCCCTGGCTTAGTTAGAAGCCAGATTCAGGAAGCACATTCCATTAGACTAAATAAAGCTTCGATCATGTGTAAAATTTCCAACTTGAATAAGCAGCCATCCTATCACTCATCAGGCTAGGTGCATTTAATGGGTGTAATTTCTTCCTCATATTTCTATGCATTTATTGTTTCATTTTTATTATAGGAACTTGGGCTTCTTATTAGACTTATTATTTTCTATTAAACCTAGACTTAAGTAAATACTGTTCTACAGGGTGTACATGCAAATATGTTTCCTTTAGATTGCCAAAAGAATAGGGCAATCTGATTCAACTTAACTATGAGATTAGAAGAAAGGAAAAGTGAAAAAAAAAAAACAACTATTAAGCACCAAGGCAATATAACCTGAGAGTGTATAAAAATTATTTTTGGGGAATTGTAAAACATTAATTCCTCAATTTCAAAGGTCCTGATTTTATAGATTTGAGATAGAATTCAGAAAAATGTATTTTAAGAAGGCTTTATTATATTTTATTTTAATATAGCTGAGCATTGCCTTGGGCCTTGGTAAACTAAGTTAACTTTTCCTTAAATTACTTAGAGGAAAAGGAAAGAAGATTAAATATGAATGTTATTTTTACTCTATTAAGGCCAATTTTCTGGAAAACAATATCAGAAACTGTCTCTGCAACATTTTAATTTCAAGATTGAATTGAATTTACCAGAGCCGCTGAGCTGTACAACTTCTGAAGTTTGGAGCATCCAGGTATCAGCTGGCTGCTAGCCAGAGCTTCAGAGCAAGTGTTCATTAAGCATGATTAAAGTGAGCTGTCATTTTATATATATTTTGGCAGATTTTTCAAGACAAAAATATGCCACAAAAAATACCTAGAAAATATGCCTTAAAGTGGAGACATAGCCCCTGCATAATTGGGGATGAGAAGTGGCTTATTTAGTTTTTTTCGGGGGAATAGTAAAGCCAAAGATGTTTCTATTACAAATTATTCAGAACTTCCCCAGATGTAGACTCAGATGTAGACCTTGAGACAAAGATTCAAGAAGAAATTGTTTCAGAGGTGATTTTAGGAAATACTAGTAGGAGAGGTGGGAAGTCACACTAGCAAGGGAAGATAATGAACAGGGGTGCTTTGTCAAGCAAGTCATCACTGTGGACAACTGGAGCTCAGTCTTACTGGGGAACTCTGGAAGCCTGTGGAACACGTGCATCTGGATTAGCTTCCCCAAGGGAGAGAGAGCTGGGGTTTTTATACACTGACTTCTTCAGTCATTGACTAAATCCTGCTCCAAAGGATCATTAATTTCCTGGGACTTCCAGCCTTCCTCCTGCATGGGCAAACAGGCTTCGGGATCCAGGGCAAGTCCTCAGGCAAAGAAGTAAGCTCTCTGGCAGTTGGGATTCGGGCAAACATATACCAAAATGGTAAAGACCAAGGATGTGGGAGAAGCCCTGAAAACATCAAGTAGGGGATTTGGGAAACTTAAGTCTTTGAAACCAGCTACTCTTCCAGTATAAAGAATAATGGAAGAAAAAACTCGCTAGGCAAGAGCCAAGGCTTATTACATTTAAAATGTCTCTTCTATGAGGAAACTAAGCCAGGTTAAAGGAGAGAAAACTAGTCGGCTGCCCTGATCACCAATCCATAGAGTATATTAAATTATCACAGTGATAAATTGGATTAATGGAACCACTTCACTTAGATTTCAACTTGAGAGTCCATCCATAATCGGTAAAATGTAAAACTTTCCTTAATCCCCAAAGTAGAGAATGCCCTCAGTGGAAGTTTTAAAAGCACTTCTTGCTCACATGCCTTAGCCCTATTGAAGTTTTCTGCTCCATCTAAGTGTAGGTTTCATGGTACAATCAAAGTGAGCAGAAATTCTAAAACTGAATGACACATGGCAAAAAGCTGTTCACCTGGCATTTGGCATTTATTTTCTAAATGTAAATGGTTTGATATGCCTCTTACTAAGAAATTGTTCAGGCCTGGCGTGGTGGCTCACGCCTGTAATCCCAACACTTTGGGAGGCCAAGACGGGCGGATTGCCTGCGGTCAGGAGCTCGAGACCAGTCCGACCAACATGGTGAAACCCCAACTCTACTAAAAATACAAAAAAATTAGCCGGGTGTGGAGGCATGTGCCTGTAATCCCAGCAACTGAGGAGGCTGAGGCAGGGGAATTGTTTGATCCAGGGAGGTGGAGGTTGCAGTGAACCAAGATTGTGCCACCGCACTCTAGCCTGGGTGATAGAGCGAGACTCTGTCTCAAAAAAAAAAAAAAAAAAAGAAAGAAAAGAAAAAGAGAAGAGAAGATAAAGAAAATAAAAGAGAAAAAAAGGAAAGAAAAGAAAAGGGAAATTGTTCGGTTAAGAAAACATATATGTAAGAAATTATGAATTTATGTTAAACATAAATTTTTAAAAATTAATTGAAAATTTTCCTTCTGCCTTCACAAAGTAAATGATGATCGAATGTGTAAACAGCATCATCTTGATGGGATGCCAGGTTTTTAGCCCATAGAGAGAAATCTCATGTGGCTTCATATGGCACTTTGGAACAACCACCAAATTTTGTTGACAAAGTGAGTAATAATATAGTATTATTTAAATATGCCTAGTACCTTCTCCTAAAATATTGAAGGAGTGTCCACAGATGCACAAACTACAGCTTTGGAAAGAATTAAAACTATCATTTTTTCCATGGTGGTCAAACAATTACAGTACTTAAAAACTTGATACCCTAAATCTATATGAATGGAATAATACATAAATTTTTTTTAACTGGAGGTTTGCATATTCTTCAGATGGAGACACTGAAAAATGTAACATGCCAGATTTAAAGTTCATTCTGCCTCTGGTCAGTTCTGAAATTCAGAAGACTTGCTCTTGTGTGCTCTGTGGATCTGAGCAAGCTGCATTTAAGTTTGACACACACAGACACACATACAAGGTACGACTGTTTAGTTGAGACTTTAAATTCAATTTATTCCCACTTCCACTGTTTATCCTCCAGCAAAATTTACAAATTGTAGAAGAGTTCCCTGGCTACATTTGTGCTGGGAATGCTTTCTAAAGAATTTAGCTTAAATCTACCAGCTTGGCACTAGGACCATTAATATAAAAAGATATTCTAAAGTAAGTGTCAATTTCTCAAGGCTTTGTTTTTAGGTTATGTTTTCTGTTACACATAAGTGACTGTTTGCTGTCATTGAAAACTATTGTTAAAAATGTCTTTTCTAAGGGAAAAAGAATCTGGCTACCAACACTGTAATTTGAATATGGGTATAATTTTGCAGCCAGGGCTTATACTGCTGATTTGGGCACTTTCCATATTGTTTTATTTTTGAGACTCAAAAGCCAAAAATATGAGCTGTGAAATCCTAAAAATCACCACTGGCTATTGAAACCTTTATGTCTCTTAATGATAAGACCATACTGAAAGTGTCCAAATTAAAAAAAAATGAGATGATAAACTGAGAATAGTATGAGTTGAAAGAGATGCTGATTAAAAGACACAATAGAAGAAAATTGTATGTATACCCTCCACATTTACATTACACTCTTTCTGTGTCTCTTTGGCTATAAAGTGAAGAGTGACAAGGGAAATGCAGAGGGGAGTAAGAATGAGAAAAGAGGGATAGGAAAATAAAACAAGAAGGACAGGCACCATTTGAGGGTTCATAGTAATGGAGATAGTGACAGAGCAAGTGTCTTGGTCTTAGTTCCTTCTTCTATAACATGCCAATGTTGACAAGGGTGGTCTCTACATACTCAAATAACATTAAAGTTTTTTAGTTCTTACTTTTAATGTAAGAATCTGACTTTAGCCACCAGACAATAAAACATGTCAGAATGACTGCTTCTCATATCTTGGAATAAAAATAGCTCCTTGAAACATGATTTGTGAGAACAAGTTGTCTCCTAGTTTTTTGCGTTTTTTTTTTCTACACAAAGACCAACTTATCAGGCCATTCAAGCTTCTGAAAGCACTTGAGCAAAACTACCAACTGGTAGAAACAAGATCAAGATCAACCAGATTACTGGAGAGCTCTTTGCACAAGGAGCTTTGTGGGCCATGATGCGAGTCGACCCTGTCACTGAGCCCGGAAGTGCAGGTATCAACTGCACAGAGGCAATCAATTTCCAGGTCGAGTTTGGTAGGGCACTGCCCAGAAGTTGAGATGAATCTTGCCTTATGGTGGAGATGTTAGGCCCCACAGAGATAACAAACACCAGCCACTGGTCAGATACTTTAGTGGTAGAACTGATGTCAGTGCAAATATAGAGTCATGCCTGACTTCTGCTTCCAGCTCAGAGTCAAGCTGGTGCATCTTACACTGCTTTGGACAGAGGCAGTGTGATGCTTCCAGCCACTTTCATTTGGAGGTGAGAGTCCATTTTAGAGTAGTAAAGACTTTGCCAATGGATTTCCATTATGTAGGTTTTTAAAGGACTTGGCACAGGGCCACATCAGCTTTTAGTCCCCACATAACTGCATGAGAAATAACGTCCATCCTGGCTGCTTCATACAGATCACTTGCCTGTCACAAGGAACGTGAGCCCTGCATGGCCACAGAACTGGCCTTCCCTCAGTTAACTGAGTTATATCAGATACATCGCCTAACTAAGGACCTACGTGGTTCTGCCGCCAAAGTTTAGATGTCATAATCACCATTTGTTAAGGGGCTTCTAACTCCAGTTTGTCCTGAAGACAAATAGGCTAAGAATATAGAGTCATTCTTTCAGCAATAAGTCACCAAAATGCCAATCTAATTCTGAAAACAAAGGAAATAAATTTTCCTTAAGTTCAAAAACATTTTACCAAACTGGTTAACTAGTCATAGACATTCTTAGAGTCTTGAGATCGGGATCCAAAACAAGTCATGCAAATTAAGCATAAAGCTTGGAAAATTCTCACACATGGAGATCACATTCATAAATTGCCAAGACGTCAATCAAGACAGAGGTGCTAATGTCCCAAAAGCTATGCTTATGATGGCTTCTGGTCACTATCACAGCCCATGTTTCCAAAGGTAACCGCAACCCTGAATTCTCACACCATGAGGTCATTTTGCCTGCTTTTGAACTTCATGCAAATGGAAACACATGTTATATATTCTTATGATTGGGTACTTCTGTTCAACATTATGTTTGTGAAATTCACCCATGTCATTGGATAGTTGTAGTACGTTCAGTGTCATCACTACATAGTTTACCATTGTATGAATATACCACAATTTCTTTATCCAAGAAACTGTTGAAAAGTGTCAGAGTAGCCTCAGGTTTCTGGCTATTGGAATAAATCTTCTATGAACATTCTTGTATGGTGTACAAATATATGCATTTCTGAGGGGATATTTAATCCTTGTAGTAGAATTACTAGTTTTTGGTGAATTCATATGTTCACCTGTAGCAAACATTCCCCAATTTCCAAAGGATCTGTATCAATTTACATTCCACAAACAGCATGTAAGACATTGGAAGGCTCATCAATACTTGATATTGTTTGTCTTTTTCATTTTATCCAGTCAGCTGGGAATACCATCAAGCCACATTTTTATATGGGTAAAATGTATACAGGTTAAGTGAATGTAGGCAAAACACTGATCAAAATAATAGAGTAATTAAAAACATTTAAGCAGCATGTAGAATCATTCATTCACTTATTTATTTGTTTAATAAGTACAATCATTCAAGAGAGATTTTATAAAAGATGAACAAGTAAGAACATAAATTTCAAAATTAATATTTAAAGAGATATTTTTATGCAGTTGTAATTATTTTTTACCTGAACACTGTTGCTATATCCTCCTCAGATGGATGCAAAGTATCTCCCAAACTTCCAGATCCAGGATGACTTCACCATTTTATTTTTCAGCAATAATAATAATAATGATATCAACAAAAACAACTAAAGTAACAGCAACAATCATTTAGGTAAGTGGGCTCATTGCCTTTTACAACATGCTTCTATTCATATTTTTTACTTGATTTTCACAAATATGAGATAAAAGTAGATTTTACTCACTTCAGTGAACAATGGAGAGGATGGAAGTTCTGAGATAAGAAAGGACTTACACAGATGATTGGAACAAATAATAAAAGATGCAATGGGCCTGGGATTTGGACCAAGGACCTTGGATTTCTCAGCATCATAATGCTTTTTTTTTTTTAACCCTCAAAACAGGCCTGCTAATAAAGACACTTTATACTGAGAGAGATTCTTTGTACAATAGCCACTTCGTTTTCATTTTGTTTAATCATTACTTTAAAGACAAAATGAAGTTGTATTTGTCCCATTTCACAAATGGAGAAAGACAAGCCCCAAGGGAATTTAAGAATGTCCATGTTTTTATGGCCAGTTACCCAGTGAGAGAAGCACATAGAAAAATCCTAACCTACTGATTAATTTCTTAAGTTGTGTCTGCTAAAACAGAAGTGCTCAGGAGCCAGGGAGCACAGGCAGCCATAAATATCAGGATGCTCTTGGTGGACTATTAATAATAATTATTGCTATAGTTTTAGAATTGTGCATTTCTTTGGGTTTGAACTTATGATTTCTTCAATATAGTCAAAGAAAAATATATGTCTATAATACTAGCATTATACACCTTTAAGGCTCTGATATGGATTCATATTCAAAATTCTAGGAGGTTCTCTGATTTCAATTAAGCAAATACATCTTAATCATTGCCCCAGTTTGTTCTCTAGTCCACATCCCTTAGTAGATAAAAATGTAACTCTAATACCAATTAATAAATGACCACTTTTTCAGTCCAGGCTTCCCAAATCCAGAGACAAAAATACAGATCGCCAATGTTTTTTTTTTGTTTGTTTTCTTCTTTTTTTTTTTTTTGGTAACAAAAAAATTCAACTTCAGGTAGTTTAAAATGGGATTCAGGCCTTTTTAGTTTCCCCTGGATTTTGTTGTTTAGGGTAGGTTGGGCAGCAGGAAAAGAGTTTGGGAAATATATCAATGAGTCCTTCTCTCTAAGAACAAAAAGACAAAACAAAACAAACAAAAAAACAAACAAACAAAAACCGGAGAAACAAAAAGAAAAAAAAACCTCAGTGTTCTCTGATTTTAAGGCCAGACAACAACCAAAAAGCTTTATTGTTTCTTTGTGAATCTTTCCAACTGCAGTGGAAATCTCAAGAGGAGATTTAGCTTAAACCAGTTAAGCCGTTGCATCCAATATTTTACAGAGTCCAAGTCTGGACTCAATGTCTGGACACGTGAACATGTCTAGTTAGAGGTGTTTGGGTTAATGCACATTCTTCATGTGGTTTGGATCACTTCTGTGGCCAAACTCTACTCCTTGCCACTCCACAGTGGCAAGTCTTGAAATTCACCAGACAGGTCATAAAATCCTCAGGACAATTGAAGGATAAAGAATATAAAAATAATTCAGAGTTATACATTCTGATGAATTGTATTTTATTACTTATAAATATGTCAAAATGAAAAAAAAAATGTATTGGTGGTCTCATCACTGTTTTAGGCTACCTAATTTGAAATCAAATAAAAAGAAGAAAGCCTAAAAAACATAGTGAGATTCTGTCGCTACAAAAGCAAACAAACAAACAAACAAACAAACTAATAAAATAACTGGACAGTGCATTAATGTAGTCCTAGCTACTCAGGAGGCTGAGGTAGGAGGATTGCTTGAGCCTAGGTGTTGAGGTTATAGTAAGCCATGATTATGCCAATGAACTCCAGCCTGGGCACAGAGCAAGTCCCTATCTTAAAAAAGAAGAAAAGAAAGAAAAAAGAAGAAGGAGAAGGAAGCAACTTGAAGTATTTGACCATAGAGTAGTTGAACATTAATTTTTAAAAGAATTATTTGTAGACAAGATAAATTTCCTGTACATTGGGCTATTTTGTACATTTAAAATAGGATTTGGATTATCCAAACCTAATGTATATGCAGCTTTTACAAAAATTATGTAACATAAATTTATTCTGGATCTTACAAAAATAAATTCACTTATATTTTACTTAAGTCATAAAGTAAAGCTCCAATGAGTTACAAATGTAACAAAACTTGTTCCTGGTCCTAAATATGTTTGGAAAGCAGGAGAAAGCAAAAATAGTTTTACTCTGTTGTTTTTACAAGAAAAATAACTCGATATGAATTCAGATAAATTTCTCATATTTGGGTTCTGAAATAATGAATTCCTCATTATCTATAAATATGCAATATATCTGTTGAAGACCAGAGAGGACAAATCGATAAATATAAAGTTGAATAAAGCAATATACTGGGTAGAGATCCCACAAGAAGAAACCAAATGTCTGTAGCATCTGACAGAGCATGATTAGGCAGGAAAAGGCATTTCATTTGGGACATTCTAGAAAAATGCAATCTTTGCATTGCTTAGATTCCTTAGAAATGTACCCACCCCATCCCCCAAAAAAGCTTGAGAACAAACTGTGATCATGTTTTAGAAATGTTCCTTGAAGAAGCAGTCATTTAGTTTGGAAAGAAGTCATAAGTGGCACTTGGTCCCGTGTGCATCAAAACACATGGAATCAGCTAAATTAAGCATAAGAACTGTGTAGACTTATGTTTTTATCTATGTGGGTGGTTTTTTTGGTATGGGATGGGCATGGGAAGAAGGACGGGGGAAAGAAAATGAGCAAGGAGAAATTCTATTCCTAAAAGGAGATAGTCTAAGCCAAGCAAAGGAAAGAAAACAAGGTTGACATCCAAAGGAACACATTAAGCATGTCAAAAGAAGTAATAAGATTGACTCTAAAAGTAGGGGAAATATAGAGTGTTTGGGAATTGGCTTTGCTTCTGTGAAGTGATATTTGTGTTAGAAAAAGCCAGGCAAAAGTCATGAGAGTCAAAATTATTACATGTGAAAGGAAATGGGTAACAATGGGCTTAGAGAATTCAGGAGAAGGGAGGTTTGGTGGTTAATTTCAGGAACTAGAAGACATAAAAGAAAACATATGAGATATTTCACAGAAAAGGAAATAATGTAGCTTCCAGCCAATGTAGATAAAAAGATTGGCAAACCTCCCTTCTTTCACTTCTTAGTTTAGACTACTTTGTCAACATTGCCTAGAATGGCCATCTTATAAAAAATTTGTACTCACCCACCTATGTTTCTTATACCCCTATCCCATCCTAATGTTACCCCATAATACAACATATTCTCATATACTATATTAGTTACTCATTTATTTTGTTTATTGAATGACACTATTCCCCTATCTACCATATAAGCCCACTGAAAGCAAATAGATGTTTGTTCAATGATGTATCTCAAGCATCTACAATTGCACCTGGCACAGAGCAGGCACTGGAAAAGCATTTGTTGAATGCATGAAAGAATAAAAAACACAATATTCAAAGAGGAAAGTTTGCAGGCAGAACTTAAACTGTGAGATTTTTCATTATAAAATAGGTGCAGTTAGTATTGATACAGAAAGGAAAGACACCCAACATTACTTCTGCTTTTAGAACCAAACTAGTTTATAGGAACTTCACAAACATTAGAGAAAAATTGGAAAAAAAAGTGTCATAGTGAAAGAGTATGAGAAATGTGATTGAGTGCCGTGACAACTAGAGGTTGAATTTAAGAATTTGTCTTTGTGGTAGATGTTCCAAACTGCATAGATATCTAATATCTCCCCAAATACTATTGCTTGAGTATCCAACCTGTGATACAGCCTCATCAAATTCATGAAACTCCTGATAAACAACTTCCATTAATTGGTGTGGCAAAAATATAGTGACATTTAATCCTGGAAAAGTTTAGTTTTCATCTGTTGAGTTACTTCCTTAGGCTCCTTAAATCTTACAAGACTGCTAATATAAGTCTGTATTTAACACTGACATTTACACCACTTCTCAGTCATCAGCAACCAACATATCAGTGAAACAAGAATGTTAATGCATGATCTTTGTAAACTAGAATGGAGGAATTTGATGCATATGTCATTCTTGTCTTCCAGAAGCTCAGGGCAGGTATCCCACCCATATCTTCTCAACATTCACAGACTTCTTATTGTGAGAACCTACCTCTATCAGCTTAAGTATGTTCTCTGGTAGGAGGAGGTTGCCCTATACACTCTAGTAGTACCAAAAAGTTAGCTGCCCAGGTGAAGCCTTCACTAATAATGAACAAGAGTTGGAAGATAAATGTCCCACTTCCTTCCCCTTGGGTGGTACAATTTTAAGATGTGCACTGAAGATTATCCCATAAGTCCTTGGTGGAATTATGTGCCAATCATTGACAGTGGTAAACTTGGCAATGTACTTTGAATTGCTTGTCTCCCCTCCCCAGTCTCACGTGAACATTTTTCTACCAGTGCTTCCTGGAATCACATCCTTACACTTAAATCTTCATCTCATGGTCTCATGGTCTAGAGAATCCCTACCTAAAGCAGTCTTATAGCCTATGTATGATGATAATACAACATATCTCAAAAGTGAACAACACCAGCAATTAAATGTTAGACTGTGTGTCAGGAGCTGACTGCCATAGGAGATAAATTTGGCTGAAGATGACAGACATACTTTGGATTTTAGAGAGGAAGTGAGATATTTTGCCAGATTGTGAGAAGTATAGTGGATTTTCAGCTGGATATAAGAGGTGAGTGATGTTAGGAATCAGGAAAAGAGCACAGAGTGTTTGTGAAATTGGGAGTTGGGTGAGAAGGGACAGGTTTTGTTCCAGAACAAGTTTGATAAAAATTGGCCAGATACCTATCAGCAAGCAGAAGATGCCATCATAAAGTAAGACCAACCAAACATTTAGAAAAAATGATTCCCCTACTCCTATGCCCTGGAGTAAGATCTCTAAGAATCACAATTTGTATATAGCAGATGCTGTTACCATCCCCACTTGGATTCCCTTTCCTGACTCATGTATCCATCCCCCTGCTTCTATTGGTTACTAATGGCTCTCAGCTGCCCACTTCTCTGAAGAAATATCCTTGGCCAAAAGGGAGTGTCCTTACCTAAGAGATTGCACATGCCCTGTTCACTGGCAGCCTACATTACAACTGGTGACTAATTGACATGAATGACAAAGGGTACAGAATGCTGGCCCCTAAACCTCTAGGTCATGCAATTTATATTCTAGACCTCCACCTTCTGCTATAGAAGCAGGCAAAATGACACATGTGTGGTATCTTCCACTGCCTTACCCTGCTTCACTCATTGCCGTCTTACAAAAGCTCATCCTCATTAAGTCATGTGCAGTCATGTGCACCCAAATCTGTCTCAGGCTCTGCTTCCAGAGAAGCTCATCCAAGACCCCACATGTACAACAGGAGTGGACCTTCTTCATAAGCTGACAGGGAAAGGCATTATAACTCATTTAGTCCTTCCCAGACCTTCCTTGAGTCTCTGATGAAGACAAGTGAGGTCTTTCCAACTTCCTGAAGACACCCATTCAGTCACCCACAGACTTTCTCAGGATCTGCTGCAAATCTAAGCCCAAATGCATCACCTAAAGTGGCCCCTTTCATTGAAGGGCCAGCAGGCCACTAACTGATGAGGTGGACGTGACCTCAGGCAGAAACAAATCTCCAATAATAGTAGCACAAAGACATTGGAACTGTCCTTCAGGCCAAACTGCTCCCCCATGCACAGTGGAAAGAGTGAGCAGGTAACCTTCTGAGAGGCCTAAAATTGGATCCTTCAGGGAGGCTTGGGACGAAAGAATCATAATGCTTTTTATATACCAAATCTCAGGATCAGTTGGAGGGATTGATGTGTGGGGGGCCCTTGTTCCAGGTCTTGAGTGTATTGTCTGCAACCTCAGTTAAACTAAAAACAAAGCAAAATAAAGTGCAGTCCCGCCGTGCCTAATACTCCCCAGATGACTTTAAATGGGACTATTAGCAGAACATGATGTCTTTCTTTCTTTCTTGTTTTTTTTTTTCTTTTAAAGAGGCATTCTTTTTAAAACTCATTGTGACATTGCAGCTCCTATTGCTACTATGTGGTGTAATGAGGGTCTCTCTTCTTCTGCCACCATGTGGTTTGTGTTGAATGAACAAATGTTTCAACATTAGCCTAAGTAGACTTAAGCAGAAAGTTTATTTGTAGTTCAGATAGACGTGCATGTTTCTTTCATGCATTTCTAACCCAAAAGCAATGGTTTGGACTCCTGAGTGCTAGAACATATCTAAGACCTCAGCACAGAGCAATACACCGGTTTCTTATGAAGCAATCAAAGAACAGTGTATTGTACCTCATGACCAAGCAATTCCTCTCTTAGGAATACACCCAGCAGAAATGCAGATATATGTTATCAAAAGACATATGAGTGTTCATAGCAGCATGATTTGTAAGAGCCTCAAACTGGAAACTACCCAAATGCTAATCAACATTAAATTGTGACATACACATACAATGAAGTACTATACACAACTAAGAATGAACAATCTCTGTTACACATTGCCATATGAATGAATTTCAAAACATAATATCAATAGAAGACAGAAACAAATATGCATAAAAATAAGCGAAATCTAGCTTGTAATATTGCAAGTCAGGATAATGGGAGTTTACCCTTAAGAGCATGGGAGATGGTCACTAGAAGGGAGCATGCCAGCTGGCACCTGGAGGCACCTTTAATGTTCTGTTTATTGATTTGACTGCTGGTTACATGGACACATTCACTTTGGAAAAAATCATCAAACTGTATAGGTAAAATTTTTGCACCTCTCTGCATGTTATTCTTCAGAAAAAGATTTAAGAGAATAAGCTTACTTAACTGAACTGAATGATCTGTTATTTGGGGTCATTCAGATTTATCTTTCTTCCATGAATGTCACTACTGAAACGCCGAGAGATTAAACCAAGTATGGAGTATTAGCAGGAAACCAAGTACGGAGTATTAGCAGGAAGTCCACATTGAGAAGCACTGGTGAACCAACATAAATTATCTTGATACATGAAATTCAGGACAAAATATAACACCAGTTGTATTTCGGTTTTTGGCTTTTGTTTCCAGGGAGAACTTTACCTTGTTAGGTGTTTTAGAAATATAAGAAAATTCTTTAGATTATATTAAATTATAGAATTGTATATTGAGGGTGGACTTGGAGAATAATTAATATAGTCCATGCATTTTGCAAATAAGAAAACTGACCTCAAGAGGTTAAATAATTGGCCCAAGGTCACATGTGTGGTTAGTAGCAGCCCTGGGAGGAGGTCCAAGGTCCTGATTTCTTTTTCCGGAGACCACACAGCCTCCTTATTTTCTAAGAAAGTCCATGAATACATTTAAATGGTCTGCTACAGAATTTTCAAAGATCAACTCATTTAGTCCTGTTGGTACAATGTATAGTCTGTGAACTGGCTCTACTTCCTCTGCTACAATCTGTCAACAATCAACAAGTCCATAGACTGGCATTTCTGCTTCAACTTAATGGTTGACTTTAATTAATACATTGTTTTTGTGCTCATGAAAACTGGTTAGCTCACACAAACAGCTTTAAAATCAAAATATGTTCTCAGAAACAAAGACAATGGAGGCCCTCAGGGTCACTTTTTCAAAAGCAATAACTTTTGTCCATCCCTTGAGGGAGTCACGAAGTCCTTGGGACAAATCTCTCCTAATTGTCATCAGTTTACCACAGAGCTTCCCAACCCTCTTTTTCAGTGCAGTCTGTAGGAGTTTTACGCACCATGATGCTATGGCTCCATCCAGACCTCCCAAGTCAGATTCTCTGGAGAAAGAGTCTGGACATCTGAACCTTTAAAAGCCCAGGTGATTCTGATGTAGCCCTGGTTGGAATGCCTGGTCCATTACACCTCTGTGACATGGCTCCTTTCTTCCTCTCCATGATCCTTCAGGTATGTGGAGATTTAGTAAATAAAGCAGTAACTCACAAATGGTTGTCTTAACTACACCAAACCTGAGTGTCTATTCTTTCTCAAAGTGTCATTGATCACATACCACAGGTTGGTATATTGCCCACTTCAATGGCTACATACATGCAACCAACAAACAATTCATTTTATATTCAAGGGTGCTGTAAATTTCTTAAAGAGCAATTAAACTATACACGTTTTGGGGGCCGGGGAGGTCACAGAAGCATTGATAAAGATTACGCATACATTAAAAAGAAAGAAAATCAAAGCTGGATATGAGAAGGGTCAAATAGGAGTCAGAGACTCAGTCAAGGCTCTGAGTCCAAAGTCAGAGATGGCTGAGAGGCAAAGGGAAGGCTGCATAAATGAAATAAGAATAAAGTGTCAAACCAAAACTCATCTTATTTGAATTTTTTTACAAAATAGAACAATTCTACCGTCACATTCTACCTTATATGATGCACATCACTATAAAATCATTTGAACTCTGTGAACAAGGATCTAAGAGATGTAAAGAGATATATTTTGAGAGACATAAAGTACTGACATTATCAAGCATTGGTAATTAACTAATTATTGGGGCCAGGTGCTGTGGCTTACGCCTGTAATCTCAGTACTTTGGGAGACCAAGGTGGGTGGATCACCTGAGGTCAGGAGTTCGAGATCAGCCTGGCCAACATGATGAAACCCTATCTCTATTAAAAATACCAAAAATTAGCCGGGCACGGTGGTGCATGTCTGTAACCCCAGCTACAGCTACTTAGGAGGCTGAGGCAGAAGAATTGCTTGAACCCGGGAGGCAGAGGTTGCAATGAGCCAAGATCATGCCACTACACTCTAGCCTGGGCAACAAGAGTGAAACTCCGTCTCAAAATAATAATAATAATTAACTAATTATTGACCCTTATTAGTTAATTCATTAACTGATTAATTCATATGTATTGTATCCACTATGCAGTAGTTATTACTATCACAGGTTTTTAAAAGACCCTGTCCTACGAGTTTATATCTAGTGAGATGACAATAAATAAATAAATACCATAATATGGTGCTGAGATATAATTCAAAGACAAGGGTATGGATGTCCAGACCTAGTCATGTGAGTCCTCTTGAGGTAAATCTTAAAAGAAAAGCAGGAAAAGGTAGAAAAGCAAAGGAGAGAGTTATAGAGAGAAAGAGAAAAGTCACATTTATGCATAGGCAGAAGTCACCAAAACACAGGATGAGAAAGATGCTTCTGAGTTTATAAAATTTAAGAAGTTCAGCTGGGCGTGGTGGCTCATGCCTGTAATCCCAGCCTTTTGGGAGGCTGAGGCAGGCGAATCACTTGAGGTCAGGAGTTTGAAACCAGCCTGGCCAACATGATAAAACTTCATCTCTACTAAACATACAAAAAATTAGCTGGCATGGTGGCGCACACCTGTAATCCCAGCTACTCAGGAGGCTGAGGCAGGAGAATCACTTGAACCCAAGAGGCAGATGTTGCAGTGAGCCAAGATTGCGCCACTGCACTCTAGCCTGGGTGACAGAGCGACACCCTGTTTCCACAACAAACAAACAAATAAACAAAACCCTCAGAAATTTAAAAAATTCAATATGATATAAACACAGAGCTCATGAATCCAGGAAAATCCTGTCTTCTTAGCTCACAAGTTCCCATTGCATTCTACCTCTCATCTACTCGACTTATATGTGTATCTTATGAGTTCCTGGAGGACAGGACTCTAAACACAGAAGCATATCCCCTGGTCTACCAGCGTCTCATACATACTTCCGATTGAATAAATTTCTTCCAGATCTATTGTAAGTGAGAAAAGTGAAGTTCAGGGAATTAAGGGGGACAGTCTAAGATCACACACTATTTAGTGGCTGAACCAGATAATAAAACAGGATCTTGGGAGCCACTGTTTGCCTACACAACAGCCCCCATGCAAGTCCTGAGTTAAAGGAGTCTTTGCAGCTTCCAGTGAATGTATCCATAGAATGTTAAGAATGGAAAGCTTGCTTGAATCCTAATTTCCTAAAGTAGATATTAACTGCTGGGATTATAAATTAATCATAGAGAATGAGTCTGAACCAATGACTCAGTAATTCAGGATTATTGTAATATTAACTAAACCCATTTGTAAGAGCTGTTCACTTTTTCCTAGTATACAAATAAGTAATGCTTTAAAAAATTGTAACTTTACATTTTATAAGCATAATTAAATAAGTAATTAAAGCAGATTATAATGGGAAAAAAATGGATCTTCACCCATCCTTAAAGTAATGAATTATTGCCCACAGAGTTCTAAGAATTTATCAAAGACAGAAAAAGAAAGGGATTCAAAATCTTGGGTAAATATTCTCATAAAACCATGAAGACAGAATCAACAATGTCCCACCAACCCTCAAATCTAACACCCAGATATTAATGATATATTTCTCTCAGATCCATGTTGTCATAGAAACAACACTTTTCAAGCAATACCATCTGCCAAAGAAGGAAGCTGGTAGTAATTTTCAATCAGTGCTTAAAATTTTCAATGTTGAGGCTTAGTGCTTTTTCCTCTCAGTTCTGCATCTGGTATGCATAGCTCTATTATTTACAACTGACCTCTTCCCCAGTTTTTTTTTAATTGGTTTATAACAAAACCTTTCATCATGATCATTTCCCTGGACTCCATTGCTGGATCAACCCCTGTGGCCTTGCCCTGGTTACTCAAAGTCTAACACAATTCATGTGAACAGGCACTTAGTGAATGTTGGCTATACCCCCAGCTCTTCGCTTATTCTGGGACTGTGGGGGATGCTCAATGAGCTCTTCAGAGTGGAGGGATGAACAAACACCTAGCATCTATGAATCCATGCAAAGGAATGAAAGGGCAATGCAGAGGTGCAAAGTAGGAACCTGTGTGCAGAGGGATGATGAAGGCTGACAAGGAGTAGAGCTCAGTTTCGGAGGAGTTGTTATTAATATTTATCTGGTCCTTGAATATTCAGTAGAATTTCAATTAGCGTGCCTTGAATGCTCTGCACATGTGTTTGGATTGTTTCTATAAGCCATGGGGAGCCATTAACAATAACTAAGCAGAATTATTTAAGGGAACAGCTCTGGCAGCAGAGCCAATGGAGAAGTGAGGGTGAAAGGCAGAGAGAGAAACATTAAGAGGTTCTCTAGGAGATACTCACAGCAGCAGCTGCTGCATCACCTGGGAGTTTGTTAAAAACACAGAATTTCAGGCTCCATCCCAGACCTACGAACCTAGAATCTCCTGTTTCAGTCAAATCCCTGGAAGAGTAGAGTATGAAAGACACTGGTCTAACAGAAAATGTTGCATATTCCCATCTTGGCAAGGTTAGGGACCATAACTCTGAGTAACGCTGGATTTCAGAGAGCTAGGCCTGTCCCAAAGCTCTGAGTGAAGAGCAAAGGAAATGTGAAATTATTACTAATATTAATAATGGGGGCAAACTCTGGAAGTGGGGGATAATGCAAAGGCTGAAGGACCTCAAGTACAGGTGGGAAATAAGAATTTGCTAAGAAATGAAAGGGCCACGAAAGTGAATAGAAGAGACAAAGTTATGGCTGGAGTTAGGGCATCTGAAGAAACTGCAGAAGGCAGCTGAGATGGCAAAGGAATCTGGTATGGAACAGCTGCCAGGAGGCTTTGAGTGAGGGGTGTATCCATGTGGGGGCAGGAGGTGGGGGTATGAGGACACTGGTTTGCACTAGATGCCAAGTAGTTTCAACTTGGTGAACAGAAAGGAGGGAATTTCAGAGTCACAATAGAGGGATGGTCTATAAGTTTGAGTGACAAATTGTATGCACAGAGGGAGGAAGAAGGAGATGCTGAAAATGAATGACACCTATTTTTCCAACCTGCCTAATTGCAGTAAGGCAATGCCAACTACATACGAAATTAAATGCATGGAACACAGAAAACCTTATATCACTGATAAGCAAAACTCTAGAATATTTTTTTCAGAAAGTACACACAATCTACCCCTGGTGACTTTAGTGTCACCGAAGTGTCACACCTTTAAGAATGAGTAAAAATATCTAATTTGTATTGAGTACTGGTAAAAAACATGATTTAAAATGCTTAAAATGCCCATTATAAACCTCATAACTCCATGAAGCACGCTCGGTTATTACACTCATTTTACAGGTAAGGAAACTGAGGCATGGAAGGGCTACTTAACTTGCCAAAGGCAAAAATTAGTGTTAAAATCAATATTTGGACTTGGTTAGTGGTGTCATAGCCAGTCATCATCATCACTATGCTAGGCGGCATCCCCTTCCTCCCTGACATCTTCATCCTATTATTTAGCCTACAGGCCATTTCTAAGGTCAAACAGGTACCAAGTTTTATATACCAAAAAAATCTGGTATAAAGATTGTGGAGTTCCTCAGAAGACGGTGTGTCTCTAAATCTCAGAAATTACTTTTCTGAATGGAAAAACATTAAAGGGAAATATGTCTTAGAAATAGTAAGATGGCTATATAAATTAGGATAGAATCAGTTCCTGATTATCTGCATTTATTGATGATAGTGTTGGCAGAAACCATTGAAATCCCTCAAACTTTAACAGCCATGTCAATGACTGATTTTTCTGTACTCTCTAATCTAGATCCCAGGTATTTTCAGAGTAGCCTCATGAAAAAGGGAAAAAGTAAAGTATTGTAAGAAACTAAGGATAGATTAATAAAAATGTTGGGTAACTACTAGGCACGTTGCTCGGATGCAGCTTTCCTGAAGTTCAGATCCATCTTCATTTTCCCTACATGCCAACCATATATGAACGGCAAACCACTTATAGCTTATCCATCAGTTCTCCTATCTGCAAATTGGGGTCAGTAATAGCATTTATTTGTAAGTATTGTTGGAGGGAACTAAATGACATAATTAAAGAGGGGCACATAGTAAACACCCAATAATATGATAATCATCAGGTCAGTCATCAAGACCAATACATAAAAATTAAATTGAAAATGACTACTCCTCTTTTACAAACTGTCCACCAGATTGAAGTATATCTGTCTCAGTCTTAATCTCTCTTAATTGTGGGTTGAAAGATGAAGCCCAGGTTGGCAGGAAAAAACTCTTTTCATTTTTCTTTAAATGAGCTCCAGAAGTCTTTTTTCCTTGGCCACTGTTATTTACTCTGGCAGTCAAAGTTAGCAGCAAGAACTATTAGCAAAAACCCCCAAATCACATGGATATCAATAGAATAAAACCTTCCAAGATTCCATATCCTGCTTATGCCTCAAATCCAGAAACATCACTGACCTCCTTTTAGCACTGACTGATGACAATGCAGATATTTCAGGCTGCAGTTCCTTGCACACTACGGCCTGTCTGAGTTTGTTTTGCCCCTGGACTATTTTTGCTCACATGGTTGCTCTCAGCCGCAGACACTCAAATGGAAACCAGAGTGATCCAAATGCTTGGGAGGAACTTATAAACAAACGTAGGAAGAAGCATCTCGTCTGACCACGGCGCCCACAGCAGTTTCTGTAGACAGAATATAAGGAGCTGGAAATCCAGCCCCTACTAGTTAAGAACTTGCCTTAAATCTTTCTTAGGTATTTCAATATTTCACACCAGGATGGAAGGATGGAAATTGAGAGGAGCAGGTTGGGAAGAGCTTATTAATAGTGTGTGCATGTGTGTGTGTGTGTGTGTGTGTGTGTGTGTACCTAAATATTTTTTTTGGCGGGAAAGGTGGCCTGGAAGGGCTAGGTGCCTGCCATTCTGTGCTTGGAGAGAAAATACAGGACCAGGCACAGTGGCTCACACTTGTAATCCTAGTGCTTAGGGAGGCTGAAGCGGGATGACTGCTTGAAGCCAGGAATTAGAGACCAGCCTGGGCACCAGAGTGAGACCTTATCTCTACAAAAAATGAGAAAATTATCTGGGCATGGCCGCACGTGCCTGAAGTCCCAGCAACTCAGGAGGCTGAGGTGGGAAGGTTGCTTGAGCGCAACAGTTCCAGTTTGCAGTGAGCTATGATCATGCCACTGAAAACAAAAACAAAAACAAAAACAAAAAAAAAGGAAGAAAATACAAATAGGGTATTTTTTAAAACTAAAAGGCAACCCCTTCCCCCACAAAAAAAGAAAAAAAGAAACAGGTCCCTATGTTTAGAAACTTCCAGAAAAACCTCAGACTAAATTCAGGTGTCTTCCTTTTAATTAAGAAAAGAAAATGGTTAAAATAGACTCTAAACATTATATGAGTGGTATTTATTTGGAGATCATTAGTACCCCAAAGCCACCTTGCAAATATCCAAACACCATTAACTTAAACAGAACACCTTAATTCTGTAGAGCTCAGAAATGTGGGAATACACACAGTACAAGGCATTCCAAACTTCTATCCTTTCTCTCAAAGTACCTGGCTCTTTCTTCTCTCCTCCCTACTCCACTTCCTATTGGACCATAGTCAGCCAAGAAAGTGATGCAAAATAAGGAAAGGAGGTGGCCCAAACCATGAGGCTGCTCTGGCAAAATCCTCTGATTGGAGCATAAACCGTACCTACCAATGGCTTCATTCATCCAGTCTTGATTCATATCAACTCTTCTGTACATTGTCACCTTTGAAGGATTTCCAGCCACAAACCTCCAATGCTTGCACGCTAGAGAGAAACAGAACAGACAGTGTTATCTGGGACCCTGCTATCCTTGATCAGAATGTCAGGCCTCTGGATCTAAACATATAAAAATAAAAAGGAGAAAACAATTCTGCACAAAAGCAGTAAGAAAACTAGAAGGAATCCTTTCTTTCACAAATGGCCAAATCTTTAAACGTGTGTCTATTAAATACATCTTTTAAGACTAAAAAATGACATGCAGCCTGCCAAAACAAAATCAGGTTATAGAACATTTTCACCTTTTCGCCTTCCAACAAATTGCTTGTTTTCCCATCTGAACAATAACCTTATTGTTTGCACTAAAGTACAGTACATGACTAGTCATGTTAGGAAGTGAATGAATTGTTGTGCTGTCAACATGATTTTTTTCCCACATACCTATTATATCTAGGAATTCCTTCCAAAGTTAGAAACTTTGAAGAAAATGCACACTGCTTTCATCTGCTTGTATTATTTAGAGTTATATTGACATTTAGATTAGAGCTGCTTAGTAATGTGAATTTTATTGTTGTTATTGTTATTATTTGCACAGGTTTCTGAATATACACTCTGAACTCTTGTCAAAGTCTGATGAGAATTTGGGTTTATAGTACTTTGCATGTTTTATTTAAGCCCAGGTTGTAACTTTCTGTAAAACTTCAGTTTACTTACCGGTACAGGAATATACGAAGACATCATAAAGGTTTACACCTGAAATAAGACACTCCGAATCCTTTCCATCCCTTTCCTTTCTTATTGAACTTAATAATTCAGGAGTCTACTGACAAAGAAGAGGAGGTATAAGACATCCAGCTGGGTCTGATCTGGAGAAATGGAAACAAATCAAATATTTTAATAGTAAATCAGAACGAAAAGTTCTGTTGATAACATGTAGAGCTCAGATATTAATTCAACATTCTGTCAAGCATGGCAAACAAAAACGTTCATATCTTCCTACTCTGTTTGTTGATGGCTGTAAATAACAAGTCAGACAGTCATAGAAACTTGGACATGCAGCTGGGTGAAATAAGTTCCATTCAGCATTCATTTCCAACTTCAGCCAATCTCATGACCACACTAATGAACACCTAAACACCCTCACATGTCCCACTTAAGATGCCCATAAAACTCTTACCGTGTGGACCAACCAGCCTTCAGCACGTACCCTTCATTTTAATCTGCTTTTCATTCTATGTTCCTCCTTGTCTTTCTTCAAGTTTCAAAGGGGTAATGCGTATGAAAAATAAATTTACCCTTAGGTTCTTGGTATGCTCAGAGTTCTAAGGCTAGATCAGATTTGCATTAAGACCGCAACATACATGCATCAATATGCTTTCTTGAACCCCTGCCGAAATCTACACACAACAGATGAGTAATGAGTCTTGGAGAAAAGTGAAATCTGTCAATCTGATTATTTTCTGTCTTGGGTGAGAGACAACCTAAATGCTGCTCCCCACCTCACTCTCCCAGCCCTCCAACAGGCCAGCCCTGGCATGTTCTCCTAGCAAAGGCAGAAGCACATAGTTGAAAGCAGAAACATAGAAGCGAAGTTGGTTTTCAAGCCTCTGCATGTGTCCCATATGCTAATATCTCATTGGCCAAAACTAGTCACATGGCCACAGTCAGAATCAAGGGGTAGGGAAATCGGCTCCACCACCTTATGTGTCAGAGTTGTGAATGCAGGAAGGGGAAAATAATTGGGGTCCTTAGTGCAATGAATCCACGATGGTCATTGATGTATTCACAGACACAGGTAATAGAAGGACCCAGGAATAGTTTGAGTCAGAGATAAAACTCACTCACTTCTCTCAGGTCTCCAGATTTCTGATTTGCTCCTCGTTTTCTGACATCCACTGCCTTTTTTGACTGAAGAACAATGAAATGAGTTATAAAAGTGTCCCATAATCAATTTCAATATTATCAAATATGACTCATACTCTCTAAAATAGTGCCTAAGAATACTTATCTATTAAGTAAATGTAAAGAGCTTTGAACCAAACTTAAAAATCTTTATTCCTAGTAAGATTTTATATCATTAGAGGGCATCATGCAAGCCGGGCAAGTATCAGACAAAGAAAAGCCTAAACTCTGATGGCTGGAGACATTTACAATCTACTGAGTTACCAGATTAAGCAAATAAAAATACAAGGTGCCCAGTTAAATCTGAATTTCATACACAAAGGCTATTTTTGTCATGCGTATTTCTAGGGGTACACTTACACTAAAAAAATCCTTATTTATCTGAAATTTAATTGTAACTGGTTATCCTCTATTTTATCTGACAACCCTAAATCTACCATGAGATTTAAGATATACACAAACCATCAGTAACAAGGAGTGATATTCTTGAAGATTTTTTCAAGGAGAATTGCTGTAAGTATTCAGAATAAAGACACTAATTTTATAATGAAAAGTATTGTTGAATTTGGCATATAAGTTAATGTTTTCCAAAAAAAACTTTTCCATAAAGTTATATTAATAAAGCACAGTAGGATTTCATATTTCATATGTATATATGACCATTAATTTCACCATAGGGAGTGAGTGAATAGAAATTGAACCTTATCAGTGTTCATGTAGTCATTAAAATTCTGGGGCTGCTCTGTGCCTTTGATGGACTTGAAAGTGAAAACAGAGCAGGACCCCTTGATTCCCCAAGCCACTGTGGAAAAGTCTAGCCCACAGAGTAGATGTGATAAGAGGATATAGATTTTGTGGCCCTAACAATTTATTCTCAGCGTCTTTCAAAGTGTTCACTGGCAAGAAAACAATACTCGTGGATTCAATTCTATACACCCACCTCCTAAGAACCTCAGCCACAATGCCCGTGACCACCATATCAGAGCTCATTGCTTGAAGTAAGAAGCAAATGGATAGCTGGGAGAATCCAAAATTGTAAAAACAATTAATAAATAAATTTAAATTTAAAATAAAAAGTTAAGTAGATGCAAGAGATTTGTGTTGCTATGAGTCAATAGACAAGATGAAGAGTTAATATTTGTCTGCTTTTGTAACAGCTGTCAGTGGGAAGGAATTTAAAAAAAAATCATCAACAAAAAAACTTCCTCCTCAATCTGGGCAAGCTATCTGTTAAACCTGGTTTCCATTAAATGTTTGTTAATTCAGTTTATAAAAGCCAAAGCCCAATGGCCACCATCTGTACACACAGTAGAGGCTGTATGTGTACAGGCTGGCATTCTGCCAGTATATAGTGTCCTATGGACTGGTATCTTGTAGGTAAACATTGTTTGAATCTCAAATAATCAAAAATTAAAAAAAATATTTTTATGGCTCCAATAGTCTTATAATGCAAGACAAATATTGAATTTCCTGTGCTCAGTTCCTGTGTTCAGGCTGTGGACCTTCTTGTTGGCAACTGAATGTGAGTGGGGGTTTGTTTTACCATTTCATTAGGTCAAAGTTTTCACTTCCGCTAGGAAGGCAAAGGAAGTTGCCTTTGAGGGAGAATCAATTCCATGTTATAAGTTTTATTGTCACTGGACTAGAGCATTACATTTAGTAAAATTTCTCATATTACAGGATGCTGACTTTGAAGTTAAATGTTGAATATGTATAACTTTTACACATAAGTATCTAATGGACATGTCATGTATTATTTATAAATGTGCTATAAATATACACAAAGAAATACAAAAATAGTGGTAAATAATAACAGTGGTATAAATTACATAATAAACTATATCCCAATACAAAGAGTGATTATCATAATTATTAATATATGCTACAAGAAAAAACATTGAAGGGAGAGGTAAAAGTGAAAATATTCACTTTTTTCCTGGCTTCCATTTGCTCTATACATCTTTACTACACAAACTTTCTCCCTTCCCACTTCACCAGTATCAGACAGTGAAAGTAGTTGACATTGGTTCTCTCACTCTGCCAGTCAGAAAGTCTAATTGGACATCCTCTAGGTGCTATGCACTACGCTAGATAGTGTGGATGATATAGAGCAAGTGTCAGACATGTCTCTGGTCTCCGGCTGATTACTATCCACTTATAACGTCCCCACAATGGCTCTGCCCTGGGGTTTTGTCACTTATATAAAAGGCTTTTCCTCATCAGCATGGTGACCCATGGTCGATGAGCATCTCATTGGGTGGCTATGGTGAGAATGGCTAATACAGAGAGCAATCTTATTGATCTTTCTTCTTCAAGAATTATTTATCAAGTATTCACCATGCCCCATTGCATATGTCAATATTTGTTCTTGAGTGTGTATAGGTGTGTGTGTGCATGTGTACATGTATAAGAAAGGAGAGAGAGATTGAGACTGACTGTATTTGTCAGTTTAACTTAAATTGCTCCAACCTGAAAGAGTCAATGCAGCATTCCAAATGGTCCACAACTGAGTACTTTCTCCATCAAATAAAGGAGGCAATTAAGATATTTAAAATCAGAATAAATGTTTGAGATAATGTGGAACAAACAATAGGTTAATTGACTGTTGCTGTTGATTGTTTTGTTTGGTTTTGCTTCCCAGTGTTAACTGTTCCCAGTGTTAACTGTTGCCATGATATTCTGTGGATGTCATTTAATTCCTAGTCCAAGACGTCACTAAAGCATGGGGAGAATGCAGTTTGTTGGTGAAAAATTTATCTGTATGCAATACTCATGTGGACTTTATTCCTATTAAAATAATATGCTTTGTTTAGCCAATGAATTGAAATTTTAAAAAAATTCCTTTGTGCTAAAGTCATCCCTGTATTTTATTTCAAGACAAACCCAAATACCTTATAAGCAAAGAGAAACATTCAGTTAGCCCTTTGTCAAACTCTGGCATATTGATTTCTTAAAACAAACATGTTTTCTTTTGTTTTCTTACACATACCTTTTACTGAGTTATTATTCAGCCAAATACTTTTCCATTTGAACAAGTGGCAAAGCCAAGAGGCTGTAACAAATGAGACAATTCAGGCATACTATATGGAGCTGTGTTCTAGGAGGATAATTGTGGATTTGGGATCTAAAGACCAAGTTTCAATGTCAGTTCTACGTCTTCCTTGATTGACATTGGGCAGGTCATTCAATGTCTTCTAGGCCTCTGTCCTCAGCCTAAAGGTAAAGATGATGCTTATAGTGCTTTGGGGAAGGCTGATAAGAGAAGGTATGCAAAAACACATCACAGGATATGTAAAGGCAGAGGAATTCAGTGATACAGTTTCTGGGACTCTGTGTAAAGTAGCAGAGCTATCCAGAAGTCCTCAGAAGAATAATTTTTATTCTCTCTTGACCTCTGGATCGACATCACCTTGCCTTGTAGCAGCTTCAAGTTTTACACGCTGAACCCTCAAGAAGAACCTGAATCAACCACAGTAATATTGAAGAGTATTCAATATTTTCTTAAATAGTAAGAAGATATTGATGGTTAAGTCAATAATAAAAAAATTATTAATAACGTATCCTCTATCAACTTAAAGCTATAATACTGTAATGTGCCTTACTTTTAAAATCACGATTCCCAGGCAAGATGGCCAAAAAGGAACAGCTTCTGTCTGCAGCTCCCAGCAAGACCAATGCAGAAGGTGGGTGATTTCTGCATTTCCAACTGAGGTACCCGGCTCATCTCACTGGGACTGATTAGACAATGGGTGCAGCCCATGGAGGGCAAGCAGAAGCAGGGCAGAGCATTGCTTCACCTGAGAAGTGCAAGGAGTCAGGGAACTCCCTCCCCTAGCCAAAGGAAGCCATGAGGGACTGTGTCTTGAGGAATGGTGCATTCCAGCCCAGATATTACGCTTTTCCCATGGTCTTCACAACCCACAGGCCAGGAGATTCCCTCAGGTGTCTACACCACCAGGGCCTTAGGTTTCAAGCACAAAACTGGGCAGCCATTTGGGCAGACACCGAGCTACCCACAGGAGTTTATTTTGTACACCAATGACACGTGGAATGCCAGCAAGACAGAACCGTTCACTCCCCTGGAAAGGGGATTGAAGCCAGGGAGCCAAGTAGTCTTGCTCAGCGGATCCCATCCCCACGGAGCCCAGCAAGCTAAGATCCACTGGCTTGAAATTCTCTCTGCCAGAACAGCAGTCTGAAGTCGACCTGGGATGCTCGAGTTTTGTAGGGGGTGGGGCATCTACCATTACTGAGGTTTGAATAGGCAGTTTTCCCCTCACAGTGTAAACAAAGCTGCCTGGAAGTTTGGACTGGGCAGAGCCCACCACAGCGCTGCAAAGCCATTGTAGTCAGACTGCCTCTCTAGATTCCTCCTCTCTGAGCAGGGCATCTCTGAAAGAAAGGTGGCAGCCCCAGTATGTCTCCCATCTCCCTGGGACAGAGCACCTGGGAGAAGGGGCAGCTCTGGGCACAGCTTCAGCAGACTTAAACTTTCCTGCCTGCCTGCTCTGAAGAGAACAGCTAACCTCCCAGCACAGCACTCGAGCTCTGCTAAGGGACAGATTGCATCCTCAAGTGGGTCCCTGACCCCCATGCCTCCTGACTGGGAGACACCTCCCAGCAGGGGTTGACAGACACCTCATACAGGAGAGCTCTGGCTGGCATCTGGTGGGCACCCCTCTGGGAAGAAGCTTCCAGAGGAAGGAGCAGGCAGCAATCTTTGCTGTTCTGCAGCCTCCACTGGTGATACCCAGGCAAACAGGATCTGGAGTGGACCTCCAGCAAACTCCAACAGACCTGCAGAAGAGGGTCCTGACTGTTAGAAGGAAAACTAACAGCATCAACATCAACAAAAAGGATGACCATGCAAAAACCACATCCAAAGGTCACCAACAGCAAAGACCAAAGGTAGATAAATCCACAAAGATGAGGAAAAACCAGTGCAAAAAGGCCACAAATTCCAAAAACCAGAATGTGTCTTCTCCTCCAAAGGATCACAACTCCTCAACAGCAAAGGAACAAAACTGGATGGAGAATGAGTTTGACAAATTGACAGAAGTAGGATTCAGAAGGTGAGTAATAACAAACTCTTCCAAGCTAAAGGACCACATTCTAACCAAATGCAAGGTAGCGAAGAACCTTGATAAAAGGTTAGAGGAATTGCTAACTAGAATAGCCAATTTAGAGAAGAACATAGATGACCTGATGGAACTGAAAAACACAGCATGATAACTTCGTGAAGCATACACAAGTATCAGTAGCCAATTCGATCAAGTGGAAGAAAGGATATCAGATATTGAAGATAAACTTAATGAAATAAAGCATGAAGACAAAATTAGAGAAAAAAGAATGAAAAAGAAGGAACAAAGCCTCCAAGAAATATGGGAATATGTGAAAAGACCAAACCTACGTTTGATTGGTGTACCTGAAAGTGACGGGGAGAATGGAACCAAGTTGGAAAATACACTTCAGGATACTATACAGGAGAACTTCCCCAATCTAGCAAGACAGGCCAACATTCAAATTCAGGAAATACAGAGAACACCACAAAGATACTCCTCGAGAAGAGCAACCCCAAGACACATAATTGGTAGATTCACCAAGGTTGAAATGAAGGAAAAACGGTTAAGGGCAGTCAGAGAGAAAAGTAGGGTTACCCACAAAGGGAAGCTCATCAGACTAACAGCAGATCTCTCTGCAGAAACCCTACAAGGCAGAAGAGAGTGGGGGTCAATATTAAACATTCTTAAAGAAATGAATTTTCAACCCAGAATTTCATATCCAGCCAAACTGAGCTTCATAAGTGAAGGAGAAATAAAATGCTTTACAGACAAGCAAATGTTGAGGGATTTCGCCAATACCAGGCCTGCCTTACAGGAGCTCCTGAAGGAAGCACTAAATATAGAAAGGAAAAACCGGTACCGGCCACTGCAAAAGCAAATCAAAAAGTAAAGACCATCGACCCTATGAAGAAACTTCACCAACTAATGGGCAAAATAAGCAGCTAGCATCATAATGACGGGATCAAATTCACACATAACAATATTAACCTTAAATGTAAATGGGCTAAATGCCCCAATTAAAAGTCACAGACTGACAAATTGAGTAAAGAGTCAAGACCCATTGGTGTGCTGTGTTCAGGAGACCCATCTCATGTGCAAAGACACACATAGGCTCAAAATAAAGAGATGGAGGAAAATTTACAAAGCAAATGGAAAGCAAACAAAAAGCAGGGATTGCAATCCTAGTCTCTGGCAAAACAGACTTTAAACCAACAAAGATCAAAAAAGACAAAGAAGGGCATCGCATAATTATAAACAGATCAATGCAACAAGAAGAGCTAACTATCCTAAACATATATGCACCCAATACAGGAGCACCCAGATTGATACAGCAAGTTCTTAGAGACCTACAAAGAGACTTAGACTCCCACACAATAGTAGTGGGAGACTTTAACACCCCACTGTCAATATTAGACAGAATAACAAGACAGAAAATTAAGAAGGATATTCAGGACTTGAACTCAGCTCTAGACCAAGCAGACCTAATAGACATCTACAGAACTCTCCACCCCAAATCAACAGAATACACATTCTTCTCAGCACCACATAGCACTTATTCTAAAATCGACCATGTAACTGGAAGTAAAACACTCCTCAGCAAATGCAAAAGAATGGAAATCATAACAAAGAGTCTCTCAGACCACAGTGCAATCAAATTAGAACTCAGGATTAAAAAACTCACTGAAAATCACACAACTGAAAAACCTGCCCCTGAATGACTACTAGGTAAATAGGGAAATGAAGGCAGAAATAAATAAGTTCTTTGAAACCAATGAGAAGAAAAACATCATGTACCAGAATCTCTGGGACACAGCTAAAGCAGTGTTTAGAGGGAAATTTATAGCACTAAATGCCCACAGGAGAAAGCGGGAAAGAGCTAAAATCAACACCCTAACGTCACAATTAAAAGAACTAGAGAAGCAAGAGTCAACAAATTCAAAAGCTAGCGGAAGACAAGAAATAACTAAGATCAGAGCAGAACTGAAGTAGATAGAGACACGAAAAACCCTTCAAAAAATCAGTAAATCCAGGAGCTGTTTTTTTTTAAAAGATGAACCAAATAGATAGACTGCTAGCCAGATTAATGAAGAAGAAAAGAGAGAAGAATCAAATAGACACAATGAAAATGATAAAGTGGAGATCACCACAGATCCCACAGAAACGCAATCTACCATCAGCGAATACTATAAACACCTCTACACAAGTAAACTAGAAAATCTAAAAGAAATGGATAAATTCCTGGACACATACACACTCCCAAGATAAACTAGGAGGAAGAAGTCAAATCCCAGAATAGACCAATAACAAGATCTGAAATTGAGGCAGTAATTAATAGCTTACCAACCAAAAAAAGCCCAGGACTAGACAGATTCACAGCCTAATACTACCAGAGAAGAAACTGGTGCCATTCCTTCTGAAACCTTTCCAAAAAATAGAAAAAGAGTGACTCCTCCCTAACTCATTTTATGAGACCAGCATCATCCTGATATCAAAGCCTGGCAGAGCACAACATAAAAAGAAAATTTCAGGCCAATATCTCTGAGGAACCTCAATGTGAAAATCCTCAATCAAATACTGGCACACCGAATCCAGCAGCACATTAAAAAGCTTATCCACCGCGACCAAGTCGGTCTCATCCCTGGGATGAAAGTCTGGTTCAACATACACAAATCAATAAATGTAATCCATCACATAAACAGCACCAATGACAAAAACCACATGATTATCTCAATAGATGCAGAAAAGGTCTTCAATAAAGTTCAGCACACCTTCATGCTAAAAACTCTCAATAAACTAAGCATTGATGGAACATATTTCAAAATATTAAGGCCTATTTATAACAAACCCACAGCCAATATAATACTGAATGGGCAAAAGCTGGAAGCATTCCTTTTGAAAACTCACAGACACACAGACACAAACCCACAGACACACAGACACACAGACACACAGACACAAACCCACAGACACACAGACACAAACCCACAGACAGACAGACACAAGACAAGGATGCCCTCTGTCACCACTCCTATTCAACATAGTATTGGAAGTTCTGGACAGGGCAATCAGGCAAGAGAAAGAAATAAGGGGTATTCAAATAGGAGGAGAGAAGGTCAAATTGTCTCTGTTTGCAGATGATATTATTGTATATTTAGAAAACCCCATCATCTCAGCCCAAAAACTCCTTAAGCTGATAAGCAAATTTGGCAAAGTCTCAGGATACAAAATCAATGTGCAAAAATTGCAAGCATTCCTATATACCAATAATAGACAGAGAGCCAAATCATGGGCAAACTCCCATTCACAATTGCTACAAAGGGAAGAAAATACTTAGGAATACAACTTACAAGGGATGTGAAGGACCTATTCAAGGAGAACTACAAACCACTGCTCAAGGAAACAAGACAGGACACAAATAAATGGAAAAACATTCCATGCTCATTGATAGAAAGAATCAATATCGTGAAAATGGCCATACTGCCCAAGGTAATTTTAGATTCAATGCTATTCCCATCAAGCTACCATTGACCTTCTTCACAGAATTAGAAAAAAACTACTTTAAATTTCATATGGAACCAAAAAAGAGCCTACATAGCCAAGACAATCCTAAGCAAAAAGAACAAAGCTGGAGGCATCATGCTACCTGACTTCAAACTATGCTACAAGTCTACAGTAACCAAAACAGCATGATACTGTTACCAAAACAGATATATAGACCAATGGAACAGAACAGAGGCCTCAGAAATAATGCCACAGATCTACAACCATCATATCTTTGACAAACCTGGCAAAAATAAGCAATGGGGAAAGGTTTCCCTATTTAATAAGTGATGTTGGGAAAACTGGCTTGCCATATGCAGAAAACAGAAACCGGACCCCTTCCTTACACCTTATACAAACATTAACTCAAGATGGATTAAAGACTTAAACGTAAGACCTGAAACCATAAAAACTCTAGAAGATAACCTAGGCAGTACCATTCAGGACATAGGCATGGGTGAAGGCTTCATGACTAAAACACCAAAAGCAATGGCAACAAAAGCCAAAATTGACAAATGAGATCTAATTAAACTAAAGAGCTTCTGCACAGGAAAAGAAACTATCATCAGAGTGAACAGGCAACCTAAAGAATGGGAGAAAATTTTTGCAATCTATCCATCTGACAAAGGGCTAATATCCAGAATCTACAAGGAACTTTAACAAATTTACAAGAAAAAACAAACAACCCCATCAAAAAGTGGGCAAAGGATGTGAACAGACACTTTTCAACAGAAGACATTTATGCAGCCAAAAAACATATGAAAAAAAGCTTATCATCACTGGCTATTAGACAAATTCAAATCAAAACCACAATGAGATACCATCTCACACCAGTTAGAATGGCGATCATTAAAAATTCAGGAAACAACAGATGCTGGAGAGGATATGGAGAAATAGGAATAGTTTTACACTGTTGGTGGGAGTGTAAATTTGTTCAACCATTGTGGAAGACAGTGTGGTGATTCCTCAAGGATCTAGAACTAGAAATACCATTTTACTCAGAAATCCCATTATTGGGTATGTACCCAAAGGATTATAAATCATTCTACTGTAAAGACACATGCACACGTATGTTTATTGCAGCACTATTCACAATAGCAAAGAATTGGAACCAACACAAATGCTCATCAGTGTTGGACTGGATAAAGGAAATGTGACACATATACACCATGGAATACTATGCAGCCATAAAAACGATAAGTTTGTGTCCTTTGCAGGGACATGGATGAAGCTGGAAACCATCATTCTCAGCAAACTAACACAAGAACAGAAAACCAAACACCACATGTTCTCACTCATAAGTGGGAGTTGAACAATGAGAACATATGGGCACAGGGAGGGGAACATCATACACCGGGGCCTGTTGTGGGTTGTGGGGCAAGGGGAGGGATAGCATTAGCAGAAATACCTAATGTAGATGACGAGTTGATGAGTGCAGCGAACCACCATGGTACCTGTATACTTATGTAACAAACCTGCACATTCTTCACATGTATCCCAGAACTTAAAGTATAATTTAAAAAAATCACATATAGAGTAAGATAACTAACCAGAAAAGTTGAAATTAAATGTATATAGAAAAGTTGGAAAATTTTTGCAAATATATGAAATAGCTAGACCAATAAAAATTATTGTAATTAAGCATTTAATTTTGCTCTGAATTTCTTACCAATCAAGTTGACATTTTTAAAAAGAAAAGGATGTAATTCTCATTATAAAGTATCTCGATATAAAAATATTAATATAAGAAAGCCTTTATTTCTGGAGAACATTGTAAGGGGAATGTACTCATTCTTTATTTCTGGGTCCCTAATCACGATACAGTCCTATATTTCTCAAGCTGTGGAGAAAATATCCCCAGAGTATGGGGATATGCCAGGGTGTACCTAAAGCCACAGATGACTTTGAGACTCAGCTTAACAATTTTGGGTAAAATTTACGTAAGCTTACATGTTTATAGTAATGCCAATGAATTTCTTAAGAAAAAGGAGCAAAACGTGCATTCACTTTAACCATAAGACATGTCAAGTGATGATCTGTCGTAGTGTTCTCATACTCCAAACTACAGGATCAAGGTTATATTTTGCTGCCAACAGGATCCCTTTACAGAAGTTTCTGAAGTCTGGCATAATGACAGTATCTTTAATAACATTTCCAAAGAAAATGCTAACGCTTTCTCATTCATTCATATAGATTATCCATAAAAATCCAGGGTAGAACATTAAAGCATGACTCACAAAAGTGCATGCTCAGAAAGCCAAAACAAAGTAGCCCAATTGCTTGTTCTATAACTCTGAGGAAATAGAACTTAATCTCAAAATGTGGTCTTTACAACACCTGCATCAGAAAATCCTGGAAACGCTTATTAAAATGAAGATTCTCAGTATATACTCAAGACTCAAAGAATAATCACTTCTGGGGCAGAGGCCAGGAATCTTCATGGGAAATTATTAGAGAATCGATTCATAGACATACAGAGGTTTGCAAACAATTTAAGATGCTTGGAAGCATTTAAATTCCCTTGGTGTAGTTTTCCTGTCTGACACTTTTCTAAGCTGGCCTTTTGACAGGGCATGGTGGCAGCTAAACCCGGAACAATTTTTAGAGTTGATTAGAAGGCACGCCGTACATTCTGAATACCAAAACTCTAGGTGGAAAGTTTATTATTCTACTGGGGATATTGAGAGCTGGACTTAGAATCTTGCTTATTTGGAGAAGCAGTAACACTCACCTGAGAAAAGTTGCAAGGGTCACCACAAAGAGAGTCAAACATTTTCTGAAATCCCCCTTCAGTCTGTTTAAGTGCCTGAACAAATATTCCCAAGAATAGCGCACATCAGATTATCCTTTCCTTTCACAAAATCAAATTCCATAGGTTGTTAGGAGACAGCATTGACTGCAGACTTTATCAGTGCAAATCTTCTCAGAGTCTTTAATTTGTTAATTTGCGGAATTCTAGAGAGAAAGACAAAAATGTGAATTTTTTTGAACTTATTAGACTAGAGAATCTTTGTATTGGAGAGAATCTTTCAAGACCAACTTTCTATATCCCTCTGTTACTCGCCACTCAAAGTAGGATTCAGGGATAAACATAGATCGGCATCAGTATCCCCTGGGAGCTTATCAAAAATGCATCTCAAGCCCCACACAAGAACTACTGAAACAAAGTCTGCAATTTAACAAAATCCCCAGGTGATTTGTATGCATGTTAAAATCTGAGAAGCAATGCTGTAAAACACATTTTGAAAACCAGTTCCAAGGACAATGAGAGAGATGGTTTTAACCTGGAAAACTTCAAGAACCAGTCTTACAGTTCATTCACCTTGGCCCCTTAAAAACTTCACTGTTGTTTCCATGGAACATCTGCTCCGGGACAGGGATTTTTCACCAGAAAAATTATATGTGAAAGCTCTTTATGCAGTTGAGAAAAGCACAGATCTGTGCTATGATTTGTACCTTCCTTGGCCTATAAACAATTTTGATTTGTGCCAAACCTGCTCCACGAAGACAGGGATGTTGGAAGAGTTAGAACTTTGTCTATCATTTGAATTTACTCCCCTGCAGAGAAATAGCCCATTTCCCAGCTGCAGCTGAGAACACATCATTCCATTTTAACTGACAAATAATCAAATTTTTCCAAATTACTATTCCCAAGCCACTCTGGGTTCCAAGCACAGATTTTGAATCAGGTGTGTGTGAAATACAAACAGGGCTTTAGTCGGGAAGAAAAAGATGAAGCTCGAGCCTTAACAAGCAAAATGAACATGTTAATAAAAGCCACGCACAGTCTCAAGTCCGTGTAAGTTATGGCTCAACCAGCAAAAGCAAGGTTCCCATCGGAATCTTCCCAGCGTACAGTCATGACTCATGCCCACAGCCATCTTGTCCCCGCAAGAAAAGCATAAATCATCATCCATTTTTTAAAATGATGCCAAAACTGCATTTTATTCAAATGCATTCCTTAAAATAATTGCTGAGAAAATAATACTAGAGTATTCAACTGACAACTGACTCCTCAGTTTTTACATCTGGAGAGAAAAAAATGTGTCATGGAGTGGTTAAACGGATTCTAGAGATGGTGGAAATTCCTAAACACACAAAGGTCCAAGAACATCAGAACTTCTTTTATGCTTTTGAAGAGGAAACTTTTGTGCCTTTATCTTATCTAGAAAGAGGTTTCCTAAGTTTTATAATGCAAATTTTATTATTTTTTCTTTTCTTTTTTCTCCTTTTATATTTTAACCAACAGCATCAGAAAAAAAAATATTTCTGCATATGAATTCCTATAAAATCTCTCCCCTCTGTCTCTTATATTCCTTCCACCCTCAGTCAAATAAGCTTAGCACTCTTTCTTGATTATAATAAGCCATTTTTGACTGTGTTTCTCTTCCTGATACTCCTTTTCAGCTGTTCTCACTAAGTTTATACTTACTGGTCTAACTCTTTTCTTCTATATGATTTTGGTTTCCCAGAAGCAGCCACTGAGGCAAGGATTCAAGAGTGAGTAATTTGTTTGGTAGGTGATTCCCAGAAACACTGGTAGGGGAGTAGAGGAGTATGTCAGAGAAAGACAGGACAGCAAGTTCTTGAAGATTATCAAACCAGTTGATCCCTCTGGGGAGCTCTGAGAGACGGTGTGAAACATTCTTCAGCATTATTCCAACTGAGGACCAGTGGATTGGGATATTTAGTTATCAAATATCTGTTTGTCATTGTTTCAGAGCTGTCTGGGGACGTAAACTCTCTGTCATTTTGGCTTGCTCTGTGCTTAGGCTAAGGGTACTCTTCAGCCATAAAATAATGAAAATAAATAAAAGCCCCAAGCAAGGAGTTACAGGTGTTCATAATAAGCAGTCCTTGGAATATGCGAGTGACTTCCAGAGGGATGTGGACAGAAGACCAATATCATCCTCTACACCTTCCATCTTTTCCTCCACTCAAGCGCCTGCAAGAGATCTTGCTAAGAGCCAAATGGCTACAACAGCCAGAATATTTTTTAAACTTAAACCGCTTCCATAGTTTAAAGATTACCAGCCACTATTTCCTTCTTGAAGCTCCCTTTTTTCCTTGGTTTCCATGACAACACATCCTTCTGGGTTTTCTCCTTTTGCTTCTGTCAGTCATCATCCTTGCTGGGCCATCTTCCTCCAGCCAAACCTGAAAGGCTAGAATTCCTCAACTGTGCACAGTCTTCTCTTTACTCATTCTACCTTCTTTTGCCAGGTGAGCTCAATTGCTCCTATGGCTTCAGTTACCATCTGTATCCCAATGACAGACAAATTTACATCTCCAGTGGCTCAGACATCCTGATCAATGAGGCTGAGGTTCTACAGGACATCACACATCTCACAATTGCTTCAAATGTGTGATTAGGCACTCAACTTTTTCTTCTCTCCCTCCTTACCCCAGGAAGAAAAAAAAAATGGCCTCATCTAATCTTTCCTATCTCAGTGAACAATTCTATTTTCCACTCAGTCGGCCAAGCTAGAAAATGAACAGTCAACTTGAACACATGCCTCCCTTTCTCCAGACTGTACGACATCTATTTAATTGTTGGACCTCATCAACTAGATCCCATCAATGGACTACTTCTTAAATCCATCCACTCCTAGCCCACCATTACTTCTTACCATAGCCTCCTAAGTGGTTTCCTCAGCTCTATTCTTCACAGTGCAGCCAGAGGCACCTTTTAACTCTGGTCTGCAACTCTGATTACATCACTGCCCACAGGACTTGACTCTGTTTGCTTCTATTTCATCGCGCACAACTTTCTACCTCACCTTTTCTGCTCCACTTTTACTTTCCTCTTTGTGGTTCTGGAAAGTGGCATAATGCTTCTGGCTTTGGAATCTTTATATTTTCTGTCCCCTTGACCTCAGAGCTACTTCTCCCAGCATCTCCTTTCATTAACTAATTTTTACTCATTCTTCAGATATAAGCTCAAACATGACTACCTCAAAGAAGCCTTTCTGGCTTTTCCTGATTTTTTTCAAGAAGAGGGTTGGCTCCTCTAGCATCCTATTTTTTGGGACATTCCACTACCACTCTTCACTCTTACTGTAATTAATTATATGCGTAATTAGTTGCCTGCCTCAGTGTAAGCTCCCTGAGAACAGGCACTGTGTCAGTTTACTTCACATCTAAATATACGGCCGTTCCTGGCATGTAAGGTTCCTGCATTGTGTAAATACAATTCCTGGCATGTAAGATTATGATAATTATTCAATGAATTTTTACTAAGCCCATTCACAGTTCCAGAAATCTTACTATGCTTAGCTTGAGTCACATTTGCTTTTTAGTTTGATGTTCTACTCCTTGCTTTCCAGGTGTAGGATGTTGGACATCATGCTAAGAATAATAGAAAGGTATCTGTATTGGTTTGCTATTACAAAGTTCAACAAAATGGGCAGCTTGAACAATAGAAATTAATTGTCTCACAGTTCTTCAGGCTAGAAGTGTGAAATCAAGGTGCCTACAGGGTTGGCTCCTAAGCACTGTGGGGGAAGAATCTGTTCCTGGCTCTCTCCTTGGCTTGTAGATGGCCATCTTTATGTTCACATGGTGTTCTTCGTATATGTATGTTTGTGTCCAACTTTCTTTCTTTTAAAATAAGGATGCTGGCCATATTGAATTAGGGCCCACTCTAACGACTTCAACTAATTCTATCTGCAAGAGCCAGATTTTTAAATAAGATCATATTCTGAAGAGCTGGGGGTTAGGACTTCAACAAATAAATGTTGGGGGATACGGTTACCCTTTTAACAGTGCCCAAGGATTTTAAGAAGAGAGAGAAATGAATAGATTCACACTGCAGATAGAACATGTTGACTACAGGGTAAAGAAAAGATTAGAAGGCCTGGTGAAAGCTAGGGCCCTATTATAGCAACACTCACAGCAATGTCTATGAGTGCAGTTTCCTAATTAGTATTGCCCAGAGTCAAAGTTCTGTTCCACTACATTTAACCAGTAGTATAAATTTCACTACACAAGGGTCAGTTTTCTTATCTGTAAAATGGCTATATTTTTAGCATCACATAGTGTATAATGCTGGAGAAAAGAACCAAATCTAGATTTAGCTATGACCTGACTTACAAACAAGTATTTTCCCCCGATATTTCAGCATAACACTCAAAGTAAAAAAGAAAAGAAAAAAGCTGAAGTTTGTAAGGCAAAATCAACCATTGCGATAACTTGTGACTTATTTTTGTTTATATAAATATATTTTATGCTAAAAAAGAATAATGGTAAAGTTCAAACATTTCTGTTTTCCACTGGTGTGTAGGCATCTTAAAGGGCTAGCTCATAGAAAAAATGCATCCTGGATTTTTGTAAAGATGAGAAGTATGATTTAGAGTGGAAGCCAGAGAGTTATCACACTTCAAAACCCTCTTCTCTACCTCTGTTCCACTCCAATCCATTCCTTTCCTTTCTTTTCCTTTCACTTACATGCCCTAATCCCCACGCACATTTTTATCACCACTAACGATGTAACTCTGAGACTTGTCCCAAGAGGAGAGTTGTTCAACCTATTTTTTTCCTCCTTCCCAGCCCTTGGCAAGTCTGTTGGGTGATCCACTCAGACACCTCAGAGGGTGGTACTTCTCACTCCCTCAAACCACAAGCAACAAAGCCTTACTCATTTCTTGCTCTTGGCTTTGTCATCATTTTGATGTCTTGAACATTACTTTGTCGTGAACTCATTTCACTTATGTAAGGAGAAAAAGCCAGGGATAGTGAAAGAGTGCCTCCAGTTGTTCAGGAACAAACAAACAAGAAAATGATAGCGCTGCTATTGCCCAATGTCCAGAAGAGTATCTTGCCAAGATAGAATTCTGAATCACAGGAAAATGCAGTTAATTTATTATATAAATTATTTTATGTAGCAAGCCAAATCAGGTTATTATTTTGGGCAGCATTTTAATAATTATAAGGGTCAACCATCATTCTAACTTCCAGAAGACAAAGGGGAATGTATTGTTTTACATAGGAAGGAAGTATATCTGAAGTTATTGGAGTGACACACAAAGGCTAACATTAAGTGTTAATTACCATAGTATCATTTTTATATTCTACAAAGCTAATTAATATCCTGTGTCTCCCACAGAGGTGTATATGTTATAAAATATAAAAAATAAATGATGTTTATGTGGTATAATTTTTGTATATGAGTTAATTTATATTTCCCTTATTTAATAGATTTTGAAGGGCAGAGTGATAAATAGGAAAGCTATATCACAGATACCTTTTTTGTTAACAGGAAAGTAAATATAATCTTATAGATTGATCAGAAAGTGGAAAAAGATTGATTCACCATTTTGAAGAACAGAAGAGTCTAACATTTGAAGGGAATGAGAATGAAGATACCCACGCAAACCCTTCCAAAGCTTTCATGTGTTTCAAGTTAAAAAACAGGATTTTGTGTGTGCAAAGGTAACATTATATAGACAGAAGAGCTGTCAAGAGCAACCCAAGGGAAGAGTGCTGATGGGAAGACTTAGCTCCTGGTCTGCAAAACCAGCAGGGCTAGATTAAACAGCCATGGGTATAATTTCAATTAAGGCTTTTACTGCTGTTGTCATTGTTCTCCTGCTTGTCTTATTACACTTTGACACGGCCAGGCTTACAGACTGAAAACAAATCTGGACAATGTCTTCTGTAAATCCCCTACCTTCCACCCAGGCACGATCACTGAGTTGAGATGATGGAAAATATCAATTAGGAGACCTAATAAATTTTAACCAAAATATTCAAATCAGAAACCGCTGTAAAGACCCAATGTCTGGAGAAACTAAAACACATTCGGGTCTAGCTAATTGTTCTTCTACAATAGTCATTCTTGCTTGGTTCTCATCAGCATTTTATTTTATACTATCTTTACTTGCATGTAATGTTGTTGGATTTTTTAAGAGCCCAGGTTTGTGTGTGATTGCATTCGCTTTCCAAGTCATTTTGTACTTATGAGACTCCTACCTGTTCTCCAGTTACAAAAACCTTCAGTACCTTGCAATGAAAGGCTTTTATTTCCATCAGTGAATCATTGAAGGGAACTGACCAAATTCAGTGTCGGTGGATGGAGAAGCCTACCTATAGAGAATAGTATAGTTATTTTGTTAAAAGCTAACCTGCTTTTCCTATTTTTGAGAAGGCCATAAACTACTATGATAGGTGTATATTGACCCTCCACAGCAAAGGACTTGAACTAGACATATGGCAGCCAAGAATTATACTAAGTTTAGCTACCATTTATTGAGCCCCATAGTGGATGCTGCTGATATCACAACCAACGCCCTTTACCAGACTGGTACCTCTGCCCCAGGTGCTGCAAGCGGAGGCTGCTAATGGCTCATAACTGCCCCCTTCTCCAGAGATTTCCTCTTGGACATTTGCCTGGGAGGTTACCTCGCCACCCCCAGCCCAGGGGCAGCCCACCTGCAAGGGCTAATGGACATGAAGAATACAAAAGACCAGCCAACCACATCAAGGTAGGAACAAACTTCATGTGTGTAATTCACACTCCAGAGCTCTCTGTGGGATTAGGGTAAATCCAGACTCCAGAAGAGACCACATCCTAAGCTCAGCTCCTCCACCTGCTCCATCTGCTTCCTTCACTCCCCTTCCTCCTGAGATGTTTACCACCCAAAATGACATGCACCTGAATCTGTTTCTCAGGCCCTACTTCTATTATAGAGAATGAGACTTAAGCTGTAGTTCCATATGTATTATAGAGATACCTTGTATTCATACATTTATTTTATTTAGTCCGCAGAGCTACTGTATTTGAGAATACTGCATAGTTGAGAATTATGAACCAGGGTTGAACTCAGGTTTTTCCTTGAATCCTAAAAAGATTGTATTTATTATACTAAACTGCTGCTTTAGACATTTGCATAAAACTTCCATCACATATCACCAATAAAAATAATAATAATAAAGTTACACAACTTAGAAAGTAAACAAATATGCCCTCTCCACATTAACAGGCTCAACGATGAGTAGATGTTGCTCAGTGTTTCCTTGACATAAGGTGATATTTTTCTATGAAGAATAAAGGGGAAGGAGAGAGGAGAAAGAAGAAGAAGAGAGCAGGAGAAAAAAAATGTATGATAAAGAAATAAATGAAAGAAGAAAGTAGGGATGAAGGTAGGAAAAAGAGGGAGGGAAGGAAGGAGGGAAAGGCAGAAAGAAAAGGCCACAGCAGATACTTGTTTTAATAGACTTAAGCCTTTTAGGTGACCTCTGGTCTCACACCTTGGCTGGAAAACCACTGCTGGTCATTTCTCTTTTCTTTCTTTTCAGTGTGGAACAGTTGGAAATGCTTTAATCATGGGCTGAGCTTCAGCTCAGGCCTTGGCTGAAAATCACTTTTCTACTAAAAACGATGAGGAGTTTCCAGGGAGGGCTTGTAAACTAGTTATCTCTGTTGATGATCACATCTGTGTGCACATCTGTGGTACAGAAACACGCCATGCAATAAAGTGTATCTTGTGTTACATGACTTCCCACCATGTGGTCTGCCCTTTCCCACCACATTCAAGACGCCCTTTTCTTATTAAAAAGAATTAAAATATAGAGGAGCAACACTCCACCCATAGGGTGAGAAGGCAGATTTTCTGTTTCTCATTTTGTGTCCAAGCACGGCAAACATCATAGAACTCATTTTGAGATTTCTTAAAACTTCTAAAGTAAGCCTGCCCCAAAGGCATCAAGGCTGTAGAATGCCTACTAGGCACCAGACACTGCACTGAATATTTCGCATTGCTTCAGTGGACTCTCATGGCAACCACTGAACTCGGCATCCTGGTTCCCATTGCACAGAGGGGCAAAGCAAAGAGTGAAAAAGGTCCAACAGTTTGTCCAAAATCAGGCTTAGGAAATGGAGAAACTCAGCTTCAGAGTCACATCTAAAGAACACCTGAGCTCAAGGTCTGCTTTAGCAGAAACAGTAAGTGACTTCTCAGGGTCAGTGCTCTCTGAATAAGAGGACACTCTTCACCTTGAAAAGGTGATACTCACAATGCTCACTTGCCTTTGAAAGATCCACTCTGCCCAATTTGCTGAATTCTAGAGCAAGCCATCAGGCTTCCAAAGAATACGAAAAGGTTCAGTATGTGATAGAGAATAGTCCAAATCACAAGGCTGAGGAGAGGGGGGATTTTATATCCCAAACAATTTTATGTATTTCAAAAAAAGTAAAACTAGCAGAAAAGGCAGCAAGAAAAATGACCTGCTATAACAAGAGTACTAATGATGACTACAAACAAAAGGGTAATGCCTCAGAAGAAGGTTTTTGTTTGAGCTCATGGGTCTAAAGAAACTGGACATGAATGTGGTTGCTTCCAAGGAATTTAGACCTCCAAAGCTAAATTCCTAAACTTGGTCTTCCTAGGAATCTGATATCCACAGGCATCTGCCCAGAACAGTGACCCTTGACTTCATTACTGCTTTTAGTGAATGTGGGTAAAGATAATTTAAAGGAGCTTGTAAAGAAACATTATTTTTAAAAAAGAGTAGAAAGCTTGTCAATCAGTCAACTAAAAAAGTATCTGATTTGAAATTTCATCATTAAATGGGTGGTAGAACTAAATGATTCCCAAGTTTACTTCTAACATTTCAGGATTTGGGGATTTCAGAACATATAAGTTAGAAAATGTACCTGATAGATGGTAATAGATTATATGGGGTTATAAATATTTGCAAAAAAACTTGATGGTCTTCTGAATCTAGAGTATTGGCAAGTGCTATTTAAATTATTTTTGGACAGAAATTATTTTTACATTCCTTAATATAAATCATATTTTAAATAATATGACTTTCTCCCTTCCAGTTCCAAAAATAAGTGATATGATTCATGGGCTAAAGTGCCCTAGTTAATAGGCTAATGGAAAGAAGGAGTAGTGAACAAAGTTTTAAAAGAGATTTAAAGTTAGCATGGTCATTGTTGCAAAGATGACAAATGGCCATTTTGACATATGCTTGCTTAAAAGCTTTCACTGTTTACAATTACTGGTGCAGGTAGAGTATACTTAAGAGATGTGCCTCTGGTATATTCTAGAAAAAGATGAATGTTCTGTCATTAGAATGCTAATATTCCATGCTTTTTAAACGAAAAGAATTAGGTACAATTGCAGCATCTGGTGAATCTTTGCTTCATCACTCTGGATCTAATTTTAAGTAAGTGGTGAAACAGAATCCAGACATTTGAAATTGCTAAAACTTTCTGTCCATCAATAAGGATGGCATGTATAACAACAGTGAAACCTTTACCAGCTACTTGTGAGCTCTAGGTCAATTGATGACTGATGTCCATGAATGATCAGCAGTACCACCCGGCTTTAATTAGGAGGCCAGTGTGGAACTGGAAGCATTGGAACAATAAAAGACATGTGCCAGGGAAATGTCTAAGGAGGGTTTCCCTGACTTTGTCCTCGAAATATCCTAGATACTCCATGCATATTTCTGGGCTTCCACAGCTGGGGTTCATATACATAGCAAGGCTGCACAATTAAGCCTCACAACAATTTTTCCAGGAAGATGCTAGTATTTTATTTTGTAGATAGAAAATTGAGGCACAGAAAGATTAAAGGACTTATCCATAGTTGCATAATAGTGAAGCCGTACAGGATTTGAACCAGTCAATCTGACTTAATGGCCCACACTCTTTACCTCTTTCCCCACCACTGCTTAGACTGTATAGACTTGGAAATTTCCCAGACACTTCACAGGACTTACATGGAATGTCAAACATGATTTTCTCCACATTGAATGACAGCATTTGCCCATAAAGGAAATAGATACATTATCATCTATAATAAGTGGGCATCTTTAGGATTACAGGAAAACATCAAGGTCAAATTGAAAAAGACAAAGAAATCATTATGTGAAGGGAAATATGAAGCTATGTGCCTTCCCAGAAGGTTCAGGAGCATTCGTGGGAACCGTATCTCAGAAAGATGATAAATACTGAAGAAATTTTGGGTCTCCTTAAAACGATGTGTTTGTCAGAACCCTGGTGTTCCTCAGCAATTCAAAGAAACATGCTCACAATTCCTTTCAAAGATGTCTAACTGTACCTTTGGATTAAATCATAATTACCAAAATGTCCTAAGAATATTTTATCCAGCCCCTTACTTCAGATCTCACTTGCAGCTGTTGAGGGGAGAAAACATAGGTAAATTTCCCACTCTGGGTCCTCATTGGCACTGTTACCAGCTTAGCAAATACTGTGAAAGCCAACTGTGGTGTGGCTTTCATATTAGTAAAAAGACAAAGATAAGGCTGCCAGTTACAGGATGCCACATTGATGGTAGAGGTGAAAACTTTCCTCTGAGAATATGAGAAATGAAGCCCAGGTATAAAGTTTCTGTAATGAGAGTTTCTATTTTTCTCTGGGAAAATTGAGCATTGTCAAAGAATGCTGGAATGAATCCCATGGATCTTTCCCTTAGAAGTTGACATACATTTATTTATTTAGTTAGTTAAACAAGGTCGCATAATTTTCAAGGAAGCTTGTAGGGGTATTTTCCCAGTACTCTTTGTTTCCCACACCTGCTACTATCTAGAGAGTTGCAGTTCTAAGTGAAAAGGAACCAACCAAATCAAAATCAAAATAAGAGTTCTGAAGGTGATGATACAGACATTAAAATATAAAATAATTACATCCTGTTGCTTTAATTTTTCTTGCCTCCTCTTTCTTTTCCTTTCTCTCTCTCTCTCTTTTTTTCCTTTTCTTTCTGAGTTAACATGCTTCTCTGACACACAAAGGAATGCCCACCTTCTTCATTCCCTCCCATGCCCAACTGGCTTATGTGTAGGTAAAGAGAATCTTTTTAGGGGACAACTCCATGATGATTCTCAAGCCATTCCTGGTTTTGTTCTACCTCTTCAAAAGTTCAAGGGGTGTCTCTGTTCCCATAATATTGGTTTCCCAAAAGTTAGCTCATTCTCCAAGCGTCTGAATTAGTGGAACTTTTTTGCTTTGTTTTCCAAACGCTTGAGTGTACACAACACAGAACCACATAAATCTTCACTCATTAGAAACCTACTACCAAAGGAATAATGTTCCTTAGGTTATTCCTCATCCTTCATTGCTTGTTGTCAAGACCAGAATTAAATGAGTTAAACCATCATGTTGCTACTACATATTTAAAATCATTAGCAATAATTTCTGCACCATGAAATCTTTCCTTACCACTTGATGTTTAGCTTATGTTTTCATTTGTTCCATTTTGTAAATGGCTCTTAAATTTTGTGCAGCATGACGAGAAGCAGACAATCATCTATTCCTGATCTTTGCCCACTTCGCTCTGAGGTGTAGGCACCCTGCCTTTTACATCCAGTCAAATCACATTACAAAATTTGTCTCTTTACCCTTAAAACACATCTACCTCCAGGTCCCCTCAAGTCACAATTTTCATCTACCAATAGTTGTCTCAGTTTTCATTCTTGGCAAAATCTTGAAAAAGCTGTGAAATAACATAAGCAAAAGATTTAATTATTTCAGTTCTAGTGGGACTGTGCCTCGGGTTTCCTGCAGATACATAAACACTGCCAACAGCATGAGATTCATTTCCATGTGTTCATCTATTGAACCAAGCCCTCAATATTACTTGATAATCTTGTCTCCAATTATGGGGCAAACCCACGATGCTTTACACCTGGGAGAAAACACAGAGAATTTTGCAAAGTTTTGGTGATTCTTTTCCTCTAGTCTGTGAATTTCAAATAACACATGTAAAATATTCCTTCTACATATCCTGACTCACATTTCTCCCTGTATGTTTAGATAGGGAAAGTTGGGAGTAGGGTGGGGAATGAAATTAAATGTTTACTTTTTTAAAGTTAAGAAGAAATTACTTGTGCACTGCACAAGAAAAGAAAACAAAGTTCCAGTTGCATGTTAAGAAAGCCCTCACAGTGTTATTGAATACCATTTCCTGCAATGAAGACCAATATAGAAAGAAAACAGAAATAAATTCCTTAGTTATCAGCCATAGAATTGAATGACAAAATGAGCAAACACCGAAAGACAGGCCTGATCCCCCACGTGGAAAGTATATACGTAAGCAATTTTTGCTATCTGCTGACTCAATTAGGAATCAATATTTTCACTTTAAATAAGCCAGAATGAGTTGGGTAGTTGGCACATGGATGGGAGAACCTTAAATAAAACTAGGAGCTTCTGAAAGCAGGATGAATGGCATAGCAGGAGGGTGCTGTTCTGCAGGGCATATGTGAGTCATCATCTCCACTCAGAATCCAGGTAGAGAATATTAAATATAAATGGTTTGTTTTTGTCTGTTTGCCTGTTTGGGACACAATTTCACTCTGTCACCCAGGCTGGACTGCAGTGGCATGATCTTGGCTCACTACAACCTCTGTCCCCTGGGTTCAAGCAATTCTTGTACCTCAGCCTCCCAAGTAGAGGCGATTACAGGCATCTGCCACCACACCCGGCGAATTTTTGTATTTTTAGTAGAGACAAGGTTTCACCATATTGGCCACACTGGTCTTGAGCTCCTGACCTCAGGTGATCTGCCAGCCTCGGCCTCCCCAAACTGCTGGAATTACAGGTGTGAGCTGGTGGGCCACGACTCTGGGGACTCACATTCTGATACACGGTTAAAAGATAAAAATAAGAATCTTTTTAAACATATTTTCTCTAGATTCTAACTCATGCAAACTTGTCAGCTTTCTTTCTTTATTTCAAGACATCACCCTTTCATTACTTATCCTCCCGCTTATTGCTAGTAATAGGAAGCGTTTGTTATATGTGGAAAGACCATTTTCCAGCTGTGTGTCTTTGGCAAAACATGTAACTTCTGAATTTGTTGTCCTAACTATAAAATCAGAATTATCATTTGAGAATTAAAGGAAATAAGGATGTGAAATTAATTGGAAACTGTTATAGAAATTATTATTGTTGCTATATGTATTGTCATTATTTGTTATGTAGAAAATGATAACCTTGCTTTTTTGTGGGGGGAAGAAACTACTCACTGAAAGAACAGAGTAAATAGTGTGGAGGTAAGGATCTGAGGATCTCCAAAGCTTCAGAAGGAATTATTTTTATTTTTCTTCATTTGAAGGTTGTTACAAACCTCCCTCCTCCTTCCAAACCCCTGACCTTAGTGAAAAGATTGAGTCGAATGTCTTCAAAGCTAACATACTGAGGACAGGTCAGCAAAGAGCCTGCTGGCTTGGCAGACTGCAAAAGGGAGCTTGTTCCAGACACAAAGGGCTGAGGAAAGATGGGAGTGAAGAAATAGAACAAAGGAAGCAGTTAGGGACAAGCCTGGACCCAACCAAAGGAAAGAGGAGGAAACAGGGGAGATTATGTTAAGGAAATAGGCCCAGAGGTCCCTCATTCCATCTGAGGATACTGCCAACAGCATGAGATTCATTTCCATGTGTTCATCTATTGAACCAAGCCCTCGATATTATTTAGGGGACAATTCCACGATTCTCAAGCCATTCCTGGTTTTGTTCTACCTCTTCGAAGGTTCAAGGGGTGTCACTAGTGACAGTGAATGAAGCAGCACCATCATCTTTTATGCAGCTTCTGTTGGTAAAGTGCTGCCTATAGGGAGAGTTCCTTCCTGCAATGAGAGTTTCCCATGATAATGACAGGTTCTGTGTCAACACATGTGGGTTCATGCTTCTCCTGGTCCCTTGACAGCCTGGCGAGTATTTAGGGACCATTCTTCCATAGTAGACTTTAATATCGTGACCAAAAATGAATTTACTCATGTCCTACATAGTTGTTTTTCAAAAAGTGAAACACCTTCCAGCTGCCGTTTTGGGAACAGAGATGGGAAAAAACAAAAAACAAAACAAACAAACAAAAAAAACAGCCCAAAGCTCCAGGAGCAAGGGGTCTGGAAAAGAACAAAGCAGTAGAGGAAAGGCTGCCTTTCCAAGTGTGGCTGAAATTCTCAAGACCCACAGACGGGCCATCAGTTCCATACTTCAATGCAGAGCTGCATAGCCACTGTAGATCCAACCAGCATGACTTCCAAACATATTTCCACACTCAGGCTGGATAATGCCCTTATGGAACCTACCACTGATTTACTTTCAGTTCATTTTATCCAAATTATGCACTTACACAAAGTCTAGAGGATGAAAGGAGGCAAAACACAATCTGTGATTAGTCTCAATCTCTCCCAAGGTATCTCGCTACTAGAAGGTGTGCTCACCACCCCCCAACTTTTTCTTCCCTTATCAGGTGGAAGAAGGATGCAATTTCCTGATGGGCAAAGGCAGGCAAATGGGTCTTACTTCCACATTGTCTCAGGAAACACAATAATAGTCACTTGGCTCTCACCATATCCCCTTGGAAATCCCCAGGTATGACTTTTGCACAACTAAAAATAAGTAAAGGAAATAAAGGTGGTTTTATTTCAAAACAGATAATAGGTCATTATTATGCTTGGTCATCACAGGTGATGCCAAACTCTATCTCTGTGCACAGACATGACTCAACTCTACAATAAACCACCTGTGAACACAGTCATCTCAGTTTCAAACAATGATTAGCTTCTGGTAAGTAGGCCCTATCAAGGGTTTCTGGGGCTGCCATGGTCTCATTGTTAAGCTATCAGGTTTGTGTTCAATGACAACAGTCACATAAACAGACTTTGAGTCTTTCCCCAAAGATATTTTTATTGCTGCTTTTCTTCACACAGGATTTGTTCATTTTTTTTATTTGGGCCTATGTCTCAGTAGAGTCAGTTATAAGACTTTAACGGGCATGAGTTACCTTCTTCTGCCAATGTATTTTCTCCTTTCTTATGGTAACAGGATTCTGGTAATCCTATCTCAACCCTATTCTTATTCCAAGAGTCTTGAAGTTGGCAGATGACCTATGTCTGACCAGTTAGCATCTTCCACACATAGCTATTATTATTGGTTCAGGGAAAACATGTGACTCAAGTCAGTTTAATCAGTTAGTTTCACTACTCTTGCTGCAAAAACCTCTAAGAAGCACTCTTTCTTCTACTAAGATTACTGAAGGGATGAGATGTATGCGTGGAGGTATGCTGGAAGTCATTTTGCCACAGTGGAGGGAGAGTGTGTGCGAGAATGACACCAACACAAAAGAAAGCAGAGGTGAGGCTGGGTGTGGTGGCTCACGCCTGTGATCCCAACACTTTGGGAGGCCGAGGCAGGTGGATCACCTGAGGTCAGGAGTTCAAGACCAGCCTGGCCAACATGGCGAAGCCTCGTCTCTGCTAAAAAATAGATAAATAAATAAATAAATAAAAATACAAAATTAGCCAAGCATGGTGGCAGATGCCTGTAATCCCAGCCACTCAGAAGCCTGGGCAGGAGAATCGCTTGAGCCCAGGAGGCGGAGGTTGCAGTGAACAGAGATCACACCACTGCACTCCAGCCTGGGCGACAGAGCAAGACTCCATCTCGATAAACAACAACAACAACAACAAAAAAAGAGGGCAGAGGTGATAGTGGGAGACCTAGTACTAATGGCATCATGTCAGTCTAGATCCAACCATGCCTGAAACCAAAATACCTCAGATCTTTTAAGTTCTACATCATGGCTGTTCTTCTTCTTCCTCTTCTTCTTCTTGTTCTTCTTCTTCTTCTTGTTCTTCTTCTTCTTGTTCTTGTTCTTCTTGTTCTTGTTCTTCTTCTTCTTCTTCTTCTTCTTCTTCTTCTTCTTCTTCTTCTTCTTGATGGAGTTTTTCACTCTTGTCATGCAGGCTAGGTGCAATGGCGTAATCTCGGCTCACTGCAACATCTGCCTCCTGGGTTCAAGCAATTCTCCTGCCTCAACCTCCTGGGTAGCTGGGATTACAGGTGCCTGCCACCATGCCCGGCTAATTTTTGTATTTTTAGTAGAGACAGGGTTGCACCGTGTTGGCCAGGCTGGTCTCAAACTCCTGACCTCAGGTGATCCACCCACCTCGGCCTCCCAAAGTGCTGGGATTACAGGTGTAAGTCACCATGCCCAGCCGGCTTCTTCTTTTTGGCTTAATTCTGAGTTAGGTTTCCAGGGAGTCTATGTTAGATTTTCTGACACTTGCCACCAAATAAGTGCTGTTTTAAAATCTTCCCTTCTGTGCCAGTGCATCACACCTCTAAGAATTTATTGTCAATGTTATCACTTTGTCACTTAAAGTTATGCCTGGAAACCAGGTGATAGTAATGAAAATGACCCACAAGCTAAGAGATTTATCACTAGCTGAACTTTAGCTTCCAATAAATTGAAAAAATTGGATCATAATGAAAGCAAAATGAAAATCATTTCCAATATGAATAATCTTTGGGACAACTCCATTTCCCTTCACTCCAGAGACAGACAAGAGTCTCTTCTCATTTACTCTGATAGGTTAGCCAAAAACACAACAGAATGAGACTATGAAGTGGAGACTACAATAGAAAATAATTCCAATAAATAAGAACAGAACGAGAAAATGAGTATTAGCAGAATCTTTGTAAATCACCACTTGAGTGTTTATTAAGTGTTGGAGTTAAGTTTGATTATAATGGGTGAAGAATTTCCATGTGGTGAAAGTAAGACTAGGATAGCCAAGAAGTAATTGGAAGTCACACAAATCTGTTCTTGGCTTTCCAATGGGTGTGGAAAGGGTAGACAGAACTGAAAACACAACTTGAACTCTGGCACGGTTCCTGAATATTAGCATAGAGAGGTGTGCTTTCTGTGTAGAGGGGTGTCATCAAGTAACCAAAGAAGAAACACCTGGGGAGAAGACAATGGGGGAAGTAGTCCCTCTCACTGTAGCTCTTCTCCAGCGTCAAGAAGACTGGCTGGGGATCAACAAATATCCTCTAAGAATGCTTCCATTTCTTGGTTTTGGGCCAGTTATCCAGAGCAGATGTCAAACGTTTGCTGTGATTAGGAAATATTTTACATGTGAGAATGTGGATGCTACAATTCTCAACTCAGCCAAGAGGACTTAATAAATGGTGAAATTTTACATCTTTAGGGAGGAGCAACATATTTTTTTTAAGTGTTGGTTAAAATAAACACCAAATTCCCAAGGAAAGACCAAATTCTGATGATGTGCAGCACTGATCATTTTATTACTGTGGAAAAATGTACTCAGACCGTGCAACTCACTTCATCCTTTTGTTAATGTTCTCATTCTCCCATTATCAATGGCATACGAATACTCATTCCTGATTATCAAGTTTCCTTTTGTTATTGGATGAATCAAAAGTGGACTAACAAAATATGTCCTTGTTAGTAAAAAGTAATCGAAGATGAATTTGCTGTCACAAAAATGACAAGTCTTTTTTTTTACAAATAAAACCAAGTGTAAATTGGTTAGATTGTTTAAATTATAATTATTTAAAAAATTATGACATATTAGGGAATGTACTTGCATTCTGGTTCTCCATTATAACCAGCTGTCTCACCTTCAATAAATACCTATTTCTCTTGCCTTCAGTTTTCTGTTGTGTCAAAGGAGAGAGTTGGGCTAGACTGGCATTTCTCAGAGTATTATATTGTAGAAATTAGTTCTGTGAGATATAAATTATCACAGCAAAACTAGAGATTCACTGATCAAATAGGACAAGAAAGGGATTCAAGATGGAGGAAATAATGTATGTGGAAGTATAGAGATATGAAAAAAGCTTTTCACTACTTTGTTAAACAAATATTAATGAACACTTACTATGTGCCAGGTATTGACTGTGCTGAGTTGCGGGTTTGGTGGTAAGTAAGAATAACACGAAACTTGCCTTCAAAGAGTTTACATTCTTTTGGCATGGGTGTGTAACTAAACATGCAATTTAAATAAAATCAAGTATTCTGAATATTATGACAGGAAAATAGCAGAGGCTTCTGCAGAGTATGTGGATAAGAAGTAAGAGAAGGGCCAGGCGCAGTGGTTCACACCTGTAATCCTAGCACTTTGGGGGGCTGAGGTGGACAGATTGCCTGAGCTCAGGAGTTTGAGACCAGCCTGGGCAACACAGTGAAATCCCATCTCTACTGAAATACAAAAAATTAGCCGGATGTGGCAGCATGCACAAGTAGTCCCAGCTACTCAGGAGGTTGAGGCAGGAGAATTGGTTGAACCTGGGAGGAGGAGGTTGCAGTGAGCTGAGATCACACCACTGCACTCCAGCCTAGGAGACAGAGCAAGATGCCCTCTCCAAAATAATAATAATAATAATAATAATAATAATAATAATAATAGTAGATAAAAAAGAAATAAGAGAAGGCTTTTTGGAAGAAGTTTTATTTAAACCCAGGCCCAAAAGAAAAACAGGAGTGATACATACAAAGAGAGTACAAGATGAACATTCCAGGCAAAAGGAATATTATATGTAAGAGCATGAGCTCTAAAAAGATGCGAGTTAGAAGAACTTGACCTTGAACTCCAGGGTGGTGGAATTTAGTGTGAGAGGGTGAAAGTGGAAGGAAATAAGCTTTAAGATATAAATGGGGGGAAATAATGTAGCATGTTAGACACAATACACAATGGTTTGGATGTTATCATGTAGAACATAGGGAATACTCAAGGTTTTAAGCAGCTGAGCAAAATGACCATATTTGTGTCTTAGAATAGTGGCAGTGGCAGCAGTGAGATTTTAATGGAGATAGTCAAGACTAGAAAAAAAAATCATACTAGCTGGAGACTCTTGACTCTTGGTGGTGGTGGTGGAAATGAAGACAAGAGAAAAAATACAAAAATTGTTTAAGGGGCAGAGTGGAAACATTTGTGCCGATTCAACGTTGGCAGTGAAATAGAAAGAAGACTCTTTGCTGACACCCGTGTATTCTGTTTGGGTTACAAGGTGGATGATGATACCAGGAATCACAACAGGGATTATAGGACAAGGCAGGGGAAGAGAAAGAGGAATTTGAGAAATGAAGTTCAGTTTTGTTTGGGGCGTGTTCACCTTTTTTATTCCACTGGACTTTTAACTAGAAGCATTTGGATACACAAGTCTAGAACATAAGAGAGAAGACTAAAGTCTGAATATAATTTAGATGTCATTAGTTCATGGATGGCCATCGAAACTTGGAGTGGCTAAGATCACTCAAAGAGTATGTGAGAAATAAAAAGAACAGAAAAATAAGGCTGAAACCAACATTGAGGGAGAAAGCAGACAAAATTATATCTATAGATCAGAGAGGTAGGGTTGCTGATTTTAATCTATTAGTGAGTGATGTTGAAGGAACATTCAAATAAAGTAGACAAAATTTAATTTTATTGAAACTTGTTTAAGACTTCCATGAAACTGTTCTGATATTAAGAAAAAAAAGTTATCTAAATTTCAACTCTGGAATAAAGCCCCCATATTTATTACCTTTTAGGATTTTTCTAAGATACAGGTTATCTCAAACAATGAATTATTTTGAAAACCATTTTGTTTCCAATTCTCAATATAGTGACAGAGACATACATCATAATTCTATCTTTATGATCCATACACCATAATTCCATCTTTATGGCCCAAGTAGGTAAAATATATACATTGTCTCTTAAAATTCCCATGAACCATTCTACAGAGATGCCTTTCAACTGACAAAAACACAATCACATATAGAAATAGACTCCTCATTTTATACCATATCCCAGCTTCCTCCTACTTATTAATAGTTTTATGAACAACCTGGAAGCTTTCTGAACAACTAAGTATAGGGATCATAGTTAATACAAGGAACAAATAAATACATCCAGAAATGAAAACTAAATACACTCCAGACTCCAAAATCTAAGCTCCCCCTCCCCACCTGCCCAAGTATTTGAACATAGTCTTCCTAAGATCACAACAGTGAGTTTCCCAACTTTGGAACCCATTGTCCCCTTGTACCCTTAGCCCATCTGATTTTGTGACTAAGGCACAGTCTTCTGGAGTTGATTTCATCAGTGGCTGGTGAAGCATGACTCTGTTTTTTTAATAAGCCTTCTTCTTAAAACAACATTTTGATGAGCTAAGCATAAATTAATCAGAAACATATGGATTAAATTGACTTCAAAATACATATGGGTTTAAAAAATAAGAAAAGTACTTGGGGCAAAAACACACTTAGGGTTTTATAAGCCCAATATGTTAGAAAATCATAGCAAAAGGATTCCAAACAATGACCTCCGCTTATCTCTCTCATGGTCAGCAAAGTCCTTGCTATCTTCTCACAGAAAAAGGAAGTCAAGAAACAGATGAGCACCGTGAGATTGCTGGGTCCACATTCTAAGGCCAGACATTGTGGTTTCATTCTGTCTGGCTGCTGACTCTTTGAGGGAAAGTGGCATACTCCAAAAGACATCTCTTAGCTTCTGGGACCCTGGTGTCTATCACCACACTTCTAAGTTTATCCTCTTCTTTGAAGACAAAACTTCCTCATTTTCCACTTCTTCCAGGGGCATTCTGCTGTTGTATAATTTGTTGTTACCTCAAAATCAACATGTAAATACAACAAATTCATTCTCTCTCCTTCTCATTTTTCCACCTCCCAGTCTCCCAGGCACAAAATCTTGGATCCATCTTTGACATATTTGTCCTCTTGATCTCTTATACCCCGTCAGTCATCAAGTTCTGCCAAACTGCCCTTTGAAATCCATCCCCTCTCCATCCTGACTGCTCCCCGTCACCCGCCCACCAACCCCCATCTAGTGCTTCATCACCTCACACCTGGATTACAGAGCAGCCTCCCGGCTGACCTCACTGATCTCAGCATTCCTCCTGCCCTCTAGACTACCCCACACACTACTGTCAGCTTAATTTTCTTTAACCCCTGCTTTCCTCATCTCATCCTTCCTCTTTTCCCTTTTTACTTTGACTCTATAGCAATTTTAAACTCTTTCGCCTGCCTCCCAAGTTTCTTCATAATATGAATGGATTCTACCTCCCAAGCATGTTTTCCACCGTGCTTAGTGCTGGTCCGTCCCCTCCCAAAGCCTGGCATCAGCCCTGTGCTTGTGCAGTTTTGTCCCAATTCATGTCCCCAGAAAGCATTCCATAACTACTCACTTCTTCACTTTTATTTGCCTTTCTTTTACAATTCTAGGGTATAATATCGGTATCTCACATTGTGGGAGACCTCACTATTGTGGTATTTAAGTGAATACCTGAAAGATTTAAAGGACTCAACTCACAGAAAAGAATGAAAAGTGGTATAGCTTGTATACAGACCCTGTGATAGCTTATGGGTGGGGAAAGGGGAGGAATAATTTTGTATATTTAATAAATTGTAAAGAAAAAATATTTATAAAGAAATTGTGTTTAAGAAAACAGAAAAGGCCATTGTAGCTGACATGTAGCTTAAAAGGAGCAAATGTTTTCGAGATGAGGTTGGACTATAAGTAGGGCATTGGCAGCCATGCCAAGAGGTGTATTTTATCTAAATTCAACCCACCATAAAGTTATTTACATTAAAAAGAAGGAGTTTGTTTACTAGAAGATAGCTCTTGCTTTGAAGAATGAATGGCGGTAACAACATCAGTGTGAAGGTTATTTCTATGAAACAGAAGAGAAAGAAAGGTGGCTCAGAGTTGGTGGTAGCAATGAGGACAGAAATTTTCAAAAAACATTTTGGAAGTAGAACTCACAGGACATAGATATGAGTTGGATGTGAGATGTATGAGAAAGTGACAAATCAAGGATGATTCCTATATTTTAGACTTGAGAAATTGAAGACATTTTCTAAAATAGAGAAGACCATGGGTAAAAAATTACATTGAATCAAATTTTTAGTTTTGGGTTTAGCTCCAGGAAAAAAGGTGGATTAAGTAGTCCTGGCCTTTTCCTACCCCCTTGAAAACAACAAGAAGAGCTGCCGAAAATAATTTTAAATCTATTTAAAGACATTGGAGTGCCATCAAGGCAGTGAGGATTTGTAGAATAATAATTTTTTAAAAAGGAAATTTAAAAAAAAAATGATCCCGGCATTTGGTTTCCACTTTTCTTCCAGGGCTTTTGCCCATTTTGAATGTGGAAACCAAGAGTATGAGAAGCGGATTACAGATTTTGCTAGATTCATACTGCTAGAAGGACAAAAATTAGAGTATGTTGTATGTGAAGGAGGATCTTTGGTAAACACCCTAGTCTTTTGGTTGGTACCTTTAAGACCACACCTAAGAAAAAAAGTTGAATTGGAAGTAGCCCAGACCTCAGAGAGACTGGACCCAGATTCAAATCACTTCAACCCCCAATTTAATTAAGATGATATGGGATTGTTAGTAACTAGTTTAGCTGCCTACCGAAAACAATGATAAATCCTCTCTGAAGAAAGATAAACATCAACTGAGGCTTCAAAATGTCTCCAGAAATTATCAAACACAATTGTCTAGCATTCCACAAAAAATAAATAGAATACTAAAAATAAGATGGCCAAAACAAATGACCAAAAAACAAGAGGAAATATAATAAAAACAGATACACAGGATATCCTGAATATGAAGATCTCAAGCATAAAAATAATGCTGAGTAATATGCGCAAGAAATTTTAAACAGAGATGAGAAGAAGAATTTTGGAATAAAATAGAAACTTATTTTTAAAAATTAAATGAACATTATCAAGCTAAAAATACAGTAACAGATATTAATATCTCAGTGAATGACTTTAATAACATTATAAAAAGCTGAAGAGAAAATTGATGAAATGAAAAACAGATCAGGAAGAAATATATGTATTGAAATTTTAAAAAAATTATGTAAAGTACAGAAAATAATATAAAAATCATATTGGAGATACTGAAAGGTTCTAACATACCTTAATTAAAACTCCAAAAGGAAAAGAGAGAATGTGACAGGAAAAAATATTTGAAAGATAGTCTGATATCTAGGGATTTTGCAAAATGATAAAAGTCATCAAACCACAAAACCAAGAGGCAGAAGTTACTAGCAAACAAATCCAGAGATACATAAAAACAGACAACTCATCATGAATAACAATGAAAAGTTTCATTTAACATTTGAGAAATCAACATATAGGACACATATGTTACACCCATAATCCCAGCACTTTGGAAGGCCAAGGTGGGAGGATGGCTTGAACCCAGGAGATTGAGGCTGCAATGAACCATGATTGCACCACTGCACTCCAGACTGGGCTACAGGCTTTAAAATAAATAAAATAAAATAAAATAATTAATTTATATACTTTAACACATTAATAAAATAAAGAATAAAATAATACAGCATTTCAATAGATGTAGGTAGAATTTGGTACAAATGGCAAAAGTTCATGATGAAAACTTAGTTAGCAAGCAGACCAAAAAATGAGAAAGTAGAGAGCAGACATACACAAAATTATGAGCAAGCCTAACTTCATTGTATTAAACCACAGAAATCACATCTTTAAAAAATTTTTACAGAACATTTCCAGAATGAACATATGTTGGGTTATGTTGAAAATCTTACCAAATTTCAAGGAATTGAAATAATACAAATGTTATACTGTAACCACAGTAGAAGTCGCAACAAAAAAGAACCTAGAAAATCTATTTTAAAATTAAGCAGTACATCTCTAAGCAGCCCATTGTTCAAAGAAGAAACAATGAAAATTAAATAACATTTTAAACTGAATTATAATGAAAATACTACTTATCAGACTTACGGAGCTTCACTAAAATCTCGCTCAAAGGGAAATTTATAGTCATAAATCCACACATTAGAAAAGAATGGCTGAAAGTCAGTAATCTAAGGTCTATATCAAGAAATTAGAAAAAGAACAGCACAGTGAATCCAAAGAAAATAGAAAAATGAAAATAATAAATATAAAAACAAAATTTAATAAAATAAATGGAACTATAAAGTCAAATCGCAGCTCTTCAAAAAGAGCAATAGAGGTCATGACCAGCCTGGCCAACATGGTGAAACCCCATCTCTACTAAAAATACAAAAATTAGTTGGGTGTGGTGGTGGGCGCCTGTAATCCAAGCTTTTTGGAAGCCTGAGGCAGGAGAATCACTTGAACCCCAGAGTCAGAGGTTGCAGTGAGCCGAGATTGCACCACTGCACACCAGCCTGGGCAACAGAACAAGACTCTATCTCAAAAAAAAATAATAATAATAATAGAATAACCCCCTGGCAAGACTGGTGAGAGAGAGAGAGAGAGAGAGAGAGAGAATGCAGATAATTTCTGTAATGACAAGGAGGACACCACTAAAGATCCTACTGACATTAAAAAAGAAAGAGTATATAATCAACTTTGTGTCAATATATTACAATTGAGATAAAATGAATGTATATCCAGAGGTATACATTTACTAAAACCAGCACAAGAAATAATAGAAAATGTGTTTGTAAATGAATTATTTGGTTTATAAGAATTTTTCCCAGTTTTCCATAAAACTCAGCTTCATCTCCTCATCACTCACAAACAGAAGAAAAACCCTTCTATGAACTGCAAATTTTGAGTGATTCCACCTGGCTCTTCCCCTTTATGTTCCAGAAACATCTGCATGATCATAAGCAGGAAAATTTGCTTGCTCTGTTTTCTCCAAATCGACTCTTTCTTACTCATAGGTGAAAAGACTTTGAAACCATGACCCTTAAGCCTCATGAAAAGAACTGAATGCTAGACTGAATAGCAAATGTCAATACTGGGTTCCTAGATCATTTCAGGGAACTTCACCAAATTCTCGAAGTGTGAGATGGACCTATGTATGCCAAGACCTCAGAGTTCTCTCCATGAATGTCATAGTGAAGTCATTAGAATGTCCCCCACGAAGAACCTCAGAAGTCAAATTACAATTATTATAATAAGTAATGTCTCAACTCTAGAGTGCCTAGAATTCCAGTCGATTTTGAGCTATATGTATATCCCCAACCTCTAGCAAAGTGCCTAGCACTTAGTAGTTCCCCATTAATTCCTTATTGGATTAATATCACATGTCAGTGTGAGGGAAATGTAAGGTAAGCAGTTTTGAAGACAGCTCATATGGATTCAAAACTGTAAATTCAAAATCAAGTTATTTTTCAACTTGTAATGTCATTATATAGTTTACTAAGTTCTGAACAAAATGCAACTAGTCATATTTTCACTGCCAGAGGCAATAAGTCTGCAGCCCCACAAAATGCTAACTTGTCTTCATGTTCTGCTAATTCACAAGATTTATGTTAGTACAGTTTCACTTAAACTACTGACTATACTCAGCTGAGCTCAGAATTCATTCAAATCCCTTTTTTTGACTCCAGAATACATTTCAAACTCAAGATTGTCATCATCTCTTTCTCCACCCAGACTCATAAGCCAGTTCTTTCAATAGTAACCAAAAGAGGTATGAAAAGAAGTGAAATAGTCCATCAAAGTTAGCACAATTAGATAGATATGTGGGCATGTAGAAAAATGACAGGAGAGTAATTAGCATGAATTTTAATACCACATCTTTTGGAAGACTTGCACTACTTTATTGCAACCTTACCACTTGTGAACAATGTTGTCATTGCTGGTCTGTGGCGATGAATAAGCTTCATAGCACCCAAACGCCATCAGAGGTTCTATATTTACCTTACTTCTGCCAACAACCCATGTTCTCGCATTTTCCATGTAAAAGAGCTCTATGTGGGCCAGATTTAATTTAATGCAGAAATACTCTATGTCACTTCCAATAAAAGCAAAAAGGAAAGGGAGATTCACACACTAACTTATCAAGGATGGCAGCTCATGCTGGTGTTTGGAATAGTTTGGAGGTATTGTTTTGTTTACAGAGCCTTCAAGTTCAAAGGAAGGTACATGAGACTGATTAGAATGGCCTCCACAGATCTGTTTTCCAAATAGAAAACATATGCCCTTATGGGGTGAGCTCTTCATTCCCAGCTACAAGTGAATTTGAAAACAGTTTGACTCTGAGGAAGAAGAATGCAATATTCCTTACATAATACCTTTCTGAGGTAGGTCCAGGACAAACTCCTGATGGCCAAGGTAAAAATCATACTAAGTGTCACCAAAGGCTTTGACCTGGTGCTCATGCCAAGAGGAGCCTAAGACACATTCGTATTCAGTCCTCTGCAGATTCTTCAAGGTGAAAACACTGATGCCTATAAAAATTACGTGATTAGACCTAAAACCACAAACAAATCCATGGCCAAGTTGAAACTCTAACGCTGGTGTCTTGATTTATGACTCAATACTTAATATTACGTCATGCTGGACATTAGAATACATTTTTAAAACTTCATTTAGGGAAGACATTGGGAAAAAATAAACTCTCTTACTCTCTAACAAGACTGAAAAGGTATAGAGATAAGTCATGTTTTATTTAATAGAGAGGAAATCCTTATATATGAGTCAAGTTAATATTTTTCTGTGATTCACAGAAGATTCCAGGTGCAAGTAAGATGAATTGTCTCTTGTTTTCCAGTAGAATATTTTCATCCTTTTCCATGTAAGCATGAGTAATATTCAAAATTAACTGAATTGTTTTGTTCTGGCTAAATGCAGGAATGTCATTCTGTAAAAATATGTACTATGAAAAATAAAGATATTAATGATAAATTGGCCAGTCATGAGCTCTTGTCTGTATACAATAAACTGAAAATAAGTGTGAAAATACAGTGCTTTTTAAGTATGTGATTTTTTGAATGAAATAATAATGATTTTGAGTCATTTAAAAGCACTAATTTTGAAAGAAATGAACTTTTCATGGCAGTTTTGGGCATCTGAAAAGTAAGTTCATGGTTTACATCCCATTCTTTTGTAAGGCACCTTCTGGCCCATCTTTTTAAGAGGTGTTTGAGGGATCTGAATCTCTCTTTGGATCTGTAATACATTATAGTCTGCTGATAAGCATCCTATAATTTTTTACTGCATCATTACAAAAAAAAATTGGGGGCAAAGTAGACATTTAAAATAAAGTTTTGTTACTCGAAAACAGACAGTCTCCATCCTCATTCTGAGTAATGTCTGCCTCTATTCAGTTCAACAGCCCACAAAGAGAGTAATAGACAAAGACATGCCAGATTTTAAAAATCACACTCTGAAACCATACCTAGTGGAGAAGCCCAGAAACTGCTTCACTGAACAATGTACTTCTGAAAATATGTTGAAAGGTGGAGTACTATTTTATTTCATTGCTTTTTTCCCCCCTTTCAAAATTTGTATACCAAGTTCCCTTATTTAATAAAGACCTCAGGGCCTTCAAAAATTGATTTGTTTGGCTTTGGCCATGGAGACACTCCGGGCTTTTCCCAGTTCAGATCCTGAAGAGATTCATGTTGACTCAAAAGCCAACTTTCTTTGGCAGATCCCCTACTGGACTCAGCCTTTGTCCTTGCCAGTACCCCCTGGCCCACACTGATGATATCACTCTGAGTCACACACAGGCTTCACATACATGGCTCAGACACAACAATGATGCTGCTGATGACAACCCCACTGTTAATAATCTGTTCACATGGTGATATGAAGCATTACCTGGCTCTGTGTGTTAACAATTAAAACTTGTTTGGTTTTGCTTAAGCACAGACTATCTAGGATTAGACTAAGCATGCTGTTGCTTTCTCTATCTTATCTCTATCTTTGTCATGCATCCTTGGCCAACATATAGGAGAAATCTTTTTGGACATCTTTTAGCCTTTGATTGACCTCTTCTGGCTAAATTAACATGTCTAGGACAAACACAGGTTATGTTTGACACCATTTCTCCTTGAGGCATGAAGATGTACCTCAATGATGAAAGATGAGTATAAACTAACCTTCACAAGCCTTCTCTTGAAGATGTACTACATTGTTGTGGAGTTTCTGTTTAATTGTGCCTGATAATTATATTGCTGAAATGCTTTGCCGAGAAATTTCAAAAGAAGAACTGTGCTCTACAGACTTTATGTCAACAGTTTTTTTTGTATTTCCATGTATGTTTGAACTAAGAACAACACTGGAATTTTCCAAAACTCCATACCAGTGAATGCATGGAGTTACATAGTGACTATTATAGTGTTTGCAAGGTTTTAATGCTAATTATTGCATTTAAGAAGGCATATGTGGAAAGCTGAAACTGGATCCCTTCCTTACACCTTATACAAAAATTAATTCAAGATGGATTAAAGACTTAAATGTTAGAGCTAAAACCATAAAAACCCTAGAAGAAAACCTAGGTAATATCATTCAGGACATAGGCATGGGCAAGGACTTCATGTCTAAAACACCAAAAGCAATGGCAACAAAAGCCAAAATTGACAAATGGGATCTAATGAAACTAAAGAGCTTCTGCACGGCAAAAGAAACTACCATCAGAGTGAATAGGCAACCTACAGAATGGGAGAAAATTTTTGCAATCTACTCATCTGACAAGGGGCTAATATCCAGAATCTACAATGAACTCAAACAAATTTACAAGAAAAAAACAAACAACCCCATCAACAAGTTGGTGAAAGATATGAACAGACACTTCTCAAAAGAAGACATTTATGCAGCCAAAAGACACATGAAAAAATGCTCATCATCACTGACCATCAGAGAAATGCAAATCAAAACCACAATGAGATACCATCTCACACCAGTTAGAATGGCGATCATTAAAAAGTCAGGAAACAACAGGTCCTGGAGAGGATGTGGAGAAATAGGAACACTTTTACACTGTTGGTGGGACTGTAAACTAGTTCAACCATTGTGGAAGACAGTGTGGCGATTCCTCAGGGATCTAGAACTAGAAATACCATTTGACCCAGCCATCCCATTACTGGGTATATACCCAAAGGATTACAAATCATGCTGCTATAAAGACACATGCACACGTATGTTTATTGCGGCACTATTCACAATAGCAAAGACATGGAACCAACCCAAATGTCCAACAATGATAGACTGGATTAAGAAAATGTGGCACATATACACCATAGAATTCTATGCAGCCATAAAAAATGATGAGTTCATGTCCTTTGTAGGGACATGGATGAAGCTGGAAACCATCATTCTCAGCAAACTATCTCAAGGACAAAAAACCAAACACTGCATGTTCTCACTCATAGGTGGGAATTGAACAATGAGAACACTTGGACACAGGAAGGGGAACATCACACACCAGGGCCTGTTGTGGGGTGGGAGGAGAGGGGAGGGATAGCATTAGGAGATATACCTAATGTTAAATGACGAGTTAATGTGTGCAGCACAGCAACATGGCACACGTATACATATGTAACAAACCTGCATGTTGTGCACATGTACCCTAAAACTTAAAGTATAAAAAAAAAAAAGAAATGCAAGCACCCTGGCCAACATGAAGAAACCCTGTCTCTACTAAAAATAAAAAAATTTGCTGGGTGTGGTGACACGTGCCTGTAATCTCAGCTACTCGGAAGGCTGAGGCAGGAGAGTCGCTTGAACCTAGGAAGCGGAAGTTGCAGTGAGCTGAGATCACTCCACTGCACTCCAGTCTGGGCAACAGAGAGAAACTCCATCTCAAAAAAAAAAAAAGAAATTAATCTTAGGCCAATGTTTTAATACAGACATCAATTGAAAGCTTGATAGAAAAATGAAGTGCTCTGATGGATTCTATAGAAAACCGCAAGTTCTGGGCCAGTGGTCATGATGATGAAGCTAAGAGGTCAGTTAGCTGAGTGGTTCAGAGTCAGGGGCTAACACAGGGCAAGTCAGGCTCCATTCCTTTGAGAGTCAACTGGTTCTGTGTAGTCAAATCCCTGTTAGTTGTTCTCGTGGTCCGCTCTGCTGAACAGAGCTAAATACTAATCTACCAAGTATAATTTCAAACCAAGTAATAATGTCTACAGTTGTTAGATGAATAAACTTCAGCATACACATATTATTTAGAACTACAGAATTTAGAAAGCAGAAGAAACCATTCAAAGAGTTGAAAATGGCAGTGAGACTGAGGAGTGAAAAACTGGTGTTTTTCTTTATTTACCATTTTTAAGTGTTTTCATCTGTGTACATATATAGATCTAATAAAAATATGAATGATAAAAAATAAATCATATATTAAACACACACATATGCTTGGTTGGTATTGCTAAAGGAGGAGAATAAATGGGACAATGTAAAGCATTTAGTATAATATAACAATTCCTCAGCATAAGTAGATGAGAGAAAACATTCACTCTTTCATGCATTAAATAATTAAGAAACAATTACTATGTACCATATACAGGCTAGATGCTGTGAGAATATGCAGATGAGTTTGCCACGGTTTCTCTTCTCAAAGAGCTCATAATTGAGTAGGAAGACGAAGAGAGCTAAACAGCAAACTACAATATAAAAATTAAAGTTTTATAATGAAAAATTACTAATAAGTACAGAGAATAGAGAAATGACCTATTGATATTCACAGGAAAAATTGAGACAAACTTCACAGAGAAAATAAGCATTTGAATTCAGCCTTTAGTAATTATAGCAGTGATATCTAATACATCGTCATGTTTCCTATGTGACAGGAACTAGAGAGTTTAGAGGAGAGGAAGGGGAAGCACTTCAAATTGGGAGAATAGCATGAGAAAAGTCAAGGATATATCCAAGCTCCTAACACTGTGTGTCTGGAGGGTTTGGAAAAGATAAGGCAGAAATGTTAGAAGGGGAGCCAATGGGAGAGGGTTTACAATGCCACACAATGACACTTATTTTTTAATTCTTATTGGCTTGGGGAAAGAAAAATGAGACTTGGCAAGGTTTTAACTCCAGTAACCCTTTGAAGGAAGGATTAGAGAGTAAGAACAGAGAGGTATCAGTTAGAAATCTACTTCACTAGCAACAGGGAGCATGAGGACATGAACCAGGACATTGGCAGTGGGAAGAGAAGAAAAGTAGTACATTAATTGGCAGTGTGTGGCAGTGGAAAAATCAATTAAACTGAGCAGCCAATTAAATGTAGGAGGCAAAAATAACCAGAGATCAAATATGGGAGGTTTTCAGTTTGGACAGTTGAATTAATAGTAGTGTCAGTAACTGGGACAGAAAATACAGAAAGAGAAACAGGATCATGGAGAAACTGTAATTAATTCCATTCTGGACATCTGGGCTTCAAATACTACCAAAACAAGCAGTGTGAAGGCTGCCATTGACAAGTGGCAAATATCCTTGATGACATACAACAAAAACTTGAATCATAGACATTTATTAAACTCCCAGTATGTGCAAAGGATTGGAAAAGATCCTACGGGGTGGGCAAAGCACCTTAGGGTATAGTTCCTGACCATAGGGGCTTAATAATGTAGGAATGAGTACAACATGAACATATAAAAATGTGACTAAGAATGGTTCAGAGAAAATGTTGTGGGAGAGATGGGAAAGAACCTAGGCCTTGAAAGACAGATGGGGTGGAGCAAAGAAGGGAAGGGAAAGAAGTTCTCAGTGAAAGGCTTGGAGGGGTTGTTAAGAAATGTGCTTCGGTGAGACCAGAAATAGCTGGACTGGAGTTAACTTGTGAAAAAAGGAGAGAAAATAAACATGGGCCGAAAAACTGATGTTAACTTTTGAGCCTTCTTAAGTTAATATGCAACAAATATACATATTTGGGGGTACAGGTAATATGTTGATGCATTCATTTAATACACAAATATCAAATCAGGATAATCGGGATATACTCACCTTAAATATTTTTTCGTTACACTAGAAGCATTCAAAATATTTTCTTCTAGCTGTTTTGACATGTACAATAGATTATTCTTAACTGTAGTCACCATAATGATCTATCAAATAGTAGGTCTTATTTCTTTTATCTAACCGTATATACGTACCCATTGATCAACCTCAGCTTTTGAGCATTTTTATTTTTACGTTTGTTGTATTTTAGAGACAGGTTTCTCTCTGTTTCCCAGGCTGGAGCACAGTGGCATGTTTATAACTCACTACAGACTCAAACGCTAAAGCTCAAGCAGTCCTTGCGCCTCAGCCTTCCAAGTAGCTGGCATCACAGGGGTGCATCACCATGCCCAGCCAATTTTTTTTTTTTTTTTTTTTTTTTTTTAGGGAGATGGAATCTCACTATGTTGCCTAGGCTGGTCTCAAGGTCCTGGGTTCAAGTCATCCTCCTGCCTTGGCCTCACAAAGTGCTGGGTTTATAGGTGTGAGCCACTAAGCCTGGCCTTTTTGAGCATTTTTTAATGTCAAGCACAGTTGTTTGAACTGGACTGAGGCAACAGAAAGGAACCTTTGGTAAATATCCTAACCAGTGAATAAAATGAACACAGTATGGAGGACCTGCTCTTCTGAAATATACTCGAATTGCTTATTCCTCTCTCCATTCTTTAAACATTAAACAAATGTTTACTTAGTAGCTACTAAGAGCCAGGTGCTATAAATGAGTATGAAATTGGATAAGAACTGAACACCTCTTTCAGCATTTGGACAAGACATAATGTGGAGTCACAGTAATAGAGATGAGTTTGGAATAAGAGAATTTGTCATCGCATTCCAGCTTTATTACTGAACAACTGCATGGTGTGGACAAGTCACTCATTTGTGCTCAGTGTTTTTCCTGTTCTTTTATTTATTTGTTTGTTTTTATGTTAGGCAGTCTTCTTAACTGTTTTCTGTTTTCTTTGTCTTTTCTCTCTCTCCTGCTTACATATCATGAAGTTAAAGTTTTTATTATTGTTTTACCAAAATTAGATCATACTGACAGATTTCTGTATATCTTGCTATTATCCATGGGAAAATAATTGTTGAAAACTTTCCTAGTGTACAACTAATTCATAGTGTACAACTAATTCATAGTGTTTGCTACTGATATTGAATAGATACATTCAACAATTCTGTTTTGCCTTCATCTGTTTTCGCCTTTGTAACAAAGCTAGAATAAACACTTTTGTCCATATTTATTTATTTCCTCGTTCTTTCTGTGAAAGAAATCTTCAGAATAAGAAATCCTGGATATACTAATTCTTATTTTTATAACTTTTTTTTTTTTTAACAGAGTCTCGCTCTGTCGCCCAGACTGGAGTGCAGTGGTGCGATCTTGGCTCACTGAAACCTCCGCCTCCCGGGTTCAAGTGATTCTCCTGCCTCAGCCTCCCGAGTAGCTGAGATTACCAGCACCCGTCATCATGCCCAGCTAATTTTTGTATTTTGGTAAGGACAGGGTTTCACCATGTTAGCCAGGCTGCTCTCGAACTTCTGACCTTGTGATCCGCCCGCCTTGGCCTCCCAAAGTGCTGAGATTACAGGCATGAGCCACTGCGCCCGGCCTTTTATAACATTTAAAAATGCATTAGGTTTTGTCATTTTGCTTTCCAAAAGGCCTGAAGCAATGTATAGACCTATATGACAGCAGTGGTTCTCAAAGTTTCGTGTGTATTGGAATCATCTGGAAAGTTTGTTAAAACACAGTTTCCTGAATCTCACCTCTGGAGATTACTTGTGTGAATACCTATCTTCAGTGATAATGTTACTTAATTGTTGACAGTGTACAGGATATAAAGTAATATCTTATTGTGCTTGCATTGACTGCTACAAAGTGTGAAAAAATTTCAAGCATTTGTTGGTCATTTGGATTCACTTTTCTGTATATTGTTTCTCATATCCTTTGTCTATTTGTTTTCTGTTAAATTTCTTTTTCCTGAAATTATCTTTTGCAGAGCATCAGCAATTTCCCTGGTCTCTTCATGTGCTCAAACATTTGAAGGGGTTTAATTGTCTCTCCTTCTTCCTGCTAATGCAAGTGATGATGAAAATGTAGATGCAAAGCTCCTTTCCACAAGCGTAATGAACATGCTTCACTTCAAACTGGAAATTTGGCATTCTTAATTAAACACTGTAGCTGAGGTATCTTTCCCCATGTGTCTTGTCGTACTGTTTCACTAAATAAACAAAGAAAGAAAGAAATAAAGAAACAAAAACAGTATTTCAAGATCTATATGCAGATCTTCCATCTCAGATGTAAAATAAAGTGATGCAGTGAGTCATTTTCCTACTTATTACATACAGTTGTAATGTTTAAGACAGGAAAACACCTATTATTGGTTCTCAAGTCATTCCGGGAAAAATTCTTTCACTGGGACTCACAACTTCAAGATTGACTACTTTGATTATGGTAGCCTGAAAGCACTTTGAAAGGAGGAACATTTTCTCATGTGTATTTCCAGTCATTAAAGCACCTAGAGCAGAATTCTGGACTTAGTGCATGCTCAGCTAATGGATATATTCAGCATTATAAATCTATGTCTATAGCTTTAGGGGTTATAGAGGTAATAGAAGTTAGAGGTCTGTAACATAGAGGTTTCAACTGAACCTATAATATGCCAAGTCTATGTTTTAAAAAATGGGGTTTATTATATTTGTATTTTATAATTTGACAGCCTTTCCTTCATACCACACTGTGCATGAAAGATGGTTAGTCAGCTCTCCAGTCTAAAAGAAATTTCCCCCAAATGATCATTTCAAACTAAGGGTATTCTGGGAAAAAGTCAATGCAGGGAGTCTGGAAACAACTCTAAACCTCAAAAGGGATTCAGATTACGTTCGTCTTCAGGGACATACAGGGACAGACTTGAAGGCTTACATTGGCTCAGTGAGAATTCCCATCTCCAGTGTTGGCCATCACTAAGCAGCGGCTCCATATTATGACAAGGGCATAACCCAGGTTCAGAAACTGCCAATAGTTTGTGGCACAAATGTTTGGTCACTAAGGGCAGAAATCCCCAAACATCTGGGGACTTGTGGTTTAACGGGATATGTACTTGTCAGTACTGTTCTAAAATGATTCTATTTTAAAGCAACTTGCTGAGCACTATGAATATGCTTCTGGTATAGAAAAGAGTATCCACTTTGTTTGTTTTGCTTGTGATTTTCCTTGTTTTTAGACTGGGAATAAATTGAAGGCCATGTAATCCACAGTTTGCAAGATGAAATGCTTGCAAACAGGTTGTAGCAATTGTAAAAATAGCCAAAACATTTTGCAGCTTTTCTCTTCAAGAGATGGAGTATTTTCCTCCACTGCTTGAATCTGAGTTATCCCTGTCACTTGCTTTGAATAATAGAATACAACAGAAATGACAATGAATCAGTGCCAAGCCTAGGACCCAACGGGCCTTTCAACTTGTGTTCCTGCACCCTTGCAACACAGAAGCTGCCATATGAAGTTCAAGTTAGCTTGCTGAATGATTTGGCTCAGAAATATCTATTACCCCAGGTGACAGGCAATCAATACCCACAAGCAGAGACACCTTACTAAATGGCAGTTGATCCAAGATGAGTAAATGAGACCAGGCAAGACCAACAGAATTGCCTAACTAAAACCATCAAATTACTGACCCTAGAATGTTGAGCTAAGTAAATAGCTGTGCTTTAGCCATTAAGCCTAGTTTAATCCGTATAAATGTAAGACATTATGTTTTGCAGTTATTTGTTACATGGAAAAAGCCAACTGATACACAAATGCATGCATACATTCATAAAAACAAGGTAATAAGGAGTGGTGAGGGCTGTGGCAAACTGAGAAAGGCATGCCTATTTAAAATAATTTAAATATAGTTTTTGTTTGTTTGTTTGTTTGTTTCGAGACGGAGTCTTGCTTGTTGCCCAGGCTGGGGTGCAGTGGCATGATCTCAGCACGCTGCAACCTCCACCTCCTGGGTTCAAGTGATTTTCCTGCCTCAGCCCCCGAAGTAACTGTGACTACAGGCATACACCACCATGCCTGGCTAATTTTTGTATTTTTCGTAGGGATGGGGTTTCACCGTATTGGTCAGGTTGGTCTCAAACTCCTGACCTCAGTGATCCACCCGCCTCGGCTTCCCAAAGCTTTGGGATTCCAGGCGTGAGCCATCGCGCCCAGCCTTAAATATAGATTTTAAAGAAACTCAACTTGCCATAGGAAACACATCTGGAAGTTGCTTGCCAGCCAAGAGTGTTTGTCTTCTGACCTAGTCAATTCCCTCAACCTTACAAACGAGGAAATTGGTCCAGAAAGTGACTTACATGGCCATGGCTAGTTCATGCCAGAGCAAAAATAGAATTAAGGTCTTCTGATATCCTGTAAAGGCCCTTTTTCTTCAACAAGGGGCTGGCTGTTCTATCTGAAACAAGCATAGCCTGAAGATAAGAAAAGGACAGCATGAAACTAAAATCGTTCAATTTTTTATTGGGGGGGTCTCAAATTTATTTTAGGAAAATTGTTTCAGAATGAGGGAAAGAATCCTGTGATTTAATTTTGAGGAAAAAAACATTCTTAGAAATGTTTCATAAACTGAAAATATTCTGTCCACTGAACATATTACCTTTGCCCATTAATTATAATTTTTGTATGTTCTGGAACCCAGAGAGAGTAACGAAGTTCTTGAAGTCTTAAAATGAATGGAAAATGATCCTGTTACATAACTCTTTGATAAACTAACTCCTGTCCAGTTACATAAGAGAATAACAAAACCCGTATTATATGTCCTCTGAACACATAACGCCACCTTTTGTAATTGTGCAAATTACTACCTTTAAAATGAGTTTCATCACTGGTGATATAAGTCATATCATAAAGGATAAACAGACGTTTTGACAGGTATCAGACATTTGGCTACAAAAGAAAAACAAGTTGTAGAGTCCATTTTCATTCAATGCTGTTTCTTTGAAGCAGACAGAAACCCAATGATGTCTCACACCACACCATGTGTTTATTTGATATTTTTGCATGGAGGCTGACTCTTTTACCCATGCTACAAGCTTCTCTTGCACTGAGCCACTAAATAGGGGTTGGCAAATGGAGAGGTTTAATTTAAACTGTGTATTTTCTTATCTGGGTTTTGCCTATCCTAACAAGGTGTTGTTGATTTGTTCAATGCAGCCCAAGACTAAAATAAATTTAAATACAAAGAAACAATGTGGTGTTGGCATCCTTCTGTGTGGTTAGCATCTGTGTATTGTGAAGGTATTTAGAAATGCCTTTTGGAATGCGGATGCAAGCAAGCACACCTAAGTATACGCAGGAGACATGGGAAGCACTGTGAAGGAGAGTAGGGTGGCAGGCATGAAGCAGAGAACAAGAGCACAGCCCAATTCCCATTACTTAATACAACGCATTGTGAGGCCAGAGCCTCGTGGGAGCCAATCACCAGCTGACAAAATTAGATTCTGAATCATGCTTTGTAATTCTTTCTAATGCCAGCCAGGGATGAGAGCCTGCTCTGGGAACTAGTCCCTCCCAGAACCTACCCCCCACCCAGTGTTCCTTATCAGCCCCCAGCCAGCTGTCAGCTTGTAAGGTTGCTGGACAGAGCATTTAATTCTCAAGGTTATGCATTAATATTCAAATTCTTTCTTATCCATAGACTGTGACTTAAGCATGAACTTTTTTTTTCCATCTCCACCCTCTTTCCTGCGTGAATTTCCTTCCATAGATTTTACCCCAAAACCTTTGAATTGAATGGCCACAGAAAGGAGAGCCATTTACAAAACGTGTCCTGAGCCAGTTCTTCTGCAACATAGGCATATCCCCAGAGAAATGCTCTTTATTTTCCAATTACAAAAACAAATCTTATTAAATATTATTTAAAATACATCTCCACCCCTAAATCCTCTTTTCCCCTCCAGCTGATGTCTGAAGTTGTTGGCAAGTAAATTGGAATTAGTTACGGTGGAAAATAAAGCTATCAGAATGTAGCCAGATATCTCATATTGCTTAGGATGGCCCTGGGTTTCACACGGATGCCTTGGAGAATACAAAGATTAGGACATTTACCAGGCAAAACTTAAATGATCTCAACAACAAAAATACACCTGCATGTTTACTAGGAACCATACAACTAAAAGGTGTGCATTATGAGAGATCTAAAAGCAATCCGTGCTATTTCATGTCAGAATGCATTTTGGCCTCAACTATCAGACTAATTTAAAGAAAACTTAATGGGGTTTTGGTTTTGTGTTAGTTAATGCTAGTGTTCATTATCTGTACAAAGCACCTTGATGTTTAATTTACTTTCCATTTGTGGGATAACTCACAGTCCAATGTAGGAAAGTCCTGTTCACTCAATTGAATAAACAGTTATCAGTGGCAATCTGCACCGAAGGCACAGGCACTTTAAAGGATACAGAGATACAAGGACGATGCCTGCTCTCATGGATTTTTTATTATAAGCAGGCAGGTAGATCTTTTGCAAATTTCCATCTAGACTCTCCACTAGCTTTAGGGCTTTGAATAAATTATTTAAATGTTCTAGCCAGAAGGATCACTTGAGGCCAGGAGTTCAAGACCAATGTCAGCAATATAGTGAGACCCCTTCTCTACAAAAAACAAAATTAGCCAGGTGTGGTGTCGCACCTGTAGTCCTAGTTACTCAGGAGGCTGAGGCAGGAGGATCCCTTCAACTCAGGAGTTTGAGGCTACAGTGAGCTGTGATCATGCTTCTGCTCTCCAGCCTGGATGACAGAGCAAGACCCTGTCTCTATAAATAAATAAATAATAAAATAAATAAATAATACTCTAAGCTTCAGTTTCCTCACGTATAAAGCGATAACCTCAATGTTTTTTCTTAGGCTTGAAGAAACCAAAACATAGGCATTAGCCTTAACACACTGCTCAAAACACAGTAAGCCAAAAATAAGTATTATATGATTATTAGCTATTCTGATAGAAAAGATAAACTTATCTTTCAAAAAACTAACAATTTTAGATAAGATGCTGGAGCTCAGAGCCAGGTTTTAGAAATATTATAAAGCACATGGGGAGTATCTTCAGTTTATCTTCAAGTGTCCTTTAAACATAACCCTTTCCTTGTTTGAGAGCTGCAACCCAGGTAACCATGCCCTCAGGGTTATGGGAATGGACCTAGACATGGCCTACTGCAGAGGCAAGCTCATTCTTGACTTCCTACCTTTGATCAATACTCACCGGACATGTGTGCCATACACTCAGGGCTCCACTTTCTTTCGTATTAATCTAATAAAACAAACCAAACAAGAATGATGACTGGGACCAATGGGTCCTTCTAGGTGTCATCTTAAATGTCTTCCATGAGGCTATGTTTCAATTCTAAAAACAAAATGATGGTAGGAAATTTAAGCACCTGGATGATTGCTTAGAGTAAGGGAAGAATTGCATGCCCCTGAAACCCCCCTGGAGGACAGACATCCACCCATCATTTCTACTTGTATAAAGTTGAACTGACTTCTCATTTTAAAAATAGAAACTAACATACAAACCTAATGGTCTAAAACCAGAAGAGATAGCCATTTCCTAAGTATAATCTTTCTCTAATTTAGGAATACAACTAAAGATTCCAGTATAACTAATATAGAATCAAAGTAAAAATGAAAGTAATAAATTTTCCTTTTTTATCATTATATAATAAAATGTGCCTTACTATATAGTCTTTTGGTTTCTTAATTGTATTAGCATATAAAATGTTAATTAAATTTAATTATATGGCTTAAATGTCCGATATGTTAAAATTAATCTTAAAGGATGTATTTCATATTGAAGTTTATGGTTTAATAATTACCTTTGGGAATAGTATTAGAAACTCAACAAATTTGTTTCTTGTCACTCAAGTATAACCACAAGGTGACATTTGATCTCTAAAGTTCTCCAACTTGCTGGCTAAACTGCAATCTTCATTAAATCCAATTATCAGTCTACTCCCACGCCTGCACCTACACAACTGGATGTGGCTGGAGAAAAATACAAGCCTATGCTGACTGTTCTTACTTCAATGATGAATAACCTTATGGGGTGTCCCAGCGCTGCCCAAAACCACATTGCATTTTCTTGGTTCATTGAATCTCTCACTCTTAGGAGGACTGTGTGATCCCTTCTCCATTCTCCGCAAACATCTGGCACTTCCTACCATCTTCCCGGTTAGCTGATAACCTTGCTCCTGCTTCATGGAGATGACAGAAGCAATCAGATCAGACCTCACAAGTTGTCATCACATTATATACTGTCCTATCTGCCCATGAGCCCATATAATCAATCTATCTTCTCTCCTGGTGCTACGAGCTGCCAGGTATCTATCTAGGGCGAACTCTTCCATTCTCATTTACTAGAGGATATTGCTCCAGCAATTCATCCCTTTCTTCTGTATCATCAGTGGTTCCTTTGTTCTTTTTGATCTATTTCTATCATGGTATATTCAGACTCTTAATACCTTTCATCATTATAAAACAAAGTTGTCTATTAATACTACTTTCACCTCCCAGAAAAGACCCTATTTTTTCCTTCCTTCTCACAGAAAACCTTCTAGAAATAAGTATCTATATACCTACCGTCCATTTTTAAATTTCTATCCTTAACCCACTCCATTCAGGTTTTTGTTCCTACTACCCTACTAAAAGTGAAGGTTATTAGTGACCTCAACTTTGATAAACAAAATAGTTAATTTTTGTCTAATTCAGTCAGCAGCACTAGATTATTTTCTTTTTTATCATAATTTTAACTTTAGTTTTAGATTCACAGGGCTGCATGTGCAGGTTTGTTACCTGGGTATACTGCGTGATGCTGCGGTTTGGGTTACAATTGATCCCATCAACCAGGTACTGAGCATAGTATTCATTAGTTAGTTTTTCAACCCTTTCTCTCTTTTAATATTCCCTAGTTTCTATTGCTGCCATCTTTATATCCATAAGTAACCCACGTTTAGCTCCCACTTATATGTGAGAACATGCAATTTTTTTTTTTTTTACTTTTAAAATTTTTATTTATTTTTAAGATGGCGTCGCACTCTGTCATCCAGGCTGGAGTGCAGTGGTGCAATCTTGGCTCACTGCAACCCCTGCCTTCCGGGTTCAAGCAGTTCTCCTGCCTCAGTCTCCTGAGTAGCCAGGACTACAGACGCATGCCACCAAAGCCGGCTAATTTTTTGTATTTTTAGTAGAGATGGGGTTTTGCCATGTTGGCCAGGCTGGTCTTGAACTCCTGACATCAAGTGATATGCCTGCCTCTGCCTCCCAAATTGCCGGGATTACAGGAGTGAGCCACTGCACCACACCGGGCCAATTTCCTTCTTTTTTAATGGCTGCATAGTATTTCATGGTGTATATATATATACCATATTTTATTTATCCAATCCACCTTTGATGGGCGCCTAGGTTGATTCCATGTCTTTGTTTTTGTGAGTAGTGATACAATGAACCTGTGAGTGCATGTGTCTTTTTTGTAGTACAACTTATTATCTTTTGGAAATATACCCAGTAATGAAATTGCTGAGTCAAATGGTAGTTCTGTCTTAAGTTTTTTGAAACATTTTCAAACTTCTTTCCACAATGGCTGAACTAATTTACATTCCCACCAACAGCATGTAAGTGTTCATTTTTCTCCTCAGCCTCACCAGCATCTGTTATTTTTTGACTTTTTAGTAGTAACCATTCTGACTCATGTGAGATAGTATATCATTGTGGTTTTCATCTACATTTCTCTGATAATTAGTGATGTGGAACATTTTTTCATATGTTTGTTGGCTGCCTCTATGTCTTTTTCTGAGATGTGTCTGTTCATGTTTTGCCCATTTTTTAATGGCGTTATTTGTTTTTTGTTTAGCCAATTCTTTTTTGTGGATGGAGTCTCACTCTGTCACCCAGGCTGGATTGCAGTGGCACGATCTCATCTCACTGCAACCTCTGCCTCCTGGGTTCAAGCGATTCTCCTGCCTCAGCCTCCCGAGTAGCTGGGACTGCAGATATGTGCCACCATGGCTGGCTAATTTTTGTATTTTTTTAGTAGGGACAGGGTTTTGCCATGTTGGCCAAGCTGGTCTCAAACTCCTGACCTCAGGTGATCCACCCACCTTGGCCTCCCAAAGTGCTGGGATTACAGGCGTGAGTCAGGATGCCCAGCCTTGCTTGTTCAATTCTTTAATTTCCTTATAGATTCTGGATATTAGACCTTTGTTGAATGTGTAGTTTGTGAATACTTTCTCCCATTCTATATGTTGTCTGTTTATTCTGTTGATCTTTTCTTTTGCTGTCCAGAAGCTCTTTAGTTAAATTAGGTCCCACTTGTCAACATTTGTTTTTGTTGCAATTGCTTTTGAAAGCTTAGTCATAAATTATTTCTCAAGGCAGATGTCCAATATTGTGTTTCCTAAGTTTTCTTCCAGGATTCAAAGTTTCATCCTACAAAGTCAATATTCAAAAATCAGTAGCACTTCTATACACCAATAAAGTTCAAGCTGAGAGCCAAATCAAGAATGCAATCCATTTACAATAGCCACAAAAAATACCTGCGAATATATCTAAACAAGGAGGTGCAAGATCTCTACAAGGAGAACTACAAAATATTGCTGAAATAAATTATAGATGACACAAACAAATGGAAAAACATTACCTGCTCACAGATTGGAAGAATCAGTATTATTAAAATGGCCATACTGCCCAAAACAATCTATAAAAGCAAAACTATTCCTATCAAACTACCAAACTACCAACGTCATTTTTCACAGAACTAGGAAAACTTCTAAAATTTATATAAAACTAAAAGAAAGAGCCCAAATAACCAAAGCAATCCTAAGCAAAAAGAACAAAGCCGGAAGCATCACATTACCAGACTTGAAACTACACTATAAGGCTATAGTGACCAAAACAGCACGGTACTGAAAAATTCAGGCACATAGAACAATGGAACAGAATAGAGAACCCATAAATAAAGCCACAAACTTACAATCATCTGATCTTCAACAAAGTCAACAAAAATAGGCAAGGGGGAAAGGACTCTCTATTCAATAAGCGGTGCTGGGATAGCAAGTTAGACATATGCACAGAAGAATAAAACTGGACCCCTATCTTTCACCATATACAAAATTAACTCAAAATAGATTAAATGTTTTAAATATTTTCCTTTTTGGAAACACCTTCTACAGTTGACTTGCAGGACATCAAATTCACCTGGTTTTCTCCCACCCCACAGTTTCTTCAGTCAGATTTCCCGGTTCCTACTAGTCTTCTTAAACTCTAACTATTGCAGTGTTTGGGCTCAGCATTTAGGGTTTTTCTCTATCATATTCACTTTTTTGATGCTCTCTTTAAGTCCCATAGCTTTAAGTATTTATAAGTCTGGACCTCTCCCAAGAACTCTAGGCTTATACGTCCAACATCCTACTAAACTTCTCCACTGGGTGCCAAATAGGCATTAGAATTTAATATATCCTAAAATTAAACATCTATATTTTGCCCCGCCCAAACTTTCCTTTTTCACATTCTTCTCCATTTTCAGTAAATGTCCATTACACCTTTTCAGTTGTTCAGATTAAAAACACAACAACAGAAACAAAAAAACCTGCAGTCATTCTTGACTTCTCTGTTTCTACATCCTTCCCTTCATACCCCGTATTTAACCTATTGGCCAATTATATCTGCTCTTCCTTCAAATTAAGAGAAACTGGGCTCGGCGTGGTAACTCATGCCTGTAATCCTAGCACTTTGGGAGGCTGACGAAGGTGGATGGCTTGAGTCCAGCCTGGGCGACATGGTGAAATCCTGTCTCTACTAAATAAATAAATAAATAAATAAATAAATAAATAAATAAATAAATAAGCCACGTGTGATGGCACGTGCCTGTAGTCCAACCTACTTGGGAGGCTGAGGTAGGAGGATCACCTGAGCCTGGGAGGTTGAGGCTACAGTGAGCCATGACAGTGCCACCTCACTCCAGCCTGGGCCACAGTGTGAGACCCTGTTTCAAAAAAACAAAAAAGAGAGAGAGAGAGAAACCGAATAGTTATCATCATGTCTATAGCTGCCACAGATTCAGATATCTTCCACTTGTCCTCCACCCTTCCTCATGGTGATCTCCAAATCCACTTCCTTCCTCACTATCTTTCAGTTAAGTTCAACCATGAGAAGCTCTCCCATTGAGGGAATGGAGAGAGTTAATTCAGAGGAGTTATATTCCTTGCTCCCGTCACACAGTCCCCACAGTCCCCTTTATACTGGCATGTCTCTGTTGAAGCTTCCTAGTCCTCTCAAGTCAGCCTGCTTAAAGCAACTTCCTTCTTCTGGATTCTAGGAAATCTGACTCACTGTCCCTCTGGCCTAGAGTTGATTACAAATCCCTTACAGTTCCTCTGTACTTCAACTACATCTTTGTAAATAGTCACTTTGTACATAAACCTTGTTTAAATTATGTTGATTTGAATATGGTACCTGTTCCCTGATTGAGAACACGAATAAGAGAAATTGCTACTGAAAGTAATCTCAAGAATCTGACTCTCAAAGTGAAATGCTATGATTGGGTTGCAAATATATCAAACAGAGAAATGGGACAAGAGATATCTTAAGCACACAGCGGCAACATGACTACTCCGCTCAGCACAGGATATAGGGCAAGTATAAGCAAGGCACTGGGACATCAAGTGGCTGTGCTACTGTATCATCATGGCAACGTTAGCGATTGTAAGGACTGTGAAGTCACCTTTCTTGTCACTATAATCCTAGAAAATAAACACAAGGAAAATAAAAATTTTAAATTATGTGCATAAAATTAAGGAAACATGGAGAATCAGAAGATCTTTACAGCGGAATTGAGTCGCTTATCTCCTGTAGTCAGAAAACAGATATGGTTTAGGATTTAAAGTTTGTAGAGTTGCAGTGCTTTTCAAACATTCAGCCCAACCAGGCATCCTGTGCTAAGGTAAGAGCAATATTGGGAAAGAAGTGAAACCCTGAGATAGGATATAGGGATATTTGGGTAGATATAGATAAGGCTAAGACTCTTGAAATTCTAAATTCCACTGGATTTTCTTTCCAATAAAGGCAAAATAACAGGCCAAAATATTTACCATATTTCTGAGCAAATTATAGAAGTATGCCCCCATTAGGCTGGGTATGGTGGCTCACACCTCTAATCCCAGCACTTTGGGAGGACAAGGCAGGCAGATCACTTATGGCCAGGAATTCGAAACCAGCCTGGCCAACATAGTGGTTGTCTCTACTAAAAATCCAAAAAAAAAAAAAAAAAAAAAAAAAAAAAAGATAGCTGGGCATGGTGGCACACACCTGTAATCCCAGCTACTTGGGAGGCTGAGACATGAGAATTGCTTGAACCTGGGAAACGGAGGTTGCAGTGAGCCAAGATCATGCCACTGCACTCTAGCCTGGGTGACAGAGGGAAACTCTGTCTCAAAAAATAATAATAAGTATGCCCCCATTAGAGTCTTGAGAAATACAAGAGTAATCATTTCTGGTACATACTTTTTAATTTACCCCCTTTTGGCATGTGAAAACTACAATAACAAAAGTTGACTCATGCAGAATGACAGTAGATTACCAAAAACTTAATTCTAAGGTCATGGTAACCATAAATACAGTTAAAGAATAGTCAATCTCCACTACATAAAGTCAACACAAACTCTATCACCTGGTGTGCAGCTATTGACCTGATAAATATTTTCTTCCCTTTACAATTAAGAAAGAAAGTCTTTTTCTCAGAGACAAGTCAACGATGTCTATCGTAATAGGGAACATAATCAACTTGAAATTCCATAGAACATAATGTTAGTCTAATTCATGGATCACAATGGACTTGGTAAGCATGAAATATTATGTTCCTTAGATAACTTAGTAAGGTATATGCATTCCAAATTGTGAGAGAGAGACTGTGCAGAAGTTCAACAGCCAGCCACACTGGGGCTTATGGGGACCCAGCAGTGTGGGTTATGCCAGGCTACTCCTTCTAAAGTGAGAGTCCCACTGGAAGTTTGAGTCTTCAATCTGAAGACTCCTGTGCATACATATTAAATAAATTTCCATGCTTTTTCTCCTATTAAAAAATAAAAAATAAAGTGAGTTTAATTTCTGCAACTTACACCACTCATCTCAAAGAGACTCAAATTTGGGAGATCTCTTTGGGTTTTGGAAACAATACATAACACATTTGGGTGTGTTTCTCTGTACCATTTATTTGATAACCCATAAGACTGCAAATTTTGAATGGGACTCAGAGTACAAAAGATATTCTATAGTAGTAGAGGCTTTGGTATAAGCTGCTATACCATGTGGGTCTATGACGCAGAAGAATCAATAATGATTGATTTGTCTGTGGTAGGCAGGATTGCTGAATAGCTTGCCTGGCATGCCCCAAGTAGAAAATCATCTACAGATGTCTAGGATTTGGTAGGATATGCTCTTCTTTGCTGATAACTATTTTCTATTTGGAATGCTGCATTTAGATTGCTGGTAGGTCCATATACAAAGTGGATATGGAGGCTGTGAATCAATAGCATAGTTTTTCTCTCATCAAGGCTGACCTGGCTACTACTATTGCTGTATGCAGCCAACAACAGAGGCAAATGCTGATAATCCAAGACTGTAGAATTTCCTGCCAACCCCGGTCAGCCATCTGGTGGCAGTTGACTACATCAGGGAAAGAGATAACAGCCTCTAAATATACTATACTCACATAGACATATATTCAGGATACTGATTTTGCTTTCCTGCCCACAGTGCTTCTGCAAGCACAAGCATTTGTGGAATTACAGAATTCCTTATTCATTGCCATAGTATCCTGTACAACATTGCCCCCAACCAGGAGATTCATTTTACAGCAAAGGTAATGAGGCGGTGTGTTCATACTCATGGAATCACCACATGACCCATCAGTCAGAAATAGTTGGTGTCACAGAAGTATGGGATGACCAGGAGAAAGATCAATAACAAAACCAGCGGTAAGTCAACACATTAGAGTACTGGGTGTTATATTATAGATGCCATACCTGTTTTAAATATGTGACCAACATATTTTGCTTTTTTAAAAAACTTAGCCTGAATGTACACATCCAGGAACTAAGTAGTAGACTGATCCCTCTCACTATTATATCAATAACTCACTTAAAAATTTTTTTTTCTCATCCTTATAGCCTAAGGTTCACTGTGCTTAGAGGTCTTGAGATCCAAGGCAGGAATGATTCCACCAGGAAAAAATGATCAATAACTCAATGATTTGGAAACTGAGACTTCACCCTGGCCACGTGGTCCCTTGTACCATTGAGTCTAATACAGTGTGGGTAAGAAGACTGTTTGAAGGGCATATGCATTCAGTGGAGTACCTGTTAGTACTCTTTTAGCCAAAAGTTTTTGGCCAATGGAAAACTGGCAACCCAAAAAAGACAAGACCACCAAGAACTCATATCTTCTACAAACAATGTCTTTAGTCACGCTACCTGGTAAAGAACATGGATTATGTATATGGCATTGGCATATGGTAAGGTTGGTAATGGTAAAGGAAATATGTACTGACTTACAGGAGGCAATAGTGATTACCAATTTTGGCTCATCACCAAGTACAGAAGCAAAGACTGTAGTAGTTATGTCTTATTTATTTTCTTTATCCTTGAGTTCACCACCACCTTATATGAAAATGTGAGTGATGGTTATCCATTTAAATGGTAGATAGGAGGATTACTGGATAGATAACATCTACAGTGATGTGATATCTGATGGGGTTTCATGTAGTCCCTGGGTAGAAGGCACAACCTTTTCACCCAGATGAAAGGGAAGAGAAAAACCTGAGAAAAAGAGGAGTAGACCAGATGTGCTTTTCACTATGCTGCATCCTGCTTTCCGTTCCAGCACACAGACCTTGTAAGAATATCAGTGGTTCCCTTCCCTCTGACTCCTAGTTGGGTTTAGCCAGTGGAAAGCCTTGACCTTGACAGAAGATGAGGTGGAAGGAAGAAGGTGATGTCATGGTGTCTACCATACTGGCTCACTCTGTGAGATCAGCCCAGGATGGCTGTGTCCCTGCGCCTCTCAAGGGGATCTTCTCTACACACTTTCTCCTGCTGTCAGGTTCTGGAACTATTTTCCTCCCTTATCCCTTTTGGCCCAAGCATAGTAAGAGATAAGCAGCTTGTGTTATCCCCACACTATCCCTTATGATTCCTCTATTCCCCACCCACACTCTGTAGTTAACTTCTTCGTAAAACAGACAAAATTCCTATTTTGAATTGTCAAAATTCAAGCATACCACCTGTTTGTTGTTGGGGGCCTGACTGATACTTCCCACACGTCGAATCCACCATCGGCTCTACCAGAATTATTGCAGTAGCTTTGGAACTGGCCTAACTTCTTTTCCCCTTGCCTCCCTCTAGTGTATTCTCAACATGGCAGCCAGAGCAATCCTTTTAAAAGGTAAATGAGCAGAAGAGTTTTTCCTAGGTTTTCTTCTAGGGTTTCTTTCAGATCTAACGTTGAAGTATTTTAGCTATTTTGAGTTAATTTTTGTATATGGCAAGAGATATCGGTCCAGTTTCATTCCTCTGCATATGGTAATCTAATTTTTCCAGCACTATTTATTGAAGAGGGTGTCCTTTCCCCTGTATATATTTTTATCGACTTTACTGTAGCACTATTCAAAATAGCAAAGTCATGGAATCTAAGTGTCCACCAACAGAGAAGTGGATAAAGAAAAGGTGATATATATATATGTGGAATATTACTCAGTTATAAAAATGAATGAAATCATGTATTTTGTAGCAACATGGATGGAGCTGGAGCCTATTATCCTAAGCGAAATGAATCAGAAGCAGAAAGTCAAATACTTCATATTCTCACTTATAAGTGGAAGCTAAACAATGGGTATATGTGGACTTAGAAAAGCAAATAATAGATACCGGAGACTAAAAAATGTGAGAGGTAAGAGTTGAAAAATTACCTGTAGGGTACAGTGTTCACTATTTAAGTGATGAGTGCACTAAAAACCCAGACTTCCCCACGATGTTATATATCCATGTAAAAAAACACTGCACTTGTATCCCCTACATCTTTAAAAATAAATAAACTACATATAACATAACACAACATAACATCAATGTGATCACAACACTTGTTTATTAAAACTCTTCCAGAAGCTAAAGCCTTCCTAATTTACTCAGATTAAAAACCAAAGTCCTTTCATTGACCCATAAGGCCCTACGTGATCCCCCTCCCTGCCTCCTACTCTTCTTACCTTCTTTCACTCTGCCCAGGTTGTAGGAGTTCTTCCATGTGCCAGCTGCTTTCACATGAAAAGCTTGTTCCCCAGAATCTGCATGGCTCCTCCCTCACTTCCTCATGCCCTGACTCAAATACCTGGCTCACTCTTCTCTCTGTGACCTTTCTTGACCACAGTGCCTAAAATTGCAATACTTCTCTAATGTGACCTATCCTCTCTTCCCACATTTTCTCCTAATCTACTCTTTATGGTATTTATTTATCCTATTTACCTGTTTTCCTCTTTCCCTCTAGGATGTAAACATTGAACATGCAAAGATTTTTGTACAGAACATTTTTGTGCTCAACATCTAGAAGTGTGCCCATCACATATTAGGCACTCAATCAATATTTGTTGAATTCATGTATTCATTCATTCCCAGTTCACTCAGAGTAAAAGCCGACTTTTTTGTCTAAACTATTGATTGAACACCTAATCAATCTAAATTAGTCAAGCATCCTAGTTGTGAGCCATGGAAGAAACAGACAGGCACTTACCTCTTTTTTAAAGAAAATTAGCCTTACCCAATTTGTTAACCTACCTTAGGGACCAGACTTCACATTCAATCATCTTTCTATTTTTCAAAGGTCAAATCTGCCTCCCAGAAGGTGATTTGCATCAAGTTTAGGCTGAGACAAATAATCACGTTTAGGCTGAGATAAATAATCACACCTGAGACAAAATATGAGTTCATAAAAGGAAGCCAAGATTATTTTAAACAATGGCAACATCCTGTACATTTATGTAAAGTCCCTATACTTTCAACTTTGAATGACAAGACAAGTTTACAAGTGAGATGAAAAAATAAGACTCATTATTCCACTGTAAAGTGTTTTAAATACCCAAATCTTATAACTTAATTTGAAGTATATGTCTTTAATCTATTCTTGAATTAAACTTGAAGTCTTTGGAGATAGATGAAGACTTGTACTGTCATGAAAACTTCCCTTGTTCTATTAAAGAAAAACTGCAAGAAATGCTCACAAAAATAAATTGATTTTCAGAAGATGTGTAGCTAGCGAGTATCCAAAACTTAATTGTTTAATTTAAAAACACCATTTTATAGTCTATTTCTGTTATTAAAAGGCCTATCATTAATAAAATATAACTCTAAAACTTGTGCTTACTAATAATGGCAGCAAAGGTTTATGACATCAAGGTTGTTGAATATTTCACGTTTGCGTAAGACTAGCTGCAGAAGGAAAAATATGCTTTTGCAAGGAATAGTTGGGTTACTGACCATGACTTTATGAAAATAACACATCTATAAAGTGAAGGTTGTAACTTTACCCACAACTTTCTCCCTCTTTGACTGAATTCACATCATTGGGAACTTTTTTTGTTAAAAAAAAGAATAACTTATCTTTATACTCAGAAGAAAACCACGAAGTAAATATATCAGTCCATCAAACACTTCCTGAAAGTGTAATACATTAGGAATAGAGCGCATTTTAAATACTGAACTCATGACATTTACTCTATTATGTGGCCCATATCCTTTTGCTGTTTAGTGTTTTCCTAGCATTATGAGAGAGTTATGTGTATTTTCAATGGCCTTTTTTAACTAAATGGTTTTATTCACCAGGTGACCTTTAGAATAGGGAAATGACCATACCACATATTGAACTATTCACATGTCACAGATACTCAGTGAGCCTGGGAGAGTTGACAGTTCTAGGGGACTTTAAGAAAGGATTTCAATCTAACAAATAGAAATATATTCTTTACTAAAACCACATCACAGCACATATCAGGAATTTTGTCAGTGTAATATGGAAAGTGCTAATGTCTGAGATATTATGTTCAATTCGGTTATAATTCATAGCAAATTGTCCGTTTAAAAAGGTAGCAGTCATCCATGAAGCATTTGTTAAAATGGATAAAATTTTGACTTTGTGATTCAGAAATGATAAGAGGATTTTATTTAGAGTGGGTTGTATAAGTCCCTGAACCATTAATTCAATGCTTTTCAACACAACATCATTGTACTTAAGGCATACATTTCTAAGACACCTACAAAGAGGCATAGACATGTAACAGTGCTTTGTTGTTGGAGGCAAATTGGATTTTCAATTTGATGTAACAATAGGATTATCCTAGACTTTATAGCTGGTGACGCAGTGCCAAATGTAATACAGTGTAAAGATGGGCCAAGTACTAAATATTCTTTCAATTGCCATTAAAGCCCTCTACCAGTTAAGTCACATGTCAGCACTCATTATTAGAGCCACTATAATGAGAAAGTTTATTGGCAAGCACTTTGGAAATCTATAGTACTTTAGAAAAATAAGTTACTTCACAGGTTTTTAAAAATCCTTTGCCTTAATAATACTGTACATTTACAGTTTTGGATTTTCCTTTTTAGGCACTTTCCAATACTCAACCCAAACCCTTTATAGGTATCTCTTGCTGGTAGGTTAGGCTTTGGGATAAGAGGCCCTGGAGGTGTGGGGAGGAGAGGTGACTTCCCAGAAGATCCTATGGTGGCATTCATCCAAAAAAAAGGTGGAGAAGAGAAAGAAATGCTTCCTTTGAAAACTGAAGATAAGAAACTTAATGTTGTGACTGAGCAGAACTCTATTTTAAAATATCTACTGTCGATACCTTATACAAAGATGAAACAATGCTTAGGCGTTCTCAGGAAGTTGGATAAAGGGGTTTTCCCAACTCCTCCCCCATGTCCCTTCCCCATGTTTAGATATTAACAATACCTTTGTTTCCAAAATCCAAACTACAGACCTTAATATTTATGCTTTATTTACTATCAATCTCTGGTTCAAAGGTCTTTTTAACTTTCTCACACGCATAAAAAAATTCTCAAAGGATTTCACAACTGTTAAATTGATCTTTAAAATGGCAATTTTTAGTTTAGTGTAAAGAAATCAGAAGCAGATGGATTAATTTTGCCTTCAAATATATATGGTTTAAAATACTCTAGGAAAAAATAACCTATTTGGTCAAATGTGTTTAAGTTTTGCTAAAAGATGTATATTTGATAAATATTTGAAAACCCGATGTCTTTCCATACCAGAAAATTACCCCTTCCCTCTAACATGGAAAATAGTTTTTAAAATAAACTACATAGAATGCTAATATTTTATAGTTTTTTATATTTTACGAGTAAAAATATGTTTTAATCAAATATATCTACATTGTACAGTAAAAACTGGTAGACATCCATGTTGAACCTGGGTTTAAGAGACATAAATCAAGAGATAAGCACTACCCTACTCACTGTATATCAATATGGCTAGAACTCAAATCCTACCTTAGAGGCAATTTTAATTTCACAGATTTTATAAATACAGTCCATCTCTAAATCTTATCCATCTCCCAACCCCTAATTGTCAGAAGCAATTACAAGCCAATTACTCCAAAATGTTGATCTGATTATGATTGTTAATTATTTCAAATTAGAAAAGCCATTAGAATTACTCAAGGCAGCTATTGTCATAGGAAGATAAAGAATTGATGTTCTCTCTGGATAATTCAGTCTAAGAATCACTTTTTAAAAAACATATATTCAAGTACTGAGGCAAATATGGTCGTCTCTGTGTAAGTAGGTCTGGGTCTCAGTAAGACTTTGAAGACTGGCTTAACTGCTCCAACTATATTCAGGTATTCACAATAGCAAATAATAATAATAATAATAATAAAATGAAAAAAAATCTGAAAGCACCTAGAGCAGTGTTTCTCCAACTTCCATGAGTAACAGAATTACCTCAAGAGCTAATACAGAAGACAGAGACCCAGGGTCCCTGAAATGAGATGAAGCCTAGGTCTTTGAGAATCACTGACCTAGAGTTGAAATTTATCCCCAGCTTTAAATCAGGTTTAAATATTTTATACTTATTATCTGTAATGATATCCACATAAGAATTGAATATAAGAAATGAAAAATTGTATCTATACTGATATCCACATAAGAACTGAATAATTGAAATAATTAATTTAGAAACAACCTGGGGATTTAACTGATCACAAACTTAGCAGGAGGTAATACTGCGGCATCTCTGCTCAGGAGAAGACAAAAATAATGGAGTTGTCTACCACAGTGAAAGGCATCCAATGTATATAAGAACTTAAAATCTGATACAGGAAATGGCTCATAACATTGAGTAAGGGATAGAATAGTCAATAAACAATCTTGAGGAAATTAGCTTTTAGGGGAAGAATATATCACATTAGAGCCACTCTTTCCAGTGATGAGTAAAATAAATTCCAGATGTATATTTTTAAATATGAAAAAGAAGTAAAGAAAAAAGGCAAAGGAATAGAAAATATGGAAATACATGTGAATAAGTTTGCAATGAAAAATAACCACAAAAACTCAGAAGACTTGACTGTTGAAAGAATTAAAACTTAAGTGAATTTAAAAAAAAACACCATTAGAAAAATTAAAAACCATCAATAAACAAAATAGATGATGGGTTCCTATGCTTCCTTAATACCACCCCCTCCCCAAACTACCATTTTGTACTTTTTTTTTTTTCTGACAAACTTTCTGAAAGGGCAGGCTACTCTTTTTGACCTTACTTCTTTCAAACCCAAGCCACAAAAAAGTCTTCTTTTTTCTTAGTCACACTCAAGAAGTGGTTCTTAAATATTAGCTTGCATAACAATCTCCAGGAGGGTTTCTGTGACAGATCTTGGGCCCTAATTCCTGAATTTCTGACACAGTAATTCTGAAATGGGCTTAAGATTCTGCATTTTTAACAAGCTTCTGGATGATGTTGACATGTGGGTCACAACTTGAAAATCACTGTCTTACAGACTATTCTATCACTATGGTAACAGAGATTTAGTCACTGATAAATCCTGTGGTCCAATTCCAAGTTTCATTTTACTTATTCTTTCAGCATAGTTTGTCATACTTTTCCACCCCTTCCTTTTTGAAACTCTCTCCTCCCTGGGTTTCCATGGCACTGATTTTGAATTGCGTTGTATGCACCTCAAAACTCTCACTTATATAACTGGTATAGAATTCCTTCTGTGATCTAAGCCCTGATTATTACATAGCCATAGCTTTTATCACTTTCGCTTCCCAATCGGTATGCTATACCCACACTAGCTTTCCTCCAAAACTTGACAATTGATGTGGTATTATATCTCTGTTCCTTTGGATAGCTTATTTTTCCCCCTTCTCTGCCTAACACATTTTTTATTTACTCTTCAAAACTCTTCTTACATGACAGTCCCATTGAGAGGGATCCTGCTAGATGAGGTTAGGTTTCTCTGACTTTTCCCAGCATTTTATAGCTAACTTACAATAACACTCAATGCATTTAAGTCTAATTATTTGTTGTTGATCAATCCCCATGAAATATGAACTCATCCTAGCACTATTTCATATGCAAGAGCCTAGTACAGGGTTGACTCAAGGACATGCCAATGTTTATGGAATAAATCAATGAGCCAAAAGCACCAAGGCAGTAGTAGTAAGAATACATTGCTTAGATCCAATGTTTAGGGCAGAACTGTTTTCAGACTTATCCTGTTGCTGTGCTACGAAACACATTTCTGTAAACTGATTATAGGATCTGATCATCAGACCATGACTGATTAACTCATTTTGCAATGCACCTGGCACAGCAATGCCCATAAGAAGGTATTTAATGAATTCATATGAGGTAAGAATGAGACCATCTTTTCCTTTTAATTTGTTAGCATATTCACACTATTAAATACACATCAATATTGATTGCTAACAGGCCAGAATGAGAAATTAGGAGGGTAAAATTATGAGATACTTATAACTCAGATATATTACACATTTTGGAAAAAAAATTGATCTGATAAAATTTTCTAGAAGAGCAATTCTATTTAATTTTACAAAATGTTCAAAAAGTTGTTTCAAACATCCTAACCTTGAAGGAATTTAAGCATATTTAATGGTTCCACAGAAGTATATAAAATAATAATAATTTTAAAATCTCAAATTTCTTCATAACTGATCTGTCTAAATTTCTAAAAACTTCCTGGAAGTGTCAGCTTAAAATACATGACACTTATGAATAAGAGAATTAATTAAAACTATTACACTGAAAAGAAATGGCAATGTTTCTGGAAAAACAGTAAAACAACATTTTAAGTTATACTGCAGATATAGAACTGAAAGATTGTCTTTTAAAATGCAGAGAAAAATGTTTCCAAAATTTGGTTAGAGGAGTATTCTTGGAAACTATCACTTTTTTCCAAATATTTTTGTGTTTCTTTTGTTTTTTTTTTAAAGTAACTTTATGTATTAGATTAAAATGTTGATTCAAAAGCTCACATTTAAAGCTATTTTCATTTCTGTTAGGTTCCAATTCATAGCTTTTGTTCTTTGGCATTCATTATTTACAAGATTTCAGAAAGATATCAGCATAGATAAGTGAGAAAATATTTTCATATCAACATGTTTAGAAGAAGATAATTTAGTTGGGAAACTTTGGGCTACTTCTATTATCAGGGAAGCACATTCCTAATTTCAGAATAAGGATTTGAAAAGAACCCATAAGATAACAAGCAAAGGATAGTTACACTCTGACAAATGACATATGGTCATAGCTACTCACTTTTTTTAATACGATGACATCTTCAATTTTTAATTCAAATGTTTTGGGTAGGGAGTTCCACACTGACTTCTCACACTGTATAAAATATCTTGCTGCGGTTACCTAGATATAAATGGAGAATACTTCTGTTCCTGTTCTAAATACTTGCTTCTATTTTCACAAGCTTAATGAACTTATTGATAAGAACTGACTTATCTTTTCTCAGTTATATACCAGCATGCAGTAACTGAAGTTTATTTCCTTATTGTTTTGCCATTTTTGTGGATCCGTTAATCATTTAGATGCCATAACCCTAATTTTATCTTTGCTTTTTAATTTTTTTAATTATATTTTAAGTTCTGGGATACATGTGCAGAACTTGCAGGTTTGTTACATAGGTATACACATGCCATGGTGGTTTGCTGCACCCATCAACCCATCATCTACATTAGGTATTTCTCCTAATGCTATCCCTCCCCTATCCCCTCACCCCCAAACAGGCCCTGGTGTGTAATGTTCCTCTCCTTGTGTCCATGTGCTCTCATTGTTCACCTCCCACTTATGAATGAGAACATGTGGTGTTTGTTTTCTGTTCCTATATTAGTTTGCTGAGAATGATGGTTTCCAGCATCATCCATGTCCCTGCAAAGGACATGAACTCATCCTTTTTATGGCTGCACAGTATTCCATGGTGTAGATGTGCCACATTTTCTTTATCCAGACTACCATTGATGGGCATTTGGGTTGGTTCCATGTCTTTGCTTTTGTGAATAGTGCTGCAGTAAACATAGGTGTGCATGTGTTTTTATAGTAGAATGATTTATAAATCTTTGGGTATATATCCAGTAATGGGATTGCTGGGTCAAATGGTATTTCTAGTTCTGGATCCTTGAGGAATCACCACACTGTCTTCCACGATGGTCGAACTAATTTACACTCCCACCAACAGTGTAAAAGCATTCCTATTTCTCCACATCCTCTCCAGCATCTGTTGTTTCCTGACTCTTTAATGATTGCCATTCTAACTGGTGGGAGATGGTATCCCATTGTGGTTTTGATTTGCATTTCTCTAATGATCAGTGATGAAGAGGTTTTTTCATATATTCATTGGCTGCATAAATGTCTTTCTTTGAGAAGTGTCTGTTCATATCATTCACCCACTTTTGGAGGGGGCTGTTTTTTTCTTGTAAATTTGTTAAAGTTCCTTGTAGATTCTGGATATTAGCCCCTTGTCAGATGGATAGATTGCAAAAATTTTCTCCCATTCTGTAGGTTGCCTGTTCACTCTGATGATAGTTTCTTTTGCTGTGCAGAAGCTCTTTAGTTTAATTAGAACCCGTTTGTCAATTTTGGCTTTTGTTGCCATTGCTTTAGTCATGAAGTCTTTGCCCATGCCTATGTCCTGAATGGTATTGCCTAGGTTTTCTTCTAGGGTTTTTATGGTTTTAGGTCTTATGTTTAAATCTTTAATCCATCTTGAGTTAATTTTTGTAAAAAGTGTAAGGAAGGGGTCCAGTTTCAGTTTTCTGCATATGGCTAGCCAGTTTTCCCATCACCATTTATTAAATAGGGAATCCTTTCCCCATTGCTTGTTTTTGTCAGGTTCATCAAAGATCGGATGGTTGTAGATGTGTGGCGTTATTTCTGAGGCCTCTGTTCTGTTCCATTGGTCTATATATCTGTGTAAATTATTTTAGTGTTGTCTTTCTCTCCATTGTATTTTTTTCTTCAGTTCTGTTTATTGATTATCTCTTCTTAATGGCCCTAGTTGTTTTTACTGGCTGCCCCCACTGTCTACCTCAAACTCATCCACCTTTGCATGTTTATTTGGTTAGAATCTCAAAAAGACCAAATAATCAAGCAAGAAAACTGAATTCTCTTACTTTCACTTCTTTGAGGGATTGCCATAGTTTGGATGTTTGTTCCCCTAAACCTCATGTTTAAATTTGATCTCCAGTGTTGGAAGTGAGGCCTAAATGAGCTGGGGGAGGATTTGGGTCATGGGGGAGGATCCCTCATGAATGGCTTTTTGCTGTCCTCTGGATATTGAGTGAGTTTTCACTCTATTAGTTCCTAAGACAGTTGGTTGTAAACAAGAGCCTGGCACCTCCCCCTTTCTCTTGCTTTCTCTTTTGTCATGTTATCTCTGCACACACTTGGGCTCCCCTTTACCTTCCACCATGAGTGCAAGCAGCTTGAGGTTCTCTTTGGATGTAAGTGTGGGGTGCCATGCTTTTTGCATAGCTTGCAGAACCATGAGCCAAATAATCTTCTTTTCTTTATAAATTACCCAGCTTCAGGTAGCCGTTTATAGCAACACCGATGGACTAAGACAATGAGTATCTCTTAAGACATTCACTTACAGAAAACCGGCTCTTTCTATGGGCTTCTTTTTCCTAAGCAAGAAATTGAATAAGAGTTCCATTGATTCTGTGAGCAACTTTGTTCTCTGTCAACTCTCTTATGACTCTACAGACCTCAGGATCCCCTTTCTATTCATGTTAGCTTTGGGACACTAGAGATTTGTGTTTGCTCTTTGCCCCATCACACTCATATTTTATTGATCTATGGCAGCTAAACCAGAAACAGGGATTGCCAGAGGGGAAGGCATGGAGGCTGTGTTCTATCTAGTGACTTTCAATAACTGCTAATTTGTCAAAAATTACCCCCACCTCCCTCTATCTGGCGATGGCTACACACATATTGCCCCATCTACACTCCAAGACCATCTGCGCTGACTTTGATCATTGCGTCACTCTTTAGCCCCGTCTCTTGGCATTCTTAGCAACTGTCCCATGGTAAACTGATAAACGAATATGTCTTATTATTGTCTGTTTAATGATATGAGTGCAAATGTCAGCCAGCATTACTTTATTTCCTCCAAGAAAATTTTAAATGGCCAGACTTCTAGTACTTAACAAATTTCTTTCATCTCATTATTTAAATCCTTGCTGCAGCATCAACATCATCTAGGAGCTTATGAGAAATGCTGAATCTCAGGCCTGCCAGACTTTTTGAGTCATAGTCTGCATTTTAGCAAGATCCCCAGGTGATTTGTTTGCAAATTAAATTTGAGAAACACCATCTTAAACTCCTGTAAGAAGCTTGTGCTGGTCTCTAGTGCTAACCCAATAATAATGCCTACATCTTTTTTCTGGAAGCCCTTTTAAATTGTATTTCCCAAAGTGCTTTTTTGCAGATTCCAGTATATCTTCCTGGCTTCAAATATTTGGCAATATATTCCCTTTCTCCTGTGGCCTTAGCAGTGTTTCTCAAACTATGCTCCAAATCAACACATATTTAAGGTGCTAATTTAAAATGCATTAGACTGTGGCCCACTGCAGTGAGCTGGATTAAGAATCTCTAAAGACAAAGAAAAAGAATCTTCCTTGTAGTAAACAGGGCCAGTAAATCTCGTATACTTCAATGCCAGTTAAAAACTACCTTTTGGGAATCAATAGGTAGCATACCTGGAATTGTATTTCTTGGGCAGTTGCTGTTCTCTTGCTTGCTAATTCTTCCATCCTTTCTCCTTTCCCCATCAACTCACAGGAAATAAACTTAGAATGGTTTTCCAAAAATAGTAAATATTAAATAAAGTTGCATCTTTGCTTATTTTCTTCCATGCATCATTCATCTGTTCCTACTTCTTATCTTATAGTTTTCAATATTTCTCTTCTTTTATCACTCTGTTACATACATACTCTGTGAATTTCTCTCTGATCTCCCAGGTTCACATGGCCACAGGGTTTACAATAAGGTCCATGGCAGCCGGTGACGATTACCTCAACTCACAGCAAGAGAAAATGGATGCAGGTAGATGAATTGCTGAAAAATCAGCCAATTGTCTTTTTTCAAAAGAAAATCTGATTGCATGAACATCTCATTTTGTTTATTTTATATCCTATAAACCTCTGAATCAGGAATATCACCATCACCTGGGAGCTATAAATGCAGAATCTCTGGCTTCACTCCAGACCCATTGAATTAGACCTAGATTTTAATAAGATTCCCCATGAGAATAATAATTGTGCACATACAAAAGTTTGAGAAGGATTTATAATACATAGCACCATCAAGGTTAACAAAATTAAATCATGTTTTTGTGGACAAATTAACAAAATTTTAAAAAAGCAAGGTTTTTTTAATTTGTATTAGGCTCCAATAATTGAATAAGGATTCAATTATCTTTGATATGCTGTAACTGAAGCTGCTATTTTTCAATTCAGCAGGTTGAAACATCTTTTTAATTATGTTGAAATATATAGAGAAAATATTTTCACTTTAAAGTGATATTAATCATTTTGATGAGTGCTTTTTCCAGGCCTAACTCCTGAATTGACAAATCTATAATGAGAGGCGGTTATGGTAATTTGGAGTTAGGATATTAATTATTAAACTTAATAATAAAAGAATCTTAAAAGTCATACAAATTCAGATTCCTCTTTTTTTTTTTTTTTTTTTTTGAGACGGAGTCTCACTCTGTCACCCAGGCTGGAGTGCAGTGTCATGATCTCAGCTCACTGTAACCTCTGCTTCCTGGGTTCAAGTGCTTCTCGTGCCTCAGCCTCCCAAGTAGCTGGGAATACAGGCACCCACCATCACTCCCAGCTAATTTTTGTATTTTTAGTAGAGATAGGGTTTCACCATGTTTGGCAGTCTGGTCTTGAACTCCTGGCCTCAGGTGATCCATCTGCCTTGGCCTCCCAAAATGTTGGAATTGCAGGCATGAGCCAGCCCAGTTTCCTCATTTTTTTAATGTGGGAACTCTTTATTGGATTCCTGATACCTCTATTCAATGCTCTAGTAGCAATATGTTCCTAGATAGCCTCTGATGGGTCACACCAAACCTGCTTACCCTGAGCTCATCATAGGGTCCCACCTTGACTTGCTTCTGCCCTTTGGTGCCATTATAAACCAGGTCACTCAAGTCAAAATAGGAGGCTCATCCTTCAGTTTCTTCTTTCACCCTCCAGCAATCAAATCAGCTACCAGCCCCTTTATACTTCGGCCCATACATATCTGTAGATTTTGCCCCTTTGATACATTTCCACTGTTCATGTGGATTATCACAACCTCTTCCTAAGAGGTCTCCCAGTCTCCAGCCTCTTATTCCTCCAAAACACCATCATCACACTGCTGTCCAAACCTTTCACCTTTCATCTTCTTCCTCTTCTCCTTCTTCTTCTTCCTCTTCCTCTTCCCCTTCCCCTTCTTTCCCCTCCTCCTCCTCCTCCTTCTTCTTCTTCTTCCTCTTCCTCTTCAGAGAAATGTCTTGCTCTGTCACAGGCTGGAGTGAAGTCATGCCATTATATCTCACTGTAACCTTGAACTCCTGTGCTCAAGTTATCCTCCCATCTAAGCCTCCCTCATAGCTGAGACTACAGGCATGAGTCACCATGCCCAGCTAACTTTTAAATTTTTTGTAGAGATGGGAGTCTCAATTATGTTGCCCAGGCTGGTCTTGAACTCCTTGGCTCAACTTGTCCTCCTGCCTTGGCCTCCCAAAGTGCTAAGTTTACAAGATAGCTTGTGTCTGCTGGGGCCGGGTGCAGTGGCTCACACCTCTACCTACCACATGTCCGTTCTAAGATACCTCCTTCACTTAGAATATTGATGAAGCTTGTAGTTGATGCTATTGATGCTCCACCCCACATCCATTTGATCCAGCTCTGTTTTTATCTGAGTGTGGGAGAGTACCCAGCAGCAAGCTGACACCTCTTCTCTCAGCAGGCACTGTGTCCTCTTCTTGCTGCCTGAAAGCTTTCCCCAAGTCTCTCTTTCCACTGGGTAGAGGAATCTTGAACAGCCTCACGTAGCAGAAGCTTGGAAAAGCCAGTGATTACCTGGTGATTAAATGCTTCATGGGTAAACCAATAAGGGATGTGAGTCAGTGCAAAGTAACCCAACAGTTTACTAGCGCTTAGTGAGCAATTCTGGGATGCATTCTACATGGTTCTTTCAATAGTCTCCAAGAGGATCAAGCACTTCTTGCCCACTGTGCCCACACTCTTTATGGGCATTTCCCTCTTCCCTGTCTCACTTCCTCACTTTCTCATGTGTCCTTCCTGAAATCACCTCCCAAAGTACAAAAAATATATATATGTGTGTGTGTGTGTAGACCTGTCTATGTATATGCGCATGTATTTGTTTATAAATTATATACAAATACTAGTATATTATATGTGTGATTTAAATAATAAAAAAATAGAAACATGAAAAAGAATTTGAAGTAATATCCTATTTCTAAATAGCTTGATATCTAAAATGGCTTCACACTATTGATAGCTAACATCTCAAGAAACAATGTTCTATTAAGGTGTGGCCTGAATTATATCCTCAGTAATCACCATTTTAACCCATACCTCACATAGTCTTCTTGATCATTTCTAATTTTCTGCTGTTTTTGGACCTACTTCTTGCCATACTTGTTAATTTCATTGTTTATAACATCATGATATGATTAATGAAGAAATTACCCTAAGAGTAGGATAAAAGTCAGTGTACTGGTGCTGCTGTTTTCTCATTATTGCTTCATTGGTATTCTCTTCATGATCATGGTTCTTTGCAGAAATCCTTTTCAAAGCATTTGTCCATTTTGTGAGAAGAATTTCAATGAAAACCAATAATTAAATCCAAGGTTCCGCCTAACCAGGTGCACCTAACGAACAACACATCAAAATGGCTCTGTGGGTGAATAGGGAGGGTGTTTCTCATGGCTATGCCACCCTGGGATTCTCCCACCCTATCAACAAGATCCCCGTTACTCATATGTGGCACCTAACTCTGGAGTGCCTTGACTGAAGAAAAGTGCTATAGTTCAGCCATATATTAAAGAGTTGTCAAGCTCAATTTCTTTCCTTTTAACATCAAAAATAGATATTTAAGAAATTCCACTTAGGATACCATTGACTTAGACTCTGAGTTCCAGAAAAATAAAACTTAAACTCCATAGAATGACTCTGAGGCTCTTCACGGTTTGTCTTCTGCTTATGATATACACCTTTATCTGGACTCGCCACTTTACTCATCCTATGCTCCAACATCACAGACTTGCTTAAATTTATAAAGTCATCCTTGCTCTTTCATGTCATCGAGCCTTTGTAAATGCTCTTCTCTGTGTCCATTTCAATCTTTTGTCTACCAACAGTCACAGGATTCACCACCTTCTACAGCAAATGCATCTGGTGCTTCTGCCCCTACCCATGGCTCAATGGGCTCCCAGGGCAGCTGAATATGCTTTGGAGATTTCCAAGTGAATTCAGACCTACCTATTCCCCACGTGGTCCAACCTCAAGCATGCAAGCATGTGTCCTTTAGCTCTCTGCGCCAGGAAATTCCCTAATGCTGGCTTTCAGGTGTATGCACAGCCCCTAGAGGAAACTCTCCACCAATGGGGATGGGAGCCAGTGGAAAGCACTCCAGTTTTCTTTCATGTGGACAGTTCTGGAAGGAATTATGTCCATTTATTGGGAACTCCTGGTGGAACCAAGTCCCACTGCCTACAGAGGAAACCTAGACAAGACACCTTTACATTGTCCATCTCTCTTCCTTGTCTCACCTGTACTCATTAATATTTAAGACCTACTGCCCAATAAATCAACTTGCATTCAAATCTTTTCCTTGGTTCTGCTTTCAGTAGAAAACAAACTGAGAAACAGAATTGCCTTTTTTTGTAAAACTGTCCCTGGGACCTTCAAGTTCCCTCTTTCCATACCCCCAAATAGACCGAGGTATTTTGGGGGAGTTTTTGCTACTATCTCAACTTTGTATATGTCTTAACTTGATCAGTCACTACCAACAGACACAAGTATTGGTTATCACATGCATTCTCAGGCCTCTTCTCCAGGCCCCTACAAAGCTGACCATGTAGAATATCACACGTGCTTACGCATTTCTATTCCCCGTGGCTCCTCTGCCACTCATCTGATGTGGCGTGCTGGGGACCTTGATGTCACTGTGCTTCCTGGGCACTGTGGGTTCCACTGATGCTGACATTGACCCAAGCCCACCCCTCCAGGCACGGCTGCACTACCAGGCTTAGTGCTCTTTCACATTGCTTGCCAGGCAGAGCAGTCCTGGCTGGTACATGTGGCTGGACCCTGAAGCATCTTCTTCACTCACTGGACCTCCAGGATGCCACAGCACCAAGGTAGGGGATTGTTTAAGCCCCAGAAGTTCTTCCCATTTGGTGAAACAGTTGCTCAGCTTTAATTTCTCTAACACATTCTCATTTGTTCTAAGAGTTAGACAAGGGCTGGGTTTGTTCAATAGCTACTCTTCTGTTTACAATCACTACTCTCCTTAATGTCCTTAAATGACATACTTTCTCGCAAAGATAAATTCAGTATTGCCCCCAACCCACCTTCACCCCCAATAACCTGTGTGGCTCAGTCAAGTCACTTAACTTCTCCAAACCTTAGGGTTCATTTGTAAAATGAGGATAGTTACCTGCTTACTAGAAGACAATGGACACAATTAGATTGTCTCTTGAATTTTCTTAGAACTCTTGGCTAAGGTATATGATTATCATCACTTAACTGTATAGCTTCAAGCTATTATTCTAGTGTTATATCACACACTCGCAATATTCTATCGACTAATTCAAGAGAAGATAGACTTCTCTTGTCTAATTGCTATTCTTAACTAGTGCTGCCATTCTTTGAAGGATATTTCAGCTAAATGCCTAAGATAGATGCATGAATATAATTGCTGACATCGATTTATTCCGCCCCAAAAAACCTATCACAATGGTGCAAGTACATTGCTCCTAATAAAGGATGTGACAATTACGGATACAAATTCAGGCCTTGGCAGGCATGCCAGAGTTAGAGCATCCTCATATTTAGACATCAAACAAGACTTCCCCGTTGTACAAAGCAAAGGAAGAGGAAAACATAGACCACTCAGCATGACTGCACTGGCTCCAGCGGGTCAGGAGGCTGCCTCTTCAGAGGATGAAAATACTCTGTGCTTCCTGTGTTTCAGGAAGAACCTGGATCCATCTTGGCAGCATAAAGCTCTGTCGTGCTTAAAAACAAGCATGTCTCATATCCACATCATCAGTTCTGAGACTGGGGAAAAGACAAAATCCTTGGATTCAAATAGGAAAAGAGATATCAAGAAAATTAAATCCTGACTATTAAAACATTAAAAGTTAGGGAGCAGGAATTAAGGTGTTTCATTTATTGATCCTGGTTTATTTACTGTTCCTGGTTCATTTATTTACTCCTCCTCATTCATTTACTCATTCATGTTTTGGGATCCTTTTGCTCTCAAATCATGGGGAGAGAAAGGCTTATTCTAACCTTGAATTCAGGGCTAAAACATTTGTTTGGCAGAATGGCTTTGTGTTCAATTTATTGTGAAGGAGATCTTCAGCATACAACAATAAAGCACAAAAGAAATTCTAAAAAATAAAGAAAGAGATTTGATAGGGTAGAATAATAATTATTTACTTACACATTTTTACTGCAAACATTTCAAATATACCAAATAAATGTAAAATGAACCACCACGCTCTATGTCCTCACAGCCTCAGCAATTATCGGCCCAGTGTGAATTGTAGATACTTAGGCCATACATAGCTTAGCCAAACCTGACAGAAGCGTGTTTGGCATTTTTTAGCTTATGACTTTTTTTCCTGCCCTTTGTAGCCACTATAAATGCACTAAAGGGAAAAATGGGCCAAAGTTATGTGAGTGTGTGGGTGTTTTCCCATGCACTCTATTTGTTTATTCACATAGTCCAGTCCCCAGGGAAATTAAAAAAAAAAAAGTTGGTTTCACTGTAGAAGATCCAAAGAACTCAACATTTTACAAGCTTTGGGTCATTAATCCTTATAGCTATTCCCCTATTATGTCAATAAGTGGGAAGTGTTATTATCCCCATTTCACAGATGAAGAAACTGAGGACTTTCATAATTATATGTCTCATTCAGAGCCAAACTGTGCTGGCAAGAAAATCAAGGACTTCCAATAAAGTCCATTTATTTTACCTTTAGAACCAGCACTGTCCAATACAAATATGATGTTAACAACATATGTGATTTTCCAGTAGCTATATAATAATAACAACAAACAGGTGAATGCTTATTAATAATATGCCTGATTTAACCAATATATCAGAAATATTATTGCAATGAGTAACAATTTTAAAAATTATTCATTATTGAGATAGTTTATGTTTTCTTTCATACCAAATCTTCAAAGTCAGTGCATATTTGACACTTATAGCATATCTCAATTTGGACTTGCCACAGTTCAAGTGTCCTACAGCCAGGTGTGGCTAGTGGCTCCCATCATGGGCAGCACAGCCATAGATTACATGTTCTCTTCTCATAAGGCCATACTTCCTCCCATTAGATAGTGTCACCAAGATATGCCCCTGCCTTTTTCTACCTGTTTGAGATACCTTTGATTTTGCTTTAATATTATTTTGATTTGGGCTAATGAAACAAGCCCAAATTACAGATGTGAATTAAAGTCATTGGGAAGTAACATAAAGTCCAACTCTAGGAAAAAAAAGACAAAACAATCAAACAAATGGAAAAAACTCACACATATACAAAAAGAATATAAGGCATATTGAATTCAAGTTTCTCCAGTTGAAAGAGTTTTGTAAAACTGGGAATGAACCTCTGATGAGCAAGCAAATAAACTTGTTCTTGTATGAAAGCTATGAAGTTATGATTTTTGGTATCAGTTAATAGGCTAATATTAAAAAAACCTTTTTCTGTTGACAGTTCAATAAATTACACAAGTTATAAAAGACACATAGTTATAGAATAACATGATTGGGGGGAGTGTAACTTACATTTGTCTCAGTCCTTAATGTCTATACAAATAGGGAGATATTTGCCTTTTATGTAATTAGAGCATACTTGAATTCCTCTGTGGACGGCAGAGAGTTGACCTTTATATACCACACAAAGCCAAAATCAGATTCATCTGAATCTCTAATTTATGTCACTGGAGTTCCTAAATTTGCTGGTGCCATCAAACAAAAGATCTAAAGACTCAAAGCATTTCACCAAACCCCAAATCCATGACAATCTAAATAAGGCTGAGCATCCAGGTTAGAGGTGGATAGTGCCACATTTCCACAATAAAAAAAATGAGTAATAATCAAAATATTATTATTTAAATATTAAATAATATTTAAACAAAATAATAAAAAACATATGACTTATTAGTGAATGAATTTAGGGCTAAGGAAACCATTACACAACAAGAAATTAAAGACTTACAAGGTAAAGCCAATCACATGTTTAGAACTGTGTGTGATGGCAAGCCATTAAAGTAACTAAATATTAAGATATACATTAAAATCTTCAATTATTCAGAGAACTTTGTGATAGCCATTTCTGGGGGAAAAAAAGTCTGAACCAAAGACATGTGATTGATATTTGCTATGGTTTAAATATTTGTCTCCTCTGAAGCTCACGTTGAAACCTAATCCCCAATGTGGCAGTACTGAGAAGTGTGCCCTTTAAGAGGTGATTGGGTCATGAGGCCTCTGTTTTATAGAATGGGTCAATCCACTCATGAATTAATGGGTTAATGGATTAATGGGATATCCCAGCAGTAGAACAGGTGGCTTTATAAGAAGAGGAAGAGAGATCTGAGCTAGCACACTCCATCGTCTTACCGTGGGATGCCCTGTGCCACTTCAGACTTCTGCAGCGCGTCCGCACCAGCAAGAAGGACCTAATCAAATGCAGCCCCTCAATTTCAGACTTCTCAGCCTCCACAACAGTAAGAAATAAATTCCTCTTTAAAACTAAATTACCCAGTTTAGGATATTATGTTATAAGCAAGAGAAAATGAACTAAGACAATATGATATGTGAAAGAGGTGGCCAATTTAGAAGCATTGCTCTTATAAATATATTATAATAAAACTCAACAGAAGTATTTCACTATTTTTCTATATCTATCTATCCATCCATTTTATCTACCTATGAATGTTTATTCCCAAAGAAATAAATCATAAAAACATACTAGAAGGCAAATGAATAGTAAAGGAAAAATAATATACATTAGCAAAAACAAAAAAAAAATGCCCCATTTGTTGAATAAAGGCCCATTTGAGATACAAATTTTTAAAATAGCCTTATTTGGGAGAAGACTATTTTTTTGAATTCATCATACACTCCTTTTATTCAAAATTCTTTTAGAAAAATAGCTCCAGAAATTTATAAATCTATGGGAAAGTTCTGGTAGTGAATTATATAACTACACACTTACTTGAAAGTTCCCACCAAAGGCTAAAGCAAGGATTTTACAATTTTGTTTCAGGATTCAATCACATATCATCGCTTTGGCTCTAATTCCTCAGACTTCTCCCAAAAACCTTCTTCCTAAGTGAAGACCTTCTTGTTCCAAACAAATTTTTTTTTGAATTTACAAGAATTCTGGCATGCAGTGAAATATATATACATACCCACAAGAAGCATGAAAAACATGCATTTGCCCACACTGTCCCTGAACCTGAATAGATCATCAAGCCAAGTAGTGAATGCCAATGAAAACGTAAACTCTCCTAGGAGAGGATCAGCCAGTGAGACAAGGAATAAATGATTTTTACCTATGTCATTCTTGCTTTCCTCTCAGAGAATTAGATCATCCAAGCTGTAAAATGGTCTCTTTGGGAATTTCTCTGACTCCCATTTGGACAAACTCTGGCACCTCAGTGACTCTCTTAGAAGGCACTTGACAAATAACTTGACAATTAAAGATTGCTCCTTTCCAGATTAACACACTAGGAATAGTAATAAATTATCACATCATCAGGTTACGCATTTAACAGGTTATGTTTGTTTCTTGTTAAAAAAAAAGAAACGTGTAATATTTATTTAGCATTTTGTCATCGTAAACCAATTCATTGTTTTCTTTGGGCACAGATGTAAGTATGAGGATTTGCACATTTTAAAGCATTCTGTACTTATTAGGTACATGCAATCTGAAAATGACAAATAAAAGATTTCTAAATCGTAAAGAAATTTTCCACCAATGAAAATTTTGCTTCCGTAGGAGCTTCCTTTTTTTTTAAAGGCATTTCATAATCTGAGGATGGGAAGTAAAGGGGTCATTTGATGAGGTCAGGATATCAAACAGACAGGCTCTCTAACCCTTAGGCCGTTTGCTTGGCAGCCCAACATCACATCTGGGATGCAAATCTCCCTCCAGCATAACCCATATACAGGCCACCAGGTTTACACAAAGAGACCGCCCAGCTGCTAGCTGGTAAAAGCCTCCCAGGATCTCACATAGCCCCTGAGAGCTGCGTAATTCAGTACAGAACCCATCTATGCAATTACACGTCCCTGTAGATTACAGTGTAATTACACTGAGGAGACAGAAAAATAATTGCTTGTAACTTACACTGTGGTTGAGAAGGCATAAATAATCACGTATGCACGATGTAATGATGTGTGATCACTTAGCCACTACTGTGTCACAGCTACCACATGTTTAGAAGACCAGCAGTGACCATAGAAGAAAAAAGCACCAGTGGGTTATTTGCAAACTGAAATGTAAAGGCAGCTACACCTTGCTTTTCCAGAGGACTGCCTTGGCAAAAATTTTATAAGACTCCCAGACTGCATTCTCATCAGGAATAAAAAGTGAGTAGTGTGTGAAGTGTTGCTTGATTTGCACATTTCAATTTGGCTTGTGTCATCTGACCCTTATTTCCCACTCGCTGATATTTGATCTCTAGAAAGATATAGATAAAACTATGCAAGCTGTTAAAAATTCAGCCTGATACAGAATTGATATCTGAGAGATTATTCTTAATTTTTAAATCATTTACATGCTTAATTCATAGTGTCCTGGATATTATTTGCTATGATTAAATCCTAATTCATGGCAGCAACAATTCCTCAGACTCATTTATTTGTTTAAATAAAGAAAAGAAATATTCTATGTCCAAACAACAACATACAGTTTTAAGGTGCCTTGTTATTTATATGGATATTATGCATAATTCACAAACAACTACAAATTAATTTACATAAGGATAAAGTAAAAAAAAAGTATGTCTTTGTATAATTTCTTCCAGATTTAAGAGTAATGTTTAATCTCTTTGCATCAGCAATCTTGATCAGTAATTGATGAAGTTTGGGAATAATTCCAGCATTAAATTAGGAAAAGCTTTAGAATTTTAAAGCACATTTTGAAAAGACTTTAAATTTATTCTTTAAAAACCAATGACCTTTCCATTGGAAGAAACAACTTTTTTTTTTTTTTTTTTTTTTTTTTTTTTTTTTTTTTTTTTTTTTTTTTGAGACACCGTCTTACTCTGTGGCAGGGCTGGAAGCCAGTGGTGTGATTATAGCTCACTGCAGCCTCAGTCTCCCAGGTTCAAGAGATCCTCTTGCCTCAGCTTTGTTAGCAGCTTGGACTACAAGCATGTGCCACCATGCCTAGCAACTTGTTTTGATTTTTAGTAGAGACAAGGTCTCATATATTGTCCAGGTTAGTCTTGAACTCCTAAGCTCAGGCTATTCTCCCACCTCAGCCTTCCAAAGTGCTGGGATTACAGGCATGAGACACCATTCCTGGACAAAAACAACATTGTAATTATTTTAGAAGTGGTAATAAAAATGTCTACAAAAACATAAGCTCTCTTTCTAATGGAGGCTGGTAGAGAAAATCAATGTCAATGAGAATAATAGCTTGAATTAAGTAGAAAACACTGTGAAAACTAGTTTCAAAGGTGCATATTTGGAAATAATTTTTTTAAATAGCCATAAACAAAAGCTAAACATCTTAAGGTATTATTTAGTGTAGAAATTTGTGTCCTTTTTTATGCCATAAGTCTTTTGGCAAACTGGTGAAGCCTAAGACCCTTTACGAAAATAATACTTTCTAAAGCATAAGATAAAATACATAGGAATTCTAAGAAGGCCCATTCTATAAATGCAATTTTAAAAAACATATTTGTGTGATGTAGTAAAAAGAATAGCTTATATTAGTAAATTAATGAGTATCTAATAAGTTTAAGTGAATCTGTTAACTACCATGGTATTGCAACAACTGTCATTCAATATGAAGATATCTCTGTCCTGGTACTGTGGTTTGTGCTCACTTTCATTACTGAAAGAAATGTTCTATTTGGGGTGAACATTGTGAAATAAAATTTATAAGAGGGCATTGGTTTGGACTGAGCCGCTAAGCACACCAGACCAAAACAAAATGGAGCTACTATGCTAACGTTCCACTCCACCAAGCCAAAACAATGTTGTTATCTGTCGTTACAAAAAATCAGGAGAAAGAGAGATAATTGCCAAGTCCCCCAGTAGGCCAGCTTTAGCAGGAATAATAAGGAAGTCCTGTCTGCTTTAACCTGCACAAGGCAAGTAATTTTGAAATGGCCAATCCACTTTCTGTTCTCTGTTTCTCCTTTCCTTTACAAAGCCAACCTCCTCTGTTTAACTCATAGAAACACTCCTTCTATTTTATAGAATAAGGTGTTGCTTGATTCTAGAATCAGAAATAGAAGCCAATTAAAATCTTTAAAATAAATTTGTTGTAATTTTGTCTTTTGGCAGAATCAAAGTGCAATTTTTTCCCATCTTAATCCACAGATCCCCTGGATTCTATTCATAGATTCTGGGAAGGTGGGTGCCGGGAAGCAGGGTTGGGAGAGTGAGGAGGTGGTTGCTAGGTCAAAGGCCCCTGATCTTGTACTAGCTTCTGAAAGATATTAAATGCGTAATTGTTTGTGGTGTCATTTCATTCTTACCATCCCTGGGATTGAAAGAAAGGGCAAAACTACTTATTTGTTTAACAAGGTATTAGGGATGAAAGAAACGTGACGAAATGGTCCGTCAATAGGATCCTTCTATGATTCAAAGAAAGGTTTTATCTGATATAGAAAGCCTACTTTTCACTCTTATAAATTGTATATCGGGTGACAAAATAGTACAAGTAATGACTTACTTTCTTCATCACACTTCAATTCTCTTATGTACAAAACAAGGAAATTGGGCTAGATGACCCTTATTTGATAAACTAATCTTAAATCTATGCTATTTTGAAACCAAGACTACCAGGAAGTCATTCCCCTATTCCTATCTTCCTTGTACCACCAGGCTGTTTCTTTAAACACCTTTGTGTTTTTTTCTACCTTCCAACAGTTTATAAAATAGTTACAGATATTCCTAATCTAATTTTCATCATTGCAGGCATACAACTGCAATGCCAATGTTTGAACTCTCCACACCCGCTGAAAGACATAAAATATTGTCTGCTCATGTAGCCAAGTTTGTTGGCAGGTAAGGGAAAATTCCTATTCTCATGTATAGATACCCCCTCCCATGGGATATTTTCTCCTGAAACTTCTAAGTGCCCATCTCTCAATTATGATGCTATTATTATTTATTGAGATGTGAGAAATGGTTGTCAGTACACATAGCAAAGAGAAACAAGCTTGCAACTTTAATAAGGTCCACAAGATAATTAAAACATACAATTTCTTCTAATGCTAGGCCAGGAGGGCTTTTCAGCCTGTAATATGAATGACTAAATGCTTTCATGTTTGAATTTATATATGGTTATAAAATATATTTTGACTTTTTATTGACTCAGCCCTTTCATTTGTCTTTATTTCTTCAGGCACATGAATGAAACATCTCGCATCATGTTCCATTAAAAAATGGGGAAGTTTAAACTGGCTGCAGTTTCATCTATTTCTTTTTTCAAATGTATCCTGAACACTATGTGCCTAGTCATTCATCTGCTCAGGAAAAAATAAAACTAAATGGCATCCCAGAATAGCTCCATAAATTTCTGCAATCCTGCCTCCAAATAAGGCATACCCATGCCCCTGTGAGGTAAGCAAGGGTAAGAATAACTAATGTCATTTTATAGCTTCAGTCTTGTAGTCAACATAATTTTGGAGTTCCTACAATGATGGGCTCATTGAGGAACACATAATATTGATAGAAATCCCCTTTTCTCAGGGAAGATGCATCCAGTTTGGGACCTAACACTCACATAGAAATGAATACTATGCAAGGGGCTCTGTTAAGAAGGAACTGATCTTAAGAAGTGCTAGGAGGAAGCATGGGAAGGGAGATACAACTTCTGTTTTGAGGCATAAAAACATTCCATGGAGATCATTAAACTTGAAGAAGTCTTTGAAAATAAGGAGGACTTCATGAGGCAGATACTGGGAATGGGCATTTCAAAAGAGGGAGCTGTGTAAGCCAGATTGGAGAGGGGAAGAGTCAATGTGCATTTAAAGAGTTTAAAGTTGTCTAGTTAAGTTTAGCCTTATTATTCACTAGGCGCATTTGCTTAGATCATGGAGGAACTTAAGTAGTAGAATAAGGAGTTTGAAGTTTAGCTGCAAGGTGTTAGAGAGACATTGTATATCTTAGAGCCAGAGAAAGTTGTGCCTTGGTGGGTTTCAGTGAGACTTCTTAAAGCAGAGAAGTCTGTTGGGAGCTGACCTAACTCTAGCTCTAGAGAGGAGATGAGGACTTGAACAAAGTGGTATTGGGAGTGGAAAGGAATGAATACTCCCAAAATACACAAAAGACATAAAAAGGAGTCCAAAAGGTGTTAAAGGAAATGGGTAAGATTACATAGGGGTGATGGGGGGCTGTGATTGACCCAGGAATTACACTTAGAGACCTTGAACCAGTGATTTTCATTGATACTTTTAGTGGACCATTTCCCTGCATATGGAATCAAGATAACTAAATAATAATCAAAATGTAGATCTCATTTGGAAGCTGCATTATCAACCGATGTAAATTAACACTCATAGGAAACATAGAACTGTTGTAAGCATTAGAGTGGAAGAAAGGATAGGTATCGCAAAAGGCAAAAAAAAAAAAGTTTCTCAAGAATATTCATTACAGCAACTACCTGAGGAAATGTAAAATATAATTCTGAAAAATAAAAGTATCTAGTGTTATCATAATCTATACAGGAATTTATAATACTAACCATAGAGACAGTTAGTTTGTACCAGAATAAACGGCCTCAGTGGTGTCACAGTGGGCATCTTCCATGGATAAGATAGGTTTTAATTTTAGTCTTCAAGAAGATTGGGTGATCGGGTGTATAATTCTCTCAATGAGAAAAATCAAAGGCAAGTAATAACTACAGGAGAAAAAGAAAGAAAATATTTATCTAAATAGAAAAGCAAACCAAATGTTTTTCATGAGATGGCATAGGCTACAGCACTCAATTTAGAATTAAAAGGGAAACTGTATTTGCTCTTGGCACTAGACACTTTCTCCAAATAGCAATTCCAAATGAGTTTAAGACCTTGTACTAGTAGAAAAGCAACTGTAATTATAACTCACTACTTGACTCTACAATGAACAATAATTACATTATAATCATGTGTTATTAGTTTTCACCTGTGAGACTCAACTTACAGAAAGGGCAGGAGAGATTTGACTATAGTAAGATAACAGAATATAAATGTTATCAAACTTGACAACTATCACCCAGGAGATAGACAGTAGAAATGGGGAAAAGAGGTGTCAGAAGGAGTAAGGACGAAAGGTAACATAATATACACAGAGAGGATCAAAGAAATCTTCAAATGCTTAAAATAAATAATTTTAAGAATATAAATTAAAGATATATGCAGTAATTCAATAGAATAAAATAAAAATTAAAAATCTATTAAAATTGGGAAGAAGTGGGGTGGCAAGAGTTAGGTGATATATAGGAGTTAATCCTCATCTTTCATATAAAAAAGTAAATAGATGAAAGTTAATCATCCAGAAAACAGTGGTATGACAATATTATTTAAAATTATGGAGGTAACCACCAGGAACCCTTGAACAGACATCTTAAAAGAGATAGTCTCTAAGGGAATGGAACTAGTAGAGCTCATTTTTGGGGTGGGAGCCATTTATTTGCATGATGAAGCCTCCTACTTGCTTATTACTATGACATATGTTAAAATTAATTATAAATTAATGCTAATAACTATCTTAAATTAAGGAATGAGGAAGGATGAAGGAAAGAACTCCAAAGAAATAAAAATAACCATTCAGCTAGAGGCACAAGGGATTATGTGGGAAGAGAGAGAAGGAAAGAAATATAAGAAGATGTGATAATTTTTTTGTCAACAGAATGAACTTTTCTGCCAAGGGAAAAAAATTAAAGTGAGGCCAAGGAATGAGGTGGTGGAACAGAAAAGTATAATGAGAATCACCTGAGTATGAATCTGAGCGAAGGCACTTGATATTACAAGGTTTGTAAATCTAAAATTATTTGGTTAAAGATAGAAATATATTCCCGATGACAGCGTAGGATTTAAAAACTCAAAACATGATGCTTGGAGGGGTCTCAGGAGGTTGGCATATTACTACATAGATCTCCTAATAAGCATTTATCATGTTCTTTAAAGTCTTCAGAATATATTTCCTCATAAAAATAGAGTGCAAGAACTAAAGTAGGAATGTCTTTCTGATTTTTAACACAAGCATCACTGAAACGTGCAGGGAAAAGAGAATCTCTTCCCAGAAGTGGATTTCTTGGGTTAAGGAGAACCAGCATTTGTAATTTTGATATCTATTGCCAAGTGTATCTCCATACATCAATTTACAATTCCTCTTTCAAGGCAAAATAAAAAGGTACTTATCAGCTTTATCAGTACAGATTTTGATTTTTGGAGACTATTCATTTCAACATTGTAATTTAGAAATGTTGGAGGCATTCTAAATGTCCACTACAGGAAAATGGTAAAAATGATAATATACCATATAATGGAATGATATGCAACTATAAAAAAGAATGAGGAATTATTATATCTATTGAGGTGGAATGTTCTTGAGGCTATATTGCTAATGAAAAAACAAGGTGCAGGAAATATGCATACTCTTCTACCTGTTGTGTAAACAGGGGAGAATCTTTATTCATATTTGTCTGTACATGTGTATACACATGGGAAGGTTATACAAAAAGTGAAAGCAGTGGTACCTGTGAAAAGGCCAAGAGGGAGCTCTGAGAAGACGGGGCAGAGGATGAAATGAGACTTTCATTATGTATCTTTAATTTTTTTAATCTTTGAATCTCATAAATGTATTGAAAATAACATAAAAAAAGAAAAATATAAAAAAGCAACAATATTTTATAAAGCTGCTTTATTTTTATATAGTAAATAATGTACTCGATGTTTCTGTTGATAAAATATTCAGACTTCAAAAAATGATTTTGCTGCAACTTAATAAAAATGTCATCCAAAATGACTTGGTACAGATTTTGTTAAGCACAGACAAGCTTTCAAAAGTCAACTACTATGAGTTAATATTATAAATAATTACATACCAGATTCTGACTTTTAAAAAAGTCACTAATTTTAATAAATGTATAATTAATATAATTCAACATATTAATAGTTCTAAAAATAAAAAAACACATTAAAAATCAACACAGTTTAAAATCTCTTCTGATAAATGCATTCAACAAGATAGCAATAGGTAGACACTTTTCTAATCTAATGAAATATATTATCTCAGCATTATACTTAATACAGTATCACTGGAGACATTCCCAAAAATGCCAGAAAAAAATATAACGATGTCTGCTATTACCACTAGAGTTAACATTCTGCTAGAGTTACTAGTCAATAAAATTAGACAAGAGAAAAATGAGCAGTATAAAAATTCAGACAAAAGGGAGAGAAAGTTACCACAATTATCAAATGTTGTGACATTTGAAAGATTCCCCAAAGATTCAACAGAAAATTTAATTGAGTAAGATAGTTACTTGTCATTTGGAACATGATACTTCCGTATTCACAAATAACAACCATATAGGAAATATACAATGGAAAAATCCTATGGAAAATAACAATAGAAAGGCAAGTTACTTAGGAAAAAAATTTAAGATATTTAAGAAACATGGTTTTAAAAAATTATGCAGAATTTATTTTTGTATTCATTTTTATAATTTTTAAGATTTTATTATTTATTTTATTTACAAATCAGAAGCAATCATATGCATATGAGTTTGGCAAATAAAATCAATACACAGATGAGAGTTATTATTTGGCATACAGGGTACCTCTGATATTACCGGAACAAAAAAAATAGATTTCAATGGAATGACCTTATTTAAGAAAGTAAAAATTACTTAAAACCAATAGGGAGAGCTGAGAAATATTCTTGAAATTTGAATGGAAGGGATGGAAATTAGAAAGAACATATTTGTTATCCATAAAGTTTCAAGCTTTTTTAATGCAACTTTGTCATATCTGTCTTATGAACATGTAAGAATTTATGTTTAACTAGATGAAATTGATAAACAGCAATATTAGTATCTACTATCATCTATTAGGCAATGTCATGTACCAAGACCAAGTGTTTCTAAAGATTCTATGTACATTTTCTCAGAAGATATTTACAATACCCAATGTAAATACCACAAACCATTATTTCCGCTATGCAGATGAAACCTAAGAAATAGATTCTGACAGGTAAATCAATCTCTTGGCTAAAGCCATAAACCTGATACAAGGCACAGTGTGATTCCCAATCCCCATCTCAGCCCCAGACAAGACACTTGTGTTCCTTCCACATTAGTATGCTACTTTCCATTTTAGGCAACATCTGATCACTCCTTCACACATCCACTTTTTTTTTTTTAACCTAGATAGATGTTTAAAAGTAAAGGGAGTCGATTTAAGGTTTTCTCACAGCCTTCCAGGAAATGTTGTTAACAAGTGTAAGACCCTGCAAACATATGAAAGGCCTGGAAACTCTGCAACCGTGAGAGTAATTCCCATTGACAGTAATAGTAATAATATTTCCTACATCTTCTCACATTAACAATAAAAATGAAGGAAATCACACACACATTGATAGCTTTCATCTTACAAAAAATTGTGGAACCCTTTGTAGCCTATTGAATCCATGAACTAGGTGCATCTTTGTTGGCCATAATATATTTTGCATAATTACTTGTTCTTGGGAAATGTTATTTATGTTGGAAGTACTCGTCTTTATCCTAAATAGAAAAAGTGATCTAAAAATCACTCTATTTTTCTTTTGTGAAAGAAAGAATCCCCATCGTATCAATAGCATGACAGGCATATCTTAAACCAAAGGAAGACTTTTGGATGAAAGCCAAACATACCTTTCCAAGAAAACTTCTTTGATCATTAGGAAATGAAAATTTGCACTTTAATATTTTTCTTATATAAAATTGTACCGGATTGAGCTGAACTCTGTAAAGTATTTACTATGTTTATAGGTAGTGTGTTTAATATGCAATAATATTTGATTTGCTTTTTATCCTCCTCAGCCACTTTAACCTCTAGACTATAATGACTTCCATATGACTAGCCAAGTCTATTTTTAGACTGTTAATTATAGGTCCCTATTTTTAGCCTTCTTCTGCCTTTGGGTTGCTGATTATTGTAAGGCCTAAAGTGCCTTCTCAAATTTTAATGATGTTGTTGTTCTGTCAGATTAGAGACCAATTCTGTCATTGAATACTGGACTTTCTCTCCTGATACCAATCTCTTCCACTTTTCTTTTTCTCACAGCAAATCAGCTGGGACAATAAGATTCAATGTATTTGTCAAAGAGCTCTAAGTCATATAATATGTTAGATAAATATCAAGCATGATACCCATTTTCAAAAGGATTTCAGCCATGTGGCTACCATTAAGTTGAAGAATAGTAAATTCGCCTGTTAAAATGCTTTTGAAATTTCAGTTGAAAAATTAAGTTTTGCACATGTAAATCAACCTATTTAGAACTTCCATTCCTTGCCCTATACAGATTTTTCTTATTTTAGCATACAAATGTGTAATAAGAGATGCATTTAATATCAAAAAGTTTTCCAATTGCAGTCTTTAGAGACCTTGGCTCTTTCCTTTGAAAATTTCCAAGTATAATAACATCACAAATTGGCTAGCTTTAATCTGTTCTTCATCATAAGAAACTGTCAGGTTGGTTTTTCTTTTCCTTTTTGCTGCACTTGTGTGTTTATATATTTGTGTATGTATTTAAAGAACAATGTAGACTAAAACACTTAGAAATTTTTGCAAATAGATAAAGTTAAAATTCAGCATTTCTTCTTTTGTGTGCTACTACATATAGTAAATTAAAAGAGAGCAAAATTTTGTTCTAAGAATTATGTCATATCTTAATCAATTAGGTTTTTCTTTATTTGTTTGTTTGTTTGTTTGTTAGAAATTAGTCCATACTCAAACAGGAAAATGGCAAGGAAATAGACCCTGCCCTAAACCCATGCGATGTTACTTTGCAACCTTAAATCTCTCTTGCCAAAGCTAACTCCAAATGTCTAGAAGTGACATTCTCTCTGTTTGCAAGAATAAAGGAGGGGTTGGAGGGCATTATGGAAACAACTGTGAAAGTGGGGAATTAGGCATCACTGTGGTTTATGAAACACTTGTGTTGACTTTTTTGGTTATTGCATTTAATGTTTTTAAGCTAAATACCATATTCCCTAAAATGTGAAAGTAATTCACCAAACAGCTTAACAAAGGTGAAGTGTATGAAAATGCTTCATAAACTCTAAAACAACTCACAAATAGAAAGAATTACTTTTTGTCCCTTTAGGGTTATAAGAATTAGAAATTACAGTACATTGACAAAGAGTATTTAAACATAAAGACATACTGATAGCCAAATTTTGAAATAAGAATGCGTTTGTTCCTGCAGTTGTCTAATTCATTCTTGGACTCTTGGAGGAATATGTTTCAATGGACCAAAATAATCATGAGGCTCTGTGTCCTTTTTGTAAAATATTCATCCCAAGGGAGGATGTCCCTTCAAGAAAGGCACTAGGTGATTACATAGTCGTACAAGCCTATGAGGCACAATTCAGGTTGCATGGACTACAATGTAAATTTTGTGTTTCTTTTAAAAACATTCTCCAAATAAGTCTTCATATGAAAAAGCATATAACACACAAGATCACAACTTGCATGTCTCCTGGCAAAACGGTCTTTCCAGGCCTGGTCTATATTAAAGCCTGACAAGGCATTAATCCAAAAAAGAAGAAAAAAAAGGTTTTGGAATTCTATCTTTGTTGTTTGACATTGATACAGGAGACAGAGTCCTTATTTTGTAAATTTAAGATTTCTAGTAAGAAATGCTTTAGAATAAAAGATTTTATTATAATACATTATAAAAAGGAAAAGTTAAATCTGCCTCTCAACAAAATCCCTAAGAGATGATTCAGATTTCAAACAGTAAAGTTTATTATTGGATTCGCACCCTATATGTCTGTTAAAAAATAATTAACATAAGAAACATTGCATTTGGGTCTAAAACAAAATGCATGGAGATGAGTCTTCTGTTTTAATTTCTCTGTCTATACAACAAGGATAAAATATACTGATTTTTATTTTCATGGCACAGAACATGATTTCGCTGTCAGTTATACCTTCTTTGATGTCTCACTGTCTGACATCCCCAGTTAGAAGACTATTAACTCATGCATTTATTTATTTAGCAAATTCATACAATTTCAGAAGAAGACGAGGAAGCTTTCAGAGCAATATTCTGTTACTAATAAGAAGTGGAGTAGTACTGTAGATTAACAATAATTATACCAGCAAATATTTCTTGAACAGGTTCCCTGTCCTTGACATTTTATCATTATGTTCAATGTAAGATATATATTATTATTCAGTTTTTATAGTAGTAACACTGATGTACAGAATTTAGTAAGCCCAATAAAGTACAGTGACAGCATTTAAATTTAGGACTGACTGTCCCTAAGTTTGTGCCTTTGCCATCACACAATACTATTCTTCTAAAAATAAATGTGTTCTGTTTTCTCAGTCACATGCTCTGTGTTAGACATTCTAAGTGCTGTAGTTATTTCATCGTGTCTAATTCTTCCAACAACTCTGTGAGTTAGGTGCCATTATCACCATGCCCATAATTATTATAAGTGATGAAACAGAAGCATGGAGACATTAAGAAACCAAAGTCATAAGGAAGCGAGGAAGTTAAGATTTAAACACAGGCATCAGTCTATAAAATCCCCCTTTACACTGCTTTTTCAACAATGGACATGGTAAGTCTAACAGCACTATGAAAATGCCAATATAAACTTGGAAGAGTGATTTTGGTTTGCTAAATTCTCTTACAAGAAATAGGGGTTTCTCTGTGCCTTCTCCTGGAGTGACATAATAGCATCTGATTGCTCGACATGTCAAACCCAAATGCATCTATATAGTATGTGAAGTTCTCCCGCACTCCCATGCTCCATCCCCAATCCTTGCTAAATTTTGCAGGACTGCTTGCTGTCTTCCGGAATTTTCTAAAATCCACTTTCTAGAATACCAATGTGCCTCAAGATGATTGAACAACATCCAATTGCAAGTGATTGCACTTCCACAGAGTTAGTTTTCTGGGGGTATATTTTTTTCATGGCAATACTTCTCGGGGATATTTAATGTGGCAATGTGTGCTGAGAATCTCTGAATTCTGAATGTAATATTCAACTTTTCTCAAATTTATTTTATTCCAAAACTTTATTTTTTGTGGAACACTTATCCCTTATCAACCATTCATAGGATGTCACTTTCTGTAGGACCTGAGTCAGGGAGGAGTGGCTCTATGCATCTGTACTTAGGTATCCACAGTCTAGAGAGTCTTCTCTCTTCCCATTCTCTGTCCATGCAATGCCTTTCTCTTTTTCCTCTGTCAATCCAGGCCTTTTGCTTCATGTTAAATCTCATTCAAAACATCTGGAGAAACCCTGCCCTGGTGGGCTTTAACTTTTGGCTTCCTTTTTGATTCCCACAGCACCCAGTTGCTTTCTGTCAAAGGTTATTTATAGTGTCCTGTGACAAACACAGGTATAACATCTTTAACCGAAGGAATTATATGTGAATTTAAGAAATATCTTTTGGTTGCTTTTGAAAGCAATTTGTTGAGCCTCTATAAAGGAAACATCCAAAGAGGATAAACACTAGACAGCAGTGGCCTCTTCTCTTCCAACACTGTATCCCTCGGTCCCAGCAGAGAGCTTGCCATAAAGCAGTGGCTGACCATATTTGTCCCCAATGTTAAGAAGCAAACCTTTTTCTTAGGAAAGATAAATCTATACTTAATTACCATAATATGAGGCAGCAAATCACATTAGAAGAAAGATCACTTAGGGCTTCATTTTTCTTCGTTTTGTTTTAGACCAAATTCTCCTGGAAAGCAGATTCTGAGACTAGAGCTTTGTGCAAATTGTGCATTTGAGGAAATGATACCAAGAATAGGAACAGAAGACTGGGAAATCCTGATTCACAGTGCATTTAGACCACAACTCTGACCAACTGGGGCTCAACCCCATTGAGAAATGTTGAAGAGTCCTATAGAATAAGCTCCAGAATCGTCTGCCCAAATGATGCTCTAACTCCTGTCTGCCGTTGGTTAAGCATTGCCCTGGTGGTTCTAACCCTTTGGCATTTCCAGGATATGCACACTTTCACTGTCCTGAGATTATTGCCCAAAGGGAGGAAGCAAGAATTACAGAATGCTTCTGAGGTTAGCACCATCATCTTAAACCTGTACAAAGCCAGACGCATCAGAAATGAACAGAGAAAAAAGTGAACAGAGGATGAGACAAAGCCCAAGAGGTGGCTGGACTTATTTCAAGTTCATTTTCACTCAGCAAGGTGTTGTTGCCTTTTTGAAAGCCCTCCCTTCCATATGGGCCAGGTAGCAGGAAGAATCAAGAGGTAGAAGAGCATTGAATGCCAAACCTCTGAGAAAGAGAAACAGGATTTCAGGGTGACATTTGGTAAACAATTTCAGCAAAGTGGTTGGCAGATGCAAAGACTTATATATCATTGATTCCACTTTGTGTAACAGCCAATCTATTTTTGAAAAAGTACACGATCACATGAAGATACTTTGTGGTCAAGAAAAATCCTAAAAGCAAATGCAGCCCTCATGGGTATTTGCACAAAATTATACATCGATTAATTTTAAAATAAGGTTTTCTACCAAAGGACCCGAGCAAATGGAGAAATTACCATGAACTTGATTACATAATGTAGATGCTAGTGACTTATCTAACAAAGAAGGAAATGGCAGAGACTCCTGAGTTTAGACTCTCTCTGCATGTTACAAAATACATAATACTATTGTAAAAGTCTCAGTCTGAATACCAAGTTTTACTCTCTATATTTTGTCCCCTACTTCATATCTCCAAGTGGGGATATGGTGAAAAAAACACAAACAATTTCCATATAAAAGGCCAAAGAGAATGAAAGCGAGAAATATACAAGAAGAAGAGAAACACCAGAGAAGTAGATGCAAGTAAAGGTCTCAAAAGTGAGACAGAAAAAAAAGAAAACTTGCTGCTTGTCCTTAATCACAAGTGACTTATTTAAATAGACAAAATGACAGGCTGACCTCCATCTATTTTAACTGCCAAATCCTATCAGCGGGGTGTGATTACCGCCCAAGACCACCCTGGGGGGAGGGGGGTGATTTTCAACCTGCCCTGAGAATCCCTGACATTCTTTCCTCCATCCAGAAATCCGGAATTCTTCTAAGGAAACATTTGTGGCCATTAAACCAATTGGAGTTGAACTCATGTCCTAGAGGTTGACAGGACAATTTATGAATGTGCTCTATAACCAAGTCTGGATTAAAAAAGAAAATCATGCACAATTTTTTTTCTTCTTTCTTCTTTTTTTAAAGTTTTACAAGTTATTATCCTTAGATCTATATCTGAAGAAAGCTAGTGGTTTCTGGCCTAGAATTTCCTGTTCCTAATTTAAAGAAATTAATCTTTTATAACAAAAACAAAAATTAGAAAGACTTAAGCCTCAGGAAAAGTTAACTAAAATTGTGTGTCATGAGTTAAAAAAGAGAGCTAGAAACAGTCTAAAATATTAGACATAGTTTCTGCAGCTATATAACCAAAAAGAGATAAACAAAATAGTTCCTTCAAATTAAAAAAATAAGGACACAAAAGGCCACAATCTTGTGTGCCAGCCATTTAGAAACAGATAACGTAAATAAACTTTTGAGTGTGTTTGTTTCCTTTCTTAGTTAATGGAATATGTTTCCAGGTAAAATGAACTAAATTTTGTGTGTGTGTGTGTGTGTGTGTGTGTGTGTGTGTATTTTCTTACCTGGAAGAATAAAGTTTAATGTAATTCATTTTAACTTTTTTCCAAAAATTAGATTTGGGATGTCAAACATAAATAATATCTATGGAGAATTAAAATTAAATAAAACTGATGCTCATTAAATACGTAAAATTTTGTTCTATACATTCAGCCTCAGCAACTTCCAGTACAAAATTCAAACTAAGACAAATAATTTTATATATTAATGCACATTTATAACAACTTACATATTGATCTGAGGTGTCTTGAGTTAAATTTCCAAACTGTTTGCTCTGAAAATCAGAAATTTATTTTCTTAACATCTAAACATAAGTGCCTAAATTTTTCTGTAAATGCAGTGCTAGTATTCCCAGGCATTAACTGGATAATTGAAATCTCTGAAGTCACTGACTTAAACTACCTTTATGTTTACAGCTGTTCTCCAGAGGGGAAAATCTCTTAGACTATGATAGAATGCCACTCTGTTGCTTTAGTCCCACCTAAAATATATTACCCATGGACCATCATGATTTTTCCCTTAAGTACACACTTTAGCATTCCAAGCATTAATCTCTGTTGGATTAACAAAGAAAACAATCCATGTTAAAGCAATGAAAAGTTGTTTTTGTTCAAAATGATGAAAAGGAAATTCTTTAATATTTTAACTTTTCATGTCCCTGGTTGGAAAAGAAAACATCCAGGATAAAATGACATTTCAATTATCGTAAGTAAAAAAAGAAGAGGGGAACACACACACATACACACACACACACACACACACACACACAAACACACGGGAAACCACAATATGTTCTATGTAGATCTGATGGTGTTTTCTTTGTTCTTTTTAGTTCAAGATGAAACAGCTGTTCATTGTTTAAAATAGCATCTCACATTTAGATCTTTTTCGCGTCAAAAGGAAGCCATCTTATCCTTCCAGTTTGCTAACATTAGAGAGGGGTAAACACTCATTTCCTACTTATATTATTTATAATGCAGACTTGTGAACTTTCGCATCCAGTGTCAGTCTGACCCCTCTCCTACGAGGTTTTGAACCTTCCTTCCCCTGACCCCATCAACAGACCAGAGTAACCTGAAGGTCATATTTTCCTTTAATTCATCTTTTAAACACACATTTCCTTATTACAATCCAGCAGCTCTGGCTAATCCAAGGATTGCTCTTATAAAAGGTGGGGATGGCAGTTATTTTATGACATTTTATCAGTGGGCTGATACCAGCGTCTCAAAAGAAACTTCTTAATGGTGGTGAGATCTTTATACGAGTCTCATGTTTCCACTCCTTCGCTCAGAGCCATGGTTCTGTAAGTACCTGCCAATTTGATTTGAAAACCACATCTTAGTTCTTGACAAAAAAAAAAAAAAAACTTTTATAACTAGGAGTTCTCAAGCTGTTTAATCTAAGTAGCTTGAAGCATGCCTGCAGGCCCTTAAGACAGAAAAGCAGAAAGATATATCCCTTTCAAAGGAGTCCTTTAAAATAAATCCTCTGCCTTTAATTTAGGGGACATTTTGGAACCTGCCACACTAAAACTGAATGGTCCATGTAGGTTCAATGCCAGGTCCACCATGCCCAATTCCTTTCCTGATAAAAAAGTAAGCTGCCATTACATTAAAATGTTAAAAACTCTAGAAACTCTGAATATAGTTAGCAGCTAATCAGAAACCCAGGAATTTTTCTTCTCATACATACTTAGATAGTATTCCCAAAAGATTATAATGGGACTATTTTACATATATTTTTTAGAAATACAAATAGTTCCAAGACCTGCATTCAAATTATAAAACCCCTTTACTGAAATGTTGAAGGTGGAAAGTGTTACATAATTCAAAGAACAAAATTTGGAAATCAAATAGTCACACACCATTAATTTGTAGATAAGGAAACTGAGGTCCCGAGAGACTAAAGGTCTGGTTTATTGTAGATTAATAAGATTTTGTTTGTATTTGTTGAATGAAGTGCATGATTGCTCTATCACTCTCTTGCGTAAGAGAGAGCCTGGGACACTGGCAATAAGCCTGCCCATCACAAATGTCAATTCAACTATTAAAAAATTAACACTGAGACTGAACTGATCATTTATCCTAACCTAGTTAAAACCAAAACTGCTAGATGATAAGTTATTTTGTTTTTCAATTAGTTATTTTGAATTCTTCTAGGATGTCCTCAAACTTCATGCAATTCTCCACAGTATTAAAGAAATGCTTGTCCATTATTCAATGTTTATTGCCCGCCTTTGAATATTTATTCATTCAAATGTAGCTTTCATGTCCTCTAAGCTCCTCTAAAAAGCCATTTCTTTTTATAACAAATGATCTGAATTTTATCTCCAGACGGTTTTGGAGCTTATGAAACATGAATATGACAATAGTCAAAAGAGAATGGGAAATTCATTTCACAAATGATTTGTAACCTTTCCCTCTTTCCCATCTGTAAATACCACTGTTCTCTTCTTGCTACTGGTGCCGAGTGTTTATTCTCTATTTCTCATTTTGCCCACTAAGAAAATGGTGAAGAATCTAAAAGAATGGGCCATGTCTGAGATCCGGCTGGTTCCCACCCTATCGAGACCTTGTCTCGCCCACGCAAGTGGCACTCCATAACCTTATTTCCACTGACATTTTTTTTCTGCATCTTAGAAAAACTGGGCACTAGGAAGTATGTACACCCCCAGAACCTTGAATTTACCCAATCGGACCTTACTCAGCAGCTCAGTGTCTTAATGACTCTGGCAAAATGACATGGGTCATATTTTCACATGGATGAACTATTCCTGAACAATTTCTCCAGTGTGTAAGGCACAAACAGGCTTTTCTTCAATATCAGGCATGCATGTCTTCCCCGCCTCTTGCTTTTTAACAAACATATGTATTGTGGACAGTGCAAGAGAAATTCTATTCCCCATTAATGTTTGAGTTTCTCTCCTACCCACCCGCTTTTTCTGTGCCTTTCAGATGTCTCTCTCTTTCTTGACATTTCAAGATATTTAAAAGGTGGAGGACCTCTATCCTTATTTTTTTTTGCCTGTGGAGATAGATAAAATTGTGTGGCCAATGTATCTCCAACTTTACTCTTTCTACATAGGAATATGGGGCAAAGAGTATCAATTATCATAGCCATCTTGACACTCCAGAATCTGTACTTTCCTCCTCCCTGGAAATAGTATTCATTTATTCTATTTCATGAGATGCCAAGTTTGGGGCTGGAAGTGGGAACCATTGCAAATTAAAATCCTGGATGTAACTGTCAGTTCATTTGTGCTGCTATAAGGAAATACCTAACACTCGGTGATTTATGACTAATAGAACTTTATTTCTCACAATTCTAGAGGCTGTGAAGTCCAAGATAAAGGTAACATCAGGCTCAGTGTCTTGTGAGGGCTCTGGTCTCCAATTCCAAGATGGTGCCTTGTTCCTTCGTCCTCCAGTGGGGCAAACACTGTGTCCTCACATGCCTAAAGGCAGAAGAGCAAAAGGGGCAGAAGAGGTAAATAGCTCCCTTACGCTTCTTTTATAAAAGCACTATTTCCATTCATAAGGGCTCCACCCTCATGACTTAATCACCTTCCAAAGGCCCTATCTTTTATTATTGTCACATTGGCAATTATGTTTCAATATATGAATTTGGGGGATACATTCAGACCACAACAATAACTATACCATAATTGTTGCTAGTTCTACTTCCACAAGAGAATGGAATCATCACACAACTTCTACATCCACTACTTGTTATCTAAGATAATACTCTATGCTGCACTTTAACTTAGTAGGCAATCAATAGATATTGTTGAATGAATGAAGAATCAGATCAGAAGGAATTTCATTTTTTCTTATTTTTTTCCAATCATACCCTCTGATTGTTCCTCATAAAATCAAGCAACTATAAAGCAGTCTTTCCTGGGGACAAAAAAAGTGCTTCTTTATAGAAAAAATAGTGCAAAGTATTTCCCAAGGAATCAGGTTGTTTACTCCTAAAAGCAATAAAAATGAAAGTTTTCCCATGATGTCACACAATGTGTTGCAAAACATCATCAATCAGGCACTGACTGAGTGCACATTCTTGATGTTATGACTTGGCTGTAATTCAGTAGCTCTGTTCACAAACTTTTCTCCCATCTTTAGAGTCCTTCTAGTGTCAACATGATCAATAATAGGAAACGGGTCTACAGAATCATTCATCTGAATGAAAAGGAAAAGATCATTGTCAACTATATGAAATAAGTTATCAATTCCTTCTCCAAAGTCACTTCTATGAAAGATTGAAGGATGACACAGGGCCATCTCTCAAAAGAAATAACCAAAGTGCAAAATCCAAGTGATGATATTAGGAAAACGATCTTAAGAAACATGCTTTCTCTCTTTTGAGGTTATACTACACTTATTGGTGTGTCCTGTTTGAACTGTGTCTGGGGTTTATCTTCCGAATATAGACATATGCCTCTGTTTTAAAATAATCCCCAGTTTGGTTTCCCAGCATCACTTTGATGACAGAAATTGTATGACTCTCTGGGGACCTGGAATATATTGGGTGGTGCTTTAACGTAAGTTATGAAAAAAGAAGAAAAGATCACATTTTTGTTGGCTTAAAACGAACAAAAAAATGCCTTAATGGGACATTCTTTTTTCTCAATACCAACCCTACCAATGAGAGACTTTCTGACTTCTCCAGAATGAGTGTGAGCACAACATAATTCTTTCTTAATGATAAAAACAAAATAATTGTTGGAAGACAAGATAATGACTGGACCACTCAAAAAGCCAACAAGTTATTTACTACACTTTTCACAACAAAGGGGTACAGTCTGTCTGGGTAACCACGTGAAAGAATCTAAGAAGAACATTTCAGGTGTCTGTCCTGAAATATGCAGATCAAAGAAAAGTTAACTTCAATATTCATTTTAGTTCTAATTGTTGGTTAGATGCTTTCTTGTATTAATAATATGAATTTGGGGCTTGACTTCACTCAACCAGACAGTTATAGATTGTCATAGGAGTTAGAAGTTTTGTGACTGTCATAACTGCATGTTTATATCTCTGAACTAGACGTCTCATAACCAGGTTGGTCAGAACGTTGACATTGAATCAATGAAAGCACGCAGCAGTAGTTTTTATAAGAGCAGCTAAAGTCAAAAAGAATGGTACCACAGGTGCTTTATGTCACTCTGCCTTTCTCCATTAACCTCAAAATGTCCCCAGAGGACTGCTTGCCAAGTGAAAGGGAAACTGCTCACTGCTTGAGATCACTGCTCTCCAATTCTCCAACACAGTCACACAGGCCACCATGCAGTAGCTTTCTACAGTTTTGCACGTTGTTGGCGAAATTGCCAGTCACTACAGAAATGACTTCTCATAGCAAGGCAGAGTAAACAGGTGCTTGGGCCTTTCTTCCATAATGTCTACAGTAAGCACTCACTGGGATGCCAGAATAACACAGAAGCATCTCTTGAGAAAGTCACTCTGCAGTCCTTTCTCCTGATCTATAAAATGATGTCCCGACTATCAGTTTATAAATGCAGAGTAGCTTGTGTAGCATCACCAGCAGCAGGAATTTATGTACCATACAGTTTTATTTCCCCTAAAAAGTCACAAATTAGTGTATATCAAGCAAGTCTGGAAAATAATCTGGCTGCCTTCTTAAAAACATTGACAACCTTAAATATTTTAGAAGAGATTTATTTAAAGGCATCACTCTGGGAGATTATAACATATTCTGTCTGTTAATACAAAAACTTGGGAAATTCCTGTTCAGGTATTGGGAGACTTTCTTCTATATTCTGCATATTCGTCAGTCTGTGAGTATGGATTTGGCTTTTGGAAGTGACCAGTCATCATTAAGTATCAATTGTATAAATGAGATGGGTGATGAAAGTGGGCGGTGTGAATTTAGATAAAAAATGAAGTGTGACTATAAGTATAACAAGACTGATTTTCCTCCACCAGTCACAAGCCATGCCTGAGGGCAATTCCAAGGCCGAAGCTATGGATGAGAGGGTGATCTGACAGGGACAGCTGTCATCAGTCATCCTGTTGACCTTCGAGGTTAATTCACCTGATCTGGCTGGCTGACTGAGGGTCATCTCCATCCGCCCTCACTACCCCATGGGCATCCCTTTTGAAACTCTTTGAATGATAATAAAAATAAGGAGAAGAGAGACCTTCTTTTACCAGGAATGGCTATCCATTCTTTCAAAAAGTGTTTATTGAGCTTCTTTTATATATCAAACATTGTCTAGGATATGCTGGAAAACAAGACAGATCAGACTCCTACGCTCAGAGTTAGGACATACCGAATTTTTAAGATGAAATCAATGATAATTGTAAATGCTGATAAATGTAATGAAGAAAAAAATGGGGCCATCAGACAAAGAAAGCCATTACATCAGGAGGTTAGAGCAAGTCTCACTCTGAGAAGGTATTATTTCTGCTAAGACCTGAATGATGAAAAGTTGCCAGCCATGAGGAAATCCCGGGGAAAATTTGCAGGCTGAGGGAGGAGCAAGCCTAAGAGTTCTACTACAGGATGAGCCAGATGGTTTATAGCACTTGGTGGAGTCAAGTGCCCTGTTTCTGAGTATAATATGAGCAAGGTCCATTATATATTCAAGTGGTTGTATTCTACCACAAGCATCAAATTTTGGAGTTCCTAAAATGTTTTGGCCAAAGCAGCATCCAAACAGTGATAGGTATGGACTTTCCCATGGTGACCCCTTGGAAAGGGACAACACTCCCATGGTCACACATATTCTCAGGTGTTAGAATGAAAATGAGGTATTTCTTAAGAGTTATACCAATGGAAATTTCACACATTTTTAAAGATGATTTTGGCCAGTACTTAATTTGGGATTCTTTTTTCTAGGCCTAAACATTTGCTTCCTGCTCAGGCAAGCTTGAGAAGACAGGATCAAGGGAGTTTTGTGGTCCAGTGAGCAAAGGATGGGAAAATCAGAAAGATTTTGAGTTATAATCCCAGTTGAGCTACCAGGTGACCTTTAGGCAAGTCATTCGACCTCCCTGTGCCTCATGCTCCCAGCTGGAAAATTGGATAAGACCAGCAGGATATCACTGAAAACCAGATGCTACACCGAACTCAAGCTTTCCCAGCTCAATAAATTACCACCAAAGGGGCGGGGGTGGGGAGGGGCAATCTATCAGCCCATGTGAAATGCCCAATTAATGACATTAGGTTACTCTTTATATTAAAAAGTTATTAATTTCTCCCATATTCATCAAAACGAACTAATAAAATGAGTAATTCAAACATGAGTACTATTTCCTGAGATATTTAGAAGTGTCACTCTGGCTTGCCTTGACTTTGCCATAGCGTATTTGTAGGTTAATAATTGTTACAATCCCAGTCTTGCCTCATTACACCTTCCCATGGCAAGTCACGCCAGTGTCAATGACACACAGCTAGAACAACAAAGAGAAGGTCAAAACGGGAGTTTATTTCCCCATGTTTCAAACAAAATAAACTTGCAGTTTCTATATGAAACAGGACAATAATGTTTTGTGTTAGATATTAACGTGATATTTAGATGGAGAGTAAAAATTCCATCACTCATTAGAATGTTTTGTCTCTGTCAATAATGAACAACTTCTTACCTACAAAGACTAAATCAGAAAACAAAAAAGAAAAATAAAACTGGAGTTTTTTTTTAGTTTTAATTAAAATGTCTTTATTAGCCTCATGGAAAAAAAGTATATTAATTCAAGTTAAATAATCTACTTGACCAACTAGAAGGATGTTTGTGATGAAACCGACATTGCTTTTCCACATGAAAAAGTTAACCCGTGAGTATATTTGAGAAGTAGCAACTTTCTAATTTTTTATTAATTAATTTTTAATTTACAAATAATAATTCTTTATATCTATTGGGTACAATGTGATGTTTTGAACTATGTATACATTATAGAAAGATTCATTAAAGCTAATTAACATATCCATCACCTCACCAACATACTTTTTTGTGGTGAGGACATTGGAAATCTATTCTTTTAGCAGTTTTGAAATATGCGATACAATTGTTATTAACTGTGGTCTCCATGCAGTGCTATCCATCACTACAACTTATTCCTCCAGTCTAACAGAAACTTTGTACCCTTTGATCAATATCTCCGCTTGCCCCTTCTCTTCCTCTCCTCCCCAGCCTCTACTACCTTTACTACTCTCTGCTTCTATGAGATGAACTTATTTAGTTTCCACATATAAATGAGATCACACTTAAAATTGGGTCACAGATAGTATCACAAGACCACAAACACTACTGATGGGTAGGTAGATGGGCTCAAAATAGGTTTAAGTCCATCTATGTGTAATAAGTATCTGCATATTCAGCAATATCCTGGTGTCTGGCTTAGTGGAACATTTTTAATGTTATATGAACATATGTTGAAAGAAAATTAATTAAGCAAGCTGAAGACATTAAAATATTACTGTGGGTGCCAGTATATGCTTAACATTACTCCAAAGGATTATGCACAGAGAATGCATGTGGCATGAAAATTCACTTATGAAAACTTCATTAAGTGCTCTCTTCTCTACCCGAAAATGTAACACACAACAGCTTCTTTCCTCTGAGTGACTTGGGTGGAAGCATGGATGCCTTCTTGTGGTGCAATACCTGTGAATAAGTCAGCTTTTGTGTGGCTGATTTTCTTTTTAGCTCAGTGAAGTGATGCTCCAGGCAGATATGATGGTTGTTTTTTTGTTTGTTTTTTAATTAAATTTTGCCAGCTATTTTTTGGCCTTAATTCTGATAAAAGTATTTTTCTGCCTAAGCGAAAGTTTTTATTTTCTTAAAGATTCATTGACAGTATAGATGGGGAATGGGTGGCTGATGTATATGTAATTGAGTGATCTTGGTAACAGCTATGTAACTAATGACTCAGGAACTCACTCTCACTCACCTGTAAAATAGAGAAAGTAATAATACCTATCTTGAAAGGCTATGATAATGATCAACAAAATAAAGATGTTTTGTCAATTACATGATGCTATAGGAATGTAACTTATTGTTCGAGACAGTTGTTTGTCCTCATGAGTGTGTCTTAGGGAGTTACCCATCCAGGTAGCCTTCATCCCTTTCTATGGACAACCAAGTACTTACCTGACTGGACCTCAATCAGTTACTCCAGGTGAGCCATTTCCTAAGATGCTCCAGTCTTGGACAGCCAACAGAGGGACCACAGGGACCACATAGAGTCACAGCAGCCTGTGCATGTGTTAGCCATATCCCATCTCTCCTCAATCTGTAATTATCAATTCCGTAAGTGGGAATCATCCTCCATTCAGGAAACACTGCAATAAGTAATTGGTATTATTTACTATGTGCAAAAGCAAGTTGTGCCACTTTTCCCCCACTCCTTTTCAGTAGGGCATCATCTGTTTTGTTCTTAAGCATGGCTAAAGATTTGGAACAAATCCGTGCCCCTCCCCGCCAAAAAATGGTGATAATAATAAGGGAGAAGGAGACAGTGAGAGGTTGAGAGTGTGGTAATTTTTGGAAGAAGAAAGTGTAGGGAAAGAGAAAAGCTCATCTCAGCAAAATCATGAACACGTACGCAAAGGGCACATTTGGAAGCATAAATGGAAATACGTAAATCAATATTAATCATCTTCAGAAATCAAAGACACTGACTGTCATCACTGTCATTAATTGTCTATTAACAGTGCTTTAGGATAGAGAAACATTATGATGTAACCAGCACTCTTTATAGAAAGATAAGTTTTTTAAAGATCTTTTGAATGGAGGCTCTAAAGGAAAAAATGCATGTTGCACATCAGTATCTACTAAAAAACACTAAAAAAGTTTTTAACAATCAGAAATTTAGTTAAGGCCCCAAAGGAAAAAAATGTGTATGTTCTACTTTATCATGAAGTTACATGATCTTTTACATCATTTTTCTTATTTTATATTAAGGTTTTTAAAATTTTTTATAGTTTATTCTCTTGGGGCTAAACTCACTATTATCACACAGTTGTATATGTTAGCCAGGCTTAGAGCTAGGGTAAATAATGCTAAACACATAAATTACTTTTAGTGGATGATCATTAAAATAAGGGGACTATGGGAATGTCACTATAACGGAAATTTCTGTATAACACATGGATTTTAAAATCTCAGTCTGGCAACATCTGAGAGATTACAGCTTCAGTAGAGTGAAGAGATGTGGATATTTCTTTGAAACATGTCGGTGTGGATATTGATGTGCAACATGTATTTTTTTCAGGTATGATGTTCATATGCTGCTTAAATAGCTGGCTTAAAACCTCATTAAACCAGCTATTTAACATCACTTAAAGGATTAAATCAATCCTTTGTTTCTCTTTTATAACGAATAATTCTTAAAACCAGTTTGCACATACGGACAGCCCTAGTCATAGGGTTACCCATAAAAAGATATGATAGAATTCGGAAAATTCCCATCACACTTTGTTCAGTTAGTTTCAAAAGCCTTGAAGGGTTTCTCCCATCCCCCACTCACTCCCATGGGGTGGTGATCAAGAATGCTTTCCAGTTGGCATGTCTACAAACTTGTGGTATTTAGCTGAGAGCAAATCACATCTTTTACTATATAAAAAGATTTTGATGAGACAGTATGAAGTATTTCAATGTTGCCCATAACAGCTTCTTAGGTTAATAATATGCATTAAAGCCTTCCAAAATAATAATTGACATTTTATGCAATAGACAATGAGGGCTGTAAAAGCCTGCACCTATTGAATTAATATAAAGGATATTTGCAGAACAAAAGCAACGGATTTTCTTCAGAAAAAAATTTGTATTAGCAGGTTTATGTCCAATACTTCCTTAATTATTAATGAAAGCCTGCAATGCCAAGTTGATCACTCATTAATTCAAAATAAGTATTAAAATAAGTCAAGTAAAATCCTAAATGCAAGGCACCTAGAATTAAAATGTGTGGTGAAAATAAATGGAAAGAAACACAGCTTTAGCCTGTAAAACTTGGGCAGCTTTAATGGCAAAACTTCTAAAACTACTTTATTTCACAGGCAGACTAGGCAACCAGAATCAGCAGCATATATTAGCTGATATCATGATACCCAAAACTCAACCTCAAATTTTACCTATGATATAATACAGCATCTTGCATTTTCTAAAGCAGTTCATTTAATATTTGGATGCTCACCAAGTTCTCTAAACTTTACCTAGTAGTTAAATGTGGCTTTTAACCATGACTTACATTCCTTAATACAATTTCAAAATTTGCTTTTTTGGCTTTTGCTCTCTCTGGTAATAACCGCTCATTTGTGCTGACTCATAGTCAATATTTGGTGCATAGTGGCTAATATTATTTTCTTACTTAAAAGAAGACCTATTATTCGTCATGTTATATTGTCCATTTGTTTATTAAAATGTTTCCCTAATTTCTAAAATTCTTTAAGGTAATGTTTTTCTAGATTTTTATCTTCATTTCATTTCTGGTCCCATTTGCCAAGAGAGGAAATTTGCCTTTTTTTGCCCACCACATCCCCTGGCTCCCCTATGCACAACTTCTGACAAAAGCAACTAGAGAGCTTTCTATTTGTGGTGAAAGGGAATTGGCCTGGATTCTGCCATTACCAAGAGATTCATTATATACTTCAAGCTTATGATACCATTAATTTCAGCCATTCCAGGGCAGCAATGAAAAATGCAGTCCACTGTGCAATCTATATCCCCAATCTCGTCTCCAGACCCAGTTATTTAACAACCTGGATGTCTCCACTGGATGCCCCAATGGAACTTCAAACTCAAACATCTGAAACTGATCCCTCACATCCTCAGCAAACTTGCCCACTTGCTATTTGCCACTCCTCAGCAAAAGACACCACCAGCTACCAGTTGTATCAGATGGTGTAAAGTTTTATAGTCACAACTTCACTTTCTAAATCTGAAACTTTGGGATCAGTTGCACAATAGAAGAAATAGGCAGGAGCCTCTACTACATTATTTAAAGGAGTCTGTCAAAATTTCCACCTGTTGACAAATGTCCAAGTGCTAATTATCTTCTGTTTGCCCCTGGAGTCTTAGATTCCACCCTTCTCCATGCTGTGATATGTATAGTCCTTTGTCCACCAGCTTCCACCTGGGTTCACCCAGTGGGAACCCCAAGAAGAAAGGGAAGGGAAGAAGGAACACAAGACAAGGTATTTTGTCTTCAGGCTGCCTCCCTGCGAAGTCACCTCAGGTAGGATGTTTTTTTAAGATGAAGGTTTATGCCCCTATCAAGTTGGCCTCTTCTATATGGTCCACTCCTTGTGGGATCATCTGATAATGACTCTTTTTCCCAATTCCTTCAAGTGTAAGGGTAGCTATGATATAATAACAGATCACTAACCCCAGGTTACTTCACTTTACCTGGTGGTTATCCTCCACCTACCTTTGTAAATATGTCCCTTTGTAAATACAACTTCTTCAAACTCTTGTTCATTTGATTAAGACTTCTGTTTCCCACTGGGAGTCTGACTGACGGACCACTCTTCTTCTTAGTCTTTAAATGATTATTTATTTTATTAATGACATCATATGAATTATGCTTCTAGATTAAGGCAATAATGCTGAGGGGAAGAAGGCAAAATGTGAGACGGGGGTGTGTATTAACTCACTAGGATCCATTGATTGTATTAATAGATGTGCTATATTTCCTGGGAAAAATCTGATTACTTACAATGAAGAAGGAAGCATACAGATTGCTCCTGCCTTAGGTAGAAGGTACTAGGGAATTGAGTGGCTGCAGAGAGGTACTGGAAATTTAGGATGGAAGAGGGTTAGAGGAGAGGCAGACAAATCAAAAGTAGTTTGTGTGTGTGTGTGTGTGTGTGTGTGTGTTGAGCAGTTACCAATCTGTGCCTGAGTTGACTCTACTGTGTACACACTATGTAAGTTTTCCCCACCCCAAGTCTGCAGCTGGTGCAGCCATTTCTGTGTCCCTGGCATTCTGCACACTCAGTGAGTCTCCCTGAGACCTCAGATGGTTTATCTACCCTCAAAGGGACAGGCCCTGGCCTGGGGTGAAAGACAGAGTTTTCTAGATGGTAAAAACTTCAGTTTGCTTTGGACTGACAGAGCAGTTGAAGTGTGAACTGCTACCTCTGTCCTACTTTCAGGAATAAAATCTGGTCTGATCACACTCTAGACTTGATTGTAAGCTCCTTGTGGCAAGAATCAGGCTGTGTATAGCATTATGTTTCCAACAAAACACCTTCAGGCTGATCCTCAAGAAGATTTGGCCAAATGAATTATGATCTAAGTGGTTTAATTGTTTTAAATTTTGCTTTTTGTCTAAGAAAATTGTCCTTATTTTTAACTGGGGAAGAAAGGAAAGAAGGGAAAGAGAGTGGTTGTGGGAGGGAAGAAAGCATGCTTAATAGGAGCATTTTAAAAACTGAATTCTAGACATAATTCTGTTTCTTATGAGATATTAGTCAAATGTACTTAAACTCTTCTTTTGTAAAATAAAATAATAACTCCTTATGGGAGTTGTTTTATTAAATGTTGATATCTTCCTTCCTATTTTAAGCATTCTTCTAACTCTAAAATTCAAAGTGCCCTTTTTAAGAAAGATTATTTCTCATTGTTTCTTCAGTACTAGATGTCTGCTTATACAGAAACCTGCAGTTTTATTTGCTCCACTTCACCTCCAATAAATGATAATCTATAAAAACCAAAGCATTATATGGTTGTGTAAAACTCAGTTCTGTGTAAAGTCTACTGGTAGAAATACGCAGAGGAGTTGCTTTATAAAGCATCTTTGGTTTAATGGAGCCCTTCTAACAAATGATACTGTGGAAGTGAGCATTTTCATTTCTTCTGAGCAGAAACCTTAGTCATCCAAAAAGCGTGTTTTCTTCTCTAAGCTTCACAGGAAATATCAGAGTAGAAGATGATCATTCAGTCATTCAACATTAAGTTGCTCTCTGAAGATACTGCCAACAAGGGTATAAATTGTACTAGTGGTTTTTGTGAATTGGACTCTGGTCAACTAAGCTCTTGATTTAAACCACCAACTCATTTCACATAAATCACTGCACAGCCCTCTGTCTGCAACACCATTTTTCCAGGACTTAACTCTTAGGTATAGGCAGGAATTGAATCGGTGCCCTCAGGGCAATAGGCTTCAAAGTACATCATTAATAACTTCTGCATTCCATTTACACTAGATAAGGCCTCGTGGGCTAGGGAAAATTTCACAGGTTCTAGCTACCTGGGTTGGCACCATCATTCAGCCAAGCTTAGGCTAGCCAGTTCAATTCACCCCAAGCCACAAGTTTATCTTTGGGAAAAATTTTTGGAAGGGGAAGTTTTACATATAAGAAAGCCACAAGTATCCTGGAAAAGACAAAAGTGAATACAGCAAGAACTTCTAGAAGAAACTTTCATTGTTTTAATGGTTGGGGCCCATTGGGTCTACCATCTCCATAATGAATTTATTAGAATGTTACTTCTTTATTCAAAAGCAATACAACAATTGATCAGATCATTTTTCTTCTTTTAATGTATGGATGATTTTAGAGGAATAAGATCACTGTACACATCTGAGAAGGTTAAATGAATTTTATTGATAGTATATATGAATTAAAACAGCAAAATCAAAGATCTGCTACTATTGACAAAAGCAGAAGTCGTTATTATTTTTGAAACTATCAAGTCCTTCAGTAATTACCAGTGTTCTGAAATGCAACAAATCAATCTTGAAGGACAAAATCTTGTTTAGTATTAAGTATGTTTATATATTTATATGATTTAAGTTAATGAGTTTTCTTTTTGCATTTTGAACACTGACAGTAGTCAATACATAAGCATGATTTGGGTGTTTCCTTGGTGAATCTTTGGTCTGTCCTCAACTTGGATTTAATTTCACGTTCAGCTCTGCTATAAACAACTACAGATAGCCAAACGGCTTTTATGAGTCTCTTTTTTAAAAACTGTCACCAAAAAACATACAAAACTGTAATTAAAACAGATTTTGTTATGTTTTGATGATTGAAGTATCTTCTCAGTAACTGTCCATGAGTTAAGGCAATCCATGACTCATTTTTTTAGTCACCCTGAATTTTTCCTGAAAAAAGGTAATAAGAGAAAAATCTTGCCTTTAAGTGAGCTCATATTAAGCAAAAATGAGAACATCAAAAAAGTGACCACAAATAAAAAGAATTTTATTAAAAAACTCATTTTAATAATATTTTCAACCGTCTGTTCTGCTAACTTCATTTTCTCCTTGGCTTTGAAGACATCAATTATATACCATCCACAGCTCACTTGATTTTCAAAGCTGGTATTTTTGCCTTGTTAATTCAAATCTTGAATAAACTGTCCGTGTTTTCTACTCCTAGAATATTCAATTGGTAATATTCCTACCAAATGTTCCATTGCTAAGGAAAAAGAAACAGGCTTGATTCTCTCCCCCTTGCCTACTATATGAATTTCGACTTATAAATTTTAATGCACTTAAAATTATTAACTAACTTTATGATACTGGACTATGGTGTTTTTAGTTACATAATGAAATGCTCAACTTGAAACTCATCATTAGACTAATCAAACTGTGATGCCTTAAGATTAGGGTAGGAAAATGTCAGCACATATTAATTTATTTAATTTGAAAATAACATATCAGAGACCAAAGCAATTTTCGGGGTTAAATTATCTCTCTTCTTATCAGATTCATGATCTTCTGGGTTCACAGATCAAGTTCCCTTCTTCCCATGTGCCATGTGAAAACCGCCAAACACTGTTTAGCTTACACAATGTGTTATACACAGCAAGGCCTGCTCCTTCAGTGGGTACAAAGAAGGTAATTCAATCTTAAAGTTCTACTGCTGTCATAAGTGTTTATGACATCACCAAGACCTAGCAGCTGAATTGTAGCTTTGTCTTCTCTCTTCTAACATGCATTATTAGAGATAGACTGTCAACGTCTAAGCAGTCATTTTAACCCCTCCTTTACAAAAATCACTGCTTATAAAAATTCCCTGAATTGTCAGGATAGTAGAACAAATGACTGCTAGTCTTCTAATAACTCTACCAACGGAGAAAGGGACAACCCTTACGGTTAATTCTCAGAGTTCACGTAAAATCATGCTTTTCATTTGTAGACCTCAAAAGCTCTTACAAGTTAGTGAACATTTTAAGATTACCTCCCTTTGCCCAACCCTGATGGTCCGGCACAAGTCTCACTTCCTGGATGAAGACCGTGTAGGCATAAGGGAAAGAATGTGGGTGGAGTTGGAGATAAAATGGTTCAAAGGCTATTTTCACCACCTACTAGACAAGGTGGTTATTAACGGCCTTTGTTCCTTTTGTCTGCTACTGAGTAGGAGCTAAGGGCTCTAGATGGGAATGACCTAGGTAATATACTTGATCATTTAAAATAGTCCATATAGCCAGTATAGCCTAGTGTGGTGGTGTGTCCCTTTTGGCTAGTTGAGAGGCTTAGGTGGGAGGATACTTTGAGTCCAGAAGCTCAAGACCAGCCTGTGCAACATAGGACGACCTCATCTTTAAAACAAAAACAAAAACTAATCAGTATAAAGTCATTGCCATCCTATCTTTTAAATGTGGACACAACCAAGGCCTAAGCCAATTAGAGTGTGGTTTTCTACAGCCACAGCAATTGATTCGGAAGTGGACATGTGACCTAAGTTTGTTCAGTCTTAGTGAAGCTGAAGCCTTTTATACATTTTTTTTTATTCTAAATGATATGTACAGTTCAGAGGCTTGGACCTGCTGCAGCTACCACAAACTAAGCGGCTAGAATACAAAACCAAAACAAGGAGAAAGACTAAGCTAAAACAATCTCAGATCAAATGATTGGAAGCCCTGATCAAACCATAACTGAAGCTCTGCCTAACTCACCTTTTTGCAATTGCATGAGCTGATCTCTTGTATTAAGACAGTTGGAGTTGCTCTTTCTGTTGCTTGTGATCAAAGTACCCAAACTGACTGACTAGTTCGTAATCTTTAGCCTTAGTGTGCTTATCTATAAATGAAGATAACAGCAACCACCTTGTAAAGCATTTTTGAGGATTAAATCAAACGGCACACATGAAATATCTGGCACAAGGTCCTCATAAATTACACGTCTTTTTCTACCGGTGGCCCAAGAGAGGTAACGTCTAAATCCTTAAAGCATTAGCATTTGTCCACACTCTACATATCTATCATCCTGCATTCATACTTGGAATTTTTCTGTTACTCTTTTAGGGATTCTTGACCTGAGATAAGAGATGGCTTTTGGTAATCGTAATCCCTTTGAGAACCAAGAGAGAGCTACAAGCTCTCTCCAGCAGGAAAACAAAAATACAAATATGCCACACATCTATTAATGAAGAAAACAGCTGACATCATACACAGGAAGGCATTTCCTATAGTCAGAGAGAAGCTTAAAAGACCAGACAGATTGATGCAACTCTTCCATTTGATATTCATTCCAAACAAATATTATAGCCCCTTTAAGCAGGTTATCATCTCCTTTTACATAGCACTGAAATTTACTAAATTAATGCTATGGTCTCTGCTCTCCTGTTCAGTGCTACAAGTTTTCTGTTACCAATGTGACCCAGGTCCCCATCCTTGTGAATCACAAAACTTTCCCTCATTTGCTGACAAAAATAATTTTCATGAAAAATTTTAGTTGATTACATGTATTTTTAAAAAGCCTTTGATTTTGATGTGTTAAGTTGTCAAAGGAGTTAATGCTGTCTGATTTCAGGCACTGTACACTTACACTCTCTTCTTCCTACATCCAGTTTTTAGTAAACCACTAAGTCTTATGTTAACTCTCACCAGTTCAGGTTAAGAACACGTAGATTAATTTTATGTCATCTGTGTCAGTTAGGCTTTCTACCTTATGAGCTATGCAGAATTTAGTGACTTAAAACAATATCTATTTAGCTCATGGTTCTGTTGGTCAGCAATTTGGGCTACACCCAACTGGTTGGTTCTTAGGATTTCAGGTAGGCTCCCTCATGTGCCCATGTTAGCTGTTGGATTGATTTGGGTTGCAAATCTAGAATGCCAAGTAATGCAAATCTAGAGCTAAGTCCTTCAGCTGGGATTTAAGACAGTTGGAGTTTCTCTTTCTGTTGCTTGTGATCAAAGTACCCAAAACTGACTGACTAAGTCCCCTCAGCTGGGACTTAGCTCTCCTCCATGTTGGTCTCTCATATTCCAGGAGTCTAGCTTGAGCTAGTTCTCAAAACAGCAATGGGTTTCCAAGAGAGAACATGGATGTGGATGAAGTTTCTGGAAGCCTGGCCCAAGAAATGGCACAATGTTACTTCTGCCACGTGCTATTGGTATAGCCAACCCAGATTTAAGGATTGGAAAATAATTTTGACCTTTTCATGGAAAAAGTATCAGAATCACCTTGCAAAGAAGTATGGATACAAGGAGGTGAATAACTGTGGCCATTTTTTCAATTAATCTACCACACCCTCCTTTTCTTCTACACTTCAAATCCTCAAGTACTCTATCATGTTACTTGTAGCCATAGTCAACAGGTAGTGTTTACCACTATACTTTCCAAGCAGTATTCTTCATACATACTTTACTCCAAGTCCCCTACAGGACTTGGTGATGTTAACTTTAACTGACATGTTCCTTTATAACAAATCTGGTCAGCCAGAAGATCTATTCATTCATGTAGAAATAGAGCCGCAGCCATTGTAAGTGGTTAGGTTAATTGGTTACAAAACAGTATTTATCTCAGTCATCGCACAACCCTGGCTGTACCATCAAATCAATTGCAGTGCTTTGAAAAGTACAAATGCCCACCCAGGACAATCAAATCAGAATATCTGAGGTTGGGGAGCCTGTATATATTTAACAGTTCCCCAGGCAATTCTACTGCACAGCTATATTTGAGAATGACTGATTTAACTATCAAGCCATCTATCCACTTTATATTGAATAGTGGTTCTCAGGATCGAGTGGGCATCAGAATCACTTGAAAAGCTTGTTAAATAGATTTCTGGGTTCCAAACGCAAGTCACTGATTCAGTAGATCTGTCTGGCATGAGGCCCATGTGTGATGAAGATGCTAGTTCAGGTATCATGCTTGGAGAACCACTGTCCTAAAGAAATAAGGTCCATTGGCATTTTTAAAAAGGCACCATCTCAGAGACGTATTTGTCCCTAATACTGCCAATAAGGCAGAAGTCTCTTTATTATAGACCTGTGGTAATTCCAGGAGAAGAAAATGATGGTTTATTTTACACCTCCCAATGTTTGCGTCCCACACCCAGAGTTTCTAATTAAATTGGTCTGGATTGAGGTGCAGGCATTACAGCCCTTAAAAGATTCCTCCAGTGAGTCCAGTGAGCTGCCAGGATTGAGAGCCACCCAGTGGTTTTCAAAGCATGGTCCCAAGATCAGCAGCATCAGCATCACCTAAGAACATGTTAAAAATGCAAATGTTTAGACTCCACTCGATATCTACTATATCAAAAATTACGGGAGTGGGGCCCAAAAATATTTAACAAGCTTTCCAGGTGATTCTGGTCAACACTGAGCTTGAGAAGCTCTGCACTAAAGTATACTAACATTACAAGGAGGCAATTAGTTTCTGCCAAGAAAGTGAGACAGATTCCAACCTCCGCAAGTGTTCTAAGAAAGTTGTGAGCTAGAGATTTCAGACCACAGAGAAGGGGTAAAATCTAAGAGAAGAAGAACCTCCAATTCACCTAGCCCAAAGAAGCATGCAATCAAGTACACATGCGGTCAGAATCCACCAGTGTCCCTGGGGCAGTGAGTTGACCAAACTGAAGGCTACAGGTGGTTTGTGTAGTGAAGTAGAGGGTCATCATCTTTCAATATCAGATCACAGTCTGTTCTATAATCTAAGAATTTCAAGAAGAGCTGGAAGGATGCATGATGAGACATTTCCAAATTCAGGTGAGGCAGCAAATGACCTTCAGACCCCCAGGTGTTAACTCCAGAGAGTTGGAAATAAAAGGATCATTGGTGGAGAGGTGAATTCTCCTGCCATAATAAAAAGGAGAAAGAAATGGCTCCTCGTAAGAATATGATATTTTCCCCTTTCCAAGAAAATAGATAATGCCAGGGTCACTATCTCCTTTCCTCATCCAACAAGCCTTATTGAGTGCTTCCCATGGACTAAGAATCATGTTAGTCATTGGGAATACATCTGTGAAAAAAACATAATCCCTGCCCCGAAGGAACTAGTCTAGTCAGGGAGGAAGAGTCAAAACCATCTACAAAGCCTGCATTACTTTAAGGTGTTTCATCATATTCAGGAAACCACATGTTTACTAGCATTGTCTTTAAAAGAAGGATTCTGTTCAGGTTTTGGTACCTAAAGCCTATTCCTCATCTCTCCTCCTCTCTGAGGTTCACCCAGGGAGCAACACACATGGACAATTACTAAAATGGGTAAAAGTGCTATGAGCATGTTGCCAGTGCTGCCCAATGCACAGTTCTCTGCTGGGAAAATGAATTGAAGGATCTGGATTCTTGGCCAATATGAGTGTTCCCATTCTATTTCCTTAAATCCAGAAATGATTATTTTTTCAAAAGAAGCACCAAGACAGTTAGCCAACCAGCTGTGGGACAAAAGGAGCTGAACGCTCGCACCACCCAGGGTGGAATGCTGGAAAATAAAACATCACCAGACTGGTCTAGACCACCCTTCCGAAGTTTAAGTCACTCTCTGTAGGCCAGGCTGCCACATGGGAAAAGAGCATAGAGGAAGTAGAAAAATGGCCTGTCAAGTCCAAGGAGTAAAACCATCTTTCTAAATCCATTCATAGGATTGAACTATGAGTGCATGCCTTTTAAAGCACAATGACTCTGCCCTGTAGTGACAAGTGTTCCAATCAGTATCTGGGGATATGAAAAATTAACTTTACTCCTCCTCCTCCTTAGAAAGGAGGTAGTAAGAGTAAAAAGGGAGCTGGATCTTACTCAAGGTATGAGGGTGGTGACCTTCCTCATTTTAAACAACTGAGCCCAATGATATAAAGCTGTATCAATCCATACATAGATTATTAGCCCAGAGCTCTTATCAAGAACTGGTAAACATCTCTATTTAATTACCTCATTGTTTAATTAATTGTATCCAATCTCTTTGTTTTAGTCACTATTTTCACACTGCTGACTCACAAATGTTTGTTTCCAGCCCATATCTCTATCCTAAACAACAACCTTCCATGACAAATTGCCTCTCCAATGCTTCAGTTGAATGTGTAATAGGCACCGTAAGCCTATGCAGTCTAGTTGTGAGCTTGGGATTCCTTCCCCTGGAGCCTTCTCCTTGATAAATACCAGTTCTGATCATCCTGTTGGCCTAGTGACTTCCCATGACATTTACCAAAGAATCCTAGGAGGTTCCACATGAGTGAATCCCATGACCTTGTGGATCTTAACCTCTAATGGTCTTCTCCTTTCTTAATCCCGTCCAGCCACAGTAAAGTCTTTCCTGTTTCTGGAACATGTCAACATACCCACCTTAGATCTTTGGTTCTTCCTTTTCCTCTTCTCCCACAGATGCACATCATTTCCTCCTTCACTACATTAAGTCTCAGCTCAAATGTCACCTCATTAGAAAAAGCCTTTCCTGAACATCCTATCTAAAATATCTCTTTCCTCAGTCTTCAGCCCCTCATCCTGATTTAGTTTCTTCATTATACTCATCAGCATATGACACATTACATGTACTTTTAAAATTGACTTACAGAGTGTTTCACTCAACCAGAAGATAAACTCCATGACAAGGGGGCTTTTCTGCTTTGTTCTTGTATCCCCAAGTGCCTTGAAGAGTGGCTAATATTTAGCAGATATTCAGTAAATACTTGTTAAGTAATTTGGTGATTGGTGTACCCATTACTTTGAAAATTGCATCTGTGGCATCTGAGAATGAGTCTTGAATGGAAGCAGGTTTCCTGTGTGCACACACCCTCCAGCTTCACACAGCAGGGAACACATAACGATTGAAGAGCCCTTCAGCCCTAGGGCTTTTACAAATTTTCAGCTCAGCCTATCATTATCATTTGCTCAGTTTTTCACTACACACTCACCTTTTTTCTGTCTCCCCAGTCTAAGAATGGTACCCATGTCTTTCAGTCTCCTGCCCCCTAATGAGACATGTGGTCTGGGAAATTACTGCCCTGCTACTTCCAGATGTGAGGTTCAGACTCTTCCACACATGGGAGACAGCATGAATGAGAAAATATTAGGTTATCTGGGACATTTTTATGGTCAGTGGGAAAACCATAACACTATAGTTAAAATTGGAACTGCCAAGGGAATACAGGTTGAATAATCATTATGACTCTAAGGAATAAATGTTTATTTCTACTGAAAGAAAATTGAATAAACTATTTTAAAACAACACTGCTAAAGACAGCTAATAAACTTGAGAAATCATGGATTTAAAGAAAAATTTCTAACAGTAGTTGACTGAAGGATATACAATTTTGGTCCATGTGGCTGCTTATTTAGGGCCTATTTTAGCTTCCCATTGGAAAAGTTGACTGATCTAATCAAGCTTCTTCAGAATTTCAGGGGATCTACAACGTTTTCAACTCTAATTTGACAATTCAAGTTTCTACTTAAATGAGAAAAGTATTTGCAAGCCACTGGAAATAGGTTTATAGGCTGCCCATGGGAATGAACCTCCCCAGGAATAAACAAAAATAGTAAATTCAAAAGCACTTTCTTTTTGCCATACCCTCTCAGTGCTTATCTTGTCACCCTCCCTGAGGTGACTCCAGCCTCACTTTTAAGACTGTACCCTTCATGCACTTCTGTCATTTGCTCAGTCTCCCATGCATAAAGAATGAGTACCAATGACACTAATCTCTAAGAAAGAAAAAATAATCCTATAGGCCTTCATTAGGGCCCCCTTTCCTTTAGACTGTCAAATCTAATCACCTCTCCCCTTCATTACTGCCTGTCGGAACAGTAAGTGATAACAAGTTTGATTTTCACCAAATACATTTAAATTTCACTCTCTGACATTTTAGTAGCAAGGGTCTGGGCAAAGGCCAGTTTTATCTACTAACACTTCCATCAAAGCATGAAGGCTCATCTCCAGTAAGAACTGAAGACATACATGCTTTACTGCCTTTTCCCTGATATAAAGACACCTGTTTTCTCACCTGAATTGTTTTTAGCAGGTCACAGACAGGAAAAACTCAAACTTTACCTGATTTCTACATGGAAGTTTCACGAAGTCTTTTCTATGTCATTCTTTGCTTCCAACTCCAAAACCTAAAACCTTTCTCGGGGATTTTTTTTTTTTCCACCAAAATAATAGCTACTTTTCCAGCACATTATGTCACAATCTACTGGAGGCTTTGAATTTATAGACTCTATGAACATCACAAAAGTCCCAAAAGTATGACCAGAAATCTAGGAGATCAATTATCTGTGTCCTCCAATTAATGGCCAACCAAGCAATATTTATTGAGCACCTACTATGTGCAAGGTTCTGGTAAAAGCAATTGTGGATGTTAGACACTGTGGAGAATTGTAAAACAGAAAGCTAGTGTTTCTTATTTCATTATAGCCACAACCTCAGACTGGCAATAAGCAAAGCTGTCATTTAGAAGGTGTGATATGAGCATTGGGGAAAAAACACTATGCAAAACTGCCTTCCATATCCATGTGGCAGAGGTTCAGAAATGCCAGGTAATTAGCTAAAGCTTCCACTTGGATCTTCTATAGATCTCACTTAAAACACCAGTGTCCCTGTGTGGAGGAACAGATGGAGCTAAATGACTCTAAGGTCCTTGTCAATCACAGACTTACATTTCCCTAATGAGAGAGATGGCCTTGAAAGTCCTGAGACTTTGGAAACAGCATGGGAGCCAATCCCTTCCTTTCCTCGCCTTTCAAGGGTAAGAAAGTAAAGATAGCCACTATCATGAGAACTGAAGCTATCCAAATGCAGCCTCATTTATATCAAATTGATACCTCCACACTATAGCTTCCTCCCAGAGCCACGTGTTACAAACATCCAGTCCAGGCTGAACTCAAGAGAGTTTTCTCCCCTTCCTCCCTCCCTCCCTCCCTCCCTTCCTCTGTCCCTCCCTCCCTCCCTTCCTTCCTTCCTTTCTTCCTTCCTTGCTTCTTTCCTTCCTTTCTCTCTCTTTCTTCTTTTTTCTTTCTCTTTCTCTCTCTCTCTTCCTCCCTCCCTCCTTCTCTTAACCTATTTTGAAAACAAACAAGATAACAGCTGTTTCAAACAGCACACTCTCTCTAGCCACCATCTACAGAGACACACTATAGTTTTCAATCATTGTAAAACCTAGTTCTCAGTTGACTCCTTTGTATCTTGATTTTCACAAACTTTTGATGTTCTTTCTTAAGAATAGCTCCATCTTTTTCTGGTTCACACAAGCCTATTGAGGTCACCCAACTTCAAAGTTCTTCTCTGTGGCTCAAATGGTGAAGTTCTGTGTGTGAGTGTCTTGGGGACACCTATGGAAGGAGGAATAATACTCTTCTGTAAGGCAATCTGGACCAACGACAATGCTGCGCTCTTTTTCTCATGAATACTAGAGGTGATTTCGACATCAGAGAGAGCCCGATAATGTCTCTAAAAAGCATCAGTGTTCTCTCAGTTGTTTCCCAGGTATCCTGTTGCAAGATCTAAAAGATCTCCAAACTGAATGCAGTTGCTCAGTTTGACATAGGTTGTGCCAGAAATGCTAATCGATTTCAGATACATTCCCTGGATAGCAATGGAAAGATTCTGTTTCAAATGTATTCGGCCAAAAGTTAGATGCAGAAATTCCTGTCTGTTTTGCACCAACTTTCCCTTCTCTTCCCTTTGCTTGGTGAGAACACAATATGTAACTTCCTGACATTGCCTCCTTAATGTACTCACACCTATTTGTGTGTACACACAAATCAGCTTGCATACAGCCATCTTGAACTCAGCATTTCAGCAATAACTCCTTTCTCTTGGATTTAGCCAACAGGTATCTCTAAAGTGATTCAAGAAACTGACTTCTCCGATACTCTTCCAAACCGGGCAAGTCTATCTGTACAAGTCATGAAGGAAAAAAGAAAGAAAAGGGTCATAGAAACAAGCTGTACATCTTTAAGAGAAGGATGAGCACAGCAGAATCAGGCAACCAAAAAGGCACTGCCTTGGAGCAGAAAGGAGAGTCATGGGGGCTGCCTTCAGGCCTAGAGTTGTGATAATGTCAGACAAAAACGATCTTCACAAACTCTCTTAAAGTTAAGACAGAGGGCATCTCCTTTTCATCTCTCAAAAGTGTTTTTAGCTGAAAGGCCAAGAGACCTCCTTCCATTTATATGATCAAAGCTTCACTTGCAGTTAGCATTGTTTGCTCATTTTATCATGTTTTATTACCAACCCCAGACAATGGTCTGGTGTAGAGGCTAAGTCAATTCAAATTCCAAATTCATCTCTTGCCAGCTGTGTGACCTCGGGAAAGTCACTTAACTTCTCTGTGCCTCAGTTTCTCATCTATAAAACAGGAATAATAAGAAGAGTACTTACCTCATGCCATGGCTTGAGTGCTAAATGTGATCATCTGGGAAAAGCATTTTGCAGAGTGCCTGGCAAATGATAAATGCTGAATACATTTTAGTTGTTACAATTATTCCCAAGGGGAGGACAGAAATAGTCAAAGCATGAAAGAAGCAAATCATCTTAGGCACTATTAATACAAACAGGTGCTTGCCTTGGTCTAGAGTGCTTTGGTCTGTCTCCTCAGAAGGCCAAACATGACAGTGGAGGAGGCTCCATCCGTGGCAGAGGATGCCCTCAAGAAGGCTTCAGAACAGCATGTGTTTGCATTGGCAGGCTGCTGACTAGCCCAGGCCTCTGGAAGGTCATGAGACCCACTTTGCAAAGTCGCTGCTATTTGCATTATTGAAAACATCTCAGAATTATAATAAATAAAATGCATTTTGCTTCCATAGTTTGAACTGATAATCTCATTGGCCAGGAGGCTGTCAGAGACGGAAGATTAGTGAGTGCCATGAGCATTCACTTAACAAAGTTGGGTTGTTGAAAGAAGACCTTCAGCAAGAAGCTCATTTCTTAACAATAAAACACTTTTAATTGGGACAAACAGTCACTTCCCAAAAGTCCTAAGTCCTGGCAGGGCACACTTACCACAGTTTGGTACCAGGAATGTTTTCCAGCGTCACCCACACACTAAAGAGACACCACAGGTCTCCGTCTGTTCTGTGGCTATACAAGATGGATTGACAAGGGTGGAAATTCTCAGACCTGCCAAGGGGGAAGGCAAGCACAAACACCAGGCTTGTATGAAACGATGGCAAGCCTGACAAGTCCCTGGAATTCATGCTAGCTGTGGTGCCAAGCTGTGGGGCCATGGCCTTCTGAACTGGTAAAGAAAGTAGGATGCCAGCAAGAAGTGGGCTCTTCTCATGCCAGCAACATAGCCCATGGTGGGGAGGCACAGCCCCAGAAACTCTGTTTTGAAAGTGGTGGAGGAAATTAGTCATGTGGCTTAACTGGGTGGAATTTATCACTGACCTAGAGATCAGTGCCTCAGGCGGCCAAGGAGGCAACAGTTTCAAGAACAAAATAGAGCAACTAAATATGAGGACTGAGAGGCAAAGACCTCGAGTCATAAGGCAAGGTTTCCCGTGTGCTAATATATAGGGAAGGCTCATGACAGACACGCTGGACTCTCCACAGCTTCACTGCCTCAAACTGGCACATCAAAGAGACGATGGAAGGTCCAGAAAAGGATTGTATTTGCACAGTTAATCAATCATGTCAGCACAGGAATCCATGCATCAAAGAGACAGAGAAGCAGACACATGTCTGTAGTGGGATTTCAGTCCATCACGACCTACGAGTGTGAGTTCATGAACATGCAAAAAATTATTCAACCAACAGTGTCTTTGAAGGAAGGAAACTTGAATGGAGAGTGTGGCAACAGGCCACAGAAGAAAAAGGACCATATAGGAATTTAGATTTGAATCTCAGATGATATCGATTTTTAATACTACACAGGGAAAGGATATTATTTGTTAACCCAGTGTCAACTGAAGCCCCTTTGATTATACCAAAGCTGTCCTGAGAACAGACATTCTTCACCTTTCATTTTCAGATTCTTAGGGTAGAACATTTACCATGGGTTCCAGTTTCTCTGCTCCCTATGGACATTGTCACATTGATTTGCCAAGTCCACTTTCTCTACCCCCTCCCTCACCTCCTTGACCACCACTACCTCCATCTTCACTGTCACCACTTCCATCACCACCACCTCCACTATCTCTACCACCTCTGTCTTCACCACCACAACCACCACCAACCACTGCCTTCACCCCCACCACCACTGCCATCACCTCCACCACCTTTACTTCCACCTCTACTATTATCAGCAGTCACTCTAGCACCTCCTCCACCACTATTTCCACCATAATCTCTACCTCCATTGTACTTCCACCATCATCTCTACCACTATCATCACCACCTCCATCTCCCCTTTATGTCAACCAGTACCACTCACTACCATCTCCACTTCCACAAGGTCCACCATTATTGTCACCTCTTTCACTTCCATCATTTTCTCCAAAACCAATTTCACTATCTCCACCACCACCACCTCTACCATCATCATCACCACCTCGCTATTATCTCTATCATCACCTCCACCAATTCTAGCAACACTTTCACTTCTGCTACCAATACCACTACCTCCACCACTATGTCCTGTACCAACTCCTCATCATCAGTCCTACTACTAACCCAACCATTCACCAGCATCAGAACCACATTCATGCCTCTTACCACCTCCTCCACTATTGTCGCCAGCTCTCGCATTATCACCTCCATCACTACATCACTTCTGCTACCACATGATTGTATCTATAAGCCAAGAGCTAAGTTAAATGCTATATAATCATTACCTTTATTTAATTCTCACAGAAACTCTATGAGGTGGATATTTTTACTCCCATTTTACATGAAAGTCAGAGAAGTCATACCACTTGCTCCAAATCACAAAGATAGGAAAAAGTAAAGCAATATCTCTATGCCAGAGGTTTCCAATTTCATTCTCCTATGTTCTACTGAAGAGTAAAGTACTTACAAACGAGGGAGTATGACTTCTCCTCAAGTCTGCAAGGGTACAATGGAATGTAACCAGTGTTAAGAGCAGAGATAGAAGTATGTGGCTCCTGAGTGACCATTCACCTCCTGTGCCAGTACAGACTCAGACTGTGTGTCAGGTAGCCTTATCAATACAAGCTGGCCTTGGAGATCAGAAAAATCTGTCACCCAGGGGTTTGGAGCTATCAAAAATCTCTAGTTGTGTAATAGTTAATATAAGTCTCTTCATTTATTTAAGCCAAAGCTTGGTTATTACAGTTAAACTAATAGACACTTTGAAATGGAAAGCATATTTCAGAAATCAAACGAAACAAAACATCAAAATACATATGTTGAGTGTTGAAATGTATCTGTAATCCATATACTGGATTTTGAAAATTCATAGCTCATTTCCTCACTATGTTGTGGTCTTAGTTAATATCACTTTAGAATATCTTTTTAAATTACAAGAAAGGGAAGCATCACCAGTGTTTGCTTATCCCATATTATTGAACCAATTTTAGGAATTACAAAACAAAAGGTATCATGTATCTTAGCTATGGTGACAGTATATCTTGCCAATGATAAACCATTCCCATAATCTATACTCGAACACCCAGTCAGAGTCACCACATGACGTAGTGGAAATAATCTAAACTTTGGAATCAAGCAGAATTGAATTCTTGTCAAAGTTTTACTGCTTATTAGATCTATTATTCTGGGCAGTTTATTTAACCCAGTTTCCCAGCTGGTGAGCTGAGGCCCGCTGTGCCACATATCAGTTCCAGGTGTGCCAATACACTGATGCCCCCAGCCATAAGAACAAATTGGTGTGTCTTGGGACCCACACCCTCAGGCCAGTGGTAGCCTCCTTCAGGAGAACTAGGATCATGTTCCATGTGTATGTCGACCTGGAAAACCCTCAGAAGTACTGATAACCTCAAAACCTAGCGCCCTCTCTCTGTGAGTCTGTGAGGTGGGATAAAGGCACCCAACTCAGAGGACTACTGTTAGGATTCATGAGGTATCACAGGAAAACTGCCTAGCTCAGAAGCCTATGCATAGTTGATGCTCAAAAAAAAATCTTTTTTCCAATATTAACCTCTGCTCCTGGTTGACTTTTACCATAATTTCTTATATTACAATCAGCTCATCAAGAAATAAAACAGCCTCACCCTGGGTGTTGAAGATGGTAAATAGACTGCACAGTTTTTGCTACTGGCTAGAAAATGATCGGTTTTGCATCTACTGCATACAAAGCACAGCTTGGCTAAGGGTACAGGGGATGTCACCATATGCACTCTCCTGCCTGCAAGTTCTTACCAATATGTGAATGACTTCAAAATTTACAGCTCTATTCTCTATTTCACGACTGAGCTCCACACCTAAATTTCAAATTTCTTTCTAGACACAGCCACATAGAAGACCAGTTAGCATCGCAACTCTTCCACGGACCACCAATCCCCACCAAGCCTGCTTTCTTTATGTCTGTCATCCTGACTAATGGCACCACCATCCCACTGGTTTCCCAGGAGTACGACTTCTATCTTCACCCTTCACCACACCATAGACCCTTTAAAAATGCCACCAGAGCCAACTCCTGGGGTTCTCCTTTTAAAATACCTCAAGCATCCTTTATACCCCAACTGCTGTGCTTCACTCTCACATTATTTTTCTCTGGCCTATTATATCAGCCTTTTCAATGGTCATCCTGTCTCAACTGTGACTTGATTCCAATTAATCTTATAGTCTTTACTCTCATTTGATCTCAATTAATTCTATAGTCTGTTCAGCATTTAATGGTTTGTAACAAAGGAATCATCCTAAAGCATAAAACTAATTGTGTGTTGCGTTTGAACATAATTCTTTGCTCTTCCTTATGTCCACATCCTTTAAATTATAACTTTGCAGCTCCTCCATTAAGAGAGAAAGGCTCTTTTGCCATCTATTGAATATTCACTGGTCTTGTGACTTGCTTTGCCCAAAAAAATAAGTATGGCAAAAATGTCAGTGAGTGGGTTCTAACTCTGGACATTAAAAGACCTTGCTCACTTCCACTCTCTTTTGAAATCCTTAAATCTCCAAGTGAATAACCCATACTACCTACTGAAAGATACAAAACTACAGAGCATAGAGAAACGTTTTACTAGCTGATGCCATTCTAGACCATCCTACCCCCAGCCAACCTAGCAGCTGACCACAGATAGATGAACAAACTGAGCCAAGACCAGAAGACCAGAAAAGCCACCCAGCAGAGCCCAGCCCAAATGGTTAGCACTCAGAATCAGGAGCCTGATAACCGATTCTTGTTTTAAGCCACTCATTTATTTTGGGCTGTTAGTTGAGCAGCAAAAGCTAACTGATGCATTTATTCCCTTTGGCCTTGAGCTTGTGACATCTCTCCACTGAGATGAAAACAGACTAAAATCAGTCTGATTTTCAAAATACCCCACCTCAACCCAAAGTATATCCAAATTTATTTTTCAAGATTTATCTCCTGCTATGATTTGGATATGGTTTGTTTGTCCCCACCAAGACTCATGTTGAAATTTTATCTCCAATGTGTTGGTATTGAGAGGTGGGGCCCAATAGGAGGTGTTTGGGTCATAAGGTGACTTTGCCCTCATGAGTGGCTTGGCACCACTCTTATGGTGAGGTTTTGCTCTTATAAGACTGGATTAACTCTCTCAGGAATGTTTCTGCGAGAATGGGTGTTTATAAAATTAGAAGGCCCCATGGGTTTTGCCTCTTCACACATGTTTTTCCCCCTTTGGCCTTCTCTGCCATGTTTTGACTTGTGTGTGTTGCCAAGCAAGACCCTCATCGGAAGCCAAACAGATGCCACCACCATGCTTCTCATACTTCCCAGCCTGTAGAATTGTGAGCTAAATAAACCTTTTTTCTTTATGAATTACCCAATCTCAGGTATTTCATTATAGTAACACTAAATAGACATATTCTGTTTTTCCATTCCTTCTCCTACACAGCCATTATTAAACTAATTGCCAAATTTCAATCATTTTCCCCATAACCTTCTCAATTTTTGCATATTTGTTTATCCCTATTATTACAGGTTGAGCATCCCTAATCCAAAAATTCAAAATTCAAAATGTTCCAAAATCTGTAACTTTTTGAGCACCAACATGCCACCATAAGCGGAAAATTCCACACTGGCCTCAAGCGGAAAATTCCACACTGACCTCATGTGATGGGTCACAGCCAAAACTTTGTTTGATGCACAAACATATTTAAAATATTGTATAAAATTTCCTTCAGGCACTGGGAATAAGTTGTATATGAAACATAAACAAATTTTGTATTTAGACTTGAATCTCATCCCCAACATATCTCATCATGTATTTACAAATACTATAAAATTTGAAAAAATTCAAAATCTGAAACATTTCTAGTCCCAACGATTTCAGATAGTCAGCCTGTATTAATTTATTAATTTAACATTTTTTTACTGATTCCCATTACTTTTTTTTTTTTTTTTTTTTTTTTTGCTGGAGCAGGAAAGGGAGAAGAGAGATTCCATATTCTTACTTAAGCTTTTCTCTATACCATGCTAAGCAACCATAACTTTGATAGGCTAGTCACATTTTTGAACATATTAAAAAATTCTTAACTATAAAAATAAAAATATAAACATTAAAATTAAAAAAAGATGCCTATCCATGTCTTAGACAGTACTTTCCAGAACATAACAAGCATTCTGCATTCTCTCAGAATTTTTAAAAATGTGTTTGGTTCTCCGTTTAGATTGTGACCCAGTGTATGACAGAGACCATTTATAATTTTGTGCCCAATCAGTTATTAAATGTCTCTGAACTTCAGGTGGAGCCATAGTTTTAAGAACCTTGAAATAAAAATCAAGAAATTTGACTCCTGTGGGAACTTCTGCATCATGGATATAACAGAGTAAATGTTAGGAAAGACTACAAACAAAGAGATCAATTAGGAAACAATGTCATTAGTCTAGGAAAGAGTCTAAAGTGAGTGGTAAATGAGAATTAAAAAAAGAAAAAAAAAGGAAAAGTACCCTGTCTTGAATTGAACTAGGCAGGGGAAGAAAAAGTGACTTGTGATTGTTCTGAAAACAGGTCAGGGAAGGAAATTATGTGTGAAAGACAGTACAGGTAATTCTAGATATTGTTGAGTTAAAGGAAAGAAAATCATGAAGGAGCTCAAGATCATTCCAAAATTTTGGTTGTGAAAAATACACTAGTGAAGTTAAAAGGAACAACAGATTGAGTAGACATTAAGGTGTTAAAGAGGTCAACAATGGTGAAGAGCTGTGTTTCATTTTAGATGTAATTTTTATGCTAGGATTTAATCCCAGTATTTAACCCGCAAGAAGATGAAGAAAGTAGTTTTTGAGGAGCATTGTCAGGGCAACTCCAAGAAGATATATTTTGCTAGGATGGTACGCCAAGTGATCCTGGTCTGATTTTGTTTTTCTTGTGAAATGATTTTGCATTTCTTCTTCAGCATCTTCAGCTTTTCATTGAAAGACTAGTTTTGTTTCTTGCTTCATTTTTGTTTATATTTAATCCATGACAGATCTATAAGCAAGAAATATATATGTTACTGATGTTTGTTCATGGAAGCCACTGAGAATCTGAGGTTGTTTGTTACACCGTATTATTGTAGCAAAATCAGATTAATACACTACCTCTGGAAGAAAATAACATTTGCTTGAGTATGAGTATAAGAAAAAGGAGAAAGGGCTGGGCACGGTGGCTCACGCCTGTAATCCCAGCACTTTGGGAGGCTGAGGAGGGCGGATCACCTGAGGTCAGGAGTTCAAGACCAGCCTGACCAATATGGTGAAAGCCCATCTCTACTAAAAATACAAAAATTAACTGGGCGTGGTGGCAGATGCCTGTAATCCCAGCTACTCGGGATGCCGAGACAGAATTGCTTGAACCTGGGAGGCAGAGGTTACAGTGAACAGAGATCGTGCACTGCACTCCAGCCTGGGCAACAAAGCAAGACTCCATCAAAAAGAAAAGAAAAAAGAAAAGAAAAGAAAAGAAAAGAAAAGAAAAGAAAAGAAAAAGGAAAAAGGAGAAGGAAGTCAAAATTTATTCTGAAATATAAAACTGGGTGACTGAGAATGAAAATATCACTTCTATTGTATACTTACGTACTGCCATGTTAAAGACGTGAAAGAAAAGATTCATATCTTTCTTTTATTAATTTTCTATGTATAGTTTTTTTATTTTTATGCATTTATAATAGTAAATAGCAGTACTGTTTTTGGAGGTTTCTGAATATATTGTGGGTCACATACCCTGCAGAGACTAAGATGAAAACCATATATGTTTTCTCCGGGGAAAAAAGATCAACAAATTACCTTTTATAAATCATCTCCTCACAAACCTAATCTGAAAAGAGAGTTAAAAAGGAGATAAAGAGGGAAGGCTTGTGACGATATTCTCCCTACTGAATGTTGGAACTTTCTTTACCTTTCCACATGTCCTCTGTCTGTCTTTAGATTGTGATCAAAGAAGAGTAGGTCTCCTTCTGTATTCTGAACAGGGCTATAAAAAGTGTCTTCATCACAGTTTGAAAAATGCCAACCAAGATCACTGTTTGAGAGATGAGTTAAGATATATAAAGCATTGTATCTAAAGTGAGCAGTGTGTATAAAATGGCACTCATTAATTTTCAAAGCATTGTATCTAAAGTGAGTAGTGTATATATAATGGCACTCCTTAATTTTCAATCTATTCATTAAAAAGTATATCAGAGGAAAAAGAAAAATTAAATTAACTTACTTTCCTCAAAATTGGAATACAGAAAAATATTATTTAATGGAAAAAATGTATTTGATATAAACTTACAGAAGTATGTCCATTCCAGATTAGCAATTATCTCTCCAAGACTACTCATGAAAGGGGCAAATTGGAGCCAGTATTAAAGGTATGATGATTTGTTTCCTTCAACTAATAAGACCCCAGGGCCTCCCACAGGACTCCTTGCAGCCTTCTCCCTCAAACCTTTCAAAACACAGAGTATAATATTAGGCACACCTGAAAGGAACAAAAAAAAACTGAGCCAAAGCAAGATAAAGGGAATATGTATACAAATATCTCAGCAGTTTCCAGGTTGACCCCATCCAACAAGTTTCCACTTGTTCTTTTGACCCTGGGAATCTACTTATAATAATTTTTACTTGAAAGGTGGGAGTTACATTTGAAGCAATATGAGAAAATTCTCAAAGCAGCAAAAATAAAATTGTTCTTTGCCTTGGCCGGCCATAATTACTTCATTGCTATGACATATGACATCATAGTTAGTCCTCAGGCTCGGGGGTGTTTCTAATGAGCTGGAGTTGGAAGGGTCCCAGTGGAATGCAGTGAACCAAAAGACCCACTGTTCTTCCAAATTCCAACATGATATCAGGAGGGAAAACAAAGGGCTCTTCAAGATTCAGAGGTCAACCTGTTCAGCATCGCATCAAAAGGTGGCAATAAGGCAAAAGGAGGTTTCAGGGCATAGGAAAAGGCCACTGTCACCTATTTCTACATCTAATTCAACAACAATGATACTGAATATGAATATTTTCAGTAATTTATGAGACCAAATTTGAGTATTTTGAAAATATTCTGTTAACTTGATATGTTATCACATTGGATCCTTGCCACAGGACTGTGTCCAAGGGAAAATTATTGGTTGCCAGTGCATACATACTATTTTAAATAAATGACTTTGTAATGAAAAATTTAAAACTATACATAGGGAAATAATGAAAACAGTGACAAATATGTTTATCCAGCACATGAGCGAGGTCCTTTTCTGCTCCCTTAGCACAAAGGACCCTCAGAGGTGCAGCCACCTTCCCGGGGGCCCATATGAGCCATTCACCATATACTCCCTTCTGGGAATATGTCTAATGATTTAGCCAATTTATCAGCAAGACAGCCCAGTGGCTAATGCCAGCATCAACTCACCAGAGGTCACAGAAGCTAACAGAAGCCTCTTCCATAGGGCAAAAGTCTTTGAAATGGACATGAGTATCTCTTTCCTAGTCCTGTCACTGGCCCCCAGTGCCCAGCTGGTTTAGGGTACTTAGACAAACTTCTTGCCTTAGAAATCTCCAAACAAAAATGACCAATAGTATTCAGTTTTTTAAAAGACTCACACATTTCAGGACAGACTGATTCAACACATACCCTGCTACAAGAAGGTTGGAGCAAAGAGGAGATATATACTTCCTCTGGACTTCTCAGACATGCTATAAATGTTTTTTGGCAAATCCCAAGATGAGATCACAATTATGGTGGAAGAGTTTAGTACAATTACCTAAAAAATTTTTTTAAAAAGTAGAAAAATATAACTAGAAATATAAAAGATTTGAATAAATAACAGCTTTGACATAATATATCTGAATAAAGACTTTTATAGCCAACAAACATAGACTATATATCATTTTATTGTTATATAGTGAAAAATTTTCAAACACATGAAAGTATAGAGCACAGGATAGTGAAATTTCAATGTGCCCATTAGGTGGCTTCAACAATTATTAATATCATGTAATCCTAATTTTCTTCATTTCTCACCAGTTACTTCTATCCTCCTCATGTTTCTCTCCCTCGTCCTCTTTTTTTCTTATGGAGTAATAGAATATATATTTTTTAAACGCTTGTGGTCGAATGGTTGCAAAACATGGCTCCAATTCTTCACACACCTACACATATCCTTGCTCTTTTCCATGTCACTTTTCAGTGCTGTCTCAACATGAGCAGCATAACCTTCCAACCCCCTGACTCTGAGCACAGATATGCAACTTATTTTAACCCAAACAATATTAGCAGGAGTATCAGAGAACTGAAAATGTGCTTCTGCCTTTTTTTGGTCTCTGCAATCCCATGAGGAAATTCCTAATCTACCTGACTAGAAGTTGAATGTCCTTGTTATCCTAGCTGAGGCCAGCCTAGATCAGCCAAGAGCCACTCAGCTCCCAGACCATCAGACGATCCTAGCCAAAAGCAGCAGAAATTTCCAACCAACCATCCCTGGACTGTGAGTAGTAAGTGCTTATTGTTGCATGCAGCTGATAATTTGTGGTCGTTTCATAGCATTACATAATGGTAGATACATGACACAGAACCTAAGAATTATATGTACTATTTATTTTTTGTCAAAACATAAAAGGAAGCACACAAAAACACCACCCCCCCATACATACACAAAAATATTGGGTAGAAGATAGATAGATAATATTTTAATTACTCAAAAAAAAATCACATAACAAAGTAGATGTTAATATTAAAACAGAAAGTAAGTGAAAGAAGAGAGAACAAAGTAAGAGGTGGTAGTCCTGCCTTTTGAGCTTTGTGCTGGACAGAGTTGCTGGTAGCCTAAATTCAACTCCTGCAGGAACATGTGGCCTTTCACAACCAGAGACAAAAGCTGGGGCCACTGTATGAGTCGGGGTTATATTTAAGGCCGCTGGAGAAGAAAGATTGACTGAGAAAAACAGCCACCACCCCACATACATTTATGTGGTCAACTGATTTTCAGTAAGGGTGCCAAGACAATTCAATAGGGGAAAGGAGTAGTCTTTTCCAAGCAAATGGTGTTGAGGCTACTAGATATCCACCTCAACGAGAATGAAATTGGACTCCTTCCACAAACCATATACAAAAATTTATTCAAAACAAAAGTCAAAATCAAAATTTTTTAGATCAAAAATCTAAATGTAAGATCTAAAACTATAAAACTCTCAGAAGGAAACATTGGTGCCAGGATTTATGACCTTGTGTTAGACAATGATTTCTTGGATATGACACCAAAAGCATAAGCAACCAAAACAAAATAAATAAATTGGACTTCATCAAAATTAAAAACATTTGTGCTTCAAAAGACATCATTCATAAGGTGAAAATAAAACTCACAGAATGGCAGAAAATGTTTCCAAATTTTATATCTGATAAAAGTCCGGTGTCCAGAATAAAAATATCTGGCATAAAGAAAGGTTTAGTTATTATTTCAAATCAACAATAAAATACAACCCTATTTTAAATGGGCAAAAGACTTGAATAGATATTTCTCCAGTGAAGATATAAAATAAGCACATGAAAAGATTCTCAACATCATTAGTCATTAGGGAATGCAAATCAAAACCACAATATGATACATGTTTATACCTACTAGGATAGCTATAATCAAAGATACAGAAAATAACCAGAATTATCTGGGCTGTAGAAAAATTGGAATCCTTATCCATGGTTGGTGGGAATGTAAAATAGTGTGGCCACTTCGGAAAATCTTAAAAAGTTAAACATAAATTTTTAGCCAGGTGCGGTGGCTCAAGTAGACAATCCCAGCATTTTAGGAGGCTGAGGCAGGTGAATGACCTGAGGTCAGGAGTTTGGGACCGGCTTGGCCAACATGGCGAAACCCCATCTCTACTAAAAATACAAAAATTATCCAGGTGTGGTAGCGCACGCCAGTAGTCCCAGCTACTCAGGAGGCTGAGGAAGGAGAATCGCTTGAACTAGGGAGGAGACAGAGGTTCCAGTGAGCTGAGATCGTGACACTGCACTCCAGCCTGGGCGACAAAGCAAGACTCTGTCTCAAAAATAAATAAATAAATAAAAATAAATAAGTAAAATAAAATAAGTTAAACATAAGTTTTCCATACAATCCAACAATTCTACTCCTACGTATGTACCCAAGAGAATTGAAAACATATTCACCCAAAAAGTTATAAGTGAATGTTCATGGAAGCATTTTTTATAACAGCCAAAAAGTGTAAACAACTCAAATGTTCATCAACTGATAAACAAATAAACAAATGTGGTATATCCATACAATAGAATATTATTCAACCAGAAAAAGTAATGAATTATTGATTTATGCTACCACACGGATGGACCTTGAAAACATGATGCTAAGTAAAAGATGCTATACACAAAAGGTCACATATTGTATGATTTCACTTATATGAATTGTCTGTAATAGACAAATCCATAGATGTAGAAAGTAAATTAATGGTTGCCAGGGGCTCGGGAAGTGGGGAATGAGGTAATATGGCTAATGGGTACAAGGTTTTCTTCTGGATGATGAAAATGTTCTGAAATTAGACAATGATGGTGGTTGGACAACCTTGGGAATGTACTAAAAACAATTGAATTAAACCACTGTAGAAAAACACTTCAGTAGGATGTGTTTTATGTTATGTTAATTATATTTCGATAATAATAATAATAAAGATACATAGGAGATAGATTGAGTAGCTTCATCAGTATCTAATAGTAGTTCCAGAAGGAGCCTGGAGAGGAAAAAGCAGAGTCAATATTCAAACAGGTAATCAGTGAGAAATTTCCAGACTGGAGAATTACATTAAACCACATCGGTTTAATTACATTAAACCACACCAGGTGTGGTGGCTCATGCCTGTAATCCCAGCACTTCTGGAGGCCGAGGCAGGCTGATCACTTGAGGTCAGGAGTTCAAGACCAACTTGGCCAACATGGTGAAACCCTTTCGCTACAAAAAAATACAAAAGTTAGCCGGGCATGGTAGCACATGCCTGTAGTCCCAGCTACTCAGGAGACTGAGGTGAGAGAATCACTTGAACCTGGGAGGTGGAGGTTGCAGTGAGCCAAGACTGTGCCACTGTACTCCAGCCTGGGTGACAGAGGGAGACCCTGTCTCCAAAAACAAACAATAGCATAATAAGTGTTGAACAGGATTAATAAAATAAAATAAATCCATATATGCACGTAGCTTGATGAAATTGCAAAAAAAAAAAAGAGTAATCTTAAAGCTGCCAGAATAACTACAGATTACTTTTAAAAGAGTGACAAAGTCACTAATTGCAACTTCTTAACAGCTCAAATAACTGCTTAGAAAATAATGAAGCACTATCATTAAATTATTCAGGAAAAGTCATTTTCAATAAGATTCCTATATCTAGCTAAGGCATGACTCAATAGTGAGATTAAAAAATGGTGTTTGTATATTTCAAATAAAAATTAGTAAACTCCTAAAAGTTAAAATTCATACAGAACATATTATTTGGCCACATGGCAATAAAATTATAGATTCATGATCAACATAAGCTTTTTCAAGGAAACTACTTTAAAATTGGTTTTAAATCAGCCTTCTAATCAAAGAGGGTATCAGAACTGAAATTATGTATTATTCATAATGAAAGAAAAGACGTATGTGACCAAAAAATGTACTTTTTATTATTTGTTATTCTTCTAAATATTCCCCACATAAGTCAACATAATTATATTTACATTTAATTGTTTCTAATTCACATCTATGTTACCTTTTTAAAAATTTCAATAGCTTTAGGAGTGCAAGTTGTTTTTGTTTACATGGATGGATTGTACAGTGGTGAAGTCTGGGGTTTTAGTGCACCCATCACCCGACTGTGTACATTACACCCAAATGGTAATTTTTCGTACCTCATCCTCCATCCATCTTCCTACCTTCTGAGTCACCAATACCCATTATACCACTCTGTATGCCTGTGCATGCCCATAGCTTAGTTCCCACTTATAAATTAAAAAATGCAATATTTGGTTTTCCATTCCTGAGTTTAGTTACTTCACTTAGAATAACTGGATTCCAGTTCCATTCATGTTGCTGCAAAAGACACTGTTTCATTTTTCTGTGCCTGAGTAGTATTCCACGGTATATACACACCATATTTTCTTTATACACTCATGAGGTGATGGGCACTCAAGCTTATTTCATATCTTTGCAATTGTAAATTGTGCTGCAATAAACATAGATGTCCTTTTGATATACTGACTTTTTTTCCTTTCGGTAGTGGGGTTACTAAATTGAATAGTAGATCCACTTTTAATTCTCTGAGAAATCTCCATACTGTTTTCCATAGAGGTTACACCAGCAATGCATAAGCAGTTCGTTTTCACCACATCCATCTCAACATCTATTGTTTTTTCGCTTTTTAATAATGGCCATTCTAGCTGGAGAAGTTAGTATCTCATTGTGGTTTTAAACTGCATTTCCATGTTGATTAGAGATGTTAAACAATCTTTCATATGTTTGTTGGCCATTTTTACATCTTTTTTTGAGAAACGTCTGTTCATGTTGTTTGTCAACTTTTTAATGAAATTATTTGTTTTTTTTCTTGCTGATTTATTTGTAGATTCTAAATACCAGTCATTTGTTGGATGCATAGCTTACAAATTATTTTCTCCCTTTCTGTAGGTTATTCACTCTATTTTATATATGTATTTATAAATATAATGTATAATTATATATTATATATTTATAATATATATTGTATATTATAAATATATAATTATATATTGTATATTATATAATATATAATTAATATTATATATTATGATATTATATATTATATATTTAATATATTATATATTATATAATATATAATTATGTATTATATAATTATATTTTTTTTTGCTGCGCAGAAATTCTTTAGTTTAATTAGGTCTCATTTATTTATCTTTAGTTTTTGTTGCATCTGCTTTTGGGGCTTAGTCACAAGTTATTTCCCTTGGTCTAGGTTTGCTTCTATAATTTTTATTGTTTCAGGTCTTAAATTTAGAACTTTAATTCATCTTCAGTTAATATTTGTATATGGTGACAGATAGGGATCAAGATTCATTCTTCTACATGCAGGTATCCAATTTCCCCAGCATCATTTGATGAATAGGATGTCCTTTCTGCCAGTGTATGTTTTCATCTGCTTTGCTGAAGATCAGTTAGTTGTAAGTATTTGGCTTTATTTCTAGATTCTCTCTTCTGTTCCATTGGTCTATGAATCTACTTTTATACCAGTACTATGCTGTTTTGGTTACTACAGCCTTGTTTAATTTAAAGTTGGGTAATGTGACACCTCCAGAATTTTTTGTTTCATTTTGTTTTGTTTGCTTAAGATTGTCTTGGTTACTCAGGCTCTTTTATTGATTCTGTATGAATTTTAGGATTGTTTATTCTAATTCTGTGAAAAAAATGACATTGGTATTTTAATATGAATTGCGTTGACTCTGTAGAGTGCTTTGAACAGTATGGTCATTTTCCACAATATCGAGTCTTCTAATTCATGAGCATGGGATGCCTTTCCAATTATGTCATGTATAATTTATTTCCTCAGTGTTTTATAATTCTCCTTTTAGAGATCTTTCATCTCTTTGGTTAAGTATATTCCTATGTATGCTATTTTTTTGCAGCTATTATAAATGGGATTGAGTTCTTAATATGATTCTCAGCTTGGTCATTATTGGTGTACAGCAGTGCTACTGATTTGTGTACATTGATTTTGCAACCTGAGACTTTACTGAATTCATTTATTAAATCTAGTCATCTTTTAGAGGAGACTTCAGGGTTTTCTAAGTATAAGATCGCATCATCAGCAAACAGAGATAGTTTGACTTCCTCTTTCCCAGTTTGGATGCCCCTTATTTCTTTCTCTTTCTTGATTGCTCTGGCCAGGATTTACAGTACTATGTTGAATAGAAGTGGTGAAAGTGAGCAACCTTGTCGTGTTTCAGTTCTTAGCAGGAATGCATTCAACTTTTCCCCATCAGTATGATACTGGCTGTGGGTTTGTCATGTATGACTTTTATTATTTTGAGGTATGTTCCTTCTACGCCTAGTTTGTTGAGGGTTTTTATCATAAAATGATTGTGGATTTTATCAAACGTCTTTTCTGCATCTATTGAGATGATCATATGGTTTTTGTTTTTAATTTTGTTTATGTGGTGAATCATTTTTTTTTTTTTTTGAGATGGAGTCTCGCTCTGTGGTCCAGGCTGGAGTGCAGTGGCGCGATCTCCGCTCACTGCAAGCTCCGCCTCCCGGGTTCATGCCATTCTCCTGCCTCAGCCTCCCGAGTAGCTGGGACTACAGGCACCCGCCACCACGCCCGGCTAATTTTTTGTATTTTTTTTAGTAGAGACGGGGTTTCACCGTGTTAGCCAGGATGGTCTTGATCTCCTGACCTCGTGATAGGCCCATCTCGGCCTCCCAAAGTGCTGGGATTACAGGCGTGAGCCACCGAGCCTGGCCGAATTACATTTATTGACTTGTGCATGTTGAATCATCCTTGTATCCCTGGGATGAAATCCACTTGATCATGGTGAATTTTCTTTTTGATGTGCCATTAGATTCAGTTTGCTAGTATTTTGTTGAGGATTTTTGCGTCTATGTTCCTCAGTGATGTTAGTATGTAGTTTTCTCGGTTTTCTTTTTCTATTTACTTCTATTTTTATTCTATATTTCTATTCCTACTCAATGTCTTTTCTATTTTTTCATTTCTTTTTATATCAACTTTCTAATCTGTATTTCTATTTCTATCCTATCATCTATTTCTCTTCTCTATTCCTATTTCTACTCTATATTTCTAACTGCATTCTAAATCTTTTCTATTTCTTTATGCATTAGCTTTACATACCACATATCATGCTCAGATATAAAGAAGGCGGATTTAGTTAATTTGCATTATCTTTTTATCCCCTCTTATTCTCCTCCAAGTATTTGATATCCATGTTCTTGCTGCTGTTGAGCCCTCTTTTGATTTCCTTAAATGTATCTTCCCCTACCCCCTGTCCTACTGCGGTTCCCTCTTGTCTCTCAGTCCATTCTCAGACTTGCCACGTTTTCACTCCTGCCCCTGCCGAGGTTGCGCCAGCTTGTTCTGCTCTGGTCACCCATTTCCCCTCTTTTTGGGATGCCCCTTGTAGTCAGGCCTCTGTGCACATTCCTACATCCAGCTCTCAGGCTGCTGCTTCTGCTCTGGGCTATTGCCCAAAGCTCCTACTGGGCTGCCAGTGCTGGGGCTGTCATTGCGACTGCCCTTGTGAAGCTACCAGTGTTCTCCTCTTCCAGCTGCACCTGGAGCTCTCATCCCCCAGAGGTGTCTTTAAATGTTTACGATTGTTTTCCTCAACACTCTCCTTTACTGTCATGCATACCTGTATCGGGCTGGTTACCATACTGCTTCTGTGACTGAACCCCTCCCTATCCTCAGATTCCATTAAGGAGTCTGGCTAATTTTGTCACAAGGGAGGAAGAAATACCTCTGCTGGAAGACTAAGGCAAAGGTCCTGGAACAAGTGGCCTAATTGTCTTCAAAAAGTAAATGGTTGCAAAATAGTTGCTATCATGACTGAGCGTTCAATTTATGGAAATTTATCAAGCTCTACACTTAACAATTTATGCACTTTTCTGTGTCTATAATATAATCAAGTAAACTAACAATTATTTTAATCGATAGTTTTAAAGTTATCATTTTTAAAGTTTAAAAATAATAAATACAATAGAATTCAAAGCTCAAAAAAATAAAACAGTTAACATTCACAGACAAAAAAAAGAAAAAGAAAAAAGAAAACAGAATTTCTGTTGAGGCTGGGCAGATTTTGTCTCTCTCCAGTTATTTGTCTTCTTTCTACTTTTCAAAGTTTTCTACATTTTCTCTAATGAGCAGGCTTTGCTTTCTGTTTCTGGGTGTTTGTGTATATATATATGTCTTTGTGCCTCCTAAGTGAGTACTTGTATCCTCCATCTCTTCTCTAAACTGAATTTTTCGGCAGAATACTTGGGTATAATCACATGGGGAGAAATAAGAAGGACCTTGCACACAAAACCCATGGGTACACTTTTACTTATGCTTCATACTTTATCTGGTACCCGTTCCTTTTTTTCTCCTCTTCTTCATCTGTATCTTTCTTTCTGTCTTCTTCGCCCTTTATTTCACTATTTCACTGAAATGAACTTTTTAACCCTATCTCTTGAATTGTTTCAAAAATTCCTGATTTTAGGCACTCAGTACATCTTCAATATAAGAGATATCTGGAAAAATGCGTTTACAAAATTTTCATAACAACTAAATGAAGCTATTAAATAGAAGATGTCTTCAGCTCTACCATGATAATGAATTAAGACCATTTGAACAGGGAGAAGTCTCAAAACATTTTTCATTTCGATTCAGCCTTAATATTTTGCTTTTATCAGATATCAACTTGGAGATAATCCTTTTAGAAGTTCGTCCATTGCTTATAACAAACCCAGCACAATTTTAAACAATTCCCCTTTATCTGATGGAGTGAAGATTGTCAGAGATGGGCCCCAGCTGGGGCCCAAATTAGAGTAATTAAGAAGCAAAGAGCCAGAGTACATTCCTATAACTTGTTTATTTTATTTGATGATGAAACAGTATTACTGGTGCAGAATTTGTCATACTTCTAGAAAAAGAAAGAGAGGGTCGTTGTTAAAGGGCCATGTGTAGCAGATATGAATGTCAGAGCCCCACAAAACAAGAGTAGACCATCAAACCGTAAGATACATGCTAAAAAAGACATGTAATTTTATTTCTGTGATGAGACTGAAACCATTACCAAATAAGGAAATAGTTTATTAAAACTATCACAAACTATTTCTCTGTGGTCGAGAGAAACGAAGACAATTTGCAATCAGCACCAATTTACCTGAGGTTTCTTGAGAAACACTTATAAACTCTGACTATTCTTGAAAAAAAGAGACAAGTTTATGCAATACTGAACTAAAATGTTTTGGGGACTTAATACATTTCCTTTTCTTTTTTGGAGACATCAAGTCACGCTTATAAAAATCAATTAAAATTAAATTTAAAGAAAACTCTCACAACATTCTGTACTGTGACATCAGTATCTCCTGACTCAATATGAAGACAATATTTCATTAATAAGTATTTGGGTACTAAAATTTTTCAGTCACATCCCTGGATTCATTTCAAATGCTTTTCACAGAGACAGTCAATTGTCAGTGTATTGAGCCCCTTCAGGGGAGAAGCTCTCTCTTTTCTTGAAGCATTCCTCAGACTTCCATAGTCTCTTATAAAAAGTAGAAACCTTGTAAAAAGTCTATCAAATAACTTTTAAATAAACTATCTTTACTGCACCAATGGTGAATGTAATTGATGACTTTACTTTTAGTCGATTTTACTTTGTTGATGACATGTTGTGTGGATTAAGCAAAACCAATTTGTCCTGGCCATTCACATACTGACAAACATTAGAAAGAGAAATTGATTTTAAAGTAGATAGTGTCCAGGAAAGCAATTCACATTATTATTTTACATGAGAGCATCCAAAACTCTCACTTAATAAAAGTTGAACTGCACTCTAAAAATTAGAAAGCACCTTGAGATATTTATTAACTCATTGAATTATAACATCCCTTACAGATAAGTATTAATACTCCTTTTTTTAAGTTGCCTATCTTAGATTACACAGCCTTGGCAGCAAAGTAACACTTATAATGGGAATAAATACACCATTAGAGAAATTATCCAATCTCCCTTTCATATCTCATCTACCATTCCCCAAAGGTATATCTTCATTTCTAATTCTGATTCTTCTAAAGATCCCCCACATAACTATCTAAAAATTATGCTTATTCTATTTCTTTATGCCATCAATTAACTCTCTAATTTAAACATGGTACTTTAGGTCATTAACAATGCCTCCTATCTCTCCCTTTCCTTCTAACGTTTGATATTTATGTGGTTATTAATGCAGCTGCTACAATTGTTCAAGTTACTTAGTTTCTCTTTGAGGTAACTTTAGTATAACAGAAGGGAAGAAGGAGATGATGTAGGCAGATGAAGAAAGAATTGATTGATATCAGGGGAGATGAAGAAATTCTTATCTTAAAATTTTCATATTCTCTTTAAATTAGTATACCGGCATCGTTGTTTGGGATAAATACCTGAGGTTTGTTGTCCCATGCCAGGGAAATGGAGGATGCGGGCACACAAGAAGTGACTTTAAGAGCAGGGATTTAATAGGCAAAAGAAAGAGAAAAAGAGAATAGCTCTCTCTCTTGCAGAGAAAGAGGGGCTCCCGAGTGGATCTTCTGATTTTGTGGTGAAATGCATGGGGTTTTATAGATGAGCTTGAAGAGGCAGTGTCTGATTTACATAAGGCCCAAAGATTGGTTGGACCAGGTGTGCCGTTTGCATAGTGCCTGAAGAAGCTGGCAGCCCCACCCTAATATTTTATAATGCAGATGGGTTCTCTACCTGGCCGGCACCACATTGCCTGTTCCTTTACTGTACACGTGGTTGACAAAGAAAAGGGAAAATGGAGCCTCTATGTTGAATGTGCCTAGCTCTCAGGTAGTTATTGGCACAGCTGCTGGCATTCACCTGTGCAAGCTTCCAGCTTGCTTATCTATTTCTGTAGCTCGATTTTACAGGCAGCTCTTTGTTAGAAAAGAAATAATTTGGGGCTGCTTTTTGTTAAAAGGGAAACCTTACCAAGAACTCTCTTACCCTCACTATCTTCCTAAATAATTTCTTTCTATGTCCTGTATCATTAGGAGATTAAAGTAAGAATAAAGAGGTGTGGTGCGGTCAGAAGCTTGAGAAGAGTTCAGCACACATTTATTGAGCTCCTCCTTAGGGCCAGGTATACTGATAGACACTCCCAGCCTTGATTGGGGATTTGGGAGGAACTTCATGGAGGAAATTACTCCTGAGTTGACTCTTCAAAAATAGAGATGACTTGGGCAGGTGAAAGGAGAGAAAAAAGAAAACGAAAAAAGGTCATTTCCACCAAAGGAAGAGTTAGCACAAGAGCTTCAAGGGTGAGAAAGGAAGGAGCGAGGAGGCTTTGGAGAGCATATGGTCAATGCTGCTGGAAAGGTGGTCAGGGCCAGGCCAGGGGCACCCTTTTAGAGTGTGCTATGCATCTGCAATTTTAGATGTCTATGAGGTGAAGCCACTGAAGAATGATAAGCAGGAGACATGCCCACTTTTTACTTTTTATATAGTTTACTCTGGCAAGAAGAGATATAACAGAAAGGGGAAATGGAGGCAGAAAGATAAGCTTGATGGCTTTTGTTATGCTACTGGTGAGAAATGGTGTGAAATGGAGTAGAAGGGGCAGGTTCAAGTAGTATTTGAAGACAGACTAGTGAGGACTAGGAGACTGATTTGACAAGATGTGATGGAATCGATAAGAAGGACAGAGATTTACAAGTAGCACCTTGGTGTTTGGTTTCTGTAACTGGATAAACAGTGATACCATTAACTGAAAAAGAGATTACCAAAAGAAGTAAAGGTCTGTAATGGGTTGGGGGAAGACAGAGAATTGAGGGATGTGTTGAGTGTTCAAGAGGAAATGTCAAATAATTATTACCATATATAAACCTAAAGTACAAAAGAGGGGTCAGTTATTATTTTGAGGTGGTGGTTGAACCATGACAGTGAGTTCTACTAGGGAAAGAGGTTGAAGACCAGAACTTTGGAGAGATTCAACTAATAAGGGTCTTGTGCAGATAATAAGCCCATACTAAAATCTGAGAGAAGAACCAGGTGTTGCAAATGCCAGGGAGACCTAGAAATTAAAGAGTTACAAAGATGGAATGTTAAATAATGTCAAGTGCTACAGAAAGATGAAAGGGGCCATACAGAAGCTGGGGATAACTGTTATTATGATAAGTTTAGCAGCAGTGGAGAGGCAGAGCCAAGTCAGACCTTAGGATAGGGGGTGGTGAGAAGTGCCCACAAGATGAGGAAGAAGGAATTGAGGCTCTTTGGCAAGTAGTTTAACTGGGAAGGAAAGGAAATGATCGTATGGCCAGATAAATAGAGAGCCTTATTTGTCCAAAGAAGGGGAAATATACACTGATCTTTTGCTGAGAGTCAGGAAGATGCCTAATATCACTCTATTTTGGTAGGAGAATATGAGGTGAGGTCACCTACTGGGAGTGAGAAGGGGTGGGTTGGGTAAAGAAGAGAGTAGTAAAGTCTTTGAACTTACTCACTGGAAGTTGAGAGACACTCTATGCAGAATTGTCTTGAGGTTAAAGGAATGATTAAAAATTTGACCTTTTGTTCTTTTTTCTATTTCTCCTTCTCCCTTCAGCATTTCTAGCTCCACTTTCTAACTGACCTACTTCCCAATTAGATGAATGAAAACAGTGATGGTACTGTCAATTCCAAAGTGGCAAACAAAACATTGCATGCCTTCAATATCACTAGACATAGATGTGGGAGGAAATCAAGAATTGGATAAGCCTGCTACAATGTGTAGATCTGGGCAATTACTTGACAACAGTGCACCTCTAATTTCCCCTGTGAAAAACAGAAATAATGTTGCTGAACTCAGAAGACTGCATGAATTAATAGAGATAATATATGGAAAAGCCTACAGCACTACTTGGCTTATAGTGGACTATCAACAAATTTCATTTTCTTACATAGGAGGGTAAAATAACGATCAATATATTGAAATGGGCAGAAGAGAAGGGAATCATATTCAATGATGAAATAACAGGAAATAGGGCAAAGGAGTAGAAAGGGGAGCTTTCTAAGGAGGTTCTCATTGCAAAGAAAAACACATGAGAAACCAAGACATAGATGGAGATGAATGTTTCTAAAGAAAGATGCTCGTAGTACAAAAGTGTGGAGAAGGGCAAGGGAAATACTCAAATACCATTAATCACAATCCTTGATGTCAATCCCTCCGGGGTTCAGAGGAAAGAAACAGGCAGAAAAAGCATGTGTAGTCCTGTATATTATTCAAAAAAGCAGCTGCTCCTCAAATCTGGAAAGTCAAGACTCTTAAAAAAAAAAAAAAGATACTGGAGCCAAACAAGATCCCAGAAATAGCATACTTGTAGAAAACCACTCACTGCTTCTGGGAAAATAGATTTAGGGTTGAATTGAGGATAACATTGCACAATGAAGACTTGAAGAAAAAGGAAGCAGAACTGATTGAATTTATCTGGAAGGTTCCTGTCACTTGATTCATTCTCCAAATAACTAGTGAATACCTACTGTGTGCCAAACGCTGTGTCCTCTACAGGAAAACAATTTTTCTTTGAAGCATGTTTAAGTTTATCAAAACAGTTGTTTGTTTTATCGGTCTAGAAAACCACACAATTTTTAGGACAAAAAAAACAGTCTAATGTGAAATAACATTGAACTGGAAATCTTGGCGAGGCAAGAAAGTCATTACATCTCTGCCACTGACTAGTGGCATACCCGTAGTTAAACTTCTATGTACCTATATCTTTGAGCCATAGCCTTCTTCTTGTATCATAAATGCAGATGAATGTCTATTAACATCTATGGCATCTGTTGCAAATATATAAACAGGCTTCTTTTTGGCCAACATGATTAATAATGTATAAGATTTTTTTCTAAATAAGATGTATTCTGAGGAGAGTAAAAGCTAACACTTAAAATAGGGGAGATATTTGGTCATTGATTAAATTTTGTATTTCCTTTGGGATACTAAATAATGAATAAAAGATGGTGATTGTCATTTAAGGAGAAAGAGGGTTTCTATGAGATCAAAATTTTGCCCAACCCCATGCATTATTTAGTATTATGTCTCCTAATGAGATTTCATATCAACTTACTCAGAATCAAAGCCCTAAGTTCTAATCATGTTTTTAAAAGAACATAGAACCAAGTTAGTAAATTTACTGATGGCTCTCATTTATTATCTAGACAGTGAGTGAAAAGAAGATGGAGAGGAATTCGGATAGATTTAGATACATCAGGGGATTAAAAGTGCAGTGATTCATGAAGTTTGACTTGCTGGAACATCATGCTCATTAGGCATTTAAAGAGTGAGGGTATGGTGAGAAAATGGAGATGACCAATACAGATTATTGGTAGAAGAAGGAGTGAACGAGAAAAGTAGCTAGAGAAGAAGGATGAAAGGTCACAGGAAGGATTTGTCAATATAGAACCTGAAGAGGGAGAAACTGAAATTCATCCTTTAGTTCATTGGATGTTTTACATCTTGGCTAATAAAGTCCTCTCTGGCATCTTTTAATGGATTAGAGTTCTCTAACTAATATAATTCTCTCTGTTGACAGTTCACAGAAAAGAGATGTTGAATGTGACAGCTGGCAGTGCCCTGGCTGGCCAGTGCAGGTAGGATTACAGAATGACAGCACTGGGTTGTCTAGTGAGACTGAAGCTAGAGATAATATGAGAGTTACCAGAAGGCATATCTTGTTGAAAGCCTGCTTCTTCCTTGCATGTATTTCCTGTTGAACCTATCAACTCTCCCAGTGTCTCTACTTAATAAAGTCTAATCATCCTCTGATGGTTGGATCTGGCCAATGGCCAAGGTGAAGCCCCTCAACCAAAGACCTGAAGGAAGAGGGTAGTGAGGTTGAGGCATTTATTCTCCCAGTTGTTTACCTGGGGGACCACCTTGGGCTGGCTGCAACCCTTGACCAGAGGTCACTGCTTCTCTCAGGTGAACCTGTCTCCACAGCCTTGTGCTTCTAAGGTCTAGGAGTGATAGCAGCCTGGTTACTAGAAGCTCCAAGATACTGTACCACCCCTTGTCGGTATTGTCAGCCCTTTATATAATCCTTTTATTAAATCATCTGTTTAGTTATCTATCACAGCATAACAATTCATCCTGAAATATAGTGGCTTATAATAATAATTATGTGTTAGTTCTCACAGTTCCTGATGATCAAGAATTTAGGAAATGTTTGGCTAGGAAATTTTTGCTTAGGGTCTCTCATGTGGTTGCAGGTATATGTTGGCTGGGGCTTCAGTCATTTGGATGTAGGATGCACTTCCATGGCAGTTCACTCACTCACATGGGCAAGTAGGTGCTGGCTATTGATTGCGGCTTCAGTTTCTCTCCATAGGGATTTCTCTGTGGGGTTTTTTGAGTGTGGTGCCTGGCTTTCCCCAAAGCAATCACATACACCAAAAGAGAGAGATGGGGGGTGGGGGGGAGAGAGAGAGGGAGAGAGAGAATGTCACACTGGCTTTTATGGCATCACCTCTGAATTGATGGAGCTTAACTTCTGCATTCTATTCATCAAGGCAGTTAATTCACCGAGGTTCATGGGAGAGAATACAGAACCTTCCTGTTGATGGGGAAATGCAAACCACATTATAATGGGAGCATAGGATGTTGATATACGCATAGTGTGGCCGTCTTTGCTAAATACAATCTGCCACCTGCTCCTTGAATTATCCCGATTTGACTTTGCCATCTCTTTTCTGCTGGTATTCTGCAAGATGCAGTCGAGATCATTGCAGGATCCCTCCAGATCTAAAATTGTAAGAATCTTCTGAATAATTGAACAATTGCCTAAGCACCAGCCAGATGAAATGGTTAGTTGATCCAGTTGGGGCAAGCTGAGCAGAGACCAGGTTCCTGGGGAGCAGCTCTGCTTGCCAGTGAAGAAATATTGTTCAGGGAGAGGTACATTTTAGGTCATATTGGCCATTTATGCAAACGTCTAACATCAGGCAAGTCTGTGAAGTCAATTAAGGTATGCAGAAGAGCAGGAATCAAGAAGATAGGCTCTTGAGTCAAAAAGAACTAGATTTTAATTCTAGTTCCATCACCTGTTTGTTGTAAGATCCTGAGCAAGTTGCTAAGCTTCATCAAACGTCAGTTTTGTTACCCTTTCATAAAGATATGGTCAACCTACCAACTTGTGTCAGGCAGAGTCTAAGCAAGAAAACAGAAATCACTTTACATATTTACAATAAGGGAATTTCTTACAGAGCTTTTGTCAACAGATGGTGGAGAAGCCAACAGAAGATATTGAGGAAACTCAGAAATTATCAACCACTGAAAACTGGGGAGAAAGAAGAGGTGCCCCCAGGAAAGCTGTGGGCGGGTCTGCCACAGCAGGAGTTTCAAGAGAAAAACAGTCATGTGTCAACCTTAAATTCACTCCCTCTTCTCCTTTATCCTTGCCTCACAAACAATAATATCCATGAAATCATGGGCTTAAAACATAACATTTTTTCCTAGTCTAATTAAAATAAAGTTATGACTTTTTAAAATAAAAACTTTTCTAATGCATGTTAAAACAACTACAGAACCTTTAATATGAAAATATTTGGTCCAGGCGCAGTGGCTCACGCCTGTAATCCCAGTACTTTGGGAGGCCGAGGCGGGTGGATCACCTGAGGTCGGGAGCTCAACACCAGCCTCAACATGGAGAAACCCCGTCTCTACTAAAAATACAAAATTAGCCGGGCATGGTGGTACATGCCTGTAATCCCAGCTACTCAGGAGGCTGAGGCAGGAGAATTGCTTGAACCTGGGAGGCAGAGGTTGCGATGAGCTGAGATCGTGCCATTGCACTCCAGCCTGGGCAACAAGAGCGAAACTCCGTCACAAAAAAGAAAAAGAAAATGTTTGTCTCAACTTTGGAAAGAATTGTGACATTTAAGGTGCTTAGTATTAGGTACCTGAAGTAAGCATTCATCCATTAATAGGTAGCTGCTATTATTATTATTAATTATTGCAAATAACTACAAACAATTTTGACCGTGACTGTTTTGTAATCAAGTAAAATACACTTTGAGAGGTGGACGAAACCAGATGGAACAGAATTAGCATGTGGACCTCATACTGCAGAACTGGCTCCTCCAGACTGGGCTACCTCGCTGAGCCTCATTTGCCTGTGTTTAACATGTGTGCACAGGAATGTTCGGAGCAAGGCTAATAGTCCTGGGACTTGTTCTTGGCATAATGTGTTTAATAGGCAAGAAGAAGAATCTGAGAGCCAACCAATAACCATTACCAAGTCCACTTTTCTTTCTGCTGTCTATAGATCGTACGTCCAACAAAGCGGGTGCTTTAAAATAACTGAAGTTTTAGGATTATTCCCTCTCATCCGAAACAAGCATATGCTGCGAAGAGTCTCCATCACTTTAAATGCAGCATGAAATAGCATCTAACTATACTTAAATACTAAAGAAAAGATGATGTCTTAGAAGGGATTAAAACTAACAAAGGCATAAAAATGGGTATACCATTCTGAGACAGGGACACATCAGTTGGTAAAAAGGACTTTAAGACAGTATTCATTAGAAAGGAAAAAAGGTCAGCATCACATGGAATGAGAGGTGCCCTTTCCAGGGAAACGCCTGAACCTAATTTATCTTGCTTCACTAAGACAGGAAATGCACTACAATATTCAGGATGGGGGGGAAATGACAATTTAATGATTACAGAACATCTTTCACGTTCCGTGGTAATTGAACAATCTCAACATCAAAGGCAGGGCTGGTAGCCTTTCAGAAAATGGAACGTCGTTTTGCTTTCCTTTTCACTTTTTACTGCATCAGTGAACTTTAGCCTCTTCTCTGGCTTTATTTTTCCATTTTCATTTAGCATTGACACAAAACAGACCTGCCTTTAAGTGTACCATGCAAAGTAGTAATTTATGTTGGAAACTTTAAATGGATGAGACAGAACCACTTTCGTATCTGTTACATTTTAATGGCATTAAATATATCCAGCTGAACAAAGTTCAGACCTTCGCTGTTGCAGGTGAGGGTAGTTTGACATAATAGACACCCTATTTCCCCACCCACCTCATAAAGGGGAACATACAAGCTGTCATGTCTAAGGCATGTCATCCTCCCAAATCACCAATTTTCTATCTATAATGCTACCAGCACCACTGAATTTTGGAGCTTCCTTTATATCAACAGTTCTTTATATTTTCCCCAAGCATGATTTGCTAATTTTATGGGGTAGTGAGACCGTAATACTGGACTCAGGGAAGATTATTCATTTGAGACAATGGTAAATTCCCAATATCTTTGCTTTTCTAATATTGAACAAAAAATATTTAAAGAAAAATTCTCACATAATGGAATTTTAGTGGTAATAAACATTTCTCTTTGGCTATAACTTGATAAGAGTGCCTACAGAAAACTGGTATTAATTAAATAATGGTGATTAACAGGTGAAATTGGGAGAGGAGGTATACTGGGGTTTTATGTTTGTTTGATTTTTGTGGGTTTTGTTTTGTTTATACCATAATTAACCACAAACCAACACAGATTTTGCAAATATTTACATTGCACACGATGAAATTTTGCCTAAGGATGAAACTAAAGTGCAGTCAATATTATGGAATTCATGAGGGAAGTTTGGTAGTTGCCTATCTTACCAATGTTCAACCCAGGATTTGAGCCCTCAATTCTTCCTACCTGCCCTCTACCTCCTTTCGAAAGGGGCTTGAAATCAGCATCTAGCAGAAAAATAGAACAAGGAAAGACAAATGTTTCCCCAGATTCCAGGAAAAAGATGGCGGACTTCCTCCCCTTCCTTTGTGATATTGTGAAATTGTGGTTCACTCTTAAGTGAGAGAAAATAGCTGCTTGTTTTGCTTATTTTCCTTTTTGGAGTTATAAGCCATTAGATGTTGAGAACCACTTAGAATATCATGATTTGGGATTTTCCTTAGGACTAGAGTGCCTTCAGTGTAGAAAACCCTTTTGACTAATTTTCTAAAAGCAATATGAAAAAACAAATGAGGAGCTGACTGCTTAACCGGTGGTCTAGGATTTTAGGGAAAGGAAAGTAATGAACACTCTGAGGTTTCCTTCTGCACTGCTCAATACAGCTTGCCAGAATAGAAAAGTTGATAGACAGAGATTCATATACGATGTATCAGTCAGCTTTTGCTGTGTTAATGCTACCTGACAAAAAAACAAAAATCACAGTGGCTTATAAAAACAGGCATTTAATTCATGCTCATGGATCTGCAGGTAAGCTTGCTTCAGAAGGAGTTAGTTGGGCTTCTCGGCGCCAGACTAGACTTCCAACTTTGGGTCAGGTATAAGTCTTGTTTCCAGGATCCAGGCAGAAGGAACAACGACTACTGGAAGCAAGATCTGGTAACTCATGGTAGAGACCAGAGCTCCAAGAGGACTGATGGAAACCTGCAAAACCATTTCAGGCCCTAGCTGCTAACTGGCATACTATCACTTCTGCTTAAATTCTTCTGACCAATGCAAGTCATATGGCCAAACCTAAACTCAACAGGGGGAAAGAACATTCTACCTACAGGAAATCCATGATAAGGGCTAGAGGAAAGACAGAATTATGAACAAATAATACTGTTTAGTGGACCTGGGGTTTGTGCTCTATTTCTCCTCCTCATGGCATTTTATTTCTGGTATTTATGGATGGATTCCAGAAGATCATAGGAACCTGCAGAAATAGTTCATGGAATTTGTGCATTTATATATTGTTTTAAATTCTTCCAAACATCCTTCCTCAAAAGGAAACAAGAACTTCAACTTCAGACACAACTATCTTTAAGGCTGAATGCCTGTAGAAGGCTGAAAAATCCCCACTCCCAAGATATCAGGTCCTAACCGTTGGAGCCCATAAATCTTACCTTATTTGGAAAAAGAGTCTTTGTGGATGTGATTAAATTAAGGATTTGGGCACAGAGAGATTATCCTGGATTTTCCAGGTAGGACCTAGATATGAGTACAAGTGCTCTTATAAGAGAAAGGCAGAGGTGAGTTTACACTACACACAGAAGACGGAACAATGTGAAGACAGAGGAACATCTTGGTGGGATGCAGCCACAATCCAAGAAATGCCAGCAGCCACCAGAAGTTGGAAGAGGCAAAGAATGGCTTCTCTCTTAGAGCCTCTGGAGTGAACACAGCCCTGTACACACCTTGACTTTAACCCCGAGAAGCTGATTTTGGACTTCTGGCCTCCAGAATTGCAGCAGAATACATTTCTGTTGTTTTATCATGGAATACTATGCAGTAATAAAAAAGAATAAAATCATGTCCTTTGCAGGAGCATGAATGGAGTTAGAAGCCATCCTTAGCAAACTAATGCAGGAACAGAAAACCAAATATCACATGTTCTCACTTATAAGTGGGAGCTAAATGATGAGAACACATGGATGCAAAGTGGGAAACAATAGACACTGGGGCCTGCTTGAGGGTGGAGGGTGAGAGGAGGGAGAGGATCAGGAAAAATAACTGATGGGTACTAGGTTTAGTACCTGAGTGACGAACTAATATATACAACAAACCCCCATGACACAAGTTTACCTATGTAACAAACCTGCATGTGCACCCCCAAACCTAAGATAAAAGTTTAAAAAATAAATAAATAATTTTTAAAAAGACGATTAAATTAAAAATGGAATTTCTGTTGCTTTAAGCCACATGTGCGTGGTAATTTGTTACAGCAGCCATAGGAAACTAACACAATGCCTTCCTTTAATTGTTAACTTCTTTAAAGAAATTTAAATATTCAAAGAGAAAATATTCAGTCAGATTAAATTTCCAAAAAAGAGGGCACAAGCGATGCCCTCAAGTTCCCAGTGTGATCACAGGTCGATAGTTAATCAGCTGTGCACATGACCTAGTGATCTCTGTCAATTTCATACCGGAAGATTTTATACATCTCTACGTTATACTCTAAGCTGATTGGTCCCCTTGTTAGAATTACCAGCAAGGAAACCCACAAGAGGATAGGAGGTTTTTTTAAATTAACCATCTCTCAATGAGATGACACATAAACTTACTTAAGTGGCTAAAATTAAAGACTTATGGTCTGTGTGTGTTGGCAAGCAGGTGGAACAACTAAAACCCTCATAGATTTTCGGTGAACAACAACTCTGGAAAACAATTGGCCGTTGCCTACAAAGTTAAACATAGCTAAGCAATTTCACCCTCAGGCATTTGCTCAAAAGAAATTAAAACATATGTCCATAAAGAGATTTATACATAAATGTTCATAGAAGCCTAATTGATAAAAGCTAAAAAACTGAGAACAACCCAAATATCTGTCAACAGAAAATTGGATATATTCATATAATAGAATACTACAGAGTAATGTAAAAGAGCAAAATACTGATATATGCAACACAGCAGGTGAATTACCTCTGTCCTGAAGGAGTTTCAAAGTGTCCTGTGGTTTCCAGTGGATACTAGGCTTAATCCCTGGGGTGACAAAATAATCTGTATGACAAACCCCCATGACACTGGTTTACCTACATAGTAAATCTGCACATATACTCTGGAACTTCAAAGTTAATTAAAAATGAAAAAAAAAAGAAAAGAAAATGTTAGCCTGGGGCATAAGTTTGGATATTTATATTACGTTGAGTGAAAGAAGTCAACATAAACATAAAAGTTGTTTGATTCCATTTGTATGAAGTTCTAGGAGAAGGAGGGTTAATCTGTAGTGCTAGATATCAAATCAGTGGCTGCATAGGGCAGGGATGGGGGGCTGGCTACAAAGGAACATCCGGGAAGTTTCTGGCTGATAAAAATATCATATATTATGGGAGGGCACGGTGGCTCACACCTGTAATCTCAGTACTTTGGGAGGCTGAGGTGCGAGGATTGATTGAGCCCAGGAGTTTGAGGTTACAAGGAGCTGTGGTCATACCACTGTATTCCAGCCTGGGTGACAGAGTGAGAACCTGTATCTAAATAATAATAATAATAATTAATGTTATATATTGTAATTTGTGAGACAGTTGTATACATCCATCAAGCTCATCAAACTCTATATTTAATATTTAATATTTTATTGTATATAAATTATACTTTAATAAGGTGATTTTAAATCTCATAATTAAATGGGTAGTCACCAAAGCTTTCCAGAACTTTGACAAGGAAATGAACAATGGATGATTTGTTGCTCCATGACTTCTCCTTCCCGCACTATGTTAGACATCAACTGAGGTTTCAGGAAGTGAGCCCTTCCATTCTCTATTTATCCTGTAATGGACAAACTGTGGAACACCTATCTCGACTTGTTGGTGTAGCAGTGGTAAGACAGCCTTCTTCTGAATTCTATGCTTTCCAGCCATAACCAGAGTTTTGTGTTATCATATATACTCAACAGAGGTCCATAATTAAGAATCCCTTGGGAGAAATTTCCAGAAAAAAACAAAAGGAAAGGAAAGAAAACCAAAACACTATTTTGAAGCCACCGTGCAAAAGAATACATCAAAAAAGGCAGTTAATAACTTTATTCAGAAAAATCAAGACAGAGAGATAGCCTGGTCTGGAAGGCATTCAGTTCAGAAACTTAAGATTAGAGACTTAATCGTTTTTCAAATATATACAAGGTGAGGGGATAAACATTCAATATATTTTGCAGTAGCTCTTCTGTCTTCCACTGGGAAAAAGAGAGCCCAGGCTTAAAGAAATTGCAGCTAATATTTCACATGGGTTTTTTTTATACCTGTTGTCTTGCAGTACAAGTTACCACCACTGAAAAACAGAAGAAAATGGAGAAAAAAAGAAGAAGAAGAAAAACCCAGAGATACTTCTTCCAAAATTTACAGTCTTACTATTTAAGACTGGCAAAAGCAATCTTTGATGAAAGAAGTTGATCCCAAACTGTAGCCTGTTTGAGAATTACCTGGAAGGCTTGTTAAAACCTGTTAAAAGCCCAGCCCCAGAATTTCTGGTTCAGTAAGTGTGCTTCTCTCAGAGGTCCTCAAGTGATGCTTATGTTGCTGATCCAGGGACCACACTTTACAAACCACCGTGGTAGGTTAATGGGCACTGGTTTCCCTAACACTAACTCCTCCATTCCTCCTCTTTCCAACCGAGATGGTAACAGGCCCTTCTTTGTAATAAAGATTAGGCAATAACTCCCTGATTTTGAGACACAGAAGGAATTGCTGAATATAGGAAGGGGGCCTGCCATTGTTGGAGACTTCTAGTTCTACAAGAAACAAGTTTGGCCTCTGAAGACAGACTGTAGATTTGTGAAGAGTATTCCTGCAGAAACCCCCTCTCCCAGCCACAATTCACCAAGAGGATGCCTTCTAATCTCCAAACCCTTGAATGATGTAAAGAATACAAAAACAGGGGAGGGGAGAAGGTCCCACTGTAGTGGGAATTCTGAATATTGCTGAGAAAATTGTGAAAGTAGATGGAGATTATCTGGGGAACTCACAGATGAAATTCTGGGTGGCTCCGTGCCAGAAAAAATAACCCATTACAATTAAAAACAAGTTAAATCAAACTGTCTGGGCTTAATTGAGCCTACTCTGAAAGTTTCTCTTCAACAAACATGGTGCTTTCAGTAGGTGAGAATGAAATTGTCCAGTCCCTTGAAACTAATTTAAACCCCCACCTCTTCCACCCTTCAGGCAAGGGATGCAAGGCTTTTTCTGAGTGAGTGGATGTTGCAAAGTGAAGAGGACAATTCCAGGGATTCAAAATATCACCCAACTCATACACAAGGCAATACCTACTTGTAGCCAACCAATATCAGACTTTGTTATAATTGCAAGGGCTAGTTCCATGGAGATGCTACAGAACTAGCAGCACATATGTGATTGCAAAACCTAGTGCTGACATTGTACTAACACACATACACACACAACTCTAGAGCAATGTCTGAAAACTAACTTGGGACAGTTGGGAAAATGGTTTCCAGAAAAATCTCAGGAGACCTGAAACATCTATGCAGATAATCAGTACCTACCACTTAAAAACTCATCTTATCCTTCTTGTTCACGTCTTATTTCTCTTTATTGTTTTCAAGTCCTGCTTTATATTAATCCAATGACATCTGTGCAAAGGAGTCAGAGGAGTCATAGGGAGTGAAAGGTGGCCAGGAAGACAGCAATGCTCAAAGGCCACTTGGACTTGGCTTGAGCCCACATCTCCCCTGAGGCCTCTATTCATGCCCATACTCCTTAGATTCTGAGCACATGCATGAACAGGCAGACAAACGCTAAAGGCCATAAATAAGCTAAGATTAATAAAATTTTTTAGAGGAAATGGAGAAGAGTGAGAGAAAGCTGCATGTCTTCAAAATCAGAGAAGCAAATAAACAGAACTGTTCTGCCAATGTTTGCTTTCCCCTCTGGCTGTCAGAGGTTGCAGCCCAGGCCTGAACTTGCCGGGACGAGGGTGGCTCTTGGTGGCTCAGCCTGTGTCCAGAGGATTTGTCGATTAGTCACAAACTTGGTCTCCCTGTGTGTCTGAGAAAGAGCCATGACTCATCTTGACAACTGTCAGTATATTACCTCAAATGGGCACAGGGAGAGATGAGCAACCTGGTGCCGGAAAAGAACACAAAAGGGCTGATGCCACTTCCTGCAGTATTTCAAGGTTTGGGCTAGAAGAGTTTATGTGGCAAGAATGCTAAGCTGGGAGCAGCCCCGCAGAAAATGACCGCGTCAGCACACTCAACATCCTGCCATTCAGACGTAAGAACGGGCGATGTTAGCTCAGAGGACATGAAATTTATTTCCATAAATAAAAATGTTATGTTTCTTCACATTATTCACTTTCCCCAAACAGAAATTCACACTTCAAAAAATTAGCTTTTGGTTTTAGAATTCAGTCAATTCTGCATACTCGACTCTAATATTATGATTTTTAAAAATGTACATCTACGACCCAGCAATTCCACACTTAGGAATATTCCCAAGAGAACTGCGTATATGTGTTCACTGGAAGATATGCATTAGAATGGCTCTAGCAGCATTATTCATAATAGCTCTAAATTGGAAATTCTCCAATTGCACATCAACAGTGGAACGGATAAATGATTAGTGTATATTCATGCCATTGAACTACTACACAGCAATGAGAATCTATAACCACATACAATGATATGGATGAATTCCATAAACACAGCTTTCAGGAAAAGAACCCAGACACTAGAGATTCACCTCATATAAAAATAAAAATAAGCAAAACTAACCTATTCTGCCAGAGGTCAGGAGAGAGATTACACTTGGTCAAGGTGGAAGGAGAGGAAAAGTTTCAGGAAGGAGGGGCTGAAAAAGCTGCTTCTAGTTCTCGATGTTGGTTATACATACATTCAGTTTGTAAAAGCCATCAAGCCATTTGCTTATGACAATGTCACTTCTCTGCATGTGTGTCATACTTCAATACAAAATAAGTACATTCATGCAAAACACCTATTCAGTTGTCTTTGTCAAGATTTGTAAACTAGAATGTGAATGTAGTAAGCAGTGCAAATAAATGCTGGGAAAATTTGCCACATAAACTATTCTGCTCCAATTGTCACATCAGTAAAATGGAGCAAAAGGACACGTAGCACACAGGGTTAGTTCCCTGCACAAATCATTGTCCTTTTAAGTGTCTCACACTGGCGAAGGAGCATCTTCTATCATAAGCTCCGGGAAGTGATGCATCTTTTTGCCATCCACAGAAAAAGGAAAGGACCATGTGGTATAGTATGTCTTCCTCCCAAGTTTTCCTAGGGAAAAAAAGCTACATTTATCATGAATGTCTCTTTCTTCCATCCTTAGATCCCACTCCAAAGATTAAACGTAATCAGGGGAGACATTCAATCAATAGAAAACTCATTTTGCCTAGATAAATAACAAATGGGTCAACTGAAACCCATAAATCATTGCTTAAGCCTCAGCCAAAATTGATCAGAGAAGTCTTTTCCCAAAAAGGAAAGCTTTCTTCTCTTTAAAGGGCAGCATGCTCTGGATAACAACAAAACTCTTTGACTAAACCTTCACATGAGGATGTGTTTCTGTAGAGATAGCCTAATGGAGTTGGTAAAAGGCCCACTATCCTTTGATAAGAAGTTCCAGGACTAGTGAATCACATGAATTATTTCAAGTCTCTATAATTAAAAATTCCACATAATTGAAGCATACCATTTTAAGCAAAAAAAAAATTTCACTTTAAACATGTTAAATGAAAATACCTCTAAATTATTTCAGGATTGATATTCATTTGCAAATATCACCTGGACATGAACCCCAAGGCATTAAGGACTTTTTGAGTTCAAAGCCTTAAAGGTGGCTAATCGAGCCAGGGCAGGAGGCAATCCTAAGGTTCTTTAGGCTATTTTAGCTCTTGAAATAAAATCAGTGAAAATCATAGATATAGTGGCCATGTCTTCCAATGCTGACCAATTATTGCCATAATAAGTAGCTATAAAGAAATATAAGAGGTTGTCAACTCCCACATTTTCCTTCTATAGGTGAAACAGAAGCTAATTGGTGAGCTATCCAAGATCATTCAGTAACGGGTGGCAGAGCAAGAATTAGAGCAAGGTTTCCTAACCTCCAAATTAGCCTCCATTCTGCCATAAGACATGGTCTTTCCCATGAGTCTATGAAATATTTTCCTGGACCCAGAGTGCAGAGCAGGTGTTCCCCTCAGCCTGCACTGTGGGGTAAAGAAAGAATAATGCTGGCAGAACTGGCAGAAGTGGACAGGGGGAGAACCACTATACCCCCAGACAGAAAACCAATGCAATTCTCAGACACATAGACCTCTTCATTTAATGAAAATGGATATTTCATGAACTTAGCAAATAACTGGTTTTAAAAATCAAAGAGTTTAATTTTTAAAATTTTTATATCTCAGCCTTGGGATTCTGATATGTAAAAATCCAAGAATCTTCAAAGATAGAAAACATGTACAGATATCATTAAAATGGCAGAACTCAGAATACAGAATCATGGAGCAGTGATCTCCACCAGCCCCTCAGCTAACTGCAGCTGCAAGCATGATTCTCATGCTCTCTTGAACCTAGTGTTCAACTAGTGACCCAACTTCCTCACTCATGGGGAAGGGCCATCAGCAAAAGGCACTCAGGCATGGGGGTCTGAGAAAAGATCCCACAAACTCAAAGTCATGTGAGAGACATTTCATGAAAGGATTAGGTGGGTTACCCCTGGCTTTCTTCCCCAGAGTTTATCAAGACTGATAATAAAGTAAATGCATTGTAAGCCACACATACAAGTTGTGGAGTGGAGGAAACAGAGTGACTTTTTTGTGTGTCCTGTTTTATAGGCTTTAATTAAATTATTTGTGGCCTTGGATTGGGAGCAGGACTTTGCGATTATTTTTTAATAGAATGAAAATTTATGTTGGGGCCTCTTTGTCAAAAATCACTCCTGCTGATAAATAACATGCCACACAATAATAAACTCAACATGTTCCTTTAAATTTCTACCAAGACAGACAACTTATTGGTACTTAGAAACCTCCCTGTCTTGGCTTGAACCAGGTTTATTTGATATTACACTAATTATACTACAATAAAAGAGCAGAGGCTAACTGCTGCAATAAAGTACAATTTGTGTTCAGAAACTGTATTTTTAGTTAGCATTGTCCCCACAAGGCTTATTTTTCAGAAGGAGTCTCCTGAATCATCCCATAAAATGTATTAAAGTTTTATTTTAAATTATTTTAAAGTTTCTTAAATCTTATTTTACCTATTAGCTAGTGGTGTATCCCAAACCATCCCAAAACGTAGTGTCTTTAAACAACAACTATTTATCTAGCTTACAATTCTGCAGATCAGCAATTTAGGCTGGACTCAGCTGGATGTTTCTTCTTGTCTTGGCTGGGCACCGTTATGTGTCTGTGGTCCCTGTGGTAGTCTAGGCAATGGTGAGACTGGAAGTTGACTGTCTGTTGGCCGAGGCAATGGAGGTTATTGGGCCGTGGGTCTCTCATCCTCCAGTGGACTAACCAAGAGGGAACAGAATCTTTCAAGACTTCTTGAGGCCTAGACTTAGAATAGGCACATCATCACTTCTCCCACATTCTATGGTTAAAGAGAATCATAAGGCCAGTCCAGAGACAAGGCTAGGGAATTAGATTCTATCTCTTCAAACGAGCAGCCACAAAGTCTCAATTACCAAGAGTGTAGATGCAGAGACGGCTATCAATAGGGACCAAAAATGCAATTAATATTTCACATTTTAGTCTCAGACAATATTCTTTTTTCCACTAATTATATAGTTACTTAAGTAGTATTGAAAATAAGTTATCAGCAGAACCAGTTCACTAGTACATTTTTCAAGGATTTTCCATCTTCCATCTATAGGTGGGCATATAACCATAATCAAGTTACGATTTTATATTGAAATCAAAACCGTTTTTCCTAGAAGCATTACCTCAGCAGACCTGAGACTACTGAGAGTAGAAAAGGATTGTCTTCATGGCATCTGCTAGAGAGCACTTAGTAGTCACTCCATAAATGTTGATTAGTTTTTTTACATAAGTGGCAAACTCCTCTACAGGAAGGAACTCACCTCTCTTCACATCCTATTTTCCACTAGTATTTTCCTAACATTTCTTCTTCTCTAAATGCATGTATTAGTAGCTTATCTTTTAATAGCATGTATTAAAAGCTAATCTGTTTTATTCACTCATGTAGTAAATACATTATATTACACAAGTGCATTATACATACACAAATCTTTTGTCTTCTTGGTCTTTTTTGTGCTATCAAACACTTTGTTCTGACACTAACTTCTTTCATGTCACTCTTTCATCAGGCCTGCATATCTCCCCTATAGCCTTAAGTTCAGGGAGTCTTAAACCTGGGCTGCAAACTGATATCACTTGAGGTGATTTAAAAAAATGCTGGCCAGGTGCAGCGGCTCACGCCTGTAATCCCAGCACTTTGGGAGGCCGAGGAGGGCGGATCACGAGGTCAAGAGATCGAGACCATCCTGGCCAACATGGTGAAACCCCATCTATACTAAAAATACAAAAATTAACTGCGCATGGTGGCAGGCGCCTGTAGTCCCAGCTACTGGGGAGGCTGAGGCAAGAAAATCGCTTGAACCTGAGAGGCAGAGGTTATAGTGAACCGAGATTGCACCATTGCACTCCAACCTGGTGACAGAGTGAGACTCCATCTCAAATAAATAAATAAATAAATAAATAAATAAATACTGATGCCTGCGCCCCAAACCCAACTCTCCGGTTCAATTGGTCTGGGATGTGGCCTAAAGGTTTTTAGGCCTCCCCAAGAGACTGCAATGTGCAGCCAGTGTCCAGAACCATCAACTTTTTCTTATACATCATCATTCACTTAAGAAAGACTTTGATGACACCACCCCCACCTCTCACCCTCAAACCCACTTCTTGTCATGTGCTCTGGTATCACACTTCTTTTCTTTCTGGAAATTATCGAATGTGATAGCTGAGATCTTGTGTGTATTTAAGTCTTTATTTGGCTGTTTATTTCCCAAGGAATACTTTACCTTTTGTTCTGCATGGTAACACCTACAAGTACAATGGTAGTTAGCACATAGGAGTCATCCAAAAATCACCTATTCAATGCATTATTCTAATGCACCGTAAGAACCCAATTTATGAATTATAGCTTAAATTTAAGGAGCTAGGGCAGGTGTCCTCAAATTTTATCCTGAGTAAGAATAATCTGAAACAGCCACCCCCAACCTTTTTGGCACCAGGGGCCAGTTTCATAGAAGACAATTTTTTCACGGACGGGGTTGGGGGAAGGGGGAGGTGGTTTCAGGATGAAATTGTTCTAGCTCAGGTCATCAGGCATTAGATGCTTATAAGGAGCATGCAGCCTATATCCCTTGTGTGTGCAGTTCACAATATGGTTCTTGATCCTGTGAGAATCTAATGCCATGACACCACTGATCTGATAGGAGGAGGCAGGGCTCAGGCAGTAATGCTCACCTGCCCTCACCTCCTGCTGTGCAGCCTGGTTCCTAACAGGCCACAGACTGGTACTGGTTCTTGGCCTGGGAGTTGGGGGGAACCCCTGATCTAAAAAGTCTGTTAACACATAGCTTGCTGGGCCCTATCCCCAGAGCTTCTGACTCAGAAATTTGGGGAATAGCCCCAAGAATTTGAATTTCTAAGAAGTTCCCAGTTGATACTGATGCTGTTGGTCCCAGGATCACAGTCCATGGACTTTGTCAAGAGGCAACAAAACACATGTCAAAATGTATGGCCTGTAGCACCAGACTGCCTGGTTCAACTCCTAGCTGTGCTACTATGTGGCATTGAAAAAGATACCCAGTCTTCTAAGTGCTACATTAACTATGTGGCCCTGGGAAAATGCTTGATCCATGAGTGCCTCCATTTCTCCACCTGTAAAATGGAAACAATACCAGAAATTACCTCCTCAATTTCTTAAAAGGATTAAATAAGTTAATATTTACAAAATGCTTAGAAGAGTGCTTGACAGGTAGGCAGCACTACATAAATATATTAATGTTTAATGTTCTAATGGATACATCTTGATAACACGCCTGAAAAGTGACTTTAAAATTTTAATCATACATGTTAAATTAAAAACAACCCCCATACACAGAGAGAATCACTATGGCATCTGAATCTCAAAGTGTGATACATCAAATTCATAATCATCATAATAAATACCTCTAATTGACCACCTAGTTTGTGCTGGCACTTAACCAAGTGTATCTTATTTTAAATTTCCAAAAACAAAGTAGTTGTTTTCAATTAAAATCTGAAGAAACCAGGGCTCAGAGAGGTAGTGACATTTGAGTAGCAGAGCTTGAAAATTCTAGAATTTAGGTATTAAGAATCTCTCTAGAAGTGTGCAACAAGGAAGAGAGTTAGATCATGTATAATTCAGAATTCTTTCAGTCACAAATAATAAAAAACCCAATCAAATTGATTTGAGCAGAGAATTACTGGCTCATGTGTCTAAAAATTCTAGGACTTCCTGCAGGCTTCAAGTACAGCTGGATCCAGCGACTCAAATCTGGATTTCATGCTCTCTCTCATCCTCCCCTGCCCTTATTCTTTTCCTCCCTTTCTCTCTCTCCACTTCCTTCTCTCTTGGGCTGTCCTCTCTTTCTGCTAACTTCACTCTCAACTAAGCACCTCCACATGGTGACCCCCAACAGACCAAGGTTCACCCCATCTTTATGGCTAATGATCACACGGAGTCTTCACCACAATTCTAGCAAAAGTTCTGGAATTGAGTTTTACTGAGCCAAGCTGAATTTCATGCCTTTGACAAACCCATTGGCTATAGTCAAGGGTATAAGACATGCTAATTAAGCTGGCCTGGGTTGTGAGTACACCCTTAGGGCTGGGGAAGTAACCCTCTGGGGGACCAAGAGGACTTATTGTTGAGCAAGCATGACTTCCCAAAAGAAAACCAAATAACTGTTAACCAAAGAAGGAAAATGGGTGCTGATTTCTGACATTGTGTCCTGTGTCACAGGGGACATTGTGTTCCTCACAATGTCTGTTGCTCTCCTGGAAGGCTATTGGGCTGGAAGTCAGACAATCTGGGTCTGGTTATTTTGACTTTGTCAAGCCTATCATTTTCTCTTGGCTTTATGTTCCTCATCTATTCAATGAAGGAGTTGGCTTGGAATTCTAGGCTTTCTCTTATCAGCAAAGTTCAAAGATTTCTATGCACATATGTCTTCTTGGCCCAACCTGAATGTAAACAAACATAATCATTTTTTTATACTGATTGAAAGAAAGAAACTAAATGAGCCTGGGAATCACAAGAAGTGAGCAAAGTAGAAAGATGCAGAGGTGAATTAGTCAGAGGAATAATGCTAGCAGCAGTAGTAGCATGTTTGTACACAATAGGTGAGTGCTAAGGCAAAAGTAGGGACATTTGGCTAGCAGTATAAAGGCTGGAGGAGATGAAGGAGAGATGCGTCGGTAGAGAAAAAGCTTCTGAGAGAAAGTGATGCTTGAGATGATTCTTAAAGGAAGAGTGGAAATTGCCTTGTGAATGGAAATGAATGGGGCATTTCTAGCAAAGGGAACGTGAGGCATGGTGGTGTATAGCATGGCCAGGAATTAGAGCCTGTGCAGTAGAGAGCTTGGTGAGAGACCTAGCTGGAAGGTAGGCTAAGGGCAGACCATAGAAGGCCCAGCATGCCATATTGGGAAGTATGGACTGTATTCTGCAACAGAGGATGGGAAAACAGCAAGTAGGGCGGTAAGCAACGGTGCCATGTGAAACACTAGGCATAGCTTATCAATATAATCCTTACCACAGTCCATTAATCAAATGGATATTTATTATCCCTATTTTACAGATGAGGAAACTGAGGCTTAGATAGGGTTAAATGATATTCGCAGCTGCTGGAATGTTGGCAGCATGTTAATGGAATTGGAGCTCTTAACTAGATCATCTGATGAGTTCAATGTTGTATTTCTACCATTATGCTCTTGACATCTCACCTGTCTCCCATTTCAGAGGATTCCTGCAAGGACTAGATTTAGACCTCAAAAAGCAGGGATTTGGATGTGATTGGCTGAAAACATCAGCACTCTTCTTAGGGTCACCCATAACACTCCCAATATTTTCAGCAGTTAGCAGTCTTCTTCAACCAGCTCAAAAGAAATTATTTTTAACTCATGATAATGTAGCGTTTGTGAAACTTGGTTAGTAACTAAGAGAGGCACCCTTGGCAATTTCACAAAGTGTCTAACTGGTTACTTCTGAAAACAAGTCACTGGGCAAAATTTCTGGAAAGAGGGCAGGCAGTCTTGGAGAACAACTACAACTCCAAATATAGAAATATATTTAAATCAAGTAACTTTTGTAATCGAACCAATGGACATAGGCCACCATGTGAGCTTGCCACAAACCATTGTTAGGGTAAAAATTTCCCAACTCTTTGTTAAGTTCACAAATGCTTGGGCTGCCTAAGAATTAGGAGATTTAAATTCAGATTTAGAAATTAAAGATGACAATCTTCTCACAGCCATGGGCATGAAACCAATTAGCTATCAGGTTTGAAAAGCTTAACAGACTAATTTCCTCTTTCCTTTCATCAAAAATTAAATTTTCTAAAAAAAGTTAATTCAATGTTTCTCACTTAATATCATCTTGTCACCTACATTTGCACTGCCAGGATGTGGGCATAGAGGTCTGTCTTACCCATTTCAAAAACACAGCGAAAGGCAGCCTCTCTCAAGCCATTCTTTAAAAAGAGAGGATTCTACTTAAAGTATTGATTCTGTATCTCTCAAAAGAATCAAAACGATTACCACAGTAAAACTTAATGTCCCAGCTCCAAGTATGTCTTTTACAAATTGCTCTTTAATTTGAGATGTTTTATAACAGAGCAGCAAGATTTGCAATACATGGAAAGTATAAGAACCTATAAAGAATTATGTAATCACTATGTCCTGTACACGAAGTGTTGGTTTTGGATTGCAAACAAATGTTCAAACTCCCTTGGGAAAAAAAAAGAAAGAAAAAGAAAAACAACAAATTGTGGGGCCAAGAGGATGAGAGGATCGAGTGTCAGCGTTTATGTTCAAGCAGCATGGATTGACTCCAGCCTGAGGTTAACTTAGAATTAAAATGGAACTGGTGGTCTTGCCTTGGCAGACAAGAGGTTATAACAAATCTATGACCACATACATACAGACACCACGGTCGCCAGCTAAACCACACACATGTGGCACACTCAAAGAGTTTCAGTGAGGCAGTTACCAACACAACCGGGATCCTTTTTCTTCCCTTTCTAGGAGACAGAGCAAACCGTAGCCTCTCACATAGCAACTAAAGGAACCTACCTCATAGTTAACACCCAGAATTTAAATTAACATTATTAATGGCTAGAGAAAGTTCACCCTCAGTAGAAAGCAACCTATGTATTATCATGCAATCATTTACCTGCCTAAAAAAGTGATAGTGAGTTTCCAAAAATGCACTATCTTCCGGGCTGTTTACATAAAGACTTCTTCACTTTTCTTGAATCTAATGAGTAAGCATGTTTCACACCCTCTGGGTATCTATTTTGGAAAGTCAAACTCATTGGCCACTCCTGAAGCAATCAAGATTCAAGACACCACTAATTAAAGCTTCACAGAGGGAAACCACATGCAGACACTGCTGTGTTACTGAATACTCTTTACAAAGCAGGAGAGGTGGGAGGAAGCCCCACCATGAATGGGAGGCCAAGGTCAGGGATAGGGACAAGATCCATCATGGCAGTCTGCCAACATGTTCACATGATGGGTCCCAGATTATGCTGGGCCCTGACAATTAATTCTTGTATTCACCAAATAAACATCCATAATAATAATAAGAAAGTGGGCTCCAAGTTCTTGATAAAGCTGAATAGGGGATCACACTCTACCAAGACAAGAACAGAGGAATTATGAAATGTTCAGAGGGTGGTCTCACCTGTGCTGTTCTATCAGAATTCTGTACCATTTAACTGGTTTTTCCTTGTATCATGCAATGTATCAGTTATCCCTTGCTATATAACAAACTACCCCAAACTTCCTCCCCTAAAACAACAACCAAAATTATTACTTACAAGATTGTAGGTTATCCAGGGAGTCTTGCTCATCTGAGCCAAGCTCAGTTGATCTTGGCCATGCTCATCCACAGCAGATCAGCTGGAGATTGGAATGGCCTCACTCTAGGTGTGATGGCTGGGTACCTATTGGCTTGGACAATGGAGGTGACTAGGCCATGTAAGTTAGTCGTAACTAGGACTCATGGCGTTTTTAGCATCCCAGGAGAGTCAGCAGAGGAGTACAAAACCTCCTGAGGACCAGACTTCACTTCTTCTGCATTTGATTGGTGAAAGCAAGTCGCAAAGTCAAGCCAGATTCTGTGTACAGGGACATAGACTCTTCTTTCTGAGAGTTGCTGCAAGATCACATTACAAGGAATGGGTTACAGAAAAGTAAGATTTGGTGCCAATTTTACCATCAACCGACCACATCCATCTAATCAGTGGTAAAGTTAGGAGAGAATATTTCCATTTCAACTTTTCTGATTCTTTCTACTACCCAACACCAAGTTACAAAAATTCCAACCCATATTTGATCCAATAGGCATCAAGAAATATAGAGTATGCTGGCTTTAGGGTTAGACTCTCTGGCTTGTTACATGCTTTCAGCATTTCATCAATGTATGACTTTGTGTAAATTACTTAACCCACCTATAGCCTTCGTTTCCTCATCTCTAAAATGGATTTAATAAGAAAGCCCAGCTCTCAAGTCTACTACAAGGACTAAATAATATACATGATGTTTTGAAAAAGTGACTGTCACTTAAAGTGCTCAAAATATACATATCATCATCATCATCATCATCATCATTAATATTGACAAAATGAGCTTCTGCTCCATTTTTTTTTCTCCATTCACGTCTCTCCCTCCATTACAAGGCCTGGAACACAGATCTTTCTCACCTAACATCAAGCCAACCCTTTTCTTTTGCCCTGTACAACATATCCCTTAATTTTAATACATAAACACAAACAGAAAAGAGACCAGCCTTCCCCTACCATGACAATTTTCTGGACAGTTTGTGCACTTAAATTCCCAAGTCAACCTTCAGGCCTGGGGGTTGCCTGCCAGGAGCTTCTTGCCACTTCCCGTAGCCTGAACTCTAAGGGCCTGGGGTTTGCCTTATTTAACTGTGGTATCATTTGGGATTCCTCAGGCCTGGGAGCTACACTTGGGCCAAGACATTTGTGGCCTCTACTGGCTCAGAAATCTGTTCTTCCTTGCTTTCACTCAGAAACTCTGTGTGTGTGTGTGTGTGTGTGTGTGTGTGTATCTGTTAACAACCCCTTCAGAGTGGGTGCATCTGGCACATGTACTAACACAAACTTCATGATTTGGGGGAAAAAATACTACACACATTCTGCTATGGCGGGGATAATAATCAGAAAGCCAATTTCTATGTAGATTTGTTCTAGAATAGCCTTATCTTAAAATCATAAACACAAACTCAAATAGAATAGATACAAAAATAGTTTTGTCTTTTGCATCTCAGTGTAAAGACGTCCCACTGATTCGGATGCACATTAAAATTTGAAAAGCACTAGAGTAGGCCAATTCTTCCCCAGCATCTGAATACTGCATAATCACCTGGAGGGCTTGTTAAAATACAGATTTCTAGGTCCTGTCCCTAGAGATTCTGATTCCACAGATCTGGAAACAGTCCCCAGATTCTGCACTTCTAACAAGCTCCCTGATACTGCCAATGCTACTTTTCCAGGAACCACACTTTGAATTGTGAGGACCAATACCTTCATTTCACATTTGGGAAAATGAGACCTGGGAAAAATGAATAGATATGGGTGCTAACTAAAGAGACAGTGTCTTAACAGTTATACAGAAATTGAGACGGAACCCCAGGTTCAGTTCTTTTTTTTTTTCCAAGCATTTTCTGATGGCTGATACTGCTTTCAGCTGGATTTGCATCCTTTTTCCTCCTGTTACATGACTTCGATATTTTCACCTTTGCCATTTGACCTGTGAAATTCTTTTCAGTTTCTGACAATTCTGTTTCATTTCCTCACTTTAAACTTAAATTTTATTTCATTCTCTGATTATTTTTAATCTTGGCAGAGAATTGAAATATTTTGCTTAAGTAATGTTTATTGAATGGAACCATCTTCTATTTCTCTCTTCTTTCTTAAGTCCCCTATTTTGGTATCCTTAGTCCTTCATACTTCAAACAGGTATTCATCTTTCTCAGAATCATCCCTACTGATCATCTAAATCCTCTGCATCATCATCATCTACATCTGCAACATCTATATTATCTACATTATCTACATTATCTACATCTGCATCATCTATATAATCTATATCTACATCATCTACATTATCTATATATACATCATCTATAGCATCTACACCTGTATCATCTACATTATCTACAACATCTACATTATCTATGTCTACATTATCTATATCTAAATCATCTATATTATCTATATCTACATCATCTACATTGTCTACATTTACATTATCTGTATCTACATCATCTATATCTTCTAAATCTACTTAATCTACCTTTTCTACATCTACATCATCCGTATCTTCAACATCTGTATCATCTACATCTGTATCATGTACAGCAGCCACAGCAACAGCTGCTTTTACTGTACTTTCAAGATACTCACTCCTTCTGTGGACATGAATTAGTGACTTGAAAGGAGAGGAAAATAAAAACTTGACTTTGAGGAAACAGTTTAAAAGTCTGAGGGAAACAAACAGAGGTGACAGCTGAGGCACTACATCACTTTCCATTTCAACCTACACTTGCCACTGAACACTGAAACTCATGGTTCAGAATTTAAAAAAAAGTCAAAGTTGAAGAAAGCCACACCTGTAAGACTATTTACCCAGTAATAACTGTTTGAGAATAGTTTAATCAAAAGATATAGCTTAAGACATTTTTAAAGCAAGATTCAAAATGCTTTAGTGCATGTTAGATGGGGCTCCAAAACTTAGAGGTTCTAATTGGTTAAGTAAGTATCCTCCCTGTCCTCCCTGTCCTCCCTCAGAGCTTGATGTTGCCACTCTTGAAAAGGTTTGTGTCCTCAAATAGGGGACAAAAAAAAAAAAAAGAAAAAAAAGGAAAAAAAAACCCTTATGGATAGGGTTACCAGATTTGGCAAATAAAAACACTGAACTCAAAGTTACATTTGAACTTCATATAAACAATGAATGATTCTTACCATAAAGATCTCTCATATAATATTTGAGGTATAATCATACCAATAACCATTTTTTGTTTAGCTGAAATTCAAATGTAATGAACAGTCCTGTACTTTTCTGGCAACTCTAAGAAAAGCCAAGACAATTTTACCAAGATGAAAAAAGGTAAGTCACGGAGTCAGAGAAGGAATTTAAAATTAATATATTTGGCAAAAGATGGATTTTCAGCATACATAAAAAAAGTTTACAAATCAATAAGAAAAAGATAACACAGTTTTTAAAAAATGGACAAAAAATCAGAATGTGCACTTCCCAAAAGAAGATAAATTAAATGGCAGTCAGAAGGTGCCCAACTTTATTGTTCATCATGAAAATGTGAATTCAAACTCCAGTGAAATCCCATGTATGCCACCAGAACAAGGAGTCTATGCCAAGTGTTGGTTAGAAATAAGAGCAAATAGAAGCTTCATCCTGTGCTGATGAGACTGTAAATCTGTGCAACCACCCTGGTAAACTGGCAGTATTGATTAAAACTGAGCACGTGCCTATCCTGTGACCCAACCATTTTACTCCTAGGTACATAACTAGCAGATATATGCACACTTGCTCACCAACGACATGTTCAAAAATGTCCATGGAGCATTAATCATAACAGCCAGACCTGGAAACAACCCAAACACCTGCAATGGATAAAACATTATGGAATGGAATAAACAATCTGTGATGTATTCCTATAATAAAATACCATCTAGCAATGAGAATGAATAATCTACAGTAAAATGCTACAAAAATGGATGAATTACAAACATGCACGCGCGCTCACACACACACACACACACACACACAGCAAAAAAAGACAGACACAAAAGAGCACATACATTATGATTTGTAACTAGTCTTAGGTGCTAGGAGTCAGAATAGTGGCTCTGGTAATCTGAGCTTGGGAACTTTGGAGCTGGCCACATTCTGTTTCTTAACCACAAATTTGCTCTCACTTTGTGAAAGTCATGGTGCTGCACACTTAGGATCTGTATCCTTTGCTGAATTTGTTATACTTCAATCCCATTTATCTTAATACCTCTAAAAGACATGATCAAGGGAAATACTGGTACCTTCTGACCTTAATCAGGATTGTGTAACAGAATCAATATCATTTTCATCATAGCAATCATCACCATAATCATAATACCTCATTATGTGAGAATTACCGCAGGCTGAGCTTGGTTTTAGATATTTTGTTTACACCATCTCACCTGATGTTATTCATCTTCACATAGCATTTGCCATTATTCTTCCACTTTTATAGATGAAGACATGGAATCTGAAAGAGGATACATGGCTTATCCAGGGAAATACAATTTTTAAGTGTCCAAGCCAAGTTTTGAAATCAGGAGCTGATTCAGGAGCGGAAAAAGCAGGTGCTCTTTTCTCTATAGGAGGCCACAGTTAGTCTACAAAATGGGGAAACTTTTAAATTTCCTCTCTCTCATTGTACTTTCTAAATCCAGAGATGGTGTAAAACCTCAATAGTCAGTCTTTTATGCTGAGAAACATACATGTGCCTTCTGGATTTAATCCAATTACCTAGAATTAACCGACAATTCCTACAATCAATTCCCAACTGAACAAAGAGGAAAAGTAAAATCCCCCTCCATTATTTCAGCTAGCTTCATAGCCAAGTATCTTAGGAAAAAAATAACAGACTTTAACACTCAAGCAACAAGACCTCCTATATAGTTTCAACAAATGCACACCCACTTCACAAGCTTGCATTCATGCATCCATAATACAAGATCTTTTTGCTAATGCTTCTCAAACTTTAGGATAAGCAAGAAATAATGAGAGCTTGTTTAGACAGATTTCTGGGCTCCAGCCCCAAGAGATTCTGATTCAGTAGGTCTGAAGTTAGCCCTGAGAATCTACATTCCTCACAAGTCTCCAAGCGATACTGATGCCGCTGGTCCTTGGACCACACTTGGAGCAGTACTGCTTTATGCCAACATAAACAATGTGGAAAAGATGCTCACATGGTTTTGTTTAGAGACTGAATCTTCTGTCTTGCCACTGACATCTATGGCTACTACCTCAGGCTAGGTCCACATGACTGTTTGAGAGGCAACTGGCCTCGCCTCTCCTACTTCAAGCTCTGTTTTCATCATCATTAGCATCAAGGCCGCCATTGTGTCCGTCACAATGGGATGATTGGCCGCATGGCTTCACCAGGGCCTGAGTTCTGCTTTCCCTTTGTTCTACACTAAACTGCAAGACCTCTAGGATCCAAATTTCTTCACAGAATGTACATATTTATTGCATTTTGGCTTGTTTTATGCCAAAGAGGAAAAAAATCTAAATCTGTAGGAATTAAATCCATGTCTTAGAGTTTCTTATAGTTTGTTAAGTTTGCTTACTGTTTATTCCCCACATCTGGGCATTTTGAGAAGAGAACAAATGCTATGCAGTGTGGAAGGTGAAGAACCCCACCCCCACTGCCTTCATGGTGTCCTAAAGCAATTCTGAGCTTCCTCCTTCACTTTCTACTCATCTTCAAAAACCCCAAGGCAGGTTTTCCCCACACCCACCACAGATTATGAGCTCCATCAACTCTCTCCCCAAGAGTTTTGAGGCATTCTTGGTAGAAAATCATCTCTGTTGAAGGATGTGAAGAATAAGCTTCCTATGTCAAGAAGTAGCTAATTATATCACAACCTAGAAAGCATCTAGGTTAGGGAGAGAGACCTTGTCTCTGTCTCCCTGTCCCACAACTGGTTAAACACACAAGATATCATATGTGGGGGCGAGAGATCACCATACCCTCATTCTTTCTTTTAGCTGGCTGTGTCATTCTAAGGGGGACCACTCAACCATCTTCCTCTTCACCTGTAAAATAGAGACTTGTTTTAAATGATCCCCAAGATCTTTTCATCTCCAAGAGTCTGCAAACCCATGAACCTACAAAGAAAAACCAAAGGAAACACCCTCCTTTCCAACCTACTCTTGGCACAAGTGGTGGTTTTTCAGTAGGAAAATGAAGCCTCATGATGTGTGAGTCACAGAGAGATGATGAGCCAATAAAAGGTCAGGGAAAAGAAATAGAGGACGGAAAGGGAAGATACAATGCACCATCAGAGGAGAAAGTGTTTGGGATTCTTTTCTCCCTCTGAAGTCCACAGAGGAAAAAGCAACAAAATCTACCACTGGGTTAGCCAACAATAATATCAATCAGAAATCACTTAGTCCATTTTCATATTTCATTTCTACAGTAGCAAAAGAAAGTAGCCAGCTTCTTTGCAGGGGTACATGGGTAGGTAGCATCCATTAGCTCACAGAGACACACCCACCCTTCAAACTCAATTTGGCTAAAATGACTTTTTTTAATAAGAACTCATGAGAAAATGGTTGACTTCCAGCCCTTATGTTATCAGAATTGTTTGACGCTGAATTACATGGGCCTGGACTATAAATCTTGACTTTAGCCTCAAATGCAAGGCATTTGATGTGTCTGGGAACCTGCTGTAAGAAAGAAATTAGCTGTAAAACAAAGTAAAATGCCTGTTCCCATGGGAAGAACCGGCAGGACTGCTAATAGATCATGTGCTCGTTTGGAAGACACTTGTTCCTTTGGTCAAACAGCAACTAATATTTTCACTTTCCACTGCCTTGAACAGGAAATATGGTACTAAGGACCAATAGACAGGGCAAGGCATCGTATTAATTACACAGTCAGTAAACATTTGCTCACCCGTGTTTCCTAACGTCTGAACACTTCCTGGTTGGAGCTTAGCGATGCTACTGGCCTCTGTTAACTCATTTTACTCTTGCATAAATGTCTGGGAAGATAAAGTGCATTTTCAGAAAGCCCCAGATTGAGAGGAGGATGGGGGCGCAGGGAAAGACAGGCCCTCTTCCACTTAAAAATGTTGAGAGCAGCCCTTGTTTGCAGCCTGTGCTGCAGCTGCCATCGCCTGCAGCCCCCCTAAGGACAGGGTGAATCTGAAGGCAGTGACATGGTGAGGTGATTTGATAGCCTTTAGAATTTCTCATTCTACCTTTTGGGGAGTGTATGTCAAACAGAGGTTCAGGTTCATTCTAAAGAAGGGATTAAAAAAAGCAAGACATCTTAGGAAAGATAGGTAAGTGGCAATCACATTGGCACACCTGCCATTTAAACTGCTCTACCTGTAATTCTCTTTTCTGCGGTAACGGCAAAGGATGGACAAAGGCCACACCCACCTGCAGCTGCTCCTTAGAGCAATAGTTCTCAAAGTACAGTCCCCTGGGCTAGCAGCACAGGCATCCTCCCAGGAACATGTTAGAGATGTATGATCTGAGGCCCCACCCCAGGCCTGCTCAGTCAGAAACCTTCGGCGTAGGGCCAGCAATCTGAGCTGTAACAAGTTCTCCAAGTGATTCTGGTACCCACTAAAGTCTGAGAATTCCAACCATGTTGAGATGTTCATATACCTGCTGTATACATGCCATCCAGGCCTGAGATCAAGCTCTCTGCTACGAGCTACAAGGCCCTCATGACCTGACTGCGACATACAAGCTCCAGTCACAAATGTCACCTTCACCTACCTCTGCTAGGCCCAGTTTGTGCCCTCCTTGAGGACTTTTCCTGCAACCTGCTCATGCTTTGCTCTTTAACTCATTCAGTTTTTTTTGTTCAAATGTCAAACCATTTGTAAAGTAGCTTCCACCACAGACACCCTTTAAGTATCTGCCAATAGATACTGTCTAGGATTATTCTTGCAGCAGCTTTCCAAGATGAGCGATCATATTTCTCATGAGTTTGTTTGTACATTTAGGGCCCATACTCCCCAGAAAGAATGTAAAGCTCTATTAGTATAGGCACCAAGTGTTTTATACCTACTCTTCCAATATATGCACTTCCCATGTCCAAAACGTTCAGCGTAGGCCAGACGTGGTGGCTCACGCCTGTAATCCCAGCACTCTGGGAGGCCAAGGCGGGTGGATTGCTTGAGTCCAGGAGTTCAAGACCAGCCTGGGCAACATAGAAAACCCCATCTCTACTAAAAATACAAAAAAATAGCTGGGCATTGTGGCACATGCCTGTAATCCCCGCTACTCGGGAGGCTGAGGTGGTAGGACCACCTGCGACTGGGAGGTTGAGGCTGCAGCGAGGCAAGATTGCACCACTACACTCCAGCCTGGACAACCAGATTAAGACCCTGTCTCAAAGAAAAAAAAAATGTTCAGCATAGATACTTTCTTCTCCCACCCCTTCTCAGAACCTATTCTCACTCACATTGTTATAAATAAATGCAAATGCAGAGAAGAGAAAATATTTACATTAGGAATTTTTTAAATTCAAATTTCAGGCATCTTTCAATAAGTGCTGTCTAGCCTAGTAAATGTTTGGCAAGGTCAAGTGGGGCCCCTAAAATACTATCCCTTAGGCATCTAACAAAGGGCCTATAATGTTTTCCAATAGAGGAGCTTATAGAACAAATGTTTCCTTTATCCCAAGCACAAGATTGCCTTTGCTCTAAGAAACTGTGTCTGTTAAGAGCTAGATAGGCAAGTCATAATCAAAATTCAGAGCCTATACTAACTACATATCTAATTATGGAACATGTATTTATACTTTCTATCTCCCTTTTATCTTCATATGTGTTTCTTAAAGCTCAACTTTGAGACAGAAATGTGAATTTGAAGAGGTGTGACTGAGGATTCTGGGGCTCAGCCACAATGCGGCAGGTTATTTTATTGGTCTTTCAACAAAATATGCTTGAATGGCGTTAATTTTGCTTCCGTAATGGCTTAAATGCATCCAAGAGGCATTAGAGTCACTCACTCTTAGCAAAGATGGAAGAATAACACAGATGACAGTGCATTTAGAAAGAGGCAGACAGTGCCCGTGCTGGCTCCAGTCCTCTGTCATCAGAGATATGAGCTCTAGGTTGGCCGCTGAGCATTAGCCCATGTAGCCTGAGATGAGTTCATGGGGCTGGAATTCAAAACACTAACCAGCTGTGGGAACCCAGTGAGAAGCCTGTCACACTGAATGGTATCCAGATTAGAGCTGTGAGAATTTGGGAAAACCCTCCTCGCTAAATAAGTGTACTTCTTCATCTTCTTTCTTTCTTTCCTTTTTAAGTTTGCAATGTTTGACACAACCCTGAACCTATAGCCATGCATATTAACAATGGAGAAAAGGCAACTCTAAAAATGTTTGTTGAAGCAATGAGGGGACGTCGTAAGACTGAGTGGATGTTGGATGACCTTGTAATTATAATTTTTAGGTGTGATAATAGCATTAGGTTTATGCAGCAAAATATCCATAACTCTTTAGAGATGTGTAATGTGGAATGTAGGGGTGAAATAAAATGACACTTGGAATTTGCTTTTAAATAATTCAGAAAAAAACAGAGAGGAAAAGGAATAGATTAAACAAGTGTTGCAAGCCCTCAGTAATTGTTGAATCCGAAGTGGATTGTGAGGGTTTAAAAGAATATTCTCTCTCCTTGTAAAAGTACGTTTCAAAATAAACATAATAAAATTTATTATAAAAAAGGAAAGATAAATAATGCTAGACCAAAGGAAAAGTTATTTTCTCAGGAATGTAAAAATGCTTTTTCAGCTAAGGATTTTTCTCAAGGCCAGCCACTGTCAAATAAATAATCCACAAATTCAAAAAATGATAAACTTGTGTTCTTGGGTTTTGGAGTCTTAAGGACTCCCTTCCATGATTTATGCATTGATAGGAGTAGGCAGAAAAACTTCAATAAATGAACCAGAAAGTGGAAATGGCACATTACTTTATTTGCTACTAGATTGTCAAATACTGTTTGTAGCATTGGCCATAATGGGAATAGAACAAGATAGAGATTTGGGGTCCCATGTCTGCTTCTGTATTTTTTCCCATGAGTCCCTGTCTGACTTTCAGTGAACATGTTTATACTTCAGTTTCCACATCTGTAAAATCACAAGGTTCTACAATGTTAGAGCTAAGGTTTCTTTCAGGCCTGAAAGTAAAAATTCCAGATTATATTAGTAAATCTGCTTCAGTAACATGGGATATTAAAAAAAAGGTCAAGTTCTAGATATGAACTGGCAAATCAGGAGACCGCAAATTTATTCAGCCCTATTGAATTCTCAACACAGAAAACCCAAGTGTAACAACCTTTGCTCTTAAGAAAGTCTGACTGGCAAAAGAAATAATATAGAAAATAAACAGGTTTCAAAAGAGGTCCTAGCCTCAGCATAATTCTATTAAGAAAAAAAGACATATTGCCAACTAAAATATTTTGTGTGTTTCTAACACTGAGAATAATGGATATAAATGGCCCTGATTTATGCTTCAAAAAAGTTCAAAAATAACTTTTATTTCCTTCACAGTGATTGAAAACCACATGAAAACATGTACTTCTAGTGAAATTAAACTGTTTGAGATAGGAGAGTTAGGAGAGAAGAATGAGATCTACAAGACCACCCAAACCATTTTCTATTAGTCTCTGAAAAGGTTAGCAGGTGTTGGCTCTGCAAATAATGACTGCTTTCACAAAGATGCCCTATGTGGGAGCAGCATTTGGTGTACAAAGCTACGGCCCATTTTATTCTGGGGTCTTGCTTTTGGCCACGTGGTGCCTTCCACAGTCTGCCACTTCTGGCTCTGGGTTTGAAATTTGAGGTTAATAAGCCACACATGACCAAGCATGCAGGATTACAATCACTGTTCGGAGACACTGGGACTGTCCTATGGGGAGAGTCCATTATGCAAATTTTTTAAGAAAACACACAAAACATTGATTATGTTACCAAAAGATTTATTTCAAAAACTCATAGGTGCCCTAGATCTCATGTTTCCAAAAGTACATGTCTCTTAAATTTACCTCTTCACTTAGAATCTGGCCCTTCTTTTTTCATTCAGATCCAACCTATTTCCTTCTAAGAGCAGCCATGCAACACTGGGGAATGGTGCCTGAGCAAGGGGGAAAAATGCATGTTATTTTAAGGTTATGAGAAACCTTGCAAAGCAGAGAGAGAATTTTTCTCATCCCAGTGTATTCTAGTAGCTTAGCTGTCATTTATTGCAGAACATAAAAACACAAAATGATGCCATCTATAATGGGACTTACAGCAAGTGTTTTCTGGTCTCAGAAAATTATCCTGTTTTCTGGTCCCATTTTCTGGTCCCAGAAAATGATCACTTTTCTTCTTAGAAGGTTCTTAAGAAATTTTTCTAAATTCTAAATTGCTACTTTCTAATCTCCTGAGACCAGTTCTTTTCTCTAGTCAGAAATGTTTCTCCAATTTGTAAATGAATGTTACTGAAGGGAGTAAGATGCAACATACACACATGCATTCATTCTAAAGTAATCCTGTGACAATGAGCATGATTCCATGTGGTTGGTCATAATTGTATTCAAGTCCATGTCATTTCTGTATTGGCGACATTTCATAAAAGTTTCAAGCTCCAAAATAAGTATTTCGGCCGCCTGATAGAAGTCATCTATTGAGTCTCTATAGTTTTACCATGAAGTCTACAATAAGGAAACACAGTCTGTTTTCTGAGTTATCTAAATCAGAAGTTCTCAATCTTGAGCCTGCATCAGAATCACCTGGAGGATTTGTTAAAATACAGATTCCATAAAAAGTTAAAGAATAAAAATACAGATTCCTGGTGCCCACCTCCAGAGTTTCTGATTCAAAAGTTGTGGGTTGAGCCAGGTGTGGTGGCTCACACCTGTAATCCTAGCGCTTTGGGAGGCTAAGGTGGGCGAATCACCTGAGATCAGGAATTCGAGACCAGACTGGCCAACACGGTGAAACCCCATCTCTACTAAAAATACAAAAATTAGCCACGTGTGGTGGCGCACTTCTGTAATCCCAGCTATTCGGGAGGCTGAGGCATGAGAATCACTTGAACCCAGGAGGTGGAGGTTGCAGTAAGCTGAGATAGATCCACTGCACTCCAGCCTGGGTGACAGAGTGACTCCATCTCAAAAAATAAATGAATAAATGAAAGTTGTGGGTTGGAACCTTAGAAATTATACTTCAAATAAGTTTCCAGGTGAATGCTGATACTGATGTTGCTGATTTGGATATCACACCTTAAGAACCACTCATCTAAATATATGTGGCATAGATGTTTCAGTAACAGAAAAGGACAATTACTCCATTCTCAGCAATCTAAACATTTTGAGTGGCCCAGTAGGTAAGAAAGGAGCCTCCCCTACCCATTTTGGAAACCAAATCTTGAACAAGCCTTGGTATAAACAGAATCACTTCAGGTTTGAGCTCAGTGATCGCAGAGTGCAATCAACTCAAAATTAGGGGAGATCTTGCTTAATATTCAGTCTAAAAAATCTTATTGGGTCACCACATAATTCTGGTTTACATAGGTGAACAAAGCATCAAGAATTTATGGGGAGAGTGGGGAAGAGTGCTGTAGTTTTCACCCTCCACCTCCACCCATCATGACTGTCATTAGCAATATGACAAAGTATCTAAAACTCTCTGAAGTTTCAGGGTTGATGTAAAGTCCCATTGACGTGACCCTGGAAAGTGAGGTTCACCACCTCGGCTGTGGCCGCTGACCTCTGTGGATAATCAGTTTCATTTCTATTACCTCTGGGTCCTTGGACATCCTGGCTGGTCCAGGCCTCCTCTTTCGTCACTGGGCCCTCTGGTTGTCCCTCATACTAAGGTGATGATGACACCAAGAATAAAGAAGTCTTTCAATAGTGATTTCCTGTATCTCGCTTATCCCAGCTCAGAAAAATCTTGCCATTCAAATGAACTGGCGTCATGGATGGAGTAGAAGAAGGGAGGGAGGGGAGAGGGAGACGGGGCAGGGGGAGGGGAATCCCTTTCAAAGCTCTCCCTGTGATCAGAGGAGCCTGGAGCAGGAAGAGGAGGAGCCCAAGGCTGGCTATTTTTAAGTTGTAATGGGAGCCTTTGGTCCCCTCTCCTCTTTCTCTCAAGCCCTTGAACAACTTGCCAAAGGCATAAATCGCCCGGGCAATTCATTCTGGCTGCACTTCCTCCCTACTCAAATTGGCAAGCAAGTGCATGCAAAGCCATGCCCAGGGCAATTTGAGCCTTTCCCTCAAAATCTGCAACCTGCTTTCACAAAGTTGTCTTCCATCAGGATCAAAGCATTGCCTCCCAAATTATGTTGCTCAAGGAGGGATTTTGGGAAAAGACAACACCACAGCTTGGGGTGGAAGCTAAGTCTTGAAACACAAGAGACCAACATGGCTCCTACTCTACCCATGACCACAGGGGAAGGGACCGAGTGGTCACTTTGGCTCTAGTGATGAAGTAGCAAGTTCGTTAAGCACACAGATGGGCATGTTGGCACCTCTCCTGGTCTCACTCTGGAGGTCAGGGGAGGAAATCACAGCAATGACTGGGCCAAGCCAATTGGAGGAAAGAGAAAATTAGCCCTGGGTTGACACAGAAAAGTCTCAGACAGGAGAAAGGCAACGCTCAATTTACCCTTCTGAGCTACTTACTCTTGGTGTTAAAAGGGGTGTTATCTGTTCCAGGAAAGACAACTAATGCCTGAGTTAACACCTGTTACCTCTGTATTATTTTTAGGCTCTTCCATCACACAAAGGAGAGCAGGGCCTGTTACACTTCAGGCTTCAGACTGCACTCAGTTTTCTCAGGTTCCCCTGCACACAAAGGCCCTAAATAATTTTCCATAGAGACCTGGCAAGGCCAGGTAGCCAGATCTCAGGGTGGCCGCTGAACCTGGGCATGTGAGCTCAGTTATCTGTCCCTAGCAGGATCTGCATTATCACCCCATTTGATTTTCCCATCCAATTGGTGGTCTATTCCTGCTGAAGCAATACTTAACCATAAGAAAATATATATTATATATATAATTTATAGATATTATATATTATATATAATTTATAGATATTATATATTATATCTATAAATTATATATATATTATATATAATATATGTATAATATATATATATAATCAGCATGGTGTGGTCAATCTAAGAAAAAATGAATAGTTCCAAGACCCAATCATTGTCTCTGGTAAAAAATATCAGTGCATTAGCTGGATATCCACATTGAGAGGCCAGCACTGGGGACTTCCTGGGATATATTCACCTGTGTCTTCTTAATTTTTGTAGAGAAAATGCAGTTGTCACCTGCGACACCTGGGAAGTCTGAAAATGCCCTTGGCAATCAGTCTGATCTACTCAAAGAAGAGGCCTCCAGTTGTGCTTGTCAAGGGCAAGGCCATCAGACTGCCCAGAATTGTGGGAAGGTGATGCAACCAAAGACACTTGAGCCCACTCCTGCCCCAACAGCCTCCCCTCCCCTGCCAGTACCAGACCACCGCCAGGATTGTTTGCCATAGCTGTACTCTTTAATATTCCTTCCCATCAATTTCTTCTTGCTTAAATCAAGTCATTGAAAAAGAAAACAATAAATCTTCGTGGGACAAAGTGGAAATAGAAATTTGGAAACTGAAGTATATGAGAAGCTCCAATAGAACATAACAGAAAATAAGCAGAAACTCTTCCTGCCCTAGACTCCAAGGCTGAGGCCTGCTTCTCTCCCTTTAAAAGGGAGACTCACAAGAGTTAGAGAGGCGATGGAGATGCATTAGCAGGAAATGGAGATTGTCTATCTAATCAGAAGAAAGGAAAGAGATGGAAAAGGGATCAAAAAGGCATCTCACAATTGGGATTCAATGTTATTTAGCTCTGGTCTGGGTCAGCATCCCAAATAAATCATTTCAAGAAATAACTAAGGCTATATTTTTCAAACTCTTTTTTAGCCATGACACACTGAAAAAAACAGGTTGTATTTTGCAGATTACACACACACACACATACACACACACACTTACCTTTACAAATTGTAATGCACTCTGATGTTTCTTGTTCTTTCCTATTTGTTTTTCTAAAAAACACTAGTTGTGACCCATATGTGTGTTATCAGCCACAGTTTTTAAAACACTGCCTTCAACCTTGGGAGACATTGGTTATACCCACATCCCTAACCCCCATTCAGTGTAAAAATCCCCTCCACACCATTCTCAGTTATCCTATCGTGACTTGTTCAGCACACGCAATCCCCGTTATTCAAATACTCTTCAGCTTCCTGTCTTTACCACTGAAATGTATTATCTTTCTCCCCTGAGCTAAATTGTGGCAATTCTTTTAGCTTATGAGAAAATCAGATGTCCCTTATATTTTATTGTTGAAAATGCTACATAAATGCAAAACTGACTAAATTTAATCTTGACACAGCTGGGTATCTGGAAATTTAAATACTTTTTTCCTACTGCTTTGGTCCTCACAAATAAATAGGATACTATAATTAAGCATATCTGTCACTGATGTCGGTGATGGGCATAAAAGAAGAAATAGTGATTTTCCTTCCTCCTGATAGACTACCTCCACGTGCTTACAAGTAAAACTTGTCTGCCATGGGAATCGGTATGCCTCAAAAGTGAGGCACATAAAAGACACGTTGGACTGGATGAGCCGTTTTTGTGCAGCCACTACTCTGATCATGTGCCACCCTGGGAGAAATTACACCGTGCATCATTGCATCATTGGGCTTGCCAACAGCAGGACTGAAAATGAGGCATATCCTGGAAAAAAACAACTTTCTTCTGACATAAAATCCTGGAATAAGATCATATCCCAGGATCTTGTAGTTTCATCACTTAGAGAACAATGTCAGAAACTTTCATCTGTGGATTTTGGTTTTCTGCTTTGTAGAATAACAAATGTAGTCGGATCTTATTTTTAGATTCTTTTAATTGTATGCCATTGTTCTCAATTCAAAACTCCAGGCATAAAATTATATCATATAAATGGCAAGACAATGAAATTGATGGTAATCCTGCATTTTATACCCAAAATAACTTCAATAACAATAGCTAACATTTCAAAATCGAATTATGTGCCATGGACCTTCCTAAGTATTTTCTTGGCACTTAGCTCAATTAATCCTAACATTAACCCTATGAGGTAGTGTAACAGACTGAATGTTTTGCATCCTCCTCAAAATTCATATGCTGAAATTCTAGCTCCCAAGGTAGAACCTTTGGGAGGTGATGAGGTCTTGAGGGCCAAGTCCTCATGAATGAGATCAGTGGCCTTACAAAAGAAACCCCAGAGAGCTAACTCACCCCTTCCACCATGTGAAGACACAGCAAGCAGGTGCTGGCTATGAGAAAGCGGGCCCTTGCCACACACAGAATCTGCTGGCAACTTGATCTTGGACTTCCCAGCCTCCAAAACTGTGAGAAATAAATTTGTGTTTATAAAGCATCCCATTTAAGGTATTTTTGTTGGAGCAGCATAAATAGATTAAGATAGGTATTGCTGTTATTGCCAAGTTACAGAAGAGGAGACTGAGGCCTAGATATATGAGATGAATTTCCCAAGGTCATGCAACTCATTGACAATTTCCCAAGGTCATACAACTCATTGACAGAACCACAGCCAAACTTAAAACCAATATTCTTAACCACCTTTTTGTATTGTTGAATTCTCTCACAAGTAATTCAACAAAGACCCTAGTATTAGGATGGAAGAATAACAAGGCTTTCAGAGGAGGACTCAAATAGGTGGTAAAATGATTTAATAAGCACAACAGTATAATGATTAAGTGGATGAAACAGCTTTGACAAAAATATCTATTTTCTGTAGGTTCCCAGAGGACACCTCCATCAGATTTTGTCCCTCACCCTCCTTCTCCCACTAACAGACAAGAACATGGCTGCCTTCAAGTGTTTTAGGAAAGTTGTACTCAAAGTGTGTCCCCAAGATGAGCAGCATCACCGTCACCTAGGAACATGTTAGGAATGCAAGCTCTTATATCTCACTTGTTTTAATACAGGTTTTATTGTTGTTTTGGTAAGGCAGGGCCAACAGATCAGGAGACCACTGGCACTGAAAAGACAGTGTATTCTGCACAGTTTCCAAGAGAAGGGGCCACCCCACACCATGGACAGGGCCACATGGGAAAGATCTGGGTGGCTCAGGAGGCAGAGGGAGATGGGAGAAATGTGGACGAGAGCCTTGACTGTGGTTCCCATGGGCAGGAACTGCCAGGAAGGGTAAGCAGGCTTAGGATTGAATAATTCCCCCAGGATTTGGGGTAAGGGGGTTATCCCTACTTGTTTGGTCCCTGGCCCTGGGGAGATTAGGTGGATAGCGGCCTGGAGTCTGAGAGCCAGACAAAGGAGGCAGGTCGGATGGGGGCTCTGAATTGGTTGGTTTGCATTTGAAAGGTGTGTAACAGGTGAGTTGTTCACTGCCTCTTGGAATCGACAAACCCTTGGAAGGGTAGTGACCCCAGGATCAGCAATGCCCCAAATGTCAAAGCATCAGCACCCCAAAAATAAAAGACGTAGCTAGTACATCACTCTAGATTGCTAATTACAGCTTGTGATCCACAGTTTTAGAATTTACTTTCCCACATTTTACATAGCACAAGGAGCTATATGTATGTTGTACATACCTGAATTTTTCCTTTCCTCAAGAATTAACAACTTTAAAGAAGCTTTCTTTAAAGACATTAAATACACATGAAGACTTCAAATAATACTATGTATTTCTTTATGTCCCCCAAACAGCTGCGTATCTAAATTAGAATTAAAACAGCCAACGTTTTCAATAATAAATAGTACACAGAGGCATTCCAGTATACCCTTCAAGACTTGAGGCTTAGCACTATTCACAATAGCAAAGACATGGAATCAATCCAGGCACCCATCAAGAGCGTACTGCTTAAAGAAAATGTGGTACATGTACACCATGGAATACTACACAGCCATAAAAAAACCAACAAAATCATGTCCTTTGCAGCAACATGTACGCAGCTGGAGGCTATTATCCTAAGCAAATAAACACAAAAACAGAAAATTAGATACCACATATTCCCACTTATAAAGGGGAGCTAAATAGAGGGTACTCGTGGACATAAAGATGGCAGCAGTAGACACTGGGGACTACTAAAGAAGGGAGGCAGGAAGGAAGAAAGGGTTGAAAAACTGACTCTTGGGTATCATGCTGAGTACCTGGGTAACAGGATCAATCATATCCCAAACCTCAGCATCACACAATATATCCAGGTAACAAACCTGAACGTGTACCCCTGAGTCTAAAATAAGAGTTGAAATTATTTTTTTCAAAAAGAGAAAATTAATATTAGGTAAAACCTAAGGCAGTATGAAGAAGCTATGCATTTTAATTAATGAGAATGTATCAGTATTGGTTCACTCATTGTAACAAATATACCATACTAATGTAAGATCGCAATAGAGGAGGAAACTGGGTGAAGAGGTATATGGGAACTCTTTGTACTATATTTTAAATTTTCCTGTAATTCTAAAACTTGTTTTAAAATTCTATTTAAAAAAATTTAAAAAAAAAACTTAATGCTTAATCGTCAGAATGATCAGAAAGCTTTGGAGCCAAGGGCACTAGATAACCTTTTTGAAGTTTTACCTCAGAAAACTTCATTCCATTTTTTTTTCTGGAATTTTCCATTAATTTCTGAAGGACCTGCTTCTAAGCTTGGTCAACAACAAAAACTGTTGTTTCATGTATATTGGGAAAATTATAGAACTTAACTGTTTACGACCAAAATTTTTATTTTGAATCCATGCTTTGAAAATAGATTGATGTTGAAGATGGAAAAAGATGACAGATTTGGAACCCAGTCCTAGTTGTGCCTTATTAGTTGTATGACCCTGGACAAGTGAATAAGTCCCTATGGGATTTGAGTTCGCTCTCTGTGGTGCCAGGGTGTTGGATAAGAAGATATCTCAAAGCAAATGTGCCTCATCTGTATCTAAAGGCTTCTCACTGAAAAATTCCTTGAAGAGGACAATGCTTTTACCATGGTCAAATATAAATGAATTTTTCTACCTGCTTCAAGTTCCAAAATCCTAAGGGCAATTGTTATTTAAGACACCCTGGTCTACATGTCTGTGTATCATAGGAGTTCTCAATCTCAGTTGTGCATCAGAACTGTTTGGGGAAGTTTTTAAAATGTCAATGTCTGGAATTGATTCCCAGAGATTGTTCTTGGATCCATCTCAGGCATAGGAATTTTTTAAAGCTCCCTGGGTGACGCTAATGTGCACTCAGCACTGAGAGGCACTGACCTGTAATAAGTGCTGGAGCATTCTTTAAATCAGGAGAGAACACAGGTTGGTTAGTTCTACAGGTATTGGAATACATGGTGGGTGAGTGGGGAGGATACTATGAGTTTGGCCTCACCCGTGAAAAGAGAGGAGTTGATGAGCAGATAATGATTTCATAAATTATTCTATGAGATGAGGAATAGGACACAGTGAGTAAGATCAATATTCTCCCCTCTGCTGGTAGGAAACAGAAAGGGTATTTAGCTTCTAAAGTCCTGGGAAAAGCACATCTGCCAGACATTAATGTTTTCATGAAAGGTAGCAGAGGGAGCTCATGAAAGTTCCTATCTATATGGGAGTTTGCCGGCAGCAGAGGGCCTGGAAGGGATGCCAGAGCAGGGGAAACACCCAGGGTTGTGAGCACGTGTGAGACACCAAATGAGACCCTTGGTTCTTCCAGAAATGCTTGCCAGAGGAAGAGGGGGATGAGATTTACATAGGTTGAATTTTTGGATTACCCAGTTGAAGTGTTCATGGCCTGAATTCCTCACCTTTCGTGTATCCACACCATTTACCGTGCAATCTTGCACTGTTTTCCCACTCTGTCTCTGAACCGTGTGATGTAGTTTGGCAAATGGGATGTTATCAGATGGGATGCAAGCAGAGAGCCGAAAAAAATCACTTGTGCCTTACTACTGTCACTCTTGTCATCTCTATGTTTGCCATGTGAACATGTTTCCTACATGTGCAGTCAGTTCACTGATCTCAAGACATGTGAGCAAGCCCAGCTGAAGCAGATAGACCCGAAGGTGACTCCCAATGATTCCTACTTCCTGGGGTCCATCAGTTTATGCAACCTTCTCCTCTTGAATGTGGGTGAGGCCTGTGACTTGTTTCTAATCAACAGAATATGGCAAAGGTGATAGGATTTCACTCATATGATTACATTATTTATATAAGACCATTTCACTAGAGTGGCTCTGACACTCCAGCAAGCCTCAAAGAAAGAAGCCACATATGAAATGTGGAGAGGCCCGTGTGGCAGAAGGAAAAGCAATGTGGAAGGTTTTAGGAACTTAGAGCCTCGATTCTACAGCTATAGGAAACTGAATTATGCCAACAACCAGAGTGAATTTGAAGCAGACCCCTCCCCAGTTGAAACTCCAGATAAAAGCACAGCCTAGCCAGTACTGACTGGAGCCTGGTAAGACCCAGAAGCATAAAACCCAGCTAACTGTTACCTAGATTCCTAACCCACAGAAAGTGTCAGATATAAATGTGTATTGTTTTAAGGCACTAAGTTTGTGTAATTTGCTATGCAACAATAGATGATTAATACACCAGCCAACACCAGAAGAACCAGCCAGCTGACCCACAGCTTTATGAAGTAAATAAATGCTTATTGTTGTATGCCACTGAGTTTTAGGGTGGCGCCAAGTTGCTCCCAATTATGTCAGCTATGGCCATCCTAGATGAGCCAACCTCCAGATATATGAGCAATCCAGCCAAGATCATCAGAGTAACCTACCCAAGCCAAATATGACCAAAGGCACATAAGCCCAGCTAAAATCTGCCAAGTCTAGCAGAGATCAGCCGAACCCCACAAACTCATAACCTAACTATAAATGCTCATTTCTGTATGGGACTGAGGTTTTGTGAATGTTACACAGCATAACTGTAGCAATAGACAACTGATGCAGTGACAGTGAAATTTAGTTGTTGTTCCTTTAGTACCCAAAAGACACATGAGGATTCTGGAAATTGGAAACTGACTGTAATATAACATGACAAAAATAGCATTAATTGTAACTTATGTCAATGGAGAATTATTGAAACCTTTAGTCAGTCATACCTAAGACAAATATCCTTCTCCTGGGACAGCTTGAATACCATTTTCTTCATCAGTTTTTAATTTGTTCGTTCTATTTCTCCCACACCTATCTCACTAGAGTGATCAATTTTTTGTACCCAGTTCCCAATACTAATTACAGAGAAATAGCTACTTTTAATTCTCAAAGTAAATGTTTTATGTATATACATATGCTCACACAAACACACGCACTATTGATTGAATATCCAGGGTCCTTGCTACTGCTCCTTATATACAATCAATGCCATAATTTAAGGATTTTGCTTTTTCAATACTCACGGTAAATTTTGATCTACTAGCACCAAGTATCAGGAAATGTCAGATACTACAAGGTTATAAACTGTTCTGTGACCTCTGTAGTCTCTGGTTCTTTCACTCTCTCAAATGCATGCACACATTCTTCATTATGGCGGCTGAAGAGAGTGACACCCTCTGAACTTAGTGGGTGAAGAGGAATTTCCAGGTTCAGTCTGCCCTGAAAAAGAACTTTATGATATGAATCAATGACAAACCTAGACTACTTCCTGTACTGAAATGTTTAATCTTTACCCTGATGCAGCTGCCCTGTGAGTCATTTTAAATTGTTTCAAGTCCTTTATAGATATGGACTAAACTATCCATCCTGTGGTGATTACTCCCATAAAAGAAGTTTCCTTAAGATGCAATGAAACATCAGTACTGGGGCAAGGGGACTTCTGTGCTGATTTTAATGGTATTTTTGGTTTGCCTTACCCACCAAAATGGCTACAATAAAACCATAGTCAATATTAAGTTTCGACAAGAATGTGGAGGAAACTGAAAATCTGATTTACGGCTGCTTGGCATGTAAATGGTATGACCATTTTGGAAAGCCGTTTGGCAGCATCCAGTAAAGATAAAAATGTATGTACAACTTAAAACTCAGCAGTTATACTCCAACAAAATGCATGGATATGTTCACCACAGACTTGTGCAGAAAAGCTCATAGCAGCACTATTTCTAATAACCAAAACTAAGAATAACAAAAATGGCCATGACACTCTAATGGGTAAATAAATGTGGTTTATTGATACAATGAATTACTATCAAGCTATTACAATGAATGGATTGCAGCCCACACAAAATGACATGAATGTACTTTACAAACATGTTAATGCATGAAGTCAGACACCAAAGATAACATTCTATGTTATTTAATTTATGTCAGATTAAAAACATAGGCAAAATTAGTTTATGGTGCTGGAAGTCAGAACAGTGGTTACCTTTGGGGGAAGGGGGTAGTAGTGACTGGAGGACAGAATACTGAGGGGGGGGTTCCGGTGATGATATTGTTTCTTGGTCTGAGTGTTGGTTGCATGAGTGTGTTGAGTTTTGAAAATTCTTCAAGCTATATACTTATTATGCTTAGTGTTGTCTTTTCTCTGAGTTACATTTTAATACAAATTTTATATTTGTATTAAATACAAATATAATGTGTATCTTTTCTCTGAGTTACATTTTAATACAAATTTTATGTTTTTAACAACTCCATCAAAAAGTGGGCGAAGGATATGAACAGACACTTCTCAAAAGAAGACATTTATGCAGCCAAAAAACACATGAAAAAATGCTCATCATCACTGGCCATCAGAGAAACGCAAATCAAAACCACAATGAGATACCATCTCACACCAGTTAGAATGGCGATCATTAAAAAGTCAGGAAACAACAGGTCCTGGAGAGGATGTGGAGAAATAGGAACACTTTTACACTGTTGGTGGGACTGTAAATTAGTTCAACCATTGTGGAAGTCAGTGTGGCGATTCCTCAGGGATCTAGAACTAGAAATACCATTTGACCCAGCCATCCCATTACTGGGTATGTACCCAAAGGATTATAAATCATGCTGCTATAAAGACACATGCACATGTATGTTTATTGCAGCACTATTCACAAAAACAAAGACTTGGAACCAACCTAAATGTCCAACAATGATAGACTGGATTAAGAAAATGTGGCATATATATACCACGGAATACTATGCAGCCATAAAAAAGGATGAGTTCATGTCCTTTGTAGGGACATGGATGAAGCTGGAAACCATCATTCTCAGCAAACTATCACAAGGACAAGAAAACCAAACACCACATGTTCTCACTCATAAGTGGAAATTGAACAATGAGAACACATGGACACAGGAAGGGGAACATCAGACACCGGGAACTGTTTTGGGGTGGGGGGAGGGGGGAGGGATAGCATTAGGAGATATACCTAATGCTAAATGATGAGTTAATGGGTGCAGCACACCAACATGGCACATGTATACATATGTAACAAACCTGCACGTTGTGCACATGTACCCTAAAACTTAAAGTATAATAGTAATAAAAAAAAAGAAAAAAAATTGTTCGCTACTATGAGAATGCATCTGATTCAGTATAATCTGCTATAATTCTCCTTTGGTAACTTCAAGTCCATCTAGTTAGCTACTGACAAAGATCCTACAAAGCAATAGAAAAAATGTAATTATATTTCTTTTGCCCAAATCTGCTTCTGTACCAAAATAAGAGACTTCTGCCCTTGATAGAGATTTTGACAGCTCACCCATCATGCATGTTAAACAAACTCATGAAACCAACAGCGTTAATACAGCTTCAAGGGATGAAGGGAGATTTTCCTATGACGTGATAATGCCTTATCTTGTAAAGATCACCAGGGAAGGAGATTTTCCATTCTATGTTGCACAGCATCTGTCACTACATCCAAAATGGAGACAGCAACATCTCAGTCCAAAGCAACATAGCAGGAAAAGAAGACAAACCTGGACCTAATGAGAAGCAACCAATGAATCCATCATAATTTACATATTTAGCAGCCTTGAACCTCCCAGCAACTCCATGTATCTGGCAAATGGTCATTTTTCCCATTTCACAATTGAGGTAACAAAATCCTAGATTTTGCCAAAAAGTCATGCAGCTGAAAAGTGGCATAACTCAGTGCAAAGCCAGCAACCAACGATCCACTTCTCCTCCTCTTGCCAGGGCTTCTCATATGAGCCAAAACAGAAATCATATCTACACTGTTGGGATTACTCTTGAGCACCAGAGATGATTCTTTACAATATTGATGTGATAAATTTAGTGTACCTGTCCAAGCCACAATATCATGTTTCTATTTTAGAACTCAGGAGTTGGGAATATGGAAGCATTTCCTCTCTGTTTACCTAGACCATGGCCTACATGAGAAGAGAACCATTCATTGAAAGGGTCCCACAGATATTTTGGAATATAAACTTCCTGCATAAGAAATGCACAAAAACCCATGGATTTACCATATTAGATTCTATTAAAATGTTCTATAATAACTATATTCTGTAAGAAGAGAGACAACCCAACACAGGAAAATAGAGGCCCAAGGGAGGAAATATTCAACAATATTATTGAAATGTTAAAGAAGTGGTTCCTCCTGAACCAGCAGGATCAGCATTTGTTCAAATAGGAGGTTATTAGACCACATCCCACAGACTAGAAACAGAATCAGAAGCTCTGGAGGTGGGGCTCAGTCATATGTGTTTTAACAAGCTGCCCAGGTAATTCTGATGCAGTTAAAGCTTGAAAATAACTGTGACAAAATAAATAAAGCATCAGGTAAAATATTAGAAGTGCTTAATGAATAGTACAACATGTCATCCCAAGTTGAAAAAATAAAAGAGAGCTTATCATTCCATCAGAAGAAAAACACAACAAAACAAAAATAACACATGTAAGCAATAATTTATGAGTAAGAAGAAACAAGTTCCAAAACAGTAAAGGCAAGTTTGGGAGGTGTTTTAAAAACAGATTTTTGCTCACATTTTTATAATTTCTAGTTGTAAACACTTCATAAAATGCTTCAGAGGGACGAAATTATTTGGCAGGAGGTGCCTTAAATAGTAACTTCAGTGGACATTGGTAGCTATACACTACTTGTCATTACATTTCATCCCAGTCTTTTTTATTTTCACATCTTTTAATCCTCTTCCTCTTACTCTTTCTTTTTCCTCTCCTTAGTGAGGACTTTTGCCTGCCAATAGCAAGCTTAGCATAGTTGACTGCCTTCTGGAGGTCCTCGGGTTAAAAATGTTGACATCGTCCCTTAGATCCCCTAAGCAGAAAACTAATATCTACCCACCTCAACTGCAAGTGTAGCCATTAGGAAAAGCCCATCTGACTTTATTACAGTATTTTAAATAATAATTTTCAACTCAACAGAGCATTGCAAAGTGTAGGCTGCTTTCAAATACAAATTATCTTTAAGAAGTTGCAATCATGTCAAAGACAAGAATGCTGTCTTTATATTTCTAATATGAGACCTAGTACATGGGTGAACTCAATAAAGAAATCATTCAATTAATATAGGTGATTTTTCCAACTACTCTGCAAGGGAAGCAAAGCAACTATGCTCATTTTAAGGATGAGAAACAGGGTCGGAGAGGACACAGACCTTACCTTATGCACCAAAGGAATACTAAATCCAAGCATCTATGACTCAGGCCTATGCTCATTACACCACCAGTTATAGCTATAAAAATAAAATCGTTTACAACAGCATTGAAGGAAATGCAAAGCAATTGGCTTCAAATGCCCGAAATGGCTTCCCAAGGCCATGAGCAGCATGCTATGCAGTCCAGCTGGGAAGTCTATCTCACTGACCTCTTGCACCAAGGAATTCCTCTGGTTTCTATTTCTAACTTTTTCAATTGTGCAACTCTGTTCCTGGGATGGGAGATCTGTTAAAATGCTTGAGAATGTGTTGCCCTTCTCTTGAGTTAAACCATCAATCTTTGGAAAAGAGACATTTCTCATCAGCAGTCTAAGTCCTGGGCAGAACCTTTGGGCGGATATTAAACAGGCCAATAGACTAGAACTTCATAAGAACAGGATCACCCATCATCAAAGAGAGAAAACAAGCAAAGCTTGCTCGGAGAGTGATTGTCCCAATTTTAAATAGAAAAAAAAACCACTATAAACACAAATCTCAATAACATAGAAATAACCAAACCAGTGGACCCCATAATAAGGAAAATGTATTCAGAAGACCTGATGTGAGGCCCAGGAATTAGCATGTTGAACTACCAGTACAACTGTTTCTAATGCAGACTCCATGACTACCATTGAGAAAAACTAAGGAAGTGAGGTGTATAATAGTCTACATCTAGGTCCAGACTAAAAACTAAGCCAAAATCCTCAACATGTATGGCAAACGTAATATGGCAAACGTAAAGAGGACCTTTGACACCTCAAATTCTTCAATGTCGCCTACTTAGTTGACCATAATAGTTTTCCTTCACCTTCTCAGCACTGTGACCATCGCTTCATTGTTCTCACGTCATTCTTAGTCCCATCTCCTAAACTGCGCCGCCTACCATGGAGGTGGGTCCTGCAGCCTCTGTTTTCCAGGCTTCTGTACCAGCTGACTTCCACCCACATTCACCCAATGAGAGATGCTGGCAGGAGGTTAAAGAGCAGAAAGAAAGGAGAGTACAGGGCATTTCCCCCATCCTTCTCTGTCATAGGCAATGTCTCAGGTAGCAACTGTGCCTTCTCCATGGCTCTGGTTCTTGTCAGAGAGGCAGCTAAGGCTCCTGCTTTTGCTAGGTGGGCTTAGCTTCCAGCCTCAGAGACACTACCTCCTTCTTTATGCATCTAACCTCAGGAAAGATAATGGCATCCTGCTTTTGCAAATCTTTGTATTTCTTTAGCAGCTTCTATTTGGCGTCGCAGATGTTCCAGCAACTATGTGTCCAACTCTGTTTTAAATTTTTCTGGTTTCAGATTAGATCAGTTTCTGTTCTCCTGAATGACTCCTAACTGATACCTAGAGGAGCTTTATTTCAGCCAACTTGGGCATCAATCTTGGACTCCCCACCACAGCATTTCACAAAGATGTGATGGAACTCTCATCCTAACGTCCATCACCTACTATTCACCAGTTGAATCTGGCAATGTGGTTGGCCAGGTAGGTTATCTCCTTCTCTTAGCATCCCATTCTCATCTCTCCTAAAGCTCTGAAATCAGAGACAAAACACACCCCTGAGTTTTAGCCTGTCTTCTCTGACTGATTCTTCCTGTGCCTCATATCCCCAGAATCTGATGTCTAGGAATCAATTGATAAATTCAAAGTGTATAATGACTGATGCTTTTGCATTTTACTAGGGAACTTCAATGTTAATTCCAGAATGTGGTTGAAAGGAAAATTTCAACAGGGACTAAAGGATAAATATTTTAGTACAAGAGACATCTTTCTGAGGCTTCTCAAATTATACTCTGTGGGGAGCTACCTGTTATAGTTAGCAAAGAAAGGGATAAGTCTAACCTGGGTTGGGAGAAGGAAGAGTGGTGTGAGGAGGAAAGAGAGAAACTGTCCAGCTACTAAACATCAGCTGACCTTAATCGAGTACTTGCCATGTTCAAGACACTGTCTTAAGTGCTGTAGGTATATTATCTCATTTAACTCTGACATCACCATGAGGTATGTATTAATACTTTTTAGCAAATAGGGGAATACAGCATAGAAATTAGTTATTTGCCCAGATAGTATCCTTGCTAAACCGAAGAGCCAGGATTCAAGATAAAACCACAGGGCCTGCACACCACATCACCTCCTGAAAGTGAGTCAAACCAAGAAGAAATAAAGTTAGAAGTAATAAAAGCTATCATGTTATTACTAGTAGAACATAAAACACACCTTCCTTTTCTCTTTCCTTTTTTTCTGAAGTTTTCCTGATTGTCTACATGTATAGCACATGCTGTGTGTGTTTGTTTCAGGAAAAGCCAATCACTCAGTGATGAGGACACTACAGAGGCGAGTGGCTTCAGTGGGGAGACAGCATAATTTGCAGCATGGGAGGGATCTGTCCTGTTATCACAGCCTGGTGGTGATTTTTTCAGTCTTGATGACTTTGCAAGGCTGGAGACATGCTTCCTCAGGAAGAGGGAGAGTAACAGAAACATTTCCTCTCTCTGGAGACAGGATTCAGCCAAAGCATGGTAATGAGGGAGGGACTTGACTGTTGCACAATTTAACCCCTGGCTCTAACAATTACAAATTAATAACCTAAAGTATAACTGGCATGTTCTATTCACAGAAAAAAATAATAATTCATTGAGTAATTCATGCAGCATTTACTTTACATGAAAATACCAAGGAAGACACCAAGAAAATTAGTAGTTGATAGTAAGAACAAAGAAAGATGTACTAGAAAACACTGCTGTTTCTGATTTATGCTCTTCTCTAAAACACAGATGTGGGTGTGTGTTTGGGGGAGATGCATTTGTCTAAACCCTTCTGGCAAATTGACAGCAAACCCAATTCAACAGGCATTAAAAAAAGTGGGGCCGGGGGGATTTTATTGTCTCAATAGCCAATATCTTGTTTCAGGAACCGGTACATCTAGAAACTCAGATGATGTCTTCAGAACATCTTGAAATCATGGACTTTCTTGGTGGACTCCTTTCAAAAAGGACCTCACCACCACAACTCGAGGTGACAAGATAGTGCACTACAGCCCCAGACCAATTTCTTCTCCTCTTAGCAATGCCGGTGGACAGACAAGACCACCTATACCACCTTCATCCTTGACTTCCTTCCATACTTCCTACACCACCAGCAAAAGTACTGAGATTCACTGTAATTGGACAGATGTGGGTCACATGTTCATCTAGTGAGCGTGGGTCACATGTTCATCTATTGAGCCTGGGTCATGACATAACCACCTGAAACATGGGGGCAGGTCAGCTCTAATCAAATCACATGACCTGATTGTGAAGGAAGAAAGGTCTTCAAGAAACATTAATACTTTTAACAGAAGAGAGAAGAGATTCTGGACAGAAAACAACAGCAAATGTCCAGACCACCAAATGGGCAAAGGTTAACAAAATATTTTTTAACTGGGTGGGAGAAGAAGCTATAGTAACTGACAATTATTTTTGAAGGGAGGAATACAGGAGGAAAGACAGGAAAAGAGATTTAATGGCAAAGAAATCAAGTAGTAATTAATTTATTCATTTATTTACTAATTTGATAATCATTTGAGTCTCTAGCAAGACGTAACTCCTTCTATGCATAAATTTTTTTTACCTTTTCAACTAATTCCAGGGGATGTTTCCAACCCAAGGTTTACACATAATAAAATATAGGATTTCAAGTTAAAATGTTTAATAACATGTTAAAAAGGAGTGTTCTGGTGAAATATTAAGTGATTTCAGTTCTCCCCAAATGCCCTGCTCATTCCTTCTGCATTTCCTTCCCATACTTAATAGTATTTAAAAATAGTATTTAATAGTATTTAACAATAGTATTTAATAGTGTTTTTTTCAAGAACCATCCCCAAAATTAAGTTGAATTAGTTTTCTGGCAAGAACTAAAATTCTAAATCTGTAGAATTGTTTAAACATTTTTGTGAGAATTATTGAAATGTCTAAATCTTCTCAACGTTTTAAAATTATTCAGACATGAAGGTATATATTTCACGTACGTTTCCTTCATTGAGTCAAAGAGTGTGGAGTAAATAGCAAGAGAAAGGGGACACAGGGGAAATACACCTCCTCCATTCTGCAGTTGTTCTACATTTCTCTTTTGTACAATATCATTTGTGTCTCTAAACCTCAAGCAGCTCAGGGCAGTACTGTGTCTGTTTGTTTTGGCACTGCCAGAGTTATTATATGAGCCACTTTTGCTTGCTGAGTTCAAGGAACAATAAATAATAATAAAGAGAAAGGGCAGTTTGATGGCATGACTCCGTAGAAGAGGGGAGGTCATGTGGCAGTTGCCCTCCAACTGTAAAACTCAGGTTTCACACCAGTTACAGGACTGGAGGTAGATTAAGCAAGAAGGGAGTAGACTCCACTTTCTTCTTTTTAATAACACAATAATATCATGATGTCTTGAAAGATAAATTGATGTCCATGAACATGGTGTTCAAGTGTTTCTCTGCCTGGCCACAGCATGGGAGTGGCAGTGCAGCAAAGTGAGGGTAATAGCACCAACACAGACATCAATTTCTGTTGGCAGAAAATTTTGCAGCCAGGATCAACCATAGAGAATCATTTTCACTGAAAGTATTTCCCCTGTCATATTACCTTAACATTCTTCTGATTCACAGACAGCTAATTTTACCAACAATACAGAATTTGGAATGACTCTTCTCTGATTAAAAAAATCTCTATCCTGAGCTAGATTTATTAATTTCTTAAGCTGCTCTTATGGTACAATCTTATGCAATATCCAGTGAGAACCTCATGCCTTCAAAATGAAGCATCGAGAGTAACAAAGATTTTTTTAATATAACAAGGATTTTTTTAATAACCCCTTTCAGACTGGCAGGATGCCTCCGCCCTCTCTTCAATAGGTTTCTTTAATGAGGATCACTAATGACCAGTGAAAATGTTCATTGCACAAACTGCCAAGGGTTTGGGGATCTTTCAATACGTGATACAGGTGATCAGTATATCTTCGTTATGTGGATGGTGGGGGTAGACTTGAAGAAGACACATATTGAGAGCGCACTCCTCTTCTGGCTAAAGAGGAATAATTCATGCCTCTTTGCAATAAGCCTTTAAAAATTATCACTTTAAAACTTCATTTTGTACCCATCACATAGTGGGATCCAAAGTGCTTTGACTTTAGAGTTTTGTCCTGGTAGAAATGGGGCAAGAGAGAGGCTTCTCTTCCAAAAGCCCTCATATATTCTTTATATTGGTTCTGCAAGTCGGTCTTAGATATGCTTCTGATTTCCTCAGCTCTTCCAGATTTTATACAAGCTTGGGATCGAAAGGTGTCTAATGACTTTTTCTCAAAGATGTCGGTACTCCGCTTAATTAAAGGAACAGTTTGATTTAGTCATTCATTAGAGTAGAAAATTCTTAGAGATAGTTTGATCAAAGGGAGAAGGGCTATTGGGGAATTAGAAAGGTTATTGCAAAGCTAACTAGAATTAAAGTCAGGAAGCCTTCTTCCTATAAATTAGGCTGAGGCTTAGCCTCACAGATGTCCCCCCTACACCTGATGCAGTCAACACAGCACATTAATTAATCTCCTCTGAGCCAAGCACTTGGCTTCATGTGCCATATGATAACCTTTTAAAATCAAAACTGACAGAAACTGCTATGTTTCAACAAAACCATTTCCTCTACCTCCTGGGCATACAGATTAGATAAACTATATTTCCCAGCCTCCCTTGCAGGAAGAATAGCCATGTGACTGAGTCTAGCCAATGGAACAGAAGCACAGGCACTATTTGCCATTTTCAGTCTGGCCATAAGAATCTCCCAAGCAATTCTCCAAATTCCTTCTTTACTCTTCTGTCATCCAAATGTGGAGAGTCCAGCAAGGTCCGAAGAGCGAGGGAGTCCCAATATAATAAGCCTGGGTCTTTGAATGACCATGTCAAAAATCTTCCCTGGTAGGGAACATTCACATCATACTTTCCATGAACAAAAAATAAACTTTTATTGTTTTAAACTACTGAGACTAGGGTATTGGTAGTGTTTGTTATAGCAAGCTAGTGTTACTTACTCCAACAATCCTTTTCCCACCAAAAAAAAAAAAAAAAAATTTAGAAAATAGATCAGAAAAGAGGTCTGTCTATACAAAGATATTTGTAAGTGGCAGTAAACCAAACCTAGCCTGTGGACACAACAATTAATATATTTCAAAGTGTTTTAAGGAATGCTTTGCAAAATTATAGGGTGCAAACAAATGTCAGTGATTGCTACTATTATATCTAGCAGCCAATTAAAGTTAAAACCACCTACTAAATTATAAAGATATGGTGTAGCCCCATAGAATTGTCTTAATAATTCCTCTGAGTTAATAGTTTCTCCCAAAGCAGTCCTGGTTTCATCTAGTAATTAGAGTCTAGCATTAGGACTACATAAAATAGAATCTATGGGTTCACAGCTGACAATAGGAATTTACCAACTCTAGTTTATGCTCCCAAAAAATTCATGCTCATCATTAAGAGACAAGATTGGAGATCTAGTCAATCACCATTTGAAAATTACCATAGTAATAATTGTTATAATCAAGAACCATCAATGGATGCTAAAAAAAATGAGAGAAAAATTTTTGAGAAACAGTATTATCAAGCAAAATCACCATTAAGCAATGACCACAGTAATAACTGTTGCAAGTAAAATCCATCAATAGATGCTATAATTGATGGCGAAAGTTTCAGGAGAAATAATATATTTGCATAGTCTCAAAGTATCTCCCCTAGGATATTGATCAGTTCCAAAAGGGGAAAATAGTAACTTTATAGTGGAGAAACCCAGCAGACACTACTCAGCAAAATGAGCAAGGTTAACATCACCAGCAATAAGCTATATGAACATGATGTTCCCCTGATATCACACACTGAGAACACATTGTCACTTCTGTGGCATTCCTGCCGCAAATGCATAACCTCAATCTAATCAAAAGAATACAGAACACAAACCCTAATTGAGAGAAAGTCTACACAACAAATAACCCGCACTCATTAAAGGTTTCATCATCATGAAAGACAAGAAATGACAGTGAGAACAACCATAGGTTGGAGGAGACTAAGAAGATACAACCTTAAAAAAAGCAATGTGGGATCCTGGAATAGAAGAAAGTATTAGGGGGAAAACCGATGAAATTCCAGTAAGGTCTGTAGTTTTGTTAAAAGTATTATACCAATGTTAATTTTCTCATTTTGATCATTCCATTTTGTTTTTGTGAATTGCTAACGTAGGGGAAGCTAGATACAAGGTATATTGAAACTTGGTATGACTTTTGCAACTTTTCTGTTAAGTCTAAAATTATTTCAAAAACAAGTGAGGGGAGATATTTATCTACTCTCAACATATCTCCTATGAGATATTTAACTACAAAGAGGAAAATAGTACCTTTACAATGGAGAAGCCCAGCAGTCACTAACCCTCATCAAGTGACCAAAGTTAATATCACCACTAATGGGACAAATGGAAATCAAATGTCTCCTGATATGACACCCTAAGAAGGACTTAACATCACTTCTGTGATGTGCTTGCCAAAAAACAGATGTATAACTTGAATATAATCATGAGGTAGCACAGACTAATCCAAACTGAATGACATTCTACAAAATGACTGGCATGTACTCTCTAAAAATGTCAAGATGTGCAAGGCAAGAAAAACTGAGGAATCTTTCCAGATAAAACAAGACATAAGCAATATGGCAACTAAATGCATCAAGCGACCTGGATTGGATCCTGGACAAGATTTCGTATTCTTTTGTTATAAGGGAAATGAGTGGGACAATTGGGGAAATTGCAATAAAGTCTGTAGCATAGCTGTAAAAGTTCATCAGTCTTAAGATTATTATTTTCATTATTGCATAATACTATGGTTATGTAAAAGAAAGTCCTTTTACTCAGTGAAATATTTAGGAATGAGACATCATGTCTGCAACTTGCAAACAGATCAGATATCTTATCCATCCACAATCACACACATTTATATATAAGGAAAAGAAGTAGAGCATGAAGCTCCCGGGTGAGAACAGCACCCTGGGAGAAGAGAAGTAATGAGAATGCCCATGTAAATTCTCTAGACAAGAAAGGGGTCAGGTTAACTAGATTCACCATGTGTTTAGAGAAGTTGGAAATAACATTTGTCTTATCTTGTGGAAGATAACATTTCCAAAGTCATTCAGATGAGCTTATGAAGAACCTCAGCTTCTAGATTTCTTTAACCATAGGAAATAAGGAATCAATGAAAGTTTTTTTGAGTTGATACACGATGCACCAATTACACTATAGCTAATACATCTGTTGAAGATTGGATTAAAGTGGGGAAGAGTCTGAAAGTTAAACAAACTATAGGCATATTTCCACTATTATAAGGCAGTGATGGAGACAATAGATTCCTGGACATGGAAAAGTACATGGAATTAGCATATGTGAGGTACCTAATAACCTATGGAAATGTGTGACCAGCAGAGCTATTTATTTTCTGTCATCAACATACAAAATTAAGTGTTTAATTACCTTTATCTTCACAATGTTCTTAATTCTTTTTCAAATCGTGGAAAAGACAGACCTGGAGTTATAAACACACATTCGTCTGGAGCTCACCTCTTGGAACTGCCAAAACATCCAGATTTTTTTTTTCTTTTTTTTTTTTTTGAGACGGAGTCTCAGTCTGTCGCCCAGGCTGGAGTGCAGTGGCGCCATCTAGGCTCACTGCAAGCTCCGCCTCCAGGGTTCACGCCATTCTCCTACCTCAGCCTCCCGATTAGCTGGGACTATAGGCGCCTGCCACCATGCTAGGACCTTGCTGGACTCTCCACATTTGGATGGCTATTTTTTTTTGTATTTTTAGTAGAGACGGGGTTTCACCGTGTTAGCCAGGATGGTCTCGATCACCCGACCTCGTGATCTGCCCACCTCGGCCTCCCAAAGTGCTGGGATTACAGGCGTGAGCCACCGCGCCCGGCCATCCAGATGTATTTTAAACCATTAAAATAAATACTAAGTATTTGTCCTTGGGAAATAATTAAAGACTTTAACAGAAGGAGGGATAAACAACAAAAAAAAAGCATTTGACATGTTAATTTACATTAGCTGATGGCTAAGAGTAATGCCTGATAATTGAAACTATGAAGAGTTCGTGGTATTCTGTGAGGTATGCCACAGTGGAAAACAACCAAAGGCAAGGTGATGGCTGTTCTCCACTGGGGGTAAGGCTGTGGGAATGGGGAAAAGGGCAAGGCATTGCTGTAAGATTAAGGATAAAGCACGCATTCTGATAATTGGCCTCATATGGTTCTAGTCAAAACTATGGGAAAAAGAGTGTGTTTTGTGAAGAAGGAAGTGTATGCAAAGGAACAGATTTTAGGAACTTTCTTAGGGATGTTCTTGTTTAGGAAAGAGAAACAGCCTAAAAGACCACAGGCGCCATGCATAGAAGCCAGGAAAAGTTCAATATTTCAAAAAGAAGCCGATCAAACTTAACTCATCTCTAGATAGCAAAACTATACTCACAACCTTGAAGATGCTAAGGAGAAAATAGCTAATAACAAAATATTTTTAAGTGTCCTGTATAATGCTACACAAAAAACAATTTGGTTCAACTTATGTATACCTCATATTCAGTTACCTTTTTTTCTTTGAACTTTTTGGAACTACCTAAGTGTTCATAGATAAGAAGGTCAGAAAATATAATATATTTATGATTTAAAAAATTATTTCTGAGGACACATAATTTTTCCTGAAATTTTTGAGTACCTTTTTTCAATATTTAATTTTCATTAATATATTTTAAACAGAGAATCTCTTTCAGACTCTGGAAGATCTCTTATCTTTATGGGATGTGATGAACATAAATGTATTGATCACAATTCTTCAAACTGCAAAACATTTCATCATTATCTGAGTAAACAATGTCAGGATTTTCATATTGTGGGACAAGGTATTGAATCTCTAGACCAAAAACTAGATCTGTAACTGAGACCAGGGATCTTCTAATTATGGTCATCCTTCTCTGAAACAAATCTAATCTACAGGTATGTTTTGTTGGGCCTGTGCATTGTTCTTCATAAACTCAGTTTAAACATTTAAAAATATAAGAGATTTTCTACATCATTAGAAAAAAATGGGAAATGCATAAAGTCTATGCTGTTAGGGTGGAATACAAATTTTCCATCTGAGTATAGTCTCCACCATTTGTTAGTCTTGTTCCAGCCTTTTCACTCAGTTATTTTACTGGCCTAGCCCCTGAAAACAGTTAAATTTGCAGTTCCTGTGTAGACTCTGCCAAAGAGGGTGGGGGAAATTACCACTCCTAGGTGTTTAGAAAACAATAAAAATTGTTGGCATTTCCCTTGGGAAATAAAGCAAAATTACATCTTCCCACATTTGCTTTTTCCTCAAGACAGATGTAAAAGAATTGTCTTCCTTTATCCCTCTAACCCTTGGTGTTATACCAGAGATCAAAAACTGTCTAGGGATGATTTTAAAGCAGAGTGCTTGAGTAGCTTCCCAGACCATTTTACCACCACCAACTACCTTCCCCAACTAGAAGAAGAAAAAAAAAAAAAAAAAAACAGACTGGCTTACTATCTAAAATCCCAACCTAGGCCATAATAATTAAAGTTTGAGGTACACTTTCATAACAATGAGAGTCTTTTTAAAAATATTTACCTTTTTATCACCAAACACTGATGATTTAATTAAAAGTTTTCTAATTATCCAGGATGTTTCACAACTGCTACACAAGTTTCTAGCTGTTCTGCATTTGATCATTATTTTGGTCATCCTGCAATAAATTTCATCTGTGAAATATGTGGTTCTACATAAGAGACATCAAAGACATTTTTAAAACCTTCATCTCTAGAAGTTCACTCCAAATCACAGCAGCAGAAATGGAAAGTCTCCACAGGAAGCACTCACCAAAACCAGAAGGGACTCCAGAAACAAATTTAGCCTTAAACATTTACAAAACCACAAGAAAAATTATCTCTTGATTCCTCATGCTATGAGCACTCAAAAACAACAAATTCAAATGATTTGTGCTTTTCAAGTCTTCTGCTCATGTTAGCCTGACAATAAACATCCCTGCTCTACACGGAACTAAGAGAGGTTAACATAAGAAGAGCATCCCGTAGGGTCTTGCTACTCAAAGTGAGGTCCATAGGCTCGCAGCATCTGCATCACCAGGGAGCTTAATAGAATTCAGATTCTCAGGCCCCACCCAGACTTCCTGAATAGAATGTTCACTGTAAGATTCCCAGCTGTTTCTTTATGCATATTAGAGTTTATATACTTCTCTAAGATGCAAAGATCCTTTCTCTCTTAGAGTATTTATGCACTTGAATAAGACATATACATAGACCTCAAAGGTTCCCAAGAGAAAATATATTCAGCTTCCTCATTTTACCAGTGACAAAATGGAGGCTCCCAAAAGGACAGTGCCTTGGCCACATTCACACATTTAATGGTTGGCAGAGCTCTGGCAAGAAGTCAGGTTTCTTGATTCTCTTCTTCATATTCTTTATACCCTGCAACTCCTTTGCATCTGCAAAGAAATCTCAGAAGTGAACATCCGGAACTAGTGGCTTAAGAATCAAAATATCTCCTCTGTTTGCAAGCTTCACTCCATTATTCGGCAGTTGATGTGCCAGGAATTCTTGTAGCCAGAGCCAGGCCAGCTTGGGGTTTCCCTGCTGACTCTTCCAGGTGGAATGTGTTAGCTAACAAGTCAACACTCGTGTTAGGCAGGTAAAGGCCCACATTCGGTGGATCAAGGACTTGCAGTCATTCATTAAGTAATTTGTTTCCTTTGTGCCAGGACCAAATCTCAGGCTACAGCCCGGCTCTACTTGTCAGGTCCTTGCTTTGCAATGACCCTCAATATTGGTAAAGTCACATCACTAACCAGCTGAGCCCAGCTCAGTGTAAGTTCTATGACAGGCATTGATGAGCAGAGAGAGTCTGACAGAAACCCTTCATGTGGCCCCTATTCTACAGGTAGAGTATGAAAAGTACGGGCCAGGAAGTTTCTTTCTCTGCTAAGATGCCCTCAGGGTAGAGGGAATGGAGGAGTAGAAATTTGGTTGAGCACAAAAGGGTAAATAGAGTGTATCCCAGTAGTTCTTAAGAGTTTTTGCCTCTAATGGGGTGCTAGGGCTGCTTAGTCCTAAGAATAAACTACCTGCAAATGAGGAATTCTAGATCCACCCACTTGTTGCACTAAAAGATAAAAATTAATCTACCTTTCACAGTAACGCAAGGATAATTAAGAGTTTGTGAACATAAGATGACTTTAAAAATTATATGGGCCACTGTGTTTTCAAAGCTACGTCAGTTTTCTTTAGACCAACCCAAATCTTACTGGCTTAAAACAACAACCATTTATTTTGCTTATTATTCTGTGGTTCATCTGGGCAGATCAGGTCTGGGAAAGCTTGAATGACATGCTGGGCTCTCAGGTGCCTGTGCCTGTGGTCAGCTGGTGATTGGTTTATTTGAGATAACTTCACTCACATGTTTGGTGATTGGGTCAGGTGTCTCATCCTCTAGTAGACAAACTCAGGCTCCTTCACTTGGTGGTCTCAAGGTGCAAAGAGCAGTAAGAAAGACCCAGCCCCAATGCTCAAACACATTGCAAGTCTCTGCTTGCATCATACTTTCTATTGTTCTTTAGCCAGAGAAAGTCACTCAGCTTATTCAAGTCAGAGACAGTTCTGAAAGACTATTAACCCTGCCCAGACGTCTTCCCTACTTCTTTGTTCTAGGATACTTGAGTGGCATGGTTCTACAGTGCTGTTAGCAAAGCAGTTACAACTTCTAATTGCATGATGGTAAAGCGGCCATTCTGGGATGGAGGCAGGGACAGAGAGTCATACCTTACTTAGGTCTTTGATCCTTAGAAATTGAACCAATTGTCAAAAACACCCCTCCAAATCCATACTCTGAACAAGAATATAAATAATAGAACACAGAAAAATCAAAAGCTTAAGCTACTTTTTTAAGTAGTAAAAAGGTTTTAAAAACTTCAGTCAATTATGAACCCCACAATGAAGGAATTCAGTTAGGATGTTAATGTAACTGCATTGTAAAAGTTATACTGCTTTTTCTAGTTCTGTGGCCTCTACATCTCCTGTTGACCTGTTTTTTAGGCATCCGTGTGATAGAGAACTTTTTAATACCACTGAAACAGCTTATAATAGTTTTCTACAATATTGCTCACATGTTTATTTTATCTTATTTTTTGCCCAGGTGACCAATAAAAAAGTCCTCTGAAAATTCTAAGGTAGTTCTAAGGAATAGAAAACTGGGTGCCTATTTTCTTTTCCTATATTTACTATTGGATCTTAAGTAGAATGCAAGCTGCTGGATACAACTGGCATTATACCCTTTAAAAATCTCTGCAATTCACTCCTTGTGTTGGGTGTGCACAAGACATAGGTGGGGAGGGAAGCTATCCTCAATTCCACTCTAAGATGCAAGGTGTATGTTTTACCAGTTTTGTTTATATGCAGCACAATGCTGGTCATGTTAATTGGAAGTGCTGTGGCTAATTTGCTTTGGTCTGATATGAAATGCAGCAGTAGCTGACAAGCTGCAAGGATATAGATAGTTTGCTGAAATCAGGGAACAACCGTATTACTTGAGCAATGGAAATTGAAATCATGGCAAACCAGAAATATGGAATAGCTTTCATGTTGACTTTGTCTCAACATCACATACCCTTGGGAGTTAACTCCTGGACCCCATAGCAAGGGGAGGGGAAATGGATTCAAGCTGCCTGCATCCTCAGCCCATTTCACCAAAAGAAAAGCCAGAGGAAGAATTTTCTCTCTCTTTCCTTATAATTCTAATGAAGTCAGTGGAAGACTCTTCTGCAGCGTATCTTCAAAGGTTTAATGCAAACCTCCCACTTCTCTACCCTAAAGACAGTCCTTGTTCTCAACTCACTCCCTAGCATGAAGGTAAAGCCAAATCCCATGGATTAGTACTAGGGTTTACACAATTGGGACTGAATGTTGTCCCAGAGTATACAGCTTTGTACAGAGTAGGAATTCAGCACTCTGGAAAGACTTCAGCTATGCCATAAGTCTTTTTAATACTCATAAGTGGACTAAATATATCTACATGTAAATAGATGTAATCATATTTGAAACCCATATTTGTGATTCCCAGAAACATGATTATGTAAGCATAATCCTAAGGCTAGAAGTTAAATCTATGCATATACACATACATGCACACACATATAATCACATATCACAATGCTTGTAATGGACGTTCTGGGTTCCCCACCCCAGTTTTCTTTAACAGGCTACTCTGCCCATTCCCCAGCTGCTGTGAGTGTTTTACAGTTGCCCCTTATTTGGATAATTTCCCTTGGCCAAACCAGAGCCACTTTGCCTGAAAGGTTACACTTTCCTGCTCCTGATGGGGGCTATGGAGAGATATCCAATAATCAACTGATAGTGAATTTAATAAATAAATAGAAACAGTTTTCTGACCTTAAGGTAAGATCAAACTGTAGAGCTCCCCATGAGATGAGGCTGAAACTCAACTCCAGCTAAGCCTATACACTTGCTCAACATCTTTCCGGACCCATCCTACTTCCATCACTGTCTCTCTCCTCAGAGGACTTCAATAAATCATGTGCACTAAATTCTTGTCTCAAACTCTGCATCTGGGGAACCTAACATAAGACAACACTTCATTACTGATCCTAAAAATTTTCAGCAGCCAGGGCCCTAAAGGGGATGCTTTTTTTGGTCTGGACACCACCTTGCAGCTTTTGAAGTCACTTGCCACTGAGCATTTTCACTTTGAAAGCATTTGCTATTGACTATACACTCGATGAGATTTCCTCTTCCTTCTCCACCTCAGCCTCTGTCACTCACATCATGTATGCAGCAAAGCTTCACCTGGTTCCTGTTGCTTGAGCTGCCTGATTGCTATAGCAACCCAAAGCCCATGTGCCCGTTTTTACAACAATGTATAGATTAAATTACCTACCCCCTGCCATTTAAAAAAGTCTTTTAAAATGATGCTTTGGAGACAGTAATCTCTCTTGAACTTGAAACCCCAAAAACAACTGTCACAGGACTGGCTGTCCCTGGAAAATGTCCCCATAACAAGACTATTTTGTGAAACCAATGAAGCTGACCCAGACTTTGATAAGGTATCTCTGAAGGGCATAATATATCAAATATTTTCTTATCATCTTTCCCTGTATGCTTTCAGAGTGCATTTGATATTTTTTTCTTCTCCTTCACACAATTTACGTTCTGTCTTTATCTAAAGGTATGCCCCTCTTCTACACACTGGGGATGGAAAATTTTTAAATAAAATTAATTGAAAAACCTGATTAACCATGCCCCATTCTATGTAACTACAGCTAAATGTCCATGCAGGAGGTCTGTCTCTTAGAATACAATAAATGCACCCAGTCACCATGGCTCAATCTCATGCTAACCTTTTCCTCTCTTTTTATCAGATGTAGAAAGAAACAATTTAGACATTATGGATGTTGGCTTATTTTTTACCAGTGATCAAACTTATAGCAAATGTTTGCTGAACATGGACTGTCTAATTGCCTTGTATCTATTATCTAGTGCAGGCTACCTACCCAAGATTCCTCTACGCATTACCACCCAGTAAACAGCTGCCCCTTCGCCACTCCTCAGGCTTAAAAGTGTGTATGCCAGTAGTGCAATTCACCCTCTGGAGGACAAACTGAGAGAAGAGTCCCCTGCAGGCCCTAAGAAGGACTAAGGGCAGTTTTAGCAGTGGATCCTGGTCAAGGTTACTCCAAGCATATTCTGAAAGGACAGTGTGGGTTTTAGGTGGGTATGTTCCCTAGCCTTGTGAACTTCTTGCCTCCATGAGGAGCAGGATGAATGGGGAGAAATGCAAATCTAACAGACATGGCCTGTTAGAGCACAGGGTACAGTGCAGAGGCCCCAGTGGCCCAACTCTGATTATAGAACTTGCTCCATAGCCAGGAAATGATTGAGGCAGGACTTGGCTCCAAATCCCTAGAAGCCCTAATTATTTGACACCATTATTCTGTTAAAGCATCATTTCCCGTGGTTTATACCTTGCTTGAGTACAACAATGAATTACTGTTTTTCATGCTTTAGATTAGAATATCTGTGTTCCTTAGAGGATTACATGTGCAAATAAAGCTGGCCTTTCAAAAATTCTAAAGGGTAGTTGATCGATAGGCAATTCTTAGTAGAATTCTTTCCATGCTTAGAATGCTTCTCCCAAGAGTTCAAGGCCCAGGTAAATGATTAACAAGTGTATACATGCCCGCCCACCTGTAGGCAAAAAACAGAGAAGTGCAGGAAGCAGAGCTTCATGGCCTTTACTTTCAGGTAAATTAAGAGGGTAGGAATAGCTATTGAGAGCTGGCACCTAGAACGATAGGTACTTGGAGCATATTAGGTGCTCAATGAATATTTTACAAAGAAATGAAATGATGCAGCATGAACTTGTGAGTAAAATTTTAGTATTTAACTCTTCTGTGGATAAGAATTTGTCTCTTTTTGATAAGATAGACTTGACCTACCTTATCAATGAAACCAATGCCAACTTGGCTACTCTCTGTCCAATGGAACAAAAATCTCACATCTGTCTTAAAAGAGGTTTGGGTTTGGGGCAAAGCCCTAATATTCTCTGGAACTTTCAGATGTAGAATCTTCTACCTTCTAACTTCTTCAGCTATTTTAAGACTAGCTGCCATTGTTACTATGTGAGATGCTACCAAAGTCCCCTTTACCCTCCCCATCACAACCCTCCTATTAGCAACTCAGATCCAGAGATCTGAAGACACACTTTCCTCTCTAAAATGCCAAATGTGAAATATGATGAGCAAAAAGCTGATTGTATGTTCTTAATTTCTGTGAAAAATTCATGTTCAAAGTGTGTGTGTGTGAGAGACAAGAGATTATGTAAATATATGGAAATAAAAATTATATTGATATAATTGATTTATCTTTTTTTTTTTTTTTTGAGATGGAGTCTTGCTCTGTCGCCCAGGCTGGAGTGCAATAGCACGATCTTGGCTCACTGCAACCTCCGCCTCCCGGGTTCAAGCGATTCTCCTGCCTCAGCCTACCAAGTAGCTCAGGCTACAGGCTCTCACCACCACACCCAGCTAATTTTTGTATTTTTAGTAGAGACGGGGTTTCACCATGTTGACCAGATGGTCTCGCTCTCTTGACCTCGTGATCTGTCCGCTCAGCCTCCCAAAGTGCGGGGATTACAGGCGTGAGCCACTGCACCCAGCCTCATTGATTTATCATTAAAACTCAGTAGAAAAACAAAGTTGGGGGAGTGGGATTCATACACACATACCCCTAACTATTAACCCAAAAAGGCGACATGCATTAGTCTGATCATTTATACCCAGATAATTATATGCCATTTAAGAACTATATGGTTATAGATATTATAAATGTATAAAATGATAACAGAAGCCTATTTATTTCCAGATATGTAGAAGAGAAAATCCCACTGATATAAAGAGAAACAAACAAAACTCAACATTTTGAAAATCTGTGCATTATTTCTGTATGTCAGATCCAGAATACTTAAAATTTATTCAGTTGAAATCGCTATATAGAAATTGAAAGAAAACGGAGAACACAAATAATTCATTAAAATGACAAAAGAAATGACTGAAGTGAGTGGTTTCAAATATCCAAAAAGCTAAAACAAAACAAATGCACTTCAATTTTATCTGTAAGTTCTAAAACTGTGGTTCTTAACTCTTCTTGTCTTTGTATTTCAATGAATAAAAAGGACTATAAAAATAAACATAGGAATCCACACACCAACAATTGCATTCAGAGATTTCACTGACTACCAAGAAGCTCAACTTTGGGGCTCTCAGTTACTTTACATTACTGATCCTCATTTATATTGAACAGCTCTCGGTTAGAGACTGTGGGACACAACTCCAAGGGAATAACTTTCAGAGACTTTGTGAGGCCTTGGGTATAGGCTAGACTGGGGTTCTTCTTAAAAACTCTCCCTCATTTATCCCACCCTTTTCCTCCTGTCTTCTTCACCTGCCATTGCCCCCATTGCAAAGGACTGTGTCACAGATGTTATCCATGCTCTATTCAGATCCCATCTACACTTACCATTTGCGTGATTGGTAATAGAGCCAGCCAGCTCCTGAGATTCTTTGCCTGGAGACTCTCTGTCTCTGGCTGCTGGAACCCACTCTGCCCATTTACATTGTAAGCTGGAAACACACAAAAAAATTGATGTCCAATACCAAAAGGAGCACCTCCTCCCCAATGAATGTCAGGGGTTAATGCCCCAGCTCTTGCCTCATGGGCAGAATAACTCTAAGATACATGTTCTACCCTGCCTCACAGAGTCACCCAGAGAGATGAAGCTCCAATTTTCCACAGTTACTTGCTTGATGACACATAATCATGAGCTTCTTTCTTACTTTGGCAATCAGGTTGTGAGCTCTGGCCTTTACAAATGAAGGCAGCAAAAGATTTGGGCTTCCCTAAGGCCAGTCCTAGTTACAACCTACTAATTAAAACATTCTTCAAAATAGACCATTCCACCAAGATGGAGTCATCCAGGAACCCCTCATTTGTTTTGCTCAGAGGCCAGAACATCTATGTTCTGGCAAGCTATGAGACAGTTGTCCCCACACTCCAAAGGTCCCTCTGATGGTACCCCTTGCAGAAACAAGCCCTTCAAAAAAGGCCAACTAAATTTTCCCTGAAGAGCACTGCCCAACCAAAGTTTGCAAAGACTACTAATATCCAAGTCCCAGATGATCCAATTTGGAGTCATCTGTGTTTATTCTGAGAAAGTGTGAATGGCATCACCTACCCCAAACAAAGCAAACTATTGTGCCCCTGGATAAAAGCCAACATCCTTGTCATGAATATTTAACTAAGAGCCACAGCTTATCAATATTTGGCACAACTGGATTGATCCTATCTTCCTGTGTTCTGGAACACGTCTTGTGAAGAAGATGATCAGAATATTTTATGTTCCAATTTTCTTTGCCTTCATATCCCAAAACTTTCTACTAAGTAATTCTAAATTCAGATGATTCTCCCCATGTCTCCTTCCCTGAGAATTAAATTCACAGTAGTCCTGCCTGTGAAGACTTTAGAGATTTATCTGACTTATTTTATCCCAACATTATTGGTGACAAAAATATCTAACTGGTATTCAGTACAAAGTGAAGCCTCTCATCTTCCCTAGCATGTTGACGCACAATGTTGATTTTGAGAAGGTTCCTTGAGAATCAAAATAAAAGTGTAACACTGGTGAATACAGGGCACATTAAAAGTAGAGGAAGGAGGATAATGAAGAGAAGGAGGAGAAGAAGAGAAGAAAGGAAAAAAGAGAGAAAGAAAGAGAGAGAGTAAGAGAAAGAAAGAAAAAGAAACAAAAAGAAAGAAAGAAAGAAAGAAAGAAAGAAAGAAAGAAAGAAAGAAAGAAAGAAAGGAAGGAAGGAAGGAAGGAAGGAAGGAAGGAAAGAGAAAGATTGAGAAAGAGAAAGAGAGAGAGGGAGGGAGGAGGGGAGGGGAGGGGACAGGAGGGGAGGGGAGGGAAGGGAAGGGAAGGGAAGAGAAGGGAAGGGAAGGGAAGGGAAGGGGCATTTAATTGAACCCTGGGTTGGAGACTGAGACAAGATGGGGCAGGGGATCAGCAAATATGTATGCCTTTAAGGAATGTTCAAAGGCTTCTCTGCCCCAGAAGTGTTCATCTTCCAACCCAGCAAAAGATGCCTGGAAGACTCACTTTTAATCACTTCCCTGGATTGATTTGTTTAAAAAAGAAGAAGAAGAAAGGAAGGAAGAAAAAGAAAAAGCTCTGTTAGAGGGTTAACAAAGTTTGGTGGTTGATAAGAGCTTGTGTCCCAGTTTGTGTGGATGGCCCTGGTGTCATAATTAATAATGCCCCTTTTCACTCTGAAAAATGTCACAGCTCAGACAATGAACTATATGGTCATTCTAGGTATAAGTCACTCTAGGGATGACTCTCCTCTTTTCTAGCTATGCAGATTATGTGAAACATCCTCTCTCTGGGCTTTAGTTTCTCACCTGTAAAATGAAAATGATGGTAGCAGCTGCCTCTCCGGGTTTCTGTGAAGATAAAGTATGATCTTAAATTTAAAATGCTGGCCTTGCTACAGATTAAGCACACGATAAATTGAAGCTATTATTATTTTAAAATAATGCCATCTGGGTGGAAATTTGTCATGTGGGGTTGAACCATGGTCACCACAAATCATTCTGCCCATCTCAGGATATTTTAGGTAAAAAGCCAGTGACCATCCAAAGTGACTCCATCACAATCCACCATGGGAACTACCCAGTGATTAACAAAGTATGTGCTGTTGTGCCCCTCAAAGCCTGGGCCACCAGGAACTCAAGAGATGGGGAAAACGTGTCTTGAGTCCTGTGGTATAGAATACAGGGCAATGGTAGCCCTCCACACAGGTTTAGATTTTTTAAAGAATCAAAGCCGGGGTAACTGGGCTTCCCTGTTTCTCTTCAACCCTATCTCTTGCAGCTGTGAGGAATCCAACCAAGCCTGATCAAGGGTCATCCCTGAACTGGGGCATCAACCACATGACGGGGGTTCTAGTCTTGTCCTCAACACATCCTTCACCTTCTGAAGGATTTCCCAGCTCCACATTTTGCAAGTAAAACCCCCCATTTCTCTCCAGTGGTGAAGGACAAGGCTCAAATGTGATTTCAATTATGGCAGTAACAAATTCATGAGGGCCCAGCGCTTGCCATCTGTCAGAGGAGTGTGTCAGGCCTTTCATTGGCCATGAGGAATACCATCTCACTGACCACCTAAACAAATGAGAGTACACCCATGGGTTTTCTAAAAACAGAGAAGATGGAAAAGAAGAATAGAGCTGTCTGAACCCCTAGCACTTTGGCCGTGGTAAAATTTTTCGCTTTGCATTTGCATAATTCAGTGAGATTCCTCATTTAAAAGCTGATAAAGACAACTCGAAACAGTGTTGATTAGAAACTAGATGGCAGATTTTTAAATTTTAAATGATCTATCAGTAAGTTCTTGAAAGGTAACAATCTCTTCATATTGTGGGGACCTTGGTATTAGCTGGTGACCATGTGTTTTGTGTGTATGTACACATAAATAGAAGAGCTAACATGTATTAAAGACATCCCTTAGCCATGAATTATGCCAAGCACTTTGTTACATTTAAATCTCACAACCACTTTATGAATTATACCCATTTTATATGTGAGGCTTAGAGTGGGGAAATAATTTGATGGATGTTATATACCTAGGAAGCCCCCATTATACATTTTAAAACCTGTACCTGATTCATCTGGCTCCAAAACCTGTGATCTGACCACTACCCTACCATGGCCCCTTACACAAAAACATGCACAGTGACTTTCCATTTCCTGTCCTGATGAGAACTGGCTTCTGAGAAATCACCCCCAGAAGAGGCAATGGGCACAGAGAGAGAAGCCAGCAGAGTATGGACTTGAAGGAAAGCTGGGACAAACCAGAGTCAAATAAACAGAAAATCCACCAAAGAGTCAACCCACTGGACCAGTCCAAAAGTTAAGCTGTGGGGCAGAAGTGGGGTGGAAATAAAGAAACTAATCCCATGAGAAATTATAAATCTTCATAATAATAACACTTATTAAGTGCTTAATGTGTACCAGAAATTATTCAAAGCACTTCTGCTAAAATTGCTCATTTATTTCTCAACATTGTTTCTTATGCCCAGTTTACAGAGGAGGAAACTGAGACATGGAGATGTTAAGTGACTACCCCACACGAATTATAGGTAAAGAAGTTGGTATTTGAACCCAAGAAGTCTATTTTAGGAACACAAACTTATCATCCTTCTCACAGTTATGCTGTATGTTCTCATTTTCCAGGGGGATATATATTTTTTTGTTTGAAATTTCTATTGAAATCCAAAAGAAAAAACATCTTAGAATGCAGTCTATGAATTCTCTTGGTAAAAATGCATTGTCTTTCTCTTTAGAATACAAAGCACTATCTACAACTTTGGGTTAGAACAAGCTGTATAGCCCATAGTGGCCAAGTCCCTGTATCTGAGATTATGGAAGCCATATTGATTACTGCCAATACCCATGGCGATTAATCATATTCCCAGTCTACTTTCTAGTTGACATCTGGAGTGCAAGTGCAATGAAGAGATGTGTGGTATCTCGTGGTTACACAGCAATGTAGCTCTTCTGAAAAACTGGGAACATTATCCAAAGCATAATAAGCCTCATAAATAATCTACCAGCTTGAGGACATTAAATGTAAAGAAAGGGTGACCTCTGACCTTCCATTCCCTTTAATGGGGTTTCATTAGTCTCACAAATGGAGGCAAATTCATAACGGGGGAATCAATTCTGCCACTTGGAAATAATTAAGACACATACATCAAACAACAGCTTTTTTAATTCTTTCTAATTAAGTGATCCATCCCAGAGGAGTGCTAAACTGGTCAGTACAAATATAAATTACACTGAGCATGAGTGTTTTAAGATCAATGTGGAGGTCTTAATGCTTCCTCCACGTTCTTCCTATACTTCCCAGACATTAAACCACTGTCTGACTATGGCATCAAGAAACTAAAAACCTGGAGTCTGTTGTGAACAAGGCACTCAGAGTCCCCCACAAGTTGCCAATCTATCTGCCTGCCCTCTTGAAGAAGTAATAAATTTCTTAATTCTCCATCTGCAGCTCCACCCTTCCCTTGGACTTCAAAATATCAGCAGATGTAATTTCTGGCTTGGGCATCAGTGGCTTAAATTTTGAAGGATGTGTCTTACACCTTTGGCCTGGCCCTTCCTGAGATATCAGCCTTGATGTGAAGGGTTTATCAAAAAGCCCATAGATGGCTTTTTGCCTTTATCTAAGACCTCAGTTATCAGATGAATGGGACCTCTGGCTGCTATGAGACTAAACTTGGCTCTTCTTAAACCTTTGTCTAACTGCAAAATCAACTCAGAAATCACAGGCAATATTGACTGATCAAACTCACCATGTACCATGTTTTTCCCAGGAAACCAAATGGGCTGAAAAACAAACTAAATGTGTACAAGATTTTTTTATGTAGCTTTGCTTATGGGATATAAAAACTGATATTATTTTACTGTGATATAAGTGGAACATTCTTGTAATCAACAAATGACGTATACCTTCAAAACTCTTCAGGAAGGCATATAAAAGCATTTTGCATCCACAGACAGAAAGCAGAGAAAAGAACAATTGATTTAGAGACAAGATACTCAATTCAAATCCTGGCTCTGTCACTTTTTAATCATGTGTTTTTATGTCCACAAAGGGAGGAACTTACACCATTCCTTTGCATCTCAGTGCTTAGGACAGCACTCTCATGTAAGTGTATCTCTGTACGCTCAATGAGAGTATGTGGTATCTGGCTTGGGGCTCAGTGGCTTAAATTTCGAAGGATGTATCTTATACCTTTCACCATACTCATTGAGAGTATATGGGTATACTTATGTGGGAGAAATGAGTCAATGAAAGTCTTGTTCTGTGGAAATCGTATCTTTGAACAAGCTTTGAAGACTAATGTCTCAGGTTGAGTTCTCCAGAGAAGATTTGAGGAAAAGGTATAAGTGATCTATTGAGGAAGTCCCCCAAGCATTGGGTACACATGGACGTAAAGATGGGAACAACAACACTAAGGACAATAGATTGAAGAGCAGAGGGAGGAAGGAAGGTAAGGGCTGAAAAAGTACCTGTTGAGTACTATGCTCACTACCTGGGTGTCGGAATCATTTATACCCCAAACCTCAGGGTCATGCAATATACCCACGTAACGAACCTGCACATGTGCGCCCTAAGTCTAAAACAAAAGATGAAATTATATTAAAAAATAAATAAATGAATAAATTGACAAATAAAAATTTAAAAAAGAAGAAAGTTCTCCAAAGAAAAACTGACAAGAAAGTGGGAGAAACAGGCAGGGGAAAAGACACACCAAGCAAGGATATTATGTCAGGTGACATCCCAGCCTCAGCCAAATCCTTGGGGAGTTCTGGGACATAAATCACACCTCAGAGTTTGTCCTTCTTGGGGAACAGGAGCTGAGCTTTCATACTCCTTTACCCATCAGTTATCAGATAAGGCCTGCAGTGAGGAGACATAAACTTCTAGGCATTTGTGGGAGCAAGACTCTAAAAAGAACAAGATGCAAAAGTCAAAGCACAAAGAACCTGGGAATGAGCACATGGAACCATTAATAATGACACAAGGGGATCTGCTCAAGACCCTGGCAAAGTCTTCTACATATGATGTTGTGCTTCTGTGAGCCAACACCAATTGATATGACATTGGGTGATTTAACTGTGCTAAGGGATTTCTCTCCCATTTTAGTATTTGATTCTCAACACAGCACTGTGTGAAAGCTGAAACATGAAGTGTTATTATTCATTTATAACAAATAAGGGATATTGGGTCCACAGGAGAAAAATGACTTGTTTCTGGTAAAACTGAATTAGCAGAAATAATATTATTGATTAAAAGGCATGAGCTAAGGGAGAGCCAACTGTTTGTTCAATGTTATAGGCACTGGGAGAGGTTGAAGATTTTAATGTTTGTTGTACATCTTAGAGAACGATTATGATACGAATTTGAAGAATTTGTGAGAGATGGAGAAGATAGCCTAAATGAGAGGGGCCAGAGGAAGGAAATGCATAGGATTACTACTGGGATTACCAAGGGGGCAATGGTGGTGGTGGGGTTCTCATGGGAATGGGATGAGTCAGGCAACGGACCAATATGATGGGAGCCTCAAAAATGCTAGTTAGAGTTATAGGAAAAAATCACACGGGAGAAGCAAACGAATTGGTGAGAATGGAGTTCAAAAGTGGTAAAAATCTTCAGTAGTCTGAAGAGAGCAAGATGAATTGTCAATTTCCGTGAATGAGTTGATGATTTGTCCTCAGGCTGTAGCAATGGGGAAGAAAATATGGATAAAAGCGATGGGGGAAGAGAACACCAGTATGAGAGCCCAGTAGATGGATGTGAAAGATGAACAGAAGGAGGAGTTAAAGAACAAGTCAAGATATTTAACTGGGGACAAAGTTTCTAGATTCATAAGTTGAATAGCGTCAGATTCACTTTCAATGAGTCTATGATGTTTTCACTTCCTTTTCCAGCCAGATTAGCCTCAGACTCAGACTGACTTATCTAAACCCAAGGTGGCAGGTGGCAGAGCACCGCGGGGCCAGGGCCAGAATGAGACACAGGGTATTCTGATACCTGGCCCTGCAGGTGTCCCACTCCCCTCACCTCAGACCTGGACATTAACTCATACATTGCCATGGATGAAGACACAGCTGACAGCAGCCATTGTGAACATTCAGCCACTCTCTAAGTTTGATGTCATTTCCTGGTAGCACACCTGGCACTTTAGAGTTTCAATGAGAAAATGAAATGGGAAAATGTAGGGGAACTTGCTTTATATATTGTAATAGAAAATGCACTTATTATTGTTTGTATTTTAGTAGTAATATTTTACACATACAACTTACAAAACACATTAAAATTACTTGTTTTTCCTCATTTGTATAGTGGTGAGTAAAAAATTTAAAAAAATAAAATTACTTGTTTTATTTTTTAATATATTTGTTTATGTAACCTCCTTTCGATGGTTAATATTTCATCTTGTACGTCTCCCTGTATCATAAATGTCCTCTTACATATTGTGTTTATGCACTGCATTAACATCTATTATGTGGATACATAATCATCCAACCATCCTCCTTCTGTAGGACAAATTCTTGTATATTGTTATGAACAATAACATTATAAAATGTCTCTAGGCATAATTGCATAAAAACATATTTATAAACACATTCTTATCTAATTTTTACAGCTTACCAAGGTAGATATTATTGTTATTTCCATTTAGTAAAAGTGTCACTGAGGCTTAGAGAAGTTGATCAGTTTGACCAAGGTCACGTGGTCCTCTAACTTATGGTTTGATGCAGTTGCTCTCCCTGTCCTGAAGAAGTCTCCTTGGCTCTACCCTGATTGCCAATGCATGACTTCAGTTCAGCCTGCTCCTCAGCTTGGCAAGACCATTCCGTCGATCACCAGGCCTCAAAGTGAGCATTTCATAGACTCTACGATGCCATGGAAGGTAAGACACATTATTATATGATGTTACACAAAGAAAAAAAGAAACTGCTGTCCATTAAGCTATGACATAATTCTCTGTTCTCACATAGAAACTATAGGTAGTGCTTATTAAAAGGACTCTTCTAGACCTATTTAGACACAAAAGTGACAACAGTATGAAGAGTAACCAAAATGAAGTTCAGGCACACAATGACAATCCAATCGCATCTTACTGACATATGACTGGCAACATTTTGGGAAATGTCAAATTATAAGACCCCCTCCAATTCCAATGATGGTATCATGTAAAACTATATACACCCTAGAATCAAGGAAATATGGTATCAACAAACTAAAACTGACTCCTTAATATAATCTGAAGGCCTGAAAGATCATTGAAAGGGGAAACTATTGCACAATATGTTATTTATTGAGTTGTCTATGAATCACCTGCAGGCATTTCCCACAGCAGGGGTTCTTAGCCATATTTGTTCAACTTTAATACTCAATAAATGAAAAATGGTTATTGTTCTTATTAAGAAGACAAATCCTTCAAAGAGAAGCTATAGTTACAAGCCTAAACTGTTCCATATTTATATACAAAAGAGCTTATGATCATCTGGTCACACTATTTCACCCAGTCACATACATAAAGAATAACTGTCATTGGATTTTCTGGTTGAAATATCACTCTTGACAGTCTCTAAGCCTAATCTAGTTGAAGAAAGTTGAGTCACCAAAAAACAGCGTCAGCTCTTCCTTCATTGCAAAGACTCGCCAGAATAATACAGGACAAGCTCAGTGTTATTCCTTTTAAAGAAATACCTATGTCTTTTTATCTTCAAATTCAGGTTCATCCTACCTAATCTTTTGTTGGAATATAATAATTGTTCAATTTTTTAAAAGGACTTTTGATTCCTACCTTGTTTGAAATTGAAACCATTGAATTCTAGGATAATTGGCATCCAGCCTCATTTCTCTTTCCTTTATGAAACACTCAGTGTCCTGTCTCAGGCTTATCCCCTTGACTTTGATCCTTTTGATCGACAAAACTGAGAAGTTTCAATGGACCTAAGTGTCTCCTTTCAAGTCAAGTCTGTATAATACAAGGGGAAGGAGTCATTGCCCTGTATTCCAAGTTCGAAAGCACTTCTGCCATTTTGAGATTAAAAATATAAATTAGTCTTAACTATACTTTAGCAGAGTAAATCTATTTCTTACACTTTTAGAAGACAGTTTTTAAGTTAAAACACAATAATAAATGATTATTTCCAATTACCTTTTTATATACAGCTCAGATCTGCAGAATGAAGGGGGGACTCAGATTAAGTTACTGGATTGAGGCGGGGGGTTCCTAGAGTGTGTTGCACATCTCACTTCACAGCCAAAGGTAGAAAAGTGAGCCATTGCAGGAGAGCATCTCCTTTACTTACAGGCTTGCAGTATTCTAAAGCATCCATGATTTAAATCTGCTGAGGACTGTATACTGGATCCTGCAGGGAAATGATGGCACACACAAACTGAGTTTAAGGAAGGGACTATTTATAGTGTTTGGGAAGGGTTCAGAAAACCAACAGAAAATGGCAAGAGAGGGAGCCTCTTTTTTAACCCTGAGCCAGGAAGGGGAAGAGTTGGGGACAGTTACTGGAATGCTGAATGGTAGCTATAGGGGAGGGCTGGCCAAAAAGAGCTATGGCCTTCCATGGCAGGATCAGCCAATACATGATTAAGGGGCAGAGAGGAAGCCAGAGAATAAGTGCCCCATCATTTCCTCCAGTACTTGCATCTCCTCATGCCACCTCCCATTGACCAACCCAGCTGGAAGTCAGAGGAGATCCACCAGGATCAGAGCAGGGCAGATAATAGTAGCAATGGACCCAAAGGGGCAGATAGAAGATACCCAGTATGCTGTGAACTGTCAGGTTCTGCCTAATGCAGAAGTGAATTAAATGGTTTTTCTCTGATGCCTCCTAAACTTTTTGATGGTTATCTCTTTTTAGTCCATGGCCAATCCACTTATTGCCTCCATGACTGCCCACAGACCCCACATAGCCCTACACAGGCTTGTCTTCCTTGAGCCACAGCCCATATTTCAAATGGGCACAGTCTACAGTTCCACTTTTCATCTTTCTACATCCTAATCCTTTGGTAAAAACTACTCCTTGCTAGGTAGCTAGCCAGCCAATCTAATAAATAATCCCATGCATTAATCTCATATCGCTAACTGGATATAATTATAGATCCTGGAGCTAGAAGAGCTCTCAGAAGTTGTTTCTGGTACTGTCAGAATATTTGACATACTAACTAGCATGAATATTTTATATAGGAAGCAACAAAGGCCTAATGAGATAAAATAACACACAAGGTTTACATACTATTCCACTTGGGGCAAAAGGTATTATTATTAATAAAGATCTTCAAGAAACCAAGGAAATACCAAGATGTAGGACTCACCTTAGTTAGGTGGCAATTACCCAGCATCGAGAACATTGAATCACAAGATGAGAAAGTGATTCTTTTTACACTTACCTCGACAATGAATTACAGAAGAAATACTCGATTTGGAGTTAGGCCATCTTAATCTTTAAACACTTTAAACACTTGCTACATTTCCATTTTGACAAAGAAAAGCAATCATTGGGCACAGACTTCAAGTTCAGGCAATGGTGGATAGATTTAATTTGATAATGCTTTATTTCTCTTGAATTTATATTTTGTGTTACCTCCTGTTTCCTAATGAATGATAATGGCTGTCAATTTATGTTAATGCTACTAAAGTTTTCTTCTTAGCGTATTTTTAAGTTTAAAAAGTAATCAACTTAAAGAAAATATATGTGAACAATGGTATGGTTTCTTTCAAGGTTTTGTAAAAATAATGAAGATGTTAAGTGAAGCAATATAGTTTGGGGAACACTAGTTTATTTCAAAGAGTTTTTAATCTAAAATCCTGTCATTTACATATACATACATTATATGTAATCTATATATGTGTGGGTCTGTGCATGTGTGTATGTGTATTTATAATGGCAGGCAGCATTCTATCATTGCCTCTAATATTGCCTGGTGCACATGCTGTATGTAATTCCTTCCCCTTGAGTGTTGCCAAAAACCTGGGGATATCATGGGACATCTCTCCCATAATCATGTTACATTATGTAACAAAAGGGACTTTGAAGATAGAATTAAGTTTCCTATCAGCTGACTTTGAGTCAATCAAAAGGGAGATTATCTTCAATGGGCTGAGCCTAATCAGGTGAACTCACAGAAGAGACAAGCACCAGATGCTTTTGTATGGCCTAGCAGACATGAAGAGCCTTGGTGCGAAAGGGGCCATGTAGCACACACCTAAGTGCAGTGTCCAGGAGTTGAGAGTAAGCTACAGTCAACAGCTAGCAAGAAAACGGACTTAAGTCATTCAGTCACAAGGAAATAAATTTTGCCAACAACCAATGAGCTTGGAAGAGGACCTTGAGTTTCAGATGAGAGAGAAGCCCCCACTGACACCTTCAATTTCAGCCTGATGAGACCTTGACCAGAGGCCCTAGCTAACCCATATCCAGACTTCTAATCCATGGAAACTGTGAGACAATAAATGTATGTTGTTTTAAGCTGCTAGATTTATTATAATTTGCTACACAGTAGCAGGAGAAATATATATATACACATACACACACGTTCAAACCGTTACACTGTAAGATAATTCAGGAGAATTAATTGAAGGAAAGGGTTATGGTATTCTTCAGATTATGGAAGGTATAGAAAGCAGTGTAGAAACTATACTATCTACACTAGATAGCTAGTATTGCATAGGTATTTAACTACCTACAGAAACTATTCATCATTCACACGCCAAGTAGAAACTACTGAACTTTCAAAGAACTATCAGGAGTCTTCCAGGTTAGCACTTTTTATACTTCACTGTGCATACAAATCACTAGAATATTTTATGAAAACACAGACTGTGATTCAGCAGATGTGGTTTGGGACCTAAGATTCTGCATTTCCATGAAGCTCTCAGATGATGCCAATACTGCTACTGTGAGTAGTAATTGTCCAAATTCCTCCCCCTTTTCTAATAGGGCTTTATCTAAGCCACAGCAAAAGGTTTTCTAATTGGCTTTGAAGAATTATCAAGGTGATATTGTCTGCATCTCATTGTCCAACTTTGCCAAATCTCACCTTCTATTTATGATCTCCTCAAAAAGTTGAAGGGCATTGGGATTTTGCTATCTCAGAATTTAGTTAACCAAGACTGAATTTCACAGGCAACTCCTCTGACACAGGGTGGGTCACCATGTGACCGGAAGTTTTGTTGAAATGTACGCCCAAGATTTGCAGCCTAGTCTAACCTCTATTCAAACTTCTGAGACTGTGAAATTAGGCTGGAAGTCTCCACATTTATTATAAGATTCCTGGTATTTCCTGTTTCCAGTCAGGCTGGCAATATCGCAAGCACAGCCTCTCTCATGGTTTTTCGTTCTTCTACTTACCATCCTTGCTAGAATCAAGAAGGGTAGAGCAACATGCAAAAGATGCAAAGTTCAAAACAGATGTTATGGAAGATTTCACTTATGTTGCCTCCAAGGAGGTGCACTGCAATGGTGGAAGATATTTAGCTATTTCTTCAATTACATAAAATTATGTATCTGGTTTTCCTTCTCCTCCTTGTTCACCTTCCAATATATTTGATTTCATAATATTGAGTTAATTTCTAAATCCAGAGAACTAGAATTTGGAATTCTAGAGATTAGCTACCTGGTTCGTTTCGGGTAAACCGATCACCATTGTATGCAAAGGACTCATGTATTTGACTGGATTTTGGCATAAACTGATACTATCTCCAAAAGGAATGGATAGTCTTATTGATTACTGAGAAAGACTTCTGGCCCACGCTGACTGAGGAGAAGCAGAAAAAAGCTGGAAAAGAGGAGATCTGGGCAAAGTCACAAAAGAAGGAAATTGTGGTTAATGAAGAGTTTGAAGATTTAGACTACAGAGATAATTGACTTCTCAGGCGGCCAGAAAAAAAACCCTTGAATCTGGGAGTGGAAATTTATCCAGACCAAAAGAGGGAAAAAAGGAAAAGTTACCTTCAGAGAAGAAAAAGACACACTACATCCCAAAGATTACCAAAGCAAATATTTCATTGTCAAGGCCTAAATTACATGAATTGTTTGTCAATGTCAGGAAAGTTTATCACAACACTTACAAAGACTGGCCTTGTTGAATGTGTGGATTTTGTGGCAAAGAGAGAGCCAAGAGGTGAAAAGGAACTAATTTTGGAATTTGTTGATAGACACAGGATAGTGTTCTCTTCCCACTCACTGACTGTGGATGGCAGCAGCCAGGGAATTAGATACCAGGGTCCTCCACCAGATTCACTTCTCCCAACCACATCTTCCAGATTTGGAATCAAAGTTTGGGTAGCCTCATGCCAAGATAGGGCTATTCCTTGACACTTCTTTCTGAAAGGTCTCCTTTAGTTCTAAAGCACTACACACCAATTCCACTATCGAGGTCTAGTTTCTAGGCATGGCTTAAGGCAGCAGACCCCAAAAGATCCTGTTGCTGAAGGATGTATGGCAGAGAGGGTTTGGGATGAGTGTTCCCCTGAAATACCCACACTGAGCTTTGTAATAATCCCACTTCTAGTGCAGGAGTAGAAACAAATACACAAAGACAAATTTATACATACACATACATACACTACAAAAGATTCACAGAAGTGTGTATAACTCTTCAAAAATACAGAAGTATATACCCTTAGGAGTGTATACTCACCTCTGTGAGACACTTAGATGTGGCTGAAGGCCTAGGCAGTACTCATGAGACAGCCTAATGCCTAGGCTGATAAATAGGGGTCTCTGGAGAATCTACCACTAGCTCCACAAGTGTTTATATCACATGCTTTTGTGCAGATGAGAGAATCTGCCCAGGGATTGCCTGGGCATGCTAACAGTGGACTGGAGCCCAACATGCACACCAGGGGAAGTGGGTGAAGCCACGCAGAATTTGCACCTTATGCAGGGGTGGAGCTTGCACTCTTCAGTTCCTGTGGTGACCCTGGAATCAATCTGGGAGGTGGGGGTGGGTTAGCAGGAACTTCATCTGGCATTGCTGAGTTTTTTTTTTTCTTTTTTTCCTTTTTGCCCAATAAAGTCCTGCTCTACTCACCCTTCAATGTGTCTAAATGCCTGAATTTTCCTGGTCATGTGACAAGAAGCTGGATTTTAGCTGAATTAAGGAGCAAAGTTCTACAACACTCAGAGGAAATGGTCTCAGTACTAAGAAGAACCAGACACTGAGGCAGGAGACTCAGAGGACAGAGAAAGTGAGTAGGTGGCTCTAGAGCGCAGTTGGAGTAACAGGTGGAAAGTCAGACACTTGAGATTGGTAGTCCAAACTCTTAACTGTAAATTTCCCATGTGACAATTATAGTCATTTGCAGAAATGAAAGTTCTATTGACAATGCCTGCCTCAGAGTCCCCTAAGGAGGGTCTCTGCCAAATCCATCCATTTGCCAATGTTCCGGGCTGCAGTGTGCCTTGTCTTTCTCCCTGGAGGAGATGCTCCTTCTGCTAGCATCCCATTAGCCAGCACTAGCCCAACTCCCAACCTCCATGCTTGCCTCTGCCTCTACAACGCAGGTGAAAAGAGAGAAGAAATAAAACCACTTAGAGAAGCCACAAGCTGAGCATTGACTTAGTTTTGGTTCTTTTTTTTTTAATACTTTAAGTTCTGGGATACTTGTGCAGAATGTGCAGGTTTGTTACATAGGTATACATGTGCCATGGTGGTTTGCTGCACCCATCAACCCATCATCTACATTAGATATCTGTCCTAATGCTATCCCTCCCCTTTACCACCCCCCCACCCCGCCCCTGGCAGGCCCCAGTGTGTGATGTTCCCTTCCCTGTGTCCATGTTTCTCATTGTTCAACTCCCACTTATGAGTGAGAACATGCCGTGCTTGGTTTTCTGTTCCTGTGTTAGTTTGCTGAGAAAGATAGTTTCCAGCATCATCCATGTCCCTGCAAAAGACATGAACTCATCCTTTTTTATCACTGCATAGTATTCACGGTGTATACGTGCCACATTTTCTTATTCCAGTCTATCATTGATGGACATTTGGGTTGGTTCCAAGTCTTTGCTGTTGTGAACAGTGCTGCAACAAACATACATGTGCATGTGTCTTTATAGTAGAATGATTTATAATCCTTTGGATATATACCCAGTAATGGGATTGCTGGGTCAAATGGTATTTCTAGTTCTGGATCCTTGAGGAATTGCCACACTCTCTTCCACAATGGTTGAACTGATTTACCATCCCACCAACAGTGTAAAAGTGTTCCTATTTCTCCACCTCCTCTCCAGCATCTGTTTCCTGACTTTTTAATGATCACCTTTCTAAGTGGCATGAGATGGTATCTCATTGTGATAGAGAAATTTACATTTCTCTAAGAACCAGTGATGATGAGCTTTTTTCATATGTTGTTGGCCACATAAATGTCTTCTTTTGAGAAGTGTCTGTTCATATCCTTCACCCGCTTTTTGATGGGGTTGCTTTTTTTTTTTCTTGTAAATTTGTTTAAATTCCTTGTAGATTCTGGATATTAGCCCTTTGTCAGATGGATAGATTGCAAAAGCTTTCTCCCATTCTGTAGGTTGTCTGTTCACTCTGATGATAGTTTCTTTTGCTGTGTAGAAGCTCTTTAGTTTAATTAGATCCCATTTGTCAATTCTGGCTTTTGTTGCAATTGCTTTTGGTGTTATAGTCATGAAGGCTTTGCTCATGCCTATGTCCTTTATGGTATTGCCTAGGCTTTCTTCTAGGGTTTTTATGGTTTTGGGTCTTATGTTTAAGTCTTTAATTTATCTTGAGTTAATTTTTGTATAAGGTATAAGGAAGGGGTCCAGTTTCAGTTTTCTGCATATGGCTAGCCAGTTTTCCCAACACCATTTATTAAATAGGGAATCCTTCCTCCATTGCTTGTGTCTGTCAGATTCATCAAAGATCAGATGGGCGTAGATGTGTGGTGTTATTTCTGAGGCTTCTGTTCCGTTCCATTGGTCTATATATCTATTTTGGTACCAGTACTATGCTGTTTTGGTTACTGTAGCCTTGTAGTATAATTTGAAGTCAGGTAGAGTGATGCCTCCAGCTTTGTTCTTTTTGCTTAGGATTGTCTTGGATACACGGGCTCTTTTTTGATTCCATATGAAATTTAAAGTCGTTTTTCTAATTCTGTGAAGAAAGTCAATGGTAGCTTGATGGGAATTGCATTGAATCTATAAGTTACTTTGGGCAGTATGACCATTTTCATGATATTGATTCTTCCTATCCATGAGCATGAAATGTTTTTCCATTTGTTTGTGTCCTCTCTTATTTCCTCGAGCAGTGGTTTGTAGTTCTCCTTAAATAGGTCCTTCACATCTCTTGTGAGTTGTATTCCTAGGTATTTTATTCTCTTTGTAGCAATTGTGAATGGGACTTCACTCATGATTTGGCTCTCTGTTTGTCTATTATTGGTGTATAGGAAGGCTTGTGATTTTTGCACATTGATTTTGTATCCTAACACTTTGCTTAAGCTGCTTATCGACTTAAGGAGCTTTTGGGCTGACATGATAGGGTTTTCTAAATATACAATCATGTCATCTGCAAAAAGAGACAATTTGACTTCCTCTCTTCCTATTTGAATACTCTTTATTTCTTTCTCTTGCCTGATTGCCCTGGCCAGGACTTAGGAGTGGTGAGAGAGGGCATCCTTGTCTTGTGCCGGTTTTCAAAGGGAATGCTTCCAGTTTTTGCCTATTCCATACGATAATGGCTGTGGGTTTGTCATAAGTAGCTCTAATTATTTTGAGATATGTTCCATCAATACCTAGTTTATTGAGTGTTTTTAGCATGAGTGGATGTTGAATTTTATCGAAGGCCTTTTCTGCATCTGCTGAGATAACCATGTGGTTTTTGTCATTGGTTCTGCTTATGTAATGGATTATGTTTCTTGATTTATGTATATTGAACTAGCCTTGGGTTTCAGGGATGAACCTAACTTGATCATGGTGGATAAGCTTTTTGATGTTCTGCTGGATTCGGTTTGCGAGTATTTTATTGAGGATTTTCACATAGATGTTCATCAGGAATATTGGAAAAAGAAATTTTCTTTTTGTGTTGTGTCTTTGCCAGGTTTTGGTATCAGGATGATGCTGGCCTCATAAAATGAGTTAGGGAGGATTCTCTCTTTTTCTATTGTTTGGAATAGTTTCAGAAGGAATGGAACCAGCTCCTTTTTGTACCTTTGGTAGAATTTGGCTGTGAAGCTGTCTGGTCCTGGGCTTTTTTTTTTGGTTGGTAGGCTATTAATTACTGCCTCAATTTCAGAACTTGCTATTGGTCTATTCAGGGATTCGAATTCTTCCTGGTTTAGTCTTTGGAGGGTGTATGTATCCCGGAATGTATTCATTTCTTCTAGGTCTTCTAGTTTATTTGCATACAGGTGTTTATACTATTCTCCGATGGTAGTTTGTATTTCTGTGGAATCAGTGGTGATATCCCCTTTATCATTTTTTATTGTGTCTATTTGATTCTTCTCTCTTTTCTTCTTTATTAGTCTGGCTAGCAGTCTATCTATTTTGTTAATCTTTTCAAAAAAGCCAGCTCCTGGACTTATTGATTTTTGAAGGGTTTTTCGTGTCTCTATCTCCTTCAGTTCTGCTCTGATATTAGTTATTTCATGTCTTCTGCTTGCTTTTGAATTTGTTTGGTCTTGCTTCTCTAGTTCTTTTCATTGTGATCTTAGGGTGTTGGTTTCAGATCTTTCCCACTTTCTCATGTGGGCATTTAGTGCCATAAATTTCCCTCTGAATACTGCTTTACCTGTGTCCCAGAGATTCTGGTACGTTGTATCTTTGTTCTCACGGGTTTCAAAGAACTTACTTATTTCTGCCTTAGTTTTGTTATTTACTCACTAGTCATTCAGGAGCAGGCTGTTCAGTTTTCATGTAGTTGTGCAGTTTTGAGTGAGTTTCTTAATCCTGAATTCTAATTTGATGGCACTGTGGTCTAAGAGAGTGTTTGTTATAATTTCTGCTCCTTTGCATTTGCTGAGGAGTGTTTTACTTTGGATTATGTGGTCAATTTTATAGTAAGTGTGATGTGGTATTGAGAAGAATGTATATTCTGTTGATTTGGAGTGGACAGTTCTGTAGATGTCTACTAGGTCCACTTGGTCCAGAGCTGAGTTCAAGTCCTGAATATCCTTATTAATTATCTGTCGCATTGATCTGTCTAATACTGACAGTGGTGTGTTAAAGTATACCACTCTTATTGTGTGAGAGTCTAAGTCTCTTTGTACATCTCTAAGAACTTGCTTTATGAATCTGAGTGCTCCTGTATTGGGTGCATATACATTTAGGATAGTTAGCTCTTCTTGTTGCATTGATCCCTTTACCATTATGTAATGCCCTTCTTTGTCTTTTTTTTTTTTTGTCTTTGTTGGTTTGAAGTCTGTTTTATCAGAGACTAGTTGGAAATCCTAAGATATATAATATTTGACTGTTTTCTCAGAGTTCTACCTCTTACACCCAGAATGTTTTCATGTGAACTATAGGATACCTTCCAGGACATTGCAGAGCCCTGAAAGCCAAAGATGACACTGAGCCTGTAATTAAGTCTCCAAGAAGGAGTAAGATTAGATACCCCAGAGCTGGAGGCCAATTTCTAGAACCCAGATGGCTCCCATGAAGAGTCCAGTTCATCTACACGAGACAATAACTTTGCTCCTCAAAAGACCATCGGGGAGGTGTATAGTCTGCTGTCCCCTAGAATCAGGCCCTCAAGGGCTGGCTCAACTTTCAATATGACTTAGAATTACACAGTACTTTGCATCTTCAAAGAACTATGCAGACTTTAACCAATTATCCTGTTCTTGGCCCAATGCCGGGTTCCACTATCAAGATTTGACAAACTCTTTGTACTCTCTGTAGTTCTGTAGGAACATAGGTTTGTCTATTTCAATCAAAACTGAAGCCAAGCTGGGACCTTCAGCTGAAGGAAGCCTTGAGGATTTAATATTTAATACAAACATCCTGTTCTCATAAACCAATGCTCTTTAACAGAAAAAAAAAAGTCATTAGAACACAGCTGAGCAAAAGGGGAAAAGGTTATAAACTTTGAAAACAACAAAATAGTTAATGTTTGGAGCTTTTAAAGTGTTTTCAACAGATAGTTGTGCAGATGTGGTAACTTGGGAGGTGGTGGAGGAGATTTCACTTCATCTGCTTTCATCTGCCTATGGGTGCCTATTATTAAAGTTTTACATTTTGTTTATGCTTTCTGTGATATGCAGATATTTTCTTTCCCTTATGAATTTCCTCTTTCTTTTCCTCTGTGACTTTCTTGCCTTTCAAGCACTGGGCTGATGAAGAGCAAGAGAGAAATTAGTCCTACAAAATAAGGCTGTCTGCTTAAAACAATATCCAGCACTATATAGGAAGCTGCAGCCCAAATCGCCCCACCCTGCCCTTTCTCTAGCCTAATCGCTGACCCAAGGGGACCACCCTCTCATTGGAGCTTTTCCTCACGGCCTCCTCTGTGAGTCATGCTTCAAAACGAGCCTTTCATGATGGAAATCAAGGCAAGTGGCTACAAATGCCAGAATTTCACTGTGGCAAAAATATCTCCACTTATCTTCAGACTTCTGAGCATTAGACAACTGGGGAAGAACCAAGACCTACCAAATACTGTTTGCCATCTGGTTTTAATTTAAAAGCCACATGGCATTTGCACTTCTCTTTGAACGACAAGTTCGATCACAACCCAGCCCTGGCTTTCCCAACCCACTTGTCCCTAGGACTCTATATAATTTAGTAATTTTGGCATTGAATGTGCTCCTAAATATCCTACCGTGGAATGGAGCTATATGATCATTTCTAAAATATAAGGGGTCAACCCTAATAAAATTGTGTCACAATCAAAGATAGAAAAAAATGAAAACAACTTGGGTTTCACATAGCATTGGCAGTCAGCGAGTCATTATTTCATGGTGGGCACTTGGTGATTAAAGTTTCCACTAGATACTTCAGCACTGTTAATGGCTGACATTTAGTAAAGCATAAAAAAACAGAGGTTTGTAAGAATCCCAGAAAAATTCCCTCCCACAGATTCCCATGCCCAGAATTCCGTTTAACAATGTATTGAAATCATATTCTCACTTAAAGGCTTGACTCCAGCGACCCCAGTGTTTTTAGCGTTTTCTTGTTTCTTAAATCCCTGTATTAGCTGTTATATATGGTGTGTATACATATGTATCTGTCCTTCATGTCCTACTGTCTCATAATATTGTATTACCATATTATTCATGATTTTATTTGTAAGAATATGTTTTGTTTTTTCTGTCTTAGCTGTGGGAAAGCAGAACCTGAAACAAGATGTGAACTTAGTTGGCTTTTTGGGGAAAAGGCCTTGGAATCAGGAGACAGAGAACAGAGAGAATGAGATAGGGAGGGAGGAAAAGCTAACACAAGAATGCATTATCAAGGTTGCTGCTGTAGACACCAAGGCTCAGTTCTATGAGATACACTAAGAAGCAGGCAAATACCTCCCAGAATTGTCAGAGTAAAAGGTAGGCCGCCGGAGTATCTACTCACCAGATCTCATCCCTCACTGGTTGAGCATCACCTCCTAGGGTATTGATTCCACAGGTCTTCTGAGTGGCACTTAAAAGCCAAATGAGCTCAAGTTGCCATGGCTTGGCAGAAAGCCCTGGGACAGAAAAGAGAAAGCCACTCAGCATACCCTTGAAATGAGAAGCTGACAGCTGGAGTTGAGCCTTTAGTTCATGGAACTGTCCCCCTCATGTGGGCTGAAATCAGAGGTGAGCTGGGAGTCTGAGATGCCAATACCAGAGTCATTTGCCCTGTGTCTTTTCACATCAACTTCGACAGCAAGTTTCTCAGGACAAAGCTGGTTTCCACAACTCATGCCAGTCAACAAACCCAGCACAGTGCCAGACATTTGGAAATAGCTGAGATAAATATTTCTTGACAGGAACAAGTTTAGAATAAATCGATCACTTGGCATGTATCCCCAATGCCTCTTTTCTCTTTTTTCATCTTTCTTATTCCGAATTTCACTTGCCATGCTTCTTCTTCTTCTTCTTCTTCTTCTTCTTTTTTTTTTGTATGACAACGAAAAAGCAGAGTTTAGTATGGAAAGAGCATTGGAATGTAAAATGTACAAGCCTGGGTTTGAGTCTTAGATCGACCTTAAACTGACATTGGGCAGATGAAAAACCTCTCTGAGATCTGATTTCCAAATCTATAAGACATTTTCCTCATGAGACTGATGTAAAAATGAGCATATACCTGTGTGAAGCACTTAGAAGCCATGGAAGTGAATGCATACGTAAGGGACATTCCTCCCCCTCATCCCCATGGACAGCTGCTTTCTAAGTATCTACTCTTCCAGTCAAAAAGTCATGAGCATTCCTACCTGCTGGGGAGTCACAAAGCACAGGGAAGTAATATAGTCTGGTAAGGGTCCTCTGCTTGCAGATAAACCCTGAGCCATTTCACAACTTCTGGTCAAAATTCTTCCTCCCAGAAAAGTAGATCTCATCAGTACCCTTTAGTAAGAAAACACTGTTATGCAAAGAAGCCCAAATCAGCCACTTCATTCTTGGAATCTTCACTTATTTCCCAAAATAAGCTTTCTTTTATATTATGTCATTGGTATCAGTTACCTACTACCAAAAATAATTCTTGTATAACAAATCATCCCCAAATTTAGTAGCTTAAAACAATGATCACCATGAAAAAAGGAAATGGATTGATAGATGAAAGGAAGGATGGTGGTGGATGGATGGATATGTGATTTAAAAAAATAAACAGTAAAATATTAGGTATATGGTTGTTCACTCTACAATTCTTTTAATTTTTCTGTATGTTTGAAATTTCTCATTAAGAAATGTTGAAAGAAAAACCAAGAATTTATTTAGTTCACAAATATATGAGTTCCTCTGCTCTTGGATGGGCTAAACTGATCTTCACGGGACTTGCTCACATATCTGCCCCATTGCAGGATAGACCTACTGGGGCCTGAGTAGTCTATGATGGACTTAACTGGGATGGCTATTCTCCATGATTCATCTTCCTGCAGGAAGTTTACATGATGGTCACAGGAGTCCCGGAGAACAAGTGGAAGTGTTCAAGGCTTCTTGTATCCTTGGCTTAGACATGTCACACTATCACTTTCACTAGACTTTTGGCCAAAGCAACTCATAAGGCCAGCTCAGATTCAAGAGATGGGAGAACAAACAGGAAGGGTGAATAATTCGGGCCATTTTTGCAATCTTCCACATCCACTCTGCTGGTTGCTAATCATTGTTTCTACAAAGCAATGGGGCCTCTACAGTCAGACTTACTGACTTCCTACATTTTTATCACTCACCAGCAGTCATATGCTTAGGACCCTCAGAGTCTAGAAGTCCTCAGATGGTGCCTTAAGATCTATATATTGGTCAGGTAGGACTTCAGACCAGGTAAAGTTAGTAATTGCCCTCCTGAAACAATAACCAGGAAGTGAAGATACTACTATTCATATTCAGGTTTGGGGTCCCATTATCCCCAGCCATCTCTATTATTCAATCCTATGGCTTGCCCTAAACCCATATATCTCCCTCTGCCATCCCTTGAAGAACACACCATCTCCCTATTTCCCTTCATCTACTGCTGTGGGCTACCCTTTATAAACTATGATGAGGTAACTGACCCATGTTTCCCAGCACATGGGTCTTCTTTCTGCCCAGCAGAGGTTTCAGGGTCCATCAAGCCAGCCATCTGCTCTCTCTCCTGGACCTCCTTATGTTCAAGGAAATTAGGCCATCATGAGCTGTGCGGTCTTAGGTCAGAGAATAAACTGTCTTTTTGTATGGAGTCCTACACACATGTCTGGGGTGAAGCCTCCAACATCATTAGCATCATACTCATAGACAACTGGCTCTGACAGCTGACAGTGAGTTATAGCAAATACAAGACTAAAAACTGGGAAACCTAGTAAGCATGGCCCTCTTCAAAGCTGAGCCATGTGGCAGTTCTTTCAACAACTGTACAAGTCTCAGTAAAGAGAAGCAGACAGTGAGAGCTACTTCCTAATAAGGACCATTGAGTTCTTAGTAAGCAGGCTGTGGAATCAACCCTTTCTTCTTAGCCACTCACCAAACTCAAAAGACTGTGAGATTTATGAGTTTTTAATTAGCTTTCATTGCATCATTAGTACCTTCTCCACTACTGCAAAGCAGAAAGGTATAATTTTATAGTGTTTACTGATCATGTTATTTGATTGAGGATGACAGCTAGCCTGCCTAGCATTCTTAAGAGCTGAGGAAAGGATTGTGAAAGCTCAGAGTCAGGAGGGGTGGGAAGGGAGACATCAGGGAAAAGCAAACACTTTTAGCTCCATATGCATGAAATCACTGACTCCTAGCCCATTCTGTTTGGAATAAAAGATATTAGCATGGCCTGTCATAGGACTGCCTTCGTTTATTAAAATAAATAAATAAATAAAGGGGGGTGGAGAAAGAGCAGGGAAGTGAAACATTTGCAACAATGATTCATTTTATATCAAATCATAGGTCAGATGTTGCCAGAGACTCAAGTCACACCCACCATAAATACAAACCAGACACCTCTGTCCACTGGACCTCTATTTAGACTCAAAGAGCAGGCACAGTTGTCATGTCTTACTGAGCCCATACACACACCTTGCTTTCTTCACCTGTGAAATGAGGGGTTAAAACTAGGTCCTTCCTCAGATGTTTTCCATCACTAATCACTAAGATTCTGGGATCCCAAAGCCAATATCCAATACTTGTCTTCTCCATGCCAGTGCCTGTGCCAGGAACTCTTACCAGTGCCATGAGTCCCAATAACCCTGGAAGGTTGGCATCATTCTAAACCCCGTGTTATTAAAGAAGAAACTGAGACTTACGTGGGTTAGGAGCCTTGCCAGGTTCTCTATTTCTCACAGCCAGGTGCAAGATGACCAGGGTGGGCAGCCTTAGGCCCCACCCACACCTACTGAATCAGAATCTGCATTTAACAAACCCCCCAGGTGATATGTACCCATGTTAATGTCTAAGAAGCAGTGCCCTAGGTCACAAAGCCACTGAATGTCAAAGCCAGAAGGCACATTCGAATCCTCTGATGCTGCATCTTGTACTTTTTCTACCCATACCACATCCATGATATCTCCTTCCAGAAGAAACTTATCCATTTAGCTCTTCTTATCAACCCTGGTCAGGATGTCATGCAAATCTCAGGATACCCTCTGCAGTCTTTCTCTTGGTATTATTTAAATCCATCAGGCACTACCAGAATAATTCCCTGGATGGTTTGCATTCTGCTGCCACTCCTGCATAATTAAATTAAACTTTTTAAAAATAGATTTAGGGGGTACAAATGCAATTTTGTTACATGGCTATATTACATAGTGCTGAAATCTGGGCTTTCAATATAACCATCACCTAACCATGGAATACTACTTAGCCATAAACTAATCATTAATCAAAAATGATAGCATTGCCAGTGGCCTTGGAAATAATAGATAAACCAACTTTTCAATGACATCAAGAATAAGGCCTAAGGATACAACCTAAAAGAGAAGCAAAGATTTTTTTATGTCTCTTTTGCTGATGATAAAGCAGCAAAGAACCACTGTGGGTACCAGGAAGATCTTTCTTTAATGAGGCTTGTCTTTGGCTTCTCTCTTGATACTTTGGCTTAAAAGACATCAGAGGGGACCTCCACTGTTAACAGTGATGGTCTCGAGACCCCCAGGCAGACCAGCCCCCCATTAGTTGGGTTACTCTGGAGTTGTAAACACGGTGCTCTCCCAATCTGTTTTCCAAGATGAACTGTATATAAAGCATGTGTGTGGCAGGAGATGATAGCACACTTGAGGCTTTCAGCAATCGATGTTTACAGACTATAATGGAAACCACAAGTTTCTTCTTTAACTCAAGTCAGTATACATTCCTTCAAGCCGCAGGCAAATTGGAGCAGGGAAGGGGGTTGGGAAGGCTTCACAGTGAGTCATCATTTCACATTTTTTAACAGCTTAATGAACATCCAGAAATGCCGCATTAGCCAGCAAAAATACAGTCCTTTTTTTCTCCCATCAAATTCAGCAATGACCGTATTTGGACGTGGGATTCCTTGAGCATCTACATTAAGTGACTTCCCTTACAGAAGGTAAGTGACTAAATGTCTAGTCTGCCACACAGTTACAAGCAAAAGCATATGAAGAGCCCATAACTAAGTTAATAACCTGCCTTGAAGTTAATAACCTGCCCTTGTTTTGCCCCAAGTTTGGGAGCAGGGAAACATTACTTCTAGGTTCCATTAATCCCCTGAAAAACTCAGCCCAGAGTGCTTGGAAAAGAAGACAGAATTCTCAGATCTGCAGAGCAGCTCTCAGCCAAGATTCATGGTGCTAACAGACAGATGGTAAATAAAGCTGGGTTCTAAGGCTACAGCTGTGTGCCTCTGCATCTCTCAGATCTATGTGTGCGATCATTAAAATTTTTTAGATCATCTAAAATAGCAGTCTCTGTGTAACCTTGGCAACTTTGCTATTTCTGACATTCTTTTATATTTTATGTACAGAGGTCACATGCATAATGTGGGTAAAATAATGAAAAATGTGTGTGTTTGTGCATGGATATTTTAATGCTATATTATGTAGTCATTAGTCTTTTAATGGCTGTTTGAATTAAGAAGGTAGAAACTGAGTTTTTTTCCAAGTTTCGTCCTGAGGCTCGCATAAATTGTCTTTTGTCTTTTCACGCTTTTTTCTCCATTTCGCCTTAATACTATAGGCCATATGCTAGCACTCAAGCCAACTACAAGATCTGAAGGATTCTACTTGTCCCATGAATCAAAATTTGCATTTTTAGATCACCTGTGAGAATTTTGCATGAGCCTGAAAGGAAAGAGGTTTTGAATCACTCAGTCTCATAAGAATTTTGTAAGATTTTCTTGAATTTACAAAAAATAAACTGCAAGCATACTATTTCTGGAATGATAGTAGGATATGTAACCTTGAAATTTCATGGACACTTCCTCATATCCCTACAGATTGTCTTTTCAGCTACCTGCTATTTCAAAGTAGTAATTCATTAAAAGATTGAATTATAACTCCTGTAATATTTGTGACAATGGATAAAAACATTCCCGTTACATAATTTTATATGAATTAAATTGAAGTCCTGCTCAAAAGAATCTGAAATTCTTTTGATAGGTGCTGATAGAATTAGAGATTTTAAAAGTAAACACATTTTTAGTCTGCTTTTACTTCATAAATTACTCTAAATAAAGCTGATTCAACCTTTTTTAATTCACCTAACAAAAAAAAGGTTGTCTTTGTATATTTATCACTCAGTCTTGTTAGAACATGTTACTAGTTAGCATAGTTTTCTGAGGACTACTTCAAGATAATTTCATAACTTTTAGCTCAGTTTTCACATTTTTTTCATTTTTCTTGAGCAAGAAGAAAAGAATCAAGTCAGGAGTCCTATGCATTATGGGGCCCAAAAGGGAGGTTTTAAATATACACAAGTGATATACAAACATATTTGTCCTTTCATTCATTATTTATTCTTTCAGTAGATACTTACCGAGGATCTAGCACCTGAGTGCTACACCAGGTGCTGGGAGACTCTGATGTACGAAATTGACAGAGACTGGGTAGCACTCAGGTAACTTCCATTTTCATGGGGCTTTAAAGGGTGCATACAGATGATTAACAAACTAATTAACAAAACAATAAACAAATTAAGTAATAAAAATATTAAATGTCTTTATAGAAAATTAAAGATATATGGACTTTATTTGGATTCTGATTGGAAAGCCAACTGTAAAAGACATTTTTGAGACAATCAAGGAAAACTGAACACCAACTGCATATTCGATGATGCTAAAGAATTAATATTAATTGTGTTATGTGATAGTGTTTTTGTGCTGATGCTAAAAAGAACATATAAATAATGTCCACCAGCTTCATCCATATTGTTGCAAATGGCAGGATATTCTTTCTTAAGGTCTAATAATATTCCATTGCATATACATACCAAAATTTCTTTGTCCTTGAGGACTATAGTTAATAATATTGTATTATACACTGAAAACTTGCTAAAGGGGTAGATTTTATAGTAGATTTTATGTTGTTACCACAAAAAGAAAAAGGCAACCTGAGGTAATGGATTTGTTAATTCGCTTGACTGATGCTTGAGCATCCTTCCTGCTTCCTGACACCTCTCTTTCCCTCTCGAGCATCCCATGCTTTTTAGGAAACAAACTGGACTCTTGGGTTACTAGTCATGCTGATGTTCTTTCCTATCCACCCACCTTTCCAAACAGAATGAAATGAAATGAAACACTCCATGATATAGAAAGGCAGAAAGAACTGAAAACCAGCTGGCTCATTATTTCCCTCCACAAACCAGGGAAGGGCACAAATAAACAAACACAATATTGCTGATGGGAAGCCAATGTAGCCTGGGCCTGGTTTTCTCCAAGAAGTGACCTCCTCTAGCAAATTAAATGCCCGGAGCCTCCCAATCTCATCTGGTCCTGATTTTCAATCAACAGTAAACTGATATCTTTTTTTTTCACTTTCATTATAGCTTGTTTTCATCTAGTTTATATTTCCAAACGTACTGGTTTTCAAGCCTGAACTGTCATATTAAACACACACACACACACACTCAAAAAAAGTGCAGGCTAGGTGACCCAGTGGCACCAGGGACGGGGCCCAGCCCTTGGCTTGTGGGAACTCCTTGGAGGTTTTCTTTTCTCTGAGCTAATCTAATTGGGAGCCACCAAGTTGTTGGATAGGATGGAAACTGAAGGAGCCCGAACTCCCTTTCTTACCCCTGTATGGGGTGCCATGCTGAGAAGGGAGAGAAGAGGATGGAAGAATCCCTAGAGATCTCTGCACACTGTGCACTCAGGCCTATTCTAGCAAGGGCACCAAGGAACTTTGAGGGAGTGGAAGGTTGGACAGAGGGGTGGCCAGTCTTACAGCAGAGATTTGTAAACCTGCCTGATGATGGAGAAAAGGGCTGACTCTCCCAGCTAGTGAGAGTGGAGGCTCATGTTTTGTGCACAGAAGGGAACAGCCAAAACCCTTCCCTCTGACTAAGTCTCAAAATAATTAGTCAGCAAATGGAATGAACACAATCGGGAATGAGTTATGAATATTCTCAGCACCCACCCGAGGTGCTTGGACAACACACCCTTCAGCACGACAAAAGCCCTTGATGGTGACCCTCATGGACCTCCGCCAGGCCTCCAGCTGCACCATTATCAGAGGATCTGAGCTCATTCCCTTGGGCAGGTGCCTCCCTCCTCTGAGCTCTCTGCAACTGGGTCAAGGCAGTCTTTCCTCCCCACTGCAAAGGGTATGACATTAGCATGGGTTGCGGGGAGTGGTAGGCACAGGGGCCCAGGCAGCCCTCAAGTCTGGAAGAAGATGTGGTGAATTTGGATTCATCATCACACAGCCTCCATTTGCTTTAGCTCCTATGTACAGTTCCAAGATGGCTTTTTCCTTTGCAGAAATGATTCAGAACATTCTTTTCTTCCAAGTTTAACTTTTCATGTAGCAGCATAAAAACATAAATCTTTGAAGTGTTGGCCTTCACGGTGTTTCTCTGAATTTTCTTTCCTCCTGGTTGATTCCAAGGCTCATTCTTTCTTCTTCTCTCCACCTCTTTTGCCAAGGTTCTTTCCATCCCTGGATGGCAGCCCTCTCCCTTCTAAGGATGCTTCAGATCTTCGCTTCCTGGTCTCTTCTTGAAGCTTCCATTTCCGTCTGGTATCAAGTTCAGAGGTCACAAAATTTTCTCCAGTTGCCATCTTTTAGTAAATGCCTTTGGTAATCTGACCATTCTCTCTTGCTCTATTTTCTCCATTTTCATACACACACACACACACACACACACACACACCCCTCCCTTTACCAATCTCTCTCCCTGCATTTTTCCCTCCTCTCCCCTTGATCTTCAGAAACACAGGGCAGCACATGCCATGCAGAATAGACCTAAATATCATGTAAGAGAAATTTGTCTCATCATGAAATAGTGGAAAAAAATAATACCAGACATCAAGAATATGAGTTCTTTATAATAAGTAGTAAAACTAAGTTTTCAGCCTCTGTTAGATATTGTGCTTTAGAGGAATTATCTGTTTCTCAAGTAATTCTGTGGGCAAGAAACCATATCATGTCCATTTGGGGATTCAGAGAGGTTAAGCAATTAGGCTGAAGTCACATGGATAGCAGGTGATGCAGTCAGAATTCCAATCCCAGCAGCCAAACTTCAGGTTCTTACTTTAAAGACACGTTATGTTAACACATTTTATGTTAACTCCTCCTCCCTCTCGAAAGTTTGGGAAAGGAGCTGGTAAACTTTCCTCTGGAGCTGAGCATAAGTTGCCTATGACCACAATTTGGCTTAGTGCTTGTGATCTGAGAAACGTTTAGAGTTCTGTTGCACAGAGGTACCCTGTTCTGTAAGGAATCCAGACATCTGCCTCCTAATAGAGAAGCCATTCTTGGCTGCATTTGGGCATGGGGCTTTTAAGAATCCCAATGCCCAGTTCACACCCCAGTTAGATTACATCAGAATGCCTGGGGTTGGGAGAGGCAGAACCTAGGCATCAGTATTTCTTAAATCTTCTCTGGTGATTCCAATGTGCTGCCAAGAATGAGAATCACTAACTTAGTGAAACATCAGGCAACATCAAGCAAATTAAGAAGCTTCTTTTCATGAGTGGCAGAGCTATCCCTAAATCTCTGAAGTCATAGTATTAAGTAATCAAATTCATGATCTTCCTCTATAACAAGTAAGCTAGGGAGAAACCTGCCTCACAGTATCCAAAATTGTACATGGCTGTAAAAAATATAATTTTGATCTTGAAATCCAGAAGACATGGGTTTGGGTTCTGTCTTGGTCTGTTTAGGCCACTGCGAGGAAATAACATAAACTGGGTAGCTTATAAACAACAGAGATGTGTTGCTCAGACTTCTGAAGACTGGGAAGCCCAAGATCAAGGCGTCAGCAGATTTCGTGCCTGGTGAGGGCCCACTTTCTGACTCATAGATGGTGCTTTCTTGCTGTGTCCTCACACAGTGGAAGGGACAAAGAGGGCATTAATCCCATTCATGAGGGCTCTGCCCTCATGACCTAACCACTTCCGAAAAGCCCCACCTCCAAATACTATCACATTGGTGATTGGTTTCAACATTTAATTTTGGAGGGACACAAACATTCAGACCACATCAGGTTCCATCACTCTTGTCATGCGTTAGCTGTGTGACTTTTTAAAATTGCAGCAAAATACACGTAACCCAAAATTTACCATCTTAACTATTTTTAACCGTATAGTTCAGTGGTATTAATTACACTCACATTTTTGTGCAACCATCACCACCTTCCATCTCTAGAACTCTTTTTATCTACAAAATTAAAACTCTATATCCATTAAACAACCCCCTATTTTTCCTCTCTCCAGTCCCTGGCAACCACTATTCTATTTTCTGTCTCCATGAGTTTGACTACTATAGGTTTCTCATATAAGGAGAATCATGTAGTATTTGACCTTTTGTGACTGGCTTATTTCACTTAGCATCATGTCCTCAAGTTTTATCTGTGTTGTAGCATATGTCAGAATTTTCTTCCTTTTTAAGGCTGCGTAATATTCCATTGTTTTCATACACTATATTTTGTCAATCTATTCATCTATTGATGGGCATTTAGGTTGCTTCCACATTTCGGCTGTCGTGAATAATGCTGCTATGAACATGAGTGTACAAATATCTCCCTGAGACCCTATTCTTAATTATGTTGTATATATATTCAGAAGTAGAATTATTGGGTCATGGGCTGTATGATTTTAGGCTATGCATTTAAATCTCTCTGGGCATCTATTTCTTCATCAGTAAAATGTATGTTTATTAAACGTGGTTCTAGGTGATAGGGATACCACAATGAACAAGACAGGCAACGTTCCTGTCTAGAAGGAACAATTTCTACTTCCAGGTACCATAAAATGAATGAGATGATTAAGGTTTTCTGACTTTCATTGAAGATTTGACCCACAAAGGTTTGATCTTCTCACTAGGTGTTAAGGACTTTTATATCAAGAAACAAAAAGTAGTTCAACTGGGAGTTTAAGAGTGATGAGGCCGGGTGTGGTGGCTCACACCTGTAATCCCAGCAATTTGGGAGGCTGAGACAGGTGGATCTCCTGAGTTACCTGAATTCAGGAGTTCTAGACCAGCCTGGCCAGCCTGGTCAACATGGTGAAACCCCGTCTCTACTAAAAATACAAAAAAAAAATTAGCCAGGCATGGTAGTGGGCACCTGTAATCCCAGCTACTCAGGAGGCTGAGACAGGAGAATCTCTTGAACCCGGGAGGCGGAGGTTGCAGTGAGCCAAGATTGCACCATCGCACTCTCTAGCCTGTGCAACAAGAGTGAAACTCCATCTCAAAAAGAAAACCAAAAAAAAGTGGTGAATGCAGAAGGAAGAAGGGCTACTGTTTTATCTTTGAAGAAGGAAAACCTGGGTCCTGGAGTTGTGGCTGGATGAGGAAACTGCCAGTCCCAGCCATGTTTTCCCATGGGCTTGGCTTAGCAAGAATTCATTCCAGGACTTAATTAGACATTTCAAAAACCTTTTCTCAAGGAGAAAGATAAAAAAAAAAAAAAAATCCCAAGCTTCACCCACACACAAATATCCTGCACTCTTAGATGCATTTTGGAAAAACTTCTGAGACAGCCTACAACAATATAAATCTATGAACTCTGCAAGCCAAAAATCACTATGTAACCAAAAATGAATGGGCTCCAAATGATTTTTTTTAAAGTCGCTCTTTCACTCATACATCCAAATTCAAGTTGATTATTTTCTAAAGCAACAAAAAAGGAGGGTGAAATATGAGGGTAAGAGATAAACCTGTCAGTAAACTCCAGGCAGGCACCTTTTAAGGAAAAATTATTCTTTTAAAAATACAGAAAAATACTGGGATACTATAACAAACATCCATGATCCAATCATTCTCATTGTTGGTTTTTCATACACCTAACTGGAGTGCAAATTACATATAATAAAATGCACATTTTGCATTTTTGATAAATATGCACACCTGTGTAACAGCCTACCTCAATCAAGATACAAAATATTTCCATCATTCCAGAAAGTTATCTCATTTTCCTTTGTGGTCAGCCGGCTCTTGGCTCCAGGAAAAAACAGATCTGACTTCCATCACTGTAGATTAATTTTGCATATACTGGAATTTCAATTAAATGGAGTGTGCAGCACATACTATTTTCTGTATGGTTTCCTTCCCTCGTATAATGCCTGACTGATCCATCTGTATTACTGCACGTATCAGAAGTTCCTTTTTTTGATTTCTGAGTTGTATTCCCTCATCCAGAGGAAATTTCTGTATCCATTATTTTAGTTTGTTTTCAGTGCTTGACTATTACAAATAAAGCCACCATAAATGTAAACAAATTGTTTGGTTTGTATAAATTTATGGAATACAAGGGCATTTTTTTTCTTTCTTTTCTTTTTCTTTCTTTCTTTTTTTTTTTTTTTTTTTTTTTGAGATGGAGTCTCACTCTGTTGCCCAGGCTGGAGGGTGCAGTGGCTCAATCTCAGCTTACTGCAACCTCTGCCTCCGAGGTTCAAACAATTCTCCTGCCTCAGCCTCCCGAGTAGTTGGGGCTACAGGCGCGTGCCACCATGCCCAGCTAAATTTTTTTTTATTTTTATTACAGATGGGGTTTCACCATGTTGGCCAGGATGGTCTCCATCTCTTGACCTCGTGACGCACCCGCCTCGGCTTCCCAAAGTGCTGGAATTACAGATGTGAGCCACCACGCCCGGCCCGGCATTTTTTTACATACACAGATTACATAGTGGTCAAGTCAGGGCGTTTAGAGTATTCATCGCCCAGAGAGCATACATTACACCTACTAAGTAATTTCTCGTCATCCAATCCCCTACCACCCCCTCACCCTTCCAAGTCTCCATTGTCTATCATTCCACTCTATGTCCGCGTGTACACATTTTTTAGCTCCCACTTATGAGTGAGAAGATGGGATATTTGTCTTTGTCTGACTTGTTTCACTTAAGATAATGGCCTCCAGTTCCATTCATGTTGCTGCAAAAGACATGATTTCATTCATTTTATGACTGAATAGTATTCCACTGTGGGTATACAAATCTTTTCTGTGAACTTAAGTTTTAATTTATCTTGGGGAAATATCCAAGAGAAGAATTGCTGGATCATGGGTTAAATGGATAATTTAAATTTATAATAAACTCTTAAACTGTTTTCCTAAAGAGCTGCACAATTTTACACTCATATCAACAATATATGAGATATCCAGTTGCTCCAGATCCATGTTGAAACTTGGTATTTTCAATTTTTAAAAATTTACTGTTCTGATGTATGTATATATATTGATACCTCATTATGTTTTTAATTTGCGTTTCCTTCATGACTAACAACATTGACCATCTTTTCATGGGCTTACTGGCTAAATCACTCAGCTTGGGCTGCCATAACAAAATACCATAGGCTGGATGGCTTAAACAACAGAATTTTATTCTACTTTTTACAGTTCTGAAGGCTGAATGTCTGGATCAGGGTACTAGCATGGTTGGGATCTGCTGAAGGTTTCTTCCTGGCTTGCAGTTGGCCACTCTCTTGCTGTGTCTTCACATAGTAGAGAAAGACAGAGAGAGAGAGAGAGACAGAGGAGAGAGAAGCGTTCTCTAGTGCCTCCTGTTATAAGGGTTTGTCCCATCAAACCAAGGCCCTACCCTCATGACCTTGCCTAATCCTAATTACCTCCTAAGAGCTCCATCTCCAAATACAGTCACACTGAGGGTTAGGGCTTCAACATATAAATTTTTGAAGGACATAGATATTTAGTCCATACCATTAACCACTCCTATAATCTCTTTTTTGAAGTGTCTATTTTTGTATTGGGTTGTCTGTCATTTTATTATTGAATTTAAGGGTTATTTATATATTTTGATAAAAGTTCTTCATCAGACATATTATTGCAAATATTTTCTCTTAAGAGAATTATGAGGCATTTTCTTAATAACATATTTTGAAAAGCAGAGGTTTTAGTTTTGATCACATACAGTAATCATTTTTTTCTTTTAAAATTAGTGCTTTTGAGTTATGTCTAAGAAATCTTTGCCCATCCCAATGTTGTGAAGACTTTCTCCTATAGCTCCTTGCAGAAGTTTTATATTTTTAGCTTATATGTTTAGTTTTACATTTTTAGCTTTTATGTTTAGGTCTAGAATCCAATTTGAGTTAGTTGTTATATGTGTCATGAGATGAGGTTTAATGTCCATTTTTTTCTATGAAGATATTCAGTTGTTCCAGAAGGATTTGTTGTAAAATCTATTCTTTTTCCCCTAAATTATGTAGTCACTTTGTCAAAAATCAATTGACTGTATACACATGGGCCCATTTCTAGACTCTCTATTCCATTCAATTGATTGGCATGCCTGCCTTTACAACAATACTACAATGTCACTTATTGTAACTTCAGAATAAATTTTCAAATCAATAGGGAAAGTCCTGCAATTTTGTTCCTTGTCAAGATTCTTTTGGCTATTCTAGGTCTTTTGCTTTTCCATCCAAATCTTAGTTTTTAAATTTCTAGTGAAGAGCCTGCTGGTATTCTGATTAAATTAGAACAATTTGGGGGATATTTAATAGATATTTTACATTATTGAGTCTTCCAAAACCATAAACGTGGTATATATTACCATTTGTTCAGATCTTTCTTAATTTCTCTCAGCAATGTTTTGTAGATGTTACCTGGAAATACAGTCATCTAAAGATTTGGCTGGGAGCTAGAGAATTTACTTCCAGGTAACTTGCTGCATTGTTGGCAGGTTAGTGCTGGGGCCGGCAGGAGTCCTTAGATCCTTACCATACGGGCCTTTCCACATGGCTGCTTGAGCATCCTCTTGACATGGCAGCTGGCTTCCACAGCATGAACAAACCAAGAGGCTACAATGCTTCCTCAGAAGCCACATGTTGTTGCGTCTACAGTATTCTATTGATCACTCAGGCCAGCCCTGTACTGTAAGAGAGGATTGTACAATGGTTAGAGTATCAGGAGATTAGGACCAGGAAAGACCATCTTGGAGGCTGGCTACCATATCAGTCATTATACCCACCCAGAATATCCTGTATATAGCTGGAAATACAGCTTATCCCAATTTGGTGGTGGCAATGTTGAGTTTTCATAGTTAAATCTTGGACTTTGAATTGAGATGAACCTGGGTTCAAATCCTGACCCTGTCCTTTGGGAAATGTAACCTCTCTGAGCCTGTTTTCTTGTTGGCAAAACCTGGATAAGAATGCCTATATCATAGGGTTGTTGTAAGAATTAAATAAGTCAATGCATTTGACATAGGGTGAGCACTCAATAAATGATAAATTCTATAATTATTACTTCTCTTAGAAATTAAGGAAATTAAAGGCTATAGTTACCTAGTTATTCCAAAACACTGGGAAGAGTTACATGAAGGAAAGGAAAAAAGTGAAAAAATATTGGGCGCTTATCAAAAATAAGGGCTTTGGCCTTGGCCAGGAGGCTGCCTTAACGGTCAGAGATGGTGGTTATATCTGATGCTCCCAGGTTCCTACCAAAATTCACGTGGCCAAGAGAGCCTGCAAGGAGTTCCTGTTCAGATTGACCATTTCTCTCTGTCTCAGTCTGTCCAAGGCTCGTCTTAGGTTATGGGAGGATGCTCTATCAACCTAAGGCAGGCTGAAAAGTCTCAGCTAGAAGGTTAACAACTCAGGAGCAGCCCTCTACACAAAAGGGACCAGAGTTGGTGGCTAAGTGCCTGAGCTGCTCTATCCCACAATGGATAATTTTCAGTTGTGTTTTGCACAGTGGCCCAGAGGGGTCCACCAGGACTGAGCCTTAAGGAGTCAATCGTTTCTTTGCAACCCCTTATTGGCTTTCTCTATTTGCTCTCTCACTTTTCCCACTCCTTCAATATGCTTCCTGGGATCCACTCCCAAATAATCTTCTTACACCAAATTATTATCAGGATCTGTGTTTGTGGCAACCCACACTAAAACACAGGCTGGCCTCAAAAATGCAATGTTTTAGACACATATGGGTGCCCTGAGTGAAAAGTGACCCTCTCCAGAGAAGGAAGTAAAGAAAGGAGATGTGCAATTTATCCCAAACCAAGAGCCCAGGTTAGAAATAAAGTTGAGAAATAGTCACTCAAGGTAGTTTTGATGCCCTGCCCTCTCCACAGTATCACACCCATAGGGTTCAAAAGTATTTGTTCTGGAGATTTCTCAGCCAATGTTCCAAAGCCCTTGGCAAAAACACCTTGCTCAAGGTAGAAGTCACATGAAATAGCAGAGTAATGTCTGCTTTTTCTATGAGAAGCAAGCCACAAGCCACAGCAGAGAAGCCACCATCCCAAACACAATTTGTCAATACTGAGGGTTTTCTTTGAAAGGACTGTACAAATACATTTCTTTCACTGGGAACTTCAATTGAAGATAATTATTCTTTTCTGCCTCATAATATATATTAAAAATGTTCACATGTGGCTTTCCAGGGAATTCTGCCAAATATTTTCAGGCACCACATCCAACTTTACTAATTTTATATGGCCTGCTTAGTCTATTATAGAATATCCTTTCGTGCAGTATGAATTTGCTAAAGAGGCTAAAATATATTCTTATATTAAACAACTAGTTTAAAAAAAGTTTTCAAGATTGGGGACTTACGCTCTTCTTACTTATCTCACAATGAGATAACCACAGAAAATAAATTAAGGCCCTTCTGAAAAATTGTACGTTTTTCTAGACTTTTACTACCATCAAGAAACAAAATAAAATAGACTATCACCTTCAGGAAATGCAAAGCACACTGACATGAAGGTTGTTTTCAGATAAACAGTGTATTTCATTACCACCAGGGCATGCAATATCTCAACCACTACCCTTCATGGCCTTTTTCTGTTTTTATGAGTTCATGCCAACAACAAGCAATGAGCACAAAGGCTGTGCGAAATGCTGCATTTGTTGGAGTGTTTGTGTTGGCTTCCTTCAAATCGGCTGATTTCCAAATCTCCTTCTCCACCCCACCTTAGTTATATTTATACTGTTGTGCAGAAGAAACTTGGATCCATATTTAAATATGAAATGCTTTGTGGCCATTCGTGCAAATCTCTTTATCGGGGTCTCGCACATTAACGCCCTTCACAATTGACCCACAGGCCAATTGTTTAACATAACGTTTCCACAGGGCTGCTTCCACGGAGTCACAGCCTTGTTTTTACTTTTCTTAGCTTTCCTGGACAATCAAAAGGAAGTGGAACAGAGCCGGCTTGCTGAAAGCTGGAGCTGCCCCAGTGTCTCCTCCTACCTTCTGTCTCGGGTTTTGTTTTTCTGCTTCTTTTTCTTTTTCTTTTTCCCATCATTTTTCACGGTAGAGAAGCCTGAGCCAGACTATGTAGCTAGAGCCTCTCAGTCCTCGTGTCTGCTGCTTTTTCCCTCCCTGCTCAAAGTTAATGTGAAGGCTGACTACGACCAGTCTCAGGAAGCTAAATTGTGCCACCTTGATTTTAGCAAAATTGGGTTCTCTGTTGATTCACAAAAGTATTAAAGTAATACAAAGGTGTGTGTGTATATGTGTTGGAGGTGGGAAGTGGAGAGACGGAACTCTCAATGGGAACTCTCAGCTTATGAAATGTAAATTTCTTCATTCCTCTTTAACTTAGGGGTCGCTTTAACCTAGAGAAGTCACACTACTTTCCCCCTTTTTAATTTTTTTTCTTTAGAAGAGAAGGGATGCAATCTGTAAAAACTGAAATGGAAAGACTCATGACACCCAAGTCACTTTTTTTAAAAGAACATTCCCACAGGTGCTATAGTCAGTAATTTAGTCTCTAAATTGCAGCTTTCTCTTCTGTAAGCTGAAGATTGATTTATATTTATGGAGTGCTTACTGTAACTACTAGATACACTAGGTATACATATAACAGACAGTAATATGCCTGTCTCATATGATGATTGTGAAGACTTTTAATAAGCTATCTCACATACAGCACAGAGCACAGAGCAGTAGTGAGTGAGTATACAGAAATGTCAATCATCACTGATAATTATCATCATGAATCATGGTGAGACTTAAGAGGTCTAAGGACTGAGAATTAATGTCTCTATTATGGTTAATAAAGTGATTGAGAGCCCAAGTTTTAGAGCCTAGTATGCTTTGACTCCAAGCTCCATTCCACTATTTCCACATATGTAACTTTTAGTAAGTTATTTAAGCTCTTTAAGCCTCAGTGTCCTCATCTGTAAAATGGAGTTAATAAAGCATTTACCTCAAAGCATTGCTATAAGAGTTGTGCTTATATATGTGTACTTAGCACAGTGTTTTACATATCAATATATGCTTTACAGATCATTATATGGTATTATTAATTATTAATATTACCTGCTTATTTAATGTATTTTTATTTTAAAGATATAAAATTGGCCCAAAGCACAAATGTATACCTACTCCTTCACATACCTTAAAAATACAGATTATTTTCATAATCAGTTGGTTTGATAATAAACATATTCTTCAGTCCTTGGAAATGTTTCAACCAAAGTGTCACCAACTCATATAAGAGTTGAACATGAAGAGAGCAATCAAGCAGAGAAACTAAGCCTGGGAGAACATTGCATGGTGCATTAATCAAGGACAGCAATCTTTGCAGTTGTAACAAACAGCCCCACATCATAGTGGCTTAACACAAAGTATAGTTACTTACTGCCCACGTTATAGTTCAGTGCAGGTCTGCAGGAAGGGCCTGCCTCCACTCATGCAGGTACCTGGGATCACCTGTCCATTGGCTACACTGCCCTTTAGGGCCTCCAAATCCCCAGCTGAATTATTCCCATCCATCTAGTAGGAAAGGAAAAAAGAATGTTGAAGGATCATGCAAAATGTTTTAGGGGCCAGTCCTGGACGTAAAATATGTTACATTGGCTAGAATGCTGTTACACATTGCCACCTATTTCAAGAGATGCTGAGATTTGGAGTCTTCTTGGGTGCCCAGAGATTTGAGTATCACCTAGCACTGTTTCTGCTTCAGGTGAGTAGAAGGAGCTCACTTTACATCCATCAACCTGATTTAAATAACTAAACAAACAGCTACAAGCTTCAATGAAAATGCCTTACCCAGACGGAGTATTTCATCCTTGCAAAAGGTGCTCCCATAATATATGGTCCAACCTAGAACAATTTTAAGAGAGAAACAAAGTGGTTAAGAGTGGTAATAAATCTAAATGATATTTTGAAATTTTAAAAATTAATTATTGATTTTAATTTGTTGGTGGAACTATAAAATAGTTCTAGTCAAAACTATTTTTGAAAAATAATATTTTTTAATCAACATAGAATATATCCATATATATTAAAATTATTTTAAATACAATGTTTATTATATGAACATTAAAAATAACGTAAGCAAAACAGTTTTTCTTGGTATATATTTATATATATTAATTGGGGTTTTTTTAGCCACATGGGACTCATACCATATTACTGGTATTTTAATATGTCTTCAATATTATTATTTTTCTTATTTTTATAAAATGCCTGAGATCTTTTCAAAATCACATGATTAAAGTATGTGAATTTCTCTATTGTTTTAAAGAAAAAATATCCCTTGACATTGGCTGTGATACCTACCAACCTGGTAATATGTCTTCAATATTATCTTATTATTTTTCTTATTTTTATAAAATACCTGAGATCTTTTCAAAATCGCATGATTAAAGTATGTGAATTTCTCTATTGTTTTAAAGAAAAAATATCCCTTGACATTGGCTGTGATACCTACCAAGCTCACAGTAAGTTTTGCTAAATGAATATTGTACAAGTCAGTTCAAGCTTATATAACAAAACACCACAGATTGGGTATTATTTCTTATAATTCTAGAGACTGAGAAGTCCAAGATCAAGGTGCTAGTGGATTCAGTTTCTCATGAAGGCTCTCTTTCTGGTTTATAGACAGCCACTTCTTGCTGTGTCCAAAGGGAGAGAGGAAGAGAAAGCTCCCTTCCTTTGGGTCAGAGCTCCACTCTTATGACCTCATTTAACTTTTATTACCTCCGAAAAGTTCTATCTCTAAATACAGTGACACTGTGGGGTAGAGCTTCAAAATATAAATCTGGGGAACACACAACTCAATCCATAGCAATGCTATTATTCTTTACTAAAATATAAAAATGTTGTTTCAGCCCTAAAATATGTACTGTATATGTACTGACTTTTTGCCTGTCCTCAGAGTGCTTGTATTAGGCAAATATTTTACAAGCAAAACTTATCAAAAAAAACTTTATGATACTTTTGAATGTTTCGCTAAACATAAATGTAACAGAATCACAGACCTTCTCAATTTTATTTTATTTCAGTATATGCAATGCAACTTTATTCTGTTAAAAACAGGAGGTCTATCAATAGTTTCTTACCACAAGGTGAGTTTTTCCATAGCATAATTATAGACTTTCAAATGGAAATTGTACACGCCATTTGAGCTTTCACTGTTTAATATGTATATTGTGTAGAAATAAATTTGAATATCTTCCTGCCTGCAAGCTTTGTTGTCAACAATTGCAGGTCCCTAAGAGTTTCAACTGCTGACTTCTTGACACTTAGTCCATTGAATACTTTGATTTAAATATTCCCAACTGATTTTGAGCAAGAAGCTCATTTACAAAAATATAGTTTTTCTTTGTCAGAGTGAACTTCTAAAACCTTTACTTAAATTCCATGAACTAGGTGAGAAAAAAAACCATTCAACCCATTAATGGAGCCACCTTAACTAATCTCTTTGAAGCATGCCTTGCGAGCATCATACAGTCAGCCTCAGGAGAACCATGGCATAACTGGTTGGAAACTGAATGTCCAATAGGGACAGAGCCTTGAGCTCTTCTCCCACCACTATATCCAGAAAAAGTTACCCAACAGTAGCTACTTCTGCCTGACTACACAATGCATGCTTCCCTTGAAAGGGATATGTTGATTTTGATGCATCTGGAAAGAGTTAGGAAGAGAAAAATGGATCATCTCTGTTTCTTTTCAGATTTGACCACTTGTTGAAATGAAAACTCTGTTTATTTCATGTGCGTCTCACTCACTTTTAGGCAAGGTCATGGAAGAAGTGAAAGCACAATGCAGAGGTCTTCCAAGTCTATCCCAGGTTATTTTAACACAAATACTGATAATAATTTTTCACTTAAGGGGAAATATCTTGGACAAATGCTAACCTGGATAGATAACAGGACAAAAGATGTAGAGCTGAATGTCCCAGACAAACTAGTACATACAGTTGATATGGTCACTCTACCTTTGTACCCCTTCCCAATTAATGCCTTAGAGGTTTCTGCATGAAAATCAAAAAGTGTATCTATCATCCAGGCATTCCAAATGGGATCTTTTTTGCACACAGCATCTGCTATGTCCTGATGAAAACTCAGTTGCTTCACGAGGGCTTTGCTAGTCATTCTCTGTCCTCTTCCTGTGATCTTTTAGATTCCAAGTGGATAGCGGAGGACACAGCACAAACTGGACAAACTGGCTAAAATTACCCAGAGCCCTCTAGTGTGGAAAAATACAGCAGAGAGGGCGAAAAAATCATTTTTAACACTCAAAAAGCAAGGGGGTGCTGGGTGTGATGGCAGGGGTGTGGGTGGGGGCCATGGTGGTCCTGAGCATAGGATCTCAGTTATGCTGCTTTAATCCCCACCTATATTCCTAATGCACTTTGGGATTCCACTGGCAAAGCTACCATTGACCTGTACACCAAATCTTAATTTTAAAGACAAGGAGATACACTCCCTGCATGTAATCCCCAAAGCTCAAAACAGCTAGTTTTAGAACAAATTAATAAAATTCAGCTTTCCACCCCAGATGGCAAACCCCAGTATTATTTATTTCAAGAGCTAGTTGAGACTGAAAAGATAAACAGGCTGAAGAAAGAGAAATAAAGCAAACAGGCAGTTTTGTTATAGTTTACATCTGCAATTCTATCCCTGAAATATCTCTTCTAGCAGCTTTCCAAGATAGATTATTGTCTGCACTTAATCAAGACATTTCTTTTTTTTTTTTTAAACTGTCACCAGGAAACTAAGACATTACACCAAATCATTCATTTACCTATTCATTCACTCTCAAATGTTCATTCAACACACATTTGTCAAACACTTTCAGAAACAAATGCTACCTCAGGTTCCACAAAGCCACAGTACTTCCCAGAAGAAGAAAACAAAATTTGTTAAGGTTGTGGGGTGTTTCTTAGATACAGTCGTGGGGATATTCACAATATTTAACAATCATTGCAGCATGGGCTCCAGTCAATCAGAATGACAGCCCTGCCACATAACCAATAAGGAAGGATAAAGCTTATGGATACAATGTGGCCACTGAAACAGCCCTGGAGCAAACCCAATTCCTGAGAATGGTAAAGACAGATCTTAGTGAATAACACTTCTAAATGCTGTGAAAGCAAAAGTAGGTTGAGCCTTAGTGTCAAAGTTATCATGCCTTATTTTCAAAAGAACCAAAAGGAAAAACTGTTTAGAATAGACACATCTCCCTTCATTTCCTTGTGTCAATTCGAGGTGAAAACTTGAGAAGTTAGTGGATGCCACTTATATATAAACATGGTACATGTCCCTTCCTTTTATAATCTCTAATTATCACGACTTTGTCAGTAAATATTACTTAACCCGTCATGCAGATGACAAAGTAGTCCTAAGAGTTTCTGTGTTTTGCTCAGGTCTCACATCTAGATAATGATGGTGGGTTTCAAAATCAGATCTACCTACCTTACTCAGAACATCTCGCGCTTCATTCTAATTTCCTTATGGGAACTAACTTCTCCCACATTCAGCTCACTCTTAGGAGGAGTATGAAATTGGCCAGCCCGCCCCTACTCAAGGAGTAAACCTATGATCCAAGCAAGGTTTAATGAATTGCAAAAATGGCCACCATTCTTCTCCACCACTGCCCCACATCTATTCCACTTTGCAACATGAATCTGGCAGCTCCTCTCATCAAGAGGTGGGGTTCCCACTCTTTAAATCTGGGCTGGCCTTGTAACTTGCTTTCGCCAATAGAATATAGCAGAAGTGACATTGTGAAGGTTCTGAGCATGGGCCTCATGAGACCTTGCACACTTCTACACCCCTCTTGGATCCCTGCTCACTTGCTGTGTGAACAAGTCCTTGCTCACCTGATGGAAGTTGAGAGACCACATGGAGCAAAAACAAACCATCCATTTGGGCCGTCTTAGATGGACCAGCCTTCACTGACCTGGCAGGGGATGGCAGATGCATGAGTGAACCTGGCTTGATCTGGCCCAGATCTGTAGAAAACTTCAGCTAAGTCCAGCCCAAATTTTCGACCTACAAAACCATGAGCTATTAAAAGGTAGTGGTATTAAGCCACAAAGTTTTTTTACATAGCAAAATTTAACCAAAAGGCAAGAATAGAAAATACTTATGATAAATCTCAGAGGCAGCCCGCGACAAGATTTTTAAGTACCTCTTGCTTCCTGGATTCCTGGATCTTCCCTAATTCTTGCCCTCTCTGAGCCTGGTTCTCTAACAGCATTTTTCATACCATGAGCCACCTGTGTCCTCATGACAAATTCCTTTGGCTTAAGTTTGTCAGAGTTTCTGTCAACCAAAAAAACCTCTAAACTCTAACTAATCTTAAAGGCTTTGGTGCAAACTCTACATTTTGCTGCTGAAAAACTAACAGGCAGAGGCCAGGACCAGAATCTAGACAACCTCACATAGAGAACAGGATCATTATCATCAAACAAGGCCATCACCCTAGTCATGACATAAACCAATCCAGTATTAATAAAGTAAGGCTAGCTGCTATGAAAAGCAATCCCTAAATCTCAGGGACTTGACATGATAATGCTTTAATTACCATGCCTGTCACTGGCCAGTAATGGACTTTTCTGGTGGGGTAGGCTTCCATGTGATCATCCAGGGTCTTGGGCACCTTCCGATTGTGAGTCTGTCCTCTCTTAGGTCTTAGGGACCCTCATCATTCAGTCAGATGGGAAAGGAGATGGCACATGAGAGGGCTTTATAAGCCAGTCCTGGAAGTACCACCCATCACTTTTGCACACCTTGCATTGCACAGACCTCAGGCACATGACCACATCAAGCTATCAGAGAAATATGGTCTAGTAATATAAACCCAAGGATGAAGTAAGAGCAAAAATAGGGTCAGATCTTTCCCACAGACTCTTAGCTGATTTTATTATACAGAATTGTATTATTGAAATTAAGCTTTTTGCATTAGAATACCCAGAAACTGAAATTCTTACATTCACTGAAACTCGCTAAAGGGAAAGCTCTGTTAGAGACAGGAAACCCGGCTCAGAGGACACCATTGTCCCGCCACAGTATTCTTTACTATTTTCATTCCTTCCACAAAATAAGCCTGAGATTTGGGGGCAGGGATTCTACAAGCAATCATTTGCTTTCCTTTGTCTGATGAATAGCAACTACAGCAGTTTATTAACCACTAGATTACTCTTAAGATTTTGGCATATCCTCAGAATCATGCAGACACAGTTAGGGAAAAAAATATTTCTCTCTTTCTCCCCTCCCCAGTGGATTTCTTTTCCCCTTCCAATTTCATAAGAAAGTCCCCAGGAAAAATATACTTATAACAGTATCAAATTAATGGATGGATTGAGCTTACATTTTTCTTTTCCCATGATGCATTCTAAATACCAAAAAAAAAGACTAGACAGACAGTGGGACCCATCCCTCCACATTCCAAGACATGCTCCAGTTACCCAGTCATTACAGAGCACTGCCAGGAGGCAGAGGCTATGATTTAACTAGAATTCAGCTATTTTCAATATATTCTAGTTACTTAGTTGATACTGAAGGCTATGATCAGTTTGTAGCCAATGAGCTTTTCTAAAGAAACTGCACAGTGGCATCTGACTTGCTGTAAGTTGTACCAATTTGCACCACAGAGCGTGCCTCTGAACAGCTGAGATTACAAAACAAAGCCTTGGAATTCATATGCCTTCATTCACTGTTTTCACATTTCTCTGTTCCAAAATGTTTGGCTAGTGTTTCTGCCTCCCTCCACCCTCAGCTCTTTCTTAAGGACAGAGAAGAAATCTAATTCTCATGAAACAATTGGTTTTTAAAGTATGCTAAGTATTTGGAGATTTATTAGAAACAGTTTTAGTTCCTCATTACTCTAGAGCAAATTATTATTGATTTACAACAGATAGCTCATCTGATATCCTTCAGGCAGTCATAAAAAATAGTCAGAACATTAAAAATGGTTGATGTCTTTCTGGCAAAAGCAGCTAAACTCAGCCAATGACAGCCCCTTCCAACTGAAGGAAAAATAGCCCATTCTCACTGTGTGTTCTGTTCACTTTTGTGTAAGTATTCCAAAGAACCTGAATTCATATGCATTTATTTTCATATTAAACTCTTTTATCAGAAAGATCTCTTCTAGATACCCCATTCACACCAGAATGATTTTCAAAGTCAGAAAGAACATTTGCTAGGATTACCATGTACTTAAAGCTGGGCATGTTTTATTATAGAGCATTTAGAGTAAGGGTTTTTATTATCATTAAGCAATCCCACTAACAACAGGTCAAAGTTTTGCTGTGAACATGCTATCTAAGAGCATCAGCTCCTTAACAGACTGCCAAGTTTATGTCCTGGCTCCATCCCTGGAGCAACTCTCCTACCTTAGCAAGCAAGCCTCAGCCTTCTCCCCTGCAAAACGGAGCTATCAAGAGCATCCATTTCAATGGTAATTGATTTAGGGGAGGATTTTAATTTTATCACAGCACCAGGCATATAGAAGATTCTCTATTGATATAAGCTACTGGCATGGGACCAAGGCTATTAATAGATGACTAGTAGCAGATTTGCCCACTACCTGCCAGCTAAGAGGATTACACTTTGCCAGCTTAGTTTCTTCTTCTCCTCTGGTTTCCCCAGAAGGGTCTGGACTAACCAGACTAGATCTTTGGGGCTTATGTATTGCAGAATAAACATAAACAAAGCAGAGGAAAAAAAACCAAAAAGAAGCGTACAGGCCAAGGCAGATTTAGGAACTTTAAGAGGTCCTGAGGAGAAAGGATCTGGTCTGGTATGTGAGGAAATTTGTTGAAGTTGGTTGAAAGGAAAAAGGAGATTTGTAGTTATGTTCTCATAGTATTTTTTTTTATTCTTCATGGAATTCAAGAAATGTAAGTAAAGAACTGTATTATTTCCAATTTTTTGTTTTTTTCAGCTTTATTGAGGTTCAGTTGACAAATAAAAATTATATATATGTACAATGTATGACATGATGTTTTGATATATGTATGCATTGTGAAATGATTACCACAAGCAAGCTAATTAACACATCCATCACTTCACATAGTTACCTTTGTTTGTGTGTGTGGTGGGAACAGTCAAGATCTACTCTCTTAGTAAATTTCAAGTACACAATGTTCCATTGTTTACCATAGTCACCATGCTGTACATTAGAGCCCCAAAACTCATTCATTCTGCACAATTCAAATTTTGTACCTTTCAATCAACAACTCTCGATTCCCCTCCATCTTATCCCCACTGGAAACCACCATTCGACTCTCTGCTTCTATGACTTCAACTGTTTTCTATTACATATACAGTCAGTCCTCTGTACCCCTGAGTTCCCCATCCATGGATTCAACCAACCACAGATTGAAAATATTTGGAAAAAAAGATGGTTGTATCTGTACTGACTATGTTCAGACTTTTTTATCTTGTATTATTCCCTGAACAATACAGTAAAACAACTACTTATGTAACATTTACATTCTATTAAGTATTATAATAAATCTAGGGATTACTTAAGTTATACAAGAGGATGTATAGGTTATATGCAAATACTACACCATCTTTATATAAGGGACTTGAGCATCCATGGATTTTGGTATCTGCAGGAAATTCTGGAACCAATCTTCCATGGATACCGAGGGACGATTATATAAGTGAGATTATAAAGCATTTGTCTTTCTGTGCCTGATTTATTTACCTTAGCATAATGTCCTCCAGGTTCATCCATGTTGTGACAAATGACAAATCTCCTTTTTAAAAGACTGAGCACTATATATACACACAATGGAATATTATTTTAAATATCATATTTTCTTTATCCATTCATCTGTTGATGGACACTTAGGTGGATTCCATGTCTTGGCTGTTGTAAATAACGGCATATCTTTTAGACACTGGAGTGTGTATGTGTGTGTGTGCACACGTATGCATATGCGTGTGTGTGTGCGTGTGCATGTGTGTGTGTGTGTGACTATATCCTTATTGGACTGGACCAATTGGATTATGGAATTATGCATTATCACTACACTTCTACTATTACTACTCTTATGGTTATCAAATGTTCTGGTTTAAACTGGCTGCCCTGCCCTTCGTCATGTAGCACCTGCTTTCATTTTCAAAAATATCCCAGTTTGTGCAAATGAATTTTATGGTCACCGTCCTACTGTTGCTCCTGTCACTGCTGCTGTTGCTGCTATTTTTTCGTCTGCAATAGAAATAATCAATGCAAATATTTAAAGTTTACATCATTCTATGTACACTTGGAAAAATATTTCCCATAGATCTTAGTAGCAAATACATTAATTCCTCAGCCAATTAAAGAACTTTTTAGCAACTTGCTCCATAAATGCCAGCTTCTGGGTGAAAGTAAGATTTTTACTATGTGACCCTAACTTATCCAATAAACTCATCATAAACCCAAATGATATCTTCAAATAGTCTTTCCACTAAAGTGTACTCTCCTCTTTAGATTTCCAGCATTGAGGACAAGGTAACAGACAAAGGACAGGTACAAGGGCAAGGGCAAGTAAGGCTATATCAGGTTTCTATTGTGTGCACTTTGTCCCTAAGAACAGGGATATCTAATTTAATATGACAAAGCCATTATTACTTCCAGATCTTCAGATACAGCAAGCATCTTAGCAGCAGGAGCAGACATCTTCTCTAAGCTTAATCATCATCAACCTCATATTATTCACTTTAGTGCCTTATTCCTTAAATATTCTTCAAAAATTATAATAGGCATAAACTGGTCAGACTATTCTACCAAGGAAAAAAGCAAAAATAATATTTTAAGTCAGAAATAGGCTGGGCGCTGTAATCCCAGCACTTTGGGAGGCCGAGGCTGGCAGATCACCTAAGGTCAGGTGTTTGAGTCCAGCCTGCCCAACATGCTCAAACCCTGTCTCTACTAAAAATACAAAAATTAGCCAGGTGTGGTGGTGAGCGCCTGTAATCCCAACTATTCAGGAGGCTGAGGCAGGAGAATCCCTTGAACCCAAGAGGCGGAGGTTGCAGTGAGCCGAGATCGCCACTGCACTCCAGCCTGGGCAACAAGTGTGAAACTCCGTCTCAAAAAAGAAAGAAAGAAAAAGAAAGAAAGAAAAGAAAGAAAGAAAGAAAGAAAGAAAGAAAGAAAGAAAGAAAGAAAGAAAGAAAGAAAGAAAGAAAGGAAGAAAGAAAAAAGAGAAATAGTAGTTCTTGTAAACTTGATATCAAATATGTTAGTTTTTCCTTCCCAAAAAGACGTTTGAAAAAATTCAAATGGCTGTATTTACATTTTGTATTGAGCATCTTAAGATGCCAGTTAAAGATTGTTTATTTTCAGGCCCTTGAATTTAATGATTTTACAGAAATATATGTGAAGCACATGAAGAGGGCATTACGAATTTAATTTTGAAGGTGAGAGAGAGGAAGAAAACACTATGAAACTCTGAAGGCAATTATAGTAAAACATTTATTGTTCTATACCCGGGAATTACTATAAGGATTTTTTGCAAAAATATTCCTTACAAAGGAAATGATTTAGGATGTAATATGGACATCTTTCCAGCCAAATGGGCATGTTTCTATCTTCAAGGGGAGGGAAATGAAATATGGAAACAAAAAAACAATTCTGCTTTTGCTAAATAAGTTACCATCAAAGGTCAGGTCCATGGCAATGCATTTCGGCAGCTTTTTCTACTGCTCAGAGTCTCCTCCATTTTCTAGGGATATCTGAACCACATCTCTCTCTCCATCTCTCTCTCTCTCAGCCTCTCTCTACTTAAGTTTCCAGAATGTTTCCTTGGCTCAGTCCTCTAACACCACTCAATAATGTGTTCAGTACCTTGGGAGTATCTGTGGTCATGTAATTCCACAATCATATTCCTAGATGATATGTCACAATTTGTTTAAGTTGGACTTAGAACTCAGTATGAGCTCACAAAGATGTCCATGAGAGGGGTCAACGATGACTTCATTATCTTAGGATGAACTCACCAGCTTTTCAGTGTCAGCACAGCCTGTCCCATTTCAATGACAAACAGAACCTTAAGGTATGAAGAAATCCTAAGAAATCAGGCACCTCTAAAATGTGAAAATAACTCATTGCATGAATGAGTATGGAGCAGGGAACTGAAAATGCTTCTTTGGCTGGCATTGCCATGGAAAAACAAGAATAAAGACACCACTTTTTTCAAGTTACGATGAATTCCCAGGGCAACACAACAGAATGAAAGCAAAGTGTGCAAAGCTGTGTGAAGGAGACTGATGAAAAGTTTCAACTTCTGATATGTACATAATCTATCAAATATGATCAGATCTATTAAATACACAAATTTATCTGTATACATGTGTCCAATTCTATGACCATTTTTATCTTTACCTAAACTATACCTGACTTCTCTCTTCTTATGTCATGTCCAGGTAAGTTTTGTTAAATTATTTTGTTGTCAGATGCGATTACTATATTTTCTACTATGCGATTACTTTATTTTCTGCTATTTTTAATTTTAGACTTGTCATGACAATATTTGGAGGATGATTCTACTTTGCTAAGCTGCATTTTTTATTGCAAAGTTTTTCTCTCTGTAATTTGTCTTCCAAAAGCTTTAAAATCATTCTTAGGCTATTGTAATAAAATCACATCATTTGCCTGACATTCTCTGACATTATTGTATTTCCTCCCATTTATCTAAGAAGGACAACTGGAACACCCATGCCAAATCAAGCAAACATTGCAGAATCAAACTCTTAAGAACATCGTTCTGGAAAAGTATCTAGTAGCCTTCAGGCTACCTGTCAAAGGGAAATAACCAAACATTTGGTTCAGTTCTCTTTTGTGCTCCCTAAAAGCTCACCTGGCAAGATAAATATTATGGAATGAAGAAGGGGGAAATGTTAGGCAATAGAAAGACATTATCTAAGAGAAAGAGTGCTAAGGCCATGTCAGAATATGGCGGCCTCAGATGGGAATTACCATAAAATTCTAGCCTTGGGTTGGGTAGAGAAAAATAAAGTGTCAATAAGAAAAAATTATTGTCAAAAGAAAAAAATGTGGTACCACAGGGAGTGGGGCATTAGGAAAATTGCTTGAGGGTGTAACCACAAATGGCAGATGGACAAAGTTAGGTGGAGCCCAGAAATAAAGTGAAGCCTTTATTAGCAGACTTGCTGATATATAGATCTCATTGTTATGTAAGACCCAAGGAATTTCTCCCATGCTCCACACCCTTCTTAACAATCAGCCTGGTACCTGGTTAAGATGCAGGTCTTTTCAGGTTCTTTGAACTTACAATCATGCCCATCGTAGACCTAGCTGTGTTAGAAGCTTAGCCAATAACTCCTTGCTCCTGACACCCTCCCTACAGTGGAAATTAAAACAGAATAAATATTCTTTTCAGTCATTATGTTGATAGGGAAACTGGACACTGCCCCATGAAACTTTACTGAGACTCCCAAACATGGGTTAGATGTAGAACCAACACCCTGTCCTCAATGAATTTTCTCTAAACGAAGTTTCTTCATTTAGGGAAATGGAAGTAGAACTCTGAAGCTAAATCAGAGGACTCCAAGCAAATGAAGTGACTGAAAGTAAGCATGTTCCTAACTCATGAGCTTTTAGGAAAACAGCAAGTCTTACTGTTTACCATTTGCTACTTTCTGTAATAACCCATGCAGCTATTCTGTGATTTAAAATATGTCATTTATGGAAAATCAAAAGGCAACTATTACAAGAATCCAAATTGCTTGTAGAACCAGGCAAATTATTCCATTCAATTATCTCTGTAATATAATAGAAACACATTTAGAAACAAAAAGAAGTAGAATCTGAATATCTTTGGGATCTGCATAGCTGATTTCAATTTGAGCTAAAATATAACCACATGCATCGTATTAAGACTGTCTGTTTCTTCGGAGTTTGGGGGTTTATTTTTGTTTTTTGTTTTTTAGTTTAAGGAGAATACTGTGAGGTTAGAGTAGTGCTATGTTCTCCTCCTTGTCTATATCCCAAGGCTCCAGGAGGGTGGGGTAACATGGATTATAAAAGCTACAAATCAAAGGCCTTGGCTTTCCCAAGAAAATTCCAAAATGTGGCATTGCAATAGATATTTGTTCAGCAAAGAACAAGCAACAGAATTTCACACAGGCACTTAGAACTTCAGAGAAAACAGGCAGGCCTGGCCTACAGCAGAGGAATGAGGTAGTATAGAGGACATCTTCTTCCTTCTATTCTTTCTTTCAGCTTCCATTCCTAGAAAAGAATTGGCACTCACTGTTCTCCTTTAAATATTTTAGGCAAGAATGGCTCATTGCCCTTGAGCTACACAGAAATGTATAGGTGGGTGTATTGGGTCGGTTCCCTGGAAGCACAACCTCAGATGGGGATTCTTGTGCAAAAGATACACGGAGGAAGAGCTCAAGGAAGTAACTTGCAATGAAGCAAGGGGAGCAAGCTGGAGCAGGAGAAAAGATCAGGCAAAGGCATGCTTTCAGAAGTCTAGCCTCGGCCTCATCCACAGGGAGCTCCAGAGAGTGAATGGTACCATGCAGCTGGTCAACCTTCTTGGAGGAGGGAGCTGCTGATAGCCTTCAGTAGACAGCACTTGCACTAGCCAAGGGATGAGTGCACCAGCCCAGTGGAGGGGATCTGGGTAGAGCACCTATGCCATCTGCTATAATAGGTAGGTGTACCCATTGTAGAAACATGGAACATCTTCCAAGACAATCAATTTTGCTCAATATTTGAGAAGTCATGGTTTGTTGAATTTTTTTGTATTGGCAAAAACTTGTTCTTTGTATCAGGGCAAAATGATGTATTTTTAAAGACATAACAAGCTTTGCAGTACCAAATCAATCATGTCACATCTTTCATCAAAATTTTCCTAAGTTTCTTCTCGTAGACATATTTATGATCTCCTCAAAGTTTCACAGTTCAGTGCCCAATTTCCATATCAAAATTATTACAAAAAGAATATTTATTCTCTTGTAATTTCTACTGCAGGGAGGGTGTCAGGACCTGGGAGTAATTGACTAAGCTTCCAACACAGCTATCCAGTATCTCCTTGGGGAAATGCCCATGGAATTTAAGTGGAGCTCACTTCACCAGTTCCAGGGATGACCGTATGACCTGTCAATCAAAGTTGACATTCCTTTGGCTTCAGTGATTGGTTCAGATGAAGGAACATGATCCAAGCGGAGTCAATGAGAATTCTCCCTGGGATTTTTATGCAGAGATGTTACAAAAAATGTTACTTTTTTTTTTTTGTAGAGATTGCCAGATATAAGCCTAGAATTTTAGTTGTGATATTTGCCTAAGAATGAAGCTGATCCAGAAGAATCACTGTTAAGTTTAGAAGCAACTCGATATAGCTATCATTTAAGTCAGACACAACCCTGGACTTCCTAGGTGCCAATAAATGACTTTGCAATTACTTTCAGCTAAAATAATATAGATCACTAGAGTTACTCATCAGCTGCAGGATAAAACCTAAACTCCTTTGTTAAAATAATATGGCCCTCTATTGACCCACAAAAATCCTGCACCTATCAATTCTTCCCATTCCAATTCATGTCCTAAAAATACTGAAAAGCTCAGCATTCTTCAGTCTCACACAGTATCATTTCACGCCACAAGGCCTTTGAGATAGGTTTCCCCATTGTCCAGAATGTCCATCCCCTATTTACCCATCCTTCAGACCTCTGCTAGATTACTACCTCCTCTACACAAACTTTTCTGAAGGTCTCAGCCTCCTTCAAGGCTCTTTTGCTCCATGCTCCCTCCCCTCGTTGGGTTTTATCACAATGACTGTCTGACCCTATTGTCTCCTCATCAGACTCTACGTGTCTTCTAGGAAGGACATGCTTTTCCTTTTCGTATCCTCTACCTGAAGCAATATATCACGTACTCAGCAGACGCTCAATAAGTGTTTGAGAAATGAAGAAACAAAAAGACAGAGGGAAGGAGAGAAGAAAAGAAACAAGATTACAGAAAATTCTAAAATACTCTTGGGCTCCAAGAAATGCATCTTCAAATAAGGAACTTCACATACTTATGCTGAGCAATGAGAGAGATATTTTGAGGTAGGGGTTTCTCTTTTCCCTCACACATCACATTCTTTAAATACTGGTTTTATCTATTTATAAATTAGATTATACCTCCCTACAAAATGCTTTTATATTAATTTTTATTTCTACCACAAAAAAAGCCTATGAGGCCAGCACCTAAAGCTTGATATCACTCTCCCAAAAGCTCAGAATACATTGCATTCCACTGACGTTAACAAAATTGGCCAACATAAAGGAGAGTCATAAAGTGCTTAGCTTGGACTCAAGTTCCTTCACAGTCTGGCCTGGTACTTAAATTCTCTCATCTTTAGGGTTTTGTCTATGAAATTAAGAATGACATGACTTTCCTATAATGTTGTTATGAAGAACTCGATGAGATGGTGACACATAGTAGGACTTAATATTGACATTATCTTCACTAGCATTTGTATATGTTGTTGGATGTTAGACGGTGCATCCGTCCCTGCCTCCCCTACTTGGAGTGTCAGTTCCAAGTACCACTTTTCTCATTTCCTGTCCTTCTACATAAACCAGTCTTATAACACACCACCTTAAGGTACCTTCATGACAATCAGCATGGCTTTGAATAAATCTCTTTTTCAATCCTTAGAAACCTGAAAAAATAAGAGAACTTTGAGTTTTCAGTGCTCTGGAAATGGCAAAAAGGTAGGATATTTTAGTCATGCATTGGAAATTAAAAGATTGCCTCCCATCTACACGTGGTTATGTTCTTTTCTCAGGTCCTGCCTGCTAATATTCCATGTGATTTTCACCACTGATATCTAATGCAATATGTTGGATCCTCTTTTATCCAAAAGCCAATCCACCAAGAATTCAAAAAGCTAAATTTCCCCCCATGGACTCTAATCATTAAAATGATTCCCATAGGTTTATAAAGGCCTTGGGAAAGGTCAGAAAACTTAGTTTTCTAAAATCACCTCAGTATATTCTAAGCCTTTAGCCTGGGAAAACCAGATACGGTAACAGGATGAGTCCTGGTTAACTGAATAGTTAACAATTTACCATAATGCCCCCTGTTCCTTAACTATTCTTAAATGGGATTTTCCCATAAATCCTTACCTTTTCCCCAGGTTTAGTGAGAAAGTTATGGTGCTCAAGTCATTGTGTGACAAATCCCTTCCATTCACACTGGCAATGTTAATTATCTGCCAGGTTTCTGTAATCCTTCTCCACACTCCTGGGAGAGGGGAATTGCAAAGTGACAAGTGACTATGAGGTGTCTCCCGCACTAACCTCAGGAGAAAGGGGCCCCTTTTCACTCACATCGCTTCCTCTCACCCTTGGGGTAACAGGAGTGTCAGGGAGCTGTGGAAGAAATAGTCCAGACCCGAAAAGTTCAAGTCAAGGCCCACCGGGAGGAATTTGCTGAAGCCTTCCAACCCTTCTTGCTGTTGCTGAGTAATTTTGCCCTGGAAATTATTGCATACCAAATCGAACATTCATATAGAAACACTTTGTGCAATCCAAAGACTCCAAGTGAGGGTCTGTAATCCTATGGATTCCTTTTGGGAGAGCAAAAAGCTTGACTTACAAGAGTCAATTGGGTGGTCCCTCCAACTCTGATCTTTGAACTTCTACTGATTCTAAGACAATAGTCTCTGAGTTGACTCTCAAATTCCAAATAGCTGCTTTGTCCCCAAATACTACCAAATGGAAAGTAATAGAAAATATTTACGAACTATATTACTTCTGAACACTTCTATTTGTACTACAAGATGCTGATAATTAAGATCATGATGATCACTTATTTTGTCTATTTATTGAAGACTTATTATGTACTAGTCATTTTATGGAGAACTCTATAGGCATTTTCTCCTTGCTTTCCCTGAAATATTATTTCACATGAAAGTCTAAATGACCTTTGAAAAACACAATTCTGATGATGTCAACACCTTCTAATATCTTTCACAGCCTCCCATTATTATTCATACACTAAAATTTAAAGCTGAGCATCATGGTATCAGCTACTGGGGAGGCTGAAATAGGAGGATCACCTGAGTCCAGGAATTTAAGGATGCAGTGCTTTATAATCACACCTATGAATAGCCACTGTACTCCAGCCTGGGCAACATAGAGAGACCCCCGTCTCTAAAAATTAATAAGCCAATTTTTAAAATATTAATAATAACAATAATATAGCTAACACTTGGTGAGTACCTACCTACTATGTATACCAGACACTATGCTACAAGATTAACATGTGTTAACTCATTTAATCTTTATTAAAATTACATGAGTTAAATACTATAATTATTGAATCCCCATTTTACAATGAAGAAGCCAAGGCTGAGAAGTTTAGCAATTTGCCTAAGGATGCATAATGCAAATAATAGTAAACCACTTACTTGACTCCAGAAAATCTGGGTCCAGAGTCATCATTCTTAACCACAAGACTTTATGGTGAGTCTTTGAATATAAATGCCTATGATATGGCCCATAAGAGTGACCACATAGTTCCTAATCCAAATCAGAACACTTTCTGACAATAAAAGAGGGTGCTACTAATAATTACAGCAGATCACACAGGTAGACCAGAAATCCCCCAGGCAAAGCAGGACTTATAGTTGCCCTACACAGAAGGTTCTACTGCTCTGGCTACCTGCCTGCCAGCCCCACTACATACGGTTCTCCAGTTATTCTCTGGGTCCCTCTTTCTGTCTCTTCAATATGCCATGTTGCCTTTGGATTCATTATTATTTCTGCACAAAATGAAATGCTCTCCCCATCTACTCTCTTCCCTTTCCTCTGCTGTTTAGCATGTATTCATCCTGTAGCCCCACAGCTCATGGTGGTCCCCTGAACTAACTTAGGAAAACGTTTATATACTCTATGAGACAGCATTGCTGTGATTTTAGTTATTATTCTCTGCTACATCCTGGTATACTCCACATGGACAGTGTCAAGATCTATTTCCCCTCCCCTGGTTATCCTTATACCTGGCATAGGTTAAGTGCCTAACAAATATTTGCCAAAAAAAAAAAAAAAAAAAAAAGGAAAAGAAAGAGGAAGGAACATAAATGGCAAGACACTGGTTTTTGTTCAGATCATATAGATATGAATTTATTCACTAATTTATTCAACAAATATATATACCAAGTACCTTTTCTATTCCAGGTACCATTTTAGGTGTTGATAATATAGCTGGAAATAAAATGGGAAAAGTTTCTGAGAGTATCCATTCTGGATAACAATCATTAATCCATTAACAAATAAGCAAGATAGTTATAGATAATTCAGAAAGCAATAAAAAGTAAAAGAGAATGATATGGTATGTATGGTTTAATTGGAGGTATATTTAAATTTGGTAGCTGCTGTGGTCTATATGTCCTTCCAAGCTCATGTGTTGAAACTTAATCCCCACTGTAGTGGTAATAAGAGATGGAGCCAGTTGGGCATGGTGGCTCACGCCTGTAATCCCAGCACTTTGGGAGGCTGAGGCAGACAGATGACCTGAGGTCAGGAGTTCGAGACCAGCCTGGAAAACATGGTGAAACACCATCTCTACTAAAAATACAAAAATTAGCTGGGCATGGTGGCTCATGCCTGTAATCCCAGCTACTTGGATGCTGAGGCAAAAGAATCACTTGAACCCAGGAGGTGAATGTTGTAGTGAGCAGAGATCAGGCCACTGCATTCCAGCCTGGGCAACAGAGTGAGATTCCATCTCAAAAAAAAAGAAGATGGAGCCTTTGGGGAAGTGATTAAGTAATGAGAGCTCTACCTTCATGGATGAATTAATGCCATACTAAATGGCTGGTGGAAACTCACTTAGGCCCCTCCCATTTGCCTTTCTGCCCTTCCGCCATGTGAGGACACAGCATTCCTCCACTCTGGAGGATGCAGCAACAAGGTACTGTCTTGGAAGCAGAGAGCAGCCCTCACCAGACACCAAACATGTCAGTGCCTTGATCTTGGACTTCCCAGCCTCCAGAATTGTGCAGAAATACATTTTGGTTCTTTGTAAATTACCTGGTTTCAGGTATTTTGTTATAACAGCACAAACCAACTAAGATGGTAGCCAAGAAGAATTCTCTAGGTAGGTGACATTTGTAATAAATCTGATGACCAAAAGCCATGAGAAGTCCTGCCAAAGAACACCAAACAAAGAGAAAGCTCGTGCAGGCTGAAATAGATAAAGACCAGCTTGGCTAAAGAACAGACCAGGAAGAATGGTTGAGAGGGGTTGGGAAGATGAGCCACTTCATATGGGACTCTTAAGTGATGGCAAGTTCAGATATTCATGTGCAGTGCAGAGCTTTGGGTTTTAAAGAGCAGTGTAAATTGATTTCAGTAATTTTTCTTTTTCTTTCTTTTTTTTTTTTTTTGAAGACCACTCTGGTAACTGAATTGAAAATAGGCTAAAGGAGGACAAGAGCAGAAGGGAGGAAAGAATTGCAATAAACCAGGCAAGAGATGGCAGTGAATAAAGAGGTATTTCATGGAGGGGCTTCTCCAAGTTTAATGTGCACAAGAATCACTGGGAAGCTTGCTGAAGAGCAGATTGTAATTCTGCAAGTCAGGGACGGGGCCTGAGATTCTGAATTTCTAACAAATTTTCAGGTGATGCTAATATTGCTGATTTGATGACCACAGTTGAGAAGGAAGACTTCTTGAACTTGCTGATAGGTTGCATTTGGAAAGCATAAAAAGAAAAGAATCAAGTGTTGTTCTGGATTTTTTTTTCTTTGAAAACCTACATAGATAGTAGTGGCATTCATTGAGATGAAGGTTCATCACATCCCTGCTTTCCAAGTCACCCCACTGCAGCCTGGTGAGGCTAGAAAACTTTTTAGGAGGATTGTATAAACACTGGCTTTGGAAAAATTGGCCAAACTTGGGATGATGATAGTGGAGCACATTTCTGGCCTTAGTAGAAAAATGACACTCGAGCCAGGAAGAGTCCAAGCTCTTAGCAATAAAATGACCCATTTCTGATGAGCGTGCATGCATTGCCAAGTACTTGGCTTAAATGAGTGGTTTATATATCATTCTTTTCCCAGAGACATCAGGTGCCCTCAAAGCCTGCTTAAAAAAGGTCATAGCACAGCTGAAATAAATGGGACAAAGAAAATTATTCTTATACTTTTGCACACACTGTCCAGCGATTGTTCATGTGTCCCTAACGAGCCCACAGTCTTCATATTCTTAGTAGAACTTGTTTAACTCTGTAATCAACAATTTTTCATCTTTACACTTTATTGTGCTCTTTAGAAAATGAAGGCCGGGTGCAGTGGCTCATGCCTGTAATCCCAGCACTTTGGGAGGCTGAGGCAGGTAAATTGCCTGAGGTCAGGAGTTTGAGACCAGCCTGGACAACATGATGAAATCCCATCTCTACTAAAAATACAAAACTTAGCCAGGCGTGGTGGCGGGCACCTGTAATCTCAGCTATTTGGGAGGCTGAGGCAAGAGAATTGCTTGAACCCAGGAGGCAGAGGTTGCAGTGAGCCGAGATCATGCCATGACACTCCAGCCTGGGCGACAGAGCAAAACTCCGTCAAAAAAAAAAATAAAAAAAGAGGTTCATGTGACTGTAATTGCAGAAAATTTGCACAGTCCTGCTTTTCTTCAGAATGAATATGAAGTGAAACTAGCTGAAAACGCTCCGCTACATACCCTGGTGATAGGGGTTAAAACTACGGATGGGGGTTTTGGTATTTATGGTCACGTTACTTAACATATTGTAAATGACTTTGCCAAAGACAGATTTTATATAAATGAGAGAGGACAGATACTTACTCTGGAAAAACTTGATCGAGAAACCCCAGCGGAGAAAGTGATCTCAGTCGGTTTAATGGCTAAGGATGCTGGTGGGAAAGTTGCTTTCCGCACAGTTAATGTCATCCTTACAGATGACAATGATAATACACCACAATTTCGAGTGACCAAATATGAAGTGAATATCAGACCCAGTGCTGCTACGGGGACTTTAGTCATTAAAGTTCTTGCAAGTGATGCTGATGAGGGCTCCAATGCCTATGTCACCTATGCCATTGAAGCAGACTCTGAAAGTGTAAAAGAGAATTTACACCAAAAACAGACAAGCAGAGAGCCAAATCATGAGTGAACTCTTATTCACAATTGCTATGAAGAGAATAAAATACCTAGGAATACAACTTACAAGGGATGTGAAGGACCTCTTCAAGGAGAACTACAAACCACTGCTCAAGGAAATAAGACAGGACATAAACAAATGGAAAAACATTCCACGCTCATGGATAAGAAGAACCAATATCGTCAAAATGGCCTTAATGCCCAAAGTAATTTATACATTCAATGCTATCCGCATCAAGCTACCACTAACTTTCTTCACAGAATTGGAAAAAACTACTTTAAACTTCATATGGAACCAAAAAAGAGCCACATAGCCAAGACAATAATGGGCAAGAAGAACAAAGCTGGAGGCATCACACTACCTGACTTCAAACTATACTACAAGGCCTCAGTAACCAAAACAGCATGGTACTGGTACCAAAACAGATATATAGACCAATGGAACAGAATAGAGGCCTCAGAAATAACACCACACATCTACCACCATCTGATCTTTGACAGACACAAGCAATGGGGAAAGGATTCCCTATTTAATAAATAGTGTTGGAAAAACTGGCTAGCCATATGCAGAAAACTGAAACTGGACCCCTTCCTTACACCTTATACAAAAATCAACTCAAGATGGACTAAAGACTTAAACATAAGACCTAGGACCATAAAAATTCTAGAAGTAAATCTGGGCAATACCATTCAGGACATAGGCATGGGCAAAGACTTCATGTCTAAAACATCAAAAGCAATGGCAACAGGAGCCAAAATTGACAAATGGGATCTAATTAAACTAAAGAGCTTCTGCACAGCAAAAGAAACTATCATCAGAGTGAACAGGCAACCTATAGAATGGGAGAAAATTTTTGCAAGCTATCCATCTGGCAAAAGGCTAATATCCAGAATCTACAAAGAATTTAAACAAATTTACAAGAAAAAAGCAAATGACCTCATCAAAAAATGGGCAAAGGATATGAACAGACACTTCTCAAAAGAAGACATTTATGCAGCCAACAGACATATGATAAAATCGTCATCATACTGGTCATTAGAGAAATGCAAATTAAAACCACAATGAGATACCATCTCACACCAGTTAGAATGGTGATCATTAAAAAGTCAGGAAACAACAAATGCTGGAGACTTTGTGGAAAAATAGGAACGCTTTTACACTGTTGGTGGGACTGTAAATTAGCTCAACCATTGTGGAAGACAGTGTGGTGATTCCTCAAGGATCTAGAACTAGAAATACCATTTGACCCAGCAATCCCATTATTAGGCATGTATCCAAAGGATTATAAATCATTCTACTAAAAAGACACATGCACACGTATGTTTATTGCAGCACTATTCACAATAGCAAAGACTTGGAACCAACCCAAATGTGCATCAGTGATAGACTGGATTAAGAAAATGTGGCATATATACACCATGGAATACTATGCAGCCATAAAAAAGAATGAGTTCATGTCCTTTACAGGGACATGGGTGAAGCTGGAAACCATCATTCTCAGCAAACTATCACAAGATCAGAAAACTAAACACCCCATGTTCTCACTCATAAGTGGGTGTTGAACAATGAGAACACATGGACACAAGGAAGGGAACATCACACCCAGGGCCTGTAAGGGTGCGGGTCAAGGAGAGGGATAACATTAGGAGAAATACCTAATATAGGTGATGGGTTGATGGGTGCAGCAAACTACCATGGCACGTGTATACCTATGCAACAAAACTGCATGTTCTGCACATGTAACCCAGCCCTTAAAGTGTAATAAAAAAAAAAAATGAAGACTGGTCACTGAACAGTGCTGAGCAACAGTGAAGTGCACTTACAAATGAAGCCTTATGCTATTTACAAATCTGAAAGCTGTCCTAGCATTCTCTGACTTGCTCAGAGATGCTATACAAAGTTGATTGACAATCATTTGGCTTTAGATATGCTTCATAGATTGAATCTGACTTTATAGGTTGTGGAACTTCCCTGGTTGCTCTTCAGAAATGGAAAAACATGGCAGGTCCAAGAATCCTTACACTATTCGGGTTCTTTTTGTGTCCCTTTTCCTGTGCTTCTCCCACCTCTCAGGGGCTATTTATCTGCTACCTGCTGCACAGCTCACAACTGGGGTGGGACACACATACACAAATGCCTGAGTTTAAGACTCCCTCAAAGCACCATTTCCAATAAGCCAGAGTTTTTTTCTGATTTTGAGGATCACCTTAAGCCTGAAAAGATGATTTTCTGTCTCCAAGAAAAATTCTTAAAGGCTTATAAAAGTTATCATAAGACTCTTCGTACATCAACTAGGCCTTCCCAAAGAACATCGAGCAAATGAATCAGAAATATATGGATTTAAGTTCCCCCTAAATTAAACGTGGGTTTCACAGAAGGGCGTAAAGGCAGGGGTTGATGTGGGAAAGAATATGACAAAATGATTGTGAATCTTTGATAAATCAAAACTATTTGAAAAATCCATTTTTAGAAAGAATAAAAATGCTGCTTATATTTCCAGTTCATTCTGGTTTGAGATGTTAAGTTTGCTTCGGTTTAGAGAGCTGTTCTCTGATCTTGATCTTCAATGATGATCTGATAGATCAGACCAAAAACACAGTTTTCCTGGGCCTCTTTTATACAGGTTCAGTGGGTTTCATTCACCAGCTTTGATGGAGGCTGATAGTCTGCAAGTATTATCCTCTTCAGGAATAAAGTCTAGGAAACATTTTCCGTGATGTTGATCTAGTAGCATTTGCAATCATAGTACCTTCTCCAGTGGACTTGGAGAAGATTAAGGAAAACACATCATTACTTGAGAATGGAGAAATAGATCTGCATTTAAGACTTGCAGTCTCAGTACCCAGAGCAGAATGTTGAACGAAAAAGAGATGTTCTATACTTACTTCTTGATTCATTTTAATAGCAATTACAATACAAACAAAATCCCAATAAAATGACCTTGATAACTCTCCCTGTGTATAACCAAGGTCAAGTCCAATTTACATTCTTTTCTAAAAATGCTGCTTTGTCACATTGCCAAGGACAAAGGAAGGTTGAGTCCAGCTATATATCTTTTAAAATCTTGGGAAGGTTTTAACAAAGAGAAATTTTTCTCATAATTACCATATAAAATGTCTGAAATCAATGCCTGCTATGCTTCTGGAGTTTGAAAACAGTGAGATGTCCTTTAATCCTAAATTTTTCCTTGTTTATTTTATTAATCTGCTTAGTAAACCCCTGTTTTTAATAGACAATGTTAAGGCAAACCTAAGTCACGGTCTGACAAATTGCTATCTTTCCCATCTTAATGCAGATCCAAGAACTCATTTCTACAACTGGAATACAAGATGGCCCAACTTCTTACAATGTTGGACTCCTTTGTGCATTATGCCCACTTTTCCACCCTTTTCTTACAACTCTCCCAAGTGCACCACAGGCTTACCAGACCTCATTCTGTTCTTCAGAGGCATTGAGCTTTGGCCCATCTTAGGGCTCTGACGATGGCCATTCCCTCTGCCAAAATGTTGCACACTCCCATCCTTGCACGGCTTGCTCCTTATCTCTGCTCAAGTCCCCATCCCTGACCATTTAACCAAAAGTGCTTTCATTGGGCCTGCCCTTTGCCCCAGTCATTCCACAACCTATTGAACTGCTTATCTTTTCTCTAAGAAAATCATCAATCTCTAAAGTTACCTTGTTGCTATAGTTATCTACTGGTTTACTTCTGTATTCTCCTACAAACTGTAAGCTTTATGAAAATAAGGCCTTATTCAACTTATTCACCACTCTATCTGAGGAACTTGCACAGACTAGGGATTCAACAAATATATATTAAGTGGACGAATGAATGAATAAAGCCATGTAACAATTACATGCTCTTAGTGCCCTTTCCAGATCTGTTCACCAGTTCCGTGCATCCTCAGCTGCTATGTGGTCCATGTGCTCTGAACTCATGCCTGCGACATTCTCTGGAGGATTACTATTGAGCAACTGGAGCCACCTCACCTGCAAGGAGTTTACAATCCCCCTGAGCCATCCCATAGTCAACGAATGACTTGTGAAGGAAGGACAGACTCTCAATTCTCAGGTAGAACAAACTGGTGGTGCCATTCACACGCCAGAGCTCCTTGCAGGATCAGGCTGAAGCTACACTTTACCCAAAATCTCATCTTTTTTATGCTTCTTCTCATTTCCTGCCCTGTTCCTCTCCTTCCCTCCCTTTCTTCTGAGAGCACTCCCTCAATAAATAACTTTTCCCCAAATCCCTGTCTCAGGCTTCTAGGGAACCCAACCTAAGACAAGCCATAAATAACAGTTCATAAAGTCAGCATTCATCCCGCTGATAATTTTAGGCAGTGCCCAGTTAACATTCAATCTGTGTTATAAACAATTGCTACTGTGTGTTGTTAATACCACTGGGGACAAAAGGTGCAGCTTTTACAACAGTGATCCAGGAGTCCTTGGATTAATTGACAAGGACTCATGGATTGATTTTCACACCAAGCTTTATCTATAAACATATATTAATAATATGTTTCATACAAATATATACCCATAACAACAAATACATATGGGTATCATGCTACTGAAATACACTTTATTATAAAACATTCAATTCAGAGTAAGACTTGATCGTTTGATATTTATCAATTTTAATACTCTTGGATATGAAAGATTGTTTGAATGTTAAAGGGAGATTCTCATTCTCTGAAAAGGGAAGGGGGTGTATTATTGATTTAGAAAATAAATTTCCAAAGTAAAATAAAGAAAAACACTATGTTTAGAGAATCAACCTAAGGTCCCAGGGTCAAATTCCAAGAAAAAGTTGCTTTATCTGCCTCAGAATCTCTTTTTGTATATGCTTTCCTAAACATTTTCACTCATTTTCTTATCAGCTACAATCCCATAAGTTGAAAATTCAGTCAAGCTAATGTGAAGGTTAAGGAGCTGGTAACCATTCCCACTTTGGTAAGAAATTGCCAAGCCATTGATTCAATAAATATGTTTTGAGAATCCACTCTGTGAAAGGTATTAAGAGAAGGACAGGTCCTTCTCTTAATAAACAAGTTTTTTCTTATCATCTGGCTAAACTAAACTAAGGTAGAACAGTAAAAGAATAAAAGGTTGGGATTGAAGAAATTATATGAGGCTGGAAACAAGCAAGTTGGAGGCACGAAACACTTTGGGTTTGGGGAAGTGAGAACCCTGTACAAGCACGAGCCAGTGGTGGGGGGATGGGGGGAAAAAGAGGTACCAGGAAATGAGGATGATGACAAAAGAAAATTTGCTCTGATCAGAAATGTTGCCTATATCATACAACAAGGAAGTTTCCTGACCTAAACTGGTGCTCCCACCACTCACCACAGCGACCTTTCTGAATAGCAAAGCTGTTTTTTAGACCTACTTATTAATATAATATATATATATATATATATATATGAACATGTCTTTCAACCTATAGAGTACTAGGTCTTTGTTCACAGGTTTGTGATGATACTATTCATTGAAAATGAGCTATGATTTGGGAAATAGGCCAGCATTTTTCCGTATGAAGTAACCTCTGTATCGGCTAATAAAAACTCCCGTTCAACACAGCAAGCCTTTGTTACCACTGTACCTCATTGGTTTAAATCCTATCTGGAGGTTTGAGGAGAAAGTTAGACATTCATTCAGAAAGCCATGTATTGATCACCTATTATGCACCAAGAGCAATGCTGTATACTGGGAACCTGAAGATAGATTAATGAAACATCTCACTCTGAGAAAAATCACAATTTGGGATCCTACAGAAGCAACAATTAATTCTGCCTAAAGGAGTGGGGAAGGCTTTGGAAGGAGCTGATTTTCTGGTTGGTCCTTAAAAAATAAGGAGGTGGAAAAGGAGGTCAAGTCACCCCAGGTAGGTTCAAAAATCTGTGCAAAAATACTGAAATAGGAAAGTATGGCTTAATTGGGAGTAGTGAAGAGACTAGTAAAGCTGAAAAATATTGCCTGCACAACTTTTCATGCATTTAAGGACCATTGGCATTTGGATGTGCTGTTTTGTAAAGTACCTATTGAAGTCTCTGACTATTTCACTATTGAGTCATTTGCACTTTTCTTATTGATTAATAGAAGCTCTCTCTATATTCAAGAAATGAGTTCTTTCTCCAGATAACATATACTGTAATTATCTTCTATGTGTTGGCTTTTCTCTCTCAACGATGTCTTTTGAAAGGCAAAAGATTTTAATTTAACATAGCCAATTTATCAACATTTCCCTTTGTACTCGGCACTTTGGGGCCTTGTTTAGGAAAATTTTTCATTACCACACTATTTATCATTCCCAAAAGCTGGACGCAACCCAAATGTCCATCAAGAGTAGAATGGGGCCAGGTGCAGTGGCTCATGGCTCATGCCTGTAATCCCAACCCTTTGGGAAGCCAAGGCAGGAGGATCATTTGAGCCCAGGAGTTTGAGACCAGCCTTGGAAACATAGTAAGACCCCATATCTACAAAATATTTAAAAATTGACTGGATGGGGCGTTGCATGCCTGTATTCCCAGCTACTCAGGAGGCTGAGATGAGAGGAATGCTTAAACCTGGGAGGTTGAGGCTGCAGTGAGGCCTGATCTTGCCACTATACTTCTACCCGAGAAACAGAGCAAGGCCCTGTCTAAAAAGAAAAAAACAACAACAGTAAAATGGGTAAATAAATATCCCTTCAACGAAACATTATACAGTGATGAGCATGAATCAGCTCCAACCACATGCACAATATGGATGAAACAAACATCATGCTAACTGATGCAGTAGAATTCCTGCTGCATGGTTCCATCTATTCAAAGTTCCAAAAAGATAAAACTCATCCATGGGATTAGAGGTCAAGACAAGGATTACCCTTGGGGGAATACTGACTAGGAGGGACGTCGAGGGGCTTTTGGGGTGCTGGTTGTATTGTGTTTCATGAGCCGGCTGCTGGTTTCATGCACATGCAAATTGTATAAGAATTCATCAACACACACATTTTTCTACACTTATGTTATACTTTTATAAAATATTTGCATTTAAAAACGTAAGAAAAGACCACCTAAGGAAGAATGGTAGCCAAGTTTTGTTTCTTAACAAAAATTTCAGAATTTGAAGATCCCTATTAATAAGTTAGGGGTGTATTAGAAAGTTTTCACATTCTGGGCTTTAGAAAGACTAACTTGCTGTGAGGAGTGGGCTGTGTGGATATAATGGGAGGTAAGGAGACCCATTTGGAAATGCTACAACTATCCAAGCGAGAGATGAGGAGGCCTTGTTAGGAGCAGAGGCCATGGCAATGTATAGAGATGACCTTGAGCTTTTTTCACTGAATGTTTCTTTAAAATCCATGCACCAGTGTCATAAGACCAGAAGCACCTGCACAAAGTGTGGGGGGCAAAGGCCTACGAGTCTTCAACAGATGTTGAGTTTTCAAACAATGCTAGACCTTGATAAACAAACCTCTCTCCTAGATTTATTAAGTCCAAGCATTTTTGTCTGGCTCTTGTCTTAGACTGTAAGACATGAACGCTGGTACAAATCCACATAAGGATTAGCGGAAAGTTATAGAACTGACATAATATTGTTTTGATACATTTTTCCTTTCCTCCTTTTCACCACCCTCCCCTGCACACTATTCAAGTCCTCTTGCTGGGTGGTTTTCACTTGTCTCCTTAATTCCCTCCTCCGTCTGCATACTCGTTAGGAGAAACAGTGATTCCTTTTCTGGGAAATGAGAAGCACTGGAAGGCAGCAACTGCATAGGGAACTCAGGTAGGTAGAACGATGTAAGATGGATCATGGCCAGGCCTCCAGGCTCAGAGAGTGCCACAAAGTCTCCCGTAGGCCCGGTGTCAGGACCACATTTGTGCCACCTCCAAGAGACAGTAGGGATGGGACAAACCCCTTGCTGTCATCAGTGTTGCTCCATTATGTTCATTGGCAAATATTTATTGGGCATTTCTGACTGAGCCACCCACTCAATTGCATGCTTCGTGGGAAAGGGCAGGAAGGAAACATGAAATCTATCCCCACTGCTTGAAGTGAAATCATGATCAAAAGAACCAGTGTGCACCCCACTCCATCCTGCCTCAGGCCCTGCAAGAGTAGGCTCTGCCTGCCCAAGATTTTATTTTAAAAAGGAAAAAAAAAAAACCAGTGCATAAAAACTTAAACACAGTATCTCCAAGAGCAGAGCCATGAGCTGAGAAGACACAACGAATTGCAGATCAAGCGATGGGGTCTGGTTTCCTAATCTTTCCAAGGTCTCTTTTCAGACCTGATATTCTCACACCATCTTCTAGATTTTACCATGAGATGGTCTCTCATTTCCAAACTCTCTTCTATGCTTTGTATCTTGCCACCTTATTAAAAGGCTGCTCATAACACGGTTCGAAACCGACTCCAAACTACCTTCCTGAGTTTGCTGTACCACCCTCTCCTGGGAAGCTGAGATGTCAGAATAAAAGTCACTCTGCCCAGAAAAAAAGCAGGACTTCTCTACCTGCCTTTTCTGAAGGAGCACCATCTCTGCAACTCATTGGTCAGCCCCAAAGACTCCCACTTCTGCTGGACAAAAGTGTCATGGTTTTCTCGCATGAGGAGATGCAGTCTCACTCACTGACCTGCGATAATTCCTGAGTCCAATTCACGTCACACACTGACAGTTGCAGAGTGGCTGCAACATTAATAGTCATTTAGAATCATGAGAAGGAAGGTTTCTCCCAGGCCCTCTTAAGCCTGAAAAGTCCCCAGGACTAAACAGCCTCCAATTTACTCATGAAACAACATAACTCTCTTATTTCCTGGACAATGAATCTTAAAAGCCACCATTCATTTCCCGGGCGTCCACTCAATCACTTCTTAGAAGCAAGCTTCGAGTGGCCATGTACCAGACCTGTCCCCCTCATGAGATATAGCAAATCTGTGTCTCCCTGAGGTGAATTCTTCACTGTTCCAAAGAATATGGTGAGCTATGTTTTAGCCAATTATGCAGTAGTCACCTAAACTTGGAATACTATTGGCATTTTCAGTCTCGGAATGAAAATGGCGCTAGAAGTTTTCCCATCTTTTCCTCCCTCCTGTTGCACATTTATTTTGAAGCCTTGCTTATGTTATCTTCTGAACTGGTGGATATTATATGTAGAAGTGTTTCTCAGACACTTCCACCAAAATTATCCTTTTAGCATAAGAGAACACTTATGCTAATGGTTTTACTAATAATACTAAACCAGAGGTTTGAGGGGTGAACTCATAACAGTCCCTCATAATTGCAATTTTTTTCCCTGAAATCTCGTGTTTATCTTTAAAGTTCATGTACTATTTATTTACTCCTCTACATTATTGTGCCCTTTTTAATATAAAACTAGTAGTACAAATTGCATAGCATCATTTTTAGTTAATGCTCAAGAAAACTGCACCCAGTTCTATTTTATAGATAATATTGCATGGTTTTGAGAAGCAAATGACAAATTTCATAAGATCCTTTGACAGATAGAAATAATAACTCATTTTAGTAAGTGTTCTTTAGTATGTTAAATTGAGCATACAGGAAAATGCTTATAAGATGTCACATGTAGATTGAAGTAAAAGAAAAGAGAGAGGGGGAAAGAATGAAAGAATAATGAGAGCTGATCCCTTGCCCCCTGCCCCGTTTTTTAGGAGAAAGAACACTCTGGGAAGATTCTGTATTGCACTCCTCCATGAAAACATCAGGATGGAATGGGCCTTTGAATTTAAGTGGGTGGCTGGTTCTTCCGCACTTACAAGCCCAAACCTACACCTCCAGTAATTTTTCTTTAATTTTTTAAATTTTTATAAATTAAGGGAGTGAAAGTGCAGTGGTGTTACATGGATATATTGCACAGTGGTGAAATCTGGGCTTTTCATGTACCCATCACCTGAATAGTGTGCATTGTACCCAATAGGTGGCATTTCATCCCTCACGCTACCACCCTCCTGCTTTTGGAGTCTCCAGTGTCTATTATTCCACTCTGCACAGCCATGTGTACCCATTGCTTAGCTTCCACTTATAAGTGAGAACATGTGGTTTTCCAATTTCTGTTTCTGAATCATTTCACTTCAGATAACGGCCTCCAGCTCCATCCATGTTACTGAGAAACATGATTTTATTCTTTTTATGGCACCATCAGATAATTTTATCTTGTATCTCTTTCTGGAACAAATTATAGGAATCCCGCCATGGACGACCTGCTCCTTGCTCCAGCCTGGCCAGTGCTTTGTAAGCATACAATTTCATAGCTATCATCCTAATTCATCCCCAAAGTCCTGGGGACAGTCTTCTTTGATGAGTGTGGAAGGAAGGCAATTGTGATAACAAAAAAGTGGATTTCTACATAGTCAAAAGATTTGACTATGGAATGGAATTTAGTATGGAGAGTGTCTTGAGTGTCTTGGGTGTCTTGGGTGCTGGAAGACTCTAAGTCTAGTGGGTACTAATTTTTGTAATGATCACATGGCTCATCAAAATCTATGTGTGGGATGTGTATTTTACCACAAGCTCAAACTAAGATAACACGCGCTTATTTGACACACAGACCTCAGTAGCACAGAGCCCACTATGGCGGGCTCATATATGACGTTGTCTAAGGCCTTGTTGTCATCTCAACTCCTATTGAACCCCTCCAGCCTTTCCCCCAAACAGAAACTTGAATGGAATCAAAACTACACCTACCTGTGATGTTTACCCTGACAGAAAGTCCAATTGCCATGTCTCAAAATCTCTGGAATTGTTCATGGTTCATTTCTCCTTCCTTTGTATCTTAAGTCAGGGTCTAGAAGCAGAGCCCAAAGTGAGGATTCACTTGGAAGTAATTTACTGATAAAGGAGAAAGGAAAAAAAGGAGAAGCAAACTAAGGGTGTGGTCTCAGCTGGAGCCTAATCTCAATCTGATCCCACAGGGAGCACTGGAGCATGGATTGCACCACAGAGTTGCCTCCCTCTCTTTGAGGCAAAGGGTCCTTTTGTGCCCCTGCATCAGTCAGTCCTTGGCTGCTGGCCACTCCCAGGGGCAAGGGAGTTGCATAACTTCCCAGGCAATTCCAGGCTAGGCAACTCCCATCTGGCCAAGAGCAATTCTCCAAAGAAAGAGGCAGCTGTAAACCATTAAGAGCCAATGCTAATAGCACGTGGATATGGAAACACCAGTCTGGTCAAGGGGATCTGAGTGGGTCAGCAATCGCATTCCCATACGTACCATCTTACTTCATCCCTAAAGATATTCCTTTGGACAATGTTTGGGTTCCTAACGCTTCCTTTAAACAATTCTAGTGGAGCAGAATATAATAATATACCAATCCATAGTGTTTTATTAAAAGCCTGCTGTGTACCAGTCACTTTTCTAAATGTATTGTGTTTATACAATAATCTATAAGGCAGGCTTGATTATTACCCATATATTACATATGAGAAAATGGAGGGACAGAGTAACTAAAAATCTAATCAAGTTAGTAAGTGGCAGAACCAGAGTTAGGACCCATTTTCTTAATATTGCATTACACTTCCTCTTGCTTGTAGCCAAAGAGTAGCAGCAAAAGAGAAAGAAAAATAAGCTCAGAGCTAAAGTGGTAAATTTCTACTATATGAGATAACCACACCTAACTAGGTGAGGAAAAATAGCCCTTTTGAATTATGGATATAAGAGCTTGAGGATGGTTGTTAATACTCTTTTGCGTGTATGTGAATTTCAAAAACATCTTGCAGTTTTATCCACTTGGTTGATGTTCACCATTTGAACTTTCAACATTTAAATCCCATGAAAGTGCTGTTGCATAAGATGTGACTCTATGCCAAAGGAAATAATAGCTAACACTTGTTAAGCAGTTTCTGTGTGCCAGGCACTGTTCTAAGCCATTTACATGGATTATAGCATGTAATCCTCAGAACCTTGCCATGAGGCAGCCTCATTTTTAGATAAGGAAACTGAGGCACAGAGGGTATAATTAATTTGTCTAAGGGTATATAGATAGAAAGCATCAGGCCACATTTCCAAGTGAGCAGTTGGGCTTTGGAGCTTACGTTTCTACTTTCACTACAGTGCTGCTAGAAGAGTCATAGATGGTTGGAGCTAGGAATCATATGGGAGAGTCTAACTTTCCAAATTGAGAGATGGGAAACTGAGACCCAGAAAGAGTTGGTGATTTCCACAAGGTCACACAGACCCAAGATGCTTAATTTTCGTAACAGTACTCTCTATATTTTGACAAATTTTGTTAAAGAAAAAATATATAAACCAGAGACAGTGTCATTTAATTGACTAGAATTCAGGGGTGAGTTTTTAAATGTCTGAAGTCTCCTTTTTTCTTCTCTCCCAGGAAGTGATAACACCAAGAGTTGCTGTTTAGGAAGGCAAGGAAGAAACATCAGTGTCTCGTCTAGCCTCAGAAAAAAACGACTTCCTATTTTTACTACTGTTATGAATCCCTCACTCATGGACACCTTTGTGACGTGACTTCCAAGTTGCTATTCTATTTTCTGGCTGGAACCTGCAAACTCCAATCTGGAAGTATATCTCTTTAGGGAAAGGGAAGGAAGACCAGAACCAGTGTTTATTAAATACCTACTAAATGTCAAATTTACTATGCATAGCTCTACATATGCTATATAAATTACCCATGAAAAAAATCACTGGCATCGCAATGTGTATCAGCTAGCATTTGCTGCATAACAAACCAACCTAAAACGTAGTGGCTTAAAACAACCATGTATTATTGCTGATGAGTGTCTGGATCAGCTAAGTGGTTCTGCTGAGCCATGCCAGGCTTAACTGATTCCAGCTGGATTCACTCATGTTCCTGCAGGTAACTACTGGATTAGCTAGGGGCTGGCTGGTATAGGATGCCCTCAGCTAAGGTGGTTCATTTCTGTTCCATATTCTACAAAATGATATTCCATGCACGTTCACATGGCAGTGGCAGAAGAGAGTAAGCAGAAGCCATGAGGCCTCTGAGGCCTAGGCTCAGATTGAATCATGGCCTTTGAGGCCTAGGCTCAGATTGAACGCACCATCCCTTCCACTCCATTCTATTGGCCAAATCGAGTCACAGGGATGGCCTAGATTCAAGGGGCAGTGGGAGGGGAAAACAGATTCCACCTCTTGATGGAATAAGCTGCAAAGTCACATGGTCAATGGCATGAACACAGAGAGTAATAGAAAATTTGAGACTTTTCTGCAATAAACCAACCACAAATATCTTGGAATATTCTAGATCATATAAGTTGTATGTTTTCCTCCAAAAACATGTTTCTCTTGCATGTCTAGACTACCTTTGAAGATTTTTGAGTTCCCTTTAGTTTCACTTACAGAAAAATTCAGGAAAGATGCTGTAGGGTTTTAAGATGGCATATAGAATTTTCAATTTACCCAAGTAAGACAAATGACCATCTAAATCCAGTAAAAGCCTATGTGCTTTTATTCCAAATAACAGCAGGACAGAGTTAATTCTACTTCTCCTCTTTTCATCTACTACATCACTCACTGCTTGAAAGAAGAATCAACTAGACAGGAAGCTTTCTACTCCTGCCAGTTGGGTTTGGTAAGAGACCAGCCCAACAGCTGAGTGTCTGCCTTAAGGGAAGCCCCGTGGCCTCCACCAAAATGAAAGCACACATTGCCCTGGTGTTTTGTTTTGCAAATAAAAAATAAAAACATGTTATTAAAAAGAAACCCTCTAAATCAGAGATCATGGATAGTTTTTATCCTATATGCCAACTCCAACTGGTTAATAGAAGCTTCCAGGAGTGCTATGTTGGAAATATTAGGCTTCAGGCAATTCTAACAAAATTAGTATAGCACAAGAACTTTCCAGCAATAAAATATGGTCACACAGTGACTGATTCCCGCCATTAGATTAAATTTACAGGGTAAGCTGATTCTCTTCTCCTGGGCCTCTTCCCCATTGCTTCTTTCCCTCTACTTCTACCTGGGCTGTTTTTGAGAAAGGCAAGTAGAGTAGGGTTTCAATCTGCTGTTGGGTTTTTATCACAGGCTCTGGAATATGGACACAATGTGACTTTTTTGGCCTTTTCAAGTGTGTAGATGGTAAAGATCATGGAAGAACAAAGGTAGATCTACGATAAGGGCAATCTATTCCAAAGCTCAATATATTGATTCAGACTAAATCTAACCCCAGGAGAAATTATCTAAAACCCAGAAATAATTCAAGAGCATCACAGCAGAGTGCACACCCTTTGGGCTCACTCTAAGTCTACCTTGACATGTTTCTCAAGATAATATCAACTATCCACTGAGTTGAGAGGAGCCTGAAGATAGATCTGGATGGTCAGGCTCCGCATTAACTTAAGGAGAAACATCTCAGACCCAGAACAAGGGTTATCAACAATGCAGCAATGCACATGGTATGGTGAAAAGAATACAAAACACAAGGATTCAGATTCTGCCTTTGCAAGTTTTAACATTTCTCCCAGAGTCTCAGAAGAGATGTAATACAACCATCTCAGAGTTTATGGTGAGAATAAAATGGGCAAATATGTAAAGCACACAGACTAATAACTGGATCATATAGTTAGGGAGTCTAGGCTCCCTAACTGTTACTATTATTATTAATTGCAAGGCAATAATAATAATTTTTATATAATTACATATAATAAATATATGTAATATATAATAATATAAATAATAATATAGTCATAGTAATAGCAAAAGCAAATCAGTTAAGTTTCTATTATGCGCTAGGAACTGGGTTCCATGCTATACTAGAGAAAACCAAAATATAAAGACTGTTGTTTATCTTTGGGAAATAGAGTCTGTTTGGAGACAAGGTGAGTATATATAAAATAAGTAAGAGCTGTGGAGAACAACATATGAAATACTCAACTAGACTCTGAGAACACTGAGACTCTAGGATCATTGCTTCTACCTCTTGTCAAAACAACAAATTAGTTTCTCAAACTCATTGACATTTCCCTTTTCTTAGGACAGTTATTTGAAATGACTCAACGATCCAAACTTGTTTCATCTGATCTTTCAATATTTTTATTTGTACTTTGAGGGTCGCCAAATCATTGTGTCCTGACAGATGTAAAGAATGGGCCATCCTCAGCTAAACAGAATGAAGCCACCACTCATCACCCTGTACCCCATCTTGTACTTTATACATCATTATCATCACCCCCAGCTGTTGTATCATGGGCCCTCAATAAGGTAGAATAAAAATGACAACAGGCCAAGGCCTGATGCTTTCAAAATTTTCCGCTAGATGCCAATGCTTTTGAAATATCATACTCTCTTTCCATTACTCAGATGTCATTATGCACGCAAAGCATGTTCTTAATCGCCCACAGTAGGCTAGAGGCAGGATACATTGTTCAACAATAATTCATGTCCTATTAAATGTGAAAATTGGACTCACGTGATTCAGTCACTGCCTCACCCAGTTGCAAGGTGGAAAATGTATCTAAGCTAGCACCTTTGTGAACCATGGCAGGGAGGTGATCCCTGAGTCCCAACAAAAATCAGGAAACAATGACTGAAGCATGAAGATGAAGGCCTTTGTCAGCTCATAAAGCAGAAGTGATTGCAATTAATTGCTGATAAAATATGAAAGAGTCTCTTGTTGCTAGAGATCAGGTGCTAAGACATAGTACAGCTCTTCCCTGAGAGCTTGGGAAAGACATGTCTCTGAACTGTGCTTGTGACAAGGCCAGTGAGTTGATCTGTGTTTTGGGTGTTTCAGGAGGAACAATACTGAGAGCCATAGAGGATGGAGAGACATCCCAAAAGGCAGGCTCCCTCCCCAGGTTGACATGAACCACCCAGGCTAACATGACTCTTCTAGCAGAAAGCTGCTTTTGAATGATTTCCCCAACCAAATAACAACAGGAACGTTGATGGTGAAAGAGCAAATCCCACAGGTGATTGGTTATCACAAGAGTAAAAAAAAAATAAAAAATAAATAAATGGTAATGTGAGTAAACATTCACAAATCTTTGGAATATAAGTTTTTGGAACACATTTTAGATGTTATTCACTCTAAGATGATATTTGATTAATCCAAATATACAAAAAAAAAGGGTAAAAAGCAGGTGGTAGTAAATGCATTTCTAGAAAAGGTGTTCAAAGTGTCTTTGAAGTCTAAAATATACGGTCCCTAACAGTCCAGCCTCAGGCTCAGGATGATTGTATTTGTGTATTTAGAATGGGAGGGTCACTTATGGACATGAGTTTTCTTCAGTACATTGAACTTCACAGTGGTTTAGAAAGTAATAAGAAATATACAAAGAATCAATATATACGAAGAAAATAACAATTTAAAATAAAGTTTAGAAATCAGATCATATCAGATCTAATTTAATATTTCCTAAATGACTCAGGCAGTAGTTTCCTAAAATGGGTCATGGACTGAATAAATCGAAATTATCAGGGTGTCATCAAAATACTAATTCCCAGGCCTCCACCTACATTAACCAAGTGGGAGCTCTAGGAAGGAGGTTCAGAAATGTACAGTTCCAGGGGCAGTGGCTCACTTCTGTAATCCCAGCACTTTGGGAGGCCAAGACAGGAGGATTGCTTGAAGCCAGGAGTTCAAGACCATCCTGGGCAACATAGCAAGACCCAGTCTCTACAAAAATAAAATAAAATAAAATAAAATAAAATAGTAGCTGAGCATGGTGGTACATGCTTGTAGCCCCTAGCTGCTAGGGAGGCTGAGGTGGGAGGATTGCTTGAGTCCAGGAGTTCGAGGCTATAGTGAGCTGTAATCATACCACTGTACCCTAGGTGACAAAGTGAGATCCTGTCTCCTAAAAAGAAAAACAAGTTCCCAAAGTAATTCTGACACACAGCTTCATGTGTAAGTGACAGTTTTCAGTCTTGCAGCAACTAAATTGATAATTATGCCTTCAGTAGGAAAGAGCACAGGATGTGAGTCGGGGGAACTGGGCCCAGTTCAGCCTCTGCCTCTGAGAAGCACTTATCCTACATGCCTGTTCTTTTAAGTGCAGTCTGTGGACCAGCAGCATCAGCATCTCTCAGCAGCTTGTTAGAAATGCAGATTCTCAACCCTGCCCCTCACCTACTAAATCAGGATCTCCACCTTAACAAGCTCTCCCTGTGGTTCCTGGGCACACTGAAGTCTGAGAAGAACTGTCTAGACCACATCATTCAACCTCTCAGAGTTTCATTCACAAACAGATGGACTTGAAGCAGATATCTAAATCCTCCTCCCAGACCTAGTGCTGCATGCTGACCATCGGAGTGAGGACACAGAGGGAACACAATAGAAAGTTCTAGATAGGATGCCAGAAAAAAGAGTGTGAGATTAGGTATACACACACACACACACACACACACAGAGAGAGACACACACACATAATTTTATAGAAACCATTTGCCTAGGAAAAACCCTAATCCCATGACGCACACAACCTCATATGAGATCCTGAGACTCTGCTCAAGCGGGAGCAGTCCCTTGCTGGGGATGGGAAACTGAGGAAGTGAGAAAGGTTGTGGATAACCCGACGCCCCAGGGCAAGTCCAGGGGAGAGGACAGACTGCAATCCAGGTGTCTGTGGGCCCAGCCCCAGACCACCCTGTCTTGTTATCTCAGCTGCATCAGGAAAAATTAAGAAAATAAGAACAGGACATCATAACAAAGAAAGCGGGTGTTTATAGGAGGCGGTATATGGACATTGCTCCTCAGTCCCATTCTAGAGCCATATCAGTCTTTGGATTGTTATTTTAAATTTATTAAAATTCACATCATTAAAATTGAGCATTAGGGCCCCCATACTCTGACAACCATGCTAGCCCTCCCTCCATCTCCTGGCCTGTATAGTTTCACTTTGGAGGAACCAATGTCAAATAAATATATCCTGCTAGTTCCCAAGAGTCAGATTTCATGAGTCCTGACTGCCACCTTTGTTTTCAAGATTCTAGAGCTCAGTTTCCCATTGTTTACCGTTCCCTGGGCTCTGTAGGTAAGTTATGTGTGTCCTTATTGTGAAATTCCCATGTCAGGAACTCAGACATTTACACATGGAGTGATATACCAATGTGGATTCACTTACCCTTTCTAATTGCATAAGAAATTTATGAATATTAATAACATTCAACCCCATAGAAATATACAACATAAGAGATGACATTCCCTTTCCACACAGGTCCCCATTATGCTGTTACCACTAACAGCGCAGCACCAATGTGCCACTCTTTTTAAATTTTTTATGCATAACTTTTTTTAAAACAAGAGCATATCATACATACTATTTTGCAAATTGCTTTCTTTACTGTATATCTTATGGTCATCTTTTTAAGTCCATTTATAATGCTCTCTCTTCTTCCTCATGTCTACATGGCATTTCAACATTTCCCCAACCATGAACCTAACCATGGACACTTGGATTGTTTCCAATTTTTGTCTATTACAAACTATGCTGCACATTTGAACATATAACACCAGGAGTGCCCACATGAAGTGGCAAGCTCTTTGGTATGTTGTGTTTGCAGATTGCTGATTTGTCTGCTGGTGCACCTTTCAGTCTTCAGCTGGGATAATGGTGGTGATGGAAGGCTGGATTTATTGGAGGTACCAAGGATTTGAAATTATGATCCCCATTGTCTGAAAACCTTGCATGCACTCTGCAGGAGTCCATCTTTGCTACAGAGATCCCTTGCCCATACCACAAACCCCTATCCCACACAGCCTCACCACTCATCCCATGGAGCCAGTTCCTTCATCCAACAAGGCTTCAGGTACCAGCAAGACAGACCTGGTCACTGCTCTGAAAGAGTCTATAGTCTAGAAAGGATGTTAGAGAAGTAAACAGAAAAATAAGAATTTCAGATGGAGATATATGGTATGGAGAAAATATTACCAGGTCATGAGACGAACAGTGACTAGAAGCGGTAAGGGGAGGTAAGTTTTCAAAATATTTTTTCGTAGATAAAAATCACTTGGTTAAAAATTCTAAAAGTATTAAAAATAAGTATAAAACCTTATGAAAGTCAATCTCCTGCCCTTGGGCCCTAAGGATCTAGTTACCCTACCCTCTGAAAACCCTGACAACAAATGTTTGGTTATCAGGACATCTTATGTAATCTTTAGAGATAATTTATTTGTATGTGTGTGAGAGAGAAAATGTGTGGGCAAATGTATAAACATATGTATACATATCTTATCCTACTTTTTTACACAAATGGTAGTTTCCATCTTATCTACCACTCTATCTTGCTTTTTCCACTTAATGTATTTCAAATACTATTTCATTTCAGTGTAATGAATGAATCATTTTCTATTCTTTTTTATAATTGAATGGTATTTCACTGTGAAGATATCCTATAATTATATAGCCAGCCCTTTATTGAGAGCCATTTACTGCATCAATCTTTTGCCAATCACTAGAACAATGAATATCTTGGATATATGTCAAGTCATGTTTATGCAAGTGTATCTGTAGGAAAAGAAAATATGGATTCAGCAGGTCAAAAAGGATTTGTAATTTTGATAGATATTGCCAACTTGTATGGCAACAGGTAAGGACATTTTTTCTATAGAGGGCATGAAAGCAAATATTTTCAACTTTGCAGGATATACAGTCTCTATCACAACTACTCATATCTGCCATTGGCGCACAAAAGCAGCCATAGACACAAATAAAGGAATGCGCATGATTTTGTTCCAATAAAACTTAAGGCATGAAATTTGAATTATACATAATTTTCATGTGTCACAAAATGTTTTATTTTATTGATATATACTTACAGTATACAACATGATTGTTTTCATACACATATGTATAGTGAAATGATTAACATGTTCAAGCAAATTAACCTATGCATCACCTTCCATAGCTACCTTGTGTGTGTGTGTAATAAGAGCACCTAAAATCTATTCTTAGCAAATGTTCAATATACAATACAATACAGTACAGTAAAATACAATACAATACGATACGATACAATATTATTTTGATTTTTTTCAACTACTTAAAAATGGTTCTTAGGTCTTGGGCAGTACAAAAGCAAGCAGCAGGCTGAATTGAGCTCACAAGCCATCGTTTGCCAACTTCTGCCATTTACATCCCCACTATTTGTATTTGAAAGCCTGTTTGTGCCAATACTGTGGCCAATACCAGGTATTACCAAACTTTTGAATCTTTGCCAATTTGACAGGTGAAATTGTATCTCAGTTATGCTTTGCTTTGCATTTCTCTTTTTTAAAGCAATGTAAATGATCTTTCTTTGTAAATTTCCCTTTGTATAAACATGACTATTCTATTCTTTTTCTGCTATTTGTTTGATATTGGTCTTTTTCTTATCAGTTTGTATGCCTCCTTTAAGAGTAGAGAAATTCACACTTTGACAGAATTGCAAATATTTTTCCTGGCTTGTCATTTATCTTTGAACTTTGATGTTGGTGTTTTTCACCAGGTGCAAGTACTTTATTTTTAATCAATCTTTCATTTTATGACTTATGGCCTTTCCCTCCTCTGTAATTATAAAATAATTTTTGTACGTGTTTGTATTTTCAGTATTTCCTTTTTAACATTAAATATTTTCTTCATTTGGAACTTATACTGTAGGGTGTGATGTGTGACTTAGTTGTCCTCATTCCCTGATTAATCTTTCTTTACTGATTTTAGATGTAAACTTTGCCTTATATTAAACTATTGTATGTATTTAGGTCTATTTCTAAACTTTCAATTCTGTTCCAATGATGTCTTTTTATTCTTATGCCAATACCATGCTGTCTTAATGAGTTTTTATAAGATTTAATAATAGGATAGTCACTTCTTGCTACCCTTCTTTTTCAGAATGTTACTAATTATTCTTGATTATTTACCTCTCTACATAAATGTTAGAATCAGTCTGATTTTTTCAAGTTATCTTTTATGTCTTCATATCTACACTCCAAATTGTTCATCCATGTCAAAATATTTTTTACAAAACAACAGTTTATGACCTTACATGTAGTAAAAGTATCAGCTTACAAAGGGAAAGTGGAAATTACCCAAGGAAAAATGCTAGTCTGAAACACCTAGACATGAACCCTCACCAGGGAAAGATGATATAAATAATCTAACCCACACTAATTCTTATAATACAAATTGTTCTTCTCCATTTACTGAAAAAGAGGAATTGGCTCTTATAGCACTTAACATAAAAGAATTTCCTAATGGTAAGAGGATAGGTGGGTGGGTGAATGGCCGGATGAGTGGGTGAGTGGGTGGATGGATGGATGAATAGATAGATGGATGGATGGATTGATGAATAAATACCAGATTACGGAGGGAACTTGAATCTCTGCATGTCTTTTGTCCATTCCTCACATTGAATCAAGCATTAATTCAATTCAACAACTTCAGGATTCCACTACGGCATATGGAAAAACAAAATATTGGTTGGTTTTCCTTCTTATTTTCTTTATTAATGGAACAAAACTCAAAGCAAATATTTAAAACTAAGATTTATTAAGGAAGAATGAATGTTGTTCTCCAGTGCTTTCTCTACTGGGGTTTCACCTTAATTGATCTTTCTCCCAATGGACCATAATCCAACTGGCATAAAGTGTTGCTGCAGATGGAGAGAGAAAGTAAAAAACTTGATTTAAACCACTGATTGATTTTATATTTCCTAGCTGGCCTGTGCCATGTGTTATAGAGGGCAATGGAAGGGGTGTGTGTGGTTGGGGTGGAGGTGGGTGGATATTTGGTTTGCTGAATTTTAACGAGACCATTTTGGTTTCCCCATGAAAACTAAAACATGAGCCCAGTTCACTGCCATATCTCCACTGGAAACCCAGAGCCCAACACAGAATCATTGCTCCAGCTTCTTCAAATTCAAGCCACTATCATATTTGTTAATCTCCATTGCAGTTGTGTTGGAAACTCCTTGCACTAAAAGTAAATTGGCTCAGGTGGAGTTCTATTATAACCAGAACTCTCCCTGATGCTTCCATTTGCGACCCAAACTCTACAGTCATCCTTCCAGAGTTTGCTCTGCCTCAGAGCAGACCATAGTAATGAATGGTAAGAAATAGGAAGAGGCAAACTTGGCCAAGGAAAGGATTTTTCGATGCCCCAGGATGACTTGTCCTTCATTAGAGGGTTGGAAGCACATGCTGTAACTTCCATTCTAAAGATGTGGACATATTAGGACCAGGATTCTTTACTAAAAACGCTTGCAACTTCTCCCTTAGGACTTTTTTTCTGGAACAAAAGTGTTAGGAAGTTAATGCCCTCAAAAGCAGCCCTCACCCAGTGACTGATGGCAACTGGTGGATAAATACCCCAACTTCCTCACCTCCCAGATGAGTTCACTCTGAGGCACATTTTATACACTGATTTCTAGAGTTCACCACTGGGATTTTGCTCCATTTGTCCATGTTGGTATCTTAATAGCACTTCCCTGACTGCCTTCCTTTCCCTTCCTGTCTCACTTTCCTGCCCCTCTGCTAAAGTTTCCTAGAATGACCTCCCTAGTAAACTACTTGCTCTGGACTCTTTCTATCTGTGTCTGCTTCTGGGGAAAACTCAACTAAGACAGACTCTGTAACCCAGTACAGGGCTCTGTACACGGATTACTCTTTTTAAATTACAATACTCAAATAGTCAACACAGAAAAATTTGGTGTGGGTTTGTAATGGAGTTGAGAAGTGAATGCATGTTATGAGGATGGGTAACTCCTGTCTGCCCCTTCTGACCCTGTTCTCTTCCATTTTATTGCTCACTCATCATTGCCCAAAGGCTCCAATCCAATCAGGCTGCCCTGTTTTAGAAGTCCCAGACACATATGTGCATTCTCACCTCCGTGCTTTTGTGCATGCCATTCTCCACATCCGAAAGCCCTCCTACTCCTCTTCAACCTGTCCAGATGGCACCAATCCTTGAAGACCTGTCTCAAGTTTTGCCTCTTCCAAGATGTCGCTTGTGTCATCGCTAAGAGAATCACAGCATGGGTAGCCTGTTATTCACAACTCACCACTTAATCATAGGCTTTTGTATAGCTTTTAACTACTGCACGTGTAATTGTTCTTGTCTCCCTAATTAAAATGCACTTTCCTTGGGAATAATCACCACACTTTGTACCTCTCTACTCCTCCCAGGGCCTAAAATAGTCTGATAAACACAATTACTTGCCAATGTATGATTTATGCTTTTAAGTAATAAAACAACATGTATGTGTATGACCAATAGTAATGAATCATTTTTAATGATCTTCAGAAAGGCCTCTTTCCTCTTATGCAAATTGCCTGGCAGACAGTTATCAGAGCATCCTTCTTGGTGATCCTTTCCAGAAGTTCACAAAAGACAACAGGCCACAGCAACACCTTGGTTTATGCACACAACTTCCCCACGCTGCTTTAAAGGCATAATAAAAGATAATGCTTCTCGCTTACAAATAAAAAGTGCTTAAATGTAATTTTGACAAAATGTGTCCCAGGGGTGATTGAAGTCTTTTCCTCTCTGTTGTGATTGTAACTGTTATAAATAGACAACCGTAAGAGATTCAAAAGGGGAAACCTTTTAAAGGCTTACTCCAGGGCTTGATACCCTCCCCACTTTATTTTTCTTAGCCCTAATGCTGAAGGAAAACAAACACTTATCGACATACTAATGGTGTTTATTTCCCATCTGTCTTGGAATGGTGGCAATGTGCCAAGCCCTGAGACAGTTCACCACAGCGCCAAGTGAGCTGAAGGCAGCCCCTCCATTCACTGTACCCATGGCTTCCCCTTTGGGGGCCATGGAAAAGTTCAGGATCTTGAATTTATTTTCCCCACCTGTTTCACACTCTGTACCTTTGCCACACCTAAGCCAATTTTCCCAGGCCCGGTGTAGATCAAATCACTTCCATTCTGCTTATGAAGTCACAGCCACCTTCATGCCCCTCTAGAAACAGGTCCATTGAAGTCAGTCGAGGAAACTCAGAAAGGCTCTTTGCTCCTGCTTTGCCCAGAGTCTGATTCCCAACTGCTCATGCCAGAGCTGCCCTAGCAGGGAACAGGAAAGCTGTCGGCCGTGAGCTGGAGCCACACCCACCTCCTCACCTGTACCACACCCTCTGCCCCGTGCTGCACCAGCAATGCCTGGGGAGCTGTGAAGAGCTCCACTCATGTTCCACCACAAGGCTTTTCATCTTCCAGCAAGTCATCCCTTACCAAAGCAAAGTTCAATCGTCCTGTTCAGGTGGGAGGTCCCTGAAAGATCCCAAGAGAAGAAGTGAGCATTTCCTGCTGTTTTTCTGTCTCCTTTCCAAGCAGCAAAGCATACAGAGGAAGTAGCTCTACTTTCTCCTCTCCTTTCTCCAAGTCTTAGCGTTTTTGGCACTGACATGGGAGCCTACGCCCAAAGCAATCATGTCTACAGCAAGATTATGCTTCGGTGGTGATATAATTCTTAATGGCACCTCAGTATATCAGCTGTTCCAGTGCCTCTTATAATCCACTGCAACTGAAACCTCCCAAGTTCTTGAAAATGGACTTCCTCATGGTGACTCTAAAAGACAAGCAGTAATTAGGTAACAGAATCTAATATCCTTTTAGACAAAGTTCAACTCACTTGTAAGGGGCTTTTAGTGATTGGAGTGAACAGGCGGCCCGTCTCTATTTTTGCTTAAAATCCTCTCAACACATGAGAGTCATAAAAGGATATGGCTGAGAAAGTTTTAGTTGCAATCATTCGTTTCATTTGTTTAGAACTGCTTTTTTTATTTTTTCAAATCCATTATTTTAGTTGATTTTCAGATGAATAGGCAGGATGACTTAGTAGTTAGGAATGCTGGTTCCAGATGCCTGCGCTTGAATCCTGGCTCAAAGCCTTCCTGGCTTTGTGACATTGATCAAGTCACCTACCTCCCACCCCATGTCTCTACTTTCTTATCTGTAAAATGTGAATAGCTTTTGTACATACCTCATAGAGTTGAATTTTTAATGTATATATGTATATATACATTATATATAGATAAATATATATATATATATAGAGAGAGAGAGAGAGACAGAGAGAACACACACATTTGGAACTATGCCTGGAACATAGCAAGTGCTAAATAATTATTCTAGTCAAGAGCCAAGAAAATAAAAGGTTAGCAGATTCCATGCCTAGCCTAAGCAATTCCTTCAGTGAGGAGGTCAGATATTGTCTTAGCTTGGGCTCCCTCAGAAGCAGACTCTGAGAGCAGCATTTGGGTACAAGTAACATACGTGGGAGCTGAAACCTCCGTAGAGGTAGGGAAGGAAGGGAGGCCATTAGACTGTGTTTATGAGCAGTTTACTTCTGCAGGAAACTGGGCACAGTCTTACTTGGGACCCTTGAAGTGACTGTGCAGAACATACCACATACTACAGAACTGTCCCTATGAGGCTGAAGGGAGCTGGGGAATTTATTACCAATTCTATCCCTCATTGTTGAGAGCTATCTCTGGGACTGGGACTATGCAACAGTGTCTTCCAGACTGCTCCATGCATAGGTGAAGCATCCTCGGAGGATCATATGCATTTGGGCTTAAGGATGCAGAAAGCCATCAGCACATACTTGGCCTATCTGCAAGTGACTTCCTGGTATGGCCAAAGGAATATGAGCAAGACAACGACAACAGTGAATACAGGAGTGCAATGCAAGTCTTAAAGTTCCTTGACCATCTTGTGCATTCAGACAGAACCAAAACCAAAGGAACCCACCCAGGGAGGACCTATCCTAAATTAATTTCTGGAAAAGGATACTGTACCATCTTTCCCGGTAACTCATTCCAAAGCTTATCGGACTTTATAACATCTCTATTTACCATCAAAATCCCTTTGGGTGAGATCTTTTCTTCTACATTAATTTCCAACGGAGAGAAAGAAAGAGTAAGGCTGACAATATATTTTCATTCATAAAATAAAAAGTATAAAAAAGGACATGGCATGGCTTTAGACCCTGCTAGGTATGCAGAAAAGAATGTTCTTTGAGCTTAAATGTTCTACTCTAAAAATGTAAAAACCTATTTGAAAATGCCTACCTTCAAATACGTTGACCCCTCTGTACAGGACACACTCTAGACATATGCTTCCAGAGTTGTATTTTTGGAAATACTAAAGTTTTGCACAACTATCTTCAAGTTGACAAGTTTACACTTCAAAGACAGAATGCACACCTGAGCCCTTGAAGGCAAAAACCAAACAAAAGTCCTTAACTTTTATGAAATACCTTCTTTCCACTCTTTCCCATTCTTCCAGAGAGAGCTTTCATTTTATCTTAACATCCTTCTGTCCAAAGGCAAAAAAAAAAATTCCCAAATCAATTCATAAAGGCAAGAACTTTTATCCACCATCCATTTCTAAATAAAGAAGGAAGGAATACCAAAGCAAAACAACCATACCTATTATAATTGCTTTCTTTGACTTCTAGCCAAAACTTCTTAATAGGGACAAGATACGGTAAGTGACAAGGAGATGGTAGAATCTGGCTTTTATTTAGAATGTTGGTTAAGCCCATTTGCAAGTAGGCATCTTTACATCTTTTCATGTGGAGGGTTTATTTTCTCTATATTTGGGCAGAGCCCGCTGAAGTAACCAAAAACCACTACCTCTGGGGAGGAGCTGTGATGTAGACCAGAGAAAGTCTTAGTCAAGGTAACTGAGGCCAGAGATCCACAATGAAACTGTACTGTATTATTTCATTTTTCAAACTTACACATTCTCCTACACCCTTTTCTCTGGATATGATTTATGTTCAGTTGATTTTGTTACAGGTCTGGAATGTTTACACAAAGGCTTAATAGACATTTACTTTGGAAGTTACATTGTGAGATAGAATCAAGGAATTGGCCCATTGCCGAAGTCAGAATGGGAGGCCACCTGGAAGTTAATGATCACTTTGCAAAGACCAGGGGCCTGTAACAAAAGGTTCTAGAAAAGTAGAGACTTCATGTAATAACACACTGTACTCAGACATCCATCTTTGGAACGACTGAAGAGAAACCAATGTTTCATAGAGACATCTACCGATAGAGACGTCCAGGACACAATTACTCAATACTTTCATACTTTAATGTCATATTTTGTGCTCTACTTTACAGTTTATATATGCTTTTATGTAACATTTAAAATAATGCTATCCAAAATGATTCCTATAACCCCATTTATCAGATAATCTGCTTTACATATTTCATTCATGCTGAGTTTACCTTTGAGGCAAATATAAAAGAATTATGACTTTCACTTTAGAGATGAGGAAACTGAGACTCAGAAAGGATCAGCAACCTACTTGCTCAAGATTACATCATGCATAACTGGCAAAAACCACAGTCCCTTCAGTAATTTCACCACTATTCTACGGTTGTTTTGTTTAAGCTATTACTTTTTCTATGATTCAACGGTACCCACAAATACTTATCAAGAAGCATTAACATCACCAGCCTGAGCATAGTGGAGGATAAAAGTAAATGTAATCTCCTTGAGATTATAACCTAATTTGGGAGAAAGGCCTATTTCTTGAAGTGGCTTGTTTTTATATTCAGCGATTTCTTTCTAAGAAATTCTCTGTAATACACAGTGCATCGACAACTAAACAAGTTAATATATGTTAAATCCTTCCATATGGCATAGTATGAAAAAGAATTAATGCTTTAAACAAAGTGCTCAAAGGAATGCTTTTTTAATTTTAGTTTTTATTTTAAGTTCTGTTGGAGGATGTGCAGGTTTGTTACATAGGTAAACATGTGCCATGGTGGTTTGTTGCACCTATCAACCCATCACCTAGGTATTAAGCCCAGCATGCACTCTCTGTTTTTCCTAATGCTCTCCCTCCCCGCACCCCACCTCTCAGCAGGCCCCAGTGTGTGTTGTTCCTCTCCCTGTGTCCATGTGTTCTCATTGTTCAGCTCCCACTTATAAGTGAGAACATGCAGTGTTTGATTTTCTGTTTCTGCATTAGTTTGCTGAGAATAATGGCTTCCAGCTCCATCCATGTACCTGCAAAGGACATGATCTTGTTTTAAAGGAATGCTTCGTAATAAAATGATACTTGACAGACATCTGAAGAAGGTAAAAAAGCAGTCTATGCAGGTATCTGGAGAAACACCAGTTCAGAAAGAGCAAACAGCAAGAACAAATTTCCTGAGGTAGAAATATGTTTGGCTTCTTCACAAACAGCAAGGAGACAAATTTGGCTATAGCAAGACTAGGAAGAGATTGTGTAGAGGAGAGATGAAGGAAGCCTGTTCATGTTGGACCTTATATGCCATAGGAAGGGATTTGACTTTGACTCTAAGTAAGATGAGATGCCCTTGGAAGATTTTGAATAGATGAGTGACATGGTCTGGCTTTTGCTTTAAAAGGAATCATCCTGGCTTCTTTGTGAAAGAGTATAGAGGAACAAAGGCTGAAACAGAAATACCAGGCTTGAGAGATGGCAATGGATGTGGTGAGACATGGTTGGATTCAAGATGTATTTTGAAGATAGTTTTCATGGGATTTTGTGGTGAATTGGATGTGAGGTGGGAGAGAAAGAGAGGAGTCAATGATTTCTCCAAGTTTTTTCAGCTTGAGCACCTAGAAGGATGGAGTTGCCACAGCTGAGATGGACAAGACCAGGGGTGGAACAGATTATGAAGGTTTAATCAGAAGGTCACTTTCTATCTCATGAAGTTTGAGATACCCACTAAATACCCAAGTAGGGGTATTGAAAAGACATTTGAATGTATAAATATAGAGTTTAAATGAGAGAGCTGAGATGGAGATATAAATTTAGGCATCGTAAGATATTTAAAGCCATGAGACTGAATGAGATCATCCAAAACATGAGTGCGAGTGGAGAAGAGGGCCAAGATCTGAACTGAGAGTGGGAGAGCTCAACTTTTAAAGGTTGAGGAGGTCAGGAGAAACCAACAGAGAACATCAATAAAGGAGTCAGTGAAATAGGAAAAGAATAAAGAGAAAAGAGAGGATATGTCCACAATAAAAGATTTATGAAAGAAAGCCCATTGTGGCTTAATTCATAATACCCCCAAGATGAGAACAACACAAATACCCATCAGCAGGAAAATAAATAACCAACTAATGGGATATAAGTCTTACAAGGGAATAATACTCAGCAATGCAAAAGAATAAACAATTGCTACCCACAACAACACGGATGACTCTCCAGACATAACAAACCAGATACAAAAGAGGACCAGCCTGGCCAATATGGTGACACCCCGTCTCTACTAAAAACACGAACATTAGCCTGGTGTGGTGGCGCACCTGTAGTTCCAGCTACTCGGGAGGCTGAGGCAGAAGAATCGCTTGAACCCAGGAGGCGGAGGCTGCAGTGAGCCAAGATCGTGCCACTGCACTACAGCCTGGTGACAGAGCAAGATTCTGTCTGTCTTAAAAAAAATAAAAATAAAAAAAAGGCGTTCTTATTTTTCCACAAAATACCTAATGTAGATGATGGGTTGATGGGTGCAGCAAACCACCATGGCACATGTATACCTGTGTAACAAACCTGCACATTCTGCACATGTATCCCAGAATTTAAAGTACAATAAAAAAAATTAAATATATATTCTACAGTAAAAAAAAAAAAATAGCACAAGACTAGTGTAAATTGTCTTTGCCCATGAAGAGCTTACTTATCAGACTGAAAATTGGAAATGCACAGATTTCCTCTTTGGAACAAGAGGACTAAATTATTATCCTTTTACACTCTTTCTACAGAACATCCTCTTGCTCTGCCTCCGACCTATGACTATTTCAAACAATTGTCTCAGCAACTGCAGCCCCAGGTCTGCTCTGCTAGGCCACTGGCCCCTAAGTACCTTAGAGGACACAGGAGATAATGTTGAACATGTTGTCTTGGTAACCAACACTTTTGCCTGGTGGCCCTGGCTCCATCCTCCTCTATACCCTGCTCTTGCAGTTTCCACTGCACCCCAAGGTTGGAGACCTGACCCTTCCAGCTCCTCTCTGCTATGCCCTCCAGTGATTGTGCTGTGCCTCCTCCCCCACAAATTCCCCTCCCCCTCGTACGTTTCCACCCTACTTCTTATTTTGAACTTGCACAGTTGTTTCCACCTCATGTTTAGCAGGTCTCAAGGGTTCTAACTCATGGTCTTGCTTAAATCTTAAATCCCTGCCACCTCACTGTCAGTCGGATGAGGCACCCCGATAGGTTTCCCAGGACAGCTACAAAAATTCCTTCATGGATGGAGAGTTCTTCCCCCACTCCAAGACCTTTTAAGTTAGATGGGATTTATCCAGCTGTTAATCACTAAAGTCAAAACTGTATAGTCAGGGTTTAGGGTACCCTCCATCAGAAAGCAGAGGAGGGATAGGGGTTTCTACTGAAAATAGGAACACAAATTGGACACATATTTGCTCCTAGTTGAAACATTGTGCCCAGTGGCTAAGTGGACTCTTTTCTCCTGGTAAGATGTCCCTCATTTGAACAAACTGTTTTGGCTGACAGATTTTTGTTTTCAAAGAACCAAGAAGATTAGGCTGGGCACAGGCCTGTAATCCCAGCACTTTTGGAGGCCAAGAAGATTAGGCCAGACTCACACCTGTAATCCCAGCACTTTGGGAGACCAAGGTGGGTAGATCACCTGAGGTCAGGAGTTCAAGACCAGCCTGGCCAATATGGTGAAAACCCATCTACTAAAAATACAAAAATTAGCTGGGCGTGGTGGCACACACCTGTAGTCCCAGCTACTTCGGACAATGAGGCACAAGAATTGCTTCTACCTGGGAGGTGAGCTGAGATCATGCCACTGCACTCCAGCCTGGGCTACAGAGGGAGACTCTGTCCAAAACCAACAAACAAAGGAAGGAACCAAGAAGATGATACTTTAGAGGCAGTTCTGAAAGCAGTCACTTCTAGGCAAGAATTAAAAATGCTTCAGAAGCTGACATGTGATCCCTTCCTGGAACAGGGCTCACAGGTTTACCCCTGCCCAAGCTCTATCCGCCACATCACCCCACTCCCAACTCCCTGCCCAGGGTCCCAGGGCAGTCACAGGGCAACAGATCACAACAGTGTTATGTTGGGCTGACTCAGCTTTTCCACAAGGGAAGTTACAGAATAACCTGGCTCAGGACTTAGACCAAGTAGTAAAAGGGAAGGAATGACGAAAGCTGGTGAGGCTTCTGCAACTTGTGTTACTGCCCTTGGATTGCTTCCAGGACTGACTTTGTGGGTACGAGACTCAAACTGCCACACAGAGCTCCGTGCTTGGAGGGGTCCCATGATTGGTTTAATGCTCTGCTGTCACTGTCTTGAAATTGTAATAATTTTTCAACAAGGTCCAACATTTTTATTTTGCACTGGGCCCTGCAAATAAATTATGTAGCTGATACTAATTGTTTCAACTCAGTTATCCGCAAACTAAACATCATTGGTTATTTTTATATACTTTACCTTGAGCCTTCTCTTCAGGAGATTGAAGGTGATAAACTGAGAGTTATAGACCCACTTTCAAACCTCTATGGAAACCACTGTTTTCAATGTGTAATTGGAGGAAGATAGGTCAGTTGGATTTCTAGACTGGGACATTTCTTCCCCAAAACTGGAAAAATAAGGAAATCTCTACAAGTTGAAGGTCAGGATGATGAATAAGAATGTATTGAAAAGTAAGACTTCAAATAAAACTTTCATCCCTGGCTTGAAGATGACATTAAACATAAACTTACTGCTATGAAAATATCAATCAGTCATAATGCCAAATAGTTGAAAAACACACATAACCTAAAAAATCCCCAATCCATCATTTATCAGAGGTAAGATGAAACATAGCCACGCTGGGTCACAAATCAAATTCTGGCAGTGGCACAGTGAAATAAAAAGAGGAATCTGGGTAATCCACTGAATAATCATTGCTTCTCTCAATTCCCCCAAATAAGTAAGGCATGTGTTTCCAAAGAGATCTATCTTATCCTGGAGTAATACTCAAATTTTCTGTGTTCTCAGAACTCTAAACTCCCTCCTCCTCAGTAAAGTCTTCTCTGGCTATTTAAAAGCAATTCAGAGTTTTATCTTTCAACTATCTACCCTTTTCAATAAATCTCTGCACATTGAAAGGCTCTTCTGGCCTTGTCAGCATCAGAGTCAAAGGGGGCTGGGGCAGAGTAAACACACAAGGTGGACTTTGGTAGCCAGGCTCTGTGCCTGGCTGTAACCCTTTCTTTTTATCATCCACAGTATACTTACTCCTTGTCTTGGAATTCACCACAGCAGCCAGCCTTCTCCTCCAGCTCTATTTCCTCCCCTGCCTATTTACTCTCAAAGATGACCTCTCCACCTACTTCCTTGGGAAAATTGAGAACATCTGATGAGAACTCCCACAAGTTTCCTCCCAAACTCCTTAAGTTTTCTTTGGATCATCACCCAAACTTTCTTCCTTCCCGCCCATCTTGGAAGAAACATTCCCTGACACATGGACAGGTTAACCCCTTCACCTGCCTTCTACCATGCAGGGGCTTCCCTTTGATGATTAGGGTCTCTATTTTCTCCTTCCACTGACTACTTGTCCAGTTCCTCAACACAGGCTCAAATCTTCTCATTCAAAAACAAACACACAAACACCAATGACATCCTCTCCTCATTCACTCTTCACTCTCTTGCCTTCCTTTTTCTACCAGTCCATAGTGTCCACTTCCTCTTCTCTCTCTATGCCTTCCATAAAAAAAAAAAATTGTCTCACCTAGCACTAAATGTAGAAGGCATCAAATAAATGTGAGACTCATTTCTTGATAGCCTTGAAATACAGTTTGAAAGCAAGTAGTGTGATGCCTCCAGGTTTGTTCTTTTTCCTCAAGATTGCCTTGGCTGTTTGGGGTTTTGTGTGGTTCCATATGAATTTTAGGATTTTTTTCTAGTTCTACGAAAAATGACATCAGAATTTGATAGGGATTGCATTGAAATCTGCAGATCACTTTAGGTAGTATGGACATTTTAACAATATTAATTCTTCCAATCCATGAACACAGAATATGTTTCTACTTATTTGTATCTTCTTCAATTTCTTTCATCAGTGTTTTGAACTTTTTAGAATGTTGGAATTCTACACATTAGATTACAAAGTGTAGAAATCTTTCACATTGACCAATGAAACATAATAGAAAGCCCAGAAAGGAATCTCCACATTTATAGTCAATTGATTTTCTACAAAGGTGCCAAAAACACACAATGGGAAAAGGACAATCTCTTCACTAAAGAATGTTGGGAAAACTAGATATCCACATGCAGAAGAATGAAACTGAACTCTTACATCATACCATACACAAAAATCAACCCAAAATGAAATTGTCTTTTCTAGGGTTAGCCAAATCAAAGGTCTGGGTTTGACACCCATCCTATTAGTAATCCCAGAAGCATTCTTGCTTCTCAAGATGAGACCTCTCTTCCTGGTTTCTGTGATGTTGGTTTCCCTCCAACTTTTCTCACTTACTCATATAAAGTGTCTTTTCCTTATTCTTGTCCATCACTTAATGGAAGTTATTTCCAAAAATACCTCTCTTGGCTTGTTCTCTTGGCTCAGTATAGTGAGCAGAGAACATTTTTATTCCATGAAGATTCTCATTGGCTCCCATCCTCACTGCATGATTCCCAAAGGTATATTCTTACTTCTGACCGCACTACCAAATCGCAGACCACATCTCCAACACTTGCTAAACACCCTCAGTCACCTGCCTTACCTCCCTCTAAGTGTGGCCTACCGGCTCCTTAACCTCTAGTTAACTAAAGCAAAATGAATGTGACAGAATGAATGTCCATCTTGCACAACTTTCAGGGAGTTTCCTATATAATTCTTGCTGTGGAAAGGCACTACTGTCAGACTGAGGCTCAGCAGGCCTGCAGGTAGAAACAACAGGCGATTTTACCTGGCTGGAGAAAAAGTGTGAGACAGGGAACAAAGCCAGATCCTGATCCAAAGCAGCCAAGCTGCACTTCTGTGCTCAGCACTGTATGTTTGCCTCTTGGTCCTCTTGAAAATTGCACTGTTCAAGACATTGATAACAGATAGAGACATCACCAAAAATTAAACAAGCATTGCTTTCACACCTAGAGATAGAAAATTAACTACTTACTTTGCCTGCAAGTCAAGGCACAATGGCATTGCATTAAGCAGGAAGTGATGGGGCATCTGACTTGGGCACAGTGGATCAAGAAAAACTGTGACTTCTTTTCCACTTATTGTTCACACTGTAAATGCTTTACTTCCATCAATTAAAAGGCCTATGTGGATTCTGTCCCTCCAATTATTCATGGTTCTGTTAAGCATCTCTCTCTGATTGAGACTCACTTTTCTTAGTATGAGTGCCTGCATCTGCTTTCTTAATCATGGCGTTCCCAGATCCCAGGGAGCTCTGTGAATGATGCTCTCTTGGAAGACACTGGTGCTAACATTTCCCTCCCTGAGTTAGGAAAGTTAAGAAGAGTTAATAAATTTTTGGCTATGCTCATGTCCCACCCTCCCACTAACAAAAAAAAAAAAAAAAAGAAAGAAAAGAAAAGAAAAGAAAAAAAAGTCCTTATTTTGAACAAAGGAGAATGAAAAAAAGCTCCCTTCCTCCACCCACAGCCTGGGCTCCCCATCCAGGGCCTCCTGCTAATTTCAGGCCTCACCCTGAAATCAGGGAGGCCTGTGCCCTTGGGACACTTACCACCCCTCTCGGCATGACCTGCAGCATTGACAGCTTCCGAGTATCCTAATCTATTCCATATTCTGGGAGGTTCTTAGAAGGGGAGGGTAACCATTCATTCTCCCACAGTCACTCCACGCTTGCTTTCCCACTCACATCCTCTTGGGATTGACAGCAGTAGGGTAATAGAGTTCTGCCTTCCCTGATGCTGCGTGGCTCCTTGGCCTTCACTTAATCAAGGCCATTGCTGTGAAAGTAAGCCGTGCACAACGGGGCCTGCCCAGAAGAAAGCAGGGAGCTATGGCATTGCCTTCTCCCAGCTTAAATGGAGTATCTAATTAAAGCCACACCACCACTGTTAAAGAAATGTAAGGAGCAAAAAGGAGCAAACACACGGAGGTATAAAAAATTATAGGGAAAGCTGAGGGGAGAGGAAGACAATAGAATGATGCCATTACTTTCCCTTAACTGCCATTTTGTATCATGTTAATTGAAAACTGTATCCGTTTTCAGGTTCATCTGCCAATGACAAAGCTGGAATTAAGAGGAACCAACCCATGTGAAAAACTTCCAGGGCTTAAGATCAAGTAAGTAGTGACTCACACTTGTAATCCTGGCACTTTGGGGGCGCTGAGGCAGAAGAAGTTCTTGAGCCCAGGAGTTTGAGGTCAGCCTGGGCAACATAGGAGATCCTGACTCTACAAAAGATTTGTTTTAAGTTCTTAACAGGAAAAAAAAAAAAAAAAAAGATGGAGTAAGTACTGGTCCCACCAAACCTAGCCATTTGCCTGACTACTAAACCTAGACTCCTTAACTCTGCCATATCCAATTTATCAGGAAGCCTCGGCTCTACCTCCAGAATACCCCCCACATTCAGCTCCTAGCTCACCCCCTTTGCCACTACCTTTTAAATTCAAGATACTATCATTTCTTGCCTGGAATGTTACAACTGATGGCCAACTGGGCTCTCTGCCTCGCCTTACCTCCATCCTACTCTCCACACTGCAGCTGGTGAGAGTATTTTCACACCCAAATTACCTTCCAAAGTTTTCCCACTGCCTTTGAGTGGAATCTAAGCTTTTTACACAGCCCACATAATTTTCCTTAAGCTGTCTCCTTCTCTCATCTTTACCACGATTCCCTAATACTCTCCCCTTCACTTACTGGGCTTTAGCCATGCTGGTCCCCTTGCTATCCTTCCATTGCACCAAGCTCTTTCCCTTTGTCCCAGATGGGGTTTCCCAGTGGAGAGCCTGTGATGGGGATTCTTGTGCATGCAGGGAGGACTCTCAGGACAAACCTACAAAATAGTTTGGGAGATAGAACAGAGAAAGGAAAGACGCCAATCAAAGATACAGTCTCCACCAGAGACCAGATTCAGCCTGATGATCCCATGGCCCTGCTTAAGGCAACAGACTGGCATCTTTTTCCATTCAGTCATTGGCTGTGGTCCACCCCTGAGGGTGGACATCATCTCAGGCATTCTCCTGCAGGAAAGCGCAATTGCAGTTGTAAGCAGATAGCAGCCAACACTCAGGGAAGCCAGGGGATGTGTACCTTGGCCCTTGGGATGTAGGCAAGGCATTAACAATTCTACTAGATCTACCTTAAGAACTTGTTTTAGCTATTCCTTCTGCCTGAAGCATGCTCCTTCTAGATCTGCATGTTTCTAGCTTCTCATTATCATTTTCATCTTGGTTTAAATATCTTTTCTGAGTGGCCATGCTTGACCACCTAGCTAAAGTAGCTACTCTGACACACTGCCCTTCCAGTTAGTCAATATCATTATCTGATAATATCCTTTTTCACTGTCTGAAATCATATTTTTTATTTAACGTTCATGTGCATGTTTATTGGCTGTCTCTCCTACTACAATGTAAAGTCCAGGAGACCAAGAATTCAGTCTTATTTGCCAATTTAGTGGTAAAGTAAAAATACTCTGAAGTGAGACTTCCAAGTTCAATTTCTGACTCCACTATTTAATAGCTATATAAGCTTGAGCAAGTTAAGTAACTACTTATAAGTCATTGTGTTGCTGACTCCCATCCTTCAGATTAATTGGGTCATTTGGAGGATTAAATAAGTTAATGCAAGCAAAGTGCTTGGAATACTGTCTGATACATGTTAATTATTCAGTAGATGCTAGCCCATGAGATGTGCCTGGTATATGAGTGAATGAATGAATGGATGGGTAGATGAATGAATGAATGAATGAATGACTTCCTTGGCAACTCAAGCTGCCATTCTGCTCCACCTATATGGTTTATAGCAGAGGCCACTGCCATTTCCTTGACTTTTACCCTTTAAGGCTTCAAACATTCTTATTCTCTTTCTCAGCCATCAGTAGGCATCTAAAGTACCCAAATTAATTTTTGTTTCTCAGTGATTCTTGGAACCACCCAATACTCCCATCTCGACCATACTCATTGCAAGTCTGTAGACTTGAAGGCTTAATTTCCTGGGCAGCAGCATGCTAAATTCTGGAGGCAAGGCTCTAGTCCCACAGTCACAAGCACTCACTGTTCCACCAACAACTCTTTCCCATCGCTTTGCTCAGGCCACCCTTGCCATGTAATCCAAAAAGCTGGCTGCATCAAGACGAAAGGAAGTTTTCAGTAAGCTTCAGCCACCAAATGAACTGTGGTTTTGTCTGTGGCCTGGATGAAATGGATAAAGGTGCAATTAGTTCAATTCTCCTCTGAAAGGCAGAGTTTATGGGAAGTAAGAAGCAGGGGCAGTCGTTAAGCAAATATAAACTGACCGCGTTCTGTTGAGCAGGCACTGTGGGGAACATGAACCGTATCATAGGAGGAGACGAAGAATAAAAGACACAGTTCAGAAAGCAGTTGCCCTGAGAGGGGATAATTTTATTGACCTAAATTTTTCTTAAGGAGGCTTTTGTATTTTTTTGGGTGAAAAGGTCGGATAAGACATTTAGGATTAGTGGAAAGGCATCAAGAACAAGCCTAACCTTCCATTATGGGAAGACCAGGCAATGTATTTGTCATTGAAGGGGGAGAAAAAGAGCAGTGCAAACAGAAATAGGAGAGGGAAGTTAGAAGGCAGAGGGAAGACAGAGGCATCTTGAAGAGCTGTAATTGTGTTGCTTACTCCCATTCTTCTATAAGGTGGCTAAATTCAACAATGCCTGGAGTGAGGGGAGGTTTTGTAGAAAGCAGTGAAGTGTCTGGGTTTCTGGACCAGCAGACTTTAAATGATCTAGAGACCACACCTACCCAGTAGGCCAGAGGAGATGGGAGGTAAAGGAGCCTCAGGCAAGCTTGGCTTTTGTGGAGGCCATGAGATGGGGTTTGGCCGAAATTAACCCAGATCTCCAATGAATCAAGAGGGTTCAGCAAACACCCTAGCAGCATCTAGATACTCTCCGACTCAGGGAGATGTTTAAGGGCAGACACCCACATCCCAGTGTCCATCCCTGTGGCCCCATTTTCAAACCGGGTCTAGAATCTTCCTCATCAATCATATACCCAAATCTAAGCTAATGAACAATTTTAAGCAGTGGCTGAGGCTCAGAAATAACATGTAGAAGGGCAGGCCCATGGAGATCATCCAGCATCTCTTCTTCTGCATAATCTTCCAGGGTGATTTCATTCACTCTCTTGGTGTCAGATCTCGTCTGTAGTCTGGAGAATCTTTAGCCCAGATCCCCCCTTAAGAGCTGTTGTGTGTAGCAGCCACTAGCCACATGTGGCTATTGAGCACTAGAAATGCAGCTAGTATGACTGAGCAACTGCATTTTAAAAATTGTATTTCATTTTCATTTATTTTGATTTTTTAAAAATTATACTCAATTTAATTATTGGAACACCTTTAATAATGTTTGGAACAATTTAGGTATGTAAATCTACTTTTAAAAAATTTTTCATTTTGATTTTTGTGGGTACATAGTAGGTGTATAAATTTATGGGGTACATGAGATGTTTTGATAAGGCATGCAATGTGAACTAATCACATCATGTGAACTAATCACATCACGTGAAATAATCACATCATGTAAAATGGGGTATCTACTCCCTTAAGCATTTATCCTTTGTGTTACAAACAATCCAAATCTACTTTTACAACTATCAATTTTTCATACGAATGAAAACTTAACATCCAAATTGAGAGGCTCTGTAAATGTAAAATATAAATTGGATTTAGATGATTTAGTATCAAAATGTCTAGTTTTCATTAATAATTTTATATTGATTAAATGCTGACATATTATTTTGGATATATTGAGTTAAATTAAAACAGTATTAACATTAATTTCACCTGTTTCTTTTTATTTGTCTTGATGTGGCTACTAGAACACTTAGAACTCCATACATGGCTCACATCATATTCCACTGGACAGCACTGCTCTGGAACCATATGGCCACATCCCCCCTTAGGTTATTCACAAGTACCTCAAACTAACATATGCAAATTATCATATGCAAAATTACATTATCTGTTGTCTCCCATCTCACCCCCAACCTCTTCCTCCTCTAGAATTCCTTAAATGCCTTCATTCATCAGATTACATTGGAAAATAATCTGAGAGTTATTCTTGATGCTTCAAAGTCAGTACCACCTTCAGTAGCATGTAGCTTATGCACTCCATAAGGGCAAGGGCAGTATCTGTCCATCTGTCTACACTTAGCCAAATGCAGCGTGTGGTAAGACCTCAATAAAGACTTTCTAAAAGAACGAATGAGCAAACAAGTGAAGGGGTGACTCATCTCTGGCATTGCTGAGAAGACAAAGCACGCATAGCACAGTTAAGCAGAAAAGAGACATTCCAGTGTGCTCCCTAGAACAGCTGGCCTTGAGGAAGAAAGTCAAAGTCCCGCCTACAAAGCCACAGAGCAGTGACATGAAAACTGAGGCTCCAGCAGCCCCTCTATACAGGGGGGTCTGGAGATAACCAAAGCAATCAGGGCCTTCCCTATGAATTAAGGACATTTGGAGGCGGGTGGGGGAGTTAGCTTCCTGGAACCACACCCTACTCAGCTTTACAACGTGGCCTCTTTGCTGTAAAAGCTGGAAGGGGAATTACAGAGACAACAAATCTAGGTCAGCAAGAATCATGGACAGACTAAGTAGGGAGTGGACAGCCTCCCTGAGTGCCAATTAAACTAGAGCAATGACCAGTTAACAAGTACAACTAAAGAATAGGCTGAAAAAAGTCAGGCTTGTTCCAGAAAGTCTAGCGGCCTAAACACCATCCCAGAGCAATAATAGCAGTGGGAATAGCCATTGACATCAATTTATACAGCACATACGATGTACCAGGAGCTACTTTAAATACTCCTTTCTTCTCACACTCTCTCTCTGTATGTATACATGTATATGGTGTGTGTATATGTGTGTGTGTGTGCTAGCTTCAGTCTTCATAGCAACCCTATACAGTTGTTATCATTATCATTCCCATTTCACAGATGACCTAAAAGAGATGTGGCTCTGGGATTCAAACCCAGGCCATCAGTTACAAAGTCTTCATTTGTAACTATCACGCCATTCTGTCAACCACAGATCAGGGAAAGGAGGGATCAAATCCTAATTTCTGGAACACCAGGTAAGATTGTGGTCCATCTGCTCAGTGTTCTGATGAGTTTATCCAAGGAGCATATTTGGGACTAAGAGAAGAAATAGGCATTATTCTCTTCTCTGACACTAGCCACGTTCATTCACTTCTGCATTAAACGTGTATATTTTTTAAGCTCTCTCTTACCTGTGTTTCTATTTATCCTAGTCTCTTCTTGAGACAAGGACTTCTCTTCTACTCTTCGCTACTACTGCAAGATTGGAAGATCTTAAGGAAAACTGGTGTATTTGGAGGGCAGAGATTCTGCATTAATGGAGAGTTAGGTTGGCTCTGCTATTTCTGCCTCCTTGTGCCTTAAACTGAGGAATGGATCCAGCTAAGCACAACTTTGTAAAAGAGCATGGAGCAGGGCCCTCAATCAACGAAGCTGGGGGGCAAGAGGAAAGTAGGGACACGGGGAGCTAACATTGTGTGATGATATTTGCAGTGGTTTTAGACAAACTAAATAACACCAAAAAAAGAGGAAACGATACAACTTCTGACAATGTCACTATCCTCACATTAACTTTTTTGGAAAGAGAGACATAGAAGGGAATGATACAGAAGAGAATGATAGACTTACTCTGTTTTGCTCATCACATAAACACAAGAATAAGGGTGGGAGATTGTTTAAGGAAGGAAGATTGCAAGTCAAAAAGGGGGAAATTTTTCTAGCCATAAAAACGCGTCAAAATTGAATCATCTCTTTTGTATGGTTTTGAACTCCAGTTTGGGGAAGAGACCTCAACCAAAGACTATTGACCACTGGAATTTGAGTTTGAGATTGATGACCATTTAATCCCAACTCTAAGATTTTATGCCCTGAATGTTACCAATATATTTTCTATTAAGATATAACTTATACAACATGAAAGTTACCATTTTAAAGCGTACAATTCAATTATGTATAGTATATTTGTAGAGTCATACAAACATCACCATTTTCCAATCCCAGAATATTTTTATGAAGCCAAAAAGAAGCTTTATATATTAGCAGTCACTCCTAATTCCTCCTCCCTCAATTCCTGGCAACCATTAATCTACTCCTTGTCTCTATGGATTTGCCTATTCTAGACATTTAAGTCATATAATATGAGGTCTTTTTTGTCTGGCTTCTTTCACATAGCATAAGACTTTCACGATTCACTCATGTAGTAGCATGAATCAGTATTTCATTCATTTTTACGGCTGAATAATTTTCCATCATACGGATATACCATATTTGGTATATCCATTCATTTGGTAGTGGATATTTGGGTTGTTTCATTTTTTAGCTGTTATGAATAATCCCACTATAAACATTTATGTACAAGTTTTTGTGTGAACATGTGTTTTCATTTCTCTGTGGTATACACCTAGGAGTGGAATTGCTTACTTGCACAATAACTCAATTTTTTAACTTTCTGAGGAGCTGCCAAACTGTTTTCCAAAGCAGCTGTACCATTTTACATTCCCACCAGCAATGTATGAGGGTTCCCACTTCTCCACATCTTAGCTAACAGTCAGTATTGTCTGTTTTATTACAGCCATCCCAGTAGATGTGAAGTGGTATTTCCTTGTGGTTTTGATTTGCATTTTCCTAATGACTAATGATGTTGAGCATCTTTCCATATGCTTATGGACCATTTGTATACCTTCTTTGGAGAACTGTCTATTTAGATTTTTGTCCATTTTTAATTGGGTTGTCCTTTTATTATTGAGTTGTAAAAGTCCTTTATATATTCTGGATGATCAATATATCTGACTTTCACTATAAGTGAATAAATTTGAAACCTGGGTAAATTATCTTTCTAGGGGAAAAAATAGGAAACTTGAAATTATTTAAGAGAACCTAATATGAATAACCAAAGAAGAGATTATGAACATTTATAAAGAGCTATTTCCCTGTTCTCCCTAAGCCCCTCTTATCCTACCCTACCTAAAATTCCAAAAAGCACCAAAGCCAGTTGGTTTCAAGGGTGAATTTTTCAAATCTTCAAGGAAGAGATTTTTCCTTTGCTATATAACATGTTCCAGAGTCTAAAGAAAGGATATTTCTTAACTTTTTATGAAGGCAACATAAAACTTCACCAAAACCTGAGAAAAAAAATAGCCCAAGAAAAAATTATAGAACAACCTTACTTATATATGTTGACATGAAAAGCTCATAAATTAAATATCAATAAATGAAATTTGTCAGTACAGTAAATGAATACTACAGGGGAATAACCTTTGGAAATCGTAAGATGATTGAATAATGAGGATTCAGTATAATTAACAATGCATGTGAATAAAAAACTCAATATTCAGAAAAGGCATTGAATAGAAACATTTATTTCCAGTTCAAAAACACTCCTTAGGACCTGTACATTGAACAACAGTACAATATCATCTCACATCTTATATAAAATAACATTAAAACATCTGAAACTATTTTTAAAAATAGCAAAAATATATGGAAACGGAACTTTCGTAAACTCCTGGTGGGAGTTCAAAATGGTCAAATCACTTTGAATAAATATTTGGTAGTATCTAGGAACACGGATAACCTACATACCATATGACCAAGGAATTCTACTCCAGCGTAGAATATCCTAGAGAAATTCTTGTACAGTTTATAAACCGACATATACAACAATTTCCATGGCAAAACTCTTTCAAAATAGAAAAAAATAAATTATATTAATAGGAGAATGAATAAACATTTGTATTTTCATTTCATACAACTGTTAAAATTATGTAGCTCTCTCTATTCAGTCATGTAATTAGAACTCCACACAAAATGTTGAGTGAAAAAAAAGCAAAAAAGCAAATAGCACACACCTTAAACATTTTTGTTGTTGTTGTTGTTGAGACAGTCTCACTCTGTTTCCCAGGCTGGAGAGCAATGGCACAATCTTGGCTCACTGCAAACTCCGCCTCCCAGGTTCAGGTGATTCTCTTGCCTCAGCTTCCTGAGTAACTGGGACCACAGGCGTGTGCCACCATGCCCAGCTAATTTTTTTGTATTTTAGTAGAGACAGGGTTTCTCCATGTTGGCCAGGCTGCTCTTGAACTCCTGACAGGTGAACCACCCACCTCGGCCTCCCAAAGTCCCGGGATTACAGGCGTGAGCCACTGCACCCAACCTTAACATTTATGTCTATTTTCAAAACACAAAAACAAACATTGTGTATTATTCATCAACACATACATAAGTATGTAAATATATTAAAATGGAGTGAAAAAGATACATATTCCTTTCACATTTACCTCTGGGTTTGGAGCAAGAACAATACTGCCAGTGGAGGACTTTATCATTCGCCGTAATCCTTTACTTCTTTTATTTCAATTGGTGAAAATTTTAACAATCTTCAATTCTGATTGGTGAGTGTATGAACATGCATCATTATTCATTGTACTTTTGAGATTTTTCAGATTTCTGAGAACAAAAAAAAATTTTCATAAAAACAGACACCAAGTTCCTCAGTATGGTAAAAATATATATTTCCAAACAAAAATTAGTCCCATTCTTAATGGCAAAACAGGGGAAGCATCCACATCAAAATAATTTAAACAATAAGGATCCACACTATTAATTTATATGAGTCTAAAGGGCTCTAGCTATTTAATTAATTGATCAGAATTTTAAGATGTATATGTATCTTTAAGTATATGTCTATAGGATTGTATATTTGTGTGTATGTATATGTTCATGGAGTGTGTGTATGTGTGTATATAAGAATTTGTATATATGAGTATGTATATGTATATGAATGCATATGTATGTGTGTGAAGGGGGTGTATGTGTATGAGTATGTATATGAGTGTGTCTGTGAGTACAAACACCCACTAACAGACACACTCACATATATACTCTCATACACATATACCCTCTCACACACATATATACACATTCATATACTACATAGCCACAGGTATATTCGCTTACATACATAGGTATATGTATGTAAGAGTATCTGTGAGTGGGTATATATGTATGTATGTAGGAAGGCGTGTATGTGTATATATATGTATGGGTATGTACATATGCATATATGTGTGTGCATGTGTGCATATGTGCCTAGGTATGCATATGTATGTATGTGCATGTGTACATGTATGGGTATGTATATGCATGCACATGTGCATGCAAACATATCGAATAGGAAGAAATACATACCAAGTGTTCCACATGTGTTTGTTCTGTATTTTCGGGTAGAGTTTATGCTCATTAAAATCTGAACCTGTGACTTGTGTTTCTTTCAGAATTTGGAATTAAGTTCTCAATAATTCTTGTAGAATTAGATTTGGCACCAGAACCCCACAATTTCTACAGACGGGCAAGAATTCACAGATCAAATTTCAGGACTGTTTTTAGCTCAGTACAAGATAGTTGGTGGTGAGAATTTTAAAATAAAAATGAAACCCTAGAGATAAGTTTCTTTTAAAATTTTTACAGATATAGACACAGTTATCCCCTTTTCTGGAATTCATAGCAAACATCAGGAACTAAGATATTACAATTACCTCTAAATTTTGACAATTTCTCAAAAATTGCTAAAGTTCGTTCAGGAAAGATAGAGAAGATACGACGCTGTGGATGACCTGTTTTGTTAGCCAGAAGGACAGAAGAGAACCCACCAGGTGGACTTTGCTTCCACTCCGGGCCAGTGGGTAACCATTCATTTGAAGAAGGTGGCATCAAGAAGTCAGTAAAAGTGGGGGAACCCCTTCGTGGATCCCGTATAGCAGGAGAGAGAAACGGTGGTGTTGGTGGCAGTGATGAATGTGGCCTTCTGGTCCTGTGTAGGAAAGCTGTAAACTCACGGGTTCAATTCCCAGGATAGGAGGGTGGGGTCTGGAGAAGAGCAGCATGGCCTGAGCCTTAGCAGACATGCTTAGTGATTGCATCCCACTGACAAGGAGACACAGCCATGGCTTTTGTTCTGCATGCCTGGAAAGGCAGCCAGAGCAGGAGAGCCATCCAAAAGCAAGAAAAACCATTTCCTCACAAAAGGAGAGGTTATTCTCTTATTTTCTTTTCCCCTGGAGCCTGAGTCAGGCAAGAAAGCAACACCCTAAGGTCAGATCGAAGTCACAGAGCTGAGAGCTCCATTCGGGTTCAATTTGACAGGCTGAAAGACACTCATAGCCCAGATGGGCAATAAACCAGAAGAGCCACAGCAGCAGAAGCAATGCCTTATTCCCAAATATTGCTTGGAGCCCAAGAAGAGTCTCTTGCATTTCAGCTCATACTCCCCACACAGCAAACCAAGCTGTGCTCTTTCTGGGTGGCTGGCTCAAAGAATCATACATTACAGTGGAAACTCCCATTTACTTCATTTACTGCCATTTATAATATTTTCCACTATTTGTAGATAATAAATTCATCCTTTTCTTTTTTCCTTTTTTTTTCCTTTTTGTCAAAACTGCAGGCCACTCCAAAAGCCAAAAATGTTCCAAAATCTTACTCGAATGTGTTCCCCTTCATTTTCTCTGATAGCTTTAATGGTTTCTTTGGAATTGCCCCAATATCAACCAAATTAACAATGCTGAGCAATAAAAATTGTTACCTTCATTCTTGAGTGCCAAGGGGCCTTTTGAATGAGGATGCTTAAAGAAGAGAGGTTAATTAAAGTCACTCCCAGAAAAATAACCACCCACCACAAAAAGTTTCTCCCCAGCCCAGTCTAGCTCTGTATCATAGTTATTGACAATCTCCAGTTTATTTGAAACTCATTTAACATGCAGGACTGAAACCATGAATTTTGTCAATGGAATTACATCTCTGCAATTGCCTCACCTAAGCCTTTCAGAAGGATGTTAAGCAGGAGTCTTAGCAGGAGATCAAAAGGAGAAAGGGAATATTCCAGGCTTACTTTATTTCACAGAAGCCTGGTGGTTTTCTCAGTCTGTGAAGAGCCGGGCACACGTTGCATATGTGCTGCATGTGGAGAAATTAACGTTCCACTTGGAAACCTTACTTTTTACCAAATAACAGCCTCAGAGAAAAGCATGATGAACAAAGCCACAACAGCATCTCTTTCATTTTTACACCCTTCAGTCTACTGGCAAAATTGGAGCAATAAACATGTCAGCAGCTCATTCCTCTTTCTTATATTCTGTCATTGTTTGCTTTGGCAACAGCTACTATCCTAGGGCCAGGAGGAAAAGTGGACATACTGGACCAGGATAAAAGGTGTCAGCCAGCTAAGTTCATCACCAAACCCCAACTGGTAAAGGAAATTGGTATCCAATTCACGTGATTGCTACTGCTCATAGCTAAGATGCTGAGTCAGGCTGAAGAGCTATCCTAGAGGAGGTAGCAGAAAATTACTTTTGTTTCATTAAAAGTGAATCCTAATTGGCAATTATCTACAAAGCAGTAAAGAGAAGACATTATTTTGATTGTTTGCTAAGCTTTCTGCATCTCTAGAGAGATGTTTTCAGCATCCTTCAGTGCTTGGCACATCCTTGTTCCAAGGAATCTTCTTTGTATGTTGCCTCCTTCTGTTAAGATATCTATATAGGTGCCCTATACTTCCTACATTAAGTAATGCAGGGGTTCTCAATTTATGTAGTTCAGTCCCTTCCACATGCATCTTTTTTTCTCTTCATATTACTTTTAACTTGTGTCTTTACATTGAAAATGTATTTTTTATAAACAAAACACAGGTAGACTTTCCTCTTTCACTCAGTCTGACAATCTCTGCCTTTTAATCTGAGTGTTTAATCCATTAATGCTTAGTGTAATTATTTCTATAATTCAGTTTAGCTCCACATGCTTCCTATTTGTTTTCTATTTGTTTCAATTTCCTTTGTTCCTTTGTTTCTGCTTTCCTGACTTCACCGGGATTGATGAAGTATCTTTTAATATTTTTTAATCTACTCTACAGTTTTTTAACGATATCTCTAGTTATTTCTCTTAATAGTTACTCCAAAGATTATAAAATGCATTCTTAACTTGTCACAATCCATCATGAATTAATACTGTACCACATCTAATGTATTAATCTTACAAAAGTATTCTTCCTTTTACCTCCTTTCTATTTTTATGTAATTGTTATCATATGCATAATGAGTAAATCCCAGAACACATTGCTTATTTTCCTTGAAATAGTCAATGATCTTTTAAAGAGAATAAAGGGGGAAGACATTGTATATTTACCCAAAACTCATTGTTTCTAGAGCTCATCATTTCTTCCTGTAAAATATTGAATTTCTGTTTCCATTCAGTCCTTTTGAATAACTAGGTATGATAGAAAGCTAATGCAAATTAGTGTCTGGCTGAAGAGCTAACTCTAACAATGAACAGTAGGAATGAACAGCAGCTTTCTTGTGATTGTGAATACATATATCACACAAGTGATTTGCAGCAGGGACTTAGGGCCTGTTTATTCTGAAGGAGAGAAAACCCAGAGGTGATGGAGTAAGCCTCAGAAGGCTGTCAAGCCAAAGGTAAAAATAATCTTCTCTAAAAGTTGGATCTAAGATCAAAGAGTTTAAGAAACTTAGAAGCTGATTTACATTCAAGATAAAGAACTAGGACTATTCAACATGGAAGAAAATGTCTTGAAAACCATCAATTCTCCATGACAGGGCTGCTCAGTCTGGGGAGGCCGCATGACACAGAGGTTGAATGTGGGCTCTGGTGTCTGACTTTCTGTGTCTGACTCCTACCTCACCATTTACTTGAGATGTAATCTTGGGTAAGTTCACCAACTTCTTTGGACTCATTTTCTTATCTTTAAAATGGGCATGATAACAGGATCTGCCTCAAAAGTTTGCTGTTGAGGAATCACCTGGAACATGCCTGGAGCACTGTCTGGCATGTTCTGTTCTGAGTACTCAGTAAACATCAACTATTACTGTTACTGTTGCCAGAGGACTCTTCATGTTGTTTCCAATGCTAAGATTCTGTTTTACTCTGAGTCTTCTGTCTTTTATTATGCTTGAAGTTCAAAGCAGAAACAGAACATTTGTTTTCATGTCACCGCTTTCTTCTTTCACTAAACCTCAATAAACACATGAGAAATTCTCTGTAATTTTTGTTTAATTCCTAATCAGTACCACTGACAGGAATTACTTCTTTTATTGAAATAATCTACCAAGACAGGAACTATGGGACAAATACATCACATCACATTCCTAGGACAATGAAAAAACACAAACCATAGATAAAAACAGAATTATTCCTTGATGCATGCTCTTGAAAACTGGTCAGCAATGAAAGAAATAAGACTTGGCCTCAAAGTTATCAGACAGTGGAAAAACAAGAGAACCAACTTATGATGATGGCCGATGCTATCCAGTGAACACTTGTAGGTAATTTAAAGTTCTAAACCATCCTCATTACAGGACCCACTAACTTCATTTTACAAATGTCAATGACTGAAGTTTGGAGAAATTTATGTTACTTTTTCAAATTCACACCTGCAGCCACACTCTTTCCTCTTTGCACCATAACAATGCTACATCATGTCCATGGGCAGCAGGAGGGCAGGGGCACCTAGACTATGTCAAGATTTAGAAAACTAGATATCGATGTGACTAGACTCAGTTAATGGAAGGTAGTACACTTGGGTATCAGCAGGCCTCTCTTCAGGCAACCAAAAAGGGGGCTGAGGAGAGAAATTAAGAAAAGGGCAGTCTAAGTTTAAGTTCCCCAAAAAGTAGACAAGAATCAAGGACAAGTTTAAGTAGGTGATCTGGGAAGTAAAGAAACAACAGCAAGAAAGTGAAGTCAAACAAAAGGAAAGGCAGCCAGTAAAGCTTGTTTACCAAACAAGTTACTACTGTGGGCAACTGGAGCTTAACCTCACTGGAGAGCCCTGGGAGCCAATATAGAGCCACACACCTCTGAGTTATTGGAACCAGAGAGTGAAGGAGCTGGGGTGCTTATACACCAATCCAATTTATTTTTTCTGTCAGTCAGTGGTTGAGAGCTGTCTCCGGGGGGCATAATCCCATGGCACTCCTATCTACCATGTACATGAGCAGAGTGGCCTATGATGGCAGAAGAAGAGTCTCAAACTAAAAGAGGCAGGTGTGGGCAGTTGAGAGCTAGGCCAGCACACATTTACATTGGTAAAGGCCAACATCAGGAATTCAGCTTAATGAATATCAGAAATCACAGTAGGGTGATGGCTTAGTATATCAGCAAGAAGCTAAGGCTAAGAAACCGCCTCTATAGAAACTATACTTATTGCCTAGATCAATTCGTTTATGTTGGTATTGAGGTAACTGATGGCCAAAAAATGTCCCTGGATGCTCAGTGCACTAAAGGCAAATTGATATTGCAATTCCCTGCACTTGAACTCCTGTACTCACATCTATTGTATCATACAGAAAACTATAATATGATGTACTTTCTTCCAAAGTAGATTTAATCCAGACAATAGCCTCCTTTAAACTACCAGGGAAAGAAAAAAAAAAACGGTGTCTGGATCACAAATCCATATAGGAAAGTAAATTGCAGAGAGGAAAATAGAGAAATAAAAAGCCACATTTACACACGTATACCTTGAAAACAATTTGGCTGTTTCTTAAAAAGGTAAACATATATTACCATACAACCCAGAAATCTTCCTAGGTATTTATTCTAACTATTGATCTAAGAGAGATGAAAACTGACATTCACACAAAAACCTATATGCCAACATTTATAGTGGCCCTTTTATAACTATCAAAAACAGTAAACAAACAAATGCCTCTCAGCCTCAGAATGGATAAACAAAGTGTGGTATATCCATATAATGGAATACAACTCAGAAATAGAAAGGAATGAACTACTGACATATGTAGTGGTTGTTGTTGTCATCCAACAACATGGATGAATCCAGCATGGATGACTTTCAAATGCATTATGCTAACTGGAAGAAGCCAGATTCAAAAGGCGATATTGTAGGATGCATTTATATGACATTCTAGAAAAGGCTGAGGTTGGGGAAAGAGTTGACTCCAAATGGACAGCACAGGGGATTTTATGGGTGATGGCTATGTGCTATATCTTGATTGTTTTCGTAGTTGTATGACTGCATACACTTATCAAAATTCATAGAATTGCATACCAAAAAGAGAATTGTATTGTAAATAATTTTTTCAGTGAACCAATCAAATAAATAAATAAAGCAATGGTAGGTTCTCATAGCAGCAAGGAACCTCAGTCAAAGTTAAAAACCTAACCCAGGGCACAGGGTTTGTGAAAGTTCCACCCTTTTGTGCTTCAGCCATTGGCAGCAGAATCCCAGGCCCTTAGTAACTGAGATGGTCCATGATTAAGGCAAAAATATGTGCAGACTAACAGATTCTTTGAACCTCCACACCACTACACCTCCAGCCCTGTGGTAGAGCCAAATCATGTGGATTGATTGCAGTCCAGTACCACAAAAATGACAATCATTCAATGAGATAAATAACAAAATGTTTAAAAGAAGAATATCAGATTTTTTAAAGGTTGGAAACATAACTTCAGTCTGGAGACTAGGAATCACATGAATGGTAAAACTGTCTTTGATAATACATGAAGTGTTTGGGACAGAGGAAGGAACATAAACTCTGGAACTCGACAAAATCGAATGTGAACTCCAGGTGTGACCCTGGCTCCATACTCCAGCTATGACTGTGGCAGAGTGAATTTGGGTCCCAATTCCTCTCCCCTCCCTGGACACTGCTTTTTACCATGTGACTTCATAGTTCTGCCCCTTGCACTGTGGGCATCGTGTACTTCCCCAACCCTTCACTTTGGGCTCAGTGAAGAGATCTGCTTTGGCCAATGGAATGTGGACAGAAGTGATGACATGTTTCTGAGGACCCACCATATCACATAAGTTTCTGTTTGCCTCTTGAGCTTTTGTCATCTGCATCAACAGAGCTTCTCTTGTGTAGCTGCTGTTCCTTTAGCCTGAACCTCGAAATGATCTTACACAACATGGACCATGCCAGCTACTCTCCTGACCTAAGAGCAAGCATCAATTATTCTTCCTTGAAGTCACCGAGTTTTGGGGTGTTTTTTATTCAGCATTACTGCAGCAATAGCTAATGGATACAATGATCTAGATGAGCACTTTTATCTCCCATTTATCCACTTATTCATCCAAAACAAATTTTTATTGAACACATACAGTATGCTAAGGACTAGAGTAGATTTTAAGCCCTCTGCCAAGTGATGAGCCTAGTTATCTCTTATGAAAGTAACCCAAAGCTCACTACCATGTGGGTACAAATGAGGTCACCAATGCACATATTTTGCCAGCTCCAAACCTCCCTCTGCTTACACAAGTAGTCCAGTCCATAAGGTAATTCTTGTGAAGCTCTGAACTGATCTGGGCTGTAGTCTGACGTCTCTCCCTCCACACTGTGTTTCACATTACCTCCCTTGCCTTCCATATCTCTGAAGTCTGCTTTACTGAGCTGTGCTTGACTGTGAGGATCCCACAGCACTGTGGGTACTGAAGCTTTTAGCTGTGATAGGCACTAGACCTATGGGGCTATTTCAGTTTAAATTTAAATTTATTTAAATTTAAACAAAATTAAAATTCAGTTCCTCAATCCTATTAGCCTCATTTCAAATGCTCAATAGCCCTATGTGTCCCATGAATACTCTATTGGACAGCACAGATAAAGAACATTTTCCTCATCACAGAATGAGGAAAATGGACAGTGTCCATTGTAATACTGGACAGTGTCAATTTGAATGTGTGAGTCCCCTCTTCTAGCTTGCTAATATTGCCCTTTTTCTCCCATGGGCTTATATATGCCGTCAGGGTGTCTTGTGCCAGCCTCAGTGCTAAACCCAGAACCAACAACAATGCAGACCCTATTGCAGAATCTGCCTCATCACACCATTTCCTTCTTTTGGAATTAATATTCTGGGGTCTCCAGAGCCCTTTCCCGAAGCTTGGCTTCTGTTGTAACCCTTCCCCCTGCCAGATCCATTCCATTCAAGTTATTTTCCTTCTGCACAGGTTTCTTGAATTCCATAAAAATTTGTCAATACATTTGGTAACATAAAGGAAGAGACATCACCCAACTCTTTCTGCCTGATGTAGTCATACCTCAGATCCCTCTAGGCAGAGCTGCATTCATGTAGAATTAAAATAGAAATACGAATACTCAGGCATTGAGGTGAGGAATAAATGCAATCATATGTTTGGCCAGGTGCGGTGGCTCACGCCTGTAATCTCGGCAATTTGGGAGGCCAAGGTGGCTGGATCACTTGAGGTCAGGAGTTCGAGAGCAGCGTGGCCAAACATGTTATTTAGTAGAGCCAGGGTTTCACTAAAAATACAAAAATTAGCCAGGCGTGGTGGCAGGTGCTTGTAATCCCAGCTACTCAGGAGGCTGAGGCAGGAGAATCTCTTGAACCCAGGAGACAGAGGTTGCAGTGAGCCGAGATCATGCCACTGCACTCCAGCCTGGGTGACAGAGCAAGACTCTGTCTCAAAATAATAATAATAATAATAATGATAATAATATGTTTAACATGTACAGTGCAGGACTTGGAGCATAGTGGATATCAACAAACGAGACTTTTCCCGCTAGTCATCCCAAGTGTATTGAAATTGGACAAAATTTTCTGATGCTAGATACTGGCTGATTTCATTACAGTAATGCCCAGCCAGACAAGTTCATAGGTGACTAGAAGTAACTCTCAGCTAGGATCCATGATTATCTCCCTTCAACTGCACCAAGGTCTTATCCTTTTGCCACTGGAGGAATAAAAGAAAGAGAGATTCCTGATTAGAGGATCCAACTCCAACTAGATGTCCCCTAAATGATTCTAAATGTTTCTAAAGGAATCTCCAGTTCTTCCTTTGGCTCCTTGGCAGCTGCTTTCAGAAACATAGCATGACCATTTAAAAAATCTCAACACCTTGGCCACTCCTATGTTGATCCCCCTACCTTAACCACTGGAGTAACATTCATGTGCTTAAAAAATTAACATAGAAGGAGGCCTCATTGGGAAGAATACGTCCGTCTTGAAGGAAGAATTGTTAACCAAGAACAAAGCTACAGGAGGGTTTCTGTTGTGTTTTCGTCCAAGCTCTTTGGAATTTTTGGTCTTGGACAGACAGATCAACACAGCACATCGCTCCCAAGTTTCCAACCCCAAAATATTTTTCTTAATTTTAAATCTTTGAAGAAGAAATGCTACATTTGCTTCATGATTTTTTACTATTGAACATGATGGAAAGAGAATGCTAGCTTCTGTCTCTTGTCCCCCAGTGGAAGTGGGGCCAATGGAAAAAGCTGAGATGTTGCATTTTTCTGCCCATCTATTGAGATTTTCAAAGTACACCACTAAGAAAATATTCCTATTTAAAAAGAAGTTCATCCCTGTTACTTATGGCTTTGATGATTAAATTTGAAAAAGACTTATAATTCTAAAATAAATGAACCCTCACCCCTTCCAAGATTCCAGATCCTAAATATCCCCAGACACTTCCTCTTAGAGGAACTGGCAGGATAAATTTGTATTTGCCATTCTCCGAAAATGCTGATCACCAAACCGAGCTGCTTTGAATAGGCCTTTCAAACTCCGATGCATCTCATAATATTTTGCATGAAACTTTCCACCCATAGTATTAAAACTCTGTTTATTCTGCTTTTCTCTCTTCCATTTTGTTCTAATTTTGCATGTTCTGCATTTTATTCCATACCTTGTGACTTGTTCCTCTTCCTTCTTTTCCCTCACTATACCTTTCCCCTCATGTGTTTCCTTCTGTCTGTGATACACAAGATCCTTGATTCTCCCTTGGTCTTTCCCAACTCAGTCAACAGCTAAACCTTCTGCCAGACCCCAGAGCCACAAACCTAGGACTCATCCTTGATTTTTCACGGCCAACATCCAATCTGTTCATATGCCCTCCTGAATGTGCCATCAAAACATTTCCCGGATCCATACACATCTATTTACTCTGTTCCACCCTTCACTCCAAGCTAACATTATTTTCACCATGATCTCCTGATTGGCATCTCTGCTTCCATTTCTGTTCTTCTACAATTGATTCTTCATATAGCGTTGGAGTGATCTTTTAAAACACATGTAAGTTTATTTCATTCCCCTACATAAGCTCACCAATAGCTTCCTTTGAGACTTATAATGAAATCAGAATTTCTTATAACTCTTTCTAAGGAATGGCTCTGAAGGATGTAGTCTGTTCCTACCTTCCAACCTTATCCTCTGGACTCATTTCCTATCATGTTCTCTTTGGTCACTATAATCTAGCACACTAGCCTTTCCTCTGCACTTTGAATTTTCCTACTTTCTTCTGCCTTAGGACATTTGCATTAGCTGTTCCCTCTGCCTGAAACAGTCTTTCCCCATAACTCCAAATGACCAACTCATTCTTGATCTTCAAGTCAGTGTTATTTCAGAGAGGACTTTCCTGACCACCAATCTCAGTGTAGCTCTCCAGTCCTTCTGGATCCCATCCTCCCAGCATGTATTTTTATAGTATTTATTACTACCTAATATTTGCCAGTTTTACTTCTTTGCTGATTGTCTATTCTTCTATATTGGAATGTTAGTCACATAAGGGCAGGGATTTTTGTCTATCTTGTTCACAGCAGTATCCCCAACACCTAGAGCTGTGACCAACACACAATAAGTGACAAATAAATATTTTGTAATGAATAACTGAGTAACGCTCCCAGAATTATTCTCTTCTCCTCATCTGTGAGGGGGAAATAGGCTGATTTCTTTGAGGAGCTATTCTTCATCTCAACCAGAGAGATGATGTTACTCTCTTTAGACAAGACTGGAAGAGAAAGAAGTTAACATCGATTAAGGGCTCACTCTGTGATTGGCACTGTGTTTAATCCTCTAAACATGTTATATCATTTAATCTTTACAATATTCCTTTGAGTCACCAGTATCTTCATTTTTATAAATAAAAAGCTGAGAGCTAACTCTAGTAAAAGCTATGTAGCCTCATCTAGATTGTGTTTAAATCCGAACACTGTGAATAATGGTTGCTAATGCTCAGAGCATTAGCACTGAATCAGCATCACCTCTTCCCTGAAAATTGCTCTCTTATGACAGAAACACCTCATAAGAAGATTGCATGTCCTGTGTTGTCCCCTAGACAAAAATTGACTGACACAGGGGCCCAAAAGTTGACCAACCCCTTGGGACAAATTCCGTGGTACAATTTACCCTCCAAGTCTCCCCACAGGATCAGGCTGAAGCTAGATTCCAGCCAAGCTTTTCTACACTTGCTCAGCATCCTCTCCTGCCCCTCCTGCTTCCCTCATTCTGGTGCAAATGTTTTCTGAGAGCATCCCCTTAATAAATCATTTACACAAAAGTCCCTATCTCAGGCTCTGCTTCTGAGGAACTCAACCCTAAGACACTTGGAAAGAATGAATCACATACTCAAAGTCAAAGAATTAATATGTGGCAGAGCTAGAATTCGATCACAGGTCTGTGTGACCCTTGGGCTCTCACCACTGCATCGCACTTACTCTTGAAATTCTATTTTTGAGCCTTCAGGGAAGACTGCCATGGACCATTCTGGTATAAGAGTTTCTGAAATATGCCTAATGCCAAAAAAAAATTCTGCCACAGGAGTTAGTGGTCCTTGTACTCCCAAGAACTACAGCATAAAGGGGAAAAGGATACATTAGGGAAAAGAGGACAAATGGTAGCTAAGGGACTGGCTCTGTGCCCTTCTATATCCAGAAAGCCTCTGTCTACTCTGACCTTCAACGCATTACTTGAGTCCTCCATCTGTTTCTTTATCTGCAAAATGGTGATAACATCTATGGTGAAAAGTCGTGCTGCAATGTCTGCTAGGTAGTAGGTGCTCTGAAAATGGAGCTAATAGTCTCCTAAACCACAAGTGTTGCTACCCCACTCCAAAGCTCTCTTGAGATTCAAGTCCTAGGTCTCCAAATATGTTCCTTTCATCTCCCACTCCTCACCACCACTTTTTCATGGAGGCTGGTTTTCAGTGCATGTAAAATAAGTTGGTTCAACTAGTTAGGCCAAGACTGGGGGTTGCCAGGGAGCTGGGTGTTGAGGGGAGAATACCTCATTGGCTTTTATCTGAGGCATCTAGTTCTGCCTGAGCATGCTACTGGGAGATAGGCTGGTATTCACCTCCCCCAAGTGATGCTACAAGAATGAAGACAATTACACATGGTCCAACTATGCAGAAAGTTATGATGTGTCTTATAGACATATAGCTTACCTCCCTTGACATGAGAAAAGGAATTGAGCATACTTCAAACTTATTTAGTGCCTCTTAAATGGCTGGCTGAGCTATAAAAAATATCACCTTCAATGTCATAGTTAACATTCCCTGTGCCAAGAACATACAATCATTATTCTGTTCATTCCTTACTACAGGCCTGTATTTTTAAATACTCCTTCCCATTTCCAGAGGAAACTAACACTTAGAGTAGTGGTCCTCAAATTTTAACACCCATCAGAATCATCTGGATGGCTTTCTAAAATCCAGATCACTGAACCTTCTCTCCTGAGTTTCTGATTTAGCAGGTTTGGGTCTGCAGCCGCAGAGTTTGCGTGGACCACACTTTGAGCACTGGCTTAGACAACTTACATAAAATTTATAAGACTCCAACTCTTCTCTGTTTACATGGCAAAATTCCTGCTCTTTGCTATGGAAGGGAAATCCTTGCCTGGTTATCACGTTAAGTGCTGGACCTGGCTCCTCCTGTCACAAGAGCCAATGGTTATAATATCTTCCCAACTTCACATTCAATTATGTCACTCACACTTCACACAGTAGCCCAAAATCAGCTATGGTGGGAGTATTAACAACATGGAAATTGGTGAACACTACAAATCAGAGTTGATATTTTCTAGAAGCCAATTATTAAACTTCTACCAGTAGACTACAGATCATGGTCATGCCTTCAGATTTCTCTCCTCATTCTCCATCCCCTCAGAAGGAATTCCTCAGTGACCAATGGCCATGATGTGGCTAGGGAAATGGCTCCATCCACACAGTCATATGGGTTTTAACACCACATTCTTAAGTCCGTTTCTTTTCTTCAGTTTTTTGTTTAAGAGGGAAAGTGACCAATTTCAACATGAACATCTTCTCCTGAAAATCATGGTGAGCACAAAACAGCCTTACTGTGGATACTTCAGATTTGCAAGGCTCATTGTGAAGTCATCTCATGCATCCCATCCCTTCATTTATATTTGTAACATATATTTTTTGGTGACAAATATTCTCTTCCAGGCACTAAATTAGACAAAGGGGGTAGAAAAGAAAAGACAATGGTAGGCCTTGTGAAGCAAATAGTCTATCGCATGGGCTTAAGGAAAAACAAATTTTCAGATAGAAGAAAGTCAAAAAGAAACCTTCACCTTGGAATTCTTATTTAGGTTTCAATTTTTAAATGGGTAATGCATTCATATACACAGTACGAAATCCTACAGGTACAAAAGGATACACAGTAAAATATAAGTCTCCCTCCCACCTTTGTCTTCCAACCACTCAGTTCCCATCTTCTGGGAGGAAAAAAAAAAATGCTACTTTCATTTTCTTTGTTTATCTAAAGATACTTTATGCACATACAAACAAAAACATTTTTTCATTTTTTACACTAATGATAGCTCATAACACAAATTGTTCTTCATCCTTCATTTTTTCATAATAACATACATTGGATATTATTCTATAGCAATAAAGATCTGCCTCACTCTTTTTGACCATCAACCATAATATATTTATCCAGTCCCCTATTAAAGTTGTTTATAACGTTTTTCAGTTACAAACAGCACCACATTGAATAACTTTGTGCATTCATTCCTTCATCCATGTATGGATATTTCTACAGGATAAATTCCTAGAAGTGTAATTCTAGGTCAAGGGACATTTGCAATTTTAGTAGTTATTACCAAATTGTCCTCCAAATTATTTGTAGTAATTTACAGGGCCACCAATAATGTATGACAGTTTCAGTTTCTTATTTTTTCAACCAAATATATCATTAAACATTCAGGCGTTTGCCAATCTGAGAAATGAAAACTATTATAATTTTAATACACATATTTATTATAATGGATGAGGTTGAGTGGCTTTTTACAAATACAAGATTCACTTGTATCTGCTTTTTAGTAAACTATCTGATCATATACTTTGTCCATTTTTTTCTACTAGGTTTTCAGTCTACTTTTATTGATATGTAGGTACTTTTTATACATTATAGAAATTTTTCCTTATCTGATATGAAATGTAATTTTTTCATATGGTTATTATAAACTGAGAAGAAATCCATTAACATTAACCACAGGACCTTTCTTTTTTAGCCCACAAACTACCTCCTATACTTAAATACATTTGAAAGTAGTAAAGAACTTTGGGTTCAGGAGCCATAGACAATATTAAAAGTATTTATTTCCATCCAAAACTATAGCTTTCTAAAATTGTGGTAAAAGGCATAAGCTCCAACTAGATCATTTGACAGTAACATGTAGAATCTCACTCCTGAACCAACAAGGAAAAGAATCCCAGAATGAAGACCATGAGAAGTAATGGAGAAGGACCAGCTTCGGTTTGTTGTCTCAGCAAGTGTCAGAGTGGAATGCTAGGATGTCTTGGGAAGCTTGCTCGCTTGTTTATTTTCAAATGCCTTTTGAGAACCCATAAGGAAAGCCTAGATAAGAGCAGACAGGACTAGAGATGGCTACTAGCTATGGGGATTCATGTGGGCCTTTAAAAGGGACACTCCACGCCCACCCTCTACTCTGCCCTCCAAAAGAAATTTGCAAACTGGAAAAGGGGGCAGCATGAATTATCTCCACACAAGTCCCTAGATGCCTGGGTTTACTTATAATAGCAGCTTTCTTTTGTGATTCAACAAATATATCTCTTACAAATAGGCAACTTTCTGCTTCGATGCAGGATTGCCAGCTCTGAGCTAATGCCAGAGCCGTCTGGGCTGTCCCTCACTCCAAATTAAGGTTTTCTTAAACACTGTTTTCAAGAAGTTGGGGGTGGCTCTGGTTTATTTCCGATAATCAAGTTTTGCAAAGACTTCTGGCTAAGAAAACACCACATAAGCCTCTAAATCCCAAGAAGGCCCAATAGAAACCTTAAGGAGAAAAGATAAAACTCTCAACAGGCGCCAATGTCCTGGGGCTCAGATCTTCAGAGCAGCGTGAAATCCACACTTCAGGGGGCTCAGAAATGGAACTCCCTAGTCTCTTTGAAAAGTGGTCATGAGACAGTATCTTCTGAAAAAACTGGCAACCAAGCCTTTAACTGTTAGCAAGAACACCTAAAACTGTACTTGTTGATCTACAATTTTATGGTTCTCCCTGCATCCCGCCACAAAGCGATAACCCCAACAATGTAGATGGAAATGAATGATAGGCTGAACTCGTGTTGTGCAAATGCCAAGATGTAACTTAAGAGGAGCTTGCCACCCCAAAGGCAAGTATAACACTCATTTTTGCAAGACTAGGGTAGTGTTTCCTGCTTCTTTTTCATCTCCTGTGGTTCCTCACACTGGGTTTAGTGCACAGTAGGTGCACAATGGGCAAGGATGACCAAGTAGGCACTCTCACAAAGTGCCCCAGGTAGTTGCAGGAATATTTTACTCTTCCCTGCACTCCCAGCCAAGTCTTACCCATTCCTTAAGTCCTAGCACAATTCGCTTATCTTCCAAGAACCTTCCAGGCTGCTTATTTCAGTTCATATTGATTTCTCTCTCTACTCTCTTCTCATCTCCTGCACTAGGGTCTGAATAAATTCAGCACTTAATATAGTTCACCTTGTGTAATCATAGACTTCTCTATTTGTGTATGGATCTTGACATCACAGCTACACAAGAAGCTCCTGGAGCAAAGAAACATTTACATTCACATGCTTCTGCAGAGAAAAAAAATGAACTCTGCTCTTCATGTTCTAAGTCTTTCATGCTGTTCTCTCTGTCTGAAACATCTCCTTCCTTTATCTTCATCTTTCAGACCTCAGCTTAGCAATGTCTTCCTTTAGGAAGGCTCCTCAGATGCCCTGTCTTTATCTCTATGACAGTGGCCATCACGCCATGTGATGATTGATGGCTGCCACATGGACGGACTGTGTCTATATCAGTGAGTGAATGCTGCATACAAATCCACCACACCCCAAAACTTAGCGACTTCAAACATGAGTCCATGAGCTGTGCCCAGCTGTGTTTGCTCATGCATCTGTGGTCATCTGGGTGGCACTAGCTGGTCTAGGATGGCGTTAACTGGGCCACGTGCCTGTGACCTCTCATCCTCCAGCAGACTAGCTTGAACTTGTTCACACAGCATCTGGGCAAGGTTCTGAGAGAAAGAAAAGGGGCAAGGGAGAGATTCATACAAGATATTTTGAAGCATAGGTGAATAACTGGCACAAGGTCACTTTTGCTGCACTCTATTGTCAAATCAAGGCACAAGCCTAACCCAGATTTAAGAGTGAGGAAATGGACTCCTCTTGAGAGGAGCTAAGATAAGTCACATTACAAAGAGGCATGCTACAGAGAGGGGTGAAGAAGTGCAGTCATTTTTGCATTTAGTCTCCCATACTCTCCCTCACCCAACCATAACCTCCTTGCAGACAGATATGATGTTCTGTTCACTGTTACATCTCTAGCCTCTAGGACAAGACTAGCAGAGAGCAGTCTTATTTGTTAAACAAATATATGAGTTAACTAACAAATAGTGATGAAAATAGAGGAAATGGGGAGGAAAACCCTCAGGCTTCACCATCTATGTGCCGTGGATGAATGTTTTACTTAATCCTTTCAATTTATTTCATTGGTTCCAGGAGCACAGTCTCAGAACTCCTATGCCATTGCATTGTCTACTTTTAAGTCTGGTTTTCTGTGTCAGGTACTATTCTAACCTTTTTTTTTTTTCCCGACAGAGTTTCACTCTTGTTGCCCAGGCTGGAGGGCAATGGCACAATCTCGGCTCACTGCAACAGCCGCCTCCCATGTTCAAGCAGTTCTCCTGCCTCAGCCTCCCAAGTAGCTGGGATTACAGGCATGTGCCACCACGTTCAGCTAATTTTGTATTTTTAGTAGAGATGGGGTTTCTCCACATTGGTCAGGCTGGTCTCGAACTCCCGACCTCAGGTGATCCACCCACCTCGGCCTCCCAAAGTGCTGGGATTACAGGCGTGAGCCACCGCGCCTGGCCTATTCTAAGCGTTTTATGTGAATTAGTCAATAAATTATTACACAAATACTGTGAGACAGACATTATCTCTCAATTTACCAATGAGGAAACTAAGGCACAGAGAGATTAATAGCCTCTGCAACTTCACAGTTCAAAAGTAGCAGAGGTGGAATTTGAACTCATCTAGTCTGGGTTCCAGGTCAGCTCTCTCAACCACTACATTACATTGTGCCTCAAAATGTGTGGCTTATACAGGCTTTGCCAATCCTAGCTACTAGAAAAGTTCTCTACTTCAATAGGGTTGTCCAATACAGTGGCCACTAGCCACATAAGGATATTTAAATTTAAATTCATTAAAATGTACAGAATTAAAGGTTCAATTTCTCATCACATTGGCCACATTTTAAGTGTGCGATAGCTAATGAATACCAAATAGGACAGGGCAGAGAACATTTCCATCGTTGCAGAAATTTCCACTGGACTGCATAGATCTAGAATATTCCACTCTCAGAGAATTTTCCTTAGATCACAAAGAGAATGAAACCTGAAGCTTTTAGGGTCAAGATATGATGTTCTGTCATATGGCCATTTACCAGCAATGTAGGAAATTGGCAACTTGAATTCTGGGGTCCTTCAACATGAGCATGTGTGGGCCACTGAGACATCACAAGTTGTATTTCTAATGAATATCATCTGAATGTAGAATTCATGCAAGCATGAAAAGCAAGCATTTTTTTAAAAACCTATGCAATTTGAGTTCTCAAAAGCTCTATGCCCTGGCCCCATATTCTCCATCTCAAAAGCAAACCCCTATACACTCAAGGTGGAAAGGTCCATCTTTTCTGAATGGGAAAAACACCACATGATATGGGGTGGAGGAAGGCACAATACAGAGAAAAGCAGTAAAGAACCTTTTCTTGGTGAAGAGAGGAACAGCTGGTGAGCAGGATCGAATGAAGCTTTTAGAACATCTGACTCCCAGAACTAGAGACCTGGCCAAGGATTCTTGCTTCTCTGAATTTCACTTTAAATGTGATGTCTAAGTAATTCCAAACAGCTGAGGAAATTTCAGCTATGTTATATAAATATTGCTGTTATTTCTCCACTCATAGCTTTTCATGCCATTATTTAAATCTGATGATCTGCTCTGCAAATTTGGCTAGGGCTCTCCTGAAAGCTGCTTGCTTAGTATTGAAGGTGGGTGACAACAGATGAAACGTGGGGTGATGCCTTGCTTTGTGCCTCTGTTTGCAACTTCCCACCAATGTTCTGAGAGCAAACACCAACTAGCCTACAGATGACTTGTCTCTTTGTCTATCTAGATATTTCCAGAACTCTGAAACTAGTGAGAAAGTAACAGTAAGAAATCAGCCTTGAAGAGAGTCTTGTTGGTGTCTCAAAAATCAGTCATGATTTGGAAAATAAGAAAGAGAAATTAGTACAAATGGTATGCCATACCACGTGGATTGTCTTTGACGTCACCCTCTTTCATTATAAAGTCTGCTAAAAGGTGTGCTAGTTTTTATGGTTTTCAAAACATGATGAGTTTCCAAAAACTAAACCTCAACCCACTAATAGTGGCTAGTTTAATAATCAAACATAGTCTTATACTGCAAGTCATTCCCCTAACTGCTCAAATCCAGGTTTTGTCTTTCTTCTTCCTTTTATTATAGAAGTATATAATTAGACCTGAACTCAAATGTTAAGAATGTAAAGCCTCTTTAGAAAAAAGAATGGAGTCTGTGGAGGAAGATGCACTACTAATTTTAGGATACTGCTCAAATGCAGTTGAACAGGTTTAGAAAATCTTTGTGGTTAAATTCCCCACCTTTCCCACCAGGATGGTCATTTAATGCCTGTCATATTTTTACCTAATACTATAAGCCGCGTACACCCAGACTCATCTACAATATCAGCTTTATCAGAAAAGCTAGAGCGGAATATGATCAGTGGGAAAGATTAAGGGGGCTTTGCAAACAGAGGAAGGCATGTTCCATGTTAATTGCTAATCAGTTTCTGCCAATATGGCACCGTGACAGAGGCAGCAGGCCTCATATAACAAGAAGGAGATGGTCTGCTTTTCTGGGGTACAATATGTATAAAGAGAAGAATCATCCAACGACCCCAGGTGACTAATTTCTCTATAAATTTATTATTGACAAAATAGAAGCCTTTTTAATGGGATTATAACTACCCAGACAGCTGCTCTGCTAGTTGTGGAGAACATGGTTGACAAAAAAGATTTAAAGGAAAGAATAGAGGAAAATAGCAAACCTCCAGCCAGGCACACTTAGGACCCCATTTGCTTGAAAATAATAGGATCACATTGCAGATATGAAAGGAAAAGCCAATGCGCTTAAAGCAATCGCTTTCTGCACGCTCCTCATCATTTCTCTCCCACTGCTCAGCTAAGGGCACTGTTCAACAACAAATGGAGACGCCCCCATTTCCCTTGTGCCTGAAGCAGGCCTTTCAAAGGAAAGGCCACATTGTCTGGTACAGCGTTCTTTAAAGGAATTAGGTTTGAATTTAAACGGTTTCTAATGTGGACATGTTCTTTGCTTCCACTGCCAGGCTAACTTTTATAATTTACATGAAACTCATTGCAAGTTTTACTCAAAAAAAGCAATTATCTCAGATGCTGCTCTTCAGAAAAAAAAAATAATAATAAGTATATGAAGAACTGATCAAGGAAAAGAAAAATTGCCTTAAGAATCAATTCCACAATTAAATTTCACTTGGATTTCAAAGGACATTAAATAAAACGGTAGTATCTCTTCATTGTCCTCTATTAAGAAAAAACAGTGAAAAATAATATATGAGATTGTCTACATTTTTTTAAGGTTTATGGAAAATAGTGCTTTCAGATAAGATGAGAGAACATAGAGCCAAGTCTATGACTTATTTCCTTATATTTATCCATAGTTTCTAGTGACTTACACATTCATTCATTCGATAACTAGAAATTCAATGGAGAATGAAACAAAGTACAATCCTGCCATCAGGAGCTTATATTCTAGGGGGAAATGCTCTAAGTTAGATTCTCATGGAGCTGAGCCTGAGATGGGGATTCTTTTACATGTGATTTATAAGGGAGGAGTCTCAGGTAATACCAACAAGGCAATGAGGAAGCACAGGGCAGAAGAAGCCGAGAAAGTATATGATTTCAGCTGATCCCACAGACAGCCCTGGAGTGTGAGTGACACCACAGAGGCAGAGTGGCATACCCTTGCAAGCATGCCCATACCCCACCAAACCCCATATCCTCTCCATTCCTCCAAAGTTAGTCAAGGCAATAAAACAAGCACACGTGACACTGTCAAAGGCCAACACAATAGGAGGTGTTTGAGTTTTTTTGTTTTTGTTTCTTGTTCATGTAATCATTTCGTACAGATTTTCTTGATCATGTAGTTCTTCTTCAAGCTCTGAATCAAGAACCGAGGTTCCTTCTATCTTCTTCCTTCACCATCTTCACATACACGATTTCCATGATGGAAAAAGCAGATGTGGAAACCCCTAGAGGGTGCTCCTGGGAGCTTTTGAGGGCCTGGAAGCAGCACACATCACTTCCACCCACATTCTATTGGCCAGAGTGCAACCAGTGATCAGATTTAACTGCAAGGGAGGCTAGGAAAGGTTGCTTAGCTGTGTGCCAGGAAGCAATGAATACACATTTAAAGAACATCTAGATAGTCTCTACCATCCCTCCTCTCTGACTCTGTGCTCAAAGAAGCCCAGAAGAACAGACATGCAAGTGCCTGTAGAATAGAGAAGACCTTCTCCCAGCACTCATTGACTGCACCCGTGAAAGGTAATCCATTGCCCATAGGCATCTCTGCCGCCTAGGAGCAATGGAAGAGGCAAAGGCATGGGAGTGGGAAGAGGAGAGACCTGTTGCATCCGCCCAAAGCTGATCCTCTAATTCTCATTTATTTCAGCTCAGTTTCCTCATCTGCCAAGTAGGACAAAGACCCAGTGATAACTACTCTATACATCACACTGGAATTTTTTAGAGGGAAAGTAAAGAAACAAAGAATTTATTTTTATTTAAATTCAGTGAATTTAAGAGCTTTGGCCAAATTTACAATAATTGATTAGTGATGTAGGTAAATTCTAACTCCAAGTTTTTTCAAGTCCTACTGTAATAGCTCTCATAGCAAACATAGAAGCTCATGGAAGAGTATACGTCACTGCCCAAGTGTATGGTGGAATTGTCTTTTGTTGCAAACATGTGGGTTATCATCACTTTTCAGAAGGACATTTAGGGGGCCACAAAGGAAAATTCTCCAATCAGCCTACAACAAGATTAACAATATCATGAGGCATAGCTAGCTCCCAGAACATCGTGATAAAGCCGTTAGCTTATTCACCAGGGAATGCTGGTTACCTATTCGGAAAACAACCCTCTTCCAAAGGGAATGTTTGCAGGCTGGAGCAATCAAATGACAAGAAGTAGGATCATAAATAAAGAGTAGAATGAAATCTTGCATAAACACCAGCAATAACTTGGCTGGGTGACTCTCACCCTAGAGACACATGAGCACCACATGAAGAACTTTTTAAAATGTGGATGCCCAAACCCCACTTCGGATAAAGTAAATCAGAATTTTTAAGGTAGGGCTCAGGCATCAGGATTTTTTAAAGTTTCCCAAGCAATTTTATTGTGCAGCTATATTTGAGAGCTACTGGTTCTCCCAGTGTGTCTTCACAACATTTTTTTTCCTCAAATACTGTTAACACTTTTATTTATATTTTTACAGACTTTTCTTATGGGTGCATGTACTATTCTTTCAAGGTTGAGATCATATTAACTACATGTATTCAGGATACCAAACCTTGCCAATTTTTAAATTTTTTTAAAATTTTACTTTAAGTTCTGGGGTACATGTGCAGAACGTGCAGGTTTGTTACATAGGTATACACATGCCATGGTGCTTTGCTGTACCCATCAACCTGTCATCTACATTAGGTATTTCTCCTAGTGCTATCCCTCCCCTAGCCCCCCACCCCCCGAGAAGCCCCAGTGTGTGGTGTTCCCATCATTGTGTCCATGTGTTCTCATTGTTCGACTCCTACTTATGAGTGAGAACATACCGTATTTGGTTTTCTGTTCTTCTGTTAGTTTGCTGAGAGTGATGGTTTCCAGCATCATCCATGTCCCTGCAAAGGACATGAATTCATCCTTTTTTATGGCCGCATAGTATTCCATGGTGTATATGTGCCACATTTTCTTTATCCAGTCTATCACTGATGGGCATTTGGGTTGGTTCCAAGTCTTTGCTATTGTGAACAGTGCCACAATAAACATATGTGTGCATGTGTCTTTATAGTAGAATGATTTTTAATCCTTTGGGTATATACCCAGTAATGGGATTGCTAGGTCAAATGTTATTTCTAGTTCTGGATCCTTGAGGAATCTCCACACTGTCTTCCACAATGGTTGAACTAATTTACACTCCCACAAACAGTGTAAAAGACTTCCTATTTCTCCGCATCCTCTCCAGCATCTGTTGTTTCCTGACTTTTTAATGATTGCCATTCTAACTGGCATTAGACGGTATCTCATTGTGGTTTTGACTTGCATTTCTCTAATGACCAGTGATGATGAGCTTTTTTTCATGTTTGTTGGCTGCATAAATGTCTTCTTTTGAGAAGTGTCTGTTCATATCCTTCACCCACTTTTTGATGGGCTTGTTTTTTCTTTTAAATTTGTTTAAGTTCTTTGTAGATTCTGGATATTAGTCCTTTGTCAGATGGATAGATTACAAAAATTTTCTCCCATTCTGTAGGTTGCTTGTTCACTCTGGTGATAGTTTCATTTGCTGTGCAGAAGCTCTTTAGTTTAATCAGATCCCATTTGTCTATTTTGGCTTTTGTTGCCATTGCTTTTGGTGTTTTAGTCATCAAGTATTTGTCCATGCCTATGTCCTGAATGGTACTGCCTAGGTTTTCTTCTAAGGCTTTTTATGGTTTTAGGTCTTATGTTTAAGTCTTTAATCCATCTTGAGTTAATTTTTGTAAAAGGTGTAAGGAAGGGATCCAGTTTCAGCTTTCTGCATATGGCTAGCTAGTTTTCCCAACACCATTTCTTAAATAGGAAATCCTTTCCCCATTGCTTGTTTTTGTCAGGTTTGTCAAAGATCAGATGGTTGTAGATGGGTGGTGTGATTTCTGAGGCCTCTGTTCTGTTTCATTGGTCTATATATCTGTTTTGGTACCAGTACCATGATGTTTTGGTTACTGTAGCCTTGTATTATAGTTTAAAGTCAGGTAGCGTGATGCCTCTCGCTTTGTTCTTTTTGCTTAGGATTGTCTTGGCTATGTGGCCTCTTTTTTGGTTCCACATGAAATTTAAAGTAGTTTTTTCCAATTCTATGAAGAAAGTCAATGGTAGCTTGATTGGGACAGTATTGAATCTATAAATTACTTCAGGGAGTATGGCTATTTTGATGATATTGATTCTTCTTATCCGTGAGCATCGTATGTTTTTCCACATGTTTGTGTCCTCTCTTATTTCCATGAGCAGTGGTTTGTAGTTCTCCTTGAAGAGGTCCTTCACATCGCTTGTAAGTTAGATTCCTAGGTATTTTATTCTCTTTGTAGCAATTGTGAATAGGAGTTCACTCATGATTTGGCTCTCTGTCTGTTATTGGTATATAGGAATGCTTGTGATTTTTGCACATTGATTTTGTGTCCTGAGATTTTGCTGAAGTTTCTTATCAGCTTAAGGAGATTTGGGGCTGAGACGATGGGGTTTTCTAAATATACAATCATGTCATCTGCAAACAGAGACAATTTGACTTCCTCTTTTCCTATTTGAATACCCTTTATTTCTTTCTCTTGCCTGATGGCCCTTGTCAGGACTTCCAACACTATGTTGAATAGGAGTGGTGAGAGAGGGCATCCTTGTCCTGTACTGGTTTTCAAAGGGAATGTTTCCAGTTTTTGCCCATTCAGTATGATATTGGCTGTGGGTTTGTCATAAATAACTCTTACTATTTTGAGATACATTCCATTAATGCCTAGTTTATTGAGAGTTTTTAGCATGAAGGGCTGTTGAATTTTGTCGAAGGCCTTTTCTGCATCTATTGAGATAATCATGTGGTTTTTGTTGTTGGTTCTGTTTATGTGATGGATTACGTTTATTAATTTGTGTATGTTGAACCAGCCTTGCATCCTAGGGATGAAGCCTACTTCATCCTGGTGGATAAGCTTTTTGATGTGCTGCTGGATTTGATTTACCAGTATTTTATTGAGGATTTTCACATCGATGGTCATCAGGGATATTGGCCTGAAATTTTCTTTTTTGTTGTGTCTCTGCCAGGTTTTGGTATGAGGATGATGCTGGCCTCATAAAATGAGTCAGGGAGGATTCCCTCTTTTTCTATTGTTTGGAATAGTTTTGGAAGGAATTATATCAGCTCCTCTTTGTACCTCTGGTAGAATTCAGCTGTGAATCCATCTGGTCCTGGACTTTTTTTGGTTGTTAGGCTATTAATTGCTGCCTCAATTTCAGAACTTGTTATTGGTCTATTCAGGGATTTGACTTCCTCCTTGTTTAGTCTTGGGAGGGTGTATGTGTCCAGGAATTTATCCACTTCTTCTGGATTTTCTAGTTTATTTGCGTAGAGGTGTTTATAGTATTCGCTGTTGGTAGTTTATATTTCTGTGGGATTGGTGGTGATATCCCCTTTAACATTTTTTATTGCATCTATTTGATTCTTCTCTCTTTTCTTCTTTATTAGTCTGGCTAGTGGTCTATCTATTTTGTTGACCTTTTCAAAAAAAAAAACTAGCTCCTGGATTCATTGATTTTTTTTGAAGGGTTTTTCCTGTCTCTATCTCCTTCAGTTCTCCTCTGATCTTAGTTATTTCTTGTCCACCGATCCCACAGAAATACAAACTACCATCAAAGAATACTATAAACACCTCTAAGACCACAGTGCAATCAAATTAGAACTCAGGATTAAGAAACTCACTTGAAACCACACAACTACATGGAAACTGAACAACCTCCTCCTGAATAACTACTGGGTAAATAATGAAATGAAGGCAGAAATAAAGATGTTCTTTGAAACCAGTAAGAACAAAGACACAATGTACCAGAATCTCTGGGACACATTTAAAGCAGTGTGTAGAGGGAAATTTATAGCACTAAATGCCCACAAGAGAAAGCAGGAAAGATCTAAAATTGACACCCTAACATCACAATTAAAAGAACTAGAGAAGCAAGAGCAAACAAATTCATAACATCTTGTTGAGAGTGAGGGACACTTGAAAGGAAACGGGGGAGTGAATTATGCAAATAAGAGGCTTGAGGTATGAGCAGAGCATCTGAATAATGATGAGAACAGACACATGAAATTCCCACAGTAGCAGGACAAGTAGTCAGCTCCATGTCCTTCCTCCTGCAACTTCCCACCTGCTGGAGTCATTCCTGTCAACATCTCCCAAGCTTGTGTCCTCCTTGGGAAGTGTCTTATATAAATAGTTTCTGAGCTTCCATCACCAGCCTGAGCAAGGTTTCTCAGGATAGGAAGGCTGATACGGTGTGGCTCTGTGTCCCATCCAAATCTCACCTCTAATTGTAATCATACCCATGTGTTGTGGGAGGGACCCAATGGGAGGTAATTGAATCCTGGGGATGGGTTTTTCCCATGCTGTTCTCATGACAATGCATAAGTCTCAGAAGATCTGATGGTTTTATAAAGGGGAGTTTCCCTCTGCACACTCTCTTGCCTGCCACCATGTAAGATGTGACTTCACTCCTCATCCACCTTCTGCCATGATTGTGAGGCCTCCCCAGTCAAGTGGAACTGTAAGTCCATTAAGCCTCTTTCCTTTATAAATTACCCAGTCTTTGGATATGTCTATATTAGCAGTGTGAGAACAGACTAATACAGAAGCTGATGTTCTAAAATACTTTTGATGGCAATGAACTGGAGGCCACAAAGTAGGCTAAGAACAGTCTCCATTTATTGAGCACTAACTACCTGTAAAGCACTGGGCAAAGGGCTTCACATGTGTTATCTCGTTTCACACTATAAAGTAGGTAATGTGACACCTATTTTTCAGAGAGGTAAGCTCAGGCTGAAAATGAAAAATTTGCTTTAAGCTATCCAACTAATAATAACAGTAGAACCTGGTTTCAAACCTAGACTACCAACTTTCAAAACTCTTGCAGTTAAACAAAAATGGTTGCTAGATATAGGGGCCTATTCAGTGTCTTGAGCTCAACCACCCTTCAGAGTTGGAAACCTATAAGGGATAGAGAGGGAAAAAAACCCTGAGATTTATTTTAAGTAAAAATTTCAGGGATTACAAAGCTCAAATATTACATAAATCCATAACATCAGAAAAAAAGTAAAAATATAATAAATTCTTTAAAAAGCCAATTGTAATCATTCTCTGATCCGTGCATATCCAAAGCAATCAGCCTTTTAAGACCCTATCTGAAATATGGAAGGGGAACATAGTAGAGAGCCCTAGAATTTGTTCACAAAGACAGTGAATATCATAGGCTCAGAGCTGACCTTGGTGAAAAAGGTATACATAGCTTCCAGCTTAGGAAATCTAAACTCTGTAAAGAAAGGTAGCATATTTTAAATCCAAAAGACATCTTTTTGTTTTTAACAAATCCAAAATATTGGGGTTTTCCTATGGAGAAAAGGCAAAGCCCCCATGTGTTTAGAGGGGAGCTGATTTGACCAAGACTCAGCTGTCAAGAGTTTTATTTTTCTGGGAACTCAGGGACTAAATGAACTACATTTCAACAAATCAAATCAATTATACTAATATTAATTTTAATAAACTACGTATAAGCCAACCAAGTATGGTAGACAGGTTGTAAAAATGGTCTCAATTCTTTACCTTCCCCTGGTTCTCTACCCTTGGCTATATAATGTTGTAGTGCCTGCCTCATGTCCCTAAATTTAGCCCTGTGATTTGTTTTGGTCAATTAAATATCAGCAAAGGTGATGTGGGCAAAGGCTTGAAATGGGTTTCCATTTAGTCTGTTGCTCCTCAGCTTCACATATAAGCATGCCTTGGCTAAACTGCTCAAGGTAGAGACATGTAGAGCAGGCCCCAAATGTCCCAGTCAAGGTCTCAGACATGTGAGGAAGTCCAGCCAAGATCCGCAAAGTTACCCAGCCAAACCCAAGCTGATAGACATATGAGTAAGCCCTACCAAGCCTGGCTCAGATTGGCACAACCACTCAGCCAAACCATAGATTTATGAACAAAAAGGTTTATTGTCACATGCATGCGAAGCTGTATGGCTACTTGTGATGTTGCATTATTGCAGCAATAGATAACTGATATATCATGTAATAGAAATTATATTTGTGACCATTTCTTGATACTCTGCAAATATTACCACCATTATATATTTTCAATAAAAGGTGTCCTTCCTCCTCCCTCCCACCCCTCCCAATTTCCCTTAGGCTTGAATCTCTCTCATCTCTTGAGTTATTTTTAGAGCCAAAAACTTCCTCTATGCCTTCTGGCAATCAGCTGTTGCTCAAAGACATACCTACCTAAAGGTAATTTGTTCTGTATTCCAGAAAATTAAAGTAGAGCTGAGCTTTATTTTACATATCTCTTTCTTCTCCATGCAACTGGAAGCTGAACTTTTTCACAACATCAGGTACAGAGTAGGCACTCATTAAATATTATTTGAATGAATGAAGTAAAATAAAAAGTAAGATTGACCTTAAATGAGAGTAAACTCAAAGTATCTATTGGTATCTTTTGGTTGCAAGTGATGGAAACCCCTTATCAAATTGGCTTCAGCAAAAACAAGTATTTAACTGGTTAATGTAACTTGAAATTTCCATGGGTGGCTGAATTCAAGAATTCAAACAATGCCATCCCATCAGGACCTGGTTTTTCTCTGGATCTCAGCTCCATCTCCTGCTTTATTCATTTTTTTTTCAAGCTCTGAGTGGTACCCCTGAAGCTACAGTCTTACATCTTCCAAATAGAAAAAGAAAAGGTGTTTTTTCCCCATTAGTCCTGGGAAAGCCTTGATTGGTTCTCTCGATTCTGGCTGTATCACATCCCCGTCCCTGAGTCAATCACTTTGGTTGGGGAAATGCAATGTTCTCATTGGCCAGGCCTGGAGGACATAAGAGGTGGAGGTAGTGAATGGGGGACACCTTCACTGAAAGAAAGTGAGGTGTGGGTTCACAAAGAAAAACATCAAGATTAAATAGATGCTGCATCCACCCAGGCTCCAAATCTACCTAATTAAACAGGGAAAGCACACATGAGGTTATAATACATGCACACCATGTCTGACTCCTCTTGTGCACTTCCTAGGGTCTCTTACCACCACCCCCACTTTCCACTACAGCATTGTTGCTGCAACCAGATGTATGTGATGTAACCTGACAGCACTTCAGCTCAACTATATCATGTACCTCTCACTTTCTATACTGGGCCTTTCTATGCCACAGTCATGTAGGATGCCAGAAAGAACCCAACCAGCCATTCTGGCACACATGCAAACTTAGAAGTGTAAGGGAATTAACTCATGGGGCATCCTTGACCATGAGTAATGGAAACCAGTGGAGAAATACTCCCTTCTTCTCAGAAGACAATCCTGCATGGCTTCTGGGGGCTCTGGACTGAGCCCTAGTACCCACAGCAAGAATCAGCTCAATAATTCACCATGAAATTGGCTTTTCTTCTTTCCCTACTTCACTCTCCCCAATCTCCTGCTTCTGATCCCTGGAATCATTTCCTAAAACAACCTGCACGCAACCCCTTGCCTCTGGTTCTGCTTTTCAGTGGAATCTAGGCTTGGGTGCATGCACACACTCACACACAAAAATGTACACACACACACACACACAGCCCCAACTATATGCAGGAGGTGAAAAAGAATGCAAAACAAGATAGAAAAAACTATCCTTTTCCTCTTCTTTCAGCTTAAAATCAAGTTATCCCATCCACATTCATTTCTGCCAATCATTAAATGGACTTCAATAACTTTACTGGTAGTTCTATAAGAAAATAAAACTCCCAGGAAAACTTCCCCCAAAAATTCTCCTCCAGATCTTGAGAAGGGTTCTCTCTCGAATGAAGCACAGATCTTTGGGATTACTAACCAGGAAGAAGCAATGGAAGGAGACCAGGAAACTGGAAGAGATTACATGTGACCTAGGCCTTAAAGGGTATGTAGGATTTCCATATGGAAAGAAGTGATGTGAGCAAAATCTGGGCTTGACACCTGAAATGTGAAAGGCATCACTAGTATCAGAGCTGGGGTGCAAGTCGGTCTCCCTGGAAACAGAGATCATGTCATCTCAATGACAGCACTACTGCCCTCCCAGAATGCCCAGTCACCACAAAGTATGCAGAAATGGTATTTACACTCACATCATCTAACATACCAAGTAAACAAAACACTGCTCTTGCAAATTGCAGAAAATATAAAAAAAGATCAAAATATAGTTAATATGTATACTATATATCACAGATCAATGTTTTTTAAAGTACAAAAATTCAAAAGCTAAGTCAGCAAAGGATGAGAACAGATGATTCGTTTGAAAGGATATGGAATTAGATAACACAAAGGAAACAGAACAACCTTATTGTCACCAGAGATATGCAAACTGAACAAGATGCTGCTTTCTACCAAAATGGTAAAACACTAACATCATTGGCCATAACCAATAATGGTAGCTCTGTATGTTGCTAATAAGACTGTAAATTGATAGAACATTTTGGAAATACATTTGGCAATATTATCAAGAGCCTTAAATCTTTTCACTCCTTTTGATGATATAAGTTCATCTTTTGGAATCTATGGAAAGGAAATAATTCTGGATGCAGAAAACAAACAAATCTGAATTTAGAATTATCCTGCCCATTTGTAGCATTACAATAGCAAAAAATAAAATGGAACATTATCTTCTAGTAAAAGAATGCTAAAGCAAATTACAGCCTGTTAATGTAGCATATTATTATGTAACCATTTAAATATTTATCAAAAATTTATAATAATATATTATTAAAATCATGTGAAATAAAAAGACAGAAATCATAATTATATATGCAATATGAATACAATTCTTGTTCATATTGCACATAGAAGAGGCAAAGCAAGGCATATATAAAAGTTTGAAGAAATAAACACTAAAATCTTAGCAAGCATTGTGTTTGAGCAATTGGTACTACACTTTGTTATATTTTTAAATGTTCTATAACAAGTACGTACTTAATGAGAAAAATTAACTCGGTATTTTTTAAAAGATTATTGGTTAAAAATTATACCTATATAACAAAAACTGAAACTATATAAGCCTGTAGACAAGTATTAGGAAAAAAAACACAGAAATATAAGCAGTTGTTGCATTTGGATCCTAGAATCAGAGTGATTTTTATTTCCTTTATGGTCTTCATAACATTGTTTTGCAACACCACATACACACAAAGAGATAATATTGAACTGATTTCAAGGAAGGTAGTCCCTCTGCTCTATAGGGATGGATCAAAATAGATTCCTACAATAAGGATCAAATCCTTGCCCTGGAAATCATGAAGAGTCAATGTTCACAAATGTAAATTAAAGCAGGTCCTCTCCCAAGTCTGAATTAAGGACAGTCCAGAGAATTGGAAGCTTCGTCCATGATTACTCTCCAAAAATGGAAAGCCTAGGCCTTTTGCCTATCAGAATGTATCACACTGACAAGACCCTCAAGAAGCAATGCCAAAGAAGAGAAGTCCCAGCACATATAAACATATCCACGCACATAAACACATTCATTCTCAAATAATGGGGGTCAAAGGCATTCGGTCACAGCAAAGGCGTGGCTATCTTAGAAAATGCCTGGTTTCCTACCTTTGGACACAGCCAAATAGTAGTAGCTACTTTAATTTCTGGATAACAAACAAAGCTTAAGCGCTAGACTCTAAGTGAAGGGTTTGGGGGAAAGAAGGAGCTCGGGTTAAGCCAAACTGCAGTTCAATTTACTGAAAGCTTCAAAATATTACCAACTGTCTGTTTGAAATGCGTCAGCAACGGTTCATTTTTTTTCCTTTTATCAAAACACATTTAGACTGTGGTGAATGACAGCATAAATCTTAAATAGAAAAGATACAGGGAAAAAAGACCACCCGGGTAGAACATAACTGTAAATGTGTCCATAAAACTATATTTGAATTCTGTTCTTATACACAGAAATGCATTTAACCTTCCCAGCAAGACGCTTTCACCAACCTCCAAAGAAAGTGTTACCAATTAAGCTAAAGAAACTTTAAGAGTCAATTTTAATTACACCAAGAGATGCTCCAATCACTTCCCAGCTCCAGCTGAAGTTTTTACTAGAGATGGCTGGAACCAATTTACGTGCTTTTATGTTGCGTCTAGACTTTAATAAGCGGTTTAAGCACGAAGCAAGCCGATGCCAGCATCAAGCAGGCTGCAGTATAGTCTGCATGTAGAAATACAATAACCCTCAGGTCCCAGCCCCTTCTTGCTGATATCAGGGAATACTCTCTACGATGCAGTTTCAAAAGCAACAGGATCCAGCATTTATGATAAGATTTTCGACCCTTTTCTTTAGCCTTGTTTAAGTTTTCCTCTCTTTTCTCAATACCAAATGCCTTATAAGATCAGCCACTCTAGCCTTTCGCTTAGTCTTAAAATTAACAGTGGGGAATGGAGATAACTGACTTGGATCAGGTGTGCCTCCCAAGACAGCGCAGCTGGAGCCAGGTGCTGCTTGTTACCTACTGGCAAGAGGGAACTTCTGCAAGTCAGGTGAGCCTCCATATTCCACATCGGTAAAGTGGGAATCCTACCTGACGTTTTGTGTAGGTGAAACACAGTCCCGTTTATAGTTAGTCAGGTTGCTAGGAGGCAGACTGAGGCCAGGATTCACAGATTAAGGAAGTGCTACCAGAAAGCACCAGGTGGGGAATGCTGGACCGAAAAGGGGAAGAAGTGGAGCCAGAGTTGATATTCCCTACAAATTTCCAGTCCCTGCCTCAGCTTGCATAAATCGCTAGAGCACAAATTATACCTCAGAGTTTGTCCTGAATCAAGGCAAAGGAGCAGGGCTTTCACAGTCGTACCCTAGCTAGTCCTTGGCTACAGATGGTCAGGCTGGTATTGGTTGGAAATGTACACTCCCAGGCACTTATGGCTCTCGGAAAGTAAAGCATCTCCAAGTGCCCAGAGGTAACTTTCAGAAGGTCACAGGTTCAAGCTGTTGGCAGAAGCTGGGAATGATGCAGCAAGCTTGTAAAAGAATTTTGGCAGGGCACACGTTCACCCCGCTTTGCAAACTGTGTTGGAGAAGTATTGTACGAGTGATGGCCGCTACTAACGTTTTTAAGTACTAGGTACCTCTTACAAAGCACATCATGTGCATTAGCAAATCACTTATGAAGTATGTTCAGTTACTATCACCATTGCACAGTGGGGAAAACAGGCTTAGAAAGGCAAAATTACTTACACTCACAGCCTTAGAAGTAGCAAAGCTGGATTGAGAACCTTGTTCATCTACCTCCAAAGGATACAGCCCAAGTTCCTACCTACTATATATCCCATTGTTATCTCTGAAGCATCTAAATTAAAAACCAAAATGGCAACCACTTTCATGGGATCCATGCACATAATGAGAATGAATGAAACTGAAAGGTTTTAGACAATTGGGTGAAACAAAACTCCAAACAAAACCATTTGACCAACTTATGGGATCAATAGGCAGACAGTTTAAGACTCCTGAACTTTCTATGTATCTGTCTGACCTTTCTCATTAACATCAGAGGCTCCATAGAGACCCTGGCCAACAACCACTCAGGTTAAACATTTAAGTCTTTGGGGCCCATTTTTTCAATGTATACTGTACAGGGTGGTAGGTTATAGGTAGGAAGAAAATAAACTCCTGCTTCCGTGGCCATTACACACATTAACTGGAATGTGGAAGGCACCACCTGGAGTTGTTCAGTGCATCTGCCCTGTCTGGGTCTTATCTTCTTTGAGTAGCACAGAATGGATTGCCAAGCTTGGTAGGATTTCCTTTGCTCTTTTTGGGGGAGAGGTGGGGGGAAGGGAACTTGTTATGTTGCCTAGGCTAGTGTCAAACTCCTCAGCATAAGCAATCCGCCTGCATCAGCCTCGGGAGTAGCTGGGATTACAGGCACGTGCCACAGGCCCCAGCTCTGGGTTCCCTTCTCTCAACCTGACACTGACCTAATGACAGCAGGTGACTCTGGTCACTACTGCATAGTACATAATCGCTCTCAGGTAAAAAAAAAAAAAAAGTATTATTAACTACTAAAATCTACTCTGTGCATCTATATTTTCAGAGATTTCTGCACAAAAGTGCAAAGGTGTAAGTGATACATTTTAGATTGAACCATGTGAAATTGACATTTTTGTAGTTTAAAAACAGTTGAATATCAGCAAGTTCACATGGTTCAACACATAGGCTACTGAGAGCAAAAGGAAGAATAAAAGATTAGATTAGATTTAGATTTGCTGAGGCTCCTTCATGGCCCTTTCAAATTGCTGAATGGTGTGCATCATGAGTAAATGGGCACAATTGTTCGTTGGAGCCACTGCTGTCCTTCACCAGAATGGTGGATAAATGACAATAGATGACTAAAACTGGAAGCAAATGTATGATAAATGCATCTGATAGCAATAACTTAGGCATACCCTTAGGATGACCCTGTATGGAAGATGGACCTGAATGTGTGTTCTGAGCTAGGGAATCCAGGAGTTGCCAGCCCAGAGTTCCTTCCTTGTCTACAAGGAACATCTGAGTCCCTGTCCCATTCCATAGAACACTGGCCATATAGGGGATCAAGGCCCCAAGTTTTAGGTTGAATGATGATTGCCAGGTGGAGGTTGTTAGTGGGAAGGCACTAAGTGGAAACACTATATAAACTGCATGCATTTTGCAAGCTGTTGTGGTTTTCCCACCTAGTCTGCCACCTCTGGGCCATGCAGTTATCTTGTCCAGCTCACCGCCACTGGACCGTATGTAAGGCAGTTCTCCTGCCCAGCTCACCACCACTAGACTCTCTCCCCGGTATGTAGCCCCCAGTAAAACCCCATGTCTCATTTGCTGGCTCTGGGTCTCTTCTTCAACCGCTTGAACATGGTGCCTACCCCACTGGAGTCCATAGAGGTTCAGCACAACAGCAAATGATCTAGAAATGTGGGGTCAACTAAACATTTTAGCCAAACATAGAGAAGAATAGATTGATGCGAGCTTCCTCAAATTGGTCTATGGAGGTGGTTTAATTCATGGATAAATAGTTCAAAGGAAGGTAGCAGAAAGAGAAAAAGATAAATCATGCCTGGGAAACTTTCAGACTGGATGACAAATGTTGAACAGAGACATCCAGCCTGCCTTCCTCTCATGCCTGCGGCTGCAGCATCTGTATAAATTACACATGTCATTTACAAATTATATTCCAGATAATCCACATGCAGATAAAACTTGAAAATTAAAGACTTAAAAGGCAAAATTGGACTGTTTTGCTCTGTCACTAACAAGAGTTATAATCACTGAATTTTACGTCTAGAAGTGAGAGACTACTTCTAGTCCAGGGATGACACATGAGTTGCAGTGTCTATGATGAGCTGGATTGCTGGTGCCTGCCTAGAGCACTGAATGGAGGTGTCTTAGGTCTTATTTGGGCTTGGCGGAAACAATCGCCATGGTCAGTTGGTTGTGTGTATCCCGGGCATGGGAGAACGGGTGGTCACACATGCACCACACATTTGTCATTCCTGACCTAGGCATGGAGCCCTCGAGGCCTCAGCTTGCTCATTTGTAGAAAAAGACACTTGAACTGGGCTATGTCTGAAAACCTTCCATGTCTAACACACTGTTGTTGTTTTTTTTCTGATTAGCTATATATGTGATATCTTTCCTGATATTCTGTCGCAGATTCCTGGTTGCCCAAAATTTTTATTACAACGAGACAGCAGCAACAATCCAATGATAGCGGCCCTTTTCTTTACTTCTTCACGTTCTGAGCTACCTCTCCTGTCTCCTCCGACCTCAGCTGAGATTCACTCTATCACGTTGTTTCAGTCATGCGATAATGATAGGTGCTCCATATCATGCCCTTAAATGATATCTCACAAAACTTTGTCACATCCCCTTCTCTCTGAATTTGCTCCAGAAAATTAAACATCATTTCATTTGAGAATCGGGCCACCGATGAGTGTACAAACATCATTCCCATTATTTTGGAAGTGACTACTTTCAAGTCACTGAAGAAACTAGATGGGACATGTGTGAAGACTTTATGTCTCTGAAACACATAATTTTGATTAGCTTCTTCCACAGAGACATGGCAAAAGTAATGATGACAGCAGCTGCTAGTTGTTGAGTCCCCTGATGCATCAGGTCCTTAGGAACATAAACTCAATTCTTACAACTACCCCTGAAGTTGAGTGTTTGTCCTGGATAGCCCATGCATGATATATGTTGAGATCCACCATACCTAAAATCCCTGTATCAGTCAGTCAAGCTTCCATCATGTAAGACCTGTTTCACTGAAAGGGTTCACTAACAAGAGTGGCAGGAAGGGATTATTTACAAAACTATGGTCGGAATTAAGGGAACCAACTAGGGATGGTGAAGCACCCAGCGTCCAGCAGAAGTGGGAAGCCATTACCACCTGTAGGGCTGGAGAAAAGAGCTGCTACTAAAATGCCAGAGAGTTGTAGCCAAGGTGGGGATGCTGATTAATAGAGGCTGTGGACCCTGCCAAAACCATGGCCACATGGTAAGGGACAGATGAAGAATACATACCCCAACTTCTCTCTCCTTCATCATCTGATCGCCTTCCAATGCTTCCCATTGGCCACACCTAATGGGAACAAGACAGCACAGGCAATGCAGTCTGTCGCCCAGGCTGGAGTGCAGAGGCGCGATCTCGGCTCACTGCAAGCTCCGCCTCCCGGGTTCACACCATTCTCCTGCCTCAGCCTCCCGAGTAGCTGGGACTACAGGTGCCCACCACCATGCCCAGCTAATTTTTTGTAATTTTAGTAGAGACGGGGTTTCACCGTGTTAGCCAGGATGGTCTCGGCCTCCTGACCTCGTGATCCGCCAGCCTCAGCCTCCCAAAGTGCTGGGATTACAGACGTGAGCCACTGCGCCCGGCCCAACATGGCTTTTTTCTTCTTTCTACCACTCTTTCCCTGTCTCTGTCTTTCATTTAAACCTCACCAACAGAGAGAATACCATTGAGTCAGGAGGTGACCACCCATTAGGGACCCTCCACTGGTTAGAGTGCTCATTTTAGGCTTCCTCAGAGCTAGCTCAGCCCATGGATGGTTGCATTTGATTCAGGATCCCTGGAACCATCTGCAAAGGCAAGGCCAATAGGGTCATATGACATTAAACACAGCTATGTTGCTCAGTAAGGGACTGTCCTTGGTAAGCTCCACCTGCCCCTTCAGATCCATTCTCCACTCTTCTCTGCCCTGCTATGTACCCTGAAGGCTGAGCTCTATAAACTGCATTGCCTGTGCTGTCTTGTTCCCATTAGGTGTGGCCAATGGGAAGCATTGGAAGGCGATCAGATGATGAAGGAGAGAGAAGTTGGGGTATGTATTCTTCATCTGTCCCTTACCATGTGGCCATGGTTTTGGCAGGGTCCACAGCCTCTATTAATCAGCATCCCCACCTTGGCTACAACTCTCTGGCATTTTAGTAGCAGCTCTTTTCTCCAGCCCTACAGGTGGTAATGGCTTCCCACTTCTGCTGGACGCTGGGTGCTTCACCATCCCTAGTTGGTTCCCTTAATTCCGACCATAGTTTTGTAAATAATCCCTTCCTGCCACTCTTGTTAGTGAACCCTTTCAGTGAAACAGGTCTTACATGATGGAAGCTTGACTGACTGATACAGGGATTTTAGGTATGGTGGATCTCAAAAAAAAAAAAAAAAAAAAAAAAAAAGCTGTGTTGGCAGAGTAGAAACAGACATAAAGAGGGAAGATGAGACAGGAAGAAACTCTACCATGAATATGGTGGCAGAGCTTCTTAGGAAGGTTCTGCTGCATCCTGTGTAGTGATCACTTGCTACGTTTCCTTAAGTGCCTGCATTCCTTTTAGTAATCCCTGATCTCCAGGGTAACCTGAGCCTGCCTTTGATCCTTACAACCTGAAAGGTTGCAACCAGCAAAGTGCAATTACTTTGATACTACAGTTGAGCTAATTGAAAAAGAAGAATTAAGAATATACCCTAGGTGACACAGAAAATAAGTTCCCACAAAGGAATCTAAACCTGGTTCCATCTGTCACAAGCCCATGGGCTCTCCACAGAGCACAGTGCCTGTTGCAGCCCAAGACAGAGTTACCCCGATAACAGAATTCAAGGACAGTTCTCTGATTTTTCCAAGAAAATCCTCCAATGATTGCAGAATTTCCACCACTAAGAGCTGATAAATGTGTCCATGTCTTCTTTTTTTTTTTTTTTTTTTTTTTGGCCGAGCACTCAGTCTTTTCAGAGCCATTCATAATGGTCTGCATAACACAGGGATGTTAAGAGCACCATCTCAGAGCTGTTGGCAGATGTTCCTGGCTAAAATGACTTTCTGGAATGCAAGAGAAGGATATTTCACACCAGCTTCCACTTCCTTCCCTAGGTCCCTCGAGACCTGACTGTGACCAAGGCATGCTCAGAACAATATGTGACACAAACAATATTCGAACTTAGAAAGAACAGAAAGTATTTCAATTATATGCATAATAAAATATTGCATATTCCATTGCTTCAGCTGGTAGAAGTAATGGAACCATACTTGGTGATGTAAGTCATTGAGCTGTAATAGAGCAATTGGGAGATTTTGGTTGGCAGCTGAGGACTAGGAAATGTGTAGATAAGATGTCAAGATCTGCAAAAGGTTTTTAAGACCTCCTGCCTCATGGATGCTTATATTCTAAGACAGGGTAAACCTGTGTCCTGCAATCCCCAAATGAACCCCTTACAGTCTCGTCATTCATCTGAAGGGCAAGTCCATTTCCACAGGTCAAGCTAAAACCCAGGTCAAAACCCAGTCCATTTTCACAGGTTAAAGCTAAAAACCCTGTGTAGCAGTGGAAAAAGCTCTAGAATGTTTTTCCACATTCAAACGAGGGCTTCCTTATCAAGTTCATCAAAGCATTTTTTAAAAATATAAATGTCTCACCAATTTGCCCAGGAAGAATAAATCTTCACAGCCACCTCAAAGGCTTGACAACTTTATTTTCATTGTGTGGAGCTGGGTGGGTCCCCTGAACTGGGCTTCCTAAGGAGACCTACCCCTTCTCCGCAGTTTCCAGGCCTGCCACTCCAGTGAGAGCGATCAAAGGGGAAGGAAAGTCGAGCCGCTGAGCCTCAAGGAATAAAGCTAAAACAACAGATTTGTTCCTTGGCTTCTCTCTTAAATACGGGCAGAGTGTTTAAAGCCCTGTAAGGAAACGCTCTGGGGCCCTGGATATGAGAGAGGCACATCTAAACCCTTTCCCAAGAGGAAATCTCTCACCTCGGTGGGGTAAATTAGCTCATTAAGAGCAGCCAGAAGCAGGCAGGAAACCTGGGAAGTGGGAGCTTTAATTCAAAGCATAGAAAATTATAGATTTCTTTACACATTAAAAAAGCATTTATCTTGGCTGAAAATGAAACAACTTTTCAATGATCAACACATGGTTTAAATCTGCTTTACTAATTTATATCTCTCCACCCATCTGCCTAGTTGTTCAGCTACCAGGAAATTCAATTATATTGAATACATCTTCATTGAACACCTACTATGTGCCTGTGGTGCATTTATAAATTGTATAAACGCAAACAAAAAACAAAGGCAGGTGCCTTTCCTTTTGTTCAGGAGGTGATACTCACATGTATTAAAAATTGGAAGACATTTGCTTTTCACTTCTCAACAAGCACTTATTTTTTATATACCAGGCATTGAGCTCAGATGGGAACACCACAAAATGGAATGTCAAAAGGGCTGCCTTCAGTGGAATCAAGTGATAAGATGTATAGAAGGGGTAACAGGTAAAGCAAGGCAGGGGATTGAACTGTAGAGAGTGAAGTTTCTCCACAAGGTTTTCTAGAGGAAGCAGGACCTGAACTGATCTTGAAGTATACAATACAAGCAAAAGTGGTCCCTAGAGGATATGGCTTTAAGTCTTTTCTCTGCTGCTATAACCGCAGACAATTTCAGTTCTCTGGGCCTTAATTTCCCTCTTTAATATGAGCACATTTTACTAGAATTATTCATGTTGTTTTCTTTCTTTCTTCTTTCTTTCTTTCTTTCTTTCTTTCTTCCACTATTTGGGACCAATTATCCATTCCAGATAGTCCTGACTTTCTTTGATGAAACCTATGGGCCTTTCGTCAGACTGTTTTGGATATAAAAAACAAAATAGATAAGAATACAAAGGTAACCAATTATATTTTTAAAATACTTCTCAAACTACTTAAAACCAAAATTGTAGTTTAGTGTTAATGTATACCTTTATTAACACTTTGTAATGACTAGATCCAGGCTTAATAATCTGGAAATTGCATAGGCTTAATAACTACTGCAATTTCAAAGTATCAAGAAGTGTCAATGATATTTCAAGGTCTCTGTAATGTCTGTCCTATGATACGCAAGGATCTGTGATTTCAATTGGTGACAAAATCACAGATCCCACTAAAACTACATTTTGTTTCTTGCATTCATGATTGAAGGACATGCTAAGTTTCAATTAGAGATACCTTAAAATAAAGATATAACTTTTTCCATCCATGTTCACAGACCCTGTGTTAATTTTCTGTGGCTGCCATAAAAAGTTACCATAAACTTGGTGGCTTAAGATAATAGAGATTTATTCTCTCACAGTTCTGGAGGCTGGGAGTTCAAAATCAATGTGTTAGCATGACTTTCTTCCCTCCAGAGATGCCAGAAGAGAATCTGCTTCCCGCCTCTCACAGCTTCTGGGGGCTGCAGGCAGGCATTCCTTGGTTTATAGCCACATCTCTCTGGTCTCTGCCTCCAATTTCACATCACCTTCTTTTTTGTGTGTCAGTGTGTGCACACATGTGTGCACATGTGTATGTGTGCCTAATCTTTCTCTCCCTATCTCATGAGGACACTTGTGATGGCATTTAAAGCCCACCCAAATAATCCAGGATAAGCTGGTGCTCCAAAGATGTTTAACTTTTTCCCATATTTCTCCATATAAGGCAACGTGAACAGGTTCCGAGGATTAGGACGTGAGCACATCTTGGAAGAGTCATTTTTAAGCCTACCTTAGCCCCCCTGAATTCTACTCACACTTTGTAGAGATCTATGGACCCCAAATGAAGAACCCTTATATTTTACAGGGATTATATCAAGGTGCCCACAAGTACAAATATACCTATAAGACCAGATAATAGTAAGCGCCATACAGAAAACTAAAACCAGGTAAGAGAAAGAGACTAGGGAAAGAGGTGATAACTGAACAGGGTGAATGAAGCAAGAGACTGAGCCATTTGACTTCACTGCCGAAGAATATTCTAGGCAGAGAAAATAGCAAGTGCAAAGGTGTGCAGTTAGATGCATGCTTGGCATGTTTGAGAAGAGGCCAGAGGCCAGGGTGTATGTATGGATGAGCAAAGGGGTGAGTAGTAGGAGATGACATGTCAGAGGTAGTCCTCAGGCAGGTCATGATCCCCAAGGGATTTGTAGACCATGGGAGAATTTTGGGGTTTATATCAATGCTTTGCAAAGTCCCTTGATGGTCCAGAGAAGTGGAAAAACATAGTACAGTGTCTCTTCTAGAAGGATCGCCCTGGCTGCTTAGGGTGAGTTTGTGGCAGAGGGGGAAGACCAGGAGAGCAGGCAGGCCCATTGGACAACTACTGCCAGCAGGACAGGCAAGAAGTGCTGGTGGCCTGGACTAGGGTAAAGGGTGGAAAGGAAGAGAAAGAGTCAATGTGGGAATACATTTGGAAGGTAAGGACTTTTTAAGATGTCTGAGACCTCAAGAAAAGATTGGAAGAATGTGGATCAGTGGTATGGTAGGGAGAAGAAAGGATGTTTGACAAAAGGAACACGGGAGTGTCACCCCCGTTAAGCCTGCCCATATAGGCAGAAGTGGCAACGAGGGATTCAGCTGAGAATGAAGAAGCCCAGTGTGCCTCTTTGACTGCTGGATTGTGATCACACAGAACAAGGCACAGCACAGAGAAGACAGAACCAGGAGCTTGCACAGCAGAAAGAGAAGACTGATGCCCACCAAGGCAGAATTTGTTCTGTTGTGCCCCTTTCTTGACATGGAGCTTAAGACCTTATTTACTTGTCCTTTTCCATCTAGAAAGGTAAATCCTATAACAGCTGTCTTGCTTTCATTGCTTAAAATCACTTGAATAAAGGGATACATTGAAAATATATATATATATATATATATGGGAGGATAGATATATATATGGGAGGATATATATATATATGGGAGGATATATATATATATATGGGAGGACATATATATATATATATATGGGAGGATATATATATATATATATATATGGGAGGATATATATATATATATATATATATATGGGAGGATATATATATATATATATATATATGGGAGGATATATATATATATATTCAGAGGACATTGTGGGTTATGTCCCCCAAAAGTCCTAACCCCCAATACTTGTGACTGTGACCTCATTTGAAAATTAGATCTTTGCAGATATAATTGATTTAAAATGGAGTCACACTGGATTAAGTTGGGCTCTAATCCAAAGACTGATGTCCTTATAAGAAGAGAGAAATTTGGAGACAGTAACCCATACAGAGGGAAAACAGCCGTGTGACAATAAAGGAAGAAATTGGAGCAATTGGAGTCATACAGCTGCAAGCCAAGGAATACCAGGAATTCCCAGCAACCACGAGAAGCTAAGAAGAAGCAAGGATGGGTTTTTCCCTGAAGTCTTCCGAGGGAAAAATGGCCCTACTCACACTTTGATCTCAGACTTCTATCCTCTTGAACTGTAAGAAAATAGATTTGTGTTGTTTTAAGTCACCCAGGCTATGGAAATTAGCATGGCAGCCCTGGGAAACTAATGCAGAGAAATTGCATGAGAGAGAGAAAGTGACATGATGGCCAAGCTGTGGGACTTGAGACAGACTCCTGGTTCCCCTGCTTGTTTGCCACATTGCAATCCATTGCCCATCCATATTGATAGGAGGTGCACAAAGAAAAGTCTCTCTGTTCACATGCATCTCCTCTGACATAAACTGTCACCCCAAATTCCCATCATCCCTGCTTTGACCCAATGCATGTAAGAAAGGCCTCTGCTCTCCAGGAGGGGCTCAGACATGCATGACACCATGACAAATCCTTGTTGTTAGCTCCTTTTCACTTTTCAAGCCATCGAGGTTGGCTCTGGGGGAACAGGACACAGGATAGGTGAATTGCATTGAGAAAAGGTCAGAAAACCTGTGGAATGTGGGGAGTCGCAGGAGAAATTCCATAGTGGCAACTTCTTGGTATCTAATGATCTGTGTGGTAGCAGGATGAAGTGGGGGCGGGAATGAACTTAGATGACCATGATAAGGTGTGAACACAGTGGAAGGGCTCAGAGGAGGGTTGCCATTTAGCTCAGAGTAGAAACACTTGACAGCCCACTTGAGGCAGGTGTTGTCCCCTTATGTGGCCAGCTGACACAAGGCCAGGAGCAGGATTGGAAAGCTTGGGGCTTCATCTCAGCTCTGCTATTGGAAAGGATGGAGTTACTGAACACATTTAGTAGCATATATGTGGCCTCCCTTTTTAAATGCTTTTTAAGCATTTTTTAATCAATAATCCTTAGTCAAAATTAATTGTTGGATAGGGAAAAACAGAGGTTAGTGTGGCTGTCACCAGAGAAGGACCATCAAGATTACAAACTCCAACATTACTATTTTGATGTAGACCACTTTATAGATTGTGTCCCAAGGGCTTTGAGTTTTAAGGTTATCCCATTGCACTGAGGTCCACAAGGCCCACTAATTTACATTGCTTGAGCCTAATTTACATTCCTTATGCCTATTGAACTTGAGGCTCAATATTAGTCAAACTGGACTGATAAAGTATATTGGCATTTTTCTCCCTCACATCTAAAAAACAATTTAGGAAAATGAAGAAAAATAACATCTAGCATATTCAGTATGCTACTTTTTATATCAGTTTTCACGTATTAGCTCTAGGCAGAGAGCCCTTGTGGGTAATTATGTTTTAATATAGTACAAACCTCTTTAAAAATGATACCATGTGCAATTAGGAGTTCAAAATGACCTTGTTTGATGAAGTTTGATAAAATGTCTCTATTTGAGAAAATACTACAGCAGTCTTCAAGTGTAAGACCAGTGGGCCTCATGTTGCTTATGAAAATGCAATAGAATAGGCACATTGAAGTAAGATGTGCTTCACTCAGATGATTTAAATTATAGATAAACACCTCACATCTTCTGCCATGCTTTTGATTAAGCAAAATAAGGAGTGTGAGCAACTGACAAGTTGAAGGCACATGCCCCTCTCGTTCAACACTCTATCCAGTCTGCGGATGCCATTCCTACATATGAAATGAGTTCTAATCAAAGACATGCCCATTCCAATTTGAGAAAAACATCATGGTAGTTTATAGAAAACTTCCTTTCTGCACTGACCCACAACCTAAACAAAAGGTCAAAATCATTTAAGTTGTTTCAAAACGAACAGTTGTGATATAAGCCAGCAACGTGGTGTGGACGAAAGCCCACACAATTCCTTTGTAAGCTGCAGAGCTAAGTAAACACTATGAAAGCCTGCTATTGTTTACTCCGATACCTTAGTCAACACTTCGGAATCATTAGCTTTGGGCCCTTGGGTAAAGCTGTTTTTAAATTCTCCATTTCATAGTCAAGGTCAACTTCTACTATAGCCAGCAGACTCAGAACCCGAAGGCCACTTCTCTCCTCACATACACATATTCACTCTCACAGACATCAACAGAAGGGTCTCCTGAGACCCAGAGGCAGGGTGGTGGTTAGCTCCCTCTCTCCTCTTTTACCTTAAAGCTGAAATGCTAAGGAGTCAGAGTTTAGGTCTATCAAATACGGAAGCCACAAAGAAAGAAATAACACGTTTGAAGTGAACAGATGGATACCAAATTTGTTGGCCACAGAAATTTTAGCAGTGTCTAACAGTGTTAAATTATCTTCTCACCAAACCATCCAACTGAGATACAAAACCCTCGGCTTCAAGTATCACTCTTTATGGCCACAGATTATCAGTGGGATTTAAAAAAACCAATCATCATAACGCATAGCCCTCCCAGCCTCTGTATTTGCACAAAGACCATATACATAAAATACATAAATCTTGGTCTAGAAGGCAGGAGGCTTCAGTCCCAGTCATCCAGCCACTGACACTACCTAGTAGGATGACTCCTATGAATCACTGAAGCTCTCCAGAGATGTGTTTTCATTTCTTTTTTTAAAAAAAGGATAACTCAAAAAATGCTGAAGCTTTTTCTGTGATGTCTAATAACTAAATGACAGAATCTAACTGCATAAGTCCACAAGCACAGCAAGAAGAAACTGTAAACTTAAAATAAAATAAATTATCTGGAACAGTATTATCTTCAATTATGAAATACAGGACATTAATCATTTACACCACACCACTGGCAAAGAGAGGTAAATTAAATACTAAGGTGACTCTCTGGGCTGTGCCTAAGGTGCTGACCCAAGCAGCTAGGCTGGTACAATACCAGTGCTGACACTTAACTAGATATGTAGCCAAGACCAGCCAAACCCAAGATGCCTGGGATTAGGGAAGGGAGAGGGCACACATACAGAGCGAGTCTAGAAATTCTCCAAGGTCAAGACTCATGTCTCAGGACCTGTGACAGGGCAAAGAATACTGCAGTCAAGAGGTCCCTTCATTTTCCACAAGCTGGATTCATTTGCAAGTACACAGGAGCCATATACACAGAGGATTGGTGTCCTGCCCAGCCCGCAGAAGCCTCCTCAACACACAACACCCTCCCTGAAGCACAATAGTTATAGAATCACTTAAATGAGACTCAGACATCATATATAAAAATCCTTCCAATGATAACTATCTTCCAAGTACTAGGAAGAAAGCAATGCACACCTGCTCCACCCTGTCATCCCCCAGCCCCACCACCCCCCTCCCCCAACACACACAGAGCAGTTTCGGTCAGCTTTGACTGCTCATTCAGAATGACCACTAAGAGTTTAGCCAGCTCAGATAAAAGTAGTAACCCAGGGACTCTGCTGGCAAACCCTCAACGGGTAGAAATTCTGTGGATTAGTCAGTCATCTGCCAAACCATGGAATTCAGACACACTTTGTGGATCTGTTCCAAACATACAAGTTACAGCATGCTACTTACCCCGCTGAAAGGCATTGGAACAAATTCTTCTGATTGATTGATTGCCCAGTTGGTTCATTGGTTGGTTGGTGAGTGGGTTCATTGGTTCTTTTAAGGATTGGTTGCTTAGTTAAGCTGTTGTTTGGGTTTCTTATTTTGCTTGGCTTATTAAGAATTGACTAGACCATCTAATGTATAATGCTTCTAGAAAAGAACATAGAATAACATCTTCCTGAATTTGGAGTAAGCAAAGATTTCTTAGAAAGGGCCCAGAGGGCACTAAATATAAAAGAAAAAATGGTAAATTGGACCTCATTAAAATTAAAATTAAAATTCTCTGCTTATCAAAATACATCTAAGAGAATAGACAAGGAACAGATTAGGAGATAACTATATTTGAGAAAGAATGTCTATCCAGAACATATAAAGAATTCCTACAATTCTATAGAAAGAACGTCCATCCAGAACATATAAAGAATTCCTACAACTCTATAGTAAAAAGATAAGCAAACCAATTTTTGAAATGAACAGAAGACTTGACAGACACCTTATATATAAAGGTCATATATATATGACCAATAAGCACATGAAAAAGTGCTCAATATTATTACGATCAAGGAAATGCAAATTAAAACCACAATGAAATGCTATTTCACACCTATTAGCATGGCTAAAATGAAAAATATCAATGACACCAAAAGTTGGTGAGGCTGTAGACCAAATGGAACTTTCATACATTGATGATGAAAGTATAAATGATACCAACACTTTGGAAATTATGTGGCACTATTCACAATAGCAAAGACTGGGAACCAACCCAAATGTCCATCAGTGATAGACTGGATTAAGAAAACGTGGCACCTATACACCATGGAATACTATGCAGCCATAAAAAAGGGTGAGTTCATGTCCTTTGCAGGGACATGAATGAAGCTGGAAACCATCATTCTCAGCAAACTATCACAAGGACAGAAAACCAAACACCACATGTTCTCACTCATAGGTGGGAATTGAACAATGAGAACACTTGGACACAGGGTGGGGAATATCACACACCAGGGCCTGTCAGGTGGTAAGGGACTGGGGGAGGGATAGCATTAGGAGAAATACCTAATGTAAATGACGAGTTGATGGGTGCAGCAAACGAACATGGCACATGTATACCTATGTAATAAACTTGCACGTTGTGCACATGTACCCTAGAACTTAAAGTATAACAAAATAAATAAATAAATAAAAATATAGGGGGAAAAAAGACACTTTCTTTAAAATGTAAACATGCATTTACCCTGTGACCCATCAGTTCCATTCCTGGGTATTTATCCCAGCTTATAAAAAGACTTAAACAAAAATGTTCATAGCAGCTTTATAAACATAGCAGTGTTTATAATAGCTAAACACTGGAAACATCCAAGGTATGCACCCACAGGACAATGGAAAAACAAACTGTGGTATATTCATACAATGGAATAATATTCAACAATAAAAAGCAATAAATTATTGATACATGCAACAACACAAATGGATGGATCTCAGAAACAGTATGTCGAGTTAAAGAAGTTGGATGTAAAGATTTTACACCACATAATTCCAATTGTATGAAGCTCTAAAGGAGGTCGAATGAATCTATCATGATGGAAATCAAAATAGTAATTTCTTCTGGCAAGGGGAGGGAGACTGTCCAATGAGAAACCCAAAAGAACTTTCCAGAGTGATGGAATTGCTTTGTGGGTTACATGTGCATATGCGTTTGTCAAAAATAATTGAAATCACACTTAAGATTTGTGGATTTCACTGTAAGTAATTTATATATCAGTTGAAATATATGAAAAAAAGAACTGGCCATTGCAGGGAAACAGATGATGACGTAAAGATGAAATGACGATATTCCAATCCTCAAGGACTCTTCAATGATGGGGGAGACATCATTTCTCTGACAAGATCAAAGGGTGTAGGGGAGGAAAGGATGGAGTTACTGAACACATTTGACAGCGTATATGTGTCTCCCTTTCTAAAGCCCTGATGACTAAAAAGCATTTTTTAATAAATTGAATCATAATCCTTAGTCTAAATTAATTGTTGGATAGGGGAAAACAGAGGTTAGCATGGCTGTCACCAGACAATGAGCATCAGGATTACAAACTCTGGCTGGGCACGGTGGCTCACACCTGTAATCCCAGTGTCTGGGGAGGCCGAGGTGGGTGGAGCACCTGAGCTCAGAAGTTTGAGATCACCCTGGGCAACATGGTGAAACCCCGTTTCTACTAAAATACAAAAAAAATTAGCCGGGTGTGGTGGTGCACACCTGTAGTCCCAGCTACTCAGGAGGCTGAAGCACTAGAATGCCTGGAACCCAGGAGACAGAGGTTTCAGTGAGCCAAGATCGTGCCATTGTACTTCAGCCTGGGGGACAAACGTGAGACTCCGTCTCAAAAAAAAGATTGCCAACTCCAACATTACTATTTTGATGTGGACCACTTCATAGATTGTGTTCCAAGGGCTTTGAGTTTTAAGATTATCCCATTGCACTGAGGTCAAGAAGGCCCACTAATCTGTGTAAGGCACAATCTTCCTGAAGACCTTGAAAATATCTTGCCCATTGTCCTGTTCCAATGCCCAAATGCCCACATCACGGATTCTTTTGGGTTAAAGTAGAGATAGACACTAAAAGACCCAATACCCCACATCTTCCCTGTAGCCCATCTCTAATCCATGACATTTGAAAACTTGGTCTTCCCTTCGTAGACATTCTTTCTCAAGTGATACCCTTCCTATCCTCCCACAAGCTGTCCAGCTTTATTTCCTGCATCCTAAAAGACACATATCAGCTGATAAATTCAGCTCTCTTCTCAGAGACTTAATCCAGAGTATTAGATGGAACCTAAGAAGGGGAGCTGGTGTATTCTAACATCAGGCTTGGGAAACCCAAAAGCTAACAGAAAGAGCTAAAACACTCTAATTCCTAAGCTTCTAGATGACTCTCCTGCAGCCATTGACTGTTGACCATTAAAACATCATGGCAGCGCCCTCTTTGAAGGTTCAGAGTCACTGAGCACCCAAACATGCCACCCTTTCCATTACTTCCCCAGGTCACCCTGTCCCGATTCATACATAGCAACAAACTAGCCTGACCAAATAAAAACAAGCACGCTGCAGCCCAACAGCAGATCTGAAAGCTTCAAAAATGAAAAACCACAAGTGCTGAAAGACAGTTACGTATTTAGCCTTTTCATGAAAAAAAAAAAAAGAAGAAAAAATATCAAACATGAGAATAAATCCACCTGTGGGTCCCTATCTCTACTGAGGTCACCAAAAATCCCTCCCTCTTTGTTTGCAAACTGTTCAGAAGCTAATGAAGGAAGCCAGCAAATAAACCAAGATTAATGGCCGATTTGTCATCTGGGAAGGGAAAGGTGAGCTCCACGCCTCAGCCAGAGGAAGCAAACCGGAGGAGGTGGGGGCTGATTTATGGGTTTGGGAGCAGACTAATTAGAGCCTCATGGCAGGTGATAAGGGGGACCAAAGGCATTTGGGGAAAGCAAAGTGAAAGGAGGCAGGAACCCGGCCGAGTACTTAGTGCAAACTGCAAGCTGGAGAGGGCAGGGGCCACAGAAACAAGCTCCAGACGCAAAACAGACCAACTTTGAATTCCAAGAAAATTGCGTTTTGGAAAGTTCCCAGAAGCCACCAAGAAAAGCCCATGTTCCTGCATCTCAGATAAGGTCTGGAAACAAAGTCCTTGCGGCTCAGTTTGGAAGAGCTGCCCCCATGCAATTGCTCACACCAAGCGGCCAGCATGCCAGGGTCACCCAGCCCACCCTCCCGTGTCCTTCCTAGCCCAGCTTGCTTAGTGCTCCAATAGGTCAGTTGGTTGAACAGAAATTGTCACCAAGATGTAGCCTTCACTTTGAAGGTCTGCACACACTCCAGCCATGTTTACTTCCCACAGATTTCCTGCATGTAGGGAGGAGCCATCGGGGTGGTGATGGGGCTGAACCTGGGACTGGAAGAACCAGCACACCAAGGAGGGAAGACTCTCCATGCATCATTCCCTTGAGAGAAGCCCAGGCTGGACAGTGCAGGGGTGGCCTCTTCAGATGGCAGACACTGTGTTCAGGGTAGGAACTCAGAAGGTCATGGACTGCTGGAGTATGTCTGGGGAGAAGGAGATTGAGAGGAGAGGACACCCTGCCTTATTTTTCTGAGAAGAGAGCTTCCTTTTTCCAGAACAGCTGGCACCATTTGCAGTGTGTGTGTGTGTGTGTGTGTGTGTACACTAAATGCACACACACACCTGCAAGTACTCAATCTCCTCTCATATCCTTCAAAGGCTAACCCTGGGTTCTATCTACCTTTAATGGGATGTGTCATTAGATGTAGCAAACAAGCCCAACGTCCCTCAAGCATCTGCTTAACACAGCATTTGGGCGACGAACACACAAAAAGCTCACGCTTCACTACTATGCAATATATCCATGTAGTAAAATGGTATTTGTATCCCATAAATTTATACAAATTTTAAAAGCACAGCCGTCTTTTTCCCTCTCTCATTTTAAAAATGTGAACAAAAAGGAGGCAGAGAAAGAGACAGAAAGAAAGGCAGAGAGGGAGGCACAGGGAGGGAGGAAGACAGAGAAAGGGAAAAAAGGAAAGGATGGAAGGGAGGGAGGAATAAAGAGAAAAGAGAAAAGAGGAGAGAGACAGAGAATAAAAGGAAGCAAGAGAGCAGGCAGCTGGTGCAAGAAGTAAGGGTCTTTTCTCTCATTTTCCTGTCTTTTAATAAATCACTGTAGCGGCCTGTGACCGCTCTCTGTTATCCCTAAATGCTCAAGCAAACAGCTTTTCTTTGAGACTATTCAAGTGGCTGCCAGGGAGGCTGGAGCTGAGCAAGCAATGCGAGCCGCCGGCCTGCCCGCCTGTAATTCAGGTAGAAAAGCAAGCATAAAGTCAATATTCATGGTGCGGGTAAGAATTGCCACCACACAATGAAATGGTAATGAGCCGGCTCACAAAGGAGACAAGCCGGATAATCAGCTTTTAAGGAGGTGCTGGGGCACATGAGGCTGCCAGGGCCTGAGCGGGCGTCCCGGCCATGGGCCCCCACCATCTGCGGGCATTGGCAGAAGGCCGGCGGGAGCCAGGGCGGGTCTCACCAGGCCCTCTTCCCCTGGCCCTGCCTCTCCATTTTGTCATTCTGGGGCCTCAAGGAGCCTAAACTTTGAGGACAAAAAGCCGCTTTGCAGCCACTGTCTCCTTGCTGGCTTTCAGATGAGTCTGGGGTGATGGCTGGCAGGCAAACGGGAAAATTGGAAACCTTGCAGCTGTACCTGGCGTACATGCTAAATGCACGCAGCGGTCGTTACCTGACTAGCTCCAGATCCCTAAGCAGGAAATCTTACCCAAAATCACAGACACTGGGGAGTGGAGTCAGGCACTGGGTATGTCAGTAAATTCAAATACACAAAGGGATTTATTTTTATTTCTTCTACAAGATTCCACTTTATACACCTTTTTAACAGGCGATCATTTAATCTCTTCAGCAAAATTAGAATAAAAGAAGGGTCAAAAGGAAATGAAGCCATCAGATGAACGACCACATGCAAACTGCGTTTAGACAGCTATGGGATGGTTCCAGGGTGATTGGTGGCCCTGGATTTGAAGATAATGTTTTTCCTGAGACTACAATTTGATTTCATCTATGGTGTTGTCTACTGATGTCTGTTTTGAGATCGACTCAAACAGGCTTTCCACAGTTTCTCATTATTCTAGAGTAAATCTGTTGTCTTCATCACCATCATCATCATCTGTATTTGTACCTCTAGTCATTACAAAATTAATTTAGGTGACTGTATTGGTCTGTTCTCAAGCTGCTAATCAAGATATACCTGAGATTGGGCAATTTATAAAGGAAAGAGGCTTAATGAACTCACAGTTCCACATGGCTGGGGAGGCCTCACAATCATGGCAGAAGGCAAAGGAGAAGCAAGTCCCATCTTACATGGTGGCAGGCAAGAGAGAGAGCTTGTGCAGGGGAACTCCCCTTTTTAAAACCATCAGATCTCATGAGACTTATTCACTACCGCAAGAACAGCATGGGGAAAACTGCCCCCATGAGTCAATGATTCTCCACCTGGCCCCGCCTTTGACACGGGGATTATTATAATTCAAGGTGCGATTTGGGTGGGGACAAAGCCAAACCATATCAGTGACCTACAAAAATACATACCAAAAACCAAGACAACATGCAATTTAAAATAAAAAGTGAAAGGAAAATGAGGTAAGAGGTGAGATGAAGCCCAACGTCCTGTATCCTGGCCCGAGCTGAGCTGAGAGCTGGTTCATGGCTTTCTAGTAACCAGTTCAAAAAGAAAAACACAATCCTTAAAACCAGTGAATCTCAACTCAGCCCCAGGGTTTCTGATACATGTGGTTTGGGGGTGGGGACCCACACATTTTTATGTTTTAAAGCTCCCTGGTGAGATAAAAATAGACCAGTTCCTCAGGACATAATCATTCTCGATGTTCATAGGAAGAACATTGTGTTATATGGGAAAAAAAAACCCTCTCAGCAACTCCCTTACAGTAAAAGCAACAAAGTTGGTTATGTTAAGGCATGAATAAAGCACAGGAGATCAAGGAGAAGGGACAAGTACTCCAGGGAAAAGAAATAGGATGAGAAAAGAAAAAGAAGTATACGAGCAAATCATGAAACATTTAGTTGTTGGTGAAAACATACACACAAGTGGAAGGAATCCAGCAAGCTGATGAAAAGAGGGTTGTGGAGAGTCCTGAATGCCCAGCTCAAGGCGTGGGGTTAAGAGTGCAAAGGGAAGGGAAAGTGCAATTGGCTGGGTTCAAATCCCAACTCCCCTGCTTACTAGCATGTGGGACCTTAGGCATGTTGCCTACCTTTTGGGGCCTAGGTTCACCCATCTGTAAAACGGGCTAAGAAAAGTACTTACCTTGTAGGCATAAATGAGATAATCTATGCCAAGTGTCGAACATGGCACCCAATACAATAGTGCTGTGAACTGAATGTCTGTGTTCACCCCAAATTCCTATGTTAAAATCCTAATCCCCAAACTGAGGGTATTTGGAGGTGGGCCTATGAGAGGTGATTAGGTCATAAAGGTGGAGCTCTCAGGAATGGGATTAGTGTTCTTTTAAAAGAGGCCCGAGAGAGAACCCTTCCTCCGGGGAGGTTACAGTGAGAAGATAGCCTACGAGGAAGTGGGCCCTCATCAGACACTGAAACTGCTGGTGTCTTGGTCTTAGACTTCCCAGCCTCCGGAACTGTGAGAAATAAGTCTCCATCGTTTATAAGCCACTAAGTCTATGATTTTGTTATAACAGCCAAATGGACTAAGACAATTATCTAGTGTTATTATTTTCATTGTTATTGCTGTTACTATTTTCTATGCAGTGAGAACAAGGGAATAACATTATTTCATGGAATGGCTCCAAGATGTACTAGACTTTGTATACATATATCTTATTTAATTTTGCAACAACTTAGTCTAATAGGTATTATCATTATCCCCAATAGCCAATTCGATCTCAGTGTGGTTAAGTACTGTGCCCAGGTTGTGGAACAAGGAAGTGGTCAGACTGAGATTCAAACCCAGAAACTGTAGAATATTCCAATGATAAACTGAGGCCAATTTGCAGTAAAGCAAATAAAGCTTAAGCTTCACAGACATCTTCACTTGCCGAGGATGCTCCAAGGCTCTAAATCTAATTTTGCATTTGTACTCTGTAATTTTTTTTTTAAGTAGAGATCCCAAATTGACTCAGATCCACAAAACCTGGACCTATCTTGATGATAATATATATGAGTAACATGGTCTGATCAGAACTGTTCCCTAATAAGGGAGGACCAAGGATAAAGTGACAGGAGGAAGGTCAAGAAGAAATGAGTTTTGTGGGTAGAGACAAAGAGTTCAACCTTAGCCACATTGCATTAAGGGGACCACAGAATAATCAAATTGGAGTATTTGTAAACATGGTTCAGGAGAGCAGGTAGGGTAAGGAGATACAGACTGGGAATAATGGGGCAGACTGTAAGGGAGAAATTATTACCCATAAAGACTGTTCTAGAGCTATGCTGTCCAATAGAGAAGCCACTAGCCACATGTGTCTATTTATATTTAACTTAAATAAAATTTAAAAGTCAGTTTCTCAGGCCCATAAGCCCCATGTCAAGTGCTCAATGACTATATGTGGCTAGTGGCTACAACAAGGAACAGTGCAGGTACCTTTGCAGATAGTTCTGTTGGATAGCTCTGGTTCAGAAGGTCAGAAAGTGATTAGGGACAGGTTCACGGGAAAACATCTGAGGAACAAACAGAAGAAGAAGACAGGGAATAAACTGGGGAAACTGGGCCATAGAATCAGGAAGAGAACCAGGAGATGGAATTCTCAGCAAAGAGAATTTCAAAACGTTTATTCACCAGCTCGGCAGTTAGCAAAGACCTTGAAACGGCACCTTTTTCTTACAGCCACAAATACTCCCTGACATGGCCCTGCCCAGAAAGGAAACCTTGAGAAGGACAAACGACAGCAGCAGTTAGGGAAGCAGGTGCCCAGAGGCTTGCTTGCCCTCCCTTCCATCAGGAGAAGCCTTTAAAATTGTACTCAAACAGACAAGGCCCACGCCTGCCCATGCCCACACGCACCTCTCAACAGGCAGCTGCCTGCATACCTACGCAACTTCCTGTTTGCTTGTGCAATTACCTACGGTTCACATAAGAATGCATGTCCTGAGCGCAGCCTTTTCTGGCCCACACATGTATGTGCATATTTTGAAGGTGCAAATGAGGCACTGAGCATAGTTTTTTAATGTAGCCCTAAGGGGTACATTATTCTGATCAGCACTAACATAGCCGTCCTACATTAAGGCATCGACTTTAGGTCCCACTGGAGGCCACAGTGTTAAACAAGCAAACAAATCTAGTTTCCCCGTGTGGCCCAAAGTTTCCCTTTGCCCTTCACTTCTACCTCTGCCTATTAAAGTCTCACCGCCTGCCAAGCACCCACCTCCTCCTAACTCCAAGTCTTTCCCCAGATTCTTGCTCATACCCTAGGTATTTACATAGGTATCTGTGTGTTTCTCCCCTACTTAATCATGACCTTGTCTTTTTAACCTTTGTCTGCCCCATACTATCATGCATCAACTTTTGAAATGTGTCCCAGTGCACTTTCTTTGGGAATGAGTTCCTCAGTCACAGAGCCTGTGACTGCAGCAGAGTCTAGCTAGGTGCTCAATAAGCCATTTTCCTCTTTCTCCTAACAGCTGGACCACATTTCCCAGCTTCCCTTGCAGTTCTATTCAATCATGTGACCAAGTTCTAGCCCTGGAAAGGGGCAGAAGTGATATGTATGACACCTCCAGGTTGAGGCAATTAAGGACAGATATTTCTTCTACATATTTGCTCTCTTCTCTCATCTAGTGGATGGAAACGCAGGACCCAATCAAAGGCTCTATGGCTTTGGATAACACAGCAACTAGACAGAAGGAAACTTGGTACCTGAATGGCTGTGTGGAGCAATCTCTCTCACTCCCCTGCCCACCTCTATTGGACTGTGATACAAGATTGGACTGTGAACAAGAAATAAACATTATGATGTTTAATCCTAAGATTTGAGATTTGTTTATTAGAGCAATCAGGCTACTCTGTTGTAAATTGATTGCAAAATTTCCTCCAATTATTTCTCTTCCATACAATGTGATTTAGCAGTTTCTTCCATCAAGTGGTGGTGTTTATTTTCCATTCCTTGGACCTAGGTTTGGCCATGTGTCTTGAACTGGCACATGAAATGTAGCAGAAGTGACAGAGCCAGTTCCAAGCCTAGGCCTCAAGAGACCTTGCAGGCTTTTGCTTACTCTTTGAGATCTCAGACTCCACCACGCGAAGAAGCCAGACTAGTCTGCTGAAGGTTGAGAAACAACATGGAGAAGAGCGAATTGTCCAAGCAGACCAGAAGTTAATAAATCAAGCCAAGCTGAATCAACCAAACTCAGACCAGATCAGCAGAACTTCCGAGCCAGCCAATCCATAGATTTATGAAAAATAATAAGTGGTTGTTTTATGTCACTAAGTTTTGGAGTTCTTTGTTACACAGCAAGAAATAACTAATATGCCTGACTAATATAGTAACTATTTTAATAGATTATTATTCAAGCAGTGATATTTATTAGACCCATACTCATTCGTCTTCTAAGAAACATCTGCTGTTCTTGTTCCCTAACCAGACACTGGTGGCAGGTGTAATCAGAAAGACACTCCTACCCCCACCACCACACACACACACACACACACACACACACACACACACACACACATAATCCTGGGCTTTTCCAAGACACAGATGTGTCCTATCTTTACTCTGTTGTCAGTTACAATTATTTAGTGTCTCCCAGTCATAGCCAACAGACCCTAATGTTGTCTAAAGTTTTACCTTCCATTAAATATTTCAATGGATTCCATATTTTTGCTTAGGTGAAGAATTTTTTTTGAAATCTGCTTCGAAAACTGCCTATTGCTTTTATTTTGTATGTCAGGTATTTTATAAATAATCTCTGGCAAATTCCCCTAAGAAAACTCTAGTTGAGGCTATGAGTTCCTTTTGCTACATCTCCTTAGCCACCAGCTTCAGCAGCAGCTGGGGTGGGTCATGATTGCTGAGGACTTCCTCTCTTCAGCACATACCACACACTTCTCACCAGCCCACACACAGGGGCAGCCACCAGATGGGGAGAGGGAACATTAAATCCCTCAGGAACAATCTTCAGCGTTGGGTGATGGGAGTAGATGGAGAAATACCTTACTCCTTTGGGGAGTTTTTTAGGGTATACTCCTGAAAAGCATTCCACATGGTTACTCAAAGGATCCCCTAGAGAACTGATCCCTAGTTCCGTGTAATTGTAACAAACTCAATAGTGTACCTTTTTACTGGCTTTCTCTCTATCCCTGTCTCACTCTTCTCTGCTCCGTTACTCCGTCTTCCAGGGCTCAAGTACCGGTACCCAAACTACCCCTACCCAAGTCTTTGCAAAACAATACACAAAATTTTTGTGTATGTGTGTATGGCCTTATGGCTAAACTCATGCCCTTTCTCAACAACCCCCCATAGAGTAAGTGATGATTTTAACTCAGATTTTATCTCAAGGGCCAATTCTCAGCATGGTGTTGGTTCACAAAGTTCTTTCATTCTTTATTGAATGAATGAATTAGTTAACAAAAGAGAAGCTCGACCTTGTAGTTTTCAGATACAGTCATTCTTGCCCTGTTTTTATGAATAGGTGGGTTTCTTACCTTCATTCATTCAAATACTTAGTATTTACCATGTGTTAAGCACAGTGTTAGCCGCTATGAATGTAAGAACAAATAGGGTCCTATCAGACAAATGTGGTGTCGATTGCACCGACTTTGTTTGTTCTTTCATTCATTTATTCACATTCCAGGGCACAGACCTTCAGATCTAAGATTGCCACTTAAAACCTAACCCAGAGTTGGCCTGGAAGGAAGATAAAGCTAGCAAAATGGGGACCAAATCTGGTTGCCTAGAAGACACATAAGGCAGGTGGCCTCTGTTTTAATTCCCCATGTGGCACCCTGGCCATGAGTGGACACAGCTCATAAAAAAAGAGCACTAAAATCTAAACTTTACTTCAGCCAATACCTTCCCCCATTGGTATATTGCTGCTTTTCTCTCCCCATACCTGAACCCCTTCCTCCTCCTTCGGCCACCATCTGCACATAATTCTAGGAAGGCTTGTTCTCTTCCAGATCTCGTGGTCACAAATGACTTATTGCAAAGGTTTTTCTGCCCATAATACTGACATTTTCAAGATGGGTTCTCAAGACTCAATAATGGTGGAATTTTAGCTATTGAAACAAACAACCCAAATACTCTTCAGGCTGTACCTGTATCATGACACCTACAAACTTCAACAGCTGACCTTATGATGGAGAGTGTGACAGTGAAAGATTGAAGCAATGATGAGACACCTCTCTGCTTCCTACACATGCTTCAATTCTTGTACCTTGAAAGTCTGTTTCTTCTCCATGTGACAGCTAACAGTAGATAACGGCTATCTGTCTTATCTTGACCTCACAGGGACATGTGAACAACTAAATAACATCCAGTGAAGCTGAATGTCCTTGAATAAAAAGGCCTTAGACTACTAGGAATAAGGCACAGAAATATGTTCTCATTAATTCAAATTTGTGCTGCAAATTTGTTTTATTTCAACTAAATAACTGAATATTCTTTTATCATCCTTATTACTAATATCAATGCTTGTTTCAATATTTCATGCAATTTTTAAATCAGTTCACTTTGATTTAAATATCGTTAAAGAGAAATGTTAAAACTCTGCCCTAAATTGAAAACCAGTGACCCTTGTCATAAATAGACATTAATGTTAAAAAGTACCTAATTAATTAACCTATTAAACAAAATGTTAAATAGATGAAACTCTTTTTGTGTAACATCAGGGATACACATTTCATTCTTTGGAAACACTACCCTAAAGGAAACAAAAATAAAGGTATTTATAGTAGAACCACCTAGAATGGAAGAGGGAGGTACAAAACCAAACCCAAGCTTTCTCATCAGAGTAATTTAGGTTAATCCATTATTTATTTCACCCTTCTGGCATGCCTCAGGGAAAGTGAAATTTCATCACCCCACCCAACCCCCACCATGAGGTCTGTCAATATTTTCATCCACACTCATGTTTAGAAGTTTATGACAGCTGGGCAGGAGGTTCTGTAATGTTAGGACACCAGCCTTAGGGTCACAAGAAGCTCTTGAAAATGAGATGGGAGAAGAGATGGCTTTACTCATTTCAGCCATGGATTTTTCCTTGCCCATTCTTGCTCTACAGTCTCTGAAAGAGTCTTTCCTGTCCTACACACGCTCATTCCTAGAGCATGAGAAGCAAGTGGTCTGAATAGAACCCTGTACTTGCTGTCTTCTAGCACGTGGCAGTTCTGTGTTGCAACCAGGCATCAGCATCTCCCCAATTAGTGACTCCTTCTCTGTATCAGTAAGCTATTGCTACATAACAAGTAGTGAGGGTTTAATAAATATAAAGAATGATTTGTAATTGATCTGTTAAACTCTGCTATTAAAAGGACGCTTCTCAAGTCTTTGAAATTGCTTTTCAAAATTTGTTCTCTTTAGACATTTAGCCAGCTCTCTCCACACAATTTATTAGTCAAGATTTATTTTGTAAATGATTCCTTCAATGGTCTTTTTAAAAGAGAAAAAGTCTGAGCACAGGAGCTCACAGGTATAATTCGAGCACTTTGGGAGACAAAGGTGGAAGGATCACTTGAGGCCAGGAGTTCAAGACCAGCTTGGGCAACATAGCAAGACTGTCTCTACAAAATAAAAATAAATTAGCCAGCCCTGATGGTCCTTGCCTGTAATCCTAGACACTTGGGAGGCTGAGGCAGGAGAATCACTTGAACCCAGGAGTCTGGGGTTACAGTGAGCATGACTGCACCACTGCACTCCAGCCTGAGTGATGGAGTGAGACTCTGTCTCAAAAAAAATGAAATAAACAAAAAAGCAGAAAAAGCAAACTTTAACCTTCATCCATTACAAATATCTCAGAGTCTATTAACAAAGGCTGGTGATATTTCAGAACTAAGACAGACAATTACCTCTGTGGGTTCAGAGACAGAAAAGGAATTTGATGATTCTGAAAGCTTCTACTTAGTGTACAGTCTAAAGACACTGCGGGGAATCACAACAGCCCTTTAACAGTGGTGTTTTTCTCTGTAATTACTGTTATGTCTGATAACAACATGTCTTTATCCTTTGTGGAATGAAACAAGGTATAAATATAAATAACATCCTCCCATACATTCACACTTGAAAAAAATTGAAGCAGGTGTTTTTTAAGAGCTATGTGTTTGATTTAACGTTGTTTAAATATTAGCTCACAACAACTAAGCATTACACCATTGTATCGATTATTTGAATCGCATCTAGTTTTTCCACTTGTTTGCAAGGTCTCCTTGAGTACTTCATTTTTGTCTGATAATATTTTTCAGTGGTTTCACTCAAGGAATTATCCACTTGTTATGAGCAGCAACAGTGCTTCCAAAATTTTAATATCTATACAAATCACTTGAAGATCTTGTTAAAAACACAGTTGCTTTTCAATTACTACTACCAGTGTAGTAGGTCTGGGGTCAGGACTGAGACTGCATTTCAGACCAGCTCTGAAATGAAGTTGGTGACGTAGGTCCACACAAGAGTCAAGAGTGGACTTGTGCTGTTCTTCTAACACTTAAAATTTTGCTAAGATGGAACATGATACAGCACGTGACGATCAGGCTGGAAAATAGGCAGCAGCTTATATCATGTCTATTAATGTCATTCACTCTGTGATCAGCAACCTGAACTCAACCCGGTGTAATGCCAAAGGTGTTATCACCTGGCTGGTCTTTTGCTGAATAAAAACAAGACACCCATTTGTGTGGACACAGGAAGCAGGAGTGCTGAGTCATCTTCACTTCTCTTCCCGTCATCTTCTAAATTTGCATCTAAATTACTTTCCATTCTAAAAAGGCTGGATTCTTCCACCTCTCTTTGTAATTCTCTTCCCTTTCTTTGCTCAGACCTGTTATCAAACTGCCATCTTGTATACACATTAACCAAAGCTAAATAATGCAGGTGATATTGAGGTAGGAGGTGGGACTTGACTCCAGCGGCAGGGCTTGGACACTGGACCAAATTGAAGACTAGCTAAAACAAAAGGCAAAAGCAGCTTTCCATAAGACATACCCACCAGTGTCCCATGTCAGTTTACTATTGCCATGGCAACAGCAGGAAATTACTGCCTTTTTCCATGAGGAGGCTCTGACAACTGGGAAGTTACCACCCTTTTCCTAGAAACCTCAGAATAATCTGCCCCTTAATTTGCATATAATTAAAAGTGAGTATAAATATGCCCAGAGTAACAGCACTGCCTCTGAGCTGCTACTCTGGGCAGACTGCCTATGGGGTATACCTGCTCCACAAGGAGCAGTGCCTCTGCTGCTGTACATTGCTGTTTCAGCAAAAGTTGCTGTATAACATCACCCACTCACCCTTGAATTCTTTCCTGAGCAAAGCCAAGAACATTCCCCGGCTAAGCCCTGCATCAATATCTGCAGATCCAAGGCTTCATGGTGAGGTGTACATGAGCTGGATTTTTTTTTATCAGGTGTTTGGTCCACCTTTTCCACTTGATAACAATCCCTGTGGATGGGACTGGCCTTCTATTGGACAGCACATAGAACAAATCAGCAGGAGAGTGTTTCTAAGGAGGTGGAGCCTCTGATATTTGGTTTGAGCCCTTAAACATGAATATCTTCCAATTTCATGATCACAGTGCTTGGATCAAGGGGATTTCTTTAGCCATTTGTCTACTGTTTGTCTCAGAAACAGTGCTGTTTAATAGCTTGCTACAAAAAGTGCAGTCTGTAAACTAATAGAAAGATCCATTTTCCTGGCACGGTGCCTCATGCCTGTAATCCCAGCACTCCCAGCACTTTGGGAGGCAGAGGCAGGTGGATCGCTTGAGTTTACGAGTTCTGGAGAAGCTTGGGCAACATGGCAAAACCAGACTCTACAAAAAAAATACAAAAAATCAGCCAGGCATGGTGGTGTGTGCCTGTAGTCCCAGCTACTCAGGAGGCTGAGGTGGGAGGATTGCTTGATCCTGGGCAGCAGAGGTTTCAGTGATCCAAGATCAAGCAACTGCACTCCAGCCTGGGAGACAGAGCCAGATCATGTCTGAGGAAAAAATAAAAGTGGGGGGAAGAAAAAGAAAAAGAAAGAAAGAGAGAGAGAGAGAGGCAGAAAGAAAGACCCATCAATCGAATAATAGGAAAAAAGGTTCTGGCTCCAATTCTGCCCCCTCTTAGCTGAGTGAGCTTGTACAAGTCATGTCATCTCCTGAGCTTCACTGCTATTCATTACAAGAGTTAATTTCCATCTCTAACTTTTCTGCCAGCTCAGATATCCCTTGACCTGAAATGCCTCCAGACCAGAAGCTGCTCACAGCTATTGACCTACACAGCACAAATAGCCCTGGGACCACAGCCACTTCTGCAAGTGGACCTGCAGCCACATATTTCAGGGCAGGAAGGTCTGAAGGCATCCTATGCCAGCTCCGTCATTAAGCACAGGAACAAATCAAGGTCCTGGAAAGCAAGATGACTCCTCCAAGGTAATTTGGCTCTTCAAGGGCAGAACAAGAACCAGAACACAAGTCTCCTAATTCTCAGTCCAACGCTCTGCATAACAACCCATGCATTCAAGAAACCAGGCTTAGGGAGGCCACATCAGGATGAAAAGTTCCCCTCTGTGCTGGATGGCACGGAACTCCTTATGGAACAAAAGTGTTGGAGTACCTGCAAGGCAACAGATAGTCCATCTTCTCCACATTTATCCAAATACACAGGAAGGGCTTTATAAAGATTTGTTGAATGAGAGAATGAGTGATTCCTTTGCATTTTATTTCAGAGATGCATTTGTTGGCTTTTAGCATCTCTGAGTGTGTAAAAGGGGTTTTAGTGTCCTTCCCAAATTCCCTCAGCATTTATCTCTATTCTCAAAGGCTGCTTACTGCAAACATGAGACTCTCTTCCTAAGGACTTCTTTTCAGGCCACAGTACATGATCAGTCTGAGTGCAGGGCATCTCAGAAGCACAGGAAAGTTAGTACTCCTAGAGAAACCCTTGATCAATGATGAATGAGGAGTTGGTGATCAACATCTTAACTTCTTCACTTCTGGGACAGGACAGTTCTGAGGCATGTTCTACGGAGTTCCAGAGTGCCTCAGCAGGACTGGGCTGTAGCTACCCGCACTCGTGATTGGCTTGATAACATCCACTTTCTTTCTTCCTTCCCTTCCCTATCTCACTTTCCTGCTCCCCCTGGAATCTCCTCCCAAATACACTATTTGTACCAAAATCATTATCTCAGGATTTGCATCGGGGAATCCAAACCAAGGTACAGTGGTATCAACTTGGTGGAAAAATAGAACTTTCAAGAGGTCTCAAATTCTTTTGGATGCAAAAACTGTACTTTTATCTGATTCTGTCTTTGGGTTTCCCCAAAAGCAGCTGCTAAGAAAAGGATGTGGGTACAGGTAGTTTATTTGAGAAGTACCTCAGGAAGCAGAAGTGGGAGACTAGAGGAGTGAGACAGAGAAGGGAAAGAGAGCCAATACAAAGTGTGTTCATGAGTCAGTTGCTGTGGGAAGCTGTGGGCACAACCCCACTGGGGAGCCCCTGAGAGGCCGCAGGGAACGCACCTCAGAATTCTACACTGGAGGGCAAGAAGCTGGTATTCATTCACTGACAACCATCCTGGGGCCTCAGCTTCTGGGTTTCCTAACATGCCCCACGAGCAGCCCAGCCACATCCTAGAGATCACAGAAGCTCTCAGCGTTCAGGGGAGCTGCCTGCAAGGGACCTCCAGGAAACCAACAGCATCTGCCATAGATTCTGCAGGATTTTTACTGATCAAAATGCTACTCTGTTCAACAAATGACAATCTTGCTGCTCCCCAAAAAAACTATGTTGAGCCTCCTCAGTTCTGAGCTTGCTTTGTTTTGGCTTCCTTGAAAGATATCCTTGAACTCCATCAGTTCCCAATGCAAAACTTCTAGATAAACTGAAAAGCAAGAAGGATGAGAAACGGAACTACTAGGGGAAAAAAATGAGCCTGAAACCTTCCAACCTCAGTCATGCAACAAACACAACTGGAAATATTCAGCAGTCATGTCAGTACCATGCCTGCCCTGTCTTCAACACCCTCTCCCGGCCGTCGCACCTCACCGTGGAGTCCAAGCTGCAGTCAGGCTCGTGGGACCGCACAAGCCCTTCCTTTGATGCTTCCCTGTTCAGTGTTACTGAGACCTCCTGATCAGGGGGGCCCCCGAGGTCAAGGCTCTATCAGGAATAAGGTTTCTTAAGTGCCATGTGTGAGACACCATCTGACACTGTTTATAGATCGATTTAGCCCCTTATTGACCATGGGACAGAAGTTAAAAGCATTGCTTTTGGAGCTCAAATGTGTTAACTTCTGAAGTGATGTTTGAATTAGGGTTAAGAAGGGCCCAAAGTTTTGATCTGCTGATTAGAGAAAAGAAAAAAAAAATAAAAAGAAGAAAGGACATAAACTAAAACATTTTTTTCAGAAAGGAAATCTGATTCTTTTTACTAAAACCAAGAGACCAGCCCATGATTAATCTATCAACTACAGAGTTGACATTAGATGTTCTGTAGTCACAGAAACATCTGAATTCTTCAGCTGCCAAAATGTGGATGATCTATTAAAATGCAACTGCTGGTTTTGAAGTAACTCACTGAAAAAAGTAGCTTCCTTCTTCAATAGGTCAAGGCTAGAAAGAGAAGTATCCACTGGGTTCATATCTGGAACAATCACCTTTTTGCCAACTGTAAGTCAAATAAAGCACATTCCTTGCCTAAAAGTTGACATTAGTAAGACAATAGTTGTGTGGTAAACAGACACAAGCAGCCCCACAACTCATGCTGTTAGTATTAGGCCTGCATTCCCTGAAATGTCTTTGGATTTATAACACAAAAAAATCTAGCAAATAAATTCCCCTCCCTTATATGAGCTCTGTGATAAAATGCCTGTAATCTAGGTATTATGCAGTGAGGTTGACCATTTTTAACTGATGTGTTTCTTATCTACTATGTGGCATAATAGGAAGCAGTGGCAATTAAGACAATTAGATATGAATAGGAAATAGTTCTTCTGATTAGAACCAAAGACTGGGCATGCTGGATATTCAACAAGTGGAAATCGGTGTGTATGGTATGTTATGAGCTGACACAGACACACTTCTGCAATGCAATCATGATTATTGCATTAACAATGACCCAAGGCATGACACAGCCCTGGAGTCTGTTTGGGCCAATCAGAAAGAGCAATTGAAGTTCAATAGGATTTGAAAAGTTTAATAAACTCTATTGTATTCTAATTCTTTTAAAATTAGTAAGGTGAATTAAATATGGGTTAACTCTCTATTAAGCTAAACAACTGATGATCCAAAGGCTCACCAGAAAATAGTTGACTGTGGAAATTATCATCCCCAAAATAAACAGGCCAGAATCCTTAGAAAATTAATGAAATGATGTCTATAAGTAAAATATCTAGAAGAAAAAGTATTGTGTTAATATGAACTGGAAAGTATTTATAGGCAACTCAAAGTATGTTCTAAAATTATTTTTGATCCTATTAAGAACATAAAAAAGCAATAAAGATCTAAATCTTTTAAAAGCCTCTGGATTAAATGTAATATAGGCGCAGATATTTTGCCAGAGCAAGACCTTTGCTAACGATGGTTCGTGCAGTCTTTGTATCTCCTATGAGTCATGTCATATAAAGCTTTTAACTCGTTTTGAGCTCTGGAAATAACAATTGAAACTTTTATCATTTACATAATCGTTTAATAAACATTTGTTAGATATCCGCAATGTTGACATATCAGTATGCAGGCCTGGAGAACTCCAGATAGCTCCACCTTACCCAGGTGGCAGGGGTACGTTCCAAATGATTGACGTATGCCCAGATGGTCTAAGCATATTTAATAGCATGTATGTGTGGCAGGGTGGGGCACAGGAATGACATATATACATCATGATAGAAGGGGCTAGAATTAATATCTTTCACGTCTTAGACAAATACCTGTGGTTCTGTAAGATGATAATTTGAACATAGACCTTGATAGCTATCTGAACCACATTCTCTGAGAGCCACTAAAAAGCCATTCATTATTTAATTGTTTAGTCAAGAATCATTTCCTGAGCATCTATTAAGTGCCAAGAACAATTCTAAGTGCTAAATTACATTAGGGAACAAAGACAATGTTCCTGGTGCCTATTGTTACAGTCAAGGTAAGTCTGAAAAATTTTTAGAAACAGAGTTTTTGATCCATTTTTATCACACCTTTATAATACAAAGGCTTAATATTGAATAAAATGCTTTAATGGCAATCTCATTTGATCTAGGCTGAACTCTATTCCTGAGAAAATCACATGAATTGAGAATTGAAGGAAGTCAATTTTCTCAAACATAGTGAGAAAAATTGTCCATGTGAATGAGGTTTTGATAATTTTTCTCTGGTGGTTTAAATGATCTATTCCAAAAGTTAAAGTTAAAATTGCTTTTATTAGAGTTTCAGAATCAGTGTTTTGAGGTGAGCTGTCAGACATGAGGCAAAATTATGTGTGTCAGGAGCAGAAGTTATTAAACCTGACAGCCAAGCTCAGAATTTGCTGTTCTTGAATTTTAAGCCCAGTTCTTGGCCTATTGAAGCACTCTGTCTGTACTGTTTTTTCTCTCCTGGATAGAAGCAACCTTAATTTCTTCATATTTCAAGAGGTCTACCAATACAAAAATTAAAAAGATAATGCAGATATATGGGGCCATTTTGGGAAGGCAAACAGAGAGGTAAAATAAGCATGTTAGACAGGATAACTTCTAAACATTCTGTCTTGGCATAAAATCTGTAATTTGACATAATTATTAGTTATCTATTATTAGCTAGCTTTAGATATGGCTAGCTAATTACGTAGATATATAAGACTCTGCCTTTAATAGCCTGATATAGAATTCTAAAAATATAAGGTGATATATGAAAGGTAATAAAAGAATGCAAGATAATGTTATAAAAGGAAGAAGGAAGGGAAGAAAAAGGAAAGGAAGAAAAGGTGTGTAGGGAGACCATTCTCTCACACTGAGGAAACAAGCAGTTTGTTAACTTTAATCTCTGCCATTTATTTACCCCTTGTGTGAAAATTAGCTCTTTTAAGTCACTGGATATAGTAGACACAGTACCCTCTGCCCACCTGAGTTCATCTCCATGTGCAGCAGCCAGTTTTCATGCAGGCTGGCAGCTTCCCCCTCATGCACTGACACCTCCCTCTGCTTCTCAGCCTGATGGCTTTTTCTAGCGCCGTACGTGTTTGCTCAGTCCAGCACAGGACAGCCCAGGACAGCTCAGAAGCACTAGGGGTTTAACACCTCCACGGCAATTCTTAACCAATGAGAAACAGAAGTTGATAAATATGCAGGGTTCCCTGACATGTGTGAGGTGTGTTCCACATGGTTTCCCAGAGGCCCCCAGCAACAGTGAGCCCCACCACCCACAGCGGTAGCCGGAATTGGCTTCCTTCCCTCTCTGTCTCACCCTTCACCACCCCCTCACCTGGCTTTCTGGGGTCACCTTCCAAACAAAGTACCTGCCTCAGGGCCTGCTTTGGGGGGAAACGAAACCAAGACCAAAGGAAATGATAATTTAACAGCAGTCATTTTTAGAAAGTTTTCAATTCAACTAACCCTAATGTCTCCTCCTATAAAAGTCATGTTCTCCCTTAGTAAGTCCTTGGCAATATAACCTTAACCCAAACTCAGCATTCCCTACAGAGAAAGTCAATGGAATGTCTGTAACTTTCCTTACCAGCCCTCTTTCCCTGCCTTCAACCATCTCTCTTATTCTCCTCTCCAAGCGTCCCTCCTCCCAGTAAATCTTTGTATTTTAACATAAAGTGAAATTATGACTGTTACATAGAAAATGGAGAAATTTGAAATGGTTCATGCTGAAAATTTTTTCCCAAAATTGATGTAATTTCTAATGATACCAAGTAGTAAAAACAACAGAAAGCAACATCATGGTTTCTCCTCATATTGGCCACTTTGCCTTCCCAACTGATCTTCCCAGGCTCTTTCTCCTGTTTTGATATTTAAAAGGCTGACACAAATACCTTCCTTCAGTTCAGCTTTTCAGAAAAATTGATAATAACATTGGCTAAGGTTTATTGAAAGCTTAAGAGTATTTTATGTCAATTAACTAACAACTTTCATGACAGCCTCATTTTTATCATCCCTTTTTTTCAGCCTTATTGAGGCATAACTGATAAATAAAAATTATATATATTTACAGTATACAATGTGATGTTTTGATATATTATACATTGTGAAATGATCACCATGATCAAGCTAATTAACATATTCATCACCTCACATAATTACCTTTGTGTGTGTGTGTGTGTGTGTGTGTGTGTGTGTGAAGAGCTTTTAAGATCTACTGTCTTAGCAAATTTCAAGTATACAATAAAGTAATATTAACTATAGTTACCATGTTGTACCTTAGGTCTCCAGAACCCATTCATTTTGCATAACTGAAATTTTGTCCACTTTGACCAACATCTCCTCATTTCTTCCATCCCCTAACCTCTGGCAACCATTCTACTTCTGCTTCTATGAGTTCAACTTTTTTTAGATTCCACACATAGTGAGATCATGCAGTATATCGTTTTGTGCATGACCTTCCATTTTCCTCTAGGTTTAATCTTATGTTGTTGCAGATGACAAAATTCCCTTCTTTTTAAAGGCTGAGTATTATTTCATTGTCTCTGTGTATCACATTTTCTTTGTCCATTTATCTGTTGATGGACACTTAGGTTGACTCTGTAGCTTGGCTATTCTGAATAGTGCTGTAATGAACATGGGAATGCAAACATCTCTTCACAATCTTGTTTTCAATTTATTGGACAAACATCAAGAAGTGGGATCCTGAATTCTATGGTACTTTTATTGTTGATTTTTTTGAAGAAGCTTCATAGTGGTTTCCATAATGGCTATATTAATTTACATTCCTACTAACAGTGTACAAGGGTTTTCTTTTCTCCACATCCTTGCCAACACTTGCTGTCTTTCTTCTTTTAGATAATAGCCATCTTAACAGGTGAGAGGTAATATTTTATTGTGGTTTTTGACTTGTATTTCTCCAATAATTGGTGATGTTAAACACTTTTTCATATACCTGTTGGCCATTTGTATGTCTTCTTTGGATCAATGTCTATTCAGGTCTTTGCCCACTTTTTATTTGGGTTATTTTGGCTTTTGCTATTAAGTGCTGTGAGTTCCTTATATATTTTGGATATTAACCTCTTATCAGATATATGGTTTGCAGATATTGTCTCCCATTCTTCAGATGGTCCTTTCACTGTTTATTGTTTCCTTTGCTTTGCAGAAGCTCGTTAGTTTGATGCAATCCCATTTGTTTATTATGAATTTGTTCCTGGTGTCTTTGAGATCATATCCCAAAAAAAATTCTTGCCCTGACCAATGTCAGGAGCTGTTTCCCTATGTTTTCTTTTAGTAGTTTTAGAGTTTAATGTCATAAATTTGTATTTAATTCAGTTTGAATTGATTTTTGTATATTGTGTAAGATCCGGTCCAATTTCAGTCTTCTACATGTAGATATCCAGTTTTCTCAACACCATTTATTAAAGAGACTGTCCTTTCTTGGCACCTTTCTCAAAGATCAATTGAATGTAAATCAATGTATTTCCTTGATCTCTTTTCTGTTCCATTGGTCAATATGCCCATTTATATGTCAGTACGATGCTGTTCTAATTGCTATAGCTTTGTAGTATATTTTTAAATCAGGTATTGTGATTTAGCTTTGTTCTTGTTCAAAACTGCTTTGGCTATTTGGGATCTTTTTTGGTTCTATATGAATTTTAAGATTGTATTTTCTATTTCTGTAAAAAATGCCATTGGAATTTTGGTAGGGATTTCTTTGAATCTGTAGATTACTTTGGGGGTATGAAGATTTTAACAGTGTTACTTCTTCCCATTCATGAGCATGAGCTACCTTTCCATTTACTTGTGACTTCTTCAGTTTGTTTCATCAGTGTTTTACAGTTTTCAGTGTATAGATCCTTCACCTTCTTGGTTAAATGTATGCCCGTTTTTTATACTACTGTAAATGTGATTGTTGTCTTAATTTTTTTCAGATGCTATTTTGTTAGTGTATGCAAACACAATTGATTTTTATATATTGATTTTGTATCCTGCAACTTTACTGAATTTATTAGTTCTAACAGTATTTTGGTGGAATCTTTAGAATTTTCTATTCATAAGGTTATGTCGGCTGGGCATAGTGGCTCGCACCTGTAACCATAGCACTTTGGGAGGCTGAGGCAGAAGAATCACTTAAGCCCAAGAGTTTAAGACCACCCTGAGCAACAAAAGGAGACCCTGTCTCTAAAAAAGATTTTAAAATTAGGTAGGCATTGTGGTGTATGCCTGTAATCCAACTACTTGGGAAACTCAAATGAGAGAATCGTTCTAGGCCAGTAGGTTGAAGTTGCAGTGAGCCATGATTGCACCACTGCAATCCAGCTTGGGAGATCCTGTTCTGTAAAAACAAAAAAAGAAAAAAAAAGATTATGTCATCTGCAAACAGAGATAATTTTTCTTCTTCCTTTCCAATTTGGATGTCTTTTATTTCTTTTTCTTGATTAAATCACTCTGGTTAGAACTTCCAGTTCTATATTGAATAGAAGCAGCAAGAGTGAGCATCTTTGTCTGGTTTCTGATATTAGAGTAAAAGCTTCTAGCTTTTCACCATGGAATATGATGTTAGCTGTGGGCTGGTCTTGCATAGCCTTTTTATTTTTATTTTTACTTTTATTTTTATTTTTATTTTTTTGTAGAGATGGCAGAGTCTTGCTCTGTTGCCCAGGCTGGTCTCAAACTCCTGGCTTTAAGCAATTCTCCTGCCTCAGTCTCTCAAAGTTCTGAGATTACAGGCATGAGCTCCTGTGCCTGGCCATATATGGCTTTTATTAGGTTTAGGTGCATTCCTTCTATCCCTAATATATTGAGAGTTTTTATTATAATAGGATGTTGTATTTTGTCAAATGCATTTTCTGCATCTGTCAAAATGATCATATAATTTTTATTCTTCATCCCGTTAATGTGGTGTATCACATTTATTGACTTACATATGTAGAGCCATCCTTGCATCCCAGGGACAAATTCCACTTGATTATCTTTTTATTGTGCTGTTGAATTCAATTTGCTAGTATTTTGTTGAGGCCCACAGGAACCTGGGGCCATGGGAGCCTGGTCTTGGGACAGGTCTGGATCCTGGATCTGCAGGGCCAGCCTGAAGACTGGGGTGGGCCTGGAGCCTGGATCTAAGAAGGCCAGCTAGGTTTTACTGAGATAGGCCCTGTGCTGGAGTTAGAGAAGTCAGGTGCTTGCCTCACTCTCCAACCCCCATGCAAAGGAGTAGGAGTGATGCAGGTAATGTGAAACTGTCCTTCCTGTTCTCCTCAGTGCAGCTTTTCTTATTCCTGTGCTCCACCCACGTGCTGTGCTGTAATCTCTCACTTAGATTCCTCAGCTTTTGTGAAGTTATCTTTGCATATGAATAATTCTTCAAATTGATATTTCAATATGGGGACAAGCACTGGAAACTCCTATTCTGCCATCTTGCTGATGTCACTCTTTCCATCATCCCCATCAACAGATGAGGAAACTGAAGTAGCTTGCCCAAGGACACTGTCTTAGTTCATTTGTGTTGCTATAAAGGAATACCTGAGGCTGGCTAATTTATAAAGGAAAGAAGTGTATTTGGCTCACAGTTCTGCAGGCTGTACAAGAAGTATGGTGCCAGCATCTGCTTCTGATGAGGGCATCAAGAAGCTTCCACTCGTGGCATAAGGGGAAGAAGAGTAGGCATCACATGCAAAAGATGAGGAAAGAGGGAGGAGGAAGGTTCCAGACTCTTTTTAACAATCAGATCTCATAGGAACTAACAGAGCAAGAACTGACTCATTACTTTAAAGAGAGCACCAAGTTATTCATGAAGGATCTATCATTAAGACCCAAATACCTCCCAATAGGTCCCACCTCCAACATTGGAGATCACACGTCAACATGAGATTTAGAGGAGACAAATACCTGAACCATATCAGACAGTCAACTCCCAAGTGTTAAAACTGGGATTTAAATTAAGGCAGTCTAGCTGAAAATGGACATTTAGTTCCCATGTTAATCAGCCTTCTCTGAAGTGATGTTTATTACAAAACTAACGCAAAACACAACAGAAAACCACAAACCTTGAATTATACCTCAGAAGATAAAAGGAAAGGAAGGCTACATTGACACAAAAGAGCTCAAACCAGCATAGAGAGGCGAAAAGCTGGTTTGGACTGAGCTGCCACCCATAAATTACCACGATTCCCAAGACTGAGCAACAACTTCTTCTGACTAAGGTGCATTTAGAAAACCTGGTAAATATGTGCAATGGCACGCCATCCTGGGTTACACTGATGTCTTCAGACAGATATTATTAACAATAAAAAAACCTCTCAACTCAAACTGCTCCAATGACAACTGAAATAATTGTGCTAACTCAAGCTTTCTGTCCTGGCCACATGGCTACTTCAGCTGTGAGGTATTTTGGAGAATTGCAAAGAAAAAGGCAGTTCTAGGGCAGAATCCACCTGATCATACTTCGCAATTTAGTTCCTATATCTCTAATCAAGGCAAAATGTCAAAAAAATTATTTCATATCAAATCACCTCTAGGGAAGCCACAATCTAGTTAGACTCACACCAGAAAACTGGCATTTATCAAATTAAAAATGCAAGAAAATATCTTTAATTACTATTGTGCTGGTGTCAAATACGTAACTATGAAATTCTTCAATCATGACTTGCCTTAGGGTTAGACAGTAAAGGTATTAATTGACTTTTCATTTGCTTAACGTATCACTTCCAAGGCAGCCACTAGTAATCCTGATTACCTGCCTTCCCCATAAGAGAAAAAAGAATGGGACAAGAACTAGCATATAATTGGTTGAGGGCTCTGTTGTTGTTGTTTTTTGTTTTTGTTTTTTGTTTTGTTTTGCAGATCTGCTCAGGCTTGTGCATAACTACGTAAACACAAAAACCCAGGGCTCCAGATGTAAACATGCAATTACAGTAATGAACAAGAAAGCAGAAAGTGGAGAAAGACTAGGCCATACTTACAGTTTTACTTATTAAGGAAGAATCAAGAATATCCATGGGATTACTGGATATCTGCCCCATGAGTGGAGATATCAGTGGCAATGGAATGTTTTTAAGGGAGGAAGGAATTCAGAATACACGTCTATACACAGCAAAGCCTGTTGATCTTGTCATGGTGGGTGGCAAAAGTTGACAAAGAAACCTGAGTCACTGAATATCTTTTGTTTGCCAGTTCCATATGATTTTCTTTATATGTGTGGGTTTCATCTGTATAGTTTGATATAAAGAAAAAGCTACAAGCACTTTAACTTAGCAAGAAAAAAAAATCAAGACCCCAGATTCCAGTTCTCCCATTCAAACATCACTTTCCCCATCTCTCTGCAAATACAAACAACTTCACACTAAGGAAAGTGAGCCTCCCCAATTCACTGCTCATGCATGACATCATACCCCTGTCATTATTCAACTCTCAGTATATGAATAAGCTACAGCACAGTTTACAAGCATAGAGCAATCCATTTTGTCAATGGGAACATTGAATTGTTTCTCCTTTTTTACTTCCAAGAATAGGGTAATTCCATAAACAAGAATGTCTGGGAACACATGCAAATTTCCAATCAACACTCATCTTTGAAAAGTCACAGGGTCTCTTGTCAACAGTCCAACTTACAAGGTATCAGGTTCCGCTTACCTTTTTTAACATCTAACAATTAGCCAGAAAGACAATCCATCAGGACTGCTATACCACTGTGTACTGGAGGAAGCGACAAGTACAGATAGCTCTAAACCTTGCTCTTAAATGCCATTGAGAATATTCCTATTACACCCTCCAAAACATCTTTCTGATGACTTTTCTACTGAAAAAAAAAAAAATGTTTTCTTTTCTCATTCTGCCTTTGAACTATGATAGAAGATATGTTTTCCTGATGTCATGGCTATTGCCAAAGAATAATGATAATCCTTACTCAATCCAGTAATACCTTGTATATATATAACACCTCTGCATTCCAAAAGCTCAAAACATTTTTATGAAACACTAGCTCTGTCTAGCACTTCCATCCTCAGCAAGGCATATACATAATCCTCACATACAGAATAGGAAAATGGAGACATCAGAGTTAGGTAAGTCATTTCTCTAAGATTGCACAATGCAGTTGACGATGAGGCCAGAACAATCTGCATCCATTTACTGGGCTGCCTTCTCTTCTCCTACTAAGATTCCAAAACACGTAAATAAATAAATCTGACACACCTTTGAAATGAGAATAATAATGGTTACTTAAGGCAGGGAAAACGTTTGTCTTACCATCTCATAAAAAAAGGTACTAATTAAGGGCCTTTTAAAAAAGCCCAGGCCTACCCATTTTCAGGTGAGTAATGGTAGTAACTTGGAGGCTCACCACCAATAGATATGTAGGACGAGGCTAAGAGTTAGCAGGAAAGGTATGGATCAAGTTTTAGCACGATAGTGTTACCTCCAGCCTCGCTAAAGAAGGATACTAAAGGTTGTAAAAAAAAAACTACAATTCAGACACCATATCAGACACTCTATGCCTGATTTCTCATTTACTCATACATCAACCTATAAAGAAGATAATAGCATCCCCACTTCACAGATGATAAAAGTGAGGCTTGGGAGATTTACTTACTTATACAAGGATCCCAGCCAAAAAGTGGCAAACTCTAGGTAGTCTTGAAAGAAGATGATCTGCCGTTCCCAGAAGTACTCAGCTGCCTTCAATTCGGACTAAGGCAGAATGATGTGTCCCAAATAAGAGACCTCGAGTGGGTACATGAAGTTGAATTATAAGAAATTGTTAATATCCAACTGCTTTCAACTCACAAAACGGATATGTCACGTGGTTCAAAGTATTACTTTGGGGGTCCCTGAGATGTTAATGAAGGGAACAGACTCTCAAAAGTATGAATACCAAGGGCAAAGTCAGAAGCTGCATTGGAAATCACAACTGAGGGCTTCAAATAAAAGGGGCAGGCTGATGGAGAATTGTAATTCAAAAAATGCACCAGTACATAATAAGCTTAGTGAGAAAGGGTGTGTTCCCACCACTGGAGCAGAAACTTTCTTTCCCAGCCCTTCTAGGATTTTGCCCTTTCCATTCATCCTTTCCGATCAAATTCATCCTTTAGGTAAACACAGGAGGGATTAGAGACCTTTAATTGGCTTTCAGGAAGGAATGGTAATCTGAGATGCCTGGGCAGGAACTATCTTGTGTCTTGTGGGAGATAAGCAGTGAGAGAAAGAGGAAAGGAAATATCTGCAGCCTGACAGGCCGTTCCCAGCCAAAGAGGAGAACATTCAAGAATAGGCAAGACTGTTAAGCCATTCACCCAAATTTGTCCCTGAGCTACCAGCCATTTTGAATTTCTGCTTCCCCTCTAGCTCTTCCTTGGTGAAGTAGAGAGGTTCAATGGCATCCCACAGTCTAGATCAGTGGTCTTCACACTTTCGCATGCATCAGTATCACCTGGGGTCTGGCAAGGGTAAGGGATGCTAAGACACAAGTTGCTGGGCCCCACGCCCAGAGATTTTTTATTGAGGAGGTGTGGGGCAGGTTTTGAGAATTTGCTAACAAGTAACTGGGTGATGTTAATGCTGCTAGCCAAGGAGCTCACTTTAAAAATGAGTAGCCTAGCTTCCAGCTGTGTGCAATGCATTGAGTCTCTCTGCCATGTAATGCAATTACCTGGACTGTGTTTGCACATATGGGAACCACACATGATCCAACAAGGATGATGCAAAGAGATGATGCTGCCCAAAGGATTGTGACAGTGGGTGCTATAATGTTGACTTTGGTGCAAAACAGTTTGCAACCCAACTGACTCTGTGGGATTAGTATTAATGATAATATCTAACAGTCATTGACTGGTTAGTATGTGCCAAGCAGTATGCCAAATCTCTACCTATGTTATCTTTGAGGCATAAGTACTGATATAACCCCTGTTTTATAAATGTAGACTCTGAACCTCGTTGGATTAAGTCCACCATTGCTTAGCCAGATAATGGGGAAGGTGGAATTGAAACTCATGACTCTGACTTGCCATGGTGCATTGTACTTCCTGAGCTCCAGAAACAATAGATCAGGAAAAGAGAAGTCTAACTCCTGCGTTCTTTGATAAAGGAATAAATATGGGTGACTGGGAGGTCACAGTTCTTTCTTTGCTCTACTTGCTCATGTCTTCTCTGGGTAACTCGAACATTCTCCTCCAGCCCCATTCTCTCCTCCACCTTATCTGCTTTATGTGTTAAAATGCAAGAGGCAGGAGAAGGGGGTGTCCTGCTGCCAGAGGTGGTGCCTTAGATTTACTTCTCTTTCCCTGTTGAAACAAACAACTAATCTTCCATGGGAACATCACCTACTTTTTGGGGACTCTGGCACAGGAAACGTTATTATGGTATTGGGCTCCAATGGGAGTTAATTGCAAGGAATGGAACATCTTGAACAGAAAACCTTCTTGATTTTATGACATCCAATTCTTACATTTTCTATCTCAACTCTTTGTTGGTGGGAAGAAGGCAAGAGGTAGGAAAATGAAGCTACAGAGACATTGGGCTCTTATATGAATGGAGGATTACTTTCATTGTTACCACTCTGGCTTTGATATGCTACTTAACTAATCTCATAACTTGCTCCTTCACTCTGACAGTTTCAACTTAATAATTTAATCCATGACCTGGCTCCCAGGCCTGGGACTACACATTACTAGGGTAGGAGTTGATGGAGCCTCCTATCTAAACAAGAAGAGGGCTGAGCATATATCAGGAGTCAGGCATCTGACATACAAAGTTCACATGCAACCTCATGGACCATATCATTGGCTAGGCATAGATCTTCAGGAACACTGCCACACAATGGCCAATTGTCTTGGGGTCACCATGTTCAGAAGAGTTTTGTTCTATTCTACTTCGGTCCTGCCTTATGCCTTGATTTTACTGAACTTGAGTACACAAAACTGTGGCCACACATCTGCTTACAGTGATGACATCCTACAATCTCTAGTGAGTAATAAGTGAGGCATTAGGTCCCAACCAATCGCCTTTCATTCTGACCATTTTCAAACCTGTTCAGATATCTCTGCATTAAAATTTTATGTACCCTTTGGCCCAACAATAACATTTCTAGATATTTATTCTACAGATATACCTGCACCTGTGTAAAATAAGACACTATAGCATTACCTGTAATATCATAATACTGGAAGCAATCTAATCCATGTGATCTATGAATAAAAAACTGGCTAAATAATTATGGTCATCTATATAATAGGATCACATGCAATCATTAAGAAGAATGAAGCAATCTACCTGTACTGGAATGGAACAAACCATCAGGATGTACTATTAAAAAAGGGGGGGGGAATATTATAGTATATTATGTATGTAGGTAGAAAAAAAGAAAAGTTTTACTGTACATGTATATGATGGAAATATAATATACTTGAAGGAATCATGAGAAAATAGTAACATTGCTAGTCACTTCAGGAGAGATATTAGATGATATGCCCTAAGTATAGCCGGTACTTACTCATCACTCCTGAGAGGCTTTGAAATTGATTATAGACATTATTCCATGCAGCCTGAAATAGAGTCAAGGAGGAAAGGTAATGATATGGAATAAATCTCATGTTTATTCTTGCCTCCTCCCTGCCGCAAATGGAAGATCCCCCATCCCCAGCCAGGTCCATGCATGCTGGGGAATACCATTCACACACACACCATTCATTCCAGCTTTTACCAAGCCCTCTCCTCAATATTCTACAGCAGAATTTTCCTGTGGAAATTGCTGGCTTTTAAAAGATATAGACACAGCCAGGCGAAAATGCAAAGTCGCAGCCGGCCTTGGGACAGGCCTACAAAAGACGGCAGCACCCTCACGTGAATGTACTTGGACAGAATGAAGATTCGAGAGCCACATTGCCTAAAACATATAGCTGCTGGAGAGCTTGCTCTTCTGTAAACAAAATCTTCAGAAAAATACAGCAAGCAGATATTTTCCCTAAATAAAGTATTATTTCTCAAAGTGTGTTGATTGTATCTCATTGTAAGAACCCCTCTGTATTCAAGAGACCTTGACCACTTGCTCCTTCACTCTCTTCCATGTGAGCCGTCTCTCCTGACTACTCTCCTACCTCTCTCCCTGCTTCTTTCCAGTTTCCTCCTGGCACAATCTTCCTCCTAATCCCACTTGTGAATGCTTGTTCTCTGTTTCCTTCTTGTCTCATGCTACAGACCTTCCTGGATTCATCTGTTCCTATTTGTTTTATTATTATCACCTATGTACCAATGACTCCCAGATGTCTTATCTTCATTTTTATTTTTGAGACAAGGTCTCTGTCACCCAGGCTGGAGTGGAGTGGCACAATCATAGCTCACTGAAGCCTCAAACTCCCAGCCTCAAGTAATTCTTCTACCTCAGCCTCCTGAGCAGCTGGGACTATAGGCATGAGCCATCATGGTTGGCTCTTTTTTTTTTTTTTTGAGACAGGGTCTCACTATGTTGCCCAAGTTGGTCTCAAACTCCTGGCTTCAAGAAATCCTCCCACCTTGGCCTCCCAAAGTGCTGGAATTACAGGTGTGAACCACCATGCCTGGCCCCAGATGTCTTAATTTGTTCTGCAATCTGGAACCCAACTTTCAACTTCTTATGGAATATCATCACTTGGATGTTCCCTGGGTACATCAAAATCCACATTTACAAAATTCTGAGCATATCATTTTTCTTATCCTCCAATCAACTTTTTTTTTTTTTTTTTTGAGATGGAGTCTTGCTCTGTCCCCCAGGCTGGAGTGCAGTGGTGCGATCTCAGCTCACTGCAACCTCGACCTCCCGGGTTCAAGTGATTCTTCTGCCTCAGCCTCCTGAGTAGCTGGGATTACAGGCACCCACCACCACACCTGGCTAATTTTTGTATTTTTTAGTAGAGATGGGGTTTCACCATGTTGGCCAGGCTGGTCTCGAACTCCTGACCTTGTGATCCACCCGCCATGGCCTTCCAAAGCACTGGGATTACAGGCATGAGCCACTGTGCTCAGTAGATTCCCGTTTTTTTGTTTTTTGTTTTTTGTTTTTTGAGACAGAGTCTCTGTCATCCAGGCTGGAGTGCAGTGGCACAATCTTGGCTCACTGCAAGCTCTGCCTCCCAGGTTCATGCCATTCTCCTGCCTCAGCCTCCTGAGTAGCTGGGACTACAAGCACCTGCCACCACACCCGGCTAATTTTTTTTTTTTTTTTTTTGTATTTTTAGTAGAGACAGGGTTTCACCATGTTAGCCAGGATGGTCTCAATCTCCTGACCTCGTGATCTGGCCGCCTCGGCCTCCCAAAGTGCTGGGATTACAGGCGTGAGCCACTGCGCCCGACCAGTAGATTCCCTATTTTAAGGAATATGCCCATCACCCTCCTAGCCACCCAAGGCTGAATCTTAAAGTCATTCTTAGCTGATGCTTCCTCATAAACATCACATCCCATCTGTCAACAAATCTTAATACGTCCATCTCTGAAACATTCTTCTCATCTATACCACTTCCTCCATTCCCAGGCCCATCATCTCAGTTTAGGCCAGCAGTCCCCAGCCTTTTTGGCACCAGGGGACTGGTTTTGTGAAAGACACTTTTTTTTCCATGGCTGGGGTTGGTGGGGGCAGAAGGCTTCCAGATGAAACTGTTCCACCTCAGGTCATCAGGCAGTAGTAGCTCTCATAAGTAGCGCGCCACGTAGATTCCTCCATGCGCAGTTCACAGTAGGGTTTGTGCTCCTATGAGAATCTAATGCCGCTGCTGATCTGACAGGAAGCAGACCTCAGGCGGTAATGCTGACTGGCCCGAAGCTCACCTCCTGCTGTGTTGCCCGGTTCCTAACAGGCCATGGACCTGCACCAGTCTGTGGCCCGAAGGCTGGGGACCCCTGGTTAGTCATTATCACTGCTCAATATTTTATTATGACAGTGCCCTACTGCTGTGCCTGCCTCCAGTCTCTGTCCCCTCCAACCTCTGCCATTCAATAATGTGGCTTTTTTGTTGAAGTCCGTCTGATGATTGAATAATATGGAGATGACATTCCAAGCTCCTTACATGATCTGCAAGGTTCTGCATGATCTTCCCTTTACTAATTTTTCACTTCACCGCCTGCTTTTCCCCTGCATCCGCCTGTATTGAATTACAGCCCCTCAAACTACAGCCCAGCCTGCAGCCCACTATCATGTGCTATTCCTCCTGCCTTTAATGTCCTCCCTGCCTCATCTGCCTGCCAGACTCCTATGCATTCTGCAAGCTTCAGCTCAGTTCTAACGTTCTCCGGGAGTTCTCACCATCGTTTTCTCCAGGCCAATTCCAGCTGAGTTAGCTACTCTCTCTTTATTGCCATGATCATGATTCTCTCTGTTTTCTTCTATTTTTCTATCTAGCTTCACATTGCAATAAACATTAGAGGAACTTATGCCCTTTTTAATCTATCTTTTCTTCTACTACAGCTATAAATCCATGAGAATGAGGACTATTTTTCACTTCTTTTTCTGTCTTTAGGGGTTACATCGTGTCCATCATACAATGAAAAACTAGTTCCTGATAAGAAATTAAAGATTAGGTATCATTCTTCTGACTTCCAAAAGAGTATTCTTTGTAATACGCTTACAATAATAATGGACCAATTGGTTAAAGGAGGGGGAGGTATATTAACAAAGTAAGTAATCTGCAAAAAATAAGATAGCTCTTCACACTATACAGAAATATAACTGTACAACTCTCTCATGATTTCAAAGACCCTGTAACTGGAACTGTGTTTCAATAACAGAAATAATTCTTATTTAAGTGTCTCCTAAGAATTAAGTTATTCATTCAAGTATGTATATGTGTCAACTTCTTATTACTGAGTAAAGCTGGAGATTCCCTTTCAACCTAGATAAATTTACTGAGGTTTATTTCAGGGATGACATCTTTAAGAGTTCCCAGATTTGATTGCAATTTGTAACAATTACTGCAATTCTAAGAGTCTGATCCCCGGTTCTCAGGAAAATTTCTCAGCTGACTGGCAGGTTTGTCCAGAAATGTCTCAGTCCTTAGGAAAAAACTAAGGAAAACCTTCAATTGTCTATCAAAAAACAGGTGGAACACCTTGAGTAGTTCTCTCATTCCATACTATCTCCTCTTATTTCATCTTCTTGGTTTGACAATGACATGTGGGGATGAGTGATAAATCATATTTAGATTTACTGAAATTTTGCAACATTATTATTTCCAGATTTCATGCCATAGGACTAACCTATAGGGGAGACTTTAAAGTAAGGCTATTTGGAGGCCTAAATAATGAAACCCATCCAAGTGGAGACAAAGATTGAACCACATTATAGCAAACACAACTTTCAAACAAACAGAAGCTGCCAACAAAGAGCTCATCTTGTTGCAAAAGTTAATTTGTACATAGATTTGTTTACAGCCTAAAGTTTATTTTTCCATAGAATCTAAGCTATACATCATAAATCTATTCCCATCTGCTTGTAACGCATATTTAGTGCTCCTACAATTTAACACTGATAAAACTGAAGAATCAACCCATCTGTCACATCCAACACGATGTCTGTGGGAAACAATATAAGTCTAATTTCCAACAAGCAAAGTATCAGATTTTCCCACAACTCTTGCAGAGAGAGAAACCATGTTTGAAGAGGATAGGGAGGAAATCCCCAAGATGGGGCAAAGGGGAGTTTGCATGAGCTCTAGCCTGCTAGGCTGGAGAGACTGTTTCCTGCAGCCAGTCACATCCTAACTAGGCATTTGTATTTCAGGAGGCAGCTTATAGAGCTAAAAGGAAATTCCACAACATCAGACAAACCCAAATTGAGGGACATTCCACAAAGTATCTGGCCTGTATTCATCAAAAATATCATGAAAGACAAAGAAAGACTGAGAAACTTCCAGATTAAAATAAAAGAAAAAACAACTAAAGACGTGTTAACTGAATGCAGCATGTAGTCTAGGACTTTCTTTTGCTATAAAATATTTATTTTTGGACAGTCGGGGAAGTGAATGAAGTCTATGAACTGGATAATAATATTATGGCAATATTAATTTTTTGATTTTGGTAATGGTACTACAGTTATATAAAAGACTGTCCTTGTTTTTAGAAAATATGCACTGAAATGTTTAAGATATCATGTCTGCAACCTATTGCCAAACAGTTCTGTGGGAAATATACATTATATATATATATATATATATATATATATATACACACACACACATACCCAAGAACTGTTACATATATGTGTGTGTGTCTATATACACACACACACACATATATATATATATATATATATAACATATATATGAAATAAAGAGGGAGGAAGGGAAAAAAGAATTGGTAAAATGCAGAATGTGGGTATGAAGCATACACAAAAATCATTTGTACAATTCTTGCAACTTTCCTGTAAGTTTGAAATTATGCCAAAATACGAAATATATTTTTCAAGGAGAATCCATCATGTTATTATAATTCTCAGTTATGTGTTAGGATTCTCAGTCATGTGGTCTTGGGGCCTAACTTGCTTTTTAAAAACTTTTGCCAGTTGAGTAGCAATCAAGCAATGCTCCCAGTCCTTCACAGTGTGAGGTCCTTGCTTTGAAAGAGTCTTTGCCTCTGATTCTTCTTTGCTGAGATGGCTCCTAGGGGGAGGATAGAACCGACCTACCAGCCTGTAGTCACCTCAAGAGGACCCACCATTGTGAGTATTCTAAACAGAGCTTCCCGTTCTGAAGGCATGAGCAATATTCAACACTTTCACTCAAAACTTTGGTTGAGCCTGTTTAATTTGGCTTTCCTTTAGTTTTACTCTGCTATGCTTGGATAACTGTGTGCATCTATTTACAGCTTTCCCTGTTGTCTGAGAACGTGGCTTTGAGACAGTGTCATAAGCCATTTCCAACACAGATGCTAATGATTTCTTTACATTAGCTGCTCCCCTCCACTTCTCCTGAAGGTCATCTGTGCCATGGGATGTGGGCTGGTCCTCTTCATTCCAAGCAGCTCACCCAGACTGCTTCGCCTGGCCTTTCTTCCGGCAGCTATCATGGTAAAAGGCTTGACACAGCCCTGTTCAGGCTTGTCCGTGTGCCAAAATCAACATACAATACGTACTTCTGGGTTTTTTAGAGCTGACCCCAAAATATCTATTTACCCAGACGTTGACATTCTCATGAGTAATAGGCAAAGCTCCGAGGACATGCTGTTGGTGGCAGAGCAGAATTCAGAATTCCACTCTGAATTGTTGAGTTGGACGGAGACTTGGAGATCGTCAGTTGCAACCATATCATTTTAGAATAGGGAAAATGGGGCTGTAAGGGGTAAATAACTTGCTCATCAAAACTGGGATTAGAACCCAGGTACTCTGTCACCTGGATCAGTTTCTTTTGATTCTACCAAAGGAATGAATGCACTTGAGCGAAATGGCCCCGGGAGCCTGAGTTATTAGGTGGGTGATGGCGAAGGCAGCCTCCCAGATACATACTTTGGGATTAGAGACAACAACGTTTCCAAATCCTTTTTTCAGATTCCTACACGAAGAAACCTCAAACCCAGGATTCAAGCCAAAAACAATGATTCTCAAGTTCCTATGAAATCCTGGATGGATGTTGAACTGGGCAACGTACTAGCTGACTCCCGTGGCAGATGCGAGCCTCAACAAAGCTCCAGGGCTGGCACTTCAAGGGAGCGGAGGTGTGTGTTTGAGTCTGAGTCACATGCAGTAGGCCATCTGCTCTTATCAACAGGATGAGTGAGTGTAAAGGAATATGAAGGCCATTTCTGAAAAGCAATTCAAAATTATATGCCTCCTATTAGCCTGACTCATGCGTTTCTCACAGCCTATAGAAAAGCTTACTGAGATGCTTTACAGAGAAACTTCCAGAAACTTACAGAAAAGTATACAAGAACAGGGATATTTCACTGTCTCTTGGGCCTAGGACAATACAAGGCAGTCAACACTATTGACTCATTCATTCGTTCACTTATTTGTTTCTTTATTTGCGTGATAAATAATCACTGATTTCTACTTCGTATTAGGTGTCAGGCTGTATTACAGCAAGGTGCCACCCTCAAGGAGCTCATAGAGCTGGTACAAACCCTAAGTAACATATGTATTATAAATATATATGTGTGTGCATACACACACACACAACTGAGTTGCCTTTTCAGTAATGTTTGTAGCAGCTCTAACAATAAAAAAGGGCAATTCAATTGAATTTTGACCAAAAGATATGCATAGGCAGTTCAAAAAAAAAAAAAAAGAAATGCAAAGGCCAGCTAAACACATGAAAGGGTGTTCACGTAGAACACCATACTAGAACAGTTTAGAACAGTGAGATACCATTTTTAGATATCAGATCTGCTGAAATTTAAAACACTGACAATATCCAGTGTCTACAGGCTCTGGAGAGCCAGACTCTTCAAACACTGTTGGCACTGGGAATATAAATCGCGATACAATTTTGAGAGCAGTAGCTATCAAAATTTTTAATGTAAGCACCCTTTAACCCTTTATTTCTGCTTGCAGACATCCTTCTCAAATCCATCTCAAGTGGACATTAATTCCTTTCCTTGCCACACAGCATTCCTTCCTCCTTCTAGTGACAAGAGCAAGGCTAACTAACACTGGGGAATCACTCCCCTTCCCCATGTCCAGTTTATGTCACAAGGCATGGCATATGCCTAGTCCTAGCCTATGTTTCTCTCTTTTTTTTTTTTTGAGAAGGAGTCTCGCTTCGTTGCCTGGGCTTGAGTGCAGTGGCGTGATCTCTGCTCACTGCAACCTCCACCTCCTGGGTTCAATCCATTCTCCTGCCTCAGCCTCCCGAGCAGCTGGGATTACAGGCGCCCGCCACCATGCCTGGCTAATTTTTGTATTTTTAGTAGAGACGGGGTTTCATCCTGTTGGCCAGGCTGGTCTCGAACTTCTGACCTCAAGTGACCCACCCATCTCAGTCTCCCAAAGTGCTGGGATTACAGGCATGAGCCACTACACCTGGCCAGCCCTGACCTATGAATGGATTACATCCTCCAGCCACAATAATTAACCTAGAGGTGGGCTTTTGATACAATTTGGGAACATTTCCTTGGGCAACTAAGAAAACTGCCCTCTGTTTTCCAATGGCCTTGGAGTTCTGAGGGTAGAAACCTGGAGCTCCTGGCAATGAAAAGGAAAGACCTGGAGAATGACACGACATGGGGGACGGGGGGGTGGGGGGATCAGTCCCTGTGACACTTCTTGAGCCCTTGGTAACTGATTCTAAAACCAGATCCACCCTTTCACCACATAAATTTGCTTTTGCTTAAGCTAGTTGAGGTTGGGTTTTCTTTTTTTTTCTTTTTTTTCTTTATTTTGAAATAGAGTTTCATTCTTGTCACCCCTGCTGGAGTGCCGTGGCAGGATCGCTCACTGCAACCTCCTCCTCCTGGGTTCAAGGGATTCTCCAGCCCTAGCCTCCCAAGTAGCTGGGATTATAGGCACCCGCCACCAGGCCTGGCTAATTTTTCTATTTTTAGTAGAGATGAGGTTTCACCATGTTGGCCAGGCTGCTCTGGAACTCCTGACCTCAGGTGATCTGCCCACCTCAGCCTCCAAAAGTGCTGGAATTACAGGCGTCAACCACCACGCCCGGCCGAGGTTGGGTTTTCTATTGCTGAAAACTAAAAAGCTCAAACAGACACATTCATCTACAGGATGGCCAGCACATGTGTGCAAGATATATGCACTCACATAGTCATTGCAGCATTTTTTTATAACAGTGGAAAAAGTATCAGGACCCTAAGTGTTCATCAATAGGAGAAATGTTTCAATAATTATAGTATATCACACTATATTATGGAATCTAAGGGTATTGTATTATTGAAAAAAAAACAAGTCACAATGCAACATGTATAATGTGATTTCATTCATGTGAAAAGGACTGTGTATAAGGATGTGTTCAAATTCACTTATCATTGTATACACAGATTGGTAAATGTATTTACATTTGTATATCTACATACTTTTAAATGTGTATATATAAAGAAAATATTTGGAGGTATGTATACCAAATAGTGGTTAGTTCTGGGAAGGAAAGTAGACCAGGATGAGAGAGAGAAGGGAGGGGAATAGGTGATGAAGGAGAAACATTTTATTCTTTCTTTTCCTGTGCTTTCCTGTGTCATTTTAAATGTTTGTTTAAAAAGAAACAAAGGGGAATCCAGACACAAACAATGTCTTATGCAAAGGCAAGAAAAAGCTGAAAGAGAATACTGAAATATTTTACGTTAGGTTCCTCCAAAAGCCAACCCTGAAGCAAGGATTCCAATGTGAGTAGTTTATTTGGAAGGTGATTCACCGGAACACTGGTAGGGAGGTGAGGAAGTAAGACAGGAAAGGAAGGAAGCAAATAAAGGATGAATCAAGCCCGAGTTACCACTGAGGGCAACTGGAACTTAATCCTGCTGGGGAACTCCATGAAGCAATGTCAAACACGTGCCTCAGAGTTATCTCACCCAAGGGAGGAAAGAGTGGAGGTATTTATACACCCATTCTTGGAAGTCACTGGTCAGGGATGCTTCCAGGGGCCATTAACTTCCTGGCACTTGAAGCCTTCCCCACACATGGGCAGAGTGGGTTGTGTCGGTCAGAGAAGCCCTTGGGCAGAGTGTCGGGTGCTGGCAGCTGGAATTTGGGCCAATGTTCATTAAAATGCTAAGTGTTGAGAGAACATACAGAGGGCGCAAAGATCATTGGCTTTGAGTGTGTTCTTCCAGGACTGATAAGGATCTTAGCGTAGATGGGGACAGATGGTGTCAGGATAGGTAAGAGAAGAGACCTGGAAAGACCAGGGTGAGGCTTGGAGGTTGAGATGACGAAGAGATCTTTTCCACCATGATAAGAACTTCTTGACAATGGGAAGCTACCAGCCTGTGTAAGTCAAGAGGTGATTAGATTAGATTCATACCTTAGAAATTCATTTTAGAACAGCGTGTCTAATTAAAGGGGTCTGGTTGTATTCAACACATTCACATGTAAAGATCCACTAATTGTGAGTGTCACAAGTAACATTCACCCCTTTAACAAATATCTGTTCGGCACTCTCTATGAATATCTATTAAGCCCCAAGAATATGTTTTCAATACTTTTTTTTGAGACAGAGTTTCACTCTGTCACCTAGGCTGGAGTGCAGTGGTGCAATCTCGGCTCACTGCAACATCTGCCTTCCAGGTTCAAATGATTCTCCTGCCTCAGCCTCCTGAGTAGCTGGGATTACAGGCACACACCACCACGCCCGGCTAATTTTTGTATTTTTAATAGAGACGGGGTTTCACCATGTTGGTCAGGCTGGTCTAGAACTCCTGACCTCGTGATCCGCCCGCCTTGGGCTCCCAAAGTGCTGGGATTACAGGCGTGAGCCACCACGCCCGGCCTTCAATACTTTTTTCAAACCGAGTGTACAAGTTATTTTTCTTAATGAAATACAGATAATTCCCTAATCATCACATGAGATCTGTTTGATTTGCAGCCTCATGTATGCTCTTGAGGGGGGAACATAGGCAAGGAGCTCCAGCCGTGGGGAATTGTGCTCATAGATGATGCTCTTTTCCTGTTAGCTGGCACATGAGCTCCATCTGTCAGCATTGAAATTGCTAAGAAATGGTGTTTATAAAATGAAATTAGAGCACACACTGAAGTCAACTGGGACCACTGGGAAGTTTGTTTATTTGTTTGTTTTTTCCAGACATTCAAGAAAGAAATAATGGTCTTGAATTCAGGCCGAATTTTCAGGTGTTGAAGGGAGGGGCTGAATCTGGGCTGGCCATTCTCCATGTGTTGCTTACCCTACCAGATTCCTTTTGCTCCCCTCTCTGCACTCTTTCTACCCCAGGAGCCTGCCTCCTATCTATGGCCTACAGCTCCTTTGCCCTGTGATTTTTGGTTGGCCTTTGCCAACTGGAAGCACTGGCAGGAAATCAGAGGATGAGAAGAGGGACAGCAAATGATGGTGGCGATTGTCTCCCTGGCTTTCGTCCCTCACTGCCCCTACACCTTTCCAGAGTCCTGGCAGTGGCTGCATCTCCTGCTTTAGCTCCCATCAGGTGGCCCTTCTTCCACAGCTCCAAGCTTAGAGATCAGGTACTTTTGGGAATTCCACTGCCACCCCTTGCACCTTATTTTCCTAAGGATGGTAAAGGCATCCTGCAGCTTGCCCTTGGGTCTTTTGCCACTGTTTGTTTGTTTGTTTGTTTGTTTGTTTGTTTTGAGATGGAGTCTCACTCCGTCACCCAGGCTGGAGTGCAGCAGCTTGATCTCAGCTCACTGCAACCTCTGCCTCCTGGGTTCAAGTGATTCTCCTGCCTCAGCCTCACGAGTAGCTGGGATTACAGGTGCCTGCCACCACACGGGCTAATTTTTGTATTTTTAGTAGAGATGGGGTTTCAACATGTTGGTCAGGCTGGTCTCGAACTCCTGAACTCAGGTGATCCACCCGCCTTGGCCTCCCAAAGTACTGGGATTACAGATGTTAGCCACTGCATCCAGCCTTGCCACTGTTACTTAGTTTTCTCCTCCCTATTCGAAAGCCAACTGTTCATTAAACCCTACCTTTCAGCCCTTTGAGTGCTCAGTTTCCTGCAGGAACTGTAATTTCTACAGAGAATAAAAGAATGTTTCAAAGGTTACATTAAGCCTGGCTAGATTTCATGATCAACTAAACATGTGCATGGGAGGTTGGGAAGAAGGAAAAGACAAAGACTTCCCAGTTTCTGGCTGGAAAAGGGAGACAGATAGTTGGCAGTGTGAGAGCTGAAGCCACACAGGAATGAGCAGGTGAAAATGCTGCATGATAAGGAGTAGGCAGAGTTGCTCACAGGTGAGTTGGCATTTTAGACATGTTGACTTGATTCTCCAAGCTGGAGATGCTGCCACTTGGACAGAGCAGTTGGAAATAGAGCGGAGGACTGGAACCGAGATTGCAGATAGATTTGGGAGAATTGAAAGCCATTAAGAAAACCTCGGGCAAACCTTGTGGCTTACACCTCCTTCCTTTTTCTCTGCATCTGCTTCTCCTCCAGCCCCACCCAAATCCTCCCCCTTCAGCCCAGATTCCCCACATCCCCACATAAGGTTACCTTTCCGGCACAGTATCCCACACTTTCAAATCTTGCCCTTTTTCATCACCAAAGATTTTCTGGTTTACAATCTTTCCAAGACCAGAATATTGTTTTCCAAAATGAAAATGAACTCCTTTGATAAAGTACCTCCTTCTAATGTAAAAATAAACTCACATATTACTGTTCCAAGAGAGGATTTGTACATTTTCAAAGGACAATGGCCAGACTACCAATTGGACAATGACTGAAGTCCTTAGTTCTCAAAGTAGGATCCCCCTCCTCCTGAAAAGACCAGAGAGTATTCTGCAGAGTGGCCAGGACTGTGGAAGAGATACGGTCCATCCTCCTGAAGCTTCATTTCCACTCAAAGATTTGCAGAATGGGTGATAATTTTATGTTACATAAAACATGAATATGTGATGGAAAAGATGCAAAGTTCCTACCAATTTTTAAGATAAAACATAAACCTCCAAAGGATTCCCTGCCAAAAGTTCACATTGAATTTGACCTGCTCATGAGGATGCTTAGTGGGAAAGGGGGTCTAAGTTGGAGAAAATTGTCTCTCCAAGGACTATTCCAAAGGCAGGAATTTCTGGACATTGGAGAGCAACTATTTTAGAGCCAGGAACTCTCATGATATTCCCACAAATCTTGCTTCTTTGGCCCACCCAGACTCCATAGACAATGCCTGTGTCTTAAGTGGCAGTCCCTTGCTTAGTTGCCTTCTCTAACTTTGGAACTTGGTGCATAAAATACCTTTCAGATAATGTAAATTCATCTACTATAAGTCTTCTTTAGGTTTTTCTGTCATACACTGAATTTTAAGTATAGCACATTTGCTTTCTTCCTGCAGAGAACATATCCTGATTCCAGGAAAGTCTGCCAGGGGAGAAAAAAAAAGTGCATACGCCAACTTCTTGAAACATTTGGCACCTGCCGCAATCACCAATAAATCTAAACTGGACAGCTTGACATTTCCTCAAACAAGACCCCACCTCTCAAAGAACATTTGTCCTAACATGAAAAACAATAAAAGCCCAGCTGATAGAATGCAAAACATTCTTCCTTGTCTAACTGCAGAAGCAAAAACAAAATAATTGCTTGCTTAGGCAGTGATTTGAGCCATTCCACCATCCATGAATGTTATGGTCCTGTTCAAATGGCATCAGTAATAACCCTCAATAATTTTCAAATTGGAAGAATTTATACACTGTGTCAACACTCTTTTTTTTTTTTTTTTCGAAACCTACCTGCCCAAAGAAAACTGCACTCTGATCTTCTTAAGCATTGTATATGCCTGAATGAGGGCTGTGGAACTCGTTGCATCCTTTTCTACTTTGTAAAAACACAGTTGTCAGTTCCGGCTTTAGAAACAATTCAACTTATAAACAATTTAATGGAGGTTTCCTGTCTCCTCCTTTCCCCTTTAACATGGAGGCTTCCTCCGTTGTTTCCAAAGGAGGACCTTAGCTTCCCCACCAAACCCCCATGCCCACCAACCCTCCTCCCTCTCTCTACGCAAGGGCTGCCAAGATCTCCCAAAAGGAGGACAGGATATAGCAGAGCCTCTTCCAGTTTCCCAATCTCTTGAGCTGCCTCTCGAAGGGCTGAAAGTTTAAGCCTCAGCAGCTTCTGAGCACATTCGTTGCAGTCAGCCACTTGAGGAATCCAATAGACCTTTGCTTGGAACATTGTTCTGTAGGAAAAATACATCCCAAATTCCAGGGGACTTTGGAACAGAACATTTTCACATGATAGCATGTGATCTACACAATATGTTAGAGTCTGATGCATGGTTTCCATGGACCTACAAGATTTCATGGGAGTTTCCTAGCAATGTCACTAACAATTAATCTAGGGGCCTTTGGGAAAGACTAGAAAGACCATCCATTTACTTTAACCATTATTAGCAAAATAGAGACAAAAAGTTCATTCTTTGAGTTTGATTTCTGTTATTTTATAATATATCAGAAATAGTCACATTGGAGGAAATCAGAACTGTTTGGGACTTCTTTTAATTCTTTCATGGGTTGACATTGTTATTTTGATTTCTATGTAGACAAACCAAGCTTAAGGCCTATTAACAATACTAAGAAGGCCTTGATATTAGATAGAGAAGAAAAGTATATTTATGCAAATACCAGCCTTGGTTTTGGTACTAAACTGGGTAACATGTGGGTGTCTGTTTTCCCATGAGTTAGGTTTGCCTAGGGCTTCCTTCCAGTTTAATGTTTCATGATTCCAATCATTTCTTCCCTGTCTTCATGCATGGTTCTCCAATGGTACCTTCCTTCCCTGGAGGAATCTTTGCCAAGAAGACTTCTGCTATAGCTACCAACATAGCTGTGCCACCTGATTCCATGGATTGGCATCTCCATCACCTAATGAAGCAGAGATAACACGGAGGACCTCAGTCAATACTATCTACAAACCTCAGTTGATATCATTTGCAAACCTCCCTGATTCAGTATTAACATTCACAATATTTAATTAGGCACCATTGAATTTCATTTACCAAATGTCAAGCAGATGACAAAATTCTCCCAATTTGATAAAATTTGATAAATTTTAATGTTGACATTAAGTCACTTTTATTTTAGAAAACAGCAAGACATCTTAGATTTTGAAAACGGAAAAGTCAATATCACCAAAGTCTGTTTGTTGGTATAAGATAAAAAATTGAGTTAATTCTTTTTGTTGTCTGTTCTTTGCGCCTCCCTTCTTTCTTTCTTTCTCTCTCTCTCTCCCTCCCTCCTTCTTTCCCTCCCTCCCTCTATCCCCCTCTCTCACACACACAAACACAAACAAATATATACTCACCATCCCTTCAATGTGTGCCAAAGGTCTCTTTTCAACAGTCAAAGCATGTTGAGCATAAAACCAAGTACTACTTGGCAGGGAGGTTTTTATTCCAAAGAACATTAGATTAAACAACCTGCTAAGTCAAAACAGCTTGCGTGAGCTTTAGAATCAGATAAAACAAAGGGTCAGCTAAACTATGGCCTATGAGCCAAATATGTCTTACCGCCTGTTTCTGTATACCTGTAAGCTAAAAATTGTCTTTACATTTTTTAAAGAGTTAAATATAATTTTTAAGTATAATATTTTAAGACACAAAAATTACAGGAAATTTGAAATTTCAGTGTTCATAAATAGTTTTATTAGAATACAACCACACCTGCTTTCCTCTATATTATCTGTGGCTGCTTTCACACTACAATAGAAGAGACTAGTAATTGCAACAAAGACCATATGACCCACAAAGCTGAAATATTTATTATCTGCCCCTTTATAGAAAAGGTTTGCCAATTCTTGCGATAGGACTGCACTTTGATTCTGCCATTTAACATCTCTGTGGCATTAAGCAAGTTTCTTACCCTCTGTGACCTCAGTTTTTATTTCTAAATTAAGTCATGATATACAACTTGCAGATATCTACAATGATGCTTGGCACCACATATATTGGTTCTTCTGCCACACCTCTTTCCCATGTCTTTCTCTATGTAGCTGTCAGAGGCAACAAGCCAACAGATGTTGGCACAGTTCAACTTGCAAAGAGGGCAGACCACATCATATCTTGGTTGCAAGGGCCTGGGCTGGGCTTCTGGGTCTGCTTTAGTAATAGTTATTTTTGGCCAGTACCTGGACTTTTTATTATTTTCCTTTCAGTGGAGGAAAAAGTGGATATTCACAAATTTGCATCTCCCACTTTTGCTAGTATACTCCTGGGAAACTCTTGAGCAAGAGGAAAGTGTGTTTTAGTTGTTAAACTGATAAAATGTATAAAAATATGTCAATAAGCACTAAAAGTTGGAGGGTCCGGGCAGCCCACTCCATGAAAATTAGAATTATGTATCCAATATGCAATTACTGCAAAGCATAACAACTCCCACAGTGAGAGCCCAAAATCACAAGGTCCTTGGAGACTTCCCTGCTGTTCTCCGGATCTCTCTGCCCACTTCATTCAAAATTTCTTTTACCACTAAGTCAACTCAACAAGGAAAATGGTACTCTGAAACCAGCTGAGCAGATGATTTCTACCTCAGAAGGAAACCACTATGTTTAGAGAAATTGAAGTACAACTCGGGTAGTTTTCTACTTAATTGGGTGGCGGCGTGTTCCTGTGGAATGAACTTTGGAAGAGGCCTGAGTTCAGATATCAGTGTGCCTCCTACAGCTTTGTGACCTTACCCATCCGGCTCTCTGACCCTCAGTCACCTTATCTGGGTAACGATGGAAATAATTTTTACCCCATAGGGTTGATATGGGATAAAATATATAAAGCATATCATGAGCTTATGAGCAATGACTAGCACAGAAATGCTGCTATCCTGACTTCCATTCCAAGTGGAATCAGGGGTTCAGGATTGCCACCATACTGAATACCTGCCAGTGCCAGGAACTATATCTATATACAAGATGCTAGTTAATATTTGCAACAGCTATGTGTAGCTGACATTTCTGGCTTCATCTTTTAGATGAAGATATTGATTAAGCCATTCTGAAATAATGATGGGAAAGTACTATTTTCTGTATGAAATGTATAAATTTAAGGACTGTAGCTGGTTGGTTCTGCTGCTAGCTTTGTTCCATAAAAATTACTAATGGTGTCCAGGGCTGAAAAGATGACAAAAATAATGTATTTAATCTTGCCAATTAAAAAAAAACTTTTTATTAAAATACAATATACAAAAAGTACCCTTAAGCATACAGTCCAATGAACTTTCACAAACTGAACACAATCTTAAAACCAGCACCCAGACTAAGAAACAGAACCTGACTAGTACCCAAGAAGTCCCCGGGAATGCTTTCTTCTGGTCACCAATACTAATTAGTATCCTGACTTCTATTTTTTGTTTGTTTGTTTGTTTGTTTGTTTGTTTGTTTGTTTTGAGATTATGCCTCACTCTATTGCCCAGGCTGGAGTGCAGTGGTGCCATCTCTGCCCACCGCAAACTCCGCCTCCCAGGTTCAAGCGATTCTTGTGCCTCAACCTCCCAAGTAGCTGGGATTACAGGCACCTGCCACCACACCCAGCTAATTTTTGTATTTTCAGTAGAGACGGGGTTTTGTCATGTTGGCCAGGCTGGTCTCGAACTCCTGGCCTCAAGCAATCTGCATGACTCAGCCTCCCAAAGTGCTGGGATTACAGGTGTGAGCCACCACATTCGACCTGCTATCCTGACTTCTAACAGCACAAATCAGTGGTGTTTGTTATACAAACTACAGTCATAGAGTGTGAGTTTTTGTGCATGTATCTGGCTTCTTTTGCTCAACATTTATGTTTATAAATAAGATTCATCTATATTGATGCATGTAATTTAGAATTATATCATGCACTCTCAATACTGTATAGCACCCCATTTTTGCAAACATGCCAGAATTTATTTATCCAATCTATTGCTGATGGGCATTAGAGTAATTCCAGTTATGAGGAGTTTGAACATTCTACTACGTGTCTTTTGGTGACTGTTTTCTGCGTTCTGTTAAGCACACACCAACAAGTGGGCTGGTTGAACAATAGCATAGCTACTTTCAGCTTTAGTAGATACTAGCAACCATTTTTCCAAAAAGGTTGTGTCAATGTATACTCCCACCAGCAGTGCATGTGAGTTCCAGTTGTCCCACTTCCTTGCCAACAGTAAGCATCTTCCATCTATTTCATTTTTGTCATGCTGGTGGGTGCCTGCTTGCATTCTTATTTTTGTCCTATATACCCAAAATATTCAAGGACAAGAATGAAAGACAAGAAGTGAGTACAGGAAGAGCAAATTGAGGGAGTATCACAAAGACTCCAAGAAAAACATGGGGGCCACAGCCACGTAATTACCGACTAGAAACCATCATTATCAAATGCATGTGGAATTCTAGTGCTCAATGACTCAGCCCCTCGCCATTGGTGTATTTAACGACAATGGTATATTTAAATTAAAATTCTACAACAGATTCCTGATTTTCCATCATCCCACCTTTGCACGTCAGAATTGCATTTTCTTCCCACCACTTTTTGGGTCTCCCAGAAGAGCCTTAATGAAATTTGTTGGCAAGGAACAAGTAGGAGAAATAGGAGAAGACTGGGCTCTGGATATAGTAACAATTGATAAACATAAATGTGTACTTCAAAATGGGAAGGAGTGGGGAGGAAGAGACCCAGGGTGTCCCTAACACATCCTGTCTATAGGGATAACATCACCAGTTGGATACACGGTAATAGTAATACCTTGCCATTGAATAGCCTTTTTCAATTTATAAAATGCTCTGTGAATCTATGGCATGCATGGCAAGAAACAGATCCTGTGAAAGCAAGGTGCTGGAGGGAGGGCTGCTGCATATCTGGCTTCACAGCAGAACCTTTACTGCGGTAATGGAGTAGAGGCTGCCCTCAGTGAATGAGGGTTTAGGACAATAACAGGAGGGGCTCATGCTCGCTCTCTCTCTCTCGGTCCCTCTGTCTGTGTCATGACATCTGACCCTGGGGTGATGCTGAAAATGGACCTCCCTCCCTGACTGTTCCCATGCAACATACATCCCTACTCTCTACAGCAACCCAAAACAGTTTCACTGCTGAATGTCTTGTAGCATGTGGCCCAGACTCCATAGCTCTTAATAATAGCCAATGCTTACTGGATGCCCACCACACACTGGGGAGTGTGCTAAACACATTACATGCATTATTTATTTTGATTTGGCTTAATTCCCACAAAACTCAGTCACACAACAGATAATTCACAAGACTCAGGATAAATCTAGCTCTCCCTCTCTACCCAGAAACCCATGTGATCTCAGGAGGACTTTTCCCTCTCCAAAACACACCCATGCCTGCTAATGCTTAAGGTCCCACAGTTTCAGCTCTGTTCCTGTGTCAAAAAGGGTTTGTACTTGTTTGATGCATTAATGTTTATTGGGCGCATTATCAACCATTGACACCTTAAGGGAACATGTTTAGAAGAAAAAAATCTTTTTGTAACCTGAGAGCCTGGGATCATGAGCTTCTGAAATGTCAGGAACGTGAACTACAGAACAATTTTCTCTTCCCTTTAGTGTTTCTAAATCCACAAATATTTTTGTAGATTTCCTTTGAGAAAACTCTCTCAGACTCCAGGGCAAAGACTAACTCAAAAGGTGAGGATGAAACAGACATCAAATTATATAAGTCCCAACATGATAGAACAAAAAATTTCCCTTTCACTCTGTACTTGGAGCTAAGTTTAATTATTTTACCCAACAACATATTAACCTCCAAATGGGTATGGTTTGAGGAAACAAAACAGACACTTGAAAAGGTCTAGATATTTCATATTTGACAGAGGCATAATGGGTCCTTACAGTCCACTGGGGTATCATTGAGATAGATGGTGATGGTTGACACCAGGCAAAGGACAAACTCAGCAGTACCACCCAGCCCCAAGCCCACCAAGATAGGAAGAGCGCTGTCTTCTTTCACCTTTCATCCTCCCCTTGCTCAATTCTCTGGTCTTACCTACCTCCAAATCATTTTCTACAATGTAGACAAAGAGAAATTTCAAAATCTGAGTGATTCTTTCCCCTGTGGTTACCCCTTTGTTCTTGGAGTAAGAATTCAAATGCTAACAGATACAAAAGTATAGTGAGAGAGGAGGAAAAAGTGCTAGTGTTCTATAGCACTATAAAGTGTCTGTAATTAACAATAATTAATTATATATTTTCAAATAGCTAGAAGAGTGGATTTTGAAGCTTCCCAACACAAATAAATGATCAAGGTTTGAGGCGATGGACGTGCTAATTACCCTGATTGGATCGTTACATATTGTATACATGTATGGAAATAACATACTGTACCCCATAAATATGTACAGTTATTAAGTGTCAATTAAAAACAATGACAAAGCAAGAAAAACATTCTAAATGCTGAACAACACCAACAATGACCTGAGGAATCTGGCTCCTACCTACTTTATTTGACCATCTCTCACCAGTGCATATGTCAGTCATTTCAATATTCTTTTAGTTCTTCATGCATAGTGAGTGCTCACCCACATTCAGGCCTCCCACCCCACCGTTCTGCACATATGCCTGGAAAAATAATTAAACTTAATTCCTGCTCCCTGTCACTGAATAAACTTTGACTTACTCCTTGGATCTCAGATTAGATTTCTGCAAGAAACCTTCGTCAGGTCCCCAAAAGTGAATAAGACCCAAGTGTTCCTAATGCCTTCCCTTGCATTAACCTCATGTCCATTGACCATAATTGCCTATTCGTTTATCTACATCTTTGAATGTCTTGTTCATTGGTGTATCCCATGTCCTAGTACAAGGCCCGCCCCACAGTAAGTGCCAAACTATTTTTTCATGTTGAATTAATTGAATAATTTGTTTATTAAAATAGGATAATTTCCTCTAACCAAAGAACAGATTGCCAAATTGCCTTCAACCTTCTAAGATAAGCTTGCTATTTCCTTTTGAGAAAAGAAAAGAGAAACTTAACGGAGAGAAGAAAGCCTAACACTCTGCAAAACTAAATGAATTAATTCCATTTAGCCAACAAGTAAATACAGGATTAGGAGTCAAACAGCGACAAAACCTCCCTTCCTTGGCATGTGTTGAATGCATGACCAGCTCTGAAATGTCTTCTATTTTCCCAGACTGCTTTTGTTGCTTAATTGTTCAGCAAAAAAAGAAGGAAATTCAGGCACTCCCAGGTCTCCCTCCCACGGAAACCTGTTTTACTAGCTGCATTTTATATGGCTGCAGAAGGCCCCAGAAGGAACTTACGGAAAAGAACAGGGGCTTAACAACCGTGCATCCTTCAGCTCCAGAACACACATTCAAGCTTGTGAGAGACTCCGGCTTGGGTGTTTTCCTTATGTTCCTCTCAGAGCTGCTGCGTCATTCATTGAACTTGTATTTTGGTACTGGTACAAAGCATTCCCTTTATGGTTCACTCCCAGTCTTAAACCTTACATGTGACCACATGTAAATGTGTATTTTTATGGTCCTATAATCTCAAGACTTTTAAATCTCTGTTGCTTAAAAGCATACAGTGAGCTGAAGTGAAAAGCTCTGGAGGTTTCTGATCATCTAGAAAACAGTTGATGTGCTGGTTCTAAGTGGCTTCATGGCTTCAGTTCTTTCAGGGACTGGACATAGCAGACAAAAGGCCCTGACACCTAATTAATTCTTCAGGGCCTTCAAAACAAAAATTCAAAGTGATCAGAAAATATGCAACCTGTTTCTAGGTAAATGCTTCAGCTGTAGACACCTGTATCTGCTTGTCCACTGGCAGGCTTCCTCCCTAGGGCCTGCTCCTTGGCTGTCTCACAGTACATCCACAGAATTGATTTTCTTCCCTGAGCTTACAGGGAAATCCTTGGGTGGCCTTAATGAAAGGTGGGATTTAAAAAAAATAAATTTTATTGTGCATATTTGAGTTTTACAACATGATGTTATGGGACACATATAGATAATAAAATGGTTACTATAGTAAAGCAAATTAACATATCTATTATCTCACATAGTTTTTTTGGTGACAAGAGCAACTGAAATCAACTTATTTAACAAAGATCTCTAATTCAATATAATTGTATTAACTTTAGTCCTCATGTTGTACATTCAATCTATAAATTTGTTCATCCTATATATCTGCAATTTTGTTCCCTTTGACCTATGTTCCCCCATTTGCTCTCCACCCTTCTTTTACCCCATGGTAACCACAGTTTTCTTCTGTGTACTTGACCTCTTTTAAAAAATATATTCCACATATAAGTGAGATCATGCAGTATTTTTCTGTGCCTGGCTTATTTCACTTAGCATAATGTTCTCCAGGTCCGCCCATGTTATGGCAAATGGCAGGATCTCTTTTTTAAGGCTGAATAATATTCCATTGTATTATGTATGTACCACATTTTCTGTATCCATTTATCAGTCGATGAACATTTAGGTGTTTCCATGTCTTGGCTATTGTGACTAGTCCTGCAATAAACACGGGAGTGCAGATATCTTTACGAGGTAGTGACTTCATGTCCCTCAGGTACATACCCAGAAGAGGGATTGCTGGGTTGTACGGTAGTTCTATTTTTAATTTCAAACTGTTTTCCATAATGGCTACATCAACCTACATTCTGAAATGTGGGAAATTTACAAGGAAAATAAAAACAGGAGAGAGGCTCAGGATGCAGGAAATGTGTTCTCTTTCTGTTCTGCAGAAAGCTTTCCTTACTTTCTCTCAACTCACATTTATTTTTCTCATCTCTCATTCTTCATTCTTATGATGAATATTTTGTGAATCCGGAGCAAGGTCTGATTTTATTCCAAAATTAGCACCATTTTTCTGGCACTGAACACAGGGGATTATGTATCAAAAGAATATTTGCAAATGTGAATTTGATGAAAACTACTGCATCTACCTCTCTATTTTGACCTCATTAAATAATTTTCTATACCCAGAACACTTGAGATGGTTTTGCATTATACAAGTTTAATTCTCATATGCATCAAAATATTTGTTTTTTAATGCCAAATTGGTCAGTTATTACTTTTTTCAAAATCTTCTTTGACTTTTGTTTCTCCTTTTTTTTTCTTCTTTCTTTTTTTTTTTTTGTTTTGAAAGAATTCATTTGTTTCTGAAAGATGGTCATACAGAAGAAAATAAGCTCAAGGCCCTCGATATTTCGGTCAAGGTCTTCACTTTCAGTTGAATAAATTCTGCATTCAAGGGCCCCACACGGAAGTGGGTGGGAATAGTTACATTTCCAGCCACTCTGCATCTCTAGCTTTAGTTTATTTGCAGTGAAAATTCCCAAGGTTTTCTTTCGTTTTATTTTGTTTTTCCATTTGCTCCCTCTCTGACCTGTACTTGTGCCAGCAAATCATTTCTGACCCAAGTGAACAATTTTACAGACAGCCCTGTTCATTTCCACTTGTTAGATTTGGCCCAAACTCAGCGGTCATGGCCTTTTGAATTTTAAGTCAATCTTAAAGTCAATTTAAGTCTCTTATCTAGAAATTGTGTTCCCTCTCAGCATTGTGTCCACAACATACTTGATGATCGTATTTTCAAATCTTCCTCTGAGGAGCTGATTACATTGTTGGTAAGGGTTGGTCAAGAAACAAGTTTTGGCATTACTATTATGATTAGATTTTGAAAGATTGGGTTTTTATTGATGCAGGTCCTCAGGTGGGCATTAAGAAAGAGTTTTGACAGTAACAAGGGATGAGAGGTGATGGAGGTGTTACATTTCCAGCACTTGAGTTTTCTAAGAACTGGCTTAGAAACAGCAATGGCTTCTGATGAAGTGAAGCAGGAACTAGCTAAAGGTTTACGAAATTGTTTTGTTTGGTATCTTGGAAAAGAAAAATGATCCCTCCTATAGCAACATCTTTATTTCATATGTCTATATTTTAAGAGTTGGCCCTGAAACAAAAAATCAGTCTAGTAGGAAGCTGATTCTTTTTTTTTTTTTTTTTTTTTTTAGACAGGGGATCACTCTGCAACCTCGGCCTCTGGAGTTCAAGTGATTCTCCCACCTCAGCCTCCTGAGTAGCTGGGACCACAAGCGTGCCACCACACCCCACTAATTTTTGTGTCTTTAGTAGAGACAGGCTTTCACCATGTTGCCCAGGCTGGCCTCAAACTCCTGAGCTCAAAGCAATCCACCTGCCTCAGCCTCCCAAAGTGCTGGGATTACAGGCGTGAGCCACCATGCTCAGCCAGAAGCTGATTCTTATTCACATTTTGGGGATTGCTGTAGATAGGTCTCTACCAGCTGGCCCCATGCATTCCAAGAACAAGCAGGCAAGCCTCTTTTCTCTTTTTGTGGAGGCCCAGATATATCTCAGAGTCTTATATTACCTTCCAAAGCAGCATGTAAAATCCGAGGTAGGAGTTTTATTTTTCTGCTTACTTACGTGTACCTAGACTTGAGCTATAAAAATACTGAAGTCGATAGTCAAATGTTAATCCAAGAAATTTTCAGATCACAATTCTCCCTCTCTGTCCTCAAGGCTTCAGCTCACTTTGATGAGTCTTAGAGTACAACATGAAATGTATGATTTTGACACCTGTGTAACATGAAGGTTTCCTTTCAATATTGTGTGTATTTATTAGGTGTTTGAAGCCTTGAAGGTATAAATAACTATGCTCTTCTGTACTCATGGGATGTGATTAAATTACATTCATGCATAAAATAATTCACATTGTGCCTTTTTCTGTGTTGTTAAATACTTGAAATCCGATCAGAACCTTCAGGAATTACCACACTTATCTTGCAAGGACATTTAGATTGTGTGAACATTCGTAACTGTCACATTCTCATGGCATTTATAATGAGAATGTAAATAAATAATGAGAGAAAGAAATTAAGCAAGGTAATGAAGTAATTATAAAAAACCAAGCTGAATCTCAAGAAAATTAAAATTGTGGATTTCATGTTAAATATTGAATCTTCTCTTTAACAAACTTTTTCATACAATCCTAACAGTTGTTTCAAGCAAGATCATTGATTAAAATTAGCAGGTGAAAGTAAGAGGGGAAACAAGATTTTTATATAGTCTCAAAGCATATCCCCACAGAATACTTACTGATTACAACAGGAGATGTGTAATTTTATAGTGGAGAAACTAGCGGACACTCCGTTAACCAAGTGATCAAAGTTAATATCACCAGTGATAAGATATCAACACCACATGCCTCCTAATAGGCTGCACTGAGAAGGACACAATATCTCTTCCATGGTATTCCTACTAAAAGTGCATAACCTGAGAAGAATCATGAAAAACATCAGACAGACCTAAAATGAGGAAACTTTCACAAAATCACTGGCAAAATGTTTAACGTTCAATGTCACAAAACACAAAGAAAGACTGAGGAATGTCTCAGATTAAAGGAGAATAAGTAGAGGTGACAACTAAATGCAACATACAATCCTACATTGGATTCTGGATCAAGAAAAGGATATTAGTGAAATAATGTAAAATCTAAGTAAAGACTATAGCTTAGACAATAGGATCGTATCAACGTTAATTTTATCATTTTGATCACTGTACTGTAATTGTAAGAAATATTACTATTTGAAGAGTCTGGATGAGGGCATACTGAAATTATACAATATTTGTGACTTTTTTATAAGTCTGATATTATTTCAAAACTAAAACATAAACATTAAAGCCAAAATAGATGAATAAATGTGCCCCTATCTATGTCCCATCTGATAAATTGCTGAAAAAGAAAAAAGAGAATGGTCGAGAAATCTAAAGTTTGAGAATTACTGAATTAGATGACATATAAGATCCCTTTCCATTCTACAGTTTTACAATTCCACAAATTATGAAATTTAGAAAACCACAATGTGTCAGGATCAATTGCTTTGAGAAAATGTGCCATCAATTTAACCATTAAGAGATAATTTATTTGAATTTCTTTCATCTTTATGTCCACACCAAGGAAGTAGAATCAGCTAATGCTTTCATGAGAGACATCAACTACTTGAAATGAATGTGCTTCTTGTCTTTTCCACTAGTAAGTACATGTACACATGTATATAATCAATGCATGCCATTCTAGATAATACATGAAGTTGATAATTTAAATTATCCATACTCATCGTAACCTAGCTTGGTCTGACACCCAGCTTCCTAAGGCTCACAGTTGGGGTGTTCACAGATTAAAAATTTCATTTCAAATTGCCTTAAATATGCAGGAGATAAACTTGCTGCTATAGGTGTAGAAAATAACATGAAATATATTCTGTGGAACTGTTTAAATATAACCCACATAATTGGGCCTCCATGTTAATTTTTTAAAATAACAACATTCACTTAACTTGGCAATGTCCACACTTTAAAATGAAGGTAGAAAAGTATATTTGAATTTGAAAACAAATTCTCTAGCTAAGACTAGCCTCGGGAATTACTTATCATCCCTGATTCCTACACGTTGAAACATTGTTTTAAGAAAGTATTCCATGTTGTTTTTACCAAGGGTACTTTCTTCTCCTGCAGAAGAATGGTGAGAACAGACTTAGAGACAGCACCTTGGGGTTCCAGCTTTTTCTCTGCCACTTGCCAGCGCTGCCTCGATTTCCTCAGCTGTAAATAGAGAAGACTGGGCGAGAAGGGGATCTTATACCATGTATTATGGACCTCTTGGCAGTGTGATAAAGACTATGTCCTGTTCTCAGAATAATGCTTTTTGCTCATAAGTAGATAAAATATATAAAGTTACTCAAAAACCTAATGACAGAAAACACAGTACTCAAAATAGTTTTAAATGTGTGATATAGTAATATATGTATTTTCTTTAGTAGCACACTAAAGAAGAAGATCTAGCAGTGGGTTCAGTAACTACCATAATTTCACAGAAGTGATGGGCAGAGATGATGTCTTGAGATATCTACACTATAATATGATATAAAGACATCTTTGATTTCCACTGTGTCAATATCATGGGTATAGCTGATGTTCTTATGATTTTTTGTCCTCATTTGAAATAGAAAGAAAGAGTATATTTCAATTAGACGTTAGGGAACACAAAAATGTAATTATTTTCCCATCCAAGTTCACAGAATCCCCCTGGATTCTCTCCAAGGATCCTTTGAGTACAAACCTCTGGACCAGATGACCTCACGGTTCTCTCTTCCCCCCTCGAGCCAGTCGTTTCTCTAATCTTCTCTGGCCTTCCACCTTGAGGACCCGAGTCCATCATGTGTATGTGTGTGTGCCTCCCTCTGGGGACTCAAGTTTAACAAGATATCAAAATATTTCATTTGCGAGTCTTGGCTGCTGTACAGCACTTAGCAAAGCAGAGCCAGTTTTCCTAGTTGAGATTGGTCAACACCAGGTTCATTTGTCTAGTATTTCACAAAATATTTTCCCACATTTGTCCCACTGCAGTTTGAAGGCTGTAACTGACAATATAAATGTGCCCTAAGGTGGAAAGTCCGACCCCATTTCCCTGAGTGATCTCCAGGGTTGGCCATTACCATGCAGATGCCCGGAGTCAAGGGATCTCCATAGATCTGCTAATTATTCCCCAGACTTTTCCACCAGCAATAAAAATCCCATTTGTTGCAGCTTGTTTGTAGAACAGCCCCCATTTCCACAGTGGTGGTATTAATTAGCAAAAACCTGTGAAAATGACCAGAGTTTATGTGCTTTAAGGAGAGGGAAAGAAAGGAACCTGGATCACTTCTAAATATTCTTATAAATTCCCCTATTGCAACCAGGAGCTAAAAGCTCACTTGTCTTAGATACTGTGACTTTTAATGCTTGTAGTTCTAAGTGGGAATTAGTGAAGCCAATTAGTGAGTTCCCATTAGAATAGTGACTTGGTGAATCCTGAATGCAAATAGATACATTTCTCAGATAATCAATCACCATTCCCTGATGATCTAGTGGCGCCTGAAACTGAGCCTGGAGAGATCCTGGAAGCACCATTCTTAGAGGAAAGACCCCTGCTAGTGGGGAGCTGTAGAAACAAACCATCCCTCCAGGGTTCCAGAAGATATTCCAGATGATGACACTGGGCACTGGGGACTGGAGAGTGATGAAGGGTGTCCCTGTACTCCAGCCCAGGAGGACACACAAGCTTTAACCTCAGAGACATCTGATATACACACACAGGGACAGAGGCTGAAGGAGAAGAACGAATGAAGCTGTAGACGTTTTCGTCAATGATCTTACCAAGTTTTCCTGTTGGAGCAGCTTTGTTTCTTATATATGTTTGTGCTAATTTTTAAGTGGCCCTATTTTCTGTTTGTTACAGGTTAGCCACAGGAGAAAATGGTCTGTCCTACGCTTAAAAACCCAGTACTTAATCACTTGCTAAGCAAGTGTGACTCTAGCTTTACTTCTGAAGGGTTAACCAAATGGATAAAGGGTAATAATTCTTCCCTCTCTTCACTTTCAATGAGTGTTTCAGAATGTTTTACTCCCTAATTTCTACCTCGAGCCAACAATCACTGCTGACTTTAGCTAAGAATTCTATTTTTTAATATTTTTATAGCTGCAATGTGAGTTTCCCATGCAGTTTTTATTAACTCTGTTTCATTGCAAGGCCTTGCAAGCAAAAACGGCCCTTATTTTTATTTGGAGAAATCTATTTCGGTGACAATCTAGCCTCGGGGTAGCTATATGTCAATCTCTTTGCTTTTTTTCCTGTTGAAACAAGCATGGGAAAGTTGCAAGACAAACGCCACACAGGGCAGGGCTGAAGGAAGCAGCATACCGATCCTCATCTCTGGCCAGCTCAATTCCAGAAAGTGAAAGGAAAGTGAATGCCGAGGAGGTGCAACTATGTAAGGTAGAAGAAAACTTCTGCATGTCTACCCACTTTTATTCCCAACAGATGAAAAGGCTTAAATTCTCACCACTTATCAACTTTTCCCAGAAATGACATTATTTGGGATTATGCCGGGAGGCTGGAGTGTAATGTTTACAAGAAGCAGCATGTCTTCTTAAAAAAGAAATGGGACTAGGTGCCTGGTGATTCTGGACTGCAACCCCATGGCATCCTAAACTCTACTCACTGTGACCCCTTTGGAGATAAAGCCAAAACTCTACTCACTGTGACCCCTTTGGAGATAAAGCCTAGTCCTTCTGAGGTGTCCCACAGGGATTATCAAAATTCAAACCCCAGCACCCTACACTAAGAAATGGCAGTATGACAGCTGCACCAGTCCTAGGTGTGCACATCATGAGGCCACGTTTTCCAAACACACACAAGCTTGTCATCTGAAGCCTTGGCTGCTTGATTGAAAACAGTATTTGGATTCCCAAACCTTAAAGCTAAATTCTGAAAACAAATGGGAAAATATAACAGAGAGCAGGGGAAGTGTGAATATCTTTGAACAAGTCTGACATCGTCCCAGATTTTTACATTATTTCACTTAATCCCCCCGTCAACACTACCAAGTAGACTTAATACTCACCTTTTATATATGAAGATAAGGTTGGCAAGAGAATTAGCAGCCAAAGAAGCAGGTATAACTTATATTCTCTCTTTCTCTAGCACAATTAGAAAAAGACAAAGTTGGAAGCCACCCTAGAGTCCCTCTGGTTTTACCTCTTGTTTTTCAGTTTATGTGCAATAGAAGAGGGACAATCTAGCCCCCCACCTGTTTTTGTAAATGAAGTTTTATGGAGACACAGCCACACTTGTTCATTTACATATTATCTATACTTTTGCATTGCAAAGGCAGGGTTTAATAGCCACAATTAATATCATATAGCCTACAAAACCTAAAATATTTATTGTCTGTCCCTTTACACAAAATATTTGCCAATTCCTGCTAGAGAGCAATTTGAGAAGAACTGACATCTTAATGATATTGAGTTTTCTAAACCATGCATGTGGCATAGTTTTCCATTTATTAGGTCTTCCATGACTGAAATGTTTTGTATTTTTGTGTACAAGTCTTGCACATTTTGTTAGAAATAAGTTTAAGTATGTTATGCTTTTTGACGCTACTTTAAATGGTATTTTTAATTTTATTTTCAATTGTTTGCTGTTGGATACACAAATACTATTGATTTTGTATATCAACCTTGAGTACTGAAATCTTGCTACACTTACATATTAGTTCTAGAAGCTTTTGTGTCAATTTCTCAGGATTGTTACATAGATAAAAATGCCATTTGTGAGTAAAGAGTTGTATTCTTCTTTTCAATCTCTATGCCTGTTTTTCTTTTTCTTGCCTTATGGCACTGGTATGAACTATAGTACAATGTTAATGGAATTGGCCAGAGTAAATATTTTTGCTTTTTTCATGATCTGAAGGTGATTTAATAGCCACCATTAAGTACGAAGTTAGTTGTTGCTTTCTCCCTGGATTTTGAAGTCCACCCTTTCATTTCTTTGTGTCTAGTGACAATGATTTTTTTCACAGAATGAATGAGAAAATGGAGAGCCTAAATAATCTGAATGTGTATTATTGAGTCCTGCCATATGTTCAAGTTTTCTAGAGTTGACTGGTTTGACAAGGCAAAAAGGAGATGGGGGTGGTGAGAGAAAGTAGTACAAAAGTCCGCCTTTCTGTGCTGCTAATTGTTTGAGAGAAAGTCTTGAGTAAGAGCGTGAAATGGCACAACTGCCTTGGAAAACTGCTTGGTGGTTTCTTATGACATAAAACATACACTTTCCCTCTGACCCAGCAATTCCACTACTGGGTATCTACACAAAAGAAATAAGTGCATCTGCCAACAAAAGTCTTGTACATGAACTTTCATACCAGTTTTATTTGCAATGGCCAAAAATAAGAAATAACTCAAATGTCCATCAGCAAGATTAGATGTTTAAAGTGTGGTATAATCATACAGTGGCATACTATTCAGTAGTTAAAAGGAATAAACTCTTGATACACACAACAATGTGGATGAACTTCAAGAAGATAACACTAAGTGAGGGAAGCCAGACTCAAAGTAGTGAATATTGTTGGACTCCATTTATATGAAATTCTAGATCAGGTAAAACTAATCTCTAGTGATAAAAATCAGAACATTGGTTACCTGGGGTGGATGGAGGGGGAGGAATTGACTAGAATGGGGCAGAAAGGGACATTCTAGGGAGATGAAAATGTTCTAAATCTTGACTATGGTGGTGGATCCATGGGAGTATATATTTGTCAAAACTCAAACTGTATACTTCAGATCTGTGCATTTCACTGAATGTAAATTAATCCTCAAAGAATAAAGTTAGAAAAAGCAAACCTTGCACTTCAGCCTGGGCGACAGAGCAAGACTCCGTCTCAAAAAGAAAGAAAGAAAGAAAAAGCAAACCTGCAGAGCAAATGCAAAACATTAATAAATTAGTCTTCATTTATTTGATGTACTTTATCATTTGTCTGATGTAATTTCAGATACTTTGCCCCTGGTATGCAGAAGATCTGCTGAAGACCAATCGGCAGTACCATGGAATAGCTTTATAAGCAGGAGTCCAGCCCCACAATCTCTACCGACAGTACCGACAGACATCCCCCTACTAATAAACATACACACTATGCAAAAACCATTTGTGTGTCAAGCAAAGAAGCTTCAAAACTGGTTCCATACACCTTTTCCAACTGAACTGCAGGCTTCTGAGCCCTTCTAATCAGAAATTTGGGGGCCACCACTGTGAACCTCAAATCACTTAGTCAGCCAGCCACTCAGACTGAAAGCATCCTTTTCCATCCACTTGCAAACCCTTGTCCACCCTCTTAGCTTCCTGGGTTCACACACATGCCCCACCTACTGCTCTAAATCACTGGAGTAATTAACTAAACAAGTAAATGCAGTCCAGGTATCACGCTTACAACAGTACTGGAGATTTAGCCGAAGACCAGGCAACATTAGATATCACTACACTTACCACTTCTGTCTTCCCTTTTGTTCTCCTTCAGTCCCACTAGATACTGAGAGGTGTCTGCTTTCTCAACTGTTCTAGAATTTCTGAATGGGCTGCAAGAGCCTCCCCAGGAGATAAGAGACCAGAGAGCACAATTTTTATCTAGAGAGGCCTAAATCCTCACCGAGTTCACCACACCCTAGAATTTCAGAGGGCTCCAGAACCATAACATTTTTTTTTCCTTAAACCAAGACTCAGGCCAGAAAAACTGGGTTTCACCAAGCTCATCAGTCTGTCAGATCCAAGTGAGGCCTTTGCCCTTGCTGCACTTGCTTCCCAGGACCAACAGGCAGCCATGGTATCCAGCAGGTGCTCTATAAATGCTTTCATAAAATGTGCACTAGGGTAGGGAGATGGTGACTCTCTTTTCAGGGTACTGAGAAGTTTAAAGTGTGCAATAACAAATTTACTCATCTATACAAATTAAAATTGGTTGACTCATAAGAATTTTCTTTTGAATTTTTACAATTAGATTTTTTTTCCCCGTAAAGAATCCTTTGCTCTCCTGGGCTACACAGGGGCACACAGGCAACTGAGTTGAAATATCTGCTTTTGTTTCTAATCCAGGAAAGGTAGTTTAACAGAGGAGAAAAAGCAGCGACTTGGAGGCCAACCCACCCTAGCTTCTGACCCAGAACGTGTTACTTAAAACCACTCGGTATCTGAAGATAATAATTGCTTACATTGCAAGGTTGGGAGAGCCTGGGACCGTGCCTGGCATCATGCTTGGCACATATCTGGATCTCAATGATTGGATGTGTTTTTAGGAATAATAGAGCTTCCCTTTCTCTAGGCACATGGGAAAATTGGCCCTGAGCCCCACCACCCCCAGTCCATCAGCCTCTGCCCCATTCTAAATGTATCCCAGGGTCAGGGGTTCAGAAATGAAGTAGAACATGAGGGCTGTCTTAAGCCAGAGCGATGAAGTCACGTCCTGGTCCAGCGTTCACTCAGGCCTTTAGGGAACCGGAGAAGAATGATGCTTCGAGTGTCTGAAGTAAGCAAACAAAAGAGGAGACAAGCAGCCTGAGCTCCAAAATTCAAACCTAGACCCAGCAACCATTCCAAAACGGCCTCAAACTAGGGCACCACGAAGCATTATGTAACCAGAAGGCTTCTTTATTTATTCCACTGGCAAACATTTCCTGCTTGGTTTTGTATAAACACGGGTGCAGAATTTCCTAGCAGTCGTATCTTCTGTGGGGCCAGCTATCATTACCCTGTTTGGTTCTGAAGGCTGATCTCATTGTTTCAGCAGCTCGCTTCTCCTGCTCACACCAGACGCTTTCACTGGTGAATTACCTCCATTTAGGGATGGGGTTTGGTTAAACACTTTTGGATTTACAACACAACAAGATTTAATTGTCCAAAGGAGCATCCGCAGCATGAAAGAATCCCTTCCGCCAAAAACCTGGGAGCTCACGTGTAGTCCTCAGTTTTTCTGAGAGGTGAAAAGAATGCAAAGATACTTAAGGGCTTAATTCAGGCAAGGTTCTACCTTGGTAAGACCATATGGACATGGCAGAACTCAATATGTTCTAGAAGAATCCTAAGAATTTTACAGATATTAAATCATTCCATGCATACACACAATTCTATAAGACAGATATTATTTCATTTCCATTTTACAGATGAAGAAACTGAAGCACGGAAAATCAAGGTGACACAGTTAATAAATGGCAGAGCCCATATTCAAATCCAGTCTGGCAAGCTCTAGACTCTGTGGTCTTATCCGCTATGCCACATTACCTAAACACAGTTCCTAGGAACAAATAATATTTGAGCTGTGTCTTTCAGCCCCTGCCTCAGGCAACCATGCTCCTTTCACATAACAAATATTTATTGACAACCACCAATCTAAAAGATGCAGAGCTAAATAGGACATAGATCCTCTTCTCAAGACCTGTGCTGGCCATTTGCCATTGGCCACATTTAATTAATTTAAATTAAATAAAATTTAAAATTTATTTCCTTAGCAGCACTACCCACATTGCAGCTGCTGAATAGCCACATGTGGCTAGTGGCTGATGTCTTGGACGGTATAGATACAGAGCATTCCATCATCACAGGAAGCCCTCCTGGAGAGATGTTCCAGCCATTTGCTACTCAAAGAGGGTTTCCTGGACCAGCAGCATCAATATCACCTAAGAGCTTTCTAGAAATGCACAGTCTCAGGCCCTGCCTCAGACTTATTGGATCAGAATCTTCATTTTAACAAGATCCTAGGAGATCTGGGCATACTTTAAAGTTCACGAAGCACTTCAGTCTAGAAGCTTTTTTTGCCCTTAACTTCTATTTTGCCAATAATCTCAAACTCTTTTATCAGACACATACACCATTATTCCCATTCCCTGCTAGAGTACTCATTAAAGTATATTGTCTTATAATAAATGACTTAAAGAACCAAAGCTGTCCAAGTTAAAGGAATAAAAAGATAATGGAGTGACAGGCAGCGGGGTTCTGTCCAATATTCCTTCAAACTGCACTATGTAGAGGGGCACCCCTTCCTCCTGTAAGATGAGTCTGGGCAGAAAAGATTAGATGGGAGGGAACAGTGGAGAGACCTGAGCTTGATGGTCAGCACAATGGGGATCCCAGTCTTGGATCCCTTCCTAGTAACTGGATGACATTAGACAAGTTGCTAAAATCCTCTGGACTTTAGGTTCTCCATCTGTAAAATAAAGCAGATTGTGAGGCCCCTTCCACCTCTAAAACTTTGTGTTCCCATCGAGCTGGTGTGTAAAGGGAGGAAGAATTGGTCCTCTGGGGTGGGATGTCAGCCTTGGATCATGATGAGGAAAGAATTATAATATTTCAATCAAGTATAAAGGAATCTCACAATAAAGATCCTTCCTAAGCAGAAATCAACATGGAATAGAGCATCATGGACCCTGTACACAGTGGGGTCAACTGAGGCATATTGTAAAATGTCTCCCAGTGCTAGACTGATTACATTAATGGCCTCAATTCTCCACCCCTTTCTATGTCCACTATCTTTGCCATGTGACTGCAACTCCCATCAAGTGGTGTGGTCTTTTTCCCCTGCCCTTTTCATTCTACCATGTGACTTTGTAGTGCCCTTCTCCTCTGACCCTGGAGATGGTCATGTGACTTGTTTTAGACAATAAAAAAAAATAAAAAATGATGGCATACAAGTCCAAGCCTAGACCTTAAGATGCCTGAATACTTCCTCTCTTGTGCTTCTACCACCACCATGAACATGCCCGGGCTAGCCTGCTGGAGGATGAGAGACACATGGAGCAGAGCTGAGTGATTGCAACTGACCCAAGAAAAGCCATCCTAGATTAGCCAACAGCCAGCTGACACCCAGGCATGTGAGTGTGCCCAGTCAAAATCAGTGGAGGTGGCTAGTTTAGACAAAGCTGACCACAGATGCATGAGCCACACATGTTTAATTTTGTATGTTACTGAGGTGTTGCATTATTGATACACTGCATCATTGTGGTACTGGATAACAGACATACTCCCTTATAAGGCAGCATCACTGTATGTTTCTAAATACAGATAAGATTTGTGATTAAAATCATCATCATAGAATCTAAGCCCTTTTCATCCATTTCTAATTTAACTCTCACAACTACCCTATAAAGTAGCCTCTTAAAAATGAGAAAATTGACGCTGATATAGGTTAAGTCCCTTGCCCATAATTTCATGGCTTCTAAATGTTTGAGCCAGGATTTGAACCACGTTGTCCAATTCCAACTCTTTTTCTTTTTTTTTTTTTTTTTTTTGAGATGGAGTCTCACTCTGACTCCCAGGCTGGAGTGCAGTGGTGTGATCTCGGCTCACTGCAGCCTGTGCCTCCCAGGTTCAAGTGATTCTCATGCCTCCACCTTCTGAGTAGCTGGGATTACAGGTTCCCACAGCCATGCCAAGCTAATTTTTGTATTTTTTTTTTTGTAATAGAGACAGGGTTTCACTATGTTGGCCAGGCTGGTCTCGAACTCCTGACCTCAGGTGATCCACCCGCCTTGCCCTCCCAAATTGCTAGGATTACAGGGGTGAGCCACCACACCCAGCAAATCCAATTCCATCTCTGAGCTACATTTTAAAATGCCAGTGCTATCTGCATATTGTAAGATGACATGGAAAATGACTGGCCTAAGATTCCAGGCTCCACCCCAGTTCTTGCCAATAAAGAGTTGAGTAAATGAGAACATATCGTGGCTCTCTAAGCTTTGGTTTCCTCAACTTTAAGAGGAAGAAAATGAACAAGCTGATTTTAATTTTTCTTTTATTTCAACATTCCATTATTCTATAAGATACGAGCCTAGTTGGCCAGGCACAGTGGTTCATGCCTGTAATCCCAGCACTTTGGGAGGCTGAGGCGGGTAAATCGCCTAAGGTCGGGAGTTCGAGACCAGCCTCACCAACATGATGAAACCCCGTCTCTACTAAAAATAAAAAATTAGCTGGGCATGGTGGTGCACGCCTGTAGTCCCGGCTACTCAGGAGGTTGAGGCAGAAGAATTGCTTGAACCTGGGAGCCAGAGGTTGCAGTGAGCCGAGATCGTGCCATTGCACTCCAGCCTGGGAGACAGAGTGAGATGAGATTCCATCTCAAAAAAAAAAAAAAAAAAAAAAAAAAAAAAGATATGAGCCTAGTTTTTCTAATATCTAAGACTCCTTCTTGGAATGATAGAATCATATCTTAGAGGCTTTATGGTATTGTTTATAATAGACTTTGGGCAGAGATCCAAGTCTGATGGACATTGGGGTTCTGCTGGGGTCTCCTCCATCCCTGCTTGAGGTTGGATAAGCTGAGGTTGAAAACTCAAGAGTAAACACAGGAGCCAGATTGTTCTCCAGGGCTCAGAGCCAAAGGAGCCGGATGGATCTTACTACCATCACAGCCCTTGGCATCAAAAACAGCTCTCTTAGGGATTGTGCCAAGCATGGGAGGAAAATAATGTCATCTAGGGGCAGTTGGGGGGACAGAAAGAAGGCTGAGATAGAAAAAATGTACATATACAGACATCAAGGATAAATAGCAATAATAATAACAGCTAACGTTTATTAAATGTGTACAATGAGCTAGATTATGTGGTCGACATGGGAAGCACCTCCCAGATTCCTTTTCAGGAAAGGCTTGCTGCCCAGTTGTAGGTGTACAATCTGCATGCAGCCTCTAGCTGCCAGCTCCTTCAGGGTCTGCCTTTTCCACAGTCACCACACCCAAGCCACGTCCGTTCTTGGGCAGCCCACACCAAATGACTGATCTATTCAGAAATTTAAATGATTAGTCATCTCAATTCAACTCAGGACAGCTCTGGAGGGCTATGCTGGCTTCAGAGTCTATGTCTGGTTGGTTGAGGCTTCATCGGACTTATAACACCCAATCTTACTTCTTACCCCTTCTTTTCATGGGCATTAATGCTTAGTAAACATCTTGTTTACCAAACTCTGTCTCAGCACCTACTTCCAAGACACCAAACCAAACTCACTCTATGGGTTAATGGTGATAGTAAATACTGTGATATAATCTATTCGCCTGATGGAAATTTCATTTTGTTTAAAAATAAATAAATAAAAGAAAAAGGAAAAAGGAAGGAAGGAAAGGAAAGAGGGAAGGTAAAGGAATGAAGGGAAGGGAAGGCAAGGGAAGGGAAAAGGAAAGGGAGGAAGGAAGGGGAGGGGAAGGGAGGGAGGGGAGGGGAGAGGAGGGAAAGGGAAGGGAATGGAATGGAAGGGAAAGGAAGGGAAGGGAAGGGAAGGGGAAGGGGAAAGGAAGGGAAGGGAAGGGGAAGGGGAAAGGGAAGGGAAAGGGGAAGAGAGGAGAGGAGAAAATTAATAGAAGTTATGCACTTCCTAAGATTCTTGACTCACTACCATAGGCCCCCAGAAATCAAATTTGTGACACTTTTGGACCATTATGAAAGGAGTTGTCAGTGCTCAACTAAGCATCAGCCTGGATGAGGAAGAGAGAGAGAAGAGAGAGATAAACTTCTCCCCTCTGTTCCCAGATTGCTAACAATCCTTCAGGTTCTACAATAGCAGAGGAAGAAGCTGGCAATAAAGGAGAGACTCGGGGCAAGTTGGACCATGAATATCAGTAATGCCTGACTGGGTTCTCAGAGGTCCTTTTGTCCTTTGTTTTCCTTTCAGTTTATGGCACCACCTTTTTTGTAAGACATAATAATAATGAGAAATGCATCTTGATCTGTTACTATGACACAAGCAAATGTGTATTACATCAGTTATCACTCACAGCAACCCCAGAATAGTGAGGTAGATGTTATTGTTCAGCAACTACTCACTGTCCCTTCCTCCTTCCATGGGAAAAGCATGATGACCCACCCCTCAATGTTAAACTTGGCCATATGACTTGCTTTACCAATGAAATGTAAATATATGCAAGCAAAGCCTCTGCCTTGGTTGTTAAATGGTTCAGTTCATTCTTTCATGCTTCTCACATTGGCCTCAGAGAACCACTGCTCTCTCAGCCTCATATCAGTGGACTAGACCTGAATCCAACTGTCAGCCAGTAACAGAGTTGTCATACTTGACCTACAGATAATTAAAGGAGAAATAAAATATCTGTGACTATAAGGCACTAAATTTGTTTAGGGAAGGGGCTATTTGTTACACAGCAGGACTGTAATAAAAGCTGACTAAAACAGACATGTTCTGTGCTTATTTCCATTTTCAGCTGGGAAAATACAGGTACAGAGAAGTTAAGTGGCTTGACTAAGGTCACACAGCTAAACTGGTGAAGCTGGAATTTCAACCAAGCAATACAACTCTAAAGCAAAGTTCTTAGGCCCTGCTTTATATTACATAGTGTTTGAGATAAACATTGTGAATCCATTCTATGTGAAATGTCCGGGGAGCTTCGAATTCCACCTCAAACCAAGGCACAGATATTTTATTTCCTAGGTCTTCTTTTTAAGCATTCTTACATTATAACATCTATGAACGAGCCCATATTTAACATATGACTACTGTGAATATGAGAATCAAAGCAATTACACTAAAATGTCCAATTACATCATTGGCTTAGGAACTATGCATACAGTTTCCATTTCCGAAAGACAACGAGTTATCATTTTTTAAAAATCTGATTTTTCTTATCAATGGAAAACTCAGAGCTACTTCAACTGCAAGAGAGATTAGCAACATGTTCTAACAGGCATAGCTCTAGGCCTTTGTGCATTAAGAGAAGGACATATATGAAGGAACTTGAATTTAACACTTAAATTAAAAATATGTATATACTTTTTAATTTTGCAATCGAGTAATCAAAAAATCTTTCCCCTTGTGATTTTATACTTATAAGCAAACTTTCTCTATGTGATATCGAAATGTATACAATTAAGACAAATGATTGATGTGAGCCTCTCCATCCCCTGCTTTTTCTTCTCATTTACTGAATTTAGACTACGAAAAATTCTTGAACCTTCTTGGGGAATTTAAAACCCAAACAGAACTTCCATGCACACCCTTCCTCAGGACAACTTTATCCATCATCCCCTGCCATTGTGGCTGCTTTCACAGCCCTTTGAGAGGATAAACTTGTGACCCAAGCTGGGAAGTTAGGACTGACTCATGCTGAGCAGTTGAGCAGTATAAAGTTCATCTAGTACTTTAATTTATTCCTTCAGAGTTCCTACTGCCCCTACCAGAAGCTTATTGCCACCGTCCTCCAAGTTCTTTCAACTCAAACCGTTTATGCACCTCACTAGAGATACAGAACTATAAAAGTTCTAAACCGTTACTTTAGATTCTTTTCAGGCTCCTTCAGAAGATCCGCTCTAAAGACAGTGGCATGCGGCAGCAAATTACCTCAAAGGAAACATGCCATAAAATACTTACTGGAAAAATGACCTCGGGTAGAAGATGCATAACAAAGATTATTATTATGCATTTTAAGAGCCTGCCTCTAATTATCTGAAATGCATTTTACCTCTTTTAGCCTATGAACGTCATGAACAGAATCAGGGTAATTGCTCTCCTCACCTCCATACTAGATGGACGAACTGTTCTTTTGTGGCTCTGAAGGTCTATATCAATGACTTTCAAAAGGCAGCTGAGCAGGTGAGAATACACATTACAGCTGCAAAGCAAAACAAAATGCCTGCCAGCTTTTTATGCTCATTATGAGGTCTGCTGTCAGCCTGGCCCTGACCTCTGCATGACAGGAAATGCACAATGGTGATGGAGTCCTCATTCCTGCCTTCATGATGCTCAAGAAGCTCGTGTTCCCTCTGCAAATAATTGTGAGCAACAAGCTCAAGATGTGTTCCAATCCTTGAGAAAGAATACAAGGGCAAGTTGATCAATTATCTTGATCTCAAGTCTACAAGCAGAGAATAGACTGACACTAAATAATTCTCGTACGAAGCAGAAAGTGATACATGCCTAAGAGAGACCCAGATAATAAGCAATGAGGGGTTGAGCAGAAAGAGAGAGTACTTGAAATTAAGGGGAACAAACTGAGGCAGGAACTCTGCACTGAGAAAGCCTTTGAGGTGGGTCTTGAAAGACAGAATTAGGACTTATGCAGATGAAGGGAGGGCTTTCTAAACAGAAGAGAATTCTATTCAAATAAGCAAAGGATAAAAAGTGGGGAAGCAAAGACAGAAGATGGAAATAACTGTTCCACAATGAATCAACTGGAGGAGACACAGTTGGCAATAATGGGCCATAGATGGGAAAAGTACAATGGGAGTTAATTTGGGGGGTCCATTACTATGAGGCTCAGGAAGCTGGCATGTCTTCAAAATCTATGTTGCTGAGCTCTTGGTGTTGTGAAAACAGAATGGGGGGACAATCCAGGATACTACCCTGTTGTGACTGGGACAGTCTGCTTTTATCTAGTTGACATACTAGAGTTCCTGGACAAGATTTCATATGAGGGACCAAATATGAAATGACTGCTGTCAGCAAATAGAAGCTATGCAAGATCTTTAAGAGGATCGGGTGAGTCAAGAGATCAGATGCCAAAAGATGAGTCTGGTGGCCGCAGTGTTTAAGATGGATTAGAGTGAGGAGAGTGCAAACTTGAGAAGATGAATTAAGAGGTTAGTGCAACATCCCCAGGTAGAGGCACTGGGGGCCTGAACTCAAGTACAGCGGTGTGGGAGGGGAGGCCAGGCAGTTACAAGCAGCACTGAGGTCAACCTTCTGGGCCTTGGAAAAAAGTGGAATACAGTTGAAGCGTTTGAGCCTGGGAGATGGGAAATTGTCACTACTAATAGAGGACACAGAACACAGGACAAGTTTGGAAATTGAGAAGCCGAGTTCAATTTGGGAAATATTAAGTTTAAGGTCCTGGCAAGATTTCCAGTTGGCAAGCAGCGTGGTAGAAGTGTCTTGTCGGAAGTTGGGAAGAAAAACTCACTGGATAAACACACACATGAGAAATGAGCACATGAGACAGTTAATCATATACAAGAGGGTATTTTTTAATAAAATGCAGAAGCTCATTACATTCCAGATTCCACTTACTGTTTTGCCCATTTGCTGCCTTGGTATTTCTTCCTGACCCCGAATAGAACAGGTGCACAATATTTGGTCCCGGAATTCTGCTCTTCCTGTTTCTTATTCTTCTACTCAGAGATCTCATTTATTACCAACTTCAAAAATCCACTCCAGTCCCATTCTGCTGCTCACTCCATAGCCCCATAGTTCCAACTGCCTGGTAGAGATGGCCACCTGACTTGGGCATCTCAATCCCCAACTCAACACATACAAAGATAAATTCATCGTCTCTTCTCTTCCTTAATTGGTACTTTCTCCAAACGTCTTTATTTCTTTGAATAGGGACTTTGAGCTGTGGTGCCTCAGACCTTTTCTAATTCTTGACACAGCCATCCTAGAATAGCCGTTTTCTGGGACATTGTTTCCCCTTGTATTAGGCTGTTCTGATGCTGCTAATAAAGACATTCCCGAGGCTGGGTAATTTATAAAGGAAAAAGGTATAATTCACAGTTCCACGTGGCTGGGGAGGCCTTACAATCATGGCGGAAGGCAAAGGGGAAGGAAGACACATCTTAAATGGCAGCAGGCAAGACAGCATGTGCAGTGGAACTCCCCTTTATAAAACCATCAGATCTCATGAGACTTATTCACTATCATGGGAACAGCATGAGAACGATCTGCCCCCATGATTCAATTACCTCCCACCAGGTCCCTCCCACGAGATGTGGGAATTATAGGAGCTACAATTCAAGATGAGATTTGAGTGGGGACACAGCCAAGCCATATCACCCCTCCTCAAAGCTTCTGGGAGCTCCCCAATGTGGACAGAATAAAAGCCAAGGTTCTCAGCCCAGGTTTCAAGGTCGTCCACAAAGGCCATCAATGGCCATTCTTGGGTCCACCCCAAATCACCTTTCTAACCACGGTTTCTACTGCCTCTCTTCTCAACCCTGCATGGAGGACACAAACCTGCACCTGATACTCAAGCATGCTTACCTTTATTTCTTCCCTCCTTCTCAAGTATATTAGCATTCCTTCCTTCTGGCAGGGAGCATGACTCCCCAGCCGATTCCTCATTTGACCTGTATCCATTCTCCAGGCCTTGTCAAAAGTCCTAACTTGTCCTGAACCCCCTCCTTGTCCATTCTGGTGGACAGAGAACAAAGTTGAGCTTCCTCTACCCTCACTAAACAAACCAGATGGTGTTTGCATATCTGTTTCCTCATGTATGATATGGGGGTTAAAACCTTACCTATATCATAAGATTTTTAAATTAAATATGAGCTCAATAAATTATTATTATGATCACTAGTATTATATGTTAGACATTGGGCTAGGCATTTAAGGATGTAAGTAGGAATACTTACATCCTTGGCTTTTCATGGCAAAACATGCACAATCCCCACCCTCTTTAAAAACTCCATAAAGAACCAGCCCTTTGCCATGTACTTCAAACATTGTTTCACTAATAGTGATTTTCTAGTTTTTAACTCTTGAGAGCAAGTAACTTATCATCTTAGCTTAATTATTCATGGCCCTGAAATAAAACAAGAACATCCTTCCAAGTCATATTTTACCTCAAGGAGCTCAAAATCTAATGGGAGAAAAAGCAGAAGTGAACAGGAGAGTGCTTTGTGCCTACTGGACTGGGAAGAGGAGATACAAGTGATATGACACTTCTTCGCTGTCTTGTCTAATTATCTTTTCTAAGATGTCAGGTATGATTCTTCTATGTGAATGTAAGCCTTGGACAAAGTATTTTAGAATATTGTCCTGAAGTAACTCCTAGGAAAGTGTATCTTATTTCTCTTTCTTGTGCTTTTACCTTTCCCAGAAGACTAGGTACTAAATAATTATATGTTCATGGGATAAACGTTTTTATTCCAAGAGTTGGAGATTTTTGCTCATCTTACCATACTTAAAATTATAGTGTAATTATTAATAGTTCAATATTTAACACCTTTTACTGATAGGTCCTCACCCTTATGTATCTGCATATCACACACATACACACACACACACACACACACTCATCTCTAACTGCCCAATTCACATGTACCCAAAGACATTTTAAAAGCACTCAATCTAGAGTCAAAAAAAAAAAGAGAGAGAGAGATTCTAGATTCGAGTCTCAGCTCCACATCTAGAGCAGCGATCAAGCGTGTAAATTATCCTTGCCAAGTCTCAGTCTACTCATCTGTAAAATGGGTACACCAAAATGTGGCTCCCGGTCCTGATTGATCATAGGACTCTCATACGGGGAGACTTGTTATTCATATTCCTGGATTCCAATCTGAACCTATTAGAGCAGAAGTTCCAAGGGAGGCCTGGAATCTGTATCTTTAAAAAATCACTCCAGATGATTAGGTTAATTCATGAAGTTTGAGGATCCCTTTAGCAATTCTGATTCCCCTCACATTAAAAGGCCTCCTCCAAGAAGCCTGGGATATCCTGGAGCTAGGATCTGAAGCAGAGAGTGTATAACTGTTCTAAGACAGAAGCTGTAATAACAGGGTCACTCCTCCTTGTTTTCTGCTCAGAAACAGCCTTTCTTTTCACTTCCCAACTGCGGTTTCTGATTAACATAAATATTTCAACCATTTATAATTCTTTCTCATTGATGGCTAAGGGCAAAGAAAACACTTTGATTATTTTGATACCTCTTAAGACTTAAAGCCAGCTTTGAACATGTGACACAAAATCTCCTTCATCAGATAGTATTGTTGCAGTTGCTGAATTCAGTTTAAATCAGATGGGTATCTTCAATTGTTTCACTGACTGAACTGTGTTATTTTAAAATCTTATTGCATCCTCCCTGTTTACCTAAAGATATGTTTAAGGAAATATACTCAGCTTTACTGACTTTGATCAAGGCTCTTCTATAAAATGCCACTTTGCTGGTGCTTTAGCTCAATTGACTTAAGAGAAAAAATTTTCCCACTGTCCCCGGGGAGCTCCAGGGCTCTGCTTTGCCAGCTCTGGAGAATGAGTTTTTCTAAAAGAACAAAACTACCTACAAGAGCTTCATGGACTGAAGTTTCCAAACTCTGAGCAAATTTGGGGAAATTTGAAGAAATGTGTGTGCTCATCAAATATGACCATGCACCCTCCCCCTATATCAAATGATTCCATGCCTATAGACAAACTAACAAAATCATCTAAATTCTATCAGAAACTAACTTTCTGTTAGAGATTCTGTACCTTTTTTTCCCTGCAGTTTCTGGCACAAGAAACCTGCTCCCAAGGAGTCCAATTTTCTGATAAGGGGTCTCAGCCTATGGAATCTGACTGCCTGGCTCCATCTTTTGCTAGCTACGTGAATTTAGGCAAGGCACTCAAACACTTTGTATTTTAGTTTCCTCTTCGGAAAAATAATAGTGCCTGCTTTTCCAGGTTGCTATGAGGTTTAAATTAGATATTACATATAAAGGGCTGAAAATAAATCCTACCGCATAGTAAGTACTCCACGAATGCTAGCTTTTATTTCTCCTTGCAGGGTTATAGCATTTGAGGCAAAATAAGTAAAAAAGAGTCCCCTATGCCCTGTCTGTCCCACTACCTCAGCAGCAGACAGATGTCTTCTTGAGTGCTTTGCCTTTGTCTATACCAAGAAGCCTGTTCAACCAGGTGAAACAACTGCCCTGGTCCATACATGCTTCTATTTTCTTCCTCAAAGAGAACTTGGAGTTCCCCCATGCTTGGATGGCAGTCACTCTTAATCTTTCTCTGCTTTCTTTCCTATAGCCTAAGAGATACCACTAGCTGGGTCTCAAGTACTCTATTCCAATTTGCCATTGTGAAGTCATCTTAATAACACTTGCACACTAGCAAGCTCAGAACAGCACTACTTCAGTTTGTCCCTACTGCTGCCATTCTGGAAGTGAGAGATGCACAAGCCAAACTCAGGTAACCTCAATCTCTAGCATCTAGTAGACACTCAATAAATACTTGAGTTATTAAATCAGTCCTCTCAACCCTTCCCACTAAGGCATTCAGACTGTAGCAATGGTAGTCTAAAAACCAATCCTTCTCTCTAAGAGTGCCCTTCCAAAAGGGAAAGGAGGGAAAGAAGAAAGAAGAAAGAGAGGGTTGGGATTGTGCATGTTTTGTCACAAAAAGCTAAGGATTGTTATAGCCATTGGGAGGGAGGACATAAATATGAAGTAACAGACATCTAAATAAATTCCATCTATTCTGCAAGATTCAAGCTTTTATTTGATGTAGATGAGACAGTAAAGAACCTGATGTCTTGACTAGGGAAACAACAAGAGAACTACCCACGACTCTAGATGAGTTACTTAGCAAGGGAAACAGGCTTTTCTAAACAGCTTCTGCCCCAGAAAGGCTTAAATAACATCAACTCCTTGGCCTTGGGTCCTTGCATGCTCATTTCTTACTGAGCAAGATGGCTCTGCATTAACAAAGACAATCGAAAACCAGATCATGCAGAAAATGAATTGATGGCAAAGCTTCCAGAATGAAAAAAAAAAAAAAAACTTACCATGAAAGTGACAAAACCTAAAATCTCACTGATTTAAAATATGGGATTTTGAGATTAGGACAATTCTTACTAAAATATGACTTGGAAGGGTGTTCTTGTTTTATTTTAGGGCCATGAATAATTAAGCTAAGATGATAAGTTACTTGCTCTCAAGAGCTAAAAACTAGAAAATCACTATTAGTGAAACAATGTTCGAAGTACATGACAAAGTGTTGGTTCTTTATGAAGTTTTTATTACATCCTGTTCACTGGAATACTGAAAACTCAGATCGTTCCCAGAACCTATTATCATGGTCAGAATTCTATGTTCAGAAAAAAATGTACTGAACTTTCAAAATTTAGTTCGTATCTGAAGGGAGGGAGCTGGGAATGAACAATTCTACCCAGGAAAAATAATATGAATTATTCAGAAGAAAATTCTCCATAATAGCTTAATCTTCTCTGCTTCCACATATTTGTAACTGATATAGCTTCAGGAAGTAAAGAAGTTACACCCATGCTAGTTCCAAGTGAAAGGGCCCATGGCATTCTGGGAGTGGTCTCCTCTTATCAGTGTTACTTTGGGGAACACAATAGCTTCTGGGCAATGCCCATTATTGGGAGATCAACCAAATTGCCAATTTTCGACCCTAAGATAGTGGTTGAATTAGCGTAAAAATCTCTAGTTATAATGTATTTTATTATTCTGAAGATATTAAAAAAGGGATGACTTTTAAATTTCAAAATATCCCACTAAGAAAGCTTTCTAATTATTAATAAAGGTGGTATAGACAGCAAGGAAAATGACATAGAAATGAAATTTTATTTATGTAGAATTCACTTATTGAATACTTTTTAGTCTGATCTATGTTCTAGACAGAAACACAGCCTGATCCTTTTTTCTATTCTCTTTCTGTTTCTCATGGCTGTCTCTGTTACCAGGGCTGTGCCATCAAAGGAAACCACATATGCTCTTGGCCTGGCTAAACATGGCACGGTTGGCACGTGGATAAAGAAGGTCACTGTGGAAGCATGAACAGAAACAGCACAACATTTTGCATGCAAAAAAAAATGAGTCACAGATACCTTAAGAATATATTACTTAGAGAAGAGAAAATGTAAACGGATTACACATTTGGGAAGGCGCAAGGGGAATAAATGGTTAAAGGAACTGAGATTGGCCCCACAGGGTGGTTGAGTAATATATGGAGTGTTATTAGATCAAAGTTCTCTATCTCCAAAGAAAAAACAACCAAAAATTGGCTTTAAGTCAGTCCAGAAAGATGTCAGCTTAGCTTTTAGGATGAATTCTTGATGTATAAGTTGATATGTATCATATTAGGTTACAAAGAGAAGTCTTGTAATCTCCCTCCCAGGAGAGGCATGAGACAGGAAAAGTCCAGTAATGCGCACGGCCATGTCAAGTGGCCGATTCACCCAGAGCCAGAGGAACCCACCAGGAGACTTACCAAGGTCCTTAGAGGCTCGGGATTTTCTCATAAAACAAACACGAGGCTACAGAAGTGACTGCTCTGCCTCTTGTTCAGCAATTTTAGCAAATTCCAAATACTTTTCCTTCATACAAATGAGGTTAACAGCAAGAACAGATTTTACAAGGACATTTTACAACCAATCAGCACCTCGTGGAATGAGATAAATACCTGCTTTTTTCCTTAATATGGTAAATGGCTGGACATAGTTTAAAATAGAGCCAAAGCTTGGTGCAATTAAAAAAAATAGGTGACAAACAAGAGACATGTGCAGGGCAAGCATGTAAATAGCTTTTGGGGAAGAAAGCTAATGGATCTAGTGTTCACACAGGGAAATTTCACTAGACTCTTTAACCAAAGTCAATCTGCCACGTTGAGGAAATGCAGGATCAGCCTTGATACTTTTTGTCCCAAGGGAAAGTTGCCTGGTTGCCAGCAAAAAAAGAGAACTATTTCCATTTCTGTTCTTGCTCTGAACAGTGGGCTGAGAAGAAATTGATCTCATGCGGAAGTCTACAAAGAGAAAGCCTTCTGTTCACTTCTTTCTCAGTTGAGACTTGCTCCTGCCAAACTAAAAAGACACACATGGAATCACAGACTCTTACAAATAAAAGAAATTTAGAAAGCTTGCAATCTAAAACACACACGCATCTCAAAACATACCACTAGCTAAAGAAGGCCCGTAGCCCAAAGAATATTTTTCCTTTTCTCACAAGAAAGTTGCAGTCTAGGTTAGAAAACCTGCTGGAGGGCAGTCCCATCTCAAGAACGCAAGATGGTTGCCCCAGTTCACTCTGCACTGAAGTGAAACCTCCAGCTTCCTCCCCAGACAGGTCCTCCCCAAAGAGATCACAGCATCTCTGTTCAGAAAGAGATCTCAGTAATCTGTCTTAATTGCTGAGCTTCTAAAAAGCTTTTGACTCCGCCACAGTTATGCCTTAAAAACCCCCACACCCACACTCAGAAATTTTTGTGTTTTAGCCATAAATTTTTTTTAAGACAGTTGAATCAGAAACCTTGGGACCATATTGCTCTGCCAAATAAGTCATGTACGTGGAAACTGAACCCCCACTAGAATGCCTCAAGTTGTGGCTAGGTGTGTCACTGATCTCTTCTCTGTTTAAAAAAAAAAAAATCCTTTCCTTCTGTTCCTTTACTTCTTTTCTAGGTACTAAGTAAATAAGTAGAGAGTTTTGTAGTCCCCAGCTTGTACAGCTAACCCCTCATAAAACAATTCATATTGTATAAAATAACAATGCTATCCATTGAAATTAAAATGGAAAAATTTTAACTGTTACTCAGCAAAGACAACAAAGGTGTCCCCTTTCAGAGTTGATAAGAGATCATGAGATTGAAACTCTGCACAGCACTTTGAAAACTAGAAGCCCTAGTCTTAGGACCTCATTCTTTTAAAGCCAATAGCTTTGAAAGCTTGCTAGATCTGAAACTGGCTCCATCCTATGTTATGTTTTTGATCTACAACACTGTGAAACAATTACTGTTGTAATCAAATACACTTTGATTATTTACAGCTCTCTATGCCATTTACCCTTACAGAAAATAGTTCTTAAACCATATGGATAATAGAACAAAGCAAAATGGCCTTGAAAATAAACCAATCCTGCAAAAAAGTCATGTTTTTAAAATGTGTGTCTGTGTGTGTGTGTGTGTGTGTGTGTGTGTGTGTGTGTGTGTATAAGAGGGAACAAGTATTTCTGAAAGCTCACAAAATTGGAAACAAGGCAAGTCAGTAAAATTTCTTCTAAACCACCTTTCTCTACCCCTGGAAAGCATTTTATGAGATAATGAAAACCTCTAACATTGAGTGATGTGATTAAGTAATAAAGGGCTGAATTTTCCTTCCTATGTAACTCCACAGGGTGCTTCCTAGTGCATTGCAAATGTCTGTATAAAGAGCTAACTGTGTGTTGGTGTGCCACCAGATTACTGGTGTTCGTTAAAGGAGATCCCACTGAGATTTTTCTCTAGACTGGTAAAACAACAGCTTCATTCTCTCTACCCTAATGGGCTGATTAGTGAGTCCTACCCTTCCTAGAAAGCACTGTACACAGCAGATATAGGTGCATTGTCTCAGCCCTAAGTGTGAAAGAAGAGCAAGCTTGCACACTTGAAATCTCATGGTTCACCAATCAACACTATTTGGTTGGGAGAGTTTGCCTGAAGAACTAACATGCCTTCACATGCTTCATATGAGATGGTGACGTTCAGCCACTGCAGATATTCCAGGCTACTAAGAGAAGATATATAGCCAGCTGTCAACCCCCGGAATGCAACACTTAAAGGATGGGGAATGTATTCCTTCCTGGGTTTAATCTCATCACTGCTTCCCTCTCTGAGGATGGTGCAGGGCACCCAGGTTTGACCCAGACTACTGCTCCACAGGTTCCAAGTAACGCATGGGTTAAGCCAGCCAATAAATCAACCTCCTAACCAGGGCTTCATCACCCTATACCTGGACTCTCACAGCTTTGCAGCCATCTGAAATTTCTTTAATGGGATTACCCTGATGGACATAAAATCTCTGGAGTCTGTCATTGTAAAAGGACTGCTTCCAACAATATTTATGAGAAGGTGCTTTTGCAGTTATTCCTCAAATCTTTCTCCCAATATTCAAACTTTCTGTATTCTAAATTCTCCTCTCATAAAACCTTTCACCACCAGATGCATGCATATGTGAGGAGGTGTGTGTGTTGGGGGGGGGGAGTATTAGCTTTATTTTTTAAAACTTTTATTTTGAAATTATTTTAAATCTACAGAAACACTTTCACAAACCCCTCTCTGTTTCTGTGTGTGTGTGTGTGTATCCAGGCATACACTCAGTCGCAGACAGTTGTTTCTGGACCATGTGACTCTAGGACACATGTAACGTGTCCTTGTTCTGAAATACCTCCATGTGTATATCATAGGAATAAGGATAGCCTCTTACATATCACAGTACTGTTACCAAATTCACGAAATTTAACATCGATGTAATATTTTCTTCCTACAGACCATATACAAATTTCATCATGTGTCCCCAAGAACTCCCTTTATAACAATTATTTCTCTGAAAGGATTCAGTTCATAATCACATATTTTATTCAGTTATCAGCTCTGTAGTCTCCTTTAACCTGGGAGCAATTCCTCAGCTTTTCAGTTATTTTATAGAATGTTTCTCAACTTGGATTTCTCTAACATTTCCTTATGATTAGGTTCATATATCAAATTTGGGCCTGGAATACTACATAATGATGTGTTCTTCCTGAAGTCTCATCTCAGGATTCTGATACCCAATTTGCCCGTTTTTGTGATGTTAGTTTCTATGATTTGATGAAGATCTTGCCCCACTTCTTCATTGCATAGAGACCTGTTTTCCTTCTTTACCTTTAGATACCTTGAAATTATGTAAGTAATCTGCATTTTTTTTTTTTTTTTTTTTGAGATTGAGTCTTACTCTGCCTCCCAGGCTGGAGTGCAGTGGCACAATCTTGGCTCACTGCAACCTCAGCCTTCCAGATTCAAGTGAGTCTCCTGCCTCAGCATCCCGAGTAGCTGGAATTACACTTGCCTGTTGCCACACCCAGGTAATTTTTGTATTTTTAGTAGAGACAGGGTTTCACCCTGTTGGCCAGGCTGGTCTCAAACTCATGACCTCAGGTGATCCACCCGCCTTGGCCTCTGAAAGTGCTGGGATTACAGGCGTTAGTCACCGCATCTGGCCTAAGTATTCTGCTCTTTATTTAATCTGTACCTCTAGATTTAGCATCCAATGATGAATCTTGCCTAAATCAATTTTCACTCCGACGTTCTCGTATTCTCTAAGTTACATTGCAGAAACTTAATTCACTGACACCACTCCAGGGCAGAAGAAAACTAGATTGCTTTAGCAGTCATGAGGCGTTTTCACAGGGTGACCATCTCATACGCCGGGAAAAAGGGGAAAATGCCTATGCTACAAATGGGCCAGCTTTGTCACAACAGGCTTTCCTTTTATCCCAGTTTCTTCAAAAGAGTCCTGTCTCCAGAGGTGCAATTCCAAATCAGAAGTCACCACACCATCTTCCACTCCTGTGATTCAGTATCAAGCATTTTTCATTATGCTCACATACAGCCTTTAGTCCAGGGCACTTCCTCCCTTTTGTTTAAATTGCTTGTAGAGTAAACATCTCAAAAGTTAGGATGGCAGCCAAAAGAAGATAATCTCTCAGGGGAAAAGATTGGAATCCTCACAATTTCCATCACCAAGAAGCAAAGGAAAATGACAAGTTGCTATTCATTTCCAAAGAAATTGTACTCTACAGTGAAGTTTCCCACCTTTAATTTCATGAAATGAAAGTCTTTCAAAATGTTACATTTTATAAATGGCAAAAAAAAACCTGCATCGCAACATTTCCTATGGAAACAAACACTTTTGCATATATTATATAGATAATTTACACACAAACACTTTTCCTTATAAGAGGAGCTGCAGGCATCTCAGAAACCTGATAGGTTAATTATCAAGAGAATACTCTTCTGCTTCACATGAAATGAAACAAAGTGAAACCTACTGGTTAGGGGAATCTATCACTTATGCCCTCTGGGGTTTATCATGTTCGCTAAAAATAAACACACTTCTTTGAGGACAGATGGAAAATGTGAGGTGACAATTCATTCTCCAGGAGAGCTCGTTACTTCCCAAGAGGCAAATTCTCACTTCAAGGTGTGGAATCCCCACCTGCATTAAAAAACCTCTGCAATCTATAGGCAAGCATGCCTACTGCAGTGAGGATTATTCTAATAAAACTGGAGTTTGATTGAAAACAAAAATAAAAACAAAGTGATAAGGTCCAACATATAGTTGCTGATATGGCCAGTCTTGCTTCCCTTATCACTAATCAGAATCTGGCAGCATGAGTTAGATTTTGTCATCTAAGAAAGATTTGCTTCTCTTTCTTATATTGGCATGTATTGTGTAAAGAGACTATAGCAAAATCCCAGCAGCCCAGCCAAGTAAAAAAGACTACACATGTTCAAATAGAGTGAAAGAATACTGCATCCTGTTGTATGGTATCCTGTCATGTCAGATTTTATTGTATTTCAGAGCTGGAAGCAACTTAAATATCATTTTATAGCCTCCTCATTTAATAGGCAATGCAAACAATGGCACAGCTTGGATACATATTCATTTAATAACTATTTAAATTTATTTAAATAAGTATTTGTTCACAGAATATTTACCAAGCCCCTACTTTGTGCCAGGCACTGGGCCAGGCCCTAAATATATGATGGGAAATAAAGTAGAAATAATAGTAGATGATCCTTACGCTCACAGATATTGCAACCTACTTGTGGAATTTATTGATAATAACATCATAGTTCATTAAAAGCTTTCATATAGATCACTAGTGTTCAGTAGAAACGTATTATGAGTCACTTATGTAATTTTTATATTTCTAGTCCTGTCTCCAGAGGTGAGAGTCCAAATCAATTGGCTACATTTTTTAAAATGTAAAAAGAAATAGGTGAAATTAATTTAATAATATACTTAATTTAATGCAATGTATTTAAAATAATCAATATAAAAAGTTATATAGTCAACACAAAAAGTTATTGATATGTTTTACATTCTTTTTTATATTAAATCTTCAAAATCCAGTGTGTATTTTACATTTACAGACATCTCAATTCAGATGGTAAATTTTCACCAGAAGTATTTGATCTATATTTAGATTAAAATTTACAGTTTAAAAAGAAGATTGGCAAATTCAAGTTGTATCAGGCATTCTTAAAAGTTTTCAAAGACCTGAATCAAGCAGGTCTTAAATTTAAGTTAATCAAAATTAAACACAATTAAATAATACAGTTCCTCAGTCACACTAGACCCATGCCAAGTTCTCAGTAGTCCCATATGGCCAGTGGCTGCAGTATTGGTGCTGTAGCTCTAAACGGCATCCTTTTATTTTTCTAAGAAATACATGAACAAAGCAGGGCAGGCATTACTGCCCACATTGTATACATGAAAAACAAACAAGCCTCGGAGACAGATAAAATGAGTCATCTGAGGCTGTACACTACTGCAGTGAGTGGTGGAATCAGAATTCAGTCCCAAGACTCCCAAAGCCTAATGATATTTCTCCTCCACCTCTCTGTATTAAAAATGAGAGTAAAGAGTCCTGTTCTGTTCACAGCACTATGTTAGGTTGTACAGAATCACAAATGCCAGATTAATAAATCTGGACTTGAGCCAGCCCACAGGTAACACACAAGTAGCCTAAGAGCTGAATTTAGCCACAAATGTGTTCCATTGAGCAGGTCTTGTTTTTCTTTTGCAAATCTAAACTTAACTGCTTCTCAATAGGACATGCATTTTTTAGTTTACCAGAAACCTCACCACCCCCTATTAATCATAACCATTCAGTTTCACTCACTTACTCTTCTTTCCCTAGCCCCTGATGCTTTTGAATTTGCAAACCCAGTGAGGCAACAAGCATCATTAACAGTTTTCAAGCAAGGAATGAGAGTCACCCAATACTGCTTTCAAAAGACTAATCTGGTCCTCTGTGCAGGCTCAGTTGGTATCAGTAAAGACTAGAATCTAAGAAACTAGTTTAGTACTAGCCTGTTTAAAACCTCATTTGCCCCTTTCAGATTTTTCTTCTAGCTCTCATTAAAATATTTTTTGACCCCAAAAGAATCTTCCAGAATATCTAAAGTTTTTAGTGACTCAAAAGAAGCTTTTAATGAAAAGATAGAGCTACACACACACACACATAGAGCTGGTCCCTACCTGCAGGGCATCTGGATGACTCCTATGGAAGGCTTTTGAGTTCAAGATTAAGATAAGGATTTTAAAGATGTAAAGACATCTTTTTTCCTCCCCTGCTTCCTTGCTAGGATGCACTGGACAAAACTTATATCTTCTATATATCTGTGTTCTTTTCTAGTCAAGTGAAAATTTATTAAAGCAAAAGCAATCAATCAAACTTGTTTTTCCAATATGAGTTTATCAGTTAATCTGGTGCCACTATGACATAACATATTCATCATAACTTGGGAGAAGGTAAGAATTTGTTTAAGTCAATTCACTGAAATAGTCCAACTACATTTTTTGTAATTCATTTCAGAGTTAGTTTTCCAGATACGAAAAATATGTTCTATTACTTGAATCTACATGTTTTGATGATTGCGTTGAGTAGGTGAGTCTAATACAAAAATTCTCAAACCTGAATATTAGAGTTATGGGGTGGGAGTTGGGGAAGAAGTTTAATTAACAAGCAGATTTCTGAGACCCAGAATTAGATTCTATAATAATTCAGTAGGTCTAGGGCATCTCAAATCCCATAGGCGAATCTGATGCAGAAGATACCTGTATACCACATTTTGAGAAATATGGTATGAGCAATTGGCCATGGATCACAGCTCTTTCACCTGGATCAGAGATCCCTAGATTTATTGAAGATTACTTACCAACTAAGATGAAGTATATTGATTGCATTCATAGTGCGAAGTAATGGTTGCTTTGTGTGCACACTTTCTGCAATGTGATTCTGTGGATCCTCCCGTCAAGAGGAAGATTCTACTTCCCTCCCTTTCGAGTCTGGGCTGGTCTTGTGATTTGCTTATAACTTTGCAGTGAAAGTATCAGCACATCAGCTCCAAGTATGGGCCTTGAGAAGTCTTGCATGCTTCTGTCTCTCAGATCCTTGTCACCACCATGGGAACAAGCCCAGAAGAGCCTGCCAGAGGATGAGACTGCATGGAAGAGATTCCAATTGTCCCATTCAAAGTGACCTTAAATCAGCCTACAGTCAGCCAGCCATTGAACGTGTGAAAGAGCCCAGCCTAGAAAAACAGAGCTCCCTATCTGTCCCACAGTTGGCTAGAGACTCACAGTGAGCTGGCCAGTGTCAGAAGTATCCAGCCAAACCAAGGGCAATAAATCTTACTGTTTTAGGCCACAGAGTTTGGGGTAGCTTGTTATGTAACAGTGCTAACCGACACATAAGGCAGAGTACCTACCATCTGTCCTCTCTTCAGGCAAGTTTGAATGAGAAAACAATTCCTTCATAGGAAGAAAATACATCTGTTATTGTGGCAGATAAACCCATGGGCAGACTCTTACCATTTGATTTCACTGGGTTTTATCATGGCCCTATAGTTCTCCCAGCACTGGTGGACCAAGGTGATGGCCAAGGAGAAGTGATATCCAGGCCCCAAATAAAGTAATAGTTAATAACAAAAAGCAATGTTATTTAAAAGCATTGCAAGATTAAAGACCCAAGCCAAAACTTAATGAAGAATTTTTTGTGTGTGTTCCATCAAGGTCTTGCTGTCCATTCACCATAAAAGAACATAGTGAAACTCTGTCTCTACTAAAAATACAAAATAATTAGCTGGGAGTGGTGGGTGTCTGTAATCCCAGCTACTTGGGAAGCTGAGGCAGAAGAATCGCTTGAACCTGGGAGGCGGAGGTTGCATTGAGCCAAGATAGTGCCATTGCACTCCAGCCTGGGTGACAGAGGGAAACACTGTCTCAAAAAATAAAAAAAAATTTAAAAAAAGCAAAAGGAACACAACAGATACAGACTTTATTCTTTTGAATGATAAAGGAGACATGTAATCTGGCATTTTTTTTCATGTTTCCTGTAAAATCCTTCTAGTCCACGTGAATTCTTCAAAAGCATTTACAAATCAGATCTTTTAAGGCTCCCTAAATGCAAAACCAAAATTCAGACTTTTCCAATAATTCAAATATGGCTCTGCTGAATCTCACTGCTGCTAAATTATTGCAAGCTGTTTCATGTGTCTAGAATCCAAATGTTAGAAAGATCAGGTCTCATAAAAGAAATGCATCTTTGGGGTCTTAGAATATTCATCGTTTTGGCACCAGTTGCATTACTCTCTTCTTGTAAAGAAATGTCCATGGCACAGGGAACTCTTGGAGCAGTGGGTCGCAGAATAGCAAGCATGCCATATGCTCAGCAGTTCACAAGCACAATGGCCTTATGTCAAGGGTGACATTTTGACTAAGAATCTCTTTACAAACTCGACTTTACATGAATGTAATGGGTATGTCACATTCAAAGGCAAAAAGAGTTACTTCTTTTGTTTGACAGATAATTATTTCACCCGTACAGAAGAATGAACAAAGCCTGTCAAAATCATAGCCTGTCCTCATCGCTGGCCATCTACAAACACACAAAAAATGGAAATGAGACTAACAAAGTCTATTTGCCCATTAGAGCAAATATTGACCCCACTGGCCCCATATGCTTTCCATACCTTTCTTAAAGATTGCTCCTTATAACAAAATGACCAAAAAAGCCAACAAAAGAGCCACAAAGCTACTAAGTCACATTCTGTAGCATTTTATAAAGTTACATATGCCAGAAAAGAAAACAGGGAGAGAAAGCTATATCACAGACTCCAAGACGATTTCCCACACCTTTCAACAAATTTCCTACCAGGTATGAGTCCCAGGTTTTTATAATCCTAAAGCAAGGAAAGTCCTATGGTTTCATAATCCTCATACTTGGAAGCAAAAGTCTAGAAGTCAAAATATTTCTAGATCATATTTTCAGAAGAAGGTTTTCTCGCCATTTTAGGTTAAACCTACAGAGCCTCAGGCTTTCTGATTATACGGATCCTGACGTCTGGCTGTTTTACTAGTAGCTTAGTGACTTCCAGTTCACGTTTGCCAACACTCTAGGAGTGCCCTCTTAGTGTGAGCGGTCAGAGATGATTAACTGAAAAATATTTCCAAGTTAAACATTGATTTGCCTCTGCCTCCATTTATTCCTATCTTGGATGACCTTTCTAACTCTTTTTTTTAAACAAAGAAAGCAGGCACCAGTGGCTTTGCGTTTCTCAGTGAAAAGCAGAATTCTGCATTTGTTAGTTTTTGTGGTTTTATCTTATAAAGAAATGAGTAGGGTATTGGGGCAATCCAAGGGAGACTATTTGCTTTTCTTTGAACACACTCACACACACACACACCTACACACATAGATGCACACTAACTCACACACACAGGCACACAATACATATAGACTCATACATACATACACACATTCATGCACACATATACACACAGGTGCACACACATACACACAAGTGGCCACACACACCTATACACACAGATGACTCACATACACACAGACACACACACACAGACTTACACATACATACACACAGATACATACAGAAATACATACACACCCCCCACCCCATACTCATGACTTGAATGAGGTCATTCTGTTATGTTTCATTTCAGTTACCATTTTACTTCAGTATTTGATCTACACCAATTCAGAAGGTATGAAACTAGCTTAGCTTATGAGGGAGCTGAACGCTCTCCTCACAGTTTTCTTCCTACACTTTAGGAAAATGGCCTTATATATTTAAAATAGCTATCTCTAGGTCTCAAGCCCCTATTTTTGAATCCATGACCAAATCCTGCTGCATTTGAATCTCAGACTATTTCCAAAGCCCATAAAATTTTATATTTTGATAGACTTCATTATATTGAAAGAGAGAGAGTGAACATCAAGGGTAAAGGAGAAAGAATACTATGCTGAGGTCAAACGAATGAAGCACAGGTATCTGTTATGTTATTTCTTTATTTCCAACATATCCAGCTGTCTCACAGAGGCTAACATAAAAACCAAAACATCTGTGCACATGAAAGATTTTTCTTTTTACTAAAGATATATTGTTTAATTTTTTATATATTTTTTTCATACAAATATAATGTACCCTTATTCTAATTTTTGATGTCCTTATAGAATCTGGAATAAGTTTGTATAGCAAAGATAAGAAACAACTTCCTGGGAAAAGGGCATTTATGATCTAAAATTATCTAAAATATCGCATACCAAAAAATAGGCCAAATGTGTTTACATCTTTTTCTTTATCTTTTTTTTTTTTTTTTTTGAGATGGAGTCTCACTCTGTTTTCCAGGCTAAAGAGCAGGGGCACAATCTCGGCTCACTGCAACCTCTGTCTCCCAGGTTCAAGTGATCCTCCCACTTCAGCCTCCCAAGTAGCTGGGAGTACAGGCATGCACCACCACACCCAGCTAATCTTTATATTTTTAGTAGAAAAGGGGTTTTACCTTGTTGGGTAGGCTGGTCTCAAATGCCTGACCTCAAGTGATCTGCTGACCTCAGCCTCCCAAAAGTGCTGGGATTACCAGTGTGAGCCACCAAGCCCAGCCTCTACATCTTCTTCTGATGAGAAATTTCGCACGTGAATATTGGTGGATGTTAGGAAATTATTGTTAATATTTTTAAGGTATGATAATTTTGTTGCAGTTTATGCTTTTTTAAAGTATTATCATTTTTTAGAAGGTAATAGCAATCGATAAAATATATGAAGTCAGAGATTTGTTTAGGAAGGTTAGGGAGTTTTGCTGCAAGATTAACTATAATTAATTATTGAATCTGGTAAAGGGTACTTTAGTGTCTGTTTAAAAGTTTCTATAAGACAATATTTTATGGAAAAAAATATTTTTCTATTGGCTTACAATCTTCCAAGTATGAGTAGATATCCTTCCTTTAAAATAGAACCTCTTTGGGCTAGGCACAGTGGCTCACACCTGTAATTCCCACACTTTAGGAGGCCAAGCAGGGAAGATGGCTTGAGCCCTGGAGTATGAGACCAGCCTGGACAACACGGTAAAACCCTGTCTCTACAAAAAACACAAAAAAGTTAGCTGGGCATGGTGGCATGCACCTATAGTCCCAGCTGCCCGGAAGGCTGAGGTGGGAGGATCACTTGAGCCTGGGAAGTCGAGGCTGCAGTGTACCATGATCATGCCACTGCACTCCAGTCTGGGTCACGGAACAAGACCTTATCTCAAAAAATATATAAATAAAAATAAAATGAAATAAACCCTCTTTGCATCTGACATTTCAGAAACATTTCCAGAGCAATAAGCATAACACATAGAAGGTGAATAGTGTTTCTTTGAACATTAAAACCAATTACCACCTTTTCTTGATAGTCAGAGCAAGGGTGTTCTAAGTTCTTTGACTTAACTGCACTCAGATTTTAACTTTAGGTTTCAACTGCTACACATTAACCACTGCAATTTCACTCCACCCTTGCTATCTTTTCTTAGTAATCATCCATTCACCCTTGTCTGAGCCACTCTCTCATAATGCTTTTCTGGGTAGCAAAGTATGGAGCAAGGCTTATGTTGATTTTATGCAGCCCACATTCCTGGAATGTTAGTACTAAGTACAGAATTTGACCTGTAACACAGTGAAGAAAGAGTTCAAATGCAAACTCCAAAGATATCCATCCCACAGAATAAATGCCAATAAGCAATTTCCTTTTCCCAGCCTACCAGAGATTTTCATCAGATAGCCCATAACAGACAGAACCCATGCCAATATTTTATAACCCATAAAATTTCTTCAAGCAATCGTACAGATTTCCAGCCATCCTTTGATCAGTCTTTGTAACAATGACTCTGGGCCCTCGCCTAAAAATGATTCCTAGATCTCGATATATATACAAGGGAAAAGATCTGGCCTTCAGAAAGCCTCTCATTAAAGCGCTAATCTGTTCCACCACATTCTTCCAAGACACAGCGACCAGCATTCTAGCCAGCCTCAATGGCCAGCCCTAATAAGACTGATAGAAACAGCTTAAGTAATTGGATTGGTATATGGGATTGAATGTCTGACAACAAAAGATAGCCATCTCTATTCGACCACCAAATCTTTGTTCCAGCAATGAATTCATTTAGCAATGTGCTTAGAGGCTCCTGAGCCTGGGCAGAAATAACAGACTGGGGACACAAAAGCTAGGCCAGCTGATGAGCCCAGAGACAGAGGCTGCGCAGTTCCAAAAAGTTAATTACAGTGGACAAAGGCAGCAGACGATGACTTGTTGAATCATTACTATAATCACATTACTGCACTGCTCTGAAGTTCCCAGCCAAGGTGGCATTGCTGCTTCTCATTCTGCCCATGTACTTCATACTCATTTGCCACCTGCAATTTACTGTGTGTGACTTCTCAGTTGACATGCTTTTAACAGCTCAGCTTGTTTGTGTATGCTAGACATTCTTAAATTTTTCATATTTTTCTATCAAAAGAGCCTGATAGGAGAAAAGTGTTAAAGTAGCTGGTACAGAAAAAGTTGGTGTTAAAATTATCTATTTGTCTCAAAATTTGTGATTCAGGAAAGCACTATCATGCATTAGTGCAACTATTGCAACATAATTGCAATATCAAAATCATATATTTATGTATATAACTTTAGAAAGGTCTAAGTAGGGTTAATATAATATAAAACAAAACATCGATTTACAGCTTTAGGTAGGTCTAAAGAAGGTGAATATAAATCAGAATATTGACATCTAAAGCCCATGCTAGGGTGAAAAGTATCAAGGAGTGCCCATACTCAGTGATTCTGAAGCAACATTATTAGTTAATAGTTTCCTAGAAGTTTTGACATGGTTATTTCTTGACCACTGGGTATTCAGTTTCCTCAGCAGTGTGACATAAATTATTTTCACTTTTAACTTCTCTGGGACTGTTTTGGTCTGTCTGGAAAACATACCAGTCAGCGAGTGAGAAGAGCATCTCATTTTATAATAAACAGAGATGGTGGTACAATAATCACAGCTAAAACGGTAATAACACAGCAGCAATAATAATAGTAGAAGTGGTATTATTAATTAATAATTATTTTAGATAGCCAACTTAGAGTGGATTCTAAATATTTCTAAAGGAAGGTCTGATTTAGCCATACAACATTCTGTAAGAGGACTCAGGCATCATTCTACATTAAAATGGAAAGAAATAGCAAAGCCAGGGTGCCTTTGCTTTCTCAAACAGTGGCACCAAAGAAGCCCAAATACAAATGTCTTGACATCTAGTCCAACACTCCATGTCTTTAAAAAGCATCTTTCCGCCAAGATTCCTTGCCCAACTTGGCAAAGATATAGAACCAGCTTCATAGTCCAAATTGTGACTTTGGATTGCAACTGAAAATACACAATCATATTTTGTCCAAAGTTGGCATGTTTTTCCGTTCCCAACTTATCATCCTGCCAAATGGAGAACGTAGTCGCAAATGCTTGGAACTATAACCATAAAAAAAGGTTGGAATATTTCTAATCAGGGATGAACATATTTTTTTATTTTAACATAAATCATGAAGAGAACCTTAGAAGGATTTTTGCTCAGACCTTCTTGGCAGAGATTTCTGGGGGCTTTGCTGATGTTTTTGAGGAGAAATGTTCAGAGGAAAGGACACTGGTACGTTTCCAAGCCAAGCGGTCACTCCTTTGCTGGGAGCAGGTGATTCCCGCATCCACACAGCCTCCAGAACACACCACGTCTGTGACCATCACATTCCACAAAACTGACGTTACCTTGATAAAAACAGGTCCCCAATTCAACAAAACATCCCAAACACCTGCCTAAATGCCTTTGTCTCTTTTTTGTTTTCTAAAAGGGACTGAAGTTGCAATCGATCTGTACGTCTGGCAATCAACTGCAGGATATTTGCCGTATCCCTACACACAATCCCTACACACACGCGGAGCTTAAGTGGATCCTGCGCTCTACAGAAAGCTCCTCCACAGTGCGGTCCGTCGGGGCCTCCGAATCCCCCTCCAGGCCTCAGGCTCCTTCCGTTCCCACCATCCTTTCCTCATTCCACATGCCCTTCCTGTACTGGATACAGCTTTTCTTTTCCTAGGACTACGTATTTCTTCCATCCTCCCCAGGATCATAAAGCCCTCAAGGGTAGGGATGGTGAGGTTTATGATCTTCCCATTCCTCACAGTGCCTAGCACAGAGTGGCATCCCATCAGTGTGTCACGGACCCATTAGGATGGACTGAGAACATGAGACAGACAGAATCTGTTGTACTTAGGTACAACGTGAATAGGCATTGATGACTTGCCTTCGAGGTCAACGTCAGTTTACCAAGAAAATAATAGGCTTTCAGTTCCAGTGTTTGCAGTCTTTCTAAATCATCCAAGGTGTGACTGGAACATGACCACAGCTTTGTATAAACCCCAAACCTGACAGCCACTCACAGTGTTACAGGAAATGTGTGTCCACACATAGACATACAAAGCCTCTGTCTTGGAGCGGTAAACACCCGCGGCGTCTGTGACTAACGGTGAAATCACTTCTGTGCCGAGCCGACGCCCTGGCTCCTCTCGCAGTGCCACTGGGACAATACAGGTAGGCATGACATGGCTGAGCACAGGTGGACGGATGTCCCGTGGCCTCAGTCATTTCACATGTCACTCTTTTCTTACCTATCATTCTCAGCCTCACCCCCTGCCCCTGCTTGGCCACGGAAGGCTGCTGCTTTTTGAAGGTATTCTGGAAAATCTCTGATCAAAGGGTCTTTCCCAGCTTCTTTGTAGCTCCTAGTTGGTGCTGGAATGAAGTCCTACCAAGAGCCAGGCTGATTTCTGCCCCTTACTCTTCTGCCTGGAGCATTCCCAGGCCTGTTTTTCATTATCAAATTATCTGTCCTTCCCATTGAGCACATGGTCCAACATAGACACAGTAAGTTGGCAGCCTAAAACACACAGGCCACACTGGGCCTGCAAGGGGATTTTGATTCTTCTTGACACTATTCGTTTGTTTCATAAATTCATCACCAATGTTTTTAAGTCAAGAAATTTTCTATGTCAGTTCAGATGTCTAACCTCTTTTTAAAAATTGGAAGGTTTGGCCACCTCTGGTTGGCATTTCTACCTGGCACCAATCAACTGAAGCTGAGAAATGGCTGTCTTTTTAGCTGGGGAAGCAGCACTCCACTTCTCCACTGTTCCCATCCATCCCCACTGTCCCCATCCATCCCCACTGTCACACACTTGACCATCCCATGAGCTCACATATGTACCTTGCATGGCAGAGACGGGAGAGCAGTTCACAAAACATGGTTTCTCTTTCTGAACACACAAGACTATATATCCTTATTTGTACACCCATGGTTATAGAAGCATTATTCACAATAGCTAAAATGTGGAAAAAACCCAAGTGTTCACTGATGGATAAATGAATAAGCAAAAACGTGGTATAGACACACAACACAGTATTATTCAGCCTTTAAAAGGCAGGAAATTCTGAAACATGCTACTACCGGGAAGAAGCTTGAGGACGTTATGCTAAGGGAAATAAGCCAGTCACTAAAAGATGAACACTGCATGATTCCACTTACAGGAGATACTTAGAGTAGTCAAAATCATACAAGATAAAAAGAGTTCTGGAGATGGACGGTGGTAACAGATGCACAACATTATAAATGTGTTTAACACCATTGAACTATATTCTTTAAAATGGTTAAAATGGTAAATTTTTTGTTTTGCATATTTTATCGCATTTGATTTTTTTTTTAAGATTATAGTCATATGACTGAGCTCTGGCCAGAAGAATGTGTATAGCAGTGACATGTGCCAGTTTATGGTGAATGCCATAAAATTTCTCACATGTGATTTTCCATGTTCTTTTCCTCTCCATTTGATGCAGTCAAACCACATGTTGAATATGGCAGAACCATCATATGGAAAGATCCCAGGTTGGAAGATCCACTTGCTGACTAGAACAACTTTAGATAAGTAAGAAATGAAAATACTTCTATTATGTTTCAGCCATTATGCATTTTGGGTTTGCTATAGCAACTAGCAGAACTTTAATGCACCTACCTTTGAGCATCTGAGTCTGGGACCTGATTTAATACCTATAGGCCCATCGTTCTCATCTTACATTGAACTACCCATGACTAATCCCTCTGAAAGGCACCATTTCTTGTAGAAATCAACCCACTATGAACTTCAAGAGATGGTCTTCCTCCCTGGACCTCTCTAGTGAGTGGCTTTGTCCAACATTAATTTGTATAACTGTGATTGTGTCTGAAGTTGCCTGACTCTTAACTTAAATCTTTACTTTCTACTCTAGAAAGTTCTGGCTCTGGTCTTCATGAACTTCTTAGAAAAGTAATGGATGTTTATAAACAATAGAATCATGGCGTATTATTCTGTTCTCACATTGCTATAAAAAATACCTGAGTCTGGGTAATTTATAAGAAAAGAGGTTTAATTGGCTCATGGTTCTGGAGGCTGTACAGGAAGCATGATGTTGGCATCTGCTCAGCTTCTGGGGAGGCCTCAGGAAACTTACAATCATGGCAGAGGGCGAAGGGGAAGCAGGCACATCACATGGCCCGAGAAGAAGCAAGAAAGAAAGAGGGGGTGAGACGGGCAGATCACTTGAGGTCAGGAGTTCGAGACCAGCCTGGCCAACATGGTGAAACCCAATCGCTACTAAAAATAAAAAAAATTAGCCAGGCGTGGTGGTGCATGCCTATAATCCCAGCTACTTGGGAGGCTGAGGCAGGAGAATTGCTTGAATCCAGGAGACAGAGGTTGCAGTGAGCCGAGATCATACCGCTGCACTCCAGCCTGGGTAACAGAGTGAGACTCCAACAAAAGAAAGAGAGAAAGAGAGAAAGAAAAGAAAGAAGGAAAGAAAGAGAGAAAGAGAGAGAAAGAGAGAGAGAAAGAGAGAGAGAGAGAAAGAAAGAAAGAAAGAAAGAAAGAAAGAAAGAAAGAAAGAAAGAAAGAGAAAGAAGGAAGGAAGGAAAGAAAGAAAGAAAGAAAGAAGGAAAGAAAGAAAGAAAGAGAGAAAGAAGGAAGGAAGGAAAGAGAAAGAAGGAAGGAAAGAAAGAAAGAAAGAAAGAAAGAAAGAAAGAAAGAAAGAAAGAAAGAAAGAAAGAAAGGGAGAGGGGGAGGTGCCACACACTTTCAAATGACCAGATCTTGGGAGAACTCTCTTACTACCACAAGGACAGTACCAAGGGGGATGGTGCCAAACATTCATGAGAAATCCACCCCAATGATCTAATCACCTCCCACCAAAACCCACCTCCAACCTTGGGGATTACAATTCAACATGAGATTTGGCAGGGACACAAATCCAAACCACTAGAGTAGTCTGGTCCTTTTTCCTAGATTCCCCAGCCAGAAGACTGTAGAAAGAGAATCAAACTCTCCTGGTGTACTTTCGAATGCAGTGCACTTGACAGCACCATCCTTCATCTCTTATTGCAACTGACACTATTATTTAGCCTTGACCTCACCTCCACAGTCTCTAGCAATTTATGGAACACCTATCACACACAAGTACTACATCAAGTATTTTATGTAACTTTTTAAAGTTTATTTTATAATAAATATACAAGATTGTACTATTATCTCCACTTTTAAGATATAAAAATTGAGACAAAAAGAGTTGAAATTCCTCAAGGCCACACAACTGGAAAATGAAAGGTAGGCTATAACTCAAACACCTATGCTTTCCAAAACCATGTTATATTTCCCATGACAAGCTTATCTTTTTCCCTAGAGGAAAGCACTTTTGTGTCAGTTAGCTGTTTCTAGGAAACAAATCACCCTAAAACATGGTGGCTTAAAACAACCACATGTTTAGCCCATGACACTGTGGGGTGGCAATTTGGTCTGGGCTCAGTTGGGCAGTTCTGCTGGTCTTGGCTGGGCTCACTCATACATATGAGGTTAGCTGGTGGATAGACAAGCTAGATGGCCTCACTATCTTATCTGGGGCCTTAGCCAGGAAAGCCAAAATGACTGACAAGGCAGGGCCTCTTTTCATATGGTCTCTCATCCTCCAACAGGCTAGCCAAGGCTTGTTCCCACAGTGGCGGCTGCAGAGTTCCCAAGAGCCTAAGAGCATCAAGAAAGGCAAGTAACCAAAACCAAGCGATTTTCAGTTCACCGCCTATGTCACATTTGCTACTTTTCCATGGGCCAAAGCAATTCACATGACTAACTCCAGTTGCAAATATCAGGAAATAGACTACTCAATGAGCAGACCTTCAAAATTATATTGCAAAAGGGCATGCAGAATGGAATGGGAAGAATGTATAGACATTTTCAATATTTCAGGTAATTTAATTTGTTTTCTTCTAGTATTTTCCTCCATATTGCTAAATAATATTTATATATGGCTACCACTTAAGTAATTGACTTCAACTACTATCTTCCAGTTTATGATCATGACAGTTAAGAATTTGACATTTTTACCCTTTTACTTTCTACAAAAAATTCCCATATAACTTTCACCCAAATTCCCTAAATATTAACATTTTTTTACCACAACTATTTTATATGTATTTTTTCCGAAAACCATTTGAGAATGGGTAGCAGACATGATTCCTCTTTACTCCTAAATATTTCTGTGTAAGTTTATAAAACCATGGCTTAAATAACCACAGTACAATTATCAAAACTCAGGAAATCAACTTTATAATACTATCATCTAGTCTACCTTCTGCTGTCCAATATGATATACATTCACTACACATGGCTATTTATATTTAAACTAATTAAACATCCAATCCCTTGGTCACACTAGCCATATTTAAACTGTTCAGTAGCCACATCTGATTAGTGGTTGTAATGGGTAATGCAGAGAACGCAGCATCACAAACAGTCTTATTGGACAATGCTGGTCTATATCTTTCAAGCCCTGTTGGGATATAGTTACAGATTTACAGAGATGAAATTTATATCTGTTACATGAGGCCACAAGGTAGTAATTATTACCTCCATTTAAAATATATATATAAGTAGAGAGTTTATTTGGGCCAACCTTGAAGATTGCAACCCAGGTACATACATTCAAATTGCCCTGAATATATACTCTGATTAGCAGCAATTAAAAATGGAATTTTAAAGGCAAAAAAAAAAGGGTCACAGGGCATGGGCTGATACAAAGTTTTCTGTCAAGAATTCTCTTTGGTTTACAGCAATAATATTGATTAGTGATTGGCTCTACATTGTTAAGCTGTAAGGTATGGGTTACAGTGTCTGGTGCAGCACTATTAGGTTAATTTATAGCTACTTATAGCACTAGCAAGCAGTTTCAAGAGATGAACACATAGCTCAAGGGGGAAGTAGGACATGATTTTTGTCATTTTAGTGTCTCTTTGAGCTTAATAATTTAAAAGGACTCAGGCCGGGCCTGGTGGCTCATGCCTGTAATCCCAGCACTTTGGGAGGCCAGGGTGGGTGGATCACTTAAGGACAGGAGTTCGAGACCAGCCTGGCCAACATGGTGAAACCCTATCTCTATCAAAAACTACAAAAATTAGCCAGGCATGGAGGCACACACCTGTAGTCCCAGCTACTCAAGAGGCTAAGGTGGGACAATCCCTTGAACCTGGGAGGTAGAGGTTGAAGTAAGTGGAGATCATGCCACTACACTCCAGTCTGAGTAACAGTGAGACTCTGTCCCCCCAAAAAAGGACTCACATTCCTCAGATAAAAGTTCTTTTCTTTTCTCGTTTCCCCCTTTTGATCAAAAATCTTTCTTCTTGAAAGCATCAATGATCAAAATTTGAGTGTCAAGGTGTTCTTTGTTGCCATGAAAGCATATTTCCAGGTAATACTGTCATAGTAGAAATACCATGTACATAAGAATTATAATTAAAAAGATAATTTGTATGCCAGAACAAAAAAGAAAAAAAAATTTTTCTTTGAGAAGTCAACTAAAAGCACCATGAAGAAAATTAAATCCAGGTTCTTCTTTAGAGATTTATTATAGCCAGGAAGTAGTGCAAGATTTAGCCAAAATTTTAGGCAAATAATAAAATTCAAAAACAATGGAGAAAGCTAGAATCCACCTCCATATTTTAGATAGAGAGACAAAATTAGAAAAGTAAACTGGGTCCATGACTGTATAATAAATCAATTCTGTATTCAGAGACCCGAACACAAGCTTGATTGTTTTAACACTTCTCTTTTACCATGACATTTTATTTTATATCTTAGTTTGGGTTATCCAGAAGCAGAGCCTGAGACAAGAATTCACGTACATGTGGCTTATTAAGGAAGAGCTCCCAGAACAAACTAGTAAAAGAATGAGGAAACCAGAACAGGGAAGGAGCCAGCCAAGGTGGTGATTTCAGGCAAAGTCCCGGCCACAGGCCCATCCTGCAGGAAACTCCGAAGGATAAATTATACCAGAGAGTTTGGCCCACCTAGAGATAGGGAGCTAGGCCTTCATACACCCACACCTGTTAGTCATTGGCTATGTAAACTACCAGATACTTCTGGAAGTCCACTTGTTGTATGGGCAAAGCAGTGCTGGTAGCTTAAGGGCCATCCTCTGAAGAAAGCTAATAGTTCATGCTGCTAGAATCACAGTGCACACAAGCTGAGGCATGGGGCCACCCTGAACCAGTAAAAAGGGTCCAAGAACATCTGGGTGCAGGCCCGGCAAAAACCATGACAGACTATTCTATCTTATTATTCTTCATAAAACATGTTCATTGAACATCTCCATTTGCCTTTTGTATAAATAAAACTTGAAAATCAAGCTGATTCAGAATAAATGCTCATATATTTACCCTGGCCTATTTCCACGAGGTATTTTCTTGTGCCTACAATATCAGTTGAAGAAAAATGGGTGGGGTGGGTGGGGCCACCCTTGATAAGAAGCATAAAATCAAAGGGCAGGAAACATGGAAAACAGATTCAGGGACAGCCTAGTACAAATCAGTCCACTTGTTAGAAGCGAAACCCCTCTGTTGGAGAACTGTCTTCTCTTCTCCTGCTGTCTACCCAGACTGCAGAAATCCACACAGCTTTCTTACAAAAAGTGGGGATTGCTTTTAGGATACAAGAATGTCTCACAAAACTAGAGATGATAAATCAGTGGGGCATCACAAGGAAGCTGGGGAGCCATCAGCAACAAACACAGGTTGCCTTTCCTTTTTTATTCCTTTGTTTCGCTATACAGTCTTGGATCTCTGCTTCTCTATGCAAATGGACCAAAAGTGCCTGTTTCAGTTCTGAAGTCCACAAGCTGTGTTGACTCCAGAAGTAGATCCAGAAGTATAGATGTCTCATTCTGGTTCCTTTGTTTAAATTCTTGGTCAGGACAGAATCCAATTAGCCCAGTTCTCATGACAGGGGTCGACCTCTGATTCAGTCATCATATCCCAAAAGAAAATAGGATTACCTTGCATAAAGATGGTATCAGGGGCTTGAGCAAGGGTGCAGGTTAAGTTAAAGAATATGGCAGACTTTTTTTTCTAATGTCCACAGCAATATTTCTGGTCCCTGATACTCTTCAGAATTTTGCCACTCTTCTTCACTCTGAGTGGTGGGGTTTGGGTTCCCTTCTCTTGAATCTAGGCTGAGACTTTTGACTGCTCTAACCAATACAATATTGCAGATGTGGTGCTACGGGCTTCCAAGGCTGCTAGGTCATTAAAAAGATACAGCTTCTGCCTGATATTCCTCTCGATCTTCCTACCTTTTCCTCATACTCACCCTTGGGAACCCAGCCACCATGCTGTGAGGAAGCCTATGCCACATGGAAAGATTACATGGCCATGTTCCCTCCAACAGCCCCAACTAAGATATCAGCTGACAGCCAGCATCAACCACCAGACCTGTGAGCAAGGAGCCCCAGATGACTCCAGCCCCAGCATCCAGCCACTCTAAATGACCTTGAATCAAGCAGACGTGAGCTGTCACTACAAAATTCTGCCCACATTATAGATTCATAAGCAAAACAAATGTGCCATTGTTGCTGGTTCTAGCCACTTGGTGGAGGGTGATTTGTTTTGCAACCATAGTAATATCTCAATAAGCTTTGGCGTTCCCATCTTCTTGAACCTCAATGAATTTGTAACCTTGGAATTTCTGACCCCAGTGTCCTGATTTTCTCTTCTGGTCCCCTCACCTCACAACTACCAAAACTAAGCAAGCATGATTGCTGGGAATATGTGGAAAAGCAGTCCCTAATTTATTATGTATTATGTTTTCTATTCCGTTAAGGGGGATTTAAGATACTCACTTCCCTCCCAGAACATGCAAGGGAGAAAACAAAAACTACCATGTACATGTCAAGGAAGAGTATAAAGAACAAGCAAGCATGGAGCTGTTCAACATGGTCAGGCGTGGGCTTTTGAGTTTTTATTTTCATTTGTTAGCATGACAAAACATATAAGGGCAAATCTGAACTCCCCACCAAATAACCTAAGATTCTTTCATATATACTCTTGTTTAGAACCATTTAGATGTACCTCATTGAACCACTCCCTCTCTGAAGCCTGTGGGTTTATAAAATGCCAGGAACACCTCTTGCACACCATTCTGAAACTTGATATATGATCACACTGCAGGAAACTTTATGAATGATCACACATGCTCTTCATTTTTTTTCTTACTACATTGGCAATTGGTAGCACCTTGGACATCACCCTACTTTATTTTCAAAACATCATTAACTCATTAGTCAATTGGGTGTACTTGGGGCTACTATTTCCAAGGAGTCTTATGGTGGTTTCAGGACAAATATTTCTCTAGGAGTGGACTGCTTTGTCCAGTGCAATGATTCTCAAAGTGGGGCCTCTGGGCTAGTAGCATCAGTATCACTTGAGAATTTGCTAGAAATTCACATTCTTGGGCCTGGCACAGTGGCTCACACCTGTAATCCCAGGACTTTGCAAGACCAAGGTGGGAGGATCACTTGAGCCCAGGAGCTTGAGACCAGCTTGGGCAATATAGCAAGGTCCCATCTCTACAAAAAAATTTTTTTTAATTACCCGGGTGTGATGGCACTCACCTGTAGTCCCAGCTACTCAGGAGGCTGAGGTAGAAGGATTGCTTGAGCCCAGGAGGTCAAGGCTGCAGTGAGCTGAGTTCATGCCACTGCACTTCAGTCTGGATGTCAGAGAACCCATCTCAAAAAAAAAAAGAAAACTCAAATTCTTGGACCTATTCAGACCTACTACATCAGATTCTCTGGGAACGGGCTTAGTAATCTGTGTTTTCACAAGCCCTCAAGATGATTCTGATGCATCTTAAAGTTTGAGAACCACTAATCTAGTTACATCCAATAGAAATCGCAACAGTGACTGCAAAGAGAGAATAGAATTGTTAACTAGGTAGAAAATTCTAACAAGGTAATTGAACAGGCAAAAAGGAAACCATTAGGTGTCAAGGAGATAGCAACTGTAGGCAGCAGCTCCTAGAGCAAAGGGAACAAAGGGAAGAGATTGGAATCATTCAACTTACATTCTCAGAGGAGAGGAGGGCCCTGCAGAACTGAAAAGGCACCATTGAGAAGGATCCGAAGCTCAGCTGGTGCTGTCCTCAGGATTCACAGTCCCTCCCACAAGCTGGACCCAGGCATCTTGGAAGGACACGGGCAGCTGATGCTGGTCTGGTGTCTCTAAGGGAATGTGATAATGCTTGTTCTGTGAGTGCTGAATACACTGCAAACCAGAACCACCTGCTGCTACCAGAACTAAATGAGGCTTCCTCAAAGAACAAACGTTGCTCAGGTGACACAGGAAGGCATTGCTTTCTTCTCCAATATTGCAGTTTCAGTCTAGCACCCCCTACTGGCAGCAGCTGGCAAGGCTGAAACGGAACTAACAGGGTCTCCGCTCCAGCGGCCCCAGAGTCACAGAGAAGGATATAAGAGGGAGGGTTTAGAGTTGAAAGACAACAGCTTAATAACTGGCAAAGTTATTTGGAGCTGTTATTTCCAAGGTATCTTATATGGTCTCAGAACAAGTTCCCTTTTGGGACAGGCCACCCTCTGCCTAGAAATCTGACACCCCGAGTACATTGAGTGGTTTGCAGTGGCGTATTCACTGGAAAGGGCTCCTTCAGATAACAGAATACGCTTTCACTATCCTCTTCTTATTGTGAAATGGCAGGGAATTCTTTTCCCCACTGCGGAGGATGAAAGCCAAGGAAGAAAGAAAGAAATGGGATTGCTGAATGAGCAGGGATTCGGGGTGAGGGGAAGGAACTGAAGGTTACTGGTGTCTCAGGGCCTTTAGTTGGTTCAGACAGCGAAACCTGCTCTGTCTTCCTCCAACATTAACCTTCCCAGGAAGTGACAACTCCTTGGATTTCACAGAGCTGGTTGTGTCCAGCAAGCATGCTCTTTGGCTACTTCAGAAACTGTCTCCTGTGCTTTAAAAAAAAAAGAAACTCACATGTCCTTGAGGCCTCCTCTGACAGCTGGCAGCAACACCTCTAGTTCAGGTTGTTCATCCCTGCACCCGTACCTGTCAGGTCCCCCATCACTTTGAGCTACATTCCTTCCTTCCACGCTCTGGCTCTTTTAGGAAACAAAAGATGATGCTTAATGGAGAAAAGAATATGCACAACTTTCAATGAAATTGAAATGAAATTTTGAGGGGGAAGAAAGTAAATCACTTATCAGGCAGTGGAGAATAATGAGGGCTTTTTCATGAAGGTCACAGACATCCAGAGATACCTTCATATTACTCAATCAGCCCCAACCCATACCTCTGCCACATGACCTCAGTAAATGCCAAGAAGAATACTTTGAAAAGCCCAGGTAATAAAATACTTTTTTACAGAAAGAAAATGAAGATAATAAAGAGGTTATACTGTGTGCTAGACCTTGAGCCATCCGTCCTTGGCAGTTCCTAGAACTCCAGCTTTTTCTCAGAATTTTTAAGAGCAACGCCTTCTCTAAATCCTGACTCTAAAACTTGTCTTGAACGCATTTGATTTCATATACAACAACTGCTTTGCCTCAGTTCACAACCATCTGTGAATCAAAATGAATTTAAAAGATTTATCACAAGGTAACCCCCCTTCTCCTAACTTGCCTCTTTCTACAAATGTCAGACTTGAGGTTCAACACATCATCCAACTTTGGAAGGCTTCCTAGGGAATAAAAGATAAAGTGCAAACTTGTCCTAACATTCAATGTCATCCAGAGTCTGGCCACATCTCCTCACCATCTTCAACCCTCTGTCACCTAACCATGTACAACTTTATGTTGATAAGCTTTCTTTCAGCATATATATTCCATTTCTTTATCAAAATGCTACTAAACCTTCAAGGTATATCCCTTTGATGAGTCTTTCTCCAACTGAACCAGCCTGCCTCTGGCCTTTTCTCTCTTCTGCACTACCTCGTATCAACTAACTCTGATGATGATTGGCACTTCATCCTAGAATGCCCACATAATCCTGTTGTTCCATCTGTCTTTGCTCTTCAGTATGAATTATATATAAAGATAAGAACTGTATTTTATACAGCTGCATTAGCACCTAATATATTTTAAATTGGAGCATAAATATGAATGCATATGCCAGAGTTCTTGGTTGAGAACAACAAAAACTGGCAGCAACAGGAAATATAAGGTACCTAGAAGTCTAACAAAAGATATGCAAATATTTTACAGATAAATCCTTTATTGAAGGGCATCAATAAATAACTTTAATAAGCAAAGAAATACACCATGTTCACAGATGAAAAACTTAAAATTGCAAAAACATCGATCTGCAAATTAAAATTTAAATGTAATTTCAATGAAATTGTCTACCCAGTTTTTCATGAATCTTGACAATCAGGTGATAAAATCTATACAGAAAAGCAATGCCCCCAGAATAGCCCATTTTAGGACCAGGCATGGTGACTCACACCTGTAATCCCAGCACTTTGGGAGGCCGAGGCAGGTGGATCACCTGAGGTTGGGAGTTCAAGACCAACCTGGCAAAATGGCAAAACCCTATCTCTACTAAAAATACAAAAATTAGCTGGGCATGGTGGCAGGCCCTTGGAGCCCCAGCTACTCAGGAGGCTGAGGCAGGAGCATCACTTGAACCTGGGAGGTTCAGGTCGCAGTGAGCCAAGGTCATGCCACTGCACTCCAGCCTGGGCAACAGAGCAAGACTCTGTCTCAAAAACAAAAACAAAAAAGAATAGCTCAATTTAAAAGAAAAAAAAATGAAGACGGATACAGAAACTCGTTCTACCAAATGTTAAACATGTTTTGTGTATAGCAATAGTGATGAATGTGGTATGGTATGGGCACAGGAATAAAGAAAGGTCAATGGAACAGAATAGAGACCCTTGAAACAGTCACATCCATACATTAAAATGTGGCAGGTAACAGAAGAGGCACCACAGATTATTGAGAAAACAATGAACTATGTATGAATGTGGCTGGGGAGATAGCTTGTTAGACTGCTGTCCTTGCTTTACATCATGCAGAAAATCTATTCCAGGTAGTCTAAGGGCTCAATGGTGACAATCCAGGAGAATTTCTTTATGGTTTGAGAGTAATAAAGATTTTCCTGACAACATGTAAAACACACACACATGCACGCACACACACACACACAGAAATTACAAAAGTGGAGATGAAAAAATTCAACTACATTAAAATTTAATATTTTGTATATCAAAAGATACCATTTTAAAATGAAAAAGTCAAGTCATACACTGAAAAAATATATTGTCAATGCTTGCAATGATAGAGTCACTCTACAGATAATTTGAATAACTTACACAAAATCTGTAAGAAAAAACAACCCACAAAAAAAAATTGACAAAACATGAGATTCACTGAAGAGGAAATTCAAACGTCTAATAAATAGCTTCTGTAAAGTAATCAGATGTACAGAATGGAACAAAATACCATTTCTCATTCATCAAAAACTGGTAAGAAAAATGGTTATGTGTGATAACAGCATTAGAAGAATATGAAACCATAAGACACAGAATTGTTACATAGTGGGAGGATTGTAAATCGCTGCAACCATTGGGGAGAACCATTTGGCAGCAGCTAATATATTTGAAGGTAAATGTATGCAGCAACCCAAAATTCCGCTCCGAGGAATATACCCCAGGTAATGTTCCTAGACAATGCTAATGCTGCTTCAAGGGGCAAGTTACTAAAGATTACCTATGGTAGTAATGGATGGCCAACTCCCCTTTCTCAATGGAGGTAACATATGAGCTAGAAGCTCAACTAAATGTCCACTTAACATTTCAAGGTCTTTAAAAAGAACTCTACCACCAAGTATTCATTCCAGTGGTTCTCAAAAAATAAGACACTTAACAATTCTGGTAATTTTGATTTTTAAATAGTGAGTAATAGCATCCAATAGTGTTCTGTGTCTTCAGTAGCCACTTAGCACCTCACAGTCAGAACACAGATATGATTTAAATGGGCTTAATTCCCAAGGATAAAATATCATAAAAGTGATTTTTTACCCTGCTAACTATGATCCAATTGAGAGTTTACCCCACATAAATTTTAACATCAGGGAAAAGGGTCATCTGAATTAAAATGTCATCATACCAACAGTTTTACATCTGTGTCTCACCTGAGAACCCTGGTAAATAGAACCAGGTTTTCAAGAATTAAAAAGGCTCAGCTTTTGACATGAAATGCTTAGAGACCAGGGCAATTTAGATTCCACTTTTACAGCCAAATGGATTAATTATTCTGTCCACTTTATACCAAGAAAGAGAAGCAGAGGCAACTGCAAAAGGAAAACTAGGCAAGATTTCCAACAAGGGGCCTATCTTTTGTCCTTTGCTTTTAGTGGCTTCCAATGTGACCTATTAAAGGTATACTCTTGGCCCCAAAAAAGGAGAAAGAAACTATAGCTTTGTATTCCCAACTCATGTATCTTTGCTTGCAATCTTGCATTCAATTTCAGTGTAATATGAAGAGGCCTATTCTTTTACAAAAAGTTCCCTCTTCCCACCAGGCTTGTTTGTTATTTTATGTGTTTCTGCATCATTTGTAGGCTTTGCTTTGATCTGCATTCCTCCTGGATGTGGGGTTTCCTTTTCAGCTACCAAAAGGAAAGCTGGTCTGTTTGAAAATCTGTTTATTTGGATTTTTTGCTAGCCTAAAGTTCCTATCTTTATCAGGATGCGCAGAGCTCCGTGTCTGCCAGCCTTGGACATCACTAGTTTTCCCTCAGGAAAAGGCAACTTGGAAAAAATACAACTTGCCCGTCTGTATTTGGAATACTCTGGGAAAAAGGTTTTAGAGGTTTCAGTTTAAAACTTTAGGAAAAGATTCTTTACCAGATACATTTAATCAGCAGTGGCTTTTTCATGTTTAGACTGAGAAAAAATTGTTGCCTCTCTCAATATTTGTCAGGAATTTTCTCAGCAAGTAACTGCTTTCTTGCGTGCATTGCCAACTGCATCTGCATTTACCAGCACCATTCAAAGAGAAAGGAAACACAGGACCGTGTGGCACCCCTCTCCCCATTTAGGCCAGCATGGTCCTGTGGATCTGGGGAAAAAGAAGGCCCCAAAAAGCACATACAGTTGGCAATATCACATTATCACTGTCTCCAGAATATTTTCCTTTTAAAAGAAATGTTGGCCGGGTGCAGTGGCTCACGACTGTAATCCCAACACTCTGGGAGGCCGAGGTGGGTGGATCACCTGAGGTCAGGAGTTTGAGACCAGCCTGGCCAATATGGTGAAACCCTGTCTCGACTAAAAATATAAAAATTAGCCAGGTGTGGTGGTGCACACCTGTAATCCCAGCTACTCGGGAGGCTGAGGCAGGAGAATCACTTGAACCTGGGAGATGGAGCTTGCAGTGAGCTGAGATCCCTCCACTGCACTCCAGCCTGGGCAACAGAGCGAGACTCCATCTCAAAAAAAAATTAAAAAAAAAATAATAAAAATAAAAGTCAACATTCCTCCAACAGAAATGTAAGAATAAGACAAATAATAATTCTAAATAGAAAAGCCAACACTTGATTCAGGGATGGCTCCTAGGTTGCAACTAGCATCTCAGCTCTGGTTGCTGGGCAACGGCTGCATGAAGAATGTCAAGCATATCAGGACTCCTTGGGTATAAGGATCCATGGCCAAGTGTTAGGGACACCTTTCATGGCATGAAAGTGTGTGTCACATATAGGGTGGGATCAGCTGAATGCATCTAAAGGCATGTTGCTGGTGCTGTATAACTCTGCTTAAAGTGTGTTTCGAGGATGGGGTGGATTACTTGTTGAGGACAGGGTCACGGGTTATTTAAAGCAACCCATAGTCTACAATGTATTACCTATAAGTGATATTGGCTCCAGACCAACATTTCTTCCTAGGAATAGTTCTTCTTAGGAAGACTGAAACCGTCTATAGACAAAACATAGGGAGGAAATAAAAAGGCTCTCTGAATGGAGAAGACAGGAGACATTCTCTCACATCCTCCAATTGCCTCTTTGAGGGAGAAACAGGATGTGTTCCCCAAGGACCTCACGAGACAGTCAACCTCACGGATGGCAGTGCTCGGGACCCTCTCTTTGGAGGGTTAGCCAGAAGGATTCAACCCGGGAATCCAAACAAACTTAGGAAAACAATAGGCAGGACCAGGAAGGAATGGGAATTATTTGTCTGTTTTTAATAGAATCCTGCCTTCAAATTGCAGCTTTCCTCTAGGAAAAAAAAAAAAAAAAAAAATCACAGCTTTCTTTAAAGTTAAACATGAACAGTTTCTGGCCTCAAAAGATAGAGATCAAAATAAACTCCAGTTGTTGTCTAAGAACCACCTCTTTTGCAAGGACACCAGGCCTCACTCAATTTAGGCTGCCTTGGGACAGGTGGCAAATCCACAGAATGGAACTAGTTAGATAAGGCAATTCCACACTGAGGCTTCTCAGAGGACCAAGCAATTACAAATCCCAAATAGGAATTAAGATGGACTTGTTTACAACAAACTCTGGGCGGCTCTGATTTCGCAGTTTGGCCATCCATAGGGAGACCTTTGAGTCTCTGAGAACCAACAGAACCTTTCACCCCCTTCAGTTACCAAACCCCAAAAGTCCACATGTTGGAAGAAACCAGGACTATTGTTAAACCAGAAGGTTTTGTTTCGGCAGAACATTTAGATTGCATTTTATTCCTTTAAAAAAGGCAGTTCTAGCATACGTGTAAGTGCTATTTGTGAGGTAGGGCAAGCCGAATTGAGGATTTCATCCTGGCAGATCAGGAAGAAACAAAGGAGCCCTTGTGGAAAGTTTTGGTTTTGAGACTCAAACTTCAAAGGAAGCTCAGCAGAATGAACAAATTGTCAAAAAGATGATTGTTAGGAGGAGGATGTCTTCTTTCTCAAAAATTCCCCAGGTGCAAAAAAAAAAAAGCCATTGGCATACAGACTTTAAATAATTTACAAAATTTTATAATACATCTCACCCTCATCTTACCCCTTCATGTCTCTTAAGCTTAGATGGAACACAATACGCAATGGTGGCCCTCCTTAGAAGAACGTGGGCATCATAGACTCTGTTTTCCATAAAATCTCTTCCAAAAAGACCAATATTTGAGTCCTGTTTAAAAACATCTGCTGAGAATCCCCCATCTGAAGCCAGAATCCCAACTAACAGCCCCTGGATAATTTACTAAAGTTAATCCCCTCCCCTAGGAGATAAGCAAACGCACACACTCAAGAATCCTGAGGGCAGCAGGGGCTGGGATTGCAGGGTGGTCAGATCAGGGCTACTCAAAGTGTGGATCTCAGGCTAGCAGCCATAGCATCAACTGGGAGCTTGCTAAAAGGCAAATGCTCCAGCCCCACCCCAGACTTTCTGAATCAAACTCTTGGTAGGGGGAGGGATGAAAATCTGTTTAACAACTTCTGGAGGTGATTCTTAATGGAGACTTCACTGTGACAAGCATTAAGCTAGAGGGATCATAAGGAACTATCTAGTAGCTCTCTGAGAGGTCAGCCCCAGAAGGACTTTGAAAACAGCAGGAAGGACATTGAGAGAGGGCAGTTAGAAGAGAGTGGGTGCCTAGGACCTTGGAATGGAAAGGGAGATTGGCAATCATCACCCGTGCCTTGGTCTGAGGCCATAAAACCAACAAGTATACATTACCTTTGATCTTGGGAGGAACATCAGACCCTTCCTGCCACCCTTCTCATTTTTCCTGCCATGCAAAGGAAGGGCAGCCTATATTTTGGAGAAGTTTAATAAATATTGCCTGCCAGGGAATTGAGATTTTCATGGGGGTTCAAGGGCCACGAAACCTAAAGAAGGGTCTCAAATGAGAGCGGGTTCTTCACTAATCTAAGACCATCTCGATTTCACCCTCAGCAGCCCCTTCAACTCTATGGCTTATGACCTACTAGCAACCTCTCAAACATACACCAGTGCTCTCTTTCTCCTCACTCATCTCCGTCCTCTTTCCCAGGTGCATCCACTCAAGCCCAGGACTCAGCTCTCTGTCACTGAGTGTGGCCTGGCTGCCCACCCACACTATTCTCTCATGCAGAGCCAAGCTTCATCTAAGACTTAGTGTTACAGCTACTCAAGAGGTGTTCACTTCAACTCATCAAGTTTTTAACTGAGCAACTATTATATATAACCTGCTGCTTCACTCCCTGGTTAAGTTCTACCTCCCTTCCTCTGAAAATGCCATGCAAGCACAAACTTTGTCACAGATAAATGAAGCCTTTGAGAGATCAAATGTTCCAACCATAATGTAACGGCTCCTTTGGCCTTAGTTTGTGAAGTATTTTTATGATTTTTAGTTCCTACTCTGTTCATTCAGAACAAACTTCACTCACTTCTCATTTCCCTATACCCCTTGGTTGAGGCTGACCATAGGTCTCCATTCTACACCAAAACAATGATGACTATGCTGAAGATAATGGCAGTGGCAACTCAGACATGTGGTGAGCTCACCATGTGCCAGGCATTGAACTAAGCATTCTACATACATTATTTAAGTTTCCCAGCCACCTTATAAGAAAGGCACTATTATTATTTCCACTCTATGGATGAGGAAACTGAGGCTTAGTTACTTAACTGAGGCAATTTAAGTAACTTGCCCAAGATTCCAGAGCTCAGCAGTAGCAGAGCTGGAACTTTAACCCAAGTCTATCTGACTTTTATTCTTTATGCTTTCTTACCTCCATATTTATGAGGAAATAATGTGAAAGTGATTTTAACCTGTAAAGCACTATCTACAAGAAACGCATTTTTCTAAGGACTCTCCTGCTCTTTCTGGTCCCTCCATTACTCAACCGTATTTCCTACTTGACAAGCGTCAGTGTGGCATTTTCTCAGTTTCTCTCTCACACAACTCCAGATCCCAGTCTTATGTGTCCTACAGCTTCCTCTCACCTAACTTTCCTGGACCATTTCACCGTGAGACACACATTGGATGGGCCCTCTGCGAAAGAGAAGGCTCTGGTAAAGTCATTAATTCAGTCACATGCTTAGTGCATGGTTTGTTTAGCTAGAACGGCAGGCTTTAACCTTAGCTACACATTGGAAGATTTAAACAGTCTCAGTGCCCGGGCTGTAACCTAGACCAATTAAATCAGGATCTCTGGGGGGTGGGGCCCAGGCATCAATAATTTTTAAAGTTCCCTAGGTGATTCCAATGTACAGCTAAGGTTGTGCATGTTGACTACGGGTTTAATATCCCTGCTACTGCTCTGATATTTTTTCATGTACTCTGTGATTACAAAGCCCTTTGGGATAGACTTTACATTTGTGTTTCTCCAGTATGCCTCATGGACCAGCCTATGTTTAGGAGAAGTTTAATAAATATTGCCTGCCAGGGAATTGAGATTTTCATGGGGGTTCTTAAAATAATTTTTTGTATAAGGAAGTCGCCCTTAATTAGCCATCTGGGATCATTTATTCTCCAAATACTGTTTGGGTCCCGAAACAAGCCAGAAGAAATTTATTCTCTGAATATGGATGAAATTGCCCATGCTCTTTTGCTTTCTCTGTAACTGGTGGAGCTATGAAACTCTTACGGGGAGTCTTCTCCCAGCCTAAAAACACCTGAGAAGGTCAGAGAGCATGTTTCCAGTGATGCATATCAATGAGCTCTGCAATAAAAGAGAGTAGACTGAACACTCATTCTGGATATAGCTTTACAGTATCTTATGTCCAAATTTCTTAAAATGAAAGAACTTAGCTATAAGATCTCATACTTCTTGGTGGCAAGAGAGAGAACTAAAATATGTGGCCATGATTGGCAACAGGGTAAAATGGTTGTAGAGTTTTCTTTTGCCATGTGTAGGATAAAATGTAAACAATCTGGTAGATGTTTAAGCTGAGTGATACATAGGTAAAAATCCACTCCAAACCCCTTGAACCATCTCTACTTTACCTCTGCTCTTTTGCTCCGTTTTCTGAAGTGAATGCACCTTCAAAGAAAACCCAATTGTGACTTTACCTTGAAGATTTTATTCTGACCACTTTCAAACAGGGGTTATGAGTGGAAGCTTCTAGATTAGGGAAGAGTCAGTTTCCTAAATAGAATGTCAAATCATGTGACACCTTTCATCTGCTTTCCAACACATGAATTAAGCCCAGGTTTACCTCAGCCGACCACACCTCAGCGAGAGAGAGCGAAGAGGATTTTCAACAGGATTAAATGATATGAATAGCTTTCAGGTTTCCACTGGGGGCAGAGCTGGGGGCGGGGTGCTGCCGCAGCAGCTGCTCAGAAAAGAGAATAAAGGATTTTCTGGAGCTTTGCGACTCCATGTATCTGCTGAGGATTGATCTGAGCGCCTTTCTTATCCTCCTTTTGGTGGGAGAGGAGGGGCTTCTTTTCAAAGTCACATTATCTGACAACAAAGCCTAAACCAGGAGGGTGGTGTTTTGGGGCTTGCACACTTGCTGGGGAGAGAGGTGGGCTCAAAGGCTTCTTCAAGGAGGAGGCGCAAGGGCCCTAACAGATGGGCCTGAAGGCTGGGAAGGACTGGGGGAGGTAGGCCCAGGCTCGCTGGCTTTCCCAAAACCTCTGACCTCAGTCTTCTCCCAGGTGGCTCCTGCTCTGACAGCGACCTCACTGAAATCCCTGCAGTGAAGGGTGTCCACCCATGTGTGTCTGGGTACTGGGAGGAGCGTGTGGGTCGTGCGTCTCAGAAAGACCATTCATGCGTTGCTGGGGAGAGTGCAAAATGCTGCAGCCACTCTGGAAAACAGTTTAGCAAGTTTCAAGTTTCCCAAAAAGTGAAATGTACACTTCCCATATGACACAGCAATCCCAATCCTGGATATTTACCTAAGAAAAATTAAAAGGTGTGTTTACACAAAAACCTGTACTCAAATGTATAGCAGCTCTATTCATAGCCAATGAGATATGAAACAACCCAAAGATCTCTCAACTGGGGATGGATAAACAAACATCCCTGTATGGACTATCACTCAGCAATAAAAAAGGATCCAACCTGGAAGACACACTACAACGTGAATGAATCACAAATACACAATGCTAAGTGAAAGAAGTCACACTCGAAAGGCTGCATACTGTTTGGTGCCATCCATGGAACATTCCAGAAAAGGCAAAACTATACGCACAGGAGGAGGGAATGAGGACCAAAGGGCAACATGATCGGACTGGGGGAGTGATGGAGATGTTCCGTGTCTTGATCATGGGGGTGATTACATGACTGCATGTGTTTGTCAAAATTCATAAAGCCATATACCAAAAAGAGTGAATTTTATCATATGCAAATATGGAAAATAAAACAGCAACAGGTATGCCATGAAAGGTATGAAGAGGGATTTTAAAGTTCCTGGCCCTCCTAGCTGCTTTCACTATAATTCCACACTCCCTTTTCCAGTAGATGGTAACTGAGAGGGCAGAATGGATTGTTCTAGATTCCCATCACATGCTGCTGCAGTTGGTGAACAGGTGACCATATTCCCTAGTTGGTTCCCAGGCAGTCCCAATTCCTTTTTCCTTAGCTCATCCTCCTTTTTCTCAAGAAGAATATATGGCCTTGGCATTCTTTCTTGGGCTTATTCATTTAATATAAATTTCCCTTTGGTTCCCTCTTCTAATTCTTCACTGAGAAAAATGAAAGGCAAAGTGTACATATTATAACATGACTGAAGGGCCATTCAGGACCTCCACTTCCTGCTAAGGGACATCCCAGGCTCTGCACCCAAGCAAATGGGGTTGAGAGCACTGCTTTTCTAAGCATCACCATCACCTAGGAACTTGTGAAAAATGCAAAATCTCAGGCCTGTCCTAGAGCTGTAGAATAGGAATCTGCATTTTTAACAAAATGTCCAGGAGACTCATATGCACATTAAAGTCCAAGAAGTCCTGTTTTAGATTTAAGTGTTCATCTTAGCGACCTGATAATTTATATTCCCGCTAGATGTTGTGGAAAGAACAGGGCCTTTGGTCTCAGTTGACCCTGACTCTTACTCCACTGATTACTAGCTGTGTGTCCTCCATCTAGACCATACTAAGTGAAAAAGTGATGCTAGTTATAGAAGTGCATCACCTTTCTGACCCTCAGTTTTTCTCATCTATAAAATGGAGATATTAATATCAACTTTATAGTGTTGCTGTGGGGGTTAAATTATAAAATGTAATAAAACAACACTGTACCTGGCCCATAACCTAGGTTTATATATCTGTTGCCTCATCCCAGCCAATTAACTTACCCAGTCAATTCAATATTCATCCCATCAATTTACCCAGCCAATTCAATACTTATTGCCAGAACATTGAAGTCAAATCCAGTATCAGTTGAGACATTTGAAGGAATTAAATGGACTGGGGTAAATGGTTAGAGGAAGAGTAAGATGACCTTGATAACTGTACTATTCTGGAGGTATACCAGGTCAGTGACTCTCAAAGTTTGTTCCTTGGAATACCATCACCTGGCAACTTGTCAGAAATGTAAACTCTAGAGTCCCACCTCAGACTTACTAAATGGAAACTCCATGATAGAGCCTAGCAATTTACAGTTGAACAAGGCCTCCAGGTGATTCTGATACATGCTAGTGGGACACTGTCAACAACACCAAAAACCTACGTTATCAGCCTTTGTTAGAGACCTGGTATAAACAAGCAATATTTAGAGAAATATTGGAAAGCTAAGCTGTTCCTCCATCTTCTACAAGTAAGGTTAAAGAAAGTATGGTTAAAGTAAAAAGTCAGGTATTTTTTTTAACTCAGTATTAAAACACATTGGTGTGTGAAAACATGTCTGGTTTGGTTGTAATGGGCATTGCCAGCAATTTGCCGCTAATTCATCCAACAAATTCATTCAGCAGTTAGTAATAATGCTCCTGTTATGTGTCAGGCATTGGTCCAGGCTCTACTAACAGAATAAAACCTTCTTAAGTGATGCAACCATCACTAGTAATTGGTTGGTTAATCAAAAATGTTGGTTAAAGATGGAATCATAAAACATGAGACACAAACGTTTTACTTTAATATCAAATGTATAAATGAATATGTATTTGCCTATCTTTTGATATAAGACAAAAACTTTTTAAGTTGTTAGTATTGCAGCTTATCACATCTATAACAAGCTAATTTATTATTGTTAGTCAAATAGGAAAGCTAAAAGACATTTGGAAAACAATTTAAACGCAGAATTCTTCTAGATTATTCAGAATAGTTAAATATTATTTTAAAATTGTCTTGGTGACATTCATTGAATAAAAATTCATTTTTAGCTACTCACATTTATTTTCATCAAGTTACATTTAACTTGGGTTGCATAGAAGCACTATCTTTTTTAAGAACTCATATTCATCAGTTTATGTAATATTGAGTTGAATGATATAATAAGTACAATTGGCATATACAGATTCGGGAACCCTCCCAATTGACTACTGGGAAGTATAACAGCTGATTCCCTCTTTGAAACAGACTGCATAGGAACATGAGAACTCAGTCTATTTACTGCAAGCGTTCTCCACACTGTGGGGAACAGTCAGTATTTATTAAAGAAGGAATGCTGAACATTGGTTAATCCAATGATTAGGTTAAGTAGAAGTTGGTTATAAGAGTCTTTATCAGGATTGTTTCAGGGGAGCCTACTAATAACTTATTTTTTAAGATAAGTTGGAGCAGACTCAAGATTATTCCTGCAATAAGGCCACTTTAACTCACATTTCAGCTTGCTTTCTCAAGTGGAGGTTATTGAGTTAAGGTTGGCCAGTCTCTGCTACGTTTGGCTCACAGAAGTTTACTAGTAGTGATTATCATTCATTGAATACTTGCAAGCTGACATTTGTGGTTCTGTTTTCTTTAAAATTTTCACCCATGAAGGCTGTAGTAGTTATCTAATGCCACAATAGTGCTTCATAACAAACCAGCTCCAAACTTGAATTAAAGGAGTCAGTTGTTATTTCTCACAAGTCTATGAGTTGACTGGAAAGTTCTGCTGATCTGGGCCGGTAAGCTGATCTTAGCTGGGCTTGCTCATGTGTCTGCAGTCAGCTGGTAGGTCAGATGGAGGCTGACTGGTCAAAGATGATCTCATCTGGGACTACTTACTTCTCTTCCCCATAACCTTTCATCCTCTGGCTCGTTAGTCCAGCTTGCTCCATGGCAATGATAGAGTCTTCAATCCACCCCCACTTCACCTCCAGACTGCTTCCTCTGAGCTGTGCTTTGTTGCCATGCCCTCAGTTCAGGGTGCACCGTTCTAAGAAGCAGTTGCATTTCCTCTGCATTCCATAATGTAAGACGCAAGGTCACCCAAAATATTTATAATTATATGCTCACACATATGTGTATATCTTTCATAACAAAATGCCAGAAAAAGCTTTGCTTCATCTGAAGGACTAGCTTGTTGATTCTGCATGGAGACTGTTAATCTTGTAGCTGACTGTGTTTCCTTGGTTACTTTGGCTGTCAAGGAGCTCAGCATCCAATTCTCAACTGAAGTAGCCATCCTTGACCTGCCTGTCACTGATCTTGATCTTCTATCTTCAGCTCCATTTTCCTTGGTCCTGATATTTATTCATTTATATTTTTCTATTGGCTTATATATTTTACCTGAAATTTGCTGAAAATTATTAAAAAACTATCTGGTCTATATATACTTAAATAAATAACTGTAATTTCCATTACGACGCTGAGCTCATAATGGGACAATCAAAGATGGATTTGATTAGCCAATACTTTTACCCAATGATAGAGTATTGCAATCATTTAGTGGAAAGATCATTTGATAACTTCTACTAACTCTGGAATATTTCTGTTGTTGTGGGTTAGATTAAGGCCTCTTAGACCTTAATGTGCACACAAATCACCTGAGGATCTTGTGAAATTGTAGATACTGAGTCAAAAGGTGTGGGACAGGGGTCCGATATCCTGAATTTCTATCAAGCTCCCAGGTGATGCCAATGCTGCTGGTCCTCAGAGTGCATTCATAATAGCAAAGGTATAATAATAAGACCGAGGCTATGATGACCAGTGCTGTGACATTTAGAATTGACTCACTTGTTGCAGGCAATATGTGTGCGATAGATCCTAGAAGAGTGAGTTCAAAAAGCAGATAAATCTGTGCAAAATGGTCACTTCTGTACTCCAGGTTGTGATCATCCTCAATCAGTGGTATCAACTTCACATTTTGTTTAAAAGCTGGCTCCTAGATGCTTTTTATGTTTATAGACCTGAGTTTCCACCCTATCCATTTATTTTGCTGTGGCCTCATAAAGAGTAGATTCCTAGGAAATCACTCAGTTCAACCTCCCATCCAGGACAGGGAACCTCCCTCTCTCCTGCCACTGACAATGGTCCACAGCAGCCTGTCAGCCTGTTTGATATCCATAGATGGCAGGGACTTACTATCTCCAAGGGAGCCTCTTCCATTAAGGAATGGCTCTTATGAAAACAAAGTTTGTTGCTGAGTCAAAATCAATTTCCTTGTAACCTCACCCATTAAGCCTATTCTGTCATCTGCAGCATTTCAAGTCCGCTCTCAAGTCAGCCTTCCCCACACTGCAGAGAGCTGCTATGCTTCCTTTCTCCTCTTCTCTGGTTACACCCTCTCAATCCTTCATTTGCTCTGCTTAAAGGTCTATATTTTTAGACATTTTATCACTCTTTTCTGGGAGTGGCACAGTTGGTCAATATTCTCTTAAAAAACGGTGCCTAGGCCGGGCGCAGTGGCTCATGCCTGTAATCCCAGCACTTTGGAAGGCCGAGGCAGGCGAATCACAAGGCCAGGAGTTCGAGACCAGCCTGGCCAATATGGTGAAACCCTGTTTCTACTGAAAATACAAAAATTAGCCGGACGTGGTGACATGTGCCTGTAATCCCAGCCACTTGGGAGGCTGAGGCAGGAGAATTGCTGAACCCAGAGAGGCAGAGGTTGCAGTGAGCTGAAATCGTGCCACTGCACTCCAGCCTGGGTGACAGAATGAGACTCCATCTCAAAAAAAAAAAAAAAAATGGTGCCTAGTAGATACCCCCCAAAATTGAAAGCAGGGTCTTGAATAGATACTTATACACCCATACCCATGGTCAGAACAGCATTATTCACAATAGCCAAAAGGTAGAAGCAACTCTGGTGTCCATCAATGGTTGAATGAATAAGCAAAATGTGGTCTAAAAATACACTGGAATGTTATTCAGCCTCGACAAGGAATTCTGACATATGCTACAACATGGATGAACCTTGATGACATTGTGCTAAGTGAAATAAGCCAGGCATAAATGGACAAATACCATATGATTCCACTTAAGAGGTACCTAGGGTAGTCAAATTCATAGAGAAAGAAAGTAGAATGGCGATTGCCAGGGCCTGGGGGTGGGTGAGGAAGGTAAATGGGTGTTGTTATTTAATAGGTATAGAGTTTCAGTTTTGCAAGATGAAAACGTTCTGTAAATTGTTGCACAACAATGTGAATTTACTGAATACAACAGAATTAAAAATTGGTTCACATGGTGATTTTTATGTATATTTTACCACAATTCCAAAAAATCTCCAGCCCAGAGCTGGATAGACCCCTCTAGATGTGTTAAGGCCAATGCGGAATATGCTGGGGCTATGATTTTTCCTTGACTGCCAACGCCTACATTCCTCAGACTGTGAGCCCTGCCCTTCCTAGTATCTGCATTACACTACCTGTGTGGTCTGTTGAAACCCACCCCCGCGACCCCAACTTCTCTTCACATGAATTTCTGCCAAACTATCCTGAAATAGAATAATTGACTTCTCTAGTTTTTATCTGGCTTTTAAGAAATATTATCACTTCAGTGGAGGAAATAACCATCTTTTGGAAATTAAACTTTCTTCTTTATAGTCTTTCTAAGTTTTCTATGTCTTAGCCTTATTTCCAAAAGCAAAAAGAACTTCTGATATTGCTCTGAAATGATTTCTGAATGATGCTTATGAAAATCTATGTATCAGTAAACCTATGTTATGACTAATATCTAAGGATCTAGAAGTGTATAGTTGTTACTTGTACCAATATTTCTGTGCTGAAGCTAGTATTTCTTTATTTAGTCATCCTTAAGTGCTGTTAGCATAAAGCAATAATAAAAACAACTATTTATCTTCCCAATGGGAAATCAAACCTAAGCATTGCAATGATCCACTTTTGATGTTCTTAATAACTTCTAATTTAGAGGAAGCCATCAGTACAGAAACCACTGGCTTGAGAACAAAAGTGTCAAACACAGACACAGTCTTGTAATTTATTTGGGACCATTAACCTGAACATGAAATATGTAATTCAAAGCTCTGTTATTTTCATGCCATTGGCAGGTGCAATCACCTTTCTTTGACTCTCACATTTATGTATGTGAAAATTTGAAATTTTCTCAGATAACTAAATACATTTAGCTCTCCTTCCTCAAGTTCCAGCAACTACTTTACCTTATTTATTTATTTATTTGAGATCTGGAGGCATCTGTTTGGAAAAGCTGAGTGCAAGTGAGATGAAAGGTACTCACAGAGAAAACTGTATTGTGGTAGTTTCCAAATACTACCTGCTTCTGGAAGTGTAATTTCCAGAACCTTTCAGGAGATGAAAAGGCTTGTAAGAGATCAGTCATACTTCACAATTATAGAAAATTGTTAGTTGCATTTAAATCAGTCGACTGTACAAATGGACCAATTTGGTTAAAAAAAAATTCCATCCCAGAATATCTATAGGTTAAGTCATTCAAGTGCCATTCACAAGAACAGACGACTCACTGTATCAGTGCCAAAAAAAAGGAGGATATGTGAATCATTTACAGTTGTTTTGAGAATGCCAATTTAACAGCAACTTACACGCAGAATTTTTTTTTTCCCTGAAAAGACTGAACTCTAAGAAAAAAGTACATTTTGTACGTAGGACTTCTCCCACACTCTAGCTTCACAAAGAACATTTGATTTTAACTAAGGAGTAAAATGTAAATATTAGTCTCGTAGTTCTGAGATTTTGCATGTAAGTTTTTTGGCGACTTTCTGTGATTGGTTTGGTAAAGGGTATGTGGACACATAATTCTATTCATCCTGATGGTTTTCCACATAATGACTATGAAACAGGATTGGGGCAGGGAGGACAAAATCATAACTACCTGGGCTCAAGATAAAACCAAGACAATGTTTAACATGCGCTCATACAAAATCACTGTTGATAATACAAAAAAATTCACAGTTCTGGTTTCAAAAAATTAATCCAGATCTCTTGTGTACATATGATGAATCTTTGGGAAAAAAATAGCTGGATCTACTCAACTTATGCTTGAATGAGCAAACTTGTGGCCTGGTTGTGGTTGCTACAACTATACCCTGATTTTCAGTGTCTGTTATCTATAGGTTGGTGGTGGGTTTTTTTCCATGTAGAATATCTTGTGATGTGGGAGAATGATGTTGTGCTTCCTTAGGGAGCTGGCTGGACAGGTTCATGGGAGGCAGTAACCTGGCGGGACATGTGAGCTTCACTGGGCTCTGCTGGAAAGGGGCAGAAAGATAACATATCCGTGGAACAGGATTTGTGAACTTGTGTTAACATCTCTGCAAGTTCAAACAAGGAATAAGGAAGATCTTAATGGATATTTTACATGTGCCTTCTCTACAATTTGAACCTAACTGGAATGAAGAATGGGAAGAAAGAACTACTTTCCTTTCGTTCACTCTTTTTTTTTTTTTTTTTTTTTTTTTTTGAGATGGAGTTTCGCTCTTGTTGCCCAGGCTGGAGTGCAATGGTGCCATCTCATCTCGGCTCACCGCAACCTCTGCCTCCCAGGTTCAAGCAATTCTCCTGCCTCAGCCTCCTGAGTAGCTGGGATTACAGGCATGCACCACCACGCCTGGCTAATTTTGTATTTTTAGTAGAGACGGGGTTTCTCCATGTTGAGGCTGTTCTCGAACTCCTGACCTCAGGTAATCCGCCCGCCTTGGCCTCCCAAAGTGCTGGGATTAGAGGCGTCAGCCACCGCTCCCAGCCTCATTCACTCTTAAAATCTACAGTATCACCATTCCTTTGAAACACACTCTCCACTCAGTAGTGCTGAAGACCAGTATTGTGGTGTTGCCCACCATATTCTTGGCACCCACAAAATACCTGGCAAATCAATAACTATCTTCCCCAAGATTTAAGAAGGAAAATTTTCAAACATAGAAAAATGTCGAAGAATTTTGCAGTGAACACCACTGTAACACCTAAATTCTACCATTAAGACTTTACTGGCTGGGCGCTGTGGCTTATGCCTGTAATCCCAGCACTTTGGGTGGCCAAGGCAGGAGGATCATCTGAGGTCAGGAGTTTTAAAGCAGCCATGGTCAACATGGTGAAACCCCATCTCTACTAAAAAATACAAAAATTAGCCGTGTATGATGGCATGCATCTAATCCCAGCTGCTCGGGAGGCTGAAACAGGAGAATCACCTGAACCTGGGAGGCGGAGATTGCAGTGAGCCAAGACTGTGCCACTGCGCTCCAGCCTGGACAACAGGCTCTGTCTCAAAAAAACAAAAAAAGACTTTACTATTTTGCTTCAGCGTGTAACCACCCACCCAGCCATCCTCTCTGATCCCTCTAATTTTGTATGCATTTCAGTGTCAGTTGCAGATATCATTCCACTTCCCCGCTAAATGCTTCAGCACTCATATAACTGGAGGTGAATATCTGTTCACAATTCTTTTTTCCTCTTTTGAACACCTAATGAAATACAATCTTAAATGTACTATTTAATAAATTTTGACAAATGCATACACCTGTGTAGCCCAAACACCTATCAAAAATATGAAACATTACCCCACAATGCCACCAGAAGAGCCTCAAGCCCATCCCAGTGAAGCTCTGCTCCCACCCACCCACCCTCAAAATCACTCTTGTGATCTTTTTTCACCAGTTTTTCCTGTTCTGGAACTCCGTATAAATAAATTCATACAGGATGTAGTCTTTTGTGTCTGGCTTATTTCACTTAACATAATATTTTTTAGATCATCGATGTTACTGCTTATAATAGCAGTTCTCAATAAATATTGATTAGCTTATTTTAACCACAGTGTTGATTAACCAAGGATTACAGTTGATTAGATGTACTTAAATACAGCTAATATAGCTTGAATGTCTCTTATAAAGCTTTTGCAGGTTCAGAACTGCTATATGTTGTTGACTAGATAAAAGTGGGGCAAGTTTTCTGGGAAAAGAAAAAATGAGGCATCCATCATCTTTTTAGAATTAAAGGAAAAGATATCCAAGGATGATGTTTGAGCACACGAGACAGGTCAGATAGTAACTGACTACAAGCCTCTCCCCTTCTCTCAGGTGTAGGTATGACAGCTAAAGATGGCATTTTCCACAGGAAGGTTGTTCTGGAATATTCATTTACACTTGGAGGCTATACCCCAAAGCAGGACAAGCCCTGCCAAGGGGGAATCTCTGTATTTCAGTTCTCTCGGCAGCAGTTCCTCATTCTCTAAGGAGGGGGCCTGACAACCGGCTTCAAGGAAGCAGAGGATAGAGCTTCCACTCAGTGTCTGTTGTGGTAAACGTGACTGGCTTTTTGGGGGAGTCCCAATTATTTGGAAGAGCCCCAACTGAAAATTTTCAAAAGAATTCCCTCTAGCCCACAACTGCCTTCTCTAAAAGTGGGTTCCCAGGCTCAGGAAGGGTGTGGGACTCTGTGCTATGTGACATAAAAATTTTGTGTTTATCAGTGATTTGACATTCTTGTTAGGTGTAATCAGGTAGTTTTCACCTCTCAGAGTTTATATTTTCTTTCCTATCAGTCAAATGGGCTAAATTCACTGGTGGACTGGAGGTGACACCAGCTTGCATGTGGCCCAGATTGCAACTGGTGGCACCTGCAATCTCAGGTAGCCCTTCTAGGTGAAGCCAGGTGGAGATCTAAACACTTTAACTAAAGGTCTGGCTCCGCAGCCTCTTTCCTGAGAGCTGTGGGGGGCACAAGGCACAGAATTAAAACAGGGTCCGACATAGGGAACTCCAAGGAGTGTGCTCTTTAAGATCACACCAGCCTTTTTCAGCACCATTTTGCCTTTTTTTTTTTTTTTTTTTTTTTTGAGATGGAGTCTCGCTCTGTCGCCAGGCTGGAGTGCAGTGGCATGATCTCAGCTCACTGCAACCTCCGCCTCCCAGGTTGAAGCTATTCTCCTCTCTCAGCCTCCCGAGTAGCTGGGACTACAGGTATGTGCCACCACGCCCAGCTAATTTTTGTATTTGTAGTAGAGACCGGGTTTCACCATGTTGACCAGGATGGTCTCAATCTCTTGACCTCGTGATCCACCCGCCTCGGCCTCCCAGAGTGCTGGGATTGCAGGCGTGACCCACAGCTCGCGGCCCATTTTACTTTTAAACCGTTATTTAGCACCCAAACTCAGGGATACTTGGGAGTAGAAATTAGAACGGGACAGATAAGTGGGGAGACTGGTGTTGATGGAAACCTCAGTGAGAAAAGTGTAGATGGGATTACAGTTGACAACTGGTTGCCTTGATTTAGGATAATTGGGGAAAGGGAGGCTGGGGCACATTGAAACACCCAGGTTGTCGCTGCCTACCCCAGCTGCTAACATGACCAGCTGTAAACTTGCTCTGTTCTTAGAAACCTCCCTTCCAAAACATGGATTCTCCCGCCAGTGCTCAAGATGGGACACATTACCACTAAGTAAGCACTTTTCTTAGGAGCATTTCTTAGGCTGTTAAAATGCCAAGACTCCTAACCATCCTTGGTAGCTTTGAACCTATGTAAAGAGGTCAGTTAGCTGCCCTAGTTTATTCCTCAGAATGATGAGATTTGGCACTGAAAATATTGTTCATACTGAGCCTCCCATCAAATGCAATAAGTAGATAACCACAAATACCCACCCTTTTATGCTCATAACTCAGCATGTTGGAAACTATTTTCCCTTGACCTATTGCCAGCCCATCACGCCCCACACCCAGGAGAACTCAAGCCCCAAACCGGCCGCTGAATAGTCACGCTTTTCTGCAGGACATACCTACTATTAGGGCCAAAACTTTGTCCACCCTTCAAAGGAAGTCGATGTTTCCATATAAAGGTCCCCTCAAATGCAACAGCAAGCCCGTGGGAGAGGGGTTAGCAGAGGCTACGGCCAGCCCACGGGCTTTCTTCGACCTTGATTATGACCAGGAGTGTAGCTGTTAATTGCGAGGCTTGCCTCAAGGTGGAAAACAGTATCGGTTTCCACTGCCACCCCAGAGAAGGCAAGTTCCGCGGCTGGCGGTGCTGGGGACACGGTCCCTCCCAGGCCCATCTCTTGCCACCCAGAGAGCTGCTCGGAGGCCGCCTACAGGTGCAATCCCGGCACTGCGGCCGGGGCGTCGGGCCGGGGAGGGCGTCCAAGCCCACCAGCATCTCCGCCGGCCCTTCCCAAAGCCTGAACAGGGCCCCGGCGTGCCCGCCGCCTTCTACCCCCGGTTTCCCCGCGCCTCTGCCCCGGCGCGGTTTGGATAGGAAGCTGGGAGCCCTCCCAGGCTCCGCAGACTCGGATTTGGGAGGGGGTGGGACGCGGCCGAGGCTTCCCCTCGAATCTGCGGCAAGCCTGGCTCCAGGAAAGTTTTTCAAAGTTCCCAGCAGCGTCTGCCCAGGTCGCCTCCGCGGGGCGAGCAGACGGCGGCAAGCGCGCCAGCCTCGCCGCCGCCTCTGCCGCCAGCAGAGCGCTCTGGGCGGCTCGCTCGCGGGAAGCGGGCCGAACTCCCGGCGGGCAGGCAGGCCCTCCTCCCGGGGCGAAAGCCGCAGCTGACGCAGGCGGTTCGGAAGGCGGAAGCTGCCCCGCTCCGACCGCTCAGTCAGCGCCGCGGCGCCTACACCTGGGGCCCCGACGCGCGGGCAAAGGCGCACGGCCCGGGGCGCCCGAGGGGGCGGTCCCCGCTGGGGGCCTCCAGGCGTCCCTGAGCAACGATCCCTTCCAAGTACCTCCCCGCACTCTCCCTTCCCTCCTGGCCCGAAGCTCCCGAGGGCGGGGGTTGGTGTGGGGCCCTGGTTCTTCTACGCCGCCCTGAGCATCCCGCTGCCCCCAACCCCTTCCAAGTTCCTCCTCGCACTACCCCCTCCCCAGCAACGTGAAGGGGAGGGGCGTGCCCAGGGTGAGCACGCCCTCTCATGAATATTAATAAGCGCGCATGCGCCCTGCCCGGCGTGCTGGGTAGAGGTGGCCAGCCCCGGCCGCTGCTGCCAGACGGGCTCTCCGGGTCCTTCTCCGAGAGCCGGGCGGGCACGCGTCATTGTGTTACCTGCGGCCGGCCCGCGAGCTAGGCTGGTTTTTTTTTTTCTCCCCTCCCTCCCCCCTTTTTCCATGCAGCTGATCTAAAAGGGAATAAAAGGCTGCGCATAATCATAATAATAAAAGAAGGGGAGCGCGAGAGAAGGAAAGAAAGCCGGGAGGTGGAAGAGGAGGGGGAGCGTCTCAAAGAAGCGATCAGAATAATAAAAGGAGGCCGGGCTCTTTGCCTTCTGGAACGGGCCGCTCTTGAAAGGGCTTTTGAAAAGTGGTGTTGTTTTCCAGTCGTGCATGCTCCAATCGGCGGAGTATATTAGAGCCGGGACGCGGCGGCCGCAGGGGCAGCGGCGACGGCAGCACCGGCGGCAGCACCAGCGCGAACAGCAGCGGCGGCGTCCCGAGTGCCCGCGGCGCGCGGCGCAGCGATGCGTTCCCCACGGACGCGCGGCCGGTCCGGGCGCCCCCTAAGCCTCCTGCTCGCCCTGCTCTGTGCCCTGCGAGCCAAGGTAGGAGCCCTTCTCCGGGCCTCCCTCCCAGCCGTCCTCTCCCTCCCCTCGCGGCGCCCTGGGCGGTTGAGCCCCGCGAGCAGGCTCGGCAGCCCTCGAGCGCCCGACTCCTCGCCCCTGCGCCCGAGCGGCTGCACCTGGGCTGAGCGCGCCAACTCCCCCACGGGAGCCCCTGCCTCCTGAGGGTGACCCCTCCAGGCCGGACAGGGGCGCGTTCGCTCCGCTGTTGCCCCCCGGGAAGTCGTCGGATTTCTTCCGCACTCGTGCATTTTTTTTTTTTTTTGCCCCGGAATCATGTTGAGTCCTTGAACGTAGTTTCGCAAAATTATTTTCACTCGGCGAGGAGGGCTCGTCGGGGCGGGGAGTGGGAGGGAGTCGCCACCTCTATACTCGAAGAAAACAGCTTTCTCCCGCGCTGACCTACCTCCTTCCCTCGCCGGCAGGTGTGTGGGGCCTCGGGTCAGTTCGAGTTGGAGATCCTGTCCATGCAGAACGTGAACGGGGAGCTGCAGAACGGGAACTGCTGCGGCGGCGCCCGGAACCCGGGAGACCGCAAGTGCACCCGCGACGAGTGTGACACATACTTCAAAGTGTGCCTCAAGGAGTATCAGTCCCGCGTCACGGCCGGGGGGCCCTGCAGCTTCGGCTCAGGGTCCACGCCTGTCATCGGGGGCAACACCTTCAACCTCAAGGCCAGCCGCGGCAACGACCGCAACCGCATCGTGCTGCCTTTCAGTTTCGCCTGGCCGGTGAGTGACTACTCGGGAAGGAGGCCGGGCGGAGCCTCACACCCGCGCCTGGCCGAGCCCTGTTATCCCTTGCGAGAGGGATTTAAAGGGCTTTGGCTTGAAACTAGGCGCTAACTGGGGAAATCTCTAGGGGTGGCGGGTGAGGGAGCCGGGACACTATAGTTAGATCTCGGCTGGGGTAGTCGAGGTGGGTCCCATTCCTGCTGCTATTTGCTTAGTGCACAAAAGTGGGGATCCCAGAGGGTTTATGGGACCAGGCTCCTAGGAAGGCCGGTGTAAACTTGCAACTTGAAGTTCCCAGAGTAACTCTCCCGGCCCCAAGCCAAGAGATCGTTGTAGCTGATCTCTTTGCTTAACTAATTAAACCTGGTGCGCCGTGGAAGGCGACTCGGCGCAGTTCTGGCCTGCGAACGCCGTCCAAATTGGCAACCTCCCCTTTCCCGTGAACGGCCGGGAGGGCGGGTGTGTCCTTCCTGGAGGGTGTGGGGGAGTCCGTTTCCCGCTGCTCCCCGGGAGATTTTAGTGTGTGCGGGGGCGCTCTCCAGGTTCGGCTTAAGGGCCGGGGGCGGCCGCCGCAGGAGGAGGTTCTTGGGGCCCTCACAGGAGCTGTAGACCTGGGAACCCCCGCCCGCTGCTGGCCCCTTCCTGCCCCCGCCCCCGAGTGGTGTAGCTCTTGTGGCCTCACTTCCAGCGGTTCCCGGGCTCTGGAACAGCTGTGTTTGCAGACTTCCCCGGGAAGGGCGGGTGCACGGCCCCCGCAAGCCTTCGGGGGCCGTGCCAAGGCTTGGAAGGGGTGGTCTTCTGGAGGTAGTGCCTGAGGGTGTAAGTGATAGGCCCTCATCCCCCCGCCCCATTCCGCCCCCAAAGGAGCTCGAGGCCCGGGCCCAGCTGGCAGATCCTGCAGCGAGGCCCTTGCAACATCCCAAAATGGGTGGAAGGAAGATGGGTGCGATTGCAGAAGGGGAGGAAAGGGAAATGTTGGGGGTGTGCCCTCTGCCTGGCTCCTGCTGTCCAGGAGGCATGACTCATTGCCAAGACTGGGGCTTGGCCTAGCCTGTGCTGGGAGGGTGGGTGGTGAGAGGGGGAGCTCGGTGCCCCAGAGCATTGCTTTCCACCACGTGCTCTAATGGGGTGCACTCTGCTGCCTCCTGTCCGCCGGCTTAGGTTGTGATTCTGGGAGGAGACAGAGGGGAGACTATCTGGCTGTGTCTGTGTATGAAGCTTGGGGTGGCTCTTAAAATCCACGATTACAGGAGCTGGCATTATAAAGTGCCCTCTGCTGTGGGTGAGATAAGACAGTTATCAAAAACTGCCATGAAAAGGGGTTTATAAAAAGAAAAATTAAAACCAACGCTGTCTGTGAAGCTCTCTTGAGGTCCAAGGGCTGTTTCTGTTGTGGGATTTCATTTTTACCAAGAGTATTTATCTTGTTTGTTAATCCCCTATTAGGGAGAACTTTAAGCTAAAGAGTCTGGCTGCGTTTAAATCTGGCTGGCCCAAGCTGACTGTGAATACTCAAACTGCCCTTGAACGTGTGTTTGGAGTTTAGGGGGAAGGGGCCTGCAGGTGGTTCCACCCTCCTGCCGGAGGATCTGTCTGGAGCCCCTCGCTTTTCACAAGACCATAAAAGGAATCTTATTAGTGATGTGGAAAAGCAGCAGCCTGGCTGAGGCTCATTTTGGAGAGTAGGGTCAGAGGGATGGCTAACATGAAAACAAGGAGGCTTGCTCCCTCGCTGGCCAAGGAAAAGTGACCTAGAAAAGTGCGTCTGTCCGCTTTTGACACTTGGTCAGAGTCCTCAATGGAAAACGAGCGGAAATAGTGTGGGAGGGTAGGAGAGGCGATTGATTTGCATTTGCTGGTGCTCTTCTGTGGTTTCAGGCCCCACGGGTCACCAACCATGAAATAGACTCTCGGCTTTTCTCGAATGGGGGAAGACCGATGGGGCACCACTGAAAATGTGGTTCTTTTGAAGTTGGGACAAACGCATGTATCACTCATAAACAAGTCTCCACCCTGATGCCCCAGAAAGGCCTGCTGTGAAACATAAGATTTAATTCTCAAGAGAAATTGGAGTTTAGGTGTATTTGTTTTTCTGTATGTGGTTGGAGAAACGGCACAGTCCGTAACTTTCAAGAATGATTCCAGGCTGAGTAGAAACGTAACTGAAACACTTAAGTAGCTGAGCGAGTATTTAACTAGAGGGCACAGCTTCATTTAGTTTGGCAATTAACTATGTCTTTTAAAACTGATTTCCTTGAATGGGAAATAAATGAACTTAGTACAGAATTCAAGAGATAGCAAGAAAAGGATATATGGTTAAAAACAAAACAAAACTCCAAACCACCTTGGGCTCCCAACCCCTAGCAGGCACAATTACCATTTGCATGAGTCCTCCCAAATTTGCTGACGCTGGGTATCAGCAAAGGGTGCAGGGGTAGGTCAGTGTAGAAGGTCATGTAGTTCATGCTTTTTGTTTGGAATTATGACCCCTATCCAAGCAACTGTTCATGTTCTAGAGAGGACGAGGAGGAAACGATTTGGTCAGATATGAAATACAGTCCATGTTCTGGTGTGCATGTGAAAGGCTTTGTAGAGGTGGCCCTTCCTGTCATATATCATATCTGAGTATGTCCCACGTGGTGTCCCCTGCCCCGGCTCTGGTCTTGGGGTAGTTTTTCACCACTGGCTTCTAATTCTCATACTGTTGCTGCTCTAAGGGGCTTAACTTGCAGCAACTATCTGGATTAATGATTCTCAAATTGGGGGACCAAGTGATAAGAACCATTATTGTGGGAAGTAATTGGGCTTAACAGGAAATAATTTAGGAATTACCACTTATAAATCACTGAAACGGTTAATCTGTACCTCCCAAAATTAGTGCTAAATCCCAGTAGTGCCTGCTTATTAAAAATACATTAGTGTAATTACCACTACTCATCTCCAAAAGCTTTTTGGGAACTTCAGAACCCCAGTTAGCTGTATTGCTGCATCGGTGGCCCCAGAGTGAAATGAATCTAGAGAAACGTTAGGGGAAGAAATTGGGGTATCTGGCTTATTAGCCTCATATTTAAATTCCATTGATCCTATTAAAAGACTTGCTGAGATCAACTTTTTTTTTTTTTTTTTTTTTTTTTTTTTTTTTTTTTTTTTGGAAAATCCAATGAAACGTGATTCTTCTGTGTGAGGGATGCCAGCTTTGGCCCCCTTCATGCTTCAGGCCTGAATGACCAATTGCCACGATGCTAATCACAGAATGTAATTGACAGGCCCTTACTTTTATGCCTTTTGCTGTCTTTTCCAGTCCCTGAGCTTCTGTAGATATGGTGTGGGCACATGGAGGGCTTAAGGATGGGGTTCTGATTTGACCTGCCTCCTTTCTGCAGCCAGGATTTGCATCCTGCCCGTGTAGTCAGCATGTATACAAAGAAAGAGCATGTGTGTACGTATGTGCTCAGAGCAAGGGACTTTCTGCATGTGGAGAAAACGCCTTTTGCCCTAAGAAGTCTACCTCAAACCAAAGGGATGAAGTGATGTATCTGTGTTGCAACACTGGGCTTGGGGGAAAGTGAAGCTGTGCTTGCTTTGAAAGAGCTGTGCTAAGTATCTGCAGAATAGCTGCTCCAAAAATGGAATCTTTATTCCAGGTACTTGGTTTCTAATTTTTTTTTCTCTTGCAGGTGTAACCTTCTGTGTTTTCTTTCTCCTTGTTGTCTTGTTTCTTAGCAACTTATTCAAACCTCCAGTACTTATAGGAATTTGCAACCCACCAGTTCCACACCCGTAATTCTACAGGGACTTAAGATGTTTTTAGAAAACGGTGAAACTTTGGCGTGGAGGCTCTTGGGGGAGTTCAGTGGGTTAAAAGGAGAGTCAGCAGCAACTTACAGGCATGCAACCTCCCAGAAAATCAGCAATCTAAGTGCTGCTCAAAATCTTCACACCAAATAGTGGTGCCTTTGGGGACCTTTTAGATAGAAGACGTGGAAAGTTTAGCATGGAGAAAAAAGTTACTTAAAAAAAAAAAAACAGTGTCAAGGTAACAAGGAGCCTTCACAGTTCCTGATCTGAAAACAGGAATGTGAACCAGAGGCCTTGGCTGGATTCATATCACCCACTGGCCCCATTGTAGAAGGGCCAGAAGTTGGTCCCAATGTCCGGCTTTCAAGGTTAGTGACAATGTAAGAATGCATGATCTCTGGATGTGCATACAATTAGCGTTGTAATCCATAAATGCAAATACTCCTGCAAATTCTTCCATGGTAAACTTCTGTAAGGCATGTTGCTCTTCCACCTACCCCCATCCTTCAAGCCTAGGATCTAGGCTGCTGAGAGAAGTGACTCTTGGCTTCAGCTTTTAAATATATATATATCTCTCAAAACTTAATCTTTTCTTCCAACTGTTGGAAGATACATTGGGATGAATGGAAAGTGGTGATTCTAAAATGGTGGTGGAAATGGAGGAGGGTCCTGGGTTCAGAAAAATCCCACCTTTACTTTGGTGCATGGCACTGGGTGGCTGTGTTGTGACTTCTTTGCTGATTTCTGATTACCGCATGGACCACAGCAGCCCTGTGACTGCTGTTTTTTTTTTTTTTTTTTTTTTTTATGGTGCCAGTGACATCTACCATTGGTGCAGTGCGTGTGCTGGGAAGAAATTCCGCAAGGTGGCTCCCAGTAGTTAAAGGAGTACATAAATAGTCAAACATGCAGAGTCCTCTACCAGCTCAACCCAGTTTTTATGCACTTTTGGTAAATAAACAGAAAGGCTTCTTGTTCAGGCTTGCTCTGTGTGAACCAGACCGTTGTGCTTGGCTGGCTTCTTGGTATTCTATCTATTAACCTCGCCACCCTTTTGTAACTGGTGCATTTAATTATCAGTGGGATGCTTTTCAAACAGGTAAGGGTAATGATGGGAAAGGGGGTGGGGATGTCTCATTGAGAGTCACAAATCTGGATATGAGCTTTGGGGCCCCTTGGTGAGCCTTTGAGTGGGCTTTGATGAGAAAATCACCCTTTGTAACCAGATCGGACTCTATTGACATGTCAAGCCCTACAGACTTGATTGCTTTCTGTGCCTGAAGTCTTAGCCTAGATGCTATAGGATAGTTGTCCTTTCTTATCTCACTTTCCCAAAACCCACTCGCATTGTGTGCATGAGTACGTGTGCATGCGCCACACATGGACTCCCTGCAACCTTTTCTGCTTAATATGTTTTGTGACTGGAATATTTTATACTCTGGCCACCCAGACACAGGCAGGACAATAGAGTTGGCCGAATTGACTGAAATGAGGATTATGGAGAATAATAGGGCCTCTCCAAAAATAATGCTAACACAGGACAAGCGACAGGAAGCAACAGTTGAGTCAGCAGAGCTCAGGGCCCCTGACGAACCCTGGGAGCCGACTGACTGTGCACAATGGCCGCGTTGGCACGTCGGGCATTCCCAGGATGTGCGTGCCGCCGGCGGGCCTGCCTGTCGCAGCAGCCTGGGGTTTTGGACGCCGCACGCGTGCCGTTTGGATGGCGGTTTATTTGTGTCCGTCAGCTTGGCAGGAGGGGAGGCAGCCGCTTCTCAGGGCTTGGTTTGGCTGTCACTGTTGCCAGGAAAAGGAAGCTCCCGGCTGCCAACACAATTACCTTTGTTTCTTACATCCCCCCTTCTTAATGTGGCAATTAAGTGCTTACCGCTCTGCCCAGTGCCAAGGTAACCGCCATGGAGTGGGACAGGGCAGAGAACACAACCTTGGCACAGCAGCCTAAGTGTGGAGGGCGGGAGGAGGTGCAGGGGCCCCAGCCTTGCTGGGAACCTGGTGGCCCTTGGATGCCTTGGGGCTTTGATGCCAGGACTCTCCTCTAGGTAGAATTCCACAGAAATCTTCCAAAAAGCAATTCCGAAGGCTGACCATTCCTCTTTGATGCCACACCAGAATGGGAACCAGCTGCCAGGTTTCCAGATTTCCTTGGGCTTGGAGCTGGGAAGGGGCTGAAGTGACTCACTTTGCAAATCCAGACTAAAGATCTGTTTGCTACCCCTCCTTCCTGTGTGGCCTTCACAGTACTGTTCTGGAAAACATAAGGAAAGATGAAAGCCAGGTGACTCTTCGGCAGAGTCTTAGTTCTGTAGTCTGAAATCAAGAAAAACCCAGGTATTTGCTTTTGTTGTTGTTGTTTTGCTGTATAAACTTAAGTTTGAACACTTGCCTTTCCAAGCCCTCCTGGGATGGAGGACTCCGCCTCTACTGGGGGTCAGAGTTGCAGTGGCTGCTTGTATGTGACTTCGGCATAGTGGATTTGCTGCTCTGTGGCCTGGTCCCTGCTTTGATGTGGGGTGCATGATCTGGGATCTCAGTGCCTGGGTGTATGTTCAGGGATGTACAGAGGTCAAGTGTGGGCCTGGGAAAAATTAAAGTTCTCTAGCAACTAATAATCATTGTTAAATTATCTTGATTGCTGATCTATAGTGTGGGGATGGAGTGGGAGGTTGAGTGCCTCCTAATAGGAACCTTGGAGGGAATCCTTTTTCTCTGTAGGGCTGGGCAGGAGGAATCCTCCTGCCCCAGGAGACCCTAATCCCCTCCCTGAAACAGACAGGAAAAAAAGTCCAGGCTTTGTTGCCGTCACTGTAGCTCCCTGCCCTCACCCTGTCTCTGCCTCTGAGAAAGAAGGGCAGTTCATGGAAAATCACAGAGCCAGGCACGTAGGGCTGTGTGCAATTCTTTTCTCTCCAGGTGGGGTGATGTCGGTCAGCAACTTCTGAGGTTTTCCCAGTTCTGGCGAGGATGAGCCTGGTAGACTGCTTGGTCGTCCAAGTTCTTGTGCAAGACCTAAGGATGCTTTCCTCTTTGAGTATTAAACTGAGTTAGTACTGCCATGCCAGCTCAGTCCCGGCACCTTCCCTTGCAGTGGGGTTTGTGGGTATTATGTGTTTAGCGCTTGTGCAAGTCTGTCAAAACTCCTGGTATCAATGCATTTAATCAGAGGATTAATTACAACAATACTGTTGAAGTGGAGGACGTGGGCCTCAACGTGACCAGCAAATGAAGGGCTTAATTATACAGAATCAGCCACACATCTGGCCTCATTTTGACTGTGCTCTTACCTCAAATCAGTAGAGAAATATAATTTCTTGCTGCTCTTAGGGAAGAGTCCTGTAATTTGCAGGAAGTCCTAAGAAACTTAAAGAGGCAGTAAATAAGGTATAACTTTCGCTAATAAAATAGTAACAACAGCAATGAATTTGGACCTGTGGCCACTAACAGGAGAGGGCTGGGTATGTGCCCTGGCTTGCCCGGTTTTGCTTGCTTTTCTGAGCATTTTCCCACAGTTATCAGTGAACGAAATGGAATCCTACTCTGCTTTGAGTATGAAACATATTTCGGCTGAATTCCAAGGCAGGGTCTATCACAAGATATTTTTATATTCAGAGATGACCTGCTGTGTCACTCTGAGAGCGCTAAGCTGGCCTTGAGTTATGAATGAAACTCCCTTTTACCCTCCCTTTTTCTCTTTTTCCTTTATCTTATAGGTGCTTTCTCTTCTCTTGGCAGCAGTGTGCTTCTGGTGGCACAGCACGGTATTATTTAATCTATACACGCTTCTATTTCCTATGGCTTGGTTTCTGACACAGCAAAGCAGGGATTCATAACCTAGTTCATGTTCCTTGTCTACCCCACCTGCCTTGAGTACATTTCTTCAGTGCCAAGATAGCAGAAGCTTCATTTAAACGCTGGTGTTTTGTGAGACTGACCTTACTGTAAATTACGAAGGAAAATTTTAGAAAAGGAGGGAATTTGCTAATAGCTTAGGTTTGGCTGGGGGTGGGGAGGTGGAATTCTGAGATAAGCTTGGAAGATAAAAGGTGCCTTCAGTTTAACAGCTGGCATCTTGCCAGTATCCAGGGAATTTGTTTAGTTAGTAGACTCTGATTATTCTTGGAATGTTAGATCTTATTAACAGATAAGTTCATCAATAAATATAACCCATGGGTGTGCGGTTGTTTCTCCCTTTGTACTTTCTTCCCTGGGATCTGCCCCCAACTCCACCGCCCAAGTGAGGTTGACTTCTTTGTCTTGCAGAGTCACTTTGCATCTACCCCCTCCTGTTTCCTAGAGTTACCCGATACTTGTGGGAGCCAGGATGGTCTCACATAGACAGAGTTTTCAAAGGGGTTCTAAAAAGGAAAAGGGGGCCTCCCTAGAGACTGCCTCACCAGGGCCCAAAGTGTAACCTTAGCAATACCCCCTCGGTACAAATACCTGGTTAGGTTAGCTTAGAATAAATTCTTTGTGTGTGTGTGTGTGTGTGTGTGTGTGTGTGTGTGTGTTTCCTCATGCACTAGGGTCAGGGTCTGGAAAGTTTTGGGAAACTATATGCTAAATACTCTCATATCATATAGTGAGGTGGCATTTCCTGATCTCAACTTTGAGCTGCCTGCATGCATGTTGACTCCAGTGCGTCCCTGCCAGGTGAAAGGAGTCATTTGTCAACCTGGGAAGAGTGCTGACAAAGGAAGGGGAGTTGGTTTGGATTTAAACATCCAGGAACTCAATGCAACAACCAACAGAATTTTTATTTTGGCATTATGGTTTTGTTTGGTGGGGTATTCTGGGAGGCCAAGAATGTACGAGATTTTGGAAAGTCGACCCTGTTTCTGAATTGCTAAATTGTTTGTTTGTCTTGCAGAGGTCCTATACGTTGCTTGTGGAGGCGTGGGATTCCAGTAATGACACCGTTCGTAAGTATCGCTTCTGTGGACTTTTCTCTAAACACACGTGGAAGTGTGGGGCTTGGCCAACCAGTTGGAGCTGGATCTGTCTCCTTAGTACTTAGCATTTCTGCCACCTCTTGCCTTCTGTTCTCCCCTGTACCCCAGGGTGAACCTTCAGTGGAATGTATTCCTTAACTTTTCTAGGATTTTTGCTTGGAATATTAAGTGGCCAGAACAGAATCCCAGTTAACTCATTCCCTGATTATGAAACCTAGATTATCTTCGGGATAGAGATCTTAATGGTTTTACAACTTTAAAACCTTGTAGTCTGCTAAAGGATCAAAGTAGTGACTTTTTAAAAGTCCATTTAAACTTTAAGTGAGTGTTTAATCTCTCATCAGAAAGATAAAGCCATAAAGGTGGTGCTGGGCTCTAGAGACCGACCTTGAATTTCACTTGGTGGGCAGGTGAGCTTCTAGTCTCTCCGGGTTTCCCACACTGCTCCACAAACCTTTCATTGAAGCGCAATTCCAGAGCTTCACAGCCATTACCTGCCTTGTCCCTTTCTGAAAGATGGCTCTGTTTTCAGTGCAGGTTGCCTTTCAGGACTGAGGGGTTGGTTTTGGTGGATAAGCCATGGAGGATGTGATTGAAATGACATAGTCTGGCTTACAAAGTAGTCTTGCTCTTTAATTGTAACTTTACAGTGTTTTCGCTCACGAGCCGAAACTTCAAGTTCCCTTTTTGCCAGCAGAGTTTGGGTTGCGGTCGCTGGAAAACTTGATGCTCACTGAAATCTCTTGGTCTGTGCATGAGGAAGAGTGGATCCAGCTTCTTGTCTTGGCTCTCTGTTCTCTGAATGCCTTGTACTTTTTGCTTTTCTATCTTACCATTTTTTTTTGTTTGCTTTCACTGTGAATAATATATTTTCATCTTTCCTTGCCTTGCTTTTTTTTGCTGACAGAAAATGGTGAATGCACACCGTGGGTGCAGTGAGGGCTTGGTGCCTGCTACGTGGGCAGCTTCCACCTGTGGCTGGCTTATTGGGCTACTTGGAGCCACAGAATCATTGCTGAGCTCCGATGTGCCAGAGAGTCCCAGGCCATTTGGGTCACTCTTCTAGCTTGGGAATCTTAAGTCCAGCTTTTTGGATGTCATCCTCCCTGGAGGGGGAGCTCATGAAAGTCCAAGGTTCGAGTCTTCCTCCCCAGAGGGCTACCCTGTAATGCCGTGGGGGGGTGTGTGTGGGGGTGGCAGGGAAGCTCTGTCAGCCTTGGCTATGGCTGATGCCAGTCAGGGTCATAGACACCTGTTTGTTCTCCCCTCCCTGCCACAAACGTTGAGGACTGTGAACATTATGTCACTGTGACCTGCTTACAATGGTAACTAAGCGTTAGGCAGAAGGGGTTGAGGAGGGGGGAGACATAGGCTCTTCTGTAATAGTATGGTGTCGACATGGTGTTCTTTCCCCTCCCTTTTAGCTATTGAAACAATCCACCCGGTAGAGTGAACAGCTTGAGGTTGATCCTGGCCTGTGATAAGAGCCAGGTCAGTATACTTGTTAGGGACATGTGAGAGACCTCCCCGCCACACTGCAGCATTCACAGCACCTTTCCTGGACCTCCTGTCACCTCGCAGGTCAGGGAGTTATGTCCCCTGGGAACCCAGGGCTTGTCCAGAGCTACCCACAGTTGTCTGCATTTCCAGGTAGCCCGATTTTGGGGTTCTAGGATGTTTCATCTCCTGGGGGGGTAATCAAATCCCTGGAAGAGGACAAGAAAGACTGAGGTAGGAATAAAGTTCTTTTAAACCTCAAGGGTGCCCATTGCAGGTTATCAAAACTCACTTGGTGAACCCTGAAGAGGGAGATGGGTTTGGTGGAAATGGTTTCTCCACTTGCCTATTTGGCCTCTTTTATGATGCTTCCAAGGAATCTTGAATTCAGCACAGTCAAAACCAAACTCAGGATCTTCTCTTGCCAAAAGCAGTCCCTTCCCAGGGCCCCTTCTGGGTGTCTGGCACCGATATTTGAACACTCATTGCCATAAGCCAGAAATATAGAAGGCGATCTGTGTACCCCCTCTCTGTTAGCATCCATACCTAGTCCACCTCCAAGTTCTGAAAAATCTCTCCAGCTCTTCACTTGAATCTGCCTGCCTTCTGCCACTGCCCTGGTCCAAGTCACCATCTGCTCATGACTGAACTTAGAGTAGCCTTCGTCTGGTCCACCTTTATCTGCTCTGACTCACCTCTAGTGCTTTCTCCATTCTTCTGCCATCCTGGTCTTTTCAGAGCCATAACATTTGCTTGTCACCCTTATTATGAAAAACCAACCACTTGGTGGCCTTCTGTTGCTCTTGGGACAGATCTTCATGTGGCCCACAAGGCTCTGTGCAGCCCAGCTTTGTCTCCCTGCCAGCCTTGTCTTACACACCGTGTTGTCCATCGTATCTGTAGCCTGGCCATACCCTAGCAGTTGCCTTCCTATCCTCAACTACATCACATGCTTTCTGGCCTCAGGACCTTTGCACATGCTGTTTATGCTACTTGGAGTGTTTTGTTCCTTTCTTCACCCTCAGCCACTCCCTCTGGACTGCACTCCACAGGGCAGAAGCTGAGGATGTTCAGAAGCCCAAACGGAGTTGGCTGCCCTGTGGGACCCAAGCGAGTTGTAAACATTCTGGCTTCAGATGTAAATCAAAGGCAGAGCCCTGAGTTTTAGGGCAGAGAATTCCTTCTATCAGCTCTGCAGTGAGCCCTCACAGGCAGACTCGGGCCCAAATATAGCCTAGGTGCTGTTTATGTATTTGAAAGTATTTAAGGCTGGTCCTTCTGTCATCGGTCCTCCAAAGTCTTTTATTACATTTTGGGACTGTGGTATATAGAGTTCCAAATTTCTTTCTCCCCTAGAGCAAATGGTTTCAGTTTACTGTAATGCATAATAAACATGTAAACATAAATAGGCACACTTCAGACCAGGTTTTCCCTGTAGCTTAGCTTTCTCGGCTAAGGCCCCCTTCCAGGTTTTTGGGTCGGTGTGGTCCCAGGTTATGCTCAGACTCGCCCTTCATCACCTCCTCCTTGGCCTGCGAGGCGGTCATGGCTTCTTCGTGACTCATCTTCGTGGCACTGGGGATTGCAGGGAGGCATGGTGATGTCCTTTTCCAGTCACAAGGCTGGACTGCCAAACGAACTGCCACAGATTCCTTTCCAGTGCCCCAAGCTGAAGGAAAGCGTGATCAGGAAGCAGGCAGCAGACGTATTTGAACCCAGACATGCTCGACCCCCTCCCTGAGCAGGTGTGAAATTATGTATGCAGCTCCATAGCTCCACTGAGGATTCTGAAGTGATCCTCTGCACGACACTTCCCGGAAATAAGTGGAAAGCTTACTGCATGACTGAAAAGTACATATCAGTCCTGCACCCCTAGGATTGCCCTGGACTCTTGTCTAAACTGTTTGTTGTTGATACCAGCCTCAGAAGCTGGATGCCTTTAAGCCATGGCTAGTGTGTTTAACCGATCCCTTTTATGAAGATCTTGTAAGCGCGTGGTAATAGCCCACTATGCTTTTTAACTGAACCAGCAGAGCAAACATAGTTAATGGAGAGACATTTTTGTCATTCCTTGGCCTCTGTTTATTTGCAAAAACGAGTAAAGTGTTACCTGCCTGCAAGTGGTTCAGTGCGTGCCGGGGTGTCAGGCTGCAGGTATGTGAGCTTGTTCAAGGCTTGTCTTGCCCACGCAGCAGTTTGAGAGCCCTAGAGGGCGAACGCTGGGGCCCTGTTGGAAGCGGTGTGTGGATGAAGCCACCCAGGAGTCCCTTCTCTCCTGGTCACTTATAGGGCTTGCATCACTTTTTAAAGGAGCACTGGCCCGAGGCCTAGAAAAACAGCCATGTGGGTGGGTAAGAATCACAAAGACATTGCAAGTCAGTCCTAACTGTCTCTCCAAGATGGTCTTGAATTTGACAAGGTGATGAAGAGTTGGTGCTGGCAGGTTTAAGAAAACAAACACAAAACCAGGTTGGGGTGCTGATTTAGTGCCTTGCTGCCTTTTCAGATCCCTCCCCTGAACTGCTGGCACCTGATGTTTGAGCTATTTTTGTACCTGTCTCTTCTCAAACTAGATGATAAGTGGCCTCAGGGCAGGGACTACATACTCCTGAGAGCTGCTTGAGCTCGAGGTGTTTATTATCCTCAGTAAGCATTTTTTTTCAGGAGCATGACTTGGCTCAAAAAAACAAAAAGAAAAAAGAAACCCTCCCCTCAATTTACCTGTGTCTAAACTTTGGTGAATTATTCTCCCATCTGCCTTCTGGGCAGAGGAGAAAGGTGGAATGCATCAAGTTCAAGGTCTTGGTATTTAAGAGCTGGCTTTAAAGGTTGCCATGTTAACAATTGTAAAAAAAAAAAAAAAAAAAAAAAAAAAAGTAACTTAATCGTCTCCTTGGCTTCCAGTTAAGAGTTTTGAAATGGACAAAAAGCTTTTCTGAGCAAGACATAAAACCCTAAAACCAGAAATGATTGCTGACCTTTATCTGGAATAATGAAATTTCTTCAAGAGCAACATTCCATAGGGAGCTACTGTCTCTCATATGTAAAGAGCACTTGCAAGTCAGTATGGCAATGTAATAGAAAAGTTGGCAGAGAAGAGAAGCTGTTGCTGTTCACAGGAACAAATATAAATGGTTTTGTAACTACCAGAAAGGGCTCTTGCCATCACTTAGTTAAATGCTAATTAAATGAGATACCTCTTTACCTATCAGGCATAGATTAGAAGGTTTGATAATGTACAACGTTGGCAGTGTTATTGGGAAACACAGCTTCCTGGGTGGTGGGAGGACAGACTGGTAGTTTGAGACTGTGGACAGAGGTTGATTTGTTGTGCACGGACTCTGATTCAGCACTTCCATTTCTAGAGTATCTCATTGTGGGAACCATACACAGGCAGATACGTTCAAGGAATGCTCACTGTGGCTTTGTTTAATAGTAAGAAGCCCAAACGACTCACATGCACACATGTCAGGGACTAGGTAAATTATTTATTGGTGTTTCCAGACAATGAAATACTGTGTACCCATTAAAGAAGGTAAACAAGTGGTAACAGGTTGTCTCTGGGTAGGGGCATAAACTTTTCATTTCTTTGCCTTTTTTACAACAGATAGAATTTTGTAGCAGGTGCATATGTTTTTATTTTAAAAAGCCAAAATGGTCAGGGAAGAAGGCTGCAATGTGAATATTAACATGATTCATCACTTTGTCTCTAGAACCTGACAGTATTATTGAAAAGGCTTCTCACTCGGGCATGATCAACCCCAGCCGGCAGTGGCAGACGCTGAAGCAGAACACGGGCGTTGCCCACTTTGAGTATCAGATCCGCGTGACCTGTGATGACTACTACTATGGCTTTGGCTGCAATAAGTTCTGCCGCCCCAGAGATGACTTCTTTGGACACTATGCCTGTGACCAGAATGGCAACAAAACTTGCATGGAAGGCTGGATGGGCCCCGAATGTAACAGAGGTATGTGTGTGTGTGTGCATGTGCACGTGTGCCTGTTGCTTTTAGTGTCCATTTATCACCCCACCAGCAGGCAGGTGGCATGCGGCTATCTCAGGTGGGGTGGGATTTTGGCTGTTATTCTGGGCCTGCAGTATGAAGATGCGGAGTGTAGAAGATGCTGTTGGTGCCCCATCCAGATCCCCTTTACTGGCATCCCCATCCCCCAGGTGCTGTGTTGGCTGCCAACAGCTCACAGCTGCTCCTTCTCAGGAGACTCGTCCTTGGCCAAACCAGTGCATGCCCCATTCCTCCAGCTCACAGTCAGTGATTGACAGACATAGGGCTACAAAGCCCAGCTTCCTTTGCCTTAAAACAGTAGTACAATTTGCACTCTAGAGCTTACCCTGGGATTAGGCTGAAATCAGACTCCAGTTGAGACCATGTTCTTGCTCAGCTCTTTCCCCTACCCCATCTGCTTCCCTCAATTCCTTCTACCTATGTCCAGATCCCCTTCTCAGACTCTGCTTCTAAGGAACTTGACCCAAAATAGATCCAGACAGGACTAGGTCAGCCCAGTTGTTGTCTGAACAGGCTATCCTATAGGAAATGATAGCCCCTGCATTCAGGGTAGCCTTGCAGCAAGTTTTCACTAGGTGTCTTTGGGGGCATGGCTTTGATGGGGAGAGGTATGTGGTTAGCTCAAGCTTTCCTATTGGTGTAGGAGTGGGCCCACTTTTAGTCTCTGTGCTGTCTACTGTCCCAGTCCCTTTATAGAATTCAGTGATTCCAATTCATAGCAACTTGATGGGTAATTCTGTTAACTGTATAATATCCCCTCATGAGCAATAATGTACTCTGCTTATTTTACATGATAATTAGGTAAATTGTTTTGATAGACTCAATTTCAAAGTGAGTTTTTCAACCATGAGAGAGGGGTGGGTCATGGGGGAAGGAATTTACAGCTCTCCCGGGTAGTACTACTGCTTTCTTAAATAATTGGAGAGAAGAGTTTAAAAAGGATGGCATTTCTGGAATTCAAATGAAAAGGGGAATTCATTAACATATTTTAGTGTGTTTTAAAAATTAAACGACCTAACACTTAGTGTGGGTTTTTTGTTTGGTGTTTTTTTTTTTTTTTAAGATAAGGTGCTCACTTTGTCACCCATGATGGCACAATCATGGCTCACTGGAGCCTTGAACTCCTGGGTTCAAGTGATCCTCCTGCCTCAGCCTCCCAAGTAGCTGGGACTATAGGCACATGCCACCACACCCAGCTTTTTTATTTTGTGTAGACATAGTCTTGCTATGTTGTTGAGGCTGGTCTCGAACTCCTGGCCTCAAGCTATCCTTCTGCCTCAATCTCCCAAAGTGTTGGGATTATAGGCATGGGCCACTGTTGCCTGGTCTTAGAAACTGACATTTTTTAGAAGTTACTTTTTTCTTTTTTTTAAACGAAGTAGAGAATTGCTCTGCAAGGATACTTTATAAAAGTCTCACCAGATCTGGCCACCAGATTAGCCTGCCCAATGAGTCCAGCCTGGCTGGCTCTGTTAGTCCCATGGAATTTTCAAACCAGGCATTTGGTATGGGTTGTTTTTTTTTTTTTTTTTTTTTTTAAAGGCTGAGGCTCATCTGAATGTGTCCTGGTGGGATGGGGAAGGATTATCTATACCTTTTTTTCTTCTAATGAAAAGGGTGTGGGCAGAATGGAAACTGACCAAGCTCTGCTCAAGGAGCCAGGGTAGCTGTGGTTTAGAGAGGCTGGACGAAGGTCCCCCTTCCCTCGTCAACTTGTCTGCATTTTGTCCCCAAACAATATCATGTTTTCAGAATCTGCTAACAAGGCCTTGAAGTTTAAAGCTGGTTTTGTTATTTGGGCCCCTCCCATCTTCCTCTCCTTACAAGGGACTTGATATGAGACCTGTTAAAATCGTGGAATTTGCAGACTTTAATGCAATGGGCCATTCTCATGACCGGGGCGATGCAAGGAACAGGCAGTGTGCTGACACGCCCTTCTCTGTTTTTTACAGCTATTTGCCGACAAGGCTGCAGTCCTAAGCATGGGTCTTGCAAACTCCCAGGTGACTGCAGGTAAATCAACTGGTCTTTTGTGAGATTTCTTTTAATTTTCCTTTATGTAAGAGAGGAACTGACTTTATTGTGACTATGCCTCTTTTTTCCTTGGAGAACAAGAAAGCTTTTTTAAAAAAAAAATTCAGATAGACACATCCGAAGCTTATTAAATTATACCAGCTGTCTGGTGGAATGCACACACCACTTCTCTCTTGGAATAAAAAGAAACTCTTTGGGCATAGCCAGTGACTTCATGTATTAACTGTTCTGTAAATTGATAACACATTTTTATAATCTTCCCTTATAGTGCTGATGGGCTAGATGGAGGGATGTGGGCTTGTTTCTTTGCGTCTCTCTCCTCTTCCACCAAGGCTTTCTTCTCCCAGCCCCCTCCCCGACTTTTCCCATCAATAGGCGAAAGTCCAGCATTCTTTAGAATGGGATTAGTCCAATCTCCTGGCCCCTTTGCAGGCGGGAGCTGGGTTGGTGCTGAGAGGTTAATGGCTGCCCTGGAATCTTGTCAGTTGAGCCTGATGAATGTAGACTTTTGCTGCAGTCCTTTGAAGTCTGTTCCTTTATGGTCCAGGAACAATGCGGAAGCCAAAGGGAGGCCTGCCCTGACCACTTCACGATGGCGGGTTTTGGAACTTCTTGAAATTTATATTACGCCCGTTTGGAAAAGGCTTATTTTGGGAAATATTGTTGGTGTCTGTGGTGTTTTTGGCAGTCTTAATGCTTTGCTCTCCCTCCTCCCAAATTTTAAGGAGTAACGCTAAATGGATCCTTTGAGCCTGTCACTTTTGCCCCCAAAGCTACTCTGACATGAGTAAAGGGAATCTTATGAAACATAGTCTAAACCAGTATGTCCCAAACTAATGTTATTTGGGGCTCTTATTAAAACGCAGGTCCTGATTCTATAGGTCTGGGCTGAGCCCAGGTTTCTGCATTTCTAACAAGCTCCCAAGCGATGCTGCTGATGGAACCATCAGCAATCACTGCCCCCAGACCTCAGTACTCAAAGTGTAACTTCCAGAATTAACAAGGGAGCTGTTAAAATGCAGGTTCGTGGGCTCCGTCCCACATCCATAGAATCCTAGTCCTTGGTTTGGCCCAGGAGTCTGCATTTGACAAGCTGGCCACATGACTTTGCTGCTTAGTAAATTTTGAGGCTACTCCTTTAAAGAGAACTATCTGTGGCCTTTACCTTTATGATTCCACCGCTCCGTCTGTTCCCCTCCCATGCAAGGGGGAACATGGAACTAAATTAAGAACTGGTTGTCCCGAATTGTCTCTTCCTACACTTCAGAAAGATAGTTTATTTCCTGGAAGGCTGAGGGGCTTCTCCTGCTGTCTCCCATTGGTGGCGATGGACTGTAGTATTTAACAGCATTGCTGTCCAATGCGGAGCAGGAATCCACCTACCTTAACTCTTCCTAATTAAGGGTGTTCTGGAGAAAGTCCCAATGGCAGTGCTATTAGTGATTCCAAGCCTGCTGCCTGCTCAGATGGATATCAGCGGAGGCCGACTGTGATTTGTGCTGCTGTCATCAGAACACACATACAGCTATACAGGGGAGGGCCCTCCCAGCCAGAACAACAGGCTTTGTTTCCAGAATTTAGCCCTTTCTCTTTCGAAGTCCCACCTCCCTCTCCCTGCCCAGACACGCACTGATGGCCTTATTTACTTAAGGTGCGACTTTCCCACACATCATTTGCATAGTCTCCCAGCCCAGTTTTCCCTCCCTACCTTGAAAGAAAGTCAAAACAGAACCTTCACGCTGAGGAAGTTCAGGTTGTGTCCTGCTGCAGAAATAGTTGAATGGCAAGTTACCTGCAAGTTGTCTTTTGGATTATGTATTACACAGGTTATTTTTTTTTTCACCCCCACATGAGAAAATTTACTGGTTTTTGTTGTTCCCAAGTAGACTGAGTCCCTTTCCCTGGGTATACATGCTTGCTTATTGCAAGCCTGCCAATAATATCAAACTTAATTATGAATCATCATCTGAGGAAAGTCACTTCAATTTCTCATGAGAATCTTAATCATATATTATTAAACTGGGATAACTTGGTTGGTGCCTCTTTTAGGGTCAGTATTTTTATTTGTTTTCTTTTGAAGTCATCCATGGCCTCTTGTGGTTGCTTTTTTATGCTTGGGGATTGAGGTCTCTTTAATTAGGTGAGGTTGGGTCCTCAGCTGCCTCTCCTTGCCTTTATGAGGCAACTTGAAGAGGGCTAGTGATCCTGAATTTGGAAGAGAATAAGGGAAGACGGTGAGAATATTGCCATTTCGTAATCAGTTCCCTCTTACTATCTTTCAGGCTAAGAATATCAGCCTTGACAGAATGGCTACACCCTTACCTCCCACTAACGTGGGTGTCCGCTTTTGAGAAATTATTTAGATTGTAATTTTGTTCTTATCTTACTCCTTTAGTCACTTGTCACGTTGACATTCCATTTTACATAAACCAGAATCCAGTGTCTAACTTTAAACCACACATTCTAGTGATTTCTTTGCATGTGGGTGTGCATAGCTTGGTTTCAGAAGTTAGGAAGTGGTTAGTCAGTATTCTCAGGGGTTAAGTTGACTCTCAGCCGTGGGTGATTAGCTATTAGCTAGATCCCTATAATTTTCCCATGACAAGGATTTGCTAGCCTGCCTCCCGCTCTTGGGAAACCGAAAGCCTTTCCTTCTGGGGAGCTAGAGGGGGCGGGGGTTGTTTTCCAGAGTTACAGCTGAGCAGCTTAGGGGGTTGGCGCTGATCGTGGCTTTTCCCAGGTCCCGTTCTGGAAACATGTTGCCCATCCCACCCGCACCCCACCCTCCACCCTCCACCCTCCACGCTCCACCGGGAGGCTAGTTGATGTTTCTCCCTGCCTTCCCCCACCCTTGTTAAAGCTTGGCTCTTGAGAAGGCAATTAAAGTTTCAGAGGGCTTGAAAATTCAAGGGAGAGTGGTTTGAGACGCTGCCCCCTCTCCCACCCCAGATGAAAGTTGTTGTATTTGTTTTTGTTTTTGCTTGGGGATCAGAGGCACTATTTGGCCCCAAAAGAGTATGATTAATCAAGGTGCTTATATAAAAGAACCTCAACTCCGCCAATACTAGATAAATTAAGCAGACTGCTTTCTTTTTTTTTTCTTTTCTTGGCAAAGCAAGAAATCACTATAAATTAGCACACAGTAATGGGACACAAATTATGGAGTTGGTTCCAAGTGTTGTCATTTCCTTCTCCTTCCCTATAGAAGTGGGTTTAGAGAGCCTACTCTGGCTTTGGCCAAGGGAGGGTGCCCCTTTCTCTCCTTGTTTTTTTAAATAAAGCGTCATCGTGAGGCAGTTTCCTGCTGCACTTGGTGGCTTGTTGCATTTCTGTGCACTGGGGTCATGACTTTCTGTGCAGACAAAGAGCAGAGTGGCAAGTGCAGCGTCTGCAGAGACTTTGGCATAGCTCTCTTGTCACCGAGAGAGTCCTTTCCTCTATAGTCTGTCGCAACTAGGTGCACGGGTTGATTTATTCCATGCCTTCACCTTTGGCTCACTCGTGTGAGCCTGAGAAGAGAGTGGCTTTGTGAAGGGCATCCCCATGCTGGCCTCTTCCCAAACAGCCCTCCTTTTGTCAGGAGTCGGCTGGGAGGGGACCTCAGCTCAACTGTGAAAATGTTTGTTTATACGGAGCCCCTGATGAGCCTTGGGAGTCTACCTTCCTGTCCCCAGAAACAAAACAGAAAAAGCCTGGACTTTGCAGTCTTCCATTTGAATTGTACAGGTGTCTCTTAACGTTCAAAAGGCTAACCTGGAGGTGTGCTGTGTGTCTCCAGGTGCCAGTACGGCTGGCAAGGCCTGTACTGTGATAAGTGCATCCCACACCCGGGATGCGTCCACGGCATCTGTAATGAGCCCTGGCAGTGCCTCTGTGAGACCAACTGGGGCGGCCAGCTCTGTGACAAAGGTATGGCCCTTAGGGATGAGACCCAGGGTGGGATCTGGGGGTGGGATGGCACTAATTTGGTTTCTAATTTTATTGGCAGGGGCTTTTATTCTGAATTCTCCTTGAATGCTGTGTGGGTTTTCTGGTTTTTCTTTTTAAAAGACGACTGGGGCTAGAAACATGGTGGGTTCGCCATCTTCACAGGCGTCTCTTAGTGACTCCAGGATCTTTTTGGCAGATCTCAATTACTGTGGGACTCATCAGCCGTGTCTCAACGGGGGAACTTGTAGCAACACAGGCCCTGACAAATATCAGTGTTCCTGCCCTGAGGGGTATTCAGGACCCAACTGTGAAATTGGTAAGTGGTCCAAGATGAATGAGAGCCCTTTGTCTAATTTTTCTGTACTCAGCTTTTAAAAAATATACTTAAGGACTTGTTTAAGGAAAAAAAAGTGAAAATAGCTTCCAAAGATAGGCCTTATCCCAACCATTCTATAAGCCTTTGTAACTTTCAAGTCTCTAAAGTTTTTTGGGTGATGCTGATTCGTATAGGAGGCAGCGGGAGATGAAATGACCCCAGCTCTGAGATGTCTTGGAATGTGGTTAGAGACAGCTCAGCGAGAAAGATGACTTCCTTTCTTTCCTAGACACAGCAGGGTTCTATCACACGCTTGCTTTTGGTTTTTGAAATATGCTTGCACTAGTGGCTGTGGTGTGGGATTCGGTTGGAGGGGGGTGTGGGGAGGTAACGGTGTGCAGGCATCCCTCTCTGACTGCCATCCTGGTTTTTGCAGCTGAGCACGCCTGCCTCTCTGATCCCTGTCACAACAGAGGCAGCTGTAAGGAGACCTCCCTGGGCTTTGAGTGTGAGTGTTCCCCAGGCTGGACCGGCCCCACATGCTCTACAAGTAAGTCCAATTTTCAGCCTGTGTCCATTCTAAGGATCCTTGTGCCAAGATACCACGCTGGGGAGAGGTACCTAGGCTTGTCCAGTGTGAATGTCTCGGTGAGAGAGGGGCGGGTGCAGGCCTAAGTCTGGTAAGCAGTCTGGTGGCTTGTGTGTTTGGAAGTCTCCCAGCACCCCCATCCTGTCCCACTAAGGTAGCGCATGTATCTGTTCTTGGAAGGAACGTCCTCGTGGAATCGCTTGTTCCTTTGCATCTGCTTCCTGGAGCTGGCCACCTTCCAATTGTGGTTATTCTTCTTGCAGCCATGGAGAGGCTGCCTTCAGGGGAGGTTGTCACTTACTACTGGATTCTGTCATAGGGCCAGGGGGCCCCAGAGAAGAACCTGGCCTGCAGAGTTCCTTTGGCTGTGAGACAGGGCTGTATATCAGAATCACCTGGGCTGCTTTACAGTGTAAATCTCTGGGTCCCCCAGATTCCCTCCAGAATCGGGGAGTCCATGGTCTTTGATAAACTTCTGGAATTCTGCAGTGCAGCCAGGTCTGAGAACCGCTGTCATCAGCACCCCAGGTGTGGTTATGGATGTGGATTTCTGGGGTCAGATTGCCTGTGCTGGTCCTAGGCCCCCACCTGTCACTTGCGGAACTCCAGCAGGCCACAGAAGCTCCCCGGGCCCTCTTTAAATGGCACAGTAGCAATTCCCATCTCCGAGGTTGTCATAAAGACACAAAAGTGAATACTTCATAAATTGTTAGGAGTTGTCTCTGGTCAGAGCAGAAGTGGAGAATGCAGCCTCTAGGTGTGCTATTTTGGGCAAACTCTGTAAGCAAATGAGAGGAATAAGGTTTTCCACCTGTAAAGAACTATTTTTCCTGACTTCTTAGCTACTTCTGAGCCATGATGAAACTTTTCTTTAAAAATAAAGATTAGGCAGATAGAGATGTCCTGTGTTCCTCCTGGGCGGATGCTCCGTCAGTATCCAGCTGTCTTTCTCCCCCACTGCTTAGGTTGGGGATTACATGAACTGGGGCAGTGGGGGATTTAAAGCTAAAATCAAGGCTTCGGCCTTATCGTCACCGTCCCACTTGTCCTGCTGTAGCTTTCCTTGTAGCAGGTGTCTGGCTCTTCAATGACAGCCCCTCATGTAAGAGGTGATGTTAAAGGATCTAATTGTCAGATGGATTGAATTAAATTGTCAACCCCCTCCTTTTCTTGTTGACCAGACATTGATGACTGTTCTCCTAATAACTGTTCCCACGGGGGCACCTGCCAGGACCTGGTTAACGGATTTAAGTGTGTGTGCCCCCCACAGTGGACTGGGAAAACGTGCCAGTTAGGTAAGAACATCCCTGTGACTGTAATTTTTATACCAAGGTTGGCTTTGATTGTCAAAGCCATTACAGAAGACGAGCGTGTGGCCGGCAGTGTGAGTTCACACTCCATCATGCTAAGAAGTAATTTATTATCAAGAGTCTAGCAGGCCTGGGAGAAATAACTTGAATGCAAATGGACTAGCTCTTTTAGGCCCTGTGGGAAAGTCGTGGGATTCCTTGAACCATGTCAATCGTCTGTCCGAGGAGTGTTCAGCTGGGTTCCAAAAGGGGATGATCTCATGAGGAATGAGCTGTCTGCATTCTTTTTGCCACATTTAAATCCCAGCAACTAGGCTGCCTGGGTTTTGCACAGAAATGCCTGGTGGCTTTCTGCTGTTTTGTTGGGGGCTGGTTAACTAGCAGCTGGAAAGTTATCAATTAGGGTTCTTATTGGATAATAGCTAGGGAGAGGGATCAGATGCTTAAAATAGAGGGAACCTCTAGTATCTTTTATTTAGCTAGCTTATTAAAATGTCTCATGTCTCAGACAAACTCTGGCCTGTTCTTTTTTTTTCCAAGGTGGGGGAGATGGGGGTTGAACTTCATTTCTCATGCTCATCCCCATCTCCTTTCAGATGCAAATGAATGTGAGGCCAAACCTTGTGTAAACGCCAAATCCTGTAAGAATCTCATTGCCAGCTACTACTGCGACTGTCTTCCCGGCTGGATGGGTCAGAATTGTGACATAAGTGAGTGACTTTGTTTCCATTTTGATTTTCATGAAACTTGGGTAGCCGACTTGCTGGTCCGTACTGGGGCTCCAGTCCTAGGACTTGAGCAGTAGAAGGAAAACCTTAGAGTGGGAATGGTTTTTTGAGAGGGAGTGGTCAGGGCAGCAGTGAAAACATACACTTTATCAGGCTCATTAGCTGCGAAAACCAGCCATATTCTGATAATGTGGCTGAAACAATGATGTGAAGTTTCACTCCCTCATTCTGGAAGAATTAGGGAGGGTCCCCACCCAGCGTAATAACCTTATCTCACGGAAAGCACACAGGAAATCTGATTTGAAACTTATCTATCCTGAGCTGAGAAGGCTTTTCAATTAAGCCCAATTTCACTGTAAATTACCTCTTTAAAATGATGACTTATTTATTTTTTAGATATTAATGACTGCCTTGGCCAGTGTCAGAATGACGCCTCCTGTCGGGTATGTAAATCTTTGCTTAAATCAAAACTTTGACAATTGACAACAAATCTTTAGATTTGTGCGACACTAGGAGAGCTCTGTCCCTGTGAGATTTAAAAATTTGGGTGAAAAAAGAGTCTCTTGGAAGTTTCGCTAGGGCTTATGTTACCCCAGCCTCGTGGGAGTCATTTTGAAGGCATGCACATAGAAATTCCTCTAACCACTTTCAGAGGTTTAGCATTTGGCTATTTCAGTGAACCAGCTAAACCGCAACAGTCATGCTAAACCGCTGAAGCCCTGTGTTTGTGGAATACATAGAAAAAAAGCATGTGTCTCTCTCTCCCCTTCTCCTCTTCTAGGATTTGGTTAATGGTTATCGCTGTATCTGTCCACCTGGCTATGCAGGCGATCACTGTGAGAGAGACATCGATGAATGTGCCAGCAACCCCTGTTTGAATGGGGGTCACTGTCAGAATGAAATCAACAGATTCCAGTGTCTGTGTCCCACTGGTTTCTCTGGAAACCTCTGTCAGGTGAGTGGTGGCAAAACCTCAGATGGCCAAGTTTTTAGAGCAGAGCCGCTGCCTCCTCCGCTTCCCTTTACTTTTCCCTCAGCTCTTGTGTCTGGAATTTCCTAACATCTATTAACATCCTATTGATGAGAGAGTCTCTGCTAGACAAATGCTGGTGGAAGGAGATACTGACGAATTATTTTCTTCTTAGTGTCTTCGTCTTTGTGTTCTTTTTGGTTCCCTCCACCCCCTCTTGTGCTCCCTCTCCCACTCTGCCCCGTTGTTTCAAATACTGGACATTGGCAGTCCCTACAGCATAGAGATGTATCTTACAGGGTGTCTCCTAATAGAAACCGAAGGAACTGTCAGATTCCAGTGCCTGCTGCCCCAGAGAAGTTATCGTGACACCTTTGTTTTACTCTGATCCCTCCCCCTTTTCGCTGTTCCTGATATTTGCAGCTGGACATCGATTATTGTGAGCCTAATCCCTGCCAGAACGGTGCCCAGTGCTACAACCGTGCCAGTGACTATTTCTGCAAGTGCCCCGAGGACTATGAGGGCAAGAACTGCTCACACCTGAAAGACCACTGCCGCACGACCCCCTGTGAAGGTACCTCCCTTCTCCCGGGACCTGGCTGTCTCCAGACTTGCTCCTTTTGTCCCCACTTACTACCACTGCCCCTTGTTACACTTGAGAAGTAATGTATTGGTGAGGAGGACCTCTATAGTGAAATGATCCTGCCTGTGTAGCGGGCCGCAACACGTGGAAACAATCTATTCCGGCCTGCCAGTGGGAGAGCCGTGTCTACAAGTAGCCCAGGGGAGAGAATGTGAAATCCATTTAGCATTCCTGTTCTGGGGTGGGCTGATGTGCAACGCTGAGGCAAATGCCTGAGAACAACACTGTCAACAGAACTTCCTGCAACGGCAGACAGAGGGGGATGTTCTGTATCTGCACGGTCAGGTATGGGAGCCCCAGGCCATGTGGACTGTGACTAGTGTAACTAGAAACTGATTTTATTTCATTTTAGTTCATTTAAATGTAAATAGCCACATGTGGCCGGTGGCTGCTGTATTAGGCAGCACAACATTTAAAGCTTCTATAAGATTGTCCTTGAGCCTTGCTTAAGATCAAAAAGGAAGTAAATAAAGCAGGTCCTTTTGCCTTAGCAAGTGTTTACCAAATTGGGTAGATGTCAAAGGTAGGATGAAGGGGATCCACAAGCATGTGGGTTTTCCTGGTTGTGTGGAGGGAGAAAATGCTTTAAAACTCTTTGCCTGGAGTCTCAACTTTGCCTGTCATAATGTGATGTGGCACGTTGCCAGTATCTTGGCTTCCCTGGGGTGTGTCTCATTAGCCAGAGGGTCCCTGTCTCCAGGAAAGTGGGCTTGGCCCAGGCCCTTGGCTTAGGAATGCCGCATCTGTGGGTGCATGGCTGTGATCTGATCCCAAGCCTATCTTCTAGTGATTGACAGCTGCACAGTGGCCATGGCTTCCAACGACACACCTGAAGGGGTGCGGTATATTTCCTCCAACGTCTGTGGTCCTCACGGGAAGTGCAAGAGTCAGTCGGGAGGCAAATTCACCTGTGACTGTAACAAAGGCTTCACGGGAACATACTGCCATGAAAGTAAGACTCCCTCATCCGGGAATGGACCAGTGCTCCCCAGCCTGCCCCTGCCCCTGCCTCTGCCCCTGGCCCACCCTGGGATCATTGGTGTTGAAAGTTTTTTTTTTTTTTTTGAGACCGAATTTCGCTGTTGTTGCCCAGGCTAGAGTGCAGTGGCACGATCTCGGCTCACCACAACCTCGGCCTCCCAGGTTCAAGCGATTCTCCTGCCTGCCTCAGCCTTCCTGAGTAGCTGGGATTACAGGCATGCGCACCACGCCCACCACGCCCAGCTAATTTTGTATTTTTAGTAGAGATGGGGTTTCCCCATGTTGGTCAGGCTGGTCTCGAACTCCCAGCCTCAGATGATCCACCCCCCGACCCCCAACTTGGCCTCCCAAAGTGCTGGGATTACAGGTGTGAGCCACCATGCCCAGCAGTGTTGAAATTGTTTTAATCAGAAACAGTAAGGCTGGGGAGACTGGTTGAGACTTATCCTTACATCTGGGATCTAAGACTGAGGTCGTGTTCAATTTACCAGATCACTCTGCCTCGGAGCCTCCATATCTATGTTGGAACATTCTGGAATGTTGCTAGGTTGGGTGATTCCTCTTTTCTGTAGGAGTTTCTTCCCCACTTTCACCTAGTACCGGTGACTAAATGCCCATGTGAGGGCATTAAGTGGGTAAGGCACTCTCTGGAAGCTTCTGCTTGATAAGCCGCCTGTCTAATTTGAGAAACAGCCCTGATGGAGGGTAGCAGGTGGAGGTGCCAGGTGCATTGTGTCAGGAGGGAGCCATGAAAACTGCTGAACAGTGCTTGTCTATGGCTTCACAAGTCCTTCAGTTCTTTTTTTGCTTTACTTTGTTTCATAGATATTAATGACTGTGAGAGCAACCCTTGTAGAAACGGTGGCACTTGCATCGATGGTGTCAACTCCTACAAGTGCATCTGTAGTGACGGCTGGGAGGGGGCCTACTGTGAAACCAGTGAGTCTGCCACTCTTTGGGGAGCTCTGGGATGTATGGGTCATGTTGGAGGGATCCCACTTCAACGTGGGAAAACTTTCTTTGTACTGGAAATCTCTGGAAGCAAGACCGCAGTGATTTCTGCACTGGGACAGTATCACTTGTGTCTCATTTGCATTTATGAGTCCTGATGATAGCTTATGGGGAGGAGCTTCTGCTGAGGACCTATAGAATTAGACTGTGTAATAAATATTCCTGCTTGCAAGGAAAGTCATATTTCTACTTTCATTTCCATGGGACTTCCAGAGGCCCACCCCACATCTTGCCTAACTTGTGGCATTCAAAGTAACCCAGTTGGGAGCTCCTTTATTCCTGGAAAAGCCTGATTGTGTTAAAGTACTACGACTGTGGCTGTTCTCAGAATAGGATGTTGGATGTAAGCAGTAGGAAAGGCTTGGCTCTCGCCTGTCGTGAATGGTCCTGGATCTCGTCTTCAGCCGATTGTCTCCCCTTTGATTCTAGATATTAATGACTGCAGCCAGAACCCCTGCCACAATGGGGGCACGTGTCGCGACCTGGTCAATGACTTCTACTGTGACTGTAAAAATGGGTGGAAAGGAAAGACCTGCCACTCACGTAAGTGGTAGTTGGCCTTGGATGCTATCTCTGGGACCCTTCCCTCTGTCTTCTGTGGGAGGGGGCCACTGGGACTCACACTGAAATATTTTCCTCCAGGTGACAGTCAGTGTGATGAGGCCACGTGCAACAACGGTGGCACCTGCTATGATGAGGGGGATGCTTTTAAGTGCATGTGTCCTGGCGGCTGGGAAGGAACAACCTGTAACATAGGTAACTTTATGCCCCACGTGGGATCTGCAGTGGGCATGGCCACCTGGGCGTGTCTGCTGGTTGGCCCCTGGAGCTTATGATATTTCTCTGGGCCTGGTTCTTGCCCCTCCAGACTGTTTCTGGATACTCAGGGAGGGTGGTCGTGTCTGCTCTTCTTTTATAGCCCGAAACAGTAGCTGCCTGCCCAACCCCTGCCATAATGGGGGCACATGTGTGGTCAACGGCGAGTCCTTTACGTGCGTCTGCAAGGAAGGCTGGGAGGGGCCCATCTGTGCTCAGAGTGAGTGTCCTCCCCCCTTGAACTCTCCCAGGGCTGTCGGAGCAGATCCTGACACCCTTGGGGACTTGCAATGGAAACCAGAAGCAGAGCTGTTTGATGTCTGCTTTTGTATCACCTGGGTCTGCATTAATGACTTGATGGGATACAGCCCTGACCTGGGCATGAGAAAGTCGCCAATAAGATAAGTGGAGACAGATGGCGTCTCAGTTCCCAGCTCTGGGTCTGACCAGCAGCCTGTCTCCTTCCATTCTCACCCCCACCCCTATCCCCTACCAGGGCCTCTTCCTGTGTACATGTGTCCCACAGCAAATGAAACTAAGTGTGGTGCGGGCCTGGTTCCAATTTAGCAAAGGTATTTTGCTGGTGTTAACTACGACTTTATCATTTGGGTATTAGGAAAATAAGTGGTGGTTTTACTTAGGGCTAAGACCGCTTTCCCTGTTGAAGTCCTCACTATTAAGTTGTCTTTTCTTTGCAGATACCAATGACTGCAGCCCTCATCCCTGGTAAGTGTGACATCCTTTTAAGCCAGCACTCATCCACTATCGTGTGTGTGTGTGTGTGTGTGTGTGTGTGTGTGTGTGTGAGAATCACCCAGGGATTGTGTTTAAAATGCAAGTTCTGAGTCAGGAGGTCTGGGGTGGGGCCTCAGACTGCTTTTCTAACAAGCTCCCAGGTGAAGCGATCCTGCTGCCCCATGGACCACACTTTAATTAGCCAGGTTGTGTCCTCATTTAGAGCAGTGATTTTTCAACCTTGGCTGCACACCAGAATCACCTGGGAGCTTTTAAAAATCCCGCTGCCTGGGCTGCAACCAAGACCTGTGAAATTAGACTTTCTGGGGGTGGGACCCAGGCATCAGTATTCTTTTAAAATTCCCCAGGCAACGGCCATGGGGTGAGAGCCACTGACTGTAACTGGTGTGGTGACATGTGAGTGATTGGCAGCCAGAGTAATGGACTGGGAGGTTGGTAACCAAGGTGGTCTTTGCTTTCTTAGTTACAACAGCGGCACCTGTGTGGATGGAGACAACTGGTACCGGTGCGAATGTGCCCCGGGTTTTGCTGGGCCCGACTGCAGAATAAGTAAGGACTGTCTCCGTCTGGTTTTCCCAATGGCTTTACCGCTTCATTCCATGCCTCACCCCAAGACTTTCATCTTTAAAAACAAAGCCACCATTCCCTTTAAGTAGCTCTCATAGAGCAAAGGATCTCTCTCCTCCAGCTGGGATTAAGATATGCCAGGCTGGATCCTCCCAGGTACCTGCTGGTAGTTCCCTGGGTGGTGTAGCCCTCCTTGTTCTTGGGGAGAGAGTGCCAGTCACAGAATCTGATGATTAATCTACAGTGGGGTCCTGAAGAAAGTATGTGCATTTCCCCATGACTAACATGAAATTATGGGCAAGCAGATGTTAACCACAGCTACACTGGTATAGGATAAAGCTAATACAAACGGAAGGGAGGACGACTGTGGCTTCCAGAGGCTTGTCTGTGCTGGGTCTGATCAGGCCCTGGAGAAATGACTAAAACAGGAAAATAGGGGCAGGCAACGCAGTTTTTCAAGAGGCTTAAAGCATATTATTTTGAGCCTTTTCTCTACTTTTTTACAAGCCCTTTCTCTTACAGAACAAAAAAGGTGCTAGAGTAGTTATGGTTTGATTCTTGTACCCAAATTGTCTGAAATTTTACTGGTGCTTGAAATCCAAGTCTGGGATTAACTAGTCTTCAGCACTAGATGGGGGCAGGTTGTATCTGTTTCATGTTTCTAAATAAACAGTTGGCAAACTGTGGCCCAGGGGCCGTATCCAGCCCACTGTCTGTTTTTATAAATACAGTTTTCTTGGCACACAGCCACACATTCATTTATGTATTGTCTATGGCTACTTTCATGATACCACAAGAGTTGGATAGTTGTGACAGAGACTATATACCCCACAAAGCCTAAGATGTTTACTGTCTGACCCCTTCCAGGAAACTTTGCCAGGCTTGCTGTAAATTGCACTGTCAAAGGAATCAAATTAAAAATTGCTGCCTCCCAAAATGGTTCTCCACTGTTAGAACTCAGGATGGTGGTGGTCTTTGGGAGCCAGTGATTGGAGGTTTTTGCAATAGATCTGTTTCTTCTTTTGGATGCTGCTTACCTGAGTGAAAATTCATCAAGCTTATGATGATATGCTTTTCTTGTATGTTATGTCAATAAAAACAATCTCAAAACATTGCCACACACCATCAGTCCCTAAACTTGAACTCCATTTCTCCTAGACATCAATGAATGCCAGTCTTCACCTTGTGCCTTTGGAGCGACCTGTGTGGATGAGATCAATGGCTACCGGTGTGTCTGCCCTCCAGGGCACAGTGGTGCCAAGTGCCAGGAAGGTATGTGTGCCAGGCTTCAGCTGCCCATGGGTCTTCTGGGGTGAGCGAGCTTTGCAGTCACCATTTGACTTTTCACAAATAAGCCACTGTGCTCAGGGAAGGGAACACACAGTGGGACTACAAGGGAAAGGGAACGTGAAGAGTCTTCCCCAAAACAGGTAGCTGTTGTTTTTGGTCAGCTGTTGCCACAAAACTGTGTACCAAACCATCCCAAACTGCTGTGGCTTGCAGCAAGCATTATTTTTATTGCTCATGATATGCAGCATGGGCAGAGAGATTGCGCTGTGGGTTGGGTTCAGTTCGACCAGTGGCTGTGTCTGGGGCATATTCCTTTCATCGCCAGTGGGTAGGTGTGCAAGAGGCTAGTCAAAGGCTCTGCTCACATCACATCTGCCAATGTTACATTGGCCAGAGCAAGTCTTGTGGCCAAGCGCAGAGCCAGCAAAGGCAGGAAGTACACATGCTGTTACTGTGGGAAGAATGATCTTAACATGGCAAAGGGCACAGGCATAACCATTTCATAACAGGGACCAAAGAATTGAACCCCGATCCGGTTCACAGAAAAATAAACTGCTCACCCGTCTCCACCTGTCAGTTTCAGGGAGACCTTGCATCACCATGGGGAGTGTGATACCAGATGGGGCCAAATGGGATGATGACTGTAATACCTGCCAGTGCCTGAATGGACGGATCGCCTGCTCAAAGGTAGGACATGATGGCTGCCGCAGTTCACCTGTGTTCTGGAATCAGGGATGAGCATGCCTGCTAAGCTGCCAGCTTCTGTTTTTCTCCAGGTCTGGTGTGGCCCTCGACCTTGCCTGCTCCACAAAGGGCACAGCGAGTGCCCCAGCGGGCAGAGCTGCATCCCCATCCTGGACGACCAGTGCTTCGTCCACCCCTGCACTGGTGTGGGCGAGTGTCGGTCTTCCAGTCTCCAGCCGGTGAAGACAAAGTGCACCTCTGACTCCTATTACCAGGATAACTGTGCGAACATCACATTTACCTTTAACAAGGAGATGATGTCACCAGTATGTAACAACCTTTGTTTTTTTTTTGAATGGTGGATGTCTGCTTGCTTGCTTTAAAGGAGGAATGCCATGAGCTAGGATCTACTTCTCCCTAGCTTACATTCCTGTTTTATAATAAAGTAAGCTTGAACTTAGCCAGCCTCAAAGAGAACATCTCAGCCTTTTGTTCTTCCTCTCAATCTTACACGTGTGTGGGTTTTTAAAAATCGTTTTAGGGTCTTACTACGGAGCACATTTGCAGTGAATTGAGGAATTTGAATATTTTGAAGAATGTTTCCGCTGAATATTCAATCTACATCGCTTGCGAGCCTTCCCCTTCAGCGAACAATGAAATACATGTGGCCATTGTAAGTATAAGACCCATTCACACCTCATTATTCGATGGCAAGGCAGTTCGGTTAACCAGTGTCTGAATGGAGCAAATTCACTGACAAAAAGCTTTGCAGACACAGATTGTCGAGTAATTTTGAAGAAAGGCTGCTTTGAGTATTCCTCTGACTCTCAAGTCTGACAATTGTTTTTCCAGTCTGCTGAAGATATACGGGATGATGGGAACCCGATCAAGGAAATCACTGACAAAATAATCGATCTTGTTAGTAAACGTGATGGAAACAGCTCGCTGATTGCTGCCGTTGCAGAAGTAAGAGTTCAGAGGCGGCCTCTGAAGAACAGAACAGGTAGGTGTCAAGTGGGACTAGTTTGTGTGATGATAGTAGATGATCTCATTATACTATTCAATAAAGCCATCAGGTCGAGGGATTATCTGGCAGTGCCCTACCCTCGCAGGAGCTCCCAATTTAACTGAGAACTGAGGGCAGCCTACTTTACTAAGGTCACATGGCCCATGGGAACAGAGGTCTGCCTCATATTTTCCTTCCCAACACACTATGCAACGTTCCCTGCAGAACAGGTATTGTGCTAGATCCGTGACAAAGCCCTAGGACACTGCTTGTCCTTTGTCCTTGAGTTTGAAGCTGTACAAAGCCTGACTTGGCATTTTGGTGTCCTGGGACAGCCTAGCCACTGCTGAGCTCTGTGAGGCTCGATGGCCCCGCAGGGGTGTCCAGGCTTCCCTCCTGAGGATCTCGAGCACCGTTTCAGCCAAGGGAGAGATTGGGCATGGAGCCATGGCACGTTTGAGCTGTCTGTGCTAATTTGAATCGGATTTCTAGTTCTGAAAACCAACTCCTGTACTGAGCTGCCTCAGTAGCCAGACTTAACAAGACACTGCTCTCCCCATGCGAAGTCAAAGAGCCTGTAGGAGCTGCCGCTCCACCCAGTCTCTCCAGGGATAAGAGTATCAAGGTCTACAGGGGCCTGATCCCAGCATTTGCTTATCAAGTTGTGAAGTGACCATATGCAATGATGAAAAGGGACTTGTCCCTGTGGCCCCCCTCTTAGGGATAAAGGGCAGGAGAACCACTGTTGGTATTCTTTTGTTCCTGCGATGATGCTTTTTTCTTTCTTTCTTGGAGAGTTAATTGGTTTTGTGCCTGCCTTACAGATTTCCTTGTTCCCTTGCTGAGCTCTGTCTTAACTGTGGCTTGGATCTGTTGCTTGGTGACGGCCTTCTACTGGTGCCTGCGGAAGCGGCGGAAGCCGGGCAGCCACACACACTCAGCCTCTGAGGACAACACCACCAACAACGTGCGGGAGCAGCTGAACCAGATCAAAAACCCCATTGAGAAACATGGGGCCAACACGGTCCCCATCAAGGATTATGAGAACAAGAACTCCAAAATGTCTAAAATAAGGACACACAATTCTGAAGTAGAAGAGGACGACATGGACAAACACCAGCAGAAAGCCCGGTTTGCCAAGCAGCCGGCGTACACGCTGGTAGACAGAGAAGAGAAGCCCCCCAACGGCACGCCGACAAAACACCCAAACTGGACAAACAAACAGGACAACAGAGACTTGGAAAGTGCCCAGAGCTTAAACCGAATGGAGTACATCGTATAGCAGACCGCGGGCACTGCCGCCGCTAGGTAGAGTCTGAGGGCTTGTAGTTCTTTAAACTGTCGTGTCATACTCGAGTCTGAGGCCGTTGCTGACTTAGAATCCCTGTGTTAATTTAAGTTTTGACAAGCTGGCTTACACTGGCAATGGTAGTTTCTGTGGTTGGCTGGGAAATCGAGTGCCGCATCTCACAGCTATGCAAAAAGCTAGTCAACAGTACCCTGGTTGTGTGTCCCCTTGCAGCCGACACGGTCTCGGATCAGGCTCCCAGGAGCCTGCCCAGCCCCCTGGTCTTTGAGCTCCCACTTCTGCCAGATGTCCTAATGGTGATGCAGTCTTAGATCATAGTTTTATTTATATTTATTGACTCTTGAGTTGTTTTTGTATATTGGTTTTATGATGACGTACAAGTAGTTCTGTATTTGAAAGTGCCTTTGCAGCTCAGAACCACAGCAACGATCACAAATGACTTTATTATTTATTTTTTTTAATTGTATTTTTGTTGTTGGGGGAGGGGAGACTTTGATGTCAGCAGTTGCTGGTAAAATGAAGAATTTAAAGAAAAAAATGTCAAAAGTAGAACTTTGTATAGTTATGTAAATAATTCTTTTTTATTAATCACTGTGTATATTTGATTTATTAACTTAATAATCAAGAGCCTTAAAACATCATTCCTTTTTATTTATATGTATGTGTTTAGAATTGAAGGTTTTTGATAGCATTGTAAGCGTATGGCTTTATTTTTTTGAACTCTTCTCATTACTTGTTGCCTATAAGCCAAAATTAAGGTGTTTGAAAATAGTTTATTTTAAAACAATAGGATGGGCTTCTGTGCCCAGAATACTGATGGAATTTTTTTGTACGACGTCAGATGTTTAAAACACCTTCTATAGCATCACTTAAAACACGTTTTAAGGACTGACTGAGGCAGTTTGAGGATTAGTTTAGAACAGGTTTTTTTGTTTGTTTGTTTTTTGTTTTTCTGCTTTAGACTTGAAAAGAGACAGGCAGGTGATCTGCTGCAGAGCAGTAAGGGAACAAGTTGAGCTATGACTTAACATAGCCAAAATGTGAGTGGTTGAATATGATTAAAAATATCAAATTAATTGTGTGAACTTGGAAGCACACCAATCTTACTTTGTAAATTCTGATTTCTTTTCACCATTCGTACATAATACTGAACCACTTGTAGATTTGATTTTTTTTTTTAATCTACTGCATTTAGGGAGTATTCTAATAAGCTAGTTGAATACTTGAACCATAAAATGTCCAGTAAGATCACTGTTTAGATTTGCCATAGAGTACACTGCCTGCCTTAAGTGAGGAAATCAAAGTGCTATTACGAAGTTCAAGATCAAAAAGGCTTATAAAACAGAGTAATCTTGTTGGTTCACCATTGAGACCGTGAAGATACTTTGTATTGTCCTATTAGTGTTATATGAACATACAAATGCATCTTTGATGTGTTGTTCTTGGCAATAAATTTTGAAAAGTAATATTTATTAAATTTTTTTGTATGAAAACATGGAACAGTGTGGCCTCTTCTGAGCTTACGTAGTTCTACCGGCTTTGCCATGTGCTTCTGCCACCCTGCTGAGTCTGTTCTGGTAATCGGGGTATAATAGGCTCTGCCTGACAGAGGGATGGAGGAAGAACTGAAAGGCTTTTCAACCACAAAACTCATCTGGAGTTCTCAAAGACCTGGGGCTGCTGTGAAGCTGGAACTGCGGGAGCCCCATCTAGGGGAGCCTTGATTCCCTTGTTATTCAACAGCAAGTGTGAATACTGCTTGAATAAACACCACTGGATTAATGGCCTGTAGTGTCGAGGTGAATTGTTTGTGAGCAATCAGGGGAACTGGCCACAGCACTGAAAGGGTTTTAAAGGGTTTGGAATTGGTGTTGGGAAACGAGCAGGGAGATTTAATGTCTGCCTCTTTTTTTTCCCTGGCTACTTAGATTCATATTAATGTCCTGTTGTAAGGGTGTGGTCTGAAATGACTCTTGTGCACATTTACCCATGGGGTGGTTTCCTCACGGCACAGGAGGTGGTAGTTGCAAGCTTCTGGTGTTCGGGCTCATCACTCATCACCTTGTTCCCAGGGAATGAGTGTTCTGGCCTCACCATGCAGCCTTGGAGTGCTGGTGTTCTGGTCTTCTGTGAGGTTCCAGAGTTGGGCTGTCCCCACCTGTCACGGGCAGGAGAACTCTGGTTCTCTCACTTGTGGCTGGTGGAGGCCCTGCCCCCGCATCGCGTGGTGGGGTGTGGGAGAAGCTTTGCCTCTGGCACCTCTGCGGAAGGAATAAGCTGTGGTAACAAGCACATGGACAGCTTCCAGCAGCCGTGCAGAGTCACCAGGACTCTGCTTCTGGCTAGGAAAGCCAAAGCTCACCCTTCTCAGAGCCATCCCCCAGCACTTCAACATTCAGGCCTGTCCACCCACGTCCGGTTTTCATACAACTGGCACAGCAGACTTTGAATGGAGGAAAAGCTGATGGGGATGTTTTTCTTTGTTCTCGGGGAAACATTTTTTCTTCTAGGCTTGGAGTTGTGCTAAGGAACATCTTAAGAATGAAAGATGAGCTTTAAGTGTCCTGGGATCCTTGTGCATGAGCAGAGGCCATCGAGGGATTTGGGATTGTGACAACCCTAAGAGGGCCAACACTGTTTTGGCTCATTGGGGAGGTGGCCTGAAGGACCCGGACAGCGAAGAGTTGAGGTTTCCATGACATCTCCCTGCCCTAGCGTAGCTCCGCTTTCTCACCAATGTCTGCCAGTAGACAGCTGGGTTTCCACAAGGTGGGGTCAAAGGGAGGGAGAAATCTAGATCCTACTAGCCAGGAGACAGTCATTTCGCAGCAGTGGAGTCAAACACTATCCTGAAGCAAAACCTTGTTCTGGTGGTTTGTAAACTTGGATTCTGCAGGACCCCAGAATTCCTTGGGTAGCTGCCAGATGCTTTTGTGCCAAGAAAAAAAAAAAAAAAAGTTGAATGAGTCTCTGCAATTCTTTATTCCAGGAGGGAAGGGATCTTGGGATTCATGGGTGTTGTCTTAACTCACCTTCTGTCTGGGACACCCCTGGTATTGGGAGGGCATAGATCAGCCTCCTCTGGATGTGGCTCAGTGCCAGGACTTTAATTGTGAAGGGTGGATTTTCCCCTTCCTTCAGGAAGAAGGAAGCAGGCAATGGTGCTCTGGTTATCCTGGGGTTAGGAAAGTTGAGAGGAAGGGACTCAGTGCCTTTACCATTCATTCCCCAGGAACGCCCTGGGCTCTCTTTAAAGGGGCCCTGGAAGAAAAAATTTTCAGTCCAGAAACTTGGCTAACTAGAACTCTAGCATTAGAATATCCCATGAAACTCCAGGAAAGAACACTTAAAGCTGGTGTTTTTTTAGGATGGGAAGCTCTGTCCTGAGATTCTATACTTCCATGATGTAGAATTTGAATAGAAAGTGGAGGGGGAGGATGTATCTTAATTGACTAAAAGCCAAAGGAGACTCAGTGGTGATTTGCGAGAGGGTTTACAGTTTGAAGATGCAGATTTCCAGGACTGGTCCATGACCCTATTAGACCAGATGCACCAGAAGTGGAGCCTGGGAATTTGAATTTTTGACAAGCTCGCTCTTCCTCCCCGACTCATGCACTCTAAAAATTGGGAGCAACTCTGCTAAAGTGCTACAGTACCAGCTCTTAACTAATTATAATGTTTTTCTTCCTTGTTAAACTGAATTAAATAGCCTGGAAGCCAGTTTGTTGCTAAATTGCCACCTGACATCATTTTTAAGTAAAATGATTACACCGCCCCTTGAGCAAGATGTGGTCTAAGTGCTTCATGCCTATTAGCTGATCTGAGGGGTCAGTGAGTCAAAATGAACTTATTCTGTAATATTTCTTAGGTAGCAAGGAGCAAAATGGGCCAGAGCGTGGGTTTCCCACCTTTCCAAATGGCTTACACCTGTCTGCTCCAAAGTGAGCAAAGGTGCAGCAAAAAACCAGTTGCCTTTAAAGGAAAAAAAAAGTTCTACAGGCCTTTCGGGCTTTGAAACTTGGGCTGAGCAATGCTCCACCATTTCCGTTTCGACTGTGGGTCTCTTTCTTGCCTCTACTGGGAATGAGAAACAGGAGTTCAGAGGTTCCTGGTCTGGGAAGACATACAACAAGCACATGGGTTATGGGAAGCCTCCTCCTGCTAATGTGTATTTATACTTTGTAAGCTCTGATTCATCCAAGCATTGGAACAGAAATCTGCTTCCTGAGGTTCTGTTTTTAAATAGATAGTTTGCAAAAACAACAATTATTTTTCTTAACATTTTTTTTCCACCCCACAAGCAGCTAAACATCCCAGCTCAGGGTATGTCAGTCTCCAGCAATGCCAACAAACAGCTTGGTTATCTGAGCTAGAAGGGTGCCCTGAGGCAGTTCTCTACAGTTCTGGCCCCAGAAGTCTTAAAAACAAAGTTTAGAAACCATTAGGGCAATCTTGTTGCATCACTTCAAATCCACGAGGTATTTCGGGGTCTATTAAAAATAACGAATTTCCGTTTGCGAACCATTGCCTTCCAATGGCTGTTAAAATAAAACTAAGAGCAGGTTGGGGGGAGTGATGCTTGTAGGGCCGCCGTGGTATCGCTGCCTGGCAGCCGAGGAGCCTAAACCCTGCCCGGCAGCCTCTGAGATCATGTCAAAAGGGTGCGGCTCTCTTGCTTTGGACATATATTCTACCTGTATTACTTGCTCTTGCATGCTGGGCACAACCTTCCTGGCTTAGAGTGTGTTTCTTTCAAGTCCAAGACAGCTTTTACAAGTCTCAAATTATGTATCATTATGCCTGGGTCCAGTATTAACCTGTGATACGCAAGTCAGGAAAATTAACCTGGAGAATAAAGGCTCTTAAATCCAGTAAGAACCTTGAATTGAGGTCTGCCTGCTGCCTTTTCCAACCCACCCGCACTGCAAATATCCACACCAGGGCACCCAAGGGTTGAGTTATCCAGAAAGCAAACGCAGATGCCAGCAACATGAAAGTAACAGCTTTGTTTTAAAGAGAAGCTCTCTTGGCAGGGCTGGTGGTGCTCATCGGTGATCCTCGGGGGAAATACAAGTTTGCAGCTGGCTTCCTAATCACTACTCAGTCAACCAAACAGGTTCGCCCCCTCTGTTCTGCACCTGAAGAGTGAAAAGCTGTTTTAGTTCACCCTTGCTGAGATATGTGCAGTTGAAATACCTTTATCATAGATGTTACATGTGAAACACCTTTATCACAGGATGTTAATGCAATCAAGGACCTTATCCATCAAAGGATCCAACCCCCACTACTTTCCCAGAAGAGGAAACTGAGGCCCAGAGAGGTTCAAGGACTTGTCTGAAGTTATACAGAGTTAGCAATAGCCAGAACTAGAACTCTGGGCTCCTGCTTCTTGGGCTGCTGTGTTTTCTGCCTCTTCTGGGAATTTGCGAGGTTTATGCCGGCATCCTGCCCTTAGTGTGATTTTAAAAGGTAAAACCTTGGGAGATCAGCACTTCACAAAAATGGATGCAAAGTCTCAAGGGAGGTCACAGGAAGCGACTGCTACGACAGTGTCGCCAATCTGAACTGGTTCTGCCTAGAAAGTGACATCTGTATAAACCCAGGAGCAATAGGTGTTTTCTGCATCAAAGGAAGATTAAGCCCTGCTCCTTTGTAGGCTGTTCCTTTGTTCTTGGGAAGTTTCTGATTTCCCTTTTAGTTTTTGCTTCATAGAATTAAAATGAGTTGCAGGAAAAGAGGTTCAGAAAGGAAATCAACAGCCTCACTAGGTCTTATTGCTGCCTGTGTGTGTGCACGCATATGCACACATGCACATTTTACAGGTGTTTTCAGAACCACACTGCTGCTCACCGGGGCTGAGATGCAGGTGCCAGGGTCCTCGCCAGTGTCAGGTGATTGCAATTATCATTAGGCCTCATCCCACGTTCTCTAACCACTCCCACTCCCCCTGGCAGCTTCCTTCCAGGTTATCACCACAAAAACACCTGAGCATTTAACAGGACTAAAATCCAGATCGCTTGAATGTGATGAAGTTCGCCACGTCCAGTGTGCGGTTGGGCCAGTTCAGACACACCTGAGAGTTCCTGGAACTGCCTGTGGGCAGCTCTGCTTCCTCCACCTGACATCCCCAAAAGGCTACTCCTCCACAACCTGTTTGTCGTGTCAGGGTAGGCCAGAAGTACATTCTATGTAGAAGTTTCCTCTGCGCCCAGGCACCCACACTGAGTGACTTGGAAAAACCCCATCCCCAAGACAGAAACATAAACCCTCCAAGTTCAGGACATGAACAATCAGATACCCTCAGGGGCTCTCTCTGGCTTTGCAGTGATGTTACTTTAGAAGAATTTTTAAAGAATTCAAGGCATAAAGCAGAAAGGAAGAGCGCAAACGTGACATGTCCTACAGGTTTGCAACAAACTAAGAAAAAAGTGCCTCTAGTAAAGTAAAGGGAGTGGGAAGGGGCCGGGAGGGACCACAATCTCTGGCTTTCTCCACCTCCACGCCCTGTCATTTCCGTGCTTCCTGTGAGCTCTCAGTCGGACAGTGTTGGCTGCAGTGCAGTTACAAAAGAGGTCCTGAACATCTCCTGCAGAGCATTCAGCCTCCACGTGGGCCTGACCCTTCCTTCACTGGACTGTTACTTTCACCCTCTTGGTGTGCAAAGCCAGGCTGTGTGCTTAGTGGTCAAGAGCATGCATTCTGGAGTGAAACTTCTTTGATTCCAACTGCAGCTCTTCCTTCCAGCTCCTGGTTTGAAATTTTCCACCTGTGTGCTCTAACAACACAGTTTCTGGGCTTTGAGGTTTGCCAGACCCAGATTCTAGGCACTGCCATTTACTAACTTGGGAAAGTTTCCAAAATTCTTTGTGCCTCAGTTTCCTCATCTGTCATGGTGACAATAAATGTGTGCCACTATAGTTAATATTCATGAAAAGGGCTACAGGTAAAGGAAAGAACACTGCTTTCAGTATTTGCTCTAAGTAACCATTAAAAGATTAAGGAATTCAGCTAGATTCCAACTGACAGTCTACTTTCTCACCGTTACACCATTAAACTGGGCCTGTCAGAGAAGAGCTAAGTGCTGTTGGATCTGGTCGTAGGCAGGACTCCACGATGGCTCCCAAAGCTCCCTGGTCCCTGGTTATTCAATCAAACGCTAATCCTGGTACTGCTGTGAAGGGATTTTGCAGATGTCATTAAAGTCTCAAATCTGTTAGCCTTCAAATGTAGATTATCCAGGTAGGGCTGACCTAATTACAGGAGCTTTTTAAAAGCAGAGAGTTTTCTCTGGCTAGTCACAGAAGGAGAAGTCAAAGAGATTCAAAGCATGAAAGTGATTCAATGCCAAGGTTTCTCCATTAATGAAATGGACGAGGTCATGTGGCAAGGACCCGCGAAATGGCTTGTAGGAAGTCCCCTGCCAACAGCCAGCGGGACAATGCGGATCTTAGTCCTACAAATGTAAGGAACTGAATTCTGCCAACAAGGGAGCTTGGAAGTGGACCTTTCCCTGGTTGAGCATCCAGATGAGGATGCAGCCTGGCTGACGCCCTGATTTCAGCCTTTGAGACCCTCAGCAGAGGACCCAGCTAAGTGTCAAAAACTGTGAGATAATAAACTTATGTTGTCTTAAGTCTCTCAATTTATGGTAATTTGTTACACAGGGATAGAAAACTAACATAGGCTTCTTCTAAAAAGGATCGTACCAGCTATGTCACTTGTAGGTGTCGTATTTGGTTGTGACTATACAAATCGTTGTTAGCTTTTTCCCTGATCAATTCAGAGCCGGCTTCCGGTGCAGGAGAAAGAAAAGCTCATTTAAGACAAGAATGAACTATAGGACTGTACAAAACTTGGTGCCTAATTGAAGTCTACAACAGTGTGTGGTCTGTGAGTGTCGACAGCTGTCTACAGCCTGCGAATAATGAGAATAGAACACAGTTTTTTTCTTCTATATCCCTCCAAACCCCTATTTTATAAAATGTGTGCCAAATGAGGTAAGCTCAGATACCTGGCCTTGGAGGACTCCAGGACACTCAAGTCTTGAGATAGTTTTCTCTCCTTATGAAACGAGATACTGTTTTGACTTCCATTTTCTGGAGGTTTTCAGTGGGTTGGGCATTTCAGAAATACTTTGTATTCCCACCTCCGGCTTCCTCAGAGGCCTTCCCTACAAGGAAGTTCCCTGCTTGGCCGTCGTCACTGCACAGTGGCCATTTCTTTGGCACTGAGAAGGGGCTAAATGTGAAGCCAAACTTTCTCTCCCACCATCTCTCTGCTAGGAGTGCCCTTGCATGGAGGGCAAGGCAGGTGGCCTAGGCAGACTTGCATTGCTGGTAGCAGAAAATTAAGGTTTCTCTTAAGTTCAGTGAGCTTTTCTAAAACAACATTATTAGGACCTGGAATTAGACTTGACAGACATGCAAAACAAGAGCCAAAGTTGTTTCTACAACTGGGGCCCAGAAGAACATGAGATTTGATAAACTGGTACCAGGAAATGCTATCTTCAAGGGAAAACAGGGAAAATTTGCTGTAGAAAATTCACAGATGGATGCAGAGACTCCTTGTCTTTGAGCCTGTGTAAAGATTTTGGTGACATCTAGAAGGTTCTTTCCGGTGAAGATGCTTATTGGCATCAAAACAAGAACCCCAATAGCAACCCAGATCCCTGACACCTCTGGCATAGAAAGCTCTGCTGCCTACAAGTGCCTTCAGATTGATTGATGGGGCATTTTCACAGGAGAGCCACCTAAGAATATTCTTTTCTAGATGCCCCAGGCTCTGCCACAGGCAGATGGCCCACATGCTGAGCAGAAGGGCGCTGGGACAAGGCTCACTGGGGCAGCATTTTAAGGAGAATATATCAATAGAGCAATGTTGCTGCTTCACAAGGTCCTTCTCTTGTGCTGTGACAGGAAGGTCCCTCTAGGCTCCTCCTACTGGGACACATCCCAAATACCCAGCCCAGTCTCCCACCTCCTGGCTGGAGGCTGCCCTGATTTACCATTCCACCTCTCCCTCTGACAATAGGAATGGATGCGCTGGTATTCATCTTTCCAGGCACCCACCGTGGGTTTGGGAAAGAGCCTTCTGCGTTCTTCTCACCAGTCAAGCATGTGAAGGAGGAACTGAAAAGGCCTTGGGAGCTGCTGGGCCTAGAAAAATTCCCAGTCAATCCATCACCTGCCTCCTCTGGAGCAGGGTCTGTCAGTCTCTCCACTGTTCCTGGGGCAGGTGGAGAGAGGGATGTGAAGCAACGAGTGGAAATGAGGTGTGAGTGTGCCTGTGTGTGTGTGTGTCTGTGTGTGTGTGTCTAAGCGCAGAACAGGACTGGTAACAGAAGTGCAGGCGAGAGGGCGTGGGAGACTGGGAACTCATTTATAAAAGCTCTTCTGCCCTAAAGCAAGTCAAACTCCCTGCTGAGGAGTTGCTTTTTCTTCCTCCCTTTTGAGTCTTGTGTGCTGAACTGACCTCTCCCCTGGCAGAGGTCAGCGCTCTGCTCACCCCGCACACACTCAGCCTTCTGGGGTTTGATCGCCTTAGAGCCTGAAGAGGAGAGAATTCTTCAGCATTAATTTCTAAGAGAAAAGCCATAGTAAATCTTGTGAAGAAGCTGGATTTTTTTTTTAAAGAAATATATATACACGTTATGATAAAAAATCTTTCGGGAACTGTGCAGAAAACAAAAAGCAAACATAAAAACCATACATCATTATATAGCCCCCTCCCACAGCCTACTTCACTCCTAAAATAAATCAGGCTGGGTAATGAATGAGGTTTTAAGAAATGCAACTGAACTTAAAATACAAGGTCAGTATCTCATCCTAGGTAATCCTTTGGAGGATGAGAAATTCTCCTGATTTTCCCACAGGGTTATTTCAGATGCACTTTCTGAGCCAAACTATTTTAAAAGCATTCATTCTTCCACTGCCCTGCCAAATGCTAACTTGAGATTCACACGCACTTTTAGAGAGAGCCTATTAATGATATTAATGATCATGATCAAAGGCAAACCCCAGAGGTTTATGTAAAAATTTCAGACAATTATTTAGGTGCTTTAAAGACCCATCTTCTGAACGAGGGTAACAATTTCTCAATGTTGGCAAAGATGATGGGTGCGTTGGGATGTGTAGGTTCTAAAGCAGCAGAACCAATGCAGAGGGGCCTTCAGAAGAAAACAAAACACATCTCTTTGTAAGATTAACATGTATGACTGTTGACTGACACCTTGTCCCCAAAGCCATGCCTACTCATTTACTTGAAAGTAGGTACACTTCTGATTTGCAGAAAGCCCCTCTTCTAAAGAATACTCAGCGAACCCTGTCTCTTTTAACATCCGCTATTTACATGCACACACCACATTTTTAAACAATAGTTCTAACTATGGTGTCTCCTGAGAATCATTATTTGATGAGCTTTAAAAATACCAACGCCCAGGCCAAACCTCAGGGATTCTGATTGAACTAGAAGCTATCCAGGTGACCCCAGTAGGTGGCCAGTGTAGAGAACCATTTTCAAACAGATGTAGACATTAATACATGGGAGGGGAATGTTTATCCCGATGCACTAAAAGCTGTGTTTGGCACTTAAAATATTAGAGATAATTTTATTTGACAGATGAAGAAACTGAGGCCTGGGAGGTTACATGACTTGTACCAAAACATATAAGACCAACTAGTGGCAAAGCAGCAGCCTGGACCCAGGGATTGCAGCTTGCAGCCCCATGCTGTTAGGCAGTCCCCAGATCCCAGGCCCAGCCCCCATGTCCAGGGCAGGGTGTCTTTCCTGTGGGTTAGGCCAGACAGCGGGCCACCATGACCAAAACACTAGGAAGAAATGAGCTACGCCTCATCGACTGCAGTGGTTCTCAGCATTGCACGCACAGCTATTCAAATGTATTATTCCAACCTGACTAAACTGCTTCTGAAAAGTTATGTACAAAACTAGAGAAGCCTGCAGTACTGAAATAAAAGGCAGTGTAGACAGTCAGCCCAGGACTTCATCAGTTCTGAGTAAAGATTAGATTCACTTGGAAAATGGAAATGAATCCACTTGGGGAATGTCAAGATCCTTGGAAAGGAGTCAAAGTGCCATAGTTTAATCTTGCCAAAGAGGTCTATCTTAGCTCTTAGTTGGCAGCAGAATTGGGAACAAGTCCACATTGTAAGGAGCACCCCAAAATCTTAGGGGTCAATTTAATCCAAATGTTTCATGCTGGGTTTTCAATACCTAAATCTTTAAGGCCGATGGTTAAATGGAAAGCTCCTTTGATTATTTTACACAGTATTCAAAACTGCAGAATTATTTCAACAAAGAAAACACAAACACTTCTTACAAATAGAGCATAATTTAAAATAGCTGTCCAGAAAAGGGCATTTTGAATATGCATTTCTTGGGGTTAATTCACTTGTTTTTGAAGAACAGAAGTGATACACATTAATTTTTTAAAACAATTTTACTCCTTATTCATAAAACAGTACATTTCTATTACATAGGTTTCATCCCCTAGGCATGCACAACCATTTGAACTATTTAAACAGTTTATAACAAAACAAATGAGAAGATAAGGGAAAAAGAGCTCTCCTGGGGACTTACATAGCTGTTTGGTTTTTCAACTTGATTGAAGAAAGTTATTCGGGGGATCTGTCCAATTCACACCTTCTGTTCCCTGATCAAATACTTTAGGGTCAAACATAAGGTTTTATTGATTTTTGCTCAAGCAAAGAATTAACATTTTTGATAAGGAACTGTAATGGCAATTATAAGGTAATATGGTGTATGGTAATATTATGCTGCCAGAGGAAACATTTGACTATGATTAAATTCAAGCCCAGTACTGGGTAGCTCTAGATAATTAAAGATAATTTTATCCATTCAAGTCCCCTCTGTTAAGCTGCACATTGACACATATTTGTTCCCTGTCTTGTAAATAAATATAGAAAGCAAATTAGAGTGAGTCCTGCAGATTTCTGAGAATTTAATTATACCCTTAAATTGCAATACCAATGATATATACGGTTAGATTTCTGTACTGAGTAATTACCTGAATTAACTTCGTTTTACAATGCTTAATTTATTTTGTACTAAGGAAGGCTTTTAACTATTTAAGATAAACCAACCTAATTTTGATTTTTTACTTGCTTCAACGTGTTTCAGTTCATTAATGTTTCAATAATAAGGAATGAATTCTCTTGTCTTGACAAACCAAGCATGGAAATTTCCCCATAAGAGAAAAGAAGAAATTAAAATGATTTCCATATTCAAGTCACAGCACGCTGAAAAGAGAACTTTGAGTTCTTAGGAAAGGCATCTGTTACCTCCAAAGGAGGGCCACTCATTACAGTTTTGTGTAATATTACAGTAAGGTCTGCCAAGAAGGAATTCAAGGAAATTGGGAATGACGACACTGTGATCCCAGGCCACTCTCTTGAGCAGAGGTTTCCTTCCCTTATGTGTTCTGCCCTCGCCAAGCTCTTTCTGAAATCAGAGGCCACTGACATGCATAACAAACCATGCTAAAATCCAAACATGACACCAACAGCAAACAATTACACTGTGATCCCATTGTGGTCCCCAAGATATATCTTGAGATACTTCAGAGAGAAGCTATATTCTTCATAAATCAAAATACAGAGGGTTTTTATGATTCTTGCTTTTTATAAAATGAAATACACTTCTATAGTATTAAAATAAGTGAACAAAAGAACTACAGCACTTACTCCCCTACCCCCAAATGTTTGCTTCTTTGCATTTCACAATTCATATGCATATCTGGACGACAGTTAACCTCCAGTGGCAAAGATAAGAAAATGTGAAAGAAAAATCATACAGATTGTTCCCAGACCTTTCTTGTTTATGGACATTAAAATAACCTCAACACCAATCTATTAAGATGCCATCTGAAAGCACATGGAAGTGGCTTAGAATCTATGCCGCTGAGAAAGTTAGGAAATTCAAAGTTATAACATTAATCAAATCATATCAATGACTTCTCCAAGCATTGGAGTCACAGGGACTTGAATATAATTTGGGGTACTACGCAAGTGGTTGAAGAACTTGTTCTTTTTGACTAACAATACTGACACTGTTTCAGACTTTCAGATGCCAAATTATTAAGATCATTAAGAATGTCAAAACAGGCCGGGTGCGGTGGCTCTCACCTGTAATCCCAGCACTTTGGGAGGCCGAGGCGGGCGGATCACGAGTCAGGAGATCGAGACCACCCTGGCCAACACGGTGAAAACCCGTTTCTGCTAAAAAAAAAAAAAAAAAAAAAAAAATACAAAAAATTAGCCGGGCGTGGTGGCGAGCGTCTGTAGTCCCAGCTACTCAGGAGGCTGAGACAGGAGAATGACGTGAACCCAGGAGGCGGAGCTTGCAGTGAGCCAAGATCGCCCCACTGCACTCCAGCCTGGGCGACAGAGCGAGACTCTGTCTCAAAAAAAAAAAAAAAAAAAAAAAGAATGTCAAAACACATACCATTCCCAACAGTGAGAACTCTTCATATCCTACCTAATAAGCAACAACAACAAAAAACCCCTGGCATCCATTTACCCCTTTGTACTTCCAAATATCCAAAGAATCATGCAACCACTCAAATAACAAGAGAGCCAGGGGTGTTTCAGCCATGTGCAAGAAAAATGCTTAAAGGCAAAATTCCTCAAACACATGTCACAGTGTGGGAACTGAGAGCCATTCCCTCTGTAAATCCTGTTAAAATCCCTTTTACATGAAGGGACGTGAGGGCTGTGAGGAAAACTACATCTATCTACAACCAAAGGTGCTATTTTTTCTCTTCGATCACAGTAATTGTTATATCCCCAACTATAACAAACTCTAAAGCCAAGACTTTTCCTGACAGAGAATCATTCTAAGTACAAGTACTAGCCTTAACCACCAAGCCCAGGTTAGCTAATGAAATAAAAATTTCTCAATACCAGAGTGATACTTCAGAGAAAGATTAGAAGAAAACAGAAATAACAAAAAACCAACAGAACAAACAAATAAAAACTTCTCAATAGAAATGTTCTCTGGTGGCTCCAGCTCAAATATCTCCCCCCTAGTTCTGGAGCAGGCAGTGGCTACTGTTCTAGTACAGCCGTCTTTTTAATTCCAGACTCTTCCAGAGAGCTGCTTCTTGGTCTATCCCCTGGGTTACTTATTACTTGTGCCCTCCCTATATCTAAATCGTTCTAATTGCTTCTGTTTAAGAAGATTCAGTGACACACTGTGGTCCTGTGTTCAATAAAGAGCACACCTAAAATACTGTTTGCTCTAAGAGAGGCGCCTACAGTGGGCCATGGAAATGCACATTCTACCAGGTACTCGGTTTCCACTCTGTGCAGCCCACCCCTATTGTATAAGCAGAGTCAGCTCCACTGAAGTTAGTATTCTGTTGGGCTCCCTCTTCTCCTATAGAATCCCCTGACTGGGTTCCGCTGGGAGCAGGAAAAAAGCCAAGAGGGAAGAGGACAGGATACCAGTAGGAAGGGCTGTTTCAAGTGGGGGTGGTGAGGCTGGGATCATGGGACAGGAACAGGTTTCTAGGCAGGGTTTGGAACATTAAAGTAACAGTATCTACCACCACAGTCAGGCTTGGTGACCAAGATGGAATTTCATGACCCAAAATGGTGCCATGAAATATAGCTGCTGCTTCATGAGTCTTACTGGTCTTAACAAGTGGGGACAGGAGATACGGGAAAGGATAGAACGGGATGGAATAAACCACTAATCCATCTCAAGCATGAACCTACACTATGCCTGTTTCTGTACTCTTGTCATTGTTTTGGGCTTTTCTGGGTGATTTTTCTGCTAACTTCAACACTTTAGGGAATATACTTGGTTTTCCTTATTACTTAGGGGAGGTGCCATTTCAAAGGACCACCCCATGTTGAACAGAAAAAAAAAAAAGATGTATTGAATGAATGGACCTTGAATATTGTTTCTTTCCTCTTTTAGAGTGAAATTCGGTTATTGGAAACTTTTAGCGGGTGTCCATCCAAAATAAGTCATTGCTACAATTCACTATGTGACATTTCATCAAGCCCACTGGAGACAGTGGGTGACATTGTAAAGGGAAGGCTCCCATCTTGAAATTTGAACTGCCTGCGAAGCCTTCCAACTGGGAAACTGGAACCTGGTCACTGAGTTCCTGTTAGGTTATAGTCTGTCCCAAACCAAAATCCTGGAGGTGGGTGCAAGAGCAGGGACTGGGACATGCTTGAGCTACAGGCAACAACGAGCCTCTCTGATGTCTTCTCCTAAGGTTGGGCAGAATCGCCCATCGACTTCAACAATTATAAGGGAAAGTAACACCTTCATGGGTGCCATGGCTGCCATACTGTAGAACCCGGAAGAGAGTGACCCATACACCAAACCCAAGTGTTTTACGAGTTTGAGGGAGTCCGAGGGGATGCATGTGCACATCTGGCCCCAACTGGTGAGCTGGAGGCCATGGCAACCAGGCTGCAGGAAGCACTGGGGAGTGTTCTATTAGTCCAGTGGTTCTCAAACGCGAGCATGTTTCAGAATCACCCAAAGGCAGTTACTCAGCATGGGGCAGGGCCCAATAACCACATTTCTAGCACATTTCCAGACAACGAAGCTGGTCCCAGGACCACGCGCTAAGAACCACTAGCTTGTTCTTTCACTGCCCTCCTACTCAGGCTGAGGAGCAGGGGGATGGATTGTACCCCTGGAGCTGAAAGGCAGCACGGCAGCACTGTCTTTGCACGGTCCATTGTGTGGTCTGCACAGTGATGTGCCAAGAAGGGGCTCATGATCAGTTTCTTCATGCAGTCCTTGCACAGTCTCCTCCCTGACAAGGTGGATGGCTCTTTGTCATTACTAATTCTCTGAAGACAGTCATAAAATACAATGATAAAGAAGCAACGCTGTTAGAACAAGCATATAGCCTCCCGGTTTGAAATGCTTTGAAAACAAACCATAGCCATAACACAGATAACACACTTCCTATTTAAATTAGTCATTCTAATTAATTCCTTTAAAATCCCGGCATCTATATTCGCAGCTCTCTTGTCACAGGTTTGGCCACTATGTCCTCAACTCCAACGGTACAAACCTCTTCGGTGTTAATGGCCTCTTTCGTATTTCTTTCTTTTCTTGGTTGGGCTGTTCTGAATTGTAGATAATCTTTCAGTGTTTGTGGCTAAGCCGGTTTGCTGTGCCTGCCCTGGGTTATTTTTCATAAGATGTCTGGAGGAGAGACTTTCCAAAACATGCAACTCTTCCTTAGACGTGGTTTTTGCCAAATCTTGTTTCAAAAGTAACCCTGGATCTGACAACTCTGAAGCTGGCAAAACCCTGACAGCTTTGCTTTTTTCCACTATTATTTCTCTCGGGACTAATCGATCACTTCCAAGAGAAACTCTCCCGTGGTGGTCGAAGTCTTCCGCAGAGCTGCAGTTCCTGCGTTTCTGTTGGGTTTTGGCCACTCGTGGACTTTGTTTTGGACATGGTGATGCTGACTCACAGCTACAGACGGGGCTCCTGCTTAGAAGCCCTGTCTTTAACCGCTCCCCAGGATGAGGTTTTTGCTGGCCACTAGTGTCTTCTGGCTGGGTCTGATTAACTTTTTCCAGCTTTTGAACAGGAAGCCCCCAGTGGCTCTCAGCTGCCTTTATGGAATCCTTTGCTTGTCCCATGGATTCTGATGGGGGACTGGAGGAAGCCTGACCATCATTCCTCCTCCTTGCTATCTCTGCAATCACTGAGTCACTAGATGTTTCCACAGTGTCTCTTCTGGTCTGCGATTTGCTCGTGACACTGCTTTTTGTTTCAGTTCTTTTCACACTGAAACAAACAAAAATGATTTTATGGTTTGTAAAGCTGTCACTGCACTGTTTCCTCCAGATTCCCTCTACCACATTTCCTACACCTGAAAAAGGAGGCAGGCACTACCTGCCCTCTCGCTTCCCCAGCAAATCTGGAAACACTCCCCACCACAGGTGTATGTTTAAATGCAGACTGAATCAAGCAAAAACCTTCACATATTCCATTATACATGATACTGCTTATCAATCATTGGGTTAAAAATGGATTTATGATGGCGTTCACATTTTAACTAAGGTAAATAGGTATTCATTTCCAATGTTAAGGGTCAGTACTGCCTATATACTGATTTTTTTTTTCCAGGAGTAGACTCAGGCTCTGTGTACACAAATGTACACATACACACAATTTCTACTTGTGAGTAAAGAAAAATCTTCTGGAATTTCTCTCAGGCTATTTCAAGATGTTACCCAAATATAACCACCATTTAGCTGGTATCAGGTTTGTTGACCAAACTTGATCAACAAATGGGAGTAGGACTTAGTTAATATAATTTGAAATGTCCTGGAAGAAATTTCAGATAGTCAGCATGAAAGGCAATAAAATACAATCGTGGAAGACAAAAGAGTGTCGATATAGCTGTATATAAGCCCCTTGCTCCTTACAGCGTGCACAACAGACAATGTAACTTCACTCTGATGATAAAGTGAACTTTGAGGGGCAGGATAGAAGCTGCACAGGGAGAATTAGAGACTAAAGATGTTAACTTCAGCATATATTTACAGGTTTGTGAATGGCAAGAAATTTCCTCAACCACCAAAACATTGAAAGCTGAAATATTTATTTCGGCTAGCTTCAGTGTGAAAACAAATACATGTAATATTCATGTTCTTACTGTTGACACCAGGAGCATGAGGATTATCGTAATTATATTAAAGTCGGAACAAGGATCCTAGGAAAGGAATTTTTTTTTTTCTAGATCTGTCTGTAGTCCCTCCGAAAGTGGTATGAAACACACCACCAACAGGTGCTTTTCATCTTCAAAGAACGTGTCATTAATTACTCCTTGCAACACACCTGTGAAGCAAGGATTCTATCCCTATTGTCCAGAAAGCAAGAGAGTCAGGAGGGAGGGGAGAGTAAGTACGTGACGGAGGGGAGTTTGTGCTTCAGTTCCAGGCACTCTGTTTAATTCTGGACTTCATGTTATCTATCCATACATAGAGACAGGCAAAAATGAGAAAAAGGAAACACATTGCACCTACATTTCTTTCAGAGCATTTCTCCGGAGCTTTGCACTGGGAGGAAGTGAACTCTCTGCACACTCAGCAAAGTAATCAGACACTCCATGGAGAACTCTTTCTGTCTACTCCAAAAGATAACAAAGGTTCAACCAGAAATCTATTAGCTGAACATGAGAGAAAACAGTTACACTCTGAATGCCCCAATGAACACATTTATTTTTGTAAAGACTGAATGAAACTGCTCAGTGGTAAGCTATTTTAACCTTTTTTACCTAGGACTTTATGGTTAATTGTAACTTCTTTTGGACTCCCAGTCCACATTTCATACATTAACATGCGTCATAAACATACAAAACTGTAAGGCAAATAATGTTGATTCCAAACCATCTGGGAACTCTTGGCCAATATCTGGTATCTGTGAGGCTCAGGCTGTGACAAAAGCCCCAGAATCCTACTGTGTGGGGCAACGTGCCTGTGAGCTCTGTTCTTCTAGCAAGACCTGGTGACACAGTGGTCTACACCCTTATCATCCTAAGAATTCCCCATATTTTCTCTATCTGCAAAAACAAAGAATATTTTGTGGCCGGGTGCAGTGGCTCACGCCTGTAATCCCAGCACTTTGGGAGGCCGAGGCAGCCAGATCACGAGGTCAGGAGATCGAGACCATCCTGGCTAACACGGTGAAACCCCGTCTCTACTAAAAATACAAAAAAAACTAGCGGGACGTGGTGGCAGATGCCTGTAGTCCCAGCTACTTGGGAGGTTGAGGCAGGAGAATGGCGTGAACCCGGGAGGCGGAGCTTGCAGTGAGCCGAGATGGCACCACTGCACTCCAGCCTGGGCAACAGAGCGAGACTCTGTCTCAAAAAAAAAAAGAATATTTTATCACACCCAAGACCATAGCAACAGTCAAATCTTTTAATATTGGTATTTTGAAAACTGTAGTTTGTGATTCTTGGCTACCAAAAAATTCGGGACTTTTTTCCTTATACTAACCACCACTCTGGTTTTATATAATTCATAGATTATCTGCCTATCTAGCCTTTTGTGTTCCCATGGAAGCATCATAAGGAAGTAATTATAAAATGTAAAAGCCTACCTACCTTGCCAACATTAACCCATTTCATGCTTTTGGAATCTCTTCTCCTTTTGGTTATCAAGTAGATAATCCATACAAGGTGTTAACTCCTCATATTTTCTGAGAAACTAAGTATTCTTCTCCATCAAATTCCAATAAAATGTTGCTACCACCAGAAACAGCTTTAGTAAGTTGTCAGTAGGTCCTTGCTTTAGACCTACACTGGAATTAGCAGTGACAGCCCCAGAGTACCTGGTGGGTGGCAGCCATGAGTACCGTGCCTGGTTATCCTACAAGCCGAGGGGATGTGCTTTGCCTAATCACTGCCCTGCACCACTGAGGATGGGCTCTTCACACTCTTCAATTGTGCCTATCCATCTCAGACCTGGGCCAGTGTCACTCAAAGTCATATCTGGTTATAACCCAAGTGAGTTTTAAGCTAGTGAACAGAATATTCTAGGTTTTATTGGATTTTATTGGATTATACTCCCTTTTTTTTTGTTTTCTAAGACTTACTAGTTGGCCAAAATGAGTGACAGCTTAAAATTCAACTGAGAGAAAGAGAGAGATCGAGAGGAATCGAGATTTATGTGTGAAACACTTCTAAACATGCCCTATAAGTACAGTAGATTCTCCCCTCACAGCCACACCCTGTAAGTGCTGTATTTTCAGAGCTGAACAATTAACATAAGGAGCATGAGTCAGGCTTTGAACAACTCTGTGGGAACCAGAAAGCCTTTTGCTATTAGGAATGATGTAAATTCCCCAAGGCTGGAAGAAATCCACAATGGAAGGCAGACAGGGTCATAAATAACAACAATGAATACTGCATATGCCACATAAAGTATGATGCTGTGATAGTGACACTCTTTCAAATCTCGTATTAAATTCAATCACTGCCTTTATTTATTTATTTTTAAAATTCAGTTTAAAGAGCACTATGCATTTCCTATGGGAACTTCAAAAACTCCTTTAAGAAGCAGAGCAGTCGGCTCTCATCCCAAATTCCTCTGACAACAATGGGGGAAAATGTCCTTGGAAGAAAAAGGACAACAGAAAAGGTGATAAGAGTGACAGGAGGAAATGTCCTGTTCAAAAAGTGTAAAATCTGTGACTTAGTTTTCAAAAAAAAAAAAAAAAGAAAAAAAAAGAAAAGAAAAAGAAAAAAAGAAAGAGAAAAGCAAGGCGGGGTCTCCCGCTTACAAATTAAAACCACATTTGGCAATTTGTTGAAGGAGGCATATTTACATTTGTATGAAGACTGGGTGGGCAGGAAAAAAAAGATTAGACTCCCTCTTCAGCCCCTGAGCTGTCAGGTCTCATTAGAAATCTCTTACTCTAACATTTCTAGGGTCAATTAACTCCCCTTTGTCTCTAAATCAGAGCCTCTGGTGCTGCTCCCCTCCCCCGCCCCCCCAACCCCCAAGCCCCCAAACAAGTATTCCTTAGGAAGCAGCTATCACCTGGGAACAGGATTTCCTAAAGGGAGTCATCCTGATTACTAAAGGCTTCTCACATCTGGCATCAAAATGCAATCTGAGGCTTATCCGGAGGCACAACGCCAAGGTGCAGATATATAATGTGTGCTAAGAGGGTTGCAAGTGCCTTCTGGGCTTACGGGACAACCCTACTACTTTTCAGATTCTGCCATGAATAATGATCCCATCATGTCTTGTAAAGAATGAAGATAAACCCAACATATTCAAAGAGGCTACCAAAGAGCTGGCCATCCAAAGTCCAGAATGGGACATTCTGAGTCCATGGAGACTCAGGTATTAAAAAATTAGATTAACCAACAGGATCTTCCAGGGCCTTCATAAATGATTCCTTACAACCTGGAAGGTAGCTCTTACACTTGGGCCAAGGAATAAAATTCTACAAATATCATTCCTTGGTATACTCCATTTCCAGCCATCTGCCTCATGTCCACCCTACCTCCTATTTTGTTTTACTTTTTGGTTATACTTTTAAGATTTTTGGTTCAAAAGTTTCTCTCTATAAAGAATGTCAGTACACAGTTCTAGGGCAAAACCAAACAGAAATAGGGCAAAGCCCTGGCCTCTAGGGAGATACCCTCCCTCAGCAACCTAAGCAGCCTAGGCAGGCCACAAGGCAAGGGATCAGGACTTTTCTCGATCTTTGGGGGTACTCTGGAGACCAGTACCCCAAGGATGAAGACAGTCAATGCACATGTCCCAGTACAGAACCAAGGGGAAGGCTGAACAGATGAATGTTTGAGTATGACAATGGGTGATATTACCCTATTCCTGTATGGGCTGACCTGGGAAACACATTTTAAATTCCAGGATAGAAAGGACTGCAAAGAGAGTCCCCACCAGGATGAGCTAGGTGCCTAAGATATCCTTCTTGCCTCTAATCAGAGAACAGGCTGATTTGAGATGCAGTTAGAAATACTGGGCCAGGCGCAGTGGTTCATGCTTGTAATCCCAGCACTTTGGGAGGCCAAGGTAGGAGGATAGCTTGAGCTCAGGAGTTCGAGACCAGCCTAGGCAACATAGTGAGACCTCATCTCTACAAAAAATTAGCCAGGCGTGGTGGTGTGCACTTATAGTCCCAGCTACTCAGCAGGCTGAGGTGGGAGGATCACTTGAGCCCAGGAGGTCAAGGCCGCAGTAAGCCATGATTGTGCCACTGCATTCCAGCCTAGGTGACAGAGTAATGCTTTGAAAAAAAAAAAAAAAAAAGAAAGAAAGAAAAAAGAAGGAAAGAAAGAAAGAAAAAATAAATACTGGGCAATGTTTAAGTCCCAAAGGCACATTGAAACTGTGGATAAACCAAGGAGTCACCCCACAGTGACTTACTAAAAACTGGTTTTGAACAGAACACTGTTGGATTAATGGGAGATAGGGAGAGAAGTTGGCCTAAAACGGCAGAGAAAACACCTGCTCTTGAGCTTCCAACCTCCTCACGAAGTCTGTAAAGCACAGGAGGGGCTCCCGCAGGCCAGTGGGAAGACTGGCTGCATCAGAGGCACAGAGGGAGCCTTTTGAAAATGGAGATTCCCAAGACCCATCCCTGGAAGTTCTGATTCACAAGATCTGGGATGGGGCGAGGGCATCTATATTTAGGTTCCCAGGTGATTCAAAAACTGCCGATATACATAAAACAACACTCAGCAAGGCAGAGCAGCAGATAAACAAACACAAACTGGTACAGTGAGACAGCCTTTTGCAAAGTGTGGTCCATTTATCCCATGCATCAAAATCATGTGGGAAGTGTGTTTAAAAATGTTCTAGGTTCCACCTCAGAATTTGGATCTCTAGGAAGTGGGGTCAGGGCATGTATATTTTGGGCAAGCCCCTCAGTGATTCTGATACCCAGCAGAATTATTGAACTTCTGCCCTAAAGGCACACAGAATTGATAACTGAGCAGAATCCGACAGAGTAATCCAATCAGGCAATATTGACCTCTGTACCTGGCAATGCTTGAGGCCCTTGAGGGAAAGGACCTTGGTTTCACAGAGCCCCTATCTCAATGGAGAAGACAACAAACAAACAAATAAACGTATGTCAGGTGGTTATGATGTTATGAGGAGAAATAAACATCTAAAGGGCCATGGGGTGCTATGTTAGATATGGTGGTCAGGAAAGGCTGTGGTAGGTAACAAGGTGGGCTTTACACTGAGACCTGAGTGAAGGACAAGCCACAAAAGCAGACGGGGAAGAGCATTTTGGGTAGGGGGAAGAGTGAACACCAAGGGTCTGAGGACAGAGTATGCCTGGAAGGTGCAGAAACTGGAGCGTAAACCAGGGGAAGAGGTCAGGAAGCAGGAAAGAGGGGTGTGTGTGTGTACTGGTGGTGAAAAGGCAGATCTTGTGTGACTTTTGTAAGGATGGCATATTTTATTGTGAGGAAGATGATATACCCATGGAAGCTTCCTAGAAGAAAAGGGACTTGACATTTTATTTATTTATTTATTTATTTATTTATTTATTTATTTATTTCATTTTTTTTTTTGGGACTTGACATTTTAAAAGGAATACCTTGGGCGTTGTAGAGGGACAAGGTTACAAGGAGGAAGACTAGTGATGAGGCCTCGGCAATGATTGATTGATTCAGAGATGATGGGTCTTGGAGAAGAGCCTGCTCCTTGGGGAGCAGTGGTTAGAATGGAAATATAATTTGATGGGAGACCCAACACAATGTGCTGATGGACGGGATATAGAGAGTGGGAGAAAGAGAAGTCATTGGTGACTCGACAATCTTTGGTTTAAATAACTGGATGAAGGAAGTTGGCCTTTACCAACACAGAAAATATAGTAAATTTAGGGTCAGGCTTGGGGAATAAGACCAAGAAATCAGTTTTAGGCATTGCTATGGTATGACTGTGTCCCCTCCAAAATTCAGGTGCTGCCAATGTGATGGTATTAAGAGGTGGGGCCTTGAAGATGTAATTAGGCCATGAGGGCTCCACCCTCATGAATGGGATTAGGTGTTTTTATAAAAGGGCCTGAAGGAAGGAGTTGGACCTATTGTCCTTCCACTTTGTGGGGACACTGTTCCTCCTTTCCGGAGCATACAGCAATGAGACATCATCTTGGAGGCAGGGACTAGACCCTCACCAGACCCCAACCTGCTGGTGATTTGATCTTAGACTTCCCAGCCTTGAGAACAATAAGAAATAAATTTCTGTTCTTTATAAGTTACCAGTCTTGGGTATTGTGTTATAGCAACACAAATGGACTAAGATGATGTAAGGGTCCTCCTGGATATCTAAATGGAGGTGCTGAGCAGGCAGGTAAGACACAGGTTTCCGGCAGAGGGAGGTCTGAGCTGTAGACACAAAGCAGGGAGGTCTGAGCTGCAGACACAAAGTCCTCAGAGTCAGTCAGGATGAGCTCTACTAGGAAATGACTTTGGATGAGTAAAAGAAGTTGAGAAGATGAGGAGGATTCAGGAAAAGAGACTATGAGGGAAGCATCAGTGAGGAGGAGAAAAATCAAGATAGCATATTGCTCCTGGAGGCAAGAGAGAGTGACATGGAAGTGAAGAATGAAATGTCAATGAAAGTGACAACTGTATGGAACACTGCTGACTGGTTATGAGTGAAAACTGATCACTGGAAGGAAGGTGACTTTGACATAAGCTGTTTTTGGTGAAGTGCTGGGATCCAAGCCTACCTGAGATGGGGTCAAGGGAGAAGTGCAAGTGGCTGCATTGGCACTTCTCCAGTATGAAGGCAGACTGGAGACTGAACTCTCCAGGAGAAACAGAATGTGAACTGTACGAGCAAATTGAAATTTTCTACAGACCCATTAAAAAAGTAAAAGGACACCTTTAAAGGTGAAATTACATTTCAATAATATATATTTAACATAATATAAAATATAATCATTATAGTACGTGATCAATGTAAAAAATATTCAGATGTTTTATATACTAAGTCTGCAAAGTCTGGTGTGCACTTTCAACTTGGATTACATTATTTCTGACTTGCCGTATTTTAAATACTCCATAGTCAAATGTGGCCAGTGGCTACAAGTACTGGCCAGCACAGGTCTAGACAACACCACTTTGGAAGAATTTTGCAGTAAGGGAGAACAGAGAAATGGGGGCACCCACCACTGTCACCCTCAATACAGCTTGGTGAGGCAGATATTAACACCACGCCCCAGGGTCAGATGCTGCTGGCTAGAACCTGATGTGACATGGACACACAACATGGGATGGTAACACCCCTACCCATCTGACAAACACGGCCTATGTTGGGAGTGACTTGCAGCCAGCTCTCCAGCAACTGGCTGAAGGCTCTAAGACATTAATATTAGCTGAGGTTGGAGTTTATGGCGGCAGATCTTTGGGGCCATGTCATCAGGTTACTGGTCACTCCAAGAGTCCTTGGGGTGCACCAGCCAATCCCAGCTCATCCTGACCACATGGCCCACCCCATATGATCCTCCTAGTATCCTTCATAGCCATACTGGAAGCATATGGCAGAAGCTATCCCACCAAACTCTTGTTTTTAGGATTGTAAAACGTCATGTGAAGGCAATAAAGGGATGAAAAAAAGCTATTCAATGTCTTTAAAATTGTTCTCAAGGTAGGACTTCATGAATTCTGTCTTCATCTTTTGAGAGCTGGATCTGTTTTCTCATGGTTATGTACATGAGTTTCTTCTGATTCTGTTACATTCAACCCCAAATGAAAATAATTAATGGCTGGCTTTACTGGGTGCTGGGCGTGCAACGCGAGGCCTCCGATGGCGAGGTCCGACGAGGCTACCACAAGGTGTCCCTGCAGGTACACCTGGACCGGGTGGGCGAGGGCGACAAGGAGGACGCCACCCGCTGCTTCCAGATCCTGGAAAAAGTCTATTCCATTCTCGGTGACAGAGAACAGAGAGCAGTGTACGATGAGCAGGGAACGGTGGACGAGGACTCTCCTGTGCTCATCCAAGATCAAGACTGGGAGGCGTATTGGCGGCTACTCTTTAAAAAGATATCTTTAGAGGACGTTCAAGCTTTTGAAAAGACATACAAAGGTTTGGAAGAAGAGCTGGCTGATATTAAGCAGGCCTATCTGGACTTCAAGGGTGACATGGATCAGATCATGGAGTCTGTGCTTTGCGTGCAGTACACAGAGGAACCCAGGATAAGGAATATCATTCAGCAAGCTATTGACGCCGGAGAGGTCCCATCCTATAACGCCTTTGTCAAAGAATCAACACAAAAGATGAATGCAAAGAAAAGGAGGGCTCAGGAAGAGGCCAAAGAAGCAGAAATGAGCAGAAAGGAGTTGGGGCTTGATGAAGGCGTGGATAGCCTGAAGGCAGCCATTCAGAGCAGACAAAAGGATTGGCAAAAGGAAATGGACAATTTTCTGGCTCAGATGGAAGCAAAGTACTGCAAATCTTCCAAAGGAGGAGGGAAAAAATCTGCTCTCAAGAAAAAAAAGAAATAATGGAATTTTTCTCTTCAAAGGTCCTTAGGTGTAAATTGATGCCATTGTAAGCAAGGTGCAGGCAAGACTTGAAGGCAAAAAGCAATTCAACTCTTGAGAAAAGGTGTCTTTCCAGCCTGAATTTTTCAGATTGACTAGACCAAGCAGAATCTCTCAACCTGATCTTAGTATTTCCTAGAAAGCACTTGACATTGTGTGAGGTCTCACCTGAAGGAACTTGGTGGTGACAGTTGGGAGGGTGGAGGGAGGCAGTGTCCCTTCCTGACAGCACTTGCCTCCATGGATCTTCTGTACACAGCACTCTTATCTAGGATGTGGTTCTGTTCATGCCGCTTTCTGCGATGTGCGTGTCTGTTAGAATAGGCTCTCTACCCAGCTAGAACACCTTCCAGACACTTGCTGGACAGCTATCTTCCACATACTTCCCAGTTTACATTTGGTCTTAATGATCTTGAATAGATTCTCTCTTCATTTTACTCAGCCAGGTTTTGTACTGATGTACAGGTGTTAAATTACTTCAAGCATTTTTGTAAGATTTGTATATGATTAAATAAAAAAGGTAAAACATGATGATTAAAAAAATAATAATAATTAATGGCTGGGCGTTGTGGCTCATGCCTGTAATCCCCGCACTTTGGGAGGCCCATGCGGGTGGATCAGCTAAGGTCAGGAGTTCGAGACCAGCCTGACTAACATGGTGAAATCCTGTCACTACTAAAAACACGAAAATTAGCCGGGCGTGGTGGTGCATGCCTGTAATCCCAGCTACTCAGGAGGCAGGAGAATCGCTTGAACCTGGGAGACGGAGGTTGAGGTGAGCCGAGGTCACGCCACTGCACTCCAGCATGGGCAACAGGAGCGAAACTGCATCTCAATAATAATAATAGTAACCCAACCAGAGTATTTTGAAAAGTAGGCAATTCACAGTAGAATATTACAAAACATAGTCTTAGGGCATATTCAAAATGTTACTGCTTCTCGATTCCTCCTAATCACATCTGCTGAGAATGATACACCCAGAGTTGATCGAATCAGGCTGAGGCTCCTGGCACACGAGTCCCAGCACAGAGGTGAAACGGAGTGGAGTCTAAGGTCTCATGTTCATTGTTGGCTTGTCCCAGGGCCAGCTTCTCAACCCCTTGATGGTTGGTTTCTCATCTACCTTACAGGACTGTTTGGGAAATTTAAATGCAGTGAGGTGTAGGAAGCAACTTTGGAAACTGGAGAGTGTTGAACACATTTTCAAATGTGATGCCTTCACAAACCATGTGGGGCTGGAGAGAAGGCAAGAGTGCCTTGTATTCATGAAGAACTCATATGATTCCCAAAGTCCTTTTCCCAACATCTCATCTGGTCCCCAAGGAGTATTCATCAGGGCAGGTATTGTCACTATGTGATGGATGAGAAGAATGAGACCCACAAAGACTGAGGCCGTGCATGTAGTCAGGGGCAGAAATGAGTCTAGGAGGCCTGCTCCCTGTGCAGTAGTACTCTCTTCACTTTGCCCAATGGCCACAGTATCATTTGCCATCATGGTTAGATATGGACTTATAGAAAGAGAAGAGCACTTTGGCTCCAGTCCTCTCTTGGTCACTACCTGACTGTGATATTTGGACAACTGACATATTCTCTGAGCACCAGTTTCTTCATCTATAAAAAGAGAGATGATAATAATGCCTCTATGGTGGATACTCATTCAGTTCCTGGAAGCAATGCTCAGATTTTGTCCTGGAAAATCACATCTTCAACCCCCATCCATGTCCATGCATTTCAAGAGACCTTGTTTCCCTACCTGACTCCAGAAACTGGCCTGTGGCTCAGGCCAATCAAACTACTGAACTAACAAGCCTCAAAGAGATGCATCAGCCACAGCTGTCCTGGCAAGAGGCCTCACCTCCCCCTGCTGGAAGGATATGGACCTGAGGCTGCCGGGACCAACCACCACACATAAGCTGAGAGTGAAGCCAACACAGTGGAATCTGGAGCCAAAGATGGTGAGAAATGGAGTCTTAATGATATTCTTTGTGTCTCTGATCAAGCTGTACCTAAAGCCTGGACTTTTCAGGGGCATGAGACAAAAACCTTCCTTTTTTGGCTAAGCTGCTTTGAGTTGGCCTTGCTGTCTCGTGAAAATGAAAAGGTTCAAGACTGATACAATCTCTTCTCAGGTTTGTTGCACTGAATAGGTTATTGTATGCGACAGCCCTCTGCAAATAATTAAAACCTTCTGCCAACAATAAAAGCAGATTAAAAGTGTAATATATTATCAGCTTATTTGGGGGGCATATAATAATGTTAAAGTATGAAACTGGAACATTTTAATTTGTAATGAGGCAAAAAGAACGTTACAACCATACTTTAGTGGACACCTCATGATTTTCAGGAGCATCAGCGATGTGAAATATGACACATAAGAAAGCCTCAGTTAGTTACAGAAAAGCAGTGCAAACAGAGCATGAATGACAATGACTACAATCCCAGACCACAAGGCAAAATGGCTGCGCAGAAGCCACCTGTCTTTAAAATGAAGAAGTCTCTCTTTCCTAAATTTCACTAATAATACTTTTTAAATTTTTTGATAATAACTAAGTAAAAAGGGCAAAACAGGTGGGACAGAGTCGCAATGAATAACGAAAAGAAAAGATGGAAACACACAAGCATGTATGTATTGACTCAAGGGAACTGAGGCAAACAGGAGGTGAAATGAAAAGTGGCATCGCATGAATTCCACTGGGACTGAAGTTGTTTTTCTCTAAAGATGACAATGATGATGGACATTTGTTCTGAGACCAAAGGCAAAACACTTGGCACAGGGGCTAGCACCTGGTATGTGAGTCCACGTGAGACATGCACGAGGCAGACATGACCTTCCCCATTTCAGACTTGAGGATACTGATGCTCTGGATGGCCAAGCCATCTGCCCAGTTCCCACAGTGAGGGGCAAGCCTTCATTCCACACGTGTCTGGCCCAGAGTCCGTCCTCTGAGGACTTCACTTCTCTGCCTTCCCATGAAAAGGGCGGGTCTCTAAGGGGAAGTGAGCCAGGGCTGCTGATAATGCTGTCATTTGGGTTAGTAGTGAATACTCTCATTTTCTCTTTAAAATTATTTTTTAAAAGTTTTCTTTTCTTCTGAATTGATGCCAGTGAAGCTCTTGTGTAGATCTGGGGAAGCACCCATAAGTGGCTGCAAACAGTATCACCCTAAACATGAAATCGGTGAAAATAATCAAGGAAGTTATTTTGCAGGAAGTATACATTTCACAGGGATTTTCCAGTTTACATTCACCTACCCTCAAGAACCTAAAAATATATCCTGACCAACCTTAGCCTCTATGCTCAAATCTCTGGTGCCAAACAAGTGTGACAAACTTGGACATTTTGAAGAATTTATGGGTTTGGGCCAACACTTGACATTGTGAGGCTTATCAACTGTTCTGAGAATTGGATAGAAGCTATTTAACTTTGACCAGAAAAAAACATAAAAATACACATTTTTTTTTTAATTTTAAGGAATTCATGAATCATAGGCTAGTAACTCCAGTTTAAAAGTAGAAGGGAAACATCTGTAAAAAATAGAGAAAACATACTAGGAATTATCCAAGGCAGAGTTGGGCCACTTTAGGAGGTCTTCTTGTTAAAAAAAAATGCCTTCTCTGACAAAGGCCTGTGGTTGAAAAGTGCCAACACCTGTGGGAAGGTAGACAGACCTCTTTCGGGATGATGAAAGAAGGATAATGTCTTTCCTAACATCTCACCTGACTGAGCATGTGGGCCTGAACAGGGACATGGTGGAGAGAGGTGGGTAAACATGAAGTCCAGCTGCGCAGGGAGTAGGGCTAACCAGGAGAGAGCCCACAGTAGCCCTGGGCACTGATGGGAAAAGGGTCTAAGAGCTAGAGAGAACACACCACAGATGATTGTCTCATTTCAAAATTCTGCTCTGAGCTGGCCTTCTGCCCAGGGATGTGGAAGGAATAGCTCTTGCCATTTCCCTGAGATACAGATACTAAGGCCTCCTCTTTCCAAGACTCAGAGCTCATGATAGTAACAGCTTTTGTGAACTAGTCTGGGAACCTCATCCCGTTATGACACTGTATCCTTGGGAAAATGAGTATTGAATTCTAAATCATCTGCTAACTAATGAACTCTCTGTGCTATCACTGTGGGTGTTCTGATGAAGATGGGCTTTTAGGAATTCAAGCCTGAGAAGTCTGCTGTCTCTTGATTCCTACGTACTTTAGAGAGGTGACTGGGTTTTTCCTCCAAAGCCGTATCTCAATGTGAGTCTGCTGGCAGCTACTGGAAATCGAAGGTGTTGAGCTGGGTGGTCGCTGCTCCTTCTCCTCCTCCTCTTCCTCCTCTGGATGTTGGTTAACAGAACTCCCACTGAAGGTCACAAGTTTTTGCCTTTAGCGTGTCTCTTTCTCCAGCACTGACTGGCTGGCTAAATGGGGGTTTATCACTTAACTCTTTGGTACTTTAGTTTTTATAGCTGCAAAATAAAGTTGAGCTGGCAAGTGGAGAAAATAATTAGGGAGTCGAGTTTCTTGGGAAAATATTAATAATATAAGCAGAATGATAGTGTCAGGTATTTTTCTCCTTTCAAGCAGGAAGGAGAAGATTGTACAGCAGTCTGTTAATGTGGCGTTAATTGCATTTAAATGAAGACTTCTTCAGAGAAGAAAGGAAATGATGTTGATAAAAATTAATACTGTATAAGTGCCTTAGACTTTCTATGACCTTTTTTTTTTTTTTTTTTTTGAGACAGAGTATTGCTCTGTCACCCAGGCTGGAGTGCAGTGGTGCAATCTCGGCTCACTGCAAGCTCCGCCTCCTGGGTTCACACCATTCTCCCACCTCAGCCTCCTGAGTAGCTGGGACTACAGGCGCCTGCCACCACATCCGGCTACCTTTTTTTTTTTCCTGTATTTTTAGTAGAGATGGTGTTTCACTGTGTTAGCCAGGATGGTCTCGATCTCCTGACCTCGTGATCCGCCCGCCTCGGCCTCCCAAAGTGCTGGGATTACAGGCATGAGCCACCGCGCCTGGCCTTCTATGACATTTTAATATTCATTATTTCACTTGCTCTTTAGGAAAACTTGAGAACGCTGTACAGAAAGTATCATGTTTACCTTTGCTTAACAAGTTAGGTGACTAGTGCTCTTGTGAAGCCAGATGACTTGTGTAAGGTCATCAGTGAATAAGGGGAGAGGCAGTGGTCAAAGCCAGGTCTTTACATTTTAACTCAAATCCCTTTTCCAGTTGTTCTATTCCCCACCACGTTTTTCCTAATCAAATCTATCAAAGGGTTCATCAATGGAGATCACGGGCCTCTGCACAGGCAAAGATACACTATGAGAAAAAAACCACAAAGGATTGGGGATGGAGATACATCCTATTCCAACTTATCCTATCTAATGATCCTCATTCATTTAACCTATCCTATTCTACTTCAGCAAAGGGCAGGTTCCCTTGCAGGAATGGCAGTGGTGGGAGGAGGCACAAACCATGTTTTTCACAAATACTGGCTAAACATTTGGGAAGATTTCATTATTAAGAAAAGAGAACAAATTTCATTATTAACAAAAGAGAACTCAGGTTACTGTAATATACAAGCAAAAGACAATCTTTTAAAAAATGATCTCACCCTAGAGATTTTTTTTTTTCTTATTTTCTCCATCTTAGTCTAGAGAAACTAACCAACAGAGGACATCTTCATCCTCACTACCAGCATTTTCAGAGGGTCATCTCTCTGCCAGTCCCTATAAGGTTGGGTGGGGATGGTGGCTATCCAAGGAAAACAGCCCATCGTAGGCCACTTGCTGAGGGTGTGGCCCTAATCTATTCCTTAACTATCTGTTGAACATGTTCTGACCCTGAGCCTTGGCCTTAACTGATTGGAAAGGGACAGGGCAGTCAGCCTTGGGAGGGGGCAAGCACCATGAGAATTCTTTCACACTAAACAGTAGTGTGACTTAAGAGAAGTGTTCTATTTAGTGCTTAAACATTGTCTCTTGGCAGTATGTCCCACTAATCTTTCTACTTAGATGATGCTAGTGAGGACTAGCCTTGTGTGGCTGATGCAGGTCAGCAGAACCTTGATGGCTATTTTGGCCACAGCTCAAATGAAGCATAAGGCAGAGAACCCAAATATCTTAGTGTCATCAGCGAAATCCAGCTGCTAAGGGGCAAAAGAGAGTCTGCTCCCTACAGATGCCTCATTGTCATGTGTGCACTGACGGTGTGGCAGAGGCAGACACAGCTCGGCTGTCCCTTAAACCTAAAGACTATAATTAGCATAATATTGGTCACTACACGGAATAAAAAGGACCTCATATCATAAACTAAAATACATTCCATAAAAGTATCAGAAGAAAATACAAGTGTTTATCTAATTTGAAAAACATAACACCAACATCATCGAAAGCAGAGATCATTACAGAAAACACAATTCTGAGGAAAAACAATGCATCCTACCATACAGCACTGACATACAAGTGAAAGGAAAATAATAAACTCACTGAGAGTTACTTTCCTTACTAGATAAGAAGTCTTCATGTAGCAGAGTTTGTCAAATACAAAATCATCAGTAAAAAAAATGGACAGAAACACATAACTGACAAATAGGGTCCTAGTTAAAATACATACACACGGACCTCAGTTTATTAAGTATGATGTATGAAGAGATACCATCCAGATCACTAGCAGAGACTTTGTGTTCAGGGTTGTGGCTAGTTTTTATTTTCTTTATATATATTTGGATTAAAAGCTTTTTTGTACAATGAATATGTACAATATTGGTCATCAGTTATTAGGTAAAATCTAAGTTCATAACATTGTGGAAAATGTGAAATATGAAAACAGCCTCTCTCTACTCAAGGAACTTTCCCTAGTGCTACAGGAATCTCTTGTTAATATCTTCCACGCAATTCACCACTAGCGTTGTTTAGAAATAAGAAAAATAAATTTTTTTAACTCTATGATAGATCATGAAAAATCTGGAAAAGTCATCCACTACTTATTTCATTTTCTAAACACAAAAATAGAGAATTCTTTTCTTGAATGATCTGATTTATACTTATGCAAAAGTTAAAGGATTCTGTCATGAGGGTACAAACATCAGTGCACAGTCAAATGTTAATTAGCTTATTTCTTCTGTTCTAAAAACATAAGGCCTATAATGTTAGCTTATAATTTCTATTTACATCTTTCTTAAGATCAAATATAACTACCCTGGAAGTTTTTCTAATCATAATTTTTTAATCTGCAAGAAAATTTCTTCTTTGTGCAAAATTATTTTGTAGTTTTTATTTAGCTACAGTTTTATTTGCTTCCTCCAATAGAAATCCCATGTGAGAAAAGATTTTTGAGATAATTTGATACCCTCCCCCTTGAATGAGAGGAGGGCTATGGCCCACAAAGGGCTGGATTATGCACAGCTGAGGACTATAACAGCCAAGCTAAAAATAACTCAGCCTTCAATAGTTTATTTGAAGTGAAAATGAGTCTAAACTCATTTTCACTTCAATTTTGTATTCAAAAACTAGAAGGACATTTCTTTACCACTAAACAGTAGTGTGCCTTAAGAGAAGCAGCTGAGTTAGTGCTTCAATATTGTTTCTTGTCAGGATGTCCCGGTAATCCTTCTACTTAGATGATGCTACAGTGAGGACCTAGCCTTGTATGGCTGGCCTACGTCTGCAGAGTCTTAACAGCTATTTTCACAACTTGAACCACAACTCAAATAAAGAGTATAAGGCAGATAACTCAAATATCTTAATGTATATGTCCACTTGTAGGCAGTACTAGCACTACAAATCATTTTTTAATTTCCAAAAGGATCACAGACTTTGAGAGCTTCGGTTTAAAAGTAAAAAAAGTAGGGCTGGGGGATTTTGGACTTTCCTTCTGAGGAACGGCAGAAGAGATCCAATGGAACCCTTAAAGATACAGGTGCAGAGTGGAAAAATATTTAGGAAAAATGGAGGCCCTATTTGAATGACATTTTTAGGTCACCAGGATATCCTTCAGCAGCCTTGATCTGCCAAACTGTAAGCTCCTTGAGGGCCAACACACTTTCTTACTTTTCTTTGTTTTCCTGGTGCCTACCAGAGTTCCCAGTATAGAGCTGGGACTTAGCAAATTATGTTAAAATGTGATGGTAAAAACAGATGGGAAGGCTGATCTCCAGAGACTAGAAGGAGTGGCTGTAACTAACACACAATGAAATAGTAGCTTTGTCCTGACCCAGAAATGTCCCAGATATATACAGAGTTCTATGGTTATTTACACAACTTTAACAAAGAAATAATAAATAATTTTAAATTTCCCAAAGGCTCCAGGACTTTACATCTGAGAAAGAAAACAGTTTCTACATAGGCTTTTGGGTTTGTAAATAAGAAAATATTGTTGGAATGGAATGTAGCTGAGCGCAATCAAAATTCACTTTATGTTCTTCATATTTCCAAGGAAAAAAACGGTGAGGAAAAAACAAACCAAATAAAGGTAAAAACTCTCAAAAGACTCCCCAGTCCTATATCTAGCAATAGGTCAAAAACTGAGGCTACAAGAGTTTTTAGATTTCTTATGAGAAACTCTAGTAAGAAAAATACAATGACTCATTTCATAATAATGTCCTTTCTTCCCAAAGTACACATCACAATTCCCACATCCCTAGCACATGGGCACTCTGTGCAGAGCTATTGCAACACAGAGGATCTCCCTGCACCAAAGTCCCTGAGTGGACAAGAGAAACGCAACAGTGACAGCAGGGACAGACCTCCCTGGCGCTGTGGTGCTTAGGGGCAGCGTGGCTGCATTCGCTCTGCTCCGTAAAGGAGGGGGATTACTCCCTTTGTACTGCCTGATCTGGAACAGCAGTTCTTTTGTGCAACCACCTTTAAGTACTGGGGAGCTAAGTGCAGCTGGCTTCCTTGTCTACAGGTTGAAAGAATCCCTTGACAGAGGAGTTTTGAATAGACGCTCCCAGATTTCCTAACAAATTGTCACTTAGACATTGAGAATCCAAAAAAAAAGATGAAGGAAAGGGAATGTGTGCTCTCAAGGCTACAGCACGAGTAAGGCACCCAGGCTGTTGCTCAAGTACTAGTTCACTCCTCTGTCACTTCTGTGGCTGCAGAAGAGTGAGTTAAGTCAATAGTTATACAAAAACAACTGAAGTTTATTGCCAAAGAAATCTTTCCAACATAGCTACTGCGGGTACCAATTTTCCCAGCCTTGCCCAGTCAGATGTTCTTGAGAATTGCTATCCAGAGAAAATGAGATGGATCCTGCCCTTTGGTGAATATCCATGTAAAGTGATATAAGAATTCAAAGCTTGAAGCAAGTCCAGGGAATACTCACAGGAGCCTGACATCACTGGCTGTGGGCATTTGAAGTATGGAACAAGTGATAAGAATGCCTTCTCTCAGGCAGAAGGCAGTTCTGGAAGGGAAGGGCTGTTTATTGATCCTTAAATAGCTGAGACAGGCAGACTCTGTAGAGGTCAAATATCAATGAGAATTAAACTACAAGACACTTCTGGTGGAAGGATGGTGTAGTTGGCTTGATGGGTCATTTGTGGGAGAGGGACCTTTACTTGACCTGGGTCTTTTATTGCTTCTAGTAACAACAGGCCTGAGGAAGTAGTGGGCTGGAGGCCTGTGAGGAGGGGAGGTGGCAGAGGTGAGCAGGCTAGGCAGAGGGACGCACAGAGCTTGAGCCCCGAGATGAAACTGTTGAGTAGTGCCAGGCTTTAGCTGACATATGTGGCTGGGAAAATGTATATGTGAAGAGACAGAGGTGGAGTAAATGAGCAACTGAAGAGACAGAAACTGACCACAACTAAAGACAATCACTCAAAACAAGGAACGAGCCTCATGATGGAAATGGCATTTTCCTCATAAGTTAATGTGGTTAACTCTGGTCATGTTATCACTGGTTATCAGAACATCTTAAAGATAAAGAAACTGAACTCACTCATGTAAAAGGCTTAGACCGGTGAGAGTTTCAGAATGAAAATTCTCAATGTTTAGGAAGTCCTCCAGATTATAGGATTTATATGACAGCCGGTATAGAAAACTTACATCTGTATAAATACCAAGGCCCCTAAGGGGGATAATATTTCATTTGTATTGAGATGTTTTAATCCCTCCTTAATAATTTAAGATACTAAGTATTAATATTACATATCAGATAGAAGATCTAATTTCTCCTGTATTTCATTTGAAAGTAATAATACTTTCTGGAACAGTTAATTGTTGTTTTCTTAAACCCATAGATCAATTTCTTCCTTGCTCTGAATCAGTTAAGCTATATTATATTTTAGATGTATGCCAATGGCATTGCCACTTTAGTATTTATTAGTTTACGAAGATAACTCAACATCCTGGAAATATTTCAAAGGACAAACTTAATACTTTTCACCAAATTTGCCTCATTCATTTAATGTGTATTCTTAAGAGTTTGACTGATGGATGAAGAAGAGGAAATATGAACCACACTGGCTGTTGCAAAGGGTTCCTCTGCACCAAACGCAGACATCTAAATTTAAATATAAGTTCTCTGCTCTTTACTTTTCCTGGGTCTCTATTCACCCTTGTAGCCTCTGAAACACTCTTCTTATGTATTTATTTAAGATGAGATAAGAAGCTGGTTTTAGATGATGTGGGCCAAATTTCAGATTTCATACGGATTAAAAAATAATAAACATCAAGGGTAATCTAATATTCCCATAAATTATTTTAGAAGCATAATAATCATGTCACACTTCATGGCCCGGTTAATGTCTGTTGGATTTTTTTTCTGTTTGTTAAAGATTCAAGTCATATGTCCCTGTTTCTTAAAGATTCAAGTCATACGTCCAAAAATATGAAAAAAAGTCTGTGTAGAAGTCAGGCAGACTGGACTGTGGCTGCAGGAAACACACACACGTGCAACAAGGAGATTCTCAAGTGTACATGTTCAGCTTAAAAGACAAAGCAGTCAGCTGCAATTCTGAGTCAGTTTTATCTATTTGTCTGAAGAGACAACTCCAATAAAACAGAAGCAGGCCCTGCTGGAACTCAAGACTTAGCATGAGAAAAGGGAGACAGAGAAGGAGACAGAGAGACAGAGAGACAGAGAGACAGAGAGAGAGAGAGAGAGAGAGGGAGAAAATGAACCCTATCAGCTATGAAATAATACACTGGGGAAAAGTACTGGTTCTCATGAAAATGTCGGTGATTCACCATGGAATAAAATTTAAAAGCCACTGACCCCAATGAAAGCCTCCAGTGGAAACATGTGGATTTTGCTTCATTTCACTTAAAGACTTTTCTTTATTTCATTTAAACACTATCATAAGCACCATCACAGCTTTTGTGATGTGTTGCTTTCTCATTTACAGTTGATATGGAAAAGGTACTGCTGATTAAAATGGTCTTGAGGAAAAGAAGAACAATACACGAATTAGTTGATATTACCACGTAAAACAGGTAGGGCTTCTTGTTCCCTTAAAACATGCGTTGGGTGCTCATCAGCTGAATGACAACAGCAGACAATTCTTGTTTTCTATTTTTTACAGTAACTCAGCATTTAAGCAGACTTATTTGTTTATAGAATTTTTTCATACTCACCAAATCTTCATTCTGACTTGCTAAAAGATCACGACTGAATGCAAGCTGACTGACACAAACCACAAATCTGTCAGGGAATACACAGAGTTCTGTATAAAATGAAGAAAAACAAGTTTAAAGGTGTCAAAAAACTATAAACACAGAATGGTTGTTCCAGATTTTTGTTCATTTTAAGTTACTGCAATATGCACATCCATATAAAACATACGTCTCTTCTCTCCTCCCATCCTTTCGGTGTTTGCCGTCAATAGGGCAGGGTGAGCGCAAAGCTCTAGGGAGAGCTGATGAGGCTGCAAATTGGTCCACCTGCGCCCCGGGACCATTACATTACAGGAAACCCCCAGGCAGAACCTCTGTAGCCTCCCCTCTGTGTCAGTCAGCTGTTTTCTGATTAGAACTCCTATTTAGAAAATAGGATCAATGTTTTCAAAATGAGCATGTAACACTTTAGAGGAAGAGGAAGAATATTAGATAAAATCTAAAAATGTGACCTATCAATGTTTTTCCTAGTTACTTTACTTATCATCTCCTTGGTTAGCTAGTCTTAGAGAGCTCCCCGACCCTGGAGGGCAAACTACTAATCTGAAGCAGGCTGGGAAAACAGCAGCTTTTCTTAGGAATTAATGATCCAACTATTAAGAAAATGGTTAAATATACAATAAAGATGGTAAAATTACACCATACTCATAGTAATCTATTATTGCTGCTTCTTAAAACAAAACCATTGACTTCTCATTGGGAAAGACTGAATAAATCACTGAACTGGACTCCTCGGCATTCAATGAAAGGAAGGCAAGATGGTAATGACATCTGGATCTTTCCTTTTCTCATCTGTCTGTCCATCCATCCATTTGTTCGCCAGCCTCCAGCTACCCAGGCATGATGTCTGGAGTGATGCTAAGCTGATGCCAACAGGGTATGTTCCAGGCGGGTGGGGAGGGGGCTCTTCTCCCTTTTTCCTACTTGGTTGTACTGCTTGAATATTTTTATGATATACATGTCTGATATTTGTGATAGAAATTAAGTCATTTTTCTAACAGAGAAAGCTTCCCTCTTACATGAGACCAATTTCTTTTTAAAGATGGATATTATGAATCAGGTGAGTAAAGCCTTTTAGGTACACTGCACATGATGGCAATGACTGAGGTAATAAGGTATCTCAATTTGATGCACCGCTTGGAAGCCAAGCAAGAAGGTGTCAATTACATGGACACAGAATTTAAACAAGTTAACACCTTACACTACTAGACTAGCTTAAATGATCCCAAGAGGCCCAATGAGTTGTTGTTCCAGTAACAGCTCTCTCCTTATCCCATCAACCACTGCTGTCTCCTTGGCAGTCACTCTCCCTATTCCAAGTTATCCTATTCAGAACAGCAGGTTAACAGTTCTAAAAAAAGAGCTCCACTCATCCTGCTCAAAAACCTACCATGGCTCCCCAGTGCCCAATATTCAAAGCCCTCCATGATTAGGGATTAACCTGTTGTTCTGGTCTCACTCCCAATTAGCCTTCCTCATGAGGAAAGCCCCCATTTCAGGTGGGGGCCTGGGTTTTTTTCAACTTTGACCCCATGTGGGCATATGATATCTGGCTAGGTGACTAGAGGTGGATTTTGAAAAGCCAGAAGAACAAAATTAGCAAAGCAATTAATATTTATTCATTAGTTCTTAAAAGATCTTATTGCGATAAATGGTATATAGCCTTTTTATCATTTTATGGGAGGGAAACTGAGCCACAGAATTCATTATTTTTCCACCTCCCCCCCCTAAAAAAATCATAAAATTGAAATACAACAGTTCATTAGTGGATCAGAACTGGAATTCAAAATTATCAGTTCTATCAAATAATTCCTCGGTATTTGCATTTGTTCCTCTGAAAAGTAACAATGTTCGAATGGCAGATTTTAAACATTTTGGTGCTGCCAGGTATTAACAGAAAGCAACTTCTGTACCCTTTTGCTCTGTTTAGGTCATTATTGAGAGTTGTACTATTTTAATATTTAATTAAATATTTAGGCAATGATAGTCCTTACCATAAAGGGCACAAGTGCAAGGTTAGCTGACTTATTTTACTAGAGAGTTGAACAAAGTGGAAGGACCTGTTAAGAAAGCAGTATATCTAAGGCTGGGCATGCTGGCTCATGCCTGTAATCCCAGCACCTTAGGAGGCCAAGGCGGGAGTACAGCTTGACCCCAGGAGTTTGAGACCAGCTGCAACATAGTGAGACCCCTTCTCTACCAAAAATTACAAAAAAAAAAAAAGCCAGGCATGGTGGCACACACCTGTGGTCCCAGCTACTTAGGAGGCTGCAGTGAGCCATGATTGCACCACTGTACTCCAGCCTGAGTGACAGAGTGAGAACTTGTCTCAAAAACAAACAAATAACAGCAAAAAAGAGAATAACATATTCGAGCAGAGTTTACAGTTAAGAAAATGCAGATAATCATGAAGATTCCACAGCAAGCCTCTATATGTTAATTTTTTAAAGTTCCTATATCATATCTTATATATATACTGAAATTGTCCATGGAAGGTGAACTAAATTTTCTTTCCAGTGCTCAGATCAACCTGGAGAATGATCATTAGCTTCTGACTTTACTGTTGCTGGCTGGACAAGTTTGAAATCATATCCTTAGTGGACATCTAGACTTGGGGAAGTGATGGGGGAAAGTGGCCTCATCACACACCTAGGGAAAGCTCTGAGAGCTCAGGGCTGGGAAAGAGCTTTCTTGTGTACACACCTGCTCCATATGCCAGGGCTTTGGTGTGCACAGACAATACTGAAGTGATTCATAGTTCAACTGTGTTGAGTCACTCTGAAAACTCAAAGAAAGTGCTGAGATGCATCAGGAAAGGAAAGCATGATGTGGCCCAGCTCACTGTTCTTAGAGAGGCAGTAAACACAGTACAAGGTGGGAGGAAAGAAATCGCAAACTTTCGGACACACTCAAGACATGAAGGCAATGAAGCAAGTGGGACTCTCCACTCCTTAATTTTCATCCCTTCTCTATCTAGGGCAAGCAGATTGTGTGAAATGTCTGACAAACCAAGAAATCGGCTTCTTACCAGCATTCTGTGTGCTCCTGATGCAGCGAAGGCGTATCCCTCTCTTGAGGAAATAGGCTGTGATTTGAAAGCCATAACCTGGAAAGTGAAAGGGAACATCACTAAGTTAAGTTTGTTTGCCGCTAAATCTCTGGAGTTCAGCCCAGTGCCTGCCATAAAAGACACATTCAATAGTTATTTAGCAAATGAAGCTGAGTGTGATGACTCACGCCTGTAATCCCAACAATTCGGGAGGCCGAGGCAGGCGGATCACTTGAGGTCAGGAGTTCGAGACCAGCCTGGCCAACATGGTGAAACCCTGTCTCTATTAAAAATACAAAAACTAGCCGGGTGAGGTGGCGGGCACCTGTAATCCCAGCTACTCAGGAGGCTGAGGCAGAAGAATCACTTGAACCTGGGAAGTGGAGGTTGTAGTGAGCTAAGATCACTGCACGCCAGCCTGAGTGACAGAGCGAGACTCTATCTAAAATAATAATAATTAGTAAATGAAAGAATAAAGGAATTAACAGAGGGCTTCTCTTGAGAGGCAAGGGTGAACATTACTATCTTGCCTCTTCCAGGAGGCCTGACTATGACGCTGGCATAGTCCCTAGTCCCTGAAGTCCCTCAGTTACTTCAACTGTAAAACGAAATAAATGAGGTCTAACGTACTTTCAGATGGGATAATTCAGTCGGAGCTTGCGAATAGATCTTAGCCACCTTCTCATACTCACTGCTTATTAGCTCATAAAAAGAAGCAGTTCATACCTATTTGAACATGGATGTATTTTGCCTGTAAATAAATTAATTCAAGTATGTCAAAATCTTCATATAGAATGAGATTAAAAGAAATATGACATGAGTAAAAAAATAATTTCTCCAACTCACCAGAGTGGCCTAAGTGAAAGAGACAGAGCATAAAGTGTTGGCAAGAATGCAGGACAACTGGAATTCTCATACGCTGCTGGCAGGAGTACAAATTGGTACAGCCACTTTGAAAAAAATGCTTGAGTATCTAAAGCTGAACTTAGGCATGAACATACAGTGTTCACAATAGCACTCTTCACAATAGTCTCAACCTGGAACCAATGCAAATATCCATCAACAGTAAATTTTTTAATGGGGATATAGTCACACACTGAAATACTATAGTGCCTCTAAAAATGAATGAGCTACAGTTATAGGTAGTAACAGAAATACATCTCACAAACATAATGTTACATGAAAGAAGCCTGATCCAGAAGAGTAAATGCCATCTGTGAAAATGGAGACACTATCATTCGTCTCATAGGGTGGCAACAGATTTTCAGATGATTCACAGAAAGTGCCAGCTTAATTCCTTCCTCTCTCCCTTTCTCTTCTCTTCTGGCTTCCCTCCAGGTATAAACTACTTTGTTGATGATTTTCCTGAAATCACAGTAAAACCGTTCCTGGTTATCGCAGTCAGCAGTCAAGTTATTTGGTAGAAGAATCAGAAGCAAAAGCTCCACCAGAGTGGGGTGAGGGTCCCCCTCTGTCAAACTGGAGTGGCCAAGAGTTGCAGGAAGTAATCTCTAGGACCATCAGATTCTCCAAAGTCCATGACTATGGTTGGTCTGAAATAACTTATATAAAGAATACAATTAAAGAAGTTTCCACTTTCATATTCAGTATCCTTCCGACACTCCTGTAGAAAGACCCAGGACATGAGTGACCACAGACTTGATGCTGTCTAAACAAGCGATGGCTCTGACAGAACAATTGCTTTAGTCATGCAGATTGTGCAAGAACAGTGACATCTATGAAAGGATAATCTCCGGATTTGCTGAGATAAAATAATTTTTTCCTAACACACTTGAAAATAGATTGCATTTCAGTCATGTGGCTTTCTTCTGCTTAAAATGTCAAACAAAATATACACACCACTGACATTACTCTGAGTGCTTTAAAACAAATACGTTATTTCTTAGGTCACTGAGAGAATGGAAGTCATTTCTACATCTGTTTATTTGTCCAACTGCTGAGGGAAGAAGTGGAATCCTTAACAATTGGTGACTCACAAACACATACAGCAAAATTTAAAAGTATTTTTCAAGTATTAATTTATAATGCAAGTCTTCCAAAGAACTGAGAAAAAAAAAGTATAATATCTGTTATTCTACCTTTGCTGATATATAGCTCTAAGTGATTAAGATTCAGGAGGCATGTTCGAAATTTCAAAAATCTTCTTCCTATGCAAAATCTTTAGCAATAAAATGTTATTATCAGGCCCAGTGTGGTGCTCATGCCTGTAACCTCAGTACTTTGAGGGGCCAAAGTGGGAGGATTGCTTGAGGCCAGGAGCTCGAGACCAGCCTGGGAAACATACTGAGACCCCGTCTCCTTAAAAAAAATACAAAAAAACATTAGCTGGGCATGGTGGTACACGCCTGTAGTCCCAGCTGCTCAGGTGGCTGAGGCAGGAGGATTGCTTGAGCTCAGGGCTTCAAGGCTGCAGTGAGCTATGATCACCACTGTACTCCAGGCTGGGCGACAAAGCAAGACCCCATCTTAAAAAAAAACGTTATTATCAGGAAGGGGCAAAATCTGAAGTTGACCATGAAAGCTACAGTTTTGAGTCCAGGAAGCCTGGTATCTGAAGATACTACTTGAGTGACAGCTAAATCCTATCTGGACTGCTGAACAATCAAGTCTCAATATGACACCTTCCCCTATAGAAAAAGAAAGCAGTATAAGGCAGATTTCAAGTGATTTGTTACTGAAATTAGTAGGAGAAATGAGTTTATTGAAACCTTGACCCCTACACCTCCCACCCCAGGACAGAATTAAGTTAAAAGGAATCATTTCTAAATAGCATCTTGTTATTAGTGGTTTCAATGGAAAACCTGCCCAAATGGCACCTACAAGAGAAATAGCAAGTTTAACATGTAAAAAAGATTTGCACCTGCTTAATCCAAATTCGACTGGTCATATGAAACTTTGTTTAAAGAGAAACTTGAGGAGAGATTAAACACAAAAGGTACTATGCCAGTTCTTATGGCAAACTAAATTTGATCTATAAACAGAGAAAATTATTGCTGCTTGAAACATACTGCACTGAAATGCTTAGAAAGATGTATTTCATTTATTCATAGACAAAAGGCAATGATAAAGACTACATTCTTATCTTTGCTTTTAATGAAATCAACTTCACAGAGTTCAGGAGGCCACTGAGATTTTGTACTTACCCAGGGCTAAAGCAAAGCTCCACTACTCTCTAAAGCTAAACAGCAATTTGGCAAAGGATCCAAAAGTCCTTTTGCTTTTCCTACTTGGGGCACCAGCTCCCAGCTCGCTATGCTGGTGTTTTAAATGCAGAAAACCTGAGTCAGCAGAGCAAATGGAAATCATAAAGTGATCATCTTTTCATCTGAAAACTACTGGATGATGGTATTAATATTATGAGGCACTTGCAAATCACATTTCAGTATGCCTGTTTCCTTGCTGGCGACTGTGGTGCTCCTAAATCTGAGAAGACTGTCTTTAGACACAAGAAGGGATTTGGATTAGAGGGAGAAAAAGCTTTGCAATAGAAACATCTTACCACCAGGCGTCTGCAGGTATGTGCATTTCCAGAAACAATTGATATTTTTGAATTGCTTAATGTAACACAATCATCTAGTATCAGCAAGATCCCATCTTCTCCCCTGGCCTCCAAGCAGCCCAAAAAATCTCCAGTTCTTGTGCCACCATTTGCTCTCTGTATGTCGTAAAAAGCTGTTGCACTTCTCCTTATCCTTCTACAAACAACCTCCAAAGCATGAAGCCTCAAATGATTACTTGTTACCACACTAACTTTCTTCTGGCTTACCTAAGTTGTTCATCAAAAACTATTGAGTCTCTTTAAAAAAAATGGAGAGGTGGTCAGTAATGCATATGAGAGAAAGAAAGGACAAACCACAGTCCTCCTACTATTTTATTTCATATTCTGTCTAAAATAAGCTGCTCCAAAATGGCTCTACTAGAAATTTGCAGTCTTCATAAACAGAAAGGCAAAAATTACGACAAAAAAACTCAAATATGAATTGAACAAATTCCATCCTGGCTTAGCAAGGCAGTAGATTAGTTTCAAGTAGTACCATGTTCCAATGAGTAATGGTTTTAAGGGAGTGGTCATTTATTTGGGTTGTCACAGTTCACAGTCCCAAGACACTGAGAGCAAATATTCAATGAGAGATTTTACTGTAAAACTATCCAGCCTCACTTGTTTTCCAGGGGATTCATAGCTAAGGCGACTTGAGCTTCCCCACAGCTGCCAACGGGAGTCTGTGGTCTGGTGCGTAACAGTGGGAAGTCCTCTCCCACAGCTATTACGAGACCATTCATGGACGAGCCTGGGAAAATGCCTCTGTGTGGCTTGGTGAGCCATCAGGACCTCCGGGCAGGTGAATTCCACTTCATTGTGGACCCCACCCACCACCTGTGTGGCTCTCTTCCAGCAAAGCCTTCTCCCAAACTACAAGGCAGGCTCAGGAAGACCTACGATGCCCCTCAGTACTTCTCTCCCTGAGATGACTCCATTATTATCATCACTCACACAGTCTGAAACATTTCAAACATTCAGAAAAGTAGAAAAATAATGTCATGAACATCCCAAAACCCACCATCTAGATTCAATAACAGTTAATATTTTGCCGTATTTCATACACATATTTTCTAAACTGCTTCGAAGTGGACATCATGAAACCTTACTCCTAAACATGTGAGCACAGCTCTTGAGCAATAAGGAAATTCTCCTTCATCACCACGACACTATTATTACAACTGAGTATGACATTACCGATCAAATAATCAGCCTATATTCAAATTTCTCCATTGTCCCAAAATGTGTATCACTGATCTGATTTTCCTTTGAATCGGATCCAACCAAAGATCATGGATTTTAAGAGATGTATTTGCTTATATCTCTTTTAATCTAAAATAATCTCCCTTTACCTTTTAAAAAAAGAACTCTGAACTTTTAAAGAGATCAGGCTAGTTGTGTTATAGAACAACCCCATTCTACATTTGAATTTTTTTTTTGACAGGGTCTTGCTGTGTTGCCCAGGCTGGAGTGCAGTGGCACAATCACAATTCACTGCAGCCTCAACCTCCTGGGCTCAGATGATTCTCTCACTTCAACCTCCTGAGTAGCTGGGACCACAGGTGCATGCTACCACACTCATCTAAGTTTTAAAATTATTTTTAGAGACATGGTCCCCCTATGTTGCCAAGGTTAGTCTTGAACTCCTGGGCTCAAGCGATCCTGCTGCCTGGACCTCCCAAAATGCTGAGATTACAGGTGTGAGCCACTGCACCCAGCTAAGCTTTTTTTTTTAACCTCAGTTGCCTAAACACAAAATTTCAACCTGTATGCTCTTTTAAAATGCCAGCCATTTATTAATTTTGACTTCTCCTTTAACTGCTGTAGGAAATTACAGGTTCAAACTAAAGCTATAATGACAATTCAAAGACTGGCATACAGATGACCTGAAAATTTGGTCCTAATGATAATTTCAAAGAAATAAAATTATGGATTTGTAGATAGTTAAAATTTTGGTGAAGATAAGCTTACTTAGGTAGGTTGGATAGTGGTCTGATATTTGCTTTAAGAAAGGGCACTTTGTCATAATCAGATTACTATGTGCTAACCCGGAAGCAGCTCTGCATTGCACGCCAGTTCAGACATGTGACTGTTTCCAGTCTGAAGTCATGAGTCAGTTCTCAAGCTTGGTTGTGATTTAATAAGAGAACAGGAAGAAAGAGGCTGATACCAACTGAGTACTGACAGTATCTTGGGTATTAGACTAGACTAGGAACATATAATATACTTAAAAGATGAAGAGGCTAGGCACAGTGGCTCACGCCTGTAATCCCAGCACTTTGGGAGGCCAAGGTGGGCAGATCACGAGGTCAGGAGATCGAGACCATCCTGGCTCACATGGTGAAACCCTGTCTCTACTAAAATAAAAAAATTAGCCAGGCGTGGTGGCACGCACCTGTAGTCCCAGTTACTTGGGAGGCTGAGGCAAGAGAATCGTTTGAACCCAGGAGGCAGAGGTTGCAGTGAGCCGAGATCATGGCACTGCACTCCGGCCTGGGCAACAGAGTGAGACTCCATCTCAAAAAAAAAAAAAAAAAAAAAAAAAAAAAAGATGAAGAATACGTGTGCTTTCAAGCTATTTCATTAAGGAAAAATGAAGTTGTAACTCATTACATCCCAAACTGTGTCACTCAGAAAGTTGCACCTTGTCCTTATCAAAAGGCCTAGGGTAGAAAGGGTAGGGAAATCATGAGTTTGATGCTGTCACTTCAAACATGAAAAGAGACTAAGTATGAGATGGGGCCTATGAAAAAGCCTTGATGGGGCCTTTGGAAACATGTTATGGGTCCAAGTGTGACCTCCTCTATTGCTGGTGATGGGGGGGGGTTGGAGAAAGGGGTTGTTCTGTGGGAACTGAAAACCAAGAGTCCTGTCCCAAGTTTAGGAATATACATACGGGATCCTAGTCTAAGACCACAACTGGGAAACAAATTTGGTGGGTAAGTGGAATATTTGATCCTAGGCTAAAAATTTCACTTATTACCCAAGACATTTAGAGATTCCAAAAAGGTTCCCTTGAGATAACATTTCATGTCCCTAAATAAGGACAGTACTAGACTCTGAGTCACAATAAAGCTATGTCTATTTGATGCCAAAACAAATGGAGCATGAAATGTTTCATGAATAAAATCATTATTTATAAAATAATTCTTCGGAGCCAAATTTATTTAGAAAAAAACACCCATTTTCTGCCTGTCACCCTTTTGACTTTGTAGGTAATGCCAGAGGGCACATGTGCCACAAATTTCATTTTCTGTGGGACCCATCAGAGATTGTTCACATGGAATAAGAAGGCTTTTCAGAGCAGACAAAAATTAGAATAAAACAAATTGAGAAATGATCACTTCAGATTTCTTCCCCATGTTGCTTTCCCACTTTTTTGTTTATTTAAAAAAAGGCCCTTAACATTAAATATGAAAACTGTGTTTGGATAACACGCAAGCATAGATGAAATGATATTCAAAACTATGGTTCCCACAATCATAACTCTGCCAGGCCATGCATAATGATAAGAATAATATAATACTGTGTACTTATAAAACTCAAAGTTCTCTTTAAAACCCTTCACTCATCTTTAAATAACTATACACAAAAGAAACAGAGATGTTTAATAAGCCTTCTAAATGAGGTAGCTGCTTGTTTGAACTATTAGCTGTTCAAGCAGGCCCCTCTGCAATGGATTTCAAATTTCCTGTGCATACAGAGGAACACCAGATGAAGCATATCCTCTGTGGCCTCCCTGTCTTGCAGGGAATCCATTTCAACTCTGAGATTCTAGATCATGTGCAATGAGAAAGAGAGTTCATGAACCACTGGACTATTCTAACAGGACCATGGACCCAAAGGACAAGAAACAACCTTGGAAGTCTCCTAGTTCATTTCCTGTTTGTCAGCCAGGACCACATTAAAACCATCTTTTAAAAACAACACCAAAATGCTGAGTGAGAAGATGCTATACCTACCTATGTGCCACTTTATCTGTCCTTTATATGAACTGAGATTGCAAACTTAATGCCTGAGGGGTAAGACAGGTAACAGGAAAAGGGTTGGGTTCTGACTGGAAAACTGGAGAGAGCTCAGGGCTTGTTTAAAGGGGACAGCAGTGATTTTCAAACTCATCGGAAACTAGGGCACAGGGGTACCAGAAAAGCTGGAAATCCAAGTTTTTATGTGAAATCTCTTCAAATTTTAACTTTGCAAACAATTCAAACTTTTAAAATATATTGTGTGGTCCAAATAATATGTCTCTGAGAGCCAACGTAGCTTTATATTGTCAGTTTGCAATCTCTAACTTAAATTCTTCACACTTCAGTTGAATTTCTTTTTTGTGTGTCTTCGGCAGAGCTAAAGGAAAGCTGGCCACTACCAAATGCTTGAAGATAGGTATTCAGTTTCAATTTAGTCATTTATTCTAAGCTAAATAAACCCAGGTCCTTAACCTTACTAAACAGGGCATGTTTTTCTACGTTAAAATCATCTTTCTGACTCTTAGGTCTGACATTAAAGATACTCAGCCGGGTGCGGTGGCTCATGCCTGTAATTCTAGCACTTTGAGAGGCTGAGGCGAGTGGAATGCCTAAGCTCAAGAGTTTGAGACCAGCCTGAGCAACACAGCGAAACCCCATCTCTACTAAAATACAAAAAATTAGCCGGGTGTGGCAGTGTGCGCCTGTAATCCCAGCTACTCCGGAGGCTGAGGCAGGAGAATTGCTAGAACCCGGGAGGCAGAGGTTGCAGTGAGCCGAGATCGCGCCACTGCACTCCAGCCTGGGTGACAGAGCAAGACTCTGTCTCTAAAAATAAAATTAAAAAAATAAATAAATACATACATAAATAAAATAAAATAAAATGATACTCAAGGGTTTGACTCAATATGGGGGAAAATGAAAAGATGATATAATTTTAGAAATCATTAATTGTATAAATGTGTGGGATCTGCATTAAAAAATTACAAAGTTTTCATAATTAATTAGGAAAAGGTCTTAAAAAGATTAATATACCATGTTCTCAACTGGAAGGGCTAACCATCATAAAGATGTGAATTGTTCCCATATTTATTTGTTTAACAAATATGTACCGAGTGCCTATTGTGTACCAGACAATTCCAGTCAAATATCACAATGAAACTGTTATTTTTTATGTGTGTAAGGGGAGGAGGCAGTTTGGAAGCTGCGAAAAATAATGCTAAATTTAATCTAAAAGAATAGTTAAAAAAAATTCAAAGTAAAAAAAATTTTTTTCCTAATTAAAAGTAACATAGACTCAATGTATTTTTAAAAATCTAGACAAAAAAAGGTGTAAAGAGAAATGAATCTTCAACAATCCGACCACCCAGAGACCCTTTGTCACTTTCGACTTTTGATATCTTCTAGGTCTTTTCTCAAAATATATAATCACATATACTCTTATTTCTTTCTACAAAAACGAAATCATATGATGAATGTTGTTTTATAACGTGATTTTTAAAAACCTCAGTACTATGAACATTGACTTTGTGTATGATACCATTTAGAAATCCGTTTTTATTCTTTCCCAAATGAATAATAAATTGAGTATTCAACAGAAGATCCCCACTGATCCCTGGTTGCCAGGTCTGTCATACACAGACCTCTCTTTCTGACTCACTTTATTCCACTAGCTTATCATCAGTCAGTTAACACTATGTTAATTACCTGAGCTTTATTTATAATAAATCTTAATCTAGTAGGGCAATTTCCTTTCCTGACTCCCAACATTATTTTTCTTCTTCATCAGGAGTACTTGAAGTTATTCTTGGCCTTTTATCCTTTTATTAGCTTGTCCAGTTGCATGAAAAGCCCTTTCAGGGTTGGATCAGAAAGACCTTGAATTTATAGATCAATTTGGAGAAAATAAACATCTTTATGATAATGACACTTCCCATACATTTGACATGGTAAATCTCCTAATTATTTTTAATAACTTATTTAATACCTTCCAATAAAGTTTTTTTAGTGTTGTCATGTAAATGTTATCTCCTAAAAACTACATTTTTAAACTGCCTGCTGTTGTAACTGACTTCTATATGTTGTCAGCTGAAATGCCTATTAAATCTTTTTTCCCCACCTTTATTGGGGTATAATTGATAAATAAAAGTTGTATACATTTAAGGTATAGAACATGATGATTTGATATATGTATCTATTGTGAAATGATTACCACAATCAGGCTAATTAATACAACTATCACCTCATATAGTTATCTCTCTTTTTCTTGCAGTGAGAACATTTAAAGATCTCTCTTACCAAATTTCAAGTATGCAATGATTATTAACTACAGTCACCACAGTGTACATTAGATTCCCCAGAACTTATTCACCTTATAACTGATAGTTTGTGTCCTTTGACCAAATCTCCCCTTCCTTCCCTCATTGACCCCTTCCCCTAGCCAGACTCTGTCCCTACCCCTGCCTCTGGCAATCATCATTCTACTCTCTGCTTTTATGAATTAGGCTTTTTTAGATTCTACATACAAGTGAGATCACACAGTATTTGTCTATGTCTGGCTTACTTCATGTAGCATAATGCACTCCAGGTTCATCAGTGCTGACACAAATAGTAGGATTTCCTTCTTTTTTTATGGCTGAGTAATGTTCCATTGTATACATACAGCACATTTTTAAAGATGCTAGTTTCATTTCCTTTGTATATATACCCAGACGTGAGACTGCTGGATCATATGGTAGTTCTGTTTCTACTTTTCTGAAGAATCTCCATACTGTTTTCCATAATGGCTGTACTAATTTACACTCCCATCAAAAGCATGCAAGGGTTCCCTTTTCTCCACACCTTCACCAATACTTATTATCTCTTTTTATAACAGCCATTCTAACAGGTATGAGATGACATCTCACTGTGGTCATAACGTGCATTTCCTGATGGTAAATAACGTTAAGCACCTTTCCATATACCTGTTTACAATTATATGTTTTCTTTGGGAAAATATCTACTTAGGTCCTTCCCCATTTTTAATTGGGGTATTTAATTTAGTTGTTTTCTTTCTTCCTTTTCCTTTTTTTTCTTTGCTATTGAGTTGTATGAGTTCCTTATATATTTTGGATATTAATCCCTTATTAGATATATGGGCTTGAAAATATTTATTCCATTCTATAGGTTACCTTTTCATTTTGTTGATTGTTTCCTTTGCTGCACAGAAGTTTTTAGTTTGATATAGTTGCTTTTGTTACCTGTCTTTTGGGGTCACATCCAAAAAAATCATTGTCAGGACCAATGTCAAGGAGCCATTTCCCAACTTCTTCTACTAGAAGTTTTATGGTTTCAGGTCTCACATTTAAGACTTTAATATATTTTAATTTTTGTGTATGGTATAAGATAAAGATCCAAGTTCATTCTTTTGCATTTGGATATCCAGTTTACCCAGAACCATTTATTGAAGAGACTATTCTTTCCCCATTTTGCATTTTTGGTGCTCTTGTCAAAGAATATTTGGCCATATACACATGAGTTTATTTCTGGGCTCTCTATTTTGTTCTGTTGGTCTAGGGCCCATTTTTACGCCAGTGCTATTCTGTTTTGCTTGCTATAGCTTTGTTTTAATTTGAGTAATTTGTATGTATATTTATTTTAGATTTTTCTGCATATACAATCATACCATGTACCAAAAAAGGGACTTTTCTTCATCTCCAATTTTTTCACCTGTATATTTTTTTCCTGTTTTATTCTTTGGGCTGGAACTCCTCCAGTAGAGTGTTGAATACTGCTGCTGGTAGGTATCTTCTGGTGCTCCTTATTATAAAGCTAACACTGTTAATGTTTCACTTACTACTGAGAACATTTGTTGTAGACTTTTTGTAGACATATTTCTAATTTTCTAAAAATTTTTATTATAAATACTGGTTGCTTTTCCTGTACCTTGTATAATTGTTACATGCATTGCTCTTTTTAATTTATTAATGTTGTAAATATTACAAATTGACTTTTAATGCTGAGCCAACTTTGTATGATATCATGATTTTGTTTTCTATATTGCCAAATTTAGCTTGCTAATATTTAGTTTAGGATTTCTGCTTTTATATTTGAGTGAGATTGACCTGTAATTTTCTTCTCTTTTATTGTCCTGTTTTTTTCTTTTCTTTTTTGATCCTAGTTTTTAGTGTCAAGTTATAGTAACCTCATAAAATGAATTGGAGATGTTAACATTTATTCAAGTACATAAAACTGGAGTTACCTAGTTCTTAAATTTTGGGGCGAACTGTCCTGGTAAAATATCCAGACCTGGTGCTTTCTTTTTTAACCAGTGGTTTAAATTCTTTAATAATCTATTCAGGGTTTATATTTATTCTTAGCTCACATTAACAATTTATATTTTTCTATGAATTTTTCTATTTCACCTTAGTTTTCAAATTTATTGGCACGAAGTTGTTCTTAATAGTCTTTTATTTTAATTTCCACCTAATTTAATTATGTCTTTTTTCATTACTAATACTTCTATTCCTGATCTAATTACGTCTTTTTTTCATTACTAATACTTCTATTCCTAATATTTCTCTTCATCTTTTTTTCCCTCTTTATCACAAATTACTGCATACCTATCATTAACAAGCTGTTAAGCCAAAATAAGCAAGAAACCATTAGTCTGGGGTTGTTTCTGTACTAGGAACCCTTACATAAATAAGCAAACCAAAACTTAACTTAGAGGCATTCCTTGTGACTGATTAATTTTGAATGGAGCTTCAGCCAATCGCAGATAACCAACTAGCAAATTCGTTATATTAACTAGGGACTTTCTATTGAACCATATCCAAATAAGGCAAATGCCTAGCTATAACCAATCAAGTAATTTCTTTACTTTGCCTCCACATTCAGCCTATGAAAGCCCCCTGCCCATACTGCTGGAACGGAGCTCTCAGAATCTCTTGTGGATTTGAGTGTTGCCTGATTCATGAATTGTTATTTGCTCAAATAAACTGTTATATTTATTTTGTCTAAAGTTTTTCTTTTAACAAAGTCAAGTGGGAGAAGGCAAGGATCATCAGTAGCCATAGGACTAACAAGAGAGAGAGATATTCAAGGGACACTTTAGAGATGAAAATCAGAGACAGGCTTGGTTGTCAATGAAACGTGTTCAGAGAAGACTGATGACAATGACAATTTTTTTTAACTTTGTTGACTACATGAGTGGTAGCTTCCTAAGGTATAGAGAGGGTAGGTAGGCTTGGTAAGATAAACCAAGCTTTAGAGATGAGGATCAATGAGATTTCTGGGTGAAGCTGTTTGGAAAGCCAATAGAAATAAGGTGTGCAGTGGCTGGGCACGGTGGCTCATGCCTGTAATTCCAGCATTTTGGGAGGCCGAGGCAGGTGGATCACCTGAGGTTAGGAGTTCGAGACCAGCCTGACCAATATGGTGAAACCCTGTCTCTACTAAAAATATAAAAATTAGCTGGGTGTGGTGGTGTGCAACTGTAGTCCCAGCTACTCAGGAGGGAGGCTGAGGCAGGAGAATTGCTTGAACCCAGGTGACGGAGGTTGCAATGAGCCAAGATCATGCCACTGCGCTCCATCCAGCCTGGGTGACAGAGTGAGACTCCGTCTCAAAAAAAGAAAGAAAGAAAGAAAGAAAAAAAAGGAAAGGAAAGGAAAGGAAAGGGGAAAGGGGAAAGGAAAAGGAAAAGGAAAAGTTGGAGTTCAGAGGAAAAGTCATGGCTGCAGATCTACTGAAGCAACTCTGGCCAAAAGGAAGAAAAGTCCATGGCAGAGCATGTCAAGTGAGAGATCAAAGGGCAAGGGCAGGACCACTCTCAAGAGTCAGCAGAGAAAGAGGGGCCCACATGGAGTAGTTAGATCAGAAGAAGGCCAGCCACCATAGTGAAGTCTTGGAAAAGAGAGTTGAAAGATCAAATGCCAGAGAGCATTAGTGACAGCAGAAATAGAACAAAATACTCAGCTGGCAATTGAGAGGTGATTGGTAGCATTTCGGAGGTAGCTTCAGGGTGGAAGAATAAATGAGAGTATGAAAGAGGACACAAAACACAAACATCTGTTCTGGGAACTTTGCAAAGATGAGAAGCAGAAAACAACACAGGAGCTTCAGGGGAAAACATTAAATTAAAGAAAGATCATTGTGTGTTTCTTCTTTCATGTCACACTTCTGTTTTTGTTTCCCAGTTGCATGCTTGCTTGCTTTCTGCTTTTTCTTTTTATGTAGTCTGTTTTCTATTCTACATTTTCTATTCAGCATTTGTCTGTAACAGACATTCCTCTTAATTTTGTCACAGTCATTTGGAATTTCTATCCCATTTTATAAGGTGCTAGGTCTTTTACCCATTTTTGATGCATTCACTCAAGTCATGGATGAAAACACTAAATATTCCTAAAACTTATCATCTCTTCTACTTCCTCTTCCAGTTATTAAATAATCCACTATCAAGCTCAAATAAGCATCTATCTACTAGTCTAGGGTCTTTCCAATTCCCAATCATGAGTCCACTGCCCATATCTAAATCACTTGGGAAATTTGAATCTCCAAGGCTGAGGTCTTTTCCAACCATACAGATTCCTGGATTCCCAGGCCCAGAGAACCTGGGGTGAGAGCCAGAGAACTACATTCTTTTAAAAGAGCTCCAGGGAATTCTGATGCTCAGACAGGTCTGGAAGTTACTGCTCTAAATCTTATTTTGTTGATTTACTGGTATGTTATAATGAAATTAGTAGTGAGAGTCTTATTAGAGTAATGGTAGTGCTTTGCAGAGTTCTTAGAAGACAAAAACAAAATGTAAGTTCTGTCAGTGAATATAAGAGGTTATCCTAGTTCTTTAAACACAAACAAACAGGCCTTTAGCTGGATTCTATAGCAACAGTGAAGAGGCAAGGGGAGACAGCTAATTTCTAAGCCACTCAAGGCCTAAACTACTGAAGCAATTTATGAGAAGGCAATGCATATTAGCTCAATTATTATCACTCCTCCAGGGAATTTAAATGAACCGGTCTCATGCCTTCTTTGTTTTCTTTTCTTTCTTTCTTTTTGTTTTAACTACCTGCTGATTTGCGTTTTTATAGGGGAAAAAAAACCCACCATGTATGTGCTTTTTATTTTTATCTTCTATTATACAAGTCCTTAAGAGTTCACATAAGATGTATATTGGGCTGATATGTAAGCCTTATGATGATAGGTATGCAATAACTTACCATCTTAATTAAGGTGCTAAATTAGATCTTACATAGACTTAGATTTAAAAAGGAACTATGTATGCTAACACCCAGGTTTTATTGCAAAACATTACCTTGATATTTTTATCTTAATTGCCTGAATTAAGCAAAGTTTCAGAAGCCTACGTAAAAGAGTCTTTTAAATTTTGTTTTGCTTAAACAGTATTTACTAGTAATATAAATACCTAATGAACAAATCTAAAATACTGATTAATTTTAAAATCATAAAAAGCTCCATTTTCATTGTATATACATTGTTAGCGTGAAATTAGAAGGGATACAACCAGAAATCATGTGTTGCCAGATGAGATGCAACAGAAAACACACCCCACATACCACAAAGTATTCTCACACAAGGGACCCCAGCCTCATCAGGCCTGTGGCTCAAACCACCAATCCACAGAAAATACAAGGGGCTGGAAGAGGCAGGTTAATGCCACCATCCGGATGCAGCCAGCCAAATCCAAATGTGGGAAATTCCAGAGGACATTTGACCCGCTTTCTTAAATAAACAGATAGAAAAAAAATTGGGGATGAGGGTTCCTACAGGTTAAAGGAGGTGTTCTTCTATGATAAAGATAATCAACCGAGTGCAATGAATGTGTACACCAACCTTGTTCAGACCCTGAATAGAACAACTCAACTATAAAGGAACTGAAGAGACGTTCAGATAAATCTGAAGATGGACTAGATAGTTGATGACATTACTTTTTTGTCTTTAATGGCGTTTTTAACATTTTAAAAATCACTTCTCTTTTAGAGCTCTGTATGTTGAATCATTTATATATAAAATTAAATGACATCCAGAATCTACTTTAAAATAGTTGGGGGAGCAGGGAATAGATGAGCATATAAATGAAATAACATTGGCTATATGCTGTTTAAAACTGGGATGCTGGCAACAGATAAGTGGGGGTTCATTATATGATCCTATTTTTGTATGTATTTGAAATTTCTGATGTTTTAAAAAATGAAAGTATTCTTTTAAAGATTTATTTGTAAAAAAGAAACACCACCATGAAAATATTCAGGGCCTTTCAAGATGATACATTTTTTTCTTCTAAATATTTATATTAATATAGACCCTCTTCCAAAGTCTCAGAACATAAATCATGATTAAAGCTTATTTTTTTAGGTAATTTCCTAACCCTGAAAATAACATTTTATAAGGAAGGCAAAAGTATCTTTTATTATGTTGTGAACTATAACTATAATCTTTAGAATAATTTTTCTAAGTAGATAACAATTTAAAGGAAATCTAAACAAAAATGATCTAATAGGTGATTGTAAAGCTCTTATCTTCCTTAAGCTTAAATTATCATACTATTGTAAAATACGAACAATAACTTCACCCTGAGATTTTTAAACTAGTGGCCCAAGTTGAAAATATAGATTTATAGATACATAGTTATAGATACATACACACACATCTTGCAGACTCAAGCCAGATTACCAACCCGTTAAGCATGGAATAGAAAGTGCACCATTCAATAAAAATATCACCTTGTACTAAACAGGGCTAATCTCTGAAAGCTGAATTGGGGAAATCTGAAAGCTGAGATAAAGGAAACCTTCCTGCTAAAAACACAGAATGCAGGTTTTAAAAAAACAGTTTACATATGTAACGCAAACAAAATGGAAATATTAAGGAAATACCAGGAACAGAGGGAATTTAAAATAAGAGTAGGAAACAAACAGACTGACACTCTAATGGCCTATGGAGAAGTGTCAGATCAGGTGTCTGGGAAGGTCTAAAGCTGCATCCTGCCTGCACCCTGCCACCTCTCCAAGATCCTGGTCCCCACTCACTGACAGGAGTACACACAGCCCTGTCATTCCATGAAAACTTCACTTTCCTTTTATTTAGATATTTTTCCTTTTGTTGCACACTGAGAATTCACCATTCCCTGGGGCCTCACAAAAGCTCATAACATTTTATTATGCCACATTTCCCAGCTTCCTGGAGATCCACCCCACGGAATCACTTTTCATCACTGTCCTTCAGCTGTTACAAATGCAAATATTTTCAAGGCATTACTCAGCTCTCAGTCATCCCACTTCGGGTGAAGATGTTTCCAGTTACAGGGGGCTTTGATGGTGGACAGTGGCGTGATCATAGCTCACTGCAGCATCAAACTTCTGGGCTCAAGCGATCCTCCTGCCTCAGTCTCCCAAGCAAGTAGGACTCCAGGTGCACACCACCACACTCAGCTAATTAAAAAAAAATTTTTTTTTGTAGAGATGGGGTATCACTATGTTGCCCAGGCTGGTCTTGAACTCCTGCTCTCAAATGATCTTCCTGCCTTGGCCTCACAAAGTGTTAGGATTACAGGCATGAGCCACTGCACCTGGCCTCTCCCTTTGTTTTACTAGAAAGTCCGCATGGTGTGAGACTTTTCTACCTGGCATTTGCAAATACTTGATACTTTACAGTGCTTTGGGGTCTCTGAAAGAGGATCCTGGAGAAAGCTCTGAGTTGTAAAGCAATATCCACACAATCAAGGGTAATAATACACTACATCTTGTTCAAACTCAGGCACGTTCTGTCTCTCTCTTTTCTTCCTGGACTTGTGCATTTCACTGGTTTGCTAGGTTTGTCTTCATCTTTTCTCAGTGGCAGATGTCTCCCACCAAGGTTCTCACATCTAAGGTTCTGTATGAAGCCACCTGTAAGGTTCTGTATGAAGCCAAATATCACTACTTTTCAGGATTTTCTCAACATCAGCCCTGCCCACACCTCCTGCTATCAGCTCCCTGTCCCTCCATCTTGTCCCATGGTCTTCCCCAGGCTGCTGCTGCTCTCTACCACCAGCACCTACTTCTGGACACACTGCTACTCTGCTTGTTTGCATCATTCAAACCCCTTCCCCATGCATTAGAGCAAGTCTCACTGTTTCTCAGCTCTCTCCTCAACACAGCTTTTCTGGAAAAAGGCTTTTTTGGGGCTCAGAAGAAAAAAAAAGATTCCTTAGAAATGGCATTAAGGCCAACATTGTTAAACAAGTCTGGGCTGTACACCTTTGTCTGGAATTATTGTCAATCATTTCTATTAAATATCACATTCATGGTGAGCTATTACTGAGTTGGCAGTTTGGCAGCAAACTGGAGTATATATGTCTGTATATGTGAGGCATTCCACTAAAAAGGGATTTTACTCTTTCTTAATCTTGAAAATGATTTCAGTAGAGGAGTTCCAGGAGCCAGTATGAACAGGAAATGGTTATGCTTTTTTCATTCTGTCAAAAACCAGGTGCCCCTCAAATAGTAATAATCGAACCGGAACCATCCAACTCATGCCACTTGCACACCTACCACATATAAGTACTATGTGAGGTCCTAGGGGTATCAAGAAAAATGCTCTGCTCCTGAGGGACTCAACTGAGGGCAGAGGGAGAGACAGAGGAGTTAAAGGTAGGATGGTTACATTGTAAATGCTACTGCAACAAAGGTAGGCATAGGCAACTGCAATGTTAAAAAAAAAAAAAAAAGGGTAAGTCTAACTTAACAAAGGGGAGTAACAAACCAAATTGGGAGGAGGGAGATCCTCAAGGATGGGAAACATTCAAGCAGAGGATTAAAGCATCAGGAGCATTCTGCTGGGACTGAGAAGCGGAGGGCACTGCATTCATATCTGTGCAAAAACTCAGACAAGTCCTTTTGGCTCCTGGCAACCCTGGTAGGGTAGACTGACGCCTAGAGTTCAGAATGCATAGAATAATAGAGAGAGATGGGGGACAAGCCTGGAAGGGTGAACAAAGGAGGTTAGATTTTAACCTGGCCTCAACTTTAGAACCTGAGGGAAAGGATTCTGAATGAGAATTAAAGACCCATGAGTGCCCTCAGTCATACCTTGCAAATACTGGTGACTCACCACAGTTTTTCTGCCTATGAAGACCTTGACTATAATGAGGATAACTTTTATCTTCATTGATTTGGTTAAAATGGAACAATTAGAGTCAAGAAATTTGTGAAAGGTTTAATTTAATCTAAATCTCTGGAGAAGACCACTGGCAAAATCAATGGTACTTTATTAATTCATTAAAATTCAGATATTTATAACAATTTAAAATCATGTTTGCACTGGCTAGGTTAAAAAAGATTCTTGATCCTAACTAGTAAATGCCAGCTTTGACCCTGCTGGGAAGAAAAAAAAAATAGTTCCATTAAAAGAATGAGAAGACAATTTCAAATTTACTATAAAGCTACAGTAATCAAGACAGTGCAGTATTGGCATATGGAAACACATGTAGAAACAGAATTGAGGCCAGGCACGGTGGCTCACGCCTGTAATCCCAACACTTTGGGAGGTCAAGGCGGGTGGATCACATGAGGTCAGGAGTTCGAGACCAGCTTGGCCAACATGGTGAAACCCCATCTCCACTAAAAATACAAAAATTAGCTGGGCATGGTGGCGGATGCCTTAATCCCAGCTACTCAGGAGGCTGAGGTGGAGAATCGGTTGAACCTGGGAGGCGGAGGTTGCAGCGAGCCGAGATCACACCACTGCACTCCAGCCTGGGCGACAGAGAGAGACTCTGTCTGAAAAAAGAAAAAAAAGAAAAAAGAAAAGAAAAAAAAGAAACAGAATTGAGAGTCCAGAAATAAACACTCACATTTATTGTCAACTGATTTTCAACAAAGGTGCCAAGAAAATTAAATGAGGATAGAATAGTCTTTTCAACAAAAGGTACTTGGACAACTGGATATCCACATGCAAAAGAATAAAGTTGGACCCCTAACTCATGTCATATATGAAATTAACTCAAAATGCATCAAAGACCTGAATGTAAGAGCTAAAACTATAAAACTCCTTAAAAAATAGATGTACATTTTTATTACCTTGGATAGGGCAATGGTTTCTTAGATATGATATCAAAAGCACAACAACAACAACATAGATGAATTGGACATCATTAAAATTAAAAACTTTTGGGTATCAAAGGCCACCATCAAGAAAATGAAAAGAAAATCCACAGAAGAGAAGAAAAATGTTATAAATCATATAGCTGATAAGGGACTTATATCTAGAATGTTTAAAAGAATTCCCATAACTCAATAAAAAGACTAATAACCCAATTAAAAATGGGTTCAAATCCTGAACAAACATTTATCCACAGAAGATATACAAACGGCCAGTAAGTACTTGAATAGATGGTAACATTATTAGTCATCAGGGAAATGGAATCAAAACCACAATGAGATAACACTTCATACACACAGGACAGCTATAGTCAAAAAGACAAACAGGTGTGGCTAAGGATGTGGAGAAAATAGAAGCCTCATACACTGCTGGCAGGAACAGAAAATGCTGCAGCTACTTGGAAAACAGTCTGGAAGTTCGTCAATATGTTAAACATACAGGTACAGAATGACCCAGAAATTCCATTCGTAGGTATATAGCCATGAGAAATGAAAACATATGTCCACTCAAAAACTTGTACACGAATACCCATAGTAGCATTATTCATCATAGCCAAATGTGGTTAACAACCCAAATGTCCATCAATTGATGAATGGACAAAATATGATAGATCCATACCATGGAACATTATTTGTAATAAAATGAAATAAAGTACTACTGATATGTGTTATAAAATGAACGAATCTTGAAAACATTATGCTGAGTGAAAGAAGCCAGTTACAGAGAACCACATGGTGTATGACTCTATTTGTATGAAATGTCCAGAACAGGCAAATCCATAGAGACAGAAAGTAAGCTGGTGGTTGGTTGTCTGTGGCTGGGGTATTGGGGAAAATGAAGAGTAACTGCTAATGGGTAAAGGGTTTCTTTTGGAGTGATGAAAATGTTCTCAAATTGATTCTGGTGATGGTTACACAACTCTGAATACATAAAAACCATTGAACAGTATACTTTAAACAGGTGAATTGTATATGAATTATATCTCAATAAAGCTGTTATTAAAAAAATGAGAAGTATTCTTCAGCTAAATGGATTGTTGACAACTGTGTTCCTCATTTTTAAATCTCTCAACTAAATAGTTAGGAAGAATGAGGCTTTCCTGTAAGTGAAAATGTCTGAGATTTAAAAAACGAGATATATAATTATTCCACCACACTGGTAAACAACAAGAGGCTACAATGGAAATATGGAAACAATGTTTCTCATCATTTTGACTGATTCAGCAAATCAATCTATGAGTATTTGATGGTGAATTCTATAATTTTCCAACAGTAGGCTTCCTGGCCCTACAGTCATCCTAATTAAGCTTCATTGTTGTCATTCATTCATTTCTTATTATCATTAAAGAGACAGGGTCTTTCTCTGTTGCCTCAGCTGGAGTACAGTGGTATGATCATAGATCACGGCAGCCTCGAATTCCTGGGCTCAAGCCATTCTCCTGCCTCAGCCTCCTGAGCAGCTAGGACTAGAGGTACGTGCTGTCACACCCAACTAATTTATTTTTATGTTTTTTTGTAGAGACAGAACCTTGTTATGTTGCCCAGGTAGATCTTGAACTTCTGGTCTCAAGCAATCCTTCTGCCTTGGTCTCCAAAGTGTTGGGATTAAAAGAGTGAGCCATCATGCCAGGCCTTATTGTTATCTTTCAGTTCATTAGAATACTATATAGTACTACAGCCTTCCTAAGTTTACTCAGCCTAATTTTCACTTTTATAAAAAGCTAGAGGAAAAAAAGATTGAATAAGCTAAAAATGAAGGGGGGAAAGCATGAAAAACCCTCATCATAAGGGCATTATTTATAAATTCTGTACACTTTTGTTATGAAAACACTAGTATTTTACTAAAATAAGGGTAAACTTAAACAATACAAAAATCTCAGTCTTCTAGAAGTTCACACTACCTTGAAGGGCAACCAAGAAGCTGTTTTATTTTCAAATATATCTAATAAGGATTTGTTAAGTTTTTAAAAAATATTTTCTATTTAAGTGAAGCTTTTGCAAATCATTCTTGTAAATAATGAGAATTTCTTCCCCGCAGAGGAATACTTTCTATTTCAGTGTTTCTAAGAATACACAGGGTTAAAACTGTGTAAAATATATTTTCTCACAGTTGGGGGAGAAAAAAAACACCGCAAATAGGAAACCAGACAGCTAGGGGGGTCAAAACACTACACTTCCAGGTCAGACTTCTGGTTGCAATTAAGTAAAATTCCTGAAAATATTTGTAAGGAAATCATATTTTTGGTGTCCCCTTTCAGGTCTTATAACTTTTATTTTCTTTAGCAGCAACTTATATTGTGGGTATATACTTATCTATTCATTCATTACATACACACACACAAACACACAAATATACACATTTACTTGGACACATACATTAATCTATGACCCAGAATTGAAATTCAATCTTGGCCTAAAACTTAAAACTAGCATCTTTTCCAGGCATTCATTTTTTATGCGTGAGATCATGTGGAGTTAGTTTTGTTTTTGCTTAATGTAGGCATGGATAATTTTCTCAAGACATTTCACAAAACAGATCAGGCCAAGTTTCCCATTAGGTTATGTGGTTCATGATCAAATAATTAAAATAAATGTGAATCTGATTGGAGTTTATGCTCTAAGTAATAAGGGCATTGTGGTACAACAACAAATATAAACAAGCTATACAATTAGGTGTACCTGAACAGTTATTCACCATGCCTCTACTCAACTCCCTGGGAACAGCCCAGGGATTCTTAATGCTTCACAAATAAGCACCTCACTCTGAATCTGTGGCAAATTCACTTAGAGACAGTATAAATGTCTATCGTACCAAAGGGAGTCAATTCCCCTGCCCAGTTTATAGAAGGTATTATAATGAATATAAAATTATTTTGATCATGAACAACTGAAGTGGTTAACTAAAATATTTAGTAACCATAAAACTTCACAATTGTAGGTTATCCACTTTTATTCCAAATAATTAGAATAATTAGGGTGTCATGTTAGGGAATTTGAAAATGAAAGCTCTCTTGTTTTTAATCAACACTTGGGTTAGAATCCCCCAAATTCCCAAGATATTCAGGTAGCAAATCACGGTCCCAATGTGTTAGACCACAGTGTACTATCCTAAACAAGGCCTCTTCACTCATCCTTCAAACACTTCAAAATCAAAGGGCTCTTACTGATATTTAGTCGGTAAGATAACTAGTATCCATTTTCTCCTTCCAGCTTCCTTATGGGTGTTAATATTAGGAATGTGAAACTCAATTACTAGAAATTTGAAAATCCGGGCATTATGATGGGAGGTCCTGGCCAAAGGAAAAAAAAAAAATTAAAAGGAACAGACAAGCTGGTGAATGCTACAAGTACTTCCTAGATAAGAGAAGGCTTTTCATTGCTAAGGTGTAATGGACCTGAAATTCTTGAGAAACAAACAGTACATGCTAAGGTAAACAGTTCCCACTATACCTTGTCATCCTACATATTAAAAATATGTATGTTACTCCTATGAGAAGCAGCCACTGTTATATTGGGGGTGGGGGGTAGGGAGAGCTTTCCTGATTATTATTATCTGTCAAACACAGGAGAAGTTGCTGCCTTCTAAGACTTCACCTGGAATGTGTCAAAGGAAAGTACAGCCTTGTAGGGGTCTCACTGTCTCCCTGTATGCCCCAGCCCTCACCCCAATACATTATTACCCAATGCTATGTGGCAGCTAAACCGTTCAGACAATATAAAACCAGTGCCCCAGGTACTATGTTCCCAACATGCTGGAATAAATGACTTTCACTGGGTCAGGACTGTTCTCTTCTGCTGGGTAAAATGGAACTACAGGCCTCCCATCCAGTTGTCATCGTTAGAAATACTGTGACCGAACAGATCACCAAAAGAAATGTTTTTAATCTCACCCCACATCAATTTAAGGGCAAGTGATTTTCCTTCCTATTACTTTTCCTCCTACTCCTAGTGGGGCAGGAATGCCAACCAGTTCTACCTGACCCCAGTGGGGACCTGTCTTTGGAATATGTAGTAATAAGTCATCAGTCTTCATGGAGCTAATGAGAGGGCAGGGCTCTGAGCTAACTGGAACAACTCATTAAAAAAAAGTCTTGCGGTCAGGCACGGTGGCTCACGTCTGTAATCCCAGCACTTTTGGAGGCCAAGGCGGGTGGATAACCTGAGATCAGGAGTTCGAGACCAGCCTGGCTAACATGGAGAAACCCCGTCTCTACTAAAAATACAAAAATTAGCTGGGCGTGGTGGCACGTGCCTGTAATCCCAGCTACTTAAGAGGCTGAGACAGGAGAATCACCTGAACCTGGGAGGTGGTGGTTACAGTGAGCTGAGATTGCACCACTCCAGCCTGGGCAACAAGAGTGAAACTCCATCTCAGAAAAAAAGTCTTGGAAAGTAGCATTTGGTAACAGAGATCTTTCAAGAATCTAAGAGTCCTGGGGTATTTGGTAGAGCTGTTGTGAGCTTTCCAGTTCCCAGATATGCCGAAAGTCTGGTTGTAAATGTGAACAAGCCCAAGCAGATGCAAAAGTAATACTGGAGTTGTGTCACCATAAAAGCTCCATCAGAACTGGCATTGTAATTTGAAGCAGAACAAAGGCAATATGAACTTTGTTTTATGATGGAAAAATTATCTTTCTGATGTGTGGGGTAGTGGGTTCAGATGGGTGAGATGGGAGAGAAAGAAGCAGTATGTTCACAGCAGGCCAACAGGATCATTCTAATAAGGTTTATACTTACATGGGAAAGGTCTTGTAATGGTTCAAATTGAAGTTTGACAACCTCTGGTCAAAACAATTCTAACCTTTCTGGAAGATTTGTACATCACGTTTTTTTGAATTTTAATTTCTTGTAAAAATTAAAAGTAGACAAAAGTATCAGTCACTGCAACTCTGGCTATGTCCATAACAGGTGATGATAACAAGTGGAAACATTACCCTTGAAAGTTTAGAAATTTTGTTTACTTTCCATTTACTGTAATAAGTGGTTAGAGAAGTTTCCCCAGTTTTTGAGAAAGCAAAGCATTTTGTGTTGTCATTGGTGCTTTAGCACACTTTTGGTAAAAAGTATAAAACTTCAAGTTTTACAAATTACCCATTCCTGAAAAAATAATCTTTGTTGAAATTGCAGCACATTCACCAGACAACTTATTGGCATTTGCTTTCTCATTATTGCCCTTTCAAGCTTTACATGTGTGGATAAAAGCCTATAAAATGTTTTGATTGAGTCCATTATGGGAAGAAATGTAAATAATAACCAAAGCTATTTAAACATTTGTAAAAAGAAAACACGTTTCCACAGTGCTTTATGAGAGATCTAGGGAAATCCACTTCTATTTGTAAAGGGCTGTGAATAGAAAAAATACAATGTCTAAACAGTAAAAATATTTAATAGAACAGCAGACAACTGAAAATGTGCTGTGCAGTTTGACTGTTGCTAAAACCACATGAGTGACTATTTCTTCCCCTCTTAGTCCTCCTCCATGTCTGCTGTGGAAGTCAGAGAACTACCTAGCTTGCTCTGTGACTGCGGTACAGTTCCATTCCTACTGTGCATGGGTGTGCACAATAGGAGCACATTCTAACTGCCCATTGTAATAACTGACTCACATAAAAAATGACTCTTAAAAATAGAATTACTTGTCAAGGGCCTATGTTTATTCAGGGATCACAGTGGTTGGATGTACAGTACTTGTTATTTTGTTGTTAATGTGTGAGAAAAACACTGACTGAAGGGAAGTCTATGGATGGTGTTTTAGAGCAAGTTTTCATTGTCCTCTGAAAATGCCTGAAGGTTTGTATGGAGGAAGGGCTGGGCTCTCAAAAGGGAAAAAGTATTTCACTTCTGAAATTTATTTTAAATAGGAAAAGGCCCTGTTTTCAAAGGGCTGGGAAAATAAATACAAAACAAAACACCACATACACAAATTTGCACTCGCGGGGATGCCGGGGAGAATGGCTCACAATGAGCCTGTGTCTGAAGAGCAAGGAGAAAGCTTTTTTTGGCAGGTATCATGCATCGGGTGTTGGGGAAAGTTGAGGAACATTTCTCAGACAGAGGAAAGAATAGGAAAAATTTGCTTGTTTTGGCAATTCTTGTCTTTTTCTTTTTCGCCTCTTGTCGTGTGAACACACACTGATTCCCCAACATGGTGGTAATGTGCCCCACCACAGAACGCTGCTTGGGAGGTGAGTGTTGACGAAGAGAGAGAACACCTTGGTAATTCGTCCTTGAATGTTCACCAAAGATACCTCGGATGCCACAGAAGGGTGAGCAGAGGGCTAGGTACTTTGGCTACAGATATAAGCTAAGATTTTAGAGAAGCATTCAGCTTAGAAGAAATGCCAAAAAGCAGGCCACTGCAGACAGAAACCACAGTACCCAGGAAAATTTAATTTATTTTATGGCATTTTCCAAAGGACTGGGTTTCTTAGATGTTAACTACAAGAAAAGGTTATACAGAATAGAATAATAGGCAGTAAAAAAAATTTACTGTTACTGTTCCACAAACAGAAAAATGTCCTGAACCCTATTTAGACAAAATGCATTGAGGCAAGTGCTTACAGCTGGAAGATGAGCTCTGTTTGGGGGTCTATTTCTCCCTTTCCATCTCATGATCAGAGAATAGAGAATATGAACTTTAAACCAAGATACCCACATGGTAATTCAAGCAGAATACTGCTCCTAGTTAATTTAAAGACAGATGTGTTTTTATGATTAGAGGAAAATTGTATTTAAAAAAACCACATAAACATACAATACTCTCCTTAATAGGGATACCAAAGCAATGAGGACAAACCCGGTGTCAGACAGTGGAGTTTTCATGTGGCCTCTGACACTTCCTAGCTAGTATCTGATCTTTGGGCAAGTTACTTGAACCACAAATCTGGCTCTCATCTGTAGAGAAAGGGTTCTAAAGCTTAGGAATGGTTAAAAGAAGGGCTAAGAAGCCTGGCTAGAAAGGACTGTCTCAGGGATCTGCCATGGGTAGGTGGAAGATCTAACCCAGAGCCAGCATCCGAGGGGTGGACGCTCGGTAAGGTACCTGGGCAGGATAGTAATACTAACAAAGACCTGGGGTGGGGTGGGGCTGAAGGGAAGGTATTTCCTGTCCCTGGAGTCAGAAGATGTTGCAGCCTAATCTTACACTGGGGTAAGTTGTGGTTTTGACTTTCTGAAAACCAGATGAGAAAAGCTATTCAATAATTTGTAATTCACAGGCCACTTTCATCTCTGTGTTTTGTGTAAGGGGCAAGAGATGTTGCAATGGAAACATGCTGTAAAGTCTCAGCAAAGAAAATGGGACCTGTGAGCCGTAACAATTCATTTATTTCTCCCAACACTTGTGCTCTGACAGGCTCTGCAGTGGGTGCTGAACAGGACAAGACTCCTGTCCTCAATGAAACTGAAGCCTATCTGTGAGGCAGGGAAGCAACTGGAACAATGAGTGCTGCTACACCAGAGGGTGAGCAGGGAGAGAGGAAGGGAAGTGCTCTTGAGAGAGAAGCTACACAGAATCAGATAAGGCTCCTTGGAGGAGGTGATACCTGAGCACAGGCTGGAGGATGAGGAGGGCACACACAGGGGAGCAGAAGCAGTGTGTGCAGAAGCCCAGGGTGAGACAGCAGCACACTCTGGGGATGGAGTTAGGGGAGAGTGACAAGCTGATCAATGACCATGGGCACTCTCTGGGTTTGCTGGCCAAGGCCATCTGGGAATAATGACTCCTAGTCCCTGGGGAGAGAGGATCCTCCTGAACTCAGCCGACTGCAGGTCTAGCTGGAAGACTGCAAAAGCCTCCAGGTCCTGGGCAACTGGCTTGTCCAGCATACTCCTAAGCAGCCAGACTGCTCGGTGCCCGAACCTGGGACTCAAATGTTTGCCACCCCCAACTCCACAAGGTCACTTTTATGCTGCCCAATAAAAAAGGGTGATGCAGGCCAGGCATGGAGGCTCACGTCTGTAATCCCAACACTTTCGGAGGCTGAGGCAGGAGGATCACTTAAGCCCAGGAGTTCTAGACCAGTCTGGCCAACATCGTGAGACTCCATCTCTGCAAAATTTTTTTAAAAAAATAGCCAGATATGGTGATACACACCTGTGGTCCCAGCTACTCGGGAGGCTGAGGTGGGAGAATCACTTGAACCCAGGTGGTTGAGGCTGCCATGAGCCACGACTGTTCCACTGCACTCTGGCCTGGGCAACAGAGCAAGACCCTGTCTCAAAAAACAAGTGTGCATGTGGCTGGGCGTGGTGGCTCACGCCTGTAATCCCAGCACTTTGGAAGGCCAAGGCGGGTGGGTCACTTGAGGTCAGGAGTTCCAGACCAGCCTGACCAACATGGCGAAAACCTGTCTCTACTAAAAATACAAAAATTAGCTCAGCGTGGTGGCAGGCGCCTGTAATCCCAGCTACTTAGGAGGCTGAGGCAGGAGAATCACTTGAACCTGGGAGGCGGAGGTTGCAATGAGCTGAGATCGTACCACTGCACTCCAGCCTGGGCAAAGAAGCAAGACTCCGCCTCAAAAAAAAGAAAAAAAAAAAAGAGTGTATGTGTGTGATACATAGGAGCACACCTTGGTACACGATGCCCAGAGTACATGATCTGTCTGCATGCCGATCTGTGTGACAATACCAGCCTGTGCCCGGTGATCCCCCTGCATTCCCCAGAACTATCTGCAAAATGGTATGTGGCTCAACATGAGAAAGACATGCTACCAAGGCCACTCCTGAGTGGATAGCCACCTTGTGGGTGAGGGATGTCCCCCAGGGAGTAAGAGTTAGCTGCTGAGAGAGTTAACAGCTGGAACAGATATGATGTCTGCACAGTACCAAAGCTCAAGAGTAAAGGTGGGGCAGTTGGTAACTGGGTGAGTAGAAATTTGTAGTCAATTTAAGCACATGGCTGGACAAGTCACTTGGTCTACTGGAGGGCCATGATCCAGTGGTGACCTTGGTCAGAACCCTTTCAGAGTGGTGCACCCCAGAGCTGTCTCTGGCTTACCAGTTAATTGATTATGTCCATACCTCCAAATAAGACGGAGAACATACTTAGACTCTACTTAAACTGTATGTTATGGGGTGAGCTGTGCACCTCTCCCTGCAAATTCATATGTTGAAGTCCTAACTCCCAGTACCTCAGGATGTGACTATATTTGGAGATTAGGTCTTTAAGGAGGTAATTAAATTAAAATGAGGTCATCAGGATGGGGCCTAATCCAATGTAACTGGCATCCTCATAAGAAGAGACAAAGACATTTATAGCGGAAAATTATGTGAAGACAAAGGGAGAGGACGGCCATCGACAAGCCAAGGAGAGAGGCCTCAGAAGAGACTAACTTGCCAATACTTTAATCTCAGACTTCTAGATAAGAGGAGACACAGGCATTTACAGAGGAAAACTCATGTGAAGACGAGGGAGGAGACAGCCATCAACAAGCAAAGGAGAGAGGCCTCAGAAGAAACTAACCTTGATCTTACACTTCTAGTCTTTAGACTTTGAGAACAAATAAATTTCTGTTAGTTAAGCCACTCGGCCTGTGGTATGTTATGGCAGCCCTAGCAAACCAATACACTGTATAACAGGAAAAAAAAAATCTAGATCTGGGTCGGGCACAGTGGCTCATGCCTGTAATCCCGGCACTTTGGGAGGCCGAAGGGGGTGGATCACCAGCCTGGCCAACATGGTGAAACCCCATCTCTACTAAAAATATAAAAATTAGCTGGGTGTGGTGGCACGCACCTGTAATCCCAGCTACTTGGGAGGCTGAGGCAGGAGAATCGCTTGAACCTGGGAGGCAGAGGTTGCAGTGAGCTGAGATCGTGCCATTGCACTCCAGCCTGGGCGACAAGAGTGAAACTCAGTCTCAAATTAAAAAAAAAAAAAAAAAAAAAATCTAGATCTGGTGCACAGGGACCTGACTTGCCACCTGGCCAGTCTCCAGATTTGGGTCAGTACACGGACTTATTTTCTCCTCGAAAGGAGAGCCAGGCAGTCCTCAAGTAAGGACCCTTCAATAACGTTACAAGTGCATCCTTTAAATCTTCCACGTGGGATCAACAGAGATTACTAAGGTATTTGCACAAGGGAAAAAGAGAAATATTCGAACTTTTGAGGAGGATTAGGCATTGGCTCTGAGATAATTCTTGGGTTCCTGATTATTGCTGTGATCCACCAGAGGGTGACATCTAGAAATGTGGCTTAAATTCATCTCACGAAGGGCACAGCATGACTGTAAAAATCTGCAGTTGTCTTCCCAGTTGCTGAGTGTATCCTTGGGATAGGTTTATTCTGCAACTGACAGAATCCACAGTTGGAATTCATGTTTCAGGGAGTGAGAACTATTACAGTAATTATGGGCTAGGTGAAAGTTTCTGGAACTTCTCCCATCCCACCAAAATTGTAAACTAAAATCAGTATTAATCCCTAGGAGATCAAAGAGATCTGCCGCCATGAGAAACCTGAAACATCCATGAGCATCTTTCATATGGTCTTATCTCACTTTCCTCTTTGGTAAAGCAGAACACAGATGAGTCTTACAGAATGATGGAAGGTTAATATAAGTTTAATTAGCCAGAGATTCTTCCAGAGGCGATCTCTCAGCTGGAGAACTACAGCACCTAGCATCAGTACTACAGAGGCAGCAAAATCTGTTTTTTTCTATCTCAGTGAACAGCGAACACAGAAGCAGGTTTCTATCTACTGGCAGAGAAAGTCACGCAGCTTCACTGTTTTGCCTCATTGCTCTGTTGACATTCTGCTTCAGTGACACTACTGAATCTACAGGGAACTTCATTATCTCACTATCTTGCAGGACATTGTTCTGGTCTACCACACCAAAGGCATTATGATAGGACTTACACAGCACAAGGTGGCGTGTATTCTAGCTGTCATGCTAAGACACAGGCATGTCAGATGGTGACAGATAAAGCCTTTCAAAATACAGTTTCTGAATGTACAATGGCCTGGTGCACAGGAAAAAGCTCATCTAAAAGGAAAGTCAAGTTTTTTACACCTTGTACCCCTTACTACTAAGAAATAGGCACAAACATCAATGAGTATGTCTGTGTGTTTCTCTGACCACTATGAGAGACCTGAAAAGGCAATAGCTTCACTCGCCAGTTATGAACAGATAAAAATTTGTGCCTAATCAGTGGCACTGCCCAATGGGATGGTACTAGCCAGAAGTGAATGAATGTGATGATATAACCTCACTCAGGGTGGAAAAGAAAAATCTGTCCAGTGAGCAGACTGTTGAGTGGTATATTTTGGGTCTATGTGGCCTATAAGGAGAGATGGCCTGAGAAACAAATATATACTGATTCACTGGCAGTGGTTAATAGTTTGAAGAGAGGGTCATCAAGAACTGGTGACATAAATATTTGGGGAAAAGTTATATAGAGTGTGAGAATATTTATACATTTTGTGAAAGTTCTCCAAAGAGCCCTGTCTTAGTCTATTGTGTTGCTAAAACAAAATACCACAAACTAGAATAAAGAATAGAAATTTACGTCCTCACAGTTGTGGAGGATGAGAAGTCCAAGATCAAGGCACCAGGCACCAGCAGGTCTGGCGAGAGTCTGATCTCTGTTTCCAAGATGGTGCCTTGAACACTGAGTCCTCCAGAGGGAAGGAATGCTGTATCCTCACACGGCAGAAGGAGGAAGGGCAAAAAGGCCTCCATCAAGCCCTTTTAAAACAACATTAAACTATTTATGAAGGCTCTGCCTTCATATGCAAATACTTTCCCCACCTTCTAACACTATTGCATTGGGGACCATTTCCAATGTGTGAATTTTGGGGGATACTTCACACCACAGCAAGCCCCATTCAGGAGAGGTTCTTATAATGAGTAAGACAAGGTGACATACCCCATGGATGCTGGCTGGCCTCTTTCCCTAGCTGCCAAAGTACCTGCTCAAAGGGCTCATAAGCAATGTGGCCATGGAGGCATGGATGAATGTTCTGCTAGGGCTCAACACAGACTTAACCTACCCAAGACTGAGCTCTGCCAAATGCCCAATTTGCCAGCAATAGCAATTAATCTGAGCCTTGCCACCAACTCTCATTTCATAGGGAGATAGGCCAGTGATGGTGGGTAGATGACATTTGACCTCTTTCATCACAGAGGAGCCAATGCCTTATCTTCACTAAAATGGAGCTTTCTTCTGGATTTGGATGTGCCCTGTATGTCTGCCATGTTTCTGCCAGCCACATCATCCACAGACTTCAGGAAGGCCTCACTTGCCATCACCACCACTGCGATTCTGACAAAGCAGCTCATTTTACAGGAAACAAAATAAGACAGTAGGCTTGTAAAATTCAATGGTCTTACAAACAATCAAGCACAGCTCAACTGCAGCTGGCCTTACTCAATGGTGGAAAGGTCTATTGAAAACTCAGTTGTGATGCAAATTATGAGGCAGGACCTTGTAGAACTGGAGTAAGGTCCTAAGGGATGCAATATAGGCTCCGACCAGCAGAACATGTGCTACCTTGGCCAGATACATGGTTCCTGGAACGAAGGACTGGAAAAGCGAGGTGACCACCTCAGCAAACGTTTACGTTCCATCCCCATGACTCTGCTTCCTTAGTACTCAAAGGATGATTATAACACAGATGATAACAATGAATCGGGCTGAAAGTTCAAAGTACCATGTGACTGTTTCAGGCTCTTTATGGCAATATACAAACAGGCCAAAGGGGAGTTGAAATGCTGGCTCATGATGAGATGAATGGAGGGAGAGAGGTATATAGACAAAAAAAAAAAAAAAAAAAAAAAAAAAATGTAATCAGTTCTACCTGGTGAAACATACCCAGTGCTAAAAGTTAACTAAAACAATGGCAATCTCATCAAGGCAGGACCACTGGCAGCTCAAATCCTGGGGGAATGAAGGTAAAGAATGCTAATCAGATGAGTTACAGGCGAAGAACACAGGGAATACAAAATAAATAGAGGAGGGAAGATACAAACATCAACTACTTATTTCACAGTTACAGAAATTAGAATGGTAGCATCTACCTACCTCACTGTCCTTTGCTGCATCATGTATTTATTTATACATCAGTTACTTTTTTGGCTGTTTCCCTACTATTTTATTTAAGGTTTGTTGGCAGTAGTTCACTTCATTATTTAGTTGAAAAGTTAACAAATATGGGCTGGGAATGAACTAGAAGGGGAGTAAACATCACTTAGAAGTCCTGGACTTGGAGCTGGGACTTGAGACTCTGGGTCATCTCTTTTGAAGGATATGTGGTGAGCACATTTCCTTTGTAGTTGGGAAAGTCAGGCTGTTAGGCAATAGCTTGTTGTTACTGATTAGAAGCTCATGGAAGAAGGAAGCCAAGAGGAAAGTTATTAGTGGATATTTGTAACTTGTGTCCACCCACTCAAAATTGTTGACCATCATCCTATGTTTTGATGACTTTCCACATTTTATAAGTGTCACTTTCCCAAGGTAAAAGCCAAACATTTTGCCTCCCCTGACTCACTTGTAACTAGGAGACAACCATGAAATCTAGTTTTGCCTTGTGGTGGACTCAAAAGGGAAAAAACAGCACAAGGCTGTGGCCACAGGCCGGGCAGTCAGTCTCTGCAGGGTGGGGCAGAGGATGAGGCTCGGCAAAGCTTCTGATACGTGGTCCTAAGCATCACAGGGAGCATGTCTCAAAGCTGTCCCCGACTCATGGCTGAGGCTGTTTTGCGTAGCTTCACAACAGGGCTCTCCAGCACTCCCCGAGATCCTATGAGCTATCTAATATCTTTAATCAACTTCTTCTCTGCTTAAGAGCCAGACCCACTCTGGCTAGTCTCAAGCAGAGAAAAAGTGAAATAAAGAATGTCAGGCAACTAAGGTTCCTGACCACAGAGGGTTTCAAGCTGGGAGCTATCACATTTTTGCCTTCAAAAGGCCACTCTGGCAGCAGAGGTGTGGATGAATTAAGAGGAAAATCACAGGCTGTGGCATTAATTTAAGAGCTGATCAAGACGGGCCTCGACCAAGGGAGTGACAAAAGGAAAAAAAAAATTAGGAGGGAAAAGGCAAAAACCACAAACCTAAACTATAAATATGCAGTTCTGTCAGTAAACACATAAAAACACACAGATAAATAAAAATCAAAAAGCACAATATCTCCTTTTTTGATTTTTGGACTGTCAGTCTGGCAAAAATTAAAAACACTGGTAATACCCAATATTGGCAAGGTTAAGAGGAAAAAACATTAGTGAGGCAGAATTGATGGGAATTGACAGTCAAGTCTTTAAAAAGCCTTATACCATTAATTTTTACTGATACTGAAATAAATTTTCAGTAACTCTTAAAAACAATGAGGCTATTGGCAATGTCTGTACTATGCTGTTCTTTGACCAAGTTTGTGAGTAATTTTCATACTCCTTTATATCATATAATTGGAAAAACAGCCTCCAAGTCATTTATGCAAATTGTTTATAAAGAAATCTCAAAGCATAAAAAATATTAATATTATTATAGCAATGAGCAAAGTCACCAGCCTAGAGACTTCAGCTTATCCAGGGTTGTATATTAAGTATATATACCCAAGTTGAGGCATATTCCAATATATGGATCTGGAAATGTAACAAAAGGTAAGGAACTCATGCAAATGAGAGAAGATATCCAATTTACACAAAAGCATAAACAATCCACATTCATCCAAACTACCTACACAGAAACAACAACTCTATTTTCAGGGAACATGAGACATAGAACTGAAGACTGAGGAGGAAATAGGCATGGCTTTTTGGTTAGTGGTTTTGAACTTGGTTTTGAAACAGGCTTAAAAGACTATAGGATCAGCTGAAAACAGGCAGTTAGATAAATGTATAGAGAGATGTTTTTGGCACTGATGACAAAGTAAAAGCATGAATCAATTTCTGTTTTTAGTGATGCTGTTAATAAACAATATAAGACGGTGGTATACCATGGCGTGTCCCTCTTGTCCCTGCAGGTGTCTAGATCTACACAGCCTAGAACAAAATGAACCTCTGTCATCAGTGAAAATCAATCCTGTGGTCGAGCTGGGTCCACAATGCTCATACCTTTTAGAAATTGACAGTTTAGCAAGAGTCTAAGCATTTATTAACCAATCCCTACCAAAATACCAATGACATTCTTCACAGAAATAGAAGAAAGTAACACTATAATTTGTATGGAACCACAAAAGACCCAAATAGCCAAAGCAACTGTGAGCAAAAGAACAAAGCTGGAAACATCATACTACCTGATTTCAAAATATACTACAAAGCTATAGTAACCACAACAGCATGGTATGGTTATAAAAACAGACACATAGAGCAATGGAACAGAATAGAGAACCCAGAAATAAGTTCACTTATTTAGAGCCAACTGATTTTTAACAAAGGTGCCAAGAACCATATTAGGGGAAAGGACACTTTCTTTAATAAATGCTGCTGGGAAAACCGGATATCCATATGCAGAAGAATGAAACTGGGCCCCTATCTCTCACTGGATACAAAAATCAACTCAAAATGAATTAAAGACTTGAATTTAAGACCCAAAAACTAAAAAACTACTAGAAGAAAACCCAGAGGAAACTCTTCAAGACATTGGTCTAGGCAAGGATTTTATGAATCAGACTTCAAAAGCACAAGCAATAAAAACAAAAATAGAAAAATGGGACTATATCAAACTAAAAATCTTCTATACAGCAAAGGAAACAATCAACAGCATGAAGAGACAACCTGTAGAATGGAAGACAGTATTTGCAAACTATTAATCTGACAAGGGACTAATGTCCATAATATACAAAGAACTCAAATAACTCAATAGCAAATAAGCGAATCTGATTTTAAAATGTGCAAAGGATTTGAATATTTCTCAAAGGAAGACATACCCATGGCCAACAAGTATATGAAACATTGCTTAACGTTATTAATCATCAGGGAAATGCAAATCAAAACCACAATTAGATATCTCACCGCAGTTAGGATGGCTATTATCAAAAAGACAAAAACTAACAAGTGCTGGCAAGGATGTGAAGAAAAAGGAACTCATATACATGATTCACGGGAATTTAAATTAGTACAACCATTATGGAGAACAATTTGGAGGTTCCTCAAAAATCTACAAATAGAATTACCATATGACCCACCAATCTCCCTACTAGGTATTTTAACAAAAGAAGAAAATCAGTATATTGAAGAGATCTGTACCCCCTTGCTTACTGCAGTGCTACTCACAATAGCTAAGATAACGGAATCAATCTAAATGTTCATCACCAGATGAATGGATAAAGAAAACGTGCTGTATGTATACACAATGGAATACTATTCAGCAATATATACAAAAAAATAAATAAATAAAATAAAATCTGTCATTCATGGTGATATGGGAGAGGGGCAAGGAAGTGCTGGGTAGAGAAGGGCAGGGTCCCTGGTGAGGGCTCCACCCTTGGGCCTGTGCCCACAGACCTAGGTGAGGACAGGCACTCCTGTTTTCACGCCCAAATGTTGTATTTTCCAAGAACACCATGGCCTACCACGCCCCCCATCTTGTGCCTATAAAACCCCCCGAGACCCTAGCGGGCACACACACAGGCGGCTGGACAACAAGAGGAGCAGAGGAACGGAAGAAGTTGTTCTGACAGGCACCAGCAGATTCCGGCAGGCCATGGACAGCGGGATAACGTGAAATTCTGCCAGGGGCAGTCGGAGAGTCCGGCAGCTGGGCGGCCCAACTCCAGGGGAAGACCACCTTCCCACTAGATCCCCCTTCTGGCCTCTCCATTCACCTCGCGGAGAGCCACCTCCACTCAGTAAAACCTTGCACCCATTCTCCAAGCCCACGTGTGATCCAGTATTTCCGGTACACCAAGGCAAGAACCCGGGATACAGAAAGCCCTCTGTCCTTGAGATAAGGCAGAGGGCCTAATCGAGTAGATTAACGCAACCCGCCTGCAGACGGCTAAACTGAAAAAGCACATTGTAACACACGCCCACTGGGGCTTGAGGATCTGTAAACACTCAACCCTAGACGCTGCTGCAGGATTGGAGCCCATGCTTCCTATGAACTGCCCGTCTGTATGTTCCCCTAAGGGTTGAGCCGCAGGGCACCGATGACACATCCCCATCCCACGCCCTGTTTCAGGGATAAGGTATCTTTTCCTGTTTCAATAGCAACACGGATGAGCCCAAAGGAAATTAAGTGAAGTAAGTCCGGCACACATACACGATGGAATACTACTCAGCCATAAAAAGGAATGAATTAATGGCATTCTCAGCAACCTGGATGGGACTTGAGACTATTATTCTAAGTGAAGTAACTCAGGAATGGAAAGCCAAACTTGTAAGTGGGAGCTAAACTATGACGATGCAAAGGCATTAAGAATGGCACAATAGACTTTGGGGACTCAGAGAGAAAGGTGGGGAAGGGAGTGAGGGATAAAAGACTACAAATCAGGTTTAGTGTATACTGCTTGGGTGATGGGTGCACCAAAATCTCACAAATCACCACTTAAGAACTTACTACTATAACCAAAAAAAAAAAAAGAAAAAAGAAAAATAGATATATAGACATATTAAAATTTGATGATGTAATCAGAAAATAAGAAAATAAAATATCACATGTTCTCACTCATATGTAGAAGCTATTTATTAAAAAAATTGAGCTCATACAATCAGAGTTGTGAGTATTAGAAGACTAGGAAGGATGGGGAAGGGAAGGATAGGAAGAGGTTAGCTAATGGATATAAGACTACCACTAGAGTAAGTTCTAGTGTTCTATAGCACTATAGGGTAAATATGGTTAACATTAATTTATTGTATATTTTTTAAAAAAACATAAGTGAGGATTTTAAATGCTCACAACACAAAGAAATGATAAATGCTCAGGTGATAGATATGCTAATTACTCTAATTTGAAAATTACACATTGTATACACGTATCAAAATATCACTCTGTATCCTATGAATGTGTACAATTATTAAGTCTACTAAAAATAAAAAAACCTTAAAAATAAAAAACAATCCTTTAAACAATTTACAGTTTCCTTAGGAATGTTTTATTTGCTATTTTTATACATTTTGCCTACCATTAAAAGTCCTGAGGGCTCTTCAGTTAATTTTCTTTACCCAAACAAAGTATCTTCATTAGGACATATTTTTAAAATGTATCACTATACTAACATGACAGTCAGAGTCAAACATAATTGCCATCTCTACGGAGCAGAAATTCTATTTATTTTTTGTCCAAAATCAAAGTGCTCTGTGCCTACCTTTTAAGGACAAGGGATTGGATCTTGTGAATTCTGCATTTGATGGCCTGTGCTGTTTGCGAACTTCCAAGTACTCCTGAACTCTTGAATCAATGGTTTCTTTTAACAGTAAACAGACTTCCTAAAGCAAATAAAAAATTAGATATAACCTTCAAATTTAATGCAAAAAAATTAACATATATATTAAAAAGTTAACAATGAACATTTCATTTCATTTTGCTTTTTAATTTAGCTGTGAATGTTGAAAGGAATGTCATATGTGCTCATGAATAACACCGCAAATTTAAATTTGCTACTGAAGTTTGCTCGAAACCATGATGTTGGCTCACTGTGTGATCTGGGAAAGTCATTTCATTTCTTTCTGCCTCAGTTTCATATTTCTAAAAGAAAGATAAAAATATTTCAGTGTAAACATCAGGGCAAGGAGGTAATAAGTATGGTAAAGAATGCTTTCATATAAGTATCAATCAGTTGTACTGTGACAAATAGAAGAAATAAGTCAAGAAGAGCCAACACTGGCTGGCATCAAGGGCCCCAGGGAAACACCCAGTGTGGCCAGGGGACTGTAGACAGGGATGGGGCCAGGAGTAAGGGCATATTCATCCACTGCTGGTGCAACGGCATGGGGAACCCACACCACAGCCCAGTCAACAGCAAGCAGCCCCCCATGGTTTTAGGGGACTGTTTCATGTTTATAGGCACAGTGTTGCTAGATCTTTGTTCAAAAGGAGTCAGAAACAGTAATTTTTATATAAACTATCCCATTTTTCAAACTTGGTCTAAAAATTTTTAAAAATCTAAACACCATCATTCATTAGTTTCTGGTCTTGGGTTTACAAATCTACTCAAGAAGGAAACTGTTGAGCAGTGAGTTAAGCAGAGAACTGGAAATCACTAATCCTATTTTCTTCTACGCTCTTGTTGATGATACTGTATATGCCTTTGTTTTTGTAAAAACGTACTACACTCATGTACTAACAGTGAAAATAATATAATTTCTCTAAAGTAGATTAACATTTATTAGGCGACAGAAACACATGGTTTTAATTCAATTTCAGTATTCCTTATCACTAGTAAGTTTCAGGATAGGTCAATTGTTTTATTGTTTTGGTGTTATTTATAATAAAGGTAAACAAAAATTTAAGCCCAACACAATGGGAAGATACTCTTTGCAGTTGTTTCCTGCACTAACAGGAAATTGTGACCTAATGTAGAAAAAGAGAGTAAAATCATACACAAATCTAAATTTCTTAATTTAGATTAAGAACTGATGTATAAGAACTGATGATTCCTGTTTAATTCCCAAAGACTGCAGAAAACTCAGAGTTGCCCAGGTCACCTCAAACCTGTTTTGCTGGTTTCTTGCAATGTCATCTCAGGTTGATCTCTTAGAATCTTCACAAATTAAAACAACAAAATTTTTAGCTGTTCTAAAGAGCAATGATAGCAAAACTTTTCCTTTATTAAAAACACTTGTACTCCTCAAACAATATAGAAAACCCTTGATTTAACTCATGAGTGTGAGTTTCTAGATAAAGTACAAACACTGGTTTCCTCTCTCCTGCTTTTCATGTTGCAGCCTAAAGATGCAGTGCCTCATGGAATACAGAGATATCCCTTTACAGTTGAGTGTTTCGGCATTGTTCACACAACAAAAAGGCAGCCTTGCCGCCTCATAGGTTTTTTTTTTTTTAAAAAACAATTAAAGAATTTTGCTTCACATGCAGAGTTCAACTATGACTGGGCTAGAAAATATGTGAAAGACATACATGGAAACAAGGATTGCTAAAATTTGGCTATAAATGCCCTATAAGGCTAAAACTAAAAATAGCATGACAAAAATAAAGCAAAGGCTCATACACACAAACTTTCTCCCTCTAGCTGTGGGGCTTTCCTTCTGTGAGTCAGTTTGACGAATGCAAGGTAGACCAAGTGCAGTGTGATAGACACCAGTAACCGACCACACCACACGTCATGAAGCTTTCTCTTCAGAACCACAACAATGCAAGAAAAGAAAACTTCTCAGCTACCTTTGAGGGGCAGATAAGAAGAACAAGTTAAAATCAGTGCTCAAGACAGAGATGCAGAGGGCATCTCTAGGCTAACGGGCTGTGCTCGCTTCCTCGAGTTGACACATGGAACAGTTTGACTTCAACTGTTTGGGTACAAAGACTACTCGTGCTGCACTCAAAATAAACATATGTTAATACATGTAATTAGTTCTTTTTTCTAAAAAGGAACTGGATATTCTTAGGCTTTCACTGTATAAAATGACTGTTAAAATGGAATCAAATTGGTTGCTCATAAAATCCCAATCATGAGAGGATCTAAGGATAAAGAAGATGAAAGCCTGGGGACACTGAACCTAAGCTAAAGTCATAGCCTTTCTTCAACTAGCTTTTCTCCTTTCTTACGCACACACAAATGATCCCAGAGGAATTTTAACATCAGCGAATTGTTTTTTTTTTTTTTTTTTTTTGAGACAGGGTCTCACTCTGCCACCCATGGTGGAGTTCAGTGGCATGATCACAACTCTCACTGCAGCCTTAACCTCCTGGGCTCAAGTGATCCCCCCACCTCAGCCTCCAGAGTAGCTGGGATTCCAGACACAAGCCACCACATCTGGCTAATTTTTATACTTTTTATAGAGATGGGGGTTCACCATGTTGCCCAGGCTGGTCTTGAACTCCTAGACTCAGGCAATCCGCCTGCCTTGGGCTCCCAAAGTGCTGGGATTACAGGTGTGTGTCACTGCACCTGGCCAATATACATTTTAAAAGGGCAAATTAAAGAAGCAGCAGCAAACCGACCATTTGGTTTTGAGAGGCAAGCTCAGCCTGCTACAGCGACCTGCCCCTTGCAGCTGCCAGTGCAGCACTGCTCTGCAGGTCCTGTCATGCACTGCACAGCTTTGCTAAGTCATGCCCTGCTGCCCTCAAGTAGGTACTATGAGCATCCACGCAGCTGCATGTGGCTCCTAAAAAAACAAAAACCTAGCCTCACGCTTTGGCTATGAGGTGATTCACACACCCAGGGCTTTATTCTAAAGCATTCCAAATTAACTGAATCTTGGGCAAAACGGACTCAATATTAACAAGAAAGGTCTAAGGCCGATAAAGGTCTAAGGTGGCAAAGCCGAAAGGGAATGGAGAACAGGCCTGGAATGGTGGATTCCATAACATTGTTAATTTAAGTCAAGTCAGAAGATTTTGGGGTGAGGTCCCCTTGGGTGACTATTGGTCACTTTGGGGAAACGAGTGAACAGTTTTGAATCACAGCAACATGCGTTAGTAAGCTAGGAGTGGAATTATATGAAGGTAAGTGGCAGTAGGAGATGTTGATTGACTTGCTAAATATTTAAAAGTCCTGAAGAGAAGAGTCCACAGTTATTTACCTGAATGATAAATCCCACCATACAGAACCTTGTGCCTTCCTTTTCTCAGCTTTAGGTCACCAGGTATTCTTTGCAAAATAATGACAGCAAAGTCTTGATAATATTATCCTTTGAATGAAAATGTATTATCCTATAAAATCTTTTTTGGGGGGTGGGGATCTTTTTTCTAGTGAGCTCCAAAAGCTAATTAAAAGCAATTATCACAGAAAAGGGTGGCTTTTTGTTTTTTCACCACTGTCAATAGTTTCTTCGCCATATACTATATTTTAACAAATCTGATTTTTATTTCTCAGTCTAAAAAGCAACTGTGGTAAATGGACATCACGGATAATGATATTTTTAAAGGTGTGTAAAAGCCACAAGCTGGTTACTCCTGCTCTCTGGTGAGCAGGGATCAGAGAAGGAGGCAAAGCAATGGTGAGAGCTCAGTGCAGCTTGTAAGCCTCCACCACAAGCAGCACTTGGGTGGGATTGTTGAAACTTAGAACCAGGAGTGAATTTGGCATCTAGGCAAACCTCTTCACTTTCAGATGAGGAGGCTGAGGCTCAGTGAAGTCCAGCATCATGCTCTGCTAAGCCCCCGGCTACTGGCTTTCCTGACTGACCATTGTGAGAAGGAACACCGTCAAGTATTTCCTGACTTGTCAAAGGCTCATGATAATACAAGGATGATAGAAAATAAAAGCTGAGGCTTTAAGATGGGTGTGAAGGTTCAGCCTTGTGTTAACTGCCACACCTGCTTCAGGTGCTCAGGCCATCCTTCACAACCAGTCAGGTTAAAATCCCTGATTACTGAAATAGTCACTTTAACTTCTTCTTCTTCTTCTCCTCTTTTTGAATATATAGAAATCCTTCCCCCAAAACAAAGAGGTATAAAATGTCTGGTTTAAATAATACAGTATCATATGAAGTTTATGAATGTGTCAGTTTCTGAAGGAAAAAAAAAGTGGGTGCATATGTGTCTGTCATTGGGAATACAATTGTTTTTCAAGGATTAAATACGCAACATTTTTTTCCCACTAACAGAAATGAAAGCTGGAAAGAGCTGATATTTCTTATAGCAGCAGCAGCTACTTGCAATTAAATAGTAGAAAGTTTTGTTGTACCTCTTTCTTCTGTTCAGAAAACCAGCTTGTATCTTTGTTTGAACCTTGTGGCAAGATATGAAGATCCACGAGGACAGCAAAATTCCCACACTGAAAGACATTAATGGCAGAGTCAGTGTCTGTGCGGCTCATGCCCAGCAAACAATGAGAGAAAATCTCACAAATTCCTATGTGGTTGCTCATGATGAAATGGCAACAAAGTTCACTACTAGACAGAACTTTTAATAAAGAACATGGTTACAGGTCATAATCTACTACTTTCCCTAAGTTTAACATTTACAGTGGAAATGCTAAGGAGAGATGCAATGTTAATCAAGACAGGAAAGACAAAATATCTGTCTCTGGGCTGCACCTTGAAAGGGGATGTCCAAGCATCCCGGCAGCAGTTGGAAGACGTGAAGCATCGAGAGAAGTTAAATAGGTCAGTACTAGGTAGGCTCCACAAAAGAATGATTCCATGCACAGCCAGGGGAATTCTTTCTTCTAAGCAGCAAATAACAGATATAAGATACTGCATTTTTAGACGGACAAAAGGATTGGCTAGGACGGTACACTTTGGAATTGAAATAGGAACATGGAAGAATGAGAAATAAGCAAGAAGATAAAGATACATACTGAATGCTAGTTAACAAAACAAAACAAAATTCATTAAAGTATGCTACAAAACTGTACAAAGCCTGACTCTGTTCTTATTCTATAGGCTAGCGCTGTCCAGCACTTTAGAAAATAATGGAAATATTCTATATATATGCTGTTCAATAAGATAGCCATATGTGGCCGTATGTGGCCATATGTGGCTGCTGAGCACTTAAAATGTGGCTATTGTAACTGATAAGCTACATTTTTAATAAAATTTAAATTAAATTTAAGTAGCTACATGTAGCTAGTGGTTCCATACTGGATAGCACAGTTACAGACCCTGTGAAAAGTTGTTGCCTTATAAATCCTCACATATGAGTGAAGTAATTTCTGAGAATCACAAGATAACTGTGAACAAACTAATTTGGTAAGGAATGGGACACCAAGGTTGGGGATGGTCTGAGAGACCCAGAGATTCGGTTTATGAGACTCAGAGGTTCAGTTTTTTCACTTCCTTGGCTGGACAGTTTTGTTTTTTTTTTTTTAAATTCTGTCCTATATATCAACAGTGAAAGGAAAGTAGTTTCAACAAATGGTTAGACCATCAGATGTAAATATAAAGTGAAACTTGACACCTACCTCACGCTATATACAAAATTTAATTTGAGATGGATCACACACCTAGACAAAAAAGCCAAAACTATCTTCCTGATCTTTGGAATAGGAAAAGATTTCTTAGGATCCAGAAAGCACCAAATATTGAGAAAAATAGTTGTAAAATTGTTAAATTTTCAAAATTAAAAATTTCTGTTAACGAAAAAAGCACCACTAATAAAATAAATAGGTATGTTACAGACTGGGAGAAATGTATTTATGTATTCAAAAATACATGTATCTGGCAAAAAGGACTGGTACCCAAAATATGTAAAGAACTCCTACAAACTGATATTTTTAAAAAAAGCAAAACAAAAAACCTGAGTTTGAATAGACACTTCACAAATAGGATAAATGAATGGCTAATAAGAAAATGAAAAAAGTGTTCAATATCATTAGTCATCAGGCAAATTAAAATTAAAACCACCAAGAGATACAACTACAATACCCACCAGAATGACTACAGTTAAAAAGACTGACATAACATGAAATGTTGGTAAGGATATGGAACAACCCAGACTCTCATACTTTCCCAGTGGAAATGTAAGATGGTCTAACCACTCTGGCAAATGGGTTTGTCAGTTTCCTGTAGCTAAACGTACATTTACTTATCAACTGAGCCAATGATTCCTTCCCAGGTGTTTACTCAAGAGAGATGAAGTATATGTGCACACAAAGACTTGTATGCAAATATTCATGGAAGTTTTATTTATAATAACCCAACGTGAAGACAACCCAAAAGTCTACAACAAGAGAACAAATTGTGCCATATTCATGCAAGGGAACACTACTCACCACACTACCGATAGACTCAACATGTATTCATCTCAAAAACATTAGGTTGAGCAAAAGAAACCAGACCAAAATAACATATACTGTATGGTTCCATCTATATATAATTCTAAAACAGCAAAATCAACGTGTGATGAAAGGAATCAAAACAGTAATTTCCCAGGGGGGTAAAAAACTGGGTGAGAACTGTCACAAAGGAACTTTGTATGTGATAAGACTATTCTGTATCTTGATGGGGTATGTTATGTATACACTGCAATCAGTTCCTTTCACTATATTTAAATTATACATCAATAATAAACAATTTTTAAACACTGTGTAAAATGCACTCATACTTGTTGGCAGTTATTTAAAATGTAGGTATTACGTCCCTGAAAATGTGTGGGAGACCCAAATGAAGTTTACCAGGTAATAAACTGTGAAGCATGTTGAAAGATGGTTTCCTACGATGTAAAAGAGTGCACTTTAGTGTGTTACAGTTTAGTGTGTTGCAACCAGCATTTTATTTTAATGAAAGAGAACTGAAGATAATATTAGAATGCAATACAAAATATCAATGTGTCATATGGTTAGATCAAGAATTGTTTTGTGAAATGTAAGTAAGTGTGTACTCAGTTATGATGGAAAGCCTATTTCTTATTGTGGGTTGTAATAAAAAATGTTTGAAAACCACTCAAGTATACTGTTAAAGTCCTTCTCAACTGTTGGTTACAGAATTTAACCTTTAAGGAGTATGCTGCCACCAGGTGGAGGTCGCATGCCACAACTACAGGATCTTAGCCACGGAATATTAACCTTTCCTGTGCCATGGACTTATTTAGCCAACTGTGAAGCTGATGAAAGTTGCTCAGAATAATATTTTTAAATGCATGAAACACAACACATAGGATTAACAAGAAAACCAATTACACTGAAGTACAGTTATCTTAACGAAAGAAAAATTTGAGACATAGGAATGTATGTCCTTGTTTATTAAGGCATTGGGTCTTGTCACATAGTGATGGATCTAGTACTACTACAAATCTGAAGTGGCGATAAGCATAAATGATATCTTCATTATCTGCAACAACCTTAATGTAATATGAAAAGAGCTATAATTTCTAATGGTGACAAATACTGCTAATATTATTCATATTTTGATTATGAATCCCACGTTCATAATAAAAAGGAAAACTAAATTTACTAGAACTTGATCACAATAAAGACGTAACTTTTTCCCATGCAAGTTCACTGGCCTCTGAATTCAATCACAGGCCCATTGAAGTTCCAAGGATTCTGGAATAAAAGCCCTTCCAAAGCGGTAAAACATGTCTCAACACATTTTATTGCAGGTTCCTACAGGTGCTCTTTCCTGATTTTTTAATCTAAACCAAGTTCACTGCTACCTTTTCATTAGCAAAACTAATTGTTTTTTTTTCTTGTAACCCTCCTACCACCGCAAAACTAATTCTTTAAAAAAAAAAAGGGGGTGGGGGGAGGGGAATCTTAAGCTTAAGCAACTTGAATTGATACTGTAACAGCAGCTTGCTGAAGAATTAACCTAATAGTAAGGTCCAATTTGGTATTTTTCTCACCATTTTGTGACTTTGATCACAAATAACCTAGTCTAAGTTTGAAAATAAACAGATTGAGTAGAATGTCTCTTTTTAGAAAAATAAATTGTCAAATCTTACTGTGGTGAGCAGACTTTCCTGGGGTTTCTGGAAGCCTCCACTGTTTGGCAGGCAGTCCCCTCCCCCGCAGGGGGCTCTCCCTCTGCAGCCTGCAGTTCTGAGCTCTCTCAACTCCCTCCCACACTAGGCAGAGGTATTCTGCCTTTCCAAAGTTCCCTGCTCTCAAAGCTTTGCTTCTTGTCACTCATGAGAAAACAGAAGTGAAAAAAAAAAAGAAAAAAAAAAGAAAAGAAAGCTTCTTACACTGCCAGCAGCACAGCCTCCCTTTCTCCTCCTCCTAATTAGGAGAAGGTTATTTCTAGTCTCAGAAGATCAACTCTCCAGCTTTCTTCTGAGAGAAGCAACATGGTAACCATCACTTCTTTCTCAGCCCAGAACTGGTCACTCTGCAGAGGCCAAGCCACCTCTTGAGCAACCATCAGGCTGCTAGGAATAGCTTCACATTGCATGCACTGGGCTGCGAGTCCCCCAGCCAGGGTCTGGTCTGGCTTCTATCCCCTCCACCCAGAGGATTCAGCCAACAACAGGGGTGTCACCCCCAACTCCTCCCTTCCCCTAACCCTCCAGAATCAGTCACGCATCTTGTCCATTTTAATTTTTTAGAGCGTTCTCACACACACTTCTCTCTTGCTCTGCTGCTCCTATCTTCTCCCACTTGGAAGATTACAGTCACTTCTGTTGGTGTCCTGGATGAACCCTCAATGCATATCTGGGAAATCTCTAACCTATAAATCGGATCAGTCCACTCCTGCTGCAGCTCAGAGCAGCAACTCACAAGCTCTAATGAGGCCCATGTCTTTGTCTCCTGCACCTGACGTTTTCATCCTTGGCTTACATTACAACTTGCCTCGCTGCTTCCATGCTTGTTGAGATCCTATGCATCCTCGAACCCTAGCAGGAGTGTGGTCAACTCTGTGAAGCTATTCTGAACAGTTTCTCTTTCCCTGCTCTGGACCAGCCCATTCTTCATGTGATTATTTATTTCTACATTAAGTGACTGGTCCATGTAGGGCCCCCATCCTAGGCTATAAGCCATGGAGACAGGTCTATACCTCTGCCAATCTTGCATCCCCAGTGACCAACACACTACCAGCCCTCAGTGAATACTTAATATTTAATGAAAGGAAGACAAATGAAAAAAACAAATGACAGAACAAGTTAGCCCCAAGAATTGGGCAAATCACAGCCTTGTCTGCAAAGGGAGAGCTCTAAGCCCTTTCCAGGGACCAAGCCGTTACTATTCGGCCCAGTGCACTGATACATCATAGAACAACTTCCTCTCTCCCTATTCTGGAGTAGCGACAACTCTGCCATCAGCAACAACAAGCAGTCATTTTTCATATTTCGTGAAATGGGAATACAAGAATCTTAGGATTACTTCACTGGAAACTCACTGCCAACTGAACGTGTTGGTTATTTTTCCTATCTCTTTCCTAAGAATTCCAGAGGTGCAACTCACACTATTTCCAAGTCCTCGGAGGTGGGAGGTCTTGTCTTCTGTGTTTACATTAAATATAAGAATAAAGGTGAAAATATTAACATTTCTCACCCACAAAGCCATCTCTGGAGCAGACTCAGAACTCTTAAGAGATGTAGAAAGGTCCCCACATTCTCTCATGCACTCATTGATCATCTGAAACACCTGCTGAGTTTCACAGGGGCACTAGCCAGGCCCTGAGAGAGGGAGGGGCAGCAGCTGGGCACTGTGGCATGTGTGACCACGGCACATACCCAAGTACCAGAGGGAGCGGAGTGACAGCTCTGCCTGAGGAAGGTGAGGGAAGGGGAGGTGGTGTCGCAGTCAAGTACTGAGGAACAGGGAAAGGAGTGCAGAAGGAAAAATGAATAACGCCCCATGCAGAGAAAGAGCTCGCGTGCTTTGGAGACGGAAAAGAGTCTCAATGCAGAAACACAGGGCATTGCTGGCAGATGGGGCCAATAGGGCAGGAAGGCTCAGGCCACAGAGGGGCCCTGGACAGGCTGAGGAGGCTGGTGGGCTGGAGGGCTCTCTTGGGTAGGAGTGTGGAGCATGGGCGGGCAAGGGGAAATCACTGGAGCCAGGCAGACAGGTTCAAAGCCACTGCAGGAACCCAAATAAGAGATCAAGCAAGGTGATCTCGAGGTGAAGGGGAAGGGGCACATTTGAGGGACACTCAGAAGACAGAAGTAAGAGGATGTGGTTGGGTGTGAGGGAGAGGAAGGACAAGGGTGAGGCCCAAGGCATGTGGTCCGTTTCTACCACGCCCACTGGGTTTCCAGAGGCAGCTTACATACATGGGTCTGTCGCTGAGAAGCCACACAAATCGTCATTGGCATTTTACACCTACCTGGCATTGAGGGTATAAGGCAGCTTCAAGTAACGAGGCAAAGATTAAAAATGGGGAGAATAAGTAAAAGCAAACAAGGGTAAAAACATAAGATGAAACCGATGATAGGCCTGCACGAAATTCCCACCATAGTCCCAAGTCTCTGCAACATCTGGCTCTGAGATTCCTAGGTACAAATGTGAAAAATACAGCACCAATCAGAGTCAAGAAGATGAGAAGGAATTCATGCTGAGGATAACTGAATCATTTCTGATACTACAGCTAGAAAGAGTTTCTCCTAAAGGCTTCCTCAGAAGACATGGAAATTTTCTTCCTGGAGTGTGAATTTTACAAAAAAGTTCTAGAAAACATATTAAATATTTTCATATTACCACAAACTGCATATATCTTACAATGCAAAATTTTATAGTGATGTGATTAAACAATCACAGTTTAAAATATTGATTGCCATTTACAGAGCACCTATGTTCCAGGCACTGTGCTAAGTTTTACTCAGAGCATTCAATTAAATCCTTGCCACTCTGGTGAAGGAGCACAATGATTATTTGCATTTCGTAGATAAGGAAGCTGAATTCGGGAAGGTCTAGTCCAAGATTACACAGGCAGTGAGTGCCAGACCCAGGAATCAAATCCAGATCTGAGAGACTCCACATTGCCAGACATTACTCTGAGGAAATTTAACCCCTGTGGAAGGCTACTCAGGACACACTTCCAGCCTCATGTGGGAGCACGTTTAGGCTGTCTAGCCTGGAACCCACTCCCCTTTATTTGGGAGCTGGCCCCTATCCCCTCTAGGTGAGCAATGGCAGCCAAGTGTGCCCTAAAACAGCCTACGCCTTAGTGCCTGGTGACTGCACCAGGGATTCTCAACAGGGTCCCACAGCTCCTTTCCCTGGGCAGCCTGATTCCATGTCTGATTCCATTCCAACACAGATACGGAGAGCTCACTGTAGGGCCCCATGCCACTGTAGGGCCCCATGCTGAAACACAAGTGCAGTGAGGCAGTGAAAGCCTCACTGTAGAAAGAACGAGGTGGGAGGGGTGGTTAGGGAAAAGAAAAGGTGAAGAGGGGAAAGAAAAGAATGCAGCAGAGGATGACAGCAATAAACCCTGCAAGAGGTGGGGTAGAGCTGTGAGGGTAGAAGAGAAGTCTCCTAACATTAAGAATCCCTATCCAGAGAGTTAAAAGCTGAAGAAAAGTCAATGCAAGTGTGTTGTCAATTGAATTCCCTTGGCCAGTTACTCACGTGAAACACTGGCCCAGGAAATCCAAGCTTGTAGTTTACATATAAGAAAGGGAACCAGCATACCTTTTGGATGGCATACTCAGTAAACTAGCAGACAGGTCAGGAGATGGGAGAATAAAGAGTCATTCTGTTGGAATATGCTATATATTTAGTCCAATTGCAAAAATCTACTAATGGTGAACAAGCTGGCAATAACAATAAGATTCATGGAGCGCTTGTGTGCCAGACTTGGTGTCAAGCCCTTTCTGTACATTATTGCATTTAATTCTCGTGACAACTCACAAAGCAGAAACTATTACCCCTTGGCGTTCTGGAAACACTGAGAAATTTAAAAGCACTCTTTCTCTTTTAGGAGATCGCTGGTGATCATGACTGGGTTTTGTTTGGTGCGGTGCCTTGCCAACCTGGCAATACTTGTCAGGTGGGGTACAAGGAACACTCCATAATCTCAGTAACAGAATTAGACACAGCCTGAATATGAGATCATAACACACAAAGAAGGCCTGGAGAGGCCGGGTGTGGTGGCTCACACCTGTAATCCCAGCACTCTGTGAGGCCAAGGCGGGAGGATCACAAGGTCAGGAGATTGAGACCATCCTGGCTAACATGGTGAAACCCCGTCTCTACTAAAAATACAAAAAAATTAGCCGGGCGTGGTGGCGGGCGCCTGTAGTCCCAGCTACTCGGGAGGCTGAGGCAGGAGAATGGCATGAACCCGGGAGGCGGAGCTTGCAGTGAGCCGAGATCATGCCACTGCACTCCAGCCTGGGCGACAGAGCGAGACTCCGTTTCAGAAAAAAAAAAGAAGCCCTGGAGAAAGCCCTTTGATGACTAATAGGAGAATGTCCTGGTGCAGGAAGTCCAAAGACCATGAATCTCTTCTAATAATGCCCCAGTTTAGGAGGCGTTGAACCACCTCCTTTCTCTACTGTCAGTTTCCCTATATACAAAATGAGTGGACTGAACTAAATTGCCTTCAAGGTGCCTTCCCTTTAAGATCTCATCTCCTGGTCATTTTGGTTTGCAACCATTTACTTGGATTCTACCTGCACACATAGTGTCTGTCCTCCTGTGGAGGTTATAAAAGTGTCACACTGAGACTAGCACCTCATACTGTCCTCTGTCAGTCCACTATGGGCCATCCACCAGGTGGCCTTTGTGGAGGAGCTGCCTTCTGTTACCTTTGGGTTGTCAATGTCTAGTACTGGGTCTGGCACACAGATGGTCGTGAAGAGTGTTTGTTAAGTGAAAACATATATCAGTGATGAAAATTAAGTGGCTGGCTTATTCTCTCTCTAGGAGGGATTACCTCCCTCTCACCTGCACCCTGAACGCAGGAAAAAAAACACTGCAGAATCAAGCTAATGGTTTACAACTAAGGTTGCCCCAGGTATGCACAGAATACTGTCACTCGTGAATTGGAATGGCTATTTCCCCACTTTCCAGTCAATCAGGCAGAACAAGATGCAAGTACAAAGCCCTGGTTGACAATGTGAATCCAGACCAATTAAAGGAAACTTCCTTGGTTGCAAATGGATGACTAGTTCTTTAAGCTTGAGTTTTTCGGGTTAAAGGGATGCTTGGGAGAGTGTGACTTGTCTGAGGTGAAAAGGACTCAGGAGGGGAGGGAGCTCCTGTCTCCTGTTCAGTGTCTGTTGTGGGACCTCTGACTACAGGTCAAGGATGTGTAACTTCCCAGTCACTTGTTTTCCACAACAGATTTATTACTATGGTTGGGGAAGGATTCTACAAAGATAAAAACACAAAGGAAAGAGAAAGAAAGATGAGGGAAAAGCAGAACAAATGACTTTGACAGCAGCTTCTAAAAGGAGGAGAAAATCAAATAAGAGGCTGTGATGTCCTTCAGTAAATCATCTCTGGTATCCTACTGAGAAAGAGTTTTGAGTTTTGACCCAGAGTGCTGTAGGGTGGCTCACAGTCTCCCTGGGTAAGATTTGAGATGGGAGGCAAAGTACTGCGTGGAATAAAGCAATGGTCAACCATGTTATTATGAAGGGCTACTTAAATTTAACATATGCCCCTGGGACCCTGGGGTAGAATTCCAGGCTGAATCACAAACTCTCAAAGCCATCACTGCATGAAGAATACATTTGGGAATAGGCTCTCTGGGGGTCCCTTCGAAAGATGAGAACTGATTTCATTTCTTTAGACCCTCCCTAATGGTTTTCAGGACATGATTATTTCAAGTATAAACCTGCAGGTACCTTCCCTCAGTCGACTGGTCAGTGGCATAGACACAGCAGGTGTGGCAATGAGTAAAACAGTGGCCTGGTTCAGCACAGACCTGACTTCAAATCCTAGCCCTGAGCCTCAGTGGCTCTGAGACACAGGTTAAGTTCCTCCAACATAAAATGGAGATAGCAATGAAAACTACATCATGGTTTTATTTTGAGGATGACATGAGACAATGTGGGCATGAGGCTTCTGCACCATGCCAGCCATACAAAGGGCTCAAGGAAGAAATATTGGCTGCTTTTCTCTTTTTTTTCTCCAAAGGTAGAATTTGTCTTAAATTCCAAAGACTTTCAAATGAATTCTGAACTGTTAGTTCCATAAGATTTACAGATAGGTAGGGCAGAGGTTTCCACCTATTCCTATTAAGAGCCAATAAATGCCTCATAATTCTTCTGCACGGTTTTACTCCGGCCACACACTGCTTCTACGAAAAAGAGCAGATGGCTTGTAATCACACCACATTACAAGTAAAACTATGAACTCTCCTCTTACATATTTCTGCAAGAGAGCACATGAAATGAAAAGACAACCTGACAGAAACTGCAATGTACTCGTCCGTAAGGCCCCTGACTTGAGAGGGTGCAAAGTGGCTGGGAAACAAGCATCACTCATATTTAGTGACATTTATGCTGGTCAGGAGCATGTTCTGGATCAATTATGGCATCTATAATCTGAAACAGGAGTATGGGAAACAACAGGAATATCAGCACCCACAAATTTTGTCCACTACTTGATCTAACATGTGTGATCATGAGGCATTGGAATGTGGCTTTGATTTTAAACTAAGAATTAACATGTTAGAAAATATTCTTTAATATTTGTGAAGAATCCTGACATGAAAGAAAAGCTTTTCAGTTTATGAGTTAGAGGAATTTATGACAAACTACATATGAGTCAAAGAAAACCCCTGTAAATATTCCCCTAGTAATCAACATCTAGGTTGGCAGATTGTTCTAAAGGGTGGCCAGTTTTGGAGGGAGATTTCTTGAAGCAGGAAGGAAGAGGAAAGACAGGTAGCATAATTTTCCTACCTCTGTGGGTGGAACCAAAGTGTCTTTGATAAATACTTTGGGGATTCTGGATGACTTAGAGGAATTCAGTTTATTTGTTTATAGGTAAAATAATTTAAGGAATCCCCCCCACAGTGGTAATTTTTCCCTGGAATCTTCTCATTTACTTTCTAATACAACAAAGGACTTGCCAGATAAAGCTATGACAGGTACTCTCTGCTCAATCCAGCTGTCATTTAATTTTTTCTGGGGTATTAGCATTGTATGAGTACTGCTTTGTTTTTTGTTTTTTAATGTACAGCTGTGTCACAGAATGAGTACTGTGTATCAAGGGGGCTACACATTTACTCTTTTAAAGCGGGTGTCAACTTTGACAGGCCAAAGATAGGGCTAAGTGTGACCTTTACAGGAGACAAAACAGCATTGAAGTATGTGGCTGCAAACTAAAACACAACCTCAGAATGAGGAGTTTCTACTATTTCAGGGCTCAGGGTTACCAGAACCTTGGAGAGCCCCAACAAAGTCAAGTGCTAGGCCTGTTTGTACCCTTGGCCACACTTACCATCCTGGCTCTGCTAGTTCAGGAAAGCTCTCTGTGTGTACGACCTTAGGGATATTTACCCACTAGAGCCTCAAGCCTAGACTACCGGTTCTCAGAGTACCAGCAGCCGGTTCCCAGAGTACCAGCAGCCACAGCATCTCCTGAAGCTGATTTGATGTGCAAATTCTTGGATCCTACTCAGACCTACTCAATCAGCAATTACAGAGAGGGGCCCAGGATCCGGTGTTTTAACAAGCCCTCCAGGTGATTCTGGCATATGCTGAAGTTTAAGAGCCCCTGCTACAGGCCCCCTTGTATCCTGGAAGAATACTCATAGCATTCTCTGTAGAATACAGGAACTTTTTTTGAGGTTACAATAGAAAGGAAGAAAAAAATACCTGATGAAGTTTCACCATGTAATACAACAGGAAATATATTCACCAGAATATATTTCAACTGTAAAACTCACAAGTAAAAAAATCACCATTTTATCATAAATACAAGAAAATAATTCCTTTAGTGTAAATTATGATTTTCTTTAAAAAGAAAAAAAAAGGCTGAGCATGGTGGCTCACGCCTGTAATCCCAGCACCTTGGAAGGCCAAGGCGGACAGATTGCTTGAGTCCAGGAGTTCGAGTCTAGCCTAGGCAACATGCCAGAACCCCATCTCTACTAAAAATACAAAAAATTAGCCAGGAATGGTGGTGCACGCCTGTAGTCCCAGCTACTCAGGAGGCTGAGGTGGGAGAATCATCTGAGCCTGGGAAGTCGAGGCTGCAGTGAGCCAAGATTGTGCCACTGCACTCCAGCCTTGGCAACTGGAGTGGACACCCTGTCACAAACAAACAAACATTCTCCAGAGGTGAATGTGATGTGTAGCCAGGGTGAGAGCTACAGATAAAACAGTGCCTTGCTGAGCATCTTCAAAATTCACCTCTGAATTAGGATGATAAAGATGATGAAAATCCAAAGGGAAAAAGAGATCTACCTGCTGGATGAAGGGAGAGCCTTAGGAAGAAACAGAAAGGAAAGGCCAGAAATGAAAAGAAAGGGGGCTGTAAACTCCAAACAGTTAAGGAACAGATATAACTGCATGTAAATCCTTTAATGAGTTAGATGACTGGGCTCAGAGGAATCCATCCCAGGGCACCAGAGCCTGGCTCGACCACTGGGATGAGGAGGAGCACAAGAGTTACCTGGAGGACCTAGAGAGACAGAAATGATGCTGCACTTTTCAAAAAGGAGAGAAAGATGGATTTTACAGCTATACATTTCATCCATAACAGACTACTAAGGGAGAGCCTGAAGAAAACCCCAATTATGAAAAACTAACCTCATTTTCTTCTTTGACAATATTCTTAGCTGCCATGACTGGTGAAGGCAGTTGACAAAGCACACGTGAACCTCAGCCAGGAATCAAATGAAGTTCCTCATGACATCCTTTTATTCACATTACTCCACTAAAACAGCTTCTGTCACGGTTACCAATGATCTGCATGTCACCAAGCCCAATGGTCAGTTCATGATCCTCATACTACTTTACCTCAGCACCATCTAACAAAGTGGTTCTTTCACTTCCTGCTTTCCTTGATTTCTTGGGACACCAGAAGTCAGCTTTGCTCGTTCTCCTCCCTCCTCACTGGACACACTTTCTCAGTCTCCTTTGCTGGCTTGTCCCATCACTTTGGCCTCTAAACACTAGAGAGTCCAGGGCTCAGTCCTTAGACCTCTCCTTGCCTCCATCTGCACTTTCATCAGTCTCAAGGTTTCAGACACTGGGCAGTTTACATGCTGAGAGCTCCTAGTCTTTTTGCTGTAGCCTAGACCTCCCTCTCGCCTCCAGAGGCATATATCCAATTGCCTACTGTGCATCTCCACTTGGGAGTCAAATAGACATCTACAACTTAACAGGTTCAAAACCAAACTATTAATGTTTACCCTCAAACATGGTAACTAATTGTAACTCCATTCTTCCAGTTCAGGTCAAAAACGTTGGAGTCATTTTTGATGCCTCTGTTTCTCCCATATTACACATCCAATCTATTAACAAACCCTAACAGTTCTACCTTCAAAAGGGCCTGGCACATGGTAGGAGCTCAATAAATATTAATGAAATGAATCTATGAACAAATGAGTCCTAGTGAATAAAACAACAGAAAAATAGAAGTGGATGAAATGACAGGTGGGTTCATAACCAGTTAAACAGCCATAACCACAGGACCCATTAATGGCCAAACAGCAACCTGGATGGGGATGGTGAACAACTTTTTCCTCGACCCTGGTCTTGGTCTGCATTTCCAGCACTGGAATGGATGAATATATAGGGGACATACCCACAAAATAGGTGGATGTCACTGCAAAGAAGGGGACAGTGCATATCTGGGGTAGCAAAAACTGGATCTGGGAAACAAAACAAAACTCTAAAACTGGACCTCTGTGATTCAGAGGGAATCTAACTAGAGAGAATTAAACTAGGATATATGTAAGGGTCATATAACATTTGGCTCCAAAAAACTAACAGCCCAAGTGGAGGCATTCTTAGTCAAGAGTAAGTGCTGTGAGCAGGCAGCAGAGTGCCATCGCTGTAAATGATGTTAATTTCATGTTAGGCTGCCTTAACAGCAGTGGCCGGGAAAAGTGACAGGATGAGGCTTTATGCATTTAGTGCTCAATTACTCTCAATATTGAAATTGAGACAAACTATCACGTACCCAAATAAGAGTGATCAGGATAACAGCAACACTTAAAATCATGTCATGAGCATCAGCTGAAGAAAGTAAAATGATTAATCTAAAAAAGAATAGCCAGGATAATATAATATTAACAGGGCTTTCAAAGGTGGAAGAATAATCCTTAGTTCTCTAGGGCCTTAAGGGATAGAGAACCAGATGAAGCAGAGAAACCATAAGGAGACAGGTACTGGCTCCACCTAAGGAAGACGATCAGACCAGCAGGACTTTTCAAACAGGAAGTGATCTGCCGCAGGGGGTGTGCACTGGCCACTCAACCCAGGGGAGAAAACTCTATTGACACAAAGCCCATTAAAATGGGCAACTGAATAAATATTGCACTGTTATCATAGGCCACTGGTCTCCCTGTGAGGAGTGATGAAAACTACACAGGAAAGGATTGACTGCTGGCTTGTTGCATTGGACTGATTTAGTTACTTCAACCATCCAATGCACCATTGGCTTCCTGGTTTTTTGTTTGTTTGTTTAGTTTACACCTAAAAATGTGGGCTTATAGACCCCAAAAATCTGAGTACTTGACCTTTTAGTGACTTTAACATGCAAAGCATGGGCTTTAGAGTCATACAGATACATATGTATGCAAACACTGGCTGCCCCCTTTACTGGCCACAGAGCCAGGGCCAAGTTTCTCAGCCTCTCTGAATCTTAATCCCTTTATCTGTACAATGGGACAATAATCCCTGCCCTCCCAGAGATGTTATGATTAAATTCAAAAAGAAAACAGACTGCAGTGTCCACAAACAGGAATTAACTAATTGAGAGTAGTTAACAAACATCATTCTCAGTCTCAGTATCTTATTTAACAAGGGTGACAAAATTGACCACTGCTGTCCAATAACATTCTGTGATGATGCACATGTTCTATATCTACAATGTCTAATACCTTAGCCTCAAGCCACATGTGGCTACTGAATATCTGAAATGAGGCTGGTGTGAATTTTAAATTTTATTTCTAATTAAATTGGTTAATAAGCAGTTAATTTATTAACTTAAACAGCTACATATAAACTAGTCACTGCCACATTGGACAGCCTAGACACTTCCTTAAAGTGACTCCTGGTTCAGAAATCCTGGTTCTATTATTTTAGTGAGAGACTAAAACCACAAAGGGCAAGCAACATTGGGAACCTCATAATAGGAAGTGCCCAGTGATGCAAGGGGAATCCCATCCTGCAGGGAATTCCAGAAGGCTCCTAAGGACCACATGTGAGGGAATGATAGGGACTAACCTGGGAAATTTCTTTGAACTTTACCAAAGAAGGTGCTGATCCAATAGAATTGTTTTATTTTAAAGGTGTTTTCCTTGTAAATAGAAAATGAAGCAATAAAAACTGTTACTGACAAGTAAAGGATTAAGAAGTTTGTTTCCCTTTACCTTTCACCCTCACTCAGCTTTATCAAATGAGAAAACAAAATTCAAAATTCATTCAATGCAAAATAATCCCTTAGTTTTGCTGAGAATGAACCTTAAACTTTAGCACTGAATTTCCCTCACTATTCTGCTCTGCTTCAGAACTCAGGAAACAATCCCATGACTGCTTTCATCACAGAGAATTTCTACAGAATGAGTAAGAGTTCAAAGGGAATCTTCAACCAATTCATGCCTAAGGCAGGAAATTGAAATGGGACAGAATATGTTAGACAAACACAGGCGAGGTCTGCTGGTGAGAGCCGAGTTTTTCTTCCTCTGACCCATTTTTAGAGAACTACAAAGAGGAATAAAGGGAGGTCGTTAATTGGTCACAGGACTTGTGTAGAGCCACCTCTACTTTCCTTTTCTAGTTGACTGCTGGGAATAACACCCTCTTCAAGGAATGCTCAAAGGGGAAACGTGCTGGGACAGGAGACCACTGATGAAATGGCTTCAGAAGCCGAAGATCATTAATTAAGAATATTTAGAGTGAGGTTGAAAGCTTGGCTGAAAAGAGTGGGAGGGACAAGTCTGTATCAGCTGCTACCTACACATTAGCAATTAAGCCTTATAAAGGCTCTCAGTGGAAAGTTACATTTCCCAGGTATCCTCCTCGGATAAGTGAAGAGCCTCCTGAGCCAAATGAACACTGAAGACCATAGCATTGACTTCAGAGTAATACTGCCAGCATCCACTATTACACACCCTTGATTCTCAGGATTCGATGTCTTCAAAACACCACTACCCATTGCCTGACACAGTGTTTCTCAAACTTGGGCGAGCATCAGATTCACCAGGACGGCTTGTTAAAAACACACATTGATTAGCTTTGTGCTCGGCTAGGTATTAAAAAAACAAAAAGAAGAAAGAAAGAGAAAGAAAGAAAGAGAGGGAGGGAGGGAAGGAAGGAAGGAAGGAGAGAAGGAAGGAAGGAAAGAAGGAAGGAAGGAAGGAAGGAAGGAAGGAAGGAAGGAAGGAAGGAAAGGAAGGAAGGAGAGAAAAGAAAGAAAAGAAAGAAAACAAAAAGAAACACAAATTGCTAAAGCTCAGCCCCATGGTGAGACTTAAACCTGGGGTGAGGCTGAGAATGTGCGTTACTAACAGACTCCCAGGTGATGCTGATGCTGCTGGTCTAGAGACCACACTTTGAGATTCACTGGCCTAGAAGAGTGGTTTGCAACCCTGGCAGCACCTCAGAATCACTTGGGGAGCTTTTAAAATAATAACTATGTCCAAATTCTACGCCAATGAAATCAAATCAGACTCTCGGGGTGGGGCCTGGGTATCAGTATATTTTAAAAGCTCCCTACCCGATTCTAATGTGCTGGCTGGGTTGAGACCCACTGCTGAGATGATTACCTTCAACTATTTAAATTTGGAGACTACATATACTCTGAACAGTTTAATAATTATTCCTTGTTTTAAGTAAATTCCATAACTTTCACACTCATAAAATGAAAAAGAGAAGCAGAAAACTACCTTGTTTTTCCTTACACATTAGAGATAGGGAGGCAGATCCTGGTGTCTGCTTGATTCCACCTGCCCTTACTGGTGATGGTCACTTTCTTCTTTTTTTTTTTTAACAAACCAAAATATAATGAGCTTCTTTGCACCTGCAAATGTCACCCTCCACTCCAATTCTGCTATTTAGACAGGATTCCCTACAGATTTACTAATTAGAGCAACTCACGCTTTGTGAACACTGATAAATCTTCTAATCCCTTTAAAATATGGTAGGTAAAAAGTGATACATTTTCATGACAATCCTACAACTATTTGAGGAGCAGGTAATATTTCCAAAACACTCAAATTCTTCTAATGTTTCTTCCTTCAGTCTCTTTTCTATCCTCCTTGAATGCCTTTTTTTCTTTCTAAATCAGATTCTACTTTTCCTTCATCTATCATCTGCCTGCCTGTACCCTTCCTTCATCACCTCTGCCTTAATGTGACAAGTGTAAACTTTACAATTAGTTATTCTTATGAAATAAAGTTTTATGGTGCCTGTTCCTAATTTAACAAACAAGGGAACTGAGTATTTTTATTTGGTGAGATAAAAAGACACTAAATTATTTTTGGTATGTGCCTCTTGATTAACTCTGCCTTGGGCATTAGTCCTCAACAGGAAACTTATTCCCCACCCTTAATTCCTTAAATTAAGAAACCTTCAGGCTGCAATCCACTGTGTGCCATGAATCAGCACCTATTGGTGAAATGTGACAATACAGTTTACCTCAAAATAATACAGCCAAAGAAGGTCTGGTGCGGTGGCTCACACCTGTAATTCCAGCACTTTGGGAGGCCATGGCAGGTGGATCACTTGAGGTCAGGAGTTCGAGACCAGCCTGGCCAACATGATGAAACCACATCTCTATTAAAAATACAAAAAATTAGCAGGGCATGGTGACATGCACATGTAGTCCCAGCTACTCAGGAGCCTGAGGCAGGAGAATCGCTTGAACCCAGGAGGCAGAGGTTGCAGTGAGCCAAGATGGCACCACTGCACTCCAGCCTGGGCGACAGAGTGAGACTCTGTCTCAAAAAAAAAAAAAAGATGAAGGGCTTTATCAATAAGAATCTAGAACTGTAATTTTAGATTCTTAATCAAGAGGTGATTTTGCTCCCTTCCTCCCTGTGTACAATGTCTGGAAACATTTAGGACTGTCACAGCTGGCATCTAATGGGTAGACTCCAGGAATACTGCTGAACACCCTATACTGCACAGGCCAGCTCCCACCGCAAGGCATCATCTGGTCTATAATGTCATTAGTGCCAAAGTAGAGAAACCTTGTCTAAAACCTTCTGCATGGAGCCAGCTGACTTAGCCCTGGAGAATTTGTAGGGATCAAAGGCCAAGAGGAGGAAGAAAAAGAGGTACAAATGGCCCTGGGTCAAAGAGGTACTACAAAATGCTCAGCCAAAGAGTGTGGATGCTGCTCATCCTCCCAGCTGCCCGGAACAACAAAGAAAGGGTCCTCTTAGTCTTTACCTTGCCAGAAGTTGTCAATGACTGCTTTCTTCATGGGATTAGGGTTTAATTTGGTCACAGAAAGAATTCTATTCCATGATTCATCACCTGGCCAGCTGACAAACTACCCCAGCTCTATAAAGCATTCTTATATCACTGTTAGCTTTTAACAGGGCCTAAATCAATGAAAGAAGGGATGGAGGCAGGGAGAAAGGAATTAAAAAATAAATTCAGGAATTGTGAACAGACAACATCTAAAAAATAGGCTATCTCATTACTTTTGTCAAAATCTAAATGATCATGTTGTCCTTTCTCTTGAGAGACCTTGTTACCTAACCATTTTTATTTTGGGTAATTTGCATGGGGCATTTGCATAAGGGTAAAACTTAAAGATTCTTCTCATGTATTATTAATGTCATAAGGAGATCATGATATTAGATGTATTTCTTGTTGCTATTCAATTCCTAGAAAAATTACATGAATCAACTGAACTGTAAATATCAAACTGATCCAGCATAAAAAGATCAACATCATGTCTTTAGATCCTAATAATCCAAACGAGTATGGTAGCTAGCTTTTATCTGTGATACTCTTCGGGCCAAACTGCAACCTAATGGATTACTTAAGAATCTAAATTTTAAAAAGAGTTATAGTAAGGAAGTACATGCCTCACGAAACAGTGTTTCCTTTGTAAGTATTCATTACGGGTTCCATTAAACACAAAGCCCACTTAGTTGACTGGAGTATTTACCTTCTTCCCAGTTGGGGAGGGAAAGAGAGGTGCCAACCAAAGATTGGTCACAAAAAATTAAGCACTGGGTAGGGCAACAAGGACTGCCCTTAAAGTAGTTCCTGCATAAACTGCCATAGTAGCCCCATATTTTCATTGCCCCCTCCCAACACAGTGCGTTATTTCAGCATATTCTCAAGTTTTACCATGTAACATAAACTCATCTCTAAATTATAAATTGTGTAAATATGTCACCAAGAAATGCTAAAATGCTGCTATTGAATATGAATTGTTTATCCCAGGCCTCTAATGTTCTATGCCCTAAGCTTCAGAGATATTAGATACTAAAATTTGATTAAAACCATATTCCTTGCATTTGCTGCCATTATCAATGATGCAAATTCACACATGTGTTAGCTAATGAAGCAGCCAGACAGGGTTTCACAGGCAGAGAAAAGGCTGAAAGAAATCTTTTTTGCCAAACAGAAAGTGGCCCAACTGTGGGAAATGATATGGATACCCAAGGTAGTCCTCAAAGCCAAAACTGTAAATAAGATTAGACCCTCACATGGTTCCATGGTCTGAGTATACATTACAACATTTTAAACCAAACATTCATTTCATTGTAGGGATTTATGCCAGCTGGCATAGCACAGTTGACCAAAGTGAAAATCGAGCTTGAGTTTTCCTTCCTTGTAAAACTCAGTACGTTTGTAGCATTAGCCCCTTACCAGAAGAGGGCAACGGTGGCCAGGCTGGCATTATTCACAAAGAATAAAGTTACCTGCAGCCAAGGTAACGTTTGCCAAGGGAGCCAGACCTTAGGAAACTGCCTGCAGAACTGCTGGCTTCTGAGTGTCACACATGCAAAGAAACAAGGCTCTCTGCCTTTCCTTTTCCTTGGATGAACTAACAGGCGACTGAGAGATCAAACCGTTGCAATATTTCTAATTGATGATACAGAAGCACTGCTCACTGCAACCAACTCACCATATTTATTTAATCCTTTTTTTTTTTTTTAAAGAGACAAGGTCTTGCTGTGTTGTTCAGGCTGTCCTCAAATTCCTGGGCTCAAGCGATCCTCCTGCCTCAGCCTCCCAAAATGCTGCCATTACAGGCATAGGCCATCAGCGCCCAGCCCTATTCACCACATTTTAAAGTTATCCTCTCTCCTGTCCATACTAGCTATAAAACTTGTCACATTCCAAAAAACAAGAAGGTGTGTTAAAGATCTCTAAGTGGAGAACTATTATGTAAATAGTATATAAGAAGTTTGCAAATTATAGATACCGTAAGAGCCATTCTACATTCAGGTTCAAGTTCACCCACAGTGCCCTGACTTTTCGGACTCCCTTGGTGGAGTCTCCGGCGCTCATTTCTGCTTTTCTCCCTCACTAGTGTTTCCAGGCTCATCTTTCTAAACAGTGTGTCTCTAGCTCAGGGTCTTCAGGCTTTCTCAAAACAAAGCATTCTCCAAAATCCTTACCCCTTTGAAAGCATTTGATCTGCTATGCAAATTTACTCAATATTTGCTTTTTAAACACATTCATCTCTAGTGAAGGAAAGAACTTGTTTTTAGTTAATAAAATTCAGGCATATGTGAGTAGTGAACACCTGGGTGAAGGGGTGAGGATGGAGCATGAATGTGCATGCAACACAGGTAGTTCCATTATTCTCTCCTGGTTTGGGAATTCATGAGACTAAGGATGAAACCTCTTAAGTTCATACCTTGACTCTTACCCTAGACAAAACTACATGTTCTTGGGCCGGGCGCAGTAGCTCATGCCTGTAATCCCAGTACTTTGGGAGGCCGAGGAGGTGGATCACCTGAGCTCAGGAGTTCGAGATCAGCCTGGCCAACACGGCGAAACCCCATCTCTACTAAAAATACAAAAATTAGCTGGGCATGGTGGCACGCACCTGTAATCCCAGCTACTTGGAAGGCTGAGGCAGGAGAACTGCTTGAACCCAGGAGGCGGAGGTTTCAGTGAGCCAAAATCACACCACTACACTCCAGCTTGGGCAACAGAGCAAGACTCTGCCTCAAAAAAACAAACAAAACCTGCACGTTCTTTCCAAACCTGCTCCCTCCTCCTGTTTTGACTCAGCCAGTGGCACTAGGACTTATCCAATTCTGAGACCTCAACACTTCCCTTCCTCAGCAGCCATTTGCAATTCATCACTTCTAACCCCTTCCATGCCTCCAGGCCAAGCCATCACCTGCTCCAGCCTGGCCTTCTGCAACCGTCTTCCCTGGTCTCTCTCCTGCAACAACTCACTTTCAATCTATTACCAGTCTGTTGCCAGAGCGATCATGCCATGCCCTGCCTCCACACCCCAAACCTCATCCCAGCTAAAAACCTTTGGAGGGGCCTTCCACTCCTCTCAGAATAAAGACTAAAATCCTAGGAAGCTGGTAAGAGGTTGACCATATCCCGGTACACCCAAGTCAGTTGCATTTTACGCCTTTCTATCCAGGCGTAATTATTAATAGCTCCCCCTTCTGCTCTAAAAATTATCTTGATTTTCATAACAACCTATGTGGTCTCCTTTCATGGTAACCTATGTGGTCTCCTACAAGTACATGATAACCTACAAGCCTCTGTGAGGTCTGGCCCCTGCCAGCTTCTCCAGCACCATGCCAACCCACTGTCCCCTGTGCTCTGCTCCAGCCCTGCTGGCCTCTGTTCATGCACTCGTTTTTAATTTATTGAGCATACCCCAGACGCCAGCCCTGCGCCAGGAGCTGAACACGGAGCAGGACAAAGCAGAAAGGACCTTGGCTCTGCTGGAAGGAGCTCCCCATTCCTTCTTCTACCCCACCTTCCCCTAGGCTCAGGCTTGACTCGAGGCTCCTTCTTTACGGAAACCTTCTAAGGCTCCAGACCAGGGCAACTCACCCTTTATCTTGCAGGCAGCATCATGTACCTCTTTTTGAAACAATGATTCAAGATTGCAATTTTTCCTGCTTCTGTGTGATTGATCTGACTGCCAGCTTCCTCCAAGAGACAATAAGGTCTGCAATTTAGTTATTGATGATTGACACCCTAATGCTTACCAATGCCTAGCCCACAGAAGGTGCTCAATAAGTATATTGCAGAAAGAAAGGAAGGAGGCAGGGAATACATGCTCACTCCCCGACTCAGGGCCAACACTCCTTCCTGGGTCCCAGTGCAGTTCTAATGGTGCCCAGGGCCTTACAAATCCTCTCATAACCTTGGCTTCTGCCCTGTTTACCCCTACCCACAAGGCACAAAGTTGGTTCAAGGGGGCTCTGGCAGAAGTGACCCACCACCCTCACCCTGCCTCGGCTGAGACAAAACTCTGTGCTCCACATGCAGACTCTCCCTCCCAGCAAAAGGCTGGAGGAAGATCTGGGAACTCATAACCAAAGGAAAAAGGGAGGGCAATGTGAAAATCAGACAACACAAAATTAATGGTGAAAATTTTTTAAAAATAAGAGATGGCTAGGTGCAGTGGCTCATACCTATAATCCTAGCACTTTGGGAGGCTGAGGCAGGAGGACCACTTGAAGCCAGGAGTTCAAGACCAGCCTGGGTAACATGACAAAGCCCCATCTCTACCAAAAATACAAAAATTAGTCAGGCAGTGTGGCATGTGCCTATAGTCCCAGCTACTCTGGAGGCTGAGGTGGGAGGATGGCTTGAGCTCGGGAGGTGGAGCTTGCAGTGAGCTAAAATCATGCCATTGCATTTCAGCCTGGGTGACAGAGCCAGACCCTGCCTCAAAAAAAAAAAAAAAAAAAAGGCCAAGAATGGTGGCTCACACCTGTAATCCCAGCACTTTGGGAGGCTGAGGCAGGCGGATCACCTGCGGTCAGGAGTTTGAGACCAGCCTCACCAACATGGTAAAACCCCGCCTCTACTAAAAATTCAAAAATTATGTATTTTTGTACATAAAGGTGTGGTGGCACATGCCTGTAATCCCAGCTACTTGAGAGGCTGATGCAGGAGAATCACTTGAGCCCGAGGAGGTGGAGGTTACAGTGAGCCAAGATCATGCCACTGCACTGCAGCCTGGGCGACAGAGCAAGACTCTGTTTCAAGAACAACAACAAAAAAGAGATGTTTCATATAAGATGATCAGACCATCGAGAAGACATGAGTTGCAAATTTTCATGCACTGAACAACCTTCTTCCCACCAGAGTGATTTACCTTAAACTTCTTTTCATTTCAAAGTGGATCTCTGTTTTATTTGCACAAATACAAGGCTCATTCATATGAGAGTTTTCCCAAGAGGTTTTGAAATACTGAAGTTTCTCCTTCTTGACACAAAAATATTGCTTGTGGGCCAGGCGTGGTGGCTCACCCCTGCAATCCCAGCACTTCGGGAGGCCAAGGCAGGCAAATCACGAGGTCAGGAGTTTGAGACCAGCTTAGCCAACATGGTGAAACCCCATCTGTACTAAAAATAAAAATAATTAGCTGGGCATAGTGGCAGACATCTGTAATCTCAGTTACTTGGGAGGCTGAGGCAGGAGAATTGCTTGAACCCGGGAGGCAGAGGTTACAGTGAGCCGAGATCACGCTACTGCACTCCAGCCCGGGTGACAGAGTGAGACTCTATTTCAAAAAAAAAAAAAAATTGCTTGTGGCTTATAAAAGTCCATTTTTTTCTTCAGCTTTTCTATTCAGTATGAATTAAAATCTCATAGTCCAAATTTCAGCTTGGGGATATGCACCCATCTTGGAGAGGGGCACTAAAAGAATACGAACCCCTATTTAAGACACTGGTTATTTTCACTACAATATGTCACCAGGGGGCCTCAGGTGAAGTGAGGACTAGAGATGGGTTGTGTTTTTATGAAATCGTCCACATGACAACACCCTGCTGCATGTGGCTGCACTATGTCCCAATCAAGGGTAAGCCAACAGGAAAGGGTACTACAATCAGGTCCTTCCCATCAGGAGGGATCTTTCCCTCCTTCATGTCACCTTCCCAGACAGAGGGCCCTTTGATGCACCAACCTAGTGAGGGTGCGGATACTAATTTCTTTTAATTGACAAATAATTGTGTATATTTATGGGGCACAATGTGATGTTGTATGTATACACTGTGGAATGATTCCAAGCCAATGAACATATCCATCCCCTCCCATACTTATGATTTCTTGGTGGTGACATCAATCTTTTGATTAGTTCTTTTGAATTCAATAAATTAAATACAGATGAAAGTTCTTATATTTTCCCATACCACCGTGGATCATTTAACCTCTGCCCCCATCTTGGCACATGTACACAACTATGGAGACCACTCCAGTCAATGACGAGATAGCTGATGACTCAGATGAGGCCCACAGTGAAAAAGGCAAATTCCTGCTGGCAGTTGCAAACCAATGTCAGGGATGTGATGTCAGAAACTTACGCTGGAGTTATAGGAGATGAAGCAGGGCATGTGTAGTGATGGAGAATAAAAGCTATAAAGAAATGAAAACTATCCTGAGAATCCAACAGCATACATGTGCAGGGAAAAGACTGTAAAACTTGCTCCTCTGATACACCATGTTTGCTTCTGTCTCAAAGGCTTGGTACCTGCTGTTCTCTCTGCTAGAACCACTTCCTCCAGACGCTAGGAGGTGTCTCTCTCTTTTCACTCAGAGTTCACCTTGAAAGTTCAAGTCTCTCTGACCATCCTATTTAAGCAGGAACCACCTCCAGTCACTAGCCACCAAGTTACCATCTTTTATTTTCTTTGTCACACGTCTCGGTATCTGAAATTGTCTTGTTTCTTTCTTTGTGCAGTGTCTGTCTAACCCCTGACTGAAATGCCATCTCCATGAGACCAAGGACTTTGTCGGTCTTATTCAAAATTGGGTCCCCACAGCTGAGAACCATTCCTGGCACATGGGAAATAAGGAATAAACATTTATTGAACAGGTACAATTTTTAAAAACAGCAAAGAGAAACACAAGAGTCATAGAAGACTGAGCTCACTTCTTTCAGGCCATGTCAGATCAAGGAGGCAAAGACAAATAAGACCATAGAGGACATATAATAGATAATGTTGGTCCACAAGATATACCTCAAACCCTATGCAATGAAAGCAGAGAATATACCATGTTTCCAATCATTCATGAAACTGTATCTGTCCATCTACATTTTTAATCTCCCAAATGAACTTCCCTGTCAAGTCACGGCAGGTAGGAGGTGGGGTGAGGGTCTGATCCCACAGCAAGACTTAACAGCTGAGATGGGTGGGGAGAAGTGGGCATGTGATGATCCCAGAAGAGGAGTCAATGCTGCAAGCCTGGCAGCGGCCTGGTATCTGTCTACTAGGCCCATCCATCTTCATGTCACATTGCTCAGTGGACTATCCATGTGCAGTCTAAACTGGGAGATATGATATAACCTAGTTAGCACAGGAATAAATCTAAATATGTTTGTAAAGCTGAGGACTTCACAAAAATATGCTCCTTACACCACTGTGGTACTCTCTGTAAGAAATATCTCATGTATATAATATGATAAAGTGTGTTAATCAGGGTTCAGCATTTATGCTTTTTTTGTAGAATCCAGCTACGAAGTTGGTTTTTTGGAAGAGTCTTGGTAATTTTTTTTTTCTACCTTAGAGTCACTTTAAAATCCCTTTTTAAAGATTTGTTTCAATAGCAAAATTAATTTTCTTTTTATAATCAAATCAATTTTTAAAGCAAGATGGAAAAAGGCTTACAGCCTCTATACTAAAGCCTATGCTCATGCCATAAATAATTTATAGCAAGATGGTTGCTTCTCAGTGGCAGGCTCAAATTCCCATTTTAATCAAAACTGATTTTGCAATCTATTTCTCAATTTACGTGTGGTCAGGGAGCTTCTCACCAAGTGAGCACGCAGACTCCATGGAAATGTGCACTTTTCCCAAACTCCTAACAAATCGGGACATCGTTAACCACTGGTAATCATTTTCTTCTACCCTCTGATGCTCTTAACTTCATCAAAGGTTAACGTCATGGCAGTAGCTTCAGAGGGAACTCAAAAGCTGAAAGCCGCAAAACACCAATGGAACTATATTCACTGATATTTCCAAATGTGTAAACAGACCTCACAAAGAAAAAGCTCAAAGATTCACTGGATTATCTAAACGTACAAACTCATACCAGAAACACAAAGAATAACCAACAAATGAAAGGACCAGCCAGTGTATTACTGTGCTTCAAATCTCCAACCAGTACGTCTGAGACTGCACCGCCTTACTCTGGGGCAGGCAGCACAGGCAAGCCTTCTTACACGATTGTTTCCCAAAACAGTCTAAATTCCCTTAAACAGTAGGTAGGCAGAGTGTCAGCCTGTTCACAATATGGATTCCCAAAACTTTTGGGAACCACCATTCTCTGTGTCTGAGTGCTGGCTCGGCAGTTGAGACTTCAACAGAGAGAACTAGAATCTTCACGCTGCCAACCCTGCTGGTCTGCTCCCAACTTTTGCTCCATAGATGGAACCTCTGTAGACTGCATATGGTCTTGGACTTCTTCATTAGCAGAGAAATGAAACTATTTCCAAACTGAGGGCAGAGATTCAAAATGCTTCCCAAACTCATGAAATTCTCCTGGCACTGAGAACTCTGTTCATTTTGGCTTGAGGTGGTTTATATTCAGGTGGACTAGAATTGAACATTTTCTATGATAGCAATTATGGGAGAGGGTCCTTGAACCTTCAATGATTTTGGTGTTCCTCCTTTCTTAGAGATATGGAATTCTAACAAAAGTAGGATTTAAAAAAAAAGAAGAAGAAGAATGTGAGTAATCAGAATCATTTTTTTTTTTTTTTTTTTTTTTTGAGATGGAGTCTCACACGGTCACCCAGACTGGAGTGCAGTGGTACAATATCGGCTCACTGCAACCTCTACCTCCTGGGTTCAAGCAATTCTCCTGCCTCAGCCTTCCAAGTAGCTGAGATTACAGGCACCTGCCACCATGCCCAGCTAATTTTTTTGTATTTTTAGTAGAGATGCGGTTTCACCCTGTTGGCCAGGCTAATTTCAGACTCCTGACCTCAAGTGATCCACCCGCCTCGGCCTCCCAAAGTGCTAGGATTACAGGGGTGAGCCACCGCGCCTGGTCCAGAATCACTTTTAAAATGCCATTTATTTTATCTTGTTTTATCATTAGCCACAAGGCTAATGAACGTAAGATTACATTATAAAAATTAAATGTCTCATGTTAGCATGACAGGAAAATCAATCTACTTACTCCTCCTAAAAACAGGACTTTTAAATAAGTTAAAGCAGTAAGCAAAATCTGAATCTACTTTTTAGTCTTTAGACATCATCCTAAATTTATTATTATAAAAAATAGAGAATATGGAAAGCAAACAGAAACAGAAACCCATCTGAACAATTCACTGACGTATCACTACCTTTCTTTCCTTGTACAGATTAAAATAATAGACAAATATTGTCATGTGTTTAAGTCACGTGCATAAAGGAAAGCTCAGGGAATATCAACTTTGAGCTAGGCTGTGTTTGGTTACATAGTTTGTGGGTATCTGAAATGTCTGCATCTATGTTCAGAAGAAAAATCCCGAATTACAAAAACATCTAATGTGACAACACAGGTATGTTGAGCCCAGGGAAATATGACCAGTGGGGCAAACACTGGCCAGCCACTCTGGTTGGGTGTGGATCTTCACATGGGTATCAAAGATTTTCTCTTCTGAGTCTTCAGGCTGGGGCTGACAAGTCTAGGCCCTCCTCTGTTGGCCTGGTACATAAGGAGACAGGTCTGGGGTTTACTCCAAAGAGCTAGTCTGATATAATGACAACACATTCCTAGGAATTTTTTTTAAAAAGAAAAGAAAAGAAAATTCCAAGAATATGGCAAGGCCAGTGAAGCTTAACTTCCACAAGCCTTTTTACTCCTAAGTAAAATTATTTTCTTCTTCATAAGTGTTAGTTGTTGCTTTTGTTATTACTCATGAGTATCAGATAAAGGAAAGGGAAAATGGGCAGGAGGATGAAAGACTGTGAAAGGTGCAAATCCCATTTGAATGATTCAGCCTTACCAGGAAAATTAATTACATTTCAAAAATGATGATATTTATCAAACTAATGTTTGATAAATGGACCCACAGAAGGTCCATTTAAGCATTGTTTTTTCCTATTGCTTTGATGCTTTCTTGTTTTCATATAATTTCAAATTTCAGAAAAGTTGCAAGAATAGCGCAAAGTTAGAAAACTTTTGAATTAAATTCTAGGAGCTTAAAACCATTTTTTAATTAACTGCAAAAGTTAAAAATAAAACAAACTACTCTTACCTGACAAATGGTTACACAACAGCCATAATGATCAATTACTTAGGAAAGGTGGAACCACCAGGCCTGTCAACATTTTTTTAAAAAATTGAAACACGCAAGACAGAGGATGACATTTGTGACCCGCTCCCAGGAGTGCACAGATAAGACAGGCTGGGGGTTATGTGTAATTACAGAGGCACCAGCTGTCCCTCTGCACATTTCTTTCCCAAATGAAAAAGCAGGATGGAATGCAAATGAAAAGGAGTAATTATATTAATGAATAATCTTAAATGTGCGTCAATCTTTTTTTGGAAAGAAATCACTGACAAACTTAGGTACTATATTAGCAATCACAATTTATCCAAAACATACTGCACTGTGAAGAAACCATGGATTAGAACCTCTAACAGAGATGATAATTTTGGATTCCAAATTATTCTTCCTTATTAGATGAATCCAAGAGAGCTTTGTAAGAATACCCCAGAGAAATAATTTTGAGTGTAGTCAAGTACCCTGAAACAAATGAAAGCAATAAAACATCTCTAAAGGCTGAAGACTACCTTCCATTTCCCTTATACCTTATAAAAACATCTTCCTTGGGGACAGGATGGAGTAAATTTTTACAGAAAGAAGTAAAGGGGCTCATATTGAATACACTGAGAGGATTCTGTAGAGAGTTTAATCTTTGTATCATAAAGCCACTTTGCATCCAAAAGCCTGCTTGAAACACCTCTAGTTGGTAAATCATGAAACATGCCTTCTGACTAGTCCCCTCTGCACCTTCCACATGTGTCTAACCTTCCTGCCAGAGTTGTTCTTCGTATTTTTAACTCCTTATTTCTATGGCTATTCAAGGATGTATTTAAATAATAAGTTAGGACCCTCATGGGCGAGCTGGCTTTTCTGGCAGAACTGTGAGCTCTTTGAGGGGCAGTATTTTGTTTTTATAGCTTTTATAGAGCCAGCGCCTAGCATAGGGCCTAGTTTATGGCATGTTTATCTGTTAAGTGAACAAATGAACCAGCAAAATACTGATGGTATGTGATCATTACAGCCAGAAGATGATATATCTTTTGATTATCAACATACAACACATATCTCAATGGGTACCTTGCTTTGGTTGCACCTGTGAATAGCCAATGCATTCCCATCTGGGTAACAGAAGGAGATCCTGTCTCTCTCTTTTTTGGGATGGGGTCTCTGTCACTCAGGCTGGAATGCAGTGGTGCGATCTTGGCTCACTGCAACCTCTGCCTCCCAGCCTCAAGCAGTCCTCCCATCTCAGCCTCCCAAGTAGATGGGACCACAGACACATGCCACAAAACCCAGCTAATTTTTTGTATTTTTGGTAGAGACAAGATTTTACCATATTGCCCAGGCTGGTCTCAAATTCCTGAGTTCAAGTGATCCACCCACCTCAGCCTCCCAAAGTGCTGGGATTACAGGCATGAGCCACCGTGCCCAGCCTGAGACCCTGTCTCTTAAAGAGAGAGAGAGAGGGGAGAGAATAGATTTCTGTTGTTTTAAACCACTTGGTTTGTGGCAATTTGTTATGTCATCCATAGGAAACAAATACAGAAGCCTACTAAAAACACAGCAGTTCAAAAACAATTTGATGGAGAAAACACCTGAGTGGCAATCTTGAGGACATATTTCAGACAAATACCAGCACGTGTCAGAAACACTACTAAATTTTACTTGTTAATGAATTATATTCTAGCTCATCCCAAAAAGGATCATGACAGCTGACAAACCCAAACCCAATGATTCTCATACACCTGCCTAAAAACTGACTTTTCATGCTTTGATAAACCAAAGTTGAGCAAGAGCTAAATTATAATTGAGAAAGAGCATGATTTCCAGAGTGGGAACCATTCTCTTTCTCAACTATAATTTTATCACCTCAATAGACATCTAGATTGATGACTAGGCTTTTACCAAGTAGAATATTGGGGAAGAACCCTGAAGTCTATGGGAAGAGTGTGAACAAATGCAGAGGCGTGAAAGTGCAATGTGATGTGCGCATGAAGGAAGGAGGGTATGATGGGGGAAGGTGAGACCGGAAATGCAGGCTAGAACAAAGAGATCAGCTGACAGGCCAGTGATGAGCAGGGAGAGGACTCCATGGAGAAGTGGGGCCCTTCTGCTGCTCAGCTCCAAGAATGCCGGCAGCAAGGCATTTATCAGGAGACCCCCAAGTCCTTACCCCATATCCACATTCCTTCTCAGAAAGTTACTAGAATTGTGTTCCACCGAAAAAGGAATAAGTCAAGACAGTGGAAGGTGTGAGAAAAGGAGAATCTAACACAGAAGAGAGGTGAAGGTAAACAGAAAATGACGTCTGTGCGCTGAGCCTTGAATGCAGTTGGTCCAGAAAGCAACAGAATGACATCTCCAGGAAGACACGAAGAAATGTGCTGGTCCATTACCTGATGGGTTTGATTGTGGGAAAATATTTCTTGGAAGGACTTTATAATTCATTTGAATAATTCTGGAGGAAAATAGTGATAGAAACAAAGAAAACCATTAACACCCCCTAATCCGCCAAAAAAGAGGCAACTCTAAATTCCAGGAAAAACAAACCATTATAACAATGAGAAAATGTATTCATGGTATATAGTTCGGCTAAGCGGTAAAAATACTTATATAATTATAATAATATAAACATTAAATACAGATTTAACTCAACATTGTAATACAACTATGGAAGGGAAAGAGGGGAAGCTTCTATGTGAGCAGATGGAAAGCAAGAGGTATGAGTGCTAAATTTCCGTGTAGAGAAAGGTCAATATATAACATCAAAATTGGCAAATCAAATTACTGTATAAACAGGTAAAAAGAGGTGTCTTCTGGAGTACAGGATTTGGAAATAGGAAGAACTGAAGGCAGGGGTCTGCTACTTTTTCTTAAAATCCTTGTGGTACTGCTATTTCATGTTTTAAATGATATACACATAAAAATGATGAAAATACTAATTATAAAGAAACCACATTTAAAATAAAAGAAAAAGATAAGCTGGATCAGATTGTAAAGATTTTATTTTATTTCTATCTTTCTATTTTTAATAATGTGCTAGGAACTTTTTTCTCTATCAAACAGGATAAGCACATACAGGACCACTGGCTCCAAAGGGGAGGATAGGTGCAGAGGGGAGAAGCTGAAGACAATGATACTAGTTAAGTGGCTGTTACGTAACCTTAGCAACAGGAGATGACAACCTGAACCAAGACAATGGCAGTAGAAATGACGAGGAGAAATGTCCGAGGAACAAGCAAGTATGACTGAGCAGGAGATCAGAATTCTGGATGTACTGAGCTTCAGATGTGAGCAAGCATGAATCATTACCTCATTTTCGAGACCTGTCAACTGAGGCTTTGAAAAGATAAGATCAAATGGCAGGTAACTGGCAGAGCCCAGTCCTCCTTCTTGACACTGTGCTGACTTCTGTACATACAACACTCAGCTAATACTTTTGTAGCTCCACTACCATCCTGTATCCCCACAGGTCAAATAAAAACTTGAAAGCAACTCACAAAAATATTAATTATTTTAAACATCAAAGACATTTTTACGAATATAGCAAACTGAATTTCCAATTAAACCTCTTCTTTATGACTATTTTCTCATCACTGCTGAGTGGGCTCCTGGGAGCCCTGTGTGTTTCTGACTTCATCCCAGGCCTGGCCATAGCTGACGGAACAATCATTTCATGTTTCTCGGCAACGTGGAACTAAGGCAGGGCGGGTGGTCAAGAGTGTCTCCCTGCATGGCTATGCCTGTTATGTGTAAACCTGGGCACTGTGGAACAAAAACAGAGCCTGAGAAGAGTCCAGCTGATTCCCAAAGAGCAGCAGCTGAGAGGAACGCTGCCAAGGGTCCTCCTTTCCTGGAGTTTTGCGAGCCATCCCTGTAACTGTGTAATCAATCCCAAACGGACACAGCCAGTCCACTTTACAAACCCCATGAGGCCTGCAGCTCTCTTCCATCACAAAGCACTGGGGCTGGCCCAGGCCTGCTGCCGTCACCAGGCCTTTCCACATTCTCTACGCCTCCCAGTGCAGAGTCTTAGGGTCATGAGCCCGCTGGTCCCCCAGCCAGCCAGGAAGGCTCTTACGTTCGACCAGCCAGCCCTGCCCTTGCAGGTCCCTGTCAGACAGGAACAACAACAAAATGGCCAAACATCACTGCCTCCTCCTACCAATTCATTTTTTAAAAATGATACTTCACCTACTGTCTCACATCCTTAAAAAAATGAATTTAATAGACTCAAATAAGAATTTGGTTGCAGCTAAGTGATAATGTGACTTTTTGTTTATATAGTGAGACAACTCTTAAAAAAAGATTTTTTAGTCTGCTCATAATTTTAAAGCTTAATATGAGCTTCTCACCTAATACCTCCTCCAGCAGACAGTTCTGACGTATCATCTCCTGCAATAAATTATTCATTCATTCATTAAATCAGCACTGGGTGTTTGGTGCCGGGCACCGTGCCAGGCCCCGTGGAGGATGGTGTGAATAAGCAGTCCTGGTCCCTGTCTTCTATGGTGCTTACAGTCTCATTTTAGAAAGTCATTAGTGTTTAATGCAACATTTACAAAGGTGAAGGATCTGTTACTTTATCTTATAATTAATCTTCTTCCATATAATCATATGTCTGTAGATATGAAGAAATAAACACAAAGGCGTTTGACTATGTCTATATACAGAGGTCAATTGAAAGAAGGAAGACAATTTAGGCAATTTAATAATTATCATGAAAACCAGTTAAGTGTGATTTGGATGAATTCAACTCCTCCTCCCCCCTGCAAACTGGCTTATGTGTCCTTTTATCATTAGAAACAAATTTCATATAAACTTCCACCAGGAGGAGAAAGCTATAAGCCTGTCTCTCTGACTGTCACAGTATCTCGTGGTATAGCATCCCTTTCAGGTGGAAACCAGCTTGAGATCCTTCTGGCCAGAGAGATAGTCCCCACCTGCTCTATAAACTTACCCACTGGCCCATCCCATGCCAAGAGGTCTGCTACAGAGGAACAATTTGATCTCTGTTTGCACTTAGGATTCACATATGCATGCAGGCAGGTCAAGCAAAGGCAGGGAAGAATAGTGGGCCGGGAGACTTAGAGGCTAAATGGCAAGGAGAAACTGCAGGATGATCAGGGCTTAGAGAGAACTTAACACAGTAGGGAAGAGGGTTGTGCACCCAGTGAGGTGGATGTGATATGCTTTCTGTCCTACCAAATTCTTATTCACAGAAGGCCCAAGCAACCCTGTGGTGGGACCCCCTTCCTCAGCAACAGGCTGTGCCATGGGGTAGGAGAGATGGTCTCTATGGTTTCTGCAGCTGGGCTCTTGTGGCATCGATGGATGAACAGATTCAATGGCGGGGAAGAACAAGGAGGGTTCTCTGTGAGAAACAGGACCAGTAGCAGCCAGCTGGGCTGATATGTAAGCGCATGAGATGACCTCCCTCCCCAGGACTGAGTGACGGAAGGGCATTTTAATGAGGGTAAGGCACTTGGCTAAGAATGCAACAGGTCAACAAAATCCAGGTTTTAGTTGCATGCACTGTCACTGGTACCCGCAGGCCCAGGAGACCGGGAGCCATGTGTCTCCTTCCCTCCTAAATGCTTCTCTTTGCTCCCTGCTGGGCTGCTTGGCAGGAAGGAAAAAGGGTCAGCCAGCTCTCACCAACAGAGCACCTCCACCCTACGGGTTTGTATACTTTTTCCGCGTATCATTGTACTTTAAGAAAACGTTGCATAGCTTTAAAAAGGCAGAGGGGAAGAGGATTGAAAACACTGATTTCTGTCACTGAGAGTGTTAGGAGGGCTTTAATAAGTCTTTACAAAAAGAGCTAAGATCCCCCCAAAAAAGGCAACATTAAGAGAAAACTAATAATGTCATTGCATTAACTGCAACACAACGTGCATTTTCTATTGAGAGCAGAAGATCAAAACAGACATTTTCCAGTTATATCTTACTAATAATTATCTCTAATGCTTGCATGTCACAACACATGCAAATCTCTTCAAATCTCTTGAAGGGGGGTGAAAGGGAGTGAGGAAGAGAGGCCAGTCACTTTAGAGTGCCATAATAAAGTGATGTCTCTATGTGATGCTGACTAATGTAGGGCCTTCTGTAATCAAATTAAATGACACATACTTCAGATCTCTACTAATTATGGATTGATTTTTTAAAAGTCATTTCCCCACCTGTCCCCTTAGCTAACTGGCACTTCTTATGGCTCACAGTGTGCCCATCTCTGCACTCCCTCTGCTCCTAAATTTAAACACTTTCAGATTATCCGTTGTGCCTTAGAAAGCCAAAAAGCCAAGCACTTTAGAATTGTATGTAAAAGAGAAGCAGCCTCTGAAGGAAGAGAGATGTGGTGAGGAAGGAGCTGGGGCCTCCATGGGCATATTTGGGGATGTAGCACCACTTCTGGCCTTCTTGGTTTCCTGGTGACTTGGTTCCTAGCATTTTAGTCCTCATGAATAATATTGCCACTCAGAGTAAGACAGCTGCTTTTGACTCAGCATTTTAATTGAATTTAATTCATTTTCAGTAGCCTTGAGCAGGAAAAGAAAATACTAATTAGCTCAAGGATATTAGCTAAGGGACCTCACTAGCCTGGGCATCAGGTTCCTTGACTGTATGTAAAGGATCTCCTACAGAAAAATCCACACTAAGCTAGGAGGCACAGGAACCCACGTAGAGAGAAGAGAGGTGATGGGAGCTCCTAAAAGAAGAGCAATATGAAGCCTCAGGAAGACAGCAGTCATGGAGAGCGACCAGCCTAGAATGAATGGAACAAGAGAGAGGAGTCCAGGAAGGATGACTCACAGAACAAAAACACAGACACACAATGAGAAAAGACAGAAGAGAAAGATGATCTGCCATGGAGAGAAGTGGACTGGCAGGCACTTTTAAGAGCTGCGGGAGAGTAAGACAGATCAGCAAGGCTGCTGAAGAGAGCAAGCAAATGAAAACAAAAGAGGTGTGGGAATTAAAGAGAAACGAAAGGTAATCAGAGTACACTGCCTGGCTCTGCAGTAAATACTGTCATAATAATATATCATCATAATAATGAAAACACAATAGGAATTTCTATAAAAATGTGTCAAAATTAAATATACTGTTTTAAATAATCCTCCAGAACTGCCATATAAGGATGCTATTTATAAGTATGAAGGTGAAAACCAGAAGAAACAGCCAAAAGAGTCTATAGAGTGCTCACTTCTGGGGAGTGGGAACAGAGGATAGAGAGGAGTGGAAGAGGGAACTATTATTTTTGTTTCAAAGTCTATAATGTGATTCCAACAATTAAAGGGAGAAAGAATTTTAAGGGGAAAGAAAAGAAAACATATGTTCATACAGATGGTGTTGGGACAACTGAATAACCACATGCAAAAGAATTAAAGCTGGGCTCATTCTTCAAACCATACACAGAAATTAACTCAAAATGAATCACAGACCTAAATTTAAGAATGAAAACTCTAAAACTCTTAGAAGAAAACATAAGTGTGAACTTTCATAATCTTGGTAAGGCAATGATTTCCTAGATATGATACAAAAACAAGTGACAAAAAGAAAAAAACTAGATAAATTGGGCTTATCAAATTAAAAACACTTGTGCTTCAAAGCACACCAGCAAGAAAGTAAAGAGACAATTCACAGAATGGGAGAAAATGCTTTCAAATCATATACCTGATCAGAATATATAATGAACACTTACAATTCAACAATAAAAAGATAAATAACCCAATTGAAAAATGGGCACAAGGGCCGGGCGCAGTGGCTCACGCCTGAAATCCCAGTACTTTGGGAGGCTGAGGCGGGCGGATCACGAGGTCAGGAGATCAAGACCATCCTGGCTAACACGGTGAAACCCCATCTCTACTAAAAATACAAAAAATTAGCCGGGCATGGTGGCGGGCGCCTGTAGTCCCAGCTACTCAGGAGGCTGAGGCAGGAGAATCGCTTGAACCCAAGAGGCGGAGGTAGCAGTGAGCTGAGATGCACCACTGCACTCCAGCCTGGCCAACGGTGAGACTCTATCTCAAAAATAAAAAAAAGAAAAGAAAAAAGAAAAATGGGCACAAGATTTCAATAGACATTTCTCTAGAAAATAAATAGTCAATAAGCACATGAAAAGATGCTCAATATCATTAGCCATCAAGGAAATGCAAATTAAAACCACAACTGAGACACAACTTCATACCACTAGGATAGCTGTAAACAAGAAGACAGACGATAGCAAGTGTTGGCCAGGATGTGGAACCATCATACGTGGCTGGTAGGAATGTAAAATGGTATAGTCACTTTGAAAACAGTTTGGCAGTTCCCCAAAAAGTTAAACACAGAGTCACCATACGACTTAGCAATTCCACTTCCAGGTATATACCCAAGATAAATGAAAGCATGTAAGAATATACAAAAACTTTTACACAAACATGCATAGCAACATTAGTCATAACAGTCCAAAAGTAGAAACAATCCAAATGTCCCTCAACTGATAAATGGATAAGCAAAAGGTGATGTATCCACACAATGGAATATTATTCAATCATAGAAAGAAATAAAGTACTGACACATACTACAACATGGTTGAACCTTGAAAACATTTTGCTAAGTGAAAGAAGCCAGTCACAAAACACCACGTGTTGTATAACTCCATTTATATGATATGTCCATAACAAGCAATTTTTTATAAAGACAAAAAGTAAATAAACAGTTGCCAAGGGGTAGGAGTGGGCACAGAGATGAGGAGAATGACTGCTGACGAGTATGGGGTTTCTTTTTGGGGGGGTGATGAAATGGTATAAAATTAGATCACAGTAATGGCTGCACAACTCTGTGAAGATACTAAAAACTACTGAATTATATACTTAACATGGAGGAATCTTATGGTATATGAATTATGCCTCCATAAAGCTGTTTTTAAAAGTCGATAAGGCAATGATTACACAGATGTAAATATTTGTCAAAACGTATCCAACTTTTGCAAAGACTATGACAGTGAAAAGAAAAACATTCAACTGTACATTTACATGGGTGTATTTTATTATATGTAAATCACACCTCAATAAAGCACATTTTTCATAAAGCATCTCCAATGCAATAATTTTACAATTAATTTATAACAATGTTACTTTCAGAACACCAGGCAGGAAAGAATATCAAACTCATGACTACCTTTCTGTGGCCAGCATTACTCACCTGTGTTAGGCAAACATTTTCTGCCTTCCTTAGAAAAGCCCCTAGGTCAGGAATGGTAGCTCACACCTGTAATCCCAGCACTTTGGGAGGCCAAAGTGGGTGTATCACTTGAACTCAGGAGTTCGAGACTAGCCTGAGTTACATAGCCAAACCCCGTCTCTACAAAAAATACAAAAATATTAGCCAGATGTGGTGACTCCCACCCATGGTCCCAGCTACACAGGAGGCTGAGGTGGCAGGATCACTTGAGCCCTGGAGGTCGCAGTGAGCTGAGATCGCAGCGCTGCAGCAGCCTGGGTGATAGAGTGAGACCCTGTCTAAAAAAAGAAAAAAAGAAAGAAAGAAAAGAAAGAAAGAAGGAAAGGAAGGAAGGAAGGAAGGAAGGAAGGAAGGAAGGAAGGAAGGAAGGAAGGAAGGAAGGAAAAGGAAAGGAAAGGAAAAGAAAGGAAAGGAAGGAAGGAAGGAAGGAAGGAAGAAGGAGGGAGGGAGGGAAGGAAGGAAGGAAGGAAAGAAAGAAAGAAAGGAAGAAGGAAAGAAAGAGAGAGAGAAAGAAAGAAAGAGAGAAAGAAAGAAAAGACTGGTCTCTAGTGCTGGGTGGAGAATGGTCATCCAGAGCGTCAAGACTCAGTTTCCAGCAGGAAAGCAACAATGTCCGTTTAATCAATGTGTTCTTAAAGTTAGCAAGTATATCTTCCTAACAGAACATTAACTTTTCTAAACAGAACTCTTTTTTTCCTTCAACTTTTAAGTTCTGGGGTACATGTGCAGGATGTGCAGGTTTGTTACGTAGGTAAGCGTGTGCCACGGTGGTTTGCTGCATAGATCAACCCAACACCTAGGTGTTAGGCCCAGCCTCCATTAGCTATTCTACCTGAGGCTCTCCCTCCCCCTGCCCCTCCCCACTCCCAGTAGGCCCCAGTGTGTATTATAAACAGAACTCTTAATTTGTAAACTACTATTTATTCTCGGTTTGCTTTTTGGGAGAAATAAAATTTCACCTTAAAAACATAAAATTTTCCTTCTGGAAGGAACTTGTATATAGCAAATCCCTTATTTGACAAAGGCTGAAACTAATGAAGGCCTAGAGAAGTTAGAAGACTTGCTGGGGAATGCAGGGATGATAAGCTGACAAAGCTGCTGAGCACCAGCCCAGGTCGCTTCTCCACACCTCCAGGGAGGGTGGCCCCATCATCAGCACAGATGGAGGGCTTCCTAAATACCCAAGATGCTCTCCTCACTTATTCCTCACATCAACCCTATGCAGCAGGACAATTAGCCCCTGTTCCAATTTACTGATGAGAAATGTAGCTACTGAGATGTTAGCAAGCGGCCTACGGACAAGGAGCTAGGAGTGCAACTTGGGCTGCTCATTTGTCTCCAGAGCCTGACCTTCTAACTCATAACATATGTCCGTCTCCCTAAAACCAATGCTTCAGATTTTCATTTCTTTTAATAAATGTTGACATTTTTCGTTTCTAATAAGTGGGAAGATTCTGACACATCACTTCTGTTAGAACACTCTGTTTATCCCCACCCTACATCACGTTCTGGCCTATGTCCATTCTTTGTCTTCAATCTGGTCCCTCCTCTCATCTGTCCCTGAATTTTCACCTTGTCAAGCCAGACTGAGGGGCAGAGCAGTACCCCTGGTTTCTGACAGTGTTATAAAACAAGTGTGATATTGACATTGACCCTGTGAGGGTTTGATGACAGTCTTTCTGGTATGGTACCTATGGAAACAAAGAACCAGTAAGAGATGGGGTTCAGAGAAATGATCAGTTTAGAACAATTTCTTAAATTCTTAGGAATGCTTTCTTATATGCAAGGGCTTGACAATGTAAAATGATCAGAATGTTCATACATAGTTCCTCCCATGCTCATTCAAATACATTAGTCCAGCAGGTTTTAAGTTGCAGGTTGACCTAAAAGATAATCTTGATCTCAAAATAAATCTACTAAATATTGTATAGATTGAAGGGAAAGAAAAGGAGACCTCTCTGAGAAGCAATACCATATTTGGACTTAGGAATCCACTGGGATGTAAAACATAGACAAAATTATGGGCCACTTTAGAACAAAGCTATAACAGCCCAGACATTTTTTCATTCTGTGAAAGGGAAAGATGAATAAAAGCCAATGGAGACAACCTAACCCACTTTGAAATTTTCTTTGCTGATGCCAGCAAATTCCTTCTGAAAAAAATCACAGCAGCAAACTTATTATTACTTGATATTTCTATCACAGCTGTCTTTGATGGGGTGAGCTTCTGAGGTTTTCCGTGTTAGACCCATCTTAATGAAGAAGGGCTATAAAGCAATGAATCTGATTTGTTACAAAACATCTCAGAACAGACACTTACAAACAAGCATACGTCTTAGAAGGCAGAATGCTCATTCCTCAGTGCTGCCAACCCACAGCAATTTCTTTTCTGTAACAGCCTAAGATTCAGTTTATAAGCCTCAGTAGAAGACAAACCTCATTACCTTAGAATCATACCTCAGCTTTGCTCAATAACATTAATCAACATTAATCTGTTGAAGATTAATAAGGTGATTTTCTCTGAGTTGAAAAACTAAACTTACTTTCTCTGAGCTAAAAAAACTAAACCTTTCCTCAAAGAATAAAAACTTGCTAGCATTGACATTTTGTGTATGTGTGTACCTACCCATGCCTAGGAAGGCACCACTATCCCAGATACTAAGGTGCAGATAAAAATAGCCTCACGAGGCCAGGCATGGAGGCTCACACCTGTAGTCCCAGCATTTTGGGAGGCCGAGGTAGGCAGCTCCCTTGAGCTCAGAAATTAGAAACCAGTCCAGACAGCATGGTGAAACCCCGTCTCTACAAAAACACAAAAATTAGCCAGGTGTGGTAGCACATGCCTGTATTCTCAGCTTCTCGAGAGGCTGAGGTGGGAGGATCACTTGAGCCCTGGAGGCAGAGGCTACAGTGAGCTATGATCACGCCAGTGTACTCCAACCCAGGTAACAGAGCAAGACCAAGTCTCAAAACAACAACCACAACAACAAAAAAACCTCAAGTAACATGTGAGAGAGCTGTTCTCACACAGCAAAATCAGGTGTAAAGACTTTATCTCTCTTAAAATATCAGCTTTCAGAAAGAAATAATCATCTGATACCAACCATACAAATACACCTAAAAGCAAAGTTTTTAAATTTAAAAAAGTTACCATTCAGATAGAATATTCAGGCTAGTGAACTAAATGAGCTATGCTTATGCCATGAATTTCATCCAGAAGACATCATTTCCTTCCAAATACCTGAGAAATAACAGTTTCTTAAGTCCTTAATGTATGCACACTATAATTGTAAGTGTTTTGACTGGATCTCATTTGGAGTAAGGAGCCAACACTTTTAAATAAGCCAAAACAAAGTAAAACTGGTAATTACATTATAGGACTTTATCCTTGTTTTAATACTTTCTTTCTGAGCTTTGGAAAGCAACTATATCACTTCAAAGGCACACCTGTTTCACCAGAAAATAATTTCTCAAAAACATGCTTCAGCTAGGTCTGGCACGGTGGCTCATGCCTGTAATCCCAGCACTTTGGGAGGCTGAAGTTGGCAGATCATCTGAGATCAGGAGTTCGAGAACAGCCTGGCCAACATGGTGAAACCCCGTCGCTACTAAAAATATAAAAATTAGCTGGGCATGGTGGCAGCTGCCTGTAATCCCAGCGACTTGGGAGGCTGAGGCAGGAGAACAGGTTGAACTCAAGAGGTGGAGGCTGCAGTGAGTCGAGATTGCACCACTGCATTCAAGCCTGGGTGACAAGAGTAAGACTCCGTCTCAAAAAAAAAAAAAAAAAAAAAAGCTTCAACTTACAAATAAATGTGAATTTAACAAAAGACGCATCGACCTTCAATTCTGCCCCTCAAGAGTGTCCTATTTTCTAAAATACTTCAAAAATGGCCAAATCCAAATTGTCCACATTCCCAAAGAAGAGATCTTGAAGCCAGAGAGTCCTGTGTTCCAAAGTTGGTTTTGCTGCCAATCCTACTAAAAATTGCTTAACCTGACATACAGCGGATGCAACAGGGTGGTGGGACACTTCTCCACCTAAAAAATACAAAACTATAAAGGAAATGTACAAAGCACTACATTAATACTCACCCTATTTCTGTTGTCTCTTCTTACATAAAAACTACTTTCACAATATGCTACTTGCTCCTAGGCTTATGAAGCTCAAACCTTTCAAAGCTGCTTAGAAGAATTTCTCTCAATTTGACACAAGTTAACTTGACAGAGAAGAAATACATTTTTTAACCACATTAAGGCTCCCAAGTGGCCCATTAAAAGTGTTTGTAATTATTAGTACAGTTATTAAATACTTAATGCATTGTACAGAGGGTGATCCTTCCGTGCTACAAGAACTTTAACTTCAGCATAATCTGACCAGAATGCTCAAACAGGAAAGCTAACTGTTTGCAGATTTTTGCACTTGGTGCCCTAATGTCAGTTAAAATGTGGAATACAAGAGGAAAGAATTTAGCCAAGAGCTTAACAGAACAGAGAAAGAAGTTGGGGCAAGAGTCAGGCAAACAGGAAACATCCTCTCATTTGTCCTGATGCCAAAACGAACTTAAGACAGTTGTCCTGGGGCAACATTCAAAATCTGGGAAAATGCACCAAATAGAATACACCTCAAAGGATACATTTTAAAAAGTTGGGGCCAGGAGGCATATTCACCGGTTTCCCACTCTCACCTCCCACTCCCCGGTAGAGTTTTGTAACCAAACCTAGAGGCACCCTTCTTTGCACTTTTCTTTGAATGAGTAGCTTGCAAAAGCTCCAAATGACTGTCCTCATTGTGGTTAGGGTCACTGCTTTGGAAAATGTACAAAAAAATACCACCCAGAAATAATAAGAGCTGATGGGAATTATTTTTAAAGATTTCCTTTTGGCATAGGTTTATCTAAAGAAGGCAACTCCCCTCCCTTTGAAAATTATGTACAACTTGGTGTTCTCCTTAAATCACTGAGCTAGAAGTAGGGGGCCTAAAGTATAAGAGTCCAGAGACTAGTGTGGGCCACTCTCCCTCCACTGTCCTCGCTAGAAGCCACAGGTGTCCCACAGAGATGCACATCTTAAGTGCCAGGCAGATGCTGTGCTGCATACTGACTACTCTGCTGCAGAGGGGCAATGGCCAGTGATAGGCACAGCTAGGACTCCTCCAGTCCTTCTAGCCCTTGGGCCCAGCCAGACAAAACCCTGGGAATGCCAGAGGCAGCTCTAATGCAAAAGGCAGCCTCCTACTCTTCCTAAATCCAAGGATGCCCTTGCCCACCTGGCATCTTCTGCCCTCAAGTCTCTCCAGTGCCCTGAGATTTCTCTTAACCAGCAGGCCTAAGGATTTTGTAATGAAAAGGTGCAGCTAATACCCCCGACTTCCATGATGTTTGTACCTAAGATGGATAGGATGAGAGGTATGTCTTCCACCTCTTAACCTCATCCCAATCTTCTCCTGCTTTGATTTGACTGATTTATTAGATTTAATTATTTCACACCTGTTCAATCTCCCAGCTTGGGTTCTGGAGCCAGACAGTGTAGGCCTGAATCCAAACCAAATTTCCAGCTCTGTGACCCTAGGCAAATTTCCTAAGCTTCTGTGCTTCAGTTTCCTCGTCAGTAAAACTGAAATAATAATCATACTTAACTCCTGGGGTTAGCAGCTGTTTCCTAAGATAGGCCATATATAAAGCCTTTGGTACAGTGTCCAGCACACAGGCACTACTCCCAAAAAGTAAGCTAGGGATGCTCCTCTAGGAGGTCTTCGTTTTCCCTCCTTGAGTTTTCCTTCACTGCCAGGACCTCTTCCTGGACTAGGACAGGATAGAAATCTATGGAAAAGTCACCTGATGCAGAAAAGTTCTGTTGTAACAAAAAATGACTGACCATGGTAAGGACATAAACCAAAGTTTCTATTTCACCTTAGTCTCATTAAGAAATTTAAAGTGGCTGGGTGTGGTGACTCACACCTGAAATTCTACCACTTTGGGAAGCTAAGGCAGGAGGGAGAAGTGCTTGAAGCCAGGAGTTCAAGACCAGCCTAGGCAATAACAACAACAACTATATATATATATATATATATATATATATATATATATATATATAGAGTGTGTGTGTGTATATATATACATAAAATATATATACACAATACATATACTATATATAAAATATATATACACTATATATACTATATATAAAATATATATACACAATATATATACTATATATAAAAAATACTATATATACTATATATAATATATAATACTATATATATTTTATATATATATAATGTATATATACACACACCTATATATATATAAAATTAGACAGGGATGGTGGGGCACAGCTGTAGTCCTAGCTACTTGGAAGGCTGAGGCAGGAGATCATTTGAGCCCAGAAGAGGTATGATTGTACCACTGAACTCCAGCCTGGTTGACAGAGCAAAACCCATCTCTTTAAAAAAAAATACTTAAAGTGACATAATACCAGGATGACAATACGTTAATTTATTGACCAAGACATTTTTGAAACTAAAAAGGGGTGCTATTAATAATTATAACAAAACATCTAGGATTCTCCTACTTAGCACCCACTTGTAAATTCTTTCTCATTATCAAGAAAAACCCCATTAAGTGAAAATTATAAGCCAAGGTCAAAACCCAGCTGTTGCCTGTTTTTGCAAATAACATTTTACTAGAACACAGCCATGCTCACTTGTTTACATATTGCCTATGTCTGCTTTTGTGCAATAATGGCAGAGATGAGTTAATGCAACAGAAACTCTATCACTCACAAAGTCTAAAGGATGTATTATTTGGCTATTTACAGAAAAATTTTGCCAACCCCTGTTCTAGACTCAAGTAACTCAGAGACATTGCTTTCCAATCCCATAATCTCACATTTGTATGCTATTATCTGACAAGAAAAAAATACCAAATTACTTCTCTTATGATAGGCATGAGTTTTTACTATGCAACAATTTCATGTTAAATTTCAATAAATTTTAGTTTCATACTTAATGAACATTATTACACATGGAATGGTCAAAGGAACTCAACTATTTACTAGAGAAGAAGAAAACCACTGTGGTCTCCACACACAGGAAGGGCTGTCACGTGAAGAGGGTGAGTCAGCACCGTGTGGTGACTCAGCACTCTGCTCTCAGTCTGGCCACCTAACTGTGGGTCCTTACGTTTTCCAAGTGTCATCTGCGAAGCTGGGGTAGTAAGAGTACTTTCCTCACAGGGAGGTGGTGAGCATCAAAGAAGATGGAACACGTCCAGCTGCTGTACTGCTTTTCTTAAATTAGTCATTTGTGCTTGCTGTTACTGGTGAAGAGCTGGACATACTCTGCTGGCAAAATTAAAACAGCTGGAGGTAGGTTTCAAGGAGGCAGATTTCAGCTTTCAGCTCAACTTAAGGAAAAGCCTGATCGCCTTACTGTCTGCCTGGGAGTCAGGTGAACAGACAGTCTCATGGAGTTCAACATCCCTGACAGTATCCCTAGGGCAGTGTGAGCCCCATGGCATGGAGGATTCAGAAGGGATTGCAGGAGAGTGAGGATCTGACTAAGACTGCCAGTGCCATGTGTTTTTATCTGAGACTATGATGAAGAAAGCTTTGGGAACGCACACCATCAGCCCCATCTTAAGAACGGGGAAATATGTAGGATACACCAGAGAGTAAATAGGTGTCAGCAGATTATGAGAACAACATATTGCAAACTTTTTAAGTTTTAAAGGACCACCATCAACTCAGAACAGAATAAGGACACAACTTGGTTCCATTTTGCCAAAAAGGTAAATGGAGGGACAAGAACACGGCACCAAAGCCAGGTTCTCTGATAAAGTCACCCGGGAAGCGGCCCTGTCTCCAACAACAGGCCCAGTGGTTTTGGCTGGCAGGGTCCTTCAAAGGTACAGTGTGCCCAATTCATGCTGCGTCCATTCACCCTGGGCCCATTAATAATTTGCCAGGCACCGCCGGGTGCGATGGCTCACGCCTGTAATCCCAGCACTTTGGGAGGCCAAGGTAGGTGGATCATGAGGTCGAGAGATCGAGACCATCCTGGCGAACATGGTGAAACCCTGTCTCTACTAAAAATACAAAAAGTTAGACATGCATGGTGGTGGGCGCCTGTAGTCCCAGCTACTTGGGAGGCTGAGGCGGGACAATCACTTGAACCCGGGAGGTGGAGGTTGCAGTGAGCCGAGATTGCGCCACTGCAGTCCAGTCTGGTGACAGAGCGAGACTGCATCTCAAAAAAAAAAAAAATAATAAAAATAATAATAATAATAATAATAACAACAATAATTTGCAAGGCACCTAAGGCCATGGCCAGGCTCTCTTTCACTGCAGCTTGCTCTATCTTTAGTAGAGCTGGACAGGCTCCACCAGCAGGGCTCCGTGCTCCCCGCTGATACTAGCAGGAAGCAAGATACTTGACTGCACAATGGGCCTGTGGCCCCAGCTGCCCATTATCCAGGATGAAAGGTGTGTGTGGCCACAAGGAGTATGGCTCATGCACTCTTTAGCACCCTAAGGGCTTGGGGATCATTTGTTCAGTCTGAATACAAATCAAGGGTAAAAACCACATGGCAGTGTCACAGACATGACAGATGTAGTATCCAGTGCATGGACGGCACACAGCCTCTTTCCCTTCACCAATCAAGAAGAGTGACTAGTAAATGCTTTGACCATTTTCTTCTTTTAAAAAGGAAATTTTAAAAATTTAAAATTATATTGTTATTCTTCCTTTTAATTCTGCCTGTTTGACTTAATATTATAACATTAGGCTCAAAAATGACCAGTGACTTTTTCAATGACCTTGTTATTTAAAATTCTGTACACAGAATGTTAATAGCTGCATAATATTCTATTATATTGCTGTGTCAAAATTTATTCATCAGGCTGGTGCAGTGGCTCACACCTGTAATCCCAGCAATTTGGGAGGCCGAGGCAGAAGTTTGAGGCCAGCCTGGGCAGCAAAGCAAGGCCCTGCCTCTAAAGAAATTTTTAAAATTAAAAAATAGTTAGGCATGGTGGTACACACCTGTAGTCCCAGATACTGGGAAAGCCGAAGGGGAGGACTGCTTGAGCCAGGGCTTTGTAGTGAGCTATGATCGCACCACTGCATTCCAGCCTGGGCAAGAAAGTGAGACTCTGTGGCTTAAAAAAAAAAAAAAAATGTATTCATCATCCCAATGCGGGACCAACTGTCCCCATTTTTTCACCACTGTAAACAATGCTGCAATGAACATCTTTCTGGATGGATCTTCGTCCACATAGTGAATCAGCTGCAAACTACTTTTCTTTAACAGGAAGAGAATCTGGTCTGTATCAAGGCGATATCCTACCACACTTGGGAAATGAGGTACAGGAGAGCGACCCTCTACTTTATAGTGTTGCCAAGGCTGTCCAACTTACTGGTTCAGATAAATTACAGCCCAAAATCAGAGCAATTTCACCCATGGTGGTCACTGTTCCACAGTGGGGACGGTGCTCTGCTGGTGACTATCAACTCGGTGATCTCAGTCATTTTCCATTCAGGGCTTTAGTTTCTTCAACTGCAAAACTATAAGCTGGAATGAGATTATCTCCATGTTCCCCACTATCTTTATAATTGAATAACAGAAATAATTGAAAGACCCGGGAACAACAATTTCACAGTCAGAGTACCCTAATGCTGAATTACAACCTGATGCCAACTACCATGGCAGTTAAAAGAGACTCCGTGCCCCTGGCACTAGGTCAGACGTTGTGGGTAGAATCACAGGGGAAAGGGAGTGACACCCTGACTCGGAGTGGGAGGAGGGAGATTAACCCATCACAGAGCTACTAAGGAATGCTTACAGAGCCTCACATAGCAGCACTGACCTCAGCATGATTCTCTTGGGAAGGCCATAAATCCAAATGTGTCTGCCAGCCAGTATCAAAATGTCAGGCTGGGATGTCTAACAGACACCCCAAGTTAGGCCCCAGGGTCTGCAGGGAACCCTCAGTGGAGAGCCACTCACTGGGAGTCGTCTTTGGCTGTACCCAGAATTTACTTAATTTGACTATCTCCTTTCCCAGGCCCCAGCGGATGGAACTCATAAATAAAGAGTGAGAAATGCAACTGAAGCAGAGTTAGAAGCAGGCTCACTGACAACAGCAAGAAGGGATAGCTGCCAGCCCACGGAGAAGGAGAACCAGTAAAGTTAGCAAAAGCAGGCAGAAGAGTTTCTAAAGCAACATACTCTGCAAAGCAGTCTGGGCCATGTACTGTAGGAGCAAGTTGCCAGCAGCCCCCGGGAGCATGAATGGATATAGCAACTGTTGTTGAAAAGAACAATCCTGATCAACCCACATCAAAGGCTAATAGACCTCATTTAAGAAGACAGGGAAATGTAAATCTGTGAGATACTTCAGGATCATTTCTATCAAAAGCGTTTCATATAATAAAGGAATAAGCCTCAGTTATCTGGAAGGGTCACCCCTGTTGAGCAGCTCATTTGCTGAAGATATCACAGGGGCAAGGACAAACTGACCCAGGACAAATCATGCTACAGGAATGCTATAAAGAGAAGGATTTTCAGGGCTGGGCTCTCTTAGGCTCTGCCCGCATTGGCATTGTGCCTAGCACTGTGTTAAGCCCAAACTAGGTGCTCGCCAAGTAGGCTGATGCTCCAAGGGCAGGGCTGTGGGCACACACACTGGCTGACTCCGGCCAGGTGAGCACTGGGCCACAACCTGCCAAGTGTCCTCTCATATAAGGCTGGCTCTCTTCTCTACCTCCCCTTCCCCCAGATGCAAACCAGAAACAGGATCTGCTAATAAATTATTAGGCATGATCGCCTCTAGCATGGGGAAAGCAACTAAGAATGGTAATTAGAAGTTTAATGTTTACGTACACACACAAATGTGTGTATATATATATCAAATATACACATATGTGTATATATATCTCAAATATACATATATGTATATATATATATATAAAGGAGACTGTATCCCTCTGCTCCTTGTATGCCTTTTAAGTATTCACAGAGAAATAATAAAAAAGGCTGGAAGCAAACATGCCAAAATGTTAACTGCTGTAAATTCTGGGTGGTTGGCATAAAGTGCTGTTATATTATTCTTGAGACTTCTTTTTTCTTTGCATTTTCCAAATATCTCAAAAAATAAAAGATAATAGGCTTCTGTCCCAGGAGGTATGTCACTAAATCATGCATCCATGTGTCTATCCCTGCAAATACTGACTGCTTTCCTGGGCCTAGTATTTGTTGCACTGCTAGGATGCAGTGGTAAACCAGCAGATCAAATCCCAACCCTCATGAGGTTTTTGGTCCTCAGGGTAAGTTTATGCTGGGTTCATTCTTCCTCTCCTCTCTGAACTCTTATGAGATGGGCAATCAGAAGAGGGTGTCTCCTCTTCCACAACTCATTTCACACAAAGTAAAACCCAAACCCCTGCCGTGGACTATACAACCTTACCTGAGCAATCTCTTCCCACCTTTCCCACCTCATCTCCCCACTTTAAAGGGGCAGTCATAGTGGCCTCTTCCTCTCCTGTCTTGGTCTTTGGCCCTGCTGTTCCTCTGCCTGGGGCACTCCCACCTAACTCTACACATGACGGGTTCTTCACATCTTCCGGGTTTTAGTTCAAATCGCATATCCTCATTAAAAGGCACTTGCCTCCTTGCTTGTCAAAGGCACTGGCCTCCCATAGGCTTAGAACACTGTCCCTGAGACACATCTGAGCTAACTCCCTCATCTCTTCAAGTCTTCTCAAGCAGGCCTTCCCCAGCCACCTGATTTAAAATTGCAGCTTCACTTGAGATTTGCCCAGAGAGTAGAATTTAAGTGTTCTCACCGCCCCACCACACACAAAATGTGAGGTGATGAAGGTGTTAATTAGCCAGATTGCAGTAATCATTTCACAATGTGTAAGTTCATCAAATCATCACATTGTACACCTTAAATATATGCAATTTTTATTTGTCAATCATATCCCAATAAAGTCGGGAAAATAAACAAATAAAAATAAAATTGCAGCCTGTCCGTTCCCACACCCCCTGCTGCCTCACTCCTCCTGATACCTTTCACCTGGTTCTGCTTTTTCCTGTTGGATAGTACTGACTGCTTATGAACATGCTCTACAATTTATGTCTTTATTCCAGTTATTGTTTATGGTCTGTTTCCTGTACTAGAATGTGAGACCCCTAAGAGAAGAAAATGTGCATTTGTTTTGTTCACTGACACATCCTAAGGGTCTCAACAGTGCCCTTGGTAAACATCTCATGTTGAATTTCATAGCAATCATAAACATCTTCTTGTTTACCTGATTACTTATTTAGTGTTTGTTTCTCTTCAAGAGAGCCAGAGAGTTTGAGCAAACAACATAAGGCCTGTCTGTCTTGTTAAATTCACATGCCTAGCATGTAGAAAAGGATTTGACACATTTGAGGTGTTCAGTAAATTTATGAAACAAAAGAAAACACTGTCAAGCTGGGTCCAATGTGGGTTTTTCAATAAAGAAACTGCATTGTAATCCAGCCACCCATTTTCCTTTGCTTCCCTGAAAGAATCTTAGCCATCTGAAAAGGAATCATTATTTTAGCTAGCATAATCGCGATGCAAAAATAATTATTTCACTTATTCTGTACCCCAAGTTTGGAAGTCAACTACAGACTCTAATTGCTGCCTAAATCCCAGTAGTAAACAAACCAGCTTTGCATTTTATATGTTACCATGAGGTTCTCCGGGTTTGCTCCTCAGAGCCAAAGAAATGTTGACACAGTTGCACACCAAGTTTCAACATGCTGATCATGTTAAAATAGTGCACAAGAAATATTTTTCCACTTTATAAAAAGCCAGACTGTTTACATGCTTAAGTGGCCAGAGACTATGCTATCTGTGTGTGGTCCTGAAGTTTCAATATCATAACCATGAATACAAAATGGAGCAGCATGCAATAAACTAGTTTATGTAGTTTCTCAGCCAAAATGGGAATCAAGATGTTACCGTGCAAGAGCTCATAAATGGGCAGGTTAGAAAAGGGGAATAATTTTAATATATTTTTGAAAAAAAAAAGAATTAATGTAATACAACTCGGTTATATTTATACGTATATAATACAGACAAACATATTAAATAGAAGATGAGAGAGACAGAGGACAGAAATAGCTCACAAGGTCTTTGGCCAATAGATTTCTTATCAAGATCACACAGAAATATGCTGAGCACAGCATTAACTACAAGCCCAGGATCAAGTGGTAGAAAAGATCTATGAAATGGTTACCAAACACGGATCTTCAGTACAAACATGAGAGAGATGAGAGGCGTTCCTTCAGCTTGGCCCAGTAGCTGAACATAAGCCTTGTGCAACCTCCCAGGAGCACTCACCAGAGGAGGGGCCCTAAGTTCACAGTCGGGCTAAAGAAGACATGCCCTGTCTCCTATGTCTTTTCCATTTTCCGAGTAGCACTGGCTTTGGTCTACAATAATTTAGTCTTTCTTCAAGCTAGAAATAGAATTTAAGCAGGGGCTCCACCCTGTCCAGACAAGATATAAGTGAAAAGAGACCTCACAGAAAGAAAAATTATCTACATCTGACTAACTGAAGACATGCACACATTCCCAGAGTCTAGAGTTTAAATGTTCAAGACAGTTTCTGGATTCTGGGCTGTTTGCATTTATCATTCCTCTAAGTCCCCAAATGCTTCAGGTTAGTGAGGACTGCTTGTTCTCACATTTTTAATAGCTTTCTACTTGAAGAAAGTTCTCAGTACAGTGTGTCTAAACAAAAAAATAAATCACTTAATGTGAGCAGGTTCATGTTGCAACACGAAATGCCACTTCCCATTTGATTGCCAAATGCACAAACTGTTATTCTCAGTTGACTGAATAAGTGAAAGAATGGTACTTCATTAAATTTTTTTTTTTCCTGGCATTATCTTTTTTTCCTCCTACAGTTTCTTTTACAGAGTCTTCCGTGGCTATAGGTCGGAACAGTTTTCCTGTTGCTATGAGAACGGCATAAATAAGTCAAGTTTAAAATTCACTTTGGGGGTATGGAGCCGCCACAGTTCCGGCTACCTAAGCCCTCCTGGGTGTGTGTTGCGTACTCTTCCCTATAGGCAGTGGATCACAGCCATTTAACATGGCCTTCCTCCACCATGGCCCATCTTCTGGCCAGAAAAATCCCACAAGCCTCGCAGAGGCCCCCTCTAACTGCTTGGGCTTCTACACACAGACCTAGTAATGGTCTTCTGTGCTGCAAGGAGAGAAATATAAGCTCAACATTAACATTTCTCCAAGTGCAGAAATTCATGGGCCTCCCAAACTCCACCAAGCACCCTCCTACTTCCTCTACAACAATGCCACTGAGCAATGATCAAAATGAGGAGCCCTTGGAATACATTTGGAAGGGCAGAATAATGGGCCAGGAAGCGGGTCTAGGAAGGGGCTCTTTACATCCCCTGCTGTAGCCTTCCAGATCTGCCTCACCGAAGGTCCAGGGGCTCCCACAAGGGACCAGAGCTACATCTGCAGGAGGGTGGTTCTTCCTGTATTTTCAGGGCATTCTCTATTCACAATTAATCTGTCCACTCTTCCAGTGCTCCTGGACCTCAGAGACAGAAGGTATGCTTGTCTCACTTTACTGAACTGCACTCCAAGGTTTGAAGATCAAAAACCCTACTCCTAAGACAAGCCAGTCAGTGAGGACAACAGTATTTAGGGAAGCTCAAGGCTGTCAAAGGAAAGGTCAAGAGCGCTCTCCACCCTTAAAAATATCTAGGCTTTCTTCATGGCTGCTGCTTCTTTCTCACGAAGAGCATTGTGGGTTTAATTGTGGGCTGAACTGGATATCATAAGATCCAAAAGATATTAGGATAAGTCCTAACTCCCAATACCTGTGAATGTGACTTTATTTGGAAATAGTCTTTGCAGTTGTAATCAGGTTAAGATGAGCTCATTAGGGTAGATCTTTAATCCAATATGACTGTTGTTCTTCTAAGAGAAGAAGACAGAGACACAGAGAGAAGAGCTGTGTAATGACAGAGGCAAAGATTGCAATGCATTTACAAACCCAAGAAGGCCTAGGGTTGCCAACAAACACCAAAACTAGAAGAGGCAAGGAAGGATCTCCCCTAGAGCCCTCAGAGAGAAAGCATGGCCCTGCCAACACCTTGATATCAGACTTCTGGCATCCAGACCCATGAGACAATAAATATCTATTGTTTAAAGCCACCCAGTTTGTGGTTGTTTGTTACAACAGCCCTAGGAAACAAACTCAAAGAGCAAATTTTGCCTTGAGCTAAGAAACGAAGTCATGTCATTTGTGAACAGAGATGATGCCTTTCAGAGGAAAGCAAAGCTGCTTGCAAAAGCATAGGGCACACACATCAAATCCTCCCATGGCAAGGTGGCAGCAGGCTGGTCCAAAGAGCAGGTCCACAGAAAACAGCACATTTGGCTACTTCTTAAGGGTGCCTGGCAATGTCTGGCTCACACTTTCTAGGTTGCTTCAATGGTCCATCCAACCCAGCCACACCTCTAGGCCACCTATACTAAACTCTGCCAGTCAGTCACCCGCCAGCTGTTAGGGAGACTCAGTGGCTAGTTTAACCCTGTAGACCTCTGGCGGACAGCAGGCCTGAAGACTCAGAAGGACTGCATCATATACACCCTTGGGTCCTACCTTAACCTTGGCATACAGAAGAGTCCCATTCATACCCAGAGTGAACCCTGCTGATATAAGGGAATGTGGGAGGACAGATGGCAGGGTAGGCCATAGTGAGGTGGCCAACAGTTGTATCAATGCTGGAGGTGTGTCTAAGGCAGCACAAGGCACTACAACTAGAGGAGGAACCAGACTCACAGTCACCAATATCAAGGTCAAATAGCAAGAAAGATAACATGAGCCATCAGGTCTAAAGAGCCAGATGCCCATTGTGAAGGGCTACTAGAACATACTACTGGCAAATTCTCTAAATATTTACTGAGCACCTATTATGTGCCAGACATTATTTTAGGCATGGAGGATAGCAGTGAATAAACCAGGTAAAAATCCCTGTCTTCATGAAGCTTGCATTAGAATAGAGACAGACCAAAAAGAAAAAAAAAAAGGAAACTATTTAGCCCATTAGATGATGACTTGAGTATGATGAAAAAGAATAAGGCAGAGAACAAGACAGAAAATTTTGGGGAGGGGGCAGTTAACAGAGTAAATGGGGTGGTCAAGGAAAGCCTCAAAGAGAAAATGATGCCCAAAGAGAGGGAGTACACGCTGCAAATATCTGGGGGAAGAGCATTGTAGGCAGCAGGAGTAGTAAACACAAAGGCTGTGAAAAGGAGGCTGGCATCTTCGAAGAAGTCCTGTGAGGTTGAAAGTGAGTGGGTTTGTGAGCGGGGACATGTGAGTGTGCATGCACATGCACAGAGAAGAGTCAGATCGGAAGGCCTGAGGGCATGGGCTTTGCCTCTACATAAGATGGCCTGGATCAATACCCCAGCATTGGAGCCGAGGAGTGATGGGATCTGACTGGTGTTTCACAGGATCCTCTGCTGCTATGTAGAGGGCAGGCTGAAGGGAGGCGAGGGCACAGAGACCAGGTAGTGCAGAAACACATGGGCCTCCCAACTCCTCCGAGCATCTGCAGTGCCTCCCACTTCCTACACAGAAATGCCACAGAGCAATAATTAAATGGAAGCCATCTCTCCTCACTTAAAGGGGTAAGTGCCTCACCTTTACTAGCACTGAGGATTACAAATCTTTGCCAGTGGTGTGCAGTTACTTAACCCCCTTGAGTATCTATGCTTAAGAAAAAATGAATAAGCCGCCGTTTCGGCCCCACCCAGTGAAAAATCTGCCAATAATTGGCTTATTGAAACTAAATGCAAACCAAAGATCACATCTAGGTTTATTTAAAGACAAACGGTGTGCTCTCATCAGAGTACTGTAAGCAATGTGCCCATTACATTTTTACATAGGCATTCAAAACATGCATATAAAAGTAGTACATTTGCTTAAAAGTCTTATAACAAAATACTAGATTTTTTTTAAAAAGTTGTCTGCGTCTCGGAAGAAAATGAAAGGAAATGAATACATTTTGACACGAACTTTTCTTCATGGCCACAACAATTCTTGTTTCACCACCAGACTGCTTTAAGTCTGTTTGTCTGGGTAAGTAGAAGCAAGGAAAACCTGCCATCTGGCATGACTGCCATCTCTTTGTGGCCACACAATAAGTCTTGGGCAACTCTGCCTGCTGCCCTCGAGAACCAAGTGGGGTGGCAACAGCGGAGAGGAGGTAAAACAAGGAGGCTTCTGTGGAGGCAGAAGTATTTATCATGAGCAGTTCCGCCTCTGAAGGAAGGAGATTGCTGTGGGGGCTGAGCACTTTATTGCTGGGCCCCAGCTTTTTGGCAACTGCAAACAGTCAACTTGCAGCTCTTTGGGGAAGGTGAATTTACAGATGAGGACAGCTCCTTTTTTAGCTCTGGTTCCTTTACTACTCATTAGCATCTTTTTTTGAAAGGATAGACTGTGGGGGGAGGGGAGAACAAATAAGAACCAAATGTAAATTAAAGCATTAGTTTCTTTTGGAGTATAGCGGAAATTTTTCTGCACTGATTATACATACATTATTATATAATGTCATTATTACTCCCTCCACCATCACTAGCATTTCTAAATATGGTAATATTATATAACTACAATGTTTTTCACCTATTTTTGCCATCATCATTGTAAGTACATATGGCTAAACTTGTGCTTCATATGGGAACTTTCGCGATTTATTTTCAGGTGTAATTCCTGTAACTAAGCCACCAACTAGTTTCATCAAATATCACCATGGCAGTGGGGAAGGAAGCCTACACCAAATGAACACATGAAAACACTGGTTCTACAGGATTCTAATGCATTATCTCCCTGCAGACATGGCCTTAATCTGTGCTTATGTAACACACTCTGCATTCAGCCTGAGTTTGGAAGCATTTCCAACAAGAACATTATCCATAAAACAAAACTGGTTGCAAATTAGAATCCTGAAATGAGTACCTGAGACATCATGAGGGGCAAAGCATGCAATGGTAGACCCTTACAAATGTTCATATTTTTATTTACTTATTTTATTTATTTTTTGAGACAGGGTCTCGCTCTGTCATCCAGGCTAGAGTGCAGAGGTGCAGTCATAGCTCATGCAGCCTCGACCTCCTGGGCTCAAGGAATCCTCCCACCTCGGCTTTCCTAGTAGCTGGGACTACAGGTGTGCACCACCACGCATGGTTAATTTTTTAATTTTTTTGCAGAGACAGGATTTTGCTATGTTGCCCAGGCTGGTCTTAATTTCCTGGACTCAAAGGATCCACCTGCCTCAGCCTCCCAAAGTGCTAGAACTATAGGTATGAGCCACCATGCCTGGCCCCATCTTTTTCCACACATGAAGAGAACCACACATAGAACTTTAACACATCAGTGGCTCATGCCTGTAATCCAAGCACTTTCGGAGGCCAAGGTGGGTGGGTCACTTGAGGTCAGGAGTCCAAAACTAGCCTGGCAAACATGGTGAAACCTCGTCTCTACTAAAAATACAAAAAATTAGCCGGGTGTGGTGGCGGGCACCTGTAATCGCAACTCAGGAGGCTGAGGCAAGAGAATTGCTTGAACAATTCAGAGGTTGCAGTGAGCTGAGATTGCACCATTGCACTCCAGCCTGGGCAACAGAGTGAGACTCAGTCTCAAAAAAAAAAAAAAAAAAAAAAGAATTTTGACACATAACATCATAAATTCAAAGTCTTCCCCATCTATCTAAACCCAGAGCTCAGACCACAATGTCTAATAAAGGGACAGGGTTCTACATAATCTTCTGGTCTCCTGACAAAAGAGGTGTTTCTTAAATAAGTCATCTAATAATTGTACAATAACCATGTTTTAACCACAGCTTTTCTTTTTCCAACTTTGACATGTACCATTTCCTTGAATTCAGTTATTGGGTTTATTTGTATTTTTGACAGCAGTCATTATCATGATTAGCTATACATAGATTTACTCTTCTAGATCCAGTTAAACCCAGGTTATAGATTATAACAGACCTAGAATATTTAACTTTTATCATTTTGACTTTTAAAGGACTACATTTTAAAAATATCTTTTATCTCCAATCAAATGGATACTATGCTATCCTCTGTGAAAGGAGGGTAAATAATGACCTTGTTCTCATGTATAGTCATACCTTTCAGCATTTTCACGGACATCAAAAAATTTGTCTTGTCTGTAGGTAATACTACTAATATATTTAAATATTTCCTGTGCCAGGAATACAAATGGGAAGATGAAGCACATTGATTTTCATGAAAATTATCATTCATACAACAGACACTGTTTTTCAAGCAATAACCCATTACTGGATCCTGAAATCAGCTTACTGATTTACAACCAATATGTTTAACTGAATGCAATGAATTGTCTAGAATTGAATAAAACAAGGTATATTACATGTTACAAAGCTACATATTATTTTGTGATACTTTGGTTTCAATTATTTGTGTAAATGCATGTGTGCGTGCATGTTGTGTGCATATGCATATTGTGTATGTATGTTGGGGTTCTTCAAATCATGTAAAATGTATTTCTTATTGTAAGTAAAGTTCAAAGATAGACAAGTGTCTGTCATTTAACTAAAGAGAGTAAGCTATAAAAGTCCAAGCCATATATAACATAAAGAATTAAAGTTGAAAATCTGTATTAGACCCATAATTTTTGTCATTAAAGAAGTTAATAAGATCACTAAATTTAAAATAAATAAAAATTTGTTCACACATATAGTTAAGATAATAATGATTGCTGTAAAGATACAAAGTAGGGAGTAGAGATATTTTAACATCCAAAGCATATGTAAATATACATATTTTAGTTGTGATCATCCTCAGTGATAATTTATTGTCCAAATGCTTTATGTTATTTTTCCTACCTAGAAGAGGCCAATAAGAATCGCTATTGTTCTAACCCTATACAGGGTAGAATGATATGATAACAAAGTAAATTTGTCTAAAGCAGGAAATTTTTAAAAATTAGAGGATTTTCAAAAAGAATTTTAATATGGATATTAAAAATCTGAATCTTGAGAATAAGGGACAATAGACTCAATTACAATAGAGTGTCAGGTATAATCACCAGTTGTAAACTCCGTCACCACAAAAAAAAAAAAAGAAAAGAAAAGAAAAAAGAAATTGCTACAAGCACCAAAGAACCTCCCATCAAGATGATACAGTTAAGTGCTTATTTTGAAGCATCCCTATGGCAATGATCAATTTCCTTAAAACCATCCACAAAATATTACAGTGTTAAGACACTTCAAAACTGAGATAACCATTTCATGAGACAGAAATGGACCTGAAATAAGCAGGAGGCAGGGTAGATACCACAGAACTGGCAGGGGCACAGGAGGCAGGGTAGATACCACAGACCTGGCAGGGGCAGTGGGAAGTTCCATTCTGCAGAGTAATGGGAGAGATAACCCCTGAGGCCACACTGGGTGGGATGGAGAAGGACTCGCCAGAGGAAAACTTCTGCTAACAGATTGACCTAGGGCACTGGCATGATAGGAAGCTGTAAACACAGGGAGGCAGGAAAACACAAACACAGCCTCAGGAACTGAACAGAGCTGCCCACTGGCTCAGCTAATAGATTAACAATATCTAATTCACTGCAAGACAGATGATCTGAAATTATATTACCTATGTCATCAAATCTAGGATGCCAATAATTGTTAAGGAAGAATATTGCTATGTACCACTAAGAAAAAATATTGCCAGTTAAAATGATATATCCATGAATTATAGATGTATCCCAATCTGAAAGATTTTAAAACATGAAAAAAAGTGAGTCATGGAACTGATAATATGCTCTATGACTTGGCTCTAGACTCCATGGTGAAGGAGTAGAGAGAAGAGAAAGCTGGTTCTCAGTGAGAAGAGGCCATTTTTTAGAAAAAGCAAGATTGGTGGAAGGATTGCATACAAAGGGCAACAGAGGAAAAATTAACACCAAAAAAAATTTTTTTAAAGGAAGAAGCAGCAGCCTACTCAAAATGAGCCTCCAAACCAAAATTCCAAAGTATATGAAGAATTCTAATATTAAGAAAAGTGACCAACAAAGTCAATAACCAGAAAAATAATTTCTGGAACAGTCTATTTGAATTCTAAACAAGTACATTTAAGAAGTTTAAAGAAATAAAAACATCATTTCATTAAAATGAGTAAGAAATTATAATACAGAAAGAGATAATGCTGATAGGAAACCGATATGAAAAAATGATAAACACAAGTAATAGGGCAGAAATAAAGTTTCCGAAAAAAGAAAGCAAAGAGAATAGTAGAAAACCATATTTGAAGAGGGTATACTAGAGACTGCCAAAATTGAGGAAATGATTCCTCAGATGAAAACACCTTTGAGTACAAAGCAAAAAAGATAAATCCACATCTAGACACTATAGTGAAAGCATAAAGTATCAGGGATTTTTTTAAAGTTGTAAAATTTAAAAGTTATCACAAAATCTAATGGCAGATGTCTCATCTACAGAAAATGGAAGAGTGCCTTCAAAATATTCACAGAAAATATCTGTTGACCTAAAATTTCATACTCATGTAAAATAAACTGCCATCCAAGATTCAATGCAAAGTAATTTCTGACATTGAAAAACTAAGTATCAATCAATCAATGAGGGACAGACTCCCACAGTCCCTCATTAAAAGAACTATTAAATGTTTATCACTGGGAGAAAATGCATGGGATACCTGAAACAATAGTGACGCCAGATACTGATTAAAAACAAAAAAGAAAAGAAACACACACACATAGATACATACACTTAACTTCTGATTGAAAAAATATTAATAACCAATTCATTTTATATTAAGAAAACACTGTGAAAGTTGTTCAATGTTTAAACAAAATGTGCTAAGTCTAGGTCACATATGGAAAAAGGATAGAAATACTGAATGACTTTAGAATTTGCTGAAAAATGTTAGAATGAAATCCATGAGAGATACTGTAGATGATATGACCCCAAGCCCCATTCTTAATTTCTTCCTGGCTTCCTTCCAGCTATAGAAGGCTACCTGGCACAGTTCTAGCCAACAACAAAAGCCCCTTGGGTGCTACTCCCAGAAGTCTTTGCTTTTCTGACAAAAAGAAAACTCCTCAGTGAGCACGCCTTTTTTTTTTGTCCATTTGGCCTTTCCCAATTCCCTCCTGCCTAGTAGTACATGGATGTGAGGAAGTGCAGCTGCCAGCCTGCAGCCATAAAGCTATAAGAATGAGGAAAAGCCCCCAAGTTATGGGATGATAAAGCAAAAGATAGAAAAACCTGGGTCCCTGATGGTAGGTCCACCTCTAGGTTTTGTTTCGTGCAAGAAAAATAACTCCTATTTGTTTGTGACTCTCTAATTGGGTTTTCTGCTACTTGCATTGAGTATAACTTTAGTAGTAAAAAGAATTATGAGCAAACTCTAAAAGAAGAGAATTACTGTGTATGATGAATTAAGCAGAAGACAGGAATAGGAAAAAGAAGACACAAAATAAAGGGCTAGCTAGGAGACCTGAAATGTTGCCAACACGTAGAAATGATCAATGCTCGGGTGATGGATACCCTGACTTGATCATTACACATTCTATGCACGTAATAAATATCACATGTATCCCAGACACATGCATAAGCACTGTGTATCAATTACAAAAATAAAATAATTTAAAAAGAAAAAGAATGGCAAGCAAAAAATATAATGTAGTAGAAATAAGTCCAAATACATTAATATTTGCAATAAATGGAACCAATGAATAGGTGCAGAAAAAAAAAATCAACCAAACAACAACAAGAAACAACCCAGCTATTTGCTACTTACCAGAGAAGATGCACAAAAAGGGCTGAAAAAGCAAATGTCTTTAAAAATTTAACCAAAAATGAAACAAAATTAAAAATCAACCAAATAATAACAACAACAAAAAAAAACCCAGCTATTTGCCACTTATCAGAGAGAATGCACAGAAAGGGCTTGAAAAGTAAATGTTTTACAAATTTTAACCAAAAGAAAAACAGGTGAAGAAATGTTAATACTGAAATATTAATAGCAGACAAAACAGAATCTTAAAGGAAAACCATCAGAATTACTAAAGATGGATACCTAACAATATACATAGAAAAATCTATGAGGATGATAGAATAATCATGAACTTGTTTATACTTAGCAGTGCAGCTTCAACATACATAAAGCAAAAACTGACAAGATATAAGGAAAATGTGACGAATCTATTACTATAGTGAGAAGCTGAAAAACCAGGCAAAATATTTAAGCAAAAACATTAATAAATAGTGAAATTAACTTATCTGATTATTTAATAGAATCTTACATTTAATAAATCTGGACTACGAATTCTTTTTAATTATACTTTAAACATTTACAAAACCCCGACCATGTACCAGATCAGAAAGGAAGTCTCAACAAATTTCCAACAATGGTTATCACACAGACCACATCCTCTAGCCATAATGTGGGCAGTTAAATTAGAAACTGACAATAGAAAATATTCTCAAAAGGTATTTGAGAAATTTAATATGCAATCTTAAAAAAATCAGACAGTAAGGAGAAAATGACAATGACAATCACAAAATACTTAGAAATTAATAATGTTGAGAGTACTATATCTCAAAACCTGTAACATGCAGTTAAAGTGACTCTTAGATATATTTTACAGTCATATACGTATTTTCATTATTTTTAATCGATGAATAAAAATTGTATGTATTTATTCAGTACAATGTGATGTTTTGATAAATGGGAAAAATGTGGAATGATTAAACAAGCTAATTAACATATCTATCATCTCACTTGTCTTTTTTTGTGGTGAGACATTTGAAATTTAGTCTTCACAATTTTGAAATATACATTATTAATAACTATAGTCACCATGAGGTACAACACATCAAGAACTTATTTCTCCTAACTGAAACTTTGTACCCCTTGATGGCCATCTCTCCATCACTCCACAAACTCTATTATATGTACTTTCTAAGACAGAAGAAGGAATCAAAATCAATTCAGCCTAAAATAGAGTAAACTAAAGAAAGAGGAGGAGACAGAAAGACAAAGTGGGAGTAGGGCCAGGGGGAGATAGGAGGAAGAAGGGAAAAAGCAAGAGGGTAAAAGGAAGAAAGTAGAAATTAAGCAGAAAATAAGAAAAACAGCAAATATTAACAAAACCAAATTCTGGCTCACCAGAAAAACTAAGCAGGCAAACGTCTAGCACAAATAAACAATATTGGATAAAAAGGAGGATAATGTTAAATACAGAGTTTTATTTAATTAAAAGAGAAAACTATAACTCAATTCTATGTCAATATATCTAAAAACAGATGAAATAACTTTTTCTAGAAAAATATTAATAACAGACTCAAAAGCATTATATTGTATACAAACCAATAAGCATTAAAGAAACTTATAATAATATAAATATAATAATGATATTATAACAGTAATATAAATAATAATAATCTTAAATAATCAAAAAGCTTTATTTCCATCCTCCGCCCTAGAACCACAGGCCCAGGCAGTTTCACGAGAGAGTTTTATGAAGTCTTCAAAAAATGGATAATTACAAACTATTACAGAATACTTTTAAAGGGGTGATCCATCATTTAACGAGATTAGTAACAAAGTCAACAACAACAAAAAAAGAAAGCTCATTCATAAAAAGTTTCAATAATGCTAAATTATACTGTCAAAGCAAAGCAGAGTTTATCCCAGGAATTGTAAGATCAACACATCTACTAAATGCCGTATTGAGATATTAAAGGATAAAATACGATCATCTCAATAAATGCTCTTAAAAAGTCTTCAAGTCCAGGTGTGGTGGCTCATTCCTGTAATCCCAGAACTTTGGGAGGCCAAAGCAGGAGGATCACTTGAGGCCAAAGGTTTGAGACCAGTCTGGGTAACACAGTAAGACCCTGACTCAAAAAAAAAAAAAAAAAAAAAAGGCAACTATAAAAAAAACACTTCAGTAAAGTTTAACACTCATTTTCAAGACAACATAGTTGCAAAGTAGACCAGTAGGAAACATTTTTCATCTAAAATGTGTTATGTATCAAAGCCTGACGCAGACATTGCTCTTAATAGTAAGGCTTTAAAATTATTTCCATTAAAGTCAGGCACAAGACAGGAATAACCACTACATCTTCTATTCACATTGCATTGGTCCTAGGCAATGCAATAATTCAAGAAATAGAAAATGGATATATAAGAATTGAATGTTCATGCATTTAAAAGGGCTGAAAAAAAAGAACTTAATGAAAGAGACAAAAGTTACCTTATCTGTAGATGTTGACTATACATAAAATATTCAAAAGAATCTTGGAAAAACTATTAAAATATGGGAGTTCGATATGGTTGGTGGTTTCAACATCAATCTAAAAAATGAATAATTGTCCTAAATCCTGTGATAATCTATTATAAAATGTAATAGAATAAAATATCCAATTTATAGTAGCAACAACGAAAAAAATGCCTGGAAACAGACCTAATAAAAAATCTTATTTAAGGCCTCTATGGACCTAGTTCAAAGACAAGACTCAGAATCATAAGACTGCAATGCTCCCCAATTAATCTACGAACTCAATATTACTTAAATCAAAATCCCAAATGTTTAAGGAAGATCAAAGGTCACAGAGTAGCCAAGGCAATGTTGAAAAAGAAAAAAGTAGAAAGATTTGTTCTGCTAGATGAAAAGACATACCACCAGGGGCAGTGGCTCACACTTGCAATCACAGCACTGTGGGAGGCCAAGGCAGGAGGACTGCTTGAGGCCAGGAGTTTGAGACCAGCCTGGCCAACATAGCAAGACCCCATCTCTTAAAAAAAAAAGACTTGTGATAATGTTACAGTAATCAAAACAGTTGGTATTAGCATAGAAAGAGACAAATGATAATGTGTACATAAAAAATATGTCTATTTAGAATCATACTATATGACAGAGGAACATTACACTTCAACGGGGAAAGGATAAGCTGTTCTGAGATAACTAATTATCCATTGGGAAGTAAAAACTATACCAGATGAATTAAAGAACTAAATATTTTCAAAAACCTAAAATTTTTGAAGAATATATTAGATACATTTTGGTTGGAAAGATACTTTCAAGCAGACCTAAAAAGTACAAACCATAAAAGACTGATATATCAGTCCATATTAGAATTTAAAACTTCTTTTCAACAAAGACACTGGAGACAAAGTAAAAAGACAAGTCACAGATTAGTATTTATAACAAATATAAATGACAAAAGATCACTATATAGATAGCAGTTATGTCAAAAGATAACAACAAACAGTCCTGCAGAAAAATGAGTAAAAGATATGAACCAGGTATCAACAAAAGAAATAAAAATAAACAGTAAGATATCACTTCACACCCATAAGATTGGAAAAAGTAAAAATTCTAGCAATACCAAGAATTCCCAAAGATATGAAGAAAAGGAAATTCTCATATGGCTGGTGGGAGGGGAAACTGACGCAACTACTGTGGAGAGTAATTTACACTGTCCAGTGAGGCTGAGGCTGAGCCTGAGTCATGTTCTGTAGTTCTGCAATCCCACTCCAGGACACATCCCCTACAGCAGCCAGTATTTCTGTGCACCTTCTCCCTATTCACACACCCAAGAACATTCATCACAAACTGTTGGGAATAGCACAAAATTAGGGAAAACTTAAACATTCAGCAGAAACGGGTAAATAAATGGCATAGAGTTATAAAAAGGAAAACTATGTAGCAGATCCTTCACTAAAGCTACATGTATCCACAGCCAACATAACAATGAGTAGTAAAAGCAGACTGCCTAATACTATGCACAGCATGTACCATTTATACTAACTTTGAAAATGTGCAAATCAATACCAAATGTTGTTTATGAGCACATTTGCTTGTAGAAAAGGCAGGAAAATGTATATAGAAATAAAACATACCAAATTCAGGAAAACTGTTACTTCTGGGGTAAGTGAGGAGTTTATAGGTTGAGGAGACATACACGGGTATTAAAATATATTTACAATTTTTTAACCCAATGATACCAGTAGATACTATTACGTTGAACAATGAGTTCTTGAATTCTTTTGAAATAATTATGCCTCATAGTTTCCATAAACATGATAAATATTATTCAATATGTATCAAATTATTACATAACACATAAGTTTAAAGATTTAATAAGAGAATCACTTTTGGAATTAAAAAAGAAAGTAATCTTCAGATGTAAAAGATGCACCATGCTTTGGGGAAAAGTGATAAGCATAATTGCTAAAAAGATGGTTAGGTTCTGGAACTTGAACATTCTCTAGTTGTGCAGACAGCAAAATTGAGTTGAAATGGGGGAAACCTGAGATGACTTTAATGCTTCTCCACACTGGTTCATGGAGAAGACAAAGGAGCAAGGTCCGAAAGCTCTGAAGAACGTTAGAGCTGAGAATCATGAATATGATTACTTGGCTGCACAAAGTAAGAATATGAGAAAAAAACAGGGGAGTTGAGGGAGAAATAGGAGAAAATATAAAGGCATTAATTTCTTCATTTCCTTTAAGAAGAGTTGATGGGTATTATGTTTGGCAAAATGTGATGAAATGTTTAAACTGCGAAATAAGTACAAGGGTGTTCCTTATGCGATTAGCCATTTTATTAAGTATTTAAAACACAAATTATTTTAAAGAATTACATCTGCAAGTGACAAAGCAAGACAAGAGGCAAGTACCAAAGTGTGTAACAACCTGTGTTTTTTTTTAAAGTGGAGCCTACTGACAGCAACGTGACAAAACCACTCTCTTGTTTGCTTTCTCCTGGACTATCCTGAATGGGGAAGAGAGGGGTGGAATTACAAGTAGCTTGCTTCAATTTTGCATAACCCTGGATACCCCCCTGTGAGGGTGTGAGGCATGTGAAAGCCATCTGTGTTGTAGCAGAAAACAAGTTGAGAGCTACTGAATCAGAGCATTCACATCAAAGAATGAATGCAAACTGGCTCTCACCACCAGAAGCCATGTTCACAGGGAGAAGGAGAATGGACAGAGACTCTCAAATAAACCACAAAACAATGGTGAAAAAAACACTGTAAGTCACTATATGGCCAATAATTTCAAACTGCAGACCTACCAAATCTTTTCAACCTCTATTAACTAACAGCAACACAGATGGGTTGGGTTTCAAGTCTCTCCATTCTTTCTGGATCCTCTGGAAAAGGCACAAAGAAATAAAATGCCAAAACAATAGGTTACCCAAAAAAAGAGCAGGAAGTAGAGTCAGGAAAATTCACAAACTAACTGAGTGACCAGTCTCAATGTGAGGTCAGAAGGTTCTATGAGACTGTGAATCTTAATCTAAAGCAGGGGGTGGGAGGGGATGACTTATTTTTAACCCACATTTCACACTATAGAAAGATGTTACAGGAAGACACACGGACCCAAATTAAGCTGAACATCTTTGTTACCACTGCTCTAAGCCACTGAGGAGACAGAACCAGCATGAAGGAGGATTCTGGGACAGACCCGGAAATGGAATATTTTAATTATTATATTTTATTCATAAACAAAATGATATTATAAATACTCATAAAGAATTTTATACATGGACTTATCCAAAGTTAGTTTTAGTCTAAAAAAAAAAGAAATTTCCACTACTTTAAATACTAAAAATATCTCCTTTTGAAACATGTTCTTTAGGTTTGCATGATAGGGATTCTTTTTTAAGGCCTTTCATGGTGATAGAGTTTTTCCAAGGTGTGTCATTCATAATCCATACAGGTGATTCATCATGGCCTCCTTAGAATTAGATATTAACACTAAGAACTTTTTTGGCCCTTCCCTGTTTTTACCTATGAAAGATGTATGGGTGGGGTAGAGTTAAGTGCAGAAGAAAATTTAAATCAGAGACCAGATTTAAACATTTGCATGTGTTAAAACACCTTCAGAAGATAACTCGGTAATTCTTAAAGAACCAAGTAAGCTTCATTAAATGTGTGAATAATACCACTATCTTAACTTAGCTGAATTCAGAGAAACTGTCCTCATGTTAACCATTTCCCTTTCCCTCTCACTGAGGAGTACAAAGGAAATAGAAGCCATTGAGGCCCATCCAGACACATGTCACCATGGGTAATCCCACTCCCCTTCTAAATTCTATCCCTAAGCCTAACCTGACCCCTTACTCTTGTGCTAGCACGTTGAGGAGAGGGAATATTTTTACAGAGCAAGAAGGTATAAAAGGGTTCTGGGGAAATTAGGAAGAGAGCCTTAGACAGAAGGGCAAATGGTATCAAACATTTCATACATCTTGTTTTAAAGATTTCCTCTCTATACTTTGAGTCAAATGGCAAGTTTAAGGCCCATTAAAAAAAATTATCCACTATAACTTAGGAACTAAAGGAAAAGCAAGAGAAAAATAAAATCTAAAGAGAAGGCCTTAGGTGGTATTATTTAAAATGTATCTTGTGGGTTTCAGCTGCCCATTTTGTAGGGAAAGATAACTGGTGAAGAGGGGGGTGGTGGTTTCCTCACTGCTTTCCTCTGGGACAGCACCAAGTACAATGTCTTGATTTGTCTACATTAGTGGACCGAACTATAACCTAATGACAAGTCAAGTAAGAAGAATGACCCCATACAGAACTCCTCGACTTATGTGAACGTTTGGCATGAACTACACTTCACGATTCCAGGCTGCTGCTGCACTACTGTTTATGGAGGTAAGGCATCTAGCAAATACCTGAGTGGCTTGTTTCTATGGGCAGGTTCCCTTGTGAAAACTAGAACAAGCCTGTGGACGTCTAAAAGAAATCATTCTACAAATCTAGGGAAGGAAAATTCATGAAATGACATCCAAACTATGCTAACCCCAAACCAGCAGAAAACAGCTATATGCTTTTAAGTGGTATGTTCTTTGGTTATATATTATAATCATGTACAGACTAGACATGCTGTCATTTGTTCAGTGTGTCAACTTGAAATGGACAGCCTTGCCCAATATTTCAGCTCAAGGGAAGTGTCTATCACCAATGACTCTTGAATGAAAAGAAAAAAAATTGGGAACTGAAAAAAACATATTCTTTGCTTATTTTAGCTATATTAAGAAATATAACAATTACTTCTCTGGAAATGAAATGCACTCTTTGAAGTGTTAATCATCAGATGTCAGAGCAGGAAGGTCCTGACATCATCTACCCCAATACTGTTATTTTACAAATAAGGAAGCAGAAGACGAGGAGACTGAGAGGCTTGCTCAGCATTTTACAACTTTGAAGGAATCAGGGCTGTATTTGCTTCCTGAGGCTATGATATAAAGTACCAAAAGACAGATTCTCTTGGCTTAAACCAAGAGAAATGTACTCTCTCACAGTTCTAGAGGCCAGAAGCTGAAATTAAGGTGTCAGCAGGGTTGGTTCCTTCTGAGTATGGATATGAGGGAAAATTTGTTCCATGCCTCTTCTCCTAGCTCCTGGTAGCCTCAGGTGTTCCTTGGCTTGTTGATGGCATTATCCTTGTGTCTTCACATCATCTTCCCTCTGTGTGTGCTGTCTCTGTGTCCAAATGTCCCCTTTCTATAGGAACATCAGTCATATTGGTTTAGGGTTCACCCTAGTGACCTCATTTACCTCTTTACAGACTCTGTTTCCAAATAAGGTCACATTCTGAGGTCCTGAAGGGTTAGAATGTCAACATACATTTTTGGGAAGGGATATTTCAACCCATAATAAGGACTATGAGCAGAACTCTGTTGGGACCTGGGGAGAGAACCCAGGTCTCCCAATGCATGACAGTGGCCTTTCTTATTCATAAGATTTCTCTGCTACCACAGCTGATAGGTCCTACTTACAAAGTCAGAAATGACTTCCGCCCACAAAAAACTGATATCTCACAAAGGACAATGAAACATTCAAATGCCAGGAAAAGGAAATCATCATTCCATTTGGTCACTAATGTTCACCAATGTATCCTAACTTCCTCCCTCACAAAAATGCCTGAAATATTTCTGCAATATGCCTGCCCTCATGTCTAAAATACCTACTGTTCAGCGAACATGCAAGAAATATGACTGGAAGAAAAACAACTTAAATCTACTCTCCCATTTTGCCCAAGACCGCCCTCTCGAGCATCTCAGCATGCCTGGAAAAGAAACATGTGTGCGAGAAGAAACCTCAAGGCCCTCAGATTCCCAACAGGTCTCAGTCTCCTTCTGCTGCCCAAGTTACATATCAAGTGGCTGACTAATCAAGACACCCAGGTCCATGGCTGGGTTGCAACATCAGTGCTTCGGCTGAGAGCTTCATCCCGGCAGTGGCACTTTGCAGCAACCTAACTGTTAGAACAGTTCAATCATCACTCACCCTGCTGCCTAAGTATGCCTGAGTCTGAAGATAATTGTCATATTGTCTCACTATTTTCCATTACAAATTAATGACATCTGTAATACTGAGTCATAAAAAGTCTATCCAAAGAACTGTATTAAAAATTACATGGAAATGATTTCTCTAAGTGGCCTCTTGACAAACACATGACCCACCCTTTTCCATTAAGGCCTTTAGAATCCTGATCTACAGCTGGCCTTGGAAAACTGGGAGTTATGTTTTACTGCACAAGATCTAACAAGTATCACAGTTCCAAAAGTGAATAAATAAGAGCTGAGCAGGACTAGACTGGATGTTGATTTTGTTGTTGTTGTTTTTGTTTTTAACTCTTAAAGAGCTACTGCTTTAAGGAATAGTTTTCTACAGAGAACAGAGGCATTCAGAGTTAGAAAAGCGTGCAGGCGGCTCTAATCCAAACCTCTGTTTACTGAGTGAGATGTGAACGCCCAAAAAACTGAAGTGAATCAGAATCAATTGATCAAATGAACAATCAACACTTAACTGTACCCTCAAGAGATTATTCAAAAAAAAAAACAGAGCAAGTTTGAATGTAGAGATTCAGGCATTACTTTCTTCTAACAGAATTTTCTTTCAGGCTAGAATCCTTTCAAAAGAACAATTTTTAAATGTTCTAAGAAATCTTTGCTAGGGTTGAACGTTTAATGTAAGTTGATTTCAAGTAATATTTGAAGGGCTATTAACTATCTTAGAATTTAAAATTTTGTAAACAGGGACATTGGGCTATCCTGGCTATATACTCTGCATGATCATTTATCCCAGAGAAGATATAAACAATAACAAGCTATTTTATATGAACTGATGGCCTTTCCTGTCTATATTTCCTCTATTTGCAAATTTGTCCCAACCTATGATTTAAATACGCATGTTCACATGCGTATTTAGCCCCCTAAACCTCATTTCTCCTCTGTATGTATGTAGGAATTAAAAATTTTACCAGGGTGTTGTGAGGGTTTAAGGAAAGTATATAGGAAAGAGCCTGGCACACCAGTTCCATCTCTTTCAGTTCTTGATTCTTCAGGTACAAAGAGCTCCTTCTCTTCCTGTCAACTCCAGCAGCATTTCATCACTACCGTTCTAATAGTCTAACCACTCTGTGCATGGTAATGTCTTCATCTCTGAACTCCTTCACAACATGTTATGTGATGTCCTGCATATAACATGCCCTCAATTAATTTCAGCCTGAATGTTTCAAATAAAACAATTTTTTGCAAGACTGTGTTAGGATGCCTACCTAGTAAAAAAAAAAAAAAAAAATTTAAGCAAGGAGTTGATAATTATTTTAGTTAAGATGCCAAACAAAAAGAAAACTAAGAACTAAATAAACAAACCCTCTTGAATATACAGTTAACCCTTGAACAACATGAGTTTGAAATGCATGGGTCCATTTGTACCTAGATTTTTCCAATAATGTTATACCGAGGGTGCCTGCCTCTCCTGCCTATCCTACCTCCTCCACTTCTTCTGCCTCCACCACCCCTGAGACAGCAAGACCAACCCCTCCTCTTCTTCCACCGACTCAATATGAAGATAACAAGGATGAAGATCTTTATGACGATCTACTTCCATTTAACAAACAGTAACTATATTATCTCTTCCTTATGATCTTCTTAACCTTTTTTCTCTAGTTTACTAAATAATAAGCATACAGTATATGTTCTCTAGTTTACTATATAATAAGCATACAGTATATAGTACATATAACATAAAAATATGTGTTAATGGACTATTTATGTTATCAGTAAGGCTCCTGGTCAACACTAGGCTATTAGTAGTTAAGTTTTGGGGGAGTCAAAAGTTATCAGTGATTTTTTTTTTTTTTTGACAGAGTCTCCTTTGTCACCCAGGCTGAATGAAGTGTAGTGGTGCGATCTCGGGCTCAATGCAAACTCCACCTCCTGGGTTCAAGCGATTCTCCTGCCTCAGTCTTCTGAGTAGCTGGGATTACAGGTGTGCACTACCATGCCCGGCTAATGTTTTGTTTTTTTAGTAGAGACAGTGTAGTAGAGAAAGGGTTTCACCGTGTTGGCCAGCTGGTCTTGAACTCCTGGCCTCAAATGATCTGCCAGCCTCAGCCTCCCAAAGTGCTGGGTTTACAGGCATGAACCACCATGCCCAACCAAAAGTTGTATGTGGATTTTCAACTGCATAGAGAGAGTCAGTAGCCCTAACCCCCATGTTATTCAAGGGTCAACTGTATAAGCATCTTGCACATAAGAGATACAAAAAACAGCCCAATTATCCATGTGGTCAATCAATAACCCCAACAAGCTTGTAAATTTTAATGTAATCATTTCTTGACTCAAGAACCCATTGATTCCCTAATGCCTAAAAATATAAGGCTAATCTCGTATGTTGGGCTTTAAAGCCCCTCTACAATCTTCAGTCACTCTTTCCATCCAACTCTGTTTCCCAGGTCTCCCCTTGGCTTCAGTGAGCCCTGTCTCTTCGAGGTCCCCCATTCAAGCCATCTTCATTTCTACCTTCATTTCTGAGTGCACTCTCCCTGTGTGCATTCTCTGTTCTTTGTCAGGAATTCAGGTGTACCCACATGGGTACCACCAACTCCACAGGCTTTTCTGAGCAGTCCAAGCCACTGTCATCTTCTTCAGGCACTATATGGACAATTTGAATACTTGGGATTATATGAGGCCCTGTGTTACTAGCTATCTTTTTCATATGTGTATGACTTAGTTGTCTAACTAGCATATACTTTTCTTGAGGATAATAAAAGCATATCTTTTCTTAAGGGTGAGGACTATGTCTTACTTATTCTTTCATTCACTTAGGCATTAAATATTTATGGAGCACCTATATTAAAAACTGGAGATGTGAAACGAATTCATCAGACATAGCCTTTCCCTCAATGACCTCACAATTTTGGTATCACTGTGTGCCTCACACAGTGACAAGCAGAGAGAAGTCTTCACCCATCTATTTACTAAAAAGCTGACCATTGAGAAGCTGGCCATATTTCTTTTTGGCATACTACTAATAGATACCAAAGCAATGAGCTCCCCTCAAGATACTTCTTAGATAAGTGAATGAAACTCCTAGCTAAAGGAGGAAGTGAAGGCTATTTCTTCAGTGACACTATACACTAATTCCTTCACTGACAATGTATCTATCTATAACCTAAAGACCATCAAGATCTGACTCTACTAGATGCTATATTTTGCTATCAGAATGAATAAATAAAAGGCTATCTCATTGTAGGGGAGGAAAAATATCTTTCCCTTACTTATCTTAGGTTCATGACTGAGGCCCCTAAAACAAAAGACAAATTAACGAGAGAAAAGCACATAAATTTACTTAATATAAGTGTGACATGGGAGCCTTCCTAAGGAAATGAAGATCTGAATATAGGAGTAAATGTGTATATTTTTATGCTAGGTTTGATGAATAAGTGGATAGTTGTGGATAAGTAAGATTAGATTTAAAAGTATGATCTAATGGTAATAAACTGGAGGAAACATAGCAAAGTATGTTTGTTCAGACTTTTCTCTGTGACCCTTTGTATTCAGAGATAAGGATGTTCCTTTCCTCTGGGTATAGAGAGGGCACTTCTCAAATAAGGTCTTACGATTTGCTTCAGAGGAAGGTCAGAAACTCCTTCCTAGGTTTTATGACCTCCTTTAGAAGAGAAGGGTGGGGGGAGGGGAAAATGAACTAATGCTTCTGCTGTTTTCACATGTGCCATACTTTGGGGTCGCATGGCCTGAACTCCATCATTATCATAGACTCCTTTTGGGAAAGCATTATCTTAAAATGGTTTCCTTTTTGCTACTAGTTTTTTTATAGTCAGGATTTTAATATGTAATTAAACATTTAAAAATTTAAAATTAAATTGTAATATGTAATTAAAATTAATTTGCATTTTTGCAACATTCATGAGGAATTCTTCATTTATGTATTACCCAATCAATACTATAGAACTTTCTTGATAATCATTTTGTTTGCTAGTAAAACTAAAGAGAACAAACTAACTCATCCCATACTAATTACAAAATTACCTTTCTTGGACAAGCGCAGTGGCTCATGCATGTAATCCCAGCACTTTGGGAGGCCTAGGTGGGTGGATTACTTGAGGCCAGGCGTTCAAAACCAGCATGGCCAACATAGTGAAACCCCGCATCTACTAAAAATACTAAAGAACTAGTCAGGCATGGTGGCACTCTCCTGTAATCCCACCTACTCATGAGGCTGAGGCACGAGAATTGTTTGAACCCAGGGGGCTGGGGTTGCAGTTAGCTGAGATCACGTCACTTTACTCTAGCCTGGGCAACAGAGCGAGACTGTCTCAAAACAAACAAACGAACAAACAAAAAACTTATCTTTCTGTTGTTAATTTTATCTGTGGTGATATATAGATAATACATAGATAACGTATCACTATAGATAATAAATGAATAAACATGAACAGTGTATGCTCTAATAAATGAATAAACATGAACAGTGAATGGCTGGGACTGGTGCATCATCACCATTCTGAAAATTCTTATTAATGCCTCTAACTCGGGAAAAATGCACACTAAACAGATATGGCTTCTAAAAATAGGTTTATTAAGGTACAATTTTATGTCGTAAAATTCACCTGTTTTAAGTTTCCAGTCTGATGAGTTTTAGTAAATTTATACAGTTGTGCAATTGTCACCATAATCTAGTTTTAGAACACTTCTAAAAGGTCTCTTAGCCCATTTGCCCACTTCTGCAAATACGCTTTCCTTCTATGAAGTATAGGGAATGGCTATTTGGGAGGCAGAGTTAACAACAGGGAGGATGTTCCCATGGCAGAGGATCTCACCCTACCCCACTCTCCCCAACAAGGAGTAAACCCTGACACAGTACCTCTAGTACAACCTCAGAAGAGAGTAGGATCCAGGCATCTAGTGTATAACCACCTCACCTCAACTGTGCTTGCTTCCTCCAGGGACCATTCTTTACAGGCTCAGGAAAGTGATCAAGCCAAAAATACCCAGTCCTCAAACTTAGCTTGAAGAAAAATCAAACTGGCCTCAGATAAAGAGGGAAGACTATAAAGTCACTCACATGATATCAAAACAAATAGAATGCATGAAAGAGCCGCATAAGACCACGATTAAATTAAATGGCATGGCTTTCACTGTGATTCTACCAAAAGCACAATGCAAAAAGGCACATGTCCAACCCAAAAGGAAACATAATATGAGAAACCAATTGCTTAAGGCACTTAGAGCCGTAGGAAAAGCAGGAAAAAATCAATCAATCGAGAACCCAAAGTTTTATGACCAAAGTAAAATGAAAAAGGGAGCTTGGAAGACAGCTTCTAAGTGGCCCCCACTGATCCCTGCCTCCTGGTTTTCACACCCTTATATAATCTGCTCCTCTTGAGTGTTTTGCTTCTAGCAAATAGAATGTGACAGAGATGATTATGGGATATCACTTTGGGATTAGATTTCAAAAAGACTGTGGCTTCCATCTTGGGCACCCTCTCTTGCTTGCTCTGAGGAAAGCCAGCCGCATGTTGTGAGTTGCCTTATGGAGAGGACCACTTGTTGAGAAACAGATGTCTCCAGCCAACAGCTGGGGAGCACCCAAGAGTGAACTTAGAAATAGATCCTCCCCGCGACTGAGCGTTAAGAACAATGCTGCCCTGGCTGACATTCCGGTTGAAGGCTTGTGAGAGACCCTGAGCAAGGGGCTCTCAGCTAAGCTATGCCTGTATGTCTAAGCCATAAAAATTGTGAGTCAATATAAGCTGCTAAATTCTGGGGTAATTTGGTGACCAGAAATAGGTAACCAACATAGGGAAAATAAGGAAATAAATTGAGAATCAAAGTCAGCGTTACTATAGCATTAATATATAAGGGAAAACAAGACAAACAAGATGCTGACATCCCTGAAAACTAATTTACTGACAGTGAGAAAGTTTGCATAATCATGGCAAATTCAAATTTTAAAATAATAAAATAAACAAGGAAATTGAAGCAATTAGAGAAAAGCTAATAAAAATGAAAGGCAGATAAAAATAATCTAATAGGAGAACAGATCCCTGAAGAAGACAACTTAAGAAATGGAACAGACAATGGATTCCAAGATATGAGACAATGTAAGAATCTCTCTGGACACTTAAGATGACTCCATATCTTTCCTGCTGTGAATAGTGATGCTATAAACATACAAGTGCAGCCATCTTTTCAATAGAGTGATTTCTTTTCCTTTAACAGTAAAACTTAGACATCACCACTATACAATATATCCAGGTAACAAAACTGCACTTGAACCCCCTAAATTTATACAAACCTTTTTTAAAAAAGAATGTCTCTGAAGAATGAACATACCAAAACAAGTACACATATCAAAATTTAAAAAAAAAAAAAGTTGTAAGAATATTCCACACTGAGAGATGTTATAGTTAAGCTTTTATACTTCAAGGACAAATACAAAGTCTTCTAGATATCCAAAACAAAAAACAAGTCACCTATATAATAGGGAGATATTAAGTTGGCTTTGCATTTCCCCAGAGCAATATTCAATATCAGATAATAGTGGTGAAAATGTTGTTACAAAGCTCTGAGAGAAAGAAAGTAAGAGCCAAGACTACTACACCCAGCTAAAGCATCATTCAAATATAAAGGCAAAGAGGACACGTTCTCAAGCATGAAACAATTCCGGAAATGAAATACTTACAATGTAGAAATCAATCACTAGTATCTAAAACTGAAATTTAATTTTTTAAAAATCAGTTCAACCTATTTATTTCTAGGCTATTTTAATTTCAAAGAAATCTTATAGGAAAATCTACATGAGAAAAAGAAATTTGAGGTTCAGCAATTCCTTATATTTCAATTCTTCTTTTATCTATTGTTAAAGTAAAATCACGTTTTATATTTTTAGTTAAAACAATAGCTATAATATGCCATATTTAACAAAAGTATTTCTACCTTTAATTGTAATCATTCCATCTGTACATATGATATAATCTACAGTACACATCCGGAATGATGTTCTTTTAACACTATCAAGTTATTTGGACTGATTTTCCTTTTTTTTTTTTGGAAACAGGGTCCTGCTGTTTCCAAAACTCTAGGCTAGAGTGTAGTAGCTCAATCACAACTCACTGCAGCCTCAACCTCCCAGGCTCAGGTGATCCTCCCATCTCGGCCCCAATCCCCCAGTAGCTGGGACCACAGGTGCATGCCACCATGCCTGGTTAATATTTTGTATTTTTTTGTAGAGACAGGATTTCACCGTGTTGCCCAGGCTGGTCTCAGACTCCTGGGTTCAAGCGTTCTGCCCACCTCAGCCCCCCAAATGCTGGGATTACAGGCGTGAGCCACCGCACCCAACCGAGTGACTACTTTTTCTTCTTTGAATTATTCATAATAAAAATAAATAGGTCATTTTTTATAAAACAAGTTTTGTTCATCTGTTTACCTGCTTTGTTTGTTTGTTTGTTCTAGATGGAGTCTCACTCTGTCGCCAGGCTGGAGTGCAATGGCGCCATCTTGGCTCACTGCAACCTCTGACGCCCTGGTTCAAGGGATTCTCCTGCCTCAGCCTCCCGAGTGGCTGGGATTACAGGCACCCACCACCACGCCCAGCTAATTTTTGTGTTTTTAGTAGAGGCGGGGTTTCACCACATTGGCCAGGATGGTCTCAATCTCCTGACCTTGTAATCCACCTGCCTCAGCCTTCCAAAGTGCTGGGATTACAGGCGTGAGCCACCACACCCGGCCTCTGTTTGCCTGTTTTTAAATAAGAGCCTGGATGATAATACTGTAACATGTTAACAGTAATAGAAATATGCAATTCGAGCCGGGACGTGGCTCACGCCTGTAATCCCAGGACTTTGGGAGCCAAGGCAGGCGGATCACAAGGTCAGGAGTTCAAGACCAGCCTGGCCAACATGGTGAAATCCCGTCTACTAAAAATACAAAAAATTAGCTGAGCGTGGTGGTGCACGCCTGTAGTCTCAGCTACTCAGGAGGCTGAGGCAGAAGAATTGCTTGAACCCAGGAGGCGGAGGTTGCAGTGAGCTGAGATTGTGCCACTGTACTCCAGCCTGGGTGACAGAGTGAGACTCCATCTCAAAAAAAAAAAAAAAAAAGAAATATGGAATTTGAGCGATGAGAATATGGAAATTTTTCTTCTTTATGCATTTCAGTTTTTAATTTACCAAACAAAAAAAGAAGTATACTAAGACCCTAGAAGTTATACAATACAGATTTTCATTTTGCATCCGCAGATGACTTACCCAGACTGTCCTCACCTTTCCCAGAAGGCTGGTTTGTCATATGGGAAGGAATCAGAGTCACTACTTGCCTCTAGGTGGAGTCCACCGTCCTAACCACTTCTCAAGGTCTCCCTAACTCCTTCTCCAATGCCAGTCCCGAATCTGGGCAGAGGCCTGAGTAGGGGGAGGATTGGCAAGCTCATCCCTGGAATCCCAGGTTTTAGGCAGTTTTCTCTTGCTTCTACCTGAATAGAGGTAATACGCCTTTTTCTCCAAGACTGACCCCCTTCTTTCTTTCACCTTCCCTCTTTGCATACCATCTCACCCCATCCCACTTGGTAAGCCAAAGGAGCTCAAGAATCTCTCCCTTGGGAGTGGCAGCTACCTCTAGAAGAGCTTAGAAGAGTTGGTCAGATTCATTAAGCTTTTACAAAGGAGTCTGGGGTCCAAAATTGACCTTTGACCAGCACAGTCATCAACGCATCTGTTTTCCTAAAGGATTTTTTACTGAGGGGCAAGGACAATAAAGAACAAGAATCAGAGGCTCCAGGGCCCCTTCTTTAACAATGTTACCTGTGCTGCCTACCTCCCAAGAGAACATATTTTAACATGGTTAGTAAATGTAATATAGTTAATATTAATAAAATGTTTAAAATTACAAACCACTATAAGTAGTTGTGTTATTACTGGACAAGGATGATTCTAAATTAATATCTTCACAAGCTTGTAGCTAGAGTTTCGATCTTCATCAAAGCATATGCCTTTGAGTCAGAGACCCCAGGCTTGAAACCTGCTTTTCACATTCTCTACCTCCCAACTGAGCAAATTACTCAATCTCACTGCCTGTCACATCTGTGACATGTCAACAGTAACATGTACTTCACAGTGTTGTGAGAACTAAACAGGAAAAACACCTACTGAACTAAATAGGAAACACATGAAAATGTGAAAAACACCTACTTTATTAGGTAGTCAATCTTAGCTCCCTTTCTTTTGCTGTCACAAAAAAAGCTTTTAAAAGAGAGCTTGGCCGGGCGCGGTGGCTCACACCTGTAATCCGAGCACTTTGGGAGGCTGAGGCGGGTGGAATGCCTGAGCTCAGGAGTTCAAGACCAGCCTGGGCAACACGGTGAAACCCCATCTCTACTAAAATACAAAAAATTAGCCAGGCGTGGCAGAGTGCACCTGTAGTCCCAGCTACTCTGGAGGCTGAGGCAGGAGAATTGCTTGAACCTGGGAAGCGGAGGTTGCAGTGAGCCAAGATCACGCCACTCCCACTCCAGCATGGGCGATAGAGCAAGACTCCGTTTCAAAAAAAAAAAAAAAAAGGGAGATTGTAACAAGGAACACCACAACACACAGATTTCACATCTTAAGCAGCTGAAATAAAATGCCCAAAGAGGATGAGAAGGAGCCTATATAATCTTAAAATAGATATGTTTCCCAGCTGGTATCTTTGATTACTAATTAAGCTAAGGCTTATTTATTTGGTAAATGCTTACCAGTTGCCAGGCATTGTGTTAGAAACCTTTTATGTAACAACCCCATGAAGATTGACACTTATTATCCCCATATTGGAGAGAAGGAACCAAGATCCTAGAGATGAGAAGCAGTCAGGTCCATCTGACAACTGTGCAATAGCCTAACAAGAATTCCCTTCGGCCGGGCACGGTGGCTCACGCCTGTAATCCCAGCACTTTGGGAGGCAGAGGCAAGCGGATCACCTGAGGTCAGGAGTTCAAGACCAGCCTGGCTAACATGGTTAAACCCCATTTCTACTAAAAACACAAAAAATCAGCTCATGCCTGTAATCCTAGCACTTTGGGAGGCCAACGTGAGCAGATCATGAGGTCAAGAGTTTGAGACCAGCCTGACCAACATGGTGAAATCCCGTCTCTACTAAAAATACAAAAATTAGCCAGGCGTGGTGGTGCATACCTGTAACCCAGCTACTCAGGAGGCTGAGGCAGAAGAATCACTTGAACCCAGGAGGCGGAGGTTGCAGTGAGCCGAAATCATGCCACTAAAAGAGCGAAACTCCGTCTCAAAAAAAAAAGAGAATTCCCTTCACAGTCAGGTCAGAAATCTAAGGAACACTGGTATCTTTAGAACCTAAGACACCAAAAACCTGTGTCTGCTCTTGATACGGGAAAACCCACATTAATGCCCTAATAAGACCTCTTAAACTTCGAATAATATTTCTTAGAATTTAAACTGAAGACTGAAGGAAGGAGCTAAGACTCTTGGTTTTGCTGAAATTTGGAAAATCTAGCTTAACTGCAAAAGCATTAATGTTATGTAGTACCATTCACTTTTATTAAACACACATTTAGTTTGAATACTAGTTAATTTAAAAGTGCCCACAATGTTAAAGATAGTGATGGGTAAAACAATGTTCATTATATTCCTTCCCTTTAACAGTTTTACATTTTTCCATTGAGTTTTTTTTATCTACACACACACACATCTCCCATGATCTCTGCAATAAGAGGCTGATTCATGTAAATTTTACAGAAAGCACCCTTCTCTGGATAATTTTAACTTTTCCTAAAAATAAATATTCCAGTCCCCAACCCAAGGAGGGCGCAGCAGATCAAGAATGCACTGTCATGGCAGGTGGAGAATCAGTCATTATGGGAAGTGAAACAGACACACGCGGCATAGGAACTGATACAGCAACATCTGATTCCATCCAGCAACCTTTAAAAATGTAATCATTTTATCAGCTGTTGGTAGACTTTGCACAATGGCTAGCAGTACTACTTGGTGACAATTAAAAATACTAAAGCTACAATGCATTTTTTGTTGTGGAGGAAGTACAAATGGAATGCTGAGTCAAAAGCAAATATGCACACTCATAGATGACTATGGGACACTTTGCAATGCATTCAGTGCTTCAAAATTTAAGATTTAAGACCAGATTCATGCTACTGAAGGTTGGGTCCTCTCCCAACTCACAAGATCATCAAAGAGTAGCCATTCAAAAAAGTTTAGTAGAATGACATCCTCTTTGACACTTTTCTTGACTTTTACAATATTTGGTTTAATTATCATAACAGATATATATATACACACACACACACAGTGAGGGATGTGAAAAACCTTAAAACACTTCAAAATGCACACCGATAATAAAACACATTGCCAAGTTGTAAGTAAAGCAGTTAATTATGACCATCGTCATCCCCAGGAACCAAGAGAAGCTTCTCAAGGGTCAGATTATTCCAGCTACCTCTTGGATGCCCCCGAGGCCTCTCTACAAACTGTAAGTGCTCATTACTATGTTCTGTAAAAAGGCCTGTCTATGAGACTGCCAAAAAGAAACTTTCCAGCAAAGTCTCTAAATTGTAAAGTACTATCATGTAACTTCTGGGGGAATCTATGCCCCTCTTTCTGACAGCTGTCATGCTCAAGGGTGGGCATGGGCAGCCATGTATTTACCATGTGACACTGCCCCGTGCCACAATCGATGAAGCAAAAGTGGACATCTGCCCAAATTCACCTCCAGAAGTTTGCTATTGGGGCAGAAAGTGCAGCAGTTTTGTAGGATATGTCACTTGGGAGGTGAGGAGCCACTATCTTCTGCAACATGAACAAAGGAGCAGAGAGAGGCCAGCAGAGGGAGAATAACAAGGAAGATGCAAAGACCAGAATCCCACTTCTCAAAGAGAGGCCCACAGTGAAGCTGCCTCAGGGCCATGGGCAACCTGAAGCTACCTCCAGGCCCTCACCAGCTCAATAGCACACTGATGCCAGTATGCTGAGACAGTCACACTCCCTTATCATAAACTGCCCATTTCAAGTTCTAGTAGTTTGCGTGGGTGTTACTTCCTTCCAAAGAGCCTTGACTAGCAGTTACGCTAGTCTAAGCTAGTTATTATGACTCTAAATAAGACACTAAGTTCCCTTGGGCAACTTCTGAGATCCTCACTTTCCACTCCCCAGGGATTCTCATCTCATCACTGAAGGAGCTGAACAAGGATGTTTTTCAATGTTAAATTCTATGCATGACCTCAATACACCAAACTGATGGTGGCCGAGCTGTCGGCTGGAGCAGAGACAGGGATCTGGCTCTGGCCCTCCACAGAATGCAGTGCTTCCAGGGAACTCTGCTGAAAGCCCTGACTTGGATGCTCTCTAGGGATCCTGGCTTAGCCTTGGCAGATAATATTCCCAATGAAGAGCAGCTTTACTTGAGCGGCTCCACGTGCTTGCCCAAAGAAGGCAACAGACAGAGGATAAGGAGTGTTACTCAAGTCTGAGGACCAGGAAGCTGGAGAAGATGAGACTCTCTCACCACCCATGGCCTGAACCCACGGCTCCCTGAGGAAAAGCAAATGCTTCCAGTCCTGGATGGTGGCGCCAGAGGGAGGCCGAGGTAAGCTATGATACAGAGATCAGTGGCCAAAGGGCAGCATCATCCCAGGGAACACCCCCAACACCTCTGATTCAGCAGCCCCGATTAGATGGAATAAACTGCTTTTCACTTCGGAAGTTTGGCTGCAACATAGTGGTAAGGGAGGGAAAAAAAGGAAGTGAACAAGGCGGCCGGCGGAAGTGGAGAGGCTCCAGCCCCAGCCCAGGCCCCCAAGGCCCATCTGGCCTTCCTTCTGGGGTTAACCATGATCCTTATTTGACCACAAATGGGAGCGGGGGAAAAAAGAAAAAGGAAAAAACTCCACAGAGATGTAAATGGAGGACATCAATACCTAAAGTAAAGAAGGGAAGGGGGTCTAGGAAAGAATGGCTCTTAAAAGCAAACTCCAGAGTTCAGACATTGTATGGGGCCTCATTAAATGGCATTAATGACTCCCACGAAGTTAGGGCTTAGAATATATCTGCATAGCTGTGTTATGTGATCTCTCAATATTATTTTGGACTGAAGAATATCTTGTTCAGAACGATGGGCTTTTGTAAGAAGCTCCTTCTTACTTGACAACTTGAAATATTGTTAGACCAGCACACCATTCATAAGCTTTTAAAAAGAACTAATCAGAACTCAGGCAGCTTTGGCCAGGAATGGTGGCTCATGCCTGTAAACCCAGCACTTTGGGAGGCCAAGGAGGATGGATCACCTCAGGTCAGGAGTTCAAGACCAGCCTGAGGCCGAGCACCGTGGCTCACGCCTGTAATCCCAGCACTTTGGAATGCTGAGGCAGGTGGGTCATCTGAGGTCAGGAGTTTGAGACCAGTCTGGCCAACATGGTGAAATCCCATCTCTACTAAAAATACAAAAATTAGCCAGGCATGGTGGCGTGTGTCTGTAATCCCAGCTACTTGGAAGGCTGAAGCAGGAGAATCGCCTGAACCCATGAGGCGGAGGTTGCAGTGAGCCAAGATCACGCCACCACACTCTAGCCTGGGCGACAGAGCAAGACTCCTTTCAAAAAAAAAAAGAAGACCAACCAGCCGGGCCAACATGGTGAAACCCCGTCTCTACTAAACATTTTTTAAAAATTAGCCAGGCGTGGTGGCAGGCGCCTGTAATCCCAGCTACTTGGGAGGCTGAGGCAGGAGAATTGCTTGAACCTGGGAGGTGAAGGTTGCAGTGAGCCGTGATTACACCACTGCATTCCAGCCTGGGTGACACAGTGAGACTCTGTCTCAAAAAAAAAAAAAAGAAACAGAACTCTGGCAGTTTTAAGAAGAATTGCAGAATAAGCTGCTTCAAGACACACTCTGGCAGAAAAATATTAACCACAATGATTATCAATATTTATGACAATGAAGATGAATATTACTAATAATGCCTAACACTTACTAAAATGGTTACTTGGTACTGTGCTAAACACTTTATACGAATCCTTTTATTTAACCCTCTCAATAACCAGTACAATAAAATCACTGCAATGACTGTGGGAGATACTAATGCTGCTGGTCCAGGGAATACACTGAGAACCAGTGCTTTAGAGACAACAGAGATTTTCTTTTCTCCTACTGCCCTTAGTTGCTGAGCTTTCTGACCCCAGTGGTTTCAACCATTTAGCCTGTGAGTAGAAGTGCATGCCCAGTCTCACCTATCAGGCCTGGTTCACAAGCTAAGTACCACCACAGCGTATAACAGCCAGACCGAATGCTGGCCATGCCCCACAGCTATTTTTTTCTTCCAGACAAAAGTTACTAGAATGCCAAATAACTCAGCTGTTCACAGACCAAAATGCATTTTTCAAATTAAGTTATTTTTAAGCCTGCTTTCTTAATAGCAACAATGTTCTAAGGACAATTTATAACAACAAAACAGATAAACAAACTTAACAGTTTTGTTTGAACTCCTGGTCTTAGAAAAATAAGCCAGCATCTGCAAAACACAATTAAACACCTAAACATTTTTATACTTGAATGAAACAAAACAAAACAAAAAAACCTCAATGAATATCTTTAACTATTGTTGGCTTTAAAAGGCCTGTATCAGGTAACAAAGAAGGGAAAAGGGATGGGTGCTAACACCTTCTGGGTCGTGACTCTGTGCTAAGATGGACAATTATTATAGAAGTGAGTTAACATTAATCCTATTTAATTAACCCTATTATTTAACAGATGTGTACAAAAGCTCAGAAAGACTCAAGTCACTTCCCAAGGTGCTGGTCAATCTTAAGGCCCTGGTTCAAACCCAGGCCTTTCTGCCTCCAAAGGCCAAATTATTTCCATTATACCATGCACACAAAAATCCCTTAAATAAAAATGTATAGTATTACCAGGCCGGGCATGGTGGTTCACGTCTGTAATCCCAGCACTTTGGGAGTCCAAGGCACGCAGATCACGAGGTCAGGAGATCAAGACCATCCTGGCTAACACTGTGAAACTCTGTCTCTACTAAAAATACAAAAAATTAGCCGGGCGTGGTGGCAGGCGACTGTAGTCCCAGCTACTCGGGAGGCTAAGGCAGGAGAATAGCGTGAACCTGGGAGGCACAGGTTGCAGTAAGCCGAGATCGTGCCACTGCACTCGAGCCTGGGCGACAGAGCCAGACTCCATCTCAAAAAAAAAAAAAAGTATAGTATTACGGAAATGTAGAGTTTGACAGGCCCTTAGAAACTCCCTAATTCAACATCTCATTTAATAGATAAGAAAACTATAATAAACAAATAAGAAAACTACACTAAACAATTTCCAAAGATGGCCACCAACAATCCCTTCCCTCCTCTGGAGGTACGCTGCTCCTTCCATCAAGAGGCAGTTATTTCCTCTCCTCTTGACCTTGTGATTTGCTGCCCAATAGAATACAGTGGAAATAATAGTGTGCCAGTTCCAGAGGTAGCCCTTAGGAAGCTGGCAGCTTCCACTTTCATGTGCTCTGGGGAAGCTAGATGCCATGTTGTAAGGGAGCTCAAGCCAGATTACTGAGTGATGAGACACCTTGTGAAGAGAGAGGGTATCATTGAGAAGAACTAAACATGTGAGTGAAGTCTTCTAGAGCTTTGTAGCCTGGTCAGTAACCAAATGCATCTGAGTGATTGACCCCAGCCAAAGACAAATAAAGCAGAAAAACTGCCCAGCTGGATTTTCTGACCCATTGAAATATGAGAATAGTGGGGCTTCTTTGTCACACAGATACAGATAACGGAAACAAAAGAGGCTAGCTGACTTGCCCCTAGATAGGAATCAATAGCAAGGACTAAAATCTAACAACCCTAACTTCTAATCCTGACCACCTGCCACTGTAGCCCAAAGTATAAACTGATTAACAAATAGTGCACCCAACAGACTGGCTGCCCTATGGCTTTTCCACAACATCCCATTCAGAAACATGTCTGAAAAAAATTACTGGGCTCATCTGGTCATAACCCAGCTATGCTGGGTGCTCTGGTATCTCTTTTTCACTAACCTTTATTTAATGATATTAGTTTGACACATTAATTTCTCACTGCAAACTACCTGAGGTTAGGGATGGGCAATCATCAGCCTCATCTGTGTCTATAGTGCCTAACCCAGGGCCTTGCATGATGAGGATAAATAAAGATTTGCTAATTGAGCCCTCACATATGAAAAGAATTAGACTACTCCTCACTCCCAAGAATTATGAGACCAGGAACAAATAAGTCAAGGCCAAGTCCCTCAAATACCATACAGCATGTCACTGTAAGATAATAAAATAATTACTGACAGCCTAAGACATGCATAAAATGTTATTTTCCCACTTTCACAGCATTATGTCTTTTATATTAATTTGATATCCAAAAGAAACCCTGTAAAACAGACACTGCTGTTAATCCTACCTTATAGCTGAAGAAATAAGATGCTCAAAGGGGTAATAAAATTCACCCAAAGTCATCCAGTTTTCAAAAGTGAAACCACAACATGCATTCAGGAATCCTGATTAAAAGTCTGATATTTTAATTTTCTAGAATCCTTTCCTCAAAGACTTGATGATCTAAATTTCAAGAAGTGCTATCAAAGAACCTAGAGTAAAATGAATAGATTTAGAGAACCACAAAAATTTAGAACCAGACATGATCTCAATACTAATCAGTAACATATGGTGAATTTTTCAGGTAATAAGGATCCGGATGCTAGACCTGGTACATACCTTACCAGAATCTATATAATGCTATTCCACTGTGGAACAAACAGCATGACATTCTTTTTTCACCTCATATTAAACTCGCAAAATATAGCACAAGTGTGTGCATGTGTGTATGTGAGTGTTTAAGGTAACTATTAATAACCTGATTATTTCCAACAGTCTGAAAATCAGTGTTTTTGTCACATGACACTCACATGGGACAAAGTGACACATATAGAGGCCTAGCTTCCTGTATTACTTAATCATGGATATTCCAAGAGCCTACTACTAGAGAAGTATCTCAAAGCACAATTAGCAAACACTATGCATCGTTACATTATTTGGCTAATGACGGCTACGCTGCTGTACGTTTTTGCCATTTCAATGGAATGTCATTTCCATGGAATTCTCTGGGACTGTAAATTGCAAGGACACTCTCAATCGCTACCCCATCCCTCACTTTCTCAACCAAGCATCCCCCAAACTAAGAGTAATAATAACAAAAAGGAAAGGTGAGTCGGATGAGCAGTAATGGTAATAAAACTATGACTTCAAGGATTTCTTTCCAGACTCGACTGGCCCCCTCCAGCCCTTACTGCTGGGACCAGGGCGGAACTGGGGTCCCAAAGCTTTCAAAGGACAAAGAGGATCCTTACTCTCCGACCATCATCTCCAGGTTCCTGAATCTGGAAAGGAAGTACTGAAGAGGCAGTCTTGTGTCACTCTGAGAATGCTTTCCCTGGGGCCACTTTGGATAGTTTTCGTCGTTGGGACTGTCTTCCCTCGGTGTTTGGTGGTGGTACATCCTAGTGAGGAGGACTCTATGACAGAAGCAATCTAAATATACACATTCATAAAAGGCTAGGGATGCAAGTGTGCACATACAACCACCAGGCAAACAAACAGGCATTTAGGATGTCATAGTAACGTGGGCACGAGCCAACGACTGTAAAAGCACTTTAGTTGCTGTGCTTCTTTAGATCACAGCGGGAAGATACTTTATAAAACATTGGAACAATGATGCCCCCTACAGCCCTCAGAGAGAATCCAAGGTGCTTACTGAGTTCATCTATTTGGTAAGAGATCCTGAGTTTACTTTTCTGGTAAGAATTAATTTTTACACTAGAATAAGTAATAAAAACACATGCTTTGTACATATGTTGGAAAAAATTAAAAGTATCAAGGTCTAACACTAAGAAATTATTAAAATAAAATATAATGTCTAGACAATCAAAACCATTATACTGAAACATTTTACTTTTCTGAAGCATATAGAAGCAAATTCTATGGATTGTCATCTTGATTATTAATAGAGATTATTTTCAAAAGAATTATTAAAAATATTTTCAAAGTGGAACTGTGGACTCCTAAAAGGAGAAATAGGTTGAGATGATTTTTTTTTTAAAAAAACAAATATACCACAAATTGAAGATTACAACATTCCCTGACTGGAACTGAAAAAAAGACCAGTAAGAAATAATCCAAAGCTGGAGTGACTTCCCTGTTCTCTATGAGCCAAGACGAAGAAACTTGTCATCTTTGGGACAAGGAAAGTGGGGGGTACTGGGCACTTCAGAAATGCTTTAGACCACACTTGTCCAACTCGCTGCCCAGGATGGCTTTGAATGCAGCCCAACACAAATGTGTAAACTTTCTTAAAACATTATGAGATTTTTTTTGCGATTTTTTTTTAAAGCTATTGTTAGTATAAGTGTATTTTATGTGTGGCCCAAGACAATTCTTCTTCCAGTGTGGCCCAGGGAAGCCAAAAGATTGGACACCCCTGCTTTAGATTATTCAAGGTCTGTGCAGATATGAAAGAAGCATAGGACAGCTCCTTCTTCCCAGGGAATGTGGCTAGGCATAATGTATATAAAAGCAGATGTATATCACCTCAAGATGATGTTCTTAGGAAAGAAAACAAATTGGAAATATATATAAAACATAACATAAACTGCACATAACAGTCAAAAAAACACATAGCAAGAGAGAAATCAATATGGGAAAGGTTTAGATGTGTAACAAAGAAAAAGCAAGTCATTCACTGGTCAAGCTTGGAAAAAGCTGAAGGGTGTGGACCAAGGAAGAAAAGGTGAGAGATAGCAAACAGAGGGAAAACCACAGAAAAGCCAGATGACTGCAGGAAATGCAAATGCATTAGTTTCACAGGAATAAGTGGGCCACGTTCCCCAGTTCCAAGATGAAAACAAACATGGGTCCAAGTTAAAAAGGAAGGGGAGAGTAATTATCAGAATGCCTTACGTCTAGCTGGAGAGTTCAGATTAGATCCATTTAAACAAAAGGAATTACCCTGATCACCTAAGCAAGGAAGTAACATGATGAATATGATGTTAAGAAAACATTACCCTGGCACTTGTCTAGATGAACTGGAATGGTAAGAGAAGAGAGGCACAGAGGTCCTCAGAGATTAACATGGACATAAAAACAAGGACAATAAAGGCTTGAATTTCTAAGAGGAGTAAATTCAAGATGCTCTGCAGAGCAGGAATGCGTTTAGTAAGTGACTAAAGAATGAAGGACGAGACATCATTTGGCAAGCCCAGGGTGTGTGGAGGCAGCATCAGAGACTTTCAAAGCAAAAATCAGCTTAGATGAAAGCCATGATAAACTCAGTTCTTTGTTTGAAGTTTTAGGGATCAATGTAGGCAGAAACTTCTTGGAGGCAGGTGGAAAGTTGAGACTAAAAAGGAGGATAAGAAGCCAGAGCTGTATTTACACATTTTTAGTCATCCAAAAAAAGAACAGACTAGTTTATCTATTATCACATGAGGAAAGGACTGGGAAAATGAAGCCTAGAAAACTGGGTGTCTGGCCAGAAAGGCAGAGAGAACTCTTAGAAAAAAAAAATTAATTTCAAGTCCAAGAACTTTGTTTCAAAGTCATCAACACTCAGAGCAGATGCCTTACAGAGTGAGAAGGTATCTAAAAGCTCTAAGCCTGAGATAAAACTCATTGGGTGACTGCTGGTGTGAAAACTTTTACTAATTTTATTTCAATTCTTTCACGAAATCAGCACATACTTACTTAAATACAGCTTCCAGCATGAGCAAAGCAATAGAACAATGATACTGAATGGGAAAACAGCATCCTATGTTAGTTTGGGCATAGCATCAACCACTCTGCAAACTCGCATTGACCCTGTATGTCTTTAAAACATAAAGCTCTTACAAGGAATACATGAAATTAAGGAGGAATTGGAAGATGCAGACTTTAAGTATCAGGAGAAGAAATATAGAGGTACTTCTTTCACTTTAAAAGTTTCACAGGGACAAATCTCTGTAAAATCATTCTTCGGGACAAAGGTTGCACACTCCAAAGTTATTTCCAGTAAGGAATATAACCATTTAAAATGTTTGTGATTTATTCTGTTTAGGCACTTCAGTTTTATTCTTTCTTAAAATGTGTAGAAAAATCAGTACCTAGAACTCAATTGATATGAAAATAATTGCATAAATCTTTTCAATGTGATACACAAAATCAACGCAGCCATTTTCAAATGAGCACTGATAATAGTCAGTACCACGTTCCCATTTAAGTAGACGAAAAAACCTAGGACACAGGATTTAAGTGATTCCTTGAGGCAAACTAGCAAGACAAAAGCCTAGTGATTACCCATTTACCATTCAACTGTCTCTTTCTCTGAAAGTTTAAAGAGCTGCTCTATACTTTTACTATAAAGGGGAAATCATTGTCAATTCTTAGGCTTATTTCTCTTTTTGTGGTGTTCTAAGGAATGTGAAGACTAAGGTTAACTGAAATTCAGAGAAGAATATAAAACTATAATTGCTCTGAAAGAGTGGAAAGAAAAACATTGATAGTAAAGATGCAGGGAGTTCTTTTTTTTTTAATAAAATCTCTCCTTTCCTCCTAAATATTAATAAAACCTTAAATCTTTTACTTTAGATTCAGAAAACGACTCAAGCTTCCCACCCCTAAATTCCAGCCCTCCCCTCTCCCAAAATAAAAAGTAGACAACCCCATCAAGAGCAAAAGTAAAAGCGTTTAGCCTCCTGGAATGGGTGGGAAGAAAGAGGAGGGGATCATTACACATTCCCTGTAGAAGACAAAGCCAGATGCACATTCCAGAGAAATCTGGCGGGTCCGAGTTTTTCCTTAAATACAGACTGGCCTGTCACTAAGCCAGGCTCTGTAATCTTCCCAGGCTGCCACCGCTAGGGAAGCCAGGAATCCCTTCTAATTAATCAAGCCCTCCCAACAAAAATTTTCCCACCCACAATAAAGTAGGTTGGGGGGGAAGGGAAGCAGCAGAGAAAGCTCTGCAGCCAAAAGAATTCTAGACTTTAGTATAATACCTAACTAATCCAAGAAAACAGATGCAGGAAGCAGAGGAAATTATCTACAGAGACACACAATGAGGTAGGAAACTTTCACAGCACTGCTCCGCTGGGACCCAAAATTTAAATTCAAAATCATAAGTTAGAATTATTATTGAGAGCGACCCTGGCAACATTCTATACTTTTTCAAATGCCTCTAAGGCAGCGGGTGGACACATAAACTTTCCTGAGGTAGACACCATGTGTATCACTTGACACTTTTAACAATAATTTGATATTTGGATTTCTTTTTTATTTTACTAAAGTTTTGTTTTAATGGATAAACATTCATGACTATTACATTATGTGTCCATGTCTATTTCTTGCAAAGGAAATGGCTTTACCTTGGCCTTGCTAACTTACCCCACACCTGCAGCCAGTTTAACCCAAGGTAACTTCATTGAATGCTTATTCTGATAAGGTACCAGGAGGTAGGAGTACCAAGGATACAGCAATTTAGATCTGTGTTGGCCAATACAGCCGATACTAGCCAGTGGTGCCTACTGAACATTTGAAATGCAGCTAATAGGAATTGAGATGTGCTGTAAAAGATATATTTGTAGGCCGGGCACAGTGGCTCACGCCTATAATCCCATCACTTTGGAATGCAGAGGCAGGCGGATCACTAAAAGTCAGGAGTTTGAGACCAGCCTGGCCAACATGGCAAAACCTCATCTCTACTAAAAATACAAAAATTAGCTGGGCATGGCGGCATGTGCCTGTAATCCCAGCTACTTGGGAGGCTGAGACAAGAGAATCACTTGAACCTGGGAGGCAGAGGTTGCAGTGAGCCAAGATCTTGCCACCGCACTCCAACCTGGGCGACAGAGCAACAAGCGAGACTCAATCTCAAAAAAATAGATAAATAAAAGATATATTTGTATACATATTCTATACATAAATCAGTGTGTGTGAGTGTGTTTATTTCAGACTTTGCAAGCAATAAGGTCTTTGTTTCAACTACTCAACCCTCCACTTCATTGTAGCATAAAAGCAGCCAGGGATGATATGTAAACAAGTGGGAGTGGCTGGATTCCGGTAAAACATTATTTACAAAAACAAGCAGCTGGCATGTGGGCTGTAATTTGCAGATCTCTGGTCTAGATCTTTTCCCTACCCTAAAGAGTTTATTATTTTGGAAATTTTAAAACACTGGGGTGGGTGCAAAGCTTGGGTTTAAGATTGCTATGAAGCCTTGGGGAGATGCGCCTGCTGCTACCACTTCTTTCAGTTAAAATAAGAGTCACTCACTGAAGTACAGGACATACCTCCCTGCTAGAAGCTGCAGTAGCCCAGAAGTCTATAGACCCTGAAAGTTATACTTCCAAGGATTCCTACATCTCATGCACTACTGCCATTTCCTGGAAGTCTGGCCTCAGAAGAGTCTTCAACTCTTGAAAGAGTTCAAGAGCCAGCTGTGCGGTGGCAGTGCCGCCTGTAGTCCCAGCTACGTAGGAGGCCAAGTCGGGAGGACAGTTTGAGCCCAGGAGTTCATGTTCAGCCTGTGCAACATAACGAGATCCTGTCTCTAAAAAATAGTGATTAAAAAAAAGAATTCAAGGCCAGAACCACAGCCCTTAAAAACAAAAAAAAAGTATTCATATGCAGGAAGGTCAGATGGGTAAGTCGTTTGCATGAATAATTAATGCCATTCCAAGGGCAGTCTTAGAATAAACAACCCAGATGAAGTGTCAAACTATTTGGTGTTCATCAATTTTTCTGTTACTTTGAAACCCTGCTCTAACCAAGTACTTTTCAACCCAGTCAAAAGTGGCTGCATCTATGTGAAAAATTTGCATAAGTTAATTAATTCCTTTTAAATGTTATTTATTATTATTGTTTTTAATTTAGAGATGGGGTCTCACTATGTTACTCAGGCTGCTGGTCTCTAACTCCTGGCCTCAAGTGATCCTCCCTCCTGGGCCTTCCAAAATGCAGGGATTACAGATGTGAACCACTGTACGCAGCCTACATTTTATTTATGCACTTAATTTTTATATTAATGCATAGACACATATTAAAACGACATATCAAAGTGAGGTCTCAAGCTGGGTGTAGTGGTGCACATCTGTAGTCCCAGCTACTCAGGAGGCTGAGGCAGGAGGATTGTTTGAGCCCAGTAGTTCAAGATCAGACTGGGCAGCATAAGGAGACCCCATCTTTCAAACAAACAAACAAACAAAAAAACAAAATGGCCTCTTCTGCCTCATCCAGCCCCCTCTCTCACTCCAACTCTCACTCACCATGGGCAACCACACTGAAACTTAGCTTTTTGATCTGGTAATTTGCCAACATATTTCTAAACACTATGTTTATCCTACGAATGTCTTATTATTTCAGTTTTATATACTTTATGTGGAAAATGAAGACTTAATCCTTATACCTGCCCTCCCACATGTTTCCTTCCCCAGCCTTCCAAAACTTGGAGTTCACAATATTATGAAATGTAACCTCTGTTCAAAGCTGAACCATGCAGGAGGATCACTTGAGCCTAGGAGTTCAAGGCCGCAGTGAGTTATGACTGTGCCACTGCATTCCAGCCTGAGCAACAGGGCAAGACCCCATCTCTATAACAAGAAGAACAAAAAGTTGAGCCACGTAGTATACTATGCTTAATTTCCTATCTTGCACAATCTTTTGTTTACTGAGAACTGAGGGTTGCATCATTTTTCTTTTGTTTAGTTTTCTATATTCCTATGACTAAATCATTCCCATGCTACCTGACAGGCCTAAAAAAATCTCTTCTCAATGCATTTAAATACATGATGTATTTTATTCATTTCATTTTTTGTTGAAGAAATCTTTCATGGAACCCTCTGTCTTCTTCCAATAGGACTGGTTACTTTGGTTGCAGTTCAGAAACCAATACCCAGAAATATAACACTTTGACATGCTAAACTAAAAAAGCAGCAGCAAGGTCTCTCTGACCTCCTCCCCTCCTCCTCTCAATCCGTTATCTCTCCCAAAGCACAAGATGAGGCTCTCCGCTGAAGCTCTATTATCTGCCCAGAAACTGGATACCCAAAGAGGAACACAATTGCCTTCCATATTCCCTGAAATTATCTATAGCAGAGAAGACTAAAGAATGCAACCACACAGTGGACAGGCATTTCAACTAGGTATTATCTGCTTCTCGGCTCATTCAAATTCTAAAGAGAATCATTTACAAGTTAATTTCTGTCTCTCGAGTCCATTCATTTCCCCTAAAAATCAGTTACCCCTATATCTCCCAGTTCCCTCTCCCCAACGAAGAGGGTATTAAGGGTCAACCGTCTGGCTCTTTGGGTTTTCTTTTCTTGTTGTTGTTGTTTTTAGAGACAGGGTCTCTCTATGTTGCCCAGGCTGAACTCAAACTCCTGGGCTCAAGCAAATCTTCTGCCTCAGCCTCCCCAAATGGCTGGGACTACAGGCATATGCCATCACATCCAGCTTTTGAGTGTTCATATTTTGTATGACTCCCATGCACTTGTGTGCACATAATAAATTTGTTATGCTTTCCTTAGTTAACTTATTCTTTTGTTACAGGAGTGCTGACTGTGACCCTCCATGATGGGGAAGAAAGGATCATACCCTTTCCACCCTTACACTTTCTAGGCAAAATACACAGTAATCATCAAGGAATTTGGTTAGGCCCTCATCTGACTGGTTCCCTATTTCCTGGATCCCATATCTGATTCTTTCTCTGTTTATTCCCCTATTTTGGAAGACCACATCCTTTCTAAAACAGTGTGCATCAGAAGGGAAGTGTTTTCTACATTCTGCATCCTAAAAATAAATGTCTCTATTCTACCATGTGACTGAAAGTTGGGCTGTAAAGGGAATTCTTGGTTGGAAACCATTTTTCCTAAAATATTAAAGGTATTGTTCTACTGTCTCCTAGTTATTGCTGTTGAGAAGGGTGTTCTGATTCTTGATTCTCTGTCTGTAATCTGTTTGCTTTTTAAGTTCTTCTCTAAATTCCCAGTGTTCTGAAATTTTAGGATGATATACCTTAGCACAACTCTTTTTCATTGACTTTATTGTGTATTCACTCACAGCTCTTTCAAACAGGAAGTTTGTATCCTCCACTTCCAGTAAATTGTATTGCATTATTTCTTTCATAATATTTTCTCAACCATTTGTTTTTCTTTCTAGAACTCCAATTTTTCATATCAAGACTGAAACTCTAATTTTCTTGTGGTTTTCTCCTCAATTTTTTAATCTATTATCTTTTTGTTCTACTTTCTGGGCAGTGTTCCTTGGTGTTTGCCCCATACTTTATCATATTTTCATTTATATTATGTTTTTAATTTATAAGAGCTCTTTCTTGTTCTTGGGAATTTCCCTAGTTCGTAACATCCTAACCTTGTTTTGTGGTTATATGTAATACCTTCCTTTTTCGCTCTGAGACTCCATCTCTACAAAAATTTAAAAATAAAAAAAATTAGCCGAGAGTGGTGGTGCATGCCTGTGGTCCCAGCTACTCAGGAGGCTAAGGCAGGAGGACTGCTTAAGCCCAGGAGGTCAAGGCTGAAGTGAGCCATATTCACACCACTGCACTCCAGCCTGGGCGACTGAGTGAGATCCTGTTTCAGAGAGGAAAAAAGCACTCTCAAAGTAATAAGGAAAAGAAAAACAGGGAAAGGCAATTGGCCACTGGCCACACAGCACTCACACAAGACTTCAGGAGCAGTGTTCCCTGGGAAGAAAGCATGTCTGACAACATCAGTAGCAGGTGTGCAGGTCTCCTGCTGCTCATGATACCCTGGAGCAGAGCACAGAAACCTGGCAAAACTTCATGTCAGATATTTAAAAAGGGATCCCCATGCTTGAGTCACGGAGCTTCTAAGTAAGGTACATGATTAGAGAACCACTGGTCCCTAGCCTGTCAGAGGCAGAAATACAACCACAAAGTGATGTGCAGAGCCTTCAATACGATGTGTCAGAACCCTGTCCCTATCCCTATTATGCTAGCCTGATACTCACGGTTGAGGCAACTCCTCTGCCTGCCATGATCTGGAAGCTTTGTTCCAAGCCTTGCAGGCATCACTATAAGATGGGATAATATGGTAGCAGAATATGCCATTTCCATGGGTATGGAACAGACCCATCTCTTGCATAATTAGGGGCCTCACGTCCAAGTTTCATGGTTGACCAGGATGGTCTGCCCTACTTGGCCATAGCCAGTTTCAACAGAGTTTTGCAAGAAGCCCAGCCCTTTTCTGAGCAGACAGACTACCAGGGCTCAGTCTTGGAAAAATTAATCTCACTCCTCTAGCATATAATAAAGTCATATGAGACTATCCAACAAACTTCAAATAAAAGTTCTCTATAAGAAGAGAACAGAGAGAATTAGGAGAGGCAGAGAAAATGGTCAAGAATTTTCCAAAACTGATGACTTGAGCCATCAAATTGAAGACATACATTTTATCCCAAGCCAGAATAAAAACAAGACTATAACTAGAGATTTCATAGTGAAACTATAGAAGAGCAAAGACAAAAATAAATCTTAAGAGCAATCAGAGAAGAAAGACAGATAACCAAGAAGGAATCAGATCAGGCCAACAGTGAACTTCTGAGGTGAGTAGTCTCCATAGACGCACCCCAACAATTCTCCCAATCCCTGTGAGAAAATACTGCTTCTCAAGTCAAGAGTGCAGCTTCCCCTGACTCTAGGCTGACCCTGTGAATGCTCTGATCAATGGAAGTCCACAGAAGTGGCATCTGAGATGTCTGCATCTAGGCCTTCAGAGGACTGACAAATTATACTTCTTTCATTGTGCAAGTCTTAAGATGCTACCCCTCAAAACTCAGCCACCGGGGTAGATGCCCAAGCCATGCAGAACAGGCACGTGGATGAGAACTAAAGGACAACAATTAACAGATCCAGCAATGATTCCAACCAAAGCCAGCATCAACTGCACTGAGTATGCCATCTTTCATTTTCCACCTAAGTTGAGTCCCTAAGTAGAACTGCAGCCCCAACCAACATCAAAAGGAAAAATTACTCAATTGATGCTAGGCAACCTACAGAATCAGGAGAGATTATAAAATGGTTCGTGTTTCAAGCCACTAAGTTTTAAGGTGGATTTAAGCATCAATACATAATGAAAACATTTCTCAGTAGTAATAAAAGATGCCAGAAGAAAATTAAAAATTATCTTTAAACTGTTGTTGGAAAATAATGCTCAACCTAGAATTCTAAAACCAACCAAATATCTTTCTAGGGTGAGACCAAATACATTTTTAGACACACAAATAGTGAAAGTTCATCACTTACATGCCTTCACAGAAAGAAATACTAAAGAATATATATATGGATACAAAAAACAACTGAAAGCAATGAAATTTATAAATATGTTAGTAAATCTAAATAAGCACTGACTTGGTTAAAAATAAGACAGAGCTATAATATTACATAGTATCTAATCTGGCCAACTAGCTATTGTAATTTATATTTTGATGTTTTGAACTTGCACTTATGGTAAGACTAGCATACAGAAAATGTCCTAAAGAAACACCAACATATATGAAAGCATCTCCAAGATCTTGCACTCATCATCAGTTCTTCTCTTCTCCCTTCCCACTATCCCTCACACAGGAGCCTCCCATCTATCCACACCTGAGAAGGTCTCAACCCCAGCCATCAAGGAACAAACAAGGGACATTTATAAGAGGAAAATGAAAGAGGGCAACCAGGCAAGAGAACTCTCCTGGCATTTACCCAGGTAGAGAATTTGCTGATTACTTCTTTTGCTTCAACCTTTTATCTGCTTTGACATAATGAGAAATCAAGCCATGGACATGGAATATGAATGATAGTTTTTAACAGTAAAGACCAAGTGATGACCAAAAAGCATCTTTAAAAGATGAAGCAAGGAACGCCTCATAACCATATGAACATTTTCTCCGCCGTCTCATTCTCAAAATATAAATTTTCCATATGCCTACTTAAAATTGTCAAGTCCCCAAAACACCAAAAGCAATTGCAACAAAAGCAAAAATTGACAAATGGGATCAAACTAAACTAAAGAGCTTCTGCACAGCAAAAGAAACTATCATCACAGTGAACAGACAACCTACAGAATGGGAGAAAATATTTGCAAGCTATCCATTTGACAAAGGTCTAATATCCAGAGTCTACAAGGAACTTAAACAAACTTACAAGAAAAAAAACAAATGACGCCATTAAAAAGTAGGCAAAGGACGTAAATAGACTCTTCTGAAAAAAGGACATTCGTGTAGCCAGCAAATATATGAAAAAAAGCTCAACATCACTGATCATTAAAGAAATGCAAATCCAAAACAATGCAATACCATCTCACGCCAGTGAGAATGGCGATTATTAAAAAGTCAGGAAACAACAGATGCTGGTGAGATTGCGGAGAAAAAGGAATATTTTTACACTGTTGGTGGGAGTGTAAATTAGTTCAACTATTATGGAAGACAGTGTGGCGATTCCCTAAAGATCTAGAGGCAGATATGCCATTTGACCCAGCAATCCCATTACCGGGTATATACCTCCCAAGATATAAATCATTCTATTATAAAGAAACATGCATGCGTATGTTCATTGCAGCACTAGTCACAATAGCAAAGACATGGAATCAACCTAAATGCCCATCAGTGAAAAAACGGATAAAGAAAATGTGGTACATATACACCATGGAATACTAAGCAGCCATAAAAAGGAACAAAATCATGTCCTTTGCAGGGACGTGGATGGAGCTGGAAGGCATTATCCTCAACAAACTAATGCAAGAACAGAAAACCAAATACTGCATAGTCTAACTTATAAGTGGGAGCTGAATGAGAACACATAGACACATGGGGGGAAACAGCACACACTGGGACCTGTTGTGGGGGAAGGGGGAGGGAGAACATCAGGAAGAATAGCTAATGGACACTGGGCTTAATACCTAAGTCATGGGATGATCTGTGCAACAAACCACTGTGGCACATGTTTACCTATGTAACAAACCTGCGCATCCTGCACACATGCCCCAGAACTTAAAAGTTGAAGGAAAAAAAAAAATTTTGCAGAGTCCCAAGTGTAAAAAGCAGAAAGTTAGGAACCTCGATTTTCAATTAACACAGAGCTCAGTTATATTAGAAAGTGATTAGCCTCTTTTTAAAAAGCTATTAAACATTACTTACTTTAACAGCAAATTTCTTAGATGCCATGGCTTATTGATTCCACAGTAACTACAGACCTTTAAGAAAAAAAAAAGTTACAATTAGGTATATTAAAATTTCTTTTTATTTGGATATTATACAGGAAAAAGATGGGCTGAATAGTAAAATATCAATAGGTATTTATGAGATGAATGTTCACTTATAATTGCCCTTAACCAAAATACTATATTAAATTAGTAATTTAAGCACTGCTTGCAAATAAAAGGACAGGCCCTGGCCAGGCATGGTGGCTCACACCTATAATCCCAGCACTTTGGGAGGCCAAAGTGGGAGACTCACTTGAGCTCAGGAGTTCGAGACCAAACTAGGCAACACAGCAAGACCTCATCTCTACAGAAAGAAAAAAAAAAAAGAGAGAAAAGCACAGGCTCAGATGGCTTCCCTGCTACATTCTATCAAATGTGTACAGAATAATTTAAACCAATCCCTCATAAACTCTTTAAAAAAACAGAAGCATAAGAAAAATTTCTCAAATAATTCTGAAGCCAGTATCATCCTGATACCAATACCAGAGAGAGACATCACAAGAAAACCACACATCAATGTCCCTTATGAAGACACAAAAATTCTCAACAAAATACTAGAAAATCAAACATAGCAACATGTAAAAAAGATTATACACCACGATCAAGTTGGATGTAGCCCAAGAATGCAAGGATAGTTTAAGATCTGAAAATTAATCAATATAATACACTCTATTAATAGAATAACAGAAAAAATGCACATAATCATAATACAAAAAAAAAAAACCCAAAATGCTTTTTTAATTAAAAACAAAAAAAAGCCAACACAATAGGAATAGAAGGAACTATCTCAACCTGATAAAAGACATTTAGGAAAAACCAAGTGCTAAAATCATACTTAATGATGAAGACTAAATGTTTTCTCCCTTAAGATGAGAGACATGTCTTTACATGAAACGTCTGCTCTTGCCACTTCTTTTCATCATTGTACTAAAGGTTCTAACTAAGGCAATTAGGCAAGAAAAAGAAATAAAAAGCATCCAGATCAGGAAGAAAGAAATAAACTGTCTATTCATAAACAATATGTTCTCATATATAGAAAACCCTAACAAATCATCAAAAAACTACTAGAATTAATAAGTTCAGCAAGGTTGTAGGATATATGATAAATATTTTAAAATCTACTGTATTGCTACATATCAACAATGAATAGTCCTAAAATAAAATTTAAAGAAAAATTCTATTCATAATAACATGAAAAAGAATACTTAGGAATAAGCATAGCAAAAGTACAAGATTTGTACACCAAAAGTCATAAAATATAATTGAAAGAAATTAAAGACTTAAGTGGAAAGATAACCCGTGTTCATGGATTGTAAGACTTAAAGCGGTTAATATAGCAATATTCCCAAATTGTTCTCAGATTCAACATAATCCCTATCAAAATCCCAGCTGACTTCTTTATAGAAATTAACAAGTTTATCCTAAAACGTATATGAAAATGCAAGAGATCTGGAGTAACAAAAACAATACTGAAAAAGAAGAATCAAATTGGAGAACTCAGCCTTCTCAATTTAAAAGCTTATTACAGCTGGACGCAGTGGCTCACGCCTGTTAATCTCAGCACTTTGGGAGGCCGAGGCGGGTAGATCACGAGGTCAGGAGTTCGAGACCAGCCTGGCCAACATGGTGAAACCCCGTCTCTATTAAAAATACAAAAATTAGCTGGGCATGGTGGCATGCACCTGTAATCCCAGCTACTCAGGAGGCTGAGGCAGGAGAATCGCTTGAACCTGAGAGGCAGAGGTTGCAGTGAGCCAAAATCATGCCACTGCACTCCACCCTGGGTGACAGAGCAAGACTCCGTCTGAAAAACTATCAAATAAAATAAATAAATAAATAAAAGCTTACTACAACATCACAACAATCAAAACAGTATGGTACAGGCTGAGTATCCCTTATCAGAAATGCTTAGGACCAGAAGTGCTTCAGATGTAGGATTTTTTCAGATTTTGGAATATTTGCACATACATGATGAGATATCCTGGGGATGAGATCCAAATCTAAACACAAAATTCACTTATGTTTCATATATACCTTATACAGATAGCCTGAATTTTACATATTTTTATGATTTTGTGCATGAAACAAAGTTTTGACTTCATTTTGACTACAGATTGTCATGTGAAGTCAGGTGTGGAATTTTGTACTTGTGGCATTATGTTGGCATTCAGAAAGTTTCAGACTTTGGAGGATTTCGTATTTTGGATTTTCATATTAGGGATGCTCAACCTATACTAGCATAAGAACAGACATATAGGCCAGGCACGGTGGCTCACACCTGTAATCCCAGCACTTTGGGAGGCCGAGGCTAGCAAATCACTTGAGGCCAGGAGTTCGAGACAACCCTGGCCAACATGGCGAAACCCTGTCTCTACTAAAAATACAAAAAATTAGCTGGGTGTGGTGGTGTGCACCTGTAATCCCAACTACTGGGAAGGCTGAAGCACGAGAATCATTTGAAACCAGGAGGCAGAGGTTGCAGTGTGGCAAGATTGCGCCACTGCACTCTAGCCTGGGGGACAGAGTGAGACTCTGTCTCAAAATAAATAAATAAATAAATAAATAAATAAATAAATAAATAAATAAAAGACATACAGGTCAATTGGAATAAAATTGATAGAAATAGATCCTTAAATTTATGTTCAATTGATTTTCAACAAGGGTACTAAGATAACTTGATGGGAAAATAGTTTTTTCAACAAATGGTTCTAGAACAACTGAGTATCCATATGCCAAATAATAAAGTTAGACTGCTACATCACACTATATACAAAAAGTTAAATCAAAATGGATCATAGACCTAAATATAAGAGCTAAAACTATAAAAATCTTAGGAAAAAACAAAGGCATAAATTTTTGTGACCTTTCATTAGGCAACAGTTTCTTAGATATGATACCAAAACAGAAGTGACAAACACAATTAGTAAATTAGATTTTATCAAAATTAAAAACTTTTATACTTCAAACCAAGAAAGTAAAAAGATAATACACAGAATAGAAAAAAAATCTGCAAATCATACATCTGATGAAGGACTCATGTCCAGAATATATAAAGAACTCAACTCAATAAGAGGACAAATAATTTAAAAATAAGCAAAGAATTTGAATAGACATTCCTTCAAAGAAGATATACAAATGACCAATAAGCACATGAAAAGATGCTTAACATCATTAGCCATCAAATGCAAATCAAAACCACAATGAGATATTACTTTATACCCATTAAGATAAATAGCTAAAATCAAAATGACAAATAATAACAGATGTTGGCAAGGATGTGAATAAACTGGAACTCTCATACATTGATGGTAGGCATGTAAAATGTAGCCACTTTGCACAATAGTTTGATAGCATTTCAAAATTTAAAGAGTTGCCACATGACCCAGCATTTCCATTCCTAAGGATATATCCAAGAAAAAAAATAATAACTCCATACAAAAAAATTATACAGGAATGCTCACAGAAGCACTACTAATAATAGTCAAAAAATGGAAACAACCCAAATGTCCATCAACTAATGAACAGATAAATAAAATGTGATATATCATACAATAGAATATTATTTGGCAATAAAAAGGTAAATATTCCCCTTTACTGTGCTCAGCCAGGCAACTGCTTTTTCTCACCCTGGCAGAAACCTGGAGTATTTTCTGAAGAGGGTAAGACAGAGGATCTCTAGTCTGGAAAACACCAGGCACAGTAGAAGGTGGAGTCTTCTGAACAAAGAGACATTAGGGAATACAAATACAGAGACCTTCCTCTGCCTGCATGCCTCTCTACCCTGCCCATACTCTCCAGACTGCAGACTGAAACCTCCCTATTCAGAGAATTGGACTAACCTAAAAGACACTGTCTAAAAATACTGACATAGGGGTTCCTTGGGGAACAGCCTAAACAGATGGCTCTTAAGTGAAGTCCACATCCATAAGCCCCACACCCATATGCAGAGATTCTAGTCATCTTTTAATGTCCCACTCTCAAATACAAGTAAACAAGCAGGAATCACCTACCACCTAAGGCAAGATTAAATTATGAAAGAAAACCAAATACAGAAAAAAACCTATTTGGCTGAAACAAAGTATGGAGGGAGAAGAAAACATTTTTTAAGAATTATCATTAGGGAGATTGCAGATACTACAGCCATAAAGCAAAAAATGACAGCAACAAAAAAAGAGAACTATCAGAAGACAACAAACTAAAACAATGATAGTTGAATTTTAAAAACTTAATAGAATGGTTGAAAGATAAAGCTGATGAAATCTCTCAGAAACTTCAGCAAAAATTAAAAAAATGAAAAGAGACAATAAATTAAAATTAAAAGACCAATATAGGAGGTCAAACACATGAAAATTAGTATGGAGACTGACCCATATTACAGCATCTATCCCAGTGAAATTTTAGGCATTGGGGATAAAAAAAAAATTTTTTTTAAGTGCGTTGGGGGGTAGTAGGAGGTGGAGAACACAAAGGATCAGGAGTCAGAATTGGTTCCAAACCGCCCAAAGAAATGGAGAAATATCTTCAAAATTCTGAAGAAAATTGTTTCCAACCTCAAACTGGATTTAAACTTCAGGGAAGAAAAAAAATTCTTATGCAAGCTCTTATAAAACTGTTTCATGTATTTTTTCTCAGGAAGCTACTAAAGATGTGCTTCACCAAAATGAGGAAACTAAGCAAGAAAGAGGAAACAGGAAGGGTGAGACAGGAGAAAGGCAGAGCAAAGCTGAGGATCTGGTGAAAGGAGGCCTCCATGAGAGCTGTGGGTAGACCACAGGAGAAGCGCAGGTGCAGACCAGAGCAGGCCGCAGGGGAGAGGCACGTCCAGGAAGATCTACACACACACACACACACACACACACGGATGAGTTTTAGACAACTCGTGGAGAATATGAGATTGAATTAGGACAGGTACATGGAAAGCTAAACAGCAGAAGAATAACAAGGCAATGACTGATTCCATGATAAACAAAAACTGCAGTAAATAAAAAGAGTGCTTAATACACAGTTCAGTTATGACTAGCATTTATAGTTATAATAGCAAACATTGAATCCTGACCTAAACAATATTATGCTTACGATGATATTAGAAAAATAGGGAATGTGTGTGTATAAATATGGTGAGGGCATAGAGGTTAAACAGAGCAAAAGATCTCTAATGGTGATGGAATGTTTCAGAAACAAAGCAGACCAGTAAAAACAATAACAACCACAATAGCTATAGTAAAGCAAAAATACAGACGGTAATTTAGTGATCGGGATCCAATTCTTTTTTTTTAATAAAATTTTTTACGTTATTTATTTATTTATTTATTTTCTGAGACAGAGTCTCACTTTGTCAACCAGACTAAAGTGCAGTGGCTCAATCTAGGCTCACAGCAACCTCCACTTCCTGGACTGAAGCGATCCTCCTGCCTCAGCCTCCTAAGTAGCTCAGATTATAGGTTCATGCCACCAAGCCCAGCTAATTTACATATATATATATATATTTTTTTTTTTTTTTTTGAGACAGTTTCGCTCTTGTTGCCCAGGCTGGAGTGCAATAGCGTGATCTCAGCTCACTGCAACCTCTGTCTCCTGGGTTCAAGCGATTCTCCTGTCTCAGCTTCCCGAGTAGCCGGGATTACAGGTGCATGCCACCACGCCCAGCTAATTTATGTATTTTTAGTAGAGACAGAGTTTCATCATATCGGTCAGGCTGGTCTTGAATTCCTGACCTCAGGTGATCCGCCCACCTCGGCCTCCCAAAGTGCTGGGATTACAGGCATGAGCCACTGCGCCCAGCCTATTTTTATATTTTTTATAGAGATGGAGCTTCACCATCTTGCCCACGCTGGTCTTCATCTCCTGAGCTCAAGCAATCCACCAGCCTCAGCCTCCCAAAGTGCTGGGATTATACGTGGGAGCCACCACGCCCTGCCTGGATCCAATTCTTAAGTACTAAACTCTGCCCCAAACTGAAGAACAAGATGAAGAGAGCTCACAAGGATGGAGGAAAGGGGTTGAGGAGGACACCATAATTCACAAGCCTTGAGCATGGAACTATTTGCCCGTTGAAATTTTTAGAACAGGTCTTCCAAAAGAAATATAATGCAAGCCACAAATGTAATTTTAAGTTTTCTAGTAGTTGCATTTTTAAAAAAGTAAACAGAAACAGATAAAGTTAATTTGAATAATCTATTTTATTTTATTTTATGTTTTTGAGACGGTGTCTCACTCTGTCACCAGGGCTGGAGTGTAGTGGCACGATCTTGGCTCACTGCAACTTCCACCTCCTGGATTCAAGCGATTCCCCTGCCTCAGCCTCCCAAGTAGCTGGGATTACAGGCGCCCGTCACTATGCCCAACTAATTTTTTGTATTTTTAGTAGAGACGGGGTTTCACCATATTGGCCAAGCTGTTCTCGAACTCCTGACCTCATGATTCACCCGCCTCGGCCTCCCAAAGTGCTGGGATTACAGTCATGAGTCACCGTGCCTGGCCAATCTATTTTATTTAACCTGATATAGCCAACATGTTAGCATTTCAACATGTGAGCTATATAAAAATGTTTACATGCTTGTTGTTTTAACCAAGACTTTGAAATTGGTTATATTTCTAGGACATCTCAATTTGGACTGGTCATGTGTCAGGTGCTCAATAGACACTTGTAGGTAGCCACCATTATGGACAGCGCAGTTTGAGAGCCTTTTTTTAAACAAGAAAAACACGGCCAGGCGCGGTGGTTCACACCTGTAATCCCAACACTTTGGGAGGCCAACGCACGTGGATCACTTGGGGTCAAAGTTCGAGACCAGCCTGGCCAACATGGTGAAACCCCATCTCTACTAAAAATACAAAAGTTAGGCAGGCATGGTGGTGGGCGCCTGTAATCCCAGCTACTCGCAAGGCTGAGGCAGGAGAATCGCCTGAACCTGGCAGGCGCAAATTGCAGTGAGCCGAGATTACGCTACTGCACTCCAGCCTGGGTGACAGAGTGATACTCTGTCTCAAAAAAATAAATAAGAAGGGCACTTATTTCTGTATCCTGAATATTTTATTTCTAAAATAAGAGTAATAATACCTAACTCAAAATTATTGAAAGGACTAAATAAAATGACATACAAAAACACTAGGCCTGCCGGGCACGGTGGCTCACGCCTGTAATCCCAGCACTTTGGGAGGCCGAGGCAGGCGGATCAAGAGGTCAGGAGATCGAGACCATCCTGGCTAACACGGTGAAACCCCGTCTCTACTAAAAACCCAAAAAAATTACCCGGGCGTAGTGGCGGGCGCCTGTAGTCCCAGCTACTCAGGAGGCTGAGGCAGGAGAATGGCGTGAACCCGGGAGGCGGAGCTTGCAGTGAGCCGAGATCGCACCATTGTCCTCCAGCCTGGGCGACAGAGCGAGACTCCGTCTCAAAACAAACAAAAAAACCACTAGGCCTTCGATGAGTATTGATAATTATTATTACTCAGTCAACAGTGATTTTTTAGAAATTGGTACCCTTTGGTTTTAATTTTTAATGTTTTAATGTTTGCCTCCTATGTGATGAGATCCTAATTTTTTAAATGGACAAAAATATCTTTATCCAAACCCTAAGTCATGTTAAGTATTCATTTCCATTCTCTAAATAACATAATGCACATGACTTAGAAAAATATTTAATGAAGTTTATCTTAGCAAGCCCATTTAGACGCAAGTGTAAGTGGAAAAAAAGTAAGTTCCTGGGAAATCAGGCACATGTTTAAAAACAATGTATATAAAGGTTGTCCTGAAAACTTTATATGAATTTTTTAAAATTACATTATTTTTGTCTAATAAACATAAAATCAGTCACCTTAAATACATTAAATCAGGCTTGAATAATCTTGCTAAGAATTAAGGAAGTCCCTAAATGAGGGTACTTAAAAAGAATACTCAAGTGCATCAGCTAGACATGGAACCAGGAAAAAGGGGACAGTTTTGTCAATAAGTAACCATCACAGGTAAAAAAAATGTGTGATCCAATTATTTTTTAATTACACACCAGTTTTCCCATATGTACTTTTTTTCCTGAAGGACAGATAGACCACGTGGAAGGCCAAGGCAAGGCTTTCACATCATATCTGCCTTGGATAGATCATAAATGAGCCATATTACAGTGAGGTTACTGTGATGGCTAATATTACTAATACAGTTACATTTTCACATTTTCAACTCACAATAAGGTTTTGTTTTTGTGGGTTTTTTTTTTTACTTTTATCAATAAAACAAGAACAGCTACATTTACGATGTAGATTCTGAATTTTTCAAAGAGTATCATCAAAGTCCAATATCAAAAAAATGATCTCTAGGGATCTGGAACTGAAAAGCATGTATTTTTTATATAAAATAATATGGTCTGACAATGTAAAATAGGCTACCTGGGAAGAATGAAATCTATATTCTGAATATTTTAGTCTGTTTTTAATATCATAACACACTCTGCCTCAAGTTATGTAACTTTTTCACTTGTTTCCACAATGTTTGGAAATTCAAAAAGTCACAATTTTAGGGCTAAAATAGATCTTACAGACCCTCTACTCCCAGCCTTGCCATCTATTCCCCTAATGAGAACTTATGGGACCAGGCCAGCATCTCACAGCTGATGGCCTAACCAAGCGCTAGATAGAGTCTTGTCAGGTCCACTGAGGGCAAACTAGCACCATCTGTCACCTGTAGAATTGCCAAAGTCAGTGACTAATTGGGCTGTCAGGGTAGGTGTGACCTTCTTCCCTCTGCCTCACGCCAAGGTCCAAGTTCCCAACACAGAGTATGACCTCAAATGAAGCTACATGTGTAGTGGTCCTCTCCTGTTAATCAAAGAAAGAAAGAAACTCTATAGTTAATGAAAATGAAGTTTGAATTAATTTATCACTATGCTACATAATATGGCACCCTTCATAGACAAAATATAAATAAATGAATTCTACCAAGATAAAGCCCATAACACATCTGGAAAGTCGGTTGCATAGACCTTGAGCTTGCATATTTGCTAAAGTCATTTCAGATAAAGAAACCATCTTTTCTTTGGTTTATGACAGCACTAGGCATGTGCTGGGGATGAATTAAACGGTGAATTGAAATCTGAAATGAACTGAGCCAATCTGCTAAGTTCCAAATATGGTAAAATCATACTTATCCATGGTGGAAGGAGTACACACTCATATGTGAGCAGCCCTCAGAGCAATGCCTAACACTAGAGGGTACTCAAGAAAAGCCTGCTGGGTGAAAAAAATGTTCCAGATAATTGGTGCTGAGTCACTTATGCATATAACCTTTTTATTTTTTTTCTGTTTTTAGGGAAATTTTCCAAAAATATACTGAATCTTTATTAATGTTCATAAAAATACCATATATTGAATATTTATCTGATATTCCCAATTAAAGTTATCATCACACTGAGCAATAAACACATCACTGCCCCTGTGAGCTGCTAGCTCCTACTCAAAGCTGCTCAACAGTAGGCCAGCGGGGTCGTCTGCCTGCTCTCGCAGGTGATCCCAGAGCTGTCAGAGTGCCTGAGTCCCTTTCTTAACTCCATTCTTAATCTTAATCAGATGGGCCTAGAAAACTAAGAGACTAAGGCTAATGTGATGTTTTCCAAGCCACTCTTACATGGATTTGCATGGACTTCAGTGTGCGAAGGCTTTGAGCCATCTGTTTTACATAATAAAATGACTATTACCTCTACTTCAGGATTAGGGTTTCTATAATGATGAAATCACCGGGTCATGGTACAGTGCAAAGTGTCCCTTGGATTTAAGCCTCAGCATTTAATTCTTCCCACCTCAAAAAAACAGTGGAGTTGGAAAGGTTGACCACTATAGTCTATTCCATTTCTAAACCTCTAGAATCCAAAAATCAACAGTAGTTCAGGGTTCAAATAATGCCAGTATACAAATTCTTCCAGAGAAAAGAGTAAGAAGGAAATCATCCCACCGCTCATTTTATGGAGTACTGATAGCAAAACCAGACAAAGGCAGTAAAAGAATGAAAAATCAGTCAATTCTATGAGTGAACATAGAAGCAATAATCTAAAAGCAATTTTAATCTAGCAAACCTACTTAAAAACAAACAAACATCAGAATCAAGTGAGGTATCTGAGGAGTGCAAGGTTAGCTAAACACTACAGAAATCATCACATTAAAAAACTGAAGTAGAGGCCGGGTTCAGTGGCTCACACCTGTAATCTCAGGACTTTGGGAGGCTGAGGCAGGAGGACTGCTTGAGCCCAGGAGTTCGAGACCAGCCTAGGCAACAAAGTGAGACCCTATCTCTAAAAAAAAAAAAAAAAAAAAATCAGCCAGGTGTGGAGCCCCCACCTGTGGTCCCAGCTACATGGGAAACTGAGGCAGGAGGATCACTTGAGCCCAGGAGTTCAAGGCTGCAGTGAGCCATGTTTATGCCACTGCACTCCAGCCTGGGTGACAGAGACCCTGTCTCAAAACACAAAAACAAAAACTAAAGAAGAAAAAAGGCACATAAACATTTCAGTAGAAGCAGAAAAAAATAAAAAGGTAACATTAGAAATCTATGAATACAAAGGAATTTCTTAATCTAAAAAAAGCATCTACAAAAATGTAACAAAATGCTTAATGATGAACCAGTAGAAACAACTTCTTTGCAACAAGTAGAAAATGTAGAACTTAAAATATCATTTAAACTAGCATCCCACAAATAAAAAGTATCTAGGAATAAAATGAAAAAAATATATACGAGACATCCTCTGACTGATCTACTAATTTAATGCAACTCCAAACACAAACTTGAACAGGGAAACTGAGAAAGACTAAAAAAGATCAAGACACTTCTAGAAAAGGAAGAAAAAAACAAAAGATGGGGCTTGCAAAACTGCTACAATGCAAGGTAAAAAAACTAACGTACTGGCAAACGGGCAGACAAACAGGCAGAGGGGGCAGACTCCACACACCAGAAACCAATGCATGCATTTATGAAACTGATGCATGCTGGGAGCAGCACTGTGAAATTAGTGTGAAATGAAGAGATGACTCATTCAATAAACTGTGGTCAAACAACTGCTCATATCTATTTGAGAAAAAATTAAATTGGACTCGATCTCATACAAGACTCAAAAATCAATTACAGATGGGTTAAAAACTCAAAGGTGTGAAACTAAAACCTTTCAGAGGATATTTTTATGAACTCAAAATCATAAAGGAGTTTTTTAACTAGACAGAGAAAATGTAAACCATAAAGAAAAAGAATGACAGCTTTGGCCATATTGAAATTAAAACTTTTCTAAGAAAACTGGGAGAAAAATATTTGCAATCCATATCTAACAAAGGATTTCTATCTAGAATACATAGTCTCAAAATTCAATAGTAAAAAGCAACAGTCCAATCAGAAAATGGGCAAATGACAAACAGATATCTCACCAAGAAGGATATACAGATGGTAAAAAAGCATATGAAAAGATATTCAACATCATTAGCCATGGGAAAATGTAAAATAAAACCACAATGAGATATCACTACATATCTACCAGAAAGACAAATAAAAAACAATAACACCAAATGCTGGTGAGGGTGCAGAGAAAATAGATCTCTCATATATCACTGGTGGGACTGTAAAAGTGGTACAGCCACTCAGGAAAAGTGACTGGAAGTTTCTTATCAATCTAAACAACCCAAAAATTGCTCTCCTCAGAATTTATCCCAGAGAAATGAGAACTTAGGCTCACGTAAAAACTTGTTCAAAAATGTTCATAGTAACTTTTTTTTTTTTTTTTTTTTTGAGACAGAGTCGCACTCTGTTGCCCAGGCTGTAGTGCAGTGGCCCAATTTCGGCTCACTGCAACCTCTGCCCTCCGAGTTCAAGTGATTCTCTTGCCTCAGCCTCCCAAGTAGCTGGGATTACAGGTGCCTGCCACCACACCTGGCTAATTTTTATGTTTTTAATAGAGACGGGGTTTCACCATCATGGCCAGGCTGGGCTTGAACTCCTGACCTTGTGATCCACCCACCTCAGCCTCCCAAAGTGCTGGGATTACAGGTATGAGCCACCGCATCCGGCCATCATAGTAACTTTATTCTTAACAGCCACAAACTGGAAACAACCCAGACATCCTTCAACGTGTGAATGGTTAAACAAACTGCAGTACCTTTATACCCTGGCATATTACTCAGGCAGAGGGAATAAACTATTGATACATGCAACTTGGATGGATTTTAAGGAAATAGGCTGAGTTAAAAAAAAAAAAAAAAAAAAAAAAGCAATCTCAGCCAGGCACAGTGGCTCATGGCTGTAATCCCAGCAGTTTCAGAGGCCAAGTAGGGCAGATCACCTGAGGTCAGGAGTTCAAGACCAGCCTGGCTAACATGGTGAAACCCTGTTTCTACTAAAAATACAAAAAATTAGCCGGGCTTAGTGGCATGTGCCTGTAGTCCCAGCTACTCAGGAGGCCGAGGCGGGAGAATCGCTTGAACTCAGGAGGCGGAGGTTGCAGTGAGCCGAGATCACGCCACTGCACTCCAGCCTGAGTGACAGAGTGAGACTCCATCTCAAAAAAAAAAAAAAAGGGCAATCTCATCGGCTGGGCATGGTGGCTCACATCTGTAATCCCAGCACTTTGGGAGGCTGAGGCGGGCGGATCATGAGGTCAGGAGTTCAAGACCAGCATGGCCAACATGGTGAAACTCCATCTCTACTAAAAATTAAAAAAATTAGCCAGGCGTCTTGGTGCACACCTGTAATCCCAGCTACTAGGGAGGCTGAGGCAGGAGAATTGCTTGAACCTAGGAGGTGGAGTTTGCAGTGAGCCAAGATCGCGCCATTGCACTCCAGCCTGGGCAACAAGAGCAAAACTCCATCTCAAAAAAAAAAAAAAAAAAAAAGAAAGAAAAAAGAAAAAGCAATCCAACAGAAAAATGGGGAGAGGTGGTCCCCAGAGTAAGGTGCCCCTGCCTCCCAACAAAGTCTCTGCAGGTCTGGCAAGGCAGTAGGGGGTGGAAGGAGAGCTTCTCATCCCTTCTGTTATTTAGGCCTTGACAACCACTGTGCAACATCCAACCATGAGACTTGTATATCCTCTGGGAGCTGAGGGGCATGTCCCTCACTATTCTTTTACAAAACCCAATTAGTTGTGATATCTAAACACAGAAGAATTGACGGAGAATCTGTGGGGAACACATGTTCTCTTCCCTTACTACATGCACACAGCCTGTTATCTGGGATGGAACAGATGACAGTCATGGATGGGCCCATCCGCCTCCCACGAGAAGGAAAAATCACAACATGGTGCTATGGTCTACATGTTGGTATCCCCCCAAATTTATATGTTGGAACCTAATGCCCAGTGTAATAGTATTAACGGTGGGGACTTTGGAAAGTGATAAATAATGAGGGCTCCATCCTCATGAATGGGACCAGTGCCCTTATTTTAAAAAAGGCTCAAACAAGCTCCCCAGCCTCTCTACCTTATGTGAGGGTACAGCAAGAAGGTATCATCTTCGAAGCAGAAAGCAAGTCCAGGCCAGGCGCGGTGGCTCATGTCTGTAATCCCAGCACTTTGGGAGGCTGAGGCGGGCGGATCACGAGGTCAGGAGTTCGAGACCAGCGTGAACAACATGGTGAAACCCCACCTCTACTAAAAATACAAAAATTAGCTGAGCATGGTGGCACACACCTGTAATCCCAGCTACTCAGGAGGCTGAGGCAGGAGAATCACTTGAACCCGGGAGGCAGAGGTTGCAGTGAGCTGAGATTGTGCCACTGCAATCCAGCCTGGGTGACAGAGCGAGACTCCAGCTCAAAAAAAAAGAAAGAAAGAAACCCCTCACCAGACAGTGAATCTGCTGGTGCCTTGATCTTAAACGTCCCATTCTCCAGAACTGTGAGCAATAAATTCCTATTGTTTATAAATTACTCAGTCTAAGGTATTTTGTTATGGCAGCACAGGCAGACTAAAACACATGGTGATGCCAGCAGCTCCAGACCCCTACAACTACAGCCTCTTAAAGTACCTCTAATCTCTATCCTTGTACTTCCCCATCCCCAAACCCAACATTAGAGGTATCTGAGCATAAGTCCCCTATTCAAAACTCTTCACTGGGATTTCCCACAGCATCAGAAGCCCTTTTGTCAATGCTTGTATTAGTCTGTTCTTGCAATGCTATAAAGAACTACCTGAGACTGGGTAATTTATAAAGAAAAGTGGTTTAACTGGCTCGCAGTTCTCCAGGCTCTACAGGAAGCATGGCTGGGGAGGCCTCAGGAGACTTACAATCATGGTGGAAGGCAAAAGGAGGCAGGCACATCCTACATGACTGGAGCAGGAGGAAGAGAGAGAAGAGAGAGGTACTATACACTTTTAAACAACCAGAGCTTGAGAGAACTCACTATCCTGAGAACAGCAAGTGGGAAATCTGCCCCCATGAACAATCACCTTCAACCAGGCCCCTCCTCCAACACTGGGGGTTACAATTCAACATGAGATTTGCTCAGGAACACAAATCCGAACAATATCAGTGCCCCTGCCCAAACCTCCATCTTATGGCACAGGCAACTTCACACCTGTAATGCCACCACATAACCAACTCCTGGCACATGTCCTTGAACATGCAGCTCCAGCTCTCCCTGCCTTCACCCATGCATGCCGCACTGTGGAATGTCCTCTCCTAAAGCGAGTTGAGTTATCCTCTGAGACCCAACTCAGATGCCACCTGTTTCTTGGAGCCTTCTATGAACCAAGTGAATTGCTCCTTCTCTGGGACACACCTGAACCACCTCTACTCTCACGCTTAGCCCACTGAATTATAACTAACTCTGGTCCTCTCCCTGACTATAAGATTCCCAGGGACAGGGTCCATTCATCTCCTCTTTAATATTTGGGGTGTGGCACTGTTATGCATTAAAAGTTTGCTGACTTGGGTCCATTGATGTTACTAAATCAGAATGTGGTTTTTTGTTTTTGTTTTTGTTTTTTTTTAGATTTATACCTATTTATCCAACGTATCTTTACTGTCCCTAAATTCCAAATTCCACAGTAAGCCTTCCAAAAAAGAGGTCAAGCACTCTGGACCTATTTCACCAAATAAATAATACTTCAGTTATATATAATCATACAGCCAAAGCTGAGAGTTGTAATTCATATAAACACATACCCAGAAGATCCTAGTGTTTCATATTGAAAATAATGGGCAACAGATTAGAGGTGTGGTTGAAGTTTATACCACAAAGATGATGTTTTTGGTGCATAAATTTCTTTGTCTTTAAAATACTGGCATTTTAACATTCATTTAAATGGAAAAGATATTATTAGCTTCTATCTTAATTAAGTTTTAAATCAAGGAACATCCTGAGGCTTTTCTAAATTTTTTTTACTGATCATTAAAAAGCAAGTGTGCACACACGCACACAAAAAGCAACAATGCATCTTCAATGATTATTTTCCTAGGCCCTCAAAGTTGCTTTCAGCAGGATGCAACAAGCTCAGTGACCAGGTTTACAGAATAAATGTTAAAAAGCCTTTGCTACCAGAGCTGGCAATTCAAGTCTAAATTCAGTGGCATTTTTATTTTGTTGCCTGTTTTTAAGAAGTGTAGGACAACCCAAAAAGATCAATTTTCCAAATATCTGAAAGTATATAATTTACATAAGTATGCTAAGTTAGAGTATATTATAACTTACAAATGATGCCTCATCTTCTATTGTGCATTCTTGAGTCCACTCTCTCAGGCCTGAAAACAAGCATTCTTTAACAAAGAGGAGACTTTGATAGGGTATGACCTACCAAAAATATGATTACATGTGTGTTTTTAGTGGAGTGAGAAAGATCCTAAGAGCTTTAAAAAATTAATTTGGGAAGGGAATGGAAGTAGATTAAACAATATCACATGGTTGTCCTGTCATTTAAATACAAAGCAGAGATAAACTCTAATAAAGAAAGTCAATGACCCTCTAGATTATTCTGTGGGAAAATCTAAGGCACTCTGAAATTCACATTTGTCTTCTTTCTAGTGTTGCTGGCCTGTGTCACAAGCAAATGCTCTCATTAAATAGACCAGAAATTAACTTTAGGTTTCTAATCTCCAGATTTCAAATTTTATCTAGGAAATTATTATGCTTCTTTCTATCATCTTAAAAAACTTTCATTAGTTATGGGAACAGAAACAGAAAACAGCAAAGGCAAAGCCCTAGAACTTCTGAAGTTACAGCTATAATTCAAGAATGAGAAATCATTTCACTGTTGTCCTCTCCCAACACATGCACCAATCTTACCACCAAAACAACCAATATCAAGGAATGAATCACAAACTTAACAAAAGACCAAGGAAAAATGACAAATGAGCAAAGGCCTCACTGGTGACCACTCAGATAAAGGCTGAAAGGCAACTTCAGTGTAAAAAAGAATTAGTTTTTGCTATTATTCAGATGGTAATTCTGAATGCCAAAGTTTACTTATAAAAAAAAAAACAAAAACAAACACGTCAGATTCAACACTGGAAAGAGGATAATGCAAGTAACAAAAAAATTAGAACTTTTAAAAATCCTTTGTCACTAAATGTAAGTCAAACATTGATACTCTACCAAGAATAATTCCATGGAACAGTGCTACCTTTTAGTTACTCTATACTCTCAACCTAGTCAGTTGACCCATGATCTGAGCCTCCCCTTCCTGCTGTGCCCACAGAAAATCCCCACCAGCCACTGCATGGGATGCTTTACTAATAGGCAAAATTTAGTAGGTTTTCGTTGTTGTTGTTGTTTAGAGACAGGGTCTCGGTCTGTTGCCCGGGCTGCAGTGCAGTGGCGTGATCACGGCTCACTGAAACCTCAACCTCCCCAGGTTCAAGTGATCCTCCTGCCTCAGCCTTCCGAGTAGCTGGGACTACAGGTGTAAGCCACCATGCCCAGCTAATTTTTGTATTTTTTGTAGAGATGAGGTTTCGCCATATTGCCCAGGCTGTTTTCTAAGTCCTGAGCTCAAGCACTCCACTCGCCTCAGACTCTCAAAGTGCTGGGATTACAGGTGTGACCCCACCATGTCCGGCCTGAATCTAGTTTTTATTTAATACCTAGTCAGAAACAGACATAGGCACCCACACCTGATGCATGTCCTTAGGTTCTTGTAAAACACATCCCTTCAAATTCTGACTCTTCGTATGACCTGAGACAGGCTATTCAACTCCTTTAAGTCTCTGGTTTTCTTACCTCTGAAATGGGATAATAACAACAGTTTCTATTTCATGGCTCCTGTAAGGATTACATGAGATCAGATATGTAATTATGGGGCCTAGTGCCTGATACACAGTGGATGCTCAGTGTCTTAAACGGAATCATTCCAACAACAAGAGCACAAGCAAACAGCACATGATCAATCCACTTTGTAACCCAAGAACTCTGATAACTAATGTTTTCCAGTCACCTTTACATAGAAAAAAAAAGTTCTGATAATCATTAATAAAATAGTTTTAAAATCTAATCATTTCAAAGCAAAAACTGTTATGATGGAGAACAGATCACTGGTTGCCAAAGGTGAAGGGGTAAGGAGTACTACAAAGGGGTGGCAGAAGGGAAGTTGGGGAGGAAGGAGCTGATGGAACTGTTCCATGTGCTGATTTCGATAGTGGTTACAAAACACTCAATGCACTGATTAAAACTCTGAAAACTACATACCCAAGAATAATTTTATTTTACATAAATTAAAAATAATATTTATTTATTTATTTTTTAGTTTCTAGGTTTTTTTTGAGACAGAGTCTCACTGTGTCACCCAGGCTAAAGCGCAGTTGCACTATCTTGGCTCACTGCAACCTCTGCCTCGTGGGTTCAAGCAACTCTCCCACCTCAGCCTCCCAAGTAGCTAGGATTACAGGTGTGCACCACCATGCCCAGCTAATTTTTGTATTTTTAGTAGAGACAGGGTTTCACCATGTTGGCAAGGCTGGTCTCAAACTCCTGATCTCAAGTGATCCGCCAGCCTCGGCCTCCCAAAGTGTTGGAATAACAGGCGTGAGCCACCGTACTGGGTCTGGAATAATTTTTAAATGCAAAAAATAAAAAAAAAATGCAATCTTTTCTAACTAGAAGATAAATCAAAAGTGACACAAATGAATTTCTATGTCCACGATATTGTAATAGCCATATTCTATATATTATCCCATAATTAATATGAGTCAAATCCAATTTTAAACCACCTCTGATTTATTCAAGCACAAAACGTCAATACTAAAATAAACACAAGTAACCGCTTTTACATAATAGAAGCAAAAAGACTTTAGAAATATACTTACATCAACTCAAAATATAAGTGGTACTCCCCATCTCCCTGACAAAGGGGAGTTTTATGAAATTATAGGGTTGGCTTTATAGATCTCTACTTTGCTACCTAATAAATAGGTTTCTTCATGTGCATGAATTATTGTCCTCAATCTCTAAAAAGTAGACTTGAGGTTTAATACAGCTTAAAGTGATTAGACATGTACATGTCAAGAACTAACAATCCACTTAAAAGTCAATGCACACATTTTGCATTTTTAAAAAGCCATGTTTCATTCACAAAACATTAATTCATAAACTACATAACAGCAAAGGTGAAGTTTTAATACAAACATGCTTTATGACTATCACCTCTTGGTTTCACTGTATACAGAAGGCTTCATTACCAAATAATTAAACTTCTAAAAAAATTGTTAGGCCAGCCCCCGTGGCTCACACTTGTAATCCCAGCACTTTGAGAGGCCAAGGTGGGAGGACTGCCTGAGTCCAGGAGTTTGAGACAGGTCTGGGTAACATGGTAAAAACCCAACTCTACTAAAGATACAAAAAATTAGCCAGGCACAGTGGTGCGCACCTGTAGTCCCAGCTACTCGGGAGGCTGAGGCACGAGAATCACCTGAACCCAGGAGGTGGAGGCTGCAGCGAGCTGAGATCATACCACTGCACTCCAGCCTGAGAGTGGGACCCAGTCTCAAAAAAATGAAAAAAGAAAAAAACGTTTTTAATTAAAATAAGCTAGAGAAGAACAAAGCAATGTGAGAATGAGATTGTAAAAATAAGAACAAACCAAATGTCCATCAATTGGTGAATATGTAAACAAATTATTATATATCTACACAATGGAATACCGCTGAGTAATTAAAAAGGAATAAACTATCAAAACTCCCAACAACAAAGACGGTTCTCAAAATAATTATGATGGCCAGGCGTGTGTGGCTCATGCCTATAATACCAGTGCTTTGGGAGGCTGAGGCAGGATTGCTTGAGACCAGGAATTCAAGAGCAGCCTGTATAACACAGCAAGATCCTCTCTAAAACAAAATAAAAATTAAAAAAAAAAAATGATTATGATGATGATGAAAGAAGCCAGACTAACCCGTACCCCCCAAAAAGCACATACTCCAAGACTGCAGTTAGATAAAAACCTAGGAAATGTGGCCGGGCATGGTGGCTCACTCCTGTAATCCCAGCACTTTGGGATGCCAAGGTAGGCAGATCATTTGATCAGGTAGCCTGATCAACATGGTGAAACTCCATCTCTACTAAAAATACAAAGAAAAATTAGCTGGGCATGGTGAAGGAAGCCTGTAATCCCAGCTACTTGGAAGGCTGAGGCAGGAGAATTGCTTGAACTCAGGAGGCGGAGGTTGCAGTGAGCCAAGATCGCACCATTGCTCTCTAGTCCAGGTGACAGAGGGAGACTTCATCTCAAAAAAAAAAAAAAAAAAAAAAACACACACACCTAGGAAATGCAATGCAAACTTATCTACAGCGATAGATCAGAGGTTTCCTGGAAGAGGAGTGGCTGGAGGGATGACAATGCGGCAAGAGGAAACTTTTAGGGGTGATGGATACCTTCATTATCTTGATGAGGTGATGGTTTCACTGGCATAAACATACCAAATTGTACACTTTAATATGTGCATTAACTGTATAACAGTTATACCTCAATAAAGCTGTTTAAAAGTACTTACAGAAAAAAAAAAAAAGGCCTCTTCCAGGCCTGGTATATTGTGTTTATATCACCCTCTTTTCTAAACAAGTTCATATCCCGAAAAGTCACAGAACTGTAATACCTTTCCCCTGGTGATTTGCATGCATAAACAAAACCTTAAAGCCCAGAAATTTAATTATCATAAAATTTAACAATAGTTAATTAATATTTACATGGCTGTGACTATGTGCCGGGCACTATGACAAGCATTTTTCTTGTATGAATTTATCTAACGTTCACATCAACCCTATCTTACAGATGAGGAAACTGAGGTAGTGAAGGGATAAGTTATCTGATCAAGGTCACAAAGCTGATTAGTAGAGGAGCTAGAATTTGAACCCAGGGAGTCTAGCTCTAGAGTTAATTTCCTAACCCATCATGTTCTACTGCCACACACAATATGAGGTATGTTAATACTAGAAGCAATGAATATTGTACTTGTAAAATACTTTTCTTTCTCACACTCACAGAATATAAACATTCACTACAATTGGCAACACCACATGAAACTAAATAAAAAACAACAGTGGCTTTATTTTCTTTTCCCAATTAATAGATGGAGGGAGGAGAAGCAGAAAGGCTGGACAACTTTCTTAGGACACAGAGCAAATAATTGGCAAGTTGACCAGTTACTGGGAAGCTGGTTCCTTACATTCTTAATCCAGATCTTTTCATGGTTTTCAAAATCCCGATTATTTTAAGTAACACCATAAGGGAGAGAAAATCTAACATAGCAACATAAAACGTAAAAGTTGTTTCTGTTTTCTCATACTCCTTACTGGCTCTTTAATTTCATCCAGAGGGTCTCAATCTCTGCAGATACAGGGCTGGAGTCTGTTTTTAAAGCTCCCAGGTGATTGTTACGTGCAGCCAAGGCTGAGAACTCTTGATTTAGTCTTCTCATTAAAGAAAGACAGAAGGCAGCTGGGTGCAGTCGCTCATGCCTGCTTTCCTGCACTTTGACAGACCAAGGCAGAAGGATCGCTTGAGCCCAAGAGTTGGAGGTTACAGTGAGCTATGATCCCACCACTGCACTTCAGCCTGGGCAACAGGGTTATACCCTGTCTCAAAAAATAAAAATAAAAGAAGTAAAATAAAATGGGAAGACAGAAGAAAGCAAGGTGCCACAAAAAGCTTTGGTAAACCAAGGCCCAAGGTTTTCCAAGTCAGTATTGAACTGCTGTCCACATGCAAACTTTTGAGTTCAACTTTTAACAAATTAAAAGTACAAATATGCATACAAGATATGAGAAAGCAAGAAGCACAGTAAACAACTTTTAAAAAAAAAACGCAAACCAGTGGTAAATTGGATGCTAAGACTTACAGAGAAAACCCTACATTTCAGATGTTATAACAGAAATTACATATAAGTATATTGGGATGACAAAATCTCTTTTCAACTTTTTGGAAAGCTAAATTGACGCCCTAACATCAAGTCAATGAACTAAAAGCACAGAAAAAAACCTGTCAAATATCCATTGCATTTAGAACATGCAATAAATTGATAATACACTGTGAATCTAGTTAAGAAGCACGGGTTGAACAAAGAATGGGCCAGGCCGGGCGTGATGTCTCAGGCCTGTGATCCCAGGACTTTGGAGGCCAAGGCGGGTGGATCACCTGAGGTCAGGAGTTCGAGAACAACCCGGCCAACATGGCGAACCCTGTCTCTACTAAAAATACAAAAATTAGCCGGGGGTGGTGGCGCGCGCCTGTAATCCCAGCTACTGGGAACGCTGAGGCAGGAGAATTGCTTGAACCCGGGGGGCGGAGATGGCAGTGAGCCAAGATCGCGCCACTGCACTCCAACCTGGGCAACAGAGCGAGACTCCATCTAAAAAAAAAAAGAAAGAAAGAAAGGGCTGTATCTTTAGCCCATGCCCTGAATCAATGTTCCTTGAACTTTAAGGTACACTTCTTGAGGAAGATTCTGATTCAGCAGCTCTGGGGTGAGAGTCATGAAGTGTAATTCTAACAAGCTCCCAGGGATGCTGATGCTGGTGGTAGGTGAAATGAACTTGGAGCAACAAGGCCCTAAGTAACTGGAATATTAGTTTTAACGCTAGCCAACTGGCTTACAAATATCGTTATGTCTAGGATCCAAGAAGTAAGTGTCAATACCATTAATTCCTACACCCGGCCAAAAAAATTAAAAACTAAAAATAAAAAAAAATAGTTCAGGGGAAGGAGAAAGCAAATACTTGTTTATACAGTCTAGCAGTGCTAAGAACCATAAAATACTGTTATTTGTCTCAACCTAGTAGATGTCAAGGTGATAAAATGTAGGCTCCATGAGTTAATGGATTTTTTTTAGCTAACTCCTGAATCCTTATGGCCTAGCACAAATTAGGTACTCAAGAAATGCAATGAATAAATGAATGAATGGGAAGTATATACAAACGCAATCTGTATTTACCTCACATCTCCAAAAATGTCTGGGAAGGGGGAGGTATTTGTACTGCTGGATGCAGGTAGCCATGATTTGATACAAATACCTGGCCCATCTACTGCATTCCCTTTGTGCAAAGACAGTTAACTTTCCTGAATAATATCTCCACCGTAATGCCCATGCTCATGGCATCCTGATGTTTAGCAACTTTTTGGCTTTTTGAAAACAATGAAGAAAGGTGGAAGTACAGGGAGAAGGATTCGGAAAAGTCTCAAAAAATCAAAGCCAAAAACCAGGAGGGAGGAGATGGGCAAACAGTTCAGTTCACTTGAAGGAACATCTGAGGTTGTCAGAGGTCCATGTGCTTACCTATGATGGTGGCGGGGTTTGGGCTCGGGCTTTATATGTTTTGTTACTGTCCAGGGTCACTGGCGGAGTAGTACCTGGCTGTGGAAACTCGGACTACACAGGTAGCCGGAACTGCAGCCAACCTTCAGAAGCTTAAGGGAAGCACTTTCGCGCTTACTTCCTCCTTCCCAGGGTCTCCGCGCGCGTTTGGGAACTCAGCCGCCGCCCAAACACAAAATGATCTGGGCAGCTTCGCTGCAGGATTGAGGCCACAGCCAGGATTTAAGATGGCAGCGAAACACTTCGATGGCCCGTGGAATCTGCCCAAAAGAAAAATGGCCTCTGTTCAGAATATCGCGGCTTTCAAAGTGGGCCCAAAACAAAAATGGCGCCGGACGCAGGCTATTTTTAAAGGCTGGGACCCCAATGACTCTCATTAGCAAATAACGTATCATGGTAACTCACGGTGCTAGGCAGTTGAACTGACCGAGAGAAAAAAAAACGCTTTTCTGTGGTGTGTTTTCTTAACATTGGAAAATGACTAGCTCAAGAATGGAACATATATTCGGTGCGAAAGATTGTGAGAAAGGAAAGGTAGCTTTCACAGTGCCGGATAAATTTTAATAAAAATAGCCATGTTTGAACATAACTTCCTATATGTTTTTTAATGTTAAAAGAGAATAAAAGTTTTGTCCTGGAACCCAGAAGCAGGATGGGGAAATGCCGGGTGAATTATCTAATCTGTGAAGAGTACGAGCTGCGAAACTCCGCACTTCCCTGTAAGCCCTCAGGAAGGACTGAGGGCGGATGCTTTAGTAGAAGGCAACTAGCTCTCACGGCGCATGTCCGTTTTCCAAACCCGATCCCGGGAGTTACGGGAGAGTAAAAATCCTGATTTTCCAGACAACCGCACAGAGAGGCGGGATACTGGCGCTGAGCGACAAATCCAAGCGCTTTGTAATTGGTCATGTCAGGACAGAGAGCAGAGCGCAGTGGACTATTTCTTTCTTTCATTCAATAAATCATTGTCAAGCGCTCACCAAAAGGCAGAAGCTGTGCCATTTTGATATGTTATTTAAATTTTATGCGTTCTTTTAAAATTTCAGTTTCAACAATTTGCTGGAATATACGCTGAATAAACTTCGCTCCCCGTTTTTTCCGGTGACGGCCGCTGTTGGCTGGAGCTTCACGGAAAACCCGGAGAAGCGGAGTGGGGGCGGCCCGGCGTCGACCGCAGAGCTGCGCGTGCTCCGTGCCCTCGCGCGACGCGAAGGTTGTCGGGATCCGCGGCAGCAGCGGCTGCTTGAGATCTGTTTCTGGGGCCTCTGGCGGTGGCGGCCTGGGGCGGCGCGACGGCTGGTGCGCAGGTGAGAGCGCTGGGACTCTAGGTGGAAAAGCCCGCTTTGTGTCCGGCCGAAGAGAGGGGAAGGGGCTTGTAGGCGCCTCCCTCTCCACCCCCAAAGGTCACCGGTGTCCTCACTGAAGGATATTTGAGGGCGGGGACAAGGAGGAGGCTGGCTCTCTGTAGGAGGCGAAAGACCGACCTCTGAAATAGCTGCCGATGGTAAATGTTGCGGTCGGCACGGATGCGGGCGGCGAGGAGGTCTTCCCGCCGGTGGGGAGAGCTGGAGGAGTGGCGCCTCACCACGCTCCCACCTGCGCTGCCGCCTTCTACGCCGAACCTGTGACTCCCCGTCCCCTCCCTCGCTGGGAGGGGCCCCGTGTGCCCCTGACTGTCTGGAGGGTGCACGGTGTACCCCAGGCTGTCGGGAGGTGGGGGCCGCCCTCCGACGGCGTTAGAGACGTTGTGCAGCGTGGCCCTGCCAGCTACGTGAAAGCAGCCGCGGGGCTTGCAGGGCTGTGGACCTTGTAGGGATGACCCTCTAAGGTCATGCTCGTCTTCCTCCCCGATAAGACCATACCCAAATCCTGTTGCCGTTTCAGAGACTCAATATGACGGTTTCATTCATTCATTAACATCTTCAGTTTATCCATAAACAGATATACACGTGTCTACAGCACTGCCGAGTTAGTAGATACGGCAGTGACCAAGAGGGACTTGCACGGTCCTGACTCCATGTTCTAGTGATGGGGGAGAAACAATACGCTCCCTATCCATGAGTTCCGCATGTGTGAATTCAACCAACTGCGGATAGAAAATATTTTGGGGCGGCGGGGTTTGGTGGCTCACCCCTGTAACCCCGCACTTTAGGAGCCCGAGGCGGGCGGATCACTTGAGTCAGGAGTTTGGGGCCAGCCAGGCCAACGTGGCGAAACCCGGTCTCTGCTAAAAGTACAAAAAAATGAGCCGGGCGCAGTGGCGCACGCCTGTAATCCCAGCTACTTGGGAGGTTGAGGCAGGAGAATCGCTTGAGCCCTGGAGGCGGAGGTTGCGGTGAGCGGAGATCACGCCACTGCACTCCAGGTTGGGCGACAGAGACTCTATTTAAGAAAATAAATAAATAAAAACATTCTGGGGGAAAAAAGATGGTTACATCTGTACTGAACACGTGCAGACCTTTTTTCTTGTCATTCCCTAAACACTGCAGTGTAACAACTACTTACATAGCATTTAACGTTGTATTAGGTATTATAAGTAGCCTAGAGATTATTTAAGGTACATGGAAGGAGGTGGCAAGTTGTGTACAAAACTACACGATTTTTTTTTTTTTTTTTTTTTTTTTTGACAAAGAGTCTCGCTCTGTCGCGCAGGCTGAAGCTGGATCTCTGCTCACTGTGCAACCTCCGCCTCCCGGGTTCAAGCAATTCTCCCTGCCTTAGCCTCCGGAGAAGTTTGGGATTACAGGCACCCGCCACTGCACCTGGCTAATTTTTGTATTTTTTAGTAGAGATGGTGTTTCGCCATGTTGGCCAGGCTGGTCTTGAACTCCTGACCTCAGGTGATCCACCCGCCTCGGCATCCCAAAGTGCTGGGATTACAGGCATGACCCACGGCGTCTGGCCTACTACACAATTTTTAAATCAGGGACCTGAGCATCTGGATTTGGGTATCCATCATGGGTCCTGGATGCAATCCCCCAAATACTGAGGGGTGATTGCACATTGATATTGAGCAAGATGTTTCTAGATTGTCCTAGGTTGGGTTTCCTGAGAATCAGACTCTGAGGAGATTTAGAGGCAGGACATTTACTAGAGAAGACTTTTTGGATGATTACCAAGGAAGAAAGGAAGCAGGATTGGGCAATAGAAAAAGTTAAGCTGCAGTGAAGTCTCAAGGATGTTCTCCACCAGTCCCACAGGAACTCTAGTGCTGGGTTGGCCCTTCAAAGTTGAAGAGAAGGGCCAGGCTTTTATACCCCTTGATTGATCTGTCGTTAGATGTCTGTTTCCCTGGAAAGGGCCTAACTTCAACTCTCTTCAGCCAAGTCAATCATGGACGGAGGCTGGCAGCCGAGGTCTGTCTCAGCTCTTCCAGGAGCTGGGGAAATAAGCCTTTCATTCCTTAGGGGGGTCAGGGTGGCACATCACAGCATTCATCACAAAGGTAGGGCTTTGAAGGAATCACGTGCTAGAGAATAATGGGGAGGGAGAGGGAAAACACTTTAGGTTGAGTGCTGAGAGAAAGGCTCTCTGAGTAGGTGACATCTGAACTAAGAGCTGAAGCAGAAGAATAAGCCATCCTCTGTGGACCAAAGGGGACAAGATTCTCTACTTTTCTGCTACGCACTAGGAATATAGCAGAGAAGACAAGTGGCTGCTACCTTCTGTTATCGTGGGTGGCAGTGACTAGTTTTTCTAGATCTTGACTCCCTGCCGTAACTAAAGATGGAGTAAGTAAAAATGGATTGAGACTAATTCAGAGGAGGATAGAGGAAAAAATGAGAACTATGATTTTGAAAAATGAGTCAACTTGGTAAAGACTTTATGCAGTTTTTTGTGCGGGTTTGGTTTGGTTTGGTTTGGTTTGGTTTGGTTTGGTTTGGTTTTTTGACCCTATACAGCATTGAGTTATGTTTTATTAAGATTGTCCCATTATCTTCTCAAACCTGTATTCTCCTTGAGGACAAGAATCATGCCTTACTCTTCTTGGTAGTTCCCCCCTGAGGCTAGTAGTCTTGCTAGCACCTAATAGACACTAAGTGAGCATTTGGATAGAATTAATCTTGTACATATTTGAAGTGAAAATTGCTAATCCCTAAATATTGTGAATGTGGGATACATGACTGTGTTTGGATTTGTCTTTACAGTATTTCCTCACCTTATAAGTTGGAACCCAATTTTAGTCAAAATATTCGATGATAATATATAATTGCTTTGATCAAGCAGGAACCTCCAGGGGTGCCTATTTTTATATATGATTCGTATAAGATAATATACTCCCAATAAAAGTAATGGCTGCCGTGTATTGAGCACTTCCCACATGCTAGGCACTGTACTAAGCTATGAATGTATATAGTTCTCTTCATAATGTGGCCCCCTATTTCAGATCATGACATTGAGGCAGGAGAGAAGTAATTTGTCCAAGACCATAACTAATTTGTGGTGGAGGTTAGACTTTGATTCTCGCCATTACTCAATGCTTTTGCTCTTATGTAAAACGTTGTTTCAGACCAACAGCGTGTCTGAAAATGTCGACCAAGTTTCAGTCATTGTAGGATTCTCACATTTGATCACTTGGCTGCTCTATTAACTGTTATTAGAGAAACATACATGAAATTTTTCACCGTCTTTGCTTCTTTGCTCTGTATCAGTTTTCTGACTTCCTTCACAGCTTTCCTGGCTCTCACTTTAGAAGCTTGACAGTTATCTGTCCTATAATATCCTAGAATCTAATTACCAGATTCACTACCCTAGTCAAACCCCAAAGACCTCTGAACCTCTCTGTTGAGACTGGGTATTTTTATTCTTAGCTAACTAACTGAAACTGCCCAGAGAAGTGGGCCTTCCTTTATGGGGACCACTTCCCTTAGTTTGGGCATTAATTCTAATCCTCTCCAGTTCTTGCTATACTACAGGTTAATTCCAGTAATGTTTTTTTTCTTTTTGACATAATCAAAATAATAATAGCTAACAATTACTGAGCCCAGACAAAGTGCCAAGTATTGTGATAACTGCACAGCAAGCTTATGATATGGATGTTATTATTCACATTGTACACACAATGGAACTGAAGCACAATGAGATTAAGTGACTAATCCAAGGCCACACAGCCAGTTGTAAAGTGGTAAGTGAAGATTCAAAGCCAGGTGGTATGAGTCCACAGCTCATCCCTTAATCACTACATGACAATGCATTCTTACAAAAATGATTTAAAGTGCTTGACTTTCTGAAAACTGGTAGGCAGGATCTAGATCCTAGTGGATTTTTCTTTCTGCTGTACTAAGAAATTTAGATTTCACTCTAGTCAAAAATGTCACTAAAGGCTTTTAAGCAAAGCAGGAATACAACCAGATTTGTTTTTGTTTTTGTTTTTTTGTTTTTTGTTTTGCAAGATGGCTATATTAAAAGTGTAGAGAATGGATTAGTGGATGTAGACTAGAACAGTGGGTCTCAAACTTTAGCTTCAGAATTACCTAAAGAATTAATTAAAACACAGATTACTGGACCCCACCCTAGAGTTTCTGACTCAGTAGGTCAGGAGGGGCAGCTTGATAATTTGCATTTCTAGTAAATTCCCAAGTGTTGCTAATGGCACTGTTGAGAGGACCACAGTTTGAGAACTACTGGAATTGAAGCAAGGAGGTCATGTGAGGGCGCGAGGGTCTGGACTGTGACCCTAGGGAGGAGGGATTATGTAAAGAAACACTTATGTCAAATGGCAGGATGTGCTGAGTGAGTTGATGAGGAGCATGAGGAAAAGGGCAGAGTCCAGTATATCCAGATTTCTGAATTGAATGGCTTAGTAGATGATGCTTTTTGTTAACGAAACAGGAAATCCAGGTGGAACAGCAGTTTGGGAGGGAAAGAGGACTTATTTTTATATGAGATGAATTGAGACTATTTGTGGGGACGGTTAGTTCAAAGGTGTACAGTAGCAGTTTATTATGTGGGTCTAAGCTGGAGATGAACGTGTGAGAGCCAGAGTGGATGCATGATCATAGAAGTTTGGGGATTGAATGAGACCGCCCAGGAAACAAACACTACCAAAGACAGATCTTTGATAAGGATGAATAGGTGGATGGAAACCAGCAGGCTATTAAAGGAGACTAAGAAGGAACAGTATAGAGTCCTGAGTACTTAGGAGTCTCAAGAACACATCAAAAGGCTACAGGGAGATTATGTAAGGGGAAGGATTGGTGATCTTTATGGTCAGAACACTTTCCATGGAGAATGAAACAAAAGCAGATTGCTTGGGTTTGAAGATGGAATGGGAAGTGACTAGGAAAAGATGCATTATTTGAAAGGAAAGAGATTGTGTAGTACTGGGAAGGAAGATGGTAAAGGGCAGTTGCCTTAGGGAATTTGTTTTTGACTCTTTTCAGTGGAGAAAAATAGTCATAGTTATGCAAAAGAGAAAGGCCCTTAAGAGTGGAAGGTTGGAGGTAGATGAGAGGGGATAATGAAGTTAGAACCCCAAAGACACAGTAGAAAGTGGGACTGGAACACAGGTAATAGGAATACCAGTTCTTCTGACAGCAGGCAAGGAGTTTTATTTATTTATTTATTTATTGAGACGGAGTCTTGCTCTGTCACCTAGGCTGGAGTGCAATGGCGCGATCTCGACTCACTGTAATGTAACCTCTGCCTCCTGGATTCAAGCGATTCTCCTGTTTCAGCCTCCCAGGTAACTGGGATTACAGGTGCACCCACCACATCCAGCTAATTTTTCATATTTTTGGTAGAAATGGGGTTTCACCATCTTGGCCAAACTGGTCTCAAAATCCTGACCTCAAGTGATCCACCTTCCTCAGCCTCCCCGAGTGCTGGAATTAGAGGCGTGAGCCACCGCGCCCAGCTGAAAGAAGATTTAGTTGAGAGCTAAGGTGCACATAAGGGGACAACAAGTTAGAGGTGTTCATACCTAAAGAGCTATAATGTCCTCTGGCCAATAGGTTATCTGCAGAAATGAAGGTGGAGCATACAATTAAAATCTTGAAAATGATGAAGGGTAGAAATGGGCTCTTTAGGGATTCAGAACATACCAGGAACATAAAGTGTTTGCTGTAGCACTAAAGGCCCATTCATCTAGGTATCTGATCTGGAACAATCTGGCTATCTGCATGATACCTACTCCCCTCTCCTCCACCAATCACCAGCATCAAATGGCAGCCAGGGTGTAAAAACAGTGAAAGGGGACAGGATTCTCAGACAACTCTATAAACCACTACAACCATTGTGATAAACCACAGCTTGCTGGTAAGCTAGTTTTCACTTCTCATTAGTTGTTAATCACTTGCTTAATATTTGAGACTGCCTACAATTAGTGAAACCCCCATATAAGACTTATGATGCTTTCAGTATATTTTTTATTTACAAATACATTAAATTCACAGCAATGAGCAGGGAGGAATAGCAAAAGACATAAGATACTTACGCATACCTGTTTCGGCCTTCTGACTGCAGATCCACTCCTGACTCAGTTACGCTGTTAGCAGCCCAGCTCTTGGATATAGGTCAAGCTGACCTTGAATGGTTTGGTGGGGAAGGTGGTAGGATTTGCAGAATGGAAACTTTAGAACTCAATTATGATCCATGGGTTCATTAAGAATTACAGTATTGTTTTTGGGGTGTGTGTTTTTACAAGACTGGAGAAGTCCAGCAAAATGAGTGTTATTTTAGGTGATATAGTTGGAAAAGAAAAAGGAAAACGATTGTTCTGTTTACCATGTCAGTTCATTTCATAGCACAGTTGAAGACCACGTGCAGTCTTTTCTATTGTGTACACAGAAAAAATGCCACAATTCAAACTGCTGTATTAAAAATTGAGGATAAAAAATAACTTTTGAATGTTGATGATGAGAATTCAGAAATGAAGAATTCACAAATACCTAAAGCCAACATTGTCATTGTAAAAGAAAAGGCATAGTACAATTCCAGTAAACTTCATAAAGTTTCATTATCACAAGAGCTGGGTTAATTGGTTTTTAATATTCTATCTAATGTTCTTCTCATGATTAAATTACATTCAGTGGAAGTTTTTAAAAATTACAATTTTTTCAAATCACAACAGCAATTAAGACCAAAAAGAATCCGTTTTACACTGTGTCCAAAAGGCCAGCAGATGGCGCCCAGCAAGCCCAATAGGCAAAATGAGAACATTTGATGTAACATTCCCTGCATCCAAGTTATTTTAGGCCTAATTTTGCAGGAAGCAATTAAAAAAACTTGATGGCTTTAACTAATACTATGCTAGATAGAATAATCTGATGGCTAGATCCAGCTGTTTGGGAAGTTCTAGGAAGCTTGCTTGCCTTTTTGCCCTTAACCTTACTTTGTGTGTGTGTGTGTGTGTGTGTGTGTGTGTGTGTGTGTGTGTGTGTGTGTCAGTGTTTTCTTTTCTTGGCCTTTAAGCTACTCTAAAAGATTACAGTATTTATAATGAGGTAGAAGCATAGCAAGTTCTCCCTCTTCTGTTCATTAATCTCTTGCTGTCATTCTATACTGAGAACTAAATTAAAGAAAACTGAACTAACCCAGCTAATCTCAACCATTAGTAGGTCACGGATGTGTTTTTGGAGGATATAGACTCTTTTGCCCTCTAATTTTTTTGTTTTTCTTACCTCCAGAACTGTAAGATGCCCTCTAATTTTGGACAAGTGAAATGACAGCTGTTAACCTTTTATATACCTGACATGAAAATCAGCCAAGGACATGCCACGGGGCGTGCATGGCTCATGCCTGTAATCCCAGCACTTTGGGAGGCTGAGGCGGACATATCACTTGAGGCCAGGAGTTGAGACCAGCCTGGGCAACATGGTGAAACCCCGTCTCTACTAAAATACAAAAATTAGTCGGGCATGGTGGCGTGGGCCTGTAATCTCAGCTACCTGGGAGGCTGAGGTACGAGAATCCCTTAAATCTGGCATGCGGAGGTGAGCCGAGATCACACCACTACGCTCCCCCTTGGGCAACAGAGTGAGACTGTCCCAAAAAAAGAAAAAAGAACAACATGCCAGGCATGATGCCCCAAGCTAGTTGACCTCAGTGATCCTCAAGGGTGTGCCTCACGCCCTCCAAATGTTCCCCTCATCCGTGATCACACACTGGAAATCCTGATAGACAGTACTGCCCAAGCTGGGGCACTAATTCTTGACTTGAAGAATTGCTTAGTAGAGTACTAGGCAAGACTTTAAAGACTTCACATCTAAATTGAATGCCACAGTTAACTGACAGTAATCTTAGAATCAATCATTTAATGTTTCTTCATTTATAAAATGATCTCATAAAGTTGCTATGAAAGCAAAACAAAATGAAAAATATGAAACTTTTGAATAATTTAAGACCATACTTTTGAGAGAAGAATATGAAAAGCATAATCCACATTAAGATTGCCTCTAAACTTTTTCTAAACTTAACAAAAGACATTTTAGTAAATGAAACTATAAATATCAACTCTATTTTACTTGATCTAAAATTTACTAATCTCATTTCATGTCTCTTGATTTCTCTATCCTTCTAAAGGAGTCTTTTTTTAGAAATATGTTTAAAGAAGATTCAGGAAAGAAAGAAAGGGCAGTGGCAAGTACATTAGAGGGTAAGGAAGGGAAAAAATCTCATTTCTCTTGTTGCTTTGCTCCAAACTTGAAAAGTTCAATAAATGAGCATCAAACACTAACTTATTTTAGGGATTAACCAGTTACTGCTCATCAAATCTGATCATTTTGAGCTTATTCTTGAGAAATCTTTGTTTTAGACTCAGAATCTCTACAAGACAGTCCATGCCTCTTGGAACAACTTGCCAAGTGTTTTGAGGGAAGGACCATCTCAAGGCAAACTGTAAATAGCTTAAGTTTGTTTCACAAATTGGATCTCCCAGTCTGTCTGCTTCTCAGTATCATGAACCTTTCTAAAAGTCAAGGTTTTAAAAACTTTCTTGTCAAGTTCATTTGAAAAATGAGTTAATTTTTAAGAAATTTGTTAATTCTGAAAAGCAGCACATAGAGGCTTTGAGCATGGACTCTGGAGTATTTACACAAATATTTATTGCCATAGCATATTTTGCAATAAAGCATTGAAAAATCTCAAATTTCTTTCAATCACAGATTGGTCAAATTAGGATATCGCCATTATAATCAAATGCTGTATAGCTCTTAAAAATGATAATGGAGATTTATATTCTTTGCAAGAGGGATTACAAAACAGCATGTGTATCATGATCACATTTTTGTTACACCCAAAAGATTTTAGCTCTCTTTTCCTTGTTTCTATATTTGCTAACTTTAAAAAGTAAGGTTATACTATACTATATTTATTAGAAAAGAACAGTAATGCTAATTTTCTTTCTTTCTTTTTTTTTTTTTGAGACGGAGTTTAGCTCTTGTTGCCTAGGTGGGAGTGCAATGGCATGATCTTGGCTCACTGCAACCTCCGCCTCCCAGGTTCAAGTGATTCTTCTGCCTCAGCCTCCCGAGTAGCTGGGATTACAGGCGCCTGCCACCACACCAGCCTAATTTTTTGTATTTTTAGTAGAGACAGGGTTTCACCATGTTGGCCAGACTGGTCTCAAACTCCTGACCTCAGGTGATCCACCTGCCTCGGCCTCCCAAAGTGCTGGGATTACAGGCATGAGCCACCGTGCCCTGCTCTAATTTTCATTTTGTAAAAAACCACAGAGGAACTAAGAAGAAAAAAAGTGCTAAATTTAAATTGTATCCCCAAAATATGTTTGATTGTAAGTAAAAGCTCTGCAAGAGTTTATAAACAAAATAAATAACACATTACCTCGCTAACTACCATATCAAATATAAAATTTGAAAACTATTTTTTTTTTTGTAAAACTAGCAATGAGCTTTGCTAGTAAGGTATAGTAAGGTCTAATGTGTCTTGCCCTGAGAAGAGGTTATGCAGGCAATAGAATACATCCAATGTACTGGAGATTTTTCACTATTAAGTGAAAGAAATGAAGTAGTTTAAAGTTATATGCCAATGTCATTTTTTAAAAATATATGTTTTTTCTTTTAAAATAGAGATGAAGTCTCACTGTATTGCCCAGGCAGTCTCGAACTCATGGGCTCAAGCAGTCCCCCTGCCTGAGCCTCCTAGAGTGCTGGGGTAACAGGTGTGAGCCACTGTGCCTGGCCTTTTTTTTTCCTTTTTATTTAATATATATTTTTTTCTTTTAAAATAGAGATGAGGTCTCATTATATGCCAATGTCATTTTAAAGTGCTAATTCCATCTTGCTCAGTGAAAAGGGACTATTATATGTACAGTGTGATACTTATTGTTTTTATGTGAATTAAATGAAAACTCTAAAAATAGTTTGTAACGTGAAAAGCCCTTCCATACTGATCCTAATCATTTCCCAAGCCTCTCAAAGGACAACAGAATTATCTGTCAGAAAATAGTTACTTGCTCTCTCACCCCCATTAGCCAAATCAATATATGAGATATGGAGAATTTGAGGAAGTGGGGACATGTAGATGTTCAGTAAACATTAAAGCAATTAATCATTAAATCAGTCTACATCATTTACTAACCAGGAAATACTGTACTGAGTCTCAGTGATGTTTAGCAAATAGAGTTTTCAGTTAAAATAGATACTGATTTCCAGGTTTAACTAAACCTAAATCTAGAAAAAGATTCATCGATCCTTAAGTTATCCTAATGGAAAGAGTAATAGACTGTTAAGCACAATATACATAAAATTGAGCATTTCTTTTATCTTTAACTGGGAGATGACCTAAAGATTCACTAAGTATTATAGGGAGCTAACCCTATATAATTTTCACTCTTCTCAAAGAGGGTTCATACTATGTCATTACATGCTGTTAACCACTTTGCTGGAGAGAATAGTACAACACTTCCCCAAACATTAGTGTTACAGATTGTCATTTAATTTGTTCCTAATTTTAGTTCTTGAGTTACAAATCTCAATTTTATTATTACATCCTTTTATCCTATCCAGTCTCTTTTTTGCTTTTGGTTTGTTTTTTTGAAACGATCGCATTTCATCACCTGTCCTGGAGTGCAATGGTGTTATCTCAGCTCACCGCAGCCTCAGCCTCCCAAGGTCCAAGCGATCCTCCTACCTCAGCACCCCCCACGCAGCTAGAACTACAGGCGTGCGCCACCATGCCCAGCTAATTTTTGTATTTTTTGTAGAAACGGGTTTTGCCACGTTGCCTAGGCTCAAGTGATCCGCCCACCTCAGGCTCCCGAAGTGTTAGGATTACACTTTTGTGAGCCACTGCACCTGGCCCTAATCTCTTTTTATAAGCTAGGGTTTTTTTTCCTTGAGTTTATAGTTCAGAAAAAAGCTGACAAATGTTGAATTATGTTAATGATCATGGAGAAGTAAATGGTGAATGGCAGAAATGGCTCTTAAAAGTAATGTGACTTGAAGGGCCGGGCGCAGTGGCTCACACCTGTAATCCCAGCACTTTGGGAGGCCGAGGCGAGCGGATCGCAAGGTCAGGAGATCGAGACCATCCTGGCTAACACGGTGAAACCCTGTCTCTACTAAAAATACAAAAAATTAGCCAGGTGTGGTGGCGGGCACCTGTAGTCCCAGCTACTCGGGAGGCTGAGGCAGGAGAATGGCGTGAACCTGGGAGGCGGAGCTTGCAGTGAGCTGAGATCGCACCACTGCACTACAGCTTGGGTGACAGAGCAAGACTCTGTCTCACAAAAAAAAAAAAAAGATAATATAACTTGATAACCTCATGTTGAGGGGAATAGAGGTGCCAAAGTCACCTTAAGTATTGAGACTGGATATAAATAACAGTATCTTCTAGGCCTTTAGTTAAGGTGTTTGCAAACAAGAATGCCATATGTCAATCAACACAGGCCAGCTGACCTTTGGTGCAGCCTCTGTCCCTCCTATAAGTAAGTAGCCCTTAATAGAATTCTTCCCTCCTTACTCTAAATTCCTCCCCCAGTTATTTTATTGTACCCTTAAATTCCCAAAGGCTTTTGCCTTTGGACTTCACAATGAAATTTAATTATGATACAGTTATTTGTAATTGATTCCCTCTAAAAATGGAACATAAGCATGTCAATAAAAGGTGTATTCTCTAAAGGTTACAAAAAGTATATAGTATACCACAGTACGTTAGAAAAGGAAAAGGCCATAAAATACTTTCATTTACAAAGCAGGTCGTGTTTCCTCTATCTAGTAATTAAAATTTTGCCACAAAGTCCTTATAAAATATGAATTGAGACCTTTGGGAGAAATGATTTATAATGCTAAGAATAACATGTTCATAGCTATAAGATAACATCTTTTATTATTTTTAGTATGTATACACAGAACACAGATGGTTCAGACTATTTAACTCAGTACTATTGTGTTTTGGTCTTAAAAGGGGGAATAAGAAATTCTTTTCAGACCTTTTTCTAATGGCATTTAGACAAAAATAAAGTAATTTAGGAGATTTCATGGTACTAAAACTCAGAGATGCAATTGAGCCAAGTTCATAGCATGTCTCATAGATGGTGGAGCAGTCCTTATTAAGAGTATAAGGAGTCTTTAGAGGTTGTCCAGATTCAAGTTCCCAAACCCAACAGATCATCAAACATAGCATCTTTCTGGGCCCTACTTCCATCCTTTCCAAATTTAAAATATATATATATATATTTTAAAAGCTAACTAACTTTGTAACTCCAGGCAACTGTCTAGCCCCAGTTTCTTTGTCTAAACTAGGTCGATAACCCTGTAAGTTAGGGTTTTCTAGTGATTCAGGGCAAACACTCTAAAATGCAGTAGTTTTGCACATAAATGTGGAAATGGCATTACATTCATTCTGATTTGTAGCGTTCAAGCCAGAAATCTTTTACTGCAATTGGAATCCATGTTCAGCTGTTGCAATCGCAGTTGAAACACTATCACTACATCCTGTCAGAATATAGAACCTAAATTCTTACTGCATATTTGTGGATTACCGTTTGATTCTTCTGTTAAAATTGTGACTAAATGTAATTTTTTTTTTTTTTTTTTTGTGATGGAGTCTCATTCTGTTGCCTAGTGCAGTGGCATGATCTTGGCTCACTGCAACCTCCACCTCCCAAGTTCAAGCAAGTCTCCTGACTCAGCCTCCAGAGTAGCTAGGATTACAGGCATGCGCCACCATATCCGACTAATACTTTTAGTAGAAACGATGTTTCACTGTGTTGGCTAGGCTGGTCTCGAACTCCTGACCTCAGGCAATCTGCCTGCCTCAGCCTCCCAAAGTGCTGGGAATACAGGCGTGAGCCACCACCCTCAGCCTGTAATTATAATTTTTAAAAAATATAATTTAAAAAAAGGCTCTTACTCTATTGTGGCTCAGAGAACATTAATATATTTAAAGAACACTCCATGCATGTGTGTTTTCAAAGATTCATATAGCTTTTCCAGCAGGTAATGTTGCTCCTTTGCAATTGTTGCCAAAAAGTCAGTATTGCTCTGTAAGTTTCCCAAGGCTGACTGCCTGCTCCCTTTGGGTCAATGACATGTCTCTTTTTGTTTATTAACATTGCAATGTATTATAATTTAAAATGTTTAACAGTCAGCATTTGTTAGAGTACAGCATGCTACTTGTAGTGATTTAGAAATGTAATTAAAGGGAGGTTATGGGTTTTAGTGGTTTTTTTCCTCTAACTGTAACCTTTTCTTAGGTACACTGATGCTGAAGTACTATGAGCCTTCGGAACTTGTGGAGAGACTACAAAGTTTTGGTTGTTATGGTCCCTTTAGTTGGGCTCATACATTTGGGGTGGTACAGAATCAAAAGCAGCCCTGTTTTCCAAATACCTAAAAACGACGACATTCCTGAGCAAGATAGTCTGGGACTTTCAAATCTTCAGAAGAGCCAAATCCAGGGGAAGTAGCAGGCTTGCAATCTTCAGGTAAGTTCCATTTAATCTGGTTGGTTAATCATATGGCACATTCCAACAATGGGAAACTCAATCTTTTAGATCTCTGGCAAGGAAAAGCCTAAATTGGTAAGTTACCTGTTGTTTTTATTGTGACCCACTGGCAAAATACTATTCTGCAGTTGTTTCTAGAAAAGTTCGTTGTGCAGAGACATTTGACACTTGCCTGGCAGTCAATTGAATGCAAAGGGAAAGAGCAGTTTTGCTAGCAGCATCACCAGGATCATGAATGTGTGCAAAGGAGCCCCTGACTCCTTACCATTACATATCACAAAAGTCCAAATTTATACAAGATTATTTTCTTCTATTAGTGTTCTTTTTTTTTTAACAATACAAAACTAATTGTATTCATTTCTTAACATCAACTATTTTAGCTTGACCATAATTTGTTACTTTTGAGAGTCACTGAAATAAAGAGGATGAAGTTATATAATTTAGGTCTATAGTCCCTTATCCATAATTCCAAAATTCAAAAAGTTCTCAAAACCAAAACATTTTATCCTCACTCCTTTGACAGCAAAACTTGATCTTAACTGACATGAGGCAATTTGCAGTGCAGTTGTCTCCCTTTATCCGCAGTTTGGCTTTCTGCAGTTTCAGTTACCTGCAGTCAACCCTAGTCTGAAAATATTAAATAGAAAATTCCAGAAATAAACAATTCATAAATTTTAAATTATGCACCTTTCTGAGTAGCATGATGAAATCCTGGGATATTCTACTTCATCCACGCAGGATGTGAGTCATTCCCTTGTCTGTCTACCTGCTCGTTAGTCACTTAGCAGCACTCTGGGTTAGATCAACTGTGGTGGTATCTCCGCGCTTATGTTCAGGTAACTGTTACTTTACTTCACAATGTACCCAAAGCACAGGAGTATTGTGCCTAATTTATAAATTGAACTTTATCATAGGTATGTATGTACAAGAAGAAAACATAGTATATATAGGGTTTAGTGCTATATGTAGTTTCAGGCATCCACTGGGTGGTCTTGGAACATATCCCTCATAGATAAATGGGGGAGGTCACTGTTTTTATTCCACTTAATATGAAAATTGAGTTTCACTGCAGAAATTTTATTGGCATTTGTCACGTTTGATTTACTATAATATAGCGTTATACTATATTATGATTATATTGATTATGTATGTTATATACACTATATTGTATTTATAAAATCTAAGAAATTCTGAATTATGAAACTCATCTGGCCCAAGGAGTTTCAGATAAAGAACTGTGACCCTGTAATTGTAAAGCATTTTCTATTATAATTTACTTTTTAACCTTGAGGTGAATAATATGCTCTAAGTTTTGTTATAAGATAGATGAGTGTAAGGTTCTGCTCTTTATGGAAGAAGAACCTCAGTAAGATTTTCCTTATTTATAAGCCTTGGTCTGAGATTTTGACTTTTGGTATAATTACTGGTTTCAACAATATTTTAAATCAAGATTTTACTTTTAAATGTTCATAAGCAGAAGTGGAAGAGCATAGCTTAATATATTAGACAATTATTAAATATAAAAGCCAGGTAGTAACATAGAAGCTTAACAACTTAAAAGAGTAACTTTAGGACATTCTATATAAAATTTGTATTTATAGGAAGAGTTTTAATATATATAAGCAGGGAGTTAGAGAATTTATTAGGTGCTGGATTTTTATATATATAGTCTTTCAGACTAGTAAGACCATTATATTATGTATGTATATTGTACTTATGACAAGAAGTAAAGAACAAAAAGATGTCTTAACAGTTTGGAGGCCAGGTATGGCCAAACTTTGGAGGAAGAAAATCAAGTAGTTTCTTCTCATGCAAAAAGAAATACTCTTGGAGGAAAAATAGAGCTGAGAAAAGAATCTCCTCTAAAATGTTAGGTGAATGTAGTAAGAGATTTTAGATGCCAGTGCAGCAATAGTTAAAAGTTTTAGAGGCTAACATTTCCAGTCAAGCAAGCAGAAGCAGATATTTAAACAGGCTTTTAGTAAGCAAAAGTTAGAGCCGGATTTAGAGTAAGTTAAACACAAATTCCGAATAGTTGAAGTACATCAAAAGAATGCATTTATTTGTCTCTTATTTTCTATTCTTATTTTCATTATGGAAAATTACATACATGCCTCAAGATAAAGAGAGGATAGTATATTGAGCCCTCAAGTATCCATCAACTGGCTTTAATAGTTAATGGCCTTTTGCCACAACCAGCTTTAATAGTTAAGGGCATTTCGCCACAACCAGCTTTAATAGTTAACAGCGTTTTGCCAGTCTTCTTTTATCCATCTTTTCCTCTGTTTTTTGAACTGCTAGAATATTTTAAATCAAATCTTAAGCTCCACTATGTAGTCCTTTTGTATGTGTCTTTAACAGTAAGAATAAACACACATACACAAACACATTTGCATTATCACCTAGAAAAACTTAACAGTGACTCTTTACCTACAATTTGATACCCAAGGCCATGTTTATATTTCTGAATTTGTCTATAAAAAATCTTTTCAGGTGGTTTGTTGGAATCAGGATCCAAACAAGGTCTACGTATTGCATTTGATAGATAATATCTCTTTTCAATTCCCCTCCTAAATCTGCCTTTTAAAAAATTTCCCACATTCTCAGTTTGGCTGATTGCTTCCTCATCTTGTCATTTAACAATTTCCTCTTTCTCTCCCCTATTTCCTGTAATCTCGTAATTATATCAAGAGGCTACTTTCATTTGTTTTTTTAATTTACTTTTTGAACAAGAATACTTCATGGATGGTACTGTGGAATAGATCCTAGGTAATCATGTTGTTTCATATATAATGTCTGATCCACTTTTGATGATGATGTTGATTTTTTTTTTTTACAGAGAAGGCTACAGTGCAGTAGCAGTAGCATATCATAGCTCACTGCAGCCTCAAACTCTTGGGCACAGGCCTTGATTTGTCACCCAGGCTACAGTGCAGTAACATATCATAGCTCACTGCAGCCTCAAACTCTTGGGCACAGGCCATCCTCCAGCCTCAGCATCCCAAGTAGCTGGGACTATAGGCATCCGCCACCACACCTGGCTAAGTTCTAAAATATTTTTAGAACCAGGGTCTTGCTGTGTTGCCCAGGCTGGTCTCAAATTTCTGGCCTCAAGCAATCCTCCTGCCTTGGCCTCCCAAAGTGATGGGATTACAGGCAAGAGCCACTGCGTCTAGCCAGTGTTGCTAAGATTAACAGGCAAGTTAGCAGTGTTTCTTTCCATTATAAAGTTCCCCTTTGATTTTTTTTTTTTTTTTTTTTAAGATGGAGTCTCACTCTGTCACCCAGGCTGCAGTTGGGTGATGTCGGCTCACTGCAACCTCTGCCTTCTGGGTTGAAGTGATTCTCCTGCTTCAACCTCCCGAGTAACTGGGATTACAGGCACCCACCACCACACCTGACTAGTTTTTTGTATTTTTTTAGTAGAGACAGGGTTTCACCATGTTGGCCAGGTGATCTTTTACTTAATAATTATTAGCGACTATTCATTATCATTGCTGTAACCTAGAAATTGGCAAACTTTTTTTCTATAAAAGATCAGATAGTAAATATTTTAGGCTTTGCAGATCATATAGTGTCTATACCAACCCTTCAGCTTTCTGTTGTAGTGTAAAAGCACTCATACACAGTACACAAATTAATGAGCATGGCTGCTTTCCAATAAAACTTCATTTACAAAAACAGGCAGCAGTCTGGATATGGTCCATAGGCTTAATTTACCAACCACCATATATGGGTCTAATGCACTATTTCATTAGGGGTTGCCAAATGATGCTGCTCAAATTCTATCATTCCTTCTCCATTTATTAGCTGGAACAACTTTCCATCGTCAACTATTCAGTTACCCCAAAATGCATTTATACAAGGAAAGCAAGATTAATGTTTTATCCCTGTAATTCCCTTTATTGGTTTTTATAATAATGAGTGCTCAAGCCACTTAGGGTTTTTGTTTTTGGTGTTAGTATGAACCTGTGGGTTTGCATTTATTTCAGTTATATTAATCTGTTGCTGTCGTCATGTTTTTTTTTAATGCTAAAGTTGTCCCATTTTGGATCCTCTCCAAGTTGACTCCTGTTGTTGTTTTTCCTTTGTCCTTGTGATATGACCCACGTAGTCTTTAATAACATCCTTACTTTTGGGCAGAAAAGGACCCCAGCTTACCTTGTGTATTTCTTACCTCATACCTATAATCATTCTTTTTGCCAAAGAACTCCATTTGCTTTTAGGAAAAACTTTCACCTGTTTGTATTTTCTTTAAATCATATTTTATAGTGCACCTCTTAATTTAGAAGAAGTCATGCAAGTTTTACTGTTATTTTAATTAAGTTATCCATCACTGCAACAACAACAAAAACCCATCTGCCAAGCCCGTGCATCCAAGAATAGTCAGGACCATTCGTCTAATGGTAACTCTTGGAATTATGGAGCACCTTGTTTAGGAAGAAAGAGTTTTAATAGAGCTGAACTGATACTTCCAAACATGTTCTATAAACCAGCCCCAGTGGTTTGGTTTTTTTTTCTCTTTTCTCTTTCTTGTACCTTCTTTTGTTCAGGTCTAGACCTGTGACCACAGGTCAACAAGTTTTGGCATCTTTAAAATGATTTGGGAGTCACTACCACTTTCAGTGATTTCTTTGTCATTTTAATGAAATACTAGCCAAAAGATATGTGTACTGGTCTCACTACTGTAAGACTGACAGAGGTGCCAACATGGCATTCTGTTTTTGAAAAGTTACATGACACTATTAAGTATTGAAAATGTTCTAACTAGAAAAACGATTTTCTTAATCATAGTTTTTATTGTGGGGTGTGTATGTAAGTTTTAACGTGCAAATTAACATATAGAAGTCACTTTGTGAGGTTTCATTTAAATGTATTTCTCAGATTTTGCTGAATCTGTAATAGCCATTGAAATATTTAAGTACCTTGGCTGTTCCTGGCATCAATAAACAGATTTTTCTTTCCCTCCTCATGCCATACAAAAGTTGACAATAGCTTTATCACCACAGGAAGAAAGCTGACCATCATTGCCCTTTATTTGGGCCCAGTTGCCATGGTTACAGCCCTTTAGCTAAATTGGGAATGGTAACCAAAATAACATTTGCATAACATTCCCTTGTTCTGCCCACCTCTTTGCACATCTTCAAATCAAGGTTTTGGTCTGATCACCATACTATGCTGTAGCCTACTTTTAGGAAGTACTTTAGGCTAAATAGATTTGTTTCATTTATGCTAAATGCTCTCCTGGACACTACCATACTCAGCATATTCCTGGAAATACTAACGAATAATATACCTTTAAAACACCCGGCCTCAACAGATAAGATCTATGATCTAACGTTTTTATTCTTTTCACACATTATTATTAATGTGTCAGGAATTTATGCCTCAAGGCACACTTTTTTTTAGCAAGGACACTACCTTGTTAAGGAAACTAGAATTGTATTTCTACATGTCCTTTTGATATATAACATTTTATGGTATTTAGACTTTGAAATTGAATTGCAACTCAGATCCTATTTTTATTGTTGTTGTTATCCAGCATATCCCTTGGTTTTTGCATGTACTGTCATTAACCAGTGCTTTGGGGAGGATTCGTTGACTAGGATTTCCAAAACTGAAAATCATTGATTGATAACGTAAAATGATAGAAAATTAGCTCTGACTTTAGCCAGGTGTTTAAAACATGGTTTGTTTTTTGGTACAATGTGTTGTGCAGAATTATTCAGCTAAATATAGACTATACATTAGTGAGTTCCTGCAGTAGACATGCCAACAGCTATCTTGTTTTTATAATTATTTACAAACATGACTTGATATAAATGCACTTCTGTTCAAACCTAAAGTTTCCAAGCAAACCACAATTATAGATAAAAACATAATATTAAATCTTCATGTTGGAGAATAAAGATATTTGGGACTTCTTTTAAGACTCAGAGACTTGCCGGGCACAGTGGCTCACGCTTGTAATCCCAGCACTTTGGGAGGCAGAGATGGGCAGATCACCTGAGGTCAGGAGTTCGAGACCAACCTGGCAAACATGGAGAAACCCCATCTCTACTAAAAGTACAAAATTAGCTGGGCATGGTGGCGCATGCCTGTAATCCCTGCCACTGAGGAGGGTGAGGCAGGAGAATTGCTTGAACCCAGGAGGCTGAGGTTGTGGTGAGCCAAGATCACGCCATTGCACTCCAGCCTGGGCAACAAGAGCGAAACTCCATCTCAAAAAAAAAAAAAAAAAGACTCAGAGACCTAATTCTCTGTTTTATATCGTAGCATTTCTCTCCTAGAAGCATGCCATATTCAAATAACTGTGCTGTAAGCTTTCTAGCCATGTTGTTGTGCCTTACAGAATCACTGAAATACAAGCACTTTTTCTTGTAGAGGGGATTTATTGAAGAATAAAGGAATTTTAAGTCAAAGTTGGTCTACCTTTCTCATTTTCTGGACGTTTGTGCCAGTTAGTAGTTCCTTTTTCTAAAAAGGCAGCAGAGCATTAGAATAAATTATTAAACTGCAGTCTACAAACTGCTTGGGAAGTATTTCTCTAAAATGTTTTTTTTATTATTTATTAGGTAAAGAAGCAGCTTTGAATCTGAGCTTCATATCGAAAGAAGAGATGAAAAATACCAGTTGGATTAGAAAGAACTGGCTTCTTGTAGCTGGGATATCTTTCATAGGTGTCCATCTTGGAACATACTTTTTGCAGAGGTCTGCAAAGCAGTCTGTAAAATTTCAGTCTCAAAGCAAACAAAAGAGTATTGAAGAGTGAAGTAAAATAAATATTTGGAATTACTAATTTGTCATTAAATCATTCTATGCTGATTAGCTTCATAAACATTGAACTTTTTGATTTTATAGCCACAATGCTGCATATTCATACTTTAATTCCTAAAGAATAATTTTTAATGTTAAAACGTGATAATGCAATAAATAGAAAAATGTGGTTTACAAAATAAAAACGGTCTTCACTAGTTACCACCTGAAGTAAGATGTCTCGTTTGGAAGCTAAGAAGCCATCATTGTGTAAGAGTGAACCACTGACAACTGAGAGAGTCAGGACCACACTTTCTGTCTTGAAAAGAATTGTAACATCATGCTATGGCCCCTCAGGTAGGCTGAAGCAGCTGCACAATGGCTTTGGAGGTTACGTGTGTACAACCTCACAGTCCTCAGCTCTGCTCAGTCACCTTTTGGTCACACATCCCATTTTAAAGATCCTGACAGCCTCCATACAGAATCATGTGTCAAGCTTCAGTGATTGTGGCTTATTCACAGCTATTCTTTGCTGCAACCTGATTGAAAATGTTCAGAGATTAGGCTTGACACCCACCACTGTCATTAGATTAAATAAACATCTTTTGAGTCTTTGCATCAGTTATCTCAAGTCTGAGACCTGTGGTTGTCGAATCCCAGTGGACTTTAGTAGTACTCAGATCCTCCTTTGTTTGGTGCGTAGTATATTAACAAGTAAACCTGCCTGTATGCTCACCAGAAAGGAAACAGAGCATGTCAGTGCTTTGATCCTGAGAGCCTTTTTGCTTACAATTCCAGAAAATGCTGAAGGCCACATCATTTTAGGAAAGAGTTTAATTGTACCTTTAAAAGGTCAAAGAGTTATAGATTCCACTGTATTACCTGGGATACTCATTGAAATGTCAGAAGTTCAATTAATGAGGCTATTACCTATCAAAAAATCAACTGCCCTCAAGGTGGCACTCTTTTGTACAACTTTATCCGGAGACACTTCTGACACTGGAGAAGGAACTGTGGTGGTCAGTTATGGGGTTTCTCTTGAAAATGCAGTCTTGGACCAGCTGCTTAACCTAGGAAGGCAGCTAATCAGTGACCACGTAGATCTTGTCCTGTGCCAAAAAGTTATACATCCATCTTTGAAGCAGTTTCTCAATATGCATCGTATTATTGCCATAGACAGAATTGGAGTGACTCTGATGGAACCCCTGACTAAAATGACAGGTAAAAATCACTCTTTGCTTTTGCCTCTTACAGTTAATAAATCACACTTTTTTGAGCAGAGATATTTTTGGTTTGTGTCACTGTTAACATCTTGAAAAATTGACCCAGCATGTGTCAGTATCATTTCTGGCAGCAAAGGTTTCTGGAAAAGATCCTGTATTGTTCACATACTAAAAATGCAGTGATTATAGCCATTTTCTATGTATTTTCAGCCCCCTAATGTACTATATCATCTAACCCCCAAATATTTTACAGGTTATTGAGAAGTCTAACATCCCCATAATCCTAAGGTCTTTCATACTTTACACAAAATTCTTCAGCCTCAATTGACAAAACTTTTAAATCATGTTATATTTAGAAAGTAATTTTGTAACTAGAATGACCCTTTTTCTTCACTTTGTCATAATTCCAGCAAACTTCTGTACTTCTCCTTAAGTAGTTGTTTCTAATGGGAGGGGGATGTACATGCACCTATGTTTTACCTATATCAAAACTGTTCCCACCTGACCTTGAGAACCAAGATCATCTTTTACTTTCAGCACCTATTACAGGCCTGGCCCACTGTGGGTGTTCTAAAGTGTTTGTTGAATTGACCGAAATATATTTGGTAATATACAGAACTAAAATAGGCAAAAAATTCACTGTATTTTACAAACTCAGCAAATTAAAAGCAGATATAAGTACTGTTAGAGCCAAAGAAAAATGACAAGCTGAAGAGTTCCTGATGTGAGCTACTTTTCAGTATCCTTTAACTGCTTTGACAATCTATCAGAAAGATGATCATTTAGTCTGCATTGTTTCCAATTTTTAAGTTACTAGACTTAAACCATTGTTAAAGTTTATTTAATAAAAGTCTTAGTATAAATTATCAAAAAGGAGCCATATGTATGCCAAGTGTTGAATACATAATATCTCTGGGTTATTGCCCTACCTTGGTAAGACTCAAATGACTGTCAAAAGTAGAGTTTCTTAATAATGGAAATAATTCCTTGGAACTCGTTGTTGGTATGGTAAGTCAGACTGATAGCCTTAAATATCTACTAGCTTTGCATGAATCTGGCAATTTCCAGTTTGTGAATACTGGGTCTTCCAGACTCATTTTTAAAATATGGGACACTTTAGCTGGGTGTGGTACATGCCTGTAGTCCCAGCTACCTGGGAAGTTGAGGCAGGAGGATTACTTGAGCCAAGGAGTTCAAGTCCAGCCTGGGCAACAAAGCAGGACTACATCTAAAAAAACAGAAAGGGCTGGGCGGTGGCTCATGCCTGTAATCCCAGCACTTTGGGAGGCCAAGGTGAGCGGATCACAAGGTCAGGAGATCGAGACCATCCTGGCCAACATGGTGAAACCCCATCTCTACTAAAAATACAAAAAAATTAGCTGGGCATGGTGGCCGCACTTGTAATCCCAGCTACTTGGGAGGCTGAGACAGGAGAATTGCTTGAACCCAGGAGGTGGAGGTTGCAGTGAACCGAGATTGCGCCACTGCACTCCAGCCTGGTGACAGCAAGATTCCCTATCAAAAAAAAAAAAACCAAACATTTTCCCGTAGAAACCATATTGTAACTGGGGGCTGGGTTTCCACACTAGCCCATAATATATACCTAAACATGGCATTAATAGCCATAGCTTTAGTCCTGGATCTTGGGAGCAGAGAGCTTTTGAGAAAAAAAGAAAAGGGGGAAAACTACCAGGCACATAGCGCAGGTAAACTTTTAGGTAGATGAAGTATGTTTTTGGCCTTACCTATCTCCCCTGGTAATCTAAGTTAACATTACCTCATTTCAGGCCTTCAAACAAAATTCCTGTTTATTAATGATATAGGTTGTGTAGTGGGTGTTACTGTGGATGGGTGCCACATGTGAAGCATATTGCAGCTTACAGAGGTTTTTGTTTGTTTTAAGGTGGAGTCTCACTCTATCGCCCAGGCTGGAGTGCAGTGGCGCAATCTCGGCTCACTGCAACCTCTGCCTCCTGGGTTCAAGCAATTCTGTCTCAGCCTCCCTAGTAGCTGGAACTACAGGCACACGCCACCACGCCTGGCTAGTTTTTTGTATTTTTAGTAGAGACAGGTTTCACCATATTGGTCAGGCTGGTCCTGAACTCCTGAGCTCAGGTGATCCACCCATCTCAACCTCCCAAAGTACTGGGATTACAGGCATGAGCCACCACGCCCGGCCTGGAGCATTTTTAACATTTGACTTGGTTTGATTTATTTGTGAAGTATGCATTATTATCCCCACTTGCCTCTCATGTGAGGGAGGCAGAAAAGTTAAATGACATGAGTGACAGCATCCAGTGGCTGATAAGCAGTAGAGCCGGCCTTCTCATGCAGAATCTGTTGTTCCCACCATGTGAAAGAAATTATACTATAAGATTTTGGGTTTTTTACTTAGATCACTTTTTTAAAGTATTCATTATTCTTGAATATTTCAGAAGTAAACAATATTCAAATAAGTGAAATTGTTTAGTGATTATATTCTATAAATTTTTTGAGATGGAAGTGTTTTTAGGCATTTTAGCTTTTTTTTTTTTTTTTTTTTTTTTTTTTGAGACAAAGTCTCGCTCTGTTGCCCAGGCTAGAGTGCAGTGGCGCAATCTCAGCTCACTGCTCACTGCAACCTCTGCCCCCCAGGTTCAAGCGATTCTCCTGCCTCAGCCTCCCAAGCAGCTGGGATTACAAGCACCTGCCACCACGCCCGGCTAGTTTTTGTATTTTTAGTAGAGACGGGGTTTCACCATGTTGGCCAGGCTGGTCTCGAACTCCTGACCTTAGGCAATGCCCGCCTCAGCCTCCTAAAATGCTGGGATTACAGGCATGAGCCACTACACCCGGCCGACATTTTAGACTTTCAAACTAAACCCCATTAGTTTGAAAGAAACCATCTTTTAAAGGTGAGTCTGAAAGAAAAGGAAACTAGCTGAAAGGGGTGAATGGCTCAGAATTATAGCTTTAGACTTTAGTATTGTTTCTTGTAGGAGTTTGATGTAGGTTTCTTTTCTTACATAACTTCCATTACGTTTGGAGATTTGGAAAATTCAAGTCACGCTAACTTCTTTATTCATATTTTTACTTGTGGTTTATAAAACTTCACTATTTTACATGTGCAGGTAGGAGGACAAAATACTTAATATATCAAATAATAGCAGTGAAATAAGCATGTCACTTTATTTTGGCATAATTCAGTTAGCTATTTTATAAATAGTTGCCAGACAAAAAAATAATTCTTACATATTCACTATGTAGCGTCCCGAAGGAATTCAACTACACAACTATTTGGATAGCAGCATTTATTTTAAATTGAAAATAATAATGCCTTTAAAAAAAAATAGCCTGTCACATCACCCGTAATCCAAATTAGTGAAGTTCTTAATTTGGGGTCTCTAAACCCTGAATGGGCTTTGAGGGTTTTCTGAATTCCTTGAAAATGTATGCAAAATTGTATGTGCCCTTTTCTGGGAAGACAGTACAAAATGACTTCTAAAAGATTTTCAAAGAGATCTGTAAACAAAAATAACTTCTACTTTACTTTATTTGTATATCATTTTAATAGCAGAATATAACTTAGCAGTTTAGGAATATTCATCTTATTTATCCTGTATTTCATATTTTAAATTATATGCTTGTGGGGCTTTTATGTTGGCTAGGAATAAATATACTTTTAAATGGTTGTTTGCTCCACTTTTGCTTATACAACTTGTATTTTCTAATCTTTAAAAAATAGGAACACAGCCTATTGGATCCCTAGGCTCAATATGTCCTAATAGTTATGGAAGTGTGAAAGATGTGTGCACTGCAAAATTTGGCTCCAAACATTTTTTTCATCTTATTCCTAATGAAGCAACAATCTGCAGCTTGCTTCTCTGCAACAGAAATGACACTGCCTGGGATGAGCTGAAGGTAGGTAATGAACTTTGAATTCCATATGCAGAGGCTGAGGGAGGAATTAGTCACTCAATAGTTATTATGATTTTTTTTTCGTAGCTTCCCTAGGTAGTATAGAAAGCAAAAATTAAAATGATTGATGCAAAGTCACAAGTAAGCTAATTTAAATGCCTGTGGCATTATAATAAATTTGGCATGTGTTGCCATTTATTATTTCTACTATTTACTAGAAACCTAAAAGGCCCTTGACATGCGAACTTTTCTAAGAAATTAGCTTGAATTGTGTAGTCTTTGATGGTAATGTGTATGAATAATTCACTTGGAAAAATGAGTTCCCCAGTCAATACCCATCATCCACTTCTTAGCAGAGTTTCCTGTTCTCTGCCAGCAATAATACATGCAACTTTTATACAAGGGAAATGATAATCTATGGGATTGGTCACAAGTTTTAAAGATTCATGTATGCTCAAGGATATATCCTTAGTAAATGTTAAAGGTCTGTGTGATTTTTTATTTATTATTGCTGGGATGTAACTGTATTATTTCCAAATCCATTCAAAATAAATTTATTATTTAGACTGAAATGATTTTTTTAGTGGAAGTGTCAGCAAACCTTGTTGACCCAGATATTTTGAGGCCATATATTCGTCTCAGTTTGAAGAGCTAAGTGTATATGAAAGAAAATACTAATCTGGCTCCGTGAAAACAAACTTCTGACTGAAGTATCTTCCCTTAATCTCTAAACCTTACTATTCAGAATGTATTAATCACATGACAACCTTGGCACCACACAAGTTTTGTTCTTTTGTAATTAAAATCACACTCTCTGTATTCACTATGATGCTTTGAGAGCATGATTTTTTGTGTGTTAATATGATGTGAACGTCTGATTCTGATGATTTGGGTTTTTTCTTAGCTCACGTGTCAGACGGCACTGCATGTCCTGCAGTTAACACTCAAGGAACCATGGGCTTTGTTGGGAGGTGGCTGTACTGAAACTCATTTGGCTGCATATATCAGACACAAGGTATGTAAGATAATCCTCTTCGGATTACCTGAATTCTCAGCAACTTTTGTTTTCTGAGATAATAAGCCAAAATCATAATATCCTATAGTCTTTTTGTTAGTTTTAACTTTTAGGTTCAGGGGTGCATGTATAGGTTTGTTATACAGGTAAACTTGTAGCCTTTAACACTGAATTTTTCAGTAGTCTAAATAAAGTAGATAATCAAAAACACTTGAGGGAAATAACAAGGTAAATATAAGGTAATATCCTTATTACAATGATTATTATAAAAATATTTAAGCAAGCGATCACGTTCTTTGAGTATTGTCTACATGTTCTGCATGTTGAAGCTAGCATTCTGTTATTGGGAGTTCTCTTAGAGATCTCAACTGCTGCAATACAGTAATAATTGATGTTCACAAACAAAAGGGCCAAGTTTCTACAGAATACTTCAGTATCTTCTAGAGCATCAAGAAAAGTTTCATTTATTTAAGCAATTCACATATTAGATTCTATTATAATTTTAAAATTGGTATTTATGTATGTTATTTATTAATTATACTAAATAGAATTTTTTGATTGGTCTAGGAAACTCCATTTCCTGACAGCTCTCAGATAAGTTTAGTGCATTGTTGTTCTGATTATTTCATAAGTACTGGCCTACTTTATTTGAAAATGGATAGAAAAAGGTATAGGTGTTTTCCAGATATTAGCAATCGATTCATTGGGTAAACATGCCCTGTCCTTCCCCAAATAACTTAGAATCTCTTTGAAGATAAAGCACATTCATGAAAAGTTATCAGAATATACATTATGGAAAACAAAATTTGTGCCAATCTATTGGTGCTGAATGGACAATAATGTATTCTGAAATGGAATTGATAAACTAGAGAAAGTTTTTTAGAGGAAGGAGGTGTCTTGAGTAGGAAAGTAGTCACTGTTTTTAAGCAGTTAAGATATGGATTTTTTAACCCATCATTCAGTTATTAGTTTGCTAATACAGACATGTTGCTTAACAAAGATATATTCTGAGAAATGCATCATTAGACAATATTGTTGTGCAAACAATATAGAGTGTACTTGCACAAACCTACATGGTAGAGCCTACCACACTCCTAAGCTATGTGGTATAGCCTATTGCTCCTAGGCTACAAACCCTTACAGCATATTACTGTACTGAATACTGTAGGTAATTGTAACACAATGGTATTTATGTATCTAAACATATCAACACACAGAAAAGGTTAGTAAAAATATGGCCTTATAATCTTATGGGACCACTGTTGTATATGCAGTCTATCATTGACTGAAGTGTTGGTATGTGGTGCATGGCTATATATTAATTTTTCTTTTTATCATGGAATTTCTAGGATAAACATTTTTAAATAGTGGAACCAGAAGACTGTTTAAGGTCTTATTACCTTTTCATTAATTTAAAGAGAAGAATATTCATTTTTAAAACATTGATATGAAAATTTACATCATGATTTCCAAATAAAAATATGTGCATTCCCATTTTAAGCAAATCTCAAACATTTTGCAGAGATAAATAAGTACTCCATTTGGGACATCAGTCTTCAGGAACTTCCTCCTGTGTGCAGAAAAACCTGTAATACATGTATTATGCCTAGTCCTTCATGTATTAAGGAGGCACTACCAAGCCTCATTCAGAATAAGCTGATGGTGGGGTTATTCTGATTCACTCATTCTGGTAACATGACTGGTAGTATATACATTTTTAATACATTTTTACTATAACCAACCTAGTTAAGGGTTTGCAACCCGGCCGGCTGACCCATACAAGCCCGTTAGCATTGTGCCAGACCCCAAATTAAATGAAAGTAAGTAATTACTTTAGGAATAAGATTTTGATTTCAGTATCTTATTTTTCTGAAACATTTTATATTAATTGCTTTGTATGTGTTTTCAATGTTTTTATTACTCTTTAGACTCACAACGACCCAGAAAGCATTCTCAAAGATGATGAATGTACTCAAACAGAACTTCAATTAATTGCTGAAGCATTTTGCAGTGCCCTAGAATCTGTTGTTGGCTCTTTAGAACATGATGGAGGTGAAATTCTCACTGACATGAAGTATGGACACCTTTGGTCAGTTCAGGCAGATTCTCCCTGTGTTGCTAACTGGCCAGATTTGCTTTCACAGTGTGGCTGTGGATTATACAATAGCCAGGAAGAACTCAACTGGTCTTTCTTAAGAAGCACACGTCGTCCATTTGTGCCACAAAGCTGCCTTCCACATGAAGCTGTGGGCTCAGCCAGCAACCTGACCTTGGACTGTTTGACTGCAAAGCTTAGTGGCCTACAGGTGGCTGTAGAGACAGCCAATTTGATTTTGGATCTTTCATATGTTATTGAAGATAAAAACTAAGAGAATAGCATGTTCGTATTACAAGAGAAACAAATAAACTAGTCTGTTGGCAATTGAGAAAAATTGTGAGTGTATTTGTTTTCTCCCAAAGCCCTGTTCTACATATTTGGACAAATGACTCATAAAATTATAGATACACTTATTTAGGAAAAAAGGTGATTCGTGAATGGAAATGCCATGAAACAATAAAAATATGAAGCATTATTTATTTAAAAATATTATAGTTATCTTAGGGATTCTATACTGGCTGCTGTACATTGTTCTAAATTTTTGTTATGTTGGCATCATTTTGAGAGCAAACAAATAAAAAAGACTCCTAATCCATGCTCTAGTTTGGATATACATATTTTAGATATTTTCCAGTTAGCAGTAATTACATATGCTTAAAGTATAAAACTAGATCTCAAAGTGTCACAAAACATTCAGTATATATTGCTCAATCAAAAGAAGTATTCAAACTGCACATTTAGTAAAATTTCACTTTTCTCCATGCCCTTTATCTCAAGCTATATTCTTCAGTGGTTAGGTAATTGAGTAGAACCTGGTTTGCCTGCAATTTGTAGTTTATATCACAACTCCACATTTTTGTTATTTTGGGGAAATGTTTGCTTTTGGGGGGAAAAAGTAGATTTATATAGTAACCAAGGCTAAAGCAACATTGTAATGTCTTCATTTTTAAAGTGGGAAGAAGGACTGGTTTGTTTTACACTGGGGTTTCTCAACTTTGGCATTATTGACATTCTGAGCCCCATAATTCTTTGTTGTACGGAGGCTGCCCTGTGCATTACAGCTTACTGAGCAGCATCCCTGGCCTCTGCACACTAGATGCCAGTAGCACCCTCCTGTTGTGACAACCAAAAATGTTTCCAGACATTGCCAAATGTCCCCCGAAGAGCAAAACTGTTGTTGGTTGAGAACCATAGACTGATAGAAAAAGGAAGGACAATAAGGAGTATTCTAGCAGGACTTCAGAAAGCAGCATAAAGGGAAGGGGAAGTTATTTCTCTAGTCAATAGTATGAAAAAGAAAGTAGAAAATCTCCCATGTTCAAAGTAGAGACATTATGTTTCACCAAGGGATGTAGTTTGAATTTTATGCAAATATAAGATGTATTGATAAATTGAAGAAGAAATATAGAAGGCAGCCACATGAATAAGCATGGAGCTATAACAAATGTTGTATTAAACTTTAGGAAAATATTTTGGAAATTTTTGGGAAACAAACCAACCTAATAGTCAATGATCAGATCTATAGCCATGATAAAGAGAAATAGAATTGTTAAACAATTTCCTCTGATATTCTTGTAATCAAAAAGAATTTTTACTCTGAGCCAAAGGAAAAAACTAGCAATACAAGCAGCAATGCCATCCATATATGTTAGGTATCAGCCCCACCTGAAGTCTCATAAAATATTTATCAAAAGTTTTACTCCTTTTATTATTACAATCAAATAGAAGGGCAGTGTGGTAGGCAGCCTCTAAGGTGGCCCCACCTCCTAGTTTCAGACCTTGCATAATTTCCTCCCCTTGAGCATGGGCTAGACTTAGTGACTCCTTTATGTCTCCCATTTCCCAGCTTTGTGGACAGAATGTTATGGTGATGGTTATGGTTATGCCTTATCCATAATTTTATGCTGTGAGTAGAAGGCAGATAACTTTTCTCTAGTTTCATGGGTCTACAGATGGAAAGCAACTGTGTTCCAGGAACTGTACTTAAAGAACTACCTCCTGAGGAAGCCTGGGGTGATTCCAGTTATGATATCACCCTGACTTGATTCCAATTATGAGATTCTGAACTTTGAGCTGATGTTGTAATGCAAAAGTGAAACTTTTGAGGATCTGAGGAGTAGGGGGGACGTATTTTGCATGTGGTAGGCAGCCTCTAAGATGGTTCCCAATAATCTCACTTCCTGGTGGTTCACTCTCTGGGTGTAGGTGGGACCTAATGACTAGCTTCTAATGAATAGAATACAGCAGAAGGGACAGGATATCACTTCTGATATTTGGTGGTAAAAAGATGAGTTTGTCTCTTGATGCCTTCTCTCTCAATGGAAGCCAGCTGTCATGTTGGGAACTGCCCCCTGGGGAGGCCCACATAGCAAGGGTTGAGGGAGGCTTCTAGCCAACAGCTCAAAAGGAACTGAATCGTACCAATAACCACAAGAGTGAATTTGGAAGCAGGTTCTCCCCAGTGGAACCTTGAGTTGAGTATAGCCCTACCACTGGAGCCACACGAGAGACCCTGATGCAAAAAAGCCAGCTAAGCTACTCCCAGGTTGGTTCCTAACCCACAAAATCTGTGAGATAATAAATGTTGTTTTAAGTCAAATTTGGGATGTACTTTCTTATACAGCAATAGCTATCTAATAAAGGCAGGAGGAAAAGCTTATTTGTAATAAATTATTTACTGAAAACTTGGTCACATAAATGGAAAAAAGCATTCTTGATGCCATGCCTTTGCATTTTTATCATCACCCCAACCTAAAAGAAGGGTTCTTTATCACATGTGTTTACAATGTGTCACATAGGAGTTGGGTATTGTCCTGGTTCTCTTTGCCCTTATCCTGCATTTTTTCAAGTTCCTCCAAGAAGGGGTGACACAGCGAACCTCTCCAATTGATCTTATAGATTAGGGGCTTCTACTTTTCACGATAGCCACTTTTTAAATTCTATCATTTTTAGCTTTGCCATACAATTTGATTACATTCCTTAGTGAAACATCAATGCTCTTATTTTGAATATATCACAAATTCGTTAAAATATATTTACAAATACCTCTATGTTTCCTAAAGTTATAATAATCCCTAGCAGAAAACACTGGAAATAGAAAAAAAGAGAAAAAAAACCTTCCTCTATAGTTCAAGAAAATTAGCGTTCAAACTTAGATGATAAAACATGAAATGAAAATTCTTGATGAAAATAATTTTAGAGGAGTTCCTTTTGGCAGAAATAAATGATAAGTAAAAATAGCAACTAAGGTAAGCCTCAGGCAGTGTTTTGTGACTTAAAGTAAGATTGAGGTCTGAATATTGCATTATGAAGTACCTCAGGAGAGAGAATGGGAAACCGTGATCGCTGTGGAAAAGGAAAGGGAGAGTGTGAAGAAGAAAATGAAGTCGGTGACAGCTGCTCAATAATTTCGTGGGACTCTCAGGACATGTAACATTAAACGTTATTCAACCATAGGAGTCCAACAGGATTATCATCTTATTAATCAAAAGGCATTAGGATTTTAGCAGCAAGGAAGAAAGTGGAGAGCTACAGCAAATAAAGGAAACTTTTAATCAAATACTTATTTGGTCTTATAGATATCCTACCCTTTAATTCTTCCATTTGTACCATATTAGAGAGTCTTTATATGTTAGACATTGTAAGTCAACTGTTAGACTGAAGCACTTTATGTAAGTGAAGTATTTTACACAAGATATTTAAACTATATCACATTAATATCTTTTATTATAGGTATCCTTGAACTCATTTGGTTTGTATTATCAAAGCTACTTAGGCATTTACATTGTAGACAAGAAATTTGAAGTAACCATAAATCAGCCATTGTACTATGTATTTTCATATTGTTGTTCATATTGTTGAGCAGTTCTTTGGATAACTTTAAAATAAAATAATGTTGTTTACCATCACATACATTATGCAGGTTATTTAAAATTATCATGTAAAAAATCAATGCAGGCCTTGACAAAACATACAATTAGTTAGGTTATTCCTTCCTGATAATCTTTGGGGAATAGTCAAAGAGACTAAACATCTCCTACAAGGCCCTGTTTCAGCTGTCTAAATAAAGCTATCTCTTAATCTGAAGGAAAAGTCAATTTTGAATATCTGATATCTTTATAATTTTTTTCATGTAGCTAAGTGCTTCCATTTAGTAACTATTGTATCCCATAATGGAAGTTTTTGCCAATCATCTACAGAATTTGAATTTAGATGCACCTAAACCCAATGTTAGCCTACTTTTGGATTATAAGTAGATTTATATGCTGCTTTACTAAGAATATAGTAATATTCATGAAAGAGAATGCAATCCCTGAAAACTATTCCTAAATGTAAGTGAAGCTGTTTGTTGGAGAGACGATTAGTCTTGGCGCACTAAAATCCATAGAATACTATATTACCTGTAATGAAGTGTGAATTTAGAGGGAAATAAAACAGCTTGACAATCTCCTATTAAAAATTCTCTTTGAGAAAATACTTATAATAAACATCTTATTTTAGCCATCTTGATTTTGTTTCTAGTATTGTGGTTTGATTTTGGGAAGTATTAATTGAGCCCTTTCTGTTTGCAGATAGGATAGTCAAGCGTATTTGGCGGTGAGAAGAGGAAAAAACAACACAGAAATTTGTTCACAGTCTCTGGCCTCAACAAGTTGATCATCTAGCCAGGGAGAATTTTTTTTTTTTTTTTTTTTTTTTTTTTTTGAGATGGTGTTTCGCTCTTGTTGCACAGGCTGGAGTGCAATGGCGCGATCTCAGCTCACTGCAACCTCCGCCTCCTGGGTTCAAGGATTCTCCTGCCTCCGCCTCCCGAGTAGCTGGGATTACAGGCATGTGCCACCATGCCCGGCTAATTTTGTATTTTTAGTAGAGATGGAGTTTCTCCATGTTGGTCAGGCTGATCTCGAACTCCTGACCTCATGTGATCTGCCCGCCTTGGCTTCCCAAAGTGCTGGGATTATAGGTGTGAGCCACCGCGCCTGGCCGAGATTTTTTTTTTTAATTATTAATTTTATAAGTTAAACATGTTGTAATAGAAAACTGGGAAAATATGAATCAGACACACACACAGACACACACACACTAAAGTCAAGTATATTCCTGCTATCTTCAGAGATAATCAGTGTTTACATTTTCTATGTATCTTTTCAGTTTGTTTTCTGCATGGATTTTTCCAAAAAGATGATCATACAGTATGTTCTGTTTTATAATCTATTCCTTTTACTTAATATGTCATGAACATCATACACATATAGAATTCTACACATTCTGTTATTACATCATGTTTCTTTTAACTTTTATGGGTACCTAGTAGGTATATATATTTATTGGGTATATAAGATATTTTGATGCAGGCATACAATGTGTAATAATCACATCAGGGTAAATGGAATATATTATATCATTTTTAATGCCTGAAGAAATTTTAGTTATAAAGATTATGCCATAATTTAGTTAATAAATTGGTATTAGTAAACCTTTGGGTTGTTTTCAAAATTTTTGTGTTAATATATGCAACAATGCAGTGAACATACTGTATATATTGTTTTCCCATATCCCTGATTATTTCTTCAGGATAAATAAATATAATTCAGGTTTCTGGGTCCAAGTGTACTGGAAATGGAAAGACTACATGTTATCTACCCCCAGTGATTTTTTTAAATATTAGTTTTAAAAGGAGAGTCCATTTTCAGTTACTAAATTGGCAAAGATAGTAACTATTGTTGGCAAAAGTTTAGGAAAAGGAGCACTTTCACACTGTGGTTGCGGTATATTGATGTGACATCTGGAGGACGATTATATAATAGATTGCCTTCCATTTCTAGTACACTAGTCAAATGCTTCTGAAATGCCTTCCACATTTTCTATCAGTAAGTTTATCTTTCTCATATGCATTTTTATTTTTGTATTTATTTTCTCATATGCATCATTAAAGATATATACATATTCAGGTAATCTTTAGAGCAAATGCATAGCCTCTCTTCATGGGCTGAACGTTCAGCCGCACATCCCCAAGCTAGACATGACGTCTTCTTAATGATACAGTTTTGTACCCATCTGTTGACTTGTCACTCACAAGCAGCAGCAAAACACCTATGTGGTATGATGAATTCAAACAATAAACAAACTATTGCCCTTAAGTTTTTACTACCTTCAACTCTTATGGTGTCTATGAAATGGGGTGGTATATTAGTTTTTTAGGGCTGCCATAACAATTGCCACAAAAGTAGTGGCTTAAAATAACAGAAACGTATTCTCTCTGTTTTAGACACTAGAAGTTTGTCATCAAAGTGTTGTTGGCAGGGCTATGCTCCCTCCGGAGGCTCTAGGGTTAATCATTCCTTACCTTCTCCAGCCTGTAGTAGCTGTCACCACTACAATCTGCCCTTGTATTCACATGGCCTTCCACCGCCCTCTCTGTGTGTCAAATATCCCTCTCCTTTCTCTTGCAAGGACACCAGTGATTGGATTTAGGGCCCACCCTAAATCCAGGATGATGTCATCTCAAGATCCTTAATTGCACTTGCAAAGACCCTGTTTCCAAATAAGGTCACATTCACAGGTAGCAGGACTTAGGTCTTTGGACATATCTTTTGGGGGGACATCATTCAACTCACCACAGATGGTAAAAAACTGCCAAGATGTAAATCCTTCTCCAGGGCTACAGATGCACAGAAAGCAAAATACAGTCATCCCTGGGAATTCTTGGGGCATTAGTTCCTGGACCTCCTTGGATATCAGATTCCTTAGGCAAAATGGCACAGTATTTGCATGTAACCTACACACATCCTCCTGTATACTTTAAATTATCTCTAGATTACTTATAATACCTAAAACAATGTAAATGCTATGTAAATAATTGTTACGCTGTATTTTTTATTTTTGTTATTTCAAATATTTCCCATCCACAGTTGGTTGAATCCACAGATGTGGAACCTGCCATATGGAAGGCCAACTGTGTGCCCAATGTGGACAGAAGGTACCAATGCCAGGTTTTACCACCAAGCTTATCAAATCATTTCTTAGTTTATTGTCGTTCTTTGATTATAATCGTCTTTTTTGGTAGGGTGCAGTCTCTTTTCTCTCTTTTTTTCCTTAAATTGTCCTAGACCTGACATTCTTCCCTACTCCCCTTTTCTACCTGCATCATCTTCATTCATTACATAGGTATATGTAATACCTAGTGCATTCTCCTGCACTAGGTATTACATATAAACTAGCTACTGGGGCTGGGCACAGTGGCTCATGCCCATAATCCCAGCAGTTTGGGAGGCTGAAGCAGGTGGATCACTTGAGGTCAGGAGTTCAAGACCAGTCTGGCCAACATAGCAAAAACCTGTTTCTATGAAGAATACAGAAATTAGATGGGCATGGTGGTGTGCACCTGTAATCCCAGCTACTCAGGAGACTGAGACATGAGGATAGCCTGAACCCGACAGGTGGAGGTTGCAGTGAGCCAATATTGTGCCACTACACTCCAGCCTGGGCAACGAGTGAGACTCTGTCTAAAAAACAAACAAAAACAGAAAAAATGACCTACTGGGCATTGAACCATATTTTCTCTATACTCAGATAATTTATATAAAGACATATGAAGAAAAATTTTGTACATGCTTTTGTAAAAGAAAAAAAAAGATCATTTTATATAACTTTGACCTGCTTTTATATAACTTTGATCTGCTTTTACATAACTTTGATCTGCTTTTTTCAGAAAAGTCTCTAAGTCATCTGAAAAAGCTAATTCCTTTCTTTAATGGTCACATACTATGCCTGTAGAGATTGTAGTGGAAGATGTTGGTGTCCCACCCAGGTCCCATTTGAACTGGCCTAGTGTACCCATCCCCAAATCCTGCGAGCATTAGCTGCTAATGGCTTACAGCTACCTCTTCTCAGGAGAGCTACTCTAAACCCAGAGGCCACCTTGCCAGAGAGGTTATGACAAGAAGATTTTTATATCTGCCTTCCTCCTGTATGTCTGTACCCATAGACAATGACTTTGTACATATATTCTTTTTAAGAAGGCCAATAACTTTGTACACATATTGTTACCTACTTATGTTTTCATTTATAAGTGTTAGATTCTAATGAATGAAACCTCCAGGTCAGAAAAAGATTTGCACTCTTTACTAAGTATTGCCTCATTATTTTGCAAAAGACTGTAACAATTCATAATTCTACCAGCCATTCATGAGTACCATTTCCCATAACCTCATTACCTATTGCCACTGCCAGTTAGTAATAGGTACTATGTTCTTTTTTATTTTACCAATTATTAGTTCCTTGTTATTTTGTTTTGAAGTTTCTGATTACTAATGAATTTGAGTATTTAAAAAATATATTGCTAGCCATTTGGATTTGTTCTTCTTTGAATTATCTATATTTATTGCCCATTTTCTTATTTTTCTTATTTGTAAGAGTGCTTTGTGCATTATAAATGCTATTAAAGATATTAACCTTTCATCTATCCTCTTTGGTACAAATATTTTTTGCAAATTGTTTTCTATTTCTTTCAATCATAGGATGCTTTACCAATTAAAACGCTTTAATTTTTCTCTAATCAAATATGTCTATGTTTTCTAGTCTGGGTTTCTTATCTTGATTAAAAACCCTTAGGTCTTCTAAATATTCTCCTAAGCATTTTGCCTTGTACATTTAAGTTTTAATCTATCTGTAATTATATATATATATGATATGAGGTATAGGTTCAGTTTAATTTTCTTCTAGATGGAGAACCAGTTGTGTCAACATCAATTATTTTTAAAATATCTTTTCCCAGCAAGTTGAAATACCACCCTTGTCATATATTACATTCTCATTTATGGGAAATTTATTTCTAAACTGTCTTTTCGACTAATTTTTTTTGCCTTTTCTTAAAGCAATACCACACTTATTGATTATAATCATGTCTTAAAATTTTTAGTATCTGCTAAAGGAATTCCCTATTTCACTATTTTTCTCTTTAATATACCCCTTGGCTATTTTTTAGTTTTATTCTTTCATATAAATTTATAGATCATTTCATGTAATTATAAAATGAATTACATTGGAATTCAATTCAGGTTTATATATTAATTTGCAGAAACATTAACATTCTTGGGTTATCAAGTGTTTCCACTCAAGAACGTGGTAATCATTTCATTAATTCAAATCATATTTCATTATCTTTATTAAGATTTTAAAGTTTTCAGTATAGGTTTTAAACCTTTTATGTTAATTTTTAAGCATCTCATTGTTATGTTGCTATTTTAAATAGAATAATTTTCAATTACTAAATGCCCAATACTATATTTCTATATTTTTCGAAGACCATGAATACTGCTCACTGCTAATGGAGATAATAAAGCACAGATACTTTTAAGATCCATGAGGTTGTTTTCTTTTTCACATTTAACTTTTCTAAAATTGGAGTGTGTCTTAAAATCAAAGTATACATTATTTGATTTTTCTTTTTCCCTATAAAAAAACATATTTAAAGTTGATGATGTTTTACAGACATCAGACAGGTTTTACAGACTTTTACAGATTTGAGAAAATAAGTGAGCCTATGCAGTTTACAGAGCTGAAAGGAAGTGTGGCATAGCATTTTGAAGACAGAAAGACCCAGGTTTAAATACTTAAGTAAACTCTAACTTTTGTGAGCTTCTTAACCTTATGTGGTTGTTCTTAAGAACCAATGAAATGGCTCTCGGCTCTCCCCTCTCCCCTCTCCCATCTCCCCTCTCCCCAGGGTCTCCCTCTCCCTCTCTTTCCACGGTCTCCCTCTGATGCCGAGCCGAACCTGGACTGTACTGCCGCCATCTCTGCTCACTGCAACCTCCCTGCCTGATTCTCCTGCCTCAACCTGCCGAGTGCCTGCGATTGCAGGCGCACGCCGCCACGCCTGACTGGTTTTCGTATTTTTTTGGTGGGGACGGGGTTTCGCTGTGTTGGCCAGGCTGGTCTCCAGCTCCTAACCGCGAGTGATCCGCCAGCCTCGGCCTCCCGAGGTGCCGGGATTGCAGACGGAGTCTGGTTCACTCAGTGCCCAATGGTGCCCAGGCTGGAGTGCAGTGGCGTGATCTCGGCTCGCTACAACCTCCACCTCCCAGCCGCCTGCCTAGGCCTCCCAAAGTGCCGAGATTGCAGCCTCTGCCCGGCCGCCACCCCGTCTGGGAAGTGAGGAGCGTCTCTGCCTGGCCGCCCATCGTCTGGGATGTGAGGAGCCCCTCTGCCAGGCTGCCCAGTCTGGGAAGTGAGGAGCGCCTCTTCCGGGCCGCCATCCCATCTAGGAAGTGAGGAGCGTCTCTGCCCGGCCGCCCATCGTCTGAGATGTGGGGAGCGCCTCTGCCCCGCCACCCCGTCTGGGATGTGAGGAGCGCCTCTGCCCAGCCGCGACCCCGTCTGGGAACTGAGGAGTGTCTCTGCCCGACCGCCACCCCGTCTGGGAGGTGAGGAGCGTCTCTGCCCGGCCGCCCCGTCTGAGAAGTGAGGAGCCCCTCCGCCAGGCAGCCACCCCGTCTGGGAAGTGAGGAGCGTCTCCGCCCGGCAGCCACCCCGTCCGGCAGCCACCCCGTCCGGTAGGGAGGTGGGGGGCAGCCCCCGCCTGGCCAGCCGCCCCGTCCGGGAGGGAGGTGGGGATCAGCCCCCGCCCGGCCAGGCGCCCCGTCCGGGAGGGAGGTGGGGGGCGCCTCTGCCCGGCCACCACCCCATCTGGGAGGTGTACCCAACAGCTCATTGAGAACGGGCCATGATGACGATGGTGGTTTTGTGGAATAGAAAAGGGGGAAAGGTGGGGAAAAGATAGAGAACTCAGATTGTTGCTGTGTCTGTGTAGAAAGAAGTAGACATGGGAGACTTCATTTTGTTCTGTACTAAGAAAAATTCTTCTGCCTTGGGATGCTGTTGATCTATCACCTTACCCCCAACCCTGTGCTCTCTGAAACACGTGCTGTGTCCACTCAGGGTTAAATGGATTAAGGGAGGTGCAAGATGTGCTTTGTTAAACAGATGCTTGGAGGCAGCATGCTCGTTAAGAGTCATCACCACTCCCTAATCTCAAGTACCCAGGGACATAAACACTGCGGAAGGCCGCAGGGTCCTCTGCCTAGGAAAACCAGAGACCTTTGTTCACTTGTTTATCTGCTGACCTTCCCTCCACTATTGTCCTATGACCCTGCCAAATCCCCCTCTGCGAGAAACACCCAAGAATGATCAATAAAAATAAAAATTAAAATTAAAAAAAAATAGTTTAAAAAGTAAAATAATAATAATAATAATAATAATAATAATAATAATAATAGAAAAAACCTTATAGACTACTGTTTAAAATAAAATTTGCTATTTTGGCCAAAAAAAAAAAAAAAAAAAGAACCAATGGAATGAATTAAAAGCTCTTACTACAGAGCCAGGCACATAATGCACACTCAATAAATGGGAGGTAGGCAAAATATTCAAGTAAATTCCAACACTCTGACAATCACACATTATTTTAGCAATTTCAAAAACAAAAACAGTAAGAATGTCTTAAAAATTTAACTGAGATAAGGCAAAACTACAAATTTATAAGTTGAGTGGAGTTGTTACAAGGATATTTAATCATTTGCTTAATTTTGAAGTCCTCTTACAGGCTTAGTAACTTAACTGGGCATACTCTTATAATTCTCTTAGGTGGTGTTAGGGACTACACACAAGGGGCATATTTATTAAATCTCCCAACAGTCTTGGTCCACTAGAAAAATAGATAGATGTGCTAAGTTTTACTTTTTATCAGCACATTGGATATATCTATGAGTATCAAGTAGATTATTTTATTACAAAGGAATTTAATATTCCCTGGATTTAAGAAAGATGGATTGAGTTTTTATCAACAGCTTATTAATTAAAATTTGTTCCCAATGACTGGCTCTTAAAATATTATCAAAACTATTATTTTGCAAACCTTTACTTCTTTACTTTTATTTATATTTTTTGGCCGTAAGAAATGAATACATATGAAATAAGTTTCAATCTATTTTAAAATTATATAATAGCTTAGATATTCTTAGGTTACTTATCAAAATTAAAGAACTTTTAAAAACTAAAACAGAAATTCCTATCAATTTCTCAAGAGAAATTATCAGCCATTCTTATTTATTTTACTTAAGCATTTACTATGTATGAACATTTTATTAAATTAGATTTTTACTTAATGATAAAGTATAATGAAAAATTTTGTCTTAATATTTATAGCATATGAAACCAAGGGTTTAAAACACAAATGAATTCAAGTTCTTGTTTAAATACCTTTTTTACTCTTTATTGAGCATCGTAAGAAATAGCTTTGTCATTTTCTACTATAAATTAATTCCTGATAATCCTCAGAGATGAATCTGTCTTCTCATATTTGAATGCTTTCTGGTTTTATTTTCATTGTAATGAATGCTCTGATGTAAACACTAGGATTGTGCTTTGGAAATAGTTTTAAAATATGAAATTAAATATGGTACATTTGCAGGTTTTTTGGTCCTATGATTCTTACTTTCTTAGAACCAGATTATGTTTCTCCTCATTCACAGAGGTTGCAGTGAGCCAGGATTGCACCACTGTACTCTAGCCTGGCCTACAGAGTGTGACCCTGTCTCAAAAAAAAAAAAAAAAATTTCTCCTTATTCATTCGATGAAGACCTTTATTGGTTACCATGTCAAGTCATTGTGCATATATTTTTCCTGTTCAGTTTCAATTCTTCCATTCATTTGTTGAGCTCCTAGTGTCATAGCTAGGGATACCATAGTAAGTATGAAAAGACATAGTTCCTGGCCGGGCGCAGTGGCTCACGCCTGTAATCCCAGCACTTTGGGAGGCTGAGGTGGGCAGATCACAAGGTCAGGAGATCAAGACCATCCTGGCTAACATGGTGAAACCCCGTCTCTACTAAAAATACAAAAAAATTAGCTGGGCTTGGTGGCGGGCGCCTGTAGTCCCAGCTACTCAGGAGGCTGAGGCAGAAGAATGGCGTGAACCTGGGAGGCAGAGGTTGCAGTGAGCCGAGATCGTGCCACTGCACTCCAGCCTGGGCGACAGAGCGACACTCCATCTCAAAAAAAAAAAAAAAAAAAAAAAAGAAAAGACATAGTTCCTGTTCTGATTGAGCTTAATGTCTAAAATTCACCCACATAAAGGCTAAAATTCACCCACATAAAGGTACACTTACAACTAAACTATTAAGAGATAATCAATCTGTTATTTTGCTTTGTTTCTTTTTTTTCTCTTTTTTTTTTTTTTAAGACAGTCTTACTCTGCTACCCAGGCTAGAATGCAGTAGTGCAATCTTAGCTCCTGGGTTCAAGTGATTCTCATGCCTTGGCCTCTCGAGTGGCTGGGATTACAAGTGTGTGCCACCACACCTGGTTAATTTTTTTATTTTTAGTAGAGGCTGGGTCTTGCCATATTGCCCAGGCTGGTCTCGAACTCCCAGCCACAAGTGATCTGCCCACTTTGACCTATCAAAGAGCTGGGATTACAGGCATGTGCCACCATGCCTGGCCTGATAATCTGTTTTTTAAGAAGACGTAATAGGAATAAGAGAGATCTTTTAGATATCAAGCGTCGTTAGAATTAATTAGAATCAGAGAAAAATGAGATTATTCCAGACAGAAAGAACAGCATATACAAAGGCACTGTTGTAGGAAGAAACATATGTGAAGAATTGGAAGAAGGTCACTGTGGCCAAAGCTTAGAGTAGAGAGCGAGAGCAAATACTGTGGAAGATGTCTCTGAAGATACAGGTTGCAGCCAGGCCAGGCCAAACTTGTGATGATGAAGGGTTTGGAATTAATCTAAAATCAATGGAAATTCTTTAAAAAATTTTTTTTTGTAGAGATGGTGTCTCACTATGTTGTCCAGGCTGGTCTTGAACTCCTGAGCTCAAGTGATCCTCCTGCCTCAGCTTCCCGAGGAAGATTACAGGTGTGAGCCACCACACCTAGCCTGCAGTTCTGACATTGTTTTAAGTTGAGGCAGGAGGGCAGTAGGGGGGAAATAGTGAGTTTGAGGAGGAGAGATTGGTTAGGAAGTTATTCATTAGAATAGTGAAGGAATTATGGCACATGGTGGTGTCAGTATACATGAGAGACACAGATAGATTCAAGAAACATTTAGCAGATGCATCCAGGAGTAGTTGTGATGACTTCAATAATCACAAATGGACAATTGGCAAGGCACAGTAGCTCATGTCTATAATCCGAGCACTTTGGGAAGCTGAGACGGGCAGATGGCTTGAGTGCAGGAGTTCAAGACCAGCCTGGGCAACATGGCGAGACCCCGTCTCTACTAAAAATACAAAAAATAGCTGGGTGTGGTGGTGTGAGCCTGTGGTCCCAGCTACTTGGGAGGCTGGAGGACCACCTGACTGGAAGCTGGAAGTTGCAGTAACCCAAGATGGCACTACTGCACTGCAGCCTGGGACAGAGCAAGACCCTGTCCCAAAACAAAAACAACAAACAAACAAACAAAACGAATGGCCAATTAGATGATTAGAGTTAACTCTCTGTTTTTAACCTTAACTCAATTTGATGACTGGAAGAGCACAGGGTTTGCAAGAGGGATAGTAGTTTTGTTTTGAACACAATGAGTCTGAATTGGTTTCTTACTAATCAAGTGAAGAGATTACTAAGACAGATCTACTGATCTGGAGTTCAGAAGATAAATCTGGCCTAGAAATATAAATATGAGTCAGTTTCATCTAGGTTGCTTAGTTTGGATGTTTGACCCTCCAAATCTTGTGCTGAAATTTGACCCCCAATATTGGAGGTGGAGCTAGTGGGAGGTCTTGGGTCACATGCGGGTGCATCCCTCATGAATGGTTTGGTGCTGTCTTCTAAGTAATGAGTGAGTTCTTGCTCTATTAGTTCCTGCAAGAGCGAGTTGTTAAAAAGAGCCTGACACCCCCTGTTTGCCTCTACTCTCACCACGTGATTCCTGAACAGGCCAGCTTCCCTTTGCCTTCTGCCATGAGTAGAAGCAGCCTGAGTCTCTCACCAGGAGCAGATGCTGGCGCCATGCTCCTTGTACAGAACTGTGAACCAAATAAACCTTTTTTCTTTTCTTTCTTTATTTTTTTTTTTTTTGTTTTAGAAGGAGTCTCACTCTGTCACCAGGCTGGAGTGCAGTGACGCAATCTTGGCTCACTGCAACCTCCACCTCCCAGGTTCAAGCAATTATCCTGCCTCGGTCTCCCGAGTAGCTGGGACTACAGGCGTGGGCAACCACGGCCATCTAATTTTTGTATCTTTTTTAGTAGAGATGGGGTTTCACCATGTTGGCCAGGATGGTCTCGATCTCTGGACCTTGTGATCCGCCCACCTTGGCCTCCCAAAGTGCTGGGATTACAGGCGTGAGCCACCGCACCCAGCCTAAACCCTTTTTCTTTTTTCTTTTTTCTTTTTTTTTTTTTCTTGAGATGGAGTTTTGCTCTTGTTGCCCAGGCTGGAGTGCAATGGTGTGATCTCAGCTCACTGCAACTTTCGCCTCCCAGGTTCAAGCGATTCTCCTGCCTCAGCCTCCTGAGTAGCTGGGGTTACAGGCATGTGCCACCAAGCCCAGCTAGTTTTGCATTTACTATAGTAGAGACGGGGTTTCACCATGTTGGTCAGGCTGGTCTCGACCTCCTGACCTCAGATGATCTGCCCACCTTAGCCTCCAAAAGTGCTGGGATTACACGCATGAGCCACTGCGCCTGGTCTTCTTTTTTCTTTATAAATTATCCATCCTCAGGTGTTCCTTTATAGCAACACAAATGGACTAACATGATGGTATTGAAGCTGTTCATTCACTAATTCATTCAATCAGCATGTTTATCACACTCCCACTATGTGCTGGGCACTGTTCTTGGTTCCGGGGATTCAGATAAATTTTAGAGTCAGCTTGACAAGTTCCATGAAAATCCTTTAAGATTTTAATTGGAATTGCATTATTTGTAAATTGATACCTGTATAACATTTAGGCTTTTCATCCTGAAAAAGGGTGTCTGTCTTCTTTACTTGAATTTTATTTAGTTATTTAATATTTTTGTAGTTTTTTGTTTATTTCATTATATATTTTGAATGTTTCCTTTGTTGAGTTTATTCCCGGATATTTTATAAGTTTTTTATTATTGTAAATGGAATCTGGTTTTTAGAGATGGGGGTCTTGCCCCATCACCTTGGGTGCAGTGCAGTGATGCAATTGTGGTTCACTGTGGCCTTAAACTCTTGGGTTCAAGCAATCCTCCCACCTTGGCCTCACAAAGTGCAGGGATTACAGGCATGAGCTGCCACACCCACCCAGTCTCTTCCTCTCTTTTTGGACCTCATTGCATTGGCTAGGACTACCAGTACAATCTGAATAGCAAGAGGGCTAGTTAGAGCTTCTTTTATTTTCTTTTGTGATTTTCCAAGTGATGCAGGATTTTTGCTCCTTAACTCAGCTAAGTCCGGGTTACTGTCTCATGGTCAGGAAGAATTAGGCATGTGGACACCAGAGAGTGAGTGGAGTAGAATTTATTAAGGAAAAGGAAAGCTCACAGCAAAGAGAAGGGTCCTGAAAGCAAGTTGCCAGTTGCCCCCTTCACAGTTGAATACAAGGGTGTAAGGCACGAATTTCTGGTGGCTCCACCCCATCCTTCCAGTGTGCCTGTGGGCCCTTGGTCTGAGCCACTCCATATTAATTTATATCCCTTGCTGTGCATATGTTACGGAATGGAATTTTCCACGTGGACATGTTTAGGCAATCCCCCTTTGCAAGTTCCCTTATCTGCACAAAGCATCTCATGCTGTGGAGCCAGTGGCAGATTCTCCGGGGACCCTTCCCTTACTGTCTGCCTAAAGCAAACTGGCTAAATTCTTTCACAAGTTTTTCTTTTTCTTTTTTTTCTTTTTCTTTCTTTTTTTTTTTCCAATTTGCATTAGAAAGCTTTTATTGAGACAAGGTAAACAGTGGGCTGAAAATATTACAGGCTGAAGGAAGGCTGAGGAAACCAGTATGAAGGCTGCTCAAATGATGAACTAAATACATTCCAAAGGTACTATTTATACTTAAGGCAGTTTTAAAAGTGAGGTCTTAACCAAAAATCCTTTACATGGCATTCAAAAAAAGAAAAAAGAGGGGGTCACTTAAATCTTTTGTATTGACTAAAAGAGTTAAATTATGTACCCAAAATCTGTACAACAAGGGCCTGTTTTCAGCAGGTAAGCCTATGTACAAGTAAGAACCTCTTACTCTTATAACATTGTCCTGTTTTCTTTTGTTTTATAAGAATATATAACTCCTATCCCCACAGAGTTAGTCCAAAAGGCCTGAGTGACCTCATAGAAATATGGAGCTACCTCTACTAGAGAACTATTTACACTGCGCTGTAAATACACATATGTGTGTCCACCCCCACAGCTAAGCTGTCAATGCCTTGAGTGAAGGGGTTACAGCTCATTGGTTTTATATCTACAGTGACAATTAACAGGCACTCAATACTTTTTTTTGCATGAATGATAAATGAATTGATTTTACACTACCACCACTATTTACATTAACATTCCCACCATTAGCCGTCTCCAAAATAAAAACACCAAATTGCTGCCACATTTTCAGCAGTTTTCACAATACAGTGCTTCTGGACTTTTTAATGTAAACAAACATGCTTGATTTACCAATTTTCAGAGTAATGACACAAACTTAGCATTCTTCTTGGAATGGAAAACTTGCTGGGAAGTTACTTCATTCTTTTTCTCTTTTTCAAAAGTGCATCTCGTAGCACCAACTGTTTTTCTCGGAAGGAATGCTTATTTTTTCACCGGACATTCTGGCTATACTGCATCATCATAAAGTTCTTCTGTTTTTTCTCCTCTTTATTTGTCAAACTGGGAAATGGATTCATTTTGGTTTTCTTCCTCACAAATTCTTTTCGGTCTGTCTTTCTAGCCATTGCAGTTGCTAGTCTTGTCTCTTTGTCAGACTTCGGCTTTTAATGAAGGCGTTCAATGTCCTGAAGAGAAAGTAATTCACCCCTGGGCTCTTCATCACTGTCTATTTCAATTTATTTCCTCTTCTGGGATTTCCCAGGGGCAGCATCAAGTTCTTTTCTCAGTTGGGCCATGCGGATTTTCTGGAAGTCTTCCTGAGTTAAAACTTGGCTGGTGCTGATGGCTGCAGCTTTGGCTTTCCACTCCTCCATGGGCATCCTGTTCAGCTTCTTGGAGATTTCTTGCTGTTCTTCATCGGAAGAGTGTTGCACATCAATCTATTCACCATCAGCATCCTGCTCCTCACTGAGACTGGTATTTTCCCATCCATCTTCATCATTTTCAGCATTCTCTTCTTTCTCACCTTCCAGAACTTCTGCTCCTGGAATGTAATCTTTAGCATCTAATTCTCCATATTCTTGTACTCTTGCTTCTATGGAGGCCTCAGTAGGCTTACCCTGGAATTTCTTCTGCAGCATCTGAGGATTCAGTGTTCGGAAGAGCTGAATCAAAGTTCTAGCACACATCATTACATTCTTATCCTTGTGTGTTTTATACTGAGCCAGGTCTTGGAGAAGTTCTTCAGTCATGGCCAGAGAACATCGAGCTGTTTTCTCTTTTATAGCATTGATTCCTACTGTCATGACTTCTCCAGAATTCTTGTCGGTAACCAAATTGTTTGCCACAGTCATAAGCAATGATTGAATAATCTCTGGGGGTACTAGGTGATGAGATGCTTGTGCAGCAAACGGAGGATCTTTGTTACTTCTCTTTGGTGGGGCTGCAGAAACCTTTGCAAACAAGGATGGAAATTGAAGAGGAAGAGCTCATGAATTCCCACCAATCTGGAGATGAGGTTCATGAGCATCATTTTCACTTCAAACTTCTCCTTAGTTCACTCAAGCTGCTTTAGTAGTTTTTCTGCAAAATCTTGGGGATCATGAATTAAGTGAATGGCTGAAAAGTTAAACATCTCTGATTTTTTCTTGTTTTTTTTTTTTTTGTTTCTCAGATTCGGAGTTACAGTCCTGTTTTTCGTCTTCATCTTTCCCAAGACAGAATGTCAAAGTGGCAACTAATATCTTGGTGACCTTAGAGAAATGTGCAGTTGTGATAACATTGACAGTTTTGGCATCATTCCAGATGTTCCCTCTGTAGAGTTCAATCATTACATCTAAAGACATCTTGGCTGCGGTTGCATTGCTATGTCTTAACATGATGTACTTGAAATTTTGCAATACTGCATTCACTTTCCTGTTCTTGTGTTTTGCATTTATATTCTTGATATCAGTCACAATATGTGTGTATAAAGTCTTTCACAGAAGCTTATCATGGCAACGTAGAAGTTCAAAGAAGAGTTCTAGCAGGCTTGATGGAATGATGAGATTCTTATTTCTCAGCAAGATCAAAGCTTTGCAAAATGTCATTTGAAGATCTGGATCTTATACGGTATAATTGCAGGAGAGAAGCTCTTTCACCTCTTGAGGAAAATTACTTAAATACTCTGGGTAGCAGTGACTAATCTGTAGCAAAGCAAAGGCTCTTCTGAAGTTTCTCTCTTTCTCTCCTATAATTAAGATGCAGACATTTAGGCTGTTCTGTGCCATAAACATCACCAGCTCTGCTAGTTCTTTGCTGGGTTTATTTGGTTGCAATTTGGAAATCTCCACATTGGATCTGTAGTGATTTTACTGCTGTAGAAACTCCTCAATGCAGGCCGGTGGGTCTAGCTTGATCCGATTCTGTGACTGCGGCAGGTTACTGGGCAGCTTGTTGTTTCTGCTGGACATTTTGGCTGCAGACTGGCTTCGCGGCCAGCAGTTTTAATAAAACTCAGATGGCCGGTAGCCCCCAAACCCTGCCAGCTGCAGCTACAAGTTTTTCAAACTTACACCCTTCCCTGCTAAAGAACATATTTTTTGGGGATATAATTAGTAATGTCCTCAAATGCTTAAATTTACAAGAAAATAAATAATATATAGTAATTTGATTTATGGGCTTTATTTTATTTTTACAAAATGTGAAAACATTTAATTTTACTGTTCAGGCTCGGTGCAGTGGTTCACACTTGTAATCCCTGCACTTTGAGAGGCCAAAGCAGGTGGATCACTTGAGGCCAGGAATCCGAGACTAGCCTGGCCAACATGGTGTAACCTGGTCTCTACTAAAAATACAAATATTAGCTGAGTGTGGGGGTGGGCACTGGTAATCCCAGCTACTTGAGAGACTGAGGCAGGAGAATTGCTTGAACCCAGGAGGCAGAGTTTGCAGTGAGCCAAGATCACTGCACTCCAGCCTGAGCAACAGAGCAAGACTACATCTCCAAAAAAAAAATAAATAAAAATTGTACTGTTCAAATGAATTCTCTGAAAAAACTATTGACATAAGATGGACTTGCCAATTCTAAACAAGAAGGGTCCATCTGGTTTTCTGTTTGAGATTTACGTCCTAAAGTATATCAAATGAGTTTAGAAAATATCAGGAATAACCAAGCCTAATTTGAGTGTATGTCTGAAAGACTACAAAAATACTAGTCTCACAGTTAATGATGACCCTGTAGTATGTGCTACGAATAGCATTTTAGTTCCTGTTAATAACAGCTTGCCATCTAAACAGAATAATGTAAGGTTTGATGAGTATTACTTTAAAAATCAATATTGCTTTTATTTTCAGTGAAGTAGAAACCAGTGCCTTTATCTTGGTTTTATATTTCAATTGCTACAAAAATAAATATGCTCAAAGGTGCATCAGACAGCCATTGTGCAGCTCGGAATTCAAGGTATAGCCAACTAGACTTTTCTGTGAAGAGTGTATTATTACTCGTCTTCAAAAATTTGGTTGACCAGAATTATCTGACTTGCCCACAAAATTGCATAATTTTAATGGAATTTAATGTCAAAATGAATAAAACAATGATGACTTTGGCATACCCACTCTGTAGATAAAAACAAATTATTTAGTTCTAGAAAAATATACTTCATAAAACAGAAAACATTTGATTAAATGGTCAACTATTCATATTTTCAGTCAAAATATATATTGACTTTCAAATTATGAATGATTGAGACTATCGTCTGGCTTCAACTAAACTACGCAGCAAGTAACTTTCATCTTGTTCGGTTATACCAGCCCATTACCAAGAATTTTAGAAATCCTGTGTAACACTGGACAACCCCATATCACTTCACACATTTTAAACATACATAGATGATTGAAAAATTTAGATGTATATTTCAAATTTAATCATTGTTCAGAGTTTTATTCCTAACTACAAAGACAAAAATTATCTAAAAAATATTATGATTTTCTCTGGGTGATCAAATTATGAGTGACTTTATCTTTCAACTTTTCTGTATTTTTAAAATTATTTGCAGTGAGCATATATTACTTAATTAATGAAAAAAAACTAGTATTTTTAGAAATGGATTCAAGCCGATTGGAAATGTTTATTAGAATAAATCTTCCCAAGGGCAGAAATTTTGCAGATGTTTCTGAGCTACAAATAAATCTTGTGTTCCTTATCAGATCTCTACCCTTCACCAGCCTCCCCTCTCTTTGGGGTGAAACTTGACCAGCAGGAAACAGGAGATGGGGAGGAACTAGCAGAATAATTCCCCTGGTGCAATCTTTATCATGAATTGCCAAAGTGGTTCTACCACTTTATGCCTTGATTAGCAGTGATATGGTTTGGCTGTGTCCCCACTCAAATCTCATCTTGAATTGTAGTTCCCAGAATTCCCATGTGTCATGGGAGGGACCCAGTGGGAGGTAATTGAATCATGGGGGCAGGTCTTTTCTGTGCTATTTTCATGGTAGTGAATAAGTCTCACGAGACGTGATAGTTTTATAAATGGGAGTTTCCTGCAAAAGCTCTCTTGACTGCCACCATGTAAGATGTCACTTTGCTTCTTCTTTGCCTTCAGTTATGATTGTGAGGCCTCCCCAACCATGTGGAACTGTGAGTCCATTAAACCTCTTTCCTTTATAAGTTATCCAGTCTCAAGTATGTCTTTATTAGCAGTGTGAGAACAGGCTAATACAAGCAGTAACTACCCATTCCTGTCTCCCACATCTTTGCCTGTGTTTGGTCTGGTTTGCAGCAATTGTCAGACTATGTTGCCTCATAGATAGGGACCTGAGTTTGTTCACTTCTCTCTCCACTCCATCCCAACTGTACATACTCCTTGCCCTTGTATTATAGAGATTAGGACCATTACATGAATACTGAAGCAAGGACTCGTTGTATTTATTTCATTCATTCAGAAACTATTTAGTACCTCCTGTGCATTGCACATGGGGGACAGATGATAAAAGAGCAAAAAAGGTAGCTTTCAAAAAACGATCAGCCTGGTGGGGGTCACGGGCAGACACTTTAACATCTGGCACAGTACCATGTGATAAGTGCTGTGGTGAAGCTGTGGGTTACATGCATGTTCAAGCTGCCAGGAGAAAGAATGTGAGGTTGTAACTGATTCTATCTGGGCAAAAAAGGGTCAGTCAAAGCAAGGTCGCCCAGGAAATAGTATTTGGGCTGAGTCTTAGAGGTGAACAGTAATTGCCTTGCCCAGTTTAGAAAAAATATACACCAAACTTTTTTTTTTTTTTTTTTCCTGAAACAGAGTCTCACTTTGTCACCCAGGCTGGAGTGCAATGGCACGATCTCAGCTCACTGCAACCTCCACCTCCTGGGTTCAAGCAATTCTCCAGTCTCAGCCTCCCGAGTAGCTGGGATTACAGGCATACACCACCACACCCAGTTAATTTTTGTAATCTCAGTAGAGACGGGGTTTCACCATGTTGGCCAGGCTGGTATTGAAGTCTTGACCTCAAGTGATCTGCCTGCTTCGGCCTCCCAAAGTGCTGGGATTAGAGGCGTAAGCCATGGCCCCTGGCCCAATATATACCAAACTTCTACAAGGACTAACAATGCTAACTTAAGGCCTAAAGCTATAACTCTGAGTAATTCACCCTTTTGGGTCAGCTGCCTTTCCTGTTGAACTCACCTTTAAAAGATGATTTTGTTTCAAACTAGTGGTGCTAAAATGTCTAAAAACACTTCCAGCTCAAAGAATTCATATAAAATAATCACTGAACAATTTTACTTATTTGAATATTGTTTTACTTCTGCAGCTTCCAAGAATAAGAAATACTTTAAAAGATGATCGAAAATTTAAGAAATAAAAAAACCCCAAATCTTTATTATAATTTTACATGGTGGAAACAAGAGCCTAGAGTGAGAAGACTTGGCTCTGCTGCTTATCAGCTACTGGATGCTGTCACTCATGTCATTTAACTTTTCTGCCTCCCTCATAAGGGAAACATTACTGAAAAAAACAGCAGTCAGATCTGAATGGTGGCATCCCCTTACTCTCTAATACTGGAGTATTTTCTAAATGCTTAGGCTCCCAGAACAATGTTATCATTAAGAGCATGGATTTAACAGGCGGGGCTTAGTGGCTCAGGCCTGTAATCCAAACACTTCGGGAGGCCAAGGCGGGCAGGTCCCTTGCGTTCAGGAGTTCAGAACTGGCCTGTGTAACACAGTGAGACTCCATCTCCACAAAAAATACAAAAGTTAGCCAGGTGTGGTGGTGCACGACTGTAGTCCCAGCTACTTGGGAGGCTGAGGCAGGAAGATCACTTGAGCCCAGGAGGTTTTGGCTATAGTGAGCCATGATTGCGCCACTGCACTCCAGCCTGGGCAGCAGATGGAGAACCTGTCTCAAAAAAAAAAAAAAAAAAAAAAGCATGGATTTGATGTTAAATAAACTTCATTTCAGCCCCAATTCTCTCAATTCCTAATGATTGACACTGGACAAATTACCTAACTTCTATGTGCCTCCGTTTTATCATCTGTAAAATGGGAATAGCTACCACATGAGGGTGCTGTGGGAATTGAGTGAAATAATTAGTGTAATGTGCTGAGCACAGTGTCGAACATAGTAAGCCCTCAATAAATATTTGCTGATAGAACAATTTATTAATGGGATAGTGATATAATTCCATTTCAGAGTGGACTTCTGGTGGGACATAGAGTTTGATGGAAATACTAGTTTTTCAATTCTGTGAAGAAACTGTATTTGCACAATAGTAAATGTGAATCCTAATAGAATTATAGTACTAAAGTCAACTTGTTACTTTTTTTTTTGAGAAGGAATCTTGCTCTGTCTCCCAGGCTTGGCTCAGAGATCTCGGCTAAAGGCAACCTCCACCTCCCGGGTTCAAGCGATTCTCCTGCCTCAGCCTCTCGAGTAGCTGGGATTACAGGTGCCTGCCACCACACCTGGCTAATTCTTGTATTTCTAGTAGACACAGGGTTTTGCCATGTTGGCCAGGCTGGTCTCGAACTCCTGACCTCAGGTGATCCGCTCCACCTTCCAAAGTGCTGAGATTACAGGATTGAGTCACTGCGCCCAGCTCATTTTAATTTTTCTGCCTGTTTCTTTTTGTTGGGAGAAAAGATAGACAGGGTGGGAAGTCTACTGATTAAAAGAGACTCAAGAGATACAGTAATCAAATGCAACATATAGTCTCTGGATCCTGAATAAAAAATTAAACAACAAAAAAACATGAGACAATGAGGAAAATGATAGTAGATTCACTATTTGATAATATTAAATTATTTTCATCAATTAATATTAGTAATGGTATTGTGGTCTTTAAAAGGTGTGTGTGTGTGTGTGTGTGTGTGTGTGTGTGTACTGAAGTTTTTGCAAATGAAATATGTTTGGGATTTGCTTTAAATCATCTAGTGAGGGGAATGAGGATTTATGTGGGTTGTGGAAAAAACAAGATCAGCTATAAATGTTGATACTGCATGAGTGGTACCTGAGGGCTCATTATACTCTATCCTCTATTCCTGTATATATTTGAAAAGTGTAAAATATTTTGCTTTCACAAGACAACAGTAGTAATTTATCCAAGTCCTATGATTTAGTACTAGAAAAGCTCTTTTTCTTTTAAATTGTTGAGTGGCCATGTTAATCATCTCACATTTCTGATAATATCTTTGACATAAAAATATTTATAGAGCATGCCTTTGAATTTCTATCTCTAAGTGCTTTTATAATTTATGAAACTCAAAAGAACATTTCTGGGCACCTTGGCTCAATGCAGGTGAAAAAACATTGAAAAATGGAGTCATGATTAAGAAATTTTTGAAAGGTCTTAAAATGATTAGACTCCCAAAGGAACAGAACTATGATTTTATTTTATAATGCACCCATTGATAGGAGAGTCAAGGGATGAAAAGTGATTTTAGAAGAGGCACACTTTAAGAACATCTGAACTCTGAAATGTCATCAGAAATAATTATTCATTTACCAAAGGATTTGCTTCAGCCTTCCTTTAAATAGTGGTTTCCACTTGAGCACTAAAATAAACAACCCAAATGCGATTAACTATCATTTTTAAGAGCACACTTATTAGACAGAATACCTGTAATTACGTTCTGAGCTGGAACCTTCCAAAAGATTGGTTAGTATTTCTGTTGCATTTCGTTTTATGCCTTATGGTATTATTACATACATAGAAAAACGTGCACATAAACATACCGCTTGATGCGTGTTCACAAGCTGAACACGTGTATGTGACCAGCAGCCAGATGAAACAGGAAATTCGTCCTCTGTGTCACCTTCCAGTTGCCTCCCCCTCCCAAGAGAAGCTATTATCCTGACTTCTAACACATGGATTAGCTTTGCTCAGTTTTTGTACTTTACATAAATAGAATCAAATAGTCAGTAAGTATTTTTTGTGTCTAATATCTTTCACTTATTATTATGTTTGTGACATTTATCCATGTTGTTTTGTGTATCATTATCATTGTTGTTTTATATTGTGTTGTGTAATAGACCACAATTTATTCATCTTTCCATTTTCCCATTGATGGACATTTGGGTTGTTTTTCAGTTTGGGACTATTATGAATAGTGTTGCTAACAGCATTCTCATACATATCATTTGGTCAGCATTACTACTTCTTTCTGTTGGGTATCCATTACTCCGAGAGGAATTGCTAGAACATGACTACATGCTGACAGTCAGCATGAGCTGATGTGGCCAAAGAAGTACTCACAACTACCAGAGTGTGAGCATTCCAGTTGCTCCAAATCCTTCCCAATATTTGATATTTTCTGTCTTTTTTAACTTTAGTCATTCTGGTGGATTCTAATTTGTAAATGGTTTTAATTTGCATTTCACTGGTGACTAAAGAAGTTGAACACAGTTTCAAACATTTACTGGCCACTTAGATATTCTCTTTGAATTTATCTTTCATAAGATATTATCTGTTCAAATCTTTTGTTAATTTCTACCAGATCACCTTGTCATATTTTCTTATTGACTTGTAGAAGTTCTTTATATATTCTGGATTAACATCTTTTGTTGAATACATGCATTGCAAATATTGTGTCTTTTCTGTGGTTTGTGTTTTAACACCTTTTATGGGACCTTTTGATAAACAGAAGTTTGTAATATTAACATAGTCCAATTTTTTCAATTAGTTCTGTTTTTAAAAAAAGTTTTATTATTGTACCTTTCATATATCAATTTGCAATTCACTTGGAATTGATATTCGTGTTAGGCTCAAATTATATATATACATACATGTGTATATATATGTAGAGAGAGAGAGAGAGCACATAATAAAAAGGCCATTCTTTACTGCCCTGCAAAGCCACTTTTGTCATAGATCAGGTAACCATGTATATGTGTAAATAGAATTGAATGTGGGATGTATTTGATAGAGGAGGGGGAGAAAGGAAAGTGTTTATGCTTACATACATTAAAATGCTTTAAAAATGTAAGCTTCCCAGCTGAGCACAGTGGCTCACACCTGTAATCCCAGCACTTTGGGAGGCTGAGGCAGGCGGATCACTGTAGGTCAGGAGTTTGAGACCAGCCTGGCCAACGTGGTGAAACGCCATCTCTACTAAAAATACAAAAATTGGCCAGGCGTTGTGATGCATGCATGTAATCCCAGCTACTCAGGAGACTGAGACTGGAGAATCGCCTAAACCTGGGAGGCAGAGGTTGCAGTTAGCCGAGATCACGCCACTGCATTCCAGCCTGGGCGACAGAGCAAGACTCTGTCAAAAAAAAAAAAAAAAAAAAGTAAGCTTCTCAAATGCATATCCTTGCTACTCATATCCACAGTCAGTGCTCATGAACAAGATGATATAGATGAAATCAATATTTTTTAACAATCTCTGAATATAAAATCTTCAATTTCTTACATTGGATGGAAAAATTGTTGAAACCATACTAGCATACAAACATCACATAAATAGGCTTGAGTTAAAAACACCTGGCAACAACAAGCAAAGTTAAGCAAAAGCCATAAAATATCTATCATTTGTGAGAGAAATAAAAGGAAAATTCTTTAAAAATCCATATTCTTAATGACCAACATAAATCACTTTGTGTATGATAAAACAAAATTTCTCCTGCCTGCTTCACCTGTCTTCATTATTTATTAGTTTATCTTGCTTTAAAATCTACCCAGAGGAAAAGCAAGGACAAGAGTGAAATCAGTTGCCATCAGTGCAATTGAAAAGGACGAGCCCAGGGAGCACTGGAGGTGCATGAAGAGCAGAAAGTGCACAAATTTATTTATCTTCTTAACTTTGAAGGCCTTGGCTTAGAAATCACAGGGCTTGGTTTCATCCTCAGCCTAAGGGAGATAGAAGGAAAATCATCCGTGACAGGTAATTGTCCAAAGCAGAACATGTAGGTAAGGGTTGACAACATTTTTGGAGTGAAAAGTGCTTCCTATTCAGGTTAGAATATTTCAAACCCATTTGCTCAAATCTTAGCTTGTGTCTTAATTGCTGACAATTTTACTCTTTCTTCCTCAAAATGGATAATAAAGATTTATTATCCTGTGAGCTGAGACCTTTCTTTTCTTTTAACTGAAGTATGAAATGTCAAATGAACCAATCTTTCATTGCTATCTGTTGTGATGGAAGATGAGTATAAACCATGGAAGTTTAGTAAGTAGGAAAGAAAAAACCAAGAAGGATAGGAACTTCCTTTAACACATCAGCCCCATCCTTTAACAAATGAGAAACCAGAAGCCAAAAAGATGGCAAGACTTGTTTAAGATCTAGCAGGGAGCTAATGAGAGAGCTGAGAATGGAATCCAGGGTTTGCCATATTCCTGCAACACATTCATTTTATTGGGTGCATTCAGTTTTTATTTCAAAGGATGGCATCAGGCAGCAAAATTTAAGTAATGGGAAATTTCTGTGTTTCAATTGCCTATTGGCTACAAAATGTACTGCCTGCTACTCGGTAGTGTAAAACAGCAACAAACATTTTGTTGTTGTTATTATTATTTTGAGACAGGGTCTTGCTCTGTCACTCAGGCTGGAGTGCAGTGACCCGATCATGGCTCACTACAGCCTCAACCTCCCTGGGCTCAGGCAATCCTCCTGCCTCAGCCCCCACAAGTAGCTGAAATTACAGGTGTGTGCCACCATGCCTGGCTAAATTTTTTGGGAATAGTTTTTAAAGATGGAGTTTTGCAGTGTTGCCTGGGCTGGTCTTGAACTCCTGAGCTCAGGCAATCTGCCCACTTCAGCCTCCCAAAGTGCTGGGATTACAGGCCTGAGTCACTGGACCTGGTTGTTGTTGTTATTATCGCTCATGGTTTTGGAGGTTCACTGGGCTCAGGTATGTAGTTCTCAGTCAGGAGTCTCTATGCAGTTGTGGTCAGCTGGCAGCTGGAGCCTCCTGATGTCTTCTTCGCTCACATGTCTAATGACCGATGCTGATGTTGCTGTCCTCTGTGACCTCAGTGAAACCTGTCAGCCAAAACACCTACATATGGCTTCTCCACCTGGCCTGGGTTTCATCAGGGCATGGTGTCTGGATTTCAAGAGCAAGTGTCCTAGGAGAAACCAAACAGAAATTACACCATCCTTTATAGTCCAAGTTCAGAAGTCAGTGGGCCACTGTCACTATTGTCACAGCACACTGAGATTTAAGAAGTGGGAACATAGCCCTTATGTCTCCATGTGAAGAGTGTAAGAAGAGCACGTGGGGTAGAAGATAGCATTGTGATCATTTTGGAAAATGTGATCTGCTATACCATGGTATCATGAAGAATCGATCTAGTCTTTGTTCTCAGTTTCTGACACAGAGCTTCAAAAACACTTGGAATTTCCTGTGGTAGGAGTGTTTTTATTATGCTAACAAGGTGACTCATGGTGGGACACTAGCATTAGGTTGGGAGCTGGCTGCCAGAAAGACCAACCGTGTGATCAGAAGGCTGGATCTTTGGGTCAGTCTGACTTCCAGGGATGGGAGAGGAACTGGAGACTGAGTTCAATCATATGACAATAATGTAATCAATCATGCCCAGGTAATAAAATTCCAATAAGAACTCTGGACACCGAGGTTCCGTGGAGATTTCTGGTTGGTGCACACATCAATGCTCTGGGAGGGTGATGAACCCGGATTCCACAAGGGAAAGGCTTAGAAGCTCTATGTCTCCTCTACCACCAAATCTTGCCCTATGCATCTCTTCATTTGGCTGTTTCTGATCTGTATCTTTTTTTTTTTTTTTTTTTTTTTGAGATGCAGTCTCGCTCTGTCACCCAGGCTGGAGTGCAGTGATGCAATCTTGGCTCACTGCAACCATGGCTTCCTGGGTTCAAGCAATTATCCTGCCTCAGCCTCCTGAGTAGCTGGGATTACAGGCACACGCCACCACACCTGGCTAATTTTTTTGTATTTTTAGTAGAGACAGGGTTTCACCAAATTGGCCAGGCTGGTCTCGAACTCCTGACCTTGTGATCCACCCACCACAGCCTCCCAAAGTGCTGGGATTACAGGCGTGAGCCACTGTGCCTGGCCGCTGTATCTTTTGTAATAAAACAGTGATCATAAGCACAGTACTTTCCTGAGTTCTGGAAATCATTCTAGCAAATTATCAAACCTGAGGGTGTCATGGGAAACCCTGAATTTGGAACTGGCTGTTCAGAAGTGCAGGTATCCTGGGGACCACTTGTGGCTGATGTATGAAGTGAAGTTGATATTGTGGAGGACTAACCCACTAACCTGTGGGGTCTATACTGTTAAAAAGAAAAGCCTTAGACAAATTAAATTTAACAGAGTTTAATGGAGCAAAGAACAATTCATGAAGCAGGCAGCCTTCCAAGCCAGAGTAGCCTCCAAGAGACTTCAGTGTAGCCATGTGGAAGAAGAAGATTTATGGACAGAGAAAAGAAAGTGAGGTACGGAAAACAGAAGTGAGGTAGAGAAATAGCCACGTTGGTTGCAGCTTGGTATTTGCCTTATTTGAACATGGTTTGAACAGTTGGTCACCTTTGATTGGCCAAAACTTGGTGATTGGCACAAAAGTAGGTTAGTCTGTTTACACATCCAGTTAGGTTTCAGTTTATTATGTACAGAGAAACCTTTAGGATGAACTTAAAATATCTAAGGAGGCCGCTTTAGGCTAAACCTCATTTAACTGTGCTCACTCTTGGTTAGTAGCATTAAAATTGAATTGCAGGACACACAGTTGGTGTCATAGAATTGGTGTGATAACACTCATTCATGTGACCTTCTTCAGTTATCAAGTTTTCTTTTTATTATTCTCACTTGTCTTAAAACGGAATTTTATATATGTGGTACCCACTGTACGTGCTGGAGACAGCTTACAGGTATTACAAAAAGCTCAGAGAGCATTCTGTTTTTGTCTCCAAAGCTCTCTCTTTTCCATTTTCTTCCTATGTCAAAGATACCTAGTGAACATTTGTAATTTCCACTTTAGTGGGTTTCCTATCCTATCTTCAGTTTTAAGGATCAGGAAGGCTTGGACAGCACTTCTTTCTGATAGGTCAGGGTGTTCTGCTCTGATGGAGATAATTACAGCAACATCTCCCGTACTCAGTGCTTGAATATTTTCTCTTTTTCTGCCTACATTCTCTCTTTAGTTGATTTCATCCTGTATCATGGCTTTAAGTACCAGCTATCTACTCCCAACAGGATGTCTCCTCTGAACTCCAGATTTTTACACTAAATTGCCCAGCCAACACCTCCACTCATATGTTTAATACTCATCTCAAACTTGACACTAAGCTCATATGGTTTTCTCCAAATCCTGTGCCTCTCACAGTTTTCCTAATCTCAGGTAATGCTGCCTTTAACCTTCTAGTTGCCCAGGCTCCATCCTTAACTCTCTTTCTTTTGTATTCCATCAGCAAATTCTAACGGACCTGTTTCTAAATATGTTCCAAATTTAACCACATCTCTCTACCCACCACTGTCACCATTATTTATTGACTAAACTATTGCAAAGTCCTCCTAATTGGTCTTTTCACATCCACCCTTGCCTCATCCCACAGTCTGCTCTCAACACAGAGGGCAAAGAGAGTATGTTAAAAATTAGTTAATAAATAAATTAGATCATGTCATTTCTCAAACCCTCCAATGGCACTCTATCCCATTCAGAGTAAAATGCAAGGTTGTTAGTAAAACTTACAGACCTTACAAGGCCTAGTTCCCTTACCTCTCTGATTTCGTATTCCAACTTCATCTTTTTTTTTTTTTTGAGACAAAGTCTCGCTCTGTCACCCAGGTTGGAGTGTAGTGGCATAATCTTGGCTCATTGTAAGCTCTGCCTCCCGGGTTCATGCCATTCTCCTGCCTCAGCCTCCCAAGTAGCTGGGACTACAGGCACCCGCCACCACGTCCAGCTAATTGTTTGTATTTTTAGTAGAGATGGGGTTTCACCTTTTTAGCCAGGGTGGTCTTGATCTCCCAACCTCGTGATCCACCAGCCTCGGCCTCCCAAAGTGTCCAACTTCATCTTTTTATTCACTGCATTACAATCACAATGGCCTACTTCCTGTTCCTCCAGCATATCAGATACACTCCCACCTCAGGGCTATTGTACTAGCTGTTCTCTTTGCTTGGAATTTCACTCCCTTATACCCACATGGTTCACCCCTTGCTTAACTCAGATTACTACTCAAAATTCTGCTTTTTAGTAAGACTTTCACAGATCACCTTATTTAAAACTTCAAACCTCCTCCTTTCTGGATATTCATCGTATTCTTTCCTGCTTGATTTTTCTCCTTAGCTAGTATTACTATCTAACATACTATATATTTTACTCATTCAATGCCCAATTAGGAGCCAAATAAAATACTTTAAGCAATTTGGGAATTTGGAAAAGGGGGAGATTCATAAGGCAAGACTTCATGGAGTGGGAGGATTTGAGCGGACTTTTGAAGAAATGAGTGGGCTTTGAATAGTCAATGAGACGTGTACGGGTAAGAAAGTTAATACCTTTTGAGAAATGCAAATCAAAACCACAATGAGATACCATCTCACACCAGTTAGAATGGCAATCATTAAAAAGTCAGTAAACAACAGGTGCTGGAGAAGATGTGGAGAAATAGGAACACTTGTACACTGTTGGTGGGACTGTAAACTAGTTCAACCATTGTGGAAGTCAGTGTGGCGATTCCTCAGGAATCTAGAACTAGAAATACCGCTTGACCCAGCCATCCCATTACTGGGTATATACCCAAAGGACTATAAATCATGCTGCTATAAAGACACATGCACACATATGTTTATTGCGGCACTATTCACAATAGCAAAGACTTGGAACCAACCCAAATGTCCAACAATGATAGACTGGATTAAGAAAATGTGGCACATATACACCATGGAATACTATGCAGCCATAAAAAATGATGAGTTCATGTCCTTTGTATGGACATGGATGAAATTGGAAATCATCATTCTCAGTAAACTATCGCAAGGACAAAAAACCAAACACCGCATGTTCTCACTCATAGATGGGAATTGAACAATGAGAACACATGGACACAGGAAGGGGAACTTCACACTCTGGGGACTGTTGTCGGGGGGAGGAGGGGGGGAGGGAGAGCATTAGGAGATGTACCTAATGCTAAATGACGAGTTAATGGGTGCAGCACACCAGCATGGCACATGTATACATACGTAACTAACCTGCACATTGTGCACATGTACCCTAAAACTTAAAGTATAATAATAATAAAGAAAAAGAAAAAAAGAAGTTAATACCTTTTCCTCACCCATTGCAGGGGTCATAGCTGACACGTCTATAACAAAAGACAGATTAACAAGAGAAAAATGTAACAAATGTATTTAATCAAAGTTTTATATGACATGGAATCTTCAGAAATGAAGACCGAAAGATGCAGGGAAAACTGTATTTTTAGGCTAAGTCTGATGAAATAAGTGGATAGCTGAGGAGAAACATGACTGGACAAAAAGTGCATGATCTAGTAATAAACTGAGGAGGAAATTCAGCAAAGTCTCTTTGTTCAGCTTCTTCTTGGTCTCTCTGTGTAGCATTCCTTTCCCCAGGACATCTGTCATATGAGAGTATTATGATCTACTTTCAGGAAAGGTAGGTCATAAGGTCTTATGGCTTGCTTTGGGGAAGAAAAAGGGGTGAGAGACAGGATGGGGGGAGAAGATCAGGGAAACCTTCTAGCTTCTGAGGTCCTTCCTATCTCCTTCAGCTCAAAAATACTCAGTGTTCCAAAAAGTATCACAATACTTTGTAATACTGTGTTCTGAGTCCTGACCAGAGAAAGGGAGTAGTCCACATAAGAGAAGGTGTAAGCTATTTTCCTGAGATTTTTGGATGCAAAAAGATCTGACCTCTTAGTAAGTAGAGGATTTCAGTACTTTTTTAAAAAATTGGCACCTCCTTGAATGCAAGAACTATTTAATCTCTGTGTTCTCAAATTTTATCTATCTGGCATGGAATAGAAATTTAATAAATGTTGGGTGGATTATTCAATGAATAAATGGATGGATGGATAAATAGAAGATGGAGGTAGGAATGAATAAGGGATGGGTAGATGGATCAGTGGGTCAATGGATCAACAGATCAAAGGATAGATGAGCAGGCAGATGACACAAACTCTTGCATTCAGCTGCTTCCTGTTTAAATGACATTTGTCTCTAACCATAAAGATGATTCTACACTAGTGGATCAAAAGACTCAGATAATTTTGACCTACAACTGAAAAAAATCTTTCAAACAAACTATAAGACATTTTCACTTTTCTTTATGCTACTTCTACAGGTTCAGTCACTGGAAAACTTTCTATATTGGAAACTAAAGTTCCCTGTCATGCAATTCAAAACTAGACTGTGAAACAAAAGCTGATTATTAATTTCTTGGTCTAATCTTTATATGTATTTGGTAGGGAAAATGATAATTATCTTCATTATATAAGTGAAGCAAGTCAAAATATCATGCTTTGTGAATTCCAAGATGCTCATTTTTTCCCTCACATTTTAATATCTCTGAAATAAAGATGTATCTTCACACATCAATGGTGTTTTAGTATTGTGTCATAGTTTAATTGGCAGCATTTTTTCTCTCCTGGTGGCATTTTTTAAATGGTTTATTTGATAAGCATTGGTGTCTTAGAGCCATGAAACAAGATCAATAATTATCTCAACGTGTCAAACCCAGTCTATGGTGGAAGTGGGACTGGAACTAAGATTTCCTCAGTTTTTAACCAGTGTTTTAAAGACTAGATGAAATTTACACTAAAAAATGGAGCCCTTGGCAAATTGCTTTTATACCATACCTTATAAATTTAAAGAAACTATCATTCTCCTCTTCATGTCTCCCATTTGATGTTACAAGGGAAGAAATGTTGAGTTTCAGAGACAATATCTTATGATAATTTTCCTGCAGCTGGTACCTCGCCTAATGTTGCCAAATATAGCAAATAAAAATACAGGAATGTTCCACATGTTGGATATGTTGGGGTTCATAAAACAACACCCCTAAATATGGCTCTTTGGCGTGCAGAACAAAGGAAGCAGCCTCAATATCTCTCTGATCTCACCAACCACCCCGATCCTGTCTCTCAACACTTCTCACAAAGCACAAGATGAGGTTATTCTCTGAAATTCCCTTATCTGCCTAGAAACCAGACATACCAAAAAATTGCACAATTGCCTTTGATTTCTTCCCTGAAATTCATCAACCAGAGAAGAGATAAACTCATATCACAGAGAAAGAGACTGAACATTAAACACCATGTCTAGAGCCCAGGCAAACTTTGTCCCAAACCATTGTTTGTTCTCAGGTCCCAATCAATTTCCAAAGAGAATCATTTACAAGATACTGCCTGCCACCCAGGTCCATTCATTCCGCACTAAAAATTATTCACTCCTATATCCCCATCTCCTCTTCCCCTATGAAGACGGGCATATATGCATCTGGACCTCACTGGGTTATTTGAGTAATCATCCTCCAGAATTCCCCTGTGCTTATGCATGTTAAATAAGTTTGTATGTCTTATTCTCCTACTAATCTGCCTATTGCCAGCTAATTTTCAGCAAACCTTTGGAAGGCACACGGAGGGGAAGCCTTCTTTTGTCCCGTATATTTGGAACAGACGCTGAAAAATAATGTATTGTTAATCTGAAATTCAAATTTAACTGAACATCCTGTATTTAATCTGGCAACCCTAACCTCACCCAACTTTCACAAGAAAGGAAATCAACAGACTGGTTTAACTTTCCACAAGATTCCACAAGAGTGCCAAGCAGGGGAGCTGGGCAGGGAGGTTGGGGCTTCTCCAGTGGGGTGGAAGGGCATTGTCTGACCCATGATCTTGGGAGCTCCGCTGATTCATTTCTTAAGATTCGTGCTGGAAGTGTGCCAAAACTCATTTCGGTTGAATGCTAACTGGCCTAGTGTTTAAATAAATATCAGACTGAAGCCAACTATCACCAACTTAGAAGGAACTTCCGGGGTAGACTGTTCTCTTTTAAAACTCATAGGTGGAATGGAATTTAATCATGAAATAAAAATACAGTTTTTAAAGGTTATTTTAATGTCATGAATAATAATCTAATAATTCTGCAAAGATTTCAAATATGTTTTACATATAATCCTTTTATTCTGCCTTCCATTCTTATTTAAAATTGTGTAAACATTTGTTGGTTCAAAAAGGATGGAGTGTTCCTAAAGTTATCTAGTAGAGGCATTCTCTCTTTGTAACTTTATTTTGTAGAGACAGGGTCTTGCCCCATTGCCCGGGCTGGAGTGCAGTGGCACCATCACAGCTCAGTGCAACCTGGAACTCCTGGGCTCACGTAATCCTCCTGCTTCAGCCTTCTGAGTAGCTGGGGCTACAGGTGCATGCCACCACACCTGGCCAAGACATTCTCTTTTACTAGATTTCTATTAGCTGCTGATCTTGCTTGACTTAACTACTTGAAAGCTTTAAATTATTGATTTTGTAGGTAAAATCCTCAGCTTTCACAATCACTAATTATAGTAGCACTTTAAACTCCTACAATAATGAATATATATTTATACTCCAACTTACTGATAGCATTTTAACATATAAAGGTTACAAGGAGATTTTTCACACCAGGTTATATCTAAATGATCTAGATGCTTACCTCTATTCAAAAATGAATATTCAGATATTAATGATAGATCTGAAATATGTACAATAATTATATATAAATAAAAATAAAAATAAATAATACTCCTGAAAGAATGGCATGCTTGTTTTATTTAATTTTTTCTTGAAAACACTGAAAATGTGGTCCTGCATCAGCCGCATTACTTGGGAGGAATTCACAGGCTCTCAGGCCCACTCCAGGCTTTCAAAATCAGACCCTCTGAGGGTGGGGCTGTGTTTAACTAGCCCTGCAGGATACGCAAGTTGAAGTTTAAAAAGCCCTGACCTTGCAACAGAAGGACCTGGCAGCTGGTTAGAAATGCTGGATCTCAATCCCAACCCAACCTAAGGAACTGGAATCTGCATTTTAACAAGATGCCCTGGTGATTTGTGTGTACCGGTAAGTCTGAGACACGCTGCCCTAGAAAATACTGTAACTGAAAGTTGTGTTTTATTCGCTGTCTCTAACCAGCTGATGCTGATGAGGAGCCTTCTAAGTAGGAGGTAAATGGGTACCATCCCTCTGAAAAACCCAGTCTTTTATGAAATCCACACCAAACCCATTCCTGGAACTAAGTTCTTATCACCTGCTTCAGACACATCAAGTTTGCCAAGGCTGGGCATGGTGGCTCACGCCTGTAATCTCAGCACTTTGGGAGGCTGAGGTGGGCAGATTACCTGAGGCTGGGAGTTTGAGACCAGCCTGACAAACATGGAGAAACCCCGTCTCTACTAAAAATACAAAATTAGCTGGGTGTGGTGGCGCACGTCTGTAATACCAGCTACTTGGGAGGCTGAGGCAGGAGAATCATTTGAGCCCAGGAGGCGGAGTTTGCGGTGAGCCGAGATTGTGCCATTGCACTCCAGCCTGGGTAACGAGAGGAAAATCCGGCTAAAAAAAAAACAAAAAACCTAAAATTTGCCAAAAGACTAATATTTTATTTTCTCTTCTTTCTGACCTGATGACGCCTCTCCCCAGTGTGTTGAGTTGCATTCCCCATCCACCCCCTTACTTTACCACTAGGAAAAAGATCTGATGTGTGAGGGTCAGAGTCCTGTAGACAGCTAGAAATTGACTTTTAAGTTTGAACTCTAGGTTAAATATTGATTGATTTTGATCTCTCAACCTAACACAGTCTTTGGGAGAAATTATTTGTGTTTAACCACTCTTATGGCCATAAGACTATTGCTTAAATTTAACCCCAATCCCTCCAGCAGCTGAACAAGTTTATCTCCATTATAGAAGAAAATTCTTGATTACAGCTCTGCAATCCCAGATGTGCTTTGGAATTTGAAATTTTTGGATTGTAGAAAGATAATACAGTGCATATATTGCATATTGCATTCCATCTCCAGGGGGATCTAAAGCAGCATCCTGTAATAAACACATTTAAGTCTCTGCAATAAAACACAAAAATTCACAGTAAGTGAGATAAACTGACATTATAAACAGCCTCATGTGAGTTCCGGTTTTCCATTCAGTTTAAGAAAAAACTTAGTTTTCACAGCTTTTTCTATTTGGACAGTATGGATAAGAGAGTGTGGATTCCAAGAACAAGGTACAAGTTGGTGTAAAAAATTAAAGGGAATGAGCACCAACTGGGAAAAGCTGAAGGGAAACAAATGAACAACAGCAGTGGTAGACACTGAAAAAGCTCATTTAACAGATTTCTTTCCACAAGCAAGCTGCATGTAGATGAAAATTCTTGCTCTTCGGGGGCCAGGCTCAGATTCCCAACCAGGAGACCTTGCAACAAAAATGAGACTGATTTGGATTGGGAGATAAAGTTTAAGGGAGAATGGAATGAGGGAAATAATAAAGAGCTATGGGAACACCTAGAAATGGCACTGCGTATGTGAGCTAATTATTTCCAAGGCTGATTCATTTCCCAGTTCACAGCTGACTCCCTTTTATTCCCCTCATTCTTTTAATTCATCTTTGTCCATGTGCTGAGTGGTGGATGGGTCAGGATGCCTTGGCCCACCCTCAAATAGACCCAATGTTTTTGTAGCCTTTTAGAAATCTCTGGCAGAGCGTGGCTCACATCCATAATCCCAGCACTTTAGGAGGCTAAGGCAAAAGGATCACTTGAGCCTGGGGGTTCAAGACTAGCCTGGTCAACATAGTGAGATCCTGTCTCTATAAAAATAAATTTAAAAGAAAATAAAAATAAATCTCATGGCCTCTTCTTAGATCTTTTAATTTTACATCCCAAATCCTCAGTTCCGCTCTGCTCTTTGTTTTTCTTCAGAGGGAGAAGAGAGGGATCTCTTGGGTCTCCTCTGATTATTTAATTGGCCTTTGGTCAAGGATCATAACAGGTTAGTGGAAAGGAGACGGAAAGTGGAAGGCTGTGGCCCTCCTTTAAGAAGCATGGTGCTGGTCAGGCGCAGTGGCTCATGCCTGAAATCCCAGCACTTTGGAAGGCCGATGCAGGCAGATCACTTGAGCTCAGAAGTTCAAGACCAGCCTGGGCAACATGACAAAACCATGTCTCCACAAAAAATACAAAAATTAGCCAGGAGTGGTGGCACATGCCCGTAGTCCCAGCTACTTGGGAGGCTGAAGTTATGGGGGCATCGCTTGAGCCAGGGAGTTTGAGGCTGCGGTAAGCTGAGATCGCACCACAGCAATCCAGCCTGGGCAACAAAGCCAGACCCTGTCTCAAAAAAGAAGAAAGGTAAAAAAGGTTAAAAAGAAGCATGGTGCTTTTCTTTCTCAGCATGTTCCTGAGGATTTTCTTTTTACCATCATCTTTTAAAGAGTGAATCTAACCTGAGATCTGACAAAGATAGGTTAAATATTCAAGAGCAAATCATTTCTTCCTCACAAATACCTTCCTGAATAGAAAAACAAAGCACCTCAGAAGTCTATATCACTTTTAAGATAGTCACAGGGTTTTTTGTAATGTAAATTTTGTTAATGAGTGGCATACATAGAGAAAAGTGCACAAATCCTAAGTGGACAGAGAGATGACAATGACATCATAAGAAATGTGTATTTGGTCTCTGCTCACAGTTCCTGGCACAGGGCTTCTGAAACTCTTGTAATTTCCTGAGTGATAAGGGTGCTAGGAGCATTTTTCATTACAATGTAGTTGTCCTTCGGTAGCTTCAAGAACCCCCCTTCACCCCAGATAGCACAATAGGAGGTTGCTCAAGTTCCTGAGATAAAATGATGTAGTATTTGTATATAACCTATGCACATCTTCCCGTATACTTTATATCATCTATAGATTACTAATAACACCTAATACTATGTAAATGCTGTGCAAACAGTTGTGATACTATACTGGTTTTTACATTTGTTTTTTTTTTTTATTGTTTTTTCCAAATGTTTTTGATCTGCAGTTGGTTGAATCTCGGATATGATGGGCTCACTGTATTTGTTATTAGTCCTGGTTTCTGACACACAAGCAGTTCTAAACCTTTTGGAATTCCTGGAGTGATCAAAGTGTCTTTTTGTATGTCAGTGGAAGACTGGTGGCTGAAAGCCCCTAGAAAGATTCAGGATGGGGGCTGGTTGACAGAAGAACAAACCATGTGATTAAAGGGTTAGAACTTTCAGTCTGAACTCCAACCTCCAATGGCCAATGATCTAATTAATCATGTCTACATAATGGAACTTTTGTAAAACCCCTACATGATAGGGTTTAGAGAGTTTCTGAAGACATGGAGGTGCTGGGAGGTGGCTCTCCTGGAGAAGGCATGAAAGCCCCATAGCCTTTCCTCATACCTTTCCCTGTATACCTCTTCATCTCCCTGTTCATCTGTATCTTTTGTAATAGCTTTTATAATAAACTGGTAAACATAAGTAAATATTTCCCTGGGGTTTGTTAGCCATTATAGTAAGTTATCAAACATGAGGAGGGGATTGTAGAAACTCCTGATTTATAGCTGGCTTTTCAGAAGTACATGTGACAACCTAGGACTTAAGTAGGGGATAGTTTTATGAAACTAAGTCCTTAATCTGTGGGGTCTATGCTAACTCACAGTGTCAGGGTTGAATCGTAGGACATTCAGTGGTTTGCAGAGAATTGGAGAATGGCTTAGTGTGGAAAACCCACATATTTGATGTCAGAAGTGTTGTGAGACTTTAGAAAAACAGTTGTTTATCCTCTTTAATGACTTGTCACAGAGTTTACATACTCTGTAACCAGTGCAACAGACCAAGTAATAGAACATAACCAGCTCTGCAGAAGCCCTTCCGAGTCCCTACCCCAAAGGTGGCCCCATCTGAACAGAACATAGGTTAATTTTGTTTGTTTTTAATTTCATTCTTTTGTTTTGCTTCTTATGCCTAACATATTCATGAGATTCAGCCACATTATTGTGATACATTGTAGTTCAACAGTTTGTATTGGTGTGTAATACTTTATTGTATGATATGCCACTTAACCATTCTCTAATGAGTGGTCATTTGGCTTGTGGCCAGTCTGGGCTATCATGACTAGTACTGTTTAAGCATTTCTGTACCTGTCCCTTGGTGAACATGCATATGCATTCCTGTTGGATACCTAGGAGTAGGATTCCATAGGTGGGTCACTGGGCATGTGCATGTTCAGCTTTAGTAGATATTAGGTTGGTGCAAAAGTAATTGTGGTTTTGGGCCGTGGATTTTAAATCATTATAACTAGCCTCAAACACATCTTTATTAATCAAAATAGGAACCATTATAACCAACACATTTTTGCCAATGAGAAATAAGTTTCTTTTATTCCTGTAGCATAAAAATCCATGCTTCGGGATTTGACAAACTCTTGGAAAGCATGTTCTGCATCCTGCTGGTAGTGGAAGCATTTTCCCTGCAAAAAGTTGTCAAGATGCTGGAAGAAGTGGTAGCTGGTTGGCGAGAGGTCAGGTGAATATAGTGGATGAGGGAAAACTTTGTAGCCCAGTTTGTTAAACTTTTGATGCATTTGTTGTGAGACCTGCAGTTGGGCATTGCCCTGGAGAAGAATTGGGCCCTTTCTGTTGACCATTGCTGGCTGCAGGCACTGCAGTTTTTGGTGCATCTCATCAATTTGCTGAGCATACTTCTCAGATGTAATGGTTTCGCCGGGATTCAGAAAGCTGTAGTGGATCAGACCGGCAGCAGACCACCAAACAGTGACCATGGCCTTTTTTTTGGTGCAAGTTTGGTTTTGGGAAGTGCTTTGGAGCTTCTTCTTGGTCCAACCACTGAGCTGGTCGTCACTGGTTGTCGTATGCAATTCACTACTCATCGCACATCACAATCTGATTGAGAAATTCATTGTTGTTGCATAGAATAAAACAACAGTTCAAAATGATGATTTTTTAAATTTTTGGTCAGCTCATGAGGCATCCACTTATTGAGCTTTTTCACCTTTCTAATTTGTTTCAAATGCCCTAGAAAGGTCGATGTTGAGTTATTTGCCAACTTCCCGTGTAATTGTAAGAGGATCAGCTTTGAAGATTGCTCTCAATTGGTTGTTGTAAATTTCCGATGGTCAGCCACTATGCTCCTCATCTTCAAGGCTCTCATCTCCTTTGCAAAGCTTTTTGAACCACCACTGTACTGTACGTTCGTTAGCAGTTCCTGGGCCAAACGCGTTGCTGATGTTGCGAGTTGTCTCTGCTGCTTTATGACCCACCCATTTTGAACTCAAATAAGAAAATCCCTTGAATTTGCTTTTTGTCTAACATCATTTCCATAGTCTAAAATAAACATAAACTAAACAGCAAGTAATAAGTCATTAGCAAAAAAGTATAAAGAGAGAAATGCCCATTAAAATGATGTATAATATAACCACATTTATTTAAGAATGTATTCCAATATCAAATGGCAAATTCCCATAATGCAAAAACCGCAATTACTTTCGTACCAACCTAGTACTACCAAAGAGTTTTCCAAAGTGGTTGTACCAATTTATACTCCCACCAGCAGTGCATGTGAATTCCACAGGGCTTTTTAAAACACATCTCCATGCACAGTCATGTAATTTTTCAGTTTAGATATTTGAAGTTGTCCCTCTGTCTTATATCCATAGAGATCCTCTCAGTTGAACTATGAGCCTCTCTTTACCTTTTAAGTCATCCCACTTTGAAAGTAAGCTCTGAGTTTCAGAAGAGAAATGCCTGGCTCACTGTTCTGTGAGTTTCACAGCACTCGATAGCCTTTCTTGTTCCTCCTTGACCAATCTTCTTTTGTAACACCAGGTGTATTGATTTGATCATTTCTGAACTTTCAGAGAGCAGTTTAAGGGGCTCACAATTTAATGAGTAATGTTCAGACTAAAAGTTAATTAGTGAGGCATTGAAGAGTTAGCTGAGAAAGTATACTCAATTCTAGCAGAGTGTAACACTGAGCAGAACTTGAGACAGCAAAATCAGGGTGACTTTCACATGCAGTTTGTATGTCTCATTACTTTGTAATCACATGTATGGCCACACATAAGGCAAAGACACAGGGTGTATGTACCTTACAGAAGGCTTTATTGGCCTCATTTTATGCACAGGTGTATAATCTAATACCAATAACACCTATTGATTAACCACTGGCTGTGTGCTAGGCAGTGTGATTGAGGCTTTAGATTCTTGCTATTCAAAGTGTGGTCTGGACATTAGCAGCATAGCCATCAACTGGGAGCTTGCTAGAAATGCATAGCCTCACGCCTCACCCCAGACAGGTGGACTCAGAAACTTCAGTTTAACCAGATGCCAATGGGGTTCTGAAACACATTAAAGTTTGACAAGTGCCGTTTTAGACACATTATCAAAATTAATCCTCATTATGACCATGTAAGGATGGGAGAGCAATATCCTCACTTTAGAGATGAGGAAACAGGGACATAGAAAGTTCTGCAAAGAGCAAATTCAGAGAAAGACTGACAGCAGAGCACAGACTTGTAATCATTATTCCATGAGACCTCCAAATTATTCTATAAGCATTTAATTTATGTATAAATTTTAGGAGCTTACCTTGGTATAAATAAATGCTGACTAACATTGGAAGTCTGGCCTTTTCAGTATTGACTTTTGGTAATTCTGATATGTTGCTGCTGATCAGACAAGGTTGATTAGACAAGATTGAATGTGACAATAGAGAACTAGTTTTGTTCCCAGGTAAGGTGGGCAATTTGGTGTAGATGGATAAGCAGATGAGTAAATGAGTTGACATTGTTGAACTTGACCTGAGCCCTGTGCTCCCATAAAACAGCACAGTTAAGAAATCCTCACAACATTTTGTCATCCAAAATCCCCCCCAACTCTTTTTTGTTCCAGGAAAAGGTTTATGGCAAAGAGCCATCCTCCCTCATAGAGTTAGGTCAGATTGGCTGTCCACTTTCTGATGACTCCTATCACACTTGCATGGAGGCCTCCCTTGTTCACCTGTGACAAGGCCAAATATAGACCTTTCTTCTTTGGCTTGAACCTGCTCAAAGGCCAGAGACAGACCCTCCACCTCTCTTTTGTTTGTCTCATGAATGATTATCTGAGATTAGAACTACCTGTACCCTTGAATATAGCTAGACATAGAGATAAACATTTTCTTTTCGGCTAACAGAGAATTTTCCTAATTGCAAAATAACCTAACTGTAAATCACCCCATTTATAACGTGTCTACACCTCCCTATGAAAGTGTAAGGCAGGCCGGGCATGGTGGCTCACACCTGTAATCCCAGCACTTTGGGAGGCCGAGGCAGGATGATCATGAGGTCAGGAGATTGAGGCCATCCTGGCTAACGCAGTGAAATCCTGTCTCTACTAAAAATATAAAAAACTAGCTGGGCTTGGTGGCACGCGCCTGTAGTCCTAGCTACGCAGGAGGCTGAGGCAGGAGAATCGCTTGAACTTGGGAGGCGGAGGTTGCAGTAAGCTGAGATCATGCCACTGCCAGCCTGGGCAACAGAGTGAGACTCTGTCTGAAAAAAAAAAATGTGTAAGGCAAACTACCTTGCCAAGACACTGTGGGGTTTTCTCCTAGTTTTGATAGTCTGAATAACATCAATTTCCTTACTTGTTGGTTTTTATCTTTAACAGGGCTCATGGTCTTAGTGACTCAGGGTTGGTGGTCAACTTGGCAAAGATGAATCTTGCCTTATTACCTCTGAGTTTGTAACATCAAAGATAAGAAATGATTGTTCCTTTCAAACTGCAAGAATTATCTTCTCCCCCAATTACTGTCATCTTCCCCCAGGTCTGATAACTTTAATAAACTACCATCTTCTTAAAGGCTCTCTGGAGCACAGGACTTCACCTGGGCTCCGGCATCAACCAGTATTAAGTTTATCCTTAGCAGGTTCAGTGGCCTCTGAGTTTCCTGCTAAGGTGCTGAAAATGTTTGAAAACTGTGAGAATATTTAAAGCAGAAATCCCCTAAATGTGTAAGTGTGTAATGAGGTTGCAGAATTGATCTGACAAGCATCGGAAGGCTTTGCACTAAGATATATAATGCATATACTCTTTCAACATTTGCATTTCATTTAATAACATCATTTTGTTCCTCTAGAAGTCTGCTTATCCTTTGAATATAAAAGGTGTTAGGAAGAAATGTGTATTTATTCCATTTTATTTGTCACAAAGGAAGAAATCAAGCTCTTTCCTATGCTTTACTAAAATACATGCTTTCTCCAAAACAGAATTTTAGAAGCAGCAGGGAAAGGAGGTTTGCATTTGTTCTGTCTTCCATTTTTGCCATTAGAAGCAATTCTGAGATCTATATAAAAATCCATTTAAGGAGCCTTCTTTGCATTGCATTTGTGTTGTGGGTCAGATATTAAATGATTAGGAAATAGAGAATAAATAAACAAATAAATAGAGAAGTCCTGATTAACCAAATGGTTTTTGGCTTGAGTTTTTAAATCCTGACACTTGAATGTGTTATTCAGTGTTCTTTTCCTATTAAGTGTGAGTGTATTTAATGAATTCAGATTAGAAACTATTTTTAGGTTCTGTTAAAATCAGGTCTAAGACATCAGCAGGAAGTGAAATATCAAGATCTATTAATTACTGTTTCTGTAAAACTCTATAAAGCTATTATTAGAATTATTATATCCAAAGTTGTCAATATATAAATGTTTATGACTGTAGACCTTCTTATTTGGCATAGAGTCTATGCAGAAAGATCATCTACTTGTCAGTCACTTTCACTGCCCACCTCCAACCTGCTGTCATTAAAATCTCAAGCCTTACTTTCATATCTGTGTTTTCTAGTCTATCTCTAGGGAATAATTAGACAGAACCAACAGCACTGAAGATAACCAAAGGGTTGTAATGGATTTCAGAAGTAGTGAGAAATAACAACAAGCAAAGACCTTTCAGCACAATAGCGACACTGTGGCTGGATTTTGAACCTAAGCCAACTGAATTATTTTTGTAGTATGAGTATACAGTTAGGTTATGGCAAAGTTATCTTAGCCTTTTTACAAAATAACCTCTACTATGAATCAATGCATAAGATCTCAAGACTGTTGTTTATTATTTTTTCGAGGTTATTTATAGACTGAGTTAATCCAAGGTCCAAATAGCAGCACCTTCCGTTGAATGCAAATAATTCCATTTGTATTTTCGTTTTTAAAAGTTGGATGAGCTCATGGTCTACTCATGATAACAAATCCACCAAGCAAGTGTTTGATTTAATTGAACATTTCTGTTTTATAAACTTAAAGCAATTTATATTGTACTAAATGTTATTTTTTAATAAAATAAAATTTATGGTGACATTTAAAAACAATCAAAAAAGTATAAAGAATAGCACAGGGGTAATATAACATGTACCCACTACCCAGCTTCAGAAGTAGAATTTAACCTTTACATTTGAAACTCTTGTATTCTCTCCCCCAGTTACAACTCCCTCCCTTTGGAGAAACCACTGTCTTATTTATTTATTTATTTATTTATTCTTTTTTTAAATTGTACTTTAAGTTCTGGGATACATGTACAGAACGTGCAGGTTTGTTACATAGGTATACACGTGCCATGGTGGTTTGCTACACCCATCAACCCGTCATCTACATTAGGTATTTCTCCTAATACTATCCCTCCCCTACCCCCCACCCCCTGACAGGCCCTAGTGTGTGATGTTCCCCTCCCTGTGTCCATATGTTCTCATTGTTCAACTCCCATTTATGAGTGAGAACATGCGGTTGTTTGGTTTTCTGTTCCTGTGTTAGTTTGCTGAGAATGATTGTTTCCAGCTTCATCCATGTCCCTGCAAAGGGCATGAACTCATCTTTTTTTATGACTGTATAGTATTCCATGGTGTCTATGTGCTACATTTTCTTTATCCAGTCTATCATTCATGGGCATTTTGGTTGGGAACCACTATCTTAAATTTGGTGATTGATATTACCCTGCAATTATCTTCAAACATGACTGTATCCCTAAGAAATTATGCAGAATTTTATGCATCTTTTAAAACTTTACCTAAAAGGTAATATATTGTATGAAATTTTCTTCAACTTGCTGTATTTTGTCAACATATATTTGTGAGATTTATTTCTGTTGATGCATATAACTGTGGGTCATTTTTTTTAACTACTGTATAGTATTCTAGTATTCCTTTTTTTTTTTTTTTTTGAGACAGTCTTCCTCTGCCACCCAGGTTGGAGTGCAATGATACAATCACAGCTCACTGCTGCCTCTATCTCCCAGGCTCAAGGGATCCTCCCACTGTAGACACCCAAGTAGCTGGGACCACAGGTGCATGCCACCAAACCCAGCTAATTTTTTTTTTTATTATTTTTTGTAGAAATGGGGACTCACTATGTTACCCAGGCTGATCTCTAACTCTTGGGCTCAAGTGATCCTCCCATCTTGGCCTCCCAAACTGTTGAGACTACAGGTATGAGCCAATGAGCCCAGCCTGTACAGTATCCCATTTTATAACTATGCCATAACTTATCCATTTAAGATATTGCTTATTTTACAAAGTTGTTTTAATTTATATGTAATTTACCCATAGTGGCCTATAGGGGTCCCTATTGTTTCATAGCCTTGCCACCATGTGCTATGGTCAGAGTTTTCTTTTTTGCAAATTGTAAGAATATGCTAATTATTAATTTAAGTCAACATTTTATTAATATGTAAACAAATTTTAAACAACCAAATATAAAATTTGGAGCTAAATTACCATTCATAGGTATATTAATTAGAGCAGAGATAAGCAAATTTTTTCCTAAAAGGCCACATGGTACACACTGTAGGCTTTGTGTGCCATGAGATCTCTGCTGCAACTACTCAACCCTGTCACTGTAGTGCAAAAGCAGCCATAGAAAATACACAGACAAACAGGCATGGTAGTGTTGCCATAAAACTTTATTTACAATATCAGAAGGCCTATATTCAAGCTATATTTGACAACACTGAGTTAGAGTAAGTGTATCAGAGTTCTTCAGAGAGACAGAGTCAAGAAGATATATATATGTTGTTGAAGGACAAGAGAGGAAGAGTGTATCCTAGCTCCAGCAGATAGGTTGATACATTCACCTTTTTTCTGCTTTTGTTCTCTGGGGCGTCCCCCAGCAGATTGGATGATGCCAGACCACTTTCCCCACCTAGTTCATCCAGACTCACATGCTAATCTCTTCTGGAAACATCCTCACAGATGCATCCTGAAACAATGCTGATATGGTTTGGCTAGGTGCCCACCCAAATCTCATCTCAAATTGTAATCCAAATTGTAAACCTCACATGTCGAGGGAGGGACCTGGTGGGAGATGACTGGATCATGGGGGTGGTTTTCCCCATGTTGTTCTCGTGGTAGTGAGTGAGTTCTCACGAGATCTGGTTGTTTGATAAATTTCTGGTACTTCCCCCTTCTTCCCTCTCTCCTGCCACCATGTAAGACGTGCCTGCTTCCCCTTCGCCTTTCGCCATGATTGTAACTTTCCCGAGGCCTTCCCAGCCATGCAGAACTGTGAGTCATTTAAACCTCCTTTCTTAATAAATTACCCAGTCTAAGATAGTATCTTTATAGCAGTGTGAGAATGAACTAATACAAATGCCTTACCAGGTTTCTAGGTATTCTTTAATCCAGGCAAATTGACACCTAAAATTAACCATCACAGTAAGTAACACTAAATGCTGTAATAAATCGTCTCCAAATTTCAGTGGATTAACACAATAAAGATTTATTTCTTATTTAAGCAAAATCCAAGGTAGAATTTTCTGGTTATTTGGCCCCCTGGGAGTTTCTCCTTCAAGCAGCGACTCAGGCTTCTGTGCTTCCTTCATGTTATGCTCTGTAATGTGTGGCCTCTGTGGTTGCCACAGAAGGGGAAAAGAGATGGTGCATCTGGTCATGTGTCCAGTCAGCAGCACCTCTATATATACTCCATTGGTCATACTCCAGTCAAATGGCTCCAACTGAAGGTCAAGGGAGGCTGGAAAGTGGAGCTGTCACATGTGCCAGGAAAAGAAACAAGAGTAATGAGCATGGAGCCAGTCTGCCACAATATGAGTTAAATATATTAGTATTTCATGAGATTCCACAAAAAGCATCATGATTTCCAGACTTGCTGCCTGAAGAATTTGAAAACCATTAAGGTACGTTCTTCTTTAAAACACTAACACTCCTGTTGGACTCTAGAAATGCTGATCTAGGCCAGGCACCAGTGGCTCACGCCTATAATCCCAGCACTTTGGGAGGCTGAGGCAGAAGGATCACTTGAGCCTAGGAGTTTGAGCACAGCCTGGGCAACATAGTGAGACCTCATCTCTAAAAAACAAAAGTAAATAAATGCTGGTCCAACATTTTCAACTATTAAAAGCCTGAAACAAATTAGTTGACTAAGTGCCACGGATATAAATTAGTATTTTCATTCAATGAATTTCTTCATTCTTGTCTACATTCCCATTCAAGAACAGAATTTCTGGAGTAAAATTGAGACAAATACTTTTTCCTCCACTGTAGACTTCTTGGCTAGGCTTCATACATTTCTTTTTAACTCTTCAACCCAAGGGTCACACATGCTATGGAAATTACAGCAAATACTAATTGATTTTATTCCAAGTTCCTGAGGCTTCTTAGGCACTTATATTATTCTAAAAGAAATGCCCAGGATGGTCATGTGGCACTCTAGGGATGATGTGTACTTTGGGGTTAGGATAATCAGAGTACATTATTTTTCACCAAAACCAATTTGTTCAAGTTATTTGCTTTCCAAACTTCTATCTACAGTCCATTGCTTCTATGGTTCTATTTTATATTGATCACTCTTTTATACAGTGGAAGCATAAAAGACTATATAAACTACACATAGGTTCTATAAACCTTTGTGTTTCTGCTTTACAATGAAATGGCTATCACTAACTTGCAATCCAAAGGCCTTTCCAACAAACATTCAATAGTTCCTTTTTAGTGTTGTGAAATAAATGTAAATGAGTCAATTGGAAATTGGATGGAAATAAAAGAGGATCAAATATCTAGAATGACTAGTATATTATTATTAAGATATAGGCTTTTTCTCTTTTTTCCCTAATAACCACTCCTGTGATTTATTATGAGATGTTGCTGATTATGGTGCTGGTGGTCAGGAGATGATGACTCTGTGGATATTGCGATGTTGTGTTATATATAGTTTTAGCAATATCTCAAGGAGGTATTATTATCTTCATTTTGTTGAAAATGCAACTAAGGTGTAGTGTCCCATCTATCACCACATGCCTAGTAAGCAGTAGAGATGAGACTCAAATGCAAGTTTTCCATTAGAGTTGTTAGTAACACTGTCATCTGTACCAGGGCTGCCTCCGTTAGAATGGCACCCAACTATAGAACACTATGTTTACAATTTATGGCCAAGAAACCCTGTGTTGGCTTTATTTTTTCCTTCACAGATTCCCAGAATGTTATAAAATTCAATTCTTCACATAGCAGTTTGATACTTTGTATCCCTCCCCATGGAATCTGCCCACAAAAATTGTTATTGTTGATTCAGGCTTTCCATTGTCTGGGAAGAAGAGTTGTGCTTTATTAAATTAGAAATGAGAAAAGAACTATTGATCAAACAAAGCAAAATGAAACATTACTTGAAGGAGTGAAAAAAGTGTTGAGCTTTCTGAGAAATGAATTAAACCTCTTTGTTCAAGTCCTAAACACACCATATACAGGAAAAAAGCCTTAGCAAGCGTCATAGAAAATATTTATGGGACTTGGTGCAGTAGCTCATGCCGTAATCTCAGCACTTTGGTAGGCCAAAGTGGGAGGATTGCTTGAATCTAAGCTGGTTTGAAACCAGCCCAGTGAGACCTTGTCTCTATAAAATGAATTAAAAAAAAAAAAATAGTTGGGTGTGGTGGCATGAGCCTGCAGTCCCACCTACTCTGAAGGCTAAGTTGGGAGGATCGCTTGAGCCCAGAAAGTCAAGGCTTCAGTGAGCCAAGATGGCCGTCACTGCACCCCAGCCTGGGTGACAGAGCAAGACCTTGTCTCAAAAATAGTAAAAAACAAACCTCAAAAGAAAATGTTTAAACCCTTTAAAAAAGAGAGAAGAAAATATTCATCAACTAGATAGAAAAAATGTTAATTTATGAAATGCTCATATCATTGTGTTTTGCATCAAAGCACCTATATGCTTTGATTTTAAAAAGAGATATCACTATTAAAACTGTTTAATCTTTCTGGAGCTCAGTTTTCTCATCTGTAAAATAGGAACAATAAAGTCTATTCTTCTTATCTCTTGGTGTTGTAAAGGCTAAATGAAATGATTAGCCATTCCTATTGACTTTTGTGCTTTTCCCACTGCTCTCTATGGGTGCACTGGCTGTTGGAGTGGCTATAATCCTAAGGAGAGAAGAATAAGCCTGCCATTTCCCAGCTTCCTTCAGGTAGCAATACCAATAGAATATGCACTGCTGGCTGGGCACAGTGGCTCATGCCTGTAATCCCAGCACTTTAGGAGGCCGAGGAAGGCAGATCACGAGGTCAGGAATTCAAGACCAGCCTAGCCAATATGGTGAAACCCCATCTCTCCTAAAAATACAAAAATTAGCCGGGCATGGTGGCGAGTGCCTGTAGTCCCAGCTACTCAGGAGGCTGAGGCAGGAGAATCACTTGAACCCAGGAGGTGGAAGTTGCAGTGAGCCAAGATCATGCCACTGCACTTCAGCCTGGTTGACAGAGTGAGACTCCATCTCAAAAAAAAAAAAAAAAAAAAGGAATATGCACTACCATGTAGATATGCTACACTTGATTTATTATAGACTGACTTTGACCAAGGTCAGGGAGAGAAATCCACTCGGGCCCATAAACTCTCAAACAAACATTTAATTAAGTTCAATTTAACTCTATTATAAATAACTTTAGAATGTTTTCTCTCTACGTTATCTTTTGTAACCTCAATCCCAAGGTGGAACTAGAAAGACAACCACTAGCTCCACATGTAATTACTATTTACTTCCTTTGGATGTGTTTTTTCCCATTATCAGATGGGGAAGTTCAGGTCTTAACCAAGGAAGCCTAAGTGGGCTTGTGTTCAGGCTCTGTGGGACTCCCTACCCCACTGGGTCACATTCCAGCTGTGTTCTTGGCTCAGTTCACTTTTGTGGTTTCAAGAATGTAAATAATTTGCACTTTTACCCTCTTCTTTTTATCTATTTCTGCACAAGGTATTGGTGACCTGAATATATTTCCTTGAATTCATCGACTTCAAATATTCCATTTCTGTAACTGACCTCAATATGTTTTCCTCCTTTGAAACAATAAACTCGCTAACAGATCAACACAGTCTACTCATAGTGAAAAGATCATGAATAAACATGAGATTCTTTGGAATTTGGATATTGCTATTACTAGCTTTGTGTTGCTCGTTTTAAACCCAAAACACTAGTAAGGGTGAACTAATCGTCCCAGGACCACACGTTGTCTTTCCTGTCTTTAAATTTTTGCTCCCGTACTTCTGCTTCTTTCAATGTCCTCTTGCTGTCCTGACAAAGGTTTCAATCCAATCAACCTTGGTACTGAAACTTCCTGTAAACACTTTCTTAATTTCCCAAACCTGGAGTCATTATTCATTGGCATTTACTGTTTATAGAATTCATTTATTAATGTACTCAAGAGCTGCCTTGCAATAGTGCTTCACTTACTCTTTTACCCCTTATTTATCCTTCATTCTGCTTAGTGCCATGTTAATGTCATTTCTCCCTGCCTAGAATTTTAACTCCTCAAGTACAAGAACTGTTTATTGTACTTGTAGGTAATCCAACCTTCCTCAGTTCAATGCCTTAATTTAGACACCCTGAAAAAATAATTGTTTTTATTTTTTGTTTTAAGCATTGGTAGAATATAGTTGCTTCCCACATTTTGTCAAAGGAAGTTAACTTGAGCTGGTACTGCTTTAACTTATTTCTGAGATAGAATAGGAATGGGATGCAGCTCCTCCTTCACATATTTTTTTTTCTTTTTCTCTAGTTCCACTGATCACAAAACCCACACCACTCGCTGGTGATATGCCCACGAATCCCAAGGCTTTAGTCACACAAAGAAAACAGCCGTTCTTCCGCGCTTTCATAACATGTAACCATGCCTTTTACGTAAAGAATTCCAGAAACTGGCTTAGGAAATCTAAATATTGTGGACTGTCCCACCTTGGGAAGGAATGCTGAACAATTGATTTACAGCTTTGTTGCTGCCAGCCAGACCACCAGGTGGTCCATTACTCAAGATAAACATTGCAACCAGATATGCTAACTGAATAATCTACCCCTCACATGCTTTGCCCAACCCAGCCTGCATACCCTACACCTGATGTTAATTCCCGTGCTTTGCCTAATAAAAAAGCCCCAACCAGCTTTTTCAGGGAGTCCTTGTACCTCCACTGTCTTCCTTGAGCTTGAGCACAAGCTCCAAAATAAAAACCTTGACTGGGAAAACTACCTGGCCCCGTATTAATTTTTATTACATGGGAAACCAAAGAGCTTGTGATCTGTAACATTTCCAAATCTTCTGCTCTGAATTTTGTTTTTCTTGAGACGGAGTCTCACTCTGTCACCCAGGCTAGAGTACAGTGGCGCGATCTCGGCTCACTGCAACCTCTATCTCCCGGTTCAAGTGATTCTCCTATCTTAGCCCCCAAAGTAGCAGGGATTACAGGCACGCACCACCACACCCAGCTAATTTTTTGTATTTTTAGTAGAGACGGGATTTCACCATGTTGACCAGGCTGGTCTCAAACTCCTGACCTCAGGTGATCTGCCCGCCTAGGCCTCCCAAAGTACTGGGATTACAGGCATGAGCCACTGTGCCTGGCCTGAAAATTCTTTTTTTTAAATTAAGATTTACTTTTTTAATTCAAAAGTTAACACAGCAGAGGTGTTTGTTCCAGGGGTGGTTGTGATGATTGTGGTCTATGACACAGCTTCCACACCTCGAGAATAACAATCGTCAGTGTTCAGTGAGCACTCCCTATGTGTTGTACTGTGAATAATCAAAACATGTATTTAGGCTACTTGGGAGGCTGAGGTAGGAGAATCACTTGAACCCGGGAGGCGGAGGTTGCAGTGAGCCAATATCACGCCATTGCACTCCAGCCTGGGTGACAAGTTTTGAAACTCCGTCTCAAAAAAAAAAAAAAAGTATTTGGTCTTTGCCCCTGTTTCCTGCCACAGAGTTTCAGAAACTCTTGGAATTTCCTTAATGACAGGAGTGTCTTTTGTTATTCATAATGAGCCACTTTTGCTATATCCAAGTATATGCTAATAAGGTAACTTTTGGCAGAGCCCCTAGAGAGCTTCAGGATGGGGGGTGGCAGCTAGGAAAATCAACCATGTGGTGAGAGGGTTGGAACCTTCAGCCCCAGTCCCTGCCTGCTGAGGAGGGGAGGCCAGAAACTGAGGCTAATGTGGCTAATGACTGATTCAATCATGCCTACATAATAAAACTTCAATAAAAGCTCTGAATGATGAGGTGTGAACTGCTTCCCAGTTGGTGCACACATTGATGTACCAGGAGGGTGGCAGACCCTGGCTCCATGGGGACAGAAGCTCCTGTGCTCAAGACCCTTCCAGATCTTGCCATCATATGTTTTTTCATCTGACTATTCATTTGTATCCTTTATGGGAAAAGAGTAATTGTAAGTACAGTGTTTTCCTGAGTCCTGTGAGTCATTCTTTCACAGGGTGAACCTCAAGGGGGTGCAGCCTGGGAGGTCACATGGGTTCTTGCCTTCATGCAGGAAGGAAATCAAAAGTGAGATGACAGAGTAAAGTGAAAGCAAGTTTACTAAGAAAGTAAGGGAGTAGGCCAGGCGAAGTGGCTCACGCCTGTAATCCCAGCACTTTGGGAGGCTGAGGCTGTTGGATCACGAGGTCAGGAGTTCGAGACCAGCCTGATCAACATGGTGAAACCCCATCTCTACTAAAAACGCAAAAATTAGCTGGCACACACCAGTCGTCCCAGCTACTCGGGAGGCTGAGGCAAGAGAATTGCTTGAACTGGGGAGGCGGAGGTTGCAGTGACTGTACTCCAGCCTGGGAAACAGAGTGAGACTCCATCTCAAAAAAAAAAAAAAATCAGAAAGTCTTACGGGGGCAAAAACCAGTTACTGCATTGTGAGGGCTCAATTGGCAATGTATTCCTGTTTAGTTTCTCCCTCTTGATTCCCTGATCCCCTGTTCCCCTCCAAACCGCCCCCATCTGACACTCCTGCTTCCTGGAATTATTTCCCAAATAAACTACCTATATGTTCTCAGGCTCTGCTTTCCAAAGAAACCAGGCCATGATAAGATATGGCTAACCTCAGCCGGAGGGATATTGATGTTACCTTAATGACAAAATGGTACAGGGATGAATGGGTTCTTGCTAAGTTTACTGCTCCTGTACTTTGACTTGTGGTGAAAGAAAATATGTTGAAACTAATTAAAATGGTTTCACATCATGAAATTTTTTGAAAGAAATGACCTCGAGCTAATAACATCTGAAAAATGAATAATAGGACAATTGAAAAAGTAACAATGAAGAGTGTTCTTTAGAATTTATGGAAAAATTAATACGAAGGGATTCAGAGTAGATAAGATATCCTTTTATGTGAATTTAAAATATATTTTATTACAGAAGGATTAGGATAAAAACCTTTGATAAGTTGTCATCTGGCTAAGGAAGGACAGTGGCCACATCATGCTGATATTTGCATCCTCACCATTTGGTGCCTGGAACATAATAGATATTTTAAAAATGTGTGTTGAATGAATAGAATCTTAATATTGGTAGTTAGACATTGTAATGGGTTGCATCGTGGCCATGAAAAACATGTCCAAGTTCCAACTTCAGATACGTGTGAGTGTGAATGTGATCTTATTTGGAAAAAGAGTCTTTGTTGGTGTAAATTAAGTGAAGAATCTCAAGATTAAACCATCCTGGATTAACTAGGTGGGCCCCAAATCCAATGACAAATGTGCTTATAAAAAGAAGAGCAGAAGCAGACATAGGGGAGGACCATGTGAAGATGGAGGCAGAGATTGGAGTTGTGCAGCTACAAGCCAAGGGATGCCTGGAGACATCAGAAACTAGAAGAGAGCTTTTCACAAGATGGTGCCAAAGATGAAGAAGGAAGCTTCCGTCCCTCCTAAAGCCAAGGCCAAAGCAAAGGCTTTGAAGGCCAAGAAGGCAGTGCTGAAAGGTGTCCACAGCCACATACACACACACATAAAGAAAATCTGCACGACCCCCGCCCACCAAGACACTGTGACTTCAGAGGCAGCCCAAATATCCTCGAAAGAGCACCCCCAGGAGAAACAAGCTTGGCCACTATGTCATCATCAAGTTTCTGCTGACCACTGAGTCTCCCATGAAGAAGACAGAAGACAACAGCACACCTGTGTTCATTGTGGATGTTAAAGCCAACAAGCACCAGATCAAACAGGCTGTGAAAAAGCTCTGTGACATTGATGTGGCCAAGGTCAACACCCTGGTTAGGACTGATAGAGAGAAGAAGGCACATATTCTTCTGGGTCCTGATTATGATGCTTTGGATGTTGCCAACAAAATTGGGATCATCTAAACTGAGTCTGGCTGGCTAATTCTAAATATATGTATCTTTTCACCAGAAAAAAGAAACTAGAAGAGACAAGGAAAAATACCCCCCTACAGCCTTGGAGGGAGTGTGGCCTTGCTAACAGCTTGATTTCAGACTTACAAACTCTAGAACCGTGAGAGAATAAACTTCTGTTGTTTAAAGCCACCAAGTTTTTGGTAATTTGTTATGGCAGCCCTAGGAAACTAATACAGAGGTATGAAAAAAAAATGGTGAAAGCTAATGGAACATAAACAATGATTTCAACCATAAAAACACTCAACAAATATTGATCAAGCCTTCACCAAATGCCAGGGACTTCTCGAGGGAAACAGCAGTGAGCAAAATATATGGAGGCCTGTGTACTCACAGTGCTTACATTCTAGCAATATTCTGGTCAGAGAAGCCAGCTTATTCAAAACCTTTACTCTTAACCGAGGCGTGTGTATGTCTGTACCTACATCAGGACCAACTTTACACAACTAGTGGTAAAGAATTTAGAAAATAAAGATTACATAACAACAAAGGAAGCACTTACCACAGAGGACTCAAGCTCCAAATTTCCAGATGGGATATATTATTTTTTAACAAGGATAACAGAAGAAAGACATTCAGAGTTTTTTGACCTTCAGATTTCCATGCAGCTCATGAGATAGATTGGAATTGTCTCCTTGGTTGCAACAGAAGGTTTATCTTCTATAAGCGAACGCAAGGGCTTTGGCTAAAATGTAACTGTATTCCAGTTTGGGGAAAAATAACTCAAGGAAATTTTTCTTAAACTTGTTTTTCTACAATACTTTTAAAAAATATTATGCATCTTAAACTTTTGACAGGTGCCATTGATTATCTGCCAGAGAGGACTAGCCGGTAGCTAGAAGAATGATCATACAACAAACCAATATTAAGGGATAGGTTTGATTCAAAAACCTATGAATCAAATGTGTGTGTGTGTGTGTGTGTTTGGATTTTTACACTTGCGATCATGACACTATTGCCTTTCATGCTGTGTAAATTTAATTAAATGTAATGACCCTAATCAATATAAACTTAAAATAACCAAATATAATTTTGTGTTAAAGTATTATCTGTGTGATTGGAATACAACATAACAATACTATATTCTGCAAGAAGCACTTTGGCTTCCAGTGGCTCTAATACTAGAACAATTCTGAGGCCTGCTTTGTTAGCATCAATCAGCAAGCAGAGCAAAGCTCAGAAATGCTGGACAGAGAAAGCATAAGATCAAATCTGAGAGAACACTTAAAGATGAATCTGAAAACTTCTTTACCTTTTAATATTAATATGTCAGGGTTAAATCATGAATGTATTTCATGTATGCAGGTTCAACTTGGCAAAAATAAATAAATAAACAACTTTTTAAATTTTAAATTGCAACTGCTAATCCACTAATTGAGAGTGAGTCCTGTGGTCAAGGTGAGATAGGAAACTTTGTACCCTCAGCCTCCTCAGTCTCTGAATGCCTCTTGTGTGTGTGTGTGTGTGTGTGTGTGTGTGTATGTGTGTGTCTGTGTGTCTGTGTAGCTAAGTTAAATATAATTCTTGTATTTAAAATTATGTAATTTTTCATAGAACATGTCCTCTGATTCTAAGCCCACTATTCTCCCCAGCTTTTAACCAGACCTTTCACTGTGTTCAACATCTTGAAAGGGATATAGACTGTGTTTTAGGGGTAATTTGAGGGGTTTTTCAAAAGTAAATTGGCTCTGGAATTTCTGTCTCATATAGAATCTAAATGAGAACTAGAGAGAGAGAGAGAGAGAGAGAGACTCTGTTGAACATTATATGACACAGCCAAGAATATGAAAAATGATGACAGTCGCCCCAGCAAACAGCTTGACTGCAATCTCGTGAGACACCCTGAGCCAAAACTATGCAGCTAAGCTGCTTCTGAGAAACTCTGAGAAAATAAATGTGTGTTGTTTTAAGCTGATGAATTTCAGAGTAATTTGTTATGCGGCAATAGATCACTAATACTGTGTCATAGATTTGAAGAAGAAAATGTAGAGTCTTTGCCTTTCTATATTTTGAAATCAAGATGAAAGAAATATGTGCAAAAAAAAAAAAAACCCTATAAAACAATGTGAGAAATGCCATAATAGGAGCAAGTCATTAATAAGCCAAATAGTATTTAGGAGGAAAAAAATGGTTACTCCATTTCTGATCACTAGAGGACTACATTATACTCCACTAAACAAAGAATAATCTGCTTTCAGCAAAAAGTTTCCTAGTTTTGGGAAGTCCAAAAGGACTATTGCCAAGGGAAATCCAGGTTATAGTAGTAAGAAATGGCGGAGGGGAGGAAGAGCTGAGAAGCACACAGGAGGGCCACTGACACTTATTGATTACTTATGGCTCATGTACTTTATCCACATTTTCTTATTTGATCTTCACACCAATTGTATGAGTTAGATCTAATTTTCTTTATCTTATAGATGGACACTATCTATACCAAGGAATGAAACCTTTTGTTTTTGGAATATTCTATAGCATTTGGCAAATTTGGTCACTAAGACTATGCTGAAAGTCAGACTCTCTGGCCTGTAATAGATGGTGACCTGAATTTTATTACTAGTCAACTGCCATCAGAGAGGTATGACAGTTTCGTAGGGGTTGGGCAGCTATTTCAAGAAGGGTCAGGAATTAAACAATGAGCAAAAGTAACGTAATCAATAGGTTTTTCTTTCTGCCCAGTTCTCTAACTTTATAGGTGAACAATACTTTCCAATCTTATTTAACTCTCCTGAAGTACTCCAAGTGGATATGTTCACTATAATCTTTACCTTGACAGTTATGATTATGTCCACATTTTTAAATCACTTGAATAATTAAGAATAAGCACAAGACATTTACCTTCCAAGAAAAAATTATCAACGGCTTAAATTTCTTTGAGAATATGCACTACAGCATCACTCTTATTGCTAATGATTTATAATTCTGTAAAATTAGACTTGTAAAACAGAAATGAAAGGAAAATGGTTATTACCAGGTGAGGAACGGTTAGAAGTTGGCCTAGATAATTGTATTGCTAAAAAGCCATTTGCTTCTTGTTTTAGTCTGTTTCATGCTGCTTTAACAGATTACTGCAGATTGGGTAATTTATAATAAACATACATTTATTGGCTCACACTTCCAGAGGCTGAGAAGCCCAACATGAAGATTCCAGCATCTGGTGAGGACCTTCTTTCAGTGTTAAAACATGGCAAAAGTCATCATATGGTAGAAGGGCAAAGAGATCAAGAGGGCCGAACTTGCCCTTTTATGTCAACAGTAATCCCACCTATGAAAGCAGATCCTCATGGCCTAAGCGCCTTTTAAAGGTCCCACCCTTAATACCATTACAATTAAATTTCAACCTTACTTTTGCAGGGGACAAACATTCAAATCACAGCACTTCTATACCTTGAGAAGTGCTGAAAGGTTACTCCTCAAATGATTTCTTAATTGTTTTGTTAAAATACCTATAATACCTGTGACCAGAGTCACTGCTTTTGTAGTTTTGTGAGGTTTGATCCTTTAATGGGCATGAGAAACGCTACATGATCACAAAACAAAACAAACACAACAGCAACAAACACATACAGGAACTTCCAGTATGACTCTGTGTAAGTAAGTCTCTTTCTTTTTCTCCTCCTGAAATCTATACAAAATCTTCAAGGAGAATGAAGAAACACACTTCAGAGATGCCATCTTTAGTAAAAAGTAGGAGACAAATATGATTCACAGACTGTAAAATATAAAAGCAACAGACAGGAAGAGCAGCTGAAAAAAGTAAAAGAGAAAAGGAAGGATAAAGGCAAAAGGTTAGTGAAAGAACCCAGAAAAAACAGATTTCAGAAAGCACTGTAAGAATACACTGGCTAAAGGTGATAGAGCCATCTTGAAGTGACTATGGACAATATAGAAATTTTACAATACTACAAATCGGAGTGAAGAAAGTAGGAGTTAAAATAAGTCTGCTGATTTAAATGACGTCATTAAAAGCTGACTAATGAAGTGATAGGCATACACACATTTTTAATAATACAAAGGTAACGATAAGAAAGATAACGTTATTGATTTAAATTGGGTGGTGGGGAGGAGAGGAAGGGAATGGGGAAGAAGGAGAGAACGCTATTTTTTATTTCTTGTAACAGGGAACTATTGTATGCTGACGATATGCATTAATAAAAATAATCATCATAACAGAACTACAGACCTCATCAAATCTTAGAACTATACACAGAAAGCAAACCAAAGAAAATAGACTGCATGAAGTCTTTAAAATATTAAAGACTTTAATATATAAAAACAGAAAATGTGAAATAATATGACAGAACAGAGACCAAACACATGTCAGCTCAATAAATATAAATGGATTTAACTTACATTTTAAAGGAGAATAAGTTTAAATTAGGTTGGAATTTAAGCGATTATAAACCCTATGCCATATATGAAGGACACGTGTTAGAAAAGTGATTTAGGATGGTCAAAAATTGAAGGATGAGCAAAACTGTATTAGGAATGGCAAATTTTTGAAAACCCAGGAATCATGGTCATAATATCTGAAAAGATGTAATTCAGTCCTAAAAGCTGTAGGTACTTCATAATTTTGAAATGTGTAAAGCATATAAAAATATATCAGTTTTTTGGGAGGCCAAGGCTGGTGGATCACCTGAGGTCAGGAGTTCGAGACCAGCCTGGCCAAATGGCGAAACCCTGTCTCTACTAAAAACACAAAAATTAGCTGGGCCTAGTGGCGGGCACCTGTAATCCCAGCTACTCAGATGGCTGAGGCAGGGAGAATAGCTTGAACCCGGGAGACGGAGGTGGCAGCGAGCCAAGATTGAGCCATTACACTCCAGCCTGGGCAACAGAGCAATCAAATAACATGGCAACAAAAAATCATAAGACAGAAACTATAGAATAATAGAGGACTTCAAATCAACTCTTTTATTCTAAAATATTTTATTATTCTATTTTATTCTATAATAGTTTGGATGAAAAATAAGAAATGATATGAAAGGTCTAAATAACATAATTTTAAAGTAAAATTGATTATATATATATACATACACACATAAATATACACACACATATGTGTGTGTGTTTGTGTGTGTGTATATATATATGTTTATTAGAGCATATGCATTCTTTCCAAGTGCCCACCAACACATATAAAATAGGGTACAAAGGAAACCTCAATAAGTTCCAAAAAGTAGAGATACCTTTTGTCTTGAATGAGTGAATGACTGTTTCTTGACCTCTTACTGTGTTTTATTTTGGATTCTGCCAGAGAACAGATTCTGACACAAAGACTTGAATGTAATTTAGGAGGTGAACATTTTGGGCTTATTTAGAAGATAAAGGCAACTGGAATTGAGGGTTACATGAGACAGGGAAAGGGAAAGGAGCCAATGATATGTACCTTGTCAAGTCAGCTGCTGTTAGGAATGGCTGGAGCTCATTTCTGCTGGGAATACTCTGAAAGCTGGTGTAGAATATTCTACCTGAGGGTTAAAGAAACTGAGACATTTATACAACAAATGGCAGAGGGGGATCCAGGGGACAGTGAAAGCCCTTAGGGAAGGAAATGCGAGGGCTGGCTGTTGAAAGTTTGACTGATGTGCATTGAAGAGGAGTCAGGGGACACAAGGTGGGGCACCAATAGCATCTGAACTTCAATGTGTGCAAATACAGCATTCAACGACGGGGAGAGCTGGATAAAAGCAAAGTCAGATAAAGATAAAGTCAGAATGGACAAGTTATTCTGGGCACCCAGGTTAGGTTAAGCAGAAGTCTAAAATCAGAAGTTTTTTTCCAAAGCTTTCTTCTGTTGTTTTTCTATTTTCTTAGTTCTTTCATTAAGGGCTTTTCTTATGAGTTTTCCTTACAGGGAGCCCCCTCTTCCAGTTGGTGTGTAAATGCCTCAGTTCTTTCATCTATGTTAGGCTGTACAATTCTTCAATATTTAGGAATTAAAAAAAAAATCTAACACTTTTTGTTAGAATTGTTTGCATAATCTTTCCTCATTTGGGTAGCATTAGATGTAGAATTAAGATTGGTTCCCATTCTATGCTTGTTCTTCCTGGCTTTCCTTCTATTTTGCTGCTGCTGTTTTTAAAGAGATTTGCATTGATTTTGTGATGTGGCTGGTGGGTGCCAGGAGGAACTTAACTGGAAAGGAACTGTGAACAATTTGGGAATGTGGGGACTGTAAAGCCAGGGGTAAAAATGTAAAAATATTTAGTGTACAACACAGTGTGGGCAACAACCAATCACCATGTGAACCCTTGACTACATACCGACTTTCTGCTCTATGCCAGAATTAACCCTTTAGTAGGTGACTGATCTTGGGGGTTCTAGAGGGAGAGGCTGGGATTACTGGGATAACCTGAGGATTATATGAGTGGCTCAGAGCCATGGCTAGTTACCAAATGGTGCTTAAGTATTACATATTTTAACAAGATGTGAATACTTGCTGAATCTCAGCCCTGTGTATAACCTAGATAAAACTTTGTCAGAATTTGCTTCTTTCTTCCAGGTGCAGTGGTATGTTCTTATGTCTCAGGATCCTTGGAGTGTCACTTCACCAGCTGGGAACATCTGTGGCCAATGGCACCTTTGCCTGAGTTTTGCTTGGGCCCACTGGACTTGTTCCACCCACTTGGCCTGGCAGGCTGCATTCGGCTTTTGCTCCTAGCCTGGATCCCACACCTGCCAAGGGCAAGCCAGGCATGGACCAGTGAGGGGGTGCATGAATGAGTGAGCCTGGGGTCCAGCCACTGTGCACAGCCAGGCTGTGGTGGGGCAGGCAGCTCCAGGCATTGGCATGGGTGCTGGCTCCCTGCTGTGGCTGAACTAGGCATACCACAAGTGGCTTCCACTGCAGGCACTGGGGAACCTGTTGGTGCCCAGAATCTTGGAGACACCAGGAATGGCAGAGCCCTAAATTGGGTGTCATAGCCCTGGTTCTGGGAGCTCTTAGTCTGGGCTTCCAGAAGGGCAGCAGCTCTTCTCTCCTCTCTTTCTCCTTGCCATGATGTGGTGAGCAGTGGGGGTGTGTTTCAGCTCTGTTTGTGTTACAGCTCCTCCAGCCCCACCATTCAGTGGGTCTCAAGTTCTTGTCCCACATCCAGGAAGAATGAGATACGAGGACAAACGGAGGGTGAGCAAGGGGTGCTTTACTGTGTAACAGTACAGTGCTCAGGAGACCCTAAGTGGGCCGCTCCTTTCTGCAGGCAGGTAGTCCTGACAAGTGTGCAGCTCTCAGCAGAGAGGAGACTCAGAGTGGGTAGCTCCTATCTGCCTCCAGGTCATCTGGATATCTACCCAAGTCTGGCTGTGTCTGGGGTTTTTATGTGCTTCAGAAGGGAGGAAATGCATGCTGATTGGTCCATGGGAGGTGATGGGCAGGCCCGGAGAAAGCACCATAAGTTCTCACTCTGGTCGGAGAAACTGGCAGCCCCGCCCCTAGTCTTCAGGCTATCCCTGGCTTGAAGGCAGGACTTCACTGGGGTCCTGCCCCTTTCCACCCAGGAGGCTCTCTGCCTCCTACCACCATCAACCTACCATCTATGGCACCCACAGCACCCAGGCTGTTCATGCAGAGGGGTGCCTGCAGGCCCATGCCAAGCTGCCCACAATTCCCCCTCACTCTCTCCTGTGCTCACTGGTACTCAAAGTCCAGAGGGGACTGAAGCGGCAGGGGGCTGGCATGTCAGTGCCACCCCAAGAACACACAGACCTGGCCAAGTTGAGACAGTGACCAGTCTCAGCCACAACTTTGCTCTGAAATAGAAGCAGGTGCTGGGAGCCAGGAGAAGGAGGCCAGGCAATAGGATCGGGCACTTTCAAGCCTGCAGGGGCAGGGGGGCTTCGCAGGTCCACCCCCCCTCCAGAGCACAGGGATGCCCATGTCTGCAGCCATAGTTGGGTGGCTGCAGCAATGCCCAGGAGTGTGGGGTTCCCACCCCACCAGCTTGGAAGGGGATGGGGCTCCTGCCTGTTCCCAACTCCTGCTGGCTCTGTGGAGCATGCAGCCCTGGCTGCACCTCCCTCGCTGCAGCAGGCATCTTTGCAGCAGTGGCTCCAGATAGGCTGCTGCTGCTATCATTATAGTCGCAGTTCCTTAGAAGGCTGAGGCAGGAGGACAGCCTTGAGCACAGGTGTCTGAGGCCAGTGTGGGCAACACAGCAAGACCCTGTCTCAATGCAATAATAATAATAATAAATTTACTCCTGTGAATTGGGCTTAATATGACATTTTGCCTACCTCTGCTTTTCAGATGGGGGCTAAGGAGTCTACAAAATCCCCCAAATGTCTATAATTCACATTGGTCATGTCTAGTGACTGCGGGAAATACATAACCTCTGAAGAGGTAACATGGACAAGATTAGTCTAGACTGGTATTTTAAAACTCTTGCTCCAATACCATTTCTAAACATTAACCTACAAATGAAGAATTTAGTGTTTCTCTTTCAATTGATACTGAAGGAGAGTCTGAGGATCTCTAGCGCGGTTAAGCTAGTTTCATTGTAACATGTGGCTGCAATGCACAAATTTTCAGTCATATATTCATGGGATTTAAATTATTTCAGATGTGCCTTCTCCCTGAAGACATTTTTCTGATTTTAATCTCATGCTTTTTTTTTTTTTACTAATATTGTTGTTAAGAAAAAATATTACCCAAAGCTTATACGTAAGGTAAAAAAAAAAAAAAAAAAAAAAAAAAAAAAAAAGAAACTTTGTTTCCATTGTTAGACAATGCCCTGTTCCCAGATCAAAAGTTGGCACCTGATACAGTTTGGGTGCCCCTTCCAAATCTTATGTTGATGTGTATTGTCCAGTGTTGGAAGTGAGGCCTGGGGGAAGGTGCTCAGGTCATGGGGGAAGATTACTCATGGCTTGGTGCTCTGCTCACAATAGTGAGTGACTTCTTTTAAGATCTGATTGTTTAAAAGTATGTGGCACCTCCCGCTTACCCCTTGCTCCTGCTCTTGCCATATGATGTGCCTGCTACCACTTTGCCTTCCACTGTGAGTGAAAGCTCCCTAGGTCCTCCCCAGAAGCCAAGCAGAGGCTGTCGATATACTTGTACAGCCTGCAAAACTGTGAGCCAATTAAACCTATTTTCTTTGTAAATTACCCAGTCTCAGGTATTTCTTTATAGCAAAACAAGAATGTCCTAACACATCAAGATTTTTGTTATATTTTGTTTTCTGTAAAGAGCCCAGATAGTATTTTAGACTGTGTGGGCCATCCAGTCTCTGCCACAACTATTCAACTCTGCAGCAAAAGCAGCTATTTAAAACATGTAAACAAATGTGTGAGGCTGGGTTCCAATAAAACTTTATTTACAAAACAGGTGGTGAGCTAGTTTTGACCCAGAGTCTAAGCAAGGCTGTAATTGGATGACTCCTGCCCTAGGGTGACATGATATATAAGTTTGTTTGATTTACGATTTACTGTTGATTAGGGCTCAGACAATTTACAACTCTATGGTATTGCTTTACTGGAAACTGATAAGGTATAAATAATTTTTGACCAATGTTATGCAATAATTTTTGTCCAGAAATGGTGGGGATTATTTTTGCCTGATGGTGATACACACAAATTTCCCTGGGTAGAAAAGATAACCTCAAAGGATATAGTTGTATTGCTAGTAGAACAATAACAGTTTTGCGTCTTTGTGATTTATTGCAGAATTCTTTTCTTTCATTGACTATATAATTGTCAGTCTTTGTATCCTACAAGTTTGAACCTACAAGTTGGTTTGAACCAACTTGGTTGGTTCAAAAAAACCATTAACTCATTATTAAGTCTAATAAAACTTTGATTTCTATTCATTATAAATTTAATTGAGAATTATATAATTTTAAACATTTTGAAAATTACATTTTGGATATTGTCTGTTAAGATATTTGCCTAGATTTGATCCCAGTGCTCTTGTCCTTCAATTTTATGAACAGGTAGGGAAAGGAAAAACTATTTCTATTGACTTTCAAATCCAACTCAAGACTCTTAAATAATCTAACCAAGAGCTGAAAACAAGTAAAAACTATCTGAATGTGATAAAGAAGCCATAGGTGCCTTGGAAAGAGCATTTAACTGAAATGTCAGGATGTGGCTTCAAGTTTGGCAGTAGCAGAAAGCATGTGGCATGTGTTTCTAATTCTGATACAGCGAACCTCTTGCAACATTTTCTGTTTTCTGGCAACATCTATCTCAAGATGGCAGGTGTTTTGCTCACTGGAAGTTGTGGGCACTTCTTAGATGTTACCTTTAAAACAGGAATGAAGGAACTTTTCAGAGTAAGTGAAATCCATGCATTAAATGTATTTTTCCCAAAAAATAACCCTCAGGAAAATTTAAGAATTGAGATTCTTCTCTCCCCCTTTGGCTCACAGCAGTGACTGTGTCTGCTTTTAGGAGAGGCTGAACTTTTGAAGGACGGCTGAGCTCATGCTAATCAGCAGGCAGTAGCAAACTGAAGTGGATTTTTTTTTCACATTAGACTAGATGGTGTAGTGCCAAGTGGAAAAATATTATTCAGTTTCATTTTGGATTCATGAGTTTCTTTTTTCTACTGTGTGATACTTGAAAGTCAAACTGAATGTCAGAGATAAAAATGTCATGCAGATTATAGCTAGGTTCCCTGGGTTAGTTGGAGATGTACACAGTTGAGACTCTTGACTGAGGTATAGAGAGGTCAGTTCAGCCCTGCTGTTCCACAGCCGCCCCCTGCTATTCCTTACTCCAAAACAGTAATTCACTTTTTGTGTCCAGTTGAAAGTCAGGTATGACTAATATTCAGCTGTGCTCCTAAAAGCTTAAAGACAGTCAGTTTATGAAAGCGCTAAGGATAAAGTTTTTAGAAAAGATAGACTCATAACTCTTCTACAAATAGAAAATGGACACACGTCAAAGATTTTATTTAACTCGTTAATGAGGAAACAGTAAGATGTTACAACCAGTTCAAGAACAATTTGAAGAGAAGACATACATGTAGGCTACCATAAATGTCAAAATGAATTTGAATTTCCATAATTGGTGCCAAAATGACTTGTTTGGGTAGGGGGGAATCAACTGAACCTCCCAGATTCACTTGTATATTTGTGGAGGTTCAATTCAATCCCAATGCTATGGTCTTTCAATTTTATGAACAGGTAGGGAAAGGAAAAAGTGTTTCTTTTGACTTTAAAAACCAACTCAAGACTCTTAAATAATCTAACCAAGAGCTGAAAACAAGTAAAAACTATCTGAATGTGATAAAGAAGCCATGAGTGCCTTAGAAAAATCGAATGTGGAGCATCATTTGCATTTCTTTCTTTTTCATAGCAGCATTATTTGTAATAGCTGAAATGTGGAAGAAACACAAATGTTCATCAACTGATAAATGAACAAACAAAAGGTGGTATGTCCACACAATGGAACACCACGCAGCCCTAAGCCATAAAAATGGATGAGTGTTCATTCATGCTATAGTATGGATGAGCCTGGAAAACATTATGCTGCCTCAGAAGAGCCAGACACAAAAGGCCATATGTTGCATAATTCCATTTATATGAGTTGTGTCCAGAATAGGCAAATCCACAGAGGCAGAAAGTAGATCAGTGGTTGAGAAAGGCTGAGAGGAAGGTGGAAAGGAGGGTGACTGTTAATGGAGATGAGGTTTCTTTTGGAGTGATGAAAATGTTCTGAAATTAGTGTTGATTGCGTAATTCTGAATCATTTGCATTTTTCAGTTGCAGAATTGTAAAGAACTCAAATAAAATAAAAGGTATAGAGACTCCAAAGAATCAGGTAACCTGGAAGGGTATATTAGACAATGCCTATATTTTCATTTAAAACATACAGTAATTTTTTTGGGTGTATTTTAGTCCTTTGCAATTTTTCTCTACAAAAGAAAACTCAACTAAAATTATGTTTGTATCTCTAGGGTTATATAAAACAGAAAAGGCAATAGTGTTCTTCTCCTGCATCTGTTTGCCAAACACAACATAATAGAACAACAGATGGACTAAGTAGCAGACACTTGAAAGCTAGAGAAATCAAATGGAAGAAAAAGTAAACTTTATTCTTTGCTTAATCATTGCCCTTACAGCATTTTACTTTGTGTTTCACATTGTGGAAAATTTTAAGAGAAAAATACTAAATGGACTGAGCTGTCTTAAGCTCCCTGTTTTCATTTTACAACTTTTCAACATTTTGTAATGTCAGAAAAAGCAATATAAATCTAAAGCCTTAGAGAATAACGTGGAAATCTTGTGACAATTTTTCATGGAAGGAAGAGGCAACAGCACAATGGATTCTACATGGCATACCTTTCTAATAACCCTTCTTATATACCATCCCCCCGAAATATTCCACTCCTAATAGCTCTTCCTGAATCTTTTCTCTCTCACGTACTCTCCAAAGTTTCCAGTTGTGCTAGCTCTTCTGTTTCTCCTGTCTTTTCTCTTTTTGTTCTCATGAAGATTAATTGCACCTTCTCAATTCTTCAAGTCTTCTCTCCTTCCACAACGATACCCTGATAAACAAACCAAACAAATACTATTTCTTTTACCCTTAGGAAGAAATGGAGAGGGTGATCACAAAAACTTGTAATTTGGTATTTTCCTCCACACCACACTTTATTTTTAACCTAAAGATTAAATATGTTTGCTATATACCTTGGAATATAAATAGCTACCACACTGTAATTTTGAATAAGTACACCATAAATGATAGCAATTTTATTAAACTTGTGTAAAAAAGTATTTCTATACTTCATCTAAATGTCAACTGGGTTCCTCCCAATACTTCCAAAATTCAGGTAGGCAAAGGGCTGTATTAGTTTGCTGAGGCTGCCATAGCAGAGTACCATTGACTCTGTGGCTTACAACAGAAATAAATTTTCTCACAATTTTGGAAGCTTGGAAGCATAAGATCAAGGTGTTGGCAGGTTGGTTTCTTCTGAGGCCTCTCTCTTTGGCTTGGGGATGGCCATCTCCTCCCTGTGTATGTCTAAATTACCATTATAGGTAATTTGTTTAGTTTAATGTTTATGATTCTTATGGAGAAAATAAACATAATGCACACATTTAAAGTGTTCTTCATTTATCTTTGCATTAGTGCCTAAAATACATATTTCTCTTTCAAGATGGCATTTAAAAATTATTCTAATACAGTAGCAGCAAAAATACAATTCTGCAATTATAAAAGAGCTCAACTGGAATCCATAATTAAGCTATTCTTATGTTTAGAATTGTGATTCTGAGGCCAGGCGTGGTGGCTCATGCCTGTAATCCCAGCACTTTGGGAGGCTGAGCCAGATGGATCACTTGAGTTCAGGAGTTCAAGACCAGCCTGACCAACATGGTGAAACCCTGCCTCTACTAAAAATACAAAATTAGCTGGGCATGGTGGCACATGCCTATAATCCTAGCTACTTGGGAAGCTGAGACAGGAGAATCACTTGAACCCGAGAGGTGGAAGTAGAGTGATCCCAGATCATGCCATTGCACTCCAACCTAAGCAATGAGCAAAACTCCATCTCAAAAAAAAAAAAAAAAGAAATAATTGCGAATCTGAAATAAATACCACTACTATGTAGCTCTGTTGTAAGCTTTCTAAGTTTAGTTTATTATTTATTTATTTATTTTTTGAGACAAAGTCTCACTCTGTCACCCAGGCTGGAGTGCAGTGGCATGATCTCAGCTCACTGCTACCTCCTCCTCCCGGGTTCAAGCAATTCTCATGCCTCAGCCTCCAGAATAGTTGGGATTACGGGCATGCAGCATCACATCTGACTAATTTTTGTAATTTTATTAGAGACGGGGTATTGCCATGTTGGCCAGGCTGGTCTCAAACTCCTGGCCTCAAGTGATCCGCCTACCTCGGCCTCCCAAAGTGCTGGGATTACAGGTGTGAGCCACTTTGCCCAGCCTAGGTTTGGTTTAAACACACACATACACAATTTCAGTTGTGGGAGGCTTTACAAGTTATACTCCATGCACTTTTTTGAAAGAGTTCCAAAAGAGCCAACCAGTCCACAAGACAGGCAAAAAAGAGTTAAGTAGGATAAATAGGACTCCTACATAGCATTAAAGCATGCAATAATCTGCAGCAAACAGGGAGCACTTCAAGGTTGGCCTACTGTCTTCTTTAGAACTGATTTCATCTTAACATTTTTAAAAGGTGGACATTTTAACATCATCAAGTCCATTTGGGTGACATGTTTCTTTTGTGTTAACTTGACTCGCCTGAGTGACCTAGTTAGTGAACCAGTCATGGGTAATTTGGTCACCAAGCAAATCAAGCCTGCAAGAAAGGCAGCCAGTATTCAAAATACCACGTTATTGTCTGAATATATTCAATTTATTTTCAACATAAACATGTAACCTCAATAGTGAAATGTGTAACTAATGCAAGCTCCTCCAACAAGACCAAGACAGCATCTCTTCTTCTAAGGCTTAGGTTTTGCCCAGAATTCCCAATATAGGGAATAGCCCATACCAGGAGTCATTGCTCCCATTACAAAGCCTTGGGCTGCCATACACATGTGGATCAGGTGAAGGGACATTTTAATATTTCCCCTGATCTTCAATTTGTTAATCCATGTGCAACAATTGCTGCAAAACCTGCTATTCCAGTGGGATTAATGGTGTCTTTTCAGCTTTTCAAATAAGTTTGGATTCCTGATCTTCATTATATGAAGAAAGAAAAACATCTGTGTTGGTTGACACAGTGATTGCTTGAAGAATCTTCTGACAGCGAGAAAAACTCTTACAATCCAAATGGCTCCTCCAATCTTTATAGTTTCCAATTTTTTCTTATTATTGAGTTTTAGGAATTCTTTGTTATATTTTGGATATAAATCCTTTGTCAGATAAGTGTTTGCAATTCTTTTCTTCCATTCTTTCATTTTTTTAACAGTGTCTTTTGCAGATAAGTTTTTAATTTTAACAAAATCTGACATAACTTTTTTTTTCTCTCATAGATGTGCTTTTGGCATTATATCTAAAAACTCATCTTCTAATCCACATCATATAGATTTTCTCCTAGGTTTTCTTGTAGAATTTTTATAGTTTTACACTTTACATTTAGGTCTATGATCCATTTTGAGTTAATTTTTGTGAAAGGTGTAATGTCCTTATCTAGGTCCCAGGACCATTTGTTGAAGATCCTTTCTCTGCTGAATTGTCTTTGAATCTTTGTCAAAGATAAGTTGACTATATTTGTGTGGGTCTATTTCTGGACTGGTTTTAATCAATATACGTAGAAAACTTACTGTTAGGTAGCTTAATACCTACGTTAGGTATTCAAATTTATTCTCTAAGAGGTAGAAAACAAGTGCCCCCACGTCTGCTATCTCTCCAGAAGGAAAAAGAAAGGATAAAAATAAAATGCATTTAATTTCAATAAGCATTCGTGTGTATGAAAATCTACCTCAAAATAGCTAAAATGGTAAAAGATGTGTTGCTATTCTAAAGTCAGAAGAGTTGGATTTGCCTCCGGCAGCTTTAAGCTTCCAGGGTGTTATGGCTCACTAGTTTCAGGTTAGAAAATTAGAAATGCAAGGCATGCTATGGTTTCAGTATCTGCTATTCTATCATAATTTTGTAGTACAAGGGTTTCCAGGGAGGGACCTAAGGTAGAGGGTGGGAGGGAGGGGGCAAAAATTTATGGAGAAAAGAATGAAAGGTACCAAGAGAACTGGTCCAACTATCTGTCTTTATTTTTAACAGCTTTCAAAGCAAGTCATGCATGCTGAGCACTGCAAAAGCACCAGGCATTTGTGGAGTGGGAAAAAAAATCCTCTGGGAATACACTGCTTGAGGGGAGAAAATGGCTTCATAAAGAAATGATGCAAACACCATACTTTGCCCTGCCAGCAACTTCTCTCTTAATTTGCAACTGCAGAATGAAATATCCACTACACCAAAGCCTCAGTCAGCTGCAAAAACAATGTATTGTAATCTGATATTTATTTTTGCTGAAATGGATCCACGGCCCTGACATTTCAGATTCTGCAGCTTTGCAAAGCAGCCAGAGAGCCTTTGCTGCCCTTGGGGGAGTGCAGAAGGCCATGAAACATCTTCACTTTTGCAATATAATTTTTCTTCAAGAACTCAAGCCAGAGTTGCATGAGTTTCCATCCAGCTTTGGGAGGGAAAAACAAAAACGAATTAATTAAGCTTACCAGACAGCCTTCAAAAAGTGTAATGTCAGCCCTTTATTATGATATAATATCAGCCAACACTTGGTTCACTTTCCCCGGGAGATACTGGATTGGAGCTGCTGATTATGGAAGAAGCACTTGGCTGTCCCAGCCCACACACTCAAGTGATTTAAATCTAGTCTCAGGAGAGACTTGACATCATAAAGGGAAAGTGTATTCAGGTTTTCTAATCTATGAAAACATTACCTCAATACTGCTAAACTCAAGCCTTACCACCATTTATTTCTTTCCTTCTATCACAAAACTTCACGGAAGAGGAATCAATGCTTCACTACTTCACTACCTAACATTTCCTTAACTCTGAGATCCACTGCCATAGAAAACGTGAATGATGCTCTTCTTTTAAAGGTCACTAAGGACCTCACATTCTTCAATCCAATATGTATTTTTCAGTTGCCATGGACTTTACCATTAGACACCACTTACCAACCTTTTTTTCCATTCTGAAGCTTTGTGTTTCCCTGCCTTTTGTGGACATAGTGCCGGAAGTTTCCTCTCTGCCTCTTTTCTGTGCCTTTTCCAGGCCGTTCCTTGTGCTCATTCTCCAAGGTTCTTTATTTCAACCTCTTATTCTTTTATATTCCGTCTCTCAACAAGCCCCCGTTCCCATATTCACAGCTGTCATATCCCTGATGGCTGGCACTTTAGCAGCAATCTTGAATCATGAAGTACCCTTGAGGATGAAATTCACCAGTGGAGGATGCTGAAGCAGGGCATTAGAAGAAACTTGCCAACCTCCAGATTTCTTTTATGTAGTAGAATAAGCCCTGTGTGTTTAAGCCATTCTTCCTTTGAACTTCTTATTTTATGCAACAGAATCGAATTTAACTAATACAAATAGGTATCAGCCTGGGTATTGTGGCTCATGCCTGTAATCCTAGCATTTTGAGAGGCTGAGTTGCAAAGATCGCTTGAGGCCAGCAATTAGAGACCAGTGTGGGCAACATAGCGAGACCTCATCTCTACAAAAAATGAAAAGATTAGCTGGGCATGGTAGCACAGGCCTGTAGTCCTAGCTACTCAAGGAGGCTGAGGTGGGTGGATTGCTTGAGCCCAGGAGTTTGAGGTTATAGTGAGCTATGATTGTGCCACTGCACTCCATCCTGGGAGACAGAGCAAGACCCTGTCTCTTAAAGGAAAAAAAAAAGAGTATAATAATGCCTTGCTCGTAAAGTCAGTATAAGGTTTACAAGATACATACAGGTCATGTATCTAGCTTAGAACCAGTCATGGCCTATGTGGCCAAATTTTACAGTTATTATTATTATAAACTCTATGCCTATATTCTAGCTGTGGTATACACCATACCACAGACCATCAACTGTGTCCTAAACAAATCTCCCCACAACCAATTCCTCCTAATCTCCTTCTTCTTTGGTTTATGACATGACTAATTTGTTTCTAATGAAGGTGTTGATTTTCCCATTCTTTCCCTTTTAATATTGAATCAGTTACTAAACCCTACTAATGTAGTCCTTTGAAACATCTCCAATTATTTTCCTCATTTTTATATTTCCTCTGCAAACTCCCTAGTAGGGACTTTCATTATTACCTACCCAAACTATTGCAACTGTCAACTCAGTTGTTCCCCAACCCTTGTGTATCCTCCTCTTTTCCAGGTTACTCTATGGAAACCTTGAGATGAAACTTCCAAGAACCCTGCTCTAATCTTGTTACTCCTCTAATTGAAGACCTGAATAACATATGATTGTCCACTGAGCTAGATAACTCCCTCCTCAGCCTGGCTCTTGAGACCCCAACCTATCTTCTGACCTTGATCTCTGTCTCCTTACATGCCAGTCAGTCTAGACTCTTCAATTTGCCTTCTACTTTCTTAACTCTGTTGCTTGGCTCATGTTTCACTCATCCAGAATGTTCTCTTACTCCATCCACTTCCTACATTTCAATTTCTTAGCAAACTCACAAAGCTGCATGGAAATATTGTCATTCCAGGAAGTCCTCTTTCTAAAATGGATGTTATTTTCCCTTTACTTCAAGCATTTTGTGTCTGTCTTATGGCATTTGTGTTCTATTGCTTCACAGCAGTGATTCTCAAAATTTGGAGAGTATCAGAATCACCTGGATGAATTCTGAAAACACAGATTGCTGTGCCCTACTCCCAGAGACCCTGATTTACAAGGTCTGGCGGGGTGGAGCCTGAGAATCTGCATTTCTCATAGGATCCCAGGTGATGCTGCTGGTTTGGGGATATCACACATTGGGAACTGCTTTATAGTGATTTGGATCTAATTCTCCTTCTATATTGTAAATGTCGTGAGATGGAACAATATGGCTTATTTTAACCTTTGTATTTCCCGTATCTTTCAACACGCAGTAGATATTTAATGATTATTTATTAATATTGAAGGCCAAAGTTTTGCTTTTAAACTTGACACTTAATTTTTGGAGTTATGTTCTGTTGTTGGTTCTCATCAGCCAGAAAGAACACAACTAAGTGCTATTGCCAAGGGCACAGCCGAATTCTTCCTAGTCTTCGCTGTTGTTTTTGGTCTGGGGATGTGAGCTCACAGCATGTACTTGGAGGAATGTTAAGTATCAAAGGCAATGACATGACATGAATTCAGTGAACGCAGTAGTTGAAGGACTCCCCCAAAGAAATAGGGTGACAAAAGTTCAACATTTGTGAAATTAAGTATGAAGGTTGCCATGGTAAGGTAACAACAGATTTGAAATCTATAATTGTACTGGAGAGAGGCCTGTTAGAGTCCCCTCCATGTATTTTGTTCTCTCTTATGCTTTTAATGCTTCAGAAGCAAGTCACTCTGAATTCAAGTTGTGATTATAATTACCCTTATTATTATTCTCAGAACGTTCTTTGGAACCAACATGGTTTTTAGGGAAGAAAATTAATTGCAGCTTTTCTTGGTTTAGAAATGTAGGCAACTGGATATTCTGGCAAATTCACATCCTGTCTTCTTCCCATGCGTAGATAACAGACTTTCTCTTTCTACCTGTCTATCCAGTTTTCCAGTAAAGGTATTTTTTCAGGAGGGTATTATGGAATTCTGCATATTGTAATTGTTTTTGAAATCATAAGAAAATCAAGAACAAGTCAGCCAGAGAAACAATAACACCACAGTCATCTCCCCAGAGACCTTTGTTTTTAGGTTTTAATATTTCATGTCAGACTTCTCATGAAGTGAATTCTATAAAAATAATGAAGGATATATGGAGATCATTACAATAAAGGATACATATCAAATATGGATATTTTTTATTTTAAGGAGGCAATTTAATTATATCCAGATGGAACATTTAAAAAGTCACATCTATGCATCATCATCTTTCAGCAGTAGCACAGATGGTACCTTTTCATTTGTACCACGTGCCAACATTGACAGTGTGTCCAGCTGTCTACCCCGCCTCCATCACAATTCCAAGTTTATGTGTAAAAGGACATGTTGGTTAAGTCAGAGACCCATGGGAATCTGCATTACCAGGGGCCATGACATTACTATTTTACAATATTTCCTTCTTGAGGGAAGCGGATGGGGTTGCCAGACCTTGACTTTTGTTTGCTGCACTTGAGTAAGGTGCCCCAAGTCTTTTTGCCCCATCCCGGGGACAGGCCACAGATCCGCAGTGATAGAGAGAACCTCGCAACATCCGCAGACCTTCTGCTAAAGCCCTTGTTTGTTTAATATTCTGTTTCCTTGCTATTTATGTTTCTAGAAATTAGGGAGAGGCTTATCCCTTCATGTCCCAAATAAAGTCAAAAATGATGACTGATTTCATCAAGGGCCCTACAGCTTACGAGAAGCAAACGAACAAACCCATAAAACCAAATAGAGTGGAAACACATCATCACCAGCACCACCGGCACCAGCACATCGCCCCCCTCCCCCATCTAACTGTAGGAATGGTTTGTGTGGAAACAGTAGCAGGATTTTTGTTTCTCTAGGGAAATTCCTATGGTCTTCCTGGGGCAGCATACCAGCTTGGGGCCCAGAAAAATCAGGGGAGGCACCAAGAAATTAAGTAATGGGAAGCACTTCTCATTGCATTTGAGGGCAGCTAAAGAGAAAATGAAAGCACTTGCCGGCCGGGCACGGTGGCTCAAGCTTGTAATCCCAGCACTTTGGGAGGCCGAGGCGGGGGGATCATGAGGTCAGGAGATCGAGACCATCCTGGGGAACACGGGGAAACCCCGTTTCTACTAAAAATACAAAAAATTAGCCGGGCGCAGTGGCGGGCGCCTGTAGTCCCAGCTACTCGGGAGGCCGAGGCAGGAGAATGGCGTGGACCCAGGAGGCGGAGCTTGCAGTGAGCCGAGATGGAGCCACTGCACTCCAGCCTGGGCGACGGAGCAAGACTCGTCTCAAAAAAAAAGAAAGCACTTGCCACTCTCAGGCTGACCTGCAGTTTGTTTTGTTGTGATAACACAAACTGTCCAAAGAGCAGAGAATCCCTAATTTTGGCATATCCTAGGGCCCTGGGGCATTTCATGGCCTGGCACTTACCACTTTATTGACAAATCCTAAACTGACTGATGTCACTGATAGTGATAGGCACTTATCATTTTCAACATTCCACAACTGTGCTAACCTCAGTGGTCTCCTGCCCCTGGCTGTTGGTAGAGAGCTTCTGGTTCTTTGAGTTCTTTGAAAAACACTGTCTCCTCATTCCTCAGCCTTTCCTGTGTCGTTGCGCTTAGTCAGGAGCCTCTGCAGCTCCTCTCATCAAGAGATGGAGCCTATTTCCTTGCCCTTTGGTTCCGATATCATCTGTGTGATTTGCTTTGGCCAATGGGATGTCGGCAGCTGTGACTCAAGCAGAAGCTTGAGAAAAAGCTTGTTCTTTTGCAGTGGGGTTTGCTCCTCTGCTGCAGCCATGAGCAAGTGCCCAGGCCATCCTGCTGGAGAATGAGAGGGATGTGGGGCAGGGCTGAGTTGTTCCATTTGTCCCAGGTAAGAACAGTCTAGGAGCAACTCACAGCCAAAGGACTCCGAGACCAATACTTTACCTTCCATTTCATTGTCAAATTCTGGTTTTAGGGCTGGGCATGGTGGCTCACTCCTGTAATCCCAGCACTTTGGGAGGCCAAGGCAGGCAGATCATTTGAGGCCAGGAGTTCGAGACCAACCTGGGCAACATGGTGAAACCCTGTCTCTACTAAAATTACAAAAATCAGCCAGGTGTAGTGGTGCGTGCCTGTAATTCCAGCTGCTCAAGAGGCTGAGGCATGAGACTTGCTTGAACCTGGGAGGTGGAGGTTGCAGTGAGCCAAGATCATGCCACTGCACTCCAGCCTGGGTGACAGAGCAAGACTCTGTCTCAAATAAAAAAATTTGGCTTTATCGCCCATGTAATTCCCAAGTTTGCCCACTTTGCTCTAACTCCATGGCTGCCACCCTGACAGCTGTACCATATTTCACCTGGATTTCTGCAATGTCCTTTTTCCTTCACACTTTCCCGCAAGACTTTGCCCACTCAGCAACCTGGGAATCTTTTAGAAACATAAATCAGATGGTGTCAGTCCTCTGGATAAACCCTTTGCTGGGTGCTCCTTCCTCTTAGAATAAAAGCCAATACTTAGGCTGGGCGCAGTGACTCACGCTTGTAATCCTGGCATTTTGGGAGGCTGAGGTGGGCAGATCACTTGAGGTCAAAAGTTCAAGACCAGACTGGCCAAAATGGTGAAACCCCATCTCTACTAAAAATGAAAAAATTAGCCGGGCATGGTGGCGGGCCCCTAATGCTAGCTACTTGGGAGGCTGAGTCAGGAGAATTGCTTGAACCCAGGAGGTGGAGGTTTCAGTGAGCCGAGATCATGCCACTGCACTCCAGCCTGGGAAATAGAGCAAGATTCTGTTAAAAAAAAAAAAAAAAAAAAAAAAGCCAATGCTTAGCAGTTCTCAAGGCTCACACGGTGTCTTTCCTTAGCCAAACTCACTACACTGCCCCAGCCTCTTCCTAGGCTCCTGTTCCACTGACCTGCTTTTTTCCCTTAGCAAGATAACTTCCTTCCCATCTCCAAGCCTTTGTCCGTGCTGCTCCCTCCACTTGGAATGCCCTTTCCCCAGCACTGCCAATCACTGGCTGATTTTCTTGCTTCAATCTTTGCTGAAACATTACCTCCTCCTGGAAAGCTTCTCTGTCCTCTACCTAATGAACCCTCCAAGTTGCAGTCATACCATCTAGATGATTTCTTTCATAACATTAATCACGATCTGTAATTATCCTATTATTTATTTGCTTCTTCGTTGGCTGCCTTCCTAGTTAGAATGTAAGTTCCTCTTAGACAAGATTGTGATTTTCTTACTTTCACTGATATTTCCAGCACCTTGCCCAGAGCTCAGCATATTGTCAGTGCTCTGTGGCTGCGTCATATATAAGGTTAAAAGTGGAGAACCCTTATACCTGTACATGCATTCACACAAATAACACACATGCAATGTGTTCATGTGAATGTTAGTGATTCCTTTTTCTTTCTCTGTGTGTGTGTGTGCATGTGTGTGTGTTTTTTGACCCTGTCACTTAAACTGGAGTGCGGTGGTGCAATCACAGCTCACTGCAGCCTCAACCTCCCGGGCTCAAGTGATCCTCCCACCTCAGTCTCCTGAGTAGCTAGAACTACAGGCACACACCACCATGCCTGGTTAATTTTTTGATTTTTCTGTAGAGATGAGGTCTCACTATGTTGCCCAGGCTGGTCTTGAACTCCTGGGCTCAAATGCTTCTCTCACCTCAGCCTCCCAAAGTCTGGGATTATAGGCATGAGCCACCATGCCTGCCATGATTCCTTTAACTTCACTCTCATATGTAATGTATATGTGGAACACACATATATGTGATATATTTGCAGTATTTGTGTATAATGTATAATATATGTATATATGTAATGAGATCTTTATTTAAAACATTTTTGGAGTCCTTTATTTTTCACCCAACACACACACACATAAATATACACAATTTACTCCTCAGAATCTTGCATTATATAAAAATAGAAATTGAGCATCTTTTTGTAACAGCAGATATAAGCTTACTTATTTTTAAGGTTGCATAGTATTCCTTTGTATGGCTATATCATAATTTATTTAGCCATTGTGAATTGGTAAGTACTAAGGTTGTTTTCATTCGGTGATGAGAAAACAGAAACTGAAGGAGATAGTTTGTCCAAGCCAACCAATGTTGAACTTGGGGTCTGAGTCCTAGTAATGGGGTGGGGCACCTGAAGCCTAACCTGGCACACCCATGCCATGCACATGGTAGGAGACATGTTTGTTGGGGGTAGATTCCATTCCTGTTGCTGTCCTTTTTTTTTTTTTTTTTGAGATAGAGTCTCGCTCTGACACCCAGGCTGTAGTACAGTGGCGCGATCTCGGCTCACTGCAATCTCTGCCTCCCAGGTTCAAGCAATTCTCCTGCCTCAGGCTCTCAAGTAGTTGGGACTACAGGCACGTCCCACCACGTCCAGCTAAGTTTTTGTATTTTTAGTAGAGACAGGGTTTCACTGTGTTAGCCAGGATGGTCTCGATCTCCTGACCTCGTGATCCGCTGGCCTCGGTCTCCCAAAGTGCTGGGATTACAGGTGTGAGCCACCGCACCTGGCCGCTGTCCTATTTTTTTGGCTCTACTTTCTCCAATCAATTCATCTCCCAAAAGTTGAAAGGGATCATATATGTCAGTGGTTTTCAAACGTTACTGCTCATAAAATTACCCAGAGATCTTGTTATAACACAGACTGCTGGGCTCCACCTCAGAGATTCTCACTCAGTAGATCTGGGGTGGAGGCTGAAATTCTGCATTTCTACCAAGTTGATGGATGCTGAAGCTACTGGTCCATGGTCCATGCTTTGAGTATGTGAAGCACTCTGTAAAGTCTACAAAATCAAGAGGGTGTGAGCTTTGAGCCTGTACTGAATCCTTACTGAATGCCAGCTATTGGGATAAGCATTATGGGGAAATAAAGAAACCCAACGTGGAGTCTCATCCATAAAGACTTAAGAATTTAATCAGTGAAAACAAAATGTGTAACAAAAGCATAAGTTTTCAGTACAAAGAAGAGTGATATAAGTGCCAAAGGAATAGTCTTTAATTAGAAATCAGTTCTGGGGAAATAAACACTCTACTTAGTGCAGACCATCTGATTTTTGGAAACTTCTTGAATATCAGTTTTGTTGATAAAACCTTCTCCCCTCACTTTAGCATGTGTGGAATTAAGTGTTTTCCTGGAACTTGTTGACAACTGGTTTGAGCCTCTGCTTGCTGTCTGTCTCTTAGCCGAGACTGTCCCAAGAGCCACATTACCAGAAATGGAGGCCGACTGAGATCGGTTTTCCTAGAGCAGAGCCTGAGACGGGAGGTTCTTGTGTAAGTGATTTATTTAGGGAGTGCTCTCAGAAGAAATCTGAAATGGGATGAGGAACACAAGACAGGGCAGGGGCAGGAGAAAAATGAGGATATGGGCTCAGTTGTAGCCTCAGCCTGACCCCACAGGGAGCTCTGGAACAAGAACAGCAGCAGAGCTGTGCCACCGTGAGTCAAGGGGGCAGCCTTCAGCGCCCCACTGCCAGTCACTGCTGTAGGTTGTTCGGGGGGGCGGGGTGGCATCATCTCCAGGGTGATGTGGCTCCCTTTGGCACAGGTGCCTTCATGAGGACCTTGTAGGCCAGGGGACCCCTCCTGACTTTCCCCCATTTCCCCCCTGATTCTCACAGTCTTTGTAAAACCCTCTTTTCTTTCTTCTCTTTTATTTGGCAAGCATGTATCACACACATATTCTAGGCACTATTTGTACACTTGTAAGGTCCATTTAGGGCCTCAATCTCTGTTCCACAACAAACAGCGATGTCACTTGCTGACAAAATCTGACCTGGTGACTCCAAGGAGGTCCTTGACACTCTCCCTCCGGGGTCATACACCTGTATTTTATTCGTGGTCTTCTAAAGACAAGTCCCAGTTTAAGATCGAATGTCCTGCCCTCTCCACACTGGAGGGTTTGCCCTCTCCTGCCCTACCCCACACTGCAGCCAGGGGAATCTCTAGTCAAGAGAGGCTGGCCCTTTCACTCTCACTTAAAATCTGTAAGGATGCTCTATTGCCCTCCAGGTAAAGTCCAAATTCCCCATCCTGGTTTGTAAGATTCTTCATGTTTTGGTGATCAGCCCACCTCATCTCTCACCTCTACTTAAGCTTGAGGAAAGTCAAAATGTCCACTCACCAGGGCATCCGCATGTCTGTGTCTTAGCTTGTTCTACTGTGCTGAATAATGGCCACCACAAGATACTAGGTCCCAATCCGTGGAAACTGTTAATGTTACTTCACAGGAAAAATGGGTCCTTTAAGATGTCATTGTAAATGATCTTCAGATGGAGAGATGTTCTTGGATTATCTGGGCCCTAAATGCAATCCTAATGTGTTTGTAAGATAGAAGCAGGGCCGGACACAGTGGCTCACTGCAGTAATCCCAGCATTTTGGGAGGCCAAGGTGGGCGGATCACTTGAGGTCAGTTCAAGACCAGCCTGGTCAACATAGCAAAACCCAGCCTCTGCTAAAATTACAAAAATTAGCTGAACGTGGTAGTGCACACCTGTAATCCCAGCTACTTGGGAGGCTGAGGCATGAGAATTGCTTGAACCCGGGAGGCAGATGTTGCAGTGAGCTGGGAGGGATCACGCTACTGCACTCCAGCCTGGGAAACAGAGTGAGACTCTGTCTCAAAACAAAACTAAACAACAGCAAAAAAAGACAGAGGCAGTGGGAAAGCTGACACATAGAAGAGGTGAGGGGAAGAGGGAGACAGAGATTGGAATGGTACGGCCACAAGTCAGGGACTGCTGGCAGCTACCTGAAGTTGGAAGAGGCAAGAATGGATTATCCCCTAGACCCTAGCCTCTTTAGGGAGCGTGACTCTATCAGCACCTTAATTTCAGATTTCTGGTGTCTAGAACAGCAAGAGACTAAATGTCTTTTGTTTTAAGCCACCTGTTTTGTGGGAATTTGTTACAGCAGCCATAGGAAACTAATACGGTTGTGATTTACCTCTTCCTGGAATTACTCAGGACCCCCACTCTCTCCCACAACACATATTTCATCAGCATAATTCTTTGTAGCTCATATGCTGCCTCCTCCAGGTAGCCTCCCAGATTTCTCCTTTCACCACCTCCAGGCTTGGGTCTGAATAGACAGCCCTCCTCTGTCTCCCATAATTCCTTATGCGATCCTCTGTCATTGCTTTTGCTCCATTCTTTTGTATATGACTCTTCCTAGGTCAATCTCCTTGTTAAATTCTAAATCCCCAGGGTCCTATTCATTTTCCTAGCCCCCGGGCTTGGCATCATGCCAGGTAAAAGTGTCTTTTCTGTATTTGTTTTCTGCCATCATGGGGACATAGATGTTATGGTCCAGTGGTTAAAGGAGAGATTTGGGGACCTGACAAATCACCCTACATGGGTGGGTGGCAGCTCCCCAGGCTAAGCCAGGAGTGGGCAGCTTTCTCCCTGACTGTCCAGCCCTCCAGCTCAACCTGCTCTAGAGCTTTTTGGGGCCGGGGGCCTGGGGTGCTCCCTTCAGTTTCATGTCTGCAGCACCCATGTTTATTTTCTGCTCATCTTTTTTTACAATCTCCTCCTCTCTCTGCTCTCCTTATCCTGCCTCCCAAACAACAGTGACTCACCACCTCTGATGCTGCTCCCTTTTGTCATTATTTTTAGGAGCCGCATGATTTCCCTCATTATCACCCTCGGGCTAGACCAGGATTTGGCCTGCAGTGTTTTATTTCTTAGGGCCAAGGTGCAGAGCACAGACCAAGTGACATTTCAATAAACTAGATGTCAGGTTAGTGGTCTAATAATCTGGTTTCTCTGAGGAGGTAGAGGCTGAATGTAGCATTTGAAAATTAAAGATTGGGCTTCAGTCAAAGGGATGATCTTGAGTCTTTTCAATTCTTCCTCTGACACACACAATTCCTGGCCAACATTTGCAGTCAACTTTGACACTCCCTCCTAAAATCTGACGTTTTTTATTAGCCTCAAATGAAGGTAGGTAATTGCTTTGTTATTTTTTTAGACAACAGATAGAGGGATTCTAACATGGAGGTGGTGGTGACAGCCTATTTTCTACCCTTTGTGCTGTTTAGAAGCCACCACAATGTTGTAATTACGAAAGCTGGGCTTTAGGGGAGGGTTTAATAGCTTGTTCACAAAGTGGCTGAAAGTTATCTATTGCTACGTACAAATTATCCCCAAACTCAGCAGCCCCAAACAACAAACATTTGTGACCTCACAAAGTTTCTGAGAATCAGGATGCAAGAGCAGCATAGCTGGGTGGTTTTGGCTCAGGGTCTCTGATGAGACTGCAGTCAATATGTTGGTTGGGGCTGCCATCTTCAGAAGGGGCTGGAGGATCTGCTTCCTAGAAGCAGATCACATGGCTATTGGCTGAAGTCCTCAGTTCCTTGTCACATAGACCTCCTTAGAGGGTTGCTTGAGTTATTTGTATGACACAACAACTTGGCTTCTTCCAATGTAAGTGATCCAAGAGAAAGAAAGGAGGAAGCCACAGGCCTCTGATAACCTAGTTTCAGAAGTTACACATTGTCACCTCTGCCTTATTCTAGTCCATAGAAGTGAGTCACTAAGCTCATACCTGAGGGGAAGAGAATTAGGCCTCACCTTTTGAAGGGAGTGTTGAATAATTTGTAGACATATTTTAAACCACCCAACTGTCTTTTTTTCAAATAGCTTCACACAAGGCAAACAAGTCATTGTTACCCTGTGGATAAAAATACCACCTGGTATTTGAATGTTCTGCTGGGAGGTTGCAAAAAACATGGAAGTCTTATATATCACACTCATTGAAATAGTGAAAAAGTCATATTTATGAAGATGAGTGAGAGGGTATTCTGCTTTCGTAGGCATGGATGAGGGAAGAGTTTGGAAAATGTGGGGGACACAATTTAACTTAGAATTTTCTGTTTAATATATACATTGTTAACTAGCTATCTCATTGGGCTCTTTGATTCAACAATTCAACACTATGAGGAATGAGACAAAAATCCCTGCCTTCAAGGATGAGAGATGAATGATGCAGAGCTAACCCAGCTAAGCTGCCCAAACCTAGCCCAGCCTAGACAGAAACTCAGCTGACCCATAGGTGCATAAATGATTCCAGCAGAGACGGGTAGAACTGCTTAGCTGAGCCCAGCTCAGATATATACTGAAGAAGTGTGAGACATTAATACTTATTGTTGTAGGCCACTGAGATTTCATGATTACTTGTTATGCAGCAATAGGAACAGACACAAGTTTACAGTGTCATAAAAGAGACAAACATAATGAAAAAATTTGCAAAGCAACATATAATAAATATTATACTTGAAGATTGTATAGGGTGCTCTGAGAAGAGTGAAATGGGAGTGTTTAAATCTGCCTTGGGAAGTTGAACACTTCAGTTGCCTGAATAAAGTCCCCAAGATGAGCAGGTATTTGCCAAGGTGGGGTGGGAAAAGCACATCCTTTCAGATACTGCAACTATCTTAGTAAATTGGAGAGCAATAGTAATGGATGAGTCCTAATTGGTGGCAGCCACTGGATCAGGAATAGCTTCATACATAGTGCTAGAATTTTCACTTCATCTTAAAGGTAACTATTGGAGGATTGAAGAGGCATAAACTGATCAGACTGATGGTTTTTTAACCATGGTCTGGGAGTGGTATGAAGGGTGAAGTGAGACCCAAGCAGGAACTGGGTAGGCTCATACTGAGTGTGTGCTCTCCCAGATATGGCCATGGGAAAGGAGGGGGCAGAGGAAAGAGATATTCGGAGGTGGCATAGACAAGACGCGGTGACTGATTTAATGAGGGGGTGGTTCCTGGCTTCAGTCCCAAGGCAGAGAAGTTTAGAAGGGGGCGGTGGTGAGCATGTCATGGTGGTTCATGATGAGTTTGAAGTGCCTGTGGGTGAGCTAGAAGGAGGTGTTTAGTAGGCAGGCAGAAATGTGGTTTTGGGCCTCAGAAGAGGAGCCTGCAGCAGGCATCTAGGTTTGGGAATCATTTGCATAAAGGTAGTAGCTGAAGCTATTATAGGCAAGGTTGGGTTTGTATACTTTGAGAAGCAAACCCAATTTAGTATCTTAGGGAAATGCAGACACCTAAAATATGTGCAGAGGAAGAAAAACCGAAGGAGATTGACAAAGAGCAGCCAGAGACGACCCAGGGGAAAGCAGTTTTGCAAAAACAGATGAAAGAGTTTTTTTTTAAGTTGGAGGTTAACAATATCAAATATCCCAGGAGACCAGAGTAGCTGAGGATTGAAAAATTTTACTTCTTTGTTTTGTGCCCAGAAAGTATGATGAATTTTATGGTGACCTGAGTGAGGGTTTCATAAAGGTCAAGAAGGATGGAAGATAGACTGTAGAGAATGGACAGGAAAACTGAGAGTCAAGAAATGAAAACCACAATGGTTATTAACTGCTGCATGATATTTGAACTATCCATGGTTTCTTGGTCTTAGCACTGACTTTAGCCATGGATGGGTAGACAATTCTGTGCAGGCTTTGACTCACTTCAAGCAGGAGGCATCTTGCCTTTAGTGTGTACCTTGGGTTTTCCTTTTTGTCTCAGGGCTTCTTCAATGCTATGGGCATCAATGAGAGTTTGCTCGACCCTGTGGATGCAAGCGTGGCAGTGTGGGGAAATTAATACCTCTAGAAATAACCCTTTAGGTACAGGGATGAAAGCTGATTAATAAATGCTCCTGCCACCCATCTTTTGGGTGGCCAATACTGAGAGGCATTCTGTACACTTCTCAGAGGTCCCATGGAATTGAGCCCCATTGCCCAGAGTGGTGACCTTGACAACAATGCTTACGGTGGCCTTTCTTTCTTAAAAGATCTCTTACTCTGGCTCTCTGAGATCACCTCTTAAATAAACTACCTGAATCCAAGAGCATATGTCAGTCTCTGTTTTGAGAGCATCTAAACCAAAAAGGAAATATTTTAGACACTAGTGATTTAAGACGATTACGTACATATCAACAGGTACTCACTCACTGCACCCATTCTCCCAACTACAGCTCCTGCTACTTAGGTAGCCATGTTTTGTGTCACATGACCAACTTCTCCATCAATAGCTCATTGGACCAAAGGTGAGCACATGACTGAGCTCAGCCAATCCAAACATAGGCTGCTCAGCAACCTATGATGTTGCCTGTTGTGAACCTAAGCGGGGGAACTAACTGGATTCCTTTCTGTGGGAATTTCAGTAGAAAACATCTCAAGAATGAGGGAGAAAAGCAATGAAAGCAGAAGCTGAAAGGTTGAGATGAAAAAAGTAAATGGAGAAAACATGGTTGGTTCTCTTTAGCCAACATTATGAGGTAGCCAAACTGGTGAGAATATAAAGACAAACAGATAGAAGTGGAAGTACCACATAGCCGTTAAGCAAGAGGAAGAGAAGACTCCATGACTCTCTAATTTCAATTCTTCTGTGTGACCTTCACCACAAGCTTCCTTTTGCTTGAGGGACGTTTAGTAAGACTGTTTCATGCAGCTACAACAGCCTCAGTAGAGTCAGTGTGACTGGAGAAAGATACCTATGGAGAGGGAATGTGTTTGAAGCCCTCACTCATTGCTCCAAACCAACACTCTACCCTTTTCCACCCTGTTCTGGGTCTTGGAAGTGCCAATTTGTGTGGACCTCATTACTGACTCCCATCCACTAGCTTCTGGTAGGCTTTGGCCCTTGGGAGCCATCAGAAAGGCAAGAAATCAGACGGCAGGAGTAGAGGGATACTGGTATTTATTTTCAGTTTTCTCTCTCCACGTTGCCCTAGGTTGGCTCCATCCCTTCACCAAAGGCCACAGCTCCAGCCAGACGGTGTCCTCTCCATGGAAAACTACCTTTTCTAGGCTCAGGGAAACAGCTCCCTTTCCTTGCCTCTTTGGGACTAGGGATGGGAAGGGCCCCCACTGTTGCTAGTCCCAAGGGACTGCACTCTCCTCCTTGGTTTCTCTAAACCTGCCCACACCTTTATAAAGAGTCGCTGTTATTAAAGTCCTGTTACATTACCCAGGCATTCTAAGAGCCTGACTGATACAGGAAGGCAGTACAGCATAGATGGGAAGGGACATTTTGAAACTGGAGGGACAGGAAATGAAAGTGGTTTATGCCTTATAATTGCAGACCGTGGTGCTGTACTACTGCAGGGAGCATTTTTCACATTGGGAAGCAATTATGTAACCTATGCCTATATATATATATTTGTCATTTTGGTAACTATTTTGAACTTCCTTGTTGAGATATAACATACATACAGAAAAGTGCACATGTAACATATTACACAGATCAGTAAACTTTCACTAACTGAACACGCCCATGTAACCAGCGCCTATATCAAGAAGCAGGATTACTAGCATCCCAGAAGCTTCCCTTGCATCTTTAGTCACTAACCATTTCCCCCAAGGATTACCACTATTCTAGCTTCTAACACTATGGACTCATTTATCCTGTTTCTGAACTTTATACACATGGAATGGAACAACGTGCTCTCTTTTGTATTTGGCTTCTTCCATCCTATATTGAGATAATAAGACTTACGTATGTTGCTTCAGCATGTAGTTGTAGTTTACTTATTCTCTTTACTGTAGGTGTTCTATGTGAAAACAACCAAAATTTATGTCTTCATTCTATTGTTGATGGGCATGTGGATAAATGCCAGTTTGAGCTACAAACATTCTAGTACCTGTCTTTGGGTGAACAAAAGTATATACAGTTGACCCTTGAACAACCTGGGTTTGAACTGCACAGATCCACTTACATGTGGATTATTTTCAACCAAATGGGGATGGAAAATACAGTGTTCATATGATGCAAAGCTCAAGGATACAAAGGGCTGGCTTTTTCTATACTCAGGTTTCACAGGACTGACTTCAAGACTTGAGTATACACAGATTTGGGTAGAAGCAGAAGTCCTAGAACTAATCCCTTGCCTATACAAAAGGACCACTGTATTTCTGTTTAATAGATACTTAAGAATGGAATTGCCAAGTCAGTGTATGCATACAGCTTTAGTACATACAGCCAAATGGTTTTCTAAAGTGGTTATACCAGTTTACACTGCCACCTGCTGGGCGTGAGAACTTCAATGGGATCATACATTTTCCGTGGTACCAGTCCAGGATTTTCCTGTGTTCCCAAGGACCCCAGGCCTAAGGAGGGGTCAGGCAGAGAACTCTATTGATCCAGAGTTTGGGATTTATAGTCCAGGATTGAAGGGCAAAACAGGGAAGATGTGACCCAAGAGTGGAGGCTGTCACACACTGGAGCTCTTGGCAGGATTGGAAATTGGGGTCATTGAGAGAAAACTTAGAAGCAGACATTAGAAGTTTAGGTTAGTTTGAAGGGCAAGTGCAAAGACATAAGAAAGAACATGAGAGAGTGAAGGTATGACTATTTTGGTTAGAGAATGACATATATGGAGTTTAAGATTGCTGAACTTTGGAGCAGTGTTGGATGAGCTGAGACCCAGGATGAGAACAGCTTTGTGGTGTAGGAGGGTGTACTCAAGGGCAACTTGGTGATGGCTGTGAGAATAAAGAAAGAGAGAGCAAACAAGGAACAGGTTATTTCGGGAAGATGAACTAGAAATAGCCTGAAGAGGCAAGGGAGAGCTGAGTTTGTAAACAGCCTCTGTCCTCCAATCCTTCAGAAACCATTGTTATTTAAAAGCTTCTTTTTATACTTTTTTCTCTAGTTCCTTTTTTTTTTTGGACAGAGTCTTGCTCCAGGCTGGAGTGCAGTGGTGCCATCTCGGCTCACTGCAACCTCTGCCTCCCGGCTTCAAGCGATTCTCCTGCCTCTGCCTCCCGAGTAGCTAGGACTATAGGCACCGGCCACCACACCCGGATAAGCTTTGTATCTTTTGTAGAGACAGGGTTTTACCGTGTTGGCCAGGCTGATCTCGAACTCTTGTTCTTTTTTAACTAATAATGGCAGTTCTCCTCATTCTCTTCCGTGTTACCATTTTGTCAAAATTGCTTGACTCTATCTTCTTTGGTGTTCCTTTTCCTTTTCTTCCTCTTCATGCTAAACTATCTGGTTCATTGCCTCTGGGTCTTTAGGATTAAAAGAAACAAAACCAAAAACAAACCAAAAAACACCTTTCCTGATATTATTATCTGTCATCCAAAACCTTAGATCTACTACCAATATTTAGAATATTTATATATTAATATTTCCATCTACTCTTGAGTTCATCTTATTTGTCCTCTAAATTATTCTAGAACAGAGGCTTTTAAAGATTTCTTTCTCTCTCTCTCTCTCTTTTTTTTTTGCCTCTTCTTTTTTAACAGTGAATGCTTTCAAACAAAATCTTCGATGAAACCCTATATATGGAACAGGCGAATGTGGAGCTGCTGTTACTGTATGCAACCTGAACAATGAGATGCAGTACCCTGGGTAGGTGCCCTGCTTGTGTGGTCTCTCCCTCTTTTCCCTCCCACAGTAGATGCTTCTTAAACACGCCTTCTAATTTTCTTGTCCCTGTCTCTTATTCGACCCACAACAGTGGCAATCAGTTTCATACAGGGTCCAACCAGCCTTACGGAAGTGTGAGCTGACTGTCCCCACTGCAGCCCCACCCCTCCCTTCTGCCCTGGAATTTTTCTAGTCCTCTGGTGCAGGACATTCTTGCAAATAACCCGTTGTCATCCATGCACACAACCCAGAACAGGGAAGTAAACACCCTGCCCTGTGGTAATCTTTAAGGTATATAAATGAAGGTTCTGAGAGTAGAAATTTACGTGGGCCATTGTCACAATCAAATTGATAATTGTGGAAAACAAAGTGTGGCAATCCTTGACCAGAAAGAGTTGGGAGTTGAGGGGCAAATGCAGCTCCCTTTCTTGTCCCAGGCAGATGGTCCTAATATGCATTTCCTAGGCTTCCCAGCTGTCTCACAGAATCAAACGTGCAGGTGGCTAACTCCATAACTCATGCCTCCATTGGCTTTCCAATGACTTTTTTCACCATTCACTTCTTCATCCCTCATTCCTGCTCCCTGGAGTCACAGTTCCAGATAAACTACTTAAACTTATTCCTCTATTTCAGGCTTTGTTTCCTAAGGAAGCAACCTGTAACATCCCCTAACTTGAGAAAAGCACTTCCAAGGTACTCCAAAGTTTCTTCTTGGTTTGAAATCATTGCTCTGGAATAAAATTATGTTGAGATAGTTGGAAGAGCTATCTTGACTAAAGAACTGTTAATTATTTTCAGCGCTGAGTAGGTTATTTGCATTTAATGTATATAAATGAAAGCCCTGAGAGTAGAAATTTAAATAGGGCATTGTCGTGGTCAAATCAATCTGCATTGAAAACAAAGTGAATTTTTAGTGGAGTGGTATAAAAGCTCTAGCCCCTTGGAGAGTCTGTTTGGTCTAGTTTGGAGTTTTGCCTTTAATAACAAATGAAAGTACAGATTTAGGTCTCTAGGGCTTTCTATCTCCACAGCCTCTGGATGTTTAAAAACACATACCATTAGCACTTGCCTCATCTTTCCTAAACTGGCAGTTGTCACGGTTCCTTTAAAGAAGTACAACAGTTCCTCGGAAGATAGCAGCCACTTCCCACACCCCACACCCCCAGACACCCAGGATATATCTTGTGTATACTTAAGTTGTCTCTGACACACATAATTTCTTTTTCAACCCTGAGTAATCAGTCCTTTTTGTCCCCTTAGTAAAGAGAACACTGTATTTTTGTACAGAAAAGGTGGGGAGGAAAGGAAAATAAAAGAAAGACCCCTTTCCTCCCTAAATTTCAGCGCAAATTTCCACAAAATAGCAACAAATAAAAGATAGAAAGGAAAATAAACACAGAATTGTCCAGAATAAGGGTATTTGTCAAGTGCTAATTGAGGATCCAGTTTTATTTGTACATTTTGAAATGTTTTCTTTCAAGTTCTGGGTATTTAGGGGTTAATGATGTGGCTGAAACCCTATTGCTTTGAATACGAGGGATTAGTTTTGTTGTTTCAGGATTAAGGTCAGTCTTATCAAGAGGCTGTCAGCAGCCACCCTCAGCCCTAGCTACAATCACTCTGCTCATGGTTCTCAAATCCTCCGTTGGGCTGCTGGACCACTGAGCCCCGTGATTTTTCTTTTGAATACCATTAAAGGGGAAGGATACTGGCATGTGCCCACTCTAACAAACACAGAGAGTTCACCTTAACTTTTTGTTTTCATAAGTGTCTAGGGTCAAAGAGGAGAGAAGAATTCCATACACCTCTTTGAGGTTGTAGTAGATTGATTGCAAAGACAGGCATACTATTCACCAATCTCTGTATGCACACTCTTTGCAATGAGACTGAAGAATTTTTCAACAAGAGGCAGAGCATATTTCTCTATTTCTTGGATCTGGACAGGTCTTGTGACTTGCTTTGGCCAATAGGATGTGGCAGAGGTGAAAATCTTAGCCCTCAAGATAAGTTGCATGCTTCCAATCTCTTTTTTTGGACTCCTGACTTTGTCATGAGAACAAACCTTGGCTCCCTGCTGGAGAATGAGAGACTTCATAGAGAAGAAGCCTCAGCCAATAGCTGGCCAACTCCCAGAAGCTGAGCTACCCAGTGGGCTGTAGCTGACCACAGTCACATGAGGAGCCCAGCAGAGACTGGAAGAACTGCCAGCCAAGCTTATCCCCAAATGCCAAACTGCAGAATTGCAAGCTAAATAAATATTTATTATTTTAAGACACTGTGTTTTGGGGCAGTTTGTTACATAGTAGTAGCTAACTGATGACAGAAGTTCATAGCCTCCACCATATTCCTTGAATATTTTGCCTGGTTTCCCTTATTATCATTAACAGTACTGGCAAAAATGATAACAATAGGTAACAGTAAGATAGAACTGTGGAGCGTAAAAGTCGTTTGGGCTCATAGTAACATTTGGGGAAGTATTCCTATTTTCTGCACATGAACAATAGAGAAAACAGTATTAATGCCCTTGACCTTGATGACTTTTGGGTAATGGTCAGAGACTGAATTTTAATGGTGAAAAATTCAGTACCCCCACTGCTACAATTGGGAACATGGAGATACTTGGGCAGTTTATTGGTAGACCTGACAAAGGTATGAAACATAGTTGATGTGAAATTAATTTACTTAAACCTAAGATGAAGTCCAGTGAGTACAACCTATGCACATGCATGTGATAAGTGAATTTTCTAATTAAAAGTAGCAAGAGAGGCCTGTTTCTGACCCTGATGGTGCTGATTTTGTTTCCTTTCACCTTAATCATCATCTTAGTGGTATGGAAGATTTACAAGGCAATTTAATGAACATTATCCTCGTTGATATTCCCAACCACCCTGTGGAATCAGTAAGGCAAGCATCGTGATGTCCATTTTGCTTATCCATAGACTAAAACTCAGAGAAGTCTTAATCAAGACTCCTGATTGAATTCTCTTTCCACAGCATGTCCATGCTACCCTTTAGTGTGCAATTTTGTGGGAGGCAGAACATTGCCTTTTACTATAAACTTTCATTTCTCCAACCCTTGTTTGGGGAGGGTGTAGTGATGCTTGAGGACAAAGGCTAAGTTTCATGGTGAAGGGCAGTAGGTTTAGGCAATCGTTTTGGTATTGCTTTGCATGCAGCTTCTTGCTCAGCACCAAAGAATGCCAAGGGGCATTTCACTGAATAATGATGGATCCAAAAAATGCTTTGAAGCAGATGGAAGGCAGCACATTTCTCTGTAGCAGTGTTTTGGGGAAGATGCTTAGGAGCTGGCCTGAATCTTGTGAAGGTGTTGCCTTAGTAGGACTCTCTGAAGAGCAGACCATGAGACAAGGTTTTCTGGGCAAGTAGTTTATTTGAGAAGAGATTCCAGAAAAAAAACAAGTAGGAAAGGTGGGAAAGAGACAGAGAAAAGCAGATAGCCAGTAAAGTGGTTGATAAGTATCAGGTGAGTTATCACATGAGCAATTAGAGATTGATTCAGCTGGGGAACTCTGGGAGACAATGCAGAACACACACCTTGGAGTTATCCCAACCTAGGGCCAAAGAAGCTGGGGTATCCACTCATCCATCCTCATCCATTCTTGATGACTGCTTGCAAGGCCATTAAAACTTCAGCGTTCTGGCTATCCCTGCCGCAAGGCAGAGAATTACATGATTCTTCACTGCAAACAGCCTTTTATGAACAGAGGTGTGTGCTTGGAGGATGTGGGCAAGGCATCAGCAGGGTCTGGTAGGAGGATTATGGGCCAAATTTTTCTGATTTCTTTATGGAGATAGGATCATAAACTCAAGGCAGTCAACCCCCTGAATAGAATGGTCTTGAAGCTATGTTATGGCAAGAGGCTAGAGGAGCCAAGGATTGTGTAATGGTGGGTGGTGAATACCAGCTGGAGGCATCCTGCCTGGGATTGCTCCTCCAGAACAGTGAGACAACTGAGAGTGTTGGCAACTCATCCAGGAGATAGCTGCAGGTACTACAGTTAAATGCCTTGACAATGGTTCACTTTTCTTTGTTTTCTTGTTCCCTACATTCTAAGAGACAGACTTGAGTATCCAAAACTTAAAGAACCTGAGGTAGGTACACAACAAACATGTTTGAAGGTAAATTAGTAAGTGGATGATTGTATGAAGACCTAAATCTTGGACCATGAGGTCAACACCTTCTACTCTTCTAAGAAAATTTGACTTGACATTCATTGCTTGCATACCACTTGTCTCATTATCTGAACTTGCTTCCTTGCTCACTGGGCCAAGGGTTTGCAACTTTCTTCTAGCATATGTAGGAAATACTTAACACGAGTACTGATTCACAGAGGAGGTACTCCACTATTATTAAATGATAAGATAGAGGCAATTTGTACTTTCATTTCATCACTTTCAGCCTCTGCTTCTCCAGTGGGTCACTCTGGATGTATTTTAATTACTCTAAACCTTGAAGAATTCCCTGACTAAACTTCACTTTATTGGTGAGGTCTTCCCTGACCATTCTATTTTACAGTAACACCTGGCTATGAATTGAATGTGTCACCTCCAAAATTCATGTGTTGAAACTTAAACCCCATTGTGGTGGTATTAAGAAATAGGGGCTTTTGGGGAGTGATTATGTCATGAGAACTTCACTCTCATGAATGAATTAATGCCTTTTAACAGGGCTGGAGAGAACTAGCTTAGTCCCTTTTGTCCTTCTACCTTCCTCCATGTGAGGACACAGTTTTTCCCCTCCAGAGGATGCAGCAATAAGGCACCATCTTTGAAGCACAGAGAGCAGCCCTTACCAGACATCAAATTTGCTGATAACTCGATCTTGGACTTCCCAGTCTTCAGAACTGCGAGAAATAAATTTCTTTTATTTATGAATTACCCAGTCTGTGGTATTTGGTTATAGCAGCACAAGTGGACTAAGATACACCCTCTGTCCTACCTCTTATGCTCTGTACCCCCTTCATTGTGTTGCATTTCTCTACAACATTTACCATTCCATATCCTTTATATATTGTTAATCTCTCTGTCCCTAGCTTGAGTGTAAGTTCAGTTAATGCAAGGAATTTTCCCTGCTTTGTCTGTTTGCTTTTTGTTTCTCCTAGTGCTGTTTTTCCAATACTCAGAACAGGGCTTGATATATAATGGAAGCTCAGTAAATATTTATTGAATGAATGAGTGAATAAAAGGTATGTTCACAAGGACCTTCTGCTATGACATCTAGTCCATCTTTCTTTGCTTCTCCTTGTGGAGGCAATTGTCTCCAGGAGTTTCTTGGCTGGCTGAATTGACAAAGGTGCATTTCTGAAATGTATATTTCAGGACTCTCTAAAACTTCAAAGTCACACACATCTGGCTTAAATCACACTACATCACTTATTAGCTGAGAGAGCTTGTTCAAATAAACTATCAATTTCTTCATCCGCAAAATGGGGCTAATAATGCTGGTTTTGCCAAATTGCCAAGCTTTTTTTTTTTAAGAGTTTAATGAGTCAACATAAATGAAGCACTTAGCACAATGCCTGGCATGTACTAGATAGATGATCACAAAATACGGATTTTCTTTTCTTTTTCAATGCAATCATCAGTTTATTAATGAATTAGTGACACAGAGATTGGGGAAAGTTGGTGAAAGCAGAGGCTGGAGGAGGATGTGGAAGAAGGGTAACAGAAATAGAAATGAGAGTCCGACAAGAGAAAAGGACTCTGTTACTGGGATCTGGGGCCACCCTTCACCTTCTGGTCTTTTGTAGAAGGGTCCTCTGCCAGTGCCAAGTAGGAGGGAGGTAGAAGATTGAGCTTTCACAGTGTTCCACATTGCCCTAATCATTTCATTTCTAATGTACTTTCTGAGTTGGCGCATTACCCAGAGCTGATTCATCCCTGAGGCATAGGTCTCCCTTTAGCCTAACGGAGATGACTGCATACAAGTGGTGGCTGGATAACCTCAATCATCAAAAGAAATATGCTTCAGAAAAAATAATGTGACAGGCTTTAAAGCAAAATGCCTGTATCTTACTTTTAATGTATCCAGTGAGAGGTTTTAATTACTCAAATGATGTGGAAACACACTCACTCATCTGGCTAAGAACAGATGGAGTTTGGAACAGAATTTTCAAATGTGGCCCATATTTGACCCCTTGGCAGCTTTGACGTATGCAGTAAATTTATTCACTTTTCCCATCTTCTAGCATCCTTTCTACTACCTTAATTTTAAGGAATAAGTTTGTTGTTACTATTGTGCCTTAGAATAACTTCCAAAAGCCACTGGCTACTTATAGAGCCTGTTCTCAGGCTTGTGAAAAGGTTAAAGAACTACTCATATTTACTGTCATCACTGTTCTTGCTCCTTAATTGCTCTCACCAAACCTCCAGAGATGCTTTTATGGATAAAATTATCTGACAGCCAACCAAGGCAACCAGGATGAATGTATCTGCATTGCTACTATGTGGACATAGAGAGAGGTGGAGGAGGTGGCAGAGGTGATGGAAGTGATGATGATGATGTTGGCAGAGGAGATGGATGGTCAGGTGGTGGTGGTGATGGTGGCAGTGGGAGCGGTGGTGGTGATGGAGGTGATGATGGTGATTATAATGGTGGTGGTAATAAAGGTGGAGGTAATGGGCATGCTGGTTAAGATGGTGTGGAGGTGGTAGAGCCAGTGGAAAAGGTAAGGTGGTGATAATTGAGGCAGTGGTGGTGTTAGTAGGAGTAGGGATAGTGATGGTGGAGGTGATGGCGGTGGAGGTGTTAGTGGTGGTTGTGGTGGGACAGGCAATGATGTTGGTAAAACTGTGGGGCAAGTGAATAAAAAATCTTATGTCTACACAAAAACTTTTACATCAATGTTCATAGCAGCATTATTCATAATAGTCAAAAAGTGGCCAGGCGTGGTGGCTCATGCCTGTAATCCTAGCACTTTGGGAGGCCAAGGCAGGTGGATCACCTGAGGTCAGGAGTTTGAGACCAGCCTGGACAACATGGTGAAACCTACTCTCTACTAAAAATACAAAAAAAAAAAAAAAAAAAAAAAAAAAAAAGCTGGGCGTGGTGACAGGCGCCTGTAATCCCAGCTACTTGGGAGGCTGAGGAAGGATAAGCACTTGAACCGGAAGGTAGAGGTTGTAGTGAGCCGAGATCATGCCACTGCACTCCAACCTGAGCGACAGAGCAAGATTCTGTCTCAAAAAAAAAAAAAAAAAAAAGTCAAAAAGCAGAAACAATGCAAATATTCATAACCTGATACATGGATAAACAAAATAGTATCTATGCATACAATAGAATATTATTTGGCCTTAAAAAAGAATGAAGTACTGATCTGTGATACAACATGGAGGAACCTTGAAAACATTATATTAAGTGAAAGAAGCCAGTTCCCGAAGACCACACATTGTATGATGCCATTTATATGAAATGTATAGGCAAATCTATAGAGATAACTAGTAAACCAGTAATTCCCTAGGGCTGGGAGAAGTGAGATGGGAGTGATTGCTAATAGGTATGGGGTATTTTGGCGGCAGTGATAAAGATGTTCTAAAATTAGATTGCTACCTCAGTGAATATACAAAAGAAATTAATTATATATTTAAATGGATGAATTTTATAGTGAGTCAGTAAAGCTGTTTAAAAAAACATGGAGTCAGTGGTGGTGTGGTAGTGAAGCCCTCAATTTTAGATGGTGGGGATTTTGTGGAAAGGAAGGAAGATTGGAGTTGACAGACACCAGATATACCTGAATCTATGTAGGGCCATGCCTGGGTACCATAGATTTTTTTCCTATAAATTTTTCTTTCTATGTGTTCTGGATAACTACATTTTCTCCCTTAGTCAACACTGAATTCACAAAGTAATTCTGGAGCAGGTTATGAGAATCAAGCCAAGTTGTCAGTTGCCACTGGAATCATGCTTAAATCTTCTATTTTCCCCCACACTGTCCTCGGTGCACAGAACTGGCTTTTAGTAGCTGGGATAGGGTAGCCAGGCTTTCTCTTCTCGTGTGAGTGCAAAATCAGACGAGTCCATGAAGAAATTAAAGCAGATCATCTGGAGTCTATAATTTTTAATAATTTTAAACTAGCTACAAAATGTCAATCACTTCACAAACTGACAGAGGAGACAGGAGGAATTTAATATTACATGCTATAATGATATTTATCTCACAGTTTATATTTCATTCATTTATATTATTTTTTTAAAAGGTTTCTTTATCAGCTACTAAACATCTCAGCAATTTGGTGTGCATAGCTCTAGATTAAGCAACAAAGAATTGTACTGATAACAAACCACAGGGGAAATGGTGGTTAGTAAGAGTCAGCCTTATAAAATTTACATCCACACTGTTTCACAGCAAGATTGCTCTCTCCAAAACATAGCCATCAAAAGCAGCAAACAAACCCTATATTACATCCATTTGACATAATTTCAGCCAAACATATATTTTGCTGGAAATGATTAAATGGTGAGTGTGTCAAATCCATCTTTTTTAAAATTCTTTTTTTTAAAAAAGGATGATTATGATTTAGAAGTCTCTATATATTGACAGGAAAAAAGTGACACTACTGCACTTTTGCTGGTATAACTTAATCTTGACAGTGTCTCAATACTGAGCATGCTTTGTTGTTGTTCTGTTGTTGTTGCTGTTGTTTTGTGTGTGTGTGTGTTGTCTCATCAGTATGCTACTGTCATGGAAAGTTTTTGTTTAAGTAGGAATCTAAAAATCTATTTAGTTCTCATGCATAAATGCATAAATCACATCACTTTTAGTGCAATGCCTGTTATGTAATTCCACATTGTCTAATCATGAAATCATAAAGACAGATAACAGCCATGAGGAACCAAAGACGGCACATTTTGAGAGATTCAGAGCCTGACACTCAAAGGACCGTGGCAGTAACTCTGTGGAATGTCACAGTTTTACAAGAACAATACTGTGGATTGAAAGAATCAACAGCACATTGAGCATTCCTAAATTGTTGTTATTCAGCAAATGCCACCGAGGAGAGAAAATGAAAAATGAAACTCAAGACCTCAAGGAGTTAGAGCCACCAAATGACCACTATGTACAACCTTTGGAAAGAAAGAGACCAAGAGAGAACAAAAGACACAAAGTATTGTTGGGAAGCTGACAGATGACACAGGACAACATTCACAATGGGGGTGGACTGATGTGTGTTATGTGTGCAGACCTACTAGATAATACCATGAGAAAAGCATGAAGGAGCTATCTTGCCCGACAGCATTTGGAGGAGAACACGGGTGGGCACACTTAACCACTTCCCAGCATCTTTGTTGCACGTTGGTTGGCCTCATCAATTCTGGTTTTGTTGGAATCAGCCTAGAAAAGGGGGAAAAGAAACAGAACTCAGGTTACCCCTTAAAAATCCATTCACCCTTCTGGGTCCGGGTCCAATGCTTCCTCTTGGGTGAAACCACTTAAAACCTCCTTGGTCAGCATGGGCCATCCTTTCTTTTGTCTTCCCAGAATGACGGCTATGGCTCTATTTGAATGTGACCGTAGAAGCTTAATTTTCATTTTTTTTTTTTAATGAACGAATATATTTTTTCAGAATCATTGCTTTTTTAATTTTCATTTTTAATAATTTTCCCTACCAGAGAGCGTAGGCTTATATATGATTTATCTTTCTATCCTAGAAAGACACTCAATGACTTCTGTGGTAGGCATTCACATCTGTTGGACCAAGTTGAATTACACTTCTTATACTGTAGGATTGAAACCATGGCTAATTTATTAGCAGTGTCCCTTTGAACAAATTACATCTTGGGGGCTCAGCTTTCTCTTCTCCAACCTGGATGATAAAAAATATTGCTAATGAGCATGAGCATGTACAGTGGACCCTTGGACATCATGGGTTTGAATGGTGTGGATCCACTTTTGTGTGAATTTCTTTCTTCCTTTTTTTTGAGACAGGGTCTTGCTCTGATGCCCAGGCTGGGGAACAGCGGTGTGATCATAGCTCATTGCACCCTTGACTGCCTGGGCTCAACTGAGCCTCCCATCTCAGCCTCCTAAATAGCTAAGACCACAGGTGCATGCCACCATGCCTGGCTAATTTTTCTATTTTTTGTATAGATGAGATCTCACTATGTTGCCCAGGCTGGTCTCAAACTCCTGGGCTCAAGCAGTCCTCCCTCCTCAGCCTCCCAAAATGCTGAGATTACAGGCATGTGCCATTGTACCTGGCCAGGATTTTTTTTCAATAAATACACTGGAAAATGCTTTGGAGATTTGCAACAATTAAGACAAACTTGCAGATGAATGTGTTACTTAGAAATATTGAGAAAATTTAGAAAAAATTAGGCATGTCATGAATGGATAAAATATATGTAGATACTAGTCTAGTCTATTATTTACTATCATAAAATACATATAAATCTACTATGAAAAGTTAAAATTGATGAGACTTAAACAAATATAGACCATACATGGGCCTATTTGCAGTTGAGAGAAATGTAAAGGTGAAGTATTAAATCATAATTGTATAAAATTAACTGTAGTCCATACTGTACTACTCTAATAATTTCATAGCCACCTCCTATTATTGTGGTGAACTCAAGTGTTGTGAGCATCCGTTTAAAATGCTCTGTGATACTAATCATCCTCACCATCTCTCCAGTAAATTGCATAGTGCAGTAAAAAGTGATCTCTTGCAGTTTCACATTTAAAAAAAATCATGTTTAGTGCAATACTGTAAACCTTGAATAACATCATGCACCCATACAAAGTGCCACCAGTGATGCTAGCAGTGCTCCCAAAAAGCAAAAAAAAGTCACGACATTTCAAGAAAAAGTTGAATTGCTTAATGTGTACTGAAGATTTCAGACTGATGATTCATCTTGTAAACAAATGATATAAACTGATGGTATCAATAAATACAGCATAGTATTATAAATGTATTTTATCTTCCTTATGATTTTCTTAATAACATTTTCTTTTCTCCAGCTTACTTTATCATACGAATACAGTAAATAATACATAAAACATAGATGTTAATGGACTTTTTATGTCATTAAGGCTTCCAGTCAACAGTAGGCTACTAGTAGTTAAATTTTGGGGGAGTCAAAAAATTTTCAGCTGCATGGGGGTTGACACCCTAAATCTCCATGTTGTTCAAGGGTCAACTGTACTTTGTTCCACTCATTAAACTTTGACAACATCAAGATTAACAATATCAACTATAAAGTGTGTACTATTATTAGCTCACTTTTCCAAATGAGAAAAGCAGTCAGAAACGATCTGGGGAATTTGTCTGAAGTCTTAGTACTAATAAATGGAGAAACCAGAGTCTGAATGCTAGCAACCTGGAGTCAGAGTCCACACTATTCATCACTTACTATTCAATTTGCTGAGATCAAATGAGTTTATACACATAATGTGCTTGGAATAATGTTTTGCAAAACGAAGGGCTCATTAGTTTATCTTGCAATTATTGTTACCGTATGAGAACTTGGCTTGCTTCTGGGATGCTTAATAGTTTTTAAGTTGCATTTCTGAAGATTCATTTCTATGAGTTTAATAACTGTCTTTTCTTTAACAGATGCACATTTACTATGATTTTGTAACTGGCTGGCTTTAATCTCTTGGTTGATCTCTTTACTGCTTGGGTTATGTTTGCTGTATATGCAGCATGAAACCTAGGGCTGCTACCAGCATAAATCTTTAAATTCCAGAAAATGAATGATTCCCATCACCACTGAGAAAAATGCATCAGCAACCAGAGGTGAAGACAACGATTCTATGGAGGCTTTTCTTTTGTCCTTCCCTGACTGGTAATGCTGTCTATCCTTCTACAGCCTGGGAAGAAGAGGAGGAGGCTGCCAGGCAGTGTGGGGAAACCAAACTGTTTTTCTCTCAACCAGTATCACTCAATGATTACCAGCTTTGTACCTATTGTGGTGCTGTACTTCCCAATTTTTATTGAGCTGAGTCTTCTGTATTCAGTTCATATCGTGAATTCTCAGGACATTAGAATTATCCATGTTCAAATAGAAATTTGCAAAGTTAAAACAAACATATTTCCAGATTAATCATAACTTTGAATACCTGGCAATGGTTCTCTGTCATCTGTTTGGATAATTGACACTTGTCTTTTAAAATCAGTATTTACATAGTAAGATAGGGCATTGATTTTGATTGTTTTGAACTACAGACTCACATTTTTGACCTCAGGTTTCTCAATTGGAAAATGGATAATCTCACCAATTTTACTTGGTTCTTAAGCCCTCCCTTTCCAGCTACAAATGGTATCAGAAATAATGACACTTCAGTGCAAAGGAAAGTTACAGGATCAGAGCAATGTGAAATGTTCCTGTAGATTGAATTATTATGTTGCCAGACTAAATGCTCTGAAAAGCTCAAATGAGAAAAATAATTCATTTTAAAATGATGGCATTCCTGAGCGCAAACATTCTAGGATCTCCTGTACAAGAATGCACTGAGGGGCCTTCACCTGGGGATATTTGAAGTAGAGCATGAGGTTACTCTGTATATCCTTAAAGGATCTGGGAGGAGCTGAAACAGACTTATGTTCAATGAGCATCTGTGATTTCCACCTAACTTACTTCTGAAGCATATGAAAATTCCACCCCATGCAATATTTGACACAGAAAGTACTGCCCCTTTATTATATAAAAGAATTAGCTTCTTTTAAAAAAAAAAAAAAGTCTGGAATCTCCTTGTAGATGTCTTCCTGGTATTTGGAGAATGCCCCTATGATCACCCTACTTATATGCTGTAGGACTTTATTTATGATGGCTGTCCCATTCCAATTTTTATATTTCTATTTAGAAAATTCTAAATTTGCTGGAGTGCCCAACATATGTTACATGTTTGTCCTTGTGAGAAGGCCAGGATGACCACCAAAGAGCCAGTAAAAGTTTAGAAGGAGCTGTTCAGCCCATCTTCTGAACGCTCCGGGAATCTCTTCAACTTCAGACCATGCCAGGTGACTTTTAGAACCCAGTTCATACTTCCAGCCTGTTCTGATCCTAGGTTTGAACAGTTCTCTTACTATCCTTCAGGTGAGGCAATCAGGTCACAGAGCTGGTGAATGGCAAAACCCTGTTAGAACTCAAAGTCTTAGCTCTCAAATGCTGTGTTTTCTCACTGATAGAAGAATGTGAGGACTGCTAAAGAATCAGCCTCACTGTATTCCAACGTGTGCCTGTCATCTACCACTGACAACTTTATTTTTATTTATATATTTACTTATTAGAGATGGGATCTTGCTCTGTTGCCCAGGCTGGAGTGCGAGTGCAGTGGCACGATCATAGCTCACTGCAGCCTGGAACTCCTGGGCTCAAGGAATTCTCCTGCCTCAGCCTCTGGAGTAGCTGGGACTGCATGCCTAACTTACCACTGATAACTTTAAATCAAAGTTTGAACATTGCTAAGGTATTTCCTTAGCAACAGTTCCCATAAACCCTCTGATATAGGCTTGCTTCCAATTCAGTAAGTTTTCTGAAAAAATTATGTTTTTAACCTTAGAAGGTATATCTATATATGGTTATTTTTATATATGGTTTTTATATATATATAATAACCATATACATATAATATATATATTATATATTATATAATATATATAGTTATTTATTTATATATATAAGGTTATTATTTATATACATAAATACCCTTAAGCAGAAAACGAGATTTTTAAATAAAGTAATTTCTTGACAATCCATGAGGATGTATTGAAAATCTCATTGTTAAGGACTCCCAAAACTTCACTATTGATCCAAGTGATGAGAAAAGATCATGATTGATAGAGCTGGGTAAAGGTTGCTGTTGGGGTCATGAGAGATTATGAGAGAAACATCATAAGACTCTCCTTACCCCTACAGTGTGATTGCAATTACATCTTAGATATGCAGGAAACTTCCACATACTGTCCCGTTATCAGAAATGAGAACTTCAATGAGAAGGTGGAAATCTATTAATAATTGTGCAGTTCATGCGACATGATCATTTGGGGCAATGCTGGGTTGAAGTGGGCTCTATTTAAATCATGTGTGGATTTTGATTCTGGAAAAAAAAGGGGCTATTTAAAGTGCTGACTGGAAACTAGTTATTCAAAGGCAATTAGACCCTTCTCCCACTTAAATGATTCTGCACTCAAGGAATGATACAAATTGAAATAGTCATTATCCATCCACCTGCCTGGCTTCTGATTAAACCTTGTAGCTGCATATGTCTCTGTCTTTATAGTACACTGGGCGTAGAAGAAAAACCTTCTCCCTAAAGATGAGAACTAGAAATTCAAAGTGGCAGAATCAAGATGCCACTTGCCTTTCCAGGAACACATTTTCTTGCTTAAAGTTCAACTCTGTCAATAAGAGTTTGACCCTTCTATTAGTAAAGACGCTCCTTCTGGAACCCTAATTGGCTTTGATGCATTATCTAGCTGCATCTGCAAGTAAAGTGGGTCCATTAATAGAAAATGAATACTTCCTGTTTTTTTCAAATTGTTTTTTCTGTTGGAGGGCAGCTCAGCAATGATTTTTTAGTTCATTATTCTGGGCCGTAATGGGTTAGGTCAGCTTGTGTTGGCTCTAGTGAGTTTTGAAACTCTCATTATTATTCTAATATCTATTGATTTACACAGCTTTAAAAGCTTTATCATATGAAAGCCTTCTTAACAACGATAAGCATGCCATTACTTGCAAAAGTAAGCAAAGCACAAGTATTTTGCCAACCAACACTAAAGTTTGCGTAGTTTTCATACTGATCAGGCAAAATATGCAATCAGATATTTTTAACATGGAGTATGTACAACACAACAGGACAAAGTGTTCCCTTTATGCCTACTTACTCCTTTTTCAAGTCATTGGAGGTTGCTTGCATACCAAGAAACTACTATTTAGATTTATGATTCTAAAAATCTTAAAAGTATCCTTCTCTGCTCACCAAAATGGAATGAATTATTATAAGAAAATTTAGGATATCAGACAAAGAACTTCAACGTCTCCCAGGGAATAAACACACAACATAAGTTACCCACATTGAGTAGATTATAGATGTACAATTATCGTTAAATCTATAATGTCTCTTTTTCTCCTTTTTAGCATTTGGACATAAGAGTTTGTAATCAATATTCAAGACCCTACTGATTGAGGAAAGGGCATGAAACATGGAAATATAAATTATGTCGGAGTTCTGTGTTGTAGAATATCAGGTTTTGGTGCCCTAGGTCTCTTTATAGGAACGTTCCAGTGTTTCTTTCCAATCTCTTCTAATTTTAAGCCCCCAAACCCACCCCTTCCCAGTCTACTCCCTCCAGTCTTTCTTATGGCCCACGTTGACATGGTGGATCTTAGAGCCAAGTCTGGTGTCCTTGTGTAAACTCAATTTCATCATATAAAATTCCCTGTTTTTAGAACTGGGGATGTGAACTGTTAAACTGGAAATGGAACCTGGATATTTTTGAATTCTCATTAAAGCTTTGGCATTTATAAAAGCAAAGCTCATAATCATGTCCTGGCTATACTGACTATTCTTTCTCCCATTTTCTGATTCTATCCCTTCACCACCTCCACTTGACAAACTATTAATACTAACCATCCTTCAAGATTCAATTCAAAGTCAACTTATTCTGAGATTTTCCCGAACTTTGCCTCTTGAGATCTTTCCTTATCTAACCTTGTTTAGCATTTTATCTGTGGATCTCTTAGTGAATTATATTTTGAGTGATAGAAAATTCATCTGGAGGCTCGTAGCCTCCCATAGGCCGTGAATTTCTTGGCAGTAGGGGTGGTGTCTTTCTCATGTGTACATGGCCCACAGTGCCTAGCACAATGCCTGGCTGACAGGAGCCTTTGAGAATATTTGCTGGATTAAATTTGACCCTCTTATTTTCACTCCAATTCTGTTGCTGAGTCCTATATTTTTCTCTTGGAAAATGAAGAACATTTCCAGCTATCAGTGCGCCTGAATCCAAGGTCGTGTTTTGAGGATCTTGTTATGCCCTTCACACTTCCTGTTGGTCATTTCAGAAGTGACTCGCAGTAGGGACTTGCTGACTGCCACGTGCTCACCTTCTCCATGATCCTGTCGATCTGGCGATTCTGTGTATCGATCTCATTGCCCATATCCAGGGCCATGTGACGGAGGTTCCCGATGATGCCGCTCACCTGCTCTAGGTTTTCATCCATTTCATTTTCTCGGGCATCATTTGTTACCCTGGGATCCAAAGAGCAAGTTTTAGAAGACAGAGGGTGGAAAACATATTGAATACCAAGGACCCAAAGCATAGTGGAAATCTGTCGTCCTCTGGGCATCAACTTTATCTATCTTTAATCTCCATCCAGTACAAAAACACATTTTAGCTTTCATACATTTAAAAAAAATGTTTAAAATTGCTTTTTGAACCCTTGAATTTCTATTCTTAAAGAAGGTATATTAAATAGATTAATTTATCTACTTTCTCACTCCTTCCATTATGTTGTTTCCCCTTCATATGTTTATTTCAATTTTTATTGTTTAAGGATGAAAACATTTTCTTTGAAAGGACTTTAGGTCAGAGCACGAAGATGGAATTAGAAACGATATTCTTCTTTCTAAGAATATTCTTAATATTTCTAAGACTCAAATTAAGTCTCAAAATTTCTAAGACTCAAATTAAGAATACAATAAAAAGCTTATTGTGCTAAGTCAGAGTCTCTGTGCTCATCTCTTTTCACACTTGGGATTGACACCAATGGGAAGAGTAATGATAATTACAGTTTGCCCCTTAACCCTGCTTGCTCCCAGGAACTCCAAGGAGAGCTACTTGTTCAAGATGATTTTTATTTACTCATATGTTAATAACATGGGTTTTTTAGTGGCATGGTGCATAGGTGATTTCAGAGTCAAAAACTGTGAAACTGTGACAAAAGAGTATTGTTTCAGGTTGAGTGGAATGGGAATGGGAGGAAGGAGCTGGCTCACAAAACACATTACATTTTTTCACAGTCCAACTTGAAAGTTAAGGAGGTACTTATTTCAGAATTTCCCTAGTATATATGGTATTGAGCTAAAAAATATTCAGAAGGGTTAAAATCCTTCCCCCATGGTAACTCCCAATGCAGACTGGCTCATTATGGTTTCAAAAGCAGCCCAGGGCAGAGAAAATTAAAAAACTAAAGGAGAACTTTCTGGCTTTTTCCTGTAGGGAAGAAGTTTATTTAAATGATCATCAATAGCTAAGAGATACTTCTAGTTCAATGGTGCTTGGCCCTGAGTGCATATCAGAATCACCTGAGGAGCTTTAATGGGCCACAGGTGCTTGTGTCTCACTTCAAGAGATTCTGGTTCAATTGGTGTGGATTGGGCCCAAACACTGGTAGTAAAAGAAAAAAAAGTCTCCCCTGGTGATTCTAATGTACAGCCAGGCTTGAGAACCCTTGGGCTACTTTCCCTGGGAGCAAAGGGAGAGCTGAGTTCTGAATTGGCTGATGTGTGTAACTTGAGTTTTTTTTTTTTTTAAAGGAAATGCCCCTGAGTCATAATTTGAACTTTTAAAAATAGATATTTAAATTGGCTTTTGATTCTAGGTTTCAAAATAAATCATTAATAAGAAGCTCATTATTCTCTATTTTCACTCCAAATCCGTTCTTGGACCTTCTTTGCTCTGTGCTCTCAGGAGCTGACCTCATGACTATATCACCCAGCTCCTCTTACCCTCTGGCTTTCAGTAGGCTTTGGCTAATGGCCAATGAAACTGCAGGGCAAGAGGAGTGAGGGGCTACAGCATTTATTTCCCTCTTTCACTCCCTGTTAGCTTTGGTAGTGGCTGTATTTCTCTACTGATAGTTCCTTGCCCACAGTCGTAACTATTGCTGGGTTCTGATAATCATTCCTTCTCCTGTCCCCCAGGACTATGGTGGTAACAACTTCCTGCTATTGCTAGCTCAGAAGTGCTTCACCATTCCTTGTTATTAGTCCTGCCCACCCCTCTGTAAGTAGTCTCTTTTATAAGCTCTATTCAATTAAACTCATGGAATGTGATGCCTGTCTACTGCCACATTGAGTCTGGATGTGGTCATGTGACTTGCTTTGTCTAATGAAACCGGCAAATACAAGGTAAGCAAGCAAAGGTTTGGTAAGTGCACTGAGGCTTGCCCCCTTGGAATACTGCTACCACCATGTAAGGAACCTGGGCTCTCTTGCTGAAGAGGCCACATGGAGAAGAACAGACATGCCCCACCAACAGCCCCAGCCAACCACCAGACAAGTGAATGGGGCCATCTTGGATCACCCCACCCAGGCAAGGTCCAGGAAAGGCTTAGAAAAGAACACTTAGCAGGTATGTAGATTAATGAGCAATAAAATGGTTGTTTTTTAGAAAACCACTCAGTTTTGGAGTTGTTTGTACTTGACAATAGAGAACTGCTACAGTGTATGCTGCATGAGGCTCACCTGCGGATGAAGCCGCCACTGATGGCCATCTGCTCCCGTTCGTCCACTACACGAGCAGGCTGGCTGGCCACCACTCCGTCCTGATTATTGCCCCAGGCTTTTTTGTAAGCATCACTTGATTTAAGCCTATGCAAAAGAGAGGGTGAGTGACAAGGCACAGGGGTGGAGGAGCAAGCTCTCAACAATTGTCACTTCTTCAAGCGAAGAATCGAACCAAGCGAATGAGTTTTAAGTCGAGGCATTAGATAATACCGATATATCATAATCCAGACCCAAACAGTTGGCCACCACCATGCCTCAGCTACTCAACATTTCACTTCCAATCGAATCCATTGCAATGGACTGCAATCTTTGCCCACAAGGTTGTTCTTGTTTTGGTTTGTTTTGTGGTTTAGTTTGGATTTTGGACAAGGATTAAGGTAGCTGGAGGACATTTAATTCTATTTTAGTGATGTGATTATATTTGGAGACATAAAACAGAGAAAAACATACTGGCAGACAGACACAAAACAAGACTGCCAAGTAGAGTGTGCACATCACACCACAGCAACACACTGTCATCAAGAAAACATCCTCAACCAAGTTTTTACACACCATCATGCAAAGATCCCTGTGGAATATTTTTTTTTCCCAACACGTGTGGAACTAACATTTCCAAAGCTCCATGAAGGACATAAAGGATTGGTGGTTGGCCAAGAGTGATGGTCTTTGCATTGCCTCTAGAGTGATTTGAATTAGATAATATATCGGTACTTCCAAACAGTCACCATACATCCAGAGTTGATGTACAAACCTTTGTCCACAGAGACAAAAAGTAAAAGAAGCATAGTGAAATGAATGCAGGAAAAGAGAAGAGAGAACAAGCCATCTAGCACCAAAAAGGGAAACCCCTCTACGTCTTCTTCATGCACCAGCTACAGGCATGAGTAGAAAGTGAAGCATTCTCATTTAAGCCAAACTACTCCAGAAGTTGACCATTCTCGAAAAAGGCACTAGCAGGACAGTAATAGCCTTCATGAGGATTTGAAACGCAGGTTCAGTAGCTTCTTTGTTGGGCTGAGGGGCAGGGCAGAGAGTGCTTACAAACTCCTAGTTTAAACTATCCTGGGGTTGTAATGGAGGAGAGTGGTTTAATGCTGGTATGGTCTCCATGGGCTGTATTTCACTGAGCTGCCTTGGAGAAAAGACTTAAAATCCAGGCATACCTATTGTGCCCAATAGAAACATGTGCAGCATATTTTGGTGAGTGTTGTAATTAAAGGCAATCAAAGATGTTTTTAGGTTCTTTACATAGTAGAAACCATATGCTTTTTAGTCCAAAAACAAGAGACATTCTTTGGTCCCATTTTCACATTTTTTTTTGTAAGACACCAGAATTTAACATTTTATCTTCTTCTTTCGCCAGAGGACCACAGCCATCTATTAAAACTGGCTCTAATACTTGCAGACTGGGGGCCAAGCAACCCTAGAGACAAACTGGAAAATTGTACCAATGGAATTTCAGCAACTCCCACAATCAAGTCTATAATGCCGCAGGCCTTAGTGCAGTCAAAATTAATTGCACCAAAGGGCCATGGACCCATTCAATGAAACGAGATCCCCAAACTAAATTTAATAGGGCTTAGAGTCTGGCTTTTTTAATTTTTATTTTTCCAACTCCCCATCTCCTCCCTCCTCAGATTAAAAGAAGTTATATGGACTTTGTGATGTTTTCTGCTATGTCAAATGTCTGCTATACCATCTTTGGCAAAGTCAAAGGAGTGGGAAGTATGCGTTTCTGAAAGAAGGCAAACCACTGCACCCACAATGCTGCACATAGACTCACATCACTGCCGTACATCTACCATCGTCCCTTGAAACATGCCGAGACAGGGCGAAGCCCTCAGAGAGTCCAGGGCACCACCAGCCACTGCGTTGTGACACATGGTTTTTAAAGCATTATTTACACACAATAGGGAACACCTCAGTCAAGCTTTGAAGCTTAGTTTAGGGTCTCTTGTGCATTAAGGAAATTAGTGACCACTCAAAAGTGGAATTCGTAGGAGCCATCATTTCATTAGAACATCAGAATCCATCCCAGGGGACCCTGCCTTCACCCTTTCTTCACACACAGTTGATGAAGGGGGGAAAATGTATCTGTTGGAATTTATCATGAAATGGATGGAAATCTCACCTGGGGGCAAGTTGCCACTGAAAGGAATATACAGTCAAATCTTGACTAACTGGAATGCTTGGTAATGAGGCTTTTTTTTTTTTTTTCTGATGAATTATATGACTTTCTTAATGAACAGTGGGGCCATGGAGGAAAGTTTTGTTTCATGGATGATGAGTGAATATCTTTGCTAGACTCCTGAGCCACTTTCCTGCCTGAAAGTCTTAAGGTAGAAGACCTGATTGAATCTTTCCTTGGTTATCATTTATACTGATTGCTTGATGGCCTTTTCTGTGAAGATCAACTCTTATTGTTTGGTCCTCATAGATGTGGAAGTTGCAGGAGGATGGAGACTAAGTGAGACAATGCAAACTACCCTGGAAGAAAAACCATTTTACATTTCTGATGTGATTTTTTTTCTTTGTTTCTTTTTTGCTAAAAATGGAAGGGAGCAAGAGCATGCAGCTGAGGTTTCCAGTTAGCTAGATTCCAGTTAATCAGGCTTTACTGTAGATCACTCTTTAAAAAGCAGAATTTTTTAATTTTTTTGCAATATGAGCCCCTCCCCCTCCTAAACAGGAAGTGGGATATTTTAAATCAGCCTCAAAGTTTAAAGGATGTGAATGGTCATATAATCTGCTAAAAATGACGTCAATTTCTATTCTAAAAGCTAGGATCAGGAGAGCTTTTAGGAAAAAGTCTTCTTTTAGAAGGGGGAAGTGGGAGGGGTGAGGGAGATTGGATAAGGAGTTTAATTTTCCAAATGCATGTTGGGCAATCCACTCATGCATTTCTTTTTCCACCACTAGTCAAATGAGACAATCTTCCAGAACCCTCAGTTTTAGGTTCCTTCCATTGCAAACCTTTATAACCACATGTCACATTTCTGCTACATTCCAAAAAAGCGTTGCAGAACCTTGAGAACAGTTGAATGTTTTGTGATGTTGTGCATGCAAAATCTACACATTTCAACATTTCAGCCAGTGTACGGGTAGATCTTCCAAGGAGAAAAATTTGGGAGGGATGGGTCCAATTTGAGTAAGGCTTGAGCACTTCTTGCTGAAGAGCTCATTGCCTCTGTGTTGGGTGCAGTGGCAGCATCTATTGACAAAATTTGGCAACTGGTGGGCAGTAGAAAGGGAGAATCTCTGTCATATTCTCTAATTTATAGAATCCTTCCCTGGGCCAAATTACCTGTCTCTTTTATTTTGGAAAAAATCAAACCTTCGCATATGTGTTTCTCATCTTCCAAACTTACCCGCAGCCTTTTCTAAATCTGTAATTTTGACTCTTGGGGTTGGGGAAAAGGAAGTTCCCTGGGTGCCTCTTTCTTGAGGCTAGCCTCTGTCTCAAGGTACACTTTCTGGAAAATGTTGAAACGTTCATCAATAAAAGTTGCTGACAGTGAAGCTTTCACTGTAGTATGCCTGATTTTTAATGCATCAACAGTAACTCCTGCTAATATCATCTATGCTATGAGATGAATGCATTGGAGACGGTATTGATCTGTTCTGCATGCCACATGCTCATCCTGCCTATGAGCTTGGCAGGAATGAGCTTGTCAAGGCTTGGAGATGGGCCTTGGGAAATCAAAGCTTCAGGCAGGCAGGCAGCACCTACTTGTTACAGGGACACACACAAAGCCCGCAGAATTTTCCTAGGTCCGTCAAATTCTTTTCTGCTTCTTTCATGTCCTTATTGATTTGGTCCATCCCTTCCTCAATGCGTTCCAGTTGTTCTGATTAAACACAAGTATTTTATCCCCACAGAATGAAGCAGATGGAAAAGGACAAAGAAAAAAAGACAAAACTTCAGACATTCACTTTGACATTAAAAAAGAAAAAAAAAAAAAGAAAGAAAACTGGACGCCACAGATTAGAGCTGGTACCCAGTACCTACTTGTTACAAGGACATATGAAAAGGCCACAGCATTTCCCTAAATCTTTTAAATTTTTCTCAGCCTCCTTCATGTCTTGGTTGATATGGTTCATGCCTTCTTCGACACGATCGAGTTGTTCTGGTTAGGACAAAGGGATGACAGTGTGGAATGAATTTTTTGGGGGTCTCCAACAGAACATGAGAAATGACTATGTGAAACAGAATTTGAAAGAGAGATATTACAATGCATTGTCCAAGAGGATGCATTGTTGAAGACTGCTACCGCTGCCCTACACAGGTATGGGTGGAAAGAAACAAACCAAACGATGCTCAAAATACTTTGTAATTCAACATGATGGGATGGGGTGGAAGGCCTGTTTGATTCTGAGTGTCCAGGAAAACAGCACAGCATATTCGCTTACTCAGGCACCAGTGAAATCCAGGAGAAAAAAAAACAGGGTGTTAGTTTATGTTTTAGGCATTCCAGTTTAACGCTACTAAGGAAAGGATCTGCTTCAACTTTAAAATATCTCCATCTTTTGGTTTTTAAGCATCCTCAACCAGATAAGGGTAGAAAATAGAATCCATTTTCTTCTTTGGAGACAACAGCAGCAGCAGCAATCATAAGCAATGGGTATGGATGTCTTTTCTTCCCCTAGCAGTGGCAGTCTAGCCAGAGGTAGCCATGGTCTGCACTTGATTGTGCATATGTAATTCGTAAAAGCTGTTTTTTAAAAAAAGAGTAACATCCACACAGCAACATTGTAAGTCCTGGAACATTGCAATTCCTCTATCATCCTATGACTTAATTGCTATGAATGTTTTGGAAGGCATTTCACTTCTCTGCCCCCTGATTTCCAAGTCTATAATGGGGGTCATGCTCCAAGCCCAGGCAGAGAGCAGGGAGAATGAATGTCTCTTTGGAAGTAGGATTATGAATTGGAACATAGGACAATATGGTGTCACTGCTGCCAGCATAGCTGACCTTAGTGTATCTAAGTACATAGATCAATAGTCATAAAAATGAATCATACTTCTAGGTTGCCAAGGTTACATACACCAACTTGATTAATTTTTTTGAATTGTATCACCAAATTGAGATAACTACAAGTTCAATGAAAGGATTTTTAAAACAGCTTTAAAAGACCATTAAAGGAAGGCAGCAATGGATGTCTTCGCTGGCTAATTACAAAACCTAATTACATTTCCATTCCTCTTTTCATCTGTATTTTCATGCATGCATGCCTGTGCCTCCTGGAATAAAGGCATGCCTAGAATACAACTGATAAGTACATTTCCAGCCTAAGGGCATACATTATCACTTAAACACAATTTCACATTAAGTTATACAGTGGAAATTGTGCTTCCAAAAAAACTAAGATACATTCACTAGTGACCCAAACTGCCAGACTGTGAATTTGGAAAATAAAAGCCTACTGTGTTTTCTTTCGTGAGGCTAAAGAACAGAATTCAGTTCATGAGGAATCTGCTATTTCTCTTATGCTTTTGAAATGACAGGTGAAAACAAAATTTCATTGTTTATCCAGCATTGAATACCTGGAGGAGATAATAAGGTAGTGCAGGAGAACTTTTGCCGAATAAATACAGGCACAGTGATGGCTTAAAAAAAAAAATCCGCAAATATAGCTGGGTGTGGTGGCTCATGCCTGTGATCCCAGCACTTAGGGAGGCCAAGGCAGGCAGATCACCAGAGGTCCAGAGTTTGAGACCAGCCTGGCTAACATGGTAAAACCATGTTTCTACTAAAAATACAAAAAAAATTTCTGGGCGTGGTGGCATGCGCCTGTAATCCCAGCTACTTGGGAGGCTGAGGCAGGAGAATTGCTTGAACCTGGGAGGTGGAGGTTGCAGTGAGCTGAGATTGCACTATTGCATTCCAGCTTGGGCAACAAGAGCGAAACTCCGTCCCAAAAATAAAAATTACAATTAAAAAAAATTTTTAAAAGGCTATATATATGGCAATCCCCTACATTCAAGAAGATTTTTTTCTTTTCTAAGGATTTCACTCCAGTTTCCTTTTAAGAATGCAATAAATTAGTCTGTAGATCAAGGTAAATATTCAAGTGGAGGGACTGGTGTGGGGAAAGGAACTCATCATCAGATGAAGAACCATTATATATACAGACAATAGGGATGCCAAATCCCAATCAAGTAATTGCTAATGGCCTCTGGGAATGCAGGCTTGAGATGGATTGGAGGAGGCATCTGGACTCAGAAGGAGAGATGCTGCCCCCAGCTAATGACAGCTGAAATAAGCATAGATTATGGCGTGGGGACACATATGCAATTATTTGTCTTTCTTGAGGAGTTTCTCCTAAGTTACAAAGCGAGTTGATAATTTTTTTTTTTTTTGGCCAAAATATTAACTCTCTGACAAGATATTAGGGACCCATCCACTGTGCTTCCAGAGATTAGGAGGTAACATATATATGTGAATTGGTGCACAGGTATTGGACCTATGAATTAGATAATTGATATTAAAAAGGGAAAAACAAACAGGCACGTCTAAATCCATATTTCAGAAAGCTGGGCTCTGCCATCGGTTACCAGCTTAATTTGGCAAAGTTTTGACTAAAAGAGAAAACTCTGAAGCTGAATTTGATTCAGAAAACTATTCAGAAAATAGTTGATTCAGAACACTATTTTATAACTACCAATATCAGTTGAATATATATTTACATAAGAATTCTAAGTCAAACCTTTAATTTAAAAAATATTGTGGAGTCATTTTGTTGCAGAAATTCTAGCAATAATATTAATTTTTAGAGTGTACTGAGTTATGTTTGTGGAGATGTTTGGCATATTGGGACTTCATGGCACTTCAATGATTTCTGTGAAGATGCTTCTCAGGAAATGCTTATAAGCATCTCATTCTGGGATGAACAGCAGCATCTCTGAGGCTGATGCAACGCACCATCCAGTGTTGACTGCTTTTGATCTCCCTAAGCTTGTTTTCTGGCTCATTTCTGTTTATTCTTGGGGGCTGGGAGGAGAATAACATTTTGAGTAGGGAGGGGGTCTTCAGGTAGGTGACACTATATGTTGGGGCCAGAGCTTGGGCTTTCTTTTGCCATGATATTGGATCACTGGTTATTTGTGATAGATCCACCAATGACAGAATCCTCAAGGATCTATATTAATGTTTTCCATTAATATTTTTCCAATGACTGGTGAAAACAAAATTTCTACTAATCTCTCCTAAGTAAGCCAACATGGGGCCCTTAGTATTCTCAATCTAGTAAAAATCAGTAGAAGAATAGTAAGCATTAATACTATTAATCTAGTATGCAGCCTTCATGAGTATATCCAGTTACAAGATGCTGCCTCTATGAATTTCATTTTTCTTAGCATTTATGAACATATAGAAATTTATTTAAATTTAAATAGCCCTATGTGGCTATCATGACTAAGTACAGCCTTAGTCATTCATAACAGATATTGGTGAATGGACTTTAGCTAGAGAGATGGTTTTTCAGATGCCACCTTGTAGTGCCATGAACCTTTTAAGATAGCTGACTCTCCGGACAGGAATTTACTTTGTCTTTCTTCTGTCAGACAGTAGTCAAATATTTCACTGTTTAGTTTGGAGCTGATCCCAGGAGATTTTCCCAAAAGTCACATCTTCAGCATCAAAACAGACATACAACTCAGCAAAGACCAGCAAAAGGAACAAGAGATATGCAGGTAAAAGCCCACATTAGTGCCAGGGTCATTTGGGGACTTCCCTTGGTGACAAATTTTCTAGAGGAATGAAAGTTCCAGGGCTCAGTACGTTTCCAGGTCTGGTTGTCATGCTCAGTGCTCCTTGGTGTCTCCCGATACCTGGGTATAAAGCAAGAATCCCATAGGAAATTTCCTAGTGCAATCATTTAACTGGACAACCTGGAATGGCCTGGCCTGACCCAACAGTGGTTGAGATGGTTCTTTAGAAGAATGGCTGTTTCTTGAGGCTCCCGTGCTGCTGTGAGGTAGAAATAGTCAACACTTTTGGTGCTCACGCATAAACAAAATTAGTAGAGCATAAATGAAGAGAAATTTCAAAGCAGTTACTGATCTAAACAAGTAAAGGCAAAATTAAAATGCACTTATATGGCAGTTAAGATAGCTGTTGACATGCTCATCTGTCAATTAGAAAGGTCCTTCTGTGTCTCTACTGCCTAATTAAAAAAAAAAAAAAGGTCCTAAGTTCCTATTATACTATAAATGAAATGTGTACCATTTAAGACCGGCCAGAAACCACCTACTTTCGGGGGTTTTACAGTTGCGTGTTTCTCATCAGTGTCTATCTACTCACCACACATCTGGTAAAACCCAGTCTATCCTTGTTTAACTGAGGAATTCAGCATTTACTGTGGTATGGCTATAATTGAAATGTCTTAGCCGAGAACATTAACTGTCTCATGGGGAAATCTGTCAAACAGACATTCTATTCTGCTTTGTTTCTCGGAGAATAGTACATAGGTGATTCTGGAGATAATTTGTGCTAAAGAAGATATATTTTTGCATTTTTATGAAGATTTCAGCAAATTATATCTCTAGATTTTCTTCATCAAAGTACAATGCAATTTATCACTCATGTAAGCCTGTTATTCATGTTTTCTCTTTTTCATTCCAGGTTTGTATATATTATTTTCCATGTCTTTATGTCACTGCTTTATTGTTCGGGGGGAAAAGGCTCTATTCTAAATCTTTCCTAAGTCTACCCTCCATTGTAATGTCTCTTTTTCCACCCACATGAAGTTACAAATTATTAACTTAAAAAATAAATAAGGTGAAACTGCTAATTATTTGAGTGTATATGTTTATTTATTTATTTTTTAAATTTTTTTATTTTATTATTATTATACTTTAAGTTTTAGGGTACATGTGCACAATGTGCAGGTTAGTTACATATGTATACATGTGCCATGCTGGTGTGTTGCACCCATTAACTCATCATTTAGCATTAGGTATATCTCCTAAAGCTATCCCTCCCCTCTCCCCCCACCCCACAAGAGTCCCCAGAGTGTGATGTTCCCCTTCCTGTGTCCATGTGTTCTCATTGTTCAATTCCCATCTATGAGTGAGAATATGCGGTGTTTGATTTTTTGGTCTTGCAATAGTTTACTGAGAATGATGATTTCCAATTTCATCCATGTCCCTACAAAGGACACGAACTCATCATTTTTTATGGCTGCATAGTATTCCATGGTGTATATGTGCCACATTTTCTTAATCCAGTCTATCATTGTTGGACATTTGGGTTGGTTCCAAGTCTTTGCTATTGTGAATAGTGCTGCAATAAACATATGTGTGCATGTGTCTTTATAGCAGCATGATTTATAGTCCTTTGGGTATATACCCAGTAATGGGACGGCTGGGTCAAATGGTATTTCTAGTTCTAGATCCCTGAGGAATCGCCACACTGACTTCCACAATGGTTGAACTAGTTTACAGTCCTACCAACAGTGTAAAAGTGTTCCTATTTCTCCACATCCTCTCCAGCACCTGTTGTTTCCTGACTTTTTAATGATCGCCATTCTAACTGGTGTGAGATGGTATCTCATTGTGGTTTTGATTTGCATTTCTCTGATAGCCAGTGATGGTGAGCATTTTTTCATGTGTTTTTTGGCTGCATAAATGTCTTCTTTTGAGAAGTGTCTGTTCATGTCCTTCACCCACTTTTTGATGGGGTTATTTGTTTTTTTCTTGTAAATTTGTTTGAGTTCATTGTAGATTCTGGATATTAGCCCTTTGTCAGATGAGTAGGTTGCAAAAATTTTCTCCCATTTTGTAGGTTGCCTGTTCACTCTGATGGTAGTTTCTTTTGCTGTGCAGAAGCTCTTTAGTTTAATGAGATCCCATTTGTCAATTTTGGCTTTTGTTGCCTTGCTTTTGGTGTTTTGGACATGAAGTCCTTGCCCATGCCTATGTCCTGAATGATAATGCCTAGGTTTGAGTGTATAGGTTTCAATTTTGCACCGGAAATCAGGTACCACTCTTCTATTGGGCACCTGTTGTTTAGTTATTTTTTTTAAAAGCAATGACTTGCTGCATCCTCAGTTTCAAAGCCTGGGACATTGTTACACAGATCCAGCCAACAAGTCACGTAATAATAACAAACCCATTGGGGGAGTTCTTAAGACTTCCATTGCTACTGCAGTATCTTCAACATGGAACTCTAGTAGACTTTGTTATTTGTGTACAACTTTTGACAATTTGTATTGTGAAAATTGAAGGAAAAATGTTGGGGTTTATGTTCAACTTTTTTTTCAAACTTTTTTCTCCATTTTTTGGATCAATTGGTATATATTTATTGAAAAAGTTTAATACAAATAAATAATGTAAAACCGAAAGCCTTTATGTGACAGCCAGATGCCTCCAGCTGTGCACCTATGTAGGCTGCCACAGTGTTTACATTGAGGCCAGGCTCTTCCTGGGATGCTTCAAGCCAATGGCTGAGCACAATGGGCTACTAGTGCTAGAACATTTCTGCCCAACACAGGGCTCCTCTAATCAGCAATCTTTGCTCTCGGGCTCCCCATTGGCCTGGCCGAGGGCTTCTCAGAGCAGTACCCATCTACTTTTATAGGCATCAGACCTGCTTCATAGTCTGAAGGCTGCCTCTGCCTGCTCCCGGCAGCTCTCCCCTTGACCTATCACAGACATTTCCCCAACAAATCTCTTTTGCTTCTAATTGCTTCCTGGCATTTGCTCCCCAGGGGACCCCAAATGAGGCATCTTCCTCCAGTCCCTTCTTGCTCCCACCCCAACTCCACAGAAGTCAGTAAATAAAGATCTACCTCATGTATTATATTGGTGGCAGAACAATTCTTTTATGGCCGTACCACAATTAATTGGGTTGGTCTCCCCACCGACAGATACTTAAGTTGTTTCTAGTCTTACACTATTATGAGTAAGCCACATGCATTTTACTTCATATAACTGTAAATGTATATCTGCACTGTAAAATTCTAGGAGTGGAGTGTCTTGGTCAAAGATGAGTGCCCTTTAAAATGTGAAGATATTTTCAAATTATTCTTTAAGACATTTGTATCAGGTTACAGTGCCTAACTGTGGAATAGGAGTTTCTGTTTTCCCAACATATTCACAACACTGGTTATTATCATTTTTTAAAATTTATGCCAGTCTGCTCTAAAAAGTGGTATCTTGTCATTGTTGGTGATTAGAGCATGGTTTCATACATCTGTGATGACGTCTTATTTTACATCCATTTTTCCTTTAGGTTGCTGCCCTTTTCTTTGATATGCAAGGGCTCTCTGAATTTTAGGAGAAGTGCCTTCTCTCTGTTATCTGTCAGGCACGTTCCCCCCCACAGCTTGAGATTTATGCTTAGAGTTTATTTAAGGTTTCCTGTGTTGTGAATACATTGTACATTTTTATCTTTGCCATAAAAAAAATAGTCATGACTCCAAAAAATTTTCTAATGCTTTTACAAAATATGAATAAAAAGAAAAAAACTTTGCAGAAATCTGTTTATTATGATAAGAATTCAGAACGGAATCAGGTAACTGACTAGTGGCTAGAATTATGTACAATCTCACCATAGGGCTAGATACATTGAGATGAAGAAAAATGATGGTATTACCCTTTTCAGTTTCCATGTTAGGTATAGAGATGCTATATTAAAATGCTGGCTCTCTGATTTTCCTTGCTTCTAGCATTTCTGTAATAATCTTTAAAACAGGCCAAATATTTCAATTGGTTCAATGTTGTATTTTCCAGATAATTTCCCTCAGGTTATATTCTGTGAAAAACAGCTCCCAGGTATTTAAGAAATACCCAAAACTACTAGATACTGAGTTGGGATGGTCAAAAGAAGTAGACAACATGATATGCCATACGCTCATTCTATCTACGTATTGTTAGAAGAAAATCAAATTTATTGGGAAAGTTTAGGGGCAAAGATAATAAGAAAATTCTTACACTGTCCAAAATACTATCATTTAAAAAAAATGGCTTTTGCCTTCAAAATTCAGTTACCCCAACATATATAACAGAGATAGTGGTATCATTGATTCACTCATGAAGAAGGCCTCAACATTTCCATACATTTACCAATCTTTTCAACAGAGAAAGAAAAAAAGCAAGATGAAAAATCTAGAACCCTCACATTCGTGTACATGTGTAACACATGTCAAAGCGACCATCTGCGTATGCACAAATAATTTTAAAATGCACATTATTCAGAAGAGGAATTGTTCTTACTGAAGAAATCTGAACTTACCTCCTTGTTCATCCAACATAACCAAAGTCCTGATACCAGCATCTTTACTCTACATTCCAATAATGGTAGCAAAGTTGAAAAGGAGTTAGAGAGAGAAAAGAGAGAAAGAGAAATCAGTAAGGGGACAATTAGCCCTATAAATGGAAAATGAAGAAGGACCAAAAGAAAAAAGGGAGAAAGTATGACAAGAGCCCTGAGGGGTTATGGAGGGATAGAAGAATGGGCCAGCTGTGGACTTGATCTACCAGTGATGCTTTAGGCAGAATGAGGAAATGGAGCACTGTCTCCATGGGGTAGGGCTGGGGTGGGGCCTGCATGAAATCAGAATACACATACTTCATATTATACTGTAATTTTATGTTTGGAAATAAACGTGTCTACAGTTTTTATAACACCAATCACAGAAAGCAAACCTTTGGAAATCTTCTAGTCTAAATTTTCTTCTTTGGCACTATCTATCAGAAAGTCTTCATCAGTGAAATTGGGGAGGGATGCCCCATGGGAAGATGTGCAAGAATCTTGGTGGTGGGGGTTGAGGTTTTCAGGTTCATCAGAAGAGAGCATGGCTTTACAAAGGTTGGGAAACACAGCTCAAAAGGAAACTCACTCTCTCTCCATTTTTCTATCTCTATGGAGAGGGTCTACAGTATTTAGAATGGGTTTGAGATGAGAAATAAGGGCTCTTAATTCTGAAATCTAACATTCTGCATAATAATCTAGTGTGAGAAAATAATTCCTTTACAAGCTTTACAGAAATTCTTCTGTGCCGGGGAAGTCTTTAAAAGGCATCCCTCATCTCCTTACTGTTCAAATAAACCAAATACCACCTGAACCATGGGCAGGAGTTGGTGGTCAGGACAGAAGGAACAAAGATATCTGTATCACTCATACTTAAGAATCCTCATTTCTAGAAAGCCTAATCAGTTAATGCCTTCCATTTTACAGGGCGACTGTTAATGGGTATAAAATGGCATTGCTTATAGTTTGGATGAATTGGTTTTTCAAGTAAAGCTCATGGTACCCCCAGAAGAAATTCTAAGCTAGGACCTCTCTCATGGTGCTTATTTTCCACTGATGTACTTTGAACTAAGAAAGAAAGAGAGAGATACTAGTGGAGGCCAACAAAGTGCTTTTAAAAAAATAGTATTTTAACAATTAAATTTCAATAGTGCTTCTGAAAAATAAAATGCTGAAAATGATTTCTGTGAGCTTTTATAAACTCACCATTTTAGAGAACGTGTGCAGTTAAATCTCCAGGACACAAAAGCCTACCTTGCCTTTGAGCACACTTTGATAGGCTTTAGTGGCAAAGTCAGGATGTAGTATGGACAGGGCTGGCCCAGGGTGGCCTCAGGAGTCCTTGACAGCGCAGACTGTGGAGACAGACTCTGGGCTGGAATGCTGGTGATTTCATTCCCTAACTGTGGGGCCTCAGGCAAGTGTCCTGACTGTTCTGTGCCTCCGTTCTCCTTTGTAAGACAGCAATGACAACAGTTAATACCTCATTGAGGAAGTATGTGCGTTAAACAAATTAATATGTGGAATGTGCTAGAATGGAGTGTTTCTAAAATAAGTGTTTCTAAAATAAATATATTCAGAAAATGCATCTATAGCAGCCTATCTAGGCAAACTAAAAATATCATCATTATCGAGTATCTGAAGCTTCTAGACCACTACTTTTCAAACTGGAATGTGCATATGAATCCTCTGCACATGAATCATCTTGTAAAATGTAGATTCTGATTCAGTAGGGCTAGGGTAGAGCCTGGGCTTTTCATTTCTAACAAGCTCCCTGACATATTGAGCTGGTTCAGGGACATACATTGAGTAGCAAGATTCTAGACTACAAAAGACATTTCAAAATATTTTCTTTAAATGGGTTGTAAACAGGCTTTTGTCTGTACTAGCCTGTATTTTAATGATTTATTTGCTCTTTTCTGCATTCTTTCTCCATTTCTTGTGAGATGAAATTATAAAAGGCAGATGGCTATTCGGGCATAGGGATGTGACAATGCAGGTTCTGCTGAGGGCAGAGGCATCTCGGAGAGCACTTTCTCCTCGAGGGCCCAATCAGGCCACACATGAAATCTTCGCTCCATTCTACTGGGGACAGTGGATGGGAAAAAGGTTAGTGATTTTAGTTTGGTCAGTCCAGCCCTCATCTGTTTACACTTTCTTGATATTCTATTATACCCATTTATTTTTATGTGGAGCCCTGCAAGTATAATTGCACATTTGTCCAATTTGGTGCTGAATGTTTTAACACTAGAATGATTCACGCAACTAATTTGAGGGAGCAAGAGTTTTTTAGGTTGCCCCAGTTTGGGAGAACAGAAGCAGAGAGCACTGATGTGGGAGTCACGAACACTGGGTTGTGCTCTTAGCTCAGCCAGCAACCAGTCACGAGACCCTGGAAGAGACATCTGACCTTCCAGAATGTTTCTCCACGTTTAAGATAAGGATAGGGATGCCGAGTAAGATTGAAAAGATTGAGTGGTTGGTTAATCACTCACAGGCTCCTTTTTACTTTCCTTCCTTCCTTTCCCTTCCTTCCTTCCTTCCTTCCTTCCTTCCTTCCTTCCTTCCTTCCTTCCTTCCTTCCTTCCTTCCATCCTTCCTTCCTTCCCTCCTTCCTTCCTAGTGTTTATTGAGCCTCTACTCTGCTCTAGGCACTAAGGATAACGGGTAGACAAATGCATGACCTCTCAAATGTGTTCCTTTGTTTGTGAGACAATTTGGTCAGGTGGGCAGAACCAGGATCTGGGAGTCATTACTTCTGAATTCTAGACCTATCTTCATAATGCTAGTGCTCTAAGGTCACCTGTTCTGTGTCTCAGCTTCCCAGCTGTCAAATGGGGAGAGTAACTGCTCCCTCATAATTTCTCACAGTAGTTATGAGAGTAAAATGAGCCTCAGAGGGTCCAGCCTCTCAAGGTTCACCTCTATGGGAAGCTGACGCCTCCGTGAGTTCAGGAAATAAGACATTGAGTAGAATCTCAATCCATTTAGAATGAGCTGCTTTGTTTCCTTAGATCCTTTCTTTTTGTGGAATTCTCAAAGAAAAATAATGATTGTAAGAGATGCTGGTGGAAGAGAAGTGTGATGCGTAAGAACTTACACTCTGAAATCAGGTAGACCTGGGTTTTAACTTCATCTCTGCCGTTTATACCTGTGTGTCTCAAGCAAGCTACTTAACCACTGTGTACCTCAAGTTCCTCTACAGTAAAACAGAGATCAAAGTAGTAGTAGAAGGAAGCTAACAAAGATTAAATTAGGTAATGTACATTTGATGATGATGACAATGATAGCTCTAAGCAGAGTATCTGGCACATTTCACCTCGGTACATGTTAGAACTTGCGTTTGGCTCCACTCTTTTGCTGACAGCTTCTATCAAAAATAACTAGGTTGCTTTTGTGGGGACCTAGAAGCTTAAGGAGATGGGCAGGGATAGAGACATGATTTCAGGGAGGCAGAATATTACTTTCTCTTATTCCTTAAATAGTATTATGTTTTAGTAGCTAGGAGTGTGAGGAGGTGGTTCTATTTTTATCTAAGCTCAATTCTTAGTTTCTGTTTGAGATTGCTGGGAAAATCGCCTACCTAAAAACAGGGGAGTTGAAGATACAAAGGATTACTTTTTCTTTTCCATTTCTTTCTGTTCTCTTTTATTTCTCTATTTTAATTTTTAAAAAAATTTTTCCAGATGAACTAAGACAATCTTTATAGAACGTTTCAAATCTTTCTTTTGCCGTTCTGAGATGCTTTTCCCAAAGTCTAAAACATCTGAACTAAAACTAGAACACTCCAGGCACTCTCTCCAAAAGACCCCACATCTGCATATCTGAAAAGGACTGCTCAACCTGATTTTTTTCATTTTTAGGGGAAAGTTTGGCATACACCACTTTAGAATGCTTATTCTCTTTGCATGGCCAAAGTGTCTTGAAAGTCTTGAAAGATAAGTTGGCATAAAAAGAAGGATGCTAAAACATTCTTGAAATATTAGTTGTGCAATAACCACTCCATGGAAGTTATGTGGTGTCTCTGAATTGGCCTGCCCTAAGGCTGTGGGGCTTTTCCTGGGCTTAATTTACATAGCCCAAGGCATTGATGTGCAGACTCCATTTCCTGAATTTAGCATTAGCAGAGTTAACTTTTTTTCCTGGAATTAAATACTACCTCCTCGAGGATACCTTAATGAGTCTCTTACCAGAATCAGTTGTTCCCTCCCCTATGCACCTAAGGCAAATATGGCCTTGAATTTGCAGAGCTACTTACATATCTGTTTCCCAGCAAGATACCAATTTACATCTCCCTTCCTATCCCGGAGTTAGGCATTCTGTGAATATTTGTTGAAATGCATTCACCAAAAGAGAGTTCCTAACTCCAGGCTGAGAACCAAGTGCTACATGATTTCTAACCTTTTTACCTATCTATGGCATTCATTTTTTCTGAACTTTCTCCACTCACCTCTGTGTAGTTTTACACTATCCTTGAGATGCTGATAATGATGACTATTAAAAAGCAAGGCCCCACCCCTAACCACGGCTACACCCTGGAGTCTGTTAAGGATGGTGTAAAGTTGTATATTCCGCTGAGAGATTGTTTGCCTTAGGGAGACTTCACAAGTTTAGTAACCTTTCCTGTCTTTGAGACTGAATTTCAATAAGGATTCAGCTCAATTCAGATTATATGGCGCTGTCAAACCTTGGGATCATGAGTAAGATCCTGGTACTTCAATCCTCAGGTTTTCCAAATGATTTCTGTCCTTGATGAATATTTAATGCAGATTCTCTTTAGAGAACGTCCTTTTTGATTGAAAAGCAGAATATCATCTAAACAGCAAATGTCCTAGACATCAGGATGTTTGACCATAAATAGAAAATAACCCAGGAGGAAGTAAGAGCAAATCAATCTACTCTAATAACACTTTGCTCACAATTTCCTAAGCATGGAAAGTCTAATAGCCTCCTCTCATTTATTAGAGGCAGGAGATAGCTTCCATCTCTTTTGCTCCTTGTTCTAAGATATAGCTGCATGCTTGATTGAAAAATGCTTTAGGAGAAACAAAAACATATGATTCGAGAATCCTACTTCAATCAATAAGCTTTTGAGAGATTTTCCCCCAGAATAAATTAGAGCAGATACTCATTTTTGAAGACTGGACGACATGGCTTGCAGTTTAAGACGATACATGAAAAAGTGACCATGTCTCAGACTCTGATGTGTAAGGGATCAGTTCAAGGTGTGCGTTCTGATTCATTTGTTTTGCTCCTTTCCACAGTCTAGGCAGCATTTCAACATTGCACAGGCAGGCAAATTAGTGACGGTTCTGATATTTTGGAAACTTATATCAGATGTGCACACACGTAACCAAAAAAAGAAAAATGGGATTGGAGGCTATGGTTGAAAGCCATAAGGATGTATTATGATAATAATGTAATAATATACAATCAAATAAATATCTCAGTTGATTTCTAGGCTCCCTTCAGGTTAACTTCAGAGCTCATGTAGGCATATTACTAAGATGGGCTTCTTTCATTTTTCTTCCTCCTGAAAACTTGAGAGAGAATAAGTCCATGCTAAGAGTCTTGCCTGTACTCGTAGATTTAGAATATCTACCTCCTTCTTCATCCTCAAGTATTTCTGCATGAGCAGCAGCATTCCCTGGACAGTGCAGATAAAATATTGCTCTTCACTTAGACAGAACGCTGCTTCCCTATACTGAGGACCTGCTTTGCTAGGGCTGCCTTCCGGTGTGTCCCGTTTGTGCCACATTGCAGGCTCGAATTATCATTTTGGGGGATAACAGATTTTGTTACGTTCGCCCCACCCTCCCACCCCCCGCCCCACCCACTTCCCCGGCTTCCTAGGGAGTGCATGCTTGCCACCTCCTTCCCACTCCTCCAGTGGCAATTCACATTTAGCCATATCTCATTCCTAGGTGAGAAGCTGAAGCTACAGAAATAAGAGAAGGAGGACATTGGCTCCTAGAGTGTGAGAGGCGGCTGCCTTTCCTTTTATCCTTTGTAAAATTTATCTTTTCTTCCCTTTCAAGTTGTTGCATATGAAATTTATGATAGCATGAGGGGAGTAGGCTCATTTAATCATTCTGCCAGAGAAAGCCCAAGATCTCTAAAAACGATAATCACACATGAATTTATATACTGATAAGCAGTTCAAAGCACAGCTAAAACAGCATCTCGCTGAATAAAAACTATTAGGCTTGTCTTATTAGGTTAAGATAAGTATAGTCCAACCCATTCTTTTTCCACTTCATCTCTCCCATTGGGCAAGTTCAATTAATCCATTTATTTTGCCTGGCCGACTGCTGCTCTACCAAATTGGAATGAGTGAGGTTTATGATTGCAAGTGCCCTTTTGATTCCATTATTGCTATTTGCCCCATTTTACCCATTTAAAAATAGTTTGGGATTCATTAACCCTGCCTGGCAAATGGATGCTCAATCCAGGCAGGAATATAAAAAAGCTTCTGTATTTATATTATTGGACTTGATATTTCCCTTTGTTAAAGGGCTTTCCTATTTTTTCATAAATTTTAGTGCTTGACTTTAAATAGAACAATTTCTAAAAATGATACACCTATATGCGTACATATTTTTAAAAGTCATATATGTGGCTAAAGTTAGAACAGAATCTCAAGATTAGATGTAATTTATAGGCACAAAAATAATTACAAATAAAGTTTTATGTAGATAATTCCTTTGTATATTAAGAATTGCTCTAATTTGCTTAAAGTGATACAATCGTCTGTGATTTCTTGAGAGCACAGACTTGGAAATTCTATTATTCTCTGCTTCCCAGACCAGACTACAGAGGTGGCTTGGGCTGGGAAGGAGGGTGAAGGTGTCTTCATGGCTATCTGGCAACTTAAATACAGCATCTCCCTCATTCTGTGCCTTTCTGATAGGCTACATCCACACTGGAATCTAGGGGATCATGGCCCAAGGAAACATCATAGCAACTAGGAAAGGATGTATCAGCATAAGGGATTTGTTCCTTTATCTTAAAATACTGTCACTTCTTACCTCTTCAACCAGTTGCAGCATACGACGGGTGCTTTCCAGCGACTAAGATTTAAAAAACAAACAAACATAAACTTTATGAGTGCAGGATCCAGAGATCTTGGAAAATCAGAAATACTTTATTTACTTGAGAAACACAAAGGGTCTCTGTCACATATTCTTTTCAGTTGGCAAGTGAAACAAAAAATGTCATTACATTTTCAAACTCTTTCCTATCAGGCTTTTTACATGATCAGATTCCCTAAAGCAATTACATTACAGCTTATCTTCAGAAAATAAAAACCATATGAAGCTGATCTTGATATCAAAGACAAAGTAATCTGGAGAAGATAATTTTGCATGCTCAGAATGCATGAAAAATTATCTCAATTACTCAGAGGACTAATTTGGCCTCCCTGGGCCAGGAACATTAAATTTTAAACACAAACATAATTTTTCATGAATCGAGATGAATATAACATCAAGTTTCTTACAAAGCTCCTAGAAACACAATTGGAAGTTCTTATCAATACAAATTAAGTTGTTGCCTTAGGGTGAAAAAAATCAAGCATGTTTGAAATGACCAGCCTATAGGAGAGAGCTATAATAATTATCTTCATCCTTAGATAAGAAAAAACGAGACGGAAAGGCTGAGCTCTGCAATGGTCCCCCGGGCACTGCGTTGTCACTTTTTTCTCAGTTCTTTTGAAACGACTAGAATCCAACAACCAGTGTGATTTCTCAAAGCTTTGCTTTTAACTGACAAACTTATTTTGAACAAGATTCTGCAGGAACCTGAAGGATGTTAACTTCCCTGGAAGAGCTGTCAGCCAGCTGCTTTTTGAAATAGAATGGCTGCAAGCAGCAGTCTGCTGGTAAAGGTTTAACTACCGGCTCTCTGGGAAAAATACACAAATACATACATGTATTCAAGTTTATTATTTTACTGATATAAAGGATGAATAGCACAAAATTTATAAATAATAATAAAATATACAATACTCTCTTTATTGTAAATTCCGCATAGCCAATTGATTCTCACAGAAAACTTTTACTGATTTTTGCTGAACTTTTGTGTCTACAGCTAACCATGTGATGAACCAGAGTAGTTCTGACATGAATGTTGGTTGGATATTTTCATGTATATTAATGAGTAAGAAGAAAATTAAACAATGAAGGCATGTGTTGGAATTGTACTCATTTGTGAATGACAAAAAGGATTTCTTTGCCTTAGAGAATCATAATTTTCAAATACTGGAAGATTTCCTCTTTTTGTGTTATTCATAGTATAATGGCTGCAGACATACATACTTTTAACTTTAATCTGCATTATTAATATTTTCTCTACTTTTTAAAGTCTAGACAATCAGCAAAACAATAAGTCAAGTCCTGATCTGCAGTATTTGCAGATTCTTGGGTGATAAATACTCTTACTCTGTCTGATTTTTAAATTTTTAAATATTTTTAGAGATGGGAGTCTCTCTATGTTGCTCAGGCTGGTCATGAACTCTTGGCCTATGCGATCCTCCTGCCTCAGCCTCCCAAGTAGCCGAGATCACAGGTGAGAGCCGCTGTACCCAGCTCTGCCTGATTTTAAGCTACAACTTCATATTACTGATCATGAAGTTGGAAAGACACATGGTAACACATTATTATACCTTATTTCCACCCTACAGATAAAATGGATGAATCTCAAGATCATGGATAATAGTAAAATGTAGCAAAATAATTAGGAAGTGATGAAGTTTGAGTGTTTATTACTTTTGATTTTAATAGAATCTATCTAATTGTCAGTTTATGTAATTCAGTTTTAATAATGGCTGCATTTAGCAACCAGCTTGCAAAGTTCCTGAAAATGTTAACAATCTGTTCTCGGAACTGAGCCTTCTCCAGCATAGCACTGAATTAAGGCACCCAAAGACATTGCTTTCTTTTCTTAGAGGACCTTGACTTCTCAAGGTTTCTGGAAATTGAGAGTTAGGGCCAAGACAGTAATTTGTATGCAGCTTCTATAATCAACTTATTCTGGTCCACAGAAGCCTTAGGTGTACAGAAAATCAAAGTCATATTACTTTTTCTAAAAGAAATTGAGACATTGAAAGAAAGGCTTTCCCTACCTGAACCTGAATAAGACAAACCACTCAGGCCTTCATCTTTTGCCTCCCTTCCTAGGTCTCCACTCCTTACCTCATCAGCCAACTGGTCAGCCCTTCGCTGCATCTCCTCCAGCTCATTGCGCATGTCTGCGTCTTCGGCCATGGTAGCGGTGGGGAGTGGCTGGGCGCCTGGGCTGGGGGGTCAGTGACGGGTTTGGCTCTGGACCTGGGAAGAAGTAGATATGAAAATATGAGAGCTTATATATGTTCATGTAGGTGTGTGCAAAGACCAGAAAATCTAAATGGCCCATACTCAGTCCACATGACTCAGTTTTCTGATCTGAAAGCCATACTCAGACAGGGGTCAACAGAATTGTGCTGTTTCTCCGAAGGATGCCACAAATACATACTTGCCAATTCTGCCATGGAGATAGACACCTATCTACCGATGAAATATTTTTAAAGAGACAAACTACCCAAGGGTTGGGAATGATGAGGTTGGAGGGATGTGGTTTGGGGTTAGTGTACTTTTATCATCACATTTATTTATTTATTTATTTATTTATTTATTTATTTATTTATTTAAATAGCTCTATTAAGGTATAACAGATATACAGTCCACCCCACATATTTGAAGTGTACAACTTGAGAAGTTTTGACATATGTATACACCCAGGAAACCATGACTGCAATCAAAACAATGAACATAGCCATTACTCCTCCAAATTTCCTACCCACCCACTGGCCCCTGCCCTATCCCACATGTCTATGCCCAGAAAACTGCTGATCTACTTTCTTTTTTTTATTTTTTTGAGACAGAGTCTCGCTCTGTCGCCCAGGCTGGAGTGCAGTGGCGTGATCTCAGCTCACTGCAAGCTCTGCCTCCCGGGTTCACGCCATTCTCCTGCCTCAGCCTCCCGAGTAGCTGGGACTACAGGTGCCTACCACCACACCTGGCTAATTTTTTGTATTTTTAGTAGAGACGGGGTTTCACTGTGTTGGCCAGGATGGTCTCGATCTCCTGACCTTGTGATCCGCCTGCCTTGGCCTCCCAAAGTGCTGGGATTACAGGCGTGAGCCACCGCACCCAGCCTGATCTACTTTCTGTCACTATACATTAGTTTGCATTTCCTATAATTTTATATAAATAAAAATCACATAGTGTGTACTACTTTTTGTCTGCCTTCTTTCACTTAGCATAATTATTTTGAGATTTATCTATGTTGCAGCATGTATTAATAGTTCATTCAATTTTTGTTGTTGAATAGTGTTCCATTGTGTTTAGAAGCATGTGGAAGCCAAAGGCAGAAAATCTTTCATCTATTTCAGTCATCATCAGAGGTTGCCAAAAGGGCTTGTGTGAGGGTGAGCTGCTATCACTCCAAAGAGGGTGGGTCCTTGGTCCTGAAAGGTGACCAGTCCATTTCTTGGCTACTCTCTTGAAATCCCACATGGTACAAATGACAGGTACAAGGACTGGGTCTATTCCGGAGAGAGCCCTCCTTCCTCCTTCCTTCTCAAATATTTATTGAGCACCTGTAATATGCCAGGCAGTGTTAGGCACTAGGGATACAGTGATGGACAAGATAGGCAAATTCCCTGCCTTTACAGAATTCAGTCTAATTGGGGAGATGCAAGCAAAAGAGGGAATTAGATGATTCAGGATGATGATAATTACACTAGGGGACATGTCTGGTATCATGGGTGCCCATGGGTTTGCAACAGGCCTTTCTGAGGAAGCCATGTCCCCAGGCCATCGAAGGGAAGGGGGCAAAGGGCCCGATGGGGTAGGTATCTGATAGAATGAAAAATTCTCTGTGAGTAGCACATTTGAAGAAGGCATGGGCTCTTGTCTTGTAGCGGAGATGGTCAACTGTGCACTTTAACCTCACTGTTGCATGGTAGAGCATGATCTCTGGGAAATGGCTGTGCAGCCAGGAATTACATTTCTAATTCCCATTGCAAGGAAGTGGTGCTCTGTGGCTAGAGACAGTCCATGAGTGGTAGTAGAACAAAGTGTGTCCCTGTCAGTCTAAGGCAGTTCAGAAGCAGGTATTCTCCTCCCTCTGTTTCTCCTTCTGCCAGAAATACAGTCTTAAAGGATGGTTAAGCCATGAGACCATGAGACAGAAGGAACTTGGGCCCTCCATATCCCTGCATGGAGAAAAATGACTCCTGGCCAGTAACACCTGAACTCTTACGTGAGCAAACAATATATTTCTATTATGCTATGGAAAATGTGAGGGTTGTTTTGTTATAGCAGCCTGTGTTACACTAACTAGTAAATGTCTGAAGAAACTTAAAATGAAACAGAAACATTGCATATGAGCATGATTTCCTAACCAAAAAACATATTTTTGTTTGTCTTTCTATTGAAAACCGAAGCTGGGAGAGGAAATTAGATTTGGGGCCTTGGGGCACTACCATGTTTATTATTATTATTATTTGCATGAGAATGAGAATCACTTTTCGGAAAAATAAAAATGAAAATTCTGTATGAAAAAAAAAATCAGGAACATACTCATTGGGAGGCAAGGGAACAAAAGTTCCCAGAGGCAGGTCCTAGATCTGATCCTGGGGGAGGAGGCTCTGCCATCTCACCCTCCAGGTCCACGATTCTATTGCTTTCTCAACAAGGATGGAATTTTAGTACATATTAATATCACTTTCCAAATTTATTGCTCTTGTGAAAAAGGAGAAATCATACTCTTTAGGGTTCTTAGAAGGAATCCTAAAGTGAAACTTCTTTGGAGATAACAGGTTTCACCGTTCTCTACCCAGTGATTGCCGGGCAAAGCAACAAATATGGAATCTGAGTAAAAAAAGAAATAACAAAACTTCAGGGTTGCCTTATTCTACCACTGGCATTAAACAAATAATGGAGTAAGTTTATGTGAGGTTAGCTTTATGGGCAGTCATTTTATAACTGACAGAGCATCTTACGATGAGCCTGCTAATTTTCGAATGCGTGTTCTGGCCACTAGAACATGTGCTCGTGAGATGATGTAGAGATGTGAACACTGTGTTTTATTTAAATACATGAGACTTTATTTCCATGTCTCCATTTTACAAATTAGGATCTAGAAAACAGACACTGGAAGGAATTTACACCAAGTCACTCCAGAATCTTAAGATGCACAAAAATGAAATTTTAGTATTCCCAAGTGACCGGGGATCTACCCTCCAGAATAAAGCAGTGGACCCGTGGGGAAGTTGAGTAGACTATGGACCATAGTTCAGTGGAGTGGGTGGATAAAGGCATTGATGTCAGAAAGACCCAGCTGGACCGCTGGCTCTGGCGCTCAGAAGCTGGGTGAGTCTGGGTAAGTTCATCACCATCTCTGAGCTTTAGTTTTCTCAACAGGACAAACAATGCCAATCTCATGGGGTTGTTGAGGGGAATAAATTACAGAAAAGTTCTGGCCAACATTTTTTGTAAAAAAGGATGTGGAGCTTAATATTCAGAAAGCCTCACTAATTCAGGACAGCCCTACACCCTTGGCTAAGAGTGGAACAAACCCGGTATTTGTTAATCAGCTTTCCTCTACTAACGGCTAGGCACAAGACATGTTGCTGTGGTGCTGAGCACCCATGGAAGCTTGAAACCAGGGAAACCAGCAGAGTGCCTGAGCCTCCAGTCTCCAAGCAGCACCTCTCACAGGAGTACCACGAGGAGACAAACAAGAGTGCCTTCTGGCCCCACGCTCCATCTTTATATTTTGCTGCTGGGTTCCTGGGGGGGAAATGTGTATCTTCGGCCTAAGCAAGCCATTGACCTTTCCTTTTCACAGGCCAGTTTATTAGAAGGCAGGGGTCCATGTGCTTTCAGACTTGTAGTGCTATTGCTCTGTCCCACTCCTTCAGGTCTATTTGCTGATGAATGTTTCTGTGCATGCTCTCTCTCTTCTCTCTCTCTCTCTCGCTCTCCCTCTCTCTCACACATACTCAAGTTTCCTGTGTTTCCTTGGCAATCTCCTCTCAAAGTTGTTATTCTCAGCATGTGAAGAACAGCTGTAGGGCGCCCTGGCTCCAAGCTGACAGCAGCCTATCCAGGCCTGGCTGATGGGCAGCTGGTGCGATGGCGGAGAAGCCATGTGGCAGATACCCTTGGTTTCATCACTTTCACGGTTCCCCCAGGAACTCCCACACCTTTGTCCTGCTCTAAAACATGGAGATACGTCTGTGATTTGGGAGGAGGGCTGATGAATCTGGTGGATCTCAAACACACAGCATTTCAAAGCTGAAAAAGCAATTCCCCCTCTCCTAATAAGAACGGCTGGAGAGTGGGCGCTGAGCGTACCTCCAGATCTTCTGTTGGGATGTTTACTGCTAGTGTTTAATAAATTGTTCCTATAAACCCCAAACTCATGCATGTTAGCATTCTAAAAGACAGCAGCTGAAGAGGCATAAGGATGTTTATTAATAGTAATTTCAGTAGCTGAAAGGACGTTAGTAGTGAAGTGGCATTTATGATCAAGGCAGCCTGCAATACATCCCTCATATTAGCACAATAAACTGCCATCTTGTGTGTTGCAGAGCAGGTAGAAAGAGGAAACTAGGAAGCAGAAGAAATTAGGAAGAAAAGCCACTCAAAACTATTCCCCGAGGCTCTGATTGTAAGACAAACTCCCAGTCTATTAAGAGCCTAACAGTATCTAATTAATTATCTCAAATCACCAGTGCTTATTAGCAAAGGGTCTGACCCCTAGTAAGGGTTCAATTCATGTTAACTGACATGGATGAACTGTTCTGACACTCCCATGTAGCATTCAGTGTTCCCAAATCAGCACTTTACAAGGTGTGGTCCAGGACAGAGCTTCTGAAACTTCCCCCAGAGTCAGAATATGCAGAAACCTTGTTAAAATGGATTGCTGGGCCCTACCCTCAGGGATTCTAATTCAGTTGGTCTGAAATGGGGTCACTGATTCTGCATTTCTTTCTTTCTTTTTTTTTTTTGAGACAGAGTTTCACTCTGTCACCTTGGCTGGAGTGCAGTGGTGCCATCTCAGCTCACTGCAACCTCTGCCTCCTGGTTCAAGTAATTCTGCTGCCTCAGCCTCCCAAGCAGCTGGGATTACAGGTGCATGCCACCACGCCCAGCTAATTTTTTGTATTTTTAGTAGAGATAGGGTTTCACCATGTTGGCCAGGCTGGTCTCGAACTCCTCACCTCAAGAGATCCACCTGCCTTGGCCTCCCAAAGTGCTGGTATTACAGGCGTGAGCCATCGTGGCCAGCTGATTCTGCATTTCCAGCCAGCCTTCAGGTGATGCTGAAGCTGCTGGTTCACAGAGCACACGTTGAGTAGCTCTGGTCTGTAGGACCTTCTCTCTTGGAATGTTCATGAGCATCACCAGGTGGGGTGGTGGGAGTCCTGTAGTTTTTTCTTCTTGCTGTTTTTGAGATAGAGTTTCGCTCTTGTTGCCCAGGCTGGAGTGCAATGGCATGATCTCGGCTCACCACAACCTCTGCCTCCCAGATTTCAAGCAATTCTCCTCCCTCGGCCTCCCAAGTAGCTGGGATTACAGGCATGCACCACCACGCCAGGCTAATTTTGTATTTTTAGTAGAGACGGGGTTTCTCCATGTTGGTCAGGCTGGTTTCGAACTCCTGACCTCAGGTGATCCGCCCGCCTCGGCCTCCCAAAGTGCTGGGATGACAGGCGTAAGCCACCGTGCCGGGCTGGAGTCCTATAGTTATATAGAGTGGGAAACAAGGGGCAGGCTACATTAACCAGGGGCTTTCGGGAAGTTAGGGCCCACGGGCCAAATCCAGCTGTTCTTGTATTGGCCTTGAGCTGAGGATGGTTTTTACATTTTTAAAATGATTTAAAAGACTCAGAGAAAAAATTTTGTGACATGTGAAAATTATATGAAATTCAAATTTTAGGGTCCATAAATAAAGTTTTACTGGAGCACACACACATCCATTTGTTTATCTGTTGTCAATGGCTCCTTTCATGCTACAACAACAGAGTTGAGTGGAAAGACTATATGCCCCCAAAAGCTGAAAATAGTTACTACCTGGTTCTATGCAGAAAATATTTGCAGATCCTTAGCCTAAAAAGAATTAAGCAAAAATTCTGAAATTTTTCAAAATCAATCTTAATATCCCCAGAGCATTATACATTTCCTATAGACACACATGGTATATTTTTTCTGTTCATATGTGTCTGTAAAATCCCCTTTTCATGGAGCTTCTAAGGTGGGGTTAGTGTTTTCTGGAACATAGTTTATTTTTAATTTTTTATTTTTAAGATGGAGCCTTGCTCTGTCGCCCAGGTGGGAGTGCGGTGGCACAATCTTGGCTCACTGCAACCTCCACCTCCCGGGTTCAAGTGCAACCTCAGCCTCCGGAGTAACTGGGAGTACAGGCATGCACACCATGTCTGGCTAGTTTTGTATTTTTAGTAGAGATGGGGTTTCACCATGTTGGCCAGGCTGGTCTCGAACCCCTGACCTCAAGTGATCCACCTGCCCTGACCTCCCAAAGTGCCGGGTTACAGGCGTGAGACACTGCGCCGGACTTCTGGAACATATTTTAAAACAATGCATGAAGTAAAATACAAGATGTAAAAACAAATTTGCCTTTGATTGACTATTCCTACAGGATTTTAGGATTGCAAATCAGATTTAATCTATATGATTGATTGCAAGGTTATAGGGTGCCCTTGTGGCCCTCAAAACAATTTCTAACTTCTGCAACCAGTTGTGGACAAATGTTCCCAGCCCCAGCAGTAGTGGTGGGAGACAGAAACATCTGAGACAGATGTTTAGCATCAGAAACGGAAACATCTGAGGGTCTGTCACTGTCAAGATACTTGCTTCACGGTGGGCAGGCTGCAGTTATTCTTCAGTGTCAAGGGTAATTTGAAAAGCTCTTTATTCTTTAATGCTACACTTAAGTCTATCTGAAACCTTAATGACATGAGGAGCAAATGGACTCCACAGAAAACTGTTCTTCCCTGTCAAGGGGCTTACTTAGTTAGGTGCCTTAGGGTAAAAATGCGTTCCTGCTGAAGACTCTGAACTGAAATATGAGTTTAGGGCCCAGGAAGAGAGGTGAGTGTGGATAGAGCAGGGTGTGCTTTTTGATATACAAAGTGAATAGAGACATGGCTATTATGCTGGGGACATGGGTCATTAGTCCAAGTGCCAAAGGACAGGAATGTCTCAGGAAAGGCATAAGGAAAGTGTACCCTGATCTAATATATTTCTTTCTGTTCCTCTTTTAATAAATAAACCAAACTAACAAATATGTATAAATCAACACCCATCAGCTGAATTATCACAGAGAGCCAAAACCTACATCTTGATGTCTCGCCACACTGTTCATCATTTGTATGAAGCTTCTGCAGGATGGATCCTTCTCTTCCTGCAGACCCTGCCTGTTTTCTGGTGGAGGTACACCTTCAAATTCAACAAAAGTTTATGAAAACTCACTATATTCAACAAAGCCCAAAGAAGAAAAAAAGGATTTTATAAACCAAGTGGGACAACTCTCCTTATCTATTAATAATAATCATATTAACTAACACTTACGGAGGGCTTGCTCTTTGTTGGGCACTATTTTAAGTGCTTTTCATATAAAATATACCTTTACACAAACTTTCAGTGACACACGCTGTGCATACTATTACTATCCCCACTTTGAGATTATGAAACAGGCTTAGCGGTAACTATTAAGATTAGGCTAAATGTTAGATCAAGAGTTTGGGTGATTTAAAAAACATATTTTCATAGCATATTTATTCTCAAAGCAAAGTGTGTAGCTATTTCATGTTTTAATTAAAAACTGGAGACTATTGGCCGGGCACGGTGGCTTATGCCTATAATCCCAGCACTTTGGGAGGCCGAGGCGGGCAGATCACAAGGTCAAGAGCTAGAGACCATCCTGGCCAACAGGGTGAAACCCCGCTTCTACTAAAAATACAAAAATTAGCTGGGTGTGGTGGCGTGTGCCTGTAGTCCCAGGCACTCGGGAGGCTGAGGCAGGAGAAACCTCGTACCTGGGAGGCGGAGGTTGTAGTGAGCCAAGATCATGCCACTGCACTCTAGCCTGGTGACAGAGCGAGACTCTGTCTCAAAAAAACAAACAAAGAAACAAACAAACAAAAAACCTGGAGACTATTTTTAGTTTCATTTACATATTGGAAAACAACACAGAGTGATTTGACAGGTTCACCTCAGTAAATCCCAGTTTTCATTATTGTTTATCATCTCTACCTATATTTTAAATCACTGATTCTTCCACACCTCCCACCCTCACCTTTATTCTTATTTCTTTTTTCTTCCTAAGATGTGTTATTGTGTTGTTCCTTTTATATCTTCTTGAATTGACAAATGACTTATTTACTTGGCATTTTTCTTGTTCTGGGTATAGTATACTTATTGCTATAAATTGTGCTCTATGTGTTACTGTGGCTGTATCTTACAGGTTTTGTCATATAGTATGTTCTTTGTTATTTATTTCTATATAGTTTTAAATTTCAGCTTTAATTTCCTCTCTAATGCAAGAGTTATTTGAAAATGTGATGTTAAGATTTAAATATTAGAGGTTTTTTTGTGATCTCTAATTTTATTTTCAATATGTTGAAAGTGGTCCATATGATTTTTACTGTTTGGAATTTGTTGAGATTTCCTTTGTGCCTTAACACATGGCCAATGGCTGTGAATATTTAATTTGTGTCTGAAAAGAAAGTCCATTCTGTCTTTGACTCTAACTACCTACCTATTGACATCAAATCAAGCAGAAAAGGAAAGTTTATGTTTTCAAACTCTCTAAATTCCCTAGTCAATTTGACCTATTGATTTCTGAAAGGGATGTGTTCAGGTCTTCAACAGTGAGTTCGTTCCATCAATTTCTTCTATTTCAGCCCATTTTCACTCTTTACATTTTGCAGCTGTGTTGTCATGTTTATAGGTCCATGATTGCTACCTTTTCATAGTGCATTATTGCTTTTATCAATATTGAAGATAAGTGTTGCTACCATAACCCTGTTCTACTATGTTATTCATATTGCACAACCTTGATCAAACTCAATCCAATCAAATATTCATTTCTCTTAGCCTTATGTCTCTCATCTTCATCAAACAAACCAAAACAACAGCAACAACATCAAACTAATGCATCTAAGCATCTAAGTCATGGGTTAATGTGCTCTCATTTGGCTCACAATAGCCACCTTTTTTTCTCTGGGTTTCTATTCTTGCCCTCCAGAAAGAGCCAGTACTTGGATTTGTTTGGAGACTAATAATCTCTTTCCCTGACTGTAATGGCATGGGAATATGATCAAAAATGGGTTTGGTGCTATTATTTTCACTGGATGAAATTTCTTGAAGAGAATGCAACCGTAAGATGCAAAGCACTTATTCTAAGGGAATATATTGTTAAGCACAGTGACTGCTGCTGAGACAACTCCCTAAGTCCCCTCATTGAAAGGGTGAGTGAAACTGGTGAAGAGGTGATTCCTTCCATTTTCTGAATCATCAGAATTTGCCCCAGGTTTGAAGCAGCCTTTCCCTGTTAGGCAAAATCAGCTGCATCTATTCTAACATTCTATGCCGCACAACTGTTAGTTGTCAAAACACTCTTCATAATAATAGTTATTTGTCAAGAACTTGCAATGTGATAGGAATCAAACTAAGAACTTTATATGAAACTAGGGGGATTATATAGAAACCCCCAAACCTTTGGTACTCCAAATGTGTTCCCCAGACCAGCATCGGCCTCACCAGGGAGCTTGTTAGGAGTTCCACCCCAGACTTATTGGATTGGATCACGTACTGAACAACATATCAAGCACTAAGTTTGAGAAGTGCTGCCCTAAATCACATTATCTCCATATTAGGCTGGTAGGTGTGAGAGGTGGAGTTCCCACCTTGGGGGTGACTCTGTGCCTGTGCTCCACTCTTGACCACGCGATGTTATTTTAACCTCACCAATTCACATGTCCTACAGACTCCCAACATCATTTACCTCCCAAGCTGACTGAAAGCTCCACGGGGCCATGGGTTCTGAGTCTCCTAATGGTGCCCTGCACTGGAGGGTGGACAAAATGACTGATTTCCATGAGATAAATTCTTGTATTCAGAAAATGAAGAGAAGATAGTTATTAGAAAAAGCACACTGACGATGTTCTGTCTCTCCCAAATAACAAGGTTTGTGAAGTCTTGTTCTGTAAGACAGAGGAAGAAGAGACTGAGGATTTTGTGCATTGGAGACTCTGTGGATGGTGCTGATAAATTATTCTTCTCCCTCTGCAAATAATTAAAGCTTATGTTTTAAGGCAAACTAAGGACCAGAGCAAAAAGTACTTTCAGCAGATAACATGCTGTAAGTTTCTGTTTACATTTCTATCACTAAGAATGGACACTTCTTAAATCTGCCGTGTTCATAGTTGTAAATTTTCTAAAGCATGGGATGGACTTGGCTCCTTGTTATTGTATTTTTGAATATTCCTGTGCATGAAATTCAATCTCCTCTTTTCATAGCAGGAAATACTGGTTTTAAACTATTTCCTACTTAAATCAAAAGATTATATTTCAAATATGATGAACACATGTCTTGTGAATGAATTGATATACCATCTTGCATCTATTTTACACCCATTTTCTGGATAACAGATGAGTCACAGTGGCTCATAACAGGGCCTCTTAGTAAGCCGAGATCGCGCCACTGCACTCCAGTCTGGGCAACAGAGCGAGACTCCATCTCAGAAAAAAAAAAAAAAAAAAAGCATGGTCTGAGATCTCCTTGCATCAAAATCTTTTTTAGTTGCTTGCTAAAATGCAGATTCCCAGTTACATTACCTATGGAAAGCAATCTGTGGAGGTCGGGCTAGCATCTGCATTTTCAACAACAACCACAGGTCCTTCTTATGGTCCCCCAGAGTGGAAGGATCCATGTGTAGCATGACTTAGGGCTGAAGGTCTTTGCAAGGATCCAGTGGGAAACTCTGGTTTCCCATAAGGGTAACCTTATGATAAACTATCCAAACTATCCAAACTATCCAAAAACACAAGAACGCGGCTCCCCAGCATTGAGGAGGCCATCTTGATCTGAGGTGGTGGTCCCTTTTCCTTCCCACTATGTTGTTTTCAATATCTGATAACATAGCATGTGTTAAACACCATTAGTATGCTTCTTATAGGAGAATTTGGCTGAAGAACAATCTCAAGTGACAAGTACTTTAACCAGCCCACAGAATTGTCACCCTCTCCCACAGTGTCTCTGAGAAGAGGCACTAGCATTAAAGCCCAATTCCTTTCAAGCTTGGCTAATCTATTTCCCAGAACATTCCACCCCACACCATTCCTAAATGGGATTCTATATCTGTATGTCTGGATATAAATAGGCACAGTCTTGATCTGGTTTCTTCTGAGAAGGGAAGTCTGGCTTCCCTGATATGCCCCTTCCCTGGGCTAGTCCAGGATTAGTGACAGCATCGTGAAAAGCGGCCTCTGCTTGGGTTTTGTATTTTAGGGTGCTGGGTCTGGGGAGGCCTGGCATTGAAATGCAGCCAGCATTGGCATTTCTTAATTGTAACAGGGCATCCAGCCACAACCAACACTGATTATGCCTAAATCTCTCTTTTTCGAAAATGCCAATGTTTCTTTTGTCTGTTTTGCAAATGTGGCTAAATGGGTATTTAGCCCTGTGGTTTGTATTATGCAACAGTTCCTGATTGTTTACTTAGGAGCCAAAGCACAGCAGCCTCACTGACCAGGAGAGAAGAGGGGCCCCAATCTTGTCTCATTGATTCTGTTCATAGTTAAACAAACCACGGTAACAGGTTCATTCATTTAACCAATATTTACAGAGTGCTACTGTTAGTGCAGCCGCATCCAGCCTGAAGCTGGAGTGGAGAACCGCCCCTTAGGGATGGTTTTAGGAGCTCTCGCAAGAAACCTTTGCGTTTGGGTCTCTTCCTTCCCCATCCTAGGACAGAACTGATGAAAATGTTTGTATTCTGAGGTACACAGCTTGGTTCTTGGGAGATGAGTAATCTTCTGTGGGGCTAACACTTGGCCACAATAAAAGAAAGTCTTGTTATACCCTAAACAAAATGATTCCTCTCAGGAGTGCGTGAACAGACAGATTCTAAGACCAAACAGAAAGACCCCACTCCCACCATTCTCATGAAAACCAAACTATTTCTGTGCTGCTATGACCACACCAACACCTGGAAGGAAGCTGGTATGTATTCAGGCTTAGTAACAGTTTTGCCTTCAGTAGTCAATGTTATTGGGTATCTGCTCAGCTCCCTTAGGGGTTCTTTGTGGTCATCTCCGTGTTTCTGTGCCTGTGACCCTCTTTGTAAGAATACCCCAGGGTTGGCCTGGTGCGGTGGCTCACGCCTGTAATCCCAGCACTTTGGGAGACCGAGGCGGGCGGATCATGAGGTCAGGAGATCGAGACCATCCTGGCTAAGCCAGTGAAACCCCGTCTCTACCAAAAATACAAAAAAATTAGCCGGGCATGGTGGCGGGCGCCTGTAGTTCCAGCTACTCGGGTGGCTGAGGCAGGAGAATGACATGAAGCTGGGAGGCGGAGCTTGCAGTGAGCTGAGACTGCGCCACTGCACTCCAGCCTGGGCGACAGAGCGAGACTCCGTCTCAAAAAAAAAAAAAAAAAAAAAAAAAAAGAGCACCCCAGGGTTGCTTCGCCTGATCCACTGGGAGTGGCAGCAAGTACCTGGGAGCTTTTGACCCACTACTCCCCCCACCGCCCACCCCCAGGGCAGGCCCCTAGCTAACAACTGACTGGCAGAGGAGTACAAAAAACTAGCTCCTGTACTGCTTCTGTGCCTTAAGGTGAGACAAACCATAAGGTGTAATGTACACTCCAAAGATTCTCTCAGGATCATGCCAAAGTTGGGACCCTGCTGGCAAGGGCTCCTTGGCTTGGCTTCCTTGTGTCCCCACTGTCCTTCTCCAAACTCCCTTTCTGGTTTCTCCTGCGAGCACTGCCTTAATAAATCACTATCACATAAATCCCTGTCTAAGGGTCTGCTTCTGAGGAATCCAACCGAAGACAACTTCCACTTGTTTATGAGCTATTTTTTTTTTATCACGTATGGATAGCTGGACGCCATGTACTTAGAGGAATCAACAAACCACTGAATCAGGAAAAGAGGGGAAAAAGAACAAAAATTCTCTGTGTTCTCAGCTTGGCTGAACTTACTTGGATTTGAAGACTCCACATTCAGAATATCACAGAATGGCTAGAACTTGAGGATTACTGGGTGTCATTTGTCACAGGAGGAAGGGAAGCTCAGAAAGGTGGAGTAACTTGAAACTACAGAGTCACGCAGAGCCTGAATCTTTAAGTCCCAATCTAGGGCTCACCTTAAGGTATCCTTGAAATGGCAAACATCAAAATAGTGGAGAGGAAGGGACTCGTCTATGCTAGTTGAGAATGTTTTTAGAATATATAAAAATAACAGGACTAAGGCCAATGTAGCCTGTCTTTTTCCTACTGTTAATTTCAGACAATTGCTATTTTTATATTTCATGATATCATCCTTCCATAGCAAAACTAAAACTCTACTTTTTTCTGACTTAGATCTTCTCTGGTGGGTGCTGGCCTTGGTATAGAAGGCTTTCTCTCCTGAATTAAAAGCAGGCACATGAGCTGTATGGTATTTATCAAAGAATCAGTGGTGTTTGTGTTGCTAAACTCATTGCGTTTTGGCACTTTGTGTTATTTTTTACTGCCTTCTGGAGAAAAGATGAACAGTTTGGCAGGTAAATAATGCTGATCAACATAATTTCTGTTTTCCTAGAAAAAGTACTTATGGTGAAGACAACTCTGGCCAGGGTCCCCATATCCTGAACTCATTATCCTTGTGAATAGTTTTTCCAAAACCCTGGGCCTCTTATGTTTTCTTCACAATTTAGGCATAAATGCACGCTACATTGTTAATTCCCTAAGTCTTTTTAAAATCATTGATTTTAACGCACCTTTCAAACCTAGCCTCATTCTAAGTAATAATATCTATAAAATCAGAAATGTTATGGCTAATTATGTTTGTTTAATATACATTAAAGTAGATACACAATTACTAAAATGTATATTGCAAATTTCATCTATCATCCTCCTAAGCTCATTTCACCAGCCACTGAAGGTATATGTGCTATGCTGGGGAATTCATTGCTATAGATAAGGGGATGGATCACACACCCACATTCTTGCCTATGTTTCCATATGTCTGACCCATGTAGAGGGTGCAAACGTAGGCAAGGGAAGCTTGGCAAAGAGAGGCTCTGAGTTTGAGCAAGGTCTAGGGTGTGGTGGCTCAGGGAATAGAAGTGGAACATTTAGGGTGTGTGTAGGTACCTTTATCCTGGGATCTGGAAGCCCACAGAAAAAGCGATTTCCTGAATCACATGTTCATACTCATTCGTTTGTAGTTACCTTAAAGCTGGGAGGAGAACAATGTGGTCAAGGGCTTTGAAATCCCATTGTACTAAAAATGATTGAGGGTATGAGGGTATTTAGCTTGGAGAAAAGAAGACAGAGCATGACTCTGGTTACTGCAAGGAATAGATACTAGATTGGTTCAATATTAGCCATTAAATTGTAATTTAACTTAAAATTCATTGACATGAATGTATATTAGTTGTAATCTGTACCCAAGAGGTGGTTAGTAAACAGTCATGGTACCCTAAGCAGAGATACAGACTTCTAGGATAGGCAGTTAGCATTTGAAAGAGTTATATCAGGAGCTCACATTTCTGAGATAGCTACTATTAGTGTTTCAACTCCTTTTGCCTGTGATCTATGGAAAGGTTTACTAATTAACCTAATGGATGTTAGCAATAATTTTTTATTGGTGGAATGAATGTTCAAAATGTAAAAATTGGCTAGAAATACTGTAAATGTACTACCATCCCACATAATATAAGGCAGATGTGTGTGTGTGTGTGTTTGTGTGTGTGTGTGTGTGTGTGTGTGTGTGTGTGTAGTGAGTCTAAGTATGCCATTAACCTAAGGCTTACATTTGCTCCTTGATTCTGTCATGGTTAGGGGAGTTTCCTGACCGATTCTCATGGGTAGCACTTGTTAAAACTCAGATTGCTGATGTAGTAAGTGATTCTGGGGTAGGGCCTAGCAATTTGCATTTCTAAGATTCTCATTCTCTGATGCTGCTGCTGGTGGTGGTTCAGGGAATGCACTTTAAGAACCACTTTTTTTGTTTGTTTGTTTTAATCTGATCTGACTGCAAGGTCACCTGAATCCTGCCACTAGAATATTATGCAAGGTGCTGATTGGAATGCCCAAGTGAACAGAAAATGCATACTTCATTGTGTTTATAGAACAAGTTTTCCAACTAGTATTGTGTCTGCTTGCTAAGAAATATTTTGGTGAGGGAAGAATCCATCCTGAGGCTTGTTTTCCTTAAATATAATACCTAGTTTCAATGTCATGAGGGAGGAGACCTACGAACTTCACCTACTTTAACTACATCTATTAAAATAATTACTGAGAATTACCAAATTGGCAGAGGAAAATTTGCAACAGACTCTAAGGAATAAAACCATCAGCACTGGGAGGAAATGACAGAATAAATTTCTAAGAGATCTGTCCAAAGTCTGGGTTAGAGGACTCAGAAAAAGTGAGTTCCCTATTTCAGGGAAAGGCTGACCAACCAGCTGGTAGCCTTGATGGACATGATTCATTTATAAGATGGGACGTTGGATCAGGTGATGTGCAAATTCTCTTCCAAACCTGAGGTCTCTGGCTCTATGAAGGAAGCCGAGGTGTATGTATAGTGTTGATGACACAAACCCAGGTCACTTCATAAGAATGGGTTCTGGCTGGGCACAGCGGCTCAAGCCTATAATCCTAGCATTTTGGGAGGTCAAGGCAGGAGGATTGCTTGAGGCCATGAGTTTCAGACCAGCCTGGGCAACATGGCCAGACCCATCTCTACAAAAAATTTAGAAGTTAGCTGGCATGGCAGTGTGCACCTGCAGTCCCAGACACTTGGGGAGCTGAAGTGGGAGGATGGCTTAAGCCCAGGAGTTAGAGGCTGCAGTGAGCTATGATCACATTATAGCACGCCAGCCTGGGCAAGAGAATGAGACTCTGTCTCAAAAAAAATAAAAATAAAAATAAAAAAAGTCCTGATTAGCTGGTCCTTTAAAATGGTTCCTCAGAATCTAATTGCACCCACAAGACTGTCATAGAGATTAGAATGCTGATGGACTTAATTCTTTCTATCCTCCCATCCTTTTTGGAAAAGTTTACCATGCTGGAAGAAACACCATCTGCTCCTCAGTATTACAGGAACCACTGTGGAAACAAGAAAGACATTTCCTAAGCCAGCAAACTCCCAGGAAGGAGCTGACTCACTTGCAAATTCTGCTTCCATGGAGGTGAGAGAAACAAAAATGCCAACCTAATTGTTATTCCTCAGATTAATCTGATAATCTCATATCAAAAAACATGGGCATTCACCCTGGACTTCATCATTATTATCACCTCTGCTGAATATATATATATTCTGCCATACTCTGCCATACATATATCTTTGTATATATATAGCCTTAGATAACAGTTCTGCTATGTCCCTCTTTGAAGAAACCAGGACCTATGAACACAATCCCACTCTGAACAAGCCTACTATACGCCAACCTACTAAGCAGTTAAACTCTCCGGAAAATTATTTGCTCTAGAAGTGAATTCACTGCAGGGTTTCTTTAAATAGCAAAGCTACTAGCTTATATTCTAGAATTTTATAGATCATTATGGGAGTATTTGACACAGAGAGGGGTAACAAAAAATAGAAAAAGGTCCCTGGCCAAAGTGTCAGGAGTCCCATTTGATGGCAGAAGAGCTCCACATGATGATAAAGTGTCTCTGAAGTGATTGTGGGAGTCAATGATGGCAGAAGACTGATTGGTAAAATTGGATTTACCCAAATATCGAATTGCTTAAGGTAAGTAACTACTGTGACTGTAACTACCCTAGTGGGTAAATTTGACTTCTCCAGTTACTCAATTTGGCATTCCCTATCATTATCATGGAGTGGATTTAAAAGGCGCTTGCATTAGACCTTGTGGGCAAAGGGCCTGGAGATTTTTGTAAGCCACACAGAGCGCATGTTCTGAGAACATTGGGAGAAGGAAGCATTTTGTGGCCAAACGCTAAGATGTTGTTGCTGGATCAGTCTCCACTCAGGATGAGTTTTCTAGGTTCACTTCTGTCACTAAATCCATGTTTGATCATGGATAGTTTTCAAGGTACCCTTTCAAAAAGTTAAAAACATGAGTCTCATAAAAATATAGAAGGAGTATGTGATGAAGATTTATTAACTCATTAATGAGAGAGCCAACAAGATGGTAAAGCTGGTTCAAAGAGAATTCATACATAATACTGGAATAAGATTACTAACTGAAATACAAAGCTGGTTAATATCTTACGGAGCAATAAAAGTGTCACCTTTGCAGTTGCTTTTTCTATCACACAGGAATCATTTAAATTTCCATGACACGAGATCTCTAAATTAACAAACATGTAACTTCACAGAGTCTGGACCCTGATAAAAGTTAATAGTACGTCAAAGAAAGAGAATGGGATAATCCTTGAGTGGGTCCATTAGATGACCAGTATGTCAAATGAAAGATGTGCATCCATCATTTTGCTTTATTTCCAAGTTATGGATAATTTTTCTTAGTAATACAAACAGGTAAGGTTTTCCTTGGGCACTATTCTATGAAATTTGCTGGCAGCTAGCAGGTGAACTTTTTTTTTTTTTTTTTTTTTTGAGACAGAGTCTCACTCTGTTGCCCAGGTTGGAGTGCAGTGGCATGATCTTGGCTCACTGCAACCTCTGCCTCCTGGGTTCATGCAATTCTCCTGCCTCAGCCTCCTGAGTAGCTGGGACTACAGGTGCATGCCACCATGCTGGCTAATTTTTTTGTTTTGTTTTGTTTTTGAGACGGAGTTTCGCTCTTGTTGACCAGGCTGGAGTGCAATGGCGCAATCTCGGCTCACTGCAACCTCTGCCTCCTGGGTTCAAGCGATTCTCCTGCCTCAGCCTCCTGAGAGCTGGGATTACAGACATGCACCACCACACCCAGCTAATTTTGTATTTTTAGTAGAGACGGGGTTTCTCCATGTTGGTTGGGCTGGTATCGAACTCCCAACCTCAGGTGATCCGCCCGCCTCGGCCTCCCAAAGTGCTGGGACAGGCGTGAGCCACCGCGTCTGGCCCATGCTGGCTAATTTTTGTATTTGTAGTAGAGACAGGGTTTCACCATGTTGGCCCGGCTTGTCTCGAATTTCTGAACTCAAGTGATCCACCTGCCTCAACTTCCCAAAGTGTTGGAATTACAGGCATGAGCCACTGTGGCCAGGTGAATGTCTTTTTGCTTCGGAAGGCTAAATAAATATTTATTCTTTCTCCAAGTCTTCTCAGTGAAGAATTGTTTTTTTCCTTTTTTAAATCATATGCCCATAGTTCTCAAATCTGGAGGGGTGCATTTAAATCTCCTGGGGAGCTTTAAAAGAATCTTGATGCCCCGGTAACACCCCAGACCAATTCAATCAGAATCTGAGAATGAATCCCAGGATGCAGTATATTTAAAGCTCCCCAGTGACTTTAGTGTGCAGCCAAGATTGGGAACCAATGCACTATTTAGAATCAATATACATGTGTATGCCTGCATATACATAAATTTATTTGTTAAAGAATCAGATATACACATATTATCCTGTTTTTTATAGTCAATTACATTATGAAAATTTTCATATATTAGACATTGCTCAAATGACATTTTTAATGACTGCATGATGTTCCCTCACATAACATATTAAGATTTATTTGGCTAATCTCCTGTTACTGGATGTTTAGAGTTGTTTTGTTTCCTCTCTCCTCTTCCTTCCCCAGCCTTTCCTTTCCTTTCCATTCCCTTTCTTTTTGCCATTGTAAGTTAGGCTATCATGAACATATTTACACAAACATTGCATTTACATCTTGGATTATTTCCTTATAATAGATTCCCAGGAGTGGATTTACAGGTCAAAGAAAATAAATTAATGACAGCTGAGGTATATTACCAAAGTGCTTTCAACAAAGGCTCATCAGTGTATATTTTTAACTTGTGATTTCCTCAGTATTTTATCTGTAAAATGTTTGCATATTCCAAAATGAGTTAAAAGTTCATTTTTTTCTAGTTTTCTCAGTGGTCATATTTAATTCAACGTTTTAATCCAGCTAAAATTTGTTTTAGTGTACATACGGAAAGAATTAAAGCCCTAATTCTATATTTTTCCAAACAGCTCCTTTTTCAACATCATTTATTGAATAATTCATTCTTTCTCCATTAGTTTATGACTCAAAGAAGTTTAAAATAAAATATGTAGGTTAATTAATGGTCCTTCGTAATAGCGGATAGACTTGAAAGATGCACATGAAGGTTTCAACTACTAACAAACTAGTTTAAGTACATTCTTGCCTAAATCTTAGCTATTATTATTTCTTAGAGATACCTAGCTCTGATTTTAACTCTTACTCATTTATGGAACACTTAGGTGTTGAAAAACAACCCAAAGCTCATCCTCTCTAAGATGGCTTTAATCTGTCTGCAAGCAGCTTGTAGCTTTGCCAGTAACAGGTCTGCCTAAATCCATCTGTTCTACTTCACATGTTCTCCCTTTGAAACATTGTTTATGCCCTTGCATTATCTATGCATAAAGGTTTTTTTACATAATGTTGATTTATTACCAGTTCTGAATGTAATGGAATCGATTTTTGTAAGTTTTGTTATTATGCATTTATTTCTATTCTTATAATTATCATAGTCTCACTGTTCTGCGCTTAATAGCCCTATACAAAATCCGTAAATGAAGCCCAAAGTTATCAAAGCCATATTAACAAAGGGAAAGGAGGCTAGAATGTTTAATTATGTCCAAGAAAACAGAAAAATATTCTATAAATGGAGGACACAAATCTTCTAACCCACGATTCCTGTGTTAAATCACAGAAAAGGTAGATTTGCCTACTAATATTTTTAATGAGTTGTACTTCATTAGTAATTCTAGTACTCAAGTTGTACTCTTTATTAGCTTTCTTGGGCCCAAAACCCTACATTTTGCATCTCCAATTGCCAGGTAGTGTATAGACCACAGTGAATTCCCACCCCAGAACCCTGAGTTGGCAGAGGAAATAAATTGTGTGTGTATGTGTGTGTGTGGGTGTTACTGTTCCAGAAACTTGGAGGAACTTACCCTGACCCATTCACCCTCTCCCACCTAGTCTCTGTATAGCTCAAAGAGTTATTTGCCCATTGGAAGGAAACATACAAGAGGGTGGACAACACTTAAGAGTGTCACTTGTGGCCAGAGGAGCAAGCATCGTTTGATGGCCGTTTAAGCAATCAAAGTTTGAAGTGCTTTGCTACACCAGTGAGTCTGTGTAGTACCATCCAGTCTTTTGGAAACTTGGCAGGTTGGCTGTCACAACCGTTATTCTTATCCGTGGGCCCACTTGGACCCTGGGATTTGGCAAACTCCAAAAGACAAATTTTCAGATATTTTTCTTACCCAAAGTCTAGGCTATGGGCTGCCCTGATGGCTTGGGGAGAAGGGATCCCTCTATATCATTTCAAGTACCTTAGCCACAAATGGCTGGGCTCAGGAGTCCCATTGTGTCCCATCAATCTTTTTACTTCAGATGAAGAAACAGTCGGAAGGCACAGACCCTTTTCTATAGAGGCTGAGCTGAAGAGGGAAGCTAGAGAGATTTTCCCTGAGGCCAATGAGACACAGGCAGGCTATATCTGTTTTGGAAGAAGTTCATGAGGCTCCGAGACTGCCCAGTGCATTAAAAAATAATTTTCCAGACCCGAGGCAGGTATGCGTCTCCAGCACTTTGCCCTGGGGGAACTGTTTTTTCCTTGGAGGATTTGAATTGCTGTTTTCTCCATTTACCGCAAGGCCTGTGTCTTCCCATCTGGTTTCTCCTCCTGCTCCCAAAGTGTTTACAAAGCAGGTAGCTCAGGATAGGGCAAACTGCTCAAAGTTCTGTGTTTCTAAGAACTTCAGAGCAGGACCGTCCTCCTTTGGGATTCCATAAGCTACTTGCAGAGAGGCACTTCTCTACTGGAGGTGGGAGTGCGCGGGAAAAGGAGCTCCTCCTGGGTTTGCTGCTTCTAAGAGCCAACCCTGAGCTAAGAGTCTATGTAAAGGGAATTTGTTGAGGGAATGCTCTGGGGGGAGATCAGGAAGGGAGTGGAGGAGATAGGTCAAGAAAGGGGAAGAAGCCAAGCAAGGGGGGTGTGCCAGCATCAGCATCATCCTCCATGGAGCTCTGGAGTCTTAAATGCACCTCAGAGCATGCCTCACCTCCAGGAGAGAGAGCTGGGCTTTGCGCACTTCTATGTCAGTCAGTCATTGGCTAAAGCCACTTGTGAGGTACAAAAACTCCCAGCCATTTCTGGTCTCTGTATGGATGAAGCAACTTTCTGTATGAGTAAAATCATAGATTGCCTTTAGCAGCAAAACATGCAGAAGCTATGCAATGGGCTGGTAAAAGGGAACAAAGGGATCTCATAGGAGACCCACAGTGCCTGCTAAAGGAACCCTCCGGGGATAAATCTTGTAGCTCAGGCTGAGCAATGCCCCAGAACTAGGAAGCAGCCGTCTTCCCCAAAGCAGGTGGTAAGCCATCTGTGGGCTCTGTGGGAGGAGGAGGGCACATCCTGCGTAGGGAACCCTGCCAGTCAGCAGGGTGGAAGGTCTGGCTAGGCCACCCTGAGAACTGCCTGGTCAGCCCCTTTGTGGGTGTTAACACCTTTTTTCCAGTCCCAGGGTGTGTGTGACATGTAGATCACAAAATGTACAAATGTCACTAAACCACATCTACAACTGCCAGACAGCTTGTATTAGTACCCCCAAATACACCTTTGGAGTTATTGCTGGGTGACACCGCAAAGGGGAATTGTCCTGCATATAAAAATTACATTTTCAAGTCTCATCATTTTGAGAAGTCCACCAGCACTCCTCAGGCTTGCTGAATGGGACCCTTGGCTGCCCGACCACTCATTCACAGGTGCTCATAGTAACAGGGATGATCCCTGAGCATGTAGAGTCCTCCCAGCACTGTATAGATCCTGGTATGTGATAACTCAGTATCATAGTCCCACCAGCTCTATGTGATGTGGGTGCCTTCATCATCCCCATTTTATAGATAGGAAACCAAAACACAGAGGGGTTCGGTAAGTAGCCTAGAGTCACATAGCTAGTAAGTGGCAGAATCAGGATTCGAATCCAGAGTCCTCATCACTGAGATACAATACCGTGGACAGAGAGCCCTAAGAGCTTATGAGATTCTGGATGTGAAGAAGCCAGGATTCCATCAGGATTCAGTCCAAGGCCTGGTGAATCCTAGTCTAAAAATTAGGACCTGCTTTAGCTCTCATCTACTCCTTGCGGTTTGTAGCTGAGGAATCAGAAAAAAGGTAAAGACAAGTGACCTGGTCAAGAACACAGTTCTGAGTGTCCTTAGGGTCTCATCCCTGGTCTATGATATTTTTTGTCTCATCGTCTCTCATTCACATAGCTCCTGAGCTACATTGCTCCTTGGAAATGATAATTAAGAACAGGTAACCTTTACTAGGTCCTTAAGATGTACCAGGTGCTGTGCTAAGCACCCAAATGCATATTTTTATTTAACCCTAGTAATACACCTATGAAACAGAGATCTATTATTATCTCCCTTTTTTTTTTCAGATGGAGAATCTGAGCCTCAGGGAGGTTTAAATATTTTGCCTAAGGTTACACACTTACTAAGTGGCCAAAACTTAAATCTCTTTGAGTCGAGAACAACTACTTTAATTAAAGTCAAGAAAAATTATCTAAAGCTTGAAAGCTAAAAAAAAAAAAAAAAGATGAGAAAATTCTTTTATATCATATTGGAACATTTTCTAATAGGACTGCCTGGGGATTATGTAATTTTTTAGGGGAATGTAACTTGTTTGGGCTTACTATTTTTTTCTAACAGCTTTATTGAAGTATAAAGAACATACAACGAATGCACACATTTATTTCAAAATCTGTTAAATTTTAACATATGTATATTGCCATGAAACCATCACTACAATAAAAGTAATAAACATGTCAATCACCGTCAAAAGTTTTTGTTATTTACCCTTGATTAGAGACCAGACTGACAAGTTACATGTTACTTTATACAAGATTGAGCACATGACTTTCATCTAGTAAAGAAGCAAATGATATATCTGTGGTAGAAAAGATAATCCCAAGCATTGTAGTTGTATGGCCTGGAGGGCATTAATCAGTTTTGAACCCAATTAAACAAATTTTTTTAACCTCCCTTTCCTGACTGACCATATAAATCTTTGTTCCTCAAATACTCTGTGAACTGACTTGATCTGCCTACTGGTTTTCTCACTAATGAAGTAAGTAAATCTCTGACATATAGTCACTATACATTCATGTGATATTCATGTGCTAACTCTGGAAATTATGCATTGCCTCTACTGAGTTTGCACGTGGGTGTCTCCGTATGTGCAGATGTACAGAATGTTTCCAAGAGCAAACCAGGGCACATAGGGCCTGTTAACTGGAGGGTGGTAGAGTTCCAGATGGTTCTAGAAGGTCGTGGCAGCCATATAAGAAAGCAAGCTTATGAACTTTGCTCATCCTGGTTTGGCATGTGCTGCTGGAGTGACCTGTCAAACACAAATGTACAGAGAATTTGTGCCTCAAGTCTCTCTAGGTTCCTGTTCTTTCCATCTCCCCAGATTTGAGATTTCCTTTTCTGTAGCTGCACAAATATCCAAAATTTCCATAAATTCACTTTCTAGGAGGAACATATGATAGGCAAACAAGCTTTTCTGGGCCTGTAGTTCATTTACCTAGAACCTTGAGGGGATATACGATGAAAACAGAAGATCTCATGAATAACAAAAAGGAAAGACAAAAGCCACCCAGGAAAGGTTAGCCTGCTTTAATCACAAGGGCAAACATGGCTCCATTCAAATAGATTTATGTGTTCCTTTTTGGAGGTAGGACAGGTTTGTTTAACATTTTCCAAGGGATCAGATCTCATGCTTATTAATCATTGCTCCTTCAGGAGCATGCCTGATGAAAATGCTTCCCTACTTACTTTTACTGTAATCCTTCCAATGTCTGCTATTTCTTTTGCCATAATATCATCCCTCAACCCTTTTCCAGCCTTCCATCCAGCCTTCAAAATTCTGAACAAATGGCATCTCCTGGAGTAGGCTGGCAGCTTGGACCAAGGCTGCCTTTGGACTCCTGTGTGGTTCTCAGGTATCCTTCCCAGTATTTCTTGCTTCATGCTACTTTGGCCTCTATGTCATCTCTATCCCCCAGGAAACTGTGATAGGTCCTCAAATTCTCCTTGAAGCACAAATTCTCCTGGAGACAAAAATACTGTGTACATTCGTGTTTGACAGGTCACTCCACCAGCATCCTTTTAGTCTGAGTGCCTACCATGCAGAAAGCAGCAAGTAAATAATTGTGAGGGCAAGGATCATGTCTCACACATCTTTATAACATTTTTTGTTTGACATGGTGCTGGGATCTTAAATTGGAGTATACAGTCATGCGTCACTTAACGATGGGGATACCTTCTAGGAAATGCGTCATTAGGTGATTTCATCGTTGTGTAAACATCATAGTGTGTACTTAGGCAAACCTAGATGGGATAGCCTACTATACACCTAGGCTATATGGTATAGCCTATTGCTCCCAGGCTACAAATCTGTTTAGCATGTTACTGTACTGAATACTATGGGTAACTATAACACAATAGTAAGTATTTGCGTATCTAAAGATATCTCAACTTGGAAAAGGTACAGTAATAATCTGGTATTCTTATCTTATGGGACCACCCATCTATCCATCATTGATCAAAATGCATAGCACATGACTGTGTGTGTTTTTTAATTGTTTCATGAAGCTTTTTGGCACCAATCTTCCTTGGACTATTTAAGGCAATATATATCAAATTAATTTGAGCATGTTAATACTTACAGGAGAGTCCAATGAGTAATTTAAAAAATTCTTTACATACTTTGCCCATTAAGCGTTAGCATCCTAGAGACTGTGGGTTAAGATACTGAGGGTTTTTGAGACTAGAGATAAATACTTTAAGGTTTCTTCCTCAGGGGACTTGGAGACCACTTGTGATCATTTGGGTGTCATTTTTGCAGGGCTTGACTAATGTGCTCAGAAAATTTAGTCCCCCACAATGTGTATCATGAGAGCTCTGGTTCTAAGCAGATGGAAGGTGATTAAAGTCTCCTGAACAGGAAATCATGAAGCCATACCATACCTCTTCCATTTACTTACACTCAACAAGCTCTTTCAGAAATGCCCTGGACGACCAGAACCAGTTCTATTTTAACATAGTTTGTGGACTTTGATTGAAAAATAAGTTTAAAAAGTAAGTAGTTTTCTGAAGAAACTGAGTTCCCTAAATAAGAAAATATAATTTTGAAAGGGAATGACGGAAACAGAGATCTTGAAAAGGTCTGACAGTTGCAATCAGTTTTTTTTCTTTAAGAAGGATGTTGCTAAAGGAGTCTAGGAATGTGGTCCAGGACAGGCAGCAGCAGCATATGCAGGAACTTACTAGAAATGCATATTCATGAGCTCCACCCTAGATCCGCTGAATTGGAATCTCTGAGGGTGTGGCCCAGGAATTTATGTTTTAATAAGCTCTCCAGGTGATCCTGATGGTCACTAAAGTTTGAGAAGAGTAGACCTTTAGGTCTAACACTAGACCTAAAGGGTTTTAACTTTCCAGAGGGTTAGCTGTTCTCCTTGGGAAGCAAAATAATTAGCTTTGCAGGGTTCTTGTTAGACTAGGGCTTCTAAAAATCACCTGGAGAACTTATTAAAACACAGATTCCTGGGCTCCAAATCTAGAGATTCTAGTCCAGTCAGCCTGTGGTGGGGTTTAGAATCAGCATTTCTATCAAGTTGCACAGTGATGCTATTGTCTGTGGCCCACACTGAGCAGGAAGGATGGACACCCAGAGAGCTCCAAGCTGGTCCTACATGGCTGCAAAAGCTACACTCCATCTAGGCAGACATCACAGAGGCTCTGCCATCACAGGAGGGTTATTTTTTTTCTTGTAAGGAACCCGCCAAAATAATACCAGTCTCTTTGCTGTTAGAAAATAGCACAGAGGTCTTTGGAACAGGTTCCCGTCAATAGCTTCAAAAGGTAACATCTTTGTGCCATTTTTTTTTTCTGTTCATACTTCACTTGATGAGATTGTCATTCCTTCAGTCAGAAACAGTCACTTCAGTATCAGCATGTGGAAGCTGCTGGGGGCAGGAATCCTACCACCAACCATCACCGATGGGGCTTCCCAGCTAGGGCTCCTTGCCAAGGGATTGAATGAATGAGCAAACAAATGCGTGGCTGCAATCCACATACCTCCCAGTAAAACCTGGCTCTCAGAGAGGCTGCATCTAACTTCTGAACTATCTCCTTAGCACTATAGCCTCACCAGAAGAAAGGCACGAGCTATCAAATGAAGTAAACGTTGGCTGTTATTGTTTTCCATGAGAGTAAACTGGAAAATGGATATAACATAGACTTGACAAGCTGTGTGTCCATGGCCTATTTATCGAATCTTTCTGAACTTCTGTTTTTTCATCTGTGAAGCGGAATTAACAGTACATACCTTGACACTGCTGTGACCAGAGTTATTCGCAGAGTGGTTGATGAACCTGTAATATCAGCCTCACCTGGGAGTCTGTTAGAAATGCAAATTCTTAGGCCCCAGACCAAATGAATCATAATATCTGGAAATGATGCTCAGCAAATTGCTTTAACAAGCCTTTCAGGGGATTCTAGTGCACACTAATGTTTGAGTAACATTGGATGTGGATCAATAGTACAGATTTTAAGGGTCAAAAATGCTCTGAGGAGTGGGGCTGCACTACTTTGAATGCTGGCTCTACTACTTACTTGCTGTGTGATCCCAGGCAAGATGTCTAGCCTCTCTGTGCCCCATTTTCCTCATCTCAAAAATGATCGTTGTTGTGGGGATTAAATGAATTAATACATATAAAGCAGTTAGCAGACATTCTGACATATAGCACATAACAAATGGTATTACTGGATATTTAAATATAGATAGAAACAAGGTCATGTTATGCCGTATGTATAATAAAATAATTATTCATAATTATTGCCTCTGCACATGAGATTATGGTTAATTATATTTTCCTTGTTATATTCCTCTTGGCCTATTTTTCTGCAATTAACACGAATTACTTTTATAATCAGAAAAAAACACTATAAAATAATTTGCATTGAAGGAGGGAAAATGTTAACAGCAAAATTACATGAGGTGTTGGGGTTGGCTATAAACTATTTTATGGGTCTCCCGGGTCTCCCTGCACCCTGTACCCTTATCCTTAAAGCCAAGTATACTTTTTGTTGGCTTCTGTGCACACATGTGTGTTTGATAATTCCCATGCAATTCAGCTGGGGAGAACAACTTTTTAGGTTTCATTATCTCATAAGCATGGGCTCAACATGATTAGATTGGAGTGTTCTCCATCCGTCTTTGTATCCATGCAACCATTAGGTGAACAAACCCAGGCTAGTCTAATGGATCATGAGATACACCCTGTGGAACAGAGAGAAATCATCTTAGCTAAGGCACTCTAAACCAACGAGCCCTCCAGCTGATCCAGCAACAGACTACAAAGGGAGTCCAGCTGAACTCAGCCCAAACTGCTGACTTATGGAATCATGAGCTAAATAAATGAATGTTGTTTGAAGCCTCTAAGTTTTAAGTTGAGGGTCATTTGTTACAAAGCAAAAGCTAACTGACCTACTGAGTATGTCTCAAAAGTTTGCTTTCGTGCCATCATCCTCTCTCCGAGCTCTGCCCTCCATACCCTGCAGTCAAATTTCTTTTCTCTTCTTTCATGTTAGGAGTTTTAGAGACAGTTGGACTATCAGGATGAGTAAGCAGCAGGCAGCAAGTAGAGCAGAAATGCAGCATGCTTGGAAGGCGCATCAGTCATGGAAGGTGCTCTCTTCACATCCTTTACCAAAAGAAAATAGGCCAAGAGGAAAAAAGGAAGCCTGACTTAATCTAAATTTTTCACATGGCATCTCAGGAACAACCAATGATTCTATTCTTAGCCTTTTCCTCTATCAAAGCTGAAATGTATTTCCAGTTTAATGCCTGTGTTGGTCTAAAAGGGAATACTGAAGTTGTGGGCTAGGACAGGAAGAATGTCACTGGTGAAATAAAATCTCGTCATCTCATTTCATTTCAGGAGCCAGAAAAAAGTTTGCTACAGGGCCGGCCCTAAATGTCATCACTGATCAGAACAAGTGGTTGTTGGTGGCACCACTTGACCACTCTGTTGTTGGTCATCAGTATAAGAGCTCAGGGGCAGCCTTCTGGGAAGAACTAGGGTGCTCTCTGCAGCTTCCCAAATCCTTTAAGAAGTAAAAAAGATGTTTGCATTTGCCATCGAGAAATTGCCAGTTCTTTTCTAACTTTTGGGTCACATGGATCTTAACTGGACGCATGAGGCCATCTTCATGCTTAGAAACACCATAGTTGACATCTGTGAATCACTCACATCATGTCAAGCAGTGTCTAACTTCTTTATGTGTGTCAGTGCTCATAACAATGTTATGATCATCACCCCTTTTCTACACATGAAGAATGGAGAAACAGGAAAGTTAAATAACTTTCCCCTAGGTCTCAGGCTGTTAACCTTTATGCTAAATTGCAACTACATGCAGGACAGTGCCTGGACACAATAAATGCTCAACAAATATTGTGCCCAACGATGTGAGCCCTAACAGGAATATTGTACCCAGCGGCTGGTGAACACATCTTTAGAATGAATATTAGTGATATTTATTCTCCTCTTCTGTCCTTCTCTCTCCACTTGAAGGGCACATCTATTCTTTCTGGATTTCAAGGGGGCTGTGAAATTAAAAGGTGGCAATTTGGTGGGAAGTTTAGGAGACTTGTCTGCAAAGTGAGTTTTTTAGCAAGCATGTAGTTTTCACTGAGGCTGTGTGTGCATTGTGGCTGAGGGCTGGGGTACTGATGAGCCCCTGGGGATGGTGGGTAGCCATAGGACTCATTCCCCTGCCACTGTCAGGGTGGTTTGCCTCTTTTCTTTCTTCTCCATAAGACGTTTTAGATAAACGTCAAAATTTCCTGGGCTCGGCCAATCATTCTGTCTTCATTGATAAGGAGAACCTTGTAAGTGCAATTCCCCTCCCTCTCAATAAATAGGCCAACCCCCTTTTATCTCTCTCTCCACCTTCTCCCCTCACCTCACATACATGCACAGATGTGTGCAGGATGCGCTCGCACACGAATGCACGCACGTGCACACACACACGCATACACCCACACCATCTTCTCTTTTACTCTAAACCAGGAAAATTCAGTGTGAGACCCTGTCTTTGAAACATAATGGCTCAGAAATAGCTCAGACTCAGCTTAGAATCAATATGCTCTCCGTGAAGCCACTGGAATTCCAAGTTTTCCCAGCAGACTTTAGACAGAAGTGGAGTCAACATATTCAGGCATAAAATGAATTCCATTAAATAATGTCAATGCTTGAGGACACTCACTAGTTACCTGGGCTGAAGGGCACACAGCTTTGAAGTCTCAGACTTCGGTAAAGGTATGTTTAAAATTTCAGTCATGAAGTGAATTAAGATGCTTTTCCTCCCTGCCAATTTTGGAGGTAGAAAGATAATTTTATATGGTGACAAGATGGGACAAAGGAAAGGACAAAGCTTATGATTTACATGTGTTCTTGGGATTTCAAATACAGATGCAGTGACAAATAAGCAAGTTATGGCACCTTATCATAAGTCTAATTGTAGATTCATTTAAGACACATGTTGAGCACTTATTGTGTGGGAATTGTCAGTATGTGTGTGTGTGTGTGTGTATAAGATGAAGATAGCATTTCTGTCGCCCAGAAGTTTGTAGTTGAATTCTGATGCAAGACTTTGGATCTGGGCACACGCCCGGGGTGAAACTGTAAATGCGATACTTTGAAACCCACACTGCCCCAGAAACAAAACTTTTTTTAGACCCCCCAGTTTGAAATGAACATTCACTTACCCCAAATATAATTTGATGGCTAATCTAAGTTCTCCCAATCAGAAACTTCCTTTGCCTTACGAAACTCCTGACCTAAAAGCGAAGGAGGGTGGATTGATGTTGACTGTGGAAGACACAGCATGAGGATGTGCTTTGAGTGGTCCAGGTTCTTTTATACCGGCGATCAGTTCCAGTTATTGAAAGAGACACCCTGCCAGCTCCAACCTCCCTAAAACCAAAGACCGTCTGAATTCCCAAGGGCACATTCAGAAATTGAGAGAGCAGGATATAGACAGTGAGAGAGAGAATGAGATATTTCTCTGAAAGAAAATTTAATATTAGTTGGCTTTGGGGGAGAATGCTTAATACCAGCTGGCTTTTGTAGAGGATGCCACACTAGACTGGGAGGTTCCTTAGCAATCTTTCCAAACACCTCAGCTCTCTTTTCCTAACCCTGGCCCCTCTCTCCTGTCTGGCATATGCTTGCTTAAGATTTAATAGATGATGGCCAGCCACAGTGGCTCATGCCTGTAATCTCAGCACTTTGGGAGGCCGAGGTGGGTGGATCACCTGAGGTCAGGAGTTCGAGACAAGCCTGACCAAGACGGTGAAACCCCGTCTCTACTAAAAATACAAAAATTACCTGGGCTTGGTGGCGCGTGCCTGTAATCCCAGCTACTCATGAGGCTGAGGCAGGAGAATCGCTTGAACCTGGGAGGTGGAGGTTGCAGGGAACCAAGACCATGCCATTGTACTCCAGCCTGGGTGACAGAGCAAGACTCCATCTCAAAAAAAAAAAAAAAGAGAGAAAGAAAGAAAGAAACAAAAAAGATTTAGCAGATGTTATGTCTCACTGGGTTCCTGCTCCTGATGAGACCCAGTCACCTTTCACACAGTCTCACACAGTTTATACTTCTTGTTTATCCCACATAGCATCATGTAGTGGTTACAAGTGTAGACTCTGAAGTCGAACTGCCTACATTCAAATCTTGGCTCTGCCACTCACTGGCTGTGTGCCTTTAGGTAAGCTGCCTCACCTCACTGTGCCTCAGTTTCCTAATGGGTAAAACAGTGATAATAGTTCCTACCTTGAATTCTTTTTATGAAGATGGAATGGGTTAATATTTATAAAAATGATTTGAACAGTGCTGGGCATATAGTAAGTGCTAAGTGTTTCTTTATAATAAATAAACCTGGTGGATTTAGTTTTATAATATGTCTCTCTTTCCCAAATGTAAGTTCTAACTTACTGGTTTATGTCACTGAGGTGCATTATTGTGGCCCTAGAGATCAGATACACAAGGTCAGAGTAATGAAGGCAATTATTACCACGACTATTAACATGATTGATAGTGAACATTTGTTGAATGTTTGCACCATAGTCAAAACCTTATAGGCATTATCTAACTTAGTCATGGCAATAACTCCTAGAAACAGATATTTGACCAATACCCATTTCTCAGAGGAGGAAATTGAGGCTGAGACAAAACTAAATAACTTACCCAAGGTAACAGTCAGGAAGTGCTGTCTCAATCCCAGGGAACTGAGGGGTCTGCAAAGTCCTAGATCATTTGAGAAAGTTTGCAAACAGTGATTGGGAACTAAGGCAAAGAGATGAAGATAGTTTGGTGGCCATAAAAATGTGTCTCATAGATTTCTGACTGATTTCCACCCACCTCTACACACGCCATACTTTGACAGTGAGCTAGACTCAGTCAAAGATTAGAATAGGGAAAGGGAAAAATACTAACTTTACATTGGAGAGACCTGGCAAATATGACCTTCACCAAATAACGGAGCGTAATATTACCAGTAATGTCATATGGATCTACTGTATCCCCTGACATGAAATGATGAGTAGGCCACTTTACCTTAGCTTCACTCTTTCCAAAAACCCATAACCCGAGTCTAACAACCCTAGTCTTGTTCCATTACAAGAACAATAGACAAACCCAGATTGGATGACATTCCACAGGATCCCTGTCAATGCTCCTGAAGACTCTCAAGGCCATGAACAACAAAGAAAGACTGAGGAACTGTCACAAACTAAAGAAAACAGGGGAGACATGACAATTAAATGCAATGTGGTGCCCCAGATTGGTCCTGGAACAAAAAAGAAACACTAATTGAAAAGCTGATGGAATCCAAGTGAAGTCTGGAGGTCGATTAATAGTAATGTACTCATGTTGGTTTCTTGGTTGTAATTGATGTATCATGATAATGTTAGGTTTCAACAATGGGGGAAATTGGGTGAGAGGTATACCACCCTTGCAACTTTTCTGTAACTCTAAAAATATTTCAAAATAAAAAGTTTATTTAAAAAGTATTCCCAGAGATTGTAATTCAGTTGGTTCAGGATACGACCTGGGCTTCTGGATTTTTAGAAGATCCCAGGGCATTCTGATGTGCAGGCAAGGTCTGGAAACCACTGATCTACATTCTAAAGAGCTACACAGCTGAACGGTAAAGCCAGTGCCCCTAAGCAAAGCTGTGGCCATCACAGAAGCAGCTGTTAGGCGGCCCTACTTCTTAGCTACTGGTTTCTTCTCTGCAATCACAGAGCAGGGGACAGGAAGAGCCACTCCTTGCTAATAGGCCATGTTTATTCTGCATTTATTCTCAGAAACAGGATCAGATACCTTTGGTAGAAGATTCTAATGTACTGATTAAGTGCACCTAATCCTAATCTCCTTTTATGCTGGCTAAATGGATATTTAGATATAACCTTCCAGAATGCAATGAACTTATTCCTGGGAAGCTGGATGAATGGAATGCCCATAAATTGATCCCTATTTTAAGTGCATACTGGGAGCTGACTATTTGGAGAGCATCTGTAGGCAATGAGAGGTTCCTCCTGTAACAGGCCTCCTGTTAGCTCATTTGCTTTTAGAAATGTGGGTCCTGTGCTTTCTTGCAGCAGGACACTTTCTTAGTCTAGGCATCCTCCCTCTCCTCTCTCAGTAAAGTCGTGGCCACTATAACAGATGCTGGAGGTGCTCTGCCCAGATTCCTGTTACTTTCCACTAGCAAGTGCACCTGTTCCCCAGATGCCAGGCTTCACATGGCTTAGAGTTTATAACTGTGACTTCTCCTGAGCCTTGCCCTTGAGACACAGGAACCCCCTCCCCTACTGGGAGTTTCTAACACCTCCACTCTGTGCTGGAATGACTGACCAGTTCAGGGCTACCAAAGCCTGGCACTCCGAGTGTCAAGGCAGCAGTAACTGTGATGCAATCCACACTCCAGGGCTCCTCTGGGATCAGCTGATGCTAGTCTCCAGCTGCAACCACATCCTTGCTTGCTTCTTTCTCCCGCCCCATTCTTTCCCCCTCACTTTCTTACATAGGTTTCACTTGAGAATCCTTCCTCACTTGCGTATACATTCTGCTGCATTTAGGAACAGACTTAGAATCAGCTTCTCTTCTGCTCCAGGCGGAGACTGTGGAGACAGCAGTTAGGGTTCTCCAGCAGCTCCCATGGTGCGCACCCGCTGGCCATTACTGTCCAGTAGGGATCCCCTAGTAAGGAATGCTGCCTCCCTGGGTTAGGTTGCTTCACCCATAGTCATACTCTGGAGCTGCAGCCACCTCCTTGCTACACTCCAATCCAGAGTATCTTGTAGAAAGATAAATCAGATGGTATCAATCTCCGTGTTACAATTCCAAGGGCTCCCCAGGGCTCTTTGAACAAAAGCCAGTCTCCTCTGCAGGCTGGCAGGCCCTGGCTAACCTGGCTCCCTCCTAACACTTCACTTTCCTCTGCGCTTCTCTCCAACAGCATCAGCCTATTGCTGTGTCTTGAAAGCACCCACCTTGCCCCTGCCTCAGGCTTGGCATGAACTGTCTGCAACACCTGATCACACCATCTCATGATTGGCCGTTCTTGTCATCAGGCCTCAGCATAAACATCTCCTCCTTGGAGAGACCTTCCCTGACCCGTCTCTCTCGACCACCTCACCCTATTTCAATCTCTTACTTAGCCACCATCCCCATCTGATATTTTTCTTGTCCATCTGTCTGACTGATGTCTGCCCCTTCCCATTAAAATTTAATCACCCCGAGAGGAAATATTGCCTGGCATGTTCACCCCTGTTTACTCAGTGCCCAGAGCAGCACTAGGCATGTAATAGATGCTCAGTAAATACATGGGGAGTGGCAGAAAGAGGGAGGAGGGGATATTGATGGACCCGGGGGCTGCAACTGTGCATGATGAAGATGATGAGGGTGATGAGCAGCTGGGGTACGGAGCCACCCCATGCACTCTGAGGCTCAGGAGACACTGCTAGGTTGCCTGTGAATCACAGAACACAGATGCTGCCCTCACTTCCCCCACTGCACCCACCCTGCCCTCCCATACTGATTCCTGCCTTCCCAGCCAAGGCCTCTGCAGTTCTCTTCGGCGCAAGAACAGCTTCATCAGGAAAGCCCATGTCGGCCCTGCAGTTCACACTGGGCCTCTCTTGAGCAGGGCACGCAGCCCTAGACTCTTGCCCAGCTCCATGGAAGCGCAGCAAGGCAGCAGGGCATTTCCATTACCCTGGCAGCTGCTTCACAGAGGCTTTTCTCCAGCTCATGTCAGGGACCCCCAAAGCCTGCTGTGATTGCTGGCTCCACGGAGCAATTGAAGCCATTCGCATCACTCCCCAGGTCGCTAATGGCAAACACTGAAAGACTGAATGCTCCAGAGCCCCCTGCCTGCTCTTCCAGGGCTCTGCGAGCCTAGCCTCCTCTGGAGGGATGATTGTAGATTGAGGCAATCATGATCAGAACAATGCATGTAGGCCCCAACTCAGGCAGGTGGATGGGTCTGCAAACATCACAATTACCCAGTTCAGAACGAGGCCTGGCGGCTAAGAAATGTTCGTTTGGAAGGCCTCTGGCTGTGTGATGTGGACCAAGGCTCTCTGTAGGGCAGGAACACTTGCAGCCTTGGAGGGAGGCATGGAGAATGGCAGAAGGAAGCAGGATCACGCTTTCCTGGCATGCAGGGTGCCATGCTGAGATGACCCCCAGCATTTCTGTGCCCTGGTGCCCAAGTTCTTTATCATCTCCTTCTCTTGAGCATGGGGGGCACCTGTGAGCATGACAGGATGCCATTCTGTGATTAGCTATGATATTAGGGAAACGTAAATGGATCCTGCGTGTATAATTAAGGCTCCCAATCACTTGATTTTGAGATAAGTAAAAAAGGAGATTGCCTGGGTTGGGCCTGATTTAATCAGATGAAGGCCCTTAAAAGAAGGACCGGCCCTTCCTGAAGAGAGAGATTCTTCTGCTGGGCTTGAAGTCAGCTGTCATGTTGTGAGTTGCCCCAAGAGGGTCACGTGGTAAGGGACTGAGCATGATTCCTGGATGACAGCCAGCCAGGAAACAGGGCCCTCAGGGTGATGCAAGGAAGTGAACTCTACAAACAACCTGAATGAGCTTGGAAGTGGAGAAAGCTGCAGATGAAAATGTGCCCTAGCTGACCCCTGCACAGCAGCCTTGGGAGACCCTAAGGAGAGAGCCCTGCCATGCTGGGCCCAGACTCGTGATTCCCAAAAACTGCGAGATAAGAAATGTGTGTTGCTTTAAGTCACTGGGGTTGCAGTAATATTGTTACAGAGCAATAGCTAATGAATACACCCGGGTTCCAGAAAGGCCCCTGTAGGTTCTTGCTGCTGCCTCCCCAAAGTCAGGGGGCTTCTACCCTGTCTTGTCCTCCTCTGCTCCTCTACTTAGGGAGGGCTCATGGGACATTGTGGAGTAGCACAGAAGCGTTGCCCCAAGGTCATGCAGGTTCCAGGGATGGCCACCCCACTGACTAGCATGGTCATATTCCATATTCTGGGCATATTCCTTGTAACTTCTTAGAACCTCAGTTTCCCCATTTGTAAGTGGAAATGTTGAGATTACCTACTGCATTTGGCAGAGTGAATAGCAAATGACTTCATATGCATAGAGCGCTCAGTTAGTGCATGGGAGCATGTGAAATTTGTAATGACTTTTTGAAATAATTCTCCCCTGCTTGTACACCTGCCTGCAGCCACCAAATGAAGTCTACTTTGTAGTTTAAAAAGATCTACAGGCTTGGGCCAAGAAAGAATTCAATTGTGTTCCAAAGCCAAAATTCTTAGATGAATGCCCACTCTGTCCAAATATAGTATCTCCTTCGTTCTCTCTGTTCCTCCTACTTTATTTGTCTTCAGAGCACTTACATTACCTGAAATATCACCTATGTGAATTTCATATATGTGTGCATGAAATTCGACTATTGTCTACAGCCACAGAGGTGGCACGGCACACTCAGTGGTTCAAAAGAACCTGGAGTTGGAATCTAAGATGGGATTTAAAATGAGGTTTGAATGACTCGAGGCCCCCTACTCTTCCTTCTCTATAAAACACTTTAGATTTTGTCATTTAAATGCTCCATTTGGAACCAGTGTATAAAATTAATGCTCCCTAATCTATACCAGGGCATTTTCCATCAACAACCTCTGTCACATTATGTTGTGGTCTAACTTTATTTTTTGTTTTTGGCCTGTGTTGGATGGAGAGAATCTGCTACTCACTGATAGTGGCTTCTGAGTCCCCACCAGAGATGGTGCCAGCATTGATGCTTTATTGATATTATTATTATTATTATTATTATTTGAAACGGAGTCTTGCTCTGTCGCCCAGGCTGGAGTGCAGTGCTATGATCTCGGCTCACCGCAACCTCTGCCTCCCAGGTTCAAGTGATTCTCCTGCCTCAGCCTCCTGAGTAGCTGAGATTACAGATGCCTGCCACCATGCCTAATTTTTTATTTTTAGTAGAGACGGAGTTTCACTATGCTGGCCAGGCTGGTCTTGAACTCCTGACCTCATGTGATCCACCTGCCTCGGCCTCTCAAAGTGCTGGGATTACAGGCATGAGCCACCACGCCCAACCTATTGATATTCTTTTTGAAATAATAGTATGATCCTCATGAAGTTGGATATGTTGACTCTAAAATAGAGTTGCACAGCATCCTTCTGCACCCATCCATTCCCCTTATATTTTTTGCCACCTGGAAGCTACAGTTTTGTTTATTACTGTGGAGCCCCCCTGAGACTGCAGGAGCTGCCACCTCCCTCCCACTCCCTCGCTGCCAGGCTAGAATTAATTATTCCCTCTCTTAGTCCTTGCTGCATGCTATCTTAGTTTTAAAATATTAACCACAGTAAATCAGGGCTTACACTGTGGCCTGATGCTTATGTACAAATCAAGCAGTTCAATTTGCTTGGGACCCACCAGTAAGATCAGTCCTAAACCTGCAAGATGCTACAAAGAAATGGTTCCATGATTCCTTCCCCACTAGAATGCCAGAATCAGTAGAATCCACCAAAGCACCTGCCATGTGTGGGTGGAACGAGACCAGATCATGGGTGGGTGGGTATGAGTTGGAGAGTGTTTAAGGACTTGGAGATTCAAAGATGTCTTGAGTATGCAGACAGTGATCCCAGCCCCTAGGGTAAGGAGGTCTGGAGGATAAGAGGGATAGCCCACTTACCCAAGAAAGGATCTAGAACACTGAAGGGACATCAGTTAATTCCATGGAGCCAACCTGAAAACAAGAGATAAAGGAACAGGAAAGACCAGAAAGGAAGAGAAGGATTCAGGAGAAATGGTGGTATGGGGGCTGGACATGGCTGGGCCTTTTCTCAGCAGGAGAAAATACTCCTCACCTAATTGGGGTGAAGCTTGCTGTGGATAGAGCTTGGGCTTTAAAGTGGCTCTGGATGGGAATCTCAGCTTTGTTATTTTTAAGCTGAGGGACTTAAGATAATTTACTTAACCTCATTGTACCTCGGTTTTCTCAGCTATAAAATGAAGCTAATAATACCCTGCATGTTGTCCTGAGAACTGGATGTGATGATGTATGAAAAAACTTTATCTCAGTACCTGGCACACAGATATTGAATGAATGGTACCCACTAGGGACCCAGTGAATAAATGAAGGTCCGAGCTATCAATGTGCCAAAGCTGGAGACAGCCATTGTGATACTTGGGGTGTCTGGTGATAACAGTTGGCAAAATTCTAGCAGCCAGTTGGTGCCCACCATATACCCTTGGCACTCGCCTTTTCTGTGTATTCTGAAGGCCTCTTCTGCTAGTGCCTCTACTGTGAGTGAGGCAAGACTCATTGCCTTAGGATTTTCTCCAATCTGAGGTGTAGAATTTGTCTCCTGCAGGGCTGGGTGCAAGTTTACACTCTGGGAACAGCCCTTAGCCACTGAAGGATGGGAGTTGGTGCATAATACTCCAGCTTCCTTGCCTTTCAGGTTAGGCAATCCAGGCATGTTGTACACTCTCTCTGAGAGAGGTCCCTGGCTGGGCTGAGCCCCAGCAGCTGGCAAACTGCTCATGAGTGCCCCCTGTACTGACTTTCTTTGAATCCCTGTCTAGATTCTCCACTCCCCCATCAGCGCTTCCTAGGATCACCACCCAAATAAAATATGTGCACCCTCGTCCTTCACTAAGGATCTGCTTTTGGGAGGGCTCAACCTAGGACAGCATTCCAACCAAAGAATTTAGAAGCCTTTATTTATTTATTTATTTATTTATTTATTTATTTATGTATTTTCCTTTGGAGGCTCAGTAAACTGAAGCTGGTGCAGGAACTGACACAGACAGTTCTGCCCAGGGCCTCATCTTTAGGGGTCTTCTATTTGATATCTGAAGTGAGTCGAGCAAATGTACAGCCAGGTATCAGAATGCCCTATGGAAGTGCCTGGCTAGGCAGCTGGGTGAGTCAGCCGTGCCCTGCTAATCCCTGGAATCGCTAAGAAGGCTCTGGTGGGACCTGCTGCGAGGCTTCCACGCAGTTGCTTGGCTTGTTTTCCATGACGCGGCAACACAGCTGAAAGGCCTTCAGAGTTTTTTTCCATTGCCTCCTCCCTTGTGTTCCCATTACCAAAGTGCTCATTGGGCAGAGGACTGGCAGAGAATTGTTTTTAACATTATGGGTAGCTCTTGTAATTAGATGAGAAGGTAGAATTTGCTTAAACAGAGGGCACTTCTGGAGAGACAGGGAAAAAACTTAAAATGCAATCGTCTTTACCAAGACAGGCTCAAGTGAAATTACAGATAAAGCAACATTACCATAAAACAATAAGATGCTGATCCCCTCCTGCTCCACCCTGCCAGTTTGAATCCAGAAAAGTTTACTTATCCTCAATGTTCAAAGGAGAAAATTTCCCCTTTGACTTCCCTGCTGAATTGATCAGATACCTGGGTCTATGATTCCTTAGTTACCTTGGAGAGATGCAACTAGATATTCAGGTGCCCTCTTGAACCAAGGATATCCAAAGTTAAACTTGAGGGCTCCAAGGTCTATGGGGACAGGGTACTAATAAGCCAGGTCTAAGTTTCCTGGTTTGTGGAACTTAGTGGAAGATGTGTAGCCACAGGATGGATGGGCAGAGGCCATCTATCTATGGCAGAGGTGGGGCTCTCTCTGACCTATGCTCCCAAGATTGGTGGGAACTATGGTTGATTTTTTGTAAATATAGTTGGCATAATTCCCCTCCCAAAATCCATAATCCCCCTTCCACACTGACTCTGTGCTTGGCCATGTGACTTACTTTGGTTAATGAGATAATAGCAAATGTAGCCTCAACAAAGACTTGGAAGGTACTTGCACATTGGGGCTTGTTCTCTCTTGCTGTTTTGAGAAACTCTGTAACTCCCACCATGTCTGTATGCCAACACTAGGGCTAGCCTGTTGGATGAGAGACATGTGGTCCAGCCCCTGATGCCCTAGCCAAGAGCCAGCAATAACCACTAGACATGGGAGTGAACACACCAAGCAGGCTCCAGCCAATCTACCAATTGACTGAAGAACTAACTCATTAGCCCATAGACACATACACAATAAGAAATGGTTGCTGTTTTAAACCACTGAGTTTTGGGGTGGTTTGTTATACAAGAAAAATAACTGCTTCAGGGCCAGCCAGTTTCACTGGACCTGGATGACATGTGGATCCACTCCTCCCTCTACTTGACTAGTTTTCTTCCATCCCACCACCCACAGGGATTCAGGAGAGCTCGACACTGACGTCTTCATATCATTTTACAGTTGTTGCAGATATCTCAAAATAGCAGATATTCTCATTACCACTTTGAAATTATGGTAGCTATTAGACTTACCACTAAATATTGTTATTTAATGCTTTAATTAAAAAACACATATTATACCACAAATGTGGTTTTTCTAAAAATATTTTAATAGTTGTACTTCAATAAAATTGGTTTCCTATATAGTCCCCATGTATTTATTTTTATTTTTTAATTTTTATGTTTTAGAGATGAGGTCTTGCTCTGTTGCCCAGGCTGGAGTGCAGTGACATGATCGTAGCTCACCGCAACCTCAAACTCGTGGGCTCAAGCAATTCTCCTACATTAGTCCCCTGAGTGGCTGGGACTGCTGGTGCATGCCACCATGCCCAACTAATTTACTTTATTTCTGCAGAGACAGGGTCTCACTATGTTGCCCAGGCTGGAATGCAGTGGCATGGTCCAGTTCAAGGCCGCTGAACCCTTGAATTCTTGGGCTCAAGTGATCCTTCTGCCTTGGCCTCTCAAATAGCTGGGATACAGGTGCACATCACCATGCCCAGCTAATCCCTATTTATTTTATTTTATTTTATGTTATTTTATTTTACACATTAAAAAGTATCACTCTGAAAGTGGCTTCAGTATATCTTCACCATACTGCCAGTGGGATCCATGGGAAGAACAAAAATCTGAGACTGCTTGAATTCAACTCAGATCAAAAGCCATAGTCTATTTAGTGCAATTTATATGTCTAATCGTGTTTCCCCAAATACTGACATAACTCAAGAAGACATTCATAGGAAAGAGTTGTGGTAAAATAACCCAAGAAACTTCTAGCCATTTCTGATTCTGGCAGATCATAAAACCATGACAAATTGCACAACTTTTGTAAGCAATGGAAGCAATCTCAAATGCCTATAGGGCTGGGAGAATAATGAAAATTATGCCTTGGGCATAAGTAATGGTAGGCTTTGCGGCAAATTGGAGAGGAAGTACCCTGCCTTAAGGCATTTCAGATTAACGATTTTGTAAATCCAGTACTAGCCAAATAAAATAAATTTGTGGGTAGTATTAAGCCTATAGAGCACTAGTGTTCCATTTATGGATTAAGAACAAGATTGGGGAACTGGACATCTGGCTAACCTTCATCCCTGAACTGGCTCTGTCATCAAATAAGTAGGTGATCTTTTCCAGGGCAGTCAAATTTCTATGTCCCAGTTTTCATATCTGCAAAATGGCTGTGGTTTCTGTATCATCTTCCTTTCCAGAACTGTGATGAAGTTCAAAAAAAAAAATTAAATAATAGTGGGGAAACAATTTGAGAAAAAAGAAACAAGGATCATTAAACAGACGCAGAATAAATCAACGCAATTGCTTGGTAAGTGACCTGAAAAAACTTAAGTCTATCTATGTAGGACATGGTTCTTTTAAGTTACCAGCCTGTCATATCCAAAAGGAGAACTTCAGAAATGATTAAGGGAACTTCGCCTGCTTCACTGAGAAGCCAACTGTGATCCATTGGGCCAAAATTGTTAATAGAGTTGGGAGGAAAAAGCACATAAAAGAGCCACCCATATGAGTCTCAAGCCCTAAGGTGGAGGACTAATTTCCAATTCAATAATACACAAAAAGCTACACGCAGGCAAACAAAGTTGAAAACAAGCTTAAAGAAATAAAAAGGAAGGAAAACCAGACGCCTGAGATACTAGGACAAGAAGGGAATAGAACAAGTCGAGGGAGAACGTGATCTTGAAACTAAATTTGCTGGTCCAGAGGCACAATCTTGCAGCCTAACAGCATATTTGGCCCAGTTCTTCCACCTTGAGAGAGAAGCAGAAGAGGGTCTAGTTCTCGGGTCTGTATGCCTTCCTGCATCCCATTATCCAATTAGATGCCATCCCTTAATGCTTACCTTCTCAATGGACCAGAGACAACTCAGCTTTACACTGGGCCTTTTTTGTGATTGATGGAACGATGGGTTTTGGTTAGTAAATGCAGAGGAAGGAGATTCTCCCTTTCCCTTCCTTCACTGTGTCCAAGAAAATTTGTGACAAGGATAAATGTTACGGTTGGCTGGGTCAAGGAATCACATTCATATCTTTTCCCTCTGGGTTGCATATATTTTCATAAAGCTTACATGGGATGTGGCCTAAGCAGGTCTGGAAGGAATCTTAGGCTTAATGGGAATTCACCACCCAGTTTAATATCCTGTGACAGAATCTTTGGTTTGGCTCTAATCTTTGAGCCCTTTAGCCCACACAGGCCATAGGTGCCCCAGCTCATCCATATATCTGTGCACATAATATGGTCATGATAGGAGGCAAAATGAGCCAGAGGAGGAAAGACGTGAACCAGAGGACCAGTTATCCCTTATTTTCAGCCACTGTGGACTGTTTGGATTTTATGAAGTTCTTTTCTCTCACTGTATCCTTGAGCTGTAAGTGTGCCTGGTCATGAAATTGGGGAGACAAATGAGAAAATGATGGGAAAGCAGATCTATATGATTCAGATCAAGGTTAAGTTTATTTTTATTGTTGAAAAATAAAGGGATCAAGTGCTGGAGTTCTGCTGATGTTATTGCGGGAAAGGGGCATAAAAATCATTGAGCCCACAGATGATTTGGTCTCTGCTTAAATGCTGCCTCTCAGAGATGCATTCTCTCATAGCTCTTTCTAAATCATCATTTTACCTCCTTGGGGTATATCACTCTATGTCTCTATCCTGCATTCTTTAACTCATAGCATTGTCTTTCTCTACTAGAAGGTAAGCTCTATGAGAACAGGACTTCATCTACTTTGTTCTCTGCTTATTACCATTGCTTAGAACTGTGCCTAGTCTATGGTGGAGGCACAATCTATATTTGGCGAATGAATTGTAACGTGGAGGGAATATCCTGCAGAACCAGGCTAGTGTGAGCACAGAAAGGTGAAAGAAACATCCTTCCTCACTTCTGTGAAGTCTCCTTAATGTTCTCAGAGGTGAGTAGTTTATTCTTCCAAAGCAGCAGAGATTTTACCTGTGGTTTGCTATTCAGCCCAACCTTTTGGAGAAAATAAGGAAAGATGGCTTACTGTGTCTGCTTTGCAACTGGTTCTTCCCAACTGAACTGTGTGGTTCCAGCATGGAAATCACATTCCTCCATGCCACTCCACACCCACAATTGATTGAGCACTTGGCCCAAGCTATGCCAATCAGAGATCTTCCTTGGTATTTTTGAATCGAGGATACAGACAACAATTGTCAGTTCCTTTTCCATAGTGGAAGTCCAGAGAGTACAAATCGCATGTGTATGTTTCTGGTATGGGGAGGGAGGAAGTGTTTTTCAACAAGAGAAAGTGGAATCAATGTACAGAAAGAATCAGGGACAGGAGGCTGAGAAAGAGAGAGCTTTGGTAATGTTTGCACACTGGGATTGAGTTGTTCCTGAATTCCAGCTACGTCTCTGCTTTTCCTATGGCTTGACTGCTCAACATTTGCTTAGATTGTTTAAGCCAATAAATCTCAATTGTTGCCAAAACCACTTATAGCTGGGTTTCTATAATATGAAAAATCCAAAGAGATGTAAGCAGTATAGGTTGAGTATCCCTTATCCAAAATACTTGAGACCAGAGGTGTTTTCCATTTCAGATATTTTTAGATTTTGTAATATTTGCATTATGTTTACCAGTTGAGCATCCCAAATCTGAAAATCTGAAATCTGAAATGCTCTAATAGGCATTTCCTTTGAGGGTCATATTGGTGCTCAAAAAGTTTCAGATTGTGAAACATTTTGGGTTTGGGTACAATCTGTACATCCAAATTTTGGAGGAAGCTCTGCCTGATAGCTCAGGGTTATGAGAATGTTCCTACCCTGTTTTGTAGAGTTTGGGACACCACTTGAGGCCAAGACCTCTGAGTGTAACAACAGACTGAGAGAATTCCTGATTGGGGATCTGGAAACTCCAGGAGATTGGACCTGCACCAGAGAGAAAATTTGGAAGAGATGGAGGCAGATGTGGTAAGGCAGTAAAGGGCAGTGGAAGAAGAGCTGAAGCTTGAGTCAGGAGCCTTGGCTGCAGTGCTCACCCTGTGACCTTGGTGTGAAATTTATCTCTGGGCCTGGTCATCTGCAATGTTTTTGAAAATACAATTTAAAAATCTCAGCAAGTGCTCTGAACCCATGATTCTAAGCAAGAGGAGGACAGGAAAAAAAGGGCAATGTAAGACATCAGGATCCTTTTCCCAAGGGCAATTGGTATTTTAATCCAGGGCAGAAACAAGACATTGCAGGGGATGAGTAGAAAAGGCCAGGATGACTCTCTGCCTCTGTGGTAGCTCATTGCTGAGGGATGGGGGCAGGAAGTGTGGGGGGTGACACAGAGGAGGAGTGATAGAAACTCCTTTATCCTTTGCACTGGGGACACTTTTTCCTATTTGGTATCCTTCAGAGGCTATGGGCTGGGACTGCAGAAAGAGGAAAGGAGATGTCCTATTATTTGATGAGATTTTAAGCTTTGGAGACAAGATTCTGGGGGCTGGGATTGGGCCACTGTTGAAGAAAACAAAGCACAATAAAGGAGCCAGTTGGCCCCCATCCCACACACTTGTCCTCACTCTGTGAATGCTCACCTTCCTCATCCTTCAAACTCACTTGGAAGAAAAATAGCATCTTCATTACTAAATCAGAGGGTAAATGGAGATTTCTATCCAATGGTCCAGGACAGCTCTTCTCTTGCTAAGTACCCAGTCACAACTTTTGAAAGGTTGAGAACAGTGAAAACACCTCATCCTCAACAGGCTCAGTTTGAGACAGATGTGAAGGTTTGAAGGAACAACAAAGATCTCTAGGGCAGTGGTTCTCAAACTTGAGCATGCATCAGAATCACCTGGAGATGATTAAAACAGAGGTTACTGGGTCTCGCCCTAGAGTTTCAGATTCAGTAGGTCTGTGTGGGGCCTGGGAATTGCATTTCAAACAAAATCCTGGGTGATGCTGATGCTGCTAAACACCATAGTTTGAGAACAAGTGTCCTAGAGTAATGAATCATTGATTGTAGAAGGTCATTGCACTTGAGATCTTAAATTCAAACTCAAGTTCTCTCTCTTATTAACTGTGTAGAAGAAGGAACCATTTTCCCCCTCTCAAAGACTCATCAATTCCTACTTTGTCCCACAAAATGGGACTCTCCGTTCTTTGGGAAGATGAGTGTTGGGATGATATTCCCTCCACCCCTTCCTTTACTTGTCCCTCCCACCCCCAACTAAAGTATTCTGTGAGATGGGAAATAAGCAGTGAGCAAGTATAACTCAGTTCTCCTCCTTGGCTTTTTCTCTGGGATCTGCCTGCCTATAGCAAGCTTGCATTTTCTGCTCCCCCAGATTGCAAGTTTCTGGAAGCAGGTTCTGTCACTTGGGGGTATGGGTGGGAAAAGGAGAGAAGGGCCTTTGGTTCTCTAGCTATCCTGTCTGACTACACACATTTCTGCAGCCCTTTCTCCTTTGGTAGGTCCCAATGTCTAATCTTGGAGTAGAACTAGAAAGGAGTAAGGAAATCTGATAATCTGACTCTGGTTGCTGGTTGTAATCTTTTCTTTTCTTCTTCTTTTTTCCCCCAAATTCTGCTTAACAAAATGCCTAGTATTTTAATTACTAACCCCTGTTTATGTATGAACTTGTTTGTCGGGGGAAGAGTTGTGATCAGTACCTTAGAATCCATTGCAAGACCTTGATTAAACAGTATTGTCTCTTAGTCAAGTGTGAAGTATAACCTGCCACTCAGAAGGTTGCTGTAGAAAATAAATACAAAACAAGCAACGATAGCCTAACATAATATCTACCACATAGTAGATGCTCAAAAAATAGTGTGACTTTCAAAATCTTTCCCCAGCAAGCTCTCCTGTCTGTAGAGTTTCTCCCCAAAGCAGAATTTGAAGTCATTGCTTTATATAGGGTTGTTTTGGAAGCCTTTTCCAACCTTAAAGAAAAATCATTCTGTGAATGCAGCTTAGGAGCACAGATTCTGCTATTCTTGTAACTTGCTTGTGCAGGTTTTATATTTATTGGTTTATGAATAAAACTAAAGGTTTTGACAATGAGATGATGCATGTAGGAATTTTGTATTCAAGGCTGGCTCCAAGAAAGAGTCTGGGTTTGCATCTCTCTGCTTGTGTATTGTGTGCACATACAAAAACACATGTGCACACACAATATTTAATAAGAAACCTATCCCCGCCCCCAACAAAAATCCTTAACACAAAGCTGAATATAAAATGAAGCCAACAGATGTAGCTTCAGTAATGGTTCACTAAATAGCTTACAGAAAATTTCTTTTTCAAAAGCTAAAGAATAGCAGGACATATTGCATATCATCTCTTTTAACTCCTCAAGCATCTTTAAAATACAAGATGTTAAGGAAGAGGGGACCAGTGTTTAAATAACAACTGGGCCTCTTCAGGTATCTAAACATTACCCTGAGAAACATGAGGTCATTCCCAAAGCAGAGATGCTAATCAAAGGCATTTAAAAATCTTTCCCCAAATAGAAAAATCAAAGGCTGTTGACATATTTCCCCATTTTATTATGCATGCTGATCAAGCTAAAAAATATGTGATACCAAGACTTGTTTTTAAGCAAACACAACAATAAAGAGGAAAAGAAGCATATGGCCTTCATGTAACCTATAATAAAGAACCCTGGAAATCTGGTATGGCAAATAGCAGGTAACTGAACATAACAACAGTCCCTTCCTCTTTCTCAGAGTGGTGGAGGTAACTACTTCACAAGCATTAGCTCCTTTAGGTCTCACGACAACCACTTGACATATATGCATGGCAGCAATTGCTCTCCTTTTACAGATGTAAATAAAAGTGAGGCTCAGTTCAGATTAGGTAAATTGTTCAGGGTTATACAATTGAAGTGGCAGAGCTGGCATGCAGCCAGCTGACTCTCCACCCATTGCTCCATGAACTTGTTTGGACACATAGTTTCTCTGGTCACTTACACCACCATATCTCACCTGGCTATTTAGCTTGGAGGACTCAGCTTTTTAGATTTGGCTGACTCACGTTCTATGTATCAGCAGTGTGCTTTCTGTTAGAGGATCTCAATGTATTTTGTGCAACTCATGGGATAATTTATGGGGTGGTGGGGAAAACCATGGACTTTGCAGTCAGAGACAAGTGTTCCGAACTCTTTTAAGGCTGCCATGGAAAATAAAGGAAACAACATACATCAAGTGCCCAGTGCAGCACACAGTAGACATTTAGGAAGTTAGTTACTTTTTTCCTTGTGGTCATTAAGTGGTAGTATCTTCAGTCTTCTCTGGAGAAAGTTGGATGCAGAGTAACCCGTGTTTTCATGAGAAGGAATGGGGAAAAAAGATATGCAAAATTCAATGCTCAACTGGTGAAGGTTTTTTTCTAAGGACAAATGGGACTTATTTACCAAATCATGCCCAGGCTTATGATTCTCTCCCAGGCAAGAGGACACTGACTATTTGAGAGGAAAAGCCCAGAGACTGGTGTCTCTGAAGGACACTTTTAAGGAAGCGGAATTGACATGAAAAACTTGTGTCCACCATGCCAATTCTAATAGCACAGCAGCAAATATGTGACCCTGAAAACACAAGTTGGCCAAAGCCATAAATCTACCCCACTGGTGAATGTAATATATGTCTCAAATGGATGTATGAAATATCCTTTTCATCCTAGTGAACAGTAAAACATTTAAACTTATAATTCATATATGCTAAACTGCTTGACTTTAAATGCTCTTAGTGAATGGCTTTTAATCTCTGAATATAAACCTGATTTTAGCAATGCCTTTATTGAGAATCCTTTGATCCTTCGTTAGCATTTTAACTCCTGACTCATAAGTGATAAAACAACAGATTAGAATATTATACCATTTGCCATAGTTTGGCAGCTAGTTAGGGTAAACCTAAGTAATTCCTTGGGACATAATTTTATTCCAATATTTAGGATGAATCTATGTGCAAGGGTACACAACAATTCCTGAGTTATTCTGATCATAACATTTGATCAATAAAAAGCAGGATTACTTACAGTGGTAGAATTCTTTTCTCTGCAAAGGGGTAGCTGGTATCCCCATTCGCTCACTTATTTCCTGCATACATGGGTGTGGCAGGCACTGTTATAGGTACTGAAGATTCAAAGAAAGCTAAGATATTACCCTTGCTCTCAAAGACTTCCAAAGTCTATTAAGAAAGAGAAATACATAAGTAGGTAACTACAAAGCAGTGTGATCAATCTTACAAGGGAGATAGGGGCATTGCTCATTGGTAAGAGGTGAATTTCTAGAAGTAGGAGTTTGGGAAATTAAGACATAATTCTACTTGATCCAGAATCACTACATAATTCTACTTGATCCCGAATCACTGAACTTTGTTTAATGACAGGAAGTTTTCAGAGGAGGAAAGTGGATTGGATTGGGAAGTACTCTCATCCAAAGGATCCTTTCTTAGTCAACCTATTCTTGCATTGCTCCATGAGTTTTGGAGTTGGGAATAGGATTTCTGGCCCAGGAGGTACCATGTTTCTTAAAGCTTGACCCCTTCCTCCCATGAGCGGCAGAAAGTGGTCTCTACAGGGAGAGATCCCAACAGATTGGGATACTGGAATATAGTCATGTATTTAAGGGACATTTTAGTGACATCCTAGTTGATTGCCATGTAAATAGAGACAAGTTCACACAAAGACATACCTTAGATATTTACTGAGTTCGGTGATGGCTGAGGCTGGTTCTTAATATGTATTTGTTTATGATATAGCAATCTCTCTGTAGATACTGACAGCTCAGTAGAAACCTTCAATAGATTGTATATTTTGATTAGAGAGCCATAGCTCTTTTCTACATTGAATTAATGTCTTAGATTCTAAAAGGCATCCCATTGAAACATGCCTTTTAAAATAATGACACCTCAAGAGGGGACACCTAGCATAACACATGGAGGGCAGAAACATGATGATTTTATTTACAGCTCTGACTTTAGGAACCAGTGTATGTTTTCCTGGTACATGGCAGGTGTTCAATAAATATTTGTTCAATGGATTAATTAATGAAGAATGCCATAATAGCAGCTGATTTATGATGAAGCAATACATGGGCAGTGATCATGGAATTGGAAAAAGTAGATACATTCAGCAATTTCTCTGGCATAAATTAGGAATGGACTTTCCCATTAAAATAAAAAATTCACTCAACAAGGCTAATGCGTATTGAAATAGTTTGCCAGTGTTCTTCCTAGCAGTCTTTCTGGCATTTATTTCTGTGCATTTTCTGTTTATTGATAGAGAAGTCACAGTGTGATTTACCTATACCTAGCTGCCAGACCAACTTCGGAATAACTGCAGGGAAATTTAAGAAATTCACTGTTTTGGAATTTGCCAGTTATTATTCTTTGAAACTGTACCAAAGATGAACATAAATAAAGGAGATTAACAACTTGGTCTGAGACTCTTCATGGAAAGGGAACTCTGTCCAACTTGCAGGATTTTCAGAGCTCAACTGAGAAAATTCTCTGAAAAAGGAATGAGGCAGGAGTGTAGGGCTGAACTCTGGCCTCAGGGGGGCACCTAAGAGACTTTCATTTTTTTACTTGCTGTTATCAGTAAAGGACAGAAACCACTGATTCAAGGTTACAGGCATGGAAAGTCATCTCTCAAGTTCAAGATCTGTGACTAGTGTCATTTGAATAAAGGAAGTGATGGGGAAGCTGGGACCAGATGGTCATTTTGTAGAACCTGCCACTTTGGAGGAAAATAACCTTTTTCTTTAAGTAAAAATGGACCACCTTGGAAGATTAAGACACAATGAGTCAGCAGAAAGTGCCAACAGTCTCAATTTAAGACATGAGAATTAGACATCTTTGAGTAATATGAACCATATCAACAACAGCAAAGAAGAGGATGAAATATATTTTTCCACAACCAAAGAAAGCAAGCCATAAGCCCAGTACAGCTGTTATTCAGCATCATTCGGGAGCAGGCATCATTTGACTGAATTTCTCTGGAATCATTGTTAAGCATTTAGAAGGAAATGCTAATCCTTAAATAGGATTTCCCCCCATCTCTTTTTAGGGATACAGATTTGTTCTTACCAGTAAGTCAGTCACTGCTGAGGTTGACCTCTGTAGTCAACAATAAGAAAATCAGTTAGGATTTCCTCTTGTGATACCATGTTTTACCTTGGTGGAAAGACATTGAAATCTGCAGTAGGTTGTGACAAGGCGAATGTGTTTTTTTTTTTTCCCCTCCGGGACATGTGAATTTATTTGATGTGTGACTATGAATTTAATTAATCAACATTGTACCACCAACTGCTGACCTCTGACCTCATAGGCTTTAAAGCTTCCTTCTCTCCTTGTCCTATGTTTTTAAAGCTTTCCTGTGATGTCATTTTACCCCACATCCTCCCAATGTGATTAGTTTTTGAGCTGGCTATCAGTATCATGAGATTCAGGTCACACAGGAATGTTACTTTTAAAGTACTTTACAGCTCACAGATTCTATAAAAGCTTCTGTTTCCTCTTTGCTAAGCGGCAGAAGAAGTAAGAGGATGAGTGAGGGAACTGCAGCTAATACATTGCTAAGTCAGACACACGAGATGATCAAGAAGAGGTCTAGAAAGAAATTTATACAAAGTTTAGGCAGGTTGTAGGAGACAGTATGTGCTAGATAGCTACAAATCTGATTGAGAAGGACAGGAGATACCCAAAGCAGTGATGACTCAGAATAGGGCTTTGAGGAAGAAGACAGGATTTCTTAACTCTGAGAAGGCTTCAGAAAGATGAAGGCAAGCAATTCTGAGGGGGGAAAAAATAAGGATTGGGATGAGGGAGGCGATGAATGTAATTAATCTTCCAATTGGGTCCAGATCAGTTACTGAAGCATTATTAAGATGATGCCAGCTGAGGCCATCGGTCACTAGGCCAGGACCCATTGCCTGGGGTTTTCAGCACTGATTTCATTGATTTTTGAATGGTAGGGATATTGGACATCATTAGTCCACTTCTATCATTCTGCCAGTAAAGAAACCAAGTTCAACAGTGGTGCACTGACTAATTTAAAGACTGTGTAATTCCAAACAGGAAATTACAAGCAGTTGTTTCAGGGCTAGAGCTGGGTCTCCTGGCTCTGACCAGCATCCTTACCTTCAGGCCTTGCTACCCAAGTGAGGAGGAAAAGACTGCAAAAAAAAAAAAAAAAAAAAAAAAAAAAAAAAAAAGACATGTACATTCTCTATGCCTTATTTGGCCAATATGAAAAATATGGATGATGCAAGAGGTAGCATAAAATACACTTCATAGCTTAATCTCTGGAGTCAGACTGATTACATTTAAGTCTTGGCTCTGCTCTGCGACAAGTTACTTACCCTTGCTGTGCATCAGTTATTTCATCTGCGAAATGGAAATAATAATAGTAATCTGACCACAAGGTTGTTAGGAGGATACAGTGAGCCAGTATAGGTAAACACTTTTAGAATGAGTGTCACATTCTTCCCCATAAGCCCATTCTGATTAATCACTGATTTGGGTATCTCTGTCATTCTAAATCAATTTATGTCTTACTAAATGTGATCTAATACTATATCTGAACATATGTGTCTGTGGGTTGCACTATTTATTTAGAAATCAGAAATTCCTTGGACTTTCATATTGGGTGAAGTGCTTGAGAGTCTTGTGAAGAAAATTATGTAGAAAGAGTAGGTATTATTGTTAAGGCAATAATAGCAATTCTGAGGAGTTCACAGTGTAGCTGGGGTTCTCTAGAAATTTCTATGAAGTCTTTTTCCTCTTGTAAGACTTTTTTTTTTAACTTTTTGTCCCCTCATCATGTCCTACTTCCTCAGTGCTATGTCATATCTCCTTCCTTCACCTTACTTGATGCTTGTGTAGCCCCTGGACTCAGTTTAATAACCACCAACCTGACCTCCTAAAGCATCAAATGTCACTACCTCTAAGTTTCCCCTAGGTAGTCAGCTTGGATATAAAAATGTTATCCTGTGGTGTCTCTACTGCCAGTGTTTTAGTGAAGAATAGATGAGGATAGTCTCTTGATACCTTATAGCCAGAAATGAAATGGCAGTAAAATCTGTATCTACCGTTGCCATTTCTTCCTCTACATGAACCCACTGACTATTTTGGCTTAGCAATTCTGTCAGCATTTGGATTTTTGAAGCTCTTCTGTGAGAGTAGTAACCACAAGGTTAGAAAGGAAATGGGTGTAATCCAGACCTCGAGGTAGCCCTGAAGTGAGGGTAACTAGCAAGAGTCAGCAAAATAGGCAGGGAAAGAAATCTGATATACTACCCATTCCAGTTTTTCAAAATTCTACCATTCCATCTTTTTCCTCCCATTTTTAGCCACTTGGGGCTGGTCCTATATGTCATGCTGCTCAAAACATGCTCAGAAGAAATGACAACTTTTTTCATTCCTCCCGTCAGTGCACTTGACAATGCTGAATATTCACAGAGGGCAAGAGAGTGTTCAGCACCATGTTTATTATTCAAGTGCACCTTCTGGGACCTTCTGGGGTGTCTCATCACCAGATTCTTGACTTTCTTTTCAGTCTGCCTGGCAAGTGCTCAACTTGCATAATTTCATTTAGTCAATAATGGAAAATGGAAACTTGCAATTAACTTCCAAGCAGGAATTATATGTCTATGTAGGTATATGTATCCTGAAAAGTAGTCTTAAAAGATGCTTCAGTAAGGACTGATTTTTTTTCATTAACCATCTCTTATGATACCAATTTGCTCCCCTCTACTTCTGGAAGAATGCAAATTAAATCCACTCTGTCAATAGTAATTTCTGGATATTAAAAAGACCTGGTTACTTTGTTATATCAGCTTCTGCTCAGAAATCAACTTTAGAGGATAAAGTACCAAATTCTCAGCTTGACATTCAAAGCCTTCCACAGAAGGCTCCAACTCTGCATCCCAGCCTATTCCCTCCAAGCTTCCCACTCCACCCAAATCAATGGGCATTTTCAGGGTTTGCCAACTGTAGAGTGGGCTTGCCTAACTTGATATTCTGCATATGTTGTGACTTCAGCTTAACAGAACTCTCCCACCTCTCTGCAACCTCCAAAAGCCATCTCAAGGCCTGCCTCTTCTCTCAGATTGTTCCAGTCCACTGCGATATCGCCCTCCTGATTTTATGTTACTTATTGTTGGTTACATTCACTTGGAAATTAATCACATATGTCCTCAAAATTTGTCTTCTAATGTTTTATTGCATTTAATTCTGGTTTTATTTATTAACTTATTGTTTATTGCTTTTATTAAGATTGCTAGATGCTAAACTTATTGAGGTCAAGACAAAACCATGAAATTTTATAACTCCCATGGGATTCATTTCTGTATCCGGTGAATACCGATTGATCAGTATCTTCCTATCAGGTTGGTACTTGCTGACAAGGGATGACATTGCAGAAAGTATCCAGCGCTGAGGCTTAAAACACAGATTTTTCCTTCTTTTATAGAATTGTAAAGCAGTCCCATAATGTGAGAAACATTGTTTATTCATAGTGAATTATCTAAAAAGCATATTTTCTATTTTTCTCCTTCATGTCTCCTCTCTCAACCTCTTTCTCAGATTATTTTTCTCGTTTCTACTAATCGTCAAAACCTACGTGTTATGCTGAAGGCTGACTGCTTACGCAGCTTCTAGGTGTCACTGGCAGAAACATGTCTTTCAGCTGATAACCCTCACTCAAGGGTTAACATTTAGAGCTTGGGAATATCTTTAGACAAGCTAATTAACGGGTAGTTTGCATTGTGTTTGTGCATGTGTGGTTGTGCGTGTTTAACAAAGTAAAAATAAAATTGTGAATTCTTGGGAGATTTTGCCATGAAGAGGTTAAGAGGATTGTAAATTGTTCTGTAATTTGAACACTGAGGTGGTAATGCAGTAAATGCCGATGAACAAACAGGCATCAGAGGGTCTGTGTGAATGACTCCTGGCTCATCCTATGTCCATCTGCTCCTGCCTCTTCTCACCGCATTGCCCTGGATTTTAAAAATTCTAACTTAAAATGGGAAATTTCTCGATTTTTTTTCCCTGGAAGCTTGTCAATGATATAAATGTTAAATTCATGGTTCAATGATATATTTTTTAAATTTCTCAGTAAGCTATTCTAAAATTAGCTTTCTAATTGTGCACATTGCTTCTTCCTCTCAGCTCTGTGCCCTTTGCCATCTTCACTGCGGTCCTCTACTTCCCCCGCTCCTCCCCAGTCTTCCACTAGCAAACAAACCCAGCAGTAATTACTAATGTCCAAGCACGTAATTCCGGCAGCATTAGGCTTTTCATTTGACGCAACTACGCAGACAGCTGTCTGGACATGCAGCATGAAGTTAAAGCATTTTTAAAGATTCCTGCCCATATTTTCTCTCCTCCACTACTAAAACACAGTTGTTTATTTTTGTCTGCAGATTGCAAAGTTATAAACTTCTTTTATACGTTTACATACTCATATATAAATGTCCACCCAAATAATTTTACATCCATGCAAAATAACAGATCAACATATACATACATGGAAACACATGGTCATCTATAAAAAGAAAAAACACTAGGAAATAATTAAATAGCAGCGAATGAAATTACCTTCTGTATATGGACAGGGAATTTTAGTGTCTGTAGCATACAGATGATAGGAGGTATGACTATCTAAACACAATCCAAGTTCTCATTTGGGGTCTTTTAAGGGGATCATGATAGCGTTTCTTTAATGCATTGTATAGATTATTACATATGACGCTGTTACTCTTTTTTGCTAATGACTCAAATGGCATAATTTTGACTCTGGTCATTTTTATGCCAGTTTTATCTACATCAAACAGAGAGAAATACCCCTGATGACTTTTGCTCTCTCAGATGCTCCAAGCCTCAGAGTAGAAAATGGTTAAAGTAGTTATTACCACCTCAGCAAAATCCCGCAGTGCCATAAGAGAAATTGCAGTAGACCTTTAGGTCAGAGTTAAGTTCTAGTTTAACACCATGGTTCTTTACCTGCATTACCCTGAAGGACACACTTGGATTCTCCTGAGGAAGGCCAGTCTTAATATTGTCAAAATCTAAAGCTATCAGCCTGCGATAACCAGTGCTGATAGCAAATACTTCCAGTAACTCTGAAACCGTGGCCAAAGAGGTTAAATCTATTCAGTACAGGACCAGTAAAATTTCTCAGATATGTGTTTTTGTGGATGAATGCTTGTATTCATGCCTGATTGCAAGGATGGGGGAAGAAGGAAAAGGAAGAGTGATTCATTCTTAAAGTTGATTCTGCTTAGTTCAGCTAATCTCACATTTTTATCAAATGGAAACATAGAGAGAGATGTATCATCCCTATAAACAGATAGCATTGGCTTCTTCATATATACAGTACTTATGCTCACCCAAGATCTGTAGACAGATCTACTCTGTGTTAAAAAACAAAACCAAACAAAAACCTTGATACCCTGCTGGAGGATAAATCCATATTTTTTAAAAAATGTATTTATTTTCTACGTAAAATAAGGGTCAGAGGGCAACACAGAAGATTTCCACAAGTAGACTATTTTGTTGAAGCTATGCAGGAGGTGAGGAGGGGAACAGGAAATTGTCTGCAAAGGAGTCTCTGTGAGGAAGATTTATTTCTTTCTTGTTTTCTTTTAAGCTACTATGACTCCTCTATTAAGGGTCTCCGTAAGACCGGGGTCTCAGGGAGACAATTTGGTCTCCAGCCCTGGCACATCCAGCCCCGGCCAGGCATTTCTGCCGCAGGCAGATGAGGCGCTGCGGCCGGACCGCTGTCCCCGGTGCTGAAAGGTCGAGGGCGCCCGCGCGAGCCCTCGGTGTTGCTATCCAGGGTGCTGAGCGCGGGCCGCCGCAGTCCCCGAAGCCAGCCCACCCGCGCCAGCCCTCCGCAGAGCCCTCCCACCCGGCACGACCCGCCCGCCTCCCGCCAGCCTGCAGTTGACGTGGAGCAGGCGGCATAAATCAAGTCCGCGGGGCATGGAGGCTGCTGTCGCTGCAGCAGCTCAGCTTGCCCGGGGCGGGAACTCCCCCTTTCTCCTTTCGCCTCCCCAGCACCCACACCCTGTCTCCCCCTTAATTCTTCCCTGGATAATAGCACCCTAACGACAACAGTCATAATAATAGGGTTAGAACGACAGGGGAGGAAAACTCAACAGCCTAAATATCTCTGAAAACTGCATCGCAAAATGGAAGAAAGAGGGGGTCCCACTACTGTTTCAAAAGAGTAAGTTATTATTCGGTACGTACCCTCGCTCTTCCTCCCCGTCGCTCCATTTGCAGGGCTCCCGTTTCCCTTTTCCCCAGCAGCTCACCTCGAAAACACTTTATAAAGCCCCCACCAGACGTGCACACACGGAATACCGCACCCTAAGTGCACCAATACTTGTATTTACCCAAGCCCACTCGGACTGCCCAGCTGCTGTCCCTTCTGGGTATGCAGCCATCCCGAGCCAGAGCCACGACCTGGGGAGGGGGGTTCTTACCTGGGCTTCTCGGGAGGGTTGTGTTCTCCGGGCCTCTGCAGGTTGCAACTGTGGTGGAGCCGCCGAGCAGGGAGGGAAGGAAAGACAGCGCCTGACCTCCCCGAGGTTTCGTCTTCAATGCAACGTGAGCTCTGCCCTCATCAAAGATGGCCGTCCGTTTTGACGTCAGCAGCTTTTAATAGCCGCCCAGCGAGGGGCGGGAGGAAGTGGGGGCGGGGCACGGCGGGGGCGGGGGCGGGGCCCGGGCTGCGGCGCGCTTGACTCGGTTCCCAGTGCGCTGGCCTGCAAACCTGCGTGTTTTCACCTTCTATAAACACCCGCACGGGGCGACTCTTATGACTCCATTTTAACACTCGGTCTTGGGCAAACGCGTTCATCCCGCAACTGCATTCCTGATGTTCTTTGGTGTGTGTGCGTGTGTGTGTACATATGTGTATATGTGTGTGTATGTATATATGTATGTGTGTGTATATTTTATAATACATGTATAATATATGTATAATTTGTGTGTATGTGTATATATTCCCCCCCACCCCCACCCCCACCCCCTTTCAGTGGAATCTGTGGTTGAGTCATCTAAGGAGAGGGGAAGGCAGAGGAGGGGTAAAAGGTAGTGATGGGAGGGGTGGGGGAAATTTCAGCGGCGATTTGTTTTCTCCGAAGAGGGTCCGTAGGGGCATCCCCGTCCACCCTCGCCAGCTCCATATATGGCCAGGCTACGTGGGTTGCTATTTTTATGAGTGATTGCTTCATGTTATCGAAGCAGCGTCGAGGGCTTGTGGCTCTCGTTGCTGTGGTCAGCCGGGCAGCGAGGCTGGCGCACGTTATTTTGAACTACGTCAGAGCCAGGCTCTCTGAGCTGTTGCAGGAGTCGGGGGAAGGAGAAGGGAAGCGGAGTTAGCCCAGCCAGCGTGGGTTTGCAAGGACTCGAGGCTTGAAGTTGAGTTGTTTGCCGAGGGCAAAAACGGATGACTCTGCTTTCGGTGGAATTTGCAGTCGGTGCTGGGGTTTCATGCTGGGTGTCTTAGGGGTACCCCACGGAGGCACAGACGCCCCGAGGGAACCGTCCAAACGGCCGGGAGGAGGTGGGGGATTCAGAGCAAGGACGGCTGGGACACGGCCGAATCTGGGGGTTCACTCAGTGCGCAAACCCCGGGGTACCCGTGCAGGCTGCCTCGGGGGGCCCTCGGATGCTCAAATCAGGGCGGGGAGACAAAGGCTACTTGTGCTGGTCGTATTAGAGATTAAAAGTGATAATTATAAAGCAACAACCCTAACTGTCCTCCCTGGCCGTGCCCGGGCCCGGGAAGGGGGTGGTGCGCGGATCGCTCGGCGGTGGCAGCCTCCCGGATGATTCACAGGTGTTGGGGAGGCTGTCGCGGGGCTCTCCGCAGGGAGGGAGGGCTGGGGAGCGCGTGGGAGGTGGGGGACCTCGTCTGAGGAACTGTTTGTACTTTTCCGGGAAGGATGCGATTAGAAGTCGTGCCTCGCAATGTTAAAACTTGATGGCCTCTTTTAGGCTATGGAAAATCCTTGTCTCGCTTAGGAGAAACCATTTAGAGCTGGGTTCGGAAAAGCGGCGTACAACCTCTCCCCTTGCACCCTCGCCCCCCACCCCCGCCCCACCACACACACACACACACACACACACACACACACACACACATCCCTAGCTGGCCTGAGAGCCAAGCTTAGGCAATAATACGGCCTTTGATTGCGCTCCATTGCGGAGGGAGGGAAGCGGGGTAGGGGGAAGGGAAGAAGAGTTGTGAAGGCGCTGCGTTTAGAAAGAGACGGGTTGTTAAGAATTTAATAAAGGATACCTTTAATCGAAATTAGTAGACATAATTGTTTCTTAAAGATTCCCTGGCCTGAAGGCTTTTTTTTGACGTATTGATGTTTTTGCCATAATAATTAACAGTGTTTGGATGTTAATTAAAGCCAAATTCCTAAAAAAGGCATGTTGCTGAAATTTGTTTACTTAAATATTCATTAAACATTTAAGATTGCCATACAATAAAGAAGAAAATCTGCAAAGTCCTTAGATACTTAATTGCCAATAAAAGTCTCTTGAGTATGGCTCTTACTTTCATTATAAAGCAAGTTGGAATAGGGGGAAAGGGGTTTGAATGCAATGTACTGCAAAATCCTTTGTAGTCAGAATTTTTTCCAAAGTGTGACACTTTAAAAAAAGGCAGCATGCGGAAGTTTGAAGAGAAAAAAAAACCTGCAGAGGGAGAAAAAAAAATGTGTGTATGGCCCTCAGACTAGAAATCATTCAGGCAGAAAGTTTTGTGAAGGAATGGAGGAGGTGGGGGATTTTCCAAGTTAAAAAAAAAAAAGAAGTTAAAAAGCAACTACGTCAGTGATGGAGGCTTATCCTGCAGGCAAAAGCTATGTAGCAGTCACAGGGAAGGACTGGCTTGGTATTCTGAGTTTTCAACTGCTGATGCCCCACACTGACATCTATAAAAATGACAGACAAGAAGAGAGAGGCAGACTGTTTCAAGGCATTACAGAAAATACCATGGACCCTACAAGATTAGCTGGTGGTGGTGACAATGTTTTCCATTGCTAGTGCTTGTTGTGAAAATGATGCTGTTTGAGAGGTTCTTAGAGGTTCTTCATCTTGCTCTGGGAAAGGTAACAGAGTGTAATTTGAGATACATAAACATTGGGTACATAAAAATCTGCTAGGGATGACCAGATAACCCTAAATGTATTTTGAATAGGATAATGAGATTTTTTTCCCTTAGGATTTTCTCACGGCATGATTAAAGCAAAACAAAAACAAACAAGAAAACGTCATCATCTTTGCCAGTAGAGAACCAGCAGATTCATGATACTCAGGGTTTGCAAAGGCCTGAACCACACAGGGAAGGAAGGTGATGGAAAATTTGTTCCAAAATGGTTCAGCTGCTATGGGTTATTTCTGCAAAGAACTAACACACAGAGTATCTAATGCTTAGGATGAGTAACGAGAAAATTACCTGCTCTGCTAGATGGATATTTACACTGTGATAATTCAAGCCTCTGAAAGCTTTTTTGGTACATTATGCCCCAAAGTATTCTGGTTTGCAGTAGCTCTAGGTCCAAGGTATTTAGCTTGTATCTCCAAGGTAAGGTGCAAGATTCATAGTTGACTCAATAACTACAATTTTATAAGTCATAATAATAATAACTTTTCTAAAATCCCATGTGATCTTTCCAAAGTCAACTTGGAAGCAGTTTAGAGATAGCCCAGCTCAGAAGCCCTCTCTCCAGGGTCCTCCTTTGGGACATGCCTGGCACCCTATGACAATGTTTCAAAACACTGTGAGGGCAAAGAATATTCAGTTCTGCGCAAGAATATTCAGTTTGATAGAGCAACTGTTTTGATTCCTTGGTTTGCTTTCCAAGTGGTTTGCTTGCCACTTTCTCTTCATATATTCTTCTAGCCCTTAATCCAGCCCCCCACCCCATTTATATATAGTGAAGTAGCGGTACCTTAAAATGCCTCGAGTAGTTTAACTCTAGGTTTAAACTATCCAGGCTGTTCTTGTTCCCTGAAGCCTCTAAGGTAGATATAGATCTTGTGAAAGGTAAAAAGAGAACCAGGAATATTAGTTGCTGTTTCTGGTTTGCCAGGTTAAGAAAAAATAGGACTGTACACTCAGAATATTAAATAACACTTTATTCTTTATTACAGACAGTATGGTGAGAAGGAAGAAGGGGAGTGTCCAGCAGCCACAGGCTGGATGTTTCCACACTTTTGTTCCTTGATGCACCAAAATTACAGACTTTCTTTTACAATGCATCCTAGGACCCTTCCCAATGCTGAGACACGCCTGTGGTCCAGTAGGGAGGAAGAACCTGTGACAATTAGGAACAGAGAGGCAGAGAAAATGGTAGTCCAAATTAGTACACTTCAAAAAGGCTATTTGTTAGGGATCACAGTATTCCTTGAGTAAATCTTTTAGGAATCATATTAGTTCTGTAACCTCTTTGTATCTCAATTATCTCATAGGTAAAATGGAGACAATAATTATAGCAAATACACAAGGAAATTATGAAGCACTGAGTGTCATGTCTAGCACTATGAAGTATTGGCTAAATAAAATCTATCATTTTGATGAGACTTTAACTTTATTTCTCTAAGAAATGACATGTAGCTTGGCTTTAATATGGAGGATTGCCATTTTTTTCATTAGCTATTAATTAGATATGTATCAATCATACTGGGCCTTGTTTTTTTCATCTATATGAACTTATTCATTTACTCAATATCGAACACCTGCCATATGCTTAGCACTGGGGTCTAGGAAAAATTGAGTAGAGAGTTGAGGGTTAGAGCGGTTAAATAACCAGGCCAAGGACACAGCTAAGAAATGGGATAGCTGGGGTTTGAACCCCAGGGCCCAAGCTCATAATCACTATGTTTTAGTACAGCCTCCTCCAGCTCCATCAGACTCCTTTCTGCCCTCTGCAGCTACCTTCTCTGCCTCAACACACTGTGGCTTGCATATGCCTTTTCTCATTAGCAACTTCAGGGTTTCGTTTGCTAGAGGGATGAGTATGAATTACTGGTTTGGTTGGCTGAATCACAAGGTTTCGCTGTGGCGAATTTCAAGAAAGAAGTCTAGGCTGTTAACCTGAGGTGAACAGAAACAACATATTCAAAGGAAGAGAGTTCAAATTACAATCAAGGAGGGAATTCAGAGATCAATATCCAATAAACAGCTTAAATAAGAATCAGGGCAGAAAATGCTCTCAAAATATACCTAAGCAAGTCAGCCAGAGGTCAGAACAGAATGGCAATGTGGATCAGTGGTTTTGAGGCAGATGATATGAGGTCTTCAACACGAATTGATTCCAAGGGTGAAGAACTCTGAGGGTGAGGATGGGGTTAAGCTGGGTTGAAATGAATGACTCAGGATATACCTGGGAATGGGGCAAGAATATCTCGTGCGATTTTATTGATACTAGCGGAGAAGGGCATCACACTTCTGCCAGCTCACAGGCACCAGCCTAGGCAAGGCACATTCTAAGACATCAGCAGATTGCATCAATAATCTCTTGGTCATGGTCCAAAGGACTTTTCATCTTTATTGACTTCTGGGTTCACCTGACGGCATGTACTTACCCCTTCCCTTTCTTAAAGCTTTCATTATCAGGTGCCTTCACCTCTGTTTCTCCCTTTTTTGTTGGCTCCTCATTTTCCATAGCAGATGGGTTGAAGCAGCAAAATTGTTGTGCCCAGCAGGTTAAGCTGGACATTTCCTTGAGTCCTGCACAAGCCCCCCTGGGAGCTCCATATGTCCATAGAACCTGTCCTGACTCTCCACCCTGAAAGCTTCTGTGCTCTAAGCCAAAGAGAAAAAAATTAAATAGCTCTCTTTTATATAGCTCTGTGCTAAAGAAATACGAAAGTTGCAAAGAACTGTCACACACATGATCTCATTTTATTCTTGCAACAACTCTCTGAGGTATGTATAATAGTAATTATTATTTTAATTCCCAATTAATACATGATTATCTTATACCATGCAGCCAGTTGGTAATGGAGTTAGAATAGGTACTGAAAACTTCCTACTCTAAATTCTACATCAGAAAATGCAGAATTCTGATTGGTCTTTCAGCCTTCTCTACTGACCATGGTACCTCAAGAGACTCAGTGTTCTATATCTTCCTTCATATGTTGTCTTCAAAAAATCTGATTTCATACCCTTGAGTTTAACCATCTTTTTATATATTTGACTTTTAATTTCCTATTGCCAGTCTCACTCACTCTTGTGAGCTTCAAAGTCATATTCCTAGCTTCTTAATGAACACTCTTATCTGGCTGAATCAAAGGCACCTCAAACTGAACATATATATGCATAAGTTGGTTCCATACTCTGCAAGAATCTACTTCGCCTCTTACATTCTTAATTAACATTTTCTCATGATGTCCCATCTTCCAAACTAGTATACTCACAAGCATCTTATTTTCACTCTCCTTTGCTGGCTTTGCTTTCATTTTCTCAACTCCGAGCGTTCAAGACTTGGAACTTCTCTCCTCTCTACATAATCATTCCCTGGTAAGTGTATCCATTTCCAAGGCCTTGGGTAGTGTCTATGTGTTGATGCTTTTATGTTACATATTCAGCCCTAATTTTGCTCCTGGACTGCATCATGTATGCACAAGTTTCTACTCAATATCTGTACTTAAGCATAAGGCAAATATGGACATCTAACTTAGCATATCCAAAGCAGATTTCAGATTTTTTAACTTCAAGAGGCTCCCTTCATCTTAGTTCTCCATATTAGCGAACGGCATTGACATTCCTAGTCCCTGAGGATGAAAATCTTATATTATTTCAAGGATATTTTTTATATTCACACATAATAAATAACACTTGTTGCTCTATTGTCAAAATACTTTTCAAATCCAACTACTCCTCAGCACCTCCGCGGATACCACCTTAGTTTAAGTCGCCATCATTTCTCTCTTGGGATATTACAGTAGCCTCTTAATTTGTCTTCTAGCACCTGTATCTCCTCTACATAGCTGCTGCAGTGATACTTTTAAAAGACAAATCTGATCATATTTCCTTTCTCTAAAACTTTCAATGTCACCCATCACACTTAGAAGTTCTTCCTTTACTCTACAAGATCATGCTCCTGGCCACCTTTCCGAACTCATTTCCCAGCACCTCTCCATTCCAATCACGTTGGCCTTCTTGCTGTCCGTTGAACAACCAAGCACACTCCTATCTCAAGACCTTTGCACTAGTTAGTGTTTCTACCTGAAATAGCCTCCCCCAGATCGTCTCATGTCTCATCTCCTCAAATGCCACATTTACAAAGGAGCCTTCTCTGACAATCTAAACTCGCTAAAGTTGCTAACCTCTATTTTTTAAAATTATTTTACCCTGCACTATTTTTCTTCATAGCACTTTTCTCCTGTTGACATTATATATGTGTTTATAGCTACATCTATATTATATTTCCCAGAGGCAATGGTTTTCAATGGCATTTGCATTTGCTTTGGTTAATTTCTTTTTTGTTTCCAAATAATATGCAGACATTGCTAATTCTTGATTTATAAAATAGACATCAGTTGACTTCCTAATAATGAGGCTCTCTTACATCACCCTTGTTTCTTCTCCCCATCCTGTCAATAACACAACTGTGTGTTAAATAGTCACTCTGCCATGAATATATCTAGGTAAATATTGTTCACTGTAAGTAGTACCACATAATGAGTATGCTTCTTTTTTTTTGCATATTTTCCCACTTTCCCTAAAGAAGCTCTTACAAGCTTCATAGAGAAGAAAGAGGTGGTCGCCTACAAAGGAGGAAGAATTACAGCAAAATTGGACTTCTCAAAACAAATTCAGGTGGTAGGAGTCAATGGAACAGGTCTTCAAATACAGCAAGAAAAATAAATCTCCATCTATAAGTCTATATTAAGCCAGAATATTAATAAAGAGCGAAGGGCAAAATGAAAACATTTCTAGATGTGATGTGGACAGACTCAGGACAATTACCTCCCATGAACATTTTTTGCAAATAAAAATATTTTCTAAGGATTTTACCTTAACAATACAACTCACAAAGGAATCTATGCAAAGGAGGAAGACCAGGAACTTAGGAAATATTAGAACTAAGGTAGCATTTTTTTCCTAGGACCAAAGCTAGGAAACAGATACGGTAATAAATCAGAGTAAAATTAGTTTGACAAATAGTATAGTTTAAAAGCTAATTATAGTATTAACCAGACAATGGCATAAATATCTCCTATCAGTAATAACAAGAAAATGCCCCTATAATGACAGGAAAAACAAAAGCTATATCATATATTTTTGGTTCAAATCTGAAGTCAATTATACGACACAATTTTGAGCATTTTTTGATGGCGTTTAAGGAAATATTTTTTATTTGTCCTTTATCTTCAATTTTTTTTTCTTTTTTGGTGTGAAAATTTAGTGCCACAGAGACATTTTTTCTTTAAAGTTTTACCACCCTACCTGGTTCTGCAATAAATACTATCTATATAATCATAAGCTGTAAATGCTCTTTTTTGATCTTTGAAGTTTAAATTAAACTGTAGACCAAGAATAAATGACTTAATATTTACCAAACAGAATCTGAATATTATGGGACCTAACATATAGAAGTAGTGAGAGAGCTGTCAGATGTGGGAAGTAAAGGAGAGGGCTTAGGAGGGGCAATGTAAAGAGACTTTATAATGCAGACACCGCAATTTACTCATTTTATATGGTAAAGGATTAAAATAATCAGTATAAAGTTCATAAAAGGAAAAATAAAGTTTACTGATGGTATAATCATATATAAAGTTATATGTATTATTTTAAAGTTAGCCAACAGAAACCCAAAAAGTAATAGAAGTACCAAAGTTCAGTGGTTGTAATAAGGGAGACAGAGCCAACAAGATAACGTTCTCAGTTTTTTCATAAAGGATGTTTATATATTATTTAAAATTGGTAAATCAAGAAATAAAAAGATATTATTTAAAATTAAGGTTGGAAACACCAAAGATAACTTGAAGAGGAAGTATTTAAAGATGGTTACTTTTGGGAAGGATAATGAGTAAGATGCAAAAAGATTTTATTTTATTTAAACAATCTTCATTATTGTTTTCCTGTGAATGTGTTACTCTTCTTTAAAAGAATGGCAGTAACAAAATTATTTCAAAAAGCTTTTATGCAAGCTCTCCTGGTTTGGGTGGGCTGCAAAATTCTGTCTTCAATGTCCTCTCCTATAATGCTTTGGAAACTCCATAACCTTTCTTATTCAGTATAACAAAACGGTATTGATTTTTAAAGTGGAGAAAAGAAAGATTCCTTGAAATGTATTTTTAACCCCTGTGTTTTTCTAGGCAATGTTAAGGAAAGATACTGAGATTAAAATGGAAATATGAGACATGAGAGCTGACATCTGGTCAGGAGGTCTGTTGGAGCCAACATTTTAATAATAAAATTATGATTATGAAAGAGCCACTTTGGGGATGGTTGAATAAGGACCTCTGAAAATCTATTCCTTCATAAAAGCAACAAGAACACTAGCAAAAATTGTTAAAATAATTTTTTTGTTTAGAAATCTGGAAATTAACCAAAGGCTTGCAACAATCTGAGGAGCATTTATTCAAGAAAAATGTCTACATTTTGGGTAAGAACAAGAAACTTTGTGGCATTTAACTTGCCCTATTGCCATTCCCCTTTCTGCAGCTTTATAGCAACCTTGAAAACCAGGGACCTACATGCCATTTGGAGGGTAACAGAATTGATTTGGAGCTCCCCAGAATCCCATCCAGAGAGAATTGTCACTATTTAACTTGTCTGAAAATTTCCTGAAGGTGAGGATCAAAAAACTACCTATTGGGTACAATGCTCATTACCTTGGTGACAAAATAATCCATACCTCAAACCCCCATGACATGCAATTTACTCATGCAACAAACCTACACAGGTACCCCCTGAATCTTAAATAGAAGTTGGAAAGAAAAAAAGTAAAAATAAAAAATAAAAAGTTCCCTAAAAACTACCACTCTTGAAGCTTATCTTTATTTGAGGTAACTTAGAACTCACATAGTATAAACATTATCTCCCCAAAGCATTAGTCAAAAACAATCAGCATCAAATGTTTCACATAGCAGCTGCCTGAGGCAGTGGTAACAGCTGGGACAAATAAGAAGTTGACCAAAAATCATAACAGGAAATGCTGGAAACTGAGATGTTCATAGGGTGTTTTCAAAAGTTCTCACGTATTTCTGGGAATCTAGAAAGCCATGCACATGCAGAAAGCTGGGTGCATGCCCCAAATCTGAGAAGGCCCTCTTCTCTCACCTCTCCATAACCTGAGACTGCATCATCAGGAAGCAAAGACTAAGGCAGCTTTGTAACCTGCCTGGTGGAGCATTGAAAGAGTACTCCAAAAAATACATACACAGAACTTCTCAGCAAAGACTGTGAGCCTTATTGGTGCAAGGTATTTAGGGAAATCTCTGTCCAAACATGAGCTGAACATTAAATTAGCTGAGTAGAGACTTCAGGGCCATACACAATAAAGAAGACTTACCAAAGTAGTTCAGCAAAATCACTCAACAATCAAACAAAACTCCCCCAAATAGATTGAAAAAAAAAAAGATGAAATATATATACAATGCAAATAATCAAAGAGAATTGGATAAAGTGGATATCAGGCAAAATAGAATTTAAGACAAAAATTGTTACTAGGGACAGTAACAACAGTAGTAACAAATAGCAACAGTAACAAATGCTGTGGGATGAAGGTAGAAATCTGATTTCCAGAATTGCCGCATTATATTATTTAAAATGTGTAGTTCTTAACTAAATATTAAGACATACAAACAAATGTGGCCCATATGCAGGAGAAAAACAGTCAAGAGAACCTGTCCCTGAGGATACCTAGGCATTAGAATTTCTGGACAAGGACTTAAAATCAGCTCTTATAAATGTGTTAAAGAACTAATGAACTAGCCCATGTCCAATGAACTAAAGGGAAATATGGGAAAGATGTCTCACAAAATAGAGCATATCAATAAATAAATAGGTATTGTAAATAATCAAATAAAAATTTCGAAGTTGAAAAATATCATAACTGAAATAAAAAAATTCATTAGAGAAGCACCGTAACATATTGGAGGTGGCAGAATAAAGAACAAGCAATTTCAAAGATAAATCAATTGAGATGATTCAGTCTGAGCAAAATGGAAAAAGAATGAACAAAAGCTAATGAAGCCTCAGAGATCAGTGAGACATCATCAAGCATACCAAGTCAGCATAAAGGAAAACCAAAAGGAGATGAGAGAAATGGGTAAATAGAACATGTGAAGATGTAATGGCCAAAACTAACAAAATTTTGAGGAATAACATTAATCTAAACACCCAAGAAGCTCAACAAACTCCAGTAGGATAACTTAAGGAGATCAACATCTGTGTGCATTACAATCAAAACTAAAAGTCATGGAGGGAAAATACTGAAGGCAGAAAGAGAAAAATGGCTCATTATGTCCAAGGGATCCTTAATAAGATTAAGATTCTCATTAGAAACCACAGAGACAGTGGGATGACATGCTCATATTTAAAGTACTGAAAGAAAAAGACATTCAACCAAGAAGTCTATATTCAACAAAATTATCCTTCAAAAGGAAGGAAAACAGCAACAATAACTAAAATAATTTGTTGCTAACGGACCTTCCCTGTAAGTACTAAAGGAAGTGCCTCAGCTGAAATGGAGAGACTGGACAGTGACTCAAATCCACATAAAACAATAAAGAGTACTGGTAAAGGTAGGTACAAAGAGAAATATAAAAGCCAGCTTTATTGTGTTATTTTGGTTTGTATTTTTTTCTTCTCCTATCTGATCGAAATTACATAAAGCAATAATTGTAAAACTATGTTGATGAGTTTATAATGTATACAGATGTAATTTGTATGAAAATAAAAGCACCAAGGAGGGAGGAGGGAATAGAGCTATGTCAGAGCAAAGTTTTGGTGTACTATCAAAATCAAGTTTGTATTAATTTGAACTAGATTTTAAAAACTTATCACATTAATTGTACTTCCCAGCTATGCACAGTGGCTCACCTTTGTAATCTCAGCTACTCAAGAGGCTGAGGTGGGAGGATCCCTTGAGTCCCGGAGTTCAAGCCCAGCCTGGGCAACATAGCGAGACATCATCTCCAAACAAACAAACAAAACAAAACAAAACAAAAACTTTACTGAAAAACCCAGAAATGTTTTTGGGAAAATAAACAGTATGGTTCTAAAATTTATATAGCAATGCAAGTAACCCAGAATAGCCAAAAAATCTTGAAAAAGAAGAACAAAGTTGGAAGAGTCACACTTCCGCATTTCCATACTTAATACAAAGGTATAGTAATAAAGACTTTACGACACCAACATAAAAACAAATAACTGGGATCAGATTAAATGTCCAGAAGTAACCCTTTCATTTATGATTAATTTATTTTTTGACAAGGGTGACAACAGAATTCAATGTGGAAAAAAATAGTATTTTTAACAAATGGTGCTGCAAGAATTGGATATCCACATGCAAAAAAATGGCGTATCTGTTTCTCACACCATATAGAAAAACTAACTTACCCGAAGTGATCTATAGGTTCAATGCAATTCCTATCAAAATCTCATTGACATTTTTTTTCAGAAATAGAAAAATCCCTCTAAAATTCATATAGAATCTCAAGGGATTCTAAATAACCAAAATGATATTGAAAAAGAAGAATAAAGTTGCAGTTTCAGATTTCCTGATTTCAAAACTTACAATGAAGCTTCATAATCAAGGCAGTGTAGTATTGGCATAAAGTCAGACCAATGGAATAGAATAGAGGGTCCAGAAATAAATGCTTGCATATAGTATGGTCAAATCATTTTTGACAAAGGCTCCAAGACCAATGGGGAAAGGGCAGTATTTTCAACAAATGATGCTCAGAAAACTGCAAAATATGCAAAAGAATGAGGTTCATTTGCAAAAGAATGAGGTTGGCCCAGTTCCTCATATCATAGAAAAAAATTAACTCAAAATTGATCAAAACCTTAAGAGCTAAAACTATAAAAATCTTAGCATAAAACATATGTGCACATTTTTATGACCCTGGATCAGGCATTGAACACCAAAATACAAATGACAGCAAATTATAAATTTGACTTCCTCAAAATAAAAAAAAGTTAAATGTGTTTCTAAAGATACAATTTTACAAATGAAAAGGCAAAAAGCAAAAAGGAAAATAATATTTGCAGATCATATATCTGATAAAGGACTTCTATGCAGAGTATTTAAAGGACCTTTACAACTCAATAAAAAGACAACACAACTTAAAAATGAGAAAAAAATTTAAGAATTATTTTTCTAAAGCAGATTACAAATGGCTAATAAACACATGAAAAATGCTTGACATGATCAGTCATTAGGGAAATGCAAATCAAAACCACAAGGAGATACTGCTTCACATCCCCAAGATATCTCTAATCTAAAAGATGAAAAATAGCAAGTGTTGGTAAAGATGTGGAGAATATATAACACTTATCTATTGTTGGTAAGGTATAAGATGGTGTAGCCACTTTGGAAACATTTTTGCAGTTCCTCAGAAACTTAAACACAGAGCTACCATATGATGCAGCAGTTCTACTTCTAGGCATAAACCCAAGAGAACTGAAAACACATATCCATCAAAAAAATCCTGTACATAAATGTTCATAGCAGCATTATGTCCAATAGCCAAAAAAAGTGGAAATACCAAAGGCACAGGCAACAAAAGAAAAAAAAGTAAGTTGGACTACATCAAAAATAAAAATCTCTAGGCATCAAAGGAAATAATTAATAGAGTGAAAAGACAACCCACAAAATGGAAGAAAATATTTGCAAATAGCATATCTGATAAAGAATTAATATACAGAATTCATAAAAAGCTATAATTCAACAACAACCACACAACCCATCTCAAAAATGGGCAAAGTATTGGAACTGATATTTTTCCTAAAAGATATACAAATGGCCAATATGCACATGAAAAGATGTCCAATATCACTAATCATTGGAGAAATGCAAATCAAAACCACAATGAGAAGCCACCTCACACCCCTTAGAATAGATACTAAGAAAAAAACCTGAAAATAACAAGTATTGAAAGAAATGTAGTGATATTGGAACTCCTGTGCATTGCTGGTGGCAGTGTAAAATGGTAGTTACTATAGAAAACAGTAAGATGTATCCTTGAAAAATTAAAAATAATTTGCCATATAATCCAGCAGTTCCACTTCTGGGTATATATCCAAAAGAATTGAAAGCAAGGTTTAGAAGAGGGAGTTGCCCACCGTGTTCATAGCAGTATTATTCACAATAGCCAAAGAGGGAAACAACCCAAGTGTCCATCGATGGAGGCATGGATATGTAAAATTCATATACATAAAATGCAATATTTTCCACCTTAAAAAGGAAGAAAACTTGGACACATACTACAACGTGGATGAACCTTGAGGATACTATGCTAAGTGAAATAAGCAAGTCACATAAGTACAAATATTGTTTGATTTCACTTACGTGAAGTACCTAGAGTAGTGAAATTCATAGGGACAGAAAGTAAAATAGTGGTTGTCAGGGTGAAGATGGAGAAAAGAGAAAGTTATTGTTCAACGGGCACAGCATTTAAGTTTTGCAAGATGAAAAGAGTTCTAGAGATGGATGGTGGTGATGGTTGCACAGCCATGTGAATGTACTCAATTCCATAGAACTCTACACTTAAAAATTGTCAAGACAATTATTAAAGTAAATTATTATAGTACATTTTATATGTATTTTATCACAGTGAAAAAATACTGATGCCTGGGTAACCTTTCCAGAAATCCTCAGTTAATTGGATTGAAGTGAGTTCTGAACATGATTTGATAATTAAAAAATCAGGCCAGGTGCAGTGATTAACACCTGTAATTCCAACAATTTGGAAGGCCGAACGGGAGGATTGCTTGAGTCTAGGAGTTTGAAACTAGCCTAGGGAACACAGTCAGATCCTGTCTCTACCAAAAATTTTTTTAAAAAAGTAGCCAAGTGTGGTGGCACATGCCTGTGGTCCCTGCTACCTGGGAAGCTGAGTGGGAGGACCGCTTGAGCTGGGGAGGTTGACGCTGGAGTGAACCATGACCTCCCCCCTCCACCCAGCCCACTGCACTCCAGCTTGGGTGCCAGAGTGAGAAAAAATTATTTTTCAGGTGCATCTGGTATTTCAATCTATTCCTTGGGTCAACCATGAATAAACTAATAGGTGTTGCCTTGTTTGTTTCTTTCTGGTTCTTTCCATCCACTCGATGCTTTTTTTCTAATTCCTTTCTCCCTTCAAGAAGCCCTAGTGACCTAATCTGCTGCGGCAGATAGCTTCTACTAAGGATAGATTATCAGGTAACTAATTCATAGTAAGCATTTAGAGACTTCTCACCAAGCTAGAAAATCAGAGTAATTTTAAGAATTGAGTAAGGTGAGGTTTTACACACATTGCCAGGTCGTTAAAGAGATCTTGTGGGAAGAGATATTTCTGGTACAGGACAGCTGCAGGGTATGAAAAATATACTTTGGACATGAAGTCAGATTTATTTTTATTTATTTAATAAACACACATATAAAATGTTATAAGTTGCAAGCATTCTAAACACTTTAGAGATTTAACCCCCTACAACTTTCTGATGTTTATACTATTATAATGCCCATTGAACAAATGAGTAAACTGAGACACAGGGCAGTTAAATATCTTACCCAAGGACATTCAGCTAATAAGTGCCAGGACCCAGGTGCCAGCTCCAGAATACAAGTGCCCAAACATGACCCGTTATTCTGTTGAACCTTCTCAACTCTGCTGTAGGTTCTCATTCTTCCTCTGCTATGTCTGTACTGTGTGACTTTTTGAAAACCAATTAACTTCTCTTAGCTTGTTTTCTTATTTGTAAAATAGAACATTGTGTTTAGTTGGAATAGGATGTCATGCCACACACAGGGTCTAGCCAATCTTTTTCTTTCTTTCTTTTTTTTTTTTTTTGAGATGGAGTCTCCCACTTGTCGCCCATGCTGGAGTCCAGTGCTATGATCTTGGCTCACTGCAACCTCCACTTCCTGGATTCAAGTGATTCTCCTGCCTCAGCCTCCTGAGTAGCTGGAATTACAGGCGCCCACCACCACACCGGGCAAATTTTTGTACTTTTAGTAGAGATGGGGTTTCACCATGTTGGCCAGGCTCGTCTCCAACTCCTGACCTCAGGTGATCCACCCGCCTCGGCCTCCCAAAGTGCTGGGATTACAGGCGTGGGCCACTGCGCCCAACCAATTTCTTTGTAACTGATAGAGGCACCTTTTTATTTTTCTGCCATCTGTGTTTCATGTTAAGCTGCATGTTAAGTTGTCGCAATCTATTTAAACCAGGAACCCCTAACTATGAGTGTCTTAGAAAGTCTGGGCTGAAGTAAATCTCCAAAATGTCTGCTGATTTCATGAATGAGGAAACTGAGGAAGAGGAGGAAATACGGGGCCAGCCTTTTAACCATCAGGCGGTTACTTTCCCCCACAGTATATATTTGAGTAGTGAGCTTCTAGACAGAACTGAGCACTTCAGGCCTATTCTATGTTATTGAAGAATTGTGTCTATCCCAAGTCTCTGGGGTCAATTCCCACTTGTGTTATGACAGCAAATATAATATGTAAAAATTTCGTAATTTGGAAATTGGAAAATGACTGTCACAGGTGATTGGAAACAGAAGAGAGACAGGAAGTTGAGGCAAAAACTTGTGAGGGGGGCATCAAGCTTACAACATAGGGTGGCTTTGCAGACCAGGACCATTTTGCTTGCAAATTATAGAAACCAGACCACAATAACTTAGGCATAAAAGGAAATGTATTGGCGTATGCAGTTAAAAAATCTGGAATCAGATCTATAGTTTCAAGCAAGGCTGGATTTAGGTGCTCAAACAATGTCATCAGGAACTTATCTCTCATCATCTCTGTGTTGATTTCATTCTCAGATAGACTCAGCCAATTATCATCAACAGCAGAAAAGAACATGCCACTTTTCCAATCGTTCCAGCAAAATCCCTACTTTTTTTAATTGGTCAGACCTGGGTCATATATTCATTCCCAGAAGCCATGATAAGTCAACCTGACACACATCGACTAGGAGTGGGGAAGGAAACTCCTTTCAAGGAAAAATCAGAATGAGGCAAACAAGAAGGAAATGCATACGGAGCAAGCAAAAATACCAGGCACTCATCCCAGAGAGCAGGGCCAATTGACAGGGGAAAGTATTGAGTGCTTGGGTGGGAGGTCAGAAACTCAGTAAGGTGCTGGGCCTTGAAGCGTTAATTCATCTAATACAGTAAATCTGGCTACACATGCTTTTCCAGTGGTATACTCCTGGTGCGATTCTTGCTGAACCTGTGCTTCTCAGATTCTGATTTAGTGGGTCTGGAATGGAGTTCAAAAGTCAACATTGCTAACAAACTCCCATGTGATGCTGATGTTGCTGGTTAGTGGACCACATTGTGCTAAAGCATTAACGTAAATAATTTCTAGCTGTGGTGAGTTCTGGCCTCTTAATTGCCCTGCCCTTGAATTGGTGAGAGGTTGGACGATTCTGTATGCCCTGTCTGTGTGCCCTTGGCAGGCTCCATCCTGCTATCATTCATCTCTCTCAGGGGTATTTGGGAATGAGAGGCAGCCTTTCTGCCAGAATTATGGGCTTCCTCATTTCTCTACCCCAGGACTGCATGGGTTTAAGGCACTGGACCAAAGGAAAGCCTTGGCATGGGGTTCTGGAAGGTTAGTTAGCTGGCCCAAGATCAGCATTTTATTTAATAAAAGGGTCAGAGATAATTCAGTTTCTTGCTGCTCACTTATTGCTCTTTGGCTATAGACTAAAGGGATTTGCCAAAGCCCAGATGACTATAGTTGCAGGAGTGTGTCCTGCTGAGGCCAGCTTCAACCAGCAGAACGGCCAAGTTGACCCACAGGTTGATGAGTCACACAAAATGGTTGTTGTGAGCTGCCGAATTTGGGGGAAATTTCAATACTGTATTATTATGGCAATAGATTACTAAAAGACTATCTGTGTGGATTTGGGAATTTTTTTTTAACCTCTGTAAGCCTCTGTTTTCTCTGTAAAATGAAGATAAACTCATGTAGGGTTATTGTGAAGATTAAATAGAATAAGAAGGAGGAAAAACTTGACCTAGTATTCCAATAAATAGCAGAATTAGAAATACAGTTTTCCTGTATACAGCCAGTCTTCAAGAAGCCTCATAGAGAAAGGAACTTTCTGGTAGAATTAAAAAGAGATGGTGTAGAAAAAGAAGAGAGAAGGGAATTTATTATTCCCTTTTGGTGTCAGGTGGTTTCACAGATCATCCAATATATTTTATAGAATTGTGTCTTCCCTACCAACTTATGTGGTAAGTTTTTCTATTCCCTTTTCATAGATGAGGAAACCAAGACACAAAAGCGAACTGATTTTGTTAACATCAGATAGTCAATGGTAGAGGACCTGGGATTAAAAAAGCGAAAACACTAAAAAATGAAAAATAAATACAAAAGTTAGATCTTTCACTCTAAATACCTTGCTCTTTCCACGATTAAACCCCAACTCAAACCTTAATCACATTACAGCTTTTATTTAAATATTTTTATTCAGCGCTCCCACTACAGAGTAAGAAAATACATGTCTTAAACAAACCTTTCAAAGATTACTTTCCTTTTTCTATTTAACTTATCTTTTCTTTCCAGAACCAGTCTCTCTCTCCATCTCTTTGAATTTCTCCCTGACTCTCCAGCTACATCTCTCTTCCTCTCTTCTCCCTGACTCTTTCTCTGTCTCTTTCTTTCTCTGCCTAACACAGGCTGTCTTCAGATCCTTGTAGTTAAAATTCAAGTGGAAAGCAAGTGACTCAGCAAGCTGGATGTTAATTTCTTTAGTTTATTTGTTCTTAAAGAAAAAAATTCTCTTGGCAGCATATCTAGAAAGAGAGAAATGAAAATTTTAAGGCTCTTGTAGGAAAAGCATCTTAGGTACACACAGTCTATATGGTATTTTTAAATTCAACCAGGCAGGAAAGGAGGCCCAAGCTCACAGCAGAGTTTAAATAAACCTCTTTACTGTTTGTGCTCACATGAATGAGCCATTTCTTCTTTCTATGTTTAGTGTCTGTAGGAAATCAGACCTAGGATTGCTTTTTTTTTTTTTTTTCTTTGAGAGGGAGTCTTGCTCTATCACCCAGGTTGGAGTGCAGTGGTGCGATCTTGGCTCACTGCAACCTCCGCTTCCCAGGTTCAAGCGATTCTTCTGCCTCAGCCTCCCAAGTAGCTGGGATTACAGGCACCCACCACCATGGCTGGCTAATTTTTGTATTTTTAGTAGAGATTGGGTTTCACCATGTTGGCCAGGCTGGTGTTGAACTCCTGACCTCATGTGATCCACCCACCTTGGCCTCCCAAAGTGCTGGGATTACAGGCGTGAGACAGCATGCCCAGCCCCTAGGATTGCTTTCGTCAAGTTTGATTCTTCACCTTTATCTGATTCTTGATTTGTACACATATAGCTTTTTCACTTTGTATTCATAGAAACAAAAGACTCAGAACCGTGTTGCCATTTGGTGCCATGTGACCTAGATTTGGATGAGGTATTGGTCAGCAAAGGCCATGTTATACTGCAGTAACAAACATCCTCATGCTCATAATGGCTTAATATAAGAAAAGTTTATTTTTCCTCTTGCTATGTGTCCAATGTAGATTAAAAGAGCCTTTCTTAATCGTCCTCACTAGTGGTTATCTGCTGATGGAGATTCCAACTTGGGATTCCATGACTGTCAATGTAGAGAGAAAGGGGGAATGAATCAAGCACAGTTACTTAAATGCTTCTTCTGGAAGAGACATTCATTACTCTTACTCATGTTTAAGCCAAGTCATGTGGCCTTTTTTTACTTTAGGGAGTGGGGAAGTGAGCCCTCCCACACCCCTAGAGAAGGAGAGCCAGGGTTTTATAAACAGCTCTAATAACTAGCCCAGATGGTCTCCCTGAAGTCAGGTAGGGTCCTTGCTTCTCCTGGACCAATAATAAAATAGGATCCAGGCTGATTCATTTTTCTCTTAGGTGAACTAACTTCTTTTCTTGGAAAGAAACGATGTCATATCTTATTGTGCAGCTTAGAAGGTTAACATGTACAAGAAATATCTGTGCTTTGAAAAAGATAACACAAAATTTTATTCTTTAAAATGATATGTACTTGGAGATAATACCCTTAAAAATAAGCAATGTCCTTTTTTAGTTATTTCTTGCTTCTAATGTTACCTGGAAAAAGTCTTACATTGCTCATGCTCTTGTTAGGAGTTATTAACTTTATTTTTAACCTATAATCCATAATTATCACTGAGCTCCAGGAAGTTGAAATTTTGTTCATATTGTAGATGTGAAATTTGGCTTTCCAAGGTGAACTGAACCTTCAAATATGTAAAATATATTTTAAGAAATTGCATGCATATGTTTAAATTTCAGCCAAATAAAAGTCCTCTTGTGATTTTCTAAAACATTTATCATATTTTCTACCAAATAGGATCGACAGAACTTGACTTAGAAAGCTGGCACACAGCTTCACGGAAGCAGCTTCTAGAGGAATGCTATCCAACATAACTTTCTGTGATGACAGAAATGTACTACAGCTGCCTTGTCCAATAAGGTGACTACTAGCCACATGTGGCCATTTAGTTCTTAACATGTGGCTACTGCCACTGAGGAACTGCATTTTAAATTTTGTTGAGTTTTGATTAGTTTAAATTTGTATAGCCACACAGGCCAGTGCTAGTATATTGAATAGCACTGCTCTAGAAGTTGGGCTTTCAACTGATTTTATTATTGTTGAACTTTAAAAACCGAAAATGCATCCTTAACTTGAAATAAAGGAAGCTCACATGTGCATTCTTGGTCTGCTTGCTGAGAACCTGAAACTGCCACAGTGATGTTTTCTAATTCTGGGGTGTGAGCATCTTTGAATTCTAGCAACTTGCAGAATCACTTATTTGGGGGTAGACTCTGGGTTAGGCCATGCTGGGTAGCATTTTTGGACTGTGGGATGGGATAGAGGGGGAGCTAGAGACTGTCCTCAAGAAGAACTATTACTTCAGTTGGTCTGGTGGCCCGATGACCTCTCCTGGTGAGACCAGTGGGCTCCAGCAGGTCACCTGAGGTGGTCAAGGAGAGGATCCTGCCAGCTCATGCTGCAGAAGAACTGAGGTTCACAAACATACAATCATCCCATAACTTACTCCTGCTGTCATCATCCCCCATCACTGTGGGGATCAAGGTTGACAGTTTTACATCTCCTTCTATTATTTGCCTCCCACCTCAGTATGCCCTCTCCATCATTCTGTAAAATTACATTTGCTGTTTTAGCCAATTTTTCTAGAGTATAAAACAAACATAATTTCATCCCTCCCTCAAGTATACACTCAAAAGACAAATGCTCACCCTACAAACCACCTCTTCCCAATATAGATATTTGGGAGTGGACATTGACCATCACCATCATCATCACCAGGAGAAAAGGGTTGACAACGCTCCTTCTCTGATTTGTCCAGAGTTGCCAATCCTTCTTAGGTCTAACAGGTGCCAGCCTCTGTGCTAAGCCCTCAGGATACAAAAATGAATTACAAAGGTTTCCTTTTTCAGTGAGCTCCCAACCAACAGCTGGAGATAGACATGTAAACAGTTGACTCGTGATAACACATAATAGTAGTGTGAGGTGTTTGAAAACAAAGGATAGGGAGTGACAAAATAAAATATTTAGAATGAGATTAATATTCCCCCTAGTTACTTTGAATTTAGAGAAAGAAATATTTCTAGGGCCAGGCTTGTTGGCTCATGCCTGTAATCCCAGCACTTTTGGAGGCTATGTTGGGAAGATTGCTTGAGGCTAGGAGTTTGAGACCAGCCTGGGCAACACAGCAAGACCCTTTCTCTAAAAAAAAAAAAGAAATATTTCCAAAAATGTTTATGGTAGAGATGGTATTAATACTCGCCAATCCTGATGCTTCTTTCTGGTCTCACAGGCTACGTTACCCAGACTCATTTTTTGTTTTTTCTTTGAGATAGGGTCTCACTTTGTCATTCAGGCTAGAGTGCAGTGGCGTGATCTCGGCTCACTGCAGCCTCAACCTCCCAGCTCAAGTGATCTTCCCACTTCAGCCTCCCAACTAGCTGAGACTACAGGCATGTGCCACTATGCCCAGCTAATTTTTAATTTATTTTTTTTTGTAGCGACGAAGTCTCCCTATGTTGCCCAGGCTGATCTTGAATTCCTAGGCTCAAGAGACCCTCCTGGCTCAGCCTCCCAAAGTGCTGAGATTACAAGCATGAGCCACCACACCCAGCCACTAGCCTCATTGTCATTTAGGCAGAGGCCATGTGACAAGGTTCTGGGCAAAGTATCTGGTCAAATTGACATGCCTCCCATAAAAACCTCCTGTTTTGTTCTTCATGTTCTCTTCTCTTACAGGAGCCATGGAAGTCAAATGCTGAGGATGGTGGCATCATAGGATGAATGGAGCTGGGTTCTTGAAACACTGCCTGGAGGAAAGACAGCAAAAATGCCTCATGAATCCAACTGGACTGTTAGGTGAGAAATAAACTTTAATTATGTTAAACTACTATAATCTGGGGGCCATTTGTTGTAACAGCTAGAATCAATTACCGTTACTAATATATTGTTCAAGTGGTTTCAATTGGGTTATCAGATATAATCCTTTTAATCTCCATATTTTACCAAAGAAGAAATGAAGTAACTTGCCTAAATTCATACAGCTAGTTTTTGGAAGTTCTAGGACCAGAACCCAGTCTCCCAATTTGCAGCCAAAGCTCAGCTCTGCAACGCCAAACTTGCCTCTATTCATCTATAAATAATTTTCAACAACTCTTGTATGACTGCTGGTAAAACAGAAATATGTAGATTGAATTTTATGGAAAATAAAAGTTGTCTTTATGGGGAAGAGAACAAGGTAACACTGAGGTTTACCAAAAGGGATTTATTTTGATATTAGCATATTTAGGTTGCTTATAAAGTGCTGAATTTAAAACATGGCTGGATTTATCTATCAGGACAATTTTAGGTTTATCATTAGGACAATGCCTTGTTATGTTGTGTGGTTTTGTTATTCTATGCCAGGTATATAAATTTATGCTTTGCTGGGAGGTTGGAACTATTTGGATACAACATATGGGTTCATCAATTACTGAGAAGAGTAGACTAACTTTTTCAAGACTCAGTATCATCAGATTGAGCTCTAAGTTTCTTAGTCCATGGACTTAATCCATAACATCCATATTTTCTAGAATAAAGTGGGACAAAAGAACCTAGAGTAATTCAATTTCTATGGCAAATGCTGTTGCTGGTATGATCAATAGCCATTCTTCCCTTCCATCATAGATATCAGAATCTTGATACATTTGGGTGGAACCAGCCTAGCCCAGGTGATGATGAATGGTGATGAACGTAAATCAGGAGTGGCAATCTTGGTCTCCCTTGCAAATGATAGTAGTGGGAGTGGAACCAAATTCTGGCTAATGAAATGTAACTAGATATCCACTGAAGGCTTCAGGAAACTATTTTCCTCTTTTCTGAGTGGAAAGTATGAAGAAGAGCCATTATTGTCTATCCCTACCTTCCTGCATCTGGATTTAATTGGGTGAGGATATGACTCTTGGAGTGGCAGCATCAGTTCAAGGAGGGGGAAACACCTGTCTGGGTTGGAGCATTCTGTTCTTCACATCCCTTTACAACACTCCATCCCTCAAGAGCACAATTGCTTGTTTTTCAAGTCATGGGAATTGAGCAATTAAAGATTGGGCTTTGTATAGGAACTATAGGGTTCATGTCCCCACTCCACTTCTCTGACATATTGGCCTGGTTACCGTACTGTCTCTCTACTCTGAGTATGAGTAATACAAATAATGCCTGCCCTCAAATTTCTTATTTGTAAAACTAGGATAATAAAAATCTACTTGATAGTGTTATTGGAAGACTTAGATTAGTTTATTAAACTAATGTTTACTGAGTGCCTACCATGGGCCAAAAATTGTGGAAAGCACTTATGATGCTAAGTGAACAAAGTAGACATGGTATCCTGCCCCCATGGGATTTCAAATCTAGTAGAAAAGACAGGCAAGAAAACACATATTGTTAAGTAAATACACCAAGAATCAGCAATCGTAATATTTTCAATGAACTGAATAGGATGGGACAATGGAGAAAAATGGTGGGACAGGAAGACCACTTTAGACAGGGTGGCCAGAAAAGGCCTTCAAAAGGTGGCGAGACTTAATCTGGGATAAGAAAGAGGTAAAGGAAGACACCAGGCAAAGAGCAAGAAGCAAGGAAAGAGATTTTTGTAGCAGATTAAAGAGCAAGAGCAGAAGCCTTCAGATGAGGAAGAGCTTGGCTATTTCAGGAGAAGCAAGAGGGCAAACATGGGCTGGGCATGGTGGCTCATACCTGAAATCTTAGCACTTTAGGAGGCTGAGGTGGGTGGATCACCTGAGGTCAGGAGTTCGAGACCAGCCTGGTCAAAATGGTGAAACCCCCTCTCTACATGTAATTATAAAAATTAGCTGTGCATGGAGGCATGCTCCTGGTGTCCCAGCTACTCAGGAGGGAGGCTGAGGCAGGAGAATTGCTTGAATCTGTGAGGCAGAGGTTGCAGTGAACTGGGATTGCACCACTGCACTCCAACCTGGGTGACAAGGTAAGACACTGTCTCAGAAAAAAAAAAAAAAAAAATTGGGCAAATGTGGCTGGAATGTAGTAAGTCAAAGAGTGAGAGTGGCGGGAAGAAAGACTGGAGAGAAGGAAAGGAAATAGGTCATGGAGGGTCTCATGGGCCATGATACTCAGCTTGGATTTGATTCTAAGCATGATGAGAAGTTTCTGAATGGTTTAAGCAGGGAACCGACATGATCTTCTAGGATTTTTAAACCAAAAATAGCTTTTGTGTAAAAAAGGTTTGGAGAGGTTCAGAAGGGATCAGACAGGAGGCTACTGTAGTGCTGTTGGCATAAGACACTAGCAGCTTAGACTGGCAGAAATGATGTGAGTGGAGTGGACAGAACTAAATGGATTAAGAAAAATTCAGAAATTAGAATCAGCAGGACTTTCTGATGGATTGAATGTGGAAAGTGAAGGAAAGGAAGAATTAAATGGTATCGTCCAGAGTTTTGGCTTGAAGAACTGGACAGATAAGGGGGCCACTTTTCAAAAGGAAAACATTGAAGAGGTTTTTAGATGGGGTAAACATCAAATTTGGTATAGATTTTTTTAATGGCTATGAGATGTCTACATGGAAGTGTAGATTGGTGTTGAATACGTGTCTACACATATGTCTAAGCTGGTATATCAGTTAGCTATTGCTGTGTAACAAACCACACCAAAAGTCAGCAGTTTAAAACAATAACTATTTTGTTACCCTATGAGGTTGCAGGTTGTTTATTTAGCTGGGTTAAGCTGGGGGGACTCATTTAGTCTTGCTTGAGTTACCTCATGCATCAGTAGTCAGCTGCAAGTTGGTTAGATGGCTTTGCTTCCAGGGGTTGGTTGATTGTCAGTGAGTGTAATGTTCCATGTGGTTTTTCATTCTTTAGTGGGCTGCCTTGGGTTTGATCATATGGTAGACGGAGGGCTCCAAGAGTAAGCACAGGCTTAAAGTTGGTAATGCAGTTGGTATTCCCCAACCTTCTATTGGCCAAAGAAAGTTATAGAGCCAGTTCAGATTCACTGGGTAATGAAATAGATTCCACCTCTTGATGTGAGTTGTTGCGATGTGACTTTGCAACAGCTCACGTCAAGATATGAGAGGGATATAGAAAGGCCATTAATTGGGGCCGTAAATGCAATTAATTGGCTGTAGTACGGGTTATAACTCAAGAGTCTTTAGCTTATAGGTGTTATTTAAAGCCATGGGACCAACTGAACTCGGCCAGAGAGAGGTTTAGATGAAGAATAGTTGAGTTCTAGGAAACTTAAGCATTTTGTCAATAATTGATTAAATAATTTGTCAGTGAGGTTGGTGACAGCAAAAAGACTTAGAAGCAAAGGCCAGTGATATAGAAGATAAAATAGGAATCGAAAGCATGTGGAGCAGAGATTTGTGTGTATTAATGTTTAATAAACTGAGTCTGATATAGTTCATATTCATTTACTCAGGGTGTCCTCATTCCAGGGCACTTAGCTACCACTATGTTAGAAAAAATGTGTGGTATAAACTACAGTCCTACTATCCGGCCATGTAGAATATATCATTGAGTTGGAGAGACAGCCTCATGCTTACATAAAGTTAATAACAAGGTAGGACAACTATACAGGTGTTTCTCAAGAGCCCATCAGTGAGACTTTTTAAATAAGATAACCCTTTTGCTGGTTACATGAGTGTTTTAAGTTTGTGAAAATTCATCAGATCACATAGTTATTACTTGTGTGTTCTTCTATGTCATTGTTATACTGCAATAAAAATTTTAAAACACACACACATAGCCTTACTCCTCTGGATTGTTGATGCCTCAAAGTGGTTTAGTTTGATTAAATGTGCTAAATGTCTTTTCATTAGAACTTACTTTTATTATTTTCATTTGCATATATGTGTGATATAGTCATATATATTTCAGAGCCAAAATTTAGAAAAAGAGGCTTCAAAATAAACAAAACAAATTCCTTCTCTTTGTAAGCAATTTAATCATGATTGATTTTTAAAATTTTTAATAGTTTTGAAAAATATTTATTATCTTTGTCTTCTATCCCAGCTTAAATGAATCTCCAATATGTAAAAGGAATTTAGTTTTCTGCCTTAGCATGCATTGTCCATTTAACACAGAGCAAAATAAAATTCAAACAAGAGAAACTGCTTTTTGTTAGAAATGTACGCTAATAAAAGGTATAGAAGCCTCTTTTGAATAAGAAGACTCAAGAACAAAATTGGAACAGTTAGAAAGAAAAGAAGACCTTGCAGAAATTTTTTAGAAGGCCAAATCAGATAGGGGTTTGCTTGGAAAACTGGCATAGGGACAAATTGGCTGGGTCAAAAAGGAAAGCAGCTTTTAGAAAATTGGCTATGGAAACAATCAAAGCATCAAAAGTTGGTAAGAATAATTTAAGATGCTGGGGAGGAGGGAGGCAAGACAGCTCAGATCCTCAGGAGGTTTGCATCATGTTCTGTGAAAAGTTGAAATAGAAGCAAGCCCTCTTAAAACTAATGCAACTAAAAAATTATTATTAACTGTGTGTCAATGGCCTGTGAGCATAGCCAATGGCTGAACTCTCATAGAGCTGGCTGACTTGCAAAGCACTTAGAAATGATGAGATACAAGGACATTTAATTCAGATGAAAAAACTGAGGCCCAGGGAGACTAAATAATTAGCCAAAGGCCATCTGACTAATAAATGGTTGAAACACTAGAGCTAACAATAAAGACATACAGAACTGGACTGAATTAAAACCTTAAGGTTTCAACAGAGGCCTGCCCTGTTTCTGTGGGTAAACCATGCAAAATATTGACGTTGTAAAGGATGAAGTTGGTGTGGATTTTTTTTTTCCATATTGGTCAAGGCCAGTGACAGCAGCAGTGAGAGTGCCAGAAGTGCTCTACAACAGGTAGGATGGAGACTGATTTCTGTAAGAGTGAATGCAGCAGTTTAGAATAAAATGGCCACAGATTCTCAGATACTCCTTTCATTGAGAGCTTGGGGGTCTATATCTCCTCCCCTGGATCTGGGTAGGCTTGTGACTGCTATCTGAATAATGGATTGGGGGTTGGAGGTCAAGGAGAGAAGCCAGGGCACCAGTTAAGAGACTGTTGCTGCCACATAGGATGATGACAACTTGAACCCTAACCCTAACCCAAACCCTAACCCTAACCTCTTTTCTGGAGGTTAAGTGAAGACAAAGTTTCTAAATATATTTTGGAGGCAGAATGAACGGGACTTGGTGATAAAATGGATGTGGGATGGTATGCCTTGAGCAACTAAGTAGTGTCAATTTCCCCAGATAGGAAAAGCTAGGCATAGAACCCCAAAGTTCTATTTTAGCCATGTTCCATTTGGGGTGACAATAAAATATCCTAATTTCTATTTGGGGTTGGAAGTCAAGTGGGAAATTGGATTTACAAACCTAGGGCCAAAGAAAGAGTTCTGAGGTAGACATATAATTTTTCTTATTAAACAAAAATCAGTTTTTAAAACTTGAATTATTCTTTTGACACAGCTACGTTGGCTGTGGTCTTAAATCCTGTAACTTTTGATGTCCTTTTGGGCTTCCCAATCACTTCAGCTCCAGGCTTATTCCTGTAACACCAGTGTCATCTTTCTCCATCTTCACTTTGGTGTCTATGAATATTTTTTTCAGCCCTCTTCTCTTCTTATGAAGTAAAGCAAAGGCTGACCAGATTTCTGGACTCTTAGCAGCAGCATCAGAAAAAAAAAAGGTCAAGATCTGGAGCTTAAATGGCTCCATACCATATATTTGTAACTTCACAGCAGCCCCCAGAGTTAAAGAAAAATATTGGAGGTCCTAAGTCTGAGAAAAAATTGGTGCTCCATCATTAGTTTGCCTATGAAATTCTGTAACTCGACATGGCTGATTACATCCATTTTTTTTTTCGGTCTATAGAAGCATGAAGGGATGCCTACCTTTCCAGATCTAATAACTTCCCATGGGACTGTAATGATGGTTAGTCCCTTACACCAAAATCCCCACTATTCCTCTTTCAGAATTGCCGTTATTTTCCCATTAGGACATTTCTATTCCTGGAGCTTGTTATCCTGACCCCATTAAGTCATAGCTTTGGAAAGACACACTTATTTAATTCCTGTCCTCAGAAATCATTCCCATTATTTCTTTATTTCATTGATTCTTGCTCTGCAGTATTTGTAATTGGTTCTTGTCATAGGAAGTCAAGAGGCTGAAAAGAGTAGAAAGGATGCTTTTCTCCAAGATATGACATATGCCTACCTGTATAGAACTGTTGTTTTCGATTTCTGCTCTTAGGAATATAACTGGGAAATGCCCCACCAATACCCTGCTGAAGTATAATGGGGAAGGGGGAGGGCAGTTCATTAGTGTCAACAATTTTGTCAGAGTGGAAATTAGCATCTCTCACAAATGGATATGATCACAGACTTAGGCACAGATCAGTCTGGGTATATAATGCTAGTCTGACTTAGCAGCTTGCTATCTGACCTTGAGCACAACCATTTAATATTTCTGTAAAATGTTCCCCTCATCTAAACTTTTGCACTTCTAGCTCATCTTTACCCTTCAAATCTCAACTCAAATGTCCTTCCTCTGAGAGGCCTTCTCTGCCTGCCCTCCCATGTAAAGAAACCAGCTCCATTTCTGGGTAATTATTCTCTCTTTTATTACTTTATTTCCTTCCTTCTGCTTATGATAATTATCAGAAATTGTCTTATTTACAATGTTTGCTTATGTGCTTATTTCTGATTCAACTGCTACTTTATCCCTAGCTCAGGATAGGTGCTCGGTTAATTAATGAAATGTCTGTGCAAGGCCAAAATCACTAGCCAGTCTGGTGAGAAGACTCAATCCAAATGATTATTTGCTATCCTCTGCTTAGCACTGTCCACTGGAAATATAATGCAAACCACTTATGTAACTTTAAATGTTCTAATCATCACATCAGAAAAGTCAAAAGAAACAGGACAAATTAGTTTTATATTGTATTCTACTTTACCCAATATATCAACATATTTCAACATGAAAGTTATTAACATAAAAATTATCAATGACTTTATTTACATTCTCTTTTTTATAGTATATTTTTTGAAATCTTGTATGTATTTGTTACATGTAGCACATTTTAATTTGAATGTTAAATTTTAATTCGGAATACTCGATCTGTGTTTAGATTTTGTAAGATTTATAGTTGAAAGAGGAAATTCACATACCCAAATTGTTCCAAATACGTTTAAATATTTTTCAATACTCTAATCAAGCAGCAGGTTTTAAATTTAAGTTTAAATGAATTAAGATGAAATAAAATTAAAAGTTCAGTTCCTAGTTACAATAGACACATTTGGAGTGCTTAATGGCCACATGTGGTCAGTGGCTACCATACTGCAATTCTAGATCTTGCCAAACATTTCTCATCATGTTGTCTTGTGGAAACATGTTCTTACAATCAGGTTATGTTATTCCAAAAGGAAGAAGAGAAAGGAACTTGCATGCATTAAATGGAGGTATACAGCGGGCACTTTGGTAAATGTTTTTTAAACAACCCTTGTAATGAATCTATGAGGCAAGTTTCATCATACTCATTTTATACATTGGGAAACTGAAGGTTGAGAGAGAGTTTGCTGCAGGCCCATAATGTCCCTCTTCCACTCCAGCGGTTTTTGGCTGAGAAGCCAGTGAGCAAAGGGAAGCTCACTCTCAGCTTTCTACGCGGTCCTCCCGACATCTTCCCAAGCACTACCCCGACCATCTGAGAGCACACCTGGCTTCTTCTCCTCAGGTAGAGGCAACGCAAAGTAGGCTTTCTGCTTCTCACTCTTGCAGAACCTGGGGTTGAATGGCCACAGGTGAGGCCCTCTTGCCTAAGGAATAGAACTAACATCCTTCTCCCCCTTTAAAGGGCTGAGAGAGCGCTGCCTTATCTCAGAGCCAGAGTGTAGACAATTGAGATCTTTCCCCACGGTTCTATGGGAAAGCCTCTGGGTTGGGATGGCCTCTGGGGATATGGAAACAAATTGGGCTGCAATCAGTTAAAATCTTCTGCATTATTTAACGTAGACAATGCTCCTTCTATCCTTTGAAAAAAATAGTATATTTATTTGTATTTTTATTTCATTTTTTAATTTTATTTTTTTTGAGACAGAGTCTCACCCTGTTACCCAGGCTGGAGTGCAGTGGTGTGATCTCAACTCACTGTAACCTTTGCCTCCCAGTTTCAAAAGATTCTCCTGCCTCAGCCTCCCACCTGAGTAGCTGGGAATTACAGGCATGCCACCATGCCCGGCTAATTTTTGTATTTTTAGTAGAGAGAGGGTTTCGCCATGTTGGCCGGACTGGTCTCAAACTCCTGACCTCAGGTGATCCACCCGCCTTGGCCTCCCAAAGTGCTGGGATTACAGGTGTGAGCCACTGTGCCTGGCCAATTGTATATTTAAAACAAGTTTGACGTGCCCAGTCATAATCTATCTTTACGCACTCAGTTTCTCAAAAGGGTTTGGGGGGGAAATAATTTTGATGGCTTTATATGTCTAAGATTACCACTTGAACTTCAATATCCCCTTTCTCTTCTTCTTTGGTGGCAGAACACCTTATTTTTAGCTGGGCACATACATCTCCCCTGAGAACAAGAACAACATTTCTCAGCTTTCCTTGCAGATAGGTGTGGTCATATGACTAAATTGGGCTAATGCAGTGTATGAGGAAGTGTTGTGTGAGGCTGATGAGCAATTTCCTTAGAAAATGAGCCTTTACCCTTCTTTACTTCCTTCCTCTACTGTGCAGGCTGGAATGCAGGTTTGATGTCTGGAGTTTCAGCAGCCATTTTGAGCCATAAAGTGAAGGCCAAGAGCAACAAAATAAAAGAAGCTCATATTCTTGGCACCGTGGAGTGCTAAATCTGCCCTGCACTATTTAAATTTAAATTTTTTTTATGTGAGAGGAATATAAACTTTTATTTCTTTAAGTCACTGTTTGCATTGTCTATCATAGGCATCTGCACCCAAATCAAATTCTAACTGAAACACACACTTCTGAAGTAGAAGACAGTTATGGAAGTGAGTGTTCTGCAACTGAAATGGCCCGATTAATTAGGTTACACATGGAGATGAGAGGTATGAGGCCTCACTTAGTCTGCTCATTATTAAAATGTATCTGATCTGTAGGCCCATCATCCATATTTATTCATGATGTAAGAAATTTGCATTAGATTCTTAGATTAAATATTAGGCCAGATGTAGAGACTACAACATTTTCCACATCTTGTTCATTTTACCATTTTTTATCTATTGATACATATTTATTTTTAAATTTCCTTTTGTTTCACTTTTACCTATATTTTTTGATTCAATATTTCTTTTGTATCTTTTCTTTTCTTTTTTGAGACAGGCTGTCACTCTGTCACCCAGGCTGGAATGCAGTGGCACAATCATGGCTCATTGCTGCCTCGACCTCCTGGTTCAAGCCATCCTCCCACCTCAGCCTCCTGAGTAGCTAGGACTACAGGCATATGCCACCATGCCTGGTTAATTTTAATTTTTTGTAGAGATGGGAGTCTTACTATGTTACCCAGGCTGGTATTGAACTCCTGGGCTCAAGCCATCCTTCCACCTTGGTCTTTCAAAGTCCTGGGATTACAGGAATGAACCATCATGCCCAGCCTGGTTCAACATTTCCACATTAGACTTTCCAATGTTATTTTTCACAGACACAGAGAGAGAATCATTACCAAGTGGAGTATTTTTCTGGTTAGGGCAAAATGGCACAAGGGTTGAACAAGGAAGAAGACAAGGTTGGCTTTCTGGGCTGTCAGAAAGTTATGCTTGTGATGTTGGCATCATTACCCAAGTATGGTTAAGAACGTGCAAAGGACATATGCAAAAAGTACATGTGCAGGAAGAAGACAGAAAGGAAGTGCCCAAATTGAGAGCAGTTGTTACTCTCTGGAGAATGGAATAGAACTCACACTATTATTTTTCATCTTATATACTTTTGGATTATTTGTTGTGTTTTTATCCTTAGAATCAGCATTTTTTATTCTATAATTTGAGAAATAGAAATTAGTCAAGAGGTGCATAGTCAAGAGGTGGTAGTGATTCTAAAGTCACAGAAACCATGGGAATGTTCAGCTGTGCCTCTGTCCAAAAGCCATTCACAGACCTAAGACCACATTCTGGAAAACCTTAGCTCCTGCTTGGATCTGCCCTTGTGTCTTCCAGGAGAGTTTCCTCTTTCCTGCTTAATCAATACAGGAGAGTTGTTTCTGGGTAAGTAGTAGGAGGGCAGTGAAATGCTGGGCCAGGCTGAGGGTTACCTGCAGACTGGGTCAACACAGACTCCAACCTAAATATTTACCCAGGTGCTGATTGCATGACTGTGCTTTCATTTTGTCATCACACTGTTTGCTGAGTTCCCTGAAATACCCTACTTCCTCTTACTCCAGACATTTTGCTATTCTTCCTCCCAGGAATCTATTTCTCTGTCCAGCTTCATGGTCATTGGCTTGTTATTGTAGATGATTGCATTAAAGGTCACAGATTTCCATGCCTCCATTTACCCACAGCTTTGGTTAGTGACCTTCCATACTGGTTCTGGGCTTGGCTGAGATGTGTTTAGCTAGGGAGACAGTAGCCAACTCATTGAAAAAAGTGGCTCAAAAAAGGGCATGAACATTTTGGCTTTCTCTCTTTCCCTTGGATCCTTGCCACAATCTAGAGAACAGGCTTGAGCTGGCCTGCTGGAAGGATGTGAAAGATACATGGAGCAGAGCCAAGTCATCCAAGCCAAGGCCACCCTGAACCAGGAACTGAGAGCTAATTCAGCAGCTGAGAGTGGATGCCAGAACAAGCCCTGCCAAGATCAGCCAAGACCAATCCAGATTTGCAGAACTTCCTAGTAGAAATGTAAGCGCATGAGAAATAACAAATGGTTGTTGTTTTATGTCACTACGTTTTGGGATGGTTCGTTACATAGTAACAGCTAATTGCTTCAGTTGCACATTCCTTTCCTCATCTGCCTTCCTCCTTCCACCTTACCACAAGCACATCAGCCCGTTTCTAAACAACTGCCTCATTTCCAATTCTCATAGCTTCCTTGGTCACATCTTCAAATACTTCCAATAGCTTGCATTCCACCCATAAGCCTGCAGAAGAGAGAGAGAGATTAAAAAAAGAAATATATTGAGGATCCTAGTGGTGGCCTATTTCATATGAGAGGGGCAAGGATTAAACTCTCCGTCTGCCCTGGGACGCAACTGAGGCAGGCAAATGCTACATTACACTGGGCCAACTGACTGGTTTTTAAGATGACTGTTCTTTCACCTACAGAGCCTTCATTCTCTTCCTTTTCTTGCTTACTTCACCACTAACACCATAGATTTTAGTCAATCTCTTCATAGCCAGAAAGCACATAATTAAAGGGCAAACTCATAACTTTCTATTCATAATTTAGAGAAGGAGGAATAAAAAGAAGGAAAGCAAAATATTTAAGTTAATATAGTTACAGGCTCTGTATATTGGCTCGATGCTGGTGGACACATGGGAAACTCATGTTGTGGCCAACAGGAAAATTATGAATCACCATCCCATTGATTCAGAACTGTGTGGTATGAACAGGTCACATAGTGATTACACGTTCCAGCTCTGCCATTTAACACCTATGTGACTGTATCAGTTTTCTCTGTGTAACAAACCTCTCCCAAATTTTGTGGCTCAAAACAACCATTCACTCATAATTGTTCATGAATCTATGGATCAACTAAGGGTTCTGCTGATTCAGGTTGAGCTTGCCTGATCTTGGTGGGGTTTGGTCATGCATCTGTGGTCAGCTGGAGGTTTGGCTGGTGCTGATTGATTTCATATAGTGACATGAGAATGATTGGAGTCTCTCTCCACATGGTCACGCATCACTTAACACGCTAGCCTAGGTTTATTCACTCAATGGTCACGGTGTTCCAGAGTATGCAAGAGAAGAAATCCTAGTGCATAAGCACTTTCCAGGCCTCTGCTGGCATCACACTTGCTCTGTCCTATTGGCTGAAGCAAGTCACATGGCCAAGCCCAGCATCAGCAGGGAAATGTACTACCAACAGATAGATTCAGAGAGGCAGGAAAAATATTGGGGCCATTATGGCATTGATTCACCACAGTGATGTTACATAAATCTCTTGGTTTCTCTGAGCCTCAGTTTCTACCTCCAAAAAGTGGATATAGTAATATTAGCCTGTTGTGGGTTATTATGTTCCCCAAAAGATATGCAGATGTTCTAACCCCTGGTAGTTATGAATGTGACCTTATTTGGGAATAGTACCTTTGCAGGTGCAATCAAGTTAAGATGAGGTCATTAGTATGTGCTCTCATCTAATGTGACTGGTGTTGTTATAAGAAGAAGAAAACATCACATGAAGATAAAGACCCACAGGGAGAATGCTATGCGATGACTGATGCAGAGATTGGCATAGCACAGCTACAAGCTTGTGAATGCCAAAAATTGATGGCCACCATTAGGAACGAGGAACAGGCAAGGATGGATTCTACCCAGAGTTTCAGAAAACATGGTCCTGTGAACACCTTGATCTCAGACTACTAGTCTCCAGAACTGTGATACTACATTTAAGCCACCCAATTTGTATTACCTTGTTATGGCAGGCCTAGTAAACTTAAACAGAGCCCAACTCATCTGGCAAAGCTTTTATCAAGGTTGAGTAAGAACAGTTACTGCTGATGGACGGACTCTAGTCCTACAAATGGTTATTCTGAGATAATGCAAATCTTATAGTTTCCTATTTGTAGGAGGCTGTTCAGGCAGGGTGGAGGTTATATAGTTGCTGGAGCATCAGATCAGCCTCAGATCTCTGGTGTTAGAGTCCCTGGGATTTCCAAGGGAGGAAAATGCCAGCATTGCTTGTCCTCCTGTCAGCTTCCCTCCTGGTTTGTAGTGTTACCGGGGCTCCTGACAGATCTGCCTCCACCAATCCCTGAGCTTGAAATGCCTGCAGGGCCGGGGATTTTCCCCTTTGCTAAAGGAGAAGCCCCAAGATCTGGTAGCTGGCCTTGCTCCCATGTAGCTCTAGCTCTGGGAGCATTTCAGGAAGGCAGAGCCTAATTTAATCTTCCTTATCTTGTGATTTCAATACTTCAATACTGTGTCCTCCATTTATACTTTCTTATTATGCAGGGAACATGGTTCCAGACGTTGCTAGAGGCAGTAGTAGTTGTTTTTGCAGGCAAACACAGGCAGGGAAAAGCTTGCCCTGTGGGCTGCGGGAAGTCTCACATCTCCCTGGGCATTGGATGAGGCTAAGTACATGAAAGGGCTCCCAGAATGCACCACTGGATTTCTCCCAGAATGCTCCCTGTTGCCTTCCCTAATTTGGCTCACCCTATTCACTTTGACTTGAGAAGGCTTTCTACCATCTCTCAATGCTAAAATGGTTCTTAAACTTGGAGAACTTTAAGACAAGTAAAAATGGAGAGAATATAGGACTTGAAAGAAAGACCTGAGTTTAAGATTCATATTTCACACTTACTGGGTGTCTTTAAGCAAATCACTTAACATCTCTGATGTTGAATAATTACTATTATTATTATTATCTGGTAGACAGAGTAACCTCATTCTGAGAGTCAGCTACCATAATGGGCCTGAAAGTGCTAAACTGTGTAAGACCATTCAATTTAGGAGGAGAAAATTTACTCATTCATTCATCTAACTAATAACTATAGGAAGCCTGTTCCATGCCAGGTTCTCTACTAGATGTTAGGGATGTGAATGAACAATATAGTTGAAGTCTCATAGAGCTTACATTCTAGTGCAGGAAATAGGCAATAAAATAGCAGACAAAAAATGACATAATTGCAAATAATTACAAATTATAATAATTGCTAGGAAGGAAGCCAATTGGATCTTAAGCAACATGGACCAAATTGATAATGTCTGCGTTTGAAGGCTCTAATTCTCTGTACCTGGAGGAAAAACCAGGAAGGGGTGTGATAGGGATAGATTTTTTTTTTTTTTGAAGCGGAGTCTTGCTCTATTGGCTAGGCTGGAGTGCAGTGGCAGAATCATGGCTCACTGCAACCTTCCTTGAAGTCCTAAGCTCAAGTGATCCTCCCATCCCAGCCTCCCAAGTAGCTACGACTATAGGCACACACCATCGTGCCTATTTTTTTTTTTTTTTTAGTAGAGATAGGGTCTTGCCACCATGCCCAGCTAATTTTTGTTGTTGTTGTTGTTTCTCAGTAGTGACAGGGTCTCATTATGTTGCCCAGGGTGGTCTTGAACTCCTGGACTCAAGTGATCCTCCCACCTCAGACTCCAAAAGTGCTGGGATTACAGACATGAGCCATCTAGCCCAGCCCATTTTTTTTTCATGTATTCTGAATTTCCTGTTGACCTGTTTTTCTTACTGCCTTGCCATTCTCTACTTATTAAGTCACTGGCATATGTATTTTCATGGGATGGCAGGGGCCCCTAGACAATAAGAGGTGTCACTGAATCACAACTTAAAAGTTGAATGAAACAAAAGTTTAGAAAGCTAACTTTTGTCAGCAAAGAAAAAATTAAAAATAGTTAAGCCTTTCTTTACATATTAAGAGCAATGTGTGGAGACTGAACACAGAGTTTCGCTGTAAAGCAGAGTAGAAAAACTTAGCTTACATTAAAAGGAAAGTTTCAATGAGACAGAAAGGAGTAGAAAGTTTCCCACCACTGAAAGAGAGAGGGAGAAAGAGAAACTGAGGGGCAGGAGGTCAGATATGAGTGAACTGGTTCCTTCTAGCAGATAGACAAAACCTTTAGAAAGATAGTTTTAGATGATCACTTAAGATGATTATTTTTGAGCAATTAGCTTCGTATTTGCCTGCTCTTTATTGATAGACTGACTATTTTGATAGCTGCCCATCTTACCTCACACAGTCCATAGTGACCAGAGAAACTGAACTCACCTTTGGTTACTGGGGTGGGGCTTAGTCTCAGCAAAAATTATGGTAATCCCAATCCCCTTGATGGCAATTGGTTCAGAAACCCAGGCGTTCGTCAGTCAGCACATGGTATTCCTCTGTCCATTCTTACTTGTTCTGAGATGACCCAATGAAGATGGAGGAAAAGTTTTTAAATACAAGGTTACAGAGAAGTTTTCTATTTTTCTTTCCCATTGGTGATGGAGGAAGCAGGCTCTCCATACAGTAGTCATTCCCCCCGTCTCCATGATTTTATTTTGATTTCTGCATCTCGGTTACCTATGGTCAACCACAGTCTGAAACTATTCCATGGAAATTTTGAGAAATAAACAATTCACAAGTTTTAAATTGTGCACCATATCCATATTGTACATGCTACCACACATTAGTCATTTAGTCCTCTCGGCTACCAGATTGACTGTTGTAGTATTATAGTGCTTGTGTTCAACTAACCCATATTTTACTTACGGTTGTTAATCTTTATGGTACCTAATTTATAAATTAAACTTTATCATAGTATATATGGATAGGAACAAAGATAGTATATATAGCATTTGGTACTATCAGCAGTTTTAGGCATCCACTAGAGGTCTTGGAACAATTCCCTTTTGGATAGGGGGGTATTACTGTACTATTTACAGCCAACTTCTGGCTATGCAGAAAAGTCAGCTTTGGAATGAAGTCAACAGTGTGGATTTCATAGTGAAGAGATGGAAATAACCCATGTCCCAGCTGACATTGCTGAGCCCCTGAATTAACCAAACCTAATGCTAGACTTTTCATTTTGTGCTATAATGACGTTCTTTCTTGTTTAATCCAGTTTGAGTCAGGGTTTCTGTTATTTAGAGCCAAAAGCATCCAAGATGATACAGTGGGAGAAATAACCAGACAGTTTTGGAGGAATGCCAGAACAGGGAAAATTATTCCTCACTTTTACCAGCAGATCCTAGAACATTTAAAGACCTTAAGATGAGTCCTATGCCAACAGGGAGATGTCAAAAAAGAAAAGAAATGAACACATGATAGTGTTAAATACCAAGAAAGCTTATTTCGCCTGCCTTAGCCTGAGAATGCTTTACAGAGAATTCACTTTCCTGCATGCCCCAGGAAACTGACTTATGACTCCACCAAAGGACTCTCAGTAAAGAATGTGGTGATTTTGTAGAAGAGGCCTGTAGGGTGGGTCACTCAGGCTCTAGGTTGAATGGGAATCATTGCCATGTCCCAGAGGAGGAATTTCAACACCAAGACCCCCAAAGAAAGACAATTCAGCAAGGACAGACTATAAATTACACAAGACCCATCAGCAATAGATGCAGCAAAATTAGAGTTTTCCCTGGTAGGGTATATCTGAACTTGAGGTCACTGGGAGCCAGCAGAGAACAATATGTAGGTAAGAACATAAACTTCTACCTGTTCCCAAACACTGTATTAGAAGGAAAGATCAGGTTGTGAGATCCACTGAGAAGGAAGAGATAACAATCCTTCTAGAGCATTTGAATAAAAAGTGATTAATTATTTGCCCAAATGAGACTGAGTTAATCTGAAAGAGATGATGTTAAACTGGTAGTGATGGATTGCACCATTTGTCCTAATTCTTTGCCCAACCCTGTATTCATGTATCCTTTTTCAGGTGATCTCATAATTCCTCTTTCTATGAGGTAGCGTCTAGAGCAGAGTCTATTTCCACACTCCTTGGATCTGGGGTTGGTCACTTGACTTGCTTTAGTGAATGATGCAGACTGTAGTTGTATTTAGTTATCTATCATCTGTCTCTCCTTTCCCACTTAAGGATACATTAGCTATGGGTACAGGGCAGATTAAGACACTTAACCAACCCAAATGTGGCCTGCACAGTCCACACGGCACCCAAGTCCACCCCATGATAATACGGGTATGGGCCAGTTTAGACATTTTTATCTGATGGAGATTTGAGTTCTTCCCAAGACTGAAAGCTGCTGGTCTCACAGAGCATTGCTATCCAGACCACTGGGGGCAGCACTGCATTTGGCCCAAGGATCGCTTCTTTCTGGCTAAGAATCTTATTGCTTCTGTCCTTGCAATAGGGATTTCCCAGAGATGGTCTTCTTCTAGGGTTCATATCCAATCCCACTTAAGATTTTGATGTTGAAACAAAATATTTTATTTTTTTTCTGTGGAATACTTCATTTTACTTTTCTAATGTGAGAGTAACAGCTAACTGAATGCTATTATTTCCCAGCAGTCTTAAAAGGCAAATTGAAGGACTGAGGCCCAGGAGCTACCAAGCTGGAGGCTTCTTTGAATTATGCACTTAGGTGACCAGTATATTTCAGACAAGAACTCAAACAAGGTCTAGGCTGACAACTTTGCTCCTTCTCAAAGCAAAGATGGCCTATGAAACTAGTGAGAACAAAGACCAAAGAAGGAAGAAGGCCTGCCTTCTGGCACACAGGTGGCAAATGCTAATTTTTTTATGTCATTAACAACATTAATAATATTGGCAGATAACAAGCATCATAAAAATCTCATCAAAAATGATAAAAGCTGTGTTTGGCACCACAACGTCACTTGGAAACTGGCCTCTGTTTAATAGTAATTGTCTGAATCACTAAGAATATTTGCCTGTTCCAGGCTTATCACTGGGACTAGCTCTAACAACCGTCAGCATTTATTTATTTTTTCTTTCCTTCATGAGCTAAGTTTCCCTGCATTATTAGTACACAGAGGACTTCTGAGATGAAATGAAGCTTGGTTGATTTACTGCATCTCCTGCTGCCACAGCGTGTGCTGGAAATGAGACTTTGTGCCCAGGAATAGTGGAAAGGGGCACCTGTTCCATGTCCTGCTTCTGCCTCCCAGCCAAGGATCTCTGTGGATGCCTTCCAGACAGTTAATTTAACTGGTTTCCTTGGATGGGCCAACAGCACAAGCTCTGGGCTCTGGCAATTCCCAAGATAGGACCTATTTACCACATACCTTGTTTTGCTGACTGCAAAACTCTTGTTAGAACATGCTTATTTCTTCCCTAAACACTTAAATCATCTTTCTAGTTGAAGCCTGCATATCCTTTGTGGAAACACATGGATCCTACATCTAGTTTCTTTCAACTTGCTAAACTGCTCCTTGTAAGTTATCGAAGCTTTATCTTTCAACACAAGTGTGCAGAATGGAAATAGCAACCATAAAGCAGCCAATCAGTTAATAGGTATTGAGTGGGGGAATAATCTTTCTCTCTGCAGTAGAAACATACATAAAAAACGTTATGGGTTATATGTAAGTAAAAAGTAATGACCAAAAAATATGAGTCACAATGGAGTACAATATATGTATAAGCAATAATCGAGGAATACAAAATTAACAAAAGAGTCCAATCTTCAAGACAGTCCAAAGATCCCACTATTAGCCACTCTACCCCTTGCATGTTTAGATAAATAATGGGAAACTGCTGTGGAACTAATGGATGCCATTGCAAAAATCTGCTACTATAAGCAATTTTATAAGTTCCTTGAGGTTGAAGAAATTAAACAATATGCTTGATCTGGTCTTTGGATTACAGATCTTTCATTTCAGATCTAGACCCAGCCCAACTTATTGTTTGCTGGTACAACCCAAATATGATAGGACTCTCTTGTGGACCAGTTTTTGCCTGGACAAGATAACAGTGTAGTTTCTGGTACCTAGAAGATGAATGTAAATCTTTACTGTAAGTTTTCTCAAAGATGTAGTATAGGGGCTTCTCACAGTGAGTTGCTCAGAAAACATTCACAACATTCTCTCTAGGTATCTCTTCACAAAATTTTTCAGTGAGAACAACTGCTAAATTTTCTCTCTTTTTCCAAACCTTCCTTTCACCAGCATGTGGCTTCCCATTTCTTCATTCCCTACTCTGCAATATTTCTGCCCATCATGCTTATAATATGGGAACTCCCTCACCCCTTATGCTTTACAGTATTGTTCTTCTGTTCTTTACACTATTGTTCTTCTGAGAATCATCCTCCTTCCCACTCCAACTTTAAATGAAATTCCAGTAAATAAAATTCTTCACTATGGTTAAAGACAGAACTCCCCACTCCTTAAGTGTGGGCTACAATTAGCATCTTGATTCCAAAGAATACAGGATGGAAAGGGAGAAAGAAGCAACTTTACAGTGGAGAAGTTGGCAAACAGCACATTAGCCAGATGGTCGAGGTTAACGTCATTGGTCATAAGTCACGTTGATGATATGCACACTTGATATCATGTGTTTAAAATGCCATTTTGCCTCTGTGGTCTTTTCTCTGTGGGAAGACAATAACTCAAGTGTAACTATGAAAAGAAAAATTTAGAAAAATCCAATTGAAAGGCATTTCACCTGACTAGCTCTCCTCAAAACTTTTGTGGTTACCCCAAAAAAGGAGAGTTTGAAAAACTGCCACAGTCCAGAGGAGTTAGGAAGACATGACAAACCAATACAATGTGGTATCCCAATTAGGATGTTGAAACAGAAAAAATGTTATTCGGGAAAAATCAATGAAACCAGAATAAAGTATGGAGTTGAGGTTTTTTTTTTTTCATTAAGAAAAGGACAATTGATGTTTTGATTTGGACCAAGTATTTAGAGAAGGCACAAACTCTGGTTGTCCTTTCAGGGGACATAATGATTCTTAATTAAATTTGCTCCAGATAACTACCCAGTTTGCATGTGGTTTAGGCCTGCCAAAGTGTTACATTAAAAACCAACTAAGTTAGTGGCCGATAGTAATAAAAATAAAAAATAGATCAAACTTCACTTCTGTATCTGGAAGAAAAATAAGAGATTCAGTTCATAACTCAGTACAGTATTTTAAAACATTCTTTCTTCTCTCTAGTTTTCATGTGGCCTGTAGTTTTATTCATTCTACAAATCCCTTCCTTTCTATTCTGCACCCCAGCTTTTTTTGCTGCCCAATCTTATGTGGTTCTCCTGTCTCATTCTCTTACTTTTTTCTTCCTGATTCTTCTAAACTTTATCTTCCCATTATTCAGAGTCAACCACCACAAATCCTGGGACCTTACCCAGTAAAGACAGTGGGGAATACACAAAGTTGAGTGATCAAACAGAGCATTCTCATTCACAAGGAGAAGAGAAGGGGATGAGGGGAGGCTGAGAACCCTGTAAATTAATATGGATTGCCCCGTCACAAATACAAACAACTGGCTTTGATAGACGAACTAGCCTTCAGGGAACCATAACAACCACTGTGGGTGAAAAGTACATCCAGAGGAGGAATCATACAGTCTTGGTTGAAGTCCCAGTGACACCACTTAAATGGTAAACTCTATGTTCTGTACAGATAAGATCTATGTCTGCCCTGCTTTCTGTTGTGACTCCAGTGCCCATTCCTGGAAAAGAATTCCTATATATTTGATGGGCGAATTTGAGAAGAAGAGTATCAGTTTCTTCCATTGTTAGGTAGCACATTTAGGCAATTTCTGCCTAACCACTTCGCAGAGATCTTATGATAATGGACATGAGCTACATCGTATGGGAAATAACTTGGAAAAAGGAGATATAGTGGACAAAACATCAGTGTGGACAGAGTATCAGTGTGGAAGGCAGCATAATCCTATATAATTTATTTAATCAAATGGGGACTTGGGTAAGCTCGGTGTCTGTAGTTTCTCATCTGTTAAATGGGGAGGATTGGGCTAAATGATCTCTGAGCTCTTACTGGTGCTCTGCAATGTGACTTTGCAGCTCCTTCCATCAAGAAGCGGGGTTGTGGCCGGGCGTTGTGGCTCATGCCTCTAATCCCAGCACTTTGGGAGGCCGAGGCGGGTGGATTACCTGAGGTCAGCAGTTTGAGACCAGCCTGGCCAACAAGGTGAAACCCCACCACTACTAAAAATACAAAAATTAGCCGGGTGTGGTGGCACACACCTGTGGTTCCAGCTACCGAGGAGGCTGAGGCAGCAGAATCGCTTGAACCTTGGAGGTGGAGGTTGCAGTGAGCTGACATTGAGCCACTGCACTCCAGCCTGGGTGACAGAGCAAGACTCTGTCTCAAAAAAAAAAAAAAAAAATGGGGTTGTGACACACTTTGACAAATAGAATGTGGCAGGATGACAGTGAGCAAGTTCTGAGTCCGAATCTCAAGAGACCTTGTGCAATTTTGCTCTCACTCTTGGAACCCTGCCTCCCCCATGTGAATAAGCCCAGGCTAGGCTCTGAAGGGTTGACAGATACATTAGCTCATCACTCCCATTGCCCCAGCCAAGAGCCAGCCAAGTTCAGACACAGAGCCACTTAGCTGACCAGAAGCCAATTGCAGATCCCAGGTAAGCCCAGAAAAGCTATCCAAGTCTATACAAAGACAAGTCAAACACATCATTTTTTAAGTTACCAAATTTAGGGGTAGCTTGTTACATGGCAATTGTTCATGGAAAAACTTTCAAATCTAAAATGCAGCCAATCAATTACTTTGGCTTCACTTGCACTTTCAGACAGAGGGCACATTTTCCAGGGAATCTCCCGTGACCAAGAAGGGAATCTGAAACATCCAATGCATTGTCTTGATGGTCTGTTGTGTGCTTCTGTGTACTTCCTATACATCACTGCTATATTAGCTATTATAAAAGCTCTTACAGTTATGGTTAAAACCTATAAGAGCTACTATAAAAACCTATAAGAGCTATTATAAAAGCTCTTATAGTTACGGTTAAAAGAGGTTCCTATGGTTGGAACCTCTTTACTTCTTAAGCTCTTTCATATTTAGCAAAGGCTAAGCTACCAATAACTCTTGATACTAACTGAAAAAAACATGTAGTAGAACATTGCTGTCTTCAGTTTCCTCACCCTTCTCCACTGAAAGCCATTATCCTTGAAGATGGACAGCACCCACTTGTCTTTAGCTATCTGGAATCTTTGACCAGGAATGTTGAAGCTTGCTTGTTTGCTGTCATATTAGATTAGAACTCTATTCTCTGCATTTTAAAGCAACAGATTAACTCTGCTATGATGCGGCATATCATAGAAAACTCAGTTCAAAGTTTTCTTGGGTGAAAAGGGGGATTTAATATCTGTTACTGGAAGTATCTGGCTTCAGAAGTGGTATTAATTAGATTTCAGTCTTTTTCACTCTATGAATAATCTCTTTTCCTCTATGTTGCCTTAATTTACAAGCAGATTTTCTCCATGTGGTGGCAAAATGCCTGCTGGAAGCTCAAGGCTCCCATGTTTTCTCCTAAATAACTGCAGCAGAAACAGATCTTTCCCTTCCCAATAGTTTCAGCCAGTCTTGAGACTGATTTTCATTGGACCCCCTTGTATCACATCTTCTGCCTGAACCAATTACTTCTTTCAGGGGAATGGAAAAATGCAAAGGGGCCAAACTGGTAGCCTGCTATTCCCTGAAAAAAGTAAATGGGAGGTGATGATGGGGTTAGTGTAACTCAATCAAGTGGACCAAGAAAGAGTGGGGTTTCCAAAGGAACATCAGGTGCTATTAGTGGAAGGGAGAACAGATGCTGACCAGCAAACTAGCAGCTCCCACGAGAGCAGAGGTTTTCAGTCTTACTGTTGTTATAGTCACCTGGGGGAGCTTTTAGAAAACACCTCTAGAGGTATGGTCTGAGGTATGGCCTGGGCATCAGTGTTATTTTAAATTCTCCAAGTGCTTCTAGTGAATAGCCAAGCAAGAGAATTGCTGTGTTAGAGATATTAATAGGTCATTAAACCTTACCCTAAGGATACCTTGAAGTGCTATGGTTTTGTTAGTTTAGGTTTTATGTTAGTTTAAAGGAGTGCATCTCTCAGGTAGAGTTTCCAACTCTAGAGGAGGCCAAGAGTCAGTGTGGTGCAGTGATCTGGGAATAGATTGGGGTGGGTAGGTGGGAAGCTGTAATTGCCCCCAATCTGAAATACATTAGCAACCTCCTTCTGTGTACACAGCTGCCAGTCCTGATGGAAACTTCCGAAATTAAAATTTGAGAAATCTTTTTTTCCAGAAAGCCAAAGAATACACTCTGATGCCCCCAATTACAGAACGAGAAGTACAGAAGGTTAGGTACCTGGTCAGAGGCCACTTCCTCCAGGGTTAAATGTATAGACCCTTGGGAGTCCCTGGCATCATTCAGCCTGTTGAGCCCACCCCTGGCTCCCTGACATCGTATCAGTGTGGGGTGGAACAGCCATTGCTATCTCTGCTACTGCAGTGTTTTCTCTCAGCTGGTTGGAGGACTGGATTCTCCTCATCTCTCCAGTGAGGAAAAGTTCTGGCCAATCACAAGAAGCCAACTGGAGACTGCAAATATGGGGATGAGATGGCAAAATCTGTTTTTGGAGCTGCAGGAGACACACCTCTCCGTGTGCAGAGATGCCCCAGAAACTTGTCAGGCGGGCATTGGCAGCTGCTGAACGCCCAGGGTTGCGTGGGGGTTTCGGAGGCTGTCTGGGTCTCCACACTCGGAATTCCACGTCTTCCCTTACCGAGGTCGAGGCCCTGGGAAAACCACTCTGTGTTGCTTCTCTCGCAATTTTAACTTCCAAGAAACCGGAAGAAGAGAATGCCCAGGGAAAAGCAGTGGATGCAGGAGGCAAAGTAATGGATTGCAAATCCCAACCCCAAAACCTTGATTCCTGTCTGCGTTCCTGCCTCAACCTCAGTTTTCTCTTCTGTAGAATGGGATATTAGATAATGTTTGACAGTCCTCCAGGCTCTGTGGGTTCTGAAGCTATGATGAGGCGGCAGCAGCCACTAACCTGCTTTGCTTTGGGGGCAACTCGTGGTTTGCAGCCGATGGATTGTTTATGACCCTTCTCATTTTTAAGAGCAAAAGACACCTCCTTTCCTCCTTGTCATTTTCTTCCCTCCTGTCCACCATCACTGTCATGGCAGGAGCATGAACTTTGGGTTAATGTCTAAAGTGTGTGAAGGGCAGGCCAGCCAAGTCCCATCTCTACGGTTTTACTTCCTATATCACACAGGGAGCTGTTTTGCACTTCTGCAGTTATGAAAGCTCAAGTTACCTTCCATTTTTGTTCCTCTCCGGTCGTCTGTCTTCCTCCCCCTCTCCTCTCCAGTCCTGACCCCGCTTCCTTCGCTGCCGTTTACTGATCACCCGCGTTGTGATGACGCCAGGCATTGTGCCAAAGGCGAGGGCCCGAATTCATCAGGGGGTGGATTAGAAGGCTCTGTCCTAAGCGAGCCTATCTTCTAACAGAGCAGATGTAGAAATAAACAAACAGTGACAATGCAGCCACAGCACAGCGCCCCGAGGGCTCCCGCGGAAATGAGCACAGGCTGTTTGGAAAGCCCACGGGAGGCCCCTTGACCCAGGGGATGCCTTGCTGGCGCCCCTCGGCTCGGTGGCAGCGGTGGCAGATTGCAGGCGGCGCGGGGGTGGTGCTGTCACCAGCCCTGCCAGTGCCGCAGTGAGTCAGGAACCCCGCCTCCCAGCCTGCGCCCGCGAACAAATCACCGCCACCCAACTCACTGCGGCACCGGACAGATTCCCTCCCGTCTACACCCTCACCGCTGCCCCGTCCTCCCTCCTGGGTGCCCCCCCCGCCCCCCCGCGCCTTCTGCTCTTCCCTGGGCTCTGGCTCCCCGACCTTCCGCCCGGCCCGCTGCTTTAGCAGCCCGAGGGGTGGGGGTGGCCGGCCCAGCTCTAGGGAGGCAATCGCCCCGCTCCGGTGTTCCTTTGCATCAGGAAGCTTGCTGGGGAAAGGGGAGAAACAGAAACAGTGAAATGACTCAGGATTTTTGAAGGGCTGGGACACAGTAGCGCAGAGGCCTCACTTCAGAAGAGGTGGGAGGCAAGACGCTTTGCCAGTCTCTGTGCCTCAAACACAGGGCCCCTGCCCAAGCTCTGAGCTTGAATTTCTGCAGGAGAGTAGAAATGCAGATATAATTTATAGCTCTAAAAATAAACGGATGATTTTGGATGAATTCACACCAAGCAGGTGACCCAGAAAAAGGAAGTAAGCTCTCAGAACCTTGAGCGTCCACAAAATAATCTCTGCTGGACAGAGATCGAGTTCTCTCAGCCGGCTGCCTTTCCAGTTGACCTTTAGGGAAGAAAGGATGGAAATGAAAAGTAGTGACTAGAGTCATTTCAGTCTCAAACTACCCAAAGGTACGTCGCAGCAAAGCCACTCTGAGATGTATCCCGCTGGTTTGAGACCCCCTGGCTATGAGGGTCACAGGTTCTGCAGGAGTTCCTGCTGTAGCTAGGATTGACTTTGTACCTCCCGGGTCACTAGCCATGGGCTAATGGCGAGGAATGGTGCTGCCTTGGCCTCTGGGATCAAAGACTTAGCTCAGGCCCCGATGGGCTTCAACCAAGATGGGCAGTAATTTGTTCAGTAAAACATATGACTCGGAATCTCAGCTCTTAGAGTGGCAGTGGGAAGCTTCTCGTTTCTCTGGTCCATACCAGTTTGCTATCAGATGAGGAAATGGCTGCCCGTCCTTCATACAGCAGCCAAGGTCACATTCAGGGAACCTAAGTCAGTTCATACCCTCATCTGCTCAGATTCCCCCACTGCCTTCCCATCCAAAGTCATTACCAAAGCTAAAAGACCCTCCAGGATTGGGCCCCTGTTATCGCTCACCTCCTTGCCTTCCATTCTCCCGGCTGTTCCCTCTGCTCCAGAAGTACTGGCCTTCTCCCTGTTCCTTGAAGATGCCAGGTGCACCCCAACTTCATGGCCTTCCTGCTGTCCCCTCCACCTGGAACTCTATTCCCTCAGATATTTATTTTATTTCACTGCTCAAAAGACCATCCTATCCAAAACAGCATCTTTTTCACAGCACTTTTGTTCTCTATTGCTTTCATGTCCTTATTATATATTTATGTATTGGTTTATCATATATCTTCCCTAGAAGGTAAGTTCCCTTAGAGCAAGGACTTTGTCTTGTGGACTGTTCTATTCCCAGTGTCTGACACGTTGTAGGTGTCAGACCTGTAAAAAGAACGAGGTTGGAATAGGCCCCATAATTTGCTTAACTTCATGCAGTCGGTTAGTGGCACAGCCAGGAACCAAACCCTCATTTCCTCCTCCTGGTCTAGAACTTTTCAAGAATCTCACCATCAAGCTGGTTATATGGAAATGATTTTGAAATGGAATCAGATTGGACAATGACCACTGGACAAGCTGGACACCTTTTGAGCGAGATGCACTTTTTAGGGTCTTCTAATCTCTCTAAAAGCTCAAATGCTCCTTGCTTTGGAATGTGAATATCTATAAAATTGATAAGTTCCAATAGATGTTGAGAGGTTCACAAGGCAGTACCAACCTCTGGTCTTTCTTGATATTTCTTCTTTAGTCACCTTTGAAGGCTTGGCTGGATGCCAAATTTTATGGAGTTGAGGGCCTTTGTAATGCAGCTCATCCTACCCATTAAGGCCAAAGCTATTTTTGGAAGAGTGAGTCCTGCCAACTGAACCCAAAATTATAAAATCATAAAATCTGTATCAATATGTTGGAGTGTGGCTGGTGATCATCTGGGCAAAGACGAGCATTCTAAGAGGTTCAGTCCTCTTGAGGCTGTTTTTTGAGCTAAGAAAAGTTCCTTTCCTTAGCAATGATTTACTTTCTCTTCTAAGGTTGTGTATTATAAAGAAAGTCCAAGAATTTCAGCAGTGCTAGTACTTTTTAAAATAGCATGATGCAAAGAAATAATTCCCAGAGTTAGAGACAGGAAAACTGGGTTTGTGTCTTGGTTTCTCTATATACCAACTCTGTGACCTCCTTTGTACTCTGAGTCCCCATTTGAACAGTTAGGGTCATCCTATCCAACTGAGAACACCATTGTGAGGGTCAGATGAGTTAGTGTGGAATAAAGTGCCTTGTAAGCACTATAGGATTGGATACTACAGTGCCCAGCATGATGCTATTAGAAAGAATATATATATTCTTATAATTGAGAACCAAAGTCCACCTTTCTGAGGCTACACTCAGGGTGGGGGATATGTACAAAACAAAGCCCACTGGGGTATAATAAAAAAAGTTGAGAGCCAAAATGGAAAACCTGCAGGTGTCAAGAATCAAATATGAAAGAAGCACTGTGCCAATGACTAGGGAGGAAATGTGATCAATGAACACTTTGGGAGAGTTGCGATGGCTGAATCACAGGGCTGGAACTTTGAGAGTTGGAGAGGCCAGAGAAATGGATCTGACAAAACTGAGATGAAAACACAAAGCGGAAGGAATGGAAAGATGGGTAAGGCAGGACTAGTTCCTATTTTCCTCCCTTCTTTAATTTAGTAAATACTGTTGAAGTGCTTACCATCCAAGTGTTAGGCACTGTCTTCTTTCCATCATCTTCAGGAAATTGTCCCTAGATACCTGATGAATAGTCAAGTCCTTCTTTGTGTAAGTGGGTTGATACTGGTACACTCTTCTCCCCTCACCCCAGCTTGGAGCAGTTTCTTAAAGAACTAAGCAACTTAAACCTCTGAAACACCTAGAAAAGCATGTAATTTTCTATAGATGGAAACCTGCCACGATTTCTAGGAATGCAGGAGAATTGGGTTTTCTGGGGCTTTGGAAATTAATAATCAAGCAAATCTGAAATGGTAAAATAAGACCAAACAAAACACTTAATCTTACCCTTTTATTATCAATTTATCCAACACCTATCTATATTTTCTACTAGCTGCCTGCCTCTGTATTGCCTGTGTTTATCGATAAACTATAAGGCGATGAGCATCCTGTCTTCACAGCACATCAAGCACCAGGTCACTATGTAAAGAAGCACATAAGAAATGTCGTCTAATGGCAATGTGTTTTCTCTAACTTGTTAACCACAAAATAATCTTTAAATGTTTGAAGTTTTCAACCATTTATTAAATATTGATCTGGCACCCCGATATTCTATTTTGTGGGTATAACTTCACCTACCTTATTTTTACTACCATCTCACTTCCTAATAATAGCTTTTTGTAAATTAATGACTATGTAGATCTTGATATTGAGACTGCTGATAATTTAGGACATCAAAAGAGGTGGTGATTTGCTGCCTGGAAAGAAACAGACAGTAATAATAACAAGGGGCAGAGTCCATTTGCATTGAAGTGGAAGTAGGAAGATGAAAGAAATATAGCAAGTGTATTAGTCAGCTATTGCTGTAAAACAAGTCAGCCCCAAACTCAATAGCTTCAAATAACAATATATGTTCTTTCTTGCTCATGTGTCAGCAGTTGGCTGCATGCTGGATGATCTAGGCTCGGCTCAGATGTGCTTGTCTCAAAGCAGTGAGTTAAGTTTAGATCTATGCACATGTTTCTCATTTCCCTTGGTTCAGTGAGCTACTGTGGGCAGATAATAGGAGCACAAGAGGACAAGCACAACCAAGTAAGTCAATTTCTAGTCTTTGCTTGCATCACACTTGCTAACATTTCATTGGATGAAGCAGATCACCTTTCCATTGCCTATCATTAATGGAGCAGGAGAGTGTATTCTGTCTCTAGTGTGAAGGATTGCAAAAGGTCCCATGGATACAGGAAGGAGTTAAGGACTTGCATCAATAATGGATAAATAAGAATCCAGTTTCTCTATTTGGAATGTTCCCAGATTGTGGAAATATATCCTATTCTACCCTTTGATGTTCTAACTCATTGGAATCTGTTAATCCATGGATTAGGCTTTTCAAGTAGCAGTTGGACTTCTCCAGTGATGGCCCGTTTGGCTGTAGGTTCATTGGTGAATGCCAAATCAGATGCATTACTGGACAGAATCAGAGTCTTAGCTTCAAGTCCCAGTGGCACATTTACCATTGGTGCATTCTTGAGTGGTTGTTTAACCTCTCCAAGACTTCATTTTCTTCTCTGTAAAAATGGGGGTAACAATTCATGTTCTATTTTTTCACATGGGATTGTTAAAATTTTCTGTAAACTGGAAATAAGTATACCTGTAATGTAGTATTATTACGGAGCAAAGAGCTTAAAGTCTTCTGAAGGGTACTATTTGTACTGGAAGCTTGTGGAAGCTGATCTTCTTGACTGATTCTACTGATTCAATGACTTGCATTATTCTTATGCCTCTTAGGCTTGTTCTTGGGGCAGCCAAATTAAAGCATAAGGAATTTGAGTTGGGGGTGTGATAGAGTGGAATTTTCAATAAAGGGACATAGAGAAAGGTGGTAAAGCCAAGGAAAAATCCAGCCCACTCCTTGCTCTTCTGAATACTAATTCTGCCATCCATGGACGTCCTAGGGTCTTAGAGCATGGAAGCTTGAAGTTAACATCCTTTGCCGCAGTTTTGAATTATTTCTTCCTGGTTCTTCTCGAGTGGTTTCTCTAGAGGTTGGAGCATGCTATGGAGGCCAATACCAACAAACATGGAGTAATGCACAGCTTTCAATGGTGTTTGTGGTTTCATTTGCTTGGCTTTCATTTTAGTTATAAAATTCTTGATTTTCATGAATCCACCTAAAAATACATACTTATTTAACAACTTAGCAGTCTACATTATACATATTCATATCTGGAATGCCATCTGTTCTATCTCTTGGAAAGAGTTGGTTCCTCGGTGTGTGCCATCCATCCTCATCCAGGAGGTAGCCTGGGGAGTCCATATGGCTTCTGGCATTTTCCAGGCCATACCAGTACCTGGGCTCAGGGCCAGGAATTGGTCTGGGATTAGGAATGAGCATGAAACCAAATGGACTAAGGTTGAATCTGGAGGATAATCGAACTTTTCAGGCTGTTTCTAAAAGGATAAGAAAAGGCTATGGGCTACTTCTTGCAATGTCTCAGTGACAAAATTCATTATGTGGGAGGATTTCTCCCCAATGCATCTATTTAGGCAAGGCCACTAATACAGTGGAATAATCTTAGATTTTTCTAAGAATAAACAACCCACATCATATGCAAGATAGGTTATAGGGTTGAAATATGAGCTTAAGATAAAGCAAACATACAAATCAAGTGAAAAACTTAAACCAGAATTGACGAGGATAGTATGAAGAGGGCATGGAATCAAGATTCCTTAGTTCTGGCCCCGACTTTGTCACTAACTAGCTGTAAAGTCTTGAACAAAGCATTTCACTGATTTGTGCCTCAGTTTCCTCATCTGTGACAGGGATAAATTGGAGCATATACTGTTAAAGTCCTGTCCAGGCTTGTCATCGAAGACTTTTTGCCCTCTTTTTTTTTTTGAGACGGAGTTTCGCTCTTGTTGTTCATGCTGGAGTGCAATGGTGTGATCATGGCTCACTGCAATCTCCACCTCCCGGGATCGAGTGCTTCTCCTACCTCAGCCTCAGCTAGGATTACAGGCATGTGCCATCATGCCTGGCTAATTTTTTGTATTTTTAGTAGAGACAGGCTTTCTCCATGTTGGTCAGGCTGGTCTCAAACACCCAACCTCAGGTGATCCGCCTGCCTCAGCCTCCCAAAGTGCTGGGATTACAGGCATGATCCTTCTTTATCCTTAGTGGTAAAATGAGGAAATAGGGCCATTTCATCTAGAAATTGCTGGTTCCTCCATCCGTAATTTTCTAGTAGGAGTGCGATGTGGTCAGTGCAAGTCCTGTTGGCCATCCGTGTTCTTTGGCAAGGAGTTTTGGTTGGAAGACAGAGAGGAAGATGAAAGAGAAGTAGACCTTTCTCCATGAGTATTAAAGTGAATGTTTTGTTTAAAATGCCCCAAATAAAAATAAAACAAAGGAATCCACATTTTGACATTTTTCATGTAAATAATAGTCAACATACCATTAGGAAGACTAGTCGGAAAGTACATAATTTAAAAGTGCATTTTTCATTTGCCAGGTACTGTTTCGAGTGAACGTTTCTGGCAAAGCCCCATGCCTGGTGATGTTTTTCTTAGCATGGAGGGTTTAGGAACTGAGAGAGAGGCTATGCAGAGGGGGAAGTGTATCCAGAGATTCAAGGTGTCTGTGCTGCTCATCTTTTAGGACCACCAGATTAATAACCTCATTGACTGTGACTTTCAGTGGAGTATCCAGACAGCTCGCTGCCACTTCTGGAGCCTGAGGATGAATGAGCATCCTCCATACCTTGGCTTGTTCATGCTTTTGCTTCCCTTTCTCTCCTAAAATCTTCCGTCTAGTCCATAACCCTCTGCTTGGCTGGCACTGACAGGAAAGAACACTTTGGCTTACTTGGATTTGAATTCATAGCTTTTTTCTAGGCTGAGTTTATGTCAAATGGTTTGGGTATGCATCAGTCTATTTGGGGGTGGAACGGTGGAAATCATGTAAGCCACAACTTGTAGGGTGCATTTTTTAAAATTAATTTATTTTTTATTATACTTTAAGTTCTAGGGTACATGTGCACAACATGCACGTTTGTTACATAGGTATACATGTGCCATGTTGGTTTGCTGCACCCATCAACTCGTCATTTACATTAGGTATTTCTCCTAATGCTATCTCTCCCCCAGCCCCCCACCCCCCGACAGGCTCCAGTTTGTGATGTTCCCCGCCCTGTGTCTATGTGTTCTCGTTGTTCAACTCCCACCTATGAGTGAGAACATGCGGTGTTTGGTTTTCTGTCCTTGTGATAGTTTGCTGAGAATGATGGTTTCCATCTTCATCCATGTCCCTCCAAAGGACACGAACTCATCCATTTTTATGGTTCCATAGTATGCCATGGTGGATATGTGCCACATTTTCTTAATCCAATCTATCATTGATGGACATTTGGGTTGGTTCCAAGTCTTTGCTATTGAGAATAGTGCCTCAATAAACATAGGTGTGCATATGTCTTTATAGTAGCATGATTTATAATCTTTTGGGTATATACCCAGTAATGGGATGGCTGGGTCAAATGGCATTTCTAGTTCTAGATCCTTGAGGAATCGCCACACTGTCTTCCACAATGGTAGAACTAATTTACACTCCCACCAACAGTGTAAAAGTGTTCCTATTTCTCCACATCCTCTCCAGCATCTGTTGTTTCCTGACTTTTTAATGATCGCCATTCTAACTGGCATGAGATGTATCTCATTATGGTTTTGATTTGCATTTCTCTGATGACCAGTGATGATGAGCATTTTTTCCTGTCTGTTGGCTGCATAGATGTCTTCTTTTGAGAAGTGTCTGTTCATATCCTTTGCCCACTTTTTGATGAGGTTGTTTATTTTTTTCTGGTAAATTTGTTTAAGTTCTTTGTAGATTGTGGATATTAGCCCTTTGTCAGATGGGTAGATTGCAAAGATTTTCTCCCATTCTGTAGGTTGCCTGTTCACCCTGATGATAGTTTCTTTTGCTGTGCAGAAGTTATTTAGTTTAATTAGATCCCATTTGTCTATTTTGACTTTTGTTGCCATTGCTTTTGGTGTTTTAGTCATGAAGTCTTTGCCCATGCCTATGTCCTAAATGGTATTACCTAGGTTTTCTTCTAGGGTTTTTATGGTGTTAGGTCTTACATTTAAGTCTTTACTCCATCTTGAGTTAATTTTTGTATATGGTGTAAGGAAGGGATCCAGTTTCAGCTTTCTATGTACGGCTAGCCAGCTTTCCCAGCACCATTTACTAAATAGGGAATCATTTCCCCATTGCTTGTTTTTGTCAGATTTGTCAAAGATCAGATGGTTTTAGATGTGTGGTGTTATTTCTGAGGCCTCTGTTCTATTCCATTGGTCTATATATTTGTTTTGGTACCAGTACCACGCTGTTTTGGTTACTGTAGCCTTGTAGTATTGTTTGAAGTCAGGTAGCATGATGCCTCCAGCTTTGTTCTTTTTGCTTAGGATTGTCTTGGCTATGTGGGCTCTTTTTTGGCTCCATATGAACCTTAAAGTAGTTTTTTTCCATTTCTGTGGAGAAAGTCAGTGGTAGCTTGATGAGGATAGCATTGAATCTATAAATTACCTTGGGCAGTATGGCCATTTTCACGATACTGATTCTTCCCATCCATGAGCATGGAGTGTTCTTCCATTTGCTTGTGTCCTCTTTTATTTCGTTGAGCAGTGGTTTGTAGTTCTTCTTGAAGAAGTCCTTCACATCCCTTGTAAGTTGGATTCCTAGGTATTTTATTCTCTTTGTAGTAATTGTGAACGGGAGTTCACTCATGATTTGGCTCTCTGTTTGTCTGTTATTGGTGTATAGGAATGCTTGTGATTTTTGCACATTGATTTTGTATCCTGAGACTTTACTGAAGTTGCTTATCAGCTTAAGGAGATTTTGGGCTGAGACGATGGAGTTTTGTTTTCTTTTCTTTTCCCTTTTTTTTTTTTTTTTTTTTTTGAGAAGGAGTCTCGCTCTGTCACCCAGGCTGGAATGCAGTGGTGCGATCTCCGCTCACTGCAAGCTCCGCCTCCCGGGTTCACGCCATTCTCCTGCCTCAGCCTCCCGAGTAGCTGGGACTACAGGCACCTGCCACCATGCCTGGCTAATTTTTTTTGTATTTTTAGTAGAGACGGGGTTTCACCGTGTTAGCCAGGATGGTCTCAATCTCCTGACCTCGTGATCCACCTGCCTTGGCCTCCCAAAGTTCTGGGATTACAGGCATGAGCCACCGTGCCCAGCCAGGGTTTTCTAAATATACAATCATGTCATCTGCAAACAGAAACAATTTGACTTCCTGTTTTCCTAATTGAATACCCTTTATTTCTTTCTCTTGCCTGATTGCCCTAGTGAGAACTTCCAATACTATGTTGAATAGGAGTAGTGAGAGAGGGCATCCTTGTCTTGTGCTGGTTTTCAAAGGGAATGCTTCCAGTTTTTGCCCATTCAGTATGATATTGGCTGTGGGTTTGTCATAAATAGCTCTTATTATTTTGAGATATATTCCATCAATATCTAGTTTATTGAGAGTTTTTACCATGAAGCGCTGTTGAATTTTGTCAAGGGCCTTTTCTGCATCTATTGAGATAATCATGTGGTTTTTGTTGTTGGTTCTGTTTATGTGATGGGTTACGTTTATTGATTTGTGTATGTTGAACCAGCCTTGCATCTCAGGGATGAAGCTGATTTGATCATGGTGGATAAACTTTTTGATGTGCTGGATTCTGTTTGCCAGTATTGTATTGAGGATTTTTGCATCAATGTTCATCAGGGATATTGGCCTAAAATTCTCTTTTTTTGTGGTGTCTCTACCAGGCTTTGGTATCAGGATGATGCTAACCTCATAAAATGAGTTAGGGAGGATTCTCTCTTTTTCTACTGATTGAAATAGTTTCAGAAGGAATGGTACCAGCTCCTCTTTGTACCTCTGGTAGAATTCGGCTGTGAATCCGTCTGGTCCTGGCCTTTTTTTGGTTGGTAGGCTATTAATTATTGCCTCAATTTCAGAACCTGCTATTGGTCTTTTCAGAGATTCAACTTCTTCCTGGTTCAGTCTTGGGCGGGTGTATGTGTCCAGGAATTTATCCATTTCTTCTAGATTTTCTAGTTTATTTGCATAGAGGTGTTTATAGCATTCTCTGATGGTAGTTTGTATTTCTGTGGGATCGGTGATGATATCCCCTTTATCATTTTTTATTGTGTCTATTTGATTCTTCTCTCTTTTCTTCTTTATTAGTCTGGCCAGTGCTCTATCTATTTTGTTTTCAAAAAACCAGCTCCTGGATTCATTGATTTTTTTGAAGGGTTTTTTGTGTCTCTATCTCCTTCAGTTCTGCTCTGATCTTAGTCATTTCTTGCCTTCTGCTAGCTTTTGAATTTGTTTGCTCTTGCTTCTCTAGTTCTTTTAATTGTGATGTTAGGGTGTCAATTTTAGATCTTCCCTGCTTCCTCTTATGGGCATTTAGTGATATAAATTTCCCCGTACACACTGATTTAAACGTGTCCCAGAGATTCTGCTATGTTGCGTCTTTGTTCTCATTGGTTTCAAAGAACATCTTTATTTCTGCCTTCATTTCGTTATTTACCCAGTAGTCATTCAGGAGTAGGTTGTTCAGTTTCCGTGTAGTTGTGTGGTTTTGAGTGAGTTTATTAATCCTGAGTTCTAATTTGATTGCACTGTGGTCTGAGAGACAGTTTGTTGTGATTTCTGTTCTTTTACATTTGCTGAGGAGTGTTTTACTGCCAACTATGTGGTCAGTTTTAGAATGAGTGCGATGTGGTGCTGAGAAGAATGTATATTCTGTTGATTTGGGGTGGAGAGTTCTGTAGATGTCTATTAGGTCTGCTTGGTCCAGAGCTGAGTTCAAGTCCTGGATATCCTTATTAACCTTCTGTCTCATTGATCTGTCTAATATTGACAGTGGGGTGTTAAAGTCTCCCATTATTATTGTGTGGGAGTCTAAGTCTCTTTGTAGGTCTCTAAGGACTTGCTTTATGAATCTGGGTGCTCCTGTATTGGGTGCATATATATTTAGGATAGTTAACTCTTCTTTGTGAATTGATTCCTTTACCATTATGTAGTGGCCTTCTTTGTCTCTTTTGATCTTTGTTGGTTTAAAGTCTGTTGTATCAGAGCAACCCCTACTTTTTTTTTTTTTTTTTTTTTTTTTTTTTTGCTTTGCTTTTGCTTGGTAGATCTTCCTCCATCCCTTTATTTTGAGACTATATGTGTCTTTGCACGTGAGATGGGTCTCCTGAATACAGCACACTGATGTCTTGACTCTTTATCCAGTTTACCAGTCTGTGTCTTTTAAATGGGGCATTTAGCCCATTTACATTTAAGGTTAATATTGTTATGTTTGAATTTGATCCTGTCATTATAATGTTACATTAGCTGGTTATTTTGCTAGTTAATTGATGCAGTTTCTTCCTAGCATCAATGGTCTTTACCATTTGGCGTGTTTTTGCAGTGGCTGGTACCTGTTGTTCCATTCCATGTTTAGTGCTTCCTTTAGGAGCTCTTTTAAGGCAGGCCTGGTGTGACAAAATCTCTCAACATTTGCTTGCCTGTGAAGGATTTTATTTCTCTTTCACTTATGAAGCTTAGTTTGGCTGGATATGGGATTCTGGGTTGAAAATTATTTTCTTTAAGAATGTTGAATATTGGCCCGTACTCTATTCTGGCTTGTAGGGTTTCTGCCGAGAGATCCGCTGTTAGTCTGATGGGCTTCCCTTTGTGGGTAACCTGACCTTTCTCTCTGGCCACCCTTAACATTTTTTCCTTTATTTCAACCTTGGAGAATCTGACAATTATGTGTCTTGAGGTTGCTCTTCTCTAGGAGTATCTTTGTGGTGTTCTCTGTATTTCCTGAATGTGAATGTTGGCCTGCCTTGCTAGGTTAGGGGGAAGTTCTCCTGGATAATATCCTGAAGAGGGTTTTCTAGCTTGGTTTCATTCTCCCCATCACTTTCCGGTACACCAGTCAAACGTATATTTGGTCTTTTCACATAGTCCCATATTTCTTGGAGGCTTTTTTTGTTTCTTTTCACTCTTTTTTCTCTAATGTTGTCTACTTGCTTTATTTCATTAATTTGATCTTCAATTATGATATCCTTTCTTCTATTTGATTGAATTGGCTATTGAAGCTTGTGCATGCATTACAAAGTTCTTGTGCCATGGTTTTCAGCTCCATCAGGTCATTTAAGGTCTTCTCTACACTGTTTATTTCAGTTAGCCATTTGTCTAACTTTTTTCAAAGTTTTTAGCTTCTTTGTGGTGGGTTAGAACATGCTCCTTTAGCTTGGAGAAGTTTGTTATTACCGACCTTCTGAAGCCTGCTTCCATCAACATGTCAAACTCATTCTCCATCCAGTTTTGTTCCCTTGATGGCGAGGAGCTGCGATCCTTTGGAGAAGAGGCACTCTGTGTTTTGGAATTTTCAGCTTTTCTGTTCTGGTGTCTCCCCATCTTTGTGATTTTATCTACCTTTGGTCTTTGATGTTGGTGACCTACAGATGGAGTTTTGGTGTGGATGTCCTTTTTGTTGATGTTGATGCTATTCCTTTCTGTTTGTTAGTTTTCCTTCTGACAGTCAGACCCCTCAGCTGCAGGTCTGTTGGAGTTTGCTGGAGGTCCACTCCAGACCCTGTTTGCCTGAGTATCACCAGCGGAGGCTGCAGAACAGCAAATAGTACTGCCTGATCCTTCGTCTGAAAGCTTCATCTCAGAGGGGTACCTGCCTTTTTGAGGTGTCTGTTGGCCCCTACTGGGAGGTGTTCCCAGTCAGGCTACACGGGGGTCAGGGACACACTTGAGGAGGCAGTCTGTCTGTTCTTGGAGCTCGAACGCCATGTTGAGAGAACCACTCTTCTCTTCAGAGCTGTCAGACAGGGATGTTTAAGTCTGCAGAAGCTGTCTGCTGCTTTTTGTTCTACTATGTCCTGCCCCCAGAGATGGAATCTGTAGAGGCAGTAGGCCTTGCTGAGCTTTGGTGGGCTCTGCTCAGTTCATGCTTCCTGGGCTCTTTGTTTACACTGTGAGCTACTCAAGCCTCTGCAATGGCAGATGCCACTCCCCCCATCAAGCTGCAGCATTGCAGGTCAATCTTGGACTTCGGCATGAGCAGTGAGCAAGGCTCTGTTGGCATGGGACCTGCCGAGCCAGGCACGGGAGGGTATCTCCTGGTCTGCCAGTTGCTAAGACTGTGGAAAAAGCACAGTATTTGGTCAGGAGTGTACCATTTCTCCAACTACAGCCTGTCATGGCTTCCCTTAGCTAGGAAAGGGAAAATCTCCTGGCCCTTGTGCTTCCCAGGTGAGGCGATGCCCCACCCTGCTCAGCGCACCCTCTGTGGGCTGCATCCACTGTCCAACCAGTCCCATTGAGATGAACCAAGTACCTCAGTTGGAAATGCAGAAATCACCCATCTTCTGTGTCGATCTCGCTGGGAGCTGCAGACTGGAGCTCTTCCTATTCAACCATCTTGGAAGTGACTCCCTGTAGGGTGCATTTTAAAAGGTATAAGCAGATGTTACTTTGTATAAATTCATTGTGGACCCAAGTACAAGTGACTCAGAAGGTGATACCAACAAACCAATAGAGAAATGGGACAGAGAAAAGAAGGCAGCCAATGAAGGGTTGTTATCAAACAAACTAGGGTCAATCCCCCTGAGGAACTCTGAGAGCTTGTATAGAACATGTGTCTCAGCATTACACAAAATGAGCAAAGAAGCTGGCATATTTACTCACCAACTGCTGCCAATCATTTATTAAGGGCTGCCTCGGTGTGGTGTTTTATTACCCACCACTTCTGTACTATCTTGTGCTGAAGCAAAATCACTACAGTTAGCCCTCGGGAGTGGGAATTCAGGTAGGAGAGCATTATAGTGGTAAGATCTGAAGTGATGTGGGCAGGGCTTCACCTACACTTGCTCCAAATAGACACATCCAGGAGACCTTGTAACAAACACATCTATGTAGCTGAAAGTATTAGAATTTCCAACTCAGAATTAAATAATATGAGAGCCATAAGGATTCAAACTGAAATGTCCAAAGATTGATTTGGCTTTAGGTAAAGCTTGATCTAGGCTCTTAACAGGTGTGGGTTTCTTTTCTCTAATTCTTTCCACCACTTACTATATGTCGTCTCCATTATGGGTAGCATTTACCTTCATGGTTGCAAAATAGCTAACAGTGGTTCCTTGGGGCTATATTTTCTAGATTCAACATCCAGCCAAGAAGAAAACTTCTGTTTTTTAAATAGCTAAAATAAATCCTGAAATTCATTCTTTTGGGGGCATGATTGGCCTTATTAGGGTTCACCTTTAAACCAATTGCTGTAGCCAGAGGGCTTCAGTCTTTCAAAACTCACTTTGCTGGGGGAGAGGGCGGGCTCTAACTCAAAATACATGCTTCAGAAATTTGAAATCTGTTACGACAAGACTACAAAGTAACTAATAATGGGGCCCTTAAATCTAGTAGCAGCACAAGTATTTGATAACCTTAAGCAAAGGAGCTAAATCGGTGATATTATTTCAGTCCTCTGATGTCAGAATCCAGCTGAACATCCAGGGAGGAGAGAAAGAGATTAGTGGTGGATTGGTAAGGGAAGGAGGTACAGGAAGAAAAATTGATGGTGAAAAGCTTGGGTACCAACAGCCACTCAAGGGAGCTGAATTCAGACTGTATCTCTGACAACATTAATGCTGGGTAATATTTATTTAGCTGAGCCTAATAAGCAGTGTAAAGAATCTCATCTCTCAAATTGGCACAGCAAGGTGCCATAGCAGCCAGGCTGCTGATAATTAACAGTGAAATGCCTGGCGTGCTTTCTCCCTGCAACATCTGAAGGGATGCATAGGACTGCTGGGTGAATTCATTTTCCTCTCACTGGCTGGGATAAGGATAGAGCTTGCTGCAGAAAATTACTGGAGAGCCAGTCAGACAGGAGCAGAACAAAATGGCTCTTGTGAGGATGCAGGCAGAGAAGGGCAACTCATCTCTTACCTGTGGAAGGTCACATACCCACCACATACTGCACTTTCAGTCCCCATAGGTGTAGTCCAATGCAGGTGAAGGGAAGTTATGTTGTTTATAACTCACAAGTGCCACATTTGAAACAGCAGTTGCAGAATCATAGAATGTTAGAACTCAGATGAACGTTGAAGATTGTGTAATTTATCCATCTTGGCTGATGAAGAAACAGAGACCTAGAACAGATGTGTGGCTTGTCTAGCCCTGTGGTGAGTTTGTTGTAGAGTTGACACAAGAGACCAACGCTCCTATTTGCAAGTAGAGTGTTAATAATAACAATAATGTCTATGATCTAAATTCTTGAGATTCAACATGGACATAGACCCTGTTCCTCTTTTGTAGCTGAATCATTTGGTGAAGTTTATATAGCAAGTCAGGAGCAGATGAAAAACCACAATCTTGATCAGTACTGTCCGCAAATAATTCTGGAAGGCTCTCAAATTAACTGATAATAATGATGATGGAAATGACAGATAATAATTATTTAGCTCCCAAAATATATGAGGCACTGTGTTAAATAATTTACAAGCATTATTATTTTTAATTTTAATCCTTATAATAACTCTTTGAGAGCTCTCAAAGAACTAACAGTTTAACTACCACTTAACCAAGCAATCCCATTACTGGGTATATGCCCCAAAGAAAATAAATCATTCTACCAAAAACGTGCACCTGTATGTTTATTGCAGCACTATTCACAGTAGCAAAGACAGAATCAATCTAGGTGTCCATCAATGATAGATTGGATAAAGAAACTGTGGTACATATATATGATGGAATACTATGCTGCCACAAAAAAGAATAAAATCATGGCCTTTGAGGTGACATGGACGCAGCTGGAGACCATTGCCCTAAGTGAATTAATGCAGAAATGGAAAACCAAATCCCACATGTTCTCACTTGTAAGTGTGAGCTAAACTTTGGGTACACGTGGGTATAAAGATGGGAACAACAGACACTGGAGAATATAAGAGGGGAAATGTAGGGAGGGGGCAGGGGTTGAAAAACTACCTATCAGTTACTATGCTCACTACCTGGGTGACTGGTTCAATTTTACTCCAAACCTCAATGTCACGCAATATACCTTTGTAACAAACCTGCCCATGTTCTCCCTGAATCTAAAATAAAAGTTAAAAAAAAAATAACTCCTTGCATGGGCACTAATCCCATTGTATGGTGGAGGAAATTGAAGTTTATAGAGTTTATGAACTTGCCAGAGATCACACAATTAGTAAACTAGTGGAGCCAGGATGTGATCTTGGGTGTTCTCATTTAAGAGCTTGTACCTGTAACCATTACTAACCTTAACTTTTTCTACTTAGTCCTGCCAGTGTTTCAATGACTTCTAGTGCATTCTGCTTCTCCTATAAGAAATTCTATATCTTGAAAAATCTGGTATAATTTATTTTACCCCAACCAAAAAATTATAAATATATTATACTTTGTAGAATTGCTGTTAAAGATTTTGGAGATTTGGTGTTTTTCCAAACGGATTGCATGTGAAACACATTTACATATTAAAAGACAGTTTTCCTAAATATCAGTTCAAAATATAGATTTATTAGGATTTGGAAATAAAATTATTTTCTTTTATTGCTGATGCTTCTACTGAAGAGTGTGCAAGTTACATCCCTGAATTAAGAGCATCGTGGGAGAAGCTGACCCCGCCCAAAGTATTCCTGCCAAATAGCCTTTCTTCCTTACCGTTTCCCCACCCCTGATCTGCCTGACTTCCAATTCTCCTTCCCCAGTTTCTCCAGATGGCAGGCGTCTTTCAGCCTCCTGGCTCCTGCAACTTTTTCCTACTGAATTAGAGCCAATTCCTTTAATCCAACTACCTCCTCTTCAAATGGGTGTGCATAGCTTCTACAAGGATGAGGCCATCTGACTCCACTGCCTGTTGTCTTCTCTTGCCAGCGTCCTTATTTAACTTCAGTTTTTCTCCAATCGGTCCCCATGGTGAGATGACCATTGACTTGACTTGGATCGAGTCTCCCTGTTGTTCATTATCTCATCTTAATTCTTATTTTTCTGAACTTTATCATTAGTATCCCACTCTTCTCTCCTTTGGGGCTGTTTCTACCCCCACTATAATAGCATTATTATCACTTAGGGCAGCTGGGTCATCTCTGATATTTTAAATGTCAAGCCATTTTGGCAATTATATCACCAGAGATCTGGCTCAAGTATGACCAAAGAATTGACTGTTCATCTATAGGGGTGTGGGAGGAACTGCTTAGCAGGAAAGAGAAACCCACCACGAAAGAATGGATTATTGAGGCAGAGGTGGGAATCACATAGAACATACCTAAGTATGGTTTCTACTTTTCTCTTTTTCTATCCGTTCTTAGCTCATTAGGACCTGAATTTGCCTATCTTTCCTGTCTTTAAGCAATTACTGTCTTGTGTGCTGTATTCCAAGCTTTTCCCACATTATTAATAAAAAATTGTCCATCTTCTAGAAATTTTCAGTCTACCTGAATGTTTATCATATGTATAATTGAACATTTCCCTAAAGCATAAAGACTCAATCAATGGGCTTCTACTGCTCACTGAGATAATCACCTTTAAAAAGACAAATGTTTTTCTGCTAGATCTCTTTATCTTCACTGTGGGTTCCTCTTATTTTATTTCTACATCAATGTTCATATTTAACTTATTATTTTATCTTATTTTTAAATTTCTTTTATGTTGAGCATTGATGAAAGCCATAGGTTCTCTCTCCCCAGTAAAATGCCCAAATATCACACGCTCACAAATACATGTACAATTTTGGCCAAAATTTCAAAGTGTTCATGGACACACCCATTCCTCACACTGCTGTCAGTCTAATTGTTCTATGAGATGAGTGAGGCTGGTTTACTTTTCGAATCTTTGTCTTCTTTAGAATAAAGTCCAAAGCTTTTCATGACCATTGCATAAATTACGCTACCCTTCCATTTGTCTTCTGTTCTACCAACTTTTTGTGCATTCTTATCTCTTTGTGCCTTTGCTTATGTTGTTCACTTGACCTGGAATGCCTTCCTCTCTTTCTGTATATTGAATAACTATATGCATCTTTCCTACTCCCACTAATGACACCTTCTGTGAATCCCTCTATGATCCCAACCATCAAAGAAGGCACGAATGCTATCAGGATTCATCTCTTCTTTCTTACCTCCCAGCTCCCTGAAACTTTTATCTTTTGACACTACTTAGGACCACATAAATCTGAAGACTAACTAGAACCTTAAAAGTCATTTGGAAAACTTTTTTTGAGTTTGCCTCATATTATTCACTCACTTATAAATAATAATAAAATTTAAAAATATTTAGTGTGCAACTACTATGAGCCAGGCACTGATATGAGCCCTGGGATGTAGCAGTGGACAAAGCATTGCCTTTGGTCTTCTAGAAGTTCTTCATATTGAGAGAAAAAAGACTAGAAATACATTTTAAAAAACATCTACGGCAAAAGATACTTTCAAATATGGAGTATTTGGAAGAATATTACTTTGAGAAATGAAGTAGAGAATGACTGAGGTGGGGGAGGAGGAAATTTTTTTTAACTGGGAAGTCAAGAAAATCATCTCTGACATTTAAGTTGAGGTCTGAATGGTGAGAAGGAGTGGGCCAAGTAAAGAAGTAAAGGTGGGAGAAGAGACTGTGTGGCAGAGGATATAGCAAGTACAAGGGCCCTAAGGTGGGAGCTTTCTTTCTTTCTTTCTTTCTTTCTTTCTTTCTTTCTTTCTTTCTTTCTTTCTTTCTTTCTTTCTTTCTTTTCTTCCTTTCTTTCCTTCTTTCTTTCTTTTTGAAATAGAGTCTTGTTCAGTTGCCAGGCTGGAGTGCAGTGGCGTGATCTCGGCTGCAACCTCCAACTCCCTGGTTCAAGCAATTCTCCTGCCTCAGCCTCCTGAGTATGGGATTACAGGCACATGCCACCATGCTCAGCTAATTTTTTGTATTTTTGGTAGACATGGGGTTTCACCGTGTTGGCCAGGATGGTCTCAGTCTCCTGACTTCGTGATCTGCCCCCCTTGGCCTCCCAAAGTGCTGGGATTACAGGTGTTAGCCACCATGCCTGGCCTGAGGCGGGAGCTTTCTGAAGCACATCAGAGAGCCAGTCCAGCAGTGGGGGAGTAGGATGTTTTTAGAAGAGATCAGAGGTCTCAGGAGAAGCAATAAGCTTGAAATTTTTTCTAAATGACATAGAGGCTTCTAAGTCTGCAAGTTCCTTGAAAGCAGTCATACTTTAGTTTTCTCTATATTGCTGTGGCCTAGCACGGTGCTTGGCAAAAGAAATAAATGCAATGAAGGAAAAAGTTTTACAATCAAGTCATTTTGAGAATGTTAAGATGCTCCTTATTGTAAACCAGAAGAAAGTGTCTCCTATGTCCATGGTCACATTTCGCTAAGAATTTGGCCATTAAGTAACAGCCTTTAGATTTCAATTTCCTCCTAGGACCATTGTGGGGATTTGTATGAGCCTATAATAGTCCTTCTTGCCCTGCAAGTTCCCATTCATTCTACTTTCTTTGGTTCTAGCTTATCACTGAAATGGTTTGAAGCCTCAGGAGTTTTACAAGCTTCAATCTGCTCTTGGCTTTTTGCCTCTGACATTTAATTTTCACACCTACTTTTATGAATTCAAGAATGGTACTAGACTGGCTTCTTCTGATAGAATGCTTTTCCCTTTCAACACATTGTCAAACATTACTTATTTAGAAGGCTGTATAAAACATATATGTTTAAAGAATAATTATAAAGCAAATACTTGTGCAATCACTACCCAGGTTAAGAAATAGAATATCACATTTTGTAATATGGGATTTTAGAACCAAAAGTAACTTTTAGAAATAGAATCAGTTGGTTTGCAAACCTTTTACAGATGAAAAGACCAAGGCTTAGAGTAGGCAAGTGGTTTTATACAGGTCCATACAGCAGTTACTGATGCAGCTAACCAAGAATCATGAACTCTGAACCATCAGACGCCACAGAAATCAGGGGTTTAATTTCTGATACCAGGCTGTCTGGTCTCTAAATGAATATTTTCAGATTGAGTTGAGGAAGGAGGACCTAATTATCTCATGAAGGGACTGTTGTTTTCATTTCCAGGAGTTTTCCATAAAGGCAATGCTGGTGGTCTACTCTAAAGGCGCTTGCTAATCTCAAAAGTGTTTGGATTTTTAGCAGGGAGTTTTTTGTTTTTTTGTGTTTTTTTGTGTTTTTTTTTTCTTTTTCATCACCAACTTGGCTCATGTTTAGAGATAATATTTTCTTAAGTATCATGAGATTTTTGGTGAGTAAATCTTCTGTATGTTGTGGTATGAGTAGTTTGGAGTTCTAAATTGTGACTTTTTATGCAAAGACAATTTTAGTTACAGGGGTGGAGCATTGTAAGCATATCTGATCCTTTCCCTAGTAGGGTTGAGATCTAGCTTTCTCTCTCTCTCTCTCTCTCTCTCTCTCTGTCACACACACACACACACACACACACACACACACACACATACATACCCCTCAATGAACCAATCAACTCTGGTACCTTGGAAGCACTAAACCATGGGGACAACAGTCACACAAACATGTATATTCTCCATTTGACTTTTGCTCCCCAGAAGAGGCTTGTTTGACCTTCAGTAGGCAAGTGGGGAAGGGCAATGTTTTTTGATTCCTAAGGATTAATTCAAAGGTGGAAAACTCCTGGGTATCTACCCAGAGGAAAAGAAGCCATTATACAAGAAAGATACTTGCACATGCATGTTTATGGCAGCACAATTCACAATTGCAAAAATATAGAACCAGCCCACATGCTCATCAATCATCGAGTGGATAAAGAAAATGTGTATATATATGTGTGTGTTTGTGTGTGTGTGTGTGTGTGTGTGTGTCTATGTATGTATGTATATATACCATGGACTACTACTACTCAGCCATAAAAAGGAAAGAAATAATGACATTTGTAGCAACCTGAATGGAATTGCAAACCATTACTTCAAGGGAACTAATTTAGGAATGGAAAACCAAACATTGTATGTTCTCACTCATAAGTGAGAACTAAGCTATGAGGATGTGAAGGCATAAGAATGATACAATAGACTTTGGGGACTTGGGGAGGGGGAAGGTTGAGCGGGGGGTGAGGGATAAAAGACTACACATCGGTTGCAGCATACACTGCTTGGGTAATGGGTGCACCAAAATCTCAGAAATCAACACTGAAGAACTTATTCATGTAACCAAACACCACCTGTTTCCCAAAAACCTATTGAAATAAAAAAGTAAAAACAACAACAACAAAGATGGAAAACTCAAAATGTCTTATATTCTTGGCAGAAAATATAAGAAAGGGAAGGTATGAGATTTTGGGAAACCTAAGTGTAGTATGTTGGGAGTTAAATAGCAAAAAGTGCTGGGGAACCACAGTTAACTGGAGACCATTTGCCCAGTCTAAAGACATTCACATTCAGAAATTTAACAAATACCTTGTGAAGACCAAACAAAATTTATCTGTAGGTAGAATGAAGCCTATAGCCATTTCCTTCCGAGTTTGTCATCTCTGAATCTTTTCCTATCAATCAAATCAAATTAAAATTGCCAAAAAGTATAGTGGTGGTGGGGAAAAAATTCAGAGTTATAGCATGTGGGTTCAGGGTTCTGGTGGTGGTGATGGTAGAAAAGGTGGTAGATGGAAGGGTCATGATATAGTTTGGATGTTTGTCCCCTCCAAATCTCACGTTGAAATGTAATACTCAATGTTGGAAGTGGGGACTGGCGGGAGGTGATTGGATCGTGGGGGCGGATCCCTCATGGTATAGCACCATCCCCTTGGTGATAAGTGAGTTCTTGCTCAGTTCACACAAGATGTGTTTCCTTAGAAGTCCGGGATCTCTCCCTTCTCCTACTCTCTTGTACCCATTCTCACCACAGGATACATCAGCCCCCCTTCACCTTCCACCAGGACTTTTTTCCCACCACCATGATTTTAAGCTTCCTGAAACTGCCGCCAGAAGCCAAACAGGTGCCAGCACCATGCCTCCTGCAGAGCCTGCAGAACTGTGAGCCAATTAAACCTCTTTTTTTAAAAAAGTAAATTATCCATCCTCAGATATTCCTTTATAGCAACTAAAAAAATGGCTTATACAGGTGAGATGTAGGGGAATTAGTGTGTGTATAACATACATATACATGCATATACATATATGTATATATTATGTACATATACATAATATATACATATATGTATATATTATGTAATACACATACACATACATATACGTATATATTATGTACATACACATACATATACGTATATATTATGTACATACACATACATATACGTATATATTATGTACATACACATACATATACGTATATATTATGTACATACACATACATATACGTATATATTATGTACATACACATACATATACATATATGTATATATTATGTACATATACATACATACACATACAATTATATGAGAGAACCTATGGCTTTCATCAAGGCTCAACATAAAAGAAATTTAAAAATAAGATAAAATAATAAGTTAAATATGAACATTGATGTAGAAATAAAATAAGAGGAACCCACAGTGAAGATAAAGAGATCTAGCAGAAAAAACATTTGTCTTTTTAAAGGTGATTATCTCAGTGAGCAGTAGAAGCCCATTGATTGAGTCTTTATGCTTTAGGGAAATGTTCAATTATACATATGATAAACATTCAGGTAGACTGAAAATTTCTAGAAGATGGAGGACAATTTTTTATTAATAATGTAGGAAAAGCTTGGAATACAGCACACAAGACAGTAATTGCTTAAATTATATATTGTATAATTATATATATATACATATATGTATGTATATGTATGTTATGCACACACACACATACATACACACACACGTGTGTGTGTGCGTGTGTGTGTGTGTGTGTGTGTGTGTGTGTTTTGGTGAATGATCATGACCAAGAGGGAAAGTGTGAGATTTTGGAAAATATATGCTCTGGGATCCTGAAAGCCAAACCTTCTCTTTTCACAAACTCAGGGTGTGTGACATCTTCAGAATCAAATGAGTTCTTTTTGTGAGGTTCAGCTAAAGAGTCAACGACTTTTCAACACATGCTTCTTATGAGTTTGAAAGTTGGTATATCAATCTGTGAGTGCTTGCAAAAGAGGGCTCTCTTAATTTTCTTGGCTTAAAATTTCTAAAACACATGAGGAAATTTTTTTAGTAAACTTTTTATTGAAATATGAAATAAATACAGAAAAATGCACATATTATAAGTGCACAACTGAATGAATTTTGGTAGTTAACACATCTGTGTAACCAGGACCCGAATATAGAACTAGATCATTACCAGTACCCCAGATGCCTCTTTCATGTTCTTTTCTAGTCACTAACTCCCTAAGGGTAACCACAATCCTGATTTTTCACACCATGAATTAAGTCTGTTTGTTTTTTTGAACATTAGACTGAATTATTTAGTATGTACTCTTTTGTGTTTGGTTGACTGTCTTCTTTCTCTCAACAATATGTATCTGTATCATTCAATGCAGTTGTAAACCATCCATTCTCATTTTTTGTACACTAATCTATGCATGAATTCCAACATAATTTATCCATTCTACTGTTGATGAACATGGGGATTCTCACCATTTTTGGCTATTACAAATAGTACTGTTGTGAAAAATCTGGTGCATTCTTGTTACCATTGAGTAAACATGTATATGAGGGAGATTCTTGACCTTTCCTCTTCTGAGCCTTATTCTGTTCACCAGGAGTTACACCCAGATTTCTTGTCCTTGATCTCCTAACCTGGGGCATAGGCACTTAAAGACTCTGAGATAGTTTCCATGAGCTTCTTTCTGAATGAACTGGGAACACTTTGTACGGCTTACTGTGACCTTTGCCTGGACCATATTTCTAGAATCAAATGGCCAAATAGGATGAGTTTGATAAAAAGCAGAAAGACCTCATCAGTAGAACACATCATTCTGGTTTAAACTCTGGGTCTAATGTCACGATTTCTGAGCACTTGCCTGTGATTCCACCTGGTGAACCAAGTTTTAGATGCTACCCATTACAGGTTGTCTTAGAAACCAATTCTGCCATTTCCTAACTGAATCTTTTAAGAATGCAAGAAAAACCTTTCTCAATCTGTAGAGTATACAGTTCCTTCTGAAAATATAATTACAATTCTACTAGCTAATGGCAGTCTGTGAGAACTCACAAAAGAAGGGATGTCTGTTTGTAGGATCTTCAAGTTTCTTAAAATCCACTTGGATAAAAAAACTGTCCATATATTCGAACAAAAGATGTTAAAAGCAGGGCTTGTGATTAAGGTGGGTTTTTGTCATAAATACCTCAAAGCTAAACAGATGGCTATTATTAGAATTAGAGTAAAATTATTCATTCCACAAAGCCAGCTGAGCCTCTACTATTTGCTACTCTCTATGCTAATGTAATTTACATTAAATTATATTAAATTAAATGTTAATTATATAAGATAGAATCATTATAACATGATACATTATAATTTCAATAAGTGATAAGAGCTGAGAAGAAAATAAAACAAAGTATGGAAAAGAGTGGGAGTAAGATGTTATTTTAGATGGCGGGTAGAGTCAGGAAATATCTTTGAATGGGCAACCTGAGTGAAGTGTGGAAGAAAACCTTGTCAAGATCTGGGAAGAAAGTATTCTGGAAAGAGGGAGCAGCAAGACCAAAGTCTCTGAAAGGGAAACAAGATTGGCAAATTCAAGGCAGAGTGGCTGGAATATATTGAGCAAGAGGGAGAAGAGGAAGTAAGATGAGAGAGGAAGAGAAAGGCAGGTGTATTAGTCTGTTCTTGTGTTGCTATAAAGAAATACCCGAGACTGGGTAATTTATTAAAAAAGAGGCTTCATTGGCTTGCGGAAGCATAACACTGGCATCTGCTTCTGGGGAGGCCTCTGGAAACTTGCAATCATGACAGAAGGCCAAGCAGGCGCTTGCATGTCACATGGCAAAAGCAAGAGCAAGAGAGAGAGGGGAAAGGTGCCACACACTTGTAAATGAACAGATCTCATGGGAACTCACTCACTACTGCAAGGACAGCACCAAGGGGATGGTGTCAAACTATTCATGAGAAATCCTCCCCCTTGAGCCCATCACCTCCCACCAGGCCCCACCTCCAGCACTGGGGATGACATTTCAAAATGAGATTTGGGCAGGGACACACATTCAAACTATATCAACAGGGATCAGATAAGGAGTTTGGATTTTATTGCAAGGGTGATAGGATGCCACTGGATGTTAAATAGGAGTGGAAAATGTGGAGTTTGGTTTCATATATAGTTGGGAATGATCGGTTTGGCTGCTTCATAGAGAACAGGTTACAGGCATTAGGAATGAAAGCAGGGCAGTCTTCCTGAATTCTGAGAAATGCATTTAATTCCCTGGGGTTTGGGGGGCGGGGGGGATATGTGTTATAGAAGTTGCTATAGGGCAGAGGAAAAAATTGTTTCAAAGGAAGAAAGGAGTCAACATAGGTGAGCAAACTGTCAGAATTTCAGGTTGAGAAGATACCAGGCATATCAGTACCCTCTACCCGTTTATTTTACAGATGAGAAAACCAAGGCTCAGAGAGCTTAAATAAGTTTCCTAAGGTGAAGATGTGATAACAACATTAAAAACATGAAGAAATTTGGTGAAAATTGATGCTATTATAAAATTAAACTATTCATATGCAATAAAGTAAATTTATGGGTAACAGTTACAAACATTTTGAAATTGAGAGTTAAATTTTTTTTTGAAAGCTGAAAATTTGGAGAAAACAAAATGACCAACTTGTGATCTTTTATGCATTTTAGGAAAGCAGTATTGACTGAATTTTTTAATGGCAAGGTCTATGCCATATTAGTTTTCTAAAACTGTTGTTGTGGACAATGCTTGGCATATGGTGCGTGCTCTATAAATGTCTGCTGAATGAATACAGGATAAAACCAGGCATCAGAAGACTTCTGGGTGGTGGAGGTGGGGGTTGTAGAAAAAGGAAGAAAATAAAGATCTATGCTCTCTAATTAGCACTGTGTTAATGTGGAAAAAGAACAATTAAAGCATTCGTCATGGTGCCTTGGATTGTGAGTGACAGAAAGTCAGTTCAAACTGATCTAAGCCTTAATGAACATCCATTGGTTCATGTAACTAAGTCCAGGGAGTAGTTCTGACTTCAGGTATGGCTGGATCCAGGGCTCATATGGCATTTAAAGGACTATCTCTGTCTCTGTTTTCATCTCTCTTTTTTCATTTATTTGTTCATCTTTCCTTCATGTTAGCTTCATTCTCAGGTAAAGCTTTTCTCACAGGGAGGTCTCCCTACAGTTATAAGGCTACATCCACCAGTTTATTTACACCAACAAAAAGAGCATCCTTTTCTCAAATGGTGCCATCAAAAGTCTTCAGACTCATGCTCATTGTCTGGGGTTGTCTAGGTTTACATCATGTGACCATGTCTGAACCAATCAGAGTGGTCTAGATGATGGAATGATCTAGTTTGCCAGGCCTGGGTCATGTACTCAGTCAGCCCACGCCAGGCCAGTCAGCCCATCTTCACATGGGCTGAGAGCTGGAAAGGGAGTATTTCCTAAAGGAAGAGTGGAGTATGATTAACAAAAGTTGGTAGAGTGGACAGTGGCAAGCAAAACAACAAAGATCTTCTACCAAAGCAAAAAAAGGAAAAGAGAATCTTGTAGTTTAAGAGGCAATTTCTGCTTATGCAATCCCCTAAAACCTAAGGCTCCTCAGCGCTAGAGCAAGACTTGCTAACTCAGTATTCAAAATGTTCCTTTGCTCACATTACTGATGATGCAGATACTTCTAGACATTTTCTTGTTTTTTTTTTTTTTTTTTTTCAAGTGCTCTACCTGTCTTCTTTCAGGCTTTCTGAGGCAGCTAAATTTTCCTAAGACCTCCCTGATAAATTAAGTGGACTTCTTGGGTGCAAAAGATCTCACAGGGCTAGCAGTCACTGCTATGTTTCTCTTCTCCTCACACCCTCCCCAGCCATTGGTATAGAGCCCCAACCACTCATAGTTTATCCGTAGCTTTTTTTGAAGCCATTCTTCATGTTTATTGAAGGAGCCACCCACTGAGCCCAACATCTGCTTTCCTCAGAAGCTCAAGGGCTAGGTCAACTGAAATAGTAAGTCACGTGGAGTTGTGGCTTCAGGTAAGTATGTAGCTTTTACTCTGTGATGAAGGTAGTCAAAGAGACAAACTCTGTTTCCTTATATTCCACCAAAATGTCCAAAAAACCTCCTCCAAACCAGTTGAAAAATCAGTCAGCTGAAGGACTCCAAGACAATTAGATTAATTGAAAACACATTTCATAAAAGGAATTGAATAGATTTTTTAAGGCAATAGGACATCAATTAATGAGTTTCCCTTGGCATTTCCAGCTTTGCTTTGCCTCCAAATTGTAATATTTCGAAATCCATTCAGGTATCCTTTGTATAAATTCTGAGAATGTGTGTTTCTAGTCATGTCACCATGAGACCAGTGCTTACCACATCACAATTTTGCCACATGTGTTAAATTAATAAAATAATGAGAAACCACTCTAGGTATTTCAAGTAGAAGGTGATTTAATACAGGGAAATAGATGCTTATAAAATGGTGAGAAGAGTATGGAAGTCAGAGGCACCAGTGGAACTTGCTATCCATGTCAACAGGAAGAAACCACAGTTTTCACGTTTTCCACTCTTGCTGCCATAATAACTGCCTCCGTCGACTAGAGTAGAAGCATGAGTCTGACTCCTGCATGTGCTCAAATCTCACAAAGCTTACTAATCAGCTGCCATTACTGCAGCAAGGCTCGCTTCACTTTCTTTCTGCCTTACAAAACTCATGCAACTGCATTTAATTGGCACAACAGAATTCATCCAGAGCCTTAACCACAAGGATGTCTGGAAAGTATAATTCTAAGACATCCAACCTCTTGGAAAGAAAAGGGGAGGTTGAAAAAACTAATCCAAGAATATACCACCTGTACTAACTTTACAAATTAAAGTTATTTTAAAAGGAAACTTTGTATTTATACTGTAAATGAAAATCCAGGATCATTTGCCATTAACAGATGGTACTTGTCAAAGTAAATGCAAGGAAATTGTTTGCCTCAAGTTTCCCAAAGATGTTCTTCCTTCCAGAGAGAACAGAGTGATTATAAAAAGGCTCTTCTCCTAACCTCTCCTTGTTACTGAGGGTTCTCTCCTTTCTGCACCCTTCCTCTGTGCTACTCCCATCTATCCACTTGGTGGGAGCCAAACAACAATATTTGCAATAAAATTACAGGTCATATCTTGAATTATGGCAGAATTCTATGCAAATCATATTCAAGATTCTTTTATTTTCCTGGTGGGGAGATGAGAAGACCACTCAGAACCTCACTCCCACCAACAGTGCCCTTCAATGCACTTTACTGGTGTGAAATCTTTTATTAGCATGTAAGCATCTTATAGATACTTTGACCTCCTCTGTCTGAAGTTCTAGGACAGAACTCAGTTTTTAAAAATTCAACCTGAATTTCAAATTTTAACTAAGAAAGAAAATCAAGAATGATGACTCTTTCAAATAGTTTCAGGAAGTGAAGAAACCCCAACAGTCAGTTTAAAAGCAGGGTCTTTGTTGCCTTTGGGGTGGGGGCTGCATTCCTGGGGACACTCGTGCAGGTTAAGCCACCAACCCTGGACAAGAGTTGTCTATTTAATCCAATTCCTTTCCTGGTGCTTTGAGTTGATCCTTCTTGTTACCAGCTATACAAATCCTTCTCTGCCATGGGGACTATAGCTTTCTCCTCTTTCGTTTACTTCACCTTGGTCATCATGCCCCTTAACCTCCTATCCCCAACTCTGTTTTATTTGTTTTCAGAGTAGTTACCACTTCCAACTTCGTATATACTACCGTCTGCCTTTCAAAGAGCTCCATGATTGTCTGTTTTCTTTACAGTGGAAGCCCTAGCTTTAAAAACACTGCTTCTTATAAACACTCAGTTCATGTTGATTGAATGAAAAATAAATGGGTGAATGAGCAGTCAGCCTGCCTAGCTCAGCCAGGCCAATCTCAGAAAGAAGCCTAAACCCAGCAGAAACTCACTGTGGCCCTTACTGTGTTTCACAAAATGTCAGATTAACCAAAACTATTTACAACAAAATGTGCTTCGAACTCCAGACAACTGTAATCAAATATAGGCCTCATGTTGCTGTAAACTTAATTTTGAGGTAATGTTGGAATTTTTGTCTTTTGCTTTAGAGAGCAAAGAATTGGGCTTGAGCCTTGAGTCTGCCAACCCTGAATGAAAAGTCATTTAGATTCTTTCTCATCTGTAAAATGAAGATATTTGTATTTAATTCACTAATTGTTGCATGGGTCATATGAAATAAGGCATTTATCCATAGATTTCATTATTAAGGAAGCAGTTTTATGAGTGCCTACTATCTACAAGGCTTTTAAATAGGTATCACAGAAAGGCGTGTGTAAGTGCATTCTAACCTGCAAAAGTGTGTAGAGATTCAAGGCAGGACTACAGTATAATGAAATACTGGATGATTGGTCTTGTTTCTTCACTCATTTACTATTGCAGAATTATACTTCCACATCCTTTGCTGTGGGTTTGCAGTGCCTCCCCCTAGGGCATGTAGAATATAATTCTCCATCTATTTGATGTTGGTCTTGGTCATGTGACTTGCTTTGACCAATGACATGTGAATGAGCAGGGGTTTTAAAGTGCTTCATCGTTTGGCTGGGCCTCTTCTTCTGTGATCACCATAGAATGTGTCTTTCGGTTCAGGAAAAACTCAGAGGCAAGGTGGGCAGACATGAGCCCAACCTACAGCCTGCAGTCAAGCCAAGATCACCCAAGATCTTGAGCCCAGCCAAGATCACCCAACCCACAGATCCATAAGTGAGAAAAGCAAATGCTTGTAGTTGTAAGTAACTGAGACTTAAAGTTGTTTGCTGCGCAGCAAAAACTGACTAGGACACATATTATTTAAGTGGATTGTTCTGACAATGGGTATGCCAGACTGACACTTTCTCAGAGATACCAGAGAAAGCCAAAAACACTAGATTTCAGTGCTGGCCTTCTTTCTAGGTACTGCTGCAACCATTGGCAATGGGATGCTATGCAAGCTGGCTACTGTCACTTTTCTCACTTTACAGCCACATCGGTCTCTTTTGCTACTTCCTCTACTTGACAAGTGCACTCCTGACTCAGGGCCTTTGTACTTGCTGTTCCCCACCCAGAATCCCCCTCCTCCAGGTTATCCGCATAGCTCACTCCTTTCCCACTTGTGGTCTTTAAATGTCGTCTTCTTCAGACCCTGCCTAGCATTTCAACCCTCCCCCACAACGCTCCCAACTCCCCTTTTCTGATTTGCTTTTCTCAAAAGCACTTTTCACTTTCTCACGTAATATATATTGTATTGATTTATTAGATTGGTGCAAAAGTAATTGTAGGTTCTGCCATTACTTTCAATGGCAAAAAACTGCCATTACTTTTGCACCAAACTAATATATTATTCATTATAGATATCTATTTAATTTTGTATTGTGTGCCTCCCCCTACTAAGTTTTAAGCTCCATGAGAATGAGTTTAAAGAAAATATTCACTGCTATTCTATTGCCAAGGTCAGGCTCAGAATAGGCACTTAATAAATAATGTGGAATAAATAAACAAATGTCCCATGCTCAGAGTACAAATGCTGATATAAATCAGATTACTGTCTAAAACTTGAATTTATTCATTATTAGAGAAACTCTCTGAAGAATTTGTGGGCCGGGCATGGTGGCATGTACCTGCAGTTCCAGCTACTCAGGAGGATGAGGCGGGAAGATGGCTTGAGGCCAGGAGTTTGAGACTAGCCTAGACAACATAGTAAGAACCTATCCCTTAAAAAACAAAAAAGGAGAAAAAAATGTGTGCTCTATACTGCAAGATGGCTTGTGGGCACATGGAGAATGGTTTAGGGATGGAGGGCCGAAGGGCTGAGGTTGGGTTTAGGGAATGGTTAGGAAGTCAGTGCACAGTTCCAGGTAAGAAATGACAAGATGTGAATGAACTCAGACAATGTCTGCGAATGAAGGGAAGGGGATAATTAGGAAATACTGAGGCTGTAGAATTACAGAGCTTGTGGCTGCTTAGATGTGAGGCAAGGTGGGAACAGTGGAATCTCCATTAAGTCCCTAGTTTCTGGATTAGGTATCTGAGTAGATGCTGCTGCTCCCTGAGTGGGGAGATGCCAGAGAAGGAGATGGTGTTTGAAGGGCAGGCACAGGGAGACATGAATGTGGAGTCAGGTTCCCATGAGCCAAGAGATGTGCACCAGAAGGTTGAGAATGTGGCTCTGGGGCTTAAAAGACAACTTGGGCTGGGGATGAAGATTTGAGAGCCACAATTCTAGACCCTAAGGGCAGCACGTGGAGTGAGGAAAGGGGAGGACCAAAGGGAACACCATTAATTAGGACAAGTCCAGAAGAAAAGAAACTGCAAAAATAATGAACAAGCAGCCATCAGAGAAGTGGGATCAGAAAAATTCCCAGGGAATTTTTCTAAGAAGAGGAAGCCAACAGTGTCAGATGTCAGAAAGCTATAAATCAGCACAGGAATGAAAAGTCCCCACTGTACTTGGCAGACAGAGGTTCAGGTGACAGGATGGACATTCTGTCAGGAAGGCTGAAGATCCTCACTTTCATTCTCATCCCACATCTCCATGAATGGGACCACAGGGGAGTGTTCCATTGTCCTCAAAATAAGCCTTTTGCCTGCCCAATTTGAGACCCCGGCGTTCTGCATCCAGATGGAAGAGATTCTTATTTACTTAAAATCCCAAATGACTATTATCTCCCTTAGGCCAAATACCTGCAGTTCCTTTATTGTATTAAGCAAGCATGGTATGCTGGAAGGTTCTGGAATTAGGAGCTAAAAAGCCTGGGCTGATCTAGCTTAGGATCTGTTATGGCTAAAAGGAAAACTTGAACAATGTATGGATTTTTTTTTTAAATTCAGTGTTTCTCATCCTTAAAATTTTGGGGTTGACCTCAGTCAGGTCCCTGGGAAGATGTATCAGGAATATTTGAACTATCTTTTAGCTTTCACATGTATCAGTTAATGAAATCAACGGTAGATATTTATTGAAGATTCAACTAGTGGGCAATTTCTATTCCCTTCTAATAATAATTTTGCTGTTGGACCCATTCCATTCCTCTATATACCTTCAGAAAAACACAGAAGCTTAAACAGTCCACAGAATTCTCTACCATGGCCATGACTAATGCAGAGTACATAAGAAGGCAGAACAAAAGTACCGATTCTATACCTCTGTTGTAGGCTGCTGCTGTTGTCAAGCTGCTAGTGATTTATTTAGTATTCTAGTCACAAGGAAGGAGAATACGAAATAAATATCAAATAATTTGCCTTGATTCTTGAGGTTCCCTTTAAAAGTAATTAACCCAAATTAAGACAATATTTACCAAGGGTCCGGAAAACATAATAAAACAAATAAAACCACCAGCCTACTGATTCAATAGTCAGATTTCTTAAATGTAGCTATGGAAATTTTGTTCTCTGTGTTGTGCGTTTTCCCACTGGGATCTTAATATGTTTTGCAAACGTGACTCAAACGCCAGTGATACCTCCCCATCTTTGTCTCTTAAAGAAATGGAGCCAGTGAGAACCGAAGACCCATGACACCATCTCATTGGTTGTATTGAAAATGTCATCTTTGGCGTTCATGAATTCCTTTGCCCCAGTCTTCAAGGGAAGTGTGTACTTTCCTGCCCAGCTGATGTTGGCCTTGACCTTGTGTCTTGCTTAGGCTAGCAGTAGTGGACGGACATGACAGTGTGTGCCGAGTGCCTTCTTTGACCTCAGGAGACAGTGCATTTTTCTGCTAGTGCTTCCGGAAGCTTCTTCCTCCATCCTGAGAAGAGCTTCTCCCTAGTAGCTTCTACCTGGGTGTAAAAATAATATTCATGGAACAAAATTGCCCCAGTCAACCTACAGACCCTGAGTGGCTCCAGCCAATCAGTAAACCCAGAAACATAAGAATAATTATTGTTTTAAATCACTGAATTCCAGAGTGGTTTGTTAACAATAGGACTATGTAAATAGTTAACTGAAATAATATCATTCGGTGTAACAGCTTATCTTATAGACACATTTTGAGATCTCTGGTCTCTATCACTATCTTGTTCAGGCCCTAACTGAATACAAGGCAAATACCATGGCAGAGCTGTGCTTAGAGAAAAGTTAGTTTACAACTTGAAAAAGCCTAGAAATCAAATTTGTCTAAGAGTTGCCCATTTTTGAGGCCTAAGTCTGTGATTCTCAACCAGAGGCAATTTTGCCTCCTAGGGATATTTGGTGATGTCTGGATACATTTTTAATTGTTATCACATAGGGTAGGGATGCCGCTGGCATCTAGTTGTTAGAGGCCAGGGAATGCTGCTAAACATCTTACAATGCACGACTCCTCACAGTAAAGAATTATCCAGTCCCAAATGTCTACAGTTTCAAGGATGAGAAGCCCAGAGCTAAACCTATATTTCTTTGTATAACTGACTCTAAGGGCATATCAGATGTTATCTTTGGGCAGCACGGCATTAAAACTGATATCATTTATTAGGAAAAAACAGGAAAACTTCACCAAGTAAACGACAGCTTCCAGAGAAGAGACCAGAATTCTTCTATTATTTATTACTCCATTGAAAAACATAAAGCAAAAGTAATTATCTGCTCCCTTTTTGAGACTTAACATATTTCATTGGATTTATATGTCTCACTGAGGCTTCCCTTTTTTATGAACACTTCCGTATTACTCAGATATCAGAGGCTCCATGATCTACCTAGTTATTTACTCTTTCATCCATTCAGCTTATTTAGGGAGCACTTACTATATGTTGGGCACCCTTAGAATTTCTCATTCCCAAGATGTCAGGTTTAATTTTATGTTTGTTTTGTTTTGTTTCAAATGCTGTATATAAGAGTGCATGAACATTCACATTCATTTTGAGACGCCTAGCAGTGAACACCATCTTTCTGTTTACCCTGCACCTTTGAACACCCCTTCCTGTGTTATGAGCCTTGAAAGTGGTAGAACCTGCCTCCCACTGGAGATAGCTGAGACCTGAGATGCATTTTCCCACCTTACCTTATAAATTACGAGATACAGCTGTGTAGGACTTTATATTAGAAGCTAGTGGAACCCATTCTGGTGATAGCTAGAAGTAGGTGCAAACGTTTAATGGTAGCAATAGAAGCACACAGATTCACTGTACAAGCATATTTCTTGGTATATTCTATAATTTAGTATCATGTTTTATAAAAACATATTTGATGTGTTTTGTTAGTAAGAGGTATGCCAACAGAATTTGATACCACTAGGTCAATGAGGATGATATTAAGCTTAGAACAATGGTGATCTCAAGAGAGAACTCATTAGGCTTAATCTAAAACTGCTGAGCAGCAGGCTTTTGTCCCTCAAAAAAGAAAGAATTTTCTGGCAGATCCACAAGCCCAGCAAGGTCCTCAAAAAGGTGTGACCTAGCAAAATTGTCCCCACTTTCCACTGTAGGTTCCAAGGGAGGATGTGGCCAGGGCAGGCTCTGGTCATGAAAGTTCCAGCTCCACCATTCTCTTAGTTTTGCCCCTTTGAAGCCACAGGAGTGGCTTCCCAAGGAGCCAGGATGTGAAGCAGGCAGAGGGTTCAAGGTCTGACCTGAAAGCCTGACCTCAGGAGTGCAAACAATGAGTGAATACAGCACTTCCCTGGCCACAGTGTACTGGAATGCCCTTGTCTTTCTGCTAATTCAATTTAGCTGTTTTGGATTCCACACCGATAACTCCTTCAGACAATGCTTCTTCCTGTACCCAGCTACAGAAAGACTAGAAGGCGTCTAGCCGGAAAACAATGCTCTGACAATAGAAGAGAAAATCAATGGCAGATGCCCCCTTCAATTTTTTTTATCTAATCCTTACAAAAACCATGCGAGAAGGGTTAGTTTCTATTTTTCAGGTAGGAAAATGGAGATTCAAAGTGGTAACCTGAATTCTAACTCAAGTTAGTCTGATTTTCAAGTCCATATTCTTTTTAATTAACTGCAAAAGTCAATGTGGATTTCATTTTATAACTTGTTTATATTCAAATGAACAAGATTTTTGTCATGGAAAAATCCAAGCCTTACCGGGAGGGAGAAAACAAGGAACATAAATTCAGCTCCTTTGGTGAAAGGGTGACATTGCATATGGTTTCAAATCGCCTGGAGACGCAAGAAATCTGCTCTGAGTTTGCAAATTTGATTCTGAGGACTCCAGGCACGGGAGCTGTGTCAGATTCAATGTATCTGCCCAGGGATAGATTAGGACCAGGTGACTGCCAAGCTGTTCTCTGTACCTTTCTGACTCACCTGCTCTATTCAGCAAATCACTGTGCAGTCAGACCTTTGAGGCAAAAGGTAACTTTGTGCCCTCTGCCTTTTGCCCTCTACCTCTCTCAATGGGCTTTTTAAGACACCATGTTGGTGGCAACCAGTGACCACCTGCTTATAGGCACAAGTCATTTGAAGTCATAAAACAAGAGCCAGCACCAGCCACTGAATTAACAAGGATGTCTCAGCTTTTCTTTGAGAATACATGTTTTTTTCAAAGGGTCAAATGGGGTACAGATGCTCCTCAACTTACAAAGGGGCTATGTCCCGAGAAACCCTTCATAAGTTGAAAATATTATAAAACACATTTAACACACCTAACCTACCAAACATCATAGCATAGCCTAGCCTACCTTACATATGCTCAGAACACGTACATCAGCCTATATTTGGGCAAAATCATCTAACACAAAGCCTATTTATATAAAGTGTTGCATATCTCATGTAATTTATTGAATACTGTACTAAAAGTGAAAAACAGAATGGTTGTGTGGGTACTTGAAGTATCGTTTCTTCTGAATGCTTATTATTTTTTCACCATCATAAGTTGAAAACCGTGAAGTTGGACCATCACAAGTAGGGGGTTGTCTGTACATATGTGAACTCTGGAGTCAAATTGCTCTCAACCTGGTCCTTCTCTTTACTTACTGTCTGGCCTTTGGATGTTGCTTTACCTCTTTAATGCCTAGGTTTCCTCATCTGTAAAACTGACTGATTTATTCCTTCCATGCATACGTCCTGAGCACCTACGCTATGCCAGGCCTTGATTCTCTGTGCTGAAATGGAGCACTGAGCAAAGCCAACCAAGTCCTTCTGTTCTCCCAGAGGAGACAGGTCATAAACAGATACAATTGCAGCATTATTTTAGGCAGTGCTAAATGCCATAAAGACAAATCAAACAGTGTAAGGGATGGAGAGATGGGGGAGGGGTGGTTATATTATCCCCTCTTTGGGAAGACTGGGAAGGACTGGGGAGGAAATAGTACCCTGAGAAGATCAGAATAATGGGAAAGGAGGGAGATATTTGAGGCAAGAGCATTCCAAGCCGAAGTGAGGACAAAAAGAGACAAAACAAAACATAATAACTGTACCTAGCTTATTGGACTGCTGTGGGCGTTAAGTGGGATAATACCTGTAAAGTGAGACCATAGGAGCTACTCTGTGAAGGTTAGCTTTGCATGTGTTGTAGGCTTTCAGAGTTAAAAGAATGCTGAGTTCTATTCCAACTTTTGCTTATAATGCAGGTGACTCCTATACATAGTCGTGGAGCTTCAGCTTAAGTACCTGTCATCATGGGGGGGCTCCTTCTTCAGGAAGCAGGGCCTGGCCTCCCATTGTTGGGTGGTTTTTCTTTGTGAGAAAGTGCCTCCTTCTACCGAACCTATATCCCACCTGCGGGAACCACAAAGAACACACCTGCTGCCTCTTCCCACGACGACGCCTCCAACGTTTGAAATAACGTTTCATCTCAGCTCCATCAGTTCCTTCAACCACTCCTTATCTATATGGCTTTCAGATTCCTCACACTTTCATTTCATCATTTCAAAAACACAGCACAATATGCTCCATCTCTGAAAGGCACAGGAAAAATGACAAGATGAGCCTTTGAGGCTCGAACCTCCTCACACAAAAGCCCTTTCCTAAATAGCAGAGCCCTTAGATAAAGGGGAGTATGTCTACGCTTCTCAGTGTGTGCCTGCCCCTTCTCGCCATCCTGCTCAGGCACACCCCCAGTGTGCACCAAGTTGAAAACACATTTTTGGTAATAATTGAGAGACTAAGTTGGCTGATAAGTGGGTCCAGCTTCCTGGAGACAGGTATGAGAGGAGAAGGCAGGGAGGGTTGGGAGGGTGATGAGTAGCAGTATGTTCACAGCAGATGTTAATGCCCTGTTATTAATTAAGCATCAAATTAACAGGACTAAGACAGAGCTGATGAGTCAAAGTCCTAGGATCCACTTCATGTGAGCCAGCCAGGTCCTGCTACTCAGCTTCAACCCAACCTCCCTATCCCTGCCAGCTGCCTTATAAACATAAGCCATGGCCACGGAGGTTAGAGAGTATAGATGGCTCATCACAAACCCATCCCTGCTTCTGGAAAATAATGGCCCAATGGTAAATGAGTTGGGCTGTGTTGTCTTTAGAGCTTACCTGACAAATCCTCCCTGGCATGACTTCTGAAGCAATGGGCAGATTTTATCACCATAGACTACAGGCCTGAATTGTAAGCAGTTCATTCAATGGTGAATGAGAATTTCTATATAACTATGCAATTGTGAAGTTCTGTACAATCTTTTTTGGATTCAATTGTTGGACAAACAGACATTGTGGGTGGTAGTTAGAAACAAGAGATAACAGTAGAGTCATGTTTAGATCTGTTTATTCATTTATTTCAATTTTTGTATTGAAAGCAAAAATCTTAATTCTTAAATGGAATGCAGGAAGGATGAGTGTAAGAAAAACTGAGACACCTGCTCAGTCTGATCTACTATGAAACAATAGTCTTGGTGCCAACAGCCTCTAATCAAAACTTCTCAGTGATTTATCTGCTCTGTTGGACTGGCTTGATAAAGCAGCCACCACACCGATGTTCACACGATGCCACTCCAGAATTCAATTTGCTGGGGACTGCCAATTGGCTGAGTAACTGCTGGAAAATAATGAGCCAGTTTCTCACTGGCTGATCTACTTGACTGACAGGTGGGTTGGACAAGGCCAGGAATCTTTCCTGGGCCTGTCCATTTCAGGACAGCAGGTAATCTGACCTTGAAGCTGTCCAAACTGGGCGAGTTGCAATTTGGGGATCCTGATAGCATCAGCAACAAGAATTTGCAGACTCATCTTACCTGAGTCAAAGCTTTTGCTGTTGTGGAAAATGTGTCTGAAAAATGTCACTGCCTTCCGCAGTTTGCAGACATATTTTTTTTTAACTCATTGGAGGTGGGAAATTACTATTCCTTGAGCTCTCTATACTTGGCCAAAGCCCAGACATCCTTTAAAGGCAAACTCCTTCATGGATTTTTTTTTTTTGACCACTGATGTGCACAATAATCTCTCTCTCCCCTGAATTTTTAGAGCTTCTTTTGTCTAGATCAGTAGATTTCAAACTTTAATGTGCGTGGAACCTCCTGGGGAATTTTCTTAAAAGGCAGGTTCGGATTTAGCAGGTCTCAGGTGGGGTGTGAGACTCTATCTCTAACAAGCTCTCAGGAGATCCACAGTTCTGTAGCAAGGGTCCATTTCTTTGACAGTAGAAATGGGCTGCGTTGTGGGCTTGCACGTTTCTCCACATGTATCTGAAGCTTCTTGAGGGCTTGTCTGCTGTCTTCCTTTGTACCCTCCCTAGCACCTTGGACAGTGCTATGTAAGCAGGTGGTGCTCAATAAATATTTGTAGAATAAGTGAATGCCTATATGGTAGACAGTGTACTGATTTCTCACTAGCACAGTGACTCAAGCATGACAGGTACTCAATAATTATTAATCGAATAAATGAGTGAACTGTCAGTATCTAGGTGACTAGTGAGAGAAGACTGAAATCTGAGCGAGATTGTTAAGCCCTGTCTGCTTCAGTTAAACAGGTGGGAAAAATAACGATGGAATTTCAGATAGGATGGTATCTGAATTAACTCTTTTATACCCTTGCCATGTGACATCCAACACTGAACCTTTTCTGTCATGAAGATTTTTTAAAATTTCCACTGTCGTGATAGGGTTTGGATTGAATTCCCTGATGTGTCCTGCTTTGGATGTTGTGTACAGGTATACACAGCAGGGAGTAGGGAAGAAGGTGAGTAGCATCCATTCTGGCAAACCTTATGAGAAGGACATCCCAGGCTGCTTGAAAAGCTGTTAATCCCTAAGCAGTGGTTTTGGCTGATGCTTTTCAGGGACCTCCACCTCCTTTCCCCGCCTCTGATCACCTGCCAACATACACCTGACACTCACAACGATTTTTAACCTGGGCCTGGAAACTTGACCCTCCTTCTTGCATGGCTTTGTCTGCTGGGAGGTTGGATTCAGTGCCCTTGCCACACAACTAGGCCCTGACTGAATACAGTCTGCAGCGGTTCATAGAGAAAGGCATCTGTCTCCTCTCTCTATGAACACTGGGGAAGGGTAACATTTAATATGGACGGCAGAAAAGTAACATTTATGGAGGCAAACTGGGCAGCTGGGAGCACCGGGGAGGCTGCACAAGGCAGAGGCAGGTGTCCTATTCTTTAGACTGAGGGGGTTGATCGGGCTCACACTCCATGGGGACAGCTCACTACACATTGTAGCTTTACCTCCCCACAAGCTTCTTTACCTGCCCCGAACAGCTCCCTCACCAGCCAGTGGTACTCCCTTCCCTTTGCCTGTCCCAAAACCTCTGCCATTAGAGCCATCCTTTTAGGTTAGGAAACAAATCAGACACTGGCTTTGGAAGGCCACTGCTAACTATACCTTTGATGTCTGGCGCCTGTGGGGGTGGTGTGGGGGAGGCTGTACATTTTCTTGGAGTCTTCCCATACCGGTACACAGGCAGGCAGAGCCCTGGGGGTATTTTTCAGCCTCCTCCAGCTGGATTTGAAAGGAGGCCATGGAATCTAGTTTCACTGATCTGAACCATGAGCCGTGCTGAGCCCGTCTTCCTGGCTGTGGGACCGTCGTGGGGCTCAGGGTCAATGGGGAGCCTCCAGACATCTTCAGGGTAGGCAGAGCAACTCTGCAACCTGGAGCTGCTTCCTGGAGGGGGGTGCAGAAACAGATGGTAAAAACCCAGGGTCCTCGGACCCTGCAGGTGTGCAAGGGCATGGAGCTACACCCATCTCGGGTTACTGCAGTATGAGCTACACCCATCTCGGGTTACTGCAGTCTAACTGGCATTACTGCAGAGCTGTGTTCCCTCTGGTGCAGGTGGCATGGATGCTCTGCAGTACCCAGCAAAGGTGCACTGGGCAGCCTCCACTCTCCCTGCGTAGCTGAGAGCTCTGCAGTGGGGGTGCAGGCCAACTCCAGGCTGGCTGCCAACAGGCTCTAACAGACTGCGTCACAGCACAGACCTCCTGTCTGCAGGCAAGGGAGGAGCAGACAGCAAGGCCAGGAACTTGAAATGCGTCTCTGGAGCCCCTTCATTCCTCTTTCCCAAGCCCCTCTGGGCCATTTCACGTGGTGGCTGGGGTTCCTCATTCCTTTTCCCTTCCTCTACCCTGCCCCTTTTACTCCCACTTACCACACTGCAACATTTATGTCCTTGGTGGCTCCTCATGCCAACTTTCAAACAAAGTTACACAGTGCATGCCCTTAGGACACTGCTCTCTAGAGAGAGGCAGGCTGGTTGGCCTGATAAAGCGTTAGGAGTGCCAGTGGGTATCAGTGTGAAATAATGGAAATATCTGTGTTCAGAAAATCAACAGAGCCTCCACCTAGAGACCTTCCCCTGGCAGAGAACCAGCAAGGTGCCCTTGGCACATCAAATTCACCTTTCCGCGTCATATTTCCCTATCTGTAAAATGAGAACAATTATTCCTCCTCTCTCTGTTTATAGAGTTTTGTATAAAGTATCAGTGGGATAATACACGGCTTCACAAACTTTAACATGCCCGGGAATTACTTGGGGATCTTTTAAAAATGCAGATCCTGATTCCAGGTCTGGGGTGGGGCCCGAGATTCTGCATTTCTTACAAACTCCTAGGTAATGGATGCAAGTAGTGGGGAGGCCACTCTGGGTAGTGGGGGAGCTAATAAATAAAGGATAATCTGAACATTGTGAAGGACCAGCAAAGGTAACATTTAAATTCTTTTATGTATTTACCCTTCTAAAAGGCATATTTGTATCTCTAAAGGAATCTTCACGTCTTTACTTCCAATGAATGTCATTTTAGGCACTTCAGATAGCCACTAGAGACAAAACGTGAAGTTAGGAAGAACTGATATCATTTCTGTAGTCACTGGAGCTACCTTCTTCTTTCTCTCCCTTTTCCTCCTCTTGCCCTCCCTCCTAGAGTGGGCTTTGAATTCAGGGGCAGATTCTTACTGAGCCTGGGAAAGGGGGACCAAGGGTGTCGGGTCATTACTCAAACCAGTTGATGAACAAAGGAGGGATTGATTAAAAGCCACAGGTTTAGCAAGAGAAAGAGAACATGTGTGCACCAAAAGACATGTACAAGAATGTTCATAACAGCCCTATTCATAAAGTCAAAATGTCTAATAACAGTAGACCAGAATAAATTGTAGTATATTCATAAAATGGAATATTACAGAATGATAAAAAAGAACATCTTACTATAACATGCACCTCCATGTAAGAATTCTATAGGCAAAATGATGAGCAGAAAAAAAAAACAGAGTTGAGGGCACATACTGCATGATTTCATTTATATGAAGTTCAAAAACAGGCAAAACTAGTTTGCAGTGGTAGAAGTTAGAAGAGGGGTTGCCTCTGAAGAAGAAGAGTTGACCAAGAACGGGCACAAGGGAGACTTCCGGGTGCTACAAAGCCTTTCGTGTTGATCTGGGAGCTTACACCACCAATTCACCAGGCTTGACTCTTAAGATCTGTGCAATGTACTGTTCTGCGTTTGCATTTGTTTTGCTTTTTTTAGTTTTGCTTTTTTGAGACAGGGTCTCACTCTGTTGTCCAGGTTAGAGTGCAGTGGCATGATCACAGCTCACTGCAGCCTCGAACTCCTGGGCTCAAGGGATCCTCCCACCTCAGCCTCCTGAGTAGCTGGGTCCACAGGCGTATGCATGTCCAGCTAATTTTAAAATTTTTTGTAGAGACAGGGTCTCCCTACATTGCCCAGGTTCGCCTTGAACTCCTGGGCTCAAGTGATCCTCTCACCTTGGCCTTCCAAAGTGTTGGGATTACAGGCGTGAGCCACTGCACCCAGCCAATTTACTGTATTTTTGTTATACCTCAATAAAGAAAAAATTTAAAGCTACAAAAAAAACCTAGTTCTAATTTTACCCCCAAATCTCACACTTCTGGGCCCTTCTCTCTTTCTCTTCCACATCTTTCATAAAAACGGAAGCCCATGTTGGCCCCATCAGTCAACTTCCCTGATTGGCTCCCTGCTGGCTTCCCAGGTACTTTTTCTAGATCACATAACAGAAATAGAACCTGCCTTCTCATCACTTCCTCCCCGTGTGACTTCACAGAAGGCTGCAGGCTGTGCTGTTCGCAGCTCACGAGCCCCTCTGAGCTCTAAGCCTGCTCTGTCTCGAGTGCTGTGTTCCCTGACCACCAATGCCTCTGCCTTCTCCGTGGTCCATTTCCTCACACCCAGAGTCAGGTGTGCAGAGCTGTCTGTAGTTTGTAGTTTAATGTTTCTGTCCCATATTTGGGTCTCTCCAGGAAAGGTCTGAAAGTTGTGAGGTATTATTGAACTGTTGTCACAATAATTCTGCCTAACAAGGCACCCCAAAAGTCAGTGTCTTCAAATAGCAGCCATTATTAGTTCTCAAGGTTACAGGTCAGTGTGTGACCCTTTTGCCCTGGGCCCTTCTCTGTTGTTCTCAGCTGGGCTCATATGGGAGTCATTGGTCAACTAGAGGAGTGCTGCTCCAGGATGGTCTTGCCCACATGTATGGTGGTCAGCTGGCTGTTTTGGGGGGGATGGCATGACTGGGGCACAAGTCTCTCACGCTAGTTTGTCTGGGTATCATCACTTGGTGCTGGCTAAGGGTCGGAGAGGAAGAGGAGAGTGTTCAAGCCTGCGGAGGCCAGGCTTGGAACTGGCAAACCATCCTTTCCACCACATTCTATGGCGAATTCAAGTCATAGAGCAGATTCAACTGGTAGGGAAACAGAGTCTATTTCTGGATTGGAAGAATCACAAAATCACATTGCAAAGAGTGTGCATACAAGGAGGAATGGGAAATCAGGACTATTTATTTTTCTGTAATTAATCTACTACCTGTGGCAGGGGCGCCAAGACAATGGTGTTGAGAATCAGGTCTTTTCCCCTCCACAACCTGTCTATGTAGAAAGCAGCATTTATCCAGGCCTCCTAGGCTGCAGCCCCTGATACTGACCCTACAAAGCGGTCAAATGTGTTCTCCAGTCGTCTTCCATGCTTTATTCCTTTGGGGCTCAGCAGGCTGTTTTCATCTTGCCTGGTGAAACAAATGTGTGGCAGTGTGGGAGAGCTCATAAGGAACAGTCTGAAATGTGGATTCTTGTTAAGTGTTATGTGACAGAGGAGGAAGAAGAGTGGGGCTAGACATAGATGTGGTCTTTCCTGGTGCTCTTCTGGGAAATTTGACCTAAAACACTCCTCCTGTGAGCAGAAATATTTAAGATAGGAGACAGCTGTAATGTTTAAATACCCTAGGTGATTTCTTTGTATAAGTAAGGTTGACTACCATTGTTATAGGGGAAGTTCTCAGATTTTGGCTTATGTCAGAATCACCTGGAAGGCTTGATAAAACACAGATTACTGGGCTCCACCCCTAAAGTGTCAAATTCAACAGGGCTGGGATGGGACTGAGATTTTGCATTTCTCACAGTTTCCCAGAAGATGATTATGCTGCATGTCTAGAGCAATATTTCAAGAACCACTGCTTTAGGCCAGTGCTTTTCAAACTAAGATGCACAACCACCACTGGAGGTCTTTTTAAAATGTGGGTTCTGATTTAGCAGATTTAGGATGACTGGGAGTCTGCATTGCCAACAAGGGTCCAGGAAATGCTGATGCTCCTGGAGGGAAGACCCTACTCTGAGTACCAAGTTTCCAGATTTTGCTCCCCCCATCATTTTATTTTGCCTGTGTGGATTGGGTGTTTTAGCATTCTGCTGGCTAGGTCCTCAGATGGGGGTTGATGGAGAGGAGCAATAATCCATTAGGATGTTTGACAGGCAGTAGTGAGCATCAGATGGCTTTTTTGGGACTAGAGGCAGAGCTGGGTAGGAGGGTGCCTACTCTAAGTGCAAGAAGGACATTTTCTTGATTAAATGTAAACCTTAGCTGCCAAGAAGAAAAACGTAGCTGATGAAAGATGTATATATCAAAGTAAATGGACTTAAGAGTATTTCTCTGTAATAAAGATTTTACTGTTTGGACTTGTTTGCAAAATAAAAATTTCTGGCCAGGAAGTAACACTAAGATATGAACAAAATTCCATAATTAAGTGGAATGAAGTCAGTCAAGAAAAGACAACATGAGCCATCTTCCTCAACTACAGTGGCCCAGCATTACACACCGATATTACAGTTGGTGCTAGCAATTCAACTTCCAAACTTTTATCAAGAGTAAAAATCATCCAGTGATGAAGAAATAATAAAGAAAGGTGTAAATACAATGGCAAATGTTGCATTTTCAATCTTAAGAAGAATAATTTCCAAAATAAAATCAAGCACACTTTACCAAAATTAGACCTTATGCAATACAATTGCTAACCACTCTTTTTACTTTTATTTTTTACTTTTAGGAGACAGGGTCTTACTCTGTTGCCTAGGCTGGAGTGCAGTGGCGTGATCTCAGCTCACTTCAACCTCCACCTCCCATGCTCAAGTGATCCTCCTACCTCAGCCCCACTGAGTAGCTGGGAATACAGGCATGTACCACCATGCCCAGCTAACTTTTTGTGTATTTTGTAGAGATGGGGTCTCGTCACATTGCCCAGGCTGGTCTCGAACTCCTGAGCTCAAGTGATCTGCCTGCCTCGGCCTCCCAAAGAGCTGGGATTACAGGCATGAGCCACCATGCCTGGCCTTAACCACTCTTTTTAAACTCTTTGTACTTTCCTATTGTCCCTTCCAGCCCTGATGATGAAATATTTGATTAATGTTTTTGTATGTTATGCCACATGAGTGGTGGTCACTTGCTGAAGCTTCCAGGCAGCCTTTTAGAAGTGGAGAGACCCAGCTGGCATGTACCTTTTACCTTTTGCACTTCTCATTCTTCTTCCTGCCTTGAACATGGCAGAGGTGAAGCAGCTGTCTTATGGCCTTGAAGTGTTGAACCTGAGGGAAAAGGCCACTTACCAAGGTAGAAGGAGCCTGGGACAACGATGACATTCTGGTTTTGCAGAATCAGCCCAGGGTAGCTGAACTCCATTCTTCTTGTGACAAAAAAATAAACCCTTATTTAGTTAGACCACTGTAGTCCAGTTTCTTTCTTTCTTTTTCTTTTTTCGGCCTACAATAGTCCCAACTGTTATAATCACTTGCTTTTTAAAAGTAGCTCTGTTACTGGCTGTAGTTAGAGCAGTAATTCTGCAAGCAGCAGAATCATCTGGATGGGTTGTTAAAATACAGGTTTCTGAGTCCCAACCTCAGAGATTCTGATTCAGTAAGTCTGGGGAGGGGCCTGATAATTTGCATTTTTAACAAGTTCCCTGGTGATGCCCATGCTGCCTTCTGGGCACCACATTTTAAGAGCCAACTAATATAAATATACAGGAAAGGAAAAAAAAAAAACCAGTATGTTGTGGTTTCAATGTATCCCTTCCTCAGGCAAGGGCTTTGAATGGGTGGTGATACTTCAATGTCCATTTCTTGAATCCCCTAATTCTGTGACCCTGTTTACACTTGCCCAAAGACATAAATATTATCTACCTTTAACTATTACATTCAAGAGATTCAAACTCTCCAAATGATTGGCTTAATATTTTCAAGGCAACCTAGGTATTCCATCACCGGGTAGGAACAATTAATTATTGAGTCAAATTGCTTCATGAAACCTTATCTTTCCTTGAAGGTACTAGGGTTTTTTTTGGGACCCAGTACACATATGCGGTAAGTTTTAGGCATCTAAATGCCCAGGCAGAAGTTTGTTGCAGGGGCAGCGCCCTCATGGAGAACCTCTGCTAGGGCAGTGCAGAAGGAAAATGTGGGGTCAGACCCCCACCACAGAGTCCCTGTGGGGGCTCCGTCTAGTGGAGTTGTGACTTGCTTTTGCTGCCTGTGCCTGCCAGGACAACTCCTCTCCAAAGTTTGTTTGAGGGAACAGCTTTTCTCTTCTCTAATAGCAATGAGTTTGGAAGAAACTCAAGGTGACATTGTCTTACCATTCCTCTTTTAAAGACTCTCTTTCACACCATCTACTAATAATTGCTAACTTTTCAAAGGAGCCAGGGGAGATTAATATTCTGCAAAAGTGGATTTATAGCCAGCCACCTCTGAGAACATGGCCTGAGTCACTCTCCCTGACTCATGCTCACTCCAGAATATTAATGATAAAACTCTTCTTTTTAAACACAGAAAATTTACGAGCAAACTTCAAGGTCCTCCTTCCAAGTTTAGCAATTAATCTTGAAGCCAGATAGGAAAAGCAAATGAAGGCTATTTGTAGAGCAGCACAAAGGGATGCCCCAAATTTGGTTTTTCAGGCTGTCTACAGGTTGTAACTCCATTGACCCTTTGTCCTTCATGCTTCCTGCATTCTCCCAATTTGGGATAAGACGGAATCTTCCCCCAGTTATAAGGCCTAAGTGGTTTAAAATATAAGCTACTTTTAAGAATCCACAGAACAGAGTGCTAAGTATTAAAATAATGATGATACATTTATTGGGCATATGTCCCTGTTTTAATGACTGAATCTTGAATTAAAAAATTTTTTTCATTTTTCATTTTAAAAATTGTATTATATTTTATTTTAAGTTCCAGGATACATGTGCAGGGCATGCAGCTTTGTTGCTAATATGGTTTGGCTCTGTGTCCCAATCCAAATCTCATCTTGTAGCTCCCATAATTTCCATGTGTTGTGTGAGGGACCCGACAGGAGATGATCAAATCATGGGGGTGGGTCTTTCTTGTGCTGTTCTCACAATTGTGAATGGGTCTTACAAGATCTCATGGTTTTAAAAACAGGAGTTTCCCTGCACAAGCTCTCTTTTTTGCCTGCTGCCATCCATGTAAGATGTAACTTGCTCCTACTTGCCTTCCATCATGATTGCGAGGCCTCCCCACCATGTGGAAATGTAAGTCCAATAAACCTCTTTCCTTTATAAATTACCCAGTCTCAGGTATATCTTTATCAGCGACATGAAAATGGACTAATACAATAAATTGGTACCAGGAGTGGGGTGCTACTGAAAAGATACCTGAAAATGTGGAAGCAACTTTGGAACTGGGTAATAGGCAGAGGTTGGAACAGTTTGGAGAGCTCAGAAGAAGACAGGAAAATCTGGGAAAGTTCGGAATTTCCTAGAGACTTGTTGAATGGCTTTGCCCAAAATGCTAATAGCAATATGGACAATAAAGTCCAGGCTGAAGTGGTCTCAGATGGAAATGAGGAATTTGTTGGAAACTGGAGCAAAGGTGAGTCTGGTTATGTTTTAGCAAAGAGACTGGTGTCATTTTGCCCCTGCCCTAGAGATTTGTGGAAATTTGAGGTTGAGAGAGATGATTTAGGGTATCTGGTAGAAGAAATTTCTAAGCAGCAAAGTATTTGAGAGGTGACTTGGGTGCTGTGAAAGGAATTCAGTTTTAAAAGGGAAACAGACCATAAAAGTTTGGAAAAATTGCAGCCTGACAATGCATTAGAAAAGAAAATCCCATTTTCTGAGAAGAAATTCAATCCTGCTGCAGAAATTTGCATAAGTAATGAGGAGCCTAATGTTAATCCCCAAGACAATGGGGAAAATGTCTACAGGGCATGTCAGAGGGCTTCATGGCAGCCCCTCCCATCACAAGCCCAGAGGCCTAGGAGGAATAAGTGGTTTTGTGGGCCCGGCCCAGGGTCCCCATGCTGTGTCCAGCCTAGGGACTTGGTGCCCTGCATTCCGTTTGCTCCAGCCATGGCTGAAAGGAGCCAATGTAGAGGTTGGGCTGTGGTTTCAGAGGGTGCAAGCCCCAAGCCTTGGGAGCTTCCATGTGGTATTGAGCCTGCAAGTGCACAGAAGTCAAGAATTGGGGTTTGGGAACCTCTGCCTGGATTTCAGAGGATGTATGGAAATGCCTGGATGCCCAGGCAGAAGTTTGCTGCAGGGGCAGTGCCCTCATGGAGAACCTCTGCTAGGGAAATGCAGAAGGGAAATGTGGGGTCAGATCCCCAACATAGAGTCCTTATGGGGGCTCTGCCTAGTGGAGCTGTGAGAAAAGGGCCACCATCCTACAGACCCTGGAATGGTAGATCCACCGACAGCTTGCACTGTGCACCTGGAAAAGCTGCAGACACTCAATGCCAGCCTGTGAAGGCAGCTGGGAGGGAGCCTCTATCCTGCGAAGCTAAAGGAGTGGAGCTGCCCAAGACCATGGAAGCCCACTTCTTGCATCAGCATGACCTGGATGTGAGACATGGAGTCAAAGGAGATCATTTGGAGCTTTAACATTGACTGCTCTGCTGGATTTTGAACTTGCATGGGGACTGTGGCTCCTTTGTTTTGACCAATTTCTTCCATTGGAAATGGCTGTATTTACCCAATGCCTGTACCCCCATTGTATCTAGGAAGTAACTAGCTTGCTTTTGGTTTTACAGGCTCATAGGCAGAAGGGACTTACCTTGTCTCGGATGAGACTTTGGACTGTGAACTTTTGAGTTAATGCTGAAATGAGTTAAGACTTTGGGGGACTGTTGGGAAGGCATGACTGGTTTTGAAATGTGAGAACATGAGATTTGGGAGGGGCCAGGGGCAGAATGATATGGTTTGGCTCTGTGTCCCAACCCAAATCTTATCTTGTAGCTCCCATAATTCCCACATGTTGTGGGAGGGACCCAGTGGGAGATGATTGAATTATGGGGGCGGGTCTTTCCCATGCTTTTCTTGTGATAGTGAATGGGTCTCATGAGGTCTGATGGTTTTAAAAACAGGAGTTTCCCTGCACAAGCTCTCTTTTTCCCTGTTGCCATCCACGTAAGGTGTGACTTGCTCCTCCTTGCCTTCGACTATGATTGTGGGACCTCCCCAGCCATGTGGAACTATAATTCCAATAAACCTCTTTCTTTTATAAATTGCCCCATCTTGGGTATGTCTTTATCAACAGCATGAAAACAGACTAATACAGTTACATGTGTAAATGTGTGCCATGGTGGTTTGCTGTGCTTATCAACCTATTACCTCTGTATTAAGCCCTGCATGCATTAGCTATTTATCCTGATAATCTCCCTTCTCCCGGCCCCCTGACAGGCCCCAGTGTGTGTTGTTCCCCTCCCTGTATTCATGTGCTCTCATTGTTCAGCTCCCACTTATAAGTGAGAACATGCGATATTTGGTTTTCTGTTCCTGTGTTAGTTTGCTGAGGATAATGGCTTCCAAATGCATCCATGTCCCTGCAAAGGACATGATCTCATTTCTTTTTGTGGCTGCATAGTATTCCATGGTGTATATGTACCACATTTTCTTTATCCCATCTGTCATTGATGGGCATTTGGGTTGATTCCCTGTCTTTGCTATTGTGAATGGTGCTGCAGTAAACATACGTGGGCATGTATCTTTATAATAGAATGATTCATATTCCTTTGGATGTATACCCAGCAATGGGATTGCTCGGTCAAATGGTATTTCTGGTACTAGGTCTTTGAGGAATCACCATACTGTCTTCTACAATGGTTGAACTAATTTACATTCCCACCAACAGTGTAAAAGCATTTCTTTTTCTCAGCAACTTTGCCAGCATCTGTTGTTTCTTGACTTTTTAATAATCGCCATTCTGACTGGCATGAGATGGTATCTCATTGTGGTTTTGATTTGTATTTCTCTAACGATAAGTGATGTTGAACGTTTTTTCATGTTTGTTGGCCACATAAATGCCTTCTTCAAAGAAGTGTCTGTTAATGTCCTTTGCCCACTTTTTAATGCAGTTATTTGTGTTTTTCTTGTAAATTTGTTTAAATTCCTTGTAGATTCTGGATATTAGGTGTTTGTCAGGTGGATAGATTGCAAAATTTTTCTCCCATTCTATAGGTTGTCTTGAACCCTGAATTTTTAAGAGGTCATTTAGTCCTTTAGTCTACTGATATTTAGTGATGGCCTCAAAAATTTTCCCATTTTACAGATGGGTAACCTGGGCAAAGAGAGGGACATAACTTTCCCTGTATCATAGCTACTAGTGGTGATGGCCAGTACTAGAAGCCCAGCAGACGCTCTTAACCACATAATGTACAAACCAATCTGATCCAAACCAAAAGAAAACAAATAAATAGAAAACAACTTGACTTAGGGATAAACTAGTCACAAGGAAGTTTTTGATAGGTATTGTTTTGTTTTAATTCTCAGACCTTTAAAGGATGTTAAGGCAGCATATTTAAGTAAGAAGGAAATTATTTTAGGTTTCAAATGAATTCAGGGACTTCCAGCTTTTAAGCTGCAACAGGAGATATATATAGGGCTCATAACAATTATAACATGTCCAATTGTTATAATTTTATACTATATAGTTATATATACATTTATACAATATATAATACACAATAATAAATATGAGATATATATTATATTGATTATATTGTTATATAATATATATTTAGCATATATTATATAAAGTGTTTGGAACAGCTTTATCAAGATGTACTTCATATATTATAAAATATATTAAGGTGTGTAATTCAATACTGTTTAGTACAGTCACAGAGTTGTGCAACCATCACCACTAATTCCCGAACATTTTCATTACCCCCAAAAGAAACTCCGTACCCACTAACAGTCATTTGCTATCTCCCTTCTCTCCCCTCCGATTGCCTGGCAACCACTAATCTACTTGCTGTCTCTATGATGTTGCCTATTCTGGATATTGCATATAAATGAATCATAAAATATAAGGTCTTTTGTGATGGGCTTCTTTCACTTAGCAAAATGTTTTCAAGGTTCATTCATGTTTAGAATGTATAAGCCAGTACTTCATTCCTTTTTATGGCCAAATGATAATCCGTATGGAGTATACCACATTTTGTGTATCTGTTAATCAGTTGATGGACATTGGGGTTGTTTCTACTTTTTTGGTGATTATTACCTAGATGTGGAATTGCTGAGTCAAACAGTAATTCTAAGGCTGAGGTGGGAGAATTGCTTGAACCTGGGAGGTGGAGATTGCAGTGGGCTGAGATCGCGCCACTGCACTCCAGCCTGGGCAACAGAGTGAGACCCTGTCTCAAATACACACACACACACACACACACACACACACACACACACACAAACAGTAACTCTATTTTTAACTTTTAAAGAACTGCCAGACTGTTACTCAGAAATGGCTACACCATTTTACAATACCATCAGCAATATATGAGGGTTCCAATTCTCTACCCTTGCCAATGTTTGTTACTGTCTGTCTTTTATTTTAATCATCCTAAGGGATACAAAGTGATATATCATTGTAATTTTAATTTATAATTGCATAGTGGCTAATGATGTTGAAGATATTTACATGTGCTTATTAGCCATCTGAATATCTTCTTTGGAAAAATGTTCATTCAGATCATTTCCCCATTTGTTAATTGAGTTGTTTGTCATTTTCTTGTTGACTTTGAAGAGTTCTTTATACGGCAAGTGTTTTATCAGATATATGGCTTGCAAGTATTTTCTCCCATTCTGTGGTTTTTTTATTTTCACTTATTTCATGATGTTCTCTGACACACAAAAGTTTTTGATTTGTGCTTTTGGTGTCATACATATGAAAGTATCACTTAATATGAGATCACGAATATTTATACCTAGGTTTTCTGCTAAGATTTTTATATTTTAGTTCTTACATTCAGATCTCTCCTACATTTTGAGTTAATTTTTGTATATGATATGAGGTAGGGTCCAACTTTATTCTTTTGCATGAGGATATCCAGTCACCCCAGCACCAGACTATTCTTTCCTCACTGAATTTTGTTGACATCTTTGTCCAAAATCAATTGATTATAAATGTAAGGGTTTATTTCTAGACTCTCAATTTTGTTCTATAGATCTATATAACTATCCTTATGCCAGTACAAAGTATTCAGGATGATTCCTGTAGCTACGTAGTAAGTTTTGAAATCAGGGAGTGTAAGTCTTCCAACTTTATTCCTCTTTTTCAGGACTATTTTGGCTATTCTGAGTTTACTACATTTCCATGTGAATTTGAGGATAGGTTTGTCAAATTCTGTAAGCAAGGCAGTTGAGATTTTGATAAGACTTGGGTTTAATCTGTAAATTAATGTAGGGAGTGTTGCTAGCTTAACAATATTGTCTTCCAATCCATGAACATAAAATGACTTTCAATTTATGTATGTATTTTAAGAATTCTTTCAGTAATTTTTTTTATAATCTTGCATTAGAGTTCTCCAGAGAAAGAGAACTAGAAGTATACATATATGTGTGTATATATATACATATATTTATATATATACACACCCCATATGTACCTATGTAAGAAAGAATAATCGATTATAAGGAATTCGCTCATGGAATTATGGAGGCTGAGAAGTTCCAAGATTTTCAGTCAGCAAGCTGGAGAACCCAGGAGAGCTGATGTTTCAGTTTGAGTCCAAAAGCCAGAAAAGACGAGCTCAAGTAGTCAGGCAGGAATTTCCTTTTACTCAGCTTTTTTGTTCTGTTGAGGTCTTCAGTTGATGCGTTGAAACCAACACACGTTAGGGAGAGCAATCTGCTTTACTCTGCCTACTGGTTCAAATGTTGATTTCCTCCAGAGACACTCTCACAAACATGCCTAGACATGCCTAGAATAATGCTTGAACAAATGTCTGGGTAGCCCAAGGCCTAGTCCAGAGGACATAAAAAATAAATGACCACACACTTCTTTGCTTACATTTTTTCCTAAGTATTTTATTCTTTTTGGTGTTATTATAAAGTAAATGTCTTTCTTAATTCCATTTTTGGGTTGTTCATTGCTAGTGTACAAAAGGAGAATTGATTTTTGATTTTTGATGTTTTATCCTGTAGTCTTGCTGAATTCATTTATTAGTTATAATAGCTTTTTGTGTGTATGCATGGATTTTTTAGGATTTTCTACATAGAAGATCATGCCATCTGCAAATAGACATGATTTTATTTCTTCCTTCCCAATCTGGATGTCATTTACTTATTTCCATTTTTTCTTACTTCTTTTTGCTTAATTCCCCAGCTAGGAGCTCCAGTATAATGTTTAATAGAAATGGTAAGAGTGGCCCTCCTTGTCTTGTTCGTGGTTTAGTGGGGAATCTTTTCAATTTTGTGTAGTATGATGTTACCTGTGAATTTTGTGTATTGACTTTTATTAGTTAAGAAAATTTCCTTCTTTACTATTTGTTATCATGAAAAGGCACTGAATTTTGTCAAGTGTTTATCCTGTGTTTATGGGGATGATCACGTTTATGGAGTAATTTTTGAAATGGGAAATAAATGAAATGGACGGATAGAAAAGGGTGTTCTCAACCCAAATGCCCATCAATCAACGAGCGGATAAAAAGCTGGTATAGGCTGGGTGCCATGGTTCATGCCTGTAATCCCAGCACTTTGGGAGGCCGAGGTGGGTGGATCACCTGAAGGTTAGGAGTTCAAGATCAGCCTGGCCAAAATGATGAAACCCCATCTCTACTTAAAATATAAAAAATTAGCCAGGTGTCGTGGCAGGTGCCTGTAATCCCAGCTACTCGGGAGACTGAGAAAGAAGAATTGCTTGAATCCAGGAGGCGGAGGTTGCAGTGAGCTGAGCTCTCACCATTGCACTCCATCCTGGGCAACAAGAGTGAAATTTCATCCCCCAAAAACAAAAAACAAACAAACAAACAAAACAAAAAAACCAGGCTGGGTGTGGTGGCTCACGCCTGTAATCTCAGCACTTTGGGAAGCCGAGGCAGTCAGATCACCGGAAGATCAGGAGTTCGAGACCAGCCTGGCCAACATGGTGAAACCTCGTCTTTACTAAAAATACAAAAATTAGCCGGGTGTGGTGGCAGACACCTGTAATCCCAGCTACTCGGGAGGCTGAGGCAGGAGAATCACTTGAACCCGGTGGGGGAGGTTGCAGTGAGCCGAGATCACACCATTGCACTCCAGCCTGGGGAACAAGAGTGAAACTTCATCTCAAAAAACAAAACAAAACAAAAAATCTCAGTGTATATATATATATATTATATATATATATATACACATTATATATATAATATATATATATATACACATTATATATATAATATATATATTATATATATACACATTATATATAATATATATTATATATACACACATTATATATAATATATATTATATATACACATTATATATAATATATATTATATATACACATTATATATAATATATATATTATATATACACATTATATATATAATATATATTATATATACACATTATATATTATATATTATATTATATATACACACATTATATATTATATATATTATATATATATTATATATATTATATATATATAAAACATTATATATAATATATATAATATTATATATATTATATATATATACACATTATATATAATATATTATATATATTATATATTATATATATTACATATAAATTATATATATTATATATATTTAATATATATATTATATATATTACATATAAATTATACATATTATATATATTTAATATATATATTATATATATTACATATATATTATATATATTATATATATAATATATATACACACACACAAATACCCAGTTTTTTATATATATATATAATGGAATACCACTCAGCCATAAAAAGGAATGAATTAATGGCATTTGCAGCAACCTGGATGAGACTGGAGACTATTATTCTAAGTGAAGTAACTCAGGAATAGAAAACCAAACATTGCTATGTTCTCACTGAGATGTGGGAGCTAAACTATGAGGATGCAAAAGCATAAGAATGATACAATGGGCCAGGTACAGTGGCTCATGCCTGTAATCCCAGCATTTTGGGAGGCTGAGGCAGGTGGATCAGCTGAGGTCAGGAGTTCAAGACCAGCCTGGCCAACGTGGTAAAAACCCTGTATCTACTGAAAACACAAAAATTAGCCCGGAGTGGTGGCACATGCCTGTAGTCCCAGCTACTCAGGAGGCTGAGGCAGGAGAATCATTTGAACCTGGAAGGCAGAGGTTGCAGTGAGCTGAGATTGCACCACTGCACTCCAGCGTGGACGACAGAGTGAGACTCTGTCTCAAAGCAAGCAAACAAAAAATCGAAGTAAAGAATGATACAATGGACTTTGGAGACTTTAGCAGAAGGGTGGGAGGGGGATGAGGGATAAAAGGCTACAAACAGGGTTCAGTGTATACTGCTCAGGTGATGGGTGCACCAGGAGCTCACAAATAACCACTAAAGAACTTACTCATGTAACCAAATACCACCTGTACCCCAATAACCTACGGGAAAAAAATGTGAAAAAAGAAAGAAAGAAAGAAAGAAAGAAAGAAAGAAAGAAAGAAAGAAAGAAAGAAAAGAGTGTTCTTAGGGAGCCCATCTGATCAAGAATTTGTCTGAGGCCAGGTGCGGTGGCTCATGCCTGTAATCCAAGCACTTTGGGAGGCCAAGGCAGGTAGGTCATGAGGTCAGGAGATCGAGACCATCTTGGCCAACATGGTGAGACCCCGTCTCTACTAAAATACAAAAATTAGCTGGGCGTAGTAGTGTGTGCCTGTAATCCCAGCTATTTGGGAGGCTGAGGCAGGGGAATCACTTGAACCCAGGAGGGGGAGGTTGCAGTGAGTTGAGATCATGCCACTGCACTCCAGCCTAGCGACAGAGCGAAATTCCATCTCAAAAAGAAAAAAAAAAGAATTTATCTGATTATGTGATTTGATAAAAAATATGTTAATAGATGACAGGAGATTAAAATGTCTTTCTTCTAAGCCTCAAGTCCATAGGCTGGGTGAGAACTAACTATTTTATTTTATTTTTGTAATAAAATTTTGGTTAACCAATGTTTCTCAATGCCAAACAAAACTAACTGCATTAATCTGTTTATTAAATTAGCTTCCAAATTTTGGATAACATCTCACCTTGTTTTATGGTTTTCAAGTTTTTCTTCAAAGCAAAATAAGGCAGGCTTTATAAATTCCTGGGCTGTTTTCTTTGACCACATCAGAGTCTGGTTTCTAAGTTCCTAATTGTTTCAATCAAGGTCTCATTCTCCTTAAATTGTCGTTTCTCTGTTAAGAGGGTTGTAATTTCCTCCACATTTATTTGAAATTGAATGGTCAATTAAAATGCACACTAACCCTTAAATCGGTTGGACTTCTAAGAGATTTTTCAAAAGGTATTTAGGGGGATATTAAAATAAGTGATGCTTGAATGTTTAAAAGCCCCACAGTTCTATTAAGGTCCATTCTAATTTAGGCAAAACCCATGCAATATGCAAAGAGCTATAAAGAATGGAGCAGAGCAGTGAGGGGATCTGTGTTCTTCACTGAAAGGAAGGGATGGGCGGAAATAGCAAAGGCAGAGAGGTGGAGATTAATGGAGACAAAGAGAGGGATGGTGGCTTCCAATCTGACACCTTAGCATCTTCTTAGAATAGGATATATATATAACACCCACGAAGAGAAGCTTGACACTAGGCCCCGGGGAAGCAGCCATATAACAAGGTGCCCTGTACCCCAAAATGACAGAGAACTGTCAGAGGCACCTTCTTTCCAGGGACTACACAAATCTGAACAATGATCATACAAGTTGACCAAATAACAGTGACATCAAATTCTATGCTGCATACAACTTCCTGGGCCATTTTGGGAGCTGAGGGGTGGGCAGGAACAAATCATACTCACTGAGATGGAATCTTCCTCCACCTAAGTAAAACAAGGAGTTGGAGTCAGCTACAATTTGACTTTTCTTCTTTTGAAGAATAAAGCATGGTGCCATATTTTTAAGCATGAAACTTTTTTGGAAGCAGAAGCAAGCTGACAACTTAAGTTAAAAATCTTCCTTCCCTTTGATCACTGCATTCCCTTACTCTTAGTAAAGAGTCAAAACCAAGCAGACATGAGTAAGTCATATACTTTGTGGTTAGAATAAAACCACAAACCAGATGATGGAAGCAGGTCCACAGTGATAGAAATTCTCTCACTTACATTTAACAGGAACCTTCTGGGTTGCATGCTTTAAGAATAGAGGCATCGTGGAAAGAGAGCCCAGAACCTAGGGGCCAATGAGAAGGCACTCTACCTTGTCAGAGGGGTGTAGGGTATGGCTAAGAGAACAGCTGTGTTCAATCCTAGCATCACAACTTACTAGCTGTGTGATCTTAGGATGCTATTTATCCTCTCTGTACTTCAATCCCATCATTTGTAAATGGTGATAGTAACAGAATATCTCATAATGTTTTGGAGATGATTAAATGAGGTAATATATTCATAGCACTTAGAACAGTGTCTTGCCCAGAATTAGTACTTGAACATGGATATCATCATCATCATCATCATCATCATCATCATCATCATCATCATCACTTGTGTCTATGTCAGGTGACCATGGTTCTCATTCTGATTTTAGCACTTCCTTTTGCACAACAAAAAGGACTAGATCACTAGGATAAGATCAGCTATTTCCAAACATGTTTTTAGCAGCAGAAATCATTTTCTTCTACTGCTAAAACACAAACTCCAAGAGAAGCTAAGCATATATGTACACATTGATTTTTAAAATTCTAGTTGCTTAAATCACTAAACAAAATAAATTTGTGAGCTCACATAACAAAATAGTCCAGGGGAGATCTGCTTCAAGAACAGCTGAATATCAGGTTGAAAGCCGTTAGGATCAACTTTTTTTTTCTGTCTCTTCTGAGATCTACTTCCTCTCTTTCCACTCCATTCCTAGGATTCTCTGCCACTTTTCCTATGGTTGCTAGCAGCTCTCAAAGTACTATACTTCTAAATTCCAATCTAGTGAAAAAGGGAGAACATTGTTTTCCCAGAACTCCCTGGGACTGTCCTGATACTCACTTTGATTGGCCTGATGTGGACTACGTGTCCAGCCCTATACCAATCACAATGGCAAGAAGAATGTGTTGCACTGATGGGCACCTTGGGTCAGTTCCACCCCTGAGGCTGGGAAGAAATCCTCCCTCTGAGGCCAGAGAGAGAGAATACTGTGTCTGTAGAAGGCTTGCTTTCACTGTACTTCCTTGGAATCCCTTCTCAAAACCTGAGTGTTCTTAGTTTGAAACCCACTGAACAAGGGGATTTCTAACATTTGGCAAGTTTCCAAGATTGCATATCCTCTCAAGGCAATTACTGTGGAAGAGGTCAGGGACCTGAGCAGCCCCCTGAGGGAGATTACTTTGAGTCATTCTCAAATCATAGCATGCAGACATCCACCCACTCTACTGTCTTGTGAGGCATGGCCTTGGCTCTGTGCACCCACAGCAGTGCCAACTCTCATAGACATGTATCCAGTGGTGGGTAGGAGAGTCCTTTGGGTTGAATTGTACATTATATTATGTGTAATGCACCTCCTGTTCCCATTATGTATTGCAGTGGAACCAACATCTTCAAAACACAGTAGCTTAAATCAATAACAATTTATTAGTATCTCTCACAGTTCTGGGGTCCACTAGGCTCCTCTGGGCATTTCTGGCCTTGGGTTCTCTGTGATTACAGTTGAGCAGTAGCTAGGGCTAGTGCCATCTTGAAGCTTTTGTCGCTCCCATGTATGATGCCTGAATAGCTAAGGCTTGTTGATCATCTCTCTCTCTCTTAGTGGTCTCTCCACCTAGTATGTCCAGCAGGGCAGCCTCGGGACAGTAAAATTTCTTACATGGAGGCTGAAGATACAAAGAGTATGTGTTCCAGGAGAACAAGGAAAAAGCTACATGACTTTCTTCAGACCCAGCCTTGGAAATTATAGTGTCACTTCTGCTGCACTTTGTTATTGATCAAGGCAGTAACAAAGCCCACCCAGGTTCAAGGGGTGGGAACATAGACCCTACTCTCAGGGGTAGAAGTGTCAAAGAAAGTGCAGTGCTCTTAAAACCATCCTACTTCTAGGCCGTGTGCAATGGCTCATGCCTGTAATCCCAGCACTTTAGGAGGCCGAGGCGAGTGGATCATGAGGTCAAGAGATCAAGACCATCCTGGCCAACATGGTGAAACCCCATCTCTACTAAAAATACAAAAATTAGCTGGATGTGGTGGCGTGAGCCTGTAGTCCAAGCTACTCGGGAGGCTAAGGCAGGAGAATCACTTGAACCCGGGAGGCGGAGGTTGCAGTGAGCTGAGATTGCTCCACTGCACTCCAGCCTGGTGACAGAGTGAGACTCTGTCTCAAAAGACAAAACAAAACAAAACAAAACAAACAAACCAAAAAAAAAAAAACCACACACAAAAAAACCCATCCTACCTCTTGAGGATGGCTTTGGGTCAACCTACTAAACAATGTGCACCTTCCAGGCCTCTGACAAACCATATCATACTTCTCCATTTGAAACCACATTTTAGAGATTATCCTTGTCCATGCTGTTCTGATTCTGTCCTGCTCTTGATGGAAATGAGTTATTCAAGAGGCAAGATTATCAGGGCATAGCAAGAAAAGTGGTTTCTTAAACAATTGTGCGCTGGCAAAGAAGCTTAGACGTTATGCGCAAAAGCAATAGTCTCCATCTGGGCACATTGACCAATATTAGGAAGAGCAGTAATCCTTTTTAACACTTGTGAAAATATTACAACACCTCATCCTGGTGCAGCTTAGGCTTTTGTTAAGAAATACCACTAGAATCGAGGAAGACATTATCTTTATCATGTGCTTATTAAAAACAGTGAGGTACCCTGAAGGAGCTATGATACAACCTGAGGTTACTACCTGGAGTTTGAGCATCTTCAGGAGAAAGATGGTGCTATTTTCAAGGTGAGCTCCAGCATTAACTGCGAATCTTAGCATGGCTTTATATACAAGGTAAATGGGGAAATACACAAACATCTGAGTGCACTAAAGCTCAATGCTCTGCTGTTTATGGCTACCCCATCCTTACAGTGATTATTAAGCCTGTGAGTAAAATCAGAAGGCAGGGAGAAAGCAAAATGAGAATGTTTCTACATGGCATTCCAGAAGAAGTGGATTATGAAATCTTGATTCTCACATATTTTCAAGAGTGTTTAAGAAAGCATGGCATGGGTGTAAGTGTGAAGGTATTGTCAAAACATGCAAATTATGCCTTCATTTTAATTTCTGGCACCAATTCCAGGCCTAATCCCTTTCATTAGACCTTAAATGCTTTCAAAGTAGTGGAAGGATGAAATTCAGCATTTTGGAATTGGCTCAGGACTAGGAGCTAAGTTTTGCTGAACAAAGAACGCACTGACTATAAAGTCAGTGAAGATGGCCTTCAGCCTTCTACTCCTTAGTATGCTAACATTTGTGCCTGAAAAATCTATTCTCTTCCTAGTGACTGGCAGATGTCCAGATGGGCTGGACAGTTTTCTTCAGGGCTACATTAAAGTGTTACTTTCATACACTAGGAAGCATATAGACTTCAGCATGAGAAGATGTGAGCTTTAGAGTAAGGAAACAATGGTATATAATGGCAGAGATTTTGCCAAGAGGCTGCTGGAGGTAGCATCAAGCAATTGGATCAAATGACTGGCCTGTGGGCTGTCACAGGCAGTAGAACAGCTTCAAAGCTCATTACTGCCTCAGCTTCCTGAGGCTCACATGGTGTAAAGGAACTGAAGGTGTGGAGGAGTGCGTATAAACAGACCAGCTTGGAAAGGGGGATTCAAACTTGCAACTTCAGATGAGCCTTTGGGACCAGCAAGGTACTGACGTTTGTGAGCATGTACCCAGCTGTTTCCTGTGTGGTGAGTTTATCCCCAACAAATACACCAGCTGGTGGAGTTTTATTTCCTTGTTGACTTTTTGCTGCTATCTAGAGAGTCCTGGTAACTGTAAACAAAGCTTTAGAACACTAATAAAGTGTCAGGCGCCAATGCAGTGGACTCTGAGCAGGTACTAAAATCCAGGAGCCTGTGGATAGGCACATGGCATGGGGGGGCCCCAGCCACACAGGATGATGGGGAGTAGGAGGAGGCCAGGAGCAGGAAGGTGGGATGAGAAAAGGGATCTGATTGCTGAAGTCCCACGTTCATTGCCCAAGGCCCAGGCACTTGTAGTAGATGCTGGTGGATGAGCAGGGGCTCTAGCCTCCAGCTGCTGTATTGACTGCTAAAAGCTAACAGAGGTCCTCTTCCCCAAGTATCACCCTAAGTTAATGCCCAGAAAGTTACACTCCCTAAATGGTTTTATCAGGAGAAGTCTATGGCAATGACTGGCTGATACAGGAGTACAAAAGGCGAACCACCTTGTCTTAATGATGAGGACCATCATGTCAGTGTTGTAATTTATGCTCCAGATCCTCTCTCATATCAGGCCAGGTTTAGATTTTTCCTGAGCACGCATCTTTGCTTGGCTTCTTACCCTAGTTGTCCTGTCTGCTTTTCTTCTTTTAGATGCTTCTTTTGAGAGTCTTTCCTCAAGAGGACTGAAGCAATGTGTGCCTGATTTTCCCTTTCTTGGGTTCTGCTTCTGGGGAACCCAACCTAAGATAGCATTGAGAATTTTAGGCCCCATTGCCATGGTTCAGTCTGGCAGGAGGAGGGCAGGGCATTGAAGCAGAAAGTCCCTAGAGATGTGTATTTGGGGCAAATTCTCCATGTGTCTCTGTGAAAAATGGCAGGTAGAAGTTGAAGACATACTTTGAGGAGCAGGTGTCAGCTCCTGGGGAAAATGAGTTGACAGAGGATGGGTGTCAGGGGCTCAACTAGGAAAGTACTAGAGCACTCAGTAAGAGAACCAAGGATAAATCCAGTGCTAGAGCCTGGGGTCAGCAAAACCAGGGTAGGGAATGCTATGACTTGTAGGATACGTGCAGAGTCAGGCTCATGTCTGACTCACTAAATCCTTGGTTGGTTTGTGGCAAGAGCTGGCCACATAAATCTGGGCAAGTTAATCTTCAGATCTAAACTTCCATTTCTTCATCTGTATAGTGGCATATAGCATGCATTCAATACCTAGTAAATATTTTATTACATAAATATTATTCTAAGCCACAGTGGTTAATGAAACTTTTTGCCTGAAAAAAGGTAGACCTGGCTTTCTAGACAAGGCCCACCTCTAAATCCAGACTTGGAAAGCAAAGAAATGTGAAGCTATGAGATACAAAGTAGAGGCTGAAATAATGGCTCAACCAACTGGAAAGCCCATGATGTTGCTTGTATGGTTACCCATGGTCTTGCATCTTAAAGGCCAGAATCCCGGAGTTGCCTTCTTGTATATTCAGAGCCAGTCTTAAGGGAAGTAAGCAACTGCATTGAAAGAGAGAGAGAGAGAGAGGCCAGGAATCCTCCAGATTTGGAATTGGGCCATTATTAATCTGGAATTGGACCCAAGAGGGTATGCTCGGGACAGAAAGTTGGCCAGTCAATAGTAATTGACCTGAAGTCTGAAGTTGCAGCAGTGTTCTTCTAGCTTGGCAGACACTACATTCACTATGCCAGGTTCCTAGTGCCCAAATCAAACTGGAATTTCCCAAAGATAAAAGCAGCAGGAAACCTTAACCACTCAAATATTCTTTCCCTAGAACTACTTTTTTTTTTTTTTTTGGCATTATCACACTTTTACTTGTACAGTATATATACTTAGGTAAATGACCAAAATAGCCTTACAAATAGTGGGATTATGGGTGACTTTCATTTACTTCAAATTTTTTTAAATAGAGAACATACTTTTATGGAATAATCCTGTTTGTTTGTTTGTTTTTAAGTTCAGGGCTACTTGTGTAGGTTTGTTATATAGGTAAACTTGTGTCACAGAAGTTTGTTGTATAGATTACTTCATCACCCAGGTATTAAACCTAGTACCCATTAGTTATTTTTCCTGATCCTCTCCCTCCTCCCACCCTCCACCTTCCAATAGGCCCCAGTGTCTGTTATTTCCCTCTTTGTGTCCCTGTGTTCTCATCATTTAGCTCCCACTTATGAGAACATGCTGTATTTGGTTTTCTGTAGAACCACTTTCTACTCTCTTTTTACTCCTAGTACAGAGCTGTATGGTCCTCATTTTAGGAAAGGGTTCCCAGAAGCAGACCTTGAGATGAGAAATCACATGCAACTCAATTTATTGAGGAAAATTTTCGAGGTAGAACTGGGTGTAAAAAGCAGGAAAGATAAGGGAAGAAGCCAAGCAGAGATTCAGCCTCAGCCTGATCCCACGGGGGAGCTTCGGAGTGAAAATTATACCTTAGATTTGTTCAAACTCTAAGGCAAAGGAGCTGGGCTTCCATTTTCCCACACCGGTCAGTCATTGAATAAGGGCCGTGATTGAGGGCATAACATCCCAGGAACTTCTGTTTCACAGTAGACACCCCGGTGGCCTAAGGGTGGTTCTCCATAGAGAATCACAGAGATGGATAATTAGAAACATAATATGTAGGAGGTAAGAAAAGGCACACTGAAAAAGTAAAAGAAATTCAAGGTAAACCGAGTGGAACATTGACAGATATGCTACCACACTAAGGATTCTCTTAAGGACATAGAAAAGGCTAATCATTTCTGCAGATACGCAGTTTATTCTACATGTGTTAATGTTATAAAATGGAGAGGGCATAGGATTACTATTTAGAAAGTGTGAGTTTTAGTCCTGGCTTGAATTCATACAAACTTTGTGATCTTGCATGAATCACTCAACTTGCCTAGGCCCCAGTTTCTACATCTATAAAGTGGGTTTATTATTTTCCAGCTTTTTAATACAAGTTGGTGTTTTCTGCTGACTCCGCTGGCTTTTGATATGTGTTTTAAAATCTCAGACAAGATAGTAGATTTTTCAATTTTGTTTTGTAATTTTGTCAGCATTTTTCTTTTATATTTCAAGCCATAATCTTAGCCATTCAAATACAGGACTGGTTTTTATTTTATTTTTTTTTTTGAGACGGTCTCGTTCAGTCATCCAGGCTGGAGTGCAGGGGCGCTATCTCGGCTCACTGCAGGCTCCGCCTCCCGGGTTCACGCCATTCTCCTGTCTCAGCCTCCCGAGTAGCTGGGATTACAGGTGCCCGCCACTACGCCAGGCTACTTTTTTGTATTTTTAGTAGAGACGGGGTTTCACCATGTTAGCCAGGATGGTCTTGATCTCCTGACCTCGTGATCTGCCCTTCTCGTCCTCCCAAAGTGCTAGGATTACAGGCGTGAGCCACCGCGCCTGGCCAGGACTGTTCTTTTTATCACTACATAATGTCTCTTTTTATGCTTTTTGGCCTAGATCCAGTGCCATCTGACATTCATATTGCCATATCAGCTTTCTTTTGGTTAGTGATTGAATTACTTGTTTTTTTCCATTTCTTTATTTTCAACCTTTGTGGACCATTATGTTTTAAGTGTGTTTATTATAAACTACATATGGTTGGATTTTTAAATACCTAGCCTGATAATCTTGCTCTTATAAGTAAGTTGGTTCCTTTACATTTATTTTGATTACTGCTGTATTTGGACTTAGTTATTATATATTTTATGTTTACCATCCTCTTTTTTTTTGCTTATTTTACCTCTTTTCTTTCTTCCTGTTTGATTGATAGTTTTAACATTTTAACATTTTTAAGTAAAAAAAATTCTGAACAGAATTTAAGTGATTTAGTATCTCTGCTGTTCTCCCAAATAACCCAATAACTAAGTATGCTTTTATTACACACATAATATCTTTCCCATCTATGTCTTTCTTGGTGTTATTTGAATTTTATCTCATGATGTGAAAAATACCATTCTTTTTAAGAGTCAATAGTTAATTAAATTTATCATCATATTTTACGAAATTCTGTACTGTTGTTTCTGCATTCCGCTCCATTCTTCTATATCTCTTAGGGTGTTTTCTTCTGCCTGAAATACATTCTTCAGCAGTTATTTTAGTGAAGACTAGTGGGTAATAGTCTATTTTATTATTTCCATTTCATCTGGAGTGAACTCAGTTCTATTAGTTTATTTTGTTGCTGTCTTTCTTAGCATTACTTCCTTATGTGTTTTGGAATTTTATTATTGAATGGAGGTCTCTCTCTCTCTCTTTCTCTCTCTCTCTCTCTCTCTGTCTCTTTCTCTCTCCGCCATTTTATGTCTCACAGTCTTGCAGATTTATATTTAATTTCTTCTTCCACCATTTCTCAATAACATTTAGTCAAAAACCAGGTCTTATATTGGTAGCTCAAGGCTCCCAAAATGCACTGAAATTGAGGTTTTCGCACATTCAGCTACCAAGTCAGCAGTTAAGCCTAAGTTCAGGATAAAAGACTTTATTTTCTACGGCTTCCCTGCTATCCAGTTTTATAGTTCAGACGGTGGTTTTAAGAGCTTATTTCAGCCCCCTTTAATGCATGAGAGAACCTCAAACTTGTTACTAGTTCCAAGCAATGAGTTTGAAGAGTGAATCTCTTACTTCCCATGGGATACTTTTAGTTTTGCTACCCCACAGGGCCCCAGATGTCTCCATTTGCTTCTGGACGTGGAGTCAAGTGAATCTGCAAACTCAATCCCAGTCTGAGTTCACTTCCATTTCTGGGTCTCAGAACTATTGATCTCTATTTCAAGTTAGTTATGTTGTCTTAAATTCTTTGCAGGTGTCATATTTTGTATCAGTCAGATAATGCTGAATTTTAAAAAAACTCCTAAAAATGGAGTAGTTTAGTACAGCAGTTGTTAATTCTCACTAATTTTTCTGGGGTTTGGTAATGTGGGCTGGGCTCAGCTGGGCAACTGTGCTTTATTCTGCAGGAAGTGAACTGGGGGAATAGAAACTGTGGCTTCTTTATCTCCCTGCTATCCGGTCTTCTGTTAGTATCCTTGATAGCTCAGCCTGATTATAGCCAAAGGACTAGGGTGACATTGATACATACATAAATGCCAGTCTCCTGGGCACAGAGTTGAGAAGGTGACAGAAGGCAACAGAGAATATCCAGCGCATGACCCAAGGGGAGTCATGGGCAGTTGGAAAATCACTGGGAGACAAAGGCCACATGCAAACACGAAATGAAGAGGACTCACAAGTTTAAAAAAGATACGATCACCCAAGACATATTTTGGAAACTTACTTTCTTGGGCTTTTGGAAATTGGCAACTCTTGGCTCAGATGGAGGATGCTGAGGCAGAGGGGACCACGTTTCTTCAAGTGGGAAAATCCTGTCACCTTTGCAAGCTTGTCTTGCACTCAAAGAAATACAGCACCCTATGGACTTTTATGACTTAGATCTCATTAATCTAGGGTTTTATACTAAAAATAATAAAAAGGGAACAAATTTTTCCATTCAGTGGATGCTGCAGTGACAGTCAGAAAAGCTACTGAGTTCCAGCACGGCTGCTGTCAAGCCATGTGACCTTGGACAATTCACAGGGCTTTCTTAGCCTCCAGTTTCCTGCTGCAGAAAGTGAGGAGGTTGAATCAAATGCCTTCAAATCTCTAAACACTCAGATAGCTACAGCTTATAGGTGGGATAAATGGCTTGCATTTAAACATTTTTATTCAAAAACGTTTAACAGTAACTGCCTATATTCTGGTTTCCTTGCTGAATCACTTGAACTAACGGGAATCTTAAAAAATAACTTTGTATTTTCCATCTTCTCTCTTAAGTCCCTTATTTTCTTCTGTGCCCCCAAGCAAAGAAAAGCCATCTCTGACAGCTGCTCAAGGCAAACCATGGTTTGATAATGGTAAAAGGAGAAGCTATCAGCGTGCAAATTTAGATTTCCAGCATGTGTACTGATTTCCTGGCCTCATAGACATCTCAGTAATTATCTATAATTATGCATAATTTACCTACTTTCATTTTTTAAGAAATTGTCACTTTTAAGGTCAGAGTTTGACAATTTATTGGTTTGTCCTGTAGAAATAAATTGGGGGCATTTGGAGCTGGAGTCTTTAATGTGTGCAGTTGGGGCCATAGATGTGAAGCTGCCTCCTATTTATAGCTGGGTAAGCTTAATCATTGCTTTTCAGTCTAAATAGAAAGGCTCTGTTTACTGCTGCTTTTAATTGTAGCAAGCTGGTGAAAAGGCATGCAGGGCCTCTTCAGTAAAGGCAACTCAATAAAAGCATTTTGCAGTAAATTATTATTGCCATCATGAAAACCATGCACAGCATTCAAATATAAAGCAAGAAACAGCTCAGATTTTCTCTTCAATGGGAGAATCTTTGATGAACCCAGTGCACAACTTTTAAATGTTCTTAAATCATTTTTTTTCTCATTTTCTTAGAATATTAAAGCTGATAAGGGCATGTGGTTCTCCTTATTCTTCAGATTTAATTTTAAGGATAAAAATCTGAGTTCCTTGTTCAGGTCTGAGACATGTTTATATCCAAAATCATAAAAACAAAAGATTATCTGGGAAATCAAAATGTCAACCCCCTTTCTGTATGTTCCTGTTTGAAAGAGAACTATGAGGCACACTGAACCTTTATTTAGAGAGTTCCCTCTTTGATAAAGATCTTCTCAAAAGTTTTCTGCCAAATGTGCCATTTTATCCTCAAATCTCTGGAAGTTGGGTAGCATAGCATAAGGATCCAATTCTGATCTGGAACAAAATCACAAACCCAAGTGTTTGAAAGTAAGCTCCAGAAAGAGAAGCTTCGTGTGGGAAGTTAGGTATGAATGGAGGATTATACTCTCCAAACATGACTACAGCAGTAAATGCAGTCCCATATTCTCTTCCAGACCTTGACACTCTCCATCAAAAGGAAGAGTCTATTTCCCCATCTCTTGAACTTTGACAGTCTTTATAAATGCCTCAAATGAGTAGAATGCAACCAAAGGAATTTTTAGTGACTTTTGAAGTTAGGTCATAAAAAGCACTACAATTCCACTTTTTCTCTTTCAGGATGCTCACCCTTGGAGACCAGCAACAATGTGTGCAGAAACCCAGGCCATGTGGAGAGGCCCCACATACGTGTCCAACTGAGGTCCCAGCTGACAGCTGGCATTGACATGTGAGTGAGACTCTGAACGTTCCAGCTGATGACAAGTACAGTTTGAGCGAGCTATCCCTGTTGGGCCTGTCAAAACTGCAGATTTCATGAAGAAAATAAGTGTTGTTGACTTAAGCCAGTAAGTTTTGACATACTATGTTACACAGCCATAGTAGCTGGAAGAGTGTGAAACAAATACTATTCTCTTGTGTCTCATTTCTCTATAAAGTATATCTTCCCCCTTCCTTGCATAGGGATTCTTTCTCCTTTTCTCTCAGACAGTTCTGCTATTATCCCTGCTAGTGATGCTATTACTACTTCAAATACTATTGTTTTTATATCTGTTGCTACTACTGAAAATAAGATAATTTTATAACTAATGTTGAGTATGCATCTACTATATAGATTTACATCCTTAACATGTATTAAATCACGTAATTCTTACATCAAAAGCATGGAATTGTATCACCCCAAGATTCATATGTTGAAGTCCTCACCTTTAGTATTCACAATGTGACCTGTTTGGAGATATGGTCTTTAAAGATGTGAAATGAAGCCATTAAAGTAGTCCTTAATCCAATATGACTGGTGTCCTTATAAGAAGAGGAGATAGGACACAGACACACACAGAAGCAAGATCAGGCGAAGATATAGAGAAAAGATGGTCATCTACGAGCCAAGGAGAAAGGTCCTCAGAATAAATCAACCCTGTCGACACCTTGATTTTGGCCTTCTAGCTTTCCAAATATGAGAAAACAAATTTCTGTTGTTTAAGCCACAAAGTCTGTGGTACTTTGTTATGGAAAACCTAGAAAACTAATACAACTTTATGAGTAAAGTACTATTAAACTTTAGATAAGGAATCCACAAAAGAGAAAGCTGACACATTGTAAAGGTAAGTAACTTGCCCGAAGTTATACAGTTTTATTTCCTTTCAGAAGTAAGAAAACAAGGGCTCAATAACTTGACTTCCTGAAGTTTCACAGTCAGTTTAAAGAAAGAGTCAAAACTAAAAAAATCAAACTCTACCCTATATTTACACCATTTAGTATCAGAGTCCTCAGAAATATGTCACTTAGTCCTGTTAGCTAAGTTAAGACAGGATGGCAGCATTACTGAGCACCAACTACTTACATAGCACTTACAACCTCAGTTTTTCTTCCTAATAGAACCTCAATTTTGTTCAAGTGCCCTGTCTTCATGTAGTCCATGTGACTCCAAGGAATACCCTCAGCTTCAGGAGTAACTCTGATTGGGTTAAGGGTTAGCTCATACCCCCTTGTCTGTGATTCGTTTATAAAAAGTCCTGTGACTCAGTTCTGGCCAATGATATGTGAAGGGAGGTTCGTGGAAGACTTCTTGGAAAGTTCTGCCTTGCTCTAAAGAACAAGCTATTCTCCCGCTCTCTCCCCAGATTTGAATGAAAGTGGATGAATCCACAATTGTCCTCTGGTGGGAACCAGCCTTAAAAATGAAGTCAACCATGTGTATAGCAAAGACAGGAAATGTAGAGAACCTAAGTCCTAGGTAATAACACTGGGGTACTGGATCAACCAGCTTTTATTAAATTTCCTGTTAAATGAGCTTATATATTCCCTCATTTTAAAAAGCCAGTTTAGCGTGTACTGAAATCACTGAAAGTTAATGGCTGCAAAAGCTTCCCATTAGAGTTGACCCTTGAACAAGGTTGGGGTTAGGAGTGTAGACATCCTGTGCAGCCAAAAATCCACGTCTAACTTTTGACTCCTCCAAAACCTAACTAGTAGCAGCCAACTCTGGACCAGAAGCCTTCCTGATAACATAAACAGCTAATTATCACATATTTTATATATTATATATATATTATACACTGTATTCTAAAGTAACTGTATTCTAAAGTAACCTAGAGAAAAGGAAATGTTATTAAGAAAATCATTACTATTCATTAAGAAGTGAATCATCATAAAGGCCTTCATCCTCTTCTCACTTTGAGTAGGATGAGGAGGAAGAGGAGGGGGTGGTCTTGCTGTCTCAGGGGTGGCAGAGGTAGAAGAGGTGGAGGAGGTGGAAAGGGAGGCAAGAGGGACAGGTGCTTTTATTGAAAAAAGTCCACATGTATGTGACCCAAACAGTTCAAATCCATGTTGTTCGAGGGTCAACTGTAGTTCCAAATTTCTACAATGGAGCAAATGATCTCTACCCTCTGTTCCCATAGCAGCAATAGCCAAGATTGGCTTTATCCCTTCTAGCTCTGTCTTCTTTAGGCTATAAATGGCCGAATGGCTTCCTTCTCACATGAAGGATCATAGGATGAACTCTGTGCAATCTCCCCAAACCAGTCCTGAAATAGAAAATGTTGGAATCTCAGCATTAAGGTGGTCCATTCTGTACAACACAGCTTAAATGAGGTTATTTCACAGCAACCCTTGCAGCAGAAAGAGAACACGTGGCATATTCCTGGTTTCTTCAGTGAGTCATAGGGCTGGAAAAGAGATCAGGTTCTTCTTTTCTCTTGTCCAAGATTGTTCTTTGCTTATATTTCTGAGATTTACTGAATGACGGTGAAAGTGAAATTAGTTGGTGGTCTTATCCAGGTAATTATATTTCTAAACTACCAGGAGAAATAGGCTTTGAGGCATCATTTATATAATGCAAGCTTTTAAATACCAAATATTTATATAGAGCCTTGGTTCTTATGTTTTTAAAGTTTTTCTCTTAATTAATATAATTTTTACCTATTATCAACTCTGGGAGATAACTGTAGCAGGTCTTGTCAATTGCATTATACAAATAATTTTAGACAAGAGGAGTTATTTACTTAAGTTGATTGAATCAAAACCTGAATCTAAAACTCCTGACCCAACGTCCAGTGCTCTTTCCAATTATTTCTCCACTTGACCTCTTTCATATATGAAATTCACTTTAGCCTTAACATTTTTTTAAAATAAACTTTTTGAGATAATTGTAGATTCACATGAATTTATAAAAAATGATACAAAGGAATCTTGTATACCAATTACCCAGTGTCCTCCAGTGGTGACATCTTACAACACTGTAGTGTAATATCACAACAAGGATATTGATATTGATGCAGCCAGGATACAGAACATTTCCATCACCACAAGGATCATTCATGCTATACTTTTATAGTCAAACCAACTTCCCTTCCACCCTTGCCTGGTCCTTAACCCCTGGCAACTAGCAATCTGTTTTTCATTTCTTTAAGTTTGTCATTTTAAGAATGCTATATAAAGAAAGGCTTATCGTGTGAAATCTTCGGGGATTGGCTTTTCTTTTCACTCAGTATAATTCCCTGGAGATTCATTCAGATTATTACATGTATCAATAACTCCTTCCATTGTCTTGCTGAGTAATATTTCATTGTATGGAATGGTTTGTTTAACTATGCATCATCTGAAGAACATCTGGGTGCCTTGTAGTTTTGTGCTATTATGAATAAATCTGCTATAAGTATTCATGTACAGGTTTTTGTGGGAACATAAATTTTTATTTATCTGAGATAAATGCTCAGGAGAGCAATTGCTGGGCCATATAGCAAGTGCATTTTTTTTTCTTTTTTTGAGAACAAGTCTCACAGTGTTGCCCAGGCTGGACTGCAGTGGCATGATCTTGGCTCACTGCAACCTCCACCTCCCACGTTCAAGCGATTCTCCTGCCTCAGCCTCCTGAGTAGCTGGGATTACAGGCACCCACCACCACGTCCAGTTAATTTATTGCATTTTTAGTAGAGATGGGGTTTCACCATGTTGGCCAGGCTGGTCTTGAACTCCTGACCTTGTGATCTGCCCGCCTCGGCCTCCCAAAGTGCTGGGATTACAGGCATGAGAACCCAGCCTCACAGGTGCATGTTTATTCCTTTTTTAAGAAACTGTGGGACTGTTTCCAGAATAGCCACACCACTTTATATTCCCAGCAGCAATATTTGAGTGATATGATATCTCTGCATCCTTTCCAATATTTGGTTTTGTTAATTCTTTTTTAATTTTAGCTATTCTGATAGATGTGTAATGATATCTCAATGTGGTTTTAATTTGCTTTTTCCAAGTGGCTAATGTTGTTGAACTTCTTTTTATGTGTTTAATTTCCATCAATATAACATCTTCAGTGAAATATCTCTTTCTTTTGCCTATTTTCTAATTGAATTGTTTGTTTACTGTTTCATTTAAGAGCTTTTTATATATCCTAGGTACTAGTCCTTTGACATGTATGTGGTTTGCAAATATTTTCTTCTAGTTTGTACCTTGTCTTTTTATCTCCTTAATAGGTTCTTTCACAGAGCAAAATTTTCTAACTTTGGTGGAGTTCACTTTTTCAATTTTTCTTTTTATGAATCACATTTTTGGTGTCTAAGAACCCTTTGCCTAGTTTTATATACCAAAGAGTTTTTCTTGTGTTTTTTTTTTTCTAAAGGTTTTATAGGTTTACAAGTTGTAGTAGCCCATTTTCATACTGCTATGAAAAAATACCCAAGACTGGGTGATTTATAAAGAAAAAAGAGGTTTAATAGACTCATCAGTTCCGCATGGCTAGGGAGGCCTCACAATCATAGTGGAAGACGAAGGAGGAGCAAAGGCATGTCTTACATGGTGGCAGGCAAAAGACCATGTGCAGGGGAGCTGCCCTTTATAAAACCATCAGATCTTGTGAGACTTATTCACTATCATGAGAACAGCATGGAAAAACCCACCCCCATAATTCAATTACCTCCCACTGGGTCCCTCCCACAACACCTGGCAATTATGGAAGCTACAATTCAAGGTGAGATTTGGGTGGTGACACAGCCAAACCATATCACAAGTGGATAATAAATTTTAGTTAATTTTTGTATAAGATGTGAAACTTAGAGTTCATTTTATAGTTTATGGATGTTTAATTGTGCCATCACCTTTTGTTGAAAACATCTGTAGTGATATTCCCTGTTTCATTCCTGATACCGACCTTTATTCTTTTTATCTGCTTTGATGTTTGTAAATATCATTGATGTTTTCAAGGAACCAGCTCTTTATTGATTTTAAGTTTTCAATTTTGTTGATTTTTTTGCTCTTATTTTTGTCATGCCCTCCCTTCTCTTTGAGGTGGGAGGTTAGAATTTTTATTTGAGGATTTTCTCCTTTTGCAATGTATGCACTTAGTGATATACGTTTTACTCTCAGTACTACTTTAGCTGTGTCCTACACATGTTTTAATTGACACAATAATTATACATATTTATGCAGTATAGTATGATATTTTGACACCTATATACAATGTGTAATGATCAAATCAAGGTAATTAACATACCTATTTTCTCAAACATTTATCATTTCTTTGTGTTAGGAATGTTTAAAATTCTTACTTCTAGTTATTTTGAAATATAAAATATTGCTAACTATAGTAACCTTAGAGTGCTGAAAAACACTAGAACTTATTTACCTTACCTAGCTGTAATTTTGTATCTGTTAACCAACCTCTCCCTATTTCCTCCTTCCCCCTTCCCTTACCAGCCTCTAGTAACCACTGTTTTACTCTCTACTTCCATACCTCACCTTTTTTAGCTTCCACACATAAGTGAGAACATGTGGTATTTCACTTAACATAATGTCCTCCAGGCTCATCCATGTTGCCACAAATGGCAGGATTTTATTTTTTATATGGCTGAATAGTATCCCATTGCATACATATATATCACATTTTCTTTATCCATTCATCTTTTTTTTTTGTTACCAAACATTCATTTCCATTCATCTGTTGATGAATACTTAGGTTGATCTGTATCTTGGCCATTGTGAATAAATGAACATTGGAGTTCATTTATAAATAAATAATTTATTTATTTATTTATAAATAATGAACATAGAAGTGCACATATCTCTTTGACATACTGATATCCTTTCCTTGAAATATATATTCAGTAGTGGAATTGCTGTATCATATGATAGTTCTATTTTTAGTTTTTTGAGAAAACTCCCTACTGTTTCTCATAATGTCTGTACTAATTTATATTCCCACCAACAGTGTACAAGAGTTCCCCTTTTCTCTACATCTTTGCCAACATTTGCTATTTTTTATCTTTTTTTTATAATTAGCCATCTTATGGATCAAAGACTTAAATCTAAGCCTTGAAACTATAAAAATTTTAGAGGGTAACATCCCCAAAACTCTTCTAGGCATTGGCTTAGGCAAAGAGTTCATGACCAAGAACCCAAAAGCAAATGCAACAAAAACAAAGATAAACAGATGGGACTTAATTAAACTAAAAAGCTCTTGCACAGCAAAAGAAATAATCCACAGAGTTAACAGACAACCCACAAAGTGGGAGAAAATATTCACAAACTATGCATCCAACAAAGGACTAATATCCATAATCTACAAGGAACTCAAACAAATCAGCAAGAACAAACAAATAATCCCATCAAAAAGTGGGCTAAAGACATGAATAGACAATTCTCAAAAGAAGATACACAAATGGCCAATAAACATATGAGAAAATGCTCAACATCACTAATTATCAGGGAAATGCAAATTAAAACCAAAATGTGATACCACCTTACTTCTGCTGGTGGGAATGTAAACTAGTCCAACCACTGTGGAAAACTGTATGGAGACTCCTTAAAGAACTAAAAGTAGAACTGCCATTTGATCCAGCAATCCCACTACTAGATCTACTCAGATGAAAAGAAATCATTGTATGAAAAGTATACATGTTTTTATAGCAGCACACACATATTTATAGAAGCACAATTTGCAATTGCAAAATATGGAACCAGCCTAAAGGACCATTGACCAATGAGTGGATAAAGAAAATGTGGTATATATATACCATGGAATACTACTCAGCCATAAAAAGGAATGAAATAATGGCATTCACAGCAACCTGGATGAAGTTGGAGCCCATTTTTCTAAGTGAAGTAACTCAGGAATGGAAAACTAAACCTTATATGTTCTCACTTATAAATGGGAGCTAAGCTATGAGGATGCAAAGGTGTAAGAATGATATAATGAACTCTGGGGACTCAGGGGTGGTACTACACATTGAGTACAGTGTACACTGCTCAGGTGATGGGTACACCAAAATATCAGAAATCACCACAAAAGAACTTATTCATGTAACCAAATACCACCTGCTCCCCCCAAACTATTGAAATAATAAAAAAGAAAAAAGAAAAAAATAATTAGCTATCGTAACTGGGATGACATGATATCTCACTGTGGTTTTGATTTGCATTTTCCTGATGATCAGTGGTGTTGAGCATTCTTTCTTATACTTGTTGGCCATTTGTGTGTCTCCTTTTGAGAAATGTCTATTCAGACCATTTGTCCATTATAAAAATTGGATGATGATGATGATGATGACGACGATGGTTTGCTGTTGAGTTACTTGTATATTTTGGTTGTTAGTCCCTTGTCAGATGAATACTTTGCAAATATTTTCTCTCATTCTTCAGGTTGTCTCTTTACTCTGTTGATTGTTTTCTTTGCTGTGCAGAAGCTTTTTAGTTTGATATAATCCTATTTGCCTATTTTTACTTTTGTGGTTTGTGCTATTGAGGTCTTATTTATAAAATCTTTGCCCAGGCCAATGTCCTGAAGCATTTCCCTTGTGTTTTTTTCTAGTAGTTTTATAATTTCTTGTCTTACATTTAGGTCTTTAATTTGTTTTGAGTTGATCTTTGTATATGGTGAGAGATAGGATCTAGTTTTATTATTCTGTGTGTGGATATTCAGTTTTCCCAGCACTCTTTATTGAGTAGACTGTCCTTTCTCTCTTACACTCAAAAGAGAAAGACAGTATCTCTTTACAGGCCACACCAAGACACCTAAGTCTGTTCTAGAAATACATCAGCTGCTCCTTCAAGGTAGATTTTAAAGCCTTGGGGAAAGTTGGGAATATTTATTGTTAAATTCTAGAATCCCTTTTTCCATAAGAGGAGATGTCTCTTCACCCATATTTCCAAAAACTATTTTCTATTTTTTTTTTTTTTTTTTGGTCTTAGGTCAACTCTGTCTCTGGATTGAGAGGATTCAGGATGAGGCTTTATTTAAGATTTTTCTGTTTCTAATCACATCCAGACAACCAGCCAATCGTATGGTTTGACTCAGTGAGAAAGATGAGCCTAACTAATCCTTGTACTCACATTGGTGGTGGTGGCTGGTGAGGGTCCTGGGCAAGCAAGCATTTTTTGAGGGACCCCCTTGCTTTGGGCACTGTTCCCACCTTGCTTTAGGCACTGTTCCGAGTACATTATTTTAGTCGAGGTTTATGACAATTCCCTGACATCACTACTATCATTATCCTCAGTTTATAAACAAGAAAATGGAAGCTCAGTAAAGGGAAGTATTTGTCAACAGTTACTCAAGATCCATATCAGTGTCACCTCTTGAACCCTATCAGCCCTTGCTAATTACAAGAGAACATCATATTCTTTTCTCTTCTTTTTTGAAATTTAAGATAAAGATAATAAGATGACATCCACCTAATATCCATTATGAGGAATTGATCATTGTTGACATTTTATCTCACTTGTTTAAAATATTTTAAAGAAAATGTTAAATGCCTTTGACCCTCACTTTCAACCCCATCCTATTGCCACTCTCATTTCCATTCCTGCCCCCAAGAGTAAATTCTTCATTTTTTTTATTTTCATACTTTTAGCAGAGACGGGGTTTCACCATGTTGGCCAGCCTGGTCTTGAACTCCTGATCTCCTCAGGTGATCTGCCCGCTTTGGCCTCCCAAAGTGCTGCGATTACAGGCGTGAGCCACCACACCTGACCCCTCTTTTTCTCATGGCATTTTGTGAAGGCTGGGTATGGGCTTTCTCTAAGTTGGTAAAAGACATCAAGAGTTCTCTCTCATTTACATTCAAGGGAGAAAGGCAGTATCTCTTTTCAGGCAACACCAAGACACCTAACTTACAGCAAAGAATAAATCTTTACTATTACTAAAGTAAGAATAAATCTTTACTATAAGTTTGCTGCTTTTTTCTTGCAGTCCATTTTTCTGTGCCTCTCAAAGACCTTTCTTGAGGCAGAAGGCTTCGTTCTCCTTACTGCTTCTCCTCCCATGGGTTTTGCGAATCCTAGTTTTTAGAAAATGCCTCCTATCTTAGCCTGCTCCCTTTGTGCTTTGGCCCCCATGGTTTGTGATGTTGCTGCCAAGGTGTGAGATCAAGATGGAGTGGTGGCCTTGGTAGAGCTGAAGCGACCCATCATCACTTTGGCTGGGACAGTTGTTTGCTCTCAACTCATGCTGATAATTGTTAAATTCCAAAGACAACTAGGAACATCCCTTTGCATTTTTTTTTTTCCTGAGCTATAGGACAACTTAATACAATGCCATCTAGTGTTCCAACCTCTGCCAGCAAGAGAACTGAGGCATCATCCAAAATACAGTAAACAGTCTTAAAAAAAGAAAAAAAGATGTTTTGACTAAAATAACATAAATCTGAAACTTGAGTTTTTTTTTTTCTTTTTAATCACCATCACAGTGAAGGATATGTTGTAGGTGGTGCCCTACTCATATCCTCCTTCCCTTTTATCCTCTTTGTCTAACCGCTGCAGGGCACAACGGTCCAGCTAAGCTAGCTGCATCTGCTTTTCTTTTTTTATTTTTTTGTCAAGGTCTTGCTCTGACCTCTTAAGCCACATTGCCCAGAGTGGAGGGCTGAAATTACAGGGAATTTCTGTGCTCTGAGAGCAGCCTCAGTAAATGACTGATACGGATTGTATTAGTGTGTTCGTGCATTGAGAAATATCTGAGACTGGGTAATTTGTAAAGAAAAGAGGTTTAATGGATTCACAGTTCTGCGGGCTGTACAGCAAGCATAATGGCTTCTGCTTCTGAGGACACCTCAGGAAGTTTCCAATCACGGTGGAAGAGGAAGGAGGTATAAGATGTCTCACACGGCAGGAGTAGGAGCAAGAGAAAGTTGGAGTGAGGGAGGTGCTATATACTTTTAAACAACTAGATCTCATTAGAACTCACTCATTATCATGGGAGCAGCACCACGGGGATGCTAAGCCATTCATGAGGAATCCACCACTGTGATCCCATCACATCCCACCAGGATCCAGGATCCATCTCCATCATCGGGGATTGCAATTCAATGTGAGTTTTGGGCAGGGACCCAGATCCAAACCATATCATGGATTGATGTATAAACATCCTGGCGTCCTCCTTTAGGTAGGATGATGATGAGGCCTGTGTCCTGCACCAGCTTCCAGAGTTCTCCAGTGGAATTATACTCCAGCTGCCCAGAGCGCCAGCCGACTTGGCTTTGCACCCTTTACTGGCTGCTGCTTCTCTGTGTCTCCATTTTTCTCTCCCCTACCGGTATTTCCTTTCCTTTCCAAGTAAACCATTTGCTTTGGAATCTTTGTCTCAGACTTTCCTAAACTAAGAAGACCTCTCTGTCGTAGATTGCAAAAATGGCCACAAACCTTCCGCCTCTCTACATCCTTATACTGTAAAGTTACAGTTCCTTTCATTAAGAAGTGGGCTCACCTTGGGTCTTGCTTTGGCCAGTAGAGTATGGAGGAAGTGATGATATGCCAGTTCCAAGTCTAGGCTTCAAGGGATCTTAAGCATTTCTCCTTTTTCTCAGAGACTTGTGAGCAAGAATATGGTTGTCGTTTAAAGCAACTAAGTTTTGGGTGATTTGTCATGCAGCAGGACTGATACAACTCCCACCCCAAGCACATTTTTGATATCCTCTTGTGTGTTCATTCCCTTGAATAAGAGTATTGTTTTCTCTAAAGAAAAGCATCTTTTCAGGCACAGAGAAGTTGATTGACCTTCTCAGATTTGCTCAGGAGAATCTGGGTGCCAGTTGTTGGCAGTATCCTGGTATATTCCTTAGCCCCAGGGCCTCTATGCTGACTCACCTTGTCTGGGTTTGCTTGCTAGCTGCTGCATTTTCTCTCTGCTACAGTGGCCAGCACAGCTGCTGTTTTTTTCCAAAGCCCTCTTTCACAGAGCTGTTAGGTAGGAGGCCACTGCGTTTCCATGATTGTGCGGATGACATATGTGTCTGACAGGGATTCTAGCACCTCAAAGCTGGCCTGGGATGGAGAGCTCACCAAAAATACTGCAGTTGCTGGATGCCAGGGAATTTATTGAGCTTTGGAGCCAGCAGGATGCAGAGTAAACAGCATAGAAATAGAGTGAGTCAGGATGCTTAATCCTGACTTTGCCTCTTGGCTAATTGTATGGCCTTGAGTGGGACCCTTGACCTGCATTTCTTTAATTGAGACAAGGTAGCCTCTGAAGTCCCTTTCAGCTCTAAAATGCTAGAATTCAAGGACCGAATAGGGCTTTATAAAAATGAAATGCCAGAAAGCATGGAGTTAGTTGTCTAATTAGAGGAAGTTCTGATAGGCTAGAACACTGGTTCTCAAAGTGGGGTCCCTAAACCTGCAGCATCGCAACATCACCTAGGAACTTGTTAGATCACAGCTCACTGCAGCCTCGAACTTCTCAGCTGAAGGGATCTTCCTCCCATGTAGATGGGACAACAGGCTCACACCACAATGCCTGGCTAATTTTTAAAAAGTTTTTGTAGAGATGGGGTCTCACTATATTGCCCAGGCTGGTCTCAAACTCCTGGCCTCGAGTGATACTCCTGCCTCGGCTTACCAAAGCACTGGGATTACAGGCATGAGCCACCATGCTGGGCCCAGAACTTGTTAGAAATGCAAATTTTCAGGCTCCACTCCAGACCCTCTGAAGCACTCTCTCAGCAGGTACTCATGTTCACATGAGAAAGAGGTAACCAGCTCTATTAGCAAAGGTAGATAATTAATTAACCAACTTATTCATGGATAACCTATTTCTGTGTGCAAGAAACTGTTTTATTCTTGGGGTGAAAGTAAAGGTGAAGGTGCACAGCTATTGTAAGAGAGTGTGAGAGTAGGGCCCAGCAATTTGTGTATTAACGAGCTCTTCAGGTGATTTGAATACAGGTTCAAGTTTGAGACTTACTGATCTAAAGCTGTGTTATTCCAAGTGTGGCTCACATCATCGGCATCATCTGGGAGCTGCCCGAAGAAGCAAAAGCTTAGCACTACCTCTTTAGAACTCCTGTGCCAGAATCTCCATTTAACAAGATTCCCAGTGATTTGAATGCACATAACAGCTGAGAAATCCTGGGTGCAGCCTCCATTCTTGGAGAGTGTAATCCAATAGAAAGGGGTTGGGGGGAGTGGCAGCAGGAGAGCAGAAATTTACATTTCTAAAAAGCTCCCAAACACGGCTGATGTTGCAGGTTCAGGGACCACTTTGAGTAACAAGGCTCTAGATTTTAGCCCAGGCTTAGAATCTTGAATATGGAAGGGTTTCAACCCAGAAGTTGGTTTCAGCTACACTGTACAGATGTGCAGGTTGTGCACTGCCAAATTCCAGAAGGCAACATTTGCATAGACTGAGTCAAGAACCTGAACCCCAAAGCTAAGAGGCAGGGGCTAGCTAAAGAGTGGGTTTTAGAGAGTGTTAGAATTGGGTTTGGATCCTAATCCTGCCACTTACTTAGTTGACCTTGGGAAATATATTTAACTCTGAGCCTCGATTTCCTCATCTGTAAAATGGAGATGAACATACCTGTGTCCCAATATAAGATACTCAACAGTAAGCACCCAGTAGAAGCCCAGATATTTGCAAATAGCTATTCTCTCTGGACTTTCCTTTCAACCAAGGGAAGAGTAGTTGTATAGGTTCCTTTCCTCCTTCAGTCTCATCCTGGCCAGTGGCCTAATCCCCTGGTCAGGCTGAAGGCCAGGTGAGTATCATGGGCTTTTCTTTAGAGCTCCCAGGGGTCAGATGAAGGTGATACCACCATAATGCAGACTGTTTCTATTTAGGAAAGCTTCCCATGGGTTTGTACAAATCAGTTCATAAAAATGACCAACACAGCCAGTTTCAAACCATGCCCTGAGTTCACGTGCTTACCAAAGTCATAAAAAACAGCAATAGTTTCTGGTCCCACCAAGGCTTTGATGCCCCTGGTGCCTGGAATCACTCAAAGGCTTTGCAGGGGAAGGCACTTTGGCCCACTGGACCTGGAAATCTTCGCTCTTCTGCATAAAGAACCCATTTAGACCCCTTGTGTGTTTCTGTGCGAGAAAGACCATCAGAAATTCTCTGAAACAAACCTAAAGATGCATTTGGGGTGAGGGAGAGCCCATTTGGGGGTACAAGCAGGCAAGCAGGATACTTTTGAAAATCAGTTGCTTATATAGGTGTAGGTCTGTGTCTGGAGTCTGTACTCTGTCCATTGATAATTATGTCTACCCTTATATCAATCCATGCTGTCTTGATTCCTGTTAAGTCTTGACATCTGGTATAATCTTTCAACTGAAAAATAAAAAGCTCATTAAAACACAAACCAGGGGAAGGCTATGAGACCAGATAAATCTTGATCAGAAACTAGACATAATTAAATTTATTTCTTTGCAGTTTACGAGAAGCAAAATAAGTATATATACATATTTCTAAATTCAGGGACTGGTTGAAATTTTAGCAGGAGCTGAGAGGCTGAGTTCTGAGGGATTTCAGCCTAAGAATAGCCACTAGAGGGCCTAGGAGATCCAGAAACACTGCATGGTGTTTGTAGGAGCCAGGCAGGCCCAGAGAGCCGCCAAGGCCTGAGTATGGTGTTCAAGGTGAACCTGATTCCTGAAAACCTCACCAGGTGCTCACCTTCACATGAGAAAGAAGTAACCAGCTCTGTTAGGGAAACTAGATAATTCATTAAGCAATTTATTCACCAATAACCTATTTCTGCATGCAAGACACCGTTCTATTCTTGGGGTTAAGGGAAGCTGAGAATGCAGGACTATTATAAGCAGGCCTCTCACTTAGGGCTCAGTGATGGCATCAAGGACCAGCTTGGGAGGTGTGGGCTTTGATGCCCATTATTTCCATGTGCTGCACCAATAAACTTAAAATCAAGATAAAAACAGCGTGTGTGCTAAGCAAATACAGCTTCAAGTCAAATCCCTTTAGGTCACTAGACTGCCACACTTTAATCCCTCTACAGAAACTCTAGAGTTTTTGTGATTGGAGCTTTGTGATGTGTCTTGAAGCAGGGATGAAGCTGATTTCTCTATTATTGTTTAAAAAGTCCTTAAAGTATGCAGTACTTTACAGACAGAATACAAAAAAAGTTTAGAAAGTCACCTTTCCTAGAGAGACCTAGGGGCTATCTAGTTACGGCATGTGCTAGAAAATGACCTACAAGGTATGTTCTAGCCTGAGGAATTGCTGGCATGTGAATCATGAGGACAGATGCATGGGCAGAATGTGCCATTTCCTCTGTCAGCATCTGCTAGGCAAGAGATGCCTTCCCCTAGGCCCCCTGGCTCTGCAGTTTTCCCGCCTATGGGAGGCCTTTTACCAACATGACCTATGCCACCCACCCTCACTCCCACACCACCACATCTGGCAGCAAATTTTGTAAGCCAGGAAGTTTGGGGGGTACAAAAGAGGGGCTCCTTGAAGTGGGAGAAGGGTCTCCCAGTCCATGGATAGCTCTAAAAGAGCTGAGTCCTAGATGACTTGCAGATATGGTCTCCTCCATGATCAGAGCTTCTAAAAGAGGAAAGAAATTGGTTCTTTCATCATGTTTCCTTGGCCATGGGAGAAAGTCAGATAAAACAAGCAAGATAAAACAGATGTTATCAAGCAATGCAGTGATGCTTCCCTTTCTTATAGAAATTTCCTTTTCAGAGGGTAAAAACCCAGTTAACTTCTCATATACCAATTTCCCCAGGATATAAGGAGGGTCTTCCCTGTAAGATTTGCTGTCTGGATTACTGAGGCCAGCCCCTCTGACTTCTCTCTTTCCACCTGTTTATATTAGGAAAGCTTGCCATGGGTTTGCACAAATCGATTCATAAAAATGACCAACGCAGCCAGTTGCAAACCATGCCCTGGGTTCACTTACTTACCAAAGTCACAAAAAACAGTAATAGTTCCTGGCCCTGGAAAGAGAGAGGTCATAGGGACTGGCCTCAGTAATCCACACCCATCCTCCTATAGATACAACTTTTGTCTGATCACTCTTTGCTCCCTAGCTTCTATCATGAGTTCAAGTGTCCTTACCCGACTCCCAAGGACAGGCCATCCTTTCCACTCAGTACTCATCCTTTACTCTTGTAACTGCTCAACAGGTTCATTTTGCCAGCTGTCCAGATAGAATCGATTTATCAAGACAGAGAAATTGCCATAAAGAGTTTAATTCTCGCAGAGCCGGCAGAATGCGAGGCCAGAGTTTTATTACTACTCAAGTCAATCTTACCAAAAATTTGGAGACTGGGGATTTTAAGGATAAATTGATGGGTAGGGGGTGCAGGAAGTGGAAAGTGCTGATTGGTTGGGTTGGAGATGAAGTCATGAAAAGTTGAAGCTGTCCTCTTGTCCTCATTCCCAGATGGTTAGGCATTCTAAGTCACAGCATGAGATGGGAGGTCAGTACAAGATATAGGCCATAAAGACCTTGCTGATAAAACAGATTACAGTAAAGAAGATGGCCAAAACCCACCAAAACCAAGAGAGCAATGAGAGTGACCTCTGGTCATCCTCATTGCTCATTATAGGTCAATTATAATGCTTTAGCATGCTAAGAGACACTCCCACCAGCACCATGACAATGTACAGGTGCATGGCAACGTCAGGAATTTACCCTATATGGTCTAAAAGCCTGAGGAACCGTTAGTTACAGGAATTGCCCAGTCCTTTCCTGGAAAGCTCATTATTAATCCACCCTTTGTTTAGCATATAATCAAGAAAAAACCATAAAAATGGGCAACCAGCAGCCCTCAGGGCTGCTCTGCCTATGGAGTAGCCATTCTTTATTCCCTTACTTTTTAAGTAAACTTGCTTTCACTTTATGGATTGGCCTAGAAGTTTTTCTTGTGTGAGATGCAAGAACCCTCTCTTGGGGTCAGGATCGGGATGCCTTTCCAGTAACAGTTTCAGTTGCAACCTCTCATCTTACTCTCTTATATAAAGATTATTGGCATTGACCCTTCTGGACTTTTGCTCATGCAGTTCCCCTTGCTAGGCAAGCCTGTCCTTCTGGCTGACAAAAAAGTGCACCTAAGCTACTTTTTCTCTGGAGTCTTTCTGGACTACTTTAGCCCTTATTGATTGCTCCTCCTTTGAACTTCTTATAGACATCCGGGGCCTTAATCTAATACCGGTGGGGATTTTTCTTTTATTTTAGGAATCCTGATTGTGGCTTGGCAATCAGATGGCTAGATCCTTGAGGACAGAAGTTTGTGTCCCAAGACTCCAGCATGGTGACCCCTTGCACACATTAGAAGCCCAATTAACATTTGCCTGGTTAACTTCCATGCATCCTTGGGATCTTAAGTTGACCCTCACTTCCTGAGGGCAGCCCAACCCATTAGATCCAAATCTCCTACTGCAGATTCTAATACAACCAGGCATCTCTCCTGCATAGGACTACTCAAAGATGGACAGTTTTATTCATTTGCTTTTATTACTCAGTTCCCTCCATGAGGGCTGGAAACTATATTTGGTTTTATTTAGTGCCTGGCATACACTGGGTAATCTATCAATATTTATTAAATTAGTGAATACCTGTTCGTTGGCTGAACTGAAATGTGACACCGACTTCTTGGGAAATGAGAGCAAAGCTGAAGATGTTAATCTCCTGGGAGCCAGTGCCCTTGAGCACAGTCCTAAACAGAATCTAACAACAAAGGCTCAGATGGGCCAAGTTATTGCAGGACCATTGGTGGCAATGAGTGGCTATATATATATATATATATATATATATATATACATATATATATACACATTTATTTATATTTAGAGATTTCATAAAAAATCTTTATAGTTATAAGTAATACATGTCCTTGTGGAAAGCAGGTAAACTTTAGAAAATTATAAGGAAGCAGAGGAAAGTAACTACAATCCCACCACTCAAAAACTTTTAAAAAGTTAACATTTTCTTCCAATATTGGTTCAGTACATGTTTTTTACAGTGTGGAAATCCTACCAGATATACAATTTTAGATCTTGCCTTTTAAAAAAACCACTTAACTTTAAATTATAAATGCCTTTTCTTTTTATTGAAACTATGCATCATAATTTTAAACAGATTCAGAATATTCTGCTATATGGATGTACTCTATTATTCCCTCAATACGGGACAGGAAGGTTGATAAATATAAGTTTTGGCCCTTATGATTTTGAAGGCATTCTATATCTAAAGACAATTAAGATAAATGGTAGAGGTATTATATTATAGACTTCCCCAGCAGTTTCAACAGAATGCCTACTTTTGTTCATTGAGACCTGGCTACACAGTTGGCAGTCCTCCCCAAGTGAGTGCTCCTCATTCCTTGCTTTCTCATCCCCCAGCCCCTACTCTGCTACCCTTTACTTTTCCCCATATAGCAGACACGATTGATGCCCTATTTACATATCATCAATACTCAGTATTCCTGCACATGCCAATGGTTTCTTACTGCAAGCACCTTGGATTCTCTGCTTAAGGACTTTCTTTGGCTGCAGGAGCATGATCAGTTATGCGTGGGGCAGTCTAGGAGTGCCCAATGGGCCCAAGTGCAAATGGGAGTTAGTAGATAAATATCCCAGCTCCTCATCACACATGGGGAACAATTTGGAGCTGTGTTCTACATAGAGCTTTCCGTGGGGACTGATTTCCAATTACCCACTCATTAATGCACCTGTGTTAGCTTCCTTTCCTTCACTGTCTCATTTCCACATTTTCCTACAATGGTTCCTGGGGTCACCTCACAAATAAACCATCTGGACTCAAACCCTTGTTTCAGTGTCTGCTTCTGGGGGACCAGTGTAAGACTCCCCTCCTTCTTAATTATGAGTTCTAGCACTCTCCAGCTTAGACTTTCCCTCTTTTTTTTTTTTTTTTTTTTTTTTTACTAAAGTGGAAGCTAAAAAGTCTAAATGATTCAACATATATTTTAAGGAACAGTGTAAATATGCAAAACGGTGCCAGATTGCTAACTCTCTTTTCATCAGAACTACTGATAGGAATGCTCCCAAGAGGGAATAAATTATACAGAGACTCTGGTCTCTTTGGAGGTGACTTTGAACTGTTCTTTGTTTCTCCTCTCTGTTGTCCTCTCTCATTTCTCTCCTAATCTATTTCCTCTGCAATAGAAGAGAAATAGCTGACTGTTTTTGCTACCAACTCCTAATTAAGTTTCCAGATACACCCATAAGCAGAGGTGTGATGATAGGCTTGTTATAAAGCAAGTTTATATTCATTTTATGTAATTAATTGTTATTACTGGTTACTAAAGACTTGATGTATGCTGCGTATTTACTAGGTTCTGCAGGAGATTCTGCAGAGATTAAGATGTTATCTTTGTAGGGAAGATAAGACACATTACACAGCTGGACTCATGCAGGGACAAGTGTGATGTGTCAATTGAGGGGCACACATAGATCAAAACCAATAAACAACTCTAGATATTCAGAGAAAGCTGTGGTTCACTCTGGCTGGATTTTGAGAAAGCTTCATGGAAGAGGCTAGGAATGGATGGGTTGGGTTTTAATAGGTAAACAGGACAAGACACAGAGAAGAGAGGTGTTCCAAGTCTTCCCCATCTCAATTCCTAGGGGACTTCGATTTGCTGTTAAAGGTTGAGACTGCTGCTTCCCTGCTCTCCCCTCCTTCTGACCTCAGTAGGCCATAAAACTTTCAGTTTCTTTCTATTTTAGTTTCTCTAATACCCAATGGGGGAAACTATGCCATCTTTCTGATGCAAACAGACTAAGCCAGTTCCAAGCCAAACTGTAAATTAGGCATATCAGTTAGAAATTCATTTAATTTTAGATATCACATTAGATATCACCCATCTAATAGGGGCTTAAACAAAATGGACACTAATTTTAGCTCTAAGAAAAAGAAGACTGAGGCATTTGTTACTGGGGTTTAGCTAACTCAGCAACATCATCAAAGACTCATGCCTTTTCCATCTTCCTACTCTGCCCTCCTTAAGCTGTTGATTTTTCAACCTCACACTGCTCCCCTCCTGGCTGCACCTTGGCTGCATTAGTTTCAGGAATCATGACTGCCTTCAAGGCAGGAAGAAGGGAGAAGAGCAGTAACAAAAGTCTGCTTTTTTCATGACGGCAAAAGTATTTCCAGGAGTCCCCTGCAAAAAAAAAAAAAAAAAAAAAAACATGTATCACTGGCTACAAATGCATCATATGGCCACCCTAGCTGTAAAAAATTCTGGAACTTGAGTATTTCACTCCTTAGATTCTATAATTATACAAAGCAAGGAAAAAGGGCCAGGGAATGGCTACAATGAAGGCTACAAATTCTGCCTTGTCTTACAGGAAACTTTACTTGCTATGGTTAAGACACTCAGAGCGTCTCTCTGTCTTAGCTGAATAACCAGTGTATTAGTCAACTGTTACCTCAGCCATACTGCGCAACAAACCACCCCAAATCTCAGTGGCGTTTAATGATAAGCATTGATGATCACACTCACAGAGTTGCTGATTGGCCAGGGTGCCTCTGTTCCATATGTCTCACATTCTTCTAGAATAGAAGAATGGTGTGGCAGAAACCAAGAGGAGTGAGCAGAAAGGGATAGCACTTCTTTGGGTGTAGGGTCAGAACAGTACATCCTCACTCTTTCCCATACGTCACTGGCCAAAGCAAGCCACATGGGACAAAGCACACTTTCTAGAGGAAGGAACTGGAGAGTTCTTGGGCAAGGACATGGGTATGGGGAAGAGTGAGGAATGGGAACATTCCCACACCCGGCTGAGTAATCTAGTACATTACCTACATGACAGTGGTGGTGGTGCTAGAATGTTAATGTGTTTCCCTCCAGGTAGCAAATGTCCCTGTAACAGGCAAGGGCCTACTTGAGGCAATGCCAAATCAGAGAACTGACCCTAGGGCTGTAATTTTAGACTTATCTTTTTGGAAAGGTAGAGCATATGGTCCCTTGAATTACCTTTTATAGGTGGCTCTTTCCTTTTATTTATTGAATGTATCCAACAATAAAGGGACTCTAAGACTCGGCTTCTCACCATATATCAATTTGGCATTTTCAGGAGCAGGCAATTCCTATTCTCAGTCTTCTTATGTGTCTGAGAGTTTTTATGTCCTAAGTAGGGACTGAATTCTGCCTTCCCCAGCAGTGGTGTCTGGAGATGCGACCTTCATATCACAAGGAGTATTTTCCCAGCCAAACTACATTTGCTATAATTACTATCCTATATAACTTAATTAAACCAAATATTGTGACAATAAGAATAGAATGGGGATGGAAACAATTCCTCATGATATGTGTAATGCTCAGATTGTTCCTTGACGCCATTACATTAGGCAGAGCTTCCTTGACAGGAGGACTGCATTGGTGTTAATTTAATTACATTCTAATGCAAGCTCACAGAAATTACAATACAGATGAGCTGCATTAAAGGACATCTGTGTGTCTTAAAAAGTGTCTATGACCTTTCCTTTGAAAATGAGACTCATTTATTTAGTAAACATTTCCAGTAGTTTCTCATCTCTCTGGAGGCCACCTTGATGGGAAGAAGCCTAGATGAATTCATTTGAGAAGTCAATGAATCTTCTTTTCTGAGAAAAATGTATAATATCACACTTTTGTGTATTTATTTAGTGGGGTTTTTTTAAACCCTTGTCATCTGCCAGACTTTATTGCAAGCACTTCACAAATAAGAACAAATAAAATAGGAATGATAATAGGACCTACCTCATACATTTATAAAAGATTAAATATAATCTTTATTATATTATCTTATTATATAAGATTAAATGTAATCTTTATTATAAATGTATGAGGTAGGCCCTATTATCATTTCCATTTTATAGATGGAAAATCTGAATCATGGTGAGATTAAACAACTTTTTCAAGGTTAGGTAGCTTTAAAAAGGTATGAATTCCCATGTGACTGACTAATGGGGAAAGGAGATTAGGTGCTTGGCAGATGATACAATTTTCTTCATGAAACACCTAAAGTCTGAATAAATTATTTTGGGGGAACTGACTAGCCTCCTCATTGTCAAAAGTCTTGATTTAACACACAAGAAATTTTTCCTGCCCAGCATCCATTCCCTCTTCTCCTAGCTATAGCAGCCTGATTTTCCCTTGGAAGAACAAATCACTCTCCCTTTTCTAATTCATGGGGGTTGAGTGGTCAGATCCAACCCTCCATCTCCAAAGCTGGGAAATTCACCAGGCCTGGGAATTAGTTGAGGAATGAGCATAAGATCTATGCCCAGACCAGGGAGTATCAGCCCAGGACATTGGCTGGGGCTTCTCAGAAAGAAGTACTCTTTTTGGTAGAGTTGTTAAGAATAGGACATAGGTTGGGGTAGCTGGTGGCCATCTTTTTACTATGGTGAAACCCTGATTGGATTTAAAGCAACACAGGGACATTGATGCTGAGAGATTAAGAAAAATAAATTTGTGATGACATTATTTGATCCTCTGGATTTAGCCATGCCTGAGCTTCTCACTACAGAACATGTAGATGTTTTATTTATTTGAATTGATAGAGTACTTTCATTGTCAAAGCCAGTTTGAATCAAGTTTCTGTCATTTGTAAACAAGAGCCCAGTCTGAAAGTGTGCTAGAACAATTTCCAGGCCCATCCTACTGCCCTGGGAACCTCTGTTCTTTCTGCCCAACAGATCTTGGAGAGTTAGGCTGATTTCCTTTCTCTGAAGCTTCTGCCAACATCCTCCATTCTTTCATAGAAACTTCTCCCCTTTCCTTCTTACCTTCTTCACTTCCTTATTGACACCACTGACAAGAACACAAGGGCCTCTCATTTAAAGGCTTCAGATTAAACATGGAGAAAAAAATGGGTCACATAGAAAATTAGCACAAAAAATTTATGAAAGTGAAACAAATCTCACACATTCTTATAATCATTGTGTATGAGCTAGTGTTGTGATGTTCAATATGGTAGCCATAAGCTACAGGTGTCAACTAGGCATATAAAAGGTGGCTACTGCGATTTTTTTTTTTTTTTTTTTTGAGACAGAGTCTCACTCTGTCACTAGGCTGGAGTGCAGTGGCACGATCTTGGCTCACTGCAACCTCTACCTCCTGGGTTCAAGCGATTCCCCTGTCTCAGCCTCCTGACTAGATGGGACGACTGTTGCGCTCCACCACGCCAGACTAATTTTTTTGTGTGTGTATTTTACCAGCGACAAGGTTTCACCATGTTGGCCAGGATGGTCTCAACCTCCTGACCTCGTGATCCACCCATCTCGACCTCCCAAAGTGCTGGGATCACAGGTGTGAGCCACCGTGCCCGGCTGCCTACTGTGATTAAAGAACTGAATTTCTAATTTTATTTAATTGTAATTAAAAATTAAAATAAAAAACTGATTCAGTTATTGAAAACTTTTTAATGTATGCTTAGAACAACTTGAGTATGTGAATCTTACTTGCCAATGATAAATTTTATGAAATGTAACTACAGATTAATTATTTCTGATAAATTTTACTATCTAAATTGAGATATGGTTTAAGTACATTACACATCGGATTTCAAGAATAGATTTGAAAAAGCAAAATATTTAGTTAATTTTTATATTGTTTACACATTGAAATGATGTTTTTGCTATATCAAGTTAAATAAGATAGATTCTTACAAATAATTTCATATGTTTCCTTCAACTTCTTTGAACATGGTTCATGCTATATTTCCATTGGATATTGCTGGTCTGTAGTTTCTGTCTAACCCATGATTTGAAGTACTCTGGAGGGTGTTTACCACACCGAAGATCATGTGTGGTCTTTTATTCTGAAAGCATTGAGAGTTTGAGCTTTTATTCTGGAAACACATTGAAGAAATGTGTCAGTAAATTTATATTAGTCTTCCTTATAAAAGTCTAAACAATCTAACTAAATAGTTTTTATTATTTTTCATGTCATTAACTGATGTTTGAAAATTTTTTTTTCTTGTCTTGACCTATGTGATGCTTTTCTAGTTCAAGTGTACAAAACCTGAGTTTCTGAAAAATAAAGAAATGAAAAAATGTCATTGTATTCAGTGCAAAATATAAGACGTTATGGATTGTTTCCAGAAATCTTTCTATATTGCATTTTTGTTGCTATTTTGTCCATGTTTTTTACTCACACATGTCTGATATTTTTATTGAAATAATCTGGCAACTCTGGAAAGAACTCCATTTTGCTTCATTTCCCCCACTTTCCAGGAGCCATGACTCTTCCTTCCAGTAGGCTCCTTCTTCCCATTCAGAAACCTAGAGATACAGTTTCAGCAGAATGGTAAATGAGGGTGAATGTCTACCCATGTACCCAAGCCTCAGTGGACCTGCCAACTGGAGGGGTCCAGTGCCAGTGGGCCCCATGCTGTGTGAGATAACATATTCAGTTTCCAAGGATTAGAATGTGGATGTCTTTGGGGAGAAGGCCATTACACTGCCTACCACAATAATTAACAGCAGGAAGACATCCTACATCTGTAAACTGAAGGCTCTTGTTAACCCCTCCTCCATCTAGCATGCTCTTTTCCTGAGAAGACAATTTTTATTCAAGTTCAAATTCACAGCAGTGAGGATTTCTCTTCTGATTATGCATAGCCAAGCAGAAAATTTGCTGTGCATTTTTACAATAGAAGACAATGATAAATTTACATATTCATTAGATGGTTTTCATCAGGATAGCCAGGCAAATCTCAGATTAAACTCATGACAGAGCATTCTTCTAGATTTCCTTAATGAAGGGACAGGCATCATTTACTCTGATTGTTGCTTTGCTATAACAAATCATTTTGGCTGTGATGACAGATTAACACTGTTCTATGAGATAGAGTTTATTGCACTGGTTACAGTGCTTCCACTGAAAATAGGTCAATTTCTTGTGAACCAGGGCTGAACTTGGTAGGTATCTAGAAACTGGATCTTGGAACTAATTATTAGAAAGTGCTAATGTTTGCTCACCTATGATGAATAAACCTTCCTTGCCAAGTAGATTAATTTCTCTTTAAGGAAAGAGCTAATGAAACTTAGAAACTCCCAAAGATATCATGAGTAGACATTTGATTAAGCAAGCAAGTTAAAGCAAGAACTTGGCACATAACCATGAAAATAGTTCTTGTCAAGTCTCTTCACATTTCATAGAGCAATTGCATTCCTCCAGCAACCAAGGGGATGGCACACTAAATGTTCAAGGACTGAAATTATGCAATCAACCATCAGAAATGATCAAGCTGCCCTTCCAGTTAGTCAGAAGTAACTGGTTTTTCCCATCATCCTCCAAGCATTTGTATGGTTTTGTCTGTTTAATTCCTGAAGGACTATATTAACAGGTTGAATTTGTTGCAAAATTAAGATGCAAGAAAGGGACATTTTTCTGATTTCATAGCTCAAGTCAAATGCTGCTCACCCAGGTTAGCAGAAAGTCTAATAGTTGTTGTTATTGTTATTATTATTATCATTATTGGTTTCTTCCTCTTTTTTGAATTAATGAAAACCAAGACAAATGGGGATGTGGCTTCTGGGCTGCCGAGTTATATATTGCCTATCACAAATTGGACCAGTAAATTGTTGGCAGTTATGTTGTCAGCACCTGCCCTCTCTAGGAGGTCTGGTTGGGTGCAATGAACTTAACAGATGCCCCCAAGGATGCAGTGCTTTGTGTTTTAAACTGATTCCCATACCGTCTCTTCTTGAAAGGTGCTTCCATAGGAGTGGAGTCCTCTATCCTGCCAGTCTTGAGAAATCCAACCCTGTCAATGGCCTAGCTTCTCTACCTGTGAGGGGGAAGGTGAAAATTACCTTTTCAACCTTTCCATTGGCATTTATTGAACATTGTCTTAGTTTAGGTTTCCTTAAAAGCAGACTCGGAGACAAGAATTCAAGTGTAAGTGGTTTACTTGGGAGGTGATCCCAGGAAACACTAACAGGGAAGTGTAGAAGTGAGACAGGAAGGAAAGGCAGACACAGGAGGCCATTATCAAGTAAGTCACCACTGTGGGCAGCTGGGGCTCAAGCCCACTGGGGAACTCTGGGAAACAGTGTAGAACACTCAGAGTTAACCTACTGAGAAGTGAAGCCAGCTGGACTTCCCGGGTCAAGTGGGAACTTGGAGAACTTTTCTGTCTTACAAGAGGATTGTAAAATGCACCAATCAGCACTCTGTAGCTAGGATTGTAAAATGCACCAGTCAGTGCTCTGTAGCTAGCAAAGGGATTATAAAATGCACCAATCTGCACTCTGTAAAAATGCACCAATCAGCAGGATTCTAAAAGTAGCCAATCATGGGGAGGATTGAAGAAAGGGCACTCTGATAGGACAGAAATGGAACACAGGAGGGGCAAATAAGGGAATAAAAGCTGGCCACCCCACCCAGCAGTGGCAACCTGCTTGGGTCCCCTTCCACGCTGTGTGGAAGCTTTGTCCTTTCGCTCTTCACAATAAACCTTGCTACTGCTCACTCTTTGGGTCCGTGTCATCTTTAAGAGCTGTAACACTCACTGCGAAGGTCCGCAGCTCCATTCTTGAAGTCAGCGAGACCATGAACCCACTGGAAGGAACCAAGTCTTGACACCCATGGAGGGGTGAGGGAGCTGGGTTACTTCCACCAGCTCCTGAATTGAGTGCTGCCAGCAATTAATATTCCAGACTATCCAGTCTACTATGCCCAAGGCCAGAAAGGCTTCCTGCTGCTTGGGAAAAAGCCCTCTGGCAAAGAGATACAGATCCTGGCAGTTGGAAGTGGAATAAGCTCATGCTGTAGTGGTGAGGCCCAAGGGGCAGTAGTACAAAAAGTTTCTTATCCAGCCTATGATTAAGGCACTGAAATAGGTGCTGTAGAAAAGCTTTATCTACTTCATTCAGTACATTAGGGAGAAGCAGCTATGTTTTGCTGGCTACGTGCTCAGAATCGTGCCAAATGATATAAGTGAAACAGAAGAAATAGGAGGCATGGTCCCTCCCTGATTTGGAGGAACTTATTCTCTAAGTAAGGAAGACAACCCTGGTGCTACCATGCACCAGTGGGTAAATGGACAAAATAAAATGTTGATTTAGGCATTAGGGGACAATTGGAATTCTGGGAAAGGCTTCATGGGGAAAGTAGGAAATGAAGGATATTGTTTTCAGAAAAGAGCCAACGCCTATATAATTTGAGGGACAATGAGAGGAAGCCTGGAGGCAAATTTAGCCCAGTATGTTGGTAGACAGTGAGCAAGCCCATGAGAATGGAGTTGATGGAACATGTTCAAGAGGACTGGGAATCTAACAAGCAGTGTTGGCTTGTTATTGCCCTACAGATGTCAGTCATTACCCTGAGTGCATAATTCCTCCTGAAAAAGTCCACTCATGCCCACAGTACCGTCAAAGAAGTGGTTGTGTCATGGCAGATGACTCTGTTTCCACTGTTGAATCTGATTTGGATGGGGCAGGGACTTGACCTTGGATGGGCTCATCAGAGTCTGTTTTTTTATTTTATTTTGTTTTTGTCTGGCATTTGGACCTACAGAATTAAGGGACTGGATAAGCTGGTTCTCTATAGAGCCAGGGCAAGAGCTTCTTTGCCTTAGGAAGCCACAGTCATGTGCAAACACATTACATTAGAGTAAAACATCATAGGCAATATGGGACTACAGCAAAAAAAGACGAGTACAAGTGCTAAGAGAAACAGAGGAGAGACACCATGTGGCCCTAGCAAGTAAAGGTGACTTGCGAATCCCCCCAAGCCCGTCCAGTACTTCTAGCAATGTAGAGTCCTCTGTAAACTTTCCACTCAAGCTAATTTGAGTGGAAATCGAGGATCCTTCTCTAAGATGACATGGCAGTCATTAATTTTTCTATTGCCTACTAATTTTTCTATTGCTCTGTTTTTTTGTCCTATGGGTTGATGTCATAGCTGTTGATCTTCATAAGCAAACCTTGAGAATTGTGTGCAAGTGGTTTACTAAGGAAGGCTCCACAGAGACAGTAAAGGAATGGGGGAAGTAGGACAGGGAATGGAAGGAAGTGAAGCTGGCGGTGAATTCAGACCACGTCTGTGGAGCCTGCAGGGGGCGCTGCAGTGGAATCTTGCCTCAGGTGCGCTTTTCTCTTTACCTGGGCAAGGGAACTAGGCATTTACACCCTTGCTTATTGTCCTGGGGATGTAGAGGTAAATTAGACAAGATCCTTACCCTCAATTCATTTACAGCCTAGTTGGGAGAGACAAGCTTGCAAGCACAGGAAACTAGAAACAAGGCTTCTGGGTGGAGGAGGATAAGAAACACTCTACCCAAAGGATGTTCTCTGCAAAGGGTGAATGATTTAACATCTATGTGCCTCTCCCCCACCAAACATGTTAGAATCACTCAGCAACACAAGCATGGCTCATTTCCTCCCAGGTACTATTTTCTTATCTCTTCCAGAAAACAGAGCTTCCTGAAAAACAACTATTGAAGGAATATGGTAAGAACCTGGCAGGAGCCCAGTTTATACTCCGTAGCTTTGACCTAAGAAAGAGAAGAGTAAATATTAAACCCAAGGTCGGTAAGACTTTTGTGTATTTTTTCTTTTTCCTTTAAAGGTATGTTTGCTCTTTTAAGAACTGGGAACTTATTGTTTAAAGTATTTTTGGTGCAAGGGTCAGGCTGCCAGGAAAGCAGTGGGCATCTGCTTGTGGTTCTTGGGGTTTTACCCAGTGTCTGCAACCTCTATTTAGTGCAGGAAGAGAGTGTGGTCCAGCATCTACCTGCCTATCAGGAGTCTTAAGGGCCCAAACTGGTAGAACACTGAGAGCTTTTTCTTTATTATGGGAAATGATATGCCATATGATATCATTTCATTATATAACCTGCTAGTAAGTTACTATATTAAGAGCTCACAATTAGTAAACTTTGGTATTTCTACATTTGAAATAGCACAATACTGGAGCTTATTGAGAACAGTAATTCAGGATTCTGTGAAAGTCAGCGTCCACTAAATATTTCACAACACTGCAAAACTTGCACCGCTGCTGCACACAGGCAAACAGTATGAATTCCCACAGGGCTTGGCCAAGACACTGTGTCATCAGTGCATCCATAGTGTTATCTACAGTTTTTAATTGCCGCTATTCTTGCTGCTTAATCATCAGTCATTGTTGGTCCCAACTCTTCTTACTCTACTTTCTTTTATATTTGATTTTCCTTTGTAGAAAAATGTCTTGTGAGTTTGGGACTCCCCAGAAGTAGAGATGTGGATGTGAGTGCAAGTGATTTGCTTCGGGAGTGATCCCAGGAAACAATGGACAGGAGTGAGGAAATAAGACAGGAAAGGAGGAAAATTACTAAAGGAGTGTGCTAATGTGCAGAATTGCTGCTGTGGGTAACTGGGGCTCAGGCCCTTTGGGACTCTAGGGAGACTTTGCAGGACATTCCTCAATGTTGTCCTACCCAAGAGGTGAGAAGTTGGGATATTTATCCAGCATTTCCTGTCTGATGTCTGTTGAGGGCTGCTTCCTGAGGCATCAACTCACAGATTCTTCCAGTCTGCCCTGCACGCTGAAACACGCTCCTGCAGCCAGAGAAAATCCTCAGGGAGAGCACCAGTACTTGCTGAGAGGCTGTCAGTGAGAAAAAGAATCAGAAGAGACTGTTAATGGAATTGGGTGTACATGGGACCTCTGACAGCATCTGCTTTGGATGCATACTTCCATAAACAGCAGTTAGGGCCCACAGTCTTCTAATCACTTGACTTTGAAACACACGTGTTGCATTTCAATGTGTTATATAAGATCAAATTGCTGATCAAATTGCTAAGTATTCAGTGAAAACTATACGTAAGGATGTGATCTTAAAATTGAAACCTGGATAATGGGAAGAACCCAGCCATGTGAACAGCGAGGGGAGAGTGGTCTTAAAGTCTTTCCTGTTGCCCATTTATTTTTTATTTTATTTATTTTTATTCTTTTAGATACAGTCTCGCTGTTGTACCCATGCTGGAGTGCAGAGGCATGATCATAGCTCATACAGCCTCGAACTCCTGCATTTTGCCTATTTAAATTCTGAGCCTAGAACAAGGAAATTTAAATCCTGGATTGCTTGAAGACTGATTCTTGGCAATCACATTCTCATTCAGAATAAAATTGTTTTTAGCCATCTCCTTCAAAATAAACTTTCAAATTTTCCATTTGATATCATTATAATGTTCACGTTCTCTTGTCTAGTCAGTTTCTCTATGCCCACTATTCGTGAAATTTCCCCATCTCATTTCCCCAAACACTGCTTTGACAGTTTCTTTTTTCCACGCTAGGTTTCTCTAAGCCCCCTCGGATTTGCATAGAAACTATAGTTCCTTAGATAAAAATAAAACCTTATTTAAGACCCAGAAAATCTCAATCCCCTATGCCAACAGCAAAGAGGGCAATTTGGATACCTGAGCCTGGACTTGCTCAAATCTTTCTAGTTACAAACTTGCCCCCACTGCTTCCAGCATCTCAGGCAAAAGGTAATTCCATATCTCTTAGACACCAGTGTTGAAATTTTTTAGACTCTTAATGTTCTCTGAGTAATTACATGGCATGAAAAAAAATCAGATGAGTTTTTGAAGAGATGACTTCTCCCCAAGGCCCTGAGTCACAGATTTTTTTTCTTTCTATAGAGTCACTGTCAAAATTGTGAGTCATCCATTTCTTCTTGCCAGTGCAGCACACTCCCAGGGGACACGTGGCTTCACTCCTGAACAAGTTCAGTAAGCAGTGCTGGAGAGAATACTGAAAACGTTAAAGAATTATGAATACAGCTCAGATCTCACTTTCCTGTTTTTTAGATTTTGGGAATTCATTCAGGTGGAAACAGCATTTCTTGCCATCACATGATGGGGGTGTCCCCCTCTGCCATGTTTCCCATCAGTTCTATCTTCCTCCCTTCCAGTTTCTCTGGACATGTCTGACTTTTGAAAGAGTAATTTTCTCCAACATGTATTTTGAATTATCTTCTCTGTACATAATTATTTTCTATCTCCTAGAAATTCTTCATAATTTTTGTTCCTCTAATGGAAGATTTTAATTTTTTATGTACTATTATGCATTATTTTAATCAGTTTTTTTTGCTAAGGCTTTACAGTGAGAGTAGGTACCTGTACTCAGTTTGTAAGTTGATAAAAATTTTTAATAGCTCACTATACATGATTTATTTTTGCATATCCAGCAACACAATGTTGGCTTTCAATAAAGGTTGAATGAATAAAATGTTTAAAGCATTGCTTTTTAAGAAGTTCTAACCTAGTGAAGTCATAAGCAAACTTGAAAAATGTGTGTTAAAATAATTCTAGGTATCAGGTTTTCTAATCTTGTATGCAAAATCTTATATCAATTTAGTTGAATTTGCTTATACAGTGTTAGCAAGAAAAACAATTAATACATAAGCATATCTTCGCATAGCTGCAACAGAAAAAAAAGAAAACGCCCTCAAAACTATAAACCAGTATTTTAATGTATGTATGATTCCTGCTTGATGCATTTCATTACTGATATTCCAGGCTTTTTTCTTTTAATACTTCCAATGACCACAAACTCATGATACCCTCATAAGGCGATTTAAAGCAGTTTCGGAAAGTTCTAATTGTTGGGGGAGAAATTATTTAGGAGCCAAATTATGTATTGTGGACTGTTTTAACTGCTGTGCTAAAAAATTTAGATAGTTTCTGTGTCAGTCACCTTGATTAAGAAAACTGCAAATAAATCACATTAGCAACCGAAATGGAAAAAGCAAACCATCAATATTGAGCCTCAATGTCCCCTGCTAGCTGTAAATCCCTAATTCCCCATGCAATACATTTGTTTACCTAGCAAATGTGTACCCATTTGAGTACCTGTCTCATTAGAGGGCTATAAATGACTACGATTTAGTAAGTATATTGTTCAGAATAGATTTATTATTTCAACTTCTAGCCTTGATAAATCATCATGGCCCAAAGGAACACTTTCCTAGTTCTTTTGCAAAAGTCACGTTGCCCAACGAGAAGTTCTTGAGATGATCACTCTGAGCCATCTGCTCTCCGTATGTGATGTAGCATAGGCCTCTGTTCCTGGATTTCAATTATGGTGTCAGAATTTTAGCCAGGTTTCTTACATTGATCCCTTTAGGATAGAATCCAAGATATATTATTTGCCTTGTTTTTAACCTCATATCATAAGACTGAAAGGAGATTATCAAGGCAGGTCTTGAGATATTGTCTTATTAATAATTTGGCAAGCATGATCAACATCTGAGGTTAATCCCCAAGCTGCATGTAGATAGGAATAGTCTAAGCCTCCTTGACTTTCTTAATATTCATTATATTACTGCTGCCTTCATTTAGGCTCTCTCCATTTCTAATCTGGATGATGACCATTGTTTACTGTTCTCTTTAGCTTCAGCCTTGCCACATGTCTTATCTGTCCCCTCCTGCAGCCAGAGTGCTCTTTCTTAAATGCATACCTGAATATGTCACTCTGCTGCTTAACTGCTTTGTTGTATTTTGCATAAAATTCAGGCTTCTTATTATGGAATACAAATCCTGCAGGCCAACTTCTCCCACCTCATCTCCTGTCACTATCTTTCTATCCTCCAACCATATGGAATTGCCTTTGATCCTAGATTGCATATGCTCACTTGTGACTCTATTCCTCTGTCTTTGGCTGCATCCATTGAGAACTAGCCTTACTGCAAAGCCCCCAGGAAGCTTTTGGTTTTCCTGAAACCTTCTCCTCCATCAGACGAGGTTTGTGTTCCATCGCAGTGCCATGGCATCCTGAGCATATCTCAAATCCTAGCATTAATCACTCTGTATTATAATTGTTTCCTAGTCTACATCCTCCTCAGACCTGGAGCTCTTGGAGAGGACAGGCTAGGTTTAATTTCATTGATAATACCAGGGTGTAACACGTTGTTGTTGCTTCATATTGCAAATGCATGACGTGTGTGGGTGCTCGAACTCAAAAGTGAATAAATGTTTGGCACTCTGGAAAATACAATTGCACTGCTAAGGACCATTCTGCAGAATACACCTTTTGAGTGAATGCTAAAGTAGCTAAGTAATGGCTGCTTTTAGGGGAAGCACTAAAATATGAATAATGACTATCTCTGATGGTTTTTTCCCTGGGTTATGTTTTTGACTTAATAATTTTCATATTTCCTTATAAGGAACTATATAGATTGCATTTATAATTATACACAAATATTTAAAAGCAGCATATATTATTTTGTGTTCTATTGCACCTCTATGGCAAATGTTTGCAGAATAAAAGGACTAGGGTAAAGTCCTCAAGTGGTCAACAGTGATATTTTTCTAGGGTTGGAATTATGAGTGATTATTTCTTCCTTGTAATTTGCAGGGCTTTCTCTGATATGATTTTGTTTACAAGATTTTCTTTTACAAGAAAAAATTCATTTAAGTATTAAAAAATTAAATAGATGGCATGATGATTAATAATTTGAATAATCAAATAAACCACCCCTGTCAAGGGACTACTGAATTTAATCAAACCTTACTTATTGTCAAATCATTTAAGCTGTCATTTTGAGAGCACATGGAAAACAACATAAATATTGATGTGTTTTTTTAAATGGAGAAAACTATGACTCTGGCAATTATAAAACTGGAAATTTTGTTTTAGAGCTTTGGGAGCCAGGTGTGCCATTGGGCTGGAAGCAGACCCCGAGTCCAGTCATGAATTATGGAGTTGGTTTTTAATGGAATATAACTGTCTATTTTTGCTGCCAAATCTATTAGCCTTTAGTACATAATACACCGGAGATTAAGGCCCCATATATTCAGCAGAAGATTTACTGTGAAGCAGTAAAAATAGATTTAGTCATAATTTATACAGGTGCATGTTTATAGGTAGAGTATGTTTGTAAAAATGGCAAGGAGAGAAAGAAATTGATATTATTTTAGAATGTTTTCTTTTGATTTTTCTCCTTTAAACCCAAACATTTTGCATCTGTAATGAATTAAAAGTAAATACTTCTTTAATATTTTCAAACAGTTAAGATTTATCTCAATTACATTTGGCAAGAGCTATCAGTTGCATATCATTATTTATTGAAAAGGAGATTAGATATGTTTTCAGCCATTATGAGTTTACTTTTGTGAGCACAGTAATGTTCAGTTCTTGGAGGTTCTTGCAGATCACCTATTATCATAAACCAAAAATATGATTTACAAACGATGGCCAATAATTTGCATGTATAATTAAATGTCAGGGTAAATATTTCTAACGGTAACTTGAATCATTCAATTCTGGGCTTGAAAATTAAATCCTGAAAGCTACGCAAATGCTTGGGCAGAGAAATCCGGTAATGCTTACTTGAAATATAGAAACCTATATTTAGTACTTCATAGTGTGCCAGATAGTATAACAATTGCCTAGTGTCTATTATCCCATTAAGTTCTGATATGGTATGGATCTGTGTCCCCACCCAAATCTCATGTCAAATCATGCATGTCCCCACCCAAATCACCATGTCCCCAGTGTTGGAGAAGGGGCCTGGTGGGAGGTGAGTGGATCATGGGGACAAAGTTATCGTGAATGGTTTAGCATCGTCCGCTGCTTGATACTGTATAGTGAGTGAATTCTCATGAGAGCTGGTTGTTTAAAAGTGTGTGGCACCTCCCCACCCTCTCTCTTCTTCCTACTCTGGCCGTGAAGTGCCTCGCTGCCCCTTTGCCTTCTGCCATAATTGGAAGCTTTCTGAAGTCTCCCCTGAGCCAGAAGTTGCTATGCTTCCTGTATAGCCTGCAGAACTGTGAGCCAATTAAACCTCTTTTGTTTATAAATTACCCAGTCTCAGGTATTTTTAATAGCAGTGTAAGAATGGATGAATACAAGTTCTAATCACAAACCTATGAAGTAAGTCTGTTAGTGAGGCTGGTCAATAACCTAAAGTCCCAGTTGCTTATAACCCACCATGTCCATTGATGGGCAACTCTGCATCCTACTCCATATTTCCTAGGCTGACAGAGCGGCCGGCAGCAGAGGGGAGGATTGCTCAGAGAGCCTCACACTTGCAATCAAAAGCTCCAGCCTGGAAATGGCAAACCTCACTTCCATGCATAGCTCATTCGTCAGAACTAGTCACCTGACACCACCTAACTACAAGGGAATGGGGCAGAGAGTATAATCCTACCGTGTGTCCAAAGTGGAGAGAGCAGGAAATATTTGGTGAATAGTGCTAATCACTACTGTAGTGTGTCCCTATTTTATACATGAGAAAACAGAATCTGAGAGGTCAAACAACTTGCCAAGTCACAAAGCTAGTAAGCAGAAGAGCTAAGATGCTGTTAAAGAACAAAGCATGGATTTAACAAGTTTTTACAGCAAATTCTAAGCCTACTAATTCTGTGTCACTTAGAAAGACACAGGAAAATTAGAGATTGAACAGAGACTAGCAGATGTCTCTTGATCTCACATTTGTGAAATCTGAAATCCTTTGGCTATACTTCCAGCTGCCTACTTGAAAAGCTAGAGACTAAAAATATTGACTTTCTATTATCAGAGCTGAGTCCTTCATAAAATTGTTATGGCCCTAGGAGTTCTTGAGGATAATTTATGGATGATACAGAGCAATGTGACTTGTAATCACTTGGGAGATGCTATCAGCAATGTGAAAACCAATTGAACTTGGAAAGAAATCCACACTCCTTACTCTTCCCTGCGAGTTCCTCGATATCTGGCCCCGTCCTCTTCGTCAACCTTGTCCTAAGCTGGCTTCCCCTTGCTACCACCATCTTTGTGCAAGCTTTTCTGGTTTTCTTCCTGCTCTTCACCAAGCCAGGCTCTTTCTGGCCTCAGAGTTGTGGCAGGTATTTCCCCCTCATGTGTAGATTGCCTCCCCACGCCACTATAGAGTATCCCTTTTGAAAATTATGTGGAAATTTTTATATAATGTTTTATATTTAATTTTTGTGGATATATGGTAGTTGCATCATGGGGTACATGAGATGTTTAGATACAGGTATGCAATGTGTAATCACATCATGGAAAATGGGCTATCCATCACCCCAAGCGTCTGTCTTTTCTGGTATAAACAATCCAATTACAGTTATTTTTAAATTTACAATTAAATTACTATTGACTACAGTCACCCTATTGTGCTATCAAATACCAGGCCTTATTCATTCATTCTAATTATTGTTCGTACTCATTAACCTTTTCTACCCTGTCTCCCATTTCCCCACTACCCTTCCCAGCCTCTGGTAACCATCCTTCTACTCTCTATCTCCTTGGGTTCCATTGTTTTGATTTTTAGATCGTACAAATAGGTGACAACATGCAATGTTTGTCTTTTCTTGCCTGGCTTATTTCTCTTAATATAATGACCTCCAGTTCCACCCATGTTGCTGCAAATGACAGGGTCTCATTCTTTTTTATGGCTGAATAGTACTCCATTGTGTATAAGTACCACATTTTCTTTATCCATTCATCTCTTGATGGACACTTAGGTTGCTTCTGAATCTTGGCTATTGTGAACAGAGCTGCAACAAACATGGAAGTGCAGATATCCCTTCAATATATTGATTTCCTTTACTTTGGGTATATACCCAGCAGTGGGCTTGCTAGATCATATGGTAGCTATTTTTTTAGTTTCTTGAGGAACCTCCAAACTGTTCTCCATAGTTCATATTGAAATTTAACTGTCAATATAGTTCTATCAGGCAGTGGGGCTTTTAAGAGGTTAGTCATGAGGGCTCTGTCCTTATGAATGGGTTAATGCTGTTATCTTGGCAGTAGGCTAGTTATCTTGGGAGTTTGGCCTACTTTTTCTCTCTGTCTCACTTGCTTGTTTGCCCTTCCACCATGTTATGGTGCAACAAGAAGGCTCTCACCAGATGCAGCCCCTTGACCTTGGACTTCCCAGTCTCCAGAACTATGAACCAAATAAATGTCTATTGTTTATAAATTACACAGTTTGTGGTATTCTGTTATAGTAGCAGAAAACAGGCTAAAACACCTTTCCTCCCCTTAATCTGACAACTTCTACTCATTTTTTAGGTCTCATAGTAGACATTTCTTCAGAGAGGCACTCCCTGACTCTCAAACTAAAACTCCACCCAGTACTTTTCCATGGTAACATGCATCCCAATTTATAATAATATAGCTGTGTTTATTTAATTGCTATCTCCCTATTATGGTGGCAGGAACCAAGGGAGCAGTGAGTGCTGCGTGTAGCATTATACACCAGTGCCAAAGAGGCCAACTGGAAAATAGTAGATCCTTAGTATTTATTGAATGAAATGAATAAATGAATGACTTTTAGTCTTTAAGTAAGGATTTCAAGTGAGTTCCTAAAGTCTGAATTTGTGTTTCTCTTCTTTTAAGCTTTATCAATAATTCCATGTTAGTAATAATGAAGTGGAGACGGAAAAACCAGAAACAACCAGAAAAATTTAGATAAAAATGAAAACATTTATCCTCTCTTTTCTGGTTTTTGTTTTGTTTTCCAAAAGCCCAAAAAGAGTTAACATCTTTGGACTATTGATTTTTAGAATGAAGTATAAAGGATTTAAGAACATTTTGCTGCATTGGAGATGATTTTTACAAGTAGAAAGGATAATATAGAAAACCGCCAAGCGAATTACTGCACTTGAATCGATACATATGTTTTCTTTTTTCCTGTCAGACATTTCTTACCAAACGGTTTAAATAATATCATCTGTTCTTGTTTTTTGTGCATTCCTACTCACACATATCAAATGAAGAAAAGCCAAAGGCTTTATGAAGCACTGGAAAGAATTTTGTTGCCAACCAGTTCATGCTACTGCAATTCTGTGGGTCCATGACACAGAGGAAAATATAAGGCTATGTACTGATTTACATCACAGAACACATGGTACATCCAGGAATGAGCACCACAAGGGTAATTTTAATGCTGCAGAACACATTTATCTGCTGATATATGGTCTAGGAATACGCTGCTTTTATTCTGCCAATTCTGACTCCCACTATTCCCTCTAAAAATGGAAAAAACTCTTGCAAGGTCATTTGGAAAGAATGTTTAAAATTACTTTTTCTTTGCTTATTTGCAATCCCTTCACTTCTTAAGAATGATTGGCAGTGTTTATGTATCCTGAAGCCTGGGGCAGAGTTAAGATTCAAACAGGAGACTAATGGAGTAAAGGAGTCCCTCTCCTAGTGGGCAGAAATTATAAGCAGCCATTTAGGTTACTTATACACCTGGGATAGCTACAAACAGCTATGTTCCCAGTGGCAAAAGGAAAGGCTAATACAGTCCAGCAGAAAAAAAATAGAAACCATTCTAAAGAACAGAGGCAGGAACTCAGGAGTACAATAGTCAGGGATGAATTAGTATAAGATAAACTCTCCACATAAAGAGGCACTGAGAAAGTACATACGTGATTTTCAGTTGTGCACAAATTTTAAAATAATTCAAGTTTATATTATGTTATAATCCCATCAATGTGGCCAGAAAATATGTGGTATATTTTGGAATGTTCAGTCATGACAGTTATGGTGTCAAATAATTAAATATTATTCAAATAATTGCACAGGTGAAGATATAGTTGCAACTGCGGTAAGTGCCGTGAAGGAAGGTGCATTGTGATCTATGAATGTATATAGGAAGAGAATTTAACTTCGTGAGGAAGGTGAGGAAGTCTGCCCTAACAAAGAGATGATTTCTCTGAGATGAAAAAGGAATGGAAAATTAAGCAGATGAGGTATTGGGGAAGAGGAGGGAGAATGAATTCCTGGACAAGGAGGATACAGTTTATGCAAAAACTTAATGGAAGGTGGGAGCATGTACATAAAATAAAATAACAGACTGTCTACAGCAGAGTGTTTAAAGGCCTGATCTGGGGGAGGAGTAAGTATGCTCAGACCGCTCAGGTGATCATAGGCCATGTTCACATACATTTTCTTATATTATTAAGAAAATCAGTAATTTTGAAAGTATTTTAATTAGATGGTAGGTAGAGTACTGAAGTAATCACTTTTCATCCTTGAAAAGACTTGTCTGGCATCA